>NC_000023.11:120929381-130929381 GCF_000001405.40 Homo sapiens | reverse complement strand
CAATATCACTGGTTTCTGTTCTTGTCTTTATTATTTCCTTTATTCCACTTGCTTTAGGTACATTTTGCTCTCCTTTATTATTTGAGGTGAGAATTTAGATTATAGATTTGCAATATTTCCTCTTTTCTAATGCATGCATTTAGTGCTATATATTTCACTCTCAGACCTGTTTTAGCTGTGCTCCACACATTTTCATATGGTGTATTTTCATTTTAGATCAATTCAATGTATTTTTTGTATTTTGTATTTTTATAAAATGTTGTTTGCAACTTTCCCTTTGGCTCATGGATGATTTAAGTGTGTTGTTTACTTTCCTAGAGTTTAGAGAGTTTCATGTTATTGCTACTAATTTCTACGTTTTTTTTTTTTCATTATAGTTGTAAGACATGGTCTGTAATGATTTCAACTTTAAAATTTTGTTGAGGTTTGTCTTATGGCACAGAATATTGTCTATCTTGGTGTATGTTCCATGAACACTTGAAAAGAATGTGTATTCTGCTTTTGGATGGGATGTCCTATAAATGCCAATTAGATTCAACTAACAGGCTATGGTGCTGCTGAGCTATTCTATATCCTTATGGATTTTCTGTCTAACTGTTCTACAGTTATTGAGACAGGGATGCTGAAATCTCCAACTATAATTGTGGATTTGTCTGCTTCTCCTTTCAGTTCTATCAGTTTTTGCTTCATGTATTTTGCAGCTTTGTTGTTTCATGCAGGCACATTTAGGATTGCTTTGTCGTCTTGGTGTATTAGCTATTTTATCACTATATGTCTCCCTTTGGTATTTGTTTTTTGCTTTGAAGTCTACTTTATCTAATATGTGTAGGGTGAAAATATTGAGTTGTCCAAAATACATGTTTCCAGCTGAGGTTGAGCAACATAATGCTCCACCCTTTTGTCTCATCTGTTGTAAAGAGGTGGTCAGAGGATGCAGATAGTAGAGGGCAGTGTCATGTAGTGCAAGAAGTTCTGGTTCTGGGGCCATTTGGATGGATGGGGTTTGAATACCAACTCTGGTACCTCTGGGTGCAGCCTCAAGCAAGTCACTTAATACTTTTTTTTAAAAAAATCAAGCCATTCTTACATTGCTAACAAGTCACTTAATACTTCTGAACCTTGTTTTCCCTTTAGTAAAATGAAGAAAATAGACTCTATCAGGATGAGTGGTTTTAGGATATAAGGTTATAATTTATGTCAGATATTTACAGATATGTACTAAAAGCATTACATATGTAGTTGTTCCTAGTACAATAAATTGGACTTTCACAAAATTATTTTCTCTTTGAAAGAAGCTAAAAACATTGGGCCAACAAATATATGAAAAAATCCTCAACATCACTAATCATCATAGAAATGCAAATCGTAACCACAATGAGGTATCATCTCATACCAGTTAGGATGGCTATCATCAAAGAGACAAAAAAATAACAAATGCTGGTGAGAAAGTAGAGGAAAGGGAACTCTTATATACTGTTCGTGGGAATGTAAACTAGTACAGCCACTATGAAGAATATTATAGAGGTTCCTCAAAAAAGTACAAATAGAATTACCATATGATCCAGCAATCTCACTACTGGGAATTTATCCAAAAGAAAATAAATCAGTATATTCAAGAAAATATCTGCACTCCTGTGTTTATTATAACACTATTCATAATAGCCAAGGTATGGAATCAACCTAGGTGTCTAACGACAGATGAATGGATAAAGAAAATGTGGTGTGTGTATATATATATATATATGCAATAGAATATTCAGCCATTGAAAAGAATTCTGTCATTCACAGCAGCATGGATGGAACTGGAGAACATTATGTTAAGTGAAATAAGCCAGGAACGCAAAGGTCAACACTGCCGGTTCTTACTCATATGGGGAAGCTAAAAAAAAATTGATCTCATAGAAGTAAAAAGTAGAACAGAGGGTACTAGAAGCTGAGAAGGGTAGGGGGAAATGGAGAGATGGGGAGAGATTGTTAAGGAATACAAAATTATAGCTAGATAGAAAGAATAAGTTTTAGTGTTCTATACTGCTATAGGATGACTGCAGTTAACAACAGCATATTATATAGTTTCAAACTATTATATAGTTTCAAATAGCTAAAAGAAAGATATTGAATGTTCCCAACACAAAGAAATGATAAATGTTGAAGATGATAGATATGCTAATTACCCTAAACTGATCATGATATACTATATTTATCAAAACATGACTATGTACCACATGAATATGTACAATTACTATTTGTCAGTTAAAAATAAAATGAAATGAAATGAAAAAAGAAAGTTAAATGGCAAATCACAGATTAGGAGCAAGTATATAAAAGTCAAATATCTGATAAAGGAATTGTACACAAAATACATAAAGATCTCTTATAACAATAAAATAGGCAAAATATTTTAACAGACATCACAAAAGGATAATTTGGATGGTAAATAAACATATGAAAAAATGCTCAATGCTCAGAAAAATTAAAAGACTGCTAGTTGGCCAGGCGCGGTGGCTCACGCCTGTAATCCTAGCACTTTGGAAGGCCAAGGCAGGTGGATTGCCTGAGCTCAGGAGTTCGAGACCAGCATGGGCAACAATGGTGAAACCCCATCTCTACTAAAATAGAAAAAATTAGCTGGGCATGGCAGTGTGTGCCTGTAGTCCCAGCTACTCGGGAGGCTGAGGCAGGAGAATTGCTTGAACCTGGGAGGCAGGGGTTGCAGTGAGCTGAGATCACGCCACTGCACTCCAGCCTGGGCAACAGAGCAAGACTCCGTCTCCAAAAAAAAAAAAAAAAAAAAAAAAGACTGCTGGTGACAAGGATATGAAAACACAAGTAATCTCATCAATAAAGGGAATGTTAAGTCGTATAACCACTTTGGAAAAAAGTTTGAGAACATTTTACAAAGTTAAACATATACTTATGATATAACTCAGCAATTAAACTCCAACATATTTATCCAAAAGAAATGGAAGCATATGTATATATGTGTGTATATATATATGTGTACATATATATATGTGTGTGTATATATGTATATGTAAGCATATATATATATTTATACATTGTTTATTCATTCACCTGTTGATAAACATTTTGGTTGTTTCTAGTTTTTTACTGATATGAATAAAGGTGCTATGACATTTACACACAAGTATTTGTGTGTATATATATATATATGCTTCCCTTATATATATTTTTCATATATATTTTCCATTTTCCATATAAATATTCCATTTATATATATATATGGAAGCATATATATAAATATATATAAATGGAAGCATACATATATACACAAATACTTGTACACAAATGTCATAGCACCTTTATTCATAACAGTTTTTTACTGTAAACAACCCAAATGTTTATCAACAGGTGAATGAATACACAATGTTCTGTATATCCATGCAATGGAATGCTATTCAGCAATTAAAAGGAATGTACTACTGGAACATGCAACAAAATGGATAAATCTCAAAAACACTCTGCTGAGTGAAAGAAGTAAGAAACAAAGGGGTGCAAACTATATAATTTCATTTATATGCAATTCTGGAACAAGAAAAGTATAACAAAAAAACAGATCAATGATTGTCTGGAGTTAGGGGTGAAAGAACTGACTGCACAGGGGCACAAGGGAATTTGGGGTGAGGTAGTGATGGAAATGTCCTATATTTTAATTGTGTTGGTTACATAGGTGAATAAATTTGTCAAAATTCATCAAACTGTACACTTTAACTTAGTGCATTTTATTTTATGTAACTTATAATTCAATAAACTTGATTTTTTTTAACAATGAGCTAAATACTTGAAAGGCATTTCTCAAAAAAAAAGATATCCAAATGGCCAATAGGGCATTTGAAAAAGTGCTCAACATCAATGATTATTAGGTAAATTTAAGTCCACCAATGAGTTACAACTACATGACCATAAGAATGACTTAAATTAAAAATACTGACAATAGTAAGTGTCAACATGGAAGTGGTGCACCTGGAACTTTTATACATTGCTGGTGTGAGTAAAATTTTAACTATGTTGGAAAAACATTTGACAGAATACTTAAATAACCCATATGCCTGCCCTATGATGCAATAATAGATATATTTTGCTATATATCTAGATATATTTTCCAAGATAAATGAGTACATGTATTTAAAAATGATATGTACAGAGTGTTCCCATTGATTTTATTCATAATAGTCTCAAACTGAAAACAACAAAAATTCCATTAACAGTAGATGGAATAAATGTTAAATTCATATAATGGAATACTACACAAAAATTAAAAATAGACTACTAGCACACGCAACAACATTGATGAATCTAACTGAAATATATTGAATGAAAGAAGTAGAACTAAAGAGTACATACTGTGTCATTCCGTGAGTATTACACTAAAAATTGACAAAACTAATTTATGATGATAGAAGTCAGAATAGTAGTCTTCTATGAGGATAACTGGGAAGGGGCAAAATGAGCCTGCTAGATGCTGAAAATATTCTATATCTTGGTCCGGCCATGGTTACGAGGTGTTTACATGTATAAACATTCATGAAGCTGCACACTTAAGACTTGTGCACTTTATTATATATAAGTTATAGTCAACACATTTAGAAATGCAAATGGAATAAGCAATTTAGTAAAAAGACAAAGATTTTCAAGTTAGATTTTAAAAACACAACTCTGTGCTCTTTAAAAGAGACACTTTGCCTAAAGCATGGAAGAAAGTCAAATATAAAAGAGCGGGAAAAGATACACACCATGTAAGCAATAACTAGAAGAAAGTTGATATAGCTATATTATTATGACTCAAAGTATACTTACGGAAAGAAGGATATTTCATAATGGCAAAGGAATTCAACAACAGAATTCAAAGATTAAGAAAGAATTAAATGGAAGATACAAAAATCACTAGTTCGTAGGGGCATAATACAACCTCAACAGGGAGATGTAAAAATCATAAATGTTTGTGCACACAATTTCACATTTTTTTTATTATACTTTAAGTTTTAGGGTACATGTGCACATTGTGCAGGTTAGTTACATATGTATACATGTGCCATGCTGGTGCGCTGCACCCACTAACTCGTCATCTAGCATTAGGTATATCTCCCAATGCTATCCCTCCCCCCTCCCCCCAAATTTCACATTTTTAAATACATAACACATAAGTTCATGTAACAAAGCAGAAATAGACAAATCTACAACTGTAGTATGAAAAATTAACACATTTCTCAAAGTAAATCAGAAAATGCAGAAAGTCAGTACTTATATAAAGATATAAACAACACAACAGATGAAGTCGACCTAATCGACATACATAGAATACCATTTGCAAAAATAGCAGAAAACACACTATATTCGAGAGCTCACAGAACATTTCCCAAAAAAGACCATATGTTGAGTGATGAAGCAAGTTTCAACAAATTGTTAAGACTGAAGTAATATAGGAGAGGCTCTGTAACCAAAATGAAAATTAACTAGAAACCAATATTAAATAAATATCCCCAAACCTTCAATTGTTTGAAAATGAAGCAATACCTTATAAATAATTGATAGGTCAAAAAAATACAGTGGAAAGCTGAAAATATTTTGAATTGAATAATCTATTTTGACATAAACTATCAAAGTGTAAGATTCAGCTAGATCAGTTTTCAGTAGGAAGATTAAAGTTTTAAATGCATGAACTAAAATGAAAAAAGTTGAACATCAACGATCTAATCTTCCTGCTCAAAAAGCTAGTAAAACAAATTAACCTAAAGAAAATATAAGAAAGGAAATGATAACAAGGACAGAAAACATTGCAATAGAAAGCTTATGTACAGGCCAGACACCTTTTTCCACTATTTTATATTTGACTTTCCTGCATGCTTTAGGCAAAGGGTCTCTTTTAAGGAGCACAGAGTTGTGTTTTTAAAATCTAATTTGAAAGTCTTTGTCTTTTTACTAAAGGCTCACACCCATATTCACAGCACTTTGGGAGGCTGAGGCAGGCGGATCACTTGAGCTCAGGAGTTCAAGACAGCATGGGCAACATGGTGAAACCCCACCTCTACAAAAAATACAAAAATTAGCCAGGCATGGTGGCATATGCCTATAGTCCCAGCTACTCGGGGTGTTGAGGTGGGAGGATTACCTGAACCTGTGGAGGTTGAGGCTGCACAGTGAGCCATGATCACACCACTGCACTCCAGCATGGGTGACAGAGCAAGACCCTGTCTCAAAAGAGAGAGAGAGAGAGAGAGAGAGAGAGAGAGAGAGAAAGTAAGTAAGTTAGTTTATGTACAATTGAAAAAATTTTTAAAGTCAGAATTTAGTACTTTAGTAACAATATATATAAAGTATAACATATTATGACAAAGTAGGGTTTGTCCCATTAATAAAAGATTCTTTAACATTTGAAAATCAATGCAATTTGCCATATTAATGGAATAAAGGAGAACATCTATATGATGATCTCAGCATTTGCAGAAAACACACTTGATAAAATTCAGCATTCATATCTCAGCAATTAGGAATAGAATACAACTTCTTCAACCTGATTGAGGACTGTATTAGTCCGTTCTCATGCTGCTATAAGAACAAACCTGAGACTGGGTAATTTACAAAGGAAAGAGGTTTAATTGACTCACAATTCCTCAGGGCTGGGGAGGCCTCAGAAAACTTACAATCACGGTGGAAGAGGAAGCAGACATGTCCTTCTTCACAAAGCAGCAGGAGAGAGAAGAATGAGAGCCTAGCGAAGGGGGAAGCCCCTTATAAAACGATCAGATCTCACGAGAACTTACTCACTGTCATGAGAATAGCAAGAGGGAAGCTGCCCCAATGATTCAATTACCTCCCAACCGGTCCCTCCCATGACACATGGAGATTATGGGAACTGCAATTCAAGATGAGTTTTGGTGGGGACACAGCCAAACTATATCAAGGACATTACATGAAACCTAAAACTAGCATCATAGTCAATGGTGAAAGATCGAATACTTCCCCCCTAATATCAGCAACAAGGCAATGATGTCCACTCCCACCACTTTTATTCAACATTGTACTGGGAGTCCTAGTCAGCACCATAAGGCAAGAAGAAGAGATAAAAGGAATACAGATTCAAAAGGAATAAATTAAAACTGTTTATTTGCAAACAACATGATTATGCTCACAGAAAATTTCAAGGAACCTACCAAAAAGCTACTAGAACTAATAGGTGAATTTAGCAAGGTCACTGGACAATAGGGCAATATACAAATATCAATTATATTTCTGTATAGTAGCAATGAAAAAAATGAAAAATGATGTTAAGAAGATAATTCTATTTACAACAGCATGTAAACAGAGAAAACAATTAGGGATAAATTTTACAAAATTTTTTATAAGATCTGTACAGTGAAAACTACAAAATACTGCCAAGGAAACTGAAGAAGACCTAAATAAATTTAATATGCCAGGTTCATGGAAGGAAGACTTAATATCATTAAAGATGTCAATTCTTCCAAATTTGATGTATGCACTCATGAAAATACTATTCAAAATCTCAGCAGCTTTCAAAAAATTGATAAGGCAATGTAAAATCATGTATGAAAAATCAACAAACTTAGAATAGCCAAGAAAATTAAGGAGGAAGAGAAAAAGGAGGAAGAGGAAGGAAGGGGAGGTATCGAGAGAAGGAGAAGCAAAGGAAGAACCACCACCTCCAACACTATCCTAACACTATCCTCCAACACTATCAAGCTTAAGTACTTATACTACTAGATAGCAATAATTATTATAAAGCTATAGTAATTAAGCAGTGTGGTATTGATAAAACCATAAACAGGCAAGTGGAATAAAACAGACAGCTAGGAAACAAATCTACACATACAGTAACTTGCTTCATGACAGAATCATCACTACTACTCAGTGGTGAAAAGATAATTCTGGGTAAAGTGAATACTCATAAGGAATAATTAACCTTGACCTCTAACTCACATCATACACAAACATTAATTAATTCTAGAAGAAAAGTAGAAGAATATTTTCATTATATTCAGGGAAGCAAAACTTTCTTAAATGGACAGAAAAAAATAGCCAAAAAAAGCGATAAATTGAGCTTCATTAAAGCTAAGAATATCTTTTAATCAAAAGACAAGATAAAAATAAAGAGGAAAAGGGCCAGACACAGACTGGAAGAAGATCTGTATATATGCTGATACATATTCAGAACATATATAATAAACTTTTATATATCAGTAAGAATAGATTGACAAAGTTTTAAAATAACAGGCATACAAAATGGACATCCAAATGATGCACCCATCATTATTCACTGGATAAATATAAGGCTACAAAGAGGTACAGCTAACCTACCCTTCTCCCCCACCAATCAGAATGGCTAAAATTTAAAGTACTGACCATACTGTTGCTGTGGATGTGAAGTAACTTAACTTTTGATACATTGCTGGCAAGAGAATAAATTTGGTGCAGCCACTTTGGAATATACTTTAGTTATACAGACATACATCCGATAAAAATTTGTCAAGGTGTACATGAGATTGGTACATTTTACCATATATGTTACATCTCAATAACAAGAAAGAATCAGAAATATGAGTGATATGGTTTGGCTGTGTTTCCACCCAAATCTCATCTTGAATTTCCATGTGTTGTGGGAGGGACCCAGTGAAAGGTAATTGAATCATGGGGGCAAGTCTTTCCCATGCTGTTCTCATGATGCTGAATAAGTCTCACAAGATCTGATGGTTTTAAAAAGAGGAGTTCTCCTGCCAAAGCTCTCTCTCTTTGCCTGCTGCCATCCATGTAAGACGTGACTTTCTCCTCCTTGCCTTCCTCCATGATTGTGAGGCTTCCCCAGCCACATGGAACTGTAAGTCCAATTAATCCTCTTTCTTTTGTAAAATGCCCAGCCTCGGGTATGTCTTTATTGGCAGCATGAAAAAGGACTAATACAGTAAATTGTACCAGTAGAGTGGGGTGCTACTGAAAAGATACCCAAAAATGTGGAAGCAACTTTGAAACTGGGTAATAGGCAGAAGCTGGAACAGTTTGGAGGGCTCAGAAGAAGACATGAAAATGTGATAAAGTTTGGAACCTCCTAGAGGCTTGTTGAATGGCTTTGACAAAAATGCTGATAGTGATATGAACAATAAGGTCCAGGCTCAGGTGGTCTCAGATGGAGATGAGGAACTTGTTTGGAACTGAAGCAAAGGTAATTCTTGCTACATTTTAGCAAAGAGACTGGCAGCATTTTGCCCCTGCCCTAGAGATTTGTGCAACTTTGAACTTGAGAGAGATGATTCAGGGTATCTAGTGAAATAAATTTCCAAGCAGCAAAGCATTCAAGATGTGACTTGGATGCTGTTAAAAACATTCAGTTTTATAAGGGAAGTAGAGCATAAAAGTTTGGAAAATTTGCAGCCTGACAATGAGATAGAAAAGAAAATCCCATTTTCTGAGAAATTCAAGCCAGCTGCATAAATTTGCATAACTAATGCAAATCCCCAAGACAAGGGGGAAAATGCCTCCAGGGCATGACAGAGGTCTTCATGGCAGCCCCTCCCATCACAGGCCTGAAGCTGAGGAGGAAAAAGTGGTTTTGTGGGCCAGGCCCAGGGTTCTGTACTGTGTGCAGCCTAGGGACTTGGTGCCTTGCATCCCAGCCACTCCAGCCATGGCTGAAAGGGGCCAATGTAGAGCTCAGGCCGTGGCTTTAGAGGGTGCAAGCTTCAACCTTGGCAGCTTCCATGGGTGTTGAGCCTGCCAGTGCACAGAAGTCAAGAACAGAGGTTTGGGAACCTCCACCTAGATTTCAGAAGATGTATGGAAATGCTTGGATGTCCAGGCAGAAATTTGTTGCAGGGGCAGGGCTCTCATGGAGAACCTCTGCTAGAGCAGTGCAGAAGGGAAATGTGGCGTTGGAGTCTGCACACAGAGTCCCTACTGGGGCACTGTCTAGTGGAGCTGTAAGAAGAGGGCCATCATCCTCCAGACCCGGGAATGGTAGATCCACTGACAGCTTGCACCGTGAGCCTGGAAAAGCTGCAGACACTCAATGCCAGTCCATCAAAGCAGCCGGGAGGGAGGCTGTACCCTGCAAAGCCACAGAGGCAGAGTTGCCCAAGACCATGGGAACCCACCTCTTGCATCAGCGTGAACTGGACGTGAGACATGGAGTCAAAGGAGATCATTTTGGAGCTTTAAGATTTGACTGCCCTGTTGGATTTTGGACTTGCATGGCACCTGTAGCCCCTTTGTTTTGGCCAATTTCTCCCATTTGGAATGGTTGTATTTACCTAATGTCTGTACCCCCACTGTATCTAGGAAGTAACTAACCTGCTTTTGATTTTACAGGCTCATGGCAGAAGGGACTTGCCTTGTCTCAGATGAGACTTTGGACTGTGGACTTTTGAGTTAATGCTGAAATGAGTTAAGACTTTGGGGGACTGTTGGGAAGGCATGATTGATTTTAAAATGTGAGGATGTGAGATTTGGAAGGGGCAAGGGGTGGAATGACATGGTTTGGCTCTGTCCCCACCCAAATCTCATCTTGAATTTCCATATGTTGTGGGAAGGACCCACTGGGAGGTAATTGAATCATGGGAGCAAGTCTTTCCTGTGCTGTTCTCGTGATAGTAAGTCTCATGAGATCTGATGGTTTTAAAAAGAGGAGTTCCCCTGTACAAGCTCTCTCTCTCTTTGCCTGTTGCTATCCATATGAGACATGACTTGCTCCTTCTTGCCTTCCTCCATGATTGTGAGGCTTCCCCAGCCACGTGGAAATGTAAGTCCAATTAAACCTTTTTCTTTTGTAAATTTCCCAGTCTTGGGTATGTCTTTATCAGCAGTGTGAAAATGGACTAATATAATGAGAAAAGACATGAGATGATAGGAGGAATTTAAACACAAAATATATATTTGATCATATGAAAGAATTAGTATTAATTTTACAGCTGTGATAACAGTATTTTAGTCATGTTTTGTTAAAAGTCCATATCTTTTAGAGATGCAGCCTGAAAATGTTGTGGATAAAATAAAATGATGTGTGGAATTTACTTATAATAATCCAGTTTTGTGGGAGGGGGTGAATGGGAGAACAGATGAAATAAGATTGAGTATGTGCTAACTGTAATTGAAACTAGGTAATGGGTAAAAGGGACTTCATTATACTATTACTTCTATTTTTCATTTGATTGAACTTTTCCACAATAAAAAGGAAAAATAAATACCCTCCTCCCTTCATTCTAAAACAGCATAGGTTTTGCGGCCATACAGAGTTCCCCTACTGATTAGCTGTGTGACTATAGAGAGGTTGCCTAACCTCCCTGATCCTCAGTTATCCTCACTTTCAAACGGCAATATTTAGAGACCTGCCTCACAGAAGTTGGAAGGATTAGATAAAATTCTGTTGTCAAGCACTCAGCATAGGGCCTAGCTAACATATAGCAGGTGCTCAATGTTTTCTGATTTCTTTTGCTTCTCCTATTTTTTTTAAACCAAGACATTTCCTAATTCCTCAATCAACATATAGATGGAATTTATTTTTTGTCTTTTATTCCCTATGGGACAGTGTTTTCTGAAAGACTCACCAACATGCTCCCCACCTGAGGACTTTAGAAGACCTGGAGATAGGGGTGGGGAGAAACGAGTAATGCTGGCATATCAGGACTCCTGGGGGCAAATGCCATTTTGTCCCACAAAGCTCTGGATAGAATAGGTGCCTAAAATGTGCTTACTGGCTGAGACAGTGGGTAGGTGAATTCTAGATTGCTTTTGTTTTGTTTCCCCATATTTGAAGGTGGATAAGGTAGAGATGGTGGTGTATATGACACTTCTCCTTCCCTTTTCTCCCACTGGCATCAAAGCCTACTTGACTCAGATTTGAAGTACTTAAGGATCCTCCTTCATATCTCTAATTTCACATCATATCACAATATTGGCAACAACTACAATTTATGGCATAATGATTAAAACCTTGAACATTGTCTCTGCCACTAACGCTGAGCCTCACTTTAACTTATCTGCAAAATGGGGATGCTACAAAGTGTGGCTGGAAGAATTAAATTTTAAAAAATTCATGAAAAAGTTAATAACACAGTCTGGCATGTGGTAAGTAGTAAACACTACCTTTTGATGCTGTTACAGTTGGCCTGTAGATCAGGGTCTTTACATATATTATCTCTAACGGTCTACACTCTTTGACTCCATCAGCCTCACCAGGAACCCAATTTTCCTGTGGGTGCACTGGGTCCCCTCAGTGCCTGCCCACTACAGCACTAATCATCTGGTCCAGCTTCACTTCCCCTCTCCTCCCTTCCAAACTGAACTGCCCAATTTCCTAGATCCCATCTCATTACCTCTTGTTGTCCACCAGGTGGCACCAGAGAATGCGAAAAGCCCATAAGCTCTGCACCAAACTTCCCAGAGGCGTTTGAATTCTGTGGGGGGCTTCCTGGACAACCAAACAAGACTTTGTTATGGGAGAAGAGTTTTTATTTTTTATTTAAGGTCTACCCCAAACCACCGTGCATGGGCCATCCTAGCCCATTGACTAAGGTTACAGCCCTGCCCATACTTTCATCCGTGTGTTTCCACCTTCCCTCATCCTTCCTTTCCAGCACTTGGGCCAGGAAGCTCTTCTCTAAGACAAAGTATCCCATTGCCACACTTTCAAAAGGCTGTATAAGTCCTCTTAATTCTTTTTGCTCGGGAAGAGTTGCTCTTCTAACCATCTCTCCCTATTTCCCCAAAGCCACTCCTTGGTACTTCCTGGAAGATGTCCCACTGAGGACATGTCTATGAGGCTGATAGGGGCAGAAAGAAAGATTAGTTAGCTATGGTTGGCTAGATTTCCAAGGTACCTTGACTCCAGAATTATATAGAACATTATATATAGAACATTATTGGAATAAAATGTTATTCCCAGGCAAGGCAGATCAAGGTGAGTTTCAGGGTACAGGGAAAGAATGAAGACAAGAAAAAAAAAAAAAAAACTCTGGCCAGGTGCAGTGGCTCACGTCTGTAATCCCAGCATTTTGGGAGGCCAAGACAGGTGGATCACCTGAGGTCAGGAGTTCGAGACCAGCCTGGCCAACGTGGTGAAACCTCGTCTCTACTAAAAATAGGCATCTCGTGGCAGGCGCCTGTAATCCCAGCTACGCGAGAGGGTGAGGCAGGAGAATTGCTTGAACCCTGGAGGCAGAGGTTACAGTGAGCTGAGATCGCGCCACTGCACACCAGCCTGGGCAACAGAGTGAGACTCTGTCTCAAACAAACAAACAAACAAAACAAAAACCTCTGAGAAAAATTGGTGGCTGGAGAGTGCTTAATACGCTTCAGTTTCCACAACTTTAAAAGAAAATAATAATAATTGCTATCATAATAAGGTTATAATAAGGCAAAAAAGAGTTATTCCTTGTAAAGCGCTTGGAACAGCACCTAGCATGTAGTAAGTGCTATCTTTAATTTTATAGCTGTAGTATACACTTCTCATATTAGCAGCCCTTAGCCACAGTGAAGCCCTCCAGACAGGGTGTTTTAGGAGGCTAACCCTGTCCTGGCTCTCAGTCACTTCAGTCTCCAGTTTCCTACTTAATCCTGAATTCATTCTGGCACACTACAGGATCTGTGACATCCTCCTCCAAGATGTCCTTGTCAATTAATCCCCACTTTCAGCTAAAATCAGTGAGCAGCAAGGGGGCTAGAGGAGTATCAGCAAGAGCCAACATGTGGCATATCTGTTGTATATCTGGCTCAAGGTAGGTATCAAAGTGAGCAATTTTTGGCACCAACAAGAGAGCTAAGGCCTTTGACCCAATCCCATTACCCCTCTTCCTTCCTGGCAGTAGCTCTAGCCATTGCACTCTACAGCAGCTTTGCAAGCTGGCTGGAGTGATATTGCCTCACTCTACCACACTGTGTCATCATCATGCACTCCTTTCTGTGACTTAATGCTTGTTTATTTCTAGAAGGATGAGAAATGTAACATGTTCAAAGTTTTAAGTACAAACCATCATTTTACAGACAAAGCTTCAACCCAGAGAGTGGATGGGAATTGCTTAAAGTAACAATGCTGGCATGTTTGTTTCTTCCAAAGACTCTAGGCTCCTTGAGGTCAGGCACCATGATTTCTACTTGATTAGTATTTCTCTTTATATAGCATCTTAATGGTAGAAGACCAATGAGCAGCACTCCGCCTCAAGTTTTCCCTGAATACAGGGTCCATTGTTCTTCCAGTCCTAAATGCCAGCTGGGGGCCAGATTGTGAACACAGTGGTGCAGGACCAGTTGCCCTAAAGACCTGAAGTGGGCTGAGCACTCCCAAACCTACCATCTGCAAACCCTTTCACCATTTTGCTTTCTATGTTCTTTAAATCCTTTTCAAGGAGTGAGGCTGTGGGTTACAACCAAAATTCCTGGTCCTTGCAGCCCCTCAGGAGTTGGCCTCTTCACACCACTTCACTATTCCCTAGCATGCCCTCAGGGCATCTGCACTGCATAATTCTGGGACGGGGGTAGGAATGGGGAGCACCATTATGTTTGCCATTATCCTTGTGGTCTATGTGAATAGTGTAGCTACTATTCACTGATCACTTATGATGGGTTAGGCACATCAAATGAGATACCCTTTAAATAAGTGTATGTCATTTAATCCTCACAGCAACCTCATGAAGTAGGTATATTATTATTCATTTTCAAAAATGAGTAAACTGATATTAACAGAGCCCAGTTGACTTGCTTAAACCTAAAATTAAACCACTCACTAGCAGCCTGGCTCCAGAGCCTACTCTAAAGCATGATCCCATTGTTCTTAAAATGTAGTCTGCACAGACCACCTGTATTAGAATCACTTCAGGTGCAAGTAACAAGCTGTTGTGTCCCACCCCAACTGAACTGAATCAGAATCTCTGAGCATAGGACCCAGGAGTATTTGTGATTTTACCCAGGTATCTGAGATTAGACTAAAGCTTGAGAACCAATGTACTATACTTAACACATACATGCTGACTGACACAGAATCATGCATGTAAATGTATGCCCATGCATGCAAATAAAAAACATACTCATCAACACATAATATTTTACATCAGAGTAGTCCTTAGAGATAAGTGGGGGAACTTTTCCATAGTACCTGCTTTTCCAGCCAAATCATCACATCAAGAAATTTGCATAATGAATTCCACATTCCAGACTCCATAGAAAAAAATGTGTATGAAAACACCTTAGCCTCATTGGATCCTGGCAGGTGAGGATGGGTGATTGGCTCCCCAGACCCATAGCCCATCATACTTCTCCCCCTGTCTATAAGTCCATTAGGTTATGCCATAAGTCAATTTCAAAATAAAGTGAAGATGCAAAGGAAGTACGAGGTACATCAAAATCCTTGCCTGGCTAATTCTTAGCTGTATGGATTTGAATACATGACTTCATCTCTCTTGCTTCCGTTTTTTTCATTTGTAAAATTTCGATGGTAATTATAATAGTATCCATTTCATAAGATTGTTATGACGATTACACGAGCCAATATATTGAAAGAGCTTGGATTCTAAGCTCTAGAACAAGAAGTTGGCAAGTTGTACTCAATGTTAGTATAGTAGTACAAGTAATAGTAGTAGTAGTAGTAGTAGTAGTAGTAGTAGTAGCAGCAGCAGCAGTAATCAGGTTTTGAGGTTAGCATCCAACCCCTGTCTGTTTTCAGCTGGATTACAAATGGGTCTTTAGGTGGAGAACCTTGGAGAGTTTGTCAATATGGTATGGGAGAATATGTTTTTGGATCTGAACCTACGATGGAGGAAAAACATGAAGATATTTTTCTTAGCACTTCCTCCTCTGTCATACTAATTCAACTCATCATTATTTATTTTATGATATGAAGTTTTACTGCAAAAGCATTCAGTGTTCCCATTCCCTGGCCTTGGCAGATGTTGCCAGGTATGGGATAAAGTGAGGAACGTGACATTAGAATGAGACAGCAAGGAGAGGAAATACATATCCAAAATTCCTCATACAAAACACTTAGGGGCCGATGTTTTCTGAAATTCATTATTTGAGAGATTTTAGAAAGGTAATATGGTATATATACATGGTCTATAATACCCCTGGTAGGTGTTACAAACACATTAGTATTTCTATATCAAAATGAATATTCATAGAAATAGGTTGAAGACTGTAAGTAGCCTTATGTTGATTCAGGTCACATTTTGCTACCTAATGAGTTTTGGTGGTAAACTTATGAAAACTTTCGGTTTTTGAGATTATTGGATTTATAGATAATGGGTCATGGCCCATGGTCTGGTAGCTCAAGAATGAAAGCAAAGAAAAATAGTTGAGACCCACTAATGAGATCCTGATGAAGCCTCCTTGGTTGTGAATTGGTGGCCCAGTCTTCACTTTTCTCCAGCCAGAGATTATACCCGTCTTCCAGCCCGAAGTCCCAAAAGTGCCTATCACTTTGAGTGGAAGGTTATGGATCACGTAAAGCAAAGTTGTATCTACTATAGATGCAGAAAACATGATCTTGGGATTTGAGCTTTGCATATACCAGGGTCAAGTTTTGACCATGAGTCGCATCAGGAAGTAAAGGACTGGAATAGAGCACTCTGATTTGCTCTTTCCATGTACTGAGATTATGCACAAGATTTTAACTAGAGAATAGGTGCTATACTATAGCCAAAGAATGTGCGTCAACCATAGCATCAGAAAATAGGTCTCTTTGAGTTTGTCTATTTGGATTTTGTTGAGTTCTCAGATATGTAGATTCACATATTCCATCAGGTTTGGGATATTTTTGGTCATTCAGATATTCTTTGTGCCCCTTTCTCTCTCTCTTATCCTGCTGGAGTTTCCATTTATGACAACGTTGGTCTGCTTAATAGTGTCCCACAGGCCCAGCAGGAGCTTGTTTAGCCATACTGAAGGCAGGAACATAATCAATCCCTCTTGTCCACAGCATATAGACTCCCTGGGGAAAGACGTAGATGCCAGATACAATGTAGATAAGCCAAGCCAAGCCAAGAGCAGACGGTAGAAATAATGGAAAGTTGGCTGTACAGTCCCTTGGAAATACTGTTGGCAAGGCTGATATTTGGGCATAGAGAAAAGCATGGAGGCCTACCTCAGTGGTCATCCACCTTTTTGCTGCCCCCATACTCTTCACACACACAACACACTATCACGAACTTACATTTTACACTCAGTGATTCTCATGGAGAGGGTGCCCTAGAAGCTACATGTACCCTCACAGAGATGATGATATGCCCCCTTCTGTACACTCTCTCAGTTCCTCACAGGTTCAAATCACTGTAGGGAATGACACAGTGGAAAACTAACATATTCTTCCCACTAAATCCTTCCCTGTGTCACTCTGCACCGAAGCCCAAAATGTCCATCAAAAGCCATTCCTGGAGGCTGAGGTATTCAGAAGCAGCCTGAGAAACCAGCAAAAGCCTTCAACTGAGAGTTGGACCCATCTGGATTCTACTCTTCACTCTGCTACCTACTAGCTGTGTGATATTGAGAAAATAAACTCTCTGAACATGTTTTTTCAACTCCAAAAAGGGCATCATCATAATATGAACCTGATGAATCCAAGTTCTTTCAATGTATTGGCTCATTTAATTGTCATAACAATCTTATGAAATGGGTACTATTGGCCGGGCGCAGTGGCTCACACCTATAATCCTAGCACTTTGGGAGGCCGAGGCAGGAGGATCGCCTGAGCTCAGGAGTTCGAGACCAGACTGGGCAATGTGGTGAAACCCTGTCTCTACTACAATAAAAAAAAAAATTAGCCAGGCATGGTGGCATGCACCTGTAGTTCCAGCTACTTGAGAGGCTGAGGCAGGAGAATTGCTAGAACCCAGGAGGCGGAGGTTGCAGTGAGCCAAGACTGCGCCACTGCATTCCAGCCTGGGCGACAGAGTGAGACGCTATCTCTGAAAAAAAAAAAGAAAAGAAAAAGAAAAGAAATGGGTATTAATATTATTCTCATCCCAATTTTCCAGATGAAAAATTAGAGTTGCTGTAAGAATTAAGACAAAGTTGACAAAGTCAAGGGGTCAAGGTGAGATGTAAATCTCACATATGTTATATGGGCCAGGTGGCATATGCAAAAAGCACAGTAGACTGGGGTCAGATAAAACTGGATTTGAAACCTGGCTCTGCATTTACTAGCTGTGTGGCTCTTTTGAATCTCTTAATTAGCTTAACAGCTTTTTAAAATCTGTATAATGAGGATAACAACACTTATCATATTGGACTGTCATGAGCCTCCATGGGAGAATGTAAGTAAAAACAAACATGCATTCCATAGATATTTATTGAACATATAGTGAGTGAGATATAATGGAGATCAGTGTAGCCTGGGGCAAGATGAGGAATGGTTTAGAAAGGGTGCTCAGGAAAACCAATACTGGCAAAAAGAACATGATGTAAGAGCTTAACAAATGGGACTTTCTGGCCGGGTGTGGTGGTTCATGCCTGTAATCCCAACACTTTGGGAGGCCAAGGCGGGTGGAACACCTGAGGTCAGAAGTTTGAGACCAGCCTGGCCAACATGGTGAAGCCCGTCTCTGCTGAAAATACAAAAAAATTAGCTGGGCGTGGGGGTGGGTGCCTGTAATCCCAGTTACTTGGGAGGCTGAGGCAGGAGAATCACTTGAACTCAGGAGGCAGACGTTGCAGTGAGCCAAGACCGCGCCATTGCACACCAGCCTGGGCAACAAGAACGAAACTCCGTCTCAAAAAAATCCCCAAAAAACAAACAAAACAAAACAAACAAACAAAAAACCAAATGGGACTTTCCATTTTTTGCAAGGTTTTCCAACTTGCATTAATTCCACAATTTATAAAAATGTCTGTCCTTCAAGAAGCACATATCTACTTCCCAGGGTTACCAGCTCCCTGGTCACCAGTTCTTTCCTTTCTTCTCAATCTCATGTGCTTGCCCTGTCCTTCTTAAGCAAAAATTCTGAGACACCAAGGACATTGCTGGTCCTGATTCAGTAAACGGCCTCTCTTTATGGTTTCTTCCCTGCATCATTCCTACCATTTCACTTGTATGAATCCACTTTTTTAACCTTTTATGACAACTTTATTGATGTATAATTACCAATCACTATCACCACAGGCTGAGCAAACAGTCTCTTAAGCTTGGTCACAGAGCAAGCTGCCAACACTGAATGCAGATCCTGTGTTTAACCCTGACCACCAGCCAAACACCTAACCCAAGACATAGCCTAAACTCCTAACTCTGAACTTGGAGGCTTAACTCCAATTTCACACCAAGCCTTTAACCCTGGCCACAAATGAAGACCCTAATTCTATCCACAAACTGAGCCACTTTCTGGCCACACTCCAAGGTCTTAATCCTGATTAAATCAAGTCCCTAGGCCTAGTTACATACTGACTGTCTACATCTGGCCCAAGAGTAAGTACTTAAGACTGGTCCCAACCTGAATCTCTAACCCTGATCCCCTATTGAACCATAACTATGGCTACTGTATAAGTCCTTAATTCACGATACAGGGATCAAAAATAACATCAGATATAGCCCCTAAGTCTGTCCCCAGGCTGAGTCTCTAAACTAGGCTACAGACTGCATGACCTAACTCTGGGATATACTTAACATCCTGAACTGACCACAAAATGAGTGCTCAGCATAGATACTAACTGAGCTCTAGCCCTGACTACAGACTGAGGCTCTAACTTGGTCACAGCCTGAGATCTGATCTTGGAAACCAACCCAGCTACAATTTCCCAGACTTAGCACTAACCAGAAAATGACCCCAACATTGGCAACAGAATGACTACTAAACTTGGCCTCATACAGAGACGAAAACATGTACAGAGACCAGACTCTAAACTTGTCCCAACTCTGTGCCTTAATCATGGCCAAGAAGTGAAACCAAATCTTCCACAAAACTTGAGAATATTTTGACCACAGCATATGTCCTAATCCTGACTATAGACAGAACCCTGAACATGGCCACAAACTGAGTCTTAACCATGTTCAAAGCCCAAGTTCTAAACCTGGACAGAGACTGGGTTCATAAATCTGATCAGGAAATAATCTACTGATCCTGGGACAGACTGAGCCCTATCACTGGCCACTGATTTGACCCCTAAACCTTACAGCTTCTAACTGGTTACAGACTGCATCTCTAACTCTAGCCATAGACTGAATTCCTAACTCTCATCACAGACTGAGCCCATAAGCCTAACCTCTGACATGAGCTTTCAACCTGAAAATAAATCTGATTTCTCCAAATGGCTAATGACTGATCCTGAATTTTTGAGATAGACTGAACCCTATCTCTGGCTAAATGTTCACCCGAGACTGGATCCCAATTTCAACCACAACTTTAACTTTAACCCTGGCTACCGACTGATTCCTAATACCAGAAATTAAGCTGCTCACCAGCACTGGGCAGAGACTGAACCCAAACCTTGAAGATGAATGAAGGACAAACTAGACAAAGACAAAACAAATACTTTTCATTTTCTTGGCCTAAAACCCTGCAACAGATTTAATTCTAACCCTGAGCACAGACGGAACTCACCATGGCTAAGATCTGAGCCCTCTTCCTGGCCACATTCTGAATACTGAGCTGGGATGAAGACTGTAAGTCCCACCACAGTCTGAGACCTAAAGGCCAAGCCCTAAGCCTGGTTAGAGAAATGATTCCTGACCCTACAAGACTAAATCAAAATCCTGCTCATATTATCAGATCTAACAACAGGCTGAGACTAAGTACTCACCTTTGTCACATATCAAGTCTTAAACCCATAAACAAAGTTCACTGTATTAGTGGCCACAAACTGAGTCCTAGCACTAGCTGGAGGTTGAGCAATCAGTCTGGTCACAAACTTAGTCCTCAATTGTGAATAGATGTACCCATGGCACTGGGCACATTATGGTCACTAACAATTAGCAAAGACTGAACTCTACTACTGATACCGAAATGCCTGCTACACTAAGCCAGAGTCTAAGTGCCAGACTGACAACAGGCAATGAACACTCTGAACTCAAACCCTGGCAACATCCTGATCCCAAAACCCTGATTACAGCCTGAGCCTCTAAAGCTTTCAATCTGGATTTTATGTGTTGTTTGTTCTCATCTCAACTCTATCCACTGACTGACAAATAACATCAACAGCTAATCCAAAAAACCTGTTTACACTCTTAGCCTTAAAACCTTCTTCATAGTAAGCCTTACCTTGGTTATTGGTAACTCCCAAACTCTGGTACAAGTTTAATCAGATAGCACTACCACCAATACTCAGTGAACACAAATGCTACATAAAGTCATAGTGGAATTACTCCCTCCAGACTCAACTCTGATAGTGGTCAAATTGAAATGGCTAATACAGGTCACCGACTGAGCCCTGCTCTGGCCACAGAATGAGGGCCAACACAGGCCACTGTGAGTTAGCTCCATAGAACATTGTTGATATGAGCTATGGACAAAGACAGAATCCTGACACTGGCTAAAGTCAGAAACCACACCTTGAACTTACTCTAGCCAAATATGCATCCCAAATCCTGTTCATATTCATCATTGAAATCCTGGCCACAAACTGTATCATAATTTTGTCCATATATGAAATGCTAACTCTGGTTTGAGACAAGGCTCTAGGGCACATGACAGGTAATGTCCTAACATGGCAACAGACTGAATATTAGACATTGACTGTGCCTTACCATTGGCCACGGACTGAGACTTAATTATTGGACCCAGAATAAACTCTAACCATGAATACGAATTGAAACTTAACCTGAAGAAAGACTGAACATAAATCCTGTTCATATTCTTACTTCATTTTTTCCTAGGCAACATCATCAGCATGAAGACTAATCCCAGGCAGAGCCATGGTCCTGGCCTTTATTGACTTTCAAGTCTAGAAATGAAAGTGATTCCAACATTGATCAAAAACTAAAGTCAAACATTGAGCTGAGCCCTAACCTTGGGTGTGGTCTAAGTCTGGTCCACAGACTGAGCCCTAACTCTAATTTTAGAATGAGGCCTCTTCCTACACACAGACTAAATCCTAATTCTGGCCAAAATTTGAACCCAAATCTTGCACCTTGACTTCATAAACCAGGCCACTCTAGACTTACAGCAGCCTCAGAGTGAGCTTTAACACCCTGAGGCTGCTGTTAGTCCAGAGTGGTCAGAAATGCACTTTAATCTGTGACACAGACTGAACCATGGCTCTAAATCTGGGGCCTAATATTGCTATCAGGCTTAACCCTAAGCTTGGTTTGATGGTCTTCTGATCCTGAATCCACAATGGCCTGTAAAAACAGCTACAGACTTACTAAATCTTAACCTGAGAAAAGATTGAAGCTAAATACATTCCACATTATACACATGAACCCTGGCCTTGACCTGGGCTCTACACTGGCTCTGGATACAGCTCTAACCTTGACTTCCTAATTGTTCTCTGAATCCAGCCAGACTGTTTGACCCTGGGCCAGTATTTCACAAATTCATCTTATTATATAACAACAGACCAAAGAGTATCACGTTTGTATATACACATACAAATATATGTATACATTTGTGCTTATATATAATATATATTATATATAAAATTTCTGTATGGCTTATTGGAGATATAGATATGTTTTATATATTATATATAAAATTTCCATATGGCTTATTGGAGATATATATATGTGTGTGTGTGTGTATTTATATCACCATACAGAAATAGCCATACACAGCTGTGACATACACAGTAAGAAATATTACTTATCACAGCTATGTATTTTAATTATTTATCTTGTTTGTTGATGGCTTCTTCCTAACAGAATATAGCCTCCAAAGGGAAGGGATGTTGTATGTGTTTTCCACTTCTCTATTCCCAGCATCTAGAATAATGTCTGGCACATTATAGGTACTCAATAAAAACTTGTTATATTGATGAAGGAGTAATTTCTTCTTACTATTCTGTCCTGCTACTTGACCTCTCTGTAATATATGCCAGTAATTCTACTTTGTTTTCTCTTGGTTCATCTGTTTGGGCATTCCCTCTCAGCTTCCTTGGAAGGCATCTCTTCTTCTACTTGCTACTTGAATATCATTATTTTCCAGGATTCCATAATCTTTGTCTTTTTAAAAACTATTATTCTAAATACTCTCTAAATTGGCTGGGCACAGTGGCTCACGCCTGTAATCCCAGCACTTTGGGAGGCTGAGGCGGGTGGATCACTTGACGTCAGGAGTTCGAGACCAGCCTGGGCAACACAGTGAAGCCCCATCTCTACTAAAAATAAAAAAAAAAATAGCCAGCTGTGGTGGCAGGCACCTGTAATCCCAGCTACTCGGGAGGCTGAGGCAGGAGAATCACTTGAACCCAGGAGGCAGAGGTTGCAGTGAGCCGAGATTGTGCCACTGCACTCCAGCCTAGGCAACAGGGTAAGAAACCGTCTCAAAAAAAAAAATACTCTCTAAGTAAAGTTTAAACAATTTTTCACTTATTTAATTGCCCTCTATATTATACTAATGTCTCCCAAATGTTTAGTTCCAAGCAAGACCTCTCTCCCAAGCTTCCGACCGGCATTTCTCAGCAGCCTATCAGGCATCTCCAACCAAAAGTTCCACAGACTCTTCAAATTTTAAATGTTCAAAACTGATTTCCTCCTATTCTTCACAAAACTTGCTATTCTTTCTAGGTTCAATATCTCAGTGAATGGTACTACCATACACTTAGTCTTCCAAGTCAGAACTTGGGAGTCGTAATGGACTCCTCCCCGTCTCTCACTTTCCACATCTACCAACTCCATCTGATTATTCCATTTCCTGCTAGAAATACTTTGATGAACAGGAACCCATGTTTTAACTCACCATTAAAACCCAAAACCTGTCATAGTGTATGGAACATAGTAGGTGCTCTGCAAATACTTTGAAATCAATGATCAAATCAAAGTAAAGAGTCATGGAAAAAAAGATAAAAAGAAAGGAGACAAAGCTGAGAAAAGAAATTCTGCATTTGATTCACACAATGTTTTTCTGGTGGCCATAATACTGAAAATGCCTTGTTTCACTCCTTTTTATGGCTGAAATGAGGTGATTTTTCTTTTTCTCTTTTTTCTTTCTTTTTTTAATTTTTTAATTTTTTTTGAGACAGAGTCTTGCTCTATCACCCACTACACTCGAGTGTAGTGGTACAATATCGGCTGACTGCAGCCCTAACTTTCCAAGCTCAAGGGATCCTCCTGCTTCAGCTTCCTGAGTAGCTGGGACTACAGGCATGCGCCACTATGCCTGGCTAATTTTCTTGATTTTTTGTAGAGACAAGGTCTCATTATGTTGCCCAAGCTGGTCTCGAACTCCTGGGCTCAAGCAATCCTCCCAACTTGGTGTCCCAAAGTGCTAGGGTTACAGGCATGAGCCCCGGCACCCAGCCGATTTTTCTTTTTTTAAAAAAGCAAATTATTTTCCTGGAGGAATTTAAAAGTATAAAAAGTATTAAAACATAATATAGCAATTCAATTACCACCCTCCAGAATGATTCCCCATAATACCCTAGCTATGTGTTCCCAGTATGTTCTATGTGTATATGCTTTAAAAAATAAACACTATATAAGCACAAAAATTCCTCTGATGGTTCTCTCCCACTTTCAAGTTAAATTATGAACTAATTGATATGACCCCTTGTTGCTGCCTGATCTAGTCTCTGCAATATGGAACTTTTGCTATTGTTCTCTGCACTCTTTCATGCCTTTATGCCTTTGCATATGCTTTGTATAGAATATGGTTGACCTCCCTGCCCCAAATCTGACAAATATTTTACTGGTTCTTCAACCAGTTCTCCAGAAGTAGAACAAGTTCTTCCTCCTCTATGTTCCTATAGAACCCTATGTAGACTTCTTTACAGCATTTTGCACATTGTATACTCATCTATTCCTCCCCCCAGATTCTCCTCTACTACAACTCCCCTCACCTGGATTTTGAGCTACTTGAGGGTAGGGACTATTTTTCCAATTCTGTGGCAACAGTGCCTAGCCCAGAGCTTTGCACAAAGCACTATGCTGAATAAATGGTTGAATTTATTAAATCGTCTTCCTCCTTCACTTATCTTTTTAAAATATTGGGCAATTACCTCAGCAAAATGCAATTCCCCTGTCTTTCCCTTCATTTTACTCGTGAGTCGAAAAGTTGTCCTCATCAAGAAGTTGTAGTAATTCAACTGTAACAAGGCTACAAGGATTCATCTCTAACAGAGAAAAAAAAAGGTCAAAAGTTGGGAGTGAAATTAGCCCTAATAAACAACCATTTTCCTCAACCTTTAAGTCACTTGGAAGTGCTTGGCATTCCCCACCTATGTCTTTATCCAGCTCTTGTAACATATTTTTACTCAAAAGGTTAAGTTTCTTAAAGACACATATAGTTACTCGTTTGTACTTAAGTTGTATTGTCTATCTGTTCTAAATTGTTATTTATAGCAGTTTATGTGGCCACTGTTTTTCATGGCAACAACATAGCTTCATTATGGATTAAATAGGCTTCTTCTGGGCTGGTGTAGATCACATTTCTATGCCTATTTATGACACTGTTTCCAGGGGGAACTATAATTTCCAATTAGAAAAAAATATATACATTCTTCCATACCTTTCAAGTGATTTTAATGCAGGTGGTTCACAAGGAACACACTTTAACAATTTTAAAGGACTATAACTCTCAATTAAAATTCTAAGCTTACCAAAGAATAAACATCATCTTTTGAAAAACACTTAAAACTCAATAACAATTTCAAATCACGATAGAAAGTGCTTCCCGCAAAATGCTAAGAGCTTAACCGACATGAAAATAAATCTAGAGCCTTCGTCTGTCCCCACAAGCACAAACCCATAACCCCAAGAGAGATTCTCTAGACAGTGCACCCAAACTACAATACCCAGAATACCCTTCCCCGTCTGAACGCTGGGGACAATCGGAAGGGGAGGGGAAGAATTGTGCGTATAGAGAAATAAGTGTCCCGCAACTCCATCTCCCATAATTCTCGGTCCTCACTTGTGTCTGTCTGCCAATGTCAACACGAGTTACCCCCAGGAAGAACAGCCTCCAGCGACCTCAAACTACATTTCCCATGAAGCCATGGGCTCGGGCCTCCGGCTTCCCCGGTGACCAGTAGCCAATAGGAGACGCCGCAGTGGGCACCCTGTGTGTGAGAGTCCAGCCTTGGGCCAGAGTGCCGGGTCTAGGCCTGGAAGCGCGAGGCGGGCATTTCGGAAGAGAGTGGCGCGGCGTGGGGCGCCGCGAGGGCACTACGAGCCCAGGAACTGCCGCGCCGGCCCGATTTTCCGCGGCTGTATAAGGACTAGCGCTTCGGTAGCCGGGGAGCTGGAGGTCAGAGAGGCAGAAAGCCCCGGTGGCCGTGGCTGGGGACTGTGGGACTGAGGGGGCCTAGGGAGGAGGGTGCTTCCGGGGCCGCGGTCCTCAGCGCCTAACTCCACCCAGCTCCACCTCTGCAGGGGAGGGGGTATCGGGACTGGGAGTCGGGGGTGGGCTTTTGAGCTCTAGGCGCCAGTTCTCTTGAGCCCGGGAGCGCGCTGTCTTTGCTCTTTTTTTTTTTTTTTTTTGGTCCAACTCGCCCGCCCCTTTTTTTTTTTCCCACGACGCCGCCCCCCTCCCCCTGGCTCTGTGCCTCCTCAGAGGTCCGAAGTTGGGGTTTGCGTCCAGGGTTTTGCCTAGGCGGTGACTGGACTCTAATTCTTACCGCAGGAATTGGGTGATCTCTTTCCTCTTTTCCCTCAATTTGTATTTCAGGTTTGGGCACATAACCCTCCCTGCGCTACACTCCCCATTTTCTTTGGGGCATGGGAATTCCTTGCCACGCTCAGGGCGTGACTTTTTTTTTTCAAACTTTCTCTTTTTGCCTCCTTAATTGATCGCCATCTCTTTACTGGCCCCTCAGCCACCTGCCACTTCCCCCACCAGGTCTTTGAAGTGGGGAGAGTTTCCCCTCAATTTCTAGAAGGGATGGGAAGCAAAAGAGGGAAGGAATCTTGCTTTTGAGAAATGTGTGTTTAAGGTTCAGTGCAGGGTTCTGGTGAGAGTAAAAGGCAAGTTAGACTGGTTATAAAAATCCAGCGCTTTAGGGGTTTCCAGCAAAGACTGATAGCACTAATGTTGACAAACATTTAGGGGGCACACCTTTATTCTACAGAATAAAGTAGACCGTGTGAAACAGACCATATTAATCATTGTATTATTACAAACGTGTGCAAAAAACGCTAAGAGGGGTCAGTGGAAGAGCATACTGATGGGGGTGGTGAGTTCATCTATGGAAGTTCAAGCCTAACCCGGGAAGTGCTGAAGCCCTCATCCGGCTTTCAGGCTTTGTGAAGGAGGTGAATTTTAATCTGGGCTCCAGCAGAGTACAGGGGATTTGAAGTTGTCAAAGAGGAGGGAGAAAATGCTTCCTGCTACTGAGATTGGACTTTGAGAAGGGTAAACAGAAGAGGGAGCACTGTGAGACAGGTGGGCTTGCCTGATTGGAATAAAAGATATCAGCACAAATATACTGGGAAATAAATAGGGTGGAGAAGCTTGGGGTCATAATAACATGATACTTTGAAACATACACATAGTTTGGATATTATTCTGTATCAAATAAAATTGAAGGCAAAAATTAAGATTGGATGATTTTTCTTTTCATCCTAGGGAACCTGATTTGAGATCAATTCTTGGAGAACACAAAGAAGTGTGATGGTATGTTCCAGGTGTGAGTTTAAATCCAAGAAGAAGCTTGTCTTGCAGATGTTTTGTTTGTAGCTATTCTTAGCTACAGTCTATAGCTGTCAACTTTAAAGCCTAGAGACATCGATATATTTTCTTAAGAAATGCATTTGCTGTCCCCGTGCATCACATTATCTGAACTGTAGTCATCTCATTGGGTGACAATAATGACTGCTATTTATTGAACCCACATAATGTCCTAGTCATCATCATAAATACTTTGTTGCATTATCTTGAGTGTTATGAAGTAGGTACTATTATTCCTGTTTCTTTTTCTAGAAGAAAACACTAAAATGCACAGAAGTTAAACAATCTACTTAAAGTCACATAGATTATAAGTTGAGTTGAGGTTTGGGTGTACAGATTTCTGACTCCAAAGCCCATGCTCTGTTCAACATGGTTTGCTGCTCCCAATGTTCTTTCTTGTTCTTGACTTTCCAGTTGTGGTAAGGAGAGATAGGTATAGTTCATCATCCTGGCCAAAACCCAAATGATTCACTTAAAATTTCTATGTCAGAATGTATTTGCTGTAAAGTAGCTGCCAAAACCAAATTAACTGTCATTGCAACTGTAGCTAATTGTGTCTGCCAAAACCATAGTCAGTACGGCTATTTCTGAATTAGATGATTCTCTTTATAACACATATCATACCTCTAAGCTATTTGGACCTTGATAGCACTTTGGATGTATTTTATTTTAGCATTTTAAGAAGTTACCTGGGACACTAGATCTCTTTCATGACCTCTGCCCACGTGAAGTGTTGGAGAAACAATGAAGTACAAGGTGTGAACTCTTCCTGGGGTCTAGCTGGGGAGCTGGATGCCCACAGTTCTGAGATACTGTAGTGTGTAGTATAACAGAGACAGGTACAAAATGCTATGGAGGGATAAAGGAAGGTGTGACTCACTGTAAGGGAGACTCGGGGAGAAGGCTTCCATGAGGAGGTGACATGAGATAGGTCTTGAAGGATAGTGAGTTTGCCCCAGGCAGGGAAGGAGTGGAGGGGAGGCATTTCAGATAGAGGAGTCAGTCTGTGAAAGATGTGTGGCTGTATAAGAGTAGGGCATGTTCATTCAATGTGGAAGAATTCAGCATGGTTGGAGTGCAGATAGTTGAGTAAAAGGAAACTGTAATGGGTAGGAGAAGAGTCTGGAAAGAGGTTGGGGCTGATTTGCAAAGAACCTTGATTGCAATCCTAAGTTGGAATGTGCCCCCATAGGTCAGTGGTTCTCAAAACGTAGGGCATCTGCCAGTGGTAGTTACACTGTGCTCCCACAAACATTTTAATTTTACTAGTTACATGTTCAAATATGTCTTAAAAAACATAAAACTGAACTAAGCCATCACATCTAAGATTACTTTGGATTTTACTTCATAAAAATAGAAAGTGAACCAGTTTTCAGTTCATTTAAAGACAAATATTAAGTAGTAATAGTACACATTGTGTGTGAATATGGTAAAAATCACTAAGTAATACTCAGACTGAAATTTGGGAAGTGCTGCTTGTAGGCCATAAGAAACCATTAACATGTTTTAGAAGAGCACCACGATCAGATTTTTACTGTAAGGAAAATGACAGTGGGAAGGATACAGTGGAGGTGGATATGATGAGGCTGCTACTCTGTTCCACAGAGAGACAATAAAGACCCAAGAGTAGTGACGTGAGCGGAGCGAAGAGATTTGAGAAACATTTAGGAGGTAAAATTATTAGGACTTGGTGGATGTTAATATTATTTTGTCAGTGTTACCAGAATTGTTTTAAAAGTCTGCATGCCCCCCTTGCCTCTTGTCCTTTATATTGTATGGTGAGCAATAATATTGCCAAAACATGCTATGTTTCTATGTTCATTAAGATTACAATGGAAGCTATAGTTACCACTCGAGTGGATTTGGATTACACACAAACATCCTTCCCACCTTACTCAGTGTCCTTGAGAGCAGTAGCACAAATATTCAAGGCACTGATTAGGAATATGACCATGATCTGTGACCCTTAGGCATGCAAGAAATTCCTCAGCCTTTAAGACTCAGCTCATATGTCAACACCTCTGTGAAGCCTTCCCGACAGCCCTTGCCCAACATACATGAATGCACGCACAAGGCAATGTTAGGCCTCGGGCTTCCACAGGACCCTGCACTTAGTTACCTCCGTCCTAGCCTGTACCACACTGTAGGGTGTCGGTCTGTGGATGTCTCTGTGTTCCCCACTAGACTGTGAACTCCTTGAGGGCAGGGACCAGGTTTCATTCATCTCCATACCCATAGCATCCAGAAGAGCACTTGACACATGGTAGTCACCTAATAAATGGTTATTGGGTGAAAAGAATTGATAAACAGATTTGCATGAATATAACTGGGGACCTTGGTAGCACAGAGTGCCAAATGCTATGAAAAGACTAGCTGTTTGCTACATTTGCTACTTTTGCTGAAGAAAGGAGTAAATTAAAGTGCCCATAATTTCATGAAAGACCTACTTTTTCCCTCTTTTCTTCACTCTCCCCTGGTTATCTTACCTTTTTCTTTCCTATCATTTACCTATCCAGGCACCTATTCCTTAGCCCTGCCCATTACTTTGCTGCTCTTGACAGAGTTCATCTTCCTCCTGCCCTGATACTTTGCCAGGAAACATCCTTCCTTCTACCCACCCAAGTCCAGTACACTCCGTCCTTGACATCACTCTCAAGTTCATCTCCTACTCATAGACTCTGCTGCTGGGACTATAATTTGATACAGCTCTTCTGGAGAGCAATTCGTCAATATGTATCAGAAACCTTAATAGAATACAGCTTTTAACCTACCACTTCAACTTCTAGAGCTCTATGCTGAGGAAACAATCATGATGTTTCCAAAAATTTAATACTCAGGACATCTATCCCAGAGTTGTTTATACTAATAGCAAAAACAACAAAAAAAAAAAAAAGAAAAAAAAGAACATCTTAAATGTACAATACTAGGGATTTGAATGAAATCAATTGTGGTACATTTATAGAATGGATTACTAAGTAGCCTTGTAAGTTGATTTTACCAAACAATATTTAATGATGTGGAAAATTGTTTTTGATATATTAAGAGAAAATTCACATCATAGAACTCTCAGTACAGAGTGACAGATCCCAGTTTAAAAACATATACATAATACACACACACACACGCACACACACACGCACACGCACACACACATCTGTGTAGGCATACATAGGAAAAATCCTGTAATGGTAAACACACAAAAAAATATTAATAGGGGTTTGCTGCAAGTAGTAAGATTGCATATGACTTCTACTTTTAACCTTTTGCGTATTTTTATTTTCTAATCTACAGTATATTTGTTAATTTTTAAAAAGTTATTTTGACCAGGCACAGTGGCTTAACACCTGTAATCCCAGCACTTTGGGAGGCCAAGGCAGGCGGATCACCTGAGGTCAGGAGTTTGAGACCAGGCTGGCCACCATGGGGAAACCCCGTCTCTACTAAAAATACAAAAATTAGCCGGGCGTGATGGCATGCGCCTGTAATCCCAGCTACTCGGGAGGCTGAGGCAGGAGAATTGCTTCAACCCAGGAGGCGGAGGTTGCAGTGAGCCAAGATTGCACCACTACACTCCAGCCTGGGAGACAGAGTGAGACTCTGTCTCAAAAAAAAAAAAAGTTATTTTAAAATGTTTTCCCGGTGTCCACCATTGTCTTACTTTGGGGCATACCTTCCACCCCCCAACACACATGCATCACTTCTAGCCTGGATTACTGCTGCTTCCAGCCTGCTTCCCTTCTAGTCTACTCTTTACCAATGCTGACAGAATGATTTTTGTAAATCACAAATCTAAAACCATCTGGTCTCTATATAAAATAGTTCAAAGGCTGTCCATTGTCTTCAGAGTAATATCCAGACTTCTTAGACTGCCTGATAAAAGCTTTGAAAATCAGCTCCCTGCTTGCTCCTCTAGTATTAGGTTTTCCTTCTGTGATTTACTTTTTTGGGGGGTCTTTGGCCAGTGGCAGGCACATAATAGGTATTTAATTAATGTTAGCCAATGTTGATGTGGACTGTATGGATTAGCTATTTTATGCCAGGCAATCTACTGGTATTTAATTCTCAGAGCAAAAATATTAAACACATAAAATAGTTATTCCTATTTTACAGATGAGGAAAACTAAATACATCAAAGCGAGAAGAAAAGTTATCATAATAAAGGGCATTTTTTAAAGAGAAAATTTAAAACCTCCTGCCATAACTCTGTTTTCTTTATTTTCCAGCAATCCCTGCTGGTCCTTGTCAGGAAGAAAACAGGCTTTGTACACTCCCTTGGGCAAGTTATATGTGACCACAGCATAACAAGAACAGCCAACTGACATGATCTCACCCTGTCGTGGTTCACATTGTGCTCATGTACGGAAATCTTTCCTTTGTGTACATAACACTTCACACAGGAGAGATGGAATAGCTCCAGTTGCTCTGTTTTTCTTTATTTTTTGAAATTCTGTGTCATTTGGGATGGGTATGTCAACAGAGAGCTACAGAAAACCGTGATAGAATTGAATGTACAAGAAACAATGTGTCTCATGGGAGCCGATGTCATTGGTTAATTTATTTTTTTAAATGTCATGTAGATGTATTTTCCAGCAATCTGTCCCCAGGGAAGACCTTGGTTGAATTCAATAGTTAATCCTACTTACAGAACGCAGCCCATGTGTGCACTATATTCTTGCATTGTTAAGTGATTTTAGACATATGTAGTGGATTACCATACGACATACAGTCGAGTGTATATAGGATATCTGATTTTCTCTACAATAACGTATCAGTGGTCATTCAGGATCCTGAAGTGTAGTCTTCCCTTCATTTTCCTTACAGATAATACCCATTGTGCAAAAATGGATGATTTCTAAGGGATGGAAGTCCTAAGCATGAGTCATCTGAGTAAAATATTTCTTTATAAGGAATTGTTACTTTTAAATACTCCAGGAAAAAAAATCTATAGTTTTCCTGCTACATGATCAAATAATTTGAATGTAGAAATTACAGATAGGGTTTCACTTCATTCGATGAATTATTGTAGGCTTACTATGTGAAAGCACTCCGTTAGGCACTGCACTAGATACTCATAAATACCCCTTTTAATGCCTTCTGTATAAAAAGAGAAAGAACAAGGGAGAGAGAGAGCAAGCAAGCACACAAGAGTAAGAGAATTCAAGAGCAAATAAAAGAGAAAATTTTAACAAGCGGGCCCATCTTATAAATGAAAATTCACCCAGCTGAAAACTGGGATATGTACCCGTGGGGATGTGTGTTTTTTTGTTTTTTTTTTCTCAGTGGGATAGCTAGGCAAAAATGAGCTACCAGATAGCTGATAAGCAAATGATCTGCTTCTCTGTTTACAAACAGTATGAGAGAAGGAACAGTGACTTTCTGTGCTTCCCAGCCCTGCACAAGCCTGCTGGTGATGTGAGAGTTATGATTGTGTCAGCTTTTCCAGGGTTTCTGTCTCTGCTGTAGAGATTTGGCAGACACCTCAGACAAATTTTATGTCTCTTAAATCTTCCTCAAGCTAGGCTTGGCTCTTAGATTTATATGTGCAAAAAAGTAAAGTGTTTACCAGTCTGACATTTTTGAAGATCAAAACAGACTTAGTTTAAAAAAAGAAATCAGCATACACCTCAGTTTAGTCAGAAAGACCTAATTGCTTTTTGCTATTTGTTTAAAACAGCCCAAATGTGTACTTTTCAGAAATGGCTACTGATCATATGTCTAAAGATTTATGTTCTATCCCTCAGTGTTGCTTCCTTTTTTTCTTGCCTACAAAGTGTAAAGTTTTGCTGAAGTCTTAATTTTCCTTTTTTTGCCTTTACTGATACATAGTATAAAACACTGTAGGATGGAAACATGGTGAAATACATTGGCAATCTAGGAGGAGAAAAAAGATAATTTTTATTAGCTCTGCTTCCCTCCCCTTTCTGGTGCTCTGTTTTTCAGTGGTCTCTTACTCACAAAATGTTGTTCTTTAGCATAATAACGATAGGTGAGTAGAAGAATCAAAGAGCTTTCAGTGACCACACTTTAACAAAGCTGGTCCAAATGCCTCGGTAGGCAGAGCACAAATGAATATGGCAATCATTCAGGAGAATTGAGACACTATGGAAAATGTTACTTCAGAGAACAACATTGCTTTAGTGGTGAACTATGAAAGATAAGGATGGAGAAATCCCCAGTAAGGGCCCTTGTCATCTGCTCCAGCTGCTCTTCATTTTTAGCCAGCAACAACTGCTAATAAGAGTTTCCTGGGATAGAAACTGCCCCACAATAAGCCCCCATAAGGTGTCCTCCTATCAGCTTTTCTTCAGTCAGGTCCTCAAACATACTTCACTAGGATTACTCTGGTCACATACCATTCTAATTTTCACCTTTCAAGAGATGCTGAGTTTGACTTCAAGGAGTACTTGATGTTCAAACTCATTCATTCAATAGACATTTGAGCATATATACAGGACCAGACCCTATGCTAAACACCAGGACTATAATAATGAATTTGATGTGATGTAATCCCTGCCCTTAAGGAGCTCACAGTCTAATAGGGGAGATAGACACTCAAACCAGTGATCGTATTTTGATGTGAAAAGCACCCAAAAGAGAGAGAAGGTGTTCTGGGAATATGGAGGAGGGAATTACAGCTGGGGGTGGACAACTTAGAGATCAGAGTCTAACTGTGCTGAATCATAAAGGATGAGGGGCATTGCCTAGTCTCTATGTGGACAAAGAGGTGATGGGCAAGGATTCCAGGCAGAGGGACCATCAACACATGCAAGGCAGTCAAATGTGTAAAACTGCATAGTTCAGAAAAAGGTAAGATATTGTGTGTGAACCACTGAAAGCATGGGAAAGGGGGACAGGATAAGAGTCTGGAAAGGTATCCTGTGGCTGGTTGGGTGAAGTAAGTCAGCTTGCTAAGAAGTATGGCCATTGTCCTATATGTAGGGATGAGTGAACACAGGGTTTTAAATGGGAGGAGTAACATGATTGCACTGGAGGTTGGACTTCATGGGGGGAAAAGCTGAAGACAGATGAAGTCCACTTTCTTTTTTTTTATTATTTTTATTTTGAAATACTTTCAATTTAGAAAAAAGTTGAAAGAATGGTATAAAGAATATTAAAATAACCATTTGAGAATAAAATTTTAATATGATGCTTCATCATTTCTGAATATTTTATTTGAATCTTCTACCAAAAAAAAAAAAAAGGATATTCCATATATAGCTACAATACCATCATAGACATCAGGAAATTTTCTTTTTTTTTTTTCTTTTTTTTTTAAATTTTACTTTAAGTTCTAGGATACTGTGCAGAACGTGCAGGTTTGTTACATAGGTATACATGTGCCATGGTCAAGGATCTAGAACCAGAAATACCATTTGACCCAAGCAATCCCATTACTGGGTGTATATCCAAAGGATTATAAAGTCCACTTTCTAATTTGGCAGTCTTTGAGAGGTTTTACCCTAATCACTTGCTACTATTCAGCAATGCCATCTCTGCTAGGGTTTCTTTCCATATACAGAGATCACTTTGAACAATTGTTTCCTTCTGCACACAGGACATAACTTCCTGCACTCCTTCACATGTTACTCAGATGAATATTCATTCTTTCCAACTCAAATCAGTGATTCCAGCAGTAATTGAGGTTTGATTATCATGAAGGAAAGAAATCAGTTTTGAAGCACAGCAGCTTCATTTCAAAAGCATTCTATGAGGCGTATTTATTGCTTGCTGAGTCAGCAGGGCTGAGGCACGTGCTGGTCAGCTGCCCTTGGGATTTGGGGGAGGAAAAAGGAAAGGCTGAAGAGATGTCAGGAAGTGGCTATTTGAAAAATAAGCAGCAACCAGCATGTTGGAAATCCTTAAACGTCACATCCAGATATGGGAAGTGGATAGACGTACCAGATGTACATGAATATAAAACAAATGCATGTTGAAGGTACCTGTGCCCAAACAAATTGTACCATCTAGCCAGTCAGTTTTAGATCATGTTCTTTCCCTGACTCAGATACTGTAAATGGCTTCCCATTATCCATAGGATGAAGTCCAAACTCTTCAGCCTGACCTTTAGTACTGTCTGCAATCTGGCTCCAACCTACCTTTCTAATCTTTGTACTTCTGTCTTACAGAACTCTGCTCCAGCCAGTTACCCTTTCAGACACTGCTTTGGCATTCCATTACTTACAGTGGGAGCCCTCTCAGGGGCTGTATTTTTTACTTCTTTGAATTCCCCAAAGTGCCTAGCACAGTGTCTTGCATATAGTAGGCCCCCAATATATATCTGTGACTGTTATTTTTCCCCACCCTTCCACCATTGTTTCCAATATCTCTACTATTAACCCAATGCCCTCACTACTGAAAATGGCAACTGAGACACTAGGTAAAAGAGGTTGGTGCTCAACAAATTATCTTTTAACTTTCTAGTTTGAAGTACTTTTAAATATAGAAAAATTGCAAGCATCATATAAGAATTCTTATATACCATTTGCTCAGATTCACCAATTGTTATTATTTTGCCCTATTTGCTTTATACTTTTCTATATAATTATAATTATTTTGTTCTGAAACACTTGTGGTTGAATAAGCCATACCCCTTTCCCCCTCTCCTTTTCGTCAACCTTTTATTGTGAAAATATTCAAATACAGAGAAAAGTTAAAAGAATTGCACATTGAACACCCAGATACTCACCATTTAGATTCTACAATGAACATTTTGTTGTATTTGCTTTATCACCTATTAATCTATCCATTCTTTTCTGCATTTCAGATTAAGTGGCAGACATTAGTACAGTTTTAAAAAATTTTTTTATGCATATCATTAACTAGATGAACAAACTCTTTTGTGCTCTGAAATCAACCAAGTCATCCTGCATTATACCTGCATTTACTGTGTTGCCAAAACTCTAGTCTGTGTATCTTAGATCTGTTTGGCCATGGATCACATGTCTTTTTCATTAACTCTTGGATGACTTTCTATTTCACCTAGTGTCGTGCAAGGCACACATTCCATAGACAGCACTTGATGCTGATGAGCAGAAACAGAGCTAGTGCCAGAGGAAGAATCATGATAAAACCAGAATAAACTGGGGAAGGACAGAAGGGAATCTGAGAAGAGGGCCACAGGTGAATAGGAAAGAAGCCAGGGCTTGAAGAATTGGGGGAAAGCAGGATGTCTCCACCTGCCTGGTACTTCCAGCAGTACTGTCTGCTACTTCCGAGCTTTTTCTTTAAAAGGATGGGTTCCAGGAAACTAGGGACAACTGCTGCTAAGCAGAGCACATGACAAGTTTCCTTGCTACTCTTTAGGAAACCCCAATTAATGTATTCATGTTGCTTCATGAATATGCTGATTTACCATAAGATGCAAGTTAGTTTTGGAGAATGTACGGAGACCACTGAAAACCTTCCAAACTATATCTGTGCTATAACCAAAGAGCACTTAAATTCAGTGAATCCCAGTGTCGTTTTCCTTTATAACCTTTTCTTTCTTGTATTGCTGTGAATACAAGGATAGCTTTCATCGGTCTTTACTGAGTTGTCATTTTGTGTCAAGTACTATGCGAGATGCTATCAGATCACTGACACTTTCCAACAGCCTGACAAGGTAGGGACTACTTCCTCCCCATTTTTCAGATAAGAAAACTTGAGACAAAGCATGGTTAACTGTATTGTCCATAAGACAGAATTCAAGAAATTCAGGTCTGCCTGACTCCAGAGCCCAGTATTCCTAACCGTTATACCAAACTGTAAAATGAAATTTAAAAAAATGTCAACCCAGTATAAATGCAAGTAAATTTACTTTCACTGTTTTGAATCAGCATGTAATTTATTCACTAAGCAAGTCCAATTGAATCAGTGAATTAAGAACTATTCCTTTAATTCTTAAGATATTGTTATAGTAATGGATTCAAATTGCCTGAGTTCGAATCCCAGTACCAGTCAAGTACTGTAAGCAAGTCACTTAGCATCAGTAAGCCTTAGTTTCCTTGCCTATAAAGTGAGGATAAAAGTGTCTGCTATAGGAGGATTACTTGAGCCGAGGAGTTCAAGGTTACAGTGAACTATGATTGTGTCACTGCACTCCAGCCTGCGTGACAGAGCAAGATCCTTTCTCAAAAAAAAAAAAAAAAAAAAAAAAAAAACCATATAGTGTTGTATTGTGAAGATTGGTTAAGAAAATTATGTAAAATTTGCCATGTCTGACATGTAATAGGGGCTCAGCCTATACTAGATCACTGTCATTTCTTTCCTTTTCCTTTTATTGGACCAAACAACTCATCTGTAACTTTCACTTGAGGAAAACAAACTATTCCTGAAACATTTTTTTGAGGAGAGACATTCTGAAAAAGTATATTAGGTTATTTCTGAGGCTGAACAAGGACAGTTACCAACTCTTAAATGAAGTGTATTTCTTTTAAAAAAAAAACTTTTTAAAATTTTATTTATTTATTTATTTAAGAGGTGGGATCTCACTCTCTTGCCCAGGCTGGTCTTGAACTCCTGAGGTTAAGTGATCCTCCCACCTGGGCCTCCCAAAGTACTAGGATTATTGGTGTGAGCCACCATGCCCGGCCAAGTATATTTCAAAATAAGCTAGAAACATGAATCCTTAAAAGAGTTGGGGTGGTCCATCTCTCTGCCTCCTGCAGATTAAGGCTAAATTGTGACTTTATCTGTTTCATCACTAGACTAAATTCCACAGTTGGCATAGACTATTAAAACTGGGATATTGGGATATTGGCAATCCCAGCCTGGCCATTTCATGGCAAGCAAGCTGAGGCTAAGAGAGTAGAAGTGACTTGACCAAGATCAAACAGTGAAGAAAATCAGGAGACGTCAGTTCTTCTGACTCCTTATCCAGTGTTCATTCTGTGGTTCCCTTGTCAGCTTTCAGACAGGTGAAACCAAACCTTGCTGTGTGTTCTTTGCAGGAGCTTGAGCTGATTAGACTCTCAGGGTTTGGTGCAAGTTTGATTGATTCAGAAAACATGAAACTTTGTTCTGGTTCAAATCAGCTTGCTAGTTTTTGTTGCTTTCAAACTGTTACAATTTCTGTTTTGTTTGGAATTTAGCAAATTAGTTCTGTGTCTTCCCGTTTAAGTTCATGGTTTGGTTCAAGTTCTTAGTTCTTTGAAATCTTCCACTAGGACTTTTGTTTTTGACAAAAATACTCAGAATCTGGGGTGGCTAGTGATGGAAATTCATTTGAAAAAAATCAGTCAGGCTTGGTGACGGCTGCCGAGGAGGAGCTTGGGTGGTTTAGGGAACCATTAGTGCTTACATTCTGGAGCTTGAAATCGGGATAATGGAAACAGTGCAATGGTTTTTGGTATGCGTGTTTGTTTTTATAAGGATGCTTTCATTGCCCTTCTTGCTAACCTGGGTTGAAACTACTGCCTCCCACCTCATTGCCTTTTGGGACACTCTGTCAGTCATATTCCTCATTTTTTGACTGTCAGAAAGAAGCTAACAAAAAAAAAATCATCTTTCCTGTCCTTTCCCTTTACTTTGAATGGCCCTTCTGAGGAACTTGGGGAATATGAATTTCAAGCTTAAATTTGTGAAGGAGTTTAGTTGCAATGCCCAAAGGGAGAACAGTCCTATTCTGAAATACAGCCTTTGTTCCTTTCTTACCAATGTGGTTTTAAAAGTCACAGGCAAGCCTCCTTTGCTGAACCTGAAATTGGACTGACACCTTCCTTAGTGGGCAGCCATGCTGCCAGTGAGGCTGTGGTGGACGGTAGCAGGGATGAGGCCTCTGGAGAATTGTATCCCACCTGACTCACTTTCTGAATGGCAGAGGAAAGTGAGATCTGGTGCTAGGGCTGTCAGTACCTTTTCAGGCTCTTGACTGTTTCCCTAAGCAGTTGGAAGGCTAGGTTTGCAGCTTTGATGGTTAGGGGGCCACTCCCAATACCTCAAAAGACAAGCACTTTTTATTATAGTAGGTGAGACTTTGGATGATTTCAGCAAGTATGTTTCTGATTAGAAAGCTCTCACTTTAGATTCATTTTCTCTTTTCTCCACCCCTCCCCTCTGTTTCCCTCCTCCTCTCTTGTCTTTTTCTCCCCTTCCCCCTTTCAGCAGCTCACTTGCTCTTAGCTACCAATTACCTGTTATGTGATTAATATTATCCTTTTCCCAATTGGCTTAACATAGATTTTGGATATATATTTTACTGGCATCTTCAGTAGTAGCAATGACGTTCAAAGGGGCAATTAGAAAAAGTTTTCTTTCTTCTTACAAGAAGTAGGATGGGCACTTGTTTGAGGGCACAGATAGCACTGGATGGGACCAAGAGGAGCTGACATCTGATATCCCTGCTCTATCCCCCACCTTTCTTTTGGCTGCTTCAGATTTGGTTCATGTGGACAAACACACTTGGGAACCACCATACAGATGGAAATCAGGACATGTGGGATTTGGCTGAACCAAAGATCCCCAAACATTGCCTGGATCATTTAGTGCCCCAGGTGTGGCCACCCCAGGACTTCATGTGCTAAAATTGTGTCCCAGCTGAAGCCAGCTGGTCACTGTATACATAGGATCAAGGCAGCTTGGAGCCTCATAAAGCATAACTTTGGATTTTTACCTTGTGGATTTAGATTTAGTTAATCACCTTGAATCCTCCCCCAACACACTGGGCAATGAGGATGTAACAGGCAAATAGAAAGCTTGAACAAAAGGAGATGCTCATTATCTAGTAGTTTGCATTCCAGATGGGACATAATGCTAGACCATATGAAGAAAAATGGACTGACTTTCCAGAAAGGAAAGAGAGAATTTAGAGGGCTCCAGTCTCTTTAATAAACTTTTGATGTATTATTTTAAAATTTTCTCAAAAACGTTCCCTGCTATAGAATTTTAAGAGCAAACAGCGATTCCGTCTAATTTAAAAATTGTAAGAATTGAGCAGTGTTTCATGAAATTATATTAGTTCTTTCTTTTTATTTGCCTTATGTGATAGAGGTGCCTCACTTCAATCATTAAGGCAAGATTTGTTTAGGGCATGGTAGTAATAATCCCATACAATTGTATAACCCTTTACAATTTACAAAAGGGTTTTCATACCTATTATCTCATTAGCTGTTCACAGCAATCCTGTGAGACAGTCAGGATAGGTACTATTATCTCCAGTTAACAAATAAAGGGAACTTAGGCTCAAAGAAGTTAAGTGACTTGGCCAGAGTCACATAGTTAGAAAGTTGTAGAACTGGAAGCTGAACCCAGGTTTCCTGATACCCAGCCCCAGTGCTCCTTCGGTTGTATCATGTTTCCTCCCAAAGACACTATCTCCTTTTTGTTCCTACTCGTGATTAATTTTAAAATCCGTCTAAAAATGAGCTTTAGTTTAGTGGATGAGTAAAACTGAAGCACTTACATGTAAAGTGCTTTCTCAAGTCACCTAATGAAGTGGGTCCTGCACATAGCTCTTGGCTTTTCACCTTCATTTTAACTGAACTATTTTTAGGTAGACATAGATTTGTTTTTCAGTGTTAAATATATGGACAAAAGTTGTGTGATCCACTGATTATAGGTGTGAAAGCTGCGCTTGGGGAATGGGACTAGGGATGAAGAATTGCCTTAAAATAATTAGCTTCTTGCCTTTGTGTTAAGAGATGTCATGTTCAATAGAATTTAATTTCTTTATACTTCCTTTGCTTCCAGCCTTTTAAAAATACAATTCTTTAGGGAAAATTAGCAAATATTCATTCTGAATGTTGATTTCTCAGGAATAAGGGTAGCCAGAGGAAAGAAAAAGCAAAGGGGTGACTTTCTGTGCCCTGTAAGAGTGGGCAAACATTATTTTGTTTGGAGCTGTGAGCTAAGATTTCTTCCAAGGCATGCAAATCGTAAAGTTCTGATTTGTCAACTGCATGCTGTTTCTTTAGGCACTGATGTATGAAATCCCGAACGAATTCTCCAATGAACATACTGCTAATTGCTTCTCCACCTGCTCTCCAACCTCCTCCACCCCACCCCCTCCACTCCCAATTCAGCCTATAAGTGTCCGTCATTGGAGATGGATGGTGACACATGCAGTAATAGCAATTCATAAAAGCCAGTTCCAGCCCTTGTCTTCAAGGCTCCTGGATTTTCCACTGCCTGCTTTTGTGTAAGTGAAGTGGATGGAAGTGCTACTGGCATCAGAATCCTCCTCCCTATGCTCCGTTGCTGAAGCTCAGTTGCTCGGCTGGAGCTGAGCTAAACAGAAGCGTCAGATCTAAGCTGAATTATAGCTATTTTTCTTTTTCCTCAATGGGGTGGGTGGGTTAGGGATAGGGTATAGTGGGGGTTTGGGGTGCTTTGGCTTTTCTTCTTGTGGAGAGAAGAGGGTAAGGAGAGAATAACTCACGATAGGATACAACGTGAAACAGTTCCCTGAAGAGTGTCACAATGTTCCTGGTACAATATACAGGTATAGTATGTTTTGTTTTATCTGAATTTCCCCTTTGTTTCAAAGTGCATTTCTTTCTTTTATTTTTCCTTCAGTTCAACTGTACTGAAGGACAAATAGGGTTCTAATGAGCTAAACAAAATAGCTGCATAAAACATGCCTGCCCCCAGCTATAATGTTTGTAGCAGATTGCTGTATAAAATCTGCGTTTTCTGTTAAACTGGTAGTCCCGATCCCTTAATTGTGCACGCTTCTCTGCTGTATTCTTGTATTGAATTTCTCAAGTCTTATGTCTGCAACTGGTAGTATGTGATATAGCTTAGAGTGTTTGCACAGAAGACAGTGCTTTGGAAGCAAAAAGCAATTTTTAAACACTTAGTGTGTTATGTTTCTCTAGAGTTTATTAACTCCTGTATTTGTTAATTGGTTGTATAGATTTGGGATATACCTAAGAGTAGGGAAACTTCAAACAGGAAGCATTCCAGGACACATCTGTTTGGTAAATTTAGTTATTTTTCATTACTGAACTCAGGTTGATGAACATTATATATTATTGTTGTTTGTTTATTCTCCTGACAGAAAAAAAAAAGTGCTGGAAACAGCAAAGCTACAAATACGAGCCCCAAACCATCTGTATTGTAAAATATCCTTGGATCAAAAGTGTTTCTTAAGTATTCTCTTAAGCTTTCAGAAACATAATGGTCCATAATAATGAAGAAGATTCTGATCAGGTATGGGCGAATGTTTTTTGAAAGGCTTCTTACACAGCAGTTAGACAGAAAGGTCCCTTGCAAATGAAAAACCCTGAGAAAGTTTCACTTTCTTGCTTCACAGAACAGAAGCTTAGTTCCTACAACCACGTTGTTTTGATAAGTTTGAATATCATTTGTTGTCAAGGACTTTCATCTCCATTGTTGCTTTATTATTCTTAAAATATTATGCTCCTACGCTTAACAGCTAAAAGATCATGTTCTATTTTGATGCGTGGTTTGACAGTTGATTTCGCTCCTCATTAATTGGACAGCATGCAGATGATGTGGAGAAGTGAGTGAGTGACAATATTTCAAGGTTACGTTGAAGAGCATACAGTGAACCTTAGTGCCTGGACCAACAGCTGCTGAATTGAATTGTCTGCAATTAAAGCAACAGCAGGTTTGTGTAGTCTCCCTGCAGCCCATTTATTTGAATTTATAGCTTCAGTTTCTTCTTTGAGTATTGGTTGGTTGGTTCTGCTAAGTGTTGGAAAGTTGTGCTTGCTGGATGTTTTCTCTGTATTCCAATGCATGCTTGACTCTAGAAGAGCCTTCTGTGTACATTTTAATGTGAGAAGTTGTTGAGGCTTTTTTCTTACGGTTAAAACCAGAGATTGTCTTATTTTCTCCACTATAAAATTAAATAGATTTACATGGAAAATATTGCTTTGTTGAATAAATAGAGATTTCTCATGGACCAGTGTTACTGGTTTAAGTTTCTGGCAATGAAAAATGCTGGACTTTGTTATGCTACTGGAATTACTATATCTGGGAAGAACTTCTCTCTGCTAATAAAAATGTTTACATTTTAAAAACGACATTATCTCCTTGCCAGCTCTCAATTCCACAGTGACCTAATGAATAATTTCAAATCTAACTAGGTGGCTTTTATGACTGTATTTTATTTGTATGCTAATAGTGAATACATGTTTAATTCCTTAATGGTTTTACTCTATTAAAAATTACAATATTAGTGTAGTTGTTGGTTACTGAATGATAGTGGATGTGGTATAAAACATTTAGACAGTGATTTAATATATACTTTCTTAGTTCATTCTCAGTAAGTGTGAGGTCAGTGATATGATCTCCATTTTATAGGTAAGAAAACTGAGACTCAGGATGAGTAACTGGCCTGAGGTCTCCATCTAAGTGCAGCCTAAACTTACAGGTTACATTATCTGATTAAAGAATCTGTGCTTTTTCCTCCCTGATATCAGGCTGCCTCTCGGTTGATGGGTGCCAGGTAAATGTGACTTATGCTACTAGAGAAGGAGGATAAATTTGGTCATTTACTGAAAAATGTATTCTTGGATAGGACGCTAGAGATGTTTTCAAAACTATTTTTAGTCTAGCATTTATTTGAATATGTGTGTGATTTCAAGATTAATTTTACAGATGTGTAAGAAACACTAGTGTTTTGATTAATGTGTACATCAATATGAATGAAAGTAGAGCTTTGTGAAATTTTGGGGAAGCAAAATGTTGTCTATTCCAAAAGGTTAGTATGGAGTATTTTCTCTTCTAAAAAGCTAGTTTGTTTGTACTGTTGTACTGGATGAACTTATAAGATTGTTTCCATGAAAGTATATGTATTTTAAGATATACTGGCTATGAATGTGAAGTGCTATATGTTTTTGAAATTTGAGTATTTTGTCCAGATCAGCAGAAAAAATATACAGCTAATTCAGGTTCACACTTTTCTTTCTTTCTGTCTGTCTCTGTCTCTGTGTCTCTCTTTCTCTCTCTCTCTCTCTCTCTCATAGATCAGCATTCTTATCTTTTAAAATTTCCAAATGGTTTCTCAATTTTAAATTAATTAGTTTTAAGGGAAAAAATGCTTTTTGTCCCACTGAAGAAAGGAATACTATTTAAAGCCACATTATCAATTCATCAAATGAACCCAACTACTTGAATGGCTCATACAAGCTCTCTGGTAAAACTTTCTTTAGGACCCCTTCAGTAAACATTCTTGAAGGGGCCATTTTTATATCTGAATTTATTAGAGACTGTCCCGTGTACTAGATTAATGACTCGATGTTCACGCCATAGACAACTCTTCTTCAGCATTTGACAATGAACATTTGAGAATGTTGATAAGAAAATGGGCCAGAGATAGAGCAAGTATTGTTATAATCTGTTTATGAGACTTTAAGATGGTAATGAATATATTATCTCAGATACCATGTAATTGGAATTTACCCTTATCTAAGATGGTATCTTTATATTTTAACATGTCTTAAAGTAAATCTGTCCTCATATTATTTCCTTCTGGCAAAAAAGAAAGGAGGATGATATGAAGCCCTTTTATCATTCTTTAGACTTAAATGAATTTGACACTTAAAAAATACAGGTGGGAACTTCGGGGAACAGATCAGGATTAGAGGAAGGAGAACTGGGCAAACTAGGCATGAAATTGGAAGTTCCATATTAAACTTGGTTTCAGGTGGCAAATGTCCTACGTAGTTGGAAGCTCTGGCTAACATCCCTCACTGTGTTCCTTTTTCTAGGAATAGGCACTCTGAATATAAATGAAAAAGAATTTATTGGGGCTTTTAAAGAAATTGACATTTTCTTATTGGCTAAAGAAAAAGTCTTTCATCTACAAAATAGTTACTTTTTCCTTGTCTTGTTTGAGGCCAAGAAAAATTCAAGAGGGAGATTTGTAGGTTCTGGTTGTTCAGGGAGCTGAAGTTGAGTCGTCTGATGGATTTTCCTCTTTGGTACACCTATGAGCGTGTTTTAGAGGAGTGAAGGGCAGGTCTCATGGACGGGAATATAAAGGTTAGTATACACCAGTCCGTGGTGTGCTGGAGCCAGCTTGCACTAGCTTATTTAAGGGGATCACCAAGAATATTAACAAATTCGAAAATTTATTCATATTTGCCTTTTTCCAAAAAGGACTTAATATGCTTATTATGAATAATACAATAATTAAGGCATGCTATTTATGTAGGATAGTATACTGCAAATGGGGCTGCTAAACTATACTGATTGACATTATTGAGCATAGTACAGTTGAGTGTGTGTCTCCCCAGCCATATATAAACACAATAATAAGAATAGCTAACATTTGGCCAGGCACAGTGGCTCACGCCTGTAATCCCAGCACTTTGGGAGGCCGAGGGGGGTGGATCACTTGAGGTCAGGAGTTCGAGTCCAGCGTGGCCAACGTGGCAAAACCCTGTCTCTACTAAAAATATAAAAATTAGCCGGGCATGGTGGTGGGTTCCTGTAATCTCAGCTACGTGGGAGCCTGCAGCAGGAGAATCGCTTGAACTCGGGAGGCAGAGGTTACAGTGAGCTGAGACCATGCCATTGCACTCCATCCTGGGCAACAAGAGCAAAACTCTATCTCAGAAAAAAACAAAACAAAACAAAACAAAAAACAAACTAACATTTATTGAAAGCTTGCTCTGTGCCAGATCATGTTATAAATACCTTATATGTATGAACTCATCAACGCTCACAGCAATGCCATAAGGTAGACAGTAGTATTTCCATTTTCAGGTTAGAAAAACAGATACAGAGTTTAAGTATCCAGCCTACCACGTCACACAATTACTAAGTAGCAAGAATCAATATTGGATGGCAAGTTTGTCTTCAGAGCCAATGCTCTTAACCACTGTGGAGTATGCTGTATGTCTTTAGGGGTTCTTTATTAAAGAAACTGTTTGCCCACCTGTGTGCTACCCGGAGCAGATATCCCATTGTTCATGACTTCAAAAGACCTAGACAGTGTAGAGCTGTCTGCTGACCAGACTATTAAAAATTTTTACTTTCTTTCCAACCCCCATCGTTGGTAGTCTTTACTGACAAAGTGAAGGGGAACATTGCATCCCCAGGAATTTCTAAACATTGCTACTACTCATGTTCTTTCTTCAGATTTTCAGCTTTGCTTTTAAGGTCTCTTTCATAATCTGTTGCTTCTCTCCATTCTCAGCTTTTTGCAACAAGAAACATTGACAGCCAAAGTGTAATTTTTCTTCCATGCAGCCAAATGGCCAAACATCACACATCTTCTCTGTGTCTACTCTCTCCCGACTCCATTTTATGCCTAACTGTTAGAATGTTCTTCCTAAATGCAGATCTTATCCTATCACTCCTCTCCTTAAAAATCCTCTAAAGGATTTTGCTTTTTTTTTTTTTTTTCCAAATAGACATTCAGGGCCATCCATAGCCTTGTCCCAGGCACTCAGAATTCCCTTACACTCTTATCTCCCACTACACAACGCTCTCTATATCTTATTTACCTGCCACTCTAGACCACTTCTGGGTCATAAGTACACCCCAAATTTTCAAGCTCCTGTGCCTTTCCATACTGTTCTCTACATTTCAATTGCCATCCTTCCTTATCTCCAGCGATCGTAGAGCTGCTCAATATTTAAGGTTCCACTCAAATTATACCTGCTACTGTATTTAATATTTATTTTTGGTCTGTCTTCCCCCAATAGACTGAGTTCTTGAAGTCATGACCATATTTTACTTGTCTCTTAGCACATAACCTGGTGTCTTGCACACAGTTAGCACTCACATGCAGTATTCAGACCTTCAGCAGCTGCACCACCAGAGGTTTTTCTCCTCTTCTGCTAGCTAAAGGTTCCGAGCTGTTCCGAAGCATGAGTTTCTGAAGCTGGATGGCTAAATTGCTTCTGCTTTGCATAGGTATTCTGGAATATTCTGTTCAAAAGTTTTTTTTTCCTAGTGCAAGTACCTTCTTAATTTTTTTTTTCTATACTCATCCTCGCTCAGAGCTACTATACTTTGAAAGCTGTCTTTTGCCTTTGTGGAACATTTTGCACTTTTGTATAGCGATAAGGGCTTGCCTATGTACACATATTTAATACCATTCAAGAAAAGAAATCGGTATATGTAAAGTGATAATTGGAATTTTTGATGCATAATCACAGTGTTTCTCAAAATGTGGTTTAGGAATTACCTGTGACAGCGTTACCTAAGACATGTGTAAAATGTAGATTTCTGAATCCCCATCCCAGACCTACTGAATCACTCTGAGTGATCTGCATTTAGCAAACTCCCCAGATAATTCTCCTGTATGAATGACTTTTGAGAACCACTGTTCAAAGGCAAAAATGCTAAATTCTGATCTGTATTCTCTATGGATATTCATATTAATTACACTGTGGAAAAACTATCCTGAAAATGGTTTGAATATTTTGTTCGAACACTGAAAGTCTTAGTTTCCTGATATCTAACCCAGTGCTGCCTGATGGAACTGTGTTAGATGATGAAGTATTCTGTATCTTTACTATCTATCTAACACAGTATCCACTAGCCACATGTGGCTATTGAGCATTGAAATGTGGCTACTTCAACTGAGGAACTGAATTTTTTTGTTTTATTAAGTTTAATTAAATGGATATTTAAATAATCACATGTGGCTACTGGATGTAGTACCGTCAGTGCAGCTCAAGAAGGTTTGGCTATCCAGAAGGAGTAATTCTCTTACAGGTCTAGATGGCCACAGTGATAATTGTATCAACAGGAAATCAAACTGGAATGTTGTTTCCTTTTACATATAGGACAAGCATTTCTTTTTATGGATAATTTAAATTTTAAAAACGGCCTAAAGTGAGTTATCCTCAGAAGGGATTTGACAAATTATGATCTCAACTAAATTTAAATGCGAGCTGCACTCTGCATTTCTCATCAGTACTGTTTTTCTCATATTGGCTTGCTGTTGAGGGTTGGCTGTTAAGTCTTGATTTCTGAGCTAGGGATAAGAAAGTTGAGTTAATCAGAAGAGCTCCTACCTTCAATGTTTATGTCATAGACACTTTTATACATTTTAGCTCTCATAGTCCCTTTCACTATTTTCTTTTGGATTGTTCAACCCCTTAGCCACTCATGACTCACAACTTTTCAGCTTCCATTTCTTCCGCGAGTAAATCTTTTTTGAACCAGTAGTATATTCCTTTCAGGACTATTTTGTTATTTAAAATAGCATTAATACTTTGGAAGAAGTTGATCAGAAATGGAATGTAGTCTGTACATAAAGAGATATAAATGTAGGTCCTTTTATGTTTTGTTATTGTGTGGAGTTCATCAAGTATATTAGTTGTACTTGGTGGCTTTAAAAAGAACCCAGTGTCAAATTTCTAAAGTACTGGGAAAAAAAAATACATGGATAGAGTAATGTCCTTGACTATTGTTATCTATGGAAACTATATGGTAAGTAACTATGCCTGCTGGACCTGCCCTCTGTTGCCTAGATCCCAGTTCTTTGTATACTTTTCAATTGCTAAAATTTTTAGCACATCCTGAAATTCCCTTCTTTCTCTTTCCATTCTTCACTTTCTTTGGCTCTGTTTTCTGTTTTTAATGGACAGCAGGCATCCTCCCCAGCTTTTTTGTACCATTCAAACTCACTCCCAGAATTCATTGTTGTATCCAACCTCACTGAACTGCCTAGAGGAGTTCAAAACGGGTGTTTCAAAGTGCCTCTCAGGGCCACCCTGGAGCACTCTGCATATAGGTTCTTTTGTTTTGAGGACTAAAGAGACAGTATCGCAGCTACAGTTTTGAGAAATGTGTAAAGAGAAAACCCATTTGGATCTAAAGGAAAATTTTAACTTCTTGCCTCTCCCTTCCCCCAGACTACATCTACAATTTTCAGTGACATTTTTACTTTGTTTAGGAAACCAGTCATTTCTGCTTTCAGTAAAAAAAGTTCACTCTGATCAGGATCCTTCCTAATTTAAACCAGAGTAGAGAAGAAGGGAAATATGTTTTAAAGGTATGCTATAGGACTATGCTAAGATATTTACATAAATTATTTTATTTAATCCTTGTTAGTACTCTCAATAAATGATAAAGAAGTTGTTCTTCTTAGCCGAGACTATATATACCACTAACTTGTCTAGAGCTCTGTCTCCAGAAACACTGCTCTTAGAAAGCCTGCATTCCTGTTGCTTTTTACTTATACACATAATTGTGAATGGTTACCTATTCTCTTACTCTGTTTCTCTGTGGGTATGGGTGTTGAAGAGATAAGATGGGAGGGAGGGAGGGATGGAGGGAGGGAGAGAAAGGGAGAAGGGAAGAGAGAAGAGAGATTATCAGTACTAGGATGTTCCCTCATAAAAATCCCAGATCTGCGTAAAATGGGAGAATGTAAAGAAAACACTTCCTGTGCTAGCTGTGTATTGAACAGGAATTGGGATGTGTTTTAAGAGGGCTTCTGACTAAGGGGTTGTAAAGAAAGCCTTCTTTAGATTCTTTATACACTCTACTTATTGCCACTCGCTTGCCCAGCAGTCTAAGAGACTGCTGACTCTTGCTGCCAAACATGGTTGGCATTTTCCCAAACCTTGACCGTGGGGTTTGGAGGTGGAACAGGAATTGCAAAGAACCACAAGCCTTACACACTCTGCTGAGTCATGGAAATTTGCCCAGCTTATTCATTGGAAGTTGTACAATCTGCATTCACCTCAATTTGTGGTAAGGAATATGAGGAACGTAAAATAATTGTGACAATCCATATTTAATAAAAATGACAATAAGCTGCAAGTAAATCAGACTATTCTGGAAAGGTTTTATGGGTGGCATTTTACATTTCGTCTTGGTTATAAATATCAAACAAATAAATATAAAACATCAAAAGTAATTTTGATTCATGCTTTTATACATCTACAAGTGACAGGGGATAGTAAACTATATTAAGAGTGTGCAATGTGATACATCATTTTAAAAGCCAATATGGTTTTGAGTAACTGACATGGATATGGACAAATAACTTAGAGCATAGTAGTGAGAATCCCTTTTTAATTGGTAGTAAGACTATGCCCAAGTTTCCATTCTCTGGAACTGAGATGCTTGAAATGGAAAAGAGCAATTGAAATGCTTAAGGAATCTAGGGAGAGTGGTTTATGAAGGTAGGACACAAAGTAAATATGATAAAGACAGCTTGAGTAGTTCGTGAATATTGGCACTCACGGCTCTTTTGAATGGAGTGAGCAATAAAGAGCATAGTCTCACGGAAAAAGGAATAAGCACAGGCAGAAATATGACCACTGGAGGGATGAGCCTGGAATTCCAGTAGTGTCTCTCCCCATCTCAACTAGTATTCCCTGAGTGCCCTACCCATGGGCTTTGTGAGGCATTTAACAAGAAGGGAAAGAAATGGTCTGAGAAGAAATGGTTTGAAGGAATTGAAGTGAGAAGGACATAATTGTTTTGTCAAATATTAACAGCTAGTTAAAATAAAAGGAAACCCCACCCCGAAGCAAACTCTCCAGAACATTTCTTTGGCTGGCCTCACATTAAGGCCAGATGAAGCATAAGCTGTAGAGAAGAACCTCACTCTAACATGGAATATGATCTAAGGCAATGCCCTTCTTGGACCATCTCCACATGGATTTATTACTGGAAGTAACAGAAGGGCTATGTTAGAACATTAGAACACAGTTCCAAGGCATGAACACTGAGGTTGGGATTTATAGTAAGGCTCTGGTGTACTAGCTGGACAATGAGTACAATTTCATTGCAGATGTTTTCCATTGGAGATTTTTGACATGTCAGTGAGCCAGGATAAGTCAGCCAGCACTACTTAGCTAGCACCTACTGTATTGTGTTGCCTGTACTTGACCAATCCAGTGAGGGAAGTATTTGAAGCTCTTTAGCCATTTCTGATCCTCAGGGCACTATTGATAAGCTGCCCCTCCCAGGATAGTAAACTGCCCCTTGCTGTTGTGAAACAGGTGATGGATAAACAGCTTTTCTCATAGTATCTGTACTTCTCTCTTTTCAGTATCGGAATCATTCCCAGTAAAGTGTAAAATGGAGTAGACGACTCCCCATGAGGTTTTAAATCTAGATCATAATGGACCACCTGCCAAATGCTTTCCCTTTATGATCCCAAGTTAAAGTTATTGACAGAGAGAAAAGCATTGCAAAATGGAGTGCCAGTTTCTTATGGCATTCATGGACTTAAGCCAAAATATTTAAAACGCTCAGACAAATAGTTCATTCAGGAGCTTTGGAAGCAACTTGTAAAAATCAACAGCCTGCCTATTCCATATCTGGGGAAAGGACAGAAGAGGGAGGAAGGAGATAAAAGAGTACGGAATGATTTGTATTCATTAACTATTATCAGTGTTAAGTACAATGTAGGATGTTGTTCTTACTAACATTTACGAAATGCTACCCTTAAACCTGCAGACTAAGGAAAGAGCAATCCAGTAGATGTGCCCTTTGCTAAATGATTGAGCCAGAAACAGCATATAAATATTAGAAATGGCTTAAACCACAGCATCAAGTTTTATTATTTCGTATAATAATACGACTATTGGGACTTATGACTCTAGTGGGAATATGTAAGTACTCATTTATTTCCAGCTAATGAGAAAATTATTAAGAAAGAGAAAAGGGAGGTTTATAGATAAAAGTTCAGAAGGATTTTGTAATATAAGCATTTTAAAAGAATTTTATGGTTGTAAGAAACCTTAAAGGTTATCAAGTCATTTTCCCTCACTCCCTTTCATACATAATCTATTCCCTATATCTACTCCATCCTCAAGTGGTCAATCCAGTTTATGCTTAGATACTCCCAATAATTTAACAGTCTCTAGTATACGGTAGGAAATCTGATTTTTGAATAGCTCAAGTTATTGAATGTTTGCATAAATAAGCCAAAATCTCTTTTCAGCCTCTATTCAGCTCCTACTCTTAGACATAGTACCATCCACACAACCTACAGAATAAATTGAGGAGTTATGTAGTGTGGTGACCCTGATTCTACTTCCCCTTGCTGCTATGCCAAGCAACTGGTAGCCCTTCAAATGCTGGAAAACAATCATCATGTGCTCCGAGTGACTGTTTTTATTAACAGCTTTATTGATGTATGGCTTACATATCATACAGTTTACTCATTTTAAGTGTATAATTTAGTGATCTTTAGTATATTCACAGGGTTGTGCAACCCTCACCAAAAATCTAATTTTAGAACATTTTTGTTACCCCCAAAATAAGTAAACCCAGATCTCCTTAGCCTTTAACTCCCAATTTCCTATACTCCCTTCCTCCAACTCCCAGTGCTAGGCAACTACTAATCTACTCCCTCTATAGATTTGCCTATTCTGGACATTCCATATGAATGGAATCATGAAATATGTGGCCTTTTTCATCTGGCTTCTTTCACTTAGCATAATGATTTCAAGGTTAATCTGTGTTATATCACTAATCAGTATTTCACTCCATTTTATGGTTGGGTAATGTTCCACTGTATGGACATAGCACATTTTGTTTATCTAGTCATCATTTGGGTTATTTCCATTTTTGGCTATTGTCAGTAATGCTGCTATGAGCATTAATGTATAAGTTTTCATGTGGACATATGTGTTCATTACTCTTTGGTATATATATACCTAGGCGTATATACCTGGGTCATGTGGTAACTCTATGTTTAACCTTTTGAGGAGGTGGCAAAAATGTTTTCCAAAGTGGCTGCACAATTTTACGGTCCTACCAGCAATAAATAAGCATTCCAGTTTGTCCACAATCTTGTCAACACTTATTATTGTCTGCCTTTCTTTTTATTTTATACTAATAGGTGTGAAGTGGTGTCTTATTGTGGTTTTGAAAATACTTTCTACCATTCTGTAGGCCTTCTTTTCACTTTTATGATTATATCATTTGTCTGAAAATATTTCTAATTTTGATAAAGCACAGTTATCTTTTTTTCTTTTGTTGCTTCTGTTTTGGTATCATATATAATAAACCACTGCTTAACTTCAAAGTCATGAAGATTCACTTTCATGTTTTCTAAGAATTTCAAAGTTTAGCTCTTACATATAGGCCTATGATCCGATTTTAGTTCATTGTTGTATATGATGTGAGGCAGGGATCCAACTATAGTATTCACCTGGATATCCAAATGTCCCAGCATCATTTGTTTGAAAAACCACTTTTCTCTGTTGCGTGGTCTTGACACTCTTGTCAAAAATTAATTGAAGGTAAATATAAGTGTTTATTTCTGAACACTCAATTTTATTCCTTTTGTCTATATGCCTGCCCTTACATTGTTACCACACTGTTTTGTCTATATGCCTGCCCTTATGTCAGTACCACACTCTTTTGATCTCAGGAAATGAGAGTCCTCCAACTTTGCTCTTCTTTAAGATTGTTTTGGTTTTTCTGGGTTTCTTGTATTTGTACATGAATTTTGGAATCAGTGTGTCAATTTGTGCAAAAAAAAAAAAAGCCAGCTTAGATTTCAAAAACAATTACTCTGAATTTATAGAGAGTGACTGATTTTTAAAAGGCACACACCTCACTTAGAATAAGATCCCATGAGAGGTGACTCTGTACATAGTTTTCCTATACCCTTTCTCACCAGTAACACCACTTCAGAACCAAACCTATACCTTTTAAAACTACTTTTTAAAAAGTAGCCAGAATCTCCATGGTATAAATATGTAATATAAGACAACCAAAATTAAGTGCCCTGTTTAGTGACTCACACACTTCTTGCATTTGATTGGGATTATTCCTGAGTGAAGAAGCCAAGAACAACAAGTTGAAGAAGAAAATTAGCTAGGTCAGAGATGGTTTCTTTTTACTCAGACCCATCCTGGAGTGAGCACACATGCCTATGTTTGTGTGTGTCGGGGGGGGCATGCATGTGTTGGTGTTAGTGTCTGTGTGGGCGGGGAGTGGCTGTGTGTATGTCTCTACATGTTTCTGTTTTAATCCTTGCATGCAGATATGTGCATATGCATAGGTGCACAAGTATGTGTGTATATGTGTTGTTGTGTTTTTTGTTTTTTCTTTTGGATCCTAGCAAGATGCCTTTTGATAATGGAATAGAATGTTACAAATAGGCTTTGTGGCATTTCATCCTTTTAGATGAGCTTATTGAGATTTTGGAGTTACAGATGAATTTGGCCTTTCCACCTGAAAAGGGTATTATCTTTTATTTCATTGCTTTCCTTCTTCTGTATCTCATTCCCTTGCTTCGCACTAGTTTCTGCATTTGCTTCTTCTTGGTTATTAAGCTATAGTTCCACATGATTTCCATAGTTGACCCATTCCCCTCCACTGTTGTGATTACCTGTGCTGCCAACCCTGTGATGATGGCTTATTGGCTTTTGCCCTTTCTTCCCACTCTTTACTACCAAGGAGTCAATTGATCCGCAGAACCTTTCTAATTCCCTCACACTCTATCCCCTAGATGGTGTCAAAAGTGTCAGGTCATGTGTTTTTCAATTACAGATGGAACAAAGTATTTACCAAGTGGTTTTCTAGGACATGACAAACACAGCCTGGCACACTTCTTAGTTAGAGTATGGAGAATAGAAAGCTAGTCCTTAAGAATGAAGAGCATTCAATCAGGATTTGAAAGCTTAGTCAAGTAGAAAGCTGGTACTGTATGTGCCTCTAGCTTTTAAAAATTTCTCCTCGCTTTTCTTCTTTTTTTTTGTTTGTTATACTTTAAGTTCTGGGATACATGTGCAGAACGTGCAGGCTTGTTACATAGGTATACACGTGCCATGGTGGTTTGCTGCACCCATCAATCCATCATCTACATTAGGTATTTCTCCTAATGCTATTCCTCCCCTAGTCCCCCACCCCCTGACAGGCCCCCGTGTGTGATGTTCCCCTCCCTGTGTCCATGTGTTCTCATTGTTCCACTCTCACTTATGAGTGAGAACATGTCGTGTTTGGTTTTCTGTTCTTGTGTTAGTTTGCTGAGAAGGATGGTTTCCAGCTTCATCCATGTCCCTGCAAAAGACATGAACTCATCCTTTTTTATGACTGCATAGTATTCCATGGTGTATATGTGCCACATTTTCTTTATCCAGTCTATCATTTGTGGGCATTTGTGTTGGTTCCAAGTCTTTGGTATTGTGAACGGTGCCACAATTAACATATGTGTGCATGTGTCTTTATTGTAGAATGATTTATAATCCTTTGGGTATATACCCAGTAATGGGATTGCTGGGTCAAATGGTATTTCTAGTTCTAGATCCTTGAGGAATCACCACACTGTCTTCCACAATGGTTGAACTAATTTACACTCCCACCAGCAGTGTAAAAGTGTTCCTATTTCTCCACATCCTCTCCAGCGTTTGTTGTTTCCTGACTTTTTAATGATCACCATTCTAACTGGTGTGAGATGGTATCTCATTGTGGTTTTCATTTGGCTTTCTCTAATGACCAGTGATATTGAGCTTTATTTCATATGTTTGTTGGCTGCATAAATGTCTTCTTTTGAGAAGTGTCTGTTTGTATCCTTCACCCACTTTTTGATGGGGTTGTTTTTTTTCCTGTAAATTTGTTTAAGTTCCTTGTAGATTCTGGATATTAGCCCTTTGTCAGATGGATAGATTGCAAAAATTTTCTCCCATTCTGTAGGTTGCTTGTTCACTCTGATGATAGTTTCTTTTGTTGTGCAAAAGCTCTTTAGTTTTATTAGATCCCATTTGTCAATTTTGGCTTTTGTTGCCATTGCTTTTGGTGTTTTATTCATGAAGTCTTTGCCCATGCCTATGTCCTGAATGGTATTGCCTAGGTTTTCTTTTAGGGTTTTTATGGTTTTAGGTCTTACATTTAAGTCTTTAATCCATCCTGAGTTAATTTTTGTGTAAGGTGTAAGGAAGGGGTCCAGTTTCAGTTTTCTGCATATGGCTAGCCAGTTTTCCCAACACCGTTTATTAAATAGGGAATCCTTTCCCCATTTCTTGTTTTTGTCAGGTTTGTCAAAGATCAGATGGTTGTAGATGTGTGGTATTATTTTTGCAGCCTCTGTTCTGTTCCATTGGTCTATATCTCTGTTTTGGTACCAGTACCATGCTGTTTTGGTTACTGTAGCCTTGTAGTATAGTTTGACATCAGGTAGCGTGATGCTTCTAGCTTTGTTCTTTTTGCTTAGGATTGTCTTTCTTGCTTCCTTCTTTTTCTTTCCTTCCTTCATTGCTTCCATTAGCATGATGATCTGCCATGCAGAGGTAGGTTAGGAATGAAGGTAAGTAATACTTTGTAAGTATTAAACATAGGCTGATGCTGAAATCAAGTAGAGAAGAGATATGCCACCATGCGGAAACATGCAATATTAGACATAGGGAGACATAGTTTGAAAAAGACTTCTCGAAGATTCTGATATGATCTTCAGTGAGTGCTATACCAGCCTAGCTGAAAATCACTGAGATAAATAAAAATGACTACTGTTTCATCCATGAGAATTTTTTAAGCAACCTTAAATAAGTTCCTATAGCTTAATACGTGCTTTTGCCTTACAAAATAAAACAGAACAAAACTAATGCTGAAGAAAATAGAAACTTACTTAGAACAACTTGTCAGATGGTTTCTAGTATTAGCAATTTGCTATGTCCAAAAACTGAGGAGCCCAATGAGGTAAAGTAGTTCTTGCACATAAAAGGAAAGGCATTTGCTACCCCCAGTGATCCTGCATATTGTAAGCTCTAGCAGAGTGGGTGGGGAAGGAACACCATTGTCTAAAATGGACAAATAGAAGAAAAAGTTTCTAAGAGGTTTGCCCAGCTTTAAAAATACTTTTTCCACATAATTAAACTAATTAGAGATTCTGTATTGATTCATGACCTCCTCTTTTAAGATATAATGTCTCATGGTGAGGTTAACCCTTAACCATATTTTAGCATCAATTACTTGAATCAAATATCTGCATCGATTCCTAACTGAGGTTTCTGTTCCTCGGTGGCTTAGAAAAGAAGGTGTAAGGGAGATGTGTGCATCTCCTTATCTCTTTCTTTACCTGTTTGATGGTATTATGGGGAGGGACTTTCAAAATGCTTTTGTGGGAAAGAACTCTAGTGTTGGGATAGGATAAAGGCACATAATATTAGTTAATTTGATTGTTTGTCCTCGCCCTTCACCTTTGTAAATCGTATTCAACTCACCTGACTCAAATCCTGTACATCACAGAAAGCCTCCTCTTCTTTTGCTAGCCTACATTGATTTTCCCCTTCTTTGAACTACAGCAGTATTTATTGTCTGTACTACCCAATCTAATGTTTGATTGGGCGTTATATATTCTCCTGTTCTTTAGTGAGTTTGTATGTGCCAAACTTGTTCCCCCTTATAGAAGACTAGTGATTTATATGTACTACAAATGACTGTTGGGAGGAAATGATTGCAAGTTCTTTAAGGCAAGGACTGTGACTTTCTTATTCCTTTGTTTAGTATTCTCCATGGCATATAGAACAATATATTTGGATTTAGGGAAAAATCACCTTTAATTACTGTTACAATTAAGATTTCACTCAATATTACTATCTAACTTAAAACATGCAAAATTTACAAGTAGATACTATGATGCATATGTTATACAGTAATGGCTTTAGTCACTTGGACTAAATTGGCAGTATTCTTTCCCTTCTTTGCACTAGCCTTAGCTCATGGTACTGGTGGTCATTCCTGATGGCCTTGATACTGGCTCTTTCTCATAACGACTAGTGGAAGCATATAGAAATGCTATTTGATGACTTCATGCAATGGAATAGTAACATTGAAGAAAATATAGAAGCTCTCTCTCTCTCTCTCTGTCTCTCTCTCTCCGTCTCCCTCCCTCTCCCTCTCTCTCCCTCCCTCCCTCCCTCTCTCCCTCCCTCTCACTTGTTTCCCAAATATTCAAAGATCTATACCTGGCAAGCCCAATAGTTGTTTCTCTCTTAAAACACACAGAAAAAGGTTGACATAGACTTAAGAGGGCAAAATAAGAATGTCCTTCTAGAAAGATAGAGTGGCTTTTAATTCTCAGCAGTTGCTGGAACAGTAAAACAAGTAGCAATTGGCAAGGTGTGTGTTAAAGGGATTTATATATTTAATCATTTCCCCTCTGCACTTCCTCACCTTTGTACTTTCTCCTTGTAACATCAGGTAGAATACAGTGTCGACAATTGCCTCTCTTCCCCCCAGTTGACGTTTAAAATTATGAACACTGTGTAATGAAATGGTGATTTTTATTCTGTCCTGGTGGTAGAATGGGATTTGCTGATGTGTAAAATGAGACAAAGATAAATAACAAACAGATGTTCCCACAAAATGTTCATTAAATCCCTGCCTAGCAGAAGATGCCGGATTACATGTATTCAAACTCTAAATGTGTTAGAGAATAAGGAGCTTTTATACCTTAATGCTCAATTTACGAAAGATGATATAGCTTTCTTTGTAAAAATCATAGTAATCAGTGACTTACAGTTGTTTCTTCATTTCAGAGTGGCTTGTCATGACTGTTTTTAAACTTTTCTTATTGATTTTGACAGTTCCAATTATCCAAACAGGCATCACCTTATTGAGGGATTATGAAGTGGGTTTAAGCCTCATAGATTTTAAGACCCCAGATAAGACCCCATCACTTCCAACATGTGGAAGTGATGGCTTTTACTTGGATCATCTCTAAAGGACTATCTGCCAAAGGGATGTGATGGTGATTTGAGGTGAGTGGGGATAGGAAGGGAGAGCAAGAACAGACTCACCATCACCTTCTTCCTCTCTCTCTTTCATAAAAAGTAGAATTTGTAGTTCTTGATACAGCATATTGCTTACAGCAAGGCCTGCATACTACTGGTAAGCCACTGTTATGCTGTGCTAAATTTTAGGCAGGTGCCTATTTCTGTTAAGTTTTAATATGTACTTTGTGCTCTAAATGTGGGAAGGAATACCTACCTTTCTTTACCTGGGGAAGGAGGTAGCAAGAGAAGGTAGCTCAAGAATGATATTTGATCTGAGTCTTGAAGGATGGTGGAAGTTTGTTAGAAAAGAGAACAAAAAGAATTTCAGTCAGAGGGAATAGCATTTGCAAAGACACAGAATCCTGAATCAGGAAAAACTGTCAATGACCTCCCAATGATCAATGTGGCTTTGTGTCTGAGTTTCCTCATCTGTAAAATGGACTTAGAAATGACACCTACCATATATGGTTGTGAAGATTAAATGAGTTGGTATATGTAATTTAGAACAGTGCCTGACACATGAGAATGATTAAGAAGTCTGGCCTCCACTCATGAGTTTGGTAGCTGGAGTTTGGTGTGTGGATAGGAAAGTGGAGAAAAACCAAGTTGATGTAATAAGTTGGGAGGTGCAGATTATACGCTTACACTGTGCTAAGGAATGTGGATTTTTAAATAGGTGATTAGGAACTATTTTGGAATTTTAAGCTGGCGTTTCAAATGTGTGACCAGATTTGCATTTTAGAAAGACTACTTTGTTTGCCTCGTGAAAGATAAATCTGGATGTGTTGGAAAGGGGAAAGGATTTGTGAAAAATGGAGGCAGAAAGATCAGTTATAAGGCTATTTGCAGTAGTCCAAGCAGGATGATGGAGGATCTAAATTAGGAGAGTGGCACTAAAAATGAAAAGCAAGGTACAAATTAAACAGATATTTTAGTTACTAGATGTCACAGACTGGCAACTAATAAATGTGTTTTGTTTGGCCCACACAGTATTTGAATCTGAATGCTCTTACATGGAACATACATTCTCCAATTAGACTTAGGCTCTGCAATACCCTATTGTATTATATCACATATTGATGTTGCCTGGGCTGACCATTTTATGAGTAGGAAGAGGAAGAAGTTCAGGTTGATCCCTAAATTTCTAGGTCCAGTGACTGGATGAATAGAGGTATCAATACCCTAGATGAGAAAGTCAGGAGTAAATTTGGGAGAAAAGATGAATTACATTGTGGGTGTATTAATTTGGAGGTATCTAGGATATCAGTAAGAAATAAAGATCTGTGGGTCAGGAAATAAGTCTGCATTAGAGATATAGATTTGGGAGCATTATTAGTTTATAGGTGGTAGCTGAAACCATTTATGTGGATTATATCACTCGTATAGTATATTTACAATGCAAAGAGAAATGGTCTGAGCCCAATAAGAAACCAGTGAAGTGACCAAAGATAATGGTAAAAGAAGAAAGAGTTTCAGGCATAGTGTAGACCAGTGATTCTAAGTGTGGTCCATGAACACCGGGGGCTCCGAGCCCAAGATTCTTCCAGGGAGTCTGAGCGGTCAAAACAATTTAATTCTAATATGTTATTTGTCTTTTTCACCATGTTGACATTTTCACTGATGGAGCAAAAGCAACTGTGGGTAAAACCACTGGTACCTTGGCGGAAATTAAGAGAGTGGCACCAAATTGTATTTGTTAGTAATTATATTCTTTATTTTGTTTAGATATACCACATTTTGTTTATTCATTTATTGATTGATATATATTGGGAATTTCTCATCTTTTGGCTATTATGAATAATTCTATGAAATTTGTGTGGGCATATGTTTTTATTTCTCTTAAGAATATACCTAGGAGTGGAAATGCTGGATCATATGTAACTCTATGTTTAGTCATCTGAGGAATTGCCAGACTCTTCCAAGTAATTGTATTCTTTACTGCTGCACACTCACAGTTAAGAAAAAAAGCCATTCTCAGTAATGTCTTTTATAAGTCAGTAACTATTATTAGTTTATTACATTTTGACCTTTATGTACATTTTTAAATGTTCTATGTATCAAATGGGAAGAACACATAAAGCACTTCTGATGCATACTGAAGGACAATGGTATTCATCCTTCAATAAACCTTGCATCCTCCTATGCAAGTCTTAAGGTAAAGCATTTGTATGGTTGAGTTGCAAACTGAACTAGCAGCTTTTTACATAGGATTCCAATTTTACTTGAAGGAACAACTGACAAACTATGGCTATTCTGTGTCACTGGGTATTTGGCAGTAATTTTCTCAAAAATAAAGTGAGCCTGTGACTTTAAGGAAAACAACTGGTATTTCTTGCCAATGTTAAAATTTAGAATTAGAATTTTGGAACACGTATCTGCCACCATGAGCTTGAGAGTTTACCAATGCTAATAGACTTCTATGATGAGGCCAGTCATGATGTTAACTAATTTGAGAATATTGTGTAATGAAATGTGTAACATTGGAAGATTTGCATAACTCAGTGAACCAATATTTGTCAAATGATCAATGAATAATGTTGTAAAATCATGCCTGGGGAAAAATCCATTTAAAGTACAAGACTGACCAGTGGTTTTAATATAACAAAGCCCCAAAAGTTCATTAATATAGATTCAGATTTCCCATTTCACTAAAGAAACTGCCACTAACTGCCACTGTTAAATTTTGATGTAGTATTAAAGAATAATATCTACAATTATCTGAAAAGACTATTCAAATGTTCTTCCATTTTCCAACTATATATTTACCTGAGCCTAGATTTTCTTCATATATTTTAACCAAAAACATATCACAAAGAATTGAATGCAGAAGTAAACATTAGAATCCACCTGCCTTCTAATATGCTGTCTTCCATAAAAAGTATTTGCAAAATTATAAAACAATGCCATTATTCTCATTGATTTTAATTTGTTTTAGAAAATAGTTATTTTTGTAAACATGTTATTTCTGTTGACATGTGTTTGATTTATTGTTGTTATATTTACATGAATAATTACTTTTACAAGTCATAGTTATAATTTATAATATAGTAAATATTAATAAATATAACCTACAAAAACCAAAGGCTCTTTGGGGTCCTCCATATTTTTCAAAATTATAAAGGGGTTCCAAAGCAAAGAGTTTCAGAACTGCTGTGGTAGACTACTAAAAAAAAAATGGGGTTAACAAGTGAAGAAACTTGTCTTACTGTTAAGTAGCCTAGAATTCTATTAAATATAAGAAAGCTGAGACAATGAAAAAGCAAAATATGGAAAAATATGACTAAGATCCAAATTGAGTGACATAGACAGTAGATGATAACCAAGTTTCTAAAAACATAGAATGTGGACAAAAGTTGTAAGGGATTTGTCGGAACGAGAGACTTGAGCATACATAGGATTTTGTAGAACAAAAAAGTGAACAGGATGCTTGCCAAGCTTTCCAAGCATGATGACCAGCATGAGCAGAGTTCTAGTGGCCAACATAAGCATCATGTGCTTTAGAAACAGTAAGGAAATCATCCCAGCTGGAGTAAATAGTTTGCACTGGTGAATAGCAAGAGATTAGCTGGATAAATAAATTAAAGCCAGATTATGGAGAGCTTTAAAAGTCAAGATTAGGGATTTAGATTTTATTGGCAATGGGAAACTATTAAATGTTCCTGATTCAGGATGATGACATGATGAAAGTGATGGAAATTAACCTAGAAGTAGTGTGAATGAGAGGTTGGAAATAGAAAGACTAGAAATCAATCAGGACAATGTTATCTGTATATGAAGTGGTGAGGAACTAGTTGCTGGAATGGAATGCAAGTAATGGATATGAGAGATATTTTAATGGTATAATGAATAGGACTTGATTGATTAGGAAAAGAGGATTGATATTGAGACTAGATGACTGAGAGAATGGTGATGCCATTGTTAGAAAATGAAAGAACAGGGAAACCCATTTTAAGTAGTTGATGATGACTAGGTTATTAACTTGTTTGTTGAAAGTGTGAGATTGCATAATAGAAATATGTATGCATAGGGAATCACTATATAGGGGTTTGAATGAGAAATATAAAATCGAGAGGCCACATATAGAAAGGTGATCATTGGATTTCAGGAAATGAATGAGTTTTTTGAGGAAATGAATTATATAAAGCAGGAGCCCAGGAGCCAAATCTTAGGATCTACGGCTATTAGGATATGATAGGAGGAGCCCCTGAAGAAGGCTGAAAAAACAATTGGAGACTATTAGAACAGAATCCTATCAGATTGCAGAAGCCAATGGAAGACATAGTTTCAAGAAGAAGATATAAATCAGCCATGTCAAATTCCACAGAGAATAGAAGATTTAATGTATAACGTAAGCTCTGTGAAAGCTCTCTTAAATGATCTCTGTATATTTTACTCAATGATGTTTCCTAAGTGTGTAGAATTGTACTTGGCACATGGTAGTGAATCAATAAATGAGTATAATTAGCTAGTGATGCTGAAAGTTTTGTGCAAAACTTTTAAATATAAGCATATTGAAGAAAAATAACTAATGAGCAACATCTTCAGATACAAACCTCTGTAAACATATTGATTCTCTCTATTTGCTTATCAGGCAGTATTATTGGAAGCCAGCACAGTGTTGTTGAAATGCACAGTGAAGATGGAGGTAGATCGTTTAGCCTTGCTGATTCACATATGAGGCAGCCAGAGGGAGGCAGATGATATGTCTGTTTGCATAATTCTACAGACCAAGACCCTGCTGGTAGCCTTACCTTCTAGTCTTTAGTTTGTGCTCTTCATCTGAATCGGATATATTCTTTTGCTGCGGATGTATGGTGCAAACAGTATTGGCCTCAAAATGAATAACTACTTTAGAATTTAAATAGTTATAATCACAGTCATTAAGAAATCTGATTTTTGTTTAAACTTATTTTGGTATTGGCTCATAAATTTTAGTTGCAAGTTTTTTCAGAAGACCAGTGTATTCGTTAATTTCAAAAAAAAAAAAAAAAAAATCTGTGTCCAATTTTTGTTGTTGTTTTTCAAGGCAGAGTCTTGCTTTGTCACCCAGGCTGGAGTGCAGTGGCATGATCTCGGCTCATTGCAACCTCTGCCTCCCGTGTTCAAGCAATTCTCGTGCCTCAGTCTCCCAAGTAGCTGGGATTATAGGCACACACCACCATGCCTGGATTTCTTTTGTATTTTAGTAGAAATGGGGTTTCACATGTTGGCCAGGCTGGTCTCAAACTCCTGGCCTCAAGTGATCCACCCACCTTGGCCTCCCAAAGTGCTGGGATTACAAGTGTGAGCTACCATGCCCAGCCAAAAGATTATGTCCAATTTAGTTGTTAAAGTAGATTTGTTTATTTCAGTTTTGGCATGAGTAGCCATAATGGATACAAGAGGAAAATAGGTGATTTTACTGGAGGAAACAGTATGGATTCCCTCATAAACTACTTACATAGCAATGACTATGTTTTGAGCTTGGACTTTGTATTAGTTATCAACTGCCCTGTAACAAATTACCCTCAAACTTAGCACATTAAAGCAGCAAGCATTATCTTACAGTTTTTGTGTGTCAGGAATCTGGAAATGGTTTAGCTGAATTCCTCTGCCTTAAGGTCTCTCGTGAGCTTGCAGTTAAGCTGCAACTGAGCCTGTGGTTGAATCCGAAGGCTTGACTGAACTGGGGAGAGGATCCACTTTCAAGCTCGGGTGGTTCTTGGCAGACCTCAGACCCTTGCCACACGGGCTTCTCCATAGGGCTAACCCATGAAATGTCAGTGGCTACCCCAGAGAGGGTGATTCAGGAAAGACTGCCCAAGACAGAAGCCAGAGTCATTTTATAATCTAATCTCAAAAATGATATCCCATATATATTAAACTACATATATGTAATCACATTTATGATTATAATTATATATAAATATATATACACTCACACCTATATGATTTTTAAAGACACATATTTACTAAAACACAGTCTGAGAAGAAACCGAAAAGCCAAATGAGAAAAAGAGGTTTACATGAAGAGATAATTAATCTTCAAGTGACTCTTACAACTACAAACCCACCCAGAAAGACAGAAGAAAATGTTTGACATTAACAACTCCACTTAAATTTCAATACTTTTATTCAATTTATGTAAGTTAATGTGAAATAAGATACTAACTACAGTTAAATGTAGCCCCTATATATGGGTTTTAGTGCATATTTGAAGACAGAAATAGAAAAAAGTAGACTAAACTGGTAAGAAATTGAATTTTAAAAACAGGTATTATAGATTACCTCATAGTTCATATTTCCTCTTACCTTTACTTCTATTACATTTTAGTTTAGTAACTGAAATTATAAGAATCCGCATTTTTGTAGAATGGTAATTTAGTAGGAAGGGGAACAATGCTGTCTTGCAGCAGATCTTTAAATTCAATTTTTAACTAAATTAATTTCATGAGGTCTAGGTTGTTCTATCTAAATCCAAAAATTATAGGTATTCATTTAGATTCATAAACCATATCTCATTTACTCAAAATAAAAGATATAACCCTGTCTTGTCTACAGAGAGTAAGAAAGGATTAAGGCAAGAGAGAAAAGTGTTTTATTCATCATAACAACACAAGATGCCTATTTGAAACTGAGGAAGGAGAAGATATGTATAATATTTAGAAGGAGTTTATGTGTGTATGTACATTTCAAAAGGGATACACTTCTGAAATAGTCATTTCTCATTTGGAAAGACAGACATCTGTGTGCTCAAAAAGGAAACTAATAAGTGAAAAAGGAAGAGTTTGGATTAGCTTATGTCTGAGGTCCCACCTAGCTTTAACATTCTGAGTCCATGTTTAGATTAGACATTGGAGGTATAAATCTTATTTTTGTTAAGGAGAATGAGAAAACATGCATAATTAAAACCTGTAGATCATCCCTAAACTTCATTTTAGCCTAAGCTTTATAAGAGGCAAACCAAATGTGTTTGTGTTTGTGGTGTGGGTGAGTTTTCATGGTATCTTGGCTTAGAGGTAATGGGAGAGGGTAGTGCTGTGTACCTTGCAATAGGAGGTATACCTTATTCAGTCTTTTGTGTCCTACCAGGAAATGTAGATAATTGCTTTACAGACATAAACCACTTTTGTATTCTCTGTAGCTCAGGAATTGGTCAGAGTAAGAAGGAAGCTGTGATTAGCCTTCCCTGTGCCCCTCAGTTATTCCTTTCAAATAGGCTTTTGTTCTCAAATTCTCTTATTCTTCTTAAGGTTAAACTAAGGTGGCTGCTCCCTATTTTCTCATCCACCACAGATTCTGTTTCATACTCATTCATTTATTTATCAAATACTTATTGAGTGCCTACTATGTGCTAAGTAAGTTTTAGGTGCTAGAAATACATCTGAGAACAAAAAACATCCCTTTCCTATTGCTTAGGTTCTAAAAGGGGGAGATAGGCAAATGTTACACACCCACCCACATACACCCACCCCTCTCACACACATACTCAGAGTCTTAAGTGATTTTATATAGCTGGAAGGTGATAAGTGATTATGTATGTATGTATGTATACATATATAGGCAATTAGTGATATGGAAGAAATAGGGCAGGTTTAGGAGAATTGAAAGCATTGGTGGGAAAAAAGGTTGCAATTTTAAATGGGATGCTCAGTGTAACCTCATTGAGAAGGGACATTTAAGCAATTATTTGGAGGAATTTGGAGGAAAGCGGCTATCTGGGGGAAGAGCATTCAAGCAGAGAAAAAGAACCAGCACAAAGACCTTCAGACGAGAGAGTGTCTGGATTGTTCAAGGAACTAGGGTTTAAGGAGCTAGTGTGACTAGAGCAGAGTGAATGAACAAGGGGAGTACTAGGAGATTAATTCACAAGAGTATAACAGAGGGAGGGAGCAGATCTTGTAGGCTCCTAAGTAAATACCTTGTAATTGCCATTGTAATTTACCTTGTAAATACCTTGGCTTTACTTTGAGTAAAATGAGGAGTCCTTGGAGGGTTTTGAGCAGAAGAGTGATATAATGTGGTTTTTAAAAGGATTATGCTGGCTACTGTCTTTTTTGTTGTTTAAACCACTTTATTGGTATAAACCACTTTACTGGTATATGATTGACATAAAAAAGCTATATGTATTTCATGTGTACAACTTGATAAGTTTGGAGATAAGTATACACCACAAAACCATCACCTTAATCTATGTCATTAACCTATCAATCACCTCCAAAACTGTCCTCCCACCCTCTTATTTATTATTATTTGTGTATATGACAAGAACACTTAACATAAGATCTACCCCCTTAGCAATTTTTAAAATACACCATACAGTATTGTTAACTTATAGGCACTATGCTGTACAATAGATGTAGGCCTTACTCATCTGGTGCGACCAAAACTTTGTACCCTTTGACTAATACCTTCCCATTTCACTCTCCTCCCAGGCCCTGGAAACCCTGGTATTCTACTTTCTGCTTCTATGAGTTTGACTACTTTATATTCATCATATAGTGCTATCATGTAGTATTTTTCCTTCTGTGTCTGGCTTATTTCATTATGTCACTTAGCTTGACATTCTCCAGGTTCATCCATGTTGCTGCAAATGCCGGGATTCCCTTCTTTTTAAGACTAGATAATTGTTCTAGGGTGTGGTTGGTTGTGTGTGTGTGTGTATGTACACCACCTTTTCTTTACCCATTCATCTATAAATGGACATTTAGATTGCTTGGCTATTAAGAATTATGCTGCAGTGAACATGGGAGTGTAGATATCTCTTCAAGATAATGATTTCAGATCCTTTGGATTTATACCCAGAAGTGAGATTGCTGGATCATATGGTAGTTATATTTTTAATTTTTTAAGAAACCTCCGTATTGTGTTTCAATATACATTTTCACTAACAGTGTACAAGAGTTGCATTTTTTCCACATCCTTGCCTACATTTATCTTTTGTTTTTATTGTTGTTGTTTTGATAAATGGTCACCCAAGCAGGTGTGAGGTGATACCTCATTGTGGTTTTGATTTGCATTTCTCTGATGATGAGTGATGTTGGGTACCTTTTCACATACCTCCTGGTCATTTTTATAGATGTCTGTTTAGGTACTTTGCTCACTTATTATTATTATTTTTTGCTATTGCATTGTAGGAGTTCCTTATTTATTTGTGATAATAACCTTTTATCAAATAGATGGCTTGTAAATATTTTCTTCCATTCTGTAGGTTGCCTTTTCATTTTGTTTCCTTCTCTGTGCAGAAGCTGTGGCTATCTTAAAAAGAGATTACAGGTGTATGAGCAAGGTGGAAGCAGGGAGACCAGATAGGAAGTTGCTTCAGTAATCTAAGCAAGAGATGGTGGTAGATGGAAGCAGGGTGGAAACTGTTCAATGGAAAGGAGTGGTTAGATTCAGATACATTATGAGGGTACAACAAACAGGATATGCTAATAGATTGGATATGGTGTGTGAAAGGGGGAAGTCAAGGATGAACCCAAGTTTTTTCCTTCTGAGGAAGGAGGTTACATTTACTGAGATGGGAAGGACTGTAGGTAGAGTAAGCTTGGCATGTAAGAGTTCAGTTTTAGACTTGATGGTTTGAGATGCTTACTAGACATCGAAGTGGAAATGTCAAGCAGTTAGGTGAGAAAACAAACCTGGAGCACAGAGGACAGGTCTGAACTAGAGCTATGCATTTAGGAGTGTTCAGCACATACATAGTATTTTAAATCCAAAGAAATCCGTGGGAGTGAAGACAGAGAAGAGATCTAAGAACTGAGCCCTGGATTAATCCAATGTTAAAAAGTTGGAGAGAAGCTGGGCACAGTGGCTCATGCCTGTAATCTCAGCATTTTGGGAGGCCAAGGCGGGTGGATCACCTGAGGTCAGGAGTTCGAGAGCAGCCTGGCCAACATGGCGAAACCCAGTCTCTACTAAAAATACAAAAATTAGGCCAGGTGTGGTGGCTTGCCCCTGTAATCCCAGCTACTCAGGAGGCTGACACAACAGAATCGCTTGATCCCAGGAGGCAGAGGTTGCAGTGAGCCGAGATCGTGCCACTGCACTCCAGCCTGGGTGACAGAGCGAGACTCCATCAAAAAAAAAAAAAATAGTTTCGGAGAAGACAAGGAACCGGCAAAGAAAACTGAGAAAGAATGGCCAGTGAGCAGGAGTAGGAGGAAAATCAAAAGAATGTGGTATCTTAAAATTAAGTAAATTGACCACTGACCACAGTCTCTTCTGTCCTCTCTATTGCCATTGCCTTATCCCTAGTTAAGCACCACATCATTACTTGTCTAAACTGCAATGGTGTCTTAATTGTCTTCTTGCCTCCCTTATTTCCTCTAATGCATCCCCCACCCTGTCAGACATTTATGTTTCAAACACAAGTTGGATTCTGTCACTCCCTTGCTCAAAACACTTAATCTATTTATAGTTTATACACACTCTGCTGCTTTTGTCTTCCATGGCTTTGCCTTTGCTTGTGTAGTCCATTGTGCCTGAAGTATACCCTCTACATTTCTCATCACCAGGTGAACTCCTACTTACTCTGCAAGACTCAATTCAGGTACTATCTCATTCAGGAAGTCTTCCTTGATTTTTCCTCTGGACTTCAGTTTGCCTTATGCATATTTTTATTTTTGCCTTAAACATTTTTAAAAATCATTTTATGTTTATCTGTTTATCCCATTTAGGATTTTTTTTGTTTTTTTGTTTTGTTTTGTTTTGTTTTTGTTTTTGAGACAGAGTCTTGCTCTATCACCCAGGCTGGAGTGCAATGGCACGATCTCAGCTTGCTGCAACCTCCGCCTCCCGGGTTCAAGCAATTCAAGCAATTCTCCTGTGTCAGCCTCCTGAGTAGCTTGGATTACAGGTGCACACCACCATACCTGGCTAATTTTTGTATTTTTAGTAGAGAACTGGGTTTCACCATGTTGGTCAGGCTGGTCTCAAACTGCTGACCTCATGATCCACCTTGGCCTCCCAACGTGCTGGGATTACAGGCGTGAGCCACCGTGCCCAGCCAGGCTGTTATTTCTTAAAGGACAGTGATCGTATCTTGCCCATCTTTAAATGTTTGGCACCTAACATAGGGTCTGACACATAGTAGGCAGTAAATAAGTGTTTAATGAATGAATGAATGAATAAATGAGGGGTCACTTTTTCTCCTTGCTCTGGGTATGTCAGTTTCAGTTTAGAGGGTTATAAATTTTTCTCTACAACTTTGAATTGTTTCCAATTCTTCAATTTAAAATTCTAATATAACTAGTTATGGGACAGAATAACTGATTTGCATCTCAGATGCAGGAGAAGCATGCAGAATAACAATATGGTGTGGGTTTGATAGCACTCAAATATTGTATCTCTCAGTGTAATCAATATACATCTGAGTTACTGTAATACAGCCAATACTCACAAGTTGAATTTGTTAGGTTACTGCATTTACCTCTCTAGGATACCAATACCATGTAAAATAAGTTCTTATGGGAAGACTCATGTTTGCTTGTATCTTTGGGGAGAAAGAAGATAGTGTCATCCTGGACCTTTAAAAAGGTATTTAATGCACATTTATCATAATCTAAAAGAATAAAGCTTGACTTTTTTTCCCGGTGTGCTTTATTTCATAGGTAGAAATGTAAAAATGCCCATGATTGGCCGGGCGCTGTGGCTCACATCTGTAATCTCAGCACTTTGGGAGGCGGAGGCGGGCGGATCACCTGAGGTCAGGAGTTCAAAACCAGCCTGGCCAAAGCATGGCGAATCCCCATCTCTACAGAAAATACAAAAATTAGCCAGGTGTGCTGGCATGCATCTGTAATCTCAGCTACTTGGGAGGCTGAGGCAGGAGAATCGCTTGAACCCGGGGAGGCAGAGGTTGCAGTGAGCCGAAATTGCGCCATTGCACTCCAGCCTGGGCGACAGAGCAAGACTCCGTCTAAAAAAAAAAAAAAAAAAAGGAAAAAGCCCATGATTAGGTATACCTGTCATCTAGCCAATCCAGCATTCTGTTTCTGAGAAGACTTTATTAGGAAATCATCATATGTCCCACTAATACCAACCTCAAATGCGTAGTAGTATTTCTGGGAGGAAAAACATTCTAATTTCTTTCAGTAGTCCCTATGGATCTATTGTCAGTGATTTTATCTAACATATTTTTAAATTTGTTCATTTGTAATTAAAAAAATTCTATATTTGAGACAAAAGAGTTTTCTAATTACATTTTGCTGTTTAAAGGAATACTTTTATTGAATTCAGCATTCTTTTTTACTTAATATTTTTGACATACATAAAACTATACATAATTAATATATATAACTTGATGAGTTTGGAGATAATTATATGCACCATGAAACCATCCTCTATCTATGTCATAAGTCTGTCCATTACCTCCAAAATTTCCTCCTGTTCTCTTATTTATTATTTGTGTGTATGTGGGGATAAGAGCTTAACATAAGATCTACCCTCTTAGGAATATTTAAAGCATACAATGAGTATTGTTAACTGTAGGTGCTATGTTGTACAGTAGATCTCTAGGACTTGTATAAATGAAACTTTATACCCTTTGACTAATACTTCTCCGTTTCACTTTCCTCACAGCCCTTAGAACCCTTGGCATTCCATCCTCTGCTTCTGTGAGTTTGACTACTTTAGAGATGACTTTAAACAAATGCATACACCTTTGTAGTTAACACCATAATGAAAACATAAACTATTTTCATCTCACCAGAAAGTTTCTCTATATGACTGTTTCCAGTCAATCTCCAGTCTGCATAGGCAACCACTCTTTTGACTTCTATCACTATAAATTAGTTGTCTGTTACTAAGTTTCAAATACATGGGATCATACACTCTATGCTTTCTGGTCTCTGACTTTTTTCCCTTAGCATTTTTATTTTTTAGATTAACCCATGTTGTTGAGCGTTATCAGTAGTATGTTCATTTTTATTTTTGAGTAATGTGCCATTATATGAATTAACTACAGTTGGCTTATCCATTTACCAGTTAATACACATTTGTGCTTTTTCCAATTTTTCTCTGTATTATGAATAAGTCTGCTATGAACATATAAGCCCTTATTGCTATATATTCCACTCTACGCACTGCTTTGCCCCATCTCACAAATTTAGATATAGCCTGTTGTCATGTTAATTCAGCTGAGTACTTTTACATATCCTGTGGGGTTTCTTCTTTGACCCAAATATTATTTATATTTTTTAGATACTTCTTTGTTATTGACTTATTATTTAATTCCATTGTGCCAAAGAAGATGTTCTATATGATTTAAATAGTTTCAAATTTACTGTGACTTGTTTTATGGACTTGAATAGAGTCTATCATGAAGAATGTTCCAGGGACTGTAACCTTAGTTCCTTTTGGAAATAAGAGTTCCTTAGTTTGTTCCAAAAGATATATAAGAATATATATAGACGTTGAAATTATATATTCAACGTTGGAACCACTAAGTTCCAAAAGAACTTAGTTCCTTTTGGACCAGTAGAGCCTAAGGTCATAGTGACAGAAAGCACAAAATTTGCTTGTGAATCACTAGGAGTAATAGTGAATCAAGCCACTCCCATTTTTACCTCTAATACTTATTACAGAATCCATGAATCCTGGCTGTTGGAGAAATAACACCATATGTTGGACATTATTTTAGAGCATCCTGAAAGACATTACCTCTGGAAGACATTGTCACCTACCTGGTACTGTAGCTCAATCTTCAAAAAGCCATTCCACCATTGTAGTAAACCCGCTTCTTCAGCATGATGGGAAACATGGCAAGACTAGTGAATTCCACGAGCAAAGGCTCATTACCATTCTTCATTTGCTGTGAAATGACTTTCTTGATCAAAAATGGTGCTACGTGTAATACCATCATGGTGGATAAGGCATTCTGTACTTTTTTAAATGATACTGACAAACTACTTCTAGAGTAGCTGAGACATTTTACATTCCCACCAGTAATATAAATGATAGTTTCTCAGCATTCTTGGCAGGATATGGTGGTGTCACTGTTTTTACTTTAGTACTGTGATAGGTGAGCGTGATATCTCATTGTGATCTTAATTTGCATTTCCCTGAGGGCTAGTGATGTTGAGTATCTTTTCATCTGTTTATGTGCCATCTGTATATCATCCTTATGAAATATCTCTTTATGTCCTTTGACCTTTCTTTCTAATTGGTTATATTTTTACTGTTCAGTTCTGAGAGCTTTTTATATAATCTAGGTATATGAGTTTTTTGGTCAGATATGTGCTTTACAAATATATTTTTGCCAATCTGTGGCTTGTCTTTTCATCTACTTAATAGTCTCTGACAGAGCAAAAGTTTAAAACTTTGATGAATAATAATGTATTGTTTTTTTTCTTTTATGGATTGTACTTTGGTGTCATGTCTAGAGCAAGCCCTAGATCCCAAAGATTTTTCTTTCTTTGATTAGGCACATACATTTCAGAATAAGCTTGTCTAGCATATACATTTTAGAATAAGCTTGTCTCTATCTGAAAAAAAATCTTGCTGGGATTTTGATGGATATTGCATTTAACCAATACGTCATTTTGAGGGAGAACTGCCATCTTTCCTATGTTCTGTCTTCCAATCCTTGAGTGCAGTATGTGTCTCCGTTTATTGATGTCTTCTTTTATTTTTCATCGTTATTGTAGTTTTCAACATATAAATTATGTACACATTTCGTTAGATTTATACCTAAGTATTTATACCGAAGATTTATACTTAAGTACCTAAGATTTATACCTACATATTTCTCTTTTTTGAACAATTGTAAATGGTATGTTATTTTTAATTTCGGTGTCCACATATTCATTGCTAATATATAGAAATATAATTGATTTTTGTAGTTGGTATTAATTATAGCCTCTCACCTTGCTGAATTCCAAATTAGTTCTAGGAGATTTTTTACATAGACCCTCATGTCACCTGCAAATAGAGTGAACTTTATTTCTTCCTTTCCAATTTGTATGCCTTTTGTTTCCTTTTCTTGTCTTAGTGCACTGGCTAGAACTCCCAGTACTGTATTGAATAAGAATGGTGACAGGATATGTCTTTGCCTTATTACCAATAATAGGAAAGAGTATTCAGTCTTTCACCAAGATGTTAGCTATAGATTTTTTTTGTAGATGCTTTTAACCAAGTTGAGGAAGTTCCCCCTCTATTCATAAGTTTTCCGAGACATTTTATTGTGAATCACTGCTGAATTTTTAAATGCCTTTCTGTATCAATTAATATAATGCAATTTTTCTTTATTCTGCTAATGTGGTGAATTCCATTGATTGATTTTTTGAATATTGATCCAGCCTTGCATCCCTGTAATAAGCCTCAATTGGACATGATGTATGATTATTCTTATATATCTGCTATCATTCTAATTTTTTTTTTCTTATAGGTAAATGTGTTGTTTCTCTCTTGCTGCTCTCAATATTTTTTCACTGTCTTTAGTTTTCAGTAGTTTAATTATTTGCATTGGTGCAGATTTGTGTGTGTGTGTCCTATTTGGGGTTAGTTCAGCTTTTGGATTCTGTAGGTTTATGTCTTTGGTAAAATTTCTGAACTTTTTACCCATTATTTCTTTGAATACCCATTCTTCTCCTCTTGTTCTGAGAATTCAGTCATACAAACGTTAGATCTGTTGTTATTGTGCTACACGTCCTTGAGGCTCTGTTTACTATTTTTCACTCTATTTTCTCTTTATTGTTCATATTAGGTAATTTCTATTGTTCTATCTTCAAGTCCACTGATTCTTTCCTCTGTCATCTGTCTGTATTCTACTATTGAGTCCATCCAGGATTTTTAAATTTTTGTTTATTGTATTTTTAGTGTTAATTTTTTCATTTGGTTTTTCTTTACATCTTTTATTTTTACTGAAACTTTCTATTTTTAAATTTAAGTATGTTCATAGTTGCTCATTAAAGCATTTTTGTAACAGCTGGCCTAAAATACTTGTCAGATAATTTCAACGTCTGTGTCATCTTGGTGTTTGTGTCCTCTGTTAAATTGATATTTCCCTGGTTTTTGATATAAGTGATTTTTATTTAATTCTTGACATTTTGGGTATTATAAGACTCTGGATCTTATTTAAATCTTCTGTTTTACTTGGTTTCTTCTGACATCATGCTGGCAGGGGAAGTGGTCATTACCTTATTACTGCCATGTGGAAGTAGAAATACAGACTCTCCACTCAGCCTCCATTGAAACTCTAGGAAATGGGGGTGGGGGAACTTCATTACTGCTTGTTGGAAGTGGAAGTTGAAGCTCCCCTTTAGGCCTTTGCTGACATCACCCTGGTTGATAGAGAGGAGCACTTGATTCCTATGACATTGCTGATTGGGGATTTAAAAAAACCCAGCTCTCTACTTGGCCTTCTTTGATACACCACCCCCGTAGGTTGGTTGGGACACCTCATTAGATCCTGGAGAAGGTGGAAGTCCGGTTTCCTCACTCAGTGCTTGCTCATAGGGATGAGGTTAGGGGTGCAGTTTCTTGTGTTGTTTGGCTATTGTTTAAGTTTTCTGTCTTGCTGTACTCCCCCTTCTTGGTCCTTTGACTAGAGAAAGCTGGCTTTCTTTCTTTTTTTTTTTTTTTTTTTTTTTGAGACGGAGTCTCGCTCTGTCACCCAGGCTGGAGTGCAGTGGCGCGATCTCGGCTCACTGCAACCTCTGCCTCCCGGGTTCACGCCATTCTCCTGCCTCAGCCTCCCGAGTAGCTGGGACTACAGGCGCCCGCCACTACGCCCGGCTAACTTTTTGTATTTTTAGTAGAGACGGGGTTTCACCTTGGTCTCATCTCCTGACCTCGTGATCCGCCCGCCTCGGCCTCCCAAAGTGCTGGGATTACAGGCGTGAGCCACCGCGCCCGGCCAAAAGCTGGCTTTCTTGAGGCTTTTTTTTTCCCTCTGCCCATTGGCATTTCTAGGTTGCTGGTTTTACCAATACCTGGTCTGGGATATATATAGTAAAAAAAAAATACCCAGGGAATTCACCACTTTGTCATTCCCTGGGTCTCAAAGTCCCTAGTAAGTCTACTTTTTTTCTCCACCTTTGAAAATGTTCTTATGTTTGTCTTATATATAATGTCCAAGTTTTTAGCTGTACTTAATGGGAGAAATAGAGAGATGTGCAACTATGCTGTCTTGTCTTGAAACTAGAGACTCAGATATATTTTTTTTGTTGTAATTCACCACTTTAAATAGGGAGTTGTCCTATTATGATCTCCCGTACATAATGTTCATAATGGTCATTGAAATGGTATATTTCAATTATGTCCCTTCTCAGCCATTTTTCATCCCTTCAATCATTTAGTTGACGTTAGTAGATGATCTTCAGCTTGATTATGACATCCTTGAATATCTTGATGGTATTTTTCAAATGTCTCAACTCCATGACTGTTTTTACTTCCAACTCAGGACACAGTAATTTTAGTGACCTCTTCCTGGGTTTCCTTTGAATACAAAGAAAAATCAAGACAAGTCTTCATTTCATTTAAAGCCATGCTCAAATTTCACCTCTTCAGAATGGCCTTTATGACCATTCTGGATATGTTTGCCCTGCTTTATTTTCTTTATATCACTTATCACTATGTGATATTTTATTTTTCATATGACTAATGATTCTCTATTTTGTATCTATGGATTTGTTCACTGTCTCTCTCCTTGGAAAGTGTCAGAGCTCTATAAGTGCATGGGCTGTGTTTTGTTCACTTTTGTATTCCCATTGCCTAGAAAAGTCATTGGCATATAGTAGGCTCTAAATAAATATTTTGGCCAATTGAATGAATAAATACGTCACAAGAGATTTGGGTGGAAGAGAGAAGAAAGAATAGAAAATTCTGGGTACTTAGTGTAAAGAATTTTAACCAACTCATATGCTACTAGACAATAACATTAGATTAGATATATACACCAAACTTAGGCCAAAATGTGTGAAAGGAAGAAAATAACTTCTGTTTTCTTTCTTTGCTTCTTCTTTTTTTTCTCATCTAAGTCATATTTCTTGTCCTAGGATAGGGGCAAGGTCTTTCTGAAAACAGCAGTTGTAGCCCTCTGATGAGAAGGTGGTAAATTGAAAATTGGAAAAGTCTTGACTAGAAATTTCCACATTTTGCTTAGATGATAGAAGCAAATGACAGTTTGGCCAGCTGCCCCAGGTGCATTAAAATTCATGTGGCCCCTGGACTAACTGGATCGATTCCAAATGTAGATCTTCCAAATGAAACTGAAGACATTGAATTGAATCCAGATTTTACAGGGGAATAGCTAAAATGAATAGAAGAAAGCAGTGATGTCATACTGTGTGGTCAGAACCCTGCCGTATTATCCTCCTCAGTATGACTTTTGTTGTAGCTATCTGTGGAGCCACACATTGACTGGGCTGTCTACATTTGTTAGAACAGAGAAAAGGATGCTACCTTTTCCCTAAGATGTCATTGTATCTTGGAGGAAGACTAGAAAGGGATAAGATGTTTCTCATTTCATCTATTAGTTCGATATCTCTCTAAGCAACTCAGGTATCAGGCACCATAGATTGAAAAAAGAAAGCTGTTTTATAAAAATACATCCATTTACTTAAAGTATAATAAAAAAAAAAGGAAAAAAAAGAAAAAAAAAATACATCCATTTATCCCAGCCTGGGCAACGTGGTGAAACCTCATCTCTACAAAAAATACAAAAATTAGCCAGGCATGGTGACATCTGCCTGTAGTCCCAGCTACTTGGGAGGCTGAGGCAGGAGAATCACTTGAACCCAAAAAATATATATCCATTTATAAGGCATATTCAAAAAAGGAATAGTATATAGTATATCATAATAAAAATTAGGGCTAGGCTAAAACAAAAATGGAATTTAAGTTCACCTTAATGTCTTTTTAAATGTAATAGCTTTCTGGGGAAATACAATTCTGGTTTGAGAATATTAGTCATGTACAACACTTGTCCTGGATAACTGATATCACCTGAGCCATAAAATTACAGAGCCACCTGGCCCTTTCCAGAAAGATTTCCTTCAGAAATTATATTGTTTCTTGAACAGGCAAAGCTTTTACTCAAATGAGCTGTCTCCAATAAGCTCTCCATCAAATTATCTGCCATTGGTGCAGTTGTTCTTAATTTCACTTAAGTGCCTGCTGGCTGACTTTGAGTGCAAAAAGACAAAACATATCTTATTGGATGGAATTTAAGTTTGGGGGGAAAAAGGAAAGCAGCTGCTGCCTTCTTGATCTCCCTGCTCTCTTCCCACTAGTAGTGGAATAGGGGGCAGAGAAAATAGCCTTTGTTTTTAACTTGATTTACCTACTTTGGAGACTTCCTTACTTGCAGCATGTGAATGTAAACATATAAAACGTGTTCGTTGAAAGAAAAATTTCCTGGCAAAGCAAAATTCAGTCTGATGATTTGCTCCCACAAAATTTTATTTCATATGGTTGAGTAGAATTTTGCCTTTATTTGTTCTGCTGATTCAAGGAGGATGCTAACTTAATGGGTGTACTTTTTTGCTTTGTTTTTATTCTAATATCACCATTTGTAATTGTGGGTAGTAAATAATAGAATGAATAATGGAGAAATTTGATGGCTTTTCTTATAACCCTGTACATATAAGAAAAAAATTCTATAAAATATGGAAAGTACTTTATACCTTTTTGCTGAATTTCAGTGAACATGATTAATAATAACTTCACCCATCCATCCATAAATTCATTATTTATTTATTCAATGTTTATTTGAATGTCTGTTGCCCCAGGCACTGATGATACACTCATAAAAAAGATACAGAAGTGGACTTTCTATTCCAATGGGCCCTTGATGGTGTCCTGCTGCTTAAAGCCCCCCTTCCCCTCAAGTGCATTCCCATTTTATTTATTTTGTTTTCCCCAAAAAGATGGTGAGCTCTTCTATGGTAGAAATCCTGTCATGTGCTTTCTATGATTCTAGATATTCAACATGTTGGACTGAATTGAATAAAGGCTATTGAAGATGTAGGTGAGGAAAATTTCACAGTCATAGGATATTAGATCTAGAGGGAATTGTTAAAGATGATTTAGCCCATAGATTTTCAAACTGTGTTCACAGGATCCATGAAGGCATCTGTATAGATGCATGTAAGACTGGTTCAGGGAGAAGGAGAGGCCCAGGAGAAGGCTTATGAGCCTGTTATGACCTTCCCTGTGCTTCAAGCATAAGATTTCTACTTTCAGCTCTTTTATGTGTAGGATATTCCTGTAAGTTGTCTTTTGAATAAAGGGTTGGCTGCTAAAAAAAAGTTGGAATCCGCTGACAGGTCCAACATCTCTATCATAAGATAGGCCTAAAAAGGTTGAGTGATTTGTTCAAGGTCATACATATAGTTAATAATGCTCTTAGAACTAAAACCTAAATCTTCTAATTTCCAATCTGGGGTTCTTTCCACGACATTCTGCTGTTTCCTGCTTCACAACTGTTCCATGACCAGCCCAATGCTTGACACAGAGAGCATAACTGAAAGAAAGAATGTTAAAATCCACTTTGACAACACTTCTTCTCTTCTTGGACATAATTCAATATCTCGGCACTTAGCAAAGTGACTGTCACACAGTAGGTGCTTAATGGTGATGGTTGTATGGTGGTGGTTATTCTTGATTGATTGTTTATCTTTCCAGATTAAAGCACTCTAATCCTTTTATTCTATTCTCATAGTCTCCCCTCCACCCCACCATCCCTTCAAACATCTTTCTTGTCTTTAGTCTCTGACTACAGTCCTTGGGATGGACTGAGTGTGAAAACTGGAACATATATAGGTAGTTCTAACTTACAGCTTAACTAACTTAACTAGCTAGCTTAAGCTGCCACTTAAATCCCTTTACCTTGTATCTTTAATTATGTAACAACAGTTGTTTATTGTTAAGATTAAGAAAATAAATAACTGTGAAATATAAGTTGTACTAAAAATGGTTTTAAAAGTTCAGTTGGGTTTTTTGTTTGTTTGACTGATGGCTTTAAAAGTATAATTGAGCCATTAGTTGATTTATCCTTCTCACTGCTTCTCTACAGATGCGAGTTTCATTTTAACTAGTGCTTTCAGCTTCTTGCTATGGTTTCTTTGGGCTTAGTTGGTTTCCTTTTCCTTTTCCTCACCTGTTGCCTACTCACTGTTTTGCAGTTGGACATCTTCTCCAGCCCAGGTTACCTAATATTACTGACAAAGATTTTCATCTTTCCTCAAGGAGAGATCATTTAGGATTGCAGTTTTTTTTTGGTTTTTTTTTGTTTGTTTTGTTTTGCTTTGTTTTGTTTTTGACAGTCTCACTCTGTCGCCCAGGCTGGAGTACAGTGGCACAATCTTGGTTCACTGGGATTGCAGTTTTTTACATCTTGCAGACACATCTTCTAGGACCAATTTGGCCAGAATGTTCTCTCTGGTGCAAATATAAGATTGCTTTAGGAAGGGTCTGCTGCCATCAGCCACTGCTGCTACTGCTGTTGCCAGTGCAATGGGAGGGAGAAAATTGGCTTTGTGGCCAGATAGAATTAGATTTTGTTTGTTTTTCTGGTTTATTTTTGCTTTGGGTTGATTTTACTTCTGTCTTATTAGCACCTTATTAATAGAGAAAAGTATTACAAAGAGAGTTTAGAACTCAAAGGTAGAAATCCATTCTCCATTTGGTAAAAAAATAGGACCTCCACTTTTTAAAAGTTCATGCTAGATTTACAATATTTGATTTAAGGGTACTTGCACAGTTTTCTTTTACTCTCTGCTTTTTTTTTCCCTCATAGATGACTTTTTCTTGAGTAGTGTATTTATTGTGGTGTAGATTTTGGCATTATGTACTGAGAATCTGTAATTCAATCTTTTCAGGTGTTCATCTTTATTTAATGACATTGATAAATTGAACGATGGCTCTTTATATGCATAAGATCTTCTAACTATATGTAATCATATTTATTGTACAGTTATTTTTAAAACCTAGGGGTTTGTGCAGTGAGCCGAGATCGCGCCACTGCACTCCAGCCTGGGCGACAGAGCGAGACTCCATCTCAAAACAAAAACAAAAACAAAAACAACAACAAAAAAACCCTAGAGGTTTGGAGAAACCAAGACCAGTTTCATCATTTTCCAGATAGTAGATGACCAGGCTATTTTTAGAGAGCTTTGAAACTGGGGTTATTAGATAATTTGTGGTCATGAGACTGTAACTAAAACTTGTCTGAAGTTATTAGACTGAAAGCTGATCTCCTAGCCTAGAATAATACTGGAACTAGGATTTACATACTTAGAGTGACTTTTATCTTTAACACAATAGAATCATTGAACATTATATAATGTACAACAATAGTTTGTATCATGGTCAGTCAACAAACATTTATTGACTTTAATCATTCACCGTAGGAGTGCAGATATTAGTTTCACAACAGCTGGTTTAAATTTGTTCTGTTACTGAGTGAAAGTTTTATACTGTTGATGTACATAGATTCTTCTTTATGATATGTGTCTGGGTTAGGCAGAAGAATAGACAACTGTCTAGGTTTTAGTCCTGATTTTTCTATGGATCCTTTGTCATCTGGCCTTTTTTCCTTAGAGGTCACCTAATAGATACCACTCTGCTAATATAGCAGCTTAATTGTTTTTTATAATTGGATTCAAGGCAACATCAATCACAAGTGAAATTAATAACTAGGTGCTCTATGCAGTAGAATAATATATTTTTACAAACTTGTAACATTTTTCTAGAAATATAATGTACAGATGGATGCCACTAGTAGCACAACTAGAAATTATGCTTATATATTAATATGAATAGACAACCACAGACAGTCTCAGGAGTTCCTTAAAGCAATCCTATTTATATTTATTTATTCATAGGTCTTAAGTATATCTGACCAATGCTTAAATATAGTGTAAAAAAAAAAAACACTTCATCCTCCATTAAACTAGACCTCAATGCTTACCTCAGGCTGAACTCACCCCAGAGATTCATCTTTAACACAAACGTGAAAACACATTTCGTTACAAATATAAATAATACAATTCAACCTTTTCAGGAGATTTCTGGGGACTTCCTACTTCTCATTTATTACAGCCTCCTGAATTTGGCCTTAGGGCTTTAAGATGTTTCAAGAATGTTTCCCCATTCACTTTTGTGGGAAAAACTCTACTTCCTCAATAGGGACTGGTTGGACATAGTTTCAGCTTTCTGCTTATGAAGTATGGATTTTTTCTCTCTGCCTATTTCCCACAGTACAGGCATTCTAACTTTTAAGGAGACAGTATGCTAAAATTCAGATTTATAAAAGAAAAATCAAAAGCAAGTCCACATGAAGGTTGATGGTACATGGATACCTCACTTTGTACCGAAAATGTGCTTCTGATAAACTGAACATATAAATTCCATATTTGTAGAAACAAATCTTACTTGCATGTACAATGTTAGCTTAGCATTGTAAAAGATTGCCGGCTGGGCGCAGTGGCTCATGCCTGTAATCCCAGCACTTTGGGAGGCTGATGCGAGCAGATCACCTGAGGTCAGGAGTTCGAGACCAGCCTGATCAACATGGAAAAACCCCGTCTCTACTAAAAATACAAAATTAGGCGGGCGTGGTGGCACATGCCTGTAATCCCAGCTACTCAGGAGGCAGAGGCAGGAGAATCGCTTGAATCCGGGAGGCAGAGGTTGCGGTGAGCCGAGATCATGCCATTGCACTCCAGCCTGGGCAACAAGAAGGAAACTTCGTCTCAAAAAAAAAAAAAAAAATTGCCACATGGAGTGCTTCTGTAATACACATAAGCACTCTTGCTTTTCTGGTTTGTGGATTGGATAAGGAAACAGTGGATTTTCTTAAAGTAGGGCACACCTATAGTCTGTATTCCCATATAAAGTTTTTAATTTCAAAGACTGACCCCTTTGTTAGACCCTGATTTCTCAACCTGATCTTCCGTAGTCTCTTGTGGTTTCTTCCTACTTCATTAGTCTAGTGACTCAGGTGAGCTTTCCTGACCCCTGATCTCTGCCTGGCTATCATATGTTATACTATATGAAAATATAATGATATATTTGTGTATTTATAAGTGAGATATAGCAGGAATTTGTATAGGAGCCCTACAAATATATGTGTTTTTCTATCAAAGTTTTATGATATTCAAGACCAGCAAGCACAATGCACGTTGTGAAAGTTTTCTTTTTTTCTGTACATTACTACTTATTTTAAATATTCTTGTTTTGCTTCTTAACCTTTTACATGATATACTAACTCTATCCATTACCGAAGCATAACCACTTCTGAAGTGAAATGACATCTATCTAACCATGTTAAAAATAGTATTGGTTGGCCAGGTGCAGTGGCTCATGCCTGTAATCCCAGCACTTTGGGAGGCCAAGGTGGGCAGATTGCCTAAGGTCGGGAGTTCGAGACCAGCCTGACCAACATGGAGAAACCCTGTCTCTACTAAAAATACAAAATTAGCCGGGTGTGGTGGCACATGCCTGTAATCCCAGCTACTCAGGAGGCTGAGGCAGGAGAATTGCTTGAGCCCAGGAGGCAGAGGTTGCGGTGAGCCAAGATCACGCCATTGCACTCCAGCCTGGGCAACAGGAGTGAAACTCTGTCTCGAAAAACAAACCAACAAACAAACAAACAAAACTATTGGATTTGTTTACAATAGGAAGAATACACTCTTCTTTGCACTGAAAGAGCTTAACCCATCTTCAATGTTGGCAAGGATAATGGTTCTTCTGATTTGTTTTTAAAAGGGTATGTACTAGTAATCTCATTTTAGCCTTTGATTTTCTTTCTTACTACCCTGTCCTTTGGCTTCATTTGCCTCTTTATGGGAAAGAATGCATCTGAGGCTTTCTTTGCTTCTACTCTTACCATGATATGTAGACTAGTTTATGGAAAAATACATTGGCTGCCTGCTGTGCATTTAAATTCCCCACTTCCCTGCTGCATTTGTGTGCAGCAACTGAAAGACAAATAGATGCATGCAGGGCCATTTTTGTCAGTGAAAGTTTTTGGACATATGCATTACCAAGCACACATATCATTAAATATGAGTTTAATATCTGGAAGCAAAAGTGATAGTGCATCAACTTTGTCCACAGAGGAGAAAAGGGGTCACTGTTTATGAGAACTAAATGGAAGCGTATCCTTCTTATCAATCAAAGAAATTAAGAGATGAGAATTGGTCTTTTATGCCATCTGGTTCCTCCCCCAGGGACCAGCAGACAATTGGTCCTTGCATTATTATATTCTTAGTGCTGGTTATTATTGTTACATGTTTCCATAGCTTTGCAGTAACTTCAGATGCTTCTGGAGCCACGATTCCTCCACCTCTCTTGACCAGGGAAGTTCAGGCTGTATTTCCTTTCAAATAACATATCTCCCTTCCTTTTCAATGTTTAGTAAGCCTTATTCCAAAAAACTGTGTCAAGTTACTGCGATTCAGCTTTTTCAAGATAATTTGTGTCTACTTGGTTATCCTTAACTTTTATCTTACTTTTTTTTCTGTTCTGAGTGATCTTAAACAATTTTAGGAATTTTTTATCGTGTAACGATTTAACATCATGAACATTTTGAAATTGGACCTCTAAGACCAACTGTATTCTTTACGAAGGATAGAAATGGGAAGGGAAAGATGATTGCCTCAATCTCTCTTTCTTCCCTCCCTTCCTCCTTCTCTTTCTCTTTCCCTTTCTCTCTCTCATGAACACGATACATGCACAAAATATAGTGGCCTTTACCCAACCAGTCTCCAAATGCCTCAACCAGATCATCACAGTGCCATCTGGATGACAGGCAAGGGGGGAGTAGGGAAGCGGGTGGAGGGACTAAGTGAGGTTTGGGAGATGAGAAATAGATATGTTAAGGAAGCAGCAAATTACAGAATTGCCAAGCCATAAGAGATTATACAGAACTTTTTCTTAGTTGTACAGTGTGGAAAGTGAGGCTCATAGAGTTAATGTCTAAGGCAGCTGACCTCTCTGGAGTCCACTGTTTTGTTTCCTATGCCAGGCTGAAGGCAAAGATTGTGGGGATTAACAGTACTGGGTCAAAATTCTGAAAATTTTTTCTTCCCATTAATTCATTCAGTTTATCAACATATATTTATTAACCAACTATGATGTACCAGACACTGTGCTAAGTGCCACGGACACCAAATGGTCCCTGACCTCAAGGAACTTATAGTTTATTCATCAAACTCTAGTGGGAAATAGAGAAGCAGAGAAATAGAGAATCACATACAGAAGGATATGTGATTACACATGTAGGATGCTATCGGAGCATATATGAGGTACCCCCTAACTCTCTTTTAGGTGGCTAGAGATAGCTTTCTGGCAGAAGTTGCCCAGGCCAAGGTGGTACAAGTATTCCAGGCTGATGTGATGTTAAAGTGTATGAAATCCCTGAGGCTAGAACTGAAAAATAGTTTTGTATGACTAGAGATTATAAAGTAGTCAAGGATTGGGCCAGGGTGGGGGTGAGGTTAAAGGGGTTGTTGAGCAATAGAGTATGGACGAGACTGTAGAGATATGCAGGAACCAAGTCGTAAAGGACCTTATTTACCATGCCAGGAAGTTTGAAGTTCTGCAGTCTATGAACAATAAAGAAGTCACCGGAAAGTTTTTAGGTCAGTGAGTGACATGATCATATTTGTCTTTTGGAAGGATTACTCTGTCTGCAACTAGAGAGTTGGTTGGAGGCAGGAAGACATGTGAGGCAGTTATTGCAATAATCTTCCTGGACTGAGATTATTATGTTTGTTATTGAGAGAAGGTTCACATGTGAGATAGGAGGTAGAGTCCGTAGGGCTCGGTTACTGGATATGGAGAATGGGAGAGAGGGAAGAATATGGATAACTCCCAGGTTTCTGGCTTGGGCAGCTAGGTGGGGTGTGAGCCATTTACTGACTTGGAGAACACGAGAGGAAGATCAGGATTGTTGAGTAAACGTATTTATGGGATGCCCACACTGAGAAAAATCTGGATTAGAAATATAGATTTGAAAGTTATCAGCATATATAGTGATATGATTTGAAGTTGCGGGGCCACCTAGAGCTAATCTGAGGATTAGTTGCCCTTAGACTTGACTTTGCCTAAAACTCCTTTAGAAATCTGAAAACTATAGACCCTCTCCCCCATAAAATTTACGTACACTATTCTGCTATTCTGCATACAATTTTAGGAAGGTCCACAGACCTCTTGAGGTGTATCCATGAACTCTCATGATGTACAGATTAAGAGTCCCTGATTTTAGAGAAAGAATAAATGAGGCATAAAGATGGAATGCTAGAAAACACTGGCACTTAAGAAATGGGTAAAGGAGAAGTTCATGAAAAAAAACTGAGAAAGATAAACCCAAGAGTTAGGGGGTATCACAGAAGGCAAGGGAAGAGAGAGTTTCAAGAAAGTAGGAATAATTAGCAGAGTTTAGTGCTGCAGAGAGAACGAATAAGATAAGGACTGAAAAGTGATCATTGGCTTTAGCAACAAAGAGTCTCAGTGACCTTTGAAAGGGTTGTTGTAAAATACTGTGGACAGAATTCAGAATGCATTGATTAAGGAGTGGATGAGAGGAGAGGAAGTGGAAGAGCAAATGCAGGCCACATTCTTCCAAGGGGGTAGAGTAGCTGAGTGGGGTGCCTTTGGTTCGTTTAAGGATGGATAGGGCATTAAGAGTTTCTTTTGGTATTTTCTTTGAATTAATCATCTCATTTTCTGATTTCTTATCATAAAAAGAATAAATAAGCCAAAGGAATCAGCTACATAAGAAATGAAGTCTTGCATATTTTCAGTGCTTCTGTCTGATATTAATAAATGATGAATTGTGGTTTTAAGTCCCTATAGTTCTATATCTTTTCCTCAGCTTTGCTTAAAGTGTCTATCTACCCAGAATCCACAATGCCTCAGGCAGTACTAAATTAGCACTATAGGTGTATTAAGGCCAGCCTGGCTGGGGTGAGCACGGCATTACGGCTGGCTTTAGACCCTTGGTTGAGGAGCCAGCTTTGTAATACCCAACTTAGTAATTATGGGGGCTTTATGTTTGCATGTGTGAACCTTAGTTAAGCTTTGTCATAGATTTTTCAAAACAGCTGGGGCTTTTGGTCTATGAAGACATTAATTTGTGTCTCCAGGGGCTATGCATAAATCAAATTGGAAAAGAGGGGAGGAGGAGCGAATTTCTTTTTTTGTGTGAATCCCAGCTCCCTGTTAACTGTTTAATTGAGGAGAAGGAAAGAGTCCTGTGACAATTACTGAATTAGTGATGCACTATTATCTTCTTCTTGATGTATTCTAGCTTGATGTATTTATGTTAAAAAGACAGTAAATGCTGTCTCCCATAGAAGGCCCTGCTTTGTTGCCCTTCAACAGAAATGTAGACTCAGATTTCACAGTTCCTGTTGTTTCAAAGGGAGGCTTAATGTTGGTTGGTGATGGTTGTTAATTTAAACTTTAGTCCTCTTTTCTTAACCATCTGCTGTGTAGTGGCTCTCAGTCACAGTTGAGGGACAGCAACAAGGATCCCACCTGGGGAAAGCAAAGTAATAACATAGGCCTTTGGAAATTCTGCTGTTTATTCCTCTCTAGCCCTGTAAAGGATTATTGGGAAATCATGTCATCATGGAAGCAATGGCCATGTTGGAGTGAACTAAGGGTGGGAAGCGAGCCTGGTCCTAAATTCTTATGACCTTTGGAAATATCAGTATAAATGATGCTGTGGTAATCCAAGGTTTCCCCCTCCTCCACTGTGTTATCTTTTAGCCACTGCTGAATCTAACTGAAGAATGCCAGAATGTAGAAAAATGGGGCTTCTTTGTGGTTTTCTTATTTTCATATTTGCTACCTTTTTAGTCCATTAGAGAAGTAGATGATAGCAAATACAATACACTCTGCAAAATAATACAGTAACTCCCACCCTGCAAATGTGTGTGTGTGTTTGTGTGTTTTACTAAATATTCTTAACATTCAAGAGCATATTCATAGAGGAAAAGGACCGTGTTCTCCTCTAAAACAATCCAGTGATGCCACTGTCAGAATCCAGAACATGGCCCATGACTCAGTATGGTGTTTCTCCAATTAGAAGCCAAAACGAAACAGATTCTATCACTGTCTTATAGAACAGTTTTTATTAATAAGAATAACCAGTGTTGATTCTTAAGATTTCAGTTGGGCTGTGTATCTGTAGGTCTCATTGAGCAAAGTAAGAAGTTGTTTGTTTGTTTTTTGAGATGGGGTCTTGCACTGTCACCCAGGCTAGAGTGCAGTGGTGTGATTACAGCTCACCACAGCCTCAACTTCCTGGGCTCAAGCAATCCTTCTACCTCAGCTTTCCAAGTAGCTGAGACTACAGGCATGCACTGCCAAGCCTGACTAATTTTTGTATTTTTTTTAGAGACAAGTTTTCACCATATTGCTCAGGCTGGTCTTGAACCCCTAGACTCAAGGAATCCACATGCCTTGCCCTCTCAAAGTGCTGGGATTACAGGAATGAGCCACCATGCCCGGCCAAGGGTTTTAATAGACTGTTTTATTTATTTATTTATTTATTTATTTATTTATTTATTTATTTTTTAAAAGAGAGAAAATCTTGTATTATAAGTGTGCATTGAGTTGGTTGTTGCTTTTTGTTGCTCCTACTCTAGCTTTTAATAATTATTATTGGTTTCTTCACGTTGATTTAATTGGTTGTGAGTTGTTTAACCATAGAGTATATAGAATGCATTTTAATTTCAACAGTATTTTTGGCCTATAATTTTCTAATAATTTGAACATAAGGCATAATGGTGTTATAGCTCAAATGTAAATAATCTGTATATTTTTCTTAAAAAATGTATCTGTACTTCATCTAAAATTCACTTGCACAGTAATACTTCATTGGTGATATGCTCTCTATAAATCTGTGCTACTTAAAACATAAGTTAAATAGTTACAAGATAATAAGATGACCAGGATATTTTTAATTTATAGGGCATTTAAAATACATTTCACCTTATTTAATGCTTACTGTGATTTTGAGAGAAAAATTCCTCCATTTTATAGAAATGGAGAGACAGAGGTAGGATGAAATATAGACTGTTTTCTGAGAGGATTGTAAAAAAGAGTAGAGCCTATCCAAGATGTCAGCCCATACATTGAAATTCTCTCATAAACCGATAGTTTTACATGCACTAGAGGCAAAAAGGCATTACCTGACAGTAGTTTTGATGACTACATTAAGATTTAAATTAATAACAAAAATTTTAAACATATTTATTGTATGATTGCTGATCCAAAGTCATGGGCAATATAGTTCTCAGACTTTTTTACAACATATTACTAGGTCTTGAGCTGTGAGGAGTATGGTTGTCTACTAAAGTTCAGGTTCCATTTCTTATAGTTAATACATTATAAATGGTCTTGCTCAATACAGCCCTCTGTTGTAACTCAATTGTAAATGTTGAACTTTCCCCTTCAGCTTGGATATATAATGATAATCTTTGTAAAGCATAATTTAATTAACTGTTTTAAAATTATTTAAGCAAGAGGTTAGGAAGAGAAATATTCAACTATTTCAGTTCTCTATTAAAATTATAAAAGTTGTTTAAAACTCCCATTTTTCCCGGGCTATTCCTCAGCAATAACCTGATTTAAAAAGCAATTAAGTATGGTGTGGGAAGATATAATACCTTAACCATAAGGCTACAGAATAGAACTATACATTATTGGACCCAGAAGAGATATTAAAACTTAAGTAGTCCAACACCCTCATTTTATGAATGAGGAAACCGTGATCCAAATAGGTTAAATGACTGATCCATGTTCAAACACTAGGTAGGTTAGTGGCATAGATAGGGCTTGATCTCAAGTTCCTTGACTCAATTAGTGATCTTCTCAGTATTCTTTACTGCCTCCAGAAAATCAGAAAGGTGAAAACTGAACTCCAATATTACACTTCCAAAGCATGAACTCTACCTCTTTACATGACTTGAGATGCTTAATCAGTAGTAACCAACAAGATTAAATTTATTATCTTTTTAATTCAGTAAGTTGCCTTGGAAAGCAACCACATAAAATGGATTGCAAGAGACACTTTGGCGGCAATGCCCCTTAGTGTGTGTGGCAGGAATTAGATTCACTGCATTGTGTATGTATCCCAACTGCTAAGAAAGCAGAGTCCTAGGAAAGAGCTACAGGAGCAGGCCAGTGCAACTCCTCTGATTCAGTAAGTAACTTGAATTTCTGATGGAATTTATCACTCATTAGCCTATGGGCCAGGAAAAAAGGAAATCAATGAACAAAAAATATCATAGTGATAAGAGACTATATGTGACCCCTACCTTGACCACATGTGCCTTGAGTTGAGCTTTATCTTCTCGAGATTAAGGAACAGTCTACTCTGCATGGCATACTTGGGCCATACCTAAAATCATGCTTTCTATCATTCTGGGAACTACTTCTTAAGAAAGATACTTGACAGACTAGAATGAAACAAAGATGGCCAGGGGCTGGAAAACACTACCATGTAAAGAAAGGTTAGATATTGGGCTTTTAGTGTCTAGAAAAGAAAAAACTTAGGAATGGAGAAGGGGAAGGGAACTGACATATTTTTAAGTACCTCTTTTGTGCCAGGCACTTTGCGTATATTATCTCTTCTTATTCTCACAGCCACCCTGTACAGTAGGAGTTATCTTCTTTTTTGTTGTTGTTGGTTTCTTTTTTGTTTGTTTTTTGAGACAGAGTTTCGCTCTTGTCCCCCAGGCCGGAATGCAGTGGCGCGATCTCGGCTCACTGCAACCTCTGTCTCCTTGGATCAAGCGATTCTCCTGCCTCAGCCTCCCAAGTAGCTGGGATTACAGGCATGCACCACTATGCCCGGCTAATGTTTGTATTTTTAGCAGAGACGGGGTTTTACCATGTTGGCCAGGCTGGTCTCATAACTCCTTACCTCAAGTGATCCGCCCACTTCAGCCTCCCAAAGTGCTGGGGTTACAGGCATGAGCCATCATGCCAGGATAGTAGGTGTTATCTGCTTTCAAAGTGTCTGATTTGAAGGTATCAGATAACTTGCCTAATACAGAGTTAATATAAAGCAGAGAGATGCATACCTTTGAAGCTCATGCTTTGGATAGGAGTCTTCAAATATTTGAAGAGCTGATATGAACAAGAGGATTGAAGATTGATATGTGTCACTCCAGAGGGTATCCTTAGTAGTGATAGTAGCAGTTGTAAATGTAGCAGTAATATTAGCAGTAAGATCAAGAGCTGATATTTACTGAGCACTTATTTTGTACCAGGGACTGTGCTAAGTACTTGATTTGTGTTAACTTGTTTAATTGCAATCCTATGAGGTAGGTACTATTGTTATCTCCATTTTTACATATAAAGAAACTGAAACACAGAGATTAAGTGATCTACCCAAGATCATATAAATGAGGGAACCTGGATATGAACCCAGGTAGCCATAGGAATTCAGATTTTCGCCTAGCATATAGGGGAAAACCTTTCTATTCAAACTGTCTGGCGGTGGAATGGGTGTTCTTATGAAGCAAGGACTTTTCCAGTCCTGAACATGTTTAAGTATGTCTAGATGCCACTGTTAGGCATGCTGTGAATGAGATTCTTTTACTGGGATCAAGGTTAAAAGTAAGATAACCTCAAAGGACCATTTCAACTCTAAAATTATACAAATCTGATTTGACATGTCTACTGGTTAGTGAGCAGCTATGACCTTTCTAGTCCATTTGTGGACTTAGTTGGGTACTCAGAGCTCATAGTAGAAAGGCTTCACTTCTGTTACTGTAGATGAGCTGTTGGCACAGGAGAAGTATAAGTTAATGCACTGGGCCACCAAATGGAGAGAAGCCATTCCAAGGGTCTGTTGCAAGAACCAATTTAGAAACCACTGGACAAGGTCAAAAGAAATCCATTAATGAAAATTGATTAGTCTGTAAGGTTCTGGTTTCTCATTGTAATAATTTGTAATCCAAATGAATTTAGTACCCACTTTCAAATTCCAACACTTTCAATTTTATCTTAATAATTCCTAGTATCAACCTGCCATATGCTTCTTCCCTTTCCAACCCTGTGATAATGTCAGTTATCTATTCATTCAGACACCTTTGTATTTCTAATATTGGCCAACTAAAAAAGCCATCTGTGGGTTCATATAAAATGCTCACCTAGAGGATAAAAGGTTTCATTGAATTTAAAAACACAAAGTACTATGCCATGAGGAAAATAACCCACAGATAAAGCTAAATAGCTTACTCTCTTCCTCTCCCCCAGCCTTTCTTTGCCTTTCTTTGGCTACCTTTATAAAATAAAATATTTCATGAGAAAAATTAGCTCTCTAGGAATTCCATCACTGTCAGTAGTAAAAGTGAGAAGACACTATCAGTAACCTCTTTTACCCACTCTTGAGAGCTTTGGAAAGGCAGCTAGGAACGTAGCTTATCACTACTTCCTGGGTCAGAGATAACAGCTGTTAGTCACCTGGGAAGGCAGCAGAGCAGAGAGAAGCTAGCCAAGAACTGCTCTGGAGAAATACAAACATAAAAGCTTAAGACTCTTCAATCAGTTGCTCCTCAGACTGCTGAAAACCCCCTGTAGAAGGCCAGTCGAGTCTTTGAATGTGCTCATTTTTTTTTTTCTGGAGACTCACTGATCAATTTGGTATTGTGCATTGTACAAAGGATCAAAAATCAGAGTCTGCCTACATTGATTGTGATTCCATGTGTCTTGCTAAGGTTACGTGACATTTTTCCCAGATGCTCAGTCCCTAGAGAAGGGAATTCTCTAACAGTGGTCTAGTTATGTTTCATATCTAGCCTTTCTCTCAATTCAACTTAAAGCACCAGTGATATTTCAGAAACAAAGTCTGAGACTTTTATTATTAGAAACATTTTTATTGACCTAACAGAAGCCTTTGATTTAGTCACCCATATACAGTTTCTTCAGAAATCCCGTGATTCTGGATTTAGCAGTGACCCTGTAAAATGGTTTTCTCTCCATTTAGTTCTTGCCAACTTAGCCTCGACCTGGAGGTCCAAAATACTTGCAGACTGTCATTTTTAGTGAAGAATAACTGAAGTCTTTCGTTGGCTGATGGTGAAGGAGAGTTCAAAGACTACGCTGGCAGCTCCATTTGCTATCACAGGAAGTTTCTCCTTTTGAAATCATCTCCCTCTTTCTAGCAGATCTGCTGTGTCAAGGGTGTGCTTTTTAGCAGAATTTATTCCTTGAGTTGCTTTCGGTGTAAGTTATCTGCAAAGGCAAAACATTCATGGTAATTTATGTGACATAACTTATTTCAGTAGAGTAATAGAATGGTAGAGCTAAAGGGGATGTTATGGAAGCTTCTGCTTGATATTCTTGTTTTATAGATGGGGAAACTGAGGCACAGAGGTGTTAAATTACTCACCTGAAGCCATACAAACTAGTTAGTGTCAGAGCCTAGAGTACAAACCCAGGCCTCGGGACTCCTAATCAAGTGTTTTTTTCTAATATGTTATGCTGCTTTCTGCCTAGCTAATTCGTGTAGAATTTACCTATCATAATATACATACATATTACATGTAAATAAATATTAAATAGACAGATATGTATGTTATGTATTCTATTGGTGGCAACATAACCTAGCAGTTAAGAGCAGACATAGATCTGAATTCTACCCCTTAATACTGGTGTGAATGTATACATCTAACTTAATCTCTGAGCCTCAGTTGCCTCATCTGTAAAACTGAGACAATAAGAGTACTCACTCACCTGTTAAAATTATGAGAATGAAATAAGAAAATGCATGTAAAGTACTTTGTAAACTGCCTTGTGCATAGTAAACTCTCTGTGAATGATAGCTATTTTTACTATTTAACTTTTTTCTATATAGCTCATTCAGTTCCACCCCCCACCGCCTCCCCTCCCCAGGATGAGAATTCCCTTGGAAATCTTAATTTTATTAAGCTAGCATGCAAATGTGTTGTAATGCAACATTCTTCTAGCTAGACTGAGTCTAGTGTATCTGTTTTTTTTCTAAGTTAATTGCAGCCTGATTTGGTTCTGTTTAGTATCACATCTATTTCCACAAACAGGAAATTGTCTTTTCTATATTTTGATTGGCAGGGATGGTTTTATAAACTATATTGAATTATATTAGTGTTTCTCTATGGTGGAGGAGACACTTTCATTATAAGCCTCTGTTCCTAGGTGCTTATCTTTTTCATAAAATTACCCTTTGGACTGATGTATTTTCAACTTGTTTTCTATTTCAGATGGGGTGGAAAAATTGGAGGGTGTGAAAAATGGAGAAATTTCTTATAACATTTTATTTGACTACCAAGTAATCACATTTGAAGATTTTCCTGTTTGCCCCTGCAGTTTCAAAATGTTAAAATCCCATAAGAACCCAGAAACACACAGCATAATTATTTTAAAGAACAGCTTGCAGAAATTCTGCAGGAAGCAACAATGTATATATGAGATCAGAGTTTTATGAAGACACGGTACCTGGTCCCAGAAGCTTTCTTTTTCAAATCATCTTTGACAATCGAGATTAAAAAAAAAAAAGACAAATAGATTTCTTTAAATTGGATCCTGCTTTGTTATATTCCCAGCTATCCTCCTTTCTCAACATGGTTGAAAAATGTTTATCAGGGGAAAAAAAAGAGGAACAAAGTAAGCAGGAAGTAAAGGTTAAAGAGCAGTTAAGAAAAACAAGAATTTGTAAATGCCCAAGACCAGAAACCGGAGCCCAGTGCCCTGGGGATTTCAGTCAAATTGCTGTCAACAGGATCTGAAAGAGATGGAGTTCCATTGTAAGGAGAGTGCCATTCATTAGGGCTAATCCCAACTAAAGGGGATGTGCCTGAGTACCTGAGAGGAGGCAGAGTCAGTTGAAAGAGAATATAAAGGTTATGTCTAGGAGTAGTATAGAAACTTCAAAAGCAACAAGAAGACATGGGCTGAAAGGTTGGGCTCTATAGTGGAAGTTAGAGAATGGAGGAACAAGAAGGGATTGTTTTATCACTTAAACTAGTACTAAGTAATGTGGTTATTACAAAATTGCCTGTAACTTAGCAACCCCCATTTAAAATGTAAGCTCCATGAGATGAGGGCTTATTGTCTGTTTGTTTACTGATACTAATATATATATCTCCAGCACCAAGAGCAATTTCTGGCCATAGTAGGTGCTCAGTGAACATTTGTTGAATTAGTGAATGATAGAAGTTTACTATGAGGTTTCCTCCTATAAAATAAAGTTAATTTGTTTCCCTGAACTGCCTCTAATTGCTGCTTTGGAGTGATGAGGAGTAAAAGGTAAAGAAGGACCTTAAACCCAAGATGTAAATCAAAGTAACAGTGGAAACCTGGCTCAGGGCAAGAATGGTTTGAGGGCTGCCTTTAGAAAGTGTTCCATTCATCTTAGTTGGCAGCAAAATCGCCTTCATTTTTCGGATATCCTTTCCCTGAATCCTTAGATGTACTATGCTGGCATTAGAAGGGAAGCTAAAGTCAGGCATCCCCAAAGACAAGACTCCCTATTTGACATTTCACCTGCTACTGACAGCCTATGGCAGTTGCTGTTCCATTGCTTGATTCAAAAAAACAGCCTCACACATCAGAAATTCTTCCCCCCTTGTTACTCTCTTAAGCTAATTTGAACCTGTGTAACCTCTGTGTGGGCTCGTCATGCCAGCTCCTAGAACAGTGCCTGGCACCTAGCAAGTACTCAATAAATATTTATTGAATGAAACGACCCTGTCTGGTCTCACAGTTTGAAAGACTACCTGTTTTGTTGGTCCCCTTTCCATAGTCCCCCAAAGAAGATAGAGATATATCAGGAAGAGCAATTATGGGGAAATTGAAGAAAAGGAATGGAAAGTAATTGCAATTTCATGTGTGCCCAGATTCCAGTGCACTTTGGAAAATCCCCTCCGTATCTCAGATGAGTTGCAACTCCAAATCAACATGTAAAGCAGTTATTTTAAATGTGCAATGCTAAGACTCAAGAAAGTTTAGTACCTGCTTTCATTCTAGGGTGAAAAGAAAATTCAGTGCTGTTTGTGTGTGTGTGTGTGTGTGTGTGTGTGTGTGTGTGTGTGTGTGATTATACATGAATACTTATACTTCAGATGACGTTATTAAAACATATGTGTCTTTCTTATGTTTATCTGGCCCACCAGTTAGGGAGTTATATTTAGGTATGTAATTCAAGATTTCCTCACACCTAATCCCAAAGCATTTGAGCATAACCAACATTTTGCTAAAAGGGGGTGGTGTGTGAAGGCAGATATGCTTTCTACAGGATGAAAGTTGGAATTTGAGTCCCTAAAGGTTTATAGACAGGCCTAGGAGACCCCTGCTCTCAAAGCCAGGAAGTAAAATATCATGGACAGTATTTTTAATACTAGGGCTAGATGTGTAGGATGTGAAACTAGTACAGGAAATTTAGAACAAGAACATTTGGCAACCTTGTGCTTCCTGTCTAAAATAACCATTATGGAACATCAGTGGGAGGTGGTAGGCTATAGTGAATTTTAACATTTTTTGTATTAGACTGCCATACTACTGAACTTTTCATATGTTATAGATTTTTTTCTGTTTTATTTTTGCTTTTTGTTCTTAGAAAAGTCAGTTCCCAAGTGGGGTGTGTGTGTGTGTGTGTGTGTGTGTGTGTATGTGTGTGTGTGTGTGTGTGTAAGGGAATATCTATATTTAGTATCTGCCTTTAGGTGTATTTGTTTCCAGAGTTACTTCTTTAACAACTGACATGGTATTCTTTGGGCAAGTCATTTATTTTGAGCACTGTAAGATTTCTGATGGGAGTGCTGTAAGCTCCAGCTCTAAATTGATGTTGAAGAATCGATAAACTACTTAGCAGAGGAATAAATGGCTTGAGGAAAAAAATAACCAAGTAAAATGTGTCTCTCTTTCTGTCCAAGCATGTATAGTGAGACGGAGCATATTTGACAAAGAGAGCATTAAACGGCTGTCACCTTCAGGGTCCTGTCCCTCATCTGGTTTAATTTTGTAGATTTTTTTTTTTAATTCAGACAGAGATCACCACAAAAAGATTAGAACCTGCTGATTAAAGGTTGGCAAAAGGTTTGGGATCATGAAAGCAACCAGATTCTTTTCCTAAAGAAGTAAGAATTATTTTCCCCTACTTAGAGTATCCTTATTAAATAGCATTGTCCCAGATATTATTCAGAGCAATCCAGGAATTAACTTTTTAGTTCAGCAAAAATTTATTGAGCACCTTTTTGGTACTAGATACTCTGCTAGATATTGTAAAAACAACAGTGAAAAAATATATACAAAGGTCGCTGCCCTCATTGAGCTTTACAACAGACAAATAAACATGGAAATACATAAATATATGCATAAAATACTTATCAACTATAGGAAGTGCTAAGATAGCTATGGATGAGTAAAAATATGAGAGGACCTACTTTGATATCATGGAAAAAAGGTTTCTATGAGAAAGTGAATTTTAGGCTGAGACCTGATAATTGAGGAAGTACCTGTCATGCAAAGAGCCTGAGGAACAGCAAGCACAGGTCTCTGAGGCAAGAGATGAGTGGTTGTATTGCGGGAACACAGGGAAGGCCAGTATAGTTGAATGAGAGGGAATGTAGCATGAGATGAAGTTGGGAGAGGTAAACATCATACTGGGCTTATAGGTCCAAACAAGTTTGGATTTTTATTCTAAGAGCAGTGAGAATCCATAGAAAGATTTTAAGCACAGGAGTGATAATGAATTGTTTTACACTTTTTAAAAGACTACTTTGACTGCAACCGTGGTTTGAATGTCTCCTCCAAAACTCATGTTAAAATTTAATTGCCAATGTTAACAGTATTGGGAGATGGGACCTGTAAGAGATGATTAGGTCATTGCCAATGTTAACAGTATTGGGAAATGGTACCCGTAAGAGATGATTAGGTCATGAGGGCTCTGTCCTCATGAATGAGTTAGTGCCACAGGACTGGATTAGTTATTGCAGGAGTGGACTTCTGATAAAAAGATAGAAGTTTGGCCCCCATTCCCTCTGTTTTGTGTGCTTGCTTGCCCTTCTGCCCTTCAGCCGTGTTATGATGTAGCATGAAGGCCCTTGCCAGATGTAGCCCCTTAATATTGGTCTTCCCAGCCTTCAGAACCATAGGCCAAATAAACTTCTTTTCTTTATAAATTACCCAGTTTGTGTTATTCTGGTATAGCAACAGAAAATGTACTAGAGATAGCTGCTCAGCAGAGAATGAGTTAAAGATGGGCAAGAGTGGAAGCATGACACAGCCAGTTAGGAGGCTATTTACTTACTGCAGGAGCCTAGATAAGAGAACATGGTGACTTGGATGATGTTAGCAATGGTGATGAAAAATGTACAGATTCAAGATGTATTTTAGAATTATAATCAAAAGATAAGATTTAACCGATGGTTGGAATATATGGAATGTTGAAAGAGTAGGAGCCAAGGCCAACTTCCAGTAGAAAGACAGAAATGATGATGCAGAAGAAGAAAGAGGAACATCTGCAGTCTAAGCAGCAAGAAAGGATGGGATTTAGCGACACTTGTTCCATTTTAACAACACAGAATATAGATAGAGACATAGACAGGTTTGCAGATTTGGTGGTAGGAAGATGAAAGAGCTACTTCTTCTGATACCTTTTTCTTCTCCATGAAGTATGAGGCATATCATTAGTTAATGGCAGGAAGTGGAGTGGAGTGGGGGAAAATATAGGAGGATTGAAGATAACAATGAAGATATTGTCACTTTAAAGAGTGGGAAAGCAAGTTTAATACAGAAGTAGCATTGTTGAGCAGAGATGAGTGCTCAGTTGAGGCTTGTGATCATGAATGCTTTAAATGAACGTGAAGCCCATTTGCTCAGCTATGTGCATTTTTCCCCATTCAAGTTTAGTAGCTCAGGTGCAGGTCCAGAAAGGCAATTTAATTGAATTCAACTCACATTTTGTTACATGAGTGCATCAGGGAGAATATAATATGATATAATAGAATGAGCACATGACTAGGGGTCAGAAGGCCTGGGCTGTGATGCAAGCTCAGCTAATTACAAGCCATGTGACCTTAGGCAAGTTGCTTAATATTGCTCTGCCTCTCTTTTCTCATTAGGAACATAAGAAGATTGGACTAAATAATCTTTAAGGTTCTTCTTAACTCTAAAACTCTGTGATTATTTTCTTTTTCCTCTTGTGACAATTCTTGATCTCAACCAATTTCTCATTAATAAAATGTTTTTGTTAAATATGTAGACTCTGAAGCCAGACTGCTGAAATTTGAATTCTAGCTCCACCAGTTCTAAGCTGTGCAATCTTGAGTAAGTCATTTCACCTTTTAATGCCAGAGTTGCTTCATCATTGCCATGGGCGTCATAGTAGCATATACCTTAAGAGGGTTATTGTAAGGATTGAATGAGTCAATGTGTGTAAAGCTCCTAGAACAGTTTCTGGCATGTACTGTACCCTCAAAAAATGTTAGCCATTATTGTTACCCAAAGTTCTGTATCATTTCTTGGGCCAGAAAATGTCTGAAAGTTTGGAATTCCTTATGCTTACAGGCATGCATACCCCTAACACCCTATTTAGAGCACCTCATTTTGCTTCAGGGTGATAGTGTGGCATAGAAAATGTATTTTGGAACCAGACGAACCTTGGTTTGAATCCTGAGTCTGCCATTTACTTAGCTGTGAGACCTAGGGTAAATAAATTAGCCAGTTGATATTCAAATTCCCCTTCTACAAAATAAGTAAGCAGTAATATTTATCTGATAGTTTGTGGATAAAATTAAATGAGATAGTGCATGTAAAATACCTGACCATATAGGGCTTGGCATGTAATGGGCATTTAATAACAGCAGTTATTGCTGTTATAGTATCCTGCCCTAATATATGACTTCTTATGCCAGCTATTGAGGAATAGGTGACTTTTGTTCTTATTGCTTCTTATTCTCATGGAGCACCGAAGAGCAACAAGTAGCCCATCAGAGAGAAAGATCTGAAAGTAGGAGCAGGATCAGCCAGTACATTGAAGATGGGGTGAGGCTAGAAGGGCTAAATAAAGAAGTGCACATTTGTTATATGTTACAATAAACACTAAAAACACATAGATTACTTTTAACAGTGAAATCTTCCTTTTGAGTTGAATGCCATGCCAGTGATAGTGGGTTAATAGAACCAGAGACAATCATAAGGCTGATCTACTCAGTTCTCAGTCTAGGAAGGTCACCATTGCCTTTCACTTCTAGACAAAGACGCCATTCACGGCTTAATTCTACTGATCCCAGGACGTTGGCCATTCCTGGGAAATCTTTGAGCTCCTTGATGAAAAGGCATCATATGAGGCTGAAAAATGTAATATAATTTCATTTATAACTGACCCTCAGAACTCCTTTGGGAGCAGCACCTATTTTGCTTCCTGGATTTGAAAACTTCCTACTGAGTTGTATTGATTATTATTTTATTTTACAGAAAGGAAATATGGGGGAGAGCCCCTCATTTAAATGATTTTGTGTAACAATCAAAATGGATCATATAGGGCTAAAAAAGAGCTCAATGAATATAGATGTTTTAATCCCAATGTTACTTTCCGTATGGTATTAATTACAAACATAAATTAGACCAGAAGTTTTTGTTTTCCTATCAATTTCATTTAAGAAAAATATTAGATTTAATTATCCTAGCTAAAATCTTAGTCTTTCTTGTTAAATGTATTTCATCTTATTAGCCTGTTAATTTCTTCTGTTAAGCTGACTGACTAATATTAATGCAAAGTTTTATCAACTGAAAACGGAAAGTAAACTTGTATTGTACCCCTAATTTCCCCTTGTATGTGCTAGTTAAGTAATTTGAACCCAGAAGCTAAATTACCTTTACTAGAGACCACAAAGCAGATTAGTTAGTATGAATTATGGGCTTGCTTTCTGCCTCAGATATTTGCTCATATCTATTTTTCTTGCTCTAAAAAGATTGTGGTAATAATTGTGATCTTACCAGGTTACACCGTTCTAGTGGCTGGAGCATCAACTCGGATATTGGGATACCATTTGCAGTTGAGCAGGTTCACATCACTTCTCAATCCATTTCCTCTTCGGAAAAATGACAATGATAATATCTGTCCTTATCTCTTTTGCTTGGAGGTTGTAAGAATAAATGAAACATGGATGGAAACAGTTTGAGCATAAATACATAAATCCGAGGAATTATGACTCTTCAGGAATTATTTATGTATACCAGTATTTGTGTATTTAGAAAGCCCCTCCCTTACCCATAAACACATGCACACTTCACCATCATCATCAAACTTAAAGAGACATGCACACATAAATCCTCATGTTTTCAAACATACTTTTTTTCCTCATTGGCTTTTAAAAAATGGTTACTTTGAACTGTGTAGAATTGGATGGACATTAATATACTTTTATCTGGCTATGTATCTATTTATTTATTCATTAATATAGTCAACAGATATTTATTAAGTTCTACTATATGCCAGATACTGTAATATGCTGGGGGAAAAATATAATAATCAAGACAGGAATGACTCTTGGCTCATGAGCTTATGGCCAAATAAGGAAGACAACAGACTCTTTAAAAAGTTTAAGTACTGTAATGGGGGATTGTCAGAGCATAGTAGAGTACCTAGCAGAACCTTAGATGTAGAGGGTAGAAAAGGTAGAAATGCTTCCCACAGAAGTAATGTTCATGCTGAGGCTTTTAGAGAATGAGTAATTGCAACCTAGCAAAGAGAAGTGGGGAAGAGCATTCCAGTCAGAGGGGGCAGAATCACTGCAAAGTTGTGCAGTAATTTGGTGTGTATATCTATCTACACTTAGATATCAACCCATTTACAGGTAGCTGTGCCTCTGCCTAAACTTGGAGAAACTGCATGGCTTTTCAGACCTTGTGAATTGTTGGCTTTGTCCCTGAATACACTGAATGGATGAAACCCTGGCCTAGCATGAACTGCTTTTGCTCGTTGATTACTTTTCTAACTCATAAAAGTCAAGTTCTCAATCTTGAATGTTTTTTAGAACCTTCTTATGGTTCTGAGTGTTGTTTATTTTGGTTATCCCGACTGCAGATAATTGTGTATTTGCACTGACCATGAATTTAGATGCTTTTAACAAGTTTCTGCATTTTGGCTGGGTTAGTTACTCTATTTAGTAGAGTTGTGTCCATCAACACACAGGCTGTTTTATCTATCCAAGCCCCAATAAGTGAGTATAATTTCCTGATATTAACATAGACTCAGAAACCACTGGTCTATGTGATTTGAATAATGACCATTTATTTTTAAACCATTTTAAGACCATATAAATCACTTTCTAAAATTAGTTGAAGTCATTTCCTTCCCAGACTTTCTAGGATTTTCTTCCTTCACTGAGCTCTAGCTACTAACAAGCTTTCAGTTGTATATGTTTGAATTATCTCTTGTTCACTTTTAAAAATTTTCCTACACCATTTACAAAGCAACAAACCACTGCCTTGTTTTTTCTTAAACCTAAAAACACTTTACCCCACAAATTGATGTCTGGACCCAAGCCAAGCACAGCACTCTTCACAAGGAAAGTAGAGAATGTTGTGTATAATTAACAGAGGGCCATGGTAACTCATCTCACTGGCTTGAATATGGATCTAATGTCTGCAGATGCTAGCACTTCTGAGGCACAGAAAATGAATGGTTTTAAATGTGATCCTGGTATGCACTTGACAATACATATGGTGAACGACTATAATGTGTAATTACATATGCTTATCTCTTTGTGGGACTTTTATTTATTTATTTACAAAAAGGGCACCAAAGCCCAACTCTGTCTGTTTGGACTGTGTAAGTTGATGGCTGACAAAGCAGGGTTCAGAGTTGACATAATGTCTACCACATGGTTAACTTTAGTTTTTGAATGTGACTATTGATAGTTGTAAAGAAAACACACTTCTCTATTCTTTCATAAAACATCGTATTATGAAAAATTTTAAATATAGAGAAAACATGGTATACAGTAGTCCTTTTTTTCTGCAGGGAATATGTTCCCAGATTCCCAGTGGAAACCTAAAACCATGGATGGTACTGAACCTTATATAATGCTATATTTTTTCCTATACCTACCTATGATAAAGCTTAATATATAAATTAGGTACAGTAAGAGATTAACAACAATAACCAATAATAAAATAGAACAACTATAACAATATACTGTAATAAGTTATATTAATATGGTCCTCCTCTTCCTCCCTCTCTCTCTTTTTCTCTCTCTCATAATATCTTATGCATTGTACTCAGCCTTCTTCCTCTTGTAATCTATTGACATGATAACTGAGAGGTCTACTAAGTGACTAATGGGTAGGTAGTGTATACAGCATGGCTACTCTGAATGAGGCCGTAAATCATCCATGCCTCAGATGAAATGGAGTAGAATGAGTGAGATTCAATTGTGCTACTCAGAATGGTGTACAATTTAAAACTTAGGAATTGTTTATTTCTGGAATTTTCCATTTAATATTTCCAGACTGTGCTTGACCACAGATAACTGAAACTGTGGAAAGCAAAACTGCAGTTAAGGGAGAACTACCGTACAGTTATACTCACCATACAGATTTACCAAACATTAATATTTTCTGTATTTGTTTCCAGCCACTTAAGAATACAGATATACCATATACCAGTTGAAGTTTACTTTGTGCCCTTCCCTAATGAAATTTCCCTCCCTTCATACCCAGAGGAAGTACCCCCCCGAAGTTGGTGTGGCCCTTTACCAGCCATGTGTTTGTACACATGTATGAATTTAGGAACAGTATTTGGCATAGTTTAAATGTTTGTAAAATTTGTATAATACTGTATGTATCATAAAGTAACTTGCTTTTTTCACTCTATATTTTTGAGATTTATCTATATTACTATACATATCCATTCATTTTAACAGCTGTAGAATATTTCATTTTATGAATGACTATTTCTTAATGTATTTGTCAATTTCCTTGTTGATGGATGTCTCAGATTGCTTCTCATTTTTTACTATTACGAAAAGCATTCCTATACACATCATTTTTTCATGTCATTTTGTGCATGTGTGTGAGATATTTTTCACCTTAAAGTGGTGTTGCTGGGTTGCGGAAGGTATGCATCTTCAACTTTACTAGATATTGCCAAATTGTTCTCCAAAGTTGTTGTACCACTTTATACTTCCACAGATAGTTCATGGGGGTTCCACATCTCCAGCCCTCAGTATTGTCAGTCTTAAATATTTCATCAATTTCATAGGTATGAAATAATGTCTCACTGTGTTTTAATGTGCATTTTCCCATTTATTAGTGAGGTTTATTAGCTTTCCATGTGTTTATTGGCCATGTGGGTTTCCTTTTCTGAGAATTGCCTATTCATATCATTTGCTCGTTATTCTATTTGGTTGTTAGTCTTTTTGTTATTGATTTGAAGGATACTAATCCCTCATGCTTTGTAAATATCCTTTCCCAGCCTGCAGCTTGTCTTTTAACTTTACTTACTGCCTTTGCTGAACAAGCCCTTTTAATTTTACTGGAATAAAATATATCAAGGTCCTATTCTTTAAATATAAAACTGTGTAAAAGAGAGTATCATTCTCACACAACCTGGAATACTTCTCATTAAATTAAAATGAAGCAACTTGAAGTAAGACACCAGATTATATTGATATGACTTCACATAAAATAAGCTTTGGAAGTTACCTGCAAATGTACGAGAGTTGCTATCACTAAAAATGTAACTTCAGTAGACCCTTGAAGAAAACTAACTAAAGTTATGGAAGATGAAAAAGATCTAGACATCTGCTGTACAACAATGTACAGGTAGTTAGCAATACTCTATTGTACATTTAAAATTTTGTTAAGAGGGTAGATATCATGTTATTTGTGTTTTTTTCTGCAATAAAAAGGAAGCTAGGTAAATAATTCGGTATATTTCTTTCAACCTGGAAAAAAGCCATTTCCTAAGAAATCTGTCAGTTCCTTTATCAACAGCTATTTGCCTTGGATAAATAATTTCACCTCTCTTCTCATTTTTCCCAAATATAAAGTGAAGAAATTGTTTTATAGTCTCTAAGGCCACTCCAGCTCTAATAGTTTTATGGCATGAGAAATAATGAGTTAAATGTATTCTAATGATTTCAAATGTTCATTAAGAATTTTTCCAATTCCAGATCATGCAGATTTTTTAAGGAATTCTACTAATATCTCTTGGAGGGCTTTTCGTACACATCTGTAGTCTCTTTCAACCCTTGAGTGTCATTGGTAGTGCCCCAGATAATTCCCATAGATGCTCTCGGAAGACATAAGCTAAGAGAAGAAAAAATAATGAAGAAGAAAGATAAGTTGTAAAAGATCAGAGAGGGAAGAGGGAGTGAGGATAGTGAAGTATATTTGGAGAGGAAGCTCCAAGACCATTCTGTAACACCAAAGTTGGTGACCTGTGTTCCAAAAAGTCAGAAAAATATATTATTTTAATAAAGAACAGAAGGTCTAATATGTGGATGTGGGCTGGCAAATATGTGACTCTTGGTCAAATGCATACATCAGCAGCATCTGACTTATAAATTATTGCCCTTTGCATTTAAAGATGATCTGTATCATGACTTTTGATCTCTATTGGCAAATGGCTGTCTTTTGCATGCTGCCTCCATGTGAAAGCTCTGATTTTGCAGTGAAAGCCACTACTAGAAGATTTTTTTAGATTTTTTTCATATAAGACTGTGCTTCTGGTATTCTCGGCTCGAATCCTTATCAGAAACAGCCATCCTATCCCCTAAGGTCTGCTGCCACTCACCAACACTCTCTCAGGTGTGTTTGAGGTGAGCATCCTTTAAAAATCATTTCTATACTTTTCATTGTCCCATTTATTTTTCCTGATTATCTTTTATTTTGCAGATTTTCTGCCCCTCTATATATCTGCCAGTAGCCTGGTTTTGTTAGAGGAGTTTAGTGTGGGTGTTCTTCTGTTAGACTTCCAGGTGATGCTGATTAAACTATGAAAGAAGACAGTTAGCATCCAAGTCTCATAGTAAAATAAAAGGATAGGCATGGTCACTCTACCCGTCAGCACCCTTTTACATTACAGATGCTCCTTGACTTACAATGGGGTTACATCCCAATAAACACATTATAAGTTGAAAATATTGTAAGTTAAAAATGCATTTAATATACCTAATCTAGCAAACATCACAGCTTAGTCTAGCCTACTACTTTAAATGTGCTCAGAACACTTATATTAGCCTACAGTTGGGCAAAATCACCTAACACAAAACCCATTTTATAATAAAGTATTGAATATCTTTTTTTTTCTTTTTTTATTATTATTATACTTTAAGTTTTAGGGTACATGTGCACAACGTGCAGGTTTGTTACATATGTATACATGTGCCATGTTGGTGTGCTGCACCCATTAACTCATCATTTAGCATTAGGTATATCTCCTAATGCTATCCCTTCCCCCTCCCCCTACCCCACAACAGTCCCCAGTGTGTGATGTTCCCCTTCCTGTGTCCATGTGTTCTCATTGTTCAGTTCCCACCTAGGAGTGAGAACATGCGGTGTTTGGTTTTTTGTCCTTGGGATAGTTTGCTGAGAATGATGGTTTCCAGCTTCATCCATGTCCCTACAAATTATTGAATATCTTATGCAATTTATTGAACACTGTATTGAAAGTGAAAAACAGAATGGCTTTTTGCTGCTGCCTGGCATGTCAAGAAAGTATTGTACCACATATTGCTAGCCTCGGAAAATATCAAAATTCAAAATTTGAAGTAGTATTTCTATTGAACGATGTTGCTTTCGCACTATTGTGAAGTTGAAAAATCATAAGTCAAACCATCATATGTCAAGGACCATCTGTACATTCAAGCCTTACAGGAACATTAACTTTTCCTTGAATTTACTTTTGCATTCTGTGCACTTTGTGCCTTTGCTCCAGCAGTCCGTCTGGCCTGAAATGCTCTGCTCTCGTTTCACTTCCTCTCCTCTGTGTTCTACTTATTCTCTCTCTTTTTTTTTTTTTTTTTTTTTTTTGAGACGGAGTCTCACTCTGTCACCCAGGCTGGAGTGCAGTGGTGCGATCTCGGCTCACTGCAACCTCTGCCTCCTGAGCTCAAGCAATTCCTCCTGCCTCAGCTGCCTGAGTAGCTGGGACTACAGATGCTTGCCACTAAGCCTGTCTAATTTTTTTTGTTTTTTGTAGAAACGGGGTTTTGCCATTTTGCCCAGGCTGGCCTCAAACCCCTGGACTTAAGTGATCCACCTGCCTCGGCCTCCCAAAGTGCTGGGATTACCTGCAGTAGCCACTGCGCCTGGCCTGCCCTACTTATTCTTTTTTTTTTTTTTTTTTTTTTTTTTTAATTTATTTATTTATTTTTATTTATTTATTTTTTTTTTAATTTTTTTTTTTATTATACTTTAAGTTTTAGGGTACATGTGCACATTGTGCAGGTTAGTTACATATGTATACATGTGCCATGCTGGTGTGCTGCACCCACTAACTCGTCATCTAGCATTAGGTATATCTCCCACTGCTATCCCTCCCCCCTCCCCCGACCCCACCACCGTCCCCAGAGTGTGATATTCCCCTTCCTGTGTCCTTGTGATCTCATTGTTCAATTCCCACCTATGAGTGAGAATATGCGGTGTTTGGTTTTTTGTTCTTGCGATAGTTTACTGAGAATGATGGTTTCCAATTTCATCCATGTCCCTACAAAGGACATGAACTCATCATTTTTTATGGCTGCATAGTATTCCATGGTGTATATGTGCCACATTTTCTTAATCCAGTCTATCATTGTTGGACATTTGGGTTGGTTCCAAGTCTTTGCTATTGTGAATAATGCCGCAGTAAACATACGTGTGCATGTGTCTTTATAGCAGCATGATTTATAGTCATTTGGGTATATACCCAGTTATTCTTTAAGAATGAGCTCAAACATAACTTACTGAAGAGGTCACCCCTCCCCAGAGAATTAGTCATTTCTTTTCTTTTTTAAAAAAAATTTTATTTTTAATTAACAAATAAAAGTTGTATATATTTAATGACATGATGTTTTGAAATATGCATAAATTGTGGAATAACTAAATTGAGCTAATTAACATATGTGTTACATCACATACTTAACATATTTTGTGGTGAGAACACTTAAAATGTACTCTCTTAGTGATTTTCAAGAATACATTATTATTAACTGTAGTCACCATGTTTTACAATAGATCTCTTGAATTTAGTCCTCCTTTCTAACTGAAATTTTGCACCCTTTGACCATAATATCCTCAACTCCTCATCCCCCAACCACTTCCTGGTAACCACCATTCTACTCTGCTTCTGTGAGTTTAATTTTTGTAGATTCCACATATAAGTGAGATCATGTGGTATTTGTCTTTCTGTGCCTGGCTTATTTCACTTAACGTAATGTTCTCCACTTTCATCCATGTCGTTGGCAAATGACAAGATTTCTTTCCTTTTAAATGCTGAATAGAATTCTTTTGTATATATTTTCCTTATTTTCTTTATTCATCTGTTGATGGAAACTTAGGTTGATTCCACATCTTGGCTATAATGAATAGTGCTGCAATGAACATGGAAGTGTAGATACCTGTTTGGACATACTGAATTTATTTCCTTTGGATGGACACCTAAAAGTGGGATTGCTAGGTCATATGGTAGTTCTATTTTTAATTTTATGAGGAACCTCCATACTCTTTTCCATAATGGCTATACTAATTTATATTACCACCAACAATGTGCAAGCACTCCCTTTTCTCCAGATTCTCACTAACACATGTTATCTTTCATCTTTTTGATAATAGCCATTCTGTCAGGTGTGGGGTGATAACTCATTGTGGTTTTATCTGCATTTCCCTGATAATTAGTAACATTGAGCATCTTTTCACATACCTGTTGGCTATCAGAATGTCTTCTTTTGAGAAATGTCTATTCAGGTCCTTTGTCCATTTTTAAAATCGGGTTATTTTCCTGCTATTGAATTGAATTCCTTACATATTTTGGATAGTAATTCCTTATCAGATAAATGGTTTGCGAATGTTTTCTCCCATTCTGTAGGTTGTCCCTTCAGTCTATTGTTTCCTTTGCTATGCAGAAGCTTTTTAGATTGATGTGTATCCTATTTGTCTATTTTTGTTTTTGTTGTGTGCTTTTGGGGTCCTATCCCTAAAATCATTGCCCAGACCAATGTCATGGTGCCTTTTTTCTTTGTTTTGTTTTTCTTTTTTAATTATACTTTAAGTTCTGGGATACATGTGCAGAACATGCAGGTTTGTTATATAGGTATACACGTGCCATGGTGGTTTGCTGCACCCATCAACCTGTCATCTGCATTAGGTATTTCTCCTCCTCTACCCTCCCACCCGCTGACAGGCCCCAGTGTGTGATGTTCCCCTCCCTGTGTCCATGTGTTCTCATTGTTCAACTCCCACTTATGAGTGAGAACATGCAGTGTTTGGTTTTCTGTTCCTGTGTTAGTTTGCGGAGAAGGATGCTTTCCAGCTTCATCCATGTCCCTGCAAAAGACATGAACTCATCCTTTTTTATGGCTGCATAGTATTCCATGATATTTATTTGCCACATTTTCTTTATCCAGTCTATCATTGATGGGCATTTGGATTGGTTCCAAGTCTTTGCTATTGTCAATAGTGCTGCAATAAACATACGTGTGCGTGTGTTTTATATTAGAATGATTTATAATCCTTTGGGTATATACCCAGTAATGAGATTGCCGGGTCAAATGGTATTTCTGGTCCTGGGTCCTCGAGGAATTGCCACACTGTCTTCCACAATAGGTGAACTAATTTACATACTCACCAGCAGTGTGAAAGCGTTCCTGTTTCTCCACATCCTCCCCAGCATCTTTCGTTTCCTGACTTTTTAATGATCGCCATTCTAACTGGTGTGAAATGGTATCTCATTGTGGTTTTGATTTGCATTTCTCTAATGACTGGTGATGATGAGCTTTTTTTCATATGTTTGTTGGCCACATAAATGTCTTCTTTTGAGAAGTGCCTGTTCATATCCTTTGCCCACTTTTTGATGGAGTTGTTTGTTTTCATTCTTGTAAATTTGTTTAAGTTCCTTGTAGATTCTGGATATTAGCCCTTTGTCAGATGGATAGATTGCAAAATTTTTCTCCCATTCTGTAGGTTGCCTGTTCACTCTGATGGTAGTTTCTTTTGCTATGCAGAAGCTCTTTAGTTTAATCAGATCTCATTTGTCAATTTTGGCTTTTGTTGCCATTGTTTTTAGTGTTTTAGTCATGAATGGTATTGCCTAGGTTTTCTTCTAGGGTTTTTATGGTTTTAGGTCTTACGTTTAAGTCTTTAATCCATCTTGAGTTAATTTTTGTATTAGGTGTAAGGAAGGAGTCCAGTTTCGGTTTTCTGCATATGGCTAGCCAGTTTTTCCAATACCATTTATTAAATAGGGAATCCTTTCCCCATTGCTTGTTTTTGTCAGGTTTGTCAACAATCAGATGGTTGTAGATATGTGGCATTATTTCTGAGGTCTCTGTTCTGTTCCATTGGTCTGTATATCTGTTTTGGTACCAGTACCATGCTGTTTTGGTTACCGTAGCCTTGTAGTATAGTTTGAAGTCAGGTAGCGTGATGCCTCCAGCTTTGTTCTTTTTGCTTAGGATTGTCTTGGCTATATGGGCTCTTTTTTGTTCCATATGAAATTTTAAGTAGTTTTTTCTAATTCCATGCAGAAAGTCAATGGTAGCTTGATGGGGATAATATTAAATCTGTAAATTACTTTGGGCAGTGTGGCCATTTTCATGATATTGATTCCTCCTATCCATGAGCACGGGATGTTTTTCCATTTCTTTATGTCCTCTCTTATTTGCTTGAGCAGTGGTTTGTAGTTCTCCTTGAAGAGTCCCTTGTAAGTTGTATTCCTAGGTATTTTATTCTCTTTGTAGCAATTGTGAATGGGAGTTCACTCATGATTTGGCTGTCTATAATTGGTGTATAGGAATGCTTGTGATTTTTGCACATTAATTTTGTATCCTGAGACCTTGCGGAAGTTGCTTATCAGCTTAAGGAGATTTTGGGCTGAGACGATGGGGTTTTCTAAATATACAATCATGTCATCTGCAAACAGAGACAATTTGACTTCCTGTCTTCCTATTTGAATACCCTTTATTTCTTTCTCTTGCCTGATTGCCCTGGCCAGAACTTCCAATACTATGTTGAATAGAAGTGGTGAGAGAGGGCATCCTTGTCTTGTGCCAGTTTTCAAAGGGAATGCTTCCAGCTTCTGCCCATTCAGTATGATATTGGCTGTGGTTTTGTCATAAATAGCTCTTACTATTTTGAAATATGTTCCATCAATACCTAGTTTATTGATAATTTTTGGCATGAAGTGGTGTTGAATTTCATGGAAGACCTTTTCTGCATCTATTGAGATAATCGTGGTTTTTGTCATTGGTTCCGTTTATGTGATGGATTACATTTATTGATTTGCGTGTATTGAATCAGCCTTGCATCCCAAGGATGAAGCCAACTTGATCGTGGTAGGTAAGCTTTTTGATGTGCTGCTGGATTCGGTTGGTCAGTATTTTATTGAGGATTTTTGCATCAATGTTCATCAGGGATATTGGCCTGAAATTTTCTTTTTTTGTTGTGTCTCTGCCAGGTTTTGGTATCAGGATGATACTGGCCTCATAAAATGAGTTAGGGAGGAGTCCCTTTCTTTCTGTTGTTTGGAATAGTTACAGAAGGAATGGTACCAGCTCCTCTTTGTACCTTTGGTAGAATTTGGCTGTGAATCCATCTGGTTCTGGGCTTTTTTTGGTTGGTAGGCTATTAATTACTGCCTCAATTTCAGAACTTGTTATTGGTCTATTCAGGGATTTGACTTCTTCCTGGTTTAGTCTTGGGAGAGTTTATGTGTTCAGCAATTTATCCATTTGTTCCAGATTTTCCAATTTATTTACGTAGAGGTGTTTATACTATTCTCTGATGGTAGTTTGTATTTCTGTGGGATCAGTGGTGATCTCCGCTTTATCAGTTTTATTGTGTCTGTTTGATTCTTTTCTCCTTTCTTCTTTATTAGCCTGGATAGTAGTCTATCTATTTTGTTAATCTTTTCAAAAAATCAGCTCCTGGATTCATTGATTTTCTTTTTGAAGGGTTTTTTTGTGTCTCTATCTCCTTCAGTTCTGCTCTGATCTTAGTTATTTCTTGTCTTCTGCTAGCTTTTGAATTTGTTTGCTCTTGCTGCTTTAGTTCTTTTAATTGTGATGTTAGGGTTTCGATTCTACATCTTTCCCACTTTCTCCTGTGGGTATTTAGTGTCTAAATTTCTCTCTAAACACTGCTTTAGCTGTGTCCCAGAGATTCTAGTACATTGTGTCTTTGTTCTCACTGGTGTCAAAGAACGTATTTATTTCTGCCTTAATTTCGTTATTTACCCAGTAGTCTTTCAGGAGCAGGTTGTTCAGTTTCCATGTAAATGTGCGGTTTTGTGTGAGTTTCTTTATCCTGAGTTCTAATTTGATTGCATTGTTGTCTGAGAGACTGTTATGATTTCTGTTCTTTTGCATTTGCTGAGGAGTGTTTTACTTCCAATTATGTGGTCAGTTTTAGAATAAGTATGATGTGGTGCTGAGAAGAATGTATATTCTGTTGATTTGGGCTGGAGAGTTCTGTAGATGTCTAATAGGGCTGCTTGGTCCAGAGCTGAGTTCAAGTCCTGGATATCCTTATTAATTTTCTGTCTCATTGATCTCTCTAATATTGACAGTGGGGTGTTAAAATCTCCCACTATTATTGTGTGGGAGTCTAAGTCTCTTTGTAGGTATCTAAGAACTTGCTTTATGAATCTGGGTGCTCCTGAATTGGGTGCATATATATTTAGGATAGTTAGCTCTTCTTGTTGCATTGATCCCTTTACCATACTGTAATGCTCTTCGTTGTCTTTTTTGGTCTTTGTTGGTTTAAAGTCTGTTTTATCAGAGAATAGGATTGCAACCCCTGCTTTTTTTGTTTGTTTGTTTGTTTTTGTTTTGCTTTCCATTTGCTTGGTAAATATTCCTCCATCCCTTTATTTTGAGCCTGTGTGTGTCTTTGCACATGAGATGGGTCTCCTGATTACAGCACACCGATGGGTCTTGACTCTATCCAATTTGCCAGTCCCAATTTGCTAATTGGGACATTTAGCCCATTTATATTTAAGGTTAATATTGTTATGTGTGAATTTGATCCTGTCATGATGATGCTAGCTGGTTATTTTGCCCATTAGTTGATGCAGTGTCTTCATAGTGTTGATGGTCTTTACGATTAGGTATGTTTTTGCAGTGGCTGGTACCTGTTTTTCCTTTGCATATTTAGTGCTTCCTTCAGGAGCTCTTGTAAGGCAGGCCTGGTGGTGACCAAACCTCTCAGTATTTGCTTGTCTTTAAAGGATTTTATTTCTCCTTCACTTATGAAGCTTAGTTTCGATGGATATGAAATTCTGGGATGAAAATTCTTTTGTTTAAAAATGTTGAATATTGCCCCTCACTCTCTTCTGGCTTATAGAGCTTCTGCAGAGATCTGCTGTTAGTCTGATGGGCTTCCCTTTTTGGGTAACCTGACGTTTCTCTCTGGCTACCCTTAACATTTTTTCCTTCATTTCAGCCTTGGTGAATCTGATGATTATATGTCTTAGGGTTGCTCTTCTCGAGGAGTATCTTTGTGGTGTTCTCTGTATTTCCTGAATTTAAGTGTTGGCCTGTCTTGCTAGGTTGGAGAAGTTCTCCTGGATAATATCCTGAAGAGTGTTTTGCAACTTGGTTCCATTGTTCCTGTCACTTTCAGGTACACCAATCAAACATAGGTTTGGTCTTTTTCACATAGTCCCATATTTCTTGGAAGCTTTATTCATTCCTTTTCATTCTTTTTTCTCTAATCTGTCTTCATGCTTTATTTCATTAAGTTGATCTTTGATCTCTGATGTCCTTTCTTCCTCTTGATCGACTCGGCTATTGATACTTGTGTATGCTTCACGAAGTTCTCGTGCTGTGTTTTTCAGCTCCATCAGGTCATTTATGTTCTTCTCTAAACTGGTTATTCTAGTTAGCAATTCCTCAAACCTTTTTTTCAAGGTTCTTAGCTTCCTTGCATTGGGTTAGAACATGCTCCTTTAGCTCGGAGGAGTTTGTTATTACCCACCTTCTGAAGCCTACTTCTGTCAATTCATCAAACTCATTCCCTGTCCAGTTTTGTTCTCTGCTGGCAAGGAGTTGTGATCCTTTGAAGGAAAAGAGGCGTTCTGGTTTTTGGAATTTTCAGACTTTTTGCACTGGTTTTTCCTCATCTTCGTGGATTTATCTACCTTTGATCTTTGATGTTGGTGACCATCAGATGGGGTTTCTGTGTGGAGGTCCTTTTTGTTGATGTTGATGCTATTCCTTTCTGTTTGTTAGTTTTCCTTCTAACAGTCAGGAACCTCTGCTGCAGGTCTGCTGGAGTTTGCTGGAGGTCCACTCGAGACCCTTTTTGCCTGAGTATCACCAGCAGAGGCTACAGAACAGCAAAGATTGCTGCCTCTTTTTTCCTTTTGAAGCTTCACCCCAGAGGGTCACCCACCAGATGCCAGCCGGAGCTCTCCTGTATGAAGTGTCTGTCGACCACTGCTGGGAGGTATCTCCCAGTCAGGAGGCAAGGAGGTCAGGGACCCACTTGAGGAGGCAGTCTGTCTCTTAGCAGAGCTCGAGAGCTGTGCTGGGAGATCTGCTGCTGTCTTCAGAGCCAGCAGGCAGGAACATTTAAGTCTGCTGAAGCTGCGCCCATAGCTGCCCCTTCCTGCAGGTGCTCTGTCCCGGGGAGATGGGAGTTTTATCTATAATCCCCTGACTGGGGCTGCTGCCTTTCTTTCAGAGATGCCTTTCCCAGAGAGGAGGAAGCTAGAGAGGCAGCCTGGCTACAGTGGCTTTGCTGAGCTGCCATGGGCTCCACCCCCTTCGAACCTCCTGGTGGCTTTGTTTACAGTGTGAGGGGGAAACCACCTACTCAAGTCTCAGTAATTGCAGATGTCCCTCTCCCCACCAAGCTCGAGCATCCAAGGTCAACTTCAGACTGCTGTGCTAGCAGCGAGAATTTCAAGCCAGTGGATCTTAGCTTGGCTCCATGGGGGTGGGATCCACTGAGCTAGACCACTTGGCTCCCTAGCTTCAACCTCCTTTCCAGGGGAGCAAACGGTTCTGTCTTGCTGGCGTTCCAGGCGCCACTGGGGTATGAAAACAAAACTGCAGCTAGTTCGGTGTCTGCCCAAACGGCCGCCCACTTTTATGCTTGAAATCCTGGGCCCTGGTGGTATAGGCACCTGAGGGAATCTTTTTGTCTGCGGGTTGTGAAGACCGTGGGAAAAGCATAGTATCTGGGTCGGAATTCACCGTTTTATGGCACAGTCCCTCATGGCTTCCCTTGGCTAGGGGAGGGGGTTCCCTGACCCCTTGAGCTTCCCGCGTGAGGTGATGCCCCACCCTGCTTCAGCCCACCTTTCTTGGGCTGTGCCCACTGTCTAACCAGTCCCAGTGAGATGAGCCAGATACCTCAGTTGGAAATGAAGAAATCACCCACCTTCTGCATTGATCTTGCTGGGAGCTGCAGACCAGAGCTGTTCCTATTCAGCCATCTTTCCAGCCACCCCCTTTCTTCATTTTCTTATAGTGATGTTATAGCTTTAGGTCTTACATTCAAGTCCCTAATCCATATTGCATTGATTTTTGTATATGTGTAAGATAAGGTTTAATGTCATTCTTCTGAATGTGCATATACGGTTTTCCCAGCACCATTTATTGAAGAGACTGTCCTTTCTCCTTGCGTGTTCTTGGCACGTTTGTTGAAAATCAATTGACTTTAAAGGAATGGATTTATTTCTAAGCTCTCTATTTTGTTCCATTGGTATATGTATCTGTTGTTATGCCAGTGTAGGTTGAGTATCCCTTATCTAAAATGCTTGGGACCAGAAGTGTTTCAGATTTGGGGATTTTTCAGATTTTGGAATATTTGCATTATACCTACTGGTTAAGCGTTCGTAATTCAAAAATCTGAAATCTGAAATACTCCAATGAGCATTTTCTTTTAGCGTCATGTCACTGCTCAAAAAATTTTGGATTTTGGAGTGTTTTAGATTTCAGAATTTCAGATTAGGGATACTCAACCTATGCTCTTTTAGTTACTATAGCTTTGTAGTACATTTTGAAGTCAGGTAGTGTGCTGCCCCTAACTTTGTTCTTTTTGCTCAGGATGCTTTATTTGGGGTCTTTTGTGGTTCCGCACAAATTTCAGGATTGATTTTTCGATTTTTGTAAAAAATGTCTGTGAAATTTTGATAGGGATTGCATTTACTCTGTAGATTGCCTTGGTAATATGAACATTTTAAGAATGTTAATTATTTTAATCCACAAACATGGGATATCTTTCCATTTATTTGTTTCTTGTTCATTTCTTTCATTTACATTCATGGTAATTATTGATAAGTAAGAATTAACTACTGCCATTTTGTTCATTGTCTTCTGGTTGTTTTGCAGATCCGTTATTCCTTTCTTCCTCTCTTGCCATCTTCTTTTGTGATGAAGTGATTTCCTTTAGTGGTATGCTTTGAATCTCATTTTTGAAGGACAGCTTTGCTGTGTAAAGTTTATTCTTAGTTGCTAGGTTTCTTTTTTCTTTAACTCTTTAAATATATTATGCTGCTCTCTCCTGGCCTGTAACGTTTCTGCTGAGAAATCCACTGCTAGCCTTACTGAATTTCCCTTATATGTGATTTGCCTCTTTTCTCTTATTGCTTTCAGGATGCCCTGTTTGTCTTGGCTTTTTGACAGTTTGATTATATGTCTGAGTATAGTCTTTTTTGGATTGAATCTGATTTGAGACTTTTGATCTTCTTTTACCTGGTTATTTATATCTTTTCCCAGATTTGGAAAGTTTTCTACTATTTTATTTAAGCAATAAGCTTTATACCCCTTTGTCATCTTTCTCTTCTACTTTAATTTCTATAACTAATGTTTGCTCTATTGATGCTACCCCATAAATCCTGTGAGCTCGCATCCTTTATTTTCATTCTTTTTTTTCCTCTTACTGTATATTTTCAAATAACCTGCCTTCAAGTTCACACATTCTCCTGCCTGATCAAGCCTGCTGTTGACTCTCTGTATTGCATTTTTCATTTAATTCATTGTATTTTTCAGCTCCAGAATTTGTTTGTTTGTTTGTTTGTTTAATAATTTCAATCTCTGTTAAATGTTTTAGTTTCTCATTTTGGTCATTTATTGTTTTTTTATTTCAATGAATTGTTTCTCTGTATGTTTTGTAAGTTTGCTAAGCTTTCTTAAAACAATTTGACTTATTTGTCAGACATATTATAAATCTTTATATCTTTAGAGTTGGCTACTGGAGCTTTATTTTGTTCTTTTGGTGGGATTGTATTTCCTTGATCATTATTGATATTTTTGGATTGGTATCTGCACATTTAAAAAAGTATGGGCTTATTCTAGTTTTGTAAACTGGCTTCGTCTCCAAAAGCCCTTCACTAGTCAGTCCATTTAGAGATTCTGGGAAGACCATTTGGTGTGATCCACAGGCAGGCTTGCTCTTGGAGTCTTTGAGCAGGCTGGCCTGGTGCCTGGGTCAGCAGGTGGATGGACCTAGTGCCTGGCTGGTTGGGGTTGAGCCTGGAGTCTGGATTCACTGTGGCGTATCTGTTGATTGAGTCTACTTGAATAAACCTGGAGCCTAAGTCCATTAGGGTAGGACTGGAAACTGTATCCTTGGAGGCTGGCCTAAAGCCTGAGTCCCAGGGGCTGGCTTGGTGCTGGGCTGGGCCTTGCACCTGAGTCTGCAGGGGCTAGCCAGATGCTGGGATGGGCCTGGCATCTGGGTCCACTGGGATGAGCCTGAAGCCTGAGTCCTTGAGGGCTGGTCTGGCACTGTGGTGAGCCTAGTACCTGCGACCACTCATGTAGGCAGATAGCCTGAATTCACAGGGACTGGCCTAGAGCCTGAGTCTGCAGGGGTGATTCTAGAGCCTTGGTCCATTGGGGGCTGTCCTGGAACCAGGGTCTACTGGGGTGGGCAGTACCCTGGGTTTTCTGAAGCAGGCCTGGTCCCTAAGGCCGCTGAAGCCTTGGGTAACAGAGACTAGCCTTGAACCTGAGGCTAGTCTGATGCTGGGGCAGTCATAGAGCTTAGGTGTGCAGGGGCCAGCCTGGTTCCTGGAGCTAGTGGAGATGGTTTGCAACGTGGGACTGTGGGGCTGGCCTGACGCCTGGGTCTGTCAGGGCTGGCCCAGTGCTTGGGTCTACTGGGATAGGCCTGGACCCTTCGTCTGTTGGGGCAGGCCTGGACCATGGGTTTGCTGAAGAAGCAGTGGGCCACAGGGACAGGCCTGGATGGTGGGCCCACAGGGACTTGGCCTGGCACTGGGCAGGCCTGAAACCTATGTTCATGGGGTCTAGCCTAGTGCCTGAGGTCAGGGTGCTGACCTGACATTGGGGCAGGCATGAAACCTAAGACTACATGGGCCTACTTAGCTGTGGGTTAGTCTGAAGCCTGGAATAGGCCTGGAGTCTGAGGCTTCAGGAGCTGGCCTGGCACTGGGCAGTCCTAGAGGCTATATCCAGGAGTGTTGGCCTGATGAATAGGACTGTGGGGGCTGACCTGGTGCTATGGTGGGCCTGAAGCCTAGGGCCATCATGGCCAGCCTGGTGCTGGGGGCAGTCTGAAGTCTGGGGCTACTGAGGCTGGCCTAGCCCTGCGGTGGACCTGGAGACTGAGTCTACATGTCGTGGCTGGATATTGAGTCTGTGGGAGCTATCCTGATGCCATGGTGGGCTTAGAGGTTCAGTCTGTGAGTACCAGCCTAAAGTCTGGGTCCATGGGAGCCTGCCCAGCAGTGGGATTTACTGAGGCAGCCTGGTGTTGGGGTCCAAGGTAACGTCTGGTGCTCACTTCCCTCCTCTTCTACCAAGCAGAGGGTATCTTTCCATACTGTGCTGCATGGGGTTGGGAGAGGGATTGACGTGGGTAGTATAAAACTGTCTGTCTTACACTCTTCCGTGTATCATTTCTTATTTCTGAGCTCCACCAAAGTGCTGTCATCTCTCACCTGGTTTCCTTCACTCTTGGGTAGGTATTTTTGTGTGTAGGTAGTTGTTCAAATTGATGTTTCTGTGGGGAGAGGAGTGCAAGAAGCTCTAGTCCACCATTTAGCTCAGGTCTTTCCACTTTCAATCATCTCGCTCCATTTTTTGGTGCTTTTTAAGTATGTATCACATTGTATTATTGCTCCTTGTCTACCTCTTTTCTGCAGATACACACACGCACATGCACACATACACACACACACACACGACACACATTTTGTAACTTTCTTGGGGGTGAAGACTTAACTTTAACTTGTAGTAAAAATGTACCCCTTTCCTAATTGTAACTATGACTAAATTGTTCTACTCACAATTTTAATACATAAAGAATGAGAAGAGGGAGACAAATCTAAGGAGGGACTTAATTGTGGATAATAAAACAAACTTTGTTTTTTCCCAGTCCAAGTGTTATAAAGCTTACTTTGGGGAGAATAAAAAAACATCGATCTTGGACATATGCTTTGGCCTTGTTTAAAGGACCATGAAAGAGTGAATTTTTATTGTCATCCCAGTAGAATCCAGTACTATAGTAGTGACACCAAATTTGGCAAATGTGGAACTAGCATCATTACTTTAGGTAGTATACTGTAAACTTTCTTCATGACAGTGTTATAAATGCTATCTGAAGTGGATATGCCAGCATTAACACTTGTTAAAATTGTGGTGACTGGTTCATTGTGTTTTCAACAGCTGCACATAAATCAACTCCTCCTCTGTAATGGAACAGCTAGTGCAGCTACCAACAAAGATGAAACAAATTGTAATTTTCTGATATCTTCAGGTAAGTAAAGCAGTATGTCTCTGTTAATAAACTTAATAAAACTCTCATGAACATTGTCATTTGTTGCATTTGTCACCTTTGTCACTATTTCTTGTTGCTCAATAGGAACATAACAGAAACTCACTTCCAGGCCAGAGGATCTTGAAGAAAATATTGACCAGACTTTGTAATTAAAAATAACTAAAAATGTATTGGTCTTTATATCACATACAAGGTCAATTAGTAGCCTACCATAAATGTGCATTCTATGATATACTAAGAAAGATATAAAATTAGTAGTTTAGTCTCTCTAGTTCTGTGAAGTGAGAGACAATATACGAAATGAACATCTATACATTTCATAGCTCAATAAGATGATAGAGACTGAAAGTGCTTGGAGAACATAAATTAAGGAGAGGTCCTTATGATATAGGGTTATTCTCAAAACGATTTTTTAGTCTTGCTAGGCTATTTGCTATCCCACCCAAATCACGTTTGCCAGAGTTTGGGATCTACCCCTTCCTGCTACAATCAGTAACAATCTCTGCCAGCTTTACAGATGTTACAGATTTTGAAATTTCTTTCCAACGCTGCATATGCCCTCCTTTTAACCTAATTGGTGGTATTTTTGTACACATTTTTAATTCCAGTTTTATGGCTAAATATTGGAACTTGCTTTCTGAATAATTCAATTACCAGTAATACCTTCTAACCCATTCACATACACAACTCACCTATCCATATTTTATGCCATTTACCTTTATATCCCAAGATTAGAAGGGGCTATGTAAAGAAGTCTTAGTTTTTGTTGTCTTAGCTCTAAAAAAAAACAGGTGAGGAAGGTAAGAGACACCAAATGTTTCCTAGAAAATGAGGTCACAGCTTTTGCTAACATACCTAATGTACTTCCTGTATTTGGACAAAGCACTTAATCACCAACATACTATATATTTTACCTATTTATTTTGTTTATTTTCTGTGTCTGCTACTAGAATGTGAGCTCCATGAAGGCCTGGATTTTTGTCTGTTTTGTTCACTGCTGTATTTCAAGAACCTAGCATGTAGTAATTGCTCAATAAATGTTAATTGAATAAAAGGAAAGTCATCCAAGGTTTATTTGATCAGTTTAAGCTCAGGTATCTAGGGCAACTACAAGTAAGGAAGAATGAGTAAAAGTCAACTCATTTTTACTGAGTATTTTTGCTATGTATCAGGTTATCTGTTGACTATGCTTTGCTTGAATTGTTTCATATAAGTTCCACAAAGCTCTGTGAAGTAGATAATATCCTCATTTACGGACAAAGAAATCAATGTTCGAGGAGTTAATTTTCTTCCAAAGCTGCACAGTCAGTAAGTGGCAGGGCAGGATTGTCATGCTAGACAGTTTGACTCCAGAGCCCTTCTTAGTCTACTATTCTGGTTGTTTGAAAAGGCCAGAGAAGCATTTAACCATAACACAACCTATTGCCACTTAAGCTGTACTGTAAGGGAATCCTATATTTTCAAGCAGGGCTATATGGTACTCACCTTGGTTAAGGAAGGACTTTAGACTAAAATGAATAATTTTAGATGGCACCTATAGAGAGAATATAAGTCCCCAACTGCTTCCATGAGGAGTCCTGCCAGTAAGAAGACTGGGGTCTAGTGCTGGATCTGCCATTAATTAGCTGTGACTTCTAGTAAAATGGCAGCAGTGGAGGGGAGGAAGAGACAGCAGTTAGACTAGGTGACTGCCAAGGTCCCTGCCAACTCTGAAACTTCTTTTTCTCTGTCTGTGAATGAAAGGCATAACAAGAGGCATTGTTGATTTTCATGTTGGGAACTCAAATGCCTTTCCCAATTTTAATCTGCTTTTCCATGCAACCTTACTGAAAGGTCCCTCCCCAACAAAATAATAGTGATAATCAGTTCATCATTTTAAAGCAACCATACGAATATTTTTACCAACTTTTTTCCAAACTTTATAACAGCTGGACATTGAATATCTTATTCTTTCAGCTCATGGGCCTTATGTCACCAAAATAGATGGCTAAATTTATTTTCACAGTGGCATTTTGCTTCCTTATTGGAAAGTAAATGACCTTATCAACTACTTTGGAATGCAACTATAGGGCTGTTTGCAAATGAGTAAAATTAGGTCAAGTGTAGTTAGGAGAAGTAGCATGCTATATTCATTCACTCAATTCAACAAATGCTAATTGAATACCCATATGTGTTAGGCACTGTACTATGTGCTAGAACACTAAAATTGGAGTCCTGAGACCAGTTTAACACTTAATGAACTCTATCAGGCCAATTAACCTTTTTAAACCTCAGTTTTCTCATTTTTTAAGAAAGTAATAATAATACCTACTTTAACCCCCAGAGTTATAAAAATTAAACATGAAATGATATGAAATACCTTTGTAAATATGAAATGATATGAAACATCTTTGTAACTGTAGAGTGCTATTTGGTGTTGATAGTTTTCATCTTGGACTCCATGTGAGGGAATCTAATTAATGAGGTTATTTTAGTCCTTGAGCCCCATTAGGCTGTTTCAGAATAAATATCATGAATGTGAAATCTGATTGAATGATTAGCACAAAGCCCTTAGTGAGTCAGTGGTAATTCTAGAAGGAGAACTTAAGCTCTAATAATGATAAAAGTTACATTTTAGTACATCTTGCTGATTTGGAAAAAAATTTTTTTTTAAATTCTTATGATGCATTGTTAATATTTTAGCATTCTATTGTCCACTCATTATCCTTCTTTTGTGCAAGAATTTATGGAAATATTTATGCAGTTATGCAGTCCTTATTCATTTGCTTTTAATTACTTCTGCTAGTACATAGAATTAAATTTATTTGAATTTGTTAAGTAGAAGATGCTTTTTCAGTAAGTCAGTGGTACAAATTCTCAGTCACACATGGCAGTATTAACAGTAATAATGTTCTGTAACAGTAAAAGGCTTGAATGTAGTTAAAAAGGTGTTCTAGGCTGCCGGTGTAGCAGCCTGCAATTTTTTCCTTTTCCCCTAGCAAAGGTTAAGTATCAGCCAAACTTTGTACACTAGAGCAAGCGTTTTTCTGGTTCTGTCATCTGTGATTCATAGCATCCTTTGTTTAAATGATAATGCACTCTGAGACCACACCTTGCCCAGTCTGGTAGAAGCAATCTCCTGCAAACAGATCCAAGTATTTCTATGTGAACTCTACTAGTTGAGCATACCACTGCAGTTGAGGTACAGCAAATTATGGATTACTTGTTTCTGATAAAATTACTTGTTTCCTTATAGTAAAGCCTTGGGAATAAATACTTCCAATCTGGGTTTCCTCTCATCCTCTTCAGCTGCGAGCAGGAACAATCATTGCCATCACAGAGTCAAACTTTGCTTCTGACATTGACATTTTTTCCTAAATAAAGGAGACAGTAACTCCATTCACTATGTCTGCCTCAGTTCCATGCCTCTAATGAAGTGAGAATAAGTGATAGAAAGAGATCGAGTTGATACCAGGGCAAGGTAGCGAGAGGACCATTGTAAAATGTGTCCCAGCATGTATTGAGTGTCTATGGATATGACATATGGTGGTGTGTAAATGTGCATGTGTACCCATGATTGTGCCAGGGGTGAGGGTGAGTGTTGAGCAGACAAGATGCCATTAGCTTAGGAAAAAGAAACTGTACTTACACATGGCTCGAAAGCAATTTTTAAAACAAAAAGGAACACAGGCAGAGCGTAGAATGGGCAGCCAGTGTGGCATGGTCACAAGGAATACTTTGTTACTGATACTGTCTCAGACATTTTCCCTAGGAATTTATTTCTCTAATTTAAGAATCCTGGACTGTTATTCCCTGCCGTTCCACGACATTCAGCTTAAATGTTCTTCCGGACTTGGTAACCCTTTTTCCTTTATTCTTGGCATTATTTGTTGAAAGAACATTTCTGAAAATATGGAAAAGCAGTTTTGAAGTCCAAAAGCTGCCTTGAAACCATCACTGTGATGGTGTTTTAGTCTGTTCGGGCTGCTATAACAAAATACTGAGTAGTTTATAAACAGAAATTTATTGCATACAGTTTAGAAGCTGAGAAGTCCAAGATGAAAGTGCCAGCAGATCTGGCATCTGGTGAGGGCTTTCTGCCTCATGTATGGTACCTTGTATGTGTCCTCATATGGTGGAAGGGACAAACTCCCTCAGGCCCCTTTCATAAGGACACTAATCCCATTCATGTGGGATGTCAACCTAATCACCCCTCAAACACCCCATGTCTTACTAACATCACCCTTGGGGATTAGGTTTCAACCTATGAATTTTGGGTAACAGGGAACACAAGCATTCAGACCATAGTTAAGTGGAATGGGCAAAGTTTTACCAGGAAGTGTGAGATCTCTGCGAATTGAGATATTAATGGCTTATGCACCAAGGAAGATACCAGGATTCAGAAAATTGAGTTGAGAAATGTATCTGGATCTGGATAAAATAGTTATAACAGGAAGCTTGTGAAAAATTGACGTGAATTCTAAAAGTAGGATCACCTTTTTAGTGGTAGGGGACAAAGAGTATTTTTGTGCAGTGGCCCCACTACATTAAGTAATGGGAAGGAAGAGAAGGAAGAAAGTTTTAAAGAAAAACCAAAGAGAAGCCTTTTAGGTGAATGTGATGGAACAGCTGAAGGCTGGTATCTGCATTGAGAGGGAAGAAGAGATACTAGTGCAATTGTCAACTACCTCTTATAATGTTCAGGACTCCTACAAAGGTTAATAACATCTTTGGGTGCCCAAGACGAGGGAAATAATGGAGTGTCAAGAGAGGCTACTAACAGTGTTCAAAGTGCCAAAGTTTAGACATCACTTCTTGCCCCCCATTTCCTATAAACAAGGACTTAGAGACAAACTGCAATTCTGTGGCAGTTCTGTGTTTAAGACACTAAATATAAGTATAGAATGATGGGTCTAAGCCAGAAGGTTAGAGGTTTGAGGTTTAAGTCAAGTCTTGATTATTCAGGAGCTCATTATCTGGTTTGTAGGTTATCCATACCCTTGGTATTCTTTATTCTCCATTCTGCTGCCTCACTTTTGGTAATTTTACTGCTCATTAATTCTTTTACCAGAGGGTGGGCAGGGAAGGAATAGGAGAATGATGCTTCTATCAGCCAATTTTGCTACCTGTTAGTGCTCTGGTGGAGATTCTGATGGGGAAGGAGGCAGAAACTATGGGCCAAAATGAGAGGTTTGGGGTCCATATGAATTTCACTTTTCTTCATGATCTCTATCCTCTGTGAAAAGGTGAATTCATTGTATAGCTTTTGGAAAAAAATACAATTCATTTCTTTTTATTTTCAGATCCTTTTATCACAATGTTATGCTAGAAAATACACTATACCAAGCAAACTTCTATCCGTCCCTAGGGAGGGGTATGTTAAAGTATTTGATGTGGCAGTTTCAGTAATATGCTGTGGAATTTTTTGGTAGTAGTCAGCATTTTTCTTTTTCTTTTGAATTACCTATAACAACTTTTTAATTCATTAACCTTCTTATATATGTTTGGCTTCTCCCAAAGTTATTCCAGCTCCTATCTGTAATCCCTTTTGCTAGGATGACTGGGCTGTGTTCCATTTAATTCATTTTCTTGCTCCAACACTAATTATTTGGGGTTGGTAATTAAGCCACATATGTCACTTTCTGGCTTATTTGTAAAGTACAGATCTAATCATGTTATAATACATGTTTTTGAAATGTAAAAGGTTTTAAATATGGGTGAATTGACTTGGATCACTAAGGGCTCTCTTTTGTGGTGGTCCAGGAAGCAATGGAAGTAACATGTATTTTAACAAAATATATGTGTGTAATATAGCCTGTGGTTTACTTACAGTGAGGAAGAAAGAAGCCAGAGGCTTAGAAAAATCAGTTAATAAAATCCCACATAATCTTGAAGATGAGGCCTAGAAAGATGAAGAAATGCAACTGTGTTTAATAAACTATTTTCAAAACAAAGTATTTAATTCTGTTTTGTAGAATTAAATATTAAATGATAATAAAAATCAGAAGACCCTCTATGATTTTATAAATTATTCACTTTTAAAAATATTACATGATCCAACAAATATTTTGCACCAAATATGCATAAAGCCCATATTCTTACATTTTAGAAGGAGTCTAGAAACTGCAGAAATGTTCCATAAGTAATACTCATTCATGCCTTCATTATTTGTGAATAAAAAATGTATCATGGCATAACGGGCTTCATCCTTGCATAACTACAAGGAATTCTAATACAGACAAAATATTTTTACCATTGCCTTTGTTTATTTAAATACTAACTTTTTGAGCTTAATCAATGTTCAGTTTGCTTGAAAGAAGTCTCTTGTCCAGAATTGCCTGCTTAGCATGATGGTTTCCTCACTTCTTGTTTTTAATAAATCATTTCTAAATAATTAACTAGGCAATAGTACAAACTGAAACAATGGATTAGTTCTTCATGGCTCCTAGTAATTATTAAAAATGCAACTCTCCTGTTGACTAGGACCCCTAATAGAGAAGCCTGATCCCTGGAGTGTTAGTTGGGAGACCAAACTCTGCCACTGGCTTGCTGTGGAACTTTAAACAAGTCACTTTAGCGTCTCTGAGCTTTAGAATTCCGTATTTTAACTTTGTAATAATGCCTTCTCTGGTCACCTCACAAAGTAGCTGTGAGGTGGATGTGAAGCAAAGTTGAAAGGATAATAGCAGTCTCTGAATATAAATTATTGTTGTTAAAATAATAAAGTCAAGCATTTGTTTAGTCATAGCACTAAACGAATGTTTCTTCTTTCGCGGCTGCTTCATGTTTATCTGCATCTTTTCTGTAAACCCCAGCTTCTCACTGTATCAAGCAAGACAATATATTTGGTGATACAGTTCACCTCTATGCCGAAGGGCAGAAGCAACCATTTTAAAAAAAATAATGTGGCTTGCTAGAGGATATCTGGGAAGCAGCAACAGATGAATTGCCATTTTGAGCCAAATCATTTTGTTGACCACAAGGCAGAACAGCAGCAAGCTCAGATGGGAGAACTATAGTCATTATCCAAAGGTCAGACTTGATAAGCAGACTCTGCTATTTCTTCCTCTAACTCCCATATGTCTGGAGGGGCATGTGGGCGGCAGGGGGAGCCAGAAATCTCACTGTCAAAAAAGTATTTAAGTGATTTTCTGCAAATAGAACTGATTATATTCTGTGTAGAATAACAGGATCCCCTGTCTTCAAGGAGTTCATAGTCTAGGGAAGTAAAGCAGCAGCAAGAGCTTCAGGTAGAGTCTACCTTTGACTTTTTGCTTGCCTCAAAGTAGACATTCCGTAAATGTCATTTGGATGATTGGATGAATGAATGAATGAATGGGTAGAGAGATGTGTAATGAATGAACAATGAAATCTGAAAGGTAATTCTTGGAGTTTCTATTTGGAAAATCGGAGGTGATAACTTGAAAACATTTGACAATGTATCTACTTCCATTAGAAATTTACCCGAAATTCAGATCATGGGTGAGGAATAAGTTTATTATTTTTATTAATTTGTATAGAAAATAAAACTGAAAATTAAGAATTTCATCTCTTTTGTGTAAAGTTATGCTCCAAATGAATTACGGTATTATGAAGTTATGTTATATTGAATAATTTGTCATAATATATTTTTAATTAATTTTATTTGTTCCTCATCAGGACATCTTAAAGGTAACATTTACACTTTTTCTTTAATCAGTGGTGAGCCATGGATCAGTAAAAACATTTATCCGAACACAACTCTGCAGGCAACATGGTACAGGAGGAAAGATTTGTAGCCCAAAAATCTGGATTCCAGCTCCTCCACATATTGACATTATAACCTTTTGGAAATACAGAAGCTTCTCTGAGCTGCAATTTCCTTATTTACAAGCCAACAACATTAATACCTTCCCCCTTCCCCCACCATAAGGATATTGTGGAAGCACTTGCTAAGCCGTGTTATTCTAGGATGATGTCAGATATTGTTAAGGCAGTAGTTAGAAATAATGTGCTAGCACGCCAAGACTTTGGTTTCTGGCATTCTGGTGTAGAGGGTGGCGTGCAGTCCCTGACCATTGGCCACCACCGTAAGAATATTCAACTTAAAGATAGTTATGTGAAAGATTCCTCAAAGTTGCCATTAAACAAAATGTGTTGAACATAGTGATTGGATAGATTGTAAGGAACCATTTTATACGCCATTTTGATTGTACTATTCATTTGAAGACATCTCCAGACTTCACTTATATTTGCCAATCCAAATGGTATATACTATACATTGCTCTGGTTTACAATAACCAGAATGGAGTTGTTTCATTGATAGACCCTCATAGCATTTGACAAGCACCAAAGTTATTAGAAGCTTTGCTTTACTGTAATTGTCACTCTTACTAAATTGTAAAATGACCATTTCAATTTGGAGGATTATTATCCTACTAAACACAAATCAATTCACTATCCTCTAAAATGTAACTATGTTTAAGAACAATAAGCAAGCCACAGCTATTCCCTGTGTGCTGGATGAGGTTGTAAATGTGTCACCAAATGTACAAATCAGGTTGTCACTGAAGCACAATTCTATCTCCAAAAGGGAAGACAATTATTAAGAAGGAGCTTAAAAAAAAAGACATTTTGTAGATGTATTAAAATAGAAAACATAAGCTGATTAGGCAAAGTTCCAAAGATTCATTAGTTTATTAAAGTAGATTGAAATGAATGTTGAAGAGATTTAAATAAATTAACCTTTAATGAGTACCCAGGGGCCAAGGAAAAAGAATGACAGAGGATTAGGAGTATTTTCTCTGATTGTTGCATAATGCACGCTGATTAGTTTTTTTTTTTTTTTTGACTACTCATTGCTGTATAACAATACTAATAAATAAAAAAGATTAAATTTAAAAACCTCTAGATTATAATTTTTGCTTGCTTTTATGTGTACACAACTACCATGCTTGGCTTTAATAACAATTCCTATAACATTGGCAGAGAGAGACAGGAATTTTTGTCATTATGTCAGTGTGTTTTGAAATGTCTCACATGTGAGCGTAGCTTTGGTCAATTAGGGTAATTTATTCCTACCATACTGGGCATACTTTTAGCATTTCAGCGTTAGACTCTTCTTCTGAGTTTCATAATGCTTGTTCCGTAAATAATATTAATTGATGGCAAGTTACTTAGAAGATATATTGGTATTTAAACATCATTAAAAAAAAACTGTTCTGTGCTTCCTTACATGTTCTGGTTTATAATTAGCAAAATTCTTAAAAAGGCTTTTTTTTTGAGCAGCATCAGAAGTACTTTAATTTTTTGGGGGGGTGCCTTAACTGTACTACTATTAAATCATTTACTGCCTGCTAAATAAGTTTTGTGTAGGTGGTACTAGGAAAGCATCCTTCCAGGGCTCTCCCTGTTCTCCCTGCTCTCCTTTTCTGCCCCTATTAATTACTGAGTTTTATTTCATGCTTTTATGGATGTCTTCCATCTAAGCTTTTCTTTCTTTATCTTAAATTCAGAGCTGGCAGATCACATGTTTCAACTCATTTTTCAGCTGAGGAAACTGACAAAGAATTACTCACCCAAGGTTACCCTATGAGTTGATGGAAGAGCAGAGACCACAGCCTGCATCTTTATGGCCTGTTCTTCCACTACACTTGTATTAGTCAGGGTTCTCTAAAGGGACAGAACTAATAGGGTAGATGTATATATAAAGGGGAGTTTATTAAGGAGTATGGACTCACATGATTACAAGGTGAAGTCCCACAATGGGCCGTCTGCAAGCTGAGGAGCAGGGAAGCCACTCTGAGTCCCAAAACCTCAAAAGTTAGGGAAGTCAACAGTGCAGCCTTCAGTCTGTGGCCAAAGGCCTGAGAGCTCCTGGCAAACCACTGATATAAGTCCAAGAGTTTAAAAGCTGAAGAACTTGGAGTCTGATGTTCAAGGACAGGAAGCATCCAGTACAGGAGAAAGATAAAGACCAGAAGACTCAGCCAGTCTAGTCCTTCCATGTTCTTTTGCCTGCTTAATTCTAGGTGCACTAGCAGCTGATTAGATGGCACCCACCAAGATCAAGGGTGGGTCTGCCTCTCCCAGTCCACTAACTCAAATGTTAATCTCCTTTGGCATCGCCCTTACAGACACACCCAGGAACAATACTTTGTATCCTTCAATCTATTCAAGTTGACACTCAATATTAACCATCACAGCACTTAACTGTGCCTTTGCATTTTTTATATTTTACCAGATCCTTTCTAAAGTTCAATGGAATTACTGAGGTGACAGGTGACATCGGCAAACCACATTCAGTGTGATTTTTATCCAATGGTGTTATAGTTGCAGTGCTTTCCGGTATTCTTCATGACATTGTACACATATTGGTATAAATGAATGATTACTTGAGGACAGGGGTGAGTGGCCTGGAGTCCCAAGGGTTATGAGATTCAAAGCCAGTCCCCAAGGGCAGTTTGGAACCTTTCTCCTGGAAATTAATAAGAAAACAGACACAATATTTCTGAAGTATTTTATCTGGTTCTTCTAGAACTAAGGTAAGGAACTTAATCCTGTAATTATACTTTGTCTAAATTTGTTTCCAATATTTCAGTTCTTTTTGTTTTTCCAGTAACCCTTCTAATCTTTCTTTCCAAAAGAGAATCTCATTTTTCATAAAAGTATCATAAATTGGACAAGTTTAAGTCTAACGTACTTATACCACACAACCAATACCTTTCCCTACAGATTGTAGGTACAGAGTTAATTAACTTACCTTCTAAGTGTTACCTGGTTTGAACTTTAAAAAATAAAAATAAACTTTGGACAGCGAATACTCATTTTCTGGCTTTAAATTAGAAAACTATTTAGAACTGTGTTTCTCAATTCTGGCTGCACATTAGAATCACCTGGTAGCTTTTTAAATTTTTGTTTGTTTGTTTTTTACTTTTTGTAGAGATGGACGTCTTGCTATGTTGCCCAGGCCAGTCTGGAAGTCCTGGACTCAAGGGATCATCTTGCTGTGGCTTCCCAAAGTGCTGGTATCACAGGCGTGAGCCACCATGCCTGGCCACCTGGTGGCTTTTAAAAACTAGATGCTTAGGTTCCACCCTGACCAATTTAATGAGAATTTCTGGTGGTAGAGTCCAGGCATTGTTTTCTGTTTGTTTTGTTTTTGTCTTTTTTTTTCTCAGTGCTCCAGTTGAATTTAATATGTAGCCAGGGATAAGACACACTGCCTTAAAGTCTTGATCTCCTCCAGGGCCACTCCTGACAAATATATTATGTTGGGCCCTGGGTTGGGGCAAGCAAGTAGGCTGATTAAAAAACAACAACAACAACACACACACACAGAACATGGGAGCCCTTTTTTTGCCTCTGTTTACTTTGGAGAAAACCAGATTTGGGTCACATGTGTGCCAAAGAAAACAATTGCCTTTTAAAAGCCCAAAGAAAGGACCTTTAAGTAGAATTGCTTTTCTGCACTGCTGCTATATGGTCATCATTGCATCTGCTCAGGAGGCCAAGCTGCTCGGTCAAGTTTTCAAGAGCCTTAGTTCACCTGCTCTTCCATTTTCTCCTTCCCCCATCATCTCAGGCAAGTGGCCAATTTCCAGGAAATTCTGAGCCTGTAAATTTGTCAAGCCTGTAAATTTACTAATCCAAATCTTCTCCAAAGGATAAGTTTCCCCAAGCCTAATGTCAGGGCGGGGCGGGAGGGTCTAAAAAATAATAATGGAACAAACACAATGGAAGATGGAGACAGATTCAATTAGGAAGGGAATGAAAGTGGAAATGATCTTCCAAATAAGAGTAATACCTTGGCATTGAGACCCATTCCAAGATCCTAGTGACATCAATTGGATTGAGAGAGTGTTTTGGTCTTTTCTGATCTCAACTTCTTTAAGGCATTTTTTGGAAAGTTACTATGCTTTTACAGTCTGACTTTGCCTGGTACAATGGTTTCTCTATTTTTTAATCAGAGAAATTGGCTTATACTTTTCCTGCCTCTGGAGTGCCTAGAACTCTTAGGTGTTAAGAATCTGTGCAGTGTTTAAGTCCTACCTCCCACAATGTAATGTAACATGATTTTAACTCTCATACAGTGCTGTTTTGTTGCAGAGACACTCTTAAGTTGAAAATGTTCATGAATTCAGCTGTGGCACTCTCTTCAACTCAATCCATCACTTTGCAATCTTCTAGGAGCCCTGATTTGCTCTGTCAATTGTTTGTCACAGAGCATCTTCCTGAAATGAATTTACTTTAAAGTTAAAGATGATTAGAGTGCTTCTTCTCCAGGAGACAATTACATTGCTATATTCTTTGGCAGGGAGAAAAACAACATAGCATTAATTTTTCCAGGCTTTCTTTGAGTATTGTTAAAGGGAGAATTGTTAACTTAATCCAACAGACTATAATAACAAAAAGAATACTGTTATTAAAATGTTAAGATTTTCTAATAAAATTTTAAGGAGTTGTTTGGGAGGAGGGAAGGGAGAAGGATGAAAGGAGAAAGCAAAGGAATCTATTAAGTGTTTCTGACCTTCAAAAATACTTTTGTCTTTTGTCAGTGAATGCTATAGACAAAATAAACCAAGTCTGAGACCTATTATGAAAATGCTTTTCCCCATCTTTATCCCAATACTATGTTATTCTGCCTCTTAGACAATTATACTTTTTTTCTGAATGAATTAATATCTTTTGACAAGCTTTGTTAAGAATACCTAGTAAAGGTCAAGTGTAAGCCATTTACTGCTGTTTCCTGGCAGCCTTTATGCCATGGTAAATAGAGATTGGAAGCAGTTTTATTTTTGAGCATGGATTTATGGATATGCTTCTATTGGACTGTGCTTTTTCTCATACTGAAACCCACAAATGTTGCAGGATTTTCAGGACTGTGGCTTAAGAATTTTTTCATGGAGTCATCTCAGACTCCTCTCTTCTCCTCAACTCCCAGATCCAATTATACATGAAATCCAGATGATTATATTTCCTGAATATCTCTGAAATCCATTCATTTTTTTTCATCCCACTGCCACTGTCTGAGTTCATGCGACTGTCATCTCTCCATTGTATCATTATGGTTTTCTTCTAACTGGTCTCTCTGCCTCTGGTGTCTTCTCACCTTCAGTGCATCCTTCATCATGCCATAGGAGTGGTCTTTCTAAGGCACAAATCAGATGGTGACAGCCCCCCACCCAGAACACACACATACACACACACACACATATTAGAATGAACTCTAAGATCCTACAATAAGTCGTCTGATAAGGCTCTGTGTACTCCTGTGGAGAGAGCTTTTGGGGGTTAGGTAAAACTTCACTGAAGAGGTGACATTTGAGCCGAGTTTTGAAGGATGAATAAAAGTTCTCCAGGTGGAAAAAGGAAAAGTTATATGTCAAGCAGAGGAGATGGTATGTGCAGAAGCACATAGACATGACAGGGCTTAGCATGTTTGAGGAATTTTGAGAATTTTGGCATGAATGAAGCAAAGGGTACTTAGGGGAATTGGCAAGAGATGAAGCTGGTACAGTAATTTGGGCCAGATTTTCTTTGTATGTATCTGCCTTTCTTTCTTTTGTTGTCTTCTTGAGGAAAAAAAACTATCATATTAAATCCTAAAATTCTCAAGCCTTACATACTGTCAAGGCACCCAGAATTGTTTGAATGAATTGGACAAATAAAGAGAGAGACTATCAGTCAATATTAATTTATTGGTTTGTTTATTCCCATATGTATTGAATACCTCAATTAAAATCCAGACTGTAGCAAAATTAAGATCCTACTTTTTTTTTATACAACAGCAATGGTAGGAGTTGTTTCAGACACAGATTAGTGATTTTTTTGCAGGCTTTTTACTTTACAGTCATGCTGTCTTCTCAAGGAGCAGATTCTGGTTTTCCTAGTGGTAGGTTTGACTTCAGCTTAGGCAGGGACTTCTCTAAAGGAGTTAATCAGTTGTCAACACCTTGTATTGATACTCCTAGGAGAAATTGTTATAGGAAAAGTATGGATCTTTAAGGATGCATTAGCATATTACAGGAAGCTCTGTTTTCTCCTGTGTGTTTAATTTCATAGCCAACAGCGAGGGTTATTTCTCATACATTCTTGAAAAACTAGCCCAAATGGGGCTAAAAGATTAGGAATGCAGAAAGCATAATTCCAGAACATTAGTGACGCAGTATAGCAAAATTAATAGGGTGGGAGCCAGGAGGGAGGATAAAAATTTTGAATATGTAAATGAAGATTGACCATATTTATGTGGTTCTATCTTTAGGGAATGCTAAACCACAAACTCATCATTGGTTAATTAGAAGATAATTAAAATTGTAGCATAGTGATTGGATAAATAGTTAATGAAGGCTGAATAAACAAAGAAAGGAAATCTGGTGAAATTGGTGTGTACATTTTGGGCAAAGCAAAGATACAAATGTTATTCATGCGGTGCATCAGTCTTAAAGGATACCAGTATCCTTCTAGCATTAACTGATAAAATTAACTCTCCAAAGACCAAAAGACCAGCTCTCACTTTCTCCTTCAAAACATCTTACACTGAAATGCAGATTTATTTGACAGCAACTTCAATTTTCATTCACTCACAGCATGTGAAATTATTTTGCTGAACCTTGTTTACAACTTATTTACTGGCATCTTAATAATCTATTAGCAGAAATTGGTGTTCTCTGTGTGTAGTAACTGTTCCTACTTAAAGAGCTGGCTCAGCCTAGGCTCCTGACCAGATCTGGCTGACAAGCTAGTTTTCAAAACCAGTGAAGTGGTTTCTGCAGGGAGAACTGTGCTTGCTTTTGATAATTGCCTCAGTTTTATGAAATCAATCAGCCTGAAGGGAAGACCTCATTACAGATCTGACAAGATAGACTCCAATTTCAATACTAGAACAACTCTCTGTCCTCAGGCTCTGAAATCTGCAATTATTTATTTTATTTAGACAGAGACAACCATAATAGAGTACCTCTGGGCACATTCTCAGGGAAGTACTCAACAGATAACCTAATGGTCAGTGTGCTAGGAACCTGCCCTTTTCCTGTCACTCAGGTGGAAAATTGGTCAACAGGAATTACAGCATGGCCTAGAGCCAGCTCAAAGCAGACACTGATGAATCACCATCTTTCCAATCCCCTACCCCAAAAGATGTGGAGAGAAAGGGTAGCTGCTGTAACTGTTCCCAGGGCTAAACTACAACAAAATAAGGCTTTCTCTTCTCAGTTCCTCTGAAGACTGCCAGACAGACTTTATTCTAAGGAAAATGATAGATCACCCATCTACCATCTGTCACTTTGAACTGTTCTATCAAATCAACATTTTTTTGAACTTTGTTTTCAATGAGGAATGTGATTTTGCTGTGTTTCCCAAGCCTTAAATTGGACAAGGGAAAAAAGTCCTGAAGTGTTCTTCTTCTTGAAGTTGGAAATATGTATTTTGCTTTTCTGCTCACGGAACACAAACACCTTAACAGATTTAGTTCAGACTTTTCTCGAATAATTCACCCTTTACCAGGCCTGGGAGATGTCAGCCCCACAGAAAAAACACAGAGAACATTATGAGTGTACGAAAATATGGATTTAGAGAGAAATGATACTCTCTCTAGTCCAGCTGTAGTATCACTGCTAGCAGTGTTCTGATAGTACAGCACCCAGATGGAACAGAGCATTCCTGAAAGATTTGGGAGGAGACATTTCCATTGTTAGGGGAAAATGTGATTCTTTCATGTTGGACAGTTCAAGGTAGTGATGAATATGGTCTCCTAAACAGAATCCAAGCAAAGAGCAATCACTGACTACTCCCGCATTATTTATTCATGATTTACTTTAATGGCTTTGTGTTATTAAGAAAAAGTAGGTTAGAAGAGGAATGCAAAGCTAACATCTTCCAAGCTGTAAATAGACTGTAGCCTGGAGGCCGAAGGAGCCACACTACTCAAATGTTCTTATTCCATTTTTGAGACAAATTTATATAAACCCCCCATTGGGTTAGAAGGGCATTGACATTTGTTTAGTGTCCAACATGTGCTACACCTTAAACATACAATCTCTTATTTAATTTTCCTCACTTTGCTGTAAGGGGGGCATTATCATCCCCATTTTACAATGCAGAAACAGTCTGAGAGAGATCAAGTGACCTGTTTTATACACCTTGTAAGTGGCACACTTAGTAAGTGGCACACCTAGTAAGTTGCAGATGTGGCTTTGAATGCAGATCTGACTCTAGAGCAGCACTGTCCAGCAGAAGTTTCTGGGATGATTGAAATGTTATATAAATATGCTGTCCAAAACAGCAGCCACTAGCTACATGTAACTATTGAGCACTTGAAATGTGATTAGTGCAACTGAGCAACTGAACTTTTCACTTTTTTTCTTTCTTTCTGGTTTTGTTTTTTGTTTTTTGTTTTTTTAGATGGAGCCTTGCTCTGTCAGCCCAGGCTAGAGTGCAGTGGTGTGATCTCAGCCCACTGCAACCTCCGCCACCCGGGTTCAAGTGATTCTCCTGCCTCAGCCTCCTGAGTAGCTGGGATTACAGGCGCGTGCCACCATGCCCAGCTGATTTTTGTATTTTTAGTAGAGACGGGGTTTCACCATGTTGGTCAGGCTGGTCTCGAACTCCCGACCTCGTGATCCACCCACCTCGGCCTCCCAAAGTGCTGGGATTACAGGCGTGAGCCACTGTGCCCGGCCTGAACTTTTCATTTTATTCCATTTTAATTAATTTAAAGAGCTACATATGGCTAGTGGCTACTGTATTGCATAGCACATCTCCAGAGATTGCCTTTTCTTTTTTAAAAACTTTTAAGTTTAGCGGTACATGTGCAGGTTTGTTATAGGGGTAAACTCATGTCATGGGATTTTGTTGTACAGATTATTTCATTACCCAGGTATTAAGCATAGTACCCTTTAGTTATTTGTCTTGATCCTCTCCCTCCTTCCACCCTCCACCCTCAAGTAAGCTCCAGTATCTGTTGTTCCCCTCTGTGTGTCCATGTGTTCTCATCATTTAGCTTCCACTTATAAGTGAGAACATACAGTATTTGGTTTTCTGTTCCTGTGTGAGTTTGCTAAGGATAATGGCCTCTACCTCCATCCATGTTCCTGCAAAGGAGATGATCTCATTCTTTTTTATGGCTGCATAGTATTCCATGGTGTATATGTACCACATATCAAAGACATGGAATGAACCTAAATGCCCATCAATGGTAGACTGGATAGAGACTGCCTTTTCTTAACTGTAGTTTGTAAATGGGACATGTAACCTGATGTACATAGAACGATTAACAGAAGATCCATATATGGGATCTCTTTTATAGTATTCTCTCAGGTAACGGTCTTGGTCAATGGAAGGACTGTTTTGCCCTTCAGAAAGAGAGAATGAAATTATGCAGATACATTAGGAGTGGAGTGTGTGATTGTCTACCATCACTCCCCAGGCTTCAGGAATCCTAAGATGCAGAAGATACCAGGAATGCTGAAGGAACCCATAAACCTTACTTCCTTCTTCCTTTCATGACAACTCCAGCAGCAGGTCAGCTGGTGCCTGGGATGGGAAACACAACTACAGATACACCTTGACTTATGATGTAGTTACAATCTGATAAGCGCGTTGAAAATTGAAAATATCATAAGTCAAAAATTTGTGACTCACTGAGAGCCGCAGCTGACCACTGCTGCCCAGCGTGGTAAGAGAAGTATGGTTTCTACTGAATGTCTATCACTTTTACATCATAAAGTTGAAAAATCGTAAGTTGAACCATTGTAAGTCAGATACTATCCATGCTGTATCCCAAATTGTAGCTGAGTTCAGTTCAATACTCATTTCTGGAGTGCTTACAATATAATACAAGGCACTGCGCCACGTCTTGGGGGAGGAGAGACTAAAAAATGACTGAGGCATAAAGTCTGTCCTCAAGGAGTTTACCACTAAGTGGGAGTGGGGTAAGGCAGAAGGGAAGGTAGGCTAAGACAGAATACCCAAAGAACTGTAACACAAGGCATGCTCTAAAAGGCTCAGGAAAAGTATAGGCTAACATTCAAGGACAGCCAGAATAGTATTTTATAATAAAAAAATCCTGAGGCCAGGTACGGCGACTCATGCCTGTAATCCCAGCACTTAGGGAGACAGAGGCAGAAGGATAGCTTGAGCCCAGGAGTTACCTGCCTGGGCAACATAGTGAGACCCTGCTCACCACAAAAAGGAAAAACAAAAAGCCTGAATTCCTTGTGTGACCTTGGGAAATTTACTTCAACTCTGTAAGTTTCTCATTCCTTGTTGTAAAATAAGAATAATAATTAGAAAATAAAATAAAGGGATAATGTTTGTAAACAAGCACATCCTAAACAACCAATGAATAGTAGTTTCCCTGATGGGTAGTTCCCCTCTCTCTGTTGCTGTGTATGTATTGGTTTGGGTAGAGGTGAATAAGGAAAGACACCATGAAGGAAATAGCATCTGAGATAAGCCCTAAAGGAAGGATGATATTTTGAACATTGAAAATTAAGAAGCAGGTGGAGGAGCAGTGTGAGCCAAAGGTGTGGAGGTAGGAAAGTACTGGATGGATTCAGTGAATGCTGTAGTTCCATTTTGCTGGAGTGCCAGCCCTTTTGACTCAAAATGTGATTCCCACACCAGCAGGATTAGCATCATCTGGGAACTTATAAAAGCAGACCACAACTCAGATTTACTAAATTAGAATCTGCATTTTTACAAGATCCTCAGGGAACACATGTCCACATTAAAAAGTTTGAGAAGTATTAGGGTAGAGCATAAGCTGGGGCATAGTGGGAGACAAGGCCTGAAATGGATGCGGCCTTTTTATGAGAGACTTTAGTGACTTGACCAAGTAGTTTGGGGAGTCATTAAAAGTTGCTGAAGGATCACTGCCAATGAAAATTGGTCTATGACCTGTATCCCACCTTGAAAATGGTGACTTAAAGATAAATTAGGCTCTGAAAGTTTGTCTACCACCATTCAAGCAAGCCCCTTAGTGCTTCCGAAAAGGACTTTTCCGTTTTCTTTCTCACTTCTTCTTCATTACCTTTACTTACCCATTATTTGTAACTCATACAATTACCCTTGCTTCAGCTAAACCAGTTAGAATATTGAACTCATGAAATTGACAAAGTAGGTTTCATTTGTTTGACATCAGTTAAGACCTGGCACTGAGAAATGTTCAATTGTCTTGGCTGCTAAGCCCTGTGGCTGAAGAGTAATATTGCGGTCCAACTCTTTTGGACATTGTAAATATTCCCTCAGAAGTAGCAGGTGGAATGGTTGGGTAGTGAGAGCTACAAATATGGTTTTGAGGCCTAGAATGAGGAAGCAGGAGGGGTGAATGAAAGTGAGGAGGGCCCTCCAGAGATGGATAAATCCTTCAACAGCACCTGCCAGAACATTAAGGGCCTGGCCATTATCTTAATCCCTTATTTTTCCAAAAGTTTTGAATTGAAAACAAATTTGGAGACCCTCATCTCCCAACATGGAATCTCATATCTGATTTTAAATTGAAGTCATTTGGAAAATAAGAATTAGGTTATAGAAACTTGTTTTACAGACAAATTAGCTAGACTGTTCTTATTGCCAAGTACTGATATTTTTTCAACATTAATTTATGTGTTGAGATTGTTGCCTTAATTTGAATTTATCAGATTTCTCAAGATTTTAGCCATTTTCTTTTAAAGCTAACTAATCCAGGGTGGCATTGTGTTTCTTTTCGCTAGGGTTATACAGTCTCTGAGCCACAGCTGCAGATAAAAAGTGGCATTCACTCACAGGGTCACATTTTGGTATTACAACCTGGGGCAATCATTAAAAGTGTTAGATTGCATCATGAAGGTTGGTCCTAATTTGACCTGATAGTGGACAGCTATGTAAAGTGAATTGTGACAGTAACTGTTAAAGCAGCTGGGCACAAAGAGATTATTGATCTTCTCACACAAGAATCATGAAAATTCTTTAGTGCTTTCCTCAAAGCCCACGAATCATTTGCATCTGTATGGCAGACATAACATTGCTTGTGAACTCCTTGACCTGCAGATTGGAGTATTCACTGAGCATCACACTTCATTCTGAGATGTTTAACCCCCTAGTTCCATTAGATGAGAAATGTCATTCTACAAGGAACCCCACCCCCACCCTTTCCCAATATACATACTTTCTAAAGCAGCCTCATACGTGTTATGGAGTCAGATAATCTGCATTTCAACATGACATGAAATAACAGCTGGTCAGCTGTCTACACCAGTCAACTTGGTTTTAGATGAGATTACGTTACCACATGGATTTGTTTATTGTGAACATGAGATACAGAAATAGTAGAAATCTGTAACACCAGTGTTTATTATCTATTTGTCTTTATTTTAATAATTTGTACTTCCCTTTGGACAAACTGTAAATTTTGTGGGCTGGAGGGAGGAGATGAGATGTGAGGGAAACAAATGAACGAAGTATGAGGTTTTATTAAATTTATTCTTAGGAATAAAAGGGCAAGGACTGTGAGGAATGCGTAAGACTTTGGACAATTTCTGACTTTGTTAGTTATCTGTTACTCTGTCATTTGTTTTTCTTACAGTGATTATCAGTAGAAACTTTTAAAAGTTATACATCCTATGTCTTCATTTTAGGTAAGATAAGCAAGAAGCTGTTTTAGGGAAATAAAAGGAACTCCCAAAATAGAGTAGGTGGTAGTTTTTAAAAGCAAGCTGAATGCCTGGGAGCCCAGCAAGGAATGAGTCCCAGGCGAAGCAGTGCCCCTGGATTTAGGCCTGTCAGGAATTCTATAGATAAAATTTCTATAGAAATAGAAGAATAAACTAGATAACCTCAAAACTTTCTTCCAAATCTAATATTTTTCAGTTTCATCATGTCTAGAAAAAATGGTAGAAATTGCTTCCATAAGAGATTTAAAGATAAATTCTGTAGTTTGGGTGAGGATTACAATATGGTAATTGCCAATATTTTTATATTTATGTCATAATTGAAATTTCAGCAATAAGAATTCTTGGAATTAAAGTGGTGGTTTTCTTTTTTAGTATTTAATCATTTTAATGGGACTAGTTTACTTAAAATAGCATTTGACCTGGGTCACATATACATGACACAAAAAACACCCTTTAAATACCTATTGATTTACTGATTTATTGGTTTGTTTGGTCCTGTCTTATGGAAGGAATGAAACAAAACAGTAAAAGTAGCTAGGAAGCACTGGTGTCATAGGATTTTGCTGTCTCTTTCATCCTTCCTCTTGAACTACAAATCTTTGGAGACTGTATTGGGTATTGGATGATATAAAATATGGGTTTGTGTTCAGCGAGTCAGCTTACTGAGTGAGATGTCCCCCCTCCATATGAGATCTTTCTCTATAAAAAAAATTAGGCCTGAAATGTTGTACTGAATTGTCATGATTTTCACATATCTGGATCATATATGAGGTGGATACACAGAAAGTACTTGAAATCTCAGTCTTAATTTGGTGCCAAAAATCTGTACATCCATGTAATTAATAAAATAACTATATCCCTAAGGTTACCATATGGGCCTAAAGAAAGGGCAAGCATAATTATAATAAAATGTCTATAACTGAACACCTTTAACTCATTAGATTTTTTTTTCCCCTGGATTCCTTCAACTTTTAGAAAAAGGTACAAACAGGAATGAAAAGGTTCAATGAGGAAAGCAGGGTACATCCTTGGATCAGGGCAGATTCAGAACAATCTCCTCACATTGCACATCAGTAACTAGAAATTAAAAATGGAAATTCAATGTTATAATAGTAGTAGTTAATACTTATTGAACATCTACTATGTGCCAGATGTTATGCTGAATGTTCTACATATATAATCTCATTTAATATTTTTAGCAGTCTTGTGAGTTAGGTACTCTTATTAATGTCCTTTTGCAAATTGTGGCTCCAAACCTCCGGAAAATCCTCAGTCATCTACTTAATAAGTCAGGGAAATGGACTAATATGTTATTCTGTAAAATTATCAAATGCAAAACAAAAATAAAAAGTTTTTCTGTTTCACATGAAAAAATGCTCATCATCACTGGCCATCAGAGAAATGCAAATCAAAACCACTATGAGATATCATCTCACACCAGTTAGAATGGCAATCATTAAAAAGTCAGGAAACAACAGGTGCTGGAGAGGATGTGGAGAAATAGGAACACTTTTACACTGTTGGTGGGACTGTAAACTAGTTCAACCATTGTGGAAGTCAGTGTGGCGATTCCTCAGGGATCTAGAACTAGAAATACCATTTGACCCAGCCATCCCATTACTGGGTATATACCCAAAGGACTATAAATCTTGCTGCTATAAAGACACATGCACACGTATGTTTATTGCGGCACTATTCACAATAGCAAAGACTTGGAACCAACCCAAATGTCCAACAATGATAGACTGGATTAAGAAAATGTGGCACATATACACCATGGAATACTATGCAGCCATAAAAAATGATGAGTTCATGTCCTTTGTAGGGACATGGATGAAATTGGAAACCATCATTCTCAGTAAACTATCTCAAGAACAAAAAACCAAACACCGCATATTCTCACTCATAGGTGGGAATTGAACAATGAGATCACATGAACACAGGAAGGGGAACATCACACTCTGGGGACTGTGGTGGGGTGGGGGGAGGGGGGAGGGATAGCATTGGGAGATATACCTAATGCTAGATGACACGTTAGTGGGTGCAGCGCACCAGCATGGCACATGTATACATATGTAACTAACCTGCACAATGTGCACATGTACCCTAAAACTTAAAGTATAATAATAATAATAATAAAAGAAAAAAAAAAAGTTTTTCTGTTTCACCGTCATTAATCAGAACCTCCTAATCCCTGAACATTCCTTTTCATCAGCATTTTACCATTCTGTAGTATAGTACTCAAATGATGGAGATGCACTTAGAATCTAATTATTTTAAGTAATGTTGATATAATCAGCATCAGAACTTTTAAGCTGTGGCATTAATTCTTGATTATCAGCTGTCAGGTCTTTCATTACATGGGTTAAAAGAATGAGTCATCTACCCCCATCCAATTAAGGATTAATTCATTTGGGCGCTCAAGGTATGGTGCTAGGCACCAAGAATATAATTGTGGGAGGGAGGGAGAGAGGGAAGTTTCCTTTTTAGGAGAGCTTTCAAGTTTATAGGGGGAAAGTTTGTTTTAATTTACTTAGAATAATGTAATTCTCATAAATATGTATGTGTTTATCTTTGCCACAGCCTTAGGTGTGTTATCACTCTCTTTTACACATTATGAAACCAAGACTAAGAGAGACCACATGACTTGCCAAAAGGTATCAGCTAGTAAAGGATAACCAGGATTTGAATCCCGGTCTGTCGGGATCTTTCCACTATGCCATTCTGTCTTCCATGGAACTTGTTTTGATCAGTATATTTCAGAAAGAAATTCCAAGAAAAGTTTTGGACTAGTATATTAATCATATTTGACTCTGGGACTAATCAGGTACGAGAACAATCTTCATTTGTAAATGGAATAAACATCTAGTCTTCTTTTTAAATAGTCTTGGTCATGATCTCAATTTTTTTTTAGTACATAGCAATTGATGTTTGTTTCTTTAGTTCTAGTCATGGTAGGGATTTAGTAGAACATGTATATGATGCAGTGAACAGTTCGCTTAAGATCCAGAAGCAAGTTTTACTCTTTCACTTAGTTACTCACATGATGTAAGGAAGAATGTTTGACAAGTTCCAGAAGACATTTAATGGAGGTGATCCAAGTGGAATCTGATTGCTGAAAAACAGTACTTGTTATGTGGGCTGAAAACATTAGCAAGAGGATACTCTTTATTATAAATAATAATTTAATGTCATTTCTTTTTTTTTTTTTTTTTGAGATGGAGTTTCACTCTTGTTGCCCAGGCTGGAGTGCAATGGCACGATCTCGGCTCACTGCAACCTCTGCCTACCGGGTGCAAGCGATTCTCCTGCCTCAGCCTCCCAAGTAGCTGGGATTACAGGCATGTGCCACCACGCCCGGCTTATTTTGTATTTTTAGTACAGACGGGGTTTCTCCATGTTGGTCAGGCTGGTCTCGAACTCCTGACCTCAGGTGATCTGCCTGCCTCGGCCTCCCAAAGTGCTGAGATTACAGGTGTAAGCCACCATGCCAGCCCATTAGAATCTTAGCATTCATTTTATTGAAACTTGATTGACCTTTAGCTGACTGGATTTCAAGGTTTTTTTTTTTTTAACTGACAATTTACAACATTACCTCAAGAATTGTACAGCTATGGGCCATAGAAAATTTGGGAGTTAAAGAATGAGCTATGGGCTGCGCACCGTGGCTCAAGCTTGTAATCCCAGCACTTTGGGAGGCCGAGGCTGGTGGATCACCTGAGGTAAGGAGTTTGAGACCAGCCTGGCCAACATGGCAAAACCTCATCTCTACTAAAAATACAAAAATTAGCCAGGCATGGTGGTGCATGCCTATAATCCCAGCTACTAGGGGGGCTGAGGCAGGAGGATCGCTTGAACCCGGGAGGTGGGGGTTGCAGTGAGCCAAGATCATGCTGCTGCACTCCAACCTGGGCAACAGAGCAAGGGACCATCTCAAAAAAAAAAAAAAAAAAAGAGTGAGCTATATCAGGCCAACCTGATTTCCCCCCCTTTGATAGGATTAGAGAACCAGTGGAGAAAAGGCTTACAGGAGATGTCTTAACTTTGGGCTTTAAAAAAGCTTTTGATTTCACATTTCATGAAGTTTAATTGAAACACTTGAAATTCCAGGTGCTGCTGCCAGAGGAGTAAGAACTGTCTCTGTCTCTGCTTGCCCCTGATTGAACCATGTAAGACTTGGAGAGTAGAAAATACCTTTTGCCATTTTATATGGTGCAGCAGTGACGAGTAAAGTGACCATGCTTCTAATATTATTTGAAGAGAATGAGATTAACATTACCGAAATCTAGGTCATAATTCCCCATTGCTCCAGCTACTAAATAACCCCCTTGCAATTTCTATATATTTGTTTCCTTTTCTCATTTGCCATGGAGTTATGGTTTTCTGATTTTAGAGACCCCTATATTACTATTGGAAGTGACTTTGACACAGGATAGTCTGATGATTATATCTGCATGAGATCAACATACCTTGTAATGAAAGAATGGTAAAATGTCAGGAGATAATCCAAGGAATGCAAAGCCAAACTTTTTACAAGGAACAGTGGGTCCAACCATAGCCACATTTAATGAGGGACCTATCAGTTGCTAGCTTATGACTAAAAATGTTAAGTTGCCGCAGAAACAGGAGGGATCTTACAAATGACAGAGCCACAGTCTTATATTTTAATTTTGTACTTACCGAAAAGATCTGTAAAAATTACAGAAGGCAACTGTCTTTAAGGAATTCACCTGTTTCTCCTAGGCTTTTAAGATTTAAAAGGTTTTCCACTAGTGGCTCATATAATAAAATCTGGAGACAATCCCAGTCCTTAATGGAGTCTGGACTTTGGCTTTCTTTTTCTTCTTTAGGATTGAACCAGCTGCCCTTTGACCCTGCTAACAACAACGAGCCCCTGCAGTTTGGTAGTGCCAGTGGCCCTCTGGTCACAGAAGGCCTCATTGAGAATGGAGGGGAATCAAGCAAGAAAAGAAAGAGAACAAATACTCCTTCAGGTAAGCTAGGTGATAATGCACTGTCTTAAGCCAGTACCAGAGTCAACATTTTCCCAGAGCCTAGTATGTGGCAGGTCACATACTATGCTAGAGCTTGTAGGAACTAAATAAATGAGAAAGAGTCCCCTGTCCTCATGGAACTCATTATGGGATTGAAGGAGGGAAAAGCACATACACGAATAACTGTGATAATTAGATAGAGTATCATCAGTGCTGTGGCAAGTGTGTAAAGGGTGAAAAACCGATGAGAGCACAAATGAGGAAGAGTTTAATTCTGCCTTAGGGATTATAGAACACTTCATGGCAGAAGTGCCATTTTTAGCTGATCCTTGAAGAATGGGTAGGCTTGAGACAAGAGATGAGTAAAGAGCATCGATTTAGGTAGAAGGAATTGCATGAGTGAATGGTTTCACTGTGCATTTGTCTTTGTATGTACATGTGGCAGGCCATCCTCACTTTTACTTCTAATACAGATAGCTGCATATATTTGCATCTCCCCACCTCTACCCCTGTTCCCCTCAATACCCACTATGCCTACATATGTTTTATGCCCTTATAATTCTCTTAGAACAGTTGGCAAACAGATTCTTCTAAACCCTCTATAACAGCCCAATGGAGCTTTTAGCCTCCCTTGCAATTTCTCCTACCCCAATCCCTCATGTCCCATTGGCCTATTCTCATCTTAATGTTTCTTTTTTTTTTTTTCCAAAAGGAGTGAGAAAACCATAGGAGAGCCACATCTTAACTGATCATTTGATATTTTACAATTTTATGTCTTTGTTGCATGGTTATTCATTTGGAAGTAGAATCTGTAGTATATAGAAACTGATCTGAGATTCGGGGATGGGCATAACAGACATGTTCATCATTTTTTCTTTGTTTTGTTTTTTATTATTACTTTTTACTTTCAGCTTGTGAAATGGAACATGTTTACAAATGTATCATATCTGACTCTTAGATCATAGATCTCTGCTTATAAATCAAGATATTTGTTAAATATGAGTTTGGAAAATGAAAATACAGTAAAACATTAGTTACATGGAACCCTCAAGAAATGAGTGATTCTTAGAGAGCTCTGTTTTCTGGAGCATGGAAAGGCATGGTGTATAGCCAAGGAACTGGCCTGAGTTCTAATCCTGGTTTTATCTCTTTCTGTGGCCTGGAGTTATTTGCTTAACCTCTCTGAGAGTCACTTTCTTCAGCTGTAAAGTAAAAGTGATACTAAAGCCTATGTCTTAGGATTTGTTATGACAGTTAGTTGAAATGATGTAGGTAAAGTGCTTAGCATGGTGTCTGCATACAGTAATCACTTAATAAACGTTACTATTTTATTAGCATTATTATATGATATTATAAATTTCATGTTTTAAATCATCAACGTGTTTCACATTTTTAGGTTAAGCATTATGAGTATAAACCATATGTGTGTATGTGTATAAACTCATCTGTCTTTTAAAGACATGTATTCAATATAATTTAAACTTTGCTTGATCATTTAGGGGCGTAATTCCAGTCATTAGTTATTGTACGGCACTCTAATACTTTTAAATTTTTAAGGGTTTACTAAAAAGTATAGGTTTTTTACCTCTACACTAAATTGTTCTACGCTGCGGTGGTCTTTTAGTTATTATAGCCACATTTTACACATGTCCTGTCTCCTTTCTGCTGCCTACAGTCACTTTTTATTCCTCTCATCGTCCCTTCATGTAGCAGCCGTTTTTCTCCTTCTACTGAATTAAGAACAACAACAACAACAACAACAACAAAACCCAGCCATCTCTCCAAGCTGATGTGCCAGATTAGTATAAGTAAAAGTTAAATCAGCTCTAAGTGGAACCTGCCACGGATAGAGTGCACAGAATTTAGGGCATCAACTTTAAGACATCTCTTCTGGCTCTGAGACTTTTATGATCACCTACTAGTTTTTCCATTGTATTCATGTTAAGTGATGTTAAGTGATGTGTGAGTTTAGGGTAATACCTCCTGAACTGCAGTTAACTCATGAGGGTGGGGAAAGGAAGTATGTATTAATCTGAATTGTGAATTAACTTTAAAGAATTGCAGTTTTATTTCTAATGAGCACATTCAGTGAGAGCAAAGTAACTTGCACATATAGGATTTTAACAGTAGATTATGCTAATCTATAATTAGCAGAACAATTTGCATTCAAATAATGAATATGCTGAAGTTCTTAAAAAACAGTATGTTCTTTAAAATAAGTGAAATAAGCCCCTGGCAGGCTAAATTAGCTCCCTTGAAATCTTGTTCAATATTTGCTTAGAGAACCTTTTCTTTGTTAGTAGGACAAAGGTAACTCCAACCCAGGTTAAATTACCACAAATTCCAAATTAGTGTAGTCCAAATTAATGAGATTTTACTATACAAGGAGTCTTTTATAATTGTATAATTTATACTTGAACAATTTTATAATTGTTCAGCAGCAATCTTGTGATATTGTAAATAGGCAGACAGCTTTATAATATTATTTTGTTCCTCTGCAGTACTAGACAAAAGGAAGAGGGAAGATATTTCATGAGTAGCAACTTCCCTCTTCCTTTGTCATCATTCCCTGCACTGTGGCAAGGAGGAAAGCTAGAGTTGGAAGTTCCCAAAGGAGCTACCGACCATTTCATTTCCAAGCTGCATGTCCAGTCATTGCATCACTCGGCCCTGTAACTCCACTGAGTCAAAGCCATCTCTCTCCCTCTCCTTCCCTGCAAACGAGGGAGGGATATTTGCTTGCAGATCCAGTTCCACACTACACAATCTTTTTTCCTCCCTTTCCCAACCCTCCTACCTCTTCCATTTTCTACAAACTGCCTCTTTCCTTTTGTACTAAAACTGATTTCTTAAAGGTCACCTGTGACCTTCAGATTGTCAAAGTCAGTGGCCTTTTGGCAGGTCGCAACCACCTTGAACTCTTTGTTTCATTTGATGCTATTAACAATGCCCCCTTCTTTGTATTTTCTCTACTTTTGCTTTCCTTGGTAATACACTTTGCAGATTCTTCCTTTACTGTCTCCTTCAAGCCTTCTTTCTCATTTTCTTCATCCCTCGACTGTAAGTATACTATTACCCACATTTCTAGATGAAGAAATAAAGGATAAACTTACCCAAAGTTGAATGTCTAGCAAGTGGTTTACCCAGGCCTCTAACTCCAAAGTCTATTTCTAACTACTATGCTGAAGTTACTGTGTCTAAAGTTATTAGGAATCTAGAACCACCACTAAAATGTATGTAAAACATTGGTGCAGACTAGGGAAAGCTGTGTTTATGTGGAAATAAATAGGTAAGAATAAGAGGAGCAGGCCTTGGATATGATAATCTTGAGGATCCCTTCAAACTCAGATCTCATGGTTCCTCTTTTCAGCTTTCTTTTTTTTCTGCTACTCCCCAAAACAAGTCTTCTATTTCAGCCACACCGATCCACTACTTTTCTCTGAAGACACTGTGCTTACCTACCTCACCACCGTGCTCATACCATTCATTTCCCTTTCCCAGCATGCTCCCCTTCTTCTTTCACTTGTCAAAGTCTTATCCAACTGTCAGTGCCTAGTACAAGTCCTACCCTCTATAAGAAGCCTTCTGGATCATCTTAATTAGAAATGTTCTCTTGTACCTCTGAAATATATCGGTCATTAAATTCATATCAATCACTTGACACTGATTGTGGACCACCTTGAACTATTGCTTATGAGTTTGTGTATATATATATATGCCTTAGCTTTTCAACTCAGTTATAACTCCCCTGTTGGAAGGGCCCCAACTCTCTTAGCAGAGATATGGTGTCTTACACAAAATAGATGCTCCAGAAATATTTGTTGCTTGATCACATATTTGATTGAATAATTGCTTTCTCTATGCCTTTATATTCCCTATTATTTTCTTGTTATTTTCAGGATAGAGCTTTGCACGAAACTCTGCCTTTGTATCTGAATTTGACCAACTGACAGCTTCACTTGTCCCTAAAGGCTACTCAGACATTTGTGAGATTACATCCTTAGAACAGGCACAAATCAAATCTGGGTGCTTGTGAAAAAAAAAAATACCTGGCCCTAATGGAATCCTTGCCTTATTACAGCTGAGATTTCTTAAGTGCCCAAGGGAAACTGATAGGTAGAGTTTAAATGTCCTGCCTCAACTATGAAGTAGACCAGTAATCAGGATTAGACATTACTGCCATATTTGACCACATAATCTTTCTTTGTGGATCTGGTTGCTTTGTAGCTTTTATAAGATGAGCTCAGAATTCTTCAGAGTGTGTTTCCTCTTAAATTTTACCTTTTCCCCATGGAAATGTTTCCTTGGTGATGCTGTAGCTGTACAAATTGTCTAAGATGGCAGCAAATCCATTTATTCAGATGGTACTCTATAGCAAAAGAGTAGAAGATTGTTAAACCCATGTAAAATCACAATGCCAAGTTCGTTTCTCAAAGTTGCCAACTGCCTCCTGGTTTGAGAGCCATCTGGATTTGTAGAAGCAGAAATACCAACTCTTTCATGAAATACTTCCACTAAAGTGGAAAAAACCATGAGTCAACAAGGCCAACTGGATGATGACTAAAATCGAATGCATTGTTTTAAGCAACATCATGGTACAATAATATTCAAAGAAGGTGTCAGCTCTCTGGAAGAGTGGGAAACTACCCAGGAATAATTACAATACCAAAGTGAGCATCCAGGTGTGGGCAGAGTCCTATTTCCATTGTCTTTTCTCTATAAGCCTGGGTTGAAAGATAGATTTGTCCTTAAATGCGTCAAAAGTAGTATTGCCGAAGTTCATGTGAATAACGAATGACTCAGTGTGAAAAGAGGGATCTTCAGCCAGTTTTCATTTGCAATAATTATTTAATCACAAAAGTTCAAGATCTCCAGAAAGACCCTTCAAAATCAATAATAATTTGTATTGGTATGGTGATTGTTTCTTTCTCTTAATGTATTCTCATACTCATTGCGTTTTACACATGAGGTGCTAATCACTAGAGAAGAGAAATAACTTTATCTAAGGTAGACTAGCATCACCAGGAGTGTTATAATTAAATAAGGACCTCCAGAGAGTATCCAGTCTTGATCATAGACCTCCCAACTCCATTCTCAGCTTTCCTTTAGAAATTCTGGAAATCAAAATGATACTTGACAATATAAAGACAGTGAACAATTACAGCACTACAAGGCTAGATTAATAGGAGAAAGTGGGCCTGTAGAGCAGCAAGAAGAAATTTGGTCAGCCATAAAGAAGAACTATTATCAGAATGGGTTATCAGAAAACTTGTTCAGGCTCACTTGGAAGAGAAATATAAAAAGGAGATGAACACTCATCTGCTTGAGAGTACTTTTGTTTCCTTTCTTACCTGAAAGGAGGGCTACGAACCAGGAAACTTTTCTATGACACTTATAGCCTTTTGATTTACCTCAGACTCACAGGACTGAGACTTTTTATTTCATGTGTACTTTGAAGTCCACAGATGAAAGCGTTGATTGTTTTTAAAGAGAGAAAATGCCACCATTTTATATCTTGGTGTGTGGTATTTCTAGCATGTCAGCTGAATTATTATCTTGCCAAAGGCAAGAAGAGCCTATTGTTCCCTCAGATAGAATTAAAATAAGAAAAAGGGTAGACTAATAGCCCTACTCAGTTTCTTTAGTCCTTTGGACATTTTCATCTGATTACAGCTTCAAGAAATAAAACCATTATCTTGAAAACTGGAGGATCAAAAAAGTAAGCCTACTTTCTTTCTCAGGTCTGATAGAAGAAATCCAGTGTGAAGTTTTCATTTTCAAGGACTGTCCAGGGGAGGGCAGACAGGGTGGCACAAAAGAGGCAGGATAGAAAAATGGAAATACATCTCTCTTAAGTTGCCCGAATCATTGAAATAGCTTTGGAATGATTTTGTGACTTCATTGTACTTAAGTCATTAGGAATTCTCTCAGCAGACATGAAGTGTAAGTAGCCTGATACGTTGGTAATATAGAGGCTAGTGGTAGATGTTTAAGTCTAGTGTTTTAGAGTTGGAGACAACCTCAACTAACTCCAGCATTTTTTTTTTTTTTTTGAGAGAGAGAGAGTCTCACTCTGTCACCCAGGCTGGAGTGCAGTGGCTCTATCACAGCTCACCTCCCAAGCCTCAGGTGATTCTCTTGCCTCAGCTCCCCCCGAGTAGCTGGAACTACAAATGTGCACCACCACACCTGGATAATTTTGGTATTTTTAATAGAGACAGGGTTTCTCCACGTTGCCCAGGCTGGTCTCGAACTCCTGGGCTCAAAAGATCCACCCGCCTCAGCCTCCCAAAGTGCTGAGATTACAGGCATGAGCCATCATGCCTGGCCAAACTCCATCATTTTTATAAATGAAGAAACTGAGACCCAGAGAAGGGATTTATCTAAGGTCACATGGTTAATTCATGGCAGAATGAGAACTAGTTATTACCAGACCCATATAATCATTTCAAATTGGCTAGGACTGTGGCATGTAATTGATTCATTTTTACTGTGAAAGTGTATCTGTAACCTGGAAATGCTAACTTCTCTCATGCTAATAGTACTACGTGATTTGTCACAAGCTCACCTGGTGGTATGGGAGGCCCCGTATCTGTTTTGGCTGCTGCACAGGGGAAGGCACTTTGTTCTCAAGACAGAAAAGAGTTTGAGACTGGGAAATACCTATGAAGGAATTGCTTTCTTAGAGCAGAACTCGGGCAACTCAGCAAATTACAGAAGAATCTTTTTGTGACACCTGATTACTTGGTAAGGGACAGTTTGTGTCCTCCATCCCAGCCTACCCTTAAGGCCACTCCATTCAAGCAGGAAAACATTTTATACTTATGTTTTGTCTGTGGTTGTGTTAGGCCATTCTTTCATTGCTATAAAGAAATACCTGAGACTGGGTAATTTATAAAGAAAAGAGGTTTAATTGTCTCACGGTTCGGCAGACTTTATAGGAAGCATGGTACTGGCATCTGCTCAGCTTCTGGGGAGGCCTTAGGAAGCTTTTACTCATGGCAGAACTCAAAGGGGAAGCAGGCATGTCACATGGCGAAAGCAGGAGCAAGAGAGAGAGTGGAGGGGGAGACGCCACACTTTACAACAACCAGATTTCATAAGAACTCACTATCACAAGGACAGCATCAAGCCATGAGGGATCTTCCCCCATGACCAAAACACCTCTCACCAGGCCCCACCTCCAACATTGGGGATTATAATTCAGCATGAGATTTGGGCAGGAACAAATACCTAAACTATATCAGTGATTTAAACTTTGTTGTATAACTTCGTCTAGAGAATCTCTTTCAATTTCGTGATTATTGGGCAAAGATTTGTCTGGAAAAAAAATCAGTTTTAGGTGAGTAAAACTGAATTTCAGAGTAAGAGGATTCTTGCATTTTGAGAGGTTGTTTTCATCTCCTCCTAGCTTAGTAAAGTGCAGAAAGCAAATGTCATTTTTGTCCTTGGGACCTGTAAGGTCCTCGCTAGCCTTAATAAGGGAAAGGAGCACACTCAGACATGTAGTGAAAACTATACTGAAGTCTGTGCTTTTAGTACTGAATTTGACACTTATTATTAGACTTTTGGCCTTAGGTGGACCACAGAAGCCATTTCTAAGCCTCAGTTTCCAAATTTGTTTAATGGGGAAAGCAACTTAAAAGCAGTCAGATAATACTTTTATGGTTACTGCTCTGCTTGTTATGGTGTAAGAGCATGAAATAACCACACTGGTTTTCTTTTTCCAGTTCTGAATCAAACTGAGAAAAAAAAAACACAAAACACCTCAGGAGGAACAAAATATGGCATCGACTTTATTATAGATAAAATTATGTTGAAGAACATGGCTTGTGTCTAAGGCCTAATGAGACTTCCTACCACCTCTAGCTTCAAATGTATTCCTTGATACTCACCTGTGGAGATGAGTGAGCCTTCAGAGCAGACCATTTACCGTCCCAGCGCCCTTGAGAGTGATGGCCTGTGTCACACTTCAGTGGAAGCTAGAAATGAAGAGCAAAATGGGCCTGTAGGTCTACCTCTAGAAGATGGTGCCTGTGCCCTGACTAGGCTCTACTCACTCATAAAAGAGTTGGAGGGCATTTAGACCTGAGAGCCAGAATGCACAGGATAGGCCATGAATAAGTACTTATTTTTATTTTTTTATAATATTAGTATTTTTTTTTTTGAGACAGGGTCTCCCTCTGTCACCCAGGCTGGAGTGCAGTGGTGCTGTCTCAGGTCACTGCAGCCTTGAACTCCAGGTCTCAAGCAACCCTCCTGCCCCAGCACCCCAAGTAGCTGGGACTACAGGCCATGCCTCTATGCCTGGCTAATTTTTGTATTTTTTGTAGAGACGGGGTTTCGCCAGGTTGCCCAGCCTGGTCTGGAACTCCTAGCTCAAGCCATCCACGCGCCTTGTCCTCCCAAAGTGCTGGGATTACAGGCATGATAATCAGATAAGTCAATCTTGCTCCTGTGCCAAAGAACAAGCAGGGGTGAAAGCCCAGAGAAGTTTTTATGGTACTCTGTGTCCCCCTCCACAAACACAATGGAAATTTCTTCTTCGCCACAGAATGGCAACAAGTGGGGACAAGAACCAAACCCCTACAATCCCCAATATCACTGTTTAAGATTAGCATGATTTTGATTTTTCAAAGTCTTTTCCTTAGGATTTTTTTATACCAGGGGAAACTGGCAATGACAGTCCATTGTGTGGTATAGGTAAATAGGGTTGTTCTAGTACACATGTGTTACATTTATATTTTACTTCTTCATGTACAAAATTGAGACATTCCAAATGGAATCAAACTCATATCCTCTATTGTTGAAGTAGTACCTTACAATGAAGAGATTTCATTTTTATAAATTTGAAACACAGAATACTTCTGCTGCCATTTCAGCATTGTCACATGTGGTTGCAAACTCTACAAGCTTTCCCTTCTCTTCCACAACACCAAAGTATAACAATTAAAATACCGTTTTACTACTACTACTAATAGCTAATACCTATGGAACACCTACTGTGTGCCTGACACTATGTATTTCAAATATATTATTTGATTTTCACAGCAACCCTATCAGGTAAGCACAGTTATTATCCTCACTTTACAGATAAGGAAACAAACACAGATACTAATTTGTCCAAATAGTAATGTGTCCCAATAGTAAGTAGAGGAGGTGAGATTCAAACCCAGGCAATATAGCTCCAAAATCAGTGTCTGGAATCAATTAAATCAAAATGAAAATGGGGCCAGGTGTCTATGCTATTTCAGAGCACCCCAGAGGATTCCAATATGCAGCCACACTTGAGAAGCAGTGCAGCTAATTATACTGTATCAAAGGACTATTATACATGTACCTAGGCCACTGTGATTCAGAATGCTGGACATTTGTAGTATTCTGTGACACAGTGTGTCCAGAGTCCTCTATTAGGAACTGAAATGACAGAAGTGACAGTAACAGAGTAGACCAAAAGATGGTAAAGTGGTTGTGTAAATGTTGACCTCTCTAGGTATCTCAACACAGAAAGAAGAGACCACCTAATTTGCAATTTTCTCTTTCTCTGCTTTCTCTGCTCTATTTCCTGATGTCCATTGATTATCTACAGAAATAAAAATCCATAATGATGAAATTCCCTCTTTTTGTGTGCTAAGGGGACAGTCTTGATTTTTTTCCAATCTTCCATATCCTCCATAATGTGAGCTATTCAATTTAAGTCATGTAGATTGTAGTATTTCACATTGAGCAATTGCTTGTGTAATATAATTAATTTTAAAATATTTTGCTTATTCTGCATTTGAATTTTAAGCAAAAGCATCTTTAGTGTTCAAGCTGTTTTGTAGAATATGGTGAGGTGATGAGAGTGGTACACAAAACCATTAGAGAGATACTCAACTGCAGAAACAGAGTGTACTAATTTTGGGAGAGGGGGCAGGTTTCAGCAGGTGGCATTCCCTATCTCCAGCCACATTCTTCTGCATATTTGATTCAATAGAAACTATAACAGCAGCAGTAGCTTTTATTAAATATTGATTGTATGCCAACCGCTATGACCAAGTGCTTTACATGTATAAACTCAAGCAAACTTCCCAAGAAATCTGTAAGATAGACACCATTCCCCACTTCTTTACAGATTTTTTAAAAACCTGAGGCTTGGAAAACATAGGAAATTTTTCCAGGCGACAACTAATAAATAGTATAAGCAGATTTGAAAGAGGGAGGCAGAGTAACAGTTGTTAAGAGCACGTGTTCAGAATCCTGGCCCTGACTTTAGGCAAGTTATTGCAGCTCTTGAAGCCTAGTTTCTTTACCTACAAAATAGAGGTAATAATACCAAGTGCACAGGGTTGTTTTAGGATTCAGTGAGAAAACGAATAAATAGTGCTTAGTGCCTGGTTTTCTTTTATTCAGTGAATATTTATTTAGTCTTAATAAGTGTGAGGCATAGTGGTAGGCTTTAAGTTACCACAATAAGCTGTGAATGAGACAGAATCCAATTCTGGCCTTGAGATGCTAACAGTCTAGTAAAGAAGACAGTCATTAAGCAAATAACTACGCTAACAATTATTTGCAATTATGCTGAATGCTATGAAAGAGTGACAGGTCGTAGTGAACACTCAGTAAATAAGAGCAAATATTTACTGAGTGTCTTTTACGTACTAGGCACTATGCCAGGTAGAAGATTGAGTGCAAGTGCACAATTGGGATGAAGAGTGGAGGCATTTTCATGAAATTTTATGTGAAATTAGGGTGCAGCTAAAGAAGCCATCTGCTTTCTTCTGGTCGGTCAAGGAAGCTTCGTGGGGAGGAGGTAAAACGTAGAAGATGCTTGGTGTAGTTTATTGGAAAGATAAGAGATCAAGTTGAAAACATCCCATCTTTGCCCAAGATTAGTTCCTGGAGATTGTGTAAATCTTGTAATGTGAGAGGCATTCCCAGCATGAGTGGCCTTTTTATCTGGCAAGAGGCTTGTGTGACAAACCACAGTGACCAGGCTTTTTCTCTGAGATGAACACTAAGTGCTGAATTTGCTTCAGAGCTTGACATAAAGTCTGAGCAGGCAACAAGTCATAACTACATACCGTTTTCAGATGCTGATTCACATATCACCTCATACAAATACAGTGGTTCTGCTGGCAAGCTGTTTTCTAATCTGGCCTTTTTTATTCCCCTCCATAATTACCCTGATCTAGGATGAACAGCCTGAGAAACATTGACTAATGCATCCTAAATTACATTAGCAAGGCAACCACAAGCTTTCAGCTTCTCTTGATTTTGTGTGAGGTCTCTGTTAAGCAGTTATTACCACATTAGGTGTGCAGAGAGGACTACAGATCTTCCAGGCTGCAGCTTGCCATCAGTTAAGACTGTCATCCTTTGCTACAAAGCACCACACTCTCAGTGGCATTGCCTACAAAGCGGGAGATGCCTTTCACTTTTTGCCCTCCTGTCAAACAGCCAGTCAGTCGAGTAGAAAGCTTTGTCTTGCAGCTCAGACTGCCCAGAAGTATTTTCTGCCTTGATTGGAGCAAGTGAAGAAGTGGTAGCTAAGGAACTTTACTCTGCCTTCCTTCTGGGCCCCTAACTGATGTTTACTGTAACTTAGGACTTGGCACACTAGTAAGTGAAAGTCTTTTCACCATAACCCTGTGAAGAAGGTCCTATTAGTACTCTCATCTTGCATATGAGGTAAGTGAGGTTCAGAGGCTCACTGGATTGCACAAGATGAGACAGCCAGTAGGCTCTTCAAACGCAGGTTTTTAAATGACAGTGAGACCTGTGCACTTTGCATTATGCCCCACTGCTTTCTAAGATTTCTGAAGAAGGAAGTGATTTGATCTGAGCTAGACTTTCAGAAGATACTCTAACCAGAAGGTTATCATGGATTATAAAAAGGCAAAACTAGAACTGGGGAGACCAGGTTGAAGACTTTTGAAATAGCCCAGGGAAGTGATATATGGACCTGAGTCAGTGTTGTGGAAATAGGGATGGAGAAGAGGAGATAGATCCAAAAAACTTACTGGTGGTTTATCATTCGGAACTAATAGGGCTTGAAGAGTTGTGGAGCCTAGAAACGAAAAAAACTATATTAAAATCATCTGGCCCACTTATCTATGCAGGGTATAATTATGCCCACTTTTACAGGTGAGTCATCTCAACTGTGATTCAGCCTAAGTGACTTGTCCAAGGTCCCAAGCTAGTTGAGGCCAAAAGGAGCTGGGACTCAGAACTCCTTCCTAGTATAATCCTCTTTCCACTAACACATGGGATCTCCCAAATCTTTGTTTTATTATTTTAAGATGTTATTATTGAAGCACATAAAGGTACACAAATTATATATGTACACCAATGAACTTTCACAAACAGCATACTCGTATAACAAGCACCTGAAAGATGGCACAGAGATTTCTGGCACCTCAGAAGACTCCTGTGCCCTTTTCCAGTCACTTCCCCACAAAGATAATCTCTACCCTTACTTTCTCTCCCTCTTTTTAATAAGTGCCTGCTGGGCCATATCAGAGGTTGGGAAATTTACTATTGAGATCCTCCTGTTGATGGATACTTAAATTATTCCTGTCTTTTGGCTGCCACCACAAACAGTGCTGCAATGAACAGCCATGATCGTGCTGCTTTGTACACGTGAACAAGTATTACTCTAGAATAGACTCCAAGAAGTAAGTTTGCTGGGTTGAAGGGTTAAGGGCCTTGTACATTTTGATGACGAATACTACCACAATGGCTTCTGCAAAGGCTTCACCAAGTCAGAATCTCAACCCTGGTATTTGAGTCATTTCCTGTCTTCTTGCCAGTGCATGATATCATTAATCCTATAAATTTTTGCCAATTTGACAGGTCAGGAATGATAGCTCCTTACTGCTTTATTTGCATTTTTGTGATGAATACTGAATTTGAGCATATTTTTCAAATGTTTACTAGTCCTTTGTGTTTCTTTTATCAATCATTTGTGATATCCTTTGCCCATTTTTCTTTTTTTTTAAATTATGGACTTGTAAGGGTTCTTTTTATGTCATGTAAATTAATGCTTTCTCTGTTAAATGTGTTATAAATGTTTTCTCATGTATTTTAACACTGTTTGTGCTGTGTTCTTTCACATTGTCTGTTTTATAAAGTTACTTCCCTTTTGTAGATTCTCTAGTCATTCCTTTAAGCATGGAAATCCACACTTTCTGGAGTTTTCAGAGCAGCCCCAGTGTCACATGTTCTATCCCATTGCCCCCAAAAGTACAAGTGCGTATGTCAAATTACGTTTTCCTAATTCTATAATTAGAAAATCTAGTCATCCCACCTACAGTGGTTGGCAGTAAAGCTCTTGGTCTGTTTTCTAGACAGGCTCCAGGTGCTCTTTGAGGGAAAAATAGGGTAGCAGAACACACCTGTCTTAGAGCTGTGGAATCTGGTATGTGCTAAAGGGAATGTGAATATGGTATAAATTCTGGTCATTCTAACATCGTATCACCAGCTGTCTTTTGCTATGACATTCAGATAGCTTAGGCACGTTGGAATGTTTGGTTGCCACTTGAAAGTGTTTGATTACACAGAATGAGCTCTGGAAGAGTTCTGTCTCATGTCTATAAAGGGAAATGGAACGTCTTCTTCTTTTGGCACATGGAAAACATCTTAAATTTCTATCCATATTATTTAGGACTGTAAAAATTTGTCATCTCTAAGAAATAAAAAGTTTGCTAATCGCATTTTTAAAAATGCTCTCAGGACAATATTTAGCCTATTTATGCAAGCCATTTGGAAGCATTCTCAAGAGCAGACAATTGCAAACATAATATGCCAATATGTTTACTCGGCAAACATGTATTGGATGCCTACTGTGTGTCAGGTGATGTTGGATGGAAGGGTAGATGAATATGCTAATTTCTAGCAGAAACCGAGACTTGAGTAAGACCTAGCTCCAGTCTTCAGAGTGCGTACATCTGGTAACTAGAAATTATTTCCTTCCACTGATGAAAAACACTTTCCTAGGAATTCTAAAGGGACTACATTTGTTAGTTCTTAGTTAGAATTACTGAGTTTACATGAAAGTAATAAAACTGAATTTACTCTCATTTAATCAGTACCACTGCCTATTTCCTGCATTTTTCCCTCAGCAGCCCCATTATTATCCTCTGATTTCAGGAAAAGCCAATGTGGGCATTCAAGTAAGCAAAAAAGATATCTTGTCCTTTTCCAAAATTTCCCTTGTCCAAATGTTAGTGACATCTTTAGGTTATGTAAATGGAATTGATCTTGGTTTGGATTGATAGGTATTTAGATGGTAAAAATAAGAAAACACTGTGAGATGGGGGCTTAAGCCTGCTTAAGCCTTAATTGTCCTAAGAAGGAATGACATATTTTTCACTGAGAAATGTTCTGGGGTGATAATTGGCTTCCTGTTGCAGGCTGAACATGGCTTGAGAAGAAAATACTTCCCCTAGATTATGAAACAGGCAGCATTGGTATTGTATTTCTAAAATTAATTCAGTAAACATTTGCTCCAATAATTAGGCTTCATAGAGCGTCATGCGGAGGGTGCATTTTCCTTTGTGTGCAATTTAAAACTTTCTTAAGAGTAAGTCAGCTTAAAAAAAAGACTATGAATCTTAGACCGATCATCTTCTTCCCCTCTCTACCCTACCCTGTCACTCCCATCCAAACTATATCTGAGAAAGTTCTAAAGAATTAGGCCTTGAAGGATAGCTCTATAATTTAGAATTCTGTCACTCTGTTCTCTGCCCTCCCCACAACACACATCATTTCTCACAATTGTTCTTTGAAAGGATCAGGCTGCTTTTGCATCCAGGATAGCCCCCGAGTTATTTTTGCAAGTTAGTGGCAGCCCAGTAATTTTATCCCCTTCCCTGCCTGTGGAGCAGGTGCTCAAGTCTTTCAGTTTTCTGTGGCCACTCATGGTTAGTTTTCCTCCAGGACAAGAATTTGTAGCCCTGTGCACCTCCAGAAAGACCAAGCAATCCCCATATACAAGTCTACTGTTAGACTGAAAGCTTAGTTGGGAATAAGAAAAGAATCAGATAATGTGGCAAGGTGGTGGACAGCAGGCTGGGGTGGTTGGAAAGAGGGGACACTTAGAGATCATTTTGTTCAGTGATTCTCAACCAACATGCCTAAGGGTGTATTTATCTGACACTATAGCAGTGATCCTTGTGAGAGGGTGATAGCAGCTAGAAGGAGGTATTCCTTTTGGAGCAGCTAACAAAAAACATTTACAGGGAGAAGGGCATTTGTGTAGTTTTAGAAAACTGCTCCCTGCCCCCAGCTTTAATTGAATTAAGTTTCCAAACATACAGCAGTTCAGTATCAGAACTATGCCTTGATTTTGTGTCTTCAGACTCCCTATCCTGTCTTCTTTTTCATTGCATTCTGCTATGGGAAAAAGAAAAGAGAAAGGAAGTAACATAACAAGGGAGAAAGAAGAGAAAAGAAAATAACTGCCTGTTATGACCTGCCTGCCTCCTCCACTGTCACTTAGTCTCTTAAAAGTGTCAAATAGCCTGAACCCTTGACTTCAAATGCCAGCCACCCTGTCTCCCTTGAGCCCAGTTACAGCAACATTCAACTCCTTGCTAAAACATGCCCTATGCTTTCAATCCATTCCCTCTACCTGAAATATCCTCCTCCTCTTAACCAGGCAAAATCCAATATGCTCCCCCAAATGAAAATGTTTTACCACTGTGTGGGTTACTTTATGCAAAGATATCTGTAAGTAGTAACTTTTGGCTAAATAAGTATGCAGTGCACTTCCACAGTTTTCATCTTATTTGAAGGAAAAACATTGTCAAGACCAAGCTCCAACATGGCGACTTCTACCATTAAGGCTACCCAGATCTTCTAGTCTGAATTAAATTCTCCTGTGTTCAAATTAGCATTTTTCTCTTATAGCACTTACTATTTCTTGTGTATTATAGGAATTTATATGCACACGTAGATTCTACTAGCTTGTAAGTTCATGAAGTCAAGGTTCATGTCTTACTCATCTTTGTATCTCTTCTATCAGTACTCATCACAGTGCTACATGCATAGTAGGTACCCAGTACATGTATTGAGTGAATGAGTAAATTTTTCCTACTTTCATAGGATTTTTTTGAACTCAAAATATTTTCCGTGAGATTGTCCATATTCCAGTGACAGAAGCATTATCATGTTTATTCATTCATACATTCATTCATTCCACAAATACTTATCATATGCCTACTCTGTGCCAGGTACTGTTTTAGTTGATAGGTATACAGCAGTAAATAAAACAATATATGTTCCTGCTCTCGTGTAGCATTCTAGTGAGTGGGGCAGATAATAAACAAATAGATATATAAGTTCTGGTACTTAATTACCTCAAAAAGCAATAATAATAAAGCAAGTTAAGGGTACACAAAATGAACAAAGGCTACAATTTTGTCTTTCCTTCACAACAGTATCCTTGACCCTACCTCACCCCACCCAGTAACTAATACAGAGCTAAACATATAGTTTACTGCCTGTGATATTTACTGACTTTTGCAACATTCTTATGAAGTAGTAGAGTAAGAGCCAGTATTGATTATGGCTTGAAAGCTTGGGCTCTGGAAACTTCGGCTTAGAGCTGACATCCATAGATTAGTTTGTGATCTTACCAGTAATTAGTGTCTCTAAGCTTTCATTTTCTAAATCTGTAAAATGGAGAAAATAGCACCTACCTCATAAGGTGATTTTGCAGATTACATGAAATAATGTCAAATTACTTATTGTGAAGACTACATGAAATAATGAATGTAAAATTCTTCAGAATATAATAACCCAGAAATAGACCCATGTGCATATGGAGGTCTGATGTGTGACAGAGGTAGCATGTCAGATCAGTGGGAAATTTGGAGACTAACAAATGGAGCTGGAAAAATGGTTATCCATATGAAGAAAAATGAAAATAAAACCTGCCTCCCACCATATATACAAGATCAATTACAAGAGTATACATTTCAAAACAGAATTCCAAAACTTTTAATAGAAAATATCATAGAATATCTTCCTAACCTTGAAATAGTGAAAGATGTGTTAAGGCACAAAAAGAATCGACTATAAAATAAAAGATTGGTACATTTAACTGTATTAAAATTTAAAACTTTTTTCATCAAAATACATGTTAGAGAATGAGAAAAGACAAGTTACAAACTGAGAGAAAATATTCTTAAAATACAACTGGCAAAGAAATAATATCAAGAATACATAAAGAAGTTGGAAAAATTATTAAGAAAACATAAGCAGTCCCATAGAAAAAATGGACAAAGGACATGAACAGACATTTCAGAAAATTGTACACACACATTTGGCCAGTTAGCTTGTTCAGAGATAAAACATCATTATGAATCAGGAAAATGCAAATCAAATCACATAAGATATCTTTTATACCCAGTTGGTTGACAAAAAATAAAAAGTGACAATACCAAGCAGTCCTTCTAAATTGGGGTTCCTGGAAAGAACAAAGTACTAATGCCTTAAGACATCTATTGCATATAAATAATTGATTTCTTTCTTATGTAATTAGAATAATACTAGATATATACTATCTTTTAGAGAATTGAGAATATAGATAGACACTCAAATAATTGTCTATGTTCTGTGGTTCAGATGAGGAACCCATGCTAAGAAAGGAAAGTGTTAGACATATGAAATTCTTGAGAATAATAAAAAGCCCAGAAATGTAGAAGCACATGATTTCTTATGTGTTATTTGTAGGAATATATACAAATTGCTGCAAGCAATTTTGGCATTTTCTCTGAAAGTTGAACATACATATACCCTGTGACCCCAAAATTGTACTCCTAGGTAAATACTCAAGAGAATCTTTGATTCATTCATGGATAACAGGAGACACATGCAAGCATATTTAAAGCAGCACAATTCACAATACAAAAATCTAGAAACAACCTAAATTCTCATCAGCATTATTAATAGATTAATAAAATGTGGTATAGTCATGCAGTGGCATATTATACAGCATTCAGAACAAATGAACTACAACCACACACAAAATATGGATTAATCTTAGCAATATAAAATTAGGTGAAAAAGGAAGGCCTAAAAGATTACATAGAGCATGTTATATTTTTATGAAGTTAAATATAAAATTAAAACATATAATTTTGAGATTACATATAGGTATAATAAAACTATATAAAAAGAAAAGCAAGTGGATAATGAACACAGGATTTAGGAGATGGTTACCTTGGCTAGGAGGAGGGAGGGAGGTAGGATGGGGATGAATAACTCTTATATTTAGATGTAGATTATTATCAAGATCTTAGCTTTTATTTTGGGTTGTAGGTTTACAGGTGCTTATTACATTACTTAAAATAACTGGCTAAATAACTAGCGGACCACTGCTGAGAGTGTGTCATGAACCAAGTGTCATGACTGGTCCAATTTAATGTACCTGAGACCCTAAAATAAATACAAATTCATAAAGTATGTAGCCCAATGCTTTTAATATAAAATAAGGCTGGGTAAATGACAGTTGTCATTGCTAGCATTACTTATTCCTCCTACTCCTCATTTTTCTTTCTGTCAAGCAATCATTATCTTCCTATTGTGTCTGATAATTAATAATTCTGAGAAATATTAATTTGCATGAGATCACCCCAAATGACTAAGCAAACTAGTTTAAAATTTAATAGTTACTGAAATTTCAACCTTTTATAAATCCACTAAACATCTTTCATTAAATTGTACTTTTTTGTTAATTATGAAATTACTCTATAGATGTACTTTTAGGATGTTACCAACAACAAAAGCTTTAAGCTCTGCATATTATGACTTTGGTACTCAAAATCATAATTGTATATTAATCTAATAGTGGCAGATGGTACTGAATTAGGGCAATGTGCTAGAAAACTAAGGTGTATGATGAATCAGTTGTTAGAGAAAAAATTGTGCTCTTAGCCTGGATCTGCAAGTCTGTTAGCTATGATTGATTGATGGATTGATTGATTGGACCTTACCTAGTACCTTTTCTTCATTCTTTGCTACACACACTCTTCTTTTCCCACCATCAAAAAAAAAAAAAAACTGTACTATACCTTTTTAGGAAACAAGTTTTACTGTCTCAATGGAGAAAAAATGACTTGGAGGTGGTTATCGGATCTCAGTGTTCTTTTGTGGTTGGGGGTTCAATGTGTAATGGGAAAAAATGTAAAAGACTAGCAGAAGATGAAATCATATGAAGAAATTAGGTTATATATGTCCCTTTAACCATGAGCATCTTAAAATTTAAGACAAATCGGGAAACTTCCACTTCCAGAAGGATGGATTAGATGTGCTTTTTCCTATTCCTCCCACTAAGTACAACTAAAAACCCTGGATATTATATATTTAAAAAATCCTAAGAAGGCTGAAAGCTGCAGAGAAGGCAGATTGTCTAGGGACATCAGAACTTGAGGCGTGACATTCCTCAAGTTTTTTGGATTTTGTTTTTGCCTCATATCTCATACTCGGAGATTTTGGTTTTGCCTCATATATCTCGTACTTGGAGTTGAAAAAAACTGGTAACTCAGAAACACCAATGGGTACAGACAAAATAAAAGCCCCAACAAAAGCGTACGCTCTTTAGCCAAAGGACTAGGAAGCCTAGTAACAAGGAAAACTTGTAGACAATAGCTAAGCTCTCTACTCTAGCCAGACACCAGACACACACACAAATTGTGGTCCTACTCCTACCCACTCCCAACCAAGTAGGGAGCATAGATTTCTACCTTCATGAAGCTTTAATGAGGCACATCAACACTTCTGCCAGGGGTCTCCACCAAGATCATATCAGAGAAGGCAAAGTACCAAGCTGGAACTTTTTTTAAAATTTTATTTTTATAGAGATGAGGTCTCACTATGTTGTCCAGGTTGGTCTCAAACTCCTGAGCTCAAGTGATCCTCCTGCCTCGGCCTCCCAAAGTGCTAGGATTACAGGTGTGAGCTGCCATGCCCAGGCTGAAGCTGGAACTTTCATCCCCACTGGCCACAATGATCCAACCCACTCCTATCCCACTGTAACAGGAAAGGCCATCTGGGGAGCCTGGACTTCTGTTTGTCTCTGACAGTTAACAGTTATGAAGGTGCTCCTACCCACTAAAGTGGTATCAGAGGAGACCTCCAGGAGATTCACGACTGTATTTATCACCCAGAAATAAAAAACCACTCCTGCAAAGTGTCATTGGAGACTACTGGGGAGCTGGAACTCCCACCCCTGCCCATCAGTAACAAGGAGACTACCTCCCTCAGATATCACTGGAAGGTGAGTAGGGAACCTGGACTTCTACATCCATTTGGCAATAATGAGGCAATAACACCCCCCTCCCCTGCCTGAAACCTCGAAACATCAGGAAGGAAGAAAGAACACAATAAGCAAAACTATGGGAAAACAATCAAAAGAAAGCAAGAGTGACTATTTTAATATAAGATAAAGTAGACTACATTGCAAAGAAAAGTTCTAGGGATAAAGAGGAAGATTATATAGTGATAAAAGTATCAATTCACCAAGAACACATAGCAATTCTAAATGCATATGGACCAAAGTACTGCAAAATGTGTGAAACAAAAACCGATATAACTGAAAGGAGGATTAGACAAATCCATAACTATAGTTAAGTACTTCAACATCCCTCTCTCAATAATTGATATAACAACTAGATGGAAAATCCACAAGGGTATCAGGACTCAGCAAAATAATCAAAGAATAGGATCCAACAAGAGCAAAATACACATTCTTTTTAAACACACAATGCATACCAAGATAGACTACATCGTGGGTCATTAAACAAACCTCAAAAAATTATTAAAAATTTGAATCATATAGAGCATGCCCTCCAACCACAATGGAATAAAACGAGAATTCAGTAACAGAAAAGTAATAGGAAAATCTCCAAAGACTTGAAAACTAAACAACACACTGCTAGATAAACCATGGGTCAAAGCAAAAGTCTCAAGCAATTTTTATGAGACAGCATCTTGCTCTCTCACCCAGGGTGGAGTACAGTGGCATGATCACAACTCATTGCAGCCTCGACCTCCTGGGCTCAGGGAATCCTCCCACTTCACCCTCCCCAGTAGCTGGGACTATGGGCATGCACCACCATACTCAGCTAATTTTTAAATTTTTTTTTGTAGTGACAGGGTCTTGCTATGTTACCTACCCAGGCTGGTCTCAAAGTCCTGGCCTCAAGTGATCCTCCCACCTTGGCCTCCCAAAGTGCTGAGATTACAGGAGTGAGCCCAACCAAGTATAAAAATTTTAAAAACACATTGAACTGAATGAAAATGAAAATACAACATATCAAAATTTATGGGAAGCAGCTAAAGTAGTGCTGAGGAGGAAATTTATAGTTGCAAATATATACATTAGAAAAGAAGCAAAGTCTCAAATGAATTAATCTAAGTTCCCACCTTAAAAGTTTAGAGAAATAAGAACAAAATAAACTAAAATCAAGACGGAGGAAGAAATACTAAAGATAAGAAGAGAAATCAATGAAATTGAAAACAGAAAACAAAGAAACAAGTAACTGAATCTTTGAAAAATATCAATAAAATTGACAGTCCTTTAGCAAGACTGACAGAGAAAAAAAGACGTACAGTACCAATATGAGAAATGAAACAGAGGCTATCAGTACAAACTATCAATAATGATATAGTTTGTATATTTGTCCCCACTCAAATCTTGTGTTGAAATGTAATCCCCAGTGTTGGAGGTGGGGCCTGGTGGGAGGTGATTGGGTCATGGGGGCAGAACCCTCATGAATGACTTAGTGCTGTCCTCATGATGGTGAGTTCTTAGGAGATCTGACCATTTTAAAGTGTGTGGCACCTCCCCCTGCCCCAGCCCTTTGCTTGTACCTGCTTTCACCATGTGACATGCCTGTCCCCCATTTTGCCTTTGTCCATGAGTAAAAGCTCACTAAGGCCTCCCCAGAGGCAAAGCAGATGCCAGCACCATGCTTTCTGTAAAGTTTGCAGTACGATGAGTCAATTAAACTTCTTTCCTTTATAAATTACCAGTCTGAGCTATTTATTTATAGCAATACAAGAATGACTTAACACAGATACTAAGGGACTACTATGAACAATTCTACCTACATAAATTTGACAACATACATGAAATGAACCACTTCCTCGAGAAATATAAACTACCACAATTCATCCAAGTTTAAATGGATAATTTGAATAGCCATATAACTATTAAGAAAGTTGAATTCATCATTTAAAATCTCCCAAAATCAAATCTCTGGGGCGAGATGGTTTCACTGGAGAATACTACCAAACTTATAAAGAAGAATTACCACAAATTCTATAAAATCTCTTCCAGGAAATAGAAGAGGAGAGAACAAGTTCCAATTGATTCTATGAGACTAATATTACACAAATACTAAAAATGAGATAAAAGCAGCCCAAAGTGAAAAGTGCAGACCAGTATTCTTCATGAATACAGACGTAAAAATCCTTAACAAACTATTAGTAAGCCAAATTCAGGAATATATTGAAAGAATTACACAGCATGGCAAAGTAGGGTTTATTCCAGGGCTACAAGGGTGGTTCAGTATTTGAAAATCAATCAATGTAATCTACCATATTCACAGGCTACAGATTAAAAATCACATAATTTTGTCAAACAATGCAGAAAAAGAATTTGAAAAACTTAAACATCATCCATGATTTAAAAAAAAAAAAAACCTCTCAGAAATAGGAGTGGAGGCTAACTTCCTCTTTTTTTTTTTTTTTTTTTTTTTTTTTTTTTTTTTTGAGATGGAGTCTTGCTCTGTCACCCAGGCTGGAGTGCAGTGGCATGATCTCAGCTCACTGCAACCTCCACCTCCCAGGTTCAAGCTATTCTTCCACCTCAGGCTCCCGAGTAGCTGGGACTACAGGCACCCACCACCACGCCTGGCTAATTTTTGTATTTTTAGTAGAGACAAGGTTTCACCATATTGGCCAGGATGGTCTCGAACTCCTGACCTCGTGATCCACCTGCCTCAGCCTCCTAAAGTGCTGGGAGCCACTTCCTCACCGTGTCCAGCCACTTCCTCAATTTGATAGAGAATTCACAAAGCACCTACAGCTAACATTGTATGTACCTGTGAAAAACTGAATTGCTTTTCCCCTAAGATCAGAAACAAGGCAAGGATATACACTCTTATTCAACATAATGTTGTTAGTTTTAGCCAATGAAATAAGGTGGGAAGAAGAAATAAAAGGCTTACAGATCAGAAAAATGAGGGAAGATGAAATAAAAGGCTTACAGATCAGAAAAGTGAAAATGTCCTTATTTGCAGATGACATCACCTGCATAGAAAATCCCAAGAAATCTACAAAAGGAATAAAGAAACAAAAAAGCTCCTAGAACTAATAAGTGAGTCCATTAAGGTTGCAGGATACATGATAAGCATACAAAAATCAATTGTATTTATCTATATTAGAAATGAACACACGGACACTGAAATTCAAAAGACAATACCATTTGAAGTAATCCAAATAAAATGAAATAATTAAATATAAATTTACTGAAATGTGTACAGGAGCTGTATACTGAAAATCACAAAACACTAATGAAAGAAATCAAATAAAACCTAAATGAATGGAGTAACACATTATGTTCATGTAGAAATCACAATATAGTAAATATGTCGGTACTCATGACATCAATCTTTAGATTCAATGCAATCTCTATCAAAATTTTAGCAAGGTATTTCTGAAATAAAGGCAAGATTATCCTAACATTTATGTAGAAAGGCACAAGTCCTATAAGAGCTAAATCAATCTCAAAAAAAAAATAAAAATAAAGTGGGAAGAATCAGTCTACACAATATTAAATTTTGCTATATAGCTACAGTAATCAAGACTGTGTGGTGCTTGTGGACAGATACAGATCAATGGAACAGAATAGAGAACAGAGAAAACTACCCACATAAATGCACCCAACTGACTTTTTTTTTTTTTTTTTTTTTTTTTTTGGTACATAGTCTCGCTCTGTCACCCAGGCTGGAGTGCAGTGTCGCTATCTGGGCTCATTGCTGGTTCCAGCAATTCTCCTGCCCCAGCCTCCTGGGTAGCTGGGATTGCAGGCACACGCCACTACACCTGGCTAATTTTTGTATTTTTAGTAGAGTCGGGGTTTCACCATGTTGGCCAGGCTGGTCTCAAACTCCTGACCTCAGCTGGTCCAACCGCCTCGGCCTCCCAAAATTAATTTTTCAAATGTGCAAAAACAATTCAGTGGAGGGCATCTGACCTTTTCAGTGATACTGGAGAAATTGGACATCCATGGGTAAAATTAATGAACCTCAATCTAAACCTTACTCCTGTAAAAATATACTCAAAATGGATCATGGACTTACATTTAAAATATAAAATTATAAAACTTTTAGAGAAAAAAATAGAAGAAAATTTTCAGGACCTAAGGTTAGACAAATAATTCTTAAACTTGACACCAAAAACACAGTCCATAAAAGAAAAAAATTGATAAATTAGACTTTATCAAAATTACATTTTTATTCTGGGAAAGACCGTGTTAGGAGGATAAACAGAATGGGAGAAAACATTTGTAAACCACATATCCAACAAAGAATTAGTATCTAGGATATATAAAGAACTCTCAAATTCAACGGTAAAAAAAATAAATAATTCAATTAGAAAATTGAAAAAAGACATGAACAGACATTTCATGTAAAGTATATGCAGGCGGCAAATAAGTGTTTTAAAAGATGGTCAATATCATGAACCATTAAGGAAATGAAAATTAAAGTCACAATGAGATATCACCTTTCAGAATGGCTAAAACAAAAAATAATGACAGCACCAAATTCTGGCCAGGATTCAGAGAAACTAGATCACTCATACATTTCTGATGGGAATGTAAAATGGTATAGCCATGGGGAGAAAGTTTGGCTGTTTCTTAAAATGCCTAAGAACTCTTGCACATTGATCCCAAAGAAATGAAGACTTCATACATGAATGTTTATAGCTTTTTATTTATAATAGCCAAAAAGTACGAACAACCCAGATGTCCTTCAATGGGTGAGTAGTTAAATTGTGGTATATTTGTACCTTGAAATACTAATTAAGTATAATGAAGATCAAAGTGTCAACACATGCAACAACATCGATGAATTTCCAGAGAATTATGCTGAGTGAAAAGCCAAGCCTGAAAGGTTACATGCTGTATGATTCCATTTATATAACATTCTTGAAATGACAAAATTATAGAAATGGAGAACAGACTGGTGGTTGTCAGGGGTTAAGAAGATAGTATGTGGGAGAGAGAAGTAGTTATGACTATAAAAGTTGGGCAACATGAGAGATCCTTGTGGTGATGGAAATGTTCTGTGTCTTGACCACACCAATGTCAATATCTTGGTTGTAATATTGAACTGTAATTTTGCAAGATGCTACCATTGGGAGAAAATGGGTAAAGAATGTATAGTATTGGCTGAGCAGGTGACTCATGCCTTGCCTATAATCCCAGCACTTTGGGAGGCCAAGACAAGAGGACTGCTTTACTTCTCATAACAACTGTATAAAGTCATTTATTGTCATAAGCCTCATTTTATAGACAAGGAAACCAGGAGTTTGAGACCAGCTTGGGCAACATAGCAAGACCTCATGTCTACAGAAAGTAAACAAAATAAAAATTAGCCAGGGGTGGTGGTGTGTGCCTGTGGTCCCACCTACAGGAGAGGCTGAGCTAAGAAGACTGCTTAAGCCTGGGAGGTCGAGGCTGCAGTGAGCTGTGATTGTGCCACTGCAATCCAGCTTGGGCAACCGAGTGAGACCCTGTCTTACAAAAAAAAAAAGAATGCGTAGTATCTCTCTGTATTATTTTTTATGCCTGCAGATGAATCTATAATTATTTCTAATTAAAAGTATAATTAAAAAGAAAATATTAAGACAAGTGAATGACCACCTAAGGGACAGGACACTTAAGTACAGCTAAATCCCCATTCTGAAAAGCAGTGGTAAAAGAATTGAAACATAAGAACTGGGAAGGGCCATTTTTGAATTGATGACCTCTTCCCCATCATACCTCTTTCCTCCCTGGTCATCTTAAAGCACAAAGATTTTAACCACAAAAGGTTATTTTCTGCTGCCTGTCATGCCTTTTTGCAGAGAATGTGAAGGTGCAGGAACTAATCAGGATCTTTCTTGGAGCTACATTGTGTAAATTCTATGAATCTGCCCCTCAAGATCAATATTCCTTAGCTACATGACCTTATTCTTTCACCAGTACAGCTTGGACAAAATGCATTGTGCATGTCTATGGGAGTGGGAGACATGAATTTGTAAGGGAACGAGCATGTGTATGAATGAGCACAGGTATGCTAATGCTGGCAGGATTAGGGGAGCAGAGACAAGATAGGTTTTAGTGATAAATATATGTTGCCACATTCCCACAGGGAATTTGACATCCTCATCCTAAGGAAAATATTGAAGATGAAGAAAATAGAAGAGTGAGTAATTAAGATTTGAGAATTCTTATGGGACGTATGAAAATTTTATGCTTTAGTCACAGGAAATATTCTGAACAATTATGTAGCACTGTGCTTACAAAGGTGAAGATTCATTTACCACAGTACAGGGTACATTATTGCCTGAATGAATATGCTTTGTGCTTCCAGTTTTCATCTTTTTCAGAGGCAACTATTGCCAATTGCCTAGTTTAGCTAATAAGTTAGAGTTTTTGTACTACAAGCTGTTGTCCAAGACCCAAAGTCAATTTACCAATTAGTATTCTTCCTCTTTCCCAATAGCTTCCCACCTGCAGCTTATCCATCCAGAAAACGGGCAGAGTATGGCAAGAGATTATATTTATTGAACACAGTTTAGGGCATGAGATCCATTCAGTCTGGAGAAAATGTTAATGAATCAAGTTACAAACCCACAAGTACCAGAAACATATTCTTAGTTCTCCCTCAGAAACTGCACTGGAGAAGCAGCTTCAGTGGAGGGCCCCTCGGGTCAGAAGATAAATTAGCCACAGTGAATATCAAAAGTCAAGTACACTATCCACAGGTAGTATTCAGAGGCCAGTTACAGCAACCACAGACAGCATCCCAGGGACGATAACATCCATGAGCAGCATTTCCAAGAAAGAAGCAACGTCCATTCTGAGGCAAGATATAACATGCAAAGACTATTTCCAGGAAAGCTATGACATCCTAGACAGTCTTCACAAAAAACATACAATAGCCATAAATAGCCTTCCCAGGAAGGGTACAACATCCGCAGGCAGCAATTTGAAGCAAAGTACAATATCCTCTTTTAAAAATATGGCACTCTAGCTCTCAAGGGTGAAGTCCACATCTGTGGAAATGTTACCTACGCCAACTGTCTGATATGGGCATCATTGGAGAAAGAATGGATGTCATTCCTGAATTTATGCTTTTTGTTGTGGGATCCCGTAAGAGCTAAATAAGTCAGTGAGAAAGCAGAGGTTTGCAGATGTCAGGTTAGCTTTAGAAATGTTTGAAAAACAGATTTTCCTTGTGGCTTTTTTGTTCCTTTGTAACATAGGTCTGACAACTTTTGAGGATAAAAATTACATCATGGAGCCTGATAAAAAAATGTGACCCCATGATGTAAAAATCAAAACAATTGAACTCATGCTCATGAAGATAGTGAGTAGACGGATGGTTACCAGAGGCTGGGAAGGGTAGTGGTGGTGGGGTGGAGGGGAGGATTAATGGGTACAAAAAAATAGAAAGAATGAATAAGACCTAGTATTTGATAGTACAACAGGGTGACTATAGTCAAAATAATTTAATTGTACATTTAAAAATTACTAAAAGGGTGTGGTTTGGTTGCTTGTAACACAGAGGATAAGTGCCTGAGGGGATGGATACCCCATTTTTCATGATGTGATTATTATGCATTGCATCCCTATATCCAAATGTCTCATGTACCCTATAAATAAATATACCTACTATGTACCCATGAAAATTAAAAATTAAAAAAACATGTGACCCCATGTGCTTAGTACTCAGAAACACATGGAATCCTAGGACCATAGAACCATAAAAATTTTAGAGGTACATCTTCATTTTTTAGTTAAGGAAACTTCCCAGAGAGCAGACTTTACCAAAGTCACATAGCTCTCCTGATTCCAGTGCTATTTAGATGTTTATATGATAATAACAGTGATAAGAATTGCAACAACAACAATAGAAAAAATAACAGCTAACATTTTCTTTTGAGCTCCTACTGCACCAGGCACTGTTCTAAGAACTATACATGGATTATCCCCTTTACTTCTGATAACAACCTTATAAGGTCATTTACTGTCATTAGCCTCATTTTATAGATGAGGAAACTGAGACACAGAGAGGTTTAATGACATTGTTCCATAATGCCTCAATGATTTCCTTATTATTAGGGCTTACATCATAGGATTACCAAACTAGATTGTTAGACTAAAATCAAGTGATTGTGCTGATGTAATTTAGTCTGCAGAATTCTGGATCACTGTATGTTTCAGTGGTGATGTAATTTTCAAAAACAATCTGTTCAGACTCTATATTTTATGTGATGCAGTCTGTCCCTTAACTCCTAGTTTCTCAAATTTCTTGAGTTCTGGAAGCTTACTTAAAATATAAGCCAAATGAAAGGTTTACAAGACATGCTCTGAGCATGTAGTTTTTTAAAATGTTAGATTCAAGGGTACAGGTACAGGTTTGTTACATGAGTATTCTGCATGATGCAGAGGTTTGGGCCTCTAATGATCCTGTTACCCAAGTAATGAACATGGTACCCAACAGGTAGTTTTTCAACCCTTGCTTCCCTTCCTCTCTCCCCTCCCCCTTTTGTAATCCCCCGTGTTGATTGTTCTCATCTTTGTGTCCATGTGTACCCAATGTTTAGCTCTCACTTATAAGTGAGAAAATGCAGTATTTGGTTTTCTATTTCTGCATTAATTGTCTTAGGATAATGGCCTCCAGCTGCATCCATGTTGCTGCAAAATATATTATTTTGTTCTTTTTTATGGCTGCATAGTATTCCACAGTGTATATGTACCACATTTTCTTTATCCAATCCACCATTGATAGGTACCTGGGTTGATTCTATGTCTTTGCTGAGCACATAGATTTTTGTTGTGTTTTTCACTAGTGGACAACTAAGTGACAGTGTTTGAAAGATACCAAAGTTGGTGTATACTTGTGTTTTTCAAGTACTAGGTAGACATGTTAGACTTATTTTTCGTAAGTCAGTACAATCCATGCATTTTTCGCAAGCCAAAGACTATAAGTCCATTCTCTGAGATTCATGTGTTCAACTGGCACAGGTTGGAAAGAAATTTTATACTTCAGCTTCTTTTTTGTCTTTTTCCATATTTTTCCTTTTATTTTTAGTTGACACATAATAATTGTACATATTTATAGGATGCAGATTGATATTTTGAGCCATGTATGCAATGTGTAATGATCTAAGCAGAGTAATTAGCATACTCATCACCTCAAACATTTATTATTTGTGTTAATAATATTCAAAAATGTTCTTTTCTAGCTTTTTGAAAATACATAATAAGTATATTTAACCATATTCATCCTACATTGCTGAAGAACACCAGAACTCATTCCTCCTATCTAGCTATAATTTCATATTCATTAACCAACCTCTCCCCATGCTCCCCACCCCTTTCCATATGATCCAGCAGTCCTTCTACTGGGTATTTATCCAAGGAAAAAGAAATCAGTATATCAAAGAGTTGCCTGCACCACCATGTTCATTGCAACACTATTCACAATAGCTAAGATATAGAACCAAACTAACCGTGTATCAATAGATGAATGGATAAAGAAAATGTGGCATATATACACAATGGAATACTATTCAGCCATAAAAAAGAATGGAATCATGTCTTTGGCAGCAAAATGGATCAGCCTGGAAATAAAAGTCAGGCATGGAAAGATAAATACCACATGCTTTCAAAGAAGAGCAGAGACAGACAGACAAATGGCCAGAGGGAGATAGACAGGCGAATATAAAGATAGGAATGGACAGAGGTGGATAAAGGCAGGGATAGACAGACAGGGAAGGATAGACCAAGAAGGAGAGACAGAGCCAGTCAGATGGAAAAACAGAAAGGCAGAGGCAAACATGGATAGATAAAGGTATAGAGATCAACTGGTTAATATAGAGAGATGGAAGCATACAAAGAGAGATGGACAGACAAAGAGAAGCAGACAGGTGGAAAGGAAGGCAGACTGGCAAACAGAAAAAGATGGAGAAAAGGAGGAACAGAGACAGCAGTGAGGAACAAGGAGAGAGATATGGGGACACACTGAAACAGAAGAGATAGAATGGGGAGGTCACAAAGAGAGAGAGAAAACAGGGTAGAGAGAGAAAGACCCAGAAGCAGAGAAAGCTAAAGAACTAAAGAGAGACAGAAGGAGAGAGAAACTGAGTGAGAAAGAAAGTCAAGAAGAAAAGAGAGAGAGTAAAATTGGCAGAAAGAGAAAAGAAGCAAATAACACTCACATGGACAGACAAACCCTGAGAGATAGACAGAGAAGTGGGGTGTTGCGGGTATTGCAGAGAGATGAAGAGTTAGAATGTGATACAGGAAGACAGAGACAGAGACAAAGCAGAGAGAACACACAGAAGGAGCAAGGGACAGAGAAAGAAGTGAGGGAGATACATACAGAGCCAGAGACAGATCATCATAGAGAGAAGCAGAGACCACAAGAGACAGCAAGATAGAAAAGACAGTGAGATAGCGAGAGAAAGAGAGTCAGTGAAAGTCACTCAGACAGAGAGAGTTGGCCAGATGGAGCTATATGGGAGAGGCAAAGGAAAGAGAAAGAAAGAGATGAGGAGATAGACAAATGGAAAGAAAGCCTGATAGACTAAGAGACAGACAGGCAGAAAAACAGGAAGACGAGAGAAATAGGCAAGGAGAGAGAGAAACAGAAAGAGGCAAAAAGAAACTGTTGCAGAGAGATAGGTAGACACAGAAAAAGTGTCAGGAGAATCAGGTAGAACCGGAGAGAGACACTGAGACAGTGATTGAGAGACACACTGAGACAAGACACTTAGAGAGACAGAAAGGGAGGGCCATGAGGCATAGGAGAAAAGGCAATACAGAGAGAGATGCAGATGGAGAGAGAGAGAGACCCAAGAGAGTCTGGGGGAGAGAGATAGGGTGATAAACAAAGCAACTGATAGACTAACCAATAAAGGGAGAATCAGAAAGACACAGAGAGCAAGACAGAAAGTAGAGAGATAGAGAGCCAACTAAATGGACAGAGAGACAAACTGAGAGATGAATGAGGGCAGGGAGAAATAGTGAGAAAAAGAGGGAGTCACATGCAGGGAAATAGAGGAAACAGATGGGGAGGGAGGGAAGGAAGGAAAGAGACAGACTAAAAAAGAAAGGTTAAGGAGGGAGATGAAGAAAGAAGGAACAGGTAGAGCCTTATAGAGTCATGTCCGGGACATATTGATACAAAGACACCAACAGAGAAGTAGTCAGAAAGAGGCAGTGTAATAGATTCAATCTATCAGAAAGACATAGAGAAAATGAGAGAAAACATACTGGGAGAAAATATTTGCAAACCATATATCTGGTAAGGGTATAGTATCCAGGACATATAAAGGACTCTTACAACTCAACAACAAAAAGACAAACAACTCAATCAAAACATAGGCTAAGGACTCAAATAGACATTTCTCCAAAGAAGATATATGCAAATGGCCAATAAGCACATGAAAAGATGTTCAACATTACTAGTCATTAGGGAAATGCAAATCAAAACCATAATTAAATACCACTTTGTATCCATTAAGATGGCTAGAATCTAAAAGACAGAAAATATCAACTGTTTTCAAGAATGTGGAGAAATTGGCACCCTTCTAAATTTCTGGTAGGAGTATAAAATGGTTCAGCCACTTAGAAAACACTTTGGTGGTTCCTCAAAAAGTAAAACATAGAATTACCATATGAACCAGCAATTTCACTGCTGGGTATATCCAAAAGGATAGAAAACAGGTACTCAGACAAGCATGTATGCATGCATATATAGCTGCATATGTTCATAGCAGCTATATTCATGATAGCCAAAAAGGTGGAAACAAACCTAATGTCCATCAATGGATGAATGAATAAACAAATAGTGATATATCCATACGGTAGAATATTATTCAACCATAAAAAGTAATGAAATAATTATACATGCTACAAGGGAGATAAACCTAGAAAACATTATTCTGAGAGAAAGAAGCTGGACACATAATGTCACATGTTGTATGATTCCTTTTCTCTGAAATGTCTATAATAGGTAAATCCATGGAGACAGAAAGTAGATTGGTGGTTGCCGGTGGCTAGGGGAAGGGAGGAAGGGAGGACAACTGTTTAATGAGTACAGGCTTTTCTTTTGGAGTGATGAGAATATTTGGGGACAGGGACTAGATAAAAGTAGTGCTTGCATGCACAGTGTGAATGTACTTAATTCCACTGAATTGTTCACTTTAAAATGGTGACATTGTGACAGAAAGAGAGAGAGGAAAACAGCCTGAGAGACAGTGAGCCAGCCAGCCAAACTACTAAAGGAAAGAATAAACACAGACAGACAGATACCCAGACAGGTAGGCAGGCAGAGAGAGGGACACTTATTATAGAATGAGAGAGATATGGATAGAAACAGAGAGGTACGAATAGAGTCAAAAGACAGGGAGACAAAGAGACAGAACAGGTAGATACAGAGAGAGGGACTAATGTGGCAAGAAGCACAGAGCAGCAGACAGGCAGAGAAAGACAGATACAGAGGGAAAGAGAAATGAAAACCAACAGAGAAGAATGGGAAGACAGATTGACAAGAGAAAAACGTAGGCTGTGAGACAGAAAGACAGACTTGGGAAGAGAGAGCAACAGACAAACCAAGACAAAGAGACTGACCGAGATGGGAGACTGAAAGAGTTGGACAGATACCATGTGTTATAGGCCAAAAGACAAGAAACAGAGAAACTGAGAGGATCACAGCAAGGCTGACAGCCCGAGAGAGAGGAAGAGGGTGAGAGAAAAAAATTATAGAGAAAGATAGTCAGCTAGACAAAGAGATAGAAGTAAAGACTGAGATAAATACATGCAGACACCCAGAGAAACAAGTGGACAGACAGGCTGGTGGAGAAACAGGCAGACAGATTGGACAGATAACCAGAGTACAGACAGACAGATGGGTAACACAGAGACAGAGAAACAAAAAGAGACACATACAGAGACTGACAGAAAGACAAAAGAGACAAAGTATTAACAGAGATACTGAGACAAAGAAATGAACAAAGAGGCACAGAGAGGCAGAGATACTGACAGAGACAGGAAGGCAGACATAGAGCACCAGGCAGACCAACCAAAAGACAGACAGACTGAAAACTAGACAGGGACACTTAAACAGGGATATTTAAACAATGAGAGAAAAGTAAATAGATTGTCAGAAGCCGTTGGTCAGAGACAGATAGACAGACAGAGTGAGATGCAGACAGGCAGAGGGAGGAAGGGAGCAACAGAGAGAGAGAAGAAAGAAAGACACTGACTGAGCAACAGACAAAGAGCAACAAAGAGACAGAACCTGAGAGAGAGAACCATACAGTGACAAGAAGCAGGAAGACAGAGAGAGTGTCAAAACAGACAAGGAGACACAGGCAGAGAGGAATTGATGGATGGACTGAGAGACGGACAGAGAAACAGAAAGAAAAATAGACAGAAAAACAGATGTGCTATGACATAGACAAAAATGCAAGCAGAGAGACAAATTGCAAAATAAATGGAGAGGTGCCCTCTCACTCTTACCGTCAAAGGCCCCACCATCACTACTACAAATGCTCTTCCTTTTGAGCCTTAGATGAGTGACAACAGGGAGAAATTTTAGCATTGTCCCTAGATCATGGTAGAGACTTGGGGGAAGGTGGTGTCTGGCAAAAATTATTCAAATCATGCTCGCAAGGGGACTGAGTCTGAACATCATTGCTTTTTGGAAATATCCCATGGCCCATGTGCTATTAGGTAGAACACTTGTCCCCTGTCAGTACTGTGGAGTTTGGGTTGTTGTTATTTTGGTTTTTAAGCAAACACATGAAACCTTCCAGAAGTCCATTGTTTGCAGATTTCCCATCATGCTTCCTTTCTCCCTGGAGGAAAATGCTTTGTTTCTTTGATAAAGCAAACTGACCGCTTTTCTCCTTTACAGTTTTCTACTGAGTGTCTTGTTTTCATAGTTTAGAATTCATATAGCTCTCAGGCAAGTTTCCCTAAGATGTTTCTACTTAATATTCAGCCGCAGTGCCAAGAAGTTTAACATTATTTTCATTTTTTAAAATAAAAAATCTAGAGGAAACCTCTCTTCTTCCTGTAGGCATTTCACTTTAAATGTCTTCAAGGGACTTTGGGCTTTTTCTTAATTATGATGGGCATCTAATATTTGCTGCCCCAACTGTATGAAAATATGCAAATAAATAAGAAAGTAGACTCCATAGGTGGCCTTTTTGTTGTGCCAGACTCTAAGATGATCTTAGCCCAGCTCCTGCCCTGAAGAAGAAAGCTATGCAAAGTGAATTAAATGCTGAGGACCAGGCTCAGCCTACCTCCTAGAACCATGGGAACTAGAGAATGAGAATAGGTCTACACTGTTTGTGCTTTGCTAAGACAGCAGCAGTGACCTGGTTTCTTAGAAAATTCCCCAGCCTGCTTCATAGAGGTCATTCCACCATCATAGAGAGGTGAATAGGAAGTTCAGTACTCCAGGGCATCAAGCAACTAACATTCGCAGGAGAAAAAGTCACTCAGCCTAGGGTTTAAGATCCAAGTTGGAATGTGTCTACTGGAACTATATCCACAATCACCTAGAAAAAATAGCTTTTTTCCTCACTCTTTATGAAATTACTGTATTTTTAGAATTAAGGTGGTTCTAGGATCATCCCATCCAAATGTCCCCCAATGGAATCAATTATTTAGCTTAAGGCTCTTTCAATACCAAGGGTTTCAACTTATTTTCAGAATTTAATTCTCTTGTTCAACTTTGTAATAGTCTAGTAAGTGAAGAAATTAAAGAGGGGAGTCAATATAATTTAGTAAAAAGAGTAGACTACTAAGTAGGGAGCTTAATGTAGAAGACAGGCAGTGATAGAAAGAGGTTAAGAACACAGGCTTAAGCATCAAACTGACCTAAGCTCTGTGTAACCTGTATTACTTCAGGAAGTGTTTCACTTCTCTTTGCTTTCTGTGTAGTGGGGAAGGTAATAAGACTCCTACAGTGGTTGTGAAGAAATAAATGAGACAATGTAAGTAAGGAGTAATATACTTCCCACAGTATCTAGCACATAATAAATAGGTGCTTAATATGTTAGCTCTTATTAACTCAAAATGAAGTGACATGACAGAGTTATGGCTTCTTGATTCCTGGTTCAGTTCTCTTTGAAAATCAGGATGTACTGAATGTGTTGCAGTGTACTTAATATGTACTCTGACTTTGCCACACCAACCTTCTGTGCCCTTTGTTGTTTTTATTCTGAATTTTCACAACTTTGGGGAAAACAAGAGCCTAATGAGTATTTTCCTCTAACTATGTAACTCTACATTTGCTTGTAATCTTTGCTATTATCTGCAGTCCTGTTTTAATGGTGGCTACAGCCTCAGCTAAAATCTGAATTGCCCGCAGGCCTCCACATGTTGAATGAATACATCTGTCCAAAGACACCAGAGACTCCAAAATCAATCAGAGCCACTTCCCCAAACTGGGGACTTGGTAGATCTGAGTAATGCTCCAAGTCTGGTACACATTGCTGCAAATCTTTATTAATGGAAGACACATAGGATGAGGAACTGTTTGTCCTCTGGCTGAGCCTAATTGCACTGTGGAAAGAGCTTGCTCAGCAGAGAAGCTCTTTGAAAACCCTGCTTCAGGGGCATGAAGCCCACAGCTCAGAGCTGCTTTGTGTCTTAAAACAGGTCATCTGTATATAGTACTGGGAGTCAACCAAGGGGTGAAACTCCAAAGCAAATTCAGAGAGGTAGTGATCAATATTCTGCTGAAACCAGGAGGTACTTGGGGTTCTTTTATCTGTATGGATTATTACAAAGTTGAACAAGAGAATTAAATTCTGAAAATAAGTGGAAACCCTTGGTGTTGAAAGGGTCTTATGCTGAGTAACTGATTCCATTTTTTTTATTATTCAGACTTTTCATTTAAAAGGCCATTTCTCATATAAATAGGTTTGGGGGAATTCAGACTTTCTGCTAAGTGCTAATTGCTGTCTTAAGTGAGTTGAAAAAAAAAACAAAAACTTAGTAGACTTGTGTTCTGTCTTTTAGGAGAGTACAATGTAAGATCTCATGTGACGTTTAAGGGCTTCATTTAGAGTACTTGTTTAAACCATGATTCACAAATATTTTTCATAGCTTGACTCCCCTGCCTCCCTGGCCAAGGGAAATGCCTCAAATCACACTTCCACCCAAACCTAAAAGCAGCTTGCACCATCAAACAACTTAGGAAAACTCCATGACACCAGTCTCCTTCATATCCCAGTTAATATTTAAGAGTAGGAGATAAGCACAGATAATTCTCCTTTTATATTTTCACTGTCAGCAACCCATGTTATACTCTAATAGCCTCTTAACTGGCCTCCAAACGTTTACTCATCTCTGACTTGCACATAGCTGTCCTGTTATGATGGAGAGAGAAGGTCCTCATGGGAGCCCTGGTTCTGGCTGTGCCAGACAGACACACAGACACAGCCACCCAGCTTGGTTTGGGGCTTAGGATAACAGACAAAAATGTAATCATCTTCCCATCCTCCCTTGATTAGACCCTAGTGTCACTCTCACATTTTTCATCAGCTAGTTGGAAATGGGATTGATTTGTGGTTAGAGACTAGCTTGATTGTTTGTTCTGCTTTCCTTTGTGGTAGGGAGTTTTGGCAGTGGGAAATTCTTGTTGGAGGAAAATGGGGACCCTAGGTACATATCAGGTTGGAAATCATAGCAGTGATATTTAAAAAGCAGTACTAATTAAGGCAGAAGAAATCTGACTTCTGATAGACACCAAGAACTAATTTGCAGCTGTTATCTTACTATCCTCAATAGCTAAAACAAGGAGGGCATCTTAACTAAAGTATAAGAGAAGGCCAAAAGCAAGGTCCCAAAATAAGGAAAGATGAAGCTATGAGTTTATGAGGACTCTTGTGTTGGCAGTGAAGCAGGTACACATTAGTCCACTAGGGAAATGAAGCTATGTCAGACAGCAGACGTGACTGAAGTTCATGATTTTGTAATTGTTCCTGGAGTGTCCTGTCTGGATGGGAAAAATGGTGAGTACAGTGTCTTCTGGGAAGTCCATTGCTGCTCATTAACGGGAAGCTTAAAAGAAATGTGTATGCTGGGAAATGCACTCACCTTTCTCACCAGTTGCTTGAATTGTCACAGTAGCAATTTTTCTTTACAGCATAGATGGCTTCTTGGAAGTGAGAACGTATGCTCTCTTTGATTCAGAGGTTATAGTTCATCACAGGCTGCAGAGAACAAATGATAGATTCCGACCAAGGGCCTAAAGTTGGAGCTAGCCAACCAAATATTTTCTGGCAGTATTTAGTACTTCAGTGCCATCTTTTGTCTCTCCTTATTTAAATTCTTAAGAATCAGTTGAATGCAGGACTTTTTCTAAACTTTAATGGTTTATACTAGTAGGGAAGGGAGGGTGAACATGAAGCTTCATCAAAAAGACGACTATCTATACAGCAGTAGTTCTTAGACTGGTCAGGAAATTCACTGCATTGCTTTACAACCTTCATTAAGGGCACTCTTCCATTGAGAGCTCTCCCATGGAAAGAAGTTGGTCTTCTTTCTCTGGGTCTTCATAAATAGCCATTGCAGGGTTCTGCATGTAGTGAATAAGCAGTAGGTGGTATCACATGTACTGTTTGGTTTCTCAGCTCTCAGCACTTTAGAATCTAGATTGTGGAAAGAAGAGGAGCACTTTTTACTGTGCCTTTTTATTCTCCAATAGCTCTTCAAACACATTGTTCTGATCCTAAAGTCAAGCCTATAGAACAAACCAGGATCCTCCAAATGTGTCCCTATCTGTGCTAAAGAGACCAAGCTTTCTGTTACAAAGTAAATTTTTTTTTCAAGACAAGCATCATATGAATCCGGATATTGGACATTGTAGTTGTTTATTAATAATAACCATTATCATTTGTGCTATACTTTAGCATATTTTCAAAATGTTTTCCGTTAACAGAGGAAAGAAAAGAGGAGGGTACTGATTTAGCACAGTAGACAGTATGAAGCAGAAATACCTGTGTTTGAATCTTGGCACTGCTGTTTAACTTTTCTATCTTAAGACTCTGTTTTCTCAACTGTAAAATGGAAATAATATCTTCATACCAAACTTATAAGGTCATTGCAAAGATTAAATGTGGTAATACTCTTCAATCTTCTAGCACAGCCGTCCGCAACCTTTTTGGCACCAGGGACCGGTTTCGTGGAAGACAATTTTTCCACAGACTGAGTCGGGGGGTATGGTCTCGGGATGAAACTGTTCCACCTCAGATCATCAGGCATTATTTAGATTCTCATAAGGAACACACACCCTAGATCCTTCACATGCACAATTCACAATAGGGTTCGCACTGCTATGAGAATCTAATGTTGTTGCTGCTCTGACAGGAGACGGAGCTCAGGCTGTAATGCTCACTCACCTGCTGCTCACCTCCTGCTGTGTGGCCCAGTTCCTAACAGGCCACGGACCGGTACCAGTCTGCAGCCTAGGGGTTGGGAACCCCTATTCTAGCACAGTGATGGACAGAAAGTTGAAGTTACAGCTCTGTAAATTCTTATGTTTATACTCCACAGAGAGCCAGAGAATCATCCTGTAATCCAGTCATTCAAATGAAAGCTTTTTGAAATTTACATTTTCTACATTTTTCTCATTGTATATTTTTAACAAAATGATGTATATTTCAATTCCTGCCTATCATAAATGCAGCATATGCTATTTTCTCATGTTGTTGCATTGGTTTAATTAATAAATTAAAAATTGTTAGGATTTCAAATTGTTCAAAACTTCCACATATCTAAATGATATCCTTATCTTTTTTCAAACCCTGGCATATATATGATTTAAAAATAAATAAATGTGTCTCTCTCTGTGTGTGTGAGTGTATAAACAGAGACACATAGCAGCAATCTTACGAAGAGTTCAAAATGCTATCTTTGGACCATCAGCTCGTAATATTTAATGTTATAAAGTTGAAAACAGATAAAGTAGAATATTTACTGAGTCTTATATCAGACAGGGAACTCATAGAGCCATCTAATTCAACTCTCCTACCACCACCAGCATCCCAATACACAATTGCATATGACACATTCCTGACAGCTATTAATCTAGCCTGTATTTGAATATTCCATGTGACATTAAGATCCCTGCTTTACAGTGTAGCCATTCCCCTGTCCATGGCCCTTCCAGAGTTCTTATGGGGATTCCATGAAATGATATGTCAACAATGGACCATAGTGCTAGGCATTTAGGAAACACTCATTAAATATAACCTATTATCCTTATCACTCGATGTTGGACCACTCTTATTGTTAGGAATTTCTTTCTTATATTGAACCATAAGCTGCCTTCTGGGTCCTAGCTTTGTAATATAAAACACATCAGACCAAGTCTAATCTTTTCATCCACATGATGGTCCTTCAAATACAGTTTCCACAAGTTTTCTCCTCTCTAAGCTAAATATTCCATTTACTTCAAAATTTCCCTCACAGGGGTCGGGCATGGTGGCTCACACCTGTAATCCCAGCACTTTGGGAGGCCGAGGCAGGCAGATCACTTGAGGTCAGGAGTTCAAGACCAGCCTGGCCAACATGGTGAAATCCCATCTCTACTAAAAATACCAAAAAAAAAAAATTAGCCAGGTGTGGTGGCAGATGCCTGTAATCCCAGTTACTTGGGAGGCTGAGGCATGAGAATTACTTGAACCCAGGATGCAGAGATTGCAATGAGCCAAGATTGCATCACTGTACCCCTGCCTGGGTGACAGAGTGAGACTCTTTCTCAAAAAAAAAAAAAAAATCCCTCATAGGAAATAGTTTCCAAACACTTCACCCCAGTTACTTCAAGCCTCTAGTGATGTTAAATGTTGTTATTTGCCCATCACAACAGAATGGTGGCCAGAGCAGAAGACAATGTGTCTATTACTTCTCAGGCTCTGGAATCCACTTAGTGCTTCTAATAATACAGCCTGAGGTATATCTACTTTTCTGAAAGGCATTTCATGTTGTTGGCTCATGTTAAAGTTGCAGACTAAATCTCCTAGCTCTTTCTAGTATGAACTATAGTGAAGTCATATTTCCCCCATTCTATTCTTCTATGGTCACCCACCTTTTTTTCTTATATTATGTTCCGCTTTCGTAGTTTTGGGCCCATCATTCCAGCCACTTTCCCTCATAAAAATAAAGCTGGACATAATAACAATGCCAGGAAGTAGCAATATTCACTGTCTTCTAGCTCCAAATATTCTCAGCAGTTTATTAGTATAAGTGCTGGTTTTCACCGTCACCCTAGCACTACTCTAATCCTTCAGGAAAGCTACAGTCAGCTCTCTTGAATCCATGTGGTTTGATTCTTTCTTGTTTCCCAGAGCCTCCAGCCTCTGCTCAGTTCTGTCTTGTTTTCAGGAGAAAGCATATTCTGGTCTAGTTTGTCAAGACAGTGTACAGCAGTGGCTAGCAGTGTAGTGTATTGGAAAGAGTGTGGGCTTTGACAACAGACAGACTTGGGTTTAAGTCCTGGCAATGCTACTTACTAGCTGTGTAGCTTTGGATAAGCTATTTGAAACCTCTCTAAACCCTAGTTTATTTGGCTTTAAGATTTCAATGGGACAGTTTATATACAGTAGTGCCTTAAATACACTCAATAAAGGGTGGTACCATTTTTTTGGAAGCCCAATTATATCACCAAGTAAGTTAAGAATACTCTCCAACTTTGTCTTATCTACAGTTATAGCAAGCAAGTTTGTTATGCCTTTATCCAGAAATCATACATTAAAATATTGAGCATGACATGGTCAAGTAGAGAGCCCTGTAGCAACTATTAGAGACCTCCCTTCAAATTGTTGTCAATCCATTCATCACCACTCTTTGAGTACAATTCTTCAACCAGTTAGGAATCCAGCTAAGTTATTATCTGGTCTGATCTACATTTCTCCATCTTTTTTATAAGGCAGTTGTGAAAGATTCACTGTAAAGATGTCATTCTAGCAGCCCTTTCACAAAAAAAAAAAAAAAAAAAAAAAAAAAAAGGAAATTATCTGTACCAAACCAGACATGTTCTTACACTGGCTTTCTGGTCAGCACTTACTTTTTTAAGTGCTTGTACATCATCTGTTTAATAAGCCATTCTTTAAACAGTGACAGCCAGCAAGCTCAGCAAGCTGTCGTTTTTAGAATCTGAGTTTCCCCTTCCTCTGAAAAAGAAAGGGGAATTAAACATAAGAAAAATGGTACATGTGGCCATAGAGAGTGGCTTCCCAGGCTTCATTTATTTCAAAAGCAAGACTGCAGTCCACCCTGGACAAAGGAAAATTATATTTGAATGCTATTTGAAAACACTTGATTTGGCATAGGTTTCTGTGGCTGGTTAGAGCTACCCAGAGTTAACAGGGCAGTTTTCTTTATCGGAAACAGAGCTAGGTTGACTCTCTTCAGTCCCTCACATTCAAAGATTGCATTGTTCTCCGTCTCTCCCCCTTTAATTAGTGTATCCATCTGTTTTTCTGGTACTAAGGGGAGGCTCTTTGGTTGGTAATTACAGCGATGTCCCTGGGCTCCTATTTTGAAAGCATGCGCCACATTCATGACCTTCCAGGCTCAGGTAACAGTTGCTCTTTCCTGGGATTATGTTGTTTATTGTTATTGGCATCTGATATTTCCTTCTACTTCTCTCAAGCCAGGGTTTTCCTTCCCTGAAGTTTCTTAGACTACTCCTCCGTGTATCTGACCCTTTGCTTATTAGAAAGCGATTATACCCAGAACAAAATGCTAATTTCCCATCCATCAGAAAGTATATGAGGGCAGGGAAGTGTGTCCAGCATACCATACCTTTAAGAAATGCTTCTTAGAGGGAGAAAATGAAAGGAGCTCAGAGGGTCAAGTGGATGGAGATAAGGATGAGCAGTTTTCAGCCTTGGGCCACTTTTGCCAGCAGTTTGCTAACTGCCCTTGAGCTGATTCCCGTGGTTCCTTCTCCTTAGTCAGAAGGCATATATATATTCCCCACAGGGCAGTCTCCTCAGACTAACCATGACGGTCCTGCAGCATCAAACCATAACTTACTTGTTCAACATCATCTCCTATTCCATCCCACAGCTATGGCCATCATGGTTTTCTGAATCAGAATTTGAATAAAAAATTAAAGCAAGTGGTTGGATCAAATTTTTTTTTAGTTTTTCCATATGAAAAAACTTAACAAATGTATAAAAATGAAGTTTCATTCATTGGCTCACCTTTATTACATTTCCTATTTAATGAGTGCTTTCATGTGCCAGCACTTTGCTCAGTACTTGGTGGGATTTTATCATAGGCTCTTCATTGCAGGCCCATTTTACAGAAGAGGAAACTAAGCCCCAAGAGGTTAATTAATTAACCCAAGATAATACAGCAAGTAAGTGGTAATCCTGAGACCCAAACCCAGGTCTGTCTGACTCCAAAGGCCAAGCTCTTAACCATTGTTATGTCTTCCTTCAATGGCATTTTATTCATAAGTGAACAGAATGTTATGAAAGGCAGACAGCCCTTTGAGCACTTAGAGTGAATCATGGCTCTACTTGACATTCTCCCACTGCTCTCTACTCAAATCAGTATCCTCACAGATATGCAACCTCATGTATGCCTGCCCCTTTGGTTTAGCTCATGCTGTTCTCTTCCCATACCCTTTACTCACTCTTTAGTCTAGAATCATCCTCTTCCTCCCCTCCGCCAGTTAAATTCTATCCATCCTTTAAATGCTTAATTCCATTTCTTCCATGAATGTTTCCCTCACTGACTTCTCTCTTTCCCATGCCACCATAGCACTTATTGTTGTGACTACCATATTTAACCCTTCATTATACACTATTTAGGGCATGTGAATTTTTTTTTTTTTTTGAGACAGAGTCTCACTCAGGTGCCCAGGCTAGAGTGCAGTGGCAGAATATCTTGGCTCACAGCAACCTCCGCCTCCCAGGTTCAAGTGATTCTTGTGCCTCAGCCTCCCGAGTAGCTGGGATTACAGGTGTGCGTCACCTTGCCCAGCTGTTTTTTATATTTTTAATAGAGACAGGGTTATGCCATGTTGGCCAGGCTGGTTTCAAACTCCTGGCCTCAGGCGATCCACCCACCTCGGCCTCCCAAAGCTGGGATTACACGCGTGAGCCACCACGCCCAGCCACTTATGAATCTTTGTGAGGTCAGGAACCATGTTTTATATTTTAAATATGTTCTCATAACACTTGCATAGGGTCACTTGTGTAGATTTTCAGTAAATATTTGCCTTGACTCTAGATATATAATGATCAATTGAATTCATTGTGTTATATGTATTTTCTCAGAGCCCTCCTAGCCACCGATCCCATTCCGACAAATTAAACCTATGTCAGAAGTCTTCAAATAAGCATAAAATTACTTTGTAGCATCTAGACCCTGTACTAAGATCTGTTCTTTAACCTATATTCCTGACAACTTCTCACAAGTATAACAGGACAATTGGAGAAATATATTGGTGAGTTAGCTGGACAAGTCAAAGTCAAGGTGTGAGTTCCATTCTCAATGCTGCCACCTACTATGACCTGGGACAAACATTAACTTCTCTGAGCCCTATTTTCCTTATCAGGTAGATGGCGATAGTAATACCTATTCTCCTCACCTCGGTGGGTTGTTAAGAAAATGTAAATGAGAAAATACATTTATCAGCATGTGTTGTAAAATATAAAGCACTATACAAAAATGGGCTATTATAATTACTATTAAACCTTCTAACCATTTTTAATTGTCTAGAAAAGAGAACCACTCTTATCAATTACAGATGTTCCTCAACTTAAAGATGGGGTTACTGCCCGATAAACACATCGTAAATTGAAAATACCGTAAGTCAAAATAGATTTAATACATGTAACCCACCGAATATCATAGCTTAGCCTAGCCTACCTTAAACATGCTCAGAACTCTTATATTAGTCCACAGTTAAGCAAAATCATCTGGCAACACAGTACCCTATACAGTATTGGTTGTTTACCCTCGTGATCGTGTGGCTCACTGGGAGCTGCAGCTCACTGCCACTGCCCACCGTCACAGGAGACTAATGTACCCAATATCACTAGCCCGGGAAAAGATTAAAATTCAAAATTCAAAGTATGGTTTCCACTGAGCATATCACTTTCACAATATCGTAAAGTCAAACAAATTTTAGTCGAACCATCTTAAGTCAGGGACCATCTGTATTTCGAAGTAATTCCATCACTTCCCTGTAGAAGGGACTCCAGCTTAGTCTTCAAAGCAGGTGTTAGACTTGGCACATGGTTTCTATTAGTTGGCCAGGATTCCTTCAGTGATAGAAGCATATGTTCCTGATCTAAAAATTGACCGATGTGGACACAAAGAGGAAACCACTTTGTTTTCAGCAGGTAATAGAGCAGCTCTCTTTGGCTGCACAGTTGGGGCCTTTTGTGATAGTACTTGCTTGCTGTGCTGCCCATGGGGTGAGTTAATGAACCACTAGAGAGCTGCTCTGAATTAGAAAGGTCATACCTGACATGAGCTATTTCAGCAGAAACATCCTGTTCTTTTCCCCTCTTCAAGGGGGAGATTTTATTTTAGACCATCTGTGATTTGCCAAAAACTTAAATTGTGTGGAGGGCAGAATGACCCTTGTGAATAAATGTCAGGAGAGAAAACACACCAGGAATTACAGAATCATCAAATGTTACAAGTGAAAGATCCCTTAGAGATTATCAAGTCCAACCCTCTCATATCACAGGTGAGGAAACTAGCATCCAGAGAGAGGAAGTGACTTAGTCAAAATAACACAGAATATCTAGTGATGGAGCTGACACTAGAAGCCAAGTTTCCCAAGTCTCCATATTTCTTGTCCACTGTGCTTTCCTCTACATCAGTTCATTTAAGTTATACATTTGAGATTTTTTAAGTAGCTATAGTGATTTCAGTGTTGTTTCTCTAAAATGGAAACGCTGCCTAATCCACTAGCCAGGAACAGCTGGAAAGATCCAGCCCTATTAATTCAGAATATGGCACTTACAGGTTTTAGCACAGTAAGTTTCCATACCTTAAAATTTCTGCCACCTCCGCAGAGGAGTCAAGCAACTATTTCACACCTACACACTACACAATATTTCTAAGTTGTTTAAATCTTCAGGAAAAGACACCAGCTTTGTGAACAGCTGGATGGCATGGTGGGATATAACATCAGAGTAGAAACTGAAAGAGTGAATTTACATTTCAAGGTAACTGATGGGGGCCTTGAACAAATCACTTAATCTGCCTCTATCAAATAGAAGCCCCAGTACTAACAGCATGTCTGTGCTCCTTCTCTGGTCCTCTCTTTTGCCCTTAGATCACATAGCACCTAGCATCTTGACTCCATCCTCCAGCCCCTTGTGAACCTTTGAAACATTATCCTTTGAACTTTCTTGGTTCTCTTGATGATCTTGTCCCACTTCCCTTTCTTTTGTCCCCCTTAGACTGCCTTACCCACTCCCTACTCCTCTGAATGGCTTGTTGTGGACTGTTCCTCAGGTGTCCTGGGCTGCCTGCAAGTCCTGAGATTCTATCAGTAAATTTTGGGTGCTGTATGTCAGAAATTCCCAGGTTAGAAATTTGGGACATCTGGCTCTGCTGTAGCCCCAAATCCCAAGTAGTTGGCTCTGGTTCCGTGGATCCTGGACCTAATACATTCTCTTCTTAGATGACTATCTTTGAGTGGCCAGAACATTAAATGTGATTTAATAATATTCTAGATGGCAGGATTGGGGTGATCTGGAAGCTATGTATTTTGGAAGCATTTCAGAAGTAAGTTGTGTGTGTGTGTGTGTGTGTGTGCGTGCGCACGCGCATGCAATAAGTAACTCTTCTTTGAAGAGAAAAGGTGGAAAATACTCTTTATAGATTATATATGTCAAGTAAACTGCTTTAAGAAACTGCACCATTGATTGTAACTTAAGGCAAAGACAAGAGAATGAACTAAATTCACATAGTTAACCTTGTTCCACTGCTATTCTGGGTATCGTGGTGCTCTTTGTGACTAGGAGTGCCATACCATCTTTGGCTAAGTCATCCTTCTTTTTCCCCATTATATTTTGCCTCAGCTACGTATGTCTTTTTCAGACTCCTAAATTAAGCTGTTGTTGGACATTTTAAGACTCCTTAAAAGCTTTTCTGTAGATACACTATAATAATTCGCTTCTTCAGAAAACTGGTTTATGGAGTATGTTAGTACGGATGGGCTACAGGAAGCACTGATTCTTTTGAAATTTCTGGTTCTAACTAAGGTCACTCAGTAGTTTGGTTGTAAATTCTTCAACCCTTCTGAGTCACTTGGGGGCTTCTCTCACAACAGCTTTATCTTTGGCAGAGCTAGGATTCACTTTGGTGGATAAGGTGGCCCTATGTAAAGCATGGCCCCAATATAGAGAGTGAAAATTATCATCTCAAGTAGCAAAAATGAGACGCTCCAGTGATGTCTCCAAGCCATTTTGGTCTTGACTCTGGAGAGCAGCAACTAATATTACCCACATTGACCCAAGAGAACAGAGAAAACTAGCTTAATTCTGAGACTTCGGCCTCCTTTATTTAGCCCCCTAGAGCATGGGTCAGTAAATACCACCTATAGGCAAAATTCAGCCCACTACCTGTTTTTGTAAATAAAATTTTATTAGAACATAGCTACACCAATTGTCATATTGTCTGTGGCTGCTTTAGCACTGCAAAGGGGAAGGCAGAGTAGTTACAAGTGACTACATGGGCTGTAAAGCCTAAAATACTTACTTAGTATAGCCCGTTACATAAAAGTTTGCCATCCTCTTCTCTAAATTAAAAACAGATGTTTGAATGGAAATATGAAGGTCATTTGGATTACAATTTCAAGTAAAAGTAATTTATAAGTTGTATAGCCACAATCCCATAGCATTTTTTTTTTTTGAGATGGAGTCTCACTCTGTCACCCAGGCTGGAGTGTGGTGGCACAATCTTGGCTCCCTGCAACCTCCCCCTCCCCAAGCGACTCTCCTGCCTCAGCCTCCTGAGTAGCTGGGATTACAGGCGCCCGTCACCATGCCTGGCTAATTTTTGTATTTTTAGTAGAGACGGTGTTTCACTATGTTGGCCAGGCTGGTCTCAAACTCCTGACCTCAGGTGATCTGCCCACCTCGGCCTCCCAAAGTGTTGGGATTACAGGCATGAGACACTGCACCTGGCCATCCCGTAGTATTTTTTAGCAAAATAATTTTACTGTGCCTACTGCTTAAAAATTTAGAAGAAAAATGTGAAGAAAGATGTGAAAAATCATTCACAATCACAACACCCAGAGAGAACCTCTATCAGCATTTCATCGCATACATTTTCTGGCTTTTTTGCCAGTGTATCTATTTTTTTAATAAAAACAATTGAATCATATTGTACATACTATTCTGTAGCCTGATTTTTTTCACCTATTAATGTATCTTGGCATCTTTCAATGTCAGTAAAGATAGATTACATCATCATTCCTACTGGCTACAAAGATTTCCATTATATAAATATGTCATCTAATGTATTTAACCAATCCTCTGTTATTGGACAGTTGGGTTATTCATAATTTATTTTCTTCTTATAGCAATGCCATAATAAACATTTATTGTATGTACAACTTTTCATACTTGTATTTTTTAATATTCTTTTCCAATTTTTTAGAAATCAGTTACTTTTATTATGTCAGAAAAAAATCTTATAGTCCTCCTCTCTTCTATGGTGAACAGATATTTTCATAAATGGCAAGAGGTTTCCATTTTATTAATATAGACACAGAACCAGAGGGACCAGGAGGTCACCTTCCCTCATGGGTAGGTTGAATTAGTATACCCAGCCAACATCATTAAATAACAGCTTTGCCACCTAAAGCATGTGCATCTCAATAGGTTTTTGTGAAAGCTTCTAGTCACATTAAATATTAATGACTGAAGACAAAGCACTGCTTTAGGAGAACATAATGGCCCAAAGGAAACTGGAAGGCTCTATTTAAAAAATAGACAAAAATACCCCACAGCACTTCTAACAGGATCAAATTTCTGATGGAGATAATAGAGCTGGCAGCCAGAAGAGAAGGTGGAAACAGCAGGAAGGTGCTATGCCCTGTGGAAATGGGCTGAACACAAAATGTACTTGGAAACCCAAGATTCTCCTCCATGCCTCTGGAGCATTAGGGAAGATGGAAAATGAGCACAGAGGTGGTGATGTCCCTGCACTGCTCCTGTGAGACAGCCAGTTCCCAAAAGCTGCAGCAGGCATTCACATAAGTAGGATTGTCAATTCACCTTTGAATGTCTCAATTCAGACACATTGGATGTTCACCTAACCCCAAGGAACTCTATTGATTGCCAGTGGTCAGCCTGGGCATTTTTCAGTGGTTTTGGTAAACAGGGAGCCAGTGTTTGGGAAGGCCTGAAAGTCAGTGTTAATCAAATGTTTAATGATATCACAGAAGAGAAGAGAGCAGCAAGAAAGATGATTGTATCTATTTGAAAATACTCTGCCAGTGGTATGAATGCATTCTCCTTATAGATCCATCATCCAGATGGAAAAGAAGGCTGGTCTTTAATATTCTGTGCAATCATTTGTGTGTGAACAGTTTGCCTTTAAAAATGAGATGTCAACACTCAGTTGTTCTTTACCCAACACTTTTCTTCCAAGTTGCCTGTAGTACTGCATGGCATCGTGATAGGTAAATTGATGCCCAATTACCCAGACACATGGAGGCAGAGAAATTTCTGCTTTCTCCCTTGTCAAGCTTATGATTTCTCAGTTTTTTCTCCTCTACAACTCGCAGCCCTCTCTTTTACTTTTCCGTGCTGTCTCCATACAGAGAGCTGTCATATGGCCTGCCCTCGTCTCCTTCAGAGGCCAAGCAAAAGAATACTCCTATTACCCCTGAGATCCACTCTGCTTAAATTACTTCCGAGGAGGCTTCTGCACCAGCAGCCTAGATCTCAGCAACAGAGCTGCTTGGAGGACTTTCAGGAACTTTAGTAGTTCTGACTCTAACCCAGAGCCTCCTAACCTTCATTAATTGTGACACACCTCTCAGCTTCCAAATTTGTAAGAGCAATAACTAATATCCCGGTGAGAGGAGCAAGTGCTGGCTCTGCAGGAAAACTCTGCCTTGCTTTCCTGCACCAGAGGGATCTCTGCAGTACAGTGGATTCGCCTGCCAAGCTAGAAATCCTGCTATAATCTGGGACACCTATCTGAACTGTATTGCAAATGGCAGAGACTATTTTCAGTCTGCTCCTTCTGTCTATCCACATCTTTTTTCTTTTCCTTTTTTAAAAATTAAATTTTTGAAATTTTGAGATAACTGAAGATTCACATGCAGTTGTAAGAAATAATTCGGAGAGGTCCCATATATCCTTTACCCAGTAACGTTTTACAAAACTGTAGTATAATATCACATCCAGGATATTGACATGGATATAGTGAAGACGCAGAACAATTCCGTTTCTCATATTGCCCACCTCCCTCCTGCCTTCCACCAACTACTAATGTGTACTCCATTTCTATAATTTTGACATTTTGAGAATGTTATATAAATGGAATCATACAATATGTAATCTTTCTGGATTGGCTTTTTTCACTCAGCATAATTCCCTTGAAATTCATTTGAATAATCGTGTGTATCCATAGTTGATTGAGTATTCCATTGTAGGGCTTGCCACAGTTTTACCATTCACCTGTTGAGAGCATCGGGATTCTCCCAGTTTTTTGCTATTATAAATAAAGTTATATACATTTATGTACAAGTTTTTGTGTGAACTTAAGTCTTCATTTCTCTGGGATAAATGTTCAGGAGTGTAATTGTGGGGTCATTTGGTAGTTACATATTTCTTTAAGAAACAGCCAAACTTTTCCAGAATCCTAGCCAGCATTTGGTGTTGTCACTTTAAAAAAAAAAAAAAGCCATTCTAACAGGTATATATTGATCTCTCATTATGGTTTTGATTTGCATTTCCCTAATGATTAGTGATGTTGAGCATTTTTTTCACATAGCTATTGGCCATTTGTGTGTCTTCTTTGGAGAAATGTCTGTTCAAGTCCTTAACTTGTTTTTAAAATTAGGCTGTTAAGTTTCTTTGTTATTGAGTTGTAGGAGTTCCTTATATATTTTAGAGATTAACCCTTTGTCAGATATATGATTTATAAATATTTTATCCTATTCCATAGGTTGACTTTTCAGTCTGTTGAGTTTTTCCTTTGCTGTACAGAAACTTTTTAGTTTGATGTAGACCCACTTGTTTATATTTGTTTTGTTACACGTGCTTTGGTGTCATATACATGAAATCATTGCCTAGTCGAATGTCAAGAAGCTTTCCCCCTGTTTTCATCTAGGAGTTTTACATTTCAGGTCCTACATTTAAGTCTAATTCATTTTTAGTTGATTTTTGTGTATGGTGTAAAATAAGTGTCCAATTGTACTCTTTTGCATGTGGATATCCAGTTCTTCCAGCACTGTTTGTTAAAGAGACTGTACTTTCCCTGTTGCGTATTTTTGGTGCTCTTGTTGAAGATCAATTAACTGTACGTGTGTGTGTGTGTGTGTGTGTGTGTGTGAATGGATTTATTTCTGGGATCTCCATTCTGTGCCATTGGTCTACATATCTATCTTTAAGCCAGTACCATACTGTTTTGATTACTTCGACTTTGTAATAGTTTTTAAATCAGGAAATGTGATGCTTCCAGCTTTCTTCTTTCTCAATATTGATTTGGCTATTTGTGATCTTATGGATTTCCCTATGAATTGCAAAATTGTTCTTCCTATTTCTGTGAAAATAAAATGTCACTGGGGTTTTGATAGGGCTTGCATTGAATCTGTAGATCTCTTTGGGTAGTATGAACATCTTAACAATATTAAGTCTTCAATCCATGAACATGGAATGTCTTTTCATTTGTTTGTGTCTTCTTTAATTACTTTTGTCAATGTTTTGTAGTTTTCATTATGCAAGTCTTTTACCTCTTTATTTAGGTTTATTACTAAGTATTTTATTCTCCTTCGTGCTATTATTAATAGGAATTGTTTTCATAATTTCTCTTTCAGATAGTTCAGTGTTAGTGTATAGAAATGCAACTGATTTTTCTATATTGATTTCGTTTCCTGCAATTTTACTATATTTGTTTATTAGTTCTAACCATTTTCTTAATGGAGTCTTTGGGATTTTCTATATATAAAATCATGTCCTGTGGAAACAGGGATAATTTACCTTTTGCTTTCCTATTTGGATGCTTATTTCGTTTTCTTGCCTAATTGCTCTGGCTAGTATTTCCAGTAGTATGTTGAATAGAAGTGGTGAAAGTGGGCCTCTTTACCTTCTTCCTGATCTTAGGAGGAAAAGCTTTCAGTTTTTCACTATTGAGTGTGATATAGTTGTGGGCTTGTCACATATGACCTTTATTATGCTGAGGTCCTTTCCTTCTATTTCCAGTTTGTTGAGAGTTTTTATCAAAAAAGGGTGTTGAATTTTATCAGATACTTTTTCTGCACCCATTAAGACAATCATGTGATTTTTATTCTTATTCTCTCAATGTCATATTAATTATTTTTTGTATGTTGAACCATCCTTGTATCCTAGGGATAAATCCCATTTGATCATGATGTGTGATCTTTTTAATAGAATTCCGTTGAATTTGGTTCATTAGTATTTGTTAAATTTGTTGAAATTTTTTGCATCTGTATTCTTCAGGGATACTGTGTTTCATTTTGAGTATGACTTAGATCAAGTTTCTCCTCCTCCTTTTCCCAACTGTGGATGTCCAGTTGCTCCAGTAATATTTTGTTAAAAACTATTGAATTGGTTTTGCACCTTTGTCAAAAATCAATTGAGACTATTTGTATGGCTCCCATCTTTTGTTACCCCTGGCAACACCTCCTCTATCCACATCTCCAAAACTAGCAAAAGAGAATAAGGCAACAGAAGATGTTATGGCTTTATGCCTTTTATAAATAAAACTATAGAAATAATAATAGCTAACACATATGGAGTTTTTGCTATGTACCGTAAACTTTATGCACCTTATTTTACTTAGTCCTTAAAACATTCTATAATGCACATACTATTATTACCATTTGGCACATGAGAAAACTAATTCAGAGAGATTAAGTACCTTGCTCATTGATAGGGGGAATCTGATAATCAAACCCAGGTCTTGATCCTTAGGCCTGTAAACCAAAAATAAAATTCCAGTGCCCCCTTCAACCATCTGAATGTATCCCTCCTCAGCCAGGGCACCCTAAAATTTAACCTGAAATACAGGTTCAGGCCATGACAGTAGTAGGGGTTGGACATGCCTCATTATACCCCTCCAGCATTAACATCAACACAGACCTTAAGTCTGATAAGAAACAGTTACAGTCTATTCTCTCTAACCTAGGTCTCCACAACTCCTTATCATAACCCAGACATTCCTTTCTATTGATAACTTTTTCAACCAATTGCCAATCAGAATATATTTAAATCTACCTGTGACCTGGAAGCCCCCCATTCCCCCCATCCCACCCTCTGCCCCCCACCACTTCGAGTTGTCCTGCCCTTCCAGATCAAACCAATGTCAATCTTGCATGTATTGATTGATGTATTATGTCTCCCTAAAATGTATAAAAGCAAGCTGTTCCCTGACCACCTTCAGCACATGCCATCAGGACCTCCTGAAGCTGTGTCACAGGTGCATCCTTAACCTTGGCAAAGGATCTTTCTAAATTGATTGAGACTTGTCTCAGATGCTTTTTGATTTACAGGCCCATCTTAAACACTAGGCTTCTCCTCCTGTCAGTACCAGTTCTTTATGTGCCAGACCATCCAACCACCCTGGGTAAAAACTAGTGCTCTAATCTACAATCATTATAATGGCAGCAACATAGGACTGGTTTCTGTTCTGAACATGAAGGCAGGTCTGCATTGGTTCACAGCAACTCCTGGTTAATATCAATGGTCTTCTTATTCTTTAGGAAGTTCTAACTGGAGCAACAAATTTCTACATGTCACTTCCACCTGTCCCCACCAGCTACTGCAGTATAAAACATCAGACTGCTCTGAAACAATGCTCCTTTTCCCATTCTATTCTTGGTTATATGATCCCTCTGTGTATATACATGTGCGTATATGTGGAGGACAGAGTGACAAAGGGAAGGCTAGTGAAGGCATCTAAGAACTTGGGCCAGAACCAAAATTTGGAGGAGCAAACACAGGAAGGGAAACAGAGACTATAGTTGGACCGATTTTCTGAAACTTTAATTGACTGGTTTTCTAGCAGGAGAATCGTACCCTGTGGCTCAGACTTCTCTCTTTCACCTGTGTTGATTGGGACCTTCACCCACACATGAACACACAATACCTTGGATGATCTGGAGGACCACGTGGAAGCCTCTCAAAGACCATAGGTATTCCAGGCCACTTTGGCTAAACATTCTTTATCGAAAGCTGCTATGGCCTCCAATGCTGTTGTTATTGCTATGAGGGTTCTAGCACATGGGAAGTGTATGTTAGAAACTTTCTAGTGATTGAGCAGGCCATCTGATTAGCTGTGACGCTTTTAGTATTTCTGAATTTGTTGTGAGCCAATGCTTCATAAATATCACAAAGATGAATTTGTATTATGATAGGGAGCATTTTAGTTGATGATCAGACCTTGAAATTTACGTTTCCATATTATCTCCTATTTAACTACTTGCCTTCCATTTCTTAGTCATTGAGCTTTGGAGAGACAGTATTATACTTTGAGCTGGTTGGAGGCAGGAAGCAAAAAAAATAGTCACGGTAGAAAGGTAGTAGTTAATTAACAACAAGTGTTTTGGAAAATATTTTACTCAAATTCAAAAGGAACTCAGCTGCATAAATCCATGAGTAATATAAAAATTATGATGGTATTCTGCACTTGTGAAAATCATTTCTCTTAGTGATATTTGGAAAACATCCTGATGTGCAAACTCTAAACCCCAAACTTCTACCCTGAGGATTCAGAAGCTTTTTCCAGAATTCATGAATTTTATGATGTCTGAAAATTTCTATACATATGTCCATGGAAAAGCAAAATTTTAAGCAAAGAAAACATTTGATCTCTTGCAGAGGAGGGGATATAACCTTGAGCTTTGAGTAAGGGTTGTATGGGTAGTCATAGAGGTATTGAGTACAATATTGGTCATTATATTAAAGATGGTAGTCATTTGAAGGCTATCATCACAAGTAGTCACTTCCCCCTTGGAATACCTGGGCTATAGAGCTTTAAGCACTGTTTAAACTCTGAATGATCATGAGTCCTTTGAGTCTCACAATCCACGCAGTCCACAGACTTCAGTTTCCTTTCCTATCTAACAGGTTCTTTCCTCCTCATTGAAAAAAATTGAGCAAGTGAAAGGCCACACGTGTTCTAACTCATTTTTGTATATTAAAAAGCAAGACAGAGAAGTCATCTTTTACCTCCTGAAAAAGAAAATGCTCTTTTCTCTTTGGACCTTGTCTCTAGGAAAAGTCCATCCTCCCTACCTACGAATGTAGGTATCCCTAGAAGTATCCCTTTGCCCTAGTCATCACCTTACAGAATGTTGAGATGCAGGAAGAGGAATTAACCCTATATGTCTGGAAAACATCAGGAGAGAGAAATCACACAGTAATTTGAACAGAAAAATTTTAATATAAATATTAACTATAACAGGGGATTGGCCAGTAAGAAGTAAAAACAACTACAAAGAATATAGGACTAACAAATATAAGGAGCAGCCCCTACACCTAGAGCTGAACTAGGGCACCCAGGAGAGAACCTTTTCCCCAGGGCTGAGATCCATATCTTGCAGGACAAGGGCACAGTCATGACTCATTAAATAGCAGAGAAATTGCTGTGGTACTACATCAGCAGAACTTGCTGGAATTCTGCCCTGTGGAACTTCTGGGAAATCCACCCTCTATAGTGTCAGGGAAAGCTGGTCACAGAGAGGTATCTCACAATAGGCACCCCACCATGAAACATCCTGAGGGATGGGTACTGGGAGAAGCTGCTGGGCACTGCTGATTATACTACCAGAGCTGCATGCTTGAAAAATTGCACATGCTGCAGGAACCTGGTGCTTGGGGAGCTGTGTGTGCTGTGGGAACTGGGCCCTGGGGAAGCTGAAAGCCTGAACTACAGGAACCTGCCAAGTGAGCACACCTAGCACACCAGCACACAGGACCCACAAAGAAAAGCCCCTTCCTCCTGAAATGTCTCCCTAACGCCCTCTACTGACAAAGCTTAACATTGTGCCAGCTGGCAAAGGAAAAATATATAAAGGGCCCAGAACCATTTTCACAGAGCAGGCAACAAGGGTGAATTTGGAGCTAAGAGGTATTAGATTGATAACTAGCACACCTACATAGCTCAGGTAATAGTCCTCAGGTAATAGTAACTCTCTAATAGTGTTATTGCCTAGCCCTAGCTCGTATTCTGAGTGATCTCTCTTCCTCTTATAATTTGGAGATGAGGGGATAGAAATCAGTTGCTTCTTGCCTCATTGTCTTTTATCACCTCTAACTACATCCTGCTCAACACCAGCCCCAAGAGAAAACAGAAGATGTGATTCCAGCTCAACTCTGCAACCTTTCCTGCTCTGACTACCGAGTCTAAGTTACCTTCAACTCTTTGTCTTCCATCTACCTTCACTGTACCATTTGAGATGGGGACAAACATTTGAAGACTGTCTAAAATATGTCAGATTGCAAAAGAGGTCACAGAGTTTTGTGGTTAAGAGCATGGGCTTTGGGGTCAGGCTTGGATTAGAATTCTCATTCTACCACTTACTGCCTGTATGATCTTGGACAAGTTGCTTAATCACGTTGAACCTTCATCTCTTCAACTGTAATTGGAGATAATCACACCCACAACTCAAGAATGGTATGAGGATTTGGCGTTAGTAATATATCAAACACAAAGCCTGATACCTAGGGCCAAAAGAAAGAAATCTGACTTCAAATCTTGACCCCATCTTTTACTATTTCTGAAGCCTCTGAGCAATTTACTTAAACTTCTGTGGCTCGGTTTGCTCCCCCATAAAATAAGAATATTAGTAATACCTGTCTCATAATGTTGTTGTGAGGATTAAATGCATAGTGCTTATTTTAGTAGTTAACACAGAGGAGGTGTTCAAAAAGTGGAAGCTATATAAAGAGGTATGCCCATTAGGCATTGTGCTATATACTTTACATCTGTTCATTTACTTACTGTCTTATTCCTGTTGTCTTCCCTTCACCCAGCCTCACCTCCCTACTCCAGTGCTTCTGCCTACAAAAGGAATACAAGCAATATTTTTTGACCATCTGACTGCCTGCTGCTCCAGTGAGCAAACCTAGACCACGAGCCAGGCCCTCTTCAGCCCAGGGGCCCTCTTGAGAAAGAGTCAGAGAGCTTAGTTACTCATTCTCACTTATGACAAAAGATCTCTATCCCTTGGAAGAGAACTAATTTCCTTAGTAGTTACACAATTGCTTCTTTGAAGTTGGTCACATACCAAAGGGAGAAAGCCAACTCACAGACCTCTAAATCATCGTAAAATCGAACTCTCATTCTACTTCCAGTCATTAGCAAGAGACCAGGAGGCAAAGGGAAGTGAGACTAAATCTTGTTGAAAAGAGCATGTTTTTCTAATGTCAGCACGATATGCCCCTGGCAGAGTGCAGGCCAAGTAACACATCCAAATTCCTCCTTTATCGGAAAAACTTCAGGTACTTCACAAGCAGCCATTTGTACTCGTATATATGTTTGGCTCATCTATTGCATAAGTGAAATCCCCAGGTAAGACATCTTAACCTTTGTATTTGAAACTGATGCAACTTAGCAGGAAGCAGCAGTATGCGTGAAAATTGAAGAAGCCTGTAACTGTCTGGTCAGTCTCTTCCACTGGGCATGCATATCAGGGTGATACTGTGTATCCCCAGCCATTACTTTCACTGTGGATTCCATTGTCATCAATCCTACCCATGGAGCCTCTGCTTTACAAGGAAATCTCATAAGGGAAAGGGCTTTGCTTTGTTGGAGAGCTCTTTATATTGCACTTGAAGAGAGGTAAAGGAGTTGTTCCTGGGATGTTTCCTTGGAACTCGCAAATAAAGACTTGTGGGTTCTGCCTCTGAGCTACTATGTAACATGCCATCTGAAACTGTTTGTTCATGTGTATTCCAAGTTCTTTTGTTTGTCTAGCGTCCAACCTGAGAGATACTCCAGACAGTAAGGTATATACGATGTTCCTGGTCTTTTCTTTTAAACATATATTTGTGTGAATTCCTACTTTGTCAAATGATGTTATCACTAAGCAAGAATCTAGGATTTGACTTCCCAGCACTAGGGTATGATGAACACTTCATGCTCAATGTTGTTGCTTAGACATTCCATCTAGACAGAAATTATTATTCCAGTTCACCCCTTTACCCAGCCTGTGCCTAAGGAGCTTTGCAACTGGTGTCTACTCACAATAAGCTACTGTTGCTGTAGCTATCACCTCTAGAGATGCAGGAATTACTCACCTTGGCAGTTTCCCATATGTCCTATCCAGCTTCCTGAGAAATTTCACTAGTAATCCTGCAAACAAAACTTAACACTAGATGGCAAAGACAGCCTTACGTGAACCAAGGTCTTGGAACTCAGTCAGTCTCCCAGCAGATAAGTATTTGCTATTGATTGTAACACAGCCCCATTGAATAGACATGTGCAGGTGTGGAAAGAGAACAAGATAACTACATGCAGCCAGCCCATGCATGTTGAGGTGGGGTAGGTCTGTCACCCAGGGACCCGGATATGGGACTAGAATAAAAAAATGATTGTTAAAGGGCACAAAAACATGGCACTTTTATTTCTGTTGCTTCTAATGGTTTGAAGGGAGAGCTCCATGTTATCCTGCCTCTGCCATTTTACAAAATTTTTTGCTTTCTTCACTCAAGCAGAAGACAGCAAGGAGAGCTGCTCATTCTACTTCTCAGCTATCCATGCTCGACTCAATTATTGCAAGGACTGGAAAAGCAATAGATAGTGGGACCTGTTTTTAGGCTCAAAAATGACTGGGAAGCAATTTTAAATAATAGTTTCTTTAAAGAAAAAAAACATGTTTAACAGATTAAAAAGTGATTAGAAGTTCATATCCCTGGGAAGACAGAATAAGGGGAGTATGTTAATATTTCTATAGGAAAGGTTTTTGCATTCGGGTTAGTATAAGAGATAACTTGGATCACAAAGATTTCCTTGAACCCTGAGGCAGATTTTTTAAGGAGACTGCAGCTATGGGTAGGAGGATCTGCTTACTTTTGCTGCCTGTTCTGGTGAAAAGTAGGTCTCTTCAGGCTGATAGTCAGCCAATATGCACTGGACAGTCATACCAGTTTAAAGATACTGAAAAACTTCTGTACCAGTTGGTAAATAAGCACTGTCAGGAGCCCTCTAAGTGATCACCTGTCACCCAGGCCACCCTGATCCCTCTAGTATCACCTAGACTTCCCCACAGTGTAATAGTCATGGATTGACCCCTGGCTAAGACATCTTAACCCAGGTAACACATCTTAACCTTTGTGTTTGAAACTGATGCAACTTAGCAGGAGGCAGAAGTAGGCATGAAAATGGAGAAGCCTGTAACTGTCTAGTCAGTCTCTTCCAATAGCTTGGAGGCAGAACCCACCACAAGTCTTTATTTGCAAGTTCCAAGGAAATACCCCAGAAACAACTCCTTTACCTCTCTTCAACTGCAATATAAAGAGCTCTCTAACAAAGCAAAGTCCTTTCCCTTGTGAGATTTCCTTGCAAAGCACAGGCTCCATGGGTAGGATTGATGCCTGTGGAATCCACAGTGAAAATAGTGGCTGGAGATTCACAGCATCGCTCCGACATACATGCCCACATGGCACAGCAAGAGGGTCTCCCAGGCTCTGCTCCAGTACTAAGGTTTTGCATACAGTTCTGTTTGGTTGCCCATGCCATGCTGGTGTTTGAATATTTTGAACATCATTCCTGATTCCCCGATATTATCTCTATGACTTAAGGCCATTTTTATAGGCAGAATCAACCAGCTCACCAGAGGATCCCTAGTAGATTTTATTGCTCTCATATAGGCTGAGTTCAGTTGGCAAAAGAAAAAAATTAGTATGGAAGACATTAGCAAGATTAACTTGAGGACAATTTTTATAAAAGTTAAGGAAAGCCTTTCCACTTTAAAAAATACCAACAAATAGTGTGAACTGCAATTATTGTCAGGTGTTACAATACTGTCAGCAGATTGAAGAAGACAAAAACTGATAGAGTTATGTTGGCTATTTGTACATTCACTATGCCATATCCTGCGGGGGGACGGGTAATTTGACAGTATATTAGGCGTCATCCCTGCCATCAAAGTTTTTATTGATACATCTCAGCAGGGAAAATAGCAAGGGTGCCCGGTTAGCTATTAATACAAGGTAAAATGCTAATAGGCATTTAGAGAGTCACATTAGTGCTACGTATCTCTTAGAGAGGTACAGAGTCAGAATACTTTCTATGGTACAAGAGAACATCCGGAGTGGAAAATGTTCAGTTCCTGGGAAACAAAATGGGGAGGGGTCCCTTAGACAAAACCAGATTATCCTTGTGATGTTAAATTAGTACTGATTCTGCAATGAAGAGTAATATTTAATGCTACAAACCCTGACTTAAAGAAAAACGTACTGAAAACAGAATGATGCAGAACAGATCATTGCTGGATTCCTTCTGCTCCTTTGATGGAAATAAATTGGATAATTTTGATTCCTTTATCATCCTTTATGAATTATATTTCCTAGTAGAATGCAAATATCATTGGTAAAGAAAGAAAAGCAGAGATGAATCATCATAATGAATGTTCAAATAAAGAACATCAGATTCAGAAAGCTACATTACTATATTGCCTAAATAAAACCAACCAGGATTTCCCACTGCAAACAGTCTTAGGCTTTTGTGTATAACATGCTTGTTTAAGTGCAGTGACTGGAACACTGATTCCCCCTGGGTAGTGCTGTAGTTGGTAGTACTGTCGCAAAGGCTTTCTGGAAACCCAACAAAGTTCTTCTGTTGAGGTTCTCTTAGCCACTTCGAGTAAAATGCATCCCTCCTGATTCATTGGTATCCATTAGCTTTCTTTGTTTCTGAATAACAATGTCCTGCCCCAGACTTCCTACCACCAACTGGAATGGGAAGGGTAATGCAGAAGGATGGCATGTCTTGTACCATACCCAACCCACTCACCCTCCATCCTCACCTTGGGATCTCTGGCACTTGCCAAGTGACTTCGCTGTATGGGAAGCTCATAGGGATTGAAGTTGCACCTGTGGGTGTAAGGAAGGGTCTCTCTAGTTGTCAGACAGCAGATTCAGCTTACTCTTTTGCCTCATTCACTGAATCAGTTCTCATTGAGTACCTACTACATACCAAGTGTAGCCCCTTATCTTTATTCCTAGAAGTCTATCTGCCTTTCCTTTCCCCACGTGGTTTGGCGAATTCACTGGTAATTCCAGATATGCATCAACCTCAATTCTCTCCTCTGATGAGCTTAGGTGGAATTTAATAATCCCCGCTAAATTGTCCTGTGACTCTGTCATATGAATAAAGGCTATGGACTCTAGGTTAGATTGTAAGCATCAAATTAATTTTACTGCAAAGGTCAGGCTGCTCTCCTGGCATTCTGTTGTGCTTGAAGGTTAGTAACTACATGCTTAACCAAAACCTTCCTTTCTGAGCTGTATTCAAGACAGATTTCAAGATACAGCCAGATTGAAAACCAGATATTTAGAGATAAAAGGTTGCGTACTCTGACCTCCAGGAAATAGCAAGCAGCTGCAGACATTCCATGTGTATATACAATACATCACCATTTCTAGGAGATGATGGGCATTAAGCTTAGCACCTCTTGCTCCCAAAGCAAATGTCTGCTCATCTTTTCTACCAAGCTGCTCATGTCAGAATAAAGAAATATTTCTTCCCAAATGACTTCTAAGCTTGCTTCTCTGAGAAATGCTGCCCCTGGGGAAGCAAGGCCTATCACCGAAGTTTGGCTGAAAAAAGACATATTCATATTCAGATAATGGCAGACACCTCCATCCTGGTTCCCTTTAACCTTCATCTGTCTTCCTAATTTACCACAGGCTCTCTCGTTCCAGCTCACCCCCTTTGACCAACCCTGTTGTGAGTTCATGCGCTCCTGATGTATGTGTCTGATATACTTATCAGTTCAAGTTCTACAAGTAACAGTCATGTAATAATGTGCCATTTATACTCCTGGAAAAATCCAAAGATGGACTCTTACACTATAAAGTCGCATCTAGATTATTATTAGGGTTAAAATTCCTTGAATCTATAGGGGCTGGGATCACAAACAGACTTCTTATAGCATGATAGTTCCTTTAGGCATAATTGTTGTCTTTTTCAAATGTCTGAAAAAGAGATAGCAATTGCCAATTTTCTGTTCCAGAGAATAGGTCCTATAGAAAGAAATGCAATCAGCTTGCAATTCTGAATTTTATTATTCACAATGGGAAATTTACAAGTACGTCACCAGAAGCTCTGTAGGCTGTTGCTCATTACAAAGATCAGTTTCACCTGTGACAGTAACAGTGCTGCCCCACTGTGTCCAGGACAGTGTGTGTGTGCAGTGGTAGAGTTCTCTAAAGCCATCCACACCCTCTGCCCGAGTCTCCTATAGCCAGTAATGTTTGCAAGACAAGGCAAAGTGAGGTCTGTAACCTGTGGCTGTGGAGCAGAGGAGAATGGGAAGTGAAGTTGTCTCAAGAAGGCATCATCTGGGACACTGTGAACCCTAGCAAAGATGCTAAAATGATCCAAAATGCTTTTTGAAGGAAAGTTCAAGCCCTCCCTGCAGATATACTATGAGTGGAATAACACTCCATCTGGACAGGCACACAAGTCAAATGCCTTAATTTCTGAAACAGAATGACAGCTTGACCACTTTGTATGTCTTAATAGCTAAAATATGTGACTCGCTCTCTTCAGCCCACAACACAGATTATCTGCCTTCTGTGTGCTCACTAGAGCACTCAATCTTAAATCAGTTGCCCTCTAGTTCTTAGATGTATATAGGGACATGCCAACCAAGAGTACTTGCCTGAAAAGCACTGTACCCAGGGAAGCAGGCCCTGTCGGTGGAGTTTGGTTCAAAAATGACACGATCGTATTCAGATAATGGCAGACACCTCCCTCCTGGTTCCCTTTAACGACATCTGTCCTTCTGATTTACCTCAGTTTCCTCCTGTTCATCTCCCTTGGTCACCCCTGTTGTGAGTGCATTTACTGCTGATGGAAATGTCTAATATGCTTGGCAGTGTAAGTCTTACTGGTAACATTCATGCGGGAATGTGCCGACATCCCATCTTTTCCTCTAACCAGTATGCCAAACCAGACTTGTCGCTCTATACTTGGGACTTCTGTAGAGGCTTGTTTGGTCTTTATTTTGTGTGTGAATTTGTCTACACCCAACCACAAGTAGATGCTAAGCTCTCTGAGGAAAGAGCTTCAGTCTTCTCAGAGTCCTCTGCTTCTCCTGTGTCCCTCTCAGCCATTAACAAATAGCACAACAGGGGCTCAGTCAGTATCTGTTAGTTCATTTGTAACTAGAAAATATTACCCCTGGTGGATTATACTGTTTCTGAACTGAGATGTACTCTTTTTTTCTTCTCAGAAGTAAGCTTTTACTCTAAGCTTGTATTGGACTCTGCCAGAAGTAAACATGTCTTCTGTGGGTCTGTGCTGCAAGCTACAATCAGATTTTCTAAATGCAGTGGCTTAAGGATTATATGCTTTTCACTACAGCCGAGAGGGTGAGTAAAAACCCTGACCCATTGCATTCCATAGGTGCTGCCATCATGGAAAGAGCAGGCTGAAGGCCTTTGCTTCCTTACCTTAGCTCCCTTTATAACCCAAATTCTTTGATGGGCCAGGAGGGCTGCCTCTGCTGATTTTCACTTAACCTCTCCATGCCTCCCTGTTTTCCTCAGAAAAGCCCATCAATATCGACCTGCTTTCCAAGGATGTTTGAGGATGTAATACTGATAAGAAAACACTCTCTATGAGAGAATATTGATGACAGTTGTTTTGTAGCCACAAAGGGAGAGGGCACTTGGCAGTAATTGGGGGCCATGTTTAGCCACCAAGCCACCCATTATCGTTAGTACTCAGATTGATTCTAATGCATCATAATAATGCAGCTTTTAATCCACATGTAGAGGGGTAATTTATTGTCAGGTGGTGATTGTTAGTAATAACAAGCTGTTTGAACATATTCAGAACATAGTTGTACACATCTCTTTTGTTTCTCTTCCTTCCTTTGTTTGCAAGTCTAATTTTTACCCTTTTGCCTATCCTATTTTCTCCTTTTAACTGCATATTATAGTATTGTTTTTATTCTTTTTAAAGATAGAAGCTTAGTATCCCCATGAGCAGCTAGAACACAGGACCCTAATTTGGAAAAGGAGTTTAAGTTGCCAAGTCCAATTTGAGAATGGTCGTGGATTTTATCACTCAGCTTTATTAATGGACCTCATTCCCACTGTATTGCATTTCTTTCCCTAATGCATTTGTATAAAAGCTCTTGCCTCTTCCATTAACCCCTTTGGCTGGTGTTAACTCATTCCCAGGCATGTGTTGCCATAGCTGCAGCCGCCCCTCAGCTGGAGCCCCCATGCTAGCCCCTTCAGAGGCCATGTGGGGTTTGCCTGCTTGTTCCAGGCGTCAGCTGTTAGGCGGAGGGCAAGAGCCTTACAACCTGAAAGGTCAAACAGCCTTTCGTATGTGTTTAAGCCCTGTCTGGTTTTTTTTTTTTTTTTTTTCTTAGCAGCAGATGGGCATGTGGCTGTCCAGCCTCAAGCTGGGAAACGTGTGGGAACATTACCAGCATTCTTTCTCTCACACCCCCTCCTGGGCACCTAAGCAGGTAGCCTAACTCTATATTCAAAAAGATGATCAATATTTCCCCCTCTGTTGTTTGAATCTCTTCCTTCAACACCTGAGGCAGCTGTGGGGAATTGTGCACAACTTGCGTCTGTTCACCAAAATAATTGCCAGCAGCTTTATGGAGCGTCTCTTGTGTGTATTTTTGCGCATTTACAGATTTGGTTATATCGTTTGCAGAATGGAAACGTGGCTGTCCACTGCTTACTCTCATTCTCATAGATCTTCAAGGAGAGACCCTTTAAAAAACAGAATGGAAATGACATGCAAATGGTTATGTTAATAGCACACAGGCAAAAGTCAGGACCTTCAGAAGGTTCCTCAGGCGCAAACTGATCAGGTGATGAGCACATCTTGCATACATTTCGATTTGAGTTACCAACCTGCACTGTCCTATGAGAAATGATTAGGAAGAGAAAATGTTGCATTCCTATAATGTGTGACTACTTTCTGCCCTGGGCTCCGGCACTGACGTAGACCAGAGCAAACACAACTCCCTCACATGCAGATTGGGCAGGTACAGTGGGATTTGGGGAAGATGTTTGAAGTCGGGGGATGCGGGGGGAAGCTTCCACATGGACCAGTAATAAAGCATCGGAAAAGAAGGTTTAATTTTATCTGTGATATGCTGGCTTTACCAGGCAGCTGGCAAGGATAAATCTGTGGATTAGCTCCAAACTTAGAAAATTCATAACCATTTAGTTGTTTACCTTGACTTTAATAGAACTGATGTCATCAACAGCAGCAGAACAGCAACATCGTTTACTCACCTTTATATAGTATTTTATAGCTTTCAAAATACTTTTCCAATTAATATCCCTTGTTTATCTCATCAACCCTGTAAGATCAGTATTACTGTTTTCTACATTTTTTGTGATGAAGGAACCCAGGCCCAGAAATATTAAGTGACTCGCCTAAGTTACATAGCCAGCAAATAGCATGGTCTTCTGGCTCCAGACCCCTGAGGTACCCATGCTAGGCAATACTCACAGCTCCGTCACCCTGCTCTGTAGCCTGCTGCCACCTCCATATTCCCTAATCACCTCTGAACTTCTGGGTAAACGAATTAGGGCCCATGCAGGGATTCATTTAAAGAACAAAAGGAAAGTCACCATGTTACAAAATAATTACTGCCTTTACATACGGATTCACTGCTAACTGATATCTTTGGCATTCATGTTTGTTCCTAGATCACTAACTACTCCTCTAGCTGAGTGGAGGAGGGGTGGTGAGGGAGACACAGAAAGGAAGGTAGATAGAGAAAGAGAGAGAGAAGGAGGAAGAGAGGGAGGGGAGGGAGAGGGAAACGGTGGGGCAGGAGTATGAAAGAAAACAGCACAGAAAGCTCTTGGCAATTAAAGAATCCTTTAGAAATTAAGATAAAACATTTTTGAAGAGACGGTATCAACATATGTAGTAGAATTATAAAGATAAGCAAGGAATTATTAACACAAAATTGAAAACGGTGGTTATCTTTCAGGGGAGATGGAAGCGATTAGGGAGGGGTACATGGTGGACTTTAAAGGTAATAGTGATATTCTTTTTCTTAAACTGCATGTTGGGCATACAAATTTCATTGCATTGTTGTTGTTTATACTTTACGCTTGTATCTTATAAATTTTCCTGTGTACCTACTCAATATGTAATTTTAAAAATTAGAAAAAGACACTGTGAGTCAGTGGAAAAAAATAGGATTTGATATACAGAAATTAGCTTTACATTTTCAAGGAAGATAGCCACTCTTGAAAACTAGGTGCACTTTGGTAGAAACCTAGCCAGTTGGCTCTGACAGTGTCTCCCAGTGACATATGAGTTAGTTTCTCAAGAAGTGGTGATTTGCAAGGAGGGCATGCTTTCCCAGAATTTTGCTGGGGTCTTTGAGTATTTCAGCTGCCTTGCCCATCACCTCACCTCCTTTCTGACAGTGAACTTCTAGCTTCTTTAACAGATAAGAACAGTGGCATGGTCACTTGGGAATTTGAAGTTAAGTGCTTGAACTGTAACCATGGATTTATGGGCTGTTATCCAAAGACTTATTATCTTTATGGTTTTCCTTGGTGTTGGAACTGACAGAGAATGCAATGAACTGGTGGGGTTGTGTACTTATTTTTATCACCCGTTGGTTTCTCTCTGGCCAATCTAGTCACACTGTAAGCACAGGCTGTCAGGAATTACAGCTTTTCTTCCATGTGGAAATAAGTGGATAAGCAAATACTCCCAGCCTGATTTTCTTTCCAATTCATTATTTACAGGGAATTCACCCTTTGTAATCATTTTCAAATCAAATTTGCTCTGCCAATCCCTGTAAGGTTTACTCTGGAGATCATCACTAGCCTAGACGCCTTTTATTTTTTAACAGCTTATGTCTCCTCCATGTTAATGCCAATAAACACACACACACACCACACAAATAGATTAAAGGTGATGTCACTAGTGGCCTGGAGATTCACTCAGGAAGAAAATTTAAGTTACAGCAGAAATGGATAAAAGAAAGTTAATAACTCACATGTGTTTGCTATTTGGACTACTGTTGCTGTATTAAAATATTCAGAAGAGCTATTGAATTAAACGTGGCAAAATATATCATATACAGGATAGATTTCAGGAAAGGCACTATTATTAATACTGTCCCAGAATCACAAACTGCCAACCAAATTTACTTGCATGTGTATTGTTCCTGGAGTATGCCGATACAGCGGGTGTCCTGTGCCCAGCTGTCATGGAGGTCACAGCCGTGGCCATAATCTGCCTTTGTCTTGTTAGAAAGCTGTCTGTGAAGAGCAGGTTCTTCTCCTGCCTACCCCCTTGCTTTCCAATCTTGTCATGGATAATTGAGCTACAACACTAAGTAATTCTGGCTTTCCTCCACCACAGATGGGGGGATCAGGAGAGAGAGCACAGATACAAATGTCATCCATGGTTTTAGAGGAAAAAAGCAAATAGGTTTTGGCAGCAGGTCTGATAGGTTGGGGGTATGTACAGTGGTGGAGGGTAACACTGGAACATCTTTTTAGGATTTTATTAGCAGTAGCACTTTCAGAAAATGCATTAATCAGATGAGAAGAATACAAATTAATCCCACTGTTTTTTTCTGGCAGTGTTCTTGGTAAAGAACTTGTTAAAGATAAACCATCTTGTCCTTTTTTTGTTGTAAATACATTCTCTCCTATTAGGTTGGTGCAAAAGTAATTGCCATTTTTGCCATGACTTTTAATCACAAAACCATAATTACTTTTGCACCAATCTAATATTATTAATGGCTGGTTCCTGTACTGGTATTTTCATGTTCTTTTCACCTGAAGAAATTGTAACACTCCCCTCTTTCCTTACCCCCAGTGGCCCCTGTTTTCCATAAGATATCAGAGGTAATGCCCACCATTGTTAGTATATTGATAATAATTACTAGTATTCTACAAGCATTTACTAAGTTAGGCACCACAATAGATCTGTTTTGTATATTTTCTCCTTTAATCTTCACTATAGCTCTATAAGATGGGTACTATTATTATCCCATTTCTCAGATGTAGAAAATGAAGCACAGAGACATGAAATCACTTGCCTAACATCACACAGGTAATAAATGTTGGGCCAGGACTAGAACTCAGATCTAATCCAAAGATTATGATCTTAACCACTGTTATAACCCTACTTGTTTTTCTCTTCATTCAGCATCGTTCAGCATTAAGGCTTGAGAGTTTATCATGCCTGGTCTGGCCAAATGCATGCTAGTGGTTGATGGGAATGTGTTGTGGTTTTCAAAAAAAAAAAAACAGTCATTTTGAAACATGAAGGGTAGTGAAGATAATGTGAAGGTATGTATAATAAAGTCTATTGTCTTTTGATTATTTGTCAAATTGGAGTGGAGTTTGAAAACTCCAGTTTGGCTGCTTTGCAGAGGTAAAGAAGCACGAAAGGGGCCAGAGCTGCTGGCCCAAGGCAGAGCCATTAGTCACTGCCTCATGCGGTTGTATGTGTATATATAGCATTGCCCTTAATATCTGAGGATGGCCCTGCTGAGGCAGCTAGTACTTCAGCCAAAGGTCCCATTATTAGCAGGATTTACCACCTGACTTATTTATAGTCATCATGGCCAGGGTCCCACCCCCTACCCCCACCAACTTAGACCATGGCCATGTAGTTAATGACTTACACAGCAAGTCAACAATATAGCCCAACACCCATCCTCTCAGAGTCAACCTACTGGGAATACAAAATGACTCCAGTTGTTCCACATTCTACTTTTAGGAGAGAGAAATGATAAGGAAATTGATATGGAAAATATTCTCCACTCACTCCCATTTCCCCAAACAAGAACAACTTGCATTCTAGGTTTTAGACTTAGTACAAATACAGCCTTGTTCTGTACCTTTTAAGATATTTGTAGTACCATGATAATTGGCTTAGTTTTCAAAACTCAGTTTAAAGTCACTACCTCCAGCTTCACATCACTTCCTCAGTGCTCCCCTCCCTCCTCCACCACCTTCTCTCCTTAGCACCGTCCTAGCAGGGGAACTGTCTCCCCCTTCTTCATATCTCTGTTTAGCCATTTTCAAACCGTACAGTAGTTTTTGTTTTCATATCTGCCACTCTCACTAGTCTATGAGCCCCTCAAAGGACAGGAAAACATGTAGTTTTCACCTGGGTACCATCACATAATATATGGCTTTCACAAGTTTGTTAAATTAATATTCAGAATGTATCTCGTAGTCTTGCAATAACTTCACCAAAGATTCAGGTACAACTAGCACATATTGATTACCTATGTTGTTTTCACCACCACCCTGTGAAAGGGTGGCATCATTCTTATTTATAAATAAGAAAACTGAAGCTCTGTGTTTCTCAAATTTGTAGTGGGTGTAAGAGTTACCTAGGGTACTTGTTCAACAGGCAGAGTCCCCAGTGCCACCCAGGTGAAAACTTTAGCAGTGAACCCTGGAAATTGGCCTATTTAGCAAGCACCCAAGGTGATTCTGATGCACATGGTTGGAACGTACTTTGACAAACACAGGTGTAAGTGATTGCTACATGGTGAGTAAACGGTAGGGCCAGAGTTCAAACTAGCCTTCCAAACTCCAGATCTTGTTCATGCTATATTTATCCTTGTCATACTCTATTTTCTATGGCAAGGAAGTGGACTGAAACATATTGGAAAGATTTTCAGCAACAAGGACTGCAGCAAAACGGCTTGTGGATTAGCCCCAGGACTGATGTGGGGTTTTTTTTCCTCCAAGAGATCTTGCCAGACTTCCAAGAGCATGGTAGCAGTGTTGCCAAGTCACCTTTTACTCAACTTACCTTGGGAAAGCACAGACCACAGAGCTTTGGGAACTTAACAAAGTTTATGCTTCTGTTTTTTTCTTTCTCCACCCCCTCCCCCACCAGCAGCTATGCCATTAACTTAAAGAGCGTGCTCAGTACCTGAAATGCAGTTAGTTGATTAGTTTAAATATTAAGATTTCTAGTTGAACACCAGTAACTACAACATTTGGGGTCCTGACAGTAATATTTATGTGTTTATTTCAAAACCAGGAAAAGAATTATATGACTTAACAGGCAATTAGTGCAGATATTAAAGGAGCTGAGACAGGTAGCATTTTTTTTTTAGGCCCATCTATGCTTTTTGGTGTTCTTTACCTAAATATTAGGTAAGAAAATATGGAATAAATGTGATGATGTAATCCTAGATTAGAGGACCATAGTCAGCCATTCACTCTAGACCAAGGTAACATTAGTTCACAGGTATCTGAGAAGTCCATGAAGCCAGAGGGTTGGCAATTACAGACTGTAGTCCAGAAAAACCCCAAAAGAGCCTCTCAAGGGGAGTCAGCCACTGCTCTTAGTAGCTGAGGCAGCCCTCTAAGGTTCCCACAGTGGAGCCTGATGGTATTCCAGAACCCTGGGTCCAACCAGAACCCCTGGGTCCAACCTTAACCTATTCTTCTGACTCAATTTGCCTAATAACCTGGAACTGAAAAGTACTATCCCTGAGATACCTCAGCCCATGCCAGCCCACCCTGAAATTACAAAAGAAGCCCTTGGCCGCAGCTCAAAGATCCCCACAGGGCATCTGAATGATTTCTTCCTTGCCAGAAAAAGGGAAGGGAAAGATAAAGGAAGTAGGGTTAAAGTCATGATCAGGTACTTGCTCTGTGTCAGATATTGGGCTCAGCATTCTTAGTGATGGTATATAGCCCAGTGGTTAAACGTGTTGTCTCTGGAGCCATACTTCCTGAATTTGAATTCCAATTCCAACATTAACTGTATCTGTGGCCTTAAGCCACTTGTTAACTTCTTTGTGTTTCATACTCCTTGTCTATAAAATGAGTATAATGATAAATATCACTTGTCTCATAGAGTTTTTGTAAGAATTATATTGTATAATACTGTTAGTGGTGGAAGTATCTGAGTTACCTGTGGCAAATCCATACAGGTCTGCAGCAACCTCAGTTCTTGCCTCCTCAGAAGAAAGAATTCGACTGAGGGGCATAAGGAAGAAGGAGAGACCAAGGCAAGTTTTAGTAGTAGTGAAAGTTTATTAAAAAGCTTTAGAGCAGGAATGAAAAGAGGGTAAAGTACACTTGGAAGAGGTCTAAGTGGATATCTTGGAGGTCAAGTGCCCTGTTTGACTTTGGACCTAGGGTTTTATATGCTGGCATACTTCCAGCATCTTGCATCCCGTTTCCCTTGATTCTTCCATTAGGGTAAGCTGCCTGCATGTGTGGGGGCCTGCTAGCACTTGGGAGGTGAGCATGCTCAGTGTGTTTACTAGAGTTGTACACATGCTCATCTGAAGCGTTCTTCCCTGTTCCAGTGGAATGCCCCTGGAAGGTCATATATCAGTTCAACTGTGCCATTTTGTCTCTTAATGCACATGCCTGAGCCCACTTGCCCAATACCAGAGATCTTATTGGGATGCTGCCAATCACCAGTTTCAGGTGTTTTTATTTATTGGGAAACTACTTTTTCCTGGCGCTGGCTATGATCAATTACTATTTTAGAGAGTCAGTGTGACAACTACCTGATAGTCGCCTGACATTCCTGGTGGGGCTGGGGGAGCCCTCTCCTGCCCCACTCATGCCTGGCTAGCTACTTACTGTAATAATACATGCAAAGCTTTAAAACAATGTTTAGCACATAATAAGCATTTAACCAATATTAGGAATCAACATCATTATCATTATCTTTTATATGAAAGATAGGTATCATTATCCCCAGCTGCAAGTGAATAAACAGGTTAAAAAGTTTGTGGAACTTGCCTAAAGTCATTCAGCTAGTCAGGAGTACAGCCAAGGTTGGATTTTAGATCTATCTGGCTCCAAGTCCTGTATTCCTTCTATTATACCTTGTTGCCTTCATAAATGTAGGGTATGTGCTATCACTTCCTTGGAGAGGCACATACCAAATTCTGTGGCCTTCTTCTTCCTCACTATACCACGCCCTCACCCCACCCTCACTACAATTGCCATCTGGAGGGCTGGCCTGGCTCTGTGGCTTTAAATTGATCTAACTTAAATATTGAACATCTTGATAACTGCTCCAATACAGAGGTGGCTGTCTTCAGGACCCTCTAGCTTATAGACTAAAACAATAAATCTTCCAGGATGAGGTTTAGTTTGTGAAAGCACCCGCTATGCTGAGATTCTCATCTGTATACCTTGAAGATCAAGCTATTCTCTTCCAACTCCCACCCTGCCACACTCACAACTCATGTGAAAATGACTACCTACTATATATATAGGCCAGCATAAAGACCCTTCCCTTGCCTCCCTTTGCCTTCCCTTCCCTTATCTCCTTTTCCTTTCTCAAGGAAGAGAATGTATGACATCTTGATTCCCTTGAGTGACTCTTTGATCCATCCTGCTTGTCTAATAGCATCATCTCTCTCAAGCCATCTGGGAGCCTTGTATTACAAAAGCCTACAAAAGCCCCTGTCAGTTCTCTCACCTGCATCACCGTGATGCAAGCTGTGGCATCACTTGAAGTCTGCAATAGGAGGGACTGTGGCCTGTGCCTCAGGCTTCAGTGCATTGTTCACAAACAATGATAGATTGTTAATTTTCAAGGAATATGAAGAGAGATTCAAAATAACACCTGCACTGCCACAATATATTGCTTCATAAGCAATAAATACTACGCAAAAGATAAAGCCTTGAGCCCCAGGCTTAATGCAGACCCCAAATGTGATTTGTTCTACTGTTTCCTTTCCCTTAGACAGAGAACAGAAAACACAATGTTATTCCTTGGTAGGACACCCAACCCTGCCCCTGTGTCATCTTTTCACAACAAATACTTCTCGAATGCCTACTATATGCGAGGTCCTATGTGATATGCCAGAAATGAAGTTTTCTTCCACGTTTTGTTCAAGCATTTTCTAAACTTCCTTTCTCTTTCCTTTGTCATGGTGTGCCTACTGCTATTTCCAGGACTATTCTCAAACAGCAACCCATGAGCATTCCATGGTACCTGGACTTCCCACAACAAGGATCATTTCTTTGATGTGAAGCATAGAAGTAACCATGCTGAAAGCGTTAATAGATTCTTGAGATGGGGTCAGAGAGGAGGGTTTGATCAGATTAGTCTTAGTTGCACGATAGCATAAGAGAGTAGGGTACGGCATAAACTACAGAAGTTGGAGTTGCCTATACATGTGATAGATGGGAAAGGATTATGGAAGAAACCAGGGGTATAAGGCGTTCTCCAGTAAGAACACACAAAAATTGTTACAGTAGAGCAGGATTTCTCAACCTCAGCACTATTGACATTTTAGGCCAGATAATTGGTTCTTGAAGGGGGATGTCCTGTACATTGTAGGATGTTTAGCAGAACCCCTGGCCTCTACTAGATGTCAGTAGCAACTACCTGCTGCCAGGTATGACAATCAAAAATGTCTCCAGATACTGCCAAATGTCCCCTGTGGGGCAAACTTGGCACTGCAATAGAGGACATTGAGAGTACCCATCTGTATAATGATGAGCTCTAGAGCCCTCAGCTCAAATATTCTATAACTTGATGAACCCCCTAGTTTAGTAGGGCATAGTGGTCAAGAGCATGAATTTTGAAGCCAGACTGCCTGGGTTTGAATCTCGGCTCTACTGCAAGCTAGCTATATAACTATGGATAGCTTGCTTAACTTCTCTGTTCCTATTACCTCATCAGTAAAATGGGGATAATGAAAGGACCTACTTCATAGGATTGTTGTGAATTTTAAATTAATATACATAAAGTGCCTAGAACAGTGTGAGGTGCATAGTAAGCATTATATAACTGTTGACTCTTATTAGTCTTATTATAATTGCTATCTTTAAAACTATTAAGAAAACCAAATACCATATGTTCTCACTCATAAGTGGGAGTTGAACAATGAGAACACATGGACACAGGGAGGGGAACATCACACACCAGGGCCTGTCAGGGGGTGGGGGGCTAGGAGAGGGATAGCATTAGGAGAAATACCTAATGTAGATGATGGCTTGATGGGTGCAGCAAACTACCATGGCACGTGTATACCTATGTAACAAACCTGCACATTCGCACATGTATCCCAGAACTTAAAGTATTAAAAAAAAAACTATTATTCATCATTTTTCTGAGTCCTAGTATATTCTAGAGGCCTGATGTCCCATGTCCCACCCACCTTTAGACCACTATCTGTTTCTTTTTCTTTTTTCTTTTTCTTTTCTTTTCTTTTTTTTTTTTTTTTTTGAGACAGAGTCTCACTCTGTTGCCCAGGCTGGAATGTAGTGGTGTGATCTCGGCTCACTGCAACTTCCATCCCTGGGTTCAAGTGATTCTCGTGCCTCAGCCTCCCAAGTAGCTGGGACTACAGGCATACACCACCACGCCTAGCTAATTTTTATATTTTTAGTAGACGTTGGGTTTTACCATGTTGACCTGGCTGGTCTTGAACTCCTGACCTCAAATGATCCACCCACCTCCGCCTCCCAAAGTGCTGGGATTTACAAGCATGAGCTACCACGCCCAGCTGAGACTACTATCTTCTTTCTGCAGAAATGATGACAGAGCTAAGTTCACAGTTGAGGACCACACAATGCAAAGAGATTTTAGATGGCTGTGGGTCTACGAAATAGGCTATGCAGGTAAGCCCCACTTTGTACAGTTGCTGAGTTCTTGTAGAGTTCTCTTATTTAAAAACACACTTATTGGCACCTACTTTGAGCTAGTCACAGTAAAGGGTGCAGAAGTAAATGAGGTTTGTGTCGCCTGGCCTCAAGGAATTAACAAATATGGCTGCTACATGGACTTTCATTTTAGTAAATTTAATTACCTTAAATTCTCTAAGAAATTTTAGTTCCTTCTCATAAGTGAAGAATTTCTCAGTGATGCTATCTTCTCATCCCCAGATTTATCTTCCTTGAAGTTTGTATGTCTGTAATTGGGAATTTTTTGTATTATCAGCATGTAAGGATTATAATACTTCAAATTGTCATCATTTTATCTTCCTTTCTTTTTCCATTTAAAATTTTTGTTTAACACTCAGCCCTCAAAAGAAACCCTCCAAAAGAGATTTTATCTTAATACAATAATAGAGTAGTATCCTGTTCTGAATAGCTTGACACCTGCTTCTGGAAAGAATATCTGTGGAGGACTCTTTTGTATACTCATATATTTCCTCATGTATTTGTTTAAAATAGCTTGTTAAACATCTTTTCTATGTCAGACACTGTGTCTAGGCACTAGAAATAACAAGGAGGAATAAGCAATTTCTGGGGAGAGACAGACATGGAAAAAGATCAGAAAAATATAATGTAGTAAGGGCTATGATAGCAATGTCTTCAGTGAGCTAAGAGAACACAGAATAAATGTACTCTTTGGAAGAGAGTTTAGTGTGATGAGTTACATTGTGAGCATTGGCATCAGAGCTGACTGGGCTTATATTCTTGCTCTACTACCTACTAGCTGTGTGATGTTGAGCTGATCACTTAAACTCTCTGTGCCTCAGTTTCATTATTCATACAGTGTATTCTAGTAATTCATGTGTATGCTTGGTTCTCTCAGTAGACTTTGAACCCCCCGAGGGCTGGGACCACTTCCTCATCGTTTACCATAACTATTACCATGTTATTATGGCCATTTATTGAGCGCTCAATATGAGCCAGAAGACATGCTAAATTCTTTACCCACATTATCTAATCTTCAACAAACCTATAAGGTAGATGCTTTCATTTTCCTAATTTAGTAGCTTCCCATTTTTTCGTCAAACCCAGTTATTTGCTCATAACACTTATTACAGTGCATAATTATTTGTATTTTAATATCTGTCTATTGCATTAGAGTATAAGTTCTACAAGAGCAAGGATGAGGTCTCTTTGACTCACCCTAATATCCTCAACATCTGCAATACTGCCTGACACATAGATAATGTTCAGTGAATGTATGGTAAATATGAAAGGAAGACTGGAAGGCAGGCAGGCAAGAAGAGAAGAAAGAAAGTGAATGAGCACATTACAGTTGCTAAGTAGTAGAGTTAGACTCTAGTCCAGAGCCATCTGACTCCCAGACCAATGCTCTTGATGATTAGACAGGATTGCTTCCTGTGGTTAACAGGCTTTCAATAGATGTTTGTTGACAAAACTGTCTCCTCAACTTTGCATAATAATGTGTAACAAAATTACAGTGAGCATAAAAACCAGTGGATATCCACTCGGACATAAGAAAGAGAATTGTAGGAGAGTAAATCATCAGAGAAGGAGAGTTTTTGTCTTAATGAAAGAATATAGTTGAAGAGACAGCACCAACATACTGTTGTCCTTGTTTCAGAGGAAATTGTGTGTGTGTCTGTGTGTGTGTGTGTGTGTGTGTGTGTGTGTGTGTAGTCTTCAAAATCAAATAACTTTGACAGTGATTGACAAGTTAATTAGTGATGCATCAACAATACAAAAATAAACAGATGGCAGAGATTTGATAGTTATAAAATGATACCAAGTTCAAGTAGATGATCACTTCCAAATCTTGTATTCTTTTGGTGCTAATGGAGCTTATTCCAAAGTGCCATATCTTCAACCAAATTACCTAGAAGGCACTTACTCACAGCCACTCTACAATCTCTGACCTCTTGAGAACTTGTCACACAGCAGAATAGGAGAACCAGCATGGCAAGACATGTTCTTCAGACTTGGGGTAGGTATTTTAAAGACCACTTGACAACCAGTAGCATTCGCCTTCTGAATATTCTTGGCTGCTGCCAGTGATTGTAGGATTCAGGGGAAAATTACTAGATGTCCATTTCTAGTCTAGAAAGTGGATCAGGCCAGAACTTAACTTTTCCACCATTAAGTGATAATTCTAAACAGATACTTAGCACAACATGTTTTGTTACCGTGGACCTTGAATCCAGATTACTGCCAGAGGTGATCATCTGGGATTTTCCTTTGAAAGCAAAATTTTGCAAGCTTTTATGTATGATTATGCCGATATGGGAAAAAGATCATAGCTAATGAGATCAAACTGAGTTATTAGTTGGGCATATATCCCTGGTTGTAACTAAGCAAATTTCTACAAGTATTCAGCTGTCCTAGAGAAAGAATTGGCTTAGCAATAATGCCACCTCTTTAAGACAATTTGTCATTCTGAAAAGGTATACAAATAATCAATGGGTGTCATTGTATAGACTGCTTATTGTGCCCAAAATCAATGTAAATTAATTTTCTTTATTAATTTAAATATTTCTTGAATACCTACTTTATACTAGACACTAAACTAAGAAATAAGGAAAGAAAATGCCTCAAACCCAGTACCTGACCTAAAAGAGGCATGCAGGCCAGCAGAAGGGAGACATGTACACAATAACAATAATCCAAGGCAGTCGGTGGTAAATGCTTGGTGCTTCTTGCTTTTTAGAATGCTCTTCTTACCCCAATCTTCCATTCACTACCTGGAAGAAAATCCTATCCCTCCTTAAAGACTTACTTCAAATGATTCTTTCCCAATGAAGGCTTCCCTGGCATTCCTCCTCCACCCCACAACCAGAAACACGTATACCCAAACCCATTGCAGCAGCTTTAATTACTCCTCTGTGTTCCCAGAGCACTCCACTCATGGTTTAATTACAGTACTTATTATAATAATTTACATTGGATTGTTTATTGTTTTTGAATTCTTCCAGAGCAGTAAATGAGTTTTGTTCATCTCTGTGTTCGTAGTTACTAGCAAAACAGCATGGCATATAGTAAGACTCAAAAAAGTTTAGTTTGCAAGGAATGAGTGAGAGAATGAGCAAACATGTGAAAATCAAATTCTAGATAAAATGTTATGAGAACACATCAGAAGAAGTAATTAATTCCAATGAGGTGGTTTTGTTATAGGACTTTTTCCTTAGTTCAGCAAAGAACCAGGTTCTTGTCACACGGCCATGAGAGATTAGGCTTGCAGACACTTTGAAGGGTGAGAAAAATGGAATGTATTGGAGAAAAAGGGGTAAAAAAGGGAAACGGGGACCCTCTGCAAGGCCAGAGTCCTGCTGGTGTGCTTCCCGCCTCATAGATTGAATCCCAGGTTCCACCCAGGAAGAGGAGGGGCCAGGCTCCTTCCCACTGCAAACACATGAACTTCCAAGGCTCCACCCCAGGGTGCAGGTCAGTGGGAGGCTCTGCCAGGGAGCCCTTCCCACCTGGCCATTTCAGTTTCATAAACAAGGTAGCATTTGAGGTGACCCTTCAAAAATGAGTGGGATTTTGACAGGTGGAGATGGGTGTTAGGGGAGGGAAGGGAGATAAGAAGGACATTTAAAGCAAAACTTCCTAAGAATTTAAGAACCACTTTCATTGAGATGAAATAATGTTGTTAATCACACATGTTCCTTATCTGTTCCTGTAAACAAGCATACCAGGAACTCTACTTACTAACATGTTAACAAGCATTGTGAATTACTATACATTTTGAAAATAACAATACTGTGTTTTCCTTCAAAATTGTAATTGAGATCATTGTCTTCCCCCAAACACTTATCCCGCCCCTAATTAGTCCAGAGTTTGGCTAGGTTAATATATTATAAATTCTCATTCTTTGACCTCAAAATCCTTTACTGAGAAGTGTTCCTGTTTGTTTGTTTGTTTGTTTTAATATTTCTCATGACTGCAGAACCAATGAGTAGCCAAACTGTTGTAAGAAATTATTTTTGGCATTGGGTCCCAGTCCTTCTAAACCTACCAGTTTCTTCTGGGACTGATTCTCCAGCAACCAGAGAAAATCAGAGTGTAGACTCAATAATCTCTAAAGGTATCTTTCAGCTGTAACATTCTCTAAAAACTTACCTCCCCTAGCTGGGGGCTTGGAAGTCCAAGTAGACTAATTATCACTATGTAAACTCTCAACCCAAAGGATATTCAGCATCCCATATTTGTTTTCTTGATAATATTTGCAAGGAGGCTATTTCTAGCCTTTGGATATGCCTTTGTGAGAGAACACTGAAAGCTGGATATAACTACTAAAGTTCCTACAGATGGAGAAATCACTCTGTAGGAGTAATCACTCTGAAATGTGACTTCTGACTGTAATTAATGAACACTTAGTGCCATCAATCACTGTGTGTGTGTGAAGGAGGGATTAAGGGGGAAGAGGCAAAGGCAGCACAGAAAAATGACAAAAACTAATATTTCAGAAATAATGTTTTTAGACATTTACATTTGCTTGTTCTGACCAATCAGTGACCAAAATAGCACATGTATACATAACCCTGGCAAGAGTCAGCCCTGATGTTGCCTTGGACTTTAGCAAGCTACTATTAGAACAGAGTTGCCTTCATGGGTTGTAATTGGCAGAAGTGTGTACTGGGAGGTAGGAAAAAAGCCATAGAAAGATTTTTCTATGGCTATCAGTAGTCAGAGGAAAATTTCCCAAAACGAAAGTCTGTTTGTGCTCAGATGACTCATGACTATATCTCTCCCAACACTGTGTACATGTACGTGCTTATAAAACCCGTTTCAATGTTTTTGCTTATATCATTCCTGCTCCTGGGATGTCTGGCCCCTCTACTTTACCTATCTAATAACTGCTCATCACTCATGACATGCTCTATATAAATCTGGTCCATTCTTTCAAGTCCTATTTTCTCCATGAAGTATTTCCTGCTTACTCAGGCCACAGTAGCTCTGCATACCATAAACTACAGTAACATTTCTGATCTATACCATTTGAGTCTTTCATTGTTTCCTAGTTGTTTAACTGGAGATAGTAAAGCATAGTGGCTAAAAATTATACATTCTGTATGACCTTGGACAATATATTTGACCTTTCGAAACTTCTCTTAAATGTCTCTAAAACTTCTATTAAATGGAGATATAAATAGTCCCTACCTCATAGGGCTGTTCTGAAAGTTAAATGAGAATGATGCATGCCAAGTGATTTACCTGGCATACAGTAAGTGTTCAACAGAGGTAGTAGTGGGTGGAGGTGGTGATAACAGTGATAATGGTAATAATTATCACCATCATCATCAGTCTCTTCAATTTTATTGTACAACCTTTGAGGGCAGGGACTGTGTCTCTAGTCTGCTTTTTCTCATTGTTCCCCTAACCCCCAAAATTGTCATTCAGCTAATTTGATGTCTGCTGATTGTGTGTCCAGCTCTATTCAATAGTACTGCTTCAAAGATATGAAATTACATCAGGAGTATAATTTTCATCTTTTATTGCCAACTACAGAAGCCCTAGGATGTTTTTTCTTGCTTTACATGCATAAGTAGTTTGGATGGAAGCTGCTGAAGTAATCATATGCTAGTAGACTGTGAGAAGAATAGAAAACTTCTTAATCATTCCAAGCTCCTCTGTTGTGTATGCTTGAAAAAAGAGAGAGAGAGAGAGAGAGAGAGAAGGAAGAAAGGGAGAGAAGGAAGGAAACACTTATACTAAAATGCCATCTGGTAAATTACTTTCAAATTCCATGACTTCCTGCCAGTTCAAGCTGTGTTGTTTTAACCCTTATAAGAAAGCTGGCATTGAGGCCTTATCCACCACTTGTCCATTTCTCCAGCCATTTCTATAAACAGTTTGCCAGAATTTATGTTTATAAGTAAACTAGTTGCTAGAACCTTAACACAACAAATTATTTTGCTTGTCATTTCTTTTCAGCCGATAACAGTAGAACTCTGAACGTGGATTCCACTGCAATGACACTACCTATGTCTGATCCAACTGCATGGGCCACAGCAATGAATAATCTTGGAATGGCACCGCTGGGAATTGCCGGACAACCAATTTTACCTGGTATGTTATTTTTAATCACCTCGCAAGTGCTTATTTTTATTGACCATGTGGTTATAAATATAGCAGTATGACACAACTTATTTTGAAGTTGACATTTACCAGATTCTGCCTAGAGTGTGCATTTTTGTAATATGAGCTTTATAGTCTGGGTGGCCAGTAGTTACTAGTATACTCCGTTTTGCACTTTGGACATGCTGGGTGTATATCCAATGCAGGCTAGGGTCATTGAAGCTTTAAACAGCTCTTTGAAATACAAGGCAACAGGATTTTGGCAAGGAATTACAAAGCGTGTGTAATTTTATAGATTTCATAGAGGAGGCAAATAAACATGGAGACAGGAAGAGAACTGACTTAGATATCTCCAAGATCTTAAGATTCCTAGAGGAGAGGAAAGGAGACGGTGGAGGACAGCCCAAAGACTCTTTTTAACATTGAAGAACTGTGTGTAAATACACACACACATACATATATACATAAACAAAGTAACCCATAATAGAATTGACATGGTGGACTAACTCCATCTCCGCTGAAGATAAAATGAGAAGCAGAACATCACAGCACCTGGAGGGTTTTGTTTAGACACAAAAAAGCTTCCTGGACAGTGAGAGCTAATTAATTATTACAATAAATTTTTGAAGACATTTGAGAATTGCCATCTCAGGGAGCCTGAGGCAGCTTTTTAAACAGCCTAAACATTAATCTCCCCAGATTCAATTAATTGTGACTTTACTTAAAAGCACAACAGGACCAGGCCAATCTAGAACCTTGCTACTCAAAGTGTGCCCTGCATAACCTGGGAACCACTTAGAATCCCAGAATCTCAGGCCCCAGCACAGACCTACTGAATCAGAAGCTGCATTTTCGCAAGGTCCCCAGGTGCTTCGCAGGCACACTAAATTTGAGAAACAGATTTAGAGTAATGCCATTTTGTCTTGCCATTTATTTATATAGTTAGCTACACCCCCAAAAATATTATTTCACAATTCCAGCCTAGGTTTTAAATCCTTATAAGTTATAATGAGGGTGAGGTCCACTAGACAGCAATACTAATAATGAATTAAGAAATGTTATTACATCAAAAGCCAAGAAACAAGCATAAAAGCAACCAAACATGAAGAAAAAAAGGTATGTGAATAAGAAATGGGTGGAGAAAAAAAAGGAGTCTAAATTCTATATATGGCAGGTGCAAAGAACTCTGCCAAACTACTATAATTCATACCATAGGTTGTAGTTCACTGGACTGTATTCTTCTCCATTAGAACAACAACAATTGAAATGAACAACCAAACATCCTTTGAGAGCTACCGTGATTGGACCATGGATCTCCTTAAGTTTTGAATGACTGGTAGGGCCAATCTGGGATCAGTGAATGTTACTGTAGGAGCCAGTATTGCAGAGTGGTTAAGAGGTCAGGTTCTGGATTCAGTCTGCTTGGCTTCCAAGCCTGTTTCTTTCACTATTGGATCTCGAGCAGTTGTGTATCTTCTGAGACCCAGTGTCCTCATCTACAAAGTCAGACTAATAGTACCTAACTCCTAGGATTGTTATGACAATTAAATCATACTTAGCACAATGTCTGGTACATAGAAGGTACTCAAAAATGGCAGCTATTAAAATACTTCAAAAATCATTACTAATGTATTTCTCATAGACATTTCTAAGGAAGTAACGAGTTTTTTATTTAGTACCTCTTTATTATTTGATTATAATAGAATTTAAACTGAAATATATATTGTTTTATATATTTATATGAAATATATATTGTTTTATATTGTTTTAAACTGAAATATATATTGTGGAGTGTCCCTGAGTCACAACACTTATAGTCTAAGATGACTAGACAATCTAATTTGACTTAAATATTTCCAGTTTATGACAGTCTGGACCATATGTGTAAAAGTCCCAGGAAAAATATTGAGGCCACATCTGCGCTGTGTTCCAGGGGACTAAATGTTAACTGATATCATATGATTTGTAAGTTATCGTATATAAGCATAAATCTATGCTCACAAAGTAATATTCAATACTTAGCCATCCATCTATAACATGGAAAAGAAAGGCCTAGCATTGAGAACAAAAATGCCACCAAGCAATCATTACAGACCCAAAGCTTGAGCTGGGGTCAATAATAAGGCTAGAAGATTGGGGTAAGTTTTCTAAACAGTGTGGTGGAGGGCTTGAATCCTCATAACAGTATCTTGCTTAGTGCTTAACAACACAAGCCTTGAAGTCAGGGGATTACATGGGTTTGAGTCCTTGCTCTGCCACTTACTGTGTTACCCTTAAGCAAGTTACTTGACCTCTCTGTTCCTCAGTTTTCTCATCTGTAAAATGGAGATAATGATAGTGTCCTAGCTCACAGGATTACTGTGGACATTAAATAATATACTTAGCACACTGCTTACCATATAATAAGCACCCAATAAAGATAAACTGTCATCATTATTACTACTCTTAGCAGTACTATATGCTCTTTGATGTAGAGGAAGTACTAACATACATTCTTCAAATTGCTGCTAAGCTCCCACTTAAATTGAAAGTATTTGGATGCTATGGAGCCACTGTCAATGCTAATATGCTAATGAGCGTTCTGCACATCCAGCTTCAACCAGACGTTTGAAACCTCAAGAGTATTTTTAATTTCTACCATTGGCCCCCTTCTCCACATCTTGTTTTCTTAACGACTGTAAAGAAATGGTTTCTCTTTGACCTGTATGTAATTCAGTGATTCTGCTGCCACCATGCTCCAGGGAAAGTTAATTGACTCTTTAGAAACCTGGTCATGGAAATGCTGGTATTAGTTAAATAGTTCCCTTCTTGTCTTAAAGTGCATGGGGCAATAACATCAGGCTGAGATATACTTTGTAAAGCTATGTATAAAATCACTTAAGTTATGTGTGAACTGGTTTTTTCTCATCTCTGTATTATTTTAGGAAGGCAGTTTACCATTGACATTTGAACTTGGGTTCTAGATCCAGAATGCCTATGTTCAAATCTCTGTCATTAACTAGTTGTGTGACCGTTGACAAGTTACTTCACTTCTCTATGCCTCAGTTTCTTCATCTGTAAAATGCAGATAATAACGGCACCTATGTTGTAGGGTTGTTATGAGGATTCATGTGTTAATACATGTAAAGCCTTAGAATGATGCCTGGCTCACAGTAATTCCTCAATTAACTCAGCTATTGTTATTAGTGTTTCAAGTTCACATGTGCGATGTGGCTCACAAAAAGTTGAATTATGACTCATCTTTACCTTTAACAATAGTGAAGGACAGCAAATGCAAGCGTGAAATTTTTGCCTGGTGAAATACTGGACAGCAACAGGTGAAGAGAACAGTATATGTCTGACAGTGCTGATGCCTGTTCCTTATAAATCTGGTGGAGATTTTCACAGAAATGGAAGGTTGGCACGACACTCCAATGCTCCCTACCTTTCTTCTTGCCAAGGTCTGGAGAACAGAGTGCCTGCCATCTTTACAATGGGTTAAAACATCTCCCTGATCAGCACCCCATGCCTCAAGATTTCTTAAAATGGAAAAGGCAGCAAATAAGCCTCATGGAGCTGTTGCCTGAAGTCACCCATCAAAGGCTCAGTAATTCAGCTACTTTTATGCTTCTCAGGAGGTTTCCTACTGAGCCAGAAGACTTTTCTTTGTCCTGTCTCATCTGGCCTGTCTGTGACAATAGAAAAGTCTTTTGACATTGATGAAAAACTAACAATAATGTAAGCTTCCTTCACTTCCCCCAGAGACCTCTAATCTATACTGTCATGGATGCTGAGTCTCTTGGACACACACTTGTCATGAAGGCAATGTCTGGCATAATTATTATATTCATTGAGTAGGGAGTAGAAACAGGCTATCTCTGAGGTTTGGTGTGGAGTTCCCTTTCAACTAACATGGTGTTTTGTACAGCTGTGGTTCAATAAAGTTAATCCATAATGATGGCAGATCAGGAGGTCCCCTCTGGCTGGCAGCTGTCTTTCCTGCAAGAGTATTTGCTTTGAGAAGCTGGTCAAATAAGACTAATGTTAGTGGAACCCAATAGAGTCAGGCCCTCTGGTTAAAGAACATTGTTCTGCCCCAGTCATTCCAGATGAATCCAAGGATGGACCCATTAAGGGATACTTGCTGAATACTACCTGCTGCTTCCTTTATTTTCCCCTCAATTAAAATATCCTTAGCAGCCAAGTGTGGAGCCTGTGAAGTCCAAAAAGAGAAGAGTCCCTCATTATGATGTCCCCACTGTATTGACTGTGTCTGCTCCATAATGAAAGATATTGGAAAATATGGACTCATGGACCTTATTTCCAGAGCAAAGCCCTGCTCATTCTTAAGGAGGCAGTTCTCACTGGATCCAACAGACCAACTCTGATGGGAACAGAAAGAAAGAAGGAGTTTGTATGATACATGACAGACCACTGTTCTGCAAGCTCCTCAGGAAGGCCTGGACTTCGGTTTGTATTATTTTTAATATCTGCCACAAATAGAGTATGCTTTTAGTGGCAAAAAAGTTGCAATCCTGAGAAAGGAGAGCACTGTTCATCATCATGGTATATATTTTACCAAGAGCCAATAATACGTAAACATTATATATACCAGATAAAATTAATGTCTCTTCAAAACAAACCTGAATTCTACCTACTGATGGTACTCTCAAGATTCACCATGGAACATATCTACACCTGGAGATACTCATTTAAGTCTCCTCCATGCCACCACGCTCCTGTACTAACACAACAGCTGGCAGTTAGCTGTTGTGTCAGGTCATCCTTTAAAAAAAAAAAGACCGAGGCGTCATCATTTGGTTTGGACATAATTGGGACCCTACTTTTATGAATATGCATGAGTTCTGTATTGTATAGCTGAAAAGGTTAAAAATGTTGTAGTTATTTATCTTGATATTACAGAAGTACTTTACTTCAACAAAAATGTATGAGTTTATATGATCTATGTATTGTCATATTTTTATTTGGGAACAAGCACATCATGATTTTGACTTGATTACTGGCAACAACAAGATTAACTGGGCCACAGAAGGACAAACAGGAGCTGGTCAACATAATAGAGACTGTGTATTGAGGTCCCCACAAAGAACGAGGTCCTATCTCCCAAGGAAGACACCAAGAAATACAGATAGTGAGGCGCTCGACATCACAGTCTGTGTAGGTAAATGCTGTGGAGCTGTTTTCTCTTGGAAACATTTTAAACTATTTAAAGCCTTTGGAAGAGTACATGAAGCTCAAGGGCTAGAGGATCTTTGAGATAAGAATTTCATGACGTTAACTAGCTGGAATAAGTAAATGCACAGTGATAGGAAAAATCATTTAAAAAGAAAAGGAAAAGACTCCCCATGGAAACTATTAGGAGAAAGAACTGAGTCAAACTATTTGCTTATTCATTCATTCATACAAGAAATATTCACTGAAGCCTGCCGGTATGAAGGTACTGTGAGAAGCCCCGCGGACAGAGCAATGAACAAGAAAGACAAAGTTTCCTACCCTCATAGTGACTCCAATACTTTTAGAACTTTCCCATTCTCTCCCTAATCCAACATGTTCTCGAATATGAGCTGGCTGTTCACTGACAACAGCTCAAAGGCCTTCCTTTCATTTTGTTCATTTGTTCTGTTATTTATCCATCCATTCATTGAAAATCTATTGAGCTAGATATAGGGGATTCCAATATGGGCATGGCACAATCCTTGCCTTCAAGCTCAAGTTGCAGTGGCAGAAGCAACAAAGTAAATACCACTACACTATCATGTTGCAAGTGTCATAATAGAAACTTGTACATAAGTATTGTTTTAGCCCAGGTGTGGTGAGGGGAAATGCTAGGTAGATGGCAGTGGTCAGAGAAGGTTCACAAAAGAGGTAATGTTTGAGCTAGGTGTCCAGGTATATATAGGAGTATGTCAGGAGGATGAAAGAACTAAGAACAGTGTAGGCAGAGGAAACAGTGCATCAATGATTGGAAGGTATGCAAGGGTATACAGTATGGAGACAGTGGTTAACTATTGAGTTACATCACCTCATTCAGCAAAGACTTTGAGGCAGCTTATAAGAAAGATTACAGTATATGAAAAAATACAATAATTTATAAAAAAATAAAATAAATCAGCATCTGGGAAAATATAAATGAGAATAGAAGACAAAGACCAGGTAGGGAAGTTAATTAAAATTCAGGTGTGTAGGTCATAGGATTCCCACCTGATTTCTGAAGTTGAGCTGCCCCTGTGACAAAGCAGCCAAAACAAAAAAGGGAAACCTGATCAGTTATATAATTTGCATTTTCCATGAAGAAAAAATATACCAGTCCTCAGGGGAAGTGAAGCTTTTAATGGCCCTTAATAATGTGTGTGTGTGTGTGACATTCTAGTTCTGAAAGAAATTTTTCACAGGAAGTTTCATATATAGGGGAGCACACTAAGTGAAATGGTTGAGTGATCTCAAAAGCCCAAACACTGGTGTGTAGGCCAGGACCCGTTTATGGCAAAATGTAAAAACTAAAAATGCAGTAAATTTGTCATGAAGCTAAATTTGCTCAATTGAAAGGACTGCCCTTTATTCTGAGGTGATAGACTTCCTATATTTTTTATTTTAAAATCTTCTTTTAGTTTCTTTTTATTTTTTCCCCACTTATTTTCTTGTCAAATTAAGAGGCTGGTGACCTTAAATATGGGTATAATTTTATTCATTTCCAAAATCCAGAAATCTGGGAACCACAGATGTAGTGGGAAATGTCCTCACTAATGCCCCTCCAAAGGTGAATACCTTTGGAGGGCATGACTCTGGACCTGTCAAATGTTCTAAAAAGGCAAGAACACAGTGTAAATGAATAAAAAGGAGTTGAGGGAAGATGGGCTACAGAGGGAGATTTTGCAAAACTTTGCACTAAAGGAATAAAGCTCCACTGGTGGAAATTTGGGATCAAAGTTGAGATATGTTTGGGAGGACCTTTGTGAACTGAAATTGTGCCACATAACCCACCAATCCCAGTTTGCCAGATTGTTTGCTGTTGTACATGAGCCAGGCCCTGTCTCACCTTTCCAGCTGAGCTGAAACAAGTGTTTAGATGATCTTTTGGGGAAACGGGACAGATGTAGGTAGAATTTGAGAGTCATTGTAAAAAAATTTGGGAACTTGTGCCTCCAAGAGGGCTGGTGAGAAGTCCAGAATCATCTTACAGCTCAGCCAGGCTGTCCTTGGAAATCTGTGTTCTCTCTTCAGATTAGAAGAGAGATATAAGGTTGAGTAGGTAGATATTAATCTGACAAAGACTGCCTAAAAAGTCTTTTAAAGAAACTATGTAGAAAGGAGGCAGGACTGTAATGGGTTAAAATTTCCCAGTACACAGGCATAATTCTTAATTTTCCAATGAATTTTGTAGGAACTGTAAAGAAATAACAATAATGTCTCAGAAATATGTAGCTCAATTGAAATCATAACTTTCTATAAAATAGCTTAATTATGCATATATAATTAGATCCTATTTGAAATAGTTATTTTGGAATAATCTGTGGTTGCATTTCAGTGGTTTTACTGTGAGTAAAAACTACCTCCTGGGGCTCAGGGGTCTCTGGAACACCTAAAAGATTGGAAATGCTTTTATTGGGCCAGGGGAGCTTGGATGGGGATAAGTCGTTAAGTGCAGGCAAAGCCTTTCTGAGAGTGTAAAGGGGCTTCCAGTAAGAACCAGGGTCCAGTTCTGAAAATTGTAAGCAAGATAGTCAATGTGTGTCACTTCCTACCTTTGCCTGCCTCCAATTGATACATGGCCACAATTTCAACTTCTTTTGTGGCACAAAATTGCAACAATGAATTTTAAAAAGAGGCCCCAAAACACTGTGACAATGCATGTGTGAAATATCTCAATAGGAACTTCTGGGTTTAGAGATAAGCAACCCCAGGATAGCCTCCTGGATAGGAAGGTTTGAAGGCCACGTACAAGGTTGAGTAGGTAGATACTGATCTGACAAAGGGCATCTGTCTTTCTCTATGAAACTGTGGACTTTGTGGGAAGCAGTGTAGACTAATGGTTAGGAGCACGTTTAGTAAGAGCTACTTACTGTGTATCCTTACTGTGTTATCTCTTTCAGCTTCAGTTTCCTCATCTGTAAAATAGGGAATATTATTTCCCATCCCTTAGGATTGTTGTGAAGATTAAGTCAGATGCAGTGTATAAAACCTGGAAATTCATAAGTAGCCAATTAATGAGTGGCTAGTATTCCTCTCCCCTACCACAAAGGTAAAAGTTGGCATTTTACAGCAAGAAGATAGCCTGAGATCAGGAGTTCGAGACCAGCCTGGCCAACATGGTAAAACCCCATCTCTACTAAAAATACAAAAATTAGCTGGGCATATTGGCGCGTGCTTGTAATCCCAGCTACTAGGGAGGCTGAGGCAGGAGAATCGCTTGAACCCGGGAGGCAGAGGTTGCAGTGAGCTGAGATCATGCCATTGCCCTCCAGCTTGGATGATAAGAGCGAGACTCCATCTCAAAAAAAAAAAAAAAAAAAGAAAAGAAAAGCCAGCATGAACGGGCCTGCCAAAAACTATTAGGACTGAACCATAAAATAGGCACGTGTGATGTCTTTGTCAGACATCAGATGTAGAACACCTCTGAGGTTTCTACGGTTTGGTAGACAACTGTTATCTTAGTACACCTAGTAGAACGTCAGTCATCTGACATTGTTCCAACTGAACAATGGTCCTTCCATATAGCAACAGTGTAGTGGCATCAGTTGCCCAAGACAGTGGCTCTGTGCCCTGCAGGATCCCAAAGCGCCTTTTCAAAAATCTGAGAAAAATCATGGTCAGTCTAGTTTGGCTGTTTAGTGTACTTTCTATTTTCATTCCTTGAAAATTGTTAACTCTATTAACCAATCACATTCCACTGCAGCCATGCTGGATATTCTCCTTATCTATTGCTATATAACAAACTACCTTAGAAGTTAGTGACTTAAAACACAATCATTTTATTATATTTTAAGATTTTTCTGGTTGAGGAATTTGGGTAGGACTGAGATGGGCAATTTTTCTGTTCTATATGATATCAACTGGGATACCTCAGTTGTGGCAGGCTGATTTCAAGACTTCACTCATATGCATGGCACCTTGGTAAGGACAGATACAAGACTGGGCTCAGCTGGATCCATCTTCTGTCATTTGCTCTAAGTCTCTCTCCACATGGTCTCTCTAGCAGGGTAGTCAGCCTTCCATGAGGATGAAAAGCTCCTGTATCACACATTTCTAGAGACAAAAGGTAGAAATTGCATCTCTCTTAATGCCTGGGCCTGAAAAAGGGCACAGTATCCCTTCTGCCATATTCTGTTGGTTAAAGCAGTTCTAGAGCCCATCCAGATTCAAAGGGATAGGGGCATAGACCCTTACCTTGATGGAAGGAGAATCAAAGAATTTATATCCAACTTTAATCCACCATATTGGGGGAAGAAGAATTGTATGTAAACATTTTGTTGCTCATATGCCTTATTTTTTCCAACATATTTGCTTCACTTTATATCTGCAATCATATTAATTCATTGAAACCATTGTCATACTACATTGAGAGGCAGTGTAGTGGTTAAGGGCATTAGAATTAGACCAAGTTGGATTTGAATTCTAGGTCTGCCTCTTACTGGCTGTATAAACTTGAGCACGTAACTAAACCCCCCTTGAACCTCAACTTCTTTATCCATAAAATGAAGGATAACAATATCCAAGCTCACAGGTCTATTAGAATGTGATTATATAAAATGCTTAGCACTGAACCTAAAACATTTTAAGCACTTAATAAACAGTTATGGTGGTTCACTGATGGTACAGCATTGTAACTGTTTGCGTGGTTGTTTCCAAACTAGAGTATAAGGCCAAGGATTTTTGTCTTATTCATTTCTGCAGCCCCAACACCTGACATAGGACCTGTCATCAAAATATTGAATGAATAGATATAGGGATAACTGGGTAGCTGCACAGAAATGACATTTGCCTCCATTGTAATTCCTTGGCTCAGATGTGTACAGAGAATGGACAATAATCACTCTGCCAAGGTTGAGTAAGTGCAAGTTGCTAGGTATCAGGAAGGCTCAAAGCTACATGGAAACATTACTTGAAATCACATGGTAGAGTTGCAAGTCTGAGGAGCAAGCTGGCCCCAGCTAACAGACAGCATTTGCAGAATTTCCAGTGGGCTGGGACTTTGGGAAGTACATGAATCAGAAGAGGGAATACGGGCTGGGCCTGGTGGCTCATGCTGTAATCCCCACACTTTGGGAGGCCAAGGCAAGTGGATCACTTGAGGTCAGAAGTTTGAGACCAGCCTGACCAACATGGTGAAACCGCTTCTCTAGTAAAAATACAAAAAAAAAAAAAAATAGCCGGGTATGGTAGCGCATGCCTGTAATCCCAGCTACTAGGGAGGCTGAGGCAGGAGAATTGCTTGAACCCGGGAGGCGGAGGTTGCAATGAGCTGAGATCGCACCACTCCACTCCAGCCTGGGCAACAGAGCGGGACTCCGTCTCAAAAAAAAAAAAAAAAAACAGAGAGAGATAATACAAATCAACATGTCATGGCTCTTTCAGCAATGGCCATGCCAAGAGTCAAGAAGGCAGTGGGGAAATGGTGTTAGAAGAGACGATAAAAGCAAAATAGAACAGGATATTTATTGCGAAAAGGACTTTGGAGGAGTATCTTGGCCTTTTCCATAACTCTTTTATATGATTTCAAATCTTTGAAACTTTGAATTCCTAATATAAGTGGCAATGGTACATACTTGGTAGTACTCCACAAGCCAGGCCAGGGGCCTGGAAAAGGGAGATAATTCCTCTGGTGTTCTATTCCCAGTGTGTTTTAAATTGCTGGAATTCTTTGATTTTTCAGGTTCTGCAATATATGTATAAAGCCCATGACTTCAAATGGTTTTCTTGGTTGACATTGGAAATCCACATTCACTTTGGTGCTTAATGGTTAAAGATAAACAAAAGAAATAATCAACGTGATAGAAGCCTTTGAAATGTCATGTACAACCTGCCCTCTAGGAAGCCCTTATGGGCAGTGTAGCCTATGGAACTCCTGGCATATTGAACAAAAGGAAGAGGGGGAGTTTATCTACTCTGGCTTTAGCCATATGCAATGAATACGTTTGCTTTTAAATGAATTTATAAAATATTAATGTAATTATACGAAACAGCAGAGTGGTAAGTACATCAGTCAGGAGTTATATTTATCCTGTATATTTGTTTTTTGTTTGTCTCCATTTATTAGTAGACAGTAAATGGAGACAGACATTTCCTTCTCAGCCAAAGTGGCAGAACTTGTTTAATGAGCTGATGTTTCTGTAATCTGTGGTAAGGTAGAGTTGTGAGTGACAGAGCTATACGAATAACAAGGAGGCAGGCAGAACAATAGAAGGAAGACAAACATTTCAGTAGAAGAGGAAAAATAGATGGGATTGTTTTGTTGGCACACAATCTAATCTGATCTTTTCCTAACGAAAAATAACAGTTTGTAAATGGGTAAGATAATGTTAATAATTTCTCCAAAATCTTCTGCATGAGAAATCAAATTTTCCGAAGACATAAATGGCATTCTTAACCATAGTGCTCTTATTTTACAGCATAGGAAGACAGGGTATCGGAAGCCTTAAGTTCTCTAAGATCAAACGGGAAACCTAGACACCACCCCCAACACTTGCATAGAGCCTGACATATAGGAAGCCTATCACAGATGTTTGTGAATGTGTGAATGAATGCCTCAATTAGTGAATTTATCAGTGTGAGTTTTCACATTTTAAATGGAAGGAAGGAAACTTACCTATCAGTACTATCTCTCACGCCAGAGGTCTTCATATCTGTTCTGTGCTTTCGTCCTTTGAGCTAAATGCCATTATTTACCCCCACTTTTACCAAAAAGGAAATAGAGGCATACAGATATTAACCCCCCACTTTTACCAAAAAGGAAATGGAGGCACACAGATATTAAGAAACTTTCTTCAACATCACATAACTACTATATGGAGGAGAGTAGAGTATAGATATGAGAGCCATGGGTGGGAGGGAGGGAAGGGGAGAGTACGTGTGTGTATGTGTGTGTGTGTGTGTGTGTACATGCAAGTTGAGTGAGATGACATTTGAGGGCTAAAAGTAAATATTTTCATAAAAATAAAACTTCCTCTTGGGAGAATTTTTTTCTTCCCAAACATTTTCAGGGTCTTGACATCACAGGATAAAAAGGCATGTGAGAGGCTGGGTAGTGCCCTAGCTTGCTTGGGCTGCCTTTGTAACAGGGGATGTCCATGTGCCATCTGCCTGCCCAGCTCCAGATCTCCCTCTTATTGTGCCTGTCAGACCTGAGGTTCTGCTTCTGTGGGAATCCTGGGTTTTTCCTGCCATTTAGGTTGACCTCATCCAGCATCTTAGAGACAAAGAGCCACCCAGGGGACTTCAGGGCCACTTTAAGGACATGTGTACAGGCATTGCTCTTCTGGCCTGTGTGGTGAACATGGTGAAGTCTTTGGGAGTAAGTCCTGCTACTGCTGCTGCAACTGCCTCTGCATTACCAGAACCCCTCAGGCTGCAGTACTTTCTTTCTTTGCAGTCCACTTTCTTTCTTTGCAGTCTGCAGGTTCTATAGCGAAGGCAGAAGTGGGAGGCAGAGAAACAAAGAAGTAAAGTGCACTCCCTTCTCTCACAGAAATTCCATTTTGACCTAGAGGCAAGATTTAAACAATGAAATCAATACCAGCCTTAGATCCAGGCAAGTGGGGCTCCTCCTCAGGGACCCCTGTGCTTTGGAATGCCTACCTGGATAATTTCTAAGTCCCCTTCCAGAGCCAAGCACTGGCCAGGCAGGCAGTATCATCAGGGCAGCTGTCCTGGGTCCAGAGCAGCTCCTCCTTGTATTCTGGTTGTAAGAAGTACCTTTCTTGAAATTTTCTAAGTTCCCCTCCAGTGTCTGGGACTGACTGTGACTGGCATTATCATCTGAGAAGCCCCAATCTTAAACAGGACACATGTGTACCTGAGTCCCCATTTCTCCCCTTTGCGATACTATCCAATCCTCTAACCTGTATGTGCAGTGAACTAGATGCCCCAAGAAGCTTCAGGACTCATGGAATCCTCCCCAAAGTCTTGGTTCCAGGAGAGTGGCCTGGCAAGGAAACCACTCCAGCTGGCTGGTGTGGTATTTCTTTCATGGTATCGCGTGAGATTGTGCCACGAAAATGCTGCCAGTACTGATTCGCAGTGAAACAAACCATGTACGTAGATAGGCCCCACAAAAAATACTTGTTTGGGTGCCCCCACACATGCTAGAGGCATCCCTGAATTAAACAAAGAATAATGCAAAATAAAAAAAAAATCAGTGGTAACAGGTATAGAACCTATAGCTTTTAGAGGCAAAGTCAAGAATGAACCAGAATTATCTGGAAAAGCCTCTTCAAGGAAGGTGACACTTAAGCCAGGCCTTGAAGCATGGGGAGAATTTGCGGAGGCCCAAATAATTCCAGGCAGAAAGAAAAACATGAACAAAGGCACAGAGAATAGTTATTTATCAAACCTATGCTCAGCATATTAGATTCATCATTTTGTTTACTCCTCACAGCTTCCTGTAGCGTAGGTGATATTAACCCTATTTTGCAGATGAGGAAATGGAAGTTCATCCTGCTAAGCAAATGGTAGACCTAAAACCCAGGTCTGCTTGATCCCCAAAACTCTGTGCTCTTAATATCATGCTGTACCGTACAAAGAAAACATGTACAAGGGACAGTAAAAAGCCTTCTCGGAATGGAGCAGAGAGTGTGTGTTGGAAACTAGGAGAGGCAAGATCAATAGACAAGGCATGGCCATCCTATGAAAGACCTTGGATGCCACAATGAGATGCAGAGACTTAAATAAGCCCTGGTCAAACCAAACAGCCCCATCCTGAAAGGAAAATGCACAACTATAAGATAATATTTAAGACCTGGGAATACTAAGTACCATGCTTGTTAAATATTTTGCCTCTGTCTTAGAAAGGCCTTTGATTTGAAGCTTACAAAGTAACATTCTATCTCCACTTAACTTTGCCTGGTGTCATTTATTGTTCTCTCTTCTCCTTTTTTAGACTTTGATCCTGCTCTTGGAATGATGACTGGAATTCCACCAATAACTCCAATGATGCCTGGTTTGGGAATAGTACCTCCACCAATTCCTCCAGATATGCCAGTAGTAAAAGAGATCATACACTGTAAAAGCTGCACGCTCTTCCCTCCAAATCCAAGTAATATTCTGCTTTTTTCTCCACACAAGACACAATATTTTAGTGTACAAGAAAGCTTTCTTCTTTCTCAAAAGAATACCCAAGGGCTTCATAGATGTTTGTACGAAAGCTTCACCTAGAGAACAGAAGACAGGAAAATTTTCTCTTGCTAGGCAGGGTTGAATTTTATGCACACAACAGTAGACTTTTGTGTGCAGGTTGCAGTACAAATGATACATGTTTCTAATGCCATCTGGTAAGGAATTCAAGTGTGTTAGTAAAGAAGGAAGCATACAGATTGCTCAACACCATCATCTGCAGTCTTTTCTTTTCGTAACTGCCGCATGTGCTGATGGTGGCAGAGACAGAGTGTGGTCTGAAGCACATGAGAATATACATTTGGTGCTAAGAATCTTCCACTGCTAGCAACTATTCATACATCACTCGAACCACTGCTATTCAACCGATGGGTTGTAATATACAGTGAGGCATGGCTCAACATATTGGAAGGGCAAAGAGGAATATTGAGACTAAGTCACACTACTCATAGCCACCAGTCAATGCAGTTCATGTGGAAGTAATCTAGAGATCCATTTTGTCAGTAATGAGGAGGCTTCTCCTTAGATTCACTTTAAAACATGTGTAAAGATAGGGTGGCCCTATTTTACTTAAAATGTCCCACTAATAATAATTGACTAAAACTTTTTTTCCAGATGCACTTGGGGTTTTATATACATTCAGTGATTAGAAGCTGATTCTGCATGTGCCCCAAGCCTCATTAATGATTTTTCCATAGTTCTAGTCATACTGGGTGGCATACCAAGGGAACCACCACTGCAGTACAAAGATTAGAGCTGTTTGTTAAGAGATACATTCAGTGGTTTAGGGCATAGATCAAATGACCTTGCCTTATCAGGATAAATATGAATCTTTGACATGTGACTTCAGACAAATATTTCATCTCCTACCTTTAATAGGAATCAGTTAATCATGGCCCAAGCCCTGGCAGGGACCCAGATTTTACTTAGTATGGTCTGCTCATAACTGAGAGGATTTTATAATCAATCAGGTTGGTTGGATAGATCATCTTGGCCTCTTTTGCTAGAAAAAAAAAACAGATCTTTATGCTTTCTTCTGGTTTTTGAACGTGGTTGTCAACAAGATACATCCTTCCAGACCAATAAGAAATCTAGGAGGCCAGCATCTCAGAGGACTGTATTGAGAGAAGAGCTAGTATGTCACAAGGAGAATTAGGGAATGGAGAATAAGATGGCCCTTGCAGGCCTTACTTGCCAGCTCAAATGGCCATTCCTGGATTTGTGTTTAGTGCCTAAGTGAATGAGCAGCACCATTTTATCTGTCTCTTACTCTTAGTTCCACTGTCCCTACAAGTGGGCAATGGCCTTTTTTACCTTTCAGCATGTTGCTTTCAGATTAGAGAAAGTTGTATTCCTGATAGTACCTTTTCTACACAAAAAGCCATGAACTTAGGCACTGCCAGTGTTAAAACCTCCTGCTTATGAAAGGGTAGAATCCTGCTGATTAATCATTCATTTATCGCATAATCAGCCTGCAGCAGGCTTTCATTGTCTCAAATATATCTAAGCTAACAGGATGGCTCACAACCTGTAATGTCCAGGTTGGTTGCAGTAGTTTACTTTACAGGATGTTCAGTTTCTAAATTTCTAAAGTACAGATGCCTTGTTTATGACACATAGACCATATTGTTGAGCAGTCTTCAAATGAATCTAGAAATATATAGCTTAAGAAGGCTCTAACTTTTGATAGCCTCTAGTAAAAGAAACGGACTGACATCTCTCAAATACATTTTTATATTTCCCCACCTGCAGCCATGCCTCTACAGTTCTGAGTTGGAAGAACCTCTCACAGAGTGAGAGGGCAGCATATCTCCCCCATGGCTCCGTCTTTTAGTTCTTCATCCTTGTATTGAGAATGCTTACGGGGCAACTAGCACCAGTAAATTGGTGGCTTCTGGGAAGGAACCTGGCCTTGGAATTGAATTCAAACATAAAACTCTTGACACAGCTTAAAGTAAACTGGTGTTCTGTTTGCTTTTTAGAACTTGAGTTTTGTTCAAAGTGGGCTTGGATTACTTGGGTGGAGAAAACACTAATAGAAGTGCTTCTCTTAGTTCTCTGCTGAAAGCATGGCAAAAGTGACATTGTTGTTGGTGGCCCCAAGACATTGCTTTGTGAAGGTGAGATGGGAAGAGCAGGGTAGGAAAGGAAGAACAGGGATTTGGTGTGACTGAACCCTTTATCATCTCAGCCCACCAACCCTGCCTGATCAGGCCTTGATTATTGTATTAGTCTGTTCTCACATTGCTATAAAGAAACACCTGAGGCTGGGTCATTTTTAAAGAAAAGAGGTTGAATTGGCTTATGGTTCTGCAGGCTGTACAGGAAGCATAGTGGCTTCTGCTTCTGGGGAGGCCTCAGGAAGCTTCCAATCATGGCAGAAGGCAAAGATGGAGCGAGGTGTCTCGTGTGGCAGGAGCAGGAACAAGAGAGTGGGGATGAGGTGCTCCTGACTTTTAAACAACCATATCTCACGGTAACTCACTCACTATCACAAGAGCAGCACCAAAAGGATGGTGCTAAATCATTCATGAGAAATCCACCCCCTGATCCAATCACCTCCCATCAGGCCCCACCTCTAACATGGGGTATTACAATTCTACATGAGAATTGGGCAGGAACACAGGGCCGAACCATATCAATTATAAACCCCACTCCTTACTCCTGCCTGCCTCTGGTATATTCTCTTACACTCAATGGCCTCTGAAATTCCTCTCAGCAATAAGGTCCTGTGATTCAGGGACTCATACGGTCTGCTTCTAATTCTTGTTGCTTTATTAGAAAGTATCTTTGCCATCCATTCCCTCCCCTGTGTCCCACCTGACATTTCATCCAAGTGCTTGTCACATATATAGAACCATAAAATTGTCCTGTGGCTCCCACTGCCCACAGATTCATAGTCCAACTCCTGACCTCAAAAACCTTTTACTTGTCTGCTTCATATGACTGTCTTCAATCCATCACTTCTACTTGCCACATACCTGCCATTTAGTCAGGTTCAACTACTTCCTGACCTCATACTCCTCACACTCTCCTCCAGCCCAACTTCAAGCATACCCCTTTCTGGTTCACTTCCACATGGAAGGTATCGGAACTAAAACTGTAGTGAATCACTCTAAGGCATTTTCACTTAAATAGTGAATGCCAAATCTAATGGATTTCTTTCCCTCACACAGTGCGTTTAATCTGTGAGAAAATTATGTCAGTCTACCTAACAACATATGTCTGTAATCCTTCCATATTCACAATAACCACTGCTATGATTTAGTTTGTATCTGCCATGATTCATTTTCTAAATTATTGTAATAGCCTTCTAATTAGTCTTCCTTCTTCACCCTTGCCCCCTACAGTCTATTCTGAACAGAACAGACAGAGTGATCCTTTTAAAACCTAAGTCTGATCATGTAATTCCTCTACTCAGAACCCTTGAATGGCTCCCCATTTCACTCACAATAGAGACTAAAGTCCTTTTAATTGCCTAGAAGGTCAGATATGATCTGTTCCTCCCCTCCATTGTCTCTTTGACTTCATCTCCTACTCTCCTCCCCATCTCTTCCTCTGTTCCGGTCACACTGACCTTCATGCTGTTCCATGAACACACCAGCCACTCTCCCATCATAGGGCCTTTGCGCTAGCTCTTCCACCTAGCTAGAACACTTCCCCTCTAAATATCTGCGTGGCTAACTCTCTCACTTCTTTCAAGTCTTTGCTCAAATGTCACTTTCTCAGTGACCCTGATAACCTATTTAAAAATTATCTCTCTGCCACAGTCCCAATCCTATTTACCTTCTCTATTTTTTATAAAACATGTTTCTTTTTTTTGAGACAGGGTCTCCCTCTGTTGCCCAGGCCAGAGTGCAGTGGTGTGATCTTGGCTCACTGCAGCCTCCACCTCCTAGGCTCAAGTGATCCTCCTGCCTCAGCCTCTCGAGTAGCTGGGACTGCAGGCATGCCCCATCATGCCCAACTAATTTTTGTATTGTTTTTAAAGACAGGATTTTGCCATGTTGCCCATACTGGAGTTATTACCTTTTAACCAACTATATAATTTGTAGAATATAAACCCCACGAAGGCAGAATTTTTGTCTTTTTTGTCTCCTGATGTATCACCAGCACTTAGAAAAGTGTCTTACATATAGTAGGTGTTCAATAAATATTTGTTGAATGATGGTGGGAGGGAGGATTGGATGGATGATGACAGAAGGAGGGGTCAGAGGTCTAGAAAGCAAAGCAAGAGAGTATGAGGTAATTACTACTACATGCTAATGACTTCCAAATCTATATTTTTAGTCTATATCTCTTCTAAGCTTCAGATACATGTAGCCAACTGCCTACTAGACTATTCTGGGTGTGTCTACATCAAATGTACAAAAAATGGTATTATAGTATAGAGGACAGACTACCAGTTTATAAATCAAGACAACTGTGTTCTATTCCCAAGTCTGTCACTAACTAGCTGTGGGATCTGGGGATAGTCATATAACCTCCTTGGTCTCAACCTCCTTGTGTGTAAAGCAAAAATATTGTGTTAGATTAGCCTAGATACCTCTAATGCTTCATCCAGCTCTAAAGTTATGATTCTCTACATTAAAAATGTAGCTACCACAATAATTATTTACATAGGCAAAAGCCCTTTAAAATGCATTAGGAAAAGCAAGGGCTGGTTGGCAGGTAGCATGTAGAGCTTTGTACCTTCTCTGGAGCAGGCACTATAGCATAATGGGTAAGTTTTCAAGCTCAGAAGTGACACAGGCCAGCCTGGTTTCATATCCCAGCTCTCCACCACTAAATAGCCATAAGATCTCTGATAAGGATCTTAACTTCTCTGTTGTAGACTAGGCAAAATCAGACCTGGTCTAAAAAGTCAATGGATCAAACTAGACTGGAGCAGACCAAGTACCAGTCTCCTAAAGATAAATGGTGAGTGAGTACCCCATTGTTGCAGAAGCAACATTCTCTGATTTCCAGGAAACTGAGATATAACAAGAAAAAAATAAGTGCCCTGGAACACACTTTTTTTTTTTTTTCACAGAGTGTCTATCAGAGATTTACTGAATTCCCAATTAGCAGTTCTTAGTGGTGAAAAAAAAGGGTAATACGATTCTCTCCAGAAAATTTGATTTTGCCAAGATTTTTCACTTCAGCGATTAGACCTTCTATGGAGAGGTTACATTTTGAGTCTACTGGGAAATAACAGTGAACAGGGAATAAGTAATGGAATATCATCTGCTATCCGTCTCCAGGAACATGGGAAAATACCCAGGAGCCAGAAAAAGAGCAAGAACAATGTTTTCATTTTACCATATCAAAATGGGAAGACTCTCAGGGCTGAATGCTATAAAGAGAGTTAGAGAAATTGAGCATTAATTAAAATTCCCCAGCCTTCTAATTTTTCCAATCAGTTGGGATTACATTAAGATACATTTAACCCCTGCTGATTGTCCAGGGGACCTTCAATCTTGAGCTGTCTAATAAAATCGACTTAAAGACTTTGCAGTATATAAATCCTGGCAAACCAGCTGAGTGATCTGTGATGCTCCTTTGAAAAGCAAGATTCAAGTGGCTTATCGGTTCTCTATACTGCTTCCTGCCTCACTTCTCAAAGATCAGCAATGACTCAGATTGCCCCAACATAGCTCCCCAGAGTAGATGCTTGGGTATAATTAGAATTGCTAAAAGCTCCTCCTTTTCCATTACCAGAGATTAGAGTTCTTTTTATTCCCAGTTATCTTGAATCTTTGTACATGGAACTTTTCTTTGTCTCCATCCTGAGTGGTGATTGGGGTGCTATAGAGCTTAGCACATTACCTGATTAATAGGTGGGCTTTGAATTTGCTCTCCTATGGGTTATCATTGCTGTGCCCTGATCACTGTATTTCAGTGGGATTAGAAAATCAGGCCCAGACGACAAAGTGCTTTGAGCTGTTAATTAAGGAATGGGTACTATCCATTAAGGAAGATAGTATAGCCCATTGCCCTGCTTGGTGGCATACCCCTAAATCTCAGCAAATGCTATTAAAGAGGCTTTCTACATTTACCCAAGGAAAATAAATAAATCCTCAGCATTCTTGACATTACTCTTAGTGGCTTTTATGCCCTTTTACTTAGAAAACAGTCACCACAGAAGAATCACAGCACCTAAATAGGGTGATGACTTCATCACAGAATTTTTTTTTTTTTTTTTTTTTTTTTTTTTTTTTTTGAGACGGAGTCTCGCTCTGTCACCCAGGCTGGAGTGCAGTGGCAAGATCTTAGCTCACTGCAAGCTCCGCCTCCCAGGTTCAGGCCATTCTTCTGCCTCAGCCTCCCAATTAGCTGGGATTACAGGCACGTGCCACCATGCCCAGCTAATTTTTTGTATTTTTAGTAGAGACGGGGTTTCACCGTGTTAGCCAAGATGGTCTCCATCTCCTGACCTCGTGATCCGCCCACCTCAGCCCCCCAAAGAATTTTTAAATCCCACAAATGTAGCCAGGGGATGGAGCCTTTGCCTTTTCAGTGTTACATGTAACTGCCACAGTAACCACATGCTTTTTAGAGTCTCTCAGTGGACCTAAAGGTAGACTAAAGGAAACTCAAATGGTATAAAAGTGATTACTAACTTCACAAAAGGATTCTTTGCCACCTAATTCTCCTAAATAGTAAACTTAGGAAGCCTTTTTGATTCTGAAACAGGATTGTATTCTAAAGTCTCTAATTTTAAAACATGGTTCTAACTATATGGATACTCTTGGAAATTCTTTACCTTATATAGTCGGTGGGGGGGGGGGTTGTGTTCCATGGTCAAAGCCATATGTATCTTCATAGCTGTAGATTTCTCTATCCATATGAGTGGTTCCTTCTCAAACCCAGCCTTGTCTAAAGATCTGTGTGACACTAAGATCTGGAAGTTTAGAAGTTCAGGTCTTAGCTACCACTCTACTCCAGACTTCTGGTAGGACTTTAGAAAGTCCCAGATTGGGAATTAAGAAACCTGGGTTCTATAATAGTAAATAATAATAACGCTACAATGACTGCTATTTATTGGGAACCGGCCAAGTGCTAGGCATTGAGCCACATGCAATATAGACAGTATATTATCGGTTATCCTACAATAACCCTTGTAAGGTGGGAACAGCATCCCTGTTTTAAAGATGAAGGAAGAAGTTTTCAGGGGTTATATAATTTTCCCAAGGTTATACAGTCAGTTATGAAGTTAAGATTTACATTTAGGTTTACCTGCTCCAAGTTCATGTTCCTTCTCTCTAATGTGGTGACCTGGAATGAGACATTTAACCTCACTAAGCTTTTTCCTCTGTAATATCAGAGATTTAGACTAAGTCAATAGTTTTCAACCTTAACTACACATTACAACTGCCTGAGAAGCTTAAAAAGCAACAAAAACAAAAAAAAACGAATGCACAGGCTGCACCCCAGACTAATTAAATAAATCAGACCCACTGGGGTGGGACCCAGGCATTATTTGTTTAACTTCCAAATTGATTCAAATGTGCCACCAGAGTTAAGAATCACTGGAAGTGTGATGGCTAGAATCCCTTCCAGTTCTTAAAAACTCAAAAGCATAAGTCTCAAACAATTCTAGACCTCATCTTCTCTATTTTGGCCCAAACTACAACCTCTTCAGTGCTTGTGACTAAGACATTTCAGATTCCTGCTCACTAGGTTATTTTCCCTTTCCCTCTAATCCTTTCATATGGAACAAAAAACCAGTACAGTGAGGTCTTGAAATTACAGACTTGTAAAAATTAACAGAAAGTTTGTAAGTTCCCTGAATCCCTTTACCCCTTTTTTTGACCAAATACAGGGAAAGAGAGTATTATGAGTAACTGATTATTCTTAGCCACACCAACAAGACAGAGAGTAGTAGCAAAGTGAGGAAGCTAGAGATCCTGATACCCAAGGAGGCTCCCAAATCAACTGCTTGCCAACTTGGATAAGAGTCAGGTTGGGGGCCTTGGCCTAATCTATGAACATGACTCATTTATTTTTGCATGTGAGCTATAATCACTGGTTGTTGAGCTCTCCAAATCTTGAGCTAGGAGAATTGTTGTTAAGAGCTGAATGGAAAAGAATGGATTACACAAAATAAATCCTTGCGGATACAAAACCAACACTAGAAAACCCATGACCATCATGCTTTGTTTTGTTGGGCTACAAACTGTAGGAGTTTGCTTGGAAATTGCTTTGATACATATAAATAGCAACAAAGAGCTGGCAGATAGAACAGGCTTTATGTTTAAGATGAGTGCATATTTTTTTGAAGCAGAGGGAGAATCATCTCATTAAGTAGGTTTTTAATGATTCTCTATGGCCAAATTTATCTCACTTTAGTTAATGATTTCCCAGACGAGCTTATTTTCTCTGCTGTCTTTCATATTTCCCTGTAAATGCTGCAAGACAGACTCTGGACCTCACCTCTCCAGCAAGGAATTTGAGGAAAGGCTCACTGATATTGAAAAAAACAACATAAAAGGGATGGTTTGTACTCTGACTGATTTTGTGAAACCAAATCATTCTGACAGCTGTAGGCATTGTTGTAAGTAGGTACCCCATCATTGTCAAATTAATCCTGAATCTGTTCCTTCAAAAAGCATTAACAGAGAGAATGTAGTAACTACAATCTGAATTAAACAAATCCTTCCTCAGGAACCCTGGTTCTGAGAACTCTTGAAAATAACAGTTTAAACTGAGTGGGATTTTCTCCCACTAATTTCTTAATAAAAATGACTAAAAATTTGGCATAGCTGGATTGTCACAACAAAAGTAACGAACAAAACTAAAGGACTCTGGATGGGACAGACAAATAGGCCTGGGTCTTTATGCTCCAGATATCATGGTCAGCAAACGATTGAATAAAATGATTTTCAGGTTCACTCAGTCAGTTTTCTGTGGAGCAGAGATGAACACCTCAGAGGCCACATCCTTCTGACACTCTTAGACAAAAGTTTGACAGGGATAGCAGGGAAATGTTAGATTTCGAAGAGGTCTGTCCCAAGCAAACATTTTAATTTCAAATGTTTTTGCCCTTACAACTTAGATCTCCCACCTCCTGCAACCCGAGAAAGACCACCAGGATGCAAAACAGTATTTGTGGGTGGTCTGCCTGAAAATGGGACAGAGCAAATCATTGTGGAAGTTTTCGAGCAGTGTGGAGAGATCATTGCCATTCGCAAGAGCAAGAAGAACTTCTGCCACATTCGCTTTGCTGAGGAGTACATGGTGGACAAAGCCCTGTATCTGTCTGGTAGGTGTTTAGATGTGAGGATTGTGCCCACCAGGCACAACGCAGATATTAAAGATAGAACTATTTGTGTCTATAGCAGATAAGTTTGGGCTTAGTATTACCTGCTCTTGCCTTCAGAGGTGGAAACTGAATGTTCCCATTCAACTTCTTCCTTTAAAGCTCTTCAGTAGCTCCCAGTTGTCTATGGGATAAATCCAGACTCCTCACATGTGGCATCTAAAGGCCTTGACTGTGGGCTGTCCTTCTTAGAGTCATCTCCCAGTCCTTCCTTCCCTCACACACCATGTCCCAACCACACTAAGTGAACTCGAATTCCCAGAATGTGCCATGGTGTTTTATGCCTTTTCCTCTGACTAGAGTCACCCTGCCCACCACACACACCCCCTAAAGCTCCAGCTCAAGCACACCCTCCTCTGGAAAGCTATCTCTGACCTGTCTCCCCACTCTGCCCAGCACTGCTTTAGGCACTCCTTCCTCAGGGCTTTCACAGCACCTGGTGCTTCCTCCCAACATGACACCTACTGTACCATGCTAGAACTGTCTCTTTCCACATCCATCTCCCCCACCAGAACGTGAAATCCTTAAGGGCAGGGACTGTGTCTTATTTAACATTGAATCCCCAGCATCTAGCACATAACCTGGCACAAAAGTAGATACTCATAAATAGTTATGGAAGTCAGTTATTTGTCAAATATTTATTGACTGCTAGGCAGAATGCTAGGTTGCTGGGGATGCAGCAAAGGGTGAGGCAGATAGACTTCCTGTCATCAAGGATTTTACATTCTGGAAATGGCAAAATATAATATATATGAAAACAAATAAATAAGTTACTTTCAGTACTAAGTGCTCCGAGGAAGATAAAAAAGGTTAAGGTACCCAGAGTTGTTAGGAAAGGAAGTCTTCTCTGACATTTGAACTGAGACTTGAATAATGTGAAGAGAGATTGCCATGTAAACATCTTGGGGAAGAGCGTTCCAAAATAAGGAACACCAAGCCAAAGTCCGTGAGATGAAAATGGACTTGGTATGTTCAAGCAGAGGATAGAAAGTTAGTATGACTGGAGCATAGAAAATGAGAGAGGGAGTGGAGGGAAATGAAATCTGAAAGGCAGGCAACTATGACAATGAGTTTTATTCTGGAAGCCACTGGAGGATTTTAAGGAATTCAGTGACATGATCTGATTTACATTTTACAAATGTTACTTCTGAGCAGAAGATGGGCTGAGAGGTATGAGCAGGAGTGGTGACTGGGAACTAAGTTAACCAGCTGTAATATTAGTCTAACCCAGAAGTGATGGTGGCCTGTATAGTACAGTGGTTGGAGTGGAGATAGTAAGAACTACTTTGCATAAAATCTCCTGTTTATAGTAAAAATTCAGATTTAGGGTGTGTCTTGGTCCATTTTCTGTTGCTTATAACAGAATATCTGAAACTGGGTAATTTTTTTTTTTTTTTAAGATGGAGTCTTGCTCTTGTCGCCCAGGCTGGAGTGCAATGATGTGATTTTGGCTCACCGCAACCTCCGCCTCCTGGGTTCAAGCAATTCTCCTGCCTCAGCCTCCCGAGTAGGTGGGATTACAGGCGCCTGCCACCACGCCCGGCTAATTTTTGTATTTTTAGTAGAGATGGGATTTCACCTTGTTGGCCAGGCTGGTCTCGAACTCCTGACCTCAGGTGATCCACCCACCTCGGCTTCCCAAAGTGCTGGGATTACAGGTGTGAGCCATCATGCCTGGCAAAACTGGGTAATTTATAAAGAAAAGGAATTTATTTTTTATAGTTATGGAGGCTGGAAGTCTAAGGTCTAGGGGGCACATCTGGTAAGGGCCTTCTTGCTCTCTGCAGAGAGTTAGCTCAGGTCTTTCTTCCTCTTATAAAGCCACTAGTCCTACTCTCATGACAACCCATTAATCCATTAATCTGTGAATGGATTAATCCATTTATGAGGACAGAGACTTCATGACCCAATCACCTCTTAAAGGCCCCAGCTCTTAATACTGCCACATTGAACTACTTCTTTGCCTAACAGTAATGGTTTGGAAGAATTGAGTCTAAGTGCTAGACATTTCATGATGACAGCATCTTCATTGGTATAACAGGTACTTATTGAACATCTTTTTTCTGTAAACTCTTGTGCTAGATGCTATGCAGAGTAGAAAATGAGTAAAACCTAGTTCTTCCCCTTAATGAATTTAGGGTTAGTATGTAGTCATACACTTATTTATTAAAGAAAAATGTATTTAGTGCCAGGCATTACTCAATACACTGATATGATACACACACTGCTAATAAGAGATTAAAAGTTATAAGTGCCATGGAGGAGGAAGTGAGGGAGGAAGGTAGGAGAGGGAGAACGAGAATATTTCTGACTCCTAACTGGGGGCATCAAGAAAGGTAGCTTTTGGACCAAGTCTTTGACAAAGGGAAAACATTTGCTTGTGGACAATGGGGCATGAAAACAGCATGAGCAAAAGTACAAAGGTGGTAAGCTTTGGCAAACATTCAGGAAACAGTGAGTAGTGGTTTGTTTACTAAGTAGACATGAGAGGAGGAGGCAAAATATCAGTTATTAGCACACTCCAAAAGGCTTAACAGTTGGGTCTTTACTCCTCAGGTAATAGGGAATTGAAGAAATTTTTGAACAAGGAAGATAATTATTTCCGCAAGATTAATTTGACAGCTCTATATAAAACTGTATTAGAGGAGAGATGTGAAAAGAGGAGAGGAGGTCAGTTAGAAGCCTGTTGTAATAGGCCAGGGAAAAGGTAACAAAGGTTTGAAAAAGTAGGCTGGTAACATGGGTAAGGAAAGGAGGAGGTGTAGATGGAGAATACTCTTTTTACATTTGGTAAGTGCTATAGAATCTAATTACCAAAAATTCGGCAGCACTTAATAATAACAGAGCATTCCACGAGACTATTTTAATAAGAACATAAAGGTCTCAAAAAACCCTGCGTAGGTGTACTTAAAAGACAATATACTGTTCAGGAAGCATCCATCTAAACATCACCAAAATCAGCTCTCTGTTAACAGCCACCTCCTAGAAACATTCTTAGGGCTGCCAAAAGAAAGGGGATTTCCATCAGTGATATGAAAACAACTAAATTTTGCCCTTTAAATTTGAATCTGTCCCCCTGAAAGTGCCCAAGTGCTAGCAATCTCCTGAATGGGGTGGCTGTTATCTCATTTTGTAAAAGAAAGCAGTTAAAAGAAACAAAAAAAAAATCCCTTACAAAAGGGGGCTAGAAAATGTGGAGATCTTCATTTTTTTTCTGATGGAATTGGAGCACCTTTGGGAGCTGGCACTGTGCACAGTGCACCCACCCCATAGCATTGTAGCATCTTTAATGAGGTTTATGTAGAGCTTTCATCTCATCCTCTCATTTGATCCTCTCCACAGTTCTGGGAGAATAGGCAAGGTAATCATTGGTAGCCCCATTTTTCTGATGGCTCAGATGATCAAATAAGATGAATGGATGTGCAAGTGTATTATAAACTGTAAAGAGCCCTAGAAAGGCTTGCTTATGAAATGTATTCATTCTTCCTTTTTCTAAAAAGAATGTATGACAGTTTTGGCATTACTGGGTAATATTATTCTTTGTAACAGCTTTAATTAGCTATAATAATTTAATTTTAGTGAGGTATAATAATTGACATACAATGATCTTAACATATTTCAAAAATACAATTATATAATATTCTATATATGTATTCAGGTATGAAACCATCACCAACAATGAAAATAATGAATATGTCTGTTATCCCCAAAAGCTTCCTTTACACCCCTTTTGCAATCCTGTCCTTCTACCCCTCACCACTCTCCCTTCAGGCAACCATTTATCTGTTCTCTATCAGATTAGTGTCATTTTCTAGAACTTTACATAAATGGAATCACACATTGTGTATGCTCTTCCTTCCTTTCTATAGATCCATATTTCCACTTGGTGTCATTTTCCCTATGCTTGAATTTCCTTTAACATTTTTTGTAGAGCAGGTCTGTTCCTGATGAATTCTTTCAACGTTGATTTGAAAAAGTGTTTCACCTTTCTTTTTGAAAGATGTTTGTCCTCTCTCAGATGTTGTTCCACCATTTTCTTGCTTGCATTGTATCCAACAAGAAATGTGATGTTATCTTTATCTGTGTTTCTCTGTACATAATGTGTCTTTTGTCCATGGATGCTTTTGAGATATTTAAATCAAAACCACAATGAGATACCATCTCACACCAGTTAGAATGGCAATCATTAAAAAGTCAGGAAACAACAGGTGCTGGAGAGGATGTGGAGAAATAGGAACACTTTTACACTGTTGGTGGGACTGTAAACTAGTTCAACCATGTGGAAGTCAGTGTGGTGATTCCTTAGGGATCTAGAACTAGAAATACCATTTGACCCAGCCATCCCATTACTGGGTATATACCCAAAGGACTATAAATCATGCTGCTATAAAGACATATGCACACGTATGTTTATTGCGGCACTATTCACAATAGCAAAGACTTGGAACCAACCCAAATGTCCAACAATGATAGACTGGATTAAGAAAATGTGGCACATATACACCATGGAATACTATGCAGCCATAAAAAATGATGAGTTCATGTCCTTTGTAGGGACATGGATGAAATTGGAAATCATCATTCTCAGTAAACTATCACAAGGACAAAAAACCAAACACCGCATGTTCTCACTCATAGGTGGGAATTGAACAATGAGAACACATGGACACGGGAAGGGGAACATCACACTCTGGGGACTGTTGTGGGGTTGGGGGAGGGGGGAGGGATAGCATTAGGAGATATACCTAATGCTAGATGACGAGTTAGTGGGTGCAGCGCACCAGCATGGCACATGTATACATATGTGACTAACCTGCACAATGTGCACATGTACCCTAAAACTTAAAGTATGATAATAATAATAAAAAAAGATATTTATTGCTGGTTTTGAGCAATTCAATTATGATATGCTTTGATGTAATTTTCTTCTTGTTTCTCGTGCTTGGGGTTCATTGAACTTTTTGGATCTGTGAGTTTGGATCAAATGTGAAAAATTTTCTCCCCTTATTTAATTTTTTTCTGTTCTCTTCCCCTGTCTTTTGGTGCTCCAATTAGGCATATATTAGGCCCCTTGAAGTTGTCTCGCAGCTCACTGCTATTCTGTTCTTTTTTTTTTTTTCAGTCTTTTTTCTTTCTGTATTTTATTACAGATAGTTTCTATTGCTAGGTCTTCAATTTCATTCATTTTTTTCATTATAGATGCGGGGGCACCTGTGCAAGTTTGTTACATGAGTATATTGTGTAATAGTGAGCTTTGGGCTTCTAGTATACCCATCACCCAAATAGTGATTATTATATCCAATAGTTAATTTTCAACCCTCATTCCCCTCCCACACTCTTCACTTTTGGAGTCCCCAGTGTCTATTATCTATCTTTATGTGTACCCATTGTTTAGCTCCCACTTATAAGTGAGAACACATGGTATTTGATTTTCTGTTTCTGAGTTATTTCACTTAGGATAATAGCCTGCATTTACATTTTAAAGTATTACTAAATTCACACATCCAAAAGCCCAATCTTCATATAATCCAGTGAGACAGGAGAAAAGAAATGCTTCTCTTTTGCTGCTTTCAGAATTTTTTCCTTCACATTGGATAATCTGATGCCTATATGCCCTGATGATATTCTTCTTGCAAAATATCTTCCAGGTGTTCTCTGAGCTTCTTGTACCTGGGTGTCTACATCCCTTGCAAGACCAGGCAAATTTTCCTGGATTATTCCCTCAAATATGTTTTTCAAAGTTTTTACTTTTATTCTTCTCACTCAGGAATGCCTATTACTCATAGGTGTGGTTGCTTTACAGAATCCCAAATTTCTCAAAGGCTTTATTCATTGTTTTAAATTCCTTTTTTATTATTTTTGTCTGACAGGGTCAGTTCAAAAGACCAGTGTTCAAGCTCTGAAATTCTTTCTTCTGCTTGGTATAGCCTGTTATTAAAGCTTCCGACTGTATTTTCTAACTCCTTCAGTGAATTTTTAATTTCCCTAAGTTCTGTTTTTTTTTTTCAAGATCTCTATCTCTTCTTTCATATCCTGCATTGTTTTTCTCGTTGCTTTGTGTTAGTTTTCAACTTTCTCTTGGATCTCATTGAGCTTCCTTACAATCCATATTTTGAATTCTTTGTCGTTTCAGAATTTTCATTTTCATTAGGATCCATTGCTAGACAGCTAGTGTGATCTTTTCGGGGTGTTGCAACACCCCGAGTTCTTACACTGGTTCCTTTTCACGTGGGGAAGCTGTCACTTCTTATTTTTGAATCTAATTTCATTTGGATGGGACGTCCCCCAACTCCGAAGATGTGACTGTAGCGTATGTTGGGTAGGGTCCTTTGGCTTTGCTTCTTTAGCCCTGTGCACTTCTGTCAGCAGGTGTCCTATTGTGCTGTGCAGTTTAACCTCCTGGTGAGTAGGTGGCGCCTACAGGTAAGAGCCACCTGTGGCAGAAGCAGATCGGTATGTACTGGATGTTTTCTTACTGTGAGGTGCTCTCTGTTCTTTCAGATGATGGGCTGGTCTGTGAAATTCCAGGTTCCCTATTCAGCCCAGGGAGAGTGGATGGAGGACAAAGCTGGGTGGAGCTGGACAAACAAGCTCACCCACGAATAACCCAATGATGAGCACAGGCAGCACCCCTGACAGGAGTGGCTAGGGGAACTCTTGGAGAAATGTGCCGAGGTCTCTTCAGGGGATGAGGGGGCCACATCAGCTCCACTTCTTAGACAGGCAGGATCACAATGTTTCTCTGTCACAACCCTCTCCTGGGGCTCCTGACTCAGTTTACACACTGTCCATCTATCTCCAGGCTACCATGTAGCTGAAAGGAGTGACTTTGGGGAGGAAGCTCTTCCCTCAGCCCAGTACAGACAGCTTTGTGGCTCACCTATTCTTTTACACAGCTCTGTGTAAAGACGGGGAGGGACTCTGCCTTTCAGCATGTGAGAGTGGGAGGCAACTGTGGGGGTGCCGGCTGCTTGGGCCCAACCTCAGGCCTCAGGCCAAGTGGTCAGGCGCCAGCAGTGATGGACTGAGCTAAGCAGTCCTTCAATTCCCAGGCCCCTAAGTGGCCCACTGGATGGTGTGCGGGGGCCCTGGAGGGACTCCACCAGGACCGGGCCAGCAGGCTTATTCTCAGGCCCCCAGGGTTCAGGTGGTGGCTGCGATAGGGAGGGCAGGCTGGTCCCCAGTCACCATTAGAATTCTCAGGTGGGTGCAGGCAGAAGGCTCAGGTGCTGGGAGCCCCCAGTTTCATTAATTTTTTTCTTATGCAGCATCTAATTTGCCATCAGTCCTGTCTGTTGATGTTTTTTTCAACTTAGACATTGTAGCTTAAGCCTGTAGATGTTTGATTGTGGCTCTTTTTATATCTTTCATGTTTCTCCTTAGTATGACCAGTCTTTTCTCTAGCTTCTTGAGCATGTGAAATCAAATTTTCATCATTGTTTTTGTATCCTTATCTACTAATTAAATTATCTGCATCACTTCTGGGTCTGTTTGGATTGGCTGATTTTTAAAATCTTTATTATGGGTCATATTTTCCTGCATCGTTGCATTCCAAGTAATTTTTTTATTAAAGTTTACCTTATTTGGTGGCATATTTTTATTTCTATAAATAGTCTTGAGTTTTGTTCTAAATGCAGTTAAGTAACTTGGGAAAATTTTGGTCCTTTTAGGTCTTGCTTCTTAAGCTTTGTTCAGCAAGACCAGAGGAGTTTAGGGCTAATTTTTCTCCACTATTAAGGCAGAACCCTTCTGATCACCCAGTACCAGAAGTGTGAGTTTTTCTGCTCTGGCTGGTAGGAAAAGGAGCTATTCCCAACCCTGTGGGAGCTTTTCAGGGATTGTTACCTCTAATGCTCAGGTAGTTTCCCACACATATAGACATTAGTACTCAGCTAAATAATAGTGGAGGACCCTCTGCATATCTCTGAAGCTCTTTCTCTGTGCAGCTTTCTTCTTTCTGGTACTCTGCCTTATGAACTCTATTTCCATAGTCTTCCTAGACTCCCAGTTCAGTCTCCTTAACTTGGGAACACCATCGTGCCCTGTCTGAGTTCCCTTCCCTGTGCTGAGGCCCAAAAACTCTCTTATTAGGAAACTTTCTTATTAGGAAATAAACTGGGGCAATCATAGGGATCACTTCATTTGGTTCTTGTCTCTCAGTGATCCCTGTCTTCATTGTCTTATGTACAGTTCTTTAAAAAGCATTATTTCATATATTTTATCCATATTTTTAGTTGTTTAAGGTAGGAGGACAAATCTAACCCGTTACTCTATCTTAGCCAGAAGCAAAAGTCTATGTTGGGTATTATTCTTGAGAGGCAGGTTAGAATAAAGGAAAGCACAGAGTCTAATGTCCTGGATTCAAGAGCCAGCTCTACTGTTTGCTAATTGTCTGACCCAGGGCAAGCCACTTAACCTCCCTAACCTCTTTTGATGCTCAGTTTTCTGTTTGGTATAATGTTCTACCCTTCTACCCTGCAAGCTTGTGCTGATAATGAAATGAGATAAATTCCTATGGAAGTATCTAGCTGAGCTCTTGAAACTGAAAAAGTACTTAGTTTTTTCCCCACTTTTTTTAAGATACATGACTTGGGTAAGTATAGCTGGCACAGAAAGAGGAGGTATGGAGTTGAATCAGGTTTTCTGAATCCCAGTCCTATACTACTATATTATAATCACACTACATCTTTTTTTTTAAGGATCCCAAATTATATGTCACCTGGGTCACACATCACTCCCCATCTTTTTTTTTTTTTAGAAAAAAAATGGCTCACAGTTGACAAATGCTTCTAGGAAGCAATTTTAGGGATTAAAATACCAAGTTAATGCATTTAAGTTTTACCAAAATCTTTGTGATAGTATAATGGACACTCTTGAATTTATTTAAAGACAAGTTCGTTTGAGGCCACCTTTTCCATTCTTCCCAGCCCTTGGTGCCATATAACGATCATGCTTGATACTATTACCCACGGAGCCAACCTCAGCCAGAGGTAAGGTATTAGATGGAGGAATGGAACTCTTAAGAACAAGACTAACCCAACCCATAGAATGTGAGCTATTATCAGAGATAATCTAAATCTTTTGATGATTTACTTGCTAAGCATGGGGAGAGAATTTGGAGTTGTGTGGTCACTTGGAACTGCTGCAGTGACATCTGAAACACTGAACTTGGAAAAGTATGTATAGTCTTTCATGTCTCTCTCTCTCTCTGTCTCTGTCTCTCTCTCCCTCTACTTCTCTCCTTCTCTCCCTCTCTCCTCTCCCTTTCACCCTCCTGTGGACTTAGGTTACCGCATTCGCCTGGGCTCTAGTACTGACAAGAAGGACACAGGCAGACTCCACGTTGATTTCGCACAGGCTCGAGATGACCTGTATGAGTGGGAGTGTAAACAGCGTATGCTAGCCAGAGAGGAGCGCCATCGTAGAAGAATGGAAGAAGAAAGATTGCGTCCACCATCTCCACCCCCAGTGGTCCACTATTCAGATCATGAATGCAGCATTGTTGCTGAAAAATTAAAAGGTATCAAAGGCACTCAAGCTTCATGATTAAAAGAACTCTTTTCTTTAGAGAAGTGTCATAAATATAATTGCATTGTTGACAGTTACACTTTGAGTTTCCTACTAATGGATTCTAAGCATTTCTTGTGTTGGAGCCTTGCAGATAGAGAGGTGTACCTAGTAACTCAAGAACCAGGAAATTTATCCCTACTACCTGTGTCTGCTCCTTCATTGTCTCAAGGGATGGCATTTTTCTCTTCAGACATCAGGTGACTAGAAATAAACAAGTTTTCCTCACTTTCCACGTCAGAGACTTTTAGGCATGATCTATGACTTGGGACCTGTAAGCGCCCTCTTTTATAGTGGATACAAGTTAGGTTATAATTCCAAGTCAAATGAGTGAATCAGGATGATAGGATTTGATGTGATCCTGAAAAACTCTGGTAAAATTCTTGTTTTAAAGATGAGAAAATGGAGGTCCAGAAAGTAGTCATGCTGTACATTCTTCTTAGATGACTCAAAGACTTAGCCACCACCAACTAAAACATAAAGACTTTTAAATCACTTTAAAAGGCCAGTTTATTTAAAACAGTGACTGTGGAAACGTGTAGACATTGCTTAATCAGACTGCTTTCCCATTAGTTTTGATTCTTGTTCCCCTTGTTTGACTCTCAGCCATTTTGTTAATTTAACATTAATTGCTCTGCCTGGTCTCCTGTCTTAGTAGCTCAAATCCAGTCTTTCTCATTTTCTGAGTATAGATGATTTTATTGGATGAATGCTGGTGTCCCATTGATCTTATTGGTAACACCAATCCAGCTCTAATGGTATGAATTTTCCCTGCTTCTTGTGTTCTCAACTCATCAAGATACTGCTAACCCTACTTTCCAAATAGGTCTCCTTCACCAGACATGTTTGTACCACATAGCCTAAGGGATTCACACATGTAAGAAATTGGTTTTGACTTTCTTTAAGGGAAAAGCAGAAAACCTAGAGTCCAGAATAGAGGCACAGAAATAATGGTACATTTTGAAAAACTGGAAAGGCTGAAAGCATTGGTAAGACGCCAGGTCCAAGACTTGCCTAGTCACACAACACCAAACAAATCAGTTTAAGTTTAAAAAAATGAATTTAATGGGTGTGTGACCTTCAAGAGAAGCAAAAACTGAGCATCAACATAAAGTCTATATCTAAGTAATAAAGTGAAAAGCTGCTATAAAGGGGAGGCTGACTGCTTGTTATATGTCTGCACTGAAAAAGGGGCAAGAGGCAAGAAGTTCAAACTGCAGTGAAGGAAATTTCCATTTAACATAAGGGTTTCTAGCCAGAGAAGGATGTGAAGCCCTTGAATTGGGCTTCAATAGATCCAAATGTACTCTCCCTCTCTGGAGCCTTTAAGAACAGAAGGCATAAGTGGCTATCTTGGGGAGCTGAACCAGAAGCTTTGGAAGAGCTGTGCTACTATCTTAACTAATCACAGAATAACTCCTAACTAGCTGCAGAAATCTACATGGAGGTTCTTCATGCAAGAGAAAAAAGGATGTGGAGAAATATAGAAATAAAATAAATTGCATCAAAATAGATTGTGAGTGGGACTGAGTGGAAGGCCTGGGGCTGTGGATTGAACACAGGAGTGATACTATAAAAGGTCGAAGATGTGCATGTTTGTATCTAAAGAATGACCTACTTAATTAACTCTTCCCTGAGGCTCCTCCCAACACTGTAATTCCATGGATCCAAGGTAAAGTTACTGTTAAATTCAAGTTAAACTCAGGATTCAAGTTTGCTTTTCCTCATTAAAACACAGGACTGTAGAATTCTGAAGTTCCCTCACTAATTCATGGTTTTTTCTGTCTCTCTGTCTCCCCTCTGCCCCCTTTCCCCCTTCTCTCTCTCTCTCTCTCTCTCTCACACACACACACACACACAATCAGAGAGGGTAAGAAATTTGCAATACATGAAACCTATATATCAGTACAGAAAACTTTTTTCAAGGAAACATTTCTCTTTCTGAAAATTCATCACAGACCACAACCAGTCTGACTACATTGATCCTTCCATTCTTCCTGTTTGTCTGCCTGCCTACTGCCTGTGTGTGCACATGTGTGTATGTGTGGCTCCTCATCCTCAGCAATTCATTTACCCATCACTGCCAAAAATCATGATGCCCTCTTTGCCAGCATGTTGGGAAAATAGATCAAAATTTGGTTACCTTTGTTGGTTATAAAAATATATTTTTTTCAGATGATTCCAAATTCTCAGAAGCTGTACAGACCTTGCTTACCTGGATAGAGCGAGGAGAGGTCAACCGTCGTAGCGCCAATAACTTCTACTCCATGATCCAGTCGGCCAACAGCCATGTCCGCCGCCTGGTGAACGAGAAAGCTGCCCATGAGAAAGATATGGAAGAAGCAAAGGAGAAGTTCAAGCAGGCCCTTTCTGGAATTCTCATTCAATGTGAGTGGAACTTAGAGTTCTGCTGGAATGAGAATAAGTCACTTCACTTAGTCACTTGCTCTCTATGGGAGCTCAGGCCTCCAGAGCCATCCTGTGTTAAGGCTCAAGGCTCCCTTTTTCACTGCCTTGTGCTCTCCTTATATTGTCAAATGCCCAAGCTCCAATTTCACAGGAGACATGTGCGCACCTGCTAGCTTCATTTTCTCTGGTATATCTACTTCAACTCCTTAGAAACACTGATCCTTAGGCCACATCCTATACTTCTACAGCCCTGGGCCTCAATAGAGGGCTGGGTATTTTATTGCTAAAGTTACGATGTAGCATCAGCATTTTAAAGCTGCTTTTCTTCAGATTTGTATAATTATCATCATGTAATATGCCTTCAAGAAACTCCATTTCAATGATCAATGTAATTATATTTCCCAAGGTGATTGGATAAAAATCAAATTTGCTACTTCTACATTTTTTATTTAGTTTACTTTCTTCTGCTACCTTTGCTGGATGTCATAGACACTGGGACAAGGTGAGAAGCTACCAAAATGGCCATTTTTAAAAAGAAATTCCGCTCCAAACCTATCTAAGGTCTCTGAAATGAGCCAGATCAGATAAATTATCAAGTAATTTTTTGTTTACCACATTATAAAATTATACACTCTTATTTTTTCAGTAAGAAAGTATATTCACCTTAAGAATAAGGGTATAATTTTATGATTTTGCTTTTAAACAATTATGGTCCACTCTTTCCAAACTTGACTTCCCTGTACTTGACTCATACATAATTGTGATTAAGGGGGAGTTGTTCCATTTGCCACTTGTATTTTGAAAGTATATATGGGCATAAAATCCAGGAGGCAAAAGCACATGTCTTCAGGACTTTAGGATAAATTTTTAAAAAGAGAAAGCAGCACGCATCATGGGACTATAAATCCTTAAGTCATTAGAAGACAGGGTGCAAACAGGGATGTAAAGAAAAAAAAAATAATACCTCTGGATTTTCTTACTGTGAACACCCAACCAGACAGGGGCTCTTGTCCTGCTTTTCTTTTCCCAAAGGAGTCATGTCTAAGCTTCCCCTCTCTTGAACTGTGATTAGGATAAAGCCCCAGAACATCTGCACACATTTCCCTGTTTGACATTTTAAGAGACCTTGAAAAATACTCTCTAGGACCGCACTTACACAGCATCCTTCCCTAAAACTTATATTTTTCCAGTCAACGAGTCTATCTTGGTAGACTTAAAAAAGATTCAATCCATCTTAGGTTTTGATTTGATGCTTCTTGTTAAACATACCTCAGAATAGTAAAAGCATGAATTCTGTTGAAGCAAGGCATCCAAGTGTGTGTCAGAGGGCTATGAAAGGAGCCAGGGGTAGAGAGTTTCTGGTACAGTTTGCCATTTTCTTCCATGCTGTGTGGAGTCACTAGTACTAAACTAAAGACAAGTACTAAATAAAAGTGCATTTGCTATGACTCTTCCTCTCCTGCCTCCATGAATTCACAATGCCTGTATTAAAACTCTAGTTGTTACCATTTTACCCCAAACCTCTGGTGTTCCCTTTTGTCTTTCTGTATGTTGATGTCTTTTCCTTTGCGTCTCCTTTAAAATCAAAGTACCCCAACACATGTAGCCTTTTCCAAGCACAACCACAGCTTAGTATAGTGTCATAACAACAAGATACAACAAGCCTGATGCTTCTCTTTTATTTCATTTCTTTTCTCCTCTCTTTTTCCATCCCTGGATGATACCCTGGCCTGATCCAACTGCTGATTTGATGCTGCAGTTGAGCAGATAGTGGCTGTGTACCATTCCGCCTCCAAGCAGAAGGCATGGGACCACTTCACAAAAGCCCAGCGGAAGAACATCAGCGTGTGGTGCAAACAAGCTGAGGTTGGTAACTTTTTATTCTGGTAGCCCCTTGGGGGGACAGTTTCTTTCGTTAACAAGTTATTGATCTGGAGTTTAGCCAGAATTAAATAGTGCCAAGCTCCCATGGTCACAATAAGGCCCTAATGAAACACTAAGATATGTTCTATAGCCTGTCACTGTGTCCAGACCACCTGCTGTCAAAAGGGTAATAAATGTGCTTGTGCTGTGGTGAATGCATTCTGCTGGATGGAAACCTTAGTAGTGAAAATGTAGCTGGGATAATTATAAGTTTACTTCTCTTAGCGAGCTAGTCTTGGGTACAACAATAATTACTGACCTGCGCTTCTAGTGTTAGTAATATTAGGGCTGTCTTACATTTTTTAGAGTGTCTTGACAGTGAAGGACGGAAGCCGCCTGGTGTTATACTGGATCTTTGAAATTTCTGAGCTTCTTTTATCAAATTCATTTAGTCATCTTTATAGGTGGAAGCTTTAAAGGTAACAGGACTCTGATCTTAGGTTAAGGTTGGCACACACCTCTCTGCTTATACTCAAGTGACATTTTTAGCATAACACTAGAATAAATGTGATGTGATTAGATTGCTCTTCTGCATCAAAGATTAAAAACTGAGATGGGAGATTTCACTGATCTGCCATTGAAAATCCTGTTACATATGCCTCAAGTCCTCCTATTCCTATGGGCAACTTCCTTACCAAGTCCCAATATTTTCAATTTATATATGCAGCAACTTTTCAACTACATTTCTGGTCCTCTTTGCCAGCCTGGTAGCAGTCCCATTATATCTATCCATGTAAATTGTCATATTCCTTAACTTTTAAATAGCATTTACAAGATATTTACATTTATAAAGTGCTTTCACATTGGTTATCTCACCTGTGTGAGCCTCACAGTAGACATGGTGAAGTGAAAAAAGTATTGAACTCAGAGCCAGACATGAATTCAAATCTCAGCTCTGACATGTTAGTGCTGTGTGACTGAGCAAGTTATTCAGCCTTTCTCAGCCTCTATTTCTTCACCTGTAAATTCGAGACAATAATGAAACCAGTCTTATAGGATGAGATGAGTTAGGAAATGTGTAAAAAGTTTGAAAAATAGAAATAGTATTACTTCAGTTTTTATTAACAGCTTCATAAGTGATAGTGAGTAGGTATAGATTTCATATTTTACCTGCAGGAAAACTGAAACGTAAAAATGTTAAGTGATTTACACAAAATTACAAAGCTAGCAAATGGACTAGAAATTATTCTCCTCACTGTGAGCTCTGGTACAAAATGCTTTGTGGTCTCGAGCTAGTTATTTAACCTTTGTGGATCTTTGTTTCTTAACCTATAAAATAAGGATAGTAATTTCTCTCTGTCCTTCACGAGAATACATGAGATATGTTTGTGTGAGAACAATTTGAAAACCATGAAAAGCATTTAGGAGAAAATAAGCCAAATCCTGTTTATAAACTGATAGTATCTGAGCCATCAATTCTGGCACGGCAAAGGGATCTGGGAGTCACTAGAAAGAAATCCCTGAAGACAGCCATCCAATGGGTTGGTAGAGTCACAAATAGCCAATAGCATCTTTACTTGTTTTTTAAAGAATTAGGGGAGAAAAGGAAACTATTATCTTACTGTAGCACAAAATGGTTTTAGAATCCTAGGGCTGCCTCATGTTGTTCACCTTCAACAAACAAAATTCAACTTTGTGATTCAGATGTTTACTGATCACTTTCTCCATCTCAAGCACTATGATAGGCAACATAGAATGAAATGATCTTTGCCCTCAGGGAGTTAGAAGGGTAATGAAAGTGATCAAGAGGAGGAGGGGAGTTTCACACGCTAAATTTAAAATATCCAGTCTTCAGTTCAGAAGAATAAAAGTCGAGAGAAAAATGCTCAGTAGGTCTTATGATTGTAGAAAAGCAGAATAGGCATTAAGTTTCTACCTTCCCTTTGATACACGTACACTTCTAACTCCTCTTTGGGTTAGAAGAAGTTGACTGAATGGCCCCACCCTTTAAGGAAAGCCGTGACAGTACATTGCCTTTTTGCAGGAGGAAGGGAGCCTCTGGTTGGAATGCTGATTTGCCTAGGTCACAATACTTTTTTTTTTTTTTTTTTTTTGGAGACGGAGTCTTGCTCTGTCGCCCAGGCTGGAGTGCAGTGGCGCGATCTCAGCTCATTGCAACTTCCGCCTCCTGGGTTCAAGTGATTCTCCTGCCTCAGCCTCCCAAGTAGCTGGGACTACAGGCACACGCCGCCATGCCTGGCTAATTTTTTGTATTTTAGTAGAGATGGGTTTTCACCATGTTGCCCAGGCTGGTCTTGAACTCCCGAGCTCAGGCAATCCGCCCACCTCGGCCTCCCAAAGTGCTAGGATTATAGGCGTGAGCCACCATGCCTGGCCGTCACAACACTTTTGCAAACTATGTGGCCATAAAATATTATCCATCAATCATATTCATCAAGGGTCTGTGTAGTTATTAGGTTGATACAAAAGTAATTGCAGTTTTTGCCATTAATATTTCAAGCCTACTTATCTAGCGGATATATACTTGAGTTTAATTAGACTCACAGTAGAGATAGCTGTACCAGTGAGCTGGACACTCCTTAGGACCTATAGAGAACTGAGATATTTGCACCCTATTGCCCAATATTGTAACAAAACTTCCTTGGCAGAGTGGTGATGATAAAGTACATGACCAGCATGACTTTCCAGGAGCTACATGTTTCATGCTGTGCCTTGTAGACTGTAGAAACCCCAAAAAATCCTTCCCGCTTGTTTGATTGAATTAAATTAAGGTCCACCTTGAATATCTCAAATCTTGTTCAGTACTACACCAGCTGAAAGTGGGACATAGCTCATAACCTTTCTCTGGTATTGCATTCCCTAAACCTAAAAGATCTCTTTCACTTTATATTGGTGCCTCTTTAAGTCATTGTTTTTGTTTTTATTTTTGTCCTTGTTTTTTTTTACCTCTGCAAACTTTTACTTGATAGCAGGCAACTGTGAGGACTGAAAGGAGGTATCCTGTGAGAAATAAATAAACCATCCTCTTAAATTGTGGCTGCCTCTTAGCACCCCTTGAAAATCAGAACATCTCAAAAACTTAATCAACTAGGCTGCCTTATTTTTGACCTAGGCATCCAAGCTACATAGAACTCATAAGCCAAGGGTTTCATCAAAGTGAGTTTCTGACGTTCAACCTTTTTACCAGTTGCATCTGAGAACAAGTCAACCAATGACCTCCTCATGTCACAAAGTGCCTGTTCCTTGTCTCATTGTCATCCTTCTACCAGCAGCCAACACGGTCTTACTCTGCTGAGAGAAAGGATGTGGAGTATGAAGAAAAAGTTTCCGCCTTTGGGGAGCTTAGACACTGACTTTGGTAGCATATGTCAAGCAAACTAGTTTGCTAATGAGTCTTTTTCATTGCTTTACGTTCCTGATTTATATGTGTGTGAGGTCCCTGCTAATACAACTGAAAACGGTATTAGGAGAAGGCTGAATGAAGTCCCTCCCCTTACTAAAAGTTGGTGTCTATAGTGACTTTACTGGCAGTTCTGTGTGTTGTGGGAACTCTTTTTCTACAGAATCACTTAAAACCTATGTGTTTCTCTCTAGCTGGCCTAGATTCAAAGCTAAAGCTTTGATAATGTGTAAAAACTAGAGCCATAACAATAAGCCCTAGGAGATATCCTCTTATATCCTCCCTCAGATGCGGTTTTACACCATGGGGCTAGAGGAAAAGGGACTTGGTGATTACTAGTATTCTTGTAAAATGAAATACTGTGATTGCTAAAATAACTTTCTTTATAGAATTACAGGCCTACCATTCCAAACTCTGAAGAACTGTTTGCAGATAGATATTCAAATAATCTGCATACCCTTGGTTTAGGACCTATCTGCACTAACACCGGCTGTTGGCCTTCAGCCATCAAAAAACATACTAACACAATTTGGATAAACCTAATTTGTATTTCCACTATGTATCATATAATAGACATTAATTAAGAACCTGAGTTTGTACTTTGCTTCATTATATTAAATGATATCTCAGAATCAAATTTCTACATAAGTGTAGAAGCTATCTCCCTATCCTCTGCTTTCCATTCCCTTGTCTGATCTCTTCTCCACCAATTTTCCTCTTAATGTTGAAAGTCTTAGGCTGGGCATGGTGGCTCATGCCTGTAATCTCAGTACTTTGGGAGGCTGACACAGGCAGATTGCTTGAGTTCAGGAGTTCGAGACCAGCTTGGGCAACATGGTAAAACCCCATCTCTACCAAAAATACAAAAATTAGCCAGGTGTGGTGGCCCACACCTGTGTTCCCAGCTACTTGGGAGGCTGAGGTGGGAAGATAGCTTGAGCCCAGTAGGTCAAGGCTGTAGTGAGCCATGATCACACCACTGCACTCCAGCCTGGGCAACAGAGCAAGACCCTGTTAAAAAAAAAAAAAAAGAAACTCTGGCTAAGTAGAATTTTGTTACACATTTATTAAGAAACTGATTTGTCTGGTAATCATGTTCCTATCATAAAACATGAATAAGATTAATTTAAATCCACATACATTTTTGTGAAACTATAGTTAGATAATTAATGTGTAACAATTTATGATTTGCTTACTTTATGATAAATCAAAAATGTCAGCTGGCACAGAAGTGGTTCTTTTCATGTATTTTCCTGTCTCCGATTTCAGTTTTATTCTATATGAAAGTACATTGTTCCCCATTATAGAGTAGTGTGTGAATTTCTAAGCTTCAGAAAAAGTTATCATTAGATCAGACTCAGTCATTATAATGTGTTTCCAGAAATCACTAACAGTTCATTGTTGAAATGAAAAATATCACAGATCTACTGTGGGCAGGAGAATGGTATAAAAACTTTAGGAGGGATATCTTACCTTTTTTGTTGTAGTCTACCAGTGATGTGACCCAGTCAATTTCAGGTAGAGATTTACAAATGCAAATTGCTGAAAAATGTTTCCACATGCCATCACCATTCTTTTGGTTTCAGCACTGGATTCAAAATGCCAGGATGGAAAATGGGGCAAATCTGGGAGACAGCTATTTCCTTTGCTGTCTGCTCTTCAGTGGCTCAGAGTTTTTCCCCTGCCTGCACCTATGTCCAAACTAGGTAGAATGCCTTCCTGGGGTTCATGTCACCTTTCAGCCCTTCACTCTGAAGGTATTTGTTAGGGTTTCCTTCCCAAAGTAGAGCTTTTCTGATCCAACCGGAGAATACAGAAGACAAGTAGCTCAGACATCAAGTGCTTTAAGGGAAAGATTTTCAAAGAATTAAAACCTCACTCCTTATTTTTAGGAGTACTGTCACTTACTAAATGTTCCCCATAAGCTTACTTTAGTATAGTACTCCATAACCTCTGCTGCTCTCTTTACCTTTTATCTCATTCGTGTGATATAGTATTGGGTATTTATAGAAGAATAATAATATGAGCCTGAGTTTCTTTGTAGCTAGAAAGGATTGTCTAGTGGGTAGGGGGCTCTGAGCTCTGCCAGTTTGCCTGCCTGACTGAACCACTTAGGGAAACATACCCCTTAGTTTTTCTTACCCTTACTTTATTATCAGTTAAAGCAACTGGTGATTCTTATTCCTGAAGTACTTTGAAACATTTAGGTAAAATTTGTTCATAGGTCTGTTATATTTCCAGGGATTTTTGAAGATGTGAAAGACTAGATAAGCTGTATCACATATTTTTTTAACTTTTTATGTTTCTAAGAAGAGATTACACTTTTTTGCCCAGCTGGAAGAAGAAAGATGTTTTGTGGATGCTGAAAAGCTAGAGGACATGTCTTAGCTCTCAGATATTCCTGCCCTGGGACATTTCCCTAGAAGGAACATATTTTACTCTTCTGAGAAACACAATAACTTTCTCAGGGTTATGTGACATGTTTGTGAATTGAGAGTTGGTCTCTGCTTATACTCTCCAATAGTCTACATTTTTGTTAGGCAACTAGAAAGCCATGACTTTTCCTAATGCGGTAAGTTGTACAATATTCGAATTTGCCAATGTCAAACTTCATTATAATCACCTTTCCGGTAACAGCTCTTTGATGATAACTGAAAATCAGACTCCTGAGATAGAATGAATTCTCAGAAATGAGAAATTCCTTTATTGTTCTCTGTGTAATAAGTTTGAATAAGACATAGCAAGTCTCTCTTGACACAGCCCTTTAAAGTTCATTTTTCTCAAGCAAGTCATTATTTTTTTCTATTTTAAGTAATGCCCCTGAAGCACATGGGAGAGTCTATGTTAGCATCTTCTTTTTCTATTCTTAACTATCAGTGATGATACTAAATAGCTCACTTTTTAAAAAAAGAGTCTTTTATTTATTTTTAGTGAAAACTTAACTTGAGATAGAAATCATTATTTTTCCTGATAAAATGAATAAAAAGGAGGATGTTGGTTGTGATAATGACTACACCATTAATTATTTAAAAATCCATTTGAAACACATATAATTCCCCTAAATGGAGGCAATTTTCACAGACAACTTCGGATATTTCCTGTGTACAGCCCAGTACAGGCTAATCCAAGCAAGGAATTCTCAGTTCAGTGCTGACAAGCCTCTGACAGGCATTAATTGGCCTCTAAATGATTGCAAGCTGCTTCAAAATGCACAGTTGTTGTGCTTACCTTTTTAAAGTGACTTTTATCATGGGATCTTAATCATTTTCAGTGTTCTTCATGCCTTCCTGAAGGTCTGTGTTTATATCCATTAGCACTTCCCTTCAGCCTGAAGAACTTTCTTCAGCATTTTCTATAGCATATTTCTATAGCGCAAGTCTATTGGTGATGAATTCTTGCATTTAATTTTGTCTGAAAATATACCTCAGCTTTATTCTTGAGAGAATTTGCCTCTGAATACAGAATTCTGAATAAATGGATATTTGTATTTCTTCATGAACTTTAAATATATTATTTCACTGACTTCTGGCCTTAAATTGTTTCTGAAGGAAGTCAAAGTATTCAAATTGTTGTTCCCCTCTGTATAATGTATTGCTTTTCTCTGGCTGCTTTCCAGAGTTTATCTTTAGCTTTCTGCTGTTTTAATATGATGTACTTTTTTCACACATATCCTGCTTGGGGTTCACTGAGCTCTTTGAATATGTAGATTAATGTCTTTCATCAAATTTCAGAAATTGCCAACCCTTATTTCTTCAAATCTTTTAAAATTATTTTCTTTCTCCTCTTTTTCTGCAATTTTATTTACATGTATCTTAGATCTTTGTAATCTCACAAGGTCCCAAGGCTCTGTTTTTTAAAAATATTTATCTTTCTCTGTGTTCTTCAGATTGGATACATTTGTTTTTCTCTCTCTTTAAGTTCTCTCATTATTCTGTCATCTCTATTCTACTTTTAGGCTCGTCTGGTTATTTTTATTTCAGGTATCATTTTCTAGCTGTAGAATCACCCAGATATGGTAGTTATCAGACGAGATTATAAAGCAGCTATTATAACGATTCTCAGTGATGTAAAAGAAATATGCTCATAATGAATGAAAAGATAGGAAATCTCAGCAGAGGAATAGAGATTTTTTTTAAAGAATGCTTGGTTCTTTTTATTTCCAGGCAAAAGAATCCTTGGTTCTTTTTATTTTCAGACAAAAGAACTCTTGGCTCCTTTTAAATGTTTCTATTCCTCTGCTGAGATTTTCTATCTTTTCATTCATTATAAACATATTTTCTTTACATCATGAGCACAGTTATATTAATAGCTGCTTTAGTTTCTTGTCTGTTAAATTACCACATCTAGGTGATTTCAGTGTTGGTCTCTGTTAATTGTCCTTTCTTTCGGAAATGGGCCATATCTTCCTAGTTTTTCTATGTCAAGTAATTTTGGGCTTTATCCTAGATATTACAGATATTATGTTGTGAAGACTCTGGATTATGCTATGTTCTTTCAAAGAATGTTGACTTTGTTTTCGTTTGTCGTAACGGTCAATTTACTTAGTTGGATTCAAGCTGGGAATTCTATCTCTTGGATGGCCAGCTCAGTTGTCATTTCAGTTATTTTAGCCTTAGCTGTGCTGTTGGGAATCTTCCTTGTGCTTTCTTGGCTTGGGTCTCATGCAGACATTTGAGCAGATCTTATATACAGAATTTAAAGTTCTTTCCCCCTGCCTCTATTGTCTCCTTTCTGGGATTCCCTTCTTACTTTCCAGTGGCTGTAACTGCCGTGAACTCTCCTTGAGTTCTTTAGGCCATAAAGACTATGGGCTTTCTATTAGAAATTTAGCCATCTTATGAGGTGCTAACTCTGGTCTACCTCAGACTAAATTGCCCTTTAAAAACTGAGAGACTCACCCTATGCTATTCCTTTCTTCCAAGTGTCAGCTTCTCTTCAGAATATGTCTGCTTTTGTTCACTCTCCAATGTCATCAAGTAGTTAATGGGTTTTGTTTTGTGTTTTGTCCAAAGATTATAGTTATTATCCATGGGAAGGTTGGTCTGGTAGAATATTACTCCTGAAAGCTCATCTTTGCTGTAACTTCTAAAACTACAAAAACTCAATTAAGAGTTATGTTGAGTAAAACTATAAAAAGACAGAGAAGAGAATGGCAAGCAGCAAAATTAAAGGGTCCAACGTGGGGAGGTGAAAATGGCAGAACCCTTAAGGGAAAGTCCACAAATCCATGTAAGAGGTAAAATGTCTTTCATGGCCAAAAATACTGTCTAATATGATAGGAATATAAGAATCATAGACTCCTGGAGCTCTGGGTCTGGAAAGAAAGCCTAATGCAAGACAGAGTATAACCAAGTCTGCTTTGTCTGAGACTGTTTTACTTTCAACATGCCTCTTTGCCTTAAGAGTATTTGGAGGATTTTTTTCCTAATATGTCAAAAAAAAATGCTGCTTTATCTTATCCTTAACTCCATTCATTTCCTCAACATTTTCAAGGAATTCCCACCTAAAAAGCATACTTTTTAACCTTAGGAAATTCGCAACATTCATAATGATGAATTAATGGGAATCAGGCGAGAAGAAGAAATGGAAATGTCTGATGATGAAATAGAAGAAATGACAGAAACAAAAGAAACTGAGGAATCAGGTAAAGATAATTCTGTTTTCTTTATTTAATAAACATGTACTTGCAGACATGATATTTTCAAACTTTTAATACCCAGTAAGGTATGGCCATCAACCTATCAGCCTGGATACCAGCTAGAAATAAGTGGCAAGGCCATATGTGTACATACTGGCTGATTATCAGCTCTGTGGCTACAGGATTTTCTGTGGTTTTCACTTATCCATACCTTGCATTGAAGTGCCTAATTAAAAGTGGACTTTCTTTTCCAAAAAGCGCTGGGCATTTAAGCAGCTGTAACCTAGTATAGTCAGAACCTCACTCTGAGACAGAGGCCGTGTTACAGGTCCTTAGTGGGACCCATAGGGCAAACTTTTTGAACAACAGATAATACCCTCCTCTTCAATTTCATAATAAACTATCTTGGATGGGAGAATTACCATTGCAGATAATAAAATATCCAGAAGACTACTCTTTTTAGGCAAACCATTCCAGACAATCTTAGGAGTCAGATTACAGGAAGGTACAGTGGAAAAGCCACTGGACCTAAAGTTGAAACACCTGAGTTCTAGTCCGAACTCTGTCCTTCTTGACCTAGGAGGGACTTCTTCCCCACTGAGCCTCAGCTTCCACACTTGTAAGGAGTACATTATAAAAACCATTTAACAGCCAGGCGCTGTGGCTCACGCCTGTAATCTCAGCACTTTGGGAGGCCGAGGTGGGTGGGGATCACCTGAGGTCAGGAGTTCGAGACCAGCCTGACCAAAATGGCGAAACCCCATCGCTACTAAAAATACAAAAAATTAGCTGGGTGTGGTAGTGCATGCCTGTTATCCCAGCTACTCGGGAGGCTGAGGCAGAAGAATCCCTTGAACCTGGGAGGCAGACATTGCAGTGAGCAGAGGTCGCACCATTGCACTCCAGCCTGGGCAACAAGACCAAAACTCTGCCTCAAAACAAACAAACAAAAAAACATCTAACAGGGATTTTGTGATGGTTAAATGAGTTCATTTATTTAATAACTATTACATGCTAAGCACTATACTAGAGATTGGAGATATAGTTGTATACTGTTCCTGCTGTGTGTGTGTACGTGTGTGTGCGTGTGTGTGTGTAAAAGAGACAGAGAGAGAGAGATTGTAATTCAAATCTGAATTTCCTGGTTCCAGTGCTTGTATAGTGAAGTCAGCAGCTCTATAGCCACTTGAGTGGTCTTAGAATTTTCACTCCATGAACAGAAACTCTGAAGGAAAGAAAAACATCAAGTCAGACTTTGAAAAAGATATTTATTAGCTATTACATCTGAATTTTTTCTATTTTTGCCATATGTTTGAACCCTAAACATACAAACTGCTATCTATATTGAATAAACCCTTTGTAATCAGTGGTTAGCTAGCATTTTCAGGATAGTCAACTAATTACTGCAAATAAATACTGTAAACTTATAGCCAAAATAAACACAGAGTTGAATAAGAATTGAACTATTCAAATTATTTAAGTGCTTAGCTAGGATGTTTTATAGCTGATTAATCTTTCACTTGTATGATTGTTTACACCTCAGTATCTACAGTATTGTACACAGTATTTAGTCAGTGTTACCATGAAATAAATGCTGCCATAAGTTTAAGCATCCACTTGATAAATTGCTGAGTTTGTGGAGTTATTGGAGGAGGAGAGGGGTATATGGGAGACTCAGATTGAATGCACTTACTAGAGTTATATAATTGCATTTTGCTTCTGTGTCTCTTTTGAGTTAAAAGCTGTATTGGCTACTGCACAGAATCTTATTCGTTTAGAGACTGGAAACTCCCTGACAGATCATCTTATAGCTATTTTCTTTCCTGTTCCACATGCCAGGATGCTGCTTTGGCAAATAAAGCTATCTACAATAGACTTAATGGAGCTTACCAAATAGCTTTTCTCCCAGAAGGTTTCAATTCATTTTAATTCAAGGACTTCTGTGCATTTTTCTTCCCCTCGATTGTATCTAATTCTGTTATCTCACTTCTGTAGTACTCAACTGCAGAAATCCCGCTCATTGTGAGCCAGTGAAAAGGTCTTCAGTTTTTATCTAAAGTGGCTACATGTTTTAGCTATCATTTGGTTCCAATTAAAAGCTTAAGCAACGAGATCTCAGAGTTGTTGTTGTTGTTTTTTTTTTTTCCCTCTGTCCATGCTACCAAACTTGAATTGTAGGAACCTATGGTATGTTTCTGGTTAGATTTTACTTCCTGAAGAAAGTAAAACCAGCCTAGAAGTCTCAGTTATCTTTCCTTGGAGTGCCACAAAATTTCTGTTATTTGAGAGACTCTATATTAGCCAGCCCATATTTGTGATGCAGTACTTTAAATACTCTTGCCATGGAAGAAAGGACTGATGTACACAAAGCAATCTATTGAAGAGGGACAATCACATCAAAGCAAATCATGATAGTGTAAAATTATTTCATTATCTTGTTAGCCATGATGGAAAGTACTGTACCCAGTAAACATAAGAAAAGCTCTTCCCTTTCAGCACCCATCTTCTGCTCTGTTTACTTAGACTAGTGGTTCTCAGACTTGGTATACTGAAGAATCATTTGGGTTACCTTTACAAATTCAGATGTCTAAGCTGCAGAATCTGATCCAATAGGTCTGTAATAGGGCTGAGGAATCTGCATTTTATCAGCCATCCTAAATGATTTCGATGCTGGTGGTCCAGGAAGCACATTTGGAAAACATGGACTTAGACTAATTCTCCTTCATTGTTCTGGCCAAAGTTTTCTGTTCCCTTAATATTAATCTAATCTCCTTCTTCCTTCCCCACCTCTTATTTTCCATTATTTCCACTTCAAGAGTTTGGCCAATTAATTAACAAGCACTATGTCCTATAAGCTGATGGAGATAGAGATATAAATATGTGTAAATCCACACAAAATTTTAGAAATACCACTTGCTGCTAACATGGAAGGTACTGATTAGAATGCAGCAGGGCAAGAGATATCAGGTGTGGGCCAGAGTTGTCACAGTCAGTGAAAAATTGATCAGGGCCTTGAAAGATGAACAGATTTAGATGATAGGAAGATAAGAAAGCATCTTGATGGTGGGGGGAAGGGAGGGAGTAAAAGGGTCGGGGCTCAAAGTGGGAAATAAGCATGATGTATATAGGGGACAAAAGACTGAGTAGAGTAGATGGGTCCAAATTATGGAGGGCTATGTATGCCAACCTTAGATTTCGCATAGTAAGCAATATGCCACTATAAGCACATCTTGTCTGTGGCGCTAATATGATGAAAGCAACATGAATTATACATTTTAAAAGATAATCTTCAATTAAGAGAGTCTAACCAGATACTTTTACAGGAAGTGAGATGTAAAATGCTGAAGGGTGGGACCGGAGTGAAGGCAAGAGGAACTGAGACAAAAATGGTAGAAGAAAAGGAGGCAATGGATTGAATGAGATTAAAGATGCTAGGAGTCATTTTCGAGGAATATACCTAAGTCTTTAGTGCCAGATTGGATACAGATGATTAAGAAAAGGAAAAAGCCAGGAATGAGTCTGTGTTTTCTAGTCTGAGAGACTGGAGACCTGTTGATTGTATTGGTTCACTAGAGATGTCATAACAAAGTACCACAAAGTGGGTGGCTTAAATGACGGAAATGTATTGTCTCACAGTTCTGGAAGCTAGAAGTCTGAGATCAAGATTTCAGTAGGGTTAGTTCCTTGTGAGGGAGAATCTATTGCATTCCTGTCTCCTAGTTTCTGGTCATTTTCCAGCAATCTTTGATGTTCCTTGTCTGGTAGATGCATCATCCCAATCTCTGTCTTCATGTTTACATGGTGTTCTCCCTGTGTGCATGCCTGTTTCTATGTCCAAATTTCCTCTGTCAATAAGGATACCAATCATATCAAGTTAGGACCCATCATAATGACCTCATTGTAATTTGACTACCTCGTAAAGAACCTGTTTCCAAATAAGCCAGATTCTGAGAGCTTCAACATATCTTTTTTGAGAGGACACAATTCAAACCATAACAGTAGAACTGACAGAAATGGACTGATGGATGGGACTGATTTGCGGAATATGATGAGATGAACTGCAGATAGTAGATCATTGAGAAATGGGCAGAAGGGGTTTGTATTCAAATTAGAGTTGAAGAAACTAGAAGGAATAGTAGATGGTAGTGTAGAGGTATCGGCTGAAGCCCTGAGAAAATTATTAAATGAATATGAAAGACAAGTGAAAGAAGAGCAAAAGGTTGGATACAGAATTTGGGGGACTATCCACAATAAGGGAGAAGGAAAGAAAGAGGAGTTTGCAGAGGAGTTAGAAAAAAGCAGTTCTGAGAGGCTGGAAGAAAACTAGAAACGAATTGGGTTGTGGAAACCAAGAAAAGTTTTTATAGAAGTAAGTAGTCATTGACATTAACAGATGTTACAAAGAAAATCGGAATTGAGAGAAACAATGCTGGGCAAGAGCTATTTTAGTAGAGTGATAGAGGTAGGGGCCAGAATACATGACATTAGTAAAATAAAGTAAACAAAGACCATAGATCAAGAAGTTGGGTACTAAGCAAAAGGAAATATGGATATTATAAATGGCAACTAGAATCGATAAAGTTAAGGGTTTTTGTTGTTGTTGTTGTTGTTCAATAAAAAGGAAGGAGGCAATGGAGAGTATGAGATTGAAGATGCTAGAAAATAAAAGAATACTATGGAAGTGGAATCTTTGAAAGAAGAAAGGGAAGGGATCCATATTCAAGTAGCGTTTACTTTAGAGAGGAGAGAGCCCTCTTTCTCTGAGACAAGAGAGGGGAAGCTGAAAGAATATAGGTAGCCCAGGCTTCTCCATATACTAAGAGATTGTTTATTCATCACAAAAATGATTTGGAAATGAGACCACGAGGAGAAGGGAACCGATTTGGAATAAATGCTATGGGCAGTATGGAAGGAAGAAATCAGTGAGAGGTGAGAGACCCATCAGCAAGGGCCAACATGAGTGTGTATTGATGTAGCTGCCTAGCTCTGCAACTTCCTATAAGAGTTCTCTGTGGCCCAGGATAAGAGAGAGTGGAGTCAAGTGACTGTGAGTTGGGGATTGGCATGGTAAGCCTGGCCAGAGGTTTTCAGGAAGCTGAAGCAATACAAGGCACTGAGGAGGTTGCACTGGGATCTATTCAGCCAGAAAGCAGCTAATGAACTAGCTTAGTGAACTTGGCCACTCCGTGAGATTAAAGATCCCAGCAAGGAAAGAGAGCAGTCTTGGGGTGATGAGAGGCAGTGAGGAAAATGGTAGATGAGGATTCTGTGTTTGAGATGGGAATTTAGAGATGTAAGAGGGGTAACAATGAGGTTCCAGGTGCATCCATGCTGACAGAAGCCTGGTTGGAATGGTGACAATAACCTGTAGAGGCAAGGGAAAGCAAGGCATTGTGAGGTCAGGAAACCCACTTGAGATTTTTTGCCTGAGCTGACCTGCAGCCACCCCAATAGGTCTTATTCATATCATTTCCTGCTCTTTCTTCCCACTCTTTGTTCTTTTTAGCTTTTTCCCTTTGTGAATCACCTCAGCTCAAACTTTCTTATTAGCCTTGAGAGAAATGTTACCCATTCTTCCTTCCATAATTTTGTAACATTTTTAGCATCTCCTGTAATTAAGCTTTAAAAGGGTGGCTGACTCCCTGAATTTACTTCTACTAATTTTTTTTTCTTGTTTTCTTTGTACCATTGAAGAGACTCAGGCACTAATTTTTTAATGGCACAAAATCATTTTTGATCTTTTGTTGTACAGAAACATGTCTGGGATTTTGCTGTTAGTGGCTCCGCTAAAAAGAGGAGTTCACAGCTGCCTTCATACTTTCATATTGCCATGATGAACTGGCAGCCTTCAGATCTGAGGAACAATTGTCATAAAGAGAAACATTTTCCCCACATAGGAAATAGCCAAAAAGGAGAAGCCAAGAACTAATGATGGCAGGATATGAATACATTCACTGTACTATGCTCTTTAGTATCAGGACTGATGGATTCACCTACTCAAACATATTATTAAAAGGTAATATTGAACTTTTCAATGTTCTGGCAATGTACAAAGAACTTCAGCTTCAGAAATGGGCCCAATTAATATTAAGTCTGTGAAAGGAAAGACTTGGTGTCCTCATTAAAATGACAAAAACCCCTCATTTCAGAGAGTGGGAAATATATTTTGTAGGTAAGGTCCCCTCAGTAGCATTACAGGTGATCACATTCTTTCACTTGGTGACAGGTCCAAACTGAGAAGATTATTATCTGCTCCCACTTTGCTGCAGGTATCCATCACTGCTCATCAGCATGCCCTTTCCCCCAGGACAAAAACAGTCTCTCCTCCTCATTTTCTCAGAGGGAAAATATTTTTACATTTAAACTGGAGAATACGCCTCTAATCATTCTCCTAGATCTCTGCCCTTTTCTCTTCCATGTATCTCCGTGTGACATGTAGAACATGAGCATAATTACTGGCCTGCAGTACAAGAAGAAATAAAAGGAGGAAAATGAAATATCACTATTTTGTATTGAGCCATGTGGACTGCCAGAGGACAAACATGCAAACCAAAACAGAAATTAATAATTGTTAATCTGTAGGAGTCACTTGATTTACAGAGTAACCTGTGTACTATTCAGCCAAACTCCAGCTCAAGATGCTGTCCTTGGTACTCACCCTGCAAGCAAACCAAATATTTCTTCCTCTGTTTGGCAGATAGTTAATATGCCTTTTTCTATAGAGTTTTGTATATAAAAATCATCTTCACTCATAGTATCTTCTTTTGATGTTGTGGTTGTTAGTGCTTGTCTGATGAAAAGTATCCCAGCCACTGGAAGAGATGGCAAGGATAGATATTATTTGGAGTGCTTGGAATCCAAGAGACACAAAATCTGCATAACAACAAGAATTAAAATTAATAATAAAACCAATCATAAAATGAATATGTCATGCCAAAGATCTTTTTATAAGTCTTTAAAACTAAAATGCAAGTTTTAAAACTGCTGTATCAGGATCATTGCATGGCCATCCGCAGAAAACAAATGTGGATGCTAAGAACACCTCAACAACACTAGTAGAAGATACTTCTAACCAGAACCCTTCATATTACGTTGCCACTTTCTGCTTTGGATAGACCATCTGACCACAGCAGCCTACATCAGTACATACTAGTTTTAGGAAAACCCCCATGTTCAAGGAGTTGAATTAAACCCAGCACCTCTCTAAAGGCAGCTTCCTTTTAGGAGTACAGAATGTTTTCACGCTAATGTGGATTTTTTTTTTTTTTGTATATACTTGTCTTAGTCCATTTTATGTTGCTATAAAGGAATACCTAAGACTAAGTAATTTATAAAGAAAAAAGGTTTATTTGACTTACAATTCCGAAGGCTGGAAAATTCAAGATTGAGTATTTGCATCTGGTAAGAGCCTCAAGCTGCTTCCACTCATGGCAGAAGGTGAAGGGGAGCCAGTGTAGGCAGAGATCATATGGTGAGAGAGGAAGCAAGAGGAGAGGGGAGGTGTCAGGCTTTTTTTTTTTTTTTTTTTTTTTTTTTTTTTTTTGATATGGAGTCTCCCACTGTCACCAGGCTGGTGTGCTGTGGCGCGATCTTGGCTCACTGCAACCTCTGACTCCCTGGTTCAAGTGATTCTCCTGCCTCAGCCTCCCGAGTAGCTGGGATTACAGGCACATGCCACCACACCCAGCTAATTTTTGTATTTTTAGTAGAGACGGGGTTTCATGTTGGCCAGAATGGTCTCAATCTCCTGACCTCGTGACCCACCAGCCTCGGCCTCCCAAAGTGCTGGGATCACAAGCATGAGCCACCAAGCCCGGCCAGGCTCTTTTTAACAACTAATAGAGTGAGAATGCACCCCCCTTCCCAGGGAGGGCATTAATCTATTCATGAGGGATCCACCCTTATGACCCAAACACCTCCCACTAGGCCCAACACCACCACATTAGGGATAAAATTTCAATATGCATTTTGCTGAAGAAAAATAAATCATAACCAAACCACAGCAATATTTCATCTTGGTAATGCACAAGTTCTTTCCATTCATTATGTAGAGGATGAGTCTTCTCTTTGAAATTCCTTTAGATAAAACCTTCTTTCACCATTTATAGCTAATAATTTTAATTGTTTAATTCCTTCTTTTTTTTTTTGGAGACGGAGTTTCGCTCTTGTTGCCCAGGCTGGAGTGCAATGGTGCCATCTCAGCTCACCACAACCTCTGCCTCCTGGGTTCAAGGGATTCTCCTGCCTCAGCCTCCCGAGTAGCTGGGATTACAGGCATGCACCACCATACCCGGCTAATTTTGTATTTTTAGTAGAGACAGGTTTCTCTATGTTGGTCAGGCTGGTCTCAAACTCCCAACCTCAGGCCTCCCAAAGTGCTGGGATTACAGGTGTGAGCCACTGCACCCAGCCAGTTTAATTTCTATCACTTTTCTTTTACTTTCTCCTACCCAAAGTTCTTCCCTATAGGTAATCAAGAAAATTCATATCTTTGTCAAATTGCCTTTTAACTTTCTTATACATTTAATATACAGATTGTAAATTTGATCCATTTTTTTATTTTTATTTTTTCACGTCAGAGTTTGATTTAGTCCTGCTGCAAACACACAGAATCTGAAATGTTTAATGCAAATGGAATAGATTTCTTGAGATCTAATATTTTTAAAATTGCCTGACAACTTACCATCTAAGAAAACTTATTTAAGGGAGGCAAATTATTTTGGGAGATGAGTATAAGAGGTAGTAGTAGGAAGTTAAGGAAATATTGCAGAAATGTATTGGAAGACAAATATGCCCAAAGAAAAAGCTCCACTGAAAAAAAAAATATTGAATTCTGACCATAGAACTAGCACCCTGCTCCCAGGTCAATAATTTCAACAAAAAAAAATAAATAAAAAAGACCTTGCTCAATCCTGAGGTTAGTGAAGGAATATAGGAGAGTTGTGTTAATGTGACTACTGAAATCAAAGAGCAGTACTATTCAAAGGGAATGATGTCTTGATCTTAGGATCAAATATGCTAGACCTTGAATCAGAGAATCTGCATTACAGTAGAAAAATGGGGAGTGCTTTATGCACGTGGATTCAGGGCACACCAGCAACCTACACATGCAGCATTCTCTAAGCCATAATGACCATTCTCATCTCCCACTCAGGGTAGGAGTAAGACTCTTCTCTTGCAGCACTCTAATAAGTTGGGTTTCTTCTTCTTCCTTGCAAATAATAGGGAAACTAAACATTTATACCTATTGCGCCCCCAAAGCTGAAAGCAATAAAGAATGAACACATACAGCAAGCTGTTAGGTACATCTCTGTTTAGGAATTGCCTCAACATTGGGTTTCTATTGACAGAACAGAAGAAGTTGCCTCTGATCTTCCTGAGGCTCCCATTGTACCCTGGCTTAGCAGCCCACAGTTAATTTTAAGTGGCAAAAGAAAATTTCTCCAGGATGAGAAGTTAGATTTCTACTAAAACAGTGCTCTCCATAGGGTATATGAGCACATTCAACTGTCACTAGAAAAGAAACTGAGGGAGGACACACAGTGCCCACTGCTAGAAATCTTGCAGTTAGATTAGAATGGAAGAGTGTCTGAGTTTTTAGATAATTTTAGACATCAGGATATGGCTAACAGGTTATGTTCAGGGCCTACGCTTGATACTGTCGAAATACAAACAAAAATAACTGCCTAGAGAGAACATCCATGTCCTAAAAGACAAAACATTTTATCTGGGTGAAGGGATGACTTAACTCGTGAAACTTGAAAACACAGAACAACAACAAAAATAATTTCCTTGAACATATTCAACTAGAAGGGCAAGGCATTTTCCTACATAAAACATTATAATTTTCCCACTACTCCAAAGGAATCCAATAAATAATTTTACAGTGAAAAGCCCTGGATCAAACCTAGAAGTGACACCAGTCCCCAACGAACACAAGTCACAGGTCCCTGTGCAGGTCTCAGGGTGGAGTCATGCAAGAACGCCAACACTGCCATGAGCCTGGCCTGCGGTTTCATCTTTCCCAAATGGGACCAGCTGGAGGGTCCAAGCTGCTTTACAGAAGAGTTCTATCTGGTAAGCCCAGGTCGTGAATGAAGCCAAAGATGACAACACAAGAAGTGGTCAAAGCCAAGGTTTCCTAACGCTGCCTTTGTCTTCTTCCCACGGCCTGGCCTGAGTGCTGAAGCTGGGCCCCAGGAGGGGAGTTCTTCAGTGGGGCCTCCTCACCCAGGCTGGAGTAAGTCCACTGGCCTGTCATGCAGGGAAGAGCTCTGGCAGGCTTTCTCAGTAGGAGTACTTTGCTATGGGGTCCCAGTAGGTGTTCTCATGCTGCAGTCTCTGGGATGAGGTCCTGCATTTGACCAGGCACAATTCCAAGTGATCTTTGACTGCCATGGAGAGGTTCTGGAATGCCACAGCTGCTTGATTGAGGAAGTGCTCCAGGAGAAGTTGCTTGCTGGGCTGCAGGCAGCAGGAGACACAGTACTCAGCAGCCATTTGGCCAGCAGCCATCGCAGCAGTACTGCTTTGTGCTAGGGACGTTGACGTTACAGCAGCCATTCACCAGCAAATCCTTCCTCTCACAAACGTAGCTGAGTTCATCCGTGATGAGGTGTTTCCCTTGAATGGAGTTGTGGCACTGATTGCTGGGACGACTGCTATTGCCCAAGTTAAACTACACTTTCCACGGGATGGGCTGATCATGGTCTTGAACCTGCAGGGGATTCCTCTCTCTCACTGCCCTCTCCTCCTGCCTGGAGGTGGTGCTGAGGAAGTAGACAAGCGACAGCCCAAAGACCAGGACGAGAACCCACCTCTTCCGCAGAAGCCGGCGCCACACCATGGCTGCTAGGTTCACCATCCCAGCGTGGATGTGGGGCGCGGCTGCTGGGGCATGAAACGCAGCAGGCCCAGCCCTTAGGTGCTGGGCAGCCCCATCCCTCCAGGCGGGCGCGGGCCCCATGGCCTGCGGCCCAGTCTGCTTTGATCCATTTTAAAAATGTCTCTTTTTCTGGGTTTTGTGTTCTGTTAGTAATCAAAAAAGGTATAAACTACAAATGTTTCCATTAATTTGGCATGTAAACAATAGAAACTAGTGGGATCATATTTTTTAAACCATAGTCATAAGCCTGAAACTTGATTTTCTAAATTGTATTTCCTGGACTACATTGAAACTAGTGTTATTGACCTCTTTAATACCTATGGAAAACCCACCATAATTATTTGGTTCTCATTAAAAATAAGGTTGAGGAGACGGCTCAAAATAAAAGCCTTGCCTTTTTATCTAATTTATGTCTACCCTTACACAATTTTTTGCTTTCCACTTCATTCTACCTTTCATTCTAAAGGTACTAAATGAATGTTTGTTGAGTGAATGAAATCTTCTGATTAAATATTTTGAAATAGGCTTTATGATTTTTGAACTTGAAAAATGTGACCTAAACCATAAATAATTACATATAACCTAAGTTTCCTTCATTTTTTAAATTAATAAGTTTCTTTTTTAGAGCAGTTTACATTCACAGCAAAATTGTACGGAAAGTTGAGAGTTTCCGTATAATCTCTGTCCCTATAAAAGCACAGTATCCCCCACTATCAACATCCTTCACCAAAATGGTACATTTTGTTACAATTGATTATAATTTGTTACTATTGATGAACCTACATTAACATATCATCATTACCTAAAGTTTATAGTTTACATTAGGGTTCATTCTTGGTCTTGCATGTTCTTTGGGTTTTGAAAAATTTAAAATGGTATGTATCCATCACTGTAATATCATACAGAATAGTTTCACTGCCCTAAAATCCTCTGTGGTCCACCTTTTCATCCCTTCCTCCTCACTAATCACTGGCAATGACTAATCTTTTTACTATCTCCAGTAAAAAGTTTTGTCTTTTCCAGAATATTATATAGTTGTAATCCTATAGTATGTAGCCTTTTCAGATTGGCTTTTTTCACTTAGTAATATGCATTTAATTTTCTTTCATGTCTTTTCATGGCTTGATGGCTCATTTCTTTTTAGCACTGAATAATATTCCATTGTCTGGATGTACCATAGTTTATTTATCCATTCACTTACTGAAGGACATCTTGATTGCTTCCAACTTTTAGCAATTATGAATAAAGCTGCTGTAAACATCCATGTGCAGATTTTTGTGTGGACACAAGTTTTTAGTTCATTTGGATAAATGCTAAGGAGCATGATTGCTGGATGGTATGGTAAGAGTATGTTTAGTTTTGTAAGAAACTGACAAAATGTCTGCTTACTTTGGATTTGTTTAATTTGTTCTTCTTGTTTTAGTTTCCTAAGGTAAAAGCTTAGATTATTAGTGTTAGAACTTTCTTTATGTCTAATAGATGGATTAAATGCTATAAATTGCCCACGTAAGTACTGCTTTCACTGCATTTCACAAATTTTAATAATTTGTATTTTCATTTTCATTTATTTTAAAATACTTGTAAATTTTTCTTGAGATTTCTTTTTTAATCTATGTGTTACTTATAAGTATACTATTCAAGTTCCATGTATTTGGGGAATTTCCAGCTATCTTTCTGTTACTGATTTCTAATTTAGTTCCACTGTGATCTGAGAACATACATTGTAAAATTTCTCTTCTTTTACTTTTTAAGGTGTGCTTTATGGCCCATAATGTGGTCTCTCTTGGTTAAACTTCCATGTGAGCTTGAGAAGAATGTGTAATCTGCTTTTATTAGATGAAATAGTCTATACATGGTAATTATATACAGTGGTTTGATGGTGGTGTTGAGTTCAACTGTGTCATTACTGATTTCTGTTTGCTGGATCTGTCCATTTCTGATAGAAGGGAGCTAAACTCTCCAACTGTAATAGTAGATTCATGTATTTCTCCTTGCAGTCGTATCAGTTATTCACTTGTGTATTCTAATGCTCTGTTATTAGGCTCACAAACAGTATTGGTATGTCTTCTTGGAGTATTAACCCCTTCAATAGTATGCAATGCTCCTCTTACTCCCTGATAAATTTCATTGCTCTGAAATCAGCTCTGTCTGAAATTAATATAGCCACTTCCACTTTCTTTTAATTAGTGTTAAAATGGTATATCTTTCTCCATCTTTTTCCTTTTTATCTATATGCACCCTTATATTTAAAGCAGATTTCTTGTAGGCAACCTATGGTTGGGTCTTATTTTTTAATCCACACTGACATCTGTCTTTTAATTGGCATACTTAGATCAATAATTTTTTAACTGATTATTGATATAGTTGGATAAATATCTACCATGTTTGTTGCTGTTTTCTTTTGGTTACCCTTGTTTTTTGTTTCTTTTGTCTTCTCCATTGTTCTGCCTTTTGTATTTTTAATTGAACATATTATATTATTCCACATTTTTCTCCTTTATCATATCATTTATACTTTTTTTCACATTTTTTAATGGTTTCCCTAGATTATATACATTTACAATTAATTCAACCCCACTTTCAAATAACACTATACCATTTCATGGGTACTGCAAGTATCTTATAATAGCAAAATGCTCCTGATTCTCCCCTTCCATTTCTTGTATCATTGCTGTCATTTATTTAACTTGTCCATAAGCATACATAAATGCATACAGGAATACCTCACCTCACCTCACAGATATTACAGGTTCCATTTCAGACCGCTGCAATAAAGCTAATATTGCAATAAAGCACTCTATATGAATTATTTGGTTTCCCAGTTCATATAAAAGTTAAGTCTACATTATACTGTAGTCTTTTAAGCAAATGCCTAAAAAACAATTTACATACCTTAATTTTAAAAGACTGTATTGCTAAAAAAAATGTGTTAACTATCATCTGAGCCTTCAGCAAGTTGTAATCTTTTTTGCTGGGGGAGAATTTTGCCTTTATGTGGATGGCTTCTGACTGATCAGGTTGGAGGTTGCTGAAGGTTGATGTGACTGTGGCAATTTCTTCAAGTAAGACAATAATGTATACTATATCAATTGACTCTTCTTTTCATTAAAGATTTATCTGTAGTATGTAATGCTGTTTGATAGCATTTTACCCACAGTAGAACTTTTTTCAAAATCGAAGTCAGTCCTCTCAAACCCCATAACTGCTTTATCAACTGAATTTATGAAATATTCTAAATCCTTTTTTGTCATTTCAACAATGTTCACAGCATCTTCATCAGGAATAGATTCCATCTCAAGAAACCATTTTCTTTGCTCATCCATAGGAAGCAACTCCTTGTTCATTAAACTTTTATCAGGAGGCTCCAGCAATTCAATCCATATCTTTAGGCTCCACTTCTAATTCTAGATGTCTTGCTATTCCCTCCACATCTGCCATTACTTCCTCCACTGAAGTCTTGAACTCCTGAAATTCATCAGTGAGAATTGAAGTCAACTCCCAAACTCCTGTTAATGTTGATACTTTGACCTCCTCCCCAGAATCATGAACATTCTTAATGGCATCATGAATCCTTTCCAGAAGGTTTCCAATCTACTTTACACAGATCCATCAGAGGAACCACTATCTATGGCAACTATAGCCTTATGAAATGATTTTTTAAAATAATAAGACTTGAAAGTCAGAATGACTTCTTGATCCACAGGCTACGGTATGGATGTTGTGTTAATAGGTGTGAAGACAACATTTGTCTCCTTGTACTTCTCCATCAATATTCTTGGGTGACTAGGTGCATTGTCAACAGCAGTAATATTTTGAAAGGAATATTCTTTTCTGAGTAGTAGGTCTCAACAGTGGGCCTAAGATATTTGGTAAACCATACTGTAAACAGATGTGCTGTCACCCAGACTTTGTTGTTCCGTTTCTAAAGCACAGGAAGAGTAGATTTAGCATAATTCTCTCTTTTTTTTTTTTTTTTTTTTTTTGGAGATGGAGTTTCACTCTTGTTGCCCAGGATGGAGTGCAATGGCACAATCTCAGCTCACTGCAACCTCCACCTCCCAGATTCAAACGATTATCCTGCCTCAGCCTCCTGAGTAGCTGGGATTACAGGCACCTGCCACAACGCCCAGCTAATTTTTGTATTTTTAGTAGAGACGGGGTTTCACCATGTTGGCCAGGCTGGTCTCGAACTCCTGACCTCATGATCTGCCCACCTCAGCCTCCCAAAGTGCTGGGATTACAGGCATGAGCCACTGCGCCCAGCCAAAAGTTTTTATTTTACATTCACTTTTTCATTCTTTGATGCTCTTCCTTTCTTTATGTAGATCCAGATTTCACAGGGTGCAGAATTCTAGGTTGTTGATTTTTTTTCTCTTAACTCCGTAAATATTTTATTCCACTTTTTATTTGCACAATTTCTGAAAAGAAGTCGGATATAATGTTTATTTGTGCTCCTCTATAGGTAAGGTGTTTGTTTCCCTTGTGGTTTCTTTCAAGATTTTTTCTTTGATTTTCTTAAGTTTGAATATGATATGCGTAGGCTGAAGGGGTTTTTGGCATTTATCCTGTCTCGTGTTCTCTGAACTTCCTGGATCTATGGTTTGGTGTCTGACATTAATTTCGGAGAAATTCTCAGTCATTATTGCTTCAAATATTGCTTCTGTTTCTTTCTTTCTTCTCCTTCCAGGTATTCCCATTACACATGTTTCCAACTTTTGTAGTGGTCCTACAGTTCTTGGATATTCTGTTATGTACTTTTTTCAGTATTTTTTTTATTTTCAACTTTTATTTAAAGTTCAGGGGTATATGTGCAGGATCTGCAGGTTTGTCACATAGCTAAATGCGTGCCATTGTGGTTTGCTGCACAGATCACCCCATCACCTAGGTAGTAAGCCCAGTGTGCATTAGCTGTTTTTCCTGATGCTCTCCCTCCTCCCAGTCCCTACCCTCCAACAAGCCCCAGCGTGTGTTGTTCCCTCCCATGTGTCCATGTGTTCTCATCATTCAGCTCCCACTTATAAGTGAGAACATGTAGTATTTGGTTTTCTGTTCCTGTGTTAGTTTGCTAAGGATAATGACTTCCAGCTCCATCCATGTCCCTGCAAAGGACATGTCCTCATTCCTTTAAATAGCTGCATAGTATTCTGTGGTGTATATGTACCACATTTTCTTTATCCAGTCTATCATTGAGGGGCATTTGGGTTGATTCCATGTCTTTGCTATTGTGAATAGTGCTGCAGTGAACATACTCATGCATGTGTCTTTATAATACAATGATTTATATTCCTTTGGGTATATACCCAGTAATGGGATTGCTGGATCTAGGTCTTTGAGGATTCACCACACTGTCTTCCACAGTTGTTGAAGTAATTTACACTCCCACCAACAGTGTAAAAGCGTTCCTTTTTCTCCACAACCTCGCCAGCATCTGTTGTTTTTTTCTTTTTGTTTTTGCTATGGTCTGAATGTATGTATCCTCCAAAATTCATGTTGAAACTTAATCAGCAATGTGCTATTAGGGGGTGAGGCCCTTGGGGGTGATTAGGTCATAAGGGCAGAGCCTTCATGAATGGGATTAGTACACTTATAAAAAGAGACCCCAAAGAGCCGCTTGTCCCTTCCTAATGTGAGGACACAGGTAGAAGTTACCATCTATGAACTAGGAAATAGGCCCTCACTAGACACTGAAGATACTGGCACCTTGATCTTGGACCTCTGAGCTTCCAGAATTGTGAGAAATAAATTACTGTTGTTCATAAGCTACCCAGTTTGTGGTATTTGGTTATAGCAGTTAAAACGGACTAAGACAGGTTTTCAGTTTTGGAAGTTTCTATTGTCATATCCTCAAGCTCAGGGATTATTTCCTTAGTTATGTCCAGTCTAATAATTTCCCCATCAAAGGCATTCTTCATTTCTATTAGTGTTTTTGATCTCTAATATTTAATTTTATTCTTTCTTTGAATTTCTTCTTTATGCTCTTATTATCCATCTGTTCTTGTATGTTGTCTAATTTTTTCTTTAAAGACCATTGCATATTAATCATAGTTTTTTAAAAAAAAATCCCAGTCTGATAATTCCAACATCTCTTCCATATCTGAGTCTGGTTCTGGTGTTTGCTGTATCTCTTAAAACTGTGTTTTCTACTGTTTAGTATGCCTTGTAATTTTTCATTAAAATCTGGACATGATGTACTAGGTGAAAGAAATTCTCATAAGTAGCCCTTTAGTAATATTGTGGTAAGGTGTAGAGGAAGGGAAAGCATTCTCTAGTTCTATGATTAGGTCTCAGTCTTTTGGTGAACCTGTGTCTCTGAACTGTGAACTTCACCAGTGCTTCTCAGTTTTATCCCACTCCCACCACCATCACCCCCCACCCACACACACACACACCTTTGGTGGGACAGGATGGCTGAGGGGGCTGGAGTTGGACATTTATCTTCCCCCAGGTCTGTTAGGTTCTTCTAAAACCCCAGCAGGTGAGGCTCTGGTAAAATAGATTTTCCCGAGGGCAGGCCTTGTGAAGAAGACCAGGATGGTCTGCAATTTCAAAATTGTTCCTTTTCCCCTTCCCCTGCCAGAAACATGAGGAGATTTTTCTCTGATATTCACTGTAAGGAACTGGTATATCTCCTGGAGCTAAAACTTACAAATGTGTGGGAGCTCTCCAATGACTGGGTCTTCCTGGAGTTTTGTTTGTTTGTTTGTTTGTTTTTTCCAAGACTGAGTCTCACTCTGTCACTCAGGCTGGAGTGTAGTGGCGTGATCTCAGCTCACTGCAACCTCCACCTCCCAGGTTCAAGCGATTCTCCTGCCTCAGCCTCCTGAGTAGCTGGGATTACAGGCACACAACACCACGCCCAGCTAATTTCACAGACTTGTCCACACTGAGCCTCCAGCAATTTGTTAATTACACCTCAGGTTTTCCTACCCAAGGACTGGGTCCCATGGAAGTTTCTGCTCATGGGTCTTTGGTCCAGTAAATTGTGATTCTCTGTATTCACCTGTCTGTATCTCCAGTTTTGTTTTGGGGGCAGCTGTTTGCCCTGTAACCTCACTTCTCTAACAAATATAAAAAGAGTTGTTGATTTTTCACATTGTTCAGCTTTTTACTTGTTATTAAGACAGAGTGGCAGCTTCTAAAGGTCCTTACATGCCAGACTGGAAACTGGAAATCTTATGTCTTAGTTTTTACATTTACTTTTCCTCTGTGAGACGAGTCAATGCTATATTCGTGTGTGTGTGTGTGTGTGTGTGTGTGTGTGTGTGTGTGTTTCAAATTGTTGTTTAACAGTTATTTTAAAAGAAGTACATGAAAACGTGCATATTAAGAAATCTTGGGCCAGGCGTGGTGGCTCACGCCTGTAATCTCAGCATTTTGGGAGGCTGAGGCAGGCGGATCACAAGGTCAGGAGTTCGAGACCAGCCTGGCCAATATGGCAAAACCCCGCCTCTACTGAAAATACAAAAATTAGCCGGGCATGGTGTGGCCGCCTGTAGTCCCGGCTACTCAGGAGGCTGAGGCGGGAGAATTGCTTGAACCCAGGAGGCGGAGGTTGCAGTGAGCCAAGATCCTACCACTGCACTCCAGCCTAGGCGACAGAGTGAAACTCTGTCAAAAAAAAGAAAAAAAAAAAAGGAAGGAAGGAAAGAAAGAAATCTTGAAATGCGATTGCATATTCACTAACACAACTCCATCTGTGCCTTGTATTTCTTTTTCCGGGCCCCCATATTTGTGTGCCTCCCATAACCATGTCCCTCAGCATTTGCTTTCCAGCCTGCTAACCTCTGGCACTACTTTTGATTCTTCATTATTCCCCCTTACATTTTCAGTAAAAATAAAATGAGTGTAACTGAAGTTAGAATCTGACTCTTTATACAAAGCTACAGAGCAGCAGGAAATTCCGAGGTTAAGTTTCTCAATGCTGCATTCCTTAAAAACATCTGTCAGCAACATGATTGTGTAGGCAGTTGTCAGTTCAAGGGAATTGGTCCTATATTATTATTATAGGGCTGTTATTTCCTACATTTCAAATAAAAAAAATTGATGCTACCTCGAAATATCTTAGTTATATTTGAGGTGGAGAATGAGGAACATGATGTAAACTTTTGTGTGTTGGAATCCTAGTTCATTTATAAAAACAGGCCTGTGTGCTTTTGTATCTATCTCTTGCTGAGATGGCCAACTCAAACCTGAAGTTCTTCATCAAGAGGAAGAACCAACCTTTTTGTGATATCCAGATGAATCACAAATGAATCTGGATATATGGTTTCATATTTTATATTGATTGTTAGCCTTAGTATCACAGGCAGAAGCTCTGAAGGAAGAAAATGACAGCCTCCGTTGGCAGCTCGATGCCTACCGGAATGAAGTAGAACTGCTCAAGCAAGAACAAGGCAAAGTCCACAGAGAAGATGACCCTAACAAAGAACAGCAGCTGAAACTCCTGCAACAAGCCCTGCAAGGAATGCAACAGGTAAAGGCATTTTGGTTTTCTGAGCTTCTGGGTAGAATAGCATCAGCTTCTCACCTATAAAAGGGTCCCCTGCAATCAAATTGAATATCAAACCTATTATTCTTCTTGATGTAATATTATCTGGCATGGCTGAGGAAGGAGTTATTGTTGTGTTTAATTAAATATTCCAATTAATACAGAGATAGCAATGGATTGCCAACTTTCAAAGAATGAGCATTCAGTGAAAAATATTTAACATTAGACTACACTGAACATAATCTAATCTTTTCTTTATGCTTCAGAAGGTACTTAGGGATCTAGACAGGGCCTCAGGGTCTTTACAAAGAACCTCAATTATTTAGATATGAAAAAGAGCTGATGAACAAGTATCTAGTTGATAGAATACCAAGAAATACAGCCTTTTAAAAGGAATGGCAGGAATCGACCCTTGATTTCAGTAGAAATAGGTACATTATAGGTTTTTAAGTGTCAATGCTTTGAGCACATAATACCAACTTGTTTTTATTTTGTTTTGTATTAACAGTCACTTATGTGAATGAGTTTACCTGTGCATAATTCAAAGTGTAAAAAGCAAAGTAAATAAATGCACCCAACTGCGATTGCATTCACAGACAACATAGTGTAGCAGATGTTCAACATCTAGGAGTTTTACGTAACCATCACCACAGTGATCCTACAGTTTAAAAGATATCAACAGCTGCTTTCACTATAGTAAAGGAGTAGTGCCTCTGAGTAAGGCCACTATTGTCTTCTGTCATGCTAGACTACCAGCCATTGTCCTTACATCTTAAATTGTGCAATAGTTTTTAACTGTATGCCTTGAAATTGTCTAGGGCAAAGCTAATTGCTGGTTGGAAATTACAAATCATGAACAGCAGTCTATTCTGGCACTAGGAACCCTATGTTATTCTTTCTGCCACTATTGTCTTCCTATACGACAAGTAATATGACATTAATATTTCACCTTTTCTGTTAACAAAATGTGTGAAGTAATGCTCACCTTCCTTTTACCGTCACCATGGAGTTTAATTAGAACATGTAAATTATATCAGAGATCTTTCTATGAAAAAATGCACCTCCTCACCTACACTTCAAAGAACTTTGACAATGTACATTGTATCATGCTTTTTAACCCTTCCAGTGGTCTTTTGCAAGCCTCTGAAAAGCAAGACTTTGGAAACATTTTTGTTGTTGCTGTTTTTCCCCTCTTTGATTTTCAAACCATTTCACATAAGGATAGTTCTGCTACTTAAATGCAATTCGAAAATCATGAAATTTTATTTCATTTCATCACTTCAAAGACCTCAGTGAGAATTAGGTCTCTACGTCTTAAAAAATAATTTCACTCATTTTGATTATTTTGTATTGAAAAAAATGCCTTGTAAACAATGATAAAATTTCTCACATCTTATCTCAAAAGACGTATAGTATAATAAGGCATGTAAGGACATGAACTCTGGGGTTGACCCAACCTGGTTTTAAATCCCAGCTCTGCCACTGACTATCTGAATGGCGTTAGGGAAGCCACTTAACCTCTCCTAGCCTTAGGGATAATAGTAACATAGGGTCATTGTGAGGTTTAAATGAGACCGTGCATGTAACACCTTTAGCACAATGCTTAGTACATATTAGGCACTCAATAAATATTATTTGTTGAAATTATTAATAATGCTAAATATAGCTTCCTGCCTACTTATATGGAAACTAACATGTAAAATTTGGATTATTTACTACTATCCTCACAGAAATTGAACTTGGCTTGGCAAATGGCTATTTGCAAGAATGCTTTACAACATTACATTTACTTATATGCAGCAATCAAAACATTGCCCACACAGTATTAACTGCATCCTACTCTGACCCCTGGCCAGAATAGGGAAGAAGTTAAGTGACTGGATCAATTAGTTTCTCAGGACCTTTCTAAAATATTAACAAGTTCAAAGGAATTTCGTAAGAGGCAGACAAAATAACGTAAAGTGAAAATATCTTGATTTGCCCAATCTCTTTATGGAAAAATGGTCGTGTGTGCTGGAGGAAAGTGAGGCAGGCCCACCTGATATCTGATTTCAGCCAGAGATTTTAAATGAAGTGTGGCTCCGTAATTCATAAATTGATTGTCTTTGGTCTTTTCTTGTAGCATCTACTCAAAGTCCAAGAGGAATACAAAAAGAAAGAAGCTGAACTTGAAAAACTCAAAGATGACAAGTTACAGGTGGAAAAAATGTTGGAAAATCTTAAAGAAAAGGTACATGCACCCTAAGTGAACCTTTTTCCTTGCCCCTTTACCTACTTTTCAGTGACAGTGAAAATGCCCTGGAAGTTATGCCCTAGAAATCAATGGGGCCAAACATTTTTGGCCGATTGGGAATTAAAAGCCCCTCTCGGGGGTAATTCTTATACTAAGGGCTTTGCTTTTAGGTGTGAGTCCTTGGCATTTCTAAGGGTTCTGGAGTGTACACCTTTCAATGAATAAGAAGTCGGTTCATCCCTAAAACTCCTCAGTCTTCTCTCTTGGAGACGACCAGAGTGCACACCTCTTCCCTGCTTCATCTTGTCAAGCAAATAGCAACATAGAAAACTCATGTGACACAAAGCACCTTTAATTGAGCATTTCATTAAAGGAAGAAACACAAGTGCAGCTAGCACATTGGCATTTCTTTGCAGCTAGTCAATTTAGTGTAATAATGAGCAGCTGCAGATGAGAGGAATAGCCAATACCAAGAAGAGAGAAACCTTGGGGAAAAAAAATGAGACACAGTATTCTAAAGCTAGAAGCCAAGATGGGACTTTATCAATTGAGAGCTCTCAGCAATAAGAACCACCAATGAGGACCAGAGAGTCTAATATCTGGATAGAATCATGTATCACAACCATGAATCAGGTGCCCATTCTATTCAAGGTGTGTAAAGTCAACCTCTCCAATTTCCTTGATGCATCAATACTCAGCTGATGTTATCCTCTGAAAAGGGAAGCCCATTCACCAAAACTTCCTTGTTTTAATTCTCTAAAGGAAGAGAAGATTAGGAGCTTGGACCGAGGGTCAGAAATCAACAGTGATACAGTTCCTCAAGAGCATATTCTCTTTATCTTCTGTTCTCAGCTCAGGAAGATGCAGTGCATACAGGCCCTGAGTGTGTTTACCAGCACAGTGCCTTCCCCTAGAGTGTCATTAAGAACTGGCAACCTTGGTGTAGTTGAAACAAATGATTGAAAGTGTTTTCTTCTAGAGGCCATTTGCAACGTGCTTTTAATTCTTCCACTTCATAAAACCAACTCACTTTCCAGTTTTGTGGGCACTATTAAAGAAACAAGCATAATCCCAGAGAAATTCATTTATCAAGCATTTAATTGAAAAGAGCCAAAGCTGCTTTACTTATCAGGACTTTCCTCATGCCATCGGGGCTTCTAAAGTGTCCCAGAGCTGCCACATAGCTCTGTTTTGCTTCCTGCATAAAATGGATTATGTATCCAGAAGACTGTAGACAGACATGGGGTTATGCTCATGACATTATGCTTAGAATTACTCTTCAGGATTGACATCACAATTTGACCTAAGGACATTTTTTTGTGTAAGTAGCTTTCTGCTTTGTAAAGTATTTCATTTAAAGAAGTAAGAGGTCAAATGGCATAGAAGAAACTTGCCATATTGTGCCTAAGGGCAAGTGTTTCCCATTTGGAAACTGAATAGACCATGAAGTGTTGGCTGATGAGGACAGGGGAAAAGATCCAACTGATAATCCAAAAAACAGTGAGTCAAAATATGTTTTTTTCTTGTTATTTTAAGCAAAGCTTCTTTTAGAGAAATTCATGACAGTTCATTATAAACTGATCTTCTCTGGGAAGCTGATTTGTGACCAAATATTTCAACCTGACACAATTAGGTTAGGAAGCAAAGTACCATCACATTAGACTGCAAAAATAATTTCAGGTTGAAAGGAAAGCAATAAGTTTTGGTGAGGAGGGATCTCTTTTTTTATTTGCTTTTGTTTGGGTTTCTTGACAGTAAGCTACAGGGTGAGTTATTGTCAGTGTTTTGCAGTATAACAGTGTGACTTATGTCTGTCTTAGTGCGGAAAGAACTAAGCTCTTTAAATCTGCTAGTAAAATTCAAGGTGATAAGCATCCTTTCAATGTACCTTCTAATTTTTTAAATGCCAGCTATAATAAAATTGAAGTCAGGTTTAAGGAAGGCTGCAGTTCTATTCAAGATGGCTAAAACTTCCCAGAATATTTTCACATCTTAAATCAACCCCAATCTGTTAAACTCTCACACTTAAGAAACGGCTTACCGTATCATTTAATGTTTTAAGGGGGTCAGAAGCAGATGTGAAGCCCATGGCTTAGAAGTGAGCTAGTAGTTTAAATCAAACTTGGCATAATGGTTACTGCCTGGATTGGATTCTAAAGGCCAAAGATTGAGTAGGTCATCAAGAAAGGGTTCCCCTCTGACTACAGCCAGGAAGCCTGTAAATTCACACAACAACATGTCTTGCAGCATAGACCATTCATTTCATTCAGAGACAGCATCCTGGAAGCTTTGAAGACATCTTTGAAGAAAACAGAAGGAATCCTGTCCCTTCTAAGGGTTTGTGGAAAGAGAAGAAGTGAAAATGCATCTGAGTCAGCCATGATCTGCCCCCCAAGGAGCATTTCAGCAGCATTTTCTTTTCAGCAGTAAAAGAAGCAGTGATTTCTTTTATTCCTTCTTCTGAAAGCTTTGCCTTCACATTTATAATAACAGAAAAGATATTCTCCGTACCCAAAGAGAGAAAGAAAGAGCCATGAAAGGTCTGGAGGTATTTTTCAGTTTGACTGCTGGTCATGGATTTCACCTGAGTTTCTCTTAGGACCACCCCCCCCCCCCGCCCCTTCCTGCTACATTCTGAAAGAGAAGAACTTTCCACAACAAAGAAGGCCATTACTAATGCTATTTTTTGTCATGGTCATTTCTTGCTGTAAAGTCAGGAATATTCTAACTGATAATGTCCTCATCAGAGAGAGAGAAAGACTAGTAAATGAAAGCTCTAATTTTTATTTCAAAAACCAACAGTTGATTAACTGTCAGTGGAATATAAGCTCTAATTTTTAGTTCAAAAACCAACAGTTGATTCACTATCAGTGGATTGGCAGTGTAGCCAACGTAGATTGTCCATTGAGATGGGACTTACCATTAACAGAGTGTGGACCTTAAACTTTTTTAAAAAAACAATGGTCCTTTTAACAGTGGGATGAAATCCTGGCTCCACTTCCTTGCAGTGTGATCTTAGCCAATTTACCTGAGCCTCACTTTCCTCATCTGTAGAATGGAGATAATACTTACCTAACAGTGCCTAGCATCTTGTTAGTATACCATAAATGTTGGGTCTAGTTGCCCAGATTGCTTGTATAAAGTCAAGATGAAGGCAGAAAAAAAAAAAAAAAAACTGGTGAAGGTAAATGTTTAAATGTTTCTGTGTTTTGGAGCCCTATAAATAAACTTTGGAATATCTGTGATGCTTTTGTAATTTATGCTATTTTCTCTCCCATTCAGTAATCCAAATTGAATGGTATTGTTTTTATGGTCCTGTGTTAAGTTACCTGTTGTGTAGTTAATTGAAACCAACTCTATTGCCAAATAAAGTGAACTGACCTAGAAGCATGTTGTGTCCACAGGAAAGCTGTGCTTCTAGGCTGTGTGCCTCAAACCAGGATAGCGAATACCCTCTTGAGAAGACCATGAACAGCAGTCCTATCAAATCTGAACGTGAAGCACTGCTAGTGGGTAAGGAAGCTAATGCACACATGCCACGTACAATGCCTGGGTACAATGGAGGAGAGGAGGGCTTTACCTAAGATTAATAAGCACATGCCAAGCATTTATGAAGCATGGCAGCGCAAGAACTCAGAGTTCTGAAGATGATAGGTTAAGAACAAGTACAAATTTCCAAATTTAACAGCAGCTGCCAGCCTCCCTCACACTCCTTGTAGCCACTGCCATGTCAAGCAGTCAAGCATGTCAGTACAAGCACTAAGCTAAGAGGGGTCAGCTGGAGAAACACACTGTAGATTTTTTTTAAATATCTGTGCAAGGATAGATAAGCCCTCTCATGTCCACTCAGGGGGCTAGCGCAGACCGTATTTGGCAGAGAGCTTTTCCAGAGAGCCTCTGGAGCAACTATAGGCCTCTCAAGTTTTTCCAGGTTACTGGCTAAGCTATTTTTACAACACTTCTGACACCAAATGACAAGGGATTGTTTGTTTGTTTGTTTGTTTGTTTGTTTGTTTTAACCTCCAGACACCAGATACGTGGTGTCTTTTCCAACACCACATCTCCAACTCTTCAATACCAAGTGGGTGTCCTACAGTTGAATTCTGTTCTCACACTCACTACCCAAAGTTAGAGTTTAACATTAGACTCCATGAGTTTAAGGGCTCAGTCCTGGAAGACTGCCCTCTGTATAGATGCCAGTCTCAAATATACAGTATCCAAGTTTCCTCTACTTCTGTCTGATTTGGCTACAAAGTCAGGGGTTTCCACAATACCCACCCCAGGTTTGATAATTTGCTAGAATGGCTCACAGAACTCAGGAAAGTGCCTTACTTACTCTTACTGATTTAGCATAAAGGATACAATGGAAGAGGTGTATAGAGCAAGGTACTGGGAAGGGGTATGCAGAGTTTCTATACATTTTTGGGTGCGCATCTTGATGTATTTGCCAACCAGAAACCTCTCTGAACCCCATCATTTCAAAGTTCTTATGGAGGCTTCATTATATAGGCATGACTGATGAAATCACTGGCTATTGGTGATTAGCTCAATCTCCAGCCACTCTCTCCTCCCTCTAATCATGCCTAAGTCTTTCTGATGGCCAGCCCCAATTCTAAAGTTATAAGGGGCCCCCAGCTACCACTCATCTTAACTCTTATCACTCCAGAAATTCCAAAGGTTTTAGGAGCTGTGCGCCCCGGGGACCACGGACAAAGACCACATGTTAATTTTTTTATTATATCACAGTGACAGATGACTCAGGAAACTGGTGTTTTGGACACTAGTGGGCTTTGATGAGGTCCATGCTAGCATTGCTGTCTGTAAAAATTCATTCAGAGAGGCAAGATGGCACAAATGGTTAAAGAATCAGACAGACCTGGCTTCCCATCTTGACCCCACCATTTCTTCTCTGAGCTTCAGTTCCTCCATCTGCAAAATGGGCATAATGATATTACCGACCCGAAAGGGCAGTTGTGAGTATTTAATACGATAACTCACCTAAATCACTTAGCATAGTGCCTGGCCCATAGTAAGCCCTCAGTAAGTAGAAAACATATTACACTTCACAGCACCATTCACAAATGCTGGCTAACTTTATATTCCATTTGGAGAACAGTGGCAGATTGAGGCTCTAAAATATTTAAGAGGGGCTAATCATTTAAGAGTGACTGGTCTTAGGCCACAGCAGATAATCCCAGCTGCCATCTAGGAAGCTGAGCTATACAGTAGCCCCACTCTAGTCTCAAAAGCCCTCCACACTGACTGGCTTCTGCATATTTTTAAGATATCTCTGCCTCCTTTGGTAATGGATATTATCCTCAGATTTAACACTTTGATATGTTAATAAAGATGCACAGGGGGACCTGCCATTGAATCTTCAAGAAAAGTGACAACTTATTACAACTTATTAACGTCTTCCAACTCCAAGTTCTTAACAAATTGGCATGGCAACAGGGAGACCTGTCAGAGAAATGCTGGGGATACAAGGAAGCCTCTGTGAATGGATAGTCCTAGAAAAAAAGATTCTTAAAATAAGTCTTTCTTGTTTTGTTTTTTCAAGAAGGTAGTCTTGGGCTGGCAGAGAGAAAGGAAAATCTATTTTTTCAATCAGCTTTTTGGGTGTGAACCCACAAAATCGCTTAATGTTTTTAAACCTCTGGAGTTATTTCTTGGCATTTGACAGCCTTTCTTGGCCAAGACGTCTAGAATTTCTTCAAACATGGAATGTCTTCTTCAGAATTTAAGTTTCTCAGCCAGAATCAGTGTTTAGAAATTCAATTTATCTAGTCGTTTAAGAATAAAGTAATGTTCTAAGTAATAGCATCCCTTTGGAACAGATTTTGAGCCCTGCCCTCAGTTCCTTCTGGAACCCTTCCCCAACTTACCCCTTTGATTGAACTTCAAACTACAATTTAAACCTGTGCTAGTCTTTGTCAGCCTCTTAAAGGGACAGACAAGTTGTAGTTTAGAAACCAAATCAAATTTTGCTTTTATTTCCTGACAATTTTCAACAAACTCAATTCTGGGTCTATTTGATGCACTTAAGATCTTATGAAAGGAGGTGAACGCAAAAAAAAAAAAATTGAAAGAAAGAAATATTATACTTTTGAAAAATTTATTTTCCACCTGTTCCCAGAGAAAGAAGTATTAAACAATTAACCTAATGGCCAGAACAATGAAGGCAGCATGTGAAGCTGCCAGCCACCCCAGAGTTAGGCTAAGTGGAAATCAGGGGCATTCCTGGAGGCTGTAAACTGCTATAAGAATTCTGTTACACAAAGAGATTCAAGGCTCTAAGCATGGAATGCTAGTGACCACTTGAGTTAGCCGTGAATGAAATGTTTGACTTTTCTTTACAGAGCTGTTCACAAAATAATACCCAAATACAATCAGCAGACTTTCTTGTGAGAGGCACAAGGTTAATCAGGAAAGTACATGATTTTTACTTTTACCACAACAGCAAGGCATTATTAACACCTAAGAGGCTAAAGTCTAATTTAAAGACTGTGAAGGAACTGCAAAAGCCCAGCACAGTGTAAATTCATTGTAAAATCCTTGAATTCAGACAGTGTTTAGCCATCACAAGTAATGAAAGTGACTCCTCAAATGCCAGCTTTTCTACATGTGATATAGCACAGTAAGAGGCAGTATGTGACTGTCTGGGTTCAAATACCAGCCCTGCCACTTACCAGCTGTGTGACCTTGGACAAGTTGCTTACACTTTTAGTGCATCTGTGTCCTCAGCTGTGAACTGGGGATGACAATACACACCTCATGGGATTATTATAAAGATTAAATGAGTAAAATACGTGTAAACTTAGAATAGTGTCCAGTATATTTCTGTTGTACATATGAGTCAGCTCTTGCTATTCACTGTCATGTGGAACCTCGAGAAATACAAGGCTCAAGTATAACCTCCATGCTCTTGTCTCTGTAGGGATTATCTCCACATTCCTTCATGTTCACCCATTTGGAGCAAGCATTGAATACATCTGTTCCTACTTGCACCGTCTTGATAATAAGGTATATGGGGGCCTAAAATGGGGATGCAAGGGGATGTGGGATTTTTTGTTAACAGGTGACCTGACTCTCCTCAAGCATAAATAGGTCATTAGTTACTGCTTTCAGGAAGTTTCCCTCACCTGCTCTCTCACTGTGATTCAGTGCAGAGCTTCCCCTTTGCAAGTGGGATGACCCATGTGTCCTGGTTTGCTGGAGACTGAAGTGTTTCCTGGGACTTGAGATTTTCGATGTTAAAACCAGGGCAGTCTCAGGCAAACTTGAATAAGTTGACCATCCTTTTTCCAACATATATCTTAGAAGACTTTTCCTCTCTTAATTTACCTGTAAGCTGCAAACCAACCCATATCAGCTTTCTTACCCACCAAACTTTTTTTTTTGAGACAGGGTCTCACTCTGTTGCCCAGGCTGGAGTGCATTTGTGAGATCACAGCTCACTGTAGCCTCAACCTCCTGGGCTCAAGTAATCCTCCCACCTCAGCCTCCTGAGTAGCTGGGACTACAGATGCATGCCACCATGCCTGGCTAATTTTTGTATTTTTTATAGAAACAGGGTTTTGCCGTGTTGCCCAGGCTGGCCTTGAACTCCTGGACTCAAGCAAGCCGCCTGCCTCGGCCTCCCAAAGTGCTGGGATTACAGGCATGAGCCACCGTACCCGGCCCCATCAAACTTTTGTCCCTGGTTTTTAGCCATTATCCAATGTTCATTTTCAAAATGGGAAGTCTTATTCCATCCACCTCTCCCACCATCACCCCTGCTATTATCTATTACAAAACAAGGGAGGCAGGTGCCAAAAAAAAAAGATGGAGCAATGAGCTGAGAGCCTCTGTAACACAGACTGAATATTTGCTCACAGATGATCTCATGGTCCATTTCCTTCTCTGGATGCTATCCTTTGGGGGAACTCCTAGGGCATCTGGAGCAGGGGTAAGTGCTAATTCCCTAGGAAATCAAGGATGCCTCTAAGATGCAGGAGGGGACTCTTGACTCCTCAGAATGAATCAGCTCAGGATACATTTTTTTTTTCAGAAGCAGCATTCAGTGAAATGTGCCCATAAATTGTACTGCCTATTTCATAGGATCTGGGCCTTTTGAGAAGTGCCATTGAATATAGGTGCTGTCCAAAATGTTAAGTCATTTAAGCATATGTTCTCTTAACAAAGACAGTGGCCCACTTGGGAATCTTATTGTTCTAACCACATCCCAGCTGTGGTGATACATCCTCTTCAATGGCATTTGCTTTCATTCTAGCTAGCACTGCCCCCTCATTTCCCTCTGGGAAGTGATGCTATTCTGCAATTAAATAGCCCATTTGGCAGTGAAGGGGAGGATGGAATGTGAATACTAGGACCAAGTAGTCCATTGCAATGGTATTAAATTGAACTATGTGTCAGTAAAAACCATCTGCTTATTTTTTAATTTACAAAAATAATACATGCACATTATCTTAAAAATGTAAGCAGTGTAGAAATCTAGTAAAGTGCAAGTTACCACGCACAATCCCACTGCTCAAGGATAACCACTGTTAACAGTTGGGCACATATTTCAGACCCTTTCCTGCAAGTGTGCTGTACCTATATTAAATGTATATATCTATACACATTATCTATGTTTTCTGAAATGGGGATTCAACTCTATATGATACCCTGGAATGTGCTTCATTCACTTGACTGGATACAGTCTACTGCCAGCACTGGGAAGAAGGCATAACTGCCCTCCTAGCCTAGGCCTAGCTCCGCCTTAGCAACTTCCTGCCGGAGTAGTGCCAGGGTCTCCCAAAGAGAGCCTGAGGTGATACCAACAGAATCGGGGCTCCCTCCAGCTCCAGGGATATTCACTGTGACACCAACTCTGGGTGTCTTTCAGGATCCCCTGGTGCTCTTTACCCAAGCCCTGGTGCCAAGGCTCATAGTGAGGAGGGTAACTTACTAACTCTACTAATGTGAAGATGACCACCTAAAACAAGTCCTAAAGGAGTCCACAGATTTGTTTTTGTTTTCGTATTGAGGGGTGTGTGTGTGTGTGTGTGTGTGTGTGAAAGAGAGAGAGAGAGAGAGATGGGGATGCAGAGAAGTATGAACACAGCGATTTCCCCCTTCCTGTTACTTCTCCATTATGAACTAACGCATTTGTGAGGGATTCTGCTCTGGTGGCAGCCATTTCTACCTTCCTCCCCTCCCAAAAGGCTCAGCAGCTTCAGTGGACCTGCACGCAGCATCACTAGAACTGAGCAGCCATCATTCAGCTTCTTACAAACCCAGGCGTTTCCACATGACTGACCCCAGCTCTTTCCAATAGCAACTCAGCAGACCCTGTCTGATGGTCACAGCAGAGGAACGCTGCTGGCTGGAAGCCACTCTGCCAACACACACAAATGCGCAAGGAGCAGGAGGAGGTTAAACGCCCCTGCAGCACACACACAGACACATCAGCATTCTAAAGTAGGCAACACTGGGAAAGAAGATTAGGAAAATAGAACTGGTTTTGAATGGAGATGTTCTCTCTGTCCCACAGATCTGCACCAGCGATGTGGAGTGTCTCATGGGTAGACTCCAGCATACCTTCAAGCAGGAAATGACTGGAGTTGGAGCCAGCCTGGAAAAGAGATGGAAATTCTGTGGCTTCGAGGGCTTGAAGCTGACCTAAATCTCTTTGCCTAACAACTTGGGATCCTGAAGATAAATATGTGTTGGACAAGCATAGAAAGTGATTTATATTTTTAATGGTTTTCAAGTGGAAGTTCCTTTGAATTTGTCAGTTCATTCCTGGAAAATCTTTTGAGTTAAAATAAGGATCCTAGGACAGCACCTCGAACTACAGGCCCTAAAGAGAAATTGCCTCAAACCACAAGTGCTGTAACTTCCTCCCCTTTCTGTCAATTGGTTGTCTTTAAATATTGCAAAAGTCCTGATGCTAAACAGTATTTGGAGTGTTTTCAGTGTCTGTACTACTGTTGTAGACCTTGGTATTTTTTTAAACACTGTTAACTGAAATGTTTTGATGATTTGTATGTGATTTGTGTTTCTAAACTTCTCTTTACATTAATGTTGTTACTGGTGAAAGGCATGAGAGCAGCACTAAGTCCTCTGTGTAACTGCCATTGTCTTTCCAATCCCCAGTAGACCAGTAAATAAATAACACATCAGTGTCTTCTAGAAGGTGCCTGACCAGGTTCACCTTTTAAACGACAAAGCATGGTTTGTGGCTTTTTGCAAAATTACTATGAACCAAAAGTTGACAAATGTTCCAAAGTTATTTTCTCTAACATATCACATTAAAGATCTGTTTCAGAATTGTAAAAAGTACATCTAGATGTGTTTACAGAAAGCAAGTATCCAGTATGACTGGCATGTGTTCATGCTATTCAGAATCACTTGTAAATAGTCTGCTTTTAAAGGAGGGCATGTTCAGTTTTCTGTGAATTAAAATATGCTCATGTGTGGGCACACACGCACAAACACACACACGCACGCACACAGTGGCAGAAGGGATTTATATTAATATTCTTTCCCCTCTGGCCTTCTTACAGTCTGTTGGTCCCTTTGCTTCTGTTGTCAGTGTGTTGAATTGCAAACCGAGTACTGCTGTAAATACTATGTTTACTTCATGCTGAATGTTTGCAAAGACTTGATATAAGTATTAATAGTAATGAATCAATGAATAAATAATGAGCTAGGGTTTGTGAGGCTTTCTACAAATAGGTCAGCTCCACCTGGAGTGCGAATTGCCAGAGACACCTTGGTAGTGCCCATCGGCAAATCGCAATGGCAGCATGTGAGTGGACCATTCAGAAACTTCTGCTTGGTGGAAAGTAAACAGAGAGGATGGAGGTTTGGGGCGAATGTCCTGAGGCAGAGATGGTCTTTATTGTGTGTGGTGGTGGTTGTGGTATTTATAATAATGCAAGCATACCCTCCCTTGAGTCTCAATTGAAGATAAAAGAATGTACTGAGCAAGCAAAGCCAATGGAGAGTATTTCACAAAAATACTTTGTAAATGAGATGCCAGTAGTGTTCAAAGTTGTATTTTTAAAAGATAAATATTCCTTTTTATACCTCAGTTTTGTGTCCTGTTTTTAATGACTTACGCTCTAAGTAATCCATTAGTAGTTATCTCAGTTCCTTCCTTTGGGTTACTAGAATGTTGGAAAAAGATGCCAAGTCTGTCTTGACAACTGGAAACAGGGTTCCACAGCAGCCCATTCGTGCTGAAAACTGGCTTCCCCCTGAAGCACCCTGCTGTGGCACCAGCAGGAAGCTCAGGTTAATTTTACACTAGCTTGCTCACTGATGCATCTCTCATCAATGCTACGGAAGGCTTTGATTCATCAGTCTCGGGCTCTTGGAATACCTAATTTTAATAATATCTATGAAATCAAGGGAAACTTTCCATTTACAGTTATTTCTTGTTTAAATAAACTAAATTAATTTTTAGGGGAGAGCAGTAGGAAAAAGAGCTAATGCATGCGGGGTTTAATACCTAGGTGATGGGTTGAGGTGCAGCAAAACCACCATGGCACACGTTCACCTATGTAACAAACCTGCACATCCTGCACATGTACCCCGGAACTTACTTAAAAAATAAAAGAAAAAAAATCAAACTCCTTACCATGATATTAATACATTAAAAAAAATTTTTAAAGCAACAGCTGCCACACCTAAATACCTTACTCTCCTTCACTTAATCAACTTACATTGCAGATTGTCTGTTTCTGTTACTCCTGCCAGTTTAGTATAGGTATACTCCTCCCAGTTTGCTTGAATATACTAGTTTTTATGGTTAATTTTGTGTGGCAACTTGGCTAGGCTATAGTGCCCAGTTGCTTGGTCAAACACCAGTCTAGATATTGCTGTGAAGGTATATTTTAAATGTGATTAACATTTAAGCCAGTAGACTTTGAGTAAAACAGATTACCCATTATAATGTGGGTGGACCTCATCTGATCAGCTGAAGGCCTTAAGAGAAAAGACTGAAGTCCCCTGAGGAGGGAATTCTGCTTCGAGACTGCCTTTGGACTCAAAACTGCAACATCCAACTCCTGCCAGAACTTCCAGCCTGCCGGCCTGCCCTACAAATCTCTAACTTGCCAGCCCCCATAATTGCAAGAGCCAATTCCTTAAAATAAATAGATCTCTCTCATATATATCTATATATAGATAAGCATAGATATATACATATGAATATACATTATATTACACAATCAAATTGTGGCACATACCATCTCTCACAAACCTTTTCATCCATCATAGAAATCTATTAATGAAGCTGCTTTTTCCTACAAAGTCTCAGTGCTATTTATGGTTCTGTTGTTCCTCCAGAATTTTGAAATATTGCTGTTTTGTTATGTTTATGAGATACAGTAGTTAGCGTTTCTTCAATATAATAATGAATGGAAGGTTTCTTTTGTTTTACAAATGATTTTTTTATCTCCTTCCCTAGTCCTGTGACATCTCTAATTCTGACTTTATTATTACCAAGTTGCTTGTTAAATGTCTTCAATGCAAATGAAGGTTATTTTTCATAGAAAATTAAAGACACATCTGCATTCAAGTTATATAGAGTTTTTTTTTAATTTTGGCCCCAAAATGTATGCTTTTCATATAAGGCAGAATAAACTGTATTATTTGAAAAGATAGCATAAATGTGTGAGAAGTTTTAACTCGCCCAGTAGAACTGTGTGAGCCCTTGGGATTCTCAGCTGTCTTAGATGGTACATCATGTAGATATGGCTTCATTTTCTACCACAGTTGCTACCATCTGCTGAGCACCTATTAGGTAGTCATGATGCCCAAAGTCTCTGTCTGTGTGTCTTCAGGCGAGTCACATGGACACAACAAGAGCTTCAATTTCCTTACAGGCAAAATTAAGAAGAAATAGTACCTACCTCACAGAATGGCAGGAAAGAGTGAACAAGATAGCGTCTGCAAATTGCTCAACCAGTGCTTGGCCCATAGTGAGTTCTCAATAAGAGGTATGATTGTGATTCAACCAAAGTTCATGACCTTACTCACATTTTAAAAAATGTTTCTGTGGGCCAGGAGCAGTGGTTCACGCCTGTGATCCCAGCGCTTTGGGAGGCCGAGGCAGGCAGATCACTTGAGGTCAGGAGTTCGAGACCAGCCTGGCCAACATAGTGAGACCCGCCCCCCCCGCCCCGTCTCTACTAAAAATACAAAAATTAGTCAGGCGTGGTGGCAGGCACCTGTAATCCAAGCTACTTGGGAGGCTGAGGCAGGAGAATCGCTTGAGGCAGAGGTTGCAGTAAGCCGAGATCACTCCACTACACTCCAATCTGGGCGACAGAGTGAGTGAGAGTCTGTCTGCAAAAAAAAAAAAAAAAAAAAGTTTTTGTATTCATACATAGAATTGTGGGACCACATCATGTTGCTGGACTTCAAGAGACGAAATTCAGCTGTTTATACATATTCTAAACATTTACTCTGTCCCAAACACTATCAGGCACAATGGGACACAAAAGGAGTATGGCTGTCCCCTGCCTTCAAAAAGCTAGAAGGGTAGCTGCGACACACTGAACTTAAGTCTTTCACCCTTTAGCCAAAGCCATAAAAGCTAATTGTGAAAATATTCAGTGCTGACTACCCATGAATTGTGTGGATAAGGTGGTAATGACCTCGTGCTCTTGACACCTGAGCTATTACTATCTATGCCCCCACCCTACCTCCAGAGTATAAGTTGCATGAGAGTATGGTTCTCGTTTTTCTTGTTTACTGCCATATCCCCAGAACCTGGTACGCTGTAGGTGTTTAGTAAAGGTTTGTTACATTAGTATTTGTGTAGCATTTTAAACTACATTCAGGCTGGGCGCAGTGGTTCACGCCTGTAATCCCAGCACTTTGGGAGGCCAAGGTGGGCAGATCTCCTGAGGACAAGAGTTAGAGACCAGCCTGGCCAACATGGTGAAACCCTGTCTCTACTAAAAAAATATAAAAAGTAGCCGGGCATGGTGGTGCACACCTGTAATCCTGGCTACACGGGAGGCTGAGGCAGGAGAATCGCATGAACTTGGAAGGCGGAGGTTGCAGTCAGCCAAGATCATGCCACTGCACTCCAGCCTGGGTGACAGAGTGAGACTCTGTCTCAAAAAAATAAAAAATAAAAATAAACTACATTCATATGCACTAATAATGATAAAAGCTAACATTATTTAGTGATTCCTACTTACCAGGATATATGCATGCATGTATATACATATATATACACACACGTATATGTATATACACACATATATATATTTAATGTTTACTACAATGCGAAAAGTAAATGTATTAGCCTCCATTTCAGCTGAGACTTGGAGATGTGAAGTAACTTGCTTAATTTTTTTTTTTTTTTTGAGACGGAGTCTTGCTGTCACCCCGGCTGTAGTGCAGTGGCGTGATCTCAGCTCACTGCAAGCTCCGCCTCCTGGGTTCACGCCATTCTCCAGCCTCAGTCTCCTGAGTAGCTGAGACTACAGGCACCCACCACCATGCCCAGCTAATTTTTTTTTTTTTTTTGTATTTTTAGTAGAGACAGGGTTTCACCATGTTAGCCAGGATGGTCTCGATCTCCTGACCTCGTGATCCGCCTACCTCGGCCTCCCAAAGTGCTGGGATTACAGGCGTGAGCCACCGTGCCCGGCCACTTGCTTAAGTTTTTAAGAGGCAGAAATGAAATTTGAATCTTGGTCTCTCCAATCACAAGCTTAAAACTTTCCACTGCTCCAATATTTTATTTAATCTTCATATCAACCTAATTGGTAATATTATTATAAACCCCATATTGTTCATTCATGTGCCATTATAGAGCACCTGATATGTGCAAGTCTTAGTCCTGGAAATTCAAAGGTGAACACAACATGTCCCCTTCCCCCAAGAGCTTATATTCTGGTAGGGGAGCCTGCTAAATGACACAGTCATGGTGCCCCAAGTCACTTTATAACACTGTCACTTCTCTGAGCCTTTTTTAAATCTTTAAAGTGAAAATCGTATATTTCCCTTGAAGTTTCATTTATGAGGTGTTGATCAATGTAAAGTGCCCAGTACTATGCCTGGCAAAGTAAGTGCTCAATAAATAGCTATAATCATTATCCAACCAATAGTCATATCAACAATGCTTTAATGAAACCAGAGCTACCTTCATAGTAATGGGCCACACAATAACTTAAAAGAAGGAGACCTGCTGGCTCAGAGAAATTCAGGAGATTTTACTGAACAATGCTCCATTAGAGTTAGGTAGTGCTTGGCCCAAGCCAAACACAGTGGGGAAACTTCCTTCTACTGTCTTCTGATACAGTCTAAGTATCCTTCCAATTCTACCCACTCCCATTACAAGATAGACCACATCCCATTAACAAGAAGGCCAAGGAGGTCCTATCTCCTCTACCATTTCCCAAGATTCATAACATCAACCCAGTTTTTCAGTTTGACAGTAAGCTTTGAAGTTCTAAGCTTGCTTAAGTTTTCTATCTGGGAGGATGACCTCAAAGGCATACTAAAGCAATTAATTATTGGGGCAACAGAAGGAAAGAAAAGAATTGATTATACAAACAGGTATGCACATTCAAGGCTATAGAGCCCTATGGAGATGACATCAGATCTTGGGTGGAAATGGTATACAAGACACATTAAAGGGTGTTCTACCGAACTGCATTCACTCCAAGTCTGTTTGAATATGAATAGTCCTCTGTGGCATCGGACCTCTGAAACCTTAACTTGTTACTATTCCTCAATAAATACCTTATATGATGCTTTAAGCTGTTTTCAAAGCAACTCCGTGCACAAGCATTATGTCATTTGATCTTCACAACACATTGTGAACTAGCAGGGGCAGATGACTTCCTCACCATTATTGCAGCTAAGGAAAACAAGTCTCAAAAGATGAAGAGCTATACCCTAGGTCGCACAGCTAAGTGGATGATGGAGCTGGGATGAGAATGTAAGATTCCTGAGTTCTCCCTATCTCTACCCCACTTCAGCTCCAGCCTCTGCCTGTTATAGCTGAGGGAATATAAAGTAGGGGTTCTGAATATTTTTTGGTGCCATGAACCCCTTTGTAAGTCTGGTGAAGCACATGAACTCCTTATCAGAATAACATTTTTTAAATGAATAAAATAAAATACAAAGGAAACCAACTACAAATGCTCCTTGACTTACTATGTGGTTACATCCCAATAAAACTATCGTAAGTTGAAAATGTCATAAGTCAAAAATGCATTTAATACACCTAACCTGCCAAACATCATAGCTTAGCCTAGCCTACCTTAAACATGCTCAGAACACTTTAGCCTACATTTGGGCAAAAAATTAACACAAAGCCTATTTTATAATAAAGTGTCGAATATCTCATGTAATGTGTTGAATACCATACTGAAAAGTGAAAAATGGAATCTGTTTCTGTACTGAAACAGAAAAACAGCACCAAACAGAAACCTGTATGAGTACTCAAAATACAATTTTTACTGAACATACATTGCATTCACACCATTATAAAGTTGAAAAATGTAAGTCAAACCATTGTAAGTTGGGGACCATCTGGATATTGAAATAGTATACTTCTCAAAATATTTTTAAAACATGTTTGTGATATAGTAACATATATGCTCCTTTAACACCTGAAATAGCAATATGAAACAGCAACAAGCCTAATAACCACTTCAGTTCCGAAGTAGTGATGAGCATAAACAGCTCAAGAAATCCGCAATATCATGTGATATGATAATATCTGTGATGCTGATGAAAAAGGCACAGGTACTGCTAACATCTCTGTAGATTGTAGCCTACATTTATAAGGAAAGAAAATGCCAATTTTCAGTTAGAGGTTAGTAAAAATATGAATTTAACTTTTCCATCCAAATTCACACACTAAATTCTACCTGAAGTCTCTATGTAAAGAAGCACCAATAGCAGGAAGACTGATGAAAGGTAAAGTGAGAGTTCCCAAAGTGGTACCAGGAGTAACTTCATTAAAAGCGTTAATATTTATAAATTACTTAGAATAATGCCCATCACATGGTAAGCTCTATAGAATCACTTATTATAATAAAATATATTTTAAACAATAAGATTTATAAATGATTGGCATACTAATTCTTTGCACATTTTGAAATTCTAAGTCAATGCATAAATGACAGGATATGCCTTCAAGTTTGCATTTCCATGTGAAGGAGTGACAGATGAGCTTCAATATGAGCAAGTATAAAGTACTGCATTTAGGAAAAAATGAGCCAAACACTGCTTACGAGATGTTAGGCTCCAAACCATCAGTTCTAGCACAGGAAAGGAACTAGGCGTTGTTGACGTCCCTGAAGACATCTGCCCAATGGGTGGTTGGTATCATAAAAAGGCAAGAAATTCCAAGCAGAGTTAAAAAAAGAAAGAAGAAAGAAAGAAAGAAAGAAAGAAAGAAAGAAAGAAAGAAAGAAAGAAAGAAAGAAAGAAAGAAAGAAAGAAAGAAAGAAAAACATAAAGCATCATCTTATCCCCTTTTAAGAAAGTAAGTTTTGTGCCCACACCAGTAAAACAGTCTGTTTCATGTGGCTGGGCCTCAAGATGTGAAATTCAATATTTCAATTCATATGTGGTTCAAGTGCTTAATCTGTCTTAAGACATTCTGCCAGACAATAGGGGATGTACAGATGAATCTGAGACATTATTCTTGAGGAGTATGAAGAGGAACTCAAAGAATCAAGGGTGTGGATGAGTTTTAATACACTAATGAAACATATTCTACCCATTTGAACCAGTTCAGGAGAGAAAAACCTGGAATGCTGAATTCAGTGTTTTTCACTTAATACAGCCTTCTCTCTGTCTTTCTCTCTCTCTCTCTCTCTCTCTCTCTCACACACACACACACACAGACACACACACACACACACACACACACACACACACACACACAGAGCAGTGCATGCAGCACTTGGTAAAACCAGTATTACAATCATGCCTTGTTTATAGTATTTAATATAAGTGAGCTTACCAGATAGTTGAAACGTTCCCCTTCCAGTACCAATCTTTTAAAAATCATTTTAAATTAAAAAAAATTGTAAACATTTCTGAGATACTTTACATCCTTTCCCATGTTGTTAAAAGGTTCCAGACCTGTCCTGACTTCTCCTCTGCATTATGGATCCATGCTGCCACTGATAACTTTAGTTATTAGATTGCACAGTCACAGAGGTATTAAGCCTGAAGTTGAGGGTTCCATCTTCATCCTTCAAGCCAAGAAGCCATCGAGCTATTTTCCCTTTCTCCCTGGAAGTATATCTGTTTTCATATCCAATCTCTCCTCTTTCTTCTTGTTTGCTTCTTGTCTATTATGGTTAGGAACCATATCATCAAGCTCCTAAAGAACTTGGAGTTAGGTAAGAGACAATTAATTGAGTAAAGAACCAAAAGTTAAATCAGAAACTATCATTGATTGATGACTCAAAGTTTTACTGACAATTCTATAACCTTCATATCCGCTCCACTTCATACCACACCTAAAGACAAATCTCCTTACCCTGGCATTCAGGGCCTTTTACGATTTTGCTCCAGACTTCATTCTAATTGTATTTTCCACTTCTACTACTCTTCAAATACACTACTTCAGCCAGACTGAACTCCCTGTGCCTCCCCATACATTCACAAGTCTAAAACCTACCCTTCCTTCAAGGTCTAACTCAAATGCTACCTTCTCCATCAAGCCCTCCTGGATTCCCCTCACTCCCTCTCCATCTCTGAATGACCTCTCCGTTTCTTCGAGCCCTCAGAACCCTTTATCTGTACCTTCATCATGTGACTTAACCACTGTCCACCTCATAGTGTGCTCATGTACATGTCATCCTCTCTGCAAGGACCATATCTGATTCATTCATCCATGCATTTACTTAGCAAATATTTACGGAGCACCCACTACATGCTAGACAACTATTCTAGGCATTGATGATACAACAGTAAGCAATCAGACAAAGCTTCTTGTCCTTGAGCTTATGCTCTAGGGATGGGGTAGGGGGCTGTTTCCATCAGCTTGGGCAGCCATAACAAAATGCCATAGACTAGGTAGCTCAAACAACAGAAGTTTATTTCTCAGTTCTGGAGGCTGAAGAGTCCAAGATCAAATTGCTGACTGATTTGGTTTCCTGGTGAGGGCTCTCTTCCTGGTTTGCAGATGGCCACTTTTTTACAGTCTTACATTGAAGAGAAAGAGAGAAGTTGGGGGAGAGAAAGAGAAAGCTCTCTAATATCTCTTCTTATAAGAGCACTAATCCCATCATGAGGGCCCATCCTTATGACCTCATCTCCCCCTATTTACCTTTCAAAGGCCCCATCTCCAAATACCATCACTTTGGGGGTTAGGGCTTCAACATATAAATGGGAGGGGGCACAATTCAATCCATAGCACAAGTAGACTAACAATAAACAAAGTAAATAAATTATATAATATATGAGAAGGTACTAAGTGCTAAGGAAAAAGATAAAAATGGGAAAGAGGATAGAGAATATTGGTGGGCCATATTGAATTTTAAATAGGGTGATATTTGAACACCTGAGGAAACATCATTTGGGCAAAGATTTTTTAAAGGTAAGAGAATGGATTACATATATATCCGGAAGGGAAGTGTTCTAGGCAGAGGGAAATGCAAATGCTAAGGTCTTGAAGCAGGAACTTACCTAATGTATTCAAAAACAGCAAGGAGTACAGTACACTTGGAGTATAGGGGGGAAAACGGTAACATAGGAGAAGATGAATTCAGAAAGGTAACAGGAGCCCAGATCCAATAGGACCATATAGGCCACTGTAAGGACTCTAGGGTTTATTCTGCGTGAAAACTGGGGCCATCGTAGGGTTTTGAGCAGAGAAGAGACATGATATATCTAGCATTTTCAAAGGATCACTCTGGATGCTGAGTGGAAAGTAAACTGTAAACGGTAAGGGAGGAAATAGGGAGACCCGTTGGAGGCCATTGCAATAATCTAGTTAAGAAATAAAGGTGGCCGGGCGCAGTGGCTCACGCCTGTAATCCCAGCACTTTGGGAGGCCGAGGTGGGCGGATCACAAGGTCAGGAGATCGAGACCATCCTGGCTAACACGGTGAAACCCCGTCTCTACTAAAAAATCCAAAAAATTAGCCGGGCGTGTTGGCGGGCGCCTGTAGTCCCAGCTACTCGGGAGGCTGAGGCAGGAGAATGGCGCGAACCCGGGAGGCGGAGCTTGCAGTGAGCCGAGATCCCGCCACCGCACTCCAGCCTGGGCGACAGAGCGAGACTCCTTCTCAAAAAAAAAAAGAAAGAAAAGAAAAAGAAAAAAGAAAAGAAAAGAAATAAAAGTGACTTTGGACCACGGTGGTAGCATTGGAAGTTATGAGAAATGGTATGATTTTAGATGTATTTTGAACATGTGAATGAATTGAATACAGGCTGTAAGAGAAAGAGTGGAATGAAGAATGAAGCTTCTTGGCACAAACCAGTGGAACTTACCAAGATGGGGAAGACTACAGAAGGAGCAGATTTGAGAAGGAAGATCAGATTTGGAGATGTTAAGTTTGAGATGCTGAATCTCTTTCAGGTGGAAATGCCAAGTAGGCAGTTGAATAAAGGAATCTGAAGGTTAGAAAAGAGGTCCAAGTTGCAAATATACAGTTGGAAATCATCAGCTTTCAGACGGTATTTAAAGTCGTGAAACTAAATGAGATTACCAAGGAGATGACCAAGGTCCAAGGACTGAGGCCAGGAGAACGCCAAGATTAAAAGGCCAGGGATATAAGAAAAACCAACAAGTGACACTGAAAAGGACCATGAGAGTGTAGCATCCTAGAAGCCAAGTGAGGAAGTGAACAAGGATGGAGTGAAGGTGTCAAATGCTGCTGAAAAGGCAATTAATGTAAGAAGTGAGAAATGACCTCTGGATTTAGCAATGTGGAGGTCACTTGTAAACTTGCAGTTTCAGTAGAGTGGTGGAGGGCACACGCCTGACAAGTAAGTTTAGGAGAGTATAAAAGCAGAAGAATTGCAAGCTGAATATGCATAACCCTTTTAAAGAATTTGGTTGTACAGAGGAGCATAGAAATGGGGCTGAAACTGAAGGGGGAAATGGAGTCAAGAGAGCAGTTTTTAATATGGAAAATGACAATACCATTGCATGTTGTTAAGAATAATCAAGAAAATAGGGAGAATGATTGACAAATTTCAAAAAGGGAGAGCGTGAGCTCGGGAGAAGAAATGAAGAAAAGAAGAAAGGAAGGGGCAAGTGAAAAGGAGAAGAAAGGAGGCAACAAAGGAGAAAGAGCCAGAGAGAATTAAACTTCTAAAGTTGGGCATACAAAAAGTAATTCCATCTATTAGGACCCTGTCTCTTGCCTAGGGATGGTGGTAGCAGGGTCCTTGAACTGGCTTAGGCAAGGGTGATTTAGATAATTGCTACAAAGATTGGAGGTATAATGTGAAGAGAATGAAATCTAACTACAAGGGTACAAGTCCTGACTCTGTGACCTTGAGCAAGCTACTCAGCCTCCCTCTGCCTCAGTTTTTTCATGTGTAAAATGGAAATGATAATACTATCTTCCTCACAGGATTATTATGAGACTTAAATAAGTTATTTAAAGTGCTTGAAGCATGATGTCAACATGAAGTATCATCATTACTGCTTTAGGGAATCAAAAGCCAGGAATCTCCCTGGGCCTCAGAAACAACTACACTGGTGCCACAGAATGAGCCAGGCCTCTGCATGTCTCTTGTCACTATTGCTATCTGAATTATAACTTCATTCTTTCTTCTTGCTGCCATCACCAACAACTCCAGAGCTTCACATTTTAACAAAGCCAACTACACACAGAGAGAGAACTGAAGTATACTCTGACCTCAAATACAGAAACTCTGAGGAAGGAACTCATTGACCAACTTGATTCAAGTGTCCAGACCAGGTAGCCATGAGGCTAGTGTCGTGTAACAAAATGGACGCTCCTGGGAAAACTATGTAAGTGGACTAGGACGCAGAGCAGTGCCCAAGAGAAACCAAAGTGGCTGGGCAGGGGTAGGGGAGGAGAGGTAGAAAATTGAGAAGGAAAGTGCCAGTCAACTAGAACAATAATTGCCACACCCTCCTCTCTCTATATCCCTCCTCATGCCACCAACAAAGAAAGGCAAGCACAGGGAAAGTATAAGGATTCTCCATGAAGATTCTGCTAATAAGCAGAGGCTTCTCTCTTGTCCAGAACCTTGATAAAAATTGTAGCCCAGGCATTAGAAACAATGACCCTTCTAATTATAGGGAGTCTCCATGAGGCCTGCATGCTGGTGTACTTGTTTTTTCTGGTCCCAGCCCTAGGTAAGTCACAATCTGGGTATAAGACACCCACCCCTTCCTCTGCCCAGAATATTTCAACAAGACTGCACACCTGAGGGCTGGTAGTGATCTCTAGACTAGTTGAGTCTGAAGGCTGATGAGCATTCTTTCCTCCTTTCCCAATCTCCCATCGTATGCAGTATCTGATGCTTGCTTAAGCCCCCAAATTCTAAAACCACAGTCTTGCTGCTATGGTCTGAATCCTTGTGTCCCCTTGAAAATGCATATGTTGAAACTCTAACCCCCAAGGTGATGGTATTATAAGGTGAGGCCTTTGGGAGATTAAATCATGAGATCAAAGCCCTCACGATTGGGATTAGTGCCTTATAAAAAAGAACACAAAGAGCTAGTTAGCCTCATTTACCATGTAAGGACACAGCTAAAAGGTGCTATCTAGGAGGAATGGCCCAAGAGAGCTGACTTGCTCCCTCTTGATGTGAGGACAACAGCTAGAAGACACCATCTATGAACCAGAAATTGAGCCCCGCCAGACACCAAATCTGCCAGCACCTTGATTTTGGACTTCCCAGCCTCCAGACCTGTGAGAAATAAATTTCTGTTGTTTATAAGATGCCCGGTCAGTGGTATTTCATTATAGCAGCCCGAACAGACTAAGACATCTGCCAAAATGCCGGATAATTAGAATGCCAAGAAGCAGCATGGAGAAAAACAGCTGGAAGCCAGGGAGTCAAACAGAAGGCTATTAAAGTTTGCCAGGCATAAGATGATCAGGGCTTGGACCAGAGTAATGGAAATAGGACTAAGGAGGAAAAGAGAGATTTGAGAGACAGTCTACAAAAAAAAAAAAAAAGTAAATGGAAAAGGGGTCTCAGAAGTATAACATAGTTATATTTATCCAGTACAACTTAGTGTCCAAAAAGAAAAGGGTAAGAGAACATTTCAAAGATAAGAATGTGATTACCAATAGACAGTGCAGCAGAGCTGAAAGAAAGAAGAAATATTAGATAATATAAATTTAAGCTGTTTGCCACTGTTTGCTGTGTCATTATTCTCAGGTAAACAGGAGTGAAAATGTATAATTTTTTTTAAAACTACCAAGAATTGCAGGCCTAGCCTCCCACACTTGGTAATTTCTTCCATAACTTCTTCCATTGGTTATGAAAGAGTATTGATGAAGGTGGGGAGTATGGGGGACTACACATCCATTATAAGAATAAATATAAAGTGTATTAGAGTTCTCCAGAGAAGCAGAATCAATAGGAGATGATACACATGTTTTAAAAATAAGGAATTTGTTCACATGATTATGGAGGTTGAGAAGTCTCATGATCTGCAGTTGATTAGATGGAGACCTAGGAAAGCCTGTGGTATAGTTCCAGTCCAAGTCTGAAGGTCTGAGAACCAAGAGAACCAGTGGTGTAAGTTCTGGTCTGAGGGCAAAAGAAGACCAGTATCCCATCTCAAGCAGTCAGGCAGAGACAGAGAGCTAATATAATGCATTCTCCTCCACCTTTTTGTTCCATTCAGGCCCTCAATGGATTGAATGATGCTCGCTCACACTGGGGAGGGCCATCTGCTTTACTCAGTCTACTAATTTAATTTAAATGCTAATCTCATCCAGAAACACCCTCACAGACACACTCAGAAATAATGTTTAACCAAATGTCTAGGCACCACGTGACCCAGTCAAGTTGATACATAAAATTAACTGTCACAGTAACTCATCTCTCCAAACCTGCTTAGTATAAACCCACCCAACCAGGTTCATACTGAGTGCTTATACTTCAAGCTCCTCCATTATTACAAGTTTTATATATTTTTTATATTTATTATAAGTTGACTACCAAAAACATGAGTGTTGTAATTCCATTATTCGATCCAAGCAGATACTTGGAAATGTATGGTCTTTAGGTGGGGTGGGCCACCTAGAGACCATACATTTCTACAAGTAATAATTCTACATTACGACAAGTCCCAATGACCTTTCCTCTTCATATTGTCTCATTGAGGCCTGGGTCTCAAACAATGGTCACCCAGTCTTGGATAATGCCTTCATTCATTTACTCACTCAACAAATTGAGCACCTACTATGTGCCTACCTTGGCTCTGGCCGCTGGGAATACAGCAGTGAACAAAACACACACAAATAACTTTTCTACTACTTGTCATATGGACTAAGCATTCTAGTGAAGGAAGACAATAAATAAACACACACACACATGCTTATATGTACAAGTATATATATGTGTATATGTATATATATCTTAGTCCATTCTTGCTGCTATAACAAAATACCTGACACCAGTAATCTACAAAAAACCGAAATTTACTTCTCACAGTCCTGGAAGCTAGAAGTCCAAGATCAAGGCTCTGGCAGTTTTGTTATCTGGTAAGGGTCTGGTCTCCACTTCCAAGATGGCACGTCGTTGCTGCATCCTCTAGAGAAGACAAATGCTGTGTCCTCACAAAGCAGAAGGCAGAAGGGCAAAAGTGCCTAGCCTAGCTAGTTCCATTCATGAATGTGGAACCTTCATGACGTAATCACCTCTGAAAGTTCCCACCTCTTAATAATATCACACTGGGTCTTAGTTTCCAACATACACATTTTGGAAAGATGCATACATTCAAACTACAGCAATATATAGATAACATCTATTAATTATATATTATATATAACATATTAAGTCATATATAGTATACATTAAAATATATCATATATAACATATATTAATTATATAAATTATATATAATTATATAGTATATAGTACATATAATACTAACATACAATTATGTATATTAGTAATATATTATATATATTAGTAATATATAATACTAATATATATTATATAGTATATATAGTATATATAATACTAATATATAATTATACATTACATATAGTATATATAATATACTAATATATAGTTATATATTATACATAGGATATGTAATATATACTAATATATAATTCATATTACATAATAATATGAATTATATATTAGTATATATTATAATTATATATAATTACATATTAGTATATATACTACATAAAATATATAATTATATATACTAATTATAATTATATAGTAATATGAATTATATATTTATATATTATAATTATAATTAGTATATATAATTATATATTTTATGTAGTATATATACTAATATGTAATTATATATACCAATTATAATTATATATACTAACATAGAATTAATATATATGTAGATTGTGATAATTGCTATGTAAACTCTAAGGCAGGGACTAGACCTAAAGAAGATGAGAGAATGAGCCGTGGTAACAGGGGAAGGGCATTCCTGCACTGGGAAGAGCAAACACAGAGGCTCTGAGACAAGAATGTGCCTGGTGTGTCTGAGGAACATAAAGGAGGCCAGGGTTGCTGGAGCAGAGTGAGGGGGACATTATTAAAAACTAAAATCAGAGAGTTAACTGAAGGGAGGAAGCAGATTATATCAGGCCTTATGGACCCTGAAGACCTTTGGCTTATACTCAAAGTTAAATGAGACTTGTGGGGCAGGGGGTGGGGCTCTGAGCAGAGAAGTAACATGCCTACCCATTAAAATAATTCCATTACTGTGAAAGCTGCATTGAGAATACAGTGTTGGCTGGGCATGGTGGCTCATGCCTGTAATCCCAGCACTTTGGGAGGCCGAGGCAGATGGATGGTTTGAGGCCAGGAGTTTGAGACCAGCTTGTCCAACATGGCGAAACCCCATCTCTACTAAATATACAAAAAATTAGCCAGGCATGGTGGCAGGCCCCTGTAGTCCCAGATACTTGGGAGGCTAAGGCAGGAGAATCGCTTGAATGCAGGAGGCAGAAGTTGCAGTGAGCTGAGATCATGCCATTGCACTCCAGCCTGGGCGACAGAGTGAGACTCCGTCTCAAAAATAATAATAAAAAAATAAAATAAAGAAAAAAAGAGAATACAGTGTTACAGGGGGCAGAGGAGGAAACAAGAACACCAGTGAGGAGGATATTGCAATAATCCAAGGGAGAGATGATCGTGGCTTTGGGGCGATAGCAGTAGAGGACAATAGTTGTCAAATGCAGGATATATTTTTAACATGGAGCCAACAGAATTTCCTGATGGATTGGTTGTGAGGTGTAAGAGAGACAGAGTAGTTAAGAACAACTTCAAAGTTCTCAGCCTGAGCAATTGGAAGGAGGGGGATCCACTACCTGAGATGGGGAACACTATAAGATGAACAGATTTGAGAAATACTTCAGTTTCTTAACATGTTAAGTTTGAGACATCGACTACCAATTCAAGTGCAAATGGCAAGTAGGCAGTTAAATATATAATCCTGGAGTTTAGAGGAGAGGTCCATGCTGGAGACATAGGTTTGAGAGTTGTTAGCATATCGATGATATTTGAATACATAATACTAGATGAAATCACAAAAGGCATAGGTGTAGCTAGAGAAGAAATGAAGTTCAAGGACTAAGCCTTGGGGCACCACAATATTAACAAACTTGGAGAGGTGAGTAGGGAATTGCAGAAGAGACTGAAACAGAGCAGGCAAATATAGCAGGAAACCATTTTAAGAGTTTTCTTTGTCCGATCTGCATAAAGAGCAACAGAGCCCAGAGTGTTACCTGCAAAAATGAATGAAGAGATGAATGTTAACAAACCTCTCACCGTTCTGGAGCTGCTTTTATACACATGGCAGTATATTAAAGTACCTGCGTGGACTTTGAAGGAGTACATGAGGTCATCAGGTATTTTTGACAAACTAAACACACATCCCATCCCTTAAGGTATCCTATTTACTGTTTAACTCCCTTTCTCCTCCCAAATTTCTGGGCATAAAGCTCCGGGTTCTTATTTGATCCATATCTAGACTCCCTTTCACCAGATTCTGTACTCAAGCCTGGCGCTGGAAAACTAGCTCACTCTGAAATACTTAGGGCGCTTCTTAATGAGCTGGATTTTCAGCTGTTAAACCTGATGGAACTCATAGATATGTTAAAAAAAAAAAAATCAACTGTGACAGCCCTGACAGGAGATGGAAGGCTATTAGCAGCTGCTATTAGCAGTGAATGAGTGCCAGCGATATATGCTGAGCTCCCTGAGCAGTAAAACACAGGTGGTTAGCCGAGAAACAATCACAAAGACAGACTGGGACAAAGATAAAATGAGGGGGCTTTATTTTCTTTCACTCATGGCATTTCCACTTTTCTTACCACTAAGACACATTAGTTACATAAACACCTTTGAATAAAGAACCCAGAGAGAAACAGCGAAAAGATTTTCAAACGTTATTTGCTTCTCTAGATATATACAGATAAGAATATTAACTCTAATAGTACTCCTGTGATGGTTCTATCATTATGGCTGCAGCTTGTAGGAAATTCTAATTTTGAAATCCCACCTCTAAGGCTTATTATTGAGAGAAAAGAAAGAAGAAGAACAAAAAACAGCTAATGCCAGTGTTACAAATTCCATCTTTTGTTTTAAAAAAAATCCATCAAAATGGCATATTTGATTGCAATGGCAAAACGTCAAAGCTGGAGGGACCCTTCAAGGCTATCCTGTTTAATCCCCTCCTTTTACAGATCAGGAAACTGAGGCAGAGAAGGAAAATGACCTGCCCATAGTCACAGAGTGAGACGATGGCAGAGCTGGAACACTTTCAGTCTCCCACTTCCAGCTTAGTGCTCTTTCTTTAAGCTACACTTGAGCATGTACTAATGGAAAACAAATTAAAGCAGAAGATTGCAAAATGGTAAGAAAACCTGAAATCGCTCATAAAGGGTTGTTATTTTCTCAACTAGTTTTCTGCAGCACCAGAAATTCTAGCTGAAGTAATCCATAGAGCAAAACAAAGTTGATGACAGTCAATTACTAATCACTACTTTCATTTGAAAGCATTGTATTTACAGCCTTTTTTTTCTTCACAGAGTGAGACTTCATACATGTAAAAACTGAATTTAACGCCATTGGAAGTTTGTTATAAAGATTACTGAAAATCATGAGTGATTCATGGTCCCCAGGCACAGCTGTTACGCTATTGAACAGCTAAAATTCCTCGCCAGCAAGGATGAAACCCAAGGGTCAGTCCTTCTGAGACATGGACAGAACACATCAAATCACTGATGATATCAGACTGGAATTTTTTTTGAAAAAGGATAAGGAAAGACAAAGCCAAGGAGACTGATTGTGTGTGTATGTATGTGCATGGGGCCACGTGTGAGGAATTAACACCACTCTCTCCCCAGCTCTATAGGGAGGTACTGGGGGCCACCTGCAGAATCTTGTCCTTCATGGCTCAAGTGCAAGGTGAGAGTGCAGGGAGGGCCTCTTTTATTGGCAATGGGATAGAAAATGGAAAGTAAGAGTGCATTTTCTTGCATACTTTTCTCCTTGCGTATTTCCTATGTGCAATTTTAAAATACTCATTTCTAAAAATATTTTCCCAATTAAGTTTCTCCCTTCCCTTGGTTAAAGCTAGGAAACAGCAGTGCCTGCATCTCCTTTGGAGAGAGTGGCCCTCGTCTTTGCTGGGGCAAACAACGGTTAAATCAGGGGTCAGTTGCTTGGCTTTTCCTGATGTCTAAGAAAGAGAATACTCCTCTCCAGCCATCTGTCTCTTGCTTCCTCATTCACTTCTGGCCTGGAATTAGAGAATATTGGCCTCCCATCCGCCTCCAAACCTGTGGAGATAATCAAGAAGTTGGGGGTGGAGTTGCCATAGTGTTCCTCCCATAGAAATCTTTCCTCCTTCCAGGAGCACAAAGCTACCAAAGCCAACCGCAGAGATGGAAAGGGAACTCTAAAAGTAAAAAGTGTTATTTCTTTTTACTTCAAATTGACATTCACTCTAATCAGCGAGTGAAAAAAAAAAAAAACAACACTAAAATAATCCAGAAAAGCATTTATGTGCTCAGCATTGCAGGGGAGAGAAGAATATGAGGTAGAATCCTTACACTCACATAGCCACTATCCCGGTTGGGGAGACAAGATGTACACATTCAATAAGAGTGAATATAAGAAAAGACAGAGGCTGACTGGATTATGCAGCAGGAATTCACAATTTAAAAAGGTGATGAGGCTACAGAGTTCACAGAAGGCTTTGTAGAGGAGAATGGCATGAACGAAAAGCACAGGGGCAGGAATGAATACAGGCTGTCTATGGAAAAGTGAGGATGCCAGCCTATTGGGAAGATAGAAGCAGTGGGGTCTTGAGAGCCAGGCAGAATAGTCTGAACCTGATGAGGTTACAGAACAAGACATTGTGGAGGTCTGAGCTTAGGAACAATTTAGGGAAAACAGCACTGGAAAAAAAAAAGTAGTCTGGCAGGATTGATTTAGGAGAGGAAAGGCCAGGAAGGTGGTTATGGTGCACCCAGCAGGAGACAATAAAGGCTTACATTACAGAATTAGAAAAGGAACTAGAGTCAGCAGGGTAAAATGAGCCAGAGCTAAAGGAAGTGAGAAAGATGTGTTTGGGATTTAATTTTTGATTTAAACTAATTTTGTCACTGGTTGCTGTGAACTATGATGATGACGTATGTCATTGCACTTGGCTAAACAAGAATGAGAAAATCAATCTCTGTGCGGGGTGTGTGTGTCTTTCTCTCTCCCTCACTCCCCGTGTGTGTGTGTATGTGTGTGTGTGTGTGTGTGTGTGTGTGTGTGTGTAGTTGCAGAGCCTTACACACTTAGGTAATTCCCCTATGCCTTCTCCTGTTGCTCTGAGCAGAAATGTTAGATGAAAAACTGGGAGGTGGTCATAGGAATTAATATATGCAGATATTCTTGGCATAAATTAATAACATTTATTTCACATAATAGGAAGCCCAAAATAGAGCAGATTCCAGGCACAGTCCAGCTAAGTGCTGGAACAATTGACTATCCATGTCACATAAAATGAACCTCCACCCTTACCTCACTCCATACGCAAAAATTAATTCAAAATGATATTCACAACCCAAATACCTGACACAGGACTTCTATCCAGAACACATAAAGAACTCTTGCAACTCAATAATAAGAAGGCAAACTACTTAATATTTTTAAATGGATAATAATTTAAACAAACATTTCATAAAATAACACATAGGAATGACCAATAGACATGTGAAAAGATTCTCAATATTATGAGTCACTAGCAAAATGCAAATTATACCACAGTGAGATACCACTACTCACTCACTCGAATGGCTACCATTAAAAAGAGTGATAATACCATGTGTTGGTGAGCATGCAGATCAACTCAAACTCTCATACATTGCTGCTGAAATGTAAAATAGTATAAGCACTTTGGAAAACAGTTTGGTAGCATCTGGCAAAGTTAAACATACACTTACCATATGTCTCAGAAATTCCACTCCTGGCTATTTACTCAAAAGAAATGGAAACCTATGTCCACAAAAAGACTTGTACATGAATGTTCATAGTAGCTTTATTTATAATGGCCAAAACAGGAAACAACCTGTATGTCCAACAGGAGGTAAATTTAAAAATCGAGTTGTATCCATACGATGAAATACTATTCAGCAATACAAAGGGACATACTACTGATATACTTATTAGCATATATGAATTCCAAAAGCTTAATGCTGAACAAAAGAAGCCAGACAAAAAGCTAACCTAGACAAAAAAATAACGTTACTAAAATAATATTTTAGTAACGTTGATTTTAAAATCTTTACTGTTGGCCAGGTGTGGTGGCTCACACCTGTAATCCCAGCACTTTGGGAGGCTGAGGTGGATGGATCACCTGAGATCAGGAGTTCGAGACCAGCTGGCCAACAGGGTGAAACCTCATCTCTACTAAAAATACAAAAATTAGCCAGGCATAGTGGTGTGTGCCTGTAATCCCAGCTACTTGGGAAGCTGAGGCAGGAGAATCTCTTGAACCTGGGAGGCAGAGGTTGCAGTGAGCTGAGATCATGCCACTGCACTCCAGCCTGGGTGACAGAGTGAGACTCCATCTCAAAAATAAAATAATAAAATAAAATAAAATAAAATAAAATAAAATATTTACTGTTGATTATGACCAAAAAAATTGAGGTAGTACAGTAAGAACTCAAAGTCCTCAATGGTTTCCTACAAGTTAATTGATATAAACAAGAGTTATGGCATATTTGTGGTCAAAAAAATCACCAAACTTCTAAATAAAGACCCAAAACACATCTAATAGTAAACATGGAAATAAATGTGAGCTATACATACATTTAAGAAATATTAATAAGTAAGAGAATTATTTACCGGTTTATTCCAGTTCAGGGTTGTGGTGACTGGAGCCTCTCCCAGCAGCTCAGGACGCCAGGTAGGAACCAGCCCTGGACAGGATGCCAACCCATCACAGGGCATACACACACACAGCCACACTCATTCACACTGGGATCATACAGACACACCAATGAACCTAACGTGCACAGCTTTGGGCTGTGGGAGGAGACAGGAGGACATGGAGAAAACCCACACAGACTCTGGGAGAACATGCAAACTCCACACACACAGTGGCCCCAGCCAGAATTAGATTTTTTCATCAGTGTTATAAAGAAGGGATGTTATTTGACGACACGCTGTATATTGTAGTGATTAATGAGTGCAAAAATTAAAATTAAAAATTTTAAAATATTTAAAAATTTTTAAAATATTTTAAAATATTTAAAAATTTTTAAAATATTTTAAGAATTTTAAAAAATTTAAAATATGACTAATCTAAGCATACAAATTACAGAAAATAATATAGCAGACACCTTTGTGCCTACCACTAAGATAAAACAGATGTAAACACTTTGTCTTACAGAGCTCTATAAAAAGAAAGAACAAAAGAGGTGAAACATTACTACTACAGCCAAAGCCCCACTTTTATCCTTTCTCCCTCCTTCTCTCCTCCCCAGAGAGAACCATGTTCCTGAATTTGATGTTTATTAATCAGCTCTTTGGTTTTATACATTTACCATAAAAATGTATGGCCATAAATAATGCATACATCATTTTGTATATTTTTGAATGTATGTAAATGGAATCTACTGCATGTACCTTACAAATTGCTATCATTTAACAATATTTTTAGATTATATATATTGATACAGATGGAGCTAGCTCATTTATTTTAACTACTGTATGAATAAGCCACAGTCTATTTATCCATTCCCCAACTGAGGGATAGCACATTGTTACAACTTCGTTACTTTTATATAAAGTGCCACATAAACATCCTCATTCATATTTTTTATTCACAAGAGTTTATTTAAGGTAGACATATAGATGTGGAGTTGCTAGGTTAAGGAACGTTATGGTTATTTATGCTGCATAACAAACCACTCTAAAACAGTAGCTCAAAACAGTAATTTATTTTTACTCATAAGTCTGCAATTTGGGTGGGGATGGCTCATTTCTGCGCTACACAGCGTCACCCGATGCCTCCACTGGAACTGAGTATCCACTTCCAGAATGAATTATCTTCATTACTGGCAAATTGGTGTTGGGTGTCAGCTAGGAGCTCCACTAGGGCTGCCAGCTGGGGATCTCAAATTCTGTCTCTGTGTGGTTCTCCATGTGGTTACCTGGACTTCCTCACAGCATGGCAGGTGCATTCAAAAAGTCCCTGGCAGAAGATCAAGGTTTTTTGTGATCTTGTGACTAAAATTCTACAACATCACATATACTGTATTCTGTTAGTCAAGCAGTGACTAAAGCCAGTCCAGATTCAATGGGAGGAGCCACAAGGAATTTGCAGCCATTTTAAGTCTACCACACTCTCCTCTCTAGCCATAAATTATTTACATTTCTCACACATGCAAAAGACATTCACCTTCCCCCAAGGCCCCCAGAAGTCTCAGCCTATTTTAACATCAGGATTAGATCTGAGGACCAGGATTTCATCAGCTAAATCAGGTCTAGGTGGAGATGAGGCTCCTCAAGTGAAGCTCCTTGAGTACAGAGCCTCTAGATCTCAGGACCTATGAAATAAAGAAACAAATTATATGCCCCCACATACCCAACATACAATGGTGAGTTAGAAACTTAATAATCACAGTAGACACTTCAGTTCACAAAGGAGGGGAACAAGGAAACACATAGCATTCCATAGCAATTCTGAAATCCATCACTAGTTCTTTCATCACGGCCCAGTCCTGATCTCTGGGAATGATTCTTCTTAGCTCTTGGCTCCACCCTCTGAGTTCTTGGTTGTATCCACTGAATCATTCTTCCTTATATATAAGAAATGGCCCATGGACAGGCAGGACTTCTGGAATGGTGGTGTGAGGAGTTCAACGAAGTGTTTCTGCAGTAAAACAACAATTTAAGTGCTGAAAATTATTTTTATAAACCATGTAGAATTTCTGGAAATTGCCCCAAGAACATACAGCAAATGAAGAAACATTTATCCAAGAAAATCTACTAAATCTTAACCAGTACAGTGAGAGTTTGTGGTATTTGAGCTACTACCTGCTCCCACGCTCCACCCAACAAGATCTGTGCGATGAAATCTCAACTCTGGCACATGTAGATGTGAAGACAGGTGTTCCCCTTCCCCACAACTAGTCCAGGGCTACAGTTTTAACCTGAGAGGAGCAGGCTGCTGGTGTCCCTCATCTTCCCCAGCCCTATATTACAAAAGTTCTATCCCTGGTAAGCAAGTCTGAGAGGACAGGAACTTCCCTTTCCCCATTCAGCTCCCACTGGTAGTGCAAGGGCTCTCCCTGAGGGATGATAGGCCTAGAGGAGTGGTACCCAATTGGCTCCACCCCAGCTCATTCAGAGGATAGAGGTTCTAATATGGGATAGGCAAGCTGAGAAAACCAGGGTCTACCACCATCCCCAGTGCCCACTGGTAAAGCAGGAGTGCCACTCCAGAAGAAGCAATCCACTGCCCCTGACCTCAGCTCCAATACAGTGGTGCAGAAGTACTGCCCAGGAGGAGAGTCAGGCCATAAGGATGGAGAGCTCCACAGCTCTGCCTGAAATGATGGACTTTATTTAAAAGAGAACATGGGAAGATCATGCCTAAGGCCTTGCCAAAAACAATGGATTTTCAATGTTCACAGCAAAGAAAAGATAAATGTTTGAGGTGACAGATGTGAAAATTACCCTGATTTGATCATCATAAAACTGGCTTTGCAAAATTATAACTGAGGAAATTATGACAGTGAAGGAAATCAGACCTAACTGACTGCATCTTGCTTCTAGCCTTTAAGTTGTCCTTGTTCATTCCGAACCAACTTTGGGAAGGAATTCAGTACATAATTTCACTCTGAAACAAAATTGATAACAGCTCTTTCCTGAAAAGACCCCCTTCTTTCCTGGGGAACAGTCTGCCTTTACAGGACTAACAAATTAGCTACAAGATTAGAAATTACAGTTTAGGGATCATGCAGCCTCTGGCTCCAAGAGTCTGAACCTCCCCAAATTGCTCCTGAGGATAATATCACTATTGTAAAACCTAGGATCAGTGCTTGAGATATTTTGCAGACCTTGCACTGGATGGAACAGCTAACACCACCTAGACCCGTATTCTGGCTCAACCAGGTCTGCCATCCCACCCAGGAACAGAAAACAGCAAGAAAAACTCACTTTACCCCCCTATGATTCCATCTCCAACCTGACCAATCAGCACTCCCCACTTCCCAAGCCTCTACCCGCCAAATTATGTTTAAAAACTCTGATCCCCAAATGCTCAGGGAGACTAATTTGAGTAATAATAAAACTCCCATCTTCTGCACAGCCAGCTCTGCGTGAATTACTCTCCCTCCATTACAATTCCCCTGTCTTGATAAATTGGCTCTGTCTAGGCAGCTGGCAAAGTGAACCCATTGGGTGGTTACAGTTATACGTTATATACATGTATCAAAATATCACTCTGTATCTTATAAATATGTACAAGTATTATGTGTCAACTAAAAAGGAAAAAAAGAAACCAGAAATAGTGCCAAAGGAAAAAAAAAGGAGATCTTGGTGGCAAGCAATTAAGAAAGGCTGGCAGAAGCACTTTGGGAGGCTGAGGCGGGCAAATCACCTGAGGTCAGGTTTTCGAGACCAGCCTGGCCAACATAGTGAAACCTCTACTAAAAATACAAAAATTATCCTAGTGTGGTGGTGCGCACCTATAGTCCCAGCTACCCGGGAGGCTGAGACAGGAGAATTGCTTGAACCCAGGAGGCGGAGGTTGCGGTGAGCTGAAATCACACCACTGCACTCCAGCCTGGGTGACAGAGCGAGACTCCGTCTCAAAAAAAAAAAAAAAATGCTGGTAGCTTCATGAGACTAATACAGCTGACCCTTGAACCATGCAGGGATTATAGGCACCAACTCCTGCACAGTCAAAAATACATCTACAACTTTTGACTCCCCAAAACCTTAACTACTAGTAGCCTATTGTTGACTGGAAGTCTTCCTGAAAACAAAAATAGTCGATTGACACATAAACCATATTTACATATCTTTTGTATATTCATTACATACCTAACTTTGTCTTAATTTTCTCAATATTTCTAGGCTATGCAGTTCATCTACAAGTTTTCCAAATTGTCACCAATCTCCAAAAACTTTCCAATATACTTGTTGAAAAAATTCTGTGTATAAGTAGACTTGTGCAATTCAAACTTGTGTTGTTCAGGGGTCAAATGTAGCAGTGAGCAAGAAGGCAGATCAGTCACAAGATTGACAGAGAGAATCCAGGAAACAGACAGCTAAGAAGAGCACTCCTGGGATCGCACTCCCAACAGCCCCAGATCTCTTTGATGAGAAATTGCCGTTGTACCTTACTTCTTTAAACATGATTTACTTTTGTTCTTTGAACATATTTATATTAGCGGGTTTGAAGTCTTTGTGTTTTTCCCATTATTTCACATCTAAAGACACATATATGTTTGTTCCATTGTCGATGATGATAATTTGACCACTTGGTTAAGGTAGTCCTCCAGACCTCTGCATTGTAACAATATCTTTTCCTCTTTGTAAATAATGCTAAACTTGGCCTCAGATTGACCAATGGGAGCCCATTTGAGTCAGTTCTTATGTTCTTTTGCTATATTCCCCTAGTCTTTGTGCACATAATCTCTTCTTAACACAATAAAATATTCCAAAGAGGGAATAAATATTAACACAATATTTATTCCCTTGCCCCAGACCTGTACTCGGCCATTTCTCCAAGGAGCTACAAGGGTATATCCTTTTGAGGGCTCTAGTTTAATGCGGGGGCCTCAATTCTGTTTTTGTTTTAGTTTGTTATTTTTTCCCATAAATTATTGGGGTGCGGGTGGTATTTGGTTACATGAGTAAGTTCTCTAGTGGTGATTTGTGAGATTTTGATGCACCCATTTTGGTGGGCATTTGGGTTGGTTGCACGATTTTGCAATTGTGAATTGTGCTGCTATAAACATGCATATGCAAGTATCTTTTTTGAATAATGACTTCTTTTCCTCTGGGTAGATACCCAGTAGTAGGACCACTGGATCAAATGGTAGTTCTACTTTTAGTTCTTTAAGGAATCTCCACACTGTTTTCTATAACGGCTGTACTAGCTTACATTCCCACCAGCAGTGTAGAAGTGTTCTCTGTTCACTGCATCCATGCCAGCATCTACATCATCTCATGTAAGTCAATGGATTAATCTCCTATACTTACATAAACTTCTATAAAACTCAGGCCCTTGGATTACTGAAACTAACATTCTCCCATGCCAGAAAAGCCTCACATTTAACCCATGTGCTTTCCACTCAGCTCTCAGTCTTTTGGGGGGACTCTGACTTTTGGGAATTTCTCTTTCTTAATTGTATACTCAACTATGCATTTGAAAATGAAATATTCTATCCAGCAATGGGTGTTTTGTAGTCAGAAAATTTTTAAGCTGTCTCATCTATCAAATCACCTTTGTTTCTATTTGCAGCCTTTGGGAGTATTTGGGATCTGAGAAGAAAATCCACACAGAATTCTGGTGGGTTCCTTCTCTCTTGGACAATTTCATGTATGATGTTTATCTCCAGGCTGAATGAAAGACTATAAGGGTCCCTTCTCAATTCCAGGCCATTCTCCATGCTCCTTTCTTTGCTGTAGGCTACAAAACCTCAGCTTTGTCTCATCTCCTCTCCATAGTTGCTATCTCCTCTCCTCTCCCATAATTGTGGTTATGGAAGGGGCCATAACCTCCTCAGCTTCCCTCCTTTTGGGGGCTCTACATAACTACCTACACTTAAATGTTTTATTAGTTCATTTTAAGGACTTTACAAGCTGATCATGTGACGAAACACACAGAGGCTAGCAAAACATGAGACCAGTAAAACATCTTTTAGTTATGGTCCATGTTCTGTTGATCTTTTATATAGGGGACCCCTGACACAAGTTTTCTCAAACTCTGAAGACCAGTGTACAGTGGACCCCAGAGAATCAGCATGATTCTTCAAGAAAGAATCAGTTTCTCTTGGCTCAGCTCTGCCTCCCTCCCTACTCAATGAATGATGATTCTGCTATGGGGAACACTGGCATTTTAAAAAAGTTCATTGATTATGCATCAACATCTGTATGGCAAATGCACCATTCAGCAGTAGCAAGTAGGACACATTGAAATTCTGATTTAATAACAAAAAAGAAATATGCTTTTCACAGATCCATTTATGTGCCAAAATACTAGAGCTGTCAGAACATCTGCAACACTTCATATTAGGACTTTTATTTTCTTTAGTGAAGAAGAAGGTGTGTATGTTTAGAGAGGGATTGTTAACTAGAATTTTCATCCCTGTATATCAGGTAAGTATTAAAAACATATATTTCTATAAGCCAATCTCCCAGGATTTGATTAAGTCTCCCTTGGGCAGTTTCATGCCAGGATGCCACAGATAAGACCAAATCAAAGAATTTAGACAAGCATCCCACAACCCACTTTGTGTAAACTAGCCTTTTTATTTTGACTCTTGAAACCAAACTTCTTTGGTGAATCCTCATGTATTTCTTTCTGGAAAAGAAAAAAGCAAACCATACTTAAATTGAAATATTTCAGTCTATGAATTTACTGTTCATCTGCCCTGAAGCCAGGAGTGATGGGCTGTATGGCCAAAATCCCATAATTATAATTTTTAAAAAGGTCCTCCTCCACTAATCCAGGGATTCTTATCCTGAGGTCCATGAACCCCTATGGGATCCATAGCAGACTTTATGAAGACTTTGAACTCTCCAAAACTCCAAAACTGTGTACTAAATTGTGTAGGGAAGTAGGGGGTTAGGGCTTATGTGCATTCTTTTGGGAAAGAGGCCCTGGCCTTCATCGGATTCTCCAAAATATTCAAAACTCTTTGCAAAAAGTCTGGCTTGGTAGATCAAGAAAAATGGCTAAGTTTCTGCCCCTTGCTACAAAGGCCTTGGGTTTGGTCCCATGTGATTCAGGAGGCTTTCCAAGTGGCTAAAATTCATGAATAAACAGTGTTTATAAATAGGCTCAGACCTGCGAAATGCTGTCCAAAATGGCATGCATGGGTCATGGGTCCAGGACCCATCAAAAGTTATTTTGATGTCCTAGACAACATGCTGAATGTGGGCCCTGATGAGCTTGGGGCAGATGAATCTTACAGTTTGGCCTCTTCCTCTCCAGGCTCTTTGAACTCGGCAGCGGCCTTATGCATGCTCTACAACTCAATATCTTGGCATCCACCTAGCTGTTGTGCTCCTAACTTGGGGTGTCAAACTACAAAGGGAAAAATAATTTTAAATAACAGCAGTTCATATTTATTAAGCATTTCCTCTGTCAAACACTGTGCTCAGTGTTTTATTAATTAATTAATTAATTTATTTATTTATTATTTTTTCAAGACAGAGTTTCACTCTTGTTGCCCAGGCTGGAGTGCAATGGCATGATCTCAGCTCACTGCAACCTCTGCCTCCCAGGTTCAAGTGATTCTCCTGCCTCAGCCTCCCGAGTAGCTGGGATTACAAGCACCCGTCACCACACCCAGCTAATTTTTTGTATTTTTAGTAGAGACGGGGTTTCACCATGTTGGCCAGCCTGTTCTCAAACTCCTGACCTCAGGTGATCTACTCACCTTGGCCTTCCAGAGTGCTAGGATTACAGGCGCGAGCCACTGTGCCCAGCCCGTGCTCAGTGTTTTATATGTCATTTAATCCTCATGACAACCGTGTTATTATTAGCTCCATTTTACTTATGAGGAAACTGAGGCTCAATACTGAGGTTGTGACTAGCCCAAGGTCACAGAGCTGGTAATAGGTGAAGCTGTCAATGTTCATGGTATTTACCATGAGACTACACTGCTCCCCACCTCTCCCCAAATTTCTCCCTCCATTCAGAATGCCTTCGCCTACTCTTATTCGGCACAGTCCATATACTTTCTCCAGGTATTGGTAACCCCAGAAAAAGCAATGAAAGCATTTACAAAATACTATGTGCCAAGCACTGTATCAAATGTTTTTCATGCAGTATCTGATTTAATCTTAACCAAAAACTCCAGTATCCTCTTGCATAGGGCATAATGAAGCAATATGGTTAGCAGTTAATAGCATCGTTTTAGGAATCAAACTACCATTTTACAGATAAGGAAAGCAGAGCCTAGAGAGGCTAAATAATCACCCAAGGCCAAACAGCTAGCAAGTGGCAAAGCTGGGATATGAACTTAAAATTTTCTGACTCAAGAGACTGTGCTGTTAAACACAGAAAACATCTTTTAAAAACACTAAATGTGATGTTAAGACAATCAGTCATCAAAGTTTATACTATTTTAGTGAGGTGGAGAGCAAGGGTAAACACCTAACTTAATTTTCTTTTTTCTGTGACATGTTGCCTTTCCTGTGTCCCTCTCTAGGTGACGGAGCCTCACATGCAGTAATTTGTGCTAACATCAGCATAATGAGACAGAGCCTAGGCACTGTGCATACATAAGCCAAACAATACACAAAACTTCCAATTGACTAAACCAGTCATGCCGGATTTATGAAGAGAAAAGAAAAGGGCGGACGACGTGACCAAAATACACTCTCACTGAAAAGCACTTTTTGTCCCCCCACCCCCGCCCCGCATCCCCTGCTTTATTGCCTTGTAAAACAAGAATTACAGCATAAAGCACGTGGCTTATATCACAAGCAGGTCACATGTGGTGCTGGTGACCTGCAGCTCTTATCTACCCCTAGCAGATTCACTTGCAGCCTTCTTCTGTCTCTGCACACTTCCCTGAATATAAACGTGCTTGCTAAGTGGTCTGCACCTTGGGTCCATTCTTGCCTTGGGTAGGGAACACACAGAATTCTGGGACCAGACATGAGGATCTTTTACTTTAGTGAGACAATAGTCTTGGTTTTAATAAAAAGGAGGAGGGCTACTGTGTCTCTGCTGCAGATGGTATTAGGGGAGGGAAGAAGTAGTCAGAATATTAAATCACCTTTCTTTGTATGCATGGTCAGATTTGCTATTCGAAATTCAGCAAGCTTTGAAAACACGACACTGCGCACTGCCTCCAGGTTTGGCAGCTCTTCCTTTTCTGTTGGGATGAGTGCCCGACCTCAGGGAATAGTTCCTTTAGATGTCAGCTACACACTTTGCCCAGACAAAGCTTCCAACAGCTTGACTTATTCCAAAGAACCCCCATAGCAACTGAGAGGCTATTAGCATGGTTAGATGTCGGGTAGGCCGAGCTGCATCCACAGAAAGGGAGAGAAAGAGATGAGAGGGATGTTGTCGATAGAAGCTTCAGGAGTGGGGAAGAAAGCCGCTGAGAATTGTAGACGAATATCTTTTCAGCAAGGTGGCATGAAAGGTCTACATGGAGGTTAGCCTCTGGAGAATTCTTCAACTCCAGATTTTAGTGTCTCAGAGAAAATGTAGTCCTTAGGAAAGGCTGGAACTTTTCCATTATGACACTTGATGATAGCATTATGCGACAGTCAACTTGTGAATGTCAGCATTACCACCATACATTTTCAGTCATTTGCACAATCCATAAACAAATATTCCAAAAAATGTGTCATATTTATTGAACATTGGGTATTTTCCAAGCACTTTTGTGGGACTTACTTTATGAGATAAAGGTAGAATTTATTATCTGCATTTTACAGGCTAATTAATCAAAAGTACTTATTGTGAGCCCACTATATGCATAGGAGACACACATCATACTAGCATACAGTACATAATGAAGCAATGGCTTTAGTGGTTAAAAGATCAAGTTTAGGGCCGGGCGTGGTGGCTCACACCTGTAATCCCAGCACTTTGGGAGGCCGAGAAGGGCGGATCACGAGGTCAGGAGATCAAGACCATCCTGAGTAACACAGTGAAACCCTGTCTCTACTAAAAATACAAAAAAATTGGCCAGGTGTGGTGGCGGGCGCCTGTAGTCCCAGCTACTGGGGAAGCTGAGGCAACAGAATGGCGTGAACCCAGGAGGCGGAGCTTGCAGTGAGCCGAGATGGCGCCACTGCACTCCGGCCTGGGCAACAGAGCGAGACTCTGTCTCAAAAAAAACAAAAACAAAAACAAAAATAAATAAAACAAAAAAAGCAAGTTAGGAGTCGGACTTACCTGCTTTTGAGTCCCCTCTATGCCACTTGCTATGTGACCTTGAGCAGATGTCTCAACCTCTGCCTGACTCAATTGCCTAATCTGTAGAATGGAGATTATAACAACCTCACAGAATTGCTATGATTATCAAATGAGAAGATAATATATGTAAGGTGTTTGGCACTGTACCTAGAATATATCAAGGGTTCAATAAGTGGTAGCTCTGGGGAGTGGTGATATTTTTATCACCAGCTGCAGTAAGGAAAACAATAGATATGAGACAGTCCCTGTGCTCAAAGAGTTCCCTGTCTAGATGGGAAAATAAGTTGTCCACACATGAAAAAAAAATACTATCAACACCAGACAGTAACTATTAAATGCCACATGAGTGATGAAGAAAATGTTACTCAGTCTAAAAAAAAAAAACCACAAAAATAAAAACGAATAACACAATTTAAAAATGTGCAAAGGATTTGAATAGACATTTCTACAAAGAAGAAATGAATAATGGCCTATAAGCCAATGAAAAGATACTCAGCAACATTAGTCATTAGGGAAATGCAAATCAAAACAAGGAGACACCATTTACACTCAGTAGGATGGCTAGATAATAACAAGTGTTAGCAAGAATGTGGAGACACTGGAACCCCCATACACTGTTGGTGAGAATGTAAAATGGTGCAACCACTGTGGGAAAGAGTATAGCAGTTCCTCACAAAGCGAAACAGAGTTATCATATGACTTAGCAATTCCACCCCTTGATATATACCCAATAGAACTGAAGTATTATTCATGCAAACAACTTGTACATAAATGCTTATATCAGCATTATTCATAATAACAAAGAAGTGAAAACAACCCAGATGTCCATAAACTGATGAATAGATAAATAAAATGTGGCATATCCATAACAGAATATTATTTGGCAATAAAAAGAAGTGAAGTACTGATACATGGACAACATGAACAGATCTTGTGAAAGAAGCCAGATGCAAAAGGCCACATACTGCATGATTCCATTCATATGGAATGTCCACAATAGGCAAACCCACAATGACAAATTTGTGGATGTCTATTGCTAGGGATGGAGTGGGGTTTGGGAGTGATGGCTAAGAGATGTGAGGTTTTTAATGAGTGGAGGAAGGTGTGAAAATGGTCAATAATCAATCACGGTGATGGATGCACATCTCTGAGAATATACTAAAAGCCACTGAATTGTATACTTTAAATGGGTGAATTGTGTGGTGTGTGAATTATATCATAAGAACTCTGCTTTTTAAAAATAATGTGCTATACAGGAACAGAAAATCAAACACTGCATGTTCTCATTCATAAGTGGGAGTTGAACAATGAGAAAACAGGGACACAGGGAGGGGAACATCACACACTAGGGCCTGTCGGGGTGGGGGCAAGGGGAGGGAAAGCATTAGGACAAATACGTAATGCATGTGGGGCTTAAAACCTAGATGACAGGTTGATAGTTGCAGCAAACCACCATGGCACATGTATGCCTATGTAACAAACCTGCACATTCTAAACATGTATCCCAGAACTTAAAGTAAAATTAAAAATAACAATAATAATAATGTGCTATAAAAATTTGGAGGACAATGACATAACTGAATATTAGGCGGCAGTTATTGAAATGAACTGAGGATGGGCCGTATTTTGAAAGCTTGGGAAGTGAAGATTGGGCATATGTGTCAGTTAGTTATTGCTGCTTAACAAACCATCCTATAATTTGTGGCTTAAAACAACAAACACTTACTTCTCATATGTCTGAGTGTCACCCAGAGATCAGCTGACCTCATCTGGGTTTGGCTCCAAATGGTGGCTATGGAGACAGGTCTTTTCCACATTTCTCTCATCCTCCTTGGACCCATGGGCTACCCAGAGTAGGTTCTTTTCATGCAATGGCAGAAGCACTAGCCTGATCACATAAGTCATTGCTTACGTCATATCTATGAATGTCCTATTGGCCAAAGCAAGTCAAATGGTGAAGTCTGAAGTCAAAGGGTAGAAAAAAACTGCAGAGTCTGGCCAGGTGCGGTGGCTCATGCCTGTAATCCTAGCACTTTGGGAGGCTGAGGCAAGCAGATCACTTGAGGCCAGGAGTTTGAGACCAGCCTGGCCCACATGTTGTAACCTCATCTCTACTTAAACAATACAAAAAACTAGCCGGGTGAGGTGGTGTGTGCCTTCATTTCTTGCTTCTCGGGAGCAAGCAACTCAGGAGGCTGAGGCATGAGAGTTGCTTGAACCCAGTAGGTGGAGGTTGTAGTGAGCCAAGATTGCACCACTGCACTCCAGCCTGGGGGACAGAGTGAGACTCTGTCTCCAAAAACAAAACAAAACAAAAAACTGCAGAGTCTCATGGCAAAGGGAAAGACACAGGGATGAGTGGAGTATTAGAATCAATAATCCAAACTAACACAGTGTTCCAGATAGAGAGAACATTCATTCATCAAACAAACACTGTCTACTGCGTAGCAGGTGATTCTGAGAACCAGGATAAATACAACAGGAAACAAATCATGTTCCCCACTTTCATGCAGATCACAGTAGTCAGTGATCCCAAAACAGCAGGTTTAAGATGTACCTGTAAACAAGGAGCAAGAAACCAAAGTACTCGAAGGATCCAAACTTGTGAGGCAAATAAGTTGAAATGAGAGGCAGGGCTAAGATGACCTGGGGAGTGCAAGTGCAGTCAAAAGGAGGCGACTGCTACTTAGCTCTAAATGACTGTTACCAGAAGGAAACATGAGCTTAGTCCTTATATCCTTCACATAATAAACTCCACTATCCAAGCCAAACAAAACTCCTGAAGGCAGGACGTGGCCTGAAAGCCACAAGTTTGTTGACCTCTGATGTGAAAACAAAAACAAAAACAAAAAACAATTGGGGGAAAATATGCTAACTGCTGTAATGGAGGTCCATAAAACAAGCAATGGATGCAAAAGGGAAGGTGTGCCTGTGACAGCTTGGGGGACTCTAGGAAGGCAACAAAGGGAAGGTGACATCTGAGTGGACTCTGTGTGGGCAGAAGGCAGGAAATTCAGGCAGAAGGAATGTGTGCACAAAGGTATGGAGGATTGAGAGAGCATGGTGTGTTCAAGAAACTTCCAGTAACTTCACATTGCTAGAGGATAAGGTTCTAGAGAAGCAAGAAATGAATAAATGAATTAGGCACCAGATTGTGGAAGTTCTTTCAGATCATACTAAATTGTTCAGACTTTATCCTAAATGGTTGTGAGCAGGGAACGGATACAATCAGGTTATCTGTCTACTATAGGTGTGATGGATTTGAGGGATGCAAATGGAAGTAGGGAGGCCAGGGCAGAGGCTATTTCAGGGGAGAGAGAACAAGAACTGAACTAAGGCAGTGACAGTAGGAAGGGAAAGGTCAGATGAATATGAGATGTGACAAGCAGGCAGAATCTACTGAATTTGGTTAAACATTTAAATGTGGGTAGTGAATGAAAGAGAAAACAATAGAATGAGACTTTGATTTCTGGGTTGAGCAACTTGAAGATATAATAAAATGTCATCCATGGAGACAGGAAAAACAGAAGGAGAATGTTGGGGTGGTGGCTTGAAATTACGACTATGGTTTTGGACATGTTATGTTTGGGGAGAGATGTCTACTAGTTAGTTGAATATGCAGGTCTAGAGCTCATCAGAAAGGCTGGGGCTGCAGACGTGGATTTGGGTACCTTCAGCTACAGGGTGGTAATTGAAGTCAATGGTTTAAATGAACTTAAAGTTGAGAGTATAAAAAATAAGAGAAATCCTAGGGAGAATAGTGTTTAAGGAGTGGGCTGAAAAAAAACTTGCAAAGGATACTGAGGAATAATCAGAGAGATAGGAAGAAAAACAAGAAAGAATGCCACCATTGAAATGAAATGTAAAGATAATTTCAAAAAAGGAATGGTAGTCATTAATTGCCAAAAGAGATTGAGTCAGGTGGGAATGCAGAGAGTCCACTGAGCTTGACAAAAAGGTACTCATTGGAACCCTTGACTTGAACTCAGAAAAGTGATGAGGAGTGGGGGTGGGGAGAGCAGAAGGCTAGTGATGATGAATTAAAGAGAAAGTGGGAGGTGAGAAAGTGAATATGGTGAATGTAGGTCTTCCTCTGGAGAAGCTGGGATGAAAAGTAAAGAGAGATATTCAGGGTTAAGTAAGTTTTATTTCATTTTGGTTTTGGTTGTTTGTTGTTTAAGATGGGATATCTCTGAACTTGTTAAACAAGCGTTCAATGGAGGGGAGATGATTTAATGCATAGGAGTTAGAAATGATAATATATTGGGTAAGTTCCCTAAAATACTGGTGGGGAGGGTAAAGCAATGGCTCTGATGGGATCCAAAGCAAAGTCGGAGGGACTCGTCTCTGACAATAGGAGGGAAACAAGTTCAATATGTGTAGATGTAAATAGATTACTAGGTTTAGTAGCAAGGAATTGAGGAAGTTCCCATTTGGTGGCTTCTATTTATCATGTGTAGTAAGAATCAAGGTTATATTCTGAAATTAAGGAGGAAAGTGGTGGAGTAAAGGGCTCGAGAAGACTGGAAGGTTTGAAAATAGCCCCTGAAGAGAAGGGGAAAAATGCTGACAAACGATGAAGAGTAGGACAGCTGGGCAGCCACTTAGCACGAAGTACCAAGGGTCCCACTAAGGTTAGAAACTATGAATTTGCACTGACCCAAATCTGAACAATTGTGTGATTTTTTTTCCAGCAGTGCTCAGCAGCCCAGGAAGAGGAACAAAAGAGTTGGATGTCTGAATTGGTTTGGAGTTGGATTTCACATGGTGAGCAGGCAGGTGTAAGAATAAAAGCAAGATTCAAGGGCTGATGTGATGAACCATGAGGTCTGTACTACAGAGGAAAACAAAGTAAATTAGGAGAAAAACTAAGTGGTTTCTATTAGATCAGGAAATGGATATGTATGGACATAAGAGTGAGAGGCTTTAGAAAGTAAAAAACTGTGGATAGAGGAGTCTCAGAGGATTAGATATCAGGGATGGAATATGACAAATTCTGAAGTGTGGTCTTGTGGGGAATGACTGAGGTGGAGTGGAGGTGGAGTTAAAGATGAGTAGAGAAGGGAAAGACCAGGAAGTTGGATGGATCATCCAAAATGATGGCACTTGGATGGATATGAAGATCACGATCTCGGTGACAAATTCTTCACCAAATAAAAGTGAGGTTACAAAATGATAGCAGTAAGAAAGAATAGAAGGTAGTGTATTTAAACGGCATGTGCCTTAAAGAGGAAAGGTCATTTGGAAATGGCACTTGAAATCAAGTATAATTCTGACCTTACTCTCATCCTGTAGTTCAGGGTCATAGAAGAATGGGCAGCAAGTACTCAGAGGATCACAGCAAGTCCTTAACTTGGGAGAGAGCCAGGATCCAGTCTAAGGGCCTCAGAAGGCACCATGGAAATAGTTGGTAGAGAAGAAAGTAGGTGAGCGAATTCAGGGTTGAGTTGGTGTGAAGGGAGCGCACGGTGGTCTAAGAATGACCAGAGATGAGGCTTAAGATAGAATGACCAGAGAGGTTAGCATTTGGGGAGATGCCAAAGAAGATAAAAGATGAGAAACCTAATGGGATTGGCTGGTATCAAAGCCCTGAACTAACTACAGAGGAACATTTCCATACTAACGCAGACCCATGCACTGGGTGCCACAAAAGCCATGTGTCATTAGTCCTATATGCTTTAATCAGCATTCTGTGACTGAATTTCTTTGGCCCAGGGTTTCAAAAGACCATGGGCTCAAGAGTCAGATTCTTGAGGTTCTAATCCCAGCTCTACTCTTTCCAATCATGTGACTTCAGAAAAATTACTTAACCTCTCTAAGGCTCCTTGATAAAGGAGAGATAATAATAGTACTGGCCTCACAGAGTTGTCAAAAAGCTTAAAGAGATGCTGTGTGTGAAATGCCTGGTACATGATAGGCATTCAATAAATGTTAGCTATATTTGCCAATGTTGGTAAAAAGTAATTTTGACCTCTCCACTGAGTTCTGTAGGCTTATGTAAGCAAAAGCCTATGTTGCATTGCTTTTTGGATGTCTCACAGGCTTCCCCACCTAATCTCTTCTTCTTACACTGTTCCTTACTTCACTGAATAACCTCCACCAATTTTACTATCCAGATCAGAAACCTAGATATTATCCTTGATTCCTCCCCATGGATTAACTTTTCACATCAAATCCATCATCAAATCCTGCCATTTTTGTCTACTAAATATAATTCAGTCCAGCCACTTCTCTCCATCTCCACTGTCACAACCTTACTCCAAGAGCCTGGAAACTATCCCAGATTCTTCTCTTTTCCTAACACCCTACAACAATCATTACTAGTTCCTTTCATTCTACCACCTAATTACATCTTTTTTCTATTATTTTTTAAACTTTTAATAGGGATATATATCATACATGTAGAAAATTATATAAAACATATGCACAATTTAAAGAATGATTACAAAGTGAACATCCATTAACCCAGATAAGCACTACCAGTCCTTTAAAAGCACCTTCATGTTATGTTACCCCTTCATCACATTATTTCTCTCTTCCTAGAAGTAATCACTACCCTAAATTTTGTAGAATAAATCCCTTGCTTTTCCTTGTAACTTTACTATCTATGTAGACATCCTTAAGCAATATAGTTTAGTTAGGCCTAAAGTTCCAGAAATGGAATTATATATTCTTTGGTTACTTACTTATTTTACACAATGTATTTGTGAGATTCATCTATGTTGGTAGGTGTAAATTTAGTGTTCACTTCCATTGCTATATTGGATTTTATTGTACAAAGATATCATAATTGATTTATTCATTCTACTCTTGATGGACATTTGCATTTTTCCAGTTTGGGGCTATGACAATGTAGCTATGAACATATATAAAAGATATTCTAGGAGACACACCTAGTAGTTGAACTGCTGGGTCATAAGAATCTTCTATCTTCTATCAGATAGTGATGAACTATTTCTTATGTATCTGTACCAATTTACATTCTCATTGGCAATGTATGAGATTTGCCATTGCAGTTCACTTCTGAACTTAGGGGAAAGCATTGTTTTCACCATTAACTGTGGATATTTTTGGTAAACACTCTTCATCAGGTTAAGAAAGTTCCCTTCTATTCCTGGTTTGTTGCATCATGAATGGGCACTAGCTTTCATCAAATTCTTTTTCTGCCTATCTTGAGATGATTGTGGGGTTTTTTGTCTTTTATTCTATTAATATAGTATATTACACTAATTGATTTTCAGATGTTAAACCAATCTAACATCACTAGAATAAATCTCATTTGTGTCATGGTGCACAATCATTTTTATATGTTGCTGAATTTGGTTTGCTAATTGTATTAGTTTTCTAGTGCTGAGTAACAAATTACCACAAAGTCAGCAGCCTAAAACAACACCCATTTATTAGCTCACAGTTCTGTAAGTCAGAAGTCAAGCATGTCATGACTGGGATCTCTGCTAAGGATATCACAAGGCTGAAATCAAAGTGCCAGCCAGACTGAGTCTCACCTGCAGGCTCTGGGAAAATATCTGCTTCCAAGTTTTTATTGGAAGAATTGAGTGCCCTATTATTGTAGGACCGAGGTACTAATTTCCTTGCTGGCTAACTTTTGGGGGTTGCTCTCAGCTCCTAGAGACTGCTGGTATTCCCTGCTCTCTGCTTTTTTAAGCAGCAACAGCATGTCAAATCCTTGTCATGCTTCGAATCTCTGACTTGCCCTTCTGAGACCAGCCAGAGGAATCTCTTTGCTTTTGAAGGGCTCGTGTTATTTAGCCAGGCCAACCTGAATAAATTCCTTTTCAGTCAACTGATTTAGAACCTTCATTACATCTGCAAAATCCCTTCACAACAATGCCTAGATTAGTGCTTTATTAAATAACTGATAAAATATGTATGTACACCAAGGGCCAGGAATCTTGGAGGATCATGTTAGAGTTCTGCCTTCCACACTAATATTTTGTTAAGGATATTTGCATCTGTTTTCATGAGGGATATTGGTTTGTAGTTTTCTTTCATTGAGATACCTTTTTCAGACATTGGTATCAGGTGATACTGGCCTCATAGAATAAGGTGGGAAGTGACCCCTTTTCCTTTATTTCTGAAAGTGTTTGTGAATAAGTGGTATTATTTCCTCTTTAAATATTAGATAAAACTCACCAGTGGAGCCATTTAGACATGAATTTTTCCCTTTGGAATTTTTAAATTACTATTAGGTTGGTGCAAAAGTAATTGTGGTTTTGCCATTTAAAGTGATGGCAAAAACTGCAATTTCTTTTGCACCTACCTAACATTTCATTTTCTTGTTATAGGTTTGTTTTGTTTTGAGACAGAGTCTCACTCTTGCCCAGGCTGAGTGCAGTGGTATGATCTCGGCTCACAGCAACCTCCACCTCCCGGGTTCAAGAGATTCTCCTGCCTCAGTCTTCAGAGTAGCTGGGATTACAGGTGCCCACCACCACACCCGGCTAATTTTTGTATTTTTAGTAGAGATGGGGTTTCGCCATGTTGGCCAGGCTGGTCTCGAACTCCTAACCTCAAGTGATCCGCCCACCTTGGCCTCCCAAAGTGCTGGGATTACAGGCATGAACCACTGCTCCCAGCCTACTTCTTACAGGTCTATTCACATTTTTTATTTCTTCCTGAATCTGTTTCATTAATTTGTCTTTCTAGAAATTTGTTCAGTTCATCTAAGTTGTCTAACTTGTTGACATCATGTTGTTTATAATATTCCCTGTACTAGACTGAATACTGTCCCCCAAATATCTGTGTCTACCCATAATCTCAGAATGTGATCTTATTTGGAAATAGCATGTTTGCAGATATAATTAGTTAAGATGAGGTCATTCTAAATCCAGTGACTGTTGTCCTAAGAAGTCCACGTGATGACACAGAGGAGACACACACAGTGGAGAAGGCCACGTGAAGACAGAGGTTGCAGTTATGCTGCCATAAGCCAAGGAATGCCCAGGCTTGCTAGCAACCCCCAGGAGCTGGAAAAGGCAAGGAAAGATTCTCTCCTAGAGTTTTTGGAAAGAGTGTGGCTTTGCCAACACTTTGATTTTTGACTTCCTAGCCTCCAGAACTGTGAGAGAATACATTTCTGTTGTTTGAAGCCACGCAGTCTTTAATAATACGTTATAGTAGTCTTAGGAAACTAACATACCCTCTTATAGTCCTTTCAATTTCTGTAGAGTCAATAGTGGTGCTCTCTTTCGTTCCTGACTTTGGTAAGTTCTGTCTTTTCTCTTTTATTTTGTTAGTTTAGCTAAAGATTTGTCGATTTTGTTGGTCTTTTCAAAGATCAACTTTTGGTTTTATTGATTTTTCTCTATTATTTTTCTGTTTTCCCTTTCCTTGATTTCCACTCTAATCATTATTTCCTTCTGCTTGCCTTGGATTTAGTTTGCTACTCTTTTTCTAGATTCTCATTGTATAAATTCAGATTATTGATTTGACTCTTTTATAACATTTTCTAGTATAGTAATTTAAAGTCATAATTTTCCTACAAAGCACTGCTTTAGCTGCATCCCATAAGTTTTGGTATATTATGTCTTCATTTCCGTTCCACTCAAAATATTTTCCAATTTTTATTGTGATTTCTTCTTTTACCAGTGGGTGACTTAGAAGTATGTTGTTCAATTTTCAAATATTCGGAGATTTCCAAGATTTCTTTCTTTTGTTGATTTCTCATTTAATTATGTTGTAATCACAGAAGATACTTTGTATGATTTCAGTAATGTACTAAGACTTGTTTTATGGCCTAACATATGTTTTATCATGGACAATGTTCCATGTGTACTTGAAAAGAATATTTATTCTGTAACTGTTGGGTGTAATATTATATAAATATTCGTTGGTTGATATGCCATTGTTCAAGTCTTCTATGTCATTGTTAATTTTCTGTTTAACTGTTATATCAATGATTGAGAGTATTAAAATCTCCAACTACAATTGTCAAATTGTCTATTTATCCTGAGTTTCTGTTTTTAGGTGCATATACATTTATAACTATTAAATCTTCCTTACGTATTGACTCTTTTATCCTTATGAAATGTTTATCTTTTTCCTAGAATATTATTTCTTCTCTTAAACTCTAGATTGTCTAATTTTAATATACCCACTCCGGCTCTCTTATAGTTACTGTTTTCATGGTATATCTTTTACCATTATTTTGCTTTTGACCTGTTGTGTCTTTGAATCTAAAGTGTGTCTCTTGTAAGCAGCTGGATCTTATTTATTTTTTTAATCCAATCTGACAATCTCTATTTTTTGTTTAGGTTATTTAGACTATTCACATGATATCTATGTACCACATTTTCTTTATCCAGTCCACCATTGATAGGCACCTGGGTTGATTCCATATCTTTGCTATTGACAATAGGGGGCAAATGTATTTATAGCTGAGCCTCCTCACTTGCACAGCAGAGATCTCAGGAGGCCCCAAGCTAGTCACCCACTATTGGCCAACCCTGAGGTCTATAGGCAAAAGCATGAAGTAAAACCAGAGGTAGATCTGAAAACAGTCTGACTTTGAATGCCATCTTCTATCAAGGCACGGATCCACAGATGATACCGGCAATGAGGTATTTGAGCACCTCCAACCACCAAGCTATACAAATATAGAGACAACCACTAGGAAGCCAGGCTTAAAAATAAAAACAAGAGTATTGAAACATAACTGAGCAGAGGCATCAGTGTCCACATACTTGCACCATGCAAGGGTAAAAGATTTAGCCTAAGCAAATTACCAACCAAAGAAATAAATAAATAAGCAAAACAACAACAGAAACCTTTAGGAGAAAACTATCAGAATACAGAGTGGCTACAAAATTGATCGAAAATGGCCAGTAGTCAGGAAGAAAAAATTACAAGACATGAAAATAAATAGTCTCATTTATTCTTTCTTGCTTTATTTATTTATTTCTTTGTAATATATATTACATCTCTGTATATTTGAAGCCCGCCAATGCAATATTATAATTGTTACTTCATACAATTTTATGTTGCTTAAAAAAAGAGGAGAAATGAAAAAAGATATATATTTATAGAATCTTTCATAATACCCTACATATTTACCATTTGTGCCATACTTTATTTCTCCCTATGGAGTCAAATTGTCTGCTATTGTCACTTCCTTTCAACCTGAAGAACTTCCTTAAGTCCTTAAGGATTGCTTATAAGCCAGGTCTGCTAACAACAAATTATCTTAGTCTTTGTTTATCTGGAAATGTCTTTATTTCACCTTCATTTTCAAAGGATACTTTTATAAGAAATAAAATTCTTATTGGACAGCTTTTTCCCTTCAACACTTTGAACATATCATCCCCTTGACTCCTGGCCTCTATTACTTCTGATGAGAAAGTTGATAATTGTATTTATGCTCCCCTGTACATAACAAGATTTTTTTTTTCTCTTGTTGCCTTCACGGTTTTTTCTTCATTTTTGAACAGTTTGACTGTGATGTGACTAGGTATGGATTTCTTTGTATTTATCCCACTTGGGGTTTGTTGAGGTTCTTAGATTTATAGACTGATATTTTCCATCAACTCTCTGGGAAGTTTTTGGACATTATTTCTTCAAGGCTTTTTTTTTTGCCTCTTTCCCTTTCTTCTGTTTTCCTGCCCCTGTCTCTCTCTACACCCATCATAATGTATATTATTTATAGGCTTAATGTTATACCATAGGTCTCTGAGGCTCTGTTTTTTTTTTCTTCTGTCTTTATTTCTCTCTTGTTTGTATTGCATAATTTCTATTGAAATTACTTATCTTCGGCCGGCATGGTGGCTCATGCCTGTAATCCCAGCAATTTGGGAGGCCAAGGCGGGTGGATCACCTGAGATCGGGAGTTTGAGACTAGTCTGACTAACATGGAGAAACCCCGTCTCTACTAAAAATACACAATTAGCCGGGCATGGTGGTGCACGCCTGTAATCCCAGCTACTCAGGAGGCTGAGGCAGGAGAATTGCTTGAACCCAGGAGGCAGAGTTTGCGGTGAGCCAAGATTGCACCATTGCATTCCAGCCTGGGGGACAAGAGCAAAACTCCATCTCAAAAAAAACAAAAAAAAATTATTTATCTTCAACTCCACTGATTGTTTCTTCTGCCATCCAGAATCTGCTCAAGCGCCTGTAGTGAACTTTTCACTTCTGTTATTATACATTTCAGCTTCAGAATTACCTTTAAAAAATCATTTCTAACTCCATATTGAGACTGTTTGTTGATTCATTGATGTCATACTTGCATTTAATTATTTCAACATGTCTTCTTTTAGTTCGTTATACATATTTATAACAGATGCTTTGAATTCTTTGTCTCCTAAATCCAACCATTAGGGACACTCAGATATAGTTTCCACTGATGTATATTTTCCTGGGTATGGGTCACATTTTCCTATTTATTTTCATGTCTTGTAATGTTTTCTTCTTGACAATTGGCCATTTTTGATCAATGTTGTAGCCACTCTGTATTCTGATAGTTTTTTCCTAAAGGTTTCTATTGTTGTTTTGCTTATTTATTTATTTCTTTGGTTGGTAATTTGCTTAGGCTAAATCTTTTACCCTTGCATGGTGCAAGTATGTGGCCACTGATGCCTCTGCTCAGTTATGTTTCGATACTCTTGTTTTTATTTTTTGTTTTATTTTTAAGCCTGGCTTCCTAGTGGTTGTCTCTATATTTGTTTAGCTTGGTAATCAGAGGTGCTCAAACACCTCATGCCAGTATCACCTGTGGATCGGTGCCTTGATAGAAGATGGCATTCAAAGTCAGACTGTTTTCAGATCTGTCTCTGGTTTTACTTTATGCCAGGCACTTTTGCCTATAAGCCTCAAGGTTGGTCAATAGTGGGTGACTAGCTTGGGGCCTCCTGAGATCTCTGCTGTGCAAGTGAGCGGGCTCAGCTATAAATATGTTTGCCCCCTATTCTCAATAGCAAAGATATGGACTCAACCCAGGTGCCCATCAATGGTGGATTGGATAAAGATAATGTGGTATATATACACCATGGAATACTACACAGCAACAAAAAGAAAAAAATCATATCCTTTGCAGCAACATGGATGCAGCTGGAGGCCACTATCCTAAGCGAATTAACATAGAAACAGAAAACCAAATACCACATGTTCTCACTTATAAGTGGGAGCTAAACATTGGCCACACACACACAGACACAAAGATGGGAACAGTAAATACTGGGGATTCCAAAAGTGGGGAGGTAGGGAATGAGGTAATGGTTGGAAAACTACCTATTAGGTACTATGTTCACTACTTGGGCGATTGGATCATTACATGCAATATACTCATGTAACAAACCTGCACATGTGCCCCCTGAATCTAAGATTACAATTTAAATTTTAAAACAAGAAATACATTTACCCCAACTACAACCACGACCTCAGACTAATAGGACCAATCCACTGGCCTTCTCCCACTGGCCAGCCTCCTAGAAATCAGTTCCATTGACAGTGATGCTAAGCATGGGCACTGCCCTTTTCTCAAAATAGAATGGGTCCTGCCCCTTGACCTTGGCAGAAAAGCTGCCAACTCAAGATCTGACAGAACCTCCTCCACACTGGAACTGATATGAGATAGGAGCATCCCTAGGCCACAGATTTTCAATGTTCTTACCCAAAGTCAAGCAGTTTTTCAAGCATAAGTTCTTCTCAGATTCATGTACACCTTAGGTTAGTTTCTAAAGTGCCAAAATGGTCGCTTGTATGATTTAGCCTAGCTTTATATTTGCTTTTTAGGGAGTGGATTTGCCTAACTCCTTAATCAGCCACACCCTGAACTTCCACTCCTGAAAGGCTTCAATTTTTGCCTATCAAATGGGTGTGTAATGGTTTCTCATTACGGTTTTCATTTGCATTTTCCAATCAAGTTGAGTACCTTTTCATGTTTACTGGCTGTTTGAATTTCCCCTTTTATCAACTGTCTATTTAAGTCTTTTGCTAATTTTTCTGTTAGGTTGTCTGTCTTTTTCTTGTTGATTTTCAGAAGTTATTTGTATATTCTGGATATGAGTCATTTATTGGCTCATAGATGCTGCAAAATTTTCTCTCCCCTTGTGGCCAGTCCTTTCACTCTTTTGTGATGTATCTTGATAAACAGAAGTACTTAATTTTAATGCAGTTGAATGTATCAATGTTTTCCTTTGGTTCTGCTACTTTTTCCTTCTTTTATAAACTCTTCTTTATCCTGAGGATACAAAGGTAGCCTCCCATGTTCTAAAAGTTTTGCTTTTTCACATTTTGGTCCTTTATCTTCCTAAAGTTGATTTTTATATATGGTGTGTTGTAGGGGTCAATTTTCATTTTTGTCCTATACTCAGTTTTTACTGCATTATTAATCAAAAATGCATGCTTCTCATGCCATTTCAGTTGTATATGAAGTGTCAAAGCATGTACAGTATGTATCTCTCTGTGCTGTATTCTATTACATTGGATTATTTGTCTCTTCCTATGAAAATACTACCCTGTCTTAATTACTACAGTTTTATAATAAGTCTTAATTATATTAAAATTATAGATTGACTTAAGGGACAATTATCATCTTCCATCTATTGAGATTACATCAGATTTTTCTCCTTGAATTTGTTAAGGTGGCAGAATTACATCCATTTATTTTGTGTGTGTGTGTTAAAGCAACTTTGCATTCTTAATATGAACCCAATTTGGTTATTATATTTTTAAACATTGCTAGTTTCAATTTGCTAATATTTTGTTTAGGATTTTTGCATTAATGTTCATGAATGAAATTGGCCTATAATTTTTTTCATAGTTTCTTTTTCAGATTTTATCAAGGTTAGCTTCATAAAATTAGCTAGAAATGTCCCCTTTTCTTATTCTCTGGATAAATTTGTATAAGTTTGGAATTATTTCATTCTTTTTTTCTTTCTTTTTTTTCTTTTCTTTTTTTTTTTTTTTTTTTTTTGAGACAGAGTATTGCTCTGTCACCCGGGCTAAAGTGCAGTGGCATGATCTCGGCTCACTGCCACCTCTGCCTCCTGGGTTCAAGCTATTCTCGTGCCTCAACTGCCAGAGTAGCTGGGATTACAGGTGTGCACCACCATACCTGGCTATCACTCTTGAATATTTGGTAGAACGCACTGGTGAAGCCATCTGGACTTGGAGTTTTTCTTTGCAGGAAGGTTTTTAATAGCAAATTCAGTATATTTAATGCTTGTAAGAAAATGCAGGGTTTTTTGTTCCTTCTTAAGTCAGTTTTGGTAAGATGTCTTCTTACGCCACCACTCCAACTCTCCCAAAACCACCTTCTACATGTGAACTGAAGGAATTGTTGTTTCAAAAAGCAAAGCAGATTATACTATTCCTCTGTTTGAAAGCTTTCGATGGCTTTTAATTTTATTAATAAACAAAACCAAGAACTGCTTGCCTTGGCCTATGATGCCTTGCATGAACTAGTCCTGCCTAACTCTTTAGCCTCACTTTTTTTTCACTCTGGTGCTTGCTCACTCTGCTCTATAGCCACACTGGCCTTCTGTTTGGTCCGTAATAAAAAACCAAGCTTGTGTTTCCCTCAGGGCTTTGCATTTGCTGTTTCTTCTTTCACATGCTCTTCTCCCAATTGTAACAATGCTGGCTCTTTCTCATTCTTTATAGCTCTGTTTAAATGTCACCTCTTCTGAAAGACCTTTCCAGATCATCCCATCTAAAGTAGGTTCCTGTCTTATTTTTTCCTTCATGGCACTTAATCATAACTTGCAGTCCTAATTGTTTTGTTTTGTTTATTTCATTTAGCCTTCCTTCCTTTCTCTAACCTGTAACATGCTTGAGACCTGGGATGTTGACCACCTTATTTATTGTTATGGTCCTAGTGTCTAGCACACTACCTGGAATGTGGTAGGCACTCAATGTTTTTTTCATGAATAATGAATAAGCTTAATCAGGGCTAAGACATGGGTGGAGGGGATGGCTTGCTTAGGGGTAACTCAGGATATAACAAATCAACCCTAAAGCATTAGTAGAGTAAAAGCAAGCAAAGTTCAAGTGGATTTGATATTCAGGAACAGTAGACAAACCAGAACTGAATAGGGATTTTGAATGCCAGACTAAGAAACTTTGATTTTATGCTAATGGCAACTGAGAGCCTTTGAAAGTGTCACAGGAAGAGATTAAACAAGGTGCCTAGGTTCTAACAGCTAATTAATGTCTAAGCCAAACCTGAAATTCAGATCCTTGACTCTGATTCCTCTGTAATCAGTTGCTTCTCTAAGTAACAGCACTTGGAATAAAAATATAAAAGCACAGTGGTAAGCGACTGGGCTCCAGACTCAGACTGCCTATATTCACATCTCAACTCCACCACCTCTTAACTGTGGGACCTTGGACCCCATTCTCTACACCTGTGAAATGGACATAATGAGTACTAAAGTCATCAGACTGGTTTGAGAATTAAATGAGATGTAATACAGTGTCTGGCCCATGGTAAGTGCTCAATAAATGCTGGTTGCTATTAACCACGTCTTATTTCTTTTTACTTGGCAGTATTTTCTAACTCTTCTACAATGAACGTGTCATGCAAAAAGAGTAAGCGATGGAATTTACATTAAAAAGTGACTTGAAAAATAGTATCCCTTCAACCTAGAAGGATCATCTCATCTCAGTTTTTGGACCCTCGCCCAAATCATCCTTTGAAAATACTCATGTGAGATCACATCAATAAAACTTCCTTGCATTCTCTCCTGAACTCCTTCTGTTACAATATTAGAGGGAAGAATACCCAAGTTGTATTTGGAGCCCCTGTTTTCTTAAGATTATAATCCATGGAGATTCAAGATGCAGGAGAAAAAACTTAAAGGGGGAGTCTTCATTCTGACAATAAGATTTGTGAATTTCCACTTGCTTTCTTGTCAAAAGGGATAGGAAAGATGCGAAGAGAGAGTTCTCTGGCTGAAGAATTAACTTCCAATCAGCTTGGAACTCCAGGAACTGTTCATGTGAACAAGCTCAATTTCACACTCTGTTCTTCTCATCTTTAAGATCCAAGAAAGTAAATTCAACAGGAAACAGTTATTTTAGGCTAGTGCCACATCAATATACTTTGTGTTTCTCAAGTGTAGATGCAGCGGGAAGAAGGCAACTTAGCTCAATCTGAAACTGTATGAACAGGAGCATTTCGGCTTGCTGGGCTGCAGCGTTCCTAGTGGCCAACAGGTGTATAAAACACATCTGCCCATTTCTTTCAGCTCCGTTTCTGTGGGCTTACTGGTTTCCAGAGTTGAGTGGCCTAGATATTTTTCTAAGTGACAACTTCTTAACCTAGGACCCACTGATGGGTTTCGGGGGGTCTATGAATGAGTTAAATTTGTAAGTGCAAAGAATTGAAACCTTATTGTACTGAATTTTTAAAGCCATTATTATGAGGAAGGATAATATCATGAATGAGAGAGCTGCATAAATGCTTTAAATGGAGAGGCTCTGAAAACGCCTGTTGCCTTAAATGTAATAGATCCCTTCCACTGATTTGCCAGGGTGCACAAAATTCTTTTCATTAGCATAGCCCTGTAGAACCTCCTTGGATTAAGCTTCAAGAGCTTCTGAGGGCTTCCATTTCCTTTAGTGACAGGCTAGGTTATTCGGATGAACCCTCCTGCCAAAAATAACAAAAAATGCTCCATAAAACACAGAAACATTCCCTCCCTTTAAAATATTTACATGATTAAAAGAGACGGGAGAATCTCTTGAACCTGGGAGGCAGAGGTTGCTGTGAGCCGAGATCGTGCCACTGCACTCCAGCCTGGTTGACAGAGGGAGACTCTGCCTCAAAAAAAAAAAAAAAAAAGATAATGTGGGAACTGCCAGGTCAAATTTCCCAGAGAAGTAAGCTGAATATCAGTACACCAAAGCCACTTGTTATGAAGTGAATGTGTATGTCCCTCACCCCAAAATTCATATGTTGAAATCCTAACCCTGAATGTGATGGCATTAGGAGGTGGGGCATTTAGGAGGCAATTAGGTCATGAGGGTAGAGCCCTCATGAATGGGAGTGGTGCCCTATAAAAGGGATCCTAGAGAGCTCTCTCTGCTCTCTGCCATATGAGGATACAAGGAGAAGTCAATAGTATTCAACTTGGCAGAGGGCACTCACCAGAAATGATCGTGCTGGCACCCTGATCGCAGACTTCCAAGCTCCAGGACTGTGAGAAAGAAATTTCTGTTGTTTAATCCACCCAGTCTATGGCACTTTGTTATAGCAGCCCAAATGGACTGAGGAACTACTTTTACTCTGTGAATATTTGCTGGTACTGAATACTTTAAGCATCAGTTCTACGGCCTCAAGGGGCAAGGTGCAGAGAAGTCAAGGCCCAGGTCCCACTCAAGGTAAGGAGTCCTACAGCAAACCCAATCCACATGAAGTCGAGCCTCTAAAGGGCTCTAAGTTAGGGTAGGGATGAACCACAACTAAAATAGGCCTTCTCTATTAATCAGAGTTTGGTCAGGAAAACAGGAGCCACTCTATGTATTCCAAGTATGAAAGGTTTTAATACAAGGAAACAGAGACCTACATATCTGTTGGAAGAGCTTGGTGAGCAAAAGTCATGGAAGTTGCTGCCAGAGTTCTCAGCCTGCAGTATCAAGGCCAGTGATTCTTACATGCTCACCTGGAAACAAACAGAATCTCAAGAACCTCTAGGTATCTCCCATCAACATAACATATTTCTAACTATTTTCTCTTATAGTGAAAATATCGGTTCCTAAAAACATTAATATAGTTATTTGCTTTATCCTATGATATGCATAAAATGATTTCAAAATAAAATACTATTAACAATAAACAATGAGGAAAGTTAAGATGTCTTTCTGGTTCCTTGTCCTTAGAATTTATCTCACTAAATATCTATAGTCAGAGTGTTGTGTTCAAAAATTACTTGAAACATTAGTTACTCTGCATATATAATTAGGTTATTTGACTGCGTGGTAAAACTCTGGTGGGGCCATCTAGGCCAGAAGTTTCTTTATAGGATATTTTTTTTAATTTTTTAAGCAAGAAAGTTCGAAGAATTATACAATGCAAACCCACATACCCTCTACTTAGATCAACAATTGTTAACATTTTTCCATATTTGCCTTACATAGATAAATAATAGATGTATATATTTTATTTTTGCTGAACTTTTTAAAAGTAAATTGCAGGAATCATGAGTTTACCTCTAAATACTTTAGCATGCATTTCCTACAAATCAGGACATTCTTATGTAAATTACCATTCTGCCTGAAATTTCAAGAACGTTTTGTCCATACTTAAGTAGAGTACAAGAAAGGAACCCTGAATAAATTCTGTAAAATACAAAAGGTAAGAAAACAAATATCTTTTGTGAAGTTTAAGGAGATACACTAGTCATAACTAGAGGAACTGAACTGATATTGAATTTGGACATTTGGGATTGGTTGCTCCAAGCATTCACCTTGTATTAGTCCGTTCTCACACTGCTATAAAGAAATACCTGGGAGGGAGGAGCCAAGATGGCTGAATAGGAACAGCTCCGGTCTACAGCTCCCAGTGTGAGCGACGCAGAAGATGGGTGATTTCTGCATTTCCATCTGAGGTACCGGGTTCATCTCACTAGGGAGTGCCAGACAGTGGGCGCAGGTCAGTGGGTGCGCGCACCATGCACGAGCCGAAGCAGGGCGAGGCATTGCCTCACTCCGGAAACGCAAGGGGTCAGGGAGTTCCCTTTCCTAGTCAAAGAAAGGGGTGACAGACGGCACCTGGAAAATCGGGTCACTCCCACCCGAATATTGCGCTTTTCCGAGGGGCTTAAAAAACGGCACACCAGGAGATTATGTCCCGCACCTGGCTCGGAGGGTCCTACGCCCACGGAGTCTCACTGATTGCTAGCACAGCAGTCTGAGATCAAACTGCAAGGCGGCAGCGAGGCTGGGGGAGGGGCGCCCGCCATTGCCCAGGCTCGCTTAGGTAAACAAAGTAGCCAGGAAGTTCGAACTGGGTGGAGCCCACCACAGCTCAAGGAGGCCTCCCTGCCTCTGTAGGCTCCACCTCTGGGGGCAGGGCACAGACAAACAAAAAGACAGCAGTAACCTCTGCAGACTTAAATGTCCCTGTCTGACAGCTTTGAAGAGAGCAGAGGTTCTCCCAGAACACAGCTGGAGATCTGAGAACAGGCAGATTGCCTCCTCAAGTGGGTCCCTGACCCCTGATCCCTGAGCAGCCTAACTGGGAGGCACCCTCCAGCAGGGGCAGACTGACACCTCACATGGCCGGGTACTCCAACAGACCTGCAGCTGAGGGTCCTGTCTGTTAGAAGGAAAACTAACAAACAGAAAGGACATCCACACCAAAAACCCATCTGTACATCACCATCATCAAAGACCAAAAGTAGATAAAACCACAAAGATGGGGAAAAAACAGAGCAGAAAAACTGGAAACTCTAAAAAGCAGGGCACCTCTCCTCCTCCAAAGGAATGCAGTTCCTCACCAGCAACGGAACAAAGCTGGACGGAGAATGACTTTAACGAGCTGAGAGAAGAAGGCTTCAGACGATCAAATTACTCCAAGCTATGGGAGGACACTCAAACCAAAGGCAAAGAAGTTGAAAACTTTGAAAAACATTTAGAAGAATGTATAACTAGATTAACCAAGACAGAGAAGTGCTTAAAGGAGCTGATGGAGCTGAAAACCAAGCCTCGAGAACTACGTGAAGAATGCAGAAGCCTCAGGAGCCAATGCGATCAACTGGAAGAAAGGGTATCAGCGATGGAAGATGAAATGAATGAAATGAAGCGAGAAGGGAAGTTTAGAGAAAAAAGAATAAAAAGAAACGAGCAAAGCCTCCAAGAAATATGGGACTATGTGAAAAGACCAAATCTACGTCTGATTGGTGTACCTGAAAGTGATGTGGAGAATGGAACCAAGTTGGAAAACACTCTGCAGGATATTATCCAGGAGAACTTCCCCAATCTAGCAAGGCAGGCCAACATTCAGATTCAGGAAATACAGAGAACGCCACAAAGATCCTCCTTGAGAAGAGCAACTCCAAGACACATAATTGTCAGATTCACCAAAGTTGAAATGAAGGAAAAAATGTTAAGGGCAGCCAGAGAGAAAGGTTGGATCACCCTCAAAGGGAAGCCCATCAGACTAACAGCGGATCTCTTGGCAGAAACTCTACAAGCCAGAAGAGAGTGGGGGCCAATATTCAACATTCTTAAAGAAAAGAATTTTCAACCCAGAATTTCATATCCAGCCAAACTAAGCTTCATAAGTGAAGGAGAAATAAAATACTTTACAGACAAGCAAATGCTGAGAGATTTTGTCACCACCAGGCCTGCCCTAAAAGAGCTCCTGAAGGAAGCACTAAACATGGAAAGGAACAACCGGTACCAGCCGCTGCAAAATCATGCCAAAATGTAAAGACCATCGAGACTAGGAAGAAACTGCATCAACTAACGTGCAAAATAACCAGCTAACACAATGACAGGATCAAATTCACACATAACAATATTAACTTTAAATGTAAATGGACTAAAAGCTCCAATTAAAAGACACAGACTGGCAAATTGGATAAAGAGTCAAGACCCTTCAGTGTGCTGTATTCAGGAAACCCATCTCACGTGCAGAGACACACATAGGCTCAAAATAAAAGGATGGAGGAAGATCTACCAAGCCAATGGAAAACAAAAAAAGGCAGGGGTTGCAATCCTAGTCTCAGATAAAACAGACTTTAAACCAACAAAGATCAAAAGAGACAAAGAAGGCCATTACATAATGGTAAAGGGATAAATTCAACAAGAAGAGCTAACTATCCTAAATATATATGCACCCAATACAGGAGCACCCAGATTCATAAAGCAAGTCCTGAGTGACCTACAAAGAGACTTAGACTCCCACACATTAATAATGGGAGACTTTAACACCCCACTGTCAACATTAGACAGATCAATGAGACAGAAAGTTAACAAGGATATCCAGGAATTGAACTCAGCTCTGCACCTAGCGGACCTAATAGACATCTACAGAACTCTCCACCCCAAATCAACAGAATATACATTTTTTTCAGCACCACACCACACCTATTCCAAAATTGACCACATACTGGGAAGTAAAGCTCTCCTCAGCAAATGTAAAAGAACAGAAATTATAACAAACTATCTCTCAGACCACAGTGCAATCAAACTAGAACTCAGGATTAAGAATCTCACTCAAAACCCCTCAACTATATGGAAACTGAACAACCTGCTCCTGAATGACTACTGGGTACATAATGAAACGAAGGCAGAAATAAAGATGTTCTTTGAAACCAATGAGAACAAAGACACAACATACCAGAATCTCTGGGACGCATTCAAAGCAGTGTGTAGAGGGAATTTTATAGCACTAAATACCCACAAGAGAAAGCAGGAAAGATCCAAAATGGACACCCTAACATCACAATTAAAAGAACTAGAAAAGCAAGAGCAAACACATTCAAAAGCTAGCAGAAGGCAAGAAATAACTAAAATCAGAGCAGAACTGAAGGAAATAGAGACACAGAAAACCCTTCAAAAAAATCAATGAATCCAGGAACTGGTTTTTTGAAAGGATCAACAAAATTGATAGACTGCTAGCAAGACTAATAAAGAAAAAAAGAGAGAAGAATCAAATAGATGCAATAAAAAATGATAAAGGGGATATCACCACTGATCCCACAGAAATACAAACTACCATCAGAGAATACTACAAACACCTCTACGCAAATAAACTAGAAAATCTAGAAGAAATGGATAAATTCCTCGACACTTACACTCTCCCAAGACTAAACCAGGAAGAAGTTGAATCTCTGAATAGACCAATAACAGGATCTGAAATTGTGGCAATAATCAATAGCTTACCAACCAAAAAGAGTCCAAGACCAGATGGATTCACAGCCGAATTCTACCAGAGGTACAAGGAGGAACTGGCACCATTCCTTCTGAAACTATTCCAATCAATAGAAAAAGAGGGAATCCTCCCTAACTCATTTTATGAGGCCAGCATCATCCTGATACCAAAGCCTGGCAGAGACACAACCAAAAAAGAGAATTTTAGACCAATATCCTTGATGAACATTGATGCAAAAATCCTCAATAAAATACTGGCAAACCGAATCCAGCAGCACATCAAAAAGCTTATCCACCATGATCAAGTGGGCTTCATCCCTGGGATGCAAGGCTGGTTCAATATATGCAAATCAATAAATGTAATCCAGCATATAAACAGAACCAAAGACAAAAACCACATGATTATCTCAATAGATGCAGAAAAGGCCTTTGACAAAATTCAACAACGCTTCATGCTAAAAACTCTCAATAAATTAGGTATTGATGGGACATATTCCAAAATAATAAGAGCTATCTTTGACAAACCCACAGCCAATATCATACTGAATGGGCAAAAACTGGAAGCATTCCCTTTGCAAACTGGCACAAGACAGGGATGCCCTCTCTCACTACTCCTATTCAACATAGTGTTGGAAGTTCTGGCCAGGGCAATTAGGCAGGAGAAGGAAATAAAGGGTATTCAATTAGGAAAAGAGGAAGTCAAATTGTCCCTGTTTGCAGATGACATGATTGTATATCTAGAAAACCCCATTGTCTCAGCCCAAAATCTCCTTAAGCTGATAAGCAACTTCAGCAAAGTCTCAGGATACAAAATCAATGTACAAAAACCACAAGCATTCTTATACACCAATAACAGACAAACAGAGAGCCAAATCATGAGTGAATTCCCATTCACAATTGCTTCAAAGAGAATAAAATACCTAGGAATCCAACTTACAAGGGATGTGAAGGACCTCTTCAAGGAGAACTACAAACCACTGCTCAAGGAAATAAAAGAGGATACAAACAAATGGAAGAATATTCCATGCTCATGGGTAGGAAGAATCAATATCGTGAAAATGGCCATACTGCCCAAGGTAATTTACAGATTCAATGCCATCCCCATCAAGCTACCAATGACTTTCTTCACAGAATTGGAAAAAACTACTTTAAAGTTCATATGGAACCAAAAAAGAGCCTGCATCACCAAGTCAATCCTAGGCCAAAAGAACAAAGCCAGAGGCATCACACTACCTGACTTCAAACTATACTACAAGGCTGCAGTAACCAAAACAGCATGGTACTGGTACCAAAACAGAGATATAGATCAATGGAACAGAACAGAGCCCTCAGAAATAACGCCGCATATCTACAACTATCTGATCTTTGACAAACCTGAGAAAAACAAGCAATAGGGAAAGGATTCCCTATTTAAGAAATGGTGCTGGGAAAACTGACTAGCCATATGTAGAAAGCTGAAACTGGATCCCTTCCTTACACCTTATACAAAAATTAATTCAAGATGGATTAAAGACTTAAACGTTAGACCTAAAACCATAAAAACCCTAGAAGAAAACCTAGGCATTACCATTGAGGACATAGGCATGGGCAAGGACTTCATGTCTAAAACACCAAAAGCAATGGCAACAAAAGCCAAAATTGACAAATGGGATCTAATTTAACTAAAGAGCTTCTGCACAGCAAAAGAAACCACCATCAGAGTGAGCAGGCAACCTACAAAATGGGAGAAAATTTTCACAACCTACTCATCTGACAAAGGGCTAATATCCAGAATCTACAATGAACTCAAACAAATTTACAAGAAAAAAACAAACAACCCCATCAAAAAGTGGGTGAAGGACATGAACAGACACTTCTCAAAAGAAGACATTTATGCAGCCAAAAAACACATGAAAAAAAGCTCATCATCACTGACCATCAGAGAAATGCAAATCAAAACCACAATGAGATACCATCTCACACCAGTTAGAATGGCAATCATTAAAAAGTCAGGAAACAACAGGTGCTGGAGAGGATGTGGAAAAATAGGAACACTTTTACACTGTTGGTGGGACTGTAAACTAGTTAAACCCTTGTGGAAGTCAGTGTGGCGATTCCTCAGGGATCTAGAACTAGAAATACCATTTGACCCAGCCATCCCATTACTGGGTATATACCCAAAGGACTATAAATCATGCTGCTATAAAGACACATGCACATGTATGTTTATTGTGGCACTATTCACAATAGCAAAGACTTGGAACCAACCCAAATGTCCAACAACGATAGACTGGATTAAGAAAATGTGGCACATATACACCATAGAATACTATGCAGCCATAAAAAATGATGAGTTCATGTCCTTTGTAGGGACATGGATGAAATTGGAAACCATCATTCTCAGTAAACTATTGCAAGAACAAAAAACCAAACACCGCATATTCTCACTCATAGGTGGGAATTGAACAATGAGAACACATGGACACAGGAAGGGGAACATCACACTCTGGGGACTGCTGTGGGGTGGGGGGAGGGGGGAGGGATAGCATTAGGCGATATACCTAATGCTAGATGATGAGTTAGTGGGTGCAGCACACCAGCATGGCACATGTAGACATATGTAACTAACCTGCACATTGTGCACATGTACCCTAAAACTTAAAGTATAATAATAATTAAAAAAAAAAGAAATACCTGAGACTGGGTTATATATGATAAAAAAAAAAAGAGTTTTAATTTGCTCACTGTTCCACAGCTGTAGAGGTAGCATGACCGGGGATTTCTCAAGAAACTTTCAATCATGGCAGAAGGCGAAAGGGAAGCAGGCATATCTTATGTGGCTGGGGCAGGAGGAAGAGAGCAAAGTGGGAGGTGCTACACACTTTTAAACAACAAGATCTCATGAGAACTCAGTTACTATCATGAGAACACCAAGGGGGAAACCTACTGCATGAGCCAATCACCTCCCACCAGGCCCCTTTTCCAATATTGGAGCTTAAAATTCGACATGAGATTTGAGCAGGGACACAAATCCAAACCATATCACACCTAGATGTGGTGTTTGAGAACTGGATCCCTAGAATCTGAATCTGACACTAGAGCATGGTGCTTTAGGTAGCTTCCCAAACCTTTCCTCACCTCACACCCCCACACACAAAAAACATTGGAAAGTTAAGCATGAGAGAATGTTTGGGAGGACCTAAGGACAAAGTCCCACCTCTACGAGTGGGCTGTACTGATGTCCTTACTCCTAGTGATGTGCAAAGGTCTCTTTCAGCTTTACAATTCAGTATTTTCATGATACTCTGATTTGGGATTCAGATCTACCTCCACATAACATGGAAGGTGTGTTAAGCTTAAACATAATGCAAAAATAGGACAAAACATGAAAGCAGTATAGAGACCATTAAGGAAGCAAAGAGACTCGTACTTAAAAACCACAGGAGTCAAGGTAACATTTTCAGAAGAGTAAGACACGTTGAGGTATTTGAAAGCCATCACTGATTTCCAGCTAAACAAACACCGGTGCCTCTCTCTCTCTCTTTTTTTTCTTCTGCAGAAGAAGGTTTTGAACCGCTGGCCCCAGGACCACACTGCCTATGCTACAATCTTTGCTAGCACAATGGACGGCCTGTGTTCTGCTTTCAACTCCTATGAATCTAGAAACTGGAATTTGGAGCCAACGGTTGAAGTGGCAGCTTCCTGATTCCTCACTATTCTGACTATGGCAGAGGCATGTGTGGGTTACTTTTATGACATGTGTATCAACTACCCAGTGTTACAACAATCCTGTGTGACAAATCACCCCGAAACTCAGTGGCAAAAAATCAATAACCACTCATTTGTTATCATGAGCCTCCAGATCAGCTGAGCAGTTCTTCTGATCTTGGTTGGGCCTGGCTGGATAGTTCTGGTCTCAGCTGAGCTCACTTCACACACCTGGCAGTTGGCTGTCAGCTGAAGCAACTGGGGTCACTGGGCCACATGTTTCTCATTATTCAAAAGTCTAGTCCATGCATGCTCTTATGGTGAAGGCAGAGGAGCAAGGGGGAAAGTAGACAGGTGCAAGCAAGCAAGAAAGTGCTTTTCCAGGCCTCTGCCGGCATCAAGTTTGCTGTTGTCTCATTGGCCAAAACAAGTCACAAGGGCAAGCCAGAGTCTAGACTATATAGCCTAGATGTTGATTGTCTCCAGGTGTGACTTCTGTTTATTTTGCCCCACGCTAACCTTGAAGTAACAATCAGCACTTAGCTGGATCCCTAAATAGCAAATCCTCTCCACAAAGCACAGGTAAGCAGGGCAGATTTAGCTGGCAATTCTGTAGAGAAATGAGGGTTTATATAGAAAACCAAACAGCAACCGCATTGATACAAAATCTCCATTAGACACCTTTGTCTTGAGTTTCTCTGTCACTCTCTCTCCCTTTCCTTTTCTGCTTTCCTTTCCCCAGCCATGAACTAATTTATCTCCCCCTCCCTCTTTTATGCAGAGCAGTTGATTCTATTCAGGCAGCTCCAAATTTGCATCAATCACACTCAACCCATCAATAATGGACTAACTAGTGATTGGAATTCACCGTTCTTAGAAGGTAGTGAGACTGTACATAGCAATATTTTCCTGTTGCAATAGTAAATGTATTTTTCTATTCCCATCCAAAAGAAAAAAAAGTCATGTGGCTCCCTTGCTTAAAACCCATCATTTGTTCTCCCTCTCTTATAGATTAAACTACAAACTCCTCAGTGTGGCATAGCAGGCCCTCCATGATCTACCCCTCCCTGCTTCTCTATCTTCATGTCTTCCAGCGGCCCCTTCTTATACTAGGCTGGAGACACACAGAAGCATTTGCACCTATCCAAATGGGCCAGACTACTTCAACCCTCCACGCTTTTGCTCCTGTTGGTCCCTCTACCCCAATCTATCTGTCCCCTCCACCCCAATCTATCTGACTAGTGAACGCTTAGTCACTCCTTCTCTATAGAGCCTTTTGTGAATCTCTGTGGTAGAACTGACCTCTTTCCTCACCTATGGCCCTACCATACATTAAGACACTTTAGATCACTTACATATTTCCTGCTACAACACTGTGAGCTCTTGAAGGGGAGAGAACACAGCTTTTCATCTCTGTATCCCCAGTGCCAGGCATATAGCAAATGACTAAGTTAATCAATTTTGAGGTTGGGTTGTAAAAGGAATTTCATAACTGTTTTGTACATCATTTAAATTATTATATAATCCCACAGTGACTACTTTGAAGACAAGAACATTAATTTGAGAGATTATAAATTCTGGCAAGTTGTTAAAAACCAGTCACATTAACTTTATGTTCACTTTTCATACGTATCCTCAAAGACATTACCAAGTATTGAATTAGGGGACACTTTGCTTTCACTTTTGGGGGCATATAAATCAAGATAGGCCAGGTTATGTTGCAATAACAAACAATTTCAAGATCTCAGTGGGTTAAAAGAGAAGGAGCTTGTCTCTTTCCCACACAGTCCACTGCAGGTCTAGTTGACTGTCAAGGGCAACTGTCCTTCTCCACTTGGTGGCTCTGCATTGCACCTCCATTATCAGTAAGTTCTCCCTATTTGATAAGTCAGAGGAAAAGAGCACTGGAGAGTTCACAACCAATAACGTTTCCACCTAGAAGCATTTTTCATACTTTATTTGCCAAGGAAAGTCACGTGGCCACATCTAACTTCAAGAAAGGAGAAAAGTTTAGTCCTATTCTGAGCCCAGGAGGAAAGGGATCATCAATATTGGTGAGACTGGGCACAGTGGCTCACACCTGTAATCCTAGCACCTTAGGAGGTCGAGGTGGGAAGATTGCTTGAGCCCAGGAGTTTGAGACCAGCCTGGGCAACATAGAAAGACCCTGTCTCTAAAAAACTTTTTAAAAAATTAACTGAGAATGGTGGCACATGTCTATAATCCCGGCTACTCAGCAGGCTAAGGTGGGAGGATTCACTTCAGCCCAGGAGATTGAAACAGCAGTAAGCCGTGTTTGTACCACTGCACTTCAGCCTGGGCGACAGAGCAAGACTCTGTCAAAAAAAAAAAAAAGTGGTGAGCAGCACTAACACATCTTCCACTGTAGACTGAATTGTGCCCCCAACCAAAATTCATATGTTGAAGACCTAACCTTTAATGTGATGGTACTAGGAGGTGCAGCCTTTTGGAGGTAATTAGGTTTAGATGAGGTGAGAAGGATGGTACCACCATGATGGGATTTGAGTCCTTATTTAAAAAAGAAGAAAGACCAGAGCACTATGGGACCCAATCCAGGCAATCTAGGCTGCCTGTTGAACTATGAGCCCAGTTCATATGTGTTAACTCAGTCTCACGCCTCCCAATATCTCTGCATTTTTATTTATTGTCCCTTTATCAAGCACCCACTAGATGCCATGCCCTGTGCTGGGTGCGTTCCTGTCCACTAGCTCAGTGGATTCTCATAACTACCCTAAGATATAGCTCCTCTCATTACCCCCATTTGCCAGGTATGGAGAATGAAGCTGACAGAGATTAAGTGGCTTGAACAAGGTCATAGTAAGTAGTAGAACCAAGAACCAAGTCTGTAATTCACTGAATCCTGCATTGTGTCCATTGCACTACACACATCCTTCTGCCCAAAGCCAGACTCTCTGACTCTGCTTTCAGCCCTGCCTCCTCTCAGCTCCCCAGCTGCTCACTCCATTAATTATTCACCACTTCTACTCACTGGCTTCCTGGAGCCCTCAGTCTCTTCTGTACTACCCCCTTCCTGTCAATCATTCAGAATTACTTAGTATCCCCCATCCCAAATTAGTTTTCTTCAACCAAACAGAGATCTCCCCTGTCCTCTCTGTCCAGTCTCTACGAAACCGTTGCATCCACCTGTGCTCTGTTCTCTCAGCTTTAGTCCTCTACTGTCTGTCCTCAGCCCTCACCATTCTGCCAGTTGCAACTACTCTAAAACGTCCCAGGTAACCAAATCCAACATCTAGGCACTTCCATGTGACCCTGTCTACAGCAGTGACTCAGTGGCAATGAACACACTTGGTGCTGCCCCTTCACCCTGGAAGCTTCTTCCCTGTCACATCCTCCAGGGCATTGCACTCCTCTGATCATTCTTTCTGTCTCCACTGGCCCCTTTGCCTCGTTCTCTCTCCTTACGTGGGCATTCTCCCAAGTTCTGTTCTCAGTTAGTCCCCTCCCCCCACCCGCTTCCCTTTCCTTCCCTTCCCTTCCCTTCCTTTCTGCTATAGACTGAACTGTGTCCTCCACCACCATCTCCCAAATTCATATGTTGAAGCCCTAACTCCCAATGTGATGGTACTAGGAGGTGAGACCTTTGGGAGGTAATTAGCTTTCGATAAGATCATGAGGATGGAGCCCTCATGATGGAATTAACGTCCTTCTAAGAAGAAGAAGAGAGATCAGAGTTCGCTTTCTCTCTTTCATATGAGGACACAGCAAGAAGGTGGCTGTCTGCAATCCAGACAGAGCACCCTCACTAGGGAGCAATTGACTAGCACCTTGATCTTGGACTTCCCAGCCTCCAGAACTGTGAAAAACAAATTCATGTTGTTTAAGCCCCATAGTCTATGGTATTTGGTTATGGCAGCCCTGGCTGACCAAGACAACTTCCGTCTCATTTTCCTTTTGCTCTCCTCTCCTCTTTCTTACCCTACCCCTCATTATCTTCCTCAGTGACCACATCTACTACTGGAGCTTCAACTATTACCATTATATAAACATTCACATGATGTATTTGCAGTGCAACCTTAGACAAGTTAATTTACCTGAGACATAGTTTCTTCATGTATAAAATGAGAGCAAATGCATTTTATAATGAGCTATTGAATGCAGAACAATTTGTACAGTTTGTGGCATGCAGTACGTGCTCAATATATGTGGAGTTTTTTTGGATGCCTGAGTAGATAGAGTCAGTGGAGAGGAAGCGGTCGAAGGTAAGGTAGAAAGACAGTTTTGAGGATTTGGCACAGTCTTGGACTCTGGCACCAGTTAAACCTCAGTTGAATTCCAGTTCCACCACTTACTAAATTTGCAACCATGGGCAACTTTCTTAGTTTCTTTGAGCATTAGTTTTCTTATCTGTAAAATCAAGATACTTAAGTGTAGATTTCTCAGACATGCATTTAACTACCCCTCCCCCCAATAATCTGGCCTCACTGAACATTTTCAGTTTCCTGTCCCATTCCTGTTAAATGATATTTAACCAAATATCTGAGCACCATGACTCAGCCAAGCTGATATGTAAAATTAACCATCACACCCACATACAGCCAATGTGTACTGAGCACTCATTATAATGATGAACTAACCTGGTCTTGTTCAGAAAGCTACGTAGCCTACTAGAAATCTAATATTTTCCTAGAAAATATATATGTATATGCCATATGTTCCAGCCAAACCAGACTACTCAAGGTTCTGTATGAAGAATTGAATAATTATAATCAAATTGAATTCTTACAAGGTGACGTGGTATAGTAGAATCAAACAAACCTGGGTTTGAATCCCAGCTCTGCTGCTTACTAGCTATGAAACCATGTGCAGATTATTTACCCTCCACAGGCCTCAGCTTGCTTACACACAGAAAGAAAACAATAATAATAATAATAATAAAACCTGTCTCAGCACCTGAAACTGTAGTAGCAGGACCTACAAAGCCTTTGATAATCTGGCCCCGCCTAATTCTCCAGCTTCATCATTCACCTTCCTATGCTCATGTCTAAGTTTCAACCTGCAGAACTCTTTGTAGTTTTCCCAAAGGCCAGGCTCTTCCTCATCTCTGGTTATTCATTATACAAACTACTCCTTCTGCCTGAAATGTCTTCCCCTCCCCCACTATTTTTTTACCTAACTCCTAATTATGCTTTAGATCCCAGCCTAAATGTCACTTCCTCCAGGATGCCTTCTCTGTCCCACCCCAGCCCATGTTAAGTAGCTCTTCTCTGTAATCACATATGATAACACTCAAGCTCCCACATTACAGCTTCTGTATATGTTTCTGTGTCCTCAATTAGGTTGTGAGATCTATGAGGGCAGAGGCCACAGCTGCTCCAATACCACCCCCACAGTGAAGGCACCTCTGGACACTAATCTAGGGTAGCACTCTCTGCCACTCTATGTATTACTGTATTTCAGTTTCTTCATAATCCTAATCATTGTCTGGAATTATTATATTTGCTTATTTATTTGTTTGTTCTTTGTCTTTCTCACCAGTGTGTAAAATCTATGAGAAAAGGGACCATATCTGTCTTGTTCCCCACAAATTTTCAGCTTCTAGAAAATGACCCAAAACACAGTAGGATTTGTGTGCAGTTGGGCTTAGGAAATGTAGAAAGCAGAGGGAATACTGTTCCAGTTTAAGAAAAGTCACATGCAGAGGTGTTTCATACAATTTATTCAGAGCATAAGAGTATAAGGACAGAGAGGACAGAAAAACTGTGGACAGCTTGGAATGCCAGACCAAGGCATTTTTACTTAGCCTGGTGGACAGAGGCAGCCATGGAGAGCTTTTGCACTGCGGAGTAACATAAGGTGTAAAGCATGTACAGCTGTACAAATATATTGGAAGCATAGGCACCAATAAAATGAGCAGAGAGTATTCACCATTTCCCCCTTTGGAAAGCAAAAGATTAACCACTGTATTAGTCAGCATTCCAAAACAGAACCAACAGGATGTGTATACAAATATACACACAGAGAAAGAAAGGGAGAGAGGGGTGGGGGGCGGGGAGAGAGAGAGAGAGAGCGAGAGACGGGGGGGGCGGGGGGAGAGAGAGAGAGAGAGAGATTGCAAGGAATTGGCTCACATGTGATTATGGAGGATTGGTAAGTTCAGAATCTTCAAGGCAGGCCAGCAGGCTAGAGACCCAAGGAAGAGTTGATGTTGCATTTCAAGTCCAAAGGCAGTCTGGAGATAGAATTCTTTGTTGTTCAGGGATGATCAGTCTTTGTTCCTTTAAGGCCTTCAACTAATTGGATGAGGCGCACCCACATAAAGGAGGATAATCTGCTTTACTCAAAGTCTACTGATTTAAATCTTAGTGTCACCCAAAAACACCTTCACAGGGCTGGGCGTGGTGGCTCATGCCTATAATCCCAGCACCTGGGGAGGCCGAGGCGGTTGAGGTCCGGAGTTCGAGACCAGCCTGGCCAGTATGGTGAAACCCTGTCTCTACTAAAAATTCAAAAAATTAGCCGGCCGTGGTGGTGGGCACCTGTAATCCCAGCTACTCGGGAGACTGAGGTGGGAGAATCACTTGAACCCAGGAGGCAGAGGTTACAGTGAGCCAAGATTGCACCACTGCACTCCAGCCTGGGCACTACAGAGCAAGATTCCTTCTCAAAAAAACAAACAAAAAACAAAAAACACCTTCACAGAAATATTCAGAATGATATTTAACCAAATATCTGAGCACCATGACTCAGCCAAGCTGATATGTAAAATTAACCATCACACCCACATACAGCCAATCTGTACTGAGCCCTCATTACAGTGATGAACTAACCTGGTCTTGTTCAGAAAACTATGTAGCCTACTAGAAATCTAATATTTTCCTAGAAAATTCTAATTTATATTTTAAAAGTAGAAATACCATCCATGACTTCCCTAAACAAGCCCTTTTGCTGTTTCTTTGTCAGATATATTAATTAACCTTGCAAGGAGAGTCTCTACCAACCCTTGCCATTTCAGAAGTAATTTAGTTTCTATGTGTCTGGGTCTTTTTGAGTTTTCATCATTAATTGTTTGAGTATATGTGGTGGGACTGGGGAGAGTGGCAGGGTAGGGGCAGAGAGAGCAATGTGCTTGGAGAAGGATACACATGAGGCTACGGCTGTATTTGTAATACATCTTGCAATATACCTTGAAACTTCATAGTGAGTGCATTTATGCTTGCTATCTTATTCTTTTTTAACTTTAAAATGTTTGGAATTTTTCATAGGTTTAAAATCTGAGGCTCAGTGAATTTAGGTCACATTTCTAAAGTCACACATTCAAACCTACATCTGGGTGTTGCCAAAGCTCATGTTGTATTCATTCAGCACCACGGTGCCCATTAGCAATGTCCGTTCGTAAAGTTCCACCAATATTCACCGTTGATTGCTTCAGTCATAGCCAGATAACTAACCCTTGTTTCTTCTCCTTGATCTCAATGCAGTCTTCATAGCATGCTGTTAGCCATCTAACTTTCAGTAGCATTCCAAACACAGCTCTGGGAAAACACCATCAAGAGGATTAAAAACAATGATCCCTGTTTATGAAACTTCCCAAGCATCTATCATGAAATCTGCTCTTAGTATTACCAGTGTAGATTACACTGCATGTGTAATGACAATTCTTAGTAACCGTACCAGTGCCAGGGTGGAGAAGAGGGTTGTTGTTAGTATGATTTCTTGGCTCTGATGCTGGCAAAAAAAAAAAAAAAATCAGCCCTGGATCCTATCACTGTCCTGTGAGATTACAGTGACAGCTGTATCAGCAAGGCAACAATATTAATATAAAGGACCTTATGTTAGCCAGGCCCAGATGCATAAGCTTGAAAGAAATATGAGGGAACAAAGGCATACCTGGAGAGCGCCACACAAGTAGGGGACTTATAACAGTCCTCAAAAACTATAACTATGCCTAGAAGAACACCACTGGCCAGCACATCTACCCTATGCAGCCATAAACCAAAGCATGTTCCTCAAAAATTTTCCAAGTCTCAGAATAAGCACAAGCAACGAAACGACAATAAAATGATCTTACAGTTTCAGTAGAAGGTGTATGGTTAATTTTATGTGTCAACTTGACTGGGCTAAGGGATACCAAGATGGCTGATAAAACAGTATTTCTGGGTGTGTCTGTGATGATGTTTTTGGAAGAGATGAGCATTTGATCTTCATAAAGACCACCCTCACCAATGCAAGAGGGCATCATCCAATTCGCTGAGGGCCCAAATAGAACCAAAAAAGTAAAGGAACGGTGAACTCACTCTTCATGTCCTTGAGCTGGGACATTCATCTTCTCCTGCCCTCAGCCATCAGCTCCCCTGGTTCTCAGGCTTTCAGATTTGGACTGAATTACACTACCAGCTTTACTGGGCCTCCATCTTGCAGACAGCAAACTGTGAGACTTATCAGCCTCCATGATATGTACATATATATAGGAATATATATATATAGGAATATATATAGGAATATGTGCATATATATATATATATATATATATATATATATATATATACACACAGAGAGAGAGAGAGAGAGAAATCTATCATGAAATCTGTCAAGCATCTATCATGAAATCTGGTCTGAGTATTACCAGCGTAGATTAACACTGCATGTGTATTGACAGTTCTTAGTGACTGTACCAGTGCCAGGATGGAGAAGAAGGTAGTCGTTAGTATGAATTTCTTGGCTTTGATGCTTGGCAAAAAAAAAATCATATATATATATATATATATATATATATATGAGGCTCAGTGAGTTTAGGTCATATTTCATATGGCCTAATACGAATATAATATATGATATTATATATATGTATATATATATGTATATATATGTATATATATGTATATATGTATATATATGTACATATATATGTGTGTGTATATATATGTATATATATGTATATATGTGTATATATATATGTATATATGTGTGTGTGTATATATATATATATATATATATATATATATATATATATATATATTCCTGTTGGTTCTATTACTCTGGAGAACCCTGACCAGTACAGATGGCATAGACAACAATTAACACTGATACCACCGACATTTGACTTGGTTCCCAAGTACAAACATAATATAATTTAAGGCAAACAATTCTTGTGTGCTGGATACATGTTCTCTTGACAAATTTCTCTCTCTGGCCTTAATATGTACCTCTTGGGGATAACAAAACTATCCATGGTGGTATATTAGTTTCCTAGGGTTACTGTAACAAAGTGCCACAAACCAGGTGGCTTAAAACAAAAGAAATGTATTGTCTCACAGTTCTGGAAGCTGGAAGTCCAAGATCAAGGTGTCTGCGGGGCCAGTGGTTCTTGGGGGAAGGTTTGGGGGGAATCTTTCTTGTCTCTTCTAGCTTCTGGTATTTGATGGCAATCCTTGGCATTACTTTGCATTCCTTGGCTTATAGATAAATCACTCCAGTCACATGACTGTCTTCTCCCTGTGTGTCTTTGCATCATCTTCCTTCTGTGTCTGTCTCTAGATCCAAATTTCCCCTTTTTATAAGTCATCAGTCATACTGGATGAAGCTTCACTATAATGATCTCATTTTAACCTGATTACCTCTGTAATGACCCTATTTCCAAATAAGGTCACATTTGAGGTACTGGGGGTTAGGACTTCAACATACCATTTTTGAGGGACACAGTTCAACCTGTAACAGTGGCAGAGTCAGAAAAAATAAAAATAAATAAAATGGGAGCTTTTGCAATAGATAAAAGGAACAGAACTGTTTGTAACTTACAGCTCAATAAATAAAAGAATCTACTAAATAGTGTGCTGCAGAGGGATAAGCACTTGAGTAGATGTCAGGGACTTGGCCTCTAGCCCTAGCTATGTCATCAATCCCCTACCTGGTGCTAAACAAATTAGTTGACATCTTGAGTCTCAGTTCCCTAAACTGTAAAATGAGTGGCTTGAACTTACGGTCTCTAAATGTCCTCTAAACTCTGATATTCCATGATTTTTTCAATTACAGAAAATTAAGCCAAAAATCAAATTCAATAAAGTACATGGTGGATGGCATAGGGATATACCACTTGGCTTAGCATCTTCTCCAGTCTTGAATGCCACCAGGAGGGTTATACAAGGTAAATAGAGGCAAGGATAAGAAAAGAAAGAAGTGTAGGGTAGATAATGATTTCCAAAAGTAACTTTTGTGTCAACAATCACCAAGCTCTAGAGTGGTACACACAGTGTTGTCATTGCACTGATAAGGTCAGGTGCACTGGAGACATGGAGACATTTGACAATGTGACTACATTAATGCATAATGGCCTGCTTATGAGGAGTCCTTAAATATTGGGTTTTGAATCCAATGGTGTTTGTTCTTCTTCCCATTCTGGATCCCATTTTTTCAAAAAAAAAAAACAAAAAAAGCAAATGGTAAGGGAGCAGTTAATTGTTGTGCAACTACCTAGGCTCTGTTCTAAGCTATTTACAGACATTATCTCGTTAAAACACACTAAAACAAAACAAAACAAACAACCTATATAGTAGGTATGTATTAAAACAATAACCAGCATTTATCAAGTGCTCACTCTGAGCCTAACACTTCGATATGTATAATTTATTCCTCCAAACAACGTACTGCAAAGTACAAAAATACCATATGCACAGTGATTCCCATCTCACAGACAAAAAGCCTTAGGCTCAGAGAGTTAAGATAATTTGCCCAGGTTCACACAGCCAGTAAATGGCAGCTGGTACTACCCGACTTCTGAGCCTGGGCTCTTTACACTCTACCTTGCTAACAAGTTTACATTTAGAGATGTTAAGGGAAGGAGAGGGAGAGAAGGAAAGAAAAAGGGAGAGGGGGGAGAAGGAGGGAGAGACCTATAGACCTGATTCTGTTAATGCAGAAAAGAGACCATTGGAAGGACAAAAGGAAGGAAAAGAGATGCTACATACTGGTGGAGGAAGATAAAAATTAGTCTTCTACAGAAATGATTCACAGATCTTTTTTTTTTCCATTTCATTTTACGTGATCTTGAGGTTTAGAGGGATTGTTGGAGGAAGGAGCGAGCCCAAGGACTAGCCATGAGAGACAGCTAATTAACAACAGATGCACCAAATGAGATTGCGTGTGTGTGTGTGTGATGAGAAAAATTGAGGCAAAATCATCAGCAGATGCTGAAGTCATGCTCTCCTTTTGGGGGAAGGGAAATGGGGACAGGACATGCAGCCATAAGGCAAAAGCAAAAACATCCCAAGGAGATTGCTGTTGTGAGGACTTATTATCCCATGGAAATGCCCTTTGATCAGGATCCATAATCATCATATTGCATCCAATTACAAGTTAAAGATGAAACATGATTGCTGCCATCATGTTTTTATCTAATCAGAAGTTGGGAAGCAATTACGGTAATGATGCAGGGTGCTAAGGGGGCTCATGTCAGGAGGAGAGGGAAAACCTTGCTTAAGGACTCCTTGCTATTCTGCAGGAGATGAGTCGAGGTGTACTGATGCTCTAAAGCCATGCCAACTAAAGGATATGAGGGGATCTCAGACCACAGAATGATTTGGGCAGCATGGGATGGCCAGGGGTGCATGGGGGTAGGGCGAGGCTGGCTCCCACTAACCCACAGTTTTCCAAGTCTGACTCTTGGACCCTTGGTGTCTCAATCATCCATGGTGCCCATGATTCCTGGACTGCATTCTAATCCTCCTGAGCTTGAATCTCCTGAGGATAGGGGCCCCAAAGACTGCATTTTTCAGGTTACCCAGGTGCCAATTTTTCTAATGTGCCCATTAAAAAAGTAATGGATCAAAGAGAAGTGAGATGCTGCATACCTTAGCTAACACCCAGTAGAGGCCCCTGGGTACCAGCACTTTCTATATTGAAAAATATATATTTTTACCAATAGTAATAGTGATGTTGTAAGTTATGAGTGACTAAACACAGAAGTTCTTTACAGTCTTAAGTTTTGAGGACTTCAGCGAGGGTAGATTATTTTACACTTCTCACTCTAACTTAGTTTAAAATCTCAATTATGAAACCCTCAGGTGCAAAGAAAATAGACATGTGGGATATATATGTCTTTACTTACTCCTCTGTCCTCACATTTATTCTTTTCTTTTCAAAGCACCCTTAATCAGGGCAAATGAAACGAATCACCCCTCAAAAACACACACATCCAATTCATTACATATTTGCTTTATTATTTTTTATTATTTTTTAAAAATTTTGTAGAGATGAGGTACCGCTATATTGCCCACACTGGTATCACTATGGTGCCAGGTTGGTCTTGAACCACTGGCCTCAAGGGATCCTCTGCCTCAGGCTCTCAAGTAGATGGGAATACAGGTGCAAGCCACCACACCGGGCACATGTTTGCCTTCAGCAGCTGTTATTGTTATCGTTAGACAACTATAATCACTTAGTGCTTTCTGTGTGCTAGGCATTGTGCTAACCACTCCCAAAGGCATTACTTCATTGAACATGCACAACAGTCCTCAGTGGTAAGTACTTTTTTTTTTTTTTTTTTTTTGAGACGGAGTCTCGTTTTTGTCACCCAGCCTGGAGTGCAATGGCACGATCTCGGCTCACTGCAACCTCTACCTCCTGGGTTCAAGCGATTCTTCTGCCACAGCCTCCCGAAAGCTGGGACTTCTAATCCACCATGCCTGGCCAATTTTTGTATTTTTAGTAGAGATGGGGTTTCTCCATGTTAGCCAGGCTTGTCTCGAGCTCCTGACCTCAGGTGATCTACCCGCCTCAGCCTCCCAAAGTGCTGGGATCACAGGCGTGAGCCACCATGCCCGGTCAGTACCATTATTATCTCCGGCTTACATAAGAGGCACTGAGGTTCAGAGAAGTTAAGTTAGTTAGCCAAGGTCACACAGCTGGTCAGTGGCAAAGCCAGGATAACAGTAAGTTCCTGTGTGCCTTGTCCTACATGAAAGAAGGAAAGCAGTAGTACAGATGATGACAAACAATTGAAAATCCACAAGCCTGTTAGATCTGGCTTTGGAATGCACTGGGTGATTTTTGGCCACAGAACAGCTTCCCTAATTAAGTCTGTTTAGGCCGGCGTGAAAATTAGTCTGTTGGCGCTGAACCCTTGTCATCTGAGGACAGTGAATAATCCAAACTTGACAGTATTTCAAGGAGTAAAAAGTGATATGAGATGAGAGTAGAGCAGGGAGCCTGGGCAGTCCATAGGGCAGTTTGGCAGTCCACAGGCAGTCCACATCTTGAAGCACTTGCTTTCACATTGAAATCTCCTACTTCTTCTAGCCAATTTATGGCTTTCATCTCCACGCTCCCTGTAGATTTCCTCTTTATAATAATATCCATGTCATCTAATGACAAGATGTGATAACTAATGTAAGGTTGCTTCTGACCCCTAATATTCCCACACTGAAACTCTATTAGATTCCACATTGACAGCCCCTTCTGACTCCAATCTACCAGCTTCTCACTGAGCCAAAGAGTATAAGGTCCCTCAAGAGCAAAGCAATTTATTTAAATAACACAGTAAGTAGATGGAAAAGTGTGTTGCATTCAGAAAGTCAACATTCTCCTGCTGAAAGTAAAAGGTCTGGTGTGGCTGCTCCTGTTGCGATGGTAGAACTGGCACAAGTCCCTCTGTCCCCTTCTATTGGGTCATTTCCCAGTTCATTTAAGTGGAACCAGTTAAATTAGTTTCTGAAAGTTGTATTTACAACAGGGCTGGAGCCTTTCTGTAGGGGAAAACCCAGGCTCTAGCTTACTGCACTCAACACCCGGGGACCTCCCTTTGGAACTGCCAGGAAGGACAGACTCTGAGAAGTTGACATGCCTTTGTCCAGATGGATGCACCAGAGCAGAAAGCTTGAGCTTCCCACCGTTTAAAGAGCTGCCCGAAACTCCCTTCTATTTCAAAAGGTTAAAGGGGTCTTGCCTACTGTCTAATGAGTAAGATCTTCTGGGACACCCCCTTATAGGAAATGAAACAATCTATTTCTAAGGTCTTGTTTACATCTTCCCCTTGCAGTGGTTGGGAACTCCTTGACTGTAGGACTGCTATGTGTGAACACGGAAATGCAAAGTCTACTCAAGCAGATCTTGAACTGCCATTGATTCCTTTCAAGTGATAGAGGTTTAATTAGTTGTGTAATGAGGCTGCCTAGGTGCCGAGTGTAACCTGCTCTTAAGGGAGAACCATTTATACTGCCTTTGAAGCCCACCAGAAATGGTGTCAGCTTGCTGCAAGAAGGGCTGAGCCAACTGCAGCTGTCAGATTGTCTCTGACTGAAGCTGAAGAGAATCAATGAGACCTTGAATCTTGTGGAGGAAGCCCGGATGGCGGGCAAGCTTTCAGAAGGGTGTTCTGAGCATTGAGCATTCTGCCAAGACAGCAAGGCTCTATATGTAGACCCAAATAAGATTTTGCTACTCTTTCCTTTTCTCGTGGCTCATTCTCTTCCTTAATACATTTCCTTTAGTCTCTCTTCCTTCAGTCCTATCTCTGAAAAAAAAAAAATCCTCCTTTCTAAGAAAAACCCTTCCACTAATTCCCCTCTCAGCCTCCTCCTCTGTCATCTCTTTATATGAATTGGCCAGTCCCTCCCTCATTTCTAGTGCCTCCCTCTGCAGGCCCCTTCCTCTCTGACTTCAGTGATGCTCTAGACTCCACAAGCTTTTCCTTCAGGCCTCTGGGTTCTCAAGTTGCTGAAGCTTGCTTTCCTTCCCTCCACTACCACACTCATTCCTTTAAATCTTTGAAATCTGGCCTCTAACTCCACCCTTCTACCAAATGGATTCTTTAGGGTGGTCTTCAATGCATCCTGATCACCAACTAGTGTGACTTTTTTCTTCATGTTCCCTCTCCTGACCTCTCCTCAACTACTGTTTGTTTGTTTGTTTGTTTGTTTAAAAAAGCATTGGCCACCTGTTCTGCCATCAGAGCTATCTTAGGAAATAAATTTATCATTCTTACCATCAAAAATCTTCAGTGGCTCCCTAATGTCGGCTAAACTAAGGACAAACTCCTTATCCTGGCTTTCCAGGTCATGATCCTCCATCTGGGCCTCACTGCCACCACCCTCCCCAATCCCTCCCTGATATATACTTTTTAATCTGGCCTAAAATACTTTCTGTTCCCAGTATACATTCTGACAATTCTCGCTTCTGCAGTATTGCTCACACCATTCCCTCCACTTACAAGGCCCTTTCTCATATTTCACAGGTCTAAACCCAATTCAATGAATATTTCTTGGGCACCTATTTCATGCCAGAGACAGATCAGATATTACTTCCTTTGTGAAGCTTTCCCTGGTCCTATAGACAGTGGATCCCTACAGAATTTTTGGTTTTGGGAGGAGGGTATAATCTCCTCATGGAACTTCAAACTCCACAAATACTTTGAATACTGTTTTTGCCCTTTATTAACTCATATGCTCTGGAAGGACAGATGCCATGTCTTTGTATTCCTGGAGTATTTAGCACAATGCTTTCTTCATCATGAACATTCAATAATTTTCTGTCAAATAAATTCAGACTGTGCAATTTATAATGATTTCTACTCATGATTCCAGTCATTTTCCTGAGACATTAAACCTACTGAGTCCTTGCTCTCCCCAAGCTCAGCCAGATAAATGTTCCCCTTTTGACTCCTCTGTTGGGTAAGAATGGTAAGACTGTAGGAACACCATATGCCACCAGTACTAAACAAGGTATGCGAGAGCAACACCTAAAAGAGCATGCTATTTCAAAAAAAGAAGCAACACTGAAGCTACAGAGAGTATCAGATGCCAGAACCAGCAAAGCCACATGCCAAAAAATTGAAGCCAAGGTTGTGAGTGTGGTATCATGTAGGGGATGAGAGAAGCATACAGGTCTCCTGAAAATTTGATGTCCAAAATTTCCTGTACAATCGGAGCTCAGCAGTAACAATTCTCCCAAAGATATCAAGGCTCCAGAAAATGCTTAGACTTGAGGTCCTTGTGTTTGGGGCAGCAGTAAATCTACCTGAAAATAAAAACCTTCAAGAAGTGGATGCTTAGAGAGAAATGAAAAGGCTGAAACATCGGAAACACCTTTGTTTCATGGAAATGACACTAATTTAGTGAAAAGGGGAAGCTAGCTTTAGAGGAGAAAAAAAAAATAGCTCCATCAAACCACAGGTGACAAACAGCTCTTTTTCCCTGTAGTTGAAAGCAAGTGAAATGAGCAGCCAGTGTACCTCACAGGCTAAGGAACATATTAGGATTTGTTTTTGTTACTATTTTAAGTGAGAGCTGACCTTGTGCTTCTCATTTCTGGAATAAGAACACTGTTTCCAGAGGCATCACAGAGCAGTAGAAAGATCACAGGCTTTGGGGCAGAGACATCTCTGGTCAAATTCTAGCCTTGTGCCTATTAACTATACCTTGGAAAAGTTATTGATTCCTGTAGCCCCAGTTTTCTCAACTGTAAAATGAAGACAAACATACCCTCTCTGCAGGGTGATTGGAATGATAATGACAATAGCAGCAGCATTCATTTATTAGGTAGAAGGCATGCTAAGCTTACTTCATGCATATTATTATCTCACATATGCTACCACACAACCATCTGAGCTAGGTTCCATTAATATTAGCACTCCCGTTTTACAGGTGAGGAAACTAGAACTCTGAATAGTTAAGCGATTTATCCAAGGTCATACAGCTTATGAATGGCACAGCTAGCACTGAAATCCAAATCTAGATGTGCTCTTAATTCGCTACTATAGCCAATCTTGCTAGAGACCATCCCACGCCCCTCCCCACAGCGTTGCCCTGTGCATCCTCTCCACCTGGTGTTCATCAGAATCCTTTGCAGTGTCCTTAATAAACCGAGATAGTCTTCATTTATTTCCTCTTCATGTTTCCCCCTCTTTCAAGCTGCCATGAAACACAGACTCTTCTCATTTAAAGAAAATGCTTAGCTGGCTTTTGGAACATAATTCTTTCATTAGCAGGTCTCGCTCTGTCATCCAGGCTGGAGTGGAGTGGCGTGATCATAGCTCACTGTAACCTCCTGTGCTCAAGTGATTCTCTCATCTCAGCCTCCCGAGTAGCTGGGATTACAGGGTAACTTCCTGCAATGAGTCAGCTAAACATTCCTGAATCCAACCATTCTACCCCTGGCAAACTCCAGTATCTGATGCTCTATCACGTGTGGAAACATAAAGTCACTCACATCAGTTTCAACAAGTACACTGCTTAGTGAAATACGGGTCTTTGAAAACATACTGGAATTTGAAAAAAGAAACAACACATTGATGGTAATGTCTTCCTCTGAATGAATGTGTGTAAAACTGTAACAGGCACAAAAACCAAAGCCAAAGAATCAAAGACTTACATCTGTCAAACCTATTCCACAGAAGCCATTTCAATATCAGGGCTATTTCTTAGAAAATGTATCTCACAATTTAAATTTGAAAACAAAGCAAAGCACAAACACCAAGTAGAAGTTACACTACAAGGAACATGCAGGTCAGCCAGGTGTAGAAGATAAATGGTCAAAATATGATATGAAGAAGAAAACTAAGAAAGTACATATAGCAATTCAATCTCTACCAGGTTTTCTGAATAAACATTGGAATTTAATAGAATTAAAAATAACCTCTCATAATGGAAAAAAAAAAGGGAGACCATCTCCTAAAGTAGCTTCACCTTATCCCCGGAGATGGCAGTGGGGACAGTTATCAGCCTATTCCTTACTCCTTCTGTTGCTTCCAGACCATTGTTCCTCTGCCATATCCCAGGAACATTTACTATCCTATTACCAGCTACTTTGCTCTGTCTAGTGAGTCTTGGTTGATTAGACCCTTAACTTTGTTTTTCCAAGGCCACTGGCTGTGGCTTATTCCAGTAACTTCATCGTAGTAGTACTAATAACAGTATTAATAGCACACTTATTGACAGCTTGCTATCTGTCAGGCACTGCACTAAGCACTTTATATACATGGGCTCACTCAGTCATCACACAGCCCCGTGGGGCGGCTACCACTATTACATAAGATCATGCAGATTAAGTTCCTACCACAGAGTAAGCTCAATAATTGCTAGCTTTTATTATAAATGGTATTTTTCAATAGATCTGTGAAATACAAAGCCCACAAAAGGGATAGGTATGGGTAATCTTTTATCTCTTGAGAGCAACTATCCCTAAGTGGACTAAAACTAACTTGAAAAATGTTAACAAGGTTTAGGTTTTATGGGCAAGAAATATAAAAATCCTGCTCAACTGCTTTTAAAATAAAAGGCAAAACTCTGTTCAACAAACGAAAGTGAATAAAGAATAGTTTACTCTCATTTTTGTCTAAATAATGGAGAAAGGAACTAAGGGAAAGAGAAGACTCAGAGAAAGAGGGACCTTTCAAAGAAGATAACACAAATAGTGCATATTGAGAGATCTTGGATTGGATGGGAGGCAGAGAAAAGAGGAAGAGAAGCCACTCTCGATGTTTTGGGGGTTCTGTATCTGGACAACAGAGAGATGCTTACACAAACCACAGGTCCTTCTCTTTGCTGAAATTTCAAGTTCAGAGCCTCTCAAAAGTCCATCCTTGTCACTCATACCCCAGGAAAAAGAAGGAGAGAGAATAAAATCAAGCCAGAGGAAGGAGGAGAGAAACACAGAAGAAAGAGAAAAGAAATACAAAGCACAACCAGCATGGTCCGCCTCACCATACATCAGACACTGTTGGCAGAAGCCTTTGCTCCTTCTCCACTTCCAGCTTTGCCATCTTCATGCCACCTCCCAGTTAGCACTCAGAAAGCTGGGCACACCCAAGGTCAGCAACCCCACACTTTCTCTGACTTCTTCCCAAACTTAACCACACTCAGCCCAAGGGTGATGCAGTCTCTATCACTGCTGTCGTTGATATCACCCACCCAACTTCTCCCTGGGAAAATTAGGACTCTGTGCAAAGCATCTCTCCCTCTCAAAGGCCATCTCGGGGCATGGGGCCTGCCTTTTAACACCCAGAGATCTCTGTTGAGTTCGCACCACATTCATGTTGGACTCAACAAAATTGTCTGTATATGTATCTGGCTCAGTGTAGGGGGAGAAGGGTACATACTTCAGAAAATTGCTTCAAGTTGTACCAAGTTAAGCCCAGGGCCACATCCAAATAATAGGTTGAAGGTTTCTTATCTTTGCACTGTGGTATAAAAATAGTTTCTTCCTCTTGATCTTGATTCTTCTCTTTGGCAGTGGAAATACAATTCTTTTTTTTCTGAGCAATCTCTATTTTCAATGCAAGTCTTTAGCACACTAACCTATTTACACTTTTGAAAAAGCCTAAGACTATGATGCATTCTCAGACTTCCAGGGACCCTCAGCATTAGAATCCAAGTGTCCTTGCAATTCACTGATGAAGAATGGAGACAGGTGAATATTTGTTATCTGTATTATACAATGAACATTAGTGGTCAGAAGATCAAGGTTATGCACTGCTACATGGAAAGCCATTGTCTTAATGCATTGTGCAATATTCATAATAAAAGGTGAACATTCTTTTTGCAATGAAATTTCTCTTTCAGTCAGAAGGAGCATCTGCTAGGTGAGTAATTTTCTAGAAGGAATGGAATTTTACACCTGTCACAGAGACCATTCCCTATTAGGTCTTTTAAATTAGAAAAGGTTAATTATTTCATGTCTGGTTATAAAGACTTCATTGAGGCTTCATATGCGATATGATTAGGAGGCTATTATGACAAATATCTGATTGTTGGTGTGATAGAGATCACCACTGTGTCTTCTGCAGCTGCGCTGGTATGCCTAAACTGAAAGAAGAGCACATGTGGTGTTTGGTAATGAAGAGTAGCTAGTTGACATTAAGGAGTTCAGGGAGTTGGCATTAATCAAACACACATTACTGTGTCTTGTTCTTTGTATCCAAGAAATCAAAAAGAAAAAAAGAAAGTCTTGGAGTTTTCCAATTTTAGGCATGATAAAAACTAGTTTCATTTAGACCATATCAGATCATTTTTCCCAGATTTTTTTTCTCTATCACATTTGCAACACACTAATGTAACAACTGAGGTTAAAAGCCTTCAGGACTCCAAGTGTTGCTTCCATTTCCTAAATGACAGCAATGGCAGGACACTCCTCCAGATGATGTGGTTCCCATGGTCCATCAACTCGCAACCAGCATTGGTGCATTCCTCGCTTTCCTAGTCCCTTACCAGCTGCTCAGTTGGCCACCACATTCAACTTTGGCCTTGTGTCTACAACATACATGAATGGGCCTCCCTTCAAGGACTTCATTAATAGCCTTCAGCATCTGCTCACATTCCAAGCATTGGGTACTAACTCCAGAGAGGGACCGGCATATGGCTGCATTGTTCTACTTGTCGAAAATGAAAAACACAGGAATGTGCCCTCGACTTCTGAACTTTAAATTTCTGACTACTGCTGCCTTAAAACAAAAAATGTAAACAGCCCTGTTTGCTTGTGTGTGTGTGTGTGTGTGTGTATGTGTGTGTGTTCATGCATGTGTTTCTATGTAAATACATAGAAAAAGATTTGAAAATATTCACATCAAATATGCATCAATATGTTAATAGTCACCCATGAGGACTGAGATTGGGGGTGAGTATATGAGAAATTTTCACTTTTAATACAGTGTAAGTCTGTCTGCATTGTTTGAATTTGGCAACAATTACGCAATCCTGTTATTATTAAAAAATAAAATCTATGTAAGCATAGAGAAAAGTTGATGAGGACACACATCAGAGGGTTTAGAAGTGCTACCTCTGGAAGGTACAATTAGAGAGAAGGACTTTTGCATCCTTATAGATCATATATATTTTAAAATTTTAAATGTTGTGTTTTGGGCATTTTTGTTATACGTAACACTATGGCATTTTTAAATTAAACTTTTAAATTAATGCTTGAAACTATAGTTACAGAAAAGTATTCTAGACCTCATGGATTTTGTTAGTATCTATGACTATCAAGTATTCATTTGGTACTCCCATGTGCTAGTGATATGACTTTAAGTCTAACGATTTTTCTTTTCTTTTCCCATCACCATCGAATGACTTGGGGTTATAAACAAGTGCATAGTTATATGCGCCTTGGCCTGAATGGATAAAGTTAGGAAGTAAAGCACAAACTTTCTGTGCATTCTGTAGAATGTAAGCTTCATGAGGTGAGAGATCATGTCTGTTTTGCTCATCACCACACCTCTAGTGCCTAACATTTTTGCCTGGCATATAGCAGATGTCCAATAAAGGTTTGTTGAATGACTAGATGAATAAGTGTTCAAAACCAAAGGCAAAGTGAGATCTCTGAATGCAGAAATCTATGAGTTGAAATATCAGGGACCATGCTATGTAGAAGGTAAGAGAAGAAGAGAGGAGCACGGCTTAAAGAGACCCACTGAACTGGAAAGTAAAGAGACCTGGGCCTGGCTGGGAGCATGGCTCTCGCCTGTAATCCCAGCACTTTGGGAGCCTGAGCAGGCAGATCACGAGATCAGGAGTTTGAGACCAGCCTGGCCAAAAGGCCAGCCTGGCCAACATGGTGAAACCCCGTCTCTACCAAAAATACAAAAATAAGCCGGGTGTGGTGCCGGGTGCCTGTAATCCCAGCTACTCAAAAGGCTGAGGCAGGAGAATTGCTTGAACCCGGGAGGTGGAGGTTGCAGTGAGCCAAAGATTATGCCACTGCACTCCAGCCTGGGCGACAGAGCGAGACTCCAACTCAAGAAAAAGAAAAAAAAAAACAAAAAAGAGACCTGGGCCTAACTGACGGGATGAGTGTCTTTGGACAGGTACTTTCCTTTCTCTAGAACTCAATGTCCTCATTTGTAAAGTGAGAGGATTAGAATAAATCTATAGTACTCAAACTGTTTACAACAATAACTCATATTATTTAAAGGAAACACAAGACCATGTAAAATAGTTACAAGTGTAAAAATCCATAGAGAAGTCTGAGATGATGTTAACCAAGTGTTAATGAGGGTATTTGGGGAGGATTTTTTAAGTTTCATTATAGTTTTCTCCATTACTTGAATATTTCATAGTGATCATGTATCAGTTTTACAAAAACAAACATCATTGTACTATGTTAAAGTAATGAGCAGACTATGAAAATAAAAGAAATAAGAGAAGTATTACAGTGACCCAATAGGATTAAAAGAGAGACCCTGAGAGTTACAATCTCTCCTGGTAAGATCAAGCCTCCTCTGGACTTGACGCCTCTCTTAAGAACATCAAAGGGCCAGGCGCGGTGGCTCACACCTATAATCCCAGCTCTTAGAGAGGCAGAGGTGGGAAGATAGCTTGAGTCCAGGAGTTTGAGACCTGCCTGGGCAATATAGCGAGACCCCATTCTCCACAAAAAGTAAAAAAAAAAAAAAAAAGGGAGCCCAGTGTTCCACCTGCTCCTAGTGAGAGTGAGACCACAACTCCACCTCACCCCATCATTCCCATTATAGACCACACTGCACTACAGGACACACCAGTCCCAAGGAGAGGCTACATTTAAAACTAACCATCTGTTCCCCAGCCAAGAGATCATCAGGTTTCATCGTGCTCTAAATGCCTATTTACTTCAGTCATCACAAAAGTTCAAACCATCTAGATCATCCATGATCACTCACATGGAAATGAATTCCTGCACCTCCTCATCTCACTCAATCGACCACCCCTTCCCAACCCTCCCAAACCCTTTGACCTTTCTCTCTGCAAAATTCCCTACATTCTCAGCTTCTCCAAAATTTTCCTTGAACTTTTGGGTTTATCAAAAACTCGGCTCCCCTCTGAAGACATTGCTTCCTGTACAGCGCTCTCAAGTGGTGACTATTTTTTTTCTCATACTTTATGTACCACTGGACCCAGAGGTGGAACAGGTGTCCTCTTTGCTCCCCCTTACCACTTCCTGTGTGTAGACCTTCCCCAAACTGCCTGCCCCAGCTTCTTTCAATCACTTTGCTGTAAGACTAAGTTTCAGAGTGTGTTACCTGCTACACCTCCTTGTTGTTATCATCTCCCCTCTTCCTGTTCACTCTCCCTTATTCATTGATGATTTGAGCTTGTGGTTCACTGTCTTTTCACAACTGCCCCTGTCATCTTTCTTGGTGATTTCAATATCTATGTGGAGTCTGCATACATACATGCATGTGTCTGTGCAGACCTACATTCATTGTCTACATTGTGAATAATCCATATAGCACTCTGGTCTCTCAGCTGCTTGACCTCCTCCACTCCAAAGATCTTGTTCTCTCTTTCCATCCTTGGTCACCCACATCCAGGCTTATTTCCTAGATCTCGTCATAAACTACTGCAGGACCTTCAACATCTCAATTTTATTTTTAAAAAATTTCTTTTTAGTCAATGTTCTGCTGAAAAAAATCTCAATTTTAATCACCCCACTCTTTTCTCTCTCTTCCTAATTCCCTCTAATATCTCCACTCTAACAACCCTCCCACTGTTAATCATCTTTTTACCCTCTATCACCCCCTCATATCTTCACTTACATGTTTATTTCACTTAGATTCTACGGTCCGTTATTATCATCACTCCTTGGCATCCATCCTCAGCTCCCCAATTCCCTCTCCCATCATCACACCTACCTAGAAAAACTGGAACAAAGGTTAAGTCCAACTTTTCGTCTTGTCTACATCTGCATCCCAGTAACTGATCCTGGCTGGAGTAAGCTTCGTGTTAAGCTTTATGCCTAAAATCACAAGTGGGCTCTCATTCTCCTTAGAAACCACTCCCAAATTTGAGTCTCTAGCTCTGAACTCCTTCTTGAATTCCAGGCTCATATAACTAACTTCCTACTGAACATTGCCTCTTGAATGACTAACAGGCATCTCAAATTTAATTTGTCCAAAACCAAACCATGATTTTCTCCTAAATCTGCTGTCTTTCTGCATTTACCATCACACTTGTTGCTAACTTCATCCTTTCAGTTCCTCAAGCTGAAACACCTTGGAGTCATCTTTGCTTCTCTTTCTCTTGGGCCAACTCCCATTTCATCAGCAAAGGCTTTTGGGTCTACCTTCCACATATATTCATTACCAGATCACTTCTCACTACCACTATTGCTGCCATCCTGGTTCAAGCTCCCCTTATCTCTTGCCCAGATTACTGAAATAGCTTCCTGCTATGGGTTACAGTCTGTCCCCGCCAAAAATATATGTCGTGATGCTAACCTCCAGTACCTTAGAATGTAATCTTATTTGGAAATAGTGTCATTGCAGATGTAATTAGATAAGTTAAGATGAGGCCATACTGGAGTAGGGTGGGCCCTTAATCCAATATGACTGGTGTCCTTATAAGAAGAGGAGGGAGACACAGAAGGGAGATGGCCATGTGAAGGCAGAGACACACATGGAAAAAGCCATACAATGACAGAAGCAGAGATTGGAGTGCTGCAGCCGAAAGCCAAGGAATGGCAAGGATCAATGGCCACTGACAGAAGCTAGGAAGAGGCAAAGAGGGATTCCACGCAGTCGCAGAGAAACCATGGCCCCAATGACACCTTGGTTTCAGATTTCTAGCTTCCAGATTTTTGAGACAATCAGCTTCTGTTATTTTAAGCCACCTAGTTTGTGGTACTTTGTTAGGGTTTCCTAAGGGAAAATAATATACCTCCCAACTTGTTTCCTTGTTTCTACCCTTGACCACCCACTGTCTAGTTTCAACACAGCAGCTGGAATGATCCTGTTAAACCTCTAAGTCAGCTCATGTCTCTCATCTGTTCAAAACCCTGCAATGGCTCCACATTTCATTCCGAGTAAAAGCCTTACAAAGACCTGTAAGTCCCTATAAAAGCTGGTCCTCTGTTCCTAATCCAGTCCATTCTTCTATTACTCTCCCCCTCACTCACTCTACTTCAGTGACATTGGCCTACTTTTCTGCTCCTCCAGACATGCTTCCATCAGGTCTTTGCACTGTGTTCTCTGTTGTGACAAGTGCAAAGTCTCTGAGGCTTGCCTAGCTTTGAGGGTGACCAGCTTACTTGATTATGCAACTTCACATACAAAGAAGCCCACAGGTCCGAATTGAGGGGTTGGGGGAAGCACAGTGTTGTGAACTATCTATATGAGAAGGCCAAAGTGTTTAATGGCTAAGCAAACAAGACTTGGAGTCCAATAGGTCTAAATTAAGTGATCAAATCACTTACGATTTCTGGGCCTCAGTTCCCTCATCTATAAAATGGGAAAATAACGTTGTGAACCACACTATTAAATCAGATGGAGCATGCAAGGTGCTTGCCACATAGTTAGCACTCAATAGGTATCAGCTATTATTATTATTAATCGATAAAATTTAAAAGAAGTTTAAAACTGAGTACCAAAACACCAAAAGTATTTTGAGGCCTACTAAAAAAATAAACTAGCCTGGCATTTGAATGGACACATTTTCCTGTAGTACAAGTTTGGGCTCAAGAACTTCTTAGGGAAATTCAGATGAAACATTTGTGGAACCCTAGGATTTCACCAAACACAGATAGAACATGACATTTTTCTTTCAGGTGTCTTTCACCTCTGACACTCTCTGTATCCCAACGATGTAGTCATCATAACAACAGGGCAGTGGCACAATCTTGGGTCTGGCAATGGGCTTGCTTCATGGCCAAAGTTCCCCAACAAGTACTACCACCACCAAACACCTTCTCACACAAACCCAGCTCCTGACACTCCCCCCGCTACACCCCAATATGAGGACTGATTTTGCTTTCAAGCAAGGAAACTATCCATTACCTTTTTTTTTTTTTTTTTAGAAAACCATCAAACTTGGCTGGGCACAGTGGCTTATGCCTACAATCCCAGCAATTTGGAAGGTCGAGGTGGGCGGATCACTGAGGTCAGGAGTTCAAGACCAGCCTGGCCAACATGGTGAAACCCTGTGTCTACTAAAAATACAAAAATTAGCTGGGCGTGGTGGTGGGTGCCTGTAATGCCAGCTACTCAGGAGGCTGAGGCGGGAGAATCGCTTGAACTCGGGAGGAGGAGGCAGTGAGCCGAGACCATGCCACTACACTCTAGCCTGGGTGACTGAGGGAGACTCTGTCAAAAAAAGAAGAAGAAGAAGAAAAGAAAACCATCAAACTTAGAAAGAAGCAGATTATTTCTAATTTATAAAAATAAAAACAGGTCTCACAACTCCAAAGAAAGGGTGATATATCTAGGACAGGACCACTGGCAGGGTAATTGTGACAATTCTGCCTCGCAGAAGTGTGAGAAAATTGTAGGAAGAACCTACGGAACATCAAGAGGATTCATGCTACTACATAGGGCAAAAATTTAAAATTAGGTATAAATGAAAAATCCAATATTTTAACAGTCATGATGTAGACAATAGAGTCCACATCTTCTGATTTTAAAAGTAAGCCGATGTAAGATAGATTTAAAAAAAAAAAGACCTGGATAAAATGCTGATATTTTAAAAGATGGATGAAAGCTTTTTTGAAGTTTTTTTTGAGACAAGGTCTCGCTCTGTCACCTAGACTGGAGTGCAGTGGCATGATAACAGTTCACTGCAGCCTCTCAGCTGGGACCACAGGCATGTACCACCAAGCCTGGCTCATTTCTTTTATTTTTTATAGAGACAGGGTCTCGCTATGTTGCCTTGGCTGATCTCGAACTCCTGGGCTCAAGCGATCCTCCTGCCTCAGCCTCCCAAAATGCTGGGATTGAGTACAGGCGTGAGCCGCCGCACCCAGCTGAATTTATTTTAAGGTTTCAAAACATGTTACAGCATTCTCAGAACTTTGTATGGGCTTTGACAGGAGCGCGCCCTCTAGTGATTTCAGCAATGCCTTACACGTGAACAGGCGCCTGCGGCGAGAAGACTAACGTGAGCATTTTTAACATTTCCTCTAAAAGTGAAAAAAGGAAAATGATCTATCTAATTTTAGCTTTAAGAAAATTATCCCCCCTTCAAAATCTTATACCATCAAAATCTGTTTACCTTGAGAATTATCTTTTTTCGACATAAAGAAAATATATCCAGCGTTAATAGTGTCTTTGGGCAATAAACTCATGAGTGATTTACCTTTTTTTTTTAATAATAAACATGCGTAACCTTTAATTTTGAAGTATTTTTATTTTGTAATGTTGCAATCAGATAGAAAACTGGAAGTGATAGCATAATAAGCACCTGTGGACATACAACCCAGGCCTCTGGAATTATACCATTTTGCCATATTTGCTTCAGAGTTTTTAATAATTTTGTATTTTAAAACTTACAGAAAAGTTACAGGTACAATTCAAAGAGTTTTTTTTCTAGTTGCCAATTTGATGTCCCATAGTCCTCAAATACTTTAGTATTTAACGGGCGCTAGGACATTTTCCTACATAACCACAATTCATCCATCAGAGTTTTCAGATTTCACTTAAGTTCTACCAGTTGTTTCAACAACGTCCTATGATAGCTCTAATAACCCATACCAGGCTATCCGCACACATAGTCACCCTCCTCCCATTAGGTGGACTCCAGCACCCCAAGCTAGGTTGTCCTTCCTGCGTGGATGCCTTCCTCACCCCCACTAAGGCTCTGATAAGCCATAGGGGCTCCCCACTTCCCATCCCCATGTAGACCACAACCTTGCTCACCCTGTTCAGGCTCAAAAACCCAGAGCACTTTTCACAGATGCTCTCCTCATCCTGCTTGGGCTCAGACCCCCCTACCCAGGCTTTCCCCTACATAGATGCCTTGCTCACATTGCCCAGGATATAACACACCTGCACCACGCCACCCACATGTGTGGATGCCCTCTCCCAACCCCGCTGCAGCTCTGATTTCTCATCCTGGGCTGCCCACGTACAAGGAGACCCTCCTCACTTTGTTTAGGCTTTGTTCTGGGTCTTCTAAAAACATATGTTGAAATCCTAACCCCAAGTACCTCAGAAGATATCACAGTTTCAAATGGTGTCCTTATAAGAAGATGGCCACATGAAAACAGAGACACACAGGGCCATGTAAAAATAATTCCACACAATGACTAAGGCAGAGATTGAAGTTACGCAGTTGAAAGCCAAAGAATACCAAGGATTGCTGACAAACCCCCAGAAGCTAGAAACGGGCAAGGAAGGACTCCCTCATAGGTTTCAGAAGAAGCATGGCCCTACTTGCCATGGTGAGCAGTGACTATTTGGGGCCAGTGGTACGCAGGTAAGAAGAATTTACCTAGACGGTTGTAGGTAAAGAAAAGCAGATTTATTAAAGGATGAAGACACATAGCAAGAGTGCAATGAATGGGCAAGTTAGCAAGAGAGGAGCTGACTACCAGGAGATGAAGGCTTGCTGGGGATTTTATAGCATGGTGCTTGTGCTGTGTGCTGAAGAGGGCTTTGTGCAGTACTGAAAACCCCAAGGTTGCAGTGAGCCAATCTGCACTTTTCTATTAGCTGAGGGTCTGGTGATAGCTGGACACAGGAAGATTGTGAGTTATTTGCTCAGGAGGGCCGTGTCTCTTGGAGTATGAAGAAAGGCAGACATATAGCTTATCTGCTTTTTCTTTTTGCTTCCTCTTGGTGCTGCCATCCTGACTTTTTTTCCCTAAACAGGATTCCACATTCCCCCTGTGACAGAGCAACAATGACAAATCTTTGGTGTGTGGGTGAAGGTCTCATCTTCCAACTGCTTATTGCTGACCAGGGGCATAGAGTTGGCCCTACCTAGGATTGTTAGTCTGTCAGGAGGTTATGAGGACCTGAGTCCCTGAGTTGGGAATTAAATTGGGCAGGGTGGCTGTGGGACCACGGCTGAACAGCATTTGCAGCCTAAAATTTTGTCCTGCTGTGTCCAAAGGAGTGTTGTAGAGTTCTCTTAGTGGCTGACATCCTTGATGCAGTAACATTTTGGTTTGAAATTTTTATATTCTAGAAGACACAAAATGAGATATATAACATTAACGATACATGCTGTAAATAAACAAACTAATATGAGCATTATTATAGGCAGGGGAAGTGGGGTAACCCGTGGCCCAACCCAACCGTAGGATCTCTAAAACAGTTGTGCAAAAGAGGAATCTTGAGGAACTCCTTTTTGAAGGCCCTCTGTTGTCCTGATGTTTTCTTTTATCTTTTCCAAACTTTCTTCTACTTTACCTGAGGTATTGATGTAAAGCAACAAGTTTCATTTAACAGTGTGCAAGTGCCTCCTGCCTCAGTGGTAAGCACATCCAAAGCACCTTGATCCTGCAAGACAACCCCTGCCAATGAATCTAGGGCCCGTTGTTGGCCCTCAATGGCTGTTACTGTAGCTTCTCAAGATTGTCGGACTAGGATGGTGAGATTATGAATGCTACACTTAAGCATGGGTATACCTGCAAACCAAAAGATTGCACAGGCTACAGAATGTCCTAGACCATTCCTGCCTGCCACGGATTCTCAGTGGTGAGGATGCCAGATGATGGGAGGTTGATTAAGTCACGTTTCTGTTTTTTTCGAATGGCCTTTGTAGGGCCTGATTTCGGAAGGATCCTAAATTTGGAACTTGGCTAGAGGTTATGAAGTCTGAGGAGTTATATATATATGTATATATATATACACATACACACAAATATATTTATATAAATTACATATATATTTATATGCAATCCAGGTATGGCTGCAACTATAGTGCACGTGCCTTTCCACTGAATAAGCAAGGCTAGAAACAGGTTGGGTCCACATGAAAAGAAGAACCCAGTTTCTGTTAAACTCCTGAGGAGGGAGCTCGTAACCAGGCACAGGTGTGGTTAGTTTGGATTCCAGTATAATTTGCATAAATCCAGGGATCCCATGGTCCCCAGGGATCAAACGTGGATGGACAATGACCCAAAAAGTAGTCATTCATGCATAAGGGGGGAAATGTTTGACCTGTTGTGTTATGTGGATGTGGAGCCTGAGAGATAAGATTTGTAAATATAAATGGGATAAGGGAAAATCGAGGAAAAGATGTAGATATGTTGGTGAGGTTAAGAAGTTGTCCAGTTTTGACCCCTATTCCTATATATTCCATCCTGTTAGCTGAACTCTTTATAGGCATAAAGGAATCACTATAAAGGTTGCTGGCCTTAACTTTGTCTTTTCCCCACCATAGAGAAAATCTGTGGGGGCACACAGTGAACTCATCACAGGCATCGTATGGCTCCCATTCCTGGTGTGTTTGACTATAGTTGAGGGTGGAATTTCACTGGGCTTGTGTTAAAGCCCCTAGGAAAGGGCCAGACTACTTGGAGTTTTTAACGCAGAGGCGAGCCTTACAGGCCATTCTCTGGTGCCTTCCCAATCCGTTCAGTTGCAGTGGATGATTGTCACGAGGGATTGGTTGGCCTAGGTCCCCCTCCTAAACCTGTGTTTTTGATGTGCATGTAAATAGTGTGGTCAAATCCAGATCATTGGGCTTGTGTGTTATCTATAGATAGTGGGACTGCTAGGAGTGTAATACCATTCTCAAGTGCCTGCCTGCGTGGGCATATTCAGTAGTCAGTACTGTGTTATGTTGGCAACTTGATATATTACTGGCTAGAGTGGGTGCCTGGGTGAAGCCATTGAGACAATAGTTAGCCATGACAGAATAAAAACAGAGCCACATTTAAGGAAAATAACAATATGTGGGAAACTCAGGGAGACAGGAAAGAAGAAGGGCTGTAAAGAGTATAAGAAAACAAAATGTTAAAAAAAATACCTACTACCTTAGGATATTGATGTTATGGTGTGTGGGTAAATAACATTACCAGGACAAATATAAAGAAATTTCATCTGGGCAGTAGTCTTGGAGATCCCCCTCCAAATAGCAATCATATGCTACCTTCCTTATAAAAGTATTAATATCAAGAGGGCGAAGCTGCTCAAGAGAGGCAGTTGGATCACTACTGAGAGCTTGCAGTAGAATAGAATAAAGAGTCAGCTTTAAGAATAAGGTGTAAGAGAGGTGCTGGACTTATTTCTATCAACTTTAAGGGAGGTTAAAAATTCTAGGTTGTTTGGTTTAATAAAACTTGTTTTACCCTTTTTCTTTTAACTTTAAATGAGTTTCCAGTGTTTACATTCCAGTTAGACCATAAATAATGAGTCTTAGCACCAGCAGCTTAGTAATGGCAGATTTAAAGCAGGCAGAAAAAAAGAGAGGAAGACAGATAGCTTTAGAAGACTTGACTTAACTCTTAGTACAGGTTAACCATTTGAGCTCTGAATTTTTCTTGTAATTTGCCCATCAATTTAAAATGTGCACAAAAATGGGCCATAATATGTAATCAGCTGGGGTTTTTAAGAGAATAACAAAATCAAGGGTTAGGATGTTAGAAACTGCCTTTTCCTTTTGAGGCTGGACATTTGGATTGAACAGAAAAAGAGAAAAAATGAAAGGAATGGAAAGAGAAAGGTTAATCTTTACAGAAGGACTTGTGAGCCTTCCAGCCACTGTATGGTGTGAGGCCAGCACCCCTCCCACCCTTGTTTATTTCCCATCAAGGAGAGCCTTAGCACCCCAGATTTACACAGTGTAGGACAAATTCCTCCCACCTCTGCAAGTCACCAGTTAAGTTGAGCTATTTTCAGCTGGAGCAGAGAGCCCCTTCAGCTTAAAGCCATCAGGGGTTGGGATACTGTCCTGGGGGGCAGGGGAGGCTTTGGTTCTCAGGGCAGTCCTGTTTCTACTGGCCGAGTTTGTGGCAGAGGGGACAAGCCATGCAGGGGTTTTCCCATTTATCCCATTGGGGCACTTTGCCTTTTAGTGGCCTGGCCTTCTGCACTGATGGCAGTTATCTGGAGGAGTGTCCTTAGGACAACCTGGAGGGGGCTGGGGCTTGTAAAGCAGCCTTTTTGTCCCTGCATTTTTCTCTCTCCTTAGACCTGTCCTTCTGCTGTTCTTGGTTATAAAATACTGAGGAGGCTAATTTGAGAATTTCTTGCATAGGGGCCATGCTGTATCACACGAAAAAATTAGATGTTTCTTTTTGAGAGTTTGAGGGTGAAATTTATCCCAATGTTTTAGAATGCAGCCTAGAGGTGAGTCTGAAGGAATTGACGGAGTTTGTCCCATAGTGGGACTGGAAAATGAGCCATTTGGGGCTAATTGAACCACGCTTTCTCTTGGGGCATCCCGCCAAGATAAAAAAAAGGTCCCACTCATGTCTGCTGAGGGACTCAGGTGCACTTTCTAAAGGGGCGTCCCAGCTATTACAAAAGACCTCTCAGCCACTCGGGGGTCTTACACTGGATGGCCAGTCCAGGTACTCACTTACGCTGGGTGAGCAGCCCAGGTACGAGGAAAAAGGGTAAAGGAAGAACTCCATTTGGTGCTGGCCCAGGAGAGGGGCAGGTAAGGGAGACTCGCCTCTCTGAGGCGGAGATCACCTGGTTGAGCAACGTTCAGAACAGGATGGCTGGCTGACTCCACCAGAGAATTCAGAGTAAGAAACATGGTCTGAGTCACCCAAAACATGTGTGAATTCACTCTGAATGAACTTCTGCTGTCAGCTAAGTCACACACAGGAATTAGGGACTTTAGACTAAAAAAGGTAAGAGAGACAGTCTTCCTTCCAGGCAAGGCAGCCAGCCCTGTTCACTCTCTGGCCTTCAGGCAACACTGGAGAGTGGCCCTAGCCAGTTACCATCAATTGCCAGAGGGATACTAGAAGCTGGCTGCTGCGACACTGAACAGAGAAAACTAACTCAGGTCCCTCACTCACCCAAATGAGCATGGCGCTCAGATGCTTCCCACACAGACACCTTTCAGTCCCGCTGGAGTGTAGCCCCAGCCAGAGACCTACAGTTGTCTCCACGCTTAGATGCTGTCCACCAAGGGTCCCGAGTTGGGAAAGAAAAATTGAGAGGGGAGAGGGTTCCCTGTAAGGAGAGAGAAAGCTCCTGCACAGAGAGAGGAGTTCCTGTACAGGCCACCAAAATGTTGCAGGTGAGCAGCGACTATCTGGGGCCGGTGGCATGCAGATAAGAATTAACCAAGATAGTTGTAAGTAAAGAAAAGATGACTTACTAAAGTACAAAAACACAATGCAAGACTGCAATGGGCAAGTTAGCAAGAGAGGAGCTGACTGCCATAGACAAAGGCTTGCTGGGGATTTTATAGTATGATACTTGTGCTGTGTCCTGATGAGGGCTTTGTGCAGTACTGATAATGCCAAGGTTATCAGTACTGGAAACTAACTTGCATTTTTCTGTTACCTGGGGGTCTGGTAATAGCTGGACACAGGAAGATTGTGAGTTATTTGTGCAAGCGGGCTGTGTGTCCTGGACTATGAAGAAAGGCGGACATAGCCTGGGTGCGGTGGCTCATGTCTGTAATCCCAGTACTTTGGGAGGCCGAGGCAAGTGGATAACCTGAGGTGAGGAGTTCGAGACCAGCCTGATCAATATGGTGAAATCCCATCTCTACTAAAATACAAAAATCAGCTGGGCGTGGTGACATGCACCTGTAGTCACAGCTACTTGGGAGGTTGAGACAGGAGAATTGCTTGAACCCGGAAGGCAGAGGTTGCAGTGAGTCGAGATCATGCCAGCCTGGACAAGAGAACAAGACTCCATCTCAAAAAAAAAAAAAAGAAAAAAGAAACAAAAAGAAAAAAAAGGCAGACATAACTTTTCTTTTTTTTTCTCTCAGTCCCACCATCCCAACTATTTTTTCCCTAGTTAGGACTCCACACTATCAACACCTTGATTTTAGATTTCTACCCTCCAGAACTGTGAGACAATAAATTTCTATTGTTTTAAGCACCCAGTTTGTGGTAGTTTATTTTGGCAGCCCTAGAAAACTAATAGAGATTTTGGTATTGGGAAATGGGATCCTTGCTGTAACAAATACCTACAATTATGAAACTAGCTTTGTAATTGGGTAATGGGCAGAGGCTGGAAACATTTTGAGGCTCATTACAGAAGCAGCCTAGATTGCCTTAAAGTGAACATTGCTTGAAATGTAAATGTTAAAGGTACTTTTGGTGAGCTTCCTGGTATTGGGCATTGGAAGAAAGGTGATCTTCATTATAAAATGTCAAAGGATTCGGCTGAATTGTCTTCTACTGTTGGGAAGGAAGTAGAACTTGTAAGAGATGAGCTTGTTTATTTAAAGAAGGAAATTTCCAAGGAAAGTGTGTAACATGCATCCTGTTTCTGCCTTGATTCTTAGAGTAAGATGAGAAAGGAAATAGATAAATTAAGGAGCAAATTGTTAAGCATAAAGGAACCAGAACTTGAAGATTTGTAATATTCTCAACCTAACCATATTGCAAAAAAGTAAATAACCTGTGTTCTGGCTGGGCATGGTGGCTCACACCTGTAATCCTAGTACTTTGGGAGGCCAAAGTGGGCAGATCACTTGAGTGCAGGAGTTTAAGACCAGCCTGAGTAACATGGCAAAACCCTATCTCTACAAGAAAATACAAAAACTAGCCAGGTATGGTGGTGTGTGCCTGTAGTCCCAGCTACTCAGGAGGCTGAGGTAGGAGGATTATCTAAGTCCAGGGAGGTCAAGGCTGCAGGAAGCCATGATAATGCCACCACACTCCAGCCTGGGTGACAGAGCAAGACACCATCTCTAAATAAAGAAAGAAAGAAACAAGCTGTGTTCTGGAGAGAAGACTAAAAGTATGGCAGAACAACCATTGATAAAGATATTATGACTTACAGATATCCATAATTGTGACTTATGGATCCAATCAACCATCTAGCAGAAGCCAGGAATTGAGATGCAGTTATACAGTAAAGATCTATAAAGTACCCTCTTTTCTGTTGGCTTGGACCTCCATGAATTGCAGGGGAAGCCAACAAAATTTTTTTAGAATTTTATACCTCAGAAACACAACCAGCCTGGACTAAAAGAAACTGAAAAGGACAAAATGAAGGAAGAATGACTGGGAAAGCGATACATGCAGATAACTGAGCCATTTGGACCTGCTATATTCTAGAGAACAGGGCCACTGCCCAGGCCTGAGGGGGTGGGACCTCTCCCCAGGGCCAAAGGGGACAGGTCTACCACCAGGGATCCCAGGACCACTGCCTAGTCCTGAGGGTGTCGGGATAATGGCAGGGTTCCAGTGGGTGGAGACACTACCAAGATTCCAGAGGTGGTGCTGCTGCCCAGGGCTGAGAAGCGGGGGTGGGGGGTGTTGCCATCCAAGGCTGAAAGAGAGAATCACCAGTAGGGTTCTAGAGAGTAAGTTTGCTGGCAGGGCTGAGAGGGTGGGACTGCCATCCAAGGGTAAGGGAATAGGGTCACCTCCAGGGTTGCCAAGGGTGGAGGCACTAACCAGGGCTGAGAGTGCAGGGCTGCCATCCAAGGCTGAGGGGGCAAGGTCATCACCAGGATTCTAGAGCACAGGGCCACTGCCCAAGGCTGAGAGGGTGATGTGGCCACCCACAGCTGCTGCAATGAGATCACCACCAGGGCTCCAGATGGTGGGCCCACTGCCCAGGGCTGAAAGGGCAGTGCTGCCATCCAAGGCTGAAGGGGTGAGGTCACCAGCAGGGTTCCAGATGGTAGGCCCACTGCCCAGGGCAGTGTTGCCATCCAAGGTTGAGGGGGTGAGGTCATCACTAGAGTTCTAGAGCACAGGGCCACTGCCCAAGGCTGCAAAGGCAGAACTGCCACCCAAGGCTGAGGGGAGGTCACCAGTAGGGTTCCAGAGCACGGGTCCACTGCCTAGGGCTAAAGGGGTGGTGCTGTCACCCAAGGCTGAGGGGGTGTGGTCATCACCAGGGTTCCAGAGGGTGGGACCACTGCCCAGGGCTGAGGGGGTGGTGCTGCCACCCAAGGCTGAGGGGATAGGGTCATCAAAAGGGTTCCAGATAGTGGGAACATTGGCCAGGGCTGAGGGGGCGGTTTTGCCCCCCATGGCTGAGGAGGTGGGTTTATCACCAGGATTCCAGATGGTGGGACCACTGTCCAGGGCTGAGGGGGCTGTGCTGCCACCCAAGGCTGAGGGGGTGGGGTCATCAACAGGATTCCAGAGGGTGGTCCCACTGGCCAGGGCTGAGGGGGCGGTTCTGCCACCCAAGGCTGAGGGAGTGGGGTCATCAACAGGGTTCCAGATAGCGGGACCACTGCCCACTGCTGAGGGGGCACTGCTGCCACCCAAGGCTGAGTGGGTGTGGTCATCACCACGTTTCCAGATGGTGGGACCACTTCCCAGGCTGTGGGGGTGGTGCTGCCACCCAAGGCTGAGGGGGTGTGGTCATCACCAGGTTTCCAGATGGTGGGACCACTTCCCAAGGCTGTGGGGGTGGTGCTGCCACCCAAGGCTGAGGGGGTGGGGTCATCACCAGGGTTCCAGACTGTGGGACACTGCCCAGGGCTGAGAGGGCGGTGCTCCCACCCAAGGCTGAGGGGGTTGGGTCATCACCAAGATTCCAGAAGGTGGGACCACTTCCCAGGGCTGAGGGGGCTGTGTTGCCACCCACGGCTGAGGGGGTGGGGTCATCACCATGGTTCCAGATGGCGGGACCACTGCCTAGTTCTGAGAGGGTGGGGCTGCCACCCATGGCTGCGGAACTGATATTGTCATCAGGGTTCCAGACGGTGGGCCCACTGCCCAGGGCTGAGGGATTGGTGCTGCCATCCAAAGCTGAGGGAGTGGAGTCACCACCAGGATTCTAGAGTCCATGGCCCCTGCTGAAAACTGAGAGGATGGGGCTGCCATCCAAGCCTGAGGGGGTGAGGTCACTACCAGAGTACCAGAGGATAGAGCCGCGGCACAGTCCTGAGGGGTAGGAGCCACCTCTATGATTCCAATAGGCGAGGCCACTGCCCAGGGCTGAGACGGTGGTGCTGCCATCCAGGGCTGAGGGGGTGAGGCCACTGCCAGGCCTGAGAGGGCGGGTTTCCATCCAAGGCAGAGAGGGCAGAGCCACCTCCAAGGCTCCAGGGGACAGAGCCACTTCCTATGCCTGAGGGGGCAGAACCACCTCCAGAATTCTTGGGGGCAGGGCTATTGCCCTGGGCTGAAGGGGTGGGGCTGCCATCCAAGGCTGAGGGAGTGAGGTCATCCCCAGGATTCCAGCTGGTCGGGCTGCTGCCCATAGCTGAGAGAGCCGGGTTTCCATCCAAGACTGATGGAGCGGAGCTATTTCCCAGGGCTGATGGGCAGAACCACCTCCAAGGATCCTGAGAATTAGGCCACTGCCAAGGGCTGAAAGGGCAGAGCCACCTTTAAGACTCCAGAGGGTGGGGCTGCCATCCAAGGCTGAGGGGGTGGAGCCACCTGCAAGGTTCCTGAGTGCGGGGCTACTGCCCAGGGCTGAGACGGCAGGGCTGCCTTCCAAGGCTGAAGGTACAGAGCCATCTCTGGGTTTACAGATGGCAGGTCCACTGCCCAGGATCCAGGAAGTGGAGCTACCTCCAGGGTTCCTGCCCAGCAGGGCCACTGCCCAGGGCTGAGAGGGCGGGGCTGCTATCCAATTCTGAGGGGCAGAGCCACCTCCAGGGTTCCAGAGTGTGGAGCCACTGCCTCAGACCCAGGGGCCTGAGTCACCACCACTCAGGAATGAGGGGACAGGGCCACCAACCAGGACCCTGTGGACCAGGCTGCCTTCTCATTTCCAGAGGATAAGGCTATCTTCTATGTTTGCAGAAGATGGGGCTCCTGCCCAGGTTTGAGGGGTCAGGGTCACCAGCCAGGACCAATGGGATAAGCGGAATCTTTGGTTATAGATGGTAAGGTGGGCCCCTGAGTTCCATAGGGTAGCATCCCCCTCTTTCTTCAAAGGGTGGGACCACTGCTCTGGGATGAGAGCGTCAGTTTGCCTCCTCATTTCCAGAGGGCAGAGACATCTCCTGGGTTCCAGAGAACCAGGTGACTGCCAAGGCCTGAGTGGGCGGGACCTCTACCCAGGGTTCAGGGGACAGGATTGCCATATAAGGATGAGGAACCAGGGGCAAGGTAGCCTCTTCTTTACAGACATTGGGGCAGCCACCTAAGGATGAAGAGGTGAGTCCATTGGACAAAGCCACAGAAAATTATTCTGAAGCCTTAAAACCTAATGGAATTTTACCTGCTGTGTTGCAAACTGCCTTAGACCTTTTTACCGTCCAGTCTCTTTTTTTTTTTCCGAGATCGAGTCTCACTCTGTTGCCCAGGATGGAGTGCAGTGACGTGATCTTAGCTCACTGCAACCTCTGCCTCCCAGGTTCAAGTGATTCTCCTGTCTCAGCCTCCTGAGTAGCTGGGACTACAAGCGCCCGCCACCATGCGTGCCTAATTTTTGTATTTTTAGTAGTGACGGGGTTTCACCATGTTGGCCAGGCTGGTCTCGAACACCAGACCTCAGGAGTTCCACTTGATCCACCTGCCTCAGCCTCCCAAAGTGCTGGGTTTACAGGCATGAGCCACCATGCCTAGCCCAGTCTCCATTTTGGAATGGAAATGTTTATCCTATGCCTGTCCCACCATTGTATTTTGAAAGCAGATAACTTGTTTTCTGGGTTTTACAGATTTACAGCTGGAGGGGAATTTTACCTCAGGATGGACCATGGCCCAAACTTTACCCATCCCTGAATTAGATGAGATTTTGAACATAACGTTGATGCTGGAATGCGTTAAGACTTTTGTGAGTATTAAAATGGGGTGAATGTATTTTGCAGGTGGGAAGAACATTAATTTGGGGAGGCGGGGCAAAGAACAGATTGTGATGTGTTGAGCTGTGCCCTCCAGAAAAGGAAATGTTGAAGTTCGCACCCCCAGTATCTCAGAATGTCATCTCATTTAAAAATAAGGTCATTGCAAATGTAATTAGTTAAGTTAAAATGAGGTCATACTGGACCAAGATGGGTCCCTGATTCAATATAACTTGTGTCTTTTTAAGCCGGCAGCCAGGAGAAGACCAAGACACACCAGAAGAATTCCATCTGACAATGAAGGCAGAGATTGGGGTTATGCAATTGCAAGCCAAGGAATACCAAAGATTGCTGGCAAACCACCAGAAACTACGAAGAGGCAAAGAAGGACTCCCCTACAGGTTTCAGAGAAAAAGCAAGGTTCTGCCCACTCTTGTTTAAGACATCTAGCCTCCAAGACAGTGAGACAGTACATTTCTGTTGTTTTAAGCTACCCAGTTTGCGGTACTTTGTCATGGCAGCCCTGGGTAACTAGCACAGACTCTGACATCCTATGCTGTCCCATACATTGATAGCCCCCTCACTCTACTCATGCTCTGAATCCCATGCCAGACCATCTTTGATGTAAACACCTTCATTGATCTGCTTGGGCTCTGACATCCCTCACTTAGCTCCCCTTAAACATGGATGGCTTCCTTTCTCCTCCTGGCTTCTGATTCTTTACACCAAACCAACCCCCACAAGGAACAACTTTTTCACTTTCTTCAGGCTCTGCCTCCACTTCAGGCTGCCTTCATCTGTGGTTCCCCTCCTTACCCCAGTTAAGCACCAACATCTAGAGCTACACCTCTATTTGGACACCTATCTTGCTCCAACCCACCTCTTGAATTGTTCTAGAAGTAATGAGAAGGGAAAGAAAAGAACAGGAAACAGGAAGAGATAAAAGAAGAGCCAGACTTGGTTTTAAGAAATACAATATGAAAGATGAAGTGAAAGCGTCCTTCATATCCCTTCATAATTTCATTTGCCTCCCTTTCTCCCTAGAGATACTACTATACTGTATTTATTTTCCTCTTTTTCATGCAGGATTTTATGCTACTACTACATAAATAATTATCCATTAACATGATTCAAATAAGTTAGGTCATTCCACAGTTATATCAACTCTTGGTAGGTTTTGCTCAAGATTATGATTTGAAATACATGTTGTTAATATACGTAGCTCCAAGTCTTTCAACTTAAACTGCTATATGGGCATGAGCGAAGCATAAACTTTATTTGTCCAGTCTCCTGTTGATAGGCATTTAGGAAGTCCCACATTATAATTGTGACTTTGTCTATTTCTTTTGTTATCTCTATTGTTTTTTTGCTTCATGTATTTTGAGTCTCTATTATTTGGTGCATGTCCATTGATTTCCTGGTGGATTGGTGGTTTGATCTTTCTTTCTTTCTTTCTTTCTTTCTTTTTTTTTTTTTTTTTTGAGACGGAGTCTTGCTGGGTCACCCAGGCTGGAGTGCAGTGGCGCGATCTCGGCTCACTGCAAGCTCCGCCTCCCAGGTTCACGCCATTCTCCTGCCTCAGCCTCCTGAGTAGCTGGGACTACAGGTGCCCACCACCAGGCCCGGCTAATTTTTTGTATTTTTTAGTAGAGACGGAGTTTCACCATGTTAGCCAGGATGATATCGATCTCCTGACCTTGTGATTCGCCCGCCTCAGCCTCCCAAAGTGCTGGGATTACAGGCATGAGCCACCGCACCCAGCCGATCTTTGTTTCATTAAGTAATGTTTCTCTTTGTCTCTAGCAATTAAAGTCTACTTTATCTGATATTATTATGGCCACTCCTACTTTTGCAAATGCAAATGTGCTTTGAGTATCTTTTCCCATCCTTTTATTTTCAGCCTACTTACATGTATCATTGTATTTGCAGTGTATAGTATTTGTAGATAGCATGTAGTTGGATCATGTATTTTTTAATTGGTTCTGCCAATCTGTTTTCATTACTGAGTTTAGACCATTTACGCTTAGAGAAGTAATTACTGGTATGTTAGAGCTTAAATCTGCCATTTTATTTGTTTTCTGTTATTTCCCCTGTTTCTCATTCCTCTATTTCCCTTTTCTTGCCTTCCTGTGGGCTACTTGAACATTGTTAGAAGTTTATCTTGATTTATTTATAATGTTTTGAATATATCACTTCGTATAGTTTTCTTAATAGTTGCTCTAGGAATTACAAAATATATATATAGTTTACCACAACCTACTGGTATTAATATTTTACCACTTTGAATAAAGTGTAGAAGCCTTATTTCCATTTATGTCCCTTTGCACTTCCCACTTCTAAAATGTAATTGTTTTAGAAGAGGGAAAAAATAGATACTGAGGCCTACTTGAGGGTGGAGAATGAGAGGAAGGTTAGGGTCAAAAAACTACCTATCATGTACTATGCTCTCTACCTGGGTAACAAAATTATTTGCACACCAAACCCCATCAATGCACAATTTGCACATGTAACAAACCTACACATATGCCCCCAAACCTAAAATACAATTTGAAAGGGAAAAATAAAATATAATTGTCTTAAATATTTCCTTTACATGTATTCACCACCACATCAGATGCTCTTATACTTTTTGCTTCAACCATCAAATATGATTTAAGAAACTCAAGAAAAATAGAATAGTCTATTATATTTATCCCTATTTTTATCCATTCTTATGGGTTTTTTTTCCCTTCTGAAGTTCTAAGCCTACTTCTGTTATCATTTCCTTTCTGCGTAGATAACTTCTTTTAGCCATTCCTTAAGATAGGTTTGTTAGCAACACATTTTTAGTTTTCCTTCATCTCAGAATGTCTCTATTTCTTCTTCATTGATGAAAGATATTTTCATTAGGTATAGAATTCACAGTTGACAATTTGTTTCTTAAAAGAAAATGCTAAAGCACTTAAAAAATGCTGCACCTCTTCCTTCGGGCCTCCATCGTTTCAAATTCACATTCAAATTGGTGTTCTCCTGTAAATAATGTTTCTTTTATCTCTGACTGCTTTCAAGAATTTTTGTCTTTGTCATTAGTTTTCAGAAGTTTAACTATAATGTGTCATAGATAGATAGATGATAGATAGATAGATACATAGATAGATAGATAGATAGATAGATAGATAGATAGATAGATAGATAGATGATAGATAACGTGGAGACAGAGCATGAACTAGGTACAGTCTCAGTCCTTCATATATTTTCATTCTACTGAGCTTCTTGGCAGCAGACACTATGTTTTACTCACTGTTTTATCAGTGTACTCACTGTCAGGAACCAGCAGAGTCTGGCATAGAGTGGGCACTCAATAAATGTTGGCTGACTGAATGAGAAGGTAGAAACAAATAAGTAGAAGAAAGAGAGAAAGAGGAAGAGGAGGGCGAGAGAGATAATGAGCCCAAGACAGAGAAGAGAAAGACAAGGAGAAATGTATTGAGCCCTTGAAGAAACCAAGTGTTCTACATGGGACTGGGGGTGGTATGCCTAGGGGAAGGAGGGTCACAGTGTCTATAAAGGAGATAGATGTAAAAGTCAGTCCTATGGCCCTAATAAAAACTACACAATTACTCATCGAAGTTTGTTGAACAGAAATCAGTACGATCACAGCTACCATGGACAAAGCTTGATATATTTTGGTTTAGTTTAAATGAGGGGTATTGGTTTCAAAGAGATATTAAATTTCGACTCTAAGGGGCTGAAGTCTCGTGTGCCTGTGCGTCTGGTGAGGCTTAGCGGTCACCACTCCCCACTCACCCGCTGCCCACCCCACCTCCGAGGGTGACGCCCCTTGAGGACGTCAGCTCTCCAGCCTAGAAGGCAGCATTGTGAGGGGCGTGGCCTAGAGGACGTTCTACTCTGGCCACCACGATCTTGGCAGCCCACACCTGATCAGGACCTAAAGCGTGAAGGGTGTGAATGAGGAGAAACGAGGACCGCCTGCTACCCCAGCGTCTGGCCCCCTGGGGACTGAAGGCTGGCTCTGGAGCTGTACCTCGGCAACTGCTATAAGGCTGCCGAAGCCGCCGCCACTAAGGCGGCCGCCAGCAGCCTGAATGCAGGCAAGAAGCAGTGCCGCACCGTGAGTGGAGGCCGGTCCGTCTTCCTACTCGTGGCCCCAAATGAGGGTCTCCGGAAGGCGGACAGACCGAGTAGGGAGATCTCCGCGAGTGGGAGGGAACGAGGCGGGTTCTTGACTGCTCAGCTTTCAGCCCCTTAGCTCTGGGCAGCCGGTGGCTTTGGCGGCCACTGGCCACCACTGGCAGGGGTCGAGAGGTAGAACTGGTAACCCAGAAAAACGAGGACATCCAAGTTGTCAGCCGGCCTGGCGGGTTCCTTCAACCCCGAATGCATGGTTCTTTGGTTTATTTGGAGGTATTAGCCTATTTAATAGGAAGTAATAATACGTTTGGTCTAAACTAAATGAATAATTTCTATTAGGTTGGTGCAAAAGTAATTGCGGTTTTGCCATTACTTTCAATTACTTTTGCACCAATATACAGAAGAAAATACAAACTTCCAATTGCATCTGACAGAGCTCGCAGGAAAACCCCATTCCAGAGGTCAGAGCATATCATCTTTTGGATCTGTGTCTTGGGGTCAAGCTGCCTGTTATCCCAGGAAGCGATAATGTATTCTATACTACAGTTCTAAGTGAGAAGGTAAACGAAGTTTTAATAGTGCTTAAGTGATTTTCTTTTTTTTTTTTTTTTTTTTAATTATACTCTAAGTTTTAGGGTACATGTGCACATTGTGCAGGTTAGTTACATATGTATACATGTGCCATGCTGGTGCGCTGCACCCACTAACTCGTCATCTAGCATTAGGTATATCTCCCAATGCTATCCCTCCCCCCTCCCCCGACCCCACCACAGTCCCCAGAGTGTGATATTCCCCTTCCTGTGTCCAAGTGATCTCATTGTTCAATTCCCACCTATGAGTGAGAATATGCGGTGTTTGGTTTTTTGTTCTTGCGATAGTTTACTGAGAATGATGGTTTCCAATTTCATCCATGTCCCTACAAAGGACATGAACTCATCATTTTTTATGGCTGCATAGTATTCCATGGTGTATATGTGCCACATTTTCTTAATCCAGTCTATCATTGTTGGACATTTGGGTTGGTTCCAAGTCTTTGCTATTGTGAATAGTGCCGCAATAAACATACGTGTGCATGTGTCTTTATAGCAGCATGATTTATAGTCCTTTGGGTATATACCCAGTAATGGGATGGCTGGGTCAAATGGTATTTCTAGTTCTAGATCCCTGAGGAATCGCCACACTGACTTCCACAATGGTTGAACTAGTTTACAGTCCCACCAACAGTGTAAAAGTGTTCCTATTTCTCCACATCCTCTCCAGCACCTGTTGTTTCCTGACTTTTTAATGATTGCCATTCTAACTGGTGTGAGATGATATCTCATAGTGGTTTTGATTTGCATTTCTCTGATGGCCAGTGATGATGAGCATTTCTTCATGTGTTTTTTGGCAGCATAAATGTCTTCTTTTGAGAAGTGTCTGTTCATGTCCTTCGCCCACTTTTTGATGGGGTTGTTTGTTTTTTTCTTGTAAATTTGTTTGAGTTCATTGTAGATTCTGGATATTAGCCCTTTGTCAGATGAGTAGGTTGCGAAAATTTTCTCCCATGTTGTAGGTTGCCTGTTCACTCTGCTGGTAGTTTCTTTTGCTGTGCAGAAGCTCTTTAGTTTAATTAGATCCCATTTGTCAATTTTGGCTTTTGTTGCCATTGCTTTTGGTGTTTTGGACATGAAGTCCTTGCCCACGCCTTTGTCCTGGATGGTAATGCCTAGGTTTTCTTCTAGGGTTTTTATGGTTTTAGGTCTAACGTTTAAATCTTGAATCCATCTTGAATTGATTTTTGTATAAGGTGTAAAGAAGGGATCCAGTTTCAGCTTTCTACATATGGCTAGCCAGTTTTCCCAGCACCATTTATTAAATAGGGAATCCTTTCCCCATTGCTTGTTTTTCTCAGGTTTGTCAAAGATCAGATAGTTGTAGATATGTGGCATTATTTCTGAGGGCTCTGTTCTGTTCCATTGATCTATATCTCTGTTTTGGTACCAGTACCATGCTGTTTTGGTTACTGTAGCCTTGTAGTATAGTTTGAAGTCAGGTAGTGTGATGCCTCCAGCTTTGTTCTTTTGGCTTAGGATTGACTTGGCGATGAGGGCTCTTTTTTGGTTCCATATGAACTTTAAAGTAGTTTTTTCCAATTCTGTGAAGAAAGTCATTGGTAGCTTGATGGGGATGGCATTGAATCTGTAAATTACCTTGGGCAGTATGGCCATTTTCACGATATTGATTCTTCCTACCCATGAGCATGGAATGTTCTTCCATTTGTTTGTGTCCTCTTTTATTTCCTTGAGCAGTGGTTTATAGTTCTCCTTGAAGAGGTCCTTCACATCCCTTGTAAGTTGGATTCCTAGGTATTTTATTCTCTTTGAAGCAATTGTGAATGGGAGTTCACTCATGATTTGGCTCTCTGTTTGTCTGTTGTTGGTGTATGAGAATGCTTGTGATTTTTGTACATTGATTTTGTATCCTGAGACTTTGCTGAAGTTGCTTATCAGCTTAAGGAGATTTTGGGCTGAGATGATGGGGTTTTCTAGATAAACAATCATGTCGTCTGCAAACAGGGACAATTTGACTTCCTCTTTTCCTAATTGAATACCCTTTATTTCCTTCTCCTGCCTGATTGCCCTGGCCAGAACTTCCAACACTATGTTGAATAGGAGCGGTGAGAGAGGGCATCCCTGTCTTGTGCCAGTTTTCAAAGGGAATGCTTCCAGTTTTTTCCCATTCAGTATGATATTGGCTGTGGGTTTGTCATAGATAGCTCTTATTATTTTGAAATACGTCCCATCAATACCTTATTTATTGAGAGTTTTTAGCATGAAGGGTTGTTGAATTTTGTCAAAGGCTTTTTCTGCATCTATTGAGATAATCATGTAGTTTTTGTCTTTGGCTCTGTTTATATGCTGGATTACATTTATTGATTTGCGTATATTGAACCAGCCTTGCATCCCAGGGATGAAGCCCACTTGATCATGGTGGATAAGCTTTTTGATGTGCTGCTGGATTCGGTTTGCCAGTATTTTATTGAGGATTTTTGCATCAATGTTCATCAAGGATATTGGTCTAAAATTCTCTTTTTTGGTTGTGTCTCTGCCCGGCTTTGGTATCAGAATGATGCTGGCCTCATAAAATGAGTTAGGGAGGATTCCCTCTTTTTCTATTGATTGGAATAGTTTCAGAAGGAATGGTACCAGTTCCTCCTTGTACCTCTGGTAGAATTCGGCTGTGAATCCATCTGGTCCTGGACTCTTTTTGGTTGGTAAACTATTGATTATTGCCACAATTTCAGAGCCTGTTATTGGTCTATTCAGAGATTCAACTTCTTCCTGGTTTAGTCTTGGGAGAGTGTATGTGTCGAGGAATGTATCCATTTCTTCTAGATTTTCTAGTTTATTTGCGTAGAGGTGTTTGTAGTATTCTCTGATGGTAGTTTGTATTTCTGTGGGATCGGTGGTGATATCCCCTTTATCATTTTTTATTGTGTCTATTTGATTCTTCTCTCTTTTTTTCTTTATTAGTCTTGCTAGCGGTCTATCAATTTTGTTGATCCTTTCAAAAAACCAGCTCCTGGATTCATTGATTTTTTGAAGGGTTTTTTGTGTCTCTATTTCCTTCAGTTCTGCTCTGATTTTAGTTATTTCTTGCCTTCTGCTAGCTTTTGAATGTGTTTGCTCTTGCTTTTCTAGTTCTTTTAATTGTGATGTTAGGGTGTCAATTTTGGATCTTTCCTGCTTTCTCTTGTAGGCATTTAGTGCTATAAATTTCCCTCTACACACTGCTTTGAATGTGTCCCAGAGATTCTGGTATGTGGTGTCTTTGTTCTCGTTGGTTTCAAAGAACATCTTTATTTCTGCCTTCATTTCGTTATGTACCCAGTAGTCATTCAGGAGCAGGTTGTTCAGTTTCCATGTAGTTGAGCGGCTTTGAGTGAGATTCTTAATCCTGAGTTCTAGTTTGATTGCACTGTGGTCTGAGAGATAGTTTGTTATAATTTCTGTTCTTTTACATTTGCTGAGGAGAGCTTTACTTCCAACTATGTGGTCAATTTTGGAATAGGTGTGGTGTGGTGCTGAAAAAAATGTATATTCTGTTGATTTGGGGTGGAGAGTTCTGTAGATGTCTATTAGGTCTGCTTGGTGCAGAGCTGAGTTCAATTCCTGGGTATCCTTGTTGACTTTCTGTCTCATTGATCTGTCTAATGTTGACAGTGGGGTGTTAAAGTCTCCCATTATTAATGTGTGGGAGTCTAAGTCTCTTTGTAGGTCACTCAGGACTTGCTTTATGAATCTGGGTGCTCCTGTATTGGGTGCATAAATATTTAGGATAGTTAGCTCCTCTTGTTGAATTGATCCCTTTACCATTATGTAATGGCCTTCTTTGTCTCTTTTGATCTTTGTTGGTTTAAAGTCTGTTTTATCAGAGACTAGGATTGCAACCCCTGCCTTTTTTTGTTTTCCATTGGCTTGGTAGATCTTCCTCCATCCTTTTATTTTGAGCCTATGTGTGTCTCTGCACGTGAGATGGGTTTCCTGAATACAGCACACTGATGGGTCTTGACTCTTTATCCAACTTGCCAGTCTGTGTCTTTTAATTGCAGAATTTAGTCCATTTATATTTAAAGTTAATATTGTTATGTGTGAATTTGATCCTGTCATTATGATGTTAGCTGGTGATTTTGCTCATTAGTTGATGCAGTTTCTTCCTAGTCTCGATGGTCTTTACATTTTGGCATGATTTTGCAGCGGCTGGTACCGGTTGTTCCTTTCCATGTTTAGTGCTTCCTTCAGGAGCTCTTTTAGGGCAGGCCTGGTGGTGACAAAATCTCTCAGCATTTGCTTGTCTATAAAGTATTTTATTTCTCCTTCACTTATGAAGCTTAGTTTGGCTGGATAGGAAATTCTGGGTTGAAAATTCTTTTCTTTAAGAATGTTGAATATTGGCCCCCACTCTCTTCTGGCTTGTAGGGTTTCTGCCGAGAGATCCGCTGTTAGTCTGATGGGCTTTCCTTTGAGGGTAACCCGACCTTTCTCTCTGGCTGCCCTTAACATTTTTTCCTTCATTTCAACTTTGGTGAATCTGACAATTATGTGTCTTGGAGTTGCTCTTCTCGAGGAGTATCTTTGTGGCGTTCTCTGTATTTCCTGAATCTGAACGTTGGCCTGCCTTGCTAGATTGGGGAAGTTCTCCTGGATAATATCCTGCAGAGTGTTTTCCAACTTGGTTCCATTCTCCACATCACTTTCAGGTACACCAATCAGACGTAGATTTGGTCTTTTCACATAGTCCCATATTTCTTGGAGGCTTTGCTCATTTCTTTTTATTCTTTTTTCTCTAAACTTCCCTTCTCGCTTCATTTCATTCATTTCATCTTCCATTGCTGATACCCTTTCTTCCAGTTGATCGCATTGGCTCCTGAGGCTTCTGCATTCTTCACGTAGTTCTCGAGCCTTGGTTTTCAGCTCCATCAGCTCCTTTAAGCACTTCTCTGTATTGGTTATTCTAGTTATACATTCTTCTAAATTTTTTTCAAAGTTTTCAACTTCTTTGCCTTTGGTTTGAATGTCCTCCCGTAGCTCAGAGTAATTTGATCGTCTGAAGCCTTCTTCTCTCAGCTCATCAAAATCATTCTCCATCCAGCTTTGTTCTGTTGCTGGTGAGGAACTGCGTTCCTTTGGAGGAGGAGAGGCGCTCTGCGTTTTAGAGTTTCCAGTTTTTCTGTTCTGTTTTTTCCCCATCTTTGTGGTTTTATCTACTTTTGGTCTTTGATGATGGTGATGTACAGATGGGTTTTCGGTGTAGATGTCCTTTCTGGTTGTTAGTTTTCCTTCTAACAGACAGGACCCTCAGCTGCAGGTCTGTTGGAATACCCTGCCGTGTGAGGTGTCAGTGTGCCCCTGCTGGGGGGTGCCTCCCAGTTAGGCTGCTCGGGGGTCAGGGGTCAGGGACCCACTTGAGGAGGCAGTCTGCCCGTTCTCAGATCTCCAGCTGCGTGCTGGGAGAACCACTGCTCTCTTCAAAGCTGTCAGACAGGGACACTTAAGTCTGCAGAGGTTACTGCTGTCTTTTTGTTTGTCTGTGCCCTGCCCCCAGAGGTGGAGCCTACAGAGGCAGGCAGGCCTCCTTGAGCTGTGGTGGGCTCCACCCAGTTCGAGCTTCCCGGCTGCTTTGTTTACCTAAGCAAGCCTGGGCAATGGCGGGCGCCCCTCCCCCAGCCTCCTTGCCGCCTTGCAGTTTGATCTCAGACTGCTGTGCTAGCAATCAGCGAGGTTCCGTGGGCGTAGGACCCTCTGAGCCAGGTGTGGGATATAGTCTCGTGGTGCGCCGTTTCTTAAGCCGGTCTGAAAAGCGCAATATTCGGGTGGGAGTGACCCGATTTTCCAGGTGCGTCCGTCACCCCTTTCTTTGACTTGGAAAGTGAACTCCCTGACCCCTTGCGCTTCCCAGCTGAGGCAATGCCTCGCCCTGCTTCGGCTCGCGCATGGTGCGCACACACACTGGCCTGCGCCCACTGTCTGGCACTCCCTAGTGAGATGAACCCGGTACCTCAGATGGAAATGCAGAAATCACCCGTCTTCTGCGTCGCTCACGCTGGGAGCTGTAGACCGGAGCTGTTCCTATTCGGCCATCTTGGCTCCTCCCTTAAGTGATTTTCTTTACCCTTTTCAGTTTGCTGTTAAATGGGAAACATTTTGCTATGATTTTGCTTTGTGTTAACTTCAGTTTTACATACCAAGTTAAATGAGTTGAAGTGTTTAAATTCTTAAACCTCATTTTAATGACAGAAAGCCCCATGATATGCCTCAGCCGCCCCATCCAACCTTATCTCCAACCCAAGAGTCTTCACTGACAGGTTGGGGTCTTTTCTGCCTACCCACACATACCCTGCTGATTCCTACTTCCGTGCCTTCGTCCATCCAGCTACTGAAACTTGACATGCACTCTCCTCCTCTCCTTCACAACAGTCAATCCCAACCTCTGTGTTCAGGAATTGGACTGAGGTTGAGGCTACAGGAAGACTGAATATAGGGTTCACAGATAGGGATTCCACAGGACACTTCCAGCCTAAAGACAGGCCTGGGAGAGGAGAGAGAGAGAAAGCAGTTAGGTTTACCCAAATCAGCCCATTGTCTGTATTCTCTCACTTCCCATTCTGCTTGCAAGTTTTATTTTCAGTGAACAGCCTAATCATTTAAATAAATTGATGTTTAAAAGTGTGGCTTCGTTTATTTTTACATTTGTAATGCTTTTGAATCTACTTGTTTGTGGCTTTTTTAACCTTCTTAGGATTTTAACCTGACTGATCCTTACTGCCAAATTTAGGAAACCAGGTTTATAAAAGTCTACATGATGCACATTTAAAAACAAACTATCAGTGAAAAGATATTCTGAGGCCATTAAAGAAGGGTGGCTACATCACTAGCAATAATAAAGTGCATTGAAGCATACCTCCTGTTAACCAGCCAAGACCTAGGTGCTTCCCTTTACCTCACTGGGAGCCTGTGTCAACTTTCAATTGAGCAGTAGAGGACTCCCAATAAAAGACTCAATGAATAACTCAGTACTGGGGCCAAGGGAAATCAGGTAGCTGTTTTGTCTAAATAAAACTCATTCCTACTTGACCTTTATTTCCATTTTAATAGCAACAGATATTACCAATGATTTGAGTATGCAAAGATACACACACACTTATTTATTTATTTATTTATTTATTTATTTATTTATTTATTTTCACCCAGTTGTATTGTAGTGCTTTTCCTCTGGCTCCAAAAGTGGTAATATCACCGTCTACCTGTCAAAGAATATTTCTCATACACTTTGAGAAAACTGGAGATAAAATGAGAAACTAGCAAAATACAGATTGATAGAATAAATTCTTTGGGGAGTTAAGCATCATTATTATATACGTGTTTTAATAACAATTTGATTGGGAATAGTAAATTCCTGATTATGATATGAACCATACTAATAAAACAATGTTTGGATAGAAATTTCTTGGTGAGACAGCAATTGTATAAAGATGCTGACTTCAAAATTGTCACCAAAATATGTTGTTATTAGACCTTATCCCAAATTTTTATTAAAATGAATATTCTTTTCACCCTCTCCTCTGTAAAGTGTTATCATTGTTACAACCTTGTATTTATATTGTTGGTTTTTGTTTTTGTAGGTTATATGTCCCTTGAAGGAGTTGAGTAAATACAGGCAGTATGTGACTAGTTTAAAATTAGACTTTGAAAGAAACTGTATAAGAGAACAAGTAAGTTAAATACTTAAATTTGTTTATTTGGGGCCTGTAAGAAAAGTTTTATGTAAGGTTTGGTCCTACGCAGAATATGTTCTTATAATATTTTGACCTAGAAGTATTTATTAAGGTAACAAATCAAAAGGCTAAGACCTCTATAAAAGATCTGTAAAAGATAAAATGAGACATTTGTCTTTCATTTCTAGAGAAAAAAAATTCACCTGTCTGAAATGGAGCCACACTAGACTTAAATGTAGGCTAACAGAATTAGCCATTTGCAAAGCATAGGATGTTTACTAAGCCTGAAACATAAGACAGATCAAAGGACAGGTTTATGTCTGGCAAATATAAAGGCTTTACTCCTTTTTATGTTTCAGAAAATGATTGAAAAGGTAAATAAATTATGTAAAACAAAGAGAGCCTGTGACAGTTAGGCTACTGCCCAATTTCAAGAATGGCTATTACAGGAAGGTACACAAACAGGTCTGGACCAATAGTTTTTCATAAAACATAGGTATAATGAAAGCTAATGCCTAATTCTTGTGGACATTGTGGATCCCAAAAAGTTGTATCAATACTAGAAATAATTAAAAATAGGACGAACAAAAGTACTAGACACTGTTTAACCTCCCTAACCTCCCTACAGTTTTTTTTTGTGTGTGTTTTGTTTGTTTGTTTTGTTTGTTTGTTTGTTTTTTAGACAGAGTCTCACTCTGTCACCCAGGTTGGAGTGCAGTGGTTTGATCTCAGCTCACTGCAACCTCTGCCTCCCAGTTTCACGCGATTCTCCTGCCTCAGCCTCCTGAGTAGCTGGGATTACAGTCACATGCCACCACACCCACCTAATTTTTGTATTTTTAGTAGAGACAGGGTTTTGCCATGTTAGCCAAGCTGATCCTGAACTCCTGACCTCAACTGACCCGCCCACCTTGGCCTCCCAAAGTGCTGGGATTACAGGCGTTGGCCACCATGCCTGGCTCCCTGTAGTTTTCAACATGCAGAGAAAGGAAGCCAGACCAAGAAGTACAGAAATTGGGAACCTTGGTACCAAGAATAGGGAGGAGAGTTTCTACCTAAGAAGTTGGAGCCACTAGAAACCCAAGAGATAAGCAAAACTGATGTTTGAAGAAGAAATCCAAAATACAAATCCCTGATCTTGTGAAACCCAGTCTACAATAGCAGAGGGAGAGAGAAGGTGCCTTTAGCATATGTTTCAAACTTAAGTTTAAGGAAATTACTGCAAGGTCAAAACAGGAAAGTTGCTATAACTTTATTTGATGCTAATGTAAACAGGTGTCATTCCCCAACCAACTATGTATGTTCATTCAGCTACTACCCACACATATTCAATGATACCACTCAGAAGTCAAGCCCATGCCTCGGGAAATGAAAGGATGAGTTATAATTCTTTCTCTTTCTCCTTTATCGGGGTAAGGGCCAGTTCTCCATCCCCTGGTTCTTATATTCCATAGATTCATCACAATATGCCAGAATACAAACTGATCCACCAGAATCCCAGGCTGATAGTCTATAGACCTCATATATAAGACCTCCACTTATTTTTTCAAGGAAATTCAAATCTGCTGGGTTTTTTTAAAGTCAGTCCTTCAGTTAATTCCAATCATCTTTAGAAACTCATGTTCCCCAAACTACTGAGTTATGAATAATTTCTATGTAAAATGTTTTCAATCACTCTGTATCACATTTGCCATTGTCCTAGCCATAATAATAGACAATTCTACAACAAAGACAACAAAGGTAAAATTCTACAACAAAGGTAAAAATGAGTGCAGCATGATGAGTTAGTGGATCAGGCTTGAATAACTTTAAATTTTCTGTAGCTCAAGAAATAAAAAAACAATGAAGCAGGTAATTTGGGAATATCAAAGCAGGCAATGCCATTGTAAGGGTAACACCCAGTTTACCTTCACTTATTGTGCACTTATTTTTTCTTTTCCTTTTTTTGGGACAGGGTTTCACTCCAATCACCCAGGCTGGAGTGCAGTGGGATGCTCTCAGTTCACTGCAGCATCAACTTCCCGAGCTCAGGTGATCCTCCAGCCTCAACTTCCCAGTAGCTGGGACTATAGTCACATGCCACCATACCTGGCTAATTTTTGGTATTTTTAGTAGAGACAGGTCTCACCATGTTGCCCAGGCTGGTCCCAAACTCCTCGGCTCAAGTGATCCCCCAACCTCAGCCTCCAAAAATGCTAGGATTACAGGCATGGGACACAGTGCCCAGCCAATATTTGCACTTTTATGTAGATATTGATATATGATTATATGAAATTGGACACAGCAGGAAAGCAGAGTGTACTCAAGATGAAAGAAAAAAAAAGACGATATGAAGACTGTTGCGGGAAGTCAGGGACCCCGAACAGAGGGACCAGCTGGAGCCGTGGCAGAGGAACATGAATTGTGAACATTTCATGGACATTTATCAGTTCCCAAATAATACTTTTATAATTTCTTATGCCTGTCTTTACTTTAATCTTTAATCCTGTTCTCTTCATAAATTGAGAATGTACATCACCTCAGGACCACTGTGATAATTGTGTTAACTGTACAAATTGATTGTAAAATCTGTGTTTGAACAATATGAAATCAGTGCACCTTGAAAAAGAACAGAATTAGGGAAAAAGGGAAGACAACCATAAGGTCTGACTGCCTGTGGGGTTGGGCAAAAAGAGCCATATTTTTCTTCTTGCAGAGAGCCTATAAACAGACATGCAAGTAGGAGAGATATCGCTAAATTCTTTTCCTAGCAAGGAATATTAATATTAATACCCTGGGAAAGGAATGCATTCCTGGGGGGAGGTCTATAAACGGCTGCTCTGGGAGGGTCTGTCTTATGCAGTTGAGATAAGGACTGAGATACACCCTGGTCTCCTGCAGTACCCTCAGGCTTATTAGGGTGGGGAAAAACTCTGCCCTGGTAAATTTGTGGTCAGACAAGTTCTCTGCTCTCCATCCCTGTTTTCTGTTGTTTAAGATGTTTATCAAGACAATATGTGCACCGGTGAACATAGACCCTTATCAGTAGTTCCGCTTTTGCCTTTTGCCTTTTGCCTTGTTATCTTTGTTGGACCCTTATCAGTAGTTCTCCTTTTTGCCCTTTGAAGCATGTGATCTACCCCCTATTCTTATACCCGCTCCCCTTTTGAAGCCCTTAATAAAAGACTTGCTGGTTTGAGGCTCAGGTGGGCATCACAGTCCTACCAATATGTGATGTCACCCCTGGCAGCCCAGCTGTAAAATTCCTCTCTTTGTACTCTTTCTCTTTATTTCTCAGCCGGCCAACACTTATGGAAAATAGAAAGAACCTATGTTGAAATATTGGGGGCAGGTTCCCCCAATACAGGACCACATAAGAAGAAATCTTGATCTCTGTAGACAAATTGAAGAGGTGAGTAACACTGGATTTTAAATATTAAGGGAAAAACTGTCTGCCTGTTTTATTTATAAACATTTTTAGCAGTCTTATCATATTACCTGAAGTTATTTCAGGTCTAAAAAATAAGTCCTCTTAATATTTTATCACTGTGATAATATACAAGCTTTTTTTTTTGAGACAGAGTTTTGCTCTTGTTGCCTGGGCTGGAGTGCAATGGCATGATCTCGGCTCACCGCAACCTCCACCTCCCAGGTTCAAGCAATTCTCCTGCCTCAGCCTCCCTAGTAGCTGGGATTACAGGCATGTGCTACCATGCCCGGCTAATTTTGTATTTTTAGTAGAGATGGGGTTTCTCCATGTTGGTCAGTCTGGTCTCAAACTCCCGACCTCAGGTAATCCACCCACCTCAGCCTCCCAAAGTACTGGGATTACAGGCAAGAGCCACTGCGCCTGGCCCAAGCTTTTACTTAAAATAATGAGACTGATACCACAAATTATGTATCCCTTACAGTATAGTTACATCTCATCTGCTCTTTAAAGTTTTAGAATTTAGCTCTAGTGAAAAAAATCATGCCTGTATTCTCACTGCCCCAAATTCACACAAGGCTACTATCTGTCTGGTTTCCCTGTCAAAATACATGTAAGAACATGAGATCACACACCATACACCCCGAGTCCAGAAGACAAAATCCTTTTGCCAGCATCCTTTCCAATCCACTTTTGGAGCCAGCTTAGGTTTGAATTAAGTGTCTAATAACAAAATAAGTTTTCCTACTGCCATTCCATTGCATCTACCAACACTTTCCCAATAAAACACAGTAAAATAAGCCCATTTAAAGCCAATGCAAGATTTTCATTATGATTGACCTGATTTCTATTAGGCCATTGATTTGCTCAAATTTCCTTATTGGTAGTAGATACTAAAAATAATTATTATGAAAGAGAATCCATGCTGACTACTGTAACATTGTGTTCCTTATGAATGGAAGGCAAAAAAGTCCTGTTGTGTCTGACAAAAATTAAGTCGTAAATAGAGAAGCAAGAGCTGAAGAATGACACCAGAAAACCTGAGGACAAACTGGCTGGAAGGTAGTAGAGTGGGCTTTTACCAATGACTTGGGCTGTTTGAGGAAATGCTTTGGCCATTTTTGCTATTTTTAAATGTGAATTGTCTGAAATGGCCTAAACTCATGAAGAAGGCTACTGATAGACCCATTCTGGCCTGAACCTATACTTCAAGGGCTGGCCTGAAATGAGACTTGTCTCCAGAAAGTGGCCAGTAAGTGAAATTGGATTTAGTTATTAAAATATATTCTTCTTCATGCTAGACCACAAAAGGATATTTACCCCTATCTTTCTAGCTTTGTACTCATTGTGACTTTAGAAATGTCAAGATAGGAATTGAGGGTTCACTTCAAATATACCATCACATTTGAAATCTCTATTTTGCTTTGCCAGTGGCAAGTTGATACTAAACTTTTAAAATATATTAAATATATATTTATGTATTACTTATTTTATTGTATTTTTTTCTAGAGACGGGCTCTCACTCTGTCACCCAAACTGGAGTACAGTGGCACAATCATAGCTCACTGTAGCCTCAACCTCCTGGGCTCAAGTGATCCTCCCACCTCGGCTTCCCAAGTAGCTGGGACTACAAGTGCACACCACCATACCTAGATATTTTTTTGTTGTTGTTTTTGGTAGAGATGGTTTCTCATTATGTTGCCCAGGCTAGTCTTGAACTCCTGGGCTTGAGTGATCCTCCTGCCTAGGCCTCCCAAAGTCGTGGAATAATAGGCATGAGCCGCCACATTCAGCCTATTTTTAAAAATATTTTAGAAACAAGCACTTCTAGAGAAAAACAATTACCTATTTTTACAAACAATGTTTTAAAAATGACCTGTAAGATGAAGACCAGAGGAAAGTGCATTTGAAAACAAACGACAAGATGAAACAGAAGGTGAGAGAGAGAGACAATTAAAAAGTGGCTACATAGAAGATGCATCCCTGTATATTAAATATTGTTGTCTTTATAAAAACCCCCTCTGCTTATACAGTGAGGTCACAAGGCCCTTGCAAAGGTAAGTCCTAAGAGTTCATGTTCCTAGAGCCAGGTACTATGTAAGGCACTTCTTAGTTACATCTCCAGGTGTAGAGTGTACATGCACACACACACACACACATACACACACACGTGTCTGTATGCAGAGAGATAGAGAGAGAAACCCTCTGTACATGAGTTTTTCTGGCAAGGATGTTTTTCTGGCAAGGATTGAAAAGGATGCTGGCAAGAGGGTTTTTGTCTTCCTTTTCTCCTCTCTTTTTTGTCTTATTTTTCTCCTCTCTCTTTTTCTCCTCTCTCTCTCTCTCTCTCTCGAGAGAGAGAGAGAGAGAGAGAGAGTTAGTGAGACAAAGAGAAAAAGGTTGTAAAGGAATATAAAGGAAAAGACATTTAAAAATACACAAAGCAAGAAACAGAGAAAAAGTAAGAACAAAAAGGTTGAAAAGGAGGAAGTGGTAAGAGAAGACAGTGCAGAAACAAAGAATGAAATGGAGAGAGGGAGAGAAAGAGAATAGAGAGAAAAAGAAAGAAAATGGAACAGAAGCAGCCAGTAGGAAAACACAAGCACACACTCTGGATGAAGGAATGGAGGGAGAACAAAGAGAAAGAAACAAATGAGAGACTGAAAGAGGGTGGGGGAGGAGGAAGAAAATGAAAGAAAGGGAGCAAGAAAAAGACATACAGAAAAAAAGGCACAGGAACAAGAAAGGGGGAGGTGAGGTAGAGAGGAATGGGGGAGAGCAGGAGATAGAACAGAAAGAAGTTTTAAAAGATAAGTCAGTAGGAAAAAATAAAATGAAAACGATAGAACGTGAAAGTGAGAGAAAAATTTGAAGAAAAGCCAGTTAGAAAATCAAGTACATTTGGCAGGGGGTGACAGATTAAAAATGAAAAGTCATTTTTAAAAATTAGAAGTCAGTAAAAGAAAACAAAGATAGGTAGGTAGAATACACTTTTTTGGTTTTTTTTAGATGGAGTCTCACTCTGTTACCCAGGCTGGAGTGCAGTGGTGCAATCTCAGCTCACTGCAACCTCCACTTCCTGGGTTCAAGCGATTCTCCTGCCTCAGCCTCCCAAGTAGCTGGGACTACAGGCACATGCAACCACGCCCAGCTAATTTGTTGTGTGTTTTTAGTAGAGAAGGGGTTTCACCATGTTGGCCAGGGTGGTCTCAAACTCCTGAGCTCAGGTGATCTGCCCACCTCGGCCTCCCAAAGTGCTGGGATTACAGGCATGGGCCACTGCGTCCGGCCAGAATACACTTTCAAAAGGAGAAAGCAGTAAGAAGAGGCAGTATGATGAAGACAGACTGAATAAAAGAAAAGGATATGGGAGGAAGAAGAAAATCGGAGAAAAATAAAATAAGAAGGAAGCAGTAAGAAAGCCAGTACAAGAAAATATATAGAACTAAAACAAAAAAAATGAATAAGAAAAAGTGAAATAAAAAGAGGGGAAATAGAAAAGGAGAGAAAGCACAAAGAAAATGGAAGATTAAAGGGGTAAATCAATAAGAATAGCTCAGTAAGGAAAAAGAGAGACTTAAAAAGAAGACAGTAATGTTAAATGATAGATGTATAGATAGAAAATATGAACAGACTTTTAAAAGGAAGAGCCAATAAAAAAAAAGGCAGTACAAGAAAATATAGAAAGAAACCATGGAATAAGTAAAGAAGGTTGGGAAGAGAGAGAGACAGAGATAAAGAGACAAAGAGAGAGTAGGCAAGTAAGATGACATTAAAAAAGAAAATCCAGTAAAAAAGACAGGACAAAAAAAAGGAAGGAGAGAGAAAGAGATGGAGAAGTAGAGAAAACAGTTTTAAAAGAAGCCTATAAAAACAAATAAAAAAAAGACCTATTGGAGGAAGGGAGGAAGGAAGTAAGGCAGGCAGGCATGCAGGCAAGCAAAGTAAAGAGAGAGTGAGGCCTGGCACAGGCCCTCCTTGGCCTCCCAAAGTGCTGGGATTACAGGCGTGAGCCACTGCACCTGGCCTGTTGTACTATCTTCTAACATGCCGTGACATAGAACTATAAGCTAAATTCCTCCTACAATTAGCAGGCATACATGCAGAGCTGAGCAGAAGCTTTTAACCTAAAGGAAATTACCACAGGGAGTCAGATGCAAAAATGGAGTCAGTCATGCTAAGCCTCCCTCTATTGTTACAAAAGGAGCCAGAAGAATAAAGTATACCAAAAAATATAAGAAAAAAAGATATAAAGAAGTAGAAAAGGAAAGAGAGACAGATATTGACAGAACAAAAAAGAGAGAAGAGTTTTAAAATGAGAAACCTATAAGAAGACTTTACAAAGAAGAGAAGGAGAAAAAGGAAAAATGTAAAAGAAGGTGCCAACAATAAAAGATATTCAAGAGAGCTATAGAGATAAATATGTAAAAAACAGTGGGGGGAGCAATTAAGAAAGAATATGAAAAAGAGAAGGAAAGAAAGCGATGAAGAGAGAAAAACTTAGATGTTTAACAAGGAAGAGTCAATAAGAAATGCCACTGCAAAAAATAATAAATGCAAGACAGAAAGAGAATGAAATAAGTTCTGAAATGAGCCAATACAAAAATTAGTGCAAAAAGATGGAAAGAGTGAAGTAAAGTGAGAGAGAAAGGGAGAAAGGGGAAGAGAGGAACTTAGGAAGGAGGGAAGACATTTATAACCGATGAGTCAGTAGGGAAAACAGATTTTTTTTAAAAGAAAGGGAATATTAGAGTGAGAGAGGGGAGCCCATAAGAAATTAACCAAGTACAATTTTGCAATGGCAAACAGATGATGAAAGGTGGAGTCCAAAAAAAAAACACAGAAAAATAGAGACAGAAAAATAGAAGATTGATAGCTGAATAGATAGCTAGACAGTACGTAGGTTGGCAAGTAAGTAGATAGATGTGTGAGTGAGAGACAGAGAGAAGGCAGAAACTAGTTTAAAAAAGAAGGTATGAAAAAATGAGAAAGAAAGAGTGAGGGGAGAGAAAACAGTATGGATGGGGCAACAAAAGAAGGATGGAAGGAAGGAAGGAAGGCGGGCAGGCAAGTGAGCAGGAAGTAAGGATGAATGGGGCAGGAGAAAGGGAGAAAGGGAGAGAAGTATGGAGAAAGGAAAGAAGGCAGTTAGGCATGGGGGCAGAAAACAAAAAGAGAAAGTTTGGAAAAGAGAAAGTTAAAGAAATTGAGTGAGAAAAGTCAGAAAAGTTATAGAGGCAGGCATGAAAGAAGGAGGAAAAAGAAGGGAAGAACTGGAGGCAGCAAGCAAGAGATGTTAAAAGAAGAGGCTAGGCCAGGCACACTGGCTCACGCCTGTAATCTTAGCACTTTGTTTGCACCACCGCACTCCAGCCTGGGCAACACAGTGAGACCCTGTCTAAAAAAAAAAAAAGCAGCAGCAGCTAGTTGAAAGTAGACTGAAATAAAGAAAGACAGATACAAAGGATGGCAGACATAAGGCAGGAAAACAGGTAGGCAGATGGACCAGATAGATAGATAGAGAGATGATAGATAGATACATAGATAGATAGATAGATAGATAGATAGATAGATAGATAGATAGATAGATTTGGTCTTAATGGTGGAAGCCAGCAAAACAAAAAAAAAACATATGAAATTAATAAAAAGAGACAGTAGCACCCCCCCCCACAAAAAAAAGGAGAGGGAAGGAAATAAATAGGTTTTAAAAGAGGAGGCACTAGAAAAAGTGTAAATTGAGACTTGAAGGGAGGGAGGAAAGAAGGGAGGAAGAAAGGAAGATAGAATAAAAATAAGAAAGAAGAAAAGAAATTTACAAATGGTGAGTCAATAGGGAAAGGAGTTAAAGAGGAGAAACCAAATATGGAGTGAAAGGGAGGAGCCAATAAGAAAATCAAGTACAACTGTGTGAAAGGGAGGAGATTTAAAAAGTAGAAGTCACTTTTTAAAAAACAGTAAAATAAAGATGGATAGATAGCTAGGTAAGGACTTTAGTAAGTAGATAAACAGAAAGACAGATAGACACAATCCTAGACAGTGCTAGGATTACAGGCGTGAGCCAGCGTGCCTGGTCTAGCTTCTTCTTTTAACATCTCCTGCTTGCTCCCTCCAGTTTTTCCCTTTTTTCCTCCTTCTTTCGTGCCTGCCTCTATAAATTTTCTGTCTTTTCTCACTCAATTTCTTTAACTGTCTCTGTTCCAAACTTTCACTTTGACTTTAAAAGGCATGTGCCAATATAAGAGACTGTATGAGGCCAGGCATGGTGGCTCACGCCTGTAATCCCAGCACTTTGGGAGGCCGAGGCGGGCAGATCACTTGAGGTCAGGAGTTCGAGACCAGCCTGGCCAACATGGTGAAACCCCGTCTCTACTAAAAATACAAAAATTATCTGGGCGTGGTGGTGGGCGCATGTAATCCCAGCTACTTGGGAGGCTGAGGCAGGAGAATCACTTGAACCCAGGAGGCGGAGTTTGCAGTGAGCCAAGATCGCACCACTGCACTCCAGCCTGAGTGACAGAACAAGACTCGGTCTTGAAAAAAAAAAACAAAAAACAAAACAAAACAAAAAATCTGTATGGAATAGATATAAAGAGAGAGGGTTAGAACAAAAGAGAGATGGAAAGAAAAATGTTTAAAAACAGGAATAGTTAAAAAAGAAATAGTGGAAGGAGGAAACAGGGAGGGAGGGAGGCAGTGAGAAAGGGAGAAAGCAAAGAAGAAAGAAAGGAAGTAGGTAGGTTAGAAAAGAAGGATGAAGGGCAATAGGGAGGAAGGAAGAAAGAAAGACATGTGTTGGGCCCAGTGGCTCACACCTGTCATCCCAGCACTTAAGGTCAGGAGTTCGAGACCAGCCTGGTCAACATGGCAAAACCCCGTCTCTACCAAATATACAAAAATTAGCCAGGCGTGGTGGTGCATGCCTATAATCCCAGCTACTCGAGAGGTCGTGACAAGAAAATCACTTGAACCTGGGAGGCGGAGGGTTGCAATGAGCTGAGATCGCACCAGTTCACTCCAGCCTGGGCGACAGAGTGAGACTCTATATCAAAAAAGAAAAAGAAAAAAAGAAAGGAAGACATGCAGGTAGGGTAAGAATAGACAAAGACAGAGAAAGCGTGAAATACAGTGAGAAAAGACATAGGAAAAGGTGATCAAGAAAGGAAGAAAAGAAGGAAGGGAGGGGGCAAGACAGAAAAGAAGGAGGGGATGGAAAGAAAGAGAAGTTGTAAGTCATGAGTCTGTAGGAAAGAGCAAAACTTAAAAAAAAAGAATGAGAGGCAGAGGGGCTTGAAAAGAAGGAGCTATAAGATTACATAGAATTGTGGATAGCAAGGAAAGACAAATCTTTAAGAAAGAAGTCAGTTAAAATATTACAGTAAAATAAGATAGATAGATGGATGACAACTAGATAGGAAGGGGGAGGTATAAAGACAAAGGAAGATGGAAGGAAGTAAAGAAGGAAGGAAAGGAAGGAAGAAGGGAAGGAAGGAAGGAAGGCAGGAAGGGAAGGAGGGAGGGAAGAAGGTAAGGAAGGAAGGGAAGGAAGGGAAGGAAGAAGGGAAAGAAGGAAGGAAGGCAGGAAGGGAAGGAGGGAGGGAAGAAGGTAAGGAAGGAAGGGAAGGAAGGGAAGGAAGAAGGGAAAGAAGGAAGGAAGGCAGGAAGGGAAGGAGGGAGGGAAGAAGGTAAGGAAGGAAGGGAAGGAAGGAAGGAAGGGAGGGAAGAAGAGAAGGAAGGGAAGGAAGGAAGGGAAGGAAGGAAGGAAGGGAGGGAAGAAGGGAAGGAAGGAAGGGAAGGAAGGAAGGGAGGGAAGAAGGGAAGAAAGGGAAGGAAGGAAGGGAAGGAAGGAAGGAAGGGAGGGAAGAAGGGAAGGAAGGAAGTGAAGGAAGGAAGGGAGGGAAGAAGGGAAGGAAGGAAGGGAAGGAAGGAAGGGAAGGAAGGAAGGAAGGAAGGGAGGGAGGGAGGGACGGGACAGCGGGAGATTTTCTAAAGGAGAACCCAGTAATAAAAAAAAGTCAGTGCATAAAAGATAGAAAGTTAGAAAGGAAAAGAGGAAATGAAAAATGTTTTTGAAAGGAGCCAGTAAATAGAGAGTGAAAGAAAGAGGGAATATAGGAGAGGACAGGAAGAGAGGAAGGAATAATGGCATAAAGAAGGGAAGAAGGCAAAAGAACAAAGGCAAGCAGAGGAGAAACAAAAAGAAATAAAGAAAGGGAGCAAGACAAAAACACAGAGAAAGGAAATAAGAAATAAAGAAGGGAAAAATGAATGTAGAAAGGGGTAAAAATGAAGAAGCAAAGAGATGTTTTTAAAGAATTTTTTAAAATAAAGAATATGAGAATGAAAGAAAAAGAAGAAAGAAAAAAGAAGGAAGGAAGGAAGGAGGGAGAAACAGAAAGAAAGGGAGAGCATTACACAAGTAGGAAGCAGCCAATAAGAATAAACTATACAAAAAAAAAAAAAAGATAAAAAGAGAAAGCGGCCGGGCGCGGTGGCTCACGCCTGTAATCCCAGCACTTTGGGAGGCCGAGGCAGGCGGATCACGAGGTCAGGAGATCGAGACCATCCTGGCCAACACGATGAAACTCCGTCTCTACTGAAAATACAAAAAAACATTAGCGGGGCGTGGTGGCGGGCGCCTGTAGTCCCAGCTACTCGGGAGGCTGAGGCAGGAGAATGGCATGAACCTGGGAGGCGGAGCTTGCAGTGAGCCGAGATCACGCCACTGCACTCCAGCGTGGGCCACAGTGCGAGACTCCGTCTCAAAATAAATAAATAAATAAATAAATAAATAAATAAAAATGAAAAGAGAAAGGAAAAGAAAGAGAGACAGAAATAAAGACAGAGAACAAGAAAAGTTTAAAAACAAGTAACCTGTAAGAAGACTTTACACAAAAAAGAAACAGAAAAAGAAAAGTTTTAAAAGGAAAGGCCAATAATAAAATAAATTTAAGAGATGTAAAAAAGAAGAGCAAGTAAGAAAAGACTACAAAAATGATAGAGAGAGAAAGGAGGGAAGAAAGACATTTAACAAACAAGGATCAGTAAGAAATGCCACAACAGTAAATAATGAAAGCAAGAGAGAAAAAGAATGAAATAATTTATTAAAGGAGACAAGAAAGAAAACATAATACAAAAAATATATAAAGAATAAAGTAGATCTAGGTAGAGAACCATATTGTCACAAAATAAAAAGGAATTAAGAAATAAAAGATAAAAAAGATATACTAAGAATAAAATAGAGAGCAAAAGAGAGAAAGAGGGAGGGGGAGGGAGAGAGGAAGGAAGAAAAGAACAAGCTTAAGAACAAGGAAAAAAGTTTATGAAGGGTGGAAGCAGGAGGATCGCTTGAGGCCAGGAGTTCAAGACCAGTCTGGGCAACATAGCAAGACCCTGTCTCTAAAAAATATATATTAAAAAAAAAAAAAAAAAAACATTATCCCGGTGTTTTGGGATGCTGAGGCGAGAGGATCACTTGAACCCAGAAGTTTGGGGCTGCGGTGAGCTATGATAGTGCCACTGCAGTCCAGCTTGGGTGACAGAGAAAGACCCTGATCCTAAAAAATAAATGGAAAAATAGGACATTTATAGAAGATGAGTTAGCAGCAAACACAGTTAAAGGAAGAAAGAATGTAAGAATGAGACAGAGGAGCCAATAAGAAAACCAAGTACAATTCTTTGGGGGAAGCAAATTTTAAATTTGGAGACAGGAAAATAAAACACAAATGTAAAGAAAGAAAGTAGATGATTGATAGCTATAATATGTAGGTTGATGGGCTGGCAGGTAGGTAGATGGATGAGAGAGAGAGAGAGAGATGAAACATAAAAAGCAGAAGCGAGTAAAAAGAATGTATAAAAAGGATAGAATGAGAGTGAAAGAAAGGGGAGACTGTTTAAAAAGAGGAGCCAATCGAAAGAGCATAAAAGAACAGTGGGAGGAAGGAAGGAATGATAGAAGAAAGAAAGTAAAAGGGAGGGAAGGAAGAAAAAAGTGAGAAGGAGGAGGGAGAAATGAGTGAAGATAGGAGGGAGAAATGTCAGGGAGTATGGATGGAGAAACAAAAGGAGGACCGAAGGAAGGAGGGAGGGAGGGAAGGAAGGAAGGAAGGAAGTTTATAAATGATGAGTCAGCAGGGAAAAGAGTTAAAGGAATAAAGAAAATATGGGAGTGAAAGGGAGAAGCCAATAAGGAAATCATATACAATTGTGTGGTAAGGAACAGATTTTAAAGGTGGAGATAGGAAAATCAACATAAAGACAGAAATATAATAGCTAAATAGATAGATATGTAGGTAGGATGATACATAAGTAAATACATGGTTGAATAGATAGACAGATGATAGATAGATAGATAGACAGAACTTAAAAAGCAGCAGCCAGTAAAAAAGAATGTATGAAAAAGATAGAATTAGAAAGAAAGCGAGGAGGGAGAAAGTAAAAAAGTTTTAAAAGAGGAACCAGTTGAGAATAAAAGAGGAATGAGAAGAAGGAATGAGAGGGAGAAGACAGATGGAAGAAGGGAGGAAAAAGAACGAAGGATGAAGGGAAAATGAATGAAGGAAGACAGGAGAGTGGGAGTTTGGATAGAGAAATGGAAAGAAGGAAGGAAGGGATATCATGTAGGCATGCAGGCAGAGAACGAAATACAGAGATGAATTCGTGAAAGAAATGGAACAAGAAAAGACAGAAAGTTTAAAAGTATAGGAAGGAAGAAAGGAGGAAAGAAGAAAGGGAGGAATTGGATGACAGGAGAGAGATCTAAAAAGAAGTCAGTTGAAAGCATAAAATAAAGATAGATTAATGGGCGACAGGTAGACAGGAAGGATAGCAGGCATAAGGCAGGAAGATAGACAGATTAGGGGAATAGATAAATAGATAGATAAACAGATAGACAGATCAGATCTTAAAAGGCAAAAGCCAGTAAAAGAAAAGACCATATTAAACTGACAAAATGAGAGAGTAGCCCAAAAGAGAGAGGGAAGAAAAGAAATATGTTTAAAAAGAGGAGGTACAGGCCAGATGCAGTGGCTCACGCCTGTAATCCTACTTTGGGAGGCCGAGGCAGGAGGATCACTTGAGCCCAGGAGTTCAAGACCAGCCTGGGCAGCATAGTGAGACCCTGTCTTTACAAAACATAAAAAAAAAGTTATCTGGGCGAAGTGGCACATGTCTGTAGTCCCAGCTACTCGGGAGGCTGAGGTGGAGGATCGCTTGAGCCCAAGAGGTCGAGGCTGCAGTGAGCTGTGATCACGCCACTGCACTCCAGCCTGGGTGACAGAGAAAGACCCTGTCTCAAAATAAATATATAAAAGAGGAGGTAGTAGTAAAAGTGTAAAAGTGGAACAAAAAGAAAGAAGGAAGGAGGATGGAAAGTAAGAAAGAAAGAAGAGTGTAAATGATGAGTCAATAGGGAAAAGAGTTAAGAGAAGGAATATGAGAGTAAGAGGGAGAAGCCAATAAGAAATCAAGTACAATTGTGTTGAAGGGGAGTAGATGTAAAAGGTAGAAGTCACTTTTTAAAAAATAGTAAAATAATGATTGATAGCTAACTAGGTGAGTACCTAGGTAAGCAGATAGGTAGATAGACAGATAGAACTTTAAAGGTGTAAGTCAATATAAAAGACTGTATAAAAAGATACAAAGATTCATGACCGTAATCCCAGCACTTTGGGAGGCTGAGGTGGGTGGATCACCTGAGGTCAGAAGTTCGAGACCAGCCTGGCCAACATGGTGAAACCCTGTTTCTACTGAAAATACAAAAATTAGCCAGGCATGGTGGCACGTGCCTGTAATCCCAGCTACTTGGGAAGCTGAGGCAGGAGAACCACTTGAACCTGGGAAGCAGAGGTTGCAGTGTGCCGAGATAGAGATCACGCCACTGCACTCCAGCCTGGGCAACAAGAGCAAAACTCCGTTTCAAAAAAAAAAAAAAAAAAAAAGATACGAAGAGAGAGGATTAGAACAAGATATAGATGAAAAGAAAAATGTTTAAAAACAGGAACCAGTAAACGAATGGAAGGAAGGAAGGAAGCAGGGGAGGGAGGGAAAGAGGGAGGAAAGCTGAAATGAAGGAATGTAGGCAGAGTAAGAATAGAGAAATGGAGAGGGACTTAAATGGAATGAGAAAAGGCAGAAAAATGTAATAAAAGAAGGAAGAAAAGAAAGAAGGAAGGGGCAAGATAAAAAGGGAGGAAGGAGTGGAAAGAAAAATAAGTTTACATTAATGAATCTGTAGGAAAGACTACATAAAATTTTAAAAAAGAGAAGAAGTGAGAGACACGGAGAGGTTTGAAAAAGAGAAGCTAGTAAGAAAAGTACAACTGTGGACAGCAGGGAAAGACCAATCTATAAGGAAGAAGTCAGTTAAAATGTGACAATAAAATAAGATAGACAGATGGATGACAGCTAGATAGGAAGGGAGGGAAAAAGTTGTAAGACGGGCAGAGAGGGAGAATACGAACAAACTGATTTTAAAAAGAACTCCATTAAAAAGTCGGTACTTAGGCCGGGCACAGTGGCTCATGCCTGTAATCCCAGCACTTTGGGAGGCCGAGGCAGGCGGATCACGAGGTGAGGAGATCCAGACCATCCTGGCTAACATGGTAAAACGCAGTCTCTACTAAAAATACAAAAAAAAAAAAAAAAAAATTAGCTGGGCATGGTGGCACGCACCTGTAGTCCCAGCTACTCGGGAGGCTGAGGCAGGAGAGTCGCTTAAACCCAGGAGGTGGAGGTTGCAGTGAGCAAGATCGTGCCACTGCACACCAGCCTGGGCAACAGAGGGAGACGCTGTCTTAAAAAAAAATTGGTACTTAAAAAATAAAGAGATAAGAAGAGAAAGAGAGGAAATGAAAAACATTTTTAAAGGACTCAGTAACTGGAGTGAAAGAAAGAGGGAATGTAGGAGAGGGTAGGAAGGGAGGAAGGAATAAAGGCAAAAGGGAGGAAAGAAGGCAGAAGGAAGGGAGGAGGGAAGGAAGAAAGGTGGGCATGCATGCAGACAGGAACGGAGGAGAAATAGAAATAAATAAAAGGGAGCAAGAAAAACAAAGGGAATAAGGGAAGGAATGAAGGAAAGAATGAAGGGAGGAAAGAGTAAGAAATAAAGAAATGTTTAAAAAGAACTAGTTAATAAGAAAGTAAAATCAAGAAGAAAAAAATAAGAGAAAGTTTCACAAGCAGAAAGGGGCCAGTAAAAACAAAGTGCATTAAAAAAGAGAAAAAGAAAAAGAAAAGGAAAGAAAGATAGAAATAGAATACAAAAGAAAAATCTTAAATGCAAGAAGCCTGTAGGAAGAATTTACACAAAAGAGAAAAGGAAAAGTTTTGAAAGGAGAAGTCAATGATAAAATAAATTTGAGAGGGGATGGTGAAAAGGGGAGAGTAAAAAAAATTACAAAAATGATAGTGCATTAAAGAGAAAGAGAGAGAAGGAAAGAGTGGAAGAGAGAGAGAGAGAAAGATGTTTAACAAAGAAGAGTCCATAAGAAACGCCACTGCAAGAAATAATGAAAACAAGAGAGAAAGAAAAGAAAGAAAAAATAAGTTCTGAAAGGAGGAATCAATAAAGAAAATATAGAGCAAAAGATGGAAAAATAAAGCAAAAGAAAGAGGGAAGAAGGAAGAAAGAGGGAGGGAAAAGGATAGAGAAAGAGAAAAAGAGCAGAAAATTTTAAAAAATTAAATGAGGAAGGATATGTGTAAGAGAATGTTTTAAAAAGAGGTGCTGGTTGGCTGTCGCAGTGGCTCATGCCTGTAATCCCAGCACTTTCAGATGCTGGGCCAGGCAGATCACTTGAGGTCAGGAGTTCGAGACCAGCCTGGGACACATGGTGAAACCCCATCTTTACAAAAGAAATATATAAAAATTAGCCGGGCACAGTGATGTGCCTGTAGTACCAGCTATTCAGGAGGCTGAGACAGAAGAATTGCTTGAGCCCTGGAGGCAGAGGCTGCAGTGAGCCAAGATTGTGCAACTGCACTCACTCCAGCCTGTGTGACAGACGAGACTCTGTCTCAAAAAAAAAAAAAAAGATGCTGAAGGTGCTGATAAGAATAGACAATATGATAGGGAAGAAGGAATTAAAATTTTATAAAAGAGGAGTCAATAAGACAAGCTTGTAGTTCAGTTCAGTGAAATAATGAGGCTATAATGTTCCGCCTCCTCCATAAAAGATCATGTAAGCAGCCATACGGCTCTTAACCTTCAACTGTTAACACCCACTTCTAGCAGAAAGAAAGTATCAGGTAGGCATCTTATACCGGGACCACCTCAAACCCTTTTTGAAAAAGAAAATATAAGTGAATTTAAGTTCACTATATTATAGAGGTGACAGAAGAGTGAGGATATCAATTTCACATATGCAACTGACTCATATCCACTATAACAAGGCTGTCATCTTCTACCATGCAGACACAAGGGACACACATCTTAAAACTCTAATGAAAACCCAATTAGCACACATGCAGTTAGGAATCCTTTTGTCAATCTAAATGGTTAAAAACAGGAGCTGTAATCACCTTTTTCCCAGATGAGGTCTATGTATATGGTTATATGGTTGCCTCTGTCAAGCTGTGAGGAACAACCAAGAATTGTCATTGCCGCTAGCTTGGAGGATCTCCAGCACAGTTATTATGCTGGTCTGCCTCCCACACAGAGGCAGGCCGTGTTCTCATGGAACAGAAAGTAGTTGTTCCCTTCTCCCAGAAGACAATTCTGGCTAGTTAGAGCCAAAGTAGCTTTAATTAGACAAGATAGTATAAAGGTAATTTTCTTTTTTTTTTTTTTGAATATCAAAATATTTCAATTTTATTTCTGCATCATAAATTTATAATTTTAACAACTTTGATCATTAGCTAATACAGTAATACAAAAAAATGAGAAAAAAGATGTTAATATTTCTCATTTCCATAAAGTGCAGATTTAATTTTCAATTATTTGCCTTAGTAAACATTGTCTTATTTCAGGTACTCCCTGCCCTCACTCAAAAAAAAGGGAGGGTGTTTAATTTTTATTGAACAAATATGTAATACCAAGAAAAAGATGAAAGATCCAATAATGTTTTTTGCAAACATGTTTCCAGGTAAGATTTCCAAGGACATCAGTACTGAGTGAAAAATAATCCTTTACAATCAATATGAATGAATACACTAACAAGTACATCATTTAGACCTCCATGCTTATTTGGCAATTCCAGTTATGAAAAAGGTACATAAATAATACAAACAATTGGCTTGACATGTGGCCAAACTACTTTCACTGAAGTTGCTGGAAGCCTTTCTCTGGTTTTGGCCCCTGTAGGAAGTTAATCTCATATTCCCTTAGCAATAATATAAGGTCACTGTTTCAGTCCTACACACTTTTATATTCAATGGGCTTCTTAGTTTATCACATAAGGACTGGCACTTTTTTCAAAAGAATATTGCTAACAGGGTTAAATGAGTGCTAATGGCTGAACGTTTGCCAAATGCTTACTTCTGCGATAGTATAAATATGGATTATTAAAGTTGTCTACTCAAGTATAAAATATATGCAAAACTCTCATAGGCAAAATGTTCAAAGGCCGGGAAAAACCTTTTTTTTTTTTTTTTTTTTAACTTTTACGAGAAAGTGCAACTGCAGGGTCTCTTGAATGATCTTCTAGACAGTTCCGCAGAAAATTAGCAGTTTGGCTCAGAAAGTAGAGTTCCTCAGGAGAAATTAAAGTTCTTCCTAGAAGAATACAAAGCAACGTTTCAGGCAGCTTTCTGAAAATAAACCATTAGCTTATGCCTACACAGCGAGACAAACTGGAACGTGTAATAATGAAGGCTTTCACATTTGTCGTGATGTGCTTTTTTCCTCTTACCCCAGGACCTCTAGCTGTTCTGTAATGTTACATAAAGTAGTTATAGCACTTCGTCCAGCACTGACAGCAGGCAGGAAGCTAATCAGCGAGGAGAAAATCGGAAGTGTGTTCATGTGTTTCATTGTTTTTCAGGTCAAATCTCAATACTTGCAAATAAATCATTAAAAAGATATAACAGTTTCTCTGTTATTTTCAGGACTTCATGTAGTGAGTGGGTAATCAGAGTGAAAGAGGGCTTTCTATCAGTCATCAGTGATACGTTCTGTCACACAGTCAGATTTTCAGCATTTGTTCGGCTGCTGCTAGATGATAAAGGAAGTTTTCTGTTGCTGGTGGAAATCGTTTTTGCTTTAGCGCCTCCAAATTAAGGACTCTCTTTTCTCCATCAGCCGAAACTTCTGAAAACGGTGCTAGGTTGGTAAAGATTTCTCTTGTTTTTAGAGCAATATCCTGTATAACCTGGCTCTCTGATTTCTCTGGATCTTCTGCAGACTGAACAATTAGCTGACCCATTTCTTTGTGCAGTTTGCCCATTGCCATGGCCTCTTTTGCAAGGGGAGCAATGGTAATCTCACTCTCTGCCAGATTCACAAACACATCATAGAGGTCTGGTCTGTTGCTCACCTCCAAGTCTACAAATCCAGCGACGTAACCTGTGCACATCTGCAGGGCTTCCAGCTCATCGGCGTTGAGGTGCACGTAAGAGTGAAGGATGGTCCAGTCCTGTCGGTGCCACACCAGGGCAGGCAGAGTCCTGGTGAACTCCTGGACCGCTTCTATCTTGGGGTGATACACCACAATTCTTTTCTTTAGCATCAGTGCTGTGTGTAAGATAACAGTTTCCATTCCAAACTGAGATACAATGTCTTTGATGGAGCCAGCCGGGTAGGCCTTTCGGGCATCAAAATCCTTACTAAGGAAAGAGCCGTTTTCTTCACTCTGGCATATCCCCTTTGTGAGAACTGCAATATAACTCTCCATCATTTTAACTGGGCTCCCATGTTTCAGGTACATTCTACACAATATCCTAGTGAAGGCAGCATACTTCTCTGGGTTAAAATCTTTGGCGGTCAGGACAATAGAAAAATGAGTCACCTTTTTCAAAATGGAAGAATCTGGAACTTCAATTATTGTGATATAAAACCATGTTCTTCTGTACTGACCAAAGACAAAGGGATGGAGAAGTTTGTTTTCATCTGTAAGGCAGCATTTTCTCAGCAGCAGGTTCCTTAATGTGGCTGTCGTGGAAGGATAACACCACACCCACAGAACTTCTCCATTTGTGTCCTTTTCGATCAGCCCGACTCCAAGCATCAGCTGAGTGTCCGCCAACTCGGCCGCAGCCATCTTCCGCCGCCGCGGCGCGCAGCTCTAAAGGTAATTTTCTTTCCTTCCCATCACACGTCTCTACCCCAGGGTCTCTCAACTTTGGCACTATTAACATTTGGGGCCACAGAATCCATTGTGGAGGGCCATCCTGTGCACGGTAGGATGTTTAGTAGCATCCCTCTACCCATGCCAGAAACACAACACCCATCATTTGTGACAATCAAAAATGTCTCCAGACATTTTCAAATGTCCCCTGGAGGACAAAATTACCTCCCATCGAGAACCACTGCCTGTCATCTCCCATTTCCTCCGCCACAACCCCATATGTAGATCGGCATATGGCTCTCCTCTTATTGGGCATGGAAGGATGAATAGAATCTATCTGGGATACTTTTGTCATCCCCACTATTAAAAATAAATGTTTCATTATGTTTCTTTAAGCAACTCCCTCAAAGAGAAAGAAAATGAGTGACACTCCCATGGGTCAGAAACCACACCAAGGACAAAAATTTAATTGAAATGTTATCATTAGAAATGAGTAATTTGTGGAAAGACTGGATTTGGTAATGACCTGCTTATCATGCAGATAAATCCTCTATTCTCGTCTATCAAATGATGGATTTTGAGTAATTCTCACCAACAGTGCTACAGCTTCTATTGCCATCTGCATTAGATGCCCTAACTACTCAGTTGGTGTCACTGCCTCCACACTCCCATGAGCAGGGCAGCCCACATTTTGCAGTTGACAACTCTCCAAGCATGATCAGAGCCCTGAGTTTTCCACAGCCCCTGCTTCTGATCTCTCCTCTGTACTTCCCCATTCCCAACAAGATTCTGAGGTATTTTTTTCAGCCTGTGCATCACTAGCTGCTGCTACTGCTGCTGCCACCCCTTTCTCAGCAGTTCCACCTCCTACGGAAGTTTTTTACCTGCATCTCACTTGTTCCACCTGGAGAACTATCCTTGCAGATTGCTGAATGGAACCACAGCACTAGGGACCTAGTGAGGACCAAGACATGGGTCTTGCTCAAAACCCTGCCCTTCCTTTGACTTGGGACCTTTCGGGCCCAAAAGTAATTTATGTCACTTCACTGGCAGCAGAAATATTTTATTCTGCCACATATTTTTCTGCAGCAGTGGAGTGTGCCCCCAGTATTGCCCACTCTTGTTCCCCTCTTCCTTTTAGAAAACCCCACCTGAGTAGTAGCTGTCATTTAATGTTTCAACCCGCTTCTTTAGTAGGCTTCCTGAACACATGTAGGGCTGGCACTATTTGTTGAATTGAAGTGTCTTCCTTTGTTTTGCTTTCTAGCTCAGTCATTGATTTTCCTAACATACTCCTTTAGATTCTGCCTTTGTGGAGCCCCCAAAATGGCTCAGACTTTCAGGAAGCTTCCCCATCTTACTGCTTCTTTTCCAAAGATGGCGTCCATGTGCCTGAGGTAAGAGGTTTGACTTATGTTCTTACTCCTCTAAGCGTCAGCCACATGGGCATCATCTAGGTGCTTATTAGAAATGCAGATTATCAGGCCTCACCCCAGCCCTACGGAATCAGAATCTGCATTTTAACAAGATCCCAGTGTGGGTATGCATGTTCAAGTTTGAGAAGCACTGGCCTCCATGACCTCATAAAGGCAGAACAAAGTCAGGGTGCTTAGACGAAATGTCCTCTGCCTCCTTGGGTCTCCAAACAGATGTTTCTGTCTCCACTCAGATAGCGCTTAGCCTACTGGCATTCAAAATTTAAGTCTGCCACTAGTGTACTGACTCATGCTCTGGTCTCCCTGGGCTTAGTAGAGCCCTCTGGCTTTCTTGTCTATCCCCCACCCCAATTCTGGTTGGCTTCTCTATAACACTCAGGGTAGAGTCCTCTCACTTCCACCATAGTGACTCCCCCTGGCCAGCTCCCCAGCTAGACTTTCAGCCCCTTCTGGACCATGACTATACCACATGGGAACCAAGAGTGGCTTAAGAAACCAAAACCTCAGAGAGAACCTTGCTGGGCCTGACTGCACTATACTGCCAAGTTGCTGGGCCATGGCCCAGGTGAGGAAAAGGTGGAAGCAAGGACTGGGGGAACCTAAGATCTATCTTCCTAGAGTCTTAAATGGAGAGTGGAGCTATAGTTCCCCTTGTTTGCTCTCCATGTTAACTTCAATTATCTAAAGCAACCAAGGCCCAGAATAAGGCAAATGTGAAGCCACATCTGATTTCTTTGCTCTCCAGCCTCTCTCTGACACTACTCTTCCATCTTCTTACTATCTCTGAGCTTCTAAAGGAGTGATCTTTCTTTGGTACCTTTCTCCTAGGTCATATACCCCTTCTTCCTGACCCCAGATAACCTTTAATGGTGGCAAGGCTATCTCTAGTAGCTAAGCATTCCAGGTTGTTGCTACACAAAACAGGGAAAAAATTTAGGGAAATTCTTGAGACAATCATGGCTTACAAGGGAACTGTCTTGTTGTGTCATCCTATTTTGGGATGAGAGGTGCTGAATATTACCTTGGTGTGTATCATGGAATTCCTCCTGTTACAAATTATTGAGTAGACTTCTCTACTCTACCTCCCCTACCTCCACTACCAAACCAGTAGATGCCTATGGAAGACTAGGATAAAGAGTACCGAAGGAGTCAAGAATTAGAAATGATATAAAATTTTTGAAATAATAGCCCTGTTGCACAATGGTTATTTCACATCTGTCAGGCCCCAAAGGTAAGCACAGGAAAAATATGGGCCTCCTGACCTACATCTAGAATACATTCTCATTGTAAAAAGATGTAGAATATAAAATACATATAATATTTTTGCAACAATGTTATAAAGTTGGCAAAAGGCAGGACAATCTCATAAAAAGGGGCAAACAGGCATTTCACTGAAGAAAACGTATAGATGGCAAATAAACACATGAAAAGCTGTTCAACATTATTACTCATCAGGGAACTACAAATTAAACTACTGTGAGATACCACTACACATTCAGTAAAATGGCTAGAATATACTTGTTCATACCAAGCATTTGCAAAGACCAAGAGGACCTAGAACTCTCTTACACAGCTGATGGGGATGTAAACATGGCACAACCACTGTGGAAAATAGTTGGGCAAATGAAGTTACACTTGCATCTACCACACAATTCAGTCATTACACTCCTAGGTATGTGCCCAATAGAAGTGAAATTATACATCCACATAAAGAATCAAACACCAATGTTCATAGCAGCATTATTCATCATAGCTGAAAACTGGAAACAACCTAAATGCCCTTCAATGGGTAAATGGGTAAACTGTGATACATATATACCAGGGAATACTATGCAGTAATAAAAAGGAATGAATTACTCATACAGGCAACAATATTAATGAATCACAAAATAATTATGTTAAATGAAAGAAAACAGTACAGACAAAAAATAGTACATCTTGTTTGATTCCCTTCATACAAACTTCTAGAAAGTGCGAACTAATTTATAGTGACAGCAAGATTGGTGATTGCCTGCGGGACAGTACAGAGGGGGATGAACTATAAGAGGGCAAAGGAAACTTTTGTGGGTGATCAGTATGTTCACTATCTTGATTGTAGTGATTGTTTCATGGGTATGTATGTATATATATATGTCAAAACTGAACAAATTGTACATTTTAAACATGTACAGTTTTGTACTTCAATCATAATTTAACAAAGTTGTTTAAAAATGATATGATTTCCCTTTTACTTACTTTTAGGGCCAGTTCATCATTCTCAAAATGGTACCAAGATTGCTATCAAAAAGTGAAGAAGCAATTACATCCTTGATGGAATGTATAGAGTAACACGACAGAACAAAAAGAAGAAATTGTGTTTCAAATGTTTGTATTGATCATTAGTTTGTCTAGTTAACTTATTTCTATAGGATATCCCATTCACTGGCTTGGTGCTGACTAGCTAGAGATCATTGTGTTAAGACACAGGTCACACCCCTCTCCCTGGTAAAGAAGGTGCTGAGTAAGCTTCATGCTAAATGTACCACGCAATTTAGCAGAAAGTAACTTAAACATTTGATGATGATGATGATGATTATGGTGATGATGATGATGATGATGAAAGTTAACATTTGTTGAGAACCTACTGTGAGCTAGGTCCTGTACTAAGTGAGAAAGAAGGAAAAAGGAAAAAGTGGGTGACACAGAATATACAGATGGAAAAGACATAATCACCTTCTAAGGGTCAGACTTACATAAACAAAAGTTCTTATAATAAAATGGGAGTTTTGATTGATGCAAAATGTAGTGAAAGTGTAGAAGATTTAAAGCCTAGTCCTGCCTAGAGAGGTTGAAGAAGGCTTTATTAAAGGAGGATTTAATTAAATTAGGTCCTGAAATGTGAGTGGGAATTTTCCAGGTGAGTAGTTGTGAGGATATAGTGAGCCAATGTTGCAGATACAAGTGAAAAGCGTACATTGAAAGCATGGAGGTGTGAGCCAGCATAGCCAGAGAAGTGCAGGAGATGAGACTGAAAAGGTGAGTTGAAGTCAGAGCCTTGTACACCTTGCTGAAGTATGACTATATCCTCTCAGTAGCAGGGAACCATTGAAGGTTTCTGAGTAGGCATATGACATAAGAATTATTTGAATTTCTAAAAAGATAATCCAGTTGCAGTGTTTGAGATAGATGGTAGAGAAAAGAGATTAGAGACAAGATAGTTTGGAGACAAGATAGTTTGGAACTATCCCAGTTTATCTGAACTGGGATAGTTCAGATAAAAATGATAAGGGCCCAAACAGGCAGCAGCATGAGGGTGAAAGGGAAGATATAGATTCAAGATATTTTGGAGTTAGACTATGTCTGGAGTTGGTGACTTAATAGATGTGTGGAGTCTGAGAGGGAGATTGATGATGATTGTATTAGTCTGATCTCACACTGCTAATAAAGACATACCTGAGACTGGGTAATTTATAAAGGAAAGAGGTTTAATGGACTCACAGTTCCACGTGGCTGCAGAGGTCTGACAATCATGGCAGAAGGCAAAGGAGAAACAAAGGCGTGTCTCACATGGCGGCAGGCAAGAGAGCTTGTGCAGGGGAACTCCCATTTATAAAACCATCAGATCTCAAGAGACTTATTCACTACCACAAGAACAGTATGGGGAAAACTGCCCCAATGATTCAATTATCTCCACCTTGACACGTGGGGATTATTACAATCCAAGGTGAGATTTGAGTGGGGACACAGCCAAACCATATCAATGATGAGGATGATGATGATGATGATTATTATTATTATTATTATTATATTATTCAGTTTTTGTATATAGGTTTTTCACAAAGTAGGGTGTCTTTTCTCTGTGCTTCCATGGTGCTTAGGCTTACCTCTGTCTCAGAACTCATTCTACTGTATCATATTTGTCTGACTGTTTTACTGGATGATAAGCTTCTTGAGGTCAGGAATTAAATATATTTTTTCAGGTCTAAGCAGTGCACCCAATAAGCATTAGATTGAATTGGAGTGGCCTTACTGAAATAAACGGGGCAAATCTGAACTTTTAGAATGGAGCACTGGGTGAATCACCACATCTTTAACTAAAATATGAACTGCAGGAAGGGAAGTGAATTTGGAAAGATGTGAGTCCATGGGTACATAATGAGCTAGTTAAGTTTAGGTGTCTGTGAGAGATGTCCAGCAAGTGGTTGATAATATGTATTAGCATTGAGACCAGTGCTTGGGAGAGAGGTAGGGGATGAGGGGAAGATATTATATTAATTTGATGCCTGTAGAGTAGGCAAAAGTCTCTTTTAGAAGCTTAATTATCAGATACCACATGCAGGGTGAAAAAATAATAATAGAAGCTTAATTACTAATTAATGCTTTTCTCTGGAATACTAAGCCATATAGAAAGATAAAGAAATGACTAAACTGTCATGTCCTTCAAATGAAGGAGGTAAGAAAATAAATAATATTCATAATTTTTCTGTAGTTTTTCAATTAAATAGTTTTGTCATACAGCTGGTTATTTTCCTGATTATAAAATCTGTGCTTATTTTTAGTAAAGGAAGATTTTAAAAATATTCATGATTATGAATGTTATTATCTTACATACTGGGGTGTTTTTTAGCTGAATAGGTCATTTGGGATTTGCAAAGTGTGGAGAAGTTAGAGTTCCTGCAATGGCTGCCCTTACTGATAGGCAGAGTAAGTTCATAACATAGTATGATTTGGGAGTCCCAGTGCAGAAAATTCTCCCCAAAAAGGTCCCTACCTTCTACTGCCATCCTTCTCCTCAGACATGAAAATACATCCTGCTTCCCATCTCCGCAAGGCTGAACTAGAGGTTAGCTAAGTCTCTGCTAGTCCCTACAGAAGATTCCCATGCATATTCTACACATACCCACGGCCACCAGGCACACTAGGACATCACCATCTGGGTAGTCATTGAGCACTTTAAATCTAATATGCACAAAACAAAATTCATCATCTTCCAGTCACCCCAAAACCTGTTCTTACTTCCTCCTTTTTTATCCAGGCACAAAACTTGGCTCATCTTTCGCTTTTTCCCATTGCTCATATTCTACATCTTAAAGTTGCCACATTCTGTGTAATTTACCTTTCCTTTCCATTCATGTTATCCCTGCCCTTAATGATTACCATAATTTGCCTCCAATGTCTTCTTATTCCTTTTTTTCAGTAAAATGTTTCCTTTTCCTTTTCATTTTATTTTTTGTTTTTTAATTTTTGTGGGTACATAGTTGGCATATATATTTATGGGGTACATTAGATGTTGTGATACAGGCATGCAATGTGAAATAAGCACATCATGGACAATGGGGTATCCATCCTCTCAGGCATTTATACTTGAGTTACAAACAATCCAATTACACTCTAAGTTATTTTAAAATGTACAATTAAGTTATTATTGACTATAATCACCCATTTGTGCTGTCAAATACTAGGCCTATTTATTCATTCTATTTTTTGTACCCATTAAACATCCCCACCTCCGCTCTAGCCACCCCCACTACCCTTCCCAGCCTCTTGTAAATGGTCACCCATCCTTCTACTCTCTATGTCCATGAGTTAAATTGTTTTGATTTTTATATCCCACAAATATGTGAGAACATGTGATGTTTGTCTTTCTGTACCTGGCTTATTTCACTTAACATAATGACCCTCAGTCCCATCCATGTTACTGCAAATGACTGAATCTCATTCTTTTTATGACTGAATAGTACTCCATTATATGTTCTTTTTCTTCCTTTTAACCTGCTCTACATTTTGCTGTGAATGTAACCTTTCCAAAATACAGTTTGGGGCATATAATCCCTCTACTCAAAAGTCCTCAGTGGTAGCTGTTGGCTACTGAATAAAGTACAAAATATTTCATTCTCATTGGGAGGGAGATAAAGCTAGCAAAGGAAGTTACAGCAAGAAGTTAGGGAGTTCAGACTTGTCCCTGAGGTAAGTGGCAAGCCACTAGAAGTTTGTAGGCAGGGGAAATTTAAAAACCTCATCAAGTCATCTTATCCTTGGAGCTACTGCCTTAACCGGAATAAATGTATCCTTGACTATGGTAATTCCAGACATTATGGCAGCCCAGGAAGGAGAACTATATCATTTTCTCAATTTAATAGTACCTCTTCTTTTCCCCAGGAATAAAAAGTGCCTCACTTCATGCTTCAGTTGTTTCTGCTAAAACAACAAATGTCCCCAGACAATCTTTACCAGATATTCTGAGACAAGAGGCAAGTAACATTTCTTTTGTACCAGATGTAGATAGAACAAATGAAGTATGAAATTATGATCAAGATTGGTGTACAACAACTTCGTTCATTAAATGTCAATTTAGAACAGCCTTATTCCCTGAAATTAACCATCCTAAAGTAAGGTTTTACAAAAATTGAAATGCAAACCCCAGTAATAGCCCTGTGCTACTTTAGTCTACTGACACTGGTGGCTATCAGTTATGTTAATGTCACCAAGCTGTAAATGTAGGGAATACCAGTAACAATTTGTCAGTTAGAAAAAGAAAGATGGTGGGCCTGAGATTTGTTAGACAAATCTCAAATTTGAATGTTATATTTGCCTTCATTCTTAATAGTAATTACCTGAAGCAACTTGAGTGTTCCCACTTAATAGCCCTTAGGTTATAGGCTAACTGGTGAGCTACTTGAACTTCAAGATACATACTAGTGCTCTGAAGATGAAGCATCAAATTGGGTTTTTGTGAATCACTTGTCTTCTAGTGCTGATGGGTTGTGCAGAGACAGCCATATTGTCTCATTCTGTCCCCTTGGTTACCAGTCCTTAGTCATCTAATGCTGTAAAGTTAGCAGCAGATATTCATGGCGCAGCCCCTTGTCACAGCATAGATTGTCTCTGTGGGATACCAACTGATTATTATAGGAATCAAATCCACATTGTTGGCTCTGTTAGCACTGTATTAACTGATTTTGCTGTTCTAAAAAGGTAACATGGTTTGAGAGAGACGTCATCAAGCAGGTAATTTACTGAAGTCTTCCCAAAAGAGTTTTAGATAACTAAAGTAGAAAATGTCATTGGCATATCCTGTGTTAATTGCATACTAAGTGACAGACTTGCTTATGTGTAATGGCTAAAAGGTAGCATGTCTGCCATAATATGCTTCTCTGTATAAACAAATATTTATGAAATATCTGCTATGTGCAAGGCATTGTGCTACTAAGTCAACATGGATAATCAGTATGTTCAGTATCTAAAGGAAGAAACTTAACTACTTTGAGATAGTTTAGTAGTTGCAAATCAGGAGTTAATTTTTTCACTGGTCTCAATACAGAGCCAGGAAAAAGTGTCCCCTTATTTTAACATGGATGGCAAGCCTAATATTACATATTTTTACCAAAAAATATCAATAAACAAATTTAGACCACCAGTTTTTAAAGGAGACTTTGAAATATGTTGGGCAAAATAAGTACATCAAATGGTCACAAATATCTCTCATTATTTTGAGAAACAGCATAAACACCTTTATTACAATAGAATACAATACTATTTTCCAACTTGTTTCACCCATCCTATCAGTGTTAGGAAATGTACTTCTGGTGGCTTGTGTCCAGCTCTCAGATGTGGAAAAAAATAAAGTCGACTTTGTTGCATTTATCTACCTGTACAATCACCAAAGCAAGCAGAGTTCTTGGCCAAGCCAAAGAGTCACATTTTAACCTGCTGTCTGCCTTCCAGTTCTCTAAAAATGTCTCTCCTATACTTAGCTTTGTTTAAAAGCCACACATATTCTTTTTAGCTGTTCAGTTGATTACCTTCCATGCTTATCAGGGTGATTCCACAGTTAGTTAATTTTAGAATACCAATGAATTCTATGAACCTTTGAGTTCTACAAATTCAGTTCTACAAATAGCATATGTCATATAAACCAAATAAAACATGGATATTTATTATAAATGAGCTTTTGAAATAAGTTCTTAAATCACTTTCTTAAAGTTTTATATTTTAAATGTGAAAAATACCCAGTGTTCACATTATTTAAAAACTCCTTGGGGAACTTTTGTTTTATTGTTTTTATTTTTCTTATGGTATATATAGGTGAGACATGCTGATTTAAGTGTAAAAAGGCCCAAGAAACCAAGCTTCAGCTATGAACCAGGTAAATATTAGCAACAATTATTAAGCACATCTGGCAACCCCTTAATTCATTCACTCAACTAACGTTTGTTGAGCATCTGCTACATGACAGGCACTGTGCCAATTATTTAACATACAAAGCAGAAAAGCCATGGTCCCTACCCTGGAATTTTACAGTTTAGTGGGGAACAGTCATGTCAATAATTACAACCCAATATGATAAGTGCATACTGGAGATATGTACAAAATCTAGTGGAAGCACAAGGAAGCTTTTACAGAAGAAGCCACAATTGAGCTGAGACATGAAGGATGAAAAAGAATTTTCTAGGCAAACAAATGGAAGGTGGTAGAGAGAACCTTCCAGGAAAAGGGAATATATTTACCAAGATATAGACATTAAAGCATGTGTTTGTGGAAATACAAATTGTTTTAGAATTGTTTTACCTAAAAGTTCAAGTTAGAGAATTGCAGAAGATGAAGCTTGACTGGTAGATAAGGACTGGTCATTAAAATTCTGGTAGGCCATGACAAGCATTTACCTTTTATCCTGTTAATCAAGAGCAAGTACTGGAAAATATCAGCAGGCCGGGCGTGGTGGCTCACGCTTGTAATCTCAGCACTTTGGGAGGCTGAAGCAAGTGGATCAGGAGTTCGAGACCAGCCTGGCTAACATGGTGAAACCCCGTCTCTATAAAAATACAAAATTTAGTGGGGCACGGTGGTAGGCGCCTGTAATCCCAGCTACTTGGGAAGCTGAGGCACGAGAATCGCTTGAACCCAGGAGGCGGAGGTTGCAGTGAGCCAAGATTGCGCCACTGCACTCCAGCCTGGGTGATAGAGCAAGACTCAGTCAAAACAAACAAACAAAAAAAGCAGCATGGGAAATAATATGGTCAGAATTTGCCTTTTCAGAAGAGGTAAAATGGAATTAGAAGTAAAGAAATTGGAGGAAAGAAACAATAATAATAATAACAGCATTTATTGAACACTTACTGTGTACCAGATACCATGTAAACCCTTTATATTCTCTCACTTAACTCTCCCAATAATTTAGTGAAGTCACTACTATTTTTATCTATCATTCTATATATAAGCAAACGAAGTCTCAGGGTGGTAAATTGTCTTGCCCAAAGTCACACAGCATGTGGCAAAGCCAGAGTTTTAACCCATGTCGGTCTCACTCAACCAATCCTAACCGTAATACCACGCTTCTTACTACAATTAAAAAGGGTATTACAATAGTCAAAGTGAGAAATGACTCCTGAACAAAGGCATTGGCAATGAGGATAGAGAACTGGGCCCAGATCTGACTTAAACTAAGGAGGTCGAATGGCTGAGGTTTGGTGTCCAATTGAATATAGGCAATGAAGGAGTTGAAGACAACACCCAGATTCCTAGACTGGGCAACTAAGTGGATAGTGAAGAGTGGTGCCATTCAGTAGATAGGCAATACAGCAAGGGGAACACTTTTGGAAGAAAAATATTTAGTTCAGCTTTGAATATTAGTATGAGTTTAAGGTGCCTGTGGGCATCCAATAGGACATCTAAGTGGAATAGCCAAACAGGCAGTTGGAGAAACTGGTCTGAGACTCATGAGAGAAACAATGAAAAGAACACTTTATATCAATACCCATGGAAACAGCTTTTGTTATTTCCCATAGATCTTAATATAAGGTGTAATTTTTCAGGTAGATTATACTTTCCCCTTTTAATTTCTTTTTTGATCTGAGAGTTGTCCATAGTATGTTTCTTTATTACCGAGAAATTATTATTTTGCATCACATTATTTTTATTAGTTTCAGAGAATGTAGCCTGGAAATCTCTAGCATACCGAAGTTGTTAATGTTTTCTTGGTGGCTAAATATGTGATTGATATTTGAAAGTGTTTCACGGACATACAAAAAATGTATATTCTCTATTTAAAGTATATAAAAGTCTAAATGAATATTAAGTTATATTTATGGATTATACTATTCAATTAACCTGTCTTTACTGATCTGTCTACTAGACTATCTTTTCTTACTGTCTACTAGATGTGTCCAGCCATCAACGAGGTGCATTGACATTCTCCACCATAATTGTATTTGTATTATATTCCCATTGTATTTCTAGTAGGTATTACACATTTAGGTTCTTCAGGATATTTAATTCTCCAATTGCTAAAAACCATGGAGGTATGTTTTTTTCAGAAGTTCCATTAGATATTTATTACTGAGTAACAAATTACCCTAAAACTTGGCAGTTTAAAAAAAAAATGACCTCACAGCTTCTTGGTCCGGAATATAGGAGCAGCTTAGCTAGATGGTTCTGACCTGGGGTGTCTTAGGAGGTTGCAGTCAAGGTATCATCCTGGCCTCCTGCAGTTACCTGAAGGCTTGACTGGGACTAGAGGATTCACTTCCAAGCTCGCTCACTCACAGGGCTATTGGCAGAAGGTCTCAATTCCTTGCTGGCTGTTAGCAAGAGGTCTTAGTTCCACACCATATGGGCCACTCTATAGGGCTTCTGGAGTAGCCGCATGATTATGGCAGCTGGCTTCTCCCAGAGCAAGTGTTCCAAGAGAGAGGGGTTGAAGTCACAGTAGATCTTATGATCTTATCTCTGAAGTTACACACAACTGTTTCCACCATATGCTATTCATTAGAAGCAAGTCACTAGGTACAGCCCACACTCAAGAGGAAGAGAATTAACCTCCACCCTTGCAGGGAGAAGTATCCAAGAATTTGTGGACATACTCTAAAACCACCACAACAGTATTATCTTCACACTTGATTTCTCAGGCTTGCATACTACTAATTCCAGCTCCTTCCTTTTCAAAACCAAACACACGTAAAAACGTACACAAAGAAACTCAAAAAGTTATATAGAATTTAAGTAAAGCTTTTAAAACAGATCATTGGAATTTATTGGTTACTCACAATACACTTTATATTTATTGGGAGAAAAATAAATACCAATTCACCTTGATTTTGAACTGGCTCTAATTTGTAATACTACTTTCCATTATTCAGAGCATTCTTATTGTGGTATTCAATGCTTGTCCTGTTTTGGCTAGACCTCCTAAGTCTCCCCAACCAACCCTTCTGGGTCACCTTGCCCAAAGGGCCAATACTCTCTTTTAACAGTAACTTTGGACCCCTGTTAAACCCAAAGTTAACTGAGATTGAAAGTGAAGGAAGAGAAACAGGCAAAGAGGGAGACTGACTAATGTCACAGATTTTTCTCTTTTAACATTAGAAAAGAACTTAATATGTTACTTTTTCAGTGAATTTCATCATACATAATTTTTCTTGACAGTGATTTTGATGGCAGTTTTGATGTCTGAAAAGTCAAGAGAGATTGATTTTATAATTTAGGGCTAATAATTTTTGGAACATTCTCCCAGATTCTAATATTACACTCTTGATCCAACTTAGACTTAGCCACATTTATTTTGTAGTGAGCTGGGAAGAGCATGGGGTTGTAAGAAGAGTGGAGTGGCTGGGCGAGTCTTTTCTGCTTGCCCTGCTTGATCAGAGGTTTCTGATCATTCACTTTCTACCTACCTCCTCAAAACTCCTAGTCTCCTCTCTCTGACCCACAGTGGGAAAGAATCTACAGATGATTATTCAATAATGATGAATTAAAATTGTGATTTTCTGATCATATTAAATACCAAATTAGATATAGCCCTTTTCTAGGTATCACAATATTCTATTCTATGTTCTAATCCAAATTAGACACTGACTTATTTGATGAATCATGAGAAGAAACAATTCTCTGAGCTGCAGATAGATTTTCAGACAGAAAAAGAAAATTATTATTTGTTGGCATTCTTCAAAACCTACTTGTAAAATAGTTATTAACATATCGTACTAGGTCCTTATTCCTTGCTGTCACTGCTTTGTTTCAAATCCTCCAGGGACTCCCAGTGAGGCACAAAATACATCTTAAAATCTGGGTCCACTGCCTACCTCACCTGCCTAATCTCTAGACCATTCTACATGTATTCTGTGCTCCAGAGATACTGAACGACATTCAATTCCCTAAACATATCATGTTATTTACACCTCAGGGTCTTTGCCCTTACTATTTCATTTGGCTACAACTTGAGTGTCCCTCTTTAAAACGTGTTATCCTTTAAGATTCATTCAGTTCGTGTCACCTCTTCCAGAGAACCTTCCTCACAATCTGTGTAGACACCCTCTGTCACTGCTCCTGAAGCATTATATATACCCCTTTATTATAGGACTTCCTATGTTATATTGGAATGACCATACAGTGTCTGGCACATAGTAACACTCAATGGCATTGATTTGTTGAATGAATTATTTAATATATATATATATATATATATATATATATGTTTGCTCAATATTTGTTCATTAGTCTGCATGTTATTAATCTCTTCCTACTCTAACACTTTCTAACATGTTTGTATGCCATCTAGTACCATAAGCGGTTTTTTTTTTTTTTTTTTTTTGAGATGGCGTTTCACTCTGTCACCCGGGCTGGAGTGCAGTGGTGTGATCTCGGCTCACTGCAACCTCTGCCTTCCGGGTTCAAGCGATTCTTTTCCCTCAGCCTCCCAAGTAGCTGGGACTATAGGCGCAAGCCATCACACCTGGCTAATTTTTTGTATTTTTATTAGAGACAGGGTTTCATCATGTTGGCCAGGCTGGTCTCAAATGCCTGGCCTCAAGCGATCCAGCCACCTCGGCCTCCCAAAGTTTTGGGATTACAGGCGTGAGCCACCACTCCCCACCTCATAAGTAGATTTTAATGAATATTTCTGGATAATGATACTAAAGCAGGTCTCCATGTAGAGCAACATGTCCATAGAAATCTGTTCATCAAAATCCCTGTCAGGAAAAAGTATTCATTGAAAACAATATATTAAGTTTTTTTTCAAATATGTTATAAGAGAAAAAAAATCTGTGAATCAGAAAGCCAGCCATCATCTGTTGACATTAGTCAGTCTCCCTCTTTGCCTGTTTCTCTTCCATGACTTTCAATCTCAGTTAATCTCAGGTTTTACAGGGGTCCAAAGTTATTGTTAAAAAGAGTATTGGCCCTTTGGGCAAGGGGGCTCAGAGGGGTAGTTTGGGGAGCCTTAGGAGGTCCAGACAGAACAGGAAAAGCATTGAATATCACAAACCTACTCCATAATGGGAAGTCATTAAGGGAAATCCCTTTGCAGACCACAGCAGACCTGGCTCAGGGCTGAGCGTCCTGCCCCTGAGGTGGGTGAGCCAGGGTGCCTTGGATGTGTCTCTTTATTTTCCTGGGAGTAAGAAGACTATTAAGTTGGCCACACCACCAAAAGAAATGACCTGGCCACCTGAGAGCTGTAACGTGGACCAAGCAAAAATAAGAAGGTGAATTTGATGAACCACAACTCTGGGGCTGGATGGATCAAACATGAACAAAGAGAGGTTCAGGGAAGTGGCATACTCACACATATGTCTGTTCAATTCATAGACTGTGCAACAAGCACAAAATTGGCACCAAAAAGATATTTCTTGGTCTAGTGGTATAGTGAAAGTAAGCTGAAAAATCCTATTCTATTTCTCACATTTCACTTCATTAAAAACTTTAAGAATGTCCCTATTTTATGTATTAAGATTAGGAATGCTATCCTAAGCATAAGAATGTAGGTCTGTTGTACATGATCTGTGGTCATAAGGAAATAATACATATTGAAATTATCAGCTCATATCTATTGGAATGGATTGGATTTAGGCCAATTTAGACACAGAAGGTAAGTATCTTCCCCGTTAATGTTTACATGTTATTCTTAGAGGTGTTTGATTTAGGACATATTTATGTAAAACAAGTGTTTTCAACCATATGCTGTCATCCCAAAGTATGTTTTTCAAACTTATTGCCGCTTTCTTATCTGTGGTTAAAAAAAAAAAAAGGCTGTGAAAGAACTAGACAGTAGCAATGGTAGCATGACATTGTCAACGTACATAATGCTGCTGAAGTATGCTTTAAAATGGTAAAATGGTAAATTTTATGTCATGCAACAAAATATGAATTAAGGCATTTGGGAATTAGAGTGGAATAAAATAAGTCTTCCCTGGGTTGGCCCTCAACCCTCTAATGGGTCAAAAGAGAGTATGTTACACGCAGCAAGGTGATAAATTTTCTTTGAATGTTGGCCTAAACCTGAACAATCTCAGAGCTAACTTTGGAGATAATTGTGGGGGAGGCAACAACCACATTATAGGGATCCTATCATTCTCCTAGTGCTCAAATGCTAGGCATCCAGCCTTTGCTGCCACTGACTTGTATCTACAGCCTTGAGAAGTACAGTTCCTGTGGAAGGTAAAGACTCTTGTTCTGGCTGTTTTGAGAGTAACAACTTAAAAACATACTATTTTATGATACGCAAAGGGATTTTTATATTACCAAAATATATCTGCAATGAGTAAAAGGACATAAACCAGTAGAGAGTGTGTGGACAGAGTGACTTTATTTTATTTTGTTTTATTTTTCAAGATTGATGACAATTCTTTTTCTTTTTTATATTTCCTTTTTTATTATTATTATACTTTAAGTTCTGGGATACATGTGCAGGACGTGCAGGTTTGTTACATGGGTATACATGTGCCGTGGTGGTTTGCTGCACTCACCAACCCATCACCTACATTAGGTATTTCTCTTAATGCTATCCCTCCCTTAGCACCCCCAACCCCCAGCAGGCCCCAGCGTGTGATGTTCCTCTCCCTGTGTCCATGTGCTCTCATTGTTCAACTCCCACTTAACAAGTGAGAACATGCGGTGTTTGGTTTTCTGTTCCTGTGTTAGTTTGCTGAGAATGATGGTGTGCAGCTTCATCCATGTCCCTGCAAAGGACATGAACTCATCCTTTTTTATGGCTGCATAGTATTCCATGGCGTATATGTGCCACATTTTCCTTTTTTTTTTCTTTTATTATTATACTTTAAGTTTTAGGGTACATGTGCACATTGTGCAGGTTAGTTACATATGTATACATGTGCCACGCTGGTGCACTGCACCCACTAACTTGTCATCTAGCATTAGGTATATCTCCCAGTGCTATCCCTCCCCCCTCCCCTCACCCCACAACAGTCCCCAGAGTGTGATGTTCCCCTTCCTGTGTCCACGTGATCTCATTGTTCAATTCCCACCTATGAGTGAGAATATGCGGTGTTTGGTTTTTTGTCCTTGTGATAGTTTACTGAGAATGATGATTTCCAATTTCATCCATGTCCCTACAAAGGACATGAACTCATCATTTTTTATGGCTGCATAGTATTCCATGGTGTATATGTGCCACATTTTCTTAATCCAGTCTATCGTTGTTGGACATTTGGGTTGGTTCCAAGTCTTTGCTATTGTGAATAATGCCGCAATAAATATACGTGTGCATGTGTCTTTATAGCAGCATGATTTATAGTCCTTTGGGTATATACCCAGTAATGGGATGGCTGGGTCAAATGGTATTTCTAGTTCTAGATCCCTGAGGAATTGCCACACTGACTTCCACAATGGTTGAACTAGTTTACAGTCCCACCAACAGTGTAAAAGCGTTCCTATTTCTCCACATCCTCTCCAGCACCTGTTGTTTCCTGACTTTTTAGTGATTGCCATTCTAACTGGTGTGAGATGGTAACTCATTGTGGTTTTGATTTGCATTTCTCTGATGGCCAGTGATGATGAGCATTTTTTCATGTGTTTTTTGGCTGCATAAATGTCTTCTTTTGAGAAATGCCTGTTCATGTCCTTTGCCCACTTTTTGATGGGGTTGTTTGTTTTTTTCTTGTAAATTTGTTTGAGTTCATTGTAGATTCTGGATATTAGCCCTTTGTCAGATGAGTAGGTTGCAAAAATTTTCTCCCATTTTGTAGGTTGCCTGTTCACCCCGATGGTAGTTTCTTTTGCTGTACAGAAGCTCTTTAGTTTAATTAGATCCCATTTGTCAATTTTGTCTTTTGTTGCCATTGCTTTTGGTGTTTTAGACATGAAGTCCTTGCCCATGCCTATGTCCTGAATGGTAATGCCTAGGTTTTCTTCTAGGGTTTTTATGGTTTTAGGTCTAACGTTTAAGTCTTTAATCCATCTTGAATTAATTTTTGTATAAGGTGTAAGGAAGGGATCCAGTTTCAGCTTTCTACATATGGCTAGACAGTTTTCCCAGCACCATTTATTAAATAGGGAATCCTTTCCCCCTTGCTTATTTTTGGAGTGACTTTATTTTAAATGCTAACCTGCTGTGTAACTTCTGACTAACCCCAAGAGTCCAAGAACGCCCCCAAAATGTCTAGTTGATATATTACCCTTTATGTAGGAACACCTATTCATTGTAGGTTTCCTCCAAAACAACTCTTGTTGCAGAAATCATTGGCTGGGATGCTCATACCACTTACACATTCATTCCAGAGAACGTATGCTTTTTTTCCAAGATATAAGCCCTGGGTCTGGGGGATTGTGGTGTGGAGATCTACTTGTCTTGTGACCACTCAAGACCACGATTCTGTCTGTAAGTTCCCTTAATAAATCACCCCAAATCGACAAACTGGATTTTTCTGCCTCTTTCTTTGGTTTCTCAGCTCCTTGGCATTTGGGGGTCAATTCGCACATACTGCCCTTTCAGAGAACACAGAGTTCTACAGATGCACTTTGCATCTACCCCTGGGCCAGTATAAGCTGTGACAGTACAATTAATCACTGAGGAAATGGTCATCAAGTTTGGTCACCGAGTTTATATTTCAGCTCAGAAAAAAATGGACCCCAACTTCCCTCTGCTGCTTAGCCTTCCTGGCTCTTTGAGTCCCAATTCCAACTCAGCCCTTCTTTTTCTACCTAAATTAATGTGTTTTTTGTCTTCATGATCTGTCTTCTGCCTTTCTATCCAAGAAAGTTTAGACTGATAATATTTTATTGGACCCAAAGCTGTTGATCCTCCCTAAATCATTAGTGCTAATTGTCACCCATCAATTAATTCCCAACAATTAGCTGTAGTTGCTTGCATATATAAACAGTCATTTGAAGGAGGAAGACAGCAGAGTCACGGGCTGACATCTGCCACTAGGGGACCTTATTTTTTGCCCTCATATCCTACCTAAACAGATGCCTAAGCAGAAGGATGCTATCTCCACAAAAGCACCTAAATATTTTGACTACAAATTTGCTTCATGAAATAGATTGTGATATGGTTTGGATGTTTATGGATGTTTGTCCCTTCCAAATCTCATGGTGAAACATGATTCCTGATGTTGGAGGTGGGGCCTGGTGGGAAGTGACTGGATCATGGGGGTGGATTTCTCATGAATGGTTTAGTAGCATCCCTTTGTGATGAGTGAGTTCTTGCTCAGTTAGTTCATGCAAGATCTGGTTGTTTAAAAGTTTTGGACCTCCCCCACTCCCTCTTTTGCTCCCGTTCTCACCATGTGATATGCCAGCTTCCCCCTTCACCTTCCACCATGATAGTAAACTTCTTGAAGCCTCACCAGAAGCTGAGCAGATGTTGGTGCCATGCTTGTACAGCCTGCAGAACTGTGAGCCAATTAAACCACTTTTCTTTGTAAATTACCCAGCTTCAGGTATTTCTTTATAGCAATGCAAAAATAGCCTAATACAGTTTGTTAGAAGTAATCTAGTTCATATTTTTAATAAATATTTCCTGGATCATAAACACAATTTTTACTTCTTGCCAAAGCACTGGTTTTGTATGAGCCTAGACACTCACTTGGCTATTTTTTTTTCTTCCAGAAAGTCATTGATCCCCAGTAGTAAATGCTAAAAATAAAACTTTCAAGTGCCTTTGAATCAAAGAGAATCATATTCAAAAAATAGATCACAGACTTAGAGAATAAACCAATTTGAAATTAATCTGATGTTCTAAAGAGATCCCTTTCTATATACCATGACTAACTGTAATTTGATATATGGAATTAAAGGCCAGCCCCCATCCCTAGAATAGAGTAAATTTACATTTGGTTTTCTTTGTATCCCTGCTCACCTCCTTTCCAGGTAACTTCTGAAGAACTGAAAAGTATAATTCATAATACAATGACATGAATTGTGGCAGCAGTGACCAGTATATTATACCCAGCAATCACAAAATATGAAGAAATGTTGTAAAATAGTACATACCCAATGTCTGCTGACTCCACTCTCTTTTCAGATAGTTCAGGTTGTTGTATCACATGCAGTGAAATGTTTATATTGAAACAATTAAGACATTTCAGTGTCCTATATAAAGACACCTGACAGGTCAATGGGGCGACCAGTCACACTTTTAATGCCACCTTCTGCCCACAAAGAAACAACAGTTGTGGAAAAAATTCATCACAGGAAAGGACAACCTATAACCTCTGAAATTAAACATAATAAGATCTATAAATACCTCCGGCTCAAAATCTGTAAATTCGATAGTCACCTTATCACATCGATGGAAACAGGCACAAAGAAATCTAGGGATGCTACCACTAAAACGGATGGCTTAAAATGCCCACTGACTTCACCAGGCGCAGTGGCTCACACCTGTAATCCCAGCACTTTGGGAGGCCGAGGCGGGTGGATAACCTGAGGTCAGGAGTTCGAGACCAGCCTGGCCAACGTGGTGAAACCCCGTTTCTACTAAAATACAAAAATTAGCCGGGCGTGGTGGCAGGCGCCTGTAATCCCAGCTACTCGGGAGGCTGAGGCAGGAGAATCGCTTGAACCTGGGAGGCGGAGGTTGCAGTGAGTCGAGATCACGCCATTGCACTCCAGCCTGGGCGGCAAGAGCAAAAAACTCCGTCTAAAAAAAAAAAAAAAAAAAAAAACCCACTGATTTCTGGTGGAAAAGCAAAAGCCATAAATGAGATGCAGGAGTTAAAGAATGCTTTTGTTAACTTTAAGTGTTACCTAAAAGAGAAAACTGAGTTGACTTTAGATGGCATTTTTCTAGAAGTGTTGTCTGATTTAACTCAGGCCAAACCCACTCTTTCCTCTGTTACAGCTGAAGTTTGGGTTGACCAAACTGACAAAGAAGACTTGCTCTGCAATGTTGATATCTCTTCAGCGGCTGCTGACATTGTGGAAAACATACTTGAGAAGCTGGTCTGAAGTTCACAGAAAAAAATGTATTGAGGTATTTTCACAATAAAATGTGTCAGTACACTTTAAATCAGCTAGAGGAGAACATTTCATTTCCCCAAAAGAAAATCCTTTAAAAGCTTCACTGACATATACTTTGGAGAACATGAGTGATATTGCAGAGGATATGGTTTACATGATTGTAAAAAAGCTGATGACTCTTGCATTTTCTAAGCAAAATGAACTTGCTCATCTTGAATTCACATGGGAACCTGCTTATCAGCAACATATGAAAGATCCAACAGGTACGTTCCTTCAAAGAGCCAGCAAAAGAAAATCTAGCACTGAACCTGATACAGCCAATTTGATTGCCAAAGAAGAAATACAAAATTTAGTGTCAAATATTTTGTCCCAGTTCTCTCTGGTTCATTATACAGAGGAAGCAATCGACACTATACTAGGTTATATGTAAATCAGAGTTAATAATCAAAGCCTTACTGCAACTAAAGAAACAGTGATCATGTTTCAGCTGCTTGTCAATATCTTGACTCACTTACATCAGAAACCAATGAAAACAATGTCCAAGAGAGTAGATGCTCCAGAACGAGCAGTCTTTTTGGCACTGAAAAAGAGAACAGACTCTCTGGCACTAGAGTAGTTCATGGTCCCCTGAATACGAGCAACGTATCTAGGGGACCATCAACTTGTTAATGTCCCTGGCATGGTCTTTTATTCCAAAGACAATAATGAAGAATAAACAAAGTTGTGGAAAATCTACTGATTTCACCTATCAAGGATGAAAAAGCAAAATTACAAGAACAGGTTCCTGATCACTGGTCAACAAGGGGAAATACTGGTCTTAAATGCAAAAGAAACGCCAACTCAACTACAAAGCCTGCTTGTCAAGACAAAGTAGCATTTTGTGATTGGGGGTTAAAGACTGACCTCCCAGCTTTTAATAACTAAAAACCTTTTCATGGACAAGTCCTATTTGAACAAAGACATTTGGGTTTTTAGCCATGATGCAAAACATCAAATACAAAATGCATCCAAAAACATAATTACAACTATTTTAGCAGAAGTGCTCAAAGACATATCTTCTGTGTCCCATGGCCATTCAGTCAATAAAAATGGTCAAGAAGCTTTACTTCTTACCTTAGAAAAACCATGAGGTCTGTCACATTAAGAATGTATGAACCAGATGTTCTCTGCATCAGAAATCCATGCAGTAGCTCAGGAATAGCAGATGGTGTATTAAAAATATTACACATGGCTTCTAGTCACATCATTAACACCACCAAACATTTCATTTTCTCCATTAGTACACCAAACTTCTCTAGATAATACTGGTGTACCAAATAAAGAGCTATTAGAAATATGATTAGAGAGTAAAAACAAGATGAAATTTTTAGCTGTGCTTAGTATAGACCCTAAAAAACATCCCTGGTTAGTCTGAAGAAAGTGAGCCTTTAGTTCATATTAATGATAAAATTACTCATAGAATTTTTGAAAATGTAATTCCATTTTTATTTTTTAACTTTTATATTAAGTTCAGGGGTACATGTGCAGGCTTGTTACATATGTAAACTTGTGTCATGGGGGTTTGTTGTACAGATTATTTCATCATCCAAGTATTAAGCCTAGTATTCATTAGTTATTTTTCCTGATCCTCTCCCTCCTCCCTCCACCCTCATGCAGGCCCGTGTCTGTTCCCCTCTTTGTGCCCATGTGTTCTCATCATTTAGCTCCCACTTATCAGTGAGAATATGTGGTATTTGGTTTTCTGTTCCTGTGTTAGTTTGCTAAGGATAATGGCCTCCAGCTCCAACCATGTCCTTGCAAAGGACATGATAGTATTCCTTTTTATGGCTGCATAATATTCCATGGTGTATATGTACTACATTTTCTTTAACCAGTCTATCACTGATGGGCATTTAGGTTGATTCCGTGTCTTTGCTCTTGTGAACAGTGCTTCAGTGAACATATGTGTGCATATGTCTTTATAATAAAATGACATAAAATAAAATATAATAAAATGACAGAAATAAAATGTATATTCCTTCGGGTGTATACCTAGTAATGGGATTGCTTGGTCAAGTGGTATTTCTGTCTTTAGGTCTTTGAGGAATCGCCACACTATCTTCCATAATGGTTGAACTAGTCGACACTCCCACCAACAGTGTATAAGCATTCCTTTTTCTCCACAACCTCACCAGCATCTGTTATTTTTTGACTTCATAATAGCCATTCTGACTGATGTGAGATAGTATCTCCTCGTGGGTTTGATTTGCATTTCTCTAATGATCAGTGATACTGAGCTTTCTTCATATGATTATTGGCCACATGTATGTCTTCTTTTGAAAAGTGTTCATATCCTTTGTCCACTTTTTTATAGGGTTGTGGTGTCGGAAAGTATTACAAGTCAGTTTTTTTTGCAACAAAAGCAAAAATGGACAAATGGAATCTAATTAAACTAAAGAGCTTCTTGCACAGCAAAAGAAACTATCAACCGAGTAAACAGACAACCTGTAGAATGGGATAAATTTTTTGCAAACTATGCATCTGGCAAAGGTCTAATATCCAGAGTCTACAAGGGTCTTAAACAAATTTATAAGAAAAAGAAAACACTCATAAAATTTTTAAGATGCCAAAGTCACGTATTTGTTCAAAATTGCAAAAATGCTTCAAACCAGAAAGCCATGCTGCTAGTTTGAAGCCTGCACCTGGCAAGGAATCTTTGTTTAAATCTCAACTTAGTGTATACACAACTAAAGTGGGAAAAATTGTCTGGATGCTATCAAGAAGGAACTGAAATACAATGAGAAGAATCTAAATCTTAGGGAGAAGGGTCCTCCCAAGAAGTATATAGATACAGTAGTTTTTGATAAAACCGGAAAGGAATTAGGCTGTTGTCACAAAGCTAAACAATGACATTATTGAAAGTTCATTAGTAAATTGTATTTGTGAAGTGTTAAGTGGAAAGACAGATAAAAGCAATGTTCCACTCCCTTCACAGAAGCTGAGGCCTATATTTTCATATGGAATTGTTGACATTGATCAACAAACATTTTCTCATTTTCAGTGCCCTCCTAGGCAAAAGGAAGTTCACAAATGTGCCAAATTACAAGTATTAGATAGAACTGGAGATACTTTATATGACATGTAATCGGAGCTCGTAGAAGATCATTCACATTCTCCCCATCTGATAGTGAACCAGAGAGTGGATCGATGAGAATTTAAGAACAATCACTGCATTGCAGCCTGATATTCAGCTCATTTCTCATACAATTCTAGAATATATCATTACACGATTGTGTAGTGCTGAGGTGGATAGCAGTTTCACAAGTTCAGAATTTAAAGCTATCTTGGAGTATATTGACCCTGACAGCTTATCATTTGCTTCACTTATTGAGGAAATGAGCAGATGCTCTGATATAATCTCCAGCATGGTGTCCAGGGGGATCCAGCAAGGCAGTCAAGAGACAACTACCAATAAGGGGAAAACTACTGCCCCTGAAACAGGGAAAGAGGGAGCACAAAATAAAAGTATCCAAATAAATGAAAAGTTGTGACTTCATATATCATTGAAATGGTTTTTGCTAAATTGGAAGGGCTTGCCAAAAGAAATTTTATAACTGTGGGTACTATAATCAATGGAAATAAAAAGAGCAACAAGACAGACGGGGAAAGTGAAAGTTCCAACATTTGAGCTAACGCACATCAAGAACTATTGCAGTCCACTTTACACATTCATACAAAGAAGGTATCAAGTGCAATTTTGAAGGCTATTCAAACCAAATTAAATGTGAGCTTGCCAGATTTGGAAATGTGTACACGACCCACTACAAGAGAAACAAATGCTTAAGAAGCTAGTCATTTTAATTTGGGATGGAATGCCTCCACATACGTTTAATGAAACTGAAGCAGAAAACAGAGACATTGAAAATTACAGATAAAGGCCAGCCTACAGAAATTTTCTTCCTGGAGGAGCTGGACCAGAGTCATATCTAGAAGATTCTGCAGATACAGAGAAAGAAAGTGCTGGAGAGAAAAGACCTCCAAAAGAAGAAACTAAATCAGAGTCTCTTGAGCAAGAGGAATTGAAAAGAACACTGAAAAAAATTAAAGTAGAACTCAAAGAGCCAAAAAGTCCCCAATTGTGTCCATTATAAGAAATATTTTGAATGGAAATCTTAAGAATGATTTTATTGATCAGTTAAATGTTCTTCCTCTCCTCCAGTCCCATTTATATGACATTCCGCATGCTGGAAGTGAGCCAGTTGCTCAGACATCTGTTCAATCCCTGGAATAAAACAATGGATTCTTTAGTGCTTGAAGCAGATGTAATCATTGTTGCAAATAATGTTGTTAGAACCATATTTCAAAAACCGTATTCCACTGCTGTGACAGACATAATGCAAATGAAAATAAGTGTAACACTATCACCATTCCAGCAAATATCTCTTTTCCTGAATACACCAGTGGAGGAAAAGCCTCTGTTTATTCCACCCTGCTGGACAGAAATCCACGTATGCTTCAGGCCAGATTCAATAGTGATAAACTAACCAAAGGAAATCTAGTTGAAGATATTATACAGTCAATATTAGCACATTTTGAAATGTTTACTGCTTCCAAAGTAAAATGTCTCCTTTTTCCTCATATCAATGTCACAGTTCCAATGACTTTACCTTTACAACAGTATACAACTGCTTTAAGTCAATCATGGTTATCAACCAAAGATTCGTATTCTGGCGATCAATTTTTCTGTTGTTCAGTGGATCATAATAAGTCAGGAAAGTCCGCCTCAATATGTCAATTGACTGTCTCTAAATTAAATATATATGTGACACAAGTGGCTAGACAGATTTTACAATGAATCAAACTTAAGTTAGATAAAGAAATAAAAAGTTCCTTCTTTTTTTTGGAAAGAAAGAAAAAAGCATGTTTTTATTTGCAATAATGTGATTATGTGTGAAGAAAATATTAAGAAATCTACAAAAAGCTATTGGAATTAATACATGAGTTTAACAAGGTTGCAGAATACAAGGTCAGTATACAAAAATTAATTTTTATATATGAACAACTTTTTTATATTTGCATTGTATAGAATGAAAAATTGTAAATTCTTAACCCATAATGTTGTGGTGTCAGAAAGTATTACAAGTCAGATTTACAGTGTTAGATGTTGTATTTGCTAAAGGCAAGTATGAAAAAAACATATCTGACAGAGAAATTGATCTAGGTTGGCTAAAAGATGTTGTGGAAACGCTTTTCAAAGTGATTATCGAAAAAAACATCAGGCCAGGAACAGTGGCTTATGCCTATAATCCCAACAATTTGGGAGGCTGAGGCAGGAGGATTGCTTGAGGTCAGGAGTTCAAGACTGGCCTGAGCAACATAGCAAGACCCCATCTCTACAAAAAGTTTTTTAAATTAGACAGGCATGATGATGTAAGCCTGTAGTCCTAGTTACTGAGGAAGTTGAAGCAGGAGTTCAACTTGAGCCCAGGAGTTCAAGGCTGCAGATAGCTGTGATCATGCCACTGCACTCCAGCCTGGGTGACAGAGCAAGACCCTGTCTTAAGAAAGGAAAAAACAAAACCCCAGTTCCAAATACTAGATACCATTGTGGGTATCTGAAGTGACATTTGTGAGAAAACACTGGACAAGAATAATTTCCCACTTGCTGCATTTAGTCTTAAATATAACATGCTTAGGAACAAATTCTGGAATGATTCCTGAGTATGCAAATGTGTCTATTTCAACACTTTTAGTTCCTAAGTCATGCGTTGCTATGATTTCCAATCATATGGTAAACATCATTCCTCAAAATCTTAGTTCTGCTGTCATGCTTGGCATAAATGCAAATGATTCTATTTCTGCAAGATCGTCCGTGATGTTGTCTGATGCATTTCCCAAAGCAGAGTGTCAACAACCTCCTGTTATGAACTCAATAAATGATAAGAAAAGGGAGAGCTTTCTATTTCTGAGAAAAGGAACAGATATACAGCTGAAATCAGCTTACTCTGATGATAATCAGACAACTATGCTTAAGAAACAAGACACCAGACAATCTGCTCCTGACCCATGTGCAGAAAGTGCTAACTAACTTTATTACTAAAGCTGTTTTGAATAGGTTAAAATCTTTTGCCACAGAAAGAATAGATTTGCTACTTACTCTTGATTTTAAGACTAGGGAAAAATTATTTGTTAGCCCAGAAATTGTAAACAAATTGTAAACAAGATGACAGCGTATTTCTTGAATCAAACCAAATGTCATCAGATTTGAATAGCCTGAAAATATCTACAGGTAAAAACATTCTGTCAAGAGGCCCCGGATTACACATTTAATCCATAATTACAGAGAAAAACATGGGCCCACAACTCATATATTACAAGCTAGTCTTAAGGAATATGCTGACGTCATTGCAAGGACTGTCTTGATGCTTATTAAAATGACGTAGAAACTAGAAATCCAAAAGATGTATTTATATCAAACAACACTTCATTCCAAGAAAACATCATTGCAAGTGAAACTGTAAACAATATCTTGAAGAGTCTGAATGATAAAATATCTTTAAAGGAAAGTACTTTTTACTCAAAACAGAACCCTAGTCTCTTCACACAACTGGTTGTACAAAATGAAATATTACTGGGTCAAAGAAAGAAGACAATACTGAACTTTCTTATCAAAATACCCATATCAAAACCAAATTATATCAGAAGAGAAAACCTGAGAAGGGTTTTAGAGGAAATACTTAGAAATGGATAATCTAGACAGGAAAAAAAAAATAACCACCTGCTTTCTTAAGTGCAGTTAAGGAAATTTTAAAGAAGGTGTATCAAAGGGTAATGGAACACATAGACTATTGGCTTCCTTTTAATGAACCCTCCCACTTGACATCTGATTCTAAAATTAAAACATCTGATTCTAACATTAAAACTACAGCACACACACACACACCCACACTTCTTGCAGTTGTATATAAGCAGTGTCGCAAGTGACACAATCAAAAGTAATTTTGGAAAAATGTACTCGATAGTTGTGACATCCTTATATGAAAATAATGAGACCAGGAGAGAATTAGAAGCATCTGGCAGTGATGAATTACCAATGAATTTGTCATGCTTTAGGGGATTTAAATAAGCAGGAAAAAAAGTCTTCCCCCTGAACATATGATGCTGCCAACTTATTCTTTCACAGGCATTAGAAGTATCACTTCATTGGAAACCACATTATTGCAATTTTCTCCATTACAAGTGGGGGAATTGGTTCAAAGTGTTCTCCAAAAGATCACAAATTTTGCTTTGCTGAATCTAGAAGTGAGTTCATTCCCTAAAGGTCAGTCTGATGAAATGTGATCTCTGAGGCCATGCATTCTAAAGCTGGTCCTAAGGGTAGCCCTAGACCAGGTTTTAGATTTTAAAAATTGAAACAAAATCAAAAGCTATTTATTTGCTCTAATTTGGGGGGAGAAAAACACAGCTAGGGCCTAGTAGTGTTAAGGCCAAAAGCAAAACCAAGGTAGGTCCTGAAGAGAAGACTCCAAAAGGCAGCTGGTCCTAGACAGCCATTGGGCTGCAATACCTGCTGTCAACAGAGGATGCCAAAAACCCCTTAGTGAAAACAAAACTTCCCCCTGTGGAACTAAAAATGTATGCCAATGATGGAGTACGTAATATTCTGGAAACAACTGTGAATGAATTTCGAATGGTGACACAAAGTAGAACAATAGTAAATGTAAAAGCTTTACCTTCTGATCAACTTGTGACAGCAAAGTGAAGTTGATATAGTTTTGCAAGGATTAAATGTAAGCAAGAACAATTTGACTCACACAATAAATGGCTCACATCCAGATAACCTCAAACTTTCACAGAAGAAATTAAGTGCAACCTATCTTGCAAATCCAGAAGCACGTTTTTCTTTGGAGGATGTCTCTTTGCAGCTGGAGAAAATTTTTCCTAAAGAAGATACTTTTCAACAAATATTTGATAAATGGTAAACAGAATCAAGTGACAAGGGAAGTGAAAAATGTAAGCTATTGATGGTAGCTGAGACTGTTTTGAATGAAATTTTATTAAAAGCAAAAAAATTAGAGCAGTCTTTCACTTTTAACTTTGTTACCTCTTGAGGCTTGTAAAAACAGATACCATAATTTTATTTTATTTTATTTTATTTTATTTTATTTTATTTTATCTTATTTTATTTTATTTTTAAAAATTTGTTTTAGAGATAGAGTCTCACTGTGTTGTCCAGGCTGGTCTGAAACTCCTGGGCTCAAGTGATCTTTCCACCTTGGCCTCCCAGAGTGTTAGGATTACAGGCATGAGCCACCATGCCCGACCCACCATAATTTTAAAAGAGCTTCTACTAGAGCTGAGGATTTCTAAACACAGATTGGCATAGTTGGCCAAGAAATTGTTGAAATGTTGTTTGAAAAATTAGAGTTATGCTTCTTGACTTTGCTGTTCATAACAGATAGTGAAGAAACTCAAGCAAAAGACAAGCTCTGGTAAGAACAAACAACATCACCAATGTATCAATCTATAAAACAACATTAAAAGACATTTTTTTTTGCACTCCAGCCACCAAATCACTGAAAAGATCTTCCAGGGAGTTCTAAACACCTTAGAGTCATTTGCAGACGTACAATTTAAGCATGTTACTACAGATGCTTTCTCTGAAATTGTGAAAATGCCTATTGAAAACTTTTTGCTGTCCAACAAAAATCATCAATGAAAAAATATTCCCCAAATTACAACCACTGCATAAGTTTCCTGATGAATCTAAATCAAATACCGTAATTTCCCAGGAAAACATACAGGATGCCCTTCAATAGTTTCATTCATTCCATTCAGAATTGCTTACTAATACTGCTATTACATGATTGGTATAATTAAGAACAAGATAGACAAAGGAAAATGCCAAGTGTAACCATCTTCAATTAGTGCATTTGAAAAAAACACTGTAACAAATCAGATCATCAGAACTTTTATAGAGCAGTGTACTCGTTTCTATGAGTCATTGATCAAAAACTATCCAAAGGAAAATCTGCCTCAAGGAAATGAAAACGCTTACACTGTTAATTGGGCTGAATTCACAAACAAAATAGAAATGCCCACTTCAAAGTTAAAAGGAGTTATCAGCAAGGATGATCCTCTACAAATCACTGGCTTGGTGTTTTATTCAGAGGAAGATATGAAAAGAAAAGACAGGGCTTCCTCAAATCTACCTTCATATGTCAGATATTCTGCAAGAGATACAACTAAAACCACTGGTGCAATGGAAAGGCTTGAATTAGAGCTTAAACCATCATATTGTAGAAGTGATGTCTAAGACATCATGCATTTTGATCCAGCTATAAGAAGAAACAGCCATCTCCCTAAAGTCAGTCTTTTGCAAAAACTATCTCAGATATCCGGTGTCTCTGCACAATCAGCATTAGAGCACACCATGTCCTTCAGAGAAATGGAAGGAGGTGAAAATCAAAGAGTGCTTCACTCAAACCAAATACAGACAAACATTCGTCCACTCAAAATATGTTTAGCTGCAGAAAATATCATCAATACTATGTTGCTGAGTTATGGTCTTCCAGGTTCAGCCACACCCATTAATGAAAGTATGGAGACAAGGAAGACTTTTTTGGTATCAAAGGAAAAGGTTTTGTCTGTGATGTCTGAAGAACAAAAAACATGCTTAAAATATTTGGAAAAATAATCACCTATAAAGCCAGAAAAAAAGAAAACCCAAACTTGAAGCAAGTGGAGATTTCACTTTATTGAAAAAGTGGAAAAACAGGTACCCGAGGTTAGAAAAAAAAATTGCAACTTTTGAAGAGGTTCAAGTCGTTGCTTTTATGGAACAGGAACTGGAACCAAATAAAATCCATCTAGTAGCAAGATATGTTACTACATCTACGGTCACAAATTTCAAGAACTTTGAAACCAGAGGTAAGTGAAAGATGATTTATAAAAAGTTGGCAAAACTTTAGAAGAAAAATCAATGATAATTTTAAGAATTTTGTTTTTACCCTCCCCTCAAGAAGCTGTATTTTCTGCTTCTCTGAAAACAGCCTTGTATTTGGAGTGGCTGTTTATCTATAATAGTTTTGTGTGTTTCAACTGGTCAGCATCCTAAAGAATAAAATGTGTTGCATTTACATAATTTTTATTTGGAGAGATGTTGTTCAGTTTTCCTTTTCCACAGATAAGATTAAATAGGTATATATATACATTTGAGACAGAGTCTTGCTCTGTCGCCCAGGCTGGAGTGCAGTGGTGTCATCTCGGCTCACTGCAACCTCTGCCTCCCAGGTTCAAGCAATTCTCCTGCCTCAGCCTCCCAAGTAGCTGGGATTACAGGCACCCGCCACCATTCCTAGCTAATTTTTGTATTTTTAGTAGAGCCAGGTTTTCACCATATTGGTCAGGCTGGTCTCAAACTCCTGACCTCAGGTGATCCACCTGCCTCGGCCTTCCAAAGTGCTAGGATTACAGGCGTGAGCCAACATGCCCTAAATAGGCATAGTTTAAAGCAGAAGATTTAGGTTGGGTATGAGGTGTGAATATGAAATGATGAGATCAGTTTCCTTGTGTGGTACATACAACTGCTCTAAAGGCAATTTCAAAAAAGAAGTTACAAGAGGGTTTTTTAGGTTCTTTACAAGACTTCTTACATCATAGTCAGACCTCATGTATAGGTAATTGATGGCAAAGTAATGATTCAATTTCTTTTTGAAGTATATAGTTAAGTTGTTAGCTTTATTATTGACAGTTTATAAGAACAGTGGCATTAAATTTCTTGTTCTGCTCATGTTCTGGTGTCTGACAAATTCTTTTTAGCTATAATACTTTTGTTACCTAGTAATAAATGGGCTTGTTGCCCAATATACATAGAGGTCAATACATTGGCCCTGGCTTTTAAGAAAAAAATAAAAAGCAGCTTTATTCTGAGTCGACTGGCAAGGAGGTAGTAAGAAATGCGCAAATCTGTCTCCCCAAGCTGGGGGCTGAGGGTGGGGATGGAGGGGTTATAAGCATAGGGTAATGAGGTGCGATATGATCGGATCTTGCAATGTGTTGAAGCTGATATGATCGGATCTTGCAATGTGTTGGAGCTGGGAGGTGTGATCTGACTGGATCCTGCCATGGGGTGATGCCATAGCTCAATCTGGTTGGATCCTGGATCCTGCCATGTGGTGTTCACTTCTAATTCTGTCCCCACTCTTCTGTCCAAGTACTTCAGTTCCCCCTGTGGTTGCACAGGTGGTTCATCTGGGCACGCTCAGGTTATGTGACCTTCAACCGGGGGTGGGGGGGTCCATGATAACTGAAAAACAACTCACATTTTTATACATAAAAGTTGAACCAGATTGGTTTGATGTGGTTATACTTTAAGTCCATGCTTACAAAGACTCTATTTGCACTCCCTTTCTATGAATGCTTACATACATGTATTGGAGTGAACCATAAGAAATAGCCATTTTGTATGTCAAAAACTGTTGAACATCAGCAATTTCATTCAGTTCAATTTAATATATACTAAATAGTATAATTATCTGAATAGGTGAAAATTTTTTCAAGAATTATATGAGGCCTTTAGAGATCACTAGAATCGTACTAGGGCACTGCAACACTAAAACTAGAAATTATTTCTCTGCCCTAGGATTTCCAGCTTCTTAAAGCAACATAGCTATTCAGGGAAGAAACCGGCACTTAGAGATTTGAGTTCTGCTGGGCTACCTTCTTAACTTCCTTGCTGAAGTGGGATTCCATAGATAGGAAATAGAGACATGAAGAAAACCCAGTTCCTTTCTCAACTAGGTTTTCCTATTTCTTGAGTGAGGTGCACCCAAGGTGAAATTCATATACAAAATGTTGTCAGTATTTTGAATGATCAACATTTTTCCTGAATGCATGTTAAAAAATAGCAATGTTTTCTGTTTTAAGGTCCTCATAATGAAAAAGTATCTATTGTTTCCACACTGTTAAGGAAAAAATATGAATCAAAACAGCCTCTACAAAGCATAAACATCAATTTTTCCCTTATCTGATTCTATGAACATCTCACTGAATTGTTTATTTCCTATATAATTTCCAGAATGTCTGATTGCACCGAAGACAGTGGGTCAAAACAAAAAGCACTGGAAAGTCAAGATTCAGCTTTTAACAAGGTTATTTTAGTTTATTACAAAGTGTTGGAGAGTCAGTCAATTTCTATCAGAGAACTTGCTTTAAGCATTTCTGAAATCATTATTTGAATCCTGTTTAATAGTGACATTTTAAAAGCAGACATTACCCAACAAATGGTTTCTGTAAAAACAAAATATATTTACTGCCCAAGAGTGGCTGTGACTGTGACTTTGATGATCTCTTTCGGGAACTCTTAATAGGAGTCATCCATGTTCTGTACAAAGAAATAGGAATAAATCATCAGCCTTATGGCAATGGAAGAAACAAATCATTTTCTTTGCCTAGAAGCCCTAATTTGGCCAATTGCAACAAAAGCAAAACTATGAAAAGACAAGCAGGCTCCAGAGACTGGAAATCAGCTCCTACTGCCCAAATTGATAAACTCATGCAGAAAAATAAACTAAATTCTCTAGCATGTAATTTAGGCACTCTGGTTGGTAGCCTAAAAACTGTGAATCTAAAGTAGTCAATAAAAATGTAAATATTGTTTTAGATTTGGTTTTGCCAGATGAATGGCCAAATTGGGATATGGATTCTGGTAAAATAGCAATGAAAATATTCCCATCTCCAAGTAATCAGAAAAGTCATTGCATACCTAGAAATAATCTAGGGCTTTCCCCCAAATCAGTTTTTCATCTGAAATTTGTGTGCAAGAAACTTATTAGAATGCTTTTATGAGAATGCGCAACAAACAACTCTCTTACAAATAACCCTCTTTCTGATGAAATGTCAGCAGAATGTCAACTGTTCAACGTACTTCAAAATACAGAGGAAGAAGGATTTGGTTATTACAGGAAAACAATGAACCAATTTTGGAGGTGGGGCCTGGTGGGAGGTGTTTAGATCATGGGGGAGGATCACTCATGAATAGCTTAGAATTGTCCTCAGGTTAGTGAAGGAGTTCTCACAAGATCTGTTAAAAGTGTATGGCACCTCCCCTTCTCTCTTGTTCATGCTCTCCCCGTGTAAGTGCCTTTTCCCCCTTTGCCTTCCATCATGATTGTAAGCATTCTGAGGCCCTCCCCAGAAGCAGATGCTGACACCATTCTTGTACTGTCTGCCGAACCATGAGCCAACTAAAGCTCTTTTATTTGTAAATTACTCAGCCTCAGGTATTTCTTTACAGCAATGCAAAAATGACCTAATACAAGAACTTTTGGAAAATCTGGAGGGAATCGATCAAGAATATATGATTAGTTTTATTCCCATAGTTTTGTAAAATCCTTAATGGAAAAACAATCACACCACGTACAGCAACCTCTAAGATGTCCATCCTTTGCATTCTTTGCATATAGGAAAAGAAGGAGACTTTCTAATTTCCTAAAAGCAAAAAGGCCAGAATTAAAATAATCAAGATAAGGAAAAGGCTCTATAAGTTTCATGAGTTATGACAGCAAGCCTTTGAAGGGGGCACTGGATAGTATCTGAGCTATCTGTTCCAAATAGAAGCCTATTTGGTAAGCAACTTCCAAGAAAACCCTCTTGTCTACCTCCTCTTTGAAGACCAGGAGAAAAGCAATAAATATAGCAGCCATTCATAGCATGCAACATCTAGAAGGCATGAACCCAGGAGTTTACTCTGCCACATTTTTGGAGGAAATAATTGTAGGCATTTTTCTTAATCTCTATACCTCATTTTGGGCAAAAAAAAATATAAATATCACTGAGGCCCAGTTCAATGAGGTGAGTATATTAGGTGTTTACCCCATGGTAAATGAGTTTAATAATGCTCAAGTCACTGTTTTATAGGGTGTTGAAGAAAGGATATGTTTCCAACTAGTCTACAGCCTGGCCAACATGGTGAAACCCCATCTCTACTAAAAATACAAAAATTGGCTGAGCATGGTGGTGTGTGCCTATAGTCCCAGCTACTCGGGAGGCTGAGGCAGGAGAATCGTTTGAACTTGGGAGGTGGAGGTTGCAGTGAGCTGAGATCGTGCCACTCACTGCACTCTAGCCAGGGTGACAGAGTAAGACTTGTTCTCAAAAAAAAAAAAGTGCTCGTAAGATTGTTGACTCAGTTTATAACGATGCTTTACGGGAATATAAATTGCAAGTGACTTGTGGTAATCATCTGGCACACACTATCACCCCAGTAGCAGAGCAGATAACTAATGGCATACTGATAGAGATTTGAGACTAGCAACTCCCATTGTGTTTTGAAGAAAGGCTCATGCCTAATTCATATTACTCTCTCAAAGCTGAAAATATACTGCAGAAACTTCAGAATAACCTGAAATAACTTATTTACCAAGTTCAACATTCAACATGCTACATTACCATGTTATCACACTCATTTTTAGAAGATGTCATCAGGAGGCTATTATCTCCACTCTTTCTCTATACAGCAAGACTTCATGCTTGGGAAGGAACTATTTAATGACTTCAGATTTTAATGAGAAATCCACCTGTATAATAAGTAAAGTTATGTTAGCCATTTTCAAAGCATAAGATTTGGCTCACTAAATATGGTCGTTAGTATCTATGTATAGAAAAAGACCTCCAAAATATAGTGGAATCTGTTTATGATAATATTTTTCAGATGTCTGACTCTCTTGTGTCAATACAGAAAAGTTACAGCAGGCCAAAGCCAAATTATGATTGACTGGACAGCCAGTCTTATTAGTCAAGATTATTGAAAATCATTCAATCCTTTTTGTGTGGCGAGGGCTTACCTTGTCCAAAGACTCCATTGGATGAAATATCCAATATGGTTAAGGAGGTTCTCAGTGAAGTCACAGAGTCACACAGACCCCAGAAAACCCCATCACCACTGGCTATAGGTTTTTACCCTCATACATTTGTAGGAAAAATTGTTGTAAGGCTTTTATCAAAGGTCTTCAACCTGAGCTATAACACTGAGCATGAACTGGATAAAATGATCCAAAAATAGTAAATTCAATAAATAACAATTTCAACAAAGCTAAAATTTGCATCCCTTGTGATTACCAAGAGCAATCCTTTCCCACTGTAGATACAGACACTGTGGGTGAACTTGTCAATACAGCTTATAAGAATGTTCTGAAACAGCATGGGCTGGCCCTTGAGGTTGATAGTAAAGAACTCAAAGACAGTGATATTTTTGCAGAAGATGTTACCAAAAATACAGTGATATTTTTGCAGAAGATATTACCAAAAAGACAGTGATATTTTTTGCAGAAGATATTACCAATTTAATTGTGGCAGCTATTTGTGTTTATCTTTTTCATCAACTGTTTTCTGGGGATTTGTCAGCTTCCTATGCCACTTTAACAACAGAAAATATTATTAAGAATATCTTTAGTGCCATTAGTAAATCTACGAAGTCAAGGCAGCATTTATCTCTGTATAACACCTTATTGCCATACACATTTTTAGAAGACACAATCAAAGTACTGTTATCCAGAATATTTTCTTCTGCATCTAGCTTGCTTCCATGCAGTGAAACTCCAGATCAGGAATAAATTTCAATGAAATCTCTCCAAAACTAATTAGTGATATTAAGATGAAAAGTTTCCAACATGGAATTAGAGTTTCAAAAGATGAAGAAAAACCAACTCTGTTTATTCAGAGGATGATGCTCAGCATCTCGTTAATTCAGTATTTAGAAATATTTTGCAAAACTCTGGGTCTCAGGAAGCAGCTGAACGTGCTATCACAAGCAGTAACAATGTTTCTATTGACAGAATGGCAGATTTTATCATTAGAAATATCTGTCAACATCTTTATCCATTTGTATATGGAAATTTGTTACTTCCTTCATAATATACATATTTTGATGATGCAAGAAGGCCACAGTTTTTCTACTGGTGTTTACTTCTCAGACTTCTTGGAAGACATGATCTCTGGAGTTTTAAGCAAAATATTCCATAGAGTGTTAAGCATTGCACAAACAAAATCAGTAAGAGATTCAGAAAAAAGAACTTTTGGAGACAGCTGAAGTAATAATATATTTGACAACAGAAGAATTTTCAAAAGTCCAAGTTAGCATCCTAGAAAATACTAAGGGACAATTGTGTTTTCCCCCAGTAGATATGTAATTGTCAAAATTTCTGATGTGGTAAATAACAAAGTTTTACAAGGATATGAACAGGAACAACTACCTGATAAAGATTTTCTCAATGACACAAAGACATTGGCTGAGAGGGTAGCTAAAATTATCCTGGCTGAAGTTTCTGATTTCCAAATTCATCCAGATGTCATACCAAAGCTGCCTTTTAAATAATATTCAAGGCTGGGTGCCGTGGCTCACGCCTGCGATCCTAGCACTTTGGGAGGCCAAGGCGGGTGGATTGCTTGAGGCCAGGAGTTCGAGATCAGCCTCGGCAACATGGCGAAAAACCTGTCTCTACTACAAATACAAAAATTAGCCAGACATGGCGGTGCACATCTGTGGTCCCAGCTAGTCTGGGAGGCTGAGGTGGGAGGATTGCTTGAGTCCAGGAGGCAGAGGCTGTGGTGAGTCGAGAAGGCACCATTGCACTCCAGCCAGGGCGACAGAAGACCCTGTCTTAAAAAAAAATCATATTCAAAACTCAATGCTGATGATTTGGTAAAGAGAATTCATTATGATATTAGTAAATAAATACTCTGAAGATAGACGTGTACAATATATACCACCGTATTATCATGACACGTTCAGAAAAAATAGTCACTCAAGTTTTATCTCAGATAAGTTTATTGGACTTCAGTACAGAAGACCCAGAACTTTCATGATGAGACTTCAGTAAGTCATGAGATTGATTGATGAAATCATGTCAATAATTTCTAAACATGCAATATGCATTATTAAATATGGAAATGAAAAACAAAATGTGATTTCAGAAAATGATGTTCAGGCTATGGTTGATGCCATTTATAGTGATATTTCTCATTCAAATCTATACGAGTCTCTTACAAAAGGTAAAAACACATAATATACCTGTTACAAAAATAACAAGTTATATAATAAAAGAAATATTTAACCATCATATTCAGTCATTTTTATCTGGCATAAGTAATATACCTATTACAAAAATAGCAAGTTATATAATAAAAGAAATATTTAACCATCATATTCAGTCATTTTTATCTGGAGATAAAACTTTTTCTTCATACTGTTGATCAAACTCATAATCAAAGAGCAAGAGATCCTAAACAAAGAGAATTGTCCTTCATCGTGAATTCAGCTATCTTTTTGGAGGAAGTAATTTCTGGGCTTTTATGCAAAATCTTTTATGTATTCTCACATAATATCTTTATGTGGCCAAAATCCACATAAAGCAAAAGCCAACATTACTGATATTGTTACAACATTAGTAAAATCAACTATGCTGGAGTTCACCACATCACGAATTTTACTTGCAGATAAGTAGGACAAAAATCTGTATTTTTCAGAAGAATATAAAGAAATAGTCCAAAAAAGTCATCAACCTAATTTTTGAAAAATATTAAATGATTATGTCTCAGATTCATATATATAGGGCTATACAAAATGATGTCATTGGTTTTGGATGAAAAATATATTGTTTGCTATAAGAAGAAATTTATGATTATCAGGTAGAGTCATTAGTTTCAGGAAAATTATTAATGTCTTCTTACTCCACTCTCCAAGATGAGACTATCATCAGAAATGTACTCAACATCATCAATGATGATAGCCATCTCTTGCCTTCATGCATCTCTGTTTTGCTTCATTCTCTTTTAGAAGACATGATTTATGTGCTTCCAGCATGTATATTCCCTTTATCTGAGACTGAAACTGGACTAAAAGAGGGAGAGGTGCTGCCAAATTATGAGTTTGTTGATGCAGTTTCAGAACTGACTGGTGAAATTAGAAATTTCTGAACGTGAGATTAGATTTGTCCCTGCAGAGGAGCACACAGAAAGCATGCAACTGGGGGCAATTGAGAACTTCGTTGATTCCATACTTAACAATATTATGAAAAAAATTAAATTCCAAGCTGAAGCACAGAACAATACATGCAAAAAGGAAGGCTCGTTCCTTGGGAGAATAGCTGGTTTTATTATGAAGGAAATTATAGATCACCATGTGCAGACATTTTTATGTGATGAAGAAGCATCTTCCAGTGACTCACCTGAAAATGACCATGTCATTGAATTCTTGAATCCTGCTAATGAAAAAGCACTGTCCCTACCACAGTCTTCTGTGTATTCTGCTACATTTCTGGACGACGTTATAATTGACCTTGTTTGCAAGTTTTATACTCTCCAAAGTATTGCTGAAAATCCTAAGGACAAAGAAATATTGGAATAAAACCTCATGGAAATGCTATAAATTTTACAAATGACCCGATTGGGATAATTTAGGAAAAGTGAAATTAAAATTCTAATAAATGCTGAAGAAATGTTTTCTTTTCCACCAATGGATAAACAGACAGTTGATAAAGTATCTGATTCCGTGTATGATGAAGTCGTAGAAATATATGGATCTAACAATATTGGGGGAAATGACAGAAGTAACATTGTTATAGAGTTTATTGCTACTTTAGCCAAAAAGGTGATCTCTGCTTTCAAAATTCAACTGCTTTTTTCAGGAGACTGGTCTTCCACCTTCTTTTCATTTCTAGATGTGGATAACATTATCCAAAGAATTCAACACCTGCCATTTAAAACCTTTAAAAAGATAAATGGAAGTTTAAAGGGGAACTGTATTAGTTCATTCTCACACTGTTATAAAGAAGTATGTGAGACTGGGTAATTTATAAAGAAAAGAGATTTAATTGGCCCATGGTTCTGCAGGCCGTGCAGGCAGCATTGTGCCAGCATATGCTTCTGGGGAGGCCTCAGGGAGCTTTTATTCATTCCTTCAGGCGGAAGGCAAAGCAGGAGCAGGCATCTTATATGGCAGGAGCAGGAGCAAAGGGGGCAGGGGGAGGGGGGTGCTACACACTTTTAAACAACCAGATCTCACAAGAACTCTATCACGAGAAGAGCACCAAAGGGATGGTGCTAAACCAATCATGAGAACTCCGCCCCTATGATCCAATCACCTCCCACCGGGCCCCATCTCCAACACTGGGGATTACAATTCGATATGAAATTTGGGCAGGGACACATATCCAAACCATATCAGGAATCCAATTTGTTCAGTCATCTACATCAGGCCTGAAAAACAAAAAGGACACTTTGGAAATAGGTAGATGAGTATTTAATTAAAAGGAAGGTTTCAAAAAGAAGGAGACATCAATGAAAAAAGGCACCATTCATGAGCCAATATGTACCGATATAACTAGCATTATGAACGGCAAAGTACCCTAGCATTAGGGTTAGCTGGAGGTGTGGTGGATAAAAAGAAAGAGGAGGAAAAGAAAGGGGGAAGTTCAATTAGAGAAGATAGTGGAAATGTATCAAAAGTTATTTCAACAACTTTTCCAGATTTGAATATAGCACTTACAAAGGATGAAATCAAGAAGAAAGACAATTCAGCTAGAAAAAGGTCTAGATGAGAAGGTATACCAGCATTTTTCACCGAGTACCAATGACACAAAACACAAGAACGTTGGACTGGAACTAGATATTAAAATAGATGATAAAAAGGAAGAGTGATAAAAAAGAGAAAGTTCATTAGAAAAAGGGAACATACCTCTTAAACTACCATCTCTGAAAATCAAGGTGAAAAATAGATCCAAGAGAAGAAGAGAGATTCTCCAGCTTAAAGAGTTACAGATGATAAACAAATCTCACATTCTGAACATGTCCAAAATGTCACTGAAAGCATTTACAGCAATATTTAGAAATATCTTCTTTTTAAGGACAAATAGGTGATTCAAAATCCCAAAGACCCTAGAAGATAATGCAGCAGATGTAACTCAGGTGGATGGTAAGGATTCTGCGCAGCCTGCTTCAACAAATTGAGCTAACCAAAATGTTCCTGCAACTGAGGAAGAGAATGAGAAAAGTAAAGATAAAGAGATTAAAAGTAAACCTAGTAAACCAGACAGTTCTCAAAACCCACCAGAAAATAACCCTGGGATTTTGTCAGCCAATTTCTTAGAAGAAGTTATCTCTGAAATAATTAACAAATTGATTTTTCTTCCTCACCAGACACAGATGATGCATGTTGAAATGTAACCAGTGACATAAATCAAGATGAGATCTATGAGGCAGCTATGAAACCGATTGATTCCGTGTTAAAGGAGTTTTCAGATGCTCAAATTAAAGTGTTAAACCCAGATCAGGGAAATCAGCCCTTCCCACCTGCAGATAAAGTTACATCAGTTCATAAAGTACCTCTCAGGCAGAAAGAACTATCTGTGGATAAAGCACCATCCAAGATAAAAAATGATAATTATAGACAAAATACCATCCATGCATAGAATGCCACCTGCAACTAAAACACCTCCTTCAGATGAGGTACTTTTAATGGCTAACACACAATCAATTGATAAAATGTTGATCAATATGATTTTTTGCTCATCTGTATGCAATATTTTGCAGGAATATAGATGGCAAGACTCCATTTGTAAGGACATAACAGTAACAGTGAAAATTTAGCACAAGGCTAGTTAATGCAGTAATAGGAGAAGTTTTTCAGCATCAGCTAACCTTGTTACTTTGTGGTGAGGTTCCAGCTTCAGTATGTTTGCCTCTAGAATCTTGGGAGTTCATTTAAAAGGTCGAAAAGGTGCCCCAAACAGCCTGCAAAAAATGTCAGGCATCATGGCCATATACTACAATGCTGCCTTGTGAATTTTTAGAGTATAATTTCTTCTCTTCTATCAAAAATTTTCTCGGTGGGTGGAGCCAAGATGGCCGAATAGGAACAGCTCCAGTCTACAGCTCCCAGCATGAGCGACACAGAAGACGGGTGATTTCTGCATTTCCAACTGAGGTACCAGGTTCATCTCACTGGGGAGTGCCGGAAAGTGGGTGCAGGACAGTGGGTGCAGTGCACCGTGCGTGAGCCAAAGCAGGGCGAGGCATCGCCTCACCCGGGAAACACAAGGGGTCAGGGAATTCCCTTTCCTACTCAAAGAAAGGGGTGACAGACGGCACCTGGAAAATCAGGTCACTCCCACCCTAATACTGTGCTCTTCCAACGGGCTTAACAAATGGCACACCAGGAGATTATATCCCGCACATGGCTCAGAGGGTCCTACGTCCACGGAGCCTCGCTCATTGGTAGCACAGCAGTCTGAGATCAAGCTGCAAGGTGGCAGCGAGGCTGGGGGAGGGGTGCCCACCATTGCTCAGGCTTGAGTAGGCAAACAAAGTGGTAGGGAAGCTCGAACTGGGTGGAGCCCACCACAGCTCAAGGAGGCCTGCCTGCCTCTGTAGGCTCCACCTCTGGGGGCAGGGCACAGACAAACAAAAGACAGCAATAACCTCTGCAGTCTTAAATGTCCCTGTCTGACAGCTTTGAAGAGAGTAGTGGTTCTCCCAGCACGCAGCTTGAGATCTGAGAATGGGCAGACTGCCTCCTCAAGTGGGTCCCTGACTCCCGAGTAGCCTAACTGGGAGGCACCCCCCAGTAGGGGCAGACTGACACCTCACACGACCAGGTACTCCTCTGAGACAAAACTTCCAGAGGAACAATCAGGCAGCAGAATTTGCAGTTCACCAATATCCGCTGTTCTGCAGCCACTGCTGCTGATACCCAGGCAAACAGGGTCTCGAGTGGACCTCCAGTAAACTCCAACAGACCTGCAGCTGAGGGTCCTGACTGTTAGAAAGAAAACTAACAAACAGAAAGGACACCCACACCAAAACCCCATCTGTACGTCACCATCATCAAAGACCAAAGGTAAATAAAACCACAAAGATGGGGGAAAAACAGCAGAAAAACCAGAAACTCTAAAAATCAGAGCGCCTCTCCTCCTCCAAAGGAACACAGCTTCTCACCAGCAACGGAACAAAGCTGGATGGAGAATGACTTTGACGAGCTGAGAGAGGAAGTCTTCAGAAGATCAAACTACTCCGAGCTAAAGGAGGAAGATCAAACCAATGGCAAAGAAGTTAAAAACTTTGAAAAAAAATTAGATGAATGGATAACTAGAATAACCAATGCAGAGAAGTCCTTAAAGGACCTGATGGAGCTGAAAACCAAGGCACAAGAACTACATGACGAATGCACAAGCCTCAGTAACCGATGTGATCAACTGGAAGAAAGGGTATCAGCGATGGAAGACGAAACGAATGAAATGAAGCGTGAAGAGAAGTTTAGAGAAAAAAGAATAAAAAGAAATGAACAAACCCTCCAAGAAATATGGGACTATGTGAAAAGACCAAATCTACGTCTGATTGGTGTACCTGAAAGTGACGGGGAGAATGGAACCAAGTTGGAAAACACTCTGCAGGATATTATCCAGGAGAACTTCCCCAATCTACCAAGGCAGGCCAACATTCAGATTCAGGAAATACAGAGAACACCACAAACATACTCCTCGAGAAGAGCAACTCCAAGACACATAATTGTCAGATTCACCAAAGTTGAAATGAAGGAAAAAATGTTAAGGGCAGCCAGAGAGAAAGGTCGGGTTACCCACAAAGGGAAGCTCATCAGACTAACAGCGGATCTCTTGGCAGAAACTCTACAAGTCAGAAGAGAGTGGGGGCCAATATTCAACATTCTTAAAGAAAAGAATTTTCAACCCAGAATTTCATATCCAGCAAAACTAAGCTTCATAAGTGAAGGAGAAATAAAATACTTTACAGAGAAGCAAATGCTGAGAGATTTTGTCACCACCAGGCCTGCCCTAAAAGAGCTCCTGAAGGAAGCACTAAACATGGAAAGGAACAACCGGTACCAGCCACTGCAAAAACATGCCAAATTGTAAAGACCATCAAGGCTAGGAAGAAACTGCATCAACTAACGAGCAAAATAACCAGCTAACATCATAATGACAGGATCAAATTCACACATAACAATACTAACCTTAAATGTAAATGGGCTAAATGCTCCAATTAAAAGGCACAGACTGGCAAATTGGATAAAGAGTCAAGACCCATCAGTGTGCTGTATTCAGGAAACCCATCTCACATGCAGAGACACACATAGGCTCAAAATAAAGGGATGGAAGAAGATCTACCAAGCAAATGGAAAACAAAAAAAGGCAGGGGTTGCAATCCTAGTCTCGGATAAAACAGACTTTAAACCAACAAAGATCAAAAGAGACAAAGAAGGCCATTACATAATGGTAAAGGGATCAATTCAACAAGAAGAACTAACTATCCTAAATATATATGCACCCAATACAGGAGCACCCAGATTCATAAAGCAAGTCCTTAGTAACCTACAAAGAGACTTAGACTCCCACACATTAATAATGGGAGACTTTAACACCTCACTGTCAACATTAGACAGATCAATGAGACAGAAAGTTAACAAGGATATCCAGGAATTGAACTCAGCTCTGCACCAAGCAGACCTAACAGACATCTACAGAACTCTCCACCCCAAATCAACAGAATATACATTCTTTTCAGCACCACACCACACCTATTCCAAAACTGACCACATAGTTGGAAGTAAAACACTCCTCAGCAAATGTAAAAGAATAGAAATTATAACAAAGTGTCTCTCAGACCACAGTGCAATCAAACTAGAACTCAGGATTAAGAAACTCACTCAAAACTGCTCAACTACATGGAAACTGAACAACCTGCTCCTGAATGACTACTGGGTTCATAACGAAATGAAGGCAGAAATGAAGATGTTCTTTGAAATCAATGAGAACAAAGACACAACATACCAGAATCTCTGGGACACATTCAAAGCAGTGTGTAGAGGGAAATTTATAGCACTAAATGCCCACAAGAGAAAGCAGGAAAGACCTAAAATTGACACCCTAACATCACAATTAAAAGAACTAGAAAAGCAAGAGCAAACACATTCAAAAGCTAGCAGAAGGCAAGAAATAACTAAGATCAGAGCAGAACTGAAGGAAATAGAGACACAAAAAACCCTTCAAAAAATCAATGAATCCAGGAGCTGGTTTTTTGAAAAGATCAGCAAAATTGATAGACCACTAACAAGACTAATAAAGAAGAAACGAGAGAAGAATCAAATAGATGTAATAAAAAACGACAAAGGCGATATCACCACCTATCCCACAGAAATACAAACTACCATCAGAGAATACTACAAACACCTCTATGCAAATAAACTAGAAAATCTAGAAGAAATGGATAAATTCCTCGACACATACACTCTCCCAAGACTAAACCAGGAAGAAGTTGAATCTCTGAATAGACCAATAACAGGATCTGAAATTGAGGCAATAATTAATAGCTTACCAACCAAAAAAAGTCCAAGACCAGATGGATTCACAGCCAAATTCTACCAGAGGTACAAGGAGGAGCTGGTACCATTCCTTCTGAAACTATTCCAATCAATAGAAAAAGAGGGAATCCTCCCTAACTCATTTTATGAGGCCAGCATCATTCTGATACCAAAGCCGGGCAGAGACACAACCAAAAAAGAGAATTTTAGACCAATATCCTTGATGAACATTGATGCAAAAATCCTCAATAAAATACTGGCAAACCGAATCCAGCAACACATCAAAAAGCTTACCCACCATGATCAAGTGGGCTTCATCCCTGGGATGCAAGGCTGGTTCAACATACGAAAATCAATAAATGTAATCCAGCATATAAACAGGACCAAAGACAAAAACCACATGATTATCTCAATAGATGCAGAAAAGGCCTTTGACAAAATTCAACAACCCTTCATGCTAAAAACTCTCAATAAATTAGGTATTGATGGGACGTATCTCAAAATAATAAGAGCTATCTATGACAAACCCACAGCCAACATTATTCCGAATGGACAAAAACTGGAAGCATTCCCTTTGAAAACTGGCACAGACAGGGATGCCCTCTCTCACCACTCCTATTCAACATAGTGTTGGAAGTTCTGGCCAGGGCAATTACGCAGGAGAAGGAAATAAAGGGCATTCAATTAGGAAAAGAGGAAGTCAAATTGTCCCTGTTTGCAGATGACATGATTGTATATCTAGAAAAACCCATCGTCTCAGCCCAAAATCTCCTTAAGCTGATGAGCAACTTCAGCAAAGTTTCAGGATACAAAATCAATGTGCAAAAATCACAAGCATTCTTATACACCAATAACAGACAAACAGAGAGCCAAATCATGAGTGAATTCCCATTCACAATTGCTTCAAAGAGAATAAAATACCTAAGAATCCAACTCACAAGGGATGTGAAGGACCTCTTCAAGGAGAACTACAAACCACTGCTCAATGAAATAAAAGAGGATACAAACAAATGGAAGAACATTCCATGCTCATGGGTAGGAAGAATCAATATCGTGAAAATGGCCATACTGCCCAAGGTAATTTATAGATTCAATGCCATCCCCATCAAGCTACCAATGACTTTCTTCACAGAATTGGAAAAAACTACTTTAAAGTTCATATGGAACCAAAAAAGAGCCTGCATTGCCAAGTCAATCCTAAGCCAAAAGAACAAAGCTGGCAGCATCACACTACCTGACTCCAAACTATATTACAAGGCTGCAGTAACCAAAACAGCATGGTACTGGTACCAAAACAGACATATAAACCAATGGAACACAATAGAGCCCTCAGAAATAATGCTGCATATCTACAACTATCTGATCTTTGACAAACCTGAGAAAAACAAGCAATAGGGAAAGGATTCCCTATTTAATAAGTGGTGCTGGGAAAACTGGCTAGCCATATGTAGAAAGCTGAAACTGGATCCCTCCCTTACACCTTATACAAAAATTAATTCATGATGGATTAAACACTTACATGTTAGACCTAAAACCATAAAAACCCTAGAAGAAAACCTAGGCATTACCATTCAGGACATAGGCATGGGCAAGGACTTCATGTCTAAAACACCAAAAGCAATGGCAACAAAAGCCAAAATTGACAAATGGGATCTAATTTAACTAAAGAGCTTCTGCACAGCAAAAGAAACCACCATCGGAGTGAACAGGCAACCTACAGAATGGGAGAAAATTTTTGCAACTTACTCCTCTGACAAAGGGCTAATATCCAGAATCTACAATGAACTCAAACAAATTTACAAGAAAAAAACAACCCCATCAAAAAGTGGGTGAAGGATATGAACAGACACTTCTCAAAAGAAGACAGTTACACAATGAAAAAACACATGAAAAAGTGCTCATTATCACTGGCCATCAGAGAAATGCAAATCAAAACCACAATGAGATACCATCTCACGCCAGTTAGAATGGCGATCATTAAAAAGTCAGGAAACAACAGGTGCTGGAGAGGATGTGGAGAAATAGGAACACTTTTACACTGTTGGTGGGACTGTAAACTAGTTCAACCATTGTGGAAGTCAGTGTGGCGATGCCTCAGGGATCTAGAACTAGAAATACCATTTGACCCAGCCATCCCATTACTGGGTATATACCCAAAGGATTATAAATCACGCTGCTATAAAGACACATGCACACGTATGTTTATTGCAGCACTATTCACAATAGCAAAGACTTGGAACCAACCCAAATGTCCAACAATGATAGACTGGATTAAGAAAATGTGGCACATATACACCATGGAATACTATGCAGCCATTAAAAATGGTGAGTTCATGTCCTTTGTAGGGACATGGATGAAGCTGGAAACCATCATTCTCAGCAAACTATCACAAGGACAAAAAACCAAATACTGCATGTTCTCACTCATAGGTGGGAATTGAACAATGAGAATACATGGACACAGGAAGGGGAACATCACACTCTGGGGACTGTTGTGGGGTGGGGGGATGGGGGAGGGATAGCATTAGGAGATATACCTAATGCTAAATGACGAGTTAATGGGTGCAGCACACCAACACGGCACATGTATACATATGTAACAAACCTGCACCTTGTGCACATGTACCCTAAAACTTACAGTATAATAATAATAATAATAATAAAATTCTCGACAGTAGCCAACACTGCAACAGAAATATCTGAAGATAATTTGTATACAGAACTGGATTACCTTCAAATGAAGTAAATTCAATTATGACAGTGGTCTCCAAAGATGAATATATGATTGATTATACAGGATGTACAATCCTTACATCCTAATGATGATGAAATTATTCATTTAGTGGTTCAGACTATTTAAAATAATCAGCGACAATTTGGATTTCATGAAAGCATAAAAAATTTTGTCACCAGTGGCTGCAGAATACTTTCAGAAATCAGTTTAGTTGTACAGGAAGTGGCTGGCAATCAGCTGCTGACCTATTTTTCTGGAGAGCTAACTTCATATAAGTGTACAGAAGTTGACAGTGTTGTTGAAAATATGCTTAAACATGTCTAAACCACGGGGGTCCCCCATAGTCAGCCATCACGTGCTTACAAACTGCCTTTTAACATAATAGAAGATATTGCTATACTTTTTTTACCAACGCTTTTATCTATGTTTCCAAAATTGATAAAAAACAAAACAAGTCTCTAAATGCTGAAATGCAAAAACTAACCTTAAAAATCGTACATTTACTTCAAAAATATATGTCTAAAAGTCAGATTAAAGTCGTACCACAGGGCAAAGAGTCACTCACCCTGTCTTTAGCAGACAGTGCAACTATTGAAAAAGTAGTTATTCTGCTTATAACAGTGTTTTAAAGCACTCTGGGTAATATTTCAGTGTAGAAAGATTTAATGCGTAAGAACAATGTCCTTGCTGGGTGCGGTGGCTCACACCTGTAATCCCAGCACTTTGGGAGGCCAAGGTGGGTGGATTGCTTGAGGCCAGGAGTTCAAAACCAGCCTGGCCAATATGATGAAACCCCATCTCTACTACAGATACAAAAATTAGGTGTGCATGGTGGCACACGCCTGTAGTCCCAGCTACCCAGGAGACCGAGGCAAGAGAATCACTTGAACCCAGGTGGTAGAGGTTGCAGTGAGCCAAGATAGTGCCACTGCACTCCAGCCTGGGTGACAGAGCAAGACTCTGGTCTCAAAAAAAAAAATTCTCAATTTTGAATGGTAAAGGAAACTCAATTTTACCCTCAAGTGGAGGAAGAAGCATCAAATTCAGAATTAGTTATGGAAACTGTCAAAATTCTGGAAAACATGGTTAAGATTATTGATGTCCTTAAGTCAAAGAAAAAGACTTCACCCAGAAAAGATGCTGTGTTTAATGCCATGATTTTCGATAAAATATTGGCCTTGTTCTTGGCTAGACTAATTAAGTTGCCAAGGGCCTCAAGCAAAGATGCTAAAACTTATCAAAGCCTGAGTTAAATAAAATCGCATCTCAATTAAGAAAATCCATGACATCTGAAATTTCCAGAGAAAACATTAGTGTTATAGCTGCTAATCCTGAAGAATGGTTTTTCAAGTCCAGAAAGTACAGAAATTATTTCTCAGGTTATTGATTCTGCTTATAATCATGTACTACAACAATTTGGAACACAGGAACAACTTTATTATAATATTAAACGTACAAACAACTTCTTCCCTTATAAGGTGTCTTCTTTGATTATTAGTAAAGTTTTAAATTGTCCAGTAGAAGCAATTCACTCAAAAGATTCATGTACTGATCTCTTTGGTGATATGGACATTGGTCGAAGTGTTGAAAAGGTGTGTGAGGGTCGGGTGCGGTGGCTCACGCCTGTAATCCCAGCACTTTGGGAGGCCGCGGTGGGTGGATCATGAGGTCAGGAGATCGAGACCATCCTGGCTAACATGGTGAAACCCCGTCTCTACTAAAAATTCAAAAAATTAGCCAGGCGTGGTGGCGGGTGCCTGTAGTCCCAGCTACTCGGGAGGCTGAGGCAGGAGAATGGCGTGAACCCGGGAGGTGGAGCTTGCAGTGAGCCGAGATTGCGCCACTGCACTCCAGCCTGGGAGACAGAGCGAGACTCCATCTCAAAAAAGAAAGAAAGAAAGGAAGGAAGGAAGGAAGGAAGGAAGGATGGAAGGAAGGAAGAAAGAAAGAAAGAAAAAGAAAGAAAGAAAGAAAGAAAAGGTGTGGGAGCATGCTGTTAAAATACAGCCTGAGCTACAGAAAAAAAAAAAAAGTTAGATTAGGATTTAACTGAAGAGAAACACCCAATTAAAATGATTCTTTACTGTAGGAAACTACCAATCAATATTGATCCAGACATTGCTGCAGAACACCTAGGAGTTATTTCTATAAAAACTCAGCCTACTGAGAAAATGCAGATGGAGTGTTTAGCTAGAACTGGACACAGCATAGAAGCACTGAGAAGAGCATCAATAAGTGGGAGGAGTCACTTAGACTCCTCTGCTGCAGAAAGGAGGAAGAAGGACAAACTTATTGGATAAGACAGGATGACTGAATGTGAAACTGTTAGAAGTAAATGCATAAGGCAGTGTTGAAAAGAAGCGAGTGGCTAGTGAGACCTTGCTGTCCTCCTGTGACTTTCTTCCTCAGGTAGGTCTACTGAATGCATTTGTCAAATATGGTCAATTTGCTCCTGCTCAGCTCAGTAGAATTGGATGCTCTTGATTCATCCAATACAATCCTCTGCTTTCCTGGCACTTACCCCATCAGCCCTGTGGCTCAGTGTAAATGTGTCAAGCTAGCTTTTATTAGCCAGTCAGAGTGAACTGCCATTTCTTGAAGAAAGAGAACAGGGAAATACCCTTGACAGCAAACCAGAGTGACTGGAATTATAGTCCTCATTTATCAACTCAGAAGAAATGCAATCTTTTACAATTCCCATAGTTCTTTTTTTATGGATATGCATTATCATTGTGCTATATAGGTGCACAAGGGTCAGTTAGAGCATCAGCTCAACCAGCTCTACTGGTCATTTATATCCTCAAACTTAAGACTCCACAGTAGTATTGTTTTTACTTAGCAACATTTATCAACAAACATTAGACTGCAAGCTCTTTAGATATCACTCTTCCTATTTCACTTTTACTATGTAGGAGTTTGTCCAGAGATGGAGCTATAGTGATCCAGCCCCACGTTCTCATTTAATACCAAAGCCCCTTGGTATAAATGAGTCTCTTGCACTGATGGTGAGCTTTCACACTAGGGATATAGCTTGTGGCTTAAAAACTGCCTAGGAGCATGTTTTCCTTAGCATTATTTTCCAGCCGATTTAACTAAGTCTCAGAGCCAGTAAATACATTGATGGGTACTAATTTTTAGTCCCGAATACTGAGATTGTAATGGGCTGGGACATTAATGTAATCTCCTTGATCTTTAGTTTCTTGGACCAGATGAAGATCCTTTCCAGCTCAAAAATGTCCTTTTCTCTCTGGGTTTTCAAAATTAGATTAGCATTTACATGGTAGTCTTCATTTATATATGAGTAGTTCCTTGGGCACATGACCTGTGTGACTAAACTGTAAAACATTACCCCCAAGTCAATGCTTAATCATTTGCAGACATATCTGTCACAGTTCTTATTCTTGGTTGCCTGTTCTCTTCACTTTCATCCTTTATCAGCACTTTAACCATCTCTTTATAGCCCAGAGAACATTGGAAGTTGATATTTAATCCAAAACAACTATCCCTGCCACTCTAAATGGGAGCAAAAGCTGTCTTAAGGAAAGCTAGACATAGGCAGCCCAGCCAAGACAGACTGTGCAGCGATCTGGATAGCAAGGCCATCCATCCCCAGCATAGGGCTGGGAATTGTAGAAAGAACAATAAATGAGTTTAGGAAACCCAGACAACTCCTGGACTACTCCTCAGTCAGGAAATCCACTTGCAGGGCCTCATTTGCTATTTTAAGATACCAAAACATCCCAACACAGAAAATTTATTATTGTTATTATTATTATTATTATTTTGACGGAGTCTCGCTCTGTCGCCAGGCTGGAGTGCAGTGGCATGATCTCAGCTCACTGCAGCCTCCGCCTCTTGGGTTCAAGCGATTCTCCTGCCTCAGTCTCCCAAGTAGCTGGGACTACAGGTGTGTGCCACCACGCCCAGCTAATTTTTGTATTTTTAGTAGAGATGGAGTTTCACCATGTTGGCCAGGATGGTCTCGATCTCTTGACCTCATGATCCGCCCACCTCGGCCTCCCAAAATGCTGGGATTACAGGCATGACCCACCGCACCCAGCCTAAATACATGAATATTAAAGGCCCATACAGTGACAAATTCCAAAGCCATATAGAATGATTTTTTATTTTTTGAACCATTGTTCCCCTCCACCAGACACATAATCAAAATTGATTGTTTCCATTTCTTACAGAAGTTCCTCTTTTATTTTCTTTTTCACAAAAGGCATTCCTTTAGGGCAACATTTATCTAAAAATCTGGTTTACAGTGTTATAATGAGATGTTGAGATCTAGGATTGGTAACTCAAATTAATGTAAAGGCTCTGTGGCATCATCAAAGGCTACAGAAATGGGAAAAGACATTTATTTACTTATAACTGTCTTCTCCTTGAGCTGTCTTTAACATTGCAAAATGGAAAGTGACATTTGACTAGGGAGGTGAGGAGAAATGAGGATTTATTCTTTGAAGCTTTTTTTTTGGAAAATATGTTCAAAGTGTTAGGGGCAGAGGCAAACATCCAAAGGCCTTCAAAATTGTGACTATTATTCATCATTTTAAAAAATCCAGGTTAGCCAACACCTTGTCTTTTTTCATGAAAAAATATATATATTTATATTGCTCTATGATTAGTTCCCTATTAAGAAGTTTAGAAAAATATGTTATCAAGGTGCAGAGACAAAGCAAGATGGTGGAATAGAAGGTTCCACCAATCGTCCCCAACGAGGACACCAATTTTAAACTATCTACACAAGAAAAACACCTTCATAAGAACTAAAAATCAGATGAGCACTCACAGTACCTGGTTTTAACTTCATATCACTGAAAGAAGCACTGCAGAAGTAGAAAAAATAGTCTTGAATTGTCATGTCCCCCCACCTCTGCAGTGGTAGCGTGGTGCTGAGAGCATCTCTGGTTGTTGGCAGAAAGATAGCACAGCAATTGTGAAGCATTGAACTCAGTGCTGTCCTGTTAGAGCAGAAAGGAAAACCAGACCAAATTCAGCTGATTCCTGCCCAGGGAGGGAGCATTTAAACCAGCTCTAGGCAGAGGCGTATTACCAATCACAGCGGTTGAAACTTGAGTTCCAGCAAACCTTGCTATCATGGGCTAAAATGCCCTTGGCGCCTTAAAAAAACTTGAAAGATGGGCCAGGCCACAAGGACTGCAACTTTTATGTGAGTCCTAATGCTGAACTGGGCCCAGAGACATTAAACAGGGGGCATGTGACCTACCTACTGAAACACTTGCCAGGGCAGTTAAGGGAGTGCTGCCACCACCTCACCTCTAACCCCAGGCTGCATGCACAGCTCACAGCTCTACAAGAGACCTTTTCCTACCACTTGAGGAGAGAAGGAAGAGTGGGGAGGACTTTGTTTTGCCTCTTGGATACCAGCTAGCCTTAGGGCCCTGGTCAGAGTTGCCAGGCCCTTTTTCCAGGCTCTAGCTCCTAGATGACATTTCTAGACTTATCCTGGGCCAGAAGGGAACCTGCTACCTTGAAGGGAAGGACCCAGTCATGGAAGGATTTGTCACCTGCTAACTGAAGGGCCTTTGGGCCCTGAATAACCAGCAGCAATACCCAGGAACTACGTTGAGGGCCTTGGGTGACCCTCTGAGATTTGCTGGCTTCAGGTGAGACTGTGCATATATATTTTCAACTATGGTGGCTATGGGGTGAAACTCCTTCCACTTGAGAAAAGCACAGGTAAAAGTAAAGGGGACTTTGTCTTGCACCTTAGGTACCAGCACAGCCACAGGGGGTGGAGCACCAAGCAAGCTCTTGGGGTGCCCAATTCCAAAACTTGGTTCTTAGATGGCATTTCTGGACGTGCCATGGGCCAGAGGGGAGACTATTTCCCTGAATGGTGAGTCCCAGGCCAGGCAGCATTCATGATAGGCTGACTCAAGAGCCCTTGGGCCTTAAGGGAACATTGGCAGTAGTCTGGCAGTACTCCCTGGGGACCTGTGGTGGCAGTGGCCATGGGGTGAGGCTCCTCTGCCTTTGGAAAGGGGAGGGAAGAGTGGCAAGGACTGTGTGTTGTGGTTTGAGTGCCAGCTCAGCCACAGTACAATAGAACACCAGGTAGATTTCTAAAGTTTTTGACTCTATGTGAGAAACAAACTCACCCGTCCAAACCCAAAGAATGGACTCAGAGACCCAGAGAACAGCAAAAGTAAGACTTTTAATGATGGTCTTCCAAGATCGGGTGTCTTAAAGCATTCAGAAAAATTGAAATAACATCAACCATCTTCTCTGACCACAGCAGAATAAAACTAGAAATTAATAAGAAGAATTTTAGAAACTATGCAAACACATGGAAATTAAACAATATACTCTGAATTACCAGCGGGTCAATGAAAAAATCAAGAAAGAAATTGTAAAAATTCTTGAAACAAATGATAATGGAAACATAACATACCAAAACCTATGGGATACAATGAAAGTAGTAGTAAGAGAGCAGTTTATAGCTATAAAAGCCTACATCAAAAAAAGAAGGAAAACTTCAAATAAATAATCTAATGTTAAGAACTAGAAAAGCAAGAGCAAACTGAACCCAAAATTAGTAGAAGAAAATAAATAATAAAGATCAGAGCGGGAATAAGTTAATTTGAAATGAAGAAAACAATACAAAAGATCAATAAAAATGAAAGGTCATTTTTTTTAAAAGATAAACAAAATTGACAAACCTTTAGCCAGACTAGCTAAGAAAAAAATAGGGATTAAAAATAAATAAAATCAGAGATGAAAGAGGAGACATTACAACTGATACTGCAGAAACCCAAAGGATCATTAGTGGATAGTAAGAGTAACTGTAGGCCAATAAATGGGAAAACCTAGAAGAAATGGACAAATTCCTAAACACATATAACATTCCAAGATTGAGCCAAGGAGAAATCTAAAACCCAAACAGATCAATAACAAGTAACAAGATTGAAGCCATAATAAAAAGTCTCCCAGTAAAGAAAAGCCCAGGACCCGATGGTTTTACTGCTGAATTCTACTGAACATTTCAAGAACTAATACCAGTCCTACTCAAACTATTCCAAAAAATAGAGGAGGAGGAAATACTTCCAAACTCACTCTTCGAGGACCATATTTCTCTGTTACCAAAACCAGAGAAAGATAAATCAAAAAAAGAAAACTATAGGCCAATATCTCTGATGATTATTAATACAAAAATCCTCAACAAAATACTAGCAAAACAAATTCAACAATACATTAAAAAGATCAGTCATCATGACCAAGTGGGATTTATCCCAGGAATGTAAGAATGGTTCAATATACGTAAATCAATCAATGTAATACATCACAACAGAATGAAGGACAGAAATTATTAGATCATTTCAATTGACACTGAAAAAGCATTTGATAAAATTCAACATCCCTTCATGATAAAAATCCTCAAAAACTGGGTATAGAAGGAACATACCTCAAATTATAAAAGCCATATATGACAGACTCACAGTTAGTATCACAGTAAATGAGGAAAAATGGAAAGCCTTTCCTCTAAGATCTGGAACACAACAAGAATGCCCACTTTCTCCACTGTTACTCAACACAGTACTGGAAGTGCTAGCCGGAGCAATTGGACCAGAGAAAGAAATAAAGTGCATCCAAATTGGATTAAAAGAGGTCAAATTATCCTTGTTTTCAGATAATATGATCTTGTATTTGGAAAAACCTAAAGACTCCACAGAAAAAACCTATTAGAACACATAAACAAATTCAGTAAAGTTGCAGGACACAAAATCAACATACAAAAATCAGTAGCATTTCCATATGCCAACAATAAACAATCTGAAAAAGAAATCAAGAAATTAATCCCATCTACAATAGCCACAAATAAAATTAAATACCTAGGAAATAACCAAAGAAGTGGAAGACCTCTATAATGAAAACTATCAAACATTGATTAAAGAAATTGAAGTGGACAGCAAGAAATTGGAAGAGATTCCATGTTCATGAATTGGAAGAATCAATATTATTAAAATGTCCATACTACCCAAAGCAATCTACAGATTCAATGCAATCTCTATCAAAATACCAGATATTATTCACAGAAATAGATAAAACAATCCTAAAGTGTACATAGAATCATGGGAGGCTCAGAATAGCCAAGGCTATCCTAAGCAAAAAGAATAAAACTGGAAGAATCACATTACCTGACTTCAAATCATATTACAGAGCTATAGTAACCAAAACAGCATGGCACTGGCATAAAAACACACACAGACCAATGGAACAGAATACAGAACCCAGAAACAAATACACAAACCTACAGTGAACTCATTTTCAACAAAGGTGCCAAGAACATACACTGGGGAAAAGATAGTCTCTTCAATAAATGGTGCTGGGAAAATTGGATATCCATATGCAGAAGAATGAAACTAGACCCCTATCTCTCACCATATACAAAAATAAAATCAAAATGGATTAAATACTTAAATCTAAGACCTCAGATCATAAAACTACTACAAGAAAACTTTGGGGAAAAATCTCCAGGACATCAGTCTCAGCAAAAATGTACTGAGTAATACCCCACAAGCACAGGCAACCAAAAGAAAACTGGAGAAATGGGATCACATCAAGTTAAAAAGCTTCTGCACAGCAAAGGATACAATCAACAAAGTGATGAGACCACTCACAGAATGGGAGAAAATATTTGCAAAACACCCATATGACAAGGGATTAATAACCAGAATATGCAAGGAGCTCAAACAATTCTATAGGAAAAAACATAATCATCCAATCAAAAAAATGGGCAAAAGATCTGAACAGATATTTCTCAAAAGAAAACATACACAAATAGCAAACAGGCATATGAGAAGGTCCTCCACATCACTGATCATCAGAGAAGTGCAAATCAAAACTACAATGAGATATCATCTCACTCCAGTTAAAATGACTTATATCCAAAAGATAGGCATCCAAGGATGTGGAGAAAAGGGAACCCTCATACACCGTTTGTGGGAATGTAAGTTAGTACAACTACTATGGAGAACAGTTTGGTGGTTCCTCAAAACACTAAAAATGGAGCTACCATATGACCCAGCAATCTCACTATATACAAAAGAAAGGAAATTAATATATCAAAGTGATGATATCTGCACTCTTTTGTCTATTGCGGCATTATTCACAATAGCCAAGATTTGGAAGCACCCTAAATGTCCATCAACAGATGAATGGATAAAGAATATGTGGTTCACCCATTAAAGAAATGGGCAAAGGACCATGAACAGACACTTCTCAAAAGAAGACATAAAAGCAGCCAACAAGCATATGAAAAAATACTCAGCATCACTAATCATTAGAGAAATATAAATGAAAACCACAATGAGATACCATCCCACACCAGTCAGAATGGCTATTATTAAAAAGTCAAAAAATAACAGATACTGGCAAGGTTGTAGAGAAAAAGGAACACTTTTACACGGCCTGTGGGAATGTGGATTAGTTCAGCCAGTGTGAAAAGCAGTTTGACAATTTCTGAAAGAACTTAAAACAGAACTACCATTTGACCCAGCAATCGCATGATTGTGTATATACCCAAAGGAATATAAATTGTTCTGCCATAAAGACACATGCACACATATGTCCATCGCAGCACTATTCACAATAACAAAGACATGGAATCAGCCTAAATGCCCATCAACGGTAGATTGGATGAAAAAAAATGTGGTACATATACACCATGGAATACTATGCAGCTATAAGGAAGAATGAAATTGTGTCCTTTGCAGCAACAAAGATATAGTTGGAGGCTATTATCCTAAGCGAATTAATGCAAGAAAAGAAAACCAAATACCACATGTTCTCACTTATAAGTGGGAGCAAAACACTGAGTACACATGGACACAAAGAAGAGAACAACAGACACCAGGGCCTACTCAAGGGTGGAGGGTGAGAGGAGGATGAGGATCAAAAAACTACCCGCTGGGTACTGTGCTTATTACCTGAGTCACGAAATAATCTGTACATCAAATCCATGAGACACACAATTTACCTATGTAACAAACCTGCACATGTACCCCCCTGAACCTAAAGTAAAAGTTAGAATGTAAAAAAAGAAAAGAAAAAAAATTTTTTTTTTGAGAGAGTCTTGCTCTGTCACCCAGGCTGAAGTGCAGTGGTGTGATCTCATCAACCTCCACCTCCAGGGTTCAAGCGACTCTCCTGCCTCAGCCTCCTGAGCAGCCAGGACTACAGGCACATGCCACCATGCTTGGGTAATTTTTGTATTTTTAGTAGAGACGGGGTTTGTCATGCTGGCCAGGCTGGTCTTGAACTCCTGACCTCAAGTGATCCGCCTGCCTCAGCTTCCCAAAGTGCTGGGATTACAGGCATGAGCCACCACGCCCGGCCAAGAAAGTTAAATTTAAAATTTTTCACTTAAGACAAAAAGAGAAAGGCAATGTGTTTCATATACACAATTGTCTACTATTCAGCCATAAAAAGGAATGAGATCCTGTCATTTGCAACAACATGTATTGAACTGGAGGTCATTATGTTAAGTGAAGTAAACCAGCCACAGAAAAACAAACTTCACATGTTTTCACTTATTTGTGGAAGCTAAAAATTAATAGAATTTAACTTATGGAGATATAGAGTAGAACAATGGTTACCAGAAGCCATGAATGTTAGTGTGGAAGGGTGAGGAAGGGGTATGGTTAATGGATACAAAAATAAAGTTAGATAGAATGAATAAGATCTAGTATTTAATAGTACAACGGAGTGACTATAGTCAACAATAATTTATTGTACATTTTAAAATAACTAAAAGATGACCAGGCACGGTGGCTCACGCCTGTAATCCCAGCACTTTCGGAGGCTGAGGCAAGTGGATCACTTGAGGTCAGGAATTCGAGACCAGCCTGGCCAACATGGTGAAACCCTGTCTCTACTAAAAATATAAAAATTAGCCAGGCGTGGTGGCATGCGCCTGTAATCCCAGCTACTCGGGAGGTTGAAGCAAAAGAATCATTTGAACCCTGGAGGCGGAGGTTGCAGTGAGCCGAGATCACACCATTGCACTCCAGCCTGGGTAACAGAGCTGGACTCTGTCTCAAAAAAAATAAATTAAATAAAATAACTAAAAGAGTATAAATGGATAATTTGTAACACAAAGAAAGGATAAATGCTTGAGGGCAATGGATACCCCATTTACCCTCATGTGATTATTATGCTTTGTATAACTGTATCAAAGATATCAATATCTCATGTACCCCATAAATATATGCACCTGCTATTAACCCACAAAAATTAAAAATTAACAAAATAGCCATTCTGACTGGTGTGAGATGGTATCTCATTGTGGTTTTGATTTGCATTTCTCTAACAGGATCAATTATACACAACTTCAGCATCATACAATATACCAATGTAACAAACCTGCATATGTGCCCCCTGAACCCAAAATAAAAGTTGAAATTTAAAAAAAATTTTTTAAATAAAAAGTAAGACTAAACAAAAGTCAATGTAGCAATGATTTTCACTTGATTTGAGAACTCAGACACATCATTCCAGGTTTGCTTCTGTATGCATAATGACTTTGGCAGATTTCTCTTTGGCTTAACCAGTATCCCTTCATGTGTAAAATGCATAGAAAAATGAAATGTCTTTTACCTTTCATATTTAGTGGTGATGATGATCATTCCCCAGATCCAAGTGCCAAAGTAACAGAAGACTTGATTGACTTATTTTTCTTCATTTAAATTCGATAGTATTTAAAAGGAGACTGTTCATTACACGGATGAATCTTCCTGTTGTCAAACCTGAAGTTAATACTGGGTTTTCCAGTAGATTGACCTACTTTAGGGGAGTACTGCATCAGTTAACTAGTTAACAGGAACCAATTAGTTTGCTTTGTCTGAGTCACTACTGAGATTTTATTAATGATTTGAGTGTAGAGTATCTGATGTGATATGAGTTTACAATTACTGTGCTTCTCTGAGATCTAGAAAATAAGGGTTTGTCACATTGGTCGTTTATATGGGGACCAGAGCCAATGCTACTAGGATTTAATCATCTTTTTAAGAGTGTATATTTGCTTTATATAACTAGCTTTGCCCTATTAAAATATATAAAAAAGCTTTTGAAGCTAAAGATTAAACCTAAATTTATTTGCTTACTTTAAAACCTAGCTAGGATAGATCCCACTTTATTTTTTGTCTCTGTTAGAACTGGCTCATTAAAATATTTACGACTTAAGGTTTTGCTCCTCAGGATCAATATGGCTGTCACACTGGACTAGAAGTAGGAGTGTCATGTTTACTGGAAAGGCAGAGTTGAAATACAAACCACAGGGCTAGAGGTGACCTGGACTATTCTGAGCCTACAACCCACTCAAGGAGTTAAGAAAACTATCCTCTCCACCCAGAAGTATAAACAACATTCATTAAAAGATGAACCATAGAATAGTGGTAAGTATACCAGAATTCCTGAACATATCATAGTCAGAAGGTCATATATCACTGATGTATTTCCTGCGTTGTAGAATTACAGGCTATGACAGTCAGAAAGAAGGGGGTGAGGGATAAAAGACCACACATTGGGTAGTGTATACTGCTCAGGTGATGGCTGCAACAAAATCTCAGAAATCACCACTCAAGAACTTATTCATATAACCAAACACCACCTGTTTTCCAAAAACCTATGGAAATAAAAAAAATCATCTGGTAAAACCCCTTTATTTTGGAGATGAAGAAACTGAAGTTCAGGGTGAGGAGGTGACTTGTCCAAGGTCATACAGTGAGTCAGAGTATAAGTCAACCTGAATCCAATGTCAGTGTTTTCTCCAACTTCATTGCTTAAACTAGGTCATGCCTAGTTCCTATATCCTTTGGTAATATTGCGCCTGCACAATTCATTCAACAAATGTTCCCTGAGCACTTTCTTTGTGCTGAACACTGTTCTAAGTGCTAGGGATACAGTGGTGAATAAGACAGATAAAGTTCTTGCCTTCCACGAGTTTTACATTCTAACGTGTGGTGGAGGGGTGGGGGCAGGGGGCCATAAACATATAACTCTAGATAGGAATAAGTACTTCCCATCTCACCTAGGGTAAAAGCCAGAGCCCTTACAATGGCTTATACATCCCCAGATGGTCTGGACACCACTCCCCCTCTATGATCTCTGTGCCCACCTCCTCTTAATCACTACACTCCAGCCACACTGACCTTAAACATGTCAGGCATTCTCCTTTCAGAGTCGTGGCACTTGCTAGGCTGCCTGCAGCATCCTCCCAGAGATCTGCATAACTCACACCTCACCTCCTTCAGATCTTTGCTCAAATATTATCTAAGTGAAGGCTTCCCTGAGTATCCTCTTTATAATTGCAACCTCACTGCCATCCCAGCACTCCATACCTTCCACCCCTGCCTTAATTTTCCCCCTAGCTCTTATACCATCTGATAGACTATAGATATTTATTATTTGTTTATTGGCTATCTCCCTTCCCTAGAATGTTAGCTCCATGAGGGCAGCGATTTTTGTCTGTTCACTGTATGCTCACATACCTAGAAAATAGGCACATAAGCCAGGCGCGGTGGCTCATGAGCACTTTGAGGGCCCGAGGTGGGTGGATTGCCTGAGCTCAGGAGTTCGAGACCAGCCTGGGCAACACAAGTGAAACCCCGTCTCTACTAATATTAGAAAAAAAAAATTAGCTGGGTGTGGTGGCATGCACCTGTAGTCCCAGCTACTTGGGAGGCTGAGGCAGGAGAATCGCTAGAACCTGGGAGGCAGAGGATGCAGTGAGCCAAGATAGCACCACTGCACTCCAGCCTGTTTGACAGAGCAAGACTCCATCTGAAAGAAAGAAAGAAAGAAAGAAAGAAAGAAAGAAAGAAAGAAAGAAAGAAAGAAAGAAAGAAAGAAAGAAAAGGAGAAAGAAGAAAAGAAAAAGAAAGGAAAGGAAAGAAAGGAGGGAGGGGAGGGAGGGAGAGAGAGAGAGAGAGAGAAGGAAGGAAGGAAGGAGAAAGAAAGAGAAAGAAAGAAAGAAAGAAAGAAAAAGAAAAAGAGAAAGAAAGAAAGAAAATAGGCACATAGTAGGTGCTAGTAAATATTTGTGGGATTCATAAATGAATATGAAAAAAAAAGAAGAGTAAACATGATAGAGAGGGACTAGCTAGATTCATTTGTTTGGTCCAAGAAGTCCAGGAACATCTGACCTTAATGATAAGAAGGAGGGAGCCACAGGAAGCAGAGGGGACCAAGCACAGGATGCAACAAGTGCAAAGACCCTAGGATGAGAAGAAAGGCCATGTCCAGAGGACAGTGAACAGCACCTGGCAAGAGAGATGGTCAGGGCCAGATCACACAGGGTCTGTTGTAGGCCATGGAAAGGAGTGTGGAGCACTTTCCTGGTCACAGTAGAAAGCCTGTGGAGGATTTTAAGCAAAGAAGTGACATAATCTATCACTTATTAATATTTTTTTTAAATCTCTCTTGGGTGGGTGCGGTGGCTCATGCCTGTAATCCCAGCACTTTGGGAGGCCGAGGCGGGCAGATCACCTGAGGTCGGGAGTTCAAGACCAGCCTGACCAACATGGAGAAACCCCGTATCTACTAAAAAGACAAAAAAAAAAAAAAATTAGCCAGGCGTGGTGATGCATGCCTGTAATCCCAGCTACTCAGGAGGCTGAGGTAGGAGAATTGCTTGAACCCAGGAGGCGAAGGTTGCAGTGAGCCGAGATTGCTCCATTGCACGCCAGCCTGGGCAACAAGAGCGAAACTCCATCTCAAAAAAAAAAAAAAAAAAAAAAAAACTTACTCTTGCTCCAAGTGGGAGAATAAACTGAGTAGGGATAGGATTAAAGCAGGGATACCAGTTAGAAGGCTATTACAACAAGCCAACCAGAGAGATGACTGTGGCTTGGACTAGCAGGTAGCAGTGGAGGCAGTACAAATTCAGAATATGTTTTGAAAGTGGAGTCAGCAGAATCTGATGATGGACTGAATGTTGGAGGTGAGGAAGAAAGAATAATCAAGATGATTCCTACAATTTTGACTTGAGTAACTGAATGGCTGGCTGGTGGTGCCATTTGGTGAAACAGGAAAGACTCTGAGAGGAGCAAAGGTGGAGAAGAGCGTTGCAGACAAGAACTCTGTTTGGGCTCTGTTGAGATTGAGAGGCCCATCAGACGTTCAAGTGGAGAGATCACCCAAGTCATTGGCTATTTAAGTCTACATTCAGTGCGGAGGTCAGGGCTGGTGATACGAATTCTTAGTTTCACAGAATAAATCATAAAATCTTAACTTGAATCAGTTTATCTAGGGCTCTTAAATACCTGGAATTCTTCTGTGCCCTCTTCCTCAAAACAACTTCCTAGGTATATCCCGATGGGTTGGTATGCATTTAGCCTACACACATTAAAAACTGATATTTGGAATGATGGCCCTGATAAATTCACATGGCCTCAATCATCAGAAAATGTTAGTTCAAATATGTGCAGTGTACAAGACTTCCTAAGGTAAGAAAGTACATTCAGACACTTTAGGCTGGGCGCGATGGCTCATGCCTGTAATCCCAGCACTTCGGGAGGCCAAGGCGGGTGGATCACAAGGTCAAGAGATCGAGACCATTGTGGACAATATGGTGAAACCCCGTCTCTACTGAAAATACAAAAATTAGCCGGGCGTGGTGGTGTGTGCCTGTACTACCAGCTACTCAGGAGCCTGAGGCAGGAGAAATCACTTGAACCCGGGAGGCGGAGGTTGCAGTGAGCCAAGATCATGCCACTGCACTCCAGCCTGGCGACAGAGCAAGACTCCGTCTCAAAAAAAAAAAAAAAAGAAGAAGAAGAAGAAGAAGAAAGTACATTGAGACACTGTAGAACAACTAGCAACAAATAATAAAATTTAGAGGTTAGAGGATATTCTGGTTAACCAATTTCATCAAACAATTCAACTAATGAGATCTTCGTATTCCGGGTAACTGAGGTTTTCTGTTTTTTTTTTTTTTCTAGAACTCTTGACCCAAAGAGTAATCTAGCAGGAGTCCTCCCTTCCTTGCCCTTTATACATTTACAAAATGTATATCAAATACATACACATGATTTCATCTGGTCCTCTTGAGAAAATGGTCACATCCCCATTTTACAGCTGAAGAAACAGTGTCCGAGAAGTTAATAACTCTCAAGTGTTCACCCAGCTCTAAGTAGTGAAGCGAAGTGAAGTCCAGGGCTATTTTTACTATTAGCTGTGGATCTTTTTGAAATGTCTCTCACTGTCATTTCTATCTCCTCAGTCTGAATTTCAGTCACTGGCATATTGACATTTTCTGGGACTCAGGGTGGTGCCTCAGCACTCTCCATATTTCACAGGAAGTCACTATTCCCTGTGACTGGCACCTTCCCCTCTGTCATTCCTTTACCTAGAAGACTCGTTCTTTTTTAAAAAAAAAAAAAAACTGTCTACAACCAGAACATTGTAGGGGTTATTAGAAACCATGCACAGCCTAATCTCCCATTTTACAGATGAGCAAAGAGGCCCACAGAATATGAATGGTTGTGCAAGGATGGGCAGCTGGTTGCAAAGCCTGTCTCTCTTGGCACTCTGGCTGGTGCTCCTTCCACCATGTCATACTTGTAGTGTTACGGGTCCCCCACCAGGTTACTTAAGGGTCTATATCCGCTGCTTGAAACCTGAAGGCTGGCAGTGAGCCAAGGCCACGGTGCCCAGCTGAGGAGCAGGTGCCTGAGACCCCAACATCCTGTGGAGTATCTGAGAACCTACCAAGGAAAACAGTCTCGTTGCACATACACAGTAGGCAAAGAGCCATAATATTAGCTTCAAAGCAGCTCAGAGATGGGGGATGGGGTGGATCTCTGGAGTTGTCCTGCTGCTGCCCAGGAGCGCACTGTAGGTAAGTCCTAATAAACTCATCTGCTTGTCAAGCTGGACTTATCTGAGTCATTCTTTGGTCTCTCAGTTCCCTCCCAGTTTGGGGATCCATTACAGTCCCGTTTTTCTCATAACAACACACCATCTATCCCAGGGTACCATCTTTCCCAGGGTCTGAGGAAAGAGCCAAGATCTGTGCCCAGCATTCTAGGGATCTCACCTCTTTCAGCTTTTACTGTTTGCTTAATTTCTGATTCTTTAATAATAAAAGTATTGAGATTATTTTTGTGCCAATAATATATACATGTCTCAGAAGTAACTGCTTTCCAATATTGTGCTTGATCACAGAAAGTCTTACAGATCTAGATCCAGAGAATGCAAGCTCCATGAAGGTAAGTCTTTTCTGCTGGCCCCTCAGTGCAATGCAGTGGGGCCCTGAAAGAAATGGCCTGGTTGCCAATATAAAATAAAGGAAACCGCTTGTGTGGTGTGCTGTGTGGGGCCTCAAGAAGCTCTCCCTTGTTCACACCTTCCTGGGGCCAAATCTCTTCCACTGGGGCTGGCTCCTGGGGCCCGAAAACCCCTTCATCAAAGTCTTCACCTTTGAGTTGAGTCATTGTCCTTGTCCAAGTGCAGAGTAAGCCACGATTGCCTCTTAACATCTTAACACAGTCCCCTCCCCCACCAATTAGCTCTGTTCCTGGAGCCTCTGGCAAAAAATCCGAAGAAAGTGTGTTACATGGCACTCCCAGGTAGACCAGGTGAGGCCTGGAAGAACAGGCAGAGAGGGAACAGATGCTTCAGAGAGGAAGGGGCACTGCTGGGGGAAATGAGTGTTGATTCCAACTACTTCCCAATGTCCCTGGGGACTGACCCTTTCTACGCAGCTCTCCAAAAGAGTGGCCAGTCCTAGGTGTGATCCCTAGAAACCCCCTTCCCTAAGCCCTCTTGGGAAGTTTCCAATGAGAGCTGATGCTGAGAGGTGAAGCTGGCTGGGCTTCTGAGTCAGGTGGTGACTTAGAGAACTTTTCTGTCTAGCTGAAGGATTGTAAATGCACCAATCAGTGCTCTGTGTCTACCTAAAGGTTTGTAAATGCACCAATCAGCACTCTGTGTCTAGCTGAAGGTTTGTAAACGCACCAATCAGCACTCTGTCAAAACGGACCAATCAGCACTCTGTAAAACGGACCAATCAGCTCTCTGTAAAATGGACCAATCAGCAGGATGTGGGTGGGGCAAAATAAGGGAATAAGCAGGCCACCCGAGCCAGCAGCGGCAACCCCTTGGGTCCACTTCCATGCTGTGGAGGTCTTGTTCATTAAGATACTCAGCAGCCTTTATGGAGTAGCATAGACATTTCTGCTGGCATTTCACTCCAGGAAAATAGTATTCTCTCCATATATGAATACATATGTTCTCCAGTGTCAGACACAGAAAAAGAGGCCGTGGTGTTTCCATTAATGCCAAAGCCCTGACCATGGTCTACCAAGCCCTACATGAGCTGCCCACCCTCTCCCCTCCCACCATTACCTCTCTGTTGTCACTCTACTGCAGCTACACTGGCCTCCTTACTGCTGCTCTAACGTGCCAACATGTTCCCACCTCAGGGTCTTTGCACTTGCTCTTCTTCTGCCAGGAACTCTGTGCCTTCAGATAGCTGTGCAGCTTGCTCCCTCCTCTCCTTTGGGCCTCGCTCAAAAGCCACCTTCTCAGTGAGGCCTTCCCTGAGCACCCCATGTTAAAATAGGTGCGTGCACGCACGTGCACACACACACACTATCCCCTTATCCCACTGTAACTTTTCTTCATAGCACTTAATTCACCCTTCAGTCAGTATTCATTCATTCAACAGTTGTTTATCAGGAGCCTGCTATGTGCCAGGCACTGGAGATTCAGCAGTTATCAAAGCAGACAAAAATTCCCGCCCTCATCCCCTGGTAGATGATATTTCCTTGTATATATATGCACTTCATGAAAGCAAGGGCTTTGTCTGTTTTGTTCATAACCACATCCCCAGCACCTAACATAGTGACTGACATTTAGTAGATGCTCAACAAACATTTGTTGAATGGACTAATGCTTTAGCCATCAGAGTCAAATTTAGTCTCTATGTTAGGAGTTCCTAAATGCGTCTCCCTGTGAATCTACTGTATAGCCATGTTTGGGAACCACTACACAGAGCAGAGCTTTTTTTTTTTTTTTTTTTTTTTTTTTTGAGATGGAGTCTCACTCTGTTGCCCAGGCTGGAGTGCAGTGGCGCCATCTCGGCTCACTGCAAGCTCCGCCTCCCGGGTTCACACCATTCTCCTGCCTCAGCCTCCCGAGTAGCTGGGACTACAGGCACCCACCACCACGCCCAGCCAATTTTTTTGTATTTTTTGGTAGAGATGGGGTTTCACTGTGTTAGCCAGGATGGTCTCGATCTCCTGACCTCATGATCCGCCCGCCTCAGCCTCCCAAAGTGCTGGGATTACAGGCGTGAGCCACCGTGCCCGGCCACAGAGCAGAGCTTTTTAACCCGGGCTGCACATCGAAATCATCTGGCAAACTTTAAAAACAACTGATGCCTGCCCGCTCCCCCGACTCTCGCCAGAGATTCGGATTCAGTTGGTCTGGGTTGCAGCCTAGGCGATGGGATTTTAAAAGCTCTCCGGGTGATTTGAATATACAGCCAATGTTGCGAACCACTGACTTAATCTACTCATGTCAGGGATTTGGTAGCATCTGCTCCTCCAGCTTCTCAACCTGGCTGCACATTAGAGGCACCTGGGGAATTTTAAAAATATACCAATACTTGTCCCACACTCAGGGATTCCTGTTCAACTGGAGTGAAGCCCAAGCATGCATATTTTTAAAATTTCTCCCGGTGGTTCTACTGTGCAGCCAGGGTTAAGAACAAGTGCTTTCCATTGTCCCTGTCCCAGTTTATCCATTTAAGTACCCTGCTTTGCAACGTCTTAATTCATAAGCTGCCTCAAATCCTCTCGGAAGAACCAGAGTCAAACTCTTGAGATAATACTCTGCTCTCCACACAATCAATACAAAACACGCTTCTCTCACCTCATGTGTATTTAGGCCTTATTTCATTGATTTTCCACTTCCTTTTGAACTGCCACCACCATGGAGTGGCTACCCTGTAACCCCGCCACCCACCCCAGCCTATTTTGTCTCCTTCTGGGACCATGCTGCCTCTGTGTTCCAAGAGGGAATAAATTGATAAAGATCCAGAGGAAAGCCAGGGGCTAAGCCCGCCTCAACATCAACTCTGTGCTTCTGCGACCCCACCTGCCACTTTCTTGCTCCAGACCGCACAATTGCTGAGAATTCTTGAAAAGGAGATCAGGGTGATAAAATAGACAGCCCTTTCCCCCTTCTCCCCGCCAGACCCCTGCTAACATTATCTTCGCTTGGAGAAGGACCCATCATGTTTTATTTATTCCAAGTCCCAGGAGGGAGAGGCAGACATGGCTGACATTTTTTGTGACCTGGGACAACTGAGCTTTTGCTATGATCCTACAAGGGCAGCCAAGGTCCACATCCAAGTCTGGGGCCAATCCTGGGTGGTCATAATTGACCAGAATTATGAGAACTCAAGCCCAGGAAGAGCAGAGGGCAGAGATTACTGGGTACAATGCCACAGTGGTTTCATCCTTTGAGGGTTTCTAGGTATTTCTGTTGTTCACTATCCATCAAAGGGCAGGGGCCTACGATAAGTATTTCACTTTTGTCCGGGCAGTTCATCACCCTCTTTCAATGCAAAAGCATTCTCGCCAATGCATAGTCTTCAAATAATGACATTTCAGGTACAAAATATATATCATTTTATAATCCAGCGCTCAGTGACGTCATTTTGGATATAAATGCCTGTCTACTCACCCCCCTGGAATGAGGGGCTCCTGCCTTGCACACCCCCATCTGCCACCAGCATGGGGTTGAAACAGATGACTTATTGTGCATATAGATTGCAATTTGCAGGTTAGTATGCAGCTCTCTGACTTGCACCTCACAGCAGAGGGGTAGCAGGTATTGGAAGTAACATTTATTAAGCAGCGGCTATGTACCAGACATTCTGCTGAGAATGTGCTTTTCTCACATCTGCCCTGCAGAGCGTCATCTCTATTTTATTAAAGAGAAAACGGAGTCACGAAAGAGAAATAGCCTACCATACTGTGCTTCCTCCACGAGTCTTATGTCCTATTTTACAGAAGAGAAAATGGAGGGAAATGACCTGCCTGAGGTTGCACAGCCAACAAACGGCTGCGCTGGGGCTCAAACCTCACAGGGCTTGTGACTTTCATCCCATACAATTTCTTTCCGCCAGCCCGGGGCTACCTCCAGTTGCCACTGTATCCCAGAATTGGGCAGTGACCAAGGACAGTCTGCAGAGTACAGTGGCAAGCAAAAAATATCCCATGTAGGTTTCCAACCGCATGCCCAACCAAGTAGTAAAAGCACATTCTTCTGTACCTTTAGTTGAGCAGAAACACCTCCTTCCAACCGCTACATTCGGTCCAATACAGGAACTCACTGCACAGCAGTCGTCAATTCAGATAACTTATTTTTTCTCTGATAAGGCAAAAGCAAACCATGGAGGATTCAACAGCTTGACATAGATACCCTGATGCTGCTTCCTTTTGGAGGGAGAAATGCACAAATGGCCAAACTTGTGCTAAGATGCTCAAAATAGAAAGAAGGTCCACAAAGGAGAGCTTACTAAAAATTACAATGATGCCTATTTAAGAAAATTCACAATAAAAAGAGGACTTCTGGACTAGCACATATCCATTACAGCTTATGATGCATTTTTTTACAAATACAGTTTTACTGGGAATGTAAATCAGTTCACAGTATGAAGTGTAATTCCCTAGCACTTAGCATGCACTATGGCCCATTTACTTTGGCCATAAACACCCCAGGCACGTCTCCCTTCACAGTGACCAAATGAACCTCACTACTCTGCCCACAAGCTGATGAAAGCAGCATCAGGGTATCTGTGTTAAGCTGTTGAATCCTCCAGGGTTTGCTTTTGGAAAGAGAATTGGTCTCACCAAGCTGGCTTCATTTGAACTCTCCTACTTCCTACACACTATGAATGCCATACCTACTGCCCAGTTTGTCTTTTCAGCAGTTTTACTTTGGAAAAAAGTATGAATTGGTAGCCAAAGGGTTCACTGCACTGCTCAGAATGAGCTTCCTGTGTGCTGTGATCCTAGGATACCAGTCATCTGCCGATCTTGAGCAACATGCAGAATCTAATAGTGACTGCAACTTGGAGGCAGAGTCTCAAAGTGTCGTCCAGGACTGTTTGCATCACGATCACTCAGGGTGCTTATTAATGATGCAGAATCATGGCCCCTCTGCAGACCTGCCCAGTCAGCACCTCCACGAAACAGAATCTAGGCATCCACATTTTTAGCAACATCACCAAATTTCAAAACCAAAGCTTCAATCTTCTCCTCCTATGAGATCTCCAGAATATGGCCTTGCAGCACACACCTCAATACTGTAACTAAAAGTCTTTATCTTGCTTTTTCAGATACCCATCTCTCCCTTCAAGTCCTCGTCTTTGTCCCTGCAAATTTTGGCGTTTTCCTTAGAGTGAACTTCTAGGTCACTCTAGCTAGTTTTTAAAACTACCAGCATATTCTAGTACTGCATTATTAATTTGAAAGCTAAATTTTCCCCCTTTGCTTAAGGGTAAATTTGCTCTCTGCTACCTTAGTTTAAGCCCTAGATTCTTGAGGTTCCCAAGGTTATATTGCTGGAGAAGATAAAAACCAGGTAACCACAAGAGGTATAAGAGAATTTAATCTTTTACTGGAAATAAGAAAGTATGTGTTTTATGCCCCTGTTTTTTTTTTCATGTGCTATCACATCCTGTCTTGATGCATCAGCAATGTAGATAAATGTTCATTTCTGCCCTTACAGATACAATAATCATTTTGTTACCATGAACTAGGATATGTTTTAAAGGCCCTATGCACAAAACAAGTGGTGCAGAAAAAATGGGTCCAAATGGAGACTGTTATTGGCCACACAAGTCCTTTATAGCTCACACAACAAACAGATCTGTTGGGGCCAGTCAACTGAAAGTTTACCCAAAGTGGGTGAGAACTGATGTCATTTTAAAATGCTCTGCTGCTTTCACCTGGACATTCTGAAATGAACCTGGCACTTGAATTGAAATTTACCTTTTCATGTGAAATTAGCTTGTTAAGTTTTTTCACACAGTTATCTGCTAGGACGAGGGAGGCAGGCTCTGCAAAGCTGGCTCAAGAAGCATCAGGATTCAGGGAGTGCAGAGCTGGTCCTAGTGCCAACTTAGCTACTTTTTACCCATATAATCCTTAGATGAGGTGTCTGACCTCACTGACCTCTCCTGCTTCCTCCCCAGAGGTGTGAAAAGGAGCAAATAAAGACTCTTTGTGACAGTGCTTTAAAAACTGTAAGTTATTTGGCCGGGCACGGTGGCTCATGCCTATAATCCCAGCACTTTGGGAGATCAAGCCGGGTAGATCACTTTAGGTCAGGAGTTCAAGACCAGTCTGGACAACATGGGGAAACCCTGTCTCTACTAAAAAAAAAAAAATACAAAAATTAGTGGGCATGATGGCACAGGCCTGTAGTCCCATCTACTCAGGAGGTTGAGGCAGGAGAATTGCTTGAACCCAGGAGGCAGAGGTTGCAGTGAGCTATCCTGCCACTGCATCTGGCCTGGGTGACAGAGAGAGACTCTGTCTCAAAAAAAAAAAAAAAAAAAAACCACAAAACTATAAGTTATTCTAGAAATGCTTCTTTCTGAGTCCTAAACTATCAATCCCCTAGCATGACAGCCTCAATTAGAAAGTCAAATAAATGTCCATACCCCTTTTGGTGCGTTCATAGATGCTAAGCCCAGTACTTTCAAACAGAGCTTTGAAATTACAAAAGAAGGTATCATTTTTCTTTGCTCTGTCAAAGGTGTTTTCAAGATCTAATACCAATTTTCCCAAATCTTCCTCAATCCTATCCCCACTCCTGCCACCTCACCAAGACAGAAGCTGAAGTGCTACACCTGACATCAATAAGCATGCTGACCTTCCTCTAAAAATATATGGTTTTTGAAGCATGACATGGTGTCGTACATGCTGATTCTTCTAAATACTGAAAACAAGAGCAAAGTACAGAAGACAGCTAGAAAAAAAGAGAGTTTGATAAATGTTTCTGCTATGCATTCTGGCATGAGAAGAGGAACCCAGGCAGTGTGTGATTTAAGCTCTTCTCTTGAGGTCCCTGTAGCCTTCTTAGGAAGATAAGACTAACTGACAAGCAAAAGTATGACACCAATAAGACAGTGTGTCAAGTATTTTGGGTGCTCTAGGGCTGCAGTCCCCAACCTTTTTGGCACCAGGGACTGGTTTCATGGAAGACAATTTTTCCACAAATGGGGGTGGGGTAGGGTGGGGATGGATTCTAGGGTGAAACTGTTCCACTTCAGATCATCAGGCATTAGATTCTCATAAGGAGCACGCAACCTAGATCCCTCATGTGCACAGTTCACAATAGGGTTTGAGCTCCCTATGAGAATCTAATGCCACAGTTGATCTCACAGGAGGCAGAGCTCAGGTGGTAATGCTTGCTCGCCCTGCTGCTCATGTCCTGCTGTGTGGCCCAGTTCCTAACAGGCCACAGACCAGTGGAGTTGGGGACCCCTGCTCTGGGGGGTTCCAAGAATGGAGTCATTGCTGTGAGCTGGAGTGGTCAGGAGATGTTTCCTGGGAGAACTAGAATTGAGCCAACCCTCAAAGGACAAGTAGGGTTTAGAGGGGCATAGAAAGATCCAGAGAGGTTTTCACAATGGATTACATAGCTACATACAATCCCATCATGTGTAAATGGTCCAGTTCAGTGCTGTTTGATGGAATGTTCTGTGATAATGGGATTGGACTATATATGCACAGTTGAGTACAGTAGTCACAAGCAACGTGTGGCTATTGAGTCACTAGTGTGATTAAGGAACTGGATTTTTCATTTTAATTTATTCCCATTTAAATAGCCATATGTGGCTAGGGACTCCCTTATTAGATAGTGCAGGTCTAGTTAGTACATGGCTTCGTGAGTACAAGCCAATTCAGGTGAGCTTTAGGGGTTCCCTAATAGTTCATTTCCAAGATATATCCCTGAACATCTAGGGTGGTGCAAAGATCTGACTTCTCCGAGGGGCTTTCAAGCCTCCAGGAATCCTCTTGACCCCTTCGAGACACCTGCAGCACTGATATGGCTAGTGGAGAGCTCATGCTTTTCGGTCATACCTGTTGCCCTGCACTTGGCAAAATCCAATTGATGGAGAGAGGATAGGCCTCATCTAGAACACCAAAGTCAAGTAATCACAAAGAGCAAATCAAAACCTGCACCAGCTGGCCAGGCGTGGTGGTTCACGCCTGTAATCCCAGCACTTTGGGAGGCCGAGGCAGGTGGATCACCTGAGGTTAGGAGTTCAAGACCAGACTGGCCAACATGGTCAAATCCCATCTCCACTAAAAATACAAAATTAGCCGGGCGTGGTGGCTCACGCCTGTAATCCCAGCTACTCGGGAGGCTGAGCCAGGAGAATCCCTTGAACCCAGGAGGTGGAGGTTGCAGTGAGCAGAGATCGCGCCGCTGCACTCCAGCCTGGGCAACAAGAGTGAAACTCCATCTCAAAAAAGAAAAAAGAAAGAAAAAGAAAAAATTTAAAAAATAGACTATAGTAAAAATGCACAGACAGCTTCACCTGCCATGAAAGAAAATGTAAATTAGAATAAATTGAAGGTATCACAATATATCTTTCTGAGAAGCAAAAAATAATAAAATGATCAAATCCAGGAATGTACAGAAAGAATTACACTTGAACTCTACAGTGATGGTGGTTTTAAAAATTTGATCTTTCTGAAAAGCAATCTGACAGCAAGTAAGACAAGGTAGGGTTATATCTGCACTTTTGGACCTGGTAACTCTACTTTAGAGAACACAGTCCAAGGAAACCTTAAAGGAAATGAAAAATTTTTAAGGGGGTCAATATTAAAATGTTCATAGCAGTACTATTAATTGTAAAAAAAAGTAAAACAATCCAAGTGGGAGACAGGTGTGGTGTATCAGCAGAAAAGAATACTACATAGCAACTGAAAATCACAAGGACAGTGATAATATGAACACATAGAAATGCATGTATAAGTGAAAACAGCACACAAAGTAAGATGTTCACTCTGATAACAATTACACAGTATACTTTATCATTTAACAATCATATGGTATACTAATGAAAACCTAACAAACTTAGGTATTTAAGTTAATAATCATGAAGGTTTTTTGCTGTTGTGATTAGCTGCTTGTAAATAAATGCCTTCCTCTCAAAGAAATATTATCATCATCACCAATATCATTTCTTAAACAAATCCTAATCCCAGCCTAAAGTGAATGGAATGACATCAAATGCCTCAGGTTCACATGAGGCATGAGAAAAAACCCAGAGGAAAAGAAGTCATTATACGAAAAAGATACTTGCACACGCATATTTATAGCAGCACAATTCGCAATTGCAAAAATATGGAACCAGCCCAAATGCCCATCAATCAACGAGTGGATAAAGAAACTGCGAGAGAGATATATATATACATATGATGGAATACTACTCAGCCATAAAAAGGAACGAATTAATGGCATTTGCAGCAGCCTGGATGGAACTGGAGACTATTATTCTAAGTGAAGTAACTCAGCAATGGAAAACCAAACATCCTAAGTTCTCACTTGTAAGTGGGAGCTAAGCTATGAGGATGCAAAGGCGTAAGAATGATACAATGGACTTGGGGGACTCAGAGGAAAGGGTGGAAGGGGGATGTGGAATAAAAGACTGCAAATTGGGTTCAGTGTGTACTGCTCAGGTGATGGATGCACCAAAATCTCACAAATCACCACTAAAGAACTTACTCATGTAACCAAATACGACCTGTTTCCCAAAAACCTATGGAAATAAAAATTTTTTAAAAAAAGAAAACATTCATTCAGGCTTCTTTGAACAGCTTCTTTAAAGAGGCTAGGTCATCTTCAATCATCCCCAAAGTAATCTTTTAAATTCTAAGCCAACAAAAAGGAACCAAATTTTTGACTGATGTTCATTTTAGAGAGCGAATTGTTTTGAGATTAAATATACATCCCAATGGCTATACATCTGTATGACAAGCATATAGTTTAGAGTAACACAATTCACATGTGTCCTATGGTTTTGCCACTTTATAGCCCCTGACACATAACTTCAGTATTTTGAATGATCCATCTAGGGACCAATGTATCTTTGATGACTTACTATTGATCATCCTTCAGCTATAGAATACCAAATGCTTATCACAAATGTAATTGTTCATTATTTCCTGTTGAAAAATATGACCTGCTCTTATCATCTATTTTGTGCTGTTTCCAGTAACACTTGCAAAACTCAGGGGCCACTTATTGAGTTGAGGAAGAAGTCTAGGTTAAATCATTCATAGTGCAAATAGTCACTCCTCAAATTATATCTTCTAAGTTTACATTTTCAGATAAAAGACACCAGGAAATGCTTGACTTTATTCTTTGGTCATAACAGCACCATGGGGAGCACTTTCCACTTCATTAGAATACCCATTTAGATGATGACCACGTTACTTCTTTCAAAGAGCTTCAAAACATGTTTGCAGAAGGAATGGCCTGTACCAGATAAGGATTATTTCCAACTTAGGATTCATGAGTCCATAAACTACCAAGACAGGTACTTACTAGGTACATGTCTCAATACGTTAGAGGAAGCAGAAAACAAAAACAAAAACAAACAAAAAAAGAGACTGACAGATTCAGGTGTTAATTAGGCCACATCAAAAAAAAATATTGATATGCTAAAAACTAAAAAGCATTCTTCATGAGCACTTCACTCAATGTGGCTGTTTAGGTTTGAGGTCACTAGCAATTTGTCCACTAATGAATTCCAAATGTCCTCTGTGAAGTCAACTCATGAAAGGAACAAGTAAACATTCACAGTTCCCAAAGGTTAATTAAAGTCAATGACTAGTGAGTTGTTTCAGGCTGGGCCTAGAGCAAGATATATCTGTGCCCCTCAGACCTCTGACTGCAGGGAGCGTAGCTGACCACTGAGCTCTGAAATTCAACACTACTGCAGCTGAAATCCAAAGTGGCTGAAACTCACCATGCATCACTGCATTTTCACCAAAACCAAACTTTCTACAGGCATCTCCTGGTGTGGCAGAGACACTAAGTCAGGCCATTTCTATGAAGCAAAGGACTCCCCTAACGCATGACTTTGGGTCAGGGATGCTGTCAAGGAAGAGCCCCCATCTCATAGAGAATGACCAGAAAAAAACCTGCCATTTCTTCATCATAGGTGTAGAACATAGACAGTGAAATTTAATGGGTTCAAACAAGACAGTTTATTACAACACAGCAAGCAACATGAGCATCAGTATGGTTTTTCCAGTTCCCCTGCCCCCAAGTGCCACGGGACAATGCAACAGGCTCAGATGGACGCTACGCATACAGGCAGTTGAATCACAGCTGAGGAACCTAGGATCAAGGGGCTCAGGACTTTTTGGGTAATGAGCAAAGTGGCCAATGCCCCTCCCCTGGGAAGTGAGCAGTTAAATAGTAGTCAGACTGTGGTCACCTTGCCCTACTTGGTTGCCTATGTGACTGTTTTGCTGAAAGTTTTACTTTCATCATTTTGGGTTTGAGGATTCACGAGCAAAAGAAACTGCAATATTACACTCAAATGCAGTTCAAAGTTTAATGATCAACATAACAAAAGAGTATAATAGTTAACTTAGCAAAAGCTAAAGTAGGAGAAAAGGGAAAAGTAAAAGGAAAATACGGGTTTTTTTGTTTGTTTTTTTTTTCAACAAACTGGGGAGAATACCTACACCCAGATCAAGCAGTGCTGGGAAGTCCTGGATACAGACATCTGGAGTCCTAGTTGGAACAGGTCCCCGGCAGTGTGTCCACTCCATGGGTGAGACTTCAGAGAGCAATTGGAGGGTCCCAGCTTATATTACCAGAGCGAACCACAAGGTCTGAAGGACAGCCACGGGGGCTTTACCTTCAGGGAGTTCTGGGGATGGTTAATGGAACATGGTGTCCCTAGGAGCAATAGTCAACAAGGGTGTTGCTCACCCTAGCTAAAATTAACAGCTAACGTGCAAATGTGCAGCTCTGAAAGTTTAATCAATAATGCTTAAGGTTTTACTTTGTGTGTCTCAGGATGTTCTGAAACCTAGAGAACTGGCCAGATTCTCGAGGTTTGAGAAGTTCCACAGCATACTCCCTTTCTTATCTGAAGTTTCTCAGGACTAGTGGGTGTTTGTTCTCCATGTAGGCTCATAGCCCACATGGGGTCATTTGTTGGTCACAGGCCTACCATTGCTTCTGAAGCCTGCAGTGGAGGAATAGATATGGCTGAGCCAAAGAGAAGATGTGATCAAGTTGCCCAAGTCCAGGGAGATGTAACAGTCAATATCTGTTACATAGCAGTCTGAACAAGACTAATACAATTTTAAATTCCTTACAGTGACTATCTGCAGCAATGGTTCCGCATTAGTTTAAGATACTCGCCAAGAACGTGCAGGGGCACTCAGGGCCCGTGGTGAACCGTCCCTCCTGAGAAACACATTTGTTTTGCTGAAACCTCCTTAGAACTGCATCACTTGAATATTGGCTTGATGTATTCATTCCACAAATGGTGTTATGATTCATAAATCGTAACATCATTTTGTACCCCATACGTACAATTATAATTTGTCAATTTACAATGAAACGAAATAAAAACAAATTTGAGAACTGCACCCCGTAGTCTAAGACTTTTCCTACCCACCCTTCCTTCTCTCTGTCCTCCACAGGGGTTAGATGTGCATCTATCTAGGCTCTCTCTGACTCCCTCCCCATTTTCCCTATGGGAGTTTCCCCTGGTAAATCTCTCATACATCTAATCTCATCTTGGCATCTGCCTTTCAGAGAACCCAAACTAACATGAATGGTCCTGGTGGTGGTCCAAGAATACAGGCAATGGCGAGATGGGGTTCTGGGATGGCTTCGCTGCCTGCTTGGTAAAATGGACACTGGCACAGGGTGGTAGTCCAACTGCTAAAGATGTCTGTGGAGATAACCTGGGAAAACTGGGAGAATGGCCTTGCAGGTATCCTGGCTCAGACTTTTGAAAATCTGGGAGGGATAAGGCCTGCAAAGACAGTGGAAATGGCTAGATAACTTAAGAGTATTATTAAATTGTCTTGATGCCCTGCAACAGGTAATGAGAAATGGGTGACAGTTAACAAGCAACTAAACGCTGTTTCATGAGAGCCAAAGGGCTTCCATGGAGCTTACAAAGAGGCCCTGATCTCCTGCAGTGGAGGAATGGATATGGCTAAGCCAAAGAGAAGATGTGATCAAGTTGCCCAAGTCCAGAGAGATGTAACGGTCAATATTTATCACATAGCAGATCCGTTCTGCTGAAGTCAGGGCCACAAGACTTCATGTGGTTGGAAAGACTTGGGATGGGAACATCTGGCAGATGCCTCTGAGGGTGCTGGCTCTGCAAACACACTGGTTCAACTGTCAGTTTGCAGAGGGGCCCACGCTTCCCTACTAAGAGCTAGCACTTCCCCTGTGCCAGAAGATGCTGCAGACGCTGCTCCCCACACTAGGCAACCAGTGCCTCACTCACAGCTGTCCCCAGCCCCTCTCTTTCTCTCTCTGGTTACTAAACTGGTAACTAGGGTTTAATCCCAGCAGAAACTGGCTAAGAAAGTACTGGCCCTAATAAAGGAGGGAACATACACCAAAGAGCTGCAAAAATTAGCTGGCATAGGCTAGCAGAAGTCAAGGAAGTATTGGGTTTGGATTTCACAGGTACTATATCAAGAGAGCCAGAAAAGCAAAACTTCAGACTTGGGAGCCCTTTCTCAGGATATACAATTTAACCTCCTGGCAAGGCCCACAGCGGGTGAGCAGCCTCTAATAAGATGGATCTCAAAGGCCCAGTGAAAGCGATGGCCAATGCTGGGCCAAGTAGAAACACCTAAGCTGCCCTGGCAGATGGCAGAGGAAGGAATGAAGGGAAGTGGGCATGCTGGGGTGGACAGATTACATGAAGTCAAAAGCCCACCAGAAGACAGTATTCCATGGGGGGGCAGGGGAGACCTCATGCACTGAGGTCAGCAGGAAGGCACTGGTGAGAGGGACACCAGCATCATTAAGTTCAGAGGTGGCCACCTCTGCACGCCAAGGCTGACAGTGAGAGACCATCACAGAGCTGTGCTCATCAGTGTCAAAGGGGATGATGGGGCCCCAGAGTAAGAGACACCAGACAGAAGTGCTTAACCTCCAGAAGGCAGGAGGCCACAAATACCAGAGCGAACCACAAGGTCTGAAGGACAGCCATGGGGGCTTTACCTTCAGGGAGTTCTGGAGATGGCTAATGGAACATGGTGTCCCTAGGAGCAAGTCAAAAAGCGTGTTGCTCCCTATCTACAAGCTGAAGAGGAGTGGAGGAGCAGGAGGCTAAGGGAGCTTGCCCCAATAAAAAGTCCTACTTTCTTGCTTAGCTGCCATACTTCAGCCAGTTTTCAGGTCTGGAAAGAGGTGGCTGGATCCCTGGGAAGGACAATGGTTAGTATGTAATGATTTGCCCAGTACTTCCCCAAAGGGACCTACAGCCACTTACTTGGGTATATGTACACTGGGGAGAGAATACTCAAACATTTGGCGGAACACTGGACCCAAGATCTAAGTTGACTGATACCTAGAGACAGGAAGCATCATCACGGCCCTGGTTAGACTGGGGGCTTATGGAGGCCAAGTGATAACTGAAATTCTGGCCAAAACAGGATTCACGGTGGGCCTGCTGCTGACCCAGCCAGTGGTCATTTCCTAGCCCTAAGTGTGTAACTGGAATTGACCTGGCAGTAGGAGTAATGAATGCCCCCAGGGCTCCTTGGTCTATTGGAGTGAGAGCTGTCATAGTGAGGAAGGCCATGTGGAAAAGGCTCCTTAGTCTGTTGGAGTGAGAGCTGTCATAGTGAGGAAGGCCATGTGGAAACCTCTGAAGCTGCTCCCCCGAACCCCTCCACAGACAAGATAGTAAACTGTGATGGTTACTGTTGTGTGTCAACTCAGCATAGGTTATAGTACGCAGTTGCTCAATCAAACGCTACTCGGTGTTGCTGTGAAGGTACAGTAATCCCCCCTTATCTGTGGTTTCAGTTACCTGTGGTTAACCGTTGTCGGAAAATATCACATACGTGAGATATTTTGAGAAACACCACATTCACATGACTTTTATTACAGTATATTGTTATAACTGTTGTTTTACTGTTATTGTTGTTACTGTACCTCATTTATAATTTAAACTTTATCATATATATGTACAGAAAAAACATAGTATATGTAGGGTTCAGCATTAGCCAGTTTCAGGCATCCACTGGGGGTCTTGGAACATATCCCGTTGATAACGGGGGAGTAGTGGATTTTGTAGATTTGGTTAACATCTACGATCAGTTAAGTAATGATTACCATTGATACTGTGGGTGGGCCTCAACCAATCAGTTGAAAGCCTCAAGAGGAAAACAGATTTCCCTGAAGAAATCCCACCAGTGTCAGCTCTTGTTTCATGAATTTTAGGCTTGCCTAACCAGCCCTCATAATTGTGTGATCCAATTCCTTGCCACATATAAAAGCAAGCAGACGAAATGACTTAACCCGGTTCACAGGCCTTTGTCACTGGCTACCACAGCAATGGCATAATGGGCACATGAGCACAGCAGCCACGATGGCTGAGATGGAGGCCAAGAGGCAATAGCATGAACTGCTTATGATGGCTGATGTAGCAGGGCTCCTCTGACAGGTGACTCTGGCTCAACTCACTTTGGTCTAGCTGAAACCATCTTAGAACTGCACAAGACTTTTCCTACCCACCCCTCCTTCCTATTTCTTCTCCAGAGGTTAGATCTGTATCATAGTCTGACAGCTTTCCCAGACTCCTCGACCCTCCCCTACTACATCCCCCACAAACTCTCCAACTCTCCTGCATGTCTAACCGAGGGTCCAAATTAACACAAAGGGAAGTCCAACTTAGTGCACTCACTATTAAAGCTCTGGTCTTTCATTTTGCAGGGTCAGAAATTCAACCTTTCATAATTTACCAGGGAGTATTTATTAAAGGTCCTGTGACCTAGTTCCTACCAAACTCGTTAAGAGACTGATAGATAAAGGAGAAAGCTAAAACTCAAAAGAAGAAGGAACTGCCAGGCAGACCAGGACAGACAATGAAGATGGCAAAGGGTTCCCATCCCACCAACAGTGGCTACTTGAAAAGAGGACAAAGGCTAAAAGGTAGCCTGGTATGTCTGGAATACAAAAAGGAAGCTGGCTAGCCAAAAAGTAGAAACAACCCACATGTCCACTCACTGATGAGTGCATAAACAAAATGTGCTCTATCAATACAATGGGATATGATACAGCCATAAAAAGGAATGAAGTACTGATACATGCTACAATGTGGATGGATCTCAAAAACACTACATTAGGCCAGGTGTGGTGGCACACGCCTGTAATCCCAGAACTTTGGGAGGCCAAGGCAGGCAGATCACTTGAGGTCAGGAGCTCAAGACCAGCCTGGCCAACACGGTGAAACCCCATCTCTACTAAAATACAAAAATAAGCTAGGTGTGGTGGTGCATGCCTGTAATCCCAGCTACTCAGGAGGTTGAGGCAGGAGAATGGCTTGAACCCAGGAGGCAAAGGTTGCAGTGAGCTGAGATTGCACCAATGCACTCCAGTCTGGGCGACAGAGTGAGACTCCATCTCAAATTTAAAAAAAAAAAAAAAAAAAAAAAAAAAAAACCACTACACTAAGTGAAAGAAGCCAGACACAAAAGGCCACAATTGTGTAATTCCATTTTTATGAAAGATCCAGAATAGGCAAACCCATAAACAGGAAGTCCACTGGTGGTTGCTAGGGACAGGGAGGAGGGAGGAAACGGGGAGCTCTTGTTTAATGGCTACAGGGTTTCATTTTGGGATGATAAAAAATGTTTTGGAACTAGACAGAGGCAATGGTTACACAACACTGTGGATGTTCAGTACCAAATGCCACTGAATTGTTCCCTTTAAAATGGTTAACTTTATGTTATGTGAATTTCACCTAAATACAAATAAATAATAAATACATTGCAAGGAAAAAATGTGGAAAGAGGCATATCGAACAAAAAAGTTTTAATGAAAAAGAAAAGACATTAAAAAGTTCTGCAAACAGGAAGGTTTGGGCATGGAGCTGGCTGATTTTAAAAATCCTATCCCATTCGTTCACATCAAGCTGTCCAAACCTAGTAACTGGAAAGGTCCCAAGATGCTGGGCTATAAACATCTAACACGAAGACTAGAATTCTAGAATTATCTAGTATTTTCCCTTTCCTGAAAATTCCATCTTCAACTGGGGTCTATGGGTTCAAGAGCCATATTTATGAACCAAAGTTCAGGATACATACTCTGGTACAGGGACAATGGATGGTGCAAACAATATCCAGGATATCTAGCTGTTGAAACTGCAGCCCTCCCAATGACTCTAAATAGTCAAGGGATTAAAAGAATCCAGCCCCAGAAGTTTTAGATACAAAAATAGTAACCACCCAACTGAATTTGACTGCATTTAAAAAACATAATTATTTCCAAATCTACTGTGCAGCTGAAGTCTTCAGTGACGCCAACGGTCACTGGGATTCGAAGACTCCCGCTCCCGGGAGCGTCGGGCCCTTTTATGCCTATGGGATTTATCTCGGCTCCTACTTCTACTTCTATAACTACGCCCTTCAGAACGCCCATTATACCAGCTAGAATGTGCATCTGAGCTCCGCCCTCTGTCCCTAATCCTGGTCTTTTCTTCTCTTGCCTCCCTCCTGCTTGAGGACTTGTGCTCGTGCTTGGGTTTCTCCTTCTTCAGCTCCCTCTCTAGGTCCTCTGCTCCACCAGAGTAGGCCGTCCTGGATTTGGGGAGCTTCTGCCCCTCCCTGGGCTCTGACTTCTGAGCTCTCTCTGAGTTCTTGCTGCTGTGCTTCTTAGGGCCAGTGTCATCCTTTTCCTTTACTGTCTTGCGTCTGGGTGACGAAGAGGATGGTTGCTCTGCCTGTACCTCCCGGTCGGCTTTCTCTTTTTCTTTCTTTTTTTTCTTTTTTTCCTTTTTGTCTGGAGGATAAAAGAAAGAAGCAGTAAATAAGAAAAGGGAAAAAAATAAAAGAACTCCCTTAAAAAAAAAAAAAGCACCTTTCTTTTCTGAATACGTTACATCAACCACAGGTGCTACAGTTCAAAAACATTCACAGCCGGGTGCGGTGGCTCACGCCTGTAATCCCAGCACTTTGGGAGGCCAAGACAGGCGGATCACGAGGTCAGGAGATCAAGACCATCCTGGCTAACACGGTGAAACCCCGTCTCTACTAAAAAAAAAAAAAAAAAATTAGCCGGGTGTGGTGGCGGGTGCTTCTAGTCCCAGCTACTCAGAAGGCTGAGGCAGGAGAATGGCATGAACTCGGGAGGCGGAGCTTACAGTGAGCCGAGATCGTGCCACTGCACTCCAGCCTGGGCGACAGAAACTTTCACATGCTAGGAAGTGGGGAATGTGCATAAGGAGAACAACCTTGGCAGCAGCATGAAGCAGCCACTGTCTAGGCCTCCAGGAGAGTGCCTCCGAGAAGCCAACTTGGATGTCTGTCACCTTTGATATGTCGAGTGGCTGTACAAGGTAATTCCCATCCTGAGTTACCTCTTCAAAGACCTTATCTCCAAATACAGTCGCATTCTGAGGTGCTGAGGGTTAGGATTTCACCATATTAACTTGGGGAGAGACACAATTCTGCCCATAGCACCAGCCTTCCACTGATACTCCCTGCTTTCCCAATTAAACTATGCTTCCCCACACCTTCCCCTTTCACACTTGAGTTGATTATCAACTATCAGTGAATGCAAGGAAGAGCAGACATTAAGACCACCCAGAATCTTCTCTTAAGTCTTAATGCTTTACCTTTTTTGTGCTTTTTTGTTGGTTTTTCATCTTCAGAGCTCTCAGACAAACTTGGTGAGGGGGTACGAGCCCCACAGCCCTTCTCCTGGAGTTGTCTGGTCACATCATCTATTTCTTCTGAGTCCTTAGGAGCCCGATAGTTAGACACATGATCCACTCGGATAGTTCTTCCTTTGATCTAAGCAAGACAGGCGATGCTTCAGTGAAGACAGCCCTCATACCAAACTGTCAAACTATTTGAACACAAGCTACAGAGAACCATGATTTGAACTACATCCTTTACCTTCTTGTTAAATTCTGTCACTAAAGCAGACCTGTCCAACTGGTGTGTCATAGCATGTACACCTAAATATTAATACATTCAGCTCTCAGTGCAGCCAGATGAGGCCTGGGGCAGTTGTACCAGCAGCCTCATCACTTTACTCTGGGGCAGCATACAAATATCTTCATGTTCTGTATGTGCCATAAAATGAAAAAGACTAGGAAAACTACCTCAAAGCACAAGCATCAGGGAAGACTGAGATTTAGATGCACAATGAATCACCCTTGATCTGTAACCTAAGTTTACAGTGAAACATACCCTAGGAAGGTCTGGCAACTAGAAGGAATTCTTGAAATCTAGCTTAATGCTACAACTGCTTTCTCCACCCAGTAATTAGGAGGCAAAGTCAGACCAATAGTTTGGAGGGAGAAAGGAATCAAGAAAAGGGCACTTGCTTTTTTCTTAAGCCCTCACACCTTGCTCTAGCCCCACCATACTGGAACAATCAGCTCACGCTGATTCTTGCACAACGAATCACATCTCTCCAGATGAACAACAACAAAATATTAACCCCTCTGGCCGGGCGCAGTGGCTCACACCTGTAATCCCAGCACTTTAGGAGGCCAAAGCGGGTGGATCACTTGAGGTCAGAAGTACGAGACCAGCCTGGCCAATATGGTGAAACCCCATCTCTACTAAAAATACAAAAATTTGCCGGGCATGGTGGTGCACACCTGTAATTCCAGCTACTCAGGAGGCTGAGACAGGAGAATCACTTGAACCCAGGCAACAGAGGTTGTGGTGATCCAAGACCACGCCACTGCACTCCAACCAGGGCAACAGAGTGAGACCCTGTCCCCCTCCCCCACCCCCCAAAAAATTAACACCTCACTTAAAATAAAAATATTCTATTTTTAGGCAGATACAGACTTACTCCCTAGGCAAAGTCATCCAAAATTTAAAGTTTGGCTTTTATTGTTCCAATACAAGAGCAGATTTTTATTTTTACCTTAAGGCCTAAGTGGCTTCTGTCATGTATCCTCTTCTCCATTTTGAAACACTTTGGAAAACCTTCCTTTTACAGTGATGCCCTCTGACTGCTGGCTTCCTTAAACATCAAGCCTAGAACCTTGTTCCACTCTGTTCTATAATCTCCAGCTATTCCATACTCGTGAATCAGTGACAAACTCTCCAACTCAAGCCTCCCCCCACCAACTCTGTGACACTGTTCAACTGCAGCTCTTTTCCTAAATGAGTGCAGCAACCACATGGAGCATCAATAAGCCTGACTTGCGCTATCTCCTTCTAAGAACTCAGTGCCTCACTTATGACAGTGGAAATGAGAGGGAACTGGGGGGAGAAAATTTCAGGATGAAATTACTTTTGTAGAATCTGCCATCAGATTTTAACTAGAGAATTTCTAGGGCCCAATATGCTAGGTCACTGGAGATATATGACAGACATACATGGCTATGTACTAGATTATGAGGCCATGATGAAGCCCAAAACCCCCAACACACAACAATATGGAAGAGCAATGTTTGCTAGTCTCTTCATCCTCCAGTACACCAGAGATGACAGTAGACAATAAAAGAAAGGTGAAAAACAGAGGCCTGGATGAGAGGCAGGCCTGGTGCCTATGCTCCTGGGGAGATGGTTTGTTAACAGATGGGGAAAAGAAGCAAGTCCTGCAGGACCATGAGCCAACAGAATTATTTCCTGGAATCTCTTCTTGACCAGTGTCTCCACATCTCTGCAGCCCCCGCAACACACCAAGCTCACAAGTGCTGCCCTTGTGTCTGCGGGAACCAGGTAGAAAACGAAACCCCTATACATGGGAAAAAAGTCCAACCAACCTGCTTAATAAGCACACTCACCTTGATCCCATTAAAATTGTCGACGGCCAGAATTGTGCTCCTCTGGTCTTCATAGCAGAGGAAACAGAATCCTTTGGATTTCCCAGTTTTCTTGTCCCGCACGAGATTAATGTTAACAATCTCCCCATATCTATTTATTTTATAAAAGAGTAAGACACTGTTGACTTAAAAGGCAAAAACATGCAGATAAGGTAATAAAACAAAATTCAAATAATATAGTGTATACAAGAGATGCATCTAGAACAAGATGACATAGAAAGGTTGCAAAGAAAAAGTCAGACAAGAACAGGAACCCCCAATTAAAAAATGGGTGGCAATATCCAGAGCAAAGACTAATTCAAGGCCAAAATAAAAATATCACATGAGACTAAGAAGATTATTTTACACTGAAAAAGGCCTAAATACACAACAAAGGTATAAGCCAGGAAAACGTTATGAGCCAATTAAGAAATCAAAAATTTTAATTAAAAAAGCTATTTGAAATGCAAAAAGAAACTAATAGAGAAAGTTATGGGAGAATTTAACACATCACTTTGAAGTTTATCACGCACAAAGTGGACAGAAATAAACTAAAATCAGATTAATTAATATACATAATTACTCTGTTATAATAACAAATATTAATGTAGGACTATTAGATACATAGATATCTTTGAATCCTACAAGATGACATTTTCAAGAATCCATGAAGCATGTATTAAAATTGACTATGGATTAGGTCTCAATGTAAACCTCAATAATTATACTACAAAAAACAGAACAGACCATGTTTCCAGTTATAATGTTATAAAGCTGGAAATGATATTTTAAATAAAAAAAAGTTACCTAACTAGAACTTGAAAGCTACTCTCCTAACAACAGCATGAAAGAGAAGACGAAGCAAAATTAAAAAAAAATAAATGGCAGACTATTTAGAAAATAGCAAAAATGAGAATATACACCAAAACTTATGAAATGTGGCTAACGTCATACTCAGGAAAATTTGTAATTTTAAAAGAATTTTATTGTGAAGAGAAAGGATGAACATAAAGGAAGAAAGCAAACCTAATGAAAGCAGATGGCAGTTAATAGAGATAAAAGCAGAAATTAGGCTCGGCATGGTGGCTCATGCCTGTAATCCCAGCATTTTGGGAGGCCAAGGTGGGAGGGCTGTTTGAGGCCAGCAGTTCAAGACCAGCCTGGGCAACAGAACAAGATCCTGTCTCTAAAACAAACAAACAAACAAACAAGAAGGCAGAATTAAATAGAAAAAAAAAGGCCAGGCATGGTGGCTCACACCTGTAATACCAGCACTTTGGGAGGCAGGAGGATTGAGGCCAGTAGTTCGAGACCAGCCTGGGCAACAGAACAAGACCCTGTCTCTAAAAAAAGCAAACAAACAAAAAGGAAGATAGAAATAGGAAAACAAAAAGGAAATAGAAAAAAAAGATCAGGCACGGTGGCTCACGTGCATAATACCAGCACTTTGGGAAGCCGAGGCCATAGGATCACTTGATGCCAGGAGTTTGAGACCAGCCTGGACAATACGGCCAGACCCCTGTCTCTACAAAAAAAATTTTTTTTAATTAGCCAGGCATAGTGTGCACCTGTAGTCCCAGCCATTCAGGAGGGTGCGTGGGGCGGATCACTTGAGCCCAGGAGTTCGAGGCTGCAGTGAGCTAGGATCATGCCACTGCACTCCAAACCTGAGCAAGAGAGACCCTGTTTCAAAAAAAAAAAAAGAAAAAACATTAGAAAAACAAACTACCTTACGCCTTACAAAAAGATAAATTCCAGGTAAGTTAGAGGTTTATAAATTTAAAAATAAAGTCATAAAAAGAAAATAGGAATTGATAGATATGTTACATAATCACATACATACACTTCAGCCCAAAATCCAGCATCCTACTTAATGAGAAATACTAGAGCCAATTCAACTAAGTTTAGGAACTATTTAATACTAAATTGGAGGTATAGGCCAATGCAATTAGATAAAACAGATACAAGAAATGAAAAAAGGAAGTAACACTACCTTTCTGTAGATTACATATGACAGTAGCCCAAGAGCTCAAGGCTACAGTGAGCTACGGTCTTAACACTGCACTCCAGCGTGGGTGTCAGAGCAAGGCCCTTTCTCAGAACAATCAACTAAATTAAAATGCTAACAGCTGGGGGATCTGGGTGAAGGAGATACAGGTATTCTTTATGCCATTTGATAATGTTCCTGTATTAAGCCTGAAATTATTTCAAAACAAGAATTAAAAAAAAAAAAAGAATACAGGCACTGGCTTGAAGGAACTCATGTTGACCCTCAAATAGGGAAAATTTGAGCATCAAGAAAGAATAATGATAAGTATAACATATCAAATTAAGAAAAAATAAGTCCATAGTACAGGCTGAGCATCCCTAATCTGAAAATCCAAAATTCAAAATGCTCCAAAGTCTGAAACATTTTGAGCACCAACATGGTATCACAAGTGGAAAATTCCATATCTGACACCTTTAATTTCTAATGGTTCAATGTACACAAACTTTGTTTCACACACAAAATTACTGAAAATATTGAGGGTATAAAATTACCCTCAGTCTATGTGTATAAGGTGTATATGAAACATAAATGAATTTTATGTTTAGATCTGGGTCCCAGCCCCAAGATAGATCATTACATTTATACAAATTGGAAACACTTCTGGTCCTCTGGTCCCAAGCATTTTGTTCTTTTTTTTTTTTTTTTGGAGACAGAGTCTCACTCTGTTGCCCAGGCTGGAGTGCAATGGTACTATCTCAGCTCACTGCAACCTCCACCTTCCCGATTCAAGTGATTCTCCTGCCTTGGCCTCCAGAGTAGCTGGGACTACAGGCACCCACCACCACACCTGGCTACTTTTTGTATTTTAGTAGAGATGGGGTTTCACCATATGGCCCAGGCTGGTCTCAAACTCCTGAGCTCAGGCAATCCACCTGCCTCGGCCTCCCAATGTGCTAGGATTACAGGCGTGAGCCACCGTGCCTGGCCCCAAGCATTTTGGATAAGGGATATTCAACCTGTAATACAATACACAACAAAGTACTGCAAAGAGTTAATATCCTTCATACATGAAGGGCTCATGTAAAATCAACAAGAAAATAAGGAAAATACTTGTAGAAGAAAGTTGGCAAAGGATATGAATAGACAATTTACAAAGAAAAATAATGGGCTGCAAATCTATAAACAGATGTTCAACCTCACTGATGATGAAATAAAGGCAAAGCAGGCCGGGCGCGGTGGCTCACACCTGTAATCCCAGCACTTTGGGAGGCCGAGGCGGGCGGATCACGAGGTCAAGAGATCGAGACCATCCCGGCTAAAACGGTGAAACCCCGTCTCTACTAAAAATACAAAAAAATTAGCCGGGCGTAGTGGCGGGCGCCTGTAGTCCCAGCTACTTGGGAGGCTGAGGCAGGAGAATGGCGTGAACCCGGGAGGCGGAGCTTGCAGTGAGCCGAGATCCCGCCACTGCACTCCAGCCTGGGCGACAGAGCGAGACTCCGTCTCAAAAAAAAAAAAAAAAAAAAAAAAAAAAAAAAAAAAAAAGGCAAAGCAAAGTAATAATGAGAAGCCCTTTGGCAAATATTTTTTAAAATAGTCACTGTTAATCAGGATTCAGAAAAATGGGCATTCTAATGAGTGTGGAAATTGGTACAACCTTTTGGAGAGCAATTTGGCAATGTTTATAAAACATCTTTAAAATGCTAACATATTGATCCATATTCCTCTTTCACTAAAGAGACCATGAGGGATGCATACAAAAATTTATATACTATAATGTACATTGCAGTATAATTCATAATAGCAAACCATTGGAAATAATGTCCAACATTTTTTTAAAAATGATAAAGAGATATGCCAAAACATTAAGGTTTTCCTTAAGAGTATGTTCTATTTTCTTCTTTATACTTTATTTTGCCAAATGTTCTATAATGACTATGTATTACCTTCCAAAATCAGAAAACAAAGTAGTTTTTTTTTCTTTTTTCTTTTTTTTTGAGATGGGGGAGTCTTGCTCTATCCCCCAGGCTGGAGTGCAATGGCGCAATCCTGGCTCACTGCAACCTCCACCTCCCGGATTCAAGCAATTCTCCTGCCTCAACCTCCCGAGTAGCTGGGATTACAGGCGCGCACCACCATGCCTGGCTAATTTTTGTATTTTTAGTAGAGACAGGGTTTCCCCATGTTGGCCATGCTGGTCTCAAACTCCTGACCTCAGGTGATCTGCCCACCTCAGCCTCCCAAAGTGCTGGGATTACAAGCGTGAGCCACCGCACCCAGCCAACAAAGTAGTTTTTTGAAAGGCACTGTTATCAGCGGCAAAGGCAATCTTCATGGAGAGCAACGTGCGTAACCAGAATAGAGAATAGATAATTAGAATAAACAAACATGCACACGTTAGCTCATCATTACTTAATGCAAGTAGAACAGCTCCAAGATGGAAGGCTGAGTAGAAGTACCACAAAGGGGTAGAAATTATAGGCTGCACCTGCTGTGAACTTCCCAACATCCAGAAGTTGGAGGAAGCAATCTTTGTCCCTGCCAGGGCCCTCCACCTGTGTGGGTTGCCCAGGTTCTCTATCACAGCCTTCTTCTCACGGGTATTGCCCAATTCCTTTCCCATGTCTTGCTGCCCCATAAGTGGCTCAACCACTCGGCCAGGGCCCTCTGTCCATGGATGGTCCCATAGCAATCCCTCTGCCAGTGTATGCTACCGGTGTTCGCTTGGCCAGCCCCTTTTGCCATGGTCCGCTACCTGTACATGCTGTCCAACTTCTCTGAAACAGTACTATGCTTCCAAGGACTACAAAACCCAAACGTAGTGGTCCTCTGCACCTGTGCCAAGGTCCTCTAGCCCTGTGGACTAACTGTGCTGTTTAGCTCTGGGGTTGCAGGCCAGCTGCCCAGCCCCTCTCCTACCAGCTGCTACTACCAGTATGAGCTGCCAACACCCTCTCCCATGAAATGCTGCTGCTAACACCTCAGCAGAATGAAGAATATACAGGTCTCCTATTCATTCTTGTTCCCTTCGGGCTGTGATTCTCAGCCTCCAGGCAGAGATTGCCTTTGCTCACTAACCTTACACTCATCGAGAAACAAAGAAAGCAAACTACGACCTTCTGTTTTTTACCCCAATTTCCTCTGTGCTTTGCCCCAATCGTATGACGCCACACAGGTAAGGGCCAGAAGGGCCCTGTGACCATGGGTTACCCCTAGTTTGCAAGAGCCCAAGGAGTCCAGTCTGTTCCAGTCTAGGCCCAGGCTGAACAAGCCTCAGTGAAAAACAACAGAAATAGACTAGGATCCCCAAGATGCCCTCCCAAATTAACAAACCTCTTGGATCTCCCACAGAACATTCTAGAACCATGTCCTGGGACTGATCTAGAACAGAAGCTCCAGCCCTCCCCATGCAGGGATGCCATTCAGCCTAGAGTGAAAATAAGTGGTTTTTGTGATGCCACAAAATGTATTACAGAAACAAAGTACTCTGTCGACTCAGGAGGCAGGAAATGAAAGGACACTTACTGTGAGAACACACAGATGATGTCCCCTTCAGTCAGTTCATAAGGAAGCCCTCCTAGAAGAGAAAACCACATTTCAGTTCCACCAACATTTACCAAGTGTTTACTACATACCACGCACTAGGCCAGGCACTAGGGGTGGAAACAGTAAGCAACAGGCCCTGCCCTTAAAGAAATCAAGTCTGGGCTGGGCACCGTGGCTCACGCCTGTAATCCCAACACTTTGGGAGGCTGAGGAGGGTGGATCACCTGAGGTCAGGTGTTCGAGACCAGCCTGTCCAACATGGCGAAACCCCGGCTCTACTAAAAATACAAAAAAAAATCAGCCAGGTGAGGTGGCGGGCACCTGTAATCCCAGCTACTCAGGAGGCTGAAGCAGGAGACTCGCTTGAACCCAGGAGGCAGAGGTTGTAGTGCGCCGAGATCGTGCCATTGCACTCCAGCCTGGGCGACAAGAGTGAAACTCCAGCTCAAAAAAAAGAAAGAAAGAAAGAAATTAAGTCTGACTCAATGACAGAAGTACATGTAAGGTGCCAGTAGTACAGAAAAAGGAGTAATTAATTTTGAGTGGAAGTCGGGGTCACCACTAACGAAACTAATCTGATCACTCAGTCCTCCTGCCACCCAAAATCCTATGGACAAAGCAGATAGTTTCCATCACAAACCTCTGCTTCCACAAACATGTTGAATTCATCTGCTCATTACCCACAAATTTACAGCTATGATACAAAATCAGTCTACATATGTCATGATTAACCCCACCTACACATAGACAAAGGTTATAAAGACACTGTTAAGCATTTCCTAGGGAATAATTTCCCCTCCAAATATTTATTTCCTCATTTGTAAGATGGGGATATTAGCACGTAACTCGCAAGATTATTATAAGAGTTAAATAAAACGATGTATATAAAGTGCTTAGCACAATGTTTGGTACAATAACCTCTTTGAAGCATCAAACTTGTACAATTACTGATTGTGATATAAAGTGAATACAGTAATGGTAACGTGGCCATGGACTAGAAAGCAGGAGCTAGAGGAGCAAAGTGAATTCTGGAAGGGAAGGGGAATGGGGGAGGGTGGTGGTAGCAATATGGAGCTGTGGCTAAGACCAAGAGTTCTAGAATGCTATAGTTCTGCCTGTTGCGCTTACTAGCTATGTGACCTTAAGGAAGTCCCTTAACTTCTCTGCACCCCAATTTCCTCAGCAGTATAATGGGTCAGAGGGTGAGAGAGAAATAACAACAGTCCCTGAACCTTAGCACAGCAAATGGCAAACAGTAACTCTCATGAGCACTGATTTGGCAGGGAAGGAAAACTAAAAATGGGGCAGAAAAGAGATGTAACACGGATTCCCGGGCAGACAGCAGATGGATATGAAGGTGGGCGATGAATGTAAGCAGGAGTGAAGGGTGAAAATGCCGAAATAGTCGGAAACCGAGCAGGAGAATCTGGAGAGCACTGAGGAAGAAAGATGTGGACCTCACCCAGGAAGATCCAGGCGCTGTCCTTGTACTCGGAGTGCCAGGACACCTTATCGGCCACCCCAAGCTGGACCTCTCGTTCATTCAGCTCGTTGATCAGCTTCACCTTAGTTAAAGGGCTTCACGGTGGCGGGGGGGGTGGGGAGGGTAGGCAGAAAAGCAGACAAGTAAGTGCGAACCGGCCGGAGCTGAGGAAGAGCAAAACTAGGGGACGAGCTGTTCCAGTCCCCGCGCCGCTCCCGCCCCTCGGCCCCGCAGACGCTCTACCACACCAGTCCCGGTGGACCACCCCCAGTGGCCCGCTGCTCCTTCCTCAAAAGGAAGCTGACGCCTTACTTCATCTCCTCGGGTTCGCGCTCAGCACTCAGGAATCAGCGCCCGGGAAAGGCAGCGCAGCGCATGCGCGGCCCCGGCGCCAGTGGCCAGTCGATTCGGTGACCTCGCGCCGGAAGAGCCGGGGCGTACCGGGGCGTGGCGCCTGCGCACTAGCAGCCTTCCGCGCTGCGTGCGGTTACCTCTTGGAGAGGTGGTTTTTCTCTAGTTTTTCGCTTTTTCTTCTCTGTGAAATGGGGTAAAGGCACAAGCCTGGGCTGTTGCAGGACCCCCACCTCTTGAACGATATCTGAAACTGGTTAGATTAGCTATAAATATTTGCTGAGTGAACGGAACAAGCAGCCTGATGTGGCGACTTTAGTCTCAGCCCTCGCTCCCAGTCCAGAGTCCCACTTGGACCTTCGCTCCTAGTCAGTTGCTAAAGCACAGACCCATCAAAGCATCCCTGTCATGGCAGAAAAGTGAAGAAGATAGGTGAAAAGGTAAATCTTCTGTTGTCCTTATCCCAATACATAGGCAACAGACCAGTGTGCTTCTATAGGCTGAATCGAATACCTACACATTTGCATGAGAACTGCTGCACTTACTCTTTTCCATAGGCTCTCTCCTAGTTGAGCAGGAGGCAGAAATTAATATTGTTAAATTAATAGCTAACAATTGAGCAGATGATGTACTATACGATGCTAGAGTATGTACTAAGCAATTTACATGTATTGTCTCTCCACCCTCACAACAACCCAATAAAGCAGAGAAAATTACAATCCCTAGCCGGGCACAGCAGCTCAGCCTGTAATCCCAGCACTTTGGGAAGCTGAGGTAGGAGGATTGCTTGAGCTCAGGAGTTCGAGACCATCCTGGGCAACATAGCAAGACCCTGTCTCTAAAATAAAGGGAAAAAAAGGGGGGCCAAGTGTGGTGGCTCATGCCTGTCATCCCAACACTTTGGGAGGCTAAGACGGGTGGATCACCTGAAGTCGGGAGTTCAAGACCAGCCTGGCCAAGATGGTGAAACTCTGTCTCTACTAAAAATACAAAAATTAGCCAGGCATGGTGTCACACGCCTGTAATCTCAGCTACTCAGGGGGCTGAGGCAGGAGAATCACTTGAACCTGGGAGGCAGAGATTGCAGTGAGCTGAGATCGCACCACTGCACTCTAGCCTGGGCAGCAGAGTGAGACTCCTTTTTATTTAAAAAAAAAAAGAAAGAAAAGAAAAAAAATTTCCACCCTCATTTTGTAGAGGAAGAAATGAGGCTCAAAGGAATAAATTAACTTGAAAGGTACTCTACCTGCACCCGTCAGGTCAGGTTGATTTAATCAGTCCTTACTGAACATCTAGATTTGTCCTGTACAGCTAAGGTCTGTAGACAGGAGTATCAGGGTGGGTCCTCTGCCTTCAAGGAGCTAATATTATAATTAAGGGGACAAGATATATTTGCTTGATAGATTTCAACCAGAAATATCTAGAAACCAGTGGAAGAGATTATTAATGTATAATATGTGATTTAACCCATATTGACAGTTTGAATCCATTTTGCATGTGTCCACATCAATACCTGCTCTTGGACTATGATGTTCTAAAAGTGAAAGTCCAGAGCTGTGCGGCCTAACTCAGAGCACCAGATATTAGGTCCTTCATAAAAGCATTTTGATGATGATAACAACTGTACCCTCAAGTGGCCCACCATGTAACCAATGTCCTGCCAAGAAGGAGAACAGAGGCTGCCCACCAATGACAGTTCCTCCTCATTCATTCTGTGTCTGTTCCCCCCTCCCCATTCCAACCCAGCTATTCATTAACTTTGTAAAATTATCTTGGCAATGAAAGCTAAACAGTGACAGATTGCACATGGGGTTTATCTGCTCCTAGGAATCTCAGGTTGCTTAGTTGTGGGTTGAAGTAGCCATTGCAGAGTGGTAAACTAGCATGCAGCATTATCTTGCTGACTTCTTCAAATGGCTGTGAAATGAGAGAGTTAAGACTATACCTGGGGATTAGTCATCAGTGTTCCGAGAGAAGCTGGAGCAAAAGAGTAGAATAAGACCAATTTAGATTGAGAACATGAGAAGGCTATTATTACTATGCAGCTGGTAGGTTCAGCAGAGGTATTCTGAAGGTGAGAGAGCTGAATATTGCTCCAGTTTTCCTGGAACTGAGAGGTTTCTGAGACTTCTGACTTTTGGAGCTAAAATTGGCAACCCCAGAACAAACCATGATGGTTGATCACCCTAGGAGATCCTGAAGTAAATAACGAAGCAAGGAAGTCGGATTTTCCATAGATGTACTTGCATTTGGCAGGAATTGGTAGGTAAGATGATGCCTAGAGATACCCGTAAGTCTGAGTTGAAAAGAGGTGGGGATGCAGAGGACCCTCTGAATCTAACATCTGAAAGTAGAACGAGGGTTTGGCATCCAAGGTGGCTATAAGTGATCTCCACCAATAGCATCCATTTAGAAAATATTCTATGCAGTATTTAGTTCTAGCTTCTGAGGGTAATGCTAAGGTAGTCAAAGGCAGTCCCCACATTCAAGGAAAGGCTGAACTATCTAGCCAGAGTCATCTCCCAACTTCCCACCACCACACCACACCCCCAAACAGTTTTTCCTCCAGACTTCCCTATTTTGGGCAATATTATCACCATTTTCCTGGTTGCCCATACTCAAAAACATGGGTTTCATATTTCAGTCTTCCCTATTCTTCACCTCAACATATCCATTCACTCACCAAGTCCTAACAATTGTACTATTGAAGTATCTATAAAATGTGTCTCTTCCAGTCACAGTCCTATCTGAGCCATTAGTACATGCCTCCTAGCTCTTTCAGTACTCTTCTAGCTGCCCCAGCCCCTACTCTCCATTCTCTTCTGTCACTGCTCCCCCACTAAAAAACTCAACTTAAGCCGGGCTCCACTTCTATCCATTCCCTCGAAGGCCCCTTTCATCATCCCACCTAGGCACCTCTGCTGAGAGAGCCTCATAGCCCTGGACCACCCTCCTCTCTCTCACTGAAATCTGCCCAAGCCCCAAGCCCCCAACAAGTCATTCATCATGCAGGAAACCTTTCCCGATCTTATGTGCCCACAGTGATGGCTCTCACTTCTGAACTCTGTAACACTACAGAACTCCTTTATGTTCTTCTCCCAGAAAGACCATGAAATCCTGGAAGGTAAAGGATCTGCATTTATAAGCCCCTCAGAACCTCAAGCCTCGAACATTTTCCTATATACATAGAATGCAACCAATATACTTACTGGTTAATGAAATTGAAAAATCACACAACTATGATTACCTTTAGGAAAACAGATGAGGGTAGGGGTAGAGAAGACTTTATTTTATTTTCCCTTTGTTCATTTCTATATGGTTAGAATTTTCCTTTTTTTATTTTTATTTTTATTTTTATTTATTTATTTTTTTTTTTTGAGACAGAGTCTCACTCTGTCACGCAGACTGTAGTGCAGTAGTGCAATCTTGGCTCACTGCAACCTCCGCCTCCCAGGTTCAAGCAATTCTCCTGCCTCAGCCTCCCAAGTAGCTGGGACTACAGGCGTGTGCCACCACAGGAAGACAGCGAGGAAGCCATGTGAGTGTCTGGTAAAACAGTATTGTTCTGAGACACTCTTTTGAGTGTATTTCAGAAACAGAAAGGAGGCCAGTGTGGCTGGAGAGGAGTAGGCAAGGGGGAGAATGATAGATTTTTGTTTATTTGAGAAAATCTTACTTAGTACCTACCATGTACCTGACACTGTTCTAGGTACTTTACATGTATAAATTCATTTACTTCTTGCAACAACCCTATGAGGCAGATATTATTATCCTCACTTGGTAAATGAGAAAAGAGAGGCACAGAGAGGTTAGGTTGCTTGCCCTAGGTCACACAGCTGGTAAATGGTAGAACCAGGATTTGAATCCAGGTCATATAGCTCCAAAGTCTGCACTCTTAACCCCTATACACAGGATAAGTTGAGGTAAAGAGAACAGATCAAACATGGCCATGCTGGGTACTGGCTTTGGAATTTACTCAGTGTGAGGTAGGGAGTCACCAAAGAACTTTGATCTGATGTACATTTTAGTAGGTTCACCTTAGCTGCTGTGTTGATAACAGACCAGGGAGGGGGCAGGGGGTGCCTACAGTAGAAGCAGGAAGACCAGTTTGGAAGCTCTACAATAAATCAGACGACGGATGATGGTGATTTGTCTCCAGGTGACAGCAAAGAAGATGGTGTTCCATGCTGGTATTGTTCCAAACTAAAAAAAAAATGTATTTTAAATAAAAATAAATAAGAACACACATGACACCAACATAAAGGCACATCCTTTGTTTGTCAGTGCCCAGACACTGGCCTAGATGCTGGGGATACTACAGTGAATAAGACCACATGACCCAGTACCTGCCCTTGAGCAGCTCACGGTGTTACAAGATAGTTACAGATATAAATAAGTACTTTGTATTCAAGGTGATGAATGTCATATTGAATGTATGAGTGAAATGCCTTTAGAACCAGCTGAGGGATAATTAATTCTGGTGCTGGGGGTCAGAGGAAGCTGGGGGTGGAAAGTAGATTGTCAGGGAAAGTCACATAGAGTCAGGTGACTGTTGAGCTTGGCCTTGAAGGCAGTCACATGTAGATGGAAGACGCAGGATGGGTACCACACAGAAACAGCATTTCAAGCAGTGGAACCACCAGAGGCAAAAGCATCAAAGTGTGAAAAGCATATGATGTGACCAGGGGATGGGATGGGGCAGAGTGGTAATGGCTGAAGATAAGGATGGAAGAGTTCTGGCCATTTTGTTAAGGGCCTTGTAGATGAAGCCAAGAAGTTCTGATTCTAGCTAGTAGGCAATGAGAAGTGATCATATAGCTTAATCATTCAGTCATTCAACCAGTCAACCAGCTGACCACTTTTGTTGAGGACTTGCTATAGGCAGACACTGCTTTAGGTGCTGAGAATATAAAGGTGAACATGCTCACCCTATAAGGAAAACATATGTGGGGACAAAAACATAATCCGAGCATGTTTCTTTGAGCCTGGGAGTGACGTGGTCAATTTTCTCTTTGATCACTTTGGAACCAGTGTGGGGGATGGATTGAAGGCATGCAAGTCTTGATGCTGGGAGATCAGTTAGGATACCAGTTGGCTGTGATGAGCAGGAGCAAACAAAGTCAACAGATTTCATAGCCACAACATGCTGATTCAAGTAGATGTGGGTAGTGAGGAAACATCTAAGGATGATGCTTAGGTTTCCAGCTTGAGACACTAATTGGGTGTGACACACTTTGCTAAGGTAAAACAGGCAAGAAGACTGGTTTGGAAGAAAACTAATGAATTCAATTGGTAAATCAGTTAAAAATACTGGAGGAGTCAATAAAGGAGACTGAGAAGGAGGATGACAGAGGAAGATGAAAAAGCGGGAGAACGTGTATTCTAAAAGAAAAGGGGAGGGGCCCAGTTGTTCACATCTGTAATCCCAACACTTTTAGAGGCCAAGGTGGGAGGATTGCTTGAGGTTAGGCATTCGGGACCAACCTGGGCAACATAATGAGGCCCCCATTTCTACAAAAAATAAAAAAAAAATCCAGGCATGGTGGTGTGAGCCTATAGTCCTAGCTACTTGGGAGGTTGAGGTGGGAGGATCACTTGGGCCCAGGAGGATGAAGCTGCAGAGAGCTGTGATTGTGCCACTGCACACCACCCTGGGTGACAGAGCAAGACCCTGTCTCTAAAAAAAACACAAAATTATATTAAAGTAAAAGGGAGTGAAAGGTGATCATTATTATCAAACACTGCAGAAAAGTTCTCTTGGTAGAAGCACCTTTAATTTTTCAATGTTTTCACCCACTTATTTCAATTGATCCAAAACAACATCACCATCAGGAAAACTGATTTGAGAGGACCCATAAATCTAAACAGCATGCCATCGTGTACTTACCTTCTCCCATGCTGAAGACTTAAGTGTCGGATGGAAGCAAAACACAAGTCTAAAAGAATGGATGTGGGCCATACTTTCCTTGTGTTAAGAAAGCAGATTAAGTGTATGTGTTTATAAAGTCTGTTCCTTAATTGTAGGTTGCCTAGGAATAAGAAAATAAGAAATGATGCATTGTATTAACAGAAGATCTTATCAACTCTTCAGGGATATTGACTTAAGATACATGCATGATCTTTAGGGAGTCTGTGAGGACCCTGAATTTGTGTGTACGATGTGTTTACATGTGAACATGTGCATTTTTTAGAAAATCCATAGCTCCCATAAGATTCTAAAATAGTTCCATAGTTCAAAAACAATAGCTAAGGACAGTTGATTTAGAGCATCTAATGATTACCTATGAATTACCGTCAGATAACTGAGAGCAGTTTGCAAAGCTTAGCAAGCAGGTGTTGTAGTAGAATTCTCGTGAGTTATGTGAGTCAGAGATAGATAAATTGAAAGCACAGTTGCGCTGCCCTGAGCTCCCCCGTGGCTCAGCACAGCTGCTTGCTCCCAGCAATCTGATGCTTACGTAGACTCTTGAGGGATTGGAAAAAGAATCCCAAACTCTTGAGGAGGAGGAGGCCAAGTTGCCTCCAGGGGTGAGTATGACTTCTAAAAGACGCACAACAGATGTCTTTTACCACCTGCCTGTTATTGTTCACCTTTCCTCCACTGCCTAAGCCAATGCAGCGATTTTCCATACCTCAAGCAGCACAACTTTCAGAAGCTGCCAAGATTCTTGATGAGCTGATTAAAAAGCAGAATCTAGTTCCAGGGAAGAAAGGGAGAAAGTAGAGAAAAAAAGTGCTGGAGGAGCATATGACTCTAGTTCTGGTAGAACCCACCTGTAATCACAAATCACATTTACTCTAAATTCATAATGTGAAGTTCCCATTGGCATGCGGGCCTAAAGGGCATGCTGGCTGGACTGAACCAAATGGGACAATCAGACCCGGTGGGAGGAGAAGTAGCACTGGGCAGATCTAACTGGAGCTGAATGTAAAAGTATTTTTCAGGGATAACAGGTACCTACCTAGAGCAAGAGTTCCCAAATGGTCATCACAATTTCACCTAGGTAGGTCAGTCCTCCCAAGCCAATGACTAGTGCCCACTCCCTGTTCTCCAAAAGATTCCTTGCACGGGCAGCTTTTACCCTCCTCTTATTCATTTTCACTGTTCTGAGCCAGAGTTTTCCTGGGGTGCTCTGTTGCCTGAGGTGAAGAAGCCAGTTACCGGGAGTGCTAGATGAAACACTGATCCAGGGTATAGGAGATGGTCTACAAATTAGGGAAAGGAATGAGTGGGCCACAGCTCAAAGAAGCCAGATCACTGAGACATGACAATGTAAAGACCAGAGCACATGAGTGCTCGGGGACAAGCTGACAGACAATGCTAAGCTTCTAGAGAAGAAGCACAGGATGGGTCTGTCTTGGCTCAAATCACAATGATGTTGCATGAAGGCTGGCAGCATTCTACCCTGGAATGGCAGGAGGTGGCATCCTTCTTGAGGGTGGATGCAGGTTTTCAAGGCTATAGGATGATGCCACACAGCTTGCATTCCATCTCTGGTCAGCAACTTACATTCTGGAGAGAACAGGTGGGACACATAGAGCTTGGCAGACCTGAGTTCAAATCCCAGTTCTACCACTTGCTAGGTATAGAAACTTGGGCAATTTAATTAGCTTCAATTAACTTTTTTGTGGTAGCCTTCCCAAGTTATGAAATGGTGATAATATCACCTCTTAGAGATCTTGCAAGGATTGTGATAAGAGGTGAATATTACTAATATTTATAATAATATTATATTCTTTTCACATTCCAAATACTCCCAGCCATTGTTACAAACCCCCTGACCCCTTCTGCAACCCACAAATCTTACCCCCTAGTGAACGAAACCAGTTCTTCCTTAGGAAAAAGGTGGAAATCGCTTTCTGAGAGTTGGAGGGCTGCTATATAAAACTCAGCCTAGCATGACCCCCTGACTGGTGTCTTTCTTGAAGAATACACTTCAAGAAAGATTTGCAATGAAAAAAGCTAGAAACATTAATTGAATATATATTTTCTCCCCTCACCCCACCCCATTCCACAAGCCATGGACATCGGCCAAAAAGGTATGTGTGTTTTTACTCAACTCTATTCTGCAGGGGACGGAAGGATTTCAGCCTACTAGTTGTAACTATATAAATCCTTTTTTTAATGGAGCAAGAAGGTTCTGAGTCCTGAGTGACAAATGAAAATGTCTTCAGGGACCATGCTAGGTCCCTGAAGAGCTACTCTGGCTTGCATGAATCCCAGCTAAGATGCAACAAATTCAGAGCAACCCAGAAGTGCAAAAAGTGTCCTATTTATCCAGCTAAACAGGAGCAGAGCCTTTCCAAGGATTACTTTCTCCCTGCAGAGTGTGCCCTCTGCTGGGCTTCCTGGCCACTGGCATTTTGGCATCTCAGGCCAACAATGCTGCTGTTTCCTGGCTATGTAGGAACACTTGTAGTATTGCAACCAAATGCCTCTTGGGCAGTAACCACCGCCAAGCAGCGATATAACCAGGACCTAGTTTTTGAATTGTCTCCACATACTAACCCTTGAAACCAATGTATTAATTTCCTATTGCCGCTGTAACAAATTACCCCAAACTTTGTGGCTTAAAACAACACAAATCTATTATCTTCCAGTTCTCGAGGTCAGAAGTCTGAAATCAGTTTCACTGGGCTAAAGTCAGAGTGTTGGCAGGGCTGATTCCTTCTGGAGGCTCTAGGACAGGATTCCTTGCCTTGCCTTTTCTGACTTCCAGAGGCCTCTTGAATCCTTGGCATGTGATCCCTTCCTTGCATCACTCCAACCACTGGCATCTGTCATCACATCTCCAAAACTGCCCACTCTGATCTCCTGACTCCCTGTTTTAAGGGCCCTTATAACACTGGGCTCACAGGGATGATATCACTGGGTTCACAGGAAAAATCCAGGATAATCTCTCCATCTCAAGATCCTCAACTTAATCACATCTGCAAACTAGCTTTTGCCAAGTAAGGTCATATATTCATAGGCTCCAGGGATTAGGATATGGACATCTATGCAGGGGGCATTATTCAGCCTACCACACCCAGGCTTCTGCAACATGGAATACCAAAAAGACCATTGGACCAGGCGTAAGGAGAACTGGATTCCAAATCCCAGCTCTGCCACCCCTTTCTAGTTGGGTAACCTTGGGCAGGTCCCTTTATCTCTCCAAGCCTCAGCTTCTTTACTTATGAAATGGAGATGAGATAATAACCCATAGCTCACAACATGTTATTGAATGTATGAAAAGCTCTTTCCTATCATAGTAACTAACATAGAATAGGCACTCCATAAACCTGCTGTGTAGGCAATGTTTGTGTGGGGTGACAGGATGAGTAGTTAGAAGGCTACAGTAATAGTGCAGATGAAAGATAATAAAGTACTGAATGAAAGAGGCAATAGCAGGAATGGAAAGCAGGAGTGATAAGATAAATGGAGAGGTACACATGAGTCCAGATTTATACATTTCCTTGGGCTCAGGGTAAAATGAGCCTCATTTTCCATGATCATTGGACTTTATTTAAAAAGAAAGGCTTCTACTACTTCTCAGCCTAACGACCTTAAAAAAACCCAGAGTATAAAAGTGTCAGCTTGAAGGCCAGTGTGATAGGATGTGCAAAGGCACAGAGACACAAACTGGTAACAAAAGGGGACAAGATGTAATCTCTGTGGTTGACATGAGATGGGATGAACTCTTGGTGGCTGTCCACAGGTCTCACACAAGCTGCTGGCCTGTATGTCGATTTCCAACATCTTCCACTTATAAGTGGTGTAGCCCTTTGGAAATAAGTCACCCTCTCTGTGTGCCTTGATTTCCTAACCTGTAAAATCAAGGCATGAATAGTACCTACCTTACAGAATTGTCGTGAAGGTTAAATGAAACTCCATGTTGTATATTTAGCACAGTACCTGGCACTTAAAGGCCCCATAAATGTTAGCTGGTGTCATCCATTGCTGCAAGAAGACTCAGATGCCCCAGAAGGATAGGGCTATTTCCTCAAAGCGCCTCCCACTCCAAGAAGAGCCTCAAATACTGATTCTCCCACCCTGTCATGTCCTACATTTCTTTCAATCCACATATACCCCTCTCTTTACAGTTGTAGCTCAGGCTAGTAACAGCAATATAAATAAAAGGAAACACACATCCTCTCTGTCTCTGTCTCTGTCTCTCTCTCTCTCTCTCTTTCTCTTTCATGTATGTATGTATGTGTTATTTTAATATATATAATGTGTATACTATATAGTGTACATATGTATCTGTGTATTTTGTATATAACATATATTACATACATAAAATAGTGTATATATGTATGTGTATATATAAATATATACAGTTCTGTGGCACATAATGATGTTTCAGTCAACAATGGACCACGTATATGATGGTGGTCCCATAAGATTATAATACTGTATTCTTACTGTACCTTTTCTGTGTTTAGATATATTTAGATACACAAATACTTTCTGTGTTTAGATATATTTAGATACACAAATATTTAGATACACAATTGTTACCATTGTGTAATAATTACAGTATCCAGTACAGTAACAAGCTATAGGTTTGTAGCCTAGGAGCAATAGGCCATACCATATACCCCAGATGTACAGTAGGCTATACCATCTAGGTTTGTGTAAGTACACTGTGATGTTCACACAATGACGAAATTGCCTAATGATGCATTTCTTAGAACGTATCTCTATCATTAAGAGATATGTGACTATATATATTTGCATGGGTGTGCACTCACACACACATGCACTTTTGTGTTGTTTGGAAAATCCCTTTGCAAAATGGTGCCTGGGTTGGAACAGGGAGAGGTAGTTAAGGGGCATGTTTGTTTCTTTTGAAATTACATAGATACATTCTCGCTGTGAAAATATATGACAAGTTATCCGGCGCGGTGGCTTACGCCTGTAATCCCAGCACTTTGGGAGGCCAAGGCAGGCGGATCATCTGAGGTCAGGAATTTGAGACCAGCCTGGCCAACATGGTGAAACCCCGTCTCTACTAAAAATAGAAAAATTAGCTGGGCGTGGTGGCAGGTGCCTGTAATCCCAGCTACTCAGGAGGCTGAGGCAGGAAAATCTCTTGAACCCGGGAGGCGGAGGTTGCAGTGAGCCAAGATCGTGCCACTGCACTGCAGTCTGGGCGACAGAATGAGACCCTGTCTCAAAATAATAATAATAATAATAAAATATTATATATTATATATATATATGACAAGTAAAAAGTATTCAAAGCAAATCGTGACTCTTCAGCCCCCACCAGTCCCATTCCCTCCTCAAAGTTATTCACTCTTTGTTAATAGTCTCTTTTCTATGCATTCTGTGCATTTACATCCACATATATTTGGGTTCAGGGGTTTTTTTCATAAGTGAGCCAAGACTCTAGAAACTGGTTTCTGATTTGTCAATCAACAACATATCTTGGAAGTCTCTTTATATCAGTACATATAAACCTATATCATTCTTTTCACACTGCTGCATAATATTTTATAGTAATATATGTACCAGTCTAGTCATTCAGGAAGAGGTATTTATTAAATGTCGCTACACCTTTGTCCTTAGGCAAGATGCAGCTAAATCATCACAGGCACATGGCTGATCGAGGCACCATGAGAAATTAGGCCTGGCTTATCCTGGCTACCTTCCTAGAGTTCCTCTCCCAGTAGCCTGGTTCCAATGGCAGACTGTTGAAGGGGGGTTTGGGGGGGAAGAGATCCATGCAGCAGAGAATACCAGCGTGGTAGGTAGAAAAATGTCCCTCAACACAGATGTTCGTGTCTTAATCTTAGGAACCTGTGAATATGTGACTTCACATGGCAAAAGATACTTGCAGATGTGATTAAGTTAAGGATCCTGAAATGGAGGAGTTATCCTGGATTGTCCAGGTGGACCCAATGTCATCACAAGGGTCCTTTAAAAAGGGAAACAGGGGGCCGGGTGTGGTGGCTCATGTCTGTAATCCCAGCGCTTTGGGAGGCCACGGCGGGCGGATCACGAGGTCAGGAGTTCGAGACCAGCCTGACCAACATGGTGAAACCCCGTCTCTACTAAAAATACAAAAAAATTAGCTGGGCGTGGTGGCACATGCCTCTAATCCCAGCTACTCAGGAGGCTGAGGCAGGAGAATCGCTTGAACCCGGGAGGCGGAGGTTGTGATGAGCCAAGATGGCGCCACTGCACTCCAGTCTGGGCGACAGAGTGAGACTTTGTCCCAAAAAAAAAAAAAGGGAAACAGGAAGGTCAGAGAAGAAGACGTGACCATGGAGTGATGTGTCCAGGAGCCTAGGAGTGCAAGCAGCCTCTGAGAGCTGAAAAAGTTGAGGAAATGGACTCTTCCCTAGAGCCTCCCGAAGGAACACAGCTCAGCTAACACCTTGACTTCAGCCCTGTAAGACCCACTTTGGACTTCTGACCTTGATAATTGTAAGATACTACATTCGTGTTAAGTCAGTTTGTGGTAGTTCATTACAGCAGCAAAAGAAAACTAATACAGCTAGACACCTGAGAGTAGGAGAGAGGCAAAGATAAATGTGCATGCAGATCACCTGGAGATCTTGTTAAACTGCAGACTGCATCACTAGGTCTTGAGTAAGGCCTGAGATTCTGCATTTCTTCTTTCTTTCTTTCTTTTTTTTTTTTTTTTTTTTGAGACATAGTATCACTCTATCACCCAGGCTGGAGTGCAGTGGCGCAATCTTGGCTCACCGCAACCTCCACCTCCCAGGTTCAAGCAATTCTCCTGCGTCAGCCTCCCGAGTAGCTGGGATTACAGACACCCATCACCACGCCCAGCTCATTTTCATATTTTTAGTAGAGACTGGGTTTCGCCATGTTGGCCAGGCTGGTCTTGAACTCCTGACCTCAAGTGATCTGCCCGCCTCAGCCTCCCAAAGTGCTGGGATTACAGGCGTAAGCCAGTGTGCCTGGCCGAGCTTCTGCATTTCTAACAAGCTCTCAGGTCATAACAATGCTTCTGATACACACTTTGATTAACAGTGTGTTAATTTGATTAGCAGAGACTAGAAGACACTGGATACCCATGTAACATTTTACACTTTATGAAGCCTTTTCATAACTATCATACCTCATTTTTAAAAATTTATTTTTATTTATTTTTATTATACTTTAAGTTCTGGAATACATGTGCAGAACGTGCACGTTTGTTACATAGGTATACATGTGCCATGGTGATTTGCTGCACCCATCAATCTGTCATCTACATTAGGCATTTCTCCTAATGCTATCCCTTCCCTTGCCCCCCACCCGCCCAACAGGCCCCTGGTGTGTGATGTTCCCCTCCCTGTGCCCATATGTTCTTATCATTTTTCAGCTCCCACTTATGAGTGAGAACATGTGGTGTTTGGTTTTCTGTTCCTATGTTAGTTTGCTGAGAATGATAGTTTCCAACTTCATCCAAGTCCCTGCAAAGGGCATGAACTCATTCTTTTTTATGGCTGCATAGTATTCCATGATGTATATGTGCCACATTTTCTTTATCCAGTCTATCATTGATGGGCATTTGGGTTGGTTCCAAGTCTTTGCTATTGTGAATAGTGCTGCAATAAACATATGTGTGCATGTGTTTTTATAGTAGAATGATTTATAATCCCTTGGGTATATACCCAGTAATGGGATTGCTGGCTCAAATGGTATTTCTGGTTCTAGATCCTTGAGGAATCACCACACTGTCTTCCACAATGGCAGAATTAATTTACACTCCCACCAACAGTGTAAAAGCATTCCTATTTCTCCACATCCTCTCCAGCATCTGTTGTTTCCTGACTTTTTAATGATTGCCATTCTAACTGGCATGAGATGGTATCTCATTGTGGTTTTGATTTGCATTTCTCTAATGACCAGTGATGATGAGCATTTTTTCATATGTTTGTTGGCTGCATAAATGTCTTCTTTTGAGAAGTGTCTGTTCATGTCCTTCACCCACTTTTTGATGGGGTTGTTTTTTTCTTGTAAATTTGTTGAAGTTCCTTGTAGATTCTGGATATTAGCCCTTTGTCAGATGAATAGATTGTAATAATTTTCTCCCATTTTGTAGGTTGCCTGTTCACTCTGATGATAGTTTCTTTTACTGTGCAGAAGCGCTTTAATTAGATCCCATTTGTCAATTTTGGCTTTTGTTGCCATTGCTTTTGGTGTTTTAATCATGAAGTCTTTGCCCATATCATACCTCGTTTTATCATCCTCACAACCTTGTGATATAACTATGACTGTCCCCATGTTACACATGAGGAAACCAAGGACAGTGGTTCTCAACCCTGGCTGAATATTAGAATCACCCAAGGAACTTTTAAAACTCCCATTGCACAGTTACCACCCAGAATAATTATGTTAGAATCTCTTGGTGTGTGGCCCAAACAGCAGTATTTTTTGGAATCACCAGGTGATTCCAATGCACTGCTAAGGGTAAGAACCATTGCACTAGAGCAGTGCTTCTCAAAGTGTGGTCCCTGAGCAAGTAACAGCAGTATCTGGGAACTTGTTCGAAATGCAGATTCTGGCCAGGCACGGTGGCTCACGCCTGTAATCCCAACACTTTGGGAGGCCCAGACAGGTGGGTCACCTGAGGCCAGGAGTTCGAGACCGGCTTGGCCAACACGGTGAAACTCCGTCCCTACTAAAAATACAAAATTAGCTGGGCGTGGTGGCTGCACACCTGTAATCCCAGCTACTCAGGAGGCTGAGGCAGGAGAATTGCTTGAACCTGGGAGGTGGAGGTTGCAGTGAGCTGAGATCACACCATTGCACTCCAGCCTGGGCGACAAGAGCGAAACTCCTTCTCAAAAAAAAAAAAAAATAAAAATAAAAATAAAAAAGAAAAGAAAGAAAGAAATGCAGATTCTCAGACTCACCAATGACCTGAAACTCTGGGAGTAGGACCCAAGAACCTGGGTTTTAAGACACCCTCCAGGTGATTCTGATACACTCTCAAGTTTGAACATGGGTTTGAAAAGGGCTAACTTGACTCCGTGGAGTCAAGAGCTGGGGAAACCCAAGCACACCTTAGGTCCAGGTATAAAATTAGGCTAGGTTCTAAGCAACTGGAATCAATCTCCTAATGGACATACCAAAGAATAAGAACTGTTTTCAGGATGGCAACTAGAATACTGAATCCCCACAACACAGTCTTTCTGATCCTTTTTTAGGAGAGACATCTGCCAAAGGCCCTCTCAGACTGTCAAAACATCCTGGAATATATTTGCGTCCAACTCTGCACCTTGCTCTCTATTCCCTCACTTCAAACACTAACCTTTCCCATTTGTGCTCTCACCTGAACTGAGTAAATAAGCTTCTAACCACTCTTCTCCCCACCCCTCTCTTCTTGGTATCCAAGATGAGAGTGGCAGGCGAAAGGGTAGTTCTAATGTACCCAAGCAAATGGATACACATCCTAAAACAGGAGTGACTTATGCAGCTGCCCCTCCAGAGTGCATCTCACCTGCTTCAGCAACACAGTTGCCCTTTGGTCTAACCTCCCCCCCTCAACCGCCCCCACGTTCCTATTCCTGGAAAATGGAAAATTCCATAGCCAAACATCAAGCAGACACTTCCCAGAATGCAGCTCATCTCCTCTTCTCCTCCCGCAGAGATACCTCAGGTCTATAGGATTAAGAAAGGCAAGCCCAGCAGCCACTACTCACTGACCAGACCTGGCCCAACATGCTGCAGAAATAATTATCAATTAGTATACTTGAGAGACAGCAGCGTGAGGTGGAGAATGGGTTCTAAACTGAATGACAGCTGTTAACAGTTTTTGGCCCTGTTTTTCCTGTCCTGAATCCTCAACTGAGATCCTAGGGATGAGAAACGGGGGAACAGCACGCCCTACTTGAGAGAATTAGAATTTGAGGCGCTAGGAAGCAAAAGGTAAGAAACAGCTTAAATGTGTGGTAGCACTCCTGAAAATATGCTGGGGCCCCTCAAAAAGCTCACCTTCCCTCACTTCCCACTTCAACTGATTATGAGCATCTTGCTTGATTAAAAGCAATTCATAATAGTAATTGAGAATTAGTAAGAAAAAGCTTAATTAAGCTGAGATTAATTATTTAAGCTGGTACTCGAGGTTTTGGAAGAAAAGTAGAAATTTAATGTCAAGGTATGGAGGAAGAAAAAAGTATGATTGGAGTCAATTATATCTTTTGACAGACAGGAGACCTGATGAATGTCCCTGTCCCTCCAGAGTCCCTGAAGCACCAGTGAAGGGAGAGGGCCTGGCGAGACAGCATGTACAGGTACTTGGGAGTTGTCTAGTAACTTGCTGGTTGGAGGGGGAGGGACTAGCTCAGGGCCCAGGGGGAGGTCTATACTGAAGTTGCTGCCTTTAGAGAGCTGGAGAGGCAGGAGGCTGAGGACTGAAAAGAGAGGGTGAGTAATTCTTCATGACCTGTAGGATCCCAAAGATGGCGACCTGCCAGCCTGGACTGCCAGCGAAGGCCAGAATCGTGCTGTAGCTCTGAACCCACAGCTCCTCTGCCCCTGGCCCATGAGAATTTCAGCTGGAGAGATAGCATGCCCTGGTAAGTGAAGTCCTGCCACTTCGAGACATGGAATCATCTTTCTCATTTGGAGTGATCCTTGCTGTCCTGGCCTCCCTCATCATTGCTACTAACACACTAGTGGCTGTGGCTGTGCTGCTGTTGATCCACAAGAATGATGGTGTCAGTCTCTGCTTCACCTTGAATCTGGCTGTGGCTGACACCTTGATTGGTGTGGCCATCTCTGGCCTACTCACAGACCAGCTCTCCAGCCCTTCTCGGCCCACACAGAAGACCCTGTGCAGCCTGCGGATGGCATTTGTCACTTCCTCCGCAGCTGCCTCTGTCCTCACGGTCATGCTGATCACCTTTGACAGGTACCTTGCCATCAAGCAGCCCTTCCGCTACTTGAAGATCATGAGTGGGTTCGTGGCCGGGGCCTGCATTGCCGGGCTGTGGTTAGTGTCTTACCTCATTGGCTTCCTCCCACTCGGAATCCCCATGTTCCAGCAGACTGCCTACAAAGGGCAGTGCAGCTTCTTTGCTGTATTTCACCCTCACTTCGTGCTGACCCTCTCCTGCGTTGGCTTCTTCCCAGCCATGCTCCTCTTTGTCTTCTTCTACTGCGACATGCTCAAGATTGCCTCCATGCACAGCCAGCAGATTCGAAAGATGGAACATGCAGGAGCCATGGCTGGAGGTTATCGATCCCCACGGACTCCCAGCGACTTCAAAGCTCTCCGTACTGTGTCTGTTCTCATTGGGAGCTTTGCTCTATCCTGGACCCCCTTCCTTATCACTGGCATTGTGCAGGTGGCCTGCCAGGAGTGTCACCTCTACCTAGTGCTGGAACGGTACCTGTGGCTGCTCGGCGTGGGCAACTCCCTGCTCAACCCACTCATCTATGCCTATTGGCAGAAGGAGGTGCGACTGCAGCTCTACCACATGGCCCTAGGAGTGAAGAAGGTGCTCACCTCATTCCTCCTCTTTCTCTCGGCCAGGAATTGTGGCCCAGAGAGGCCCAGGGAAAGTTCCTGTCACATCGTCACTATCTCCAGCTCAGAGTTTGATGGCTAAGACGGTAAGGGCAGAGAAGTTTCAAAGTGCCTTTCTCCTCCCCACTCTGGAGCCCCAACTAGATCAGCAGGAGCTAGGGGGATGAGAGCACTTGCTTCAGGCAATTGACCCCTGTCCCAGCATCCCCCACCCCCAGACTGACAGGTAACTGAGGCAGAGTCCTGACTTTCTTCTATAATCAGTTTCCCCATTTTCAAATCGCCACTCCTCCCTGTCCTTCTTTTGAAATGAGCCTGTCTCTGGTGTACAGGTACACTTACTTAAAGCAAGAAATGTACTGCTAAAAAGATGCTTATAGATCAAATTCTATTTTTGAGTATACCAGAGCAGCACTGTCCAACAGAAATATAATGTGAGCCACACGCATAATTTTACATGTTCCAGTAACCGTTTTATAAAGGTAAAAAGAAACAGGCAAAACTAATATTTTATTTATCCCAACGTAACCAATATATTGTTTTCAACATGTCATCAATATAAAAATTATACTGGTTTTTTTTTCATACTAAGTCCTTGAGATCTGGTGTGTATTTTGCCCTTACAAAACATCTCAATTTAAACTAGCCATATTTCAAATGCTCAGTAGCCACATGTGGCTAGTGGCTCCCATACTGAACAACACTAGAGAAATGAGGTTCTGTTATTTTTAAGTGTTTACTATAGTGACTTACTACAGTAATTGCTTTGGCAAGGTGAGGAGTCCCTCCTCCTCCTGCCCTTACTGATATTAATCAGAGATCTTATATGGTGAATGTGCCTAAAAGGTAGAAACCTCAATTCCTCTAAAGCTTGTCTTTTCGCACACCTCATGATGTTTAAAATAGGTTATTTCCCAAAGAAACACTATCTTGTGATTATTTCTGCTGTTACCGGTCCCAATCCACCACCTTTTAACTCTCTGCTGCCCCTTCCCTTAAGATGGCCTCATATGTCACTTGTGGCTACTTGCTGATGACAATGCTGGATCACAAATTCTGAGGCACTGGGAGGGAAGAGAGAGAAAACATGTGGGTACCAAGGCAGGCACAGCCAAGCTCTCCAGACTGGAGCCACTTTGCTCCTCAGGGCTCCTTCCACTTACTCCCAATTTTGCATTTTCCTAAGAAACTGTTGCACAGGAGACCAGCTGAGGAGCAGGTGCCTCATCCTCCTTTCCGTGGGGTACAGAAAATGACAAGGTTGGCAGATGGGAACTATGCTCAGTTTCCCTCTGGGCAACCTGGCAGCAAAAAACCAAGAACAGAATAGCGAAGACACTCAGGAACCACTCTCTGCCTTTCTGAGTTTCCCTGTAACCCTCTCCAAAACCTCCTGGTCTCCACAGTGGATTGCTAGAGAGTTTGGCTCTCAAGACCTTAAACTGTAATATTGCCCCAGAAAGCTGCCAAGTTGACAACAAAAGAGGGCAAGAAGAAACCAAAACAGTATGGATTAACTTGCCTAGGATTTGGTACTGAATTAGGTACCAAATTAGGTACCAACCTTAGGTTGGTTAATCCCTCAATATCCCTAAATTAATGACCTGAGGATGCATTTGAATCCAACGTGTAATGGCTAATTCCAAGAGGCCCTTGAAATTTTTCATTCTAATCACAAATTATAATGTTTAGACCTGGATGGAATCCAGCCACCCTCCTTTCAAAGGATGTCACCACACCACTATGCTTTGCACTCGGATTTTCTTAATTCCCCTTAGTCTTAGATTAACTCCCAGCTTACTTTCCTCAGTCATTCAGAGGATAATGATCATCCTTTTCAGTTTCCCTACTCTTGAGAAAATTTCCTTCTCCCTACCTTCACCCTATATCTTCTTCAGCCCAAATGGCTGTTTCTCATTGATCTATTCTACTACATACACATCAACCCACTTTTGGTAAATTTTTTGCAGTCGCTTTGCTTACCAGTCTGGCCCAGAGGAGAAACATGCTTGCTTTCACCATAGCAAGCATCGTGTTCCTACAACTGAAGAACTTTTTGACTCTCAAGTGGACGATGGAACCCAATATGCCTTGAAATGCTGAGCATCCAGCAAGTACCAGGCCAGCAATAAGGCACATTCTTGGATTGTATTGTGAGTTACTGGGAACTAGGTAAAATACGAATAACTGGATTTTGGACAAAATTGAAAGCAGGCTCAAACCAATGCCCTCCTTACTGGTGGTTCAAAGCTTAAATCCTGGCCTTGCTACAAAGGACTGATCTTGCCAAGATAATATAAGCAAAGTGGAATGAAAATTAAAGTTAATTCTGAAGCCAAGGTCCTTTTAGAAAAAAAAAAGTAAATTAGCCTGATTTAATCATTCCACATTTTAAACATATATCAACATCACATTGTACCCCACGTAATATATACAATTATTTGTCAATTAAAAATAAAAAATATATATATTTTTAAGTACAGAAAAGCAGGAGGGGAGGAGAGGCCAGGTGATCAGTGTGTTATTAGGTTCAATCTAAGAAACTCTGCTACCCCTGGGAGTCAGTATGTGCAATGGAAAAATCACAGGTCTTGAAATCCAACAGACCAGTGTTCAAATGATAATTCAGTCATTTAAATTCTCAAACTAGATCTCGCATTCATCAAACCGGGGTAATAATGCCTACTTTACATGGTTATATTGAAGATTAACTCAGATAATGTATATGTAAATATCTAGTAAACTACAGCACATTGTTAGTGCTCAAAAATGTCAGTTCTCTTCCTCTTCTTTAAACACCCTGGACTAAACAGTCAGTTGACCCATTTAAGGGAGTCCCTCATATTCAGATATTATGACATATAGGACAAGGACAATTGGACTCAGAACTGTAAATTCCTCAACCTCTGAATAAGATTTTTAAAAATGAGTGATGAGAGGTGATTCAGGTTGAAAAAGACAAACAATAAATCTAATACCTTAGCAGTATCAAGACAGAGCGGATACAAACAAGGCACTGGCACTAGTATGGTAATTGGATTTAAGAGTAATCACAATTAAAAACACTGTGTTTGGCCAGGCATGGTGGCTCACGCCTGTAATCCCAGCATGTTGGGAGGCTGAGGCAGGTGGATCACGAGGTCAGGGGTTCAAGACCAGCCTGACCAATATGGTGAAAAGCTGTCTCTACTAAAAATACAAAAATTAGCTGGGCACGATGGCAGGCGCCTGTAATCCCAGCTACTCAAGAGGCTAAGGCAGGAAAATCGCTTGAACCTGGGCGGCAGAGGTTGCAGTGAGCCAAGGTCGCGCCACTGCACTCCAGCCTGGGCAACAGAGTGAGACTCCGTCTCAAAAAAACAAACAAACAAACAAAAAAAAAAACAGCAACAACACTGTGTTTAATAAGCCACCAAGAGCAGAGCTACAGGATGCTACACAAAAGTCTAATGGCTTTCTTTGATGCAAGCTCCTTCACAGATAAGGGAATGTACCGGAAACGTTTAGATTTCATTCATACATCTGATGTTGTTTCCTGATAGGCTTACCAAGAAACCAGATTCAGTTCAGCAAGGTGATCAAAACATCCCAGATATTAATACCTTGTAGGATGCAATGTAGGCCAATCAGTCCCATTTATTATTTCCATGAACAGCTTACTGTGAATTTGTGGTGTTTTTGTTTTAAGAGACAGGGTCTCGCTCATCACCCAGGCTGGAGTGCAGTGGTGCGATCATAGCTCACTGTAGCTTCAACTTCCCAGACTCAAGCAATCTTCCCACCTCAGCTTCCTGAGTAACTGGGACCACAGGCACATGCCACCATGCCCAGCTAATTTATTTATATTTTGTAGAGACAGGGTCTCCCTATGTTGTTCATGATAGTCTTGAGTGATGCTCCCACCTCAGCCTTTCAATGTGCTGTGATTACAGGAGGAAGCCACTGCACCAGGCTGAATTTGTAATTAAAATTGTAACATGACTAAGTTTTATATTAATTCCTTAGGTAGGAAAGGTTATACATATCAACACCTCAATTTCAGAGGACTATTCTCAAAGAACATAAGGACACTGTAGGCCTCTGTACAGAGGTGTTTTAAGTGGTTTCACAAGTGTTAGAGGCAGGTTACCCTGACCAACACACTCCTGCTTGTCCATATGTCCAGTGTCAGCCAGAGATAGCCTTGGGATATCTTCTCCCTAGAAGGAGAAGTGTTAACTGGTTCAAATGGGAATTGAACTCATGACCTTGATTTCATTCCCACCATGCTCAGTCACTGGCCAAACTGAATAGAGACCAGTGAAAACAGCAGGCACAAGATACTTAAGGACACACATAGAATCAGCAAAAACAAGAATAGCAATGGACCCAATGACAGACCACAACTCCTCAGCTACTGTCAGCCACTCAATTCTGTGGCTCCTTCAGTATTTTCCACGTCATCCTTCAAACTGCTGACAGGTCTGGAATTTTCTCCTTTTAATTAAAAAATCTTCACTTGTTATTTCTGCAATCTTATAAATTCAATGATGGTGCCTACAAATGCCAATCGTCATTCATTCATCCGTCTGTCCACTTACCTATCTCACAAACATTGAGAGCTATGTGCTAAAATTGCCCCAGCTTTGCTGGGATATCTTCTAGGGGTATAGATTGATATATAAATGATGTTTACTATTTCTTTTACGATTATAAAAACAACTTTTGTTCATTAAAAAAATTTTGCAAACATAGGAAATCACAAAGTACCCATAATTATACTATCCAGAGATGACCACTGTTATTCTCCTTCATCTGTTTTTTTCACTTAACATTATATTGTGTATATTTTCCTATGTCGTCTTTTTCAAAAACACAACTTGTAATGGTTGCATGCTTTTTCAACAAATGGTATAATACTTTAACTATTTCCCTATAGCTGTGCTAAAACTTAGGTTATTTCTAATTTCTGTTATAATAGCATGATAAATATCCCTGTGTATAAATCATTGGCATGTCTCTGTCCCATTCCTTAGGATAAATTCACCAAGCAGTATTACTAGATCAAGGAGCATTAAATATTTATAAGTATTTGTTTTTAGATGGAGTCTCACTTTGTTGCCCAGGCTGCAGTGCAGTGGCACGATCTCGGCTCACTGCAACCTCCGCCTCTCGGGTTCAAGCGATTCTCCTGCCTCAGCCTCCTGTGTAGCTGTGACTACAGGCGCACACCACCACACCCAGCTAATTTTTTGTATTTTTTAGTAGAGATGGTGTTTCACCATATTGGCCAGACGGTCTTGAACTCCTGACCTCGTGATCCGCCCACCTCGGCCTTCCAAAGTGCTGGGATTACAGGCATGAGCCACTGCACCGGGCCAAGAATTTTGATTCACATTTGTGCTAGCATTTCTTGAAGTGTAATATTTCCCTGAGACACCTGCTAAGAGAAGTCATAAGTGAGCCATAAATGAACAGACCACACTGATAGGAACATCCCAAAGAGATAAAAGCACACAGCTTCCTGAAAGAATAAATCATACTGAGGAAGTTAACCAGTTGCTTTTTTTTTTTTTTTTTTTTTTTTTTTTTTGCAAAAGGAAACTTTTTGATATGGCCTACTGCCAGGGTTCATCTGCCTTCTGCAAATTCAGAAATCTGAACTAACAGAACATAGTAGTTTAAGAATGCCTCTCACAGAGTACAACTCCATCAATACAGTGCAGTGTGATATCCAGATATCAATTTCAGTGTTTTGGCTCTTAAAATTTTCGGACATAGTTGCTCCATAAAATGCTGAGTAGACATGAGAATAAGAAAACATCTTCACGCAGAGCTAGGAAACCGTTCTTGAATCTGCTGAATGAAGCCTTGAAGCCATAGTCTTGCAGTTTGCTGAAAGGGCAAGATATGCTTCACCTAATGGATCAACCATGGCAGGGTAAAGTGCATGAGAGCTTAACATGCTACTACTCAGCCATATGTTCCCTGCATTTACAAGCTGTTGGGACCATAATCAGCCACTGGGCTCAAAGAGCCCTCTCATGAGGAGTCCTAGAAACGACTGATGCAGCTGCTAAGAGCCTATGAGTCTGTTTTAATGCACAAAGCAGTTCCTGTTTCTTTCAAAACGCCTTGTACACAATGGGGCAGACGGGATTCAGTTGCTACCAAGCACTGGGGAAACTAAAACTCCGTAGGGCCAAGAGCCTGAGGGGCTCTCTTCATCTGCTTAGGTTTGTTTTTATTTGGTGTATGTTGCCCAACAATCCCACGATTGAATCACAGTTCCCATTTACCATGATACATCCATATCAGTTCCAGTTCTGTCTCAATTGTGTTGACATTAAGGCACTAAAAAGCTGATAAGCTTGCTGAGATAACACACTCACAGGCCCAGTAAAATGCCATGCTGTATAACAAAACTGTTCAATGTGCTTTTACCCACCAACCCCTCCTTAGTATTTTTGCAGATGTGTCCATTGAGCCATTCAACAAATATGAAAGCATTTCCTATAGAAAAGCAAATGGGTATCATATCATCTCAGAAGTAGTTAAAAAAAAAAGGTGAGAAAACTAAACTAAGAAATTGTAGCTGAATGGCTCTGAGATTATTTCAAATGTGAAAAACAGACTCATAATCCAAACATTTCTTATTCAAAATTCCAACCACCACTTTAATATTGCTAGGTCCCTTAGTAATCTTATACAATGAAAGTGTTAAATGGTTTTTCTTATTTACAAAATAAATGGAAGAGACAAGGATGCATGAAGTGTTTATGGTAAGTAAAGCACAGCCCAAAATACAACTGAATTCTGATGCTGAGACACTGAATGGAGAGAAGAAATATCCTTTAATAGTGAAACCTCAGAAATAAAAATTATTGGCCGGGTGTGGTGGCTCACGCCTGTAATCCCAGCACTTTTGGAGGGTGAGGTGGGTGGATCACCTGAGGTCAGGAGTTTGAGACCAGCCTGGCCAACATAGTGAAACCCCGTCTCTACTAAAAATACAAAAATTAGCCAAGTGTGGTGGCACATGCCTGTAATCCCAGCTACTTGAGAGGCTGAGTGAGACAGGAGAATCACTTGAACCCGGGAGGCGGAGGGTGCAGTGAGCCAAGATTGCACCACTGCACTCCAGCCTGGGCGACAGAAGGAGACTCCATCTCAAAAAAAAAAAAAAAAAATATATATATATATATATATATGTATATATATATGTATATATATATATACATATATATATATAGAGAGAGAGAGAGAGAGAAAGAGAGAGAGAGAAATGGCCATTTTGAGAAGACATGAAGATATTTATTTTTTAATACCCAGCAATTTTATTAACCTACATGCAATATCCTGACTAGATTAGGCTAATAAAAATATTACCCCTTAAGTGACATGCTTTGGTGAATAGAGATTTAATTTATAATCAGGTTCATAGTAATCCTTCCTCCTATAAATTTGTTTATAAGTGTAACAAAGTTCTTCTTTCCATTGGAGGAGAAAGGGTGGAAAGCCTAGCCCCATGTCCAAATTACTAAATTTCAAACTAGTGGCATCTGTATCAATAATTCCACATTCTTCAACAAATGGTCTTACATACAACAGGAACAAGTTCATGTTGTTCTGGTGTGCCATCTCTGACTGCAAGACCCTCTTTTTGAACACTGTTGTGCTACCCCTAGTGAACTGTCCTCAGACTGGAGGAAGAAGGGGGTGGAGCAGTGATGAAGGAGGTCACAGAGAAGAAAGGCCAACAAACGGAAGAGGGAGAAGCGGGAGAAAGTGGAGAAAGGGGAAATGATGTATTTGCAGTCACAGGTCTCCAGGAAAATAATCTTAATCCAGTGTTACTGTTAAGTGATAAAGAGTGACCAACCACAAAAACTATTGACCTTCTTTCTCCCACGGCGCTATAAAGATAGGGGAATTAATGAAATCAATATTCTTTACTGCTCACCTGCCATAAACTTTAAGTGACTCTGGACAAGGTTAAGTCAGTATACCTCAAGCATAGTGATTGTAATTACGGGATTGTGAGCCAGACTGCCTGGGCTAGAATCCTGACTCTGCCATGTTTAAGAGGCAGAAGTATTTCACCTTTCTGTGCCTCAGTTTCTCATCTGAAAAAGGAGAATTGTACCTACTCTCATAGGGCTGGTTGTAAGGATGTAGACAGAGTATAAACACAAAATACTTAAACAGTACCTGGTACATAATAAAACCCATACTCTGTATTACCTATTATTAATAGCTAATAATTATTAAGCTAATTATTAATTAGCTATTATCTGGGTTGTTTCATTCTCCAGCCTCTCAAAAAAAAGGGGAAAAAAGTGGAAAGTTTTTGCATCTTACAACCTACAGATTTTGGTTATCATTTTATCCCTTCAAATATGACTTCCTAGGGGAAAGGATGTGGGTTGTGGAAGAGAGTAAGCAGAGTTAAGGATTACTTCAAGGCCTGAGCCACTAAAAGGGTTTTTAGGGGCAAATCCAGAATTTTGTTTTGTGAAGTGTCTTTCAGACTTTATTTCTTAGAGACAGGGTCTTGTTATGTTGTCCAGGCTGGCCTTAAGCTCCTGGGCTCAAGTGATCCTCCTGCCTCTGCCTCCTGAGTAGCTGGGGCTACAGATGTCTGCCACTGAGCCCAACTTGTGCCTATTAGACTTTAAGAGTGATGTAGAATAAGCAGTGGGACATAGAAATATGGAGTTCAGGGGAGAAGTATGGGCTGAGGATGTATATTTGGAAGTCACCAGCAGATATATGGTACTAAAACCATGGAAAACACTGCCCTGCTACTTGGTCATACCTTTAGTAATCCTTAGCTTACAGCCATTTTCCTAATAATTCAAAATTTATTTTATTTTATTTTTGAGACGGGGTTTTGCTCTGTCGTCCAGGCTGGAGTGCAGTGGCACCATTGTGGCTCACTGCAACCTCTGCCTCCCAGGTTCAAGCAATTCTCCTGCCTCAGCCTCCCTAGTAGCTGGGATTACAGGCCACCACGCCCAGTTAATCAAATTTTAATTTAATTCAATTTAAATTCCACAGTATTTGTTGAACCTTTCCTATGTTTTAGGCATTTAATCAGATCCTTTGGATACAGACCAGTTCATTTACTCATTTAACAAATGTGTACTAAGTGCACATAACTGTATAAAGCACTGAGAACCCAGTAGTAAACAAAACTGACATAATCCCTATTTTCATGGAGCCCCAAATGATGGGAGATACAGAAATTAGTGAAATAATCACACACATATAGTACATAGATATAAATTCTGATATGTGGTATATGAAATTATAATGAGGAAAGTTATTTACACTGGGGGAGAGGAAATCACTGGAAGGTTTTTCTGAAGGAATAATATTTAGGTTGAGGTGAACTAAAGCCATTTTGCAATATATATAAATCCTTCAAGAAACTATTTTCAGGCGGGGCGCAGTGGCTCACACCTGTAGTCCCAGGACTTTGGAGGCTGAGGCGGACGGATCACCTGAGGTCAGGAGATCGAGACCAGCCTGGTCAGCATAGTGAAACCCCATCTCTACTGAAAATACAAAAAAAATTAGCCAGGCGTGGTGGCAGGTGCCTGTAATCCCAGCTACTCAGGAGGCTGAAGCAGGAGAATCGCTTGAACCCAGGAGGCAGAGGTTGCAGTGAGCCGAGATCACACCACTGTACTCCAGCCTGGGCAACAAAAAAAGAAACTATTTTCAGCTGTACTATTGTGAAACAAAAAATATGTTCCCTTTTGCTAATTTGGGGATGAGTAGGGTATCTGATGGATATAGTAAATGTTTTAAAAAATAATAATATAAACAATGAGATACCACTACATACCTATCAGAAGGGCCAAAATCCAAACCGATGACAGCACCAAAAGCTGGAGAAGATGTGGAGCAACAATAGCTCTCATTCATTGCTGTTGGGAATGCAAAATGGTGCAGCCACTTCACAAGACAGTTTGGCAGTTTCTTACAAAACTAAACATTCCCTTACCGTACCATCTAGCAACTGTGCTCCTTGGTATTATATTTACCTAAATGAGTTGAAAATGTCTACACAAAAACCTACACACAAATATTTATAGCAGTTTGATTCATAATTGTCAAAACTTCGAAGCAACCAAGATGTCCTTCAGTGGGTGAATGAATAAACTGGTACATCCAGACAATAGAGTATTATTCAGTGCTAAAAAGAAATGAACTATCAAGCCACGAAAAGACATGGAGGAACCTTAAATGCATATAAGTAAGTTAAAAAAAAAAAAGCCAATCTGAAAAGTATGATTCCAACTATATGACATTCTGGAAAAGGCAAAACCATGGAGACAGTAAAAAGCCTCAGTAGTTGCCAGAGGTTAGGCGAGAGGAAGGAACGAATAAGAGGAACATAGAGGATTTTTAGGGCAGTGAGACCATTCTATATGATTCTATAATGATAGATACATATTACACATTTGTCAAAATGTATAATGCCTTATCCTCATGGTGACATAGACTCTTCCTCTGTCTCACCTCGAGTGTCATTTGTGCTATGAAGCCTTTGGCAAATCCTCTAGGTAAGGCTGTTCCTCCTCTGTGCTCCCACACAGCATTTTGTTCATCTCTCACATAGTACTTAGGTCCTACTGTAATTATTTACTTACAAATCTGTTCTTCCACTATGATGTGAGCTTGAAAACAGACACTATGTCTTAGTCATTTTATAGTCCTAGACATAATAGATACATAATAAATGTTGAACAAATTAATGAATGGATAAAGATGAAGAACTATTAATTCCACAAATATTTGAGTGCCTACAATGAGCCGGGCTCTGTTTCAGTACAAAAAAAGTAGCCAGAACTTTGTACCTGTAAGATGATTAGAACCCTGGGAACAGGCTTCTATTTTAAGCCTTTTTTTAGCTTTTTACCTGTAGGAACTTCCAAATGAGCCACTTGCTTGTTTATTCATGTTTAAGAAAGAACCACCTGCCCAACGTTTAGCAGTGGCATTATGACAATGAATGGCAGTGGGAAAGCACAATGCACTCATTCTCGTCTCATAAAAGTGCACTTTAAGAGTCCAGTCTCAATTTCATAGTTATCTTCCTTTATTATTCTCTGGAGAATGTAACTTCAAGAGTTGGCAAAGGAGAAAATAGTAAATGAAGACAAAGCCAAAGTGATTCTGCCAATAAATACTTTAATGAGAACCGAGGTCTGTAACACATATAGCAATAACCACCCTGGCCTATGCCTTCTGCTCTAGCCCAAGTCTGGGGCTAACCAATTACATTTAACCACATTTGGAAAGCAGGCCGTTTTCAATGTCACCCATCAGTATCCATCTTCATAGAAGATACCAATCTGGGGCCAGAGTCTCAATGTTAACACTTTCTCTCGGGGAAAAGTTAACATGGTAACACAAACATAGAAATAACTTTGAACCACCCCACTGTTCTTCCATCAGGAGGCCCTTAGGAGACCAACGGCTTGGTAAACACTTACAACATTGTCAAAATACATTAGAACACGGGAAAAGGGCAAAGGAGTAGAAAGGCTGGCAGGGCTGGGCTCACATATAATTCAGTTCTTAGATTTGAAGCCTCTTTAGCTGCTCGTATGTAATAAAAAACTGAGGAGTAAGTCAAGGAAGATCACCAGGTTGATATCGAAAGCCAAAGCTAGTTCTAAAATTAGCATCGCATTCTCTTAAATTAAGGTAGTCTATGCTATTCCAAGCTGCATCTGCTTTAAAATCTTTTCTAAAACACCACCTGACAGCCGGGCGCGGTGGCTCACGCCTGTAATCCCAGCACTTTGAGAGGCCGAGGTGGGTGGATCACGAGGTCAGGAGATCGAGACCATCCTGGCTGACATGGTGAAACCCTGTCTCTACTAAAAATACAAAAAATTAGCCGGGTGTGGTGGCGGGTGCCTGTAGTCCCAGCTACTCGGGAGGCTGAGGCAGGAGAATGGCGTGAACTCAGGAGGTGGAGTTTGCAGTGAGCCGAGATCGCGCCACTGCACTCCAGCCTGGGCGAGAGAGCAAGACTCCATCTCAAAAAAAAAAATAAAAATAAATAAATAAATAAATAAAACACCACCTGTCAAATCAAGCATGCATTGAGTGCCTACCATGTGCCCATTCAGATCACTGGCATCGAACAACATAAACAGAGTAAAACTCTAATATATTTATAGTCTTCAGGGGGAAACAGGACAAACGCACACACGCACACACACACAGTAACCAAGAACATCAGTGACGACATATAATTAATTAGATGATCAGAGTGATTCCAAGAGGGAACGAGATACCCTCTCTCTGTCTACAGACCCCACAAGGGCAGAGAATTACTTTCCAACCCTGCGGTGCTTACCATTATACACACAACACCACACACAGTATCCAATACATGGCTCTGCACTTAGGAGGCACTCAAACACAACTGGAGGAGACAGATTCACCCATGAAGAAAGAAGCCTGCTTGGCTGTGGATTCCTTCACCCCATGAATGTCTTCTGTCCTGTTTTTATTTCCCAGCTATTTTGGTCCTATAGTTAGGGGTAGGAAATCTGAACCACCTCAGCATGGACTTTCCTGTAGGCTTCGTCCATCAGGGTTTCTAAAAACTTCATAGCCCCTTCCAGATTAGCTGTGTTTGTTGTCATTTTGTTTTAAAGAGTAAAGTTTGACATATCTTTTCTATCCCTTTTAGTTTGTATTAGCCTCCAACTGAAAGCTGTTTCTTTGCTTAATTTGATTCTCAAGGGTCACCAATGGGATGCTTGAGTTTCTCACTAGCCTAAAAGGCTTTAATAATCAAATTTTCCTTCCCATAGCCTAGAATTATCTGGGAGCTTGAAGCACTTGCTTTCATTCTCTCAAAGGATACAATGATGTTCCAGGGTCCAAGCCGAAGCCAGTTTGGCCAAAATCCTTTATAGAGTGCAAAAAAGCCCTCATGTTTCCACATCTGCAGGAAAGATATAACCAAAAACAGAGTGAATTCACCTTTCTCTACATTTGACATCACCTTCCACTCCCACCCCAGGGCAACTTATGGCTCCATGAATAGTCTTTTCTCTAAAGGTCCATTTTAAATTCATCTGTAGTCTAAATCCATCCACCCACTTAATCAATAAATATTTACCTACCATACATATGCAAAGCACCATTCTTGATGTTGAGAATATACTAATAAACAAGACAGAAAAAGTGTCTATGGTAGCCAGCCTCCAAGATGGCCCCCAATGAACCCTACCTCCAGTTATTTGTACCCTTGCGTAGCCTCCACCCCATAGTATTTGGTCTGTGTCACCAACAGAATATGGTAGTAGTGAACATATGTCACTTCCATAGCTAGGTTATAAAATATATTTTATATATAATAAAGCATCTGCCTTATTCTCTCTTGGATTCATTCACTCTAGAGGAAACCATCTGCTATATCATGAAGAGAGGACTACATGGTGAGGAACTGAGGGCTCCAGCCAACAACTGCATGAGTGATCACTGAAGCAGCTATCCCAGCCTGTCAAGGCTTTAGATGGCAGCAACCCTAGTTGCCATATGAACTACAACCTCAGGAGACAGCCTAAGCCAGAATCAACTCAGCTAAGCTGCTTTGCAATCCCTGGCCCACAGAAACTGCAAAATAACAAATGGTTTAAGGCAATGAGTTTTGGAGTAATTTGTTACACAGCAATAGGTAACCTATACAGCAGTTTCTACCCTCATGGAGTGCATATTCTAGTGGGGCTGACAAATACACAAATTGATATATATTATATCCAAAAATAAGTGCCACAAAGAGAACTAAAGCAGGGTAAGAAAATAGAAAGTTGGGCAAGTCATTATTCTTCTCTGAGTCTGTTTCATCATTATAAATTCTATATAATGCCATAGCCTACCTCATGTGAATGCTTTGAGGATTACATGAAGAAAAATGTGAAGTGTTTTGAGTTTTGGTTTCCTACTTTATACAACAGGGGTCTTATATACATGGTTATGAGAATTAAATGATAAATTATGCATAAACGTTGTAAACTGGTGGCACGTGCTGAATTTAGCCAGCAGAAATGGTTCGTATATAATGGACAAATATCTATTACATAACTACAGTGTGTTAGGCATTGTGTTAGACATTGAAAAATGTTATTTTGCCTTTCCAATAGTGAAGTGAAACCCACCACAATTCTAAAAAAAGGATATATTTGGATAAGACAATAATATGAGAAGCCAGAGTTGTAAATATTCTTTTTCCCATCCTGTACATTAAGTATACTAGAGATAATTATCCTTACTAACTACTTTTGGGAACAAACAGTAAAATAATAAGCACAATATTTATGAAGATATAGTGGTAATATGTTTCCCCCAATGGATCTTCAGCAAATAGTAAAGGTCTGAGACCAAAACTGATGTTGGAAAATTGTGAAAATCACCCCAAATAAAGCCCAGATGTGAATAACCTAGAACCTAGACTGTTAAATGACAAGAGACCTCTGAAAGACCATCCAATCTCATAATCTCTTACCTGGACTACCACAATGGACTTTTAATTGGTCTAAAATCTCTACCTAGAAGCTAGAACAATCTTTTAAAATTATAAATGAGAGCATAACATTTCCTGCTTAAAGCTCTCAAATGGCTTCCTGGTGGATTTCATTCTAATTACAAAGTCTCTGCAAAGACCTATAGGATCCCACATGATTTAGCTGCTGCCTTTCTCTCCAGTTTCATTTCCTACTAGTTTCTCCCTTCATTCACCACACACTCAGCCACACTAGCTTTCTTTCTAACCCTTGAACATGTCCAGCTTATTTCCAACTCAGGCCTTCAGTAACCTATTCCCTCTTTATGAAATGGTTTTCTCCCAGCTCTCATGGCCAGCTCATCATCATTCAGATCTCAGCTCAAATGTCACCTCCTCAGAGGCTTTTCTTGACCATCCTTGCTGAAGTAGTTCCCCACTACTGAGTCACTATTGCAATATGCTGTTATTTTCTGCATAGCATCTATTTCTATCTAAAATTATACTGTGCATTGTGTGTTTATTGTCTCCCTCAACTAGAATGAAATCTCCAAGAGATTAGAAACTAGCTTTGTTTGTTCACCATTGTGTCACCACCACCTAACACAGTGTCTGGTGCAAGAAATTTTCCCGTAAGTATTTGTTGAAGAGGTGAACACAAAAACAGTAAGGGTCTCTAACACTCTTGTGAGCCATCTGGATCTTTTTTTTTTTAATTAAGAAACATGGTCTTGCTCTGTCGCCTAGACTGGAGTGCAGTGGCAAGACTACATAGCTCACTGCAGCCTCAAACTCTGGCTCAAGCGATCCTCCCGAGTAGCTAAGACTACAGGATGCAAGCCACAGCACCCGGCTTGAATCTTTATAAATTTCCAAAAACAGTGACCAATTTCTTCACAACGTGAGAACTGGGAGGCATCTTTTGGCATAAGGCAGTTGTGTGAAAACAAAGAACTTCTATAGATAAGCATAGACAAAATAATAAAGTCTGATGCTATTACATAAATGGCAAAATAGAACAAAGTCATTTTAAAGAATGACTGCTATTAAAATTTTTTAGTAGCAAGTGAGTAAATGAGTGAGCAAATGTAAGTACTTAAAGGTTACTACCAACATAAAAACATGTTTCTGCAGATTCAGAACAGCATAGTGGCTGTAAGTACAAACTTTGGAATCAGACAGATTGTGGATTAAGTCTCAGACCTGCCTCTTATTAGCTGTGTAATCTTGTGTAAGTTATTACTTAGCTACTCTGAACCTAAGTTTCCTCCTTTATAAAATGGGAAAGATAATATCTACTCCACAAGGTCGCTGTGAGAGTTAAAGGATATACTCTATGTACAGTGCCTGCGATAGAATAAGCATTCAATAAACATTAGCTATTACTATATTATTGTATAGTAAATCTTACAGTAAATCTTTTAGCCAATCTTCTTGAAACAGTGCTTTACATTTGTCTATTTATCATTACTTCCTGTGTTTATCTCCTTCTATTAGAATCTAAGTGTCATAAACACAGGGACATTTTGGTTTACCAGTACATCCTCAACAACCTAGAACAGTGCTTAGCACATAAGACAAACATTTCTTTCTTTTGTGTGTGTGTGGGGGGGCCTCTTCAAGAGTCAGCTTGATTTTTTCTTTTTTATTACTTGAATGAATAATCAAACATATTCCTCAATGCACAGCAATTGGCTTTTGCAAACACCAATTCACCAAACCTTCTAAAAAATATTAAATCCAACAGACTCTTTGCAGTCCTTATCATATTAGATCGCTATTGCATGTGACATTAAGTAACCACTCATTCCTTCTTGAAACTCATTAACTTCTTTGGCTCCCATGACACTACTCTCTAAGTTTCCTCGTCTTTGGTGTCTTTCCTAGGTTCCTCATCTGCCAAGACCTTAAAAATTGGTATTCCGGTCAGGGCACGGTGGCTCACGCCTGTAATCCCAATACTTTGGGAGGCCAAGGCGGGTGGATCACGAGGTTAGGAGTTCGAGACCAGCCTGACCAACATGGTGCAACCCTGTCTCTACTAAAAACAAAAATAAGCCAGGCGTAGTGGCGGGCACCTGTAATCCCAGCTACTCAGGAGGCTGAGGCAGGAGAATTGCTTGAACACGGGAGGCAGAGATTGCAGTGAGCAGAGATCACGCCATTGCACTCCAGCCTGGGCATAAATAAATAAATAAAAATTGGTATTCTGCAGTGTTTTTTCCTTGGCCCAGTGCTCTTCCCTCTACACCAGTAATTGTCAAATGCAGAAATACCAATGGGGGCTTTTGCCAAACTATACTTTCCAGGGTCTGAGAATTGCTGCCCCAGGCAATCATTATTACGGGAAAGAATTTTATAGTACTCCAGTATGCTGGGAAGGCAAAAAGGTTGTGAACTCCTCTACCTACTCTCCTTGGTCAACTCTCTCCACAGTTATATACCACCTGTGTGCTAATGACTCCATGGGCTTTTATCTATATCCATGAACCCTCTCTTGAGTCAGGGCTAGAATATCCATATGTATCCACTGGATTTTCCTCATGCACATCAAACTGAGTATCCAAAACTAGGATGTCTCCCCCAAGACGTGCTCCTCTTGTGATGCCTCTGTCAATGAATGTCACCACCTGGTCACCAACTCCAAAAACCCAGAACTTATCTTTGACACCTCTTTTCTCCCACACCCCTCCACATCCAGTCAATCAAATCCTGCTGACTCTATCAACTAATTCTTTCTTGACTCTGTCCCACCTTCTATATCTCCATTATCATGCTCAAGTTCAGGCCTTCATCCCCTCTTTCTCAGATTACAAGAGCCTTCTAATCAGCTTCCCTATCTGTAGGTCAGTGGTTCTCCAAGTGTGGTCTCCAGACTAGCAACATCAGTATTGCCTGGGAATTTATTAAAAATGCAAATTTCCAGGTCCCACTCCATACTTACTAAATCAGAATCTGGAGATGGCTCCAAGTGAACTGCAGTTTAACAAGCCCTCCAGGTAATTCTGATGCATGTTAAACTTTGAAGAACCATGGCTCCAGGCTTATCCCCTTAGTAGTCTTCAACCTTAGGTGAACATTGCAGTCACCTGATATAGTTTAAAATATTGACACCTGGACCTTACTCCCCAGGTTCTGAGTTAATTGGTCTAAGGTAGAGGAGGGAGCTGCGAAAGTTCTCCCAAGTGATTCCAATGTGTACCCAAGATGAGGAACCACTGTGGTAGATCCAGTCTCCATAAAGCCAAAGTAATCTATTTAAAATGCAAAGCTAATCTGATTAAAAACTTTCAACAGCTCCCTGACAAGTTAAAAAAAAGTCCAAGCACCTCAATATAGCATTCAGTATCCTTTATAATCTAACCCTTGGCCACCAATATGAGGAAAGCACCATAGTGGAGAGGTAAATGTCAGTTTGAGGTCAAGTGATCTGAGTTTAAATTCCAGTTCTCCCACTTAGTAGCTGTGAAACCTTAGGCAGCTTACTTAATCTTTCAGTGCTTCAGTGTCTACCTCGTGGAGTAATGGTGAGGATTCAATGAACGAATACACATAAGTCTCATAAGGACAGTTGCTGACACACAAAAAAGCACTCAGTGGATATGAGTTATTGTTATTCAAGATGCCACCATCTACAGGGAGCCTACCTCAATGCTTCCAAATTGAGAACTCTTGAGTTTATCACTTATCAGGCTGTACTGATGATCCGTTTGTATACCTATAGTACTTTTGTAATAACTGTAATTTCTCTCTAACTACTAAAATGGTGTCTAATATGTAATAGTTGTTAAACAAAACTGATAACAGGAGAGAAACCATATGGCAACATCATATTTTAGCCTCAATTTGTTTTCAGTAGCAATAATATCACCAGTAATGATGTAATACTTTTAGAATATTCAGTTCCCACAAACACAACAGCAGGAACTTTCAAAGCCAAAGTGAACAACAGCATAACCGTGAACTGAAATAAAATACAGGCTTTTTTCCTTAAGTATTGAGTTTTCTATTGCAGGGTCTCTGTGTTGTATGAAGTAGGCAAATGGGGGATATATTGTCTTTTCTATCAATAATTCTACATGATACTATTAATAAAAGCATCCTGTATTTTAAAGCATTCAAATGGGAATCATTATATTAAGTACCACTGCAAATTAGCAGATTGCTAAGGAGACAGCTTTTCTACCTGGGAATAACTGAGAAGCTACTAAAAAAATATGATTCTTTCATCTTCAAAATGGTATGTAGCAACTAATAATAAGAACTGAAGGAAGGTCTAAGACATCAAAGAAAGCCAAATTGTAACCCAAATCCACAATGTACTTACCTTTAAAATACCATCAACAGTGCCCTTATAGAGATCCACATGTCCCACGATTGCCCTCTGGTTCATCATGCGAGTTCGAACCACATCAACCGGGTTGGAGGCCAGAGCCCCAGCCAAACCACATGTAAAGCTGGAACTAAGAGGAAAAGTTTAAGTAGATCGACCCCACTTTCACTCCCTGCCCACTTAAACAGAAATTAGGCCAAACGTAAACTGTACAATATAACTCAGACCCATCAGATAAAACCTGGCACTTGGCCTTTCGTTACAATCTAAAGAGACAGGAAATTTTTCTAAAGAGACATCATTCAAAGGCTGTCCCTTCAATTTTCAATCTGAAACTCAGCCTTTTTTTTAAAGGAGAGTTTCTAAACCTAACAAGATTCCTAAGTAGAAAGTATCATGCACCATGTATTAGTTACATAAATTTTTCAAACCACAGCATCACATGCCAAATGCATTTGAGTAACAAAATTATCATAAAGGTTGCAAGACAAAGAAAATGTAAAATGAGATCAGTAACAGTCTTTAGCCAAAAAACTGTGCTTTAGTTTCACAGACCTTATTTACCCCTTTTTTTCTGATTCCCACTGAGAAAAGTTTGCTTTCTCAAACAAAATTAACCAAAGCAAATAATAGATGTGCTTATTAGATATAGAAGCTATGTATGGATAAATGTAAATCAAATAGACCTCTGATAGGCTGCTGTATTAGACAATGTTCCCAAGTACCCAAGCCCCCATAGCACCTGGCATTTCTGTGAAGTATAAAGTGTTCATAAGGCTTGAAGTTCTGATAATAGGAGAGACAAGGGAATTTAGGCCATACGTACCAGTTATCAAATTCCACCTGAGGATTTCAGTAAAAGAGGCTTTTTGTGCTCAAAATGCTGGAAATAAAATGAGCACATCCCATCCTACTTACACGAAGTGAGTTAAAATTGTATCGCCCATCATTCCTGACAATATTAAATGCTTCTTAGTAATATCATAGACTGGTAGCTCTACTCCTACAACGATGGCAGCACGCTGAGCAGTTGGAACCACACCCTACGAAACACAAGTGACATTAGGCACCAAGGAAATACAAAGGGAGTGATGTCTTAGAGTGAACAAAATAGGTCAGGAGTTGAAAAGTAACAGAAAAATACAAGTCTGAAGTACAGACGTCACTCTTTCAAATCAATGACTAATAATGGAACATATACAAATTTCCAATTCACTTGCTATACTAAAAATAAAATAATTGATATGACACCCAAAGCACAAAAGACAAAAGAAAAAAAAAAGATCAACTGGACTTCATCACAATTAAAAACTTTTATGACTCAAAAGACACCACTCAGAAAGTGAAGAGTCAACATACACAAAGGAAAAAAACATTTGCCGCTCATATATCTGATAAGGGACTAGTGTCAAGAATATATAAATAACTCTTACAACAAAAAAGGCAAACAATCCAATTTTAAAATGGCCAAAAGACCTGAAGATATTTCCTTCAAAAAAGATACACAAATGGCCAATAAGCACACGAAAAGATGCTAAACATCATTAGTCACTAGAGAAATGCAAATCAAAACCACAAGGACATACCACTTCATACCTACTAGGATGGCTATAACGATTTTTCTTTTAAGTAAAAGAAGGCCAGGCACAGGGGCTCATGCCTGTAATCCCAGCACTTTGAGAGGGTGAGGCAGGAGGATCACTTGAGGAGGAGTTCTAGACAAACCTGGGCAATACAGTAAGACTCTATCTCTTAAAAAAATTTTTTAAATTAGCCAGGCATGGTGGCATGTGCCTGTAGTCCCAGCTACTTGAGATGCTGAGGTGGGAGGATCACCCGAGCCTGGGAGGCTGAGGCTGCAGTGAGCCATGATTGCACCACTGCATTCCAGCTTGGGCAACACAGCAAGATCCTGCCTCAAAAAAAAATTTAAAAAAATTAAGAAAGAAAAAGTAAAAGAGCAAGTGTTGGTGAGGATGTGAAGAAATAGGAACCCTTATATGCTGTCAGTGGGAATGTAAAATGGGGCAGCCACTGTGGAAAACAATTTGGCACTTCCTCAAAAAGTTAAACACAGATTACCATATGAGCGAGCAATTCTACACCTAGGTATATACCCAAGAGAACTGAAAATAGATGTTCATACAAAAATGTGTACAGAAATGTTCATAGCAGTATTCATAATAGCCAAAATGTGCAAAGAACCCAAATGCTCATTAATTGATGAAGGGACAAATACAATGTGGTATACCCACACAATGGAATTAATATTCACCCATAAAAAGGAATAAAGTACTGATACATGCTGCAACATGGATAAACCTTAAAATCAGTATGCTAAATGGAAGAAGCCAGTCACGAAAGTCTACATATTGCGTGATTCCATTTACATGAAATACCTAGAACAGGTAAATCTATAGAGACAGAAAGTAGATTAGTGGTTGTCCACAGCTAGGAGGGCTGGGGGAAATGAGAAGTGATGGGTAAAGGGTAAGGGTTTCTTTTTGGTAATGAAAATGTTCTAAACTTAGACAGTGGTAATGGCTGCACTAATCTGTGAATATACTAGAAACAATTAAATCGTATACTTTAAAGATGGTGAATTTTATGTGAATTATCTCAATAAAGAATTTGGGAATTATCATTATAATATGTGAATTTTCCCAATAAAGCTGTTATAAATAAAATCATGAAGCAAAAATCAGTGGGGAGAAGAGAGCTTTCAGGTTTAATTCACAGAATTTTCAGATGTGCAGAAAGGACAAACACTAAGGTGACAGCAAAGGTATGAAGAAGCAAGAGGAAAAGCCAAGGGAAAGTGGTCCTTCGCTTACAAGTCCTGCTGTGGTAACATTACCAGGGTTTCACTCACTAGCACGATGCTCCTATCACAGCTCACATTACAACACAGGGTTGCTAGAGCATTAAAAGTCACATTTTTGAAGAATATTAATGACACAAGAAAACGCTTATGATAGCATGATAGCATGTTAAATAAAGCAAGGCATAAAATTATATATAGTATTATTCTATCTTCAGGGGAAAAGGTATACACACCAGGCCAAATTCTTAGGATTAGAACGAAATACATCAAAATATTTTTTTCCTCTGGTATTAGGATAAGAGATGTTAATTTTCATTTTTATGCCTATTTCTTTTTACATTTTCACAATGAATGTTTTACTTTTATAACTGTGTTTAGGTGTCAGTTAAAATTGAAAATAACATACCATGAGGACATCTGCTTTCTGGGATAACCACTATATTAAAAAGTTTTCAGTCATCTCTAAGTTCCCAAACTCAATTTATAAAGTGGGGCTGCTCTGCCTATGGAGTAGCCATTCTTTATTCCTTTACTTAATAAACTTGCTTTCACTTAAAAAAATAATAATAATAATCCCAGCTACACAGGAGGCTGAGGCAGGAGAATCGCTTGAACCCAGGAGGCGGAGGTTGCAGTGAGCCGAGATCGCGCCACTGCACTCCAGCCTGGCAACATAGCAAGACTCCGTCTCAAAAAATAAATAAATAAATAAATAAATAAATAAATAAATAAATAAATAAATAAAATGAAGTGGAAGTGACACAGCTATGCCAAGATGTTTGATTGTGCTGATATGGCTGGCTAGCCGAAGGGTGCCTTCCTTGCTGGCTCTTTGACCTGCTTCTCATAAAGAGGGTACCCTTCACAGAAGACTGCTTTGGTGAACAGTAAGGCCCCAAACTGGAGCCCACAGGCCAAAATCAGGCTATAGGCATGTTTCGAGTGGCCCACAGTGTTTCCAAAAGACTGAATTGGCTGTTAATATGTAAAAATCAGGATATTTCACACAGAAATGCAGATTTCCAGCTTCTCTTGAAAGGCCAGAAAATTTGACCACACCGGGCTCACCATCAACGCATGGCAGCAATGGGCTGGAGCTAAGGAGTAGCTGTCCTCTCTCAACGGGGACTGTGCTCTCCGTGCTCTCCAGGACCACAGTCCCCACCATGCTACTCTCTCTCCAACTCTGTGGTAAGTGCTAGTTATACTTTGTTATTGTGCTCGTGCTATTTTTTCTTACAATGAAGTTAGGAAGAAAGTGAAATGTTTTCAGTATTCATGTTACAATCAGAGCAGGAAGATAAACAAAGATGAGCACGTTTGAAGAAAAATGCAAACATATTTTCTTGTTGAAATGAAAAAGTAAGTCCTGTATTTTTAACATGCAAATAAAACATGTCTGTCTCAGAAGAATACATTCAACAATGTACTTTGCTTCTTTATGTTAGGTGCCTAGATCATGTAAGTAGCCTGGATCATAAAAACAGTTATGTTCAGTTTCTCAAAAAATAAACATAGATTTACCACATAATCCAGCAATTCCACTTTCGGCTATATAACCAAAAGAATTGAAAGCAGGGTCTAAAAAAGATATTTGCACACCCATTTACCCAGCAGCATTATTCACAATAGGCAAAAGGCAGAAGCCATTCAAATGTCCATCAATGGTTGAATGGATAAACAAAATGTGGTATATACATACAATGGAATATTATTCAGCCTTAAAAAGGAAGAAATTCTGACACATGCTACCACATGGATGAACCTTGAGAACATCATGCTAAGTAAAATCAGCCAGTCACAAAAAGATAAATATTGTGTGATTCCACTTACATGAAGTACCTATAATAGTCAAATTGATAGAGACACAAAAGAGAATGGGGGTTGCCAGGGGCTAGGGGAAGGAGAAATGGGGAGTTGCTTCATGGGTATAGAGTTTCAGTTTGATAAGACCTAAAGAGTTCTGGAGATCAGTTGTACAACAATGTGAATGTACTTAATTAACACTACTGAACCATCAAAAATGGTTAAGATGGTAAATTTTATGTTATGTCTACTTTTTACTACAATAAAAAATAAAGTAGCTATGCTCCTGTGAAAAAATCTCCAATTCTATTTATTCCTCTGTTTTTGTTCCTTGTCATCAGTTTGTGAGAAAGTTCTAGTTAGTTCTATTTTCTGGCTTTAAATTAGACATATCAAGCAAGTGTACCCTGCTGTTACCAAAAAGCAAACCTCAAGGACCATTAATGGATGCAAAGACCATTAGTTAGATGAAAGGTGATTAGATATTAGGATATATGCATATTACTAGAATATTATCACCCCACAGATTACTTGCTAATTGCAAAGGAGGGGGAAAAAACTTATGTTTTACAATGGCGAGATCTGGTGGACGTCATCTTACCAAATAATCAAACTTGGCACCACTAATCATGGGACAAACTAATATTATGTGCCTCCTGCTGTGATGCAGTATGAAATACACAGCATCACCTATGAAGCACCCTTACCAAAAATGTTTAACATGAATCTAATCAAGCCAATGGACCCTATTTACAGTTTATAGGAAATAAACTGTAAATATAAAGATATTTTCTCTATAAAGATAGAGAAACAAACACAATGAGGAAACACTTTATAAGAAAACTAGCCTGGCCAGGCATGGTGGCTCACATCTGTAAGGCCAAGGCCAGAGGATCACTTGAAGCCAGAAGATCAAGACCAGCCTAGGCAACAAAGTGAGACCCTGTCAAAAAAAAAAAGAAAAAAAAAAAAGGAGGAAGGAAGAAAATAAATTATAAATTAGCCTGGTCTCATTAACAGGAAATTCTAATATGGGCTAGATATTAGGTATTAGGGACTTGTTCATTTTCTTAGATATGATAATGGTATTATTATTATGTAGAAGACTATCCTTATTCTTAGGAGATGCACAATGAAGAATTTAATTGAGTGCCATGATGTCTGCAACCTACTTTCATTTAGCTTAGCTAAAAAGAGTGTATGTCTGTATACACGTAAACAGATAAAGCAAATACGATCAAACTTTAACAGCCATCAAATCCAGCTCATAGGTATGTATTTCATAGTTCTATTCTTTCAATTTTTCTTTATGCTTGAAATTTTTGTTATGAAAAATTATAAAGAAAAATACCAAAGCTCTCATTTTTATTTAAAAGTCTATTAATAGATTTCCCATTCCACTCTCTCTGTATATTCTACTAATAATATTATTAATATTACAATAATTAGGGATTAAAAAGTTAGAGCAACAATGACGAAAAGCAAAGTATAGATAGAAGACTGAAAGATAATATGACAAAAAGTTTAACAGAAATTATCTCTAGGCAGTGGGACTACTGGATTTTTTTTCTTTTTACTTTTCTATATTTTCTCAATATTTTACAGTACATGTTAGACTTTTTAGGTTAAAAAATTGTTTAAGGTAACAGCTTTTTTTTCTTATTCTTTTTTTTTTTTTTTTTTTTTTTGAGACAGAGTCTCGCCCTGTCACCTAGGCTGGAGTGCAGTGGCATGATCTTGGCTCACTGCAACCTCCACCTCCAGGGTTCAAACAATTCTCCTGCCTCAGCCTCCTGAGTAGCTGTGACTACAGCCATGCACCACCATGCCTGGCTAATTTTTGTATTTCTAGTTGAGATGGGGTTTCACCAGGTTGGCCAGGCTGGTCTTGAACTTCTGACCTCAAGTGATCCACCCGCGTTGGCCTCCCAAAGTGCTGGGATTACAGGCATGAGCCACAGCACACAGCCGGTAACAGCTTTTGAACATAAGCACTACAAAGACATACATCATCGTGTTAGTACAGAACTTGCAAAAAAATACACTGAACAACTACATTCACTGTGAATATGATCGAAACAGCCATCTCAAATAATGTAATAACTTTCCCCACCTATATAATCCCCAAACATTATGCAGAAATAAAAGGCCAATGATAAGTTTTGGGCCTTTCAAGGGAGATGAGGAGTTTCTTACCTTAGTTTTTGGATTATAATTCACGATTTTATGTCTTTATATAAAAAAAAATTCTCTGCAAATTGTAGGAACTGAGAGTGTAGGATAATAGCAGGAAAAGAGTACTTACCCTCCACAGACCCCTGGTGCCTTCTTGTTGGTATATATCGATAAAGCTTCCAATCATGCTCCCTTGGAACAAGCTTCCTTGAGCCTGCATTCGAATCTAAAATGAAAAGAGGTGAACATCTTATTTTGTCAGAGAGAACCAAAATGCTAAATTCATTTTAAGTTCATTTAAATTCATTTTAAATTCATCTAAAATTTAAAAAGAAGTATTCAGGAATCCCAGAAAAATATCTGCTATTATGATAAAGTTAATTAGTTAAACTGTATAGAAAAAGAATTTGTGTCAAAGTGTATTTTATAAAAATGGTTTTCATCGGCCTCACATTCCTCACACTAAGTCTATTATTTCTGGAGCTAGAAGAAAATTTGGAGAAAAGAAAGATCAAGTACTCAGCAGGACTAAAAAATGACTCATTTAGTGAAAAATTAGAAACAACTTAATATCCAAAAACAACTACACAGGTTGGTTACAGAAATTATACATTCATTTAATAGAATACTATGGAGCCATAAAATTTTGTTGTACAATGGTATTTGCTGACACTGAAAGATATCAAAAATTAATTGCTAACCAGAAAAAAAATTGCGAAGTACTATATCATTTTTATAAAAAACATGTAAACTTAAAAATATCCATAAGCACAGCAAAGAGACGAGGTGAACATATAAAACTAAATACTTACAGTGGTTTATGTCTGAGTGGTGAGGCTACAAGTAAGCATTTTTCTCTTTTGTGTTTTTTCTGCCTTCCATATTTTTCTACATTAAACATGCATTGCTTACGTAATTATAAAAATGAAAAATGTGTTTTAAAATATAATTTTATGTTTATGAGACCTTAAGTTGAGTTCTATTTATAAAAAGCATAATATTATATTCTGCCAAGTGGCCTTTGAGAGCTGCAAGAAGGAAAGATAGCATTAAATGGCCATGTAAAAGGTTTGGTACAATTTCCCACAGACTCTGCACACATACAATCCTAGTAGTCAGTCACTAAATACTAGCGGCCCAAATGTAGGCCTGATTTTTATGAAGCACCATGCTACCATTCTAGGTTTCAACAAATGTCTTTAGTAAGTCATGTAATGGCAACATGCTTTTATGCAGAAAGTTAACTGTTACTACTAAGAGTTTTCAAATATTATAATTATAAAAACCTAAACCCATTAAATCAAGATACAACCTATCACAAAGACAAATGAAAACTACTAATACACTGTGGTAAGTAGAACACTTCTTTAAGGAGGTGATTCCTGACAACAGAGGGGCTAGCGTGAGGCAAGTGAAGTACTTTTCTTAGGCATGAAATGTAAGGGAGTGCAAGAAAAACTCAGTAATCAAGATAAATGATGTCTCAATATGATATTTTTTAACCAAAATTAATCCACAAAAAGCCATAATGAATCAAATATCAAATTTAACTAAAGCTAGGACTCAACAGGGCCAGGATTAGGGTAAGGTGAATGAGATGAGTTATGTGAAATTTTGGTATTTGGTTCATCATGAATTTTTTGCGTTAATTTTGATTGTTTAAAAATACTACATACAAATGTTGTTTATATTGATTACTGAGTTTTGTGGCACCTTCTTACATTCTGCATCAAAGGGGACTGCCTTACTTGTTTTGCCCTAGTCCTGGCCCTGTTTATGAGCCTGGTCTTGAAGGACAAATTCACCAGGAAAATGAGAAAGACGTTTCAGGAAGAAAGTGTTACGTGCACAAAGGCAAAGAAGCAGTACATAGTAGATCAGATATGGATTTCGATAGATCTCTCCAGCTTCATCTGGAGATGGGTTGAGGGAGTGGGGTACACACTAGAGTGAAGGGACAAGTTAGGAGGCTACTGAGATGAGGTCCTACAAAAGGAATGGTGGGGAAAGGACAAAGTTGAGAAATACAGATGAGGCAAAATCTGTAGAAACTTGATACCTAATCCAATACTAGAAGGAAGCAAAGATATAGAAGAATCAAAGATGATCTAGGTTTCTAGTTTAGATGACCCAGTAGGTCTGGGTAGTGTGGTAGATTATTGTCTCCCAAAATCTACTCTCCTTTCTTGAAGCTAGATGTAGCCATGGAACCAAGTCCTTCAGAATGGAACGTGAACAGAAATAATGGTTGAAACTTCCCAGTGTCTTGCTTAAAAGGAAATTGCCTATATTTCAGAACAGCCAAACAGCCCCACTAAATGAGAAAAAGTTGTCCTTGGCCAGGCGCAGTGGCTCACGCCTGTAATCCCAGCACTTTGGGAGGCCGAGGTGGGCGGATCACCTGAGGTCAGTAGTTTGAAACCAGCCTGGCCAACATGGCGAAACCCCGTCTCTACTAAAAATACAAAAATTAGCCAGGCGTGGTGGTGTGCACCTGTGTAATCCCAGCTACTCGAGAGGCTGAGGCAGGAGAATTGCTTGAACCCAGGAAGTGGAGGTTGCAGTGAGCCGAGATCATGCCATTGCACTCCAGCCTGGGCAACAGAGCGAGACTCCATCTCAAAAAAAAAAAAAAAAAAAAAAAAAAAGATTGCCCTTGCAGAAGAATTCTAGCTAAGAAACATGGATGGAATGATGGAATTAGAAAATCACCACTTTGCGACCTTAAATGAAACAATCAATTCAGGTAATGGCCACCAATGGATGAAACCATTAGATGAAGGATTGACAGGAAACTACAAAGGAGAAATCGGGCTGTCACGCCTGAACCCACTGATCAACCTTAACATCCCTATATTGGGACAACCAAACACTGTGTGCCTCCTCACATGACTCGGTATGACCTTTACAGAAACCTTCCCTTTTACAGAGAGAGAAGATTTAGAGAAATAAGTTAAATGATATCACAAGGAAGCAAAAAGACAAATCCAAAACTTGGGAATTCTAAAGGAGAGCTGATCCCATTTATTTGACAAGTTAATGGCAAAAAGCAAATAAATAAATAAATAAATAAAAGGTATATGGACAGGAGTGGGGTACTCTAGAATAAAAAGGACTTAAGAAACATAACTATTAAATATAATGCATAGGCTTTGGAACCCAAGTTAAACAAATCAACTGTAAAATATAAGACAGTCTGGAAATGTGAACATAGATTATTAGATGTTACTAATGAATAAATGTTAATTTTGTTAAATGTAACAATAGCACCATGGTTATATAGAAAAATATTCCTTTTATGAGATGCACATCGAAGTATATGGGGGAAAATGACAATGTCTGGAATGTGCCTTAAAATAATTCAGAAAAAGGGAATAAAAAAGCACATGTAGCAAAATCTTAGCTACCTCCGTGATGTGTACAAAGACGTTCACTGTACTATGTTATTTTCTACTCACTCATATGTTTGAAATTGTTTCTCCAAAACTACATATTTAAAGATTTAAACTGTTAAAGATAAAAATGGAGGCAACAATTGAGATAAACCCCAAGACCAGCCACCCATCATCAGGTAACCGAACCTTAAGTCATCCTATTTCCTCGGAACTGCTATCTCTAATCATAAACACAAAACATAAGCTTTACATCTTTGTCAGAATGCTTCAGTGAAATGAAACCAATAACTATAGACAATCACCTTAAACAGCTGCTTGCCTTTAAAAGAACGATAATTTATAACAGCCAATCACAAAAAAGGTCAAAATGTTTCTGCCCTTCTGCTTTATAAACTGTACTGTAAGATAAGTTTGTTATCATTTGGTTTGAAGTATCCTGGATCGAGACCCGTACTTTCTCTTATTGCATACAATAAACTTTAAAATTTTTCCTGACTTTATTTTTGACAAATCAAAAGGAAACTGCTTTCCCTTGACTCTCTTCCCATGGGCTGGAATGTAGGTTTGATAGTGGTCCAACTTCAACTATACAGACTAAAATAATACCATAGGACAGGGGTCAACAAACGTTTTCTGTAAGGGTCCAGACAGTAAATATATTAGGCTTTGCAGGGCTTATGACCTCTGTTGTGACTACTCAACTCTGTCACTGAAGCACAAAAGCAATTATAGACAATAAATAAAAAAATGGGGTGGCTGTGTTCCAATAAAACTTTATTCACAACAGGGGGTGGGCCAGATTTGACCCACAGACAGTAGTTTGCCAATCCCTGCCCTAGGAGATGGCAGTGCAACAAAAATGAAGAAACCTGGATCCTGGATGACTACATGAAGTAGTTCTGCCTTACCAGCATTAACTGCAGTCCTCTAGATGGTTACATGAGAGAGATAAATACTTGTATATGGAGACCTTTTATTTTTGAGTTTCTTTGTGACAGTAGCTTAGCCCATAACCTAACTGATATAGTGAGAGCTAAAGTATTAAGAATGAAAAAGGCGGTCGGGCACGGTGGCTCACGCCTGTAATCCCAGCACTTTGGGAGGCCAAGGCGGGTGGATCACGAGGTCAGGAAATCGACACCATCCTGGCTAACACGGTGAAACCCCGTCTCTACTAAAAGTACAAAAAATTAGCCAGGTGTGGTGGCGGGCGCCTGTAGTCCCAGCTACTCAGGAGGCTGAGGCAGGAGAATGGCGTGAACCCGGGAGGCGGAGCTTGCAGTGAGCCGAGATCGCGCCACTGCACTCCAGCCTGGGAGACAGAGCGAGACTCCGTCTCAAAAAAAATAATAATAATAGTAAAAAAAAAAAAAAAGAATGAAAAAGGCCATCAAGGAGAGACTGAAGAGGAGAAAAGAGCTAAAGATGGAACCTTGGGTGGGAGAAGAAAAAGATTTAAAGTATATGCATAAAAAGGAAGCCCATGAATGAAGCTAAGGAATAGGAAAACTAGAAGCAGAATCTAAATAGTGTAGTAACAAAACCAAAAAAGAACTTCTAGTAGAAGGAATTAGTCAAAATAGGTTAAGTAAGATGAGAACTAAAATGTCCACTGGATTGGATAATGAGGACATTACTGCTGACCCTGTGGAGAGTGATTTCAATCAAGTAGCAGGAGTGATTACAGCAGGTTATGAAGGAAATGGAATGTAAAGATTACTCTTGTAAAATCTGGATGAGAAGGTAAGAAAAGAGATAGCATGGTGTTTTGAGGTCAGAGGGTCAAGAAAATATTTTAGGATAGAGAGATTTGACCATATTTATCATTTGAGAGAAGATAACCGGTAAAGAGGAAGACACTGAAAATAAGAGAAAGAGGACAAATGATAAAGGTCTCTGATGAAACAGAAGTGAATAAAAGTAGAGTAACCAGGTTTTTTTTAAACTTGAGCATGTATCAAAATCACTTGAAGGGCTTGTCAAACCAGACTGCTGGGCCCCATCCTACCCTTTCTGGTTCAGTAGGTGTTGGATGGGGCCTGATAATTTGCATTTCTAACAAGTTCCCAGGTAATACTGGTCTGGTCTGGAAAACCACTACAGTAAGACAAGATAAGGATGGGTATAGATGGAAGTAAGTTTACACCTGTAAGGTAGAAAGGACACGAAATTGAGAGGTATAAGGCCAGGCCATAGGAGGTGGGGTTGTCTGCTTAGAGTAAGAGGTACAAGGAGCTCTTCAATTAAATTCTCTTCATAAATACCTGTTCTAAGTCAACAAAAATAAGCATGGGGAAAGGACTCCCTATTCAATAAATGGTACTGGGACAGCTGACTAGCTATATGCAGAAGAATAAAACTGGGCCCCTACCTTTCACCATATACAAAAATTAACTCAAGACAGATTAAAGATTTAAATGTAAGACCTCAAATTTTAAGAATCCTAAAAGAAAACCTAGGAAACGCCATTCTGGGCATTGGCCTTGGGAAATAATTTATGACTAAGTCATCAAAAGCAATTGCAACAAAACAAAAAATTGACAAGCGGGACCTGATTAAACTAAAAATCTTCTTCCAACAAAAGAAACTACCAACAGAGTAAAGAAACAACCTATAGAATGGGAGAAAATATTCACAAACTATGCATCTGATGAAAATCTGGTATCCAGCATCTATAAGGAATTTAATTCAACAAGCAAAAACCAAATAACTCCATTAAAAAGTAGGCAAAAGACATGAACGGACACTTCTCAAAAGAAGACATACAAGCAGCCAACAAACATAAAAAGATGCACAATATCACTAATCATCAGAGAAATGTAAATCAAACCACAACAAGATACCATCTCACACCAGTCAGAATGGTTATTATTAAAAAGTAAAAACAACAGATGCTGGCGAGGCTGCAGAGAAAAGGGAATGCTTAGACACCATTGGTGGGAATGTAAATTAGTTCAGCCACTTTGGAAAGCAGTTTGGAGACTTCTCAAGGAACTTAAAACAGAGAGCTACCATTCAACCCAGCAATCCCATTACTGAGTATATATCCAAAAGAAAATAAATAATTCTACCAAAAAGACACATACACTCCTATGTTCATCACAGCACTATTCACAATAGCAAAGACATGGAATCAACCTAGGTGCCCACCACCGTTGGACTGGATAAAGAAAATGTGGTACATATACACCATGGAATACTATGCAGTCATAAAAAAGAACAAAATCATGTCCTTTGCAGTAACATGGATTGAGCCAGAGGCCATTATCCTAAATGAATTAATGCAGGAACAGAAAACCAAAGATAGCATGTTCTCACTTATAAGTGGGAGCTAAATATTGCATACTCATGGACAAAGATGGCAACAATAGACACCAGGGAATAATAGAGGCAGGAGAGAAGGAGGGGGACAAGGGTTGAAAAACTGTTGGGTACTGTGCTCACTATCTGGGTGATGGGATCATTCATATCCCAAACCTGAGCATCATACAATATACCCATGTAATAAACCTGCACATGTACTCCCTGAATCTAAAATAAACGGTGAAAAAAAAACTTGTTCTGTAAACCTAAAATGATATAAAAATTCTGTAAATTACTATCATTTTAGTCCAGAAAGACTGTCTCATATTTTTATCCATCAACCACCAGTGGTTTATTTCATGTGTGTTGTTTTTCATGTCTTTCTCTCTGTTCTCAAACCCCTCTCTGAATTGCAATAAATAGATCTCTCCTTTGCTAACCTAGCCACTTGTGGTTTCACTAGTGGTCAAATTTAAAAAAGCATGTGTCCTCTTACTTTTTTCTCGCAATCCCCTTAAAATAATTTGTTAAAACTTTGGGTTCCCCTCACTTATTTTAATCCTATATTTAGTGCTTTTAACTAATCATAAGCTTAAATACGTTAATAAGTAGAAAATATTTACCATTTTATGAAATAAGATGAAAATTTATATTAAAAGAAATGTTTCAGTCTGTGACTTGAAAAAACCTTAAAGAAATCCAACTATACTCTTAACAAGTCAGCACCACCAACCTATACTATTCTGGTTCTGAATTCAGAATATTCCAATACAGGCCAAAATATACCATGTTTAAAGCCAAATCTCACCCTGAATAGAAATATTAATAAGACAGGGAAAGACAGAGGCATTACAGACTTAAGATACCCAAATTGGTTACTAAAATAGGCTTCTCCAAGAACTGTATTTCAGTTTACCCCTCTGTTTGGCATCCCAGGTTATACCACAGGTCAACATACCATACCAAGATTTAGAATAGGTGGGGACGTACATTTCTTTTGTAAAATTGAGTAAGGGCTATTATGAACAGATTCATTCTCGTACCAGTTTTAGGATGGAGTACAAATGGATGTAAGAGATCTGGAAATTGATTCCTATAAAACTGCATAGCCCTTGGAAAGAACCTATAGGGTCTTGCATACCCCAGTGTGAGGACCAGTGGATTAACACATATCATAATAAACTGACTGCCATTTATTGAGCATCTACTACACCAAGTACAATGATAGGCAGTTTATATATATATTATCGCTAATCCTTTACAACTCTATGTTATAAACACTGTATTATATTCATTTTTCAAATGATGAAATTGAGGCTTAATGCAGTTAACTGATTTGCCCAAGGTTCTACAGCTGGCAAGTGACAGAGTGGGAATCTGAACCCAAATCTGACTCAAAGTTATGCTCCTTTCAAATCACACTGTATCTCTCTTACCTTTAGAACATCGGTGGGATTGGCTATAGTGGAAGATATCACTCCTGACACTACCCCACAGATCATATTAATTAAAAGAGTTTCATCTGTGAAAAGGAAAAGAAAAAGAAAGGTCTGCTTGTATTAGGCACCAGTTTGAGTACATACTACTGACCTACTGGAGGAAGGGAAACTTGGTTAGAGAGATGACTTTAGAAATGAACCAAAAAGCTTAGGAAAATAAAGAAACTCAAATATTTCTAGATCTCAATTCAGTGCTAAAATATATTAAAACTTGTAAAATATAAATCATTTCTAAAAACATCATTATTTCTAAAGGACACTGGAACACGTCCTTTTCTTCTACATAACTATCAGTATCCCACACACAAATTCAGAAGGTGGTATTTCCCCTTCGACCTTTTCAAACATCTAAAGAACATACTTTTTAAGTCTTTTTCTGGGTAATCATCAACTCTAAAGATTCAGGAACTGAATGTTAAAAGAGAAAATCTTACGTCTAATACAAAAAACTTATTTGAATATTAATTTTGATAGGCCTGAGATCTCTCCTAGCCTCTGTTAATTTATAAAATATTTCTGTAGTCAAATATGAAAAAGCAATCATTTAGAACTAAATCTCCTCAGTGAGAAAAAAGAACAAAGAAACCACAGAGCACATTGTTCTATAGTGAAATTCAATCTTTACCGCTCCTTCACACCATGAAGACCCCACAAATAGAAACTAAATAAACCCAAGTGAAGAATCTATGAAAGAAAAATATTTCAGAAAGAGGTGGAAGAGAACCCTTCACAATCCCCAAAAAAAGGCTTCAGAAAAAGTTGACTTTAGGACAATAAAGTGATTCAAAGGACATTACTAACCGAAAGGCTTTCCAGCTGTCCCCAAACATCCAACAGCCCCAGGCCTGTGGTAAAATAACCATTTAGTGTAGTATCATGATGGAAAATGCTACAGCAGCAAACAGACATATGATAATGCTGAATATGCATAAGGTAGCCAAAGGTACATCAGAATTTAGAAAACAGCCTAAAATTATTCTGCCTAATAAAAGCTTATCAAAATTGCCAGCTAGAAAATGCCTTACAGTTGAAGTCCTCTTATTGATGAAGATAGCATTAATTTTCTGGACAAGATTGTTCCATGTTTCTTTTGGGATGATCACATGCCTTTTTTGTTGATAGGAAAAGGGACAAATTTGAAGAACAGGTCTCTCTAATTCATATATCACCTCTGCAAAGATTTATTCCAAGTTAGAACAAGCTCACTTTGTCTTTGCAGTGACTCTCCTCCATTCTCAGGCACCTCATGACCAACATTTCTCACTAAGCATGATTTCAACAATCCCTTTGAGTATCACCTCAAAAGAGGGTAAGTATACTGACCTTCTAAACGTTCTACGAATAAGCGCTTCAAGCTTTGGTAAATCCCAATTTTAATGGTGCCATATGATGCTTGTCTTAGCAACGCAGGAGCAATTCTGAAAAAAAAAAAAGTAAAAAGTTATTCTCAACATTTTCAGATTATACATATCTAGATAGCCTACTTATTTGGACTACCCATCTCATTCTACCCAACAACAGCAGAATATGATTTTTTTCAAGCACTCATGAAACACTCAGCAAGAAACTGAACATTCTGGGTCATAAAACCAACCTCAACAAATTTAAAAGAACTGAAATCATATACAATATGTTATCTGACAATAATGGAATCAAACCAGAAATCAATAAGAAAAATCCTCAAACATTTAGAAATTAAACAATATATATCTAAATAATCTATTGGTCAGACCAAGTGTCTGTCAAAGGAATTTTTTTTTAATTCACAGGTCTAAATGACAACAAAATTCAACCTATTAAAATGTATGAGATGCAGCCAAAGCAGTGCTGAGGGAAATTTACAGCATGAAATGCTTGCATTTTAAAAAAAAAAAAGGGGGGGGGGGGGTAGAGTCTCAAATCAATAATCTATGCTCCTACCTCAAGAAACTAGAAAAAGAAAAGCAAAATAACCCAAAGCAAGCAAAAGAAAATAATAAAAAGCACAAATCAATGAAATTGAAAATAGGAAAATAGAGAAAAATCAATGAAACAAAAAGTTAGCTCTTTAAAAAAAAATCAACAAAATTGATAAACCTCTAGCAAGACTCACAAAGATAAAAAGACAGAAGATGCAAATAAGAAATGAAACAGGGACTAGCACTACAATTCCTGCAGCCATTAAAAGGACAATAAGAGTATGGTATAAACAACTTTATACTCATAAATTCAACACCTTAGAAGAAATGGACAAATTCCTTGAAAACCAGAAGCTACCAAAACTCAACTAGATAAAACAAATAATCTGAATAAAACTCATACCCATTGCAATGGACTGAATGTTTGTATCGTCCCCAAATCAAGATCTTAAAATCCTAACCCGCAATATGATGGTAATAGGAGGTGATTAGGTCATGAGGGTAAAGCCCTCATGAACAGGATTAGTGCCCTTATAAAAGGGATCCCAGAGAGCTCCCTCACTCTGTCTGCCATGTGAGGATACAATAAGAAGTCTTGGCAGTCTGCAACCCAGAAAAGAGACCTCAGCAGAACCTGACCAAACTGGCACCGATCTCAGATTTCCTGCCTCCAGAACTGTGAGAAATAAATTCCGATTGTTTATAAGTCACCCAGTCTATGGTATTTTGTTATAGCACCCCAAACTATGATAACCTTAAAGAATTTGCACTCTGAATTTAAATGTTCCCCAAAAAGAAATAGCCCCAGATAATTTCACTGGGGAATTCTACAAAACATTTTAAAAATTAACACTAAGCTTACACAGTTCCTTCCAGAAAACAGAAGAGGGAATGCTTCCCAACTAATTTTGGCTAGTATTACCCTGATACCAAAACCAGACAAAAACAGTACAAAAAAGGAAAACCACAGACTAATGTCTCTCATGAACTTAGATGCAAAACTCCTTAAGAAAATATTGGTAAATTGAATCCAGCAATGTATAAAAAGAATTATACATCATTGCTCACCTAATAAAGATTTTTTTAAAAAAATCAACCTCTACTTCCTAACAGTTGCAGATACGTCTTTAATCACATCAACAAGGAGGTACTAGAGCCAAAATTCCACCCTATTTAAGTTCTCCTTTAAACTGGAGACATTCTCATTCATACCTCCTTTGGGATTCTTCCAAATTGCAGAACTATACTGTAGGAGGTATAAATAGAAAGACAGCAGCAGCTCAAATGGTTAGGATTTTTAAATGATGACTAAATATGCATATTTCTGACTTTATTGCTTGCTATCAGAAAATATCTTGTGATGATCTATGCTGATGAAAGAACAAGGTGAAACAGATGATCCACAAATCAGGATGGTGGATCATCTTCAGGATGCTTCAGGATACACTACTTGATTTTTCCCCCAAGAAAATTACCTTTTAAATTAAGTCTAACATAGTTTAACGATGTAACATAGTTTAACAATAAAATTGATGTCTATTCTCTGAGTAATAAACTGGTAGCCTAGATGCAGGAGTGGCCTAGGAAACTGGCAACAGATAAACTACAAACTAGACAGTAAACCACAAAATTATGGCTAATCAAAAGGTGATGATAAAGATGGGTCTCCCTCTCTCTCATTATGCACTTTCTGTTTAAACTGCAAGAATAATATTTTTTCAAAGAGGAAAATTTTAAAGGAAGTCAGAATTTGCCAACTCAGGAGGGATATCACAAAAATATATATAATTAATTGGTGCTGTTATTAACAGTGGCTATTAGTGACTCTCGGGAAATCCACAGAAAGCCTATGCTGCAATGACATATCCATTTTAAAATGTTATTATCACTTATAACCAAATGAACACAAAATCCAAAGCTCAAGACTTACAAGCAGGAGAAATATAAACTGGCATATCAATACTGAATTACAAGTTGAAATGGTGAATATGAAACGGACACAAACTATCAGACAGCTGAAAACTATGGCTTCTTTAAAAAGCATTTCTGTTAATGATATAAGGAAAGAACCAGTCTCACCCTGAATAGAGAGCCAATACACCTTCCTCTTTACAGATGCGAAACAGCGCATGGAACATCCCTCTATATTTTATCTCTTTGAAACGGGCATCAATGCTTTGGCCTTGAACCTGAAGTCGTGTTTTGGTAAGGTCCACAGGGAAAGTCCCTATAAAGGAACACACTTATTTATAAGTATGTCCAAAGAATCACAGTTAAGTTGTTGCTAAATATAAGCCAAGGACAATATTTGAATCCTAAGACAAAGTCCTTTTTATAACACATAGAAGAGCTCTAGTAGAATACCACTGTCAGAGAACATGAGTTGCATGTGGTAAGTGAAATGCATTATACTATACATAGGCAGCACCAATTGACCCACAATATACTTCAAACTGTAATATAATAAAATGCTTTCAGATTGCCCTATTATAAATGCAAAATAATTAAATGTTGTTTTTTATTTCATCTGTAACATATAATCTGGCATTTATCAGTCTCCCTCCTGCCCCTTCCCACCCCAAGTCTCCCCACCTCTGTGTCTCATAAAATCTCCCTAAATTTTCACAAAGATAGGAAAGCATGGGATTGCTGCTCCAGATGCTCTTATATAGTGTTACAAAGTTTTGTGGGGTTTTTCTTTTATCTGTTTACAAGAAACAAATAGTCCCCTAATATTATGAAAGATAATGGCAAAGTCTTATTTGGTTCTACTCATCCTGGTCCCTTAGGTAATTCAGGACTAATACCAGCAGAGTGTTTGGGGGGGAAATTTCTTTAACCAAACCTCTTACATCAACAAACAGAAGTGGTCATCACATTGACAAAATATATTTCAGGGTGTAAAACTAACAAGGTGATTAGGTAGCTCTGGTCACTGATGACCCAAATATCACAACACCACAGGATATGCCAAGAACGTCAGTAGTCACTCATGAATAGTTTAGAAAAGAGAACATCTGGAAGATGAAAAAAACGACAATCTAAAAATATTTCAAAATCAAAATCATGTAGAAGAGAATCTTGTTTGATCTTGTTAGTACATTTTCTTCTAAAATGGGAAAGAGGTTTGAAAAAAAGGACTTTCAGTACAAATAAACTTATAAATAATTTAGCATAAAAGACTATTAATACAGAAATATAGCAAAAACCCTTATGACATATCAACTCCCTCTATATATTCATGTATTTTACTTAAGCCTAGCAAACTAACAAATCACTAAACTACCAAAAAAGCTTTCCTTAGTTTGACTTTTCTTAACTCATCTGCCATACCATCAGTAGTACTTTCCCTGAAATATTACTTCATGGCTTTGAGACAATTTTCAAAATAAGGCGAGCTTCTTATTTTTTACCTAGCTTTCACCAAAAATAACCATCATCATAAGCTACCATCTATACCGTATAATGCAGATTTGTCATTTCTCACATTCTTACCAAACTCAGCCACGATAGAGGCAAGGCCGCCATATACAAAGGGTTTCCAATTCAGACCAGACATCTCATGACTTACAGTGGTACTTTTCTGGTGCTAAAAATAAACACAAATCAGAACAAGGCACAAGAGTGAGGAGCATTTGTTAGCATCTGATCATATAATTTAGATAAACAAAATTGGCAAATAAAATAGATGTAGAAGAAAAACCCCACCAAGTGGAATGACACAAAAATGGGGGATCCTGTTTTATGTGCTGGATGATCATGAGTTTGTTCTTTACTGACATTTTGTAGGGGTAGGCGTGTGATTCACTCAGAGATCAACCTGTGCCCTTCATTCTCTCCAGTTTCTTTAATGTTATATTCATCCCCACCCAGAGAAGAGGCTTCAGTCCATCCAGCACACCCAACTTTGACATTCAACTAGATAATTACAAATGAAGGAACCCGGAATTCAAATTATATAGGCTGAGGCATCTCATAAAAGCAGTTCATGGTATTCAGTTAGCTTGATTCAGGTGCAAAGCACAGGCTCACACTACTACTCTCTCATATTCTTAGCCCTCCTATCTCTCTACTATAGGGTTTCTAGCTATATATAACTTTGTCCCCCCAACTAGGCCCAGGCTGAGCTAAGAACTTTTTCACCTTCCTTCTAGCGCCCAAAGGAATGATAGCAATATGATGTCTATCTTCCCTCTGACATTTAACGTACATCCATCTAGTGGATCTCCTTTTCCTTCCTCTTGGCCTTTTAAAACACACACATATAAATACTGTTCTTCTTTTATGTTCTAGTTCTTTAACAACGTATTCTGCTCCCAGCCTCCCTTTTCTCCTTCCCTATCCCACCCCCGTTAGACCTGTCATCATCAATCTTTTCAGCTTTACTCTCTTTTTCTGCCACTGTCAGCTTGCTCTCTCTTGGATTTTATTTTTTCCAGAGCTCTGGCCTCTAGGTTTTGCAAATTTTAGCATGTATTAGAATCATCTAGAAGGTCTATTAAAACATAGATTGTTGGGCCTCTCCCCCAGAGTTTCTGATTGGTGGTATGGCCCTGAGAATTTGCAAGATCCCAAATAACGCTGATACTTCCACACTTAAGAACTGCTCTAGGCATTGCCTACTAAATCCTGGTCCATCTGAAAGTAGTATCTGTTCTTAGCATGGACTCTCAGATTTCTTTCAAATATTCCTTTTTCAGAGCTTCACAGTATGTATACTTCTGAATTTCAAAAGCAACTTCCAAGTGGTTTATGGTGAGGAATGCAGACTCCTGAAGTCAGACTGTTAAAATTTAAATGCTAACTCCAGATTCATTTCCTGACTCCACCACTTACTAGTTCTGTGACCTTGGGCAAGTTAATCTCTCTATGCCTCCACTTTCTGAACTGTAAAATGGAACTAATAATAAAAACTATATCATAGGGTTGTTGTGAAAATTAAATAATATATGAAAAACACCTTTAAAAGTGCCTGGCATGTAGCTCAATAATTGTTAGTTAACTATCATTATTACATTTTTAAAAATTTAAGTACCCAAATTTACATCTTAACAGATATTACTTGCTGCCCACCCCTCCCTCCCATTGCCCAGTCTGGGGTTAGCAGCTATGAGTCACAGTATCCCTTTGAAGGTTTTGCTTTGTTTCCACATAAGGAATTCTCTGTAACTAAGCAAAATACAATTTTCCAGAGAAGATAGCAAACACGCTGATTAAATGTTTTAGTTACAGGCCACAAAAATCATTATGGAGGCTTCCTTTCAAGCATAGCACATATAGAGTCTGGGATAGATAGCCCTTTTGAGGGAAAGTTGTTGAAAAGAATTCTAATGAGCAAAGTAGGAATAGCCACTTCAAGTATCAACTGCAGCTGGAAATAGGAGTCTTGAAGACTAAATACTACCTTATCACCATTTCTAGCTATGCCCACATTTTCCAATTAGAATTGATAGTAAAATATGACACATATGGTGAGAGTAGAGATGGAAAAGCAAGACCATGGCATATCCCCTCTTTGAGTTTGTGAGGAAAAAATTAACTCTCCATTCACAAATTTATCGATTGCCCCAAATAGTCTTAAAGGTTTCAGACAGCTACTTTTACTTAAAGTTGTCTCTCCAAAACTTTTTCTCCTTACAACTTTTTTCAACTCTTTGTATTACAGAGAAAGCCTCTATCGGAACTTCACAAGCTGCTACCAGCCCTTTAATAAGGAAAATGTGCTCAGGGAGCAATGATGAATCAGTGAAAGGCAAGGAACAGGGAGGACATGGCAGGAAGATGAAAGACCAGTCGCTGAATCTTAGGCCAGTTAGCCCAGTGGTTCCCTAATGAAGTTCCCACAATTCTGGGGCGAAATGAAAAAAATAAGGACACTTAGTCCTTTTTTTTTTTTTCAGCTAAATGTATTTAATTTAGGGACTGTCTATTATTAACAGATCAGATTCTTCTTACGCCTGGAGCACAGGCTAACTAGCCTGTATTTGTGTACCCTTCCCACATTTTCATTTACATTTTACTGGCCCATGAAATCCAAAAATCTGGAGACCACAGGCAAAACCCACCATTGCCACAATCACGACTTCCCTACCCCCATCTGATAGTAAAATCTCTTTCACTCCAATGTTAGGAAAAAATCTTATGAAGAAATCCTGGATCATATTTGATTAGATCTGTTTTTAGACACTCCCTCCTCATATTGAGCCAAAAGTCTGTCTTCCTCTAATTTGTACCCAGTCTTTGGAGGTAATATTCAACAAATGCATTCTTTTTTCCCTAGGCAAGCCCTTCAAATATTTAAAGACAGCTATGATGTTCTCTTACATCTCATGTTTCTTGAGCTAAATATCCATGATCTTTCTCTTCATTTGACACATTATACTTCAATTACTAGAGCTTAAAATTGCACTCACTTTTTTGGGAGCCACATCACACTATCAAATCATTAAACTGTCAGCTGAAACCTCCAAGTCTTTTACATAAAGTTGTCTACATGCATGCGTGTTGTGTCACACCTATTCTACAGGTGTGCAATATTTTTTGAACCTTCTTTTATCCCTTCTATATCTTAATCTCAGGCATAAAAATAATGACTAGGATGAGGGTCAACTTCAAGATGTCCAATGTTATTTCCTCTCTTAACTAAGTAAGATCCCCAAGGGAAGATACTATATCTCACAGTACTTTTTATAACCCCCATTATAGCTTGCATAGAATTGAATACATATCCATTCAATACTTAGTTGGTTTTGCAGTGTGACATCCTTTACCTATGTATGCAGCCTGTATATAAAAGATTGCAGAGGAAACAAGGAAGGTAACTTGCTGGACCTGGCCAATGCTACACACCCTGTGTATGACACTATCTTGATCCCCAGATATTCTCTGCCTGCGAACCCTGTTCCCTTGCTTTTGTTCCAAGGAATTACTTATGTAAAATACCCCAAGCCCTCTAAAAATTATTTTAACTTGTAGGGGCTAACCCCAAATATGCGTAAAAGTAGTCATATCTAAGGTAAAATAAAAATATAGTACCCTAAATATTTTTACTGTATAAAGAAACCAATGAAAATTGTCTTCAAAATGCCAACATTTATTCTGAAGATCTGACTTCGGAGAATTTGATAGACTAATGAGTGAAAGTAAGAATGTCCTACAATACAAGTTACATTGCCCTATACTACTCCCAAGATCTGGTCAGGAAACTCTGGGTGCCTCTCCTGCTTTCTCCTTTAAGAAAGAGTAGAAATTAGAGATTCTCAGATTCAGAAGGTAACAATGGAGAGCCAAGCAGATATTTATTGAAGGCATGCTAAATGCCCAAACCTGCAATGCACTTTGGGTATAATCATATTTGAAAAACACAGATATTCGTTCTAGCACCAAGACAATATTTACCACTCAACCTGTCTTTTCTGAATAACCAATGAGATGGGACAGAGAAAAAAGTACGAAATACAGTACTTGCCTTTCAAGAGCTTATAATCTGGTGGAAGAAATCAAAGTAGTGCGTTAGAGAAAAATTAAGTACTAAACTGTGTAGTACAAACTTTAAGAGCAAGAGGAGCATAGAAAAGACTACAACCAGCATGGGATTGACTAATTTGAAAATTGCCGAGGTGAGAGAACCTAAATTGAACCTTGAGAGACGGTAGGTACAACCTGGTTAGGTGCAGGTAAGGGAGAGGGGCAGGGAAGAGAGAATGAACAGAAACACAAATGTGGGAACAAGCACAGCATGTAGAAGCAGGCATCAGTATGGTTTGTGCCAAGAAGAAAGGAACCTAACTGGAACAGAGAATTCCCTTGTTGACTGAAACAGTATCAGACAAGAAGTGTGATAAGGAGCATGTTATGTTGAAAGGCTTGAAACCAAGGGGTGGGGGTAGGGGGTGTAGGAGGGGGCTGCATGTTTTGTGTGTGTGTGTTTAACAACGAAGTGACTTGAGGAAATCCACCACATTTTAGCCTATTAGGGCTGCAGCAAACACAGTGGATTACATTACAAACGGGAGAGGCAGGGAGACTAGCTTAGGATGGTGCAAAGTACAGCAGACAAAGATGCTTGTTGGCACTGAGGTTAGAGATAGACTTCCCCAATGAAGACACAAAGAACTCGATGATGTAGGGAATGAAGACGAGGGAAGAGTTCATGATAACGCTAGGCATCTCTAGGCTGGGGGGAAAAACAACAACAACAAGGAATCACTGACAGGAAACCATAAATGTCCCTGCTGTTATCCTGTCTGAGAAACTAATTCATGTTGATAACAGCTGTCATGCCAATCAAGTAACTGAACTGCATTTTAATAGATGCCTTCAATGCCTTGACCTCAGGAGTGACAGGGGGTAGAAACCGAAGGGGAGCATCTTTCAACAGTATCCCTTACACTAATACAATGGAGGTGTTTGCTTACTCCGCTTACAATCACGGCCGCCGTTGCAAACTTCACCCTTAGAAAAATTAGGATTATTCCGGGAAAGATACCCATTCACCCTCTGGGTAGCAGGATCTTGCCAGTTCCTCAGCTGTCAGAGCGAGCTCGTGGAGAGAAGGGAGGCGCCTGAAGAAGGCGGCCTCCCAGGGGGGTCGAGGAAGCAGGGTTCAATCGAAGAAGTAAAACCACCGATGCCAGAAGAGTGAAAGACAGGGAAGGGACTCAGCTGAGGGGAGAGAGAGACCAGAGGACCGTTAAGCCCCTCCCAGGCCGGGAACCAGGCCAGCCCGGCCCCGCGCGGCCTGGCGCGGCCCAGCCCCGCTCCCCAGCCTGGAAGTCCAGGAGCTCCCCCTCACCTGCTCGGGCTCATCGGACGACTGGGAAGCTGAGGCTCCCACAGTCGGAAACGCCACTGCAGCGCCAACCCGGAAGCATTGAAACCAACGGAAGTAACCAAAGCGTTGCTTCGGCAACCGCGGCGCAGCCATTTCAACTCCGCCCCTTCCAAAACTAAAAACAAAGGCGCGAAATAAGAGGCGGAAGCGGCAGAGTTCTAAAGGCGAGGGTCGGAACCACTGCAGGCGCAGAAGCCTAGAGGGGCAACCGGACTTGCGGGAGGTGGAGGCAGGGCAGCTAAGGCGTGAGAATTTGGTAGCTTCCCCAGTTAACGTGCTCGCCAGAGGGGAAAGAGGTGTCGCCTCGTCACCGCGAAACCCACCCACCTGGCGCGTAGAAGGACTAGAAAAGGAAGGGGCCTCGCCCCGGTATCAGGGCTTGAGGAGTGGGTCAAGGGGAGTGGTGGGCGTAGTGCCCTGCGCGCTCAGTACGAAAAAGGCGGCAACGTGGAGGGGGTGGGGCAAAGGCTTCAAAACAAAAGTAGGAAAGTGAGACATAGGGGTGAGCCGAATTTAGTGAGGTGCCTGGGCTCAATGAGAAAATAAAGTTCAAGGCCAGGCGCGGTGGCTCACGCCTGTAATCTCAACACTTTGAGGGTCCGGGCGCATCACTTGATGCCAGGAGTTTTGAGACCAGCCTGGCCAACATGGTGAAATCCCGTCTCTAGTAAAAATGCAAAAAAATTAGCTGGGTGTGGTGGCACGCACCTGTGGTCCCAGCTACTCGGGAGGCTGAGGCAGGAGAGTCACTTGAACCCCGGAGGTGGAGGTTGCAGTGAGCTGAGATCACGCCACTGCCCTCTAGCCTGGGTGACAAAGCAAGACTCCATCCAAGAAAGGAGAGAAAGAGAGAGAGAGAGAAAGAGAAAGGAAGGAGGGAGGGAGAGAGAGAAAGAAAAGAGAAAGGGAGAGAAAGGAAGGGGGGGAGGGAAAGAAGGGAGGGAGGGACGGAGAATGATCCAGACAGCACCTACTGGACGTCAGACATTAACCAGTGAAAAATTACGGTCAGACCCCTTACTCGAAGCTCTTGCTTTAATCAGAAACTTCACTTAAGAAAGAGCAAGTTGGATACCAAAAAGGGGACCACAAAAAGCTAAACAGATGAGGCAGAAAAACACCAACGGGAAATCCCAGTTAATCCAAACCTCATAATCCACCAGAAGATGCCAAGAGTCCGACCCCCAGCTTCCGACTCTGGCCCCTCTGGCTGCTGGAAGGGGAAACCGCAAAGCCCCTGGGTGATTCCATTAGCCAATGTGCTATGACGTCCGATTTTTGAGCTATGACGTCCGATTTTTGAGCCTCTTAACAACGTTCCCTAATCACGCGAGAGTACGCAATAATAGGGTTTATTGCTTATGTGTTATAAGGAAAAGTCAGTGCAAGTTGGCCCTAAATGGTTATTTGTTGAATGAATAAATATTTGGAACTATGTTCTTCCAAAAGGATATTTCTCATTTTAGTTCACCTTGTTTTATTTTGTTGGGTTTTGTTTGTTTTTTTTTGGACAGAGTCTCACTTTGTGGTCCAGGCTGGAGTGCAGTGGTGCGATCTCGGCTCACTGCAACCTCCACCTCCCAGGTTCAAGCGATTCTCCTGCCTCAGCCTCCTGAGTAGCTGGGATTACAGGTGCCTGCTACCACACCCAGCTAATTTTTGTATTTTTAGTAGAGACGGGGTTTCGCCATGTTGGCCATGCTGATCGCCAACTCCTGGCCTCAGGTGATCCACCCGCCTTGGCCCCTCAAAGTGCTGGGATTAAAGGCGTGAGCCACCTCGTCTGGCCTGTGTTTTTGTTTGTTTGTTTTGTTTTCCACTTAAAAATTTCTCCAGGCAGCACACATGACGATAATATTAGCTGACATTGTGCAGTACCTACCATGTACCAAGGGTGATGCCAAGAGCTTTTTGTGTTCCTAACTACCCTATAAGACAGGTACTATTATTTTTCCCCTTTGACGGTTGAGAACACAGGCCATAAAAGGTTAGGAGAGTAATTTAGAAAATGGCAGAGCTGGGATTGCTCTTAACCACTATGCTATGTTGCTCTCATCTATACTATAGTTGGGAAGCCGAGGCAGGAACATCATTTGAGCCCAGGAGGTCGAGACCAGCCTGGGCAATATAAGGAAACACCCGCCTCTACCAAAAATTTAAAAATTAGCCACGACTGTAGTCGCAGTTACTCCGGAGGCTGAAGTGGGAGAATCACTTGAGACCGGGAGGTCAAGGCTGCAGTGAGCTGTGATCGCGCCACTGTGCTCCAGCCTCAAATTTTTTTTGGCTGGGCACAGGAGCTCACGCCTGTAATCCCAGCACTTTGGGAGGCCGAGACGGGTGGATCACCTGAGGTCATGAGTTCGAGATCAGCCTGGCCAACATGGTGAAACCCCGTCTCTACTAAATATACAAAAATTAACCAGGTGTGGTGGCGTACGCCTGTGATCCCAGCTACTCGGAAAGCTGAGGCAGGAGAATCGCTTGAACCTGGGAGGCGGAGGTTGCATTGAGCCGAGATTGCGCCACTGCACTCCAGCCTGGGCGACAAGAGTGAGACTCCATCCCCCCCACCCCCCAGAAAAAAGAAGTCACCATTAAGAAGAGTGAAAACGCAAGCCCCACAATGGTAGATTTTTAATCCATGTATCCTACAAAATTTCATATCCAGTATATGTAAAGAACTCCTAAAACAGTAATAAAATGATAGGCTACTCAAATTTTTAATGGGAAAAATGCTTGCGGGGCACTTCATAAGAGAGTATATCCAATAACCAATAAGCATATTAAAAAGTGTTCAACATTATTATTCATCAGGAAAATTAAAATTAAAATCACAATACACACCCACCAGCGTGGCCAAAGTTAAAAGGACTGAGGATTGGCAAGGATGTAAAGTATCTCAAATTCTCACATACTGCTAGTAGGAGTGTGTGTTAATTTTCTATGCTGCATTAAAAATTTGCCACAAATTCAGCAGCTTAGAACAACACACATGTACTGTCTCACAGTTTCTGTAGATCAAGAGTCCAGGCATGACTTCACTGGGTCCTGTGCTCTGGGATCTCACAAGGCTGCAATCAAGGTGTCGGCCAGACTTGTATTTTTATCTTAAGACTTGACTGAGTGAAAATCCACTTCCACGCTCACCCAGATTGTTGCAGAATTTATTTCCTTGCACCTGTAGCACTGAGGGCTTCAGTTTCTTTCTGGCTGTTGTCCAGAGGCCACTCTCAGCTGCTGAGGCTGCCCCTGTTTTCCTGCAACGTGACCCTTTCCACAGACAGCTCACAATATGGCCACTGGTTCTTCCGGGCCAGTAGGAGAATGAGAGCCTAAGATGTGATTTTATCAGTGCAGTGTACATTGGGACTATTAATTTCTTTGGTGAAGACTATATATAGTTTTCAACATTACAATAGCTTTACTATTTTTTCTGATTATAAAAAATACATAGTTATTATAAATCACTAAACTATACACAAAAGTGGAAGGAAGGTAGCAATTACCTGAAATCCAAACATCCACTGCTACTCTTGATAGTCAAAAGCCTCCTTCTAGTCCTCACCATGCATACACACATGCTTATCCTATAATTCTTGAGATAGGTGTGTTCATGTCATGTGCTTCTGGAGGGTGGCCTTATGTCCTTGTGTGCTGGAGTCAGTGGGCTGGCTATCCCTAACTTATGGTCCTCCTACATCGGGAAGCAGATTTTCTGCTTTTGTTTTCATAATAAGTAATACTCCCCCGCCTGGCCTCAATTTTAAAGTGATGCATCTTCATGGAGGGGAAAGGAAAACACAAAAGAAAAATTTTAAACACACACAAATAAAGATAAAAACACAAAAGAGGTTGGGCGCAGTGGCTCACACCTTTAATCCTAGCACTTTGGGAAGCTGAGGCAGGCCTGAGGTCAGGAGTTTGAGACCAGCCTGGCCAACATGGCGAAACCCCGTCTCTACTAAAAATACAAAAAATAGCCGAGCATGGTGGCACACGCCTGTGATCCCAGCTACTCAGGAGGCTGAGGCAGGAAAACCGCTTGAACTCGGGAGGCAGCAGTTGCAGTGAGCCAAGATCGAACCACTGCACTCCAGTCTGGGCAACAGAGTGAGACTCCGTCTCAAAAAAACAAACAGTACACACACACACACACACACACACACAAAAGTAAGTAAAATGTAAGCGTCATCCCCACTACCCAGATACCAGCATTAACATTTTTCCATCTTTTATATGTTTATGTAAATATTGCATGAACCTAGTCTTACCTATGCCTCCTTGCAGACCTCACTCACTCCTCCTTGCTGCTCCTGGAGAGCCACCTTCCCTCTCCATTTATCTTTCCTATCAGCTTCATATTCTTCCCAGGTTACCACAAAAAGAAAATCTTCTAACCCTGTGTCACCCTCTAGATTCTGCTTGATCTCCTTCCATTAATAGCCCTTTAAACATTGTTGTTTTTTTTTTTTTTTTTGAGACAGGGTCTATCTCTGTCACCCAGGCTGGAGAGCAATGGCACTATCATGGCTCACTGCAGCATCAACCTCCTGGGTCCGAGTAAGTCTCTACCTCAGCCTCCTGAGTGGCTGAGACCATAGCCATGCACCACCATACTCGACTAGGCTTTTATTTTTTATTTTGTAGAAACGGTGTCTCCCTATGTTGCCCAGGCTGGTCTCAAACTTCTGGGCTCAAGCGATCCCAATATTAATATTCTTTGGCTCATGCCTGTAATCCCAGAACTTTGGAAGGCCAAGGCGGGCAGATCACTTGAGTTAGTTGTTCAAGACTAGCCTGGCCAACATTGTGAAAATCCATCTCTACTAAAAATTAAAAAAAAAGTTAGCCAGGTGTGGTGGTGGGTGCCTGTAATCCCAGCTACTTGGGAGGCTGAGGCAGGAGAATGGCTTGAACCCGGGAGGCAGAGGTTGCAGTGAGCCAAGATCATGCCACTGAACTCCAGCCCAGGCGACAGAGCAAGACTCCCCCTCAAAAATAATATATATATACATATATATATATGTATATATATTCTGAATATTGTGTTTAGCCCAATACATCCAAAAATATCACTTCAGCATGTAATCAATATAAAAATTACTAAGTAAATATTTTAGTCTATTCCATACTACATTTTTGTGTATTTTACATTCACAGCACATCTCAATTTGGACTAGCCACATTTCAAATGCTCAATAACCACATGTGGTGAGTGGCTCCCGCAGTAGGCCGCAGAGATCTATCTCATTGCTCCATCTGATGAATTATCACATAGCTTCTCCAGCATCCCCCTAAGGAATCATCTAGCCTCCTGCTACTCAAGTGCACTCAACTGGCAACATCAATATCACCTGGACCTTGCTAAAAATGTAGACTCTCAGGCCTCAGCCAGACTCTATTTAAATAAGAATCTCCATTTTAACACTATGTCCAGATGATTTCTTTGCATATGAAACTTTAAGAAGTCTGTTCTGCCCCCTGTTAAACGCTTCCAGTAGCAGGGAGCTCACTATTCCACCCCCAAAGAAGGTCATTCTATAGTTAAATAGTTCTACATTATTAGAAAAACATTTATCTTTCCTTTACTGAGTATTCCCTATGATCCTGGCACTGTGCTAAGCACTTCATGCAAATTATCTCACGTAAGCCCAGCAGTCTATGAGATAGAGGGTAATTTTGGCTCCTTTTGTTATCGTTGTTGTTGTTTTTTTTTTAATTTTTCATTTTTTTGAGACAGAGTATCACTCCATCACCCAGGCTGGAGCCCAGTGGCGTGATCTCAGCTCACTGTAACTTCCACCTCCCAGGTTCAAGCGATTCTCCTGCCTCAGCCTCCTGAGTAGCTGGGATTACAAGCGTGTGCCACCATGTCAGGCTAATTTTTGTATTTTTAGTAGAGACAGGGTTTCACAATGTTGGCCAGGCTGGTCTCGAACTCCTGACCTCAGGTGATCCATCTGCCTTGGTCTCCTAAAGTGCTGGGATTACAGGCATGAGCCACCACACCTTGCCCATTGTTGTTTCACTATAGAAAAATGTACATTACAGCCAGGAGCAGTGGCTCATACCTGTAATCCCAGCACTTTGGGAGGCCGAGGCAAGTGGATCACTTAAGGTCAGGAGTTCAAGACCAGCCTGACCAACATGGTGAAACCCCATCTTTACTAAAACTACAAAATTAGCCAGGAATGGTGGTGCATGTCTGTAGTTGCAGCTACTCAGAAGGCTGAGGCAGGAGAATCACTCGAACCTGGGAGGCGGAGGTTGCAGTGATCTGAGATCGTGCCACTGCACTCCAATCTGGGCAACAGAGTGAGACCCTGTCTCAAAAAAAAAAAAAAAAAGGACATTACATAAAATTTACCATTTTAACCATTTTTAAGCATACAATTCTATGGCATTAAGTACATTCCCAATGTTGTGCAACCATCACCATTATCTATTTCCAGAAATGTTTCATTTTCCCAAACAGAAGCCTATTAATCACTTCCCCTCTCCCCTCTCCCAGCCCTTGGTCACTACTATTCTACTTTCTCTATGAATTTGCCTATTCTTGGTACCTCATTTAAGTGAAATCATACAACATTTGTCCGTTCGTGTCTGGCCTATTTCGATTAACATAATGTTTTCAAGGTTCATCTACGTTGTGCCCTGTATCAGAATCTCCTTATTAAGGCTGAGTCATATTCCATTATATGTACAGAGCACGTTTTGTTTATCTACTCTTTCTATAGATAATATTTGGGTTGTTTCCACATTTTGGCTACTATACATGTTATGAACACTGGTGTACAAGAATCTGTTTGAGTCTTTGCTTTCGATTTTTAGGGGTATATACCTAGGAGAGCAATTGCTGGATCATATGGTAATTCTATGTTCAACTGTTTAAAGAACTGCCAAACTGTTTTCCAGAGTGGCAGCATTGTTTCATCACAGCCTTTTAAAAATATAGCAGTTTTTGTGGCTACTTTTCTGATCAGAAAAAATGTTTAAACATTCTGTTTTATGAAAACTGAAATATAGACAACTTTTTTCCTTTATTGGAAATATTTATTTAACAAAAAAAAAACAGAATAAAAAGAATGGTCCTAAGAAACTAATGGTCTATTAATTTTTAGTGGCAATCCATATTTCTAGTGATGCTTTTAGAAAACAATGTAACAAAACATTTAAAAGTCATGCTAATATTACTAATATTTACACCTTGCATCTCAATTGGGTAAGTATCCAATTTGATGCATATCCTAGTAAATTTTTAGGTACCAAACAAAAATTGAACTGATATTCATAACATAATGGTTTATTTATCTATTTTTCCTGGCTATCATGTGCCTTATATTTTCATAATGAAAAAGGGTACCAATTGTTTAAATGTCTTTAAAAACTACCCATCTACCTATATAGCAAGTTTTAACATGATTCTTCGAGTCATCCCTTACCCAAAAAATTCATCTGATTCTCTACCCTGTAATGTATACTTCATATAAACGTCTATAATCCTTTATTCATCACCTTCTATAACGTTATCGGTAGCCTCACTGGTGTTTTCTTCTTTAAATCTGCTACTCTAAAACAAAGTTCAGCCATTTTTTTCTTTTAAATGGCAAGACATTAAATATTCTAGGCTGTACCTGTCATTCGATCAGTCACAACTACTCAAAGTTGCCACTGTAGCACCAATGCAACCACAGATCACATGTAATAAGTGAACATGGTTGTGTTCCAATAAAATTTCAGGCCAGATATGTTACCAACCGCTGCTCTAAAGAAATCCTAAACTAGTATTGTTTAGGTAGAACTAGCAGTTGAGACTAGAATAAAATAGGATATAATTAAATATCAGAAAATTAAATGGTCCTACTTGCAGACCATAATGTATGATTTAAATATTATACTTAGAAATTTACAAGAATGTGTGAACTGAACTGATAAGCTAAAGAATTTCTAGGTTAAAAAAAATCAAACGTACCCACCTATTCAATGAAAAATTGTCTTACTCTTGGGGAAGAGCTTGGGACAATGATCAGATTCCACCATCTGCTTGCAACCAAGCCCATGCAATTACTAGAAAATGTTGGATACTGGCCAGGTGCAGTGGATCACGCCTGTAATCCCAGCACTTTGGGAGGCCAAGGCAGGCAGATCACCTGAGGTCAGGAGTTCAATACCAGCCTCGGCAACATGACAAAACTCCATATCTACTAAAAGTACAAAAATTAGCTAGGCATGGTGGCATGCACCTGTAATCCCAGCTACTTGGGAGGCTGAGGCAGGAGAATCACTTGAACCCAGGAGGCGGAGGCTGAGGTGAGTCGAGATCAAGCCACTGTACTCCAGCCTGGGTGACTGAGTGAGACCCTGTCTCAAAACAAAAAAAACAAAAAACAAACAAACAAACAAAAAAAACTGAAAATGTTGGGTATAAATGATTCAACAAAGGAGAATTTCTCAGAAATTTCCTGTTTGTCTCCTTGGATTTAAACTCAAAATGGTGGCATAAATTGGCCTAATTAATTCAAGTTGAGGGGTAATATTGCAAAAAGACATAAAGAAAAGCTAGAAGAGAATTTATCAATAAACCGCCTTCCTCTCTGCTCTTATTTTATAAAAAGTAAATAGTAAACCCTCAGAAATGAGAGCATTCTAATCTTAAAGTCGAAAAAAAGAAAAATCCCAAAGGAAAAAAAAAAAGTAATAAATCAAAATCAACCTTGTAATAGCCTTTTCCTAAAAAATGAAAGCAGCAAACATAAAAAGACAGACTAAATGAATCTACATCACATTGAAAAATTACAGATTACATCTTTATTACATTGACTGGTTTTTCCTTGGAATCAGATTCCTTGCTGTTCCAATACGGCTTTAACCACTTCTTGATGTCTCAGTTAAGAATGCTTGTCTCAGTTCAGCCTGGAAATTCACCACAGGTGCTTGCTGCTGCTGAGAAGCCTCGGGTATAACTGACATTCTTGGTTCTCAGGAGGTGGTCCTTTTGCGTTTAACTTGGACTTCCACCTCTGGCACGTGCTGGTCTGTAGTCCGTCTCAGGTGTTAGTGATCCCTTGCTCTCTCCAGCACGCCACTGACAGCTCCTCGGGCATCAGAGACCTCTAGCGGCCAGCCGCTCTGCTCTGCCAACAAAGATTTAAACACACACAACACACACACACACACACACACAAAATCCCATTGCCCAGTGAAACACACGTTAATGCAATCTTTCTGGGATTTCTTTTTATGACAATTGTTTCTTCAAATAAAAGTTTTGTTTGTTCCCATGGAATTCTAAACATGCTTTTAAAGGAATAATATTTTAGAAATGTACTTACTTTGAAATACACAATTTTCCAAATAATATGCAGCCGTCAGAAATTATGCTTATGGGAGCTATGTAATAATAATTAATAAAACCTACCATCTATAGACTGCCTACTATATTCCAGAGACTTTACGTACAACAACTCTAATCCTTACAACAACCCTATGTAGCCTTTAGCATTTGACAGAACAGGTTTCGCCAGCTGTGTGGTCTTGCATAAGTATCCAATCACCCTGTCTTCAAGTTTCCTCACCTGTGAAAACAAGGATCTACCAGACCTATCTCTGGACTTACTGAGCATTCAAATGAGCTGATTCACATAAGGCACCTGGAACAGAGCCTGACACATCATAAGCACTCAATACCTGTCTATTATCACCAAAAAGGGGCGTGCCTTAAAATTTAAACATGACAGAATAAAATCAAACCATGACAAGTACCAGAAGAAGATGTAGGTGAACAGTATTATTATAACCCTGGGGTGAGCAAGACCTTTCTAAGCACACTACAAAAGGTAGAGACAGTAAAAGCAAAGGATTAATAAAACTGACCACTCAATGAAAAATCACTTCTGAACAGCAGAAAACACCACCAAGTTAGACGAAAAGCAATAAATTGGAGGAAAAAAAAAAAGGCAGGGCACGGTGGCTCACGCCTGTAATCCTAGCACTTTGGGAGGCTGAGGCAGGCAGATCAACTGAGGTCAGGAGTTCGAGACCAGTCTGGCCAACATGGCAAAACCCCGTCTCTACTAAAAATACAAAAATTAGCTGTGCATGGTGGCACACACCTGTAATCCCAGCTACTCGGGAGGAAGGGAAGGAGAATCACTTGAACCCGGGAGGCGGAGGTTCCAGTGAGCTGAGATCACACCACTGCACTCCAGCCTGGGCGACAGAGCAAGACTCTGTCTCAAAAAAAAAAAAAAAAAAAAAAGATTACATATTTGATGGACAAAAGGCTATTGTCTTTAATATACAGTGAGCTTTACAAGTTAAAAGAAACTTGTAAGTTTTTTTTAAAAAGAAACTTGTAAAGCTCACAGTACATTAAAGGGGAGGGGAGGGCAGTGAGAGATGAGATCAGGGAGGTACCAGGGGTGGGGAGATCAGATGGGGCTCTGTGTATCATGCTAAGGACTTTGGATTCTAAGTGTACAAACACTCAAAGATATTTTCCTTTAAAAATAGGCAAAGAACATAAACAGCAGAGCAGGACCGTTTGATGTGGCCATTTTATCCACAGGGACATTTTGATAAGCCCTGCTGACACAGCTATCCCTAACCTCCAGTCTAGTAGACTTTTCACTTTCTACTTTATTCCTTTCTGCATCATTTAAATTTTCTTCTATAAATGTGTGACTTGTCATCAGGGAAAAAGAAAGAAAGAAAAAACTTATTAGACAAGGTTAGCCTCTAAGAGGAAACCAAATCATCTTTATAAAATAAATTTTATGGTATTAAATATAACATTTGAAACTTAAGTCCTGAGAGAAAAGTTAAGAATTTAGTTGAGCATTTCCTCTATAGCCTAGAGCTGAAAATAAAATATCTTACTGTGTTCCAAATACCCTCCTTCTTCCCCTCCACCTACTGTCTATCTATATCTAATTCATTCATTCATTAGGCTCTTACTGAGCCCCAGCTTTGTGCCAGGCATGGTGCTAGGCTTCAGGACCTCCCAGCGAACCAGAAACAGTCCCTGCCCCCATGGTGCAGACAGTCTCATTGGGAGTTGGAGGAGGAGCAGGTAAAAAATAATTAAATATTCAGGTTAACGATATATTGTCAGGTGTGAGGAAAGGGCGCAGAGAATGGCAGGGGCAGCTGTTTTAGCTACAGTGGCCAGGAGGCCTCCAATGGAGTGATCTTTGAGCAGAGGCATGCAGGAGATGAGGGGACAGTGATGAGGATTTCTAAGAACACTCCAGGCAAAGACCTGAAGCAGGCAGGGGCCTGGTGTGTGTTCGCCAGCATGGCTGGAGCAGAGCCATGAAGGGGGAAGGCAGTGGGAGATGAAGGCAGGGAGTCCCCCGGGGGTGGGGAGATCAGGTGGGGCTCTGTGTATTATGCTAAGGACTTTGGATTCTGTTCCAAGAGCTGGAAAGGTTGACGTGATCGGGGGAAAGCAAGCCCACACAAAGCAGAGGTGTCCAGTCTTTATATTTTTAAATGAAAAAAAAAGAGTAACTTCCATTAAAACAAGTGACTCCTGGTTTTGTGTAATAGTAGACCAAATGGTGCCCAATCCCTAACCATCCCTTACTCCCATATCTAACCTGTACCTCAGAGTGGCAGTGGTTAGCAATAGAGAATTCTTCTGTTTGGTTGTTGTGAAGAAGGAGTTAACACAGTATGTTTGGTGGCTTACTCCTTGCATGTCTCCAAGCCACCCCTTGGGAATGTAGCCTTCAGCATGTTCTTTAGGTCACTGATGGATTGACTGTTTTGTTCTGTACACCTGGAGTAACGCACCATGCCATGGCATCTTGTTAGGGTTGCTTTGCCCAAACATCAAGATTGATGTATGTGAACCTGGTTTCGTTGTTGGAGTCCTGACCACAATCAGTGGCACAGTCTCGGCTCACTGCAACCTCTGCCTCCTGGGCTCAAGTGATTCTCCTGCCTCAGCCTCCCGAGCATCTAGGATTACAGGGACATGCCAACACGCCTGGCTAATTTTTGTATTTTTAACAGAGACAGGGTTTCACCATGTTGGCCGGGCTGGTCTCGAACCCCTGACCTCAAGTGATCTGCCAGCCTCGGCCTCCCAAAGTGCTGGGATTACAGGCATGAGCCACCGCGCCCAGCCTCCTGAGTTTCAATTGCCATGGCCAGTTGTGCATATATGACTAAGCATTCCATCAGAGCCTCAGACCTTGAGACTTGAAACAGCCTTCACTGGGCACAGATATTCCACACATGTCCCTGAAGTTCACTGCTACAAGAAATTGAAAGGGGAACTATAAAGTATTGTAAACTAAAAGAAAAATGAAAAAGCAACATAATTAAAGCTGTGGGATGCAGCTCAAGCAGTACTCAGAAGAGTATTCAAATCACTAAATCCCTATATTAGAAAAGCTGAAAGCCCGCAAATCAATGACCTCAGCTTTGCTCTTAAGAAACAAACAAAAAACGAAACAAAAAAAAAATAACAAATTTAACTTAAAGTAAGCAGAAGAAAGGAAATAATAATGGTAAGGGGAAAAAATCAATAAAATAGGAAATAGGAAAAAACAGAGATAAAGCAATTAAATCAAAAGTTGGTTCTTTGAAAAGACCAATAAAATGTAAAAATCTGTATCCAGAATGATCAGGAGAAAGAAAGAAGATGCAAATTACCAATATCAGAAATAAGAAAGGAGATATCACCATGGATCCTCCAGACATCAAAAGGATAATAAGGGAATATTATAAACAATAAATAAAAAAGAAAAAATAGATAAATTAAACTTTATCAATTTTTTTAAATGGACCTCAAAGGACACTACCAAGAAAGTGAAAAAACAACTCACAGAATGGGAGGGAATATTTGCAAATTATATATATGATAATGGTTTAGTATCTCGAATACATAAAGAACTCTTAAAGGACCCACCTCTCGATACTGCCAAATTGGGGATTAAATTTCAACATCAGTTTTGGGGAGGACAAATATTCAAATCATAGAAAAAACTGTATGCCAATAAAATTTGACGATGTTGGTGAAATTGACAAATGTACACATTTCCTAAAATACAAAAAGTGCCAAAGTTCATTCAAGAATAAATCAATAATCACAATAGTCAAATATTAATTTGTAGTTTAAAAACCTTCTCGCAAAGAAAACTTTGGTCCCAGACTTCACTGGCAAATTTTCCCAAACATTTAATGAAGAAATAATTACAATTCTATATGAAATCTTCCAGAAAATAGAAGAGAATAGAATACTTCCCAAATCATTCTACAAGGTCAGAATACCCTGACACCAAAATCAGATAAAGACATTACAAGAAAGAAAACTAAAGACTAATACAGTTCAAAAAGACTCAAAAATTCTTAAAATTTTAGCAAATTGAATCTAACACTATATAAAAAGGATGATTTATCATAACTACATGGGGGTTTATCTGAAGAATATAAAGTAGATTTAACAATCAAAAATGAATCACTGTAATTCACTATATGAATAAAAGAATAAATAAAAAACATATAATCATTTTTATAAACACAGAGAAAACATTTCACAAAAATGCATCATTCATTCCTGATTAAATCACTAAGCAAACTAAGAATAGAATACGCTAAAGAAAGGTAACTACAAAAGACCTATAGCTAACATCACACTTTCTGATGAGAGGCTGAATGCTTTTCTCCTAACATCAGTAATAAGGCAAGGCTATCCATTCATCCCACTTCTATTCAGTATGATACTGAATAGAAGAAATTCTAGTCAGTATGATACTGAATAGAAGAAATTCTAGTCAATGAAATAAGGCAAGAAAAAAAGGCATTCAGATTGGAAAGGGAAAACAATAAACTCTCATTATTCATGGATAACATGTTGTCCAAACAGAAAAGCTTCTAGAATGTTGTATAAATAATCTACAACTAATAAGTGGGCTTAGTAAGGTCACAGAATATAAAGTCAATACACAAGAATCAATTGTACTTTTATATATTAGCCGTGAATAACTGGACATTTTAAATTTTAAAAATATTTAAAACAGCATCAGACATATAGAATATTTAGGGATAAATGTGACGCAAAATGTGCAAGATCTGCACATTGAAAACTATAAAAGATTACTAAGAGAAATTAAAGAAAACTTAAATAGGAAGATATACTATACTCACGGTTTGGAAGACTCAATAGTATGAAAATGTCAATTCTTCTCAAACTGATCAATAGATTCAACACAATACCAACCAAAATCCCAGGAAACTTCCCTATAAAACTCACAAGCGGATTCTAAAATTCTTAACTGATATGCAAAGGATCTGAAATACACAAAAAAATTTTGAAAAAGAATGACAAAGTTAAAAGAATTACACTACTTGATTCAAGATTTATTATAAAGGTAATTAAGACAGAGTAGCATTGACAGAAGGAGAAATACATAGATCAATGGAGTAGGATAAAGGGTCCAGAAACTGACCCACAAATAAGGTGAACTTATTTTCAACTGAGATGACAAGGCAATTCAATGAGAGAAAAAACATTTTCAACAAATAATGCTGTCAAAATTCAATAACCTTGTCAGGCACGTTGACATACACCTGTAGTCCCAGCTACTTGGGAGGCTGAGGTGGGAGGATTGCTCAGGAATTTGAGGCCAGCCTGGGCAACATAGAGAGACCCTTATCTCTAAAAAAATAAATAAATATAAAAAATTCTGAATAATCTCATGCAATAAAAACACAACTTAGACCCGTATTTTATGCCATATAAAAAATAAAATCTCAATGAAGCATAGACCTAAAGGTTAAGAGTTTAAAAACTATTTCTTGAGACTGTTATGTAGCAAACTAAATTCCTAACTGATATAGAAGAATTCCATGGTGTAAAAAATATATGAAGAAGTATATTCCTTTTGTAAATGTTTATAATTTGCAATAACCTATTAAAACTCAGAAATCCAACAACAAATAAATTTAATTTTGTTTAACCCAGTAATACACAAGTATATTTGTCCATGAAGCTCTTTATTTGCATATTAGTAATAGTCTATGAAACAATTTCAAAACCACGATCTTGTTCAAGACTTTTGCTCTAAATATGAGAAATCTAATGCCTAGAGAGAGTAATTCACTTGAGAGAAATGGGAGATGTCTCCAACCATAAATCCTCTGCTTTTTGTATTACACAATAGATTATCATTTTCAGTGGCATGGAATATGCCTTGAAGGTTTCATAAGCAAGTGTTGCTTCTACTTCTGTGCCTCTACTACGTTTTGGGCCATCCCTATTATAGTGTTAATTATCCTATAGTACAATAATCTGTCTTTTTCATGAGACTGAGCACTCCTTCTGCCCAGGGAATGATAATGGATCATTTTTCTTTTGCCCAGTTAGTGCCAGTGACTAGAATATAGTGGAATTTCAGTAAATGTTTTACGAATAAAATATAAAGGTGGAGAGGATTCCCATGTGAACAGCTGATATGGTTTGGCTGTGTCTCCACCCAAATTTCATATTGAATTGTAGTTCCCATAATCCCCATGTGTCATGGGAGGGACCTGGTGGGAGGTGATTGAATCATGGGGGCAGTTACCCCCATGCTGCTGTTCTCATGATAGTGAGCGAGTTCTCACAAGATCTAACGGTTTTATAAGGGGCTTTCCCAGCTTTTGCTCAGCACTTCTCTTTGCTGCCGCCATGTGAAGAAGAACGTGTTTCCTTCCCCTTCTGTCATGATTGTAAGTTTCCTGAGGCTTCCTCAGCCATGCTAAATTGTGAATAAATTAAACCTCTTTCCTTTATAATTTACCCAGTCTCAGGTATGTCTTTATTAGCAGCGTGAGACCATTATTAGCAGCATGAGAGAGGACTAATACAACAGCCCAAGAACAAGAGTACAGACATCCAAAAGTTAGAGTACAAGACTCCAAGTTAGGAAGAGACGAAATATTATCTAAGGGAGGAAGTCATGGTTGGTGAGAAATTAAAAATAATATATGCACGACGAGGAAACAGGAAAGTAAACACAATGAGATGTAGCATTATCATAAGTGCAGAAAGATTTTTGGTTCAAGACAACTGGTATATAATTGCATAATCACTAAATAATTGCCTATACTACACACCAAGAATATGCTGTGTTTCGTGCAAAAAAAATCAGCACATTATTACATACTAACCACTTTAAAATCATTATTGCAGTTAGACAGCACTGGATATATATGGGTTTAAGTATCAGTTCAATATGTTGAGAGAAATAATTTCAAGCTTGCTATTCTCAAAATAAAAATGTTAGAATATATGAAAACAAAAGTACATTACAAATGAAGCTAACTTTTTAAAATTTATTTTTTTTTCTATAGTAGGTTCAAGTTCAAGAAGAAGCTAACCATTATATATCACGCTAAACTCTTGACTTATTTAGGTCTCATAACTACCCTGTCAGGTAGATTTCTCCTCAACCTCCCACCTTTTAAACAGATTTCAGGAAATGAAGCATCCTCTCTCTAACAATCTGCATTCAGTCACAAAAATCTAGGTTGCCCCAATTTTCCCCTAATAATTTCCAAATCTCAAGATTTTTTAATGCAGTGAACTTTTCCAGTGACTCCAATTTTACAAATAGAGTTTAATTTTCCTGATGTACAGAACCTCTTGTTGAACATAAAAATGATAACACGGAGGCTGAGGCAATAACAGGAATTGTATGAGCCCAGGAGTTCAAGGCTACGATGAGCTATGATTGTGACACTGCACTCCAGCCTGGGCAACAGAGCAAGACCTCATCTCTAAAAAATGACAACAGGTCCATCATCTTGTTCAGGAAAGACACACTCTAGAAATTCAAAACAGGTGCCTCTCCAAGGGAAAACCTAAGACTTGTAAGAGTTCCCAGCATGGTTTTGAATCAAAATAGATTTGTAACTTTTCACAGAACTGTAACCGACTCAAACTCATTTTGTTCACCACACGACAGCTCATACGCCAAGAGACAAGAAGTTAGAGCAAGAACAGTGACTTTATTTTGAAGACCCAGCAAACGGAGAAGATGGCAGGCCAATGTTCTTGTTCTTGTTCTTGTTCTTGTTCTTTTCTTTTCTTTTCTTTTCTTTTCTTTTCTTTTCTTTTCTTTCCTTTTCTTTTCTTTTCTTTGAGACAGAGTCTCACTCTGTTGCCCAAGCTGGAGTGCAGTGGCATGATCTCGGCTCACTGCAACCTCCACCTCCCGGGTTCAGGTGATTATCCTGCCTCAGTCTCCCAAGTAGCTGGGATTACAGGGGTGCACCATCACGCCCGACTAATTTTTGTATTTTTAGTACAGATGGGGTTTCACCATGTTGGCCAAGCCAGGCTGCTCTTGAACTCCTGACCTCAAGTGATCCACCAGCCCCAGCCTCCCAAAGTGCTAGGTTTACAGGTGTGAGCCACCGCACCTGGCCTGGACTACCATTCTTAATAACTTAAGAACCATCTTAACTGAGTACAAATTTCAGGCTCTTTTTATGTTAAGGGCAGGGGAAAGAGGAAGGGGTTGGAATCAAGAAGCGAGCAATGGCTGCAGATATCTGAGCACCAGTGAGGGTCCGAGGAGGTTGGGAGCTGTTTTTTCCTTGGTCAGGTCACAATACTCCTATAAATCTTTAACAAAACATAGTTTGTTGTTTATATACTTCCCCTTTAATGCCAGAGTTAGTTTAAAAAACTATATGATTGCCATTTTTGCATTTTATCTCAGTGCTCTAGAATTATCCTAGCTACATGCAGGAATGGGTAAAGGCCCCTTAAACAAAAATGTAGTTAGTTATGTTAGTTCTTCTGCTATTTTACTGTTACATAAACAGAAGTAAAAAGAGAACGAACATGTATAGAGCATGTAATAAATTATACAGATATTATGCTAAACACTTTTTAAAGTGTCCTCCATTTAATTCTCACATCTTCCTTATGAGATAAAATGGACCTTGCTTCTGGAATGTTTACTAAACATTATGAGTTTTTACATTTTCAACAAAGGTGCCAAGAACATACATTGGGGAAAGGACAATCTCTTCAATAAGTGATACTGGGGAAAACTGGATATTCATCTGCAAAACAATTAAACTAGACCCCTATCTCTCACCATATACAAAAATAACTCAAAAATAACTCAAAAGTAAAGACTTAACTGTAGACCTGAAACTGAAACTGCTTTAAGAGAACATTGGGGAAATGCTTCAGCACACCGGTCTGAGCAAAGATTTGAGGTAAGACCACAAAAGCACAAGCAATAAAAACAAAAATAAACAAATGGAATTACATCAAGCTAAAAAATTTCTGCACAGCAAAGGAAACAATCAACAGATTGAAGAGACAACCTACAGAATGCGAGAAAAGATTTGCAAACTATCCATCTGAGAAAGGATTAATAACCACAATACATAAAGAACTCAACTCAACAGCAGAAAAAAAACCCCAAATAATCCCATTTTTAAATGGGCAAATGATTTGAATAGATATTTTCAAAAGAAGACATACAAATGGCCAACAGGTATATAAAAACATGTTCAAGATCATTAATCAGCAGAAAAATGCAAATCAAAGCCACAACGAGGTCATCTCACCCAGGTCAAAATGGCTATTATCAAAAAAATAAGAAATAACAGATGGTGGTGAGGGTACAGAGGAGGAGGAACTCTCATACACTGTCAGTGGGAGTGAAAATTAGCACAGCCATTATGAAAAACAGAATGGAGGTTCCTCAACAACTAAAAATAGAACAACCATATGATCCAGCAATTCCACTGGTGGGTATATCGCCAAAAGAAAGAAAATCAGTATATTGAAAAGATATCTGCACTCCCATGTTGATTGCAGCATTATTCTCAATAGCCAAGATGTGTAACCAACCTAAGTGCCCATCAACAGATGAATAGATAATGAAAATGTGGTATATATTATATACACAATGGAATGTTATTCAGCCATTAAAAAAAAGAATGAAATCCTGTCATTTGAAGCAATATGAATGAATCTGGAAATGAATCTGGACCTTCACTCTAAGACTTGTAAGAGTTCCCAGCATGGTTTTGAATCAAAATTGATTTGTAACTTTTCACAGAACTGTAACCAAGTCCAAACTCATTTTGTTCACTACACAACAGCTCATATGCCAACAGACAAGAAGTTAGAGCAAGAACGGTGACGACCCAGCAAACAGAGAAGATGGCAGACTAGTGTGAAATAAGCCAGGAACAGAAAGACAAATATTGCATGTTCTCATGCATAGGTGGGAGTTAAATAAATTAATCTCATCGTGGTAGAAGGTAGAATGGTGATTATCAGAGTCTGAGAATGGGAGAAGGGAAGGGGGATGAAGAGAGGTTGGTTAATGGATACAAAAATGCAGTTAGAAAGAACAAGTCCAAATGTTCCATAGCACAGTAGAGTGACGACAGTTACCAATAATTTATTGTATATTTCAAAATGTCTAAAAAAGATTTGGAATAAATGTTCTCAACATAAAGAAATGATAAATATTTGAGGTGATGGATATATGTATCAAAATATCACATGCATCCCATAAATATGTACAATTATTATGTATCAGTTTAAAAATTCTAGCAACTACTCTAGGAAATAAAAGAAAAAATTGTGAGTTTTTAAAAGCTAGAAAAACAAAGTACATAAATACGATAAATGTTTAACAATGGAGTAGATTAGTTATAAATAAACAGAAAGTGTATTAGTCCATTTTCATGCTGCTGATAAAGACATAACCCAAGACTGGGAAGAAAAAGAGGTTTAATGGACTTACAGTTCCACGTGGCTGAGGAGGCCTCACAATCATGGTGGAAAGGAGGAGCAAAGTCACATCTTACATGGATGGCAGTAGGCAAAAAGAGAACTTGTGCAGGGAAACTCCCCCTTACATAAAACTCAGATCTCATGAGACTTATTCACTTTCACAAGAAGAGCATGGGAAAGACCTGCCCCCATGATTCAATTACCTCTCACCAGGTCCCTCCTACAACACGTGGGAGTTCAAGATGAGATTTGGGTGAGGATGCAGCCAAACCATATCATTCCACCCCTGGCCCCTCCAAATCTCAAATGTCCTCACATTTCAAAACCAATCATGCCTTCCTAACAGTCTCCCAAAGTCTTAACTCATTTCAGTATTAGCTCAAAAGTCCACAGTCCAAAGTCTCACCTGAGACAAGGCAAATCCCTTCTACCTATGAGCCTGCAAAATAAAAAGCAAGTTCGTTACTTCATAGATATAATGGGGGTATAGGCATTGGGTAAATACAGCTATTCCAAATGGGAGAAATTAGCCAAAACAAAGGGGCTACAGGGCCCATGCAGGTCCAAAATTCAGCAGGGCAGTCAAATCTTAAAGCTCCAAAATGATCTCCTTTGACTCCATGTCTCACATCCAGGTCACGCTGATACAAGAGGTGGGTTCCCATGGTCTTGGGCAGTTCTGCCCCTGTAGCTTTGCAGGGTACAGACTCCCTCCCAGCTGCTTTCATGGGCTGGCATTGACTGTCTGCGGCTTTTCCAGGCATACAATGCAAGCTGTCAGTGGATCTACCATTCTGAGGTCTGGAGGACGGTGGCCCTCTTCTCACAGCTCCACTAGGCAGTGCCACAGTAGCAACTCTGTGTGGGGCCTCCAACCCCACATTTCCCTTCTGCACTGCCCTAGCAGAGGTTCTCCATGAGGGCCCTACCCCTGCAGCAAACTTCTGCCTGGGCATCCAGGTGTTTCCATACATCCTCTGAAATCTAGGCAGAGGTTCCCAAACTCCAGTTCTTGACTTCTGTGCACTTGCAGGCTCAACACCACATGGAAACTGCCAAAGCTTGGGGCTTGCACCCTCTGAAGCCTCTCAAGTGCAATAGAGAAGACAAGACAATTAAATTTTGGTTCCGTTCAATTCGGGGATGAAAGTAAGGATTTCTCCAGTGACAGCCAGTCAGTTTTGGGGTCACTGGATGCTGTAAACATCTATAAGGCTCAGGCAGAAGAGACACTGCTAAGAAAGAAGGCAAGGCACATCCAAAGTAATAAATTAAAGGAAGTAGCCACTATCTGAGGGCAATAGCATGTCAAGAAGAGCTATTGGAACTCAGAGTTGGATTCCATGGAAAATATGAAAATATTTCTTTACCAACAGAGTTGTCCAGCAGGGGAAGGCAATTGTATTTTGAGGGTGGGAGTTTCCATGATGTTGTCAATGGCTAAGCCAAGACCCTGTGGTAGCCACCCCAATATTCACCTCTCTTTTCTTGGTGGCCGCCCCATGTCCTTTAGTGTCACATCCCTGCACTGGCTCGCCCCTGGAACTATAATTCTAAAATAAGCAAATTAGCATAATTCCTATTTAAATCAATCAGCATAGTCCCATTCCCTGCCATTGGTTGATTTTGTCAGGACTTTGGGAATAGTTTTTCTTTCATATTTGGGAGGAATTTCAAAGGCAACCCTCTCTTCATGTGCTCAAAGAAACGAGGAGACTTGGAGCTGTGGGCAGCCATATCTCAGCCACAAGGAGAGCCAAGTTAAAATAAAGCAGACATCAAGAAAACATAGGCAGAAAGAAATCTAACTTTGGTGCCATTTTTGAACCTCTGAAACAAATAGTTTCTAAACCCAGTTCTACTTTTATTGGTTAGGCCAGAGGGATTTGACTTTTCTCTTACTTGTAATTTAGTATTTCTAATTGACACAAGCCCATTGGTCATTTTTGGTAACAAAGACCCAAGTATGAAATGAACAGAAGGATTAGATAACTTGAGACAGAGTTTCAGAAAACTGGAGTTCGCCCAGGCTGGAGTGAAGTGGTGCTATCTCAGCTAACTGCAACCTCTGCCCCCGCCAGGTTCAAGCAATTCTCCTGCCTTAGCCTCCTGAGTAGCTGGGACTGCAGGTACATGCCACCATGCTCAGCTAAATTTATTTTATTCTATTTTATTTTTGTATTTTTAGTAGAAACGGGGTTTCGCCTTGTTGGCCAGGCTGGTCTCGAACCCCAGACCTCAGGCGGTCCACTCACCTCGGCCTCCCAAAGTGCTAGGATTACAGGCATGAGCCACTGCGCCTGGCCAGGATTAGATAACTTTTAAGGCCTCATCCCAGTGGTAAGATTCCACAGCTCAGTGGCAGAGCTATAGGGAAATCCTGAGAAAAGGAGGAGACATGTAATCTAATCTGATTCATGCCTATTTTTAAGAATAATGGAGAGTCAGCTTCTTACCCTTCCCAAACATACTGACTTAGAGGAAGAAATAGCCATCTGCCCAAATCCTCAGTCATGACAGCTCCTGCAGTGGGACTGACTAGTGAAAAAAAATTATTTTTTTCAGACAGGGACTCACTCTGTTCCCCAAGCTGGAGTGCAGTGGCACAATCACAGCTCACTGCAGCCTCAACCTTGTGGGCTAAAGAGGTCCTCCCTCCTCAGCTTCCTGAGTAGCTGAGACTGAAGGTGCATGCCACCATACTCGGCTAAATTTTTATACTTTTTGTAGAGACAGGGTCTCACTATGTTGCCAAGGCTGGTCTTGAACTCCTGGCCTCAAGCGATTCTCTTCCCTCAGCCTCCCAAAGTGCTGGGATTACATGTGTGAGCTACTGCGCCTAGCTGTGAAATTTTTCATGTCTATTATTGCCCAGAATATTTTATACTTCCTTCTTTCTCATTATACTGTGAATTCCTTGAAGATTGGGGCTGCCAGGCATCTTTCTACACTATTCAGCTAATAAGTTAGACACTCAAAAAATGGGAGCTGGAATGAAATTTATCAATCATTTGATATTATAACAGGGTATTTTTTTTTTCATGCTCTAATGGGGCCTTTGCATGCGCTCTTCTACCCTTTTTTTTTTTTAAACAGAGTTTTGCTCTTGTCACCCAGGTTAGGGTGCAATAGCGTGATCTCGGCTCACTGTAACCTCCACCTCCCGGGTTCAAGCAATTCTCCTGCCTCAGCCTCCCAAGTAGCTGGGATTACATGCGCCTGCCACCACGCCCAGCAAATTTTTGTATTTTTAGTAGAGATAGAGTTTCACCATGTTTGCCAGCCTGGTATCGAACTCCTGACCTCAGGTGATCCACCCGCCTTGGCCTCCCAAAGTTCTGAGATAGCAGGCATGAGCCACCGCACCTGGCCACATATGCCCTTTTCAATGAGAAAATATTATTCCCACCAGTGTATTTCCTATAATATCTCTGTCCACTTGGGACTAGAAGGAACAATATGATGGAAAAATTAGTTTAATAACAATCAAACCCTTCAGGTAATCACACACCAATCACAGTTGAACTCTCATTATTCTCCTCTAACAGCTGGAAAGAATTTCCCACTTCTGGGGGTTCCTGGCAGAACATTTGTTTACATTTACTCTTTTAACATTGGTAGATACAAGGATTTCCCTAAACCTTGCTGGTATTCTTGTTTATTCTTATTAAGGTGAAATTTCACCTAACATACAATTCACCATTTACAAGGGTTCAATTCAGCGGCATCTACTACTTTCACAATGCTGTGCAACCACCACCTCAAATCCTTTCATCATCAAAGGGGTGATGTACTATGTACCCAGTAAGTAATAAGAAAATGAGGAGACAACTCACAGAATGGGAGAAAATATTTGAAAATGATACATCTCATGTGGTTCTAGTGTTCAGAATATAGAAATAATGTCCCCAACTCAACAACAAAAAGATAAAAAGCCTAGTTTAAAAATGGACAAAGACTTGAACAGATACTACTGCAAAAAGGATATCAAATTTCCTATAAACACATGAAAAGATGCTCAACATCATTCTAATGCAAATCAAAACCACATGAAATGCCACTTCACAGCTACTATTATGGCTATTCAGAAAAAAAGGAGAAAATAACAAGTGTTGGGGAGAATGTAAAGAAATTGGAACCCTTGTGCATTACTGGTGGGGAAGTAAAATAGTGTAGCTGCTGTGGAAAACAGCTTGGCAGTTTCTCAAGTCAAATGTATAATTACCACATGATCTACCAATTTCATTTCTGGATATTTACCCAAAAGTATTGGTAGCAGGGACTCAAACAGGTATTTTTATACCCATAGTTATAACAGTGGTTATTCACAATAACCAAAAGGTGGAAGCAACCTAAGTACCCATTGATAGATTAATGGATCAATAAAATATGGCACAATGAAATATTACTTGGCTTTAAAAAGGAATGGAACAGGTCGGGTGTGGTGGCTCACGCCTGTAATCCCAGCAGTTTGGGAGGCCAAGGTGGGCAGATCACCTGAGGTCAGGATTTCGAGACCAGCCTGGCCAACATAGTGAAACCCCGTCTCTACTAAAAATAAAAAAATTAGCCGGGCAGGGTAGTGGGCGCCTGTAATCCCAGCTACTCGAGGAGTTGAGGCAGGAGAATCACTTGAACCCAGGAGAAGGAGGTTGCAGTGAGCCAACATCGCGCCATTGCACTCCAGCCTGAGCGACAAGAGCAAAACTCCGTCAAAAAAGAAAAGAATGAAATACTGATACATACTATAGCATAGATGAACCTTGAAAACATTATGCTAAGTGAAATAAGCCAGACACAAAAAGGCAAATATTGCATGATTCCACTTATATGAGGTATCCTTTATAAACAAATGTATATATAGGGGAAGTATAATAGAGGTTACTAGGTGCTGGAGGACAAGGGTAATGGGGAGCTCAATAGTTACACTTTCTGTTTGGGGAGATGAAAAAATTATGAAATTGATAGTGGTGATGGTTATACTACAATGGGAATGCATTTAATGCCACTCAATTGTAACCTTAAAATTGTTAAGATGCAAAATTTGCAATTTTTATATTACACATATTTTGCCACAAGTTGTTTTTTAAAAATAATGTAATATACAAAAACCATTGCACTGTACTCTTTAAATGGATGATTTGTATTGTTTGTGAATTATAGTTCAATAAGGCTGTTTAAAAATCCATTACCACCCCCAAAAAAGTAGCATCAAAAAGGATAAAAATATTAGAGAACGTATTTAACCAAGAAAATGAAAGACTCATACACTGGAAAATACAAGCTATTCTTGAACAAAATTTTAGAAGACCTAAATAAGTGGAAAACCAATCTAGTTTCATGAACTAGAAAGCTAATATTTTTGAGATGGCGATTCTCCCCAAGTTTGTCTGCAATTTGAATGCATGACCTACCAAAATACCTTTTTTACAGAAATAGACAAGTCTGCCTTTTTTGCAGAAATAGACAAGTCTATCCTAAAATTCACGTGTAATTCCAAAAATCCTCGAATAGCCAAAACAATTTTGGAAAAGAACAATGGGGAAGAACCCACACTACTGAATTAAACAACTTACTACAAAGCTGCAGAAATCAAAACAGTGTAGATCTGTCATAAAAAAGAAATATACAGCAATGGAATAGAATAAGAGTCTAGATATAAACCTATAAATTTATGGTCAATTGATTTTCAGCAAAGGTGCTACACTGATTCAATGGGAAACAATAGTGTTTTCAACAAATAGTTCTGTGACAACTGGATATTCATGTGAAAAATAATGTATTTGGTCTCTATCCCATACCATAGACAAAAAAAAAATCACTCAAAATGGATCAAAGACCTAAATACAGCCTAAAGCTATGAAACTGTAGAAGAAAACACATACTAAATCTTTATGACCTTGAATTAGGCAATGGTTTCTTAATTATGATACCAAAAGTACAAGTATGAAAATAAAAAGTAGATGAATTGGGCTTCATTAAAATTAACAATGTTTGTACCTTGAAGGACACTATCAAGAAAGTTGACCAGACAATCCACGGAAAGGGAGAAAATATTTGCAAATAATATAACTCATAAGAAGGTGGTATCCAGAATATATAAAGGATTCTCTCACAACAGCCCACTTTAAAAGTAGACAAAGAACTTGAACAGACATTTTTCCAAAGATACACAAAATAAATATGCAAATTAAAAGATAGGCAATTCATTAGTCATTATAGAAATGCTCATCTAAATCATAATGAGATATTACTTCACATCCACTGGAAAGCTACAGTTTTTTTAAAGTTAAAAAACAAGTATTAGGAAAAATGCAGACAAATGGAAACCATCATACACAGTGGATGGGAATCTAAAATGGATCAGTCCCTGGGGAAAACAGTTCTGCAGTTCCTCACAAAGCTAAACATGGAGTTACCATATGACCAAACAATCCACTTCCAGGTGTATACCCAAAAGAATTGAAAACATGCTTACATAATACTTGTCCACAAATTTTCATGAATGTTCAGTATTATTAATAATAGCCAAAAGCAGAAAAACCCAAATGTCCATCAATTGATGAATTCTAAACAAAATGGGATATATCCATACAATGGAATACTGTATAGCCTAAAAAAGGAATGAAGAATTGACATATACTATCACATAGACAAACACTGAAAACATTATGCTAGGTAAAGAAGTCACACACGGCCGGGCGCGGTGGCTCACGCCCGTAATCCCAGCACTTTGGGAGGCCGAGGGGGGCAGATCATTTGAGGTCGGGAGTTCGAGACCAGCCTGACCAACATGGAGAAACCCCATCTCTACTAAAAATACAAAATTAGCTGGGCATGGTGGCTGGGCATGGTGGCGCATGCCTGTAATCCCAGCTACTCAGGAGGCTAAGGCAGGAGAATCGCTTGAACCCAGGAGGCAGAGGTTGTGGTGAGCTGAGATCGCACCATTGCACTCTAGCCTGGGCAACAAGATTGAAACTCCATCTCAAAAAAAAAAAAAAAAAAGCAAAAGTCACACACAAAGACAACTTATTCTATGAGTCCATTTATATGAAGAAAAGGCAAATTTAACAGACAGCAAGTAAACTAGTGGGTGATTATGATTAAAGGTTATGTAGGATAGAAAAATGATGACTAAAGACTACGGGATTTCTGACTGAGGCAATGAAAATATGTCATAATCAACTGTGGTGATGGTGCACATATCTGTGAATATACTAAAAACCATTGAATTGCAGAGTTTAAACAGGTGACTTTTCAAACAAAGCTATTTGAAAAACAGTTGTATTCCTATATACTAGCATAAAATAACCAAAAGCAAAACTAAGAAAAGAATTGCATTTCAAACAGAATCAAAACTAATAAAACACTTAGGCATAAATTTCACCAAGAAATTGTGAAACTTGTACACTAAAAACTACAATATGTTGAAATAAATTAAAGAAGATATAAGTAAATGGAGCACCATCCCAGTTTCATGGGCTAGAGAATGTAATATTATTAAGATGGCAAACTCCCCAAATTGATTTACAGATAGAATACAAGACCTTTCAAATCTGCCTTTTCTCCCAAACATAGATGAACTGATCCTAAAATCCATATGAAACTGAAGAGTACCCTAAAGAGCAAAAACAGTGTTGAGAAAGAACAATGTAAAAGAACACAGCCTTCTTAATTTCAAATTTTATCACAGGCTGGGCATGGTAGCTTATGCCTGTAATCCCAGCAGTTTGGGAGACCAAGGTGGGCGGATCACTTGAGGCCAGGAGTTCAAGACCAGCATGGCCAATATGGCAAAACCACGCCTCTACTTAAAAAAAAAAAAGACAAAAAAACCAAACAAATAAAAATTAGCCAGACGTGGTGGTGCACGCCTGTGATCACAGCTACTCAGGAAGCTGAGGCATGAGAATTGCTTGAACCCAGGAAGCAGAGGTTGCAGTGAGCTGAGATTGCATCACTATACTCCAGCCTGGGCGACAGAGCAAAACTCCATTTAAAAAAAAAACAAACACTGGGCACGGTGGCTCACACCTGTAATCCCAGCACTTTGGGAGGCCAAGACGGATGGATCACGAGGACAGGCGTTCAAGACCACCTGGCCAAGATGGTGAAACCCTGTCTCTTCTAAAAATACAAAAAATTAGCTAGGCGCGGTCGCAGGTGCCTGTAATCCCAGCTACTCGGGAGGCTGAGGCAAGAGAATCACTTGAACTTGGAGGGCAGAGGCTGCAGTGAGCTGAGATTGCACCACTGCACTCCAGCCTGGGCGACAGAGTGAGACTCTGTCGCAAAAAAAAAAAAAAAAAAAAAAAAAAAACTTGTTACAAAGCATAGGATAGAAACATAGAGAAGTGGAATACAATGATAGTCCAGATATAAACCCACACATCTATGGTCAATTGATTTTTTTTTGAGATGGAGTCTTGCTCTCTTGCCCAGGCTGGAGTGCAATGGTGCACTCTCAGCTCACTGCAACCTCCACCTCCCTGGTTCATGTGATTCTCCTGCCTCAGCCTCCTGGGTAGCTGGGATTACAGGCGTGTACCACCATGCCCAGCTAATTTCTGTATTTTCAGTAGAGACGGGTTTCACTAAGTTGCCCAGGCTGGTCTTGAACTCCTGACCTCAAGTGATCTGCCTGCTTCAGCCTCCCAAAGTGCTGGGATTACAGGTGTGAGCCACCACACCCAGCCTATGGTCAATTGACTTTTGATGAGGGTGTCATAACCACTGAATGAGGAAAAAAAAAGTCTTTTCAACAAATGGCTGTGGTATTCAAAAGCAAAAGGAGAATTTTGTCCCCTACCTCATACCATAATCAAAAATTAACATAAAGAGGATTCAATATCTAACTATAAGACTTAAAACTCTAGAAATCTTAAAAGGAAATATAGACGTAAATCATCGTGACCTTGGATAAGGCAATGGTTTGGCGCGATCTTGGCTCACTAGAACCTCTGCCTCCCGCCTCAGCCTCCCGAGTAGCTGGGATTACAGGCATCTGCCATCATGCCCGGCTAATTTTTGTATTTTTAGTAGAGATGTGGTTTCACCATGTTGACCAGGCTGGTTTTGAATTCCTGGCCTCAAGTGATCCGCCCGCCACCTTGGCCTCCCAAAGTGCTGGGATTACAGGCATGAGCTACCAAAATTTAACCAGGTATGATGGCAAGTGCCTGTAGTCTCAGCTACTTAGGAGACTGAGGTGGAAGGATGGCTTGAGCCCAGGAGGTGGAGGTTGCATTGAGCCAAGATTACTCCACTGCACTCCAGCCTGGACAGCAGAGCCAGACCTTGTCTCAAAAAAATAATAATAATAATTTAAAAATGGATAAAATACTTTGGAATAAATTTAACCATGAAAGTGCAAGACTAGTACTTTGAAAACTAACAAATACTATCTAAAGCAATTAAAGGAGACCTATATAAGTGGAAAACCATACCAGTTTCATGAACAACAATACTTAACATTGTTAGGATAGCAATAGTCCTCATTGATCTACAGTTGAAATGCAAGGTGTATAAAAATACAAGATGCTGTTTTTGGCAGAAATGAACTAACTGATCCTAAAATTCATGTGGAATTGCAATGGACCCTGAATGTCCGAAAAAAAAAAAAAAAGTCTGGGAAAAGAACGAAGTAGAAGAACTCACAGTTTCTGATTTCAAAACTTACAACACAACACCTCTACAAAACTACAGTAATCACAACCTTATAGTCCTGCCATAAGCATAGAAATATACAGTGGTAGAACAGAACAAGGGTCCAGAAATCAGCCCATACATCAATGGAAAGCTGATTTTTATAAGGATGCCACAATCATTCAATAGGGAAAAAGTCTTTTCAACCAATGGTTCTGGAACAACTGAATATCCACATGTGAAGAATGCATTTGGCCCCTATCTCATACTATATAGAAAAATTAACTCAAAATGGATCAAAGAACTAAATGTGGGATCTACAACCAGAAAATTATTTAAAAGAGTGCTCACTTCGGGAGCACATATATTAAAATTGGAACGATGCAGAGAAGATTAGCATGGCCCTTGAGCAAGGATGACACGATAATTTGTGAAACATTCTGTATTTTGGGGATTTTTGGAGCAGGGACAGGGAATAAGAGCTTGCTCTGTTTTTACTACTATTATTATTTTTTAAATAATAAAAGTTTTTAAAAAATTCTTTAAAAGGAGCATAAATGTAAATAATTATGATTGTGGATTAGGCAACAATTTCTCAAGTGTGATACCCAATGCTGAAGCAACAAAAGAAAAAACACATGAATTGGACTTAATTAAAAGTAAAAATATTTGTGCCTCAAAAAATATTATCAACAAAGTGAAAATACGACCCATATAGAGGGAGAAAATGTTTGCAAATTCTAAGTCTCATAAGACTCTACTATGAGAATACATAAAGAAATCTCTCAACTCAAACACAAAAAGAAAAACAGCCCTGTATAAAATGGGTGGAGGGGCCAGGCACAGTGTCTTATGCCTGTAATCCCAGCACTTTGGGAGGCCAAAGCCAGTGGATCACCTGAGTTCAGGAGTTTAAGACCAGCCTGACCAACATGGAGAAATCCTGTCTCTACTAAAAATACAGAATTAGCCGGGTATGGCGGCGCACACCTGTAATCCCAGCTACTTGAGAGGCTGAGGCAGAAGAATCGCTTGAATCCAGGAGGCAGAGGTTGCGGTGAGCCAAGATCGTGTCATTGCACTCTGGCCTGGGCAACAAGAGTGAAACTCCGTCTCAAAAAAAAAAAAAAAAAAGGGTGGAGGACCCAATTAGACACTATTCCAAAGAAGACATAAAAATGGCAAATAGATACATGAAAATATAATCAACACCATTAGTCAATAGGGAAATGTGAATAGAAACTGCAGTGAGATGCCACTTCACACCCACTAGGATAGCTATAATTTAAAAGGAAATAAAACAAGTGTTAGCTAAGATGTGGAATGTTTTGAGCCATCCTACAATCCTGTGAGGAATATAAAATGGTACAAGTGATGTGGAACACATGTGGCAATTCCTCACAAAGTTAAACATAGATTTACCATGTGACCCAGAAATTCCACTCTTAGGTATATACCCAAGAGAATTAAAAACATGTTTACACAATAACTTATATACTGATGTTCATAGAAGCATTATTTTTTTTTGAGACAGAGTTTTGCTCTGTTGCCTAGGCTGAAGCACAGTGGTATTGTACAGTCACAGCTCTCTGCAGCCTCAAACTCCTGGGCTCAAGTCATACCCCCACCTCAGCCTCCAGAGTAGCTGGGACTACAGACACATGCCATTACAGCTGGCTAGCTTTTTTTCTTTCTGTCTTTCTTTCTTTTTTTTCTGTTGTAGAGACAAGGTCTCCCTATGTTGCCCAGGCTGGTCTCAAACTCCTAGACTCAAATGATCCTCCCACCTCGGCCTCTCAAACTGCTGAGATTAGAGGCATGAGCCACCAGCATTATTCTCAATACAGAAAAAGTGGCAACAACCCAAATGTTCATCAATTGATGAATGAATGAACAAAATGAGATATACTCATATAATAGAATATTATACAGCTATAAAAAGGAATGAAGGACTGCTAATGCTACCAACAAGGGTAAAACCTGAAAACAATCTGTTAAGTGAAGGAAGCCAGGTACAAAAACCTATGCATTTTGTGATGTCATTTATAAGGAATGTCTGGAATAAACAAATCTATAGAGACAAGAAATAGATTTGTGATTCAGTAGAGCTGTGGAATGGAAGAAGAGGGCAATGATACCTAAAATACATGGGGTTTCTTTTGAAGCAATTGAATGGTGCCATAAAAAAACTGTGGTTATGGTAGTATATTTGGAACTAAACAAAAGCAATTAAATTTTACAGCTTAAATGTGTCAAATGTGTGTATTTGATTTATATGCCAATAAAGCTGTCTTTAAGCCAGTAGCATTTCTATATAGTGGCATTGAACAACCTGAAACAAAAATTAAGAAAATAATTTCACTTAACTAAAAATGGAATAGGGCCTGGTCATGGTGGCTCATGCCTGTAATCCCAGCACTTCGGGAGGCTGAGGCGGGCAGATCACCTGAGGTCAAGAGTTCGAGATCAGCCTGGTCAACATGGTGAAACCCCGTCTCTACCAAATATACAAAAATTAGCCGGGTGTGGTGGCGGGTGTCTGTAATTCCAGCTACTCAGGAGGCTGAGGCAGGGAGAACTGCTTGAACTTGGGAGGCGGAAGTTGCAGTGAGCCGAGATTGCGTCACTGCACTCCAGCCTAGGTGACAGAGCAACACTCCATCTAAAAAAAAAGTACCTAAATGGATACCATCAACCAAGGAAGTACAAGGCTTGTACATAGAGAGGTGCAAATATTTTTTTTAAAGTAAAGAAGACCCACATAAGGAGAAACACATTGTGGTTTCTTCTTGGGACTAGAAGAATTAATATTAAGATGGCAATATTCCAAAATATGTCTACATATTGAATGCAAGGTCTATAAAAATATCACCAGCCTTTTTGCAGAAATGGGTGAGCTGATACTAAAATTTGCATGGAATTGTGAAGATCACTGAACAGCCAAAAATCTAGAAAAAGAGAAACAATGTACGAGGATACACTTTCTAATTTTAAAGTGTACCTGAAAGCTGCAATAATCAAAACACTGTGGTCCTGACATAAGGATAAAAAATAAACAGACTGGTGGGATACTATGATTGTCCAAGAATAAACCCATACATATGTAGTCAAATACTTTTGATGGATGAGGTTTCCATGAAAATTTAATCTGGGCCGGACACAGGAGCTCACGCCTGTAATCCCAGCACTTTGTGGGGCTGAGGTGGGTGGATCACCTGGGGTCAGGAGTTCGAGACCAGCCTGACCAACATGGTGAAACCCCGTCTCTACTACATACAAAAAATTAGCCGGGTGTGATGGCGCATGCCTGTAATCCCAGTTACTCAGGAGGCTGAGGCAGGAGAATTATTTGAACCCGGGAGGTGGAGGTTGCAGTGAGCCAAGATTGCACCATTGTATTCTAGCGTGGGCAAAGAGTGAAACTCCATCTCAAAAAAAGAGAAAAGAAAATATAATCTGGAAAATATAGTCTCCTCAACAAATGGTGCTAAGACAACTGGATAAATACATGCAAAAGAATGACATGGTCCCTACTTCAGACTACATACAGAAATTAACTCAAAATAGATCAAAGAGTTAAATGTAAGGCCTGAAAATATGGAAATCTTCGAAGGAAACATGGTGTAAATCTTCATGATCTTGGATTAGGCAACAGTTTCTTCAATATAACAAAATCACAAGGAACAAAAGAAAAACTAGATGATTAGCATTCTTCAAAAGAAAAAACTCTAGGCCTCAAAGACAATATCAAGGAAAATACCAAAAGTAGGAAAGGAGAAGGAGGAGAGGCAGCCTCCCTGGCCAGGATTGGCTGGGAGCCAGGAGTGACTTCCCAATGCAGAGAAGGGGTGAGTAAGAGTCTACCAGTGACCCACATCCCCAACATGGAACCATGCAATCCTGGCCACAGAAATCCTTGTCCCTCCCAACCTCTGAAACTAACATAGGAAGCTGCTGGGAGACTGTGGGTCAGAATTGCTCCAGGGAGGGAGATCACACTGGGTCCCATACCCTTGCTGAGACCTAAGCAGCTACAGTCAGGCACCGTTTTGAAAACTAGTCTCTGACAACTGCGTGTGGTTATGGTAGTATATCTGCAACTAGGCAAAAACAATTAAATTTTATAGTTTAAATGCGTCAAATGTGTGTATATTTGATTTAGATGCCAATACAACTGTTTTTTTTCTTTTTTTTAATTATACTTTAAGTTCTAGGGTACATGTGCACAACGTGCAGGTTTGTTACATAGGTATACATGTGCCATGTTGGTTTGCTGCACCCATTAACTCGTCATTTACATTAGATATTTCTCCTAATGCTATCCCTTCCCCTGCCTTTGACAAACCTGACAAAAACAAGAAATGGGGAAAGGATTCCCTATTTAATAAATGGTGCTGGGAAAACTGGCTAGCCATATGTAGAAAGCTGAAACTGGATCCCTTCCTTACACCTTATATAAAAATTAATTCAAGATGGATTAAAGACTTAAATTTAGACCTAAAACCGTAAAAACCCTAGAAGAAAACCTAGGCAATACCTTTTTTTTTTTTTGACAGAGTTTCGCTGTTGTTGCCTAACCTGGAATGCAATGGCGCGACCTCAGCTCACTGCGACCTCCACCTCCCGGGTTCAAGCTATTCTCCTGCCTCAGCCTCCTGAGGAGCTGGAATTACAGGCGCCCGCCACCACACCTGGCTATTTTCTTGTATTTTTAGTAGAGACCATGTTGGCCGGGCTGGTCTTGAACTCCTGACCTCAGGTGATCCACCCGCATCAGCCCCACAAAGTTGCTGGGATTATAGGCATGAGCCACCGCACCCAGCCCAAAGCTGTTTTTTTTTTTTTAAGACAGTAATATTTCTATATACTGGCATTGAACAACCTGAAACAAAAATTAAGAAAATAATAAGTCCTAGAAACACCGGAACTGAGGTGTTATGGAAACTTGGGCTATCACTGCTGAGATGTGGGAGTGAGCTGGAAGCACTCCTGCAGCCAGGGTTAGGAAGTGACCAACACCCGGGCAGCAGCAGCTGGTGCTGGAATCTAAGACAGGGACATAAGCAGGACATAAGTTGCTGCTGGGACTTGATCACAAGCTGACAGTGGGCTCCTACAGCCAGGGATAGGGGAATGGGGGGGTGGTTAAGCCCCACAGGGACTTGGGTGTGAAGGAAATACACATTCCCTATTCCTCAGCCCAGGCTATGACCACTAAGGGAGGCCCCATCCTCTCCAGTAGCAGAGCCTCTGCATAGCTGCTACCACCCCTCACTCAAGCACTACAGATGGGGCCTGAGGAACTTCCTGCCCCTGCCCTCCATGGCTGATGCCTACTCTCACCACTGGGGGACCTGAGTACAACCTTCTTAGCCCAGGTTCTCCCTCAATCCCCACAAGACAGAGGACATAGCCTGGGGTCCCAGGAATTGCCAAACTCAATCCAATACCTTGGACACCTGAGCACTCCTCCTGGGTGCCTGACGTTGGGTTTAAACTCCCAGCTGCTACCACTTCAGCTGGCACCTACCTGCAGGCACTACCCCCTGCAGGCCTGGAGACTGTCCTACCAAGCCAATTGCAGCCACCACCAATATCAATCCACACACTTTGTGACCCAGAGAATCATTTCACCATTGCTACTCTTATTGCCCAAACCACACCAGCTGCCCAGAAACCTGAGAACTCGCCAACTTGCCCAGTCCACTGCTTCCAGTACTGGCATCTGATCAAGCCATGCTAAGGCAAAAGAATAGACCTGCCAGACTGCCAACAAAGGTTCCAGTGCACTCTGCCCTGCAGCACAAAGATAAGTTCACTCAGCCCGCTACCGCCACCACTGGGCCCTGAAGACTGGCCCGCCTGCCATCTCAGTCCCCAGCACAACTTCACCACAGCCTCCACTAATAATCACACTCTTACCCACCAAGAAAATCACGGGTATTACTAACACTGTTGACAGCCAAATAAATCATACAAAGACTACACTACTGCATGTACCCAGAATCAAAGCTGAAGTACCCTACCGAAACAACATCATACATACATCTTCAGGAAAAAGTCCTCCCCTATGAAAGTAAATTTGAAAATAGGAAGAAGTGAGAATAGTTTGGAGGGGCCTCAGAAAAACTAAAAATAGAGCTATGATACAATCCTGCAATCCCACTGCTGGGTATATACCAAATGAAAGTAAATCAGTATATTAAAGAGATATCTGCACTCCCATGTTTATTGCAGCACTGTTCACAATAGCTAAGATTTGGAAGCAACCTAAGTGTCCATCAACAGATGAATAGATAAAGAAAATGTAGTACATATACACAATGGAGTACTATTCAGCCATAAAAAGGATTGAGATCCAGTCATTTGCAACAACATGGATGGAACTGGAGGTCATTATTTTAAGTGAATAAGCCAGGCACAGAAAGACAAACATCACATGTTCTCACTTATTTGTGGGCTCTAAAAATCAAAACGATTAAACTCCTGGAGATAGAGAAGGATGGTTACCAGAGGCTGGGAAGGGTAGTGGGAGGGGGTGGGAGGTAAGAATAGTTAATGGGTACAAAAAAATAGTTAGAAAGAATGAGTAAGACCTAGTATTTGACAGCACAACAAAGGAACTATAGTCAATAATAATTTAATTGTACATTTTAAAGTAAGTAGAAGAGTGTAATTGGATTATTTGTAACACAAAGGATAAATGCTTGAGGTGATGATACCCCATTTTCCATGATATTGTCACTATCTATTGCATGCCCGTACCAAAATATCTCATGTACCCCATAAATATATACATCTACTGTGTACCCACAAAATTAAAAATAAATTTTTAAAAAATATATTTAAAAAGCATTAAAAATAAATTAGTTTCTAAAAAGGTACACTGCTTAGGAATCATTTTAACCAAGGGAGTACAAGACTTGTACACTGAAAACTACAAAATATTGTTGAAAGAAATTCAAGAAGGCATAATTAACTGAAAAGACATCTATTTTTATGGACTAAAAGGCTTACTATTGTTAAAATGCCAATATTTCCCAAATTTATTTACAGTTTGAATTCAAGGTTTATCAAAATATGATCTGGTTTTTATGCAGAAATAGATGACCTGATCTTAAAATGTATATGTAATTGAAAAGCATCCTGAAGAATAAAAACAATCTTGAGAAAGAATAACAAAGTAGAACTTATTATTCTCAATTCCAAAATATTATCAACCTGCAGTAATCGAAACACTGTGGTCATGCCATGGGATTAAAAAGAAAAACAAAGCAGTGACATATAGTGAGAGTCCAGGAAAAAGCCCATGCATTTATGGTACATTGATTTTAAATTTTGTTACCATGACAATTCAATAGAGAAAATATAATCTTTTCAAAAAATGATTCTGGGAAAACTGGATATCCATGTGCAAAAGAATGTATTTGGCCTCTACCTCATACTGTGTTCAAAAATTAACTCAAAATGGATCAAAGATCTCAAATGTAAGACCTAAACACTCTAAAATTCTTAGAAAGTAACACAGGTGTGAATCCCCATGAACTTGTATTAGGCAATGATTTCTTTAATATAACATTGAAATCACAAACAACAAAAGAAAAAATAGATAAATTGGATTTCATCAAATTGTAAAAGTTCTGTGCCTCTAGGAAACTATCAAGAAGGTAACAAGACAACTTAGTGGATGGAGAAAATATATGCAAGACACATATTTCATAAAGTTGTAGTATCCAGAATACATAAAAACACTTGTAACTTAATAAAAAAATGGGCAACTTCAGAAAAAAATGGGCAAAGGACTTGAATAGACATTTTTTCTTTTTTTCAAGTTCAGATTCCTTTATTTATTTATTTATTTATTTATTATTTATTTTTTATTTTACTTTAAGTTCTGGGATACATGTGCAGAACGTGCAGGTTTGTTACATAGGTGTATATGTGCCATGGTGGTTTGCTGCACCTATCAACCCGTTATCTAGGTTTTAAGCCCCACATGCGTTAGGTATCTGTCCTAATGCTCTCCCTCTCCTTGACCCCCACCCCCCAACAGGCCCCGGTGTGTGATGTTCCCCTCCCTGTGTCCATGTGTTCTCATTGTTCAAAAAAGATAAACCAATGGCCAATAAGCACATGAAGGGGTGCTCAACATCATTAGTCATTAGGGATATACACATCAAAACCATAATGAGATACCACTTCACATCCACTATGGTAGTTATTATTAAAATTTTTTAACAACACTAGTATTTGCAAGGATGTGGAGTATTGGAGCCCTAATACGAGGGTGGTGAGAACATTCTGTAGTACAGCTGATGTGGAAAACAATTTTTTACAGTTTTTTGCAAAGTTTAGCATAGAGTTACTATGTGACTCATCAGTTCACTTCCTAGGTATACACCCAAGAGAATTAAAAAAAATTTTCAAACAATAATGCATCCACAAATGTTCATAACAGCATTATTCTTTTTGTAGTTTTTATTTTAAGTTCATGGGTATATGTGCAGGATGTGCAGGTTTGTTGCATAGGTAAACATGTGTCATGCGAGTTTGCTGTACAGATTATTTCATCACCCAGATATTAAGCCTAATATCCATTAATTATTTTTAGTCATCCTCTCCCTCCTCCCACCTTCCATCCTCCAAAAGGCCCTGGTTTGTGTTGTTCCCCTCTATGTGTCCATGTGTTCTCATCATTTAGCTCCCACTTATCAGTGAGAACATGTGGTATTTGGTTTTCTGTTCCTGCATTAACTTGCTAAGGATAATAGCCTCCAGCTCTATTCATGTCCCTGCAAAGGACATGATCTCATTCTTTTTTATGGCTGCATAGTATTCCATGGTGAATATGTATCACATTTTTTTAATCCAGTTTATCATTGGCAGATATTTGAGTTGGTTCCATGTCTTTGCTAAGCAGTATTATTCTTAATAGACAAAAAGTAAAAACAACCTAAATGATCATCTGATAAATGGATGAACAAAATCAGATATAGCCATAAAATGGAATATTATACAGCCATAAAAAGTAGTGAAGTATAGCTACATGCTACCACATGAAAAAAAAAAAAACCTTGAAAACATTATGCTTAGTGAAAAAAGCCAGACACGAAACTTGCATATTCTTTAATTCCACTTATATGAAATGTACAGAATAAGCAAATCTAGGGAGACAGCAAGTTGATTAGTGGTAGATCACATTTTGGGATAATGGAGAGACACTGAATCACACATAAAGTGCACAGCTTCTATTTGAGGTGATGAAAATGTGCTATAATTGGCTGTGGTGATGTTTGCACGTATCTGTGACTATATAAAAAACATAGAATTATAGACTTTGTGTGGGTAAATTCTATGGTACATGAATTATATCTTAATAAAATGCATACATATCTAAAAATGGTTGCTCTTTTATATATTGTCATTGAATAACCCAAAACCAAAGTTAAGGAAACAATTGCACTGAAACTTGTCTCATAAAGGATAAGGTACTTAGGAATAAATATAACCAAGGAAGTACAAGATTAATACACTGAAAACTACAAAATATTACAGAGAAGAATTAAAGAAGATTTAAGTACAAAGATATCTGGTTCCATGAATTAGAAGATTTAATATTGTTAAGATGGCAATACTCACAAGATTTATCAAAATGCCAATGCCCCCCCCTTTTTTGCAGAAAACCTTGAAAATATGATGGTGTGTAAAATAAGCCAATGACAAGAAACTACATATTGTACCACTCCATTTATATAAAATGTACAGAATAGGCAAATCTATAGAAATATCAAGAATGGAGGTTGCTTATAGCTGGGGAAGAAAAGGAGGTTAGTAATCTACTACTTAATGGGTATAAGTTTCCTCTTCAGGGTGGTTAAAATGTTCCGGCATTAGATTGATGACAGTTGCACAATATTTTGAATATACTAAAAACGACTGAACTGTATACTTTAAAATGATTACTCTTATGGTGTGTGAATTTTATGTCTCAATTAAAAATGTTTTCCATAATGAGAAATATAGAAACCAATAAAAACTTATGTTTTACTTCTAATCCCACCAAACAGCCAGTAAGGACTTTTGGTATATTTTCTTTTCTTTCTAATGTGTGTGTGTGTGTGTGTGTGTGTGTACACATATAGCATATATTTCAAAACTGAAAATGAGATCTTATTTTAAGTACGAGTTTATAACCTAATTATATGAAAAAATTTATACCCTTATCATGTGGATACAGCAGTATAATTAACCTCTGTGTACCTACCATTTAGATCAACAAATATTCAACTCACAGCCAATTTTGCCTTCTCCTTACTTCTTGATTAATTTGAAGCAAATCCCAGATATCAATTCATATTGATGGTATCGGCTGCAGCAGGGAGGCGTGGCTGGGGCTGCCCACTCCATGGAGCAGGCAGGAGCCCCACCCTCCTGGGTAGGGCTGCAGCTGCCCAAACTGTAGCTGTATATCTGAACCTCCCTGTGCTCTTGGTGGGTGCCAGGAGCAGGCAGGATCTCTGCCCTCTCAAATACAGCTGCAGCTGCCTGACCTGTGGTTGTAAACGCGGGCGTCTCTCTCCACTCCACAGACAGTAGTTGGGGACAAGCGGAAGTCCCGCCCCTTCTGAATTGGCTGGACTGGAGCTCCCTGGATGCAGCTGCAGCCATGCTCCTAGGTGCAGAACCCTGGCGGCTCTGCAACCTGCACCCTCGAGGGTCTGGAAGGCCCTAGCCCCCTGTGTCCCCGCAGGCTCGTGCGTGTTTTCTGCTGCTGCCTGGCTTCTCTCTGCTCCCAGTACTCCCTCTAATCTTGGAGCCGGGTTGGGGCTGAGCTCCTGCTCTGTCCCGCCCTGGACTGGTGTGCACAGGCTCGGTGCAGTGTTGACACGCAGGCCCCCTGCTGTCTGGGACCCTCCAAACTTTAGGCACCAATGAGCACAAGAGGGAGGCCAAGATGGGGCTGGGGGCAGCTCAGCACTGGCCTGCAGGTGCCCCTTGGCTCTAGCGGTCTGGGCGCCATAGGCAGCAGCAGGAAGCAGACAGGCTCCTGGGCAGGAAGGGATGGGTCCCGGGTAAGGCCCCAACTTCAGGCCAGGGAGAACCTGAAGGCTGGAGGCCAGCCTGCCAGACCTGCTGACCAGAGTGGGGTCTTGTGGTGCCTCTTCCAGGCTGCCCATGGCCGCCCATGGACCAATCGGTATGAACTTCCTCCCCTCTGAGTTCCATAAAAGCCCAGGCTCAGCCAGAGCAGGGCAGAGGACAGAGAGATGATGGAATGACCAGTGGCAGAGAGGAGCTACCCTCTCTGCTGAGAGCTTCAGAGACCCGCAGAGACCTCTGAATGACCTGCCAGCAGAGAGGAGCCAGCTTCTCCAGGGCCTCTTCTCTGTTGAGAGCTGAACACTCCACAGGATGACCTGCCTAGAGAGGATCTGCCCACTGCGGGTCTCCTCTGAGTTGTTCTAACACTAAATAAAGCTCCTCTTCATCTTATTCACCCTTCACTTGTCTGCATACCTCATTCTTCCTGGACACAGGTCAAGAATTCGGGCAAAGGTGCCACCAGTCACAGAGGTTTCTGGGAAGAAAATTAATACCCTAAAGATCTGGTAACAATTTTATCCATAAATATTTCACATACATATCTAAAAGATAAGGACACCTCTAAAAAATAACAATAATACCATTAATATACCTATAATTTTTATAATTTTTAATAACATCAACAGTCAGTGTTCAGATTTCCCCCAGCTGTATCATGAATAATTTTGTTACAGTTGATGTGTTCAAATTGAGATCCAAATAAGTACCACACACTATGTTTGTTTAATATGTGTTAAGCATCTTTGAATCTAGAATGCCTCCCTCCTTCTCTTTCAATTTATGTGTTGAGGCAATACTAGAATGTCTGTCCTATAGAATTTTCCATAGTCTAGGTTTAAAAAAATTATCATTTAATGTGTTATTTATCCTCTGTATTTTCTGTAAATTATTATGTACATTTAAAGGCTTGATCAGAGTTTAGTTTGAATTTTTGCAAGAATACTTCATATGTGGTGTTGTATATGTGCCATCAGGGCAATAATACCTGCTTGTCTGTTGTTGTGAAGTTAACCACCATTGCAGATTCTTTCCATCCACACTGTTTCATTGGGGATAATAATTTCTATCGTTTCTTCTTCACGTATTATTTGGAATACTTCTGTGAAGAGAAATGTCCTTTTAGTAACTATGATTAATCTGAGGTACATCATGCATATGAAAGGTGGAATAATTACTTGTTTCATTCTCTTTTATTTTGTAGTCTTCAAAATAATAAGCTGATTCCCTAGCATTGTTTTAGAATATCAATCTGAACAAATGCATTGAAATAGATTTGATATGTTCTAATTCATTATAGTTATTGTACTAATTAATATTCAAGTTGTCCTCTCTTTGAATCTTCAAGTTGGCCCTTGAGTCCTTTTTGACATGATTCAGTGGTCTTTGGTACTTAATTTCTGGTATGACAGGATGTTCCAGGAGTATCTTGTAATATCTTACCTCAATTCTATTTAATGTTTAACGAAAGCCTAGTCAATTGGCTCATTTATGGCCTGGCACATAAAATAAACTAGGGTATATCATTTGCCTATTAGAGACATCTGCCTCTAAAATGGGGCTTACAAACAATGAATTAAAAGATGGTAACAGACATGAAATAAAACCTCTTTGTGGTGAGGGAGGATATGTATATATTTAATCCCTGATACTCATTAGCCCCTAAGGATATTCTGCTTCTTGAAACTATAATCCCTCTGACAATTCCTGGACATTTCATCATCAGTCAAGAGGATAAGACTTTATGAGAATATGATTACTGAAAGATTTTTGTTGGTAGGCTTCATTGAAGGTGGCTTATTTCTTGTTCACCTGTGCAAGAAGTTGCTATCTAGAAAATTACTTCCTTACTCTTAAGAATTGTAAACAGAAAGTCATTCTCTCCCAACCACTCAAAACTACCTATTTGGTTGCTTTGGTTAGCAATATTTGTATTAGCTAAAATATTAGGGTGAATTGAGCCACCTTATGAATAAAGGCAATTGGCAGGTATTTTGGAGTACTGAAAGTTTTCTTTAATTTTTGCACGTGATACTTCTAATTCTAATTGATACATCATGCAATCTGCCTCTTTCCTAGCTAGAATATTTGAAAGCTATTTTTCTAAGACTCCTGGACATGGATGACAACTCTTTTCTTTAGGAAAAACTGAAGCATTCTCCAGAGGGAAGCCAGCACATATTTTTTCATATTTTATTTACACATACTCTCTGTATTTATTTTAAGATCCAGTTTATTCCTGTTTTGAAGGAATGAAACTAAAGTCTGTGGGATAAAAGTACTTTTGGTCAAAATTCATTAAGTAAAAGTAATTGCAATTAATAGGTATATTTTTGAAAAACAGAAACGACCTTAACCTATGGAAGAGTTAATAGAGGAAGTGACTCACCCTTCAAATTATAGGGACCTCAGGCATGGAATGCTTATGCAGAACTCAGTGTGCTTGAAAGTGTATAGAGTGTACATGTTCTGCTGACATGCTGTTTATAATCTCCTATGCCAAAATAGAAAACTGGTGTGCATGCATTCCTGTAGGCTGTTTTGTCTATTTCTGTTTCTTTTTGTTCATTTTGTTAATCATGGGGGGAGGGGTATGTGGATAAGTAGGGTTGCCAGATAAAATACAGAACATACTTATACCAAAAAAATGATTCGCTGTTTATTTTGAAAATCAAATTTAACTGGGAGTCTTGTATTTTTATTTGGTAACTCTAGCAACCCTGTGGATCAGTAGAGAGTAGTGGTGACTGATCTTTGAAAATTAAAAAGGACTACATATTGTATAAAGTAGAGCAGCACTTCTAAACTTTTGTGTACATGCAAATTATCTGAGGTGCATGTTAAAAAGCATATTCTGATTTTGAAAATCTAGAGCAGGACCAGAGTTTCTGCATTTCTGACAAGCTTCCCATTGGTGCCAAACCTGCTGGTCTGTGGACTACTACAGTTTGAGCAAGGCTGCAGTGGAAAGGGGTGTGTGTGTGTATATGTGTGTGTGTGTGTATTTACGGTCCAATATCGGAACTCACTCTCTGCGTCTAGGGAATTAACCAACATATGAGTCTTGAGGAAAAGTTCAGCCTGGTTCACACTATGGAAGCTGATAGAAGGTATCAAATACTCACTTTACCAGCCTCCCACACAGCCTGGATGTAGTTGTGTGGCCTACACCCCACCAATCAAAAAACCTGCATAGGAATTTGAGTAAGGAGCTAGTCACATAAAAGCTAGGATAGTAGTGAGTTCTCTGTCTTGCAACAGCCACAGTCGTGGGCAAATTGATCTCCCAGAGCAGTAGTGGTGGAGAGGAAGGGGCAGAGTCCAGGACACTCAGTAGCATTAGTTAAAGCAGTCTTCTCACTGGACTGAATCTACAGCATGGTTTTGGGCAACATTCCTGGCTACAGAGCTTTGAGTTTTGTTCTCAACCTTCACAAGATTCTGTGAGCTGTCCAATTTCTTTCCCACCTCAATCACTCAGAATTGGTATTTGTTGCTTGAAACTAAGAACGCTGATCAAGCCAAAGCGTCTGCCAGAGGCTAACTGGCTTGTACAGCTAGCAGTATGTGTGTGGAATCACCACTCAGGGTAATCTCTGCGCCACTGGGTGAGGACCATTCTGAAAGAGGAATAACCTCCACTTGTAGGAAGGATATCTATTTCCTGGCATATACCTCTATGTCTCTTATTATTGCCTCAGCTGATGACTAATCTTGGCACAATAGGACTAGATTCATATGCTAACCCTATAATAACTAGTCCTCTGTTTCCTTGGCAGTTAGAGGGGGCTAAGACAACTACATCGTTTTACTGTTGCATTTATTCATATTATATCCTTATTATTTGTTTTTCCAGCTTCATTGATGTACAAACTACACATCATAAAATTCACCCATTTCAAGTGTACAATTCAATCACTCTTAGTAAATTTACCAAAATGTGCAACCATCACCATAATCAAGTTTTAAAATATTTTCTTCTCTTTAATAAAATCCCTCAGGCTCTATTTACAGTTAATGCCCATATCCACCTCCAACTCCGGATAACCACTAATCTACTTTCTGTGTCTATAGATTTTCTTTTTCTGGCCATTTCAAGTAAATAAGATTATACAATTATAATTATTTGTTACACAAGTTTTTGCTGTTAGATGGTGAGTTCCCAAAAGACCTGTGTCTAAGAGCAGAAATCAATGAAATTTAAAACAGAAAAACAATAAAGAAAAATCAATAAAAACAAAGAGCTAGATCTTTGAAAGGATCAATAAAATTGACAAACCTCTAGCAAGTGTGACAAAGAAAAAAAGGTACAAATTACCAATGTAAAAAATGAAACAGGGAATATCACTGCAGATGCTGAAGACACCAAAAGGTTGGTAAGATAATAATACAAACAATTCTACACAAATATATTTTAGAATTTAGATGAAGTTGACCAATTTGTTGAAAATCACAAACCAGGCTGGGCGCGGTGGCTCATGCCTGTAACCCCAGCACTTTGGGAGGCCAAGATGGGCGGATCACAAGGTCAGGAGATAAAGACCATCCTGGCTAACACGGTGAAACTCCGTCTCTACTAAAAATACAAAAAATTAGCTGGACGTGGTGGCACACGCCTGTAGTCCCAGCTACTCGGGAGGTTGAGGCAGGAGAATGGTTTGAACCTGGGAGGCGGAGGTTACAGTCAGCTGAGATCGCACCACTGCACTCCAGCCTGGGTAACAGAGCGAGACTCCATCTCAAAAAAAAAAAGAAAAAGAAAAAAAAGAAAAGAAAAAGAAAATCACAAACTAACAAAATGCACCAAAGACAAAATAGATCATCTGAATACTCCTATAACTATTAAAGAATGTGAATTCATAATTTAAAACCTCAAAAGAAATCTGCAGGCTCAGATGGTTTTGTTTGTTTCTACCAAACACCTAAACAGAAATAACACCAATTCTCACAATCTCCTCCAGAACACAGAATAGGAGATAATACTTCTCAACTTATTTTATGAGGTCATTATTACCCTGATGCCAAAACCAGTCAGTACAAAAAAAAAAAAAAAAAAAAGAAAGAAAACTACAGATTATGGACTAGGATCTAATAGGAACTTAGATGCAAAATTCTCAACAAAATACTAACAAACTGAATCTAACAATGTATAAAAAGAATTACATAGTATGACTAAGTGGGATTTATGTCACATATGAAAGGCTGGGTCAACATTTAAAGATCATTCAACATTTCCAACCATATCAACAGACTAAAAAAGAAAAATTCTATGATTATATAAAAGCACTCAGTAAACTAGGAATAGAGGGGAACTTCCCCAACTTGATAAAGAATATCTACCAAAACCTACAACTAACATTGTGCTTCATGATAAAAGAGTATCATACATAATGGTAGAATACTATTTTCCTAGGTGAGTGAAATACTCCTGTCTGGCCCCAAGAGAAGAGCTAGGGTCAAGTCCACCTGCATCTCTCTGCCCCCAGGGTCTAGGTGGCACCCACAGCCCCAGAGAAGGGACAGTGGTCCAGCACAGCATGAAGTCCAGGGCATCAGAGCCTTTGTCTGCGAGGATGAGTGGCAGGACTTTAGCCTAGGGCTAGTTAACAATCGCCTCACCCAAATAGCCTCAACTCCCACACATGTTCCCTTTTCATCCTGCATTCTCTCTTGCCCCGCGTTCTCCTTTGGACCTTCTCCAGGTTTGGATCTTGTCTTCTGAACACCTTGCTATTGCTTTCTAAAGTGAAAATAAATTAGGAAAAATGCCAGTGTTGGTTAGAATTAGCAATTAGCTAATTCTTTAGCTAATTAGCATTTTTTGCAAATAGCAATTAGCATTTTTGTCAAAGTTTATACTAAATCTTAGCATTTTTGTCAACGTTTATACTAAATCTTCCACCATCTTCAGGCTTTCTTAAAAGACTGCATGTAGAGTGATGCCCTAGAAGTGCCTCAATAAGGAGGAAGAAAATGAGTATCCATCTTGATTTTTTTTAGAGACTGGTGGAGAACTCTTTCCACATTCTTGAGTGTTCTCTATTAAGAGGATATCAAGCTGGTGGGTTTCTCACTTGATTTTCAGCTGTGGTCCATTCAGAGCACTTATATATTTTTCTTTTTATATCTGGAGGGGAATAAAACCAGCACCACTCTCCTGCACAAGTTTTCAAACTTATAAGGCCACAATTAATATGCACATCAGAAGGAGGGAAATACTGTATTGTGCCTTATTTTCTCACTTGAATTACATCCTCCTGAGATCGTGGCTGACCCTTAGGCCCATGGTGTTCCTGAATATAATTGGCATGCATAATTAGCAGCCTAGTAAGACAGAAAGAAGAAAGTGCTATCAAAACCACTACACACGGACATCAGAACAATGGCTCGAGAGATTTAATGGGCCATCCCAGCTCTGCCACAGACACCCTCTGGTACTTATGCTAAATCAGATCATCTCTTTGTCTTTCTTTCTTCCTAGTAAATTAAATAAAACTATTCTCACCACTCCCTACGTCACAAGTATGTTGTAAAAAGAAACTTAAACAACTGAGGTGAAAATACTAAAGGTTTTGTTTTGGGAGTTAAAGGGATAGAAGATGAAATGCACTCTCTGAATGGAAGATTCAGTAAAAGGAAGCCATTTGACCTTCATTCCAGAAACCAATCATTTCAACTAAACTCAGTACACATTTGTTGAGAACTAACTCTGTATATGCTGCATTCTGTGCTGTATGCTACGTGGCTTTTATGGGAGTTGTAGTCTACTGGAGTCACGCACACTGCAGCATAATCTGACCTTCTCCTATGTCTTGTTGCGGGAAATCAGGGACCCCCAACAGAGGGACTGGCTGAAGCCGTGGCAGAAGAACATAAATTGTGAAGATTTCATGGACAGTTATTAGTTCCCAAAATTAATACTTTTATAATTTCTTACACCTGTCTTTAGTGCAGTCTCTGAACATAAATTGTGAAGATTTCATGGACATTTATCACTTCCCCAGTCAATACTCTTATAACTTCCTATGCCTGTCTTTAATCTCTTAATCCCGTCATCTTTGTAAGCTGAGGATGTACGTCACCTCAGGACCCTGTGATGATTGCATTAACTGTACAAATTGTTTGTAAAACATGTGTGTTCGAACAATATGAAATCTGATTGTAAAACATGGGTGTTTGAACAACATGAAATCAGGGCACCCTGAAAAAGAACAGAGTAACAGCGATTTTTAGGGAACAAGGAAAGATAACCATAAGGTCTGACTGCCTGCAGGGTTGGGCAGAATAGAGCCATATTTTTCTTCTTGCAGGGAGCCTATAAACGGATGTGTGAGTAGGAGAAATATCACTGAATTCTTTTCCCACCAAGGAATATTAATAATTGATAACCCTGGGGAAGAAATGCATTCCCATGGGTAGGTCTATGAATGGCCGCTCTGGGAGTGTCTGTCTTATGCGATTGACATAAGGGATGAAATACGCCCTGGTCTCCTGCAGTGCCCTCAGGCTTACCAGGATTGGGAAACTCCGGCCTGGTGAATTTTAGTCAGACTGGTTGTCTGCTCTCGAACCCTGTTTCCTGTTAAGATGTTTATCAAGACAATGCATGCCCAGCGGGACATGGACCCTCATCAGTAATTCTAATTTCGCCCTTGCCTTGTGATCTTTTATTGCTCTTTGAAGCATGTGATCTCTGTGACCCACTCCCTATTCGTACACCCCTCCCCTTTTGAAATCCCTAATAAAAACTTGCTGGTTTTGTGGCTTGGGGTCGCTGTCATTGTCCTACCAATATGTGATGGCACCCCTGGAGGCCCAGCTATAAAATTTCTCTCTTTGTACTCTTTATCTTTATTTCTCAGACCAGCTGACACTTAGGGAAAATAGAAAAGAACCTACATTGAAATACTGGGGGCTGGTTTCCCTGATATCTGGTGCCCATTGAAATCAGGTCCCAATAATGCCTGAAGCAGTTTCCAATGCTGAGTCTGAGCCATTTTTATTATTTCTGTATTCATGCTCAAAGGCAGCAGAGTATTGCTAGATACAGGCACAAAATAGCACTGTAGTTGGGGTTTCCCACTTGATCCTAAGCTACAGCTTAGAGTTTAGACATGTCTGAGAGGCAATATCCCAGAAGTCTGTTTACTCCAGTGATTGGAGAGCCTCCTGGGAAAGAATGTCTTCAAGGAAGAAGGAGCTAAACACAATGAGCTTGAACCAAAAACAAAGATTAGGTCATCAGAAGAGAGAGATTCTCTGAGTCCAGTCCTGTGTCTCCTGGCCCTCGTCTGAGTCTTACGGGAGATGGGGTGGGGATGGGGTTGGGGAAGAAAGAGGAAGATGGGGCTATAGCTGAAAACTGATGAAAACTGAAATATCTGTTTCCAACTTTTCAAATCCCACACTTCATATTTATAACACATGCTCTTTCTTCCTACCTTACTAGAAAAGATGGAGGCATCAACACAAGTGCAAGATGTAACAGAAGACCTAACCAGAGATGACTTATTTTTTAAATAAGTATTTATTTTAAAAATAATTATTTATTATCTTATAAAATAAGTTTGGGGAAAGATGGTTCCATGGTAGGTCAATCGAGTAAACCAAGGATGTCATCAAGGACCCAAGTGAATTTTCTTTCCGCTCTGCCACCTACAGTGTGTGGGTAATATTCCTCTTACCTCCTGTCAGCGCTGTAACATGGCTTCAGCATTGCTTGGTGTCAGATACAAATGGGAGCACCTAGCAAAGAAAAGGGATACTATCTTCTATACCTACGATTCATTCTCTCTCTCTCTCTCTCTCTCTGTCTCTCTTATCTATCTCTATTTCTGTCTCTATCTCTATCTCTCAACAAAGGAAGAAAAGTCCTTTCCAGAGACCTCTAGCAGAATTTTCCTTGGGTCCCATTAGGCAAAATTGTGTCACACATCTATCCTAAACTAATTCCTAAGGAGAATGAAACTAATCAAATCCACGCCTCATCACTTTCCCAGAGCATGTGGTAGGGTAGGCTCCAAACAACACCAAATTTTGCCAGAAATAAATAAGGAAAAATGGCTGTGGCTTAGAACCTAACAAATCTTTTCACCCTCTTTCTCCTCCTCTTAAACCATAATTGTACATACTCCCCCAACTGCAAAATGTTTCTGTACCTACCCCTCTTTATCACCTTTAAATTGGTCTATCTTCACCCAGATTCTTTAGTATCTCAAGAGGAGTGGTAATCCCCCTTTCATTTTAAGACCTAGGGCTCTATCTCTCTACCTCATAGATCCTTGACCCTGTTCTTGTCCTAGCCCCTCACACAGGTCCCTGAACCACACCTGCATCCTGTTCTACTTGTCACTCCATTAGTGATAATCAGAAGAGATCTGATGCTCTTTCCTTTTTTCCAGGAGAATCCAGATTTAAAGATGCAAGAACACTTTCGAATCCTATTAGGTGAGGCAGTAGTAGGGGTGGGAAGGCAAGGACCAGAAGCATGCTTTATTGTTTACTTCCAGGATTCTGTACACAAGGATTCTCTGTCCCACTCTAGGATGCAAAATACCATGTGGTATCCTCAGCCACTTGTCTGGGGTCTGCTTCCATCCCCTCTCCCCTGCTCCCTGACAGTCCCAATCCTATGGAGATTGGATTCCACTCTAATTTTCTGTGCCCCATCCTGGAGGAACTCTAAAAATGACTTGGCTTGAATCTGAAACTTGTTCCATTTCTTTTGAATACTCCCATTCATTTATTTATTCATTCAACAAATATTAAACTCTATTCCAATCACTATGTCTTTGGTAGATATTGGTAAATGAGCCATGGTTCCATGCCTTCATGGAACTTGCATTCTGTTGGGGTAACTTTGTCTCTCCCACAAGATGTGGCTTGAAATTTATGGCTCTCTCACAAGGACCAGAATGGAAACAAACTTAACAACAATGCTGGCGAGGCACGGTGGTTCATGCCTGTAATCCCAACACTTTGGGAGGCCAAGGTGGGTGGATCACCTGAGGTCAGGAGTTAGAGACGAGCCTGGCCAACATGGCAAAACCCCAACTCTACTACAAATACAAAAAATAGCTGGGCATGGTGGCGGACACCTGTAATCCCAGCTACTCAGGAGGCTGAAGCAGGAGAATCACTTGAACCCAGGAGGCAGAGACTGCAGTGAGCCAAAATGGCACCACTGCACTCCAGCCTGGGCAACAGAGTGAGACTCCTTGTCAAAATAAACAAACAAAAAAACCCAATGCTGAGTTATTAACTCTATACAGCATCACTCATGTCTTAATCCTTCCAAAACAACTACTATTATAAGTTTAAATTATTTTAATCTTTACACAACTAATAACATATCACATTTTTTCACTGAGGCCATTGTTTTAGACAATTACAGTTTCTACAAATATAAGCAGAGCACAGAGCAATGTACTCGTAGTACAGTATGCTTTATTAACAACAGGGCTTGTCATCTGAACAGGTTATGGATGGATGATTACAACAAAAATTGGGCCTATATCTGATCTGAGTTTATGTATTATCAGAGTTGTTAACCTTTCTTTTCTCACAGTTAGTAATCTGTCAGATTCTTCAGCAGAATGGTTTATAGATACATTGTTAGGAGATAAAATATTTACTGTTACCTACCCCTCCTCCTTTGGCTATACTTGCTTGAGGATATATAGTAAAATAGATTTATAATTTCTTTTTTACATTTCAAAATTCACCCGTTTAATATTCCCATTTTTGCTCTTAGAAAAAAAAAGAGGAAGGACTCTCAAAAAAAAGTGCTACACTATATGGAAATACAAAACTGCTTTTGTGGCCAGGCGTGGTGGCTCACGCCTGTAATCCCAGCTCTTTGGGGGGCTGAGGCAGGCAGATCACCTGAGGTCAGGAGTTGGAGACCAGCCTGGCCAACATGGTGAAACCCCATCTCTACTAAAATACAAAAATTAGCCGGGTGTGGTGGCACACACCTGTAGTCCCAGCTATTTGGGAGGCTGAGGCAGGAGAATCATTTGAACCCGGGAGGCAGAGGTTGCAGTGAGCCAAGATCGCGCAATTGCACTCCAGCCTGGGTGACAGAGCATGACTCCATCTCAAAAAAAAAAAAAAAAGAAACAAAACAAAAAACTGCTTTTGTATGTTCTACCAATTAAGGTTCTTCTTCAGATGGTATCATGGACCTTTGGTGTCTAATTTATCCTGAAAGAAACCAATTCATAATGCAGGTCCTGAAATATGAGTCCAAGAAGGTAGATGTAGCAGAAGTGAAATCACAGCATTTAAATGAAATATGACTCAGTCCAGGCTGAGGCAGGAGGCCACCTGTAGCTTACTTTTATCATAGTACTTTTATGTTTGTGAACCTGTTTTCACCACTTGAATGTAACCAATTTGAAGGCAGAGACTGTGTCCCATTTATCTCAGTATTCCCAACATGTGACATGGTGCTCAATAAACATTTGCTTCATGGATGATTATGTACATGAATAAATGAATAAGTATTTAAACTCATTTCCCATAACACTTGTGTTACCAGTGGAGGGTCTTGACTGCAAGTTGTCCAGGTTCTTGTCGTTTTGAACAAAGAATTGGACAAAAAGCACAGCAAAGGAAGGAAAGAATGAAGCAATGAAAGAATGAAAGCAGAGATTTATTGAAAATGAAAGTATACTCCACAGTGTGGGAGTGGGCCGAGCATCGGCTCAAGGGCCCCAGATACACAATCTTCTCAGGTCCAAATACCCTCTAGAGGTTTCCCATTGGCCACTTGGTGCTCACCTCGTAAATGAAGTGGTGGCCTGCGATCAGAGGCTGAAGTGAAGTTACAAAGGTCACACTCCTGTGCAAACGTCTGATTGGTTGCAGAAAGTGCTTTCAATTTTCCGTCTGCTGAGCAGAAAAGGTAGGGGTTTGCAAAGGGAGTAGCCTCTGGTCCTTTCGTTACTTAGGCATGGAAAGTTAGAGTTTTCCTTTCAATTTATTACTAGGAAGTCAGTGGGAAATGGCCTCAGGTTCCCTGCCTCCAGAACCTATTCTGCCTCATCTCCCCCCGAAAGATGTGATCCCCATAAATCTCTAGAGGAGGCAGAGGGCCTGACGGTCTTTCTTCTGTAACTGCTTCCTGCTGACTTGGGGCATAGTCCCTATCTGTTGGAGATCACGGAACTTTTGCCCTACTCTGTCTAGTGGAGACCGGGTGGCTTCTTGATGGCTGGGGGTGGTGTCTTCACCTGGAACTGTCTGGAAACCTTGTCACACAAGCATCTGAACTTTGATGGCCTCTATGTGAGAGGAAATGAATTTGGTTAAAAGATTTAATGGGAACTTTGGGGGTGGATACCTATGCTGTCAGGAATGTTTGTTGCAGAATTGTATTAAAAACATTCTGCTTAATTACTACAAAGGTAGTGATTCCATCCATTTGGAAGAAGGCAATTAAACTGCAATAGTTAAAAATAAATGGCTACTATTATCCAGTCTACAGTAACTATGCAACAAAGACACCAAGGAAAGTTGGTAGGCATTTCGGCTGTCTTCTAAACAGGTACTTCAGATCTTCCACAGGTTCACAGGTGTAGTGGCTGATGGGAACTTCAGGTTCCTGGTCCGGGGCCTCTGGTTTTGCTGGTTTGGTCCTTGAAAGATATATATAACTATCTAATCCTAGTACTTTGACCACAGAAGGCATGGCCAGTGTTACTGAAAATGGTCCCTTCCATTTGGGTTGTAATTGTTGAGCAGGTGATCCTTCCTTCCATGTTTTAACAAGTACCTTATCTCCTGGCCTGATTTGGGGTTACTGATTAGTTCCCAGTGTGGAAAGCCTTTGAATTCCAAGCTTTTGTAAAGCCTGCTGAAATTGTCCTAGGTTGACTAGGTATTTTACTAAACTGGCTGTTTCTGGATCAATAATTAAATCATTAGTTAAGAATGGCCTTCTGTATAACATTTCGTATGGGCTTATGTTAATTTTTGCTCTAGGGGTATTATGGATCCTTAAGAGGGCTATGGGCAGTAAGCTGACCCAAGTTTCTGATGTTTCCTGACATAGCTTAGCTTACACTCATTTTAGAGTTTGGTTAGCCCTTTCTACTTTCCTGGAGGATTGAGGCCTCCATGCTGAATGTAAATAGTATTTGATTCCAAGAGCCTTAGCAACCCCTTGAGTTGTTTGGGAGATAAGGGATGAGCCATTATCACTTTGGAGGCTCTGAGGTAACCCAGACCAGGGGATTATTTCTTTTAAGAGAAACTTTATGGCCTCATTAGCCTTCTCTGTTATGGTAGGATAAGCTTCGACCCAACCAGTAAAGGTATCCATTAGCACTAACAAAAACTTGTATCTTCTTCAAGCTGGCATATGGGTGAAGTCTAATTGCCAGTCTTCCCCTGGATAAGTTCCTCTCTTCTGGACTGGTTCTATTGGAGGAGGCATTTTGTTTCCTGGGTTGTTAAGTTCACACAGTGAGCAGGCTTGGCAGACCTGCTTAGCCACTGAAGCCAAGTTAGATCCAGTAAAGAGCTTATTTACCATGGGCAGAGTTGCATCTCTCCCCACATGGAAAGAGACACGCAGGGCTTTTATAACTTTCCACTGAGCTGTCTGAGGGAGATATATTTTTGACCCCAATACCACCAGGATCCTTGTTTTTGTCTCCCTTCTTCCTTTATTAACTGTTCTTCCTGTAGTGTGTACTCCGGTTATATTGGGGAATCATAGAAAGGAAGTAGTGCTAGGATCTGTTGGGATTGCACCCTGAGGGCTGTAGCTTTGGCTTCTCTATCAGGCTTTCTGTTCCCTTGTGCTATAGGGGTTGAGTCCCTTTGATGTCCCCTGTAATGGATTATAGCTATGGCCTTTGACAGGTGTATTGCTTCCAGTAGCTGAAGAATTTCAGGCCCATGCTTTATGGGGGAGTGTTTGCTAGTTAGTAATCCCCTTTCTTTCCAGATTGTAGCATGAGCATGAACCACAAAGAATGCATATTTAAAATCTGTATAGATGTTAAGCTTTTTCCCTTGTCCCAACATTAATGCTCGAGTAAGAGCAATGATTTCAGTCTTTTGTGCTGATGTGCCTGGGGGCAGTGGCTGGGCTTCAGTAATTATGTTATGATTCACTACTGCATATCCAGCTCAGCACTCCCCATTTGACACAAAACTACTGCCATCTGTGAATCGGTCATCCTCAGAATCTGGGAGAGGCTGATCTTTCAAAGCAGGACAGCTAACATACGTGCAATGACCTGCTCATAGGAATGATCAGTTATTGGGCCTATGGGCAGCAATGAAGCCAGATTCAGTGTTAAAGGTTTTAAGGATTACATCTGGATTGTCTAGGAGCATAGCCTGGTATTTGGTTATCCTTTCCCCTGTCATCCAGAGGTGTCCCTTTAGCTCTAAAACTAACTTTACCTGATGAGGGGCTAGAACTTCCAGTGGTTGGCCCAGGGGAATTTTAGTGGCTTCATCCACTAACATAGCAGTGGCTGTTACTGCCTGCAGGCAACTTGGCCACCTCAAGGCCACTCCGTTTAACTTCTTCGAAAAGTAGGTGGTTGGTCTGTGTTCTGATCCAAATTTCTGCGCTAGCACTCCCACAGCTATGTCCCTCTTCTCTGCTACATACAAAAAGAAGGGCTTAGTTAGGTCCGGGATGCCAAGAGCGGGAGCCTGGGCGAGAGCCTGTTTTAACTTGGCAAAGGCTCCTCTCATTTCCGGGGTCCATTCCATTAGCTGATTTTCAGGCCCCCTTGTTGCTTCATACAGGGGCTTTGCTCTGAGTCCTAAATTTGGTACCCATGTTCTGCAAAACCTGGCCATTCCCCAAAAAGAACGAAGCTGTTGCCTGGTGTGGGGGGCCCCCAAACCACATATGGCTTGCACTCATTCTGGGACTATTTGTCAGGCTCCAAGTGTTAAGACATACCCTAAATATTGGACCTATTAAAGGGTAATCTGTGCCTTCTTTTTGGACACTTTATATCTCCTGTCTGCCAGGAAAATCAAAGTTTTTATAGTATTTTGGTCAGAAACTCCTGAGTTGGGCTACACACAAGAAGTTCATTCACACGCTGAAGTATACTCCCATTCTCTAATTGCAGATACCTCAGACCCCTCTCTAAAGCCCAGGCAAAGAAATGGGGGCTATTCCAAAAGCTCTGAGGGAGCACTGTCCAAGTGTATTGTTGTTTTTCCCTGGTATTAGGATTTTCCCATTAGAAGGCAAAAAGGTATTGGGACTTTGGGGCCAGGGGAATGGAGAAGAAAGCATCTTTTAGGTCTAGGACTGAGAACCATTTTGCATCCCCTGGCACCTAAGCCAGGAGAGTATATGGAAATAACAGCTTCATTAATTATTCTGAGGTCCTGTACTAATCGGTATTCCCCTGAAGGTTTTAGAATGGGTAAGGTGGGGGTATTGCAGGGAGGATTACAGGGTTTTTTTTTTTTAGACAGAGTTTCACTCTTGTTGCCCAGGCTGGAGTGCAATGGCGTGATCTCGGCTCACCACAACCTCTGCCTCCCAGGTTCAAGCAATTCTCCTGCCTCGGCCTCCCGAGTAGCTGGGATTACAGGCATGTGCCACCATGTCCAGCTAATTTTGTACTTTTAGTAGAGACGGGGTTTCTCCATGTTGGTCAGGCTGGTCTCAAACTACTGACCTCAAGTGATATGCCCACCTCGGCCTCCCAAAGTGCTGGGATTACAGGTGTGAGCCACCATGCCCAATGAATTACAGGGTCTTAAGAGCCCATGGGTAAGTAATACTTTAACTATTGGTGTAAGGCTTTTTCTTGTTTCCTGCTTAATTGGGTATTGTTTTCAATTGGAAAATTAGCTGGGATTTTTAGGTTGTATTTTGACTGGCACTGCCATTTTAGCCTTCCCCGGTTTTCCAGTATACCATGCCAGTGGGTTAGCCTGTTTATTAATGTGGTCTGTGACATTGTCTGTAATTTTGACTATTAGCAATTTCACTGGGTGATGCTTAAATTATTGTAGTGCCCTTGTTCTAACCACAATATCTCTTCCCAAGAGGGGGATTGGGCAGCTTGGTACTACTAGGAATTCCTGCTGGAAGATTTGTCTCTCAAATTGAAAAATCAAAGGAGGAATAAAAAATCTTGTCTGTGGCTTCCCTTTCATTCCCATAACACTCATGGACTGGGAGGAAAGTTTTCCTGCATAAGCAGTAAGAACAGAGTAATTTGCCCCTGTATCGAAAAGAAACTGAATTTGGGTGCCTGTGATGTCCAGAGTTACCTGAGGCTCCTCAGTAGTAATTAAAATGTTCCTGGGCAGGGGCAGTGAGGAAGAATCCAGGCCCCTTCAGTCTTCATCTAATTCCTCCTTTCGCAAAACTAGAGTTTTGCCTGACTGAGACCCTTGGTGGGAGAAGGGACAGTCAATTCTCTAGTGCCAGGGGCCACAACTGGTGCCTTCGCATTGACAGTAGGGGCCTGGCAGGGGCTTACTACATTCCTTTGCCCAGTGCCCATTTTTCTTGCATTTGAAGCAAGAGCCTTTGCTGGCATTATCCTTATTGCCCTTTGGATTTCCCTTAGATGCTCTTTGAGCATTCAAGGCATCGCCAATGATGGCTGCCGTAATTCTGGCTTGCCATTTTTCTTCATTCTGTTCCCTTTTTTCCTTCCTCCAGGTCACAATTGTTATACACCATAAAGGTGGTATCAGGAAGCTGATTTTGATTAGTTTGTGGCCCCATTTGTAGCTTTCGGAGCTTATGTCTAATGTCTGGGGCAGATTGGCTAATGAAATGCTGTGCCATTAATATTTTGCCTTTGGAAAAGGAAGGGTCCAGATTAGTGTACTTTTTAAAGGCTTCCTCCAGCCTGCCACAAAACATGGCTGGGTTTTCCTCCCTGCCTTGCATAATCTCCCTTACTTTATCATAATTTACTGTCTTAGTTATTCCCTTTCTCATTCCTCAAAGGAAAGCCTCAAGAAATTTAACCCGGTTGTTCATTCCCACAGGGGTGTTATATTCCCAGTTAGGATCAGTAATGGAAACTGTGTCTGGGCCTGAGCAATTGCCCTGAGGGTTTTGGGCAAATAATTCGTCTGCTTCCTGGTGGGTGGCCTCAATGACTCCTTCCTTTTCTGAAGGAGTGCAACAGGTTGCTAGAATGAATTGAACATCTCTCCATGAGAGATCAAAGGCTAAGGTCAAAGTTTGGAACCCATCTGCAAATTTCCTAGGATTCTCGGAATAGCTTCCCAGCTTTTCCTTATATTATTGTATATCAATTATAGAGAAGGGGACCTGCACTAGGACTGACCCCTTAGCTCCTGCTAATTCCCTAAAAGGTAGCAGGGTTGAGAGTTAAATACGGTGTTCCTCTCTGAGTGTGAGGGGGACTTAGTAGGGTCTCCGGTGTTTGCTCCTGGGTTTTAGCCTCAGGAGCACTTGGCAAGGGGCCATATGGGGGTGGTCACTGTTCACCCTGACAGACAAGTGGCCCTTGTAAAAGGGGGTCATCTATAGTATCTAGTTCTGCCTTAGAACTTTCCTTTATGGGAGTGGGTTCTGGGAGTTTCACAGATGGTTAGGTGTGGAATAGGGTCATGAAAGCCTTTACATATGGGATTTCTGACCATTTGCCCTACCCCTTGCAAAATAGGTCTAATTGCAGGATAATGTCATAATTAAGCTACCATTGACTGCCCATTGTTCTGGGCTGGGCAGCTTATAATGGGGCTAGACAGTATTGCAGAAAAAAGTATACATTTTCTCTTTAGATTGTCAAATAGATTCCGATGGTAGATGATGTAACCAAGCAGGGAATCAGGTGGAATATGTGGAGAGTTGCCCACAGTGGAATCAGGTGGAATAGACTGACAGTTGCCCTTAGTGGTCTGGAAAAGAGGACTTTGAAAAGTGGAGGGCTCACTAGGTGACCCAAATTTTGCCCGGGTGTCCCCTTGGAAAAATTCTGGGCCCAGGCTGGGTTCCCTGAGGGCGTCCCTCCTTAAAGGCCCTGACTTAGCCTGTCAGATATCTGACCTTAGATGTATGGCAGCACCACTTTGGAATGGTTCCCTCTACCACTGAGGACCTATTGTGAACTTTCTTTCCTTAAGGATTTTCTATCCCACTGAAAGCAACCCTTTAACTCTCAATTGAGGCAATAATAAATTCCCTTTCATGAATTAACCTCCCCACCCCCCACAGACTACCTGGGACAATCCCAGACCCTCTGACTAGTATAACCCTTTTTTTTTTTTTTTTGGCATAGCTAGGTGGGTTTTCTGTCCTTAGCCAGTCGAGTGGGGGAAGGGAAGAATTTAGCATAAGAAAAGGAGGTTTAAGTCGCCTGAAACATGTGTGAGTTCACCCTGGATGAACTGCCACTGCCAATTGCTTCACACATAGGGATCAGGGACTATCACTGAAAAGGATAGAAAAGAGTCTTTCCCCCTTCTGAGAAGGGCAGCCATCCCTGCTTTCTCCTTGGCCTTCAGACAACAACGGAGAGTGGACCCAACCAGTTCCCCTCAATTACCAAGGAGCTACTAGGAAAAGGCCGCTGAAAGACTGAAAAATGAAAAAAGAAAACTCAGAAAAAGGAAGAAAGGAATAGGACTCAGAAAAACGAAAACAAGGAAAAGGACTCAGGTCCCTTACCCAAACCAGGCGGTGGTGGTCAGGCACTTCCACATGGAAGACTTTCAGTTTCACCAGAGAGTGGACCTGGCCAGAAAGTTGCAGTTGTCTGCATTCTTAGGTGCTGCCTACTGAGGGTCCTGAGTTAGAAAGGAAAAGAGAGAGACAGAAAGATTTCCCTGTATGTAAAAGGGGAAAGGAGAAAAATAAATCCCAAACTTTGGACCTGCTTTCTCCTGGCCAGCTTGCCAAAATATGTTACTGGTAGAGGGTCTTGACTGCAGGTTGTCCAGGGTTCTTGGCGTTTTGAACAAAGAATTAGACAAAATGCACAGCAAAGGAAGGAAAGAATGAAGCAACTACAGAACAAAAGCAGAGATTTATTGAAAATGAAAGTACACTCCACAGTGTGGGAGCGGGCCTGAGCAGTGGCTCAAGGGCCCCAGATACAGAATCTTCTCAGGTCCAAATACCCGCTAGAGGTTTCCCATTGGCCACTTGGTACCTCATAAATGAGTGGTGGCCCACAATCAGAGGCTGAAGTGAAATTACAAAGATCACACTCCTGTGCAAACGTCTGATTGGTTACAGAAAGTGTCATGCGTGTCCGTGTGAAAAGACCACCAATAGGCTTTGTGTGGGCAATAAAACTTTTTAATCACCTGGGTGCAGGCAGGCTGAGTCCAAAAAGAGAGTCAGCAAAGGGAGTTAGGGGTGGGGCAGTTTTATAGGATTTGGGTAGGTAGTGGAAAATTACAGTCAAAGGGGGTTGTTCTCTGGCGGGCAGGGGCGGGGGTCATAAGGTGCTCAGTGGGGGTGCTTCTGAGCCAGGAGAAGGAATTTCACAAGGTAATATCATCAGTTAATGCAGGACTGGCCATTTTCACTTCTTTTGTGATTCTTCAGTTACTTCAGGCCATCTGGATGTATATGTGCAGGCTTGGGCTCAGAGGCCTGACATTCCTGTCTTCTTATATTAATAAGAAAAATAAAAAGAAATAGTGGTAAAGTGTTGGGGTGGCAAAAATTTGTGGGGGTGGTATGGAGAGATAATGGGCGATGTTTCTCAGGGCTTCTTCAAGCAAGATTAGGGGCAGTGTGGGTACCTAGAGTGGGAGACATTAAGCTGAAGGAAGATTTTGTGGTAAGGGGTGATATTGTGAGGTTGTTAGAAGAAACATTTGTCATATAGAATGATTGGTGGTGGCCTGGATACAGTTTTGTATGAATTGAGAAACTAAACAGAAGACACAAGGTCCGAATAAGAGAAGGAGAAAGACAGGTATTAAAGGACTAGGAATTGGGAGGACCCAGGACATCCAATTAGAGAGCGCCCAAGGGGGTTCAGTGTAATTACTTGCTTGATTGGTGAGTTGGACAGTCCGATTTCCAGTGGGGTCCCACACAGATGGGACATGGCTTAGGAGGAATCCTGGGCTGCAGGCATTCCTTGGCCCAGTGGCCAGATTTCTGGCACTTGAAGCAAGATCCTGATGGAGGAGGTCCTGGAGGAATGCCTGGTCACTGTTGCTTAGGCGTTCTGAAGTTCTTGTGTGCTGGAGATGTGGCTGGGTTTTGTCTCACAGCAGAGGCAAGTAATTGTAACTCTTTTCTATTATGGTACACCTTGAAGGCGAGGTTAATTAAGTCTTGTTTGTGGGGTTTGAGGGCTGGAATCTAATTTTTGGGGCTTTTTCTAATGTCAAGAGCGGATTGGGTAATAAAACGCATATTGAGAATAAGACAGCCTTCTGACCTTTCAGGGTCTAGGGCTATAAAGCGTCTCAGGGTTGCTGCCAAACTAGCCATGAACTGGGCTGGGTTTTTATATTTGATGAAAAAGCCTAAATGCTAACTGATTTGGGAGAGGTTAGATAAAGAAAAAGGAGCATTAACCTTGACTATGCCTTTAGCTCCAGCCACCTCTTTAAGAGGAAATTGTTGGGCAGGTCGGGGAGGGCTAGTTGCAGAATGAAACTATAAGCCAGACCAGGTGTGAGGAGGGGAGGTGATAGAGGATTATAGGGTGGAGGAGTGGAGGCTGAGGAAGAATTGAGACCTGGCTCGGCCTGGTGAGGAGCAGCCTGGGGAGGAGGGGAGAGGTCAGATGGGTCAGTAGAAAAGGAAGATTGAAAAGACTCAGCGATGCTTGGGGTTGGTACTGAGGGAACAGGCGGGAGGGAAAGAAGAAAGATTTGGGATGAATTGCTTTGGAAACAGAGACTAGGGAGGGGCTAATGTGTAAAAGAATGCCTGGACGTCAGGCACCTTAGACCATTTGCCCATTTTACAACAAGAATTATCTAGATCTTGTAGGATGGAGAAATCAAAAGTGCTGTTTTCTGGCTATTTGGAACCATTGTCGAGTTTGTATTGGGGTCGAGTGGCATTGCAGAAGAAAATAAGGCATTTAGGTTTTAGGTCAGGTGTGAGTTGAAGAAGTTTTAAGTTCTTGAGAACACAGGCTAAGGGAGAAGAAGGAGGAATGGAGGGTGGAAAGTTGCCTATAGTGAAGGAGACAAGCCCAGAGAAAAGAGAGGGTAGAGACATGGAGAGAAGGGGTGGGGGGGTACTTGCCCCCTAGGAAAGTGGTACTTGCCACTAAGGTGAAGGATCAAGGCAGGTGTCCCCACGGTGATCAGACACCTCTGAAACATGGGTGAATAATCAGGCAGGCATCCCCACAGTGATTAAACACCAAGGGAAGCCTGTCTTCCCGAGTCTGTGGCTGGCGCCGGAGTTTTGGGTTCATGGATAAAAAGCATCTCCTCTGTCTCTACCAGAAAAGGAAAGGAACTGAAATTAAGAGAAGGGAGAGACTGAAGGGTGGTGCCAAGATTGAAAGAAGAAAGAGGTAGAGGGATAGTGAGAGAGGTTGGAGAAGAGAGTAAAAAGAGGCCACTTACCCAATTTAAAATTGGTGAGATGTTCTTTGGGCTGGTTGGTCTGAGGACCCAAGATCGTAGGCAGATCTTTGTCACGGAGCAAAGAGCAGGAGGACAGGGGATTGATCTCCCAAGGGAGGTCCCCCAATCCAAGTCATGGCACCAAATGTCATGCGCGTCCATGTGAAGAGACCACCAAAAGGCTTTGTGTGAGCAATAAAGCTTTTTAATCACCTGGGTGCAGGCAGGCTGAGTCCGAAAAGAGAGTCAGTAAAAGGGAGTTAGGGGTGGGGCAGTTTTACAGGATTTGGACAGGTAGCGGAAAATTACAGTCAAAGGAGGTTGTTCTCTAGCAGGCAGGGGCGGGGGTCACAAGGTGCTCAGTGGGGGAGCTTCTGAGCCAGAAGGAATTTCACAAGGTAATATCATCAGTTAAGGCAGGAACTGGCCATTTTCACTTCTTTTGTGATTCTTTAGTTACTTCAGGCCATCTGGATGTATACATGCAGGCTTGGGCTCAGAGGCCTGAGAAAAAGCAACCAATCAGAGGTGCTTTCAATGTTCCATCTGCTGCACAGAAAAGGTTTGCAAAGGGAGTATCCTCTAGTCCTCTTGTTACTTAGGCGTGGAAAGTTAGGGTTTTCCTTTCAATTTATTTCTAGGAAGTCAGCAGGAAACGGCCTTAGGTTCCCTGCCTCCAGACCCCATTCTCCTGCCTTGCTCATACACAACATTTCCTCTAATCAGACTGGTCCCATTATTGTCTCACAGAAGCATTCTTTTCAATTCTGTCTCCTTACCTTTTCTCCTGTCACTGTTCTTACCTGAAATGCCTCTTCTTTGCCTTATTAAATTGTATTCAACCTTCAAGATCCTGCTTGGTCTAAACTCAAGCTTAAGAGCAAGCCTTCCATGTCTACTTCCATCTGCTGTAATTTTCCATTTCTGTGAATTTTTTCTGTACTTGACAGTCTGAACCACACAAAGTTAATAGTTGATTATACATGTTCTTGCATTGCTCACTCATCATTTCTGGGGTTTTGGGCCTAACCTGCCAACAGATGTTAATGCCATAAGAGAAGCATCTATGTTGCATACTTACTTGTGCCTTTCCTCTGACATATAGCATAATGCAAAGTCCTGATTACATACATTTAAACCTTTCGCTTTGAAAGGCTAAGTCAATCTATGTATACAGTTACCAGAGGAGTGTGAAAACTCTCTTTTCCTAGAAATTATATAAGTGGCCTGATCATCCTTGGGACTAGCTCAAGAGTCCTCTACCACTAAGTGGCTTAATCAGAAATGTGAGAGGCATAGAAAGGCATTAATTGAAATCTTAGAGACCCAGGTGATTAAGCATATCTCTTCCACCAAACCTTTGATAGGAGTGACTTTTTCTTCCTGGGAGATACATTCTACTGGCTACTTACTCTATTTCACTTATATTTGGTTCTACATGAAGACAGCATGGTGTGATATTCCCTCTGTTATTTAAAACACACCCCAAAACCTCCGATCTTGGTGTCTCATGCTATTTATATGCTTATTCATTCATTCACTATCTTTATTTATTGATCACCTAAAGAGACAGGATAGTATAATTATATATATATATTTTTTGATCAGCTATATATTTATATTTATTTGATCACCTAAAGAGACATATATTTATTGATCACCTAAAGAGACAGGATAGCATAATGGCTAAGATGCCAGATGCTAGAACCAGAATGCCTGGGTTAAAATCCTAGTTTTACCACTTTCCAGTTTTGTGACAACAATTTATTTGATATCTCTGTGCCATCTGTAAAGTGGGATGGTAATAAGAGTACTTTACTGATAGAGTTGTTGTATGAAATAATTCATATTTATAAAGTACTGAGAACAGTGCTTTGCACACAATAAGTGCTGTATAATTTTTATCCACAATTTTTGTCATTTGTGTATATCTGGTATCTCTACTCCTGCCTATTTTCTTTCCTTTCATTCACTAAAGTGAATATCTTCCATTCACTAAAGTGTTCTGAGGGGGCATTTTCTCTAGAAGGCCCCACTCATAATAAACATACGTTCCTGGGAACGTTGATTATTTTATTAGACAGACTATTTGACAAACCCATTTTTGATGGGATGAGAAACAGAACAGGAAACATTTTAATGCAGTATTATTAAGTACAGATGGGAAGAGCACTGGACTGGGATTAAGGAAACCTAGGTCCCAGTACTTGCCCTGACTTTTTTCTCTTGTCCCTTGTGTGATGTTGAATAACTATTTTAACCTTTCTAGGTTTCCATGAACACATCTTCAAAACTGGTGGCTTGGCCTAGAACAATAGCTTTCAAATGTTTATCATTTATTTCATATCAGTGGAAACTTTTCTTCAAAAAAATATTAGGTAGAAGCTCAAAATGTAAACATGGAATTGCTGCTTTGGTTTAAAAGAATATGAGGAGCTTTCTGAGGCACCTTTACTTAAGCATTAGGCCATAGAGACTGAAGCCATAGAATTCAACCAGGGGTTTATGCTGGTAATCCAGCTCTCATTAGTAGTGTTTGTTGATTTCCTGTGGTGTTAATACTTTCATCATGGCAAGTTTCAACCTACCAACGTGACATAACTGAACAAGTCAAGAAGAGATATCTATAGTCAGCTCTTCTAACGTGAGTAGGGGGAAACTCTAGCACTTTTAGACTTTTAGATTCCAGCCAACGAGAGTTTAGGGGACTTGGAGTTTACGTGGATAGGCAGAATGTGGGGAAGTGATATGTGCTCTTGGATGCCAGATGGGAAGGGATATTTATTTATTTATTTATTTGAGATGGAGTCTCACTCTGTCACCCAGGCTGGAATGCAGTGGTGCCATTTCAGCTCACTGCAACCTCCACCTCCCAGTTCGAGTGATTCTCCTGCCTCAGCCTCCCAAGTAGCTGAGATTACAGGCACCCACCATCATGCCCAGCTAATTTTTGTATTTTTAATAGAGACAGGGTTTCACCATGTTGGCCAGGCTGGTCTCAAAACTCCTGACTTCAGGGTCCTCCCACCTTGCCCTCCCAAACTGCTGGGATTACAGGCATGAGCCACCACGCCTGACCAAGATATTTAAAAGAAAGATAACAAGAGTTAGTTTTAACATTTTGCCAATGTCACTTTTGAGGGCATATGACTAGGGGTTCAGCACTTCGTGTATTTGCTTCCAAACTGTCTCCATATTCAGAAGGAGAATGAGTTGACCAAAAGCCACTGAGGATCCATACTCATACTGAGAAAAAGGAAAACAAAACAACAATCTTAAGGACTTTTTAATAATAATACGTAGAGTAAATTGAAAACACAATCTGTCAGCCCACTTCATGATGCTGCCTGGGAAGCCCAATAAATATTCCTATGTGACTTGCTTCAAACTTCTCTGTGCTTGGTAACATTATAGCTGCTAGATGTACACAAAACACCTGCCTTGGGCATCAGGCTCCACCCAAATTCAGGCCAGGAAAGAAACTGGAAATGTAACTAGAGGAAGGGGTTCAACTTTTTCAGGTCATGGATAATTCTCCCTTCCTCTCCATCCTTTCTTATCTCTTCTCCTTCCTTCTATCCCTTCTCATCCTCATCCCCCGTCCTCTCCTCCGTCCTCTCCAACCCCTCTCTTCCTTTACCTCCTCCAACTCCTCACCCATGCCATCTTGCTCTAGAAAGAGGCTGTTTATTGGGCTTCTGTGTACCATCCTAAAGCACAGTGATATCAAAATAAAAATGAAAATGCCTCAGGCTCAGGCAGATGGCAGATCTGAGGTTTAGTTTCCCTGACTTGTTCCCAGTTCCTGTGTAACACGGATGTTGAATGGAGAACAAGTGGGCCCACCACAGCAGATCAAAGGGTAAAACCCGGGACCAGTGGACTGACTGTAGGAAGTGGCAGAAATTCTGAGATCAGAAGCCAGCAGAAACCATGGTACTACTTTACACTCATTAGGATGGCTATAACCAAAATAAGAAAAACAAAAATGGAAAATAGCAAGTGTTGGTGAGTTTGTGGAGAAATTGGAATCATAATAAATCCTAGTGGGAATGAAAAACTGTGCAGCCATGGTGAAAAAGTTTAACAGTCCATCAAAAAGTTAATTATAGTTATCATATTGCTTAGCAATTACACTCCTAGTTATATAACAAAGAGAATTGAAAATATATTTTCACCCAAATATTTGCACAGGAATATTCATAATAGCCCAAAAGTGGAAACAACACAAATGTTCATCAACTGACAAATGAATAAACAAAATATACTATAGCCATGCAATGGAATATTATTCAGCCATAAAAAGGAAATAAGCACATGCTACAACGTGAGTGAACCTTGAAAACATTATGCTAAGGGAAAGAAGCCAGTCACAAAAGACAGCATATTATATACTTCCATTTATATGAAATATAAAGAACAGGGAAATCTGCACAGACAAAAGGTAGACTAGTAGTTGTGTAGGGCAGGAGGGTAGCTGAAAAGAGGGGTAGGGTGAGTAAGGATGTTGTGACGAATGTGCATAGAATTTCTTTTTTTTTTCTTTGTTTTGAGATGGAGTCTTGGTCTGTCGCCCAGGCTGGAGTGCAGTGGCATGATCTCGGCTCACTGCAAGCTCCACCTCCCAGGTTCACACCATTCTCCTGCCTCAGCCTCCCGAGTAGCTGGGACTACAGGCACCCGCCACCAAACCCGGCTAATTTTTTGTATTTTTAGTAGAGACAGGGTTTCACTGTGTTAGCCAGGATGGTCTCGATCTCCTGACCTCGTGATCCGCCCGCCTTGGCCTCCCAAAGTGCTGGGATTACAGGTGTGAGCCACCGCGCCTGGCCAGAATTTCTTTTTAGGGTGATGAAAGTGTTCTAAAATTGACTGTGGTGATGGTTGCATGTACCTGTGAATATACTAAAAACCACTGAATTGCACACTTAAGTGCATAAATTGTACCTTATGTGAACTTTATCTTCATAAAGCTTTTTTAAAAATCTTGTACACCGGCTGGGCATGGTGGCTCATGTCTGTAATCCCTGCACTTTGGGAGGCCTAGGCAGGTGGATCACCTGATGTCAGGAGTTCGAGACCAGCCTGGCCAACATGTTGAAACCCCGTCTCTACTAAAAATACAAAAAATTAGCCGAGCATGGTGGTGGGTGCCTGTAATCCCAGCTACTCAGGAGGCTGAGGCAGGAGAATCGCTTGAACTCAGGAGGCAGAGGTTGCAGTCAGCCAAGATCATGCCACTGCACTCCAGCCTGGGCAAGAAGAGTGAAACTCCATCTCAAAAAAAAAAAAAAATTCTTGTACACCAGTTGATATGGTTAGACTTCGTGTCCCCACCCAAATCTCATCTTGAATTGTAATCCCCAGGTTTTGAGGGAGAGACCTGGTGGGAGGTGATTAGATCATAGGGGCAGTTTCTCCCATGCTGTTCTCATGATAATGAGTGAGTTCTCACAAGATCTGATGGTTTTATAAGTGTTTGACATTTCCTCCTACACACACTCTTTCTCTCTCCTGCCACCTTGTAAAGAGGGTGCCTGCTTTCTCTTCCTTCATGGTATAAGTTTCATGAGGCTTTCCCAGCCATGCGGAACTGTGAGTCAATTAAATCTCCTTTGTGTATAAATCACCCAATCTCAGGTAATATCTTAAGAGCAGTGTGAGAACAGACTAATACACTGATATTCATGGCTACATTATTTATAACAGCCCAAAAGCAGAAACAACCCAAACGTCCATCAACTGAAGAATGGATAAACAGAAAGTGATATGTTTGTACAATGAAATATCATGCAATAATAGAAAGAAATGAAGTGGCCCGGGTGCAGTGGCTCAAGCCTGTAATCCCAACATTTTGGAAGGTTGAGGCGGGTGGATCACTTGAGGTCAGGAGTTCAAGACCAGCCTGGCCAACATGATGAAGCCCCAACTCTACTAAAAATACAAAAATTAGCTTGGCATGGTTGCAGGACCCTGTAATCTCAGCAACTCAGGAGGCTGAGGCAGGAGAATTGCTTGAACCTGGGAGGTGGAGGTTGCCGTGACTGGAAATCGCCCCACTGCACTCCAGCCTAAGAGCCAGAGCCAGAGGCCATCTGGAAAGGAAGGAAGGAAGGAAGGAAGGAAGGAAGGGAGGGAGGGAGGGAGGGAGGGAGGGAGGGAGGGAGGGAGAAAGAGAGAAAAGAACGAATTGATATGTGCTACAACATGGATGAACCTACTTCAGAAACATTATAGTGAATGAAAGAAGCTAGACATGAAAAACTACATACTGTATGATTACATTTATATGTGATATCCAGAATAGGCAAATCCATAGATAAAAAACGTTAATTAATGATTGGTGAGAGGATACAAATAGGAGGAAATTAGGAGTGGCTACTAATAGGTTTGCAGGTTTTTTGGTGGGAGGTAATGAAAATGTTCTGGAATTAGATAGCAGTGATGGTTGCACAATACTGTAAATATATATAAGAAATCACTCTATTGTACACTTCAAAATGGTAGATTTTTTTCATGTAAATTTGTCTCAATTTTTAAAATTGTCAGAAAAACCTATACAGGAGTAAGCCCTCATTTACTGGAAGTGCTGAAAAATAAAAAAGAACGTACGGCCAGCCAGTCAAGAGAACCAATATAGAGTGGTTTTCTAGAAGCCTGGGGAAGAGTTTTAAGAACAGTTAAAAATCACCCAAACAATTTCCCATGTGTTAATTCCATTCTCACCAGACATCCTTTTAATTATTGTTATTATTTAGTTTCTCAAATTTTCATCTTGATAGAAAATTTGCTGACCAGAGTCTGCAAACAGTCAACTGACCAGAGCCCGCTGGTCTTCTTGGCTGTATTTTTCACGAAAAAAAGAATAAGTTAGATTGAAATTTGGGTGTATAAGTGTTTTCTGGTCATCCTGCTGAGGCAGTTTGACCATTCCTCCTCGTAATTTTAGGTTGGATGTGGACACTCGTGACACTAGATATGACAAGAGAATTTGAGAGAAATTTTATTACCCTGGGGACTAGTGGGGGTAAGTGAGGGAGGGCTGGGTGCTGCAAACAGGTCTGGGCTGGTTTCAGAGGCAGAGGAAGTTGGATGGGCCTTTATAGCATCTAGGAAGTGGGGCTGGTGAAAATGCCGCACAGGCTGTAGATTTGCAAGTTTTAAATTTCTCAACTGCACCAATTTTTGTTGCCAGTTTTAAATTTCCCACCAATGCCAAAGAAGGAGGCAGGCTGGAGAATCACAAGTTTTAAATTTCCCACTACAGCCAAAAGCAGAGTCATGCGGCTGTAGATTTGCTAGTTTTAAATTTCCTGCTGGCATCAAAGGAAAAGGTGCCCGGACTTTCTTATCACCCTGACCGGAAGCAGGGACCAACTATGCATGCTCCAAGATTTTGGGACTTTTCACTGTTTTATTTTGATTATTCTCTGTCTTTTCCTGTAAAGCTTATTTTCAGGGTCAGAAGCAAATAGCTGTATAAATAAGAAAGAAAAAACTAGCTCAAATAAAAAAAATGGTAGGATTCAGTGACAGGATTTACGTGTGTGTTATGTAAGCCACACGATATTTTCAGTCTGGGCAACTCTTAAGAGATGAATTGGGCCAGGCGTGGTGGCTCACGCTTGTAATCCCAGCACTTTGGGAGGCCGAGGCAGGCAGATCACCTGAGGTGGGGAGTTCGAGACCAGCCTGACCAACATGGAGAAACCCCGTCTCTACTAAAAATACAAAATTAGTCGGGTGTGGTGGCGCATGCCTGTAATCCCAGCTACTCGGGAGGCTGAGGCAGGAGAGTCACTTGAACCCGGGAAGCGGAGGTTGCGGTGAGCCAAGATCACGCCATTGGACTCCTGCCTGGGCAACAAGAGCGAAACTCCGTCTCAAAAAAGAAAAAGAGAGATGAACCAGTACTGCTATAAACCTTGTGGAGAAATTTGGGAGAAGAAACTTTTACAGTTCAAAGCACAATGTCTAGAAAATGTTTCTGTAAGCAGTATTTTGGCAAGTGTTTTTCTTGTAAATGTATTTACAAGTTCCAGTGATTCTCCCGCCTCAGCCTCCCAAGTAGCTGGGATTACAGGCATGTGCCACCACACCCTGCTAATTTTGTATTTTTAGTAAAGATGGGGTTTCACTATGTTGGTCAGGCTGACTGGGGTTCAGAGAAGGAGGAGGAGAAAGGCGAGGAGGAAAGGGAAGTGGTCTCAAACTCCTCACCCCAGGTGATCCACCCACCTCAGCCTCCCAAAGTGCTGGAATTAGAAGTGTGAGCCACCGCGGCCAGCCCACGGACGGACGGCTGGTACTTACATGTGCACAAGTGCAGCTACTTTACTTACCGTCGAAGGCAGCGGAGGAAGTGTAATTGACTAGCGTGGATGCAGCTTTTCTAAGCAAACGCTCGATTTAACCTGGAGTTGTCATCCCACAAAATACATTGTACCTGACTACAGAGAAACATGAATTCTGGGTCTTCCTTGTGTGTAAGAGTAAATGTATTTTTCCTTAGCATTTTTTGTACCTACTATAGGCATCCATATGGCAATTAGAAGTAACAGAGAGACAAGCAAAACCATATGTTTAAAACAAAAGGTAAAAATAACTAGTATTTTGAGACGTGTTTCAAGTACAGTATTTCCAGAAAACAATATATTTATATTTTTAACTCGTGTCTTTAGCCCTCACACACAAGGAAGACCCAGAATTCATGTTTCTCTGTAGTCAGGTACAATGTATTTTTTGGGATGACAACTCCAGGTTAAATCGAGCGTTTGCTTAGAAAAGCTGCATCCACGCTAGTCAATTACACTTCCTCCGCTGCCTTCGACGGTAAGTAAAGTAGCTGCACATGTGCACATGTAAGTACCAGCCGTCCGTCCGTGGGCGGTTAAAAGGCCCCGGATGTTCAGGGGGTGGAGTCGGCGTCTACCCATGAGGCAGCGCGTGCAGTTATATACTTCTGCCCCCGGCTGAGACGCCGGTTCCGCGCTGGAAGTCTCCGGGGGAGTCGCTGTTGCTGAGGCTGTCGCCTGAGGTTTTTCGCGCTCCTCCCTTTCCTCCTCCTCTTTCTCCTCCTCCTTATCCGAACCCCAGTCAGACCGATCTGCTCTGCTCTCGGTAAGCGGCCCCCGCCCCCGCCTGTGCCGCGCGGAAGGAGGCAGCAGCTCTCCCGCGCGGCCGAGGCAGCCTTCCCCAGAGGGCGGTTCTGAGGGCGGCTGGCTGAGGGTCTCTATGCCGGTGCGGATCGACGGGGGTGCGGGGGAGGGGACAGGCTTGGCGGCGTGGTAGCTGGTGGGCCACCATCTTGCGCCGGGCCCTGAAGGGGGAGGGTTTTCTGGAGGTAGAGCCTGGCGGCCCGCGGCGGGCAGTGGTTTCGCGGGCCGCGGCAGCTGCGGCAGCCTTCTCACCTCCTGAGTCCTGTCGGTCTGTTTCCAACCCGGTTTGGGCTTTTCATTCTGGAGGCAACTCCCTTTCGTCTTTTGTACGGTTGATACTGATGTTTGACGGAGACCCGCCCACCCTCAAGTCTCTTCAATCAAACGAAAAGAGACTTGAGGGGATTCCGAACTTTCAGGCATCAGAGACCCTGTGACCCCTTCTTTCTGCGCAGGTTCCCCCCACACAGGACCGGTCATTCCATGCCCACAACCTTGTTCTGGCCAAAGGGACTTCCCTTCTCTGTCACAGAAATCGTGCTCTATTCCGTTATTGTCTAGAGGATAAGAGCCCTGAGGAGAAACGTGGAGTTAAATACACTATATTCTAACTAGGAGGTTTGCAGGTTTTACTTAAAGAGATGGAAAAAATTATGCTGAGGTATACTCCTGCTCTAGAGATGGAGGGAGTTCCTTTCAACTTCTCTCAGGTTTTAATGCTTTTTTAAGGAGAAATTCGAGAGGAAATTGTCAAGTGAACCAGCTTCTGCAAGCACGGGAGACCTTCATCCAGGGGATTCTCTTTGTTTGGAAAGATTTGTTAGTTTTGTGGAGTTTTTTAAATCTGCGACCTTAAATTTTTTTTACTATTGTTTTCAGGTTTGGACTATGAGTTGTAATGTCTTTTAGTGCCCCTAAACATAAAATAGAAACCTAGAAGTAGAGTTTTAAACTGCAAAAGTCTCCTCTTAGTATTTGTGAGGTGTCCTGGTTTGGGGGTTACTGTGCAAACTTAATCTCCTTACGCAGAAACTTCACTGAGCCTACAAAGGCACTGATTTGCTTGTAAAATTAGGGCTGTGTACCTTTGATGTTTCTACAGCAGTACAGATTCCATTATAATCGTATCTTGCATTTGTATATTTCATTGGTAGCACCCCTTTTGAGATGGGCTGTAGGGTGTCGTTAGAACTGTTTGAAGATGAGGAAACAGCCTCAAGGACAGAACTTTACCGAGGTCATGTGCCTAGGAAGTGATGGAACCAATTCTTAAACCTAGGCTTTCTGACCCTCATCCAATGTTCAATTTGGTATATTATGTCTCACTTTTTGTGAGAGTGAGGTGGTCACGGAGAATAAGCAAGGAGGCTCACTTAAAAGTTTTAAGAAGTATTATTCAATTCCTTTTTCCTTTATATTTTTATTTTTAAGGCTTCATTTTTTTTCGACTTTTTCATACTTTAATATTATTTCTAAGCATGTTGAAGAGTTGAAGAATATCCTATTGAAAAAGTTCTTAGGTTGAATAACTCCAAATCTCAGCTACTTGGTTTTCAGTGAGTTTGTCTTAAGTAGTGATTCAAAAAGATTTGATTTCCTCAGTAATTTTTTTTTTTTTTTTTTGAGACGGAGTCTCGCAATGTCGCCCGGGCTGGAGTGCAGTGGCGCGATCTCAGCTCACTGCAACCTCTGCCTCCCGGGTTCAACCGATTCTGCTACCTCAGCCTCCTAAGCAGCTGGGGTTACAGGCCCTTGCCACCACGCCCGGCTAATTTTTGTAATTTTAGTAGAGATGGGGTTTCACTATGTTGGCCAGGCTGGTCTGGAACGCCTGACCTCGTGATCCACCCACCTCGGCCTCCCAAAGTGCTGGGATTACAGGAGTGAGCCTCCATGCCCAGCCTTCCTCAGTAATTTGAATCAAATATATACGTCTAGACTTTTTTTCCCAGTGCTCTGTACATTCAGAGAAACATCACTAGTAATGAACTGTAGAAATGACTCCTGAAAGTAGAGTATTCGTCTAGACTTTATTCATTTGCTGCAAAGTAGTTTTCTTTTAAGGAGTTTTTTTTTTCATTTTTTTGTTTCCTTTTTAACTTTTTATTGGCAAATGATAATTGTGCGTATTTATGGGGTACAATGTGATGTTTTGATATGTATACATTATTGAAAGAGGCTAACATAGCCATCACCTTACCAATTTATCATTTTGTTATGAGAATGTTAGAAATTATTTTAGCAATTTTGAAATATACAATACATTATTAGTATTAGCTGTGGTCACCTTGTAGTGCAATAGATAACTAAAACTTATTCCTCCCATCTAATTAAACTTCGTACTCTTGGATCAACATCTTTTCCCCATCTGTCCCACCCCTGAACTCCCAAGTCTCTGGTAACCATCTTTCTACTCTCTGTTTCTATGAGATAAAGTTGTTTAGATTCCACATGTGAGATCATACAGCATTTTTCCCCAGAGAATAAGAGAATCCAGCTGCTTTTTATTAAGATAAATATTAAAGACATTTGCAAAAATGTAAATCAATATTACTTTTCTCATTAAATTTGTTTTTTAAAAGTTATTCTCATTAAAAGTATTTTTATTAACTTGTAATGGGCTTATAAATATTTTAAATAAAAACATTTGAAATCTGTCTCAGTTTCAATTTCTAATATGGGAAATATCAACACATATTGTCCATATAAACATAAAGCTCATTGGGGTTCTCATTAAGTTTTAAGTGAAAAGAAATCCTGGGATAAAAGAGTTTGAGAACTACTGATGTGATGCAGTTTATTTATGATATGATTTTAATTGAGCTCTTCATGTGAACTAGATTTGTTTTCTTTAAGTGCTTGTATTCATCAACTTAACGGTATGACTTCAGGTAAGGAAGGAGAAGTTGAGAAAAATAGTGCAAAGTACTGTTGAGGAATATTTCACTTGCTTTATTTAATGTTCACAGTAGTGCTGCAAGGAAGGTATTACTGTTTTCGTTTTACAGATAGAAAAACTAAGGCTTACAGAGGTTGATTATACTTACAGATTTGGCAGCCAGGAAGTGGTAGACCAGAAATTCCCACTCAGGTTGTCAGCCCCTATGTCCAGTGTTCCCATCAATGCACTTACTTACATTTTCCCTGGTGGATAAGTTTTACTCGTATAAAAAGCAAATTGATTAATAATACATACTTCTTGAGGTTACTTTAGGAATTAGTGATTATAGAATATCTTATGAAACTTACATAAAATATTTACTATACAGATTGGCTTCAAAAGGCCAGTAATTGTACATTAGTCTTTTCCCCATATTATATCTTTTACATATGAATTATAATAAAAGCGTATGCCTATAAAGTCTATACCCTGAGTATAAAGTAAAACTTCTTTGTAGAAGTATATTTTATTATAGTGCCCCATCCCAAAGCTGACATAAAATGTTTTAAAATATAGGCAAACTTTGCAAAGTATTATGCTAGTGAGTTTTAAATCTTAGTGTAAACCAGCTATTTTCTACAAATAGATGAAGTATGAAAATTAACAGAGACAAAAGTTGAAAATGAATAAGGATAAAATAATAAAGTTATTAAATGTCTTCTCAAAATGTACCTGGACTTCATGTGTTCAGGCTTTCAGAAAAAAAGATAATTTGCATAGTATAAAAACTTGGACAAAGAAAATATGAAGAGCCTCTATTTTCTTTCTGAATTGTATGTAATTTGTTCCCAAAACCTACTTTGAAAGTTTGAATCGTTGAGATGCCAGTCAAATTGTCTAAGGAACCAAGATATAATCCAGTTTTCTTGGATTTGCGTACTATACCAATTCTTGTTATAAGAAAAACATTTCACAGACACCCCTGAACTTAAAATGTTTGAAACATTCTCAGAGTTCTTACACAACCATAAAACAAAGCAGTCAAGTGAAACTACAAAACCATTGCCATTTGAATCAGCTTTCATATATTGAATGAGTATTTTGCTGAGTCACTGCCTACCTACTTCTATTGAGTTTTTCATACCTACTGATATATACTATATATATAATATATTCCCTACTTATATATAAATAATAGCAAGGTTTTTTATTTGAACCCTTTCAGTACCTTCATTTCTATAGCTAACCATATGGTCATTGCCCTTCATTTAGTGCAAATGCGTCATTTATGTATATAAGGTTGGTCACCCAGAGAATCCCCAGAGCAGGCTTATGTTAATTTTTTTAGATAGCAAAAGTTAAATAGCAAAACAAAAAGAGAATTATATTGTTATAGAGCTCTCTTGCACAACCTGGAATATATCTATTTTCCTGAGAGGTCTGTTGACCCTGGTTTGAAAAATGGGGTAATCCATTGATGAATTTATTAGTAGTTTTAAACACAGTTGCCAGAAACCTAGCTCAAAGTAGATTAAACCAAAAATGAATAATTATTTTCTCTCTTAACTGAAAAGCTGTTGTGGATAATTTGCTTCAGGCATGGTTAGCTTCAGGTATTTAAATGGTATCATCAGGACCGGTCGAATGTTTACCTACTCTCCCTTTCTCTACTCCAGAATCGTACAGCTTTGCTATCTTTGTTAGGTTCTTTCTTTGGTACTTTTTCTCCACATCACTCCCAAGCTTAAATCCTACCAGCTGATTATTTTTTCTTTCTTTCTTTCTTTCTTTCTTTCTTTTCTTTTTTTTTTTTTTTTTGAGATGGTGTCTCACTCTGTCTCCCAGGCTGGAATGCAGTGGTGCAATCTCGGCTCACTGCAGCCTCCACCTCCCAGGTTCAAGCTATTCTCCTGCCTCAGCCTCCTGAGTAGCTGAGATTACAGGCACATGCTACCACGCCCAGCTAATTTTTATATTTTTAGTAGAGACGGGGTTTCACCATGTTGGTCAGGCTGGTCTCGAACTCCTGACTTTGCAATGCACCTGCCTCTGCCTCCCAAAGTGCTGGGATTACAGGCATAAGCCACCGCACCTGGCCTTATTATTTTCTTAATGGCATTATTGAGATACAATTCATATAGCATACAATTTACTCATTTGAAGTGTGCAATTCAGTGGTTTTAGTATATTCACAGTTGTGCAGCTAGCACCACAGTTAATTTTAGAACATTTTCATCACCCCAGTAAGAAACCCTGTACCCATTAACAGTCACTCCCCATTTCCCACCAACCCTCCCAACCATATGCAGCCTCTACTCTACTTTCTGTCTATGGATTTGACATTTCTAGACATTTGGTATGAATGAAATCATACAATATGTGGTCTTTTTGACTGTCTTCCTTCACTTAGTATAATGTTCTCAAGGCCCATTAGTATTGTAACATGTATCAGTGCTTCATTCCTTTTTATTACCAAATAGTGTTCAGTTGTATGGATATATCACATTTTGTTTGTCCATTCCTGAGTTGATGGGTATTTGAGTTGTTTCCACTTTTTGGCTATTGTGAATAATGCCACTGTGAACATTTGTGTGCAAATTTTTGTGTGGACATATGTTTTCAATTGTCTGTCTCTAGGAGTGTAATTGCTAGGTCATGTGATAACTCTGTTTAACTTTGTGAGGAACTGCCAAAGTGTTTTCCACAGTGGCTGTACCATTTCACATTCCCACCAGCAGTGTATGAGGGTTCCAATTTCTCTACATCCTTGCCAACACTTGTGATTATCTGTCTTTTAATTCTAGCCATCCTAGTGGGTGTAAAGTGACATCCATTAACTATTTAAATGTTTTTTTATTGTGGCAAAATACATATACTATTTACCATTTTAACTATGTCAATCTATTTTTAACTTTTTGTAGAATAAACTCTTGTAAAACATAGTTGAATTTTAGATACATAAAAGCTGAAACCAAAAAATAAATAGGAATTATAATTATTTATACAGGCAGTCTTCAAAAAAATGAATGGGTTGTGTTCAGTAGGTGTTTCCTCAGTCAGTTACTCAGAATTCATTTTTTTTCCCTCAGAAGAACAGTGTATTAAACATGGGTATAGTGTCTCCACCTGAATCGGTAGCTGAAATATGGGGTGTTCTTTCCTCTTGTGCCTATTTTGATGCCAACTCTGAGTTGCAGAACCTAGAGACCCTCTGGAGTTGCTATTATAGGAGCTCTTAAGATGCCCACTGCATATCTTTGCTGGATATTCCATTTCTCTGACAGCTGACTTAATCCCCCATACAATTCCTTCCCTTGCCACCAAAATTCTGATGTGGTGACTTTAGGGGTTTTTGTGATAGTTTTAGAAGGCTGCAATCCTTCCCCAAAGGAATCCATGAAGTTGTATGTATTTGTTTATTTTAAAAACTGGAACTAAGTATGGTAGTATTCTTTTGACGTGTCGTCCCATAGAAATTCCATAGCTGCATCATCCACTATAGTAGTCGCTAACCACTTGTAGCTTTTGAGCACTTGAAATATGGCTAGAGTGACTGAGGAGCTGGATTTTTATTTTTTAATTAAGTTGAAGTAGCCACATGTGGCTAGTGGTTACCTCATTGGATAGCACAGCTTTGGACTGAAGTTATGGCTCTAATGGCATCTAAAGATTTCTGACTTTTTAGAGCATTTATGAGCGTACCAATTGAGACTCTTTGGTGGCTGCATTGGGCCTCAAAAGCTATCTCTATAGCCATAGGCAGTAAATATGACTTGTTTATATAGACTACTTGTACATTTAGTAATCATTTTAGGATGGTTATGCCAATAAATATTTTATATGATCATTTAATTAAAGTGTTAAGCCAGGCACAGTGATGTTCACCTGTAGTCCCAGTTACTTGGGAGGATCACTTGAGCCCAAGAGTTCAAGGCTGTGGTATGCGATGATGAGTCGTGCTTGTGAATAGCCACGGCACTCCAGCCTGGGCAACATAGTGAGACCTTGTCTCTAAAACATAAAAATTAAAAAAAAAAAGTGTTATATGAATCTCATAGGCTGTGCAATTGTGACTTTAAAAAATTCTGTGCTCTTGGTAGCAATAGATCCTTAATGTTGAGCAAGAATGGTCATGTATTTATCTGCGTGGCATATGTATTACCTTAATTCTAATTTAGGAACAAGCACTAACTATCCAAGTAGTTGAGTTTAAAGAGATTTGAATAGTCAGACCTCAAAACTAGGGACATTTACTGAATTACAGAATTCACTAGAGACTCTTGTAGTAGAAATCCAAACATTTATACAAGTAACTTCTTTTGGAGTTAAAGTAATATTTTCCCCTTTGCTCTAATTCCGTCCAAATAATTTGGAATTAGGGAGTTTGCTTTTGCCAGTTGGAAGATAAAGACAAATGTGGAGACTGAATTAGCTCTGTATATCCTACTTTAGATTTCTGATGTCTGATTTTTACCTTTTTTGTTTTATAACTTAAATAGTATTTTAAAAGTTTATTCTGTATGTAGAATATATGGTATGTTCAGTGCACGAGAACTCAGGATACAAATTCCTGTTTTAGAAAGCAATTCACATTTTTTTTGATAACGTTTAATGTAACAGCTTTTTGAAAAGCCCAAAGAACCGTAGACGGATTGTAAACTTCTGAAGGCAAGGACTATGGCTTATTCATCTTTGTATTTTCCCTAGAACTTGGCATACTACCCTGAGCACAAAAGGCAATGAACAGTTACTTTATAATGAATTGTTTTACTACGCAATTTATCCAATTACTTTTCTGTTACTTTTCAAAAAACTAAAAATATCTAAATGTATGTGTTTTCTTATAGTAATAATATTTCTGAAATGTGAAGAATAGGAATCAGTTAAAGATTAATGTCACTTAGCATTTCAGAATTCAGATTTACTAAAACATATATTACAGGATAATTACTCATTTTTGCATAAAGATCCCTTTTGAAGTTTATTTGTAATCTGATAACTCCGATTTTTTCAAGTAGTAAATGTTTAATACATTTAACTATATGTTAAATGTATTCATTTGGAAATGAACCAATTATGGAAAATGAATTACCTGTGTGTATTAAACATATCAAACTCAAAAGGTGGGCTTTTGTAGGAGAAAAAGACTAAATTTATGTGCATTTAATTTAACAAAATCCACACTAGTAGTAGACATCTTTATTTTAGAGGGTGGAAAACTGAGACCTAGCTTACTGTCTTGTCTGGAGTCATATGGTGAGTGTGCTGGAGATCAAAATTAGACCCAAAGATTTTGGATCTCAGGTTTCATGTTTCAATACTTGGTGTTACTTAAAGTGACTCATAACATTGATTGATGTCATGTGTTCGTACTTAGGTGACCTTGCAACTTCATGGATGACGACAAACCTTTTCAACCAAAAAGTAAGTATTTCTGCTGTAGTTGATACTAATAGGCATGGTTTTTGTACTGTAAACCTTTCAAAAGAAAAGATTAGAGACAGAAGTGGGCACATTTTCTTAAAAACAAATATTATTTATTTATTTATTTTTATTTTTTTGAGACAGAGTCTCACTGTGTCGCCCAGGCTGGAGTGCAGTGGCATGATCTCAGCTCACTGCAAGCTCCACCTCCTGGGTTCACGCCATTCTCCTGCCTCAGCCTCCTGAGTAGCTGGGATTACAGGCGCCCACCACCACACCCAGCTAATTTTTTGTATTTTCAGTAGAGACGGGGTTTTACTGTGTTAGCCAGGATGGTCTCAATCTCCTGACTTCGTGATCCACCCGCCTCAGCCTCCCAAAGTGCTGGGATTACAGGCGTGAGCCACCGCACCTGGCCTGTTTATTTTTAAGACAGATTCTCACTCTGTCACCTAAGCTGGAGTGCAGTGGCGTGATCTCGGCTCACAGCAAGCTCCGCTGCCCAGGTTCAAGCAATTCTCATGCCTCAGCCTCCCAAGTAGCTTGGATTACAGGCACCCGCCACCATGCCTGGCTAATTTTTGTATTTTTAGTAGAGATGGGGTTTCACCATGTTGGCCAGAGTGGTCTCGAACTGACCTCAAGTGATCCACCCACATCGGCCTCCCAAAGTGCTGGGATTACAGGCGTGAGCCACTGTGCCTGGCCAAAACAAATATTTATTAAAGTAATACATATTCCTAGTTTAAAAAAAAATACAGTAAACATGTCAGTAATAGATATGAAATGTTTCCTTCTCATCCCCAGCGATAACTACTGTTGTAGGTTTAGTATACATAATCACAAACTTTTTTCTGTGCATAGACAAAAAATAATTTCTAAATAAGATCATACTATATATGTTATTATGTGCCTTTTAAAATTTTTTGCTCGGTAGCATATCTTGAAATTAACAATGACAGTACTCAGTTTAAAAGAATGGGGAAGACCTATTTATTTGTTCCCATAATATCACAGTGGTGTCAACATGAATGTAAATTACTTTTTCAATCATCAGTATATATGAGTCTCCCTTGTTTCTTTAAATCTGGCATTGCCTGGCTTTACCTAGTTTCTTACCCCATAGATAATCATGTGTTAAGTACCTACTACATATCCAATACACTACTGTGTGTAGGAGGAAATACAAAGAAAGAAAATATGTTTTTCACTCTCAAGGAGCTTACTTTGGAGTTGAACATGTATAATTAAGGCACACTAAGAAATAGGCAGTTTGAGATCATATATATTAAATCTTGAATTGCATAGCATAGACTGTCAGTGCAGTAAGAGGTTAAAGAAAAACAAATCTAATGGTTTGCTGAGGAAGTTATAATTGAACTAAGAGTTGGAAAGGGGCAAAGAATCAATTTGGGGGGATATCTGTTTGAAGTTAGATACTTATTAATATGGCATTTTCCTGAATCTCTGTTACCACTTCTATTAGGTAGATATTGTGCTCATGTTAGAGGTGAGAAAATAGATTCAAGTAATTTCTCCAGAGTCACATAATTAAAAATGGTGCAGTGAGGATTTGAACTATTCAATTTGATGTCAAGTGCATGCTCTTTCCACTATACTCGAATGATGTGGACAGTATAAGGTAAGGAGAAAGGGTATTCCAGGTGGAAGAAGCAGTACGAATGAGGACTTCAAAGGACACAATGAGTGCGGTATTTTCAAGTATTCAGAATATACAAATACTGAAATATGAATTAATACTTTTAATTGTCTGACTTACAACATTCTATGTAATGTTTTTTGAGGTATTTGGAAAAAAGGGTCAGTTCATAATATTGGTTACATTTGGGAGAATTTGAAGATTTTTTGTTTTGGGGGTTTCTTTGTTTGGTAGGCAGACTACTGAACATCAAACAATGTTATGCCAAGCCATGATATCTGGCATATCTGTATAGAAGAGGAAATCAAAATGTTTTAAAAGAATGGAACCAATTTGTTAAGAGGTTTTGTTTGTGTACTGTCCTCAAATCATTGTTTTCAAGTTTTACATGTTAAGGCCATGCTAAAGGATGGCCTTAATTTTGAGTCAAAAGTAGAAATGGCATTATTTTAATATAGTAAAATTACTGTTAGGAATGACTGCATTTGAAAAACAAAGATATCATTGTCTAAGCCAGAACCCTGAAGAAGTTTTATTTTGTTTTTATTTATTCTTATAGTTGTCCCCGACAATCCACATGTCACTCCACCACTTATATACATTCCCATTTTTATTATTTATTATTTATTTTTTATTTTTTTGAGACAGAGTCTAGCACTGTGGCCCAGACTGGAGAGCAGTGGTGCCATCTCTGCTCACTGCAACCTCTGCCACTCAGGATCAAGTGATTCTCCTGCCTCAGCATCCCAAGTAGCTGGGATTGCAGGTGTGCCCCACCACTCCCAGCTAATTTTTGTAATTTTTGTAATTTTAGTAGAGACGAGATTTCACCATGTTGGCCAGGCTGGTCTCGAACTCCTGGCCTCATCTCAGTCTACCAAAGTGCTGGGATTAAAGGCGTGAGCCACTGTGCCCAGACCCCATTGCTGTTACATTAGTTTACATCTCCTTCACTATTTTTTAACCTAAACAATACACTTATCTTTTTTTAAAGTCAAACAACTTGAAAAGCCTTTAAGTTACTTAAGCACAGTCTCTTGAAGGGAGGGAGTGAAGGAGAGAGAGAGAGGTAGAGATAGGTGTGTATGTGTGAGCACATGCAGGTACCTATATACTCCCTGTTTTTTCAAGCTAAAAAACTGAAAGCATGTACTTTCAGTTGTATAGCTGTTTTTCTAATAATTCCACGTTTCTCAATTTTTAAAACTCATATGTACATATGTTGTCTCTTGAATCATCAAGTTTTGCCATTACCTAGTGATTTTCTGTCAAGGAAGATGAGGATTTTGGTTTTCTTAAAGCTTTTTCTTCCTTTTAAGCATCTCTCAATATAGTTATATCTGAATTTTTCAGTAAATCATATTCAGTGATTTTATGATGACCGTAATACTGTTCACGGGTGAGCATGGTACTGTATTAATGTATTATGATGGATACATTTCCTTTTCTCTTTTTCTATGTATTGTCCAATTAAAATTTTCATTTTATAAGTCAGCAAAGTTTATTAAAACCTATAGCCACTCACACCCTTCCAGAGCCTTTTTTTTTTTTTTTTTTTTTGAGACAGAGTCTCGCTCTTGCCCAGGCTGGAGTGCAGTGGCGTGATCTCGGCTCACTGCAAGCTCTGCCTCCCAGGATCATACCATTCTCCTGCCTCAGCCTCCCGAGTAGCTGGGACTACAGGCACCTGCTACCATGCCTGGCTAATTTTTTTGTGTTTTTAGTAGAGACGGGGTTTCACCATGTTAGCCAGGATGGTCTCGATCTCCTGACCCCGTGATCTGCCTGCCTCGGCCTCCGAAAGTGCTGGGATTACAGGTGTGAGCCACCGCGCCTGGCCCTCTTTCTTTTATTTTATTTTCTGAGACAGTCTCACGCTGTTAACCAGGCTGGAGTGCAGTGGCGTGATCTCAACTCACTGCACCTTTACCTCCCGGGTTCCAGCAATTCTCCTGCCTCAGCCTCCCGCCTAGCTGGGATTAAAGGTGTGCGCCACCATGCACTGCAAATTTTTGTATTTTTGTTTTCAGTAGAGACAGGATTTTGCCGTATGGACCACACTGGTCTCACACTCCTGACCTCAAGTGATCTGCCCACCTCAGCCTCCCAAAGTGCTGGGATTAAGGTCGTGAGCTACCGCGCCCCCCCACTTCTTTGTCCCCTTTTTTTCTTGAGATGGAGTCTCCCAGTCGCCCAGACTGGAGTGCAGTGGCGCAGTCTTGGCTCACTGCACTTCCCACTCCCGGGTTCCAGCGATTCTCATGCCTCTGCCTCTGCCTCCCGTGTAGCTGGGAATACAGGCGTGCACCACCACCGCGCCCGGCCCCATGGCCTCTTAATTCACTTTTCCTGCACTGAAACTTGTCAGGTAATCTAACAATTTAATGTTTAATATTTTAATAATATTTAGGGGGATTGGCACCTTCCTGGGAGTGGTATTCTCCTGCACAGCTCTTGTCCTGGGACTTTCTTTTGTTTTTGTATTGTGCTCAATGTCAGATTTTCTGCATCCTGTGCCATTCTCCTTCTTAAGTCTTGTTTTGGTGGATTCCTACTAAGAAAGGGGGAATGAGAGGGAAATGTTGTATAATATTGCTGGTCTTTATTCTTATTCTTATTTTTTTTTGGAGATAAGCCCTTACTCTGTTGCCTAGATTGGAGTGCAGTGGCACCTTCATGGCTCACTGCAGCCCCACCTCCTGGAGCTCAGGTGATTCTCCCACCTCAGCTTTCTGAGTAACTAGGACTTGAGTGCACACCACCATGCCTGACTAAGCTGTTCTTTATTCTTGTTTGTTTGTTTGAGTGAGACTCTCCATCACCCAGGCTAGATTGCAGTGGCAGGGTCCTATCTCAGCTCACTGCAACCACCGGCTCCTGGGTTGAGGCGATTCTTGTGCCTCTGCCTCCCAAGCAGCTAGAATTACAGGTGCGCACCACCATGCCCAGCTAATCTTTGTATTTTTAGTAGGGACAGCGTCTCACCATGTTGTCCATGCTGGTCTCGAACTCCTGGCCTCAAGTGATCCACCTGCCTTGGCCTCCGAAAGTGCTGGGATTACAGGCCTGGGCCACCACACTCAGCCACCTGGCAATTTCTGATATTCTGAAATTTCATATGTCCCGCTAGTGTAGTTTTTATTCTTGATCATTGTGCTGGCTGTTAGTGGGCCCTTTCTTTCTGTAGATTTATATCCATGAGAACTAGGAATTTTTTTTGTATTTTCCTTTGATTACTTCTCCTCTCCTTTTTCTCTCTCTTTTTTTTTTTTCTGGAGCTTTTGTTAGGTGCATTTTATACCTTTGAAAATGATTTTTCGGCCGGGCGCGGTGGCTCACGCCTGTAATCCCAGCACTTTGGGAGGCCGAGGCGGGCGGATCACGAGGTCAGGAGATCGAGACCATCCCGGCTAAAACGGTGAAACCCCGTCTCTACTAAAAATACAAAAAATTAGCCGGGCGTAGTGGCGGGCGCCTGTAGTCCCAGCTACTTGGGAGGCTGAGGAAGGAGAATGGCGTGAACCCGGGAGGCGGAGCTTGCAGTGAGCCGAGATCCCGCCACTGCACTCCAGCCTGGGTGACAGAGCGAGACTCCGTCTCAAAAAAAAAAAAAAAAAGAAAAAAAAAGAAAATGATTTTTCTACCAATCTTGTTTTCTGTGTTTAATATATGTGTTTTTTGTCTTTTGGTTTCACATTTACTCAACTTTGACATTTGACTTTTTTTTTTTTTTAACTGAATTTTGGCTGTCTTTATATAATATCGTTGTCTTATCTGTCTAAAGATGTTTATTATATCCTATTATTGTCTCTTGCTCTGTATTATCTGTGTCTTCTTTTTTTAACTTTTATTTTAAGTTCAGGGATACATGTGCAGGTTTGTTATGGGTACACTCATGTCTTGGGGGTTTGTTGTATAGGTTATTTCATCACTCAGGTATTAAGCCTAGTACTCATGAGTTATTTTTCCTGATCCTCTCCCTCCTCCCACCCTCCACCCTCAAGTAGGCCCTCAGCATCTGTTGTTCACCTCTATATGTCCATGTGTTCTCATCATTTAGCTCCCACTTATAAGTGATAACATGTGGTATTAGGTTTTCTGTTCCTGCATTAGTTTGCTAAGGATAATGGTCTCCAGCTCCATCCATGTTCCTGCAAAGGACATGACCTTGCTCTTTTTTATGGCTGCAAAGTTCTCCATGGTGTATATGTACCACATTTTCTTCATCCAGTCTACCATTGATGGGCATTTGGGTCGATTCCATGTCTTTGCTCCTGTGAATAGTGCTGCAGTGAACATATGTATACATGTGTCTTTATGATAGAAGAGTTTACATTCCTTTGGGTATATACCTAGTAATAGAATTGCTGGGTCTAATGGTAGTTCTGTTTTTAGCTCTTTGAGGAATCACCACACTGTCTTCCACAGTGGTTGAACTAATTTACACTCCCACCAACAGTGTATAAATGTTCCTTTTTCTCTGCAACCTCCCCAGCATCTGTTATTTTTTTGACTTTTGAATAGCCATTCTGACAGGTGAGAGATTATATCTCAGTGTGGTTTTGATTTGCATTTCTCTAATGATCAGTGATGTTGTGCTTTTTTTCATATGCTTGTTGCCTGCATGTATGTCTTCTTCTGATAAGCATCTGTTCACATCCACTGCCAACTTTTCAATGGGGTTGTTTGCTTTTTTCTTGTAAATTTGTTTAAGTTCTTTATATATGCTGGATATTAGCCCTTTGTCAGATGCATGATTTGCAAAATTTTTCTCCTGTCTGTAGGTTGTCTGTTTACTCTGTCTCTAGTTTCTTTTGCTCTGTCTATAGTTTCATTTAATTAGAGCCCATTTGTCAATTTTGGCTCTTGTTGTAATTGCCTTTGACGTCTTTGTCATGAAGTCTTTGGCCATTCCTATGTCCAGAATGGTATTGGCTAGGTTGTCTTCCAGGGTTTTTATAGTTTTGGGTTTTACATTGAAGTCTTTGATCCATCTTGAGTTGATTTTTGTGTATGGTGTAAGGAAGGGGTCCAGTTTCAGTCTCTTGCATATGGCTAGCCAGTTATCCTGGCACCATTTATTGAATAGGGAGTCCTTTCCCCATTGTGTGTTTTTGTCAGCTTTGTCGAACGTCAGATGGCTGTAGGTGTGTGGCCTTATTTCTGGGCTCTCTATTCTGTTCCATTGGTTTATATATGTGTTTTTGTACCAGGACCATGTTGTTTTGGTTATTGTAGCCCTGTACCATTTGAAGGCAGGTAGCATGATGCCTTCATCTTTGTTCTTTGTGCTTAGGTTTGTCTTGGCTATCCAGGCCTTTTTTGGTTCCATATGAATTTGAAAATAGCTTTTTCTTGTTCTGTGAAGAATGTCATTGGTAGTTTGATAGGCATATCATTGAATTTATAAATTGCTTTGGGCAGTATGCCATTTTAACAATACTGATTCATCCAATTCATGAGCGTAGAATGTTTTTCCATGTGTTTGTGTCATCTCTGATTTCTTTCAGCAGTGTTTTGTAATTCACATTGAAGAGATCTTTAACCTCCCTGGTTAGCTCTATTCCTAGGTATTTTATTCTTTTTGTAGCTGTTGTGAATAAGATTGTGTTCCTGATTTGGCACTTGGCTTGACTGTTGTTGGTGTATAGGAATGCCGGTGATTTTTGTACGTTGATTTGTATCCTGAGACTTTGCTGAAGTTGTTTATCAGCTTAAGGCACTTTTGGGCAGAGACTATGGGGTTTTCTAGATATTGGCTCATGCTGTCTGCAAACAGGGATAGTTTGACTTCCTGTCTTCCTATGTGGATGCCGTCTATTTCTTTCTCTTGCCTGATTGCTCTAGTCAAGACTTCCAATACTGTGTTGAATAGGAACGGTGAGAGAGAGCATCCTTGTCTTGTGCTGGTTTTCCAGGGGAATGCTTCCAGCTTGTGCCCATTCTGTATGATGTTGCCTGTGGGTTTGTCATAGATGGCCCTTATTATTTTGAGGTATGTTCCTTTAATACCTAGTTTATTGAGAATTTTTTTTTTTTTGAGACGGAGTCTCACTCTGTCACCAGGCTGGAGTGCAGTGGCACGATCTTGGCTCACTGCAACCTCCGCCTCCTGGGTTCAAGCCATTCTCCTGCCTCAGCCTCCCAAGTAGCTGGGACTGCAGACACGCGCCACCACACCCAGTTAATTTTTTTATTTTTAGTAGAGACAGGGTTTCACCATATTGGCCAGGATGGTCTTGATCTCTTGACCTCGTGATCCGCCCACCTCGGCCTCCCAGAATGCTGGGATTACAGGCCTGAGCCACCACACCTGACCGTTTATTGAGTATTTTTAACACGAAGGGGTGTTGAATTTTATTGATAGCCTTTACTGCGTGTATTGAGATAATCAGATAGTTTTTGTCCTTAGTTCTGTTTATGTGATGAATCACATTTATTGATTTGCATGTGTTGAACGAACCCTGCATCCCAGGGATAAAGCCTGCAGGATAGTAGTAGATAAGCTTTTTGATGTGCTGCTGTATTCGGTTTGCCAATATTTTGTTGAGGATTTTTGCATCCATGTTCATCAAAGATGTTGGCATGAAAGCTTTTTGGTTTTTTGATTTTTGGTTTTTTCGTTTTTTGTTTTTCATTTTTTCTGAGATAGCGTCTCATTCTGCCACCCAGGCTGTAGTGCAGTGGCACGATCTCAGCTCACTGCAACCTCCACCTCCTGGGTTCAAGCGATTCCCCTGCCCCAGCCTCCCAAATAGTTGGGCTTACAGGTGTGCGCCATCATGCCTGGGTAATTTTTGTGTTTTTAGTAGAGACGGGGTTTCGCCATGTTGGCCAGGCTGGTCTTAAACTCTTGACATCAAGTGATCCGCCCACCCCGGCCTCCCAGAGTGCTGGGATTAAGGTCGTGAGCCTCTACGCCTGGCTCCTTCTGTCACCTCTGTTTTTGTTTTTGTTTTTTTTTTTTTTTCAGACGAAGTCTGGCGCTGCCTCCCAGGCTGGAGTGCAGTGTTTCGATCTCAGTTCACTGCACTTCCCCTTCCGGGTTCCAGAGATTCTCGTTCTCTCCTGGGTTCCAGAGATTCTCATTCTTTAGCCTCCTGGGTAGCTGGAACTACAGGCATGCACCACTACCGCGCCCGGCCCCATGGCCTCTTAATTCACTTTTGTTACACTGTGAAACTTGTCAGGTTATCTAACAATTTAATGCTTAATACTTTGGAAGATTGGCTGGTCTCCTGGAAATGATATTCTCCTGCGCTACTCTGGCTGTTTGCTCTGTAGACCTACTGCACAGCTGTTGTCCTGGGATTTTCTTTTGTTTTTGTATTGTGCCGAATGTCAGATTTTCTGCATCCTGCATTGTCCTCCTTCTTAAGTCTCGTTTTGGTGGATTCTTCCTGAGAAAGAAAGGGTGAATGAGAGGGAAATGTTGTATAATATTGCTGGTCTTTTTTTTTTTTTTTTTTTTTTTTTGAGACAGGTCCTTACTGCGTTTGCCTAGACTAAAATACAGTGGTGCCATCATGGCTCACTGCATCCCCAGTCTCCTGGGGCTCAGGTGATTCTCCCACCTCAGCATTCTGAGTAGCTGGGAAAGAAGTACTTGCCATCATGCCTGGCTAAGCTGTTCTTTATTATTATTATTATTATTTTATTTTTTTGAGACAGTCTTACTCTGTCGCACAGGCTGGAGTACAGTGGTGTGATCTCACCTTATTGCAACCTCTGCCTCTTGGGTTCAAGTGAATCTTCTGCCTCTGACTCCCAAGTAGCTGGAATTACAGGCTTTCACCATCACCCTGGCTAATTTTGTATTTTAGTAGAGATGGGGGTTTCACCATGTTACCTATCCAGGCCGGTCTCGAACTCCTGGCCTCAAGTTAACCACCCACCTCCGCCTTCCAAAATGTTGGAATTACTGGTGTGAGCCACCGCATCCAGCAAAGTTTTATTTTTTTGTTGTGTCTCTTCCAGGTTTTGTTATCAGGACAATGCTGGCCTCATAGAATGAGTTAGGAAGGACTTTCGGTAGGAATAGTACCAGCTCTTCTTTGTACATCTTGTAGAATTCAAGTGTGAATCCATCTGGTTCTCACCTTTTTTTGATTGGTAGGCTCTTTTTACTGGTTCAATTTCAGAGCTCGTTATTATTCTATTCAGGGCTTCAGTTTATTTCTGGTTCAGTCTGGGGAGAGTGAATGTGTCCCAAAATTTATTCATTTTTTCTGGATTTTCTAGTTGGTGTGCATAGAGGTGTTCATAATATTGTCTGATGTTTATTTGTATTTTTCTGGGTTCAGTTGTTGTATCTCCTTTGTTGTTTCTTATTGTGTTTATTTGGATCTTCTCTCTTCTGTATTAGTCTAGCTAGTGGCCTATTTTATTAATTTTTTCAAAAAACAACTCCCTGATTCACTGATCTTTTGAATGGTTTTTCTTGTCTCAATCTCCTTCAGTTCAGCTCTGATTTTGGACATTTCTTGTCTTCTCTCTTAGCTTTGGAATTGGTTTGCTCTTGGTTCTCTAGTTCTTTTTGTTGTCATGGTAGGATGTTAAATTGAGATCTGTCTTTTTGATGTGGGTGTTTAGTGGTCTCTTTACATAATCCCATATTTCTCAGAAGTCTTGTTTGTTCCTTTTCATTCTTTTTTCTCTATATTTTTTTGGCTATCTTAGAAAACCAGTCTTCAAGTTCTGAGATTCTTTCCTCCGCTTGTTCTATTCCGCTATTAATACTTATGATTGCATTTTGAAATTCTTGTATGTTTTTCAGCTCTATCAGGTCAGTTACGTTCTTTTCTATACTGGCTATTTTGTCTATCAGCTCCTGTATTGTTTTACTATGATTCTTAGCTTCCTTGGATTAGGTTTCAGTGTACTCCTGCATCTCAGTGACCTTTATTCCTGTTCATATCCTGAATTCTTTTTTCTGTCCTTTCAGCCATCTCAGCCCCCTTCGGAACCCTTGTTGGAGAGTGAATGCAGTTTGGAGGAAAGAAGGCACTCTGGCTTTTTGAGTTGTCAGAGTTCTTTTGCTGGTTCTTTCTCTTCTTTGTGGGCTGATGTTCCTTCAGTCTTTGAAGTCACTGTCCTTTGGATTATTTTTTTCTTCTACCTGATGACCTTAAGGGTTTGATTGTGGTATAAGGTAGATTCAGTCAACTGGCTTCATTTCTAGAAGATTTTAGGGGGCCAAGGCTCAGCTTACAACTCCTGGAGTGCATGCTCTAATTTTGTAGGACTGATATTGGACCTCTGCTTTTTTCTCTGGCTTCTCAAGGTTAGGAACTCACTGTGCTAGGGGGACTGAGGTGCTCGTGGACCTCTTGTCCCAGCACGCCAATGGGTGATGCCAGCCAAACTGTTTTGTAGGGCAGTGACAGCAGGGCCCATTCTTGTTCACACATGCCAGTGGCAGCAGCAGCACAGCAGAGTGCACACTCATCAGCTGCTGCAGGGTGCTAGTGGCTTCTGCGTGGGCTTTCGCAGAAGTGGCAGAGGCAGCATGGCTCAGGGGTGCAGGGGCCCCAGGTGGCAACTGTGTGTATGGTCATGCTGGTGGTGGCATTAGCATGGGGATGGGGCACTGGCCGTTGCAGGACTGTATGCACTCTTTGTACATGTTGATACAGGCAGAGATGGCCGCTCAGGGTGGGGGAGGGTCCACTGTTCTCTGTGCGTAGTTACATTCTAGTGGCAGTGGTGGCTCAGGGGCAGGGTGCTGGTGGGCACAGGTCTTGCGGGCTCTGTGCTCACCAAGGCTCCGACTACAATGGTAGTATGGCAGAGGAGGGTGGGCGGAGTGCACTCCCACTGGCAGCAGGCAGGGCAGGGTGCACATACACATATGTTCTTACGGGGCAGGGAAGGCAAGATCCACTTGCGCACATACGCACTGACTGGCAAAGTGATGTGGAGGGTGGCCATGGACCCAGGGTAAGCTGGAGTGGGGAGAATGAGCAGGTGGGCCAGTGCATGGCCACAGGGGCAACCCTGCTGGAGCTCTCCGCTGGTCAAGCCCGGTTGGCCAGCTCAGGAGCTATGATGCTGGCCATCAGGGCACTCTAGGCTGTACTGCAAGAGGGAATGGGCAGACTGGGGCTCCAGGAGAGGACAGCTGACCAAAGAGTGCTCAGGTCAGATGGGCAAGACCACCCTGCAGAGTTCAGGTCTGACAGTTCCCCTAGTGCTACAGTCTCCTATGGAAACAAGCAGAGCCTAGGGGGATGGGCATCCCAGGCTGTGCTTGAATACAGATGTTCCTGCAACAAACCCTCTGGGCTCCACTCTGGCTCGTGTGCTGCCTCTACCACTTCTCTAAGCAGCTCTCCCTGCCAACTAAAGTGTCAGTGGTGATCAAAGGGTCTTCTCCTGCCGGGATTCCCAGAGGTCCATGGCAAGAGTGAGTTGTTCCTTGCCAGTTCAACTCACCCATTCCCCCGTAGTCATTGGGGGCCAGGAACCAATCCAGGTGCACAGTAGCCCCATACAGGCTTCCCAGTTTCCTCCCGCTTCATTCTAGCTTCTGTGTCTTCCCTCAGCCCACTCAGCACCTCCCCTTTGAAGATGTGTTAAGAGTGCACCAGTTGTCCCAGTCCCTCGGTGGCAGCTGTTCCACCTGTCTGTATCTAGTTTGCCATCCTGCCTGGCTGTCGGTTTTCTTTAAAATCCTTTAATCTGTTTTATTGCTTTGGTGTTTCACATTGAAGGTTTTCCTCAATTTTCTGGTACGCATTGGTTGTCCACCCATATTTAAGAGTGAGGCACTAAAATGCTTCCCAGGAGATCTGATTTGGGTCAGAACTTGTAGGCTGGTGATATTCACAGTATATTTTTTACTTAGTTTCTTCAAATGAGAAATGTCTAATCTGTCCTGAAACAGAATTAAGTTTCACTTAATTTCCCTATTTTCAGTCTAGTACCTCATGCCTGCTTTGCCCTGTGCCTGATATACCTGAATCTGGTTCCGTTTTTCTAGTATATCTCCTATGTATTTTCTCTTATTCTTAGTTTATCTCCCTTGTTTATACAAGTGAATTTTTTTTTCAGATAATAGCTACAGTCTTTTTTGTAGATATAATCATCCTAGTCCTATAACTAAAACTCACTTTGGATTTGATCCTAAAATGTATTGGCCACTGTAAATGACTACTATCCTTCATTATCTATCTGTCTAGCCAAGTTTAACTGGTTTAGATCTTAGAGATTTAGTTCTGAGCTCATTTCTTTTGCTACCATGTACTGATTACAAGGCAGAGATGGCCGCTCAGGGTGGGGGAGGGTCCACTGTAGACCATGCCTGTAGTCCCAGCTACTCAGGAGGCTGAGGCACGAGAATCAAGTCAGTAGGCTGGGCATGGTGGCTCATGCCTGTAATCCCAGCACTTTGGGAGGCTGAAGCAGGCGGATCACTTGAGGTCAGGAGTTCGAGACCAGCCTGGTCAACATGGTGAAACCCATCCCTACGAAAAATACAAAAATTAACTGGGCGTAGCAGTGGGCGCCTGTAGTCCCAGCTACTTGGGAGGCTGAGGCAGGAGAATCGTTTGAACCCAGGAGGCGGAGGTTGCAGTGAGCCGAGATCACGCCTGGGCAACAAAAGCAAAACTCTGTCACAAAAACAAACAAATATCAAGTCAGTAATTGCTATTAGGATTATTACAGTGCATCTTAAATATCATACTATGTATTGCACAGAAAATATTTTTCTCTTTGAAAATAAAGTTAGCTTCTCTTCTCTTGAAAATTAGACATTTCAAAAATGGCAGAACTCTTTATGGAATGTGAAGAAGAAGAGCTAGAGCCATGGCAGAAGAAAGTAGAAGAAACTCAGGATGAGGATGACGATGAACTGATCTTTGTTGGAGAGATATCAAGTTCAAAACCAGCCATTTCAAGTAAGCATTTACTTTCAGTGAAGTAACGTTTCATAAGATGGTTGTTTCTAATGGAAAATATATGAGATATCTGTCCTTCATACTGTTGTTCTTCTGTAAGGAGTTAGAGGTAAGAGGGAGAGTAAAGGTCAGTAAGAACTTGTGAGAATCAAAGCGGGAATGTAGTTGGGGACTGGAGTAAGGAGGTGAAAGGTTAAAATATCAGATGTGAGCAAAAGGAAATAACTAAGTTAATTGAGGGTTAAGATGACCTGAACAGCATTGTAAGCCTTCTGAGATTGGAAATCATAATTTTTAATGGAACCAAGTAGCCTATTTATTTGTTAATTTTTTTTTCTCCCTTAAACTCAGATTTACAGAAAAGGAAGTGTTTGGAATACTTTTCTTAAAATATCCTGATATGCTAAATAAGTTTGTGTTAGTGTCTGATGGGGGTTCTAATGTCTAAGCAACTGCCTCATCAAAGTATCATCTTGATATATGACTATAAAATGCATAGGTGCTGCATGATTATAGAATCTCTGGTCTGTCTACCAGCATGTGCTATAGCCTTTGGCTACACCCATCTTCCGCAACTACTGTTTATATTCATGAAGGAGGGAGGGCCTGGTTTTCCAACACTATACTTGGACAATGCAGGCAGTCAGCACACGTAAATCTTTTTGGCTTTCTAGCAAAACATGTCCAGTACCTTTGTGGATTGTTAGATTTCTGTTAGAGTAATTAGACTTGGCATTATTACAATGTTAAAGTGAAGATACTGGTGATGTTTATTAAAATAAAATATCTCCTCCCTGTAATCCTAGCAGTTTGGGAGGCCGAAGTGGGTACATCACTTGAGGCCAGGAGTTTGAGACCAGCCTGGCCAACATGGTGAAACCCCCTCTCTACTATAAAGATTAAAAAATTAGCCAGTCATGGTGGCGCGTGCCTGTAGTCCCAGCTACTCAGGAGGCTGAGGCATGAGAATCGCCTGAACCTGTAGGCAGAGGTTGCAGTGAGCCAAGATCACGTCACTGCACTCCAGTCTAGGCAACAGAGCAAGACTATATCTCAAAAAAAGAAAAAAAAAAAGTCCTCAAATATGTCTAAAGTGCAAGGGACAACATAACTGAATTTCAGGAGAGAAAGAGGGAAACAGATCCTTTTTCATTTTATTTACTTATTTTAGGCCTGGAGAAGTCAAGGAATGTAGCCAGCATACCAGTCTTCTTTCTTACCATGGCAATGAGTAATAGTGTGGTTAAGAGATGAGTTTTAAATTTTCTGAAATCCTAGTTCTTACTTCTCTTGGCTCTAAACTTGGAATAGCATTTCTACTCAGTTTTATCAGAGGCAGAATAATTTAGCCAATTGAATTCTCAGTATCATTTCCTGTGGCAAATTGGGAGGTTCTAAGTGGAGAGCCACTTAAATTATTAAATGAGCTAGATATATTTGGCATATTTATTATTGATAGTAGAATAGAATATTCTCTTATTATTTCTAGTCACTGTGACAATTTTTATGCTGAAATATTACCATATTTCAAAATTATTACTCAAATCATCTTATTGAAGCATGACAAGATTCAAGTTGGATTTATATTGATTGTAGATGACTTAGCAGTACTCAACCAAAACAATGTGTATTCGTTTCAAGAGATTCTATCAAAAAGGGTATTGGGCCCACTAGAATTTCTTTTCTATATTGATAACTTAGAATTTAAGTGATTTTATTGATGTTTTATTTGTGAGCTATAAAATATTTTAGCATATGGGATCTCATCTAAATGTTTATATAGAAAAACAATGAAGGCAGGGGAAGGAGAGCAAAAAACTTGTGATTGGTAGACTATAACCACCAACAAGTAAAAATAGCTCTTAGTGGATTGAGTAATACTTATCTTGAATTTCTGAATGAAAACATTATCAAGTTGTTTGAGGATATTTTTCTTTTAGAAGACTTCCGTAATGTTTACTCATAGAGTACTGCATTTCTATGATCAGAAAGCAACCCTACTTTGGTGTGACCCTTCACTTAATAGAATTGTTTTGTGAGATCTGATTCTTTTCTCTCTTTTTTTTTTTTTTTTTTTTTTTAAGATGGAGTCTCGCTCTGTCGCCCAGGCTGGAGTGCAGTGGCACGATCTCGGCTCACTGCAAGCTCCACCTCCCGGGTTCACACCATTCTCCTGCCTCAGCCTCCCAAGTAGCTGGGACTACAGGTGCCTGCCACCACGCCCAGCTAATTTTTTTGTATTTTTAGTAGAGACAGGGTTTCACCATGTTAGCCAGGATGGTCTCGATCTCCTGACCTCATGATCTGCCCGCCTCGGCCTCCCAAAGTGCTGGGATTACAGGTGTGAGCCACCCCGCCTGGCCGGGATCTGGTTCTTTTCTACTAGGAGAGAAAAAAGGAAAATGTTTGAGGTTTTATGGGATTTGTTAATGCTTTGTGCCTTTTCCTGATAAACAATTTTAAGCAAATCACTATTCTTCCAAATTTCAATTTGACTCCTCAGTAACCTAGAAGTTACGGAGTTCATATGGGTACAAGGGTGTGCAGTCTTAAACCGATCCAGAGGGTTTTGTGAGGCTCAAACTGACTTCTAGCGTAGTAATAGATTTGAAACCCCTTACATTAATCAGATACTCTGGAACTCCAGGTTTAATTTAGTCTAATCAGATACTCTGGAACTCCAGGTTTAATTTAGTCTGTAGTCTCTGATAATTTCCTATTCAGAACTCAAGAGTAATGGTACAGAAAGTTAATCCAGTCAGCCCTCCCATCATGAAACTTCCAGATTTTTAGAGGTGTGAATGTGGCACAGGGTTGGGGAAGGGTTTGATTTCAAGTCACGGGAATCAGAATCTGTACACAACCCTGTCACCATTAAAGGAAAGAAATATACTTCAATTATTGGTTATGCAAAGATATGTTTTTGGAGGAATTTTTCTATTAGTATATATTTCATTCACATAACAAATTTTAAAATAAATATAATTTTATAGATATTTTGAACAGAGGCCACTCCAGCTCATCTTCAAAAGGAATAAAGAGTGAGCCACACAGTCCAGGTACAGTATTACTGTAGTATTTCAATTTTAAAGTTAAATATTTTGATATAATTGGTTGTATAGAAATATATTCAATATGTTGTATAATTTTAAAATACAGGTATTCCTGAAATATTCAGGACTGCAAGTCAACGCTGCAGAGACCCACCATCAAATCCAGTGGCTGCCTCGCCTAGATTTCATCTTGTATCTAAATCTTCACAAAGCTCTGTTACTGTTGAGAATGCGTCTAAACCTGTAAGTGTTTATAAAATTACACAATTAATTCAGGGACACATTGGCTATTATAATACTGAGTTAAAATTGTGATCTGTCAGCCGGGCACAGTGGCTCACGCCTGTAATCTTTGGTACTTTGGGAGGCCAAGGCAGGCAGATCGCTTGAGCCCAGGAGTTCGAGACCAGCCTGGCCAACATGGCAAGACCACATCTCTACAAAAATACAAAAAATTAGCTGGGCATAGTGGTGCACCACCTGTAGTCCCAGCTACTCGGGAGGCTGAGATGGGAGGATTGCTTGAGCCCTGGAGGTCAAGGCTGCAGTGAGCCAAGATCATACCACTGCATTCCAGCCTGGGTGAGAGGGTGAGATCCTGATTCAAGAAAAAAACAAAAGCCAACACAAACAAACCCAAAAAATTGTGAACTGTCATAGCTAGTTACCATTTCAGTAGAAAAATAATCCCCATCTTTATGATATAACTCAACCAAAACCCAAAATAATAACTGCAGGAATTGTCCAACATATTAATAAATCAGCTAATATGCTTAAATACAGTATTGAAAACTATACTATCTAAATATGAGTGAAAAAGTATGATCAGGTTGGGCATAGTGGCTTACACCTGTAATCCTAGCACTTTGGGAGGCTGAAGGAGGTGGACTGCTTGAGCTCAGTAGTTCGAGACCAGCCTGAGCAACATGGTGAAACCCTGTCTCTATTTAATAAAAAAAATAAAGGCTGGGCGCAATGGCTCATGCCTGTAATCCCAGCACTTTGGGAGGCCGAGGTGGGTGGATCACCTGAGGTCAGGAGTTCAAGACCAGTCTGGCAAACGTGGTGAAACCCCGTCTCTACTAAAAATAAAAAAAAATTAGCCAGGCGTGTTGGCGCATGCCTGTAGTCCCAGCTGTTTGGGAGTCTGAGGCAGGAGAATTGCTTAAACCTGGGAGGCAGAGGTTGCAGTGAGCCGAGATCGCACAACTGCACTCCAACCCAGGCAACAGAGTGAGACTCCATCTCAAAAAGACAACAACAAAATAAAAAACTAAAATGTATTGCAACATGAATAATGCATAATGGCCACATTTTTAAGTTAATAAACTAAAACAAGTGTTCTTAAATTGGAAAGAGTGTTCTGAAGTCATTATTGCTTATTCTGAAATCATACTTTCATAGTTTAGCTTTAAAAACTTTTAATAAAAGTAATAGATAATGATAATACTTAACATTTACTGGCCTGTTAATATGTACAAGTCTTTGTGCTAATCTTATTTAATTCTTATGGCATCTTTATGAGGTAGGCACAATTTTTATTTTTTTATTTTATTTTTTTTTGAGACGGTGTCTTGCTCTGTCTCCCAGGTGGGAGTGCAGTCATGTGATCTCAGCTCTCTGCAACCTCTGCCTCCCAAGTTCAAGAGATTCTCCTACCTCAGCCTCCCGAGTAGCTGGTATTACAGGCACGCACCACCACACCCAGTTAATTTTTGTATTTTTAGTAGAGACAGGGTTTCACCATGGTGGCCAGGCTAGTCTCGAACTCCTGACCTCAGGTGATCTGCCACCCGCCCCCCCCCGGCTTCCCAAAGTGTGGAATTACAGACGTGAGCCACCACGCCCAGCTGAGATGGGCACTATTATTATTCCCATTTTATAGTTGAGGAAACTCAGGCTCAGAGAGGATAAATGATTCACTCAAGGACACACAGCTGGTAAATGATGGATCTGGTATTTCAATCCAGGTTAACCCAGAATTTTAAACATGTGTATACACACATCCATTTATACATTTAAGCATATACTTTATTTATTTAGAGACAGGGTCTTGCTCTGTCACCCACTCTGGAATGTAGTAGCATGATCATAGCTCACTGCAGCCTCCAACTCCTGGGCTCAAGCGATCCTTCCACTTAGCCTCCTAAGTAGCTGGGACTACAGGCATGCACCACCATGCCCAGCTAATTTGGCTTTTAATTTTTTTTAGAGATGGGGCTCTCACTGTGTTGCCCAGGCTGGTCTTGAACTCCTGGCCTCAAGCTATCCTCCATCTCAGCCTCCCAAAATGTTGGGATTACAGGCGTGAGCCACTGCACTCAGCCCCATTAAGTATGTACTTTTTAAATGGAAGCATTGCCTTAGAGCAGTGGTGTACCCTTACGGTTCCCTAAGTCTCTTTCAGGGATCTGTGGGATTAAAACTATTGTCGTAGACATTTGTGCTCTTCACTGTGTTGACATTGTAAAACTCTCCAAGTGACTGTAATGTGCAGCCAGAGTTGAGAATGACAGACAGATATTCTCGAATGAATTGAGAATCCTACATAAGGAAATTTTATTTAAAAATTTAAATCTATTTCATTATCTGTATCTCAGTTCTTTCAGGCAGGGAAGGAGAGTATTATTATTATCTCTTTTAAAGTGAGTATTATTATTATCTCTTTTAAAGATATAGCTTAAGGACACAGGCTTTGTAATCAGGCGGACCTTAGTTCTGATTCCAGCTCCTTCATCTGTAACAGGCTGGGTTGTACTGGGAACCTTAACTACGAGAAATTTTAGTTTACCTATTTATAAAATGTGAGATAATATTAGGTCTTTATTCATACTGTTATGACAACTATTAATAAAATACATGTACTGTGAAAGAGGCAAGTACATTTTAAATACATAATTATTAGTGGCTCTTATTTCAGTTGGAAAGGTAAATAACTTGAAGCTCAGAAGTGGCTTGCCCAAGGTAACATAGTTAAATAAATGGACAGGTCTTCTGAATCTCAGCCTCTTGCCTAGTCTGCCTTACTGTTACATTTGTTATCTTTCTGAAATATTTTATGAGACATAAGAAATTCCCAATTGGAGAATTATTTAACAGGTTGTTTGTTGAATAATGTGTCTGCTTTCCGAAATTGTGGTACTTAATTTATCAGAGATGTCACCTCAGAAAAGGTTGAAAGTGTTACCTTTATTCAGAGGAACTTCTGTTAACTATTTTTGGAAATTGCAAACGGATATTTTCCACTTTTAAACTTTTAAATAAAAAATATTTAGAGAAAATATTTACTTTGTGGTAAGATTGCACTTGGTTACAATTAAGTCATAGTCTAAAACCTAATCATCTCTCAAAGTGTAAGCACAAAACAAGCAAGCAAAATCTTTATATCCTCATTATAAAAGTATTGTGTAAGGAGGGATAGGTTAGAAAAGAGACAGGGAAGAATATATACTGTATTTTGATTTTCGTTTTCTGTAGATGGTTAGGGTGACATTAGAGTATATCAGTCAGGGGACCATATTAATATATATTTGATATCTATTCCTCATTTTTCACTGAACATTGTACTGGGAACATTGTTCTTTGTCATTGGGTATTTCCCAAAAACATGATGTTATGTGATAGTATCATTTAATTTATTTAGTCATTTCTTTATTGTTATACATACAGGTTTTCAATTTTTGCTATTATAAATCATTCTTCATTAAACATTTTCATTTCTTTAGCATAGATTCTTAGAAATTGAGTAATTGGAATAATTGGACCAAAGAATATGAACTTTTTTTAAAAAGCCCTTGATATAGATACTGCTAAAATTTCCTTGCAGAAAAGTTGTTCCAAAATATAACCTCTACTTTGCCTGTAATATTATTTTTAAATTTTAACATTTTATTTCAAACTAATTTTAGATTTACAGAAAAATTACAAAAATAATGCAGAGTTCCCATATACTCCTCACCCAGTAGATGCTAATTTTGGCAGAGACTAATAATTACCTTTGTGTTTTATACCATATTAGTAATTGAGTTATTAAGATTCTTTATAGTATTGACATACAGCTAAATTTATCTCTATAAAAGTTTATGAAACAAAATAATTATAAATTTTTACAGGATTTTACAAAGAATTCACAAGTTGGATCGGATAATTCTTCAATTTTACTGTTTGACTCGACCCAGGAATCACTACCACCATCCCAAGACATACCAGCAATTTTTAGAGAAGGTTTGGTTTAGCACTCTTTCATAAAAATTATAAAAAGAGACTTGTCGAATATACATATGGAATTGAATTTCTGTTTTGAAGCCCATACCTTCATGTTAAGTTTTTCATATATTATAACATGGAATAGAGCTAATCATTCCTGAATGCCTTTCTTGGGTGATATAGAAAATTGTATTTAGTGATAGAATGTTTTATTTATTTCTATTAAGTTGGCTAGCACATATTCTTTGCACTCTTTTTCACTTGGAACCAGCCATGGACTGAACAATCTTAATATAATTTCTGTGAGTCAAGGAAGTCCCCTGATGCCTTAAATACTCTGCGAAAACAAGTAGTAATTATTTGGAAGACACTTAATATGAGAAAACGTGCATGGTTATAGTTGATTTCTCAATATGCTAATGTCTTTCTATTCAAATAAATGATGTGGATATGATAGTTAAATATGATTATAGAGTAGTATTGTAAAATGAACGAACTAAAGAAACAGTGATTTCCACATGGTAAGTACTCAGTAAATATACTTTGAAGTAATAATGGAAATTTTCCAATTGAAGTGTTACAGTTCTTTGATGTCCACCATAACAAAGTTCTTCATTAACCTAAAATAGTATGCCAATAAAGGAATTTTGTCTCATTGAAAAATTCCCTATAATCAAAGCAATTACTATTCTCTATATTACCTAGTTTGATATGTTTCACTAAATGGAAAGAGGAACACAATTTTTTTGCATATGTAATTATTTACTCATAAATTAGTATATAACCTTTACCAAACCAAAACAAAAAAATTATAGTCATATGAATGCCAAAAATATTTTCCCATTTTTATATTACTTGGTTTGATATTCACCTATCTAGGTGTCACTTATCTAGATAGTAAAATAGCCAAGAACCGAAACAAACAGGGAGATAAAACAGTTGTTTTAACTCGGGTTTTGCAAAGCACATGATCTTTATTCATGGAAAAAGTCTGAATTCTTGAAGCTTCCAAAGGGTAAAGACAGTGACTCCTACTCTCTCTCTAAGATTAATACAGCAGAGAGTGGGACTTTGTCCTGAATAGTAAATAGGATTATAGTTGATTGGGAAGGTACAGGTTTAAGCCTTTATTCTAAAGATTTTTGTGGCTTTTATCAAGTCATCTAACCTCTTTATACCTCAGTTTTCTCACATTATTAAAATACTTTCATTTTTCTCACATAAAGCATTTATTCTCCAGACCTGAAATGAGCCAGCCATTTGGATATTCAATTTTAATTCTTGCTCTCTTTATCTCAGGGCTTCTTTGAGGCCCAAATAAAATAAGTGGAAAGTGAAAAATGCATTATCAATTTTAAAGGATTTGACAATAAACAGTTGTTAGAATGATAATCATGCATGATAATATGTGCTATATGTTCAGAAGCATGATTAATGGACTCCTGTCTAAGATGATCATGGAGAGTTCTTAGAGAAAGTTGGATTTGAACTTGATTTTGAAGAATGAGGATAGGATTTTTATTAGCACAGATAAGAAGAGTTGAGGTAGGGAACACCGCAAGCCAAACACAACACAAATAAGTAAGCTAAAGGGTCAGAATTTAAAACTATTGAGCTCAGGTTGATTTTATTTAACTTAGATTCATCATGCTTAAAATAAGCATATATTAAAACAGTCTATTATCCAGCTGGTTATATAATCAGTTGCCTAGTCCAAAGTACTAGCACTCATTGGTTGTTAAAGTAACCTAAGCATCTCAGAAAAAATGTTAGTGATTACACAAAAATTAGTCTTAGGTGCCTTCAATATAGCTGGCAGTAATTATGTGCTTTGAGGATGGAAAAAATCATTTCTGTTTAAGGAAAAAATCATTTTTATCTCAAAGAATGAAACACAGATTTAACAGAGGAACCCATTAATGTAATACTTACTTTCCTGGCATATATCTACTCTACTGCTTCTCCTATTAATGTACAGTTGTGAGCTTTTAAAACACGACATGCAGTTTTAGAACCCTTATCACAAAGTACAATCGTATATTATTTTCAAAAATCACTTTTGCTGGGTCTGGTTATAGCCTAAATAGCCCCACATGTCTTGGGAATGCCCTGAATTATATAATCCTTTGGTCTTTAAGGTGGTGGCTCTCAAACTCAGAACTATCTTTAGCAATGAAATTCTTACTCAGATAAAATTTATGCAGAAATTAATAAAACATAAAAGCAGAGTTTCTTTATCTGACATACCCATTACATTTTCTAAGATAGACCCATTGGATTAAGGGGAACATACTTTGAAAGTCATTATACTAACTCTAAACCTTTTCATATGAATGAGTGAGGTATTATCATTCAACATTAGTTGTTTCTACTTTGTATATAGGGAGTAAACAAGATAATTTAAACCACCTGTTAGTTTGTTCGGTGGAAAAAGAACCAACTTGAATTTTCCATTACACATCTTAAGTTTTTTAAAAAACATTAAAAATGTTTCTCTAAACGTTTGGAATAAATTTTTTAAATATTTTACAAACTCAAATGTATTTAAGCATCTAAATATAAGTTGATGTGTAGAAACTTAGAGTATTCCCTGTGCTATAACTTTTATTTATTTTATTTAGCTTGGAATTTTTTGGTCTAACTTTTTTCATGATACCTGTTTGTTTTCTTTATTTGAAAGCATTTTTAGAATTTGGGTATATAAAGTTTATTTTGTGAAGTAAAGATATGTAGTTCATAGTAGTAGCTGTTTGTGCAATTTCTGCTTGCTCATATAAATTTTAATCATTCTTTATTGTCATTTGTATGATATGCTTATTAAATTATATTACCTTTAACTTAGTTCCAAACTGTTTTTGCTCAGTTTTAAATGTAAAGCCATTTTGGTAGCAGTTTTACATAAGCAATATTCCATACTGAAATATTTACAAATATCTTTCTCACTATTTAAATCTTTGTAGGTATGAAAAATACTTCATATGTGTTGAAACATCCTTCTACTTCTAAAGTAAACAGTGTTACTCCAAAAAAACCAAAGACCAGTGAAGATGTTCCTCAGATAAATCCCTCCACTTCATTGCCTTTAATTGGCTCTCCTCCAGTGACATCCTCCCAAGTTATGCTGTCAAAAGGTAAACATGAAATCTGACATGTAAAAAAAAATAGTATTATTTTTATATACGTTTTAGAAATTGTGATGAATTTTAAAACCATTATTAGTGGTCATTTAAGGTTTTAAAAAGATGGATTTGAGTCTTAAAAGTTCTTAATTTATTGTAGGTACAAATACCTCATCTCCATATGATGCTGGAGCAGATTACCTAAGAGCTTGTCCAAAGTGCAATGTTCAGTTCAATCTTTTGGATCCTTTGAAATACCACATGAAGGTAAAACTTTTTTCAAAGTTCAATTGTTAAAAATGTTTTATAGATCCTTGAAAATATTGAAAATTGATATACAGTAAATGCTGGTTTATCCAGATATTTAGAGAAGAAACCTCGTATTGGCATTTCCATGTAACTTAAGTTAAAATTGATATTCACAATGATTATATAAGATTTTAAAATCCTTTCCAATGATGAAATTTTTAAAATAAAGTTATGGATAGAACTGGAAGCCATTATGTTAAGTGAAATAAGCCAAGCATAGAAAGACAAATGGACGTTGTCACTCATATGTGAGAGCTAAAAAAGTTGATCTCATAGAGGTAGAGAGTAGAACAATAGTTGCCAGAGGCTGGGAAGGGTATGTGTGGAGGGGTAGGAGAAGAGGAAGAGAGGTTGGTTATTATGCACAAATATACAGTTAGATAGAAGGAATAAGTTGTAATGTTTGGTGCAAAGTAGAGTGAAAAATAGCTAGGAGAGAGCACTTAGAATATTGCCAACGCAGAGACATGGTAAATACTCGAGGTAATGGATACCTCAGACATCCTGATTTGATCATTACATATTCTGTGCACTTAAAATATCACATGTACCCCATAATAATTTATAAACATTATGTATCAATTTAAATTTTTTAATTAAGTTCATATGCAGTACAGTGTATGCATATTGTATTTTATTTTTATTTATTTATTTATTTGAGACAGAGTCTTGCTCTGTCACCCAGGCCGGAGTACAGTGGCACAATCTTGGCTCCCTGCAACATTTGCCTCTCCAGTTCAGGCGATTCTCCTGCCTCAGCCTCCCGCGTAGCTGGGATTACACGTAGCACCACCATGCCTGGCTAATTTTTGTATTTTTAGTAGAGACGGGGTTTTGCCATGTTGGCCAGACTGGTCTCGAACTCCTGGCATCAAGTGGATCCACTGGCCTCAGCCTCACAAAGTGCCGGGATTACAGGTGTGAGCCACTGCGCCTGGCCTGCATTTTAATTTTAAATGAAAATAATGTACAAATTGCAATATTTTATTGACTAAATTATGACATTCTTCAAACTTCCTGTAAAGCAGGTGTTTTATTAGGTGCTTAATCTTTTGTGTAAAGTGAAAGCTCCTTTTGTTTACCTTATTTTTTGCCCATGGTGACATATCCATGTCGCATTACCCTGTGAAAACCTTATTTTTGCCCGTGGTGACTTAATGCATGTCACATTACCCTATGAAAACCTTAGTCTTACATTTTAATTTTCAACACTCAGAAATAAACTTCTAATGATGGAGCATTTCATATGAAATGATAGTTTTAACTCAATCCATAATATAGTTTATATAGTTATAAATGAATTCTAGCTTTCTATTAATATAGGAAGCTCTTTGAAATTAGGTTTTAGGTAATTTTCACAGTACTAATAGAGTATGGGATTAAGGTAACACGCCACTTAAAATATTTTAGTAGATATTACAGTATTCTGTTATGTGTGTATAAAGATAGTCTGTATTCTCTTTGCATGCCCAGTGTAAATGACAGGAAGGGGCAAAGGAGGCAAGAAAAAAGTCAGTGTTGATTATATGTGGGAAATAAGTGATGAGACGAGTGCAAAGCAAAGAAGCAACTTAGGAAAAGGAATTGTTCACTATTTCAAAGATTGGCAAATTTTTATTAAAATTCAGCATTTTACAAAAAAGGAATTCTAAAATTGCAAATACAAACGTCTTTACTCTGACGCAAAACTGTATTAGAGTCTTTGGCTGTTTTCACCTCCCTGAGTGTGTTTGGGAAAGGGGAATCCAAGTCTCACATTACCACTGTTTCCCTTGATATCTTCCAATTCTGTTTCATGGTGTTGCTCTTTAGGACATAGATGTATCCATCTCTTACGATTCATTGTGGGTGCACCCTTTAGCATTTTTATAGTGTCCTTTTTGTCTGTTCAGTGCTTTTTGTTTGATATCAGGCTCACAACCCTTGCTTTCTTATTGTTTCCACCTGCCTGTTATATTCTTTGCTTATCCTTTTACTTTCAACCCTCCCAAATCACTTTGTTTTTGTTCTTTCTTGCTTTCACCAGAGTTTTTTCTTTTGTGATCCTATATGAAAACTTCTTTTCTTTTAGAAGTTGAGTTAAACCCATGTATATTCATTGGTAGGAGAAATTTAACTGGTCTGATAGGTTTAATTGGTCTTAGTTTTGTCACAATGCTTTGTTATGCTTTCTTTGTCCTTTTTTTTTTAAAAAAAGTCTTTCACTTTGTGATTTTAGGAAAGTTTTTCTTTTGTTTTCCACCCTTGTTTTAGTGTGTAGTCTTGTCTTTATTTAACGCTTTATTTAGTATTTATTTAGTATGTAGTCTTGTCTTTATTTAACACTTTATTGAGGTATGATTGACCTATAAAAATCTGTATTTAATGTATACAGCTTGATGAGTTTGGAGCTAAGTATACATCCATGAAAACATTACAATTTGTGTCATAAACATAACCATCACCTTCAAAAGTTTCCTCCTACCCTCTTTATTATTATTACCTTTTTGTGATATGAACACAATAGAAAATCTATGCTTTTAGCAAATCTTTTTTTTTTTTTTTTTTTTGAGACAGAGTTTCACTCTTGTTGCCCAGGCTAGAGTGCAATGGTGTAATCTCGGCTGACCACAACCGCAACCTCCACCTCCCGGGTTCAAGCAATTCTCCTGCCTCAGCTTTCTGAGTAACCGGGATTACAGGCATGCACCACCACACCCAGCTAATTTCGTATTTTTAGTAGAGATGGGGTTTCTCCATGTTGGTCAGGCTGGTCTCGAACTCCCAACCTCAGGTGATCCGCCCACCTTGGCCTCCCAAAGTGCTGGGATTACAGGCGTGAGCCACTGCACCTGGCCAAATTTTTTTAAGTATGTAATACAGTATTGTTAACTATATATGCACTATTCTATATAGTAGATCTCTAGGACTTATTCATCTTGAATAACTGAACCTACATACCTTTTGACTAATACCTTCCCATTTTCCCCTCCCTCTAGCCCCTGGCAATCACAATTCTACTCTCTGCATCTATGAGTTTGACTATTTTAGATTCCTCATATAACAGAAATCATGTAATATTTGTCTGTCTGTGACTGTCTTATTTTCTTTAGCATGTTTTCCAAATCCATACATGTTGGTGCAAATAAGATTTCTTTCTGTTTTTATGGCTGAATAATATTTCATTTGTGTGTGTGTGTGTATATATATATACCACATCCTCCTCATCCATTTGTATATTAATAGACATTTAGATTGCTTTCATGTCTTGGCTATTATGAATAACCCTGCAATGAAGTCTACCTACATGGGAGTACAGATGTCTCATTGGGATTCCGATTTCAATTCCTTTGGGCATATATACAGAAGTAGGATTACTGGATCATATGGTAGTTCTATTTTTAACTTTTTGAGAAACCTCCCATGTCTTCCATAGCGACTGCACCAATAACATTCCCATCAGCAGTGTAAAATGGTTCCCGTTTTTCCACATTCTTATCAACACTTATCTTTTGTCTTTTTGATATAGCTGTTCTAATAGGTGTAAAGTGATAGCTCATTGTAGTTTTGGTTTGCATTTTCCTAATGGTTAGCAATGTTGAGCACCTTTGCACATATGTGTTGGCTACTCATAAGTCGTCTTTTGTCTATTCAATTCCTTGTGCCCATTTTTAAATTAGTGTATTTGGTTTTTTGCTATTGAGTTGTAGGAATTTCTCATATATTTTGGATTTTAACCCTTTCTCAGATAGTTTCTCCTATTTTTTTATCCAGTTATTCTTAGAGAATTCTTCTAGAGAAATTCTACAACTGTAAAATATATACAATAAATAAATTAGTTTCATCTCATTGGATAAAAAAGGCTTATATATGAAAGTATTCCAATTAGGATCAGTTTATATGATGTCTTGATTTTATTCATGAGGTAGATTTCCCCTTCAGATATTTAGGCATTCTAGATAGAATATGTTGAGATATTCAAAATGTAACTGATGCTTTTTTGTGTCCCACACATTTTCTAGCATGGTAAGTCTGGAGAATGGCAGGTTAGCTGTGCTCAAAGTCTAGTTCCAACCAGGCTTCACTTAAATATTACTGTGTTATTTGATAATCAAGCTTATACATAATGGCATGTAAAACTACCTTTTAAGCTTTTTTTTTTTTTTGAGACGGAGTCTTGCTCTGTCACCCGGGCTGGAGTGCAGTGGCGCGACCTCAGCTCACTTCAACCTCCGCCTTACGGGTTCAAGCAATTCTTCTGCCTCAGCCTCCTGAGTAGCTGGGACTACAGACACGTGCCACCACGCCCGGCTAATTTTTTTGTATTTTTAATAGAGACGGGGTTTCACCATATTGGCCAGGCTGGTCTCGAACTCCTGACCTCGTGATCCGCCTGCCTCAGCCTCCCAAAGTGCTGGGATTATAGGCATGAGCCACCACACCCAGCCTAAGCTATTTTTTTTTTAATTATTGTAGATTCAGGGGTACATGTGCAAGTTTGTTAACAAGGGTATATTGCATGATGCTGAGGTTTGGACTTCTACTGATCCTGTCACCCAAATAGTGAACATAGTACCCAATAGGAAGTTTTTCAGCCCCTGCCTTCCTCCCTCCCTCCCAACTTTTGGAGACCTCAGTGTAGTTTCCATCTTTATGTCTGTGTATACCCAATGTTTAGCTTCCACTTACAAGCTTCCACTTATAAGTGAGAACATAAGATATTTAGTTTTTTGTTTCTGTGTTAATTCATTTAGGATAATCGCCTCCAGCTGCATCCATGTTGCTGCAAAGGACGTTATTTCATTCTTTTTTATGGCTGTGTAGTATTCCATAGTGTATGTGTACCACATTTTCTTTATCCAGTCCACTGTTGATGGGCACCTAGGTTGATTCCATGTCTTCGCTATTGTGAATAGTGCTGCAATGAACATACAAGTGTAGGTGTCTTTTTGGTAGAACGATTAATTTTCCAGTGAGTATATACCCAGTGATGAGATTGCTGGGTCAAATGGTAGTTCCATTTTTAGTTCTTTGAGAATCTCCAAACTGTTTCTACAGTGGCTCAACTAATTTACATTCCTACCAGTGGTGTATAAGCATGTAAGCTGTATCTTGACACAGATATGAAATGGGTGATTTTGGGCCAAGAAAAATATTATTATTAAATATTTACATCTAAAAAGAAAAATTGCAAGGAAAAAATATTAGATACATAAACATCCCCTGATCTTAAGGTTTTCAATATTGTTTTTGAAGTTATTCCTTTATTAAGATAGTAGGTGTTTATTGTTTGAATTTTTTTAGAATATGTAAAAATGGAAGCCACAATTTTGGTCAGTATCTTTCTAGATACATTGCCAAGCGTAGTTTTATATCATCTGACCTTAGATGTAAACACAATCATTTTTTGGTATCTAATCTTTAAAAGAGCTGTAGACAAGGCTCATATTTTTTTCCTCTTTCAGCATTGTTGTCCAGACATGATAACTAAATTTTTGGGAGTAATTGTTAAATCAGAACGTCCATGTGATGAAGACAAGACTGATTCAGAGACAGGAAAGTTGATCATGTTAGTCAATGAGTTTTATTATGGAAGGCATGAAGGAGTCACTGAGAAAGAGCCAAAGACTTACACAACCTTTAAATGCTTCAGTTGCTCGAAAGTTCTTAAAAATAATATTAGGTATGTAAATATTTATTTTTATTTCTGTTTGAAAGTTGGGATATGACAGATAAGAATATAGTATCTTTACATTGCTCTGCCATCCTCGGTAATTAATTCTAATACTTTCTACTAAGAACAGTGGCAGATTATCATGTTGAAAAGCTTTTGTTCCTTCTTGTATTTTAAGAGTTTGACTCCAGGATCCACCTAGTTGTTTTGTTTTCAGATAGCTTAAGAAAAGACAAAATGTATTTTAATTTAGGGGAAAACTACTTATTTTCCCTACATTTATTACTGAACTAGACGGTTTCATGAAAAACTTATATTTTCTAGCTGACTTTGAATCTTACTTTTCTTCATGTCACAAGAAGAACCCTATGCAGCATGACCTCCTCCATACTAACCTTATTTAAAGCTCAAATTTTTCCATTTTAAAATAAATTGCAGGCGTTTACCAAAACCAAAGAGAAGTGTTTTGGAGGTGTGAAAAAAGATAAAAACCCAAACCTTCACAATGATTGCTATGTAGGTTGATGACATTATCACTTTGTTTCAAGATTATTTTCTTTAGTGATTCATAATAATTGTAAGTAGTTGACCCAGTCTTAAAACTGTTGTTTACATTGAATAACTTTACTTTGAAATTCAGCAAAAAGTTTTAGTAAGCCCTTTGAAAATGGTATGTCCATTTATATTGTACTCTCTGCCATTGAACATCATAGTTCCTTCTCTTCAGAAGCCTTTCAGAGAAGCTAAAATAGCAGAAGGTAAAACTGAAAAATAGACAGTGCTACAAAGGGCACAGCCTGCTAAGAAAAATGAATAGTTTGTGCTAACAGTAAGCCAGTATAATTAGATAAAACAAAAGGTTCTTGTAATTATAGTCATTAAAATTGCTATTGCATGCATTTAGAAACCAAGACACAAATAAAAATATACCAGCAGTTTGTCTTTTGAGCAGCTGAAACCTTCAGAGCTTTCAAAGATTTGTCTCTTCACTGTAGCTGCTTTTGGTGGTAGAGTTTCCATCCTTTCAGTATTTTATTTTAAAATGTAAATAGTATTTCATGTATGGAAAAGAAGCCTGCTATTTTTCTTTGCTAAAAAAAATTTTAAATCTAAAATAATGATATAGTGTTACAGCAAATTAGTGATGTTTCATACTACTACATTAATGGATTATTTTAGAAACAAAGATAAAAAAACCTTACTGAGCCACTTAATGAAAGTAAATTATTTAAAGTACACACTTTATAGAGTGCTTTCAGGCCTTGGAGATGTTATTTTGAGTCATAGAATTACATTTTAAAAATTTATTTTCAGAGACTTATTTGTGAGGTTTTTCTTTGGTTATAAGTCTGAATTTTTGCTCTTACTGGCAAATTGTTTGTAGGTTTATGAACCACATGAAACATCACTTGGAACTTGAGAAGCAGAACAATGAAAGCTGGGAAAACCACACCACCTGCCAGCACTGTTACCGGCAATATCCCACACCCTTCCAACTGCAGTGCCACATTGAGAGTACACACACTCCCCATGAGTTTTCTAGTAAGTGAAAGTTTCTTTGGAATCCTGAATATTGTTGACTTTGATCATCCGAACTGTGAGGAAACCTTAAAAATTCTGGCAGAAAAAAATAAGAAGTAGACTTTGTAATATGAGGGCAAAATTGAAAAAAAAAATCATAACTTTTATAAACCTAGATGAAATGTGTTCTAAAGCCAGGTGTGATGGTGCATGCCTATACACCCAGCTACTGAGGAGGCTGAGGCAGGAGGATCACTTGAGCCCATGAGTTCAGTACTATAGAATGCTATGATCAATTGCACCTGTGAATAGCCACTGCACTCCAGCCTGGGCAACATAGTAAGACCCTGCCTCTACAAAAAAAAAAAAAAAAAAAAAAAGTAGAAGAAAAAAACTGTTAAAATTGAAGTCCCTTGGTCGGGCGCAGTGGCTCATTCCTGTAATCCCAGCACTCTGGGAAGCCGAGGTGGGTTGATCACCTGAGGTCGGGAGTTAGAGACCAGCCTGACTAACATGGAGAAACCCCATCTGTACTAAAAATACAAAATTAGCCAGGCAAGGTGGCGCACGCCTGTAATCCCAGCTACTTGGGAGACTGAGGCAGGAGAATCACTTGAACCCAGGAGGCAGAGGTTGCGGTGAGCCGAGATGGCACCATTGCACTCCAGCCTGGGCAACAAGAGCGAGACTCCATCTCAAAAAAATAAAATAAAATAAAATAATTGAAATCTTTCTTATAAACAATTCATTAGTGGAAACTTCCTTGGCACATGCATTGGTGTAGGGGACTAAATTAGAACACCCAGATTCCATGGTTTTCAAATTTGAAGTTAATTGTCTTGATTTACACTTTAGACAAAAGTTAACTACAATGTTAAGATTTAGAGTCTGAGACGCGGACAAATTTGGTTCAGATTCCAACTTTGCCTCTTACTACAGCTGTGAGATCTCAAGCAAGTTTCTTAATTTTTCTGTGCTTCTGGTTCCTCATCTGAAAAATAGGAATAAAAATAACAGTACCTTCCTCAGTGATGTTACGAGAATTAAATAAGCTAATATATCCTTGGAACAGCATTACAGAGTCAACAGCTATAGAATTGTTAGAACCACATCACTGTTACTTCTACTATTATTATTACTTGTTGTGGATGTACAAAATGAATCTTTTTTTATATACATCCTTAAATGGTATAATGTGTTTTTTTCCACTTTCAGCTATTTGCAAAATCTGTGAATTATCATTTGAAACAGAGCATATTCTTTTACAACATATGAAGGACACCCATAAACCTGGTGAAATGCCATATGTTTGCCAGGTACACACACATTTTATTGTGTAGTTAAGTGTTTGTTTAATTTTCATGTGCCATGAAATAGTATTGTTCTTTTGATTTTTTAAAGCCATTTAAATAAAATTAGTTACTATGCTAAAATTGAAGACCCTCTTCATTAGTGGAAACCCCCTTGGGTTTAACTCATGCATTGTAAGTAAAGGGGTGGAGTAGATTTTGCCTGTGGGTTGTAGTTTGCTGACCTCTGTGCTAGATGAGGAAATGCCCTACTAGAGAAAGACAAATGTGTGGGTTATCATATAGGGAAAATTATAGATATGCTAGAGAAATAGGAAAATCTCTTAGTTATAGAATACCAAATTAAATGCTTTGGGATCAGTGTTCCAGAATTTGAAGTGGCTTCCAGTAACGAGGAATTGAGATGAAGATAAATTGACACTGGCATAGCATGGATGCTATTTAAAATCTAAAGAAGAGAATACTCTGTTTTATATAGCAGGAAAAGCTTTTTAGAACAATATTTGGCAGAGGTTGAAAATTCACATCAAGATAGGGGGTGGTAGATTTGAAAAGAAGAAGAGAGTCTTACTGTGTTTTGGAATATATGCCTAAACTTTGAAAGATATCTTTCAAAGGTTATCTTTATTACTTGCAGTAATATGATTCTTGGTTGTATAGGCAGCAGAGCTGGACTAGTAGTACATGTTCTTCCAAACAGATGACCCGTTATTGCTACTTTGATTGTAATTGCAAGAAGTTATAAAATATCAAGTTAAACTAAGCCTTCTTTATATTTCTAGGTTTGCCAGTTTAGATCATCAACATTTTCTGATGTAGAAGCTCATTTTAGAGCAGCCCATGAAAACACTAAGAACTTGCTATGTCCATTTTGCCTCAAAGTTAGTAAAATGGCAACCCCCTACATGAATCATTACATGAAGCATCAGGTGAGATTAAGCAGTTCTTATTTGTTCATGTTGTCTTAGTGAAAAGATATAGATCTATATGTATAGATCTATAGCTACATCTATATCTATCTATAACGTAGAACATTGGTTAGATTTGTTCTGGACAGAAAGCAAAGTTGTTCTGAATGACACAATTAATTTATAATTTATGCTGAATAACTTGTGAAACTTTCACTTATTTTCCTTGCTTGCTTTCTGGTGACACTGAGAATCATAAATAGTCAAAGTTCTGAAAGATAGCTAGAAATAGGAACCCCAAAGTGGAGGAAAAAACAGAAGATTCATGAAATATTTAGGTTAGATATTTCAGGACCTAAGGGTGGTGGGACTGGGAATGACTTTGAAGGTGCTTATCAAGAGCAGGAAAAAGAATAAGTTTGAATGGAGGAACATAAGATTAAGGACTCATAACCTTGTATTTTCCTCTTTCTCTTGAAATCTTATTTCTACTTTCTAGCCCACTTTTTATTATGAGACATGTGGTTGTCATCAGTGACCCAGAATTGACTTTTGTAGCAGCCAGTAACAAAGGAAACAGCAAGAACACTTATGACCAGATATGTGAACTATACTAGAGAACTATATTTAGGTTATAACTTACTTACTTTGTGACTTTTGCCAGTTCTGCTATATAATTTCTGGGATACCAGTATTGATGCTTGCATCTTTCCCTTGAATTCTGATTTTATGCTTACTGATTCTTTTCCTCAATTAGAGCATCCTGTGGGCTGAAAACTTTGATGAAACAGTGGGCCTATTCTTGAGTGTTTGAAACAGCAATAGTGCCTTTGCCAAAATCAGAAGTCAACGGATTTACTAAGTCTGGTCATGTAATCAAGTTTTGCCTCCTCACTGATCAGCTCATTACATTTTCGTAGTATTGATTGCATTGTCTCGGCAAGTTGATTCAGTACTGGCACTAACGTCGCCCTTGAATGTAGTCATTGGATGATCATGAAATCAACTTATAGTTGTTAATTGGAAAAAAAGTCATAAAAATAGAATTTCCAAACACATTCAGATTACCTGTGTTATGACTTGGATGGTATCAGTGTCTTTTTTTTTTTTTTTTATCCTGGTAGGCCATCTCACCCTTAAAAACTTTGGCAAAATCTTTCTAGGGTTTCCACCAACAGTGTTCACTCAGATGTTAATAAGTGTTCCCCTCTTAACTTGTTCCTGGTAAAAGAAATTTAGTGAATGGCTGGATTTACAAAATTCATAGAGGTGTTTTTTGTTTATTTTTAACAACAAGACTTTTCAGAGCTTTTAATATGCTAATACTGTAAATCTCTAAGCAAGGGACATAGTGTGTAATAGTCCTCAAACATTTTTAACCTTTGAGCCCTTTATTTGCACAATACCTATTAACATTTCTTGAGGTATAGAGTTTGGGAAACACTATTCTTGGTGGTCTGTATTTCATTTTTTGGCCTTCAATTTTGAAAAGAAGAATGGAACATAAAGCAGTATCTCTGACTGTCTAATTATGGGTTTTTTAACATAATTCTTTCCCCTGTGCTTTACTAAGCTCCAGAGTGATATAGATGTAGATTTGAAGGGAGTGATAACATGCTTAGAAAGGTAAGAAAGACATAATGAACCCACTTTGTGAGCTGTGTCTTATAAGTGGTTTATCTGATCTGTAGTCATTCTTCATATCCTAAGTTGTATGCCTTAACTTGCTGTATGTATTGGAAAGAGTTACCCAACAGGTCTGAGTTGCTCAAATATTGCACAATTTCAGAAGTGCCTGCTTGTATAACTGGCCCTTGGCTAAATCTTGGAAATTGAGCTTCTAAAATGTTCTCTATGTTATTAACTGATAAGAGTGGTTTACATGCCTGGAACCTTGAGCCATGTTGTACCAGTTAGTCAAGAAAATTCGCACAAAAAAATACGGTTATGGTGACCACCTGCTTTTCTTGCAGTGGGAGGAGTCGTCTGAAAATTTGGTGGCTTACCTCCATAAAAAACCTAAGCTCTTAGACTCAAGAGAGCTTTCCCATCAAGCAACACTTTATACGTGTTGCTGCAGTTCATTGCTGAGGGATTTTATACATGTTGCTGCAGTTCATTGCTGAGGGATTAAGTGTGTCCTATGTGACTCCATTGGAATAGAGCTCTTAGAAGTTGGCGCCTGGTAATCCTCTAGAAGCTATCCAGTACACCATTTTCCTTTATTAATCCTGCTCTGTACCCTTACACTGTAATAAAACATAGCTGTGAGTATAACACTAAGTCCTATCGATCCTTCTGCTGAATCATCACATCTGGGAGTAGTCTGAGGGACCACTGAGGTGCCACAGGTGCTGTCTTAGTCTGTTTGAGCTACTATAACATGCTATTATACCATTGACTGGGAAGCTTAAACAACAAGCACTTATTTCTCTCTGTTATGGAGGCTGTAAAGTCCAAGATCAGGGCACCAGTGGTTCAGTGTCTGGTGAGGACCTGCTTCCTTGTTCATAGATGGCCATATTCTCACTGTGTCTTCACATGGGGGAAGGGGTGGAGAGGGCTCTCTAGGGTCCCTTTTATAAGGACACTAATCCCATTTATGACAGCTCCACCATCATAATCTAATTAGTTTCCGAAGGCTCCACCTCCCAATACTATTACATTGAAAATTAGGATTTCGCCATATGAATTGGGGGGCGGAGGGGACACAGGCATTCAGTCCATTTCAGGTGCTGAATTTTTTTGTTAAGTTTGGAGTACCTGAAGAGTAAACAGTCAGCAGTGAAGAGGTAAGATTCTATTGATAAGAAGGATCATCAGGCTTCTCTGAAGGTATTTGCAGTTTGCATAATTATTCACAAAAGACTCAAAAACCTGAGCTGACCAATATTATAAGCTTATAATTTAGATGGCATTAGTGCAATTTTATGTAATAAGAATTATTGACTCTATGGTTTATTTTATTCTTTTTGAAAACTTTGATTGCAACTTTTTCCTAAAAATAATATATTATTATGTCTTGAGTGATTTTGGAGTTAGCAATGCAGTTTATACATTTTTTAACAAAGGACGAAAGACTCCACATGTGTTAAATATCCTCATTAGCTCTTTAATAACAACAATAAGCAGTTAACATATAATAATCACTTACCATTTGACAGCCACTGGTGCTTTTACATGCATTATCTTGTTTAATCTTCACAGCCACCCTATGAGGCAGGTATATGATTGTTTTCATTTTATAGATGAGGAAACAAAGCTTTATAGAAAGTAATTTGCCCAGTGTCACATTCCCTAACAAATGGCAGAGCCCAAAATTGATTTATAGCCCAAGCTTCCACCGCAGACTCATATTCCACATTGACATTAGGTCTAAAGGCAGAAATTACAGATAGTTACCCTTGAAAATCCCTCAAATTGGCCAGGTGCAGTGGCTCATGCCTGTAATCCCAGCACTTTGGGAGGCCAAGGCAGGCGGATCACCTGAGGCCAGGAGTTTGAGACTAGCCTGGCCAACATGGTGAAACCCTGTCTCTACTAAAAATAAAAAAAATTAGCTGGGTGTGGTGGTGCATGCCTGTAATCCCAGCTACTCGTAGGCTGAGGGGGGAGAATCACATGAACCCGGGAGGCAGAGGTTGCAGTGAGCCAAGATCATGCCACTCCAGCCTGGGAGACAGAGCAAGACTCCGTCTCAAAAGAAAAAAAAATTCCTCATATAACCCAAAAACCATATAGTATGCATGTCAAGAAGTTCAACACTTAACTTTTTCTCTACCCTTGGAACAAGTTACTGTTTCTTTGGTTAAACATTATTTTAAAAATGTATTAGTTGGGCACAGTGGCTCATGCCTGTAATCCCAGCTCTTTGGGAGACCGAGGAGGGTGGATCACTGGAGGTCAGGAGTTCGAGACCAGCCCTGCCCCATCTCTAAAAATACAAAATTAGCCAGGTGTGGTGGCAGGTGCCTGTAATCCCAGCTAGTTGGGAGGCTGAGGCAGGAGAACTGCTTGAACCCAGGAGACGGAGGTTGCAGTGAGCCGAGGTTGTGCCATTGCACTCCAGCCTGGGCAACAAAAGCAAAACTGTATCTCAAAAAACAAAAAAAAGTATCATCTGTGATCATTAGCACAATGCAAGCATACATACATAAGAGGGATATCCAGGACTTGAGTCCAACTAAGGGAATAGTAGATTAATGTCTCCCATCTTGGGGCTCTGGACAAGTAAATACTCATTGAATGAAATGGCAGACACTTTGAACTAGTTAAATTGTGCCTGCTGCTCATTTGTACTCTGTCAGTCTCTTGCCTCACTTTATTTCTTTATTTAAGAAATATTTGAGTGCCTAATATATGCCAAGGACTGTTTTAGGTACTGGGGATACAGAAGTAAGCAAAGCAAGGTTTGTACTCACTGAAATAATGCATCATGGTAGAGAAGGGTGTGTGTGTGTGTGTGTGTGTGTGTGTGTGTGTGTGTGTGTGTGTGTGTGTGTGGTGTCTGAATGTATATGTATGCCAGCTGATGGTAAGTACCATGGGAAGAAAATATAGGTAGATAGAGAGTGCCAGGGCTCAGGTGAAGGAGTGGTTTCTGTTTTTTAAATGGTGTGGTCAAAGAGGGCTTCTCCAAAGGGAATAAGAGAGTAAGTCATGTGGCTTACTCATCTGGGAGAGAATGTTCCAGGTAGAGGGAACAATAGGTAGGCAGTGAAGTGAACATATACCTAGGATATTCAAGGAAGAGCAAGGAGACCAGTGTGGCTGGAGCACAGTAAACAAGTGAGAGGAAAAGTAGTAGGAGATGAAATTGTAGCAAGAGAATGTAAGCCAGATCATTTGAGGACTTGTAAGCCAGAGTCAGAATTCTGGAGTGTTACGGAAAGCCATTTGGAGGGTTTAACCATGTGAAAGATCTGTAACATTTTAAGATCACTCTGACAGCTATGGGAAGAACAGACTAGGAGAAAGGATGGAAATAGGGAGAAGATAGGAGGCTCTTGCAAGAGTCCGCGTAAGTGGCTCAGACAAGTATAGTAGCAGTGATTGGAGGTGATGAGAAATTGAAAGATTATAAATTTTTTTTTAAGGTATCACTGACAGGTTTTATTAATTTGTTGAATGTGGGATGTAAGAGAAAGAGAAGAGTTAAGAGTGACCAAGTGTTTTTTGTCCTGAGCAGCTGCAAGAATTTAGATCCCATATACTGAGATATTGGGAAGAGTAGGGAAGGAACAGATTTTGTGCCCTTCCCCACTCGGGATGAATGAGAGGGAATCTAGAGTTCAACTTTTTGTCCATGTTGATTTGAAATACCTATTAGACATCAAGAGATGTCAAGTAGGCGGTGGGTGGATGCTATTTAAAGCCATGAAACTGAATGAGGTATAGGTATAGGTAGAGAAAAAAATTGTGGGAACTGTACTCTGCGGGAACATTCTATCCATCATCTTAATTTGCTGTCTATTACTTAGCTGAGATTTTCTTCTTTCCCCTTCTCTCTTGAGCACCTACAGGTAAATCTGTTTGTGTTTACTGTACCTATGGTATGATCCAGTACACCACACTTCTAAAATAGTCTGAAGATCAAACTAAAATAGTAATGCAAACACCTTATCTTTATATATTGCTTTGAACTTTGTAAAGAGCTTTTATTTAGCAAATGCTTTTTATGCACCAGTAACTACTAGATACTTTCATACATGTTACCTCGTTTGGTTTTCCTAAAAGATTGTTTGTGTTTTATATGCAAATGATGAGCTGGTGGAGATACATCTTTAAAGAAAGCTTTCTTTTGTATTTGTATGTTGTTCTAAATTTATAATAAATATAAAATATATTTTAATTAATAAGAACATATGCATAAAGATGGCAATTGTATAGTAGACAGAACACTAACCAGCTATGGGCAAGTGCAAATTTCTCTTGGGTCCCATTTCCCATTGGTAAAATAATAATGGGGCTAGGTTTGAGGAGGGATTTAGTCAAGGGTTTCTCAAACAATAGATTGGGATCCACTCGTATTTATGCCTCTATAATCAGTATAGAACTTTTCCAATTAAAATCTAATTATATACTTTTTATGTTTGATCCTTATATGGTAACTAATGCTTTTGAAACTCAAATACTAACACAAGGAGTACTTTTAAATAATAGATCACTTTGAATTGTCTGTGGTGGGAGATGGTAAAATTCTGGTTGTAAATTTATTTAGATTTTAGAATTAAGAGCAATTTCAGCTCCTAGGATTTGTGGTGGTGGAAGTTATTATATCTAATATTTTCTGTAAACAGAAAAAAGGAGTTCATCGTTGCCCAAAATGCAGACTACAATTTTTGACCAGCAAGGAGAAAGCTGAACATAAGGCGCAGCATCGTACATTTATAAAGCCTAAAGAACTAGAAGGATTGCCTCCTGGAGCAAAAGTGAGTTTGTGAGGGAGTTTTTGGTGGTTTTTTGCACATTCTATTAATTTTTTTATGTTTTTTTTTTTATTATGGATAGAAGGAATAAGATCTAGTGTTAGAAAGCTCACTAGGGCAACTATATTAACAATAATTTATTGTGTATTTCAAAATAACTAAAAGAGTGGAATTGGAATGTCCCTAACACAAATAAATGATAAATACTTGAGGTGATGGATACCCGTTACCCTGATTTGATCATTATGTATTGTATGCTTGTATCAAAATATCCCATGCACCCCAAAAGTGAGTTTTAAATATGCTGTATTTTTAACATTTTGTATGATAATAGAAACAAACTACTGCCTGGTTTTATCTATTGAATATAATATTAAAATTGACCTCTGATTGTTATTAAGACTTTAATTTTAGGTTTTATCATTCTTATGCTTGTAAAGAAAAACTTCTAACCATTGTTTTTTTTAGTTGATTGATGTGGTTTGTTGGAGGGATATTTCTAGTGCAACTAGATTGTAGACTAAGTTGGCAGGTCGTTTCAATGTTCTGTAGGCTGTTTTTGAGCTATTCCAGTTGTCAGTGTGTATGTCTTTTTCAGTTGCTAGACTATAAGATATTTAAGATCAGGAATTATATTTAATTTATCTTTGTGTCCCCAGCATCTGTCACAGTGCCTTGAATGCCATAGGTTTGTTGAAGTTAGTATTACTAATCTACTCTCAGAGAAGCAAGTTTTGCTCCTGGATAGCATAGCATTGCTGTTTTTCATGAGCAAGCACACATCAGACTACAAATTTCTTTCTCCTTCTTTGCCTTATATACATATGTTTTCGCTGACTTTTTTTTTTTTTTTTTTTTTTTTTTTGAGACAGAGTCTCACTCTATCCCTCAGGCTGGAGTGCAGTGGCGCGATCTCAGCTTACTGCAGCCTCCGCCTCCCGGGTTCAAGTGATTCTCGTGCCTCAGTCTCCCAAGTAGTTGGGATTACAAGCATGCAGCATGATGTCCAGCTAATTGTTTGTATTTTTAATAGAGACTGGGTTTCGCCAACATGGCCAGGCTGGTCTCAAACTCCTGGCCTCAAGTGATCTGCCCGCCTCGGCCTCCCAGAGTGTGGGGTTACAGGCATGAGCCACCACGCCTGGCCCTCTGACTTCTTTACATAAAGTTAGCTCTTGAATATTTTCTCCAGTAAAGAGATAGATAATCCAAGGTGAGATAATCCCTAAACATTTGTATTTCACTTTGAGTACATGCTTTTGAATGCGAGTATGTCTGCTATTTAAATTAACAAAATTAATATAAAACAATTATCTGAATATCTAGCATAAGATAAACCATCTGGCATCCTTCCCTGCAATCCATTTGTTCCATGTTGGTATTAGACATGCAGAATATTAATGTAGGCAGTACAATCCTCTCTCACATCTTCCCTTATTAATAAGATACCAATAGTAATGATAATATTGATAATAATGATACTATATGTCTTATAGCACTTTAGAATTAAGTGTTCGGTGTGCCTTTCCATACATTTTATTATTTAACCTATGTGGTGATCCAGTGATATAGACAAGGCAAGTATTATCCCCATATTAGAGATGAAGAGGCTCAGAGAGGCTAAATTCCTTACTCAAGGTCATGTAGCTAGGAAGAGGTAGTACTAAGATTCTTAAACTCAGGTCTTTTGACTTCTACTCTAGTGCTTTCAAAACATGTATTTTCTTTTTGCAAGCTAACAAGTTCTGCTTCAGTGCTTTTCTATACCACATATATTTCATAGGACTTCATAGAAGCTGTTCTTCAAGTACATGGGGGGAGTGTAATCAAATGATTAAAGAAAATGTTAGTGGATGACTTTTCTATTATTAACCAATAGATACAAACATTTTCTTTTTCCAAATAGTAAATGATAAATTTTATATGTTACCATTAAGGAAATTCTGAGCATTATTATAACCACCATGCTGTGTGATGAATTGATATAAGCTCACCATAACCTTGGAAGCAGAAATCATGCCCCCTGATCCCCCAGGAAGAGGTCACATTTACTGAAAATCTGTTTTATAGTTACCAGAGGGTAATGCAGGCCTTTCCAGAGTTATTATTTCAGACCTCTATATTACATTTTGACCTCTCTATTTGTGAAAGCCTTTTAGTTAGTTGGGTTTTTTTGTTTGTTTGTTTTTGAGACGGGGGTCTCACTCTGTCACCCAGGTTGGAGTGTAGTGGTGCCATCTTAGCTTACTGCAACCTCTGCCTCCGAGGCTCAAGCGATCCTCCCACCTCAGCCTCCCAAGTAGCTGGGACCACAGGCGGATGTCACCATGCCCAGCTAATTTTATTGCATTTTTGGTAGAGATGAGTTGCCCAGGCTGGTCTCAAACTCCTGAGCTCAGGCAGTCCACCCACCTTGGCCTCCCAAAGTGCTGGGGTTACAGGCATGAGCCACCACACCCAGCCCTTTTTAATTCTATCAAAGCATAAAATAGCTATGGAATGTGCTCTTTTGATATTTATCTAATTTTTACTCCTAATTATTCGTTAATATCTGTTAACATACAACTGTTATCAATATAAAACTAATATTACAACAGTAAGTAAATATCAAGATAAATTTCATTTAATCAGTATGACCATTTAGAATAAGTAGAAGGCTTATCTGATTGTAGTTTATACTTGCCATTTTCAAAATAATGATTTTAACTTTTTGTATTGCAGTGGTTTTTTGGTAACAGTGTTATTGAGATATAATTCATATATCACACAATTTACCCATTTACAGTGTACACAGTTCAGTGGTTTTTAGTATATTCAGATTTGGGCAAACATCACTACAATAAATTTTAAAACATTTTTATCACCCTCAAAAGAAACCTCATACCCTTTAGCATTCACTATTTCCCCTCCATTAGACCTGTGCAAACTTTAGTCTGCTTTTAGTGTCTATGGATTTTCCTATTCTGGACGTTTCATATAAATTGAGTCATACAATATGCCATCTTTAGGGACTGGTTTCTTTCGCTTAGCATAATGTTTTGTAGGTTCATTGATATTGTACCATGTTTCAGTACTTCATTCTTTTTTGTGGCTGAGTAATACTCCACTGTATAGATATTCTACATTTTATCCTTTCATCTATTGGTGGGCATATGGGTTGTTTCCTCTTTTTGGCTATAATGGTGCTGTAAAAATTCATGTACAGGTTTTTGTGTGAACGTATGTTTTCATTTCTCATGGGTATATACCTCTGAGTAGAATGGCTGAGTCAAATGGTAACTCTTACCTTTAATATTTTAAGAAACTGCCAAACTGTTTTTCTTTTTTTGTTCTTTTGTTTTGTTTTGTTTTTGAGACGGAGTCTTGCCGTGTTGCCCAGGCTGGAGTGCAGTGGTGCGATCTTGGCACACTGCAACCTCCGCCTCCTGGGTTCAAGCAATTTTCCTGCCTCAGCCTCCCGAGTAGCTGGGATTACAGGTACCTGCCACCATGCCTGGCTAATTTTTTGTATTTTTAAAAGAAATGGAGTTTCACCATGTTGGCCAGGCTGGTCTCAAACTCCTTACCTCAAGTGATCCGCCCACCTCGGCCTCCCAAAGTTCAGGGAGTACAGGCCTAAGCCACCACACCCAGCCTGCCAAACTGTTTTTCATTGTAACTACACTGTTGTGCATTCCCACCAGCAATGTATGAGGGTTCGCATTTCTCTATGTCCTAGCCAATACTTGTTATTGTCTGTTTATTATAGCCATTCTGGTTGGTGAAGGGACATCTCATTTGGGATTTCATTTGCATTTCCCTGGTGACTAATGACGTGGACCATCTCTTTGTGTGCTTATTGGCCGTTTGTATATCTTCTTTGAAGAAATGCCTATTCATCTATTTTCTCTTTGGTTGCTTGTGCTTTTGGTGTCATATATAAGAAACCGTTGCCTAACTCATGCTCACAAGAATTTACTACTGTATTTTCTTCTAAGAGTTTTATAGTTTTACCTTTTAGAATTTGGTCTTTAATACATTTTGAGATAATTTTTGTATATAATATGAGGTAAGGGTTCAAATTCATTCTTTTGCACATGGATATCAGTTTTTGTAGCAGCATTCATCAAGACTATTTTTTGCCCCATTGGAAATGTTTTGGGACCCTTGCCAGTTTACCGTAAATGTGATATTTACGGCTTACAATGATATTTTTAATACTAATGCGATGGTTACTTTTCTAAAAATATGTATTGGCTTTGTTTTTATAGGTTACTATTCGAGCTTCACTTGGACCTCTCCAGTCAAAATTACCAACTGCACCTTTCGGTTGCGCTCCAGGCACTTCTTTTCTTCAGGTCACACCTCCGACATCTCAAAATACAACTGCTAGAAATCCTAGAAAATCTAATGCCAGTAGATCTAAGACAAGTAAGCTTCATGCAACTACATCCACTGCAAGTAAAGTTAATACAAGTAAGCCAAGGGGACGTATAGCTAAGTCCAAAGCAAAACCCTCTTACAAGCAAAAGCGACAGCGCAACAGAAAAAATAAAATGAGCCTTGCTTTGAAGAACATAAGGTAATATCTTTTATTCCTGATATACAATACAAATTTAATCTTATGTATATAATTTATCATATCATAAAACCCTCTTACACATTTACATGATAATCACTTATCTGGCATAAAGACCAAGCAAATGAGAAAAAGGTACTTTTTACAACTGCTGAGCAGAACTTGAGTCATTGTGTTTATTCTCTAATTTTCATCTTTTACACTAAACTTATATTTTGTGCTTTTATCTTATGATAGATTAATTGGTTTATTTGATCCCTTTTATTCCAGGGAAATGTTAACTGGTGTTAAATTTTTTACACTTACTCTAGCTTGTTTCAAAGCAAATTTTGAAATTATGAGTCTACTTAAAGATACCAATTTAAACATTTTGGCTTCAGTTAATAAAATGTTAATAAGATTTTCCCCTGTTATTTTTGTTTTATAATCTCTTTTTATCTTTTTTTTCCGTCTCCATAAGGTGTCGTCGGGGAATTCACAAGTGCATTGAATGTCATTCCAAAATAAAAGATTTTGCAAGCCACTTTTCTATATACATCCACTGCAGTTTTTGCAAGTACAATACTAACTGTAACAAAGCCTTTGTAAATCATATGATGAGGTAAGTTAAACATGTAAACTGCCAATCAGAATTTCCATTTGGGTCATTTGTTTTTTGAAAACAGAGTTATCCTATTGAAAGCAAGTTTGTCTCATCAAGGAACTAAAAGGGTCTAGCAATAGGGAACTTCTAAGATGTTCCTTGTACTATTTTCCAGCATAGTAACTCATAAAATTACTGGGACAAAAACTCTGAGAACAATTAGACTAATGAAATTAAAATGAGTTTGTTAGGGAAATTTGTTTTTTCTATGGGACTTTTTTTTCTTTTATGTCTTTCAAAAAGTGGTTATTTTTTAACATAAAATGTTAAGTGTTTTCAATATATTTATCAAATAAATATGATCAGCTCTTGCATTCCACATCTGTGGATTCAACCAACTGTAGATAAAAGTGTTTTTAAAAAATTAGGTCTTTACTGAACATGTGCAAACCTTTTTCCCATTATTCTCTAAACAATACAGTATAAAACTATGTAATAGCAGTTACATTGTATTAGGTATCATAGGTTCACAAATCTAGAGATGATTTAAAGTATACAGCAGGATATGTATAGTTTATGTGCAAGTACTATGCCATTTTATATCAGAGACTTGAGTCTCTGCAGATTTGGATACCTGCAGGAGGTCCTAGAACCAATCCCCCATGGATACAGGGACCCCTGTATATGTAATTTCCTGAGTGTTATCCTCTTCACAGCGATCACTTTGAGAGGTTCCAGGCTTTTTAATGATGCTAAGAACATTATCCTGTCTCTGTCTCCCGCATCTGTCTGTCCATTTGTCTTTATGATCATCCATCTTTGCATTCATTCAATGAAACATAAGAGACTGTAGGAATATTCCAGTCATGATGCTACCGTTAGAATTCCTTTTCATGCATTGATTCAACTTAATTTGAGCACCTATGGTCTACTCTACACAAGGGAAAGACTTCAGAGCCCCCCTTACTTTCATTTGAACCTCATTCACAGGGGCTTGCTTTATTCCTTCAGATTGGATTTTATTTTAAATAACCAAAAAGTTTCCAGATATAAGTTCATTATTCTAATTAAGATAGTTCCATTTATTTTCAGTTAGAAATAAGATACAACTAGCCAGGCACAATGGCTCATGCCTGTGATCCCAACACTTTAAGAGGCCAAGGAGGGAGGATTGCTTGAGCCTAGGAGTTCAAGACCAGCCTGGGCAACATAGCAAGACCTCATTTCTATTTTTTAAAAAAGAAATAGGTATAACCAATAAAAGTTGTTTTCTTGCAGATTATAACAAGACCTCTATATTATTTTCTGCTCATAATCAGCTACCACTTTGAAGGATTCACCCACGTTTTTTGATGGCTTCAGCACCTGGCTTGCAGGGATTTTTTTCCCTTTGGTGGTCAGCCTGACCTTATGATACCTTTACTTCTTTAGTGCTAGCACTTTACATCCCTTTCTGCTTTGTTGTATCCCCTTTCTTAACACCATCCCATTTTACCTCATTGTAGACAATACTTATTTTGAATTCTCATTACCCCATGACTTTCAGAGTCTTGACCCCTTTTTCTAGTCCAGTAGTATCAATTCAATTTTGTAGCCAACCATGCCCTCAAGGTCTTCTGTTTTGAATGCTGCTTTGTTTCTGTCCTAAAATCCTTTATATCTTCAGGCATGCTTAGTCTTGCTATCTTTGCATCTTTTATCCTTTTTGATGTATCCCTATGCTCAGTTCTAGACTACCACACCATGCTTGATTCAATCAGCTCTGAATTCATGATCTTTAATTTGGTCCTGCCCTTTTAAAAATACCGCTTTGTTTTTGTTTCGTTTTGTTTTGTTTTGAGATGGAGTCTTGCTCTGTCACCCAGGCTGGAGTGCAGTGGCATGATCTCGGCTCACTGCAAGCTCCGCCTCCCGGGTTCATGCCATTCTGCTGCCTCAGCCTCCCCAGCAGCTGGGACTACAGGCACACGCCACCACGCCCGGCTAATTTTTATTTTTATTTTTATTTTTTTTGTATCTGTAGTAGAGACGGGGTTTCACCATGTTAGCCAGGATGGTCTCGATCTCCTGACCTCATGATCCGCCCGCCTCGGCCTCCCAAAGTTCTGGGATTACAGGCGTGAGCCACCACGCCCGGCCAAAAATACCACTTTGTTTTTATCTACAACATCTGTCAGATTTTATTCTAGTCCCTCAGTTGTTAACCTTGCCTAATAATTACTCAGAGGTCATACTTTTCGTTTTTCTCAAGATTAACTTTTTCCTGTCTCAAGGTTTTTTTTCCTTCAGACATTAATCTCAAAAAACAGACATGTCCCACTTTTTTTAAGTTAACCCTGTTCGTCATCTCTTGCATTTCCTCCACACCCTTATTTCATTATTTTGGACCTTCAGTTCATCTCTTTCTCTCTACCACATTCATTGTGTCTGTAGATATTTTCAGGCTTGTTTTTAGGATGAGGAAGATCTGCCTTTACTTTGCATGCTTTCTTGTTCCTCCATTTACCATCAACATTTATAAAGAGTATTCTTTACTAGCCTGTTTGTCATTTTTTGACTCTTTGTGATTTGAGTGTCACCCCCCCACCCCCCAACGCCACCTACATACAGCTAAAGCTTCTCCTTTAAAGGTTATCAGTCATATCCTAACTACTGGATGTACTCATTATTTTTCATTCTTACTCCTCTATGACTTCTTCAGAGTATTTGACATTTTTGATCACTTACTTTTGGAACTCTTCTCAACTTCTGTCTGTTAAACTGTTACCACCATTTTTCTTCTTTCCTTTTGGCTGCTACTCCTCTATGTAATTATCTTTTCTCCCTTCAACTGTTCTTGTCCCCTTATAATCCCTTTCTTGGTACCTTAACCATTCTTAAAGTTTTATCTTTTACCTTTCAACTGTAAATCCTCTAGATTTCAAAGCCGAGTTTCCCTGAGACCCAACTGTTTGTTTCTAACTAGGATTCAAACCACTTTTACTTCAATACCCTTTAAGCTCAGTCTGTTTCAGGGCATCATTTGCATAAACATGAAGCACCAGCTAGAAATAATTTACTATCCCAAGTTTCTGAAGCCCATGGAGTTCTCTTGATCTGCCACTATACATCCTAGCTTCCGGAGAGTCCACCTTTTGCAGTTTACCAGTCTGCCTCTTCCACTACTACAGTGGTTCTGCACCTATACCCCAGTTTCTCTAAAGCAGACCCTAGCCAACCCTTCCCCCAGTACACTGCTGTGATTAATATTGTTCTCTTATTCTGTGCTAAACACTTGGCTGCCCTAGTGAGGCTTTAATTCTGCCACTAATTTATAGAGGATTAAATTGGAAAATATTTTTGGCATTACTTAAACCCATGTGTCATTCCGTCCTCCCCTCTCCCATTTTCCATAGGCTCACCAACTGTCTTGTAGAACCTTCAGCCCCATTCTATCCCCAGACATTCCCAATTGACCTAAAGTTACCTTCATAACATTTTCCTAATTTCTGGTGAGCCCCTGCACTGTCATCACACACATTGAGCTCTTACTCATCATTAACCTCATCTAGAACTGAAAGCTTCCACTTCTACTCTTCTGAGGGCCTCGTAGGTCCCTTTGCTTTTCCCCTACTTCAAGGGTACACTGTTTCCCTCATTGCTTCAGGTACCTTCCTCTGAATGGTGCACCCTCACTCCTACTCGGTGTGGACTTTTGTCATAGGTTTGAGTTCTGTATGTTCAGAGGCTTCATTTTCTCAGAGGTTGAGTACCTTTATTCCCAGGCTATGCCAACTCTTATGAGAAGACAGGCCCTCAAAATTGATCTATCTTCCCCAATGTATAGGCTCTTCATATTCAGTATCTAAAGTAGTTTTTCTTATTCTTGATTATTCTCTGAAATGCCCCTCTCCTTCCTCTCGTTTCACCCTCTGTGAAGTATCTGATCAGCACAGCCAGTCACAAGAATCATTCCTTTCTTTGAGTTCCGTAACATTCTGCTCTTCTGCCTCACATGTGTCTCTATTACCTCTTTGAGAAAGAAGCTCTTTCGTTGTATTCACCATGGTGCCTATTCTGAGGATGTTTTCTTGGAATTACAGCTAGCCAGAATCTTTATTTTCCCATGCATATATAGTAAGCTGGTGATGGTTACCTTGTGTCTGAGGGTAACTGTTGACCTGCTGTGTTGGGTCTGTCAGTGCAAGATAGGGCTAGTGCTTCTCAAACTAGCTTGCATAAGAATCAGCTGGAAAACTTGGGAAAACAGATTTCTGGGCCCCACTGCCAGAGATTAGTTCACTATGTTTGCAGTAAGGCCTGAAACTTTGTGTTTCTAACAAGCTTCTAGGTGATGCTGATGATGCTGGTCCATGGACCACACTTTGAGTAATACTGTGCTAGGCTAATCCTGGCTAATCTTGCCTGGTTGTCTAACACAGGAAGGCTTTCCTTATCATTTTAAAGGGAGGCATAAAAGCTATTACCATTGGCTGTGAAGCTTGATTAGTGGTTTTCTGATCTGTGTGTAGGAGAAGCATTGTTTTAATTCATGAGCTCTGCTCCTTAATTTGCTCTCTTTGAAAGTTCTCCTGGTAATTGCAAAGGACTCTTTAAATGTTTCATGTTTATTGAATTAAGCAATGGCCTTTATCTCAAGTAGTGTTTACTTCCAGGATCATTCAGATTATCCCCCTCCCCAAACATATTAAGATTAAAATGTAATAAGTAATTATTATTTTCCAGCCTGGGTGACAGAGCAAGACTGTCTGAAACAAAAAATAATAATTATTATAACAATTTCTATCATAGCAAAATACATTATCAAATATCCTTTAAATTGTTCTCTTAATAGTTAAAAAACTTTAATTTGACACTGCATTTTTAACTCAAGCATTGTTTTTAGTAATGGTGAGGTACTGATCATCTAAGAAAATTCTCAGGGAAATATGTCATTAGAAAATATAAAGGTAAAGTGGAATGTAAGTTAAAATTCTTGAATTAAACAGAGATGACTGTCTTCGTCCATTCAGGCTGCTATAACAAAATACCATAGACTGGGTAGCTTATAAACAACAGAAATTTATTTCTCACAGTTCTGGAGGCTGGAAAGTCCACGATCAAGGTGCCGGCAGATTCGGTGTCTGGGTGAGGGCCCATTCCTCATAGACAGCACCTTCTCACTGCGTCCTCACATGGTGGAAGGGGCACACTGGCTCTCTAGGATCTCTTTTATAAGTGCACTAATCTCATAAGGGCTCTGCCCTCATGACCTAATCACCTCCCAAAGGCCCCACCTCTTAATGCCATCACTTTGGGGGTTAAGATTTTAACATGAATTTTGGGGTGACACAGAAATTCAGATTATAGCTTTAACCAACAGAATTTTATTATTTAGATCATGATCTTTTATTCAAAACTAAGAAATTAAGCATTGGCTTGAAATGTGGTCAGAAAATTAATATGGTGTTGTATAATAAAATTAATAAAATCTTGTTTGTCTCGTGTTTCTCCAGCTCTCATAGCAACCATCCAGGTAAACGGTTTTGTATTTTCAAGAAGCATTCAGGAACTCTCAGGTAATCATTGATCTTTTTTTTTTCTTTCAATTGAAATATTGCAGTAACTTTTTAAAACTTGATGTTGGAGTGCCTGCTTTGGAAATGATAGAGTTCTGTTTATTATGTCCTTGGACCAAAGTTGGAGGGATAGCCTATCATCTCTGACTAAACTCTGTAGTGCCAAGCATTAAGATGAAACCTTCATGTATTTGCGTTTGTAAAATAACAAAAATAAGGTTCTCCAACCATATCTGAATAGAAGTAAGTTTATGAAAATACCATAATACTTGAAATCAATATATAGCCTTCATAATTGTTAATGTTTTTAGAATTAAAGTATATAAGTTGTTTACTGTACAGAAAAAAAATTGATGAATATTTCTAAAGGCATTGATAATTACCATTGGTTACACCACACACATTTAGCTCAGAATCAACTAAACATCTGTTTTTTTACATTATTTTGTTATCTTTTGACTCCATCTTCCTTTGTTAATTATTTTGCTCATGTTGACAGATGTTTGCCAGGCACATAGTACCTGGCACATAGTAGGCACTTGGTAAATATTTGTTGAATAAGTTAATGTATATGTTGAAAATGAATTATGTGGATAATGTTGGACCAACAGCTCATAGAGGAAATTTTTATTGTATTTTTAAAACATACTCATGTTAGGCCAAGTGCAGTGGTTCACACCTGTAATCCTAGCACTTTGGGAGGCTGAGGCGGGTGGATCACCTGAGGTCAGGAGTTCGAGATCAGCCTGGCCAACATGGCGAAACCCTGTCTCTACTAAAAATACCAAAATTAGCCGGGCATGGTGGCAGGCACCTGTAATCCCAGCTACTTGGGAGGCTGAGGCAGGAGAATCGCTTGAACCCGGAGGGCAGAGGTTGCAGTGAGCCGAGATTGCACCACTTAACTCCAGCCTGTGCAAAAGAGCAAAACTCCATCTAAAAAAAAAAAAAAAAATTATGCTATTTTTAAAGCATTGAATTCGAGGAATTAGAAAAGAGTAAAATATATTAGGTGTTACCTTTACTGAAAAATGCTTATAAGAATGAAAAGAGATTTAATTCTAAAGATGAGACTTCGATTTGATTTTTACCACATTATGGTCAAGCTCAATTGTATGCTTGGTTTTTAAATTAACTGTATGATTTGAAAGATCTGAGGTGCTTTTTTTTCAACTTGAGTGGATCTCACATCTGAATAGAAAATTGATCAAATTCTGTGTATGGGTCGGGTGCAGTGGCTCACACCTGTAATCCCAGCACTTTGGGAGGCCAAGGCGGGTGGATCACTTGAGGCCAGGAGTTCAGGACCAGCCTGGCCAACATGGTGAAACCCCGTCTCTACTAAAAATACAAAAATTCGCCGGGCGTGGTGGCGCATGCCTGTCATCCCAGCTACTCAGGAGGCTGAGGCACGAGAATTGCTTGAACCTGGAAGGCGGAGGTTGCAGTGAGCCAAGATTGCGCCACTATACCCCAGCATGGGCCACAGTGAGACTCGGTCTCAAAAAATTTTTTTAAAAAAATCTGTGTATGGACATAGCATTTTGTATTTCTATAAACAATTTTTTCATAATTACTATTTTGTTAAAATGAAATATTCTTTAGCTATTTATTGTGTACCTATCATGTATAATACAGCGTAGGAAGTCCTATACAGATGACCGTGATGAAGAAGGCTTGTACCAACCTTCAAGGAATGTACAATTTATTAAAGGGGTATGGATATAAGGTGTGAACATAAATAACTACAGTAATTCAAAGAGGTTTCTAGTAAGTGCAGTGAGAGATACAGATTTCAAAGGGGAGAAAGGTTTCTACTTACAAGAAGAGGCACAAGGGCATTCTAGTTGGAAGAAATAACATGAATAAAAGTTCAGAAAGGAAAATGCAGAAACTATACACATTCTCCGGAATGACAATGAATAACTAGGAGTAAAATTTGGATGAAGCACAAAGTTCATATAGCATAGTATTATATTAAGATCAAAGTTGGCCGGGCACGGTGACTCATGCCTGTAATCCCAGCACTTTGGGCAGCTGAGGTGGGTGGATCACCTGAGGTCAGGAGTTTAAGACCAACCTGGCCAACATGGCAAAACCCCATCTCTACTAAAAATGCAAAAAAAATTAGCCGGGCATGGTGGTGTGCGCCTGTAATCGCAGCTACTCAGAGGCTGAGGCAAGAGAATCACTTGAACCCGGGAGGTGGAGGTTACAGTGAGCCGAGATCGCGCCACTGCACTCCAGCCTGGGTGACAGAGTGGGACTCCATTCCAAAAATAAAAAAAGATCAGTCTGGGGAGATAGTTTTGAACTTAGATGCAGATTGTTGAATCCTTGAAAACAAGGCTGGGGAGTTTGGGCTTAATTTTCATTTGGAAGACATTGGGGAAGCCATTGATGTTTTGAGTAGAATCAAGGGTGCTGAAGGAAGATCACTTTGGAGGAGTATACAGGATGAGTTGTAGCTGCATGAGACACATAGGCTGGTTAAGGCTATTGTAGTGGTTAAGACTTACTTAATAATGCCCTGGGCTGAGGTGGTGGGGTGGTATCACATCATATTTAAGAGCATGGGCTTCAGAATCAAAGGGCTCCATTTCCAACCTGATCCTGGCCTCAGTAGATTACTGAAACTAATTCTGTCCTCTGTAAAAAGGTAATAATTGTAGCACCTATCTCTTTGGGTTGCCATAAGATTTAGATCAGGCAATAATGTCTAAAACCCTCAGACTGGCATAGAGTAAGTACTCGATAAATCGTTAACATCATAAAACGTTTGAAATATTGAATGTTTTACGTAAGAAGAAAGTCAGAGATAACTACAAATTTGAGCCTCAGTATTAGGGAAATGGCATCATAAAAGAGACTTTCCCCCTAAATTTCATGGGGAAAGCACATGATTCCAGTTTTATGAAGATAATTTTTGATGTGCAGGAGTTCTGGCTAGGTGTAAATCCACAACAGGTTGTTAAAACTAGAGAAGTAGCCAGGCACGGTGGCTTACGCCTATAATCCCAGCACTTTGGGAGGCCGAGGCGGGTGGATCACGAGGTCAGGAGATTGAGACCATCCTGGCTAACACAGTGAAACCCTGTCTACTAAAAAATACAAAAAAATTAGCCAGGCGTGGTGGCAGGCGCCTGTAGTCCCAGCTACTTGGAAGGCTGAGGCAGGAGAATGGCATGAACCCGGGAGGCGGAGCTTGCAGTGAGCCAAGATTGTGCCACTGCACTCCAGCCTGGACAACAGAGCCAGACTCCGTCTCAAAAAAAAAAAAAAAAAAAAAAACTAAAGAAGTCAATCCAAGGTATGCACTGGTTTCCTATAGAGGTGAAATATTTAAGTTTAAAGTATCTGATGAACTTCAAAAGTATATGTATGCTTTGTTAATAAACTGATAATTACAGGATTTTAAAACCTTCACATTTCTTTTCTAATTTTATCCTCATTTGACTAAGATACTAGATTGCAGAATCCACACACTGTACCTTTTTTGTTTACTGTTATATCTACAATACCTAGTAGTACAGTGTGGGTGAAGAAGGTTGTCAGCAAATGAATATTTATATATTTCAGTGAATGAATATTATATCCTTGCTTTGTAAGTAATAACTTGCACACATTACTTAAGTTGTTAAGGGAGACTTGGCTTTGAGTCTCTTGATGCCTAGCTTTCAGCAACAAGTTGAGAGGTGACAATTTATAAAGCACTAAATGTTAGCGTAATTTGAATATGGCGATGCCATTTTCTTTTCCTTTTTTTTTTTTTTTTTTAACATAGTCTCGCAGCTGGAGTGCAGTGGCACAATCTTGGCTCACTGCAACCTCCGCCTCCTGGGTTCAAGCAATTCTCCTGTCTCAGCCTCCCAAGTAGCTGAGAGTAGCTGGGGCTACAGACTCACGCCATGATGCCTGACTAATTTTTGTATTTTTAGTAGAGACGAGGTTTCACCATATTGGTCAGGCTGGTCTCGAACTCCTGACCCCAGGTGATCCATCCACCTCTGCCTCCCAAAGTGCTGGGATTACAGGCATGAGCCACCGTGCCTGGCCAGCGATGCCATTTTCTAGAGAACTATTTTAAATATATCAAGTTTATATAACAAAATTGGAAAATGACGGTTGTGGAGACTAAAATGCAAATCAAGTTAGTACATGGAAAAGTAATTATTGAGCTCATATGGATTTTCATAAATGATAAGAATATTTCTTACTGTCTTCTTTTTTTTCATAGGGGCATTACTCTAGTGTGCCTTAAATGTGATTTCCTAGCTGATTCTTCCGGCTTAGATCGTATGGCTAAACACTTAAGTCAACGTAAAACTCATACTTGCCAAGTTATAATAGAGAATGGTACGTATATATAATTGTGTTTCTTTGATTTTCTGATATTTATTTCAGTACTTTTGATCGGACACCATATGGACCCATGTATTAAATTGATAGTCTCACTCTTCATATATGCTATTGTAAATGTAAAACTCTTTTGATTTCAGTTTCCAAAAGTACCTCAACTTCTGAACCCACTACTGGGTAAGTTTAATTTTCCTTCAGTGCATTTTGCTTTGATGGACTTTAGCACTGTTGTATTTTTTAATGAATCATTAATATTAATATAAATGAAAAATATTAAAGTTTTTTTTTTTTTTTCTTAAAGCTGCTCATTGAAATAGATTCCTGCTCCATGGAGTTCATGCAACCTGGTGCAAGACAAGTTGGAAGTTCCTAAGTTCAAAGTTCTGAAGTATTTTCTCACACAAAGGGCAGTTAAACAGCCAAGTTTATGACACTAGCTCTCATTATTCAGCTCTTTTCAGCTTTCAGATGCCACTACATTGTTATTCCACCTTATCTTTGCGTCAGGTTAACATATCTTAACATATTTTTTTCTCCAGTTGGCTCTCTCCAAAAATGCCTTTTGTTTTTCTCTGCTATACTTGACTTGCCTTCAGAATATTACATTCCAGATAATATGACTGTTCATCTTTTTCTGTCTGTTTTGTCTGCTTTCTTAATTTCTTATAAGTCTTACATGTTTAGGTCAGATAACCATTTTTTCTTCATTCCTTGTTCATTACTGTTCTATTTTTCATATTTTTCAAATGAAGAAGCAACACATAAGTTTCAAAAAATATCCAGGGTACTCCTGGACAGTGTCCCCTTTTGATGGACACAACTGATACCTGTTCTTTCTTTCCAAGAAATGTGAATTATTTGACTGTGAGACGTCCTCTAGTTTGTGGCCTTCAGAAATCAGATCTTGGGGAGAGTCCCTTCCTACCTGACTGACCTCCCATAAGGCTGATGCTGATTTGGCCAGAGATGACCTCAAGGCCCACCAAATAGAGCACAACTTCCCATTGGGAGCTTTGGCTTTTGATCTTAAGCTTATGGGTCGATTCTAACCAAGAAAAGTCCATGAGATCAGTGCTTCAACATCCAGGTTGACGTTTAACCATTTTGGCTGCTGCTCTTTAATTTTCCTCTAGCAGGCATGCAGTCCAAGGAATATCAAAATTCTGATTGTATGGGAACCAAGGTTACTTTCTTGTTCTTGGATAAAGAAAATTTCTACAATTACAGTTCCCAAAGACACAGTTGTTCATGTTATTTAAAGTTTTATCCAGTATTCTAGGAATTTTCAGCAATACTAATATTCTCATTTTTAAACATTTTTTACATTTTATTTTGTTTTATTTTGGTAGCTTGGTTTTATATTGTTTTTAGATCAGTGCTTCAACATCCAGGCTGACGTTTAGCCATTTTGGCTGCTGTTCTTTAATCTTCCTCTAGCAGGCATGCAGTCCAAGGAATATCAAAATTCTGGTTGTATTGGGAACCAAGGTTACTTTCTTGTTTTTGGAAAAACAAAATTTCTACAATTACAGTTCCCAAAGTCAGTTATTCATGTTTTCATTTAAAGTTTTATCCAATATTCTAGGAATTTTCAGCAATACTGATATTCACTTTATTTTTTTTCTTTTTTTAAGACAGAGTCTTGCTCTGTCACCCAGGCTGGAGTGCAGTGGCGCGATCTTGGCTCACTGCAAGCTCCGCCTCCTGGGTTCACGCCATTCTCCTGCCTCAGTCTCCCAAGTACCTGGGATGACAGGCGCCTGCCACCACGCCCGGCTAATTTTTAATTTTTTGTATTTTTAGTAGAGACAGGGTTTCACCATGTTAGCCAGGATGGTCTCGATCTCCTGACGTCGTGATCAGTCCGCCTCGTCCTCCCAAAGTGCTGGGATTACAGGTGTGAGCCACTGCACCCGACCGATACTCACATTTTTAAACTTTTTTTTTAATTTTATTTTGGTAGCTAGGTTTTATATTGTTCTTAAATTTATTTTACTCTATTTTATTTTTCCATCACTTCTTTGTCCCAGATTCATGAAATTTGCTGATGTCCATTTTATGTCTACTTTTGAACTCTTCTCTTTGTGTTTGTTTTGTTCTTATTACAAACTCCAAGACATTTCTTAGAATTGTCTACAGATTTCGTGTAGCTACTTATTGGTAGCTTCTTAATTTCATACTTGTCCAGACCATTAGACATTATTACATGCTCTGTCTTGGGCCTATCATTAACATTAGCTTAGGGATTCTGATTTCAAAGACATAAAGAATTGGCAAAACTCTTCTTACAGAACTTAAAACAAGTTTTAAAGTTACATTTCTATACATCTAATACATAATACCTTCTTAGCCATTAATGTAATTCCTCTGGATAAAGATAATATATTCAAAAAATATTGGGACCAAAAAATGCACTTGTTTCTTGCTCATATATATATAGATGTATATTTTTTTTAATTTCTTGTTTGTTTATTTTGGTTACATTGAATACAGATTTGCTGAACAGTTTTGATGTTATTTTTTTAATAAAATTTGTATTGTTAAAGTGCCTTGGAAATTTCTAATAAATAACTTCATATAAAAGCTATCATATAACTATAGGAGCATTGCTTTGCTCCTAGTTCCGTGGAGCCTGATTGCTTGACCTGCAGACTGAAAGCTTTATCTGCTGAGCACATCTTGTACTTTTTCCTCCAGCACAGTTAAAAGCAAACTATTTACACTTTACTAATTTCTTGAGCAGCTAGCAAAAGCCCCCTTTGTGATCTTAATAGTCATGAAGGTGGGCAGGCTCTGAAGTCATTTGACTCAATATGGGTGTTTTTTAACTCCAAAATTAGAACTGGACCAGGTACAATGTCTCATGCCAGTAATCCCCAATACTTTGAGAGGCTGAGGTGGGAGCCAGGAGTTTAAGACCAGCCTGGGCAACATAGCAACACTCTGTCCCTACCACAAAAAAAAAAAAAAAAAAAAGCTGGGTGTGGTGGCATATGCCTGTAGTCCTAGCTACTCAGGAGGCTGAGGCAGGAGGATCGCTTGAGCCCAGAAGTTCGAGGCTGCAGTGAACTATGATCATGCCACTGCATTCCAGCCTAAGCCACAAAGCAAGACCCTGCTTTAAAAAAAAAAAGAAAATTAAAACTGCTTTGATATACTTTGAAACACTGAAAGCCAGTGTCATTGGCCACTGCTATGTAGTATACTCCTTGCAATTCATAGTCAGGAGTTGAATCCATTAATTTTAATTTTCCAAACAGATTTCTGCTCTAAATGATTTTCCCAAATCTCCAAAAGGGGCTTATGTCATAGTCGTGGACTTGGTAATCCTTTTCTTTCCATACCTTTCTCTAGGATGTTTTGTCAAACACCATTTTTCTACCCATTTTTTTTTTACTTTTTTTATTATGGTAAAATGTATGAAATTTGCCATTTAAAATCATTTTCATTCAGCAGCATTAATGACACCCAACTTTAAGTTTTAAACTTTTTCCCAGAAATAACAACTTATTTGCATTTTTAGCATTGGTCTTCTTTTTATTTACAGATATTTTCTCTGTCTCTATCACAGTTCAAAAATACAGAAAACCACATTCTTGCTATAGCAGTATTTTAGGTAGAGGTACAGTTTTGTGTTCTTCCATAGGATTCTGTTTCTTATACTATGTATCAAGTTATTTTAAAGTTTAATGCTCTGGAAGTTATGTGTCCCATAGCATCACTTTTTTTAAACTTTGTTTAAATAAAACTATTTATGCAGTCAGTACTAAGCTTACTTGTTATAAGCAGTTGAGTTTTAATAGGTGTTAGTGAGTTTTAGCTTGACAATCTGATCCCTCTTCACCTTCAGACTGTTAGTTATTTCACCTGATTCAGAAATAGCCATGTCATGCATGTGTCCTTTTTTGTTTTCAACTGAATAAAAGGTATGGTTGGCTCAGTTTCAGTCCATCACTATTATTATTTTTTAAAAAAACACTAAATGACAAAGACTTAGATTCTTGCCCTTCTTTGTGTCACATTTTGGCAAAACACCTCTTTCAGTCTTTTTTCTTTTTTTTTTTTTTTTGAGACGGAGTCTCGCTCTGTCGCCTAGGCTGGAGTGCAATGGGGCGATCTCAGCTCACTGCAAGCTCTGCCTCCCGGGTTCACACCATTCTGCCTCAGCCTCCCGAGTAGCTGGGACTACAGGCGCCTGCCACCACGCCCAGCTAATTTTTTGTATTTTTAGTAGAGACTGGGTTTCACCAGGATGGTCTCGATCTCCTGACCTTGTGATCCGCCCGCGTCGGTCTCCCAAAGTGCTGGGATTACAGGCTTGAGCCACTGCGCCCAGCCTCTCAGTCTCATTTATTCGGTAAATATTACCTACTATGTGCCTGGCACTGTTGTAGTTGTTGGAAATACAAACTGAAATCTCTGCCTTCATGGGACTTAAATTTCTGTGTTGGGAGACAGACAATAGAAAGTAAATAACGTATAGTATGTTAATGGTGATGAAGTCTACGGAGGAAAATAAGGGAGATAGCAACATACAGGTTGGTGGTTGAGAGGTTGCCGTTTTAAATTTGATGGTCAAGTTGGGCCTCCTTGAGAAGATGGCATTTGAGTAAAGACCTGAAGGAGGTGAGGAAGTGAGCCACCTGGGTATCTGTCAGAGGAGCTTTCTAGAGAGGGGAAACAAGTGCAAAAGCCCTGAGGCAGAAATTGGAACCCTCATGTATTGCTGGTGGCAGTGTAAAATGGTCCAGCCACTATGAAAAACAGTTTGGCAGTTCCTCAAAAAGGTTAAGTGTAGAATTACCATATGACCCGGCAGTTTCACTCCAAAGAATCCAAAGCAGAGACTCAGATACTTGTATATGCATGTTCATAGCAGCACTATTCACAATAGCCAAAAGATAGAAATTGCCTAAATGTCACCCACAGATAAAGGGATAAATAAATTATGGTGTGTTGCCGGGCGCGGTGGTTCATCCCTGTAATTCCAGCACTTTGGGAGGCCGAGGCAGGTGGATCACCTGAGATCAGGAGTTTGAGACCAGCCTGTGCAACATGGCAAAACGCCGTCACTACTAAAAATACAAAAATTAGCTGGGTGTGGTGGTGGGTGCCTGAAGTCCCAGCTACTGGGGAGGCTGAGGCACAAGAATCACTTGAACCTGGGAGGCAGAGGTTGCAGTGAGCTGAGATCACACCACTGCACTCCAGCCTGGGTGACAAAGCAAGACTCTGTCTCAAAAGTTATGGTGTGTCCATACAACGGAATATTTTTCAGCCACAAAAAAGAACAAAGTGCTGATACTTGCTACAGTGTGTATGGACCTCTTAAACATTATGTTAAGTGAAAGAAAACAGTCATAAAAGGTCATATGTTGTGTGATTCCGTTTATATGAAATATCCACGCAGGAACAGAAAACCAAATACCACATGTTCTCAGAGCTAAAAATGAGAACTCATGAACACAAGGGAACAACAACAGACACTATTGAGGGTGTTCATGAACCACTTGTAAGGTGGAACATGTAACGAGGCTAGCAATAATCATTTTCATGTCAGGCGTGGCAGCTCATGCATGTAATTCCAGCACTTTGGGAGGCCGCGGCGGGTGGATCATGAGGCCAGGAGTTTGAGACCAGCCTGGCCAACATGGCGAAAACCTGTCTCTACCAAAAAATACAAAAATTAGCCTGGTGTGGTGGCACACGCTTGTAATCCCAGCTCCTTGGGAGGCTGAGGCAGGAGAATCACTTGAACCCGGGAGGCGGAGGTTGCAGTGAGCCAAGGTCGCACCACTGCACTCCAGCCTGGGTGACAGAGTGAGACTCCATCAAAAAAAAGAAAAAACACTTGGCACAAAGCTAAAGTAATCAGAACAGTGTGGTCCTGCCACAGGGTAGAAAAAGAGAAGTGGAATAGAATGAGAGTCCAGAAATAAACCCACACACTGCACTCAAGGGTGGCAGAGCAAGGCTCTCAAAAAATCATTTTCATATTTTTGGAAATTATATCAGGAAAAATAGTATGGTCATTGTGTTCATAAAATCTAAGGAATACATAACGGACAGTCACTTTACATGATTTCAAACTCGAGAAGTTTCAGACTTAATCGTATCTAGCTTCTCTGTAACTCATGCTTGGCTTATTAATCTACCTACTTTTCTTGGAACTATTACTATTTTCAGCCTATTATCCATTAACGAGTTTCTTACTCTGTAAAGTCTTACTTCCTGTTTAAACAGCTTCAAGAGAGTGTCTTAATACTAGGATTACAAGGTCCAAGATTCAATACCTGACTCTGCAGTAAACCCTCTCTGCACCCTTACAGGTGCAGTGCAGTGGAGTGGTTAGAGCCCAGGCTCTGCAGCAGACTGCCTAGGTTGGAATTCCTCCCCTACCAGTGATTAGATTTGTGTGTGTGACTTTAGGCTCTGTGTCTCATTTTCCTTATTTGTAAATTGCATGTAACAGCATCTACTCAGAATTGAGGGAATTAATTGAGTTAATACAGTATATGTATATCCCACTTAGAACAGTGATTGGCACACAGGAATGCAATCCAACATTGTTACGATTATTGCTACATTGTGACTACCTTTCCTGATTTTATTTGTCTTAATTTTATTCAGATAGAAATAGTTCGAATCTTCACCCAGTTTTTCATTCCAGCCTCCTCACACCACCTTCACAATCAATGACTATTAACTCTCTTTTCCTAACCCAGTGGCTTTCTTGAGGGTCACTGTTGAAGCACATAGTACTAAAGATAAGCATACCATTATATTTCTTGGTTTCTCAAGCTCACCAGACTAATATTTTTAAGGAATGTCTATCAATGCTCCTGGGTTCACTTTAGTCGTAATTGTCATTTATAAATATTAGGTTAGTGCCAAAGTAATCACGGTTTTTCCCATTACTTTCAATGGCAAAAACCGCAATTACTTTTGCACCAATCTAATAGTATTAAGATATTTCCCCTATATTATGCTACCTTATACTTGGCCACACCATAGTTCACCTCATGCTCATACTCATATACCTCTCTTCTCTGATTTTGAAACCCTTCTGCAGTTTGATTCTTGTCAGTTTGGTATTTGACCACCTGAAAAAGCTTAATATCATCAACAAACTTGGAGAGGCTGCTGTGCATGACTTCTACTGTTTCTAATCCTCCACACTGAAAAATATCTGTTTGTCCATACCACTGTGATATTCGGTGGCTGGGGGGGCTGCTGAAGAGAGTGTAGCCTCGAAATAACAGTCCTAGGTTTCAATCCTGGTTTTGTATCTGAACAGCTGTGTAGCCTTGAGTAAATTACCTGAACTTGTTCAGTCTCAGCTTCCTCATCAGTGAGAGGCATGTAATGGTGATATTCTTGCAAAGTTGTAAGGAATATATATACACAAACGCTCCTCAACTTACAATGGGGTTGCATTATGACATACCCATCCTAAATTGAAAATATCATAACTTGAAAATGCATTTAACACACCTAACTTACCTAACATCGTAGCTTAGCCTAGCCTACCTCGAATGTGCTCAGAACACTTACATTAGCCTACAGTTGGGCAAACTCTACTGGCAACACAGTACAATGTGTTTTTGGTTGTTTACCCCTTGTGATCTCATGGCTGCCTGAGAGCTGTGGCTCGCTGCCACTGCCCAGCATCACGAGAGAATCTCCTAATGCATATTGCTAGCCCAGAAAAAAAAATTGAAGTACAGTTTCTACTGAAGGTGTGTGTATCCCTTTCACAGCATTGTAGAGTCAAAAAATCATAAGTTGGCTGGACGTGGTGGCTCATGCCTATAATCCCAGCACTTTGGGAGGCAGAGGCAGGCAAATCATCTGAGCCCAGGAGTTCAAGACCAGCCTGACCAACATGGGGAAATCCCGTCTGTACTAAAAATACAAAAATTAGTCGGGTGTGGTGGTGCACGCCTGTAGTCCCAGCTACTCTGGAGGCTGAGGTGGGAGGATCACCTGAGCCCAGGAGGCGGAGGTTGCAGTAAGCCAAGATGGTGCCCCTGCACTCCAGCCTGGGCGAGGGAGAAAGACTCTGTCTCAACAACAACAACAAAAGTCATAAGTCTGGCCGGGCACGGTGGCTCATGCCTGTAATCTCAGCACTTTGGGAGGCCAAGGCGGGAGGATCACAAGGTCAGGAGTTCAAGACCAGCCTGGCCAACATGGTGAAACCCTGTCTCTACTAAAAAAAAAAAATACAAAAATTAGCTGGGCATGGTGGCGTGTGCCTGTAATCCCAGCTTCTTGTGAGGCTGAGGCTGGAGAATTGCTTGAACCTGGGAGGCGGAGGTTACAGTGAGCCGAGGTGGCGCCACTGCACTCCAGCCTGGGCAACAGAGCACGACTCCATCTCAAAAAAAAAAAAAAAAAAAAAACTCATAAGTCAAACCATTGTAACTCGAGGACCATCTGTATATTATATATGTATAACGTTTGGCTCTGGCGTGACAGAGTAGACAATGAATAAACAATGCTGATGTTACTGCTACTCCTGCTGCTGCTTCAGCTGTTATTGCTGTTAATTCTGTTACTGCTGTTACTATCACTACTGCTGAGACCCTGGAAACAACACATCAGTGGAATCTTCTCTGACAGTTTTAGTGGCAATCCATCAACATTGTGGTTATTCATAACTTTGGCTTATAATTCCCAGGTCTTGAAGTACATTCCTTCAAACTGTCGGGTGGATGACATCTTATCACAGTGCTTCAATTACATGTGGCATAATTCTCTAATGTCGGAAATGAGCGTAGCTCTGGCTTTTTCTGTCTAAGGACTACGAAATGACACTGCCTTATTGAAAACTACTACGGAATCCTGTCTGCTCTGGAGGGAAGCATTCCTTTTGTGCTAAAGAACCCCTTCTTTAAAAGAAACTTCTTTATTCATTATTACCAGTAATTCACTTCCAGAAATAAAGGAATCTTGAATCAATGAAATCTTGGGTACTTATTCAATACAATTAATTATATGAAAACGTAATTTTTTTTTCTTTTTTTTTTTTTTTTTTGAGACAGGGTGTTGCTCTGTCACCCAGGCTGGAGTGCAGTGGCACGATCTCGGCTCACTGCAACCTCTGCCTCCCGGGTTCATGCGAGTCTCCTGCCGCAACCTCCTGAGTAGCTGGGATTACAGGCACCCGCCATCACGCCCAGCTAATTTTTTTTGTATTTTTAGTGGAGACGGGGTTTCCCCATGTTGGTCAGGCTGGTCTCGAACTCCTGACCTCAGGTGATCCACCCGCCTCAGCTTCCCAAAGTGCTAGGATTACAGGCGTGAGCCACCGTTCCTGGCCAAAAACATGTAATTTTAAATAGCAGTAGTAAAGTGTTCTTTCCTTTTGTAGGACTTTTAAAATGATTGAGAAATACCTTACTTTCTCAGAGAGTAGGGATATTTTCACTCAATCTTGAAATCGTCCTTTTCTGTTTTCCCCTTATCTCCATTTTTCCCCCTCGTCTATCTTCTCCAGTATGTTCTCCTAACTAGATTATCATAACATAGAATCGAAGGAAAGTGTTAAGTTGTGTAAGTGTTTTTCTTGATAAAATAACAGAAGAGGGTATTTCTATCTAGCAAATCTTCAGTGCCTCAGAACATAAGAATCCTTGATAAATTAGTAGATACCCCAAGCTTGGAAAACTCAGCTACTTAACAAGTTGTCTTATTGATTGAGTCAAATCCTTAAAGGCCACAATTTGAAGTAATTTCAAACAGTTGATTTAGTTCTCTTGGTAACTTCCAAGTGGCTTTGCGGTCAAGTTACCTCAGTTTTGAATAATTTAAAAGAAGGACATATTCAGCACAGCTTCATTTTTAAAACTGAATGATTGGGCGCTACATGAATGATCTTCCATTTTCATTCTTTACAAGTGTCCTTTATGTCAGGGGAATTGGATAAGGAATAATACACAAATGTTTATGCATAAAATACATTTTATATTTTATCTAAATTCAAGGAAATACCATAAAGGTGATTTTCGATTCCATTATGCAAATGCAGAAACTGAGGTAACATCATTCTGAAAATAAATGGTTATCAGGAAGTACTGGCTTGTTCATACTATAGAGCACCATTTTTCCTGCTCTGGTTTTAATCCCTCTTCCCTTCTTTCTTTACTGAAAGGTCTATACTATTCGAAGCTGACTTCTGATCTGTTGACAAGTAAACAATCCTTATCTAGAGACCTAAAACTTCGTTCTCTTCATAGCTGTCTTAACATGCATATGGCCATAGAAACCAGTGCACAATCACTATTTTTGTTGTTCAGAGGAATGGAGAACTGAAAAGGACCTTGGAGGTCATTTCTTCCCATCCTTCAAATGGTGCAGGAAGCTCCTCTAAAATACCTCTTTTTTAAAAGTTTCAGTTGTTCAAGCTGGCCCATCCGTTCCTAGACTTTCCATCCCCCTGCCTTGCCCTCCCCTCCTGGGAGGATGATTTGTTCCTCAGGAGCCTGCTCAACCCTTACCCCCACGTTCTGGGCCCAAGCCTGACCTAAGAATGAATTCAGCTAAGAATGAAGGGAATGAAGTTGTCGATCTCCGGATAAGGATTGTTTACTTGTCGACAGATCAAAAGTCAGCTTTGAATAGTACAGACCTTCCATTAAAGAAAATGCTCTGATTTGATTAAAACCAGGGCAAGGAAAATGGTGCTCTATAATGTGAACAGGTCAGTACTTCCTGATAACCATTTATTTTCTGAATGACAAATTACCTCAGTTTCCACCTCTGCAAAATGGAATTGAAAATCATTTTTACAGGATTTTCTTGAATTTCAATAAAATAATATCTGGCATCTAACATCAACTCCCATCTAATCTACTAGTTAATCCTAAATGAAGCAGAGATGGGACCATTAACTTCAGGCCCAGGAGCACATCCTCCTCTCAGGGTTGAGAGAAATAGAGAAAGATAAGGGAAATTAACATTGTGGTTCAGACCATTCAGTTCTAGTCTGCTCCAACACTTGCAGTCATGTGGCCTTCGGCAGGAAGCTTTGATCATTCTGTACCTCAGAGGGTAATTGTGATGTGAGGATTAAGCATGACGGTCCACATTAAGCATATAACATTGTACTTAGTAGTACACAGCACTCGATAAATGTTAGCTGCTATTAATAATTGTCATTATTTCGGTTGGAAGCATCGAGACTGAAAACTAGATGTGGTCTGATATCATCCTTCTCATTTGGTGATCTCCCTAAATAGACAGGGAGAACAACAATGCCTGGGGTACCTCTCCTTTATCTGAGGTGCCAGGGTTTCTACCTGGAATTGGTGAGTAGGGGTTAGGTCAGCCTGTTTTGTTTTGTTTTGTTTTGTTTTGTTTTGTTTTGTTTTGAAACGGAGTCTCACTCTGTCGCCCAGGCTGGAGTGCAATGGCGCTATCTTGGCTCATTGCAACCTCTGCCTCCCAGGTTCAAGCGATTCTCCTGCCTCAGCCTCCCAAGTAGCTGGGATTACAGGCAAGGGCCACGAGGCCCAGCTAATTTTTTGTATTTTTAGTAGAGATGGGGTTTCACCATGTTGGCCAGGCTGGTCTCAAACTCCCAATCTCAGGTGACCCACCCGCCTCAGCCTCCCAAAGTGCTGGATTACAGGTGTGAGCCACCGTGCCTGGCCCAGGTTTTTTATTTATGCTTGTACCTGAAACTTTCTCCAGTACTTTAAGATTAAATTCAGAGGGTCACAGTACCTACTTTATCGATGGGGAAGGGATTAAGTACCACCTATAGATTCAAATCAGGTTATGAGGTCCATTTCTCATTCTAGTTCAACTACATCATGGCTTAGGGGCCTCTCTCTATGCCCTCTGGTGGGTTTGTTTGTTTTTCTGAGACGGAGTCTTGCTCTGTCGCCCAGGCTGGAGTGCAGTGGCGTGATCTCAGTGGCGAGATCTCAGCTCACTGCAACCCCTGCCTCCCGGGTTCAAGCAATTCTCCCACCTCAGCCTCCTGAGTAGCTAGGATTATGGGTGCACGCCACCACACCCAGCTAATTTTTGTATTTTTAGTAGAGACAGGGGTTTCACCGTGTTGGCCAGGCTGGTCTCCATCTCCTGACCTTGCGATCCACCCACCTTGGCCTCCCAAAGTGCTGGGATTACAGGCGTGAGCCACCGCGCCCGGCCAATCCTGGTAGTCTTTAAGAGAGACCACTGGCCAGGCGCGGTGGCTCACACCTGTAATCCCAGCACTTTGGGAGGCCAAGGTGGGCAGATCACGAGGTCAGGAGATCGAGACCATCCTGGCCAACACGGTGAAACCCCATCTCTACTAAAAATACAAAAAATTAGCCGGGCGTGGTGGCAGGCACCTGTAGTCCCAACTACTTGGGAGGCTGAGGCAGGAGAACAGCGTGTACCCAGGAGGCGGAGCTTGCAGTGAGCCAAGATTGCGCCACTGCACTCCAGCCTGGGCGACAGAGGGAGACTCCGTCTCAAAAAAAAAAAAAAAAGACTACCAGGACTGCCTACCTACCCAGCTTCAAAATCTGTCTCCCTGGGCAGGTGAGGTGTTTCTCAATGTCTCCTCTCTGTCCCTCCCTTCTACCAGTCTAGTAGGTTTCACAGACTCCCCTTAGGAGAGTTAAGCCCTAGTGATTTGGCAGAGGTAGCTGCAGGGCACTCCCAGCCCATTCCCTTTTATGAGTAACCCCTCTAGTTCCAGGTGTCTAAATGCACAGATTGGGACCAGGATTAGCGCCTTCTGTTTGAGCGTCCATCCCGGGAAATGGTCAGTACTGGTCAGAAAAAAACTGATAAACTTTCCTGCCTCCTGCCTTCACTAATTAGTCTTACCAGCAGGAGGCGCGCGGCAGACATGTAATCTATTTTTTCTCACTCTCATCTTGAGCCTTGTGTCCAGAGTGGTTGATACTCAGGTTATACTCGGGATTAATCTTTGGTTGTCTCTTATAGATAAGAGGCTCTTGCTTCCTAGTTTCAAGGAAACAACCCAAGGACGTTGGGTATAACTGGAACCGTTTCACTTACCCTAAGTTTAGGGCCTGAAAAGATCCACTTTATCAGGCTGAGTTCCCTGGTTACCCAGATCGCCCTGGGGTTCATACAGCTGGTTTTGAAGCTCTGGCTCAGGAAAAGTCATTTCTGATTTTAGGGCTCACTAGGAAGCCTAGGGGTAATGACCCCGTCCCCACCCCACCCCCACCCCAGACCTAGAGGCACATCAGAATCAGCTGTGGACATTCTAACAATACAAATTAATTCCTGGGCCTGCCCCCAAGATCTGCCTGACCAGAGTGTTGGGGGCTGTGGCCCCAGGAGTCTGTACTTTAACAAGTCCCTCACTGGTTTCATGCTGTTAGCTGTGAACTGGCATTTGGGAACCACTAATCTAGGGGAATCTCTGGGAACCTGTCTCAGTCCTCCTGCCCCAGCACAGCCTCTTAGGGGCATAGAAGTCAAGGGGACTTGGAATCAGAACAAGGATTTTTTGTTTTTTGTTTTTTGTTTTTGTTTTTGAGATGGAGTCTTGCTCTGTTGCCCAGGCTGAAGTGTAGTGGTGTGATCTTGGCTCACTGCAACCTCTGTCTCCCTGGTTCAAGTAATTCTCCTGCCTCAGCCTCCCGAGTAGCTGGGACTACAGGCATGCACCACTACGCCTGGCTAATTTTGTATTTTTAGCAGAGACAGGATTTCGCCATGTTGGCCAGGCTTGTCTCGAACTCCTGACCTCAGGTGATCCACCCACCTCGGCCTCTGCACCCGGCCCAGAACAAGGTTTTAACTCATGTGGCTGTGCCACTTGAATCATGCTGGGATTTTCAAGGGACTTGGAAGTGGTTCAGGAGACTAGGGAGGCCCTTAGGGAGCAAGGCCCCTTCCAGTGAGGCAATGAGGGATGCTGTATAAAGGAGGGGCCTCTTTAAGGTAAGGAAGAATTATGTCCCCTCAGGTGTTACAAGAGGATAAATACTGACCTCTCTCTGCATCTGCTGGTGACAGTTGCAGAAGAAGCTGAGCCTTGCTTTCCAGGGATCTCTCAGCACATCTGTGTGCCCTCCTCTGCCCCCAGCACGCACTGAGGGTGGGCTGAGTCAGCTTCCCTCAAGGGGTGGGGGCTGCTCCAGCTATTCTGGGCTGGGCATCCTTCCCTGGCACTACTCTAGGTGGTGGTGCTCAGAGCAGCATCTGGTCCTGGGCTCTCTGATGGAAGGACCCTGGCAAGACAGTCCCCAGGCTGGATCCGGGGGCCTGAGCAAATGAGCAGGTATTGAGGGAAAGGATAGTTTGGGGGGCCCAGTGGCAAGATGCTGTAGCCCCAAAGGCAGGGCAGCAGAGTCAGCTGGCTGTGTGGTCCCCAGCTTCTGCCCAAGGCAAGGACATCCCGGAGACTCCTTTGGCCCAGAGTTGACATAAGTGTCAACCCACTGGGCTTCCTGGAGGTATCCAGTCTGCGGCATCTGATTCAGGGAGGAATGTCCTAGACGGGCCTCCTGGGTAGTGAATGTCCTGCTGGCCAGGCCCCCATGGGTCAGGGAAACTGGCTGGGGTAAACCTGGCATCCCTACAAGAGTCCCAGAGCTGGGAACTGGCTAGAAAGACAGTGTAATATCATAGAAAGAGCCTAGACTTGACGTGAGACAGATCCCCGTTCATCGCTTACTACATTGGACAAGTCACTAAGTCTCAGTGCATCCATGTTCTTGTTCATACAATGGAAATCAGCCAGGCATGGTGGCTCACTCTTGTAATCCCAACACTTTGGGAGGCCAAGGCAGGAGGATCACTTGAGCCCAGGGGTACAAGACCAGTTTGGGCAACACAGCAAGACCCCATCTCTATACAAAAACCATTTTCTCTTTTTTTTTTTTTTTATTTGAGACAGAGTCTTGCTCTGTCACCCAGGCTGGAGTACAGTGATGCCATCTCAGCTCACTGCAACCTCCGCCTCCTGGGTTCAAGCTATTCTCCTGCCTCAGCTTTCCGGGTAGCTGGGACTACAGGCGCGTGCCACCGCACCCAGCTAATTTTTGTATTTTTAATAGAGATGAGGTTTTCCCGTGTTGGCCAGGCTGGTCTCAAACTCCAGACCTCAGGTGATCTGTCCGCCTCGGCCTCCCAAAGTGCTGGGATTACAGACGTGAGCTACCACACCCAGCCAAAACTTTTTCTTAATTAGCCAAGTGTGGTGGCACACACTTGTGGTCCTAGCGACTCAGGAGGCTGAGACAAGAGGATCGCTTGAGCCTAGGAGTTTGAGGTTGCAGTGGGCCGTCATCACACCACTGCACTATAGCTTGGGCAACACAGCAAGACCCTGTCACTAAAAGTAAATAATAAAAAATTAAAATGGAGGCTGGGCGTGGTGGCTCACACCTGTAATCCCAGCACTTTGGGAGGCTGAGGTGGGCAGATCACAAGGTCAGGAGTTTGAGACCAGCCTGACCAACATAGTGAAACGCCGTGTCTACTAAAAAAAAAAGCAAAGACAAAAATTAGCTGGGCGTGGTGGTGTGCACCTGTAATCCCAGGTACTCGGGAGGCTGAGGCAGGAGAATCACTTGAACCCTGGAGGCGGAGGTTGCGGTGAGCTGAGATCATGCCACTGCACTCTAGCCTGGGCGACAGAGTGAGACTCCGTCTCAAAACATAAATAAATAAACAAACAAACAAATAAATAAATGGAAATCATTATCCCACTCCATAAGGTTGAAGGAGCATTAAATGAGCTAGTGAATGAATGTAAAGTGTTTCAGCGCGGTGCCCGGTGCATTATAAGCATTCAAATGTTAGTAATTATTTCTCCAGGTTCTTTGTCTGTAGCACAGGCAAAGTCCCAAAGGTACAGATCTAGATAGTGAAGGGGAGCCATAGAAGAAAGGCAGGGACCAACATGAATAGTTCCAGAGACACAGTAATGCCAAATGATGCTGGAGGCACTGTCCTTCCTTTGAATCCCTCCACTCCTCACCAACCTCACAGAAACAAGAGTCTCATGGTTCTCTGGCCTCCTGGGTCCCCTTCTACTGGGTATGCTGTGGGTCAAGCCTATTCCCATATTCTATCCCTCAATCTGAGGGAGGCCTGAGCACCATCATACAACCGTGCTGTTGCCATCATTCAGTTCTGGGGCTGCAAAAGAGATCTCACTAGCTATTTGAGACCGAACTGAACAACATAGAGAAACACCATCTCCACAAAAACTAAAAATAAATTATCTGGGCATGGTGGTACATGCCTGTAGGCCCAGCTACTCGGGAGGTGGAAGGGGGGAGTTGCCTGGGTTGAGAGGTCGAGGCTGCAGTGAGCCAAGATCGTGCCACTGCACTCCAGCCTGGGCGACAGAGTGAGATCCTGTCTCAAAAACATAAAATAGGAGGCTGGGCATGGTGGCTCACGCCTGTAATCCCAGCACTTTGGGAGGCCAAGGCCTCACTTGAGGTCAGGAGTTTGAGCCTGGCCAACATGGTGAAACCTCGTCTCTACCAAAAATACAAAAATTAGCTGGGTGTGGTGGTACACTTGTAATCCCAGCTGCTCAGGAGGCTGAGGCGGGAGAATCACTTGAACCTGGGACACAGAGGTTGTAGTGAGCTGAGACTGTGCCACTGCACTCCAGCCTGGGCAACAGAGTGAGACTCCATCTCAAATAAAAATAATAATAATAATAATAAAATAAAATAGGAAAAGAAAAGAAAACTCCCAGTCATGGCCCATAGCGCCCCCATAGACCTGGCCTTACCTATTTCTTGCCACTCTCTCCTTTGCTTGCTCTATTCCAGCCATCTCCATAGTAGCCCCCTTTCTGTCCCTCAAACACGCCAATGTCACACCACCTGCCTCTGGATCTTGACATTTGCTGTTTCTGCTGCTTGGGGTTCTCTTCTCCCTTTTTCTTTTCTTTATTTCTTTTTTTTTTTTTTCTGAGACAGAATCTCACTCTCTCACCCAGGCTGGAGGGCACTAGTGCGATCTTGGCTCACTGGAGCCTTCACATTCCCAGCTCAAGGGTTCCTCCCACCTCAACCTTCCGAGTAGCTGGAACTACAGGTACGCAACATTGCACTGGGCTAATTTTAATTTTTTTTTTCTAGAGACAGGGTCTCACCATATTGCCCAGCCTGGTCTTGAACTCCTGGGCTCAAGCAATCCTCCCATCTTGGCCCCCCAAAGCTCTGAGATTACAGGCATGAGTCATTGCACCTGTCCCTGGTTGCTTTTCTTCATTCAGTTCTCAGCTCAAGTGGCATCTCTTCAAAGATGTCTTTTGTGCCACTCCAGCAATATGTTACCCTCCCCCACGTCTGTCACCTTCAATTCATTTACCCTGTTTTGTGGCTCCCAGAGTCCTTATCACTCTCTCAAATGAGCTTATGTAGGGTCCTCATTTCTTGTTTAGTGTCTGTCTCCTTTAGGAGAGCAGGACTTTGTTCATGTATGTAACCCCAGGATTCAGAACAGTGGCACATAGTGGGCTCTCAGTGAATGTTTGTTAAAAGCCTAGGAGGTGGCCAGGCGCAGTGACTCATGACTGTAATCCCAGTACTTTGGGAGGCCGAGGTGGGCAGATCACCTGAGGTCAGGAGTTTGAGACCAGCCTGGCCAACATGGTGAAACCCCGTCTCTAGAAAAATACAAAAATTAGCTGGGCATGGTGGTGGGCACCTGTAATCCCAGCTACTCGGGAGGCTCAGGCAGGAGAATTGCTTGAATCCGGGAGTGGAGGTTGCAGTGAGCCAAGATTGTGCCATTGCACTCCAGCCTGGGCGACGAGAGTGAAACTCTGTCAAAAAAAAATAAGAAAGAAAGAAAGGAAGGAAGGAAGGAAGGAAGGAAGGAAGGAAGGAAGGAAGGAAGGAAGGAAAAAAGAATGAAAGAAAGAAAGAGGAGGAGAGGGGAGGGGAGGGGAGGGGAGGAAAGAAAGCCTAGAAGCCTAGAAGTTGTCAGAGGCAATCCTGGTTAGAGGGCTCATAACACTAGGAATGTTGTCATCCTTGGCCCCTGTAACTGAAGAAAGAGGCCTGACCAAGAGGGGCCTGGACCCAAACTGAAATGCACCCATTAGGACAGACAAATGCACTTGTAGTAACTGAGCAGTAGCCTAGGTCTGCAAGCCAGGTGACGGCAACCAAAAGGCGACACAACAACAGGTTGTGTCCTGAGCAAGGAGTCAGTGTCTGGAGTGTGAGACAAGGTCGTGGGATGTTCCATCTGGGAGAGGTATAGCAACCAGGCTTCCAGCACACAGCTCATCCACAGACAGTGGGAGCCCAGCCCTTTGGGGGAGATTCTGGGGCTGGGAGTTGGATGGGGACAACTAGTAAGAAAAGCAGCTCTAACTGGAGTGCTAGGCAGATTCCAAAGACTGAGATCCAGGCAAAAGTCAAGTGACGAGAACCAGACTGGGGGCTGGACTGAGTCTGAGGCCACTGGGGGCTGAACTGAGTCTGAGGCCAGAGGGGGATGGGATGGGGTGGAGAGGGCTGCAAGGATGAGCCAGGCAGGACTAGACAAGCTCTTTATTTGGGTGGGAAGAACATCTGGTGTGTGTTACCCTTCGCTGTCTAGGAGCAGAGCTCCATATGCCTAACAGAGGAAAGTGTTCAAGAGCTGTCTTCCCGAGACCCCCTCACAGCGGGATTCCAACAAGAGAGACCCCTAAAGGAGCACACCATCTTTCATGCAAAGAAATCCACCTGGAGCTATTGTAGACAAGCCTTTACTAGCCACTTTTAGTTACTTTCACAATTGGACAAGGAGCTTTCGTATCAATAATAAGACCAGATGTATGAGAAATAACTATAGGACTCTCCTGCTGGAAAACTACCAAGAGCTCTCATTGGCTCAGAAAGTAAGTCCGAGCTCGGTGCGGTGGCTCACGCCTGTAATCTCAGCACTTTGGAAGGCAGAGGCAGGCAAATCACCTGAGGCCAGGAGTTGAGACCAGCCTGGCCAACGTGGTGAAACCCTGTCTCTACTAAAAAATACAAACATTAGCTGGGCGTGGTGGCAGGTGCCTGTAATCACAGCTACTCAGGAGGCTGAGGCAGGGAGAATTGTTTGAACCCGGGAGGTGGAGGTTACAGTGAGCTGAGATCGCACCACTGCACTCCAGTCTGGGCAACAGAGCGAGACTCTGTCTCAGAAAAAAAAAAAAGTCTCCAAACTGTTCTGCCTGATGCACAAGCCCTTCCCAACCTCGGCTCCTGTTAGCACTGCTCAGCTCTCCTTGGGCCAGACCCCCAGTTGTCCTCTCTTCCAACTTCCAAGGTCATTCCTGCCCCCCTGATTTTGCCCTGATTTTGCCCGCTTCCCTCTCCTTTACCAATCTAAACCTTACACATTATTTAACAAACAAAACAAATCTAAGTATTTTCCTATGAGCCCTCCCTGATATTGAATACATAATGCTCTCACTTCCCATGGCACAACCTCACACTTGGTGATGTTGTTGTCTAGTTTTTGTTTGCACGTACTTTCAGTGTGTACATCGTTCCTGCAAATAGATCATAGGGTCTCTGAACATAGAGAATGTGTCCTCTTGTAACATTTCTTCCCTAGCACCTAGCAAAGGTCTGGGGACATGATAGATATTTGTTGCTTGAGCCCTGCCCATCCAAGAAAGAATGGGGGTGGGGGTCACAGTCGGAACAGCCTTAGGGTTCAAGACTGATTGGTGAAAAATGGGAAGCAGAATCTAACTATTCTGGAAGTAATTGGGCCCACTGGACCAACTCTCCTTTTTTTTTTTTTTTTTTGACACAGTTTCACTCTGTCACCCAGGCTGGAGCACAGTGGCACAATCTTGGCTCACTGCAACCTCCGCCTCCCAGGTTCAAGTGATTCTCCTGCCTCAGCCCTCGAGTAGCTGGGATTACAGGCATGTGCCACCATGCCTGGCTAATTTTTGTATTATTAGTAGAGACAGGTTTTCGCCATGTTGGCCAGGCTGGTCTCTAACTCCTGACCTCAAGTGACCTGCCTGCCTCAGCTTCCCAAAGTCTTGGTATTACAGGCGTGAGCCACTGCGTCCGGCCATACTTTTTACTTTTAAACTGGAAAATAGGGAGAGAGTAGTCTATCTGGACATTCAAGGCACATATCTAGGGAACCTAGGAAATACTGATGAGTCCACATCTCCTTTCAAGACTTCTCTATCACTCCACCTGCACTTGCTCTCTAGAAAAACATATCTGGCCTGTGTCCCAACCCCACCGGGTGTTTCTGCCCACTGATTACACTGAGTGAGAGAATGAATTAGTCCTGAAGAAGTGACTCAAACGATGAGAATTTCAGAGAGCCTAGAAAGCTGGTAGGGAGTGTGCCACTGGCATGGAGAATATCACTCTAGTAGGGCAAACTGCCTGTTCTGCTCATCACAATCAGGAATGTCTTGGAGGAAAGCAAGACAAAAAGCCATGTGATAATCTATACAAATTTTATTTTGATATCAATTTGTATGGAAACAAGCAGGTGTCAGCATTATGCAGGCACAGAAAAAAGGGAAAGAAAAAACTCCAGTGATAATTTATCTTGTATTTATATCGTTTGGTTTCAACAAGGACAGGAAGTTTTACTGTTAGCTTCCTGTGGGAACTCCAGTTTCTGCACCTTCCCCTGCTGCCTCTCAGCATCACGATACAGCAGGGATTTCTGGGCCTTCAATCGGCAAGCCAAGCACATGAAAATCGACTCCACGTTCTGGCTCTCTTTGGGGTCCTTGGCCGATGTCTCAAACAAGAGCATGTTGTGGGCATCAGCAAATTTCAGGGCTAAGTTGGAGGGCACCTGGATCTGTTCCCTCAAGTCACACTTGTTGCCCACAAGCACTTTGGGGACTAGTGGGGGCACAGCATGCCCATTGCATTCTTGGATCCACATTTTGAGGTTGGTGAAAGATGTCATCTTGGTGACGTCATAGACGAAGACCACGGCATGTACGTTGCGGTAGTAATGCTCGACCATGCTTTTGCGGAAACGTTCCTGACCTGCTGTGTCCCACACCTGAACCTGGAAGATACAAAAACCCAAAGGTGGAGTCAGAAAAGGGAACATGAACAGAGAGGAGAAAACATGGTTCTGTAGCACTATAAAAATGAAGTGACAGGACGGGTGCGGTGGCTCACGCCTATAATCCCAGCACTTTGGGAAGCTGAGGCGGGCAGATCACCTGAGGTCAGGAATTTGAGACCAGCCTGACCAACATGGAGAAACCTCAACTCTACTAAAAATACAAAATTAGCCGGGCATGGTGGTGCATGCCTGTAATCCCAGCTACGGGGGAGGCTGAGGCAAGAGAATTGCTTGAACCAGGGAGTCGGAGGTTGCAGTGAGCCGAGATCACGCCATTGCACTCCAGCCTGGGCAAAAAGAGCAAAACTCCATTTCAAAAAAAATAAAAAAAGTGACAAGCCGTGACACAGGAAGTGGTTCTTTGACAGATGAGCAGAATGGACTTATCAAAGCATAAAGAGAAGTTTCAGGATTTGTCAAGTTTTTCTTAAGATTGTTAACTGAAAATCTTGAGTTGAAAAAAATCTTAAGATTTTTAGTTGAAAAACTGGATGTAAATTGGTCAACTTTTCTGGAGAGCAATTTGGCAATATTATCAAGAACCTCAAAAATGTTCATAACTCTTAGGACCTGAAATCTCACTTCCAGAAATCTATACAAAAGAAATAGGGATGTGGTCAAAATTCTGTACTAATATCTTACAGTGTTATTTAGAATTTTTTTTTTTGAGACCGTGTCTCGCTCTGTCACCCAGGCTGGGGTGCAGTGGCGCCATCTCGGCTCACTGCAAGCTCCGCCTCCCAGGTTCACGCCATTCTCCTGCCTCAGCCTCCCAAGTAGCTGGGACCACAGGTGCCCGCCACCACGCCTGGATAATTTTTTGTATTTTTAGTAGAGATGGGGTTTCACTGTGTTAGCCAGGATGGTCTCGATCTCCTCACCTCGTGATCCGCCTGCCTCAGCCTCCCAAAGTGCTGGGATTACTGGCTTGAGCCACTGAGAATTTTTTTAAAACAGGAAAAACCTAAATGCTCATCAGAAAAGGAATAGCTAAAGTTCATGTCTATACAGTGGGGTCAGGTACAGTGGCTCATGCCTGTAATCCCAGCACTTTGGGAGGCTGAGGCAGGTGGATCATCTGAGGTCAGGAGTTCGAGACCAGCCTGGCCAACATGGTGAAATCCCATCTCTACTAGAAATACAAAAAAAATTAGCCAGGCCTGGTGGTGTGTACCTATAGTCCCAGCTACTCGGGAGGCTGAGACACAAGAATTGCTTGAACCCGGGAGGCGGTGGTTGCAGTAAGCCGAGATCGGGCCACTGCACTTCAGCCTGGGCAACACAGTGAGACTCCGTCTCAAAAAGAATAAACAAAAATGAAAATATATCCGTACAGTGGGATATTATGCAGCCATTAAAAATAATGTTTTCAAAGACTAAATTGTAAGAGAAACGCTCACAAAATACAAGTAAGTGAAAATGCAGAATACAGAATTTTTCTTTTTTCTTTTCTTTTATTTTTTTTTTGAGACAGAATTTCGTTCCTGTTGCCCAGGCTAGAGTGAAATGGCACGATCTCGGCTCACTGCAACCTCTGCCACCTGGGTTCAAGCAATTCTCCCACCTCAGACTCCTGAGTAGCTGGCATTACAGGCATGTGCCACCACGCCCGGCTAATTTTATATTTTTAGTAGAGACGGAGTTTCTCCATGTTGGTCAGGCTGGTCTTGAACTCCCGATCTCAGGTGATCCGCCTGCCTCGGCTTCCCAAAGAGCTGGGATTACAGGCATGAGCCACCACGCCCAGCCTCAAAAGTTTTCATATGCTATGGTCCCAGTTTTTTTTAAGAAACGTTAAACATAAACATATGCAAAGCACAGACTGGAAGTGTACACATCAGAACATTAATGGTTATTTATCAGCAATGAGACTATAGTGATATTTATTTTCTTCTTTTTAAATATTTTTCCATATTTTCTTCTACAAGTATGCATATATATGTTATATATATTACATATATGTTATATATAGTGTATATGTTATATATATTACATATATATGTTATATATATTGTGTGTATATATGTTATATATATGTGTATATATATATATATATATATATATTTTTTTTTTTTTTTTTTTGTAGAGACAGAATCTTGTTATGTTGCCTAGGCTAGTCTCGAACTCTTGGCCTCAAGCAATCCTCCTGCCTCGGCCTCAAAATGTGCTGGGATTACAGGCATGAGCCACTAGCCTGAATAACTTTTTAAAGAAAACAAAGTTAGTATTAAAATCTCACCTTCAAGCCCTATTTATTTATTTATTTATTATTTTGAGATGAGAGTCTTGTTCTGTCGCCCAGGCTGGAGTGCAGTGGTGTGATCTCAGCTCACTGCAACCTCCACATCCTGGGTTCAAGAGATTCTACCACTTCAGCCTTCTGAGGAGCTGGGATTACAGTCGTGCGCCACCATGCCCAGCTAATTTTTGTATTTTTAGTAGAGATGGGGTTTCACCATGTTGGCCAGGCTAGTCTTGAATTCCTGACCTCAAATGATCGAGCCTCCCAAAGTGCTGGGATTACAGGCGTGAGCCACCATGCCCAGCCTCCAATTTATTTTTAAGTTCACTTTTTGGTTATGTAAAAGGAACTTAATTCACTGGATTTTTCTTCTGTATCTCAGCTTTTGGGATAAAGGCCAAATTATGAAGAAAAAGCTGCTATCTGTAACATATGCAAAGACATAACTCCCAGGAGATATACATTCAGCCCAATCTATTTCCCTTTATATATCCAACGTCTTGGACAAGGGAGATTCATGCTCAGAATGATGGTCCCAAGGCCCTATACAATTCTCAGTTATCAAAGAAAATTTGATTATGGCCACTAATTGACTGCTATGGCTCTTAAAACGAAGTATAGCCTTTATTTGGAGTTAGCAGTCAGTAAGTATAATCTAGTAAATATAATTGAATCTGTCGGCTGAGTGAAGATTTTACAGGGCCCTAGAGTCATCATTCCGAATATCAGTTTTCATTGTCCAGGCTCCCCGTCATCTCCCTCTATTGACACAGCTTCCAAGTTCCTCTGGCAAGACCTTCAGATTGAACCCTTCTTCTATTCTGATTTCTGTGTCCCTCGGCCCTCGGCCAGCCTCTCCTCTCCTCACTCCTGGACTAGAGCAAAGTATTTTGGATTGTGGATGTTTCCATTGCAGGGTCTCCTGAACACTGCTCGCTTGCTTGCTTTTTTTTTTTTTTTTTTTTTTTTTTTGAGATGGACTGTTGCTCTGTTGCCCAGGCTGGAGTGCAGTGGTGCAATCTCAGCTCACTGCAACCTCCACCTCCCAGGTTCAAGCGATTCTCCTGCCTCAGCCTCCCAAGTAGCTGGGATAACAGGCGTGTGCCACTGCGCCTGGCTAATTTTTGTATTTTTAGTAGAGATGGGGTTTTGCCGTGTTGGCCAGGCTGGTCTCAAACTCCTGACCTTAGGTAACAAAAAAGTGAACTTAAAAATAAATTGGAGGCCAGGGCGCAGTGGCTCACGCCTGTAATCCCAGCATTTTGGGAGGCTGAGGCGGGCGGATCACGAGATCAGGAGATCGAGACCATACTGGCTAACACAGTTAAACCCCGTCTCTACCAAAAAATATAAAAAAATTAGCTGGGTGTGGTGGCAGGTGCCTGTAGTCCCAGCTACTCGGGAGGCTGAGGCCAGAGAATGGCATGAGCCCGGAAGACGGAGCTTGCAGTGAGCCGAGATGGTGCCACAGCACTCCAGCCTGGGCAACAGAGCTAAACTCCATCTCAAAATAAAAAATAAATAAATAAAAATAAATTGGAGTCTGAGTATAGTGGCTCACTCCTGTAATCCCAGCATGTTGGGAGGCCCAATCACTGCCGATCCACCTGCCTCAGCCCCTGAAAGTGCTGGGATTACAGGCGTGAGCCCCAGTGCCCGATCTCTGAATACTGGCTTTCTGACTAGCTTTAGTCAATCCCTGCTTGTATCAGCATGCCATTCACCTCTTCAGGAAACGACTGCAGCCCTCTACTGTATGTGGCATCACATGGATTCCACATGTGGAATTCTGTCTGCCATAATTTGACCCTTCCCAACCTGGTTTCAAACTACTCAGCTACACCTGGTTGATTCCCTCCTCTGTACTTTGGGTCATGCTAGTCCACTCCTCCCCTATAGAATCAGCTGCCCCCTCATTGCCCTATCCAAATCTCACCCATTCTTCAAGGTTAAGCTCACGCCTCAGGCTTCTTCCTCAAACCTTCGCCAACTTCCCTTCAATTCTCTTTTCTTAGGAATCTCTGTTGCACTTTGAGTCTGCATCATACCATTTTGAATAGATTTATGTTTTCTAATTGTCTCGTCAGTGCTCTTGGCATCTCTCCAGCAAGACTGTAAGCAGTCTTTTTCTGCATCAGACCACACTCGTCACTGAGGTTGTCATCATCATCATTATCAGCAGCAGACACATTATCAAAAGGCAGTGATGGCCTGAACCACTAAAACTACAAGCAGTCTGGCATCCTAGATATGTGCCAAGGGGATTTCAGAGAGAACGTCTGACTGTGATCACACAGAAAAAACATAAGTCCTCAAAGACTGATTTGCTTCTGCAAGCAAGAGACAGAAAATATTTTCATTTCTTCCACCTCTCCGTGGTGTTCCGAACAGGAAGAAAGGGAGAGCAGACCACAGGAGGAATGGAGGTCAGTAGGAAGACAGCAGGCATAGCCCAGGAATATCATTACCACTTGGCTCCTGATCCCCACTCCCCCCACCCCCCAGGAGTCTTCACTCTTGCCTTTTGCCTCTGAAGAAGTCTGAATCCCTACCAGCCCTCAGGCATGTGGCAGATGCTTTAACACCATGAGCTCAGGACTCTAAAAATACCTGCCACTAGCAGGAACACGGGTGGGAGTGTGTGAGGTGTTTGAGGCTGAGTGAGGTTGGCCATTTGGCTTTTCTTTGGCTTCATAATTGCGTATGCCGCCCAAATTGCCGGAACTGCCAGGAGGGCCCTCTCTGCTGGAGACCTCCTCTGTCTTTCCAACACTATTGGGAGCCTTGAAGCTTTTATTTGGAGGCTCCGAATTTAAACTGCAGGCACTGCTCCCTTCCAGCTCTTTGTAAACCCCACCCTGAGTTCTTTGCAGACGTGTCTGTCGTGAGAGGGGAGCCAGGAAGCAGGCTGCTCGCAGCAGAAAATAGAAGAACCAGTGGTGTGGCCTCAGAACCATCAGAAAGGAAGATCACAGCAGGCAGGCTCCCTAAACACATGAAATGATCTCATTAAAAAAAAAAAAAAAATCGCCGGGCGCGGTGGCTCACGCCTGTAATCCCAGCACTTTGGGAGGCCGAGGCAGGTGGATCACAAGGTCAGGAGATCGAGACCATCCTGGCTAACGCGGTGAAACCCTGTCTCTACTAAAAAATACAAAAAATTAGCTGGGCGTGGTGGTGGACGCCTGTAGTCCCAGCTACTCGGGAGGCTGAGACAGGAGAATGGCGTGAACCTGGGAGGCGGAGCTTGCAGTGAGTCGAGATGGCGCCACTGCACTCCAGCCTGGGCGACAGAGCAAGACTCTGTCTCAAAAATAAATAAATAAATTAATTAATTAATTTTAAAAAATCAGACATGGTCTCGCTCAGTCACCCAGGTTGGAGTGCAGTGGCATGATCTCGGCTCATTGCAGCCTCAACTTCCCCAGGCTCAGGTGATCCTCCCACCTTGGCCTCCCGAGTAGCTGGGACTACAGGCATGCACCACCACACCCGGCTAATTTTTGTATTTTTTGTAGAGATGGGGTTTCCCCATGTTGCCCAGGCTGGTCTCAAATTCCTAGGCTCAAGTGATCTGCCCACCTGGGCCTCCCAAAGTGCTGGGACTCTAGGTGTGAGCCACCACGCCTGGTCTCTTTCTCTCTCTCTCTCTCTCTCTTTTCCAGACAAGATCTCATTGTGTCACCCAGGCTGGAGTGCAGCAGTGCAATCATGGCTCACTGCAGCCTCAACCTCCTAGGCGCAAGCAATCCTCCCTCTTCAGCCTTCGGAGTAACTGGGACTACAGGCACGCACCAGCACACCCAACTAATTTTCATATTTTTTTTATTTCATAGAGATGGGGTCCTCCTTATGTTGCCCAGGCTGGTCTGGATCTCCTGGGCTCAAGCAATCATCCTGCCTCGGCCTCCCAAAGTGCTGGCAAGCCACCTTACCTAGCAGTGATCTCATTTTGTTTGAGAGTTAGGTGTTCCTTTCTCAGCATCTTCATAAACCCCTGGCCCCTGCCAAGCAGTGAAAGCATCTCCTTCCTCTTTCGCAGCTGCCTCTCCTCTCACCCTTTCCTCCTTTCCTGTGGGCACCATATCCATACAGTGGATGGGGGTGAAGACTGCCTCTTAGCCACAGCCACATACATGTACCCCAGATCCTTGTTTCTGTCAGATGGCCAATGGGGTATAGTGGAGTCAAATCAACTTGGGTGCAGATCTCGGCCCAAGTCATGTTAGTACATGACTTGTTAGGTGTCCTTAGATAAGTTAGGTGTCCTTAGGTAAGTTACTTTCTCTGACTTCAGTGTCCTCATCTGGAAAGTGATGATAACAATAGTAATCAGGTAGGGATGCTATGAGGATTAGTAGTCCTTGTAAGTATGTGACCCAGTGCCTAATATACACTCTCCCTTCTTTCATGGCCTGAAACCTCCACCATTAAGTCTAGATGGGCAACAACTTGAGCAAGCACTGTTGGAAAGGCAGCAAGCATCCCAGCTCTTCTGCTCAGAAGCTGAGTAAATGCCAGACAAGTCTTTTAACCTCCCTGAACTGAGCCTTGTTTTTCTCATCTCTGCAATGGGACCTTGATCCTCCTATGGTTGCTGGGATGATCCAGTGAAATAACACATGAGAAAGGACTTTTGGAAAATGTCAAGCACTCTGCAAATATTAGTTGTTGCTCTGGTCTCAGAAAGGCCATCAAGCCCTCTCCTGTTGGTATGGTTCCTTGGGTCCATTGGTCTCTCATCCTGGAAATCACAGAAAGCTTGGCTTCTCGAAGGTGAGACAGAGCTAAAGGCCATCCAGTGGGGAGGGGGTGGAGAGAGGAATACTGGCAACATGCCATGGGTGGCCGGGGGCAGGCCCGAACTGATGGGGTGCTGGAGGAGGATGGAGGGGCACAGCATGGGGAACTGCCAAAGAGATATCTAACCTTTTGAACTATTTTCTGGGCGAGCTTCAGCAAGCCCCCAACCCCCTGCATGTGCTCTTAGCTGACAGGGGGATTTCTTTTCCCTAGGAAACATTAACTGGCATCTTTCTATAGATGAGGCATGAATGTGCTTTTGTTGGAGGCCGATGGGGGAGGGTAGAAGTGCAAAAAAAGGAGACAAATACATCTGTAACCTCTGGAGCATGCCCCAGTGGATGATGGGAAAAGTTTAAAAGAAACCTGTTTTCAACTAGCTGGACTGTCCCATCTGCATCTAAGATCCACACACAAAGCTGACACAGAGAATGGCAAAGGAGGACAGAGACAAAGAGAAACTCACACACAGAAAGAAGCAGCAAGGGAGACAGAGAAACTTACACTGATGGATAATTAACCATTAAGTTAACTGGCAGAAGATAGAAGCTCAGAAGCCCTAAGGAAGAAATGATGTCATTCTGACTGCAGGCAGCTTCCAAGGAACACTTAGCTCAGCCTCCATCCACTTGATAATGTAACACAGGAAGGTATTTTTTTTCCCCCAGTGATCAGTAGAGGAACAGAAACTCACAGTCCTGAGCTGTACCTGCCCATAGCCACAGCTGACCTGCAGTTTGTCTTGTCCCCAGGGCTGGGGCACAGGGAGTGCCCAGCCTGTGGGAGGAACCAAACTATTATAGACAGAAGTGAAGCTTCCATGCAAATATACAAAGAATGATTCAAAAATTAGTTTCTTAGCCTCCCCTCTACTACATACCCTCCCTCTCTACACACACACACACACCCCTATTCGGCATTTTCCAATGCATTTAGGAGACAGACTCAATAAATTTAGCTACATCTGTAGGTGACAGACACATCATAGTCATTAAGGGAAGCTCCACTCTTCCTTTGGGGGCTGGGGGATGCCTCCACCCTTCCTAGGCTGATGTCAGGAAAGACTGTCAGCTATCTCTTATGATGTCCCTCTGGATTCTTGTCATAGGTGGCCTTGTGGGTTGGATGGACCATGGAGCTAGGCTGGAGAGAGGATTTTGTGCCAGGCAGCATGATGTGTGGAAAGAGCACCAGAAAGGGAATTAGGAGACATGAGTTCTAGGCCTGGCCCTGTGTGATCTTGGGCAAGTCACTTTCCCTCTCTGAGTCTCAGTTTCCTATCTGCAAGAGGAGGACACTGGATCACAGAATCTGTAACATCTCTTTTATCTCTGAACATTTTCTGCATCTCACACCTGAGTTGAGATAATCAAGGTGCAAAAAGTAAACCCAGGGCTCCCGCCTGTAATCCCAGCACTTTGGGAGGTCGAGGCAGGTGGATCACCTGAGGTCAGGAGTTCGAGACCAGCCTGGCTAACATGGTGAAACCCCATCTCTACTAAAAATATAAAAATTAGCTGGGCATCATGGCAGGTGCCTATAATCCCAGCTACTCAGGAGGCTGAGGCAGGAGAACTGCTTGAACCCAGGAGGCCGAGGTTGCAGTGAGCTGAGATCGTGCCATTGCACTCCAGCTTGGGCAACAAGAGTGAAACTCCCTCTCAAAAAAAAAAAAAAAAAAAAAGTAAACCCAGTTGAGTTCTGTGTGTCCTGGATACAAATTGAAGGAGACATCTGAAAGGCTCCTGGGGGCCTTGGGCTATAACCCTAAGTCCCTGGCCTAGAAGAAAGAGCAAGACTGGCTGCCTGGCATTCTATCTCCCCCTGTCAAACTCCCCCAATCTAGGGGACTGAATATTGTCCTGTAGAGTGAAATGCAGTGGTAAAGGGCATGGTCTCTGAATCTGGGTTGAAATCGTGGCCCTGTAACAGGAAAGGTAGGATAGTGAGGTGGCGAAGTGCTTGGGCTCAAGAGTCAAAGGCTGAAGCTCAGATCCATGTGCCACTGGGTTATTTCATCTCTCTTAGCCTCAGTCTCCTTATCTATAAAATGGGAATGATAACAATACTGCTGATTTCATAAAGCTGCTGTGAGGAGTAAATAAGATAATGCATGTAAAGTGCCTAGCCTGGGCTCTTTGCTTATTCAATACATAGTTGTTATTATTATTATTATTATTGCCTACTCATTGGAGGCTTTTCTTGATGTTCATACAATTGAGTTCATCAGGACTCAATTGTAAATGCTTTGATGGGGTGAGGGTGGGGAACATAATGATTGGAGACAGCAAATGGGGCTTCAATACCCTAGGGATGGCCTTGATAATTAATTACAGTGTGGCTCTAACTACACCAAATCAGTTGTCCCTAGCAGGGGTTCATGTATGTGCTACCCCGGGACACAGGCAGGCAGCCCAGAAGAGGCCACACCCTTGCTCTTAGACTGAGAAGAGCTGGCTGAGACCTCTCTACCACTCTCCTCCAAGGGCTGGTATGTTACAGCCCAAAAGCCTTCTATTGCTGGCCATGGTCTAGGCCAGACCTCGGACTGTCACACTGGACTTTTCTCTCTCTCGCAAAGGACGAAGCCCTTGGCAGTCATCTCCAAGCATGGCTTTGGCATGTATTCCTTGAACAACTTCAGGCTAGCCAGAGTGCGAGGCCAAATCTTCTCTTATCTAGATCACGTGCTAGCCGCCAGGCTCTGCCATCTTCCCACAGACATGCTGGTCTCTCGCCTGCCAGCATGGTCCTGAGATTGCAGCAGCTTTACAAGAAGCAGGGTCACCATCTCCCCACTCCCACACGCCACTCTGAGCTCCTTTGGAATCTGCCCTCAGAGGACTCCTCCATGAGCAGTGTCACAAGGCTTTGTCCCCTTGAAAATATCATCTTCCCCAAAAAAGCCTGTATTAAGCACTTATCTGCACGTGGTGTTGTGCTGAGCTCTGTTTCTAGTGAGTCACACTGTCACAGGCTCTGCCCTCTGGGAAAAAGTCTGGAATCTTTGCCAGAGACTGTAAAGTCCAGTTTGGCTAAGTACTGGGGTGTTAGAAGAGAAGGAATAGTTTAAAAATTCCTTCAAGGCCACTGGGTGGTGACTCTTCCACTCGTGTTCATCTGTCATCCCTCACTTTCTAGCTTCTTCCTCCCTCCTTCTTTAGATTCCCAAACACTTCATTTTTTCCATCTAAATTTCAGATGGACTTATTTCCCACCTTTTAAATCCAGGGAACTCTTTGGCTCACTGTAGCACTTGATTTTAAGCAAATGGGAGCATTAGGTTTTTGAGGTTTAAGAGCCCATCTGTAAAGATATTTCTACTTTGGATTACAAAGTCATGTTTTAGAAATTCTAGAATCTTATAGCCTTACATTAAAGAAGCTAGACACACTAGAGGAAGTCTTAACCAAGCAAATGTCAACAGCCCCAGGAAAGGACAGAGACAGATACCGCCTTTGACTTTAAAAGGAAATGTAGCACTTCCCTTCCAAAATGCAAGGGGCAAAAAAGATCACGATTTCAAAATAATGTTCTATCTTCCTACCCTGGGGCTCTCCCTTATCAGTACTGAGCTGTCCATCTTCCTGACATCTAGTGAGTTGGCCTAGTTTCTGAAGCCATTTTTAGAACACGTTCATTTTAATAATCAAGGAGTCAGGAGTCTCGCACAGTTTCAAGTGTTTCATCAGTTTCATCAGTTACTCAGCCCTTCTCTCCACGTCACTCAGAGGAGGGGCCTTGTGGTCACTTTGGCAGTTTGACCAGCAAGAAGGAGGCTTACTGTCACCCCTGACTCTGTCTAAGGTCCAACCATACGCTCAAGGAAAGGCCAGCTGTGAGCCTAGAGGAGTTGTCTTCAGTGATCCCAGTGCCTTTATAGAGGCCCCCCTCTGCTCCCCATGACACAAGAAGTTGCCCTTGTTATGTCCTCCCTCCCGCCATCCCCTGCACATTGACATATTCCTGTCATATCAGGTTTCTACCTTTTCTGAATTAAAGGTGAGCACAAATGGTCAGACAAGAATATTTGCACTTAGCCTATTACATAAACTCATGGAGGGGGAGGATTGAACATTCCCCTGGCCCTCGGTTAAGTCACTGCATTTTTACAAAGACCTGAAGACAATACCAACAGAATGAATAAGGAGCAGTTCATGTATTAGATGCCCCAGACAAGTAAAGAAGATATCATTCCAGGGGGGCTGTTACAAAAAAACAAGTTTTGTCTATTACGAAGGGCTGGACCCTGCCTCAATTTCTTTAAAAGGGCTCATGGCTTTCTGCCAGAACCACCCCACTCCACCGCCATCTCAACTCAGCCCTAATTTTTTAACTATAAACTGCAATTTAAAATAAAGCAGCTTTTTCATTCTCCATGGATTTCCATCATTTCCTTCCCTCTAACGCCTTGAGGCTTAGCCAAAGTGGGGTTTTGCAGCCTATCGGCACCCAAGCAGTAGAAGAGACATCAGGATGTGTAAAGTGCTTTGGGATCCATCCCAGAGACTAGGACCCACAGATGCCTCCTGCCTCCCTCTGCCCACAGGTGCCGCTGCTCGGGGTAGGGGTCATGGATGGGAATCCAACATGCTTTTCCTGGCAGGACCTGTCAGGCAGGGGCTAAGGGTAAGAATGCAACCCCATTCTCAACCGCCCTAAAAAACTGAGTGAAGTGGGGACGGGGCCCCGCTGAGAGAGGTGAAAAGGGGTGAGGAGGAGCCGAGGGTCCTCGGCTCAGCAAGAGGCGAAACCGCCACGCGCTGGACGCTGGACGACGACAACCGCTAGAGCTATGCCTCGGGCGAGGTCCCCTCCCGGGTCCCACCCTTCCTGGACCTGACCCCCTGGATCACCTTGATCTTCTCGCCCTCGATTTCCACGGTCTTCTCCCTGAAGTCCACGCCGATGGTGGCTTCAGTCTTGTCTGGGAAGGTACCCCCGCAGAAGCGGAAGGTCAGGCAGGTCTTGCCCACGTTGGAGTCCCCAATCACGATTATTTTGAAGATGCGAATCTGCACGTACTGGTCCAGCGACGAGTCGAGCTCCAGGGACGCCAGGCCAGCGGCCGAGGCGGGCTGCAGGCTCCCATGGCCCAGGATGGGCTGCGCCATCTCCCCCGGACCGAACCGGGGCCCCAACCCCCCTTGAGGGCTCCACACAAAGAGAACGTCCACGTTCGTGCGCTCGAGGCGAGCGAGCTCTGTGCGTGTGTGTGTGCGCGCGTGTGTGTGTGTCCGCCCGTGTGTGCGTGCGCCGGCACCGTGTGCGCGCGCGCGCGTGAAGGGGGTGCCTCTCACTCCGGGCCCCCCTCCTCCTCCTCCAGCGCACCCTCCTTGCAGCTCGGAGGCACCAACACAAAAGCCAGGGAGAGGAGGAGAGAGGGAGGAGAGTGGACGAGCCGCGAGCCTTCTGCCTGTGTGCGCCCTCGGACCGGATGCTCTGGCGAAGGACCCTACCGCGCTGCTCCAGCCGCCGCCGCGCCTCGGCCCACACCCTCCCCTGCCTGCATTCCCGGGACGGACCCGAGGGAAGAAGCCTCAGGAGGAAAGAGACGGGGTGGGGACAGCGGCACACGCCACCCCGGGATAGACTTCTTTCTCCTTGCCCCCGTTTATGTTATAGGTTTCGGGCTCCCCACCCCCACTGGCTCGAGCGCACGGGGTCAGCGGGCAGGGAGCACAGCTGGGGAGGACAAAGAGCTGCACCTTAAGACATCACTGGATCACTTCGGCCTCCCTGGAGCAACGCAACTCTGCGGGGATGGGGTGGGGGCGGAGGCACCTCTTTCACCTCGGGAGCAGCGGGCAGCTGAGCCGCGCCTTCCCGGTCCCCGCTACCCCGTCCCCTCTACCCCCACCCTCTACCCGACCCGCGCCTTGGGATAAAGGGATGCTCTGTCTTAATGAGTGAGCAGGTGCACTCGCGGGCCCCAGGCAGCCTGGGAGGCCGCTGCCAAGACACGCAGTGGGTTGTCCGGGGCCTGTACAGCTGAGAGGAGGGAGCCAGCGGGCACGCGTGTGCGTGTGTAGGGGGTGTAACTGTTTCTGTTACAGACTTGCCAGATGTAGGGGGGCGCGTACCAGGCGCCAACATCCCCTTATCACACCACGCGCACCCATCCTCTGAATGTTCAGGAGAGCGGCTCCTATTGGCTGCCGCAGTCGGTTGTGTTTGGCTGGCCAATGGGGAAGGCCCGCCGCGGGAGAGGGCCACACAGAGGCTAGGAGAAGGGGGGGAAGCTAGTGGTGGCAGTTCCAGCAAAAGGGGACTTTGTTTACGGGGCTAGCCATTACTGGCCCAGGTGGAGGATCTTGGGACAATGGCATAAGCTCCACAGTGCCTTCCATTCCCAAGCCCTCCATATAACCATAAGTCCCTCCAGAACGCTGGAGTTTCAGAGGGAGTTGGGAATCCCTAGGAGGGTTCACCTCCCCCTGCAGCTGAATGTAGAACAAAGTGGTTGGGTCTAATTTGCCAGAAGCCTAGATTATGCTTGGAAGATGATAAATGAACACAACCTCCTTACAGTATTAGGGGGCTGCTGCCCAAAGCTTACTAATCATCACACACATCTTGGTCAAGACCAGTATTCCTTCTCCCTAAAGTCATTCGCGGGTTCAGAATTTGTTTGAAATCGACTTTACTGGGGGTACAATTTACATACGATAAAGTGCACCCATTTGTTTCTTTTAAGACTTTACCTCTCCCCCTACATATTTCATAAGCTAAGGTAACACTGACACATGTCACTAGCACTGACTCGTGAGTTATTGCTAATGCCATCAAGGTCAGGGATTCAAACAGCACAGTTGAGCTGCCATCTTATTTGGGAGGTTGAGCTGCAGGAAGAGACAAACATGACCAAATCCATTTCTGCTGAGAGAAAAACAATTCAGTGCATCAGTGATATACCTGAAAGCAAATTGGAATGTGACTACTCAAGGACGTCCAAGTTACTCAGAATGGCATCTTCCAGTTAATAAGTTTATTAGCTGAGCTAGCAGATATATTTACAGCTAACCCTTTTATCATATATGTGGGTCGCCCATTTCTAAAACCCTACATTATACTACTCAGCATTAAAACTACCCAGATAAGGATTTCCTCTTAGTTGGCTAATCCAAAATCATCCTTATGAATACCAATTTTCATTGTATTATGTATCAATCATCATTGTACAGTATTTTTGGTTTTGATTAGTCTGATGCCTAGTTTGCTGGATCGTTCCCCTCTGTATTGGAAGTTAATGCCCCTGATGATCTTTATCTACAGAATAGCTTTAAGGTGGAGAGGGGTAACTATTAATTAGGTACATCCTGTACACAAAGTAGAAAGGGGCTTTGCCCTTTGCCAATTCACAGCTAGAATTAATGCTAACTTCCTGAGAGATATTAAAAAAACATATGTACATAATAAGATTATTTCAATGTAAGCTTCTAGCAAAAACTTGTCACTGAGTCTACTTTTGTAAGGAAGAAACTTTGATTTCTGAAAATATGATATCTCAAAATGGGCTTCTTGCCCTAATAAAAGGTGTCTGTTACTTCTGTGGGGTGAGACTTTGGGGGATTTCCACTTATATTTTTTGGAATTAATTCAATGAGTATATATTGCTTTTGAAAAAAGATAAAAATATAATTTTTAATTAAAAGGACAGGAAAACTACCTTATTGTACCTATTGTAAAAAAATTAAATGTACTGTACAATGCCCTTTGTGTTAATTGTGCATTATTAAATTACTTTCAAATACATGCAGTTGTTTTCATAGGTACCTGATTATCATGATTTTGACAGTGTTTTCCAGTCTCTTTTGCCATCAGATATAATTAACTTTGTATTTAATCAATCCATGATTATTGGTTTTTACAAATATCAATAAAAATCAATGCAAGGCTGTTAAAATGTTAAGTAAATATAAATAATTTTTACCTTACTTTGGAATTGATACTTTTTTTTTTTTTTTTTGAGATGGAGTCTCGCTCTGTCACCCGGGCTGGAGTGCAGTGACACAATCTCGGCTCACTGCAAGCTCCGCCTCCCAGGTTCACGCCATTCTCCTGCCTCAGCCTCCCAAGTAGCTGGGACTACAGGCGCCCGCCACCACGCCTGGCTAATTTTTTTGTATTTTTAGTAGAGACGGGGTTTCACTGTGTTAGCCAGGCTGGTCTCGATCTCCGGACCTCGTGATCCGCCCGCCTTGGCCTCCCAAAGTGCTGAGATTACAGGCATGAGCCACCGTGCCCGGCCTGGAATTGATACTTTCAATATTTATCCCCTGGCCTAAAGTGATCCACCCTCCTCGGCCTCCCAAAGTGCTGGGATTACAGGCATGAGCCACAGAGCCTGACCATATTTTCAATATTTATCCAAAGGAGCTCTAGATAAAATGTCACCCATTGCCTGCACTTCTGAACACTGATCTACTCTGCTTAATGGGTAAGGGAGCCCTGGATCATCTTCACCACATAATGACTACTTCCTAGGCCTGGCACAGTGGCTCACACGTGTAATCCCAACACTTTGAGAGGCTGAGGCAGCAGGATTGCTTGAGCCCAGGAGTTCAAGACCAGCCTGGGCAACGTAATGAGACTGTCTCTTAAAGAAAACCAAAAAACAAAACTACTTCCTGGGTTAAACTTCACAGAAGGGTGTCTTTGTAGGCCGGGCGAGGTGGCTCATGCCTGTAATCCAAGCACTTTGGGAGGCCGAGGCGGGCGATCACCTGAGATCAGGAGTTCAAGACCAGCCTGGACAACATTGTGGAACCCCGTCTCTACTAAAAATAGAAAAATTAGCAGGGCGCGGTGGCATCTGCCTGTAATCCCAGCTACTCGGGAGGCTGAGGCAGGAGAATTGCTTGAACCTGGGAGGCAGAAGTTGCAGTGAGCCGAGATACTGCCACTGCACTCCAGCCTGGGTGACAAAGGGAGACTCCGTCTCAAGAAAAAAAAAAAAAAAAAAAGAGTATCTTTGTAATTTCTTTCTTTTTCTTTTTTGAAATAGGGTCTCGCTCTGTCATCCAGGCTGGAGTGCACGGGAGCAATCACTGCTCACTGCAGTCTCGATCTCCTAGGCTCAAGTGATCCTCCCATCTCAGCCTCCTGAGTAGCTGGAACCACAGGCACATACCACCACGCCTGGCTAATTTAAAAAAAAAATGGTAGAGATGATGTCTCATTATGTGCTCAGGCTGGTCTGGAACTCCTGGCCTCAAGCAATCTTCCCACTCGTCCTCCCAAAGTACTGGCATTACAGGCATGAGCCACTGCACCCGGCCCTGTAATTTCATTCTCTATCCCCATTCCACCAAAAAAAAAAAAAAAGTAACTTCATTACCTCCAAAGTTAGGGCCCAACTCTTGCCAGTTCAAATCTGGCCCCCCACCATACTTGCCTGTCTTTATCACTACTTCTTTATTTTTTTCTTTTTGGAGACAGAGTCTTGCTCCATCATCCAGGCTGGAGTGCAGTGGCACAATCTTGGCTCACTGCAGCCTCCACCTGGCAGGTTCAAGCGAGTCTCCTGCCTCAGTCTCCCTAGTAGCTGGGATTACAGGCGCATGCCATGGCGCCCGGCTAATTTTTGGATTTTTTGTAGAGACGGGGTTTCACCATGTTGGCCAGACTGGTCTTAAACTCCTGACCTAAAGTGATTCACCCGCCTAGGCCTCCCAAAGTGCTGGGATTACAGGCATGAGCCACGGAGCCTGACCACATCAATACTTCTTAGTATGTACTCTCTATCATTGTCCCCCGAAAATGTGCTGGGTTTTGGTTTTTTAAAACAGTTCCAAGCCTTTTCATTTAACAAACAGCATGGTGCTTCCTCTAAGACACTTTACAAATATTAGCTCATTTAGTCTTCCGAACACCCTCCTGAGATTTGTAGATGAGGAAAATGAGGCACAATTAAGTGACTTGCCCAGGTGGCAGAGCCAGGATTCAATGTGGGTTGGTCTGGATCCAAGGTCAACATGTTTAACAATGAAAAATGTTATCTTTGGTCCGAAAGTATTCACCATCTGAAATATCAATCCTTTTCCTCTACTGTTTGAATTTTACTACTCATCCTTCAAGACACAACTCAAATAACTTCTTACACGAAGTTCTACCATAGTGATTCCATCCCATAGTCTTCTCTCTTGCTCTGTCCGGCACTACACCAGATATTATTTCAATGACCGGTATATGTCATCTCCCCAACTAGACAGTGGCCACTTCCTATATAGATGCTATGTCCAAATAAACCCATTGTAAACTGAAAATATCGTTAAGTCGAAACTGCATTTAATACCCTGATAAACCCATCATAAAGTCAAAAAACCGTAAGTTGAACCATGCTTAAGTCCAGATGCTCCTCGACTGACATGGGGTTAGGTCTCATTAAACCCATCATAAAGTCGAAAAATTGTAAGTCGAACCATTGTGAGGGGTAAGTCGGGGACCATCCGTACTTTTCATACCCAACAGAGCCCCTTTTATAGTACAATCCAAGAGGTAAGTGCTCAATAAATACTTGTTAAATGAATATGTAAGCTGAATCTTTGAAACAGGCACATTGTATGTTCTGCATGCAGCCAAAACATTATTTCCAATTTAGCTTATATCTGGCAGAGTCAAAACACTTATTTACACTCAGCCCCTCACCCTACTCCCATAACTGAAAGTTCTGCTTAGCAGACTTCTCTTCCCAGAAAGTCCGAGAAGCACGAACGCTTTTTGCTAACATCCTGCTCCCAAGCACAGAAACCACAGCAGGAGACTGTGTGTATCTGTAGCACCTGGTATACAGCATCTAGGACACACAACTGAACTAATAAATAAAGGTGACAGGCGGGAAGAAGAGCGCAGAATTACTTGTCCAGGAAACGGGTTGGGTGGGAAAGAGCCGGCAACTGGTAAAAGATGGAAGTACACGCCGGATCTGGGAAGCCAGGTTCCGCGCCTCGGACTCATGGAAAAACTGGATCTGGATCACTGCAAAAGAATCAGGAAGGCTTCGGTATCAAGTAACTGGTGTCCTAAAACCAAAAAACAAAGTGCGATGCCGGGGCTACGCTGTTGTGAGATGCTGTTATCAGTTCTCGTCACCAACACAGCGGCAGCACCAGGCACAACCGCCAATCAAAGCGGCCCCACGAGTCCCTCCTTGAACAGGTTCCTTAACTCGTTCAGTCCAACACTGTGCCACAAACTCGCGAAAACCGGCTACCTAGAGCCAGCGTCTTTGCGAGCTTGCGGCCAGCTAGTGCATGCGCAAATCCTCTCGCCGTGCGGACCAATCGCAATGCGGCAGCGAGTGCTACGCCTGCGCAGTAGGCCTCCGGTCGCCGTTCCCCTTCCCCGGCTCTAGCAGGCCGGCTTCTCTGTCCAATGCCCACCCGGAGCTGGGAGGAGGAGTCTGCGTAATGTGCGTGTGAAGAGACTGGGGGAGCTGGCCGGGGCTCACGGTGTTTGACCCGTCGGTCGTGCGTGAGAGGAAAGGGAAGGAGGAGGTCCCGAATAGCGGTCGCCGAAATGTTCCGGTGTGGAGGCCTGGCGGCGGGTGCTTTGAAGCAGAAGCTGGTGCCCTTGGTGCGGACCGTGTGCGTCCGAAGCCCGAGGCAGAGGAACCGGCTCCCAGGTGACTGACCCATTCCAGGCAACCTCCAAGTCCGAGGGCCTGGCGCCTTAGGCTCCCTGTGCCTTGCAGCCCTCTACCCCCGCGTCCCCGCGAGAAACTTAACACATAGTCACGTGAATTCCAAATTGGCAGACTCCGAACCCTGAGTCTTGCAAGCGGAGGAATTGGCTCAGCCATGCCGACCTGACCTTCAAGAGATTTGAACCCAGTAGTCGGCTTGAGGCCTTTTCCCGGGAGCGTTTGCTGTTCAGGGATCCCAGAACAACTGGCTGTCGGCGCCTCCCCGGCATCCCCACCCCCCACCCCCCTTTTTAGAGCAATGAGGTCAAGTAGACTTTGTCATTTACCGATTGAGACTTTAAACAGGACGTTTAAGCCCTACGCCTAAGTTTCTTGTGTAAATGAGGGTGTTATCTGCTCAGCCTTCCAAACCACAGATGAGATCCATGGATTTGAATGCCCAGTGAAACAGAAACGGTGCAGGGCAAGTAAGGAGTCGGTTGGTTGTGTACCAGACACCCAGAGAATTGGCCCAGACTTAATTGGAGATGCCTGAGCCGTGTACTTCTTGGTGGTCTTTAAGGCTTCAAAGAAACAGTTTGCAGAACGCATTGTATTTTGTTCTCCATTAAGTTGTTTCATCAAATTTTAGAGCTGGAAGGGATTTTGTGGTAAAGGTCAACCCACTCATTTTATAGATAATAAACTGAGGCACAGAGAGGTGAAATTACTTGCCAAAGGTCACATAGTTAATTAATAGGTAGAGCTAAGGATAGTTTGCTAGCCTCCAGGTCCTTAATCCCTTCGCTGCAACTCCATACTGCTTCCTAAAGTTGACCTCAAAAAGTTAAGAATGAATTCGGGTCTCTTCCCAGTAATTAGCCCATTGTACATCAGATATCCGTGAATTTATCTGAGCATGGCTTGAGCCTGCTTCTTTTCGTACTGCGTTACTTCATGGGGGCAATGAATGATCCACCTGTAGGAGTTGCTTTGAAAAAAAAATCAGTAATCCTTCAATGTCCACCCCTAGGGCATTTGCAATGTCAGAAGTTATCCTTGAGGCTTTTACAATACAGAAACACCTGGGTGCTTTAAAAATAAAAAGTGGAAAATATTTTCCTTGGGTTGTTAGGGTCTTTGCAAATGTGCATTTGAACAGTTTTTCCAGTTGCTATGCACAATGAAAATGTTTCCTGATAGGTGTATTTGAGTTATGTCCTGGGACATACTGCTCTTGGAACTTAAAACCTCTGCTTAGCTTTTAAACTAATGCCTTATCAATGGATGTCATCTTTGAGGGTTTTGTGTATTGAAATGATGGTGCTCTGTGCTTGTTGCACAGAAATTGAGATAACCTGAATTTTTTTTTTTTTTTTTTTTGAGACGGAGTCTCGCTTTGTCGCCCAGGCTGGAGTGCAGTGGCGCGATCTCGGCTCACTGCAATCTCCGCCTCCCGGATTCACGCCATTCTTCTGCCTCAGCCTCCAGAGTAGCTGGGACTACAGGCACCCGCCACCACGCCCGGCTAATTTTTTTTTTTTTTTTTTTGTATTTTTAGTAGAGACAAGGTTTCACCATGTTAACCAGGATGGTCTCGATCTCCTGACCTCGTGATCCGCCCACCTCGGCCTCCCAAAGCGCTGGGATTACAGGCGTGAGCCACCGCGCCCGGCGATAACCTGAATTTTTTCATCCACACTGGCCTTTCAAACTTTGAGTAGTTGTTTTGCTTAAGTCTCACAACTTTTACCAGCATTCTAAAGTCTGACCAAAAGTTCTCATCAATTAAATATGCATTTGCAAAGTTAAGTTGATTTATTAGACATTGGAAAGTGGTTGGTGTTGTTAGAACTACTGAAAAATACAGACTCAAATGGTTTTTTCCACTGCATGTCTTTGTTTGAAGGCAGTCTACTGTAGAATATATTCGGACTTCCTGACATATCCATCCATCTCTTTGCATACACTTGTTCTTTGTCCTTTGGCCGTGCACCAAAGTATGACATCATCTGCCTTTAAAAATGGGTGAGGGTAGTGTTAAATTTTCAAAAAGAAGTTCTGATACTCTCATTTTAGGAATTAACTCTGTTTTGTGGCTTGATTCCTAACTGCTTTTAATCTGATTTCTTTTTCATGTAGTAGCATCTACCGTGTGTTTTTGCACAGGTGGGAAAGAGCAAGGTTCGTTTATACACCATTTCTCCCTCCACCTTACCTTTAAACTTTTTTTTTTTTTTTTTTTTGAGGCGGAGTCTCGCTCAGTTTCCCAGAGTGCAGTGGCACGATCTTGGCTCACTGCAACCTCTGCCTGCTGGGTTCAAGCAATTCTCCTGCGTCAGCCTCCCAAGTAGCTGGGACTACAGGCATGCACCACCACGCCGGGCTAATTTTTTGTATTTTTAGTAGAGACGGGGTTTCACCATGCTGGCCAGGCTGGTCTCAAACTCCTGACCTTGTGATCCACCTGCTTCAGCCTCCCAAACCTTTAAACTTTAAACCTGCCTTGCAACTATCTCGTTGACATCTGTCACCATTGTCAGGTTCATTTCCATTATATGTTGCATTCTGCCTTAAAACCATGATAGCTACTATTTGTTTATTTACTTTATTTATTTGGATGCTCTGCCTCCTTCCAGAGATGATTGAAGGTAACTCATAGTCATCACTCTATGTCTGCATTCAGACACAGAGGAGCAGATAGGTTAGATAATAGACATTTTCTGTTCTATAATATTTTGTTTGGTCACCAAACAGTGCTGCCCATGTTATCAAACTGATCACCGACTCCCTGACTTTAGGTTCAAATGTTTGAACGTTTTTCTCTATTTGGAATCCTTCTCACCTCTTTAAAAAGGAAACTGAGCTCCTTGTGGGCAAGGATCCTGGCTTCCTGGACACTGCCAAATGTGACTTCGTTTTGAAGCCTAAAAGATGAGTCTTCCCCCGTTGTTTCTGCTGAGACAAGGCTTTGCAGAAGAAATTCTTTGGCAGCTCAGCCCTTTCTGTAACCAGTTAATAAGTTACATTTTCTAGAAATGTTCTAACTTTTTGAGGGAGTTACTGCATGTCTTAGCTTTCTTCTAGATCATGTTTCCAAAAGTTGCCTGCTCATGTGAATCGAGTAGAGAACCAGTTCCTAACCTTCTCCAGGAGATAATTCTGGGAATCTGTATTTTAACAAGCCCCTTGACATTCATATGATCAGACAAGTTTGGTATATACTGTTTTGGATGAGTAGTGACTCTTCCCCTTCTGTTTTGCTGACGTAAGGATTAAAAAACCAAACTGAGCAATCTGGAGTCTCTTGTGATTTGTATCAAGCTCATTTTCTCATATTCAGAATAGTAGCAGCCATTCTCCTAAATTAAACACTACCTGAGGACATGGATTATGTCCTATTTATTTTTGTGTCCTTAGCATCTTGTACCATCTCTGGCACATGGTAAATTCTCGTGACTGAACCCTAGTACAGCATTGTGAAGGACTTAACTTTGCAGAAGAGAGATTTTATTTTGTTATCTAAATAATTTTTCCTTGTGTGTCTTTCATCAGAATGGTTCACGCTGTACTATAGTTATTACTACTCTGTTTCTTCTAAAATTCCAGCAAGGGTTGATATTAAAAAATTAAAAAAGGCTGATAGCTAGGCGTGGTGGCTCACGCCTGTAATCCCAGCACTTTGGTATGCCAAGGTGGGCAGATCACTTGAGGTTGGAAGTTCAAGACCAGCCTGACCAACATGGAGAAACCCCGTCTCTACTAAAAATCAAAAATTAGCCAAGCGTGGTGGCACATGCCTGTAATCCCTGCTACTCGGGAGGCTGAGGCAGGAGAATTGCTTGAACCCGGGAAGTGGAGGTTGCGGTGAACCGAGATCACACCACTGCACTCCAGCCTGGACGACAGAGCGAGAATCTGTCTCAAAAAAAAAAAAAAAAGGCTGATAAATAGTTGTTGGATCCCTTGTAAAGAATCATTTATCTACAATGGACAGACTATCTAGGCTTGTCCTGTGTTTTTTTTTTTTTTTTTTTCTTCAAACAGAGTCTTGCTCTGTTGCCCAGGCTGGAGTGCAGTGACACAATCTCAGCTCACTGCAACCTCTGTCTCCTGGGTTCAAGTGATTCTCCTGCCTCAGCCTCCCGAGTAGCTGGGATTACAGGCACCTGCCACCACGCCCAGCTAATTTTTGTATTTTTAGTGGAGACGGGGTTTCACTGTATTGGCCAGGCTGGTCTCGAACTCCTGACCTCGTGATCCGCCCACCTCGGCCTCCCAAAGTGCTGGGATTACAAGTGTGAGCCACCGCACCTGGCTGTCCTGTGTTTTCTCCATGCTGGAAAAATCAGTTTGACCCTCAGGAAACAAGTCTCAAGAACGTATAGATCTCTTAACCATTTAGGATCCCTGGGTGCCTCAATTGTGAAGTTGTGTTTTTGGAAAACGCCTTTTGGGAGTATGGAAAAACAGGAAATCACAAAACCTACAGAAATGAACTTGCTAGTTTAGCTACTATTCTAATGCTGGTCTATGGTGTTTGAGGTTACTCATTTATGATTAAGCAACCTAAAATAAATGGAATCTGGCTAAAGCTTTTTTTAAAAAAAACTCTTAAGTTTATTTTTTCATTTTATTTATTTATTTATTTATTTATTTATTTATTTTTAAGTAGAGACGGGGTTTCACCATGTTGGCCAGGCTGGTCTCAAACTCGTGGTCTCAAGTGATCCACCAACCTCGGCCTCCCAAGGTGCTGGGATTACAGATGTGAGCCACCGCGCCTGCCCTGGCTAAAATTTCTTTGCAAAGAATTATTTAAAATGTTCAGTTATCCGGGCACGATGGTGCATGCCTGTAGTCCCAGCTATTCTGGAGGCTAAGGTGGAAGGATCACTTGAGCCCAGGAGTTTGAGTCTAGTCTGGGCAACATACTGATACCTTTTCATTTAAAAAAAATTTTAATAGTAATAAGAATGTTCAGTCAATATCAATAGAATTAGGAAGAATTTCTATTTCCTTCCTTCATTAATTCAACAAATATTTATTGAGCAAACATCTGTGTGTCGTCTGGCGCTGTTGCACAGGTCAAACTGGCTTCTTAAGAATGAAATCCTAAGTGTGAGGAAGAAATTGCATTGTATGTGTGGTCTGACTGCAGAAAACCTAAAATAAGTAAACTGCTGCCATGATGAAAAGTCAAGGAGTAAGTTGGCTTTTCCATGTTAGTAAGACAAGTGAAAAGGCATGTTTCAGTCACGATGTAATATTTCCTAAAATTTTGAAGCTATGGGGAGAAAGGTTTGGGAGGAATTTCATAGGGAAAAGAAAATGTGGGGAGGGGGAATGTAAGCAAACAATACTTAGTACATTTTACAAAATTAAAGTCACTTTGTAGGTATATAAAAAGTTTTAAAAGTTGGTTTATTAATGAGAGTAGTGTATTACATTTCTTTTCAAGCAGTAGTTTAAATATTAACCAGTTTACTTTTTTTTAAAGTCAATTTACTTTTCCAGCCTGGACAACATGGTGAAACCTCGTATCTACAAAAAATAGAAAAATTAGCTGGGCGTTGGTGGCTCACGCCTGTAGTCCCAGCTACACAGGAGGCTGAGGCTGGTGAATGGCTTGAGCCCAGGAAGCATAGGTTGCAGTGAGCCGAGATTGTGCCACTGCACTCCAGCTTGGGGACAGAGTGAGACCCTGTCTCAAAAAAAAAAAGTCCATTTACTTTTAAATGCTTTTTTCTTTTTTTTTTGGCAAATTGAGACAAAAGCTGCTGAACTTTCCTAAATCTACACTGTTAGTATTATCAGTTTGTGAAAAGCAAGCAGAAGGAGAATAAACATGAGTATGATATTAAAACAAATTTGTTATAATGTCTGTATTTAGGGTCTTCTGGAGGAATAAACAGAATTAAAAAAAAGAAAAACAAAAACAAAAAAAATTTATTTTTAGTAAATGAACCAGGGGTAGAGGTGGAGGACAAACTAAATTCATTGAACTAAATCACATGGAACTTTTCCTAACCAGTTTCATTTTCTAAGCTCTGAGAGTTACCACTTTCTACTTCTGATGGTTCATTATTTTTGTAAGCTTCTGAAAATCAAAAGCTTGCCCAGATTGAGATAAGTTTCTGCCCCGCTCACGTTTTTATTTTCATGATTTGTCATTATTTCCAAATCTCAACCATTTTATTTCATGTGGTGATGAAGAGTTCTAAAAGCAGGTAAGAAGAACAGTAAAGAAAAATACATTTCCTTTTCTAAGAGTGTAGATCTAAAGTCTCTTATCTGTAATTCAGAAATTGAAATTGTAGAATGACCAAAATTTAAGACTATCAAGTTTTCATAACTCATTTGCCAGTAAAACCTGACCTGAACTGGAGAGAGGCTACTTTATAATCTTTTTAAAATATCACTTAGCGTGATTGGTCATATTAATATGTTTAACTATGAATTGCTGCCCTTTACCTTGCTAGGTGTCACTATGTGGTATATGCCCCATATACTTAAGACCAGATAATTCAAAGTTCCAAATTATACATGGTCCCCAGGATTTCAGATGAGAGACCACAGATCCACATTGGGCTTGTTTTTACCCGTCTGTGGCCTAACGTTATGAAAGCAAGGGGGAAATTCCTTCTCTAATCTCTGCAAGTATACATGGGATGCTACTACCAGTGTCCATTCTGTTTGTCTTTTAAAGCCTAGACAGGACAGGGACATAAGTATCAGCCTCTAGACTAAGCTTGTCCAACCTGCAGCCCAACACAAATTTGTAAACTTTCTTAAAACATTATGAGATTTTTTTGCGATTTTTTTTTTTTTTTTTTTTTTTTTTTTAGCTCATCAGCTATGGTTAGTGTTAGTGTATTTTATATGTGGCCCAGGACAATTCTTCTTCTTCCCATGTGGCTCGGGGAAGCCAAAAGATAGGATATACCTGCTCTAGACAGATGGTTCTCAATGTGTGGTCCCCACCCTAACAGCAGCAGCAGCAACAGCAGCATCCCCTGGGAACTTGTTAGAAATGCACATTCTTGAGCCCCATCCCAGATCTATTGAATCAGAACCTCTGGGCCTGGGGCCTGGCCAGCTTTGTTTTATAAAACCTTCAGGGCATTGGGATACACTCTCAAGTTTGAAAACCACTGCTCTAGATCGGGGTCTGCCAACTACAGCCACAGGCCAAAGCCAGTCAGTCACCTGCTTTTGTATGCCCCAGGAGCCATGAGTGGGTTTTGCATTTTTTTTCTTTTTTCTTTTTCTCTTTTTTTTTCTTTGAAATGGAGTTTCGCTCTCGTTGCCCAGTCTGGAGTGCGATGGCACAATCTCGGCTCACTGCAACCTCCGCCTCCTGGGTTCAAGCTATTCTCCTGCCTCAGCCTCCCGAGTAGCTGGGATTATAGGCATAAGCCACCACGCCCGGCTAATTTTTTGTATTTTTAGTAGAAACAGGGTTTCTCCATGTTGGTCAGGCTGGTCTCTAACTCCCAACCTCAGGTGATTCACCCTCCTCGGCCTTCCAAAGTGCTGGGATTACAGGCGTGAGCCACTGCACCTGGTCTTTTTTCTTTTCTTTTTTTTTTTTTTTGAGACGGAGTCTCACTCTGTTGCCAGGCTGGAGTGCAGTGGTGCGATCTCGGCTCACTGCAACCTCCGCCTCCCGGGTTCAAGCGATTCTCCTGCCTCAGCCTCCCGAGTAGCTGGGACTACAAGCATGCCCCACCACACCTGCCCAGCTAATTTTTAACGGGGTTTCACCATGTTGGCCAGGATGGTCTCGATCTCTTGACCTCGTGATCTGCCCACCTAGGCCTCCCAAAGTGCTGGGATTACAGGCGTGAGCCACCACGCCTGACCTACATTTTTTAAACGGCTGAAAAAAAAAAGAATTTCGTGACACATGAAAATTATATAAAATTTAAACTTCAGTGTCCATAAAGTTTTATTGGAACATGGCCACATCCATTCATTTATGTATTGTCTTTGGCTGCTTTTATGCAGCATCAGTGGAATTGAGTAGTTGCAGCAGACACCAAATGGCCCAGAAAGCTGAAAATATTTACCATCTGGTTCTTTGCAGAAAAAATTTGCTGCTCTAGGTTGATAGTCAACAAACACGAGGAGTAATCACAGAATAATCAGAGACTGAGACCTTCCTTTATCTGAAAATGTCAGCGTCTCCCTAGAAAAAGAAATCTACAGAACTCTTATATTTCTATGTACAGGTGCTGTTATGATCATCACATCATTACATAGCTCTGCATAGTTTTACGTCAAAATAACCTTTGTATTATTTTGGAGGAGTAAGAGTCAAGGAGTTGCTGGACACTTCACATTTTGTCATTATAAAAAATATTTCATAGTCCAAAATTTTTTAGTTCTTTGGGGGAGAGAAACTCATTAAAATTTTTTTTTCTGATTTTCTTCTGAGCTTTAACATTTCTGTATTCCAGGACACATTACCTTTCATGCAAGATTGAACTGTGTCCTGGTTAGAGTGTTGCGTTTTATTTTGTGCAAGATTGGAACCATCTAGATTACTCCTTAAATGGTTGTTATAATGTCCCAGGTAGCCCATGGTTAACTTTGTATATCTACCTATTCAGTCATCTCTCTGTGTTTACTTAATTTATGGGAAAGACATGAAGGAAGAGGTATTTGATGAACTGTTCGTGTTTTTCATGATCTTTTCTGGAAGCTGAAAATTTTCTCACTGGACAGCATTAAATTTTACTCTTAAAAACTTCAGCAACTTAAGAGCGTTCATTCAGCTGTCTGTAGTATTTATATATGCAGTTTTGATGATATTTTTCTTGATCATTTAACGGTGAATATCTGTGGGCAATAAGTCTTGTACAGTGCATTGACATTTAATCATAAATATGTATTAACTATTTTATTTTTGTATGTGTGTGTCTTAATAAATTATGTTTCTTAGGCAACTTGTTCCAGCGATGGCATGTTCCTCTAGAACTCCAGATGACAAGACAAATGGCTAGCTCTGGTGCATCAGGGGGCAAAATCGATAATTCTGTGTTAGTCCTTATTGTGGGCTTATCAACAGTAGGAGCTGGTGCCTATGTAAGTAGAAAAGCAGCGTGTATAAAGAAGCTGCCAAACAGCTCCCATTAATAGACTCGATAGTATTCTGCTTTAAAACTTTTGCAACTAATTCCCCTTTCTCCTTTTGGAAAAATTTTCAAAAAGCCTTCTCTTAAGTGCCTGCTGCCTAATATCTTATGGGAGCCAATTCTGGAATGACTGAAATTTAATCTCATGTTGATTGATTTCTGCTCTTTTCACTTGTCTTTTTCTTCTTTACTTGAAAGCCACTATGTTTTCCTAGATTCGAGTAACCCACAAAATTGTACCTGTTTTCTTGGATGTCACACACTAACCTGTGAATAAAGTCAAAATCCATTGCAGCTCCTTAGCACAATATTTGATTTTGACCTATTTGTCAGACATTTTATTTCCTCAGCTTGAGGTTCACATTAAAAAAACAACAGCCTTCAATCAAAAATATTAAGTGTTCCTAAAAGGAAAGCTATCCCTGAATCTTACCCAAAGACTAAATTACAGAAACAGGGCTAGTATCACTGATTTTAGAATGGAGTTTGTTTGAGGTGAGAAATATGGTGTTTAATTGCTATGTAGTATTAGCACCATTATATCTCCTTAAATGAACTCCGATCAGCTTAGCAGGTCACAGAGGAATTATTTTGTGGGTGTTTTTTTCCTAACTTGGCAGGGTTTACTGTGACTAAGCCGATCAGTCTAAAGTTGGATCCTGTAAGGTTGAGTGAACCAACTTAGATAACACCTAGTAACACCCTTGATTGAAGGAAGCTGTTTGTTTTACTTAAGCCATTACAAGTTTAGGGGTTTTTTTCTACATTGGTAAGACAATGAATTTATCTTTGTTCCTTGGTTGCTAGCTTAAAGAAAGGGACATGAAAATTATTTGAAGCTACCTATATCCTCATCCCCTGATGTGACTCCCAAACGGACAAGAAAAGTAGATAGTTCTTGCCTATTGTGAGTCAAATCAGAGTAAGAAATAGGCGAGAGCTGTCTGATAATGTGGTTTGATGAAATACACATTCTGCAATCCTGGAGCAGCATTTTTTTCTTTTTCCTTTTTTAGCACAGGGTAACCAAAACTGCTTCTCTGCCTTTGTATTGAATGTTTCTTCATTAATACTTAGTACTCTGTTTCCTTTTGTTTCTCTCTTGGCCTTATCTTTACCTACAGTTGTGCAGTCTCATCACCTAGGATCCCCTTCTAGATCACTAGCATCTACAGGTGCTTCTGGGAAAGATGGCAGCAACCTAGTGTACTTCTTAATTGTAGGAGCAACAGTCACTGGGGCAGGAGTTTATTATGTAAGATGCTTACACTAAAACATATTTTGGGGTAGGGTGGGTGAGCCCATGGCACTAATGAAAACTTGATACATTAGAATATAGTAAAATATTCACAGCATGTGCTTTCTCTAGGTGTTTATTAAAGGGACATTGTCAGTCACTAGAGAGTCCTCAAATCTCATTCTTCAAACTGTTGAAGTCCTACCAGATATAGCTAAAGCCACAAGTCTAATGATGATCACAAATCCTCATCATTAACTCTTTCTTTGAAACTTTTGCCAATTTTATAATGATTTTGTATGATACCAAATTATATTGTGCTTTAGTGCTGCATATCTAACAAGACAGTCTCAGAGTAAATGTTAAATAAGCAAATAAAGGTAATGTGAACATCATCCATTTTTGAATCATTTTAGGTAAAATGTAATGTTTGTGTTTTGTGGGAAACGATCAACCAGACTTTGACTATGAAAAGGCATTTTATTGAATGCTTCTGAGGAGATCCAAAAAGCCATAGAAACTGCAATATTCTCCCCATCCACCTTTCCACCCACAGCCTCTATTTCAAAGTAAATTCATTTGGCAGTGTCCCTTTGTAATCTCTAATTTGGTCAAACTAGTGGCTGAAGCGGTACAAGCTAACACATTCATGTAGATTGCTTTCTGTAATGCCTCTCATTCGTAATTCAGATACTACCCTCTGAGCCTTACTTTTTGCATTTCATATCTCTCAACTTTTCCCATCAGTTCCACCCCATTCATTCAAAAATAGATTTAAAGCCTTTGTGTTCAGTATGTTGGTAACAATTTAAACCTGATAAATTCCTGGTCCGTGTTGCTGTACCAGAGTTGGATGGCCTCCACAGAGTTGACCATGCAAATTTTCTTGATGCCAAGCTACAAGACAGGGCTGGTCACTGTTCCTTTCTCCTGCCTTAGAAATATCTAAGAAGCACAAGTTCCTCTCAAGTCATTCATTTAAATGCCTCATTGTACTCTGTGTTTATCCAACACTGGTAATAATAAAGCTACCGTATTATAAAGTGGTTCCAGGTTAAATGATAAGCTTTTGTCTACCTACAACTGTTATTGAACTGTTATGTACAGTTTTGTTTTAGGTTCTAAATTATTGAAAACTTGATCTGAGGTGGCTTAGTTTTTTTGTCCGAAATTGGTATTAGTCTCAAGAGAACTATGAACTTAAAATCAGTGTTCAGATTTGATGAGATATAGCTGTAAGTTGTTGAACGTTTGTATTAGTTTCTTGGGCTGCCATAACAAAACACCACGGACTGAGTGGCTTAAACAACAGAGGTTTATTTTCTCATAGTTCTGAAGGCTGGAAAGGCCAAGATCAAGGTCACACAGGGTTCAGTTTCTGGTGAGGGCTCTCTTCTTAGCTTTCAGACAGCCTACCCTCTTGCTGTGTCCTCACATGGTTTTGCGGGGTGGGGGACGGAGAGGGAGAAAGAGTGAGCAAGGGAACTCCGGTGTCTTCCCCTTCCTGTATGAGCTCCAGCTCTATCTGATTAGGGCCCCACCCTTAAGACTTCATTCAATCATTATCACCTCCCCAATGCCCCATTGCCAAATACCATCACATAGTGGGTTAAGGCTTCAATATAGGAATAGGAAACATTCAGTCCATAACAGTGAATAGCGTTTCTTCGTAACTTTTTTCTGTCATTTGAAGAAATGTTCCTAACTTAAGTATAACTATTACTTTGGCAATTCCTGTATTGGGAGCTCTTTACCTCCCTCCCACTTTACCCTCCAAAAAAAGGGAGTAAACTGCCGACTTTTTTTTTTTTTTTTTTTTTTGAAACGGAGTCTCTCTGTGTCGCCCAGGCTGGAGTGCAGTGGCGCGATCTCGGCTAACTGATACGTCCGCCTCCCGGGTTCATGCCATTTTCCTGCCTCAGCCTCCCGAGGAGTAGCTGGGACTACAGGCGCCTGCCACCATGCCCGGCTAATTTTTTTTTTTTTTTTTTTTTTGTATTTTTAGTAGAGACGGGGTTTCACTGTGTTAGCCAGAATGGTCTCCATCTCCTGACCTCGGGTGATCCACCCGCCTCGGCCTCCCAAAGTGCTGGGATTACAGGCGTGAGCCACCGTGCCCAGCCTAAACTGTCGACTTTTAAAAATTTTTACCATGATCTGCAGTGAGAAATACATTTCTTTTACAACCCATTTTATGACTACAAATACATAAAAAGAAACAAAGCTTCAAAAACTACTCTTACTAGGTATCATACACTTACTCTAGCTTCTGTTCTCTTCTATTTGTGTTTGCGTCTAATGCTGGTTGCAGCCTACTAAATTGACTTCACAGCCCACTAATGGCATGCAACCACAGTTTGAAAAACACTGATTTCAACAGTGCTTCTGCTGCTCGGATTGTAAATATGAACTTCTGATTCGCATTGATGTGAGAGTTTTTCCTCTTTTTGCTGGTAACTTTCCCTAGGACCTGAGGCAGATTCCCAAATCTCAGTCCTCTATTTTTTGTTGGTGGGCAGAGCCAAAGTGGCCTTTAGAATAGTTAATGAGATTTAGTATTTGGGCCCTTTGCTATTGTTAAGCTATAGGATTGCATTGCCTCACTCAGAAAATGACCTGTTTCCTTTCAAATCCCATTAAGTTGAATAAATGCCACCATATTCATCTGTTTAGAAAAGTTGTCTTCACTAATATTTTTCATAAATTTGTAGTCTTTCTTAACCTGACATGTATTCATGTCATTAATTGGAAATCTGTGCAAACTAGGAGTACAGAAACCCTTGGGGGAAAGGTAAAGAAATAAATACATTTATATATATATATCAGACAGATCGACCTCATTCTTGCCCTTTCCCCACTAAACCTCTAGATATTTCTTGGTCTGCTCTTCCCTTCATGTGTGAGCCATTAGCAAGTGTGAGCTGGGCTTAGGCTATTTTGGGATATTCCTCTCAATGAACATGGCCCCTGTTTATTTCTCTTTTCATTCATGTTGACCAGAGTAAGCCATCTTTTTAGGTAAAACTTTTCTTTTTTTTCTTTTCTTTTTTCTTTTCTTTTCTCTTCTCTTCTCTTCTCTTCCCTTTTTTGGAAAAGCTTTCCCCTCTAGGTTTTTTTTGTTGTGTTTTTGTTTTTGAGACAGAGTCTCGCTCTGTCGCCCAGGCTGGAGTGCAGTGGTGCAATCTCGGCTCACTGCAGCCGCCACCTCAGGGGTTCAGGTGGTTCTCGTGTCTCAGCCTCCCTAGTAGCTGGGATTACAGGCGTGCCCCACCACACCCAGGTACTTTTTGTATTTTTAATAGAGACGGGTTTGCTCTTTTGGCCAGGCTAGTCTCGAACTCCTGGCCTCAAGTGATCTCCACAACTTGGCCTCCCAAAGTGCTGGAATTATAGGCATCAGCCACTGCGCCTGGCTAAAGTCCCTTTCTTAAAAGAAATGTTTTTAAGATATGAGTAAATACTGGACTTGTGTATAGTATCTGATACCAAGATAAAAACTCTTCCTGAAATTAATGTTAATTGAATTCATTTATTCGATACATTTAGTAGTAAATTCAAGGAGTAACTATTGTCTTTTCCCATACAGTACTTAACTTTCTACTTCATTTGTCACAACGTTAAATGCTTCCAGGTTGAACCCAGCTCTCAGGGTTCAGGTTCCTCAATTGCAGCACATTGCCTGATGGGCTGTTCTGGAAGGAAGTCATAGAAGTATTCTTAGAATATGTTTTATGGGGCCGGGTGTGGTGGCTCACGCATGTAATCCCAGCACTTTGGGAGGCCAAGGTGGGTGGATCACAAGGTCAGGAGTTCAAGACCAGCCTGGCCAACATAGTGAAACCCCACCTCTACTAAAAATACAAAAATTAGCTGGGCATGGTGGCGTGTGCCTGTAGTCCCAGCTACTCAGGAGGCTGAGGCAGCAGAATCGCTTGAACCCAGGAGGCAGAGGTTGTAGTAAGCCGAGATCACGCCACTGCACTCCAGCCTGGGCAACAGAGTGAGACTACATCTCAAAAAAAAAAAGAAAAGAATATGTTTTATGATAGTTCCTCTGATTGTCTTTACTTTCTCCTACAATTAATCTGAGATTTCATTTGACATATGTTCACCTAAATTCCTGTTTTGTTGACCCTGTGGGGTACAAAAGAGCAAAAGCATTGTAGGTTTTTCTTTTCTTTTTTTTTTTTTTTTTTGAGACAGAGTCTCACTCTATCGCCCAGGCTGGAGTGCAGTGATGTGATCTCAGCTCACTGCTGCAACCTCCACCTCCTGGGTTCAAGCAATTCCCATGCCTCAACCTCCCAAGTAGCTGGGACTACAGGCGTGCATCACCTCACCCAGCTAATTTTTGTATTTTTAGTAGAGATGGGGTTTCACCATGTTGGCCAGGCTGGTCTCAAACTCCTCACCTCAGGTGGTCTGCCCACCTCAGCCTCCCAAAGTGCTGGGATTACAGGTGTGAGTCACCATGCCCGGCCAAAAGCATTGTAATGTTAAGTCATTCTTGCCTACCTTTTCTTTAAAAAGTCTCCAATAGGCCGGGCGCGGTGGCTCACGCCTGTAATCCCAGCACTTTGGGAGGCCGAGGCGGGCAGATCACGAGGTCAGGAGATCGAGACCATCCCGGCTAAAACGGTGAAACCCCGTCTCTACTAAAAATACAAAAAATTAGCCGGGCATAGTGGCGGGCGCCTGTAGTCCCAGCTACTTGGGAGGCTGAGGCAGGAGAATGGCGTGAACCCGGGAGGCAGAGCTTGCAGTGAGCCGAGATCCCGCCACTGCACTCCAGCCTGGGCAACAGAGCGAGACTCCGTCTCAAAAAAAAAAAAAAAAAAAAAAAAAAAGTCTCCAATAAACTCTGGTACTGTATGTTAAAAAAGAACAACACACAACTGGTCATAATGGTAAAATTACCCTTTTCCAATTTGAAAGGATAGAGAAGATAGAATATTTGAAATGTAACAGGTGTGTTTAAGCAAGGTGTTTGACCCCCTAGTAAATATCTGTGTGTAGTTTTTCTGAATGAGATTCCTTCTACCTCGTGAGTTTAAGAAAAGGATAGACCATTGAGGGAATGATGGGTAACTCTCTAAAAATAGAATACAGGCAGCCATGTTTCTGACCACTGTGTGAGTACTTAGCAAAAGCCGGAATGTTGACCAGGAAAACTTATGTCCCAGCTTCCTACCCGGGACCCTATAGATTGATTTCACAGCTAGTGTCCAGCGTAGTCCAAACCCCGTTTCTGTGCTTCATATATAGATTAGCCCTTTCTAGCACTTTATTCTTCTAGTATAAAATGATTTTTTCTTTTTTCTTAAACTGTACCTTCAGAATAAAATATGGGGAGAATTCTTTATAGAGAGCCTAAAAATCTGAAACTGGAATATTTTCATCTGCTTACACATATTTTTTCCATACCAAGCATGTGCACACCCAGTATTTTTTATTTCTTAAGAAAACAACTTTGTCTTAGTGGTTTTGACATAGAGGAACTAACATCAGATAGACAAAAGCTTCTCATTTAATTGAAAGATAATATTACTTACAGTATGAGCTAGCTGTATGGTGAAATAAACTTTCTCCATGTTTGGATCCGCAGGCCTACAAGACTATGAAAGAGGATGAAAAAAGATACAATGAAAGAATTTCAGGGTTAGGGCTGACACCAGAACAGAAACAGAAAAAGGCCGCGTTATCTGGTGAGTATTCCCTTAAGTCTTGCTATGATTTGAGACTCACAAAGGGAAAGTTATAAACAGTTTGGGTGCTGTGATTTATGGATGTCTTGTAGAAGCAATGGTGGTATGAGATTGCAAGCATCTAGAAAGTATGGTATTACCCTAGAACTGGGAGTGATTTAAAGCATTTGGCTGAAATTTGGGTTTGAGAATAAAGCTAGTGATAATTATGATTGGTTGTTTATCTGTATATTAATATTAGTCTCTTGGCTGGGCACGGTGGCTCACGCCTGTCATCCCAGCACTTTGTGAGGCCGAGATGTGCGGGTCAGCTGAGGTCAGGAGCTCAAGACCAGCCTGGCCAACATGGTAAAACCCCATCTATACTAAAAATACAAAAATTAGCCAGGCGTGGTGGTGCACGCCTGTAATCCCTGGTGCTCGGGAGGCTGAGGCATGAGAATCTCTTGAACTGAAGTGGCGGAGGTTGCAGTGAGCCAAGATCACGCTGCTGCACTCCAGCTTGGGTGACAGAGCAAGACTCTGTCTAAAAAAAAAAAAAAAAAAGTCTCTTAAAAGGCAAGCTTAGCAAGGAAAACTATTGGAAAAGATGGAAAAGAGATGAAAACCTTTTTTTTTTTTTTTTTTTTTTTTTTGAGATGGAGTTTCACTCTTTTTGCCCAGGCTGGAGTGCAGTGGCCCGATCTCATCTCACTGCAACCTCCGCCTCCTGGGTTCAAGCAATTCTCCCGCCTCAGCCTCTGGAGTAGCTAGGATTACAGGTGTGTGCCACCATGCCTGGCTAATTTTGTATGTTTAGTAGAGACAGGGTTTCACCATGTTGGCCAGGCTGGTCTCAAACCCCTGACCTCAGGTGATCCGCCTGCTTCGGCCTCCCAAAGTGCTGGGATTACAGGTGGGAGCCACCACGCCCAGCCGAAAGCTGTTTTTTAAATGAGGAAATTCTTCTAGTCTGTTTTGTTCCCCTTTTGAGTCTTTGCAGTTTCGAGTTGCTAAAGGTATATTTGCTTTCCTAAAGCACATACCCTAGCCATCACTTCCATTTCACATGATTCACTTCAATTTTCAGAGAGGACTGTTTTAATCCTTTAATAAGCCCCACAACTCTGGGTGGGCAATTTGTTCTGCTTTTTTCAAAAGCACCCCCTTATTCTTGAACATTGTATGATAATCCCCAATTGACCTCCTGGATTTTCTCCCTTTGTTGCTAACGGAAGGTGAAACTGAGCCTGATATTTTCCTGGTGATCACTAGGAAATTGATGGGAAGGGCAAAAGCCTACTGATGTATACTTTCTAAATGTTTTAGAAGTAACTAAATATTTAAGCTATGTCCTAGTACCAGTTCAGACCTGATGAATGAATGACATTGGTGAAATCATTCTCCTATTTTTCACTTATGAAATGAAAGGGATACTTGCTTTTCCTCTCCCATCAGGATGCTGTGAAGATTGTTAAGATTAGCGTAGGTCATATGTTTTGCTAGCTTTATGTGGAGGATTGAGACAAGTGCAAGGTGATTTTTTTTTAACAGTGGCAAAGAATCATCTGAGACTTCAAGAAGATTCATCCAGTCTGTTCTGTTGCTTTCAGCTTCAGAAGGAGAGGAAGTTCCTCAAGACAAGGCGCCAAGTCATGTTCCTTTCCTGCTAATTGGTGGAGGCACAGCTGCTTTTGCTGCAGCCAGATCCATCCGGGCTCGGGATCCTGGGGCCAGGGTAAGGTGCATGTTTTTTTGCTTGGCACAGAGGGTACAGTCTGCAAGCATTTAGCTAATGTGAATGCTTTGACATTTGCCCCTTAAATGACTTGGCTCTGATAAGCGTCATGATTTTTATGTCTGAAGGTACTGATTGTATCTGAAGATCCTGAGCTGCCGTACATGCGACCTCCTCTTTCAAAAGAACTGTGGTTTTCAGATGACCCAAATGTCACAAAGACACTGCGATTCAAACAGTGGAATGGAAAAGAGAGAAGGTGTGTTTGCTTATGTAAAATGAGCCTATCAACTTCAGCTAAGCACAGAGAATAGGTTAGGATTTTGCCACTGACTGTGTACAGTAATAGGAGGGATGGCTTGGCTGTCCACTAGAGTCTACTGTGGTCCACACTTGGTACAGCTTAGAGATAACAGTCTACAAAGGGCAAGAGTCCTGGATTCTGTTACCAGATCTACCAACAGTTGATGGTGTAATGTTGGCCTCTGAAATACTAATGCTCCTATTTCTGGAACCTTTATGTTAAGCTTCTTTAGGTGAAGATCAACTTGGCCTGTATTGTCACTTCTTTTTTTATTTTTATTTTTTGAGATGGAGTCTTGCTGCTCTGTCACCAGGCTGGAGTGCAGTGGCGCAATCTCAGCTCACTGCAACCTCCACCTCCCGGGTTCAAGCAATTCCCCTGCCTCAGCTTCTCAAGTAGCTGGGATTACAAGCACGTACCACCACACCCGGCTAATTTTTTGTATTTTATAGTAGAGATGGGGTTTTATCACATTGGCCAAGATGGTCTCGATCTCCTGACCTCATGATCCGCCTTCCTCGGCCTCCCAAATTGCTGGGATTACAGGCGTGAGCCACTGCCCCCAGCCATCACTTCTTTATACTTGCCTAGACATGTCCTACAAGAGCAGAAGAAAAGAAACTTTTTAACGGCACTCTCTTTGACAGCCTAGCAGGCATTTAGAATTTCAGGAGTAGAGTAGGAAGGCTGTAAGGAAGAGCCTGTGTTAGAATTTTTGCACGACAGACTTGGAGATACAGGTCCAGAAGCTTTTTCCTTTTGATGGACAACTTAGATCTCAATTCTAGTACCATGTTCTTTGGGTTCCAATTTTTTTTCTCATTAGTGACCCCTTTGATACCTGACCAAATTTTACAAACTTACCCTTTTCCCTCACCCCCACTAGTTCCATTTTCAAACAGGATGTATACTTTCAATTAAGTTAGTGGCTAACTTTATATGTATACATATGCATACACACACACACACACACACACACACACACACACACACACATATTTTGAGAGACAGGGTCTGGCTCTGTCACCCATGCTGGAGTGCAGTGGCCGAATCATAGCTCACTGCAGCCTCAAACTCCTGGGCTCAAGTGATCCTCCCACCTCAGCCTCCCGAGTAGCTAGGACTACAGGTGCGTACCACCACGTGCCTTTTATTAATTAAAAAAATTTTTTTCTAGAGACGAGATGTTGCTATGTTGCCCAATCTGGTCTCAAACTCCTGGCCTCAAGTGATCCTCCCAACTTGGGCTCCCAAAGCACTGGGGTTATAGACCTGAGCCACTGCACTCAGCCAATATTAATATATTAACTAATTAATATTAATATATCATAGTTGATAACTGCTTGAGGCAGAGTCTTCTCAGGAGCTATAATTAGTTGTTCCATTGAAGAGCACCATTCTGGACAACCCATTTGGGTGGATATGTGAATACCAGCTCTTTGGGTGCTCCACTTGTTCTTACTTTGAAATGAACCTAAATCTAGAGCAGGATCCTCAGCCTCAGCACTATTGACATTTGGAGCAGGATAACGCTTTGCTGGGGGTGGGGAGCTGTCCAGTGCATCATAGGATGTTTAGCAGCATCCCTGGCCATTACCCACTGGATATGAGTAGCATCCCTACCCAAGTTATTACAACCCAGATTGTCTCTGGACACTGGCAAACATCCCCTGGGAGCAAAATTGCCCCAAGTTGAGAACCACTGATCTGGATACCTGTATGTAAGCAAGTCATGACCATGATTTAATAGACTTGGAGACTTACTTTGGAAAACGTCCCTTAAAGTTTCTGATAATGGAAACAGTTTTATTAAAGCTACGGGGGAAGCTGATAACAGTTCCACATGCTTATAATATTCTCCCTCTCTTCTCCATACAGCATATATTTCCAGCCACCTTCTTTCTATGTCTCTGCTCAGGACCTGCCTCATATTGAGAATGGTGGTGTGGCTGTCCTCACTGGGAAGAAGGTGAGCTAGTAGACCGCTTCTTTTGTCAGGCTCTACGTACTTGCCCACCAGCCAGTATGGTGATGTGTGTTTCCATTACCATTTATGTCTGTCCTGCCATTGTAGTTCATCAAAGAAGGATCGAGCTGCTTTAGGTTTAATAATGCTGAGTGTGTCTTTCTGGGGAAAGCACTAGTATCAAAGCCTAGGTTAGCATGCTGACTCAACTTGACCCTAAAAGCTGTTATCTCTCCTATTTGCTCTTCTGCCCTTCCTCATCCTTCCTGTTTTCCCACACTAACTTCTCTCTGGGATTATCGATGAGAAAAGATTGACAAATATGTATTACTCATAGTAAAATAATTTGGGCATAACTCAGCACGGAATATATTGTTAGACTTTAAAAGGTGAGTGTCTGAGTAATAAGGTCAGTTATTAGCAGGTATTTGTGGAGTCCCAGGATGGTTTTGTTATATTTTATTGTTGTTAATGGCAGGTACTAGAGTGTGTGTGTAAACTAATGGCAGTGTTCCAATAGGGACGCATTCTCTGAAGGAGCAAAGCCCAGAGTAGATGAGATACACAGCATAAGTGGAAGGATTGTCCTTCGTTAGGAACATACTCACTTCTCCTGTAAGGGGACATTAGACAGAGAAGATGGATATAGGTTTGTTGATAAGCCGGTAATGAGACATTTAGTGTCCCCTATGTGTAAACAACATTCAGGCCCTGCCCTCTAGGGGCTAACTGTATTAGGCAGAAACATAAATACATAATCATAACACATAGGTGTGTAGTAAGAGAGATCTGCGCAGTATGTTGTGGGAAATACTGGGAAGGGTGCCCAGTAGAGTGATGACATCAGGAAAGGCTTTCTGGAGGAGAAGGTCTTACAGAATGGGCAATCTTATGGAATGAAGAGGCATTCACCAGACTAGAGAAGACTGAAGAGCATCCAAGTAAAAAAGAACAGCATAAGCAAAAGCACAAGGGCACAAAAAAGCATGTTTGGTGCCAGGAAATAGAAGCAGCTCGATACTGATAGAGCAGTTAGGTACAAGTTAGGAAGTGGCAAGAGATGAACCTGAGAAGTTATGCAAGGGGCCTGATTGTGGAGGGCTTTGCGTGAAAGAGCTTTTTCTGCACTGGGGAGCTGTTGCATTTTAGGCAATTGAATTTTAAATAATCACCATTGGCCGTGAGGAGGATGGATTTCAGTGAGACAAGACTAGAGAGAGACCATTTCAGAGATTATTGCAATAATCTAGGCAAGAGATGATGAGAGCCCAAATTAGAATAGTAGTGGTATGATGATGATGAAGAAGAAGAAGAAAGTAAGAGGTAAAATTTGTATAGTACCTATTCTAATCTTGTAAGCACAGTTCTTAAATGCTTTATGTGCACCATCTCATTTTATCCTCCCAATAATCTTATGAGGTAGGTATTATTTCCCTCTTACAGAGAAATAAGTTGAAATTTTTAAAAATAAATAAATTTTAAATAATTTGCCTAAACTCACATAGCTAGTAAGTGGTAGAGAGAGAATTTGAGCCCGGGTCTGTCTGAGCCACAGAATTGGAACCCAGCTATTCTGATTCCAGAGCCTAAGCTATTAATAACATCAGTGTACAGTGTACAGTACTTTTTTTTTTTGAGACAGATTCTCACTCTGTCGCCCAGGCTGGAGTACGGTGGCATGATCTCAGCTCGCTGCAACCTCTGCCTCCCAGGTTCAAGCGATTCTCCTGCCTCAGCCTCCCAAGTAGCTGCATGCGCCACCATGCCTGGCTATTTTTTTTTTTTGTCTTTTTAGTAGAGATGGGGTTTTACCATGTAGGCCAGGTTGGTCTCGAACTCCTGACCTCAGGTGATCCACCCACCTCGGCTTCCCAAAGTGCTGAGATTACAGGCATGAGCCATCGTGTCCAGCCAGTATTACTTCTTGATAGAAAGGTGATGAGAAGTAGGGAACACACTTGAGGCATGCTTAGGAGTCATGCTTGATGAGGCTTGGTGGTTGGTTAAAGGTAGAAGATGAAGGAGATGGAGGAGGCAAAGATGATTTTCTAATTTCTAGCCTGCATGTCTGAGTGGATGGCAGTGTACCCACAGCTGAGAAAGACATTACAAGAGGAAGAGCTAGTTTAAGGGGGAAGATAAAATTCAGTTTTGGACCATTAAGTATGAAGTGGAATATCTGCGTGAAGGTGTCTTCTGGGCAGTTGGACATATGACTGCCACGCCCAGGGGACTTGGGCTCAGATAGAGAGCTGAGAATCATCTGCATATGTGTAGAAGTTGAAACCATGAGAGTAGGTGAAGCCTCCCAGGGAGAACTGATCTGGTGAGAAGAGGAGGAAGGCAAGGATAGAGCCCTGGGGAACCCCAATTTTTAGGAAGCAGGCTTAAGAAGAACCCACAAAGGAGACTAGGAAAGAACTTAAAGAGCAGTATGAGGAAACCTGAGGACAGGAGCCAAGGTTGTAGGGAGTTTCAAGAAAAAGAATGTGATCCACAGTGTTACCGTGGCAGAGGAATCTGGGAAGAAAAGAACCGTAAAATGCACTGTGAGATTTGGCGGTTCAGATACCTTTGGGAGGCTGAGGCAGGTGGATCACTTGAGGTCTGGAGTTAGAGACCAGCCTGGCCAACATGGTGAAAACACATCTCTACTAAAAATACAAAAATTAGCCAGGTGTGGTGGCGCACACCTGTAATCCCAGCTACTCAGGAGGCTGAAGCACGAGAATCGCTTGAACCCAGGAGGCGGAGGTTGCAGTGAGCCAAGATTGCATCAGTGCACTCCAGCCTGGGTGACAGAACAAGACTCCATTTCAAAAAATTAATAAAATAAAACAGATACCATTGGGAAGTTAGAAAAGAGGGTAAAGCACTCTTTCAAAAGATTTAAATGAGAAAAGAGAGATGGCAATCGGATAAAAGCGTGAAGAGGACATAGAATCAAAGGTGGGACCTATTGGATGGGACAAGCATGTTAATAGGCTGGACGGGGGTGGTGGGGAGCCCTCATGCCTCATGGGAAGCTATGGAAGATCACATCTAATGGCTTCATTTGTTTTTGCAATACAATAGAACATAAGATGGTTATCTGAGAGCGAACACCGTGAGGGTTGAGTAGCGGGATTGGATTGAAGAGGGAGCTTACCAAGGACAAATCAAAGGAGGCTAAAGAAGCTGCTTATCCATCAGATCTCAGTTCATGTCATTGCCTCTAGAAAGCTTTACCCAACCCAACCTGACTAGATTGCACATGTCATATGTTCCCAGCGCTACCTGCACTGTTCTTACCACTTACATCACATTTGTCACTCTTGATTATTGTTAGTGCTTGTTAAATTGTCTTGGCCACTAAACTCTGAAAGCAGCAAGGATCACTGTCTCAACTTGATACATAGTAGGTGCTTAATTGAATGGTCTCAGCTAGTAAAGAGTGGTGCAAAGACTGGGGCCCTATTCTCTCTGACTCCAAAGCTCAAGCTCTTAACCATAAGAAGGAGTAGGGTGCAAGGGAATTAAAGGTACTGGCAAAAGAACAGTTTGGGTGTTCTACCATTGGCCCAAATTAGTTAGAATGGAGCAGCTAGTCAAATAAACAGAGAAAATTGAAAGCAAGCATAGGAGACAGACTGAGCGAAAGCTGAAGGGATGGAAAATTGTGACCAACAAGTAGAATAATTGAGGTAGGAGGAGAGGTTTAGGAGATAACAAGATGAGGAAAAGTATGAGCCAGGTTCCAAGGTCTTCAGTGAATCAGGAGGAGTAGCCAGGAGGTGGCTCAAAACAGTGATTCGTAGGAATATAGGACTCCTCTGATGTCCCTCAGAAGAGAATGAAAGTACAAGAATCTGGAAGCAGCAGACCAGTAACCTCAAGAAGCTTGCAGAATGCCAACACCTCCTCCTGGCCTTGTGATGTGGAGTGTGGGGGAACGAACAGCCTCTATGTGTAAGCTCTCCTTAAGAGAGAGCCAAGTTTCCGTGAAGGCTACAAGTTGGAGAAAGCATTCTGTAAAAATGTTGTAGATGTAGGAGACTTATTAATAAAGTAATAATAAGTAATTCCAAACAGCCATATAAGAAAGGCTGTTCCGATTCTCCTTTTCCACACATGGGTCAGGGCTTTGGGACTGTCATGACTTGCTCTAATGTTGCCTGCCTTCTCATTGCCAATTTCCAACATATGACTGCCTAAAAAAACTGGGTACCAGAAACTGTGGTTCCCATGATTACTTGGATATGGTTTCTTAAGGATCGCTTTAGGTCAAGAACTCATTCTTCTTATTGGGCTGACAACTTTTTTTGTTTTTGTTTTTGTTTGTTTTTGTTGTTGTGGTTTTGGGGTTTTTTTGTTTTGTTTTGTTTTTGAGACAGAATCTTGCTCTGTTGCCCAGGCTGGAGTGCAGTGGCATGATCTCGGCTCACTGCAACCTCTGCCTCCCAGGTTCAAGCGATTCTCCTGCCTCAGCCTCCCCAGTAGCTGGGACCACAGGCATATGCCGCCACACCTGGCCAATTTTTGTATTTTTAGTAGAGACGGGGTTTCGCCATGTTGGCCAGGCTGGTCTCAAACTCGTGGCCTCAGTGATCTGCCTGCCTCAGCCTCCCAAAGTGTTGGGATTACAGGCATGAGTCACTGTGCCTGTCCTGGGCTGACAACTTCTTATTGACCTGGAGTTTTGGGGTGGTGATGGAAATGTTCTGAAATCAGATAGTGGTGATGGTGGCACAACCTTGTGAATATACTGAAATCCACAGAATTCCACACTTTAAAATGGTGAATTTGATGTGAATTATATCTCAATAAAACTTTTTCAATGCTAATTCATCTCTACCTCTTTTGTGTATGTGTGTGACTGTACCAGGTAGTACAGCTGGATGTGAGAGACAACATGGTGAAACTTAATGATGGCTCTCAAATAACCTATGAAAAGTGCTTGATTGCAACAGGTGAGCATTTCTGGAGATGGCTTTCTTCCCTGATACAGCTCATTCAAGTTTTAGAGTCCAGCCTTCTCTATGGAAGGCATTACTACTTAAGAAAATGGAAACCCAGACTCTCTGAAGTGAGTGTCTTCTCTTGGTACAAAAGCTGGCTGTGTCAAAGCATCCTGGATCACCAGCCCTTCTGGATGATCCTTGCTGTTCTCCCGGTAGAGGCATGAAGAAGTTGCCCTTTTTTCTCTCCCTGCTTAACCCTCACCCTGTGCCCTGTGCCTTGAAAGTGATGTCGTTTGTGGCTTCATTGCCAGTTGCAATCAGAAACCAAGAGAGGAGACAGAAGCAATTTATCAAACCCATGTAGCTATGCTAGCTGGCAAATCCTCATGAGAAACTAGAAGAGAACATGGAAGCCAAAAGTAAGGCCTTTTGGCCACCTAGGGGCAGGGTGTACCCCTTGAAGACAGACTCTCAAATCTGCTTCTCAAAGGAAACTGACAGAAAGCCTGCTGTGAGGCAAGCTGAAGGCAAACAAAGCCTTGGTATCCTATCCTGTTGTTGCCGCCATGGTGCTAAGTGAAGAGGGCTCCACCTTTGTGTGGTGGAGGGAGTATTGTTTGGGCTGGCTCCTGCTTGTTGGGCTAAAGGGTTTTCCTTCTCTTATTTCCAGGAGGTACTCCAAGAAGTCTGTCTGCCATTGATAGGGCTGGAGCAGAGGTGAAGAGTAGAACAACGCTTTTCAGAAAGGTAATTGTCTGCTTTAGTGTTTTCCTTGTGTTGTTTTTGAAGAAGTAGTATAATCTTGCAGTCCCCAAGTGCCCACCCGGGACTTGGGAGATCCAAGTTCTATTTATGGCTCTTCTCCAGACTTGTTATCTGGCCTTGAACAAGTCACTTCCTCTCTCTGCACCTCAGATACCTCACTCAAGGGTTTTAAGCTCCTAGGGAAAAAATGGAGTGTTTGTATTGCTTGCAATAGATCCTTCTGATTGCTCTTCCATAGTTGTTTTTTCCTGATGTGTTTGATTCATTGGAACCCCTTACAGCCTCTTGGCATTTTTCATTGCAAGTGCTGTGTAGAGACTTCTGAGAAAAAAGTTAAGAGTACCTAAATAAAAAGCAAGGAGGTGTTCTGCTTCTTAACACTGTGCTTATAAAAACTGCTGTCATTTTTCAGGGATAAGATTTGTCCTGTCTTTTTTTTTTTTTCGAGACTGAATCTCGCTCTATCACCCAGGCTGGAGTGCGGTGGTGCGATCTTGGCTCACTGCAACCTCCGCCTCCCGGGTTCAAGCGATTCTTGTGCCTCAGCCTTCCAAGTAGCTAGAATTACAGGCATGTGCCACCACGACCGGCTAATTTTTTTTTTTTTTGTATTTTTAGTAGGGACGTTTTACCCTGTTGGCCAGGCTGTGTACTGTCTTTTAAGTTCTTCCTAGAACAAGGCTTGTCAGCCTCTGCAGTATTGGCATTTTGAGCTGGATAATTGTAGTGGGGGCTGTCTTATGCCATTGTAGTATGTTAGCAGCATCCTGGCCTCTGCACACTAAATGCTGGGAGCACCTACTTGCCCTGACAACCAAAAATGTCTTCAGATATTGCCAGATGTCCTCCTGGGGAAGATAGGGACAAAACTGCCACCAATTGAGAACCACTGTTTATAGAAGGAATTTTACCATGAAGAAATAAATTTGCATTAATAACATAGAAGTTATAATTGAGTCACTTTATACAAGGAGAAAATTTACTTTTGCCAAAGATTTAGAAGAAACTACTTTCTAGTATTATTATCCTATGCCCCTTTTGGAAATTAATGGACTAAACTGATGTGATCCTGCAGATTGGAGACTTTAGAAGCTTGGAGAAGATTTCACGGGAAGTCAAATCAATTACGATTATCGGTGGGGGCTTCCTTGGTAGCGAACTGGCCTGTGCTCTTGGCAGAAAGGGTGAGTATTGAGGAGTGACCTTGATTTTCTTTCTCTAGTCTTATATAGCTTTTCTGTGAATCCCAGAGATGTGTTTGGCAGGATCAGTAGGAAGAGTTTAATTAAGGTTTATTTATTTATTTTTTTTTGAGATGGAGTCTCGCTCTGTCACCCAGGCTGGAGTGCAGTGGCGCGATCTCGGCTCACTGCAAGCTCCGCTTCCCGGGTTCAGGCCATTCTCCTGCCTCAGCCTCCCGAGTAGCTGGGACTACAGGCGCCTGTAACCACGCCTGGCTAATTTTTTGTATTTTTAGTAGAGATGGGGTTTCACCGTGTTAGCCAGGACTGTCTCGATCTCCTGACCTGGTGATCCGCCCACCTTGGCCTCCCAAAGTGCTGGGATTACAGGCGTGAGCCACCACACCCAGCCTAATTAAGGTTTATATAGTGAAAAGCTAAACACTGAGATTAGTTCTGGTGAGGGATCCCTTGGTGACCAAAAAGCTGTCACCTGAGCAACTTAACAGCGATGCTTTTTTTTTTTTTTTTTTGAGATGGAGTTTCACTCTTGTTGCCCAGGCTGGAGTGCAATGGTGTGATCTCTGCTCACCACAACCTCCGCCTCCCAGGTTCAAGCGATTCTCCTGTCTCAGCCTCTGGAGTAGCTGGGATTACAGGCATGCACCACCACACCTGGCTAATTTTGTATTTTTGGTAGAGACAGGGTTTCTCCATGTTGGTCAGGCTGGTCTTGAACTCCCAACCTCAGGTGATCCACCCACCTCGGCCACCCAAAGTGCTGGGATTATAGGTGTGAGTCACTGCACCTGGCCAACAGCAATACTTTCTTTCCTTTCTTTTCCTCTACCCTCTATGCCAGGACTCCTTAGAAATAAAATATTAAGGAAAGTGAGTTATGAAGATGATAAGGGCAATGCAGACTACAGAATTATGGGTGTCTTTGAACTGCTGCTTCCTGTAAAATGCCAAAAACTTCTTTGGGCACATGATGGTTCCCAGCTTGAGAGATCTGTGAGCTCCAGTTGGAATGTTTCATGGCAACTAGTTTTCTTAATGTTCTTTTTCAGATATATGAAATCAGGGCATCTTTTCAGGAGGATGCTTCCTATTCAGAGGTTGCAAAGCACTTATGTAAGCCTTAGGTGACTGCATGGGTGGAAGTGCACAGAGTTCACCATCTGAAGCTTAATCTGGGGCCAGCAGTTCTGATACCTGTTGTATTTGCGTTACAAATGAACTTGAGCACCGAGGCCCTCATGCCCACTGTCCTGTAAGTGGGCGCTCGGCCTGGATTGCAGCTCTGCCCTGTCTGTAGTGAGGGCTGCCTGCTGCTCCTTTACTTCTCTTCCTGTATTCCTAGGATTGACTTTTGCTTCCTGCTGTAACTACTCTGTTTCTTCTTCCCAGCTCGAGCCTTGGGCACAGAAGTGATTCAACTCTTCCCCGAGAAAGGAAATATGGGAAAGATCCTCCCCGAATACCTCAGCAACTGGACCATGGAAAAAGTCAGACGAGGTAGAGAGACTGTTTCTATATGCTGCCACTCTATTTCCTTTGAGTGTGACCTAAGGCAAACTTCGCTTCTATAGGAACCCCCTTGACATAAGCCCTATCACCTGGCCTGTAAAATGTTTCCACCATTCTCCAGTCAGCTAAGTTCATCTAGGTGTTCTGAATCAGATGCCCCAAATTCCTGGAAGTGCTGAAAATGAACCATGGGTGTAGGTTCTTGCAGCTCTCCAAAACTGCCTGTGTACTGATAATTGGTTTTACCGTGGAGGAGACCGCTGGTCAGCTTTCCTACTTCCCATGAAAGTGATAGCCTTGTAGGCTCACTCTCAGGTCTTGTTTGCCTTTACAGAGGGGGTTAAGGTGATGCCCAATGCTATTGTGCAATCCGTTGGAGTCAGCAGTGGCAAGTTACTTATCAAGCTGAAAGACGGCAGGAAGGTAAGGAAGGAAAAGATAGTCTGCCAAGAGGCCTTCCAGTTCTCCACTCCCCTTGCCTCATTTTTACTCCTTCATTTGACACCAGTAGATTAGTTTTCCTGGCAGTTGCCATTAACCTGATATAATTTTCCGAATTAACCATCCCTCCATTAAAACAGAATGATGAGAGCCAGAGTAGGCTCCTGTGAACCACTTTCCCTTAGCCCCATTCTATCTGTCTCACAGAGTTTTGAGTCCTGGCTAGGGTGGCAGATTTCTGTTCGAATGACATGGGGGATGTGCATGGGATGGGGTGGTGGAGGCTTATGAAATAGAACTTAAAATCCATTTATCAGAGGTAAGTTAACCCATGATTTTTTAAAGTCCCAATTCTTAATGGCATGAAGGGCCATTGTTACGCCTGTAGGCATAAATGGAAACTGTGGTAATTGACTGAATTATTTCTTTTTTGCCTCAGGTAGAAACTGACCACATAGTGGCAGCTGTGGGCCTGGAGCCCAATGTTGAGTTGGCCAAGACTGGTGGCCTGGAAATAGACTCAGATTTTGGTGGCTTCCGGGTAAATGCAGAGCTACAAGCACGCTCTAACATCTGGGTGGTAAGTGTGCTACAGCATGACCAGGCATAATTCATTCTCCCTAGCCTGTGAACAAGTCTGCCCGGTGGTGTGCTAAAGCTCATCAACAGCCTAACCAAATAGGGTCAGAGTGTTTGGAGGCTGAGGGTACAGAATAGAAATGTGTGAACTGCTTGATTCAGAAGACCAGGTATGGCCTCATCTGCAAGCTAGTGGCAGATGAAATGAACAGTGTGCATGCCTGCAGGGGTAGAGCTCTTCCGGTTCTACTTATTGGCAGCAGCTACTGGCATAACCCCTGGTGGGCATGCACATAAGCCTTCAGATGGATCTGCTGTTCCCTTTGCTCAAACTTGAATCCGGAGGATGGAGGATGAAGCAATGTTATAACCTGTTCCCTAGAAAGGAAAATTACTCTGTTTTCATTTTCCTTGAGTACTATTTTTAGCTGTTTTTTACAATCTATTATGACATAAACAAGACTATAGTATGTAGGAACCATGAGGTAATTTCCCCATTGCTAGTTACAAGTGTATTGTGTTTGTTTATGGACTCTGCAACTAAGGACGTAGGTACCTTGGAGGAATTTTTTTCCCCCTCCAAACCTTGTTTTTTTTTTTTTTTTTAAAAAAAAAAAGATGTACTGGATCTTTTTAACCTGTTATAAAAGTAATACGTGGGCCAGGAGAAGTGGCTTACACCTGTAATCCCAGCACTTTGGGAGGCTGAGGCAGGTGGATCACTTGAGATCAGGAGTTTGAGACCAGCCTGGCTAACATGGTGAAACCCTGTCTCTCCTAAAAATACAAAAATTAGCCGGGTGTGGTGGCACAGGCCTGTAATCCCAGCTACTTGGGAGGCTGAGTGAGGCAGGAGAATCACTTGAACTAAGGAGGCAGAGGCTGCAGTGAGTGGAGATCATGCCACTGCCCTCCAGCCTGGGCAACAACAGAGCAAGACTCAGTCTCAAAAAAAAAAAAAAAGTAATATGTGGTCAATGTAGAAGACAGACAAGAAGGAGAGAGGAGAGGAAAGTCACCTGCAGCAACCATTAATATTTTGGTGTATTTCCTTCCCTGTGTTTCCTTGCATGTAGGTTTTATTGTTGGTTTGTTTTATTCGTGGCAAGCATACTATATATAATATTCTGCTCTTTTCCACTTAACACCATAAATGTAAGCATTTTCTATGTTGCTTCAGACTTTGTAAACAGTTTAATGACTATATATTCCATTAAGCGAATTTCACAGTTTACGGTTGCTCACTCGTTGGATTTTTAGGTTGCTTTGGGGGAGTCTAAATAGCCACAAAGATGAACAAAGGGTTAGAGAGCTCAAATGCCACATCCTTCATGAAGCTGGTCCAGTTCACCCCCGGCTGGAGGTTCTCGCCCTCTGCTTGAAATACTTGACTCCTTTAATCTGTACCTCTCATATGGCACACTACTGTTTACATTGCTCTGTAGTTGTGAGCAAGGCTGTATCTTTCTGTACTAGGTTGTATGCTCCTCATAGTCAAGGTCCATGTCAGTTTTGTCTCAGCAACCCGGACAACATAATACTTTTGTATATAATAAGTACTCCATAAATATTTGTCGAATGAATGAATACTGAGTGACAAAAAGAAATCTAAGAAAACATTTCTAGGTGAGAGGCAGTCACATCCAAAAACTGGTTTCTACATATAGAAAAGAATATTCTGCAAATCATGGTTATTAAATATCCTGTCTGTTAAGGAAAGAACAGGAAGTAGACATAAGTAAACAAAACTATAGAAGATTTAGGTTAGCTTTATGGAAGCAGAATAGATTTTTTTTTCTTTTTTTTTTTGAGGCGGTGTCTCGCTCTGTTTCCCAGTCTGGAGTTCAGTGGCACGATCTCAGCTCACTGCAACCTCCGCCTCCTGGGTTCAAGCCATTCTCCTGTCTCAGCCTCCCAAGTAGCTGGGATTACAGGCGCTTGCCACCACACACGCCTAATTTTTTGTATTTTTAGTAGAGATGGGGTTTCACCATATTGGCCAGGCTTGTCTCGAACTCCTTGTGATCCACCCACCTTGGTCTCCCAAAGTGCTGGGATTACGGGCATTTGCCACTGCACCTGGCCTGGAATAGATGTTTTAAAATGAGATCTCAGGCCAGGCGTGGTGACTCATGCCTGTAATCCCAGCACTTTGGAAGGCTGAGGCAGGCACATTGCTTGAGCCCAGGAGTTCAAAACCAGCCTGCGCAACATGGCAACACCCCATCTCTACCAAAAAAAAAAAAAAAATTTAGCCAGGCATGGTGGTGCATTCCTGTAGTCCCAGCTACTTGGGAGGCTGAGGCGGGAGGATCATCTGAGCCTGGAGGTCCAGGCTGTGGTGAGCCATGATCGCACCACTGCACTCCAGCCCAGGCAATAGAGTGAGACCCTGTCTAAAAGAAAAAAAAAAAATTTAAATGGGTTATCAGCTGTTTTTGTTAGTTTAAGTACAACTCTGGCCTGTAGATGGAAAACATGAATTAGTTACCATTACAAGTGTTCTTTGAGCCCCCAAAGTTTATATTTTGTCTTTAACTTGCTTTTTTTTTTTTTATCATGTGTTCATGTTATGTATTTGTTTCCACAGGCAGGAGATGCTGCATGCTTCTACGATATAAAGTTGGGAAGGAGGCGGGTAGAGCACCATGATCACGCTGTTGTGAGTGGAAGATTGGCTGGAGAAAATATGACTGGAGCTGCTAAGCCGTACTGGCATCAGTCAATGTTCTGGTAATAGTGGTGTGCCTTGGAGACCCAACTGATTACAACTCAGTATCTCTAGGACCATAACACAGAGTTATGGTTTGGTTTTATTATGAGCCAGTTAGCTTCATACAGAAGGGAAAAAAGTCCATCTTATGTCCACACATTCTACCCTCAGGTAGCCATCTGGCAGAAGTGTCCTGTTTAGTTTTTCACCAAACTGATCCTTTTGTAAAACATTAAAAGAGAAAAAAATTATTTTAAGTGTTCTGTCTGGCGTATGTTAGACTAGGTGAATGAATGGAGATGGCACCAGCACTTCCGGCAAAATAGGTCAGAGGCCGAGGTGGGCGGATCACGAGGCCAGGAGTTTGAGACCAGCCTGACCAACATGGTGAAACCCCGTCTCTACTAAAAATACAAAAATTAGCTGGACGTGGTGGTGCATGCCTGTAATCCCAGCTACTCGGTAGGCTGAGGCAGGAGAATTGCTTGGACCCAGGAGGTGGAGGTTGCAGTGAGCCGAGATCACACCACTGCACTCCGGCCTGGGTGACAGAGCGAGACTCCGTCTCAAAAAAAAAAAAAAAAAAAAAAGGAGTGTCAGAAAGCATTCCAGTCCTAAAAGATGAAGGCTGGTCTGGTATGGTTGCTCATGCCTCTAATCCCAGCACTTTGGGAGGCCAAGGCCGGGGGATTGCTTGAGCCCAGAAGTTCGAGACCAACCTGGACAACATAGCAAGAGCTCGTCTGAATTTTTTAAATAAAAAGTTTTTAAAAGTTAAAAAAAAGAAAAGTGGAGGCTAAGGGGAAATACTGTAGGTTAATGAAGCCATAAAACATCTCAAATTCTGAATTCCATAAATGTGGAACACTCTTTAAAGCTTCAAAAAGGGAATTTCAAGACAAAAGTAGTGAATAGCAAAAGTGGGAACCTCATCACTTTCCAAATGTGGCATGGGATAAAAGCACGAATAAATTCAAGAACGTTTCAATCACCGCATGGATATGTGGTCGTGTATAATGGCTTTTTAAGGAAAAGTCAAAGCTATTAGGGTTAATCTTACTTTCTCATGGTCATCCCTAGATGCTCTAGCAACAGCAGATCAGTTGGCATCTCTCGTGATCTGCATACTAAGTTCTTTGGTTGGCATAAGAGTGCGGTGTTGGTCGGGTGCGGTGGCTCACATCTGTAATCCCTGCACTTTGGGAGGCCAAGGCGGGCAGATTACTTGAGGTCAGGAGTTCAAGACCAGCCTGGCCAACATGGTAAAACCCCGTCTCTACTAAAAATACAAAAATTAGCCAGGGTGGTAGTGGGTGCCTGTAATCCCAGCTACTCAGGAGGCTGAGGCTGGAGAATCACTTGAACCCAGGAGGGAGAGGTTGCAATGAACTGAGTTCGCACCCATTGCACTCCAGCCTGGGCAACGAGTGAAACTCCGTCTCAAAAAAAAAAAAATGCAGTGTCATGGAGAATATGTGCTACCGTGTCATTCCTTACAGTCCCTTGACAGAACACCCTCTTCTCTCTTCTTAGGAGTGATTTGGGCCCCGATGTTGGCTATGAAGCTATTGGTCTTGTGGACAGTAGTTTGCCCACAGTTGGTGTTTTTGCAAAAGCAACTGCACAAGACAACCCCAAATCTGCCACAGAGCAGTCAGGTAAGAAAGTCCTAGCACTCCTCTTGGAGAGTGTTGAGAAGCAGTGGTCCAGATTCTCCTGAACAAGGGGTTTCTGTATTGGCCAGAGGGGCTTGTCAGTGAAAGCCTCTCTTCATGTTGTGCTTTAAAAGAAACCAAACCCCAAGTCCTCACTCTTTAGTGGTCTGAGATTTGGCAAAATCAGGTATCCTGGTCAAAGCATAGATTCAAATATTGTGGGTATCTGTCCTAGACAGTGGACAGTGGCTAGCTCAATGACACTGCTGTTTTGTGTGTCTCTGGGAAGACCTTTCTAAGGAAGAAAACAAGAAAACCTGAACTTTTTAGATTGCGTTTTTATTTTTCTTTCTTTCAGTTGTCATTTTTATTATTTTGCTTCAGGCGAATCTCAAGAACACGGCCTGATAGGCTTAGCTTAAGACTGGCTATCCTCCATGGGTCCTGCGCAGGGAGGAACTGGGCTGAGTAGTTATTTAGCTGCCTCCCATTCCATTTGGCAGATCTTAGTGCCAGGTTTTCTTTAGATGGGAGGCACCTCTCTTGGAATGGACTTCTCTCCCACACATGTCTCTTTCATTAACTCCGAGACCTTATTCCTTGACCTTAGCTCAAGTTATTTAACTTCTGCATCCTTTTGCCAGAGGTGTCTCAAGGGCAAGGTGCTGTTTAAGAAGGAGAAAGCAAGACATTATATGGATATGTAGGTCCTTTTCCTGTGTAATTCTAATGTATTCCATATTCCTTAATTCTGATCTCTCCTAGTAACCTAGTAAGTGGATTCATGTCACTGCTTTGTCGACTGGACAGTATTATTTGGAGGCTGGTGGTTCTCAGCAAGGTGCCCCCTTCCTATGCCACCCTTCCCTTCCCCTCTTTCTCTAGGAAGAAATGCCTCCACTATGGTTTTTCCAAATGGAAGTGCCTTCTGCTTTGTCTAAAGTACCTGTCTAATAGCACTGTCCAATAGAACTTTCTGCTGCGATGGAAATGTTCCATCTCTGCTCTGTCCAGTACGTTAGCCACCAGCCACATGTGGCTTTTGAGCTCATGAAACATGGTGAGTACAGATAAGGAACTGAATTTTACATCTTACTCAGTTTGAAATGATGTTCATTTACATGGCTGTGGCTAGTGGCTACTGTATTTGGACCATGCAGCTCTAGAATTATTTCTTAGAGGACAAGAACCAGCCTTCTGCAGTTTGAAGAAATCCAGATACCAGGAAATATTCATAGCATGAATTTAAAATGAGATAATAAGGGAGGGAAGTTTAGGGTCAGACTGACCCTGTGCCCAGGAGCTGGCAAGGAAGACCTTTCCTTGGCTTTGTCACTGGAGAGGGGCTGGTGAAGGCCAGGGTTTACTGAGGGGGCATAGAGAAATAAATCCTCTAGAAGTAGCTTGAAGCAGGCCTCGAAAGACTGTTGGCTTCTAGAATTTCCCAAGCTCATAATAACTGAAGTTTTGATTTTGCTTCCATGTTTATTTGTTTTGGGGGCTGGCCACAGGAACTGGTATCCGATCAGAGAGTGAGACAGAGTCCGAGGCCTCAGAAATTACTATTCCTCCCAGCACCCCGGCAGTTCCACAGGCTCCCGTCCAGGGGGAGGACTACGGCAAAGGTGTCATCTTCTACCTCAGGGACAAAGTGGTCGTGGGGATTGTGCTATGGAACATCTTTAACCGAATGCCAATAGCAAGGAAGGTAGGTGCCTGTCATAACTCTTAGAGGAAGATGGGAAGTACGGCTTAGAAACATTCCTGTAACTTCATCGGGTGCCCTGAGATGCATTGTCCCCCGGCCAGGTCAAATTGTGCCTGAGCAGAACAAAGGTATAGCCTTGGCTCAGGAACATTCTTTTTCACTTGGGACTTGGCTGGGTGACCTGGGAGTTGGCAGGCTGCTTGTTTGGGGTTAGTAGAGAACTGTTCCCACAACTCCCTCCCAGTGTGATATGGGGACTGCCCCAGGTAGCCCCATTGTGTGGGCATGGCCTGAACGCAATGGAGTAAGTTAGGGACCTATTGTTACTCTCTCTCCCTCAGATCATTAAGGACGGTGAGCAGCATGAAGATCTCAATGAAGTAGCCAAACTATTCAACATTCATGAAGACTGAAGCCCCACAGTGGAATTGGCAAACCCACTGCAGCCCCTGAGAGGAGGTCGAATGGGTAAAGGAGCATTTTTTTATTCAGCAGACTTTCTCTGTGTATGAGTGTGAATGATCAAGTCCTTTGTGAATATTTTCAACTATGTAGGTAAATTCTTAATGTTCACATAGTGAAATAAATTCTGATTCTTCTAAATTAAATTCTGTTCTCTTGTCAAGGGGGCAGGTGGGTGAAGGTGGAAAGCCACGCATATTAGAAAGCAAGCAAATTGCAGCACCGACCAAGCACAGGATTTTTCTCAGCCATGTATTCATGCCCTACTCCAGACGCAAAACTCCTTTCATTTCCGAACTTCCCTCACCCCTCCAGACCTCTTTGCACACACCTGCTGTGGCCTCGGCCCACAACACTTGACTCCCCTCCTCTCCTCTCAGGAAGTTCACTATCTCTGAAGACTTTCCCAGCCTTCCAAGCCTCATCCTTGTGTATGTGTCTCCCTGCTAGCCCATGACTTCCTGGAAGCAGAAGCCCTGATGTTAAGGCCTTGCTCATGGTTTTATCTCCAGAGCTTAGCACAGGGTCTGCTTCATAGTAAGTGCTTCATAGATCATTGTCGAATGAGTGAACAAATAAATGTATGGAATAGACTTTGTTTACCTGGAACAACTCCTGTCCCAGAACTGGATTGGGTCCTGCAGGGGACAGAAAGGGCACTTACTACAAATCTGAGTTCAGAGACCTGGTGCTTCACAGTTAAACCTGGAGACGGACTCATGGAAGGACCATCATCTCTTGACTCTTCTGCCTGCTGTCCTCATGCCAGACATCTGTCCTCTCTTAAGCTCCTTTTCTCTGAAATACGCTTATGGGCATACCTCACTTTACAGATTATTTCCTGGGAATACGATTCAAAGTTTCACAAGTCAACTCATTGTTTGGCATTTTAGATTGCTTAACTTTTAAAAATCAAATCTTATTATTATTATTTTGAGATGGAGTTTTGCTCTTGTTGCCCAGGCTGGAGTGCAATGGTGCGACCTAGGCTCATCACAACCTCTACCTCCCGGATTCAAGTGATTCTGCTGCCTCAGCCTCCCAAATAGCTGGGATTACAGGCATGCGCCACCACGCCTGGCTAATTTTGTATTTTTAGTAGAGATGGGGTTTCTCCATGATGGTCAGGCTGGTCTCAAACTCCCTATCTCAGGTTATCTGCCCGCCTCGGCCTCCCAAAGTGCTGGGGTTACAGGTGTGAGTCACCGCGCCCGGCCTAAAAACATCAAATCTTATTTAAGAGGAATTTGTTACTACTTTCAAGAGTCCTGTTGTTAAACTCCATGTATATAAAGAGAAAATTATTACCAGTCTGGATTTTTTTTAAATATTGGGTTTGATTAAGGGCAGTTTCAGCTTCAACCAAATCCCTTCTGAACACTGGGAGAACAGGCCAAATCTCCACCGTAAGAATTTGCAGTACAGGTATACCGAACAATACTATATAGATACAGGTTTACTCAAATGTGATCATATCCAAATGATATATCCAAATCTATATGTAGAAAACTCATCTAGGGTTGCGCACAGTGGCTCACGCCTGTAATCCCAGCACTTGGGGAGGCCAAGGCAGGTAGATCACCTGAGGTCAGGAGTTCGAGACCATCCTGGCCAACATGGTAAAACCCCATCTCTACTAAAAATACAAAAATTCGCCAGGCATGGTGGCATGCACCTGTAGTCCCAGCTACTCAGGAGGCTGAGACAGGAGAATTGCTTGAACCTGGGAGGCGGAGGTTACAGTGAGCCAAGATCACACCACTGCACTCCAGCCTGGGCAACACAGCAATATTCCATCTCAAAAAAAAAAAAAAAAGGAAAACTCATCTAGTATCCTGTGACATCGAAATTATTATACAGCAGTAATTGCTGCTTACAGAGATGGGGGTAAGACTAAGATCCTAGTGTTCCACAAATCATTAAGAAAAGATCAAATTGTGATTTGTCTTGCTTTAGTGTTGTATACAGTTTTGTCAAATTCTTTGACAGTAGTTATCCTTGTATAGTATGTCATTGTAGTTCAGTGGATTGAAATTAAATGATCTATTCATCTAATCAGTGTTCATTGGGTGCCTCCTGTGAGCCAGGTAGATGTCAGAATAGAAACATAGATAAAACATAGCCACTGCTTTTAAGGACCTCCTGGTGTCCGTGAGGAATGCAGACATGTGGATGCAGAACTCCAATACAATGAGCTACGTCCACAGAAGGACACAAAAAGTACTGTGGCCATGCCAAGAATGGAGAGATCAGCCACAGCAGCCATCCTGAGTCAACCACTGCTATTAGACCACTTCCTAAAGCCACCACTTGGTCCATGTCCCCTCCCTGTTTAAAAATGTACAGTGATTCCCTGTCACCAACCACATCAAGTTCAAAGTCTCCTGTAGTACTAAGCCCACTCTGTTTGGCTGACTTTCCGCCTGACTTTTAATATGGACATACACACACACACACACACACACACACACCTGGTTTATTGCCACCTTTAAACTTGTGTTCATGCTCTTCACATCCGGAACGCCATCCCTCCTCCCTTTATCTATCCAAATCCTACTCATCTTTCAAGGCCTACATCAAGTCCTGCCTTGGTGGCATGGTACCAGTTGGACTAGTGCCCATGCATGATTTCTCTCTGAACTCCAGTTGCACTTAGCACCTTTGAGTGTAATTGTTCTTTAAGTCATTCTAAAGGAATTGTCACCTGTCCCAGAGCAGAGCCCATGTTTTCTTTTCAGGATGGGGACCATATTGCTGCACCCTGGTGAAGTGCTGAGCAAGTCCTTGGTTGATTGGCTGGATGATGCTAGATAACAGGGCTGACTGTAAAAATGCACCTCTGTCTTGTAACCTCTGATCTCTGTAATTCAGGTTGTTTATGGGAGGATGTTCAGATCATCACCACTTCACTCAGCTGTCACAACTTGCCACTTACCCAGGATGCATTTAATCTGCCCAAGCCCCTGAGGATCCTGGGGTCCAAATTCTTTCTTTCTTTTCTTTTTTTTTTTCTTTTTGAGATGGAGTCTCGCTCTGTTGCCCAGGCTGGAGTGCAGTGGGTGATCTCAGCTCACTGCAACCTCCACCTCCTGGGTTCAAGCGATTCTCCTGCCTCAGCCTCCCGGGTAGCTGGGATTACAAGCACACGCCACCACACCCGGCTAATTTTTGTATTTTTAGTAGAGATGGGGTTTCGCCACGTTGGCCAGGCTGGTCTCGAACTCCTGACCTCAGGTGATCTGTCTTGCCTCGGCCTCCCAAAGTGCTGAGATTACAGGCATGAGCCACTGGCCTCTAGGGTCTGATTTCTGACTCCACAGACAAGCAGTGCCAGTCGAGGTTTGGCCCTCAATAGCTGGTCTGTGATAAGCTGGGCCACACCACAGTGTGGTGCAAGGCTAGTCCCACCCTGGGAAGAAGAGGCAGGCTTTGCCCAAAGAGCAGTCATCTAGAGCCCACCCATTTGACTTCAACCTCGCTTTCCTTGGCCATTTCATAAACGGTATCAGATGGTCCTTGGCACCACTTAGTGATGGTCCTAACCTCTGCCTGGCTACCTGTAAACCACAGCAGGGGGTGTCCTAATGTTTTTAAAGGTGGAGAGGTGGAACTGAGGGAAGGAAGGAAGTTTGATTGGAAAGGGGTTAGATTAAGCCTCTTAGTGAAGGATGAGGTCAACATTTGTGATTTTTTTTGTTGTTGTTCTAATCAACAGGGCCTGTTTTGGAGACAAGAGGCTTTAAACAGAAAGGGCTGGGGGTGGGACTCCACAGTGACCTACTGCAGGCTGCTTCCTTGAAGGAAAATCAGCAGCTTCTCAAGAGACCCATTTATACAAAGGAACTCTCCCCTCCCTTCCCCCACTGCCCCTTCCCTTTCCCGCTCCTCTCCAGTTTGGCTGCTGCCATATCCCTTCTGTACGTCCTTCCCTGACTCCACCTAAAGCCAGGCACCCTTGCTGCCCTAGAGATTGTTGGGACTCGCTCCCAGTGCCTTGCTTTCTGGGCAGAGGGGAAGTTCTGCTGGGCCCAGAGGTGAAGTAAGACTGCCTCTGGTCTCTTTCCCATCTTATCAGGGAATTCCTGGCGGGCACAGACACGCGTACACAAAACCACACACAGATACACTCAGCCCAAGCCAGTGATGACGTTCCCCTGCCTGGCTGGTTCTACGTATGGGTGTGACTAGGTCAAAGAGGACAGGGAGGGTCTAAATATTTAGATACTGGACTGCCAAGCCCTCGATGGAAACCAGAGATCCTCTCAAAATGAACATTTGCTGAAAGAAAAGCAGCCTCTGGCGTCTCTGGAAGCTCGCCCGGTACTGTCGGCCAGGACTTGGTGTTGCTACCAACTGGCCTGGCACTCACAGCTAGATCTGGGTGTTCTGCTGAACATACATTCATAGGGCATCAGCATTATACAAGGCTACTCTGTGACCATGGTGGATTGAGACAAAAACAAGACCGCTCCATAATCATGTGAACACAGACAAAAACATGAAGATTGCCTGAACCTTGAAAATGACCGAACAACCCCCACCCCCATCCTGGTTTTTCTGAGTAGCTGCTGCTTCCTTACCAATTGTGGCTTCAGCCTCGCTCTTGTCTGCCTTCCTCTTGGATAAGATTGAGTTGATAAGATACCCAATCCAATCACAGAATCACCAGCATCCAGTCCAGAACAAAGCCTGACTTCCTTAAACCTTCCTCCAAATCCCCTGACCCAACCTGAATCCTCTAAGTCTTTTCTAGCGCCCTCTTCCTGAAGCATGGCATAGTTCCCCCATGGGGCGCCTTCTTTCTTGCTGCAGTGAGCAATAAACCTAACTTGTTTGACCGTGTTCCTGGTGGTCTTTGACCAGAAGGGGTTGACAATTTGGACACAAATAGCCAAAATATCCTCTGGAGGACCACTATCAGGCAGAGACCCCAGTGAATTTCACCTAGTCCTGTGTCTTTCTGAAGACCTTACCTAGTCCTGGTGGAGCCTCCAAGGTCTGTGTTTCGGTTGGGGAAAGCCCAGGAGTTGTGTCTTGTGTTGGGGGACAGAGGTACCTGGCTTCCCAGGCAGGTTCTCACCTAGGATGTCTTGGCATTTGCAGTACAACACAGAGATGCTTCTCAGGGAGTATCTAGCATAGGTATTGAATTTATAAATAATATACAAATAAATGTATTCATTTCTTTAACATTTTCTGAGCAACTAATGTATGCCATAGTACTGTACTAGGCTCTGGAGATAGGAAGATGAGTAATATATTGTCCCTGTCTTCCTTCAATGGCTTTATAACCGAGTGGTGGCCACAGACAAGTCAACAGGGATTATCAGTGTCACCTAACTGCTGGGAGTATGATAAGTGAGTTCCGATTGGAACTTCATTGCTTCTCCAGTTGCTTTACTGTTCTGCTTCTATCTATTCTAGGCATTTTTAAAAATAGAGATGGGGTCTCACTTTGTTGCCTAGGCTGTTCCCAAACTCCTGGGTTCAAGCGATCCTCCCACCTCAGCCTCCCATAGTGCTGGGATTACTGGCATGAGCCACTGTGCCCAGCCTATTCTAGGCTTTTCCTTCACCTACCAAATCATAGTTCCCCCGTTTTATGGTTGTGTCTTCTCTGTCATCACTTTGGAAAGAATATGGAGAGTGCTCTGCTTCATAGAGGATGGTGCTGACATTCCTTTCACCCAGAGATTACACATCTTCCTCTTCACTCTTCCTCAGATCTTTCATTCTCCCTCCTCGTCTCAGAATCTCTGCAGTCTTCCCCTCTTGTTTTCCTTTTTTTTTTTTTTTTTTTTTTTTTTGAGACAGAGTCTCCCTCTGTCACCCAGGCTGGAGTGTAGTGAGTGGTGTGATCTCAGCTCACTGCAACCTCCACCTCCCGGGTTCAAGCGATTCTCCTGCCTCAGCCTCCCGAATAGCTGAGATTACAGGTGCCCACCACCATGCCGCCATGCTAATTTTTTTTGTATTCTTAATAGAGATGGGATTTTGCCATGTTGGCCAGGCTGGTCTTGAACTCCTGACCTCAGTGATCCATCTCGGCCTCCCACAGTGTTGGGATTACAGGCGTGAGCCACCGTGCCTGGCCACCCCTTGTTTCCCTTTTCCCTGTGTTTCCTCTTTGGGTTCCAGGGGCTGCTCCCTGCTCGTGTGTTTTCTCCCAAAGCAGAGGAGCACAGTGAAAAGAACACTCTTCCAGATTTCAGCCGCAGTGCTGCCGCTCACTGCCTGGATGGCTTTGGGCAACTAGTTTCTGAGCTCTCTGCTTCCTCATCTGTAAAATGAGAGAACAGACTAGGTCATCTCTCACCTTCAGCCCTGACCTCCTTTGTCTGCAACAGTCTTTCAGTGTTTGCATGGGACTTTCTTCATCTCTCCATCTCTCAGTTGCTGTTTACCTCTAAGGTCTAGAGAGGCTGCCAATGGAACCCAAAGCCCTTGGCAGCCATCTCCCCATGCCTCTGCTGTCCCTTTGGCTCTACTAGATGTACAGGTTTTGCTGGTTTTTGTTTTTAGTTTATGGCTTTTGTTTATAGTTTATTTTTCTTTGACCTACCCAGTTACATTTGGACCTGGGACCCCTAGAAATTGTACATTGTACATTGTCTTATTTCCTCTCCATGGAGAGTTTCACAGCCTCGAAACTGGGTTCCATGAAACAGGTCATCCTTCAGCCCCTAAGCTAAAGTTTGGCTTCAAATCCAGAATTTCCCCCAAGGAAGGCTTGACAGTGGGACTGTTGTCAGCCATGATCCTAGCACATACATTCCTACAGGCTCCCAATCCCCAACAAACATGCCCTACAGAGCTGCTGTGTGGACAGCCATCATAACCCAGGCTTTCAACCTAATACCAAGGTAGGAGCTCAGAAAAGCTCCCTCATGCTATATAAGCCCAAGCCTTGAGACCAGCCCTTCTACCTCCCACCCCCCCTTGCTCCTAGTCCATGGCCATTTCCATATTGACCATGGCCTTGGCAGAGCCGTGCCCTGAAGTGCAGTGACAAGCAAGTCAGGAAGCTTGCAAACTTCAACACCCAGCTTTGGCTCTTATCATACAGACAAAAGGAAAGTGCATACAGGCAAACAATGCCAATCCAGTACCATGATTTGCTAGGTGGGAAAGGATGCTTACGGACTATGCCCCTCTGGAAGGAAAGGGGAGCTTTAGGTGTTTCAGAGGCCAGCAGGGCTCCTCTAGCTTGAAGCCTTCCCTGGCCTGGGCCTGAGGCCCTTAGGCACCTTGTTGAAACTAATATTCTAAGCAACCAGGGTGTGATTCTGGTTTCCCACCCCAGTGGAGAGGTGATGAGACAATCCAATCCTCTCATCCCTTCCACTGTCCTCAAATTAGTGTCACAAGGGGGTGGTATGAAAACCCGGACTCCTGGGCCTCCAAGTCACCCCCACCCTATCCTGAACTGGTCCACTATCAAGTTCCAGGAGAAAGGGCCAGTGACCTCTCAGATGATCGGCTCGACTTGCTGCTGGGGTCCAGAACAGCTCAAGGCTCAGAACACTCCACACTTGTCCCTTCAGTGGCAGAAGCTGTTCCAAATCCCGCCTGAAGCAAGCCCATGTTCTCACTTGTTCATTGGAACAGGTGGTTCTAAAGAAGAGCCACCAGCTTCCAGGTGAACTCCTCAGGCAGTCCCAAGGTTCTGAAGAGGGAAGGGGATCCCCAGACCCCTTCCCTTGGGCAGGCACTCCCTGAATGCAGTGGCTAATTACAAAAGGATACCTTAGTGAGAGCTTTGCCCAATCTTGCAAACATGCAATTCCCTCCTGGGCATTCCCTGTGCACCCCTAGAACAGCACAGGTGGCCAGGTTGGAACAGGGGCGCGGAGATCTCCACGGGGACTCCCACGCGCCACCGCCCTCCCAGCTGCCCCACCGAATCCTTCCCGGGGAGCCCAGAGCCGCTCCAGTTCGCCTGTCGGGACGGGAGGAAGAGGGGAGGCGGGAGCAGAAAGAAAGGATTCCAGCACTTTGGGAGGCTGAGGCGGGCGGATCACCTGAGGTCAGGAGTTCGCGACCAGCCTGGCCAACGTGGTGAAACCCTGTCTCTACTAAAAATGCAAAAGTTAGCTGGGCGTGGTGGTGGGCGCCTGTAATTCGAGCTACTCCGGAGGCTGAGGCAGGAGAATCGCTTGAACCCGGGGGTGGGGTGCGGAGGTTACAGTGAGCCAAGATCGCGCCACTGCAGCCTGAGCGAAAGAGCGAGACTCCGCCAAAAAAAAAAAAAAAAAGAAAAGAAAAGAAAAAAAAGAAAGGATTGAGGGGAAGTTTCAAAGGGTGTGCCGGGGACCGGGGAAGAGTCTCATTCTCATGAGTCAGCGGATCCGGCCCAGTGTGACTTCACTGCTTCCCCAGAAGAGGCGCCCAGGGCAGGAGGCCGCTCAGAGCGCAGCAGCAGGAGTGGAAGCTCGGGGCGCTGGCTGCCTGCGCCGGGCAGGGCGCGGGACAAGGCTTGGGGCTGGGCTGGTCAGGCCGCTTGGGGCTGAGGCGGCGAAGGGAGGCCGCGTGCCAGCGAGGAAAGCTGGGGGCAGAGGAGCCGATATCTCCTCCTCCTGCTGCTCCTCCTTGGACGACAGTTCCCGCCGCCGCCGCCGCGTTCCGCGTGCAGGTGGCGCTGCAGAGGCGCCCGGGCGCACTGCTGGGCGGGTGGGCACGCTCAGCCCCACCAGGATCCGGGCTTGGAAGGCGCGCGAGCCTAGAAAGGGGGTAGCGAGAAAAAGGCCACCAGCCCCCGCTGCTTCTCAGGCCGTCCCCGAACTCGAGAGAAGGACGCGCTCCCACCCCACTGGCGGGAGAGTACGGAGATCAGCCCCGCGGCCGAGCGCCCCAGGTCGGGGGCTGGTTCCTGCGCGCTTCTGCAAAGTCCCTCGAGCCACCTCGCAGGCCCCACAGAGCCCCGGGCGGCTCCTAACTTCAGCAAAGGAATTGCAGTTTCGGGCGGTCTTTGCTCTCTGGGGATGGCGCTCTTGACCCGCAGGCAGTAGAATGGAAACTTTGAGTCGTGTCTGGGGCGTTGGGGGTGGGTTTCCCTGAACAGCCACTCTCTAGCCTGGCTCCCATGAGACTTAGAACGCATCTCCAGCACAGGGGATGCAGACTGTGGCCAAGGCTGGGGCGCAGCCTGAGACTCGGCTCGGCCGACATGAGAGGTAGAGGCTCTGCTTAAGTCCGGATCTAGAGGGACAGTTAGGTGGTCCGTGCTTGTCAATCCGGTCTTCTGCAGCTATATAAGGAAAAAAGAAAAAAAAACAAAAAACAAAAAAACAAAACAAAAAACTAAGGGCTTATCTGGGGCTCAAACTTGCAACCTCTGTCTTCATAGATAGAACTTCGTGTCCTAACTCCTTGCAGGCCCTGAGCTCTAGAAGCCATGATGCTGCCTTGGACATCCTCGTGGTGCTTGGTGGTTATGAGGTGGCTGTTTAGTTAACATATTGAGAATATCAAGGCACAAAAATAACCTTGTGGCCAGAACCTGTGGGGAAAAGTTGTTGAGGGCTCCAACCTCGCCCTTTCCAGAAGCTAGAGTGGCCACTTCTGTGATACAACTTGACATATAAAATCTATGGGCAGAGTGTGTCCCTCTTTTCTGTGCCAAGAAATAAAAGCTGCACCCCGTGTTAGCATTCTGGGTGCCTCTCCTCCCCTCTCAGTCCATCCAGTTCTCCTGCTTTCAGGGTGTGCAAAACCATCTGAGAAAGTCATCTAAAGACTTCCCATAAAGAAAGGGAAGGGGCGGGGGGAATCCAAAGGATCCTAAACGTTCCCAGGTCTCACTGTGTGCCAGGAGAAATACCGCCTGTCTCCCGCCCAGACCTCAGAGCCCGGGCCTTTTTCCTACAGGGCGGTGCCCAGCTATTCCTGGAAGCCCCCTCCTTTCTACCAGACCCCTCCCCAAGGTGTCTCCTCCCAGAGCACCATCGAGGAGAAAGATCAGATCAGCAAAGCTTGACGTCCCCCTGCCCCCTCTTTCTGTCCCCAATCTGACCTGCAGTCTCAGCCTCTGCCCTCTCCTGATGCCACGGCGCTGGCTTCTTCTCCCAGAGCAGGACCTGAGCGGTGAGCTCTTCCCCAAGCCCCCCTAGGTGACCAGGAGAGGATCTGATAAACTAATTTGTGTTAATGTGATAATGGGAGCTAATGGGGTCACGTGCTAACCACGGGTCCAAGTTCTAACTCAGCATCACAAACTCAACCCCAAGTTAAGGCTGCAGAGATGGGAATTTTGGGCTGACTAATCTCCACAGCTGGCTGGAGGGGGTGGGGGAGTGGGAGGAACCGAAGCCCCTGGACGATCCCAGGGTCTGGTGCCTTTGAGCTGCTGTCTCGGTTTCAGTTTCATCCTTGGCTGACACATTCCTCCGAAGAGTGGAATTGCTTTGGTTTCCCTCCAGCCCCTCTCCCGTCCCTGGCCACCTCCGTCTTGGACTGCTAGCTCCCCTCGGTCAGCCCTTCTCTTCGTGAGGGGAGAGATGGGAAGATAATTTGGCAGCGACGAGGAAAAAATGTACACGTAGACATCCTGAGACGCACAGGCTCACATACCATACTGCTTTGCAGACAGACATGTGCACATGCCCTCCACGAACACACATGCATGCACGAGGGGACCCGACATCCAAGACTTGAGCCCACACACACACAGGCATATGCACACACATGCACACCCCGAACACAGTTATGCCCTCACTCACATCTGTGAGACCCACACAGACACGCACATAGGCAGGCAAGGCCCAGAGAGCCATGTTGCACACAGACCCACATGCACACTCATACACCCTCACACACACAAACCAGCAGCAGCCGCCGAGTTGGATGGCTTCCTCAAAAGAGGGCTGGAAAGCTTGTTTGCTGCCAGCAAAGGGGCCTAGACATTCCGTGAAGTGACTCATACTGCACCTTTATACACATTGTTATATTTTTCTGCATTCAACAACAACAACCCTCAACCCCGATGTGGGGGCAGGGTGGGGAAACTGAAGAGTGGCTGCATTTCCACTGGGCCTCTGCTATGCCTCTGTCTAGCAAATGTTTCAGGCCTGTCCTCACTTCTCAGTGGATTGTGGCAATCCCAAAGAGCAGAATTGTCTACCTCCTGGTACAAACCTCAGCCCAGGCCTGCCCCTTGGGAGGATGCAGAGTGGATGAAATTGGGGGCTGATGAGTTCCCCTCATAGACAATCCCCCATCCTACCTCATCCCTAGTCCTGGATATCTGGGGCCAGGCCCCATGGTCCCCTGTGGTGTCCCAGTCTGAGCCCCTCCTGATCTCTCCTCTCCAAGTGCCCTCCCCAACTCTCCTGAATCTGGCTTTACTGCCACCTGCTTGCACACTTCCGGGCAGTGGCATTCACTTTATATAATACGTAGAGCCCCGTGCAGTGTGACTGGAGGCCCCTCCCTTCCCCTGGGTCTCTTCTCCATCTGAGGAAGAGATGTCAGCTTGATGGCTACTTGTGTCCCCATCCCCCAGCACACTCAAGGGCCTGCAGAAATTCACTTTGTGCTCACTCCGGCAAAACCTCCCTGTGTTGACAATCTTGGTCCGCCTGCACCGGGCTGTGGGGAGATCAGCTAAGGCCAGGGCCTCCCCAGCTTCACTCTGAGGACACATCAGAGGTCAAAGAGATGACACAGGACAGGTGTTGGGCCAGCAGTTATTCATGGCTGAGGGGTTAACTCTGGCACCACTGGACAGAAGCCCCAAACCCCTGAATGCTGCAATGCCTCTGATAGGAGCCCAGGGCAGGTGCCTGCCTCTTTGCCCTGGTCCCAGGGACTTTTGCAGGCTGAGCTTTGGCTCCAAGGTAGGAGTTGGGGATCAGTGGAGTTAGAGACTCCAGGGGGCTTGCCCTCATCTCATTTGCTGACTCTGCCTAAAGCCAGTTCGTCCTCATTTTTTTTTTTCTTTTCAAATGAACCACAGGTTTGTGTCTTTCCATCTCCCACACCCTCCAAATTTCCCACCATCCCAGAGGGCCCTCCTGAAGAACACGGAATCTGTTTCCCAAACAACAGGCCCACTCCCCAGCTGTCGGGGGTTGGGGGGTAGTGCCTCCCAGCAGCCACCACGCTCAGGGTGAGCACCTACTCACAGCCAGCAGCGCCTCCTGTGTCGGCATCATCCCCTCCAGGCAGCCAGCCCTCCTGAGCTGCTGTCCAGCTCGAAGACAATTGAAAGCCGGTGATCTTCTGAAGTTTTGTAGGGGCTTTCATGGTGCTGGGAGGAGACATGTATAACTGTTTTTTGTTTTTTTGTTTTTTTGAGATGGAGTCTTTTGCTCTGTCACCCAGGCTGGAGTGCAGTGGCACAATCTCGGCTCACTGCAAGCTCCGCCTCCCAGGTTCACACCATTCTCCTGCTTCAGCCTCCCGCGTAGCTGGGACTACAGGAGCCCGCCACCACGCCCGGCTAATTTTTTGTATTTTTTAATAGAGACAGGGTTTCACCATGTTAGCCAGGATGGTCTCGATCTCCTGACCTCGTGATCCGCCCACCTTGGCCTCCCAAAGTGCTGGGATTACAGGCGTGAGCCACAGCACCCGGCCAATGTATAACTGTTTTAATGATTGTAAACTGAGCAGGGTGGGCTGCAGGGACCGAGTGGCTTTCCAAGAGCCCCAGTCAGGCATGTCTCCCAGCCTATGAGGGTGGTGCAGATGAAAGTTGTGATCTGGGAAGTGGCTACCAACTCCATCCTCTCATCTGCATGCCTGTGCTTTAACCTGAGTCCACCTCCATCCCCAGTACAGGCCAAGGCCACAGACCGTCATCTGTGAAGAAAAGCTTTGGTATAACCAGCCCATGTTGCACACAGATCCACATGCCAAGGAGTTAAGTGAGGAGAGGGAGGAAGAAACCAGCCACCTTGTCTCCAGAACCTGGGGTGGCCAGGCGCGATGGCTTACGCCTGTAATCCCAGCACTTTGGGAGGCCGAGGTGGGTGGGTCATGAGGTCAGGAGTTCGATACCAGCCTGGCCAACACAGTAAAACCCTGTCTCTACTAAAAATACAAAAATTAGCTGAGCATGGTGATGCGCACCTGTAGTTCCAGCTACTTGAGAGGCTGAGGCAGGAGAATCACTTGAACCCGGGAAGCGGAGGTTGCAGTGAGCCAAGATCCCGCCACTGCACTCGAGCCTGGATGACAGAGTGAGATTCCGTCTCAAAATAATAAAAATAATACAAAAAATTAGCTGGACGTGGTGGCAGGCGTCTGTAATCCCAGCTACTCGGGAGGCTGAGGTAGGAGGGCTGAGGCAGGAGAATCACTTGAGCCTGGGAGGCAGAAGTTGCAGTGAGCTGAGATCGCGCCATTGCATTCCAGCCTGGGCAACAAGAGCAAAACTCTGTCTCAAAAAAAAAAAAAAAAAAAAAAAGGACCTGGGGTGATTTGCAGGAAAACATGATGGGCTATCAGGCACTGCTTGAAGAAAGGAATTCTGTTTTGCAGCTATTCAACAAGCTTTTTAGAACAAACACTGCTTATGCTGACCAGACACAACCTTGACTTGGAGATCTCTGTGTGCCACTTGGATACCCATGGCCTTGTCATGTAAACCCAACAGATGCAAACCTGGGGTTATTGAATGCAACAGAAGAATGAGTACTGGCTTTATAGGAAGGATTATAGGGGGTTTCTCAGATTTATAGGTGGGAGGCTTCCTTTAACACCATAACCTCTCTCCCAGCTTTTGAATACACTCCTCATTCCAAAAGTCTAATCGATAGGCAACTTTCCTTTTCTTTCTTTCTTTCTTTCTTTCTTTTTTCTTTCTCCTTCCTTCCTTCCTTCCTCTCTCTCTCTCTCTCTCTTTCTCTCTTTCTTTCTTTTTGGCAGTTTCTCTCTGCTCTCTCTTTCTTTCTTTTTGGCAGTTTCTCTCTGTCACCCAGGCTGGAGTACAGTGGCGTGATATCGGCTCACTGCAACTTCTGCCTCCCGGGTTCAAGTGATTCTCCTGCCTCAGCCTCCAGAGTAGCTGGGATTACAGGCGCCCACCACCACGCCCAGCTAATTTTTGTATTTTTAGTACAGATGGGGTTTCCCCATGTTGGTCAGTCTGGCCTTGAACTCCTGACCTCAGGTGATTCATCTGCCTCGGCTTCCCAAAGTGCTGGGATTACAGGCGTGAACCACTGTGCCTGGCCAATAGGCAACTTTTCTAGTATGTGTCCATGGTGGTATGTTCGGGCTCTGGCACAGAAACTGTGGCGTTGTGGTATATTGCTCTGCCCACAAGTTTGAATAGAATTTGCTGAGGACAAGGAGTTAAGTGAGCAGAGGGAGGGAGAAATCAGCCACCTCATCTCCAAAGAACCTGATGATTTGCAGGAAAACATGGGCTATCAGGCATTGCTTGAAAAAAAGAGATAAAGGCCAGGCATGGCGGCTCATGTTTGTAATCCCGACACTTTGGGAGGCCGAGGTGAGAGAATCGCTTGAGCCCAGGAGTTCAAGACCAGCCTGGAAAACACGGCAAAACCCTGTCTCTACAAAAAACACAAAAATTAGCCAGGCATGGTGGTGTGCATCTGTAGTCCCAGCTACCCCGGAGGCCAAAGAGAGGGAGGATCGCTTGAGCCCAGGAGTTGGAGGCTGCAGCAAGCTATGATTGTACCACTGCACTCCAGCCTGGGCAATACAGCAAGACCTTGCCTCTGGAAAAAAAGAAAAAGGAGACAAAGAGGGGCTCTGAAAGCTGTTAAAGTGGAAGGGCAAGTTGAGTGTGCAAGTAGGGAGGTGGAACTACATGGGCTGTGGGCAACACAGAGGCCCCTCCCGCTCCTTGCAGGACTCAAGTTTTGAGACCCGAGACCACCCAGTCAGGGTTGGAGACTGGGGGAAGCAGGGCTGGAAGGAGAAAGGCTCGGAGTGCTCCGCTCATGGTGCAGGCTGGGCACCCATGGGCAACTCGAGAAGGGGAATTCCTGCCAAGTCAGGGAATGAGCCATTGGTAGAAACAGTGTGGCTGTCGTCAGGAGAGTGGTGATCTCAGCCTGGCTGGCCCCACCTGGCTTGGGCTCACCCAGCAGGTAGGTGGAAGAGCGGCGAGCCGTGTGGGGAAGGAGAAGGGCAGCAAGGAAGGTCATTCAGGTGGCCCATGGCTCCCCAAGGTGAGGTCAGCCTTTTTCATCAAGGGGGGTGGGGCTAGCTTTGGCTGCAACGCGCAGATCATGGGGCTGTGGTTAGTTCTGAGAGGCTGGGGAAGGTGGGAACTTATGGGATTCCCACAAGCCGTGGGCTGCAGGGCGCTGGCAGGCATTAGGGCCAGTCACCATGAGCTGGTTGGCAGTGCTGACCTCTCTTCCTGCCCTTCCCAAAAGGAAAACCTCTCCTTGCATGCTGCCTTGAGGCTTCAGCCTTGGTTCAAACTACATTCACTTACGGGAGGGATCCACCATTAGTCCTGAGCAACTTCAGCCCTGGCCCTGTCATACTTTCTCCTGAGAGCTGGGTTGAGAAAGGGAAATGAAGATGAACATGACACCTAAGAGAGCTAACATTTATTGAAGACTTACTGGGCACCAGACACTGCCATAGACATTTGTTATCTCATTCAGTCCTTGCCACAGCCTTGGGAGGTAGGTTCATATTGTCTCCAATTTAAAAATAAGAAAAGTGAGGCTGGGGGCAGGGAAGTGCAGATGGTTAATGGGTACAAAAATATAGTTAGAATGAGTAAGATCTAGTACCTGATAACACTACAGGGTGCCTGCAGTCAACAATAATTTATTGCACATTTAAAAATAACTAGGGCCAGGCGCGGTGGCTCACACCTGTAATCCCAGCACTTTGGGAAGCCAAGGCAGGCGCATCACCTGAGGTCAGGAGTTTGAGACCAGCCTGACCAACATGGAGAAACCCCATCTCTACTAAAAATACAAAAATTAGCCAGGTGTGGTGGCGTATGCCTATAATCCCAGTTACTCGGGAGGCTGAGGCAGGAGAATCGCTTGAACCCAGGAGGCAGAGGTTGCGGTGAGCCGAGATCACACCATTGCACTCCAGCCTGGGCAAGAAGAGTGAAATTCCGTCTCAAAAAAAAAAAAATCTAAACTAAAAGAGTATAACTGGATTGTATATAACACAAAGAAAGAGGCCGGGCGCAGTGGCTCACGCCTGTAATCCCAGCACTTTAGGAGGCCGAGGCGGGTGGATGACGAGGTCAGGAGATCGAGACCATCCTGACTAACACAGTGAACCCCTGCCTCTACTAAAAAATACAAAAAATTAGCCGGGCATGGTGGCGGGTTCCTGTAGTCCCAGCTACTCAGGAGGCTGAGGCAGGAGAATGGCATGAACCCGGGAGGTGGAGCTTGCAGTGAGCCGAGATCGCGCCACTGCACTCCAGTCTGGGAGAAAGAGCGAGACTCCATCTCAAAAAAAAAAAAAAAAAAAAAGAAGGAAAAAAAAAAAAGAAAAAGAAAACACACAAAGAAAGGAGAAATGCTTGAGGTGACAGATACCCCATTTACCCTGATGTGATTATTACACATTGCATGCCTGTATCAAAACATCTCATGTAACCCATAAATACACACACCTACAATGTACCCATAAAAATAAAAAACAAAAATAAAAAAATTAATTTATTTAATTTATTTATTTTTTTGAGATGGAGTCTCACTGTGTCATCCAGGCTGGAGTGCAGTGGCACGATCTCGGCTCACTGCAACCTCTGCCTCCCAGGTTCAAGTGACTCTCCTGCCTCAGCCTCCCGAGTAGCTGGAACTACAGGCATGCACCACCACACCGGCTAATTTTTGTATTTTTAGTAGAGATGGGGTTTCACCATGTTGGCCAGGCTGGTCTTGAACTCCTGACCTCAAGTGATCCACCCCGCTCGGCATCCCAAAGTGCTGGGATTACAGGCATGAGTCACCACACCCAGCCTAGTTTTTGTTTTTGTTCTGTTTTAAAGAAGAAAAGTGAGGCTCAGAGAGTTTAAGTGACTTGCCTGAAGTCACACAGCTGGTAAATAGTGAGCTGGAATAGGAACCCAGGTCTGTCTGAGGTTACAGACCACTGAGCTCTTAGCAAAATGGGAAAGTGTGTGTGTGTGCACGCGTGTGCAGACGTGTCTGTCCATTCGTGAATTTCAAAGTCAAGGTAAAGAGGGCTTAGGGACATCCGGAACCTACCCCAAATTTGAGAGGGGACCTCGTGGATGAGAGGCCAGCAGAGAACTGTGTGTCTCCAGGATCTGGAATCCCCTGGGAAAAGCATGCCCGCTTGGAAAAGACAAAGTGCTTGTTTTGGGGACTTGATTCTGAGTATCCAGGAGGTCTCAGGGGCCGGCGCCCCAGTCCAGCCACAGGATCTTTCCTTGGGAACTTGTAATCTGCAGCTGCCTTTGTGGCCATCATCCACCACCACTCCTGTCCCCCAGTCCTGCGCCTGAGATGATCCTTTCCCAAGGCAGGAGAAGCAGGCCGATGCTGGAGGCTGAGTAGGTCCTTCAACCTCAAGCCCTTTAGAAGGCCCCATCCCCTGGGGCTCCTTCAGTCTTGATGCTTTCTGCCAAGGCTTAGGCCTTGCTGCCCCCACCCCCAAAAAGGCCACGTGGAACTATACAGAGTAACAATTCCCAGCGCACTCTCTCCAGAGCCTCCTATCAGCAGACCCACGTAGGCGGCGGTATTGATGTTGAGGCAGGTCAGAGAGGGCAAAGGGGAGATAGAAGGGGAGCGTGCCTGAGTGGCTTTCAAGTGGGCGCGTGGAGCAGAGCAGCCTGGCTTTGGACAGGGGAAGAAAGGTAGGCATGGGCTTTCTTCCAGCACCCGAACTCTGGCTCTCTTTGCACTTGCTGGGCCAGCCCCTCTCCCCCTAGCCCTTCCCCTGACTCATATCTTGCCAGCGTCCCCCACCCCAACTTCCCGCAGGAGTCCTAGACTCGACTTCCCTAAGAAGTCGCCGAAACTCTCCAGTCACCCCAGGTGTTACGCCCAGGATTCTGCGGAGTCGGGCATATGGTTCCAAAATTGTATCCTCTGGGCATCTCGCGGCCTCACCCGCCGCACGGCCCGCCCTCCCGCTGGGGCCTGCACACCCCAGGAGCTCAATAATGTGGAGCGCAGGGCTTGGCCCAAAGGCGTCAAGCAAGTCTCCACTTGCACGGGCCGAGGGGGCTGGACGAAACCTTCCCGAGTCCGCGGGGAAGGGATTTCTCTGCGGGGCGTTGTATGGGGGCTTCGCACCGGGAAGGGCGCGGAACGAGCAGAGAGCTCGGAGTCTCGCTGGCTAGAAGCAGAGTGGGGAGCGCCCGCCCGGGCCGCGGCGCACGACGCGGGCTCTGCGGGCGCCCTGCCTCGTGGTCCCCCGGGCGCGAGCGAGCCGCGAGGGGAATGAGAGGCCGCGCGGGCCCCTGGCACGGCTCCCCATGCCGTGCTGGCGACCGCGGCGGGCGGGCCGGGGCGGACGGGCGCTGTTTCCACCGAGATGCCTCGTCCCTCCCTCGTTCCCTCCCCCACCCCGCCCGCCCGCAGTCCCTCCCGTCGGTCCCTCCCTCCGGCTCTTCCCTCCCTCCCGCCCTGCCTCCTTCGCGCCCGCCCCATCCGCCGCCTGCGGGGACGTGTGTGTCTCTACTGCATTTCCCCTTTCGCTCGCTCGTTTCGGTGCATGTCTGCGCCGGTTCGCGCCCCCTCCCCGGGCGCCCCTGCCGCCCCGTGTCTTGGCCCGGCCCTCCCCGGCGTCCGCCCCGCTCCCCGCGCGCTCCACCCCGCCCCCCGCCCCGTTTTATCAGGGGCGCCGCCGTCTCACCTGGTATTTGCATCTCTCCCTCCAACTTGCCATTGGCGGCGCGAAGTGTGGGAGAGCCCTGCGCCTCGCCCGCCCGGACCAGCCTGCCCCGGCGCCGAGGTGAGTCACGGGCGCGGGGTGGCGGGGGCAGGCGGGCGGGGAAGAAGGGCGGGCGGGGAGGAGGGCGGGGGACGGCGGCCCCGGCGGCCGCGGGGACCGACCGGGCGCCGCGCTCAACTTCCACTTCTCCTTTCGCCGGCGCCGAGTTCCTGGCGCCGCTCGCCCGGCCCGGCTTCCGAGGGGAGAGGACGGGCTGGCGGGGCTGGGGACCCGCGTCTCGGCCCCCGGAGCGGGGACCACGGAGACAGACCCCGGCCCGGCGACCGAGCTGGGCCCGTGAGCCACTCGGCCTCAGGTACGTCGATGGCGCCGGTTCTTCGAGCCTTGGGGGACGTGGAAAAGTTTGCTTGAGGGCGGAATCGAGAGCGCCGGGGCCCCGGCGTGGGGCTGGGGGCCCAGGGAAGGGCGGGAGAGTCGCGGAGTGTCGCGAGCCGCCCTGGAGTCGCCCCGCCGCGCGTGTGATGGAGAACCCGGGCTCCCGATCCCGGGATGGAAGTGGAATGGATTCCCCGAGTCGGGGAGTCGGGGTAGGGGCCCCTGTTTTCCCTCGCCCCCGGCAGCCTGGGTTCCGTGACGGGGCCGATCATGACAGCGGGCCCCCAGAAGCTGGGCGCCCGAGGGCAGAGGAGGTGGGGCGGACCGCGGCGGAGCTGCTAGATGGATCCGACTGCCCCCGGGGCTTCTGGGGCCAGGGCTTTAGGGTCACACGCACACACGCGCACGCAGACCTATGATGTGGAGAACTGGATCGCCAAAATAGAGACCTCTTGGCAGGGGCCGGAGTTTCCGTGTGAGCCAGCCGCCAGCCTTCCCGCTCCCGCGTTCCCGCTCTCCCCGACTCTCCCGCCTCCGGGTTCCCTCCTGGGCCGCCGCCTAGGGGATTCAGCAGCCGCACCGTGCGGGGTCCCCTCACGCCAGCGCCTTGCTTTGGAGGCTTGAGGGACTGCTGAGGCGGTGACCGCTTTATGAATTCCTGGCTCCTCCACCGCACCCTAACCCTGACTCCCTTTTCTCACCACCGTATGCCTGCACATCACCTTCCTGACCAGAGTCACCTCCTGACCCCTTGGCACCTCGGCTCAGCGAGGTCCTCCTGGGCCGCCCCCGCCCCGCACCATACCCCAGCTGAGGGATTTGATGGCCATTTGATTCCTGCCCCTCATCCCTCGGCCTGTGATAGAGGCCTGTCTGGTCCTGCAGCCTCTTCTGGTTAATGTTTGACAGTTCATTGTGGCTAATTATTTTAATTAGCTCTTAAAGTGGGAAAGAACAGTTAACCTTGGACTTCTCGATTTTGGCCTGGTGGGGCCTCAAATGGGAGGAGTGCTGGGGAGGTGGGGAGGTAGGAGCGGAAGTGAGGTCACCACCCCAGGGCCTGAACCACCACTGCTCAGCCCCAACAGCTGGTGGGCACGCCCATTGGGGACTCACCCCCTGCCAGCTGACCCCTGGCCCGAGTGCCAGGTTGGAGGTGGGTGAAGGGAACAGTTCTAGCTCTTCCCTTTGGGGAGACTTTGGCACTGAAAATGCCCGGGGAACACATATGCCCAGCAAGAATGCCAGTCCTTCCTTGCAGTTAGTTACACTGGGTTTTCCTGGTTATAAAGTGCTTTCTCAACCATTAATTCAGATTCAGTGCATCCAGTACAGGAGCAGCGTAGGGGGAGCTCTCTGGAGTTCAGTGAAGATTATCAGGGAGGACTTCCTATCCCAGCCAGCTGGTGTGAGGAAGAGGCTACCTTGCATCTGGTTGTTTTTGGGGCTGGATTCAGAGCCTGGGATCTCTTGTTGGGGGCAGGGGTGGGGGGGACCATGAAGCAGGCTCCATGCTACCACCCTCACCCAGCCTCTTGCTGTGAGCCGAAGGAGTGGCTTGTTTGCAACTATGTCTGGCATTCCTCCCTGTGCTGCACTGTTTGCTCGGTGGTTGCTCAGGAACTGGCGCCCACCCCTGGACAACCTAGGGGCCCAAAATTCACTCTCCCTCACCTAGTGCTAAGTGGTGACACAGTGGCTTCTGTCTTCTCTGGCATATATTGGGATCTAAAATAGAGGGTGCTGTGGTCTGTCTCTAGGGGCCTGAGTGATAGCATGTCCAAAATGCCCCTCATCTTGCAAAAATCAGGCCCTGTGCCGCACAGACCCAGCTAGACACAGGCTGAGGAGTTTGCTTTCCTGGGGAAACCTCTGCTCTTCTGCTCTTAAGCTTGGCCTTCTTCCTTTCCACATCCCCTACCCCCGCAATGTAATTTTACATCCAGTTTTTGTTTTTGCGTTTAGAGTGTTGTTTTTTTTTTGGTTTTTGTTTTTTAATTCAGGGTCTCACTTTGTCACCCAGGCTGGAGTGCAGTGGCACAGTCACAGCTCACTGTAATCTTGAACTCCTTACCTCCAGTTCTTTTTTTTTTTTTGAGATGGAGTTTCACTCTTGTTGCCCAGGCTGGAGTGCAATGGCACGATCTTGGCTCGCCGCAACCTCCGCCTCCCAGGTTCAAGTGATTCTCCTGCCTCAGCCTCCCGAGTAGCTGGGATTACAGGCATGTACCACCACGCCCGGCTAATTTTGTATTTTTGGTAGAGACGGGGTTTCTCCGTGTTGGTCAGGCTGGCCTCGAACTCCTGACCTCAGGTGATCCACCCGCCTCCGCCTCCCAAAGTGCTGGATTATAGGCGTGAGCCACTGTGCCCAGCTACCTCCAGTTCTTAAAGCCTGGCTGTCTAGGTTGAAATCCCAGCATTGTTATTTACTAGCTATGTGATCCCAGTCAATTGTATGCCCCAGTTTCCTTATCTGTCACATGAGACCACTTTATAACACTTTGGTGAGGATCAAATACATGAATGAATACATATAAGATGCTTATTAGAACAGCACATGGCACACAGTAAGTGCTAGCTGCCCTTACGATATTGCCTAATGCAGCGCCTAAAACTCAGATTCAATTCAGCAAACACTTGCTCAGAGCCGGTCCTAGTACCAGACCCCAATGAAGTGGCAGTGAGGAAAACATGGATGTGAGGAAGACACCACCTGCCTTCCGGGATTGTGTGTACCTTTTCGTGTGGGCTGGAGTCAGAGCAGGTGTACAGGAAGGGGTCAGGGAGAGGGGATATGTCATCTATATAAATAATTGTAATTGGAAGCCAGGATCAAATTCCTGAGCCAGTGTGGGGGATCAAGCACCCTAGACTTGGGGGCTTCTCTTTGCCTGAAGACCCTGGCCAGATTCTGGTCTAGATGCACCTCCCACCCTCCCCACACACAGAGTCTTGCCCTAGGATTTGGGTGAATGAGAGGGAAAGGAACACTGGTTTTCTTTTCTTTTCTTTTCTTTTCTTTTTGAGATGGAGTCTTGCTCTGTCGCCCAGGCTGGAGTGCAGTGGCCCAATCTCGGTTCACTGCAAGCTCTGCCTCCCAGGCCCAAGCATTTCTCCCTGCCTTAGCCTTCTGAATAGCTAGGATTACAGGTGCCCACAACCTTCCCCAGCTAATTTTTGTATATTTTAGTAGAGACGGGGTTTCACCATGTTGGCCAGGCTGGTCTTGAACTATTGACCTCAGGTGATCCGCCCGTCTTGGCCTCCCAAAGTGCTGTGATTACAGGCGTGAGCCATTGCTCCTGGCTGGGACACTGGTTTCTGCATGAGCTACAGGTGGCAATCTTGCAGGATGTCATTTGTTGGGTTCCAGGGCAGGATGGCATTTCTTAGGGACACCCCCCAAACATCCCTATAGCCCCCTGCAGTGGAAGGGGTCATGTCTGCCATGCCCCCTGTCTCCCCAGGATCTCCCACCGAGCTGGGAAAGGCCCTGGGCAGCCTTCTGTCCTCAGGGTAGGGCCTGACCCCAACCCGGGCTTGGCATCTCTCCTGGATTTCTAAGCTGCAAAGAGGTTTCTGGCTTCTCTTCCAATTTATTCTTTTTGTGGTTCTCAGACTGAAAACTACTTCTGCAGGGGAGAAAGGAAACTCCTGCAAGGCACCCAGAATCCCATAGGCGCTTTCCTAGGGGTCAGGGGCTTTTCTCATCAACACCAACCTGCCTGCAAATCTCTGGCCGCTGAGCCTCGTGTGTCCTGTAATAGCAGCCACACTGCTAATGCCCTGTAGCTCGGGCCCCAGTGCTGGTTGCCAAGAAACTGCTGGTCGGGGTGCTTATGAGGGTTCTGACCTCATAGGGGCTGCTGAGTTTCAATTCAACAGACATTTATTAATACCTACTGTGTGCCCAACCGATGCTAGGCGCCGTGGGGGAGATGAGAGAAGGAGGCGCTGGGGAAGAGATGACTAAGACACTGAAACAATCAGAGGCGAGGACAAGCAGCCGGGCCAGTGGCTGGTCAGGTGCTAATTGTGCTTGTTGGAGCAGAGGCCAGCACGGCTGGGACTGGAGGTCAGCAGCAGCTGGAGGAGGGAGGGAAGGCTTTGTGAGGGATGCGGGCCTAGGCTAGACCTTGAAGGGGGGAGAGGGGGAAGCAAGGGGGAGATTTGGCTCAGCAGAAAAGGAAGAAAAGACGCCTTTCTCTCTATTCCCTGGCCACGAACTGACCTTCGAAGCCTGGATGATTGTTTGGCAAATGTGTGTCACATAAAAGACCAGGTCAGCTAGTGTGGGTGGCTCAGTGCAAACCCCTGTCTCCACTCCGGGAGATATAAACTGGCTGGCCAGCCTGCCACCCAAGCTGAGGGGATTTCGTTTGAAACCCCTCCCTTACCAGACACACACACACACACACACACACACACACACACACACACACACACAGGCCCCTGGGGAGTGGGAGAGATGGCAGGGGAGACGTAGGGCACTTAAATGACAGGAAAACTGACATGCCACTTGTGCTCATGGCAGTCTCAGGCTGGCTGGATCCCACCTTTTCCCCAGGGTTCTGGGATTTCTCTGGAAGCCCAGAGCTTCAGGTGGAGGAAAGAGATTTTCATAATTGTTCCCCACTCCACCATCTGGGAAATGAAGAATGTAGAGTTTCATGTGTTTCTGCCCAGACCGCTAAGGACTAGCCATATATTGCTTCCACTGATTCTGTGTCTCCCAAGGCTGGACATGGAGGAAGCTTGGCCCTGGTTGGGTTTAATTGGATAAAAAACTCCCGGACATCCCCCTGCCACATACACACACTCATCATTTTCCCTCTCTCACTGCCCTGCCTCCTCCCCAGCACATTTCAACACCAAAGGGACATACCAGAGGGCCCTGACTTCTTGGTTGGGAAATCATGCCCTAAGGTGAGTTTCTCGGCAAAGAGACCCCAGCCTGCTTCCAGGGTGAGGAGGAGGGTCAGGGAGCAGGGAAGGGTGTTTCATGCAGGAAGGTCTGCAAGGGAAAGTGCCAGAACATTTCTCAGAGAGGCTAACAAGAAGCAAGCTGAGCAGCTTGTAGAGGCTGAGCAAGCTTTCCCTTGAGTTGCCACCTTCTTTTCTTTTTTTAATTTGAGGCAGAGTCTTGCTCTGTCGCCCAGGCTGGAGTGCAGTGGTGTGATCTTGGCTCACTGCAACCTCCATCTCCCGGGTTCAAGCAATTCTCCTGCCTCAGCCTCCTAAGTAGCTGGGATTACAAGCACCTACCACCATGCCCAGCTAATTTTCTTTTTTTTTTGTATTTTTTAGTAAAGACGGGGTTTCACCATGTTGGCCAGCCTGGTCTCGAACCCCTGACCTCAGGTGATCCACCTGTCTTGGCCTCCCAAAGTGCTGGGATTACAGGCATGAGCCACCGCACCCAGCCGAGTTGCCACCTTCTTGATGGGTCATTTTCTTGGCCCAGTGTGGGCACTTCCTGCCTCTCAGAACACCTGACTCTCCTGAAGCTTCCTTTCCTCTTCCAGTGTGACCCAATATCCTTCCCAATACATGTTATTGTCTAGAGGAGGAAGAGCACAGGCTCTCTACATTTATATGCCAAACTTACTGGCTGTGTGACTATTTGCTGTTGAGCTAGTTACTTAACCACTCTGGGAGTCAGCGCCCATCTCACAGGGTTGGAGTGAAGCTTAAATGAGACGATGCATATAAAGCACTCAGCAGAGTGCCTGGCATATAGTACCCACCCAGTAAGTGTTCACTGCTGTTATTATTATTCCTGTGACAGTTATTATTATTGTTGTCACCATTTCCCCTTCACACACCCTTGACTTTGCCAGGCTCTAGGGACCAACTACTTCTTCGGCAATGCGGGCAGGGCATGCCACACCCATTTCTGAAACTAAGCGGGAGATTTTCCAGGTTTTTCTGCTTTTTGTTAACTCGGCCATTGCACAGGATAGGGAAAGGATGTAATAGAAGGTGTGTGTGTGTGTGTGTGTGTGTGTGTGTGTGTGTGTGTGTAATATACTGAATGGCAGGCAGTGCTGTAGTGAAGAGCAAAACTCAAATCGTTAATATTTGTACTAACATTGCCTTCTTTAGTCCTTCACCATTTTCATCTTGAGCATCATTCACTGCAGAAATAAGAGTAAGTTAGTTTCTTTGAGAGGCCTAACGTTGTACTCCTGGGAACTATTTAGCAATCATCAGATTGTTGTTATTATCCTACTGAGTGTAAAATTCTGGGAGCCAACTGGCTGACTACCACTCACTCTCACCCTTCACTAGAATAGATGATGGGTCCATTCTGGGCCAATGCCCAGAGGCCTTGAGTTGAGGCTGGGGCACTGCCTTTGCCCAGAAGAGCTCCCAGGGGACTGGGGGCCAGTGCCCTTCCAGAGGCCTCCCAGAGAGTAACTTGGAGGTTCCATTTGCTATTGACTGGATTGTGTTTGCTTGAGGAGCCTGTGACCACCCGCAGGGACAGGCAGCCTAGGATAAACTGGACCACCCCTGAGTAAAGCACTCCACTCAGTCCCTTGGTCCCCACCCCTCAGTTAGAACTGCTAGGCTTTGGGGGATGGGAGGGTGGCAATTATTCTTAACCTCCCGAAATTCCTGATGACCCGATAACAAGGAGGTATTTAGACATAGAATGAGGAGCTAATCTTTTTCCTATAATGCCCCCTGAGGATAACAGAGGCTAGTTCAGCTCTGCTAATTCTATGAGAATCTATGCACAGAAAACACCTGTCTCATTAGATGACCACTTCTAATTAGCCATTCTAATAAGTGTGCAGTGGTATCTCATTGTGATTTTAATTTGTATTTTCCTGATGATGTTTGTATTGACTGATGATGTTGAACATCTTTTCATATAGTTGCTGTCCATATGTCTTCTTTGTTGAGGTGTCTGTTCAAATCTTTTGCCCATTTTTAAACTGAATTGTTTGTTTTCTTGTAGTTGAGTTGTGAGAGTTCTTTATATTTTTTGGATACAAGACTTTCATCAGATACATGCTTTGTAAATACTTTCTCGTAGTCTGTGGCTTCTTTTAATCCCCTTCTCAGTGTCTTTTGACTTTAGCAAACATTTTAAATTTTGATGAAAGTGCAACTTTTCAACTTTTCTTTTTATGGGTCATAGTTTTGGTGCTGTATCGAAGAACTCTTCCCCTAGCCTTAGTTCACAAATATTTTGTCTCATATTTTCTTTTATAGGTTTTATAATATTAGTCTTTACATTTTAGTCTATGGTCTGCTTTGAGTTAATTTTTCTGTATGTTGAGTGGTATGGATCCAAATTCTTTTCCTTCCTTCCTTCCTTCCTTCCTTCCTCCCTCCCTTCCTTCCTTCCTCCCTCCCTCCTTCTCTCTCTTTCTTTCTTTCTTTCTTTCTTTCTTTCTTTCTTTCTCTCTCTCTCTCTCTCTCTCTCTCTCTCTCTCATCTTTATCTTGCTTTCTTGCTTTCTTCTTTCTTTCTTTTTCTTGGTCTTGCTCTGTTGCCCAGGCTGGAGTGCAGTGGTATGATTATGGTTCATTGCAGCCTTGACCTCCTGAGCTCAAGTAATCCTACCACCTTAGCCTTCCAAGTAGCTGGGACCACAAGAGTGTGCCACCATGCCCAGCTAATTTTAAATTTTTTTTTTGTAGAGGTATGTTCTCACTATGTTGCCCAGGCTGATCTTGAACTCCTGGCCTCAAGCTATCCTCCCAGCTTGGCCTCCCTAAGTACTAGGATTACAGGCGTGAGCCACTGCACCCAGCCTTTTTTTTCTTTTTCTTTATGCATATGAATATCTAATTATTCTAGCACTATTTTTGAAAAAGCTATCATCAGTCTACTACCATTGTCTATATGTGGGCCCATTTCTGCACTCTATTCAATTCCATTGATTGGTCTACTTATTTCTCTTTACATTAACACCAACTGTTTTGATTACTGTAGCTTTATAATCATTCTTGAAATCAGGTAGTATTAGCCTTTCAACTTTGCTTTTGTTTGAAGTTGTTTTTGGCTAGTTTAAGTCCTTTGCGATTTCATGTGATTTTTAGGGCTGACTTGTCCATAACATTTTCTTTTAATATTTGCATTTATCCCACTTGCGTTAATTTTTGTTGTAACAAATATGTTTGGTGTTTTATTTTATTTTGAGATGGAGTCCCACTCCGTCGCCCAGGCTGGAGTGCCAGTCGTGCGATCTCAGTTCACTGCAACCTCTGCTTCCTGGGTTCAAGCAATTCTCCTGCCTCAGCCTCCCAAGTAGCTGGGATTGCAGGCATGTACCACCACACCCAGCTAAATTTTTTTTTAAATATATTTTTAGTAGAGACACGGTTTCACCATGTTGGCCAGGCTGGTCTCAAACTCCTGACCTCAAATGATCCACTGGCGTTGGCCTCCCAAAGTGCTGGGATTACCGGCGTGAGCCACTGCGCCCAGTCTGGCCTTGTTTTTGTTTTGTTTTGTTTTGTTTTGTTTTGTTTTGTTTTGTTTTTTGAGACGGAGTTTCCCTCTTGTCGCCCAGGCTGGAGTGCAATGGCGTGATCTCGGCTCACTGCAACCTCTGCCTCCCGGGTTCAAGCGATTCTCCTGCCTCAGCCTCCCGACCTCCCGAGTACCTGGGATTACAGTCATGCGCCACCACACCCGGCTAATTCTGTATTTTTAGCAGAGACGAGGTTTCTCCATGTTGGTCAGGCTGGTCTGGAACTCCGACCTCAGGTGATCCACCCGCCTCGGCCTTCCAAAGTGCTGGGATTACAGGCACGAGCCACCGCGCCCGGCTTGTTTTTTAAATCTTATTTTATAATCATGTTTGTTCCTTATGTTACCATTATTTTAGATGATGCTTATCTTTTAATTGATATTCTTAGCCTAAAAAGTTGCTTAACTTTATTATGCATTTGTAAAATAGGACTACTTATTTGTTATTTGCTCTTCATTTATTACCAATTTTTGGTTAATAAATCCATGACTATCTGCCTCATACATCATTTTATAGATGCCAATCATATTCTTGCTCAGCCTTGTCTGTCCAGAAAACAAAAGGCTTCTTTAAATAAAATTTTTCCTCATATAGTTATCCTCATACCCCTGTTTTCTTGAATCACTTTACTTCTTAGACCTGATCCAGAATGAAGTCTTTCCTGAGGGTTCAGTGATCAACCAATAACCCCAGGGTGGAAACATTGTGGTTTTGTACAAAGACAGAATGCTTTGGTGATGACCTGATCATCAACTGCCTTCTCAATGCCACTTAGAATAAATGACTCTAGCTAATACATCTTGTCCCTAACAGAGGCCTGGAGCAAGAGAGGAAAAGTAACATTGGAGCCCTGGAGACATTTGCCCAACTCTATGGCTACCTTACCCCTAGTCTGTAGCCCTAAGATCTATCAGGACCTGTGGTCTCATTTCTAGAGATCTCACTCTTGTTGAGAATTTAGGTGAACTTCATTCATGAATGCCCAAACCTGTGTTAGTCAGGAGATGAAATGGGCTTTGATCCCGTGGATTTTACTACCTGTTGGGGAAACAAGAGATACACGTGAAATAATTAAAGGGCAATTCAAGACCCTGTGGGATTAATAAATCTTGTGGTAGAATTTAAGGGTCATGGGGGCTTAGAGAAGGGGGTTCCATGGGTGCAGACCGTAATTATGAGGGTACAACCAGCTCCATGGGGTTGGTGGATGTGATTGGGCCCTTGCTGGATAGGCACTATTTGATTAGCCAAAAAGGAGCAGCAAAGGCATGGCAGGCCTGAGAAACTCCGTGAATGAGCCTGGAATGTTCCCTCAGGGGACCATGAGGAGACCAACTGGGCTTCAAGCCCAGGCTTAAGTTGGGAAATCATGGGAAACAAGCCGGAGTAGGTAGGGTGGGGTCAGACTGTGAAGGACCTTTGGAAACTGAGCAGATGAGTTTGGACCATAAGGCTCTGCCGAGTCTGGCTGGTGTGGTCACAGCCATCGATGTCAATGTGTGTCCTGGAGTAGGAGTTGGCGCCAGCTCAGAAGCTGAGGGAGGAGCTAGGCAGAGGCTGGGCCAAGACTGGAACTTGATCTTCCTCACTCCCAGTCAAGTGGGTTTTCTGCTGCACCAGGCCTAGTTTTTAGCTTTCCAAAGGATTTTCACATTCACTCCATATAGCTTCCTAACAGAACCCACAGGTATGGGGTACAGATGGTGAAGACCAGCTCACTCCATGGCTACTGGGGTGACAGGAGGTAGAACCACTGAGAAACACTCTATAGTTCACCTGCTGGTTGGCCCCACCAGGTGACCACTTGCCCTGGAGCCCCTTCTCAGGCTCAAACATGTTAGTTCCAGATGGTATCCTTAAAAGAAAATGTATTAAGAGGCAGGCGGTGGCTCATGCCTGTAATCCTAGCACTTTGGGAGGCCAAGGCGGGTGGATCACTTGAGGTCAGGAGTTAGAGACCAGCCTGGCTAACATGGCAAAACCCGTCTCTAGTAAAAACACAAAATTAGCAGGGCATGGTGATGCGCACCTATAATCCCAGATACTTGGGAGGCTGAGACATGAGAATTGCCTGAACCTGGGAGGTGGAGGTTGCCGTGAGCCGAGATAGCACTGCTGCACTCCAGCCTGGGCAACAGAGTGAGACTCTATCAAAAGAAAAAAGAAAATCTATTAAGGAGAGAGATGACACTTAACACAATATCAGTTTTTTGGTTTTTTTGTTTGTTTGTTTTTTGAGACGGAGTATCGCTCTTGTCACCCAGGCTAGAGTGCAGTGGCGTGATCTCGGCTCACTGCAACCTCCACTTTCTGGGTTCAAGCAATTCTCCTGCCTTAGCCTTCCAAGTAGCTGGGATTACAGGCGCCCGCCACCACACCCAGATAATTTTTGTATTTTTAGTAGAGACGGGGTTTCACCATGTTAGCCAGGTTGGTCTTGAACTCCTGACCTCAGGCGATCCACCCGCCTCTGCCTCCCAAAGTGTTGGGATTACAGGCGTGAGCCCCTGCGCCTGGCTGGCCTGAACATTTCGATAGAGGGAAGAAATGTGGAGCCCTGATAGCCACTATGGTCAATAAGCCTGCGTGGAGCTCTGGATAGCATGAAATCTCTAGGGAGGGAGGCCCGAGGCTGCGAGAGCCCTGTGACGTGGCGTGCCTGTGGTTACATAGCCCATTAATGGCAAAATTGACTTAGCAGAGTTTTTCCAAACTTTCCCACCCAAGTGCTCCCAAACTACTGAAAATTGTATTCTAGAGACCTAGAAGGACAGTTAAAATTTCTTGGAAGTATGACTTTTGATCTTAAATGTGAATGTTGCAATCTACTGCCTCGAGTACATTTTAAGTGATTTATCAGTGAACAAAATGGAGGCCCCTGGAAGATGAGCCCAGTCTGGACTGTGGCTTTGACGCCTAGTCTGGGGCTTGGTCAGCTTTGGCATGCAGGCCCTGTCTCTGTAGGGCCTGCCTGCAGGTGGGTCAGAGGTTGAACTTTCAGAAATGTAGCCTAAAGTGCTGGAAGGGAAATCTGTCACCCTCAGCATCTTCATTTGCTTCCAGTCTCCGTCCCTGTCTCCCTTTGTGATTCAAACACATTTGATGGAAAAATCTAGGCCCTTCTGTCCTGGGGGATAATCTTTTAGCTCGCTCAGTGGTTAGGTCTGGCCTCATCCTAGCCTTTGGGTGGGTGCATAGATCCCAGGGTGGGATGGACACAGACAGCTTGGGACCCATGAGGCTCAGAAGCCTGGGTATGGATTGGCCAAGATTGTGCCCAAGGACTTCCCAGCCTCATCTCCTCCATCACAGTCAGCCTGCAGCCCCTCATTCAGCCCCACCTTTAGCTTAGAGTGTTTACAGTGCTCTCCAGTAAAAAACAAATATATCTGCCCGGACTTGCAGTGCCTTTCAGCCTAGAGCTACCCACCGTCATCTCTGGGTGGCTAAGTACAGAAGAGCCGAGGAGGCACTCCAGGTCAAAGTTAGCTTCCTTAGCAGCACCACGTCTCATTCCTGTCTCCATAGCCTGCAGATAGAGAAGGTACAATTTAAAAAGAACGCATGCCCTCTCCAGCTTGAGCAAGCTGCATAAAGCACTATGAATATTCAGGTTTCGCTCTGGCAGGCAGGGCCCCAGGCACTGCGGGCCTGTGCCAGGCAGCAATCCTTCGTCCACACCCCCTGCCTGCCCATGGCTCAGGGGGGCTCCAGGCTGCGGGAGCCTGTAGTGACGAAAGAGCAGGTAGGGCCCTGGGCAGGCTGTCTGGGCCAGGCAGGGCGGGGGCAGCCGGCTGGGTGAGGCCCAGATTCCCCAGGCTGATAAGGCAGCCTGTAAACACCCGGCAAGGGGAGGGGGCAGAGGGCAGGCGACCAGATGGCAGGAGAGGGGGGAAACCGGAGCCCAGGCCTAGCTGCAGGAAGTGGGGCTTGATGTGGAAACATCCTGTCCAGCGGGGGCTAGGCTGGTGGCCATCAAGGATCACTCCCTCCACCATGAAGGCAAGCTCAGTGCAAGGTGGGGCTGCTGGCCTGGGCGCCAGCCCAAGAACCTGGTTCCTGACATCTCCAAAGGACATGATCAATGGGTCTCTATTATGGGTTGCTCTACCACCTAGCACTGCTGAGGCGAAATCAGAACTGAGCTGCCCCTCATGGAGACAGTCAACAGAAGGATTGTCATAGAGAATTTGAATCTCATGGGAAAATCTTCATCATCACTATCAGTGAGGAGCATCTATTTGAACACTTAATTGTGTCAAAGGCCTCCTGCAGCACCCAAAGGAGAGCCACGTATCTGACACTCCATTCTATTCTGCCTTACAGTGCTCGCTTTTTTTCCTTTCTTTTTCTTTTTCTTTTCTTTTCTTTTTTTTGAGACAGTCTTGCACTGTCGCTCAGGCTGGAGTGCAGTGGCGCGATCTCAACTCACTGCAACCTCTGCCTCCCAAGTTCTAGAGATTCTCCTGCCTCAGCCTCCCGAGTAGCTGGGATTACAGGCATATACCACCATGCCCAGCTAATTTTGTATTTTTAGTAGAGACGGGGTTTCTCCATGTTGGTCAGGCTGGTCTTGAACTCCTGACCTCAGGTGATCTGCCTGCCTCAGCCTCCCAAAGTGTTGGGATTACAGGTGTGAGCCGCCGCACCCGGCTGCTTTTTTTTTTTTTTTTTTTTAATAGAGATGGATTTCATCATGTTGTCTAGGCTTGTCTCAAACCCCTGGCCTCAAGCCACCTTCCCACCTCGGCCTCCCAAAGTGCTAGGATTACAGGCGCAAGCCACCATGCCCGGCCCCTTGCAGTACTTTCTAATTAGAACCTCAGAGGTTCAGAACTGGCTGAGCCTTTAGCAAAAGATTACCAAACTCGCCTACTTCACTTTACAGATAGGGAAATTGGGATCCAGAGAGGGGCAGGGACTTGGCCACATTAATGGAAGACCTGAAATTAAAGTCCTTAGTTGGAAGTGTTTTCCACTGCTTACCCCAAGGAAAGCAGCTTGCATAAGGTTGGACCTGCCATGCATACTCAGTGACCCTGTACTTACCCTTGCCTAGGATTATAGGGAGGCTGGGAGGAGGAAACAGCCTTGGAGCCATCAACCAGAGGACCTTAGCTTGTGCATGGCCTTCAGTGGGCCGCTGCCCTTCTCTGGGCCTCAGTTAAAAAAAAAAGACAACTGCTTTATTAGATATAGTTATTAGATATAGTTCAAATACCATATAATTCATCCTCTTAAAGCATACACTTCAGTAGTTTTTAATCTATTCTCAGAGTTGTACATCCATCACCAGAATCCATTTTAGAACATTTTCATCACCCCCAGGCAGGGCATGGTGGCTGACGCCTATCACCTCAGCACTTTGGGAAGCTGAGGTGGGCGGATCACTTGAGGCTAGGAATTTGAGACCAGCCTGGCCAACATAGTGAAACCCCATCTCTAATAAAAATACAAAAATTAGCCCGGTATGGCTGGCACACACCTGTAGTCCCAGCTATTTGGGAGGCTAAGGCATGAGAATAACTTGAACCCGGGAGGCAGAGGTTACTGTGAGCTGAGATCGTGCTACTGCACTCCAGCCTGGGCGACAGAGTGAGACTCTGTCTCAAAAACAAAACAAAACAAAAAAAAACCCAAAACATTTTCATCACCCCCAAAAGAAATCCCATACCCATTAGTATTCACTCCCCATTTTCTCCCAACCCTTGGGCCTCAATTTTGAAGATAACTTGCTACAAACATGTTTTGAGGGGGTGGAGCACCCAGCAATATTGTTTAGGCAGATGGGCTACTGAGCTTAGTGGGAATTTGGATACAAAGAGACTCTACCACAGAGAATAGGGTGGGCCCCGTGATTAGTCCCCTGGCCCTGGGCCTGGCACCTATGAGGTGTTCAAGGCTGACTTTCCATAAATATTTGAATAAACATGTGAACCAACACCCCAAGATAAGAGCCCAGACTTACATTATATGTAAGCCAAGAGCAAGTGTATATTTATGGGGCAGGGACCATGCTGTGGCTACTTGAGGTCTGGAGCCAGGAACTCTCTGGAAACAGCAGAGCTTATAGGAAGAGTCGGCCTCCACATCATCAGAGCTGGAAGGCTCCCCCTCCACAATACTCCTTCTCCGCAGCTGGCCACAGGAGCTCACATGGTCACCATTGGAAGTTAGAATTGACTTACTAGATGGAGCTTGGGTTGACATTGAGTCCTTGAGGGGCTTGGGACACAAGCCTGGGAAGCCTCTGTTGAAGCGGCCCCACAGGGGCTCTGAGGCTTCGAAGTGGAGAGCTGTGAGCCAGCCTTGAGCTAGGGATCCTAGCAGATGGTTGCTAGCATGGACAGAGGAAAAAGCAGGGACTTCAAGATCAAGGTCACACCGGCCCCAGTTTGAGTTCTGCCTCCATTCTTGGGCAGTGGTGGCCTTGATCATGTTACCTAATCTCTGAGCCTCACTTCTACTGTTTTTCAAATGAAACTATTAAAACAGAATTATTACCAAAGCAGATTTCACTGAAAACAAAGTTCATTGTGTGTAGTAGTTGGAAATAAAGCTAGGTTCAAACCCCGGCTCTGCCACTTACTGGCTCCTTTGCAGGGACGGTGTAGCACCCCAGAACTACACATCCCTGCCACCTTCCCTGCACACCACCCTGTCATCTTGTCATTTTTACTGTTTGGCCCTCCTTTTCCCGAAGCAGGGGGAGCAACTTGAAGTGGTATCAGAGAGCGCAAAAGAAAATCTTGCCCACCTTTACACAAGCACCCACGCCCCACTGCCCCTCCCCCAGCAGGCCATGCCTGAGACCACAGTGGCCACACCCACCACCCTCGGCCCACCAGCAGCTCAGGTCACTGCCAACCCCACAAGTGCTCACCCTGAGCTGGCACCAACCTCAAGCGCTTCCACCCCCTCCACCCAAACACGTGCCGCCAGCTTTGAGCCAGGCTTGTAACCAAACCCTGGCCCTGGGTTTGTGCTGCAGATGTAGGGAGGGGCTGGCAGAAGCCCAGGTGCACATCCAGATGTTGTTTCTAAGGTTTCCTTGGCGTTCTCCCTACCAGCTGTGAAGCCGTATTCACTCCAGCTTGCAGGAGTGGACAAGCAGGTACTCCCCTCAGGGGCGGCGGGGCCCTATCTGGAGGGAACTGGTTCCTCTTTGTCCTAGGGGGGACATAGAGTGAGAGGGGACAGGGAAAAGTGGGACCCTGCTCTCTCTCTCTCTCTTTTTTTTTTTTTGAGATGGAGTCTCCTCTGTCACCCAGGCTGGAGTGCAGTGGCGTGATCTTGGCTCACTGCAACCTCTGCCTCCGGGTTTCAAGCGATTCTCCTGCCTTAGCCTCCCGAGTAGCTGGGATTATAGGCGCCCGCCACCATGCATGGCTAATTTTTGTTTTGTTTTGTTTTGTTTTTGTTTTTTTGAGATGGAGTCTCACTCTGTCACCCAGGCTGGAGTGCAGTGGCGTGATCTCGGCTCACTGCAACCTCTGCCTCCTGGGTTCAAGTGATTCTTCTGCCTCAGCCTCCCGAGTAGCTGGGACTACAGGCTTGCACCACCACGCCTGGCTAATATTTGTATTTTCAGTAGAGATGGAGTTTCACCATATTGACCAGGCTGGTCTCGAACTCCTGACCTCATGATCCGCCCACCTGACCTCATGATCCGCCCACCTTGGCCTCCAAAGTCTGAGATTACAGGCGTGAGCCACCACACCCGGCCAATTTTTGTATTTTTAGTAGAGACGGGGTGCCTCCATGTTGGCCAGGCTGGTCTTGAACTCCTGACCTCAAGTGATTCACCCACCTCGTCCTCCCAAAGTGTTGGGATTACAGGTGTGAGCCACCACGCCCGGCCCCTGCTCTCATGACAGGAGGCCTGGCTGGGCAGGGTTCTTGGCCAAAGATACAAGAATATGGCCCCGAGCTGAGAGAGGTATCAAGATCACCTTCTCAGCCATTTTTTTTGCAGGCCCATCCAGAACCATCATTTGTAGGAATCCCCTTAGCTTCTTGCACAGCTGCTTGAACCTCAGGGAACAATATCACTACGGGGAAGCCAAGGTGATTGTGTCCATCCACCACGAGGCCCCCGAACCAGGCAGCAAGGCTTCTAGAGCCAGCATCACATAGTTCTGGCCTGTCCCCAGGAGGACTGGCAACTGGGCAGAGAGGTCCAAAGCCTCAGGCTGCTTACAGCTGTTCTGACCCATGGCCTTGGGAGGGTCTCACTGAGTGGGTCACCTGCCTGCACAATAACCTCACAGGCACACAGCCCTACGGCTAGGAACCCCACCTTGCAACAGCACCTGGGAGGTACTTAAGAGTGGAAGTCACCACACCAAGTCATCAGCCACCATGGAATGTGAGAGTTTCCTGCTACATCACCCAGAAAATGCCTCTACCCTTGACCCATATGTGATATAATACAGTTGACCCTTGAACAACATGGGTTTAAACCACACGGATCCACTTTATATGTGGATTTTTTTTTTTTTTTTCTGAGACAGAGTTTTGCTCTGTCACCCAGGCTGGAGTGCAATGGCGCGATCTTGGCTCACTGCAACCTCCGCCTCCTGGGTTCAAGCAATTCTCCTGCCTCAGCCTCCCAAGTAGCTGGGATTATAGGCTCACCACTGCACTCCAACCTGGGGGACAGAGTGCCTGCCACCACGCCATCATGTTGGCCAGGCTGGTCTCGAACTCCTGACCTCAGGTGATCTGCCTGCCTTGGCCCAAAATGCTGGAATTATAGGCATGAGCCATCACACCCGGCCTATATGTGGATTTTTTTTTTTTTTAACAGTATTCTCAAGATTCGAAACCTGAGTACAGGGAGGGCCACCTTTTTGGATTTGTGGGCTCCACAGGCCAACTGCGGGACTTGAGTGTGCATGGATTTTGGTATTCCCAGGTGGTCCTGGAACCAATCCCCAAGTATGCCAGGGGACAACTGTACTTTGCCCTCCGTTGTCGCCTGTGTCCATTGGTGCTAGGGACAAGGCCCCTGCAAAATTACGAAGTGACATTGATTTCAATGTCATCTGCCCCAGTGAACTAACCTCTCATCCTCTTGCTTCATTAAACCTGTCCCTCCATTCGAAGCCACCCTGGGCTAGTCCTTCCTGGACATTGACCTCAGCATTTATATTCCAGTTTTTTATCCAGTCCTCTAAGGCCAGGCTCACTCCACCCCTCAAGGTGACAGCTAGGTAAAGTGATAAAGTCATTTCTACTCATCTGGTAGTAGGAGAGGGTTTGTGGAGAGGGTTTGTGGTAGCAAGAGAGCCCCAATCTCCCTCCCAGGTACTGCATCCGCTTGTACCTGCTCCTAGCCCAAAGCAGTCTGGTAGACCTGCCACTGGGGCGTCCCCTTGTGTAGACAGCTGTCTCCTCAGCCTTCCTGTGAGGGATCCTCCCCACTCACCACGCAGGGCCCTTCCCTCTCTGCACTCCCTGACCTGTGTGAGGCAGGGGCGGGGCTGGGAGGGCCAGCAGGCCCCGAAGGGGAAACTGCTGAAACCCCTGGGACAGGAAGTGGCAGAGAAGGGCTGTTTCCGCTGGCAGAGCAGGGGTGCGGTGAGAGCTGGCCCTATCTCCTACTCCACTGCCTGTCTGCTGTGGGCCCTGGGAGGCTGGGGAGAGGTGAGAGTCCTTTCCCTGTCTCCCTCCCAAAAAAGTGGAGGCTTTTAGCCCACCGGACTGGAGGGAGGGGAGGGCTCTTTCAGAGGAGGCCATCTTCATTTTGCAAGGAGAGGAATTCCGAGAGGAGGGCAGAAAGGTCAGCAGACGGGAAGGGTGGGGCAGGGCAGGTGAGTGTGGAGTGAGGGAGGCCCATGGGGGCAGCGGAAAACCACAGCTGGGCAGAGGACCCTTCTGTAAGCTTTTGTTCTGAGGGTAAATGATCAGGACCATGCCTGCTAAGAACTGTGGGAGATGGTAATGCAGTTGATCACTGCCTGTCTAAGTCATAGGGCTAGACAGGCCCTTAGGTCACCCAGTCCAACCCCCTCATTGTGCAGATGAGGTAACCGAGGCACACAAAGCAGAAGTGACCTGCTCGAGGTCACATCATGGGCAGAACTCACGTCTCCTAACCCCAGCCCAGGACCTTCTTTCTGATGAGAATCTGCTGAGTTGTATTTGGCATCCCACACCTCCCTGCAGGCACCTCCATCCCCAAGTGCTCTGTGACATTCTTCTCAGAAATCAACATGATGGGGTGGGTGTGGTGGCTCACGCCTGTAATCCCAGCACTTTGGGAGGTGGAGGTGTGAGGATGGCTTGAGGCCAGGACTTGGAGACCAGCCTGGGCAATATAGCAAGACCCCATCTCTGAAAAATAAATAAATACAAATTTGAAAAAATATATATTTTTTTGAGATGGAGTTTCACTCTTGTTGCCCAGGCTGGAGTGCAGTGGCACGATGTCGGCTCACTGCACCTCTGCCTCCCGGGTTCAAGCGATTCTCCTGCCTCAGCCTCCTGAGTAGCTGGGATTACAGGCGCCCACAACCATGCCCAACTAATTTTTTGTATTTTTAGTAGAGACGGGGTTTCATCATGTTGGCCAGGCTGGTCTCAAACTCCTGACCTTAGGTAATCCACCCGCCTCGGCCTCCCAAAGTACAGGGATTATAGGAGTGAGCCACTGTGTCTGGCCTAAAATAAATTTTAAAAAAGAAATGAACTTGGTGAATTTATTCACACTGAAGCCTTTAGTCCAGCATTCAGCAAACCTTTCCTACAAAGAATTGGTTGAGCCAGTTTATTTGAGACCAACCTGGACAACATGGCAAAACCCTGTCTCAACAAAAAATACAAAAAGTTAGCCGGGCACGGTGGCGTGCACGTGTAGTTCCAGCTACTTGGGAGGCTGAGGCGGGAGGATTACTTGAGCCTAGGAGACAGAGGTTACAGTGAGCCATGATTGTGCCACTGCACTCCAACCTGGGTGACAGATCAAAACCCAGTCTCAAAAAATACATATATTAAAAAATCACTATATGTCAGGAAATATTTTTCTTTTGATTTTTCCCAATCATTAAAAAATGTAAAACCCATTCTTAGCTCATGGGCCGTCTAAAAATGGACCGCAGGGCTGGGTTTGGCACATGAGCCATAGTTTATGAACCCCTGCTTTGGTCTAAGAAGTAAAGCTAAGGTGTCATGAGGAGGAGGAGAGAGTGTGCCAGGTGGGGAGGAAGCAGGGAAGGCTTTGAAAAGAAGGTGACATTTGCTTCAGATCTTGAAGGACTTGTGGGCATTGGGCTTGCAGAAGTTGAAGAAGGGCCTGTCAGGCCTGGGGGACAGTGTGAACACAGGCACGGAGGTGGAGGTGGGGAAGGCACTGTGGAGGTGGGGAAGGCACTGTGAAGGTTCAATGTGCCCTGCATGTGTGTGGCTTCTTCTTCTTCTTCTTCTTTTTTTTTTTTGAGACAGAGTCTTGCTCTGTCGCCCAGGCTGGAGTGCAGTGGCGTGATCTTGGCTCACTGCAACCTCCATCTCCCGGGTTCAAGCAATTCTCCTGCTTCAGCCTCCTGAGTAGCTGGGACTACAGGAGGGCGCCACCACACCTGGCTAATTTTTGTATTTTTTATTATAGACAAGGCTTCACCATATTGGCCAGGCTGGTCTTGAACTCCTGACCTCATCATCCGCCTGCCTCGGCCTCCCAAAGTGCTAGGATTACAGACGTGAGCCACCACGCCTGGCCCTAATTTTTGTATTTTTAGTAGAGATGGGGTTTCACCATGTTGGCCAGGCTGGTCTTGAACTCCTGACCTCAGGTGATCTGCTTGCCTCGGCCTCCCAAAGTGCTGGGATTACAGGCATGAGTCACCACGTCCAGACAATTTTTTTGTATTTTTTAGTAGAGACAGAGTTTCACCATGTTGGCCAGGCTGATCTCGAACTCCTGACCTCAAGTGACCTGCCCGCCTTGGCCTCCCAGAGTGCTGGGATAACAAGCATGAGCCACCACGCCCAGCCGTGGCTTCATTGTTATTGGCCAGCCCTGAATCTTTGACTGCTGTGTGTTCTTGCCAGAGGAAAGGGTTGCTTTTTTGAGGATGCCAGGAGACAATGAGCAAGGAAGGAGGCAAGGAAGAAGAGTCACTTGGGAGTCACAGTGCAACTAGCTGTGTCACCTTGAGCAAGTCACTTCCTCTCCTATGGTAGCAGAAGTTGGATGATAAGAGGGATGGATGCAATGATCTTTCAGGTCTCTTATAACTTTGATATCCTGGGACTCTGACTCAAGGAGAGGTGTTTTTTTTTTTTTTTTTTTTTTTTTTTTGAGCTGAGGTCTCACTCTTGTTGCCCTGGCTGAAGTGCAGTGGTGCGATCTCAGCTCACTGGGGCCCCCACCTCCCAGGCTCAAGCGATCCTCCCACCTCAGCCTCCTGAGTAGCTGGGACTACAGGCGTGTGCCACCACGTCTGGCTAATTTTTGTATTTTTTTTTTTAGTAGAGACAGGGTTTTGCCATGTTGCCCAGGCTGGTCTCGAACTCCTGAGCTCAAGCAATCCACCTGCCTCGGCCTCCCAAAGTGCTGGGATTACAGGTGTGTACCACCGCACCTGGCCTTCTAACTTGAGGAGAGGTTTTAATCGTGCCGGTGAGAGAGAAGGAGGAACCCCAGGAGCTCTCGATGACTTCTGGAGCCGAGGCTGCCCTCCCTGTCTGGCCAGGCCCTGGTAGGCTGTCTTCCCACCTCATCCTTTCTGGCACCCCTCCCTTCTGTGAAAGGGATGCTGGAGTACTGCTCTTGTGCCTGAAGTACTGTCCTTTGCTTTTGCTGGCCTGGGGATTGGCCAGTGGCAGAAGGGCGCATTTGGGAGGGGCAGCCAGTGCCAAGCAGGCAGCAACCACACCATGGCCCCTGCTGCCCAGGAAAGTTCCAGATCTGAGCAAGGAGGCTTCACGTTAGTTTCTAGGACACACACTGGGCTGGCAGGGACCTTGACAAAGAACACTGTCCCTTCAATAAAAGTTATCTGACTTAATATCCTGTGGGTACCAACATAGATTATCCCAGCTTCTAAAAAACCCACTAATGAATTTAATTAGTCTCTAGTCAGTGTTTGTTTTTTTGAGATGGAGTCTCGCTCTGTCACCCAGGCTGGAGTGCAGTGGCGCGATCTCAGCTTACTGCAACCTCCCCCTCCCAGGTTCAAGCGATTCTCTTGCCTCAGTCTCCCGAATAGCTGGGATTACAGGTGCACGCCGCCACACTCCGGCTAATTTTTGTATTTATAGTAGAGACGGGCTTTTGCTGTGTTGGCCAGGCTGATCTCAAACTCTTGACCTCAGGTGATCCACCCTCCTTGGCCTCCCAAAGTGCTGGGATTATAGGCATGAGCCACCGCACCCGGCAATATCTTTTAACATTCTTAGCGAGAACACCCTGCACATCTTGGGGTCTCTACAGCTACTGTATCTCCCCATAGTCCATCAATTTCTTTACTTTGGGGTGGCTCTGGGATTCACCTCCTGGTTCCAGCTACCCTACCTGGTCTCCCTCCATCTCCTCCACTCACAGACCCACTCTTATTTTATTTATTTATTTATTTTTTTGAGATGGAGTGTTCACTCTTGTCGCCCAGGCTGGAGTGCAGTGGCGCGATCTCAGCTCACTGCAACCTCCGCCTCCTGAGTTCAAGTGATTCTCCTGCCTCAGACCCACTCTTATACCCAGACCAAACTGCCCTTCCTAAAGGGCTGCTTGTTATGCCCCTCCCTTGCTCAAGAATCTACAGTAACTCACAGTCGCTTTCCATATTAAGTTCTCATTCCACAGTTCCAGGGATCCACTTATCCAGCTTCCCAAGCAATGTTCCTCTCTCCCTCTAATCAAACTGGTTTCTTCTCTCTACCATACATTTTATATTTGTTGCTTTTGTCCCCTCAGCCTTCATTTCATCCCGCCACCTCCATTTCCCTTTCTTCCTCTATATCTAGGTAAAGACATGCTAAATGTTTAATGAACTACCACAGCCCCAGAGTAACGAATCAGACCAGGGAATTGGAAAACACACTGGCCAGGCGCGGTGGCTCACGCCTGTAATCCCAGCACTTCGGGAGGCTGAGGCGGGTGGATCACTTGAGGTCAGGATTTCAAGACCAGCCTGGCTAACATGGTGAAACCCCATCTCTATTAAAAATAAAAAAAATAGCCGGGCGTGGTGGCACACACCTATAATCCCAGCTACTCAGGAGGCTGAGGCACACCCTGGAGGCGGAGGTTGCAGTGAGCCGAGATCGCGCCACTGCACTCCAGCCCGGGTGACAGAGTGAGACTCCGTCTCAAAAAATAAAAAAAGAAAAACACGTTTCGGGCTAACAGAGAGCTTTTGCCTACATTAGCTCATTGGCCTTTTGCAACAACCCCTTGAGCTAAATAGGAGATCCCTGTTTTACAAAAGAGGAAAGTGACCTGCCTCAACCCCAAGGCAGAGCTGGGGCTTCTAGCTGGAAAGCCGATGATCTTAGGATCTGCAGGGGCTTCTGGGGGCTCTCCTAGGCTGGAGCTGGCAGACCGTTATACTGGGGTTTAGTGGCTGCCCCACACTTGGGTTTCTCCCTTTTCCTGCAGTGGGTTCTCCCGTCATTGGCTTAGTGCCACTGTCCTGTGCTTCGTGCATGAAGCACTAGAGATGGTGATGTGGTGGCCGCAGGCACTTCCAGGGGGTGCTCTTTTGGCCTTCTCAGAGCAGCTGGGGAAATAGGTTCTCTTTGTCACTAACCCTCCCCCTCCTCTTCCTCCCCTATGGGGCTTCTGTAGTGTAGTGCTCTTTCTTGCCACATAACCACAACCCAAAGTGCTGGGGCGGGGTGAGGACAGGGGATCCAGTGCGCTGCACCAGCCGCAGCAGCCTGCTCCTCCCTCCCTGCCAGGTCCCCAGCCCAGGCAAGGAGTCAGCCCCTTGCCACCCAACAACTGGAACCCTCCAGCCCCACCCTGTGTATTCTGGAGCCAGTGGGGTCCACCGTCTGGAGCTTAATGGGGCCCACAGCCCCTGTTGCTCTCTGGGAGGTCACCTGAAACTCATCATCTGGATGAACGCTTTTTAATTTTCAAAGTGCTTTTCCACTGCCATCTTTATTCACCCGAGACTCCCTGGTGAGCACCTGCTAAGCCTGGATTACTCACAACCCTCACCTGCTCGAAGGATGACAGAAACCACAGCCCAGAAAGATGGCCGACTTTTCCATGGTCACACATCTTGCTAGGATGCAGCCAGAACGCCTCCCTCCTCCTCCCCGGCCCTAGGCAGTCTACACTGTGGGTGGGCTGTGGGTCCCCTGGAGAAAGAGGAAAAAGCATCTCTTTGCCTGGGACCTGCCATCTAATCACTCCTCCTCTGGGACAGATCAAGGCCTGCAAAGAAGGTAGGGGAAGAGGCGAGCTGAGCAGGGTGTGAGAGCGGGGGCTGTAACTGGGGAAGAACCCTGGGCCCACCTCACCATCAGAGTTGGGAGAAACCCTATGCTGGAATCAGGTGGTGACAGAGGAGCAAGGAAGGAAACTGGGTTTCTTGTAAATAAGCACAGAGAAACCCCAACCAACAGAGCTTGCAAAACCTTTCTTTTTTCCCTCCCTCTTCCTGGTTTCATCTCAAATGGAGTGGCTGGTAGAAAGAAAGGAATAGGAGAAAGAGCTGACAAAATAGCGGTGACTAGGGCCCCTTCACTGGGCATTTGCTTAAGTAGGAGGGTTAGCTCACTCATTGGAGTCCAGCCATAACTGGACTGAGGTTTGGGGTTCAAGTCCTGTGGATGGGTGAATTCTGCTCTGTTCAGGACTACAGACTGGATATAGTCCTGACTCTGGCCTTCTGTCTCTTAAATCCACGCCACTGGTCACATGGTACAGCAGGCAGTTCCCTGCTTGATGACTATTCGCCTGAGGACGGGCTGTTTTTCAGTCGAGGGTACAGCTGTTCCTGGGGTAGTTTCCATTTTGCTTGTGGTTGTGGGGGAGGGGTGTTGAGGGAGTGGGAAATGGCATGAAGGAAATTGTCACTTCCTTTCCAGAGAATTCCAGAAAGGTTTCATGGAGGATGAGGTATTTCAGGAGTGAGAGCTGGCTCCAAGGGGACAAGGAACCGGAGAAGGAGAATTGTGCTTTGTGGCCCAGCTGACCATCTGGCCTCCATGTTTCCTGGCATGTGCGAAAATGCCACGGGTGTTACCAGCAATTCTGTGAGAGCCATTGGCTCAGCTGAAAGGGTGTAGATTTAAACTCACTCCACGGAGACTGTGGACGTGGCTTTCACATTGGGGCTATTTCCTGTAAGGGAGGCCCAGATGAGTGGTTGCTGGACACTGCTTGGTATGTTTCAGTGACAGCCCCAGGAAGGGTCTGTGCATCTAAAGGGGGCCGAGTTGTGACACAGGAGCAGCCCAAACCACTTCTATTTTGCTTCGGTTTTGAAATGCAGTCAGAGCCACAGAGGTGTGTATTTGCAGGCCAGGAGGTCGGCGCCTTTGCCTGCACACTCCCTCTTAAGGTCCATACACTCAGAGGGCACCCAGGGGCACATACTTTCTCGCAAAGGCTTTGCTTTTGGCCCAAGTAAGACAGGCGCTGGGAGTCAGAGACCCTGTAGGGCCTCAAAGGGTGTGAAGGGAGTGGAGCTCTTGCCACCCTGCGAGGGGACTGTGACTGGAGCAAGCTGTGAGCTGTGCAAGCATGGGGCAGGGTAGGGGAATTCACCACCAGTTACTAAGGGTTCACAGGCTCCTCAATTCCCCGAGCCAAGTGTCCGTGTGTGCTCCCTGATTTGTCTACTTGCTGGGGAGGCAGCATCCAGGGCTCTAGGCTACTGAAGCTGCGTCCCAGCCAAAGGGCCCACTGGAGAAGGGAGCCCCTGGTGGGGGCCTCCCTGGCCCACAGGGCGCACCTCCTATGATGGTGGCATCTTTGGTTTCGGGTTCCTGGGAGAAGGAGGTTATTTTGAAGGACTGAAGGGGGGGTTCACTCCTCTGCTGGGGAGAGTGAGTGAACATGCAAATGAGCCTCTCTCCACCTCTCACTTTCAAATCCTCAAACATCTCAAGGGGGAGGGGGAAACTTTCTGGACTGGACGGTTAGGGCGGATGGTTTCTCAGCCTTGGCCAAAAGAGTAGGACAGCTACTTCCTCCCCCTCCACCCCTTCAAGACCTTAGCTTCAGGCTCAGGGTAGACGATCACCAGGATGAGCCTCGGGTGCTGGGTATAGCTTCACAATACCTCACAATCCCGAGGCAGCAAAGCCTGCACCCACCAAGTCCTGGATTTTGCTACCTCAATATGTGGACACAGAAAAGAATGCCCTGGGAATCGTCTCTCTTTGATTTCAAACCTCTCTGCATTGGTGACCAAGGATTCCATTCAATGCAGTGCAGGGCCCTGGCTGCCTCCCTCCCCCACCAGCTCCCTGGCACATGGACTTTGGGGGTCTCATCCCCGGGACCCATGGGCCACATATCTAGCTGGGCCTGGCATTCTCTTCCTGAGAACCCCACCCCCATCTTCAGCACAGCCACTTCCAGCCAGCATTAGCTCAGGTTTGTCATTCTCACGAAGGCAGCTGAGGCTGGCCCGGAGGAGGAACTGACAACTGAGCTTGCGGCTTTGCTGGCCAGACCAGGGCAGCCCTTTGACACACAGAGGCTCTCGTGCACACGTCTCCACGCTTGGGACACATGCACACACCCTGCACACACATATACCTACAGTGCGCTTGCACACCCACAACCAACGCAAATAGCGCACCTGGGTAAATGACAATGCAAAAACATACAGAGGTCACCCCAGAAGGTATGCACATTTTGCTCATTCTCGTGTAAGGCAGAGTACGTGACACCTACCCGCATCCACCGTATACAGATAAACGTTGCCCAGAAAACACACCTCACAGATGCTGACTGACCCATACCACCAATCTATCCATCCATCCATCCATCCATCCATCCATCCATCCATCCAGCCATCCATCCAGCCATCCACCCACCCACCCATCCACCCATTCATCCCTTCATTCATTCCACAAACACAAATTGAGTGTCTGTTACATGCCATACATGATGCAAGGTGCTAAGGTTTCATCAATGTCCAACACAGTTGTTGCTGCCCTCAAGGAAGCCCCTGTCTTATGGGGGAGGTAAGGAAGGTACATAAAAGTAGCCCAGGCAGACAGCACCAGCAGTGAACTCGCAAACATGAAATCCTGATCTGGAAAGAAGAGATGAGCAAGCCCGAAGGGAAGGGCTACAGCGAGTGACCTTGGGGGAAGGGACACACACAGGAGTTTCATGTTTAGACAAAGTGGGATTAGGTGAAAGTGATCACCTTTAATTTGATTAGTATGAGAATGTTTCCTGGGGGCAGGCAGAAGGCCTGTGGGAGGGCGGGAGCTGCTGTGGAATGCAAGCCTTGGGGCGCTTAGGCTGGGGGGGCAGGGGGGACAGACCTTCCAAGCATAAATGGCCTTGGGAGGCTTCACAGACCAGTGGAGAATGGGTCGCAGGCAGGGTCTGGTGGGGGTGGGGTGGTGGTGGGAGGAGTGAACCTGGGGCAAGGGCTGCAGTTTCCCAGGCGCCTCCTCCCAGTACTCAGCCTCTCACTCGTCCAAAGGGAAATTCAGACCTGAGAGGTTGAGTTGAGCGACTTCTCCCGACTTTTTGTTGGGGTGGGTGGAAAGGTGTGGGGGTGAGGGTGAGGGTGGGGGTGGGGCAAAGGCACGGCCAGCCCTGTGGGCTAACGGAAAGGAAGTAGGAGAGGCCTGGGTGTCTCCTGTGGGGGAGAGCGGTCATCAGGGAGGTCACCGTGGTCCCCCTCCCTTTCCTCCCCTTTGCCCCTCTCTGAAGTTCCTCATTTCTTTCCGGGCCAGGATAAGGTTTGCCCACCCCGGCACTGCCAAGGGAGTGTCAAGGAGGTGGAGTGCAGTGTGTGGCTTCTGCTATGGTGCATGGACACACCCACACGCACATCCACACACTCAGAACCGAGCCCAGGGGACCAAAGACGTGGCGCCTGGAAGTGGAGAAGCTCCAGTGATGGGGTGGAGGAGCAGAGCTGGCTGGCGAGGAGGGAGGTGGGAGGGCTGGGGCTGTGGGAGGCAGGCCTGGGTGTGACCACCCACAACACGCAGATGAGGCGCCCGGGCACTGACAGCCCTGAGGAGTGGCGACAGGGGGAACAAATGCAGGCCCGGACGCCATGTGACACCGTGAGCGCTGAGGGCACGTGGGGCGAGAGGAGGTGTGTTTGGGCTGCGGCAGACACAGAAGATTTCCTGGAAAAGGGGCCTGAGCCAGCCCCAGAGGATGGGGAAGGTTCCGCCTGCCCCTCCTCCAGTCGGGGCTCTCCTCACCAGTTCCCAGGGTGACAGTTCACTCTTGAAACTGAAAGCAAAGCTAAACCAAGAACACAAACCCACACACAGCACAGAGGCCACGCTCTCTGGTGGGTGGCGGCGGTAGTGGTGAGAGGGGGGTGCTGACGAAAACAGGGTATGTGGCCCACCTGTCCCCCAGTCTCCAGGCTCTCTGGAGGCTTGGCTCCATCTGAGAGTCCCATCCCTGAGAGCAGGGTAAGGCCACTGCTGGTCCTCACACAATACAACCCCCACAGCGAGGCAGGCATGGGTGTGACCACCCCCACTTCTTCCTCTGTAGATGTGGCCCCTCAAAGCTAACTGGCCCCCACTCCCAAGGTAAGATTAGGCTGACTTCACCTGGAGCCAGGCAGAGTCAGAAGAGCACTACAGAGTGGGTATACAGATACCCACAGGCCCCCACTCAGCCCCTCACACGATTCTTCCCCAAGCCAAGGGAGTTACAGGGATTCTCCATGCTGCTGCCTCGTCCACGAGGCCAGGCCAGGCGCCCTGACTCCCCCTGGGGATTAGTCTTCAGGGTGGAGAGAGCGCAAAGTTCCTCCATCTGGCAGTTTCTCCAGGGGAAGGGGAGGAGGCAGGGAGGGAGGCTGCATATCTTTGGGACTAGTGCGAGATGCCGATGCTGGTGACCCAGACGGGCACCAACACTCAGCCACTTCCCACTGGAGGCCATTCAGTTGACTTCCTCTCTCCTTCTTTCTTTCCCTGACCTCTTTCTTCTCTGTCGCTTTTCTTCTCTCATCATCCTCCCGTTTCGGCCACTCCTCTATTGGCAGTCTGCCTTAGCATGGCAGGGTCCCTCTGGTTCATAGGCAGTTCTGGCAACAGAGCTCAAGGAAGGTGACTTACTCACTGTCCCCATCTCTCCCTTCTCTCTAGGTCGCTCCTGTGGTTGGTCCAGCCCAGAATGCAGCCTTGAGCCTGGCTTAGGCCACCACCTACTCCAGCTCTCTCCACCCCCTATTTTACTGCAGCTCAGGGGGTAGGCTCTAGGCTCCAAAGTACCTGGGTATTGTCCCTTCATCAAGAAAGCCCCACAGCTCTGGAGGGCTCTGATAATCCCGTTGTCAGCTCTCTGAAAAGACAGCATGGCTATTACCCTACAGCCCAGTGACCTGATCTTTGAGTTCGCAAGCAACGGGATGGATGATGATATCCACCAGGTATGGCCCCAGAGAACAGAGCACAGTTAGCCCCTGTGGACAATCAGATAGACACAGACAGCCAGGCAGACAGCCAGGGAGCCAGCTGGCTGCACAGCTAGCCAATCAGCAAATATCCATCAAGCACCTACTATGCTCAGGGCACTGGCCCTGCTTGCCAGCCAGCCTGCGTGCCAGCCAGTCACTCATGAGGCTGGTCTGGAGTCACCGGGCAGTCATTTAGGGAGCTGGTTGCCCACATGCAATCATTGAGCCAGCCAAACATCTGCTAAGTACATCAGCTGGGCTGTTGGTTAGTCAGCAACATGGACCAAACGCATAAGGGGTACACTGACCATCAGATGCATTTTTCGGCCACTTCTCTTCTCTCAAAGTGTCACAGTGAGAAAGCTGTGGGGACAGCCACATAGCAAGAATGAGCACTGCCAGCTGAACTGTAGACTGGTGTCCAGGCCCTGACATTTTCAGAGTCGTCTTTTTGGCCCCAGCCTGAGGATTCAGGACAAGCTGGAAATGAGGTCTTTTGGTGGGAGGAAGTTGGAAAATAGGACAGGATTCTGGTGCTCACTGAGGTCCCCACTGCTCCATACCTTCCCTACACTGGCACGTTTTCTGTGCACTTAGATGTATGTACCCATTGAACGGTGTCCTGGCAGACTCATCACTACCCTCCATTCTCCTTCTTCCATAAAATGGAGAGAGAAGAGGCATCCAGGCACAGTAGAAAGAATGGAAGATTAGGAGTCAGGAGCCCTGGGTTCCGATCCCAGTTTGGCCACAATGTCACCTGAGCAAGTCCTGTCCCTTACCCTATTTTTTTTTTTTTTTTTTTGAAACGAAGTCTCACTCTGTCGCCCAGGCTGGAGTCCAGTGGCGTGTTCTCAGCTCACTGCAACCTCTGCCTCCCATGTTCAAGCCATTCTCCTGCCTCAGCCTCCCAAGTAGCTAGGATTATAGGCACTTGCCACCATCCCCGGCTAATTTTTGTGTATTATTAGTAGAGACCGGGTTTCACCATGTTGGCCAGGCTGGTCTCCAACTCCTGGCCTCAAGTGATCCACCCACCTTGGCATCCCAAACTGCTAGGATTACAGGCGTGAGCCACCACGCCTGGACCCCTATCCTATCTGACTGCTGTTTCCCCATCTTCACCAAGAGGCGATCCAACTGGATTATCTCCAAAGGGCATTCCAGTCTAACTCAGATGCTCTCTATTCTAAATCCTGTGAGGATGGAAAACTGTCCAATCTCTAGCTGCCTACCAAAGCCTGCCCCCTAGTGGCCTTTGAGCACTTTGAACTTTCCGTCTACCTCCTTGCCTTAAAGCAGCTCAATTTTATTGAACATATGTGGTGTGCCTAGCCTCGTGGAAGGCATCAGACAAGGAGAAAGGAAGAAAAATCTACCATACATGAGTTCTCAATGCTACTTGTCATTTTCCATTTGTTTCTAGTCCACTCAGCAACTGTTTCTTTTCTTCATAGAGGCTGTTTTTCACAGAAGCAGTTCTTACCTTCCAACCTATCCCTCCACCCTCAGCGGACAGCCTCTCCTCCAATCCACAGAGAAGCTCAAAGCCCAGGACGCCCTCAATTTCCCTCCCTTCTCTCTTTTTATCTGTAACATCTCCTGTTCTTGTTTCCTTCCCACTGGCCCAGGAGAAAGAAATGTTACTTTTCCTTGCAAGGGTGACTCCCAACCTCTGTACTTAATCTGTTCTCTCCTGCATCCCTTAAGACCTCAAACCATCCATCACTTCCTCTCTCTTGTATCTTTTATTTTTTATTTTTATTTTTTGAGATGGAGTTTCGCTCTTGTCACCCAGGTTCCAGCACAGTAGCACAATCTGGGTTCGCTGCCACCTCTGCCTCCTGGGTTCAAGCGATTCTTGTGCCTCAGCCTCTGGAGTAGCTGAGATTATAGGCACGCATCACCAAGCCCAGCTAATTTTTGTATTTTCAGTAGATACAGGGTTTCACCATGTTGGGCAGGCTGGTCTCGAACTCCTGACCGCAGGTGATCCACCCGCCTCGCCCTCCCAAAGTGCTGGGATTACAGACGTGAGCCACCGCGCCTGGCCTCTTGTATCTTTTAGACCTCAGATTTCTTTCCTCAACTTTGAACATCTTCAGGTGTCCCAACCCTAAAAGAAAACCTTCCCTCCCTTCTGCCCCCACCTTCAAAATTGCATCTTTTTATACCTTTTTAGTTCCTTTCTTCCCCCCAGGGTAGTCTCCACACTCTGTTTTTACTTTATTACCTGCCTTTCACTCTTTTTTCTTTCCTTCTTTCTTTTTTTGACAGGGTCTCACTCTGTCACCCAGGATGGAGTGCAGTGGCACAATCATGGCTCACTGCAGCCTCGACCTCCCCAGGCTCAGGTGATCTTCCCACTTCAGCCTCCCAAGTAGCTGGGGCAACAGGCACATGCCACTGCGCCTGGCTAATTGTGTGTGTGTGTGTGTGTGTGTGTGTGTGTGTGTGTGTGTGTGTAGAGAGAGAGAGAGTTTTGCTCTTGTTGCTCAGGCTAGAGTGCAATGGCACGATCTCGGCTCACTGCAATCTCCATCTCCTGGGTTTAAGCGATTCTCCTGCCTCAGCCTCCCAAGTAGCTGGGATTACAGGCGTGCATCACCATGCCTGGCTAATTTTGTATTTTTAGTAGAGAGGGGGTTTCACCATGTTGGTCAGGCTGGTCTCAAACTCCTGACCTCAAGTGATCTGTCCGCCTTGGCCTCCCAAAGTGTTGGGATTACAGGCGTAAGCCACCATGCCCGGCCTAATTTTTGTATTTTTTGTAGAGATGGGGGTCTCACAATGTTGCCCAGGTTGGTCTCAGACTCCTGAGCTCAAGCAATCCTTCTGCTCTCACGCCTCCCAAGAAGTGCTGGGATTACAATAGGTGTGAGCCGGTCAGGCTGGTGGCTCACACCTGTAATCCCAGCACTTCGGGAGGCCGAGACAGGCAGATCACCTGAGTTCAGCAGTTCGAGACCAGCCTGACCAACATGGAGTAAACCTGTCTCTACTAAAAATACAAAATTAGCTGGGCGTGGTGGCACATGCTTGTAATCCCAGCTACTCGGGAGGCTGAGGCAGGAGAATCACTTGAACCCGGTAGTGGAGGTTGCAGTGAGCCGAGATCGAGCCATTGCACTCCACCCTGGGCAACAAGAGGCAAAACTCTGTCTCCAAAAAAAAAAAAGAAAAGAAAAAGAAAAACAACAGGTGTGAGGCACCGCACCCAGCCCCTTTCACTCCTTTTAGGAAGCTACTTTTATTTTGAAATACATAATACATGCAAAAGGGTGCATAAATCATATTTAGATGTAGACATGTATTAAATGAACACCCAGGCCCTCACCACCCAAATTAAGAAATAAAACATTACCAGTCTCCTAGAAACCTCTGATACCTAACACTTAATGAGAGCTTAGTCTACGCCAGGCCCTGCTCTGAGTGCTTTATGTGTATTGATCTGTTTTAACAATCCTAGGGGGTCAATCATGTGATCACTCTCATTTTATAAATGGGGAAACTGATCCACAGAAAGGTTAGGTAACTTGCCCAAGGTCACAATGCTAGTGAGCAGCAGAGTTTGGTCTCAAGCCCAGGCACTCTGGCTCTAGATCAGCACAATCCAACAGAATTCTCTGGAATGAGGCCAGGTGCGGTGGCTCACGCCTGTAATCCCAGCACTTTGGGAGGCCAACGCAGGCGGATCACGAGGTCAGGAATTTGAGACCATCCTGGCCAACATGGTGAAACCCTGTCTCTACTAAAAATACAAAAATTAGCCAGCGGCGGTGGCCTATGCCTGTAATCCCAGCTACTCAGGAGGCTGAGACGGGAGAATTGCTTGAGCCCAGGAGGTGAAGGTTGCAGTGAGCTGAGATTGTGCCATTGTACTCCAGCCTGGGCAAGAAGAGCAAAACTCCATCTCAAAAAAAAAAAAAAAAATTCTCTGGAATGCTGGAAATGTTCTATGTTTGTGCTGTCCAGTATGGGGCCACTAGTCACACGTGGCTATAGAGCACTTGAAATGTGGCTAGTGCAATTGAAGAAATAAATTTTTAAGCTCTCCAAAGTTTTTATTTACCTCTAAATTTAAATAGTCACCCGTGACTAGTGGATATCATCATGGACAGCTCTAGATGCTGGGACCTTAATCACTATACCCAACTGCTTACCTCAGTCTGTCCTCACTGAGATCCATTGCAACTTGGCCTGGGACCCTAGCACTGCTCTGAAACTGATCTAGCCAGGGTGACTGACCATGGCCAAATCCAAAGGTCTTTTATCCATTTTTGTTTCTCTGGATCCCTCAGGAACACTACACAGAGAGGATCATTCTCATTCTTTTTGCATGGGAAAAAAAAAGAATTATCATCCACAAAACAGATCTTGAGACTAAACAATAACAACAAAAAGAATTAACATTCCCATGAAAGAAAATTTGGAAAATACAAAAAAGTAGAAAGGGGGAAAAAAATCATTCAAAACTCCATAATGAAAATAAAACTATGGCCAGGCACAGTGGCTTACGTCTGTAATCTCAGCACTTTGGGAGGCCAAGGTGGGTGGATCACTTGAGGTCAGGAGTTCGAGACCAGCCTGGCCTACATGGTGAAACCCCATCTCTACTAAAATACAAAAATTAGCCAGGTATGGTGGCAGGCGCCGGTAATCCCAGCTACTCGGGAAGGTGAGGCAGTAGAATTGCTTGAACCTGGGAGGTGGAGGTTGCAGTAAGCCAAGATCGTGCCACTGCACTCCAGCCTGGGTGACAGAGCCAGACTCTGTCTCAGAAAAAGAAAAGAAAAGAAAACTATGATTAACATCCTGGCATATTTATTTATTTATAGAGGTTTTTTCTTTTTAATTTTTTTTTAAATAGAGATAGGGTCTTGCTGTGTTGCCCAGGCTGGTGTGTGAACTCCTAGGCTCAAGCGATGCACCTGCCTCAGCCTCCCAAAGTGCTGGCATTACAGGCATGAGCCACCACATGCAGCCTCTATATGGAGTTTTTTTAAAAAAAACACATGCAGTCATACTGCTTTTTAATTTCGCTTTGCTTAATTTCAAAACACTTCTGTTCTCTAGGGGTTGAATTCTCATCTCAATTTTCTTATCTACTCCAAGGGATTGAACGACCACCAGCTCCCTTTTGAACTGTTAGACACTTATTTTTGACTCCCTGATAGGCGTCTCTATTTCAGATGTCCCAAAGGTACCTCAAGCTCACCACATCCAGACATTGTAGCCCTTATCTTGGTCCACAGCCTGCTCTTCCTCCTCCTGGGCCCTCCCTTGGCATGAGCAGTATCTCCATGTCCCTGTTGAATGAAGCTGGAAATTGAACCCCTCTCCCCCATCCAGGCAGTGACTGAGTCCTGACATTTCTACTTCTATAATGCCTCTGTTCTGTCTTCATTCCCACTATCATTGCCACAGACGGAGCCCGAAGATGTCTGAGCCCCTAACTCTGGCTGCGAACTAGGTCCCCAGCCCTGACTCTAGACTGAATCCCTCTTGTCCCCCGACTATAGGTTGAGCCCCTTGCCCTTGCCATCAGCTGGTCTATTCCCAATGGCCTTAGAATGAATCTAATCCTCATAGACTGAGCCCTAACCTGGCCACGGGTTAAACCATAACTACAACCAGTTAAAAATACTTGCCTGGCCGGGTGCAGTGGCTCACGCCTGTAATCCCAGCACTTTGGGAGGCCGAGGTGGGTGGATCACGAGGTCAGGAGATCGAGACCATCCTGGCTAACACGGTGAAACTCCATCTCTACTAAAAATACAAAAAATTAGACAGGTGTGGTGGCGGGTGCCTGTAGTCCCAGCTACTCGGGAGGCTGAGGCAGGAGAATGGCGTGAACCCAGGAGGCGGAGTTTGCAGTGAGCCAAGATTGCGCCACTGCCCTCCAGCCTGGGCGACAGAGTGAGACTCCGTCTCAAAAAAAAAAAAAAAAGCTTGCCCTTGGCTGGGCATGGTGGCTCACGCCTGTAATCCCAGCACTTTGGGAGGCTGAGGCAGGTGGATCACCTGAGGTCAGGAGTTCGAGACCAGCCTGGCCAACATGATGAAACCTTGTCTCTACAAAAACTATAAAAATTAGCCAGGCATGGTGGCACACACCTGTAATCCCAACTACTGGGGAAGCTGAGGTAGGAGAATCGCTTGAACCCGGGAGGCGGAGGTTGCAGTGAGCTGAGATCATGCCACTGCACTCTAGCCTGGGCGACAGAGCGAGGCTCTATCTCAAAAAAAAAAAAATGCTTAAAGGGCTGGTGGTGCAGAGCTAACCCATCTATTCATCAAGAACCCACTCAAAGCATCACCTAATGAGGCTGGACCCAGAGTTATATCATCCTATACAAAGGACAGTCCCTGATGAACCCAAGAATAAGGACTTGCACAGAGGGCCAGATTCTGGTAGGGAGGGTTTGCTGGAAGAGCTGGGTGGGTCTTGAATCACATCCCTGTCTTCTCCATAGCTGGAAGACCCCTCTGTGTTCCCAGCTGTGATCGTGGAGCAGGTACCCTACCCTGATTTACTGCATCTGTACTCGGGACTGGAGTTGGACGACGTTCACAATGGCATCATAACAGACGGGACCTTGTGCATGACGCAGGATCAGATCCTGGAAGGCAGTTTTTTGCTGACAGGTCTGTTCCCTTCCTGGGCAGAGAAGGTGTGGTAGAAAAAGGGGCTGTGTCTTTAGGGAACAGCAGCCCACAATGGCCTCTAGTAACCCCGTGCAGAATGGGCAAGTCCACCAGCCAAAAAGTTGTGCTGCTTCACAGAGGAGGGAACCATCTTAGTAGATTCATGGTCTGTGGAAGTGGGGTGGGACAATGAGGAGTGAAGACCAGCTGAGGGGGTGGAGAGTTAGGTAAGGAGGGGTGCTGGGCCCTTCCTGGCTGTCCCTCAGTACCTCTGGTCAGGGTCCCCTGTTTCTCCCTCACTTAGCACTCACTTCAGGGTCAGCCCGAAGGATGCTTACCACCATCCTTTCTTCGGGCTGGCCCTGATTATAGCTGTACCCCCTGCCTTGTGCCCTGAGGGAACTTTTCTTCTCTCCTCCCACCATGGAACCCGGACCAGATGACAATGAGGCCACCTCGCACACCATGTCAACCGCGGAAGTCTTACTCAATATGGAGTCTCCCAGCGATATCCTGGATGAGAAGCAGATCTGTAAGTTTGAACCCCAGTGCCTGAACTCAAGGCAACAAAATAATTCCATTTAAAAATATGAAATCCATGTATTGGTTTCTCAGGCATGTGTGCACACAGGTATACATGCACCACACCCACCGATATACATATGACTTTTATCTTTTTGTATTTTGGTGATGGGTTTATTTCAATTAGCACGATGTCCTCAAAGTCCATCCATGTTGTAGCACGTGTCAGAATTTCTTTCCATTTTCAGGCCAGGCACGGTGGCTCACGCCTGTAATCCCAGCACTTTGGGAGGCTGAGGCGGGTGGGTCACCTGAGGTCAGGAGTTCGAGACCAGCCTGACCAACACGGTGAAACCCCATCTTTACTAAAAATATAAAAACTTGCTGGGCGTGGTGGCGCAAGCCTGTAATCCCAGCTACTCAGGAGGCTGAGGCAGGAGAATCACTTGAACCCAGGAGGCAGAGGTTGCAGTTAGCCGAGATCGCACCATTGCACTCCAGCCTGGGTGACAAGAGCGAACCTCTGTCTCAAAAAAATAATAATAATTTATTTCCATTTCAGGCTGAATAATATTGGCCAGGGTGCCTTTCTCAGGCCCCTCTGCTCTTTTGCTTAGCTCCCAGGAAGACTGAGATATGCAGCATGTGGCTCTTTTAGAAATAAGTGATCCAGGCCGGGTGTGGTGGCTCACACCTGTAATCCCAGCACTTTGGGAGGCTGAGGCGGGTGGAATACGAGGTCAGGAGTTCGAGACTGGCCTGGCCAACATGGCAAAACCTCGTCTCTACTAAAAATACAAAAATTAGCCTGGCGTGGTGGCACATGCCTATAATCCCAGCTACTTGGGAGGCTGAGGCAGGAGAATCGCTTGAACCCGGGAGGCAGAGGTTGCAATGAGCCGAGATCACACTATTGCACTCCAGCCTGGGCAACAAGAGCAAGACTGTCTAAATAAATAAATAAATAAAATAAAGAAATAAGTGATCCTTGCCCATCCTACCAGGCTCCTAACTCCCCAGAGGGCCCCCAAGGCAGGCTCTTCCCAATGACCCCTCAGGCAGATGCACAGGAGGGTTCCCCCAGATTGCCTTCTCCCAAGGGGTGGTGTGGTACAGTGAGGGAAGGCAAGCCATAAAGCTGAAATCTGAGAGATTTCTAGTCCTGACTCTCACCAGTATTCATCCAGGATCCAATAATGGGTGCCTATTTGTACCGGGCACCAACTTGCTGTGTGACCTTGGGCACATGACTTCCCCTCTCTGGGTCTGTCTCAGTTTCCTCATCAGGAAAACACAGGAATGGGGCTACATGATCTCTAAGGCCCCTTTGAGTCGTAAAATGAGCCAAGGACTAAATCAAGGTGGCCCTTTACCTGGGGTGCCGCCTAGAACTTCCCTACCACCAACAGTGGGCTATAAATGTGGCAGCTGTAATTGGGGCCAGCTTGTGCCCACAGCTCTGCAGATGTTTCCTCTCCTCGTGGTACAAGCCACATGAGGCATTTTCAGGTGTATCCTGTGTCTGGGGCTGGGGGGATGAGCCCCCCGCCCTCCCTTGGAACCTACCCGTCTCTCCAGCGCTGGGAGACCCCGCTCCAGCCCTGCCTGGGCCCCGCCCACCTCAGGTCTTTCTTCTTGCAGTCAGTACCTCCGAAATGCTTCCAGACTCGGACCCTGCACCAGCTGTCACTCTGCCCAACTACCTGTTTCCTGCCTCTGAGCCCGATGCCCTGAACAGGGCGGGTGACACTAGTGACCAGGAGGGGCATTCTCTGGAGGAGAAGGCCTCCAGAGAGGAAAGTGCCAAGAAGACTGGGAAATCAAAGAAGAGAAGTAAGTGGGGGAGAGTGAGTGTATGTGTGTCTCCGAGGGGATGGGCGGGGCGTGGGGGGGCGGTCAGGGCTCATGGATGTGTTAAGAGGCCAGCTCTCTGGTGTGACAGAGATGGACCAAAAGGCCTCCCTTCTGTAAAACCTGGCCTCATCCGTTAGTCTGCCTGTAGCCTGACATTTCCCATGCTGCCCCTGTCTGCCTGGGATCTGCATAAACTCTTTCAGAAACATTAATGATCTCGATGGGTTGAATCCTAGGCTGGGAGTTTGGACACCAGGCTCGGCCCCCTGGCCAGTCCCCGGACCTCTGGGGCCTCAGCCTATAAAAGACCAGTCATGCCGGGTGCTTATCTCCCTTCTGCAGAGCTTATAAAGCCGAGGCCATATATGAGAGAGGACTTTGGGCTTTCCCAAGCCCCGGTGTTATTGATTTACTCAGGCGATGGCTGCTTGATACTGCCTTGTCAGCATGGCAACCGAACCTCAGCACCGCACTTACCTGCACAACACTGGTGCCTTTAGGCTGCCTTTCCGTATCAGAAGTTAGGCTAGGCAGATTCTGTTCTCACAAAGGTGACTTATTTGCAAGCACCCGGTTTCTCCACATTGTAGCCATGTTGCAGTGCTACCCTGGGGGCCTGAAAATGAGGGTGCAAAGGCCTGAGGGCTGTGGCTGTGGAGAGCGATCTGGGGCCTCCAGCCCTGGTGACCTGCCTCCTCCTTGTTGGCTTTGTCACAGCCAACTTGGCCAGCTCCCGGGCCCTCTCTTGGGAGCTGCTCCTCATCCTACTCACCTTTCCCTCATAGTCCGGAAGACCAAGGGCAACCGAAGTACCTCACCTGTCACTGACCCCAGCATCCCCATTAGGAAGAAATCAAAGGATGGCAAAGGTATGGACAGCTGGGACTCAGGTGAGGTGGGGAGGGAGCCCCTTCCCTGCTGCCAGGGTGCCCCAGCTGCCCAGGCTGCCCCTCACGGCCTGCCCCTCTGCAGGCAGCACCATCTATCTGTGGGAGTTCCTCCTGGCTCTTCTGCAAGACAGAAACACCTGTCCCAAGTACATCAAGTGGACCCAGCGAGAGAAAGGCATCTTCAAACTGGTGGACTCCAAAGCTGTGTCCAAGCTGTGGGGGAAGCAGAAAAACAAGCCTGACATGAACTATGAGACAATGGGGCGGGCACTAAGGTAGGAGCTGTTGGGATGATGCAGAACCCCTGCCCTGGGGATCACCAATCCTTCCTTAAGTCCAAGGAGTCCTCCTCGCTTTCATGGAGACCTGATTGATCCTAAGGAAACGAGTCTCGTAACTTTCCTCTTAGCTTGCTCCTATGTCTGTTCCCCAGGCCCCCTCTGGCAGGAAGAGCCCCCCTCCTCTTGTATCTGACCTGGCCTTTTTTCTTTTCCTTTTTCTTTCTTTCTTTCTTTCTTTCTTTCTTTTTTTTTTTTTTTTTTTGAGATGGAGTCTTGCTCTGTCACCCAGGCTTGAATGCAGTGGCGCAATCTCGGCTCACTGCAACCTGCACTGCCTGGGTTCAAGCGATTCTCATGCCTCAGCCTCCTGAGTAGCTGGGATTACAGGCGCATGCCACCACGCTCAGCTAATTTTTTGTATGTTTTTTTTTTATTTTTATTTATTTATTTATTTATTTTGAGACGGAGTCTTGCTCTGTCACCCAGGCTGGAGTGCAGTGGCACGATCTCGGCTCACTGCAAGCTCTACCTCCCGGGTTCACGCCATTCTCCTGTGTCAGCCTCCCAAGTAGCTGGGACTACAGGCGCCCGCCACCACGCCCGGCTAATTTTTTTGTATTTTTAGTAGAGACTGGGGGTTTCACCATGTTAGCCAGGATGGTTTCAATCTGCTGACCTCGTGATCTGCCCACCTCGGCCTCCCAAAGCACTGGGATTACAGGCGTGAGTCACGGCGCCTGGCCTCATTTTTTGTATTTTTAATAGAGACGGGGTTTCACCATGTTGGCCAGGCTGGTCTTGAACTTCTGGCCTCAAGTAATCTGCCCACCTTGGCCTCCCAAAGTGTTGGGATTACAGGCGTGAGCCACCGCGCCTGGCCTCCTTTTTGCTTTTTATAATGGAAGAGCAGTTCAGCACCCCCTCTTCCCCAAGAAGGGCTTTCTTCACATCTGCAAGCCAGAGACCCGGGGAGGTGGGCTTGAGTTGTCCTAGAGGTGGTCTCTCAGGCTGGGGGATTGCTGTTCCCGCCATCCATCCCCTCACTCTCAGTTCTCTCCTTCAGTCATTCCCTGTCCTCTGCCCCAAAGCAGGGGGTTGGAGTGGGGTGACATCTGAAAACCTTTTGTGATCCTTTGAGTTCTCAGGGGGAAATCTCAGGAATGTCATAAAAGCCTTCCAAGTCCAGGTGTTGACATATCCTTTCCCTTGCCCTTGGGCCCTCAGCTGGCTCCCCAGCCAGCCTCACTCAGCCTCATGCTTGCCTAGCCCTCGGGGAGGAGCACTGGGGAGATGGAGGTAGAAGGTCTCCCACCCAGCTCCCGGCTAACTCCCAACTCCCTGCCCCTCTTCCTCTAGATACTACTACCAAAGAGGCATACTGGCCAAAGTGGAAGGGCAGAGGCTGGTGTACCAGTTTAAGGAGATGCCCAAGGACCTGGTGGTCATTGAAGATGAGGATGAGAGCAGCGAAGCCACAGCAGCCCCACCTCAGGCCTCCACGGCCTCTGTGGCCTCTGCCAGTACCACCCGGCGAACCAGCTCCAGGGTCTCATCCAGATCTGCCCCCCAGGGCAAGGGCAGCTCTTCTTGGGAGAAGCCAAAAATTCAGCATGTCGGTCTCCAGCCATCTGCGAGTCTGGAATTGGGACCGTCGCTAGACGAGGAGATCCCCACTACCTCCACCATGCTCGTCTCTCCAGCAGAGGGCCAGGTCAAGCTCACCAAAGCTGTGAGGTAAGGGCACCCAGGTCAGCATGAGTCTTCACATAGTACATCATGTTGGGGTTCAGTTTTCTTTTTTTTTTTTTTTGAGATGGAGTCTCGCTCTGTCACCCAGGCTGGAGTGCAGTGGCATGATGTCTGCTCACTGCAACTTCCGCCTCTCGGATTCAAGTGATTCTCCTGCCTCAGCCTCCCGAGTAGCTGGGATTACAGGTACCCACCACCACACCCAGCTACTTTTTGTATTTTTAGTAGAGACGGGGTTTCACCATGTTGACCAGGCTGGTCTCAAACTCCTGATCTCAAGTGATCTGCCCGCCTTGGCCTCCTAAAGTGCTGGGATTACAGATGTGAGCCACCGTGCCTAGCAGGGCTCAGTTTTCAACTTCTTGCCAAGCTCTACTCTGTCGCCAGGCTCATGGGATCCTCCCAGAGCCATGGAAAAGCCAGTAGGGCACTTGTTGGTCAAGAGAGGGGAAGTCACTTGCCTGAGGTCACACATCCGGGGGCTTACACGAGAGGGGCTCCCCAGGGAGCCACCAGGGCGTCCGTGTCCTGGCCCATCCTCCTAAGCCTCCTCCATTCTAGAAAAGAAGCAACAGAGAATGTTTTAGAGCTGCCTGCTGTGAGCCCCTTGGGACCTCCAGGCCCACCCGGCTAGCTCCAACTACTTCTCATCCCCACTAAGGGGCCTCCGATTTTCCCTGAGAAGGTTGGACTTTGTTGGGTTATGTGTTTGGACCTCCCACTACACTGGCACAGTGAGACACCCTTTCGAGGAGGGCAGGCAGTCACTACGCTGGCGCAGTGAGACACCCTTTCGAGGAGGGCAGGCAGTAGAGTGGAATGGTGAGGAAGATGAGCTCTGGGATCACAAGACCTAGTTGTGAGGCCCTGCTGTAGTGCTTACTATGTATACTGGCTGTGTAATCACTAGAGCGGGGACTCACATCAAGGCCTTGTGAGACCCCAGCATCCCCACTTGGAAGAAATCAAAGGATAACATAGGTATGGCTGGTCTTGGAGCAAGTTATTAATACATAACCTCTCTGTGCCTCACTTTCCTCAAGCTGTAAAATCAGATTGTTCTTATCCCACTTGTGGGCTGTTTTCAGGATTGAGTGAAATGCCACATGTCAATCATTTAGAATGATCCCTGACCTATATACCTATTCTAAGTACTTAATAAATGTGAGCTACAGCTGAGCATGGTGGCTCACACCTGTAATCCCAGCACTTTGGGAGGCCGAGGCAGGTGGATCACCTGAGGTCAGGAGTTCAAGACCAGCCTGGCCAACATGGTGAAACTCTGTCTCTACTAAAAATACAAAATTAGCCGGGTGTAGTGGTGCTCGCCTATAATCCCAGCTACTTGGGAGGCTGAGGCAGGAGAATCACTTGAACCTCAGAGGCAGAAGTTGCAGTAAGCCAAGATTGCACTACTGCACTCCAGCCTGAGTGACAGAGCAAGACTCCGTCTCAAAAAAAAAAATAAATTAAAAATTAGCTGGGTGTGGTGGCACACACCTGTAGTCCCAGCTACTTGGGAGGCTGAGTCAGGAGGATCGCTTGAGCCCAGGGCTTCAAGGCTGCAGTGAGCAGTAATCGTGTCACTGCACTCCATCCCGGGCAGCAGAGTGAGACCCTGTCTCTAGAAAAAGAAAAAAACAACAAACAGCAAATAAATCGACAAACACCTTCAGCTCCATTCCTCTCGTGCCCTCCTTCCTAACCAGCTGAGGGACACTTCCTGCCTTAACCAACTCTGTTCTCTGTTTCTTCTCAGTGCATCTTCAGTGCCCAGCAACATCCACCTAGGAGTGGCCCCCGTGGGGTCGGGCTCGGCCCTGACCCTGCAGACGATCCCACTGACCACGGTGCTGACCAATGGGCCTCCTGCCAGTACTACTGCTCCCACTCAGCTCGTTCTCCAGAGTGTTCCAGCGGCCTCTACTTTCAAGGACACCTTCACTTTGCAGGCCTCTTTCCCCCTGAACGCCAGTTTCCAAGACAGCCAGGTGGCAGCCCCAGGGGCTCCACTGATTCTCAGTGGCCTCCCCCAACTTCTGGCTGGGGCCAACCGTCCGACCAACCCGGCGCCACCCACGGTCACAGGGGCTGGACCAGCAGGGCCCAGCTCTCAGCCCCCTGGGACTGTCATTGCTGCCTTCATCAGGACTTCTGGCACTACAGCAGCCCCTAGGGTCAAGGAGGGGCCACTGAGGTCCTCCTCCTATGTTCAGGGTATGGTGACGGGGGCCCCCATGGAGGGGCTGCTGGTTCCTGAAGAGACCCTGAGGGAGCTCCTGAGAGATCAGGCTCATCTTCAGCCACTTCCAACCCAGGTGGTTTCCAGGGGTTCCCACAATCCGAGCCTTCTGGGCAACCAGACTTTGTCTCCTCCCAGCCGCCCCACTGTTGGGCTGACCCCAGTGGCTGAACTTGAGCTCTCCTCAGGCTCAGGGTCCCTGCTGATGGCTGAGCCTAGTGTGACCACATCTGGGAGCCTTCTGACAAGATCCCCCACCCCAGCCCCTTTCTCCCCATTCAACCCTACTTCCCTCATTAAGATGGAGCCCCATGACATATAAGCAAAGGGGTCAGGGCAAGTGTGACCCACCAGGCAAAATTGAGCAGCATTTTCATAGGGACCGACTTCAGTAGCACACCTGCCCCTGCATTTCAGTGGGATGTCAATACACTTGACCCCAAGTCCCCCGGCCCTGCCTGGTGTCACTGTGGCCAAACAGTGCCCAGCTTAAGCATCCCTGGCATCAGACTATGGCCTTCAAGAGCACTAGGGCATATGCTTTTGGCAGCATAACGGGCTGACTTGGTGATGGAGGGAAAAAGCCTTGAGCCAGGCAGAAGTTTGTGGCCAGGGTTTGTGCAGCAGCTTTGTGAGAAGAGCCCTTCTACCTGGCTCTATCTCACTGGCTGCATTCCCTACACAGGGAATTTACTACCCTATATGTGAATATCCCTGTATGTACTTGTGTGTACTTGTTGGTCTGTATCTTAGTTTCTTTGGGGAGGACAGGGCTGTAGCTGTGAGGTCTTGTCTCCAAGGGTGTGTGTATGTCTCCGTGGATCAGCCACAGGGATAGGGATTTTGTTTTTAAGGGAAAGCATTCTCTAATTCCCTTTGTTCATGCCGAGATTCAGTTGCTCTGAGACTATGGGGTACAAGTTTGATCCTCCGAATCTGGAGATGTTGTAGAGCTGGAACGAGTGCAGAGTAGGAACGCTTTGATGCGCATGCACATTGGGGAAGATGCGCTCCTCAGGGACACAAAGGCCGAGTGGGGTAAAACCACGAAGGGAGGGAAGGGAAGTCAGCTCTGGGAGCAGCCCTCACTGGCTGGACCAAGGTACTCTTCCTGGAGTTTGCCGTGTTAGCAACCACAGTCACCTTGCAGTCAGGCTGGAATCTTGGGCCACCCCAAAGTGCTTTGCTGAAGGATTTAGACGGGGATGAAGTGCCCTCCAGCCTCAGAGCTAGCCACAAAGCCCCCAGAGCTGAATTCATTGAGTATTTGTGCCTAGGGCTTGGGCTGTTTGTGTGATACCGGCCCCCCGCCAGACAATAGCCTTTGCTGACACCCCAGCCTACTTCCCCGATCCTGGGCTCCCTCTTGATTACTTTTTGACATTTTCCAGCTGTCAGGCATCACTGCGGCTAGTCCGGCAGCGACCTAGATGGGGTCCACCCCCATTCCTGCTCAAGCATGGGCACCTACCACATGGTTTCTGCTGCTCAGCCTGCCTGCAACTCACCTCGAAGGCGGACCAGCCTGCCTCTGTGATGACTGCAGCAGACCTCCTTGGGTGTACCAATGCCCCTCATCTCCCACTTTCACACCTAACCCTGACTCCTTCACCAAGAAGACGGGAGTCGGCAGCCAGGAGTTCCCGTGGCACCTCTCTCTCTTCGTGGCTCCCTGCTTCCCCCTTCCCTCTTTCCGAGGAAGGGTCAACCTATTCTCTCTCAAAGCCAACCCCTAGGCCAATTGCCTGGATCTCCTCCCCTCTCCCTTCTTTAAACGAGCTTGCCTCCCTCCTGCCAAGTTTGAGGGCAAGGCTAAGAAATGTCAGCCACGGAAACAACTCTATTATCTGGTGACTTTGGGTAATGTGAATCAGTGCCTGAGGACCTTTGCTGTGTCCTTGGTACAGAACCATCCACTTGACCTAACTACCTCCCCTGGCCGCGCTCTCGCTCTTCTCTTCTTTGTTAAGCCAACAACTATCACCCTCTCCTACTCTTCTTCTCCCTGCCCCCTGGAGGGCACTGTGTTTGGTTGTGCAAATGTATTTACTATGCGTGTTTCCAGCAGTTGGCATTAAAGTGCCTTTTTCTAATAAAATCAGTTTATTATGACAGTTTCCTGATGGTTGAAAGTAAGCATCTTGATAAAGGGTCACCATTAAAAAAAAATTTTGCATAAAGGTGCTGCATGGGTTGGGGTAGCCCCGCCCCCACCTGAAAACTGGTTTCTGCCACCCCTACTCCAACTCCATGGAAACTCATTGCTGGAAGGTCATCAATGACCTCATGGTGAAATCAAATGTCTTCTTCACAGTTCTCGGGCCCCCGTGAGCCCACACTAGCTGGGCTCTCCTGCATCCCCCATCACCCTTTCCGGGGCTGGTTCTTCACCTACCACTTCCAACGTGGCTGTTCAAGAATCTCATCCATTTTGGGCTCATTTTGGCTCCTCGGAGATGGGTCCTAAATCTAGAGCTCCAGTCCCAACCTTTCTCTTAAGCTCCTGGCTCACATTTCCAGCAATCTGCTGAACATTTCCATGTGGGTGCTTGTCAGCTCCTTAAAGATAGCCCCTCTATCAACAATGTTTTTGTTTGTTCGTTTGTTTTTGAGTCAGAGTCTTGCTCTGTCGGCTGGAGTGCAGTGGTGCAATCTCGGTTCACTGCAACCTCTGCCTCCCAGGCTCAAGTGATTCTCCTGCCTCAGCCTCCTGAGTAGCTGGGAGTACAGGCACATGCCACCATGCCCAGCTAATTTTTGTATTTTCAGTAGAGCCAGGGTTTCACCATTTCGGCCAGGCTGGTCTCGAACTCCTGGCCTCAGGTGATCCACCCACCTTGGCCTCCCAAAGTGCTGGGATTACAGGCGTGAGCAACCACGGCTGGCCAACAATGGATTTTTAAATTATTTCCACGCTCACAAAAAACCTTTCCAAGATGACGGGTTGATGGGTGCAGCAAACCACCATGGCACATGTATACCTATGTAACAAACCTGCACGTTCTGCACATGTATCCCAGAACTTAAAGTATAATAATAATAATAATAATAATAATAATAATAATAATAAAAATCAAGCAAACAAAAAGGCCGTCACGACTTGCCTATTTCTGTTAATGGTGCCACTGTTTTCCTGACCTCTTAAATTTGAAATTTCAGAGCTGTCTGATCGTTGCCTTCACTTCACCCCCATCCCCCTCTCCCGTCTCCCGAAGTCCAGCTTGTGGTTTGCAATGTCCGTAAAACCTCGCCTTTCTTCCACATTCCCAGAAGCCTCCACCCTAGTTCAAACTACCCAAGACACACAGGGGCTCCCAGCGTGATCTGTCTCAACCCCTCCCATTTGCCCTTTGATAAAAAGCCCTCACTGACTCCTCCTGGCCTACAGGTAGGGGTGATACTCAAAATACTTAATCTCTAATCCTTTCTAAACTTAGCCCTTTCGTTGCTGAAGCCAGTCCAGGGGTCCTGGAATAGGGATGGGGGAGCACTTGGGCTCAGGGCAGTAGCTCCGGAAGTATTTTAAGCTTAGCATCAGCCCTGTCTTCAGGACAAAGCCCCAAGTCCTTGGCCTGCCATCAAGACCCTTCACCTTTGGGTCTTAACTGACTTCCCCAGTCAACTCACCCTGCTCCTTCTGCCACCACTCATACCCCAAGGCACTGCTCCAGTCAAACTGATGGATTTGCTGGCCTGTGAACATGCCTCTGTTTACAATTTCCAAACTCTGTGCTTTTGCTCTTATTATCTACTACATATATTCTAAGCATTTTAAACCTGGAAACCAAGATCCTCCATTTATCTTTTACCTGCTCTAGGCAATACAGACAAACTCAACATTATTTACACACTCCTGTGTTTTCTTAATGAATATTCTTCCCTTCTATGTATCTTTTCCTTTAGAAATACAATCCATTGGCCATGCGCGGTGGCTCATGCCTGTAATCCGAGCACTTTGTGAGGCCGAGGCAGGCAGATCACGAGGTCAAGAGATCGAGATCATCCTGGCCAACATGGTGAAACCCCGTCTCCACTAAAAATACAAAAATTAGCTGGGCATGGTGGTGTGTGCCTGTAGTCCCAGCTACTCGGGAGGCTGAGGCAGGAGAAACACTTCAACCCGGGAGGCAGAGGTTGCAATGAGCCGAGATCGCGCCACTGCACTCCAGCCTGGCGACAGAGTGAGACTCCATCTTGAAAAAAAAAAAAAAAAAAAAAAGAAACGAAAAGGAAAGAAAGAAAATCCATCCACAGCCAGGCACAGTGGCTCACGCCTGTGATCCCAGCACTTTGGGAAGCTGAGGTGGGCGGATCACCTGAGGTCAGGAGTTGGAGACCAACATGGCCAATATGGCGAAACCCCATCTCTACTAAAAATACAAAAATTAACCGGGCTTGGTGGCACGCACCTATAATCCCAGCTACTGGGGAGGCTGAGGCAGAGAATCCCTTGAACCTGGAGGTGGAATTTGCAGTGAGTCGAGATTGTACCTGGGTGATCAAAGCAAGACTGTCTCAAAAAAAAAAAAAAAAAAAAAGAAAAGAAAAAAAGTACAATCCATCCTTCAAGATCTGATTGGTTCCACTCAATCAGAATGTCCTTCCTATCCTGCTAGTACCAATTAAATTGTGTCCCTCCTTCAAGACTCGATTCATGGACTCTGCCTCCCCAGACCAGTCTGTCCTAAGTGAGTTATTTAAAACTTATTGCAATTGCCACTCTTTCAGCAACTGATCATGAACACCCTGTGACATCTATTATAATGCAAACTGTTACTTAAATCTTCAATGACCTGTACCTATTTAGTGTCCCCAATTAGCACATTACCTCCTTGAGGAGTGGGAGGGACTGTATCAACCACGTAACATGGCACAGTACAAAGGATCAAGGTAATGGTTACTGATGGAGCCGGTGGGAGATGGGGACCAAACTTTGAGGTAGGTGACCTCTGACCTCCCCTCTGCACAGGCACTCACCCCAGGTGCTCCACTGCTCTGGGCCTGCCCTCCCTGGCTCAGTGCCCTCATGGTATCCCCAACCCCACCCCCCCATCTTAGCACTCAAAATTTGTTACTATTTTGAACATCCTCTACCCCTAAAGCAACTTCCCTGTCCAGTTTCTTTCCTACTCCAAGTGTGAAACTAGCTAAACCAATTAACCTGTGCTGATACAGTTATGGGAGAGGGCTAGAGGAGAACCTCAGGAGACAGGTTCATTTTAACCAGAGTCATGTGGCAGTAAGTCTCTGCCTTTTCTTGGTTTAATGGAGTCAGGAGTCAAGAGATGACCCTCATCTCCCAGCAGCTGATATGTTACTCCCTCCTCTGGGTTCCCACAGCACTTTGTTTTCTTTATTTTTTTGAGATAGAGTCTCCCTCCGTTGCCCAGGCTGGAGCGCAGTGGTGCGATCTTGGGTCACTGCAGCCTCTGCCTCCCGAGTTCAAGCGGTTCTCCTGCCTCAGCCTCCCAAGTAGCTGTGACTACAGCTGCGTGCCACCACGCCCGGCTAATTTTTGTATTTTTAGTAGAGAACGGGTTTCACCATGTTAGCCAGGCTGGTCTCGAACTCTTGACCTCAAGTGATCCGCCCACCTCAGCCTCCCAAGGTGCTGGGATTACAGCCCTGAGCCACCTCACAGCACTTTGTAAATACCTCTTATGGTAGCACTTAGCACAGTACAGTTCTTTAATTACGTGTTTATGTAGGGTTCCCCGCCAATAGGCTGTGAGCTCCTCAAGGACAGGGACTGTGTGTTAGTCACTGATATATCCCTAGTGCCTAGCACACAGTAGGTTCTTAATAAATGCTTATTGAAAGAAGGAACTGGTCCTGATTTTAATTCTGAGACTTCTGCCCTATGCTATGGCAGGCAAGAGGAGAGGGAGGAGGACAATCCACACTTGGGAGCTAAGGCAGCTTTCTGCCCGCTCCTATAACACTGCAGGCGGCTACTTCCTTTGCCCCTGGAGTGTTAACAGACATCCCCGGATCACAGGGTCCATGAGGAGCCCAGGGCTGCTTGCCAGCTGTGCGTTGCTGTCACCAGGTGCCACGTGCAACTCCCGAACTCCCGCCCTTTGCTGCTGCCCGCTTCCAGGGACTGCCTCGCCACTATTTCCTCACCCCTGGGTGGGGCTGTGCGGTGGAAGTGTCAGCTCCGGTGGGTGGGGCGGGACAAGAAGTTATTCTGACGGTCACAGGCCTTTCTGATCCCATCTTGTACTCCAAAAGAGGCAGTTGCCTCCAGCTCTGAAGCCGCTGGACCTGGGGTGAGTGAGCTCCTTCCCCTCCCAGACTGAGGTCCCAGCCTCCGAGAACTTCGGGCCCCGGCGCGCCGGACGTGGAGGCCGACGTCCAGCAGGTGGCGCTGTCGAGCCAGCGATGGCGGGAGAGTGGCCCGGCGGGGCCCGGGAAGGGAGGGGCAGCCAGGGTTGGGCCTACCGTCCCTGGCGGAGGCGGCCGCGGCCGCGGCTGGCGTCTTCCGGTCCCCCGATCTTGCCCCTGCGCCTGCAACTGTCCCCGGATGGTTCTGGCCGCCACCAAAGCCCTCCGCTGCTCCGGAGCTTCGAACTTTCCCCTCGACCCCAGCCCCCTTCACTTTCCAGGGGGAATTTAGCCGGCCGCCGAATGCGCTCCCCCATTGGCCAGCCGCGCTCTGGCCCCGCCCCCGGCGCCCCCTCCCTCAGCCTCGCGGACCAGCAGGTGAGCACGCGGAGTCGCAGTCACCCGGCCTGCCCTCCCCTCCCCTCGCGCGCCGCCGCCTTCTACCGTGAAGCGGGAGAGCGATCGAGGCGCCCCAGACAGCCGTTTGCTAGCGGAGGGACCTGACCGTCCGCCGCACGAGCCCGGCTCCCAAGGACCGGCGCGGGGCCTAAAGACGTCGCCCCCAGAGGCCGGACGCTGCGGCTCGGCCGACCCCCGCGCGGTGGCAGCCGGAGCGCTAGGGAAACGAGTGGAGCCCCGGCCCGGATCCTGCTGCGGGATCCAGAAGGCCCGAGCACTTCGCGTCCCCCTGCCCAGCAGTTGAGCAGACGCCCCTGGGGCGGACCCCACCCTTCCCAAACACACACACACTGGTCTTTGCATGGGCAGGACACAGTTAAACACCCACCAGGCCTCCCGGTTATTGGGTTAGAGTATGGACCGAGCAGGAGTTTACTGCCCCATTCACCACCGCCCCCAACCCCACCTACCCCAAATAGGGATGCGGAGACTATCCCTCCTCCCACCAAGACTTGAACAGAGCCTCTCTTTCAAGCCCAAAGAGCGTTCTGATAAGACCCTCATTAACCATAGGTTCGTGAGCTCGGCATGAAGGAGGAACTAATTTTGGCTAAACAGATCTTTATGGTCCTCAGTGTGATGCTCTGTCAGTAGGTGGGTACATTGGCCTCCATTTGGCTGATGGAGCAATTAAGGCTGGGAAAGATTAGGTTCTCGCCCAAGGTCAGCCTAGGTAGTTAGGAGTGGTGCTGGCTCTTTCCTCTACACCATACTAAAAGGACTGGGAGATCATTTAATAAGAGGCCACCAAGCCATCCTCACCCCAATCCTGACCGGGGATGTAGATTTAATGCCACGGCCCATACTTCCTGCCTTGATCTTTCCAACCTGGCAGAAGGGCAGTGGGACTCCAGGTAAGCCGTGGGCAAAGAACCCCAAAAGCAATAAAACAATCTGCTGTTTGGTTTTGCTTTTAACTCCCCTTGTATCCAAGCCTTTGCTCAGATTGTCCTCTCAGTTCAAACACTCTTCCCTGCCACCTCTAATTCCTGCATTTCTACTTTTTAAAGTATCAACTAGGCATCACCTCTTCTAGGATGTGTTCCCAGGGCCCTTGCCCATGCTTCTGAGCTCCCATAGCATCCTGGGACTAGTTGAATTCTTATACTCACCACATGGCTTTATAACCTATCAACATGTCAGATTTCTTGACTTAACTGCAAGTTCCAAGCACAGGATCGACCTGAATTCAGAACCACTGTGGGCTTGTTTGGGAATCTGACAAAGGTGGCTATTGCATAGGGCCTTGGGATCAGAAAGTGGGGAGAGGACGGCCAATGAGGAAGATTAATGCTATGGTTCAAAGAGGATGATGCTTGGACCTGGGTCGAGCCAAGCTTCTGAGGCTTGAGCAAAGACAGCAGCTTAGAGTTCACTCCTGAGGACGGCTGGACTCCAGCCAGCCAGACGCACAGATCCCTTCGCCTCTACACTCTCTAACAGGGCTCTCCAGACTCGAAAGCCACAGTGAGAAGCCCTAAGAGAATAGAGCTTCAAAGGGCCTCATCCCAGGCCTCTCGAACATCCTCTTCCTCTCAGTCACTGGTGCATTCTGGAACCAGCAATCACAAGAATCATAGCTTCTACCACTGTTTTTCAGAAGTGGGAGGAAAAACTGCAAAATCCAGGATGGGCATCTTGCCTTCATGGTAGCTCGGTGGCAGGAAAACAGAACCATGGAAGGCCTGCACCGTGGGTGGGGAGCACTGGCACAACAGTGAGGGCAGTGATGAGGCCATGCAGCCAGATGCCACCTCGGCAGGGTGGCCTAGGGCAAGCAGGGGACTTCCTTAAGGAGGCTTATTCCCACAGCCACCACAGAGAAGGCTACTTCCTCCAACCCTGCTACTCCTATGTAAACAAGGACTGCCCAGGCACCTGCTTCAACCCCAAACCAAAGCAACAGGAGCCAGATGCTCCATTTGCCCCCACTGGCCCCGCCCCCAGGATTTGCCCCTTTCTTTTTCTTTCCAGATCGTGACCCAATGTTCACTAGCCACTCCACCTTGCCTTTATTCATCGTACCCCTTGGGACCCACAGCTGCAAAGCAGGATGGCGGGGGCTCCCCATTTACTGAATCACAATGCCCACCTTCTGAAACCACCAAAAAGTCCCAAAGGGGAGGAGAGAAAAAGAGAGACGGGAGAGAAAAAGAGAGACGGGAGACAGAAGCCCTGACACAGGTTTTTCAGTATGCAAGTGTTTTTGACTCCACAGCCAGTTGCTTAAAATGAAACATAAAGGGCAGCCAGAATATACACCCAAATGCGAAAAAAGGAAAGGCAAACAGAACATGAAATAAACTACACAATACCAGGAACCCCAACAAAACCAACAAATTAAAGTCCAAAACCCCTCAACTTTATATATATATATGTATATATATATGTATTTTTTTTTCTTAAAAAGGGAAAACAACTGTTCAAAACCAACTGGGCAGTATGGTGGGGGTGGGGAGCAGTCCTACAGAAGGGGGCCGAGAACTTCCCCCCCAGGAACAAAGAACAAACACAATACAAAGAAAATAACCACCAATGCTCCCGCATGGCTCAGGAGCCTCTAGAGAACAGATTGTCCCATCCTCAAACTGGCTTTTTTTTTTTCCTTTTTTTTTTAATCTTTTTTTTTTCCATTTTCTTTTTTGTTGTTGTTGTTTTAGCACCTGTACAATAAAACTGTACCATCTCCAACCAGAGCCGGCCACGGCGAGGCCCTCCTGCCTTTGGATGGTACATACTCTACAAGGATTGTTCGGAAAAATAGCAATTGGTAGAAAAATAAGAGTGGGAGGGACAATGCCACAGAGGGGGCGGGGACAGGGAAGCAACCCAAGCTCCTCTCTCTCTCTCACTCGACAAACCCAGCGCTGGAGGCCCAGAGGCCAGGGGGAGGCCAGGTAGGGATACCACTCAGCCCCAGGCCCCCAGGCATGAGTGGAGCAAGGGCTGGAGACCACTTTCCTGCCCTTGCCTAGGAAACAGCTGACGCCTGGATTTCACATCCGGCAGTGAGTCCCAGAGCCCTCTGCAGATTCCCAAGGAGAATGAGGGGCTGAGGGAGGAGGTGGGAGGAGAGGAAGGAAAGGGGTGCTGTGAGTCTCAGAAGGGGCAGGGATGGGGGTGGCTGAGGGCTGGGAGGTGAGAGGCTCAGTATCTTGAGACAGGGAGGCCAGAACGGGGTGGGAGAGTGGAGGCAGGAACAAACTCGTATTGTGCACTCTGAGGGGGGCAGTGAAGAAGGCGTGAGGAGGGGGGCCACCCTCACCCCTCAGATCCCTTCTCCACGCTCCTTTATTAGAGTAACTTATTAACCCCTCACCTCACAATCCTCCCCTCCCTGTCAACACTAATCTCAAGATAGCGGGGCTGCTGCAAAGGGCGGGAATGGGTGGGTGGGGGAGCACCAAAGCCTCAGGATTTACCCCCAAGCCCCCAGCCCTGGGCCAGCAGCAACCAGCTTCGTTAGTCACAAGTCCATGTTCCCCCACCCCATTCCACCTCACCCCCTCCCCAGTGGGGGAAAAAAACACCAGGGAATAGCTTTGTCAGAGCTCATCAACAAAGAAAAAGAAAAGGAGGTACAGAAAGTCCCTCAATACAACAAGTTGTCTCAAATCGTCACAGTGATACAGACTTATCAGAAACCAATGAAACAATACAAATTAAATACTAATAAAATAAATACTACAGAAGACAGAAGAACACAGGGGAATGGAGTTGGGGGGCGCTCAGAGATCTGGGATTTTCTCATTTCTCCTCGGGACAGGCCAAGGCCATCCAGGGCCCAGGTTTGGTCTTGGTCATGAACAAGGAGGCCAGTCCAAGGGACCCCGGCGCCACCTCCCACCACCCCCGGGACCTCTTGTCCTCAGACATGGAGTTCAACTTTCCACCCCCATCAGCAACCACGATAACAATGACGACGACAGGGAGATGAGAACTAATTGTAACCAAAAAAACAAAAACAGTCCAGTCGCTAATGCTGGCATTGATAAGGCGGCTTCTTGTTGGTCCGTATTATTGCCTCATTCTGCAGTCTGGTGCTCGGTCGGGGAAAGACAAGGAGGTGGGGGAAGGGCGAACTCGGAAGGAGAAAGAAGAGGAGGGGCTGTTTTCCCGGTCAACTGTTGCAAGACTGGAATTCCACCTCGGACCCTAGGAGCCGAAGTAGGTCTGGCTCGTACCGCACCAGCTCCACAGTCTCAGAGGAGCCTGGGGGGGATCTGTCGTCCAAGCCTCCAGGCCTCTCGGCAGGGGTCAGCAGCTGACTGGAGGCCACCTGCCTGTAGAACTCGGCCTTGGGCATGGTGGTGATTTCAAAGTGCGGGAACCGGGCCTGAAAGATCCTCGAGGAAAGCTTCAGCCTCTTCAAGACATCGGAAAAGAGGAACCAGTTGCAGGGCCTGCAAAGGCAAGGATGGGAGTTATTGAAGGAGGCTGGAGGAAGCGGTGGGGGCACCGACCCAGAACACTCTGCAAAGCCCACAAAGGCTGCACGACCATCAATGTCTCCCATTATAACTCACTGCCAGTCTGGCTCCCCCGTCCCCTGCTAAACCACAGGCTCCTTGGGTATAGCTGAGGCAAATGTCTTCTCCTGTCCCCTGCAATGCCTGGCCCGGCTTTCAGCTAAATGGTGAGCACGCAATCAGTGACCACCTCTTCCAAAATAACACAAACAGGAGGCAAAGGGGCATTCTAGAACCTAAAACTCTTAGCAGGCTTCTTGGGGACTTAGCCTGCGCCCCTGTGACCTGGCATTTGCCATCTGCTGGGACCAGTCTTTCCTCCGACTCCCGCCCCTGCCAACCCTGGCTGCCTTCCCTTCTCCTGTTCTTACTCTTGCTTCCCTGGCCTCCTTGCTCTCCAAGATCTTCCCCAGCAGAGGGGGAGCCGTGGAGAAAGGCCTAAACTGCGGGTAATCCAAAAGGCATTTCTCTTTGGCTCTGGAATGCATTAGACAAGTTTTTTCTCCAGCAGCAGCACCATCGTTTCTGCAGGGCCAGAGCTCACATTACAGAAAGTGGAGTCTGACTTTGCTGAGCACACCCGACTGGGTGGCAGCCTGGGGACAGCTGGGAGGGGTGCTGGAGAGGCCGATCCCGGGCCAAACGCTTACATTGACTAATGCGGGAAGAAACGCTGCCTCCCCACATTAGTGGTCCCAGTTCACAGGGTTTTCCCTCCTCACTATTCCACTACCCCAGCTCCAGCCTTTGCCACTTCTGGCCTGGGCTCTGTCTTGTCAGCCTCCTAACCGGTTTCCCTTTGCCAAGAGTCACTCTTCTGCACCCCCACCCACCCTCACTGGATCTTCTGTTACCATTACAGTTTTCTTTTCTTTTTTTTCTTTTTCCAAGACGGAGTCTCTAGGCTGGAGTGCAGTGGCGCAATCTCGGCTCACTGCAACCTCCACCTCCCAGGTTCAAGCAATTCTCCTGTCTCAGCCTCCTGAGTAGCTGGGATTACAGGCACCCACGACCACGCCTGGCTAATTTTTGTATTTTAGTAGAGATGGGGTTTCACCATGTTGGCCAGGTTGGTCTCAAACTCCTGACGTCAAATGATCCACCCGCCTCAGCCTCCCAAAGCGCTGGGATTACAGGTGTGAGCCACCATGCCCGGCCACTAGCATGATATTATATGAGACCTTCTAACCTCTTCAGCCCAATGTCCACCCAGTCTCTCTCTTTCTCTGTCTCTCTCTCACACACACACACACCCCACATTGTATCCCCCACCCTACCAAGCACCAGCCACATGATAAAGGACTCCCCCTACTTTCTGAACTTGTATGTTTCAGTGCCTTGCTCCATCCTTCTCTCCTTCCAGGCCCAGCTCAGGTAGATACTGTATCACCTGTGAAACCTTCCCCCGGTGTAACTCATTGTTCTTCCATCTCCCATGGTCTCGTGGCATTTGATTCACATCCCTATTGTAATACTACTAACAAAACCCATTTCTGAAAGGGTTGCAAAAGAACCTTAAACTGTGGTTCACTCTGCAGCATAGCAATGGGGGCTCAGGGTGGACTGGAACTTTTTGCATTTGACACCCTTCTGAAACTGTTGGAGTTTTTTATAATAAATCTGCTTAGGACATTTTGTCTTTTATTAGAGTTAATTATATACTTGTCTGTCTACTGCACTAGATGGTGGATTCTTTGAAGGTCCCCAGGGTTTGACCTGGTGCAGCTGTTTAAGACATGTTTATAGAATCAAATGTTCTGTTCCAGCACCTTAAACATCTAACCAGACCCACGATCCTTATCCCTAAAATGGAACATTTCTCCCAAATGACAGCAAGCTCTTATCTCACATGAGTAGGAAATGGAGGGCTCTGGGTTAAGAAAAGGGGACTACAGATATCATACACTTGGACCATCACTTCCAAAGAATGGAAAAAAGCCCTGAGAACATTCACACTAGTGATGAGAATTCAGTCTTGCTTTGGTGATTCAGAAGGCCCTTCTGCACCCCATAGGGCCTCAGAGGCATCACTCTACGCTAGCACCCCCACCCCCAACTTCTTGAAGAACAGACATTTTCACAGTGTGCTGCAGCTGTGGGGAAAGGCAGCTCTAGAGCGAGCGCTAGAGGATGTCACGTCAGGAAAACCAGCTTTGCTGGTACCGGGCTCTGGGCTAACCACGTGCCTGCCACTCAGCTCGCTGAGGGGCACGCAGCCCTCCGTGGCCCGTGTTCTGTCTGCACCTAATGCAGACTACCCTGGTCCTTTTACTGCCTGAAGCCCAAGATCCTGTTTCAGAGAGGGAGGTGCTGAATACATCGGAGGAATTAATTAACCGTGCAATACTATATCCCAGAGGCCCCGCCCTGTCCTCAGGGATCAGCTTATGCCCAGAAGAATAAGGACCAAAAGCCCCTGAAACTTGATCCCTACTAGTGCCATCATACATGCTATTTTTATTCTGATCAGGCTATGCGTGTGGGGTGGTGGGGGGGAGGGCAGGGGATGCAAAGAAACTGTGGTCTAATGGTTAGAGCCCTAAACAGAGGCTCTCACTTAAAGACCTCCTCATCCATCGTCTACCTAGCTCCCCATCCTGTGCACATCATGCTGGTTCACTGACTTATTTTATTATTTTATTTTATTTTGAGACGGAGTCTCACTCTGTCGCCCAGGCTGGAGTGTAGCAGGCAATATCAGCTCACTGCAACCTCCGCCTCACAGGTTCAGGCGATTCTCCTGCCTCAGCTTCCCTCGTAACTGGGATTACAGGCACCCGCCACCATGCCCGCCTAATTTCTGTATGTTTAGTAGACGAGGTTTCACCATGTTGGCCAGGCTGGTCTGGAACTCCTGGCCTCAAGCAATCCACCTGCCTCGGCCTCCCAAAGTGCTGAAATTACAACTGCTGCGACCAGCCACTGGTTCACAGGATTTTAACATAGAGTTGACATTTTAAAAATAGATATCAAAGAAAAATTATCCTTACAATTGTTCGGAAAAGTATTTGAAATACATGAAGACACCAATCAGAGGGAAAAAATCATGGAGGCTAAGAATAAAAGGGCAGTTCAGCCCGCATTCTCCTTCTCTCAACCAGCACTTCCACACGCTGACATGTGGGGAAACCCAACAAGGGCCATGGCCCTGCCGGCTGTCGAACTCCCTCCAGAACCATCAAATAAGTATTAAATTGGGTTCAATCTAATGTTACGTGTCAGGTATATTCTATATTCTAGTCTCCTTAAATAAATGGGTGATCCCCAATATAATATGCACAGTCATCTAGGCTGACAATGTTGGCAGCACCACGCTACTAACATTACAGCACTGAGAAACTAGGCTGTGGATTACTGAAGGACCCTAGTGGCCCCATGGCTATGGCAACCATATGTCCTGGCTTTTCCAGCAATCTCAATTTCTAATGTTCTATCTGTTTACCCCCAGAAACTACAAAAATGTTCCAGAGATTCTAGCAGTTCATAGGCCCAAGTATCTCTCAGATTATCTTTTATACCCAGTAATAGTGCAAAAAAAGCCTTCCGAGAGAGAATCTAGATTTAAGGTTCAGGAAATGCAGATAGTCAATGTCCATGGAGCCTGCAGCCTCTAGTTTGAACATGACTACTCTGGGCTAAAAGGGCAGGCTAGCCTTTGTCATGTGTGATGGCACTCGTTGCCAGGTCTTCACTTCCTCGTGGAGAACTCCACCTTCCTACTGAGTGCCAGGATCCTGACACTCAGTCACCGTGGATCTCTCGGACACTTACCCGCGGGACACTGACACTTGGAGGTTGTAGCAAGGGAGAAGAGGCTTGTCTGAGAGTTCAAACATGAAATCATCCTCCTCCATCGGATCGTCTCCTTCTTGATCTGAGCTCCCAGGAGGATTATGTAGGAGGTCACAGGCAAACCCGTCTTTTTCCTCTGTAAGGGGAGCATATAGGGGATTAGGACTCAGATACATGTACAAAACCGAAGAAAAGAAATGCGCTAAGCAGATAAAGGGGCATGGAGGGGTGGTGGTTGGGAGGTAAATGACAAGGCCACAGGCCCCTAGTCAGGGATGCGGTTTGCCGGTTCCATGGCTCACATCCTTCAGAGGGCACATGAAAGTTCTAGTACTGAAAGAAATCATTGTGTGGCCAGAGATTTATTATATCACTCCCCCCTCCAACTGGCAAAAGCAAGGTGACGTCAAGGATGAGCTGCTCAGCTGTTGGGAGATGGAAGCCTGAAGATACTATCAGCAGACAAGGGCAAGGTAAAAACACCTGTCCTTCTCTAGCTGCAGCTTTCCCAAGCCACCTCACTGCCTGCAGGGCTCCCACGAAGCCCAGAGGGGGCTGAGCGGGTTCCTTTCCCCAGCCCACATTCTGGGTGTGGCCAGTTGCATTCCATCCTGACTTTCTCCCCTCCAGCTTCCCCCAAGGGTAGGAGTGGGTGTTTCCTTTCATCTTCAGTCCCTAGCCCAAAGGGCGAATGCTAGATGACCACCATGGATAAAGGCCTGCTGGTCTTCCAGGAGAGGAAAGCTGCGGCCAGAAGGCTAAGGGCTCCGAAGACAGTAGCTATTCCAAAAACTGCGTGTGCATCGTGGGGGCAGGGTAGGGAGGGAATGGTAGGTCTCAGGTGAGGGGTGGGGTCCCTCTTGAGTGTGAGCAATACTGGAATAGGTGACAGTGCTCATAGAGGCTTCTGGCAGGGTTAAGACAAAGCCAGGGAGAAGAAAGGGACCTCGGAAGAAAGAGAATTTTTTAAATGCCCAGGGTGGGGAGTGGTAGAGGGCTAGTGAGGGATGGCTGTGTCCAAACCAGTGCTGCATTTCCCAGTTTCGACAAATGACTTCTGAGTCTGCAGGGAAGGATGGGTTCAGGTTCAGGTTTGGTCTGAAAGGGTCTGTAAGCCACTAAAAGGTGAAGAAGGGATACCACCACAGGGCTACTCCTGTCCTTGAGAAGAAGGGTGGGAAGAATCTCACTTAAAACTTACCCAACACAGAACTGCTGTAAAAATCCCAGGATACACCGGGATCACCCTCTGCCCGGCCCTGAAGATCCGAGAGGTGATCTGATGAAAGAAGAGCAGGCAGTGAGACAAGGAGGTTAGGCTGGGGAAGGAATGTCCAAGTGAAGTCCATGCATACGGGGCTAAGGGAATGGGAGAAGGGAAGGAAGGACCACAAGAGAGTCCAGGAGTGACCAGAGAGACACACACTTCCTGTTCTCAGTCAGAGACTGCCAACAAGGGGACAGGAGACCAATCTAACCCACTGACTGCCTAGTGTTTGACCCAGTGCTTTAAAAGAAAAAAAAAATCCCAATTTGCTTCCAACATTTTAATTTTTTTTTTTAAGAGTCAGGGTCTTGCTCTGCCACCCAGAGTGCAGTGGCATGATCATAGCTCACGGCACCTTGAACTCCTGGGCTCAAGTGATCCTCCCACCTCAGCCTCCCGAGTAACTGAGATTGCAGGTGCATACCACCACACCTGGCTAATACTTTTTTTTTCATTTTTGTAAAGGATGGGGTTTCACCATGTTGCCCAGGCTGATCACAAACCCCTGAGCTCAAGCGATCCTCCCACCTCGGCCTCCCAAAGTGCTGGGATTACAGGCATAAGCCACCCTGCCTGGCCCCACTTCCGACATTTTTAAATTGGGCAATTTCACTTAAAAATCCAGATTTCCCAATATTTCTGTGAAAAAAAAAATCTGATCTGGCAACATTGTGTCCAAATTCCTGCATGTCAACAGCTGGCTGGAGGGAACAGGGACACACGCGGGCTGGGCTCCAATTCGCCACTCCCCACCCAGCCTGCTTCTCCCTTTTAAGCCTGAAGGCATTTAGGTTTGGGACCTCCACTTTATACGGTGTAGAGCTTTAACCCTGCAAGCAGAATCTTAGACCTATCCCAGGATTTTAATTCCCTGCTGGTCACAATGTTCATTTATCGAATCATAATCTCTCCAATGTATAGTAATATAAATAAGCATAAGTCCTTCTGGTTCATTTTTGAAGAACATGGGGAAATGGCCAGGTTTATCTTCATAAAATCCTTTTGCTTCCATTCCTAGGTATATATCCCAAAGAACTGAAAACAGGTGTTCAAACAAAAACTTACACATGAGGCCGGGCACAGTGGCGCACGCCTGTAATCCCAACACCTTGGGAGGCCGAGGCAGGTGGATCACCTGAGGTCAGGAGGTTGAAACCAGCCATGGCCAAAATGGCGAAATCCAGTCTCTACTAAAAATATAAAAATTAGCCAGGCATGGTGGCACACGCCTGTAGTCCCAGCTACTCAGGAGGCTGAGACAGGAGAATCCCTTGAACCTGGGAGGCAGAGGTTGCAGTGAGCCAAGATAATGCCATTGTACTCCAGCCTGGGTGACAGAGCAAGACTCTGTCTCAAAACAAACAAACAAACAAACAAACAAACTTATACATGAATGTTCACAGCAACTCCACTCACAAAAGCCAAAAGGTGGAAACAATCCAAATGCCCACCAACTGATGAAATTTGTGATGGAAATACTCAATGGTTCAGCTGCTGTGGAAAAGTTTGGTCGTTCCTCAAAAGGTAAAACACAGCATTACCATATGACCTAGCAATTCCACTCCTGCTATATACCCAAAAGAACTAAAAACAGGTTGTCAGACAAGTACCTCTCTGTGTGCACGTTCATAGCAGTTCTATTCATGGCAGCCAAAAGGTGGACATAGCCCAAACATCCATCAATGGATGAATGGATAAACAGACAAAAATGTGGTATATCCATACAGTGGAATATTATTCAGCCTTTAAGAGGAGATTCTGACACATGCTACCCATATGGATGCTACGTGACAGAAGCCAGACACCAAAGGTCCCATATTGTATGATTCCATTAAGATGAAATGTCCAGAAGAGGCAAGCCCATAGAGACAGAAAGCAGATTGGTGGTTGCCAGGGCCTGGGGGAGAGCGGGAGGGTATGCTTAATGGGGACAGGATTTTCCTTTAAAATTATGACAAAGTTTCAAAACTAGATAGTGGTGGTAGTTGCACAACATTGTGAATGTACTTACTGTCACTTAATTGTACACTTTAAAATGGTTAAAATAGTAAACTTTGGGTTCTATGTATTTGACCACAATAAAAGTTTTAACAATCTTTTGTTTACTTGCTCTACAGACAAGACAAGACAAATGAGGAGGCTAAGGCCACCGCTTAGCCTCCTCATTAGCTAGGCACTACCTAGTGGAATTGTTTCACCTCTTATTCCTACCTGAACAAAAAGTAGGTCCATTGGCTTTCACGACAAATCCAACTGTACCATCTAAGGGTACACATGGCTCAACCAATATGCCACCCTGTACAACTGGCAAGCTGACTTAGTTGTGTATGATTGCCACCAGCCCTCAGGTGACAGCTAGGCAACCGGACAGGAGACAGTCCAAAGGGCACAGGTGAGGTGAGGGTGCCCCCCAGAAAGCAAATCCCAGGAGGAAGTTGGCAGCCAACTTAAAGGAGCAGAGCTAGTTTCCCCCAGTGCGAAGCACCACCATGACCCAATATCCCTTTGGGATCATCCTATCGACAAGAACACCTATTAGCATTGTGAGCTACTGAAATGACTCATTTCTTTAGCAACCTTCCAGGTGATGGCGGGTTTCCCCCAGTAGGAAAAGGCAGCCAGAGAGAAGCTTTCAGAGTCATGGCTGAGCAACCAGAGTGGGAAACCTCTAGTCATGCACATTAGATCTTCTGTGCACTCCCTGAAAAACAACTGCAGTCCCGCTGTCGGCTCAGGTGCTCCTTTGTACCCCATGTCACTTGAGGGTTGGAAGTAGTTTCTTCCAGAAACATTTGTCAGTTAGGTGGGTGTGTCTTCTGTGCCTAGCCCTGTGTTAGGTGTCATGGGAGATTATGGAGTGAGAGCATAAGTTCTAAAAAGACAGGGACCATGCCTGTCCTGTTCACCATTGTCTCTGCCGTACCTAAACCCAGTGCCTGGCACATAGTAAGAGCTTAATAAATATATGGAGAGGAAAGGAGGGAGGAATTCCTACAAGGCGAGACTAGAAAGTGCTTGCTTAACCAACATGCCGAAACACATGCATTCAAATGACTGCTGTCCCCCTTCCCCACAAGAGGACACACAAGGATTCCATCGGAGCAGCCCTAACTCACCACATTCCTGGGGCTCCTCTCTGGGAACTTCCTTCAAAGCCTCTGGCACATTCCTCTAATTCTCTTCACTGACTACCAATCTTTGTCATTTGCAGGTGAATTTGCCTTTTTGAGACAGCCAAAAGTTAACTGGCGTGAGCAAAGAAGCTAAAGCTCAAACAGGCCCATGAGTGGCACACAGGAGGAGCTCCAAGATTTGGTCGGTGGTGTGGCTTCCATTACCATTTCCTCACGGACGTTCACATACAGTCCAGATGAAGAGGGACCTTCCTTTCCCTTGATTCCCTCCACCCCAGCCACGCTTCCAGCCCTTTTCTCTTATCCTTTCCTTGAAAAAGTACCCTAAGTCCAGCAATTCCACTCCTAGGTATATGCCCCAAAGAACGAAAATGGATACTCAAACAAGTATTTGTACATGCGTGCTCACAGCAGCCCCATTCAGAACAGCCAAAAGGGGAACACAGCCCAAATGTCCATCAATGGCGTATATATCCACATAAGAGAATATTAGTCAGCCATAAAAAGGAATGAAGAATTGAAACCTGCTAACACACGGCTAGACCTTGAAAACAGTATTCTACATGAAAGAAGCCAGACACAAAAGGCCCCATGCTGTATGATTCCATTGATATGAAGTGTCTAGAATAGGGAAATCCATAGAGACAGAAAGATTAGTGGTTGGGCGGGGGGCAGGGAGGAAGGGGGAATGGGGAGTAGCTGTTTAATGGGTGTGGGGTTTTATTTTGGGGTGATGAAAATGTTTGGGAGGCTGGGCGCGGTGGCTCACACCTGTAATCCCAGCACTTTGGGAGGCCGAGGCGGGCGGATCACGAGGTCAGGAGATCAAGACCATCCTGGCTAACACGGTGAAACCTCATCTCTACTAAAAATACAAAAAATTAGCCGGGTGTGGTGGTGGGCACCTGTAGTCCCAGCTACTTGGGAAGCTGAGGCAGGAGAATGGTGTGAACCCAGGAGGTGGAGGCTGCAGTGAGCCCAGATCGCGCCACTGCAGTCCAGCCTGGGTGACAGAGCGAGACTCCGTCTCAAAAAAAAAAAAATTAGCTGAGCATGGTGGTGCATGTCTGTAATCCCAGCTACTCAGGAGGCTGAGGCACGATAATCACTTAAACCTGGGAGGCGGAGGCGGAGGCGTCAGTGAGCCAAGATCACGCCACTGCACCACTCCAGCCTGGGTCACAGAGTGAGACTCTGTCTCAAAAAGAAAAAAAAAAAGAAAATGTTTTGGAACTAGATAGAGGTGGTTGCACAAGATAGTGAATATACTAAATGTCACTGAATTGTTTGCTTTGTTTTTATTTTTTTGAGACAGGGTCTTGCTCTGTCACCCAGGCTGGAGTGCAGTGGCATGAACACGACCCACTGAACCTCAACCTCCTGGGCTCAAGTGATCCTCTTGCCTCAGCCTCCTAAGTAATGGGGACCAAAGGTATGTGCCAACATACCCAGCTAATTTTTGTTACTGTTATTGTTGTAAAGATGAGGAATCACTCTGTTGCCCATGATGGTCTTGAACTCCTGGGCTCAAGTGATCCACCTGCCTCAGCCTCCCAAAGTGCTGGGATTATAGGTGTGAGCCAATGTGACCAGCCTAATTATTTCCTTTTAAATTGTTAATTTCATGTTGCATGAATTTCATCTCGATAAATTCTTTTTTAAAAAAGCACCCGCAGAAGCTCAGTGCAATGGCTCACACTTGTAATCCTAGTGCTTTGGGAGGCCAGGGCAGGCAGATCACCTGAGCTCAGGAGTTCAAGACCAGCCTGGGTAACATGGTAAAACCCAGTCTCTACAAAAAATGCAATAATTATTTTGGTGTGGTAATGTGTGCCTGTAATCCCAGCTACTCGGGAGGCTGAGGCAGGAGGATTGCTTGAACCCGGGAGGTCGAGGCTTCAGTGAGCCCAGACTGCGCCACTGCACTTCAGCCTAGGTAACAAAGTGAGACCTTGTCTATAAATAAATAAGTAAATAAATAAATAAAAATAAAAAGCACCCTCAGGCCTCATGGTAAGAATAGAGCCTCTCACCTCAATTCAAGAGGCTACCCCAGCAGTTTGTCTACTCCTCAGGGTCCGATCATACCCCTCCCCATCTCCTCTAACTCACTCACCAGCTGAGGGACTTGAAAGATGAGAAAAACAAAAAACTAGTGGTCTTCAACATGGGGTCATATGGCAGAGGTATCTAGCAGGAAAAACAATAACCTGTGATTCAGTGACTTCAAGCGGTAAACTACTAACCCTTTCATAGGTGGAAGGCAGAGTGTCCTGATACTTCCTCTGATGTCCCGAACCAAACTGCATCAACTCTGGGTAAGCCCTACATTCTTTCCAACAGACGAGGAAAAACAAGTCTGTTTTCCTTCAGCCAGCTTGGATATTGCTCTCTTCTTCAAAGGGACAAAGGTAAATCAGTCACATACCTGCCTGTAATTTGGCTGAAGGGGGAGGCCTTCCAGAGGCCTCTCAGGGAGTTTGGATGGCTTGGCGCTCCAAGCCCAAGCATGAGGTAGAAAGGGTTCACCGTCTGGCCTCCTGTACCCAGGACAGCACCTGAAATCTAATAGGTGCTCACTAAATGGACGGATGAACGAATGAATAAAGGAGTGCCACTCCATCCTTCATGATCTCAGGAGAAATGGGCCTCACCTTAAGTCAACCCAATATAAGAAAATCTACATTTACAACCCAGATGAATTATCTATCTTCTGCTTTACAAAAGGACTCACTTCAGGATACCGGAAAACAGTGACATTTCTTTGTACTTAGAAAAGGATTTACTGCTGGGCGCGGTGGCTCACGCCTGTAATCCCAGCACTTTGGGAGGCCGAGGCAGGCGGATCACCTGAGGTCAGGAGTTAGAGACCAGCCTGACCAACACTGTGAAACCCCATCTCTACTGAAAAAACAAAATTAGCCATGCATGGTGGTGGGCGTTTGTAATCCCAGCTACTTGGGAGGCTGAGGCAGGAGAATCGCTTGAACCCAGGAGGCAGAAGTTGCAGTGAGCCAAGATCGTGCCATTGCACTCCAGCCTGGGCGACAAGATCGAGACTCCATCTTAAAAAAAAAAAAAATTAAAGAAAAAAGAGAAAAGGATTTGATTCCCCCGACAACTTTCCACAACAGGGGCCTTTGCACACAGCCAGGGAAGCGCTACATGAGGCATAACCCTGACGCTAATGCTCACCTTTTCCTCCCGCCAAAAATGGAGCCCTGTGCACCCTAAAGGGATTCTCCTTCATTTTCTGCCCAGCTGGACTCCACTAGGGGAAGATGAAGACAATTAATCAACAGAGGGTCTAGTCAAGCAAATGCTTGGGGACAAAAAGCCAAAAGCATTTTAAATACCTCAGCCAGACAGCAAAGTAAAAAAATTAAAATCAGGCTGGGCGCGGTGGCTCACACCTGTAATCCCAGCACTTTGGGAGGCTGAGGCGGGTAGATCACGAGAGTCAAGAGATCAAGACCATCCTGGCCAACATGGTGAACCCCGTCTCTACTAAAAATACAACAAATGTCCAGGCGTGGTGGCTCACGCCTGTAATCCCAGCACTTTGGGAGGCCGAGGCGAGCGGATCACGAGGCCAGGAGATCGAGACCATCCTGGCTAACACGGTGAAACCCTGTCTCTACTAAAAATACAAAAAAAATTAGCCGGGCATGGTGGCGGGCGACTGTAGTCCCAGCTACTCCGGAGGCTGAGGCAGGAGAATGGCGTGAACCAGGGAGGCAGAGCTTGCAGTGAGCCGAGATCCTGCCACTGCATTCCAGCCTCCGTCTCAAAAAAAAAAAAAAAAAAAAATATATATATATATATATATATATATATATATATATATAACAAATTAGCTGGGCATGGTGGCGGGCGCCTGTAGTCCCAGCTAGTGGGGAGGCTGAGACAAAAGAATCACTTGAACCTGGGAGGCGGAGGTTGCGGTGAGCCAAGATTGCGCCATTGCACTCCAGCCTGGCGACAGAGCGAGACTCCGTCTCAAAAATAAATAAATAAATCAGAAGTCCATGTAAATGTATCTAGGTGTAGGGGCTGAGGAGGCAGAGCAGTGGAGGGAAAAGCTTCCCCAGCCTCCAGTCTCCACACTCGGGTGCTTCCTGCAGCCACCCTACCAACCTACCCAGTGGTTCCTGGAGATTTGGCAGGGAGGCACACAGGCATGAAAAATGAGAGCCAAACACTCAGTTCAAGGCATCCAAACAGCCCCTGAGGTTGGCTGCACAACATTAGGAATGTACTAAATGGGCCAGGAGCGGTAGCTCATGCCTGTAATCCCAGCACTTTGGGAGGCCAAGGGAGGCGGATCACTTGAGGTCAGGAGTTGGAGACCAGCCTGGCCAACATGGTGAAACCTACCTCTATTAAAAATATAAAATTAGCCAGGCACAGTGGTGCACACCTATAGTCATAGCTACTCGGGAAGCTGAGGCAGGAGAATCACTTGAACCTGGGAGGCAGAGGTTGCAGTGAGCTGAGATCATGCAACTGCATTCCAGCCTGGGTAACAGTGAGATTTGTCTCAGGAAAAAAAAAAAAAAAAAGAGAATGTACTAAATCCCACTGAATTGTTCACTTTATTTTTTTTAATTAATTAATTTTTTGAGACGGAGTCTCGCTCTGTCGCCCAGGCTGGAGTGCAGTGGTGTGATCTCAGCTCACTGCAAACTCCACCTCCTGGGTTCAAGCAATTCTCCTGCCTCAGCCTCCCGAGTAGCTGGGATTACAGGCATGCACCACCACGGTCCAGCTAACTTTTGTATTTTTAGTAGAGAGGGGGTTTCACCATGTTGGTCAGGCTGGTCTCCAGTTCCTGACCTCAAGTGATCCACCCACCTTGGCCTCCCAAAGTGCTGGGATTACAGGGGTGAGCCACCACGCCTGGCCCGAATTGTTCACTTTAAAATGATTATGTTAGGTAAATTTTACCTCAATTTTTAAAAAAGTCCCTGAGTGCTGTCCTCTCACACACCCTACAAACAGCCTTTGGGCCTAAGGGCCCCCTGCTTCTTGAGAGCCTGCTGACTCCTGCCAGTGCCTGCCTTCCTGTGGTGGTAGGCCAAGGTCCCAGGCTGCCTTTGCATGGAAAAGAGCTGGTGCACTTTATAGCAACCCATTGGCTCCTGACTCCCATTATTAAGCCTGATTCATGCCCATAAATTGAGCAAAAGGTCTAAATGAAGACTGGGCATGGTGGCTCACACTTGTAATTCCAGCACTTTGGGAGGCCAAGGCGGGAAGATAGCTTGAGCCCAGGAGTTCCAGACCAGCCTGGGCAACATAGCAAACCCCGTATCTCAACAAAAAGATAAAATACAAAATTAGCTGGGACCGGTGGCACACACCCGTGGTCCTAGCTACTTGGGAGGCTGAGGCAGGAGGATTGCTTGAGCCCAGGAGTTTGAAACTGCACTGAGCTATGATTGTACCACTGCACTCCAGCCTCGGTGACAGAGCAAGACACTGTCTCTAGTAATTTTTAACAAATCTAAATAAAGGTGCTCAGCCAGGACAAGTTAGGAAGTGCTGGAGTCTCTAGCCTGGGCAACACAGCAAGACTCTGTCTCAAATATATATAAACACATATACGTACATACACACACACACCACAAATATGTGAAGTACTAGAGTTAAGAAAAGTCTTCTCTGGGGCCGGGCGCGGTGGCTCACGCCTGTAATTCCAGCACTTTGGGAGGCCGAGGCGGGCGGATCACGAGGTCAGGAGATCGAGACCATCCTGGCTAACATGGTGAAACCCCGTCTCTATTAAAAATACACAAAAATTAGCCGAGCTTGGTGGCGGGTGCCTGTAGTCCCAGCTCCTTGGGAGGCTGAGGCAGGAGAATGGTGTGAACCCGAGAGGTGGAGGTTGCAGTGAGCTGAGATCACGCCACTGCACTCGAGCCTTGGCGACAGAGCAAGACTCCGCCTAAAAAAAATAAAAGTCTTCTCTGAATTCTGCAACATAGACTGGCATTCAATTTAGTTTCAGGAGGTGTCAAAAAGCTGGCTAGCAGAAGTTCGAGACCAGCCTGGCCAACATGGCAAAACCCTGTCTCTACTAAAAATTCAAAAATTAGCCGGGCATAGTGGCGAATGCCTGTAATCCCAGCTACTCAGGAGGCTGAGGAATGAGAATCGCTTGAACCCGGGAGGCAGAGGTTGCAGTGAGCCAAGATCGCGCCAAAAACAAAACAAAACCAAAAGATAGCTAGTAGTTGGGATGAGGAGACAGAAAGATAAGAGAAACGTGTTTATTTCTCTCCTCTCTGTCTCTTTTTTTTTTTTTTTTTTTTTTGAGACACTGTCTCACTCTGTTGCCCAGGCTGGAGTGCAGTCACCATACCTGGCTAATTTTTAAATTTTTTTGTAGAGACAAGGTCTCCGTATGTTGCCCAGGCTGGTCTCAAACTCCTGGCCGGAAGCAATTCTCCTACCTGAGCCTCCCAAAGTGCTGGGATCACAGGCATAAGCCACTGCGCCTGGCCTATTTCCCATTTTTTAACTACTTAAAATGGTTTCCACATTCCTACTCCTTAGGGGTTTTGGAGAAGGGATTGGGGAAGCAAAGAGTTCATCTGTTTACTAAGGTGGTCACAGTGTTATTTAGATCTAGGAGCCCCTGAGACCCTCGGGATGGCAGTTTCTAGCCTAAGGAGGCCTCGGGACTAGACCGGTTTCTCAAAGACAGAGCTGCGTGTGGTGCCTTTGTCATATCAAGATGCTCTGGATGCTTGTTGGTCTCAGATTTTCCTGGGAATCCAGTGGAGTGCAGATAACACGTGTATGTGTCTAAGAGAGAGTGCATGTGTACACAGTACGTGGGAGGCAGCTACCAACGGTGGCTTGCCCCAAGCCCTGCACCCCTAGGGATGGTTCAGCTAAGGGGAACAACAGTCACCACTGGCCCAGGACAAATGACTGAATGAACATTCCAAGGCTGCTCTGCGCCTCAAGGACAGGGGCTTGGGAACCCAGAGCTGGAGGGAGGGAAAACAGAAAAGGCAGCCATCCTGCCCCCAGCCTGGGAGATGCTAGTCAGGCTGTACAGGCCTAAGGCCTGTGCTCCAAGGTTTAGTCAGCTCAGCTGAGACCTGGGTGGAGGCTGGCTGAGCAGGAGTCAAGATCTCCCGCGACAGCCTCCTATTACCCCCCACTCACCGCCTACCTAGTCCTCCCCTTCCATAAGAGCCTTTAGTTAGGTCCCCTTTGTTTCTTCCTCCATCATCAGCTACTTAGTTAACCTTTGTTGGATAAACAAATGAGCCCCTGGTTGGGAGCCTGGAACCATATATCTGGAGGTATAGAGGTTCGGGGCTAACTAGGGCCAAAGTCTGGGTGAGAAGAGGGAGCAGCTTTGGGCCAATCCTTAGTCCTGTTGGCTCCTGGCCAGAGAGGGGTTCTAACCACAATACAAACACTGCAGCCTCCAAGAAGGTTCAGAGATACAACTCCCAGCTGCTCCGCCGCTCAGGCAGTCTGAAGAAGTCACTGCTAGAGCAAGGGCCAAACTGTGATGTCACTAAGAGGCAGGGTTCCTTTATTCAGAGGTCAAGTCTGAGGAGATTCCTACTGAGCATGCCCAAGCTAGACTCCCCTCCTTCCCTCCTCCCCCTGCCCAACTCAGTAGAGCTATCTAACTGCAGACAAACAGCTGCTATCCACTAATGAGAAAATAAATGCATGTTGGCTTGTGGCCCTTGCCATGGGCCTCAACACCAGACACTTTACAGAAGGGGCAGGTGAGGGAGGAAAAGGAACGGAAGGAAGGGGGACCCTGGGATGCAGAGGGAACATCACAGTTCCCACAGGCAAGGGCTGTAAAGAATGAAGCTTCGGGAAGCATCCCAGGGGTTCCACTGTGATCCACTTGATCACAAACAAGAAGAAATTGCAAACACATAAGCAAAATGCTAAGTATCACTTTGTTGCAACTGACATCCCATTCAAAGCACAGGTCAACACATTCTGCCCCCAGCTAGGTCTACTAGTGGGGCTGCCGCCCCCACACAGAGGCCCACCCTAGATCCCTAGCTACGAAATAGGTCCCTGTGGGCTCCCAGGGCCCTGAAGAGGACGCACACACTTGCAGTAAGGGGATAAGAGGAAGTGGCCTTTGGACTTTTTCAAGCAAACTGAGATTCTTGAGCTCTTTGAATGAAAGCAGGTGAAGAGGGCAGATGGCCCTCATGGGAGCTGTTCAAGGTGGAAGGAGATGAAGAGGATGTCCTCACAAGTTCAGGAATCAGAGGCTGGCCCCAAGGACAACAGTGTCAAGTCTGGACCATGCTTACCACTGAGAAAGCGCTTCATGGTGTCGCTGCTGGCCAGCTTCATGGCTGTCTGACCCGAGTAGGTAGCCAGTGTGGGATCGGCCCCATAGGACAGCAGGAGCCAGATGGTCTCCAGGTTGTCATTGACCACCGCATCATGAACTGGCCTGTGGAGGTGATACAGGGTGAGGATAACAGGGCCCAAGTGGGAACTGGGGTGTCTACACTTAAGGCTACTGCATCAGGGGAAAAAACTGAGCTGACCCCCAGGTAACCTTGGTGTAATATGGTTTAAGACTTAGGACAAGGGAACCACCTGTAGCCTTGCAACTCTCCACTACCATCTCCCCAACTCCTCCTCTCTCTGTACCCCCTTTTCCTCCCTCCCATTACTCTCTCTCTCTTACGTTCCCCTGACATCTTGGGACAGTTCCCATGGCACAATGTAGCTCTATTGGTAGTTGTGGAGTTCACTAGAGGATGGGTCCCTGACCTACAATAAAGTTAAGGCAGCTGCAGGGAAGCCGGGCGCGGTGGCTCACGCCTGTAATCCCAGCACTTTGGGAGGCCGAAGCAGGTGGATCACTTGAGGCCAAGAGTTTGAGACCAGCCTGGCCAACATGGTGAAGCCCCATCTCTACTAAAAATCCAAAAATTAGCTGGGCGTCATGGCGGGCACCCATAGTCCCAGCTACTCAGAAGGCTGAGGCAGGAGAATTGCTTGAAACCGGGAGGCAGAGGTTGCAGCGAGCCAAGATTGTGCCACTGCATACCAGCCTGGGCGACAGAGTGAGACTCCATCTCAAAAAAAAAAAAAAGGTGGGGGCAACTGTAGAGGGATACTTCAGTTCAGGGAACTGAAGGCCCTGGGTGACTCCCTGAGAGCAGAGATGAGCAGAAGGGCTCCACACGCCAGGCAGAACCCAAGCGGAGCCCCCTCCTGGATCTGCAGCTCCTGTCTCTAATTTGCCCAGGAAGTAGGCTCTCTGGTAGAACAGAGGAGAATGGGTACAATTTCTCTAAGACACAGCAGGTGTATTTTTCTTACAGTGTCTAGAGATCAAATTTTAAAAATCAAATCTGGATATTACCCTCAGGTCAACCTCTCAGTTTCTATTCTGTCTGAGACACGTCCCCCACCAGGATGAGTTGAGGGAAGACCGAGTGGTCTTCCTGGTGACAGCTACACATGATGGGATGATCCCTAGACAACCACAGCCTCCCCTTAGTAACTGATGCGGCCTGGCCATCTGGGAACTAACTCATTGGCTCCTGCCCTAAACTGGTTCCCTCTTGAGCCTATAGAAGTCTTTCCAAAACTCCTCCTGTCAAGGCCTCTCTGCAACTCGCAGTCTGGTGTGCTACGAAGGTTCAGGTTGAGGTAAGGTCTTTATTTTTTTATTTTTTATGTTTTTTTGAGACGGAGTCTCCATCACCCAGGCTGGAGTGCAATGGCATGGTCGCGGCTCACTGCAACCTCCACCTCCTGGGTTCAAGCAATTCTCCTGCCTCAGCCTCCTTAGTAGCTGGGACTACAGGCACATGCCACCACACCCGGCTAATTTTTGTATTTTTAGTAAAGATGGGGTTTCACTATGTTGGCCAGGCTGGTCTCGAACTCCTGACCTCATGATCCGCCCGCCTTGGCCTCCCAAAGTGCTGGGATTACAGGCGTGAGCCACCATGCCTGCCAGCGGCAGGCAAGGTCTTTTGAGTGAGAGGCTGAGCTGGGAGTGAGGGCGGGACTGGGGGGAGATGCAGCCCTCTTGCCTCGTGCCGTCCTGCGCACTGCAGTTCACGTTGGCCCCGTGCTCCAGCAGGATGTTCAGGATGTCGGTCCAGCCCCGGGAACAAGCCTCATGCAGGGCTGTGTAGCCAGCATTGTCACGGTGATTCACATCTTCACTGTCTTTCTGGAGGCAGTAGAGAACAACATCCTGTGGGGACAGGGACAACTCCATGAGCAAAGAGAGGTCTAATTCTTGAACTTATATAACCCTGAGACTCAAAGCTCCCCAAATATCTGAGGAGTCTCAGAGCCTGCCCTTTATAGCAGGGACACACTTCAAAATCTTTCATTAACAACATCAGTCCTGAGCCACAATTGCCAGGACCCCAGCTCTGGGCCGTTTCCTTGGCAGTGGAGAGACTTTTTTTTTTGAGACAGTCTCACTCTGTTGCCCAGGCTGGAGTGCAGTGGCGCAATCTCAGCTCACTGCAGCCTCTGCCTCCCAGGTTCAAGCGATTCTCCTGCCTTAGCCTCCCAAGTAGCTGGAGCTACAGGCGCACGCCACCACGCCTGGCTAATTTTCGTATTTTTAATAGAGATGAGATTTCACTATGTTGGCCAGGCTGGTCTCCAGCTCCTGAACTCAGGTGATCTGCCCACCTTGGCTTCCCAAAGTGTTAGGGTTACAGGCGTGAGCCACCGCACCTGGCCTGGAGAGACTTTTTTTATGGCCAAGGACACTCATCTGGGTGGTGGTATTTGAGGTGAGGTCCTCAGAGAGGCTGACCTGCCCGCCCAGAGCTCAAGCACTCAGACCTCGACTCCCTGAGCTTGGCAAGCCAGCCCCAGACCAGAGAAATGAGATGTGGTGGAGAGCACAGCCTCTGGTGGCAATTCAAGAATAAGGAAGACAATTGTTTTAAGGACTATCCCTGGATGCACGTCTCGGCAGGACCAATGTTCAAGCCAGGACAGTCAGTTCTAGCCCTCCCCTCAAATCAGGATAATCCAATAGGCTGGGTGCAGTGGCTCACGCCTGTAATCCCAGCACTTTGGGAGGCTGAGGCGGGCAGATCACCTGAGGTCAGGAGTTTGAGACCAGCCTAGCCAACATGGCAAAACCCCCTCTCTACTAAAAATACAAAAATTAGCCCAGTGTGATGGCAGGTGCCTGTAATCCCAGCCACTCAGGAGGCTGAGGCAGGAGAATCCCTTGAACCCAGGAGGTGGAGGCTGCAGTGAGCCGAGATTGCACCGTTGCACTCCAGCCTAGGTGACAGAGCAAGACTCCATCTCCAAAAAAAAAAAAAAAGGATAATCCAATACTGCCATTCATCCACACTTTAATGACTGCCTTCCTTGGATTGAGATGATGCTAGGACTACAGGTGGGACACCAGGGACTTGAAGCACCCTAGCTAGCATGGGCTGAAGCTGGGTGAATGAGGTGAGGAGGGGAGAGGCTGGCAGCATTAATGGCTGCCTGGCTTTCCAAACAATGGATCCCATAGCTGCACCATTGCCAGTCCTCTCTGGGGCACTGGGGAGATGGGCCACTCCACCTTTCTGTCTGACAGCTCACAGGCTAGCTGGCTAGAGCGGCTGTGTGTGCAGCCTGTGTCAGGGGTGCTGCTGGCTGTATATAGAAACTGTCAAGCTCCTTTACCCGGGAGAAAGCCCGAGGCTTCCCACCCTCCTCACCAGTGCAGATGTCTGCCTCTTCCCCCAGGCCCAAAAGGGCTCCTTCCACCCTCCCTGACAGGCTGCCTTAGTGCTCCAGCCCTGTCCCATTGGCCCCTCCAATGGTTTCCTGTTGGCTGGTTTTGCCCAGGGTACAAGACAATTAAATTAACCTTGACGGCAGGGATTGGTCTTGATTTTTGTTTTAGGTCTCCCTCGGCAGCTATCCAGGCACGCACACTAGGTGCTCATGAAAGATGGGCTGCTTGCCAGTGAGACACTGTCACGTCAGCTCCCCAGAGCTGACCAGTCTGGCTGGGAGTGTGGCTGGTGTGAAACAACTCAGGTATAGGGATGGAAAGCCTTAAAACCAAAGGCACACTCTGTAACTAACCCAGCAACTCCACTGCTAGGAGCATACCCTGAGGAAATAATCCATATGGTAGGCAAAGATACACACTCAATAAAAAGTGGGGAACAATGGAAACGTCCAAGGTGTAACTGAATTATGGTGAATGAGTCAGTCTTCCACCTACCCTGGCACTTGGGAATCAAAAGACCTTGGTTTGAATTCAGACTCATATGCGTAGTAGTTGAGTGATCTTAGACATATCAGTAACACTGCAAAGCCTCGATTTTCTCACCTATAAAATGGGGATAATAAATCTACTCCATCGGCTTACTGTGAGATTAAATGATACAAAGTAATCAGGCTCTTCACATGACAAAAGAAGTGCTCAATAAATGCCAGCTTCCTTTCTTGCCTTCTTTCTAATCTATAGGGTAGTAGTATAAGGTGGGGTTAGCTCAGCCTCGCCCCTCAAACATGATCCTGGCCCCTCTGCGAGAGGCGAAAATGAGGGGAAGCTGGAGGAGGAGATGAAGAGTGAGCAATAAATCACCCCTTGTTCCTTTCTGAGTTGGGAAACCACCATACAGAGAAATTTAAGACAACGTGGATATCCAAAAATTGCGTTCCTGGTCTAGGAATATACTGCATGATACCATTTCAATTGCATTCATCCCAAATTGACATTCAAGCAAGTTTGCATTCTCACACGCTGACATCCAAGTGATGAGGGGCAAGGCAGCCCCAGGGCAATCTGGGGTGTAGAGGGAGGCCAGCCTGGGTTCAAGCACCAGAAGAGCCCATGGAGAAAAGCTTCTTCATAGATGCTCAGACCAACGGCGCCCTGTGGTCAGTCGAAAACTCCCTTACCTTATAGCCAAGACGCGCCGCCCTCTGCAGGAGGGTCTCACCAGCATTTTTGTTCACTATGAGCCGACGTGCCTCTGGGGGGATCTGCCGGGCTGTAGGTGACTCTGAGGCCTCCTCTGAGCTGGCACTTCGGGACTTAGAGGGTGTACATGGTTCTGTGGGTTTCACTGGGGTGGGAGATTTGGGAGATCGTGTCTTCTGCTGGCTCCAACGACCTTTGCCCTGGAAAGCAGAGATGCAGTCCTAGGTCAGGTCAGGCCAGGCAGCTTATCCATCCACCAGGGTCATCACTGCCCTCAGTGGCCAAGGCCATCTCACCTTATCTGTGTCCATGCTGTACTTTGCTTACACTACCCTAAATGGCCGAGACTACTGTCAGGTTTGAGGCCAGACGCTGGGCCAGGCGCTAACCATGTGAAGTCTCTCCAGGATCAACACAGGTTCCCATGAGTTTGTAGCCGGTGGGGAGATATGAAGAGGTTCAAATGCTCAACCCCATAAACCAAGGAATGCCACAGGGATTGTAAATCAGAGATTGAGGGGATATCCTAGCTTCTCTCAAGACTCTGCATGCCTTCTTTACCTGCCTCAATCACCATTTATTGAGGTTTTTATAAGTCCTATCTGTAAATAGGCAGAAGCAAACTCTGAGAGTAAAGAGAAATGAGACAGCTATCTTTTTTTTTTCTTTTTTTGAGACCGAGTCTCACTTTGTCACTGAGGCTGGAGTGCAGTGGTGTGATCTCTGCTCACTGCAACCTCTGCCTCCCAGGTTCAAGGGATTCTCCTCCCTCAGCCTCCTGAGTAGCTGGGATTACAGGTATGCGCCACCATGCCCAGCTAATTTTTGCATTTTTAGTAGAGAGGGGTTTCGCCACATTGGCCAGTCTGGTCTCGAACTCCTGATCTCAAGTGATCCGCCTGCCTCGGCCTCCCAAAGTGCTGGGATTACAGGCATGAGCCACCATGCCCGGCCGGCTATCTTTGACTAGTCACAGCTGCTAAAGCTTCACACTTGTAGCAAAAACCTTCCTTCCACATCCAGTCCTCACAGAATGTTCCCATCTTCCATCACACTGTGTCCCCATATCATACTCAGACTCCCCTGGGGTGGTAGAAAGATCTAAGGCAGACCTGGGCTTGAACCTTGCCTCTGCCATCCCCTAGCTAGAAGACCTGGGGCAAGGCCCTCCCTCTCTGAGCCCCACTTTCTTCCTTGCAGGGTCTTTGAGATAATGAACTACAAAGGCTCCAGAACTGTGAGCAGGGTAGGTGCTCACAAAACACTAGGAGAGGCCGGGAGCGGTGGCTCACGCCTATAATCCCAGCAGTTTGGGAGGCTAAGGCAGGCAGATCAGTTGAGGACAGGAGTTCAAGACCAGCCTGGCCAACACAGTGAAACCCAGCCTCTACTAAAAATACAAAAAATCAGCTGGGCGTGGTGGTACACGCCTATAGTTCCAGCTACTCAGGAGGCTGAGGCATGAGAATCACTTGAGCCCGGGAGGGGGAGGTTGCAGTATGCCAAGATTGCGGCACTGCGCTCCAGCCTGGGTGATGGAGTGAGACTCTGTTACAAAAAAAAAAAAAAAGAGAGAAGAAAAGAAAAAAAATTGCCGGGCATGGTGGCTCACACCTGTAATCCCAGCACTTTGGAAGGCTGAAGCGGGTGGATCACCAGATGTCAGGAGTTCGAGATTAGCCTGGCCAATATGGTGAAACCCCATCTCTACTAAAAGTACAAAAAATTAGCCGGGAGTGGTGCCAGGTACCTGTAATCCCAGCTATTCGAAAGGCTGAGGCAGGAGAATTACTTGAACCTGGGAGGCAGAGGTTGCAGTGAGCCCAGATAGAGCCACTGCACTCCAGCTTGGGCAACAAGAGTGAAACTCCATTACAAATAAATAAATAAATAAATAAATAAATAAATAAATAAATAAATAGAAGAGATTCTCGACCTGGAGGTGATGCTATAATTGGATGAAGCTTTGGGGGGCACTGGGAGAGGTGGCATACTTTGCATGTGGGAGGGACAGGAATCACTGGGGGAGGCCAGAGGGCAGACTGTGGGAGTCAGCCTCTAAGATGGCCCCAGTGATCCCCTGATCTTCATGCTCTTATGCACCTTCCTCCTACAGTGAGTAGGGCTGACCTATGTAACCAACAGGAGACTGCAGAAATGACAGTAGGTGTCTTCTGAGGCTAGGGCCTAAAAGACACTGTGGTTTCTGCCTTGCTCTCTTTTGGATCACTCGTGGGGAAAGCCAGCTGCCGTGTCCTGAGGACCCTTGAGCAGCCCACTGGAGAGATCCATGGGGCAGGGAGAGGAGGCCTCCTGCCAACAACCAGCATCAATGTGCCAGCCATGCGAGCAAGCTACCCCAGAAGCAGATCCTCCAGTCACACCCTCAGAGGAATGCTGCCCTGGCTGACACCTGACTGCAACCTCACGAGAGACCCCAAGCCAGGCCTAGCTAAGCCCCTGAATTCCTGACCCCAAGAAACTGTGTGAGATAACATATGCTTATTGTTGTGTAAAGCTGCTAAGTTGTATAGTAATTTGTTATACCCCAATAGATAACTAGTATTTCCGACTTATCCAAACCCCTCAGAACATCAAGGTCTCAGTTCAATCCTCTGTCTTCTACCATATTCCACAACACTCTGGGCCCTCTTCCTCTGTGTAGCCAGAGTACCAAGTCTGAACCACGTAATCTGATGCCTCACTTTCTTCTTTCCACCCAGAGTTTCACGCGTAAGTCTCACCTCTCCTGCTAGATTTTAAGCTCCTTGGGGACAGGGTTCATATTGTCATCATTTTTCTGTTCCTTACAGCACTTAACTCAGGGCTGGGCACATTATTATTATTAGTTGTTGTTGTTTGTTTGTTTTTGAGACAGAGTCTCGCTCTGGCACCCAGGCTGGAGTGCAGTGACACGATCTTGGCTCACTGCAACCTCTGCCTCCCAGGTTCAAGCAATTCTCCTGCCTCAGCCTCCCAAGTAGCTGGAACTAAAGGCAGGTGCCACCACGCCCAGCTAATTTTTGTACTTTTAGTACAGACGGGGTTTCACCATGTTGCCCAGGCTGGTCTCAAACTCCTGATCTCATGTGATCCACCTGTTTCAGCCTCCCAAAGTGCTGGGATTATAGGCGTGAGCCACCGCGCCTGGCCACATTATTACAACAAATATTTGTTGACCTGTTTCAAGCCAGCTGTGTGCAGAGCCCTGGATGGCCAGAAAAGTTGCCTAAAAAGACATCAAGTCAGGAAAGGAGCAGTAGAGAACAGAAGATGAGGGCTCGGGGCATTTGTTTCCTCTGGTCAATCCCAAGACAGCGAGAAGCCATGATCAGTCCCCATCCTGAAAGGGCAGAGAGGTACAAGCCCTAGCAGGAAGGCACTAGCTATGAGGGTACAATGCTGCTTTATCGCCAGGAGGATAGAATGTACAATGGCAGGACTGGAGGATGCTGGGTAAAGTACCAGGGTTTCACTAAGCCAAGCCAGGAACCAAAGGGTGACTCTCCTTTCTGGGGGCCAAAGCTGCCAGAGAGCAGCAGCGAGGCAAGTTGCCTGGGAGGGGGAGGAGCAAGAACAAGTGGGGGGACCCCTCCCCCTCTCTCCTTCCCCCTGGCTCTGAGCCCCTGTGGGAAGAAGCCCTTGGCCAGTGCCCCGCTTTCAGTGTTGCAGGAGCGTTCCCCGCCCTCCCCCACCCCTTGCTTCCTGCTACAAAGCCCCATGCCATGGGGGCAACCAGAGCAGGTGGTGGTGACTGGGAGAGAAAGGAAGGTGGGAGGGGGAAAGGAAGGTCAGAGGGAGGGACAAAAACCTCTCCAGGAGAACACTGCAGCGGACCCACTGCCAGGCAGAATAGCCAGACAGAAGCATGTGAGTGTGCTGCTGAATCTCGAGCGCTGGTTACCTTTGTGTGGGCTGGGGCCATCCATCTGAGTGTCTGGGGGAGGAACAGGGGGAAGGGGAGGGGGAGCAGGAGCCTGAGACGCCCACCTTTTCCCAGCGCTGCTTGTGGAGGCAGCATTTTCTGCCCAACTGCCCCCTTCCCCCAGTGCCTCCCAAATACAAACAGAAGCCCCCCATTCAGAGCCTGAGAGACATATGGAACGAGCCATGGCTCCAGAGGCAGACAGGCCTTTTTCACGTCCCAACTGCATCACTCAGGACCACCCAATAACCTCGCACAAGTCCCTTAACCTCCTTGAGCCTCAGTTTCCTCACTACAAAATGAGGATAATAAAGGTGCCTACCTCCCAAGTGCCACTGCGGGAATTAAGAGCGATAACGTGAATGAACTGCTTGGCACAGACCAGAGTTCCCTGCTCTTTCCCTGGGCCCCTGTCCTCCCACTCTAGGGGGTCAAGGGAACGAACGCTGCTACCCTGCCACGCTATGCCTCTGTTCCCTCATTCTTGCTTCCGCCCGAAGCACAATGATGCACAGCAACCCTCGGAGAGCACTTTATGGTTATCAAAGCCTGTCACAGACATTGCTTCCTTTGTTCCCCCAAGCACCCTTGTGAGACAGAAAGGGCATGAAGCAGCAGCTCCATTCTTCAAGATGAAGAAATAAGCTTGAGTCTTGTCTGAGCTGGAAAGAGGTTCTGGGAGGGGGAAGGGGAAAGGAGGGGAGACGAGCACTTGGGGCTCCCACCTCTTGCCAGTGCCATTCGGGGATTCCAGTAAGAATCATGACCACCAAAGCGCTAGGCGTGATGGCTTCCGCCTGTAATTCCAGCACTTTGGGAGGCCAAGGCGGGCGGATCACTTGAGCTCAGGAGTTCGAGATCAGCCCGGCCAACATGGTGATTTTTTGTATTTTTGTACTAAAAATACAAAAATTAGCCGGGCGTGGTGGTGGGCGCCTGTAATCCCAGTTACTCACAAGGCTGAGGCACGAGAATCGCTTGAACCCAGGAGGCGGAGGTTACAGTGAGCCGAGATCGTGCCACTGCACTCCAGCCTGGGCGAAAGCGTGTGACTCTCAAAAAGAGAGAGAGAGAGAGAGAAAAAAAAAAATAAGAATCACGACCACCAAAACAAGCTGAAGATGGGCTTTTGTTTTTGGCTGTCAATGACAAATACATATTATAGGTATACATTTGAACCCGGACCCTCACTTCTCTCAAATGTAAAGTTAACCCAGGTTGAAGACTGATTTTTTCTAAGGATACAACATGCAACCTAACACCAATGGCATGAACATCAGACCCAAAAGAGATGTTGATTTGGGATGAGGGTTTTAGGAATGCTTGCCTGGCTGTTGATTGGTGACTGCCCACTCACTAGCATCTACGCTTCCATGAGAAGCTAAAGAACTGGGAAGCAGGGTAGGGGAGGAGTAGCTAGAACCTGGGCCCCAGTGGAATTCCTTCAGCCTCACCCTCAATCAACCTTTGTCTGGACCTTAAAATCCTTCCTCCTACAAGTTGTTTTCTACCTTGATTGACTCAGAAAGTTCCAAGATTGGTTTCCAGTAAGTTAAACCCAGACAAAAGCTTCTTGATTGGATGTTAACGAGCTACTCAAGCTAACATCCTGCCATATTCTTTAACTCTTCCTTAACTCAAAGAAAATCTAAAGATTGTAGAGGAAAAGCCATCATGGGCCAGACCTTAAAATTAACTATAACTTTAGTTCCCATTCTTCAAATCCACCCCCAACCCTTCGAGAACTAGTTTGAGAATGCCTTACTAAATATGGGTTAATTTGATCCTCCCCATCCCCCACCCCCCTCCTGCCTCCTCTGACCCCCCGCCACACACACCTTCTACAATACCCCTTGATAGCTACACACCTTTGCCTCTTCTGAGACGGTTGCCATGTGCTTGGTCTTGCACTTTCGTTTTCCTGATGGCTTTTCTGAATTTTCAAGGCAGGCTGGCTCTTCCAGGTTATTTGGGAGGAAACCGTTTGGTGAATCCGAGATCCCCTGGACTTTGTTGGGCAAGAGAAGGTTCCTGTTCCTGAGGCGGTGCTCCAAACTTTGGGAGGAGGAAGTCTTCTGCTTACGGGCCTTTAAATCTGAAGGCAAGAAACAGGAAAAGAACGGATGTCAGAGAAATGGAACACAGAAAAGCAACGCCTTCCTCTAAGATGAATCAGAGGACTTTGGGGATTAGAACTGCAGTGCAAAGTTGTATAACTATCAGCTATCGATATCTAGTGCTGTGCTGACTATTCCACTAAATACTTCTTGAATGAACACACCATACTTCAACATCGAAGTCCCTCATCTACAAGCAGGAGACAGCTCCCAGCCCTGCCAGCAGGGGGCGGCCCATCTGGCTAGCCCTAAGATAAGGGTAATTTTAACAGGATTTTTCCCAGAGCCCAGAGCAAATCAGAATTTCTTTTTGCTTTTTTCCCATTCCCTTTGTCTGTTTCTCCAGTCCCGTATGAAAGCAAATCTGGTGGTCCTGCTGACATTAAGTATCAAGTACATGGGGAACAGGGAGGAAAAGGTAGAAGGCTGCCTTCATGGCCTCAGCTCTACTCACCTGACTGCCCCATTTGTCACTCTCCGAGGACACAAAGATCAAAGCTACAGGAACTCCCTGAAACTAGAAGGCATCATGAGCCTACCTAGCTGGCAGTCAAGGGCAGAAACCTGCTGCCTTTTCTGGGTGAAAATCAAGTCACTGGTGTCACTAGAACACACCAGCAACATCTCTAATTTAGCCACAGCTTGCTGAACAAAGCACATTCTAATTTCAAAAAGGCCTGCCGGGAACTCCATTATCAAGAGCTTCATCCCACAGGGTCTGTCCTAACCCCGTGTGTAGGGGCGACTGTGTGTTTAACCTCATCTCTCAAGATTAGTGCTGCTTGGCTTGGCCATCAATTGTGTGATTGGCTGGGCTCAAGTCCTAATTGCTCTGAGCCTCAGTTGCCATATCTGTAAAATGGGGAGAATATAATCTACATCACAAGAGTGGTATGAGAATTAAATAAGATAATACATGCAAAACCCCTTTCAAAAAGTGTTATAACAAGTAAGACATCATTATTGTGTTATTTAAGCACAAGCTCTTGAGGTGGAGCCATGCCCGTGTGTTTTCCTCCCCAAAGGAATGAACACCATGCCTAGCAATTAGTGAAATGAAGGGACTGAGATTGAAGAGTTCTCAACTCGCCTCTCTCAACCCTGACACGGGCTCTCACATGTGACATTGACAAAGGCAGATCCAGATGTGGAAGCCATCATTTCAGCACAAGGAGTTGGCTGCAGCTTATGCACAGTTCCTGGAAGGCCAGCTGTCATGCCATCCCTTTCTCCCAGCTAGCCTCAGCCCGCTAGTGGGGCCCCATAGCCTGTCCAGGAATTGCTGTACTACATGGTCTCTAATAGCACTTCCAGTCAGAATGTTCTAAACTCCAGCTTTTGATGCGACACATTTGGGCTGAGGCAAAAGAGGAAGGAACAGAACCATGCCTTGTGAGGACCCCAGGAAACATGAAGAAGTCATATTACAGTGTTCAATGCTACAGGCAAAGAAACAGCCCCCCACCTTGTTTACCCAGGGCAGGGCAGGCTCGGGTGTTTATTCAATTGCAGAGAAGTGAAGGCTTTATAGTAGCCCACAAAGGACTAGAGAGCGGAGGTGGCAGGTGTGTGAGTGGAAGTGGCTCTGCCTACCTGCTCCGCAGGTCAAGAAGGGAGATAACCAAAACCAGGATGAAAAGAAAAGTCAGGAGGCTCAGACAGAAGCAGGGTAACCTGCCTCATTTGGCCTTTGCCAAATTCCTGCACGAAGATGCCATCATCAGATCTGGAGGAAAGTAACCAGACCATGTGCCAAATCCAGCTGCCTCAATGCAAAACCCTTAGACACATCCACAGAGGAAGAATGACCTACTTTCCAACAACTGGAGCTGCCCCCAAATCAAGTAGGATGCCTTGATTGGTGGTGTTCTCTGCGTTACTGGAGGTGTGTTCATGAAAAGGCTGGCTGGCTACCTGTCAAGAATGCTGTGGAGATCTCTATCTTTGCATTGGGTGGCAAACTGGACCAGGCAACCTCGAAGGTCCTTCTGGTTCCAAGCGCCAATATGTTCCACAGGAAGCTTCCATGCTAGGAAACCAGGTGCCATTAGAGAAGATTAGGTGATACACAAAAGCTCCTCTTCATCCTAACACAAGTGGCTGAGGCCAACAGCTTGACAACTCATTCCTGACCAATCTATTATTGCTCTAGCAGAAGAAAGAGAATTGTTCCCACTCTGTCACATAGTTGATGAAAATTAGCTCAATTACTCTCTTGAGCGTAGAGATGGGTATCATATACACCTCCACTTAAACAGAGCCGGAAATGAGGTTAAGCCGTCTTTGCATTATAGCAAACCTGGACTCTACTACCCACTCAATATGAGGTTATTCAGTTTTAGCTAATAAGGAGACAGCGGATGTTTACCGGCAGCTCAGGATGAATACATCATAGGAGGCAATCAATTGCTGCTTCCAGGGTAGAGGTCAGAGAATGAGAGTGAGAGACAGAGGTGTTCTTATAAAACCCAAAGATGTGCTTTTTGCTCATTTAGAAATCCACTATAGGAATGGGCCTGAACAGTACTCAGTGGAACATACTGATATTAGCATCTTGTGACAGTCTGTGCCTCCGGAATGGTATATCACAGCATTTGATGTGGTCAGAGAAAGCCTGGTTTTCTCTTTGGGCTGCCTGCCTTCTCAACTCAGGTCCAACAAAAATGATGCTACTTTGGGTCACCTCAAAGCTTCACTCCGCCTCTGAATAATCACTGTGGCTTTAACGGATAAAGCAATGCTGTGCCCGTTTCTACTTGAAGTTCTTCTGTTGGTTTGAAGAACCCACTGTACTTCTTTTTAGCTTAGAGGCTGCAAGTATCCCAGGAAAGGCAGCCGATGCCCTCTGTCTTCTTGAACCCAAGATTCTAGGAGAGAGAACCCGTCCTCCCAAAAGACTCGACTCCCTCAAGCCAACCAGAGAACTCCCTGGTATCCAGTTGTCCCATGCCAAGGATGTCACCGTGGCCTTGCCCACAGGTTCAGACTTCTATAAGAAACCGGAGGGCTTGGGCCTTCATGTCCTCCGCTCACCTGCAGGCCAATCCGAACTCATTCAATGTCAACCCAAAGCCAAAGGCTCGGAGCTGGAGTTGAGTGACCCCCTCTGGCAGCTGGAGATCATAGCACCGGGTTTCTCTGGGTCCCGAAGCCTTTGGCTGGCGTAGAGATGCCCGAGGGTTCCCAGAAGCCAAACGGGCCGCGGCGACAGCAGAGCCCCTGGCCAGCCTTACCTGCTCTCCCTTTCCGCCGCTGCTCGTCTTCTTGCTCTGTCAGGTACTCCCCAGTCTGATATTTTCGGCTCTTCTGCCGTCTTCGTTTCTTCCTCTTCAGCAGGCCCTCCTCCTCTTCTTCCTCCTCCTCCTCATTGGTGTCCCACATTTGCCGGGCAGCCTCTGTCCTCCAGGGCATTTCTCGGGCTCGCCACAGGTGCCTTCGGCCCTGGCTCAGCAGAGACTTGTCCTGGGCATGGTGGCTGCGATACTGGGTGTCCCGTTGGGTCTTTCTCACCTTTCGACGCTTAGCTGGGGTGGGGGTTACCTCCTCTTCTTCTTCTGTGGGGAAGACTTCCTGGCTTCCCATGTCACTGTCTGCCATGCCAGCAAAGGAGCTACAGATGCTTCCTGTGGATGGGATGTACAGAGGATGGTCAGGTACTTCTTCAAAGGACAAAGCATGGTGTCGAAGTGAATGCCCTGGACTAGGAGTTTGAAGGTCTGGGTTCAAGTTCAGGCTCTGCCAGTTATTAGCTGTACCGTTCGGGAAAGTTCCTTCAGTGCAGTCTCCTCATCTATAAAATGGGGATACTGTTCTCCCCTTACTGACCTCACAGGGCTGTTTTGAGGCTCAAATAAGATTTTTCACGCATATGTGCTTTACAGAGTCCAATATACCAGACAACATCAAGTATTAAAAACACACACCCTTACTCATCCACGTTACAGTGTCACCTGAATCCACACCCAAAACTCTTGCTTAGCTCTTATAAAGTGCCAAGTATTTTGTGAAGGGCAGGAGAGGGCCACGGGTCCCTGGGAAATCAGGGGCTAGGAGAGGGCAATTGGGGTCTCAGACAGGGCAAGGGAGGATATACTCCTTTTGTGGCACCACCAATCTTGGGGACAGAGCCACCCCGGCCAAGCAGAATCATCACAAGAGAAGAGTCTCAAGAAAAGCGAAGCAAGAAGGAGTCCCTTTCCTGTGATCTGTGACAGAGCCTGGTTGGGTCACGCCCAAATGCACCCAGGCACGCCCACTTCCCTTAAATTGACCCCACCTCCTCCCGACTTGCCAAGAGTTCAGGGGTGGAGCTTCCTCCCAGGCACCTCCCTCCACCCGGTTGTAGCTGTTCCTCACCGCTGGGCAAGCGCTTCCCCCTCCTCCCCCACCACCCCAGGATGGATTGGTACCTTTCCTGCCTTCCTCAGCCACCTTGCCAAGAGGCCATTTTCTCTCTCCACTCTTTCCTTCAACTCTGCTAACAACGAAAGTACATCCTAAATTGGCCTGGTTTCACACTACAGGAGATTTGACACCTTCCTCCTCGGAAGCAGCTGTGAGACACCACCATCTTTCTCCCAAGGCCCAGCTATTAACTCAACAGTCCCCAGACCCAAGCGAAGTCAGCAGAAGAAAGAAATGGTTCGAGGCAAATAGAGTAAGTAGCCCTTGACCAAAGCTTCAAGTTAGTCACACTGCTAAAAGACAGCAAATAACAGCACATTTTCCATTATATAGACTAGGCAAAACAAAGTGTTCTGGTTAATCTAATATTCTGGTTAATACAGAATCATCATAGAGATCACAAAGGGATCACCAATTTCCAAAGAATCAAATACAGTACAATGTGTTTAACACTAAAATGGGACTGGCTGTAATGTAATTGCTCTTTGATAATTCAGAGGACACTTCAGGATTTTGTAAGGCCTCCAGGCCATCATTATGAGCCCCAATTACCACCTCGCTTGCCATGTGCTAAGGTGCCGGTTACTAGAATGTCAGATAACTGAGTTTACACTATACCTTGCTTCCCCATTCTATCCAATTTGCATGGAAATTGGGTGAACTGGGACAACTATCTCCAGCCCTGGATACCAGTGTGGAGGCTAGCAGAAGGTAGTGGTGGCTAGAAAGGGCTAGCTTTTTTTAGTCCCTAGAGGTTGACCAACACAAATTCAGGGAGCCAAATGTGATTCTGCCAGCCCTGACGATTCAATGACTTTTCCAACTTTGAGGCTGCCTGTCACATAGGGCAATAAGACCAAGGTAGAAAGTTAAATGTCTGTGCCTGAGATTAGCCCCAGTAATGACGAGGTGCCAAAGCTTGGAGTTGAACCAGCTTTCCCGAGTGGCACAGGCCTTACCTCTTTCCACCATCAGCTCCCAACAAGAGATGTCAAATCCCTGCTCTGAAAAGTTGAACAAATAATCCTCAAACAGTGGGCAATATTTGAGGACTATTTGTCCCCTGCCCCCACCCAGGGCTCTCTTATCTCTGCAAGGAGCTGGGCATTGTGGCACAGTGAATCAAATTCCCAACTCGACACCTGGGCCCATGGTAAAACTGCTCAACCAGATTTCGATCTCTCTTTTCATAGAAGATGCTGAGAGGGGCCATCACCTTAGTCTCACTCACCAGACTGACTGCGCGTGCGGGTGCTCAGAACCACAGGAATAAAGTCACGGAAACTGCTCTTTGCTTTCTTTTCCAAGGAACCTGGAGTGATGTGTGGTTTGGGGACAGAAGGCAGAAATGTTACAATCAAAGCTTAAAGACCAGAAAGCCCACCTGTGAGGCTCGGGGGAAAGATTGAGAAAGAGTTTGTGTTTACCCTGTGGTTAATCTGGGTTACATTTATTCACTCCCCTTACGTGGCCATCACATATGTGTCTCTTGTAGACAATGAGTGTTTCCAGGTGGTTTTTAAAAACTGAGAGTTTGGTCGCTTTTGCTGATACCAGAAAAGGCAGTGCACAGTATCAATGTGATGGTGTGCCAGAAAGTAGGAAAGTAGGAGGCCCCACTGCCCATAGGACTCTGAGGCTGCTGCACCTCAACAAAGTTCTGCTGGGCATGGTGGCTCACGCCTGTAATCCCAGCACTTTGGGAGGCCGAGGTGGGTGGATCACCTGAGGTCAGGAGATCGAGCCCAGCATGGCCAACATGGTGAAACCCCGACTCTACTAAAAATACAAAAATTCGCCGGGCGTGGTGGCACTCACCTGTAGTCCCAGATACTTGGGAGGCTGAGGAAGGAGAATCACTTGAACCTGGGATGCAGAGTTTGCAGTGAGCCAAGATTGTGCCACTGCACTCCAGCCTGGGTGACAGAGTGAGACTCCATCTCAAAAAAAAAAAAAAAAAAAAAAAAAAAAAGAAAGAAAGAAAGAAAATAAACAAAGTTCTAACTGAGCTGGAGCAGGTCCCAGAGGAGGGCAACCTCAGTGAATCTTGGAGGATTGAGTGAGGTGGGAAGATAGGAACAAGGAGCCAGTGAACAGAGAAAAAACGGCTAAGAACAGATGAGGCCGGACGCAGTGGCTGACGCCTGTAATCCCAACACTTTGGGAGGCTGAGGCAGGGAGATGGCTTGAGCCCAGGAGTTCAAGACCAGCCTGGGAAACATGGTGAAACCCCATCTCTTCAAAACTACAAACATTAGCCAGGTGTAATGGCACATGCCTGTGGTCCCAGCTACTCGGGAGGCTGAGGTAGGAGGATCACTTGAGCTCAGGAGGTTGAGGCTGCAGTGAACCGATATTGTGCCACTGAACTCCCTCTAGCCTGGGAAGCAAAGTGAGACTCTGTCTCAAAAAAAAAAAGAACAGACCAGAAGAGGCAGGTCATAGTCACGTCAGGTGGGCAAGACCATGAACCTGGACTCCTATGCTCAGGAATGCTGGGGATTCTCTCCCTGATAAGGGTGCCCAGAAACTATTAGTGGCAAAACGGACAGGTTAGGGACACATACCAGCCCCGTCATCCCAGATATCCTGTGTGTCCCTAAATGATAATAAACGTTTAAGATTTCTCTAAACTCTCCTAGCTAACTAGCTATTTATTTTTGTCCTTTCAGAATAGCAGTTTTCCAGTATACCCAAAGAAGACAGCGTAATGAACCCCCATTCCGTGGTTTTTGTCTAAATTCTCCTTAAACTTGTTTCTTTGAGCCTAGACCCATCGCGGGGAAATGGGTCGGCTACTGTGTTGTGGGCCTGGTGTTTGTGTCGGAAAACCACTTCCTTCAGCCTTATTCTAGCACCCAGGAGGAGCAGAAGGGGCCCCCGATCCTTGCTCGCTCACCTTAGACTTCAGAGGGGTCAATCATATCTTCTTTCCACAGTGAAGAAGTCTCACTTTTCCAGAGTGAAGGAGTCAGCGCCTGAGCCCCTCTGCCCTCACCACTGTGCCCTGGGGATCCCTCTGCAGCCCAGCCCAGAGGGCCAGGGCCGCGGGGCCTACCTTCCTCGTGGCTGTCGGCTCGTTTTCCTGGAGACTGGGACTCCGGCTTTGTCGGCTTCCGGTGCTTGTGCTTTCCCCTGACTCCATTGTGCTCTTTTCCTGAATCTGAAGCCCCCCTGGGGCTTTTCTTGGTGGATTCCTGGGGGTCACTGGGCAGCTTCCGGCACTGTGGAGAGGTAGAGGGTCAGGTCTGAGGTCAGTTTTGCTTCTTAAGAAAGCTCTCCAGGGGTTGAGCCATGTGTCCCGTTTCTGACCTAGAGGCATGAGCTGCCCAGAGTGGGGGACCAGGGGCAAGGGGCCGTGCACTGCCTTCCAGAGTGGGTGACAGGGGCTCTTTTGGACTGAGTCCAGGGCCCCAGCTAATCCCCATAGGCGTCCACATCCCATCACTTTAAAGAGGTCTACAGAGTCTGCGTTCAAAAGCCAGTGAATAAACACCCAAAGTCATTTTAAAAGGTGCAAAGTCAGGCCCCATACTCTCTGTACCCAAACACCAATGGAGAGACCGGCATTAAACAAAATGCCTCTTCTGCAAGTTGGGAGACTACATTGTTCAAATAACTTCACTGTGAATGGTATTGCACCAACAACTGAAAATAATTCTCAGTACAGGCCAACTCAAGAAAAATTGTCTCTTTTCACGTGTAAATTAATACCAGAAAATAGATTCAACTAAGGCAAGAAGAAAAACATGACACAGGAGCAATTCAAATATCCTCATATTTATAAAACCCAGTGAAAAGGCCCAAGCATTATTCATAATGCCACTTTATACTCTGTAGCACTTTCAGCCTTTCCAAATGCTCTCATCTCTATTATTGGATTTTATCCTCCCCACAACCCTGGGAGGAGAAGCTAATATTATCCCCACTGAACAGATAAGAAAACGGAGGCTCCAAGACAAAGGGTTGAATGACTTGTCCAGGGTAACACACAATCCCATGTGTCCACTGGCTCAGGGACTGCCACTTACCAGGCCAACCCGCAAGTTAGCACATTTGTGCTTGCAGTGAGAAAGACCCAGAATTGGGACTAGGACCCGGGGGTCCTGGCCCCCAGCCCGGGCCTCTGGGCATCAGCTCTCGCTACCTATCTTCCCTGAATCACTTCCTCGGCTGCTTCAGCTCAGCTTCTCCCACGCCCACTGCCTGGCACATCTAAGAGGCACAATGGCTGTGCTCACACACTGCAAGGACACTCTCAGCCTAACAGTCACGTATTCTCACGAGCTTTGAGGTCTCTCTGTGCCACTAAACAAGAAATAGGGCAATGTAGGGATTTCCAGTATTCTAGTATGCAGGGAGTGCAGAATAAGCAAAACGTTGGAACAATAAAAGCAGGTCCGAGGAGGAAAGGAAGGGTTAAACTTGCTTGAGCTGTTTTTCCCCTAAGCTGACCCATGCCTCGCCTGCTAGAAGGTTATCGTGGTGTACCTCCAGCTAAGGGGATGGCACATACCTTACTGATGGAACATTTTCGGGGGCTGGGGCCTCCTAATTCTCCAGGGACAGGGAGTCACCACTACCCATCAAATTCCAGGACTCCTCCTATCCCATGAACTCTTCCTGCTTCTTATTTTCAGCAGAGGCCTGAGCTAAAAATTCAAGTTCAGTTTCCCCCTTGGCTTGCTGCCAGTTCCTACAAACCAAAGTGTTAGGAGGAGGAAAGCATTGGTTGGAAAGAGGAAGATGAGGAACTACTGCTTAAAAACTAACCTTCAGGTACGGCTGGAGAAAAACTATTTTAAGTCAGGGGGAATAAAGTCAAATGCACATACATTTGAACATGTCCTATTTATTTCTGAATATCATTCTTAGCTGGCTCTTTCAAATGCAGATCATTAACTTTTACTTCCGAAGACAAAAACAAGTAAAACAGAACATCTAGCAGGGCGCGGTGGCTCAAGCCTGTAATCCCAGCACCTCGGGAAGCCAAGGCCAGCGGATCACCTGAGGTCAGGAATAAAAATATTTCGCACACTCCAACTTATGCATGAAGTTGGGAGGATGGGGAGACCGTGAGAGATGAACATTCTGGTTAACAGTTTTGAAATATTTTCCAAAGAGCTTTCCAAGGAATGAGAGGACAATAAAATACATCCAGCACCAAATGAAGCAGAACTCTCTCTCTTTGCTGGTGATGCAGAAGGCCCTTTAGGATCCTGAGAGGCCTTGGGCAGGTGGTATTGGCAACAGGAGACTATTTTCACTCTTGGCCAAGCCCTGAAAGGGGCTATTTCAAACAAACCCCTGATCTTAGTTTGCTGATCAACAGTTTCCTTCTCAGGAAGGTGGCATGTAAAAAAAAAGAAGGAACGAAGTGATTTGCACTCCCAAAAAATAGACATTTACTAAATCCTTACAGGCAGTTGCAAAGAGCTGCTTCCAGGCCCCTGATCTTGTCATTTTAATTTCTGCCCTCTGCATTTGATAGTGGGCCCACTGAACTGTTCATCTAATATAGGATAGGGCAGTGCCCACCTGTCACTGAGTCATCTGAGAGACATAAGCTTCATGAGAGGCGGGGCCACATCTATTTTGTTTGTAATGCTAACAATAACAGCAACCACTAACACTAACTGAACACCTACTATGTGCCAGATACTACTGTACACACTTATGTATATCACGTTCTTTAATCTTTTTTAAAATGACAGCTTTACTGAGATACAATTTATTAAGACATACCATGCAATTCACTTAAGTGTAAAATTCAATTGTTTTTAGTATAGTCATAGAGCTATGTAACCATCCCTACTTATCTAGCTCCAGAACTTTTTCATCACCCTGAATGGAAACCCAATACCCATTAAACAGTCACTCCCCAACTCTTCCATCCTCCCCAACCCTAGGCAACCACTAGTCTACTTTCTGTCTCCATGGATTTGCCTATTGTGGACATTTTATATCATCATCTCATTTAATCTTCACAACTCTATGAGTAGATACTATTATTGTCTTGTGTATAGATTAAGAAACTGAAGGCCATAGAGATTAAGTAGCTTGACTAATAGCACACAGCTAGGAAGAGGTGGGGCCAAAATTCAAACCCAGGCTCCGTGTCTGGCTCCAGGGAGCATACTCCTCATCAATCTATGATACCACCCTCCTGAAGAGGTATTCCCATTGCCTGGGAAGGACTGGCATACAGTAGCCATGCAACAAAAACTTGCAAAACATTCAGTGAAACAGTTCCATGGGCGGAGAGTAGAAGATGGCCAGGTGAGGTGGCTCACGCCTGTAATCCCAGCACTTTGGGAGGCTGAAGCAGGAGGATCGCTTCAGCCCAGGAGTCCGAGACCAGCTTAGCCAACATAGTGAGACCTCGTCTCTACAAAAAATAATTAGCCAGGTGTAGTGGTACACACCTGTGGTCCCAGCTACTTGGGAGGCTAAAGTGGGAGACTGCTTGAGCCCAGAAGGTGAAGGCTGCAATGAGCTGTGATCGAGCCACTGCACTCCAGCCCGGGTGACAGAGCAAGACCCTGACTCAAAAAAAAAAAAACAAAAAGAGAGTGGAAGATAATATGGTATAGCTGAAGAAGAACATGGACTTTGGAACCAGAGACCAGAGTCTGAGTTCTAGCTCTGCAAGTTAGTAGCTGTGTAACTGGGTAATGTATCCTCTCTGAGCCTCTGTTTCATTTATTTTCTCACCTGTAGATTGGTGTAGCATTCACCTCATATGGTTACTGTAACGATTAGATAACAAATGTAAAAACACAACTCTAACGACATGAATTATTATTCTTATTACCACCGAGCGCAGATGGCAATTACCTGCCAAACGTTATATGCTCTACTGCGTCATGACCCACGTTCCTACTTCACGTGTCTCTGACATACCAGGGTGGTTGTGAGGTTTGTGAGTTAAAATCCACCCAAACACCTATCCCAGGGGTTCTTAACCTGCAGTCCCTGGGTGAGCTTTGGGCGATGGGGCAGAGGTCAGGTCCATGAACCCCCTAAAATTATTGGCAAAATTCTGAGGTCACATTTCTGGGAACAGGGTCCATAGCTCTCACCAGCTTTTCAAAATGGTCTATGGTCCAAAAAAGACCATAAACTTGTGCCACAGCCAAATTCACAGTGCTCTAGCCAGAAATTTTGTCCCTTAGTGTACATGAACATCCAACTTGAAAGCTTGCTAACAGAACTTCAAGTTGTTCTAGATTTTTAATAAACCCTATCCTCAAATGTTTCAAGATTCTCCTTGGATCACCAGTAGCCTCTGGTCCCTTCTGGGGGACCAGGGGATTCTCATCAAGTGCTCCTGGCCCACCTTTTTGCCTAGAACTCTGCCACCATCCATAGCCTGTCAAGACCAACACCCAGACACCCAACCTGCCTTGCCCATCCAATCCCCAGTGGGCCAAAACCCAAAGCTGCTGCCTCAAGCATTCGAGCGGGTAGGAAACTGATTAGCACAGAAGCCAAATTGGCTCTGACCCCACAAGGCTCCCAGCAAATCCTAAGCAGGCCCCCCAACCAGTGGTGAAAGGAACAACCCCGTCAGAGGCCCCTGCTCTCCCCATCCCTAAGTTCTCAAGGCCAGTGTTCTCTCAGTAAAGGAAAAGGAAGAATGGTTATTCAAGGAAGAGCCTGTTATTCATTGATTTCCCTCACCAATACCTTCTTCCGCTTTCCGATCTCATCTGGGACAATGGCTTCCCTACCCCAGGGACAGAATCATTTCCCACATCCTACAAACTACAAGCCAGCCTCTCCCCATGCTGAGACACCGTATATGGAAAATGTGACCTAGGGAGGGGACAGCAGGTCATTATTACTTTTACAAAAGCCTTCCAATCCGTTCAGTTCACACAGCTGCCCAACAGCACTGTGTCACAGGGTAGGGGTCACAGGAGGTTGCTATCCATGGCACGAAGTAGACCAGCGGCATCTCGGCCCCACCCTGGACCTTAGCTCAGCACTCACCTTGGGTCTGTGGGAACTCCGGACCACGGCCTTGGCTTGTGGCTGGAGCTGCTGCTCTTCACTGTCCTTCTCTTTGCCGCACTTCATCTTCTTGGGCGGCAGAGATTCCGTCACATCATCTGGCTGCCACTTGTTCTTGCAAGCAAAGACCCCTACGCTTTCCTGTTTCACTCGAGCCTGCCCGGCCTTAGCCCGAACTTCAGCTTGGCCCCTCTGGGGAGCCACTGGGAGGCCATCAGCCCGGAAGCAGGTGGCTAAATTGAAGACCACATCACCATCCACCTTCTCCATTTTCACTCGCCCCAGATCCACCTGGCTTCCAAGCTGTGGGCGCTCTGTGCTGGAGCCCCTCCTGCTGCTCGGAACCACGTCCAATATAAGTTCCTTGGGGTGGCTGTCGTGAGGTAGCAAAGGCAGCTCAGGCATCTTAGGCAGGTTCTGGGGGGTGGCCAGGACCAGCTCATGGGACATGTAGGTGGCCAGCACTTGGTTCTTAGGCTTCGTGTCTCCTGCCAGCTTCAGGCCACAAGCCCCCTGGGGGCCTTCCATCTTAGGAGTGCTGTCAGAGCAGAGGTGGCTCTCTGATTCCTCAGGCCCCTGATTCATTCGAATGTCCCCACCGCTAGGCTGAACAGACAGTGCCAGGGTCCCAGTCTGAGGGCTGAGGGTCAAGAGGACAGGATTGACTTGTTCTTCATAAGGCTTGGCAGCAATCCGGCAAGTTTTGTTCTTTGTAACAGGGTCCTGCTCTGGAACGAAGGAGCCCCCAGGCCGTGGTTGCCCCTCAGGAAGTCCGTGCACGGCTTCGCTGGAGCTGAGAGATGGCACACCAGAAAACTCCGAAACAACGCTGGTGGGCCTGATGGGCGCCCCCTGACTGGGGGTCAGCTGCCCGGCACTGGAAATGCCAATGGAAAGCAGAGACGCCTGGTGGTACGGGGACCAGCCAACAGGCAGGACCTGGGTGCTGGTAGGTTTCCCATTGACTGAACACCGGGGATAAATATTTGCCGGCCCCGTGGGTTTCCACAAAGAGAGTTCCTTGGTTTGGCACCCTGGCAGCCCAGGGGCAATGCGGGCTGGAGTATATCGTTTCACTGTGCTTGGCTGTCCCTCAGCACCAGCCTGGCTGCCCTTTTTGCCACACGTGGCACCAGTGCCCTTAGGCTCTCCTTGATCAATGATGGAGATGGGCTCCTGCTTGGGGAGATGGCGGGGGTCACGGTTGAGGCCCAGGTTGGGGTCTTTGTTCAGCAGCAGGGATGCAGGCACTGGGTTGGCCACTCCCACGTAGGTGCCAGGAATGGTGCTGATCAGTGCAGTTGAGTTCTTCACCCAGGTGCTCGGGTCCCCATTCCTCACGATCTCGGGAAAGATGACAAAGGGCGAGGAAGTGGAGCCCAGGCAGGAGGTGACATTGCCACCGGCAGCCTGGGTTGTGCGCTGAGACCTAGACAGGACTGTGGAGAGGAGGGCCTTGCTGCTGGTGTGCACGGGGGTCAACACAGGCATGGGGGGTGTCTTGCGCTGGTTCGGCAATGGAAGCTTCTGGCGGTTGGACTTGGAGGACAGATCAAGGGGCATCTCGCTGCACTCAGGTGGAGAGGCCATCTCTCGTTCCAGCTGTGGCGGTGACTTAAGAGGAGAGAAGGTAACGGAAGTCCCTTCTGTTTGCTGCTCGGTGCCACTGGGCATCTTGGCGGGGTGCGGTGGGGCTGAGCTCCCACTGGGGGCTGGCAGCAGAGGCTGTGGAGTTGGAAGCACCTTGGCAGAAGCAGTAACAAGGGAGGTATCTGCCAAAGGCCCAGGGACCCCATCGGGTGCAGGCTGGGTGGTGGTGCTACCGGATGGGGAAGTGCAGGGGAGCCTGTTCACCTCCAGAGATACCAGCTTGGAATCCGAAGTCAGAGGCCGGGCCACAGAAAATGCATACGGGTAAGAACGGAGCTCGGGGGAGGCTAGCACGCCTGGGAGACACCTGTCCTGCAGGTAGGACGGCAGGACAGGGAGCGTAAGAGTGGAGGAAACCCCTAGAGTGGTTGGCAGTGTGGCCACACTGAGTGGCTGCCCACAGCTTGGAGGCGGGATATATACCAGCGGCTGGCTCGGGGTCAGCACTGTCCCTGGCTGAAAGGACAGGGGGACTTTTTGCATAGCTGGTGCCTGAGCTGCAGGAAAGCACACTCTACTCAAACTGAAGGAGGCCGGGATGGGTGCAGAGGTGGGAATGGCAGCTGGCGTGGCAGCAGGCATGGGTGTAGGGGCTGGAGTAAAGATGGGGGCTGGGGTGGGTGCAGGCACCGGTGTAGGAGCAAAGGCGGGGATGAGGGTGGGGGTAGAAGGTGGGCCGGAAGATGGGGTTGGAGTGGGCATGGGCACAGACGGAGGGGCAGGGGCCGCTGGAGGCGTGGATGCTGGCATGGGAGCCAGAACCGGAGTGGGGACGGGAGCGAGAACCAAGGTCGGAGCTGAAGGGGGCACAGGAGCCTGGATGAGAGCCAAGGGAGGAGCTGAAACTGGGACTGAAAGCGGGGCAGGAGCTGGAGCCGACAAGGGAACCGGGCCTGAAGGGGGAGCAGAAGCTGGCACAGGCACCAAGACTGAGGCCGAAACAGAAAGGGGGTTCGAGTCAGAGATGAGCGTGGGCACTGACGGTGGCGCTGGAGCCAGAGCCGGGACAGGTGCTAAGGGAGGGGAAGGAGCTGGAACCGAAGTGGCAACTTGGACTGGAACAAGCCCTGAATGGGGGACTGGGGCAGGGACGGAGAGGGGAACCTGGAATGCATCTGGAACAGAGTGGGGCACAGAGGCCGAACCGGGAGCAGGGGGACAGATAGGGGCTGGCAGAGGACTGAAGTTAGTGGTAACCAGGGGCAGGGTCCCCTCCACAGGGACTCCAGTTCCCAGAGTTGCCAAAATGAAAGTATTCTTCTCTCCAACACCTTGCCGAGAGTCCAAAGCCTTTACTCCGGCGGGTGAGCAGTCAACCTGTTTGCTCATTTGGGTGTTGAGTGGAGTCCAGGAGCAGTCGGCCCTGCTGTTGCTGGCCTCGGCGCTGTCAGATGCGGGAAGCTTGAGCCCGTCTCCTGGGCTGCTCAGGGGCACCAAGAGGCCCTCAGCCTCTGCCACGTTCCCAGCGTAGTCCATTTTTGGCTGGGGATCGTCAGGCTTGTCTTCTGACTTGTGCCCAAGTTTTTCTGTAGCACTGCCATCTGGGTCTGCCCCCCGGGCATTGCTGCCACTTCCAACTGCCGTGAGCTCCACCTGCAACGACAGGATAGCATGCACATCTCAGCCAGCTCCCTGCAGATGGTGCAAGTGTCCTGAGGCCCGAGAGGCAACTGCTGGTCTTCTCTGCAACTCGACCAACCAGGTCTCGGAAGACGCAGAGGGCAGCCAGCCAATTTGTGTCCCACCAATACCAACTCCTGGGAGAGACCCTGTCCCTTCCTGCCCACTTCCTGGGATGGCAGGCTGGGCACACCTCCCAGGCAGCTCAGCTCCATCCTTTGGTGGACAGCACGTGGCTCCATAAAGCCTCTTACCTTGGAAAAACTGCTGCTGACACAAAACTCCTGAGATCCAAAGTGCTGGCAGTCGCCTGTCGTTGACTCCTCATCAGAAAGAGGTGCTCTTCTAGCATGGAAGATACAACCAGAGAAGGGACATGAGGCCCAGGATTTGAGCCAACACCACCTTCCCCAGAATGCCTCCTGCCTGCCTGGGTCCCCATAAAACCTTCCTACCTCACTTCCTGTAGTAACTTGTGAGGGGGATTACAAGGAACTGGGGGTTCTTGGTTACAAAGCGGAGGCGCCACACCTAGCTTTGCAAGTCCCTACCAGAGCCCAGTCTGACTAGACCCCCCTCTTTGGACTGTTTACCCTGTTTTCTAGGGCTCTTGCCAGGAGTGTGGACACCCTAGCACTTTTACCTTTTCCCTGGAGCTTACCTGCCAAAATGACCATCCAGGATGTACAGGGCATTGCTCAAAGGGGAGACATGAGAACCACTGAATGCCTCAAAAGGCATGCAAAACCCATTTTTCTTTTAAATACAATCTTATTTTAAGTCTCTAAGGGCAGCTGGCTGAAAGTGTCATATGGGTAATCCTCTTCTAAAACAAATAAACCCCTGTTGTGTTTTCAGGTCTAAATCTGAATCGTCACCTATTCACCTCCTGTCTTGCCTAGAGCAGAGACATGTTTATTAGCACTGGTGATGATACCACTTGGAGGCCACCAGGTCACTGGGTGCTGAGAGGCATTTTAAGAATACTACTTTTTTCCCTCCAGGAGACACTGCCCCCTTTTTTCTAGAGTTCTAGGCAACACCCTCCCTTCTACCCTCCTTCTATCCTTGCCTACATCCTATCTCCTGCCAGCACCCCTCCCTGCCCCCCCATCAGTCTCCCAGCACCACTTTGTTCTCTCCTGTCCGAAAAGCCTCAGACCCCAAATTCAGGTTCATATGTCCCAGAGAAAAGGGCTCAAGGCCAGAGAGCTGGGTCCCAAAGGAGGAAAACTCAAATGCATCTCCCCCTGTTTAAAGTCTTCTCCAAATTTCAGGTAAGCATCATAGAAAATTGTACATCCTGACAAAAAAAAAAAGGGAGAGGGTGGCATCAGACTGCCTCCCTCCCCTGGTATTTTAAGTACAGCAAGAACTATTAGGCCAGGCATGGTGGCTCACACCTGTAATCCCAGCACTTTGGGAGGCCAGCTGAGGTGGGTGCATCACTGAGGTCAGGAGTTCAATATCAGCCTGGCCATCATGGTAAAACTCCATATCTACTAAAAAATACAAAAATTAGCCAGGCGTGATGGCAGGCACCTGTAATCCCAGCTACTTGGGAGGCTGAGGCAGGAGAATCGCTTGAGTCTGGGAGGCGGAGGTTGCAGTGAGCCGAGATCCCACCACTGCACTTCAACCTGGGCGACAGAGTGAGACCCTGTCTCAAAACAACAACAACAACAACCAAAAAAAACTATTGCCCCCTGCCCTTGGGAGCTGTGGGTGGGAGTGGCCAAGGAGGAGGTTTAGATTAAAGAATAAAACCCCAACATAGACGCTGCAGTGCGTTTCCTGGGTGGGCAAGGCACAGGACTGCTCTGTGTGCCCCTGGGGAAATACACTGTGCCTGAGGTGACCTCCCTTCTTTCTTTCCTTTTTTCCCTCTTTTTTTTTTTTTTTTTTTTTTTTTTTTTTTTTAGATTGAATCTCGCTCTGTCACCCAGGCTGGAGTGCAGTGGCACGATCTCGATCTCGGCTCACTGCAACCTCCGCCTCCTGGAATCAGGCAATTCTCCTGCCTCAGCCTCCAGCATAGCCAGAATTATAGGCATGCTCCACCACGCCTGGCTAATTTTTGCCTCCCTTCTTTAGAGGCTCACCCCAAGCTCCTGAAGACAGCCCTGAAGAAGCCAGCTCTCGCCTCCCCAGTCACCCTAGCCAAAGGGCAGTCAGGTTGCTGGAGCCAACCCCAACAAGAAGGGGGAGGGCCCTGCTAACTTCCTCCCTCCCACTGAAACAGGGACTCCAAAATTGTACCTGGGGCAAGAGAAGCAAAAAAGGCAAGGGGGATCACCACGGGCCTCTCCCCATCTTTTCAGGGATCCAGAAGGGGCTAACCGAGGGGGAAAGGCTTGTTCCCTTTAAAAGGCAGTTGGACTGGCAGAAGTGGGAGGGCTCCACTGCTGGAAGTGACTGTTGGTGACAAACAGAAATGACTGTAAGGAGAGGCAAGGGCTTTAGATGCAGTCAGGGTGGTCTCGGGGAAGGGGAGGGAGGGAGGGCCTGAAGGAAAGGGAAAACATACTTTCACATCAACTCCTAAGAGACCACAAAAGCGAGACCTATGCCCAGCCTTGGGCCAGGGGGAAGCGTGTTCCCACTAGACTTGCCAGGGACGGTTTTAGGGGGAGTACTCAAGGGGAAACAAGCAGCACTTCCCCCAAGCAACCCCACATGGGAAGGTGCTATTTATTTACATTCTTTCCCCTCCTGGCCATACAAAAGGGAGTGGGCTGCATCCTCATTCTCCCCTTGCAAGCTCCCACCCTGCCTGAAATGACACCTCGAAAGCAGAATCCCTGCCGTCGAAGGCAGCTGCCAGAGAACCACAGAACCAGGCCAAGCAACAGCAGTCCTGGCCACTCCAGCCATACCCACACCTGAGTCCAGCCCCGAAGGCGCTGCAAAATGTCATGCAGCCGTGTTTCAAATCCTCTGAGAAGAGGGGTGGGCAGAGCTAAGCAAACATTAACTTGCTCCATTGAGAGAAGAGCCTGGGACAGGAGTAACTTGCAGGGGAGGGGGCCCGGGAAGAGCTGGGTCAACCAGGCAAGGTTATGAGGGTGCAGCTGGCGGAGGCGGGCGGCAGGAGGGAACAGAGGTCATAGCAGGCTTCAGTCAGGACTGAAAATCAATCCTGCTGTTTCTTCCCACCACAGAGGAGGCAGAGCTGTTATGTTCAAGGCTTTGTGGAACTTAAACCAGAAATGGCCATGACCCCTCTGGGCCATTTCCCTAATTATTAAGGGCTAGCACCACTGTCAAACCGGACCCTCTTCAGTTCCTGCTGGGCCCAGACTACCCGTAAGAGAAATATACCACCCAGCACACACCAGGCTCCTTACCTTCCAGTCCTGGGAGACTTTCCCTGGTTCGAGTCCCACAGTACCCCAAGATTGCCTTCATTCCAACTTGGACCTTCCCCAAACACACTGTGCTTTTTTTTTTTTTTTTTCTTTCTTTTAGACAGAGTTTCTCTCTTGTTGCCCAGGCTGGAGGAGTGCAATGGTGCGATCTCAGCTCACTGCAACCTCTGCCTCCCGGGCTCACGCCTGAGCCTCCCGAGTAGCTGGGATTACAGGCATGCGCCACCACGCCCAGCTAAGTTTTGTGTTTTTAGTAGAGACGGGGTTTCTCCGTGTTGGTCAGGCTGGTCTCGAACTCCCGACCTCAGGTGATCCACCTGCCTCGGCCTCCCAAAGTGCTGGGATTATAGGCGTGAGTCACCGTGCCCAGCCACACTGTGCTCTTATTGTCTCAGGGAAATACCAGCTCTCACCTCAAACTCCTACTCATTCCTCAAGCCTGGGCTCAAATGCCACTGCCTCTGGGAAGCCTTTCCTTATTCTCCCACCAGGAGGTTTGTCAATCTTGCATCTGGACTCCCACTGGACCCGGACATGCAATTCTAGGGCACTCACCACCAATGTACTAGAACTACTGGTTTGCTCTCATTATGTTGAATAAATGTTTGTTGAATGAAGGCATGAATTAATCCTAGAAGGGATGCAAGCAGGCAAGCAGACACATTTAGCTGTAGGTTTGCCTAGAGACGGCCACCTGGGGCCAGCCGCAAGCCCATGCCTCCTGTTCTACAGTCCTCAATTGCAGCTGCCAAAGCTGGCAGGCCTCTAAAACATCACTTTAAGAGTTGAACCCCAGGCACAGCTTTGTACCCCAAATTCCTAAATTCTACAAGTTGTAAAGGGCCAAGGAAAATGATTTTTAAATAAGGTGAGATTACATTTTGGAAACCAGTGATAGCATGGTCTAGGCTGTAGCGGCCTAGACTGTAGCAAGAAGGTGACAATAAAGGGTGGATGAGATCAAAAGTGACAACACTTAAAAGGTCATCTTAGGCCGGGCGTGGTGGCTCACATCTGTAATCTCAACACTTTGGGAGGCTGAGGCAGGTGGATCACCAGAGGTCGGGAGTTCGAGACCAGCATGACCAACATGGAGAAAACCCGTCTCTACTAAAAATACAAAATTAGCCGGGTGTGGTGGCGCATGCCTGTAATCCCAGCTACTCGGGAGGCTGAGGCAGGAGAATCGTTTGAACCCGGGAGGCGGAGGTTGCGGTGAGCTCAGATCTCACCATTGCACTCCAGCCTGGGCAACAAGAGCTAAACTCTGTCTCAAAAAAAAAAAAAAAATGTCCTCTTAAGCACTAGGCACAGGTTTAGAAGGAAGGAAAATCTGGCTGGGTGCAGTGGCTCACACCTGTAATCCCAGCACTTTTGGAGGCCAAGGCAGACAGACTGAGATCAGGAGTTTGAGACCAGCCTGGGTGACATGGTGAAACCCTGTCTCTACTAAAAATACAAAAATTAGCCAGGCATGGTGGTGCACACCTGTAATCCTAGTTACTCAGGAGGCTGATGCACGAGAATCACTTGAACCCAGGCAGCGGAGGTTGCAGTGAGCCGAGATCGTGCCACTACACTCCAGCCTGAGCAACAGAGCAAGACTCCATCTCAAAAACAAAAAACAAGATGGAGGGAAAATCAGATTTTGAGCCTACTTCCTGCTCCTTTCTTGGCAGGGATTTACAGTAGATGGTGAACTAAGGTAACTTGTCTATTGGCCTCTTTTATTATTATTATTTAATTTTATTGTTTTTGAGACGGAGTCCTGCTCTGTCACCCCGGTTGGAGTGCAGTGGTGCAATCTCGGCTCACTGCAACCTCCACCTCTCGGGTTCAACTGATTGTCTTGCCTCAGTCTCCCCAGTAGCTGGGATTACAGGCATACACCACCATGCCTGGCTAATTTTTTTGTATTTTTAGTAGAGACGGGGTTTCGCCATGTTGGCCAGGCTGGTCTTGAACTCCTGACCTCAGGTGATCCACCCGCCTCGGCCTCCCAAAGTGCTGGGATTACAGGCATAAGCCACAGCACCCGGCCCCGCTGGTCTTTTGAAGGCTCTAGTCCAGATTTCTGCATCAAAGTCTCAACTACTTATAACTAGGTCAACATGACCTGCCAATGAATACTTACGCAAATCATTATCATCACCCTGCCTTTCCCTAGATCATCTCTTAGTGATCATCTGAGGACATGCTTCATATGTAAAGGAAAACACTTTTCTTCCTGAGCACCTAAGAATTTCATCTCATTTTCCATGGTCTTGACTCTTTTTATCCTAAAATTAAATTCCTTTTAAGCCCATCTCTAACTTGTTCCTCAGTACAGAGAACATTAAGCTATCAGGCACTAATGGCTTAAGAAAATAAAAAGGTCTATTCTGCTAACCTTGACCTCAGACAAGTATATACTTCTCCAGTTAGGAACAGAAGAACAAAGTAGATAAACACAAAGACTTCCATTCCTTTTCCCTTCAAATTACCAATACTCCCCTATATGCGCACACACATTTCTAAGATTTACCCAAGAAACGTCAGATCTTGAATCCCAGGGAAAGCCATATTGTTCTGTGTCTTGGTGATTTATCTGATGTATATTTGAATTTAAACAGTCAATGGATTGAAACAACAAAAAAACACCAGCAAGCATGAAGGAGCAGTGCCTTCTCTAAAAATGAGAGAGGCGGCCGAGTGCAGTGGCTCACACCTGTAATCCCAGCACTTTGGGAGGCCGAGGTGAGTGGATCATGAGGTCAGGAGTTCGAGACCAGCCTGGCCAACATAGTAAAACTCCGTCTCTACTAAAAATACAAAAATTGGCCAGGTGTGGTGGCATACGCCTGTAGCCCCAGACTCTGTCTCAAAATAAATAAATCAATAAATAAAAAATAAAAACGGCCGGGCAAGGTGGCTCACACCTGTAATCCCAGCACTTTGGGAGGCCGAGGCGGGCGGATCACGAGGTCAGGAGATTGAGACCATCCTGGCTAACATGGTGAAACCCCGTCTCTACTAAAAATACAAAAAATTAGCCGGGCTTGGTGGCGGCACCTGTAGTCCCAGCTACTCGGGAGGCTGAGGCAGGAGAATGGCGTGAACCCGGGAGGCAGAGCTTGCAGTGAGCCGAGATCGCGCCACTGCACTCCAGCCTGGGCGACAGAGTGAGACTCCACCTCAAAAAAAAAAAAAAAGAAAATGAGAGAGGCACTGCAGCCATCACACACAGCTCTTTGACCAAGGGTTATGAAAGCCAAATATAAATTCTGAAGGCCATTTTGAGTGCTTTGGGTATGGGGCATGATCAGGCAATGGCACATCTTGGTCAACCAAATATTCTGGGGAACAGATAACTGAAAATACACACGTGAGGCAGGTGTCACCAACTCTCAAGACTATGCTAGGCGGTCTCAACTTCCTTTGATACTTCATAAGGATCTCACTTCAAATCAGAATTAGCCTCATGAGGTGAGAAAGCGCTGACCACCAGAATGCCCACTGCCAGTTCCCAGTAGAAATCTGAACAATAAAACCATCTTTCTTCCAGACCTAGATCAAAGACTGAAAATACCTTACACATATCCTTGAGCACCAAACTTTGATGCAGCAAATAAAAACTGCAATCGCTGGCCAGGCATGGGCAGTGGCTCACACCTGTAATCCCAGCATTTGGGGAGGCTGAGGCAGGCAGATCACTTGAGCTCAGGGGTTCAAGACCAGCCCGGGCCACATGGCGAAACCCCCGTCTCTAAAAAACTACAAAAAAAAAAAAAAATTAGCCGGGCGTGGTGTTGCTTGCATGTGGTCCCAGCTACTGGTGGGGCTGAGGTGGGAGAATCACTTGAGCCCAGGAGGCGGAGGTTGCAGTGGGCCAAGATTGTGCCACTGCCCTCCAGCCTGCATGACAAAGCGAGGCTCTGTCTCAAAAAACAAAAAAAAAATTGCCATTGCCTGAGCTTCCCCTTACTCCACAGTCTGACAGTTGTTAATGAGTAGACAAGTGCTAGCTGGCAAAAGGTCATTTTTTTGGCCTCCTCACCTTCATCTGAAAAGAGATAGCATGGCAGATCAGGCCACTCACACAGCCCCATCCCCATCCCACCACAGGAAAATTAGAAACAACTAAGAGTCTTCTCCTCCCCAGGGTCCCTCCCCAGGCCCTATTGTATGCAGCTATCCCTCTGGTGACGAGGTACTGCTCACTGGAGGCCAGCAGCGGCCACCTTCCTGGCCTCCTCACCTCTCCTCGTTGATGCCACACATGCGAATCCGGTCAGAACTGGTCCAGTTGTGCACGCCGCTGTAGAGCGGTGCTGTAGAGATCATGACAGCCACTCACCACCAGATAGGACCTGCTGTGGCCACTCCCCCTGGGGAAAAGAATTCCAGAAAATCAAAACTCGTAACAGGGACAGCTGCTTCAATCACCTTTTACACAGCAATGTTTCAATAAAGGTAATTACAGCATCAGAATGTTAAAGCAGCCAGCCTGCTATGGAAAATTAAGGTCTAAACCGGGAAGAGGGAGCACCAGCTTTCTAGGAATCCATAGGTTTCAGGATGGAGATGAGGACATTGTTAATCACCTAGAGTGAGTTTTAAATTATCTTAAAAGACAGATATGCTTGAGTAGAGGAAATTCAATCTATTTCAGACAAATGAGATGACAGTATATATTTCTACACACATTTAGCCTAACCAACTACAATTAGAGAGTCATACCCATATATGAATGGTGCACTAAAACACTACTGGTGACCTTTTTCTCGTCTACTCTCTAATCCATGGGTACTGAAGTATTTGAGTGACGTAGCCAATTTACACTCTTCAGAGGAAGCACATGCTTTTTTTCGTAAGTCCTTCAAAAATACTCCATTGACTTTGAGTTGGAAATAACACACGTATCTAACCTGGTTTCAAGCTCCCTCCAAATCAGGTGCAGTACTCCTTGCACGCTGACCACCAACAAGCAAACAAACAGAAAACAACGTTCCATCCAGAACTACGTGTTTCGGCAGGGCGCGGTGGCTCACGCCTGTAATCCCAACATTTTGGGAGGCCGAGGCGGGTGGATCACCTGAGGTCAGGAGCTCGAGACCAGCCTGGACAACATGGTGAAACCCCGTTTCTACTAAAAATAAAAAAATTAGCCTGGGGTGGTGGTGTGCACCTGTAATCCCAGCTACTCGGGAGGTTGAGGCACAAGAATCGCTTGAACCCAAGAGGCAGAGGTTGCAGTGAGCTGAGATCATGCCAGCGCACTCCAGCCTGGGCCACAGAGCAAGACTCTGTCTCAAAAAAAAAAAAAAAAAAAAACCACACATTTCTGTCCTTGTCCCTTCCTGTCAGTCTGTTGTCTCCATGTTCCACCACTCTCTTCACCAGCCAATGTCCCTCTCTCGCTTTGACAAGCAGGGCACAGTTAATTTACCTTCTAGAAAAAATGAGGCACCAAGAAAAACCTTTATCCAATGAGCTTGCCTTGAGACCCTTAAGCTCTTGAGTTAGCTTATTAGCTAAAATCCTTATTCATTGAAGTTCAACTGAACAGAACCCTACAGTGATCAGAATTGAATGCTGTTCTCCACTTTCCAAAGTAAATCACAATAAGATATAGTTGTACGAGGGATTTGTTTCATGTATCCATTTTTCAATTTTCAGAGATTGTCCACTTTCAACACAGTATCACAATTTATTGCATTCCTACTATGAGCCAGCACCATCCTAGGTACTGAGGATTCAGCAATTAACGAAACAGAACAAAATGCCTGCCCGTGTGGAGCTTACATCCCAGGGGGATGACATGGACAATAAACATGTTGAATACTTCTATGTCATAGCATGTTAAATAGTTCTATGTCACGGCATGTTAGAAGATAGTACAACAGGCCAGGTGCAGTGGCTCATGCCTGTAATCCCAGCACTTTGGGAGGCCGAGGCAGGTGGATCACCTGAGTTCGGGAGTCCAAGACCAGCCTGACCAACATGGAGAAACCCTGTCTCTACTAAAAACACAAAATTAGCCACCGTGGTAGCACATGCCTGTAATCCCAGATACTCAGGAGGCTAAGGCAGGAGAATTGCTTGAACCCAGGAGGCAGAGGTTGCGGCGAGCTGATACCATGCCATTGCACTCCAACCTGGGCAACAAGAGTGAAACTCTGTCTCAAAAAAAAAAAAAAAGAAGAAGAAGAAGAAGAAGAAGGAGGAGGAGGAGGAGATAATACAACACAGACTAAGGGGCAAGGGCACAGTCTAGGTGGGGAGGGCTACTATCTGAAATACGGTGAACAGGATAGGCCTTGCTGTAAAGGAGACATTTAAACCATCGGAATGAGGTAAAGGAGTAGCCACGTGGATATTTGGGAGAAAAGCATTCCAGGCTGAGGGAACAGTGCATGAGAAAGTCCTAAGGCAGGAGGTTGCCCACAAAGATCAAGGGAGAGCCAGGAGACCAGTGTGGAGGTGGTAGGAGAAGAGAGGAGAGAGGCATCCACCCTGCCTGGGCTTCATCCTCCTCCTCATCTCTGCAGAGTGGGATACGTTGCCCTCTTTATTCTCTCCCTTCTCTTGTCTTTCCTGATCCACTGCCTGATGGCTTCTCCGGGGCCCTTCTCTTCCACTGCCCACCCCAAAGACTTGGGCATTCACTGGGGCCTGGCCTTTCCCTTGATCTCTGTCTCTCTTCACCTCTGCCACCCTCTCCCATTTCCTCCCCTTCCTATCTTTCAAGGCTTCTTCCCTCTTTCTCATCCCCCTACCCATCTCTCTCTCTTTACTCTTCCTCCTCCTCACCTTTCTCTCCCCTATTATTTTCCCAGCTGTTCACCTCTTGCCTTTCTCCTCTCTCTCACACACACACACAATCCCCTCTCCTCCAACTTTCTCCCCGTTCCCACCTCTCTCCTTCCCTGTCTTTTTCTTGCTTATCTCACCTTCCCCATTTCCCTCAGTCTCCCATTCATTCTCTCCTCCCTCTCCCCCTCCTTCCCCTTCTCCCTCCCCTGTGCCTCCCCCTCCCCTCTACTCTTTGGCCTTCAGTCTCCCTCTTCCGGTCCCTCCCCGGTCTCCCTCTGTCTCTTTTCCTCCTAGTCTGCCTTTTGCTGGCTCTCTCTGGCTTCCCCCACCCATCTCTCTCCCTCTGTGCCAGTTGTCAGCCCTGCCCCACCTTCTCTCTCAGCTCATGAGCTTCCACAGTTTCAGCTCGCCCCTTGATGCACTGATGACTCCCAAATCTGTATCTCTAGCCTTGACCTCTCTCCTTAGGCCCAGACCAGAATTTCCAGCTGCCAGCAACTTGCTGTTAATTGGATGACCACCAAGCCCCTCAAACTCAATGTGTCTCAAACCATACTCATTATCTGTTCTCATAAACCTGCTCCCCACCCCCTATGCCCAGTAAGCAGCGTGTTTCCTAGCTTACTTAACGGCACTACCGTCCCCTAGCCTGGAAATTTCCGCCTTGTCATCTTCAACTCCTTCTCTCCCCTGCCGCCCATATTCGATCAGAAGTCAGGCCTTAATAATGCCATCTCCAGCCTTGCCTTCTACCCTTCTTGCCACTACCCTGGTGCAGGCCCTCATCAGCTCTCACCCAGAATATTATAATCACCTCTTAACTGCTCCCTCTGCCTTCAATTTCTTGATTCTACAATCAATTCATCTTCTAAAGCGCCAGTTCGATCATGTCACTCCTTCCCTCCTCAAAAGCTTTCAATAGCTTTCCCCGGCCTCTAGCACCCAGCCAGCCATTCTCAGCACTGCCTTCAGGGCCCTCATGACCTGGCCTCAAACCTCCTCTCCAGCCTCCTCTTCCACCACATCCTGCCATTTCCCCACCACTCTCACCACCCCCAGCTCCCAACCCTTCCTAAACACACCATCCAGTTTCAGGACTCTTCTGCCTCCTCACCCTGAAATGGCCTCTCCTGCTTCCCCCTCTTCCTCTCCCTGTCTTCTCTCAAGACTCAGCTTAAATGTCATCATGTCATCCCCCTAGCCCCAGCCCGAGTTCAGTTAACCCCTCCCTCTCTGGTTGTCCTCAAGTATTTACTCCCTACCTCTTCCACAGCACTGGTTCTTATTCTCCTCTCTAGCTTGGTTAGTTGGGGACAAGGCATGTTTGTCTCCCCCACCAATCAGCTACCTAAGGTAAGAAATAGCGTCCTTGGCCAGCCACGGTGGCTCACACCTGTAATCCCAGCACTTCGGGAGGCCAAGGTGGGCAGATCACCTGAGGTCAGGAGTTTGAGATCAGCATAGCCAACATGGGGAAACCCCATCTCTATTAAAATACCAAATTAGCCGGGCATGGTGGCACATGCCTATAATCCCAGCTACTTGGGAGGCTGAGGCAGGAGAATTGCTTGAACCTGGGAGGCGGAGGTTGAGGTGAGCCAAGATCGCACCATTGCACTCCAGCCTGGGCAACAAGGGTGGAACTCCATCTCAAAAACAAAAAAAAGAAAAAGAAAAAAAAAGCATCCTTTTTTGTCTTTGTTTCCTCCACGACACCTTACGTATAGTAACTACTCAGTAAATGCATGTTATATGGAACTGAATTCTGGATAAGAACTGAAGTGACGGCCCTGAGAAATCACAAGAAGCAAAATCAACAGCCACCCCCCGACACACACACACACACACACACACACACACACAAAGCATCCACCATGTTTGCTTACTACAGAAAAACCTTTGTACTCCAATGAAAAAACTATGCACTGTCTATAGCATAACCTTCTGGGCTATCTGATTTTAGCTCAGGTTATTGTCTTCAAGCTATTTTGCATCTCTGTAATTGCAGGTAACTGATGTATATGCGAAGTCTGTCTTGTCCCATTGAGTTTGGATTGTCTTTCCTCCCCACTGTAGAAAAACTACTTTTGCCTCCATTTGCAATTTATTTCCTTTACTCCATATAAATTTGTGCTTTTTGACTTTTTGTTTGAACCAGCTATAACATCTGTCTGGTTCTCTTGTTGATTAATGAGTAAAATAAAATCTTTAACACGTGTTCATTTTTGTATCTGTACGAGAGTCATGATTTTTTACCTTTTTTCTGACAATTATCTTTTAACATTATGAAGACAGTTATGTGGGTTAGCATAATTTTAGAAATATTTTTAACAAGGACCCCGTTCCCTGAACATCCTGGTTAATCAAGTTTTGACTGTTTCTCAGAATATCTTGGAATATCCCCATTTTAACCAACAACACTGGTTGGGCACAGTGGCTCACACCTGTAATCCCAGAACTTTGGGAGGTTGAGCTGGGAGGATTGCTTGAGTCCAGGAGTTCAAGACCAGCCTGGGCAACATGGCGAAACCCCATCTCTACAAAAAATTAGCCGGGCATGGTGGCGGGTGCCTGTATTCCCAGCTACTTGGGAGGCTGAGGTGGGAGGATCACCTGAGCCTAGGAGGTCAAGGCTGCAGTGAGCTGAGATTGTGCCACTGCATTCCAGCCTGGGCGACAGCAAAATCCTGTCTAAAACAAAAACAAAAACAAAACCAGCTCAGCCTATTGGCTGATACCCCAGGTACTCATTTCATCTTTTCTCTCTACTAAGCATTAGAGGACTCGGCCAGGCATGGTGGCTCACACCTGTAATCCCAGCACTTTGGGAGGCCGAGACGGGTGGATCACCTGAGGTCAGGAGTTCGAGACCAGCCTGGCCAACATGGTGAAACCCCATCTCTACTAAAAATACAAAAAATAGCCGAGCGTGGTGGCAGGCACCTGTAATCTCAGCTACTCGGAGGCTGATGCAGGAAAATTGCTTGAACCCGGGAGGCAGAGGTTGCAGTGAGCCAAGATCGCACCACTGCACTCCAGCCTAGGCGACAGTTAAGACTCTGTCTGGGGGGGGGGAAAAAGAATTAGAGGACTCAAGCAATGGAAGGGGCTGTTCTTGCCATAAAATGCATTTCAGGCCCAGAGCAGTGGCCTGTAATCCCACTGTAATCACGCCTGTAATCCCAGCACCTTGGGAGGCCAAGGCAGGTGGATCACTTGAGCTCAGGAGTTCAAGATCAGCCTGGGCAACATGGCAAAGCCCCATGTCTACAAAATACAAAAAAATAGCCGTGTGTGGCTGTGCAAACCTGTGGTCCCTGCTACTTGGGAAGCTGAGGTGGGAGAACTGCTTGAGCCCGGGAGGCAGAGGTTGCAGTGAGCCGAGATGGCGCCACTGCACTCCAGCCTGGGCAACAGAGGGAGACCCTATCTCAAAAAAAAAAAAAAAAAAAAAAAAAAAAAGATGTGTTTCAACACAAAGTACAAGTTTTAGTTGCTACTAAATATCTATAGGCAGCAGGTATTAGTGACACTAGATTTTTCACTCTCAGGTTTCGTATTGCTCTATTTAGAGAGGATTAGGATTAGTAGTATGTAGGGTCTGGGACAGAAATCAGAGGGGGAACACTGGCATTTGGAAACAGAACATCATACAACATCACCTAGATAAAGAGCTTTCAGGCAAAAAAAAAAAAAAAACCACAAAAAATAAAACCGAGTTAAAATATCAAAATAATTACTATATAATACACATGTTATGACCACGTAGAGAGCAACGCTGATTCTGGATAACTCCATTTTCACAAGATCCTCAAGATGGAGCATCCACTTAAATCTTTGCCTCTCAATTTTCTATCATGATTTTGTCCCAGGAGCGCCACTTCCTATCTGAAGCCCACTGTTGCTAATTAACAGTAGCCTCTGCAGATGAGAGGAGAGGAGGGGAGGGATAAAACACAGGCAGGAGAACACTGACACTGAGCTACATGGTCTATACAAGAAGGCAAGATTGGTCTTCCCCAGCCAGAGGGAAAGCAAAGGGAACCTCTAAAGCGGCCCTAGAGAACAGACTCCTGACTGCGTGAATGCTCACAGAAGGGAGGAGTCAGGACGGTCAATGTCAACCAATGTTTCCCCAGCCAGAATCACCGAGGAGCTTGTTCAAAATACAGATTCCTAGGTCTCAGTCCTGGAGATTCTGATTCAGTAGGCCTAGGGGTTTGTTTTATTATATTATAGCCAATCAAATTAGTATCCCAGGAGAGGTGAGCAAAAAGGAAAAGCCTTGCAGGCATGCCACACTTCGTAAGCGCTGCTGGTTTACACACTTGTATGCTGGCTTGCTTTTGCTTGAAGCACCGGTACTCATGTGTTCTCCCTTCCCACCTCCCCCCACCACCCCGCCTACTCTCCCTCTCTCTGATGGAAATCATCACATCAAAAGCAAAGTTCCAAAAAGGAACTTGGAAGAAACCTGGTAATCCCAAATGACCCAGGAAGCACAGGCACAAGGATATGAAATACCTCAAAGGATTTTCCCAGATGTCACAACCATGTAATTGTTAAAGAAATGAACAGCTGCATGGCCCAAGAATCAACCCTGGTCACTGCCTGGAAGGCAGAGGAACCACTGTGAGCTATCCCTACTTTGGGGGAAAAAACTCAAAAGATATATCCAACTCATGGTGAGGACAAAGGAGAGCACGTGCTCTGCCAATCCAAAGCCATAAGTGTGGCTGGGAAAAAAAAATACATATATATATATATATATATGTAAAACTTCAATTTAGGAGGCACATGCACAGAGAAGTAAAAGGCCTACCCAAGATCCCAGGAAATGAATCCAACAGGTGGGCAGCCAAGAGTAGGTAGCCAGAGACAATCACCACACTACAGAACAGGGGAAACCAAAAAGAAAAGGAACTAATGAGAGAGCAATAACTTTTTTTTTTTTTTTTTTTTTTTGGTGAGTCGGAGTCTCGCTCTGTCACCAAGGCTGGAGTGCAATGGCGCGATGTTGGCTCACTGCAACCTCCGCCTCCTGGGTTCAAGCGATTCTCCTGTCTCAGCCTCCTGAGTAGCTGGGATTACAGGCATGGGCCACCATGCCCGGCTAATTTTTGTATTTTTAGTAGAGACGGGGTTTCACCATGTTGGCCAGGCTCGTCTCGAACTCCTGACCTTCCGATCCGCCCACCTTGGCTTCCAAAAGTACTGGGATTACAGGAGTGAGCCACCGTGCCTGGCCGCAATAACTTTAAAATGGTGAAAAATAGCAGCTAAGCTGAGGGCGAGCGGGTAGTGGAAGAGAAACCATAATGAAGCAGAGATCTTTAAAACAATCCAAATAGAACACACTAGAAGACAAGGGCAGGTGTGATAGGCATAAAAGAAAAGCCCATCGCATGCAATAACCAAAAGGAAAAAAAATGAAATAGGGGAACCTGAAATATTTCACCATCATGGGCCAAACTGAAACACTGTGGGGAAGCACTGAAGACAGACATTTTAGAAAAGTTTAGAGAGAATGTGTTCTCAAAAGGGGAAGAATAACATCAAATTATAGCCTATGTCGGGGCTGGGGGAGTTAGTAATAGAGGATAGGCAGCACCAAAATCTCAAAGGAGATTTTACAGGTGGGATAGGATTTTTTTGTTTCGTTTTGAAATGAAGATGCCAAAACATGCAGATTTCACAACAATTACAAGCAAAAGCATGGTTGTCATCATGCATATGAGGAAGAGAAGGACATTAAAGGAGGTAACAGAGAAAGCATCTATCTGACAAATGTTTTTGACTGAGGTAGGCACTGTTTACGAGGTTTTTAACCTTAAAAAGGACCAGGCCAGGCATGGGCTCATGTCCATAACCCCAGCACTTTAGGAGGCTGAGGCAGGAGGACTGCTTGAGCCCAGGAGTTTGAGACCAGCCTGGGCAACATAGTGAGACCTCGTCTCTATAAAAAATAAAAAAATAGCTGGGTGTGATGGTGCACACCTGTGGTCCCAGCTACTCAGGAGGCTGTGGCAGAAGGGATCCTTCGAGCCCAGGATGTCAAGCCCACAGTGAGCTAAGATCACGCCACCGTACTCTAGCCTGGGTGACAAAGAGAGATCCTGTCTCAAAAAATAAATAAATAAAAGAAAATGATCAGGATGTTCATGCAGCTGACAAGTACTTCAGGATCATGTAGTTCCCTTTGTGGCTGAAGACCCCTTAAGTGCAGAACACTCAACTTATGGAACACAACTCGGTCTTCTACACATAGCATGAAACCTACCCATTTATTCATGCTTGGACTCTACCATCAAGACAGTAAACTAGAAACCCAAGCTTAAGAAGCTCTCAGTTAAACGAAATGTAGTCCTGCTCCCCCAGGCTCCTTTTGGTTCATACTGCCTGGTGACCTGGAAGCAATTATGACTTTAAAAAATGAAAGAGCCGGAAAATATTCATCTTGAAGCCTGGCCCTGAATCTGTCCTCTAGAGGATAGGCGTGGCCAGCAGACAGTTTAAGGAGGAGGGCTGGGTCAGTGATGACTAATAAGTAAGGAAAACCAACTTTGGGACCTACTCCTCCAATAGAGACCCAGAGCTCTTGGTAAAGCTCCCATAAGACAGAGGCAAACTTTACAGCAGCAAAAGGAGAGGCCACCTCATCATTCCACTTGGGAAAAAACAGCATCTAAGACACCCCTGAGGAGATCTAAGAGACCACTGACACTGAGATCTCAGGGCTAAAGGGAAAAGGCCATGACTTCTGCCCAGAAGTCTTTTAGAGTGAAGGCAAATCTGCTCATTGTTTTCCATAGGAAAATGTACACACACCCAGCAAGGACAACTTTACCCGGCTTTAGATGTGGAACTCCTACTACAGAGCTTGCCCTCCTGATTACTCTGCCTTCTTCCATGTGTATTCAACAGAATGTGTTAGGAGACTAACATTCCTGTTTTCCCTACTTCATTACATACCACAACCCCTGCCCCCAATGAGGAAGTTACCCCAATTTAAACCGTTCTGGCCGGGTGTAGTGGCTCAGGCCTGTAATCCCAGCATTTTGAGAGGCAGAGGCAGGTGGATCACTAGAGGTCTGGAGTTCAAGACCAGCCTGGCCAACATGCCGAAACCCCATCTCTACTAAAAATACAAAATTAGCTGGGCATGGTGGTGTGCGCCTGTAATCCCAGCTACTCGGGAGGCTGAGGCAGGGGAATCACTTGAACCTGGGAGGCAAAGGTTGCAGTGAGCCAAGATGAGGCCACTACACTCCAGCCTGGGTGACAGAGCTAGACTCCGTGTCAAAAAATAAAAATAAAAATAAACTTATTTAATGATCTAATACATATAAGGGTATTCGAAAATTCTCCTCAATCTTTACCCCCAATATCTATATTCCCTCATCTTTCCCTACCATTAACCAAATATTCCCTGAAACTCAAGAGTCCCATAGAGAGGCCAGACGTGGTGGCTCATGCCTGTAATCCCAGCACTTTGGGAGGCCAAGGTAGGTGGATAACTTGAGGTCAGGAGTTCGAGACCATCCTGGTCCACATGGTGAAACCCCATCTCTACTAAAAATACAAAAATTAGTCAGGCCTAGTGGTGGGCACCTGTAATCCCAGCTACTCAGGAGGCCGAGGCAGGAGAATCGCTTGAACCTGGGAGGCAGAAGTTGCAGTGAGCCAAGATCATGCCACTGCAGTCTAGCCTGAGCAACAGAGCGAGACTCTGTCTTGGAAAAAAAAAAAAGAAGTCCCATAGACATGCCCCCAAACACTTTACTTTGCTTCTCTTCATGCCAAGTTGGTTCCTCTACTACTGCACACACAAAATCAACTAGAAATAATCTGCCAGGCAATTTAAAGGAGAAAGAACAGCCCTTTCTGCTGTTCATCCCAAACTTCTGCCTGACTAAAAATCTATTCTAACACTTTCTACTTCCCCTGGATTTTTTTTTTCCTATCCAAATATTTCCACTGATATCTACCCCAAGGGATCAGTCTTATAAGGCATATTGTATCTTTTGCCCAGATACATTAATTCTGGTATTTAGTGGGAAGGCTAGGTAGTTGCCGGCATATAGGTCTAGCATGGACCCCTTCATAGACTCTTTGGGTACTTCCATGTCTAAAACCTTACCTATAAACATTTATGAGACTGGATACAAAGGAATGTTAACTGCTGTTAAACACATGAGCGTTTATCATTCAAATGAATGTAGTTACCCCAAAGTAGTCGCCTCAGGAGGCTGGACAGTCATCTCAGCCGAGCGGCCAGGGCTTGCAATCTCCCTGGAGTTCCTCTGTGAGCGTTAGCATCCAGACCAATACTACGTCCTTTTCACTCTCCTCATTAGTGCTGGAACCCATCCTTTCAGGGTCGATCTGATGTTTAGGAACATCCAAAATCCATTCAGAACAATCTACTCAAACAGCAGCAATATTAAACAGAACCATCTAATCAAGTAATGCCTTGAAAAGTGATATACTCTAGCACCCATAGCCTACACTGCGGTGGGAAAACTTGGAGAACACTCCCAGTCCCCACTTCTCAGCCATCTCAGACTATCTCTCTATGTCCATTTACCATGTCACCTGCAAAATGGGAATAAACTACTAGTCCCTACTAAAAATTTGGAATAACATGAAAGCACTTAGAAAAGGACCATAGACTGGCCGGACATGGTGGCTCACGCCTGTAATCCCAGCACTTTGGGAAGCCAAGGCAGGCGATCACCTGAGGTCAGGAGTTCAAGACCAGCCTGGCCAACATGGTGAAACCCTGTCTCCACTAAAAACACAAAAAATTAGCTGGGCATGGTGGGGGGGCATCTGTAATCCCAGCTACTCGGGAGGCTGAGGCAGCAGAATCGCTTGGACCTGGGGGGTCAGAGCTGAGATTGTGCCATTGCACACCAACCTGAGCTACAAAAGCAAGACTCTATCTCAAAAAAATAAATAAATAAAATAAAAATTAAAAAATAAAAAAAAGGACCATACGTAATCTATTCCAAGAATGAAGTAGTCAAATGCAAAAGCTTTAATCTTTTGCTTACATTTTATTTCTTTCTTTGAGACGGGTCTTGCTCTGTAACCCAGGCTGGAGTACAATCGCATGATCATAGCTCACTGCAACCTTGACCTCCCAGGCTCAAGCAATCCTCCTACCTCAGCCTCTCAAGCAGCTGGGACCACAGGTGTGCACCACCATACCTGGCTAATTTAAAATTTTTTTCAGTACAGTCAGGGTCTCCCTATGTTGCCTAGGCTGGTCTCAAACTCCTGGCCTCAAGCAGTCCTCCTGCCTTTGCCTCCCAAAGTGCTGAGATTATAGGCGTGAGCCAGCGTGCCTGGCCTCACTTACATTTTCATACCGCCAGATTCTTTTTGCTTTCTACCCATTGCTATGATACTTTTTTCTTATTATTCAAACAGTACTCACTTCCATTTCCTGCTGTAAGAAAATTACTTTACTCCATTTAACAAAAACACCTCATCATAGCTTTATAATAAACCTCGGCTCTAGCTACAAGATTTTATACAACTTCTAGATGTCACGCAAAACTTAAGTGATCATTGTGAAATTAATCAGTCCTTTCAAAAGGCAAAGCAACCTCAAAATGTCACCCTAAATATCTAGGGTCATTTTTTGAGTACTTCTAATTTCCGCTAGAACAAAAACACAAATTGGCTTCCCTCAATCTTGGTCTTCAGCAGGACCATATAAATATTTAGTGTGTTTTTCACACTCTAAACTTGAATCATTGTAATATGAGACATTCTGAATCCCTTTTGAGATGCTTCTGGGTCCTGCCTGCCATAGACTGTGACAGTGGCCCTCTGGTGTCTCCATTTCAGTATACTATATTCATGATACGCAATTTTTCACCTAAAGACAATTCCTAGCTGGGCGCACTGGCTCACACCTGTAATCCCAACACTGAGAGGCCGAGGCAGACAGATCACTTAAGCCCAGGAGTTCCAGACCAGCCTTGGCAACATGGTGAAACCCCGTCTCTACAAAAAATACAAAAATTAGCCAGTCTCATAACCCGGTCTCTAAATATATATATATGGTTTTAAAAAAGACAATTCTTCCTCACCCAACTTTTGCTTTTATAAAAGTCTCCTGGACTACATAACACAAATATTTGGAGAGACCATTATCAGGTTATTCTTTCTATTTTCTCACAACAGAACAGACTCAGCTATGGGTTCAACTAATTTTATATATATTATTCATTCAAAGGTGTATCTATACAGCTTTCATTAAACAGTATTAGCTCAAAGAGTTTGTTGTTGTTATTTTAAGACTGGGTCTCAACTCTGTCACCTGGGCTGAAGTGCACTGGCACAATCACAGCTCACTGTAGCGGCACTCCCGGGCTCAAGTGGCCCTCCCACCTCAGCTTCCCAAGTAGCTGGGACTATAGACACATGCCACCACACCTGGCGCCACCAAGCCCAGGTAATTTTTGTATTATTTTGTAGAGACAGGGTCTCGCTACATTGCCCAGGCTGGTCTTGAACTCCTAGGCTCAAGTGATCTGCTAGCCTCGGCCTCCCAAAGTGGTGGGATTATAGGCGTGACGACTGTGCCTGGCCCAAAAATTATTTTAAAAATCAGCTGTGCCTGGTGGTATGGGCCTGTGGTCCTAGCTACTTGGGAGGATGAAGTGGGAAGATCACTTGAGCTCGGGAGGTCGAAGCTGCAGTGAGCTGAGTTTGCACCACTCTACTTCAGCGTGGGCAATAGAGCAAGACTCCATCTCAGAAACAAAAATAAAAATAAAAAGCGCCAGGCACGGTGGCTCACGCCTGTAATCCCAGCACTTTGGGAGGCCGAGGTGGATGGATCACGAGGTCAGGGGTTCGAGACCAACCTGACCAACATGGTGAAACCCCGTCTCTACTAAAAATACAAAAAAAAAAAAATTAGCTGGGCATGGTGGCGGGCGCCTGCAATCCCAGCTACTCAGGAGGCTGAGGCAGGAGAATTGCTTGAACCCGGGAGATGGAGGTTGCAGTGAGCCGAGATCGCACCACTGCACTCCAGCCTGGGCAGCAGAGCAAGACTCTGTCTCAAAAAAAAAAAAAAAAAAAAAAAAGAATATTTTCTGCCGGGCACAGTGGCTCACACCTGTAATCCCAGCACTTTGGGAAGTTAAGACAGGAGGAATGCTGGAGCTCAGGAGTTTAAGAACAGCCTGGGCAACACAGGGAGACCCTGCCTCTACTAAAAATAAAAATAAAAACAATTGTCCGGGCATGGTGGCCTGTCCCAGCTACTCAGGAGGCTGAGGCAACAGAGCCAGACCCTGTCTCAAAAATAAATAAATAGACTAGGCGCAGTGGCTCACACCTGTAATCCCAACACTTTGGGAGGCCAAGGCAGCCGGATCACTTGAGGTCAGGAGTTCGAGACCAGCCAGGCCAACATGGCAAAACCCCATCTCTACTAGAAAAAATACAAAAATCAGCCAGGCGTGGTGGTGGGTGCCTATAATCCCAGCTACTCAGAAGGCTGAGGCAGGAGAATCACTTGAAACAAGGAGAAGGAGGTTGCAGTGAGCCAAGATTGCATCACTGCACTCCAGCCTGGGCAACAAGAACGAAACTCTATCTCAAAAAATAAATAAATAATATAAATACAAAAATTAGCCAGGCATGGTGGCTCACACCTATAGTCCCAGCTACACGGGAGGCTGAGGCAGAAGAATCGCTTGAACCCAGGAGGCGGAGGTTGCAGTAAGCCGAGATCACGCCACTGCACTCTAACCTGGGCAACAGAGTGAGGCTCGGTTTCAAATAAATCAATCAATAAATAAACAAATAAATTAATTAATTAAATAAACACAACAGCCCTTTTCAGAAAGCAATGGTTTTTAAAAATGTCACCCATGGCCCGAAATGTTCCCTAGAGTTTCAACTGGATATACACTCCTCAGTTCCTGTCCTGAACTATTGAGCAGTGTTACAGCATAGCTGTTAAAGAAGCCGCCACTTCCACCTCAAAGGTAGATGCAGTGATGAGTCAAGCTTTCTTCCTAGCATGTTGTAAATGCCAAATGTGTACTAATACAACAGGAATATGAAGAAAGAGGACAGAGAATCAAGATATAAGGGGACCACTGAGAAGCTGTTGATAGTTTTCATGCTGCCACCATGTTTACTATAACATAATAGGATACAATTGAACAAGAAAAATTAGATAATAATATAATAATAGGGCCGGGCACAGTGGCTCATGCCTGTAATCCCAGCACTTTGGGAGGCCAAGGCGGGCGGATCACGAGGTGAGGAGATTGAGACCATCCTGGCTAACACAGTGAAACCCCGTCTCTACTAAAAATACAAAAAATTAGCCGGGCACGGTGGTGGGCGCCTGTAGTCCCAGCTACTCAGGAGGCTGAGGCAGGAGGATGGCGTGAATCCAGGAGGCAGAGCTTGCAGTGAGCCGAGATAGCGCCACTGCACTCCAGCCTGGGCAAAAGAGCGAGACTCCATCTCAAAAAAGAAAAAGAAAAAAATATATATATAAAATAATAGGTCCCATTTATTGAGCACCTACTATGGGCCTGGGATGATTTTGTGTAATCCTCACAGCCCTGTGAAATTGGTATTATCATCTCCATTGTATAGATGAGAAAACTGAGGCTCAACAAAGTTAAGTGGGCCGGGCATGGTGGCCCATGCCTGTAATCCCAGCACTTTGGGAGGCTGAGGTGGAAGGATCACCTGAGGTCAGGAGTTCGAGACCAGCCTGGCCAACATGGCAAAACCCCATCTCTACTAAAAATACAAAAATTAGCTGGACGTGGTGCTGGGCGCTTGTAATCCCAGCTACTCGAGAGGCTGAGGCACGAGAATCGCTTGAAGCCGGGAGGTGGAGGTTGCAGTGAGCCAAGATAGCACCACTGCACTTCAGCCTGGGTGACAGAGCAAGACTCTGTCTAAAAACAAAAAAAAAAGAAACAAAGAGAGTTAAGTGAAGACCTGGCACGGTGGCTCATGCCTGTAATCCCAACATGTTGGGAGGTTGAGGTGGGCAGATCACTTCAGGTCAGGAGTTCAAGACCAGCCTGGTCAACATGGTGAAACCCCGTCTCTACTAAAAATACAGAAGTTAGCCAGGCATGGTGGTGGGCACGTTTAATCCCAGCTACTCAGGAGGCTGAGGTGGGAGAATAGCTTGAACCCAGGAGACGGAGGTTGCAGTGAGCCGAGATCACACCACTGTACTCCAGCCTGGGCAACAGAGCTAGACTGTCTCCGGTTAAAAAAAAAAAAAAAAAAAAAAAAAAAAAAAAAAAAAGACGGGTGCGGTGGCTCACGCCTGTAATCCCAGCACTTTGGGAGGCCAAGATGGGCAGATCACAAGCTCAGGAGATTGAGACCATCCTGGCTAACACGGTGAAACCCCGTCTCTACTAAAAAAAAAAAAAAAAAAAAAAAAATTAGCCGGGCATGGTGGCGGGCGCCTGTAGTCCCAGCTACTTGCGAGGCTGAGGCAGGAGAATGGCTTGAACCCGGGCAGCGGAGCTTGCAGTGAGCCGAGATCATGCCACTACACTCCAGCCTGGGTGACAGAGTGAGACTCTGTCAAAAAAAAGAACGAAAGTAAGTTAAGTGACTTGCCTCCTGCCACATAGCTAAGAAGTAGAACAGCAAGCACTCTAACCTGAGGTTGTCGGTCTCCAAAGCCCCCCCAGGCAATTCTGAGGAGCTCAAGTTTGAGAACCACTGTACTATACTAACTGGGGTGTGGTACAACCAAGTTAAACTGAGTAAAGCCTCATTATCAGAAGATAATCATCTCATGGATTCAGGTATACAGTGCATCAACTCACCTCTGCGATCATAGTCATATACGGTGCACTTCTCCACAAAACTTGGAAAAGCAAAAATCTGCTTGTTCTCCTTGTCCCTGGACATCAGCATTATAACAAAACTCAACAGTACCCTTAAATGGCACTAACACTATGATTTCTAGGCATACCTTAGTAATGAGGTAACCAAATTTTGTTTCTCAGCAGACCCACGGTAAAGAAGCCCAAAACACAAAGCTTTCCCTGCTCCTTGGTACTCTGGATTCCTCACGGACCTTCAGCTTAAGGTTTTCTTAAAATACAAATGAAGAGGTATCCTGCCTCACATACTGTGATGAGTAAATCTGAAAATTACCACATTTTACAAATAATATATCAGCTGTATTCAAATTCATCATAATTCATTGACCAGGGAAAATATGACCTTGACATGCAGCCTGCAGTTACTCAGTTACTTTTTTTTTTTAAAAAAAAGATCCTTTTTTATGTTTTATGGGGAAAAGGTCACTTCTGCTTAGAATAAAAAAGAAAACTAGAACAGCATATTTGAATTACGGGGATAGAAACACAGAGTTAAATTTTACTCTTGACCAGAATGAAACTTCAGTTCGCCAAAGAAAGTTCTCATCATAAAAGATTGCTTTTAAGTTATGAACAGTGGGAAAGGGAATGATTTAATTTAGAAAAAGAACCATTTCTACATTATTTTAAGGATAACCATTCAAAAATGGGCATTAATAAAGCCTAGTTCATATGTAAAATTATATCAAATACTGTACTAGCATCCTAGTGGCCGAAAAGTAGATATTACCTCCCTCTTTGGCCATCCTGACACTAAACACTCTGGCAACCATGGACTCACACCTAATTCAAACTCCAGCATTAAGAAACTTCCCTTCTCTTTGAAAACTCAAAGGCCTAGGGTCTTCCCTCTGGGTTATGTAATCATCAGTGGCTTCTACCTTTTCCTATTCTACCCCAACAATTGTGTCACTTTCTCCAGCACCCTCTCTGTTCCACTCCGGTGTTCACTTTCCCACCCAAACTTGACCTCGAATTTCTTCACTCTGATTCTGATGCTGATTGGCCCTGAAGAACAGCTCTCTACTCTCTTTGGCTGTTCTATTTCATCCCAAGCTTAGCTCAGCCCAGAATCAATGAATTACTCCATGTGGCCTCCAGTCCAAGCCCTGATTAGAGCCTCTCTTCCATGCCCCTAACCCCACCCTCCAATTCTGGCCCACAGGCTCTCATGTCACTCAGTTTTTTATCCAGTTTCACCCTGGAATTTCCATCACTCATCTCCTGATACCTAGGATCCTTCCCACCTGCAGACTGGAAACACTGGTGGATTCCCACTTTTTCCTTCTTTCAAGGCCACTCTATTTAGGACAGTGAATCCCTCCCCCCATTCAGTATCCTTACTTTAGTCTAGATTTTCTAATTAATGTTTAGATGTGTAAGGCCTGGATCCCAGCTAACCTCTGCTTCCTGGGCCCTCTCAGGGCAGTGGCTATCAAAGGCAAGATTTTCCGCTCCCTAACACCGGCTCCAAAAGATATCTGAGTAAATATCTTCCTCCTTTGGCTCTTAATTCCTCTCTTTTTCTCTCACATTCTGCATTTTAACCTGTATATAATCTCTAAGTTCCCTATTTCCTTATGGATAAATATGCTTGTATTTCTCTCTAAATGCCAGTTTCTCCCCCACCCTACTTTTACCCCATATATTCCTTCTCTCTTGCCCCAACCTTAGTGATTCCAGCATGAAATTGTAAAGAGCTTTAAGAGTTCTTCAAAGTTTACTTTGGAAAACATTGTCCTAGAGATTTCAAGGTTTGACTTTTTCCTTAGCTGGCCCTTACATGGGACCAGTGATGATCACCTTTCTTTTCCTTTCATTGCTCAACCAGCCCTCTTCCTGACTTCTCTTTCTTGCCTTCCTTCCCTCTAGTGTCCAAGTCCTTTTTTCCCATAATTCTGTTTCTCTCAAAGAAGCCCTTCCCTACAACCCATAATCCAACCAATAGTGTCCTGAGATCCTCCACTCCCTGTACTGAACATTTTTTTCTTTTTTCTTTTTTTGTTTTTTTGTTTTTTTGTTTTTGTTTTTGAGATGGACTCTCGCTCTGTTGCCCAGGCTGGAGTGCAGTGGCACGATCTTGGCACACTGCAACCTCCACCTCCCAGGTTCAAGCAATTCTTGTGCCTCCACCTCCCAAGTAGCTAGGATTACAGGCACGCCCCACCACACCTGGCTAATTTTTGTGATTTTAGTAGAAACGGGGTTTCACCATGTTGGCCAGGCTGGTCTTGAACTCCTGACCTCAAGTGATCTGCCTGCCTTGGCCTCCCAAACTGCTGGGGTTACAGGAGTGAGCCACTGCACCCGGCCCATTTTTTTCTATTTCATGAACTGCATCATAAATGAAGCAGAGCCCTGTGGAGGACCCCTCTTTTCTTCCCAAGAATGTCTATGTCACTGAGAAAGGGATCCTCCCTCTTTATCTACGCTTTCCTGGCAAATCAAAATAGCCAGACCCACATGAGTGTTTTTGGTGCAGCCATCATGTCTTGTGGAACTCCCTCCACTCTGCCCTATGCAGACTCCAGCAGCAGAGCTTGCCAGGGCCTTAGCTTTTCTCTGCCCTATGCCAACGATTTGTTTTGCTGTCCCTTCCTTATTGGCCTTTTCTAAAAATTTGCTGTCCCTTCCTTATTGGCCTATTCTAAAAAAATTTTTTAAAAATCCTCCTGAACTCAGACAAGGGAGAGGTGAAACCCCTCTCCTTCCTCATCAATGACTTACAGCCAGGACAAAAATAAACTGGGCCGGATGGATCACCTGAGGTCAGGAGTTCAAGACCAGCCTGGCCAACATGGCGAAACCCTGTCTCTACTAAAAATACAAAAAATTAGCCAGGCGTGGTGGCGGGCACCTGCAGTCCCAGCTACTCTGGAGGGTAAGGCAGGAGAATCACCGGAACCCAGGAGGCGGAGGTTACAGTGAGCTGAGATTGTAGCACTGCACTCCAGCCTGGGCGACTGAGACTCCATCTAAAAAAAAAAAAGAAAAGAAAAGAAACCTAACCACCCTTGTTGCAAAGCTGGTATCAGGATCAGCCCTCTTAAGGTCAATTTTAGTCAGGATCTGTGCCCCAAGGCCTGTACCTTTCATCCCTCACATCTGCCCCAAGGGCAGTTGCCTAAGTTGCCCTGTCAAAAGATGTCCGCCTAACAACATCCTCATGACTTAGTCAAGATGGCCACATCCCTAAACTCTACTATCAACCTTCAGATTCTCTTAACTTGACTCACCAAGCCCCTTGCTCTTCCCAGCTACCTCAATCTTTGCTACTAACTTTTCGCCTCCATCGAAATTTTACAGGCTCCTCCCCAGCCTTTTGCTTCTATTTGGAGCCCCGGGATGATTCTTAAAATTAGGTTATCCCATTTAATCCCCAGTGGAATCCCCCAAATTTCTCTCCTACATACTGTCATCTTTAGTACCACATGGTGACATCACCATTCAATTAAAGTACCCTAAACTGTGCACCAGACATCCTCCACTGTGCCATCTACCATCTTCCCCAAAATAAAGCTCCCTCAATTCCAACATTCAAGGACAGGACATATCAACAGAAAAGTAAATAACCTTAAAACTCCCTTCCAACCTTGAAATTTTATAATCAACCTAATCCACTCCCAACCCCAAATGCAATCCACATTTATTTTCCCATGTAACTCAACGGCGTGCTTTTGAGAAAGAGCCTTCTAAGTTGAAAGAACCACAGGGCTAACCACTGTAACGCTAACCTACAACTCATCTCCAGAAGTCTTACTGAAGATTTTTGCAATTGTACTCCACCTCTGTACCACAGGGACGACCTCCAAACTGCCTTAACAGTAGTCAAGCTGTGGCACAAAGTTACCGGGCCCCCTTCCCACACTAACGTAAAGAGCCTCTAAACCCTGGGCTAGATGCTTGCTCGCCAAAGGATGCCTGTCTTTACTGTCTACTCCAGGAGACACCAAGAATGAATATCACCCCATCGACAGTTTCGATCAGCCAACATTGAAAATTTCAAAACAATAAAACAAAAACATAGTGCTTCCACTCAGGGAGGGAGGAGGTGCGAGCGGAATAGAAGGGCACCCCCACGGGCCTGTGCTGTTGGCCTCCCGGGTTTGCAGTGTTTCCCTCCCACCTTTCCCCTCGACCACGTCTTTCCCTACAACAATCTCCCGCACCTCCATAACGCGAAATCCCCAGCCGAGGTGCGGCCGGCTCCTCCCAGCCTTGCCCCGGACGTCCCTCTGGCCCAGCCTTCCTCTCGGCGGGACCCCGGCGAGGAGGGCCCCCTCCACCGACCAGTTCACCTCCCTATCCCTTCCCCGGCCTCTTGGCGCCCCTGCAGGGCTCTGTCCCGAAACCGAACCTCGAGGAGCCAAGCCCACGAGGCCAGTCGCGGGACCCACACCCCCCTTCCTTCTCCCAGCACCTCGTCCTCCATGCACCCGGCCCCCGGGGCTCCTCGTCGTCGTCGTCCCGGCTCGTACCGCCCCCCGTCGGGGGCTCCACCCCCCCGCCTGCCCCCGCCCCCAGGACGGCCCCCTCCCCACCGCGCGCCGCCTGCGCCCTCTGCCCCGGCACGGGACTCTCTTTGGCCTCCGTTCCCCGCCCAGAAGCGGCGGCGGCGGCGGCGGCAACGGCTGCGGCGGCCCCAGCAGGAGCAGCAGCGGCGGCGGCGGCAGCGGCGGCGGCAGCAGCGCCGCCCCCGGCCCCGCCCCGCCGCCCGCCGGAGCCCCACGCCCCGCCCGCCCGCCCCGCCGCCGGACTGCTCCCCCCGAAGCCCACCACTAAGCCCTCCCACTCCCCGGCCGCGATCCGCTCGAATCCAGCTCCGCTGGGCCTGCTGTCCGTCCCTCACGCCCCTTAGGACCCGGGGTGGGGGAGCCCTGGGGTTCGCGGCCATCCCTCTCCCTCCTTCTCCAAGGGCCGGGGGATTGCCCCTGATCCCGAAACCCGGCCCCGTAACCGGAGCCTCCCTCCTTCCAGCCCTCGGCTTCGCTCGCCGACCCCTTGCCTCCAGGCCTGGCGCGAAGCGGGTGGAGGGCTTGCACGCCGGATCTCCCCTCTGGCTTGCCGGTGCTAGTATGAATTGCCCCCGATCTCATCTTCCTTCAATTTAAGCCCCCTCCCCGCCGCGCCCGGCCCGGCGGCCCCCGCCCCTAGAGCGAGGGCAGCGGAGCCAGGGCGCTCCGAAGTCATCCCCCGCCTTTTTTCCAGGGACTCGGATAATTGCCCCTGCCCCCATCACAGCACTCCCACTCCCGAACCCAGGCCCCGCCGCCACCTAGGGGTACCCCTTACCCTACGATTCCCGCACCCCAGCGCCGGGAAGAAAGCAGCCCTGAAGAGCACCCGTCGCACCTCCCCTCTGAGGTTGGAGGGCATTTTCTCCCGGTCTCTTCAACACTTCATCACGGACACCCCCCCCCCCCAAAAAAAAGCCTTTTCTCGCCCTGCCCTGCTAGCCAGCCTCCCTTCGGATCGTCGGATCCTTGGATCGGGGGTTGGAGTCAGGTAGTTAACAAGACCATAGCCTCCACCTCCCTTTCCGAGGAGTGGGGTAATTCCTATGGTTTCCCCCCCAGGATCAACCGACCCCCGTTTCCATGGAGACCCCCGCCCAGCCGGGAAGAAGACTCTCTTGGATCGTGGCGAACGAGTCTCACCTGGCTAAGAGAGAAGGGGGTCGAGAAGGGGGTAGGGCAAGTCAGGGGATGGGGTACGAAGGTGGGAAGTGGAAGGGAGCTGTCCCGAAGGGAGGGGCGAAGACATACCCAGCTCCAGGGAGCGCTACGTCCGGGGACACGAAGAGGACGGCGCCCCCGGGGGGCAAGCCGAGCGGCCGCAGGGAAAAGAAGGAACAGGGTTGGAGAAAGGCTTAAGATAGAAAGAAGCGGGTGGGGGGATACGAAAAAGCCGGGGAGTCAAAAGGGGTGGAGGGATTGGGGGAGAGAGAAAAAAGACGCACCTGTTCCCGGGTCGGCTCCGCGGGGAGGCTCAGGCCGCCACCCGGGCTCCCTCTTACTCCCTCTTAACCGCCACCCGCCTAATACTGCCCCGATCTGATGCCCCCCTCCGCCCCTTATCGCCACCGACCTCCTTCTCCTCTCTCTCGGCGGCGGCGGCGGTCGGACTCTAGGAACTGAGAGGAAGAAGGGAGGGCTCAGCAAAGCGGAGGAGAGACAGAGCCACACACTGGCAGCAGCCGCGGCGAGCGAAAGAGTGAGGGGGAGAGCGGTGTGTGTGTGTGTCTGTGTGCGAGCGAAGCCTGGTGGAGTGGGTGCCGGTCGCAGGGCTCGACGGGAAGTGGAGTCCGGCTGGGTCCGCGGGCGGCGCCAACCCCCGCTCCACCGGACTACAACTCCCAGAATGCGGCCTACGCGGGTGGGGGGGAATGGGGAGGAGGAGGCGAAGGGAGGGAGCGAGCAAGAGAGGGAGGGACGAAAGCAGGGAGCAAGCGGCGGCGAAGGGGGCAGAGCCAAGCAGCCCCGGTGACACTGGGAGGGGAGGAGAGGAGGAGGGGATCGCTGAGAGGACCGAGCGGATTCCGGAGAGGGAGGCAGCAGTGGCTGCAGCAAGCCGGGCAAAAAGCTAGACTCCTGGGAGAGGCGGAGGCGCTCAATCTGCGGGGCTGCAGGAGCCCCACGTCCCCCCCCACCTCGACGCCCCTCGAAGGGGGAGGTTGAGGAAGGGAGAGGGTCAGTGAGCCGCGGCCAAAGGGTTCTCTCTCTTTCTTCCAACGTTCTCCACCTTATGCCCCGACCTGACTTTCTCAGGCCACTGGTGCCGATCCAGTGTGCAAATCTCGAGACCCCAGATCTCCTCTGCCGGGCAGCGGAGAACAGACGCATTCAGTCCCCTTCTCCCAGGGGCCTGAGGGAGGCTCCCCTTGCAGGCAGGGCGTGACTCCCCCTTCTTCCCGCTCCCCCCCCCACCGTCGTCGCCACCCCCCCATCTCCCTCCCCGGAACCCCTCCCCTGAAGCCGGGGCTCGCCTCTCTCTCTCCCCGCCAAGACACGGAGTCCTTCTGGGGACGACTACCCAGCCCCCTCCCTTATACTGGGCCCCTACCCACCAGTATCCCCTTCTTAGCGTTGCCCCCTCACCGAAATAATGGTGGGGGCGACCCGAGTTGGACTGGTGGCTACTTTCCCTCCAAGGCTAGCCGTCCTTCGCCACGCCGACCCTGTGTAGAAATAGAGAAGCATATTAATACTCCCGTCCCCCCTCCCCCCCAGATTTGAATACCCGTGGAAGTGGCTCACAAGAAAGAGGGGTTGGTAGTGGAAGTGAGCTAGGGGTGAATCCCAATCTTCAAACCTCATCCCTCCCATGGAAATCCAGGTATTCGCCTTTTGCTTAAAAGCCATTAAATCGCTTGGGTGGGGGGTAAATTATCTAAACCCCAATGTCCATGCGACTCGAAGCGACGCTACCTTGTAGGAATAAGATACGAACTAGGTTGCCGCCACGGGAAGGAAAGTATCCCCCACCCCCGTCGCCGTCCACCCCCAAAAACACATACCCCTAGGAGAGTCAGATGGCTGAAGAAGGGGGAAGGCGGTGGGAGTGCTGGAGAGTAAAAGGACTGTGGCGGGGAGGGTCCGCGGCCCCCACTACGAGAGCAGAATCCAGATGCTAAGAGGTGGGTGGGGGGTGCGGCACAATCGCAGACTGTGTCTTTCCTCGCTTTTCCCGGAATCGCCGCCCGATCACCGTCTAACACTCGGAGTTGCTTACCACTCAGTCCCCTAGCCCCATTTGTGCGCGTGAGGCGGCCAGAGCCCGGGAAGCCCGGGCACAAACTCCGCGGAAGCTGGCCTTCGCTGCCGCCGCGCCGCCGCGGGCCTCCCTCCCTCCGCTCGCGGCCCCGCCGATCTACCTTCGCCCCCGGCCGAGGCCAGACCCCGCTCACAACTCCACGCCCCTACTCCACCCCCGGCTCTCCCTCCCCTCGCCCTCTCCCTGCGGGTCCGGCCCAGCCCCTAGCGCCGCCCCGCCCTACCGCTCGGTCCAGAGCCCAGCAAGTGCCCCGAACTCGCCCCCCGCCCCCACGCCCAGGCCAGTCTGGCCAGGCCTGGTTTCCCCCTCCCGCCGCGCCCCGCCCCCGAATCCACGTCCTACTTCGCCACCCAACTCGGCCCGGTCGGGGTTCGGCCCGCGCCCACGCCACCGGAGTCCCCGATTCGGTCCGGTGTACGGCCACCCACCCCGCCCTTGCCTGGGTGCTGGCCTGGCCCGCTGCCTGCGCCCGCCGAGCCGGCCCAAGCGCGCGGTCCGGGTCCGGGTCCAGGTGCCGGCCTCGGTCCCGGCAGTGTTGCCGCGACTCGCCACGCGGGCTCGTTCCACGCAAGATCGGAACCCACGCGGGGTGGGGGCCGCGGGAAGCAAGTTTCTTTATCCTCCCCCCGCCCCCGCCGCAGGGCCGCACCGTTCCCCCACCACCCCCGCCTCACGGCGCCCCCTTTACCTGGGCAGAGCCCCCGGCCGCTGTCGCAACTTTGCTCTTCTCCACGCCGCCGGGGAAGCGGGCGAAGCGGGAGGAGGGAGGTGGCGGGGGGTGCTGGGATCAGGCTGCTGGGCTCAGGGAGGACACGTGGGGGAGGAGGGGAAGGAGGAGGAGGAAGGGGGGGCGGGCCTGCAGTTCTCGGGGCTCCCCCTGCCAGTCCCGGGGAAGCCGGAACCTCGCCGGGCAGCCGCAGACCCCGCACTGGCCACGGGGGAAGAACGGAGCCACCTTCCTCGGCCAGCCCCTGGCTCCAGGAAGGGGGGGGTCGAGCAACGCGCCGTTCGGGTCGGAGAGCGAAAGATTTCGCTCCTGCTCTGTGTGACTCTCATCCCCGTTTTAGCCTCAGTGTATGTTGTGGGGGGGCAAAGGGTCTTGCATGCGGTGGGGGAGACCTCCCCGCCGGATGCCCCGCCCCTCCCCCGGCCCCCCACTTCCCCACCCTGGGCGACCTCAGTGCGTGGTTCTGGCGCTCAAGCTCCGAGGCCGCCCGCGGGCGCAGCCCCAGCCCCGGCGCCGAAGTGGGACAGGTGCTGGGGAAAGGAAAATGCCAGGGCTCGCCGCCTTGCCTCTCGTCTCCAGGGCGGCCCACCCTTGGTGGCAACCTCCCCCGGCTGCAAACCCCCTGGGCCACCCTCAGTGGGTAACACCACCTGGGCGTGGAGGCATCTGGGGATGGAGGCGGGGGGGTAGGGGTCGGTGGCGAGAGACCCGAGTGAGGAAGAAGGAGGAAGGGGATGAAAGGTCTGTGTAAAGTGGGAAGCCTGCACGATTCAGAGCCAAAAGCCCAGCTCTAGAGGACTCGGCTTCTGCCGGCTTTCCTTGGGCTCCTCAGTCACCAATCCGAGCTCCCTTGACCCTTACCCTTTACCCTAACGACTCTCTGCCTGGCCAAAGGAATAAACCGTCGTGTGTGTTTACATCCCAGGCCATCCCTGGGACTGAAGGGCTGAGAAGCTTGCGGTCCACATTCGAACTCTCATGACTTTACATTGACTCCGAGGAGAGCAGCTAGCAGCTAGCAGCTTGCGAAGGAGCTGAAGCTGCCGGCCGATTTGCTCTCAGTCTTAGGGTGTTTCTTAGCAGCTCCAGCCCTGAGCCCATGACAGGGACTTCAAAGGCATCGCCTCAGCCTAGAGGGTATTAGGGGAGGTGCCCAGCAGTTCCTGGAGGATTCAGTGCTTTGTAAACGGAATTTGAAATGAATAGCAGGAATTCGAAAAAAGTCTTTATGTGCAGATATATTGATATTATTTGTTATATATTTATCCATGCTGAGGAAGTCAGAGGGTCATTTGGACTAGAAGGAAGCCCTGCCAGATTAATGTCTTCCTCCTCCTCCTCCCCACTCCACCTCGCTTCTGCTAGGCCCAGAGGTTCCATCTCTCAGCTCCGATGTCCCTTCTCTCCTTTGGAAGTACTTTAGAGATGGCAGTTGAGACTTGCCTGGTATGTCTCCCTCACCTGGTGTGAGGGATGTGGGTGAGCATTGGAGCAAGTTATCTAAGGCTGCAGTGGCTTTTCTGTTGCCTGAGGCCTGGTGTTCTAGGACCCCTCTTGCTTGTCCTCACCACCCTCAAAAGCTATTGCCAGCAACGTGGACAAGGCGCTGGCCATTTTATTTTGCTTTGGGAACCTCTCCTCAAGACATTCTACTTGGCCACTCCTAACCTCTCATGCACCCCACCCCTACTCCTGCACACCACATGCACACACACACACACACACCCACACACACCCCTTAAAAAATATTTGGCCTAAGTTGCATCAAGGGGAACGTGAAGATTTGGAAATGATCTGTTTAAGCCAATCAATATATGAACTCAAAATGCATGATTAAGGAGAAAATCGCCTCTATGGGGCCTGATGATGCAGATCCCACCAATTCTGCTTTAAGTTGAATTTACTGTCATCGCTGATTTTAATTAACCCAGAAATTACTAAATCTCCACTTCTTGAAAGCCCTTAGGGCTTTAGGGCTACTTTGCTCCTTGGTTTGAGGCCGAAACAGATCCTGAACACCTCGATTTGCACTAGTCTGTGTCTCACCATTTGGCTGCCTCATTTATCTGGCGAAACGAAGGTTGGGGCAAGATGATTATTTCCTGGTTGAAGCTCTAGCTCCTCTGAGCCCTTTCCTGTTGGGGGCCAGGCTTCCTGCCCTACAGGAGATGATGAGAAACCAAGGAGCAGGGTGGGGAGAGCTGTGGGAAACCTTGCGAAGAATGTAGATATTAATGATTATTTTATTTGAGGCTAGAACCATGACATAACCATAATAATAATACCTACCTTTGTACAGCATTGGATTGTTTACAAAACTCTTTCACTTGTGTTATTTCATTTGTTTCTCACTATAACTCTCCATGTTGTAATTGAGGAAACTGAGTCTATGTGCATCTGTGAGTGGCTTGCTCAAGATTGCATGGCTAGTGAGTTCCTGAGCCAGGACTCAACCCCAGTAATTCTAACTCTACATCCAGGGTTCTTTTCAGTATGGTATAGCGCCTCCATGTAATGCCAAAATAGTCTTTTTCACGCAGATTGCTTTTCTTAATTATTTCTCCCATCAGTAACATCTACTGACCCAGGCCTGGACTCTCAGAGAGGCAGCTTGGTGTAATGGAAAGAGGGTTGTTTGGGAAAGTTCTAAGAACCAGGTCCTAGTCCTTCCTTATCCATAGCTAGCAATGGGACCTCAAGCAATCCCTGACATTTGACTGAGTAGTGCCAGCCTGATACTACGGACTGTATTTTGGGTCTTCTCTTTACCTCTTAAATATGGATATCAATGCACCTGCCCTACCTCCCTCACAGGAACATCCCGTGAGCAATGAGGTATGGACAGGAAAGAGTTTTGTATACCATAAACTAATGGATTCATGCTGGAGTTTTTTTGCTTTTGGTTTTTGGGGATTTTTTTGAGACAGGGTCTCACTCTGCTGCCCAGGCTGGAGTGCAGTGGGGCAATCATGGCTCACTGCAACTTCAAACTCCTGGACTCAAGCGATCCTCCTGCCTCAGCCTCCCAAGTAGCTGGGACTACAGCATGCACCACCACGCCCAGCCAATTTTTTCATTTTTAGTAGAGACGAGGTCTTGCTATGTTACCCAGCTGGTCTTGAACTGCTGGACTGAAGCGATCCTCCAGTCTCGGGCTCCCAAAGTGATGGGATTACAGGTGTGAGCCACCGTGCCCGACCATGCAGGAGTTATCAGTGTCAGCATCACCAACCTCCCTAGGTGTAGCACAGAGACCTAAGGGTGACATGGGCCTGGGCCCTGCCCTCCTGAAACTTACTAGATAAAGCAGGACATCTGGGGGGTCCCAGGGTAATTTAGGCCCCAAACCAACCTCTAACTAAATCCATAGGGCAATTAGTTTAATCCTCTGCTTTGTTCTGTGATCAGAGCCCTTGTCTCGCTGGTAAAACAGCTCAGCCCTATGCCCCCACCTCCTCCCCGCCCAAAAAAAAATTCCAGTGGTTTAGATCTTTAGAGTTATAGAATGAAGCAAATTTGAAGCTTCTAGTTGTCCCTTTGTTCCCTGCACCTCAATCAATTGAAGGTGAAGTTAGTTTTGGAAGTTAGGCTCTCAGGACTGCCAAAGGGCTCATTCTAAGTTACCCGTCTTGAAAGGGAACGGGTTGTGGGGCGGGGGGGTGCGGGGGAACAGAAAGAGCTGTGCAAACTGCAGGAAAGAGTGACCATGTGTTACATGTGTTACACTGTGAGCTCTCTAGTGTTTCACTTTATGTTTCAGAGGACAAGCGGGGTAGGGGAGGAGTCTTTGCCTCTATTTGTTATTAGTAAATTTCAAAGGCATGAGCCTTTTTTGCAAGAAGGGTTGCTAAGGTAGATACATTCCAGCTGCCTACAGAGTACTGGATACTAAGTGCTGGCTCCCAGAGAACAAATGGCCTGGTCTCTGCCCTCTTAGAGCCCCAGGTGTGGATGGGGAGACAGCATGTCCGGTTAAACTGAACTCTGTAAACAACCAACAACTTTTTTGGATTTTATAGCCAAAGGAGTGAAAATGAGGAAAGGGGCTGAAATCAACCCAGAGGCCTCACCGGGTCAAGCCCTTCAGCTTGCTGACCACTCTCCTCTTCCCTGAGACTCCTAGGCTCTAAACAAAGTTCTTTCTTAAAAATTATTATTTTTTTTAACATTAGAGGGGGTGGTGGTGGCGTGGTCTTGCAATGTTGCCTAGGCTGGTCTGGAACTCCTGGGCTCAAGTGATCCTCCAGCCTTGGCCTTCCAAAATGCTGGGATTATAGGTGTGTGAGCCACCGCGCCCAGCCAACAAAGTTCTTAATCAAACATGCAGTGCTAGAAGTGGAAGGGATTCTAAGAAATCTGCCCTCCTGAAAAACTGGCTATGGTTGGCCACTGCCAACAAAATCAAGTCCATGAGCCTTCACCTAGCCTTTAGGGCCCTCCCTGATCTAGTTCTAGCCTCCTTTCCTTCCATGTCTCTCACAAGCCCTCTTTTCTGACCTGACTGGCCCCCTCGGCATTCCTTGGATAAGCCATCCATTTTGTCAGCTCTGCTTCCTCAGCTTTTTTTTTTTTTTAAACACTTAAAAAAATTGTACAGATGAGGCTGGGCGTGGTGGCTCACACCTGTAATCCCAGCACATTGGGAGGCCAAGGCGGGTGGATCACCTGAGGTCAGAAGTTCAAGACCAGCCTGGTCAACATGGTGAAACCCCATCTCTACTAAATATACAAATATTAGCCAGGCATGGTGGCAGGTGCCTGTAATCCCAGCTACTCAGGAGGCTGAGGCAGGAGAATCGCTTGAACTCAGGAGGTGGAGGTTGCAGTGAGCCAAGATCACGCCATTGTGCTCCAGCCTGGGCAAAGAGAGCAAAACTTTGTTCAAAAAAAAAAATTGCACAAATGAGTTCTTGAGTTCTCGTTGTGTTGCCCAGGCTGGTCTTGAACTCCTAGCCTCAAGTGATCCTTCCCTCTTCGCCTCCTAAAGTGCTGAGATTACAGGTGTGAGCCACCATAGTGGCCTCCCACAGGTTTTTTTGTTTGTTTGTTTGCTTGCTTTTTTTTGAGATGGAGTTTTGCTCTTGTCGCCCAGCCTGGAATGCAATGGCGTGATCTTGGCTCACTGCAACCTCCTTCTCCTGGGTTCAAGCGATTCTCCTGCCTCAGCCTCCCTAGTAGCTGGGATTACAGGCACGTGCCACCACACCCAGCTAATTTTTGTATTTTTAGTAGAGACAGGGTTTCACCATGTTGGCCAGGTTGGTCTCGAACTCCTGATTTCACATGATCCACCCACCTTGGCTTCTCAAAGTGCTGGGATTATAGGCGTGAGCCATCGCACCTGGCCCCTCCCACCTGCCCCCTCCCACAGCTTTTTATATGTCTTTCTCAGCTTATTGAAATCTCACTCAACCGTTACTCAAGACAGCTCTCTCATCTGGGTGTGGCGGCTCACGCCTGTAATCCCAGCACTTTGGGAGACCAAGGTGGGTGGGTCACTTGAGGTCAGGAGTTCGAGACCAGCCTGGGCAACATGGCAAAACCCCGTCTCTACTTAAAATACCAAACTTAGCCAGGTGTAATGGCACACGCCTGTAATCCCAGCTACTTGGGAGGCTGAGGCAGGAGAATTGCTTGAACCTGGGAGGCAGAGGCTGCAGTGAGCTGAGATCTTGCCACTGCACTCCAGCCTGGGCGACAGAGCAAGACTCTGTCTCAAACAACAAACAACAAACAAACAAACAAAAGACCATTCTCTCATGCCCCTTTCCCTGACACCCACACCCTCCCTATGGAAGTTGGCTGCTCCTCTGGGGCACCCCCACAGTTTTTAGCTTGTCCCTTTAGTTAGCACTTCCACACTCTGCCTGTCTATCTCTCCGACTAGATTTTAAGTTCCTTGGATAAAAGGACTCAGTATTTCTCATCTGTGTATCACAGCCTCCTTCATCTCCCCCCAAGACCTCCCACCTTGGCACATAGTAGGACTTGTTTTACAGTGGAGAAGCTGAGGCCCAGACTTGACTTCCCTTCTTGCCAAAGACTCATTTTAAAGTCTGGGTCTCTTTTAGTCTTTCTCTTCCCACTCAGTGATTAAGCACACAATCTCTGAAGTTAGACAGACATGGTTTGAATACTGGCTCCACCACTTCCTAGCGCTATTGCCTTGCATACTTTTCTCTGAGCCTCAATTCCCTCATTTGTGAAATGGGGGCTAATAAGTACCTCCTGAAAACGTTATAAGGGCCAGGCGCGGTGGCTGAAGCCCGTAATCCCAATGCTTTGTGTGGCCAAGGCGGGGGGAACAGTTGAAGTCAGGAGTTCAAGATCAGCCTGGGCAATATGGTGAAACTCATCTCTGTATATAAAAAAGAAGAAGAAGAAGCAAACGTTATAAAGATCACATGAGTTCTTGTATGTTAAGCACTTAGAACAGTGCCTGGCACCCAGTAGATGCTCCATAGTAGTTTAAAAAAATAAGGAATTTTTAAAGTTCAGAACTTGAGAGCGCCTGCTTCATTTAAGCCTAGGAATAAAACCCACAACCTGAACATAAAGAAAAAGAGATGTATTTTTGGGAAGGAGAATAGAATAAAATTTAGCAAGAACTTTCAGCAAAATTATTACCTCTTGCCCCAAAGAGGCTAAATATTGAAGAACAGCACCCATTTTAGTGGCCCACGTTAGTGGGTACTCAACAAATTCCACTGACTTTGGGGTACTGCTTTTCACTTGCTGTGGTGGTGATTCTGTACAGGCTTAGGGATGTTAGCAGGGACTGAGGTGCCTTGCAGAACCCACTTACATCATTCTTGATCTGTTTCATGTACCTACACCTGAGCTCCCCTCCACCTGGCCAAATCCTTTGAGCCCCACCTACATGAAGCTTTAGGATAATGCCTTTGCCTCTGAGAAGTCCTCTCGTCCCTGAACTCTTGGCCCCGTAGGTAAGTAGTGCACAGTTTAGCACTCTTCTGTGCCTGTGCCTTAGTTAGATGGCCCCATCTGAGAGCAGGCACCTTGTCATAGAAGTCAGCATTCCCCATAATGCCTGGCAGCATTTGCGCAGACCGCACTCCATGAATACTTTGGGATTGACTGACAAGTAGGCATTCACGAGGAGCAGTAGGAGCATGGGTCCCCTCAAGTCCTGCCCACCATGCCTTCTATCAATCCTCTGTCCCCACACACACCACACTTCTCAAACCAACCACCCACAGACACCCCAGTGTAGCCATCTTGTCTCTTAGAATTTGTAAATATCTGGACAGCAAGGGCCACGTTTTCCTGTGTCCTCCACGTGGCCCAGCATAGAGCTTCCAGCATTAACAGCAGAGAGTAAGCACATAGTGTCACGAGCTATAGATAACTCAGTAAAGATACCATTCTTATTTCGGCTTTCTCTCTCTCTCTCTCTCTCTCTCTCTCTCTCTCTCTCTGTGTATGTGTGTGTGGTATGTGTGTGTGTGTGATGTGTGTTTATATGTATTCTTGTGTGTCTGTTCTTGCTCATTAAACTGCAAGAGCTCCACAGGAATTGTCCATTTTGTGCTGAAAGTTAAAAGATGATTTAAAAACAAGGTAAAACCTGGGATTTGGATTTTTTTTCTTTTCTTTACAATCTAGGTAATGAATGTTCTGCCTTTAGCACACATTCAGTCTATACTCTTACCAAATTTTCTCAAACTTTAATGTACATCACAATCACCCAGGACAGCTCCTTAAAATTTACATTCCAAGACACTGTCCCACTTAGGGTTTTATTGAATAGGTTGGGGTGGTGCCTCGTACTTTGCATTTCAAACAGTCTCTACAGTAAATTCTAGAACCAGTGGGTTCTGGGACTACATCTTGAAGGACATTAAGCACTTTTTTCCTTTTCGTCTTTACCATAGATCCCCAAACGTTTCACTACCGAGGGTTTTTATTATTTCTTTCCCTTCATGGACCCCATTTGACACAGTTATATGTCACTTAGTATGTGCCAGACACTGATCAAAGGATTTTACAAATATTAGCTTATTTAATACTCATAACAACCCCATAATGTAGATACTATATCTTTCCCCTTTTATAAATGAAGAAATTCAGGTACAGAGAGATTCAGTGACTTGCCCAAGCTTGTCCAACTAGCACATTTTTAGTCAGTTGAAGTCAAATTCATATGAAATTAACTGCCGGGTGCAGTGGCTCACACCTGTAATCCCAGCACTTTGGGAGGCCGAGGCGGGCAGATCACAAGGTCAGGAGTTTGAGACCAGCCTGGCCAATATGGTGAAACCCTGTCCCTACTAAAAATACAAAAATTAGCTGGGCGTGGCAGCAGGTGCCTGTAGTCCCAGCTACTACTCGGGAGGCTGAGGTAGGAGAATCACTTGAACCCAGGAGGCGGAGATTGCAGTGAGCCGAGATCGTGCCACCGCACTCCAGCCTGGGCAAGAGATTGAGACTGCTTCTCAAAAAAAAAAAAAAAAAAAAAAAAAAACACTTTAAGGTGTAAAATTCACTGGTATTTAGTACATTCCCAGTGCTGTACAACCACTACCTCTCTAGTTCCAAATTGTTTTCATCACCCCAAAATGAAACTCCCTACCTGTCAAGCACTTGCTCCTTGTTTCCCCCTCCCCTCAACCTCTGGCAATTAGCTATCTTCTTTCTGTTTCTGTGGATTTACCTATTCTGGATATTTCATTTACATGGAATCATAGGCCAGGCACAGTGGCTCAAGCCTGTAATGCCAGCATTTTGGGAAGCCAAGACAGGAGGATCACTTCAGGCCAGGAGTCCAAGACCAGCCTGGGCCATATAGCAAGACTCCACCTCTTTCCTTAAAGAACTAAAAGTAGAACTACCATTTGATCCAGCAATCCCACTACTGAATATCTACCCAGAGGAAAAGAAGTCATACTAGCTGGGCCCAGTGGCTCATGCCTGTACTCCCAGCACTTTGGGAGGCTGAGGCGGGTGGATCACGAGGTAAGGAGTTCAAGACCAGCCTGGCAACATAGTGAAACCCCCATCTCTATTAAAAATACAAAAGTTAGCTGAGCATGGTGGCACATGCCTGTAATCCTAGCTATTCAGGAGGCTGAGGCAGGAGAATCGCTTGAACCCAGGAGGCGGAGCTTGCAGTGAGCTGAGATCATGCCACTGCACTCCAGCCTGGGTGAGAGACTCCATCTCAAAAAAAAAAAAAAAAAAAAAAAGCCAGGCGCGGTGGCTCACGCCTGTAATCCCAGCACTTTGGGAGGCCGAGGCGGGCAGATCACGAGGTCAGGAGATCGAGACCATCCTGGCTAACATGGTGAAAACCCGTCTCTATTAAAAATACAAAAAATTAGCCGGGCGTGGTGGCGGGAGCTTGTAGTCCCAGCTACTCGGGAGGCTGAGGCAGGAGAATGGCGTGAACCCGGGAGGCGGAGGTTGCAGTGAGCCGAGATTACGCCACTGCACTCCAGCCTGGGAGACAGAGCAAGACTCCATCTCAAAAAAAAAAAAAAAATACGTAAAAGATACTTGCACAGGCATGTTTATAGCAACACAATTCGAAATTGCATAAATACAGAACCAGCCCAAATGCCCATCAATCAATGAGTGGATAAGGAAATTGTGATATATATATGTATATATATACTGGGTACAGTGGCTCACACCTGTAATCCCAGCAATTTGGGAGGCCGAGGCAGGCAGATCACTTGAGGCCAGCAGTTCGAGACCAGCCTTGCCAATATGGCAAAACCCCGTGTCTACTAAAAATACAAAAATTAGCCAGATGTGGTGGCACATGCCTGTAATCCACAGCTACTCAAGAGGCTAGGTCACGAGAATCGCTTGATCCTTGGAGGCAGAGCTTGCAGTGAGCTGAGATCGCACCACTGCACTCCAGCCTGAGTAACAGAGCAAGACTGTCTAAAAAAAAAAAAACATTGTGAATGTGTATCTATATATATACATACACACACAATGGAATACTACTCAGCCATAAAAAGGAACAAAATAACGGCATTTGCAGCAACCTGGATGGAACTGGAGAGCATTATTCTAAGTGAAGTAACTCAGGAATGGAAAACCAAACATCATATGTTCTCACTCAAGTGGGAGCTAAGCTATGAGGATGCAAAGGCATAAGAATGATACAAAGGACTTTTGGGTCTCGGGAAAGGGTGGGAGGGAGGTGAGGGATAAAAGACTACACATTGGCCGGGTGTGGTGGCTTATGCCTGTAATCCCAGCACTTTGGGAGAGGTGGGCTGATCACTTGAGATCAAGAGTGGAGACCAGCCTGGGCAACATGGTGAAACCCTGTCTCTACTAAAAATACAAAAATAAGCCAGGTGTGGTGGCGTGTGCCTGTAGTCTTAGCTACTAGGGAGGCTAAGGCAGGAGAATCACTTGAACCCAGGAGATGGAGGTTGCAGTGAGCTGAGATCGCACCACTGCACTCCAGCCTGGGTGACAGAGTGAGACTATCTCAAAAAACAAACAAACAAACAAAACAAAAAAAACTACACATTGGGTACAGCATCTCGGGGGAAAGGGTGGGATGGAGGTGAGAAATAAAAGACTACACATTGGGTACAGTGTACACTGCTTGGGTGATGGGTGCACCAAAATCTCAGAAATCACCACTAAAGAACTTATTCATGTAATCAAACACCACCTGTTTCCCAAAAATCTATTGAAATAAAAACAAATTAATTTTAAAATAGAATTTTAAAAAGGACTCCATCTCTATATTTAATTTTTTAAATTAAAAAGAATAATAGGGCCAGGCGCGGTGGCTCACGCCTGTAATCCCAGCACTTTGGGAGGCTGAGATGGGTGAATCACTTGAGGTCAGGAGTTCAAGACCAGCCTGACCAACATGGTGAAACCCTGTCTCTACTAAAAATACAAAATTATCTGGGCGTGGTGGCACATGCCTGTATTCCCAACTACTTGGGAGGCTGAGGCAGGAGAATCACTTGAACCTGGGAAGTGGAGGTTGCAGTGAGCCAAAATTGCACGATTGCACTCTAGCCTGGGCAACAAGAGCGAAACTCTGTCTCAAAACAAAAAAAAAAAAAGAGAGAAAAGTTAAATGGAATCATATAATATGTGGTCTTTTGTATCTGGCTTCTTGTGCATGTTTTTGAGTTTCCTCCATGTTATAGCACATATCAGTACTTTTTTCCTTTATATAGCTGAATAATATTCCATTGTATGGATATACCACAATTTGTTTATGCATTCCCACCTAGTAAGATTTTTTTTTTTTTTTTAAGAAACGGAGTTTCACTATGCTGCCCAGGTTGGTCTCAAACTCCTGGGCTCAAGTGCTCTCCTTCTTTGGCCTCCCAAAGTGTTAGGATTACAGGTATGAGCTGCCACACCTGGCCAATAGCTAGTAAATTTGAAGTCAGGATTAGAATCCAGAAAGTTGACCAGGTGTGTGGCTCATGCCTGTAATCCTAACACGTTGGAAGACCAAGGCAGGCAGATCCCTTGAACTCAGGAGTTCAAGACCAGCCTGGCCAACGTGGTGAAACCCTGTCTCTAAAAAAACAAATACAAAAATTAGCTTGGTGTGGTGGCGTGTGCCTGTAGTACCAGCTACTTGGGGTACTGAGGCAGGAGAATTGCTTGAACTCAGGAGGTTGAGGCTGCAGTGAACCATGATCATGCCGCTGCACTCGAGCCTGGGTGACAAAGTGAGACCCTGTCTCCAAAAAAAAGAAAACCCATAAAGTCTGGCTTCAGAGTCTGTGCTCCTATCCCCTCCGTGTCCCAAATACTTATCTACTTAAACAGGATATATTTCCAAGTAATGCTTAATTTGTCAGTTAAAAATTTATAAGATACATATAAAACTGCATCAGAACATTAGATCAGCCTGAGCTAGCCACATTGAAGTCATATAATCTCAGCCAAAGCCAAAAATCACTTGATGTTGTCATTAACCTGTGAGGCTTCATCCAGGTTCATGTATGGTTTCACTAGACTATAAAATACCAAACATAATTCATAGACTTTCCTACAGACTTTTATGGGTTGGATCCCAGTTTGGGATCCATTGATTGCAAATCCCTGCCAGACACTCACTCAACAAAGAGAGATTCCATCAAGTTGCTCAGTAGACTCTACTGACAATCCAGAAAGTGAGCACACGCATGTTAGATTTTTCACACCAACCATCTAAACAAAAAAAAAATGATTTGGAGGTTAACCTTTAGTAAATTAGAAAATTCCGGCCTGGCAGGGTGGCTCATGCCTGTAATCCTAGCACTTTGGGAGGCGGCCGTGGGAAGACTGCTTGAGAGTGGAGCCCTTCAGAGTTCAAGACAAGCCTGGGCAACATAGAGAGACCCTGTATCTAATCGTGGTGGCCCATGCCTGTAGTCCTAGCTACTCAGCAGGCAGAGGTGGGAGGATCATTGAGCTCAGGAGTTTCAGGCTGCAGTGAGCTATGAACGCATCACTGCACTCCAGCCTGAGTGACAGAGTGACAGAATGAGACCTTGTCACTAAAAGAAAAAAAATTTTTTGTTTAATTGAAAAATTCCATCCAGGCTGGACGCGGTGGCTCACGTCTGTAATCCCAGCACTTTGGGAGGCCAAGGCAGGTGGATCACCTGAGCTCAGGAGTTCGAGATCAGCCTGGCCAACATGGTGAAACCATCTCTCTACTAAAAATACAAAAACATTAGCTGGGCGTGGTGGCGGGTGCCTGTAATCCCAGCTACTTGGGAGGGTGAGGCAGGAGAATTGCTTGAACCCAGGAGGCGGAGGTTGCAGTGAGCGAGATTGTACCACTGCACTCCAGCCTGGGCAACAGAGCAAGACTCCATCTCACAAAACAAAACAAAACAAAACAGATTTCATCCAGGTGCAGTGGCTCATGCCTGTAATCCCAACACTTTGAGAGGCTGAGGCAGGAGGATCTCTAGAGTCCAGGAGTTGAAGACTAGCCTGGGCAATATGGCAAAATCCTGTCTCTACTAAAAATACAAAAATTAGCCGGGCATTGTTGCATGTGCCTGTAGTCTCAGCTACCCTGGGAAGCTGAGGTGGGAGGATCGCTTGAGCCTGGGAGGATAAGACTGCAGCGAGCTGTGATCACACCACTACACTCCAGCCTGGGTGACAAAGCGAGACCCCATCTCAAAAAAAAAAAAAAAAAACAAATATAAGAAAATTCCAAAATCTGGTATGTCATTCTGCCTGAGTATTCTAGCTAGCTAGAATTTCACCACTAAAGCTGGGCACGGTGGCTCAAGCCTGTAATCCCAGGACTTTGGGAGGCTGAGGCGGGTGGATTGCCTGAGCTCAGGAGTTCGAGACCAGCCTGGGCAACATGGCGCAACCCCGTCTCTACTAAAAATACAAAAAATTAGCCGGGCATGGTGGCAGGCACCTGTAATCCCAGCTACTCGAGAGGCTGAGGCACAAGAATTGCTTGAACCCAGGAGGCAGAAGTTGCAGTGAGCCGAGATCGCACTACTGCACTCCAGCCCGGGCAACAGAGCAAAACTCTGTCTCAAATAATAATAATAATTTCACCACTAAGGATGCACATGGCTATGTCTTGGGGGCCAAAAATAGAGCCCCTTAACTGCCCCCAAAAAATGTGACAGCCTGTGCTGGACTTACCAGAGAGGCCTTCCAGACCTGAAGCTGAGGTGAAAATGCTGTCTCAACACAAGGCCGATTGCATGATTTTATCTCCTGAATTTTCAAAGGTGTGGACAAAAAGCAACCTAAACAGGCTTGCATTTCCTCTGGAGTTTTGTGATACCCACAGCCCATGGCTGAGAGCCCCATTTGATGTTCTGAGTGTTGCCCTCTCCAAAAGGGTCCCTTGTTGCTCCATCAGAGACCGAATAACCAGGCTGGATTCAAAACCATTAGCCCTGCCTTCGCTTAGTAGAATAAAATGAACATCAAGGCGAGCCTTGAAGGGGGAAAGATGCCACGAAACCTGTGGCTGGAGAGGTGAGGGGTGAATGAGGAGCAGTGAAGGCTTCTTCATCTCTGTAGTGCCAGGACCTAGCAGAAAGCCTGGCACCAATAGGAAAGCGTTCAGTATGTGTTTGTTGACTGAATGTCTGACTGAAAGAGAGCCTTCTTCTTGGTCTGGAGGTCATCATGGAGGCGTTGTAGAGCTGCTCTGTGGGGACAGAGAATGGAGGGAAGTTGGCATGGGTCTGGAGTGTCCTGCCAGGACCTACACAGACCATGTTTTTCTCTGCCTGAAAATTTCTCCCAGGCGAAGTTCTCAGCGCCTGCAAGTCTCAAAAGTAGATTCCTCCAAGCTCACTGTGTACTTTATTGGAATAAACTCAACTCAGGGAAACTTAACAGTGGCATAGTGTTGTGGGGAGAATCCAACGAGAGCACCTATATAAAAGCATATTGAGGCCGGGCGCGGTGGCTCACGCCTGTAATCCCAGCACTTTGGGAAGCCAAGGACGGTAGATCAGGAGGTCAGGAGTTCGAGACCAACCTGGCCAATATGGTGAAACCCCGTCTCCACTAAAAAAATACAAAAATTAGCCGGGTGTGGTGGCGTGCGCCTGTAGTCCCAGCTACTCGGGAGACTGAGGCAGAAGAATCGCTTGAACCCAGAGGCAGAAGTTGCAGTGAGCTGAGATCGTGCCACTGCACTCCAGCCTGGGAGACAGAGCAAGGGTCCGTCTCAAAAAAAAAAAAAAAAAAAAAAAGCATATTGAAAAAGATAGAGGGGCAGGGAATTCTTGATAACTCACCAATATCGGCTTTGTGTGGTCTAAGTGACCCTTTGTATGTGCCATTTGGCCAGGTAGGTTTCTATGTACAGATCCTAACCCTGAACATGCACACGCACGACAGGCACTCCCACACAAACACATTTTATAATGCAGTAGACTCCTGCGTGCCAAAACCCATATAACTACAATCTTCAAAGAATCGGAATGCTTTTTTTTGCAATACAATGCAATAATCCCTTACATTTGTATGGGGCTTTGCGGGTCACAAAGTGCTTCCCCATCCATGACCCCATTTGTTTGTTGATTGATGTTCAGAACGGTTCCAAGGCTTTGCAGGATCCTGAAGGCCCTTGAAAAGACTCAAATAGCAATAATCTGTGGTGTGAATGGCCTTGGCTGTGTGCTGAGCCTCTGAACACCAAGCCTCTAGTTGTGACAGAGACATCCAGGGGTACAGTGACCTGCTGCCACAGACTTGCAGGGACTCAGCAGCACTTGGGAGACTGGGTTTGTAGGACATGATTCCTGCAGCTGAAAGGAGCTGAGATCCATCTGTACAAAATCAGTACTATAGCAGCAACAGAGGAGGCCAAAGGGTTGGAGCACCCCTCCCTGATTTCATTCCATCAGCCATTCAATGGGCAGACAGTAAGCACTTGAGCTCCTTTCTCTGGTTTGTTCTAGATATTGAGGGTACAGATACAGCAAGACATGTTTCTCTCTTTCTCTCTCTCACACACAGACCCACACACAAGGCTTCACCTGGAGCTCCAAATTCCCAGGGCTAACCTGCCTCTGTCATGCTCCTGCATTAAGAAGAATATTGGGGGCCGGGCGTGGTAGCTCACGCCTGTAATCCCAGCACTTTGGGAGGCCGAGGCGGGCAGATCACGAAGTCAAGAGATTGAGACCATCCTGGCTAATACGGTGAAACCCCGTCTCGGGAGGCTGAGGCAGGAGAATGGCGTGAACCCAGGAGGCGGGGTTTGCAGTGAGCCGAGATTGCACCACTGCACTCCAGCCTGGGTGACAGAGCGAGACTCCATCTCAAAAAAAAAGAAGACAAAGAAGAAGAAGAATATTGGAGGCCGGGCGCGGTGGTCACGCCTGTAATCCCAGCACTTTGGGAGGCCGAGGCGGGCGGATCACGAGGTCAGGAGATCGAGACCATCCTGGCTAACACGGTGAAACCCTGTCTCTACTAAAAATACAAAAAATTAGCCGGGCTTGGTGGCAGGTGCCTGTAGTCCCAGCTATTGGGGAGGCTGAGGCAGGAGAATGGTGTGAACTCAGGAGGCGGGGCTTGCACTGAGCCAAGATCGCGCCACTGCACTCCAGCCTGGGCGATAGAGCGAGACTCCGTCTCAAAAAAAAAAAAAAAAAGAACACTATTGGATAAACCAGATCCATGGGAGAAAAATGCAATTTTATAATGCATATTAATAATAGTAGTAATCCCTCACATCTGTACACAACTTAATAGTTTACAAAACACTTCCATCCCTATTCCTTTATTTGATCCTGGGTCCTGTCGTCGTCCTTCATATTCAAAGACAATCTTCTGATTGTGATCTCTATCTCCAGTGCGAGTGAAGCAAGGCTAAGGCAGGACCAGGAGGCCCTCCTGCCCTCTGCTAACAGACAAACATCATGGTGGGCTTTTTTCTCTTTCTCTTTCTCTCTCTTCTCTCTCTCTCTCTCTCTCTCTCTCTCGCTCCCTCTCTCTCTCTCCCCCCTCCTCTCCTCTCCTCTCCCCTCTCCTCCCCTCCCCTCCCCTCTCCTCGCTTTCTCTCTTTCTCTCTGTCTTTCCGGAGTCTCTCTCACTCCGTCGCCCAGGTTGGAGTGCAGTGGCACAATCTCAGCTCACTGCAACCTCTGCCTCCTGGGTTCAACTGATTCTCCTGCCTCAGCCTCCAGAGTAGCTGGGATTACAGGCATGCATCACCACACCAAGCTAATTTTTGTATTTTTATTAGAGACGGGTTTTCGCCATGTTGGCCAGGCTGGTCTCAAACTCCTGGCCTCAAATAATCCACACCTCCCCTCGGCCTCCCAAAGTGCTGGGATTACAGGCGTGAACAACTGCGCCCGACCGGGTATTTTTTTTTTCACCCTTTTCTTTTTCTTCCTCCTTCTTTCTCTTGCTGTGCTGTCTGTGGAGCCTGAAGTTGCCTATGACTCAGCTTCCCAGGCTCCAGGGAGCCTGGCACCCCGGGGAAAAGGACTGCTGGCCAGCTAGCCCCCCAAGCTGGGATGCCAAGCCTTTGACTCCTGCAGAGTGAGGAGGGGAAAGCCTCCGTTTTAGGCAGCCCCAAAGTGAGCCCCAGCCCACCTCAGCAAATTGAGCAGGCCTGCCACCGGAGAAGGGGGGCAATTTCAATAGAACAAGGAAAGGAGGGTTCCCTGAAGCTATTAGGAGGATGTGAAATGGGGCTCTGAAGCTGGGAGGTAAGCGCTAAGTTCATGCTTCAAAAAGTGCAGACATAGGAACCTAGGCTTGCAGAAGAAGATGCTGGGGAAGGGAAAAGAGGATTCCCCACTATGGTGGCTCACGCCTGTAATCCCAGCATTTTGAGAGGCCAAGGCGGACAGATCACTTTAGGTCAGGAGTTCAAGACCAGCTTGGCCAACATGATGAAATCCTGTCTCTAATAAAAATACTAAAATTTGGGCCAGGCACAGTGGCTCACGCCTCTAATCCCAGCACTTCGGGAGGCTGAGGTGGGAGGATCACTTGGGGTCAGGAGTTCAAGACCAGCCTGGCCAACATGGTGAAACCCTGTCTCTACTAAAAATACAAAAATTAGCCTGGTGTGGTGGTACCTGTAATCCCAGCTACTCGAGAGGCTGAGGCAGGAGAATCACTTGAACCCAGGAAGCAGAGGTTACAGTGAGCCGAGATCATGCCATTGCACTCCAGCCTGGGTGACAAGAGCGAAACTCCATCTCAAAAAAAACCCAAAAAAACAAAAATTTGCAGTGAGCTGAGATCACCCCACGGCACTCCAGCCTGGGCAACAGAGCGAGACTCCGTCTCAAAAGAAAAAGAAAAAAAAAAGAGCCCCCCCACTGTATCCACTGGGTTTCTAGGCCTTTTAAGAAACCTACTTCACTCATCCATCCCCATTCCCTCACATACTCAAGTTTTTGTTTTTTTGTTTTTTTTTTTTTGAGACAGAGTTTCGCTCTTGTTGCCCAGGCTGGAGTGCAATGGCATAATCTTGGCTCACTGCAACCTCCACCTCCCAGGTTCAAGAGATTCTCCTGCCTCAGCCTCCCAAGTAGCTGGGATTACAGGTGCACTCCACTACTCCCGGCTAATTTTTTTTATTTACTAGAGACAGGGTTTCATCATGTTGGCCAGGCTGGTCTTGAACTCCTGACCTCAGGTGATCCACCTGGCTCGGCCTCCCAAAGTGCTGGGATTACAGGCGTGAGCCACCATGCCCAGCCTAAAGTATCTTCTTTCATTTGTCCAGTTTCTTCACTGCCCCCTTCTACCTCCATTCCTCTAATGTAGCCCCAATTTTTTGAGCTAATGATGCTTTCAGTGAAAGCCCAACCCAGAGAGTTCTGAAGTCATCCCACCCAAACATTCTCGAATTCCCCCATCCATCCCTCTCTCTACATGGTTCTCAGCCCATAGCTGTGGCCATACCAGTCACGCTCTCCACCTGGCCCAGAGCCGCCCCAGATGGGAATGCCTAAGAAACGAAGGAGGAGTAGGGGATATAGAAACCACTGTGCTGTGGTTGTTTGCAGTAGTAGAGAATCAAAGCCCATCTTCCCCTGGTAGGAGGGATCAGAGCTGTCTGTCTTGGCAGTTGCGAGCAGGGGGCCCAAGCAGCTAGGAAAAGCTGCTGTCAGCTAGTGGCCAGGTTAAAAAGAGATGACGGTGTGAGTGACTGCCATGTCTGGGTGGGGAAGGAGACCCACGACCCCCTCCCTTCATCTCTGGATGTGACCAACAATCCGCTGAGGCTTCCAACCAAGCCTAACCTCGGAAACTCCCTTCTCTCAGGAAAAGAGCTTCGTTCCAGCCCAGGAGCTTCTCTGGTTGAGTCCTCTTCTTAGCCCTTGCCCTGACGTTTGGGGCCGGCCGAGTTAGCATTGTCACTCTGGCAGTGGCAGCCAGTGCGGGGCGGGAGTGTGTGTAATTGCAACCACTTCCTGCCCCAGCTTGCCCTAGGGCTGGCCCCGCCCCTGAGGACAGTTGGGGCGGGGCCCAGGTATAGTGAGGGAGTCCGGTAGCGGGTTGGGGGCGCTGGCTAGTGGGGCCGCCCTCCAGGGAAATCAGCTGAGACTCATAAAAGGGCGAGAGAGGGGGGTGCCTTAGTTCCAGCCAACCATCACGAGAGGGCTGGGGCCTCGGGGCATTCTATTGGCACAACCCGTCCCTGCAAGGGAGGATCTAGACAACAGCCCCTCTCCAACTAGTATACGACTAGTTCCAATATTAGCTTTATTCATGAGCTCCGGACCCGCTGAAGCCCCAGAGGAGAGGGGGAGGGAAGAGCTGGGGTCTACACGGAGGGATGTTCTCCTTCCTCTCTGCCTTGGCACTGCTCTCTGCCCCAGCAACTTAAGGCAGATAGAAGGGCCGTGAGCTGCCGAAGACTCTGGTGGTGCACACCACCATTAGCCTGCAAGTGTCTCCTGTCCTGGAGTTTCCGGGATTCGCTGGCAGGTTGTATCATGGGTCTGTCTGGTTACCCTGGCCTGGGAATGCCCAGCATGTACAGAGCCAGTCCTATATCAGGTGCTCTGGAGGTATAAAAGAAGCAGAAAAACAAGTTCGAGGCTGCACTGTGCTATGATTGCACCTGTTAATAGTCACTGCCCTCCAGCCTGGGCAGCATAGCAAGACCCTGTCTCTAAAATGAAAATAATAATTTTACTTTTTTTTTTTTTTTTGAGACGGAGTCTCTCTCTGTTGCCCAGGCTGGAGTGCAGTGGTACAATCTTGGCTAACTGCAACCTCCGCCTCCTCAAGCGATTCTCCTGCCTCAGCCTCCCGAGTAGCTGGGACTACAGGCCTGCGCCACCACGCCTGGCTAATTTTTGTATTTTTGTAGAGACGGAGTTGCACCATGTTGGCCAGGCTGATCTCGAACTCCTGACCTCAAGTGATCCATCCGCCTCGGCCTCCCAAAGTGCCGGGATTACAGGCATAAGCCACTGTGCCTGGCCAGAAAATAATAATTTTTAAAAGAAAAAAGAAGCAGAATGACAGCCCCCTCCTTTTGGGGAGCTGGATATCAACTGGGCATTAGGGTGGCAGAGTGGACAAAGAGTGTGCTTTGTAGTCAAAGATGAAGATTGTAGACCTGCTCTACCCCAATGCATCAACTGTGTGACCTTGGGCAGCTTGCTTATCTTCTCTGAGCTTCAGCCTCCTGGTGTCTAAAGTGAAGCTACTAATACTTGCCTTATGAGGTGTGGTAAAGGTGAAATAAGACATGCATGGGAAAGTGCTTTGAAAGCTATGAAGCACTATACAAAGGTAAGACAGGGATGATAGTATTGAATGGGGTGGAGGTGGGAGACAGGACCCTAATGGGAAATATAAGCAGGCACCCATGGTTAGGGTGCAAACTCTCCACTGGAGTGTTACAAGAGTGTGCTGTAGTGAGGCTATCTGAGGCAGGTAGGGGGTTAACTCTGCGTAGATTTCCAGTTGGAGGTGGGTCTGAGAGAGGAGATCCCCTAGGAAAAGGCAGTCAGGCGAGGTGGAGAAAAAGCCATAATTTCTCTCCTTTTGAGAAGGGCTTGCTGCGGTCCTGGTTGCCTTAATCATGCCCGTGTGAAGAGAGGCCAGTGGTGGGTGAGGGCGGCCCCACTACACAGTTTTGTTTAGCGGGGAGGGGGCGGCCTGTCAGCCCTCAAAGTATAAGGCAGCAGCTGGAAGCGCGCCGCTTACTCACATACCACGCCTGCAGCGTGCACACGGCTCGCTGGAATGAGCCGGGAGCGTCTCCTCTCCTCGCCCTCTGCAGACCGAGAGACGGAGAAGAGCCGAGGGGAGCTGGGTGAGCCGAGCACATTCAATGACAGCTGCAAACCTATGGGCTTCTCGGTCCCCTTCACACTCTGGCAAGGGCTGCCCAGCCCAGGTGACCCCTGCCTTCCCTTCTCTGATCAGCAGCAGCCAGCCCTGCCTCCCCCTACACGGGGATAGGGCCATCTTCACTTGCTTGGTAAGTTTTGGGGGAAGGGTGTACCCCTGTGTCGTGGTGGCACACGTGGTTGGGGATGCAACCACGTCTATGCATGTCAGCAGCCATGTGTGCAGGTTCAGGCAGGTGTCTGCATACAAACGTGTCACACGTGCAAGCTCCGAGTGTCAAGAATTACAGGACTGACATTTCTGCTCCTGTCTGACTTTGGACCAGGGACCTTCTCATCTGTAAAATGAAAAGACTTGTACCAGAGCATCTCAGGGCCTTTTCAAGCTCAAATCCTCACTGTTTCTATTATGTAGGGCTGTGGTTGCTTAAAAAGTCAGGGCAGTAAACAAAATCAGCCCAACCAGTTGTGACGTTGCCTGTCGACACTTCAGATGTTTAGGTTTGGAGATTCAACTTTCAAAAGGCCATTTACTTGGCATCATGTAACATCTGTTCACTTTCCAAGGAGTGACACCCCGACTGTGGCATGATGGTATTTTGTGTATTTGTGTGTTTATGTGAACGTGAGAACATCTGTGGGCACATGTTTAAGTTGCATCACAGGATATTAGCGCTGAACGAGGTCCTGAAGGTCATCCTGTTGGATCCCCTTCCATTTCTAGTACATGTATTCAATATCTCTTTTGTAAGCAAGGATCTGTGCAGGGAGGTCTACAGATAAATAAGGCATAGTCTCTGCCCTCCAGGAGCTCCCCATCTATGGGGGAGAGAAACATGTCAACAAATAATTACAATACAATGTGATAATAGAGGTATAAATCCTAATCTATGGGAGCGCAGGGGAAAGCCCAATTAATTCTGCCTGGGAATGTCTGTGATGGCCATGACAGTCTCACTTTACAATCATTACATTCATTCTACAGCCAATGAGTTTTCATCTACAGTTTTCCACCTCCAAAATATTCTTCCTAGTTCTTCACTCCCCACCACCTCCTCTCAGCAAATCTAGGAAGATGCAATGAGTCGACTACATCAAGGAGAACTTGGAAACCTCTAGTGAGCGGGAAGGGAAAAGTCCCTGGCTGGGAGTGTGAAGCTATAGAATGAGTATGTCCACCCAAACGGCTAGTCTGCACAAGCCGAAAAGGATTGGCCAGATGGCATACTGGGATCAAAATGGCCCACTGGGATCAACCATGACCCACACTCCTTTCAGCTACTGGCCAGCGAGAGGCTCGTGTGGGGACAGTTGAGGTTGCTTGGGTCAGTGGTTTAGCTAACGCTGAGGTAGGGTGGGGACTGAGAGGGAAGCCAAGGGAAGTGAGAGTCCACTCCTTCCTGCCTGGCCAAAGGGGTGTGCGAATGGAGATCACTTTCAACAGGGCATGCCCTTTGTGTTCTCTGCACTAGGAATGGGGCTCCCTTGCCCGGTGCCCCTGGTGAGCAGCAGCGCAGGTCTGTGAGATAGTGCTGAGGGTAATGGGGCAGCCTAAGTCAATGTGGAGGGCAGATTAGAGCAAAGCTAACTGGCAGTGGGAAGGAGAGCCAGTAAGTCCGGACTCCGCCATAGGTTCTAACCACTGCCCTATCCGCCCAGGAATTGGCCGTGGGAGACAAATCTCCAGCCCCCCAACCTCCACCCCAATCTAGCGTCCTTCCCCCTCTCGGCGGGCAGAAGACAACGCCCCCTCGGGGACTACCACCCCACCAGGGCGGGAGCACTCCCTCCTCCTCCCACCCCTCGATCCATAAAGCCAGGAGATGCTACCGCGAAGGGAACCCTGGGAGTGTGCCTTGAATGACCCCCAAACACATCTGGATTTTCGGAGTTCAGGCCAGCCCCCGAAACGGACCCCAGGGAAGTCCGCCAGAGGGAGGGAGCGGGGGAAGGGAGAGGCAGCACGGAGTTCAGGGCCTGTCTTTTAGGACTCCCGGCCCCACGACTAGGACCGTCCCAAACTTCCTGTTTCTTCCGGCCGCTCTGACCCCGGGGCTGCGGCTCCGAGATAGCTCAGGGCCTGGAAGTGCATGCTGGGTAAGCGCAGACGGACGGAGTAGGCGAGCTGCTCGCTGTCGCCGCGGCGCAGGGCCGGTGTGGGCGCGCGCGCTCGGCTTCCTTCCCCGGCGGTCACGCTTTGCATGTGGGATGGGCAGCGGGCAGGTGGCAAGGAGGCCCCCACGCCGAGGGCTCGGGGAGGAGCCGGGGCCTGGGCAGGGGCGGAGGGGGAGGGGGAGGAGGCGGCCCGAGGGGCGGGGGCGGGGGCCGGGAGTTGCTGCATTTTAAAGGGAAGCGGAGTTGCCTTCGTCGGAGGCCGAAGTTCGAGCCGGCCTCGCCGCGTCGAGTGCAGGAAATCCTGGAGGGGCAGCGCAGCCTGCTCGGCCCCCGGCCCAGACCCGAGCTCTCGCGCCCCGCTGAAGCCCCAGGGGATAGTTGAGGACGAGTAGAAGGAAGTCCTTCTTTACTCAGACTAGAGAAAACTTAAGGAAACTGTTAACCCCCTCCCCAAAGGGGGTCCAGGTTTGGGATTTTTTTTTTTAAGTGCAGGCAAATGCTCGACTCCAGGGAGAAACTAAAGCGATCCCAATCGTTGAGGGGTGCAGGTCGGAAAGGACAGCCCATTCCTCAGTACCTGGTCCTTAAGATCGGCTGCATAAGGTTGCGGGGGTGGGGGGGAGGTGGGGAGGGAACCCATTGCTGCTACTTAGCTCCCGCTTCAACGTTAGAGAGGAGAAGCTTTGGAAAGATGGTTAAATCCAGGAAGGTGGTTAAATCCGAATAGAGGTTTAACCCCTACCTTTTCCCGCACCTTCCTTTGGGGCCACACCCCTTGCGCGAAACCCCATCTCGCTTCCACTCCTTCCATCTCTCATTATTCCGTACTCTTCAGCTCTGCCACATGTTTGCGTTGTATCTTAAGGAAATTGGTCTTATGCCCTCGCATGGGGGTTGATGTTAGACATAGGACCAGGCGAGATGGGAGATAGAGCACACAGCACACTCGGGCCCACTTCAGAGATTACTGCCCCCATTCTGAAGATGAAAGAAACCGAGGCTGCCCAGAGAGCCCAATATTTTGCTGAGCTCACACAGGGAGTTAGGAATAGAGGTTTAAAACAGTTTGAGGCCAGGCGCGGTGGCTCACGCCTGTCATCACAACACTGGCAGGCGGAGGCGAGAGGATTGCTTGAGGCTAGGAGTTCGAGACTGCCCTGGCCAACATAGCAAGACCCTATCTAAAAAAAATGGTAACAAAACACAGCTTGGGAATGGGAGCAGGGTTGATGCTTAAGACTCAATTAAGCAACCGTGTCCCTCACCAAGTCTCTTCAGACCCCCACCCCACTAGCTGAGTGCTACTTTAGCAAGCCTCCATTATTCTCTCTGATGGCACACTGCCCTAGGGCTATTTGACTGTGTTTTCATCACCTGTGCTAGATTAGGAGTACCTCAATGATGGAGATAGGGTCTCAATATTTATCATCTCACCTCAGTGTCTACTAAAGTGCCCGGCACATAGAAGACAATAAATGTTTCTTTGTTGAATGATAGAAATTAGGAATCCAGACTTCCAGCCATTTTCTTTTCTCCTTCCTTCCTTCTTTCCTTCCTTCCTCCTCTCTTTCTTTCTTTCTTTTCCTTTTTTTCTTTCTTGTCTTTCCTTTCTTGTCTTTTTCTTTCTTTCTTTCCACAGGGTCTCTTGCTCTGTTGCTCAGGCTACAGTGCATTGGAGCGATCATGGCTTACTGCAGCCTTGACCTCCTGGGCTCAAGCGATCCCTCCACCTCAACCTCATAAGTAGCTGGGACCATAGGTGCGCGCCACCATGTCCAGCTAATTCTCAAAAACATGTTTTTTGTAGAGACAAGTTCTCTCTGTTGCCCAGGCTGGTCTCAAGCTCCTAGGCTCAAGTGATCCTCATGCCTCAGGTCTCCCAAAGTGCTGGGATTACAGGTGTGAGCCACCATGCCCGTTCATCCCTTTTTCAAGTCAAGTGCTGCCTTATCTACCCATCCACCTACACACCTGGCTTAGAAGCACCCCATTCAGGGCGAGGTCTTTCTATTGCCACCCATCCTTGGTGCTGGGCTTTGCACTTAAGAGGGGCTTTCAAAAATAGACACAAAGGGTGAGGGGCCATCTTTGGCTCGCCTGGCCAGGGACAGGATCAAGCTGCCCAGTTACAAATCTGTTATGTATATTCTGTGCCCTGGTGCCCTTCTTCCAAATCAAAATATAGCAGGCAGTGCAAACATTTATGCAAATGAGCCAGGAGCCCTCCTGCTTTCAAAAATAAATGATGGAGCCCGTATCAGTAGTTGCAGTGTGTCTTGGCAGTGTTTAGAAGGGGCCCTGTCCACCCCTTGCTAGTTCTCTTGGGAAGCCCAGCACAGTGAGAAGCAGTGTATCTTACCCCCCTCATTTCCCCCTCCCCTCCAATACTACAAACAGCCACAAACCACATGGCCCACAAGCAACTGAGATTTGTGGCCTTTGGAACCTCCCAGGGCAGGGGTCAGTCAGCAGGTCAAAGCGGGTGTAGGCATCACACAGTCCAGAGTCATTACTCTAATGCCCTCTGGGAGAGTTTCAAATCAATGGGCCTATTTGTCCTCCCTCCAGGGAGGACTGGGGGTAGGGCAGCGGGGGTCCATTATCAAGCCCATCCCCACAACACTGCCTCCAAGAAGCTCACCCTTAGCCTGGCATCCTGAAAACCTCACTGCTACCCAGAAGACAGAAACCGGAAGTGGGATGATGTCTGTGGGGATGGGCAGATAGGATGTCTCCTTTGCATTCTAGGTTAGGAATCTAGGAGTCTGGACTTTTATGTGGGAGTCTCTGTGGCATTTACAAAGCCAGCAGGGTGACTTTGGGCGCCTGTTGACCTCTCTACATTTTGGCAAATAGCCAGTTTCCAGCAAGACCATGCCCTGACCCAGTTGTCTCTGTTGCTTCTGGGAGAGTTTTAGAATCACTCTTTGTGGGAAAGAGGTTGGGTAGTATAGTGATTAGAGAGCTGGACTTGGGCATTGGCCAGACCTGGATTCCAAACCCAGCTCTGCCACTAACCAGCTGTGTGACCTCTTCAAGTTACCTTCTCTGAACCATAGTTGCCTTATCTGTTGAACGGGGATAATAATAGTACCTACCATATAAGACTGTTATTGGGATTAGTGTGCTATGTACTTGGCAGTTTGTGAGGGTTCAATAAATAGTAGTTGTGGTGGCCATTCTTACTAGGTTTGGTTGCAGGCAAGTGCTATTCTGCTGGTCCCTGTCAAGCCTGAGGCCCTTCTCGGCTCAAATCCCTCCCTAAGATACTGGAGAGATGGAATTCTTTCTGTCACCCCTCCCCTCCCAGCATTTGGGTCTTTTGTTCTGGGATTGGCCAGGGCTATGCCTAAAGTGCACCAAGTGTGGCTCTGGCCACAGGCATATCCCCTGAGGGGACTTAGCCTTGTTGACTAAAATGGTATTAAGTGGTCAGCGGGTGGCGAGGGGGAGACTCAGGGGAACAGTACCTCCGAAGACTCTAAAATGCATACACATGGTATCTAGGGCCAGGCTAGTGCCATGGCTCTAGACCCTAGCTAAGAGTGCATTTACAGAGGCTGCTTTGAGAATGTTTTGTGAATGTTTTGGCTGATTTACTGGATAACCTTCATCTTCAATGGCCTTGTTTAAATTTTACCACGGTATGGAATGGGAAGGAGCTCACTTTCCATTCCAACTTTTGGTGGCAGGAGTTGGTAGGATGGGAAGGGCAGCTCGCTAAGTGCTGGACAACATGGCCCAAAAACAATCTGGTTCAGCCAGAAGTTCACGAATACATAGGCCAGCTCTGCTTTTGCAGGGCACCTTCATCCCACTTTTGGATTCATCCTTACTGTTGAGTTTGAACTGCTAAAGGGAGAGAGACTGGGTCTCTCCTATCAGACCTGGAGCTCCCTGAGGTTGGAGATCTTGTCAACCCCACTGTACCGGGAACCTTCCGACGGCGGGGGCCGAGTCTCCTCCCTTTGGCTGGCCGTTCTCCAGCCTGGGAACCGAAAAAGCTGCCTCCGCCCCCGGAGCATGTCCCCCACCCATGCCCGGTGCATTCCTTGGTATTCGAAGCACCCGGAGGCTCAGCACCCGCGGCGGAGCGATTGGCGCCAGCGAGGCCCGGAAGGATGCTTCGGGGCCCGAACTCCCCAGACCTCCGGCTGGGCAGGGGAGGGGGAAGCTGCCGGCTGCCCGAGGAGGGAGGGGCCACGTGGTTGTGGGGAGCTGCAGAGGGGTGCCCCCGGGTCCGTCCAGGCCCTTTTGTCTGTCCCCTGCGCCGAAGCCCCCTCCCCAAAGTGGGCTGGCTGCCGGGGAGGAGGGAGGCCCCGGTGGGCGTGGGGGGGTGGTGCGGAGGGGAAGGGGAGAGTAAACGAGCACTATGGGGGCTGGGAGAGGCTGGAGGGGTGGAGGGCCAGAGGCTGCGCCAGAGAGAAGCGGCTGGAACTGCCCGAGAAGGCCAGGAGGAAAAAGCGGAGGAAGGAAACCCATCCTGCCCCCAACAAGCGAGTGTCTCCTGTTACCAACCGAAAGGTGCTGCCTCAGGAAGAGGTGATCGGAGCCGTTGAGAGCAAGCGGTCACGTGAGCCGAAGAGGCAGAGAGAGAGAGAGAGAGAGAGAGAGAGAGAGAGAGAGAGAGAGAGAGAGAGAGAGCGAGCGAGTGAGCGAGCGCGCAGAGAGGCAGCGCGAGAGAAAGCCGACGGACAGACCGACAGACAAAGAGCCCAAGAGGGAGGCCAGCGTGGACCGCGAGAGAAAGGAGAGCGGGAGGGAGGAGGGGAGGGCGGCCCGGCTCTCCTCTTCCCTTTCCTTATTTTCCCCAGTCTCAACTCTCTGGCCTCACACTTGGGGGACCCAGTGACCGAATGGGGGCCAGAGAGCCCGTCCTCCGGCAGAAGGAGCCCTTTATTCTCGCTATCTCACTCTGCCCAGGCAGCTAGTTTTGACGCTTCCCCACTCCTGAAACGACCAGTGGGGCTGTAATTGGGCCTGGTTAATACCCCTTTTTAGCTTGCAAAATACAAGCAATTCCCTGTTATCCACAGGGGGCTTCCCCAGGGCCTCTGGAATCTGGAATCTCCAGGACCCTACAGTCCCCCACTCCAAGCCTTCTGGGAGTTGGGGCCCTGGGTAGGCCCCATTCCACTCTGTCCGTTTCACTGGGCAACAACAAATGAGGCTGGCGGAGGAGTCCACTGTACTAGGTCCAAGAAGCTGCTGAGATGGGCCAAACGGCTGAGCTGCCTTCTGGAAGCTTTTACTCTAGAGGGAGAGGAGGTCACGGACAGACAGAAAAGGCTGACAGTGGAAGGGTCTGTGCCCTGTGCTAGCAAAATGCCAGAGGGAGTATGGAGAAAGGAGAAATGACAGGAACTAGAAGACTTCTTGGAGAAAGTAGGATTTGGGCAGGCCTTGAAGGCTGAGAGCTCTGGAACCCAAGGGCCGTAGGGGCAGGTGGAAGGATTATTCAGGGGAGAAAGACTGGAACAAAGGCTGGCCGCTTCTAACAGGAACCTGAACTGGTTCTTAATTATAAAGGTAAATCTGTTGTTTTAAAACAAACTGGGGGCTGGGTGCAGTGGCTCACGCCTGTAATCCCAACACTTTGGGAGGCCGAGGCGAGTGGATCACCTTAGGTCAGGAGTTCAAGACCAGCCTGGCAAAACTCCGATTCTACTAAAAATACAAAAATTAGCCAGGCGTGGTGACACACACCTGCAGTCCCAGTTAGTCGGGAGGCTGAGGCAGGAGAATTGCTTGAACCTGGGAGGCACAGGCTATAGTGAGCCAAGATCGCCCCAGCACTCCAGCCTGGGTGACAGAGCAAGACTCCATCTAAACAAGCAAACAAACAAAAAACCACCACCACCACCAACAACAACAAAAATTGGGGCCGGGTGCCGTCAGAAGTTTGAGACCAGCTTGGCCAATAGGGTGAAATTTCGTCTCTACTAAAAATAGAAAAATCAGCCGGGCATGGTGGCAGGTGCCTGTAATTCCAGCTACTCAGGAGGCTGAGGCAGGAGAATCGCTTGAACCTGGGAGGTGGAGGTTGCAGTGAGCCAAGATTGCGCCACTGCACTCCAGCCTGGGCGACATAGAGAGACTCTTCCTCAAAAATAAATACATTAATTAACTAAAATAAAACAAATTGGATTGTAAACATTACTATTTTTCTTTAATTGCAGGCCCTACTGCTGGCCCATCGTTGGTGGTGATTACTGGGAATTGGCTATGATTTTCCAAAGTGCTACCAGTCCCATGAAAACTTTCCTCAGCCTGCTTTTTCCATTGAGGAAACACGGGCCAGAAGGAAATGAAGTCAGTATCCTGTCCCCTGTCCCCCTGCCCCACAAGGATAGGAGGTAGCCACCCACTCTAAGTAAGTATGGTCCAGGGGCACTGAGAGGTTTGCCTTGGCATTGCCTTTCTCTCTTGTCACACATGTGGGCTCACAATTGGAATCACAGGTTGGAAAGCCCAGTCAGGGATTCCAACTCCAGATTCCAGGTCCCTATGAGCAGGTCAGGTGTTCTTTGGGCATCTTGATTCTTTCCTATTGGCATCTTAATCATGTGAATCACTTTATCTGTTATTCCTTTTTTTTTTTTTTTTTTTTTGAGACAGGTTCTCTTTGTCACCCAGGCTGGAGTGCAGTGGCACAAACACGGCTCACCGTAGCCTCCACTTCCCAGGCTCAGGTGATCCTCCCACGTCAGCTTCCTAAGTAGCTAGGACTACAGGTGCCCACCACCACACCTGGCTAATTTTTGTATTTTTTTGTAGAGATGGGGTTTGTTATGTTGCCCAGGCTGGTCTCGAACTCCTGGGCTCAAGCTATCCACCCGCCTCGGCCTCCCAAAGTGCTAGGATTATAGGCATCGTGAGCCACTTGCACCTGGTCATGTTATTCTTTTTAGTTTGCAAAATTCAGTCAACTCCCTGTTCGCCACAGGGGGCTTCCCAAGGGCCCTGGGAATCCAGCATCATCTCCCTGAGCTTAGACCACTGTCCACTCTGGCTACCACTGGGCTGCACTAGGAATTGGGGCCTGACAAACACAGGGGTATTTCAGTGGGGAGAAGGACATGGCTACAAGCCCACTGGGTGGCAGCCCAGAACGTGGGGTCCCAAAGGCTAGGGATATCACTTGAGAAATTGCTGGCTGGGAGCCCAGGGCAAGGGGACCAAAGTCTTGTAGGAAGGCTGTAGATCTAAGGGCACCCTTCTCAACGTTGTAGTGAAAAACTGTTCCCTCACCAAACACCTTGTGTATACAAGCCAGTAGCGTCATCACGATCAACCTTTTTGTGACTGTTACTCATTTATTCCTTCATTCAGTCCTTTATTCTATAAACATCTATTCAACATCACTGTGTGCCCCTCTGTGCTCAGGACTGGGGACAGAGTGCCTCCCCACCAGGGGCTCTGGGCTTTACTGAGAAAGAGATCACAAATTCTAAGGAGCAAGAGAGAATGCTTCCTTTTATTCTTAATCCAAGGATTAATTAGATGAGGAAAGGGACTGTTGGGAAAAGGCAAAAAGCAGATGCTCATTATCAAAAGTTTAGAAGACAGAGAGAAGAAAACAAATATTTATTTTATTGAGACAAGGTCTCACTCTGTTGCCAAGGCTGGAGTGCAGTGGTGCGATCTCAGCTCACTGCAACCTCCGCCTCCTGGGTTCATTCGATCCTCCCACCTCAGCCTCCTGAGTAGCTGGGACCACAGGTGGCTGCCACCACACCCAGCTGATTTTTGTATTCTTAGTAGAGACGGGGTTTCGCTTTGTTGCCCACGCTGGTCTCAAACTCCTGAGCTCAAGGGACCCGCTGGCCTCAGCCTCCCAAAGTGTTGGGATTACAGGTGTGAGGCACCATGCCCGGCAATAATTTCTTTTTGAGACAGGGTCTTGTTCTATTGCCCAGGCTGGAGTGCAGTGGCACTATCATGGCTCACTGCAGCCTCAACCTCCTGGGTTCAGGTGATCCTCCCACCTCAGCCTCCCAAGTATTTGGGACCACAACAGGCACACGCCACCATACCCGGCTAATTTTTTTGTATTTTTTATAGAGACAGGGTTTCACCATGTTGCCCAGGCTGGTCTCAAACTCCTGTGCTCAAGCAATCTGCCCACTTCAGCCTCTCAAGGTACTGGGATTACAAAAACTAATTTGTTTTTGAGATGCAGTCTCACTCTGTCACCCAGGCTGGAGTGCAGTGGCACGATCTTGGCTCACTGCAACCTCTGCCTCCCAGGTTCAAGCGATTCTCCTGCCTCAGCCTCCCGAGTAGCTGGGACTACAGGTGCACGCCACCATGCCCAGCTAATTTTTGTATTTTTAGTAGAGACAGGGTTTTACCATGTTGGCCAGGCTGGTCTTGAACTCCTGACCTCAAGTGATCCACCCACCTCGGCCTCCCAAAGTGCTGGGATTAGAGGCGTGAGCCATTGCGCCTGGCCCATAAAAATAATTTTTAATTGATAATTTTAATAAGGCCATTTCTGAGCTTTGTGTATTTTAGCATGTTAGTCTCTGGGAGTCTCACCTATAAAGTGGGAGTGGGAGTAGTTGCCTCACTGGGTCATTATGCAAAGACATGGTGATTATTTATTTATTTGAGATGGAGTTTTGCTCTTGCCGCCCAGGCTAGAGTGCAATGGCGCCATCTCAGCTCACTGCAACCTCCGTTTCAAGCGATTCTCCTGCCTCAGCCTCCCGAGTAGCTAGGATTACAGGTGCATGCCACGATGCCCGGCTAATTTTTGTATTTTTAGTAGAGACGGGGTTTCACCATGTTGGCCAGGCTTGTCTCGAACTCCTGACCTCAGGTGATCTGCCCGCCTCAGCCTCCCAAAGTGCTGGGATTGCAGGCATGAGCCACCGTGCCCAGTCCACGGTGATAATTTATGTAAGTAGAATGACAAACAGAACCTGGGACTTAATAAGTCCTTACTATTTTGCAGGTATACTGTAACATAACTATCATCCAGAGACAACTGCTGTTAACATTTTGGTGCATTTCCTTCCAGTATTTTTTTAAAATGCATATTTTTCCACATAGTTTGTGATGTAACTCAATACACACTTTTATAGCTTGCCTTTTTTAAAACTTAAAATTATAACAAGAATTTCCTCATGTTATTAAAAAAGGTATTTGTAAACATCAGTTTAGTGGCCACATAATAGCCCATTGTGTAGATTCCTGTTGCTTTTTAAAAGCTCCCAAGCCTACTGTCTCCTTTGTCCTCTACCCTTGACCACCCAGCAATACTCTTGACTCTGAGGTGGAACCACCTGTTCCCCATCCCCCACATTCAGATCCAATTATTTCCTGAGACATTTATTGGGATCCGTAGTTTCACTGAGGCATTTCCACAGATGTCTGCCTTTATGCTTAGTGGCAGCCAAAACATCCTCAGACCATGTTGTAACTCAATCTGACTCTTGCCTCAGCGGACTCTCTCCTCTTTCCCCTGGCCATCTTTGCCTCTCCTCACTCCCTAGACTGCCCCCTGAGCCTAGGCTGGGGGCTTCCTCAAGGATTCCTTGGAGGCCAGTCCTGTTTTCACCCTTCCAACCAGAGATGGCACTGCTCTGCAAACTCAGTTTTGACGGCACCCAAAAAGTAGATCACAGGGGAAATAAAAGTAGACCAAGGGGTGAGCACTGTAGCCGTCAGCAGGCCTCAGGAGAGCCAGATCAAGCTCCCATGTCTGGAGGAGTCTTCCTAGATGCTCTTCTCTCCTGGTGTTGGTGAGAATGAGAATTACATAATAGGGAGCCAGTGAGGGGATGGGGTGGGAGTTAGTGCTTTACTTGGGCCCCTTTTCTTTTTTCTTTCTTTTCTTCTTTCTTTTTTTTTTATGGAGTTTTGCTCTTGTCGCCCAGGCTGGAGTGCAGTAGCACGATCTTGGTTCACTGCAACCTCTGCCTCCTGGGTTCAAGTGATTCTCCTGCCTCAGCCTCCTGAGTAGCTGGGAATAGTGCCTGCCACCACGCCCAGCTAATTTTTGTATTTTTGGTAGCAACAGGGTTTCACCATGTTGGCCAGGCTGGTCTCGAGCTCCTGACCTCAGGTGATCCACCCGCCTCGGCCTCCCAAAGCGCTGGGATTACAGGCGTGAGCCACCGCACCCGGCTCATTTCTTTTTTTTGAAATCAACTTCTCTTGTCTGTTTAGTACAGTCTTGCTCTGCCACCCAGGCTGGAGTACAGTGGCGTGATCTCTGCTGACTGCAGCCTCTACCTCCCGGGTCAAGTGATCCTCTCACCTCAGCCTCCCAAGTAGCTGGGACTACAGGTGCATGCCACCATGCCCAGCTAATTTTTTGTATTTTTTTTGTAGAGATGGGGGTCTCGCTCTGTTGCCCAGGCTGGTCCTGAACTCCTGGCCTCAAGCGGTCCTCCCACCTTGGCCTCCCAGAGTGCTGGGATTACAGGCATAAGCCACCAGGCCCGGCTAGGTCAACCCCTTTTATGCCTTTGAGGTTCTCCCAACTGGGGCTGGAACTGTCAAATAGATAGCTTGCTATGGGAAAGCCTGAAGCTCAGCAGACATGCTCCTGAATGCAGCCCTCCAGCTTCAAGACAAGGACTCTTTTTTTTTTTTTTTTTTTTTTTTTTTTGAGACGGAGTCTCACTCTGTTGCCAGGCTGGAGTGCAGTGGCCTGATCTCGGCTCACTGCAACCTCCACCTCCCGGGTTCAAGCGATTCTCCTGCCTCAGCCTCCTGAGTAGCTGGGACTACAGGGGCGCGCCAGCACGCCCAGCTAATTTTTGTATTTTTAGTAGAGACGGAGTTTCACCATGTTGGCCAGATGGTCTCGATCTCTTGACCTCGTGATCCACCCGCCTCGGCCTCCCAAAGTGCTGGGATTACAGGCGTGAGCCACCGTGCCTGGCCAAGACAAGGCCTTTTTTTGTTTTGAGACAGAGTCTCTCTCTGTCGCCCAGGCTGGAGTGCAGTGGCGCAATCTCGGCTCACTGCAAGCTCCGCCTCCCAGGTTCACGCCATTCTCCTGCCTCAGCCTCCTGAGTAGCTGGAATTACAGGCACCTGCCACCATGCCCGGCTGATTTTTCTATTTTTAGTAGAGACGGGGTTTCACGGTGCTAGCCAGGATGGTCTCGATCTCCTGACCTCGTGATCCACCTGCCTCAGCCTCCCAAAGTGCTGGGATTACAGGCGTGAGCCACCACGCCCAGCCGACAAGGACTCTTTAGATATCCAGAGGGTTCACTACCAAGCAGGCAGCCAGGAGTTCTAGAACATGAGACTTTCCTTGTGGAGAAGGGAATAGAAACCCTACTGGGGTTCTAGGAGAGGCATGGGATTCTAGTCAACAGGACAGTCCCAAGGACAAGAGCTCGTTTAATGGAAAAGTAACCCTTTTCAAGTCAGTGGAAAAATACTGCATTACTTAACCAGTGGTTTGGGGATATCTGATTTGGAGAAAAAAAGTTAACACCGCCAGGTGCAGTGGCTCATGCCTGTAATCCCAGCGCTTTGGGAGGCCAAGGCAGGTGGATCACTTGAGGTCGTGAGTTTGAGACCAGCCTGACCAACATGGAGAAACACGTCTCTACTAAACATACAAAATTAGCCAGGCGTGGTGGTGCACGCCTGTAGTCCCAGATACTCGGGAGGCTGAGCCAGGAGGATGGCTTGAACCCGGGAAGGGGAGGTTGCAGTGAGCCAAGATTGTGCCACTGCACTCCAGCCTGGGTGACAGAGCAAGACTCTGTCTCAAAAAAAAAAAAAAAGTTAACACTTCATGCCCTTGGCCCAAGTAAATCCCAGAGGAGCCTAGTTAGGTTCTTGGTTGTAAACTACAGACCCTTAGTCTACCATAAGCTGAGAAGGAGTTTGCTGGAAGGCTATGGGGAATCTCACTGTGACTCGAAGTGTGAAAAACTAACCTCAGGAAAAGGGTAGGAACCAAGGAAGGCAGGCAGAGTCAGGATCATCCCACAGGCCTGGCTTGTTTAGGATGTCATCTGTGATGGCATGGGCCCCTCCAGAGACTTGTCACTGCTCTTCTGGGGGCCTGGCTGCTGAGACATTCAGAAAAAAATGCTGCTCTTCCCTGCAGTACAGTATTGCTCAAGTTCTGAAGTCCAGAGGGAGAGATAGCATCTGGCTGGCAGACCCTGAGTCACAGCCCCACTACCTAATTGCCAGTGGAGAGGGAGAGGGATATCTGCCTTCCATGTTTCTTGGAATTTGTTTCGAATCATCAGGGTGTTTGGATACTAAGTAACCAAAACCAAAAATGCCAGTTACACTCAAGGATGTTTCTTGAGCACTAGCTTTGATAGGTCCCTGGCCAAGTGCTCTACAAATACTATTTCCTTTAATCATTAAAACAAACCTGTAAGTTGGAAACTATTATTATCCCCATCTTATAGACAAGGAAGTTGAAGATGCCTTTGGTCACACAGCTAGTGTGTACGGGATGGAGCTGAGATTTGGCCCTAGCTCCATCTCACTCCAGAGTGAGATGCTTATCCACTATGCTCCAGAGGGATCAAGAATGGCCAAAAATAGGCCAGGCATGGTGGCTCACACCTGTGATCCCAATGCTTTGGGAGGCCAAGGTGGGAGGATTGTTTGAGGCCAGGAGATCAAGACGAGCCTGGGCAACATATCAAGATCCTGTCTCTACAAAAAATAAAAGAAAAAAAATTACCTAGGCGTGGTAGTGTCTACCTGTAATCCAAGCTACTTGGGAGCCTATAGTCCCAGCTACTTGGGAGGTTGAGGTGGGAAGATCACTTGAGCCCTGGAGGTCAAGACTGCAGTGAGCTATGATTACATCACTGCGCTCCAGCCTGAGTGACAGAGTGAGATCCAGTCTTACAACAAGAACGGCCAGAAATGAAACCATAAACAATTTAGATGAAAACAGGTGAATGTCCTTCTGATCCTGGGAATAGGGAAAGTCTTTCTAGGCATAAAGGTAAAATAAGGAACAATAAAGGACATGATGAATAGATTTGGCTATGTAAAACTTCTTATTTTAAAAATAATAACTCCACAAGCAAAATTAGAAGGCCAACTGGCAAGGAGTGTTTGCTATGTGTGACAGAGTTTTAGTATCATTGATATATAAAGAAGTCTTGGCTGGGCGCGGTGGCTCACGCCTGTAATCCCAGCACTTTGGGAGGCTGAGGTGGGTGGATCACGAGGTCAGGAGATGAGACCATCCTGGCTAACATGGTGAAACTCCGTCTCTACTAAAAATACAAAAATTAGCCGGGTGTGGTGGCGGGTGCCTGTAGTCCCAGCTACTTGGGAGGCTGAGGCAGGAGAATGGCGTGAACCCGGGAGGTGGAGGTTGCAGTGAGCCGAGATTGCGCCACTGAACTCCAGCCTGGGTGACAGAGCGAGACTCTGTCTCAAAAAAAAAAAAAAAAAAAAAAAGGAAGTCTTACAAATCCACAAGAAAAAGATAAACACCTAAACACCTCATTAGAAAACTAGGCAAAGGATATGAATTGGCAATTCTCAAAACAAGAAATATTAATGGCCAATAAACTAAACTAGGAAAAACATTCAGTATTAATAAAGAAGCACAAATTCAAATACTGAGATATCTACATATCATTTTTTTACCCTTCAAGTTGGAAAAAATACATATATACTTACTTGTTTATTTATTATTTTATTTATTTATTTTTGAGACAGAGTCTTGCTGTGTCACCCAGGCTGGAGTGCAACGGTGCCATCTCGGCTCACTGCAACCTCTGCCTCCTGGGTTCAAGCAATTCTCCTGTCTCAGCCTCCCGAGTAGCTGGGACTACAGGTGTGCACCACCACGCCTGGCTAATTTTTTGTATTTTTGGCGGAGACAGGGTTTCACCATGTTGGCCAGGCTGGTCTCAAACTCCTGACCTCAGATGATCTGCCAGCCTCAGCCTCCCAAAGTGTTGGGATTACAGGCATGAGCCACCACATCCGGCCAAGTATTATTAAAATAAATTTTAAAAGGCTGGATGTGGTGTCTCATGCCTGTAATCCCAGCTACTCGGGAGGCTGAGACAGGAGAATTGCTTGAATCTGGGAGGCAGAGGTTGCAGTGAGGTGAGATGACGCCATTGCACTCCAGCCTGGGTGACAGAGTGAGACTCCGTCTCAAAAACAAAAACAAAAACAAAAACAAAACAAAACACAAATATATATATATAAAATAAAAATAAAAAAAATCAGCTATATTGCGGGATAATATAGCTGCAATTAGCTGAGTCCACTTAAATCATACAATTCAAAGAGTTTTGACAGGTGTACCCACTCATGAAATCACTGGCACAATCAAGATACAAAACATATCCATCACCCCCAAGACTTTGCTCATGCCCCTTTATAATTCATCTCTTCCTCCACCTCTGTCCCCAGACAGACAACCATTGATCTTCTTTCTGTCACTATAGTTTCATTTGCCTTTTCTGGAATTTTATATAATGGGGTTATACTTGTTAAAAATATGCATGCCCAAATTATCTGATATCCAGTATTTGCTTAAAAAATAAAAAATAATCCATTGGCAGAGGGACATGGGTGGGAATGTAGGTGAAACAAAATCAGGGCTGTTATACTATTTTACTTTCGTATGTGTTTGAAATTTTCCATTATAAAATTTTAATATGCATCATCACCTCTTGATCCGGTTGTTCCTAAAATCAAATATGCACAAAGGATGCTAACGAGATATTATATTTATAATAACAGGAAAAGGGTAAACAATCTAAATACCCAACAAAAGGTTGGGTAAATAAATTACAGCACATTCATTGAATGGAACACATGAGGCCCTTAAAAATCATGTTTTCAAAGGATATTTAATGACATTGAAAAATGCAACGTACATTTTATATGAAAAACGCAGGTTACAAAACAGTTACAGCATGATTTCATTTTTATCTAAAATATGTAGTAAATATAAATAAAATACTGGAATGTTAATGGTGCTACACTCTATGTGGTAGGATTACAAGTGAATTTTTCGGGGGTTGGGGGAACGGAGTCTTGCTCTGTCGCCCAGGCTGGAGTGCAGTGGTGCCATCTTGGCTCACTGCAACCTCCACCTCCCTGGTTCAAGCAATTCTTGTGCCCCAGCCTCCTGAGTAGCTGGAACTACAGGTGTGCACTGCCACGCCCAGCTAATTTTTTTTTTTTTTATTTTCTAGACGAGTCTTACACTGTTGCCTGGGCTGGAGTGCAATGGCGCAATCTTCGCTCACTGCAACCTCCATCTCCCAGGTTCAAACAATTCTCCTGCCTCAGCCTCCCAAGTAGCTGGGATTACAGGCACATGCCACCATGCCCAGCTAATTTTTATTTTTAGTAGAGACAGAGTTTCACCATGTTGGCCAGGCTGGTCTCAAATTCCTGACCTCAGGTGATCCACCCACCTCAGCCTCCCAAAGTGCTAGGATTACAGGCATGAGCCACTGCACCCGGCCTTCTTTTTTTTTTTTTTTTTTTTTTTTTTTTTGAGACAGAGTCTTGCTCTGTCGCTCAGGCTGGAGTGCAGTGGCATGATTCCAGCTCACTACAACCTCCACCTCCTGGGTTCAAGTGATTCTCATGCCTCAGCCTCCCAAGTAGCTGGGATTACAGGTGTGCGCCACCACGCCTGGCTAATTTTTGTATTTTTAGTAGAGACGGGGTTTCGCCATATTGGCCAGGCTGATCTCGAACTCCTGGCCTCAAGTGTTCTGCCTGCCTCCGCCTCCCAAAGTACTGGGATTACAGGCGTGAGCAACCGGGCCTGGCCCCGGCTAATTTTTTGTGTTTTAGTAAAGATGGGTTTCACCATGGCTGGTCTCGAACTTCTGAGCTCAGGCAATCTGCCCACCTTGGCCTCCGAAAGTGCTAGGATTACAGGCATAAGCCATTGTGCCCGGCTACAAGTGATGTCTATTATCTTTCTAGTTTCCAGTATTTTAAAAACTTCTACAATGAGCATGTGATACACACACACACACACACACACACACACACACACACACACAGATAGATGATAGATAGATAGATAGATAGATAGATAGATAGATAGATAGATAGATAGTAAGTAGAGACAAGGTCTCACTATGTTACCTAGGCTGGTCTTAAACTCCTGAGCTCAAGCCATTCTCCTGCCTTGGCCTCCCAAAGTGCTGGGATTACAAGTGAGAGTCACGGTACCCAGCCTATAATATTTTTAATAGAGGAGAATAGTCTTTAATTTATCTTCGGTACTTTGCATTTTTCCAGATTCTTTTCTTTTACATTGTCTTATTTTTAACCCTATGAGACCATAGAATAGCTTTTATTATATTCCCATAGACCCAAAGTAGTATATTTTCAGAACTAGATAGGACCTTATAGATAAAGACTGATTCCCCCATTGTTTAGATGAGGAAACCGAGGATCAGAGAGCTGAAGTAACTTGCTTGATGCCAGAAAATTAGTGTCAGAGTCAGAATCAGAAGTCAAGCCCCTGGGGCTGACTCCTTTTCACTGCTTCATAGAACAAAGGATCCCAGTGAAACCCACTTCCTGACAGAGACCATTACTAGATACTCTTGAATAGGATGCCTCAAGAAGAGATAAATTCCTTGACTGTGTGTGTGTGTGTGTGTGTGTTTGTCTTAGAGATAGGGTTTCACTATATTGTCCAGGTTGGTCTTGAACTTTTGGCCTCAAGCGATCCTCCCACCTTGGGCTCCCAAAGTGTTGGGATTACAGGTATGAACTGCTGCCCCTAGCCAATTTCCCCGATTTCTAATCCTAGTCCTGAATCTCATCTTAATCCAGGTCACAATGGACTCAACTTTATACACAGACCAATCTCCCTAACCCTGGCCAGGGTCTGAATCCCGATCCATGTTGCAGTCAGCTGTTTCTCCACCCACTTACCCCCATCATGCAAATCTATGTTGTTGAAAGGGATGTGGGGTGGAATATGGGTGAATCAATACAATCTCCTCCCTTCAAGGGTCAAGGATGACACTTTCTTATAGGCAGGCAGGCAAGCTCTTTTTAACCAGAAGGCAAGGGCAGGTCCAGAACTCCAGTGGAAGATGCTCAGGGGCAGCATTGGAAGTTGCGGAGAGTCTAGAAAACCTCTCTTGCCAGTTTGCGTGGATATTCAGAGCCCTCAGCCTGCTGATCAGAAAGGCCTGGCCAGAAGACTTTTCCCGTTCCCCGAGTTAGCTGAAGGACAGGAGCAGCCCAGCCAAAGGCAGTTCTTGAAAGCCTTTTGGGAAGTAGGGGCGGGGCCCAGGGGTGGAGAGTGTTGAGAGAGCTGCTGGAGGAGCGCCAGAAAAGATCGAGGGAAAAGGAGGGAAAAGATGCGACCCATGATGTCTGGTTAAAGGAATTGGAGGGACAGAAAAGAACAGACCATTCCATCTTTACCTCCATTCCTGGAAACTCTGTCACAACTCCTCAGTGCTGGGAACTCCAGCTGAGGTGATGGGGCTCCCCCAGGGATAAGGAGGTCTGTAAAACTGGAAAGGAATTTCCCTTCCTGTGAGAAAATAGAACCAGTTATATCATCCCTCAGTGCCTCAGTTCCCCTATCTGTGCAATGGAGCAGCAATAGCCTTCCTGCTCCTGCCATGTTGGGCTGTGGAGTGGGAGGAGAATGTGTGAGAATGCATAAGATAGAATCAGGTACAACATGCTTGAATTCTCTCTACTTTCAGCCCCAGCTGGGGAGTACAGGTACCACTAAGAGCTATAATTCAATTTTGGCTTCTTTACCCTCAGGCTGGGACACTGCTCCTACTCACCTCCAGCTTAAACTTCCAGTGGGGCGGCAGGGTGGAGGGGGTGGTGTGTGGCTCAACCCTTGCCTTTCTCAATCCTGCCTGGCCTGGTAGGGAACTCTTATCCCTATTGTCTCTGTTCAGATATTAGGGTAACTCCTCAATGCCCAGCATTTTGCCAAATGGAAATAATATCTCCTTTGGTGGCATGAGGTGGCCCTGTCTCTGCGTCTTTATCCAACACTTCTCTGTTTGAAGTTCCTGAAATCTGGAAGATGGGTTGTCTCTTTCTAGCTGTAAGTGCATATGTGCTTGTGGATTTTTGGGCAGGGGAGTGTGGGGTGGGGGAGAAGAGGAGGAGGAGGTGAAGTAGATAAAGGGGAGAAAAGTAGGAGGTGGTGCTGCAGGCATTAACGAGCCAAATCCATTTTGGTAGGGTTTTTTTTTTTTTTTTTCCATTCCTGACGGAGTCTCATTCTTGCCCAGGCTGGAGTGCAGTGGCGCCATCTCAGTTCACTGCAACCTCCGCCTCCTGGATTCAAGAGATTCTCATGCCTCAGCCCCCCAAGTAGCTGGGATTACAGGCACCCGCCACCATGCCTGGGTCATTATTGTATTTTTAGTAGAGACGGGATTTCACCATGTTGGCCAGGCTGGTCTCGAACTCCTGACCTCAAGTGATCCACCTGCCTCGGTCTCCCAAAGTGCTGGGAATATCGGCATGAGACATCTCGCCCAGCCCTAATAGATTTTGTTTCCCCTCCCATAAATGCTTAGACTAGAAAAAACAGAATAGCTTCAGGGTGTTTTAAGGCTGTTCAGACCCCAGTTAGCCCTCAGCTCACCTGGGCAAATGAAAGACAAGAATGGAAAAATAAAAAGGAGCAATCAAGATAAACATGTGAATCTCCTTTTTACCTCCTGGTCTTTGTAGAAAAGACAGTGCTGCCAGTGGCAGCAAAGACAGAAACCCAAGAGGTAGCATGGAGGACACAAGAGGACCATGGGAAGAAAAAGGCAGCCGACCACATGTCTTTCCTGAAAGACTTTCCTTTATTTTTCTGTAGCTGAAACTGTGAGCTCAAGGGGCTTACAGTGTGGTCAAGGAAACAGCTTACAAGAAACAACTAGATAACAAGGAGAGAGAGAGCAGAGCATCAATATTCAGGTGAAAAAAAAGTCAGACCACATCAAAAGGTTGGAAGGTGGGCAGGATCAGGGAAGGCTTCTGGAAGGGGGTGAGATTTGAACCTTGACTTGGAGAATGTAGGTATAGAGAGTGGTGGGAAGGGCATCCCAGGCTGGAGGAACATCATGAATTCATGTTGGGAGTTGGTGGGGGGGTGCTGGTGGTGCAAAAGAACAAAGGCTGCAAAGAGCAATGTCTGTTGCGGGAGGCAGGAAGCAGACAGCGGGAGGCAGGGAGCAGACTAGTGGCTGAAGAGGAGTGCTGAAGAGGAGTCCGGGTTGCAAGGTCATTCTGGAGATCTGAAGAGAATGTACTGCACTGGTGGGAGCAAGAAGAAAAACTTTGTTTCCCCTTTGAGAGCATGGCCTTCGCAGATGTGGGGGAGGTGTTTGCCCTCTTCCCTCAACTCCTGGGTTCATCCCCACCCCCCCACCCAGGAGACATCCCATGGACAAAAATCAGTGTGTGACCACGTAGGTCACTGCACAGGTGTGCATGTGTGTGTATGTGTGCACAGTACTCTTCAAAGCATGCACAAAGCATGTCATGTACACTGTGAAATAGAAGCAGATCAGGTGGCAGCCTGTTTGGCACCCTTTGAGGCAAGCTGCAGGGCACAGTGAGAAGGGCGCAGGGCTTGGATTTAAATCCCAGCTGTGCCATTGCCTATCTGGGTGACCTAGGGAGGTCCCTTTCCTTCTCTGAACCTCATTTCTTTCTCTATAAAATTGGGATAATAACAGTACCTACTCCATAAAGTTGTGAGGGTGAAATGAGATGGCCTGTAAAGCACCTGGCTCATAATAGGTACTCAGGCATGGACAACTTTTTATATTCGTTACCCACTTCCCCATCCCATGCCACTCCTAGGAGGCTGTTCTGCAAACCTGAATTCCCACCATTTCCCAGAGTCCTGGCTTCTTTATTCAAAGTGCTGTTCAAGGCAGTGTTAGGCACTGTTTTGGTGGAAGTGGAATACAAACATGAAGTGGAAACAAATGTAGCAAAATCTTAGCAGCTGTGGAATCTAGGTGATGGGAGTTCCTGTTACAATCCACTTATTTGTGCAGATTGGAAACAAACAAAAACTACAAAGAAACAGAAGCACTCTTGGCCTCTAAGAAGCACTTCTTGGCTTGGAGAAGGTTACTTTTGTCCCGTGGGAGATAAATAAGTCAGCAACTAATTTTTATGCCAGGTGGAATGTGCAAGGGGGCCCTCAAAGAGGGACATAGTGTGTGAACCCATAGGAAAGGGGAACATGGCTTCACCTGGGGCACTATTGGCAGCTTCTCCGAGGCAGAGACAGGTCAAGTGGTCCTTTGAGGAAGAGAGTTTGATTTGCAGGTGACAGGGTGGGTGTCCTGGTTGCAGTGGTCCAGGCTCAACAAAGCAATTGCCAACAGCACAGACTCTGGAACAGAACTGCGATAGTGTGCTTTGAGAGCTGCAGTTCAGGTGGGTGTGGCAGGAGGGAAAATACATTAACCCTTTAGCACTCCACAGACAGTTGTGGAGAGGGCTTAATTGATCAGGCTAACCTGCTATTTGCTAGTTAAGTGCAGAGCCAGGAGGGGGCCTACTTCAGGGCTCAACTGGGAGATGAGGGTGAAGAATGGAGTCTGAGAACCCATCTGGTTGCTGGGGAGGGGTTGCTCCAGGTGTAGAACTGTACAGGAGGGTGCCTCTTGGGGTTGGTGTGGGGCTGTTCAGGGCCTCAAGTTCAGGGCAGAATAAGGAGACAAAACAGGACATGATGGACCCTGAAGAGTAAAACTTTTCTCCTCCCCATGCCACCTCAGCCTGTCAAAGGGCCACAAGTCCCCTGATACCTGTTTTCTTTTCTTGTTTTTCTTTTTTCTTTCTTTCTTTTCTTTTTTTTTTTTTTTTTTTTTTTTTTTTTTTTTGTGATGGAGTCTTGCTCTTTTGCCCAGGCTGGAGTGCAGTGGAATAATCTCGACTCACTGCAACCTCTGCCTCCTAGGTTCAAGAGAGTCTCCTGCCTCAGCCTCCCGAGTAGCTGGGATTACAGGTGTGCACCACCACACCCGGCTAATTTTTGTATTTTTAGTAGAGACGGGGTTTCACCATGTTGGCCAGGCTGGTCTCGAACTCCTGACCTCAGGTGATCACCCGCCTCGGCCTCCCACAGTGCTGGGATTACAGGTGTGAGCCACTGCGCCTGGCCCTGATACCTGTTTTCATTCCTTTCCAGGCACCTTAAGGATTTTTTTCAAGTTGAGGAGGCTCATATGCAATTACAAGACCTGGGAAGGGGTGGCATGTTAAGCCACTGTCAGCTCAACTCCTTACTTGCACAGAAGGAATTCTCTAAACTTACCAACCTTTCAGAGAGAGAGAACCACTCTCCTGGAACAGGAAGGGAGGAAAGGAGAGGGCTAGGAGACTGTCCATGAAGGAGTGTAGGGCTGGCAAGTGAAGAGGAAGACTCCATTTGGTTGAAAACAGGCCTTCTTAGCAGGTGACTGGGAGGACATGGGGCTTCAAAGAAGGTGGGGCAAGGCAGCAAAGACCAAGGACTTCGTCTAGGTCACAGTTATTTCTCCTGGGAGTCCTGTGTGCCTCTCCCTGCTTCCCTTCTTCCACAGTCTGGCCCCTCTCAATATTGTGATCACCACAACAGGAAGGAGGGCAACCAAGAACAGCCTGCAGTACTCTGCCAGAATGGGCCTGGCTGGCTGTGGAAGGATGCTCAGCATTGTACCTGGCTGGTCCCCACCTGGGAGGGCTAGCTTAACCCAGGCCTCTTAGGCAGGTGCCAGGAGAGCAGACCCCAGAGCCCAGCAACCCTCAGGCAGGACAGTCCATCCTTAAGAGCTGGAGTGAATTCCAGGTTAAAGGGATGGCCTGAAGAAGTTGGAATTAACCCACCAAAAGCATCCCCTTTGCCAGTTGTTTTTGGTAGGGGGTCTAGAGACCATGTTCACCATTTTATTGCTAATATCTAGCGACCACAAGTCATTTTTTTATCTATTTTTTGAGTCTACTGTACACAAGGTATTTTATTATGATCAATAACAGCCAACAGACATCAAACACTTACGATGTGGCAGGCTCCTACATCGCACCAAGAACTTGTATTATCTCAGTTCATTCCTATAACAACCCTGTGGTGTAGGTACTATTAATGTCCCTATTTCACAGAATGTGAAACAGCGGCTCAGGAAAATGAAATAACTCACTGAAGGCCACACAGCTGACAACTGATCGAGGCAGGACTCAAACTCAGGTCTCGTTGGCTCCAACCCCACGTGCTTCTGCGTGTAAGCAAGTCCACTCCACAGCCTCCAGCATGCTTTGCTGCCTTGCTCCTCACTACACCATGCCTTCTCCCAATTAGTAGATTAGTCATGTGTTGACACTTCTAGTCTCAGTCTAATGGCTTGTTTATTTAACTGATGGATGCTGCTCCCCATTTGAGGCCATTAGCATTTAAACAAAACAAAACAAAACTGTTGAGCCTGGCAAAGTGACACTGTGTTTACTGTTTTTCTCCCAGTGTTAATTGTGAGCATTTTCCAAATATGTATTTTGATGTGCTAACAGTCCCTAAAGAGGACTGTAGAACAGTTTAGCAATCTTCTCATGCAGCTCCAGCCCCACTCCCCATAATCTCCTTGGTGAGGGGGAGAAGTCTTGGCTAGGATGGGGAAGAGGGATGGTGACTATCTCAGTCTGATTAGGGGGCAGGGGAACTGGGCTGGGAAGGCGACTCTGTCCTTGGAGGCTAAGTCCCAGAGTATCCTCGCTTCACGCTTGGGGAGGGAATTTGGTATTTCTTTCCAGGACAATAAGAACATCTGTGCCAAGGCAGAGGAGGAGGCCGGGCGCTCCGAGGCATCTCTGCCGGAGTCTCTTGACACTGTCCGATTGTTACTATTTCAGTTTCTGCTTGGATCACTGACCTTGTCCATTTAGAGCAGGCTGACTTGGGCGAAGACAGTGTAGGGCTGAGGAAGGACAGAGAGGACCCGTCTGGCTGGGGGTGGAGGTGTGAGGTGGGCAGGGAGCTGGACCAACTCTAAAGCGACCAGGTTACAAATGAGCTGCAAAGTACAGGGTGAATCTTGCATCCGTAAATGGGAGGAAGGAGTGCTTCCACTGTCCACCCCCCACCCCCCGGCCCCTGGGGTAAGTGCTGTTGACCTCAGGTCCAGTTTGTTTGCAGCCTCCCTCTTCTGACAGATCGGGCTTCAGGTCGACCTTGGGGTAATGGATGAAGAACTACAGGTTTGATCCTTACACGGGACAGTTTGCTTCACACTGAGAAAAACCTGGCTACTTTCTGCCTCCCAGCTCCAGTTGCAAACTGGAGTTAAAGTCGAGTTTCTGGCTCCCTGCAAAGTATTCCTAGTACTAGAAAGTCACGTCACCCGGTGTGTTCGTGTGGTGACTGCAGCCATATCTAGTCCCAGCGAGTCGGCCTCCCATTAGGGATGAGCTAAGACAGCTCCTTCGTTTCTTCCTCACTCAGACTTAGCCCTGGAACTGGCAGTTCTGGGGACCAAGAGGTAGGCATCTGCCTCCTGCATAATTAGTTACATCAGTCTCAAAAAGCATTGATGGCCCATCCCTTTGGGTATCATGCTGTGCCTGGCACGAGCTAGTAATCCCCACCCGGTCCTGGCCCTCCCGAGTTTACAACCTTAAGTCACACAATGACACAGATCCCAAAGGCGAGCAGTTAACAAATACATCCACTTGTCCACCAATCACAAGGGATCCATTGAGTGAGCCACTGCAACAAACAGGAACCCCTTCAAAGAGCTTCCAGTCTGGTGGGTAAGTAGGTAAGACTGAGTGAGGGCTTGGGAGAAGAGGTTCGGGCGAGGAAACACGGTCAACTTGGGCATCATCGAAGACTTTTTATTCTTTTTTTTTTTTTTTTTTTTTGAGACAGAGTCTCACTCTGTTGCCCAGGCTGGAGTGCAGTGGCGCGATTTTGGCTCACTGGAACCTACACCTCCTGGGTTCAAGCGATTCTCATGCCTCAGCCTCCCGAGTAGCTGGGACTACAGGCGCCCACCACCACGCCCGGCTAATTTTTGTATTTTTAGTAGAGATGGGGTTTCGCCATGTTGGTCAGGGTGGTCTCGAACTCCTGACCTCCCGTGACCCGCCCACCTCGACCTCCCAAAGTGTTGGGAGTACAGGCGTGAGCCACCGAGCCCGACCCGATCAGACTTTTTAAAAGTGTCTATTGGCATGTGGGTGGGTGGCTGGGTGTTCTGTCGACTTGAGCCACGTCCCTCACTCTGGGTCCGGCGAGGTCTATCCAAGGGCTCTGCAATGCGTAGTGGGGAGAACCCTGGGCGGAGAGGCAGGGATCCGTGGCGCTTGGCGTGGGCTCGCCCTCTTTCCCTGGGTGGCAGGGACGTGTCACTAGACCTCGCCTCTCCGGGTCTGACGGTCGGCTTAGGATCCCTCACGGCTTGGGCATTTTCAGGACAGTCCCCCGCCCTCCTCCCGCCAGCCGCGAGTCTCAGCTGCGCTTCGCGCGTTGGTGGCACAGGTTTGGGGCGGGAGCCGGGAGGAGGCTCCGGATCAAGTCATCCTCGGAGATAAGGTCGCGGCGACTCCCCGGGACGCGCCGGCCCGGCCTGGGCTGCGGGAGGAACCGCGGCCGGCCCGTCCCCCAAACATTTCCGACGGGCCCCTGCGCCCCGCGAGGCTTCCGAGGGCCAGGCTGGGCGAGGGACACCCAGCCCGGCTCGGGTTCGCGCTCCCGGGCCGCCAGCCCGCCTGTCCGCGAGGTGCCTGCGGCCACGGGGCGCCGAGGCTCCCCGAGGACGGGCTGCGGGCTGCGCGCTGCGCTGGGCCGGGCCGCTGCAGGGCCTCGGCGAGCGAGCGAGCGGAGCGGGGCGGCGGGAGTGCGTGTGTGGGGAGACCGCGCGGGAACGCGAGCCGCCGGCCCGGGAAGGGTGGGTCGGGGAGCGGCGGCTGCCGCAGGAGGAGCGACCCGGGAACCGGAGGCCGGCCGGGCTGGCGGGCAGGAGCCGCGGGGGGGAGGGCGGAGCGCGGAGGGCGGAGACGGGGCCGCGGAAGGGAGGGGGCCGCGGGGCGCGGCCGCGGGGCGGGGCGCTGGGACCTGGGGAAGATAAGAGCGTGCTCGGGGGAGTGAGGGCGGGAGCGAGGGAGGGGCGGGGGACTTAGAGACCAAAGAGGAGACAAAAGGACGGGGTGGGTGGGAGGGGCATAGACGAGCGGGGGTAGGGGAGGGGCGCCGGGGGACGCCTCGCGGGGAGGGGTGTGTGTGTACCGCGGGGGGGCATAGTGTGGGAGGGACTTAGAGAGGGACAAGAAGGGACAACATAAGGGAGCGCGGGGGTACGGAGAAAAGGGGGGCGGGAGTGCTCCACCACGCTGGCCACGAAGGCGAAGGGAGGCCGCGAAGGAGAGGCCGCTGGGACTGGCCACACACAGGGACGGGGGTCCTGGGGATGGACAGTCAGCGAGGGAAGGGGGTCGGAGCTTCCGCGGTCTCGGGAGGGGAAGGGGGAGCCGACACGGGAAAAGGGGGTGGTGCGGGGACCCGAGGGTGGAGGCGGATGGGCGTGTGTGCAGCGCTGAGGGCAGGGATTTAACGCAGCTCTTCGAGATGACCCAAAGACCACGGTGGGGGCTGCACAGACGGGACGGGGCTACCGATGCAGGAGGAGAACTGCCCAGGGGAAAGTGGGACCTACAAGGATTAGAGAAGGGTGGCGGGGGCGGCCTCGGACTCGGCAGGAAGGCGCCACCACCGCCCTCTGCCCGTCCCCAGCGTGCCCCGCCCCGTCCGGGGGCCCTAAGGGCAGCGGCCTGGGCCGTGGGGGAGCCGAGCCAGGGCGGAACCATTCGGAACAGAGAGGGGGGCTTGGGGGGAAGGGAGGAGCCAGGGGTCAGAACCCTGTTGGGGGCGGGGGGGCGCCACACCCTGGGAAAAAGGCTTGGGCACATCCAGAGTGGACCAATCAGCGAGCAAGGCCAGGGTGGCGTCAAGGGGCAGCTTCGGCCAATGGGAAGGGAGAACACTTCGGAGGTTCGGAGGAAGAAAAGAAAAAAAAGCCCCACGAAACAACAATCGAATCTGTTTGGGGGCTTGGAAGGCTGGGAATGGGCGTCGTTTATAGCACGCTCTGGCACCTGCCTTCTCCTTTGAAGGATGGGGTGGCTTGCATCACTCCTGGGTAGTGGGGAGCAAACGGAGCTGAAGAGGGTCCGGGGAAAGTAGACGGGGATTGGCCATTTACCGGGGACACTTGATTGGGCGCCTCAATTTGGGGGGTGGGTGGGACGGAGGTAGCAGCTTTGTGCTCAAAAGAGTGCAAGAGAATGTTGTGGTCTCTTAAACGGAGGCAGGAGTGGGCAGGGCTCCCGCATCCCCTACCACTGGCTACTGACTTAAGTGTCAACCAGCGAGTGGATCGTGGATAATCTCAAGCCAATGGATACTTAAGCATGCCTTTTGGGCACTGAACACTGCTCAACATACTCATTTCCCTTACCTTCCCAGTCCCAGGTTGTTTCTTAAGAGGATGAGCAATAGTAGGGGGCCACAGGGGACCCCACTGGGGAATTCATATAAATTTATCCTTTGGCTTTTCACTTCAGTTTAATGTGTAACACTAGATGCACGCTCTATTCTGAAAATTTTCTCTTATAAAGATAACTGGGACTAGCTACCATTGAGGTCTAAACGTTTTGGAACTGATTTGGAGAGTGGTGTGCTCAGAAGGCCGTATCTGTTGGGGGGATTGCAAAAGAAAACTTGGAGTGGTACAGCTTTTGGCCCAGGGATTCCAAATGTCTTGAAAACCCCTGAAACTGTATGTAAAATGCCATACAAATGTGTGTGTGTGCACATTTTTCTGGAGACGGTTCATAACGTTCAACATATTTTTAGAGGGGCCTGTGACACAAAAATGAACCCACTGTGGTCTAAGAATACTGGGGATAGGACTGAATCTCCAAGGTAGGAGGCAAGGTGCAGTAGTGGTGTCATTTTGGAATCAGAGGGGTTTCCCAAATTCCTTGTTAGGAAACTCAGCTGCAGGGGCTCTTTCCGTATATTTCTTGCCATCCAAAGCCAGGCCAAGTTCCTCAGAGCTGAGAAGCCCATGTGAACTGTCATATAGCAAAGCAATGCTTGAATAAACTACACTTTCAATCAATGGTGAGGAGTGGGCCCTGAGTTAGGAAGGAAAGGCAATAGAGGTTTACTTCTGAAATCACATCTACCTTTATCTACAAAATAAGGGTCAAACCTCCTGGTCTTCTTATGAGAAAATAAGTAGAAGGTTATATATGAGATATTGTAGACAGCAGCCTGTACAAGCTGGGAAGCTCACACATGTGAAAAAAATGGCTGTGGCTAGACTTGTGGGGACAGAACCCAGCTTCGGCACCGTCCTGGTCTTAGGATCAGTCTAGGGCAGAATCCAATTGCAGTTTGTACATCCTCTTTCTAGGTTCAGAGGTTAAAATATACAATATTTTATCATTATTAACCCTGTCTCTTCAAGTTGGCAGTTATTAATGGTGGATCATATCTGATGTGATATATTTAAGGTTACAGACTACAGTTAACTTTCTCCATTTCGATTTAGGACCAACTACATAATCCTTGGTAAGAAAAGGAGGTGGCCCTGACAAGTGCAACTCGAGAAATGCAATGCTGTAGAGTCCAAAGGTGTCTGACTTGAACGAAATGATCCCACTGGGGGACAATGCAACATATACTCCAGGTAAATAGATTAAAAAATGCCTTTATTTTTAAAATGTGGCTTAACTACATGCAATGTACTGAGCCAGTTTTGGAATCCACCCTGTATCAGAGTAAAACTGGACCAAAGGAAGTGAAGTCAGGGCTCCTGGCTGTCACTCCTCCAGCAACTCAATCTACAGAGCATTTCTTCAGCTGTTTTTTGTGACGTGTGGTGATTCGTTTTGGATTCCTCTGTATGACAGACAGGTCCGACCTTGAGGAAGACCGGTAGCCCACGTCTTCTGCTTTTATGGGGTTAATGATATGGCCTGGCTTGGTGACGACCTTGGGAGTAGTCAGCTTTTGGAAAGCCCTCTGGGTGTTCCATGTGGATCCTATGGGGGTCTGGATGGTCCTTTCAAATTGCCAATGGTGGGTAAATGGATATGGAAGCACTCGTACCTGGAAAGGAAGGAGAATGATTTGGTATGAGGCAGGCCTGGGGTGCAGTTGTATACTGTAATGGCAGCTTTCATCAGGTACTGTTTTGGTACAGGCCACGGTTCCACATGATGACTGCAAGTGAAGAGACTGAGAGGTCAAGGCGTCCCATTGCTCCCATCTGCCCTTAGGAATTCAATCTGTTTGATGACATTTGGGAGTAGGGGGGCCTGAGTTGGCTCTGGATCCCCCATCTATTCAACAATTCAGGGTCTGAAAAACCACCCTGACACTGCCCATCTTTGTTTTTCTTTTTTTTGAGACAGAGTCTCACTCTGTGGCCCAGGCTGGAGTGCAGTGGGGTGATCTCTGCTCACTGCAACCTCTGCCTACCAAGTAGCTGGGATTACAAGTGACACTGTCCCTATCTAGCTACAGGAGCTCCAGGGCTGTTGTCCCAGAGTGAGCTTTCCTATGTAACACTGTGACTGCAAGAATCCAGACCATTGTGTATCCCTGTGGATTTTATGACTTTTCTACCCTCTTTATGCTTTCAGTCTCCTCCTTCCCTCTCTTAGGATTGATATTTTTTTTTTGTTTTTTGAGACGGAGTCTCGCTCTGTCGCCCAGGCTGGAGTGCAGTGGCACGATCTCCGCTCACTGCAAGCTCTGCCTCCTGGGTTCACGCCATTCTCCTGCCTCAGCCTCCCGAGTAGCTGGGACTACAGGTGCCCACCACCACGCCCGGCTAATTTTTTGTATTTTTAGTAGAGACGGGGTTTCACCGTGTTAGCCAGGATGTCTTGATCTCCTGACCTCGTGATCCACCCGCCTCAGCCTCCCAAAGTGCTGGGATTACAGGCGTGAGCCACCGCGCCTGGCCAGGATTGATGTTTTAAGGAACCCGAATCCTGAACTCTACCAGGCCGTTACACTTAGTTTCATCTTTTTTTTTTTTTTTTTTTTTTTTTTGAGATGGAGTCTCGCTCTGTCTCCCAGGCTGGAGTGCAGTGGCGTGATCTCGGCTCACTGCAAGCTCCGCCTCCCAGGTTCACACCATTCTCCTGCCTCAGCCTCCCTAGTAGCTGGGACTACAGGGGCCTGCCACCATGCCTGGCTAATTTTTTTTTGTATTTTTTTTTTTAGTAGAGATGGGGTTTCACTGTGTTAGGATGGTCTCGATCTCCTGACCTTGTGATCCACCCGCCTTGGCCTCCCAAAGTGCTGGGATTACAGGTGTGAACCACCATGCCCGGCCCACTTAGCTTCATCTTCTTTTGGCACCACAGAATGTAGAGCTGGAAGGCCCTAGATATTGACAATGGTCATCTCCCTTGGCCTGAAGATTTGGCTTAGAGGGGGGAAGTGATGGACCTAAGTAAATGAGGAGCAGCATTGGAGAACAGAACCCAAAGCTCCTGTTTCCTTGCCTGGTACTCCTCCACCACATTGCTACCTTCAGACATTAAATAATCTTTCAACACTTCCCCAGTGGCCAAAGGAGGAAAACACGTAAGCAGAAAATGGGGATGTAAAAATCAGTAGTCTTTGGCAGGGTACGGTGGCTCACACCTGTAATCCCAGCACTTTGGGAGACCGAGGCAGGCAGATCACTTGAGGTCAGGAGTTCAAGACCAGCCTGGCCAACATGGTGAAACCCTGTCTCTGCTAATAATACAAAAATAAGCTGGGTGTGGTGGCGCATGCCTGTAATCCCAGCTACTCAGGAGGCTGAGACACGAGAATAGCTTGAACTTGGGAGGTGGAGGTTGCAGTGAGCTGGGATCGTGCCACTGCATTCCAGCCTGGGTGACAGAGTGAGACTCCATCTGAAAACAAAACAAACAAACAAAAATCAGTAGTCTCTGGAAACATTCAGTGGAATACTCAAGAGAAGCTAAGTACTATCAGGTGGTCCTGGTAGTAGCAAAGGAAACAGATTCTCTTTAAGTTAAGGGAATGTCTTATTTGGGTTGACGGCTACATCTGTGCTTGTCAACCAGGGCAACAGAAAAAGAGAACACCTGGACAAAGTATTCAGTCTCAGAAGTCCCCCCTAGGCACCTTGAAGCACTTTATTCTACTGCATGTTGGAACCTGCAGTAACTTATTAAAAAGATGAAAATCAGGGGAGATTCCTAGAAAACTATTTGTCAGTTTGCCATGACTGTATTAAAAAAACAAACAGACCCCTGGAAGGGAAGGGTGGTCTTTATTGAGCTCCATACTCTACCCATCACCTGGAATCCTGGCCCACTGAAGCACCCTTTCCCCCCTTCCCTTATCGTGTAACTGCCTATTTTCTAGTTATATAGGTTTAATTGGGACTGCAGTAGTTATGATTCAGTTTCTGCAGTGATTGGTTCACAAAATAAGATCAAAAAGAATGTTATTGAAATGTGTATCTTCTTACCTCTGTTCTGTAGCCATTAATTCTTTATTCCTTCCGAGGGAAAAATGTAACTCATTTCAATATACTGGCTGGGGACAGATCTCAGAATTGAAGGGAACATAAAGGTCATCTAGTCCAATCTCGTTCTTGAGTCCCCTTTACACATTCTCATACTCCCAGAGCAGCCTTGAATTCTGTATGTCCTCTAACTTCTACTTTATGTGACTTCATACAATAACCTTCGATATACTTGAACACCGTAATCACGCTCAAATTTTCTTCTCTTGTAAACATCCCTAGCTCATTATCATGTGACACAACTTACAATCTTCTCATTCTCCTGAACAAGTACCGGTTTGTCTTCATTTTTCTTAAGCTACAGCTTAAACCTTATAGCCTCTGTTTGAGCATTACCTTGACTCTAAACTTTTTTCCTGGCCAGTAATTAAAACAGCGTAGTCTATCTGAAATGATAAATCTAACAGCCATTCAGTGAAAACAACAGATTTGATTCTGCGGTCAAGATCACACGTCTCTCTTGACTACAGATCACTAGAATACTCCTCTCAAGCAAGAGAGCCAGGCAGTAACAAGCAGGCAGCTAAAGAGCTCTCTAAGCTCTCACCTGATGAGCAGCTGCGTGGATGTTGCGCTTCTCATTGATAATCACATTTGGCAAATTCTTATCTTTTCTTGGAGGACCCTCAGGGGCTTTAATGAGAAACCTGGAAAGCAAAACAACAGGACATCTGACTAGGAGCATTAAGGACTTAGTCAAAAGGGTAGGGAGGACACCGAAGGGCGAGGGGAGAACCCGGTGCCCTTTTGACAGACTTTCTTCGGCATTCTTACCGGCGTCTTTTCTTGGCACTGGGCTTTAGGCCCACACCACCCCACTCGCCCCAGCCAGGTAGTGTCAGGTCCACGTCCTTTGGCTTACTCGCCTCCACAGCTTCCCTCTTCTCTTTCAAGAAATCTCTGATGACATCATCCCCAGCAAAAGCTTCCTTTATCATCTGCCTATGGTTTCTCTCCTCTTCATCTTCCTGGGAAGAAACAAGCGAGAGCTACAGCTTGGCTTATGAGCTGTGGTTCATGGCGAGAACGCTTGAATTTCGGGTCGTGACATTTTAGCGCCCCCTAGGGGGAAGTGCTGAACAATGATGGTCTTGCGATACAAACCAGTGCACAGCCAATCATGCTCAAATTTTCTTCCCTCTAGGGTAAATATCCCTAGCTCATTATCATATGACACAATTTTAAACTTTTCAGTAAGGAAGCTGCAGGGTGGAGGAAGGAATGGCCCGTGTTAGCAGCAGGAGCTCTAAGTGGCCAGACTGTAGGCTTCCTCCAGCTTATATCCCTGAAAAGACAGGTGCCAGGACGCTTCACTTTAAGTTTCAGATTAACTGGGGAGTCTTAGACCATCTGAGATCCCACTGAATAAAACTTTCGCAACAGTTCAATGACTCACCTTCAAGTTGTCCTGCCTGGGATCTGGTCAGAACTCTGAGTTACTCCCTCTTACCTCTGAGAGCAGTTTTAGAGTCACCCCAGAGGAGTTTTTGTGGATCAGGCTTTCGGAAATAGGGGTCTTGGCAGCACCCATATATCTGCATCTATTAAAACGTCACTGGGACTAGCCTGGCCCTATACTATTCTGGACCTCTAAACTACTGAAATGTGCCCCCAGCAAAACAAAGCTTCATTACTCCTTGCGCAAGAACGACACTTTCTGAACAATGGCCCACCACCCTGGCTCTGCTCACCAGCTCCTCTATTGTGGGAACTGCCAAAGACTTCACGGAGGGAGATTGTGTGGTTAGGAGGTTCTGTAGGTCGATCATTTGCTCCTTCTTTTTCTTCTCCTTAGGGGCATCAGGGCGATTATTTGGGGTCCTCTCTGACTGCTGCCCTTCTAACACAGGTCTGGGAAGCTCCTTATTTTGAAAACATTCTTCTTTTCCCAGCTCTTCTAGCTCTTCCAGCGTCTGTACTCTCTCTGGTCTCTGTAGCAACAGGGGCTCCTCTTCTTCTGGGGCAGGTTCCTCTCTCTGGACCTGGGGAATAGTCCCCTCTGAACTTGCTTTTTGCTTCCTGGACTGATGGTTTTCCTTCAATTTCTGAGATAGTACTCTCAATTCAGACAGCACCTCCTGGCTGCCAGAATCTGGGGGAAAAAAGAATGAAAACTGTCAGAAAATGAGGTTTGTACGTTGTCTGGTCGGTAAGCATTTGTTGAGCACCCACCAAGTGCTAGGTACCACATAAGACATTATAAAAAGGACAAACGGGGAAAAGAAGATTCTGTACATTGAATCTCCTAGACAGTACACTAATCATAGCAGGCAACGGAGTTTGGTAATTAAAAGTAGCATGTGGCCAGGTGCGGTGGCTCACACCTGTAATCCCAGCACTTTGGGAGGCCGAGGCGGGCAGATCATGAGGTCAGGAGATCGAGACCATCCTGGCTAACACGGTGAAACCCCATCTCTACTAAAAATACAAAAAATTAGCTGGGCATGGTGGCATGTGCCTGTAGTCCAGCTACTCAGGAGGCTGAGGCAGGAGAATCACTTGAACCAGGGAGGCAGAGGTTGCAGTGAGCCGAGATTGTGCCACTGCACTCCAGCCTAGGTGACAGAGCGAGACTCCGTCTCAAAAAAAAAAAAAAAAAAAAAGTAGCATGTGAGATGTTGGATATGGTGGCTCACGCCTGTATGCCAGCACTTTGGGAGGCCAAGGGGGCAGGATAGCTTGAGCCCAGGAGTTCGAGACCAGCCTGAACAACATAGTGAGAACTCATCTCTACCACCTCCACCCCTCCAACAACAACAAAAAATTTCCAGGCATGGCGGTGTGGATCTGTAGTCCCACCTACTTGGGAGGCTAAGCTGGGAGGATTGCTGGAGCCAGAAGGTCAAGGCTGCAGGAAGCTGTGACTGTGCCACTGCATACTAGCCTGGGCAACAGGGCAAGACGTCTCAAAAAAAAAAAAAAAGTAGCATATTGGAAGCAGACGTCCTGGGTCCTATTCCCAGCTTTGCCAATGATCCACTGTATAACTGGGACTGTGGCTTAAGTTCCTCGTGCAGTAAACCCTGCTTGGGAAGATTGCCCCAAGTTCCAAATTTTAAAAAAGGAAGCCACTTTAACAGGTGGCTTCTCAATGTAACTTCATTGTAATTTATGCTTCACTGCTTGTAAAAACCCTATCCAGGATTTTCATCTTGACTCAAGAATTTCTACTCCATATCTTAAAGCAGTATTTCATAATCTGCTGTGGCTGAGTCAAGGGATGAAGTAGCTGCTTTATCCAGTGGATGTAGCTCACACTTTCACTGGCAACATCTGAGCAAATAACACTAGTCTCAAGAGTCTGGAGGGGCTGGCTTGGCACAGTGGCTCACACCTGTAATCCCAGCACTCTGGGAGGCCGAAATGGGTGATTCACTTGAAGCCAGGAGTTTGAGACCAGCCTGACCAACATGGCAAAACCCTGTCTCTACTAAAAATACAAAAATTAGCTGGGCGTGGTGGCATATGCCTGTAATCCCAGCTACTTGCAGGCTGAGGCAGGAGGATTGCTTGAACCTGGGAGGTGGAGCTTGCAGTGAGCCGAGGTTGCACCACTGCACTCCAGCCTGTATGACAGAGACCTGTCTCAAAACAGTCTGGAGGGAAACCTGGCAGTGACATGCTTCTAAACTGTCTTTTTCATTGACTCAAGTTGCCTCCATTCCCAAGTTGATCCTGCTGTCTAGCTTTGGCATGAAGCCATTGTAGCTCCTTAGATCTGGCCTTTGGACACATGTACGTTTATTTCTCAAGAATCAGGTTTCCTTGCTCATTTTCACTGGGGTCCGTGGCTTTCCAGTATTTTAGGACACTCTTGGAAGGTGTGAGAAAATTCAATTTATTTACTGTCCAAGGAAATGCAAATCTATCTTTCATTCTTTCATATCACAGTCAGCCGCTCTGCACATTTAGCTAGATGGCCAGTTGTTGAGGGGGCTCAAGAGAAAGCCACTAGGGTCCTGTGGTCATATATGTACACCCCCACAATCTCAGCCCGCTGTGCTGCTTTCCAAAATTCTCTCAGAAGTGACTACTTGCAATTATTAATCCCAAAAATATCCAGCCAAAACTATTAAGTAAAGGTCCCTATAATATATTCTAAATGATAGCTCTTTTAAAATAAATTTTTGTATGTGGAAACCTGAAAAAAAAAAAGGAAAAAAAAAAGGAGGCTGGGTGCGGTGGCTCACACTTGTAATCCTAACACTTTGGGAGGCTGAGGTGAGAGGATAGCTTGAGGCCAGGAATTCAAGACCAGCCTGGGCAACAGAGCAAGACCTCAGTCTCTACAAAAACTTAGCTCAGCATGGTGGCACGTGCATGTAGTCCCAGCTAGTTGGGAGGCTGAGCCAAGAGGATCGCTTGAGCCTGGGAGGTCTTAGGCTGCAGTAAGGTATGATTGCACTGCTGTATTCCAGCCTGGATGACAGAGCAAAACCCTGTCTCTTAAACAAAAAAAAGTAGAAAAAAATAATTCTTTTGCCGTGTAAAACCAGATTTTTGCCATCATCTAAATGCATTCCTATGTGAAACCAAACCAGACCTGGTAATTTGTCCAGATAGCCAAGTGATTTCTCAATGTAGCTAGTTTCCTAGGCAGGTTTTTTAGTGTCCTGGTTTATTGCCAGAATGGGAACTCTCTGACCAATCTCACAGGTGCTAACATTGTCAATAAGATCTCTTCAAGATAACAGGTAGAAAATATAACATACAAATAGAGCCTGAGTATGGAGTCACAATTCTAATTTGCCATGTGGCCCTGTGGAGTCATTCATTCCGTAAAGTCTCACCCCATGTATACACACATCAACTAGCATTAAGAAGTGCTAAAAATGCCACTCCTACTTAACCAACAAAACAAAAAAATCCAGCAACTAGACAATGTTTCCTAATGTCTCAAAATTGACCTATCTGTGTCTACAGGTGTGAATGGACTTTCAGATTTGCCATTCTACCATACGTACTTCTCCCTGGTGTGTAGGTACCAGGAACGCTAACTCATACCCTGACTTCGAGTATGGTTTAGTTATTATGGGTTTCTGAAGGCTGTAAGCCCCCAAGAACAGAAAATGTGCCTGAACCACGTTGCACGGCCATGCAGATGACTGCTTATTAAATGTCTTCGAAGAAAAATAGTTATGAATCTAATTTCTCTTCAGGGATCCAGTGTACGCACTCTTGCAAGTCCCCAGCGCCTAATCACTATGCAGTTTTGTGTGTGGGTGGACACATTTTTTTTTTCTCCCATAGTCTGTCCACAGCACTAGGAATTTCCCTCTTCCATTTGATCACAGCTCACCTTTTGTTTCTTGACTGCCTGCTGGCTCAGCATCTTGGCTGAGCTCAGATCTTTTTCTAAGGGATCGCCTTTCCTCAAATTCTCTCAACAAAATTTCTTCTTCTGCCACTGGTCTTTCTTCTCCCTCACTTTCAGAAACTCCATGGGCCTCAAGCTCTGGCAGTTGCTCAGGGTCCTCCTGGGTTGCAGCCTCTTTGGTGTCACTGGTGCAGCTCCTGAGCATCCAGGGATTCGGCCCATCTGCATTCATCTGCACTTCATTCACTACATCAGGGACAAGGAGTTCTTCCACATCTTCTGTGCCTCCCTCCTCTTCCTCACTCTCAGAGGCTACCTGGAGTTTCTGTGTCAGTTCTTTGTTCTTAGACAACTGTTCCTGCATAGCTTGGCGAGCCTGGAGGAAAGAGTCACAGCATGAGAGCCCTGTCATTAGTGACCGCAATAACACCTTTCCTGGTCCATTTCATAAAGCTGCCTCCTCTCAATTTGACTTGGTGAGTATTTCTTACTGGTACCTACTGTTTAAACTGCATATACAATGCTGGGTTAATAGCTATGGTATAAAATGGAAGACAAATTCTTTGTCCTCAAGGAATCAACGGTGAAATAAGATTTTAAAAAGCTCCTCTCCCCCTTTGGACTTGCCTTCAATGCTGTTTCCCTTTCATCTCTCCTTTTCCACCTTGTTCCTGGTCATTTTCCTTTCTGCCTTAGAGATTTTTCTGATGCCTTTTTAGATTCCTGGTTTTCCATCCATCCTCATGGCTCTTCCCCAACTCTGCTTCTGCTAGCATCCTCCAATTCCAGATCTTCTCTCACCCCAAGGGTCTCTTACCTCCAGGTCATATTTGGCCATAATTGCCTTTGACTTGGCCCATTTCCCACTGTTTTGGTGCTTAAGGCTCATTCTTTCCTAGAAAGAAAGGACAGAGTGAGATTTACATCTTTAGTGCCTTCCAAGGAAAGCTGGTTCAAAGGGGTGGGGGTGGGGCAAGAGGTAGTCTCACCATCATTCTGGCCTTTTCAATTTTTTCCAGTTCTTCTAGTGCTGCAGCTGGATTAACCTTCCGCAGCTGCTCAAACTCTTTTAGGGCTTTCTTGGCCTTTCCTTTCTTCACGACTTTGTGATACCTGTAGGGGTAGGAGGGAAGAGTTTAGCAATTTAGCTGAAGCACGGATGTCATAGGCACAAGTGCCCATACTACCCAATGGGTTCCCTAGGCAGGGGGCTGGAATGGGCATCATAGAGCTAGTTGGCTATAGGGAGTCAGTTTGGGACCTGACAGGACTGGCAAGATTCTTGGTACCCACAGTCCTCAGGGTGGACCTCTGCAGCTCAAAGAGTCTCCTTTGCCTCTATAACTCAAGGGAGGGGTAGAACAAGTTTCATTTTTTTTTTTAGACAGGGTCTCACTCTGTCACTCAGGCTGGAGTGCAGTGACATGATCTTGGCTCACTGCAGCCTCCACCCGCTGGGCTCAAGCGATCCTCCCGCCTCAGCCTCCTAAGTAGCTGGGACTATAGGTGCACATTACCATGCCTGGCTAATTTTTGTACTTTTAGTAGAGATGGGGTTTCGCCATGTTGGCCAGGCTGGTCTTGAATTCCTTACCTCAAGTGATCCACCTGCCTGAGCCTCCCAAAGTGCTGGGATTACAGGTGTGAGCCACCGTGCCCAGCCAGTTTTGCCATGTTGCCCAGGCTGGTCTTGAACTCCTGAGCTCAAGTGGTCCATCCACCTCGGCCTCCCAAAGTGCTGGGATTACAAGCATAGCCACCACACCCGGCCGAACAAGTTTCAAAGAGGCAAAAAGGCAGGAAGGAAGCCCTATTGGCCTTAACAGCTCTGGAATTCAGAGCTGATTCTGCAGAACCACTCTGTGATGCCTTGGAAGGCAGAGAAAGTAACTGAATAGTCATCTTTTTGGCAAAACTGTATGAGGTTGGTTTGGGGGGAACAAAAGGCTAGTCACTCCTGTTTGGGACCTCATCTGCATGACTCTAGTTGCTGCATCAAAGGTTCTCTCCAAAGAATTCATGATGAACCACATGACTTTCTTCTGTGGAACCCAAGGCCAGTTCACAGGGGCCTCCTTACTTTTTACTTTTGATTTTCTTCTCTCTTCGAGCCTTGGCCTCATAGTAGGACTGCAGAGCCCGAGCCCTCTGAAGCTCTGCTCGTCGCATCTTTGCCTACAACAAATGAGACTTACAGTGACACCTGGGCCAGAGGACAAATGCTAGGAGAAGCGTGGCATGCCTGGGTGTGCTGAAGGGCCTATGACACACTTACCTCTTCTAGGCTCATGGCTCGGAGAGAGGCCTTTTCCACAGGGGTCAGTAAAGGGTCTGTCACTGGCTGCTTGTTCTTATGGAGGAGGTTGAAAATTTCCTGCTCCAGGGGAGTTCTTGCCTTAAAGAAGCAACAAAACATTCTGAGTCTTAAGCCATGCTCTTACAGCTTTCTCTCTTTACATTCCTATGATTCTCTAACTTATGACACTATAATTGGAATCATAAGTGGATAGGATTGGCTGTTACAGCAAGAGAAGGGGGTTCCAGTCTTGTTGTCAGAAGTATAAATAAAGCCTTATTTGATTCTTATATAAGACAACTTCAGCAGGGAGACGCTGAGGCTACTCTCTAATACTGCTGAGGGGGATCACTGTGTTCAGGTTACCAATATATGTTTTTTTTTTTCTTTTTTCTTTGAGATGGAGTCTTGCTCTGTCGCCCAGGCTGAAGTGCAGTGGCGTGATCTCGGCTCACTGCAAGCTCCGCCTCCTGAGTTCACGCCATTCTCCTGCCCCAGCCTCCCGAGTAGCTGGGACTACAGATGCCTGCCACCACGCCCAGCTAATTTTTTGTATTTTTAGTAGAGACAGGGTTTCACCGTGTTAGCCGGGATGGTCTCGATCTCCTGACCTCGTGATCCGCCCGCCTCGGCCTCCCAAAGTGCTGGGATTACAGGCGTGAGCCACCGCGCCGGCCCAGATTACCAATATATGTTAAACTGATTTCCATTCTCTTAAGAATCTAGGCACATTGCCCTTGAGTCCCTGTATTGTTATGTATCATTTGAAGCACATAACTATTACTTTATAGTTAGGAATCTCAAATTCATATCATAAGCCTTCTTTTAGAATATTTCTAGAGGGAAGGGGCGGTTAGTTTTTTTTTTTTTTTTTTTTGTTTTCTGAGACAGAGTCTTGCTCTGTCACCCAGGCTGGAGTCCACTGGCACTCCAATCTCAGCTCACTGCAACCTCCACCTCTAGTGCTCAAGTGATCCTTCTGCCTCAGCCTCCTGCGCAGCTGGGACCACAAGTGTAAGCCACCATGCCTGGCTAACTTTTTTTATTTTTTGTAGAGACAGGGTCCTGCCATGTTGCCCAGGTTGGTCTTAAACTCCTGGCCTCAAGCCATCCTCCTGCCTTGGCCTCCCAAAGTGCTGGGATTACAGGCGTGAGCCCAGCATGCCCTGTGAGATTAGATCTTAAGATAAGCATTATTTGCCACTGATGGTATACCTAGGACATATATCTGCAAATGTCTCAGAGGGGAAGCCCAACTTTTTTTGACCATAGCCAACTGCTATAAACCATGCATATAAGTGTTCTTGGTATCATTAATTACTGATGAAAGAAAATGAGAAAAAACATGGCATTTTTTTGGCAGAGTCTTCAAATGTAGTTTGTGGTGGGGTGTGTGTCTTAATTTCTTGAGCACAAAAGGATATTGCCTGAAAAAAAATATAGGATGGGCATGGTGGCTCAGGCCTGTAATCCCAGCACTTCGGGAGGCTGAGGCAGGAGGATTGCTTGAGCCCACAAGTTTGAGACCAGCCTGGGCAACATGGTGAAACCCCATCTCTATTTATTATGTTAAAAACAAACAAACAAAAAGACCTTCATGTAATCAGCCTGTTTCCTGATGGTTCAAGTTGAACTCTCCTCATTTTCTAACTTTGGCTCCAATTCCTCAGTTTCCAGTTAATTTTACATGCTAGGCAGAGTATGTATGAAACGAATGAACTGTAAACCAGTTATTCCACATGCTATCATGAGGATGGCTAAATATTCAGGCCGATCATGCCACGGTCCACATTCTGGCAAGGCACAAAGACAGCCCTAGGCAACAGAGCTAGTTTCAAACCTCACACACATATTATGTGTGGTTTTCTTCAATAGCCATATACATCGTGGTCAGTATTAAACTTACAAATATTTGGATAAATGCATAAACGCACATCATCACATGTTACACGATGCTATTGATTTAACCATAAAACTATTCTACTGAATAGTAAAGGTATATGTTCTTCCACTTTTAGTATTTGCAGTAGTGATCAATCTCAGGCTACAAAGTGATTTATACTACAATGTTGTAATGTCCCTTCAATTCAATTCAATTTACAAACATTTATTGATTGTAGCTATATTCCAGGCACTTGTATGGGGTGCTAGGAATACACAATTGATTAAGATAGTTCCTGTCCTCATAGAGCTCACAGCCTTTGAGAGCAGAGACATATACAACACAAACAGCATAACATAATGGGTTAAATACCCTTTATGTTACCCTTAAATAACATAACTGCTACGTTATTCTATAGGGGTAATCACAGAGGAAATTACCATTAAATATTATTGGGAGGTAGGTTAGGCTTAGGGAAGGAAGTGACCTTTTGAATTAGGCTTTGAGGCCTAAGTACAATTCTGTCAGGAGGAAAAAAAATCCAAACAGATGAGCATAAGCAAAAAACACAGACACAGGGAAAGGAGTGGTATGTAATAGAACAACGTGTTGTCCAGCATAGCTAAAATGCTACGTAATTTTATTTTATTCTGTAAGTGAACAGCCTTTGAAGGATTTTAAGCAGGAGAGCAATGATCAACTGTGTTTCAGCAAGAAAATCCTGCTGATTGTGTAGAGGATATATGTAAAGTTCCAAAGGAAAGGTTCAATGAGGGCCTCGATTAGGGCAGTGAAAATGAAAATGAAGAGAAAATAGGAGCATAAGGGCTATTACAGAGACAGAATTTGCAGGTCTAGCCCCCTGTATAAGCTGGCGGAGAGGGAGACAGTGAAGGGGTCAAGAAGGAATCAAATGACTGAGGTTTCCAACCTAAGTGACTGGGGTAGGGAGTTATGCTGTTAACTGAGTTGCAGAATGAAGGGGGTGGTATAGGTTTTGGAAGTCTGGGGAAAGGAAATGCGAAGCTTACTTTGGACTGGACTAAGTTTAAGGTGCATATGGGGGACCCAGGTGATCCCTGCTAGTCACATGGAATATGAGACTGGAGCTTCAAAGAAGGGGTTGAGAGTGATAGTCGAAAGTTATGAAATTTTCACTCCTGTAATCCCAGCATTCTGGGAGGCCGAGGTGGGCGGATCACGAGGTCAGGAGATCGAGACCATCCTGGCTAACACGGTGAAACCCCGTCTCTACTAAAAAATACAAAAAATTAGCTGGGCGTGGTGGCGGGCACCTGTAGTCCCAGCTACTTGGGAGGCTGAGGCAGGAGAATGGCGTGAACCCGGGAGGTGGAGCTTGCAGTGAGCCGAGATTGCACCACTGCACTCCAGCCTGGGCGACAGAGCAAGACTCCGTCTCAAAAAAAAAAAAAAAAAAAAGTCATGGAATTTACAGAGCAAGAATAAAAAGGACTAAGGAAAGCCAGAGAGAGAAAATACCCAGAGTATATCACAGAAGCTAGAGGGGAGAGATTTTTAGAATGAAATGTGCCAATGGTGTCAAATATGCTAAAGACTAAGAGGGCTTGGGATTTGGCAATTCGGAGGCCCCTCACTAATGCCTTTTGAGAGAAGTTTCAGTAGGGCAGTAGGGGAAGAAGGTGAGAGAGAGGAGGCAGCAGTGGAGACAGACCAGCTCTTCCCCAAACACATTTCTCATCAGATAACAAGATTTGCCTCCCCTGTTAAAAGCTTAAAATTCAATTTTTTTGAAATTTTAATAAAATCAGTTTGTACACCCTAAGTTAAATTAGATCCAACAGGTGTCTTCACCATTGTTTCATAGCCTTTTTTTTTTTTTTTTTTTGAGACAGAGTCTCGCTCTGTCGCCCAGGCTGGAGTGCAGTGGCACGATCTTGGTTCACTGCAAGCTCCGCCTCCCAGGTTCATGCCATTCTCCTGCCTCAGCCTCCCAAGTAGCTGGGACTATAGGCGCCCGCCACCGTGCCCAGCTAATTTTTTATATTTTTAGTAGAGACGGGGTTTCACCGTGTTAGCCAGGATGGTCTCGATCTCCTGACCTTGTGATCCACCCACCTCAGCCTCCCAAAGTGCTGGGATTACAGGCGTGAGCCACCACGCCCGGCCCATAGCCTTTATTTTTATTTTTTATTTTTGAGACAGAGTCTCACTCTGTTGCCCAGGTTGGAGTACAGTGGCCCAACCTTGGCTTACTGCAACCTCCGCCTCCTGGGTTCAAGCGATTCTGGTGCCTCAGCCTCTTGAGTAGCTGGGATTACAGGCATAAGCCACCACGTCCAGCTAATTTTTTAATATTTTTTAGTAGAGACGATGTTTTGCCACGTTGGTCAGGCTGGTCTCAAACTCCTAACCTCAGGTGATCCACCCGCCTTAGCCTTCCAAAGTGCTGGGATTACAGGCGTGAGCCACCACATCCGTCTGGCCTGTTTCATAGACTTTAAAATGCTAAAGCATGTTGTGACTCTCCGATCTCCAGTAGGGGCATGCAGCATTTTCTAGCAATGCCTCCTCTCCTCCTCTTGTGAAGGCATAATGAGAGACTAAGGTTTCAAGGAGAATGCCTTGGGAAATACCACTGTAGACAGAGAATAGTGAGGAGAGGGGTGAAAGAAGTTACCTCACAGCATTTCTAGCACTTTGCAGTTTACAAATGCCTTCTCATGCATTATCCCACTTAATTATTTGCAGCTAAACAAAATTTTAGGGAGCTGGACCAAAACTATAGTACAGACTTTCGATTTTCTTTTCTTTTTTTTGGGGGAGGGCGGGGAAAGAGTAGAGGGTTTTTTTTTTTCCTCAGGCTGGAGTGCAGTGGCGTGATCTCGGCTCACTGTACCTTCTGCCTCCTGGATTCAAGAAATTCCCCTGCCTCAGCCTCCTCAGCAGCTGAGACTACAGGCATGTGCTACCATGCCCGGCTAATTTACATATTTTTAGTAAAGACGAGGTTTCACCATGTTGGCCAGGCTGGTCTTGAACTCCTGACCTCAGGTGATCCACCTGCCTCAGCCTCCCAAAGTGCTTGGATTATAGGCGTGAGCCACCGTGCCTGGTCTGAGACTTGATATTCAGTTTCTAGAAATCCTAATACAGCATATACTAGTTGTTGGTACTTTGCAATCTAAGTTGTAAGGAGAGACCTAGGAGTTGCTAGCCACAAAGCACCCTCTGAACTAAGCACTTCCTTATTTCTCTGTGCCCTACTAGCATAATTTCTCAAAAGTCAGTCTTAGAATGAATGAACGGCATGGTATATTCAATGTATGACATCTGAGCCTCACTCTATCTTGAAGAGGTTGTTCTATTCTTAGTGTAACCTCCTCCACTACCATCTAGTTTTTATTTTTTATTTATTTATATATATATTTTGAGACAGAGTCTCATTCTATTGCACAGGCTGGAGTGCAGTGGCACAATCTCGGCTCACTGCAACCTCCGCCTCCCAGGTTCAAGTGATCCTCCTGCCTCAGCCCCCCTAGTAGCTGGGATTACAGGCACACACCACCATGCCCCGCTAATTTTTGTATTTTTAGTAGAGATGGGGTTTCGCCATGTTGGCCAGGATGGTCTCAAACTCCTGACCTCAGGTGATCCACCTGCCTCGGCCTCCCAAAGTGCTGGGATTACAGGCGTGAGCCACCACACCCGGCCCCATCTCGTTTTTAATAACAAACTTGGCATTTTCCTGCTATCTCCAAGATTACACTGTCATTTGGAAAAAGCAAGGTGGAGGACAGTGTGTAGTAGCATGCTACCCTTCTTTTTATTTAAAAAGGAGGTAAACATGAATATAGAAATAAAACTCTAAGACAACAACAACAGCAAACTTATGCAAGTGGTTACTTCTGGGTGAGTATGGGGGTAAAAATGATCAGATGGGGCACGGGTGGAATCAAACTTTTCACTACATATCTTCTATGCTTTTTTATTTTTGAATCCTACAAATTGTATTACCTCTGATTTTTTTTTTCTAAAGTCTCCCTTCATCCTGCAGCCACACTTTAAACCTGATCTCTTTTTCATGTAGAAAAGGAAGCCTCCTAGAAAGAGAATGGTAGTGACTTCAGCAAAAACATCAGAAACAGCTTATCCCCATAATAAGCAACTACTCGCTCAATTTCTAGCTATTGTGGCAAGCAATGTTTACTTTGATTAGCTTTAATTAGCTCAACTTCCCAACGCCTAAGAAACTACCATTCTTGGGTTTTTGGAAAGTAAAGAGGAGAAGCACAAAGAGGGCATCTATTTAAGACTAATCAGCCCATTATAGACTCCATACCAATGGTGTATTGGAAAAGTAGGCTAGCTGTTCTAAAGCAGTTATTCGGACTAAAAACCGGACTTCAGGGACCAACATAGGATTTCCAACTTCTAATTTTGCCAAGAGCATAACTACCATTTCACCCCCAATCCCATCATTTACTACCACCATCATTTCATAGAAGAAAAGATATTTCAACACCATTAAAATAGAATAACCTCATAATAAAAAAGAACTGGCAACATTACACCCACCAAACAAACATACTTAGAATTATCCTTTTGCTTCAGACACAAACTTTGTTAGGGGTCAGTGTTTGGGAAACCCAGCTCTAAAACATCAACCCCTGCCCTGCAGCTCAGAGTCATAGTAAGTTACCTGCTGAAGTTCTAGTCATTGCCAGCAACACATTATATTTTAATGCGGTATTCCTGTACAAGCAAAGTTTGGCTTCTGTTGTTCACATATCCTCACTAAGGCATCATTAATGTTATCGAGTTCCTGATTTCCCTAGGATCAGAATGTGGCTTTAAATGCTTTTTAAAAACTGGGGTAAAAGAAAGAAAACATTATTATGTTCCTGCTATACGGGCAATCACATGGTTTAACACAAAAACATGGAAATAGCAAGTACTGTATACTACAAGCAGATGAAAAGTGACACAGAGACCGGGCGCATTGGCTCATGCCCGTAATCACAAAACTTTTGGGAGACTGAGGTGGGCGGATCATTTGAGGTCAGGAGTTTGAGATCAGCCTGGCCAACATGGTGAAACCCCATCTCTACTAAAAATCCAAAAAAAAAAAAATTAGCTGGGCGTGTTGGTGCACGCCAGTAATCCCAGCTACTTGGGAGGCTGAGGCAGGAGAATTGCTTGAACCCAGGAGGCAGAGGTTGCAGTGAGCTGAGATCGTGCCACTGCACTCCAGCCTGGGCGACAGAGCAAGACCCTGTCTCAAGAAAAAAAAAAAAAAAGTGATCACAGAGCTATTGTGACTGGCTATCACATGACTGACAATGACGATGGGCAACCCCTTCTTTCTGAGCACTAAGCTAAAATGACTTATGCTGGGGTTTAGCTTAACATGTCCAATCAAATCAATTGCAGGCTCTGAAATCTCCAACTTATAAAATCTCACCTTTCAGTTTCATTTTGTTGTACTCACCTTCCAGCCACTGAGCACATGTTCAATGGGAGCAATGGCTGGCTCCTCTTTCTCCAGGGGAAAAACCAGCTGCTCTGCCTGCCGGTTCTTCAGGACGACAGGGTCCCATTTGGAGAGGACTTGTGCGGTTTTATTGAATGCTACTTCTCTGTGGATCTGAAGCAGGCAAGGCATGTAAACGGAAAGAGCCACAAGATTAAAGCATCAAACCCAAAGGACTAACAAGAAATTAGGAAGCAACATTTCTTAGCCCAAGAAAGAATCAGGATGCTAGAATCAGGATGAAAGAATCAGGATGCTAGTCCTCTTGCTTCTCAGGACTGCAATTTCTCCTAGATTATTATTATTATTTAGATGGAGTTTCACTCGTGTTGCCCAGGCTGGAGAGCAATGGTGCAATCTCAGCTCACTGCAACCTCCACGTCCTGGTTCAAGGGATTCTCCTGCCTCAGCCTCCCAAGTAGCTGGGATTACACCACACCCGGCTAATTTTGTATTTTTAGTAGAGACGGGGTTTCACCATGTTGGACAGGCTGGTCTCGAACTCCTGACCTCAGGTGATCCGCCTACCTCAGCCTCCCAAAGTGCTGGGATTACAGACGTGAGCCACCGCGCCTGGCACTCCTAGATTATTTTTAATCTTATCCATAGTGGGGAAATCACAACTCCCCCTTCTCCCATTTTTCAGGTCTTTCCCTTCTTTCTATTACCCTATTTTCCCTTGTCAATTCAATTTCTTTCCCTTAATAGACCACCTTCTCTGTAGCTTACCCGTTCAATCTCTTCTTTGTTCAGAGGTAACTCCACTGTCTTCTTTGATTTGACTCTACTCAGTTGCTTTTTCACAGTGGCCAAAGAAGATGAAGTTTTAACAGGCTCAAGCAGATCTGCAAGGACCAGCTTTTCTCCTGATCCTGTGGAAAGGTCAAACTTTCTGGTCAGACCAAGAAGTGAGACAAGATCTCAATATAATGTAGGGAGAAGCCTCAGTAGAAAATGCCAGTAGATGGCAAATGTGCAGAGAAGCAAGAATAATTCTCTTACTTCAATTGCCTATTTCTAGCCATGCCAACACTATCACTCTTCTACATTCATCCCCAAACGTGTTAGGGGGTAGAAGATAGGGGAAAATATTTATTCAAAACTCATTTGCTTTTCTCCTGGTGCTTCTACTCTTGCCCCATTGCAATTCATTCTTCACATAACAGCCAAAAATAAAAACAGCCAAAGTGATCTTTTTGCTGTTGTTGTTGTTTGTTTTGAGACAGGGTCTCACTCTGTCACTTAGGCTGGAGAGCAGTGGTGCCATCTCTGCCTCCCAGGCTCAGGCAATCCTCCCAAGTAGCTGGCACTATAGGCGCGTGCCACCACGCGTGGTTAATTTTTTTAATTTTTTTTTTGTAGAGATGGGGTTTTGCCATGTTGCCCAGGCCAGCCTCAAATGGCTGGGCTGAAGCAGTCCGCCCACCTCGGCCTCCCAAAGTGCTGGAGATTACAGGTGTAAACCACTGTATCCAGCCCAAAATTATCTTTCGAAAATATAAACCACAGCATGTCATGACCCTGCTGAAAATCCTCCAGTGACTCCCCATTATACTTTGAATCTCATCTACCTAAAGGACATGGTCCTATGAGATCTAATCCCCATCTGCCTCTCTAACCTCATATCAACCCCCACCCTCTAGAATGCTTTTGTCACAGGGGCCTCTTTCCTATTCTTCAACATGTTGTGCATGTTTCTACCTTAGAGCCTTTGTGCTAGCTGTTCCTTGGCCTGAAATGCTTTCCCCAATCTTTGCATGGTTGACTTGACTTGTCATTCAGATCTCGGCTTCAATTTTGCCTCTTCAGGGGCCTTTCATGACCAACCGATCTAAAGTAGCCACTTAGTTGCTTTACTGCATCATCCTCTCTTATTGTCTCCCTTCATTAGAATGTAAACCCCATGAGCTCACATCTTATTCGCTACTTTAACCTTGGTATCTACAACAGTTCCTGATACTGCTACCTAGTAGAAACACAATAAATATCCACTGAATAAGTACGCTTGGAATACATTGTTATTTGCCCTAGGAGGCTACACCAGTGATTACTACAAATGCAAGACCCATTCTAGCTGCCTAAGTTGTGAACAGGGTGAAAAAGATTTGGCATCTAGACTCAGTATTAGGATAAAATCCCATGGCTGCCGCTTATTAGAGCATGTATTCTGAACAGGGGCAATTTTACCACCCCGCCACCCCAGGGTGAAAATTGGTTCTTTCTGGGAGAGTATGAAAAAAATCTTAGATATTACAATGTTTTGTGTCCCTCCAAGGCTCAACTCTGTCCAACAAACTCTTATTCCTTAGGACTTGATTTCCTGGGGAAGGGGCACAGGGGGAGGGATACAATGAGGAAAAAAATGTCTTGAGGCCGCGCACGGTGGCTCACGCCTGTAATCCCAGCACTTTGAGAGGCTGCGGCGGGTGGATCACGAGGTCAGGAGATCCAGACCATCCTGGCTAACACGGTGAAACCCCGTCTCTACTAAAAATACAAAAAACTAGCCAGGCGCGGTGGCGGGCACCTGTAGTCCCAGATACTCGGGAGGCTGAGGAAGGAGAATGGCGTGAACCTGGGAGGCGGAGTTTGCAGTGAGCCAAGATCGCACCACTGCACTCCAGCCTGGGCGATAGAGTGAGACTCTGTCTCAAAAAAAAAAAAAAAAAAAAAGGCTTGAAAGGCTCCTCTCAGGGGAGCAATAAAAAAGCAAAGGTTGAGAAATACTGTACTAGGCAAAGGCCCTTGAATAAGTAATGTGACCTCTCTGAGCTCTGGCTGAAGAGAATATTTGCCTGTCTCCTAACTCAAAGCATTGTTAAGAGAACTGAAATAAAAATGAAATTGTACAAATATGAATTATGACTAAGTTACTAAGAGGCAGCTGTCTTTATTCATGTCCATCTATCCTATAAGTATCTCATCAAACTCTGTAGGATACCTTGACCACAGCCTTCTAGGCTTTCTTTGAGAGATGGAAGAAACTGAAGGGCATCTGACTACACTTCTTCACCCACTCTCCCAGGTATTTATGGTATGAGTCATTAACCACATCAAAAACAGTTCCTAGGGGGGGTGAGGTGAACACAATGCCCTTGGAACTCCACAGGTTTCATGCATGGGTATCTTCCTTTGTTCAACTTACCTTCAGAACTGACATTGAACTCTGACACCTTCAGACTAGCCTCAGACCTCTCAGCCAATTTCCGCCTGAAATTAGGCAAAACGATATAATAGGAATGAATAAATTTTATGGGGGCTTGGGGTTGGGAGAGACAAACACTTCTCTCTTCAAACAGGGCTTTGGTTTCTTGTATTTCTTCTAGGGTCATGTTTTGTCATGATGCAGCAAGGAGATCTGTTCCTAACTTGGACTTGGTTGTCTAACCCTCATCTCTTCTCTTTATTACAAGGTAAGCATAGTGGAAAACATATTGGACTTAGATTCAAACACACCTGAACCTGTAACTTATGAGCCAGGTGACCTTGGGGGTAAGTAAATTTATTTCTCTAATGGGGTTAAATAATGCCTACTCAATGCTTTAAAAGATTTTCAGTGTGGAATAAGACTGCAAATGCTTACAATAATAGCACTAAGACTAATAACAGCTAACAGTTAATTATATAATGCTTACTATATGCTAGGCACTGGTATTAAGGTCTTTACATGAAGCACTCAATAAATATTAGCTGCAGAGAAATCTCACGGAATTGACTATATAACCTGCCCTAACTGACGGGAACGTTACCTATTCTTTCCATCAAGGGAACTGATTGCTTCCAGAAGCTTTTGATGCTTTCTCTCTCCATCATTGTCCCCCTAAGACACAGAAAAGGAAAAACAATCAGGATGAGGGGGAGGGAAAAGACAACATGGAAATTGAGTCTCATGTAAAATCTCTTGTTATTTATTTATTTATTTTTGAGACGGCGTCTCGCTCTGTTGCCCAGGATGGAGTGCAGTGGTGTTATCTTGGCTCACTGCAAGCTCCGCCTCCCAGGTTCATGCCATTCTCCTGCCTCAGCCTCCCAAGTAGCTGGGACTACAGGCGCCTGCCACCACGCCTGGCTAATTTTTTGTATTTTTAGTAGAGACGGGGTTTCACTGTGTTAGCCAGGATGGTCTCAATCTCCTGACCTTGTGATCTGCCCGCCTTGGCCTCCCAAAGTGCTGGGATTACAGGCATGAGCCATCACCCGGGCCTGTTTTGGTTGGTCTTATAAATTATACTTATGCAACTTGAGGGTAGTGATTGTAACTTAGTTTCCAAATCCTCATAGCACTTAATATGATACAGTATCTTATATATGAAACACTAACCATTTGCAATTTATTTGAGAGACCTGAACAAATACATAGAACATTGTCACACCCTTCCATTCCAGGAATGTGCTCTCTACCCTAATTTTGAAGGCAGTTTAGCAATTGTCACCCACCTCATCTTCACTCTCACTCAAGAGGTAGTCTTTTGGCAAATCCGCTAGTTCTTCCTGTTGGCTCAAAGCCAGAAGGCTGTTAAAAGAGGCAACAGAGAAATGTGAATGCAATATACCCATGTAACAAACCTGCATATGTATCCCTTAATTATAATAAAAGTCGAAATTAAAAAAAGAAATATTATTATTTGAAGCAATGTCTAATCTATTAAAACAATCTCGAAAACATTGTAATTTCAGCACAGAATAGCCCTATCCCTCAGAAGATATATAAAGCAGCGTGAATGCCTTTGGAAACTTGTCAAGATGTGAAATTTAGACTGAAGTCAGGCATCACCTCCAAGAGTGATGCCTGACTTCAAAACTGCATGTAAAAGAGCTATCACTTTTCAGGGATTGGCACAACATTTCCTATGACCTATGGGAAGCTGTAAAAATGTCAGACCCTAGAATAATATGGCCAAAGACGCTGTTGCTAGCTAGCCCTGGAGGCAAGGCAGTTTCACGATTAATATTTCTAAGCATCCTCCATATATTTGACTCATTGATAGGCAGCCTAATCAAAAGTGTTATCTTGATCCTTGTTCCCAGGAATGGAGAAACAGGTCGAAAGCAGCTGGGTAAGCCACTTTCCCTGGGGCTTGCTTAGTAAAGTAGGTGCTTAACTAAGGAGATTGGTACCCACAAACAAATTATAAAATGTACCATTACCTAACAGCATATATTATTAGTATTTGCAAAGCCAACATTACTAAACGGACTACATTTAGTTCCGGGGGCGGGGTGGGGGGGGCACAAAACATCACAGGAGCCAAAACGTGGTGGATGACTCCAATCAGCAAAGCTTTCCAAGATTCGGGGAGTTTATAACGCCTGCACTGCCTGCGCAGAGGATTAAATCGGGCCGCGACAGAGGCAGAAAAAGGGGCCACGTGACGAAAAATGTGAAACACAGTAAATGAGCTGGGGAGGCAGAAACAGCATCAGGACCAACAGGGATGCGGCTATACAGCTGAGGAGCGGAGTAAGCGAATGAAATTAAATTAAAAGGGCTTTAAAGGCTGGATCGCGGAAAATAGGAACGAATGGCCAGCTCTTCAGGGGAACCACTGCCATCTGTTAAAGGGGGGGCTCCCATTTCCCAAAAGCTGGGGAACCCGGCCCCCAACGAGACCCAGAATCCCCCCTCCCCTCGTTGCCCTTCACCTCTCTGCAAGCCGGTTCGCAGTCATTTCAGCAGCCAGCTTCTCTCACATGGACCAAGAACGGAAGCCGAAGGAAAGCAATTTCCGTGCGGGCCGCAAAGCAATTTCTGTTTCCGTCAATCGCTCGCGACGTACACGTCACTTCCGTTCCGTACGAGGCGTGAGAGAAGCAGGAGCCGTGTAGGGAGGGGCCTGCAGAAAACTGGGAGGCCTGAGATGAAACGGCTGTCAGCGGGTGGGGCATTCCTTTCTCCACCCACCCCGTATTTCTCTGGCGCGCGGGTGTCTGTCCTCCTGGCCCCTGGTTTCCACGTGGCCCAAGGTGGGTTAGCTTAGGGCGACGGTGCTGCGCTCTCAGGGGCTGAGCCCGCGCCTTCATTCGTCACTGCAGAATCCAGAAGGAAAGACTACAGCGCCCGTCCTTGTGCGACGGCGTCCTGCAAGCCGACCACAAGCCAGCTCGGGGGTTTATTGAATGCCTATTAAGTGGCCAGATTGTGCCGGGCCCCGGAGATCCGATGGTGAACATAACAAGTTTCCTTCCATTTAAGGAAAAATCGCCTTTGATCCCTTGTAATTGCAGCTTTGTTCTTCATTTCCTGAGTCAAAAGATTTTTTTTATCCAAGAAGGGGCCATCAGTAACTACGCTTCCTCACCTCCCATCAACTTAAAAAAATTTTTTTAAACAACTTTTTTTCTCCCATCAACTTTTAAGAATTTTATTTATTTATTTTTGAGACAGAGCCTTGCTGTGTCGTTCAGGCTGGAGTGCAATGGCGTGATCTCAGCTCACTGCAACCTCCACCTCCCGGGTTCAAGCGATTCTCCTGCCTCAGCCTCCCGAGTCGCTAGGATTACAGGCACCCGCCACCATGCTCGGCTAATATTTGCATTTTTAGTAGAGACGGGGTTTTGCCACGTTGGCCAGGCTGGTCTAGAATTCCTGGCCTCAAGTGATCTGCCCGCCTCGGCCTCCCAAAGTGCTGAGATTACAGGTGTGAGCCACCGGGCCCGGCCTAATATATATATATATTAATTAATGATTGTAGAAAAATAATAGACAAGAACATTCTTTTCATTTTTTTTTTTTGAGACGGAGTCTCACTCCGTCGCCCACGCTGGAATGCAGTGGTGCGATCTCAGCTCACTGCAAGCTCCGCCTCCCGGGTTCACACCATTCACCTGCCTCAGCTTCCTGAGTAGCTGGGACTACAGGCGCCTGCCACCACACCCGGCTAATTTTTTTTTTTTTTTTAAGTAGAGACGGGGTTTCACCGTGTTAGCCAGGATGGTCTCGATCTCGTGACCTCATGATCCACCCGTCTCGGCCTCCCAAAGTGCTAGGATTACAGGCGTGAGCCACGGCGCCCGGCCCGTTCTTTTCATTCTTGTAATCCATTCCCATTTTGCTTTTGCCCCATTATTCCACAGAAATTGCTCTGGACAAGATCAGCGACACCCAAAGTTGCTAAATAAAACGGATACCTCTCAGTCTTTGGCTTCCCAGAACTTTGTGTGGCATTTAGTAACTGTTGATTTCTTTTCTTTTCTTTTCTTTTCTTTTCTTTTCTTTTTTTTGAGACGGAGTTTCGCTCTTGTTGCCAAGGCTGGAGTGCAGTGGCGCGATCTTGGCTCACTGTAACCTCCGCCTCCTGGGTTCAAGTGATTCTCCTGCCTCAGCCTCCCGTGTAGCTGGGATTACAGGCATGCGCCACCACGCCTGGCTAATTTTTGTTTTTTTTTTTTTTTTGAGACGGAGTCTCGCTCTGTCACCCAGGCTGGAGTGCAGTGGCACAATCTCAGCTCACTGCAACCTCTGCCTCCCTGTTTCAAGTGATTCTCCTGCCTCAGCCTCCCGAGTAGCTGGACTACAGGCACATGCCACCATGCCCGGCTAATTTTTTGTATTTTTAGTAGAGATGGGGTTTCACCGTGTTAGCCAGGATGGTCTCGATCTCCTGACCTCGTGATCCGCCCTCCTCGGCCTCCCAAAGTGCTGGGATTACAGGCGTGAGCCACCGCGCCCAGCCTAATTTTTGTATTTTTAGCAGAGATGGAGTTTCGCCATGTTGGCCAGGCTGGTCTCGAACTCCTGGCCTCAGGTGATCCTCCCACCATGGCCTCCCAAAGTGCTGGGATTATGGGCGTGAGCCACCGCACCCAGCCGATTTGTTTTCTTATTCATGAAATATTTTTGGCCATCTAGTATGTGCCAAGCCTCTAGGCATTGGGAATACATTGGTGAACAAAGCAGATATGTCCCATTGCTTCCTAGAGCTTACTTTCTAGTGGGATTAAAGACAATTTTGTCATTGTTGAAACTCCATCCTGAGATTTCATGACACCATTCTCTCCTGGTATCAGCCCTATGACCATCTTCCTCAGTCTTCTCTGCTGGATGCTTTTAATATACTTTTAATATGCTTACTCCCTAAATGATGATGTTTCCGAGAATTCTGCTCTAAGCCCTCTTTATTTATTACAGATACTCTTCCTAAGTGAAATTGCCTTTAACAGCTGTATGAGAACAAAATTTATATCTCTAGCCCTAATCTCTTTCTTGAGCTCCAGACTGGTATATCTGATTGCCTCCTGGCTATTCTTTTTGCCCCACAAGCACATCAAACATAAAATGACCAATAATTTCTATCTTTTCCACCAGAGTTCCTTTCCTGAATTTCCCATTTGTATGATTGGCCCATCAACTACCCAGTTAGTAAAATCAGAAGTCTGAGAGTCATCTTAGATTCCCCTCCCCCTTATGCTCCACAGCTGTTTGCCCACATTATCAGTTTTACTTCCCTGAGTCTCTTTCAAATATCTCCTTACCTTTCTCCATCATGTTTGCCATTGTATTAGTTCAGACCTTTGCAATTTGAAGCCTGTGGTATTGCAGTAATCTTATAGAAAGGGGGAGCATTATAGCATTTTCATACTCATGAAATATGAAGAATGAACGAATAAATACATTTCATGATGAAGAACCTGAGTTTTAAAGCTGGACTCTGGGATTGAATCTTAGCTCTGTCACTTACTAGTTTTATAATTTTTTGGGGGGGTTGGGGGAGACGGAGTCTCGCTCTGTCACCCAGGCTGGAGTGCAGTGGCGTGATCTTGGCCCACTGCAACCTCCACCTCCCGGGTTCAAGCAATTCTCCTGCCTCAGCTTCCCAAGTAGCTGGGACTACAGGCATACGCCACCACACCCAGCTAATTTTTTGTATCTTAATAGAGACGGGGTTTCACCATGTTGCCCAGGCTGGTCTCGAACTCCTGAACTCAGGCAATCCACCCGCTTCGGCCTCCCAAACTGCTAGGATTATAGGCGTGAGCCACTGTGCCCGACCTAGTTTATAATTTTTGAGTAAGTCCCTTAACTCTCTGTGCCTTTGTTTCCTCTTATTTATTTATTTAGAGACGGAGTCTTGCTCTGTCACCCACGCAGGAGTGCAGTGGCTCGATCTCGGCTCACTGCAATCTCTGCCTCCCGGGTTCAAGCAGTTCTTCTGCCTCAGCCTCCTGAGGGGCTGGGATTACAGGCATGCGCCACCGCGCCTGGCTAATTGTTGTTGTTGTTGTTTTTGTTTTGTATTTTTAGTAGAGACAGGGTTTTGCCACATTGGCCAGGCTGATATCGAATTCCTGGCCTTAAGTGATCCACCCGCCTTGGCCTCCCAAAGTGCTGAGATTACAGGCGTGAGTCACCCCGCCCAGGCTGTTTTCTCATCTTTAAAATGGGGATAATAGGCCTGGCATGGTGGTTTACCCTGTAATCCCAGCACTCTGGGAGGCCAAAGCGGGAGGATCACTTGAGCCCAGGAGTTCAAGACTAGCCTGAGCAACAGAGTGAGACTCCATCTCTATTTTTAAAAACAAATAAAAGAAAATATTTGGGAAAGAGCAACAAAGAAAAACCCAAAACAATACTAAGAATACAATAAAACAATATACAGTATAATTATTTACATAGCATTCACATTGTATTGGGTATTATAAGTAATCTAGAGATGATTTAAAGTATATAAAGGTCGGGCTTGGTGGCTCACGCCTGTAATCCAAGCACTTTGGGAGGCCGAGGCAGGTGGATCACCTGAGGTCAGGAGTTCAAGACCTGGCCAACATGACGAAACCCCGTCTCTACTAAAAATACAAAAATTAGCCAGGTGTGGTGGTGGGTGCCTAGAATACCAGCTACTCGGGAGGCTGAGGCTGAGAGAGTTGCTTAAAACCCAGGAGGTGGAGTTTGCAGTGTGCTGAGATCGCGCCACTGCACTCCAGCCTGGGCGACAGAGCGAGACTCTGTCTCAAAAAATAAAGTAAAGTAAAGTAAAGTAAGGTAAGGTAAGGTAAGGTGAGGTGAGGTGAGGTAAGGTAAGGTAAGGTAAGGTAAAGTAAAATAAAATAAAAAAAAACAAAACATGTATATAAGAGTATGTGCATAGGTTATATGCAAATACTATACCATTTTATGTCAGACTTGAGCATCTTTGTATTTTGGTATCCATGAGGGTCCTGGAACCAATCCTTCCCAGATACTGAGGGACAACGTATTTGTCACATATTAAATGCTTAACAAATGTCATAATAATAATAATGATTTTACTGACCTTTTAGTCTTTAGTCTCACTTCATCTAATCACTTAAGTTAGGCCACAGCATGCCCCTACTTAAAAGATGCAAATAGACCCTTATCGCCAAAATAAGAAAAACTCTCTAGTCCCTGTCAGCCTCTCCATCCTCTTTGAAACACTTGCCACTTCCCTCAGGGTACTCCAAATTATATTTTTATGGACAGATGATGTTTTCTTAATCTTATATAAAGTATGAATAAAAGCATTTTAGAAAACATTGACATTTTTATTGGTCTATACTTAATCTAAGTAAAGACAGTGTGTTTGCTATGCAAATGCAGCTTTGAGACAGATCCCCTAAGAATTCCCTCTTCACAGTTTTAATCAGATTGCTGCCCCTTTTCCCTCTTATGTAGAGTTATGGAACAGCCAATGCAATATTTTAGCTGAGATCTAAAGGATAAGAAGGAGCCAGTTTTGTGAAGAACTAGGGAAGAGTGTTCAAGGCAAAGAAAATAATGTGGGCTGGCCGGGCACAGTGGCTCATGCCTGTAATCCCAGCACTTTGGGAGGCCGAGAAGGGTGGATCACCTGAGGTCAGGATTTTAAAACCAGCCTGGCCAACATGGCAAAACCCTGTCTCTACTAAAAATACCAAAATTAGCCAGGCGTGGTGGCACGCCTGTAATCCCAGCTACTAGGGAGGCTGAGGCAGAATTGCTTGAACCCGGGAGGCGGAGGTTGCAGTGAGCCGAGATTGCACCACTGCACTCCAGCCTGGCGACAGAGCGAGAATCTGTCTAAAAAAAAAAAGTAAGGAAAGAAAGAAAGAGAGAAAAGAAAATAACATGGGCCCAACACAGTGGCTCATGCCTGTAATCCCAGCACTTTGGGAGGCTGAGGCCAGAGGATTGCTTGAGTCTAAGAGTTCAAGACCAGTCTGGGCAACACAAGGTGACCCTTCTCTCTACAAAAATATTAGCTGGGTATGGTGGCGCACTTCTGTAGTCCCAGCCACTCAGAGGCTGAGGTAATAAGATCACTTGAGGCTGGGTGCAGTGGCTCATGCCTGCAATCCCAGCATTTTGGGAGGCCGAGGCAGGCAGATCACCTGAGGTCGGGAGTTCGAGACCAGCCTGGCCAATATGGCAAAACCCTGTCTCTATTAGCATACAAAAATTAGCCAGGCGTGGTGGCGGGCGCCTGTAATCCCAGCTACTTGGGAGGCTGAGGCAGGAAAATCGCTTTAACCCGGGAGGTGGAGGTTGCAGTGAGCCGAGATTACGCCACTGCACTCCAGCCTGGGTGACAGGTGACAGAGTGGGACTCTGTCTCAAAAAAAAAAAAATCACTTGAGCCTTCTGGGAGGTCGAGGTTGTGGTAAGCCATGATCATGCCCCTGCAGACTCACCCCGGGAGACAGAGTAAGATGATCTCTCAAAAAAAAAAAAAAAAAAAAAAGTATGTGTACACAGACCTTCAGGGTTGGGAAGAGCTTGGTATACTTTAGCAACTGAAAGGCTAGTGTGGTTGGATCATGATGAATAAGAAGGTAAATGACAGAAGGATGGGGAGTTGGCAGAGTTCAGATCATGTAGGGCCTTGTAGGCCATGGTATAGTTTGAATTTTGTCTAAGTGAAATAGGCTACCAATAAAGGGTTATGTCGGGGGGTGACAATCTCAGTTTTAAGAAAATCACTTTGGTTGTTGTGTGGAGAATGGATTGGAGGGGGGCAAGAGTGGAAGCAGAGAAACCAGTCAGGAAGCTATTGTGTAGCACAGCAGAAGATGTTGATGGCTTAGAATAAGGTGATGTTATTGATGGGCCCACCAGAAGACTATGGGAGGTAAGAGAAAGAGAAAGATTATGCCTGAGTTACTGCCTTGAACAAGTGAGTGGGTGGTAGACTATTTACTGAGATGAAGAAGACTAGTTAGTGATGGAAGGAACAGATTTGGAGAGTGAGATCAAATGTTCACTGTTATGCTTTTGAAGTTTTTGTTTGTTTGTTTGTGAGATGGAGTCTCGCTCTGTTGCCCAGGCTGGAGTGCAGTGGCGTGATCTCAGCTCATTGCAACCTCTGCCTCCCAGGTTCAAGCGATTCTCCTGCCTCATCCTCCCAAGTAGCTGGGACTACAGGCACCCACCACCACACCCAGCTATTTTTTTTAATTTTTAGTAGAGATGGGGTTTCGCCATGTTGGCCTGGCTGGTGTTGAACTCCTGACCTCAGGTGATCCACCCGCCTCAGCCTCCCAAAGTGCTGGGATTACAGGCGTGAGCCACCGCCCTGGCATACTTTTGAGGTTTTTTGTCAAGTTATAAAGTTGAGTATAGGAATTGTGAAAGATAATTAGTTAACAGCATTTGATCTTGATTATAGCTATCAGTGATTATCAGTAAATAAAAATGTATGTCCCCCATCACAAGTATGTTTATATTTCACCCAACTTACATTTCACAAAAAGGACCCAGGCTTAGCCAAAACTTGCACATGACAACAGTTATGATTTTACCATAAGTTTATAACTTTGTATGCCATGCAACATCTAACCTAGTCCTTGAACATAGTAAGGACTTAATAAGTGCTTTCAATAAATTAATAAAGTCATAATAGTTCCATGCTATGGTTATCATAAGATACATAATAATAATTTACTCACAATTATAGAATTTAGAGTGCTTTTACATCCATTGTGTTATTTATTTTTTGGTTAAACTTTTAATTTTGAGATATTTGTAGATTCACATACAACTGTAAGTGATTGGGTGCGGTGGCTTATGCCTGTAATCCCAGCACTTTGGGAGGCTGAGGCGGGCAAATCACTTGAGGTCAGGAGTTCGAGAGCAGCCTGGCCAACATGGTGAAACCCCGTCTCTACTAAAAGTACAAAAAATTAGCCGGGCCTGGTGGTGCACATCTGTATTCCAGCTACTTGGGAGGCTGAGGCAGGACAATTGCTTGAACCCAGGAGGTAGAGGTTGCAGTGAGCTGAGATCCCACCACTGCACTCCAGCCTGGGAGACAGAGAGAAACTCTGTCTCAAAAAAAAAAAAAAAAAAAAGAGAGAGAGAGAGAAAAACCCACCTCTAATACAATATTACAACCAGGATATTGATATTGATACAGTCAAAGTACAGAAAACTCCATCACCAGGAGCATCAGTCATGTTGCCCTTTTGTAGCACAACCACTTCTCTCCCACCCCTGCCTCCTCTTTCACTCCTGGCAATCACTCATCTGTTCCCCATTTCTGTAATTTTTCATCAAAAATGTTATATAAATAGAATCATACAGGATGCAACTTCTCGGGATTGGGTTTTTTCACTGGAGATTTATTCAGGTCTGTATCAATAGTATATATTTTTTATTTTTATTTTTGAATAGAGACAGGGTTTCACCATGTTGCCCAGGCTTGTCTCAAACTTCTGTACTCAAGCAGTTCACCCACCTCAGCCTCCTAAAGTGCTAGGATTACAGGCGTGAGCCACCTCACCCAGCCAATCAATGGTTTATTCTTTTATTTTATTTCATTTTGAGACAGGGTCTTGCTCTGTTGCCCAGGCTGAAGGGCAAGTGGCAAGATCACAGCTCACTGTAGCCTTGACCTCCCAGGCTCAAGTGATGCTCCCACCTCAATCTCCCAAGTAGCTGGGACCACAGGCGAGTGCCACCACGTCCAGCTAATTTTTTTAAAAAAAATGTGTAGACACGGGAGTCTCAGTTTGTTGTCCAGCCTGATCTAACACTCCTGGGCTCAAGCGATCCTCCCGCCTTGGCCTCACAAAGTGTTGGGATTATAGGCATGAACCACTGCACCCAACCTTTTTTTTTTAAGTGTACAATTCTATGGCTTTTTGTATATTTAGAGTTGTGCAACCACAACCACAGTAAATTTTAAGAACATTTTTCATCATCCCAACAGGAAACCTTGCATCCCTTAGCCATCACTCCCCATCATTACCCCTCCCAGCTCTAGGCAATTGTTTATCTATTTTCTGTCTCTATAGATTTTATTCTGGAGACTTCGTATGAATGGAATCATAAAATATGTAGTATTTTGTGACTGGCTTGAGTTAGCATAATTTTTCAAGATTCATCCATGTTATGGTATATATCAGTACTTCATTTCTTATTGCTGAATAGTCTCTCAATATATGGATAGACTCGAATTTATTTATCCACTCATTGGTTCATGGACATTTGGGTTGTTTCTACTTTTTGGATGGTATTGTGTGGACATATGTTTTCATGTGATTTAATTCTTTTTTTTTTTTTTTTTTTGAGACCGAGTTTCTCTCTTGTTGCCCAGGCTGGAGTGCAATGGCGTGATCTCGGCTCACTGCAACCTCTGCCTCCCGGGTTCAAGCGATTCTCCTGCCTCAGCCTCCTGAGTAGCTGGGATTACAGGCATGCACCACCATATCCAGCTAATTTTTTATTTTTAGTAGAGACGGGGTTTCACCATGTTGGTCAGGCTGGTCTCAAGCTCCTGACCTCAAGTGATCCACCCGCCTTGGCCTCCTAAAGTGCTGGGATTACAGGCGTGAGCCACCATACCCGGCCGGCTTTTGTTTCTCCTTACACCTGTATTTGTTACCCAAAACCTTAAGAAGATGTAAATCAAGGAGCATAGAGTCAGTGGAGTACTAGAGCCGGCTCATTCCAGCTCCCAAAAGTTGACTGTTAGAATTTCAGGAACTTTGTGAGCCGGTTGACTTCACATTGGTGATTTGAAATTGGCCCTGGTGGGAGTATTTACATAATGGAAACCAGCATGCTACAAGCCAGCATTACCTCCCCCTATCTCAGTCTGTTAAACATTTGTCAGTATATTACTGCTTAGAATAAATGATTCTGAAGGTTGAGCTGCAAAATGGTGCTTATCTATGTAATTTGTACAAATTTGGCTAAACAGATATATCCTATGCTCACAGAGAGCTATGCAAATTAATAATAGTTAATATGCAACAGTATTTAGAAATACAGGAAGAATCCAGTAAGCATAGTCAAGTCAAAAAAAAAATAAGAAGAGGGCTGGGTGTGGTGGCTCATGCCTGTAATCCCAGCACTTTGGGAGGCCGAGGCAGGTAGATTGCTTGAGCCCAGGAGTTCGAGACTAGCTGAGGCAACATGGCAAATCCCTGTCTCTACAAAAAATATAAAATTTAGCCAGGCATGGTGGCATGTACCTGTAGTCCCAGCTACTTGGGAGGCTGAGGTGGGAGGATCATTTGAACCCAGGAGGCAGAAGTTGCAGTGAGCTGAGATCATGCCACTGCACTCCAGCCCTGGGCAACAGAGTGAGACCCCGTCTAAAAATAAATAAAAAAATAAAAATAAATTTAAAAAAGAAATATAGGAGGTCAATGTGTTAATAAAAACTTCTATTCTTTATTTATTTTTAATAATTTAAAAAAATTTTACTTTTTTTTTGGAGACAGGATCTTGCTCTGTCACCCAGGCTGGAGTATGGTGACACAATCATAGCTCACCACAGCCTCAAACTCCCAGGCTCAAGTGATCCTCCCACCTCAGCCTCCTGAGTACCTGGAACCACAGGCACATGCCACCACACTCGGCTAATTTTTAAATTTTTTTGTAGAGACGGGGTCTCCCTATATTGCCCAGACTGGCTTCGTACTCATGGGCTCACGCAATGCACCCTCCTCGGCCTCCCAAAGTGCTGGGATTACAGGCATGAGTCACCATGCCCAGACTAAAATTTATATTTTATACTGAGCCAGGGTCTTGCTATGTTGTCCAGGCTGGACTCAAACTCCCAGGATCCTCCTGTCTCAGCCTTCAGAGTGGCTGGGATACAAGGTGCACGCCCAGCTTATCAAAAACTTCTGAGGGCCAGGTGTGGTGACCCACGGCTGTGATCCTAGCACTTTAGGAGGCTGAGGTGAGAGGTTTGCTTGAGCCCAGGAGTTCAAGATCAGCCTGGGCAACGTAGTGAGACCCTTGTCTCTATTCTTTAAAAAAAAAAAAAAACTTCTAAGGAGGGCTTTTAGGAATGAGCTAGACACTGTGGACACCCAGTCCCTCTCTGTACTGAGTTTAGAGTTGCTGACTTCTACCTGATTAAATTGTTAAGATGTCAGAGATAGGGCATTTGATTATAAGCATACATCACCAAAAGCATTAACCTGAGATAAGTTATATATATGTAATTTTTTTTTTTTTTTAGACGGGGTCTCACTCTGTCATTCAGGCAAGAGTACAGTGGTGCAATCATGGCTCACTGCAACCTTGACCTCCCGGGCTCAGGTGATTCTCTCACCACAGCCTCCTGAGTAGCTGGGACTACAGGCACATACCACCATGCATGGCTGATTTTATTTTTATTTTTTGTAGAGATACGTATCTCGCTGTGTTGCCCAGGGTGGTCTCAAACTCCAGGGCTCCAGCAATCCTCCTGCCTCGGCCTCCCAACTGAAAATGCTACTGCTCACAATAATTATCAACAATACGGTACAGTGTATAATGAGGAAATATTTGATTAACATTAATTCTTAGGCACAAAAGATTTTGGCACACAGTCATTTCTAATCTAAGAACTCATACACATTTCATTCAGGTTTGCTATTTCAGTTCCTAAACTTAGAGAGAAAAATATCTTCATATTCCCAGATTATACAAGCAGTAGTAGGGCGGGCATGGTTGCTCATGCCTGTAATTCTAATGCTTTGGGAGGCTGAGGGTAGAGGATCCCTTTAGGCTGGAGTTCAAGACCAGTCTGGGCAACATAGCAAGACCCTGTCTCTACAAAAAATTTAAAAATTATCTGGTCATCGTGGTGTGCGCTTGTAGTCCTAGCTACTTGGGAGGCTGAGGCAGGAGGATTGCTTGAACCCAGGAGTTTCAGGCTGCAGTGAGCTACAGTGACATTACTGCACTCCAGCTTGGGTGACAGAGCCAGACCTTGTCTCTGGAAAAAAAAAAAAAAAAAGAAGAAGAAATAAAAGCAACAGCAAATTTTAAAGTATCTCCCTCCACCCATTCTTTATACTGTAATGCTGTGTGTGCTACAACTACATATTTGGACCCCATGAGACAATGTTACAATTTTGGCTTTAAAAAATTTAATGTATAGCTGGGTGTGGTAGCTCATGCCTGTAATCTCAGCACTTTGGGAGACCAAGGCAGGAGGATTGCTTGAGCCCAGGAGTTTGAGACCAGCATGGGCAACAGAGTGAGACACCATCTCTACAAAAATAATAATAATAAAAACAATTAACCAAGCGTGGTAGGGTTTGTCTGTGGTCCCAGCTGCTTGGGAAACTGAGGTGGGGGGATCATTTGAGCCTGGGAGATTGAGGCTGCAGTAAGCTGGGATTGCACCACTATACTCCAACCTGGGTGACAGAGCAAGACCCCATCTCTATAAACTAAAAATAAATTTAAGGTATTTTTAGTAAATTAAGAGGAAAATAGTGTTTTATATTAATTAGATAAAATTATTATAAAAAATAACCTAGTTATTATTATAAAAATAACCAGTTATTTATCATTTCTGATGTTCTTAGGATTCCTTCCTGAAGATTTTTTTTTTTTTTGAGATAGTTTTGCTTTGTCACCCAGGTTAGAGTGCAGTGGCGCGATCTCCGCTAACTGCAAGCTCCGCCTCCCGGGTTCACGCCATTCTCTGCCTCAGCCTCCCGAGTAGCTGGGACTACAGGTGCCCACCACTGTGCCCGGCTAATTTTTTGTATTTTTAGTAGAGATGGGGTTTCACCGTGTTAGCCAGGATAGTCTTGATCTCCTGACCTCGTGATCCACCCGCCTCGGCCTCCCAAAGTGCTGGGATTACAGGCGTGAGCCACTGCACCCGGCCTCTTTCCTGAAGATTTGACATTCCTTAGTATAATTTATTTTCAACCCTAAGAAACTTCTTTAGGTACTCCGTTAGTGATGAATTCTTTTGGTTTTTCTTTATCTGAAAATGTCTTTTTTTTTTCCACCTTCATTCTTTTTTAAAAAACAGCTTGAGGCTGGGCGTGGTGGCTCATGCCTGTAATCCCAACACTTTAGGAGGCCGAGGTGGGCAGATTGCTTGAAATCGGGAGTTCAAGATCAGCCTGAGCAACATGAAGAAACCCTATCTCTACAAAAAATACAAAAATTAGCCAGGCATGGTGGTGTGTGCCTGTAGTCCCAGCTACTAGGGAGGCCAAAGTGGGAGAATTGCTTGAGCTTGGGAGGCGGAGGTTGCAGTGAGCTGAGATCACACCACTGCACTCCAGCCTGGGCAGGGGAGCAAGACTCTGTCTCAAAAAAAAAAAAAAAAACCCAAAAACCCAAAACAACAAAACAACAACAATAAAAAACAAACAAACAAAAAACTGGTGGGGCGCAGTGACTCATGCCTGTGATCCCAGCACTTTGAGAGGCTGAGGCGAGTGGGTCACCTGAGGTCAGGAGTTCGAGATCAGCCTGGCCAATATGATGAAACCCCATCTCTACCAAAAATACAAAAATTAGCTGGGTGTGGTGGCTCATGCCTGTAGTCCCAGCTACTCGGGAGGCTGAGGCATGAGAATCACTTGAACCCAGGAGGCAGAGGTTGCAGGGAGATGAGATCACACCACTGCACTCCAGCCTGGGCAACAGAGTGAGACTTGGTCACAAACAAACTAACAAACAAAAAACCACAGCTTGCGATATGATTTACATATCATATGATTTACTCAGTTTAAGTGTACAATTCAATGGTTTTTAGTACAATCACAGATAAGTGTGACCATCACCATAGTCAGTTTTAGAGCATTTTCATCACCTCTAAATGAAACTTTATATTTTAGCTATTCCTCCATTTCCCCATTCCTTTATTCCCGCATTCAACACAATCATAAGCAAGCACTTGTCTACTTTGTCTCTATAGATTTCCCTCTTTTGGACATCTCATATGAATGGAATTGTATAATCTGTGGTATTTTGTGACTGGCTTCTTTCACTTAGCATGAAGTGTTCAAGGTTTATCCACATGATAGCATGTATTGGTACTTCATTCCTTTTTATAGCCCAATAATATTCCATTGTTTGGATATACTACAATTGGTTTCTCCATTCATCCATTGATGGAATTTTTGGGTTGTTTCCACTTTTTGGATATTACGAATAATGCTGCTCTAAACATTCATGTACAAGCATCTAAGTCTCTGTTTCAATTCTTTTGAGTATTGCTGGGTCATATGGTAATTCTATGTTTGATCATTTGAGAAACTGCCAGACTGTTTTCTAAAGTGGCTATACTATTTTACATTTTCACCAGCAGTGTATGAGGGTTATGAGTACCTTCATTCTTGAAGGATATTATCTCTAGATATAGAATTCTGGGCCAGGTGTGGTTGCTCATGCCTATAATCCCAGGACTTGGGGAAGCTGAGGTGGGTGGATCACTTGAGGCTAGGAGTTCAAGACCAGCCTGGCCAAGATGATGACACCATGTCTCTACTAAAAATACAAAAGTTAGCCGAGAGTGGTGGCAGGCGCCTGTAATCCCTGCTATTCAGGAGGCTGAGGCATGAGAATCGCTTGAACTTGGGAAGTGGAGGTTGCAGTGAGCCAAGATCACACCACTGCACTCCAGCCTGGGCAACAGAGTGAGACTCTGTCTCAAAAAAAAAAAAAAAAGAAAAGAAAAAAAATTATTTTAGCCTGATGGTTGTCCTTTCTTTCTTTCAGCATTTTAAAGATGCTGTTCCACTGTCTTTTTAAAGATGCTGTTCCACTGTCTTTTGAACTCTATAATTTCTTTTTTTAAAATTGTGGTAAAATGTACAAAACAAAATTTACCATTTTATCATTTTTGTTTTTTCCTTTTATTCTAATGCATCTTCTCAGGATTAATTTTTTTTTCTTTTTGAGATGGAGTCTTGCTCTGTCACTCATGCTGGAGTGCAGTGGCACGATCTCAGCTCACTGCAACCTCTGCCTTCCTGGTTCAAGCAATTCTCCTGCCTCAGCCTCCTGAGTAGCTGGGATTACAGGCGTGTGCCACCATGCCTGGCTAATTTTTGTATTTTTAGTAGAGACGGGTTTTCACCATGTTAGTCAGGCTGGTCTCGAACTCCTGACCTTGTGATCCACCCACCTCGGCCTCCCAAAGTGCTGGGATTACAGGCGTGAGCCACTGCACCTGGCCCAGAATTAATTATTTTTAAGTGTAAAGTTCTGTGGCATTAAGAACATTCAGGTCTGGGCATGGTGGCTCACACCTGTAATCCTAGCACTTTGGGAGACCAAGGTGGGAGGATCACTTGAGGCCAATAGTTCGAGACCAACCTGGGCAGCATAGCGAGACACCATCTCTATTAAAAACAAAAAAAGAGCATTCATATTAGTGTGCAACCCTCCCCACCATTCATCTTCAATTTTTTTTTCATCATCCCCAGCTGAATGACCTCTATAGTTTCTTATGAGGACTCAACAGTTTTTCAAATTACCATTCCCTGGTATGTAGTATATCATTTTTCTCTGGGTATTTTAAAGATTTTCTGTTAATTGTTGGTATTCAGCAGTTTGACTATAATGCACCTAGGCATTGTTTTTATCCTGCTTGAGTTCAGTTACTTCTGTTTTGTTTTGTTTTGTTTTTGTTTTGAGACTGAGTCTCGCACTATTGCCTGGGCTGGAGTGCAATGGCGCTATCTCGGCTCACTGCAACCTCCACCTCCTGGGTTCACATGATTCTCCTGCCTCAGCCTCCCAAGTAGCTGGGATTACAGGTGCCCGCCACCATGCCTGGCTGATTTTTTGTATTTTTAGTAGAGATGGGGTTTCACAGTGTTAGCCAGGATGGTCTCGATCTCCTGACCTTGTGATCCGCCCACCTCAGCCTCCCAAAGTGCTGGGATTATAGGTGTGAGCCACCGCATCCAGCCGAGTTCAGTTACTTCTTGACCCTAAACATAAATGTCTTTCACCAAATTTGGGAAATCATTTGCTATTATTTCTTCAATTTATATTTGCTCCATCCTTCCCCATTGAATTGCCTTGGCATCTTTGTTGAATATAAATTCATTATAAACATGTGGGTCTATTTACAGTGTCTCTATTCACTTTCATTCATCTATTTGTCTATTATTACACAATAACTATGCCAGGTTTTTTTTTTTTTTTTTTTTTTTTGAGATGGGGCAGGCCTTGCTATGTTGCCCAGGCTGTTCTCGAACTCCTGGCCTCAAGTGATCCTCTCACCTCTGCCTCTCAAGTAGTTGGGATTATAGGTGTGTGCCACCATGCCTTTCTATTCCACATAAATTGTAGAAACCAGGTTGTCAATTTTTATCAAAACAACCTACTGGGATTTTGATTGAAATTGATTGAATCTACAGATACACTTGAGGAGAAATGACACCTTTTTAAAAATTATTATTAATAAGACAGAGTTTCACTCTGTCACAGGCTGGAGTTCAGTGGCCCAATCTCGGCTCACTGCAACCTGTGCCTCCTGGGTTGAAGTGATTCTTGTGCCTCAGCCTCGTAAGTAGCTGGGATTACAGGCATGCACCACTGCACCTGGCTAATTTTTGTATTTTTAGTAGAGACGGGGTTTCACCATGTTGGCCAGGCTAGTCTTGTACTCCTGGCCTCAAGTGATCTGCCTGCCTTGGCCTCCCAAAGTGCTAGGATTATAGGCATAAGCCACTGCACCTGGCCTTAATTTACATCTTAATATTGAGTCTTCTGATCCATGAACGTGGTATAGTTCTCTACTTACTTAAATCTTCTTTAATTTCTCTCTATATGTTTTGTAGATTGCAATGTAGAAATTATGCACATCTTTCTTTAATTTGTCCCTAGGCATTTCATATTTTTGATGCTATTGTGAATGGTATTTTGTAAAATATCATTTCCAAAATTTTTGCTAGCATATAGGAATACAATTAATTTTTGTATATTGACTTTGTATCCTGTGATATCACTATATTCACTAGTTAATTCTGGTATTTTGTTTTTGTAGGATCCTGAGGATTTTCCATGCATTAAGTACTGTAATCCAACAGTACTTAATTTCGTTGCCGAAATTATAACAGCTTTTTCCATGCATGGAAATCCATGTCATCTATGAATACAGACAGTTTTATTTCTTCCTTTCTTATCTGTATGGCTTTCATTTCTTTTTATTGCCTTATTGCACTGGTTAGGATGTCCAAGACAATGTTGAATTGAAATGGTAAAAGCAGACATCCTTGCCTTGTTCCCATTCTTTGGGGGGAAGCCTCAATAATTTACCACTGAATATCATGTTAGCTATAAGATTTTCATAGATTCTTTTTTTATCAGATTGAGGAAGTTCTTTTTAAATTCTAGTTTGTTAAAAATTTTAAAAATATCATAAACTGGTGTGGATTTTTTCAAGTGCTTTCTCTGCATTTATTAAAATGAATATATACTTTTAAAAACTTTATTCTGTTAAAGTGGTCAATTACATTGATTGATTTCTTTAAATGTTAAGCTAACTTTGCATTCCTGGGGTAAACCTTAGTTGGTCATGATATCATTTTTATATATTTCTGGATCTAATTTCCTAATATTATAATAATGTATTGATACGTTATTATTAACCAAAGTCAGTCAGATTTTCCTAGTTTTTACCTAATCTCCTTTTTTCTATTCCAGAATTCTATCCAGGATATCACATTACATTTAGTCTCCTTAGGCTCCATTTGGTTGTGATATTTTCTCAAACCTTCCTTGTTTTCAATAACATTGATGGTTTTGAAGAGTGCTGGTCAGGTATTTTGTAGGATGCCCTTTCATTGGGATTTGCCTGTTTTCTCACGCATAGACTTGGTTGTGGGTTATGGGAGAAAGTGCCATCTCATCACATCATATCAAAGGCACATACTGAAAAAAATAAAGGCTCCTATTGTCGACATGACATCTCACTGTTGATGGGGTCTGTATTAGTCTGTTTTCACATTGCTATAAAGAACTTCCGTGAGACTGGGTAATTTATAAAGGAAAGAGGTTTAATTGACTCACAGTTCTGCATGGCTGGGGAGGCCTCAGGAAACAGAATCATGGTGGAAGGTGAAGGTGAAGCAAGAACCTTCTTCACAAGGCAGCAGGAGAGAGAAGTGCATATGAAGGAGGAACTGTGAGACACTTAAACCATCAGATCTTGTGAAAACCCACCTACTATCAAGAGAACAGCATAGGGGAAACTGTCCCCATGATCCGATCACCTCCCTCCCTCAACACGTGGGGGTTACAGGTCCCTCCCTTGACATGTGGGGATTACAATTTGAGATGAGATTTGGGTGGGGACACAGAGCCAAACCATATCAGAGTCCTTGATCACCTGGTTGAGGCAGCGTTTGTTAGGTTTTTCACTGTAAAGCTACTCTTTTTCCCCTTGTTTTCCTTATTGTACTCTTCGAGTATGTACAGCCTACACTCAAGAAGTGGAGAGTTATGGACTCCCTCCTCGAGGGCTGAATGCCTACATAAATTATTTGGGATCCTTCTGCATGTGAAATTTATTTCTCCCATATCTATTAACTTATTCAGTAATTTATTTATACCAATATGCATTCATGGGCATTTATTTTATATTTTTTGCTGTAATCCAACAGTACTTAATTTTGTTGCTGAAATTATAACAACTTTGACCATTGAGAGCTCTTTCTGTTGGTTCTTGTCTCTCTCTCTCCCTCTTTTTTTTCCCTAACAGAAATACCATTCAGAATCCTGTGTCTCTTTGGAGTACCCTCATCAATGTGGTTTTGTTTTATTTTGTTTTAGTCTGCAGGACAGAGTGAGACCGTGTCTCAAAAAAACAAAACAAAACAAAACAAAAACCACACACAAAACCGCATTGCTTTTTATATTTCAATTTCCGGTTGTTCACTGTTATTATATAGAAATGAAATTAATGTTTGTATATTGATTTCTTATCCTGTCATGTTTCTGAGGTCACTTATTAGTTCTAGTAGATTTTGGAGTTTCTAATTTTCTACATAAACAATCATGTCATCTGCAAAAAAAAAAAGTTTTACTTTTTCCTTTACAATCTTCATGGCATTCATTTTTTCCCCCTTATGTGATTGCATTGACTAGGACCTACCATACAATGTTTTAAATAGAGAGGTCGGAGTGGACATCCCTGTCTTGCTCCCCATCTTAGGAGAAGCATTCAGTCTTTCACTATTAAGTATGATTTAGCCATAGATTTTTTATTTTGGTAAATGTCCTATATCAGGTTGAGGAAATTTTCTTTCTATTCCTAGTTTGCGGAGAGTTATTAGGAATACATTTGGATTGTCAAATGCTCTTTTTGTATCTATGGAGAGATCACATGGTTTTTCTTCTTTAGTTTGTTAATATGTGAATTGCATTGATTGGGTTTCTAATGTTGAACCAAGTTTACATTCCTGGGATAAACCCCACTTGGTCATGATATATCATCCTTTTTATATATTGTTGAATTTGATTTGCTCAACTTTTGTTTAGAATTTATTTTTGTTTAGAATTTTTTTAACAGTTTTGTTGAAATACAATTCACATATCATACACTTCATTCATTTAAGGTGTACAATGTTTTTAAATGTAGTCACATGGTTGTGCAACCATCACCAAAATCAATTTTAGAACATTTTGTCCCCACTAAAAGAACCTCTGTACCAATTAGCTGTCCCTCCCCCATCTCCCCACCTCCAGCCATAAACAACCACTAATTTATTTTTCCTCTTTATAGATTGCCTGTTATTATAGATATTTCATATGAATGGAATCATAGTAAGTGGTATATTTCTTTTTTCTTTTCTTTTCTTTTTTTTTTTTTTGAGATGGATTCTCGCTCTGTTACCCAGGCTGGAGTGCAGTGGCATGATCACGGCTCACTGCAACCTCCGCCTCCCGGGCTCAAGCAATTTGCCTCCCTCAGCCTCCTGAGTACCTGGGATTATAGGTGCATGCCACCGTGCCCAGTTAATTTTTGTATTTTTAGTAGAGATGGGTTTTCACCATGTTGACCAGGCTGGTCTTGAACTCCTGGCCTCAAGTGATCCACCTGCCTTGGCCTCCCAAAGTGCTAGGATTACAGGTGTGAGCCACTGTGCTTAGCCTCAAAATTCTTTTTAATTTTTCCATTTGATATCTTCCTTGACCCAAGGGTTGTTTAGCAATATGTTATTTAATTTACAAATATTTCAATATTTACCACAAGTCTTTCTGTTATTGACTTTTAATTTAATTCAGTTGTGGTTAGAGAAAATGCTTTTTATTACTGGAATCCTTTACAGTCTATTGAGACTTGTTTTATGGCTCAAAGTATGGCGTATATTGGTAAATGGTCTATGTGCTTTTGAAAAATATGTATATTCTGTTGTGGTTGGTTGGAGTGTTCTATAAATGCCAATTAGGTGAAGTTGGTCAATATGTTGAGTTGGTATGACCCTCAGTCATATAGTCACAAGGAAGTAAAATCTGCCAACTGGGAGCCTGGAATGAGCCTGGAAATTATTCTTTCCTAGTTGAGTTTCCCCAGGAGAACAAAGCTATCAGCTAATACCTTGATTACAGCCTCCTTAGATTATGAGCAGGGGACTTAGCTAAGCTGTTCCAAGACTTCTGATCCATGTAAACTGAGAGATAATAAATATATGTTGTTTTAAGTTGCTAAGCTTGTGAGAATTTGTTATGCAGCAATACAAAACTAATACAGATGCATAAACATTTAAGATTATTAAGTCCTCTTGATGAATCGATCATGTTATCATTATAAAATAACCATTTTTATTTCTAGTAATATTCTTTCCTCTGAAGTCCACTTTGATATTAATATAGCTCCTAGAGCTTTCTTTTGATTGGTGTTAACATGACATGTCTTTTTTTCATGCTTTTTACTTTTTCCCTATTTGTGGCTTCATGTTAAAATTTGTTTCTTTCTTTCTTTTTTTTTTGACAGGGTTTCACTTTGTCACCAAGGCTAAGTGCAGTGGCATGATCATAGCTCACTGTAACCTTGAACTCCAGCAATCAAGCTATCCTTCTGCCTCTGTCCCCCGAAGTAGCTGGGACTATAGGCGCACCCCACCATGCCCGGCTAATTTTTCTTTTCTTTTCTTTTCTTTCTTTTTTTTTTTTTTTTTGTACATACAGGGTTTCACCACGTTGGCCAGGCTGGTCTCAACTCCTGAGCTCAAGCGATCTGCCCACCTTGGCTTCCCAAATTGCTGGGATTACAGGTGTAAACCATTGCACTTGGCTGTGTGCTTCTTATAGATAGTATATAGTTGGTTTTTACTTTTTTATCCAAGCTGATAATCTTTGCTTTTGATTGGAGTATTTAGGCCATTTTAATTTAATGTGATTATTTATATGATTAAGTTTATTTATTTTTTTATTTATTTTGAGGCAGGGTCTTGCTCTGTTGCTCAGGCTGGAGTGCAGTGTTGCAATCATAGCTCACTGCAGCCTCAGACTCCTGGGCCCCAGCAAACCTTTCACCTCAGCTTCCCAAGTAGCTGGGACTACAGGTGAGTGCCACCATGCCCAGCTAATTTTTAAATTTTTTGTAGGGATGGAGTCTGGCTCTGTTGCCCAGGCTGGTCTTGAACTCCTGGGCTCAAGCAATCCTCTGCCTCCGCCTGCCAAAGTGCTGGGATTATAGGTGTGAGCCTTGCCCAGCCTATGATTAAGTTTAAATGTATTATTTTTGTGATTGTTTTATATTTTCCCCACCTGTTGTGTTCCTTTTCTCTTTTCCTGCCTTTTTTTTTTGTATTGCATATTTGAGTATTTTTTATTATTCTATTTTATCTCCTTTTTTTCTTTTCTTTTTCTTTTTCTTTTTCTTTTCTTTTCTTTTTTTTTTTTTTTTTTTTTTTTTTTGAGACAGAGTCTTGCTCTGTCACCCAGGCTGGAGTGCAGTGGCACGATCTCAGCTCACTGCAACCTATTCCCCTCTGGGTTCAAGTGATTCTCGTGCCTCAGCCTCCTGAGTATCTGGGACTACAGGCGTGCGCTACCATGCCGGGGTAATTTTTGTATTTTTAGTAGAGATGGGATTTCGACATGTTGGCCAGGCTGGTCTCAAACTCCTGACCTCAAATGATCTGCCCACCTGGGCCTTGGAAAGTGCTGGGATTACAGGCATGAGCCAACGTGCCCGGCCTATCTCCATTTTTGATGGAGATAAAATAGATTTTGCCTGGCGCAGTGATGCGTGCCTGTGAGGCTGAGGCAGGAGGATAGCTTGACTCCAGGAGTTTGAGGCTATAGTACACTATGATTGTGCCTGTGAACTGTACTCCAGCCTGGGCAACGTAGTGAGACCCTGTCTCTAAAAATATTGTTTTTTTAGTGGAGATAAAATAGAATCAGAAAAAATACAAAAGGATTCCACTTACATGTGGTAATTAGAGTAGCCAAATTTATAGAGACAGAAAGTAGAATGGTGGTTTCCAGGAGCTGGGAGCAGAGGGAATGGAGAGTTACTGTTTGGTGGGTACAGAGTTTCAGTATGGGAAGATGAAAAACTCTGGAGATGGATGGTGGTGATGCTTGCACAACAATGTAAATGTTCTTAATGTCCCTGAACTATACACTTATAAATAGTTAAAAAGGTAGATTTTATGTTACATATGTTTCACCACATTTTTTAAAAATCCTCAACAAAATCAGAATAGAAGGTAAATTTCTCAAACTGATAAAGGGCACGAGAAAAGTCTACAGCTCACATCATAACATCATCATAACATCGCCGGTGAAAGTGAACACTTTCTTCCTAAGACTGGAAACAACTCAAGGATGTCTACTCTTGCCACTTGTGTTAAACACTGTCCTGGACATTCGAAACCAGTGCAATCAGAAAAGAAAGAAATAAAAGCCATTCAAGTTGGAAAGAAAGAAGTAAAACCAGCATTCTTTTCAGATGACGATCTTTAATGTAAAAAGTCAGATGGAATCTACAAAAAGGCATCTAGGCTAATAAGTGAGTTTATCAAGCATATAAGGTAAAAGTTAAATATAATAAATTAGGTATCTATATACTATCAGTGAAAATGTGAAAATGAGGTTAGGGAGACTGTTCTATTCACAGCAACATCAGACGGAATAAAATACTTAGAAATAAATTTAGCAAAAAATGTAGATATACACAAAATCTATAAAACATTGCTCAGGGAAATAAGAGATCTACGTAAATGGAGAGAAATTCCATCTTCATGAATTGTAAGACCCAATATTGCCAAGATGACAGTTTTCACCAAATTGATCTATAAATTAAACGAAATCCCAGCCAGGCATGGTGGTGCATGCCTGTAGTCCCAGCTACTCCAGAGGCTGAGGTGGGAGGATGGCTTGAGCCCAGGAGTTTGAGGCTGCAGTGAGCCATGATCATGCCACTGCACTCCAGCCTAGATGACAGAGTGAGACCACATCTCTAAAACTGAAAATAAAAAAATAAAAATTAAGCAAAATCCCTGTAAAGATCCTAGCAAGCATTCCTTTTTTTTTTGTAGAAATTGGCAAACTGCTCCTAAAATATGTACAGGATATGGACATACAAAGGACCCAGAATAACCAATTTTGAAAAGGAGCCAATGGGAGAATTTTCATTTCCATCTTTCAAACTTACTATATATATAACTCACAGTAATCAAGACAGTGAGATACTGACATGAGGATAGAAATATAATGGAGAGTCCATAAATTAATCCTTATATTATGGTCAGCTGATGGCTGACAAAGGTGCCAAGATAATTCAATGTGCAAATAACAGTCTTTTCAACAAATGGTGCTAGGATAACTGTGTTCCCACCAGTGATAAGTAAGTGATAAGTATGTGAGGTAACAGATATGTTAGTTACCTTGATTTAATCATTTCACAATGTATACATCTATCAAAACATCCTGTTGTATACCATGAATATGTACCATTTTTGTCAATTATAATATAATCAATTTTAAATTAATTAAAATGTTAACCTGAGTGCTGCTCTGAAGGAATTAATTTTCCAGATATAATTTAAGTCATGAGTCAGTTAACCTTAGTATATGGAGATTATAGGACTGACCTAGTCAGGTGAACCCTTTAAATGCAGAGAATTTTCTCTGGCTAGTACCAGAAGAGGTCATCAGAGATTCAAAGCACAAAAAGGATTTGATGCTCTATTGTTTATTTGATGGTAGTGGGGATCACTGTATCAAGGAAATGGAGAGTTCAGTTTTACAGCTTCATGGAACTGCATTTCTGTCAATAACTTGAATGAACTTGGAAGCAGATTCTGTTTTATGTTTGCAGGTAGATTCTTCCCTTGAACTTCCAGATGAGAGCCCAGCATGGCCAACATCTTGATTTTGGCTTTTTGAAACCTTAAGTAGAGAACCTGCTTGGTCTTATGACCTAGAGAGCTGTGAGATAATAAATGGGTATTGTTTTAAGCTACTAAATTTGTGATAATTTGTTACACAGCAATAGAAAACTAATACATTGGTATAGCCGGCTCACTCATGGTTATTGCATGGTATATTATTTTCCATCCTTTCAACCTATTTGTAGTATATATTGAATCTGAAGTTTCTGCTCTAGACAGCATATAGTTAGATCCTGTTTTTAAATTCAGTCTGATAATCCTTTACTTTTTTTTTGAGACAGGATCTCACTTTGTCGCCCAGGCTGGAGTGCAGTGGCGTGAACATGGCTCACTGCAGCCTCGACCTCCCTGGCTCAAGCGATCCTCCTGCCTCAGCCACAGAAGTAGCTGGAACTAAAGGCATGCGCCACCACGCATGGTTAATTTTTTTGTATTTTTTTTTTTGTAGAGACAGCGTTTTGCTATGTTGCCCAGCCTGGTCTCAAACTCCTGAGCTCAAGCGATCTGCCTTGGTTTCCCAAAGTGCTGGGATTACAGGCATAAGCCACCATGCCACCACACCCAGTCTATCCCTTACTTTTGAGTGTAGTACTTATTTCATTTACATTTACTATAATACTGATTGTAATATAAGTAATATAATTATTATTTTGGAGAGAAAAACATGCAAAATTGTTTTCCCAACAGACAAGACAGCATCAGCAGGTACAACTACAGGGGATTCTCCATAGATCGTACACTCACAAAGCATCATTAGTTCAACAGTGGAAAAACCACTGCTGTGTTCTCTGTAGCATATCCACTTAGCGTAAAGAGGTACTATTATTGTGTTCACTTACAATTCCAGAAGGAAAGGCACAACTGGACAAAAAACATTTTGTATCCTAAAGTCAGGTGCAGTAACTAAGAGACAAAACTTTGGGTAACAGTCTTGATGCACATTTCAGTAAGGGCTTTTTACTTAGAGGGGAATGATTTCTCCACCCACAAGTTAGGTTTAATTGTTAGAGCAACATTTCATTGTTTGCTCAGTATTATTACATATACAAAAGGGGATTTGAAAAAAGGAATCACGAAAACATCTTACATGTCCAGCTGTTCCCACCAATACATCAACTCTTATGAAGCAGGAGAATAGGGTCTGGAGGCAGGGAACCCAAGTCCGGTTCATGCTGACTTCCTAGAACTAAATTGAAAGGGAAACCCCAACTTTCCACACCTAAATAACAAAAGGACCAGAGACTATTCCCTCTGCAAACCTCCACCTTTTCTGCCTGGCAGATGGGAAATTGAAAGTACCTCTGACCGGTTGCAAAAACCAATCACAGGTTTGCATAAGAGTGTAATTTTGTAACTTCGAAATTGGTTGCAGACAGCAACAAATCAGAGTGATTGTGGGCCACCACTTCATTTACATGAGGTGAACACCAAGTGGCCAATGGGAATGGGAAACCTCTAGGGGGTATTTGGACCCAAGAAGATTCTGTATCTGGGCCCTTGAGCCGCTGCTCAGGTCCGCTCCCACACTGTGGAGTATACTTCCATTTTCAATAAATCTGCTTTTGTTGCTTCATTCTTTCCTTGCTTTGTCTGTTTTGTCCAATACGACAAGAACCTGGACACCCTCCACCAGTAACACTTAGGTTTAAGACAGCAGCCAGGCATGGTGGCTTACACCTGTAAACCCAGCACTTTGGGAGGACAAGGCCAGTGGATCACCTGAGGTCAGGAGTTTGAAACCAGCCTGGCCAACATAGAGAAACCCCATCTGTACTAAAAATACAAAAAATTAGCCGGGCATGGTGGCACATGCCTGTAGTCTCAGCTACTTGGGAGGCTGAGGCAGGAGAATCCCTTGAACCTGGGAAGCGGAGGTTGCAGTGAGCTGAGATTGTGCCACTGTACTCCAGCCTGGGTGACAGAGTGAGACTCCGTCTCAAAAACAAACAAACAAACAAACAAAAAGACAGGGCCTGGGAATACTTCAGTGGTCATAAAATAGGAAAATAGACACTATGGCTACAAAAAAAGTGAAATATTTAAACTAAAGCTTTCATACCCAGGATTTGCCTGTTCCAACTTTGTAGCCTTCATGCAATACTCAGGGCAAAAAATCTGCATAATTACTTGGCATAAGTTGCACCAACTATATTTTTTAAAAATTAGTATGTGACCCTGTGAAAGGAAACACTCCTTCCCATGAGTTTCTCCTCTGGAATGAAAATCCAGTTCTTCAACAGAGTGGGCACTGGTGAACTAAATTAAGTCACCTGAGATTCCTTGCTCAGTGGCCCACCTCTTCTGGTGTTCAGGAAGGCAAAGGGAAGTGTGTGGAATACATTTGAACTCTTGTGGCTGCAACTGAGCTGTTTTTTAAATAAGCAGACATTGACTCCCTAACAACTAACATAAGTCCATTTGAGGACATCCTATTTAAAGTTCTAAAGTTAAAGGAGTCCAGACACAGTGGCTCACCCCTGTAATCCAGCACTTTGGGAGGCTGAGGTGGGGCAAATCACTTGAGTCCAGGAGTTTGAGACCAGCCTGGCCAACATGGTGAAACTGAAACCCCGTCTCTACTAAAAATACAAAAATTAGCTGGGTGTGGTGGTGGGTACCTGTAATCCCAGCTACTTGGGAGGCTGAGGCAGGAGAATCCCTTGACCCCCAGAGGTGGAAGTTGCAGTGAGCCGAGATTGCGCCCTTGCACTCCAGCCTCCTGGGTGACAGCGAGACTCCATCTAGAAAACAAAAAAAGTTGGAGGAATTAGGCCAGGTGCGGTGGCTCACGCCTGTAATCCCAGCACTTTGGGAGGCCGAGGCAGGTGGATCACGAGGTCAGGAGATCGAGACCATCTTGGCTAACACGGTGAAACCCCCTCTCTACTAAAAAAATACAAAAAAATTAGCCGGGCGCCTGTGGTCCCAGCTACTGGGGAGGCTGAGGCAGGAGAATGGCGTGAACCTGGGAGGCGGAGCTTGCAGTGAGCTGAGATAGCGCCACTGCACTCCCGCCTGGGTGAAAAGAGCGAGACTCCGTCTTAAAAAAAAAAAAATGTTGGAGGAATTTGTAATTCTATAATCTTTTTTTTTGCTTTATTTTTGAAAGTACTTTCAAAAAACAAAAGATGGGTACAGGGTTAGGAGACATACAAAACAGGTTCCTAAATAGATGATAACCTTGTCCATTTACTTGCAGACAGTTATCATGGAAGTATACAGTACTCCTCCTCACCCCATTAATCTAAGTAGTTGTCTTTTCCACTGTGGTTCAATAAGTTCAAACTGTTCCACCTTGAAATAGGCGACAGTCTTGGGAAGTAGTTACTGTAGGCTGTACAGAATTTCTATGTATATAGTTTGTTGGAAGTAACAAAGCTACTTTCAAGACTTGCTTCTTTCCAAAATTAAAAAATAATTATAGTCTGTATTTGTTTTGGTATAGATATTTTCTTTTTTTGATTTTTTTGTTTTTATGTTTTGCAAAGCAGCATAACAATTGTGATTGTAGAACTGCCTGAGATTGCCATCTGTAAACATCATTTGCATATCAGTAAGAATAAGGAAAACGGGAGGAGGAGATGGGTTTTTTTTTTAAAAAAAAGAAAACAAATAATCCCATTAAAAAGTGGGCAAAGGACATGAATAGACATTTCTCAAAAGAAGACAAGTGGCCAACGGACATGAAAAAATGCTCAACATCGCTAATCATCAGAGATGTGCAAATTAAAACCACAATGATAAACCATCTTACACTAGTCAGATGGCTATTATTAAAAAGAGAAAAACTAACAGATGTTAGTGAGGATGGGGAGAAAAGGGAATGAACTCTTATACACTGTTGGTGGGAATGTAAATTAGTGTAACCTCTATGGAAAACTGTATGGAGATTTCTCAAAGAACGAAAAATGCAACTACTTTCCATCCAGCAATCCCACTACCGGGTATCTACCCAAAGAAAAATAAATCATTATATCAAAAAGACACCTGCAATAGTATGTTTATCACAGCACTATTCACAATAGCGAAGATAAGGAATCAACCTAAGTGTCCATCAACGGAGGATTAGATAAAGAAACTGTGGTATGTATACATCATGGAATACTATGCAGCCATAAAAAAATGCAATCATGTCTTTTGCAGCAACATGGATGGAACTGGAGGCCATTAACTTTGGTGAAACAAGCCAGGCACAGAAAGACAAATATCACATGTTCTCACTTATAAGTGGGAGCTAAATAAAGTGTACACACGGAGGTAGTGTGTGGAATGATAGACAACAGAGACTTGGAAGGGTAAGGCAAGGGGTGGATAATGAGTGATTACTTAAGGGGTACATTGTAGGTTATTTGGGTGATCAATACCCTAAAAGCCCTGACTTCACCACTACACAATCTATGCAGGTAACAAAATTACACTTGCACCCCATAAATTTATACAAATAAAAAATAATAAAAGAATAAAAAGCACAGTCTAGACTAGGGGTGTCCAATCTTTTGGCTTCCCTGGGCCACCTTGGAAGAAGAATTGTCTTGGGCCACACATAAAATACACGAATACTAACAATAGCCGATGAGCTTAAAAAAAAAATCACAAAAAAATCTCAGAATGTTTTAAGAAACTTCACGAATTTGTGTTGGGCCACATTCAAAGCCGCCCTGGGCTGCATGTGGCCTGCGGGCTGAGGGTTGAACAAGCATGGTCTAGACATTTCACTCTGTCTACATTTCTTCTTCCAGGCAAGTTCCCCTTTAGCTTAGCTGACCACAATCTTGTTTTCTTCCAGGAAGTGAGGGAACCAATGTGTGGGAACAGTCTCAGTAGCACCTGGTTTTTCCACATTGGCACTGATACCTGACTGGGAGCCATCCATCTTGGACTCAGCAGTGTTATTCACAGCAGAGTTGGCCCCCACAGAAACTGGGAGGGTGGGAACACCACCACTCTGGGTCATAGAGATCTCGCTAGTCTTCATGGCAAGACCACTGTTGAGCATGTTGGTATATTGGTTCCACCACCTTCACTGAAGGGGCCAGGATTTCCAGTAAACATTTCTGAGATTCTTTCCATTCATACCTAATTAAGCCATAGTGTTCTCAATGGCTAGCTTCCTTCTCTGGTGTGCTGAGTTATTGTTTGCTCCATGAGTCATACAGTGGACCTTCAAGTTGCCTTTGGTGGTAAAAGCTTGCCCATGTATGCTGCACACAAAAGGCTATTCTCTAGTGTGAGTCCACTTGTGAATCTGAAGAGCACTAGTGGATAAGAAGTTCTTCTCACACTGTGTGCAGCTGTGTTGCTTGGCCTGTCAGTGTGGCTGGGCCGCTAACACCAGGGACATGATTGAGGATCCAACAAATGTGCCAGTGAAAGGGGAGAGTTCCCTGGCCCCCCTCACAGGACGTGTGATGGGTGTGGCTTGTCTGTTTGGTCGCTGCTCAAACCTCTTACAGGAGGGGGAGTACACAGACAGACAGGTGCAGGAGCCCAAGTGGGCGTGTGTTACAGTGCACTCTTTTAGCCTTGCCATCTGCAGATGGCTTAAGTGTTAATCAGCTCAGTGGACCCTCTGCCTTTCTGCAAAGGCAGAGGGCCAGTGTGACAGTTTTCTGTATCCTGAGCTGTTGTCCAGAATCCTGGAAGAATCAGGTCACACATGGACTTGAAGGATGGAGAATGCAGGGTTTTATTGGGTGGTGGAGGTGGCTCTCAGTGGGATAGATGAGGAGCTGGACAGGGGATGGAGTGGGAAGATGATCTTCCCTTGCAGTTTGGCCATCTGGTGGCTGATTCTCTGACCACCCCCAGCAAAACTCCTGACGTTTCTTCTCTTCTCTCCTGTGCCGTGCCATTCTGCCATTTGTCTGCTCATCTCCTCATCTCCTGCTTCTGGAGCCTCGGGTTTGGGGTTTATATGGGTACAGGATGGGGGCGTGATGGGCCAAAAGGCAACATTTTCGGCACAAAAACAGGAATGCCTGTTCTCACTTAGGGCTGTGGATATCCAGGCTTGAGGGTGGGGCCTTTGCTGGGGAACTGCCCTCTTCTGTCCAGTATTTCCCTGTCTCCTATTTGTATTACCAGGAACTTCAACTTTTCATTTTTATTTTTTAGAGACAGGGTCTCTCCTTTTCGCACAGGCTGGAGTGCAGTGGCACAGTCATAGTTTACCACAACCTTGAACTCCTGGGCTCAAGTGATCCTCCTGCCCCAGCCTCATTAGTAGCTGGAATTACAAGCGCTAGCCACCAAACCTGTTAAAACTTGAACTTTGACATATGTTGACTGGGCTCAGAAAAACGTTGATGGGAGACAGCCCATCTCAGTGTGGCTGTTCTTGGGGTGCTCAGCTTTGCTCCCAGCATCTGGAGACTTTGTCATAATGCTTTCTGCTTGGCTAGTTGCTAGGGAGCGTGCCTGGAAGGATGTGGTTTCCACAGCATCTGGAGTTTGGCTAATAGTCCTGGTGTCCCATCAGTGAGAATGAGTCATTAAACTGTTGCTCTCCACTGAATCGTTTTTCAGCTGCTCTGCCTCTGCAGGCCAGAAGGAACAGGACCCACTTTCCTGGTGACTGCTAGGGAAGCCTTTGTGGCAAACCCTAGGGTGGGTTATATTAAGTGGATGCTAAGAAGAGGTGTGAGGACCTTTGAGTAGCTACTGGGGGCATCCTGGGAGCTGACTTTATCCACAGTGGTGTCTTCTTTCAACATCATCATGGCAGATGGCACTTGTATTACCATTCTCACTGACCATCATTGGCTCAGGACCCCTAAAATCACAGGGATTCTCTGGCGGGGACATGCTGGGAATCTGAGTGCCCATGTTCATCCAAATATGTTGTTGCAACATGACCACACTGGCAAATTTCTTTTGACTAATGGGGTATGTACTTATGGATGAGTTGGTTCCATGAACCCTGAGAAGTGTCTTTACGTTGCCTTTGGTAGAAAAAGCTTGTCCACAGATTTCACATAGGATGGGTCTCTCCCCAATGTGGGTGTGGTAATGTATGATTTTTTTCCAAGTGAGAGCAAATTTATTAAAGTAAAGGAATAAAAGAATGGCTACTCCATAGGCAGAGCAGCCCTGAGGGCTGCTGGTTGGCTATTTTTGTGGTTATTTCTTGACTACATGCTAAACAAGTGGCGGGTTTTTCATGAGTTTTCCGGGAAAGTGGTGGGCAACTCCTGGAACGGACGGTTCCTCCACCTTTTAGACCATAAATGGTAACTTCCTGACATTGCCTTGGCATTTGTAAACTGTCATGGTGCTGGTGGGAGTGTCTTTTAGCATACTAATGTATTATAATTAGCATATAATGAGCAGTGAGGATGACCAGAGGTTACTTTCCTCACCATCTTCGTTTGGGTGGGATTTGGTCTGCTTCTTTACCACATGTTGTTTTATCAGCAAGGTCTTTGTGACCTGTATCTTGTGCCAACCTCCTATCTCATCCTGTGACTTAGAATGCTTAACCTCCTGGGAATGCAGCCCAGTAGGTCTCAGCCTCATTTTACCCAGCCCCTATTCAGGATGGAGGCACTCTGGTTTGAACACCTCTGACATATTTCTCCCCTGCGTTTTACAAAGGAATCCTTAATCTTTTATTATTATTATTATTTTATTTATTTATTTATTTATTTTTTTGAGATGGAGGCTTGCTCTGTCACCCAGGCTGGAGTGCAGTGGCGCGATCTTGGCCCTCTGCAACCTTCCCCTCCCGAGTTCAAGCGATTCTCCTGCCTCAGCCTGCCAGGTAGCTGGGACTACAGGTGCGTGCCACCATGCCTGGCTAATTTTTGTATTTTTAGTAGAGATGGGGTTTTGCCATGTTGGCCAGGCTGGTGTCAAACTCGTGACCTCAGGTGATTCACCCGCCTCGGCCTCCGAAAGTGCTGGGATTACAGGTGTGAGCCTCCGCATCTGGCCAGGAACCCTTAATCTTAAGGGTTATAGAGGGACAAAGATCCATCTTCCGTAACTTCTTCAGGCTGAATTGGGCAATGATACTCCTGCCTACCTATTAGGGTCTCTTGTATTCAGGGTAGAGAGGAGCTCAGTCAGAAAGTGTAAGTATGGTGAGGGCCATCCATAACTCTTGAGTTCTGACAAAAGCTGATATCTGTAGTAAGTATTCAATTTAAGAAAATGTTGAGTAAGCTTATCCTGCATTCCTACACAAAGAGTACAGCAGCAATATTTTCCACAACAGTAAAACAAAGTAAGTAAAATTATTCCAAGTGAACTGAATAAGAAAGCTTTCCACGAACTGGGCAATTGTTGAAACCAAGCTGATATGGTGTCGCTAGCTGATTCTAATATGTGCCCAGAATTAGAATACTGACCCAGATTTTTACATTACCCATCCCTCTTGTTTCTTCTGAGCAGCAGCCAGAGATCACTGGTTGGTTCACAGGAATAAGCACGGTTAGTCTAAATTGCAGGAAAAAAAACCCTTAAAAACAACGAATGAGACTATAATTTAATAACAGGCGTACCATCGTTCTTGAAACAATTTTTCTCTCTCCAGTCTCCCATTTTTACTAAAGACAAATCATGGTAAGACTGATTTGCTTTATTATACTTGGCCTGATTATGTGTATAAAGTGCAGCAATAATAATAATAATTGTTAGATTTTTTTTTTCTTGAGATGGAGTCTCACTGTGTCGCCTAGGCTGGAGTGCAGTGGCATGATCTTGGCTCACTGCAACCTTCACCTCCTGAGTTCAAGCGATTCTCATGCCTCAACCTTCCAAGTAGCTGGGATTACAGGCACACGCTGCCATGCCCAGCTAATTTTTCTATTTTTAGTAGAGACAGGGTCTCACCATACCAGCCTGGCTGGTCTTGAACTCCTGACCTCAAGTGATCCGCCTGCCTTGACTTCAAGAATAATTATTTTTAACATAGGCTTTTAAAATTGTCTTTGACGGAACTCTGTTCCTTAAGAAATCTTAGATAATACTTTTTTTTTTTTTTTGAGGTGGAGTCTTGCTCTGTTGCCCAGGCTGGAGTGCAGTGGCACAATCTCAGCTCACTGCAACCTCTGCCCCCTGGGTTCAAGCAATTCTCCCGCCTCAGCCTCCCGAGTAGCTGGGACTACAGGCATGTGCCACCATGCCCGGCTAATTTTTTGTATTTTTTTAGTAGAGATGGGGTTTCACAGTGTTAGCCAGGATGGTCTCAATCTCCTGACCTCGTTATCTGCCCGCCTCGGCCTCCCAAAGTGCTGGGATTACAGGCGTGAGCCACCGTGCCCGGCCAGATAAGACTTTTTTAAAGCTGAACCCAGCCATGGGTTTGTACCATCAAATACCTAAATTTCCTCTTCTCTTGAGGTCCCAGGATAACTTGGGGCTCCTGGGCCTGTTAGAAAGCAACATTCTTTACTTACCGATCAGGAAACCTGTACAGGGACTGTGTAGACAAGGTATGGAGGCCAGTTTTCCCAAGGGAGGTAATGCATTGTGAAGGAACTTTGGCAGCTTAACACTCGGTGGCAAATGAGACATTCACTGGGGTCAGAAGTGGCCTTGTTGCTGTTCTCTACCAGCTGCTGCAATTTCATGGTCTCTGACCCTGGCTTGGTGGTCCCACTCCCTTGAAAGCCACCAACCCTTGGGGAATTATGGTTTGGCACCACCCCAGGGAGTGTGGGTCCACCCTTACTTTCTGGAGAAGGCCCAACAATGAGCCACCCATGTGGTCATTGGGGTTAACCCCCGAAGAAAGATTTTGTGATAGTTCTATGGAGGGGGTCCTTGTTACAAGGACAAGTTTGCTGTCTAAAGAGAGACTGGATTCATCTATGGGGACAGGTACAGGGAGTGCATGGGGTGCCATTGCCTACCACCATTTTGTTCTGGAACTTGGCAAACAGCTGGGGGTTTGCCTTCACCTGGGGATATTGATTAAAGTATACCTTGAGGTTACCCTTGGTGGTGAAGCCATGACCACACACAGAGAACATGAAGGGTCTCTCTCCAGTATGCATGTGGGGATAGATCTGCAAGGAGCTACCAGTCTCCCAAACCTTGCTACAGTTCTTACAGTTGTGCTTGTAGAGGATGGCCTCGTCTTTGGGTTTGACACACATCTCAGATGTTTGGTGGCTTATCTTTCTCTTTCTTGGATGGGTATAATGCCACAGTAGAGAAAGGACTCTGGAAGAGCACAGAACCCAAGCCTGAGGTAGCAAAGCACTTGGGAGCTGAGACACAATATTCAGGAGCACCCGTGTCCTATCCAGCTTCAGGGTGAAGGGTGTCAGCCATGGGGTCACAGAGCTGGCAGCAGAAGGGATGCTGGTGAGATAGCTTGGCTTGTTTAAGGTGTCCAGAGACAGACCTTGGCTTCCAGCTTTCTGGCTGAGCAAAGCCACAGCTACAGAAACTTGCTTGGACATGTGGCTATCTAAGGTCTTCAGGGTATTAGCCTGAGTGGAGAGTGTGGGAGGCCCACGAGTTCACTTGAATGCAAATCTGCTCAGTGAGCTAGATCTGCTGTCGTTGAAAAGATGCTGTTGGTGCTGGGCAGAGGGGCCAGCAGCACATATGAGCTTCACTGATTTACCACTCCCTTGTCTCCTTGTAATGCCTGAAGAGTCACATTAATATTGGCCACTTTGCCTTTGGGTAAATAGCTTATGTTCTGGAGTGTGGATGGTAGGGCAGTCTCTGTCTTTAAGTGCAAGAGAGACTCTGCGCCCAGCTTCTCCTTTATGTACCCTTAGCTGCCACCATTTTCCTTGGGACTGTCGCTGCTTGAACTGGGTGGCTGGTGGCTTGGTACAGCTGCACAAAAGTCTTCTGAAGGCACTGACTCCTCGCTGTCATTCATGGTGAGGACAGGTGGATTTTTAGTGCGATTTTTTCTTATGTTCCAAGAACTCAGAGATGCTAAAGAGTTCTGCACAGCATTTCTTAGAGATGTGAGTTTCCTACCCATGAAGCTGCTTTACCATCACTTTGTCCTCATTCACTTCATCACCATTCCCTGGGTGGTTCATTGGAGCACCTGGCTTGTTAAGATGATGGCTTGGAAAAGGGTGAAAATAGAGATGTGGAGAAATGGATATAGGTTGGGAGGTAGGGGAAAGGAGGGCTAGAGAGAAACATAGAACACTAATATGTCTTCATCTTGCAAAGTAAGCCGTTAAGGAGATACTATCTATGGTTGATTAAACAGAAAATATAAGTGGATGTATGTTATTTAAAGTGAAAAAGATATCTATTAGAGGAAATAAAAATAATGCTACCACTTTATTAGAAGGGGTGGATGGAAGGTAGGAATGGTGGAATTGAGCTTAATCCTCATCTCTGGCTGGGCATGGTGGCTCACACCTGTAATCCCAGCACTTTGGGAGGCTGAGGTGGGCAGATCCCTTGAGCCCAGGAGTTTGAGATCAGCCTAGGCAACTGATGAAACCCCATCTCTACAACAACAACAAAAAATATACAAAAATCAGTCAGATGTGGTGGTGCACGACTGTGGTCCCAGCTACTCAGGAGATTGAGGCAGGAAGATCACCTGAGCCTGGTGAGGTCAAGGTGGCAGTGAGCCATGATGATGCCACTGCACTCCAGCCTGGGTGAGAGTGAGACTGTCTCAAAAAAAATTCCTCGTCTCTGATAGCATTAATAGATAATGTCAAAAAAGAAATATAAGCCAGGTGCAGTGGCTTATGTATGTAATTCCAGCACTTTGGGGGGCCAAGGTGGGAAGATCGCTTGAGCCCAGAAGTTCAAGACCACCCTGGGCAACACGGGAGATCCCATCTCTATGAAAATTAAAAAATTAGTCGGGTGTGGTGGCAGTGGAGTGCACATGTATTCCTAGCTACTAGGGAAACTGAGGTGTGAGGATAGCTTGAGTCCGGGAGGTTGAGGCTGCAGTGAACTGTGATTGCGCCACTGCACTCCGGCATGGGTGACAGAAATATACAGGCAGGGACAAATATTTTTATTTATGTATTTATTTATTTATTTATTGAGATGGAGTCTTGCCCTGGAGGGTGATGGCGAGATCTCGGCTCACTGCAACCTCTGTCTTCCAGGTTCAAGCGATTCTCCTGCCTCAGCCTCCCATGTAGCTGGGATTACAGGTGCATGCCACAACGCCCAGCTAATTTTTTTTGTATCTTTAGTAGAGACGGGGTTTCACTATGTTGGCCGGGCTGGTCTCAAACTCCTGACCTGGTGATCCACCTGCCCCGGCCTCCCAAAGTTCTGGGATTACAGGCATGAGCCACGACGCCCAGCCAAGGCAGGGACAAATTTGAGGAATTTTTTAGAAGGTAAAATTTGCAGGACTTGGCTGGGCACAATGGCTCACACCTGTAATCCCAGCACTTGGGAGGCCAAGGTGGGTGGGTCACCTGAGGTCAGTAGTTCAAGACCAGCCTAGCCAACATGGTGAAACCCCATCTCTACAAAACTACAAAAATTAGCCAGGCATGATGGTGGGTGCCTGTACTTCCAGCTACTTGGGAGGCTGAGGCAGGAGAATCTCTTGAATCCAGGAGGCGGAGGTTGCAGTGAGCCGAAATTGCACCATTGCACTCCAGCCTGGGTAACAGAGCGAGACTCCATCTCAAAAAAGAAAAAAAAAATTGTAGGACTTAGTGATTAACCTAATACAGTGAATAAGGAAGAGGGAGGAGGCAAAGGTGATTTGAAGGGTTCTAGATTGAGTGATTGGGTGGATGTGATGTCACGACTGGAGTAAAGAATATGGGGTACTATCTAGTTCAAGTGGGGAGCTGATGTGGTGGTTAATTTTATGTGTCAACTTGAGTGGAGCAAAGGGTGTCCAGATATTTGGCCAAACATTATTCTGGGGGTGTCTGTGAGGGTGGTTCTAGATGAGATTAACACATTGATAGACCGAGTAAAACTGATTGCCTTCCTCAGTGTGGGTGAGTCTCTTCCAGTCTGTTGGAGGCCTTTATAGAACAAAAGGCAGGGTAAGGGAGAATTCATTTTCTCTGCCTGACTGTTTCTGAGCTGGGACATTGGTCTTCTCTTGCAGGTGAACTGGAACTTACACCTTGCTTCTCCTGTTCTCAGGAGACTTGGACTGGAACTATACCACCAGCTGTCTCGGATCTCCGGCTTGCAGACGGCACATCATGGGACTTCTCAGTCTCCATCACTGCATGAGCCAATTCCTTATAATAAATCTCTGTCTCTCTCATTATACATATCTTGGAGAACCCTCAGGAACCTTGACTAATACACAAGATAAATTCAGTTTTAATTGTATGTGAGGCATTGTGGTGGAGATATATACTAGATACCCACACGCAAGTGGGCAAAGGTCTGGGATCAAAATATCTATTTGGGAATCTTCAGCATATGGGTGATAGTTGAAATCATAAAAGTGGTTGAACTCTTCTGGGACTCTCATATATTGTAATAGGATGAACGGCAGAAAGAACAGATACAGATACATGTAGGTTGGTTAATCTGATGGTTGGAATGTGGACTTCGTATTCGATGTACTTGGTGTGTGTGTCTTTGTTTATAATGAAGTCAATTACTCAGTAATGTGCATATAATAAATTCCGTAGTGTGTGTGGTTCAGTCACTCTACTAGTTTTTAAAACTGTTCCGCTAAAGCTCTCAGTTGAAAGAACCCATGGTGGTGTTGTTATACATAAATATCTTTACTTGATAGACCTCATTGACTACAGTCAGGATTCTGGTAGATAAATTGGGCAGATGAGATGACCTCCCAACCCTTCTCTGGTGCTTTCTGAATAAGGCCTGTGTTTGTCTGGCTGTACCATACATTTTATTTTCTCTTTCATTCATTTCTAAGCCTCAGCAACAACCCCCTTCTCCAACACCTTGATATAAATTGCCTTCAAACTCTAATAGAACTTGAGAATGTTGATAACCTCAAACTATGGTATCCTGATGTTTCCATAGTAACTAATGCACACCAAGGGGGAAAAGATGCGAGAATAAATGAGAATAGCATTTTAACAAAATAAGTGAGGGGCAAAGAGGCTTTAGACATGTTATTACCTCTTGTTTAGGAATATGAAAATATTCATCTCCTTAATAATGGGGTTATAAAAGTTGCTACAATGAGACTTGTCAGTAGCCATTTATATTTCATTTTTCTCTATAATCATCATCATCAAAAGCATTTAAATGCTTCTCTGCCCAACAATACTGTAGAGAGTGAGTTAAATGGACATAGTTGCCATTTTCCTGTGAACCTGCAATCACAATAGGACAGGGTAGGCCAATGTCTGTATTCCAGTCTCCCCAGCAGAGTTTTGACCTAGTGGATATTAGGAGGAATGGGGATTCAAAGAAGACAAATCAGTGTTGTGGCATTTGTTTGCTTTGATACAAGACTTTACTAGCATCTCAGCACTTCCTTGGTTAAAGGGTGGGAGAATAGGGTGCTGCTGTTTCTTCTTTCCTATTTCATAAAAAGGAGGCTTTCTGTAAGCCAGGAAGAGAGCACTCTCAAGTAATCAAATTGGCTGGCACCTTGATCTGGGACTTCCAGTCTCCAGAACTCTGAGAAAATACATTTGCGTTGTTTAAGCCAGTGAGTCTGTGGTATTTTGTTATGGCAGCCTGAGCAGCCTATACACCGGTCAGTGTACATGCACAACCGATTAAGCTATTGTTAGATAGGAATAGATTTAGTAAGGGTGAAGAGAAGACTTTTTATTTTATGTATTTGTTTGAGACAGAGTCTCTCTGTCATCCAGGATGGAGTGCAGTGGTGTGATCATGGCTCACATCAGCCTTGACCTTCCAGGCTCAAGTGATCCTCCCACCTCAGTCTCCTGAGTAGCTGGGACCACAGGCATGTGCCACCATGCCTGGCAAATTTTTGTATTCTTTGTAGAGATGGGGTTTCACCATGTTGCCCAGGCTGGTCTTGAACTCCCTCTTGCCTTGACCTCCTAAAGTGTTGGGATTATAGGTGTGAGCCACCATGCCCGGCCTAATATTTTTATTTTAGAATTAGAGAGATTAGGCCAGGCACAGTGGCTCACGCCTGTAATCCCAGTACTTTGAGAGGCCGAGGTGGGTGGATCACTTGAGGTCAGGAGTTCGAGACCAGCCTGACCAACATGGTGAAACCCTGTCTCTACTAAAAATACAAAAATTAGCCAGGTGTGGTGGTACGTGCCTGTAATCCCAGCTACTCAGGAGGCTGAGGCAGAAGAATTGCTTGAACCCGGGAGGTGGAGGTTGCAGTGAGCCGAGATCACGCTATTGCATTCCAGCCTGGATGACAGAGTGAGACTCTGTCTCAAAAAAAAAAAAAAAAAATTAGAGAGATTAAATTTCCACAGATAAGTGTAATAACTGGTGGGGTATCTATCTAACCCAGAACAGAAACACAGAAAGTAGAGGGACAGAAAGTATACTGAACAGCTCCAGGTAAGGTAGATAGCATGGCTGGGATTCCGCTTAACCTGATACTTTCCCCATTTAGAAGAGAAAGGTTAAAAAGCACATTCTTCTTCTTTGTCTTCTTTTTTTTTTCATACTCATATCACCTTTTGAAAATTAGTCTTCAGTTTAGCTTTTGTGCAATGAATTCAGAGGTTAGAAGCAAGATGTTTTGGGAGGTAGGGTGAGGCTCATCAGTGAGAATGAAAGCCAATTTCCTAGACTTGCCTGGGGAAGGTATATTAGAACGGGGGCCATTTGTTCTCAATGTTCAACTCCCACTTATGAGTGAGAACATGCAGTGTTTGGTTTTCTTTTCCTGTGTTAGTTTGCTGAAGATGATGGCTTCCAGCTTCATTCATATCCCAGCCAAGGACATGATCTCATTCCTTTTTATGGCTGCGTAGTATTCCATGGTGTATATGTACCACATTTTCTTTATCCAGTCTATAATTGATGGGCATTTGGGTTGGTTCCACAAACCTGCACGTTCTGCACATGTATCCCATTTTTTTTTAGAAGAAATAAAGAAAAAAGAAAAGAAAAGAAAAAAAAGAATGGGGACCATTTATCTTGGATGGCCAGAGGTTTGGTAGACATCCTCAAGTTTAGACAGGCCTTAGAGTTCAGATGAAAAAGGAGTGTATCTTCATATTAGAGGCTCAGTTTGGACAAGGGAAATTTCAGTGTGTGTGTGTGTGTGTGTGTGTGTGTTTAAAATTTGTGAAATTTGATCTTACAGTCACTGGGAGAAGGCAGAAATTTTGAGGAAAAGGAGTCCTCAATAAAGCATTCTTTTACCCTAAGGTATTTGGTCTCTTGTCATTATTACATCCAAATTAAAACAAGACAAGGAACTATGTATTCCTTGATAAAATGGTCTTCACTTGTAATCTGTATTAGAGTACTTAAAACTCCTGATCAATCAATTATATATCGTACATTGAAATGTACTTAAAATTTTGTCACTGCAACTTTTTCACACCTCCAATTATCCTTATTTATTTATTTTTTGAGACAGAATCTCCCTCTGTTTCCTGGGTGGGAGTACAGTGGTGTGATTATAGCTGACTGCAGCCTTGACCTCCTGGGCTCAAACGATCCTCCCAGGCTCAAGCAATCCTCCCAGTTCAGCCTCCCAAGTAGCTGAGACTACAGGTGTGCACCACCATGCCCAGCTAATTTTTTGACTTTTTTGTAGAGATAGGGATCTCGCCACATTGCCCAGACTGATACCGAACTCCTTGGCTCAAGTGATCCACTTGCCTTGGCCTTCCAAACTGCTGGGATTACAGTTGTGAAACACCACACCTGACCTAATTTCTTTTTAGTTTTTTCACTGTGTGGGATTCAGAGTCTAATAGATTGCTGAAATACATATTTAATACCTCAGTTTTAAATATAAGAAATATGATAATATTATATCCAATTGTAGCTGTGCAGAGGTTTGGCTTAAGATCCAAATACTATAGCTCAGCCGGGCACAGTGGCTCACGCCTGTAATCCCAGCACTTTGGGAGGCCAAGATGAGCGGATCACCTGAGGTCAGGAGTTCAAGACCAGCTTGGCCAACATGGTGAAATCCCATCTCTACTAAAAATACAAAAATTAGCTGGGTGTGTTGAGACTTGCCTGTAATCCCAGCTACTTGGGAGGCTGAGGCAGGAGAATTGCTTGAATCCAGCAGGCAGAGGTTGCAGTGAGCTGAGATCGTGCCACTGCACCCCAGCCTGGGCAACAAGAGCAAGACTCTGTCTCAAAAAAACAAGTATAGTTTTGTACAATATACTGATATAAAAATTAATATTTTTGTATAGCTAATATAGGCACATGGAGCAAAGTTCCAAAGTTATCAAAGGGCATACACTGAAAATTAGGTCTCTCTTTCTCCCTTATCTCCAAGTTCTCCAGTTCCTTCCCCTGAAGGTAACCACTATTACAAGTTTCTTACGTTTCCTTTTACAAATATTCCACAGTGCATTGATTCTGGAACAAGACATTTCCCCCTCCTTAGCAAGCTCTCAGTATCTGGCAGCAAAAAATGTTGCTCTTCAAGGTGAAAAACTAATGTTCCGAGTAGTAGCATGGAACAGTGACCACTCTTGTTCCTTCTCAAACTCCTCCTTAGAAACCATATTCCCAGACCGGATCAGCAGACATTTGTCTAAACTACTTCTAGCTGGACATAACATGAACACAGACACCTTTATCATGAGTGTACAAGAACCCAAACACCTAACACATCCAGAAGTTTAATATTTATTTAGTGCATATGTGTAAAAAAGTAGGTGCTTTTGGTAGGTTGTTGAGCAAGGAGGGGGTTGTGGTTTTATGCAAGATGGAATCAGGGAGAAATTATTCACTCTTTTCCAAGAAGTTGGAGAGGATTTCATCAAAGAGGTGCTGTGTAAATGACAGAAAGGAGATGCAGAGAAGGTATTACAGCATGAGTTGTGGTCTGGGAGAAATGTTGGAATTGGGGTTTGGGATAAAAGAAAGACGGTAGTGTTGAGTGTTGACTCGTGAAGAGCAAGGGGAGGCATTAGATTGACAGGAGGAGGCAGTGAAGGGAGAGTGAGGTAATATGGGATTTGCATTTGTAGATAATGAAGGCTTATATAGGACCTGTGGACAGAAGTCAGTAAAGAACTCTGTATTTACTATGCTTCCTATATTCCTAGCACTGCTGTTGGAACTATCACTTGGTCTAGAATTTTTCTCTGAGGCACTAAAGAATGGATTGTGGGTCTGGGCGCGGTGGCTCACGCCTATAATCCCAGCACTTTGGGAGGTCGAGGTGGGTGGATCACTTGAGGCCAGGAGTTCGAGACCAGCCTGGCCAACATGGTGAAACCCTGTCTCTACTAAAAATACAAAAATTAGCCAGGCATGGTGGCATGTGCCTGTAATTCCAGCTACTCGGGAGGCTGAGGCAGGAGAATCACTTGAACCCGGGAGGTGGAGGTAGCAGTGAGCCGAGATCTTGCCATTGCACTCCAGCCTGGGTGACAGAGTAAGACTCTGTCTCAAAAAAAAAAAAAAAAAATGGATTGTGGGATAGTATGGTGGGTTTCCTACATCATGTTCTTCTCACAGGTTGACTCTATTTACTAAACAGTCATAACGCTCCGTAATAACTTGTTATGCATCTATGATCCACACATTTATTTAAAGCAGGGTTCCTTAGCCTTGCCCCTATTGGCATTCTGGTTTGAATAACTCCTTGTTGCGGCAAGCTGTCCTGTGCATTATAAGATGCTTAGCAGCATCTTTGATGCCAGTAACACTCTCCCAAAAATGTCTTTAGACATTGGCAAATATCCCTTCGGAAGGGGGCAAAATCACCCTCATGGGGAACCACTAATATAAAACCTCACAAACCTATGTTTTGTTCTGGAAATTGTAAATTCCCCCCACATTTTTTTTTTTTTTTTTTTTTTTGGAGACGGAATTTTGCTCTTGCCCAGCTATTTTTGTATTTTCAGTAGAGATGGGGTTTCTCCATGTTGGTCAGGCTGGTCTCGAACTCCCGACCTCAGGTGATCCGCCTGCCTCGGCCTCCCAAAAAACTCCTTTAAAAAATTAACATCTAAACTGGATGTGGTGGTGCTCATCTGTAGTCCCAGGTACTCCAGAGGCTGGGGTGGGAGGATCTCGAGCCCAGGAATTAAAGGCTGTAGTGCGCCATGATTGAGCCTGTGAATAGTCACTGCACTCCAGCCTGGGGAACACAGCAAGACCCTGTCTCAAAAAATTAACATTTAAAAATCTTTATCAAAATAATGCATTGGGCTGGGTAAGGTGGCTCCCGCCTATAATTCTAGCACTTTGGGAGGCTGAGGAGGGTGGATTGCTTGAGCCCAGGAGTTCAATACCAGCTTGGGCAACATAGCAAGACCCCCATCTCTACAAAAAATTTTTAAAAAATTAGCTGGGCATGGTGGCATGCATCTGTAGTCCCAGTTACTCAGGAAGCTGAGGTGGGACGATGGCTTGAACCTGGGAGGTTGAGGTTGCAGTGAGCCATGATTGCACCATTGCACTCCAGCCTGGGTGACACAGCAAGACCCATCTTGAAAATAATAATAATAATAATCATGATAATAATGCATTTATGTAAATAAAAATCACTCATAATAGAAAGCAACTATCTCCTGCCTTGCCCCTGCCTACCTGTAGTCCCATTCCCTAAGAACTGCCACTTAACTGTTTCTGGTTTGGGTTTTTCTAATGATTTCTGCCATATACATTCACCTGTTTATCCATTTACTTAAACAATATATTAGTTGAGCACTGTGTTTGTTTGCTCGGGCTGCCATCACAAAATACCACTGGGTGGCTTAAACAATAGAAATTAATTTTCTCACCATTCTGGAGGCTGCAAGTTCAAGATCAAGGTGCTGGCAGGGCTGGTTTCCTTTGAGGGCCACCAGGGAAGGATCTGTTCCAGGCCTCTCTCCTTGGCTTGCAGATGGTTGCTGTCTTGCTGCCTCCGAACCTGGTTGTCCCTCTATGCATGTGTGTCCCTGGTGTCTCTTCCTCTTCTAAGGACACTAGTCATATTGGAGCAGGGCCATACCCCAATGGCCTCAGTTTAATTTAATCACCTTAGTGAAGACCTTATCTCCAAACATAGTTTCATACTGAGGTACTGGCATTTCAGTACATGAATTTTGGGGGACACTATTCAACCCATAGCAAGTACCTACTGTGTGCCAGTCACTGTTCTAAACACTGGGCATGGAACAGCCAACAAAACGGATGAAAATCTCTGCTCTTGGCTGGCGTGGTGGCTCAAGCCTGTAATCCCAGCACTTTGGGAGGCCGAGGCAGGTGGATCACCTGAGGTCGGGAGTTTGAGACCAGCCTGGCCAACGTGGCGAAACCCCATCTCTACTAAAAGTACAAAAAATAGCCGGGCATGGTGGCAGGTGCCTGTAATCCCAGTTACTTGGGAGGCTGAGGCAGGAGAATCGCTTGAACCTGGGAGGTGGAAGTTGCAGTGAGCCAAGATTGCAGCACTGCAATCCAGCCTGGGTGACAGAGTGAGACTCTGTCTCAAAAACAAAAACAAATAGAGTAGCCAGGGAAAACCTCTCTGAGAAGTCGACATTTGAGTAAGGACCTGAAGAAGGTGATAGAGAAAGTCATGCAAATGTCTGGGGAAGGATAATTCTAGGCAGAAAGAACAGCTGGTGCCAAGGTCCTGAGGTGGGAACATGTCCAGTTTGTTCAAGGAACAGCAAGGAGGCTCCTGGGGCTGGTGTGAAATGAGCAAGGGGGAGTAGCAGGAGCTGCAGGGGTCGGGGGATGGTGAGGCAGATGATGGCATAAGGCCTAGTAAACCATTGTTATGGCTTTGGCTTTTGTTCTGAGTGAGATAGCAAGCCATTGGACAAGTCATGGGTGGAGGTAGGTTTCAAAAGAATCTCTCTAGCTGCTCTGTGAATAACAGACTAAAAGGGGGTTAGGGAGGAAGCAGGGAGACCAGTAAGGGGAATGTTGCAATAATCCATTTTTTCTGAATCCTTCCTTGGTTTACCAGCTCTAGACATCCTCTATTGAGCTGCTCTGATAGGTGGGGATTTAGCTCACTTCTGCTGCAGCACTGCCTTTTTCTTCCTGCTAATACATCACTAGTTTTAGTTTCTCTGTTTAGGTCCTTTCCCCAGAGGCAATCATTCTAATGGTATCTTTTTGTTTGCATGCCTTTTTGGTTATCTTTGTGCCTTTTTTTTTTTTTGAGACAAAGTCTTGCTCTGTTGCCCAGGCTGGAGTGCAGTTATGTGATCATAGCTCACTGCAGCCTCGACTTCCTGGGCTCAAGTGATCCTCCCATCTCAGCCTTCTGAGTAGCTGGGGTGACAGACTTGCATCACCATGCCCAGCTAATTTTTTGATTTTTTTTAGAGACAAGTGTCGCCATGTTGCCCAGGCTAGTCTTGAACTCCTGGGCTCCAGCAATCCACCACCTCAGGCTCCAAAAGCCCTGTGATTACAGGCATGAGCCACTGTGCCTGGTCTCTTTGTGCCTTTATATAAGGTACATAAACCTCTATTTCTTGTTCATCTATAGATAATATCTCTTAATTGTACACTTTCTAAAATTAGAGTATTAGTGCCGCTACACATCCTTCCACCTCCCCTCATTCTATTTTCCAACTTCTGTAAGCTATGCTTTTATATTAAGTTTTTAACATTTCCTTTATACTTTGTAATCATAGTTAAATTTCCTGTGATTTGTCTCTAGGTTAGATTCCAAAAGTTGAAAACCAATAAAGATAGTATTTACATTGTTATAATTATATAAATATTTTTCAGTGTAAAGCCAAGGGATGTGCCTTGATTGCATTTTCTTCTTTATAGTTCCAATGTCACAACCTCCATCAATAACTCTATATCATTCCATATTCTAGCTGCCTTTATTATTAGAAAATGGCATTCTTGATTGCCTTTTTTTGTAGTTAAGCTAGATATATGCCTTCTTTACCATATCTCTGCTATCTTCCAGCTTCTTCCTTATTTTGTCTATTGCTTAGAATAAAGTCCATTCTTCTTAAAGCCCACTTCCTGTGTTAGTTCTTTTGTTGTCGTTGTCGTTGTTGTTGTTGTTGTTTTTCTTTTTCTTTTTTTTTTTTTTTATGAAGATGGAATCTTGCTCTGTCGCCCAAGCTGGAGTGCATGATCTGGGCCCATTGCAGCCTCCGCCTCCTGTGTTCAAGTGATTCTCCTGCCTCAGCCTCCCGAGTAGCTGGGATTACAGGCATGCACAACCACGCCTGGCTAATTTTTGTATTTCTAGTAGAGGCGGGGTTTCACCATGTTGGCCAGGGTGGTCCCAAACTCTTGTCAAGAGGTGATCTGCTCACCTCGGCCTCCCAAAGTACTGGGATTACAGGTGCAAGCCACTGCACCTGGCCTAAAAGTTGTATTTTATTAATATAAATGTTTAGACTTAATATTTAGGGGACACTTGCCTGTCGGCACATAGATAGTTAATTATTGAGAAAATATATATATATTTTTAACAAGAGTGTTCTTTATTTGTACAAAGCATCTTTGTGAATAAAGAATCTTCTCAGCATTCTTTATTCACAAACTTTTCACTATATTTATTTAACAAGTTAACAGTGTCAAACTACATGTTACTACCTGTCAAGCCCCAAGCGTTCAACTTAGAGACAAACAAAAAGTGCTTGGAGCACTGAATGGAAACAGAAAAAGGCTAAGAAAGGCCAACAGAGATATTTTAGAAGCAGTCAAAGAGGATGGTTTGGGGAGAGTTAGATTCCTGAGCAACATCAGATTTCCCTTAAGGTTCAGAGGGCCTTCACAAAATAATTTTTAGTAGACATGAGACAAAATTAGCTGGGCTTGGTGGCATGCATCTGTAGTCCCAGATACTCGGGAGGCTCAGGCAGGAGGATGACTTGAGCCCAGGAGTTCAAGCAGGCAGTGAGCTATGATCATGCCACTGTACTCCACCCTGGGCCAGAGTGAGAGAGAGACCCTATCTCTTAAAAAAATAAATAAATATGGCGGAGGGGCGCCAGCCATTGCTGAGGCTTGAGTAGGTAAACAAAGCTGCCGGGAAGCTCGAACTGGGTGGAGCCCACCGCAGCTCAAGGAGGCCTGCCTGCTTCTGTAGACTCCACCTCTGGGGGCAGGGCATAGCTGAACAAAAGGCAGCAGAAACTTCTGCAGACTTAAATGTCCCTGTCTGACAGCTTTGAAGAGAGTAGTGGTTCTCCCAGCATGGAGTTTAAGATCTGAGAACAGACAGACTGCCTCCTCAAGTGGGTCCCTGACCCCCGAGTAGCCTAACTGGGAGGCACCTCCCAATAGGGGCCTACAGACATCTCACACGGCCGGGTGCCCCTCTGAGACGAAGCTTCCAGAGGAATGATCAGGCAGCAACATTTGCTATTCTGCAATATTTGCTGTTCTGCAGCCTCCACTGGTGATACCCAGGCAAACAGGGTCTGGAGTGGACCTCCAGCAAACTCCAACAGACCTGCAGCTAAGGGTCCTGACTGTTAGAAGGAAAACTAACTAACAGAAAGGACAACCACACCAAAACCCCATCTGTACGTCACCATCATCAAAGACCAAAGGTAGATAAACCACAAAGATGGGGGGAATCCAGAGCAGAAAAGCTGAAAATTCTAAAAATCAGAGTGCCTCTTCTCCTCCAAAGGAATGCAGCTCCTCACCAGCAATGGAACAAAGCTGGATGGAGAATGACTTTGACAAGTTGAGAGAAGAAGGCTTCAGACAATCAAACATCTCTGAGCTAAAGGAGGATGTTCGAACCCATCGCAAAGAAGCTAAAAACCCGGAAAAAAGATTAGGCAAATGGCTAACTAGAATAATCAGTGTAGAGAAGTCCTTAAATGACCTGATGGAGCTGAAAACCATGGCATGAGAACTACATGATGCGTGCACAAGCTTCAGGAGCCGATTCAATCAACTGGAAGAAAGGGTATCAGTGATAGAAGATCAAATGAATGAAATGAAGCAAGAAGAGAAGTTTAGAGAAAAAAGAGTAAAAACAAATGAACAAAGCCTCCAAGAAATATGGGACTATGTGAAAAGACCAAATCTACGTCTGATTGGTGTACCTGAAAGAGACAGGGAACGGAACCAAGTTGGAGAACACTCTGCAGGATATAATCCAGGAGAACTTCCACAAACTAGCAAGGCAGGCCAAAATTCAAATTCAGGAAATACAGAGAACGCCACAAAGATACTCCTCAAGAAGAGCAACTCCAAGACAAGTAATTGTCAGATTCACCAAAGATGAAATGAAGGAAAAAATGTTAAGGGGAGCCAGAGAGAAATTTCAGGTTACCCACAAAGGGAAGCCCATCAGACTAACAGCAGATCTCTCGGCAGAAACTCTACAAGCCAGAAGAGAGTGGGGGCCAATATTCAACATTCTTAAAGAAAAGAATTTTCAACCCAGAATTTCATATCCAGCCAAACTCAGCTTCATAAGTGAAGGAGAAATAAAATCCTTTACAGACAAGCAAATGCTGAGAGATTTTGTCACCACCAGGCCTGCCTTACAAGAGCTCCTGAAGGAAGCACTAAACATGGAAAGGAACAACCGGTACCAGCCACTGCAAAAACATGCCAAATTGTAAAGACCATCGATACTAGGAAGAAACTGCATCAACTAACGAGCAAAATAACCAGCTAACATCATAATGACAGGATCAAAATCACACATAACAATATTAACCTTAAATGTAAATGGACTAAATGTTCCAATTAAAAGACACAGACTGGCAAATTGGATAAAGAGTCAAGACCCATCAGTGTGCTGTATTCAGGAAACCCATCTCACGTGCAGAGACACATATAGGCTCAAAATAAAGGGATGGAGGAAGATCTACCAAGCAAATGCAAAACAAAAAAAAAGGAGGGATTGCAATCCTAGTTTCTGATAAAACAGACTTTCAACCAACAAAGATCAGAAGAGACAAAGAAGGCCATTACATAATGGTAAAGGGATCAATTCAACAAGAAGAGCTAACTATCCTAAATATATATGCATCCAATACAGGAGCACCCAGATTCATAAAGCAAGTCCTTAGAGGCCTACAAAGAGACTTAGATTCCCACACAATAATAATGGGAGACTTTAACACCCCACTGTCAACATTAGACAGATCAACGAGACAGAAAGTTAACAAGGATATCCAGGAATTGAACTCAGCTCTGTACCAAGTGGACCTAATAGACATCTACCGAACTCTCCAGCCTAAATCAACAGAATATACATTCTTCTCAGCACCACATCGCACTTATTCCAAAATTGACCACATAGTTGGAAGTAAAGCACTCCTCAGCAAATGTAAAAGAACAGAAATTATAACAAACTGTCTCTCAGACCACAGTGCAATCAAACTAGAACTCAGGATGAAGAAACTCACTCAAAATCACTCAACTACATGGAAACTGAACAACCTGCTCCTGAATGACTACTGGGTACATAACAAAATGAAGGCAGAAATAAAGATGTTCTTTGAAACCAACGAGAACAAAGACACAACATACCAGAATCTCTGGGACACATTTAAAGCAGTGTGTAGAGGGACATTTATGGCACTAAATGCCCACAAGAGAAAGCAGGAAAGATCTAAAATTGACACCCTAACATCACAATTAAAAGAACTAGAGAAGCAAGAGCAAACACATTCAAAAGCTAGCAGAAGGCAAGAAATAACTAAGATCAGAGCAGAACTGAAGGAGATAGAGACACAAAAAAACCCTTCAAAAAATCAATGAATCCAGGAGCTGGTTTTTTGAAAAGATCACCAAAATTGATAGACTGCTAGCAAGACTAATAAAGAAGAAAAGAGAGAAGAATCAAATAGATGCAATAAAAATGCTAAAGGTGTTATCACCACCGATCCCACAGAAATACAAACTACCATCAGAGAATACCATAAACACCTCTATGCAAATAAACTAGAAAATCTAGAAGATACAGATAAATTCCTGGACACATACACCCTCCCAAGACTAAACCAGGAAGAAGTTGAATCTCTGAATAGACCAATAACAGGCTCTGAAATTGAGGCAATAATTAATAGCTTACCAACCAAAAAACGTCCAGGACCAGATGGATTCACAGCCGAATTCTACCAGAGGTACAAGGAGGAACAGGTACCATTCCTTCTGAAACTATTCCAATCAATAGAAAAAGAGGGAATCCTCCCTAACTCATTTTATGAGGCCAGCATCATCCTGATACCAAAGCCTGACAGAGACACAACAAAAAAAGGGAATTTTAGACCAATATCCCTGATGAATATCGATGCAAATATCCTCAATAAAATACTGGCAAACCAAATCCAGCAACACATCAAAAAGCTTATCCACCATGATCAAGTGGGCTTCATCCCTGGGATGCAAGGCTGGTTCAACATATGCAAATCAATAAACGTAATCCATCATATAAACAGAACCAAAGACAAAAACCACATGATTATCTCAATAGATGCAGAAAAGGCCTTTGACAAAATTCAACAGCCCTTCATGCTAAAAAATCTCAATAAATTAGGTATTGATGGGATGTATCTCAAAATAATAAGAGCTATTTATGACAAACCCACAACCAATATCATACTGAATGGGCAAAAACTGGAAGCATTCCCTTTGAAAACTGGCACAAGACAGGGATGCCCTCTCACCACTCCTATTCAACACAGTGTTGGAAGTTCTGGCCAGGGCAATCAGGCAGGAGAAAGAAATAAAGGGTATTCAATTAGGAAAAGAGGAAGTCAAATTGTCCCTGTTTGCAGATGACATGATTGGATATTTAGAAAACCCCATCATCTCAGCCCAAAATCTCCTTAAGCTGATAAGCAACTTCAGCAAAGTCTCAGGATACAAAATCAATGTGCAAAAATCACAAGCATTCCTATACACCAATAACAACCAGAGAGCCAAATCATGAGTGAACTCCCATTCACAATTGCTTCAAAGAGAATAAAATATCTAGGAATCCAACTTACAAGGGATGTGAAGGACCTCTTCAAGGAGAACTACAAACCACTGCTCAACGAAATAAAAGAGGACACAAACAAATGGAAGAACATTCCATGCTCATGGATAGGAAGAATCAATATCATGAAAATGGCCATACTGCCCAAGGTAATTTATGGATTCAATGCCATCCCCATCAAGCTACCAAGGACTTTCTTCACAGAATTGGAAAAAATTACTTTAAAGTTCATACGGAACCAAAAAAGAGCCCGCATTGCCAAGACAATCCTAAGCAAAAAGAACATAGCTGGAGGCATCATGCTACCTGACTTCAAACTATACTACAAGGCTACAGTAACCAAAACAGCATGGTACTGGTTCCAAAACAGAGATATAGACCAGTGGAACAGAACAGAGGCCTCAGAAATAACACCACACATCTACAACCATCTGATTTTTGACAAACCTGAAAAAAACAAGAAATGGGGAAAGGATTCCCTATTTAATAAATGGTGCTGGGAAAACTGGCTAGCCATATGTAGAAAGCTGAAACTGGATCCCTTCCTTATACCTTATACAAAAATTAATTCAAGATGGATTAAAGACTTAAATGTTAGACCTAAAACCATAAAATCCCTAGAAGAAAACCTAGGAATACCATTCAGGACATAGGCATGGGCAAGGACTTCATATCTAAAACACCAAAATCAATGGCAACAAAACCCAAAACTGACAAATGGGATCTAATTAAACTAAAGAGCTTCTGCACAGCAAAAGAAACTACCATCAGAGTGAGTAGGCAACCTACAGAATGGGAGAAAATTTTTGCAATCTACCCATCTGACAAAGGGCTAATATCCAGAATCTACAAAGAACTTAAACAAATTTACAAGAAAAAAAATCAAACAACCCCATCAAAAAGTAGGCGAAGGACGCGAACAGACTCTTCTCAAAAGAAGACATTTATGCAGCCAAAAGACACATGAAAAAAAGGTCATCATCACTGGGCATCAGAGAAATGCAAATCAAAACCACAATGAGATACCATCTCACACCAGTTAGAATGGCGATCATTAAAAAGTCAGGAAACAACAGGTGCTGGAGAGGATGTGGAGAAATAGGAACACTTTTACACTGTTGGTGGCAGTGTAAACTAGTTCAACCATTGTGGAAGACAGTGTGGTGATTCCTCAAGGATCTAGAACTAAAATACCATTTGACCCAGCAATCCCATTACTGGGTATATACCCAAAGGATTATAAATCATGCTGCTATAAAGACCCATGCACACGTATGTTTATTGCAGCACTATTCACAATAGCAAAGACTTGGAACCAACCCAAATGTCCATCAATGATAGACTGGATTAAGAAAATGTGGCACATATACACCATGGAATACTATGCAGCCATAAAAAGGATGAGTTCATGTCCGTTGTAGGGACATGGATGAAGCTGGAAACCTTCATTCTCAGCAAACTATCGCAAGGACAGAAAATGAAACACTGCATGTTCTCCCTCATAGGTGGGAACTGACCAATGAGAACACTTGGACACAGGAAGGGGAACATCACACACCAGGGCCTGTCGTGGGGTGGGGGGAGGGGGGAGGGATGGCATTAAGAGATATACCTAATATAAATGACAAGTTAATGGGTGCAGCACACCAACATGGCACATGTATACATTTGTAACAAACCTGCACGTTGTGCACATGTACCCTAGAACTTAAAGTATAATTAAATAAATAAATAAATAAACAAGGCCGGGCATGGTGGCTTACGCCTGTAATCCCAGCACTTTGGGAGGCCGAGGCGGGTGGATCATGAGGTCAGGAGATTGAGACCATCCTGGCCAACATGGTGAAACCCTGTCTCTACTAAAATGCAAAAAATTAGCTGGACATGCTGGTGCGCACCTGTAGTCCCAGCTACTTGAGAGGCTGAGGTAGGGGAATCACTTGAACCCAGGAGGTGGAGGTTACAGTGAGCTGAGATCATGCCACTGCACTCCAGCCTGGCTACAGAGCAAGACTCCATCTCAAAAACAAACAAACAAACAAACAAACAGCAACAACAACAACAACAAAAAGCATGATGAGATTAGAACCAAGGAATCAAGAGATCAGAGGAACTCACACTTTGGAGTACTAAGCAGGTAATCAAAGCTCCTAGACTGACATAAGTGAGAAAAGGAGGGAGAGCAGAAAGTGGGATGGGGAGCAGAGGAGAGGCAGAAGAGAGAAAGGAAGTAAGAGGCGCAGAGGGAGGAAGCTGTGCCTAGAGGAAATAAAGTTTGGAACTCATCATGAATTGAAGAATGAAAAGCCATAGTCACAAGTCTGGGAGATGGACTTCAAGAAGAGGAAGCCTGGGGTTTTACACCTTCCAGCAGGTGATGACAAATCCCAAAGCTGTACAGTAGCAGAGAGTAAGATACATGTGACACTATGCCATCTGTTTTTGTAAAAGTAAGACACTGGCACCCTTGCTTGACGAATACCATTTTAAACTGCTGATTTAAGAACATTTGTGACCAGATTACCCCCACCCCAGCAGGTCGAATTATCTACAGGCAATTTAGAAAGGTTTTGAGCCAAGTGGGTCTATGAAAAACAAAATTCAGTTAACGCTTCTGTCAAGTGAAGAGACAGAACAGATTTTGTTATTATCCCACAGCATTTTAGTAGTTTCCTAAAGCTTACTCATTCTGACCAGTCTTAGTAAGCTACTATTGTCAAAGACTGTGCAATCAAACATAGGCTGACCATAAGCAAAGCCCCAATTTTCCTGAGCTTTGGCTGCCTCTGTGATCTGGAACACATCAGGCAGCATGGAAGTTATTATTACTTATTTGGGGGAATAGGAAAGACTGCGGATCAAAAACCACCTAACCATACAAATAAGTAACCAAAAGTGATCAAACTGACTAATTTAGCCGTTCAGAATCCCTTTTGCCAAAAAGTCATAACCTTGAGGTTGATGAAGTAAAACAGGATTCTGCTACTCAGATGCTTTGAGTTTAGGAAGTGCTGGTTTTGATGGTATTTCTAGTCAGTTTTTATTCTGATCTTTTCAGGCACTTCTGCCTGAGACTACTCTGCCCAGCATGAAAAAGCTTCACAGAAACATGTAGCACATCTCATCTCAAGTGGTACCTTCCAAGATGCCACAGTCTCCTGCCCTATTCAGTTGTCTACTTCTTCCTCTTCGTTCTGTTCTTCTTCCAGCCTTTCTTCATCTTCATCATTGTTCTCATCTCTGCTCTTGTCTTGCTCTTCCGAGTCTGTTTTTTTGTCTTTGTCCTTCTTCTTTTGCTCTGAGGCCCCCTTCTTGCCTTTCTGCTCCTGCCTATATGCATCCAGAGCTTCTTTTTTTTTTCTTTTTTTCTTTTATTTATTTATTTATTTATTTATTTATTTATTTATTTATTTTTATTGATCATTCTTGGGTGTTTCTCACAGAGGGGGATTTGGCAGGGTCATAGGACAATAGTGGAGGGAGGGTCAGCAGATAAACAAGTGAACAAAGGTCTCTGGTTTTCCTATGCAGAGGACCCTGCGGCCTTCCGCAGTGTTTGTGTCCCTGGGTACTTGAGATTAGGGAGTGGTGATGACTCTTAACGAGCATGCTGCCTTCAAGCATCTGTTTAACAAAGCACATCTTGCACCACCCTTAATCCATTTAACCCTGAGTGGACACAGCACATGTTTCAGAGAGCACAGGGTTGGGGGTAAGGTCACCGATCAACAGGATCACAAGGCAGAAGAATTTTTCTTAGTACAGAACAAAATGAAAAGTCTCCCGTGTCTACCTCTTTCTACACAGACATGGCAACCATCCGATTTCTCAATCCTTTCCCCGCCTTTACCTCCTTTCTATTCCACAAAACCGCCACTGTCATCATGGCCCGTTCTCAATGAGCTGTTGGGTACACCTCCCAGACGGGGTGGTGGCTGGGCAGAGGGGCTCCTCACTTCCCAGTAGGGGCGGCCGGGCAGAGGCGCCCCTCACCTCCCAGACCGGGCGGCTGGCCGGGTGGGGGGCTGACCCCCCCACCTCCCTCCCGGGCGGGGCGGCTGGCCGGGTGGGGGGCTGACCCCCCCCACCTCCCTCCCGGACGGGGCGGCTGGCCGGGCGGGGGGCTCACACCCCCACCTCCCTCCCGGAAGGGGCGGCTGGCCGGGCGGGGGGGCTGAACCCCCCACCTCCCTCCCGGACAGGGCGGCTGGCCGGGCGGGGGGCTGACCCCCCCACCTCCCTCCCGGACGGGGCGGCTGGCCGGGCGGGGGGGCTGAACCCCCCACCTCCCTCCCGGACGGGGCGGCTGGCCGGGCGGGGGGCTGACCCCCCCATCTCCCTCCTGGACGGGGCGGCTGGCCGGGCAGAGGGGCTGCTCACTTCCCAGTAGGGGCGGCTGGGCAGAGGCGCCCCTCACCTCCCGGACGGGGCGGCTGGCCGGGCAGGGGGCTGACTCCCCCACCTCCCTCCCGGACGGGGCTGCTGGCCGGGCGGGGGGCTCACACCCCCACCTCCCTCCCGGATGGGGCGGCTGGCCGGGCGGGGGGCTGACCCCCCCACCTCCTTCCCAGACGGGGCGGCTGGCCGGGCAGAGGGGCTCCTCACTTCCCAGTAGGGGCAGCCGGGCAGAGGCGCCCCTCACCTCCCGGATGGGGCGGCTGGCCGGGCGGGGGGCTGACCCTCCCCACCTCCCTCCCGGACGGGGCGGCTGGCCTGGCGGGGGCTGACCCCCACCTCCCTCCCGGATGGGGTGGCTGCCGGGCAGAGACGCTCCTCACTTCCCAGATGGGGTGGCTGCCGGGCGGAGGGGCTCCTCACTTCTCATATGGGGCCGTTGCCAGGCGGAGGGTCTCCTCACTTCTCAGACGGGGCGGCTGGGCAGAGACGCTCCTCACCTCCCAGACAGGGTTGCGGCTGGGTAGAGGCGCTCCTCACATCCCAGACGGGGCGGCGGGGCAGAGGCGCTCCCCACATCTCAGACGATGGGCAGCCAGGCAGAGACGCTCCTCACTTCCTAGATGGGATGGCGGCCGGGGAGAGGCGCTCCTCACTTCCTGGATGGGATGGCGGCCGGGCAGAGACGCTCCTCACTTTCCAGACTGGGTAGCCAGGCAGAGGGGCTCCTCACGTCCCAGACGATGGGCGTCCAGGCAGAGACGCTCCTCACTTCCCAGACGGGGTGGCGGCCGGGCAGAGGCTGCAATCTCGGCACTTTGGGAGGCCAAGGCAGGCGGCTGGGAGGTGGAGGTTGTAGCGAGCCGAGATCATGCCACTGCACTCCAGCCTGGGCACCATTGAGCACTGAGTGAACCAGACTCCGTCTGCAATCCCAGCACCTCGGGAGGCCGAGGCTGGCGGATCACTCGCGGTTAGGAGCTGGAGACCAGCCCGGCCAACACAGCGAAACCCCGTCTCCACCAAAAAAATACGAAAACCAGTCAGGCGTGGTGGCGCGCGCCTGCAATCGCAGGCACTCGGCAGGCTGAGGCAGGAGAATCAGGCAGGGAGGCTGCAGTGCGCCGAGATGGCAGCAGTACAGTCCAGCTTTGGCTCGGCATCAGTGGGAGACGGTGGAAAGAGAGGGAGAGGGAGACCGTGGGGAGAGGGAGAGGGAGAGGAGGGAGAGGGAGAGAGAGAGGGGGGAGAGGGAGAGGGAGAGGGGGGAGAGGGAGAGGGAGAGGGGGGAGAGGGAGAGGGAGAGGGAGAGCCAGAGCTGCTTTTTTAAAAATTTTTTTTTATTTTTTATTTTTTCTGAGACGGAGTCTCACTCTGTCACCAGGCTGGAGTGCAGTGGCGCAATCTCGGCTCACTGCAACCTCCGCCTCCTAGATTCAAGTGATTCCCCTGCCTCAGCCTCCCGAGTAGCTGGGACTACAGGTGCGCACCACCACACCTGGCTAATTTTTGTATTTTTAGTAGAGACGGGGTTTCACCATGTTGGCCAGGCTGGTCTCAAACTCCCGGCCCCAAGCAATCCACGCGCCTCGGCCTCCCAAAGTGCTGGGATTACAGGCGTGAGCTAGTGTGCCCGGCCTCAAGAAAATATTTTAATGTAAAATTTCCATTGAAATATTCCCACATATAGGAAGGCAGTGGTCTGCTCTTTTCTGTATGAATGTTATATACCATTATTTTTAATAGTTGCATAGTACTGTACTATGTAGATTTCCAATAGTTAATGGCCTTTTTTGTTTGCTAATTTTTGCAATTACACATACACAATTATGCACATTCACAAACAATTGCAATGTGTGTAGTGAACATCTTTGAACATATATCTTTGAACATTTGTGCGAGTATTTCTAGATAGAAGTAGGATTGTTGGGTCAGTGGTTGTGTAATGCAAAAATGTTAAAAGATACCGCCAAATAGCCCTGCTGAAAGATTTTTACCAGTTTACTCCTCTACCAATGGTATTCGAGAAGCTACAACCCTTTGAGGCAAGATCTCCTTAAGAAGTTGGAGACTCTGCTATGCATAGTTGAGAATTTGACTCTGCACTGTTTTGTATTTATCTTTAATGACTTCATAGGTGCTAGTCTTTTTGCCCCTAGAATATTTTAAGTTCCTTGGAGGCTGGGATCATGTCATATACTTCCTTGGTATTTCCCATATTGCCTAGTACAGGCTGAGCAAACTATGGCTGTTGCTTAATACATACTTCATGATTGATTGATAAACTGGTTCTATTTTTGGGCTGCACAGTGATTGAGGTGAGCTCTTGGAATGAGAGAGCTGGGCAGAGTCAGAGACTAGGGCTGTGCCGGGTCAGTATCAGATGCTGTCACTTGCACATCAAGTTTAGACCGTAATCTGAGAATCTAAATGTATAAAGCACCTACTACAATCCCTGGCTCAGAGGAGGTCCCCAATAAATGATTTCTATTGCTGTTATGATTCTCTTTTAATGAGAGGATTGTCTTAGGGCTACTGTTGAGGGTTCAAGCATAGGACCTAAAGCCATCCCAGGCAGAGTCAGAAATCCACAGTCCAGAGATGAAGTCAAATTGGGAACCAGTGGGAGCAGCCAGGCATCTGAGGCAGAAACAGAGACCTGCGTTTGGGCAGTTCACTTGCATTGTGATGAACACTTTCCTGGCCATCCCAGGCTGTTTTTTGGGGGGCTTTCTGCATGTTTGGCTTTCATGCAAAAGTATCTTTTTTGTTTGTTTTTGAGACGGAGTCTTGCTCTGTCGCCCAGGCTGGAGTGCAGTGGCGCAATCTCAGCCCACTGCAACCTTTGTCTCCCGGGTGGAAGCGATTGTTGTGCCTCAGCCTCCCAAGTAGCTGGGATTATAGGCACCTGCCACCAAGCCCAGCCAATTTTTGTGTTTTTATTAGAGTCGGGGTTTCGCCGTGTTGGTCAGGCTGGTCTTGAACTGCTGACCTCAGGTGATCCACCCGCCTCAGCCCCCCAAAGTTCTGGGATTACAAGCGTGAGCCACCGCGCCTGGCCATGCGAGGACATCTTTAAGGTGCTGCTTAGTTCCCAAGAGAAGCCAACAATCTCAGCACAGGGCTGTGAACATAGGAGGTGCTCAGTGAAAGCAATCCCATTTACCTTTTGCCTGTTGAAACAGATAATGTGGCAGGAATGTCAATGATTTACTTGAGAAGAGGAGGCTAAGGATCAGCCATTCTACTAGAACAAGATTACTATCCAGGCTTTCCCCAGTCCCAGGTGGGGTAGGGGGCTGGGAAACCCAGTCAGATAAGGATTCAATTCAGTGATGAATTTAGAGGTTATGAAAACGTGGTGGTACATGGATGACAAGGACTCTATACAGTGAAGAATGGGTCTCATTTTTTCTACCTCTCTACCCCAGTCAGCAGGATGGCTAAGGGAGGGAGATGGGAGGGGGCAGTAATGGAGATGTCATTATAACATACAGCATTGACTGTGTCTCTCTTCCATGCCAGACAGTTAGCACACAATTCCCTTTATAACTCCATGATATAGGTATTAGCTTTATTTTACAGATGAAGAAATAGTCTCAGAAAGGATAAATTACTTGCCACAGGTTATACAAGCTATTACGTAGCAGAGCCAGGATTTGAACCGAGGCCTGTCTGGCCATAAGGCTTATGTGCTTTCTGAGCTACCTACCATCCTGGATCTTCTATGTCAGTGATAGCAGCCCAGGCCTCAGAGAAACAGATGTTGCTTAAGAATACTAGCTCATCATGCGTGGGTAGGGCATTCCGTGGTTCATTCTTTTGTTCATCAATTCGTTCTACACACACATGCATTTATAGCCAGAAAGCAGAAAGAGATGTGCAAGTCAGAGAGGTGGGGTGGAAAGGGCTGTGTGTGTGGGGAGGAGGGCAAAGTGACATGACAAGTTTGAGGCTACAGAAAATAGAGAATAAAGGAGCTATCATGAGCTCAAAAGCAGGATGGGGGCTGATGCTTTATGTCTGCTCCTGGATGTAGTACTGAATGGGTCTCCGGGTGGTTACAGAAGAGTCTTTGAAGCAACACTAACAGGAAAGCTTCAACCCAGTGGTGGCACTCAGGATCAAACAGCACATTACACCTACACCTACACACGCCTACACACACACACACACACACACAAACACACACACATGAAGAATAAATGTGGAGACAGGTATTTTTAAACAAATACTCCAGAACATACATGATAACACAAGGAGCTGTCTTATAAACTGGAAGGCTATACCTTGATTTTTGTGGTGTTTCTAGTGCTCATCACATGACTATAACCCCTTTTCTTCTCTCTCTTTCTTTCTTTCTTTCTTTCTCTCCCTCTCTCTCTCTCTCTCTCTCTCTTAGATGGAATCTCGCTCTGTCGTCCAGGCTGGAGTGCAGTGGAGCGATCTGGGCTCATTGCAACCTCCGCCTCCCAGATTCAAGTGATTCTCATGCTCAGCCTCCTGAGTAGCTGGGATTACAGGCACCTGCCACCATGCCTGGCTAGAGATAGGGTTTCACCATGTTGGCCAGGCTGGTCTCAAACTCCTGTCCTCAAGTGATCTGCCTGCCTTGGCCTCCCATAGTGCTGGGATTACAGACGTGAGCCACTGTGCCCGGCCTATAACCTCTTTTCAAAAGAGCCAACACTGACTTGGATGTAAAAAGTGGGAAGTCTGTTGAAAAGAGAAGAGAAAAGAATAGGAAAAAACAGTCTCAGTTTATAGTCACAATTTAGTTGTGTGTGTGTATTAAGACTTTAAGGATTATATAAAATGATGTAACTACATAGGAGGAAGTACTATGGGATGTTTGTCCACATAAATTTTCCTTATTTTTCTTTGAGTGTTGAGAATAAATAATAACAGATTGTAATAAAACAAGCCTGACTCACATAGCCACTTAGTCCGAGAGGGAATGTGACCCAGAGCAGGGAGGGACAGAGCTCAGGAATGTGTCACCATGACACATCGATTCCAGGACTCCTCAGGCTTCACCTGCACCTGAGCTATGGACAAAATATGTTTGAGTGCTACAGAGGCTTATTTTTCACTGCTCCATAGTCAGAAGGATGGCAGCTGGGGTGACCATACTATTCCTAAGGGCATCTGATATACATAGGCTTGGAAATCCACAGGGCTGATGAGGTTTAGGGAAGTTCTTCTCCCTCCCATACCAAGTGTGTGCAATACCAGCACCCTCCAGAATTCAAAGCGGGAGAATTGGAGGCAATGATACTGATCGTACACTTCATGAGGAATAAACTGTTGATCATAATCAGCATGAGTGCTAAGGAACAATGGAAGCTTTATAAAGACAAACCTTCCTTTGCAAGTTAATTACAACACATCTCAGAATTACCTAGTGTTTTTTAAATCCTTTAAGAATTTTGAAGGGTGCCATGAAAGTGTCAAATGTAATTATTATGTAGCTTTTTGTTTCATATTGTGTGGGACACATATACTGTAAAGGAAAAATAGTTCTTGACCATGTATGTGGTCCTTCAACTAACATACAACTGCCTTAGGAAGAGCTTTGGCAGTCTCTTCTGTACTAATTCCAAATACCAAATCTCTAAAACTTTGAAATTTTTATCACGCTTAGGAAAACCTAGGCTGGTAATGTAGGCATTCTCCTCCAATCTTCAACCTTTTCTCTTATCTCCTCTTACACTTGGAAAGGAGATGCCACCTTCAACCTTTTCTCATATTTCCTCTTATATTTGGAAGGCAGGAGCCATACTGGTGAAAACAGACCTAGTGTCTTTTAAAGTCACCCTATAGTATAATACTGTGGTTCTCAATTGTTTCCCCCCTTCAATCTCAAACTTTTTTTTTTTTTTTTTTAAGACAGGGTCTCTCTCTGTCGCCCAGGCTGGAGTGCAGTGGCATGATCTTGGCTCACTGCAACCTTCACCTCCTGGGTTCAAGTGATCCTCCTGCCTCAGCCTCCCTGGTAGCTGGGACTACAGGCGAGTCCCACCGCTCCCCGCTAACTTTTGTCTTTCTAGTAGAGACGGGTTTTGCCATGTTGGCCAGGCTGGTCTTGAACTCCTGACCTCAGGTGATCCACCTGCCTCGGCCTCCCAAAGTGCTGGGATTACAGGCGTGAGCCACCGCGCCCAGCCCAATCTCAAACTTTTAATGCATGCAACTCACTCGGATCAGTAGCAGTGGCTCATGGTGGCAGTAATGCAGAGCTGGGTGGCAGAAGGAAAAAATCAATCTGGTTGGTGGGTGGGAATTCTGCCTTGGATTCTCCCCTTAATCATCATAAGCTTTCCAAACCGAATAAAAATTTACAACCTTTTTGGCAATCTTTACTTCATTACCTACCTGGAAGAATTTATGTCCTCAGTGGAGTTTCTTTAACTCCATTAATGTCAATTAGTTGTTTTAGGTGCTGCAAAATGATAATACGTTCTTGGGGACATTTATCCTTTACAACATGCTTTTTATGCTTGTTTGTGTGTTTTGATTTGAAAGACTTAGAGATGCAGGCTAGGGTGACTGGGACAGATATGGGGTCCCTGGCTACTGAATGAGACTTGGGAGGCAGATGACTTGTTTTTATGCCGATAAAGAGTAAAATCTCAAGTTGCGGTTGATTTTAAAATGCAAGCAGGGCTGGAGAGGCCCATGGCAGACCTAGTTTGGGGTGAGCACCCGGATCTGTGAGCTAGTGTTGCTTCAGCATCTCACTGTGTGTGTGTGTGCGCGCGCGTGTGTGTGTGTGCGCGCGCGCGCGCGTGTGTGTAGGCTGGTTCCACCCTTTGCTGTCCCATCGGCACTACCCTTAACCTCCGTCTCTGCGTAACTATATTAATAGAAGGCAACACTTCACATACTGGCGCTCAGACCCCAAAGAGAGGCTGGCAGTGGCTTGGCAGGTGGGCATGCAGCAGGGAGATGGGTGGAGGAGTGGGCGGAGGCATCGTCGAGTGGCGTTAGGCAAAACCAATGGCAGTTCGGGATAGGGGCGGCCGGGGCGGAGGCGCCGAGGCCGATCGGCCAATAGAGGGCGAGCAACTACTGGAGCGACCTGGTGACGTGAGGAGCGTTCCATTTGGCCAGTGGTGGGCGGTTGCCACAGCTGGTTTAGGGCCCCGACCACTGGGGCCCCTTGTCAGGAGGAGACAGCCTCCCGGCCCGGGGAGGACAAGTCGCTGCCACCTTTGGCTGCCGACGTGATTCCCTGGGACGGTCCGTTTCCTGCCGTCAGCTGCCGGCCGAGTTGGGTCTCCGTGGTTCAGGTAACGAGGGGTGGGGGCGGGGGTCTCCTGGGCTCGGCTGCAGGGTGGGCTGCCTCCCCTTCCGCGGCGCCTGGAGGCGGGGACGTCGGCACCGCCCTTCTCAACTCGGCAGCCGCCGAGCCCCTGGCCCGGGGTGACTACACGTGGCGGGGCGTGTGTGAGTGTGTACGAGCGTGTGGCTGCGTGTGCGTGTGGATGTGGCGCGCGTCCCAACCTGCCTGGGGCGGTGGTCCGCGGCGTGGCGGAGTCAGGGCGGGCCTCGAGAGGCCGCGCCCGCGGCTCGGCCCCGGACTCCGGCCTCCGGCCTCCGGCCCCCCGCTGGGGAGCCGGTCGCTGCTTCCCGACGGATTTTGATCTTTGTTCTTCCAGGCCGGCTCCCCCTTCCTGGTCTCCCTTCTCCCGCTGGGCCGGTTTATCGGGAGGAGATTGTCTTCCAGGTTAGTTTTACACAAAGGACGGGTTCTCTGCACCTCTGGGCCCCCCTCCCCTTCCCCGAACCTTCTACCTTCTCGTTTCCCTGCTCCGCTCCTAGGCTGTTTTTGGACCTTTGCCCTCTCCAGCCCGCGAGTTGGCTGTTTCTCCCTCCGTCCGTCGGGCTGCAGGCTTCCGCCTCAGTCCTGCCAGCGTGGGGCATGTGGTGTCGGTAAATAGAGGCCACAACACCACACCTGAGCGGAGGAGAAGGGTAGCAGAGGCTGAGAAACTCTGGGCCTGGGAATTCAGGATGCTGAGTAGAGATGGTACTTAGGACATGTCCCAGAAAGCGCCCTTGTGACTTTTCTTAGCTGCTGCCATTCCCCACCCCCCAACCAGCCATCAGCAGTCACCAACCATTCCAGAATCTCTCCTGCTTAAGTCAGCCTTTCACCTACAGGTCTCTGATGTGGTTTCATTAAGATTCTCACAAATGTTAGGCTAGACCAGCCAGATTGTTTCATTTCCCGGACTCAGGAAGTTGCAGAGGGTTTGATGAGGGGAAATCTGTTTTGTGTAAATACAATGCACGTATGTGCACAGAGCGTCCAGAACCTCCTGGCCCTGCCAGAGGGTGACTTGTTCCCTGCTGTGATTCATATTCGAGTGGCTAATTGAAGAAAGAAGGTGAAGTGGAGGAAGGGAGGGAGGTTTTATAAGGACAGAAACTCTACTATTATTTTTAGAGTCCTTTTAATGATGTTGAAAGAACACTGTGGCATAGTGGAACATGCCCTTGACTGGAAGTTAGCAGTATCAGCATTGCTGCTGTGTGGTCCTGGATAAGTTATTTCCTCTCTCTGGTCCTCAGTTTACTCATTTACAAAACAAAGTATTAATAATTGGCACGATCACCTATAAAATCCTCTCTAGTTCCAAGGTTCTGTGATGATCAGATCATCAGCATTAGATTGGAAGCATAGAGGCTTATTTAAGAAGAAATACTAGCCCCTTTCCTTTTTTGAGAACCTTTTATCATACCTTCTTTTAGAGAACAAACACGAATTGGAAATAAACTTTTCCCACTTCCCCGTCCCCACCCCTTCAGTCAGTTTTCAACTTTCTGTCTCTGGGAAAGGAGGGTTGAACTGTATTTTCTTATTATTGCCTCATTTTTTTTTCTTTTTCTGCTTTTTCTTAGGGCTAGCAATTGGACTTTTGATGATGTTTGACCCAGCGGCAGGAATAGCAGGCAACGTGATTTCAAAGCTGGGCTCAGCCTCTGTTTCTTCTCTCGTGTAATCGCAAAACCCATTTTGGAGCAGGAATTCCAATCATGTCTGTGATGGTGGTGAGAAAGAAGGTGACACGGAAATGGGAGAAACTCCCAGGCAGGAACACCTTTTGCTGTGATGGCCGCGTCATGATGGCCCGGCAAAAGGGCATTTTCTACCTGACCCTTTTCCTCATCCTGGGGACATGTACACTCTTCTTCGCCTTTGAGTGAGTTTCGGTTGAGTAGAGTTACCTGATTATGGTTACTTTGGGTCCAGGGGAAGAACCTGCTTTCTGGGGAGTTTGGGGCTGGTCCTTGGATGACTTTAACGTCCTCTTGAGCGATGTCTGTAGAGATGCCAGCTGAATTCATTGCTTCGTGGTCATCACAGAGTATGTACTTCCTAAAAAGACCAATACCTTTGATACCAATTTTGTAGTACTGATTTGGGGCTGTCCTTGATAGACTTGGGAAATAAGAAAGTTTGTCTTAATTACTCACCTCTCCCTTTTAGTGGTCTCCTTAGAAGCTAAATGACAGATGGCCTCCCCTGCACACAAACCTGAGGGCACCCCTCATTGTTACATTACTCAGCAATCCTCACCTATTTTGTTATTCTGGGTCCTGTTTCCTTAAGGCTCAGCTCTCAGCTAGCTGGTACAGTGAAAAGCCAACTGAGTTGGGAACCTACAGATTAGTTCCAGCCTCAGCTGGACCACATACTAGTTGTGTGCGTGGCACATACGTGCTTATTAGAAGTGAGTTGCTCTTTCCCTCAAAATCACTCAACGTAAACAGCTCTATATTCTGTGTATGTCTGGTACCAGCCTTGGAGTGATTTTTTTTCTGTGGTGTAATACCTCGTACTCGAGCCACTGTTTGAAGTCTGTGTAGGTCTCGTCTCTAGGGGAGGTGGCCGGCTGGATTCTAGGGCACTGTGGCGTGTCTCCTGGGTGTGCTGAGAATGCTCTACACTCTAGGGATGGGAGCATTGCTAATTGTTTTGGGATTACTGTGAGGAGGCCTTTGAGAGCCAAGAGGTGTGTGTGTGGACTGTAAGCCACACCTGAGGTGAGCGTGCTATGGTGTATGTACATGGGTGACCTGGAAATGGAGGGCTTATGCTGGGGTGTGTCCATGGGAGGTAGGAGGGGGCACCTTGGCCAGCCTAGTGGGGAAGTAAAATGAGCTCTGGTCCCTTGGGGCTCATTTTTGTCCTTCTGTGAGGGCTTCAGGCTTTCCCAGTGCACCCAGAGTGATTTTTGGGCTGCTTTGCCAGACTTTTGGGTGGTTGCAGCTGGCTTGAGTAACAGCAGGGGGAGGGAGATCCAGTTTATAACGGGGCTGGGAAAGTAAGGTCAGAGGAACTCTTTGTTAAAGGTCCTTTTGCTGCTGCCGCCGCTACTGCTGACTTTGTGAAGTGTTTAGTGAAGTCAGGCAGGTTGCTGAAGGCTTCTTATTTGCTTTCCAGTTTGAGTTTCCTGAATGAGTGTGTGTGTGTGCATATGTGCACGCACGTGCTTGTGTGTGGTACCAGTGAGCATGTGTAGTCAGGCAGGCATAAGCCCCTAGCATTAAAAATTGTTTTTCCTTCTCCTCACCCTTCTCTCCAAGTATTCCTTGCCTCATTCCTGTCCTGCTTCTTCTTGGAAGTGCAAAGCTGACATCTGTTCTTTATCATTCTTCCTCTCTTTTTCTCTTTTTGTCCCCACCCCCACCTCCAGGTTAAATTTTTATTACAACTATTCCAAACAGAGATGAGCCTTGTTCCCAGGCTTTGAGTTAGTTGGTAGTTCTGGGCCCAGGAAACCTCTGGTTTGACTGGCCAGGGGTACTTGAAATTTGGAGGTATTGCCATTTGTCCCCTTTTGTATCTGGGAGCCAGCAGAAGAATCTGACTGGAATCTGTTCCACTGAGGCCCCTGCAGGCCTCTGAAGAAAACCGCTGGTGGGATGAAGCTTCTAATTAGCCAAGTTACCATTTGACAGAGGCAGGTTGAGTTTTCTACCATGATGACTTCCCCCCGCCCCAGGTTATTTCTTGCATTTTGAAGGGTGAGGTTATTTGTAAAACTTACTTGAGTACCAGCTGTCTGTGTGAAAGACTAAATATTTTTGAAGATAGGGCTGGAGGAGGGAGTAGTGGGAAGAAGAGGGGAGAAGGAAGTAAATGTGTTAGCAGAGGAGTGGAGGGGGGAGGTGGAAATGTGACCACAGAGGAGAGGACCCTGGTGATGAATACTTTGTACATGTGTGGATGTGCGTGCTTGTGTATGTGTGTGTGTGTCTGTCATATACAGACACATAGACACTTTAGGTGGTGGCTGCCTTGTGCCTAGCCAGTGACAGGTTGTACAAGGTACACCAGCATGCCTCTGAGGAATGAAATCTCCTTCTGGTCGGCCTTTTTCTTTGGCATCTATAATTTCCTGTCCACCACATAGTGGGGGCAGGGTTTGGGGAGCAGAATGTGGGCTGCTTTGTTAGTATTAGGACTTAGCGCAGTGGCTCATGCCTGTAATCCCAGCACTTGGGGAGGCCGAGGCAGGCAGATCACTTGAGGTCAGGAGTTCGAGACCAGCCTGGCCAACATGGTAAAACCCCCGTCTCTACTAAAAATACAAAAATTAGCCCCGTGTGGCTGTTGTGCGCCTGTAGTCCCAGCTACTCGGAAGGCTGAGGCAGGAGAATCCCTTGCACCTGGGAGGCGGAGGTTGCAGTGAGCTGAGATCTTAGCCTGGATGACAGAGTGAGACTCTGTCTTAAAAAAAAAAAAAAAAAAGAACTTAGTGAGGCCTCAGGAAATCAGTTGATCTAGCCCCCTGCCTTCAGGCAGGTGAGGGTGTCTGAATAGACAAATGGTGATCTATTTTCATTCTTACATTGTCTAGGAGTAGAGACTCCACATCCTCTGGCTGCTGTATTTTTACCTTGTGGGAAGATAGTCCAAATCTTGAGGCACATCTGGAGCTGCATTTTAGTAGCAGGGTCCTGCTTGCAGCAGGTGCTTAGGAACAAGTGTGAGTTGATTTATAGCTGCCTGCAGCACAGCTCTGGGCCAGCCAGATGGCTTGAGAAGTCTGGTCAGGCATGTGGGTGCCCCTTAATGAAAAACGCATAATGTTAGCAGTGCTGGCAGATGTCCTTTTATTTTTGGATTATGCCTTTACATATCTTCTAGAAGACTTTTCAAATGAGTGACCTGTAATTTTCAGTGGACACATAGTAGATTGAATACATAAAACAAAAAAAGTTGTCCATCCTGGGGCCAGTTAGCTCTGTATTGTTAGAGTGTTTCTTTTTTTTTTTAATTATTTTTTATTTTTTATTTATTTTTTGAGACAGGGCCTTGCCCCATCACCCAGGCTGGAGTGCAGTGGCATGATCTCTGCTTTTGCAACCTCTGCCTCCCGGGTTCAAGCACTTCTCCTGCCTCAGCCTCCCGAGTAGCTGGGATTACAGACACCTGCCAAATACAAATAATTTTTGTATTTTCAGTAGAGACAGGGTTTCACCATGTTGGCCAGGCTTGTCTCGAACTCCTGACCTCAAGTTATCCACCTGCCTCAGCCTCCCCAAGTGCTGGGATTACAGGCATGAGCCACTGCGCCCGGCCTGTTAGAGGTGTTTCTGAAGAAGCCGGGGGGTCTCTCTCGGGCCGCTGTCACCGAGTAGAAATTTGGCCAAATATTCACTAAGCCTCTTGCAACTCCAAGAACCTGAAATTCTGTATAACTCTGTGTCTGTCTGGAAGACTCAAATACACACAAAAGGAGATTATAGATTACCAGTAGGTTGCTATATTTAAATATAATTGTATTCATGGTAAACGTATTTAAGTTTAAAAGCAGAGTGAAAAATGGTATAATGCTTAAAGAAAAAGGATTTTCTAATTAATTCTTAGGGTGAGGTATTTAAGAAATGTGAGTGTGTATTGCTAGTTTCAGCTTTGAGCACATGAACAATTTTCAGTTCTTTCTGCTTAAGCTCTATCCAGCTTGTGCGATGAACACATAGCTACCAGCTTGGCCTGAAGTGTTAGGACACTGTAGCAGAATGCCACTGACAACCTAGGAGACATCCAGCTACTGAAAGGCTATCGTGGTATTCAGTCAAATTCAACTTCCTGATAAAGTGTGATCCTGGAGAAAGGAACAAGTGCACTGTCTCCTGGAATTGGCTTCCAGCTTTCTCTTTTAGCTTTCTGACCTGGCCACTAGTGGGATCAAGGTCCTCAGACTTCTCTTGTGGCAAGAATGACTATGAGACTCTTGACCCCTGAAGCAGAAGCAGTTTGCTGCTATAATCAGTGCTTATGGTCTCACTGTGTCCTCTGTATATGAAGGAAATCTTATCAAGGCACTGTCAGACCAGGTTCTGTCAGGTTGGTCCCCATTAGAGCTTTTGATGTATATATTGGCAGAAGAGTCATTGAATTGGATGAACTGAAAACAGCTTTGTAACACTGCTTAGTAATCAATAGTAATCAATACAAACAATACTTTTCTAGCCTATCCAAATTCTACCCCTCTTTCAAATTCTTTCTTGAGTCTTTCTTCATGAAAACTTTCCAGTAATTTCTGCATTCATTGGGCTAATTGTACACACCGCTCATTCAACAGATAATCACATGACATTTCTTATAGTTTGGAGCTATATGGTGATTACACTTCTCACTGTTGTTGTCCCCCGCAGCTAGTCTCTTTCAAGGTCAGAGACTATGTTCAATGGCTGTGTAGCCCCCACAGTGCTCTCTACCATGCCTTACATAGAGTAGATGGCCAATAAGTGTTGCTGAATTAAAACATTCTAGATGTACTTAAAATTTAACAATCTTGACCCACAGAATCATAGGATGGTAGATCTGGAAAGGGCTTTGGAGACTATCTCCCTCCTTGTGTGGGGTGAGGAAACCAGGCCCACAGAAGTGAGTTTCCTTTATCAAGATGAGTTGACCAGCCAACGTCTCTATACTGACTCAGGGCTTTTTCTTCTAATTTCGACATTTTATCTCATTGTTCATTGTTACCCTTTGGCTATGGAATCCTGAAGATATTCAAACACACATGCTTTAGTAAAGTGTACATAGTACCAAATACTAGGCCAGCATATTCCAGATTCTTGCGAGCTAGTGTGTGTGTTACCCAGTGGCATCTAGGCTCTTTGGGTCTCCCAAGCTTATGCTCCTAGAAAATGAAGGCATCTTTGCAGAGAACTGATGGTATTGCAGCATGGCATTTCTGGTAGCCTTGCAGGAACAGGGAAGCCTATCAGGAGCTTTGTGAGTTAACAAGGGATCATCACTGCTGTGGCCACTCCTGGTCCCTGCTGCCAAGATGAGGATGGCTTGGAGAAAAATCAAGCAATGTGTGCTCTGTACATTGTTACTTAGTGACTTATCCTGATGAAAGGGGCAGTGTGGGCTGGGCGCAGTGGCTCATGCCTGTAATCCCAGCACTTTGGGATGCTGAGGCAGGTGGATCACTTGAGGTCAGGAGTTCGAGACCAGCCGGGCCAACATGGTGAAACCCTGTCTCTACTAAAAGTACAAAAAGTCAGCTGGGCTTGGTGGTGCACACCTGTATTCCCAGCTACTTGGGAGGCTGAGGCAGGAGAATCACTTGAACTTGGGAGGCGGAGGTTGCAGTGAGCCGAGATTGTGCCATTGCACTCCAGCCTGGGCAACAAAACAAGAACAAAACTCCATCTAAATAAATAAATAAATAAATAAAATAGAAAAAAGAAAGAGGAGGTGTGTCTGGCAGACAGGTGAAATAGAAAAAGCAGACCTGATAATATGAACTTACTAGGTTTGAGGAGACACAAGACTATGTAGACCAAAGCCAAACTTTGACATACCAGAATGTTAGTGCCCACAGTGACAAGGTCCAGGTTCCTGAAGAGCATCCTTATGTGAGATTGGGAAGAGGAAAAAGTGACTATATTGTGCTCTGTAACCAAGAGTGCATTCTCTGGGGAATGACTCTATGGAGGTCAGTCTTGGCTTTATCTAGCTTCGGATTCTGTCTGTGACTTGACTAACCAAATGAGTTTTAGAAAGGCATAGTTGCCTCTTTGGTATCAATCTGTTACAGTACTTAGCTAAACTTAACTTCCTGATGAAGTATGTTCCTTGAGAGAGAGTTCTTCCCAAGAGTTCCTTGGGTTGTATCTCCTGAACAGTTTGCTTTCTTTTTCTTTTCTTTTTCTTTTTTTTTCTTTGAGACGGAGTTTCATTCTTGTTGCCCAGGCTGGAGTGCAATGGCACAATCTCGGCTCACTGCAACCTCCGCCTCCCGGGTTCAAGCGATTCTCCTGCCTCAGCCTCCTGAGTAGCTGGGATTACAGGCATGCGCCACCACGCCTTGCTAATTTTGTATTTTTTAGTAGAGACAGAGTTTCTCCGTGTTGGCCAGGCTGGTCTCGAACTCCTGACTTCAGGTGATCCGCCCGCCTCTGCCTCCCAAAGTGCTGGGATTACAGGCGTGAGCTACTGCACCTGGCGGCAGTTTGCTTTCTTTTAATAATTCTTTTTTTTCCTCTTTTTTTTTTTTTTTTTGAGATAGGGTCTCCCTCTCTTGCCTAGGCTGGAGTGCAGTGGTGTGATCTTGGCTCACTGCATCCTCTGCCTCCTGGGCTTAAACAGTCCTCCCACCTCAGCCTCCCAAGTATCTGGGACTACAGGAGTGAGCCACTATGCCTGACTAAGTTTTGTATTTTTTGTAGAGACAGGATCTCACCATCTTGCCCAGGCTGGTCTTGAACTCCTGAGCTCAAGTGATCCAACAGCCTTGGCCTCCCAAAGTGCTGGGATTACAGGTGTAAGCCACCATGCCTGGCTCCTTTAATAATTCTTTATGGTTCTGTCATTCAGAATTTCTCTACATTTTCAGCCTCTATTTCCTTTTGTGGTAATGAGTTTCACATTTTCAGTCTCCACTGAATGCCTCTCCCATCTTTTGAGGATGAGTCTTAATTAAATATAGTGATCCTCTGTTTTGGGAAAAGCAAGCCCAGAGAACAGGGATGTTCCCCAACATGCTGACATCAGTTGAGATGTTATTGAGGGAAAGAAGAGACTCCTAAATCTTTCTCCTCAGAGATGCTGGTGCTGGTATTGTGCTTAAGAACAAAGGAGGTACCTTAGGCTATTTGCAGTAGCAAGAAGCTAGCTAATTCAGGGTAATTAATTAGTGGGATGTTTCTGGAATGGAGTGGGGAAGACAGGGCCCCTATGATGATGATTAGATAAGGCCAGTTAATGGAGAGCCTTGGAATACTGACCTGTGGAGTTTGGGGCATAATATAATAGGCAGCAGTGAATGGTTCTAAGTTCTCGAGCAGGGGTATATTGTAACTGAAATTTGAACTTTGTTATTATAACTGAAATTTGGAAACTACTGAGCGGGTTTACCTGGATAGAGATTTTGATGAGAGGATGGCTTCTCACTTCAGAATTGAAAGTGTCCCTGTTTGGTTAATTTTCTTTATTGCTACTGGAGCAAAAGAGGGTTGTGCATTTTTCTCTGACCTTCACATAGAAGTAAATCTGGAGGCTGATTGTAAATTATGTTTTTAGTGTTAAGGGAAACTTCCCCTCTCAGCAGACTCTGAGGGTCATCAGAAGAATCTTGAAACAGTCTTAATGGGTGGTTCTACATGTTTATTGTCTTCTAGAGGTAGTGTCTTAGTCTGTTCTGGCTGCTGTAAGAAACTACCATCGACTGGGTGGCTTATAAACAACAGAAATTTGTGTCTCATAGTTCTGGAGGCTGGCAAGTACAAGATCAAGATGCCTGCAGGTTTGGTGACTGATGAAGGCCTGCTTTCTGGTTCATAGATGGCTGTCTTCTCTCCCTTGCCAAAGGGGCAAGGGAGCTTGCCAGGATTTCTTTTATAAGGATGCTAATCCCATTCATGAGGGTGGAGCCTTAGGTGACCTAATCACCCCCCAAAGGCCCCACCTCCAAAATCCATCACATTGGATGTTAAGATTTCAACATATGAATTTTGCAGGGATACAGACATTCAGTAAGTAGCAGGTAGGTAGTAAGAGGACAGATGGCCATCCATATCAGGGAGGTATTATAGCAAAGGCTTATTTCTCCCATGTGTGACCAAAGAGTATCATGGGGCTCTGATCCTTGGGCCTTCTTCCTTAAAGCCATACTTACCAGCTGCTACTGGAGCAGTTTCAAGCAGCCAGCAGCTCCCCTACAGAGCTCTTCCCTGACCACTTACAGCCCTTAGAGGCTGAGTCACCATTCTAACACTTGATTATCGGTCATCTTATTCTTTAGCTGTTTCATATTTCAGTTATGTTTTCCCCAACAAAATTAACTCCTATTTCCCTTGTTCTTCATTTGTTAGTCCAACAAGTACTTGTTGGCTGACTGATTACATTGATAAAAGAACAAACAAACCAAAAAACATAGCAAGAAAGCTGTTAGGGAGACTTAGAAGCAGTGTATTGTACAGAACACCAATCCAAGCTGCCAATCCGTAAGGCATAGCTCTCTGTCTAGATTCTTACCCATTCTACTCATGAATCTCTTCTGAGTGTTTTCATGTGAATTGAAGTCTGTGTCATTATCATCATCCCTCCAGTGAACTAGCATGCTAGGGATGGGGGATGGGACACGACACATGAGCCCAGCCTGGCACTGATGGTTACTGCTGGTCAGTACCACCGTGCCGCCTGAGGGGACATGTGGGAGTCCAGTTGTCTAGTCCAGCTATGGTAGCCTGAGGACAGTCAAGAAGTCAGTAGAGGATGGTTTAAAATGATGATGTCTCTTCAGGTGGCAGAAATGAAGACTTAGTTGGGACATGGTTGCATTTATAAAATTCACAAGGGAGAAAAGGAACTCTAATCCCCAGGAAGGAGAAAGGCCTCTTGGTACTTTGAATACAGGAGAGTTCTGTTTTAAGAAGTATATGGATATTATTATTCCATGGAGTGATATAGGGAGTTTCAGAAACAATTAGCTTATATTCGTGGATGACAGATCTGACCTAGTCTTTTTTTTTTTTTTTTTTTTGAGGTGGAGTCTTGCTCTGTCACCAGGCTGGAGTGCAGTGGTGCAATCTCAGCTCACTGCAACCTCCGCCTCATGGGTTCAAGTGATTCTCCTGTCTCAGCTTCCCGAGTAAGCTGGGATTACAGGTGCATGCCACCACGTCCGGCTTATGTATTTATTTATTTATTTATTTATTTATTTTTGAGACGGAGTCTTGCACTGTCACCCAGGCTGGAGTGCAGTGGCACGATCTCCGCTCACTGCAAGCTCCACCTCCCGGGTTCACACCATTCTCCTGCCTCAGCCTCCCAAGTAGCTGGGACTACAGGCACCCACCACCACGCCTGGCTAATTTTTTGTATTTTTAGTAGAGACGGGGTTTCACTGTGTTAGCCAGGGTGGTCTTGATCTCCTGACCTTGTGATCCACCCACCTCAGCCTCCCAAAGTGCTGGGATTACAGGCGTGAGCCACTGCACCCGGCCTTATTTTTGTGTTTTTAGTAGAGATGGGGTTTTGCCATGTTGGCCAGGATGGTCTTGAACTCCTGACCTCAGATGATCCACCTGCCTTGACCTCCCAAAGTGCTGGGATTACAGGTGTGAGCGACTGTGCCTGGCTGATCTAATCTTTATCTAAGACAAATTAGTGATGTTTGAGGATACTCCTGACTTTGGAGGTCTATATTGGGAATTACCACCAAACTTTCACGTAGCTTATTCTTGTCAGAGACAGACTTCCAGCTTATAGCAATTATGGGATTAGTCTAGGGTGATATTTTTGAAGTATTTTTTAAATTGACAAATATTTTATATATATATATAAAGATATATATACAAAGATATATATGTATACAATATGATGTTTTGATACATCTATACATTTGGAATAGTTAAATCAAGCTAATTAACATATGTATTACCTTACATACTTATTTTTTTAATGGTGAGAACGCTTAAAATCTACTCTCCTAGCAATTTTCTGGTATACAATATAGTGTTATTAACCATAGTCCGCATGTTGGGCAATAGATCTCATGAACTTATTCTTCCTTACTGAAATTTTATGTCCTTTGACAAACATCTTCCCAATCCTCCCTTCCCAATACCCCCGGTGGGGGTATTTTTTATCATAACTTTTGAAGACAAACACTATGGGTTGTAGTTCACAATAGTCTTAGTGGCTGGCGCTCGAAGTTTCCCCTTACTCAGAGTAGAAAGGCCTGCTAGTCCCACATCTGGCTTCCCAGCCACACCCACTCACTAGAGACGACTGGCTGCCAATAGCCTCATCTCTGGAGGAGAACAATACAATAGGCCTGTTGTGTACTTGTTGACATACAGAGTGGATTGTTTTAGCAGGTGCAGAAGATGCTCTGTGTGGAGATTACAGAGACCTTTATCCTTGATGGCATAGCGTAATTCAAATCTAAGTTGTCCTTTGTCTGGCCTACAAGCAGGTGTTGGAACTGGACTTAGTTAAGCTCGGGTCCTTCTGTGCAGCGGGGCAGCATTAATTTAGAATTTTTTGCTGTTGCTCTACTCACTCTGTATGTTTTCCCTTTAATAAAAAAATTAAGCTCTCTTTGGTGGCCAATCAGATACATCTGATTTTTAAGGCTTTTGATTGGAGACTATACATCCAGGGCAGTTTGCGTCCTGGAGACATTACTTCTTTGTTTTCAAGAATGATCTTAGTGATGGGCAGTGGCCAGGAAGATTCCTATTTGCTGTTAGTGTGGTAATTTCACTTGGCTTGTTCATGAAATGAAGCCTCATGCTTTTCCTGCATCCTTTGGGTTCCTGATAAGTGGAGGTGATTTTTGCTTCTGAATTCCCTTTTTGGTTAATCTGTACCAGTGAAAAGGAGTAGTGGAAAATAGGGTAATCCACAAGCTAGTGATATGTAAGAACCTTAATTACCCTGAACTCAGCTGCCAGATCCTTCAGTTCTCCAGTTTTCCCCCAACCCTTGGCTTTTAGGAGAAGGAAGTAAATCATTAAAAAAGCAACTTAAGATGAAGGATTTTGTTAAAAATAAGCAAGCAAGCAAACACAAAAGTCACGAAAATCATCCTTCAGGTTCAGTACATATGTGCACCTTCATCAAAAACTGCTTAGTCTAATATAAAACTTGGCTTGTGTCCCCCCATGAAGTTGTGTGTGTGGCAGGGAGCTAGGGGAAGACCTCATGGGGGTTGTTCCGAAACTGCAGAGAATATATAACCAGGAGTTAAACGTTTGCTTTGAATGGCCAGTAGCTTGCTTACTTCCCATGCTGATGAGGTAAGCGTTTTTCTTAGCTTACTTTCTCTGCTCTCTCTCTGCTCCTTGCTCATCCACTTATAGTCTGCCTCCAAGTGAAAACTCTGTTTTCAAGGAGAAATGTGCCTCAGGAGGAGGAGGATAAAAATAGGTCAGCGATAACTCTCCTTACATATTCCTATTTATTTTGTTTGAAATTCAGTTCAGATCAACAAGTATTTATTGATAGCTTCTTTGTTCCCTTACTTGTATTAAAGCTCTGGGAGATACAGAATCATGGTGTTAATGTTAATAGCTAACATTTTACTTAGTGTTTAGTATTTACTGTGTGTCAAGTGCAGTTCTAAGCACTTTATTTATACTAGTGCGTTTGATCCACACAATGACCTCATCAAGCACTGTTATTATCCTCATTTTATCGATAAGGAGACTGAAGTTAACTAAGTCACCCAACTAGGAGCTGGTAGAGCCAGAATTCAAACCGGAGCATTCCCAGTCCAATAAGACTAGGTCCTTGCTCTTAGGAAGTCCAGTTGAGGGAGATGCCATCAACATACTGAGAAATAGCTAGGAAATAATGCAAGGCTCTGGAAGTGAGGACCACAGGGAGTAGAGAAGAGAGAGATTAGTGCAGCTTAGCATAAGCCTTTTGGAGGAGGTAAGAATTCTCTAAGTCTCAGATTCTTCATCTATCAAATGGGTATAGTAGGATCTATTTCATAGATTTAGTGTGAGAATTGGATGGGATAATGTAGATGAAGAGCTTAGTGCAGTGCCTGTCTTATGGAGAGCCCTCAATAAATTATAGTTGCAATGATGACAATGATATTGATGTCTCTGGCACCTGAAAGATGAGTAGAGTTGGGATATTCAGAGAGGAAGAGAAATAGCTTGCCAGATGCATTATGAGGAAAGAGGGGAGTGAACATGATGTTGGGAAGGGGTACTAAGGATAAACGATTTTCTTATTTTCTTGCTGATGGTCATTAGTCACTTATTAGCTGAGCTAATTGAGGAGACCAGAGGAATGGATGTTGCAGAGTCAGTCAACAGCCCTGAAGGTTTTCACTGGTCTTGAAGCATGCTGAGATACTCTCTGTCTGACACTGTGAACCTGCTTTCTGGTTGGTCCTCATCTTTTCTCCCTCTTCATCAAGCTCAGCTTGAATGCCAGATCAGTGGTTATGAGAAGCCCTGGACATTCCCAGAGTGAGATCAACCTGTGTTGCTTAGAAATCCAGGTTCAGTTGCTTCCCTATTCTTAGCAGGTGTGAACCTTTCCTGAGGTAGAGGAAATGTAGCTCCCAGTGGGTTGATAGGATAGATTGGACTTGGGGGTAAGAGAGTGTCCTCAAGCGTGTCTTCTGTATGTTATAGGTGGCAGCAGTCAATTATTTGTTGAGCTCCTACTATGGGTAAAGCCATATGTTAGGGGTTTGGGGTAATTCAAGAGAAGAAACATGGTCCCTGCCCTTGAGGTGCTGCTGATTCTGTTGTGGGGGCCAGATTGACATACTGGTAACAATTGGAGATCAATATAGGGTAGGTATCATTAAATGCTGAATTGCCTGCTTTCTTCAGGTGCCGCTACCTGGCTGTTCAGCTGTCTCCTGCCATCCCTGTATTTGCTGCCATGCTCTTCCTTTTCTCCATGGCTACACTGTTGAGGACCAGCTTCAGTGACCCTGGAGTGATTCCTCGGGCGCTACCAGATGAAGCAGCTTTCATAGAAATGGAGATAGGTGAGTCTTCCAACCAGCTGGCAAGCTGCTGTGTAGTGGGTGGCCCTAATCAGTAAGAGAATGGAATCATAATAGTAGTTGCAGATTAATAATCACTTCTAGCCTTTTCTCTCTGAGATCCTGAATCTGAGATCATGACTACCCCGTGAATTTAGTAATGCAGGTCTAGCAACAGTCTAAAGTCATAGACTTTGTCCTTCACTGCATTTGGTCACATTTCAGGAAGGATTTGTTACCAAGGTCCTGCTGTATTGTTCCCAGGAGGATGGTTTTTTACTTTTTTGGGGGAGGTGGTCACCAACACATTTTTTTCTGAAGCAATGAAAGCACAGATTTATTATTTATTTATTTATTTATTTAGAGACAGAGCCTGGCTCTGTTACCAGGCTGAAGTGCAGTGGCGTGATCTTGGCTCACTGCAACCTCTGACTCCCAGGTTTAAGTGATTCTCCTGCCTCAGCCTCCCGAGTAGCTGGGATTACAGTCACATGCCACCACACCCAGCTAATTTTTGTATTTTTAGTAGAGACGGGGATTTCACTGTGTTGGCCAGGATGGTCTCGATCTCCTGACCTTGTGATCCGCCCGCCTTGATCTCCCAAATTGCTGGGATTACAGGCGTGAGCCACCACACCTGGCCAGCACAAATTTATTGAAACAAAAGTACACTCCACAGAGTGGGAGGGGGCTTGAGCAAGTGGCTCAAGAGCCACTTTTTGGTTTTTTGATGAAAGCTGTAAACCTTCTCCCCATAAAAATGCTCTTATATGCATGTACATGTACACAATTTTGTATGTAATTTCAGGGATTCATAGATCTTCTGAAGTTCATTCATGTCCCCCCCAACCAAGAATTCCTGCTTTAGGCCGGGCGCTGTGGCTCACGCCTGTAATCCCAGCACTTGGGGAGGCTGAGGCGGGCAGATCACTTGAGGTCAGGAGTTCAAGACTAGCCTGGCCAACATGGTGAAGCCCTGTCTCTACTTAAAATACAAAAATTAGCCGGGCATGGTGGCATGTGCCTGTAATCCCAGCTACTCGGGAGGCTGAGGCACGAGAATCGCTTGAACCTGGGAGGCGGAGGTTGCAGTGAGCCTAGATTGCGCCACTGCACTCCAGCCTGGGCAACAGAGCGAGAGTCCATCTCAAAAAACCAAACCAAAACAAACAAACAAAAAACGCTGCTTTAGGGGAACATGCAATGTGAAAGGGGGCAGCTGTGGTGCCAGGAACCACTGAGAATTCTAGGAGGGGTAAAAGAAGCAATTGCAGGCTCAGTAGAGTGCATACTGCAGCTCAGGATAAGGATCTTTGGTACAGAGATGAAGTGCTACATTATCTAGGAGCCAGGGTGGCTTCATGATTTGAAGCAGAACCATCCCAGGGCCAGAGGAGGAGATATCCTGGGATCTCACAGTGAGAAAGAAGACTATGATGCAAGTACTAGGAGGGAGTGGGAGCCCACCAGATCAACAGCAGTGCCTACCTAAATGGTTCTCAGGTTTGGTACCCAGGTAGCTTGAGTCAGCATCCAAGCTAGACAGAGTAAGAAAAAGGGACCCAGGACTTGTAAGACTAAGAAGCTGTGCCAGTAGAGCACCAATCTGTGGCTAGCCTTTAGTTCTTTGACGGTGCTTTGAAGGCTTCCATGTATTTCTTTTTTCTTTTTCTTTCCCTCCCTCCCTCCCTCCTTCCCTCCCTCCCTCCCTCCCTTCCTTCCTTCCTTCCTTTTTCCTTCCTTTCCTTCCTTTCTTCTTTTTTATTTTTCCTTCCTTTCTTCTTTTTTATTTTTCACAGTTTCACTCTGTCCCCCACGCTGGAGTGCAGTGGCGTGATCTCAGCTCACTGCAACCCCCACCTCCCAGGTTCAAGTGATTCTCGTGCCTCAGCCTCCAGAGTAGCTGGGATTATGGGCACCCGCCACCACTCCCAGCTAATTTTTGTATTTTTAGTAGAGACGGTGTTTCACCATATTGGCCAGGCTAGTCTTGAACTCCCGACCTCAAGTTATCCTCTCACCTTGGCCTTCCAAAGTTCTGGGATTACAGGCGTAAGCCACTGCGCCCGGCCCATGTATTTCTTTTGTTTATTTTAGCTGTGTTTTCCCTTAGGCTTCTTAATGGATTTCATTTTGAAAAATTCCAGCCTGTTTTAGTTGAGCTAAGGAGAAATGGGTTTGTGCACATGTGAGCTATAACTATTTGGGGGTGGGGTGAGGGTGGGGATAGTGGGAAGAGAGCAGAGGCGACGTGTGCTGGCACAGCTGGAGTTCTGGGGAGACCCGATAGAACTAGGAGTAGTTAGGAGCAAGATGGTGAGGAAGAGTTGTGAGTGCTGTTTTTTCTCCATCTGGATTATTCTTTTCCAGTTCCCTTCCCATTCACATATGGAGAAACTGAGGGTCAAGGCAGTACCTTGACTTGTCTCCTGCCTCTCACAGCAGGTTGTTAACAAAGTTAGCTCTTTTCTGCCTGATCACTGGGCCTGGGGCTCAGACTCAAGCAGTCACATTGTGGCCTCTGCATTTAGCATGTTTCTCTCACTAGAAGAGTACATTTTTCAGTTCATATGTATGTTTATGTTAGCAAGTTTTTGTCATCTTATATTCAGTCCTGTACTGGGTATGCTGTGGGTGGGGGATGGGGAGAGAGGAAGTCATGTGATGCCCTTGCCTGATACGGCCTCCTGAGAAAGGTGAACCATGAACCCTGTCTCCCAGGTGCCCTCATGGAAAGCATATGCATAGAATATTAAGGTGGCATGCTGGTACTTATCCTCTAATGAATAGCTGTCCTCATCCTTTTAAGACTTGTGACACATTGTTATTGTTTGATTTCACAGCATCTACCCCACTCCACAAAAAAAGGAAAAATGTTCCATATGGCAGATATTTTTAAAATCAAAGTGAATTGAAAAATATTCTGTTTTTAGAATTATACTGCATGGTGAGAGTGCAATGAGACAGGCACTCTCATATGCTGCGGATGGGCAGGCATGCAAATTCATACGGTCTGTCTGGGAAGCAGTTTGGCAACAAGTAATATGGACTTTAAAGGGTCATACCCTTTGACCCAGTAGTTCTACTTCTCTGAGGGTTTAGCTAAAGGAGATAAACAGATTTTTACAAATTACTGTAGAAGGATTTTTGGTGCATCATTTTTTCTTTTCTTTTAAATATGAGTAGCTATTTTAATGCCGGCAACTTCATGTATTACTGCTTATACTTCACCATTCTTTTCTTTATTCTTTCTGTTTTAGAAATTAATTTTAACACATGAGTATGTTCTTGGAAGGGAGGAGGGGACTAGGATTGAGGTGGTGATCGAAGGAGATTTAAGCTTTTCTCTGTAATGTTTTAAATTTTTACATGAAACATCACCTAAATAGTAAAAAATCCCAACAATATGGAATATTTAAATAAATCATAGTACACGTATATGATGGAATATTGCCAGTAGTTATGTTTTAGAAAAAAAATTAACAATGAGAAAATGTTCACAGCATATAATATTAAGTAAATACTTCATGGTACAAATCTGCATTTATAATATGATCTCAATTTTTTAAAAATTATGAATGTTTACCTGTTAATAGAAGATTAGAAGGAAATACGCCAAAAAATATAAATATCTCTGAGCTGAGAGACTGACTGTCAGTGATTTTTATGTTTTCTTATTTATACTTTGTTTTTTTCCAAAAAAAATTTTTTTTTTGAGTTGGAGTCTTGCTCGCTCTGTCACCCAGGCTGCCTCCCAGGTTCAAGCGATTCTCCTGCCTCAGCCTCCAGAGTAGCTGGGATTACAGATGCGTGCCACCATGCTTGGCTAATTTTTGTATTTTTAGTAGACACGGGGTTTTGCCATGTTGGCCAGACTGGTCTCAAACTCCTGATCTCAGGTGCCCCGCCTGCCTCAGCCTCCCAAAGTGCTGGGATTACAGGCGTGAGCCACCATGCCTGGCCCTATTCTGTTTTTTTCCAAAATTTTTACAATAAGCAAGCATTACTTTTATTTCAGTAACTGTTTCTGTGTTACCAGTCTTTTCTTTTCACATGCATATATTTTGTTTGCAAGATAGTATTGTTTTATGCGTATTGCTTTTTAACATACATTTTCATTTTGCCATATATTGTATTTTCCTGTTTTCACCATTCTTTCGTCTATGTCATTTTTAACGGCTGCATAATATTCCATTCTATGCACATAACATAATTTACTTAACCACCCTTCTATTGTGACATTGAAGTTATTTTTAGTTTTTCACTATTAAAAGGAACTCTGTGACAAATATCCTTATATAAACATCTTTCGTATATCTCATTATAATTTTGATAAGTTTCTAGAAGTAGACTTGATCAGTAAATGAATATACACGTTTAAAACTTTGGTAGCTGGCTGGGCACGGTGGCTCACACCTGTAATCCCAGCACTTTGGGAGGCTGAGGCGGGCGGATCACTTGAGGTCTGGAGTCTGAGACCAGCCTGACAAACATGATAAAACCCCATCTCTATTAAAAATACAAAAATCAGCCAGGCATGGTGGTGGGCCCCTGTAATCCCAGCTACTCAGGAGGCTGAGACAGGAGAATCACTTGAACCCAGGAGGCAGAAATTGCAGTGAGCCAAGACTGAGATCCCACCACTGCACTCCAGCCTGGGCGACAGAGCGAGACTTCATCTTAAAAGAAAAAAAAAGTTTAGTAGCAGCTGCCATATTGCTCACTGATAAGATCTAAGAATGACCTTTCCCCACCCTTGCTAACATGGGGTATTTTTATTGTTTGTAATGTTTTTTAATATGATAGGTAAAAATGGTATCTTTGTGCTTTAATTTTTATTTCTCTGATTATTAGTGAAATTGGATGTTTTCATTTAATGTATTTTTAGCTATTTTTTTAAATGAATGTTTTTCTTTGTAATCAGAAAAAAAAGCCTCGAAGAAACACTTTTTCTTATGTATACAACAGAACTGCATGCACTTAGTGGAGTTTTATGGGCATATTCTGTGATGTTGAGTGTCTAGTCTATAAAAGACAGGGGGCTTGGGGAACCTTTGAATGCCCCCATTGGTTTTGGAGAGGTGGTGAGACTTTTGGGCTCAAGTGATGGCTAGCTGTGATATTAACTGTCTTTATTGATTTACAGAAGCTACCAATGGTGCGGTGCCCCAGGGCCAGCGACCACCGCCTCGTATCAAGAATTTCCAGATAAACAACCAGATTGTGAAACTGAAATACTGTTACACATGCAAGATCTTCCGGCCTCCCCGGGCCTCCCATTGCAGCATCTGTGACAACTGTGTGGGTGAGTAAAACTACAGGGACATTGCCTAGGGAAAAGGCTGAGTTGAACTAGAAAGTCAGGGTGGTCACCAATTTTGGGAGGAGGGAAGATAGATTTAGATGAGAAATGAACTAGATTTAGATAGGGAAATTTAGATAGGCAACAAGCTCCTGAAAAACTGCAAATCAGCTGTACTTGTGTAGATCAAATCAAAATTTAAATATCCTCTAGCCTAAACTTTACAAAAACCTCTTTAGTAAATGAGAAAAATAAACTTTACCTATTTTTGAAATTTAGATTTTCCTGTACTGGATTTTCATGTGGGACCCACCTTACATAGTGGGAGGAGACACCTAGTCCACTGGAGGGCAGCATTGAGGAAGGAAGGTCTGTCTAAGACGCAACCCAAGAAGAGGAAAGTTGCTAGCATTTATTGAGTTTCTACTACATATTGGGCACTGTGCTAAGTGATTTACCTTTCTCTCATTTAAGACTTGTAACAGCCCCATGAGATTGGTATTATCCCCATTTTACGGATGAGGAAATAGGTGAAGCACCAGTATGTAAGTTCACATAATTAGTATGAGATTAAGCTAGAGCAGGTCTGATTCCAAACTGCTTATTTCTTCTCTTTGCTGCTGCTGCAAGAGGGTCAGGTATATGTGTGTCTAATACAGTGGTCTGTACTTCCATCCACATATATGTGGCTTTGTTGTAATCACTGCCTACTGTGTGCTAAACCCTGGCCAAGATGAGAAATGGGCCATAAAGATTCCTGTTGATAGGCCTATATGTGAAATTGCTTATATCATCACTAGGCATACTTCTAATGTTCTTTTTAAAATTACTTTTTCTTGAGTTCCCATGATTGGATAATGTTTTTTCTGTATACCATGTGGCATCCTGAGGGCATTGCTTTCCTCTTACTAGCCATTTCTTTAGGCAAAGGTTGGGAGATATATATTGCTTTATATGGTAAAAGCTATATGGTGCTCTCTTCGGCAGCGTGTATACTAAAAAGCTACTATATGTATATAAGATTTTTATAAATCAAAACCCATTTTATTATTATTATTATTTTTTATTTTACTTTAAGTTCTGGGATACGTGTGCAGAATGTGCAGGTTTGTTACATAGGTATACATGTGCCATGGTGGTTTGCTGCACCTATCAACCTGTCATCTACGTTTTAAGCCCTGCATGCATTAGGTATTTGTCCTAATGCCCTCCCTCCTCACCCCACCCCCCGACAGACCCCAGTATGTGTTGTTCCCCTCCCTGTGTCCATGTGTTCTCATTGTTCAACTCCCACTTATGAGTGAGAACATGCGGTGTTTGGTTTTCTGTTCCTGTGTTAGTTTGCTGAGAATGATGGCTTCCAGCTTCATCCATGTCCCTACAAAGGACATGAACTCATCCTTTTTTATGGGTGCATAGTATTCCATGGTGTATATGTGCCACATTTTCTTTATCCGGTCTATCATTGGTGAGCATTTGGGTTGGTTCCAAGTCTTTGGTATTGTAAATAGTGCTGCAATAAACATATGTGTGCATGTGTCTTTATGGTAGAATGATTTATAATGCTTTGGGTATATACCCAGTAATGGGATTGCTGGGTCAAATGGTATTTCTGGTACTGGATCCTTGAGGAATCGCCACACTGTCTTCCACAATGGTTGAACTAATTTACACTCCCACCAACAGTGTAAAAGTGTTCCTATTTCTCCACAGCCTCATCAGCATCTATTGTCAAAGCCCATTTTATTTATTTATTTTTTGAGATGGAGTCTCACTGTGTCACCCAGGCTGGAGTGCAGTGGCATGATCTCGGCTCACTGCAACCTCCACCTCCTGGGTTCAAGCGATTCTCCTGCCTCAGCCTCCTGAGTAGCTGGTATTACAGGTGCACACCACCACGCCCGGCTAATTTTTGTATTTTTAGTAGAGATGGAGTTTCACCATGTTGGTCAGGCTGGTCTGGAACTCCTGACCTTGTGATCCACCCACCTAGGCCTCCCAAAGTGCTGAGATTACAGGCATGAGCCACCACACCCGGCTGTCGAAACCCATTTTAAGTGAAGCAGGAAACTTGATATTTAAAGAAGGTCTGGCCAGGCGCGGTGGCTCACACCTGTAATCCCAGCACTTTGGGAGGCCAAAGCGGGAGGATCACGAGGTCAGGAGATCAAGACCATTCTGGCTAACATGGTGAAACCCCATCTCTACTAAAAATACAAAAAATTAGGGGACGTGGTGGTGGGCGCCTGTAGTCCCAGCTACTCGGGAGGCTAAGGCAGGAGAATGGCGTGAACCCGGGAGGCGGAGGTTGTAGTGAGCCAAGATCGCGCCACTGCACTCCAGCCTGGGTGACAGAGCAAGACTCCATCTCAAAAAAAAAAAAAAGAAGAAGGTCTATACCCAGTAATGGGATTGCTGGGTCAAATGGTATTTCTGGTTCTAGATCTTTGAGGAATTGCCACATCTTCCACAATGGTTGAACTAATTTACATTCCCAACAACAATAGCGTTCCTATTTCCCCGCAACCTTGCCAGCATCTGTTGTTTTTTGACTTTTTAATAATCGCCATTCTGACTGGCATGAGATGGTATCTCAGTGTGGTTTTTGATTTGCATTTCTCTAATGATCAGTGATGTTGAGCATTTTTTCATATATTTGTTGGCTGCATGAATGTCTTCTTTCGAGAACAATGAGAACACATGGACACAGGGAGGGGAACAACACACACCGGGGCCTGTTGAGGGGTGGGGAAGGGAGGGAGAGCATTAGGAAAAATAGCTAATGCATGCTGGGCTTAATACCTAGGTGATGGCTTTATAGGTGCAGCAAACCACCATGGCACACATTTACCTATGTAACAAACCTGCACATCCTGCACATGTACCCCAGAACTTAAGTAAAATAAAAAGGTCTGATGTGAGGTAGTATTTCCTTTCCTTATTAATACTCTTAACTATAAGGAACTCATACAAATCAATTTTTTTAAAAAGCACTGATATTCCAGGAGAAATATAAACAGTTCATAACAATATAATTGGCTAGTTATCATGACTAATAGTCAAATAAATGATTTCAGGATGCTTTTGTTTTGAGATAGGATCTCACTCTTTTTCCCAGGCTGGAGGGCAGTGGCACGATCACAGCTCACTGCAGACTCAACCTCCTGGGTTCAGGTGATCCTCCCACCTCAGCCTCCCAAGTTGCTGAGACTACAGGCATGCACTACCATGCCTGGCTATTTTTTTTTTTTTTTTTGTATTTTTTGTAGAGATGGGTTTTCCCCATGTTGCCCAGGCTGGTCTCAAACTCCTGGGCTCAAGCAGCCCACCTGCTGCAGCTTCCCAAAGTGTTGTGATTACAGGTGTGAGCCAATACCCCCAGCCCAATATGCTTTTTTAAATCTAGAAAATTAGCAAGGAAAACCTGATGTTTATTCTTCCACTAGTAAGAGTGTAAATTGGAACAAACTTTTTGGAAGGCAATCTAATAAGATTAATCGAAAGCCTTAAAACATCTATACCTTTTGGTGCCAGTGGTTCACTTTCTAGGGAGTCTGTCCCATGAAATCAGAGATGTGGGAAAATATTTCGGGGTGGAAATGTTTAACTCAGGATTATTATGACAATTAAAAGTTGAAAAGAACCTAATTGTCTACCAATAGATGAGTAGCCAAATAAATTATAGAGCCGGGTGTGGTGGCTCACTCCTGTAATCCCAGCACTTTGGGAGGCCGAGGTGGGCAGATCACTTGAGGCCAGAAGTTTGAGACCGGCCTGAGCAACATGGTGAAACCTCGTCTCTACTAAAACATACAAAAATTAGCTGGACGTGGTGACATGTGCCTGTAATCCCAGCTGAGACCCTGGCTGAGGCATGAGAATAAAAAACCCATGAGGTGGAGGCTGCATTGAACCGAGATTGTGCCACTGCACTCCAGCCTGGGCGACAGAGTAAGACTCTGTCTCTAAATAAATAAATAAATAAATAATAGGACATTCGTACATTAGACTGATGGAAAGAGTTCATACCAGAAAGCTAAATGACAAAATGGGAGATAGGCTACATTTACAGTGTGAAGTCAGTTACCTATTTTTAAAAAATCTAATGATGTATAAAGAAATATGCAAGGAAATACAGGAAATATGCCACAATTTTTATAGTTTATTATCTATAGGTTGTGGGATTATGAGTGATTTTGTTTCCTTCATTTTTTCATATGCCATCCTCCACTACTGTGATTTCTTCATTTTTCCTTTTATTTTTTTCAAGTTTTCTACAATGAGCATGTATTACTTGTATTATCAGAAAAAATGTGATTTAAAATACTGTAAAAAATATATATCTGTATAACCATTCTTCTCTATACCTTTCTTCCCTTTCCTGAAAAGATGTAGCTTCCTCAGCAGGAGATAGACCATTTTTACAGCCTTATTTTTTCACCAGTACACAGCTCACTTTTCTTTCAAATTGATATATTTTATTCTTTTTTTTTTTTTTTTTTTTTTTTTGAGACGGAGGCTGTCTCTCTCTCCCAGTCTGGAGTGCAGTGGCGCGATCTCAGCTCACTGCAAGCTCCGCCTCCTGGGTTCACGCCATTCTTCTGCCTCAGCCTCCCGAGTAGCTGGGACTACAGGCTCCCGCCACCACGCCTGGCTAATTTTTTTGTATTTTTAGTAGAGACGGGATTTCACCGTGTTAGCCAGGATGGTCTCTATCTCCTGACCTTGTGATCCACCTGCCTCGGCCTCCCAAAGTGCTGGGATTACTGGTGTGAGCCACCACGCCTGGCCCAAATTGATGTATTTTATTCTTTTGTAGTCTTTTATTCATCAAAATAACACATGTTCATTGTGGAAAATATGGGAAGTGCAGAAAGTATAAATAAAACTTAATCCTAAATTCACTCTCCATTTTGCTATATTTCCTACTAGTGTTTCTGCAAAATTGGACTGTAACATGATAGTTTTTAATCCTGCTTTTGTCATTTAACATTCTATCCTGAGCGTTTTTCTACATCTTTAATAAATGTTTCTTTAATATATTATTTTAATGACTGCATAATCCATCATATGGTTCTATTCAAGTTTATTCAGGCAGTCTTCTGTCATTAGACATTATTCATTCTTCTATTTTATTCATTGTTGTAACACTGCAATCATAATTATTAAACTTAAGGATGTGGAACAATTGGAACCTTCATACATTTCTGGTGAGAATGTAAAATCATGCAGCTGCTGTGGAAAAGTTTGGTGGTTCCTCAAAAAGTTAAACATAGAATTACCACATGACCCAGCAATTCCACTCCTGGGTGTATACCTATATTAGTCTGCTTGGGTTACCATAACAAAATACCTCAGACTGGCTGGCTCAAACAATGGGAATTTTTCTCTCACAATTCTGGAGGCTGGAAGTCCAAGATAGAGGTGCGAGAAGGGATGGTTTCTGGTGAGGCCTCTCCCCCTGGCTTGCAGATGGCTGCCTTCTTGCTGTGTCCTCACGTGACCTTTTCTCTGTGCTCACACACTACTGGTGTCTCATCCTCTCCTTACAAGGACACCAGTCCCATCGGATTAGGGCCCCATCCAGATGACCTCATTTAACTTTAGCTACCTCCTTAAAGGTTCTGCCTCCAAGTGCAGCTACATTGGGGGTTAGGGCTTCAACATATGGAACTGGGGAGTGGGGGTACAGTTCATTCCATAACAATAGCCAAAAGAATTGACAACAAGGACTCAAAACCTACTTGTACGCCAGTGTTCGTAGCATCATTATTCACAGTAGCCAAAAGGTGTAACCAACCCAAGTGTCTATCAACAGATGAATGGTTAAACAAAATGTGGTATGTACATACGGTGGAATATTATCCAGTCATAAAAAGGAATACAGTACTGATACAATGTGGATGAACCTTGAAAACATGCTATGTGAAAAAAAAAAAGACACAAAAAGACAAATATTGTGTGATTCCGCTTATATGAGATATCTAGAATGGGCAAATTCATAGAGACAGAAGATTAGAGATTGCTAGGGGATGGGGAAGGGGGAAATGGAGAGTTACTGCTTAATGGGTGCAGAGTTTCTGTTTGGAGTAATGAAAGGGTTTTGGAAATAGATAATGGTGATGGTTCCACATTATGAATGTAATTAATGCCACTGAATTGCACACTTAAAATGGTTAAAATGGCAAATTGTATGTTATGTATATTTTACCATAATAGATTTTTTTTTTAAGACAGGGTCTCACTCTGTCACCCAGGCTGGAGTGCAGTGGCGTGATCTCAGCTCACTGCAACCTCCGCCTCCCGAGCTCAAGTGATCCCCCCACCTCAGCCTCGTGATTGGCTGGGATTACAGGTGTGCACCACCACGACCCACGGATTTTTGCATTTTTTGGTAGAGATGGGGTTTCACCATGTTGGCCAGGCTGGTCTCAAACTCCTGACCTCATGATTCCCCTGCCTGGGCCTTCCAAACAATACAAAATTTAATTTAAAAGTTTGAACTTCGGCCGGGCGCAGTGGCTCATGCCTGTAATCCCAGTACTTTGGGAGGCTGAGGCGGGCATTTCACCTGAGGTCAGGAGTTCGAGACCAGCCTGGCTAACATGGCAAAACCCCGTCTCTGCTAAAAATACAAAAATTAGCTGGGCGTGGTGGCGGATGCCTGTAATCCCAGCTACTCGGGCAGCTGATGAGGCTTGAACCTGGGAGGTGGAGGTTGCAGTGAGCCGAGATCGCACCATTGCACTCCAGCCTGGGTGACAAGTGTGAAACTGTGTCTCAAAAATAAATAAATAAATAAAAATAAAAATTTGAACTTAAAATTTCTGTGTACATTTCTATTTTCTTATGAGAAATTGCTGAAAATGGACTTATTCTACCAAAGGGGTACAAGCTTTATGAAGGCTCTTGATACGTACTGCCAAATTGCTTTCTGGGAAGGTTCTTTCATTTTATGCTCCCACAAGCAGTATGTTAGAGTGTCCATTTTACCCTATTCTCACTAGCACTGGATTTTATTATTTATATTCTTATTTTGATAGGCATAAAATATGCTATTATTTTACTAGTATTACAATGAATTATTGGTGACTAGGAAAAATATTAAATATAGGTTTTATGGTATTTATTAGTTTTTGCCCTATTTCCTTTTTGTTTGTTTTTTGTTTTTGTTTTATGTGCAGTCGACTCTTGAACAATGCAGTTTTGTACTGCATGGGCCCACTTAATAATGAGGGTTTTTTTTTTCCAATAAATACAGTATCAGTGTGTTCCTCATCTGCAACCAAATGCGGATCCAAAATACAGTCGTCCCTAAGTATCCTTGGGGGATTGGTTTCAGGGATTGCCCTTGAATACCAAACCCCATGCATTCTCAAGTCCTGCAGTGGCCCTGTGGAACCCATGGATATGAAGTCAGCCCTCTGTATCCGTCTCCAGGAGTTTCATATTTTGTGAATACCGTATTTTTGATCTAGGTTTAGTTGTGGATGCAGAACCTGTTGATACGGAGGGCCAACTGTATTTATTGAAACAAATCCATGTACAAGTGGACGCACGCAGTTCTAACCTGAGTTGTTCAAGGTTCAAATGTACAGTATTCACAAGATGCAAAACCTGTGTACATGAGGGGCAACTTTTCTTATCCGTGGGTTCTGCAGGGCTGCTGAATGACTTGAGTATGGGTGGATTTTGGTGTCTGCCTGTAATGCTTACCACAATCAAATGAACATATTCATCACCACACATAGTTACCATTGTGTGTGCATGTGTGTGTGTGGTGAGGACACTTAAGATTACTCTCTTAGCAAATTTCAAGTAACTTTTGACTATTATTTTCTTGACGAAGTATTTGTATTTTCCTATTGATTTCTAAGAACTTTTCATATAGTCAGGTACAACTTTACATAGATTGCCATTGTTTTTTTTTCTTTAGTCTTCTTTATGGTAATTTTAACATACACAAAATATTTTTTAAATTTTTAATTTTTTGTTGGTATATAGTAGGTATATATATTTATGGTGTACATGAGAAGTTTTGATACAGGCATGCAATGTGTAATAATCACATCATTGATCACCAAGGAAATGCAAATCAAAACCACAAAGTACTTTTTTAAAGTTTATGGAGTCAAATCTATTTTTCCTTGTCATCTGTTTTCTTCCAGTACTTTTATGCTTAGAAAGTCCTTCTGCATATAGAGGACAAATAAACATTTATTCTTTATAGTTATTTTATGGATTCACTTTGTTTTTACATTTAGTTCTTTAATTCATCTGGAATTTACTATGACAAGTAGTATGAAGACAAAAAAATCGATCCTTATTTTGCACCAAATAGCCAATTGTCACGTAATTGTTTATGGAATAATACTTCCTTTTACCTCTGATTTTGTAATGCTGAGTTTATTAGACAACAAAATCTTATATATTCTAAGATCTGTTTCTGGGCTCTTTCCATTCCATTGAACTATGCCATACCATTTTAAATATTGTAGTTTTACATTTTTCCTTGGCTATTTTGACCTGTTTATTCTTCTTGAACTTAGTAGGCCCACCGATTAAGATTTTATTTGGAAAAGCAGTGTCTCTGCTTTTAATGAGCTGAGTGAGGCAAATCACTTAACCTCTCCATGCCTTTGTTTCTTCATCTGTAAAGTGGGGAAAAGAGTATCTCCTTTTGCCCAAGTTCCAGGGAAATTGTGAGGATCAAATGAGATGGTTATGAAAACATTTTGAAAAAGTAAAAAAAAAAAAAAACCCTATATTTTTTACAACTGAAATAGACAATGATCCTGGAGGTCTTTGAATTAGGTATTATAGGGATGGTGGGGTTGATTTTTGTTCTGGAGGCTTTTGGCTTTGGACTCTCTCTTTCTCCCACAGAGCGCTTCGACCATCACTGCCCCTGGGTGGGGAATTGTGTTGGAAAGAGGAACTACCGCTACTTCTACCTCTTCATCCTTTCTCTCTCCCTCCTCACAATCTATGTCTTCGCCTTCAACATCGTCTATGTGGCCCTCAGTGAGTATACAGGGCAGTGTCCGTTGTTGGAGTGGGGCTGGGTGGGGGAAGAGTTAAGGGCAGCTTAGAGGGTTGTTGGGTTTCCTGGTGGTACCATTGTGAAAGGTACTTTAGGACAGGTTAGAAATGAGCACAGTTATCTGCTCTTGAGCAGGGTTGCAAACCTCAGTGCACATCAATGAGTATTAATCAGTGTGTTGGCCTTCTCTTTGGCCAACTGCTGGGCACTGGGGCCATAATTACTGGTCTGTATCCAGAGTACTGGGGCATTTCTGAGGTAATCCCAAAGGCTGGGGATGTATTTTGTCTCGGAGCATCCTCTCTTCTTCTGCCTTGTAAAACTTGCCTTGTGCTAAGGGGTAGAAAAGGGTAAGGGTTTTGCCTGAGAAATGTCTTTTTGTAGCTCATGGTCTAGTTTGGGAGATAGAAAGCACACCCACATATGTACATGTGCACAAACATACACACCCACACACACGCCAATCTAAGAGCAGATGTGATGTGGAGTTAAGGGAGTGGTCTTAAGACAGCTTTCTGGAAAGAGAAGAGTTCTGAGCTGGATTTTGAACAAGGGAGGGACACGTATTGGCAAGGAGAGAGGATTTTTCTTGGGTATTTCTGATTTCTTTTATCTGTTAATATCCCCCTAACATGTCCATAGTTGGGGGCTAGGGAAAAGGGAAGGGAGCCTGCTGCTCTTCTGCCTGCCTGTCTAGTCCAGGGCCTGGTCCTGCACTGGAAATGTGAACTCTTTAGTCATGAGACTACCAGCTAGGAGATGAGGCTCTTCACCCTTGCCCGAGTGAGAGCTTAGCTCTTGCCAGTGTGTAACACGGGAGAGGGAGGGAAGGAAGTGAGTAGGCACTAGGATAGTGTGTAGTTTTGACTGAAGTCACTAATTTTTCTCTCTACTCTTCCATCCAATTTCACAGAATCTTTGAAAATTGGCTTCTTGGAGACATTGAAAGAAACTCCTGGAACATATCCTCCGCTGGCAGTATGTCCCTGTGAAGCCTTCTTAAGCTACTTTCCAGCATGCTTTTTCCCCACAGTTCTCCCACTATCTAGTTTTTCAGATATCAGAGAGTGCCAAGGTCTAAAATAATTTAAAAAAATATAGTCTTAGTGGTAGCAACCAGAATGGAAGATGACCGGGACTAAAAGGGAGGTCTTTCCTTCACCCCCTGCTCAGGACAGTGGCTGCATTTCTGCAAAGGGGGTTCAGATGAGATTTCTATAAATCACATCCTCTTTTTTTTCCCCCACCAGTTCTTCATTTATGAATTTTCTTTTTTTGAGACAGAGTCTTGTACTGTTGCCCCAGCTCGCCTCCTGGGTTCAAATGATTCTCCTGCCTCAGCCTCCCGAGTAGCTTGGACTACAGATGCCCGCCACCACGCCCAGCTAATTTTTTGTATTTTTAATAGAGACGGGGGTTTCACCATGTTGGCCAGGCTGTTCTCGAACTCCTGACCTTGTGATCCGCCCACCTTGGCCTCCCAAAGTGCCGGGATTACATGAATTTTGTTTTTTGACAGAATTTCCATTGGCAGTGATGGCCAACATTGTTTAGCTTTGGCCCCTCCCATGCATCCCCTTCCAAGAGCCAATGATGGGTAAATAGGCACACCCTTAAATACCCTAGATACGCTAGAAATTCTTTCATAAGGGATCTATCCAGTAAGTTCAGAATTCATCTATTGTTATATATGGAAACATGGCTTTTTGTGATATACGTTCCAGGAGGTAAAGATGGTCTGACTGGTGCTCTGAATATGGGCGGAGGCATCAAGTCTCCTGATGTTGAGTTCTTCAATACTCCTTAACCACACCTCACTGTTCTAGAAGTCCTCATTTGCTTCTTTACACTCTGGTCCGTCGTGGGACTGACTGGATTTCATACTTTCCTCGTGGCTCTCAACCAGACAACCAATGAAGACGTGAGTCAACTTTCTCTTCTCCTCACCACATATTCTTCTTCCCAAAGCCTATCCTCTTGCTACCTGCTAGAGAACTACCGAGTCTCCAGGGCCTGGGAGGTTGAGGCAGGCAGAAACGTGGTATGCGAGGTTGTTAAGTCAGATGTGTGGAAGAGAAAGGAGAGGGCTTTGTTGAATGCTTGTGGAGCATTAGGAAGAAGAGGTTGAAAAGTTGGGTGGGTATACAGCCTTTAACTGTTCACAGGTCCTTAAAGGCTAGCTGGTGCCTCTGTTTGGCATGGAGAGGGACAGTTGCACTGGATGAATCCTTGCTATATAAAAAGTTACCAATTAGGCTGGGTGTGGTGGCTCACGCCTGTAATCCCAGCACTTTGGGAGGCTGAGGCGGGCGGATCACCTGAAGTCAAGAGTTCAAGACCAGCCTGGCCAACATGGCAAAACCCTGTCTCTACTAAAAATACAAAAATATAGCCGGATGTGTTAGTGTGCACCTGTAGTCCCAGCTACTCGGGAGGCTGAGGCAGGAGAATCACTTGAACCCGGGAGGTGGAGGTTGCAGCGAGCAAAGATCACGCCACTGCACTCCAGCCTGGACAACAGAATGAGACTCTGTCTGGAAAAAAAAAAAAAAAGTTAGCAATTAATCTACATTCACTGTAGAAAATCAGAAAATACAGATGAGCAAAAAGAAAAAAGTAAGTTCCTCTTACTTTACTTCTTAGACATCACCTTTGTTAGTAGTATGATTTATATATTCTAGACTTGTCTAGACTTTTTTCCATGTTTATTTATGTGTTTATATTATGTACTTTTAAATAAAAATAGTATATATCATTCAGTTATCTGCTTTTTTCACTCTATTGTGAGTATTTTTCATGGCTGTGTATGTATTTCTTTTTTGTTGTGATAAAATATACATGATATAAAGTGTGCTATATTAAATGTCTTTCAACCCTGGCGATCAATGGGGTGACAGTTGTTGCAGCCAGATCGCCCTCATATCCTAAATGTACAGTTCAGTGGCATCACATTGTTGTGCAACCATTGCCACCATCCATTTCCAGAACTTTTTTATTATCCCATGCTGCATGTGTTTCTTCAACATTATTATTATTATTTTTCTTTTTTGTGTCTGTTTTTAATTTTATTATTATTATTTGTTCATTTTAACATTATTTTTAATGTCAGCCTTGGTTTTTATCTTGCAGATCAAAGGATCATGGACAGGGAAGAATCGCGTCCAGAATCCCTACAGCCATGGCAATATTGTGAAGAACTGCTGTGAAGTGCTGTGTGGCCCCTTGCCCCCCAGGTGCTCAGGGCACTCAAAAGTCCTGGGACTGTTGGGATGAGCAGCTCAACCTGATCCTGTTACCTTGTCTGATGTGTTTTTCTGAGTGTGGCCTCTTGGTGTCAAATAGGTCTTTCCAGGGCTTGCCACTTGGTACCATGTCTACATGGACCATAGACCATGGGCTGGTTGTTTTGGAGGGATGATCTTTCATTCTTAATTTCATTTGTTTGTTCCCTGGTTAATGTGACATTTCCTGGTTTGTGGAAGAAAAAGTGAATGGGAGATAAGAGGCATGTGCTGTGTTCAGGCTAGATTGCCAAAGGACAGGTTTATATTTTCCAGTCTATGCAGCAAAATTCCGTAGGCCAGGTGGGTGGAGGGGTGAATGCCCAGTTCTTTGTTAACTCTCTTATCTCCTTCAGTGTGCTGGATCGAAGGGGTATTTTGCCACTGGAGGAAAGTGGAAGTCGACCTCCCAGTACTCAAGAGACCAGTAGCAGCCTCTTGCCACAGAGCCCAGTAAGTGTTCCTGACTTAAGGCTGGGTCGATATAGAGAGGGCGGAGGCTAATTTACAGCTTGGAAATATAATTAGGCAATATTGTATTCTAATCACCCCAGCTTCCCTGCCTCTACACCTGCCCTGATGTTGCCTTCAGATCTTTGTGTCCTTGATGTAGATTAAGATTTAGTCATTTCTTTGGTGTATATTGAGTGACTCTGTGCCAGCCACTGTACTAGCTGCCAGGGTTATACCAATGAATGAGGCAAACGATGTCCCTGCTCTCAAGGAGCTCATTGTCTAGTGGGGGCAAGAAACAAGTAAACAGGCCATTGCTCAACATTGTGAAAAGTGCCTTGATGAGGAAAGCATAAAATGCTATAGGGGCAAAGACAGAGGTCAGGGGATTGTATTAGAGTTAGTGATGTGGTTACTGTGGTAGAAGGGGGCTTCCTAACTGGAATATGCAAAAGTTGTGGAAACTCTCCCAGCTGTCCTATTTAAGATATATAAAGTATATCTTTAAAGTATATAAAGTACTTTCCTAAAAAAAAATATTACTTGAGCTTTTTTTTTTGAGATGGAGTTTTGCTCTGTCACCCAGGCTGGAGTGCAGTGGTGTGATCTCGGCTCATTGCAACTCCACCTCCCAGGTTCAAGCAATTCTCTGCCTCAGCCTCCGAGTAGCTGGGATTACAGGCGCCCGCCACCATGCCTGGCTAATTTTTGTATTTTCACTAGAGACAGGGTTTCACCATCCTGGCCAGGATGGTCTGCATCTCCTGACCTCGTGATCCTCCCGCCTCAGCCTCCCAAAGTGTTGGGATTACAGGCGTGAGCCACCGTGCCCAGCTGAGCTTTCTTTTTTTAATAAGAACTTTATTGAGATATGATTCACATACCATAGGTCCCAATTTTTTTTTTTTTTTTTTTTGAGACGGAGTCTCGCTCTGTCACCCAGGCTGGAGTGCGGTGGTGCAATCTCAGCTCACTGCAACCTCCGCCTCCCGGGTTCTCCTGCCTCAGCCTCCTGAGTAGCTGGGATTACAGGCATGTGCCACCACGCCCAGCTAATTTTGTATTTTTTAGTAGAGACGGGGTTTCTCCATGTTGGTCAGGCTGGTCTCGAACTTCTGACCTCAGATGATCTGCCCACCTCAGCCTCCCAAAGTAGAGGATTACAGGCGTGAGCCACTGCGCCCAACTGATCCCTATTTAAAATGTATGATTCACTGGTCTAGAATATTCACAGAGTTGTACAATCATTATAACAATCAATTTTAGAGCATTTTCGTTACCCTTCCACCCTAAGAAACCCTGTAGCCATTAGCAGTCACTCTCCCTTTCCCCTGAACTTCCCCAGCCACACCCCTAGGCAACCACTAATCTACTTCCTTTTAGTACAGATTTCTCTCTTCTGGGTATTTCATGTAAATGAAATCATACAATATGTGGTCTTTTGTGACTGGCTTCTTTTACTTAGCATGTTTTCGAGGTTTGTCCATGTTGTACTATGTAGCAGTACTTCGTTCCTTTATATGGCCAAATGATATTCCATTATATGGATATACCACATTTCATTTATCCATTCATCAGTTGATGGACATTTGGATTGTTTCCACCATTTGATTATTATGAGTGATGCTGCTATGAACATTTGTGTACCAATTTTTGCATGGCCATATATTTTCATTTCTCTTGGCTATATACCTGGGAGTAAAATAGCTAGGTCACATGGTAGCTCTATGTTTAACCTTTAAGGTACTGCTGAACTGTTTTCCAAAGTGGCTGCACCATTTTATACCCCCACTAGCAGTGCCTGAGGGTTCCAGTTTCTCTACATCCTCTGCAACACTTATTATCTGACATTTTGAGTCTAGCCATCTTAGTGAATGTGAAGTGGTATCTCATTGTGGTTTTGATTTGCATTTCCCTGATGACTAATGATGTCGAATATCTTTTCATGTGCTTATTGGCCATTTTTATGTGCTCATTGGAGAAGTGTCTGTTCAGAGCTTTTGTCTATTTTTTAATTGGATTGTTTGTCTTTTTTATTGTTGAGTTGTAAGAGTTCTTTATGTAATCTGTATGCAAGTCTCTTACCAGATATACAATTTGCAAATATTTTCTCCTATTCCATGGGTTATCTTTTAATTTTCTTGATAGTGTCCTTTGGAGCACAAAATTTTTAAATTTTGATGTAGTCCAGTTTGTCTATTTTTTTCTTTTGTTGTTTGTACTTTTTGGTGTCATATCTGAGAAACTGTTGCCTAATCCAAAGTCATGAAGATTTATGCCCTTGTTTTCTTGTAAGAGCTGTACAGTTTTGGCTCTTACATTTAGGTTTTTGATCCATTTTGAGTTAATTTTTATATATGGTGTGAGGTAGAGGGTCCACATTCTTTCTTTTGCCTGTAGCTATCCAGTTGTCTCTGCACCATTTGTTGAAAGGACTATTCTTCTCCCATAGACTTGTCTTGGCACCCTTGTTGAAAATCTATAAATGTGAGAGTTCATTTCTGGACTTTCAGTTCTATTGTATTGCTCAATATGTCTGTTCTTATGCTAGTACCACGCTGTCTTGATTACTTTAGCATTGTAGTAAGTTTTGAAATCAGGAAATGTGAGTCCTCCAACTTTATACTTCTTTTTCATGATTGTTTTGGCTCTTCTGGGTGCCTTAAATTTCCGTATGAATCTTAGGATCAACTTGTCATTTATGAAAAGAAGCCAGCTGGAATTTTGATGGGGATTTCATTGAATCTATAGATCAATTTGGGGAAATATTGCCATCCTAACAAGATTAAATATTCTGAGCCATTTACATGGACTGTATTTTCACATATTTAGGTATGATTTGATTTCTTTCAACAACATTTTGTAGTTTTCAGAGTATAAGTTTTACACTTTTGTTACATTTATTCATAAATATTTGATTATTTTTCATGTTATTGTAAGTGAAATTGTTTTACTAATTTCATTTTTGGATTTTTCACTTGGAGTGTATTGAAAGACAATTGATTTTTATATATGGATCTTATACCCTAAAACCTTGCCAAGCTTGTTCATTAGTTCTTTTTTGTTTGTTTTTGTTTTTATTTTATGAGATGGAGTTTCGCTCTGTTGCCCAGGCTGGAGTGCGGCAGCGCCATCTTGGCTCACTGCAACCTCCACCTCCTGGGTTCAAGTGATTCTTCTGCCTCAGCCTCCCAAGTAGCTGGGATTACAGGTGCCCACCACCACACCGGCTAATTTTTGTGTTTTTAGTAGAGACCGGGTTTTGCCATGTTGGCCAGGCTGGTCTCAAACTCCTGACCTCAAGTGATCTACCCTCCTCGGCCTCCCAAAGTGCTGGAATTATAGGCACGAGCCACCGTACTCGGCCCTTGTTCATTAGTTCTAATAGATTTTTAGTAGTTTGAACTTTGTTTTAAAATAGAATCATACTTTTTTTTTTTTTTTTTTTTTCTGAGACGGAGTCTCGCTCTGTCGCCCAGGCCGGACTGCGGACTGCAGTGGCGCAATCTCGGCTCACTGCAAGCTCCGCTTCCCGGGTTCACGCCATTCTCCTGCCTCAGCCTCCCGAGTAGCTGGGACTACAGGCGCCCGCCACCGCGCCCGGCTAATGTTTTGTATTTTTAGTAGAGACGGGGTTTCACCTTGTTAGCCAGGATGGTCTCGATCTCCTGACCTCATGATCCACCCGCCTCGGCCTCCCAAAGTGCTGGGATTACAGGCGTGAGCCACCGCGCCCGGCCAGAATCATACTTTTAAGTGAATTCTTTTTATAAGGTAGATAATAGTTCTCTACTTTGCCTTTCCTAAATTTTGAATTTCCTTTTAAAGTACAGCAACCCGTGTTTATATATTATTGTTGTCATTTTTAATATTATTTTTTAAATGAGTCTGGACTCAAATTGTAACAATCTAGGTTAGTTATTCTTGGTTCAAAGTGGAGAAGGGTGGTATTTTAGAATCACTTGGGGACATTTTCAAACCACATATGACCAGCTGAAAATTTGGACACTTGGCCTTCTTTGGTTCAGAATCACTATTCTAATGAGCTGTGTGTTCGGGCAGAAACACGATTGAGGACCATTGGGTCAGGCCTTGTTACATAAGTATGTTATGACATTTGTTCTGAAGTGGGGAGGACCTGTGTAATTATTTGTGATTCCTATTATTATGACTATTAATAATAATAGAAAAATCTGTCCCCAACCAACAGTTAAGGATCAAACTCAAATAAACTTCAGTTGTGTTCTGCCGAGAAGACGATAGCTTGGTGTTGGTTCTGAGTTTGGTGTTGGTGGCTGCATATCTGTAGCATCAGTGTGATCAGGGGGCTGAGAGGAAGAGTTCAGTGTCTAAGGTTTATCTGCATTTGGATTTTGAGGAACAGCTTTGTGTTGAATCTCATATCTTTTCCTTCTCAGGCCCCCACAGAACACCTGAACTCAAATGAGATGCCGGAGGACAGCAGCACTCCCGAAGAGATGCCACCTCCAGAGCCCCCAGAGCCACCACAGGAGGCAGCTGAAGCTGAGAAGTAGCCTATCTATGGAAGAGACTTTTGTTTGTGTTTAATTAGGGCTATGAGAGATTTCAGGTGAGAAGTTAAACCTGAGACAGAGAGCAAGTAAGCTGTCCCTTTTAACTGTTTTTCTTTGGTCTTTAGTCACCCAGTTGCACACTGGCATTTTCTTGCTGCAAGCTTTTTTAAATTTCTGAACTCAAGGCAGTGGCAGAAGATGTCAGTCACCTCTGATAACTGGAAAAATGGGTCTCTTGGGCCCTGGCACTGGTTCTCCATGGCCTCAGCCACAGGGTCCCCTTGGACCCCCTCTCTTCCCTCCAGATCCCAGCCCTCCTGCTTGGGGTCACTGGTCTCATTCTGGGGCTAAAAGTTTTTGAGACTGGCTCAAATCCTCCCAAGCTGCTGCACGTGCTGAGTCCAGAGGCAGTCACAGAGACCTCTGGCCAGGGGATCCTAACTGGGTTCTTGGGGTCTTCAGGACTGAAGAGGAGGGAGAGTGGGGTCAGAAGATTCTCCTGGCCACCAAGTGCCAGCATTGCCCACAAATCCTTTTAGGAATGGGACAGGTACCTTCCACTTGTTGTATTTATTAGTGTAGCTTCTCCTTTGTCTCCCATCCACTCTGACACCTAAGCCCCACTCTTTTCCCATTAGATATATGTAAGTAGTTGTAGTAGAGATAATAATTGACATTTCTCGTAGACTACCCAGAAACTTTTTTAATACCTGTGCCATTCTCAATAAGAATTTATGAGATGCCAGCGGCATAGCCCTTCACACTCTCTGTCTCATCTCTCCTCCTTTCTCATTAGCCCCTTTTAATTTGTTTTTCCTTTTGACTCCTGCTCCCATTAGGAGCAGGAATGGCAGTAATAAAAGTCTGCACTTTGGTCATTTCTTTTCCTCAGAGGAAGCCTGAGTGCTCACTTAAACACTATCCCCTCAGACTCCCTGTGTGAGGCCTGCAGAGGCCCTGAATGCACAAATGGGAAACCAAGGCACAGAGAGGCTCTCCTCTCCTCTCCTCTCCCCCGATGTACCCTCAAAAAAAAAAAAATGCTAACCAGTTCTTCCATTAAGCCTCGGCTGAGTGAGGGAAAGCCCAGCACTGCTGCCCTCTCGGGTAACTCACCCTAAGGCCTCGGCCCACCTCTGGCTATGGTAACCACACTGGGGGCTTCCTCCAAGCCCCGCTCTTCCAGCACTTCCACCGGCAGAGTCCCAGAGCCACTTCACCCTGGGGGTGGGCTGTGGCCCCCAGTCAGCTCTGCTCAGGACCTGCTCTATTTCAGGGAAGAAGATTTATGTATTATATGTGGCTATATTTCCTAGAGCACCTGTGTTTTCCTCTTTCTAAGCCAGGGTCCTGTCTGGATGACTTATGCGGTGGGGGAGTGTAAACCAGAACTTTTCATCTATTTGAAGGCGATTAAACTGTGTCTAATGCAAACTTCCTGCCTCCTCCTTCCCCCTTCCATTTCAAGAATATGTTTGTGTGTAGGGTGGGGGTGGGGGTTGGAAGGGGTTGCTTGTTACTCCCCAAACTTCCATTAACCAGGGCACCCTTGGGTTGGAGAGGTAGTTCCAAACTCTCCATTGATCTATACTACATTCTGGGCTGAAGGTTTTCTTATTCTGGACTATGAAGAAAGGACTTTCAAGGAGATATAGTGTGAACAGGATCAGGAAGGTAGAGGGATTATATTTACTTAAGAGAACAAGCTCTATATTAGGATATTGTTTTGAAGCAGATGGATGCCGTTAATTGCTAATAAGTCTTAGTTATTAACGCAGGCTCATCAGGGCCCCCCCTTGGAAATATTTGATCAGTGGTCTTTTACAAGTGATGGTATATATTTCTTTCTAGGTGGTGTATAATCAAGACTCCCTATCAATTCCCATCTCATACTTCCCAGTTAATTGGAATTAATGAAATTTGGCTGCTCCCAGACCTTTTTCCATGTCTTCCTTTTTCCTTTTAACAGGATTTAAGTTGAGCATTCTTGAGAGAGAGAGAGAGAGAGAGATTGGAAGAGAGATGGGGAGAGACTGACTCAGATCCCTCTCCTGTCTGCTTCTTTTTCTGGTTCTCTCAGTTTTTTTTCTTGAAGTTATAAAGCCAAACCTGGAGAATTTGTAAGTTGTTAGGTTTCCCCAGGTAACTTGGCACTCATATGAACCCCATTTTAATAAGTACTCAGCCCATCTCCTCTCCTGGGCTCAGATGGCTCTCTCTCCTCCCTCACCTTACCTCAAGTGTTCTCCTGAGGACCCTTAGGTCAGACAGAGAAGCTTTCTCTTTCTGATGGGAAGGGTCAAAGTGGAAATCTCTTATCTCTAGTGTGAAATGATTTTCTGCTTTTTCATACTCCCTGCCCTCTTTCTTTTCCTTAATAAATCTTCCATGTTTAAGATGTTGGCCTGAAGATCTGTCCCATTCATACCATGCACCAGCTGGGACTGTCCCTATCTGATCAGAGGGGAGATTAAAGAATCAATGTTCCCAGGGGAAAAGGGCCTTAAATTGTTTGGTCTTTTCAATGGCTGACACTGTCTCCAACTCTCCCCTTCCTCCTTCTTCCTCAAGCTTCCTATGCACCCTACTTTCCCAGGCCAGGATGGTTGGCACTGATCCCAAACCTCTGGGGGCAGGTGGAAATTGGCTGTGGTGAGCCATTTCTTCATGTCCATTCAGCTCTGAGGCCTTCCTGGCCCTAGCTGAGATCATCATCTCCTCCTTTGCTTTTACCCCAGGAGTGAGGTTGGGTTAGAGGTGGATTCTGATTCCGTAGCAGCTAAATTCCATTCTCCCTGTCCTGACCATCCTGCCTTTACCCATAAAGCACCCGTTCCTACTGACCAAATCTCTTTACTTTGTTGGAGAAAAAAAGTATTTTGTTTTTAAATCTATTTTCTAATTTAAATGCAATTTAATATGTAAATCTCTGCACTTTTGTGTGAGCCTACAAATGTGTATGTGTTGGGGGTTTTTCACTCTCTGGTATTTCTTAATAAAGAAATCTTTCTTTTGGGGGGAAGCCAATTAATGAAGGAGCCTTGAATGGTTTTAGAAATACAGGGCTGTCTGTTTCTTTGTGCTTCTGCCTCATTTCTTTACTTGTGCCTAGTGTGAGTGATTGGACTCCCTCCCCCACCTTTTGACCCCCTTCCTCTGAGAGGGCCCTCAACTTAGTGGGGGCAGAGAGAAGGACCTGTCCTGTATCTGGTACCCCTCTGGGACCACTTGGATTGGCTCTAGTAGTAACCTAGCAACCCAGCCCCCTCCCCTCTCCCCATGGCCTGGCCCTGTTAGTCCTTTTCTTCCAGCTCAGTTCATTTTATACTCCTGAGTTGGGGCCAGGCCAGGGGAAATCACCAAGGGAGCACAGTAAATGGTTTTAAAAAAATGATAATTCGTTCTCATGCCTTGGTGCTACTAAAGAAGAGTCATGTTCCCAGTAATTCAAAAAGCATTTGTGTCAGTTTGGAGAATACATTCTAGGAATCTCTTGCTGTTCTTGGTGATAGGCTTTAGAAACAGTGTCAAAGGCTACAACTCTGAATATCATTTGTTTTAAAGGATGCAAGCCCAGCTCACAGAAAAAAGAATCATTATAAACTTTATATTTGGGATTAATATGAAAGGGCAATGGGAACTGCAAATCTACATCAGTAAAACTTTCAATGTTCTGTACGTTAATGTAGGTGGAAAAACCTGGTATAATTAGCTAGACCTAATTATTTTACAAATGAACACAAAATGTTTTTACAGTTTTAATATATACACTGAATTTCCAGGAATGCAACAACTGTGTACATTGGCGGAAGAGGATATTTTATTTTGTTCAAAACTTTACTAAGAGTTGCTCACAACTTTTGAAAATCATGTCACTGACGACAGTGCCATTCATGGGTATTTAAGTTGCCAATATAACATACTTGTATGAGTCTTCATTTATAGAGATTGCTTGCACAGTGATTTTATAGTCTAATTAGTATATTATATTACTATTCTTGAAATTATGTACATAAGCAGGTCATATTAACTATAAAGTTCATTTCAGGGTGGCAAAAGATGCATTCAAAATATGACATATACCAAGGGAGTGCTAGGGCTGCTAGTTTTGAGGACCACTGGACTAGATTATCTCAAGGGTCCCTTTCTAACCCTTAATATTTGGAAAGCTTGGAGAGAAAATAAACATCCTCCTCCCCTCACACCCTTAATGTGCTTTTTTAAAAATTTAAAGCTCATTTTTGAAAATTGGAGAAGTACAGAATAGTAAGATTTGAAAAAATCACCCATAACCTCATCACCAAGATGTAATAATCACCATTAATTAATGTTTTGGTGCATTTCTTGGTAGTCTTTTTTTCTGTGCACATGTTTTTTTTAAACATAACTGGAATTAGACTATAAATGTAGTTTTGTAAACCTGCTTTTTTAACTTAGTATTTTCCATATCATTAGAAATTATTTGAAAATACTTTTTTTTTTTTTTTTGGAGACAGGGTTTCACTCTGTCACCCATGCTGAAGTGCAGTGGCGTGATTTCAGCCCACTGCAACATCCGCCTCCCAGGCTCAAGCAGTCCTCCTGCCTCAGCCTCCCAAGTAGCTGGGTCTACAGGCACATGCCACCAAAGTTGGCTAATTTTTTGTATTTTTTTGTAGAGACTGGGTTTCGCCATTTTGCCAGGCTGGTCTCAAACTCCGCACTTCAAGCAATCCACTTGCCTCGGCATCCCAAAGTGTTGGGATTACAGGCATGAGCCACTACTCCGAGCCGAAAATACTTCTTTTTTTTTTTTTTTGGAGACGGAGTCTTGCTCTGTCGCCCAGGCTGGAGTGCAGTGGTGCGATCTCGGCTCACCGCAAGCTCCGCCTCCCGGGTTTATGCCATTCTCCTGCCTCAGCCTCCCGAGTAGCTGGGACTACAGGCGCCTGCCACCACGCCCGGCTAATTTTTTGTATTTTTAGTAGAGATGGGGTTTCACTGTGTTAGCCAGGATGGTCTCGATCTCCTGACCTCATGATCCACCTGCCTCGGACTCCCAAAGTGCTGGGATTACAGGCGTGAGCCACCGCGCCTGGCTCAAAAATACTTCTTAATGACTTTGTAATGTGTACATGTCAGGCATTTAAGAGTTTCTAATTTTTCATTATTACAAATAATGCTGTGATGAACTTCCTTAAATATGGGTGTGTCTGTGAGTATTTCTTTAGGATAGATTCCTAGAAGTGGAATTATTGAGTCAAAGGGAATGCTCTTTTAAAGGCTCTTGATAAATGTGGCCAAATTGCTTTATTGAAAGGCCGTCCCTGTTTGTTTTGCCAGCAGTGTATCAGAGAAGACTCTAATCAACCCATGTCATTTAAACCTTTCGAATTTTTATTTTAGCTTTTTTGAGACAGAGTCTCGCTTTGTCATCCAGGCTGGAGTGCAGTGGCACGATCTTGGCTCACTGCATTCTCTCCCTCCCGGGTTCAAGTGATTCTCCTGCCTCAGCCTCCTCATTAGCTGGGACTACAGGTGTGCGCCACCACACCTGGCTAATTTTTATATTTTTATTGGAGACGGGGTTTTGCCATGTCAGCCAGGCTGGTCTCCAACTCCTGACTTCAAGTGATCTGCCCGCCTCGGCCTCCCAAAGTGCTGGGATTACAGGCGTGAGCCACCGTGCCCGACCTAAACCTATGGTAATTTGATAGTTGTAAACTTATATCTCAGTGTTAGTTTATATTTATTTGATTAATAGTGAAGTTAAACACTTTCTGCACCTCTCCTCTGCCTTATGTTTATTACCATTTGTATTTCTTCTGTAAATTGTCTGTCCTAATCTTTTGTCTATTTTTCTTCAGGCATTAAGGGGTTTTCTGATTGATTAATAAATTAGAACTTAGAGCTCACACTTCACCACGGGCCAGGAAATGAAGGGGCCCTTGATTTAGAAGTGGCTTTACAACTTTAGAATCTAGAGTAGAATTACCTCCCTGACATTCCAAGCCCTTCACTTTCTTCACTCCCCCACTTGCCTTCTCACTGCTTTTTCTGCCAGCCCCTGCCCATCTCCAGCTGTTTAGCTGTTCCAACTTGGTTAAAAGGGTTGGGGTTTTCTGCCCAAATACGAGACATGATGATTATTCGTCATAAAACACAGATTCTGTTGAACGACATAGCTTAAAGGAACATATTGATCATGTAGTCTATGCTTCTCTCTCTCTCTCTCTTTCTCCCTCAAATTAAATACTGTAACTTAGGGTCACATAGAGAGTTACTGTCAGAGCCAAGACCAGAACCCAGATGTACTGGCTCCCAGTCTAGAGAGCTTTCTGGCATAACCGACTGGTCCTCTGTCAAGCAGGTGTAGATGGATAAAAGAGTTAGAATAACTGCAAATGACACTTGAATGAAATGAAGCTTTCATTTATTTAACATTCAATAAATACTTGTTGAAGATTGACTGCATGCTAGGGTTAACTTTAGGAGAAATTGCAGTACCAACCCTCGTAAGTTGAGAAACAGCAATGATTTTTAGGATTATTTGCCATTTGGGATGAATATTACTGATAAGCTCTCCATTTTAGGCATACAGAGGACTTATATATAGTCGGGCTGATATGAGGCTGGTTGTTGGATTTTTGTTTTCAACTTAACTCTCTTAAGTCTCTCTCCAGACCCCTGCATTTAGGTTGAACTGATGATGTGGTTTCTTTAGCACAGAAAGTCAGGAAATTGCCTTGCTAAGTTCCCACAGTCAAGTTGGCTGTCCCTTTGTGAGGGCCATTGCTCTGGGCTCTTTCTGACGCTATCCCTGGCAGGTCCCAGAGGCAATGGTATACAAATGCTATATTGGTTACTGTGAAGTTATAGGAAAAGGTGAAGCCTACATATCAAGTGCTATAGAATTCCATTTATTTAGGTCCTTCCTGGAGGAGGAGTCTTGGCTGAGTCTAGAGGGGAGGCAGTTCCTTCCCACTTGATTGTGTTGTTGGCTGAATAATATGTAATATGGCCAATGTTGTGTGAGAAGCTATGGTAGCCTCTATTGTGAAGGAGAGGTGGGAGAGCCACTTCTTTTCCCCAGTGGGAAACCTCATACCTCATCCTGAATTTCCTGACTTGGGAGGGGGGAAGGGCCTTGTTGGGCCTTGTTGAGACGATGGTGATCAGTGCCTATTTTTCCCGTAAAACACCTCGTTTAGCCTTTGTTTTAATGCCTAGGTCTCTCATGGCCCAACTGTGGGCGGGGAGCTCTGTGAGTAGGAAATGAGAAACTGACTCATAGGGGCTGGGGCCTCAGTGCCATGTATCAGATCACAGTGCCATAGGGTTTGGGGTTTAGGAGAGGGAATTTGCAGAGGCCTTTGGGGGGCGGATCAGAACCTGCTGGGGTAGTCTAAGGTCAGGTTGTGAGATACAGAGGAAGCAAGTGAGAGAGGACATGGTTCAGTTGGGCTGTGCTGGTGCCTCCAGCTGCTTCTCCTGATAGGAAGGAGACACAGAAGGTGGCTCTAACTCTGAACTGGTGAGGAGCTGGCTAGACTCAACTCTTTCTTCTGAAATCTGGTCTTTATTCTCTTCTTTCTAGCAGCTCCTGGAAGTCCAAGAGAGTTGCCTAAAGTAAGTCTAATGCCCAGGGCTGATCAACTTGCTGTGGACTGGGCAGAGCCAGGGCTGCCCCAGGCTCCTCAAGTGGGTTTTCTTTCATCACCAGCCTCTCTGGGTACCAGAGTTGGCACCCTTTACCCCTGAATCCCAACACCTCCTGGGGACCTGGACATCAGTGGTGTCTGGGATATGACAGGTCTGAACATCAGTCAGTCCTCAGACAAGCATGTACCGACATGGCCTTTGTGCCCAGTCTTGAGCTCAGTGCCTTGGAGTTTACAAAAAAGTCGAATAGCCGCCATTTAATGTCCTATGTGCCAGGAACTTTGTACGAGTTATCTGATTGATTTCTCTCATGACCCCCAAGAGGTAGGTATTATTAGATCATTATTCCTGTTCCACAGAAAAGAAATGTATATGTATGTACTTTACCCAATGTCATATAACTAGTAAGTGGTGTAGCAAGAGTTTGAAAACACTTTATTTGAACTCCAAGGCCTTTTGCTTTTGGTCACTTCACTATACTAACTGGGAGTCAAAGGTCAGATGGGCCTTGAAAGGAGTGAAATGGAGGTAGCAGGATGGAGCAAATCGAGGCAGCCAGACACACTATCACTCCTTGAGCATTTATTTTGTGCTGGACACTGTGCAAAGGACTTTATGCTAGTACATTAAATCTTCATAACAGCCCCATGGGGCTAGTGCTAGTATTCCTACATTATTGTCGTGGAAACGGAGGCTCAAGGAGGTTAAATGACTTGTCTAAGGTGACCCAGCTAGGAAGTGACACAGCCAAGACTTGAACTCAGGTGGGCCTGAGCTCCTAAGTGCTAGGCCTCAACTACCCTAGAGAAGCTTCTGCTTGCTCTCCCCAGGCCCTGGAGAGGCCCACGGGCAGAAGAAGAGCTTGCCTCATCACCCTTTTAGACCAGCCTGTCCCCACCCTTCGAAGGGGAGTCAGCTAGAGGCTACAGCTCTCTGGGCTGCTGACATCCCAGGCTGGGGTGGGCGTGTAAGGTCTCCAGCTGTGAAGAATCAGCTCTTTGCACCCTAGACCTTGGTTGCTGGATTCAGGGCACCACTTGGCATCTTCTAGAAGTACATGGGGCAGGACAATAGGTGTCAGCAGCCCTGCCTGGAGGAGGAGCTTTGGGCCCTGTGGCCCTCCTCAGCACTGCCTTTCTTGCCCCTTGGGCCCTGGCCTGTTCTACATTCCCTTGATGCCCCGCCTTACCTGCCCCTCCCAAACTACTGTGATCCTTGGGGTCCTTGCACAGCTACCTACCTCCAGCCTGTAATCATCCTATATGCCAAACTGGGCCTGATATCTGAGACACACCACCCCTGAGCTGCCTCCCCAGGGTAGGAGAGGATTTCCAAACATCATGTTCCCAGGCATTCATCTCCTTCTGATCTTTTCCTTTCCCCAGCTTAGAGCAATACCTATTACACAGGGGTTTTAAAAGGTTTAGGAATCTCCTCTGATAGGTGCACCCTGGCATGCATGGATTTTAAGCACTTTGGCCATTATTCACCTCTCATCTTTCCAGAACCGTGTACCAAAAGGCAGCAGGATAATGATTTTGCTGCTACTGTCCCGTATTGGAGGCCAGAGGCGTGGGCCCTATTTATTTGTTAATTTAGTTTTATTTTTTTTTTCAAAAATTGAAATGCAGTTTCCTTTTCTTCATAGATATAAAAATAATACTTTTGAAGTGCAAATAAAAGAAGAATGTAGAAAGTGAGCATTTTTCTCCCTCACTCCCCTAGTCCCACCCCACACGCCTCACAAGATCACCAGTAGTAGTCATTTGGTGCAGATCTTCATAGTCTTTATTCTATGTATATGTTCTCCTTTTCTAAAATAAAAATGGAATCATCCTATTAATAATGTTTTAGGATTTGCTTTTCCCCTTGCTATAACACAAATTTATTTTACAACTAAAATGTTTATACATTATTTGTGTAATTTTCAAATTTGAAATTGAAGGCTGGGTGTGGTAGCTCACGCCTGTAATCCCAGCACTTTGGGAGGCTGAGGCGGGCGGATTGCTTGAGCCCAGGAGTTTGAGACCAGCCTGGGCAACTGGGCAACATAACTACACTTCATCTCTACAAAAACTAAACAAAAATTAGCTGGGTGTGGTGGCGCATGCCTCTAGTCCCAGCTAACTCAGGAAACTGAGGTGGGAGGATCACCTGAACCTGGGAATTCGAGGCTGCAGTGAGCTATGATTGTGCCACATCACTCCAGCCTGGGCAACAGAGCGAAACCCTGTCTCTAGAAAAATAAATAGAATCAAAGAATAAAAAAACACAAAGATTTTCCTCATGTTATTAAATATTTTTCTACAACATCATGTGTCATGGCTGCGTGGTATATGAACAAACCATAAAGCATTTAATTCCCCATTTGCATTGTTTTCAATTTTTTACTATTACAGACAGAGCTGTTGTAGATATCTTTGTCCATAGGTATTTGTGCACTTATGTGGCTGTTTCTGCACTTATGTGGCTGATTAAATTCTAGAAGGGAAATGGCTGGGTCAGAGAGTCAGCTTGCCCTCCAAAGTGCCCAGGACTTTTGAATGCTTGTTGGATGAGGCCTTTGGAGAAGCATTGTAGCATAGGAGTTAAGAACATGGGTTCTGCAGTCAGGAAGACTCCTGCTCTGTTACTTTCTAGTCAACTTCTTCAACCTCCCCAACCCTCAGTTTCCTCCTCTGTAAACTGGGATGATGAGGGCACCCACCTCAGGGGGACACTGTGAGGATTACAGGAGATGCTATATGTAAAGTGCTCAGTGCCTGGCACAAGTGGAGGTGCTCCTTAAATGACTGCAATTATTCAGTACCCTTGGGGCTTTGAGGCTGTTAGGGCTCTTATATCTTTGGTGAGGATCATGCTTGCAGTTTCCTGGCACCCCCAGTCACTAAGGGTGGTGGGATGAATGCAACTGAGAACAAGGCCTGGAAGTCAAGTGGCCTCGTCCTCACTCTGGTGGCAGCTCTCTCTCCAGTAACCCCCTTCCCAATGCCCAATGCAGTTAATTCTGGCAGAAACAGAAAGGAAGCTAGAGGTCTTCATCTCCATCCTACCTCCCAGGAGATGGCACTGCTTTAGTGGGTACAGGGTGGGGGCCAGGAAAAGGTGACTTCAGAGGAAAGGCCATGCTGACCCCAAATCTCCCCCTCTTAGATCCTGGACAGCTCCTCAGTGCAGGCCTTTCTTCACACGGGTGAAGGTCTTTAAGGGCCCTGTTAAAATGAACAGTTATTGGATGAGGGAAATAGCCATTCCCCCCTACACCTCTTGGACCCCAGCAAAGCCCGTGGTCATGGGAGCTTGAGCCTTGTTCTGAGGAGGGCTGGTTAGAGGGGAGGGCAGAGCCAGCTAGGGCTTCAGACTGGAGCTTTAGGTCAGCAGAGTCAAGGGCACTGAACATTTAAGGGAAGGGAAAGATGGACCTGAAAGGACAGTGAGGGACACTTTGCTGAGGCCAGCTTTGAAGGAGACCGGTCTGCCCCTCCCCACAACACTCTCTCCATAGAAAAGATAACTGGAGACGGTAATTTAGTTCTACCCATGTTTATTGCTACCAGCTGGTCTCCCTCCACCCTCTCATATTTACACCCAACCCCTTCCCCAAAGCTAGCTTTTACCAAAGTTCCTGGTAGGAGGTCAAGAAGTGTGTCCACTTAGCCGGCAGTCCTAGATGTAGTGGACGCTGTTTGTCCCCAGGCCAGTTGGGCACCAGGAAGGGCTACTCTGGGGATTCAGGGCATAGACTTCGTACTGGGGTCAAGGGAGGCCCCCACTCACAGATACTCTCCTTTCCTTCTGGGGCTCAATGTACACCAAAACCTTCAGAAAGCAAAGTTGGAGTGGTGGACCCCCAATGTCAAGTTTAGTGCTCTCTTTGCTTGTGAGGACCCACACAAGTGGCCAACTCTGGACTCAGATCCACAGCTGGCTTCCGAGAGGCAATTCTGTCCTTGGAAGCCAGGTTTGACCATCTGTAATCAGCCTTGTGAGAAGTCTCGTTTGAGGGGGCCAGGGATGGAACGGGAGGGCGCATATCGTATGAGGTATGGGCATTGTGTTAAGCTGGGGGAAGTTGCAGCTTGTCCTGAATTACATGGAGAGGAATAAAGTGGGTGAGTAGGAGGAGCCATTTCATCTGAAAGCCTGAGGCCCCTCTGGTCCCCTCGATAAACCCCACTGGTGTCCCAGGCCACAGGTAACAGGAGAATAGACATTTAATGTCACAGAATGTCAGAGCAGGCAAGGCCTTCAGTGATCACCCTTTCTAACCCCAACCCGTCCTAAGCCTAGAAAGAGGAAGCCACTTGGTTCAAGTCTCATAAGATTTAGTGGCCAAACCTCTAAGAAAGCTAGGGAGAAGGAAAGTGGGAATGGTACCTGTGGATTTCTTCAGGCCTTATTTAGGGGAACTGGATTTACCCATGGTCAGTTTGGGTTCTTTTAAATGGCCAGCTTCCCTAGGGTTTTTAGACTGACCTGAAACATTGACTTGGCCCCCTTTTCAGGAGCAGTGCGACAGGGGTAGGTGGTGTGGGGGTGAGGAGGATTTGGAGGCCTTGTTGGTGAGGGACATGGGCAGGGTTTCCCAGTGCCCCACTTGCTGTGGCCGTGGCCATGGCAGGGGAGCAGTTGGTGCCAGGAGGGGCTGCGCTGTCAGTCGCTGGTGGAGGGCGGGGCTCAGGCAGGTGGGATGTGCCCTTGGGCGACTCCCCAACCACTCCAGCTGAGCCTGGAACCTGTAGGGCCCTGGCCTGGCCTCTGTGGCCCTAAGTGTCCCTGGGGAAGCAGGGCCAGGCTCAGTGCCAGTCCTCAGGACCTGGGCCACCACGGGAGGCTGGGCCCACTCCTACAGCCTTTGCAGCTGGGTCCCAGCCTTGGCCTATTGCCACCGCCACCTCAAGGTGCCCCGGCCAGGGAGAGGCCTTGCAGCTGCTCCTCAGTGCCTGCCAGCTCTGCGTCATCGCGCCCGCTCTCCGAGCCCTCAAAGCAGCCTGAGTCGCGCGGGATGTCCACCTTGGGTTCCGACACTGTGTGTGCCACTGGCTCCTGGCTGCTCTCGGCGCCCTCTTCAGCCTCCTCACTGCCAGCTGCCAGGGACGAGAGAGGGAGACAGAATATGGGGGTGGAGGTAGGGACCTTGGGAAATACACCATAGGCAGTCTCTCCTTCTGGGCACCTGCCACCGCCCTGCCCCTCTCCTCACTGCTTCCAGCTTAGAAGCTGGTAGGAGTTGTTTCCAGGCCAGCTCTGCAGTCCAGGAGCTCACACTTCTTTAGCACTAAGCTGGAGCCAGGCAGTGGGCTTGAATCCTGGCTCTGTTATTACTCAGCTTTGAGGCCTCAAGTAAGGCTTTGCCTTCTTTGGCCTTAAGGGTCCCCTTTGATCCAAAGGAGGTTGGGCCCAATCATCCCTACAACTCCTTTCTCCCGTACACTTTCCCTGAAATTCTAATTCAAGTGGAAAGTACCTTTCCACTGCAGAGCAGTCCTAGGGCAGAGCGTGGACAGAAGGCAAGGCCAGGGCAAGCCTCCCCTCCCTGGAATGCCGGTGGGCACACACCCTCACCAGGCCGCTCCTAAAGCCACTCACTGTCATAGTCCAGCAGCAGCTCGGCGGCCGTGAGCAGCTTGGCCCGGTGCTGTGGATCCATGATGTTCAGCTCATTGAGGTGTGTTTCTCGCAGCTCTTTGAAGTCTTCCAGTGTCTGGTAGCCATTGAGCAGGAGGGTGGATGTGTGCTCCTGTAGGCAGAGGCAGGCCATCGGCACAGCTGCTTACCAGCCACCCCTGCCTAGGTCCTCCCCAACTACGCATAGCTGTCATTTCCTGGTCCCCATCCCTGGGGCAGTTGTGCCTCCCTGATACTAGATACTAGTGAGGACCAAGCTCAAACCTCCAGGCCGATGCGCTCCAGCAGCTCATGCAGGGTCTTAGGCTTGGGCCTCTTGCCCTTGCTCTGTCGGCGGCTGGGGCGGGCATGCCCCACGGCCTCCTCGGGCAGCACATCCACATAGATGAATTTGAAAGAGCCCACCTTGCCATTGAGTAGGCCCAGCCACGTGCCCACAGGTGGCTTTTCAATGATCTGGATCACATCTCCTTTCTGTTGGGGGAGAGGAGAGGAGAAGGGAGCAAGGGAGAGAGGATATGGGGGGCCTTGGCCTCCACTGACACTGTCATAGCCTGGTTCAGTCCAGCTTCCTTTTTGGGCACAGCCTGCCAGGCTCCAGAGAAGCCCGGATGCTGATCTTACCTGCAGTTTCAGCGAGTCGTGGTCATAGGGGCTGGGAGTGAAGTCGGTGTGGACTCGTGCCCGGCCACAGAAAGGCCCTGTGTACTGGGGGGCAGGTGGTTCCTCCCCGAAGCTGCCAGAACCTGGGCTGGGGCTGCAGAGCTCACTGCCTGCAGGAGATGGGGCAGGGAGGAGGCTCACCTTTGTCCTAGAACAGCTGAGACAGTGCCTAGCAGGTGCCTTCCAGGGGACCTGCCTAGAAATCCCAAGGGTATACACCGGGAAGGCAGCTGGGCTCTGGCAAGCTTTACACTGCAGAAGGGATTCTGAACCACCCCCTTGGCTACCGACCAGGAGCACGGCTTCACCTCTGGGCCCTTGGACATGAAAAGAGTTGGCAATGGGAGGAGAAATGGCTCACTGACCAAAGAATGGGCAAATTAGGAGGGCCTCTAGAGAACAACTGGGCCAACACTCCAATGAACAGATGCGGAAATCTGAGGTCACACAGACCAAGTGAACTGCTCAAGGCTTCTCATTTTATAACTGGCAGCACTGAGTCAGTCCATTAGACTCCATGTTCCCTGATACCCACTCCAACGCTCCCTCCACCCAGGAAGCTATGCCCTGCATTCATATTTGACTTTCCCTGCTTAACTCAATGTGTAGTTACAATGTCACATAGAAACTCAGTTGGGCTCCTTCTCCCTGGGAAGTACAGAGTAGTGGGCATTTTGAATGATTTTCAGTCGGGGGCAGGGAAGTGTCTGTGGAGGCAGAGAAAGCAGGAAACTTGGAGTGGACTTGAGGGGCAAGAAAGGCGGTGCTGAATGGGGCTGCAGAACCCAAAGCCCCTGCCTGGACGAGTTCCCTGCTGGCACCTCTTGTCCTGTCCCATGGACTTCTAGAAGATGCCAGGTGATGCCCTGAGCCCAGCAACTATGGTCTAGGGTCAAGAGGCTGACTCTTCACAGCTGGAGACCTCATACGCCCACCCCCGACTGGGGCATCAGAGGCCCAGGGATCTGTAGCCTCTAGCTCCCCTTGGAAAGGTGGGGACGGGCTGGTCCAAGAGGGTGACTGAGACTCTTCCTCTGCCCGTGGGCCTCTCCGGGGCCTGAGGATAGCAAGTGGAAGTTCCTCTACGGTACATCTGAGTTCAAGACTGGGTCATCTTGGGCAAGTCACTTAACCTCCCTAAGACCCTGTTTCCACATCAATAAAGCAAGGATAACAGTACTGGCCCCATGAGGTTGTTGAGAAGATTTAATGTGAAGAGGACTGAGAATGTTCCCAGCAGGCAAAGAGTAAGCATTCATTTCTCTTACCCCCCGCCCAGACAGTGTGCCACCAGCACGGCTGTAACCCAGTCCTTTCCTCCAGATTCGGCAGGTGTCCCCCGCATCCCCTACTCACCTGTTGATGCCTGGCGGCTGAGCACCGGAAGTTCATGCTCCTCTTGCTCAGAAAAGGCCAGCGCCATCTTCTCAGGGCCAGGGCTGTCCAGGCTGTAGTCTGGAGATGTCGGGGAGGCAGAGCCCTCCTCCAGAGTGTCTGCCTGCAGGGAGGGTAGGCGGGAAGCTTTAAGGAGCCTTGCTGGGGTGTGCATGAAGCTGAAGAAATGGGCCTGGGCTTAGTGAAGAGCTAGGGGCTGGCTCAAACCCCAACTCTACCACTTATAGGCTGAATGGCACTCTCTGAGCCCTAGTTTCTTCCCCTTTTGTAAAAATGAGAGTGACAGTCCTTGCCCTGGTTACCTCACAGAAACAGGTTCAACCAGGGCACCATGTGGATGTGCTTTTGTCAGCCTCAAGTGCCGATGTACATACAGAAAAGACCACGGTGGCACAACCTGGACTCAACCATTGCTACCGCACAACTGGGCAGACAATGTCGCTAGAGAGGAAACTACTTTTGCCTGTGTTTCTGTGTGCCAGGCCTGCCTGCCATTTCACTGAATCCTTACAGTGACACTTGAAGGTAAGTGGTATTGTTGGCCTGAGTTTACAAATGAGGAGTAAGGCCCAAGGGTTACTTACTCCTCATCTGTAAACTCAGGCCAAGGGAATTCAGGTTCAAGTCCCAAGGCAACCCACAACCAAGCCAGACTCCAGAGCTCCCCCTACCTCACCACACCTCAGTGAGGTGATAACTGTTTAACAGCTGGCCCTGATGAGTTGCCAATTCCTGTGTTGTAAACACTCCCCTCCACGGCCAATGTCAAGCTACCATTTTGACATCACTGGACGTGTTGTCTGAAATGAGGGTGAGGCTATTGCCACCATGAAGATGCTATGGATGCACGTAACCTCAGCAGCATTGATAAGAGTAAAAGGTAGTACAAGAATTAGGAAGTGATGAGTTTTGAAGATTTACTGTATTACCTTTGTTCGTTTTTACAAAATTTTATTTTTTTAAATTTATTTATTTAGAGACAGAGTCTCCCTATGTTGCCCAGGCTGGACTCTTACTGGGCTCAAGCAATCATCTTGCCTCGTCCTCCTGAGTAGCTGGGATTATAGGTGTACACCACCATGCCCAGTTTACCTTTTTAAAAAAATATAATTAACTGAATTGTAAGTTTCTTTAATTTGATTTTTAATAATGGTTGTGTTTAACAACTGGCTTGCACAATTTTTGACAGTTTGACCAACTGCTCTTGTGAGCTGGTATAAGCCCAGTACGAGCCAACTCCAGCACACCACTGCCTCAGTGGCTCCTTTTAGAGCCATGGCAACCCAAACCCACTGTGTGATTTAAGCTTCTTGGGTCATGCCTGCCCCACAGCTGCCTGTGCCAACTTTCCTCCCTGGGCTGAAGCCAGCCTTCTCTGTTTTCTCTCTTTTTTTTTCTTTTTTTTGAGACGGAGTTTTGCTCTTGTCACCCAGACCAGAGTGCAGTGGTGTGATCTTGGCTCACTGAAACCTCCACCTCCCGGGTTCAAGCAATTCTCCTGCCTTAGCCTCCCGAGTATCTGGGATTACAGGCACCTGCCACCACGCCTGGCTAATTTGTTTTGGTATTTTTAGTAGAGACGGGATTTTGCCATGTTGGCCAGGCTGGTCTCGAACTCCTGACCTCAGGTGATCCACCTGCCTTGGCCTCTCAAAGTGCTGGGATTACAGGTGTGAGCCACTGTGCCCAATCTGTTTTCTCTCATAGGGATTCTATGAGAGAAAATAGGCCTTCCCAATCCCGGGGAAGTTCCAAAGCAAAGCTTTGAGGTGGATGGATTGCCTCAGGCCATTTCATCTTTCTCAAGCTGCCCCTGTCCCAGGCCCGCCTCCTCAAGAAGCATCCCTTGCCCAGACTTTTCTTTTTTTTTTTTTTCTCTTTCTTTCTTTCTTTCTTTCTTTCTTTCTTTCTTTCTTTCTTTCTTTCTTTCTTTTTTTTTTTGAGACAGAGTCTTGCTCTGTTGCCCAGGCTGGAGTGCAGTGGCACGATCTTGGCACACTGTAACCTCTGTCTCCTAAGTTCAAGCAATTCTCCTGCCTCAGTCTCTGAGTAGCTGGAATTACAGGCATGTGCCACCACGCCTGGCTAATTTTTGTATTTTTAGTAGAGATGGGGTTTTGCCATGTTGGCCAGGCTGGTCTCAAACTCCTGACCTCAAGTGATCGGCCCCAGTCTCCCAAAGTGCTGGGATTATAGGCAGGAGCCACCATGTCCAGCCCTGTTGCCCAGACTTTCATCCCTTCTCAAACTCCACCCCTTCCCCCGCCAGCCTCCTGCCCCGTCAAGATTGCCTGGCTGCCTGTCCGTGGCTGCAAGTGAGTTTCCCCTCCCATGTGACCTTCCTTCTTGCATCAAATAGGGCCTTCCGGCCTGAGTAGTGGCTATTGAGGTGGTCATGCTCACATTCTGCCAGAGCGGTCCCCAGGCCCCCTGGACACCCCATCCCCTATATCTGCAGGCCTCACCATCTCTTCTGACAGGGCCTTCACCATCATCTTGCCCATCTTCCTGTTCATGGTTCGGGAAATCACTGCCCTCCACTTCTTCCCCAGCTTTTTGCCACTCTTCCCAGCATCTTCTGGGGTGGGGACACCTGAGTCATCTTCTGGAATCTGTGACAACAAAAGAGGCGATCCAGGGACCCTGGTGGTCCTGCCTAGGTCCGGGACTTGAGGCAAAAGAGGCCTTGGGGTCACAGCAGAAGCTGGAGGGGGTGGAACTGAGAGGCCCCCATCCCCTCCCCTCTTAACCCCAGCCATGTCCTTAGCCCTATAAATTTATAAATAGTTTGCTATTTAATGTATAATTGAAAGGAATGCAGGGGAGTGCTTGGTGTGGGGAGAGGTGGACCCTCTGTGTTAAAGGGGGCTTCGCCCCAACAATTCTATCTCCTCTTCACCCTCTTCCCTCCCACCCCCACCCCCCTGCCCAGGGCCTGCAGCCAGATCCCACAAGGATGCCCTGAAACTCACGTTATCATCCAGATTAAACTCCTTCTCGCTCACCACGGGGGAGCTGGGTTTGGATTTGGCAAAATCCTTGAAGCTGCTGGAGCGCTGAAGGGAGAGCTGGAAAAAGGGTGGGTGTTGCAATCAGTGGGCTAAATGGCTGCCCGAGGGCCCACATACTCGCCTCCCCCCACCACACAATACCCACAGCCCAGAGCTGACAGAGCCACATTGCCATGGGAGCCCCAGGCTAATGGGTGACGCACCTCGATGTTCTTGGGGCTACCTGGTTTCATTCCATTCTTCACCCCAGCCCTGGCCACAGACCAAGTTCCTGACCTCAAGAGCTTCACACCTCAATCGGGCCTCAGACTTAGCCTGAAATTCCACCAGTTCCTCAAGTTTGGTCCCCAGAATCCTGGAGTGAAAGACTACATGAGTCAGAGTAAATGTGTATCTACTACTAGAGACATACCTCAGCATCCATGAGCACATCGCCCAGTGTGTAACTGAGCAAATCCCTCCCAAAACCCGTGGCTCTGGCCTCCATGTCCTGGGTGTACTCTGAGCCAGGTCCCCAGTCACAGTGATAGGAACAAACACACTGGGGTCTCCAGCCTGATGAATTTGTGTCCCAAGAAGAGCAAGACAATCTGACTAGAAGCCAGCAAGACCTGGCATGACACTTTCTGGAAAAGCACAGTAGAGGCTTATTCACAGAAGGGGCCCACAGATTTAGGACATACGTGATTGGGGCTAATTTGGTAGAAGAAAGACACCATTTTCTTTTTCTTCTCAGCTTTTAATCTTAGCCACTAATGTGATGAGCTGGCAATAGTGACGTTTGCCAGTGTTTGGACTTTTAGGCATGACCTATTATTGTTTGTGGTCTGTGTTGATGAGATGTTTTTCAGGATATGAGCTTTATTTTATTATTATTATTTTTTGTATTTTTAGTGGAGACGGGGTTTCACCATGTTGGTCAGGCTGGTCTCGAACTCCTGACCTCAGGTGATCTGCCCACCTCGGCCTCCCAAAGTGCTGGGATTACAGGTGTGAGCCACCATGCCCGGCTGAGCTTGCCTTTTTTTTTTTTTTCTGAGATGGAGTCTCGCCCTGTCACCCAGGCTGGAGTGCAGTGGCGAGATCTCTGCTCACTGCAAGCTCTGCCTCCCAGGTTCATGCCATTCTCCTGCCTCAGCCTCCTGAGTAGCTGGGACTACAGGTGCCTGCCACCAGGCCCGGCTAATTTTTTGTATTTTCAGTAGAGACGAGGCTTCACCATGTTAGCCAGGATGGCCTTGATCTCCTGACCTCGCGATCTGCCGCCTCAGCCTCCCAAAGTGCTGGGATTACAGGCGTGAGCCACCGAGCCCAGTCTAGTGAGCTTTCTTAAATATATATGCATGCACATGCAAGGTAGCAGCCAGAAACCAGGGCAAGGCAGGTAAGGGGGACAGGCCCTCGACACAAGAAGTTAAGGCTGAGCCTGTATCAAGATAAACAGTCAAGACCAGAAGATACACACAGGAACCAGGGTTCACAGATGGCCAGACAGATAGAGTGGGATAGACTGCAGACACCCGAGATAAGGGCTTGAGGAACTGAAGCCCCAAACCCACACAACGTTGAAGGTTTCACATCCTCTTTCCTACTAAAGGGGTTGTGTGTGTCCAGTGACAAACTCCCAGGGCAGGGGCAATATCACCTGTCCCCCACCAACACACACACAAATAATTGGCCCCAACTCCTGGGGACTGCAGTGTAGCAGTTTAGTACTCTTGATGGGTCTTGACCAAAGCCAAGTCAGCAATTGGGGGTCAGGGGTCACACATTCCTAAAAGTCACAGCAAGGTAGTTGATGAGAAACTAGGTCAGTGGTCAGGCCAAGCAGACGCTAGCACGATTGGGGCCTGATGGGTGGGGTGCCTGCAGCCTCTGTCAGAAAGCCTCCTCTGTGTTGCCCTGGGGAGCTGAAAAGGGGGCCATAGGTGGGTGTGGGGGAGGGGAAGCATGACCACAGGGTGACCACTCTGGTTCACCTGCATCTCCTCCATCTTCCTTTCTTGGTTGTCCCCTCCCACTATTCTTTCCTCTTTTTCTCCCTTTCTTTCCCCTTCTCTCCTCCACCTTCCATTTATTTCCTCCTCTTGTATGGCTAGGATGCAGCTGCCTGGATAACTTCCTCCTCTTATTGCATGGAAAAGAGGGAACGGAGAGAGGGTGGGCATCGGGCTGGCCTGGGCCCAAGGAGGGCAGGCTGGGCTGCTATTTATAGGCCGATGGGGCCTATTGTGGCCTTCTCTCCACCAACCCTCAGCCTGATCTGCAGACCAGGAGGCTAAGAGTCGCCCCTGAAACCCTGGGGACTGGTGAGGCTGGAAAGCAAGCAGGAGGGCAGGCATGGGGCCGGAAGTCGGCTTTGTTGGGGAAGAGTAAATTCACTGCCTGCCTGCCCTCTAATTGCAGCTCTTTCCCAAGGCCTTTTCCTGTCATTAATCTGCAGTCTGGGGGCTGGGAGGAAAGGCCTTTGGCTCCCAGACCCTTGTGCGAGGGTCCCTCTGTCTCAGTTTTAGTCCAAAGTGGGAGGAGATAATCACAAAGGACTATAGAGATGGTGCTGGGTCTTGGGCCCAGTTGGCTACTCTCAGCCCAGGGAGATGGAAAGGACAAACACATGTTCTTTGGGTGATCGAGTTTCAGGGCCCTCCAGGGTGGCATTTTGCCAAGCCTACCTCCAACCTCAGGGACAGCCCCAAGTATCTTGACCGCCTTTCAGAGAGAGGTGACCCCCATTCAGGGTTGAGTTGAAATTCTTGAGCCTGGCTGGCTTTTCTGCTGGCTTCCCTTTGGAGTGAGGACTTCCTGGGAGTCGTGCCTGACGGGGGAGGTGGTACCATACACTGTTGGCCCCCTTTTCACTTCATGGCTCAGGGGAATGTGTGGGCCTCTTGGAAAGAGCTACATTTCAAATGTATATTACATTTGAAATATACTAAATATATTGTTGAGTATATATGTATTGTATATTACATTTGAAATATATATTGAAATATATATTGTTGAGTATATATGTATTGTATTGTATATATGTATTGTATTGTATATTACATTTGAAATATACATTGAGTATACTCAACAATATATATTTCAATATATATTTCAAATGTAATATACAATACATTTGAAATGTAGGGCCACCAAAGAGTATATATACACCATATGGTTCCCCCTGTATAATTATAGTTCAAAGCCTGGCAGAACTCACCTATGCTATTGTAAGTCAGGATAGTGGTTACTGTGGGAGAAAGGGGGCATGTAGTGACAGGCAGGGGCATGAGGGAAGCTTTCTCAGAAGTTCAACTCTGGATTTGTGACCTCCGGCAAGTTATCGAACCTCTCTGAAGCCCACTTCACATCAGGGCAAGTGTTCCCATCTTGGTTCTGCCACTGATTGTGTAAACTGGGTATGTTTCTTAACTTCTCTAGGTTTCTGTTTCCTCATTAGTGGAATGAAGACAAAAGCACCGACCTCATCTGGCTGTTGTGAGGATGAAATGAGCGAGTACGCCTACAGTGCTTGGAACATTGTCTGACACGGCAGTCCCTTGTGGAATGTAGGTTTATGCTTACTCTTTCCTACACCCCACCTCCAGCCTCTTACCCTGGGCATTTCCCCACCTGGAATACTCTGCCCTTCTCTCTGTCAGCCGTAGTTTCTCACCCTTCCAATTTAAGTGGAAAACCCGCAAATGCCCATCATCTGTAGAATGGATAAATTAATTGTGGCAGAGTCACACAAAAGAATAGTACCCAGGTAGGAGACAGTACAACTGTTCCCAACAGTATGGATGAGTGTCACAAACATATGGTTGAGTAAAGGGGCTGGCCACCAAAGAGTATATATACACGATATGGTTCCCCCTGTAAGTTCAAAGCCTGGCAGAGCTCACCTGTGCTGTTGGAAGTCAGGATAGCGGTTGCCCTGGGGGAAGGGGGGGGTGTAGTAACTGGCAGGGGCATGAGGGAAGCTTCTAGACTTCTGAGAGTGTTGTTTCTTGATCTAAGTGCTGTCTACATGGGGATGTTCACATTATAGAAACTCATTCGGTGGCGCAATTATGATTTATCCACTTCTCTGTATGGATATTATACTTCTATGGAAAGATTTTTCAATTCCAGCTTAAAAGGCAGCATCCATGCAGAAACCATGCCCTGATCAATCTCTCAGAGGTCCACACTGCCCCAGCCAGCATCCTCTTCCCTTACTTCCTGAGCAAACTTGGCTTTCCCCAGTGGTCTCCTGAGCTACCCCCTCTGCTCCTTCAGGGTATCAGGCATATACTGAGCACCCTGTGAGCTCTAGGCCCTACCTCTGTGTGTGTGAGAATCCAGCAATGAGGGTCTAAACTCCTCCCGCATGCCCGTGTCCTGCCAAGCACTTCCTGTGTGCCAGCTCACTCCAGCCTCATCGCAGCCCCGCATCATATTCGCACCTCGAAGCAGAGGAGACCAAGATGCGAAATGAAGTGCCCTAGGCAGGGTGGCGCAGCTGGTCTTAGGAAGAGCAAGCCTCCAAACCCAGGTCTATGACTCTGGAAACCCAAGTATGTTGCTGTGCTCGTGCTACCTCAGAGCTCATGCTGTTGCCCCGCCCCACCAGTGTAGAAGTTAGCAGTGGATTGAGTGTAGTGGTGATGGCATGCAGGTGGTTTTTGAACAGAGCTCCTAGGAAAGCAGGTGGGAGTGCAGAGGGGGAAGGGCTCTGGCGGGGCTTTGTGGAGGAGGTATATCTGAGCTGGGCCATGCAGGGGAGGCAGGATTTCTCCAGGTGGAGCTCGGAAGGGTTTGAACAAGAATGAAAGTTAGAGACGTTGAGAGCCTGATGATGGGATGGTGGGTGGGGGAGTAGAAAAGGCTATGGAAGGCTCTTGCCCGCCAGGCCAAGGGCATGTATCCTGTGGGCAGTGAGGAGCCACTGAAAATACAAAGTGCATGCTGGCAGGGTGTGGGGGTCATACTAGAGGTGTGCTGTAGGAAGGGAGCCATGGAGAAAGTGGGGATGTGGTAGAGTAGGAGCATCCTTAGGGGAACCAAGTCCAGGAAAAATCCCTCTCCACTTCCTATACCCCAACACTGGCCTTTGGGTGAAATCAGATCAAAGGGCTTGCAGAGCAAGAACTTGAAGGAAGTGAAAGTCTCCAAAGGGCAGCTAAGAGGTCTGTCTCCCAACCCTGGGGCCTCTCCAATCCTTCACGATCCATGGGAGGCGCCATGTCCTAGCCCTACCATTCTAGAGGGCCCGCACCCTCCTCTGCTCTGCTGGCTGGAAGGTCACTCATTCCACAGCTATCTGGGTCTGCCCCACGGAGCTCTCCTGCTGATGGGTTGAATCTTTTATGCTCATCAGACTCTTCTAGCGCCTTTGAGATCAACAAGGGGACAAGAGAGTGGAGAGAGAAGGGGTCAAGATTCTGGAGTCAGACAAATCTTGGCTTGGATCCCTGCTCGGCAGCTTCCCAGCTGTGTGACCTTCAGCAAGTTGCTTCACCTCTGTGAGCCTCAAGTGTCAAATAGGGATAATGACAATATCTGCCCCTACCTCACCAGGTTGTCGTGGGGAGTGAACAAGGTAAGAGATGCACAGCACCGTGCCTGGCATCCCATGAGCTCTCACTCTGTGGTGGCTCTTAGTACTATTAAGTCTTGTGTTCTCTGTGCCAGCACTGGGGGCATGGCTCATTCTTCTTTGCAGTGTCTCCCTATCCCCACCCATGCCTACAGCAGGCACCCCCTTGTGTGGTATGCACGTGCACACTTGTGACAGGGTACTCTCACATCTATTCTTTTGGGTGATCTGTACAACCTCTTGAGGGGGGCAGATTAGGAGTTATCCTCCTTTTCAGAGGCGAGGAAACTGAGGCCCAAAGAAAGTCAATGAGCTGTCCAAGGTCCTACAGCTAGAGCGTGGTAGGATTCCAGCTCAGCTTTCTTGCCCCCTGTCTGGCACATTCTCCATTGGCAGGCCCAAGAGGAGAAGCAGGGGCAGGAGAAAGAGGCCTCTCTTGCCTTTGTGCTTTCCTCTCCACCACGTCATCTCAGCCTCTGAGAAGAAGGGACTAGCAGTGATTCAGCCAGCCCGCTGCCTCTGGGCCTGGGGAAGATGCTCTGTACCTTCTGGAAGCTTGGCTTCTGGGGGACATTTCCATAGTCTGGGGCTAGCAGAGTGTGTGGAGGCAAGCTCATCCCAGCTCTGGAGGCTGGCACCGGCTCTGGCAGGGGTTGGGGTGGGGTTTGCCTGGACTACTCTCCCCGAAAGGACCCCTTCTCCTGGGAGAGACCTGGGGAAATCCCAGGGGCCCACTTGCCTGCCGAACACAGAATCTGGGTAATTGAAGCTGGGAAAGAAAAAGGGGACTTCTGGCTTCTGTGTGCCCCTAGGTACGTCTTCCTGATGTGGCACAGGGTCCCAGTGTCAAAGTGTCAGCTCTTTCTCACACTTTCCTCCAGCTCAGCGCCCCTGTGGTTTGAGGCCTAGCAGTGTCTATAGAGCAATCTCTGTTTCCCACCCCCACCAGCCAGAGAGCAAGGGGAAGTGGCCCTGCTCTCTTAGGAGTGGCAGCCAATGGCAGTCCTGCTGGGCCTAGCACCCTGCAGGGTTTGGACGGGGATGACAGAGCCCGTGTGAAGATTCATGAACCTCCCCCCTCCCCCGCCCACCACCACTGCAACCTTAGAGAAGCAGCTGGGGTGGGGAGAATACAGCCGGAAGTGGCAGCCACCCCAGGACCTGAGAGCTGGGGCAGGATGCACACCCCACTGCCCCGAGTCTCAGTCTTTCAGCTGCCTTGGCCTCCATCTCTGAGCTACTCCCCTGACAAGGGGGATCCACCATAGGGCACCTGGGCTGAGTTCCAGGGAAAATTGGCGGGGGATAGCCTGGGCCTCTTGGACCTAGTTCAGGCCTGCTTTGGGACTGTCCTAGCATCCCATTGGATGTGTAGGATATACTTGCTGATTGTCTGGGAGAATCCTTCAATTGAATTAAAGAATTAGGTCTAGAAATCCTCAAACCCAACCAAAGAAATCTGGAAATCCTCAAATTCAACCACAAAATCCTAGATCTGGCACAGCCTTCAAGGATTCTTCCAGTCCGGTCTCTGCCCCAGGGGGATGAACACCTCAGCCATCCATGACAGCTGTTTTTCCTCCTGGCCTTTAAAATCCTCCCTCCTCAGCCTTCACTCCTACTCACCACCTCAACTTAATTTCTCATTCCCCACCCAGGAAGAACCTGTATGCCCCCTGCATCCCACTGCACTTCCGGATGCCTTTTCCCCCAAGACTGGAATGGCCTCAGGCCCCCATCTCCAGGTTGGCTCCATCTCGGGTAGGGCCTGGGAGCTACCACAGAGCTGAGCCAAGTGGGCAGGGTCTGGGCCATGGCCAAAGTGGAGGAGGGGGTGGCAGTCCTGTGAGCATCATGGCTCCAAGCTGGGCAGCCCAGCAGGGCCCTTTGAGTGAGATGGCTCCTGAGAGGCCGTGGCCGGGGCAGAAGTGGCAGCAGGACCAGCGTAGAGGAGAGATAGTTAAGTACAAGCTTAGGGTTCAGCTTAAGCATTGTATTTTGTTATTCTCAAATTCTAGTCTAAGATTCTGGCCCCTAATTTTAGATCTTTTTTCCCATTCTTCTAGGGTTGAATTGCATGACTCTAGATTTCTAAGGATCTATTCTGTAACTCTGTTGCTCCAGAATTTTAAACATCTCTTCTGTACTTCTGTTAACCTTTGGGTCCCTGTCCCGTTGCCTTCTAGGTGAGTGGCCCTCACCTACAGACTCAACATATGGCCTTTGGCTCTTCCCACTTCCAAGAGTCTTGGAAGGGATGGGTCGAGCAAGCAGAGGAAAGGAAGATGTGAGTTCCCAAAATGCTCCTCACCTTTTTCTTCTGAGTGGGCTCCTTCTCACTGGCATTGGAGGGCTTGCGGCGCAGCATGGTCCTCCACCCTGGGAGACTCCGTCCCTGCTCTCCTAGGTGTCAAGATGCAGAGGCCTCTTGCTTAGCCTCACCAGAACTGCCCGGGGGCACGGCATGAACCGAGCCTTCAGCTGCCACTCTGACTGCTGCAGTGGCAGCTTGGGGGTGCGGGCCATGGACACCCGGCAGCAGCAGCATACAGGAAGCCCTGCCACGTGACCTACTCTTACAGCAATCGCAGCCCCTGCCGGCCCCTAGGGAGGAAGGAAGTCCAAGCTTCAGTCTCCAGAGATTCTGATGCAGACGGCTCTTGGGTTGAACAGTCAGAGAAAGTCCCTACCTTGTTGTCTCATGTCGATCATCATCAGTCCTTCTGCTCCATCTTCCTAGAGGTGGACAATCAGCTCGACATTATATGGCGTACCCAAGCCCTTTATCTCACTGACCAGAATCCAGAAACCAGAAGTTGGACCATCTGGCTGCCTGTTGGATCAATGCTCCCGGTCAACTCACGTCTTCAAGGTCGTCACTGCCATCACTACCACTACCATCACCCCTGTGACCATCACCACTGCTACCATCACTCCTATCAATAGCCATCACCATACAGCCATCACCCCTACAGCCATCAGGCCTGCAGCCATCCCCGCTGCCATCAGCACACCTATAGCCATTGTCACTATGGTAATCACCTCTACAGTTGACATCCTTCAGCCATCACCTCTACAGTCATCACCATTGCTGCTATCACCCTTCCAGCCATCATCCTTACAGCTGTCACCCTTCTGGACATTACAGCCAACCGCACTCATGACCCTCTCACCCCTATAACCATCGTCCCTACAGTCATCTCTCCTACAACCATCATCACATCCGTGCAGCCATCAGCCCTGCAGCCATCACTCCTACAGCCATCAGTACACCTAAAGCCATCATCACTAGAGCAGTCACCCCTCCAGTCAGTACCCCTCAGCCATCATGAGTATATTTATCACCACCACAGCTGAAAAGCACTTACAGCCAACTCCACACCTCTAGCAAGTATCCAACAGGCATTTATCAAACACCTATGCAGTATATTCAATTTGTGGGTTGTCTGTGGCAGATTTTAATAACTTTAATAACTTCTTGGTATTACAAAAGCAACTTGTATTTGTCATACAATTTCACAAACACATAAACAAAAAAAATTTCAAAATTTCCCATCATTGTCCTCTACACTGTTTTAAGCATCTATCTACTCTCTGTCTATAAACATTTTTTTTCTTTTTACAAAAATCATACTGCTCAGAAAACAGATAATTGGTTTGGGGAGAAGGGGAGGGGAGAGAAGGGAAGGGAGACATCACACAGGGTAACAGGAAGCTTTTAGGAGTGATGAATATGTTCACTATCTTGACTGTGGTGATGATTTCATGGGGGAATACACATGTCAAAACGTATCAAATTGTATACTTCAAATATGTGCAGTTTATTGTAGCTCCATTATACCTCAATAAAGCTGTTTAAAATTTTTTAATTAAAAAAGGTCATAATTCACACTATTGGTGTCTGCTTTTCACACTAAACACAGTATCTTTTTTGTTTTTTTTTCGAGATGGAGTCTCTCACTCTGTCTCCCAGGCTGGAGTGCAGTGGCGTGATCTCGGCTCACTGCAACCTCCACCTCCTGAGTTCAAGCAATTCTTGTGCCTCTGCCTCCCAAGTAGCTGGGACTATAGGTGCGTACCACCACCCTGGTTAATTTTTGTATTTTTTGTAGAGACAGGGTTTCACCATGTTGCCCAGGCTGGTCTTGAACTCCTGGTCTCAAGTGACCTCTTTGCCTCATCCTCCCAAAGTGCTGGGATTACAGGCGTGAGCCACTACGTCCAGCTGAACACAGTATCAAGATTGTCTCATGCTATGAAATAGTCTTCAACTACGTAATTTATAACGGCTGTGGAACATCCCATTGTGTGGATGTGCCGTGCTTATTTCACCAAGCCCTTGCTGATGAACTTGGGTTGGCTTAAATTTTTAAATTATTCATTGAACATACTTATGGTAAATATTCACATCCATAGTTTTTTTTCTGTAGGGGAAATATCCAGAAGAGGAATTGCTGGGGTCAAAGGTATGCACATTTTTAAGGCTTTCAATTCTGTGGTACTTGTGAAATACTAGGCTTGTCCACCCCTGTTCCCAAGATGTTCTCGTGACTTCCTCTCCGATTCTGCTTTATGCCCTCTGACCATCCAACCTTCAGGGTGAGCTCAGGGAAGATAAGATCTTTCTTCCCTAAGCTGAAACCATACATTCTTTGGCCTACTCAGTCGGCCAGGCAGACTCATGAAAAGATTCCACACCCCAGATCTCCTTCCCACTGGCCTGTGTTTTCCACCCTGAAAGTCCCTCCCAGGCGGCCCAGGGTCACTAGCAAGCGCGGTAACTGGTTAAGGCTTTTCGGCATATACAGTAGCCTGGCAGCCGTGTAGGGGACCCATCGGGCCTTTGGGGCTCTGCGTGACCAGGAGCAGGAGGGCAGCCCCAGAGGGTTCTGGGATTGGGGACGCCGCTGTAGTGGCCTGGGGCACCTGGAGCCAGAGCCGTGAGGGAGGAAGCAGGTCGCAGAATCTTCCGGGCCTGCGCAGCGGCTGCGTCCCTGGCCGCCTCGCAGGATGTGCCCGCTTCCTGTTTGCTCAGCGCCGGCAGCGACAGAAGATCACACACTAACCGCAGAACCTTCAAAGGCGGCCAGCAAACCAGGGCACAGGGCTGGCGAGGCTTGGGAAAAGGCAGCGAGAGGGAGGTGAGGGTGCCTTGGAGAGAAATATGGAGAGGTGACCAGCTCCCAGGACAGAAGGGAGCAAGTGTTTTCAACGGCTTCCTTCGTTCTCCTTTTCAGATCTGTCTCCTCTGTTCAGGAACACCTCCTCCCCGCCACCTGGGGACCGGGGCCAGTGGAGGCGGGGTGTCCAGGACCCCCCATCGGGACTTGCCTTCCCCCAGCTTTTCTCTTCCAACAGATTGCCCTGGCTGAATCCCAATAGGCCAGGTCCTTGCTGGCTAATGACCCTTAAACATGTGTTTAATAGATTTTCCCTTCTGGGTAACATATTTGCATTTTACAGGTTATGTTGTTTGAGGTACGCAGAGCTCTCAGCTAAGGAAGTGATACGAGTCAGTAGTTCAGGGAACAAGGTCACCTTAAACTTGATAATGGGCCGGCAGGCAGAACCTAGGAACTTGCTGTGGGCACAGCCTTGTGCTAGGCCTCGGGAGGAGGTACAAAATAAATAGCCATCAGGGCCCCTTGTACCTGGGAGCTGACATCCTAGGTGGAGTGGCAAGCTTACATTTACCCAGCACTTGTTCTTTACCAAGCACTACATTAAGCACTTGACAGATGTTTAATCCCACCACAACCCCTGGAGGCGAGTAGTTTAATATAAAGACGTATCCAGAAGTATAGATTTGGGGCAGAAGAACCTTGATTTAGCGCCAATACTGCAGGATTGCAGGGTGTGTATGTGTGTGTGTGTGTGTGTGTGTTTTGGGGTTCCACTGATAGTGAAATCAACCTGAACCCTCAGAGGGTGGATGTAGGACTACCAAAGACACAAAGGTCATCGTAGGCCACATTCAGATAAAGCAGCTCCCACACCAGCACACTCCAAGTATTTTTTTAAATTTAATTTAATTTAATTTTTTTTTGAGTCTTACTCTGTTGCCTAGGCTGGAGTGCAGTGACGCGATCTCGGCTCACTGCAACCTTCACCTCCTGGGTTCAAGCTATTCTCCTGCCTCAGCCTCCTGGGTAGCTGGGACTACAGGCGCATGCCACCATGCCTGGCTTATTTTTTGTGTTTTTAGTAGAGACGGGGTTTCACCATGTTAGCCAGGATGGTCTTGATCTCCTGACCTCGTGATCTGCCCACCTTGGCCTCCCAAAGTGCTGGGATTACAGGTGTGAGCCACTGCACTCAGCCAAGAAATTCTTATTTAGTAGATGATCATGAGTGGGATATTTGGGGCAGGTAAGATCCAGACCATGTACAAAAGCATCTCTCACTCTCTGAATGGATATATTTCTAATTTGAGATAGTAAGAGTTTGGATAGTGAGAGATACTTATATCTGGAAAAACCTCCCAAAAGATTCTTTAAGTTTTAATTAATTAATTAATTAATTAATTAATTAATTTGAGACAGGGTCTCCCTCTGTTGCCCAGGCTGGAATGCAGTGGTGTGGTCACAGCTCGCTGCAGCTTCAAACTCCTGGGGCTCATGATCCTCCCACCTCAGCCTCCCGGGTAGTTGGGACTACAGGCACGTGCCACCATTCCTGGCTAATTTTTTTTTTTTTTTTTTGCCTATGTTGTCCAGGCTGATCTTGAACTCCTGGCCTCAAGTGATCCTCCTGCCTCTACCTCCCAAAGTGCTGCAATTACAGGTGTAAGCCACTGCACCCGGCCCCCAAAGATTCTTATTTCCATTCCCCCCAGTCCCCACATCTAGCTGAAAATTATTATACTTCATGGCAGGCAGTGGGCTTTACAACAACCTGGTAAGTCAGGCACTATTGTTATCCCCATTTTCCAGGGAGGAAGCTGAGGCCCAGAGGAGTTAAGTGAATTGCCCACACAGCTAGTAAGCAGTGGAGCCCAGCGTTAAATGCAGGTCTGGTCTTGGCCAGGGCCCACACAACTAACCACTCAGCTGAAGTGCCTCTGATGCGGAGTTCCTGAACGGGGAGGTGAGAGAATTATGGAGCCCTCGGCTTGCAGCCTTCTCTTGGCACCTGATGCTGGTTTGGGTGCCACACTAGGTGCCACAGAGCCACCTTGAAGCAGGCCCAGAGGGGAGTGAACAGGATGGGGAGGACATCTGGAAGTCGCATCACATCTGCAAAGCTGCAATAGCTAGGGTCGATTAAGCGGGGGTGAAGTATAGGGAAGTCGTCAACGTGTGAAGTACTAAACTCCTGTCACATTTAGCCTAGGTGATTGGGGTGGGGAAGCAAGTGGTATGAATGATGGGGAACAGATAAATGGAAGGTTTTAGTATATTCCAAGGAACAAATTTTGGCTATTCAGATGGCACTAGTTCAGCTCTGGTAAGTAATGATCTCCCCATCTCTTGAAATATTCAAGTAGGCCGGGCACGGTGGCTGACACCTGTAATCTCAGCACTTTGGGAAGCCCAGGTGAGTGGATCACCAGAGGTCAGGAGTTTGAGACCCGCCTGACTAACATGGTGAAACCCGTCTCTACTAAAAATACAAAAATTAGGCGGGCATGGTGGCACATGCCTGTAATCCCAGCTACTTGGGAGGCTGAGGCAGGAGAATCGCTTGAACCTGAGAGGTGGAGGTTGCTGTGAGCCAAGATCACGCCACTGCACTCCAGGCTGGGCAACAAGAGTGAAACTCTGTCTCAAACAAAACAAAACAAAACAAAACAAAACAACCAAAAAAAAAAAAAGAAAGAAAAAAAGAAAAGAAAAAGAAATATCCAAGCAGAGGCCACATAGTTTCTTGAAAATACCTGGACATTTCCAAGGTGAAGCCCACTTTAGTAGCCCGGCCCATTAGCAAATTTAATGGTGGTCATTTTAGGCAGGGAGGGCAGAAAGAGCAAAATTGCAGGAGGGAGAAGGCGGGCAGAGGAAAGCAAGGAGACAAGGGCAGGTGACTCTTGCGCCCATTCCTCATGCCCACATACAACACACACAGAGTGGGCATCTGGTGGCAGGGGCTGATGGGAGGGGAGGGAAAGACAGTGATCTTTGGAACTCTGAACTCGTGATAAGGTCTTGGTTTTAAAACAAAACAAAACAAAAAACACCTGCTGGTAGCTCTGTCAATTACCATCAGAAGAGGAGGCTGGACTTTGGTGCTCAGATTAAAACACACTCATGACTCACTGGTGGGGGGGTGCACTTTCTATGGGGGACAAGTAGGGGCTGGGCTACTCTGCATAAATCTCTGTCCCAAGGTTACAAGGACAAACCTCTCTGATCAGTGGGCCCCTCCCCCATGGGGACAATTGTCCAGGGCTCCAGGGAAGAGGAGGAACAGAACACCTCTCAGAAATGGAGTCAGGTTGTCCTGATTGGATTCAGATTGTTGTATGGTCACCTACTGGCTGCATAACCTTGGGCAAGTGACCTCACCTGCAATGAGCCTTAGTGAAGATGGTAACAGTGATAATGTGGGCCTTTCTTGTGGGTGTGTGTGACTAGGGTTACTACTCAGGTGACATGCATAGAGGGAGTGCTCTCAGCCCAGTGCCCCAGCTAGTGGAAAGTGCTGGGTACCTGGTGAGTGACTCCACATCAGTTCACTTCAGACTCCACCTGGAGTTTCTCCCCTTGCTAAATCCAGGAAGGCCTTGGTGACCGTTAGGAGCTGCCGCTTTCTCCCTTAGTGTCCCCTTGGAATCTTCTTCTTCTTCTTTTTTTTTTTTTTGAGACAGAGTCTCACTCTGTGGCCCAGGCTGGAGTGCAGTGGCAAGATCTCGGCTCACTGCAGCCTTCGCCTCCCAGATTCTCCTGTCTCAGCCTCCCGAGTAGCTGGGATTACAGGCGCCTGCCACCACACCCAGCTAATTTTTTGTATTTTTAGTAGAGACAGGGTTTCACCATGTTGCCGACCATGTTGCCAAACCAGGCTGGTCTCGAACCCCTGACCTCAGGTGATCCACCCACCTTGGCCTCCTAAAGAGCTGGGATTATAGGCGTGAGCCACCATGCCCGGCCTGGCACCTGCTTCTATGTCTCTTGAGGTCCGCATCTGAATCTCTGCTACGTGACCCTGTGGCCCATATCCTATGTCTCCACCTTGTCAAGAGTGCATCCCTCACCCCAAGTTGTTCTAGAACACAAGAGGTGTGACAAACAAGAGGGCCTGAAGCTGCCTGGGACCCGCTGGGAGAGAAACCAGCTTTTCAGCTTCGTGGACTTGCCACGGACCACTGGGGCTTTCTCAACCACCCATCCTACCCGACTTAAGCTGCTTGCTCAGTTCCTGTTTCACAAAGAAACAAGGAAGTGAAGAGATGGGCCGGCCTCTGGGCAAAGGCTAGCTGGCTTGGGGTTTGGGGAGCACCTCCCCCTCCTGGCTGTGACGAGCCATGAGGAGCAGGGACGGACAGGGAGGAAACGGTTGCTACTGAATCTTTCGCACTTCTATATATATATATTTTTTGGTGCCAAGAGTGCCCAACCACTGATTTGAGGAAGCACCCAGTGAGTTGGTAAAATTCACTGCTGACGTGGTTTAGCTGGCTGAAGAGTAGCCAGCCCAGCCCCTTCTGAGGTCCCAACTCACACACAGCTGGAACCAGCTGACTGGCAAACCAGCAAAGGCTGAGTTAGTTATCATTTTAAAAAATGAACTATTGTCTCACACCTGTAATCCCAGCACTTTGGGAGGCCAAGGCAGGAGGATTGCTTGAGGCCAGAAATTTGAGACCAGCCTAGGCAACATAGACATCATCTCTATAAAATAAAAATTAAAAAAAAAATTAATCGGGCATGGCGGTGCATGCCTGTAGTCCTAGCTAATCAGGAGGCTGAGGCGGGAGAAGCACTTGAGCCCAGGATTTCAAGGTTACGGTGAGCTATGATGGTGCCATTGCTCTCCAGCCTGGGTGACAGAGCAAGACCCTCTCTCTAAAAAAAAAAACAAAAAACAAAAGGAGCTATTTAGATGATTTGTGTATGTACCTATCTACCTATCATCTTACCTATGCCCTTTTCTATTCAGATTTGAAGCTTGAAGGAACGTGGCTCAACACCGCCGTCACCATTGTTGTCACAGCTGTGTGACCTTCAACAGGTCTCCTTGGGCCTCAGTGGGTCATTAGAGGCAGTAAGGGAGTGACAGAAGCACACACTGAAAGCGAGAGCGGAGCCATTGTGGAGCTGAGTCAGTATGCTGCGGATTTAGTCCTTGCTCTGGCCCCACTGGACTGTGTGACCTTGGACAAGTCCCTTCCTCTTCCTGGGTTGCTGTTGAAGTTTTCCCATCTGTACACTGAAAGGACTGCACCAGGTTTTGTGTGTGTGTGTGTGTGTGTGTGTGTGTGTGTGTGTGTGTGTGTGTGTTTGGTCATGGAGCTCCTATTCAGGATTGGCTCTTGAATTTTGCGGGCCTTGTGCAAAATGAAAATGCCCGGTGCCTCTTGCTTAAAAATTATCAAGAATTTTGAGACAGTGACAGGCGAGCATTAAACCAAGCATGGGGCCCTTGTAAGCACAAAGTCTTGAGGGACTGCACAGGTCCTACACCCGTGAAGCTGGCCCTGCAACTACTTCAAGTACAATTTTACGGGAAGCCCGTCAGGGCTACTTCGTGCAGCAGCTCTGTTTTCCTCGACAGCCCCTGTGGTGTTTCTGAGGCATCTCAGGCTCCCGGGAGCATAGTTGGAAAGACGTAAATTAGATGTTTGCTCTAGAGCCTTTCTAATTTTGGCTATTTATATATAAAACTTGGGTTCCAGACCTTTTTCTTACCTACCTGCAAAGGTGAAGCTGAATTGAACTTGTGCTGGGCAAATAACAGCAATATCATTTCTTGTCTGTGTGGCTTCCTGGTTTAGAGTGCTGCCACATCCGGGTCTCATGAGCCTCTCGCTGTAACCTCACCAAGAAGGCAGCATGGGAGATTCCAGAAAGGATAACTGAAGACCAGGGAGAAGTGACTTGCCCAAGGCCACACAGCTGGCACAAATGGGACTCAAACCCCAGAATCTTAACTCCTAGGAAAAGGGGCTTTTCCACATGGCCGGCTCCCCAGGCAATCAGCAGGCGAGGAGAGGTTTGCTAAGCCCCATCCTCCAACATTAAAACAAAGTACTAGAGCCCAAGGGGACAGTTCCTAACAATCTTTCATTCCTAACGATGTCACAAGAGTCCCTGTGTATCAGCCCTGGTGTATGTGCCCTGTTTCCCTGCCTGACCCAGAGTTAATCCCTTAAAGCAGGAATGGTCAAGTCTGGCCATCTGGGTCCCAGGGGAGGGAAGAGCTGGGGTGACTGTGAGCCCTCGTTCCAGCCACGTTCCAGGGCTGGGTTCTTCCTCCCAGAATGGTAGGCTGGAAGGGGCAGTTAAGGGGATTCAGAGATGAGGTGGAGTCCTGGGTCTCGCACTGAGGAAAAAAGCACGAGCTGCCTCGGTCCGAAAGGCCTGTGTGAGGGTGTTGGTCAGGTGCCTGGTCTTGCCACCCATGACCTGCCAGAACCCCAGGAGCAAGTGTCAGGGTGCAAAGGCAAAGGTCTGGCAGGGTCTGGGGAGGCACTATGGTGTGGATCTGCTTCTCCTGCTTGAGCCTCAGTTTTCTTGTCAGTAAAATGATGAAAGCCATACCACTTGCCCTTTATTTTTCTTTATTTTATTATTATTATTATTTTTTGAGATGGAGTCTCGCTCTGTTGCCCAGGCTGGAGTGCAGTGGCACGATCTCAGCTCACTGCAACCTCCGCCTCCTGGGTTCAAACGATTCTCCTGCATCAGCCTCCCGAGTAGCTGGGACTATAGGTGTGCGCCACCACACCCAGCTAATTTTTGTATTTTCAGTAGAGATGGGGTTTCACCATGTTGCCCAGGCTGCTCTTGAAATCCTGGCCTCATGTGATCCTCCCACCTCGGCCTCCCAAAGTGCTGTGATTACAGGGGTGAGCCACCACACCCGGCCAGGACTTGCCCTTTCTTGAGAGTGGATTCTAGAGTCCTCTGACTGGTTTAAATCTGGCTTTTTTTCATTTACCCAATGAAAAAAGTGACTTTGAGTCACTTGATAAATCTCTATGGGCCTCACTGAGTTCCTGCACTTGTAAAATGGGAATAAGAAAAGGGCCTTCTCAGAGGTTGTGAGGATTAAATGAGAAAATGCATGTAAAGCTTCTTGCACGGTGGCACATAAACACTCAGTAAATGGCAGCCATGATGATGATGATGGTGATGATGATGAGGGTGATGATGACTTTAATTTTATTAGTAGTACCTGTCTTTGTGGGGTGAGCAGGTGAGGGAGCAAATTATTTAGCAAACAGAGGCCCATCTTTGGATACTCAGTAAGGCTTGGTCAGGGCTGGAGCCTCTGGATGCAAGCACTGGTGATGGTAACCATCACAGGTCACCCTCACACTCAGCAGACTAGGCCTGATGGTTTCAGGCCAGGAGACTTCTCTGCCTGGTGCCTTTGCCTGGCACCCTGCACCTTGGTTCTTTCCTTCCACCAACTGTGCGCTGCTTGGCAAAGGTGCCAGCCCCAACTTTTCTGGATTACATTTGACAAGTTCCCCAGTGTAGGGCTCCTTTCTGTCCCTTCCACAAGGTTACAATACCTTTTTAGACAGGCTGGAGGTTGGCTGGTTGGGCGTGGTGTGCACGTGCATCTGTGCACATGCGCACACATATTCATATGCATGCTCACACACATACTCTCAAGCCCACGTGCTCCCCCACTGAGCTTCTAGGAGCCTCATGTCCCCACCCCCACCTCACCCTCTCTTCTTCCTCCCCCACCACAAAAGCCACAGGTGACAGCAGTCTCCGGCAACACAGCAGACACAATGCAAAACCCAGAGGCAAGTGTCTTTGTTAGGCTGTTTTAAACGTCTTAGCAGGATGTGGACCCAGGTGGCTAACGGCCAATTTGGCCGGAGCAAATTCTTCTCACCACAGTGGGTTCAGAGAATGAGGAGAGGGCTGGGAGGTGGGCTCAGGGACTCTGCATGTTGCTGAAGGGTGAAAGAGCTGGAATGCTGGCTCATCTGGCCCCATCAACTCCCAACCAAATTTGTGTGTCCTTAGGCAAAGCCCACCCCCTGTCTGAAGCTCAGTTTTCCTGTCTGTAAAATGGAGAAACCAGACACTGTCCACACAAGGTGAAGGGGCATCCAAGAATGTGGGAGGATTTAACAGCATTGTAGCTGTGGCTGCACTTTGGAAAGTTCAAAGGGCTCCTCGAATGCCAGGGAAGTCTAGAATAGTGACGGGTTCCGGCTGCCCAAGTTTGTTCTCCAACCTCTGGTAGGGTCATATTCCAGAGTGCCTCACCGCATTCCCTCTTACTCCACAGCCAAATTCCTATGGCTTAACTCCCTCTGCTGTTACTTGGCATGGAGCCTACCCAGGGTTTAGGAATGATGGGTTCACATGTGGGGGGTTGATGTTTCATGCCCTGGCTGGGTGGGAACAGCTCTGGCTATGCCCAACAGGTGGTGATAGGTTTGGGCTCTCCCGGGACCATGGCACCCTTGGGTGGTAGGGGCATTGCTCTCTTGGGGTTTTGTTTGGCGGGAGGGGAGCAGCTGTAGCAGTCTGTGCTAGGTTATAGGTTAGGCCTACTGAGATCACAGAAGAGAAGAGACTAGCTGGCTTTCCTATCTCGGGGCCTGGGATTAGGGGCCCAGGGTGTGGTATACAACCCCGGGGTGCAGGGAGGTGCCATCTGGGGCCAAGAAGCCCTGTGTTCCTGGGGCCTGGGACCTTCTCCATAGGTCTTGGAGAAGGAGGATGAATGCAAAGGTTTCTAGGCAATGGGCCAGCAGGGGCTCTTGGGGTATGTTCAGTGCAGGGTGAGGGGAGCTAAGCAAGGGAGCCCCCCATCTAGATGGAGGGTTAACAGGAGAGTCTGGAGCCTCTAGACACTCCAGCCAAGGATGGCAAGGGTGGAGACCACTAACACAGAGGCCCAGGAGGCGGTGTCTGGGGCCCTGGCGGCCAGGGGCTCTGTGTGCTGTTGAAGCCACTCGAACTCCTCTAGTAGCTGGCGCCTCTGCAGCTCTGGACCCACCTTCTCCCGGATGGTCTGGTAGTAGCGATTCAGGTACTGGAGCTGCGAAGGATAGAAGGGGTGACAGCCTCTCTAAGCCAAGCTGCCAAGAGGTGAAGTCTTGGTGACGCCCAGTCCCCTGTTGTGGTACTCCAGCTGTCACCATAGTCCAGATGGCCACAGGTCCCCCACCATCATCAGGCTTCAGGAATTCTCTGGGGCTTTTCAGAGGCAGTTCCCCTGGCTGGCTGTTTCATGTCATGGTGATGTTCATGGGCGGTGGGGTGGGTAGATTTCAGGCCCGGGAATGGGAGTAAGCTGGGCAGGCATTCTTATCCTCAGCTTACAAAAGAGGAGACTGAGGCAAAAGAATAGAAGGGATCACTTATAGTTCCAGGCCTTGTAGTGGCCGAGCTCAGAGGCCCAATCTCAGATTCCTCCAGTTATTCACTACCTGGGGTTGGGCAGGCTGGTCTGACTGGAAAGTTCTAGAAGCTCTGGGGTCTCTGATGAGCTGGGGAGGAATGCCCCAGTGTGTGTCTGCAGGTGCCACCAGTGTGGACCCTCCTGGAGGAGGGGCAGGGACAGAGGATGTGGTGGCAGGTAGCAGAGGCAGGAAAGGCCCAGGGTCAGGGAGAAGGCAATGCTGAGGGGCACTCACATGCTCGGGAGACAGCAGGCTGACATCGATGAGGTTCCGGTCATAGGGCACAAATGATACCACTTCAAAGGTCAGGTAGCTCCCTGGGTACTGGGAGCCCAGAATAGAAGCCGGGTAAGCAGGACAGTGAGGGAGGAGGAGGAACTGGGCTGAAGGGAAGGAAGGAGCACTCCACCCGGAGGACACAAGGAGCTGGGCCTCATCAACCCTGGACACCCTGGCTAGGCCTGAGCCTTCTAGAGTCCCTTCTCTTGGCCAGCCCCCTTGTCTGCCACTTAGTGCTCCACCTTTGGTGCTTCCCTCCTGATTCTGGAAATTTAGACTTAGGTTTGTGTTTTTCAAAGTACGCACATCAACAGCACTTAGGGAGCATGATAAATATGCAGATTCCAGGGCCCACCTCCCAAACCTACTGGAGGCAGAATCCTTAGGGCAGGGCCCAGAAATCTAAATTTCAATTATTTTATTTTATTTTTTTTGAGATAGGATCTCCCTCTGTTACCCAAGCTGGAGAGCAGTGACACGATGACGGCCCTCTGCAGCCTCTACCTCCTGGGCTCAGGTGATCCTTCTACCTCAGCCTTCCAAGTAGCTGGGATTATTGATGGGCACCACCACACCCAGATACTTTTTGTATTTTTTGTAGAGATGAGGTTTCACCATGTTGGCTAGGCTGGTCTCGAACTCCTAAGCTCAGGTGAACCACCCACCTCAGCTTCCCAAAGTGCTGGGATTACAGGCATGACCCACCACGCCTGGCTGATCTGATGGTTTTATAAGACAGTTTTCCCTGCTCTTGTTAGCTCTCTCTTTCCTGCCACCATGTCGAGATCCTTGCTTCCCCTTCGCCTTCTGCCATGATTATAAGTTTCCCAAGGCCTCCCCAGGCATGTGGGAACTGTGAGCCAATTAAACCTCTTTCCTTTAAAAATTACCCAGTCTTGGGTAGTATCTTTATAGCAATGTGAGAACAGACTAATACACCAGTCTCTACAAAAAAACACAAAAATTAGCTGAGCATGGTGGTGTCCATCTATAGTCCTAGTTATTTGGGAGTCTGAGGTGGAAGGGTGGGAGCATCACCTGAGCCCAGGAGGTTGAAGCTGCAGCGGGCTGTGATCGTGCCACTGCACTCCAGCCTCAGCAACAGAGTGAGACCCTGTCTCTAAAAAAAAAAAAAGAGGCCAGGTGCAATGGATGGCTTACGCCTGTAATCCCAGCACTTTGGGAGGCTGAGGTGGGTGGATCATTTGAGGTCAGGAGTTCAAGACCAGCATTACCAACATGGTGAAACCCCGTCTCTACTCTCTACTAAAAACACAAAAATTAGTTGGGCATGGTGGTGGGCGCCTGTAGTCCCAGCTACTCGGGAGGCTGAAACCACAAAAGATGTAGAGGAAAACCTATATCAATTCATTTATAATCTCAGGGTGGAAAAGAGTCTTTCTGTGCAAGACCAGAAGCTATGAAGGAAAAGATTAATAACTCTGACTAAACTAAACAGAAAATGGAAACAATGTTTATGGAAACAATGCCATAAACAAAGCCAAGAGTTGTGTGACAAATATAGCACATATCACAGAGAGAGGGTGAATTTTCATATTTACCATGAGCTTTTACAAATCCATAAGACAAAAATAGGCAAAACAGGAAAAAATAAGGCAAAGGACATGAAAAAGCAATTCACTAAAATTTAACACCAAATGGTTCACATACATGTGGAAAGATGCTCAAGTTCATCCTTAAAGAAATTCAAGGCTGGGTGTGGTGGCTCACGCCTGTAATCCAGAACTTTGGGAGGCCAAGGCAGGTGCATCACCTGAGGTCAGGAGTTCAAGACCAGCCTGGCCAACACGGTGAAACCCTGTTTCTACTAAAAATACAAAAATTAGCCAGTCGTGGTGGTGTGTGCCTGTAATTCCAGCTACTCAAGAGACTAAGGCAAGAGAATCACTTGAACCTGGGAGGCGGAGGTTGCAGTGAGCCAAGATCTCGCCACTGCACTCCAGCCTGGGAGAAAGAGGGAGACTCCATCAAAAAAAAAAAAAAAAAAAAAAGAAAGAAAGAAAGAAAAAAAGAAATACAAGTCAAAACAACAATAGAATACCATGTTTCACCTATCAGATTGGAAAAATTAGTGACTTCGATGATTCTCAGTGCTAGTGAGTATGTGAGGAAATGGGCACTCTCACACACTGTTGGAGAAAGTACAATTGGTGCAACCTTTCTGGAGGGCAGTTTGACAATATCTATCAAATTACCTATTAAAAATGCTTGTACTTTTTGTCTTGGAAATCCCTACGCCAGATATGTACCTTCTGGATATAGTCCCAAAAGCTCACCAAGATGTTTATACAGTGATTTGTAGCATTGATGGCAAATATAGTAAAAATTTGGAAACAGCCTCAATATCCACGGTTGGTTAAATAAATCATGGGACATCCACATACTATAGGCTCTTCGACAACCCTTCAAAAGAATGAGGTAGATCTCCCTGCGCTATTGCAGACCACTCTCCTAGGTTTACTATTAAGTAAGGGGCAGCGGGGCAGGGAAGGAAGGTGCAGAAAAGTATGTACAGTAGAATCCATTTTGTTTGTATTTTCAAAATATATACATAGATAGATACATACGCTGTGTGTGCCTGAAATGTTCTCAGGAAGGAAACTGAGCAAGAAAGAGACTTTTTTTTCCCTTCTCTTTTCTTTCTTTTCCTTCTTCTTTTTTTAGAGACAGATTCTCGCTCTGTCGCCCAGGCTGGAGTGCAGTGGTGTGATCTTGGCTCACCGCAACCTCCACCTCCCGGGTTCAAGCGATTCTCTTGCCTCAGCCTCCTGAGTAGCTGAGATTACAGGCACACACTACCACGCCTGGCTAATTTTTGTATTTTTAGTAGAAATGGGGCTTCACCATGTTGGCCAGGCTGGTCTTGAACTCCTGACCTCAAGTGATCCGCTGACTTCTGCCTCCCAAAGTGTTGGGATTACAGGTGTGAGCCACCATGCCTGGCCCTGATTTGTATTTTTTTTTTTTTTTTGAGACAGAGTTTTGCTCTTGTTGCCCAGGTTGGAGTACAATGGCATGATCTTGGCTCACCGCAACCTCCGCCTCCCAGGTTCAAGTGATTCTCCTGCCTCAGCCCCATGAGTAGCTGGGATTACAGGCATGCACCACCACACCCGGCTAATTTTGTATTTTTAGTAGATATGGGGTTTCTCCGTGTTGGTCAGGCTGGTCTCGAACTCCTGACCTCAGGTGATCCACCAGCCTCGGCCTTCCAAAGTGCTGGGATTACAGGCATAAGCCACCACGCCCGGTCTTGTATTTCTTTAAGGATGAACTTGAGCATCTTTCCACATGCATGTGGACCATTTGGTGTTAATTTTAGTGAATTGCCTTTTCATGTCCTTTGCCCTATTTTTTCCTGTTTTGTCTATTTTTGTCTTACGGATTTGTAAAAAGCTCATGGTAAAATAAGAAAACTCACCCTCTCACAATGCCATAAACAAAGCCAAGAGATATTTGTCACACATCTCTTGGCTTTGTTTATGGCATTGTTTCCATAAACATTGTTTCCATTTTCTATTTAGTCAGAGTTATTAATCTTTTCCTTCATGGCTTCTGGTCTTGCACAGAAAGACTCTTTTCCACCCTGAGATTATAAATGAATTGATATAGGTTTTCCTCTACATCTTTTGTGGTCTCATTGCTCACCTTAAAACTTTGGTCCATCTGGAATTTTATTTTGGAGGTTATTCAGTTTAATCCCCCCAAATGATTAGCCATTTGTTCCCCCTGTCCATTTGCTGAATAATCATTTTTTTCTTACTTTTTTGCAAAATCAGCTTTCTTGTAAACTAAATTCCCATGTTGTTTATGGGAATAAGAGGGTTTACTTCTGGACTGATTGTTCTGTTTCATTGTTACAGCTATCTATTTCATCTCCAGTGTCATACTGTTTTAGTTATGGTAGTTTGTGTTCAAATTTGAGAGGACTGGCTTTTCTTATTGCTTTTTTTTTAGATTGGGTTTTGCTCTGTTACCGAGGCTAGAGTGCAGTGGCGTGGTCACAGCTCACTGCAGCCTCAACCTCCCTAGGCTTAGACCATCCTCCCACTTCAGCCTCCCGAGTAGCTGGGACTGCAGGTGCATGACACCATGTGCAGCTAATTTTTTTTTGTATTTTTTGTTGAGATGGGGTCTTGCCATGTTGCCCAGGCTGCTCTCAAACTCCTGAGCTCAAGCGATCCTCCTGCCTTGGCCTCCCAGAGTGCTGGGATTACAGGCATGAGGCACTGCACCTGGCCCTGCTCTTCTTTTTCAGAATTTTCCTAGCTATCTTCGCATGTTTATTTTTACAAATAAACTTTACTATCATTTTGTGAAGTTACAAAAGTATCCAGTTAGCACTGGAATTGAGGTTATCTTGAATTTATAGATTAATTTAGAGAGTAATGATATCTTCATAATATTGAGGCTTCTCTCCAGAGAGCACCATTTACTTAAATCTTTTTTATGTCCCTTAGTAGAGAGTTTCTCCATGTAAGCCTTTTTAAGTTTACATCTAGGTATTTTATCTTGTTGGCTGCTATTATACAGAATCTTTATTTCTAACAAGCTCCCCTGGCGATTATTATGTGCATTGAGAACCAATGATATAGGGCAGGGATACTGATTCACTTGGTCTGGAATGGGGCCTGGGCATGGGCATTTAAAGCACCAGAAAGCTCTCTGGGTGATTCAAATGTGCAAGCGAGTTTGAAAAGTCTGACTTATGGAATTCCTAAGGAAGACTCCAGATAAATTCATGCCTGCACACTAAATGCCCTTCTCCTTTGATCTTCCTCCCCACTTTCCTCCCATGCAGCCCAAAGTCACTGACATGCTGCCCACACCTCCAGCCCATCCTGGTGGCAGTTTACCTTGGTCTTTGCTTCTACCACGAGAGCCACATCTTCGAGACGGATCCCAAATTCTCCATCCTTATAGTAACCAGGTTCTGGGAGACACAGAGATGCTGGTGGCATTAAGCTGGGAGAGGGCCCAAGCCCAGGCTTCCTGTACCTACTGATGAGTGGCTGGAGGGACTGGCTGTCTGGCTGTCCCCTGGCTGTTGACTCTGGCAGCCCCACAACTGGTTAGATGTTTGTTGGCTAAGCAGAGGCAACTCATCCCTGTCAGGCCTCAGATCCCCCACAGGGGCATCTCTGACTCACTCTCTCTTCCCTGTAGCCCAGCAGGGAAGCCCTAAAAACCCACTTGGGTCCTGAAGGTACTCCCATCTCCCTGGATGCCACTGTCCTGTTACTCCAGCATTTGGCAACTCCAGAGTCTGAATATACAGCTGGGTCTACGGCCATACCACCCTGAACGCACCTGATCTCGTCTGAATATACAGCTGGGAAACAACTCCCAAGAGCAAAAAGAGGGTCTGGGCTGAGGGGAGCTGGAATTAGGGTGGGACAAGCCATTTGGGGCTGGGCGTAGCGGTGGGAATGGGGAGGTGAGTCCCGAGCTGTACTAGTGCCTGCTGTGCTCCTCTGAAGTCTGGTACACTCTAGACTGCAGTCCTGGGCTAGTCCTGCTCTGGGATGGGGTGGTGAGGTAGAGGGGCCTGAGGGCCATACCAATGGAAGTGAACATGCCCTTGGCCATAGCGATGTTGTTGGACTGGAATCCCACTGGCCCTAGAAAGGAAGACATAAACATGGTATCAGTTCTCCTATACTCACCAGCTTGGAAGTGAGCAGCTTCCGAGGAAGAGCAGATAAGTGAGGATCCCAGAGCATCTCTATGAGCACAGGTCCATCACATCATTGTCTGCCTGGGCCTGGCACACACCAGATTGGCTCTGGCTTTTATTATTTATTTAGGTATTGAGAGGGGTCTTGCTGTGTTGCCCAGGCTGGAGTGCAGTGGCGCCATCATGGCTCACTGCAGCCTTGACCTCCTGGGATCCTCCCACCTCAGCCTCCCGAGTAGCCAGGACTACAGGCACATGCCACCATACCTGGATACTTAAAACATTTCTTTTGTAGAGACGGGGTCTTGCTGTGTTTCCCAGGCTGATCTCAAACTCCTGGCCTCAAGTGATCCTCCCACCTTGGCCTCCCAAAGCAGTGGGACTATGGGTGTGAGTCACCACATGCAGCTGGCTCTGGCTTTTATTTCTCTGGGGTCTATATAAGTTAGTCACTAGGGCTTGACCCTCTTTCTGGTGCCCTCTTGAATGCCAAGCAGCCAGCAGGACTGGCCTGCTGCTGGCATTCCTCACTTACCCTGTGGAGCTGGGTAACCTTGGGTAGATCATGGCATCTTTGTGGGTCTTTGTCATTTCCATACCTGTGAAATTCTCTACCTTCATAGAGGGTATAATAAAAGGGGGGTGGCCTGGGGAGTGCTGAGGAGACACCTACACTCATGCACACACAGGAAGTTGCCAATGCCGTGGCCTGTCCCATGACCATAATTGAGACCAGCATCCCACAAGGCTCTGCGGGCAAAGGCCTCCACCATTCGCCCTGGAAGGGAAGAGAGATTGACCCCAGTCAGATGGCTTTACCGAAGACTGTCCACCTTGCCCCTTCTTGCTTCACTATCAGAGTGGTGCCTAAGAAGAGGGGCCCCTGAGAGGCCGCTAAGCATGCACTGATGCAATGATGTTGGGTTGGGATGGAGGAGGGCTGATGGATGGAGTTAGTGGTTCCCTCGCCAGACCAGCCCATCACTATCTCCAGCTTACCATACATTGTATCCATTACCTGAATTGATGCCTCTACTGTAATTTCTCCCCATCTGTCAGGGCTTTGCACTTTGACACCTAATTCCTCTAAGAATCCTCCCATAATTGCTGTGGCCCACTGATCTCTCCCACCTCTGAGCAACAGTGTTAGATTAAGAGGCAGGAAACTCAGGTTCAAGGCCTGGATCTCCCGCTAACCTTCTGTGTGACCTTGGGCAAGTCACTTTCTCTCTCTAGGCTGGATTTTCTCATCTACATAAGGGATGGGATGATGACAAAATCCTTGCCCCACCAGCCTCCCAGGGTGATGGTCTGAGTCCTGTGAAATCAGGGCCTGAGGCTGTGTCCAGACTGGTTTCTGAAACCCACCTGATGTAGCAGCGGGAAAGATGAGCCTGGACAGGTCAATATTTCCTATCAGCACACGGGTGTATGCCTCCTGATGGGGAGAGGAAGAGGTGATATGGAGGACGGGAGGAGGAGCCAGAGGAGTATCCAGCTGCTTGGCCTATGGATACACGGTGCAGGGCCCAGGCCTGGGTGTGTGTAGGCAGGGTGGGGGGAGTCTCATCGTTATGTGTGGCTGCCCGGGTTCTGGAAGATGGCCAGCAGAGGCTGAGGAGGGCCTTCCCAAAGCTGGGGCTCCATCACGTGCTTCCCTCTGGCTGGTCTATGAGGATCATTACAATATCTGCAGGAGACACTTGGTGGCGGTGAACCGAGGCTGTGACTCCCTGGGCTGAATCCTGACTTAGCCACTCACTCTGAGACCTTGGGCAGGCGACTTTAACTGCTGTGTGCCTCAGTTTCCTTATCTGCGATGGGAAGATAACAGGACCTAGCTCCTAAGGTTGTTGGGAGAGGCAGGCAGACTAATGTACAGAAGGTGCTGCCAACAGCGTGCATGCTTCACGGAAGTTTAGCACACTCATTCCTGTGGTTGTGACGGCTGCTGAGTTTTCTTAAGGCCTTTCATGAGGGTTGAGGTTTGCTGACTTGGCAGCTTAGCCTTCCTCTGTCAGCGGAGGGAGGTGGCCTGACAGTGGCCTCTTCTGGTCACTTCCAGAGGCGATGTGGTCAATCTCCATCACCACACAGGTTCACAGGCTTGTCACTTTGGGCAGGACAGCCAGAGGCAGCAGACTCCGCCGCTAAACTGTGAGCTCCTGGAGACCTGGACAGCATTTTGTTCCCCTCTCTGTGTTTCCAGCACAATGTCTGCCCCATAGTCGGCCTGCTGCATGCAGCATGACGGCAGCTCGCTGCTCCACCCCCAGGGCCCTCTGGTGCACAGAGACAATGCCCTCGCCTCTGCCCCAGCTGGCCAGCCCTCGATGTTTCCTGAACACCTCTGGCTCCTTTCCACCGCGGAGGCTTCACTTGTGCCGTTTTCCTCCACTTGGGATGCCTTTCTTTCTCCTTTCTGCTGAGTACAGGGCCAGGCACACAGGCAACAACAAAAAAATATTTGTGCACTGATTTACCAGAATAGGATGAGGCTCAGCTTGGGCTGAGGCCTTGTCAGTGGCCTGAAATATCCCCGGGGAAGCAGCAGGGAGCACTGGGTTTTCCGGCACCAGTGGTGTCACCTTGGGCAAACTACTTAACCTCTCTGAGCTTCAGTTTTAGCCTCTGAAATGGAAGGGATCTTGACTGCTTGGGTGCCCCCTTGGGGGAAGGTGGTGAGGGGAAATCTGGGCCCATGCTTACCTTCTGGAAGGCAGAGGGGGTGCCCCAGTGGACTGTTCTGGTGATGTCTGTGGTCCCGTCCCTATGGAGAAGGAAAACCAACATGCCAAATGCCTGGGGCTAGGGACTGGGGCCATGTGCTTTCTGTGTGCTTTCCACAAGTGGCAGGGCTGGGATGGGATGGGTGGACGGCGAAAGGAAGAAGACAGCTACCATAATCAAAATCCCCTCTTCAGCACCTATGTGTGAAAGGCCTCTGCAAACCTATCAAGTTAAAAGTTACTAAGTTGTCTGACAAGTGTGACTCCCCACCCTACACACTCCTCCCCCATCCCACTCATTTTGGCTGTTCTGTAGGTCTGGGTTTCCTTGGGTCCAGCTGGTTATGAAAGCAAGGCTTCTTCCAGGCTTCCTGGGAGGCAGAAAGGGGAATGTCCCCTTTTTACAGCTGGGGAAACTGAGGTCCAGAGAGATTATATTATCATAACACTCTCATATTCAGATAGTTGTCGACCATTTATAGGACACTTTTGCTGCTCCCTGGGAAGAATGGTAGAAGAGGCCTCATTATCCCCAGTTCACAGATGAGGCCATTGAGGCCATGCGGCTGTTTCCCTCTCTGAACCTCAGTGAAGCCAGGCCTAGAGCAAGCACTGCCTCTCCACACAGTCCTCTCCATGGCAAACACGGATCTGACCCAGTGACTTGCTGAGTTCCAGTTAGGTGAAGCCTCAGTCCCAAGGTCTGACTCCCAACTCCCAGCTGCAGCAGTTGCCACAGATGGCCCCTGTGATCATGCCTTGGTGAGGGAGAGGGGAGAAATGGTCCCAGGGCCCTGGGGCTTCTCCTTGGGTCATGGGGTGTGGTGACCTTCTTCTTCAGAAGGAAAGAAGAGGAAGTGAGGTGACTATTTCCCCGGCCTCACCCTACTCTGAGCACACCCCATTCCAGCAACGCCCCCACAAATTCACTTCCCCTTTGCTCATTGGCCATCTCAAGTACACACAGCATCGAACTCCTGACCAGCAAAGGCTGCTAAGCTGAGCGCCTGCTACTCTGGATCCCCTAGAGCTGTGCTAAGAACAAGCAAAGAGCCTCTGTCGTTAGCACATTCGCCATTTCCACAGGACTCCTTGCTCCTCCATCAGTTCAGTACGGCCCTTCTTTTGTCCCACCCCACGCTTCCCACACTTCCTTCCTCAATGAGAAGGGAAAATCTTTCAGGTCAGCTCAGCTCAGCTCAACTCTGGTGTGAATGATCAGTCACACGTTTGGAAGGAATGGGGTTAGCCTATTCTTTTTCTTTCTTTCTTTCTTTCTTTCTTTCTTTCTTTCTTTCTTTCTTTCTTTCTTTCTTTCTTTCTTTCTCTCTCTCTCTCTCTCTCTCTTTCTCTCTCTCCCTCTTTCTTTCTTTCTTTCTTTCTTTCTTTCTTTCTTTCTTTCTTTCTTTCTTTCTTTCTTTCTTCCTTTTATAGTCTTGCTCTTATTGCTCAGACTGGAGTGCAGTGTCACGATCTCGGCTCACTGCAACCTCCGCCTCCCGGGTTCAAGCGATTCTCCTGCCTCAGTTTCCCTTGGGAAGCATGCTCCACCACACCCGGAAAATTTTTGTATTTTTAGTAGAGATGGGGTTTCACCATGTTGCCCAGGCTGGTCTCAAGCTCCTGACCTCAGGTGATCTGCCCGCCTCGGCCTCCCAAAGTGCTGGGATTACAGGTGTGAGCCACCACGCCTGGCCAGGTTAGTCTATTCTGCACGGCTGTCATGTCTGAGCATTCAGGTTGTACACTGTACAAAGGTAGCCCATCAAAAGGGTTGCTTCTCTCATCTGCCCCCACCTCCACCCTGAACAGTGCCATGGGGAAGAGGGGGCTGAGGAGTCTGCATGACGTTGGTGGTGCGGGGGTGTCCAGGGTGTGCACTAGTGGATGAGAGTAGGGTATATGTGTTTGTGTGGCCAGGCAGGGACATTGAGTATAGTTGCTCAGACTGTGTAATAATACGTGGACTTAGAAAACATTTTACTTGAGGCTGGGCATGGTGGCTCATGTCTGTAATCCCAGCACTTTGGGAGGCTGGGGCAGGTGGATCACCTGAGGTCAGGAGTTTGAGAACAGCCTGGCCAACATGGTGAAACTCCATCTCTACTAATACATACATATATATATATGTGTGTGTGTGTGTGTGTATGTGTGTGTATATATATGTGTGTGTATATATATATGTGTGTGTGTGTGTATATATATATATATATATATATATATAGCTGGGCATGGTGGTGGACACCTGTAATCCAAGCTACTTGGGAGGCTGAGGCAGGAGAATCACTTGAACCCGGGATGCAGAGGTTGCAGTGAGCCAAGATCGCGCCACTGCACTCCAAACCTGGGCGACAGAGTGAGACTCTGTCAAGAAACAAACAAACAAACAACCCACAAAAAACAGCAACTTAAGCAAAGGGAGTCTTTTCCTAATTCCCACAGAGGTGCTGCCTGGGTCCTGCCACTATTCCAGCCTCTGTGTATTTCCCACTGTGCAGGGACCCCCATGTGTGAAAATGGGTAGGATGTTCGGGGCTCATTCCAGATCTCTCCTTTTTCAGACGAAGAATCCGTGGCCCAGGAAGGGAAAGCTTTGGCTGACTCTTGGCAGGCTCAGGAGGTCTGAGCAGAGACATCCAGGCTAGGGTGAGGTCGGGGTACATACCAGTACTGCCCCCCAGAGTCCAGCAGGTACATCTCATCTGAGGACAGCTTGCGGTTCAGCTCCTTGGTCGGGCTGAGAAGGGGAGAGAATGTTGAGAAGGGCAGCCTAACCCTGCACTGGGTCACGTGGGAGGCCTTGGTGGGAGGACCTCTGGGGCCTGGGCTTCCAGGCCAGTCCCTCTGGAGGAAGTCATTCTATCCCAAAGGGCCCTGGAAGAGAACTCAGCTTCCGTTGCTGCTGTCCTCAGCACACGTCTGTTAATCCTGCACCTGGCTGAGCCAGGCCCTGGTCCCCAGGGAGGAGAGAGAGGGTAAAGCCCAGAATATGAGAGCTGGGAGAGCCCTAGAGACCCCCCAGCTCAGCTGTCTCCTTTTCCATAAGGAGAAGCAGGCCTATGGAGGCCAAGGGGCTTGCACGAGGATGCGCGGTAAAGCGGCAAAGAGCTGGGCCTCTACCCAGATGCTCCCTCCGGCCCTTTGTCTCTAACTTCCTGCTGCCTCCGAGAGCAGAGGGCCCTGAGAAGAAGCAGAGCACAGGAAGGGAGGATACCTCCAGGGTGGGGCTGCTGAGCAAGAGGTGGTAAAGCCGAGGAGCACCCACCCTGCCACTCTAGCCCGAGTGGGTAGGAGGGGCTGGGGCAAGGCAGCCGAAGGCGTGGGAGACACCAGGGGACACCAGGGGAGGGAATTCTGGGACATGTCAGGCACTCCCTTGGAGGGCATTGACCTCTCCCTGCTGTGCCCATGCCAGGCGGAGGCAGCTGGTCAGCTTTTCATCAGGCAGGCCTGCAGGGGTTTGTTTTCTATAGGGCCAAACACCTGGCTAGCCTGTATCTTGGGCCCACCTTGGCTGGTTCAGGCTGAGTGAACAGACCTCTCTCCATGTGAACTCGTGAGCTTTAAGCATTAGCTAACATAAGCAACACATGGGAAGCCAGGGAAAAGCATCCAATGGCATCGGTGTCTTCCTTCCAGGTCCCCCAGCCTCCAGCTCTCAGGCCTTTTCATTACAAGGCAACTCCCTACTCCACACTGAGCTCCTCTCCCAGCCCCCACAGGGCTAGGGGCCTCGGACCTTCAACGTGGACTCAGGTCCCAGAACATCCCCCTCCCCTCACCCTGTTCCTCTACACACACAACAGGATGCCCCAACAGGGCCCTAGAAAATTCTTTTTCCTCAAGTACCTGTAGTGGGCCAGGGCAGCATTCAGACCACTAGCAGAGATGGTTTCAAAACTGGGTCCGGAGGAGAACTGTTCTTCTCTGGAAAGTACAAGGCAAGGCATGGTCAATGAATGGGCCCCTGGACTAGGCTGGGCCCGGGATATCTAATCAAATCCAATGAAGGTCATGGCTGCCTCTACCTCTCAACTGGACACCATTTGGCTCTCCCAGCCCTCACCTCCTGGTTCCATCTCCTCAAGCCCTGACCTGTCATTTATAGAGGAAGATCAGAGGACACACTGTAGACACACATTATTTCCTCTCCACCTCCATTTTACGGATAGGAGTGAAGAAACCCAGCTCTCTGTATCTGAAAACTCCCCCAGTCCTGGGAGAGCATCCTGTACCTCAAACCTACAATCCGGCCCTGACCTGGGCCAAGCATGCCTTCGGGAATCCTCCTCCCTACCTGGTATTCTCAAGTGGTCCAGGGGCTGACCTGGTCTGAGCCACAGCACCCCCCAGGGAGATTCAGACCGTACCTGAAGCAGACACTAGGGGACGCTATTGGGTTGTGGCCCTTCGAGTTGTCCTGCTTTCAGCGGGGCGGGAAATATCATCCAACGCCCCCTGCTCAACTCCCCGACCACCCAAGAACCTGTCACTCCTTGTTCTCCAGAGCCCTCCCCCACCCAGCACGCATATGAGGAGGATCTTCCTTTCTGCTAAGTAAGGGGACAAATTCCCCCTCCCTGCCCCCACTGCCACACTAAAAGACAGTCAGCCAAAAAGGACGGCCGTGGCTCTTCACCCTCGGAACTTGTCCACGATCTCTGCCCCCGAGAACTCATCCACTGTGCCTTTGGGCACGTTCTTCTCCAGCCAGACCAAGTACCGGATCACAGCCACAGCGTCCCGCACCTGGAGTTGGGGAAGCAGGGAAACAGAGGAGCCGGGTGAGGTCTGGTTGCAGCCACAGGCTCCAAGATGATGGAGATCAGATAGCGGCTCCAGGATGTGGAGCTTTGAAAACACTGGCTATTTGATGTCAAAGAATTCTTGTTAGTGTTTATATATGATCATAGTGTGTTCCTGTTTTTGAAAGAGTTCTGTGTTGACGGCAGAAATGACACACTATCTAGGATTTACTTTTAAAAGAATCCAGCAGCAGAGGGGGTGGTTGTGGTGGTAATGAACATGGGGTTATAGACAAGACAAGAATGGCCATGAGTCAAGGATTATTGAAGCTGGATGAAGGGACACTGGAGATTATGATGCTATTTTCTTTATCTTTGTGTGTGTTTAAAATTTCCTATGAGACAAAGTTTTTTTTAAATGAGGTGGTTTATCTTAATTTTAACAAGAATTCTTTTTTAAAAATTGAGCCATCCTCTTGCCAGTGTGAGGAAATCATTATAGCTAACACTTATTTAACACTTAGAATGTGCTAGGTGGTGCTCAGAGCAATATACATATTCATTGAATTCTCACAACAACCATATGCTGTAAGATTACTGTTATGATCCTCATTTTACAGATGGGGTAACTGAGGCCCAGAGAGGTAAAATGACTTGGTCAAGGTCACCCAGTTAGGAATTGGGTGGAGCTGTGGTTTGAACTCAAGGCACCCTAGCTCCAGGGCCTGTGCTCTAAACCACTGTACTATATTGGGGGCAAGGATATGAGGTGCATGTGGGCGCCCAGGAATAATTTGGTGTCTGCTTCTTTATTTCTTTTTCTTTCTTTCTTTCTTTTTTTTTGACCTAGTCTCGCCCAGGCTGGAGTGCAGTGGCATGATCTCAGCTCATTGCAACCTCTACTTCCCAGGTTCAAGCGATTCTCGTGCCTCAGCCTCCTGAGTAGCTGGGACTACAGGTGATCGCCACCACGCCTGGCTAATTTTTGTATTTTTAGTAGAGACAGGGCTTCACCATGTTGGCCAGGCTGCTCTCGGACTCCTGAGCTCAAGCAATCCTCTCACCTTGGCCTCCCAAAGTGCTAGGATTACAGGCGTGAGCCACCGCGCCCAGCTTGCTTCTTTGTTTCATTGAGGGTCTTCTTCAGGCTCTTCTGGAGGCCTTTCCTTTCTAACTCATTAGGCTGGATACTCCCAAAAGGCCATGTCTGCCTGAACGTGGACTTACGTGGCTGGCCTTGAGGAGGGCCTGCTCCTTGCTGTTCTTCACTGCCTTGGTCATCATCACTGGGGAGTAGGTGTCTGTCACGAGTTTCTCCTGTTGGGGGCAGGGAGGAGAAAAGGAGGTCTGGGGGCACAGGTCTGGGGGCACAGTAAAGGAGGTCTCCATGGCACAGGGGTGTTTTCAGAGGACTGGCAGGAGGACCCAGCAGACGTGAGATTTGCCACCATTTCGTGGCAATGCTCTCTACTCTGTGTGTGCTTTCTGTCTTTCCTAGTTTTCCACGTCCAGCTGAACCCTCTCTCCTTCCAGGAAGGCTTCCTTGATTGACACTGCCTTGCTTGGCAATGAACTCCCTGTCTTCGGATCCCACCAGCACTCTGGGATGGATCAGAGTCTGGCCTGAGTCACTCGACAGGCTGTCCTGACAGTGTAAGTTTCCTGTACATATCATGACAGCTACCATTTATTGGACACTACCATGTGTCAGTCATATACACTATCTCCTTTAGATCTCCACTGAGCGACTCCTGCGAGGTCAGGACTCTTATTGCCATTTTATAGGTGAAGAAAAAGACCCAGATTGGCTAAGTTGCTTGTCCAAAGTCACTGCACAGCTAGTTAGGGACAGAGCTGGAATTCATTTTCAAGTTTGGCTGACTCCAAAGTCTCTGCTAGATCAGGCCGTATACTCTCCAGCCTCCTGACAATTTTATGAGCTCTCTGGATGGCCATCCCTGTTTCCTCTTCTGGCTCTTCCCAGTTAGGCCAAGAAGGGAACTCACTGCACAGTTGTTGGCTGACCAGATGACTGAATGGCTGAGGGGCTTCACCTCACTTTAGGTTAAGACTTCTCAGGCCTAGAGTGGGGATTGGTGCCTGGCTTGGGCTGGGGCCTGGCAAACCCACCTTGGGTATCATTTCATAGATCCCATACATGGTATAGCTGGTCCCAATCCAGATCCTCACATCTCCCAATGAGTAGGCCTGGATGCTGTCACGAACTTGGCTGTAATCCTCGATTTGCACACACATGGGGCCTGTGCAACTGGAGTTCAGATAGCTCAAGGTTTCGGAGCTAAAGCGACTCTTGTTTGCAAACAACCTGGGTGGGGTGGGAAGACAAGGAGGGTCCTGAGCATCTGCTAAGGATGCAAAGGACCAGAGGCAGTCACAGTCCCTCTGTTCCTGGAGGTCAAAGGAAGCCAGCCCCAGGGAGCCAAGCAGGCCAGATTTGGGATTCAATAGGGACAGAGGTTTAAAGAGTCAGGAAAAGACAACAGGGGGTTTTCTAAAGGGTCGTGCTGCAGCAGGCGCCGAGCTGATGGGCAGCCAGAGGGCTGTATATTAAGGCGGGATCAGTGGTGGGGCATCAAGAGGGTGGAAGTTGGAGAAAGTCCACAACAGCAAGCTAAGGAAAAGCCATACCTAATAGAAGAGTCTGTGAGCAGCGTGTAGGAATAGAAGAAGGGGTTATAGGGGATGTCACTGGCTCGAAGGTTGAAGAGCCCTGGGAAGAGAATTGACAAGGAATATTTAATGCTGATCTGCCTGAGGCAAGCTTTTCTTTTCCTCTTTTTTTCCTTTCCTTCCTTCCTTCTTTCCTTCCTCCCTTCCTTCCTTCCTTCCTTCCTTCCTTCCTTCCTTCCTTCCTTCCTTTCTTTCTTTCTTTCTTTCTTTCTTTCTTTCTTTCTTTCTTTCTTTCTTTCTTTCTTTCTTCCTTTCTTTCTTTTTCTTTCTTTTCTTTCTTTTTTGACAGTATCTTGCTCTGTCACCCAGGCTGGAGTGCAGTGGCAAGATCTCACTGCAATCTCCACCTCGCAGGTTCAAGCAAGTCTCCTGCCTCAGCCTCCCAGGTAGCTGGGTTTGCAGATGCCTGCCACCATGCCCAGCTAATTTTTGTATTTTTAGTAGAGACGGCGTTTCAACATGTTGGTCAGGCTGGTCTTGAACTCCTGACTTCAGGTGATCCGCCCACCTTGGCCTCCCAAAGTGCTGGGATTACAGGCGTGAGTCACCGCACCCGGCCAGAGGCAAGCATTTCTGACACTTTTGCCCCACTGTTTCCTTTGGCCTCCAAAGATTACCAACAGCATGCTTGTATCATCTACCTCTGCATGTTACTCAATCTTTTTGCCGGGGGGGGGGGGTGGGGGAGTGGGCGTCTTTGAGATGCTGTTGAGAGTTATGGATCTTTTCCCCCCAGAAAAATGCAGATACTTAGCAGTCAGCACACAGTTCCAGTGGGTCCCTGGAATATCTGAAGCCCAGCCATAGGGATCAGACAAGAAGTCCTGAGCCATGTCGGAAAGAGTAGAGTCCCACTGGGTGCTAAAGCTGGGAGTGTGAGTGCCCTGGGGTAGTGGCTAAGTTGTTGGGAGGCATTTCCTGGTCCTCCTCCCCTTAGTGGGACAGAAGCACTTTGCTGCCATAGTCAGTTCGTTCCTCTGGTGGCCTGTGGGCTGGTCCCAGCTTGCTCAGGGCTACCTTTTGTCCTTTTTCTGAAGCCATGAGCTCCTGCCCCCTTACCCTTCTTGGTTCCCACGGGCTGTGGCCATGGAGTTCTCAAGAATTGGTGGGCACATGGTTATTTGGGGAAGAGCTAGCTCTGTGCTGCAGGGCCCGGGAGGCTTGGGGCATTGGGGAGACCCAGGCGCCCACCCATGTCTGCAAATCCACACTCACAGGCCGTCTCCTCAAGCGCCGACAGAAGGACGGCAGTCGGGACCTTTTGATGCTTCTGCATCTGGCTTCGGACGCCAGATACTTTCTCCTGCCAAGTGCTCCCTAGAAGCAAAGGAGCCCCAAAAAAGTGTAAGTGACAGACCTTGCCTTTGGCACTCGGTTCCTGGAAGGTCAGCCTTAGGGTAACAGTTTTGCATCCTCTTAAAAAGCAGCGAAACCCTTTCCTCAAACAAACTCTTACTTGTGTACTCATTAATGACATGGGCCCTGGACCCAGATGGGGCTCAAATCCTGGCTTTGCCATTACTGGATGGGTGACCTTGGGCAAATTACCTAACCCCTCTGTGTTCCATTTTGCACATTTGTAAAATGGGGATGGAGTATAATAAGCATCTGCCTCAATAGGGCTGCTATGAGGATGGAATGAATTAATATTTGTAAAGCACACAGAATGGTATCTTGAGATGTAGTAACTCTTGTATCTTTCTGATTAATAAATAATCATGCAGACTGAGATCAAGAGAGCAGTCCTAGTTGAAGGACAAAGGGGTAGGGCTGGGGCCGTGTTCAACTTTCTCTGCAGTAACCCCAGTATTTACTAAGCCACGGGTACTGGGCTAAGCACTCCATGTGCATTGTTCTAATTCTTACCCATCCCATTTTACAGATAAGGAAACTGAGGCTTCAGAGAGGTAAAGTGACTTGTCTAGGGTTTCATGGATGCAAGAGGTAGAGCTGGGATTTGAACTCTGGTCTGTCTGACTGCATGGCCCACGCTCTTAATCTGTACAGACACCGTACTGTCTTGATAACATTCTCAGTCTCCAAATCTGTCCTTAAACTCTGTGTCACAGCACCGTCCTTTCTCAGATGCTTATATCTGGGTTCTATGACTTTAGTTTTCATCTTCTATCCCTGCCCCCTGCAAGATATTCAAAGAGTCTACCCCTAGGCAGGACTAGGAGTTTGCTGGCCGAAGGCCATAAACATTAAGGGTCCTAGTTGGGTTCAGATATGAGCATAAATAACTTAATGTCGTGAAAAATATTTCATGTGAACAGGTAAAACTATTCAACAATGACCAAAGCTTTGGGTACAATACATTTTTGTAGGTTTATTTTACTACATATTTTACACATAATTTATGTTATGTGTATTTTACACATAACATAAAACATATCATTTTAATCTTTTTAAAGTGCACAATTCAGTGGCTTTCAGCATACTCACAATGTTGTGCAACCATCGCCACGATCTAATTCTAGAACATTTTCTTCATCCCCAAAGGAAACCCTGTACTCACTAAGGAGTCACTCCCTATCCCCCCTCCCCTGAGCCCCAGGAAATCCCTAATCTATTTTCTGTCTCTATGGATTTGCCAGTGCTGGATATTTCATACAAATGGAATTGTACAATATGTGGCCTTCTCTGACTGGCTTCTTTCACTTGCAATTATGTTTTCAAGGTTCAGGAATATGATACCTTTCTGAGAAACCAAATGAACCCAAATTTCAATGGTCTGGTGCGTACAGGTATGTTTGAGTAGCGAACTTTTCATGTTCTGCCCTTTGCACTCTCCTTTCTCCTTTAAAATCTGCAAGTGGCTGGAAAGTCTCTCTCGTCTTTATAAGCTTATTGAAGCTGAACTCTGTTCTTCGGCTTCCAAACTCAAGCTCCAGGTGCCTTTTTCTTGAAGACTGGCAGCGGGTGATGACTCGGCATCCCCTCACTTTTGGGAAGTGACAAAACCCTTCCAGCCCCAGGAAGGTTTTTCTTTTTTCCCTTCCCCTTCCCGACATAACTTTGACTTTCTTTATCTGAATAAGATGAGTTTTATTTATGATTTAACAGTCTTGGATAACAAATTTCTTTAAAAATGGTGTCAAGATGCAGAAAGAATGATTCTGGAAGTTACATCAGAACAGATAAAGAAAAATGGACACAATTTTCACTTGTTTCGTCATGGCTGCTATTTTGAAATCTCCCTCCTGCTGTATTGGCTCCTTTCTAAGTGAGAAATTATGTGGACTTGCATGCGGAAAGGGATCTCTTGGCTTGATCAATGTTACTAGGAATCCAAGTTCATTGGCTCATTCAGAATTCCCAGGGAGATAGGACTGGTTGGTGGCCAAGACACTGATTCATAATCAGTAGGCTGGTCCTGGTCAGGACTTTAGTTACGACTTACAGGAATCTTACAACATACTGTTCTTTTGTGATGGATTTAGATAGTGTCAACGGGGTCAAGGTTATTGATGTTATATTTTTCTAACCTTCCTGATTGGTCCAGCAAAACCTGAACTGTAATCTGTGCTACAGAATGACTCTGAACTTAGTTATTTACTTCCTCTGTCCACTCCTGGCCCACCTGACCCCAGCCATCTCACAAATCTAAATTCTTCATCACAAGAGGGTCAGAAGTAAAGGTCTGAATGATTCATTATGGATCAGTCTCTGCCACCAGGCAAGCAAATCATATCATGATTTTTTCTCTCTTGAAAGGGGTTGGATATTTTCTCTCATCTTTCTCTGTTTCCCTTCTTTCCTCCCTTCCTGCTCCATCTTGTTTCAAATCCTAACATTCTTTAACCCAACATTTTCTAAATATGGCCGGAGGACATTTTGATTCAGACTCCTCAAGGGGAGGGGGCCCTGAAATCTGCATTTTAAACAAGCATCCCAGGTGACTCAGGTGCATGCTAAGGTTTGCAAACCACTGCTTTGGTACCTCTGATGATGAAGTTTGCCACCTACGGAATAGCAGCCGGGACCTGCGTTGCTACAAGTTGGGAAGGAAACTGGGCTTACTGAATCACCTGTGAATGCCTCCTGCAGGGCATAAATGGGTTGATTTGGAACCGGTGGCCTCTCTGATCCCCATACCAGGTCCACAAGATTGGTTGTGATGGACACCAGCTGTCTGTTAGAGCCTTGGAGGGCCAGATCATAACTCTCCCAGGTGTCTGCAGAGACAAGAAGGAGTCACTTGTCCCTTGCCCATTTACACCCCAGGAAAAAATTGTGATTCAGGCAAAGTTAGTCCTGGTTCCCTTTGCCTCCCTTTGCAGCCCAGCTGCCCGGAGCCTGCCCCAGCAGCCTGCCCACCCCCCACCCCCGGCATGTATGCCCACGCTGGGGTATGTTTCTCATCCTCTTTCTGCTTTCCAAGCCTAATGCCCTGAGCCTACTCTAACACTGACTGCCACAAATTGGCTAAGCTTGTCTTTTTCATTGCCAGTGGCTGTGGGTGGTCCTTCTCTTGGGCACTAATTATTTTATCAGGGCTTCAGTGTCACAGTCAAAAGGAATGGTGATGTTCAGGCCATTGGACAGGCTGGCAGAGAAGCCAGTTCTAAAGCACAAGCCTTTCAGTACATATTCATGAGGACTCCCCTTTGGGGGAATGGGCTTGCCAGCTGTCTGAGGCCCCAGAACTCCGGGAGTTGTATTCTCAGGGGCCCTTTTTTTTTTAAACTCAGAAGCCCTCCCAACTCTTTTGACCCTTCTAAGCTACCTTCCAGAAGAGGGTTACCATGTGATTCCAGCATCATCATTGGCAGGGTTCCAGGGCACAGAGGATGGTTCTGGGTTCAAGCACATCCTGGCCTATTCATCCACTAGCTCTTTAATGATTCACTGAGTCTTCTAGGTTGGGTCTCTGCACTCATGAATTTTAAAATATTTGTACTGATTCTTTTAAATGTATTTTAATTACACAATCCATGAATACATCCTCATTGCAAAACATTCTGCAACTACAATTTCAAATGCTCTATCTTTATAGTCCCACCGCCCCTCCTTCTACCAAGGTCCATTTCTTTATATCCTAGGGAAGCTGAGTCACCCTCGTTAGCATGGACAAATTCAGGGACTGAAGGAAGAGCATACCAATGGACAAGAGGAAGGGGTCAAAACCCACACGCCCTCCAGCAGGAATCTCGGTGAGGAGCCAGGTGACAATAGGAGTGGTGCCAACTGAAAGAAAGATAGGAAGCAATGCAGAGGTCACCTTCAGGGCCAGCCCCAGGCTCTCCAGCCAGGGGTTCTGTCTGATGGTCCTACCATGTGTGTCTTCCTTGAGATCAGCCTTGAAAGTCAGTGATGGCCTCAAATTTCCTAAGCTCCCCATAGAGGCCCAGCATGGTCTTACATGCACGCTCTCACCTATACCTTCCTGAACCTAGTCCAGGTCCCAAGACTTGGGGAACAAATCCATGCGGCCCTTCTACCTTCCTTATGGAGCTCCCAGTTGCAGTCCATCTGCCGCTCAGCCTGAGTCCAGTAGCGACTGTCGGTCCAGACAGCTGCTTTCTTCATAGTCACCACTGCAGTTCCTGGGGCAGAACAGAGAAACTTGCAGGTGAGGGTGAAGGGGAGGAACGTGGCATTAGCTGATGGATGTGCAATGCAGTGCTGGCTCTGAGAATGCCACAAGGGGCCTCTGGAAAGAGATTCTCTCCTCCATTGGAAAGAAGTGAGGAAGGAGATCTTAAAAAGAGCTGTGGGGGGAGCTGGCAGAAAGGTGTCCTGAATCAGGCACCTCTGCTTTGTGTTGAGGGCTGCTTGTGGACTTTCAGCAGAAGTGAGGTCAACTTTTGGCTGCATGTAGGCGCTCTCAGGAAAGATGGGGCTCAGCGTAAAGACTCGGTGGCTGATAGGGAGGCTAAACCAGAGGCTCAGCTGAGGACTGCTGGGCAAGAATAATCCAGAGACTTTGGCAAAGGGAAAAAGAGCCTACGAGGCACGAGGCAGGGTAGTTTGAAGCCCAAGGAGGAATGTTTGAGGATCAGGAAAGGAAGCTTGGATTTCATTCAATGGGCCAGGATCACGGTGCGAGGCCCCTTCAGACACTGTGATCTCATCAAGGGCTTATATGTTTGTGTCTCATTTGGCCATGTGAAGTGATGTTGTCCGTAAAACAACCGGCAAAGGAAAACTTTGTCTCCAAATGAGCCCTCATGTGAAAGGAATCAGCGGGTTCTTAGCGGTTAGAGGTAGAAGTAGCAACTATTTAGAAACGGAGCCTGGGAGTGCTGGACTGGGCCTGGTTGCAGCAGAGGTAATGAGCACAGGAAGGCAGCCTCTGCCTCATTTCTACACAGAAAGTGGCTGGTGGGCTATGAGATATGTGCCCTGGGGAATCTGATGGTTTTGGGGTGGTGGAGGGAGACAGAGAGAGTAGAAGGGTTTTCTCTACAGTAGGTTCTGGGGTCCCAGATGCTGAGACACTAGCCACATTAGGTCCTCTGTGACCACCTCTGGATCTACCAACAAAAGCAATGGGGCTGGGTAATGATTGTCACCTGCAGACCCTGTAAAGCCTGTAATCCACGCACGCCTCTCGTCATGTTGGCCGATGTACTCGTTCTAGGAAATCAACAACACCATCATTAGCCTTTTTCGTGGTATCAGATCCCACATGAAAGGCCCCCAACCACATCCCAGTTATTTCTGTCTGTCGGCTCCAACCCCTTGTCAGCTACAAGCCCAAGCACACCAAGTGCCTCTTCCAGGAAGCCCTCTGTAACTCTCCCAGCCTTCAATATCTTCCCTTCCTTTGAGCAACCGTATCTTTTGCAGTTCAACTCCCCCGCCCCCACACTGTTCACACTGGACTCAGTGTAACACTGGACTGTTCTGCAAAGGAGACTTGTTGCCCTGCCCTGCAAATTCTATGCAGTCTAGGGTCCTGTCTTTTGGCTCGTTTGGGTTTTCCCCTCCAGCTAATCCTTCTCCCTCCTGAGTCAAGCACAGTAGACTGGGAACATCATAACTTCTGCAAAGGGCTTTACACATTATCATATTTTGATCCTCATAATCCTTGGAGATAGATCTCATTACAGACCCATTTCTCTTTGCAGAAGAGGAAACTGAGGCTCAGGGAAGTTCAGATACTTACCCAACGTTCTTAGCCCTTCCCAGCATGTGGGAAAATTAATTTAAACAAGCTCATTGACACTAAAAATGCCCTCTCTTCCAAATGGGCTGGTGTTGGAAAGGTGGATGGTGTGGAGGGTGGAGCTAGTGAGGGGAAACGGTGGGATGGGTGCCCCCCTCCACAACCAACCCCGCGCTCCCTTAACCCAGGATTTTGGATTATTTTGCTACTCCATTCCACAGAGTATGGGAAGGCCTGGGCCAGAAGGGAGCTTGGAGTTCTTCCAGCCCAATTTCCAGCCCACCTTCTAACCTCCTAGGGCAGGGATACCCTAAACATTCATTCTGGATCTGCCTTCTGGGAATTGATGAAAATTGATTCTGAAGTTGTTTATAGTTTAATTTCTTGAGGTTAAGGAGGTTTGGCAATGTCTGCCCGCCTATGTAGAGGGATACATTCTTTCACTTGCCCTAAAACTACCGTGTCCATGCTCTCTACTTCCCTCCCTTTGCCCATCAGATCCTTTCTCTGTCTTCATCTTCTGAGTTTTAACAGCTCCTGTTTGTGGTCTCTGACCCAGGGTAGCAGAGAGGGCAAGGGGGAGAGAAGCTGTCTCTTACCATGTGAGCATCTGTGCCTGGGATGATGTAGGCTGAGAGATTCTGGGTCTGCATCTGCTGGCGGAGGGCTGTGAGTGACATTGTGGTATTGACCACAGTAACTGGAAGGTACTGACAGATGACAAGAAGACATTGAGACACAAACAAACAGATACACACGTTGCTTAGAGAAAATGACATCTGGGCCCCTGGCCTCCAGAAGAGCCCCCAGCCTCTCCTGAAGCAGCGGTTGGGGGAAGTTAGGCTGGCCTGGCTTGGGAAGGGATGGGGTGGCAACTGATGTTACTGCTTAGTCTAGATTAAGATGCCTGGGCTGGGTGGAGATGGAGGTGTTGGAGAGTTTGGAAAGGGACCCCTTGTGACAGTAATGGGACCTGAGTCTGGGATATGGGTGTGGGTGAGAACTGCAGGGGTCTGAGCTCTGGCATTGGGCCAGGCCATGCAGACAGTCCTTCTTTGGCTACCTGGGGGTAGGGTTGCCAGATTAGCAAATAAAAATACAGGACACTCACCTAGTTATGTTTGCATTTCAAATAAACAATGTGTAATGTTTTAATGTAAGTATTATATTAAAACATGCACAATTTGGGGCATACTTGCACTAAATTCTTATTTGTTATCTAAAATTCAAATGTAACTGGGTGTCCTGTATTTTATCTGGCAACCTTCCCTTGGCAGGGCTTTTTCAGGTTGCCACCCACTGGTCCCAAATGGCAGAGGAGAGTGAATGAATGCCCCCAGCAGTTTGAGATATTGCCCAGAAAGACCCTTTCCAGACCAGTTCTCTATTTCTTTACAGGTCATTTTAGCTTTAAAACGAAAAGCATGTTTCCGTTTGTGCTGTTTTGCTTTCTACTCCACGATATATCCATGTTTGTTTTAATATAAAAGTAATGTGGTTTGCCCACCCACCTGCCTGCCCCAGGGGTCCCATAAAGTTGATATTGCTAGCAGATGTACTGCGTTTTTCCCATGGCTTACAGTGCTGCTGGCATGCCTACCCCTTAGCCCTACTCTGATTGTAGAAAGAATCACTCTGGTCTCCAGCTAGGAAGCTGACTACCCAAGCCCCTTCTGCTGGGCCTTTTCCTCGTCTGCACACCCTAGGCCTCCCTCTCTTGCCCTTCCGTTGGCTCTTCTTTGGTTTTGGTTTTGTTTTGTTTTGTTTTTGAGACAGAGTCTTGCTCTGTCGCCCAGACTGGAGTGCAGTGGCACAATCTTGGCTCACTGCAACCTCTGCTTCCTGGGTTCAAGCAATTCTTCTGCCTTAGCCTCCTGAGTAGCGGGGATTACAGGCACCCGCCACCATGCCTGGCTAATTTTTTTATTTTTAGTAGAGACGGGGTTTCACCATGTTGCCCAGGCTGGTCTCGAACTCCTGACCTCAGGTGATCCACCTGGCTCGGTCTCCCAAAGTGCTGGGATTACAGGCGTCAGCCACCGTGCTCGGCCTCCGTTGGCTCTTCTAACCTCTGTCTTCCTCCCTCTTCCCTTCTGTGCTTCTCTTTTTGCTGTCACTCTAGAATTTGTCTTTTCTTTCCTCTGCCTGGCCTCAGCCAAAGGCCAGTTAGGGGCCTCCTGCCCTCCTCCCTCCTCCTAGAGGGGTTTCCCAGGCCCAGATCAGGACGGAAGCAGATAACCTGCTGGGGGAATGAATGGGAGGGAGGGGAGGGCACTGATGTGGAGGGGAGGGAGTGGAGGGGGGAGGGGCCCAAGAGTCCGGAAATCAGGAGAAAGCCTGGTAGGAGGAGGGGCTACCAACTGACCCAATGAGGGATAGAGAAGATGATAGAGCAGGGCGGGGGTGCTGCGGTGCAGGGGTGCGTGGGGCAGGGGTGGGGGGGTGCGTGGGGCCAGGGGGGCCGTGCGCGGGGGGCAGGGGGCACTCACAGGGGGGTTGGTGGAACAGTTTCTCACATCCTGCCCTCCAAGGTCCACTGGCTTTGTGTGGCCCCAGGCACAAGCTAGAAGCCGGGAGAAAAATCCAGGGTCATTTGGGGACCAGCTAGTTCCTAGAGAGGGAAGGAGTATCCTCTCAGCCCGCCCCACGGGGCCTCCATCCTTTGAAACGCACGAAGCTGGCCAGCTCTACTTGAGGATAAAAATAATCACATTTCATAGGAAATCAGGCTGAACTGGATAGCACCCTGGGTCACAATCAAAGAAATCTGTTTCATAGACAAGTGATTGCCACTTTTGGATGGGTTTTAGTGCTCATTAAATCAATTTTTCTTCTAATCTAATTGGGTCTTTTCAGGGTTTAGTGAAGTAGAAAAGTTGTGTGTAAATTAAATTTTTGTTATCAAATTTTCTTTGAAATGCTCTAGAAGATCACGCTAAATAATCACCCCACCTTCATTTTAGCCTTTTATAAATCTAATTGTATGATACATTGGGTTGACTTCAATTCAAGGCCTGCTTGCACTGTTTCTTACAGTCCAAATCTTTGCCTATCATTCCAGGCTCATTTTCAATATATTAGACAGAAATCCTAGTCTGCCATGGTGGGGAAAGATGGATTAATTAGTATTTAAAGACACCCTATTATGTGCCAGATACTGAACGCAGCAATTCATCTACAGTATCTCATTTGATATTTGTGACATCACTATGAGGTGGAAATTATTGTTCACTTTCTGCAGAGGAGGAAGTCAAGGCCCAGATAGATTTGGTAACTTGTCTAACTTGTGCCACCAGGAGTCAGTGGTAGAACAGGGATTTGAACCCAGGCCATCTTAATACAAAAGAGGTGAGCGCACTTTCAGTCCTCCCACTCTGCCAAGTATGAGAGGTGGGCCTGAAAAAGGTGATGCCACAGAAGGGACAGAATATATGGAGATCTAGTTTCTAGTTTGGGCTCTGCCCCCAATTTAGAGTGACTCGAGAGTGACCCCCCCCCAATATTCATTGAGCAACCATCTCCTAAGCGCCTACTGTGTGCCAGGCACTGGACTAAGTTCTCCAGGCTCTGGACCTCTGGAAAGGAGGGGCTTGAATTAGACAAAGCGGTCTCTGATAGTCCTTGCCTCTAACCCCCCTGTCTTTTAGGGAGGGATTTCCCTAGATGGTAATGGGGCCCTGAGTGTGGGGAGACATTACACTCCCCCGCCCCCCCTCCTTTTTTTTTTTTTTGAGACAGAGTCTCTCTGTCACCCAGGCTGGAGTGCAGTGGGGCGATCTCAGCTCACTGCAACCTCCGCCTCCCGGGTTCAAGCGATTCTCCTGCCTCAGCCTCCCAAGTAGCTGGGACTACAGGCATGCACCCACCACACCCAGCTAATTTTTGTATTTTTAGTAGAGATGGGGGTTTCACTATATTGGCCAGGCTGGTCTCGAACTCCTGACCTCAGGTGATCCACCCGCCCCGGCCTCCCAAAGTGTTGGGATCACAGGCGTGAGCCACTGCGCCCAACGCCCCCCGCGCCCGCATTTTTTTTTTTTTTGAGATGGAGTCTCCTTCTTTTGCCCAGGCTGGAGTGCAGTGGCACAATCTTGGCTCACTGCAATCTCTGCCTCCTGAGTTCAAGCGATTCTCCTGCCTCAGCCCCCCCTGAGGAACTGGGATTACAAGCGTGCGCCACCATGCCTGGCTAATTTTTGTAATTTTAATAGAGACAGTGTTTCACCATGTTGGCCAGGCTGGTCTCGAACTCCTGACCTCAAGTGATCCGCCTGCCATGGCCTCCCAAAGAGCTGGGATTACAGGCATGAGCCACCACGCCCAGCCACACTTTCGAGTGGGCTGAGCTACAGATGCAAGGAGGGTGGCTGGGGTTCAACACCATGAACGTCCTGTGTGATTTTATCTTGGTCTCATAAACTCAAGGATCAGATGCGACCCATACTGTTCATTTAAGAAAACAAACACCCATTTCTGTAGAAACAGATCCCTGGCAAAATGTTGGCACTGATATGCTAACATAAGAATGAGGACACAGCCAACTTATGTCTCTCTGGACACCAGAATATGCTGTTCTCTGAGGCCAGGGCTGTGGCTCCCAAGAGCAGGCTCTGCAGCTGAATGACTCTGTGGTCCCTGGCACAAGGCCTGGCACTGGGTAGGTGCTCAGGAACTGGACATTGAGTGACTGATCAGGCCCTGCTGACAGACAACAAAGAAAGGAAGGCTAGGGTGGGAGCGCTGGGCTGGGCACCTAGTTGAGGACAGAGAGGGTGCCGCAGGAATGACAAAGAGGAAAGACTCTCTTCCTGACCAAAGTTTAGTTAGGCTCCCCCAAAGCCTCTTCTCCACTTGGCCTTGACCTTGGCCTTCTGTGTCTGTCCTGCCCTTGCCAGGCTTGCATCACCCAGTCTTAGCAAGAATCTTGCTAAGTCAGTTTAGACACCCTTGATATCTGATCACTCTGGCCTGCCGTCAGCAAGAATGCTGTTCAGTCGGTTTAGCAAGAATCCCCCTACCCTTGCTATCTCCTCTTAATACTTTTCCATCCACTGACCCCCTCACTCTGCTCCTTGGCTACAGATCCCTGGAAGTCTTTTCTGTAATCAGAGTTGAGCCCCATTTCTCTCCTCTATTGCAATGCGGTAGTCTTAAATTAAGTTTTCCTTACCGTTTTAACGAGTGTCAGAATATTTTTTTTCTATAACGGGGGGAATGGAAAGGTGCCAAACCAGACTCGATCCAAGTTATGAGGGCCCCCAACACTGGCCCTGAGGTGTCTCTTCCTCAAGTCAGAGAGAGGAAGCAACAGAAAAAGAGACTCGGGCCCCAACCCTCACTCCAACCCTTTCTGAGCTCAGAGGGGAGAGGTCAGAGCTGCCTTCCAGTGGAAGCTAGGATGCACATACCACAGAGGAGGACCAGCCAGGGGCAGCAGCCCCAGTGAGCCCGGGCCATAGGGTCTCCAGATGCCGGCGCTGGGTGGATGGAGGGACAAGGGAGAGAGGGAGGGCTCTTTCCCCGGCCTCTTCCTTCAGGCCTTTCCTGGGCTCGAGCAGACAGAGGGTGGGGGCTGGCGTCAAGAAGGAGGCGTCTGGCTGCTGGGTGGAGAGTGCTTCTCTGGTCTTTTGTTTTGGAGGGCTCTGGGAGCCAGGGTGGGCAGAGGAGCTTTGGGCTGCCCGAGGCGGACTGTGCAAGTTCCTAGTCGTGTAGGATAGGGTGTGAGGCTATCCTGGGCAGAGTCCAAAGATCTCAGAGACAGAGGCACAACAGCTGGTCTCAATCAGCCTGCTTTTCCCAGCCCCCTCTCAGCGGCAGAGCCCCAGCCATTCCTTAATTCGGTCCCCTTCCCTCCAGCAAGCTGATTCCCATTAGCTCCCACACTCTGGGCTCTGGCTCCAGCACTGCTTTTGCTGTGGGGATGGAGATTTGCCTCCTGCTGCTGCTCCTTTTCCTCCCCACCTCTTCTTCCTCCTCGTTTTCCTTCTCCTCCTCCTTTTTCCTCCTTCCCCTCCTTTTCTGGGCTCCTCCACTTCCTCTTCTTCTTCCTCCTTTTCCCTCCTCATCCTCCTCCTTTTTTTTTTTTTCCTCCTTGTCCATTTCCTCCTCCTCCTCCTTTTTGCTCTTCCTCCCCCTCCTTTTTTCCTCCCTCTCTTCCTCCAAGCTGACTGGAAAAGCCAGTGTCCTCTCTTCTTGTAGTGCTTGGCAAGTCCCACTGTACCCCTTGGGAAAGTTGGTTGTGACTGGAGAGTTACTTTCTTGAGCTGGGATGAGTCCCCCCAGGAGTGCCCACTCTGAAGAAGTGATGCCAGCTCTTCCCTTGGGATCTGGGGAGTCCCATTCCCCTGCATTTTCTGAACCTGCACTCTGGGGAACCGAGGCTGTTAGAGCCACTCACACCTGGGAGGAAATGAAAGCCCAAAGATGCCCCTATCTGGAGGGTTTGGGGGATGCCACTGAATAGGGAAGAAGACACAGAAAGGGGAGTTTGGGCGCTCTGAGAAGACTAATTTGGTGAACTGGAAATGCTGTTTCTGCTGTAGCTTCTAGAACAGGGATTTGGTTACCCTGAAGTGTGAGTCACTCGTAAACAACACAACTCCCAATGAGGGAAATGGAGAAGCTGAGGCCTGCCTTGTCTTCACGCCCAGCTGAATCAGAGGGCAGCTTCAAGGCAGCTCCTAGTAAATGCTCTACAGAACCCTTGCTCTTTGGGTTCGAGGAAGGTGATTTCCCAGAGAGGAATGCTTTAGAGAGACAAACAGACCCAATGGGGATGGATGCTCACCTAGCCTGGAGGGCCCCAGAGGCAAACTGCCCATTCCTTTTGTTTCTATTTTTATTTTTGAAACAGGGTCTTATTCTGTTGCCCAGGGTGGAGTGCAGTGGCATGTTCTCGGTTCACTGCAACCTCAGCCTCCCGGGCTCAAGTGATTCTCCAGCCTCAGCCTTCTGAGTAGCTGAGACCACAGGTGCGTGTCACCATGCCTGGCCACCATTCCTTTTGTTTCTATTTTTAATGGATTTACAGTCTGCTTATGTCCACATCAAGTGTAAAGCAACTTTCAACCATCCATTCAAGAATGACAAAATAGGCCATTTTGAAGAGGGAAAACGGACCTTCATGGGAGTCTCTGAAGGGGCAGAGTCAAAATGAGTGAGGTGGCCCAGTGAACTTCATTCTCAGGAATAAAAGCAGAGGGCAGGAGCCCACAGCCTCAGAGGACAGACCAGGGACAAGGAGAACATGAGAATGCTGTCATTCAATAACTGCTGAAGCTCCCGCAGCCTTTTCCCCAGGCTCCTCTCTCCCACCCCTTCCAGGACTGGTAATGAAATTATTCCCAGAGACCAGAGCACTGGAAAATGCCCCCTCAAAGACTCCTGCCTCCTCTGTTTGCTGCAGTAGCCATCCTGAAGGGCAAGCAAGCAGGTAGAGCTGATGGGATTTTGCAGGGGAAGACCCCTGAAGATAGCCTTTGAGGACAAACATGGTCCTGTCTTTCTGTCAGTGAACTGAGCCTTGAAACACTGACTTGGGAGCCAATCAGCCTGAGTTTCAATCCCAGCTCTGGCACCCACTAGCTGTGTGATCTTGGGCAAGTGACTTTATCTCCCTGAGTCCCCAGTGTCCTCACCTGTGAGTTGGCATAATAATAGTACTAGCTTCTTAGGGTTGTTATGAGGATTCAATGGGCTAATGTTGGTGATGCTCTCAGAACATGCCTCGCAGAGACAAGAGTAAATGTTCTACAAATGTTTGTTAATTCACATACTAGAACTAAATAAAGCCAGTCTCATCTGTACTTTGTTCTTTCTCTCCCTGGCATCCAGCACTGCTGAAATAGCAGTTGTTAGAGCAAAGATCAGCTGAGCTGAAGGGCCAACCCCCGAAGCAAACAAACTAAACGGGGATTCCACCCCCATCTTCCGGACTCTGCCCAGGGATGGTCCCCACATAATACTCAGCCCTCTGGTTTCATACCTCTGGGTCCCAGCCTTAGCCCTGGTGGCAAAGATAACTTCACTTGCCTTCATCAGCTCCTTCCTTATCTCCCTATCTCGAAACCACTGTCTTTACTCTTATCAGTTGAGAGACTTCAACCCAAGTTGGCAACAGGCTTGAAGTGGAAAGAAATGATTCAACGTGGGGAGGGTTGAATGGCCGAGTCTTTGCATCAAAGTTGTTTGGAAGATGCATGCATCACTGGAGTCTCGCTCTGGCCTACTCAGGCAGTGGACTTCTGCTTGTTTTACTTTTTGGTCCAAAGCTAGCCTAAAGGCCAAATTCTGAAATCAGAGGTGATCTTCTCTAGAGTACCTCCTGTCTGTGCCTCTTATTTTGCACCCTCATGCCACCCCAGGCTTCCAACCTGAGCCTGCCCTCTCTGGGCACCAATGCCTCCTTGACTTCCATCAGAATACACCTTCCTGACTTACATGTTCTCCCACCAGGTGACAACCACTAGGTGTCCTGAATCGCAGCTGAGGTCACAATAACAACTAATGTCATGAGTGTGAATGAGAAAATGCATATAAAGTGACGAGCAAGCAAGGAACTCTAGCACCAGGGATACAAACAGCTTTGCTGTGGGAGCCCCGGGGAAGGGTAGAACCTGGAGGAAGGCCAGGAATCAGAGAGGTGGAGTGAATCTTGGCAGTAGAGGTGCAGAGATGGCATTGCAGGAGGTGGTCACAGGGAAGGACAGCAGTCTAGGGGCAGACTGGCGGCAATAATGTGAAAAGCAGCCTGAGGAAGCACAGGTGGACAGCGCCATGGACTGGAATAGCCGGTGGCAATAGGAAAGTCAGAGACCCAAGGGGGCTATGAGCACTGCAGAGCATCCCCTGGGGATGTCCCAAGTTACTGAGGATGAAATCATGAAATGATACCTGAGGTTCTGCAGTTCTGCAGGTGGGAAGGAGGCTTTTGAGCTAGCACATGCCCAATCTAACTCTTCATGTGACCTCACAGGCTGAGGGACTGGGGACTCTTGGCCTTGTGGGCACAGCATGTGATTGCTGCTTCCGAATTCCCGTTATACCCTCCCATCAGGTTCCAGCATCTCATGCTGGGAGATAGGCAGGGCTCTCAGAAGCAGAAGAGAAGACAGGCTTGGAGAAAAAAAGTGGCTTTGCCCAGGTCCAAGCTGACCTGTGGCAGAGCTGGGACTCAAACCTGGGTCTGGGGAACTTAAAAGCCCATGCTCTGTCCCTTGGACCTCACAGTCACCCCAATCTGAAGATCCTCCATGGCTCCCACTGCCCTCAGGGCAGAATTCAATCTCTTCAGCTTAGTGGCCAAGGTCTTCCTCTCTAACATTATTCATCTCTTCTTGTCCACATTCTCTCCATCCATCAAAGTCCAGCTCAAAATTCATCTTGTCTACCAAGCCCTCATCACCTCAAATTCATCTTGGAGACTCCCATAACATTTTATGGGAGCTTCTGTTTTCAAACCCTGACATTGACCTTTTTCTTTCTCAACAACTCTTCTGTCGTAGGTCACCCATCCCCAAGGGCAGGAGCTTGCTTTTTATAAATGTTTAGACCTGGAACAGGTCCTATCCAGGACAGAGCCCAGCAAAGAGTGGGCTCAGCACAAGTTTGTGGAGTTGATGCAAAACCCCACCATTGTGTGGCCTAGCCTCCCCATCCTTAACCCGAAAGGAATACTCTGAATGGAGGGCAATTTTCCAGCCCCAGAAGGCTGCTGTGGTGCTGTTGGGTGCCTCATCCATCACATCTGCCCTGCTTTGATACAAAGCTACCCTGCCTCTGTGTGTGTGTGTGTGTGTGTGTGTGTGTGTGTGTGTGTGTGTGTGTAGGGTGTGGTCACACAGCAGGGGGAAAGAGCTCATTTCATGGCATTTGATCTTTGGTGCTATGAGGCCCAAGACCTCACCCAGACAGCCAGGCATCAGAGAAGGGAGTTTCTGTCCTCAGGGCGAGGGTTGGACGTCCTTCGCTGTGGTTGGTGGATCCAGTGGTCAGCTCCTTTTCAGCAGCTCACAGCTGCCCATGGCTCCTCCTTCTTCTTGTGAAATCTGTTGGTGATTGTGTTAGACCATTTTGCATTGCTATAAAGAAATACTTGAGATTGGGTAATTTATAAAGAAAAGAGGTTTAATTGGTTCACAGTTCTTCAGGCTGTACAGGAAGCATAGTGCTGGCATCTGCTTTTGGGGAGGCCTTAGGAAGCTTACAATCATGGAAGAAGGCAAAGAGGGAACAGGCATCTCATATGGCAGGACTGGGAGCAAGAGAGAGAGTGAAGGGAAGGTGCTATACACTTTTTTTTTTTTTTTGAGACGGAGTTTCGCTCTGTCACCCAAGCTGGAGTGCAATGGCGTGATCTTGGCTCACTGCAACCTCTGCCTCCCTGGTTCAAGCGATTCTCCTGCCTCAGCCTCCTGAGTAGCTGGGATTATAGGCGCATGCCACCATGCCCCGCTAATTTTTGTATTTTTAGTTGAGATAGGGTTTCACCATGTTGGTCAGGCTAACAACCAGATCTTGTGAGAACTCACTTGATAATGCAAAGACAGCACCAAACCATGAGAGATCCACCCCCATGACTCAAACATCCCCCCCCAGACCCCAATTCCAACACTGAGGATTACAATTCAACATGAGATTTGGCAGGGGCACGTCATTCCACCTTGGTCCCTCAAATGTCATGTCCTTTTCACATTGCAAAATATAGTCCTCTCTTCTCAATAGTCCCCCAAAGTCTTAACTCATTTCAGCATTAACTCCAAAGTCCAAAGTCTCATCTGGAAATGAGTTCCTTCAACCTATGAGCCTGTAAAATAAAAAACAAGTTATTTACTTCCAAGATGCTATGGGGGGGATAGGCATTGAGTAAACATTTTCATTCCAAAAGGGAGAAATTGGGCAAAATAAAGGGCTACAGGCCCCATGCAAGTTTGAAACCCAGCAGGGTAGTCTTTAAATGTCAAAGCTCCAAAATAATCTCCTTCAACTCCAGGTCTCACATCCAGGCCACACTGACACAAGGGGTGGGCTCCCAAGGCCTTGGGCAGCTCTGCCCCTGTAGCTTTTCTGGGTTCGGCACCTGTAGCTGCTTTCACAGTTGTTGAGTGCCTGTGGCTTTTCCAGGTGCAGGGTGCGAGCTGTTGGTGGATCTACCATTCTGAGGTTTGGAGGACCGGGGCCCCCTTCCCACAGCCCCACTAGGCAGTGCCCTCAGTGGAGACTGTACATGGGGGCTCCAACCCCACGTTTCCCCTCTGCACTGTCCTAGCAGAGGTTTTCCATGAGGGCTCTGCCCCTGTAGCAGGCTCTGCCTGGGCACCCAGATTTCCTATACATCTTCTGAAATCTAGGCAGAGGCTGCCAAGCCTCCTTCACTCTTGCACTTTGCACACCTACAGGCTTAATGCCAGACAGAAGCTGCCAAGGCGTACAGCTTACACTTTCTGAAGCAGCAACCTGAGCTGTATCTGGGGACCTTTCAGCCAAGGCTGGAGCTGGAGTGGCCAGGATGCGAGAAGCAGTGTCCAGAGGCTGCTCAGGGCAGCAGGGCCCTAGGCCTGGACCATGAAACCACCTTGGCCTCAGAGCCTGTGATGGGAGGGGCTGCCTCTTAGATCTCTGAAATGTCTTTTTTAGTTATGCAAATATCTCTAGCAAGTGGTTACCCCACAGTCTGCTTGAATTCATCCCCTGAAATTGGGCTTTTCTTTTCTATCACATAGTGAGGGTGCAAATTTTCCAAACTTTTACACTCTGCTTCCCATTTAAATAAAAATTCCAACATTAAGTCATTCCTTTACTCCCACACCTGAGCATAGATTGTTAGAATCAGCCTAGTACCTCTTGAATGTTTTGCTGCTTAGAAATTTCTTCCACCAGATACCCTAAATCATCAATCTGAAGTTCAAAACTCCACAGATCCCTAGGTCATGGATGTGATACAGCCAAGTTCTTTGCTAAGGTATAATACAGGTGACCTTTGTTCCAGTTCCCAATAAGTTCCTCATTTCCATCTGAGACCTCAGCAGCCTGGACTTCACCGTCTACATCACAAACAGCATTTGGGTCACAACCATTTAACTAGTGTCTAAGAAGTTCCAAACTTTCCCTCATCTTCCTATCTTTTTTTGGAGGCCTCCAAACTCTTCTAACTTCTGCCCATTACCCAGTTCCAAAGCCCCTTCCAGATTTTCAGGTATCTTTATAGCAATGCTGCACTTCTTTGGCATCAATTTTCTGTATTAGGCCAATCTTGGATTGCTATAAAGAAATACCTGAGACTGAATAATTTATAGTGAAAAGAGGTTTGATTGGCTTACAGTTCTGTGGGCTGTACAGGAAAGCATAGTGCTGGCATCTGCTTCTGGGAGGGCCTCAGGAAACTTACAATCATGGCAGAAGGCAAAGAGGGAATAGGCATCTCACATGGCAGGAGCAGGAGCAACAGAGAGAGTGGAGAAGGAGATGCCACACACTTTTAAACAACCTGATCACTTGAGAACTCACTGACTATCATGAGGACAGCACTAAACCATGAGGGATCTGCCCCGTGACCCAAACACCTCCACCCAGGCCCCATCTCCAACACTGGGGATTACATTTCAGCATCAGATTTGAAAGAGACATATATTCAAACATTATCAGTGATTATGGTTCAGGAACTTTGCTAGTGAGACCCAGTGGATCTGGCTAGAGCCCCGTGTAGGCCAGTTAGCTTGGTTCACTTCAGTGGTCACAGACTAAGTCAGATCCTGAGCCCTGGCTGAGTCCAAAGCCCAGCCAGGCATGTCACAAACCTATGCTGCCCTCTCAGGGGCCTTGCACTGCATAAGGATGCATGGCGATAGCACCACTGGGGCTCACCAAGGTTCTAGTTGATTTCACTCAACCCTTCATTTGGTGGTCTTTGGGCACTCTCCCAACCTTCTGTCCTCTTCAGGAGCCTGATCTCTTTACTTCTCAGCCATCTTATGCCCCTCTCCTTGCCATCTCCACTCTAGCCATATGCCATTCTTTGAGTCCCTCTTACAGTGTCTCCTCTAGCAACAGGGTCTTTGTTCATTTCTCTTCACCCAGAATACCCACCCTTCCTTCCTCTCTTTACTCTGTGAACTCCTCTTCCTTCCAGTCTTGCCTCAAATGTCATTTGGTCTGGAAGCTTTCCTTGACCTCCTGGCGAGGTTGACTTCCCCTATTAGTTCTGTTACTGCCTTTGTCACAGGTCCTGTCATCTGCCTTTCAACACTTCCTCAGTCGTGGAAAGGACCACAGCAACTAGCTCATGGCTGCCTCTCTGCAGCATGTCTGCCATTACCATGAGTCATATCAAGGTTCCTGTCAATGACCCATCTAATGTCCTCCTTCTTCAAGTCCAAAGCTCCTCAGCTCAAGGCCCTTTCTCCTCCACTCCTCCTCAGCCTCCCACAACCAAAGTAGCATCTTGGGCCTTGCCACTGCTTGGGATCACTGTCCTTTGACATACTGAACTCCAACCCCCCATTCTCCGAACACACCCTCCTGTGCTTCTCTCCTTCACTCTTACTGCACCTGATTTTTGACTTCACCAAAACATCCTGTTCCTTGCCCTGCGCTCTTCCTCTCCACTTATCAGCAACCCTTGGTTTCCCTTCCCTCTCTATTTGGCTCAAACTACATAACCCATCACTCCAACCTCGCTTTTGCTAGCACATTTAACTCTCCTGTTCCTTTGTGCTTCCACTCCATGTATCCTGCCAATGTCCATCCCCAAGTAAAGCATGCTCCCATCCCAGGGTCATTGCATATACCATTCCCACTAACAGGAATGCTCTTTTTTTCAGATGCCAACATGGCTCATTCCTTCGCTTCATTCAGTCCTCTGTTCAGATGTCCCCTTTTCAGAGAGGACTTCCCTGACCTCATTATTTAAACAGTGCCTCTGTCACTCTTTATTTCCTATTCTGTATTATTACCTCTTCAGAGTATTTTCCTGACATTATATTGTGTACCTATTTGTTTATGTTTGTCCACTGTTATATCTCAGGGCCTAGAACACTACCTGGAGCTTAGTAGGCATTCATAACTTTTTATTGAATAAATAAGTAAACCCCAGGGCATTTGAACCATCTGTCTTCTCTACAGGAGAATATATCCCAACCCTGTTGGTTGGGATCACTCCAAATTTTTGGTGTCCAACCTCGGCAGGCCTCTTGGTGCTGCTTGGCAATCCTTTTCCCTGTCCTGAGTCAGCTGTATTTTCTGTTGCCCTTGTGGGAGATTCCAGACCTTTATCCTTGTCCTCAAATCCCTACCCTGCTTGCATTTCATGATTGATGGACCTTCAGGTTGTTTCTGACTTTGCATTGTTACAAACAGGGGCCATGAAAATTCACGCACATGAAGCATTGCTCTAGGATCCATATCTAGAAGTAGAAAAGCGTACAATTTTGTCATGTCAATAGATTCTGCCAAACTGCCCTCCAAGAAAAGCTGTAGCAAATCACACTTCTACCAATAAAATAGCTGTTTCCACAATGTCTTCAACACTGGATAACATCAATGGTTTAAGGTTTTACCAATTTTATGGGTGAAAATTGGTCTCTTGCTGCTTTGTGTTTACCTGCTGGCTGGTAAAGGTTGACTATGCTTCCTTATGTTTTATTTGCCTTTTATTTTTTTCTTCATCTTTGAGTACCCATTCCTTTCATTAGCCCATGTTCTCATTGGGTTGTTTGTTTTTTTCTTATTAACTTAAAAATGAGATCTTTTTATATATTATGTGCATTCTTCATTTATCTGTTTGACAAATATTTATATACCTCAAGTATTTTCTCCCTTTTAACTTTGTTTTTAATTTTAGAGACTGAAATTTTTTTTGTGTAGCCAAAAACCTATCAAGATACTCTTATAATTTCTGGGACTTGTGACTTACTTAACAAGGAAATACTGTCCTATATATTCTCACAGTTTCATATAATTTTTTTGTGAGTGCACGTGTATTTAGCTCATTAATCCATTTGGGAATTGTATTTGGATATGACATGAGGTACAGATTTAAGAATATTGTGCCTTAACCCCCCACCCCCAATTTGACACTAATTGTCCCGTAACCATTTATTGACGAGTATATCTTTTCTTCATTGATTTTCAATGCCTTATGTAGTGCATATTATAGTCTCACATATACGTGGGGTTGTACTAGACTCTTTTGTTCCATTGATCTATGTCGCGGTGCCAACATTACACTGCTTTAATTACTATAGCTTGTGTTGTGCTTTGATAGCTGGCAGTGGAAGACTTCCTGCCCATTTTTTAAACACTTCTCTGTCATATTGCATATTTCCTTCTCTAGATGATCTCAGGATCAGCACATCAAGTCCTATAAAAATTCCTGTTATGATTCAAATTGATATTGCATTAGATGTTTGGATTAATCTGGGGAAAATGTCTGAGTTTTTAAAAACATCCTGGAATATACCTTATCTTTTCATTGATTCAGGTATTGTATGCCCTTCTGTAAAGTTGTCTATGCCTATCCTCGCCCATAGTGGTCTGATCTGAGCCCCGACCACTCCACTAAAGGAGCTCTTGCTAGAGGCATTAATGACCTTTGTGGTGTTCGCTACTGAGAGATGGCAGGTTATGGGGATGTCTTTGTCCACTCCCCTTGAAACTGGGCAGGGTTTTATGAGTATTTTGACCAATGGCAGGTGGTGAAAGTGAACTTTCCATTTATTTAGGTCTTCTTTAATTTCTATATGCAATGTTTTGTAGTTTTCTGTATACAAGTCTTTCACTTCCTGGGTTAAATTTATTGATAGATATTTTATTCTTTTATGTACTACTGTAAATGGAATTATTTTCTTCATTTCCTTTTGGATTTTTCATTGCTGATGTACAGAAACATGGTGTATTAGTTAGTTTGGGCTGCTGTTACACATTGCCATAGATGGGGTGGCTTGAACAATGAACATTTATGTTTCACAGTTCTGGAGGCTGAGGAGTCCAAGATCAAGGTGCTAGCAGATCAGGTGTCTGGTGAGAACACTCTTCCTGGTTTGCAGATGGCCATCTTCTTGCTATGTCCTGATATGACAGGTGGAGAGAGAGGGAGGGAGGGGGTAGACAGAGATGGGGCTCTCTGGTCTCTTCTTATAAGTGCACAAATCCCACCAGGTGGGCTCGACCCTCATGACCTCTAATCACCTCCCAAACTTCCCCATCTTCAAATACCATCACATTGGGGATTAGGGTTTCAACATATGAATTCGGAGGCACACGAGCATTCTGTCTGTAGCACATGGGACTCTTTCTCTTGGTCTTCAGTTGCCATACAAGCAGGTCTACTCCCCGGAGACCTCCAGGCTGTGAGGAAGCTCAGAGTAGCCCCTGCAGAGAAGTGGCATGGAAAGGCCCTGAGACCACAGGAAGAGAGAGAGAGAAGGCCAGCCAGCCCCAGGCCAGCCCCCAGCTCCCCGCCACCCAATGTTCTAGCTTCCAGCCCCTCTCTGGCTGCAACAATAGGTGAGACCCTGAGCCAGATTCCTTGCCCACCCCAAATTTCTAACCCACAGAAACCATAAGAGATGATAGGATAATACCATGATTTGTGTTGCTTTAAGCCACTAAGGTTTTTTGTTTGTTTGTTTGTTGTTTTGTTTTTACATGGCAATAGATAACGAGAACAGCCTTCTACTTCCCAAATCTAAAGGGCCATTTTAAGGCTAATGACTTCTCTGTGGTAGTCAACTTAGCAGAACTGTTCCCTCATTGAACCTCTCCTTTTCTTTGACTTCCTTGACAATTGTTCCTGGTTCTCCTACATCTGTGGCTACTTTTTCTTAGTCTTTTTCCTACACTTCTTTTATTCTCCCTTCCCCTTAAATATTGATGTCCTGGCCTCAGCCCTCTTTTCTTCTGATGAATTACACTCCACTCTCACCCATCTCCAAGTCGGTGCTGGCCCAGGTCTCTTTCCTGAGCTCTAGACTCATAAAACCAATTGCTGGCTGGGCGTAGTGGCTCATGCCTGTAATCCTAGCACTTTGGGAGGCCAAGGCAGGCGGATCACGAGGTCAGGAGATCAAGACCATCCTGGCCAACATGGTGAAACTCCGTCTCTACAAAAACGCAAAAAATTAGCTGGGCATGGTGATATGTGCCTGTAGTCCCAGCTACTCGGGAGGCTGAGGCAGGATAATTGCTTGAACCTGGGAGGCGGAGATTGCAGTGAGCCGAGATCGCACCACTGCACTCCAGACTGGCGACACAGCAAGATTAAAAAAAAAAAAATTGCCTACTGACCTTCCCTACCTGGATGTCTCTTTCTCCATATGTGCAAAATGGATCTCTTCATTTCCCCCATGCCCCAACATGTCCCTGTCCACCCAGTTGCCCAAGCCAGAATTCTGAGGGTCATTGCAGACCTCTCCCTCCCCCTTGCCTTGACACCATGTCTTGTCAAGTCTACCTCCTACATGTATCTAAAGATCATCACTTCCTCTGCTTTCTGCCCTGGACTATTGCCATAGATCCTAAATGATTAGTCTGCTTTCACTCTCTTCCCCTCCAAGCTACCCTCCACACTATGGCCAGTGGTTAAGAACACCAGCTTTGGGGCTAGGTAGATCTGTTTTTGTGCCCCATCTCTGCCATTCATTGGCTCTGTGACCTTGCGTAAGACATTCACTTTTCTGAGTCTCAGATTCTTCATCTTTAAAATGGAAGTAATAATAATAATTTTACCTACTGGGAAGGTTGATGCCAGGATTCAATAAGAATGCATCCTCAGCATTTTGCACAGTGCCTGGCACACAGCAAATGCGTAATAAATGATTGCAGAATGTTTGAGAAGGGGGCTTAGATGAGAGTATGGATGGCTCTAGCAGCTTCCTTTCTTTGCTGAAAATAACAGTTCTGAACTCATGGACTACACCAGATGTGGCTTGGCTGTCGAGTCTGAATAGGAAAGACTGTGCATTTGTCCAGATTAAGGGAGAGCACAGATATTGCAGAGGGCATCTGAGTTGTATTCCTGAGGTCACAGTGGCAGCTAGGGCCTGGAAAAACTGACAGGTCCTTGGAAGCTGACATAACTGGCCCAACTGGAGCCAGCACATCTGGAACTAGACAGCAGAGGGCAGCAGAGGTTGGTGCGATTGCAGTTCCCTGGGTTGGAGTTGGGGTTGGGGAGGAGAAACCTAAAGGAAAAACTTGGGATCCAAATGGGGGTTTGGCTAGAGGAGCTGTCCAGAGGATAGCAGTGCTCTTGAGCATCCTTTCCCTTAGGGCCTGGGATGAAGATGATTAAGGAAGTAAGGCTGCTTGGGAGGAAAAGAGGAGGCTAAGATTTAGAAGTGGGAGCTGAGTGAGTGAGTTGGAACTTTTACAAAGTATACTAAGAAAAGTGAATCTATCCTAGTCTTGTCTATTTGGGCCTTTGCTCATTTCTAGGAATCCCAATGGTCCTTCTATGGGCAGAGTTATCAACTGGGGACCCCAGAGGGTGGAGATGCTTTTATGTGTGATAGATGATGAGTTTGTAGTACAGGTAGGGGCCACATCCCTAAGGTATGAATAAAAGAAGCTTCAGGCTCATGAGGAAACCAAGGCCCAGAGAGGGGAAGTGACTTGCCTAAGGTCATATAGTTAGGATTAAGAGTGAAAGCCAATATTTACTGAAACGTTCTAGGTATTGCTGAACACATTCCATGCATTACCTCACTTAATCCTCACAATAACCTCATGAACCAGGATCAGGTGTTGTATCATCACATTTTACAGAAGAAGAAACTGAAGCACAGAAAGGCTAAGCCACTTGCCCAAGGCCAAACAGCCAGTCAGTGTTGCACCAGGATGCAAATCCAGGCAGCACAATTCCACGGCCTGTGAATGTAACCACCACATTCTGCTACTTGCCTAGGTCAAAGGTTAGGTTTCTGTACTCCCAAATCAAGGCTCTTACCAGTATAGACAATTACTCTATATTGTCTTGGATGGAACCCAGTTTCAGTACGTCAAGTCCTGGTCTCAAATTAAGTACACTAGAAAGGCAGTTTGCTACTTTAAATGGAAGCTCAGTTAATCCTTTTGTGAGGTAAATACTGCCATTTTTCTTCTCCTATCTATAATTTACCTGCATTGTGATGTTTCTACACTGTGCGAACTGTCCAGGGGACATATGGTTGGCATGCTTCCTATAGAGCGTCACTGCTGATACAGGTTCTGCTTTAAAGGGCTTCTTTCCCAGTCAGCTCTAGATTTCTCCTGAGTTGCATTCCTATACCACATTGTTACTGTAGTCCAGGGATGGTGAAAGAAAGTCAGTTAAAGTAATGTTTTCTTTAAAAAAATTCTCTATTTTGTTTTCCTTGTACTATTGCTTGTTATTGAGCAAGCAACCATTCTTATTCAGTGTCTGTCTGCATAGAGGCATTCATTCATTTATTCATTCATTCATAAAACACTTGCTGGGCGCCTGCTATGTGCCAAGCACTTTGCTAGGTCCTAGGGGTACAGTGATGAACCAGGAGAGCATGGTCCCTGTCCTCATGGAATTTTGAGTCTAGAAAGAAAGTCAAATCATCCCTCTCAGGTGCCTCTAACTGAAATTGGGAACCGCCCATCTTCTCCGTCACCGTTGCCTTAGCTTGAGCTCTTATCATGTCCCTTCCTTGGATCACTGCAGCTGGTCTGCCAGTCCCTGTTTCTCCCAACCCCCACCACAGCCTGCACACAGCAGAGAGCAGCAGACAGACTCCACCTTTGAAAACATCCCTTCAAACATGTCACATCCTTCCCCTGCTCAACCTGCTCAAAATCCTTCAATGACTCCCCATTTCCTGTCAAATGACATCCACATTCCTTCACCATCTGGCCCGATTCAAGCAAGTTCATGAGCCCATCCTGCCCTATCCTCTTCTCTATAACCTCATTTCCTACCTGGCCATCTGCTTTAGTAGGTTTTCTTACTGTCCTCATACACTTCCAGCTCATTCTTCACCTTTAGTTCCATCTCCTCATATCCTACCTATCCTACAGAAGCTCTGACTGGGGTACCACCTTCTGTAGGAAGCCTCCCCAAGGACTCCCTCCTTCCTCTGCTCTCCCTTCTCTGTGATCCTGGGCCCAAGGCCTGAGCTGGTGCGAAGATTAAATGACATGCCATTATGGGCAAATTCTTTGTATTGCATCATGGGAGACTTCATATCCATTCTCATAGCTACCATTTATTAAGCACATGTTCTCTGCTAGCCAGTGGAGCTCAATGGCTTAAAGAAACCATTTCGTTGAGTCCTCATAACAGCTTGTGAAATAGACAATATTGATTAGGTCCATCATTCAGATGAGGAAATTGGCTCAGGGAAGTTGTGTATCTAGCCCAAGATCACACTTATAGATAGGTCCATCTGGGGATCCTGTGCTCCTTCCGAAGGTGGTCCATTGGACTGAGCTGGTTTGAATCCCAACTGTGCCTCTTTTTAGAAACCTGTAGTGCAACTTTATATGACCTTTCAGGTCTTTAACTCTTGATTTAAAACTTTCTATTAATATTTTCCCTGGTCCTAATTCTCTGCTTTTATTTTGTCATTATTTTTTCATTGTCATTAACCACCTCAAAGTCTTTGGGAAACAAGGTGGGGTAATTAAATTAAATGCATGAAAATAAAATTGTTTCCTTGGCTCCACTTATAGTGCCCAAGAAAGAATTGGGAACCGGTGCTAGGCGAGCATCGTCTAACCTTGTGCTCTGCAAGGCCTTGAGGAAAAGGCAATCCAAATTAGAAGCCAAAGGTCAGTTCTTTCTGCGAAATAAGAGTCCATGCCAGGTTCCCTATCAACATGCCTGACTGTGGCATGGACTCTATTTCCTTCCATAGTTTTATTTTTATTTTTAAGGAGCCATCAGGTGGTAATGGATGATTCATGCTTTACTTACTCTTCTTGTTTATTTCCCTTCCTCGACCTTCAGATTTTTTTCCCCTTAATGTTTGTTCCGGGTTTTGACAAAGCACCGAGGTACTTGACTTACATTGGTAACTTTTTTTTCTAATGTCTTCTTAGGAAAAAAAAATGAAAGGAAGTGACAGTATTCCAAAACCATCTTTTATTTTATCAGTGGATGGATTGCACCTGCTGCTCTCCAATTGTTTCCTTTTACAGTAAAACCTCATTAGAAGACACTCCATGAGTACCAAATGGGGATAGCTTGGGCCCTGTCTGTCTTGACTTTGTCCACTCTCAACAAAGTCATAAATGAATTGAATAAATGGACTCTGTGCACTGAGTTTCTATACTTCAAGGCAGCAAACTTTATCATTTCCTTGGTAGGACCATTTGCATACAAATGATTGATGCTGAGGATTCTTTTCATTTCATTAAGGCAAGTCTCCTAAGACCTCGATTAGGCTACAACTTGTTAGCTTACTTGGAGCTACTGTGAATTATTCAAAACAATAAAGCTTCATTACTTTACAAGTAACCTACAATACAGATGGTTCACTAATTTGAAAGGCTACCTCCAATTAGTTTGAATAAGTGAGGTTGGACTGCATTCAACAGCAATTTATTGATTTCTTTCATCATACAAATCACTCTCCCTAGGCAAGAATTCTTTTTAATAACCCCAGTACTCCGTGAAGACTGGAACAGTGGCATCTCCCTCAGAGACAAAGATGTGGTGCCCACTCACCTGTCTGAGTTGGAATCTTACTAGTAGAGGTCACTTGCACTGATACACCCACACGCTTAAAATCTTGTTCTTAGTGGCTAAAATTCAGGGTCAATATATGGCTGGGACAGAGAATTGGTTCTGTGTGATGCTGGCCAAGTTGCTTTACCTCTCCAGGTTGGAGTTTCTTCACTCTGCAATTATATACTCAGTCTGTGAATGAGACTAAGGGCAGCCCATTACCAAGGTTTAGGCTCATTCTCTGAACAGGTTTAGGGAACATTCTAGGCTGGGGTTAGTGCTCAGTCAGTGGCCAGGGTTAGAGCTTGCTTTGTGGATGAAGAGCTAAGTGAAGGGGACTTTATTTTCTAATCCTAACTGCCTGCTTATAGGTAGCGCTATGCTCTACCCCACTGAGCTGAGGACATAAGACACCAGTAGCAACGAGGCAAGACTGGAATTATAGGACAGGGACACTTAGGAACATAGGGAAAGATACTGGAAAATTTATATTCCCTGTCTAGTACCTCAACATTTTCTGTAAAGACGGCAAGAGGGAGAGGCTCACTCGCAGTCACTGACGTTGCAAGGAATCATCAGATTCCAAATAATTATTTGCAATTGGTGCATTTCCTTGCTGTGAATTTCTTTCTCAGGGACTCTGGCCATGGGGTGCTGGTGGGATCTGTTCCAGTCAAGTTATCTATTCTCTATGTCTCCTATGGGTGTGGACGAAAGGAGATGGGCTGGGCCACCTTGGCCATGTTTGAGTTAACAAATGACAATAGAATTCCTGCTTAGAATGCTAGGGAAATAGGTTTCTTTGACCTCCTGGGAGGAATTGTAATCACCAAGTTTTCAAAAGGCTAGGGAATCTTAACTGAAGGCTGCTTTTCATTTGAGACAGGAAGAGACAGACACGGAGGGTGAGACTGATAAGTGAAAGGGCGTGAAGCACCATTTCCCCCTTCAGGATGCTGGGGCTGGGCTGGAGAAGATGCAACCGGAGGTGGTGGTGGTGATGGCGGAATCCACTGTGCCTGACCTACATGCTCACAACCACCCTATGGGCTCATTACCATATTACTCCCACTTTACAGATTAGGAAACTGGGGTACAGAAAGAAACAGAGGTCACCCTGCTAGTGAGTGCAGTGCTGTAATTTGAACTCCAGAACCTCTGAGAATTATGGTTATTGGAAATACCAAGTCAATTTGGAATAGCAGGAAGACAAGGAGAAGAGATGGAGGGGGTTATGGTATCATGGTACCTCAAGTGCCCAGAGGTGGCCTCAGTGCCAAGAGGTAGCACAGTGCAGTGGTTAAGAGCATACACTAGGAACCCCACAGTCTAAGCTGACAGACTTGGTTCAAATCCCAGATCTCCCACTTTCTGGCTGTGTGACCTCAGGCAAGTTACTTGACCTCTCTGTGCCTCGGCTTCCTCATCTGCGAAATAGAGACAGGGATAATAATAGTACCTACTTCATGGGATTGTTATGAGGCTTGAATGAATCAATGAGGGAGAGTGTTTAGACAACACCTGACACCTAGCAAAAGCTACCTGGCTGTTTAACATCTAGTGTAGTAATGAATTGCCCACATGCTGGGTCTGTGGTTGGCTGGGGGATCTTTGAGCCTCAGCTTCTCCCTACAACCTACTTTAGAGTTGATGTGAGACATAAATGAGGCAAGGTACATGGAGAAGAGCACACAATGAGCTGTTTAGCATTACTATATCAGCCCTTTATAACCCAAAGGTAGAGTCCACATTGGTGTAGCATCTGTGAGTTCAAATGTTGCATTAAACGAGTGGGTCAGTGGCAAGGTATGAAGATAACCTTTTCTGATCTGCAAGGAATTCTGTTTTCTTTCAAAAATTTTTAAGAGACAGGGTCTTGCTCTGTTGTCCAGCCTGGAGTGTTGGGCTCAAGCCATCCTCTCACCTCAGCCTGCCGAGTAGATGAGACTACAGGCACACGCCACCACACCTGGCCGGTTTAAAATTTTTTTTGTAATAATGGGGTCTTGCTATGTTGCTCAGGCTGGTCTTGAACTCCTGGTCTCAAGTGATCCTCCCACTTCAACTTCCCAAAGTGCTGGGATTATAGATGTGAGCCACCGCGCCGGGCTGGAATTCTGTGTTCAATCTAAGTGACTTTAGAACCTGCTGACACACAGTGAAGAGGGAAAGGGCCATGGCCTCAGATACCATTGGGCCCAGATCCACAGCCTCAAGAATCCACACCCTTGGTAGAGCCAATGGGTGAGAACTCAGTCTCCAGAGCCAGACCTGTCTAGGTTCAAATCCCAGCTCTATCACATATTGTGCGACCTTGGGCAAGTCACTTGGCCTCTCTCAGTCTCTGTTCCCTCATCTGGAAAATGGGGGTAATATTTGTGCCTTCCTCATAGTGGGTGTTGTAAGGATTAGCTCCATGGACACATGTGGAGAGCTAAGAGCAGCGCCAGGCACGTAGTATAATATTTGTTGATTTATTTCCAGAGAAACCAGGGATATGAGTGAGAAATGAAGGAAGGCTGTGGCGCCCCTCTCCACCCTCTCCCTTTCCCCACCGGCTGGAAGATGCTCCTGTCCAAATGGGAAATTGAGGCCAAAATAGCACAATAAAGGAAAGGAAGCGCTCCAGGAGCAGATGGGCTCCCACTCACCGTCCTGAGGAATGTGCTGACTATTCAGGAACAGGCCTTTGGCAGTCACTTAACACAATCACGAAGCAAAGGGAAATGATCAAGTCTGTCACCAGGGTCAGTGCCAATTTGTTTAAGAACGTGGTGAGGCTGAAAAGGAGGATGTGGGGAATGGGAGGCCCCGAACATTCCTGGAGCCAGTTTGCAAAACCTCCCGGGCAGCAATCCCAGGTGCGTGTGGCTGGAGACCTGCCCTCCCCATGTACCCTCCAAAGTTCCCCAGTTAGCAGCCTTGGCCATGATGGGGGTGCTGGTGGCTCACGTGGGCTGGGTCAAGTTGGGGGTCCCATGCTTCCTTTATTCTATTCTGCAAACTTGTACTGAGTGTCCACTCTGTACCAGACACTGGGCTAGGAGCCGTGGGGTATGTGGGGGAGAATGATACAGGTAAGGTCCTTGCCCTGGAAGAACTCCTAGAGGATCGAAGCTATGTCCCCTTCACATGGGGAAAACATCTAAGAAATGCTGAGGGGTCAGGGACTGAACAACTACCCCTTCCCAGGGGGTTTACCTGGAAAAAAAGAGAATATCTGGAAAGGATAATGTTTAACATGGAGTAACTTCTAATGATGGAATTAGTGGGGGTGTTATTTCCTGGTGGGTGGAGGGGCCATGGCAGACTGTAAACTTATTAAAAGTAAAGCTTCTGCTTCTGTGAATCCCTTGACCAGTGGCTAACATGATTGTACACCTAAACAGACTTCTAGGCAGAGCATTTAGAACGGACCCTACCAGCTTTGACCGAGTGCCTGCTATGTGCCAGGGACAATACCAGGTGTTCTCCTATGCTTTAATATCACAGAAAATCTATCTGAAGTGGATTAATGTAAATATTGAATGACTGGACATGAATCACAGGAAGGCCCTTGGGTAGAATGTAACCTAGTAGTTCTCAAATTGTGGTCCCTGGACCAGCAACATCAGCATCACCTGGGTGCTTGTTAGAAATGCAAATTCTCAGTTCCATCCCATATACACAGTCAGAAACTTTAGGGGTGGGCCCAGCAATCTATTCTTACAAACCCTCCAGGTGATGCTGGTGCACACTCAAGTTGGAAGCCCACAGCTCTAACCCAGTGGTCTTTAAAAGGGGCTCTGGGCTACCATGGAGGTTCTAGGGGAACCTCTGGGGAGGGGAATGGGTTGAGAGCAGCTCTATTTTCATCTGCCACCTTACACGTTGAGTTGCCCTGTTAGATTTTGTTTAAAGAAAGTGTTCCAAACTGCAAAAGTTTGAAAACCATGATTCTGGTAGAACCAACTGCCTTCCCCACTTGACGCATCCTGCCTCATCATTTCTGCAGATGGAGAACACTGTAGCCCAGGGAGAGGATGGCTCTGGCAGGCGGGAATGGGACTAGCACTCCGGCCTCCTAACTTCCAGCCCAGGGCTCTTCGTGGCATCTCAGGCTGCCCCTTCATGAGAGAGGAAACAGGAAGGCAAGCCTTTAAGCTCTCATTGAGTAAGATCCTGGGGCTGTCTGCTTCTCTTTCTAGTTATGCCGGGAAAGGCCAGAGGCTTCTGGGGTTCTTGGAGGAAGCCTTTCCAGTTCCTCTCTCCTGGGGCCCAGGGCTTGTAGCCCCAGATCAACCTCCCAGCCAGCCTGGACTCTCCTCCTGACCACATTCATCTCAAGGTAGAATATCATGGGAAGTCTGTCTGCATGTCCAGACTTACCCCCCATTCCTCAGCCAGGCCTCTCAGGCCCACCTGATGCCTGAGGCTCTGAGTATGTGCATTTCCCTGGCCTCTATTTCCTGCCCACCCCCAATCCGGACAATGCTCTGTCATTGCCCTCATACTATGAAGGGGGGTGGGTCACTGTGAGCCTTTCCTGGGGGGTCAATGCTTACTGTACTATATGTCTCTCCCTTCCCAGCCTCCAGCACTGCCAGGCCTATTGCCTCAGTGGGCAGCTCACAGGGTTGGCAAGCAAGCAGCAGAGATATCAGTGGGGTTGGGGTCTGCCCTACCTGCTGCTGATTCCGTCCAAGGCTCAAAGATCCAGCTGAGGACTTCCCCACTGCTGCCTGGGCCCTTTCTGATATCAGGTGTTGCCTTTGACTTCATACTTAAGCCTCTGCCAATCTCAATGGCTGTCTTCCCCCAGGACAAGAGCACCTGCTGCAGCCATCTCCACAATAAAGGGGAGAATGCAACAGCTCCTCTGGGTGCCAACTGAGGACACTGCCGATTCTGGGGCTGCAGTCTCAAGCTGCTGAGCCTACGTGAACAAAGTCAAGGCAACTGCGGCATGGTGTGTGAGTCAGCTGCTTGGCTCTTCTGTGTGTGTGCATGTGTGTGTGTGTGTGTGTGTGTGTGTGTGTGGTGAGGGAGGTGGATTCTGGATGAGTGAGAGACTAAAACAAAATTGGAAACACGACCGCTAAAAGACTAACATTTTCAGGCCAAGTCAGTTCATCTTCCCTGCAAAAGAGCATTTGAAACCCTAGCCAGTCCCGCTCCTGTCCGACTTACTAGACCCTGTGGACTGGCTTATAGCAGGGATTTTACAACTGATAGAAGCTGGCAGTGTAGAGAAAATAGCAAAAGGGCTCTGGAGCCAGAGAGATGAACATTGAAATCTGGGCAAGGGACTCACCTCCTTGAACCTTGGTAAAAGAATTCGGTAACTTAGGTTGAACTATATGAAAATGCTATTTTGTGGGTCAAAAAAGATTGAATATTGACAATTTCTTATGGTTCAACCCAGTAGCGCCTTCCTCCCAGAGTTACTGTGCAGATTAAATGAGCTAATATACAAGAGTGTTTATACCAGCATGTGACACATGATAAATGCCAAATAAAGGATAATCATGATGATGGTGATGATAATGGGTATTTAACACCTAATTTTGGCCACAGAATGAGCCCTGACCCTGGCCATCTCATAAATACAAGTCCTGGATAGGCTGAAATACCTCAGGGACATAATCTTCGGGGTTAAAATATTTCCCTGACCAAATAACACCCCCCAACCCAGGCTGTCCCAGCTCTTAAAATTTTTTGCTTATAGGTCACTCTGTGGTGAAACCACTCTTCAATGAAGGCTCCCACTAAAGAGTCCCCAAAGGGGAAGAGATTCATTCACTGATTCATTCGTTCATTGAACAGCTTGTATCAAGAGCCTATTATGTTGCCAGGCACTGTGCTAGGTGCTGGATTGAAGAAGGTATGCTCCCTGCCCTGGAGGAATTTGCAATTAGATATGAGGGAAAGCCCCCAGACAGGTACCAACAGTCCACTTTTGACAAGTGTCATAGCCATAAAAAGTATGTCCCAAGCTTTGTGGGGTCACTGAAGAGGGATCATCCTCTCTCTGAGGCAGGAGAATACATTCTGGAGGCAGGGAACCTAAGGCCGTTTCACGCTGAGTTCCTAGAACTAAATTGAAAGGAGAACCCTAACTTTCCATGCCTAAGTAACAAAAGGACCAGAGGCTACTCCCTTTGCAAGCTCCCAGCTTTTCTGCGTGGCCGATGGGAAATTGAAAGTACCTATGATTGGTTGTTAGACATTTGCATAGGAGTGTAACTTTGAAACTTCACTTCAGCCTCTGTAGGCTGTCCACAACCAATCAGACTGATTGCGGGTCAAGTCTTCGTTTGCATAGAAGTGCAACATTGTAACTTCACTTGAGCCTCTGATTGGTTGCAGACAGCAACCAATCAGATCTTTGCATAAAAGTGTGACCTTTGTAACTTCACTTCAGCCTCTGATTGGTTGCAATAAGACTGGTTGCAGACCACCACTTCATTTACATGGGGTGAACACCAAGTGGCCAATGGGAAACCTCTAGTGGGTATTTGGACCCGAGAAGTTTCTGTATCTGGGCCCTTGAGTGGCTGCTCGGGCCCGTTCCCACGCTTTGGAGTGTACTGTCGTTTTCAATAAATCTCTGCTTTTGTTGTTTCATTCTTTCCTGCTTTGTTTGTGTGTTTTGTCCAATTCTTTGTTCAAAACACGGAGAACATGGACACCCTCCACCGATAACACCTCCATCCATCTTAACGCTGTTAGGTGGTCGGAGATGGCTATACAGAAAAAGTGACATTTCAGATGGATTTTGAACGATGTGTAGGAATTCCTTGCAGGGAGAAGGTGTGAGTTCAAGCAGGGGAAACCTAATATGTAGAGGCACTGGTTTGCAAAGGGGTGTGAGCACTTTTAGGGACTGGTTCTAAGTTCAGCGTGTCTGGAGCACCCGTTAAGAAAAGGAGTATCAGGAACTGAGGATGAGGAGGCACGTCAGGGCTGGGCTGGAAAGTGCACCCTGGATGTAATTCTCTAGGCAACTGAGAACCAACAGATGAAAATTTCTCAGTGTCCAGACAGAAGACTTTCTGATTTTGTCTGGAATGGGGCCTGGGAATCTGAGATACACGGTCTTCTTTTTCCTTCCTTCCTTCCTTCCTTCCTTCCTTCCTTTCTTTCTTTCTTTTTCTTTTCTTTCTTTCTTTCTCTGTTTCTCTCTTTCTCTTTCTTCTTTCTCTTTCTTTCTCTGTTTCTCTCTTTCTCTCTTTCTTCTTTCTCTTTCTTTCCTTCTTTTTCTCTCTTTTCTTTCTTTCTCTTTCTTTTTCTTCTTTCTCTTTCTTTCTTTCTTTCTTTCTTTCTCTCTTTCTTTCTTTCTTTCTTTCTTTCTTTCTTTCTTTCTTTCTTTCTTTCTCTTTCCTTTCCTTTCATTTCCCTCCCTCCCTCCCCCCCACTCTCTCTTCCTTCCTTCCTTTCTTTCTTTCTTCCAAGATGGGGTCTCACTATGTTGCCCAGGCTGGAGTGAAGTGGCTGTTCACAGGTGTGATCACAGCTCACTATGGCCTTGAACTCCTGGGCTCAAGTGATTCTCCTGCCTCAGCCTCCTGAGTAGCTGAGACTACAGGGTTTTCTTTCTTGGTAGTAAGTATTCTCTATTGAGGTATAATTTATATGCAATAACATGCACTCATTGTAAGTGTACAGTTCAATGATACAGTGTACAGTTCATTTGATAAATGTCTGCACCCATGTAAACCAGCACTACCTTAGACCTGGGCAGATGGGGCTTCTGTCCCATGCCCTGCATTTCAGGAGGAACCCACTGCACTTTGCAGCACTTTCCTTAAAATTTTCGGTTTCCTGCCAATGTCTGAAACCAGAGCCTTTGTCTCAGCACACCATGCTACAGTTGCCTTGACTTTATTCACGTAGGCTCAGCGGCTTGAGACTGCTGCCCCGGAATCAGTGGTGTCATCAGGTTGGGCTTTCCTTAGCTCAGAATGGGTCCCACGTAGACATAGGACCTGGTCTGTGTTTTTCCAGGCACTCTGAGTCTCTAGACATCCCCCATCCTGTGCTTGGGGCCCACCAGATGTCCCAAGGAACTCCACGATTCTCACCTATGGGATCGTCTATGGTACTTTTGGTTGAGACCCGGTTCCAGGAGAGCAGCATGATAAGTGGATTGCTCCACTAGCCAGAGCAATATATCTTTGACAGAAGTGCATGAAATTGGGTCAACCAGAATGGTATTGACACACTAGTCTTGGATGACTCAAATATTGTGTGTAGACAGGGATTGCACAAAATATATTTTCCTAGGTTCTGAGCACCTTAGGAGTGGCCCTGTATGTGAAGCCACTGCTATGATTGAGATTTACATCATTTTCATCATGGCAAAAAAATGTCCTTGAAGACTTTTGCAATCCCACTCCCACTCGTGACCCTTGACTACCTCTATCTTGCTTCCTGTCACTATAAGTTAGTTTTACTTATTCTAGAATTTCAAATAAACAGAGTTATATGGTACTTAGCCTTTGTGTCTGGCTTCTCAATTACATAATGCTTTTGAGGTTCTCCATGTTGTAACATGTATCAGTAGCTTATTCCTTTTAATTGCTGAATATCCATTGTATTAATATGCCATTGTATATGTTGTATGTCCATAAAAGTTATAAGGTATGCGATGTATGATTGTATTGGTATACCATTGATCCAATCTATGGATGTATCACAATTTGTTTATTCATTCACCCATTGCTAGACACCTGAGCTATTTCTAGTTTGGGGTTTTCATAAATAAAGCTTCTATGAATACTCTTTTATGAGGTGTGTTGTGGGCATATGTTTTTATTTCTCTTGGATAAATACCTACAAGTGGAATTACTGGGCCAAAGCATTAGCTTACGTTTAATTTTATGAGACACTATCAGACTAATTTCCACAATGGATGTACCATTTTGTACTCCAGCCAGAAATGTAATTTTCATTGCTTTGTAGAGTTTTCATTGATTTATATCCGATTAGTATAGTTATTTTTAAAAAATTTTCAGGCATTCTAAGTGAATGTGTACTAGCATCTCATGATGGCTTTAATTTCTATTTCACTGATGACTAATGATGTTGAGTATCTTTTCATGTGTTTATTGGCCATTTTTACATCTACCTTAGTGAAGTCTCAGTTCAAATCTTTTGTCCATGTTTTTGGGTACAATTAACAGAAAATAAAATGCACCCATTATAGGTATACAGCTCAATGAGTTTGATAAATATATACAATCATATAACTAATACTGCCTAGGTAGAAGTTTATTGTTTTTATTGATATTTTCAAAGCACTGACTTTTGGTTTCATTGATCTTCTCTATCTATTTGCTAGTTCATTGATTCCTGTTCTTATCTTCGTTATTTCCTTTCTTCTACTTATTTTGGGCTTAATTTATTCTTCCTTTTCTAGCTTTTTAAGCTTGAAACTGTTAAGTTTAGCATGAAATTGCCTCCTTACGTGTTTTAAGTTCGGCCTAAAGGTTTCTGTGTGCATAGTGAACTGTAACCTAACTGGATGTGTAAACAAACTGTAACCTGCTCTTGTACGAGTCACCGAGTTTTGGCAAATCACAGGCGGCCAACTGTTCAAATTGTGTTCAAATAAGGCAAACATTGAGCTGTAATTAATCCAGCTGGTTCTGTACCTCACTTCCATTTTCTTTTTCTTTTCTTTTTTTTTTTTTCTTTTTGAGACAGAGTCTCACTCTGTCGCCCAGGCTGGAGTGCAGTGGCACAACCTTGGCTCACTGCAACCTCTGCCTCCTGGGTCTCAAGCGATCAATCCTCCCTCCTCAGCTTCCTGAGTAGCTAGGATTATGGGCGTGTGTCACCACACTCAGCTGATTTCTCTATTTTTGGTAGAGATGGGGTTTCGCCATGTTGCTCAGGCTGGTCTGGAGCTCCTGGGCTCAAGCGATCCACCAGCCTTGATCTCCCAAGGTTCTGGGATTACAGGCGTAAGCCACTCTGCCCAGCCCACACTCCCGTTTTCTGTACATCACTTTCCTTTTTCTGTACATAAATTTTCTCCAACCACATGGCAGTGCTGGAGTCACTCTAAATCTATTCCGGTTTAGGAAGCTGCCTGATTTGCAAATTGGTCTTTGCTGAATTTAACTCTGTTAAATTTAATTTGTCTAGAGTTTTTCTTTTAACAAAGCTGAGGTCATTGATCTAAGACCTTTCTTCTTTCTTAATATAGGTATCGAGTGCCATAAGCTTCCCCCTAAATACTGCTTTAGTGACATCCCGCAAATTTTTATATGCTGTCTTCATTTTCATTCATTTAAAAATGCTTTTCAATTTCCCTTTTGATTTATTCTCTGACTCATGGATTATTTTGAAGTGTGTCATTAATTTCCAAATATTTAAGGATTCCATAGATATCTTTTTTGTTATTGATTTTGAATTTAATTCTGTTGAGATCAGAGAACATACATTCATGATTTTAGTCCTTTTAAATTTATTGAGACTTGTTTGATGGTCCAGCTTATGGTCTATCTTGGAGAATGTTCCATATGTGCTTGAGAAGACTGTGTATTCTGCAGATATTGGGTGCAGTGTTCTATTCATGCCAATTAGGTCAGGTTGATTGAGGGTGCTGTTTAAGTGGGTTTTTTTGTTTGTTTGTTTGTTTTTGTTTTGTTTTGAGACTGAGTCTCACTCTGTCACCCAGGCTGGAGTTCAGTGGTGCTATCTCAGCTTACTGCAACATCCACCTCCCAGGCTCAAGTGATTCTCCTGCCTCAGCCTCTCTGGTAGCTGGGATTTTAGGAGCCTGCCACTATGCCTGGCTAATTTTTGTATTTTTATTATAGTGGAAACGGGGTTTTACCACATTGGCCAGTCTGGTCTCAAACTTCTGACCTCAAGTGATCTGCCTGCTTCGGCCTCCCAAAGTGCTGAGATTACAAGTGTGAGCCACCACTCCTGTCAAGATGTTAAGTCTTATATACTCTTACTGATTTACTGTTTACTTATTTTATCAGTTACTGAGAAAGAACTGTTGAACTCTCCAACTATAGTTGCAAATTTGTCTATTTATTTCAATTCTGTCAGTTTTGAGTTCATGTATTTTGAAGCTTGTTATTAGGGACATACACATTTAAGATTGTTATATTGTCCTGATGACTGTTTTATCATTAAACATGTCTATTCCTGGTAATATTCTGTGTCTTAAAGCTTACTTTGAAATTAACATAGCCACTCCTGGTGCATCTTTATCATTTTAGTTTTAACCCATCTGTGTCTTTATGCTTAAAACATATGCTTGAAACAAATGTTGAGTCCAATTTTCTTTTTAATGCAGTAGGACAATCTCTAACTTTTAATTGTACTGCTTAGAGTCCCTTCACATTTGATGTCGTTATTGATATTGTTGAATTTAGGTCATCCACTTCTCTATTTGTTTTCTATTCTTCCTTTCTATTCTTTGTCAACTTTTTCCTCTATTTTTGCCCTCTTTTGGGTTGAGTATTTTCTTTTATTTTTGTTGAGATGCAGTTTTGCTCTTGTTGCCCAGGCTGGAGTGCAATGGCACGATCTTGGCTCACTGCAATCGCCGTCTCTGGGATCAAGTGATTATCCTACCTCAACCTCTGAGTAACTGGGATTATAGGCGTGCACCACAATGTTCGGCTAATGTTTGTATTTTTAGTAGAGATGAGATTTCACCATGTTGGCCAGGCTGGTCTCAAACTCCTGACCTCAGGCGATCTGCCCACTTCAGCCTCCCAAAGTGTTGGGATTACGGGCATAAGCCACTGCGCCCGGCCTGGTATTTTCTTAAAAACTTTTTGTTTTAAAATAATTTTAGATTTATAGAAGAGTTGTGAAATGGAGAGTTCCCATAGACCTTTCATCCAACCTTTCATAAACACTTGACATAAACACAATATATTTCTCAAACATAAGAAATTAACCTTGGTACAATACTACTACACTACAGACTTCATTCGGATTTTCCCAGTTTTCCCATTCACACCTTTTTCTATTCCAGGATCCCACTTCAATTAATCATGATCATGTCTACTTAGGTTCCTCTTGGCTATGACAGTTTCTCAGGTTTTTCTGTTTTTTGACGATCTGGACAGTTTTGAGAAGCACTGGTCATGTGTTTTGTAGAATGTCTCTCAATTTGGGTTTGTCTGATATTTTCTTTTGATTGGTCTGTGGATATGCATTTTTGGAAAGAATACCATTGAGGTGATGTACCCTTGTCATCCCATCAAATCAGGGGTATATGATATTGACATGACTTACTGGTGATGTTAACCTTGACCACTTGGTCAAGGTGGTGTCTGCCACGTTTCCCCACTGTAAAGTTACTGCTTTTCCCTTTAGAAATTATATTCATTACACGCAAGTCACTAAATTCAGCCCACAGTCAAGGGGGTGGGAATTAAGCTCTACCTCCTTGAGAGATAAGTATCAAGGAATAACGGAAATCTTTTACTTTTCTACTTTATCTCTGTCATTGGCTTATTAGCTAAAAATTTTTTTTCCAGTTGATCTAGGGTTTAAAACAAGCATTTTTAACCATCACAATCTACCTCAGATGCTATTATATGACTTCATGGACAAGTAAGAACCTTACAACAGCATACTTTTGTACCTCCCATCATTTGTGCTATTGTCGTAATACCTTTTGCTTCTACATATAAACCCAAGGTATATCGTTATTGTTTTTGCTTTAAGCAGTCATTTATATTTTTTGAAATAATGTATTGAGGTGAAATTCACATAATATAAAATTAGCCATTTTATTTTATTTTATTTTTTTAGACAGAGTCTGGCTCTGTCACCCAGGCTGGAGTGCAGTGGCATGATCTTGGCTCACTGCAAACTCCATCTCCCAGGTTCCAGTGATTCTCCTGCCTCAGCCTCCTGAGTAGCTGGAATGACAGGCATGCACTAACAGCCCTGGCTAATTTTTTGTATTTTTTAGTAAGAGGTTTTGCTATGTTGGCCAGGCTGGTCTCGAACTCCTGGCCTCGAGTGATCCTCCTGTCGGCCTCCCAAAGTGCTGGGGTTACAGGCATGAGCCACTGCACCTGGCCATAATTAGCCATTTTCAAGTGAACAATTCATTGGCATTGAACAATTAATTGTCTTTTAAATAAAAACTTTAAAATTGAGAAAAGCAAGCATTTTCTTATTTACCCACATGTTTGTCATTTCTGGCACTCATCATTCCTTTTTGTAAGTCTGTGTTTCCAACTGGTATCATTTCCCTCAACCCGAAGAGCTTCCTTTAACATTTCTTATAGTTTAAGTCTTTGAATAGTTTAAAGATATCACTTCATTGTCTTCTGGCTTGCAACGTTTTGGTTTAGAAGCGTGTGGTTATCTTTAGTTTGGTTCCGCAGTATATAATGTGTCATTTTTTTCCCCCTAAAGCTGGTACTAACATTTTCTCTTATCAGTGGTTTTCAGCAATTTGCTGATACTGTGCTTTGGTTTGATTTTCTTCATTTTTATTCTTCTTGAGGCTTGTTGAGTTTCTTGGATTATTATAGTTTACAGTTTTCATCAGATTTGCCAAATTTTCAGCCATTATTTATTCAAATGTTTTTCTGCCTCCAGCACCTCCTAGAACTCTTATTACACATATGTTAGACTGTGTGATATGGAACCACAGGTCACTGAAACTCCATTAGTATTTTTTAAATAACAGCTTTACTAATATATAATCCACATACTGTACAATTCATCCATTTAATGAGTACATTTCAATGGCTTTTATAATACTCATAATATGTGCAACCATCACCACAGTCAATTTTAGAACATTTTCACTACCTCCAAAGAAACCCCATATCCTTTAGCAATTCCCCATCCCTCTGACTCCTCTAGCCCTAAGGAACCACGGATCTACTTTGTCTGTATGGTTTTGCCTATTCTGGACAACAAATGAAAATAAATGAAATCATATAAATTGTGATCTTTTGTGGCTGGCTTCTTACTTAGTGTAAGGCTCACTTATGTGATAGCATGTATCAGTACTTCATTTCTTTTTATGGACAGATAATATTCCATTGTTTGGATATACTGCACTTTGTTTACCCATTCATTCTGTTAACTTTTTATCAGCCTCTATTAAATCAGTTATTTAAGAAAAATAACTTTTTATTTTCCCTCTGTGCTTCGTTTTGGGTAGTTTCTATTGCTATTTCTTCTAGTTCACTGATCTTTTCTTCTGCAGTGTCTAATCTGCTGTTACGCCCATCTAGTAAATTTTTATTTTAAATATTGTATTTTTTACCACTAAAAATTCTATTTGGCTATTTTAATACATATTTTATATTTCCTTCACTCTATCCATGTTTTCTTGTAAATCCTTGAGCATATTTATAACAGCTGTTTAAAAGTCCTTGTTTGTTAATTCTATCATCTCTGCCATTTCTGGCTGTTTCTATTGACTGATTTTTTTTCTTTCCTGGCTATGGAAGCAGCACATTTTCTCTGCTTCCTTACATGTCTAGTAATTTTTTAATTGGATTCTAGACATTGGGGATGTTTCATTGTTGAGTGTCTAGATTTTGTGTCTTCCTTTAAGAAATCTTGAGTTTTGTTTTAGAAAGCAGTTAAGTTTCTTGTATATCGGCCTGGGCCTTTTACTGCTTGTTTTTAAGGTTGATTAGGGAAGGTCTAGAGTATCATTTATTCTAGGTCTAGTTTATCCTTACTGGTGAGGTGTGACTCTTCTGGCAGCCTTGACTGAATACCCTGGATTTTCCATAAGGTTTCTCTACTCTGGCTAGCTGGAAATTGTATGTCTCCTATACTTGTCAGGACTCTGGGAATTTCAGCCTATCGCTTCCTGGTAGTTCTTGCTTGGATTTGTAGGGTGTCACCCTATGTATGTATAGCTTAGTGTTCAGCAAGTCAATCAAGAGGCTCCCTATGTAGATATCTGGAACTCTTTTTTTCTATGTTGCTCTTTCCTTTCTAGAACTCTGACCTGAAAATTCCAGCTGCCTCAGTCTCCCAAACTCTAATATTTTTACTCATTAACTCCAGGAGATCACTATGCTCTTTTGGGGTTTCCCCATCCCATATTATGGTCCAGAAAGTGCCTTTGGGCAGAAACCAAAGGCCATCATAGACTTCACCTCACCTTCTCTCAGGGATCACAGTCCTGCACTGCCTATTGTCCAATGTCTATAAATAGCTGTTTTATGTATTTTGGTACGTTTTTTAGGGTTTTTTTAAATGGCAGAAGAAAAAGTCTGTTTCAGTTTACTCCAATGTGGTTGGAAGTAGAAGTTCCAGCAGAGGCTTTTAAACAGGGGAGAGACATGATCATATCTGTTTCTAAGGAAAATCTGGTGGCCACCTGGTGGTCTCTTAACTGGACAAGAGGTAAATACTGAGGCAGAAAGACAAATTAAGAGGTAATTTAAGTTGTCTATGAATGAGTTGATGGAGGTCTTAATTAAAAGAGTGACAATGGGACTAGGGAGCTATCAAAACCATGGAGAGCTCTATAGAAGATGGGATTGACAAGACCTGCTGATAGATGGGATATAGCTGATGGGTGAAGTAAAGGGCAGAGTTCAGGATCGCCCCCAGTTTTCTGTCTTGAACAGCTAGAAGGATGGTACTGCCATTCACTGAGATGGAGAAGACTGAAGCAGGAGAAGATACTTTTCTCTTTTGGGAGGGGTGTGTTTATTTGGTGGCTGGGTAGAGTGGTGATGATGAGGTCAGTTCTGGCCATGTGGAGTTTGAGGTGCCTGTGAGCCACTAAGGGAGAGAGAGCAGCTGGATATGCAGGTCTAAGAATCAGAGGGGAGAAGGGGCTGGAGAAATAAATGTGGAGTTTATGGCATGTAAGTGGTAACTGAGGCCATGGGTGTGGGTGGGACTGTCTAGGAAGACAGTGTGCAATGAGAGGAGAAGGTGGCCCAGGACAGAGTGAATATCCTCATTTACCAGCAGACAGATGGATGCTAAGAGTGGGCCACGGTACAGGAAGTCATGATCGGGGAAAAATAGGGTGGAGTAAGAGCCCTGCTGATTCTTGTCCATGGAGAATAGGCCCTGAGAGGGACTGCCATTGAGACCCAGGCCCTGCAGTGGGAGTGGGCAGTGCTGGAAGAGAAGCTGCGAGGCACCAGAGCACACTCTGCTGACTTCAGCGTTCTCTTGGCTCTTGTCCTGCCCTCCCCTGTCTCACCTCCAGGCACAACCACCAACACTATTAAAAAGAAAAGAGAAAATAGGGCAAAACAAAGGCATAATAGAAATGGAAATAGTTTCTAAACCCCACAGTAGGAGAAAACCTCAACTGGTATTTTGGAGGCGACAGCAGTAGTTGCCACTCTGTCTCCAGTGGCTGGCATTGTCAACTTGGCCCTGCGCCCTGCAGCTGGGCCCTGAGGGCTGGCCACACTCCAGTCAGCCCGCATGTCTTCACCCCAACCTCTGGTACTGGGAACAAAGCCAGGGCCTCCCCAGGCAGCCAACCATGTGGCCAGGCCCAGGGCACAGACTAGGAGGACCCTAGAGCAACTGGGACAGACAGGGAAAGGCAGGAAGAGGGTAGCTCTGTGTAGTAGTGGTAGGGAGGCCTGGAGCCCAGGCCTGGGCACCCACCTTCAGTGGCATCCCTGGTTATTCTTGTCTAAACTCTTTCCTGCTTCTCAGAGCTAGTGAATGAGCAATGCTGTCACCATCAAGGTCTGATTGAATTTGTTCTCCAAGTAGATCCTGTCGGTCTCTCTGGTGGGCTGGGAGATCCCCAGGGCCAGGGACCTGCTGTGGTTGCCGTTTGCTTGACTTCTGTACAGTTAACCAGTTTTACTGTCATTTACCCATAGTCATCAGTTTTATTGTCAACTCAGATACATGGCATGGGAACTGACGTTTGATGTGCTGCAGAGCTCCCTTTAATTGCGAGGCCCATGGAGCATGTACAAGAAGATCTACTTCCCCCCAATTTAATTTGCACTTAACATCTCAAGGACACAGTTCTTGGGTAAATTGAGGTACATTTGGATTTCTTTTTTTTTAATTAAAATGAATAAATATTTGGAAATGTTGGGGGAGAATTTTCTAAGACTGCTTTCTGCTTGAGGAAAATGGAGACCCCTGAGTTGAAGGGAGGGTTGGTGCAGGTTCTCAGCAGGATATGAGCCATGTGAGGCTGGGACCCCTTCTAGGCCACTGGAAAGGAGCCCACACTCAGCTCCTCCCACAGACCTGGGAAAACAATGTTCTCTGGCAGTGGGTAGTGGTCCTTTGGGGCTGCAGGGGGCACACATATCCGTTAGCCTGCTCATCCTGATCCACGGGATCTTTGCTTCCTAGGTCAGCTTGGGTCCTCTGAGAAGTAGACATCAGATGGGATTAAACCTTTATGTGGTGGGGAAGGGGTGGGGATCTGCAAAGGATAAAAGATGGAAGCAGGAGCAAGGAGGGAGCACCTTCAGACCACAGTGTGGGACTGACACTTGAGAAAGGAGAGGTGCAAGGGAGGAGGCTGGAGTAGGAAGAGTCTTGGGCTGCAGTGCAGCTCTGAGAAAGTCTGGCCAGATTGATGGGAGATCCCGGAGCAAGGGTTGCCTGTTGGAGGAGTCCCATGTCAGGCAGGAATGGGCTGGAACTGGTATCCCTGCCGGACTTAGTCATTGGCTGGGAGCAGCCTATAGTGAACACCACCGTAGATCCAAAAGTGTGGCAGCTGGGACTGTCAGTTAATTCTGCTACCTGCAGAAGTTTCTGTTGGAGGGAGATCTGAGCAGCACAATTCCATGCTCACCTCATGATCCCTTCAGCCTCCTGGGATCACTATCTTGCCATCTTGCTTGGGATCAGTCCTCAGTTCTGGTATTTTGTTCTCAAGGCAATTGTTTCTCTCCTTTCAGCCAAACCCCAGGCCAGACAATCTTCCTGGGCTTCCTCCAGTTCCACAGTAGGGCCCTGGCTCCCAGAAACCTGCCTTGCTGGACTGTCCACTTGGAGCAAGAAGGTTGTGGGAGCAGCTGGGGAGGGACCAAGGGCTTTGACTCCCCCACTGGTCAGTTGGTCAGTGCAGGCAATGGAGATGTTAACAATAACCCTTAAAGGAAGGATGCTGCTGCCTCTCTCCAAGGCTGAGCTGGGAACCACCTCTTCTCCTTGGCTTTCAAGGAAACACCAATGTGGCTCCTTGTGGATGTACTGATGAACGACTCTCCACAGCACAGCCAACTGTGCTGCTTGTGGTGGAGAAAAGGGTGAAGGGATGGGGATGGTAGTAGGCAGCTGGCCAGGGCCAGTGGCACCACCTTCAGCCAGGATCCTGGGGGGAAACATTTCCTCTGGGAGGGTGGCCAGAACTCTGGCCTGGCTGGTGGCTCCTCCTGACCAAGTGGCTCTGCTGTGGCATTGTGCCTCTAGGACCTAGTCTAAAGCCTGGGACACAGTGGGTGCCCAAGACTTGATGGTTGAACAAGTGCCTCCTCTTGGCTTTCCCTTCTAGGCCTTCCCCTTTGCCTTCCACTAAAATGAGAGGTTCGTGAGGGCTGGAACTTTGATTTTTCACTGCAATGTCCTAACTCAGAGACTGGCACATAGCAGGCGGCCAGCAAATACGTGTTGGATGAATGAATAAATAAAAGTGTCCATTGGGTGCAAGAGCCTTGTTCACAGGAACACAAAAAGGCGGAAAGGATAGGCCCTGCCCATGAGAACTCTCAGCCTGATGGGGAGACACAGCCCCTTAGGCAGAAGATGGGGAGCTAGGATTTACTCTGTGAAGTAGCTAGACATAAGGACCCAGTTAAAAGAAAGTTAATAGCAAGAACATAGCCAGCTAGAGCTGGCCAGAGAAGGCCTTTGTGTTGAGGGGACATTGACATGATGGAGGTGATAAGAGCTGGCTACATATTTCCTTTCTAGGCTTCCTATTTATACAGAACACATGTTCTGAACCAGAATTCTGGACACAAGGTCTTACTAAGGCACAAGATGCGGGAAAGTGGAGCTGGCCTGGAAAATCCAACAGGACGCTTCCTAGTATCAGACAAGAACTGCTCATGGAAAACAACAGCCTAGATGAAGGCCAGGCTCTCTGCTGGGGTCTGGGCCAAGTTCCCAGGAAATGAATCTTACCAGTGGGTCAAACTCTTGCTGGAGGTTGGTGTAACTCAAGGGCATTGAAGGAGGAGAAAGACTTGGTGCTCAAACACTTCTTGGATCTATGAGAGAGCAGCAGCCTACTCCCTGCATCCAGTCCAGCCTGGGTACCCCTGAAGGCTCCTCCTCACCATGGCAGCAGGCCCCTCAGGTCCTTTAGTATTGATCCAACAAGAGAGAACATCGTATCATTTGTGGCTTGCCCTTGGATTCCTAGCTGTTGTCATTACCAACTTGAGATGACAAATTCCTAAAGGGCAGGTTCCAAGGGTCTCCCATTCCTTGGGGGAGTCTATTCTATGCAACTTCAGTTTCACCGAGTGCTCATAATTGAGAGAGAAGGAACCAATAAGCCAGTGTCATTGCCATGAGATGTCTTTAGGTTGTTTTCCCTACGGTGGGGATGAGTTTGGCCTGAGCCTTTCACATTTCATCTGAGGCAGGCAGATTAGAGCTTGGGGGCTCAAGCTGAGGCCAAGGTTTGGGTTCAATTATGGTTGAGGCCATGGGTAGGGCTAGAATGAAGGAAAGTAGTCCACACAGATGGAATCCATAGTGTGGGCCCTCACTGGGCTACAACAACCAAAGTTAACCAGCCTCGATGTTGAGATGTAGTCTATTACAAATAACACATTAGGACTTGTTTTATAAATCTTTGAGGAAAAGCTCAAAGTTCAACATTTTTGTTGTAGGTAAAGGCTCTCTCCACTCATGCAAGAGTTATGGATGGAGTAAAAGAGTCGACCATGATTGGCTATTAAAGTGGCAATGCCTCGTTAATGAGGCATTGGCAGAGAGTAGTGTTTCGAGGGGACAGTTATTTTCCAGCTGAAGAGAGGATAGGTTGGTTTGTAGCCCCAAGGAGGTCAGGCTCTGAGGGGAAGGGACAAGGAAGGACACAAGGCTCCAGCAGCACCAGGGGTCATTGGTTTCCTCCTCCTCCTTCTCTTGGCTGATGCTGTGTGCTAACAATTATGCTTATTGCTTCATAAGCATTATCTTATTTTGTCCTCAGGACACCATATGAAGAAAGTCTAACATTTTGTCTTACAGATGAAGAAACTGAGGCTAGGCTGGGCGCAGTGGCTCATGCCTGTAATTCCAGCACTTTGGGAGGCCGAGGGAGGTGGATCGCCTGAGGTTAGGAGGTCCACACCAGCCTGGCCAACATGGCGAAATCCTATCTCTACTAAAAAAAAAAAATACAAAATTTAGCTGGGCATGGTAGTGGGCATCTGTAATCCCAACTACTTGGGAGGCTGAGACAGGAGAATCGCTTGAACCCGGGAGGCAGAGGTTGCAGGGAGTTGAGATGGCACCACTGCACTCCAGCCTGGGTGACAGAGTGAGAAGAAAGAAAGAAAGAGAGAAAGAAATAAGAAGAGAGAGAGAGAGAGATAGAGAAAGGAAGGAAGGAAAGAAAGAAAGAAGGAAGGAAGGAAGGAAGAAACTGAGGCTGATGGGAGTTAGATAACTAGTTTAAAGGTTCAGAACAGGGCCAGGAGTCGGACCTGGGTCTGTCTGACTTGATCACTGATGTTTTTGCTGCCTCTAGTATTTTCTGGGCTTGCTGGGGGCTCCACAGCGGACAGGTGAGCACCAGAGATCTTGGTACCTTGACACAAAGCTGTCCCATGCATGACTCATCCATAATACCCTTCCCGTCCCGCCTAAAGCTCTGCACCCCCTGGAACTCCTTGGTCCTGCTGGCCTGCCTTGGAGTTTCTCTGGGCCCACATGGGCAGGGGCCTGCTCTTTGGTCCCTGTACTGTCTCTACAGACTCACTCCCAAATGACTGGACTGGGGCCACCCGCTCCGAGCCCCTACCACATCCCGCCTCTCTGGCTCCCTTAGCTCAGCTGCTCCCCGCAGCCCTCCCGCTTCCTGCTAACTGTGGGGAGAATTTGGCAGCATGCACATGACGTTTGCTGGCCCCTTCCCAGGCTGAGTTTCACATGGTTATTTCCTCACCATATTTCTAGCCTGCCGGGCCCCCTGGAGACTCCATCTCATCCTTGGCTGATTCTGAACAGTCCAGTTTTAGCTCATCTGTGGATTTCATTACTGTGCTATTTACTGGCATCTTACAAAGTTTTAACTGAAGCTGTTCCTAGAGACTGGGCCAGGGGTTGGTCACTGGGGTTGGTCAGAGCTTGGTGTTAATGAAGCCAAGCACATGGACGCAGGCCACGTCGGGCCCAGTGAGCTGGACTGGGCTGCCAGCCACAGACTGAGGCTGAGCCCAGACCTGTTTCAGATTGAGCCTGAATCCTATGCATGGGCCTCCTCTGGGGCCTAAACTCTGAGGTGGCAGTGGACATGGAACATTGTACCCAGAAAAAAGCTAAGGTTCTTGCAAAGACACTTGCTTAGAAGTTTGTCCAGGTGTCCACTCCGTCACTCACCTGCTTGCCATCCTCATTGCGGGCTTTAACTCATCAGCCCTGGGCCTTTCTGCATGGAAGGATGGAGTATTAACAGTGTGCAGCAGGGTCTAGTCTGGACCCCTCTTCCCACTCTTGCACTGGCCTCCGGCTCTGGCCACAGTGTTATGGTGTCTCATGGTAAGGGGCGGTCTTTGCCGCCAGGCCTCCACTGGGGCTTTCTCCTCTGCTCCTTCTCCTTATCCCAGCTGCACTGACCCCAACAAGCCCCTGGATGAATACAGATGGCAGACCTGTGGTGTTCACAACTTCTCTGGTTGGGAAGAGTCACATATGATTCATTTCCAAGGCAGCACAGAAAAGTAGGACCAAAACATGGAGACTGTGTTGCCCTCTGTGCCCCAGGATGTTGCCCCAGCTTTCTGTGCTCCAGGGGTGGAAATAGCTGAGCTGGAACTGAGCTGTGACACATGCTCTCCCCTGGACCCTGTGTGCCAATTTACAAGGTCACTAAGGATGAAGTAGGGATGTAAGTGTGTAGACTCTGCCATTTACTCTTTATTATTTTTCTCTGCCTTCTCCCTCTGCCCATAGTGGGGCTGGGTACAAGAGAGATACACGGTGGAGGCCAAGGGCCATCCCACCATGGGCTGATCAGCCTCACCCCTCTGCTCATCTGTGGTACAAGTCTGCTGCTTTGCACAACTCTGGGGGGAGGGAGGACAGCTATGTGCAGCATGATGGGCATCCCCAGCCCAGTGAAACTTTGCAGTTGCCACACCAATGATGCCTGGTCCTGGCTTATTAAATGGGCCCCTCTGGAGTTTGGGTTGTCAACTGGAGCGTGAGGTAGGGGTGGTAGCAGAGCCCTGATCTCCATTTATAGACTCTTCTGTAATGTTCCATTTGATCAAACACCTCCGAGCCCCTCTCTCGGCATCCTCTCTGTCACAGTCAGCAAATGCTTCTAAGCTCCCTTTTTCCCAAAGGTGACCATAAAGCAAATGAAATTGAAATCTGATGGAGCTGAAGATCCTATTCAGTTTGATTTGGTTCAGTGTGATTTGACAAACATTTACTGAAGGAGCCACTGCTCTGGACCAGGCCTTTTGCCAGCACTAGGTACAAAGATATGTCTTGGTCCCTGTCCTCCAGGGGTTTCCAGAGACCATCTCAGTCCAGCACAGTAAGGACACTGATGCAGGTCCACTGACAGGAGCACAGAGGACGAATGAAGTAACTCTGCTGGGCATGAGGGTAGAACGGGAGCTCGGGGAAGTTGTCGTGGTCTGAATGTTTGTGTCTCTCCAAAATTCATATGTTGAAATCCTGACTCCCAAGATGATGGTATTAAGGTGGGGCCTCTGGGAGGTGATTAGGTTGTGAGAGTGGAGCCCCCATTATGGGATTAGAGCCCCCTAGAAGAAGAGACACGTGACGGTACAACAAGAAGATGGCCACCTGTGAACCAGGAAGCAGGCCTTCACCAAGAACCAGGCCATGATGGCGCCCTGACCTTGAACTTCCAGCCTCCAGAACTGTGAGAAATAAATATTTGTTTAAGCCACCCAGTCTATGGTATTCTGTTTAACCTGAATGTCCTAAGATAGAAGTCTTCACAAACAAGGTGATTCCTGGCCAGGGGTTTGAAGGGTCAATAGTTTTCCTAGAAGGACAAAATGAGGAGAGTGGTGCAGGGGAATGAAACAACACAAGCAAAGATGCAAAAGTGACAGTAGCTGGGTGGGGAGTTGCAACTATTTCAGCTTATCTGTTTGACTTTTGCTTCTCAGTGCCTGGCATGGTGGCTGGCACATATGGTGCTCAGAAGATGTTGGGCGAATAAATGGACCTTCTTGCTCCTGGGGGATCGCCATGCATCTGGAGGAGTTCTGACCATCTTACTAAACTGCAAGATAGTTGAGGGTGATCTGTAAGAGAGAAGTGAACATGGCCAGGCGCGGTGGCTCACACCCGTGATCCCAGCACTTTGGGAGGCCGAGGCGGGTGGATGGTTTGAGTTTAGGAGTTCAATACCAGCCTGGGCAACATGGTGAAACCCAGGGTCTACTAAAAATACAAAAATTAGCTGGGTGTGGCGGTGCGCACCTATAGTCCCAGTGTCTCAGGAGGCTGAGGTGGGAGGATCACCTGAGCCCAGGCGGCAGAGATTGCAGTGAGCCAAGATTCCGCCACTGCACTCCAGCCCTGGGCAACAGAGAGAGACCCCGTCTAAAGAGAGGGGGGGGAGAGAGAGAGAGAGAGAGAGAGAGAGAGAGAGAGAAGTGAACACATCAGATGACACAGAGAATTAGGCAAGGAACTGGTCTAGAGGCCAGGTCTCCTGACTCCCAGCCCAGTGCTCTTTTCATTCCACCTCCTCTCCTCTCAGGCCACACTGATCTCTCCCTTTCCCAAGCCCCTTGGCCCCTTCAGCACTTACAGTCAGAGCCGCTTCTTCCCCAGCTCTCCTGTATCATGCATGGGTTGTTTCCAGCGTGTTCCACTTGTTTCTCCAATGGACTGTCAGCTCCTTCAAGGCGGAGACTGGGGGCTCTTCTTTTCTCGGTTCTCCGTGGTGAGCAATAAATGTGTCCTCCCCCAAAGCATCAAGAATTAAAGAAATGTAGAAAAACTCTCTTTCCCTCCCCCTCCAAGAGCCTTGTGGATTCAAGTGCTGGCATCCTGAATTTAGGGGTTGAAATTTCTTTGCGTACACACCTTGTGGCCCTGCCCACACAATGTGTAGGGAAGTCTAAAGAACCTACACCCTTCCTTCCCTCGGGAAGTTCACTGCTTAGTAAGGGAGAGAAAATGGCCCCAAATATAGAAGAAGATGGATTTTTCGTATTTTGTGGATAAGTGTGTTCCTGACATGCTTGTGGGAGTGGAATCTTACCTTTGATGTGCTGGGAAAAGTCCCTAGTTGAGGAAATCCTCTGGTGACGTTTTGAAAACTAATGATATTGAATCATTGAATTAATTTATTTCATTTCTCCATGGCATCTTTTGCTTATTAGAGTTGGCATCTATTCATTTACCAATTATCTAAGAAAAATCCATTCATCCCAATGAATCCATCCCTCCCAGTAAATACCAACACAGAGTAAATACACACTGACTCATAAAAAGTAAATACACACTGACTCATACACACATTTTACTTGTTGTAAATTCTTTTTTAATGTAAAGAATCAGCTTCTAATGGACACACTGTGTTCTAATAGGACAAGAAGCTGCATACAAATAAAAGCAGTTCTTGCTGTTCTCATCTAGCAGGTCACCCTAGAAGTGTAGTTAGATTTGTGATTTAAATCTCATGAGACCTACCACCTAGTTTTTCCTATGGAATCCACAGAGTCTAGTGAATCAGAAAGACTGTGATTGAATCCCACTTCTGCCACTTACAGAGTGACCTTCGATAAGTGACATTGGTTTTTCTGGCCTTCAGTGTCCTTGGCTATATAATGGGGACAATCATAGCCACTACCTCATAGGATCGTTATGTGGATGAAAGGTAACACTGAATGTCAAGAGCAGATCAACTGAACTAGGTGAAGGTAGGAACTGTGAGACAGGGAAGTATCTTCTTCCTAAGGTGACCCTGAAGCACCGATTACATTACTCTGGGGTGGGTTCTCCTCCACATGCACCCATAGTATAAACTATTTTACCAACGGGAAGGCAGGCCTAGCGGAGAGGGGGCACATGTGGGTTTCAGCAGGCCATCAACGGATTCTTCCATGACACCCCTATGAGCAAGGTGTCCACTGGTGCTGGATGACAGTCATAATCACAACTGTAAGCAAGAGCTCGCCTGAGCCACTCATGCACTCAAAATAGAATAGTAGAGACACAGATGACGTGCACATCCTGGAAGCTTTTTGTAGCAGATGATGACGACCCCCCTCCCTCCCCCATCTCTTCAGCCTAGCTGAGGTCACCTAGCTGTGGGACAGGGCTGTTTGCAGCATGCCACTATTTCCCACCTCGGACACCTGCAACTTCTCTGCTGGAGGGAGGGTTTTCTGCAGCACTTGGGAGAGTGTGGAGGAGTTGACACTCCCAGGTAACTTTCAACTGATGGAGGAGGGGAATTGGTGGGCAAATGCCCCAGCCCTTTGACAGGACAGTTCTGAGGAGTGTCCCCACAGTTTCCCAGTGGTCCCCCGCAGGTTGGAGCTCCAGTTGCCTTAAGGGCAACCTGCTCTTTAATGTGGCACTTCATTGGCTTCTCTCCCTTTTCTCCCTTTCCCTATTTCCGCCTCCCCAATAAACTACCTGAACCCAAGTCCTTGTCTCCAGGTCTGCTTTTGGAGGGGACTGAAATGAAAACACTTTTTCTGTTCTTCCACAGTTCACACAAGATTCAGGTGTGGGGAAATAAGAGTGTGAGAAAAACTCATTACAAAAGAAATGTAATCCCCCTACCTGACACCTGTTTTCAAAGCACTTTCTTTCACTTACATCCTCGTTATTCAAAGCAGGACAAGCAGCAAGGATGTCACCTGGGAGCTTGTGAGAAATGCAGACCCACCCCAGGCTGGCTGGCTCCAAATCTGCATTTTAATGCGATCCCCAGGTGCTTCTTGGCTCTTATAGTTTGAGAAGCCCTGCCCTGTGCTACCTTATCCTCTGGTCCCTCATGAAGCTCCTGTGAGAAAGAATGGCTATTTGTAGTGGGTTGAATAGCGTTTTCCCCCAAATTCATGTCCACCCCAAAATTCACATTGTGATCTTATTGGGACATAAGATCTTTGCAGATGTAATTAGTTAAGTAAGATAAGGTCACCCTGGAGTAGGGTGGGCCCTCAATTCAATGATCCGTGTCGTTATAAGAAGACGGAGAGAGACAGGCACAGAAAGGAAGGCCACGTGACAGAGATTGGAGTGATGCTGCACGAGCCAAAGAACACCAGGAGTCACCAGGAGCTGGAAGGGGCAAGGAAGGATTCTCTCTGAGAGCCTTTGGAGGGAGCATTTTCCTGCTGATACCTTGATTTTGGACTTGTAGCCTCTAATAACAGAGCAAATACATTTCTTTTCTTTTTTTCTTTCTTTTATTTTGTTTTTCTTTATTTTACTTTAAGTTCCGGGATACAAGTGCAGAATGTGTAGGTTTGTTACACAGGGATACGTGCAAATATATTTCTGTTGTTTTAAGCCACCCAGTTGGTGGTATTTTCTTATGGCAACCCTAGGAAACTAATATCATTCCCAATTTCACAGCCTCGTAAGAACTTGGCCTAGGCACAGTTTGAATTGCTGATTAAACACCCCCCTCTGCTGCCCCCTGAGATGGATACCGGGCCTCAGGAGCTCTCCAGTAGCACTTTCAAGAGCCTTGCTCCTGGCCTTTGTCCTGCGCCATATTGTTGGCCAGGATTCGGAAGCAGGCACAGGGACGCGCACTGCTCAGTTTTGTAGATGACACGAGGCCAGGAGGGTTGGTTAATAGAATGGCTGGCTGAATAGGGACATGGAAAGATTGGGACAGGTTACAACAATGGCCCAAGAAAATGATGGGACCCCATAGGAACGAGAGTAAAGCTGAAACTGAGGTTACAAAAAGCAACCATACAGAAACGGGATGGCGGGAAGCTGGCTTGGCAGACGTCCTGATTGCAGCAGGTGGGTGTGTAGGTGTGAGTGACCTCCAGCTCTGTTGCAGCTGAGAGTATGATGAAGTTGGTGATAAAGGAAGGTAGCCTTAAGCAGCATGAATAGAAGTGGTATGTCCCCAGTAGGTGGGGACAGCACTGTCAGCTTCTACATTTTGTTGTTCATACCACCCCTGGAGCACCGGGCCAAGGTAGGAGTACCACTTTACAGAAAGGACGCTTCAAACTAGGGAGTGTTTGGGGAGGTGATCAGAATGATGAGGATTCAGAAATAAAATAATGATAATAGCTACCATTTATTAAGTGCTTCCTTTGTGCCAGCGACTGGGCTAAGGGAGGTGAATAAGACAAACACTGTCCCTGCCCTTGGGAAGCTTACATGCCTGGTAGCAAAGGCAGGCAATAAGCCCTGAAGCAGATCAACACATGGATTTATTTAAAAACCTACAAGTGCTACAGAGGAGGACAGGGTGCTATTACCTAGAGAACCTGACCCAGATGGGTTCCTCAAGCCTTCCTTGAGGAAGCAGCATTTTCATCTTTGAGCTAGTTTATGAAAGTAGATTAGGTATTACTTAGGCGACCATGACATCTTTTAAACAAAGAGAACAGCAGGTTCAAAGGCCCTGAGGCACATTTAAGGTACAGGGAGACGAGTTGTATTAAGGGATGTGACTTAGTTTGACTAAGGTCCTGGGAACATTGCTTTGGCTGTGTTGTGGGGGATGGACTGGGGAGATGCAAGGGTGGGTGCAGGGAGACCAGTCAGGAGGGAGCAGCAGCCATCTGTACTAGTTTCCTATTGCCACTGCAACACATTGCCTCACATTTAGTGGCTTAAAACAACGCAAATGGGCCAGGCATGGTGGCTCATGCCTGTAATCCCAGAGCTTTGGGACGCTGAGGCAGGAGGATCACTCGAACCCAGGAGTTCATGACCAGTCTGGGCAACATAGCAAGGACCTCATCTCCACAAAAGAATTTTTTTTTTGAGACAGAGTCGTGCTCTGTCACCCAGGCTGGAGTGCAGTCGCCTGATCTCAGATTACTGCAACCTCTGACTCCTGGGTTCAAGTGATTCTCCTGCCTCAGCCTCCTCAGCAGTGGGGACTACAGGCATGCACCACCAGGCCCGGCTAATTTTTGTATTTTTCAGTAGAGACAGGGTTTTGCTATGTTGGCCAGGCTGGTCTTGAACTCCTGGGCTCAAGTGATCCGCCCGCTTTGGCCTCCCAAAGTGCTGGGATTACAGCTGTGAGCCACTGTGCCCCACCTCCACAGAACAATTTAAAAACAATTAGCCAGGCGTGGTGGTGTGTGCCTGTAGTCCTAGCTACTTGGAAGGCTGAGGTGGAAGGATGACTTGAGGCCAGGAGTTTGCGACAAGTCTGGGCAACATAGCAAGACCCTGTCTCTACAAAAACAAGAACAAAACTAAACAATCCCCTAAAAGACGCCACAAACAAACCAAACCACAAATGTACTCTTTTACAGTTCTGTAGGCCAGAAGTTCAACAGGAGTCCCACTGGGCTAAAATCAAGGGGTCAGCAAGTCTGCGTTCCTCCTAGAGGCTCAAGGGGAGGATCTGTTTCCCTGCCTTGTTCAGCTTCGAGAGGCTGCCTGCATGCTTTGCCTCACGATGCCTTTCCATCTTCAAAGCCAGCAATGGCTGGTGGAGACTTTCTCACATTGCAGCATTCTGAGTCTGACTTTCCTGCCTCTGTCTTTCACTTATAGGGACCCTCGTGATCATATTGGGCCTCTCTGGATAATCCAAGATCATTATTCCCCAATCTCTCTATTTTATTTTATTTTGAGATGGAGATTCGCTCTGTTGCCCAGGCTGGAGTGCAATGGTGTGATCTCGGCTCACTTCAGCCTCTGCCTCCTGGGTTCGAGCAATTCTCTTGCCTCAGCCTCCCGGGTAGCTGGGATTACAGGTGCATACCACCACACCTGACTAATTTTTTGTATTTTTAGTAGAGACAAGGTTTTGCCATGTTGTCCAAGCTGGTCTGGAACTCCTGGCCTCAAGTGATCCACCTGCCTTGGCCTCCCGAAGTGCTGGGATTATAGGCATGAGCCACCATGCCCCGCTGATCTCCGTATTTTAAAGTCAGCTGATTAGCAGCCTTAATTTCCTCTTGCCACTGTAACACAATATATTCACAGGTTGTGGGGATTAGGATGTGCAGATATTGGGGAGTCCATTATCCTGCCTACCACACATCCTGATTTACACACATTACCTCATTTAATGCCCACGCCCTCTCCCCAGGAGGCTGGTACTACTAATTCCCTTTCTACAGATAGGACACTGAAGATTGCACAAGTGACCTGCCTAAGGTCACACGGTGGGAAGTGGCAAAGTCCACAGTCAGACTCCAGGCTGCTTGACTCCTGATCCTGTGATCCTAACCATCACCAGATCCTGCAATTCCATTTCTTGGTAGGACAATGGGAAAGGCCAGGGGATGATGTTTGCCCTAGGGAGCTGAGCTGCTAGCTGACTTCTAGTGTACGATGGGCTGGCTGACTGTTGGCAACACACAGGGTTAAGTTCTGTGTGACTCCAGAAGGCAAAACCAGGTCAAAACTTAAATTCCCAGTTTTAGAGACTTAGAATGTTAGAGCGAGAAGGGATCTCAGAGGTCATCTTTTCTTATAAGGAAATTAAGGCCCAGAGACAGGAAGTAATCTACCCAAGGCCACACAGCTAACTAGTAGCCTAATAAATAACTTTATTTTTTCTTTTCTTTCTTTCTTTCTTTTCTTTTTTTTTTTTTTTTTTTTTGAGACAGGGTCTCACTCTGTTGCCCAGGCTGGAGTGCAGTGGTGTGATCTTGGCTCACTGCAACCTCCGCCTCCTGGGTTCAATCAATTCTGGTGCCTCAGCACCCCCAGTAGCTGGAATTACAGGCATGCACCAACACGCCCTGCTAATTTTTGTATTTTTAGTAGAGAAGGGGTTTTGCCATGTTGGGCAGGCTGGTTTCAAACTCTTGACCTCAAATGATCCGTCCGCCTAGGCCTCCCAAAGTGCTGGGATTACAGGCCTAATCAAGAACTTTCTATTACAATTCTCCTGACAATGATATGGGCTGCAATATTAAGTGATGGGCTCCTCATCGCTGGAGGTGGCTGAGCATCTAACGGGGACCTCCCACTGGGCACAGGCATCACTGGTCATTGTGAAGTGTGTTGCATGTAATTTTGAAATAAACAACAAAGCACACAAGCTTGTAAATGATTTCTTCATCTTAACAAATGAGAGCAGTTCTGGCCTGAGACTTTTTAAAGTCAGGTTTATGAAGGCATAATTTCACCCTTTGATGTGTACAAGTTCAATGAGATTTAACAAAGGTAAACAAAGGTAAACAGTCATGTAACCACTACCACATTCAAGATATGAAACACTTCCATCACCTCCAAATATTCAAAAAGCTTTTTGTGCCCCCCTTTTAGTAAACTTTTTATTTTCAAAGAACTACTCACGAGAAGTTGCAAAAATAATACAGAGAGGTCCCATGTCCTCTTCAGGCAGCTTTCCCCGCTGGTAACATCTTACATAACTATAGTACAATGTCAAGGCCAGGGATATAACATCAGTACAATGCCACTAAGTGAACTCCAGACCTGATTCAGATTTCTCAAGCTTTTTCATGCGCCCATTTGTGTGTGCATGTTTGTGTGCACAGTTTTATGCAGTTTCATTGCGTGTATAGTTTTGCATAACTACCACCATCAATAAACTCCCTCGTGTTACTCCTACCCACCCATGCCCACCTGTTCCCTCCAAGCCATCCCTAACCCTTGGCAGCCACTAATCTGTTTCTGTGCCCCTTTTCATATGCTTTACTGTGAAAGTGCATTTTTAATTAGAAAATAAATTGATGAATCAACTCACGTTGGCAAAAATCCAAAGTATTTAGTTATTTGGAAAGAACTCCTTAAGACACGTTTCTCATTTTAGTACCTTTACTGGGGGTGAACACTGTTAGGGTTTGGGGTATCCTACACTTCTGTCCTTGCAGTTGCATACCGTGCATACATTACATGTATATGTACAGTACCTATAGAAATATATAGTTGTGTACATTTTATCACATATATTGTATCATACATATTGTCCCACAGCTTGTTTTTTGTTTTTGTTTTTGTTTTTTGAGACAGAGTCTCACTCTGTCGCTCAGGCTGGAGTGCAGTGGCGTGATCTCGGCTCACTGCAACCTCTGCCTCTTGGGTTCAAGAGATTCTCCTGCCTCAGCCTCCCCGAGTAGCTGGGACTACACGCACGAGCCACCACACTGGCTAATTTTTGTATTTTTAGTAGAGACAGGGTTTTGCCATGTTGGTCAGGCTGCTCTCGAACTCCTGACCTCAGGTGATCTGCCTGCCTCGGCCTCCCAAAGTGCTGGGATTATAGACGTGAGCCACCAGGCCCAGCCCCACAGCTTTTTTTTTTTTTTTTTTGCCACTTAACAATATGCTTTTCACCACAAAAAACTGATAAATATGGGAGGTGATAGATATGCTAATTAACTTTATTTAATCTTTGTACAATGTATACATATAGCGGGCCCAAGACTGCTTGCGGGTACCAAAATCTGAGGATGCTCAAGTCCCTGATATAAAATGGCATAGTATTCGCATATAACCTATGCACATCCTGCCTTATATTTCAAATCATCTCTAGATTGTGTATAACACCTAATACAATGTAAGTGGCATGTAAATAGTTGTTATATTGTTCAGGGAATCCTGACAAGAAAAAAAGCCTGTACGTGTTCAGTACAGACACAACATCCATTATTTTTTCCCAAATATTTTTCATCCAAGCTTGGTTGAATCCTTGGATGTAGAACCCACGAATAAGTAGGGCCAGCTGTACATCAAAACATCACATTGTACTCCATAGACAAATACAATTATTATTTGCCAATTAAAATAAAATAAAAATATGTCTTGGATAACTTTATCCACACATTTATGTCTCATACATAAAAAGATATCTGCACAGCATTCTGTAATATGGCTGTCCCATAATTGATTGAATCAGCCCCCTGGTGGGAGACGTTTAGGTTGTTCTGAGTTTTCTGTATTACAAATAGTGCTGCGGTGGCCAGCCTTTGTGCACATGTGCAAGTTCTTCTCAGAAGTCGAGAGAAGTGATATGTTTTCCAGAGTGGAAGGAAGAGGGATGAAGGTTCAGCTGACGGAGAATTGCCCCAAACTCTGACGTGGCCATGTGAACGTCATCTGGGACACATTTATTCTGGAGGCTGACAGCTGATGGGCTTGAGGTTTTTGGCAGTGCCTTTGAGCTCTGCGCGTTTGGGATTCTCTGACTTAGCCAAGGTCACTTCACACGTCCAGATTTGCTAACTTCTGGGCCCACACTCTGCCTCAGCCAGCCTTTAAGTCCCAAGAGGTGAAGGTGCCTACGGGAGCCCCCTTTATTTTGAGGAAAGCATGTATTGTTTTGATGACAGCTATTCTGACTTAATGCTTCCCAGCCCTGGAGAGATCACATGCCACCCTTGCACAATAGAAATGATGGGGGTCAAGAAATAATCAAGCTTCTCTCCAGAAGCAGGGGTGGTGATATGTTCACTTTCTTCAATGGAAACTAAGCCCCAGAGAAGGGAAGGAATCCCCCTGAGGCCACACAGCCAATTAGTAGCCTAATAAAGAACATTCTAATGGGGGCGGGGGGTGTGTGTTGGAGCAGAGTAGGGTGGAATTGTTAGCTCTGTGCCTAACCATTTGCTCAGCCTCACCAAATCCACCCAGGGTAAGCCCTTCAGCAACTGGGGAATGGCCACATTGCCAAACCCCCCTGCCTGAATCCTACTGTATGTGTATAGGGAAAGGCTGTTGGCCCATCCCTGTTCCATAATCATGCGCCTACGGACTCACCCACTACCTTGGAGCCTACATGCTAGAGAGGAAGTGGCGGCTGAGAGAAGAAACAAATACAGTACAAGAATTATTAGCATGTTCTACTCTTGAGAAGTTCTTCCTGTCTCTCTTCTTTTTTCTTTTTTTAGACGGAGTCCTGCTCTGTCTCATAGACTGGAGTGCAATGGTGCAATCTCGGCTCACTGCAATCTCTGCTTCCCGGGTTCCAGTGATTCTCCTGCCTCAGCCTCCCAAGTAGCTGGGATTACAGGCATCTGCCACCGCGCCCAGCTAATTTTTGTATTTTTTTTGTAGGGAAGGGTTTCGCCATGTTGGCTAGGCTGGTCTTGAACTCCTGACCTCAGGTAATCCACCCACCTTGGCCTCCCAAAGTGCTGGGATTACAGGCGTGAGTCACCATGCCCAGCCCTGTCTCTCTTCTTGTCTGCTCACCACACAGGTAGGAAGGACAAGCTCTAGGTTTTATACTGCAGAGGTAGGGAAACTGAGGTCAACTGGAGATTGGGAGGTTTGTCTCAGATCATGAATGCATCAAATTAGCCAGAAAGCTGGTTCGGGGACCCTGGCTTCCTGATTCCCAGCCAAAGGCTCTTGCCAACACATTTTACTGCCACCTCTCATCTGACTGCCAAGGCCTTCTGCACAGAGCCTCATCTGCCCATGTGCCTACCTTGGAAGAGACATTGCACAATGAACATAGCTCTGTCCTAGCATTTATGGCCAGAAGCTATGTCACCCTGAGGTTCTGAGACCCTGGAAGAATGAGGAGGATGTTTCAGAATCTAGATGTTCCACCTGGCCAGGTATTAGGGCCCAGATGTGGAAACCTACCCACTGGTCAGATTGGCCCTGACCAAATGTGGAGCAACTCTTTGGCCTATCAAACATGTAAGTGTCTGCTTGCTATGAATAAGGGAAAACTGCTGCTTGTTGTGCTTATGGAAGCCGTTAGGGAAACTTTAAGAGGTGGGACTCCAATTGGGGCCTGAAGGCACTGGAGAGGAGAGAAGGGCACCCAGAGTGAGGGACCAGCTGACAGCTGCAAGCAAGAAAGCAAAAGGCTTGTCTGAGGTTCAGCTGAGGGAAGAGCAGGAAGTAGGATTGGTGTAGTAGGGAGTATTTTCCCACAATTGCTGTGACAGTATCGTCTGTTCCGCATGAGCGTATTACAGTATGACTTTGACACTCCCCCATTGAGATGTAGGGTCTATGTTCCTTCTCCCTGAAGCTGGGCAGCTTTGTGACTATGGCAGAAGTGAAGCTAGATGACTTCCAAGGCGAGGTCGTAGAAGAGGATACAGCTTCCACTTTGCTTGCTGGAATAATCACACTTGAAGCCATGAGCCACCCTGTGATTGGTTTGACTGCTACCATGCTGTGAGGAAGCCCAAACCGACTCACATGGAGAGATCATGTGAAGATCTCCGAGACCACATGAAGTGAGAGGTGTCTGGCCTGTCCCCAGCTGCTCCAGCCCCATTCTCCTCACCCCATACTGTTTTAGCTCCAGTCACTCCCTGATTACAACCTGATGAGGGACCTGGAGCCAGGACTACCACCTGAGCCCTTCCTGAGTTCCTTACCCACAGAAACCATGAGAGGTAATAACATGATTGCTGATGTCTTAAGCCACCAAGGTTCGGGGTGATTTGTACACTGCACCATTCGTAGCTTCTGTAAATCAATAAACACAGTTAACATCACAGTAGCCATTATTTGAGTCCAAAAGTCTCACCACCTCTCCAAAACCAGTGGGGGCGTTCAAAGGTTCCTTAAGCCCCCTGTCTTCTCTAGGCAATCATTTATAGACTAGACATTCAACATCACAGAATATGCTCATAAAACTCCAATAAGGCATGCCTGTAATCCCAGCACTTTGGGAGGCTGAGGCGGGCAGATCACGAGGTCAGGAGATCGAGACCACAGTGAAACCCCGTCTCTACTAAAAATACAAAAAACTAGCCGGGCGCAGTGGTGGGCACCTGTAGTCCCAGCTACTCGAGAGGCTGAGGCAGAAGAATGGCGTGAACCCGGGAGGCGGAGCTTGCAGTGAGCTGAGATGGCACCACTGCACTCCAGCCCGGGTGACAGAGCGAGACTCCGTCTCAAACAAAACAAAACAAAAAACAAAAAACAAAAACAAAAACCAAACAAAAAAAACTCCAATAAGGGCTGGGCACGGTGGCTCACACCTGTAATCCCACCACTTTGGCAGGCCAAGGCGGGAGGACCACCTGAGGCCAACATGGTGAAATGGAGGAGAATCTCTTGAACCTGGGAGGTGGAGGTTGCAGTGAGCCGAGATCGTGCTACTGCACTCCAGCCGGGGCAACAAAGCAAGACTCTGTCTCAAAAAAAAAAAATGCATGGATGAAGACAGAGCTGGGAAATCCTCTTCCTCTTTTTCAGCTGAATGGAAGGTGAACACAGAGGAGATGAATAGCCCCCAAGCAAATACCTGACAGGAGGGGAAGTGGGAGTTTGGGTAAGTCAAGCAGACAGTCTACTGATCACACTGAGAGCTAAAAGCTGCAAGGATACCAGAGGCCCCTCCTGGTTAGAGAAAGGGTTCTTCTGGCACTTCCCACTTCAGATCCATCCATCTTCTTCTGCCCAAAGAACCGTCTACTTACGCAATCTCTCCATTGTGTCTTTCCAGTGGAATATTTAATGCTTTCTCACCTCCGGAACAAACCCACAAGGCCTACCATTTTGATCAAATGTAGGTGGGATTAGGCTCTAGCCTTGTGTCCATTGCTCAGATGTCAGAGGCCTCAGAGCATTAATCACCACAGGTAGCCAAGCCTGGGGGGAAGAGGCAGGTCAAATGCTCTAGTGATTGGGCCCTTTATGGGTCTGCCCATGACACCTGACCTGGGTCCTGTTCTAGAACCATTAGTTGTGGAGAATTTTGGTTATATGATGCTCTTACTGCAGTGCAACCTCCAGGCTGCCATTCCTTTAAGGGAGAGGTAGCCCCAGCACTTGGCTTGGGATGGTCTCTTAGGGAAACAATGGGCAGGCTGGTGCCAGTGGGGATGGGCTAGGTTTGCTTCTTAGTAACAAAGAGAGCATTTAAATGGAAAAGAAGCTTGGGGGGCCCTCTGGGACTGTCTCAGTTGGTTATTTCTCTCTGCTTCTAGATAACTTCAGGCAGCTTGGGGATCTGGATTCCCTTTGCCTGTAGCCTGTGGCTAACACTTCCCCCAGTGTGAAGGGAGGCTGAGCTTCTGCAGCCCTCTCTACTGGAGGAGTTGGCCTTTTCCACACCAACCCTGGCAAAGGTTCATAAGCTATTCAGGGAGTTGCAAAAACTGGGAGGCCACAGCCGGGGAGGAGTAGGAAGGAGAGTGCTGGGAGAGAAGAGCTGCATGAAACGGGCTCTGCTGCCTGGCAGGGCTGAATACTGTCTTCTCTGGAGGGAGGTCAAGGGCACAGCTGAAGCCTGTTTGCATCCCCCTCCCTCCTACATCCCTGTGATAATAGCTCCTAACATTGATTGAGCCCTTAATATGAACCAGGCACTGTTCTCAGCCTTTTTCATGGATTATCTCACTTAATCCTTCACAACAGCCCTATGAGGTAGGTCTATTATTATCCCTATTTTAGAGATTAAATAATAATAATTTCTAAACCCCCCTGAGGCACATAGAGGTTAAGTAAGCTACTAAGTGGCTGAGTCAGGATTATAAACCCAGACAGTTTGGCTCAAGGGAGCAACACCTACCCACTAGGCATTACTGCTTCACACATATAGCTGAGCTACATTGTCCCACCCTGTGGGGCTGCCCTCTGGAGTGTCTCTCCAAGGCTTGCTTTCTTGGGGCCTATCTCATATTTTGAATATTGTAACAGCCACCAATTTACTGAGTGCTTACTATGCACCAGGGACTGTACTAAGCACCTTGGGTGATTTACATGGTTTATTTAGTATAATCCTTACAACCACCCTATGGGATAAGTATTATCACTATCTCCATTTTGCAGGTGAGGAAATTGAGGCTCTGAAAGGTTTAATACCTTATTCAAGGTTAAATTAGTAAGTAGCAGAGCCAGGATTTAAATTTGAACCAAGATCTATCTCATTCTGAAGCTCTAAGAATTTCATTCATTCATTCAACCAACCCACCCAAATTTTAGGCTGGCTGCTATATGCCAGGCACTGTGCTCGGCCTAGGTGGGTATGCACAATGACAATATTTCTGACTCTATATCTTTAGATTAGACTACTCTTAAGAACTGCAGACTCATAAATCCAACTGTCTATTTGACACTACTATGTGGATGTTTAGTAGGTATCTCAAACTGACATGTTCAAAACAACTCAACGTTTCCTCCAAATTCACTCCCCCAATGCCTTCCTCAGTTCTGTAAATGGCATCCCCATCTGTTATGGTCTGAATGTTGGCCCCCCTTCTCCTCCCAAAATTCATATGTTGAAACCTAATCCCTAGTGCAGTGGTATTAAGGGGTGGGGACTTTAGGAGACAGCCCAGGTGAAGGGGATTAGTGCCCATACAGAAGAGGCCTCAGGGAGCTTGTTTGCCCCTTCTGCCATGTGAAGACACAGCAAGAAGGTGCCATCTATGAAGTAGAGGGTGAGCCCTCATCAGATACTGAATCTGCTGGTGCCTTGATCTTTGACTCACATTCAAGAACTATAAGAAAAAAGTTCTGTTGTTTATGAGCCACCCAATCTAAGGTATTTTGATGTAGCAGCCTGAACAGACACCATCCATGCAGTTGTTCAACCCCCACATAGAAGCCATCTTTGATTCCTCTCTTTACCTCATCCATGACATCTAATCTATCAGGCTATCTGGTTGACTTCATCACCAAACATATCCTTAATCTTTACACTTTTCTCCACCATCCCTCTGCCCACCAATCCACTCTCCATAAGGAAGTCAGCATGATCTTAAAACACCAATCAGATCATTTCCTTCTCCTGCTTGAAACACTCCAGTGGATTCCCATATGTTCATGACCTAGAAGGCCCTGCCTGATCTGGCCCCTGCATTTCTACCTTGATCTCCTGCCATGTTCCCATCCCTTGCCATGCATCTTCTTCCTGTTCCTCTAACAGGCCAAACTCATGACCACCTTTGAGCCTTTGCTCTCATACCTCCTGCCTGGAATGCTCTCCCTCTGAGATGGTTCCTTCTTATGATCCAGATCTCAATTTAAATGTCACCTCCTCACAGAGGCCTTCCCTACCTCTTTACAAAATAGCTACTCTCTTTTCTCTGCATGGCTCTTATTACTAAAGATTTTTGGCGGTTGTGGTGGCTCATGCCTATAATCCCAGTGCTTTGGGAGGCTGAGGCAGGAGGATCATTTGAGCCCAGTTTTAGACCAGACTGGGCAACATAGTAAGACCCCGTCTCTCTCTACACACACACACACACACACACACACACACACACACACACACACACACAAAGCTAGGTGTGGTGGCACACGCCTGGGAGGCTGAAGCGGGAGAATAACTTGAGTCCAGTGAGTTACGATCACGCTGCTGTACTCCAGCATGTGTGACAGAGTGAGACCCTGTCTCTAAAAAAAAAAAAAGAAAAAGAAAGCTTTTTAAAATTTTCTGACCTACCTGTGTTTCCCATCCACTAGAATAAAAGCTCCAGGAGAGCAAGGAGCTGACTTCTCTTATTCATCATTTTATGCTCAGGATCTAACATAGTACCTGGCACATAGCAGGTGCTCAGTAAGTAAAGGGCTCATAGTCCAGTAGCAGAGGTTGGTGGATACAGCAAGAATGGTGGACAGAGAGCACTGTATGGTCCTTGGGGAAATGACAAAGGAACAACAGTCTGGAGGAAATAGAAGGGAGTAGAGAACATGCTGACCCCACTCCGAGCCTCGGGCTGGTGGAGGGAGGAGGCATGTGACCTCCAGAAAGGTCTGTGGTCCAGTTTCAGCTCTGCCACTCACCAGCCAAGTCACTCAACTTTTCTGAGCTGTCGTTTCCTCATTTGAAAATGAGAATACTAATACTATCACGCAACAGCATTGTTGTGGGGACTGTGTTCAATCCCTTCAATGGGCTTCCCATCTCCCTCTGGGTAAGAGCCAAGGTCACCATAAGACCTCCAAGGTCCTGCTCAATCTGTCACCGCCCCCACCCCCATTTCCTCTCTGCTCTCGTAGTTACCACTCCTTCTCTCACTCACTCTTCTCCAGCCCCACGGGCCTCCTCCACATGCCTCAAACAGCTAAGCACATTCCTGCCTCAGGGTCCGTGCCTAGCTATTTTCTCTGCCTAGAATGCTCTTCCTTCAAATATCTGCAAAGCTTCAGTGGCATCATTCAGGCCTAGTCTGAAATGTCCACCTCCTCCGGGAGACCTTCCCTGGTCAACTAATCGGACATTGCATTCATCTCTCTGGGCATTCCTTCTCCTCCTTCTCTGCTTTGTTTTTCTCCATAGCACTTATCCTATTTTTGCACACTCACTTGCTTACTTATTTTGTATATCATCTGTCTTCCCCCACTAGAGTGTAAGCTTCATGTGAGCTGGGAGTTTGTCTTAGTCTCTGCTCTACCTACAGCTTCTAGAACAGTGGCACATAGTAGGCACTTGGTAAATCTCTGCTGAATGAATGAATGAAGTGTCAACATGGTGTCTGACATGTAAAAAGTGTTTGGTAAATGGGAGTTATTATTACTGATAACTATCTCTTTATGGAGTAACTTCCTATGCCCAGGGCTTAGCACAGAGCCCTGTACTTAGCAGATGTTCAGTTGACATTAGCTGAAAGAGGAACCCTACTTGAGGTGGAAAGTACTACCTGCCACAAGAGAAACCCAAACAACCCAGGCTCTAAGAGTGCAGTGGAGGGAAGGCCAGGCCTCAGCCTGTTTCTAAAAACCAAATCGCCAACCATGATCCTGGAAAAGAGCCCTCCAGCAAGGAGACTTGAGACAAAAGGTGCTATGATCTGAGTTTTTGTGTCCTCCCAAATTCATATGTTGATATCCTAACCCCTAACATGATGATATTAGGAGGCTGGGCCTTCGGAAGGTGATTAGGTCATGGGGGCAGAGCCCTCATGAATGGTATTAGTAACCTTATAAAAGAGGCCCAAGAGAGTACCCTTGGCCCTTCCACCTTGTGAGGATACAGCTAGGAGGTGCCATCTACGAAGGAACTGGGCCCTTGTTGGACACCAAATCTGCTAGTGCCTTGATCTTCGACTTCCCAGCCTCCAGAACTGTAAGAAATAAATGTCTACTGTTTATAAGCCAACCAGTCTGCAGGCCTTTGTTATAGCAGCCCCAATGGACTAAGATAAAGGGAATTTCCACAAAGGAACACCAGGAAGCTATGTGGATCTTTAACTTGGGGTCCCTGTTCCTCTAAGTAGTCTGTGGCTGGAATTCAGAGGATTCATGAACTTAGATGGGGAAAACTACATCTTTGTTTCTGCTATCTTTTAACTATATTTTAGCATTTCCTTCAATCATGAATGCAGGTGATAAACCACCATAGTATTAGAGGACCTGTGACTTGGCCACCAGCAGAAATTACACATATTTTCATATCACATTAGAATGAAGCACATCTCTTGAAATAGCAATATGTTCATCATTGCTTTGAAATTGTGATAGTTATAAGACTCACAGCTAGATTTAGTTATATAATGTGCTAATAATGAAGCACAGACATCACAAATTTTAAAAAATATGTTGGAGACCGGGTGCAGTGGCTCATGCCTACAATCCCAGCACTTTGGGAGGCCTAGGTGAGAGGATCACTTGAGCCCAGGAGTTTGAGGTTACAGTGAGCTATGATTGTGCCACAGCACTCCAGCCTGGGAGACAGAGTGAGACCCCATCTCAAAAAAAAAAAAAAAGTTGATAGCTATATTTCACTATACTTGGTTTCCATTTAAATCCTTTGTATTTTATGCATCTAAAAATATTATTCTGAAAAGGGGACCAAAGGCTTCAACAGATTGCTAAAGGGTCCATGACACAAAAAAGGACCAAGAGGACCAAGAGTGTGTCTGGTTGCAATTGGTCACAATTCTCCTAGAATACGTGACATCTTCCAAGAAGAGCCTAAGTCGGTCAGTGCAGACCCTTTCCAGTCATTCCTGGAATGGGTGGGGACCCTCCAATCCCCAACAATCTCACTCTCTATCACAATATGTGTCTATTAATTAGTTTCTCAAATGGCAAAAGGCCAAGTGTAGGATGCGGATGGGCAATGGAATCTCAAACTCCTTCCCAGACACCCTGTACCAGCCAATTAGATTGTTCACTGTTGGCTGGGAGTGCTGTACACATCCCACCTCCTTTGCTTTATCTCTGCTATTTCCTCTGGCTGTAATGTGGGCCCAGCTTCAGCCCTAGCCCCAAGTCCGTGCTACTCAAACATCAGATCTAAGGTCACTAACGGTAAATGACCAGGGACACCTACCCTTCCAACAGTCTAGGCTAATATCATGTTCTTATGCTCCAAGACCCTGTATTCTGGAGCTTTATCTGAACACTTGCCCAAACACTTGAGCTGACCCACAGCTGCTTCTTTAAGGAACATGTTGCCTCTGGCCCCCAGGCACTTTAGTAGCTTGAGGTGGGCTGTGGCCTGTCCAGGCAAGAATGAAAGGCAGGTACGCCCACTTTCAAAACAAAATAGAGGTTCTTCTTCCTATGTCACCCAGAACACCCACATCTAAATTTTAATCCACAGCATACAACTTTAATACCCTCTGCACACTCGCAGAAGACCTCAGCCTCCCCACCTCTTATCCAGGATCTGTTGGGAGCATGGCAGCCTCTGCCAATCTTTGGTATTGAATTGACAAACGGAAGGCTTTAGGCTAGATAATGAAGTCAGGAAAGCAGAGAGCTAGCTGGTAGAGTGGGAAGAAGTAGAAGGGTCAGTGGGCTGGCCATCCCAATAAAGTTGAAGAACAGTTCTCACAGGAATAATCACACAAGAAAACTGGAAGATGAGAAGGTAGCAGAGCGGGGAGGCTTGAAAGAGTGATTTTTAAAGTGGCACAGCTGAAAGCAATGTCAAGGCCCAAGGTGTGACTGTGCCAGAGTGTAACTTGAGGAGGAGTGCAGGAGGTAAAGATGAGCAAGTCAAAGAATAGAGAGAACATGACATTGGAAGGGATGTCTGCATGAATGTAGAAGTCATCCATGAGAATGTCAGGGTTTCTGGAAGAGGAGAAAACCATGAACTCTTTTACCAAAAGTCTTTAATGAATGAGATTTAAAAAATGACAGTGATTAGGAAGCGGAAAGGTTAGCATTGCCCAATAGTAGGGACCTTGGAAGAGCAAGCCAGTAAATGATAGAGTTCTTCAAACCCTAAGTTGTTTTTTTGTTTGTTTGTTTTTGCCATTCTACAATCTTTATCCAGGTGATTGATTCACACCCCCTATCCTCATGGCTCCCAAATTTACATCTGTAGCTCAGATCTCTCCTCTAAGTTTCAGACAGCTTATCCAACTGCATACTTGACAGCTCCACTTGGACCAAACATATGACCTTCCTTCCAAATACTGTCCTCTTCCAGGCCTCTTTTTCTCTGCGGTGCCCCCATTCATTCAGTTGCCTAAATCTGAAACTTAGCAGTTATCCTTGACAGTCCCCCTCTCTCACATTTCCCCCTGTCAAATCTATTATCAAGTCCTGTTGATTTCACCTCTTCAGTAGCCCTTGAGTTCCTCCGCTCCTCCCTGCCACCACCCTGGCCTACACTGCCATTTCTCCCCTGGTTTAATGCAAGGGCTTCTGTACACAGCCACTTGGCCCCCCTCCAATCTGTTCACTCTGCAGCCAGACTGATCATTTTAAAATGCAAATCTGATCATGTCACCTGCCTGCTTAAACATGTCACCACCTTCCCATGTCTGTCTGACTCACTGCTGAATCCTTAGTAGCTAGCACAGTGCCCAATACAGTGACTCAATAAATATTTGATGATTGAATGAATGTGAGGTAAGATGAAGTGTTTGAAGCCAGATGGACAAATTATGTTCTTTGATCACAAACTGAATTCCTAATCTTGGTCATAAACTGGACCCTACAGTTGGGCCCAGTATGAAATCAATAGGCCTGGCAACAGCCAAAGTCCTTCCTCATAGCTGCTTGTACCATTAGCTCTCAATCCTGCTGCCCATTATAATCACCCAAAAAGCTTAATTAAAAAAAAAAAAAAAAAAAAAAAAGCCCAGATCAGGCATGGTGGCTGCCTCACGCTTGTAATCCCGGAACTTTGGGAGGTTGAGGCAGGAGGCTCTCTTGAGCCCAGGAGTTCGAGACCAGCCTGGGCAACATAGGGAGACCCTGTCTCTACAAAAAATAAAAAAAATTAGCTGGGCATGGTGGCTTGCGCCTGTTGTCCCAGCTACTTGGGAGGCTGAGGTGGGAAGATAGCTTGGGCCCAGGAGTTTGAAACTGCAGTGAACCATGATCCCGCCACTCCAGCAGGGGCGACAGAGAGAGACCCCGTCAAAAAAAAAAAAAAAAGGCCTGACTCTACCTAGACCAACTAAATCAGAATATCTTGGGGGTGGGGGTCCTGGCCTAATTAGTTCTTAAAGCTCCCCAAGTTAATTTTAATGTGCAGCCGCAGTTGAGAGCAATGTTGTACCCCTTGCTTCTCAAGGTGTGGTGCACAGCAGTAGCTGCATCACCTGGGAGCTTGTTAAAAATGCAGTCTCGGGTGCCACCGGATTCCCCAGATTTTCTAAATCAGACTTTTAACAAGGACCTCAGGTGATTTGTCCAAGTGATAATGTTTGAGAAGCACTACCAAGGAGCCAGGCAGGAGAGGGTGGACTTAGTGGTGCTCCTCCCAGCTTCCAGGGAAGTATGTGGTTGCTTGAATGGAGGCAAATCTCCACTCCTCCACGAGTCCAGATCTAATAGCTGGCTCAGCATTTTGCCAGGCTAGTGGGCCGGCATTCCAGTGTAGATAATGTAAATGTCTTTCTGCATGGACAAAATCCCCATCCTGAATAGCGACAGCAAAGCAAAGCAAGGGGTTCCATTCCATCGGGAAAGCTGGGACTAGCAGTATATATTTGCTAGGAGTCCTTTCTGAGGAGTGGGAACAATAGACTAAAGAATCAGCCCTCGCGGTCCTGTCACGTCCCTGCACCCAACTAACCGCGGGCTGGGCCTAGCCATGATTGCTCGCACTGTGAGCACTGCTGCTTGCGCAGGGAACCCGCCCTCAAAGCCACAGCGCCCTGAGATTCTCTCTACCAGCTCCCCACCCCCGCCCCACAACTCTCCTCCAGAAAAGGAAAATAAAAAGTGATCAAAAGTATTCCAATTCTATTATTGGTTTGGTTTCAAAATGTTGGCCCTGTTCTTTCGGGCTGGGCCAGGTGGGTAGAGCCGACACCCCCTTGTCTCGGGGCTCTGAGGCTCTTGAAAGCGCGGGAACCAGCGTGGGGGCGGGATCCCCAGTGCCCCCGGTGCGTAGGCGCACTGCCGCGCTGCCACGCCCTCTCCCGGCCCCTGGCCAGGGCAACGGTGCCAGGGGACTGGCGAAGGCGCGCGGTGGGCGCTGCACTGCCCCCCTCAGGGCGGGCGACGCGCTCCTTCGCGGGCCCAGCGCGTTCACTTCCTGGGCCCGGCTGGCACTGCCCTGCGCCGCCGCCCGTCAGTCCCGGTACCCCGCCAGGAAATGTCTTCTTCCTGGGAAGACGGCCGCTGTCTGCGGCAGTGGGTGGCAGAGTCTGAAACCAAGTCGCACAAGCCCTGGGAGACAGAAAGCCTTGTGTTTGTCTTGGGGACTGTTCCGTCAGAATGAGCAGCTTAAAAAATGTCGCCTGTGAGGTCTCAGCTCGTAAGTGCCCCTCATGCCCACCCCCGGGAGGAGGCATGAGGGTGGGGGAAGCATCTTCATGGTAGATAGAAGCTTAAACGCTGCAGAAGCCGCCCGCTCGCGGCGGCCAGGACGAGGCCCCTTCGAGGCCAGCTGTTTGCTGTGTAACTGAGAGCAGAGTCCTTTAAGGACACAGGCCATTGGGTAAACACCCTCCTTGTCCCTCAGGCAGCTGGGTGTGGACGGCGGCTGCCTTTGGCCGGGGAGGCAAGGGCACCCAGCTGTTACCCAGCCAATGAGGACACATAGCCTCTGAGAAAAGCACAAAGGTGGCCCCTCTAGGCTATCTCTAGGGGAAAAAATTACACACACACACACACACACACACACACACACACACACACACACTCTCTCTTAAAAGTCTTGTGCCTGGATGCTCAGCACTGGCCCTGGAGCCTGCACCCACCTGCCTCCTAGTTGGCAGTAGTTCCCTCACACTGGCATGGTCTCCACTGAGATACTGGCTCCTTCATGAGCTCATTCCCATCCTCTACCTTCTTCCTCCTGTTTCCTTAGTTTCTCTCATTCTTAACTTCTGCTTTCTTCATCTTTCTCCCCATTTGTTCCACCTCTTCCTCTTCTGTTTCTTTCTTCCTTTTCCATTCATTTAAAAATGCACTCACCATGCATTAAGCACTGTAGTAGTCAGCCTGGCTGCCATAATAAAAATACCAGAGACTGTGTGACTTCAACAATAGAAATTAATTTTCTCACTTTTTGGGGCTGGAAGTCCAAAATCAGTGTGCCAGCATGGTGAAGTTCTGGTGAGGGTTCTCTTCCTGGCTTGTAAGATGGCTGCCTTCTTGCTATGTCTTCACGTGGCGGAGGAAGAGAGAGAAAGATCTCTTCTTCTTATAAGGCTGCAGTCCTGTCTGCTTAGGGCTCCACCCTTATGACCTCATTTGACCTTAATTACCTGCTGAAGAGCCTATCTCCAGGTATAGTGATATTGGGGGTTAGGGCTTCAGCATATGAGTTTTTTGGAAGTTGTCAGAAGTCAGTCCATAGCAAGCACCTACAGGGATTGTTAGATCCCTAGGAGCTATAGCAATGGGGAAAGCAGCAGTGCAAACAGATGTGACCAATGTTGTTAACACAGTGTGAACAGAACATAGCAGGAGCACGAAGGGGCAGGGGTGAATAGGTGCCTCGAGAAATCAAAAAGGGCTTGACAGAGAAGGTGACATCTAAGGTATGAGAAGTAATTTGCCAGGCAGAAAACAGAAAAACTATATTTCAGGCAAAGGGAATAGCATGTGCAAAGACATAGAGTTGTGAAACGGCACGGCCTGCTTCATAAGCAATGAAAGGTTCTGTAGCACTGGAAGTGAGGGTGTATAGTGGAGGGGGAGGGGGATGTTGGAGATGCAAGTTGGGGTTGCCACATGAAGGGCCAAAGCAGGACATGATGATGGTCTAAGAAGGCAAGGATAGTGAGGCTGGAAAGTAAGGACAGGGTGCAGGGGACATTGGCAAGTTCAAATTGACAGCATTTGATAACTGATTGAATATTGGGGTGATGAGGAGGGAGGAGTGGAGGGCAACTCCTGAGTTTCTAACTTAAGGGACTGGCAACATTTACTGGAGATACAGGAGGAGGAGTGGGTCTGGGGTGGGGGTGAGAGTGGATATGATGAGTGTTAAGCATCTTTAGAAAGTTCTGAGGTTGGGTACTAGCAGTGAAGTGGGGATGGAACAAACACAATGTAGATTCACTAGCTCACGTGAGGAAACTATTTAATGTTTGAAAAGGAACTATCCCAAATAGTTAAAAGAACAGTGCTCAGAATTCACACAGGGCTGGGAATAGTGCCTGCTCTCAACCAGCTAAAATTAGAGTATTGGGTAGTGCTGCAGTCTGAGTCTTTATATACCCCTCGCCCCCCAAATTCATATGTTGAAATCCTAACCCCCAAGGTGACAGTGTTAGGAAGTGGGGCCTTTGGGAGGTTACTAGGTCACTACGATGGAGCCCCAATTATGAGATTAATGCCCTTAGAAGGAGACATAGGAGAGAGCTTCATTCCTTTCTCTCTCTCTCTGTCATTCTCTCTCTCTCTGTCATCTGAAGGTACAACAAGAAGATAGCAATCTGCAAACCAGAAAGTGGGCCCTCACAAGAACTAGATGATGATGGTGTCCTGGCTTCAAACTCCCAGCTTCCAGAACTGTGAGAAATAAATTTCTGTTGTTTATAAGTTACCCAGTTTTGGTATTTTGTTATAGCAACCTGATTGAACTAAGACAAGTAGAGTACACAGAAGGTTCTTGCTTCAGTATGGTGAAATGATTAGCCCCAAACTTAATACTCTTCTGGTCTCATTTAACAAAGCTTAACAGAAAGCCCCAAAAGGATCAAACAATTTCCAACAAACTTAACTGAGTCCCGGAACAAAACTCAAGAATAATTACAGCAAGGTTTCCCAACCTCAGAATGATTGACATATTTGGGCTTCATAATTCTTTATTGTGGGGGCTGTCTTGTGTATTGCAGGACGTTTACCATCATACCTGGCCTGTACCCATTGGGTACCAATAGCACCCTCCAGTTGTAACAACAAAGAATGTCTTCAGACAAACAAAACTGCCTTTAGATGGGAACCACTGATTATAGAAACTTAGACATATAAACAACCAACAAGGTAGAATACACAATGTCTGGCATCCTGTAAAAAATTCCCTAGCATGGAAAGAGCAGGAAACTGTGACTAATAAGAAGGAGATAAATCAATTAATTGAAATCAAACCAGAACTGACACAGATGTTAGAATTAGCAGACAATGATAAAAAAGTTAATTACAACTAACTGTATTCTGTGTGTTCAAAAAGTTAGGTGGAGACATGGAAGTTTTTTTTTTTTTTTTTGAGACAGAGTCTCGCTCAGTCGCCTAGTCTGGAGTGCAGTGGCGCCATCTCGGCTCACTGCAAGCTCTGCCTCCCAGGTTCCCGCCATTCTCCTGCTTCAGCCTCCCAAATAGCTGGGACTACAGGTGCCCGCCACTATGCCTGGCTAATTTTTTTGTATTTTCGGTACGGATGGTCTCGATCTCCTGACCTCGTGATTCACCCATCTCGGCCTCCCAAAGTGCTGGGATTACAGGCGTGAGCCACCGTGCCTGGCTGGAAGATATTTTTGAAAATAGCCAAATCAAACTTATGGTAATGACAACCACAATATGTGAGGTAAAAAACACATTGGATAGAATTAATAAAAGATTAGACATTGCAGAAGAAAACATTAGTGAACTTGAATACACAGAGATAGAAATGATTTGAAATGAAACACACATAGAAAAGAGAATTACAAAATGAATTGAGCATCAGTAAACTGTAGGAAAAATTCAGATGGCCTCTTATATGTGTAATTGGAATCCCTGATGGAGAAAAAGAAAGAAAAGGGACCAGAAAAAAGTTTGAAGAAATAATGGTCAAAATTTTTTCAAATTTGATGAGAATTATAAACGCACAGATTCAGGGGACTCAACAAATGCCAAGTGCAAGAAACATGAAGAAAATTATGTCGAGACATATTGTAATCATATTGCTCAAAACCAGTGATAAGGAGAATATCTTAAAAGCAACCAGAGAAAAAAGACACATTATATACAGAGAGACAAATACAAGATTTCTCATTGTGAACAATATAAGTGAGAAGATGATGAAGCAAAATCTTTACAACACTGAAAGAAAAAAGAAAACTGTTAACCAGGGATTGTGTATCAGGCAAAAATATCTTTCAAAAATGAAGGCCAAATAAAAACATTTCAGTTATATGAAAGCTCAAATAATTTATCACTAGGAGACCCATGCTACAAGAAATGGAAGAAGAATAATAAATGAAAATATGAATCTACACAAAGGAAAGAAGAACACTGGAAATAATTAACTACACAGGTAAATAGGTCAGATTTTTTAAAAAGTATTTGAATATCTTTAATAGATAGTGGATTGTTTAGGCAAAAATAATAACAATGTAGTGTGAGGTTTGTAACATATGTAAATGTAAAATATATGACTACAATAGCACAGAGGTTGTGGGGAGAAATGGGTATATGCTATTGTAAAGTTTTTATAGTATATGTGATGTGGTACATATCACTTGAAGGTAGACTGTGTAAGTTAAAGATGTTTATAATAAACCTAAAAGTAATCACTAAACAGCACAAAAAGTCATAGCTAATAAGCCAATAAATGAGATGAAATGGTATCATAAAAAACATTCAGTTAATCCCCAAGACAAAAAAAAATGTAACAAGGAATAGATGGGACAAATAGAAAACAAATAACAAAACAATAGATTTAAACCTAAGTGTATCAATAATTAAATGAAATGTAAATGGCTTAAATACCCAAATAAAGGATTGAGATTTCCAGATTGGATATAAAAGCAACAGCCAACTATGTACTGCCTATAAGAAAAACATTTTAACTCCAAAGTTAGAAATAGATTAAAAGTATGGAAAAAAGTTATACCATGCTAACACTAATCAAAAGAAATCTGAAATGTCCATATTAATATGAGATAAAGTAGATTTCAAAGCAAAAATAATTTCCAGAGGTAAAGAAGTTAATTTCATAGTGATGAAAGGGTCAATTCATCAAGGGGACATAACATTTCTAAACGCTTATGTACCCAATAACAGAGCTTCAAAATACCTGAAGTAAAAACTGACAGTACTTCAAGTAGAAATAGAAATTGCAGATTTCAAGACCCATCTTTCAATAATTGATAGAATAAGCAAAGAGAAGATCAGCAAGAATATAGAAGATATGAATAACACTATCAACCAACTTGACCTAATTGATATTTATAGAGCACTCCACCCAACAAGAGAGGAATATACTTTCTTTCCAAAAGCATACAGCACATTTACCAAGATAGACCATATTCTGGGCCATAAAACAAGTTTCAACAAATTTAAAAGAATTCAAGTTAGTAAAGTATATACAAAGTATATTCTATGACTATAATGAATTTAAATTAGAAATCAATAACAGAAAGATCTCTGGAAAATGCCTAGATATCTGGAAACTAAATAACACACTTCTAAATAATCCATAAGTCAAAGAAGAAGTCAAAAAGATAATTAGAATGTATTTTTAAATGAATGAAAATGAAAATACAAGATAATAGAATTCATAGGATGCCACTAAATGCCTATATTAGAAAGCAATAATGCTCTTGAATTAGTTAGGGTTCTCCAGAGAAACAGAACCAATAGGATAGATAGATAGATAGATAGATAGATAGATAGATAGATAGATAGATAGATAGATAGACAGAGAGATAGATAGATAAATAGACAGACAGACAGACAGACAGATAGATAGATAGATAGATATAGAGATATATAAAAAGAGGTTCATTATGAGGGATTGGCTCACATGATTATGGAGGCTAAGAAGTCCCAAGATCTGCTGTCTGTAAGCTGGAGGCCCAGGAAAGCCAGCCATGTAGTTCCAGTCCAAACCCAAAGGCCTGAGAATGAGTGAGCCGATGGTGTAAGTTCCAGTTCGAGGGCCCAAGAACCAGGACCACTGATGTCTGAGAGCAAGTGAAGAAGAATATTCCAGCTCAAGCAGAGAGAGCATATTTGCTCTTCCTCCACCCTTTTGTTCTATTCAGGCCCTTAAAAGATTGGATAATGCCCACTCGTGCTGGTGAGGGCAATCTTCTTTATTCCATCTATCAATTCCAATGTTAATCTCTTCTGGAAACATCCTCACAGACACACCCAGAAATAATGTTTACCAGCTATCTGGGCACCCCTTAACCCAGTCAAGTTGACACATAAAATTAACCATCACAGTTCCTAAATCAATTATCTTAGTTTTCAGAACCAAAAAAGAGCCCGCATTGCCAAGACAATCCTAAGCAAAAAGAACAAAGCTGGAGGCATCATGCTACCTGACTTCAAACTATACTACAAGGCTACAGTAACCAAAACAGCATGGTACTGGTACCAAAACAGAGATATAGATCAATGGAACAGAACAGAGCCCTCAGAAATAATAGCACCCATCTACAACCATCTGATCTTTGACAAACCTGACAAAAACAAGAAATGGGGAAAGCATTCCCTATTTAATAAATGGTGCTGGGAAAAACGGCTAGCCATGCATAGAAAGCTGAAACTGGATCCCTTCCTTACACCTTATACAAAAATTAATTCAAGATGGATTAAAGACTTAAATGTTAGACCTAAAACCATAAAAACCCTAGAAGAAAACCTAGGCAATACCATTCAGGACATAGGCATGGGCAAGGACTTCACGTCTAAAACACCAAAAGCAATGGCAACAAAAGCCAAAATTGACAAATGGGATCTAATTAAACTAAAGAGCTTCTGCACAGCAAAAGAAACCACCATCAGAGTGAACAGGCAACCTACAGAATGGGAGAAAATTTTTGCAATCTACCCATCTGACAAAGGGCTAATATCCAGAATCTACAAAGAACTTAAACAAATTTACAAGAAAAAATCAAACAACCCCATCAAAAAGTGGGCAAAGGATATGAACAGACACTTCTCAAAAGAAGACATTTATGCAGCCAGCAGACACATGAAAAAAAGCTCATCATCACTGGCCATCAGAGAAATGCAAATCAAAACCACAATGAGATACCATCTCACACCAGTTAGAATGGCGATCATTAAAAAGTCAGGAAACAACAGGTGCTGGAGAGGATGTGGAGAAATAGGAATATTTTTACACTGTTGGTGGGAGTGTAAACTAGTTCAACCATTGTGGAAGACAGTGTGGTGATTCCTCAAGGATCTAGAACTAGAAATACCATTTGACCCAGCGATCCCATTACTGGGTATATACCCAAAGGATTATAAATCATGCTACTATAAAGACACATGCACAAGTATGTTTATTGCGGCACTATTCACAATAGCAAAGACTTGGAACCAACCCAAATGTCCATCAATGATAGACTGGATTAAGAAAATGTGGCACATATACACCATGGAATACTATGCAGCCATAAAAAATGATGAGTTCATGTCCTTTATAGGGACATGGATGAAGCTGGAAACCATCTTTATGAGCAAACTATCGCAAGGACGGAAAACCAAACACCACATGTTCTCACTCATAGGTGGGAATTGACCAATGAGAACACTTGGACACAGGGTGGGGAACATCACACACTGGGGCCTGTCGTGGAGTTGGGGGAGGGGGGAGGGATAGCATTAGGAGATTACCTAATGTAAATGACGAGTTAATGGGTGCAGCACACCAACATGGCACATGTATACATATGTAACAAATCTGCACGTTGTGTACACATGTACCCTAGAACTTAAAGTATAATAATAAAAAAAAGAAACTAGAAAGAGATAAAGAAATTAAACCCAAAGTAGAAGAAAGAAAATAATAAAAATCAAAGCAGAAATTAAAGAAATAGAAAAGAAACAAACAATAGAGAAAACGAATTAAGCCAAAAGCTTAGAGTTGAAAGTTCTTAGAGAACATCTGAAGTTCTTAGAGATAATCAATAAAATTGATATATTTTTAGCCAGGCTAATCAGGAAAAGAAGAAAGAAGACACAAATTACCAGTTTGAAGAATGACAGGGGTGACATAACTACAGATTCTCCAAATATTAAAAGAATACTAAGGGAATATTATGAACAACTTTTTGCCAGTAAATTTGACAACTTAGATGAAATGGAAAATTTTTTGAAAGACACAAAACACCTAAACTCACTCAGGAAGAACAGGCACTATGAATAGCCTTCTATTTAAAAAATGACTTTGTGGCTAAAAACCTTTCTACAAATATAACTTCAGGGTCAGATGACTTTATTGGTAAATTCTACAAAATATTTTAAGCAGAAATAATACCAATTTTATACAAACTGTTCCAGAAAATTGAAAAGGAAGAAATATTTCCCTTTTCATTTTAGCTATGTTTATTACTAGCATTACCCTGATAATAAAAAAGGAAAAAGATGTTATGAGAAAACTACAGAGCAGTATCCCTTATAAACATCTATGCTAAAATTGTAGCAAATCAAATCTAACAATATAGAAATAGGAGGATACACCCACGATCAAGTGGGGTTTATCCCAGCAAGGCAAAGTCGGCTTAACATTTGAAAATCAAGCAATGTAATTTGCCACATTAATAAACAAAAGGAGAGAAAAAAACCATAGGATTATCTCAGTAGATGCAGAAAAAGCACTTGACAAAATCCAACATCCTTTTTAAGAAAAACTCTCAACAAACTAGGAATAGAAGGAAACAATCTCAACTTGAGGAAGTGTATTATGAAAAACCCACAGTTAACATGTAACGGTTGACTACTGAATTCTTTCCCCCTAAGATCAGGAGATAGACAAAAAATGTCTGCCCTTATTCGATATTTTACTGGAAGTTCTAGCCAGTGCAATGAGGCAAGAAAATGAAATAAGAGGCATCTAGATAAAAAAGGAAGAAGTAAAACAGTAAAACTGTCTTTATTTGTAGATAACATGATCATGTATATAGAAAATCTAGAAGGATCTACAAGAAATCTACTAGAACTAATACATGACATTAGCAAGGTTTCTGGGTACAAAATTAATATATATAAGTCAACTTTATTTCTATATGCTAGCAACAAACAATTGGAAACTGAAATTTAGAAACAATACTGTTTACAATTCAATGAGAGAAAGAATAGTCTTTTCAACAAATGGTGCTGGGACAAGTGGATATCCACATGCAAAACAATGAAGTTGATCTCCTTTCCTACATCACACATAAAAATGTACTCAAAATAGAGCATAGACCTAAACGTGAGGTCAAACTATAAAAGTCTTAGAACATAGGTATAAATCTGTGTGCTCTTAGATTAGTTGTTTCTTAGATATAACACCAAAAGCACCAAGGAAAATACAGATAAATTTCACTTCATCAAAATGAAGAACTTTTGTGCATCAAAGAACACTATTAAGAAAGTGAAAAAGAAAAAAGACAACCCATGGAATAAGAGAAAAAATTACAAATCATATATCTGATAAGAGCCTAGTATCCAAAACATGTAATGAACTCTTACAACTCAACAATAAAAAGACAACCCAATCAAAAAGTGGGCAAAGGCTCATTTCTCCAAAGATACACAAAAGACCAACAAGCACATAAAACATCATTAGTCATAAGGGAAATGAAAATCAAAACCACAATGAAATACCTCTTCACACACACTAGAATGGCTATAATAAAAACAAAAACAGAAATAAGTGTTTGGGTAGGATATAGAGAAATTGGAACCCTCATACATTGCTGGTGGGAATGGAAAGTGGTACTGTTGCTATGGAAAACAGTTTAGCAGTTCTTCAAATGGTTAAACATGGAGTTGTCATATGGCCCAAGTACATATTTGTAGGTATATTCCTGAGAGAATTGAAGACATACATCCACACAAAAATATGTACACAAATGTTCATAGAGCATTATTCATAATAGTCAAAAATAAAAACAACCCAAATATCCATCAACTGATAAATGGATAGATAAAATGTGGCATATCCAAACAATTGGATATGATTTGGCAGTAAAAGGGGATAAATTTCTCATACATGCCACAACATGGATGAACCTTGAAAGCATTATGCTAGTGAAAGAAGCCAGACACAAAAGGCCAACATTGTATGACTCCATTCATACGAATGTTCAGAAAAGGCAAATCTATAGGGACAGAAAGAAGGTTATTGGTTGCCAGGGGATGGAAGGGTAGGGGAATGGGAAGTGACTGGTAATGGATATGGAGTTTCCTTCTGGGATAATAAAAATGTTCTAATATTAGATTATGGTGATGGTTGCACAACTCTGTAACTATACTAAAAACCATTGAATTGTACACTTTAAACTGGTGAATTGTATGGTATGTGAATTATATCTCAATAAAGTTGTTAAAATAATTCAATACTAAGAAAACCAACCAATAAAAAATGGACTAAATATTTGAACAGACAATTCACCAAATAAGATATCTGGATGGCAAATAAACACATATAAAGATGCTTTCCTCATTAGCCATTAAGGAGATAAAAATTAAAACCACAGTGAGATACCACTACAGATCTATTCGAATGGCTAAAGTTAAAAAGACTGACTGAAGTACTATTCCAATTATGTGAGGTAGTAGAGTAGTTACAGTCATAGAGACAGAAAGTAGAATGGTGGTTGCCAGGGGCTGGGGAAGGCGCAAATGGAAAGTTAATGTTTAATGGGTACAGTGTTTCAGTTTGGAAAGGTGAAAAAGGTGTGGAGATGGATGGTGGTAATGGTTGCAGAGCAATGTGAATATACTTAATGCTGACAAAATATAAACTTAACAACAGTTAAAATTTGTTATGTGTAATTACCTACAATTAAAAAATATGTAAATGAAGTCTTCTTAAAAAGGTCTAAATGGTAAATTTTGTTATATATACCTTTCACCACAATAAAGAAAACAAACAAAAGACTGACCACACCAAGTGTTGGTGAGGATATGGAGGAACTGGAATTCTCATACACTACTGGTGAGAATGTTAAATGGTATGACCATTTTGAAAAATGGTTTGGTAGTGTTATAAAAGTTAAACAGACATCTACCATATGGCTTAGCATTCCACTCCTAGGTATTTTCCCAAGGGAAATGAAAGTCTTTGTCCATACAGAGACTTGTATATGAATATTCATAGCAGTTTTATTGGCAATAGCCAACATCTAGAAAAAAAAAACCATCCATGTGCATCAACACATGAATGAATAAACAAAATATGGTGGAAACCACTCAGCCATTCAAAAGTAATGACCTGCTGATACACAAAACACTGTTAATACATACAACAGCAGGAATAAATCCCAAAATAATTTTTCTGTGTGAAAGAAGCCAGCAAAAACAGAGTACGTATTGTGTTATTCTGTTTATTAAAAATTCTAGAAAATGCAAACTATATATTAACAAGTAAACCCTCCCTCCAGCCCCTCCCCTCTCCTCCATCCCCAGGTGACTGCTTGAAAGCATTATCCCCAAGTGATTGCTTGGAGATGGAGCAGAGGGGAGGGGCTGGATGGAGAGTTTACAAAGAGGCAGAAGGAAACTGTAGGGATTGATGAAAACTTGATAGTGGTGATGGTTTCATGAGAGTATGTATATGTAAAAGCTTAGCAAATTGTACACTTTTGTACACTGCATGAAACTTGTGCAGGTATTGTATGTCAATTATACCTCTATAGCGCTATAAACAAAAAAGGAGGGTGTCTTTGAACAGATAAACTTCAAGGTCCTTTCCAGCTTCAATTCTGTGGTAACTATTAGAGAAAATTATCCCAAAGCCTGCTACTGAAGTAGTCCTTTGTACTGGGATGCCCAAATCATTGAGACAAAACTGAGGATTTTGCTTGGATTATGCGTAGACATGCTTTTGTTATTCACCTCTCTGGGGCTGTGTAGACTGAACCTCAAAATCCAGTGGGACAGAGTGGGGAAGCACACCACCAAACCAGTGGAAAGACATCCAGGTCAGTGGAGGAAACTGGGGAAATGACAGCCTAATGAGCACTCCTCTTTCCAGTTTCTTTGTCTATGATTCAGAGGATCGGCTTGCCCTGAGCATTCCAGACCAGTGAGGCATCTCAGGGCCATGAATGCAGAGATATCCCAGGGGATAAAACAATGGAAGACAAGATGGAAATAAGAAATGGCCTTTTTAGGTCTCTTGACCCAAATGCAAGGAGCTAAGAGGATATGGAGGAAGAGGTGGAAGTATCCCTTCCCTGCAGGAAGGAGATTATGACTTGATGGGGTCTAGGGAAATCAAATGTAAGAAACTAAAGACCTGGAATGTCAAGCCTCCTGGGATGTTTTTTAGATGGACGTGCTAGAGGAGCAAGAGGAAGGAGGTGATACCACCTCCCCCGCCCCCCCACCCAGCCCCGCCAACCCCTCCGCCTGCCTGCTAACAGTGAAAGCCAAGAAGGCCAGGAAGTGGAAGAATGCAAAGCCAAAAGGCACACTTCAAAGCCGTTTGTCAGCTGGGCAGTGCCTTAAGCAAGTGCCACGGCTGATGGATCACCTCATGGGAAGCACCAGCCAAGAGGGATCCAGCCCAGGAGGCTGTCACCCTATCCTCAGCCTGCACCTGGGTCAGATGCTTTAAAGGAAGACAGTCAAAATCCTAAATACCCGAGGTGACTCCGGGCAATATTTACACCTGAGCAGAATGGCATTTTCTTCTTGATCCCAGAGGGTGATCAGTTATAAGCTTCAAGCCTGAAGCAGGGGAATTGAATGTTCTTGTAATTTTATCCTACATAGCAGAGCCACAGAAATTCTTCTTATCCAGAGGAATGTAGAACTCAAGTATCCTTCCCCACCTCCACCCTTGTTCCTCCTGCTACCCCTAAGTCGTGCACAGTGCACTTCCCACTCCCCCAGAAGAATGGTTACATTGGCCAGTATTGTAATGATTCCTCAAATTAGTAAGGCGTTTCATGGTTTATAAAGCTCCTTCCCTTTCATTCTCTTGTTTTGATTCTTATTCAACCCTGGGAGTGAAACATTGTTTTCTCATTTTTTAGAAGAACTTGAGGGAGCAAAGCACAGATGTTCAGACCTATTCATTCATTCATTCATATATGCATTGATTGGGAAAATGATTGAACACCTACTATGAGTTAGACACTGGCTAGATGCTGAGGACACAGTCATGAAACCAGACAGCCATGGCCCCTGCCCTTATGGAGTTCAGTCTAGTTGGACAGTGAGGGGTGGATGGGGTGAGCCAGACATTAACTGAACACAAACTGAATTGTGAACTATGAGAAGCGATTACAGGGGAATTTCAGCCAGTCTGAGGGCCAAGGAAAACATCTCTTGAGGAGGAGTGATTTGACATTAGAGATGAGCTGATTGATGATAGGCATTAGCCAGGAGAAGACAGGGTAGAGCAGAGAATCATTCAGTAGGAGGAAAAAGTATTGGGAAGGCACTGTGACAGGAGGGACATGGCATTGCAGATAGAAAGAGGATAAGAGGCAAGAGAAGAGGCTGGCGAAGTGGGTAGGGGCTAGATTATGCAGGGCCTTGCATGCCATGGTTAAGAGTTTGGTCTTGTCCTAAGAGCCATGAGCCACAGAAGGTTTTCAAGCCAACTGGCATAACCATTCTGGTTGCTATGGAGAATGATGTGTGAGGAATGACAGGGCTGGAACAAGAATAGGGCAGCAGAAACATAGAGACGTGTAGATTTGACAGATATTTGGAGGTTAAATTGGCAGAAAGTTCATGCTGTGTTGATTCCAGCATGCCAGAAATGTAAATGGAGGTAGTGGGGTGTAATGGGTTGAACAGTAGCCCCCGAAAAGATATGTCTATGTCCTAACCCCTGGAACCTGTAAATTTGACACCTCATTTAAAAATGGTCTTTGCAGGTGTAAGAAGTTTAAGGATCTCAAGAGAGACATACTGGATTATCCAAGTGGGCCCTAAATCCATTGCTGACAATCTTTATAAGAGTGAGGCAGCCACGCCTATAATCCAAGCACTTTGGGAGGTCAAAGTGGGAGGATCACTTGAGGCCAGGAGTTTGAGAACAGCCTGGGTAACACGGCAAGACCCGTCTTTACAAAAAAAATAAAAAATAAAAAATCAGCTGGTTGTGGTGGTGCTTGTAGCTACAGCTACTGAAGAGGCTGAGCCAGGGGGATTGCTTGAGGCCAGGAGTTCTAGGTTATGGTGAGCTATGATCACACCACTGCACTCCAGCCTGGGCAACAGAGTGAGACCCTAGAGAGGCAGAAGGATATCACATAGACAAAAGGGTCAGGTCATGTGAAGATGAAGATGGAGGCAGAGATTGGAGGGATGCAGCCCTAAGTCAAAGAATGCCTGGAGCCACCAGGGGATGAAAGAGGCAAGGAAGAATCCTCCCTTACACTTTCATTTTATCTTTATTTATTTTTAATTGACAAATGATAATTGTGCATGTTTATAGGGTACAATGTGAGGTTTTGATCTATGCATACATTGTAGAAAGATTCAATCAAACTAATTTACACATCTATCACTTCACTAATTTATCATAAACTTCTCACCCTAGAGCTTTCTTGATTTCAGATTTCTGGCTTCCAGAAGTGAGAAGAAATAAACTGTTGTTTTAAGCCACGAAGTTTGTGGTAATCTGTCATAGCAGCCCTGAGAAATTAACACATGGAGTTTTGCTGTAAGATGGCTAGTTTTCTTTCTTTTTTCTCCAGAAGTGTTACCTTTTAAATTTTAGTACAATATTTGACTCTCTCTTTATGTGTATGGGAAATGTATGAAAGTCAAAAAGTAAGAACCTCAAAAGATCTCAGTCTGTGGCCATGGTTAGGATTCAGGTAGTGACTGGTGTCAATCCAAACTTGAGTTTGGGATAGAACAAAGCTGACCTCATTATCTCTCTGACTTTGACCTTATTATCCCAGAACTCTAAGCCCATAACGGAACTGGTCATAGACTCAATACCGTGTCCTCAACAGTCTTTGCCCTGGCTCTGCAAACAAAGGTGCCAGATTTGAGACATATAATATCTTACATGATATAAGCCCAGATAATATTAACCAGCAAAGCAAGAGGAAGAAAGGTTCAATGGACTTTGGAGATAAACCTGCTCCTTTGGGAGTGGCTATCCTAACTCACAGGGCCTTGCTGCGTAAGGAAGGAATTCACATGCCTCCCCTGGGAGACCAGGGTATTTATAGACCGTAGGGGAGAGGAAGGATGGAGGCTCCTGGGAGACGTCATAGAGGATATGCAGAGGAAATGAAACTGCTCTGAAAGACAAACAGGAGGAATGGGGACCTGTGTGGCTATGGGAGAGGATCAGAAGGAATGAAGCAGGATGTAGGGAAAAGGGGGTAATTCTGTGGAGCTGGGCTGGGCTGGGGGCAGGAACAGAGGAACAGTTCTTCACCTCAGAGAATCTCTCTTAGGACTTATTCAGCTAATAAACTGTGAACCCTTCAAAGACATTTGAAATATAGCTGATTATCTGAATTCCACTGACAACATTTTTCAGGAACTTGGGTGTTGTGTCAAGGAAGGCGTATCTGTGGGAACCCCTGGTGTTCCTTGAATATATCAGACGATCTGAGAAGGTATGTAGTTTGCAAAGAAGTTGGAAGAAACAGAGAAATGGAATAAGCATTTCCAGGGCAGTTGGAGCCCATGTGGCAGTGGCTGAAAGGTGTCCCATGGAAGGAATTAGCATGTAGTGACTTGAATATAGTATTAAACACTTGAGATGTGAATAGAGATAATGTGGTTATGCTGCAAAATGGCTACTTCTCTAATTTTTGCAAACCTGATACCGTGTGATGGTTAGTATTTGACTCTGTGTGCTTGGGAAGAGGGCAAGTGTGAAAGACAAGATCTCGGTCTGTGGCCAGGCTTAGGACCTAGCTGGTGATCAGAATTAAGAGGTATTGGACATCAAGACAAGAATCACACAGTTAGCTGAAGAAGAAACCCCAGCAAAGTCCAACAAAGAGATTATTCCCTCAAAATGATTATTAGGATCTTTTGATTCACAGAATAAGTTCCAGGCTAAGTTTCACATAATGAACATCATGTCTCTGATTTAAATGGTCTCACACCCAGAATGGGAAAGTGAACCCATGAATATGGCTTAAGCATCTACTACTCTATGGCAAGCATTGTGCTGGCTGCTCTGGTGGTTATAGATGAGTTAGAAAGCTCAACTCTAGCCGTTAGTATCAGAAAGACAAATACTCAGTAATGAGAGAGTGAAAAATTCATGTTCTCTTGTGGTGGTTAACTGAGCAAAGATAATTTGTCATGAAGCTAGTTAGTGAGGCATCAACTAGCAGCTGGCCCATGCTTTTTTCCCCCAAGTTCCTGTTAAGTAGCTTCAGAGGCAGGGTAAGCTTTGAAGTTCTTCTTAAATACTTTTTCCCGATGTTGCTGCTACTGAACTTCTTTTGCTCATTAATTTAGCTTATGTCTTAAGGAACAAATTAGATGAGTGACAATGGGAAGACTCATTCTGAGATGCTCCAAAAGCGCTGGCCTATGGAATGAGAATCCTGTGCCTAACCACAGTCATTTTGTTGTGCCTATGCAGCCAGCTAGGGGACTGCTTGGCCAGTGAGCGCTACTTCTATGCTGGGAAGACACAGAAGGAAAAATAGGAGTTGGGATTTAGTTGAACCTAGGCTCCGTCCTGACTTTGCCACCAGCTTTCTGTGTAGCTTTGGGTAAGTCACTTTTCCTTTCTGGACCTCAGTTTCTCCATCTGCATAATGAGGGGGTTGGGGCTCTTGCTGTTATGAAATCTCTCTGATTGCTGGCCAGGGTCATCCTTCTTCAGATGTCCTCTCCCCACTCCACTTTTTGCATTGATCCAGTAAAAACAACTACTACACAATGAGGAGAGGGAAGATGGTCACATCTTTGTGTATGTCTGTTAGCTGTTAGTGTTGACCCATCTAAGAACCAGTTGGACAAGTTGTGATGATTTTGCCCAAATAGAGACACTTGATATGGATCATAAACCTAGAGCAATTATTAACAAGAATATACAATTCCTTCTTTCATTCAACAAACATTTATTGAGTATTTGCTTTGGGCAACAGCACTGCTGGTGAGAATATAAAAACGAATAAGACATAGTGTTACTATCTCATATAAGTCAGAGATATATACAAATACCCATGGGAATATGTAACATTTACACAATGCTTCCCTTACTATAAGAACCAAACTCAGTGCCGAGTACTTTATAGGTATTGATTCTTTTAATCCTTTCAGTAACAATGGGAGCTAGGTGCTAGCCCTTTTTTCTGATGAGGCACCTAAGGCTCAGAAAGGTTAATAATTTGCTCAAAGTTACCTATGTAGTAAGAGACAGAGCTGCCTTATTCTAGAACCCATGTGCTTAACCACTATGTACTTCATGGCTTCCTAATTCAAGACAGTATGAGTTAGGTGCTAGAAGTTCAAATAAAGTGATAGGTGGACCCAAAAAGTGAGAAACTGCTTCTTTTTTTTTTTTGGAGACAGAGTCTCACTCTGTCACCCAGTCTGGAGTGCAGTGGCGCGATCTCGGCTCACTGCAAGCTCCGCCTCCTGGGTTCACGCCATTCCCCGGCCTCAGCCTCCCGAGAAACTGCTTCTTGATGTTCAGTGAGGAAAGAGTGTGGGCTTTGAGGTTAGGCAGTGATATAGTTTGGTTCTGTGTCCCCACCCAAATCTCATCTTGAATTGTAATCCCCACATGTTGAGGGAGGGACCTGGTGGGAGGTGATTTGATCATGGGGTCGTTTCCCCCATGCTGTTCTCATGATAGTGAGTGAGTTCTCATAAGATCTGATGGTTTAAAAGTGTTTGGCAGTTCCCCCTCCCTCTCTCTTTCTCCTGCTGCCTTGTAAGATGTGCCTGGCTTCCCCTTTGGCTTCCACCATAATTGCAAGTCTCCTGAGGCCTCCCCAGCCATGTGGAACCGTGAGTCAATTAAAACTCTTTTCTTTATAAATTACCCAGTCTCATGAGAACTCTGCCCCCATGATCCAGTCACCTCCCACCAGACACCACCTCCAACACTTGGGATTATAATTCTACAGGAGATTTGGTGGGGACACAGATCCAAACCATATCAGAGCCCTTTCTTCCTGATCAGTTTCAGAAGGCCAGAGGATAGACCCAAAGGTGGGGGGAGAAGCAGGTCAGGAAGAGGAGAAAACTAACATCCAATGAGCAGGGGACTGTGCTAAGTATTTTACACACATTATCTCATTTAATCTCCCAACCATAATGTCTTTGTCCATTCCTGTTGCTATAACAGAATACTCGAGACTGGATAATTATAAATAATCCAAATTTATTTCTTACAGTTCTGGAGGCTGGGAAGTCTGAGATCAAGGTGCTGGCAGTTTCTGTGTCTGATGAGGGCCCAGTCTGTGCTTACTAGATGGTGTCTTGAATGCTGCTTCCTCTGGAGCGTTCAAACACTGTGTCCTCATATGACATAAGGGACAGAAGGGCAAAAAGGGAACTAGGGTGCCCCTTCCAACTTCTTTTATAAGAGCACTAATTAATTCATGAGGGTGGAACCCTCATGACTTAATCAATCTCAAAAGGCCCTTCCTCTTAACACATCACCTTGGGCTTTTAATTTCAACATATGAGGCCAGGCGTGGTGGCTCACGCCTGTAATCACAGCACTTTGGGAGGCCAAGGCGGGGGGATCACCTGAGGTCAGGAGTTTGAGACCAGCCTGACCAACATGGAGAAACCCCATCTCTACTAAAAATATAAAAAATTAGCCGGATGTGGTGGCACATGCGTGTAATCCCAGCTACTCTGGAGGCTGAGGCAGGGGAATCACTTGAACCCGGGAGGCAGAGGTTACGGTGAGCCAAGATCGTACCATTGCACTATAGCCTGGGCAACAAGAGTGAAACTCCATCTCCAAAAACAAAAACAAAAAAATTAAACATATGAATTTTGGAGGGACACATACATTCAAACCTTAGCACTTAAAAAATTAGGTACCATTATTATCCTCATTTAACAGAGGAAAAAACTGAGCCTCAGAGAAGCTGAATAACTTGCCCAAGGTCACACAGCTAACGAATGGGGTTGAGGGGCAGGATTTGAATTCAGTTATGTGAAACTCCAAAAGCTGAGTTCTTTTTAATGCCTCACACTGTTCACTTTAACCCACAAGAGACGTGGATGAGTCAACTGAACAGCAGTGGCTGGTGGTGACATAGGACAATAAGCAGAACTGAATAGCATGTGGATAGCTCTGATGAGGGGGGCAAGTCACACTTTGAACTCACATAGGTCAGCTATCTCACTTCTGTCCCCAACAATGCACTGAGTCCTACCCTTGCCCCCAGGATTGTCCCTCACCTTGACTGGAAACTGAGTCTTGCTGCTGACCACAGGTCCTGAGCCCCAAATGCAGCAACATTTCCAGAAATTTTACAGCTACTTGCTGCCTCAGGGCAGGAGAGTGTGGACAGTTTCATGTACCTCCTTCCCATCTCCAGAGAAATACCTTGAAACAGTGGTCCCCACATTTTTGGCATCAGGGATTGGTTTCATGAAAGACAACTTTTCCATGGACTAGGGTTAGGAGGGATGGTTTCAGGATGACTCAAGTGCATTATATTTATTGTGCACTTTATTTCTATTTTTTTTTTGTAATATATAATGAAATAATGCTACAACTCACCACAATGTAGAATCAGTGGGAGCCCTGAGTTTGTTTTCCTACAACTAGATGGTCCCATCTGGGGGTGATGAGAGACAGTGACAGATCATCAGGCATTAGATTCTCATAAAGAACATGCAACCTAGATCCCTCACACATGCAGTTTACAATAGGGTTCGTGCTCCTATGACAATGTAACGCCACTGCTGATCTGACAGAAGGTGGAGCTCAGGTGGTAATGGGAGCAATGGAGAGCGGCTGTAAATACAGATGATGCTTCGCTGGCCCATCTGCTGCTCACCTCCTGCTGTGAGGCCTGGTTCCTAATAGAACAGGGAGCCATAGTGGTCCATGGCCCAGGGATTGGAGACTTATGCCTTAAAACATTTATCCTGCTGATATTCATTCAATAGTATCCTGAACAAAAGACAGCACAGTGTTGGGCCGACAGTTGCTCACCTGACAGGCAGTTATGAAGTATCAATTATGTGCCAGGCATTGTGCTAGGTGCTATCACAGCAGTGACCTTAAAGTCTGGCAAATAGATACAGATATTCGAAAACTGGTCATTTCAATCTGATATTAAGATATCTGGGAGCCTACAAGGGGTTCAGAGTGGGCAATCAGAGCTGCGTTCCTTGCCTCATGGGCCTTGACCCCTGAATGGATATGGTGGTGATGGGTCCTCTCTGCAGAATTACAGCAGGCCCGTAGAGCACAGTGTGCAGATGCAAAAGTGTTCCTGATGCACTGTGAGAGGACCTACCAATGACAGGTACAGCCATAGCTGTTATGGAGAGGGCAAAGTCACTGTGGGCAAGGGTGTCCTGAGAAAGAAAGATGAAATCTTGGATCTGGGACTACGAAAACAGATGTGGCCAGGCATGGTGACTCACACTTGTAATCCCAGCACTTTGGGAGGCCGAGATGGGAGGATTGCTTGAGACCAGGAGTTTAAGACCAGCCTGAGAAACATAGTAAGACTCAGTCTCTACAAAAAATATAAATAAATTTAAAAATTAGCCTGGTATGGTGGTGCATGTCTGTAGTCCCAGCTACTTGGGAGGCTGAGGTGGGAGGATCACTTGAGCCTAGAAGTTTGAGCCTGCATTGGGCTGTGATTGCACTACTGCACTTCAGCCTAGGGTAACAGAGCAAGACCCTGCCTCTAAAAAAAAATGGATGTAATTTGGTTAAATGAAGAGAAGGATTCAATTAAAAAATGATTCTCCCAAGTGTCAGATCTTTAAATCTTACTCTAAACGCATGCCTTCAGCTTGGCTTGAATTTCTATTGGTTTGCTTTTATGCTTTTTTTCCCCTCACCTTGTACATTTTGAAGGCTAGGTAGGGTGGGAAAATGGATTATAGAAAAAAGAAGAATGAATGAATGCTCTAACCAATAGAACTTTCTGCAGTGATTGAAGATTCTATTCTGTGCTGTCCAATACAGTAGCCACTAGCCACATATAGGCAATTGAAGCGTGGCCAGTGGAACTGAGGAACTGAATTTTAAACTTCATTGGAAATATGATTAGTGGCTATTGTATTAGAAAGCGCTATGTGTTCCAACCACTTAGCAATATGCCATACACACCCTAGTAAAGGTGCAATTAAATATGAAGGCTTCTATTAACCTAGTTATGGGGGACACTTATTTGGGTGTGCATGGGCTTGCCCAATCAAGGATTGGAGCACCAAGTTTCCTAAAAACAACCCTGCAAGAGCTTATTCTTAATTTGCACGGTACCTTCAGGCACATTATCTCACTTAATCCCATAACAACTTTGAAGTGGGTAGAGCAGAGATTATCACCTCCATGAACCCCAGTAAGTTTAGGTGATGATGGCAAGGCCCTACAGCAAATGAGGGTGGAGACTAGAAGCCAGGTGTTTCTCCTCCTGGTTAGAAAATGCTTTCCATCCAGGCGTGGTGGCTAACGCCTGTAATCCCAACACTTTGGGAGGCCGAGGCGGGTGGATCATCTGAGGTCAGGAGTTCGAGACCAGCCTGACCAACCTGGTGAAACCCCGTCTCTACTAAAAATACAAAATTAGTCGGGCATGGTGGCGCATGCCTGTAATCCCAGCTACTCAGGAGGCTGAGGCAGGAGAATCGCTTGAACCTGGGAGGCGGAGGTTGCAGTGAGCTGAGATAGGGTATTGCACTCCAGCTTGAGCGACAGAGCAAAACTCGGTCTCAAAAAAAAAAAAAAAAAAAAGAAGAAAGAAAGAAAAAAGAAAAAAAGAAAAAGAAAAGAGAAAGAAAGCAAACTCTTTCCAGGGGAACAGTGAAGGGAGAATGGTCTCCTGCTACCCATGTCTGCTACTCATATCCTGGGTCTCAAGGATGAAGAGGGGTGCCATGCTTCACATGCTTTTTTTTTTTACTTGAGTGTGGTTAATGGGCCATAGGCTATTAATGAGAACCTTATCTTATTCCCTTCCTGCTACCTGAATTTAGGCAGTAAAGATGTTTTTGAAAATTTCATTTATATATTCAAAATTATGTATTGAGTACCAGTCATGTCGCAGGTACTGTTCTAGGTCTGGGGACACAGCTGTGAACAAAGCAAAGATCCCTCCCTTGTGGAGGTAACCCTTCTGGTGGAGAGAGACTGATAATAAATACATTGTGTATATATAGGATTTTTGCAACATTTCAAAGATATTTTAAATATGCCATGGTCTCTCATGTCTTTTATGGCACACACGCACCCTGTCCAATGTATCTTTTGTGTAAATCTGGACTTAACACTTCAAGCAAACTGCCTGGCTTGCTGAAAGGTGGAGACACCTTTCGATTCAGTCTTTTAATATGTGTTGAGTGCCACCTATGTGCAGAGCAAGATATTGGGGACTTTGGAGAGATCCAGAAGAGTGAGAAGACAGTATCCTACCTTAGGGGGTTCCCAGTCCAATGAGGGAAGCAGCCCCATGCCTTGGGAGCTCCCAAGCTATAGAAGCAGCTAACAATCGAGTCTGGAAAGGCAAACAACTTCAGGACCCGCTTCTAAAGCGGAATCGCAAGTACACGCAAAATGAATCCAGCCTTGACTGTGTGGAGTTGGGTAAACCACCTGCCTCTTACGTTGATGGGGAACTAGAATGAGGACAGCTCCAGGGAACAAGAAAGGGTAGACCATAGGAGCTGTCCCATGTCCCAACAGTGGGGAGGAGCTGATGGGCGGCCCCTGCTGGATTAGTGTTATCCTGAGAAGGCTTCTGGATGCGATGGGATTTGAGGTGCTGCTGCAAAGAATGAATTGCTCACGGAAGGGTGGGGTGGGGGCATTCCAGGTAGAGGGTGCCTCCTGGGGGATGCAGGGAACATGAGGGGCCTGGGCAATTAATCAAGCCTTGGGCACAAGCCTAGGCAGTCACCCCCAATTCAAAGCCAGTTGAAAATGCAGAGGAGAGAGGAGGGCCAGTGTTTGGTTGTCTTGACCAAACCCTTGAAGCTGGCCAGCGGCAAGGGCAAGGACCAGGGTCAGAGGTAGAGGGCGTGAGTGAAGGCAACCCAGACTGAGTCCTTCCCTAAGCGCCCAGGTTTCCTGACAGCTGTTAAGGAAGCAAGGTGAGAAAGGGTTAAGTGTGCCCCTCCACCGCCCCAAATGCTTCCTGTGTTTGAAATCCTTCAGGTCTCTGCAAACCCTCTGGCCCCCGGCCAGGCGGGCATTGTCCGGGGAGCGGTTGTAGGTTGTCAGAGAGGCCGCGCAGCCTTTGTTGTGGGGCCACCTCGGGGTTCCCTCTCGCGCTCACGCTCGGGCTGGGGCTGCAGAGTGCGTGCCTGGAGGGGGGCGGTGCGGGAGGCTCGCTCCCTCTCCCTCTTCCTGCCCCCCCTCTAGCCCTCCCGATGACCACATGACCAAGTGGGCTCGCGGCCAAGCCACAAGCTACAAAATGCAGCCCCTGGAGTGAGCGGGGAGCATTCTCTCTGGCAGCCGGGGTCACGGGCAGTTGCAGCCGCGGCCGAGCAGCCAGCCGCTAAGAAAGAGCTCGCCGCTGCCGCTCCCGGAGCCGCCGAGGCCAGCTTCGCGGCGCTGCCCCGCGGCGGGAGAGGAGGCTGCAGAAGAGCGGAGGCGGCCAGCGGGAGCGGCGGGGCTCAGCGCGCACACTCAGCGGCCGGGGAGCCTCCCGAGCTCTGCGCCCGCACGCGCCAGCCGCGGCTCGCGCCTTTCTTGGCCTCCGGGCGCCCGACCTCTCCTCCCCCGCGCCGGCTCGCCGGGGCCGCGGCGGCCCAAGGAGCAGCATGAATCTGCGGCTCTGCGTGCAGGCGCTCCTGCTGCTCTGGCTCTCCTTGACCGCGGTGTGTGGAGGTGAGTGCGCGCCCTCCCGCTCGCCCGGGCTGCAGCCGGCGTGCTCCTTTCCCTCCGCCCTATTCGCACTCTCCCCGCCTCCCGGGGAGCCCGGCGCGAGCCGTGCAGTAGCAGCCACGCGCCGGCCAGCGCCAGGCAGCAGATTGACAGAGCGCCCCGAGCCATGGGGCGGCTGGCCACAAGGACTGCTTCTTTTGCGGGGCTCAACTCGGCCTTTGGCATCACCTGCCCGTCACCTTGTCCCTCCTAACCGTCGCTCGCAGTCCCAGGAGCTCAGGACCACAGGTGTGCGCCGCGTGTCCCACGCCCTGCACCCCGCGTGGTAGAGGTGGAGGCGGGGGACATGCCCGCTCCCTCGTGGATCGATGGAAGGAACTGACCAGAGTCGAGTGGGCTGGGCTCCCATGTTGAACGTCTTCTGGTCCCTGAAGGCTGGGAGCCTCCCGCCAGTCCAGGGGCGCGGGAAACCGGGGATGATGTGCCAACATGCAGACGTGACACTTGTTGCATAGGCAGGAGTGCGCGGAGGGGGTGGCGGCATGGAGCCCAGCTGTTGCTCCTTTCGGCCTGCATGTGTGAGCAGAGGCAGCCTCCCCCAGGCAGGGCCGGGCCCAGCCGGGCTGGGCTGGTCTTCTCCTCCCTAACCCCAAGGTCCTGGCTGGTCTCCTCCCCTGCACAGGATGCCCTCCCCATAGCCTCCATCCCACCCCCAGAGACTTGGTTCTCTTACATCCTGGCTCCAGCCTTCCTTTCTGTCCCAGGCACGGACATGCTTCACTTTAGTCTCCCTGCCGCTAGGCACCAAAGGAGGAAGCACAGCACCTGACCCGACCCCTCCCTGCAGCTCAGGAAAGGGGAGTCCTTTTGCCCTCACCTGCCAATACTTGGCACTAGTGCCCATGTCCGCCCCTAGCCTGGTCCCCAACCACGCCCCAGCAGCCCCATCCCAGGCTGCCTGTCCTCTGTGTCAATGTCTCCTGGGGCTGCCAGCTCCCACCTCCAGCTGCCACAGTCCTATGATCTGGCTGTCATTGCTGCCTGCCTGGCACCACACAAGGGGAAGGCCAAGACCAGGTGGACTAACGCCAGGACCATGGCTGGAGTCACAGGGAGGTGGGAGCAGAAAGAAGGAGAAGGCAGGGCAGTGAGTTTCCTGGGGCAAGGGCACAGGGCCCTAAGTGGTTCCAAACCCTCCAGAACAGGAGGATGGCATGCAGCCCAGGAGCCTCCGAGGGGCCCAGCCAGCTCTGCCTGCCTCTCATCGCAGGCCACCTCCTTTCTCTGCTCTTGCTTTTTGGCCCTGCTGTGGCTCTGGGAACACTGCCTGGCTTCTCAGAAAGGTGCAGTGGTTGGGGCTGGCACCTCCTGCCTCCAGGTAGCTGGCCGGTGATTTCTCTATTCAAGACCTGAACACGAAGTGAGCCACCACCACAGTAAGAAGTGGGTAGGCTTTTTCCACAGAAACTCCTGTCAGGCAGGTAACAGAGGGAGCAAAAGATACGAATGTAAGATACGAATGATACACCATACCAGCCTATCCTCAGGGAGCCTACCATCTGGTGTCATTGGCAAGGCATGACACTTGCACAATACCACCACAGGCAAATAGTCCAGGGTGGTGCCTTCAGGGAAGAAGAAGACTGGGTGCAGAGAGTGTTCCAGAGGAAGGTAGGGCTCCTGGATCTGCACACTTGGTGCTCCCCCCAGAGGCTGTGGGGAGACCCCTGGCCAATAGACAACCACTCAGACCCTCCTGGGTCCCAGCCATTGGGACAGTACTAGCAAAGGGGAGAGAGCTGGTTTCAAGGGAAGGGAAGTCAGCCAGGATGCCCGAACACCATGTGGCTGGTCCAGAGCCTGCCACTTCGTGCTTTAATTCCCCCGTCTTCATTAGGTCATCTGTCCACTGTGATTTGGATAAATTCGTTGCCCTCACATTTTGCTCAAGCCTCGTGCTGGAAACTTTCAGGGCTCTCACTGACTTCTCTACTCCCTGACTTCTCCTGGAGCCAAGGAAGGGCATGTCCCTGGAAGTGGCCACCAGCCAAGGGTCCAGGTACACATGTCCTGCTCCCGCTGGCTCCTGTCCTGGGTTAGAAGCAGGAATCCCAGAACCACTTTGTCCTTGGCCCGGACTGGCATGCTGTCCCCAGCCAGAGTCCCCAGTCAAAGTTCCAGCCTGAAAACCACACTTCCTCCTCTCCACAGTCTGTCCTGACTTGAAATGTCCACCCCCGACCCCTCTCCACGCTGCCTCTCATCACCCCGCTACCACCACGTACACTCCTCCACTGCCTCCTGACCTGGGATACACTTTGCTCTTGTGAGTCTGAGAACTCCTGGTCCAGGGCCAAGTGTCCCTCGGTCTCTGAGCACCCCTCTTTTTCCCCTTCTCCTCCCCCTCCGCAGGCCCAGCTCAAAGCCTGCAGTCACAGTGGGAGTGTGAGGAGAGCCTACTGTACCCCTCCTGCTCAGGGAAGGGCATCTCTACTCCATCCCCAGTCCTCAGCACTAAGCACCCGTGTAACCTGAGCCAGGCCTCTCCTCGCAAAGAACTAAGGCAAGGGAAGCAGAGGGCCACCAGACAGAGCATGATGTATCCCAGGGCAGCAAAGCTGGCACTGGAGACAGCACAGGGCCCTGGAGAAGGCGACTGGGATGGGGGGCTGGGCAGACAAAGAGACACATGCAGGACCACAGAGCAGTGGAGGGGCATTGCCAGCAGGGTCCCCACCGGAGCATACGTTTGGGCTTTTAAAGTCATCACAAGACAGGCCAGACTGAGAGAGGAAAAACAGGTGCGTCATTCCTGATGAGACTGGCATGTTCCTGAAAAGTCGCAAGTACCTCTTTGTGCATTGGCAGGGTTGGAGTTCAGATAGCATGAAAGTCAAATCCTGTCCTCCCCCTGACTGTGGTTCTCAGCGTGGAGATGTTGTAGCTTCGTGGCTGATGGCACTTCAGCAGGCAATGGCTCCAATCTCTCTAGGCTCGAGATTGTTTGGAGGATTGCTCCAGCCTCCTTTTACGTAGCAAATGAGCTGGAAGAAAATATTTAAGTGCATTAGGGCTGGCCTCCATTTCTAAAGGGGAATTCTTTTTTACAGTCAAGACTTCTGCAGTGATGAGAATCAACAGCCTCTAATTTGTTCCTTTGGACAGCATAAAGCCAGGGTTTCAGATGTCAGCTTATCTGATGGTGAGCCAGACTCAGAATCAAAAGTAGGAAACAGGTGGGTGACGGGCTCAGAGTGCGGGAGGAGCCAGCAGATCTCGGTGATGCTGAGGACAATGAGTCCCCAACGCAATGGGAGGGATGCAAGAAGCCTGGGGCTGCTCTCCAGGGCCCGGCTGGGGGTTCAGTCAGCTCAGAGTGGTTCTTCTCTGCAGACCTAGAGTCTAGACATCTTCCTGGCCAGAGCCACCAACCCTGCTCCCCATCCTGACATATGGCCTCTAGCCCTCCCTTTCTGACTGCCAGACACTCACAATCTGAGCACCTGGAGATGATGCCCTCCCCCTCCTGGCACCATGCTTCTCTTCTCCATGTCTGCCACCACCCTGAGCTACAATGGCCTGCACCACTGCCCCATCCCTTCTGCACCCCCAGCAGTCGAAGGTGCAGAGGTGAGAGCCAAGTGTTGACTTGGTTCACTTCACAAGGCCCCTAGGTCCTTCCCCTGCTCCTTATCAGCATCATTCAGATCCGCCCTCAGTGATCAGGGTGAGCCTTGTGGGGACCCCAGAACTCAAGGCAGAGGCTGAAGCAGCTGCAGTGGGGAGCTTAGTGAAGGTCTTTCCTTCCTTTCCCTCTCCAGCCCCAGCCCCCTCACAGATGGCGCCAAGAGGGTAGCTCTATGACAGTCAGACAGAAGCAGCCCCCTTGTTCCATCCATACTTACTGCTCCAAAGTGCTAAGATAATTCTTCTTTTAATTCTCATAGGTTATGAATTTAAGGGATAAGTTGGCACGGAAGTGTGGCTAGTTAACCAAATGACCCAAGTCAACAGCGGGGTCCTCATGGGCCTGGCAATTTTTCTTGGGGAAAGAGGGAAGGAGGGTGCAGGCTTGGAGAATATGTGTTTATGTGTGTGTGTGTGGAGGGGGTGGGTATGTCTGGGTGTGAGTGGGGAGAACTGCAGGCTCAGAAGCCTGGGGGAAGAGGGCCCTAAGGCCAAACCCACCCACTTTTGGCCCAAGAGGAGGCTGAACACTTGGAAATTGTGTGCAAGCAGAGGAGGACTCACAAAAACCAAGGAGCCAAGGAAGGAACAGAGCGTGGGGATGTTGGAGGCAGAGGCAGAGGGGAAGGGGGAGCTGCCAGGGGTATGATTGGGGTGTGAGCAGCCAATGGGAGGCTCTATGGAAACTGTGAGCAAGTGGTGGGAATTCCTGGGTAGATGGCAATGGGGCTCGAGGGACAGGGATCTAGATGCAGGCAAATCAGATGGTGTGCAGGGGGAGAGAGACTGTTATTCATTATCTCTGGCCTCAGATGCTGTATCTGCACAGGCCTGTACTGGACATTGCACAAGTACCCTGCCTGGCTGCCTCTTCCCCAGCACCATCTCATCTCCACACACTGCCTGCCACCACCAGCCAGGCTTGTCTTGGGGGTGGCAGCTCAGCTTCCCTGCATGGACTGCAGGCTTCACGAGAGTCGGCCTGCATGCCTTTTCCCTCACTGCACCCAAGGATACCCTGCACCACTTGGATTCCATTGTCAGGGCTCAGTCTGGTGTCAGGAGGCCTCTACTCTAAGCCTCCTGACAGATGTGGACAGATGTAAAGAGGAGCCCCAGAGTGCAGAATAGAAGCCAGCTGGGATTGAAATGGAAGGAATTTACATGAGACACAGGATGCAGGGTGTGATCTGGGAATTTCAGGAGGTAGGGCATTGGTGGGGAGGTACCAACTGCAACAGCCCACCCCCCTCCTGGTGCACAGACATGCTGCTGAAGGTGACCATTGTTTCATTTATTCATTCTCAAATATTCATGCAATATTTATTGGTCTCTAAATCTGGTCTCAGGTCTCTAAATCTGGTCACAGCATGAGGCAGGCTGAGTCAGAGACCTCTCCCCCTTAACCCGCCTGGCCCAGCCCCATCCACTGGGAGGACTTGGCGCCCTAGAGATGCCTAACCACCGATGAGACACCCAGGGGCGAGATATGAGCTCCCTAGTACTCACAAGTGGGTCATCCTGCATATCAAAGGATGTAGGAGTACAATGACGTGATGTTCGGGATTTGCTTTAAAATACTGCAGTCAAGGAAAATAGAAAAGGGATAACTAAAGCATATGTGACTCCATCTGGATAACTGTTGAATCTGGGTGATGGGTCCATGGCGGTGGGAGGGTCATTGTAATGTCATATGTCTGAAATGTTTGAAGTGTACCAGTTGCAGGGGTGCCGTGGTGATTACTGCCTCCTGCCCCCCAGCCAAGTACAGGCGTGACAACCCAAAGTGCACACCCCCCAATGACGTTCCAAAGAAAGAACCCACTTGTGCCTGTCAGAAACATGATATAACTGTCAAAAGGACAGAAAGTCAGCTACATCAATGGCAAGATGTGAGTAGTAGGTTCCGTTTGTCCCAGGACAGTGCAGAAATGGCAAATTTTCCCTCAATATGAAAAAAAGAAACAAAGAAAATCTATGAGAAGTGCCACCACATGGACAGACCACCCCTCCCGCGGGCCTGTGGTCTGCAGCCCCTGCCCGTTTCCAACAACCTTCCTCACTAACAGGCTTTCTCCTTCCTGCAGGGTCCCTGATGCCGCTTCCCGATGGGAATGGGCTGGAAGACGGCAATGTCCGCCACCTGGTGCAGCCCAGAGGGTCAAGGAATGGGCCAGGGCCCTGGCAGGGAGGTCGGAGGAAATTCCGCCGCCAGCGGCCCCGCCTCTCCCATAAGGGACCCATGCCTTTCTGAAGCAGGTACTTGAGCCTCTGTTCAGTGGACAGTGCTAAAGCGGAGGGAGAAGGACAGCCTAGAAGCCGGGTGATCCTGCCGCTCATCACTGGCCAGACACATCCATCAAACAGTCCTGGCGCCACACTCACAGAGGCTTAGAGCTGGCAAGAGAGCTTATGGGGCAGCTGTCTAGCCCCTTTATTTTACAGACGATCTCCTCGTCTGAGGCCTAGAGAGGGGCTTGATACTTGGGGCCAGTCTCCCTTCCACCCTGCTGCCTGGGGTTGGGGAGGCTGGCCTGCTTAGAGATTTCTAGACATCCTGGTGGACCTTAATGGCTGGGGAGGGGTGCCCAGGGCAAACCTACAGATGTCCAGTGTAGATTGTCGCCAGAGTTGGGGAAGGAGGCAGAGAGCTCTAGGGGCTCTCAGGCAGAGAACAAGAGGACAGTTGTGGCTGTGGTTGCCCGGAGCTGTGAGAAGGAGGGAAGAACCAAGGTGGCAGCAGAGAGAGGAGAGCTGAAGCCTGCCCCTTCCCTGGTCTGCTGGCTGTCCCACTGCAGTGGGGACAGGCAGGCACCAACTCAGGGGCCTTGGGATTGAGGTTTGGGCTGAGTGGAGTTTGGGGGAAAGAGAAGGCGGTCTCCTCTCTCCTCTCCTTTCCTGGGGAGTTCCTTTGGCCTAGGATATGTCCATGACTTCTCTCTTGTCATTTTTGTCTCCTTAGGACTGAAGGGGCCCCCAAGTGCCCACCCCCGGCGGTTATGTCTCCTCCATAGATTGGTCTGCTTCTCTGGAGGCCTCACGTCCATTCAGCTCTCACCTCGCACCTGCTGTAGCCACCAGTGGGCCCAGCTCTTCTCACCTGCCTGCTTCCCCCAGTGGCGTGCTCCTGGCTGTAGTTTGGATGATTCCCGTTCTCTCACAAGAATCCGTCCAGTCCATCTTCCTGGCCCCTCCCTGGACTGACTTTGGAGACCTAGCCCCAGAAAGCCTCCCTTCTTCTCCAGGTCCCCTCCGCCCTAGTCCCTGCCTGTCTCATCTAACGCCCCAAACCTTCATTTGGGCCTTCCTTCCTCATGTCTGCCCTGAGCGCGGGGTGGAAGTGCTCCCTTCTGTGGGCTCCAGCAGATCCCTTGTTTTCCTGTCAGTTGGACCCCTCACCTGGCCTCCAGGGAAGAATGCAGAGAAAAGCAAGGAGAGACTCTAGTTAAGAGGTGCTGGCTGCGGGGATCCAGACAGGGCACATTGGGGGCATGGAAGTGCCAGGGTGGTTTTCAGGAGCTCTGGTGAAGTGGGTGGAGCATCAGCGTTTGCTCAGTTAAGGGAGAGGTAGAGAGGGGCCCGTGAAGTCCTTTGTCACTTCTCTTGCCTTAGTGTGCCTCCCAATACTCCCTTCTTCCTGCCCCCACACCCCATCCCCAGCTAGCCCAAGCTCCAGGTCAGGAGGGGAGGGTGCTGGGCCTGACATGGCTATATACCCTCCCAGGAGTAAAAGCCAAGCAAGAGGTTGTTTTTGCCAAGAATCACAGAATGTTAGAGCTGACAGGACCCTTGAAGGTCACTTAGCCTTCTTAGGCAAACGCCTGCAAAACAGAAGCCTGGAGAGGGGAGTGACCTGCTCAGAGTCATTGCAGAGCCGGGATGGGGACCAGGTCTCCCATCTCCTACTTTATGACGCCCTCTTCCCTCTTGATGATGTCTTTTCAAAGCAAATGAAGTGCCTTTTCCCGAGGCTGGGGCTGGGGGTGGCTGGGAGGGGAAGGGAAGGGAGAGGCAAGCTGGCTGTGAACTGTCCTGTTGTGGGGCTGGAGCTGCTCCCACCTCCCTGACCTACCCCTGCTGCACCATTCCCCCAGCTGGGCTGGAAGGTTCCATAACTGGCCAGCTGCCCCCATAACTGGCAGCATTCCCAGACCCAGGGTACTCTAATAGGGGCGGCTCAGGCACTGAGACTACCGCTCAACCCCAGGGTGGTTTTCAGGAGTCCGAGGTAGCCTTCAATCACTGGACTCCATGGCCTTCCCTTCGTGTTGACCGGACCTTCCTTCCAGGGCTTTTCCTTTGGGGGAGGCGGAGAGGGGAGAAGAAGGAAGGGAAGGGCAGAAGGAAGGAGGGAAGAAAAGAAAGCAAAGGAACAGAAGGAAGGAAAGAAAGATGGGAGGAAGTGCAGCAGGAATAGCACCCTCTCCCCGGGAGGCCCTAGCTTCCGTGAGGGGCCATCACCAGCCATTCCTTGGAGGGGGCTTTCTCCCCTTTTGCTTGAGCAGGGTTCCCAGGAGGGAGAAAGAGAAGACAAGAGCCTGATGCCCAACTTTGTGTGTGTGGGGACGGGGGAGTCAGGGCCCCCCAAGTCCCACAATAGCCCCAATGTTTGCCTATCCACCTCCCCCAAGCCCCTTTACCTATGCTGCTGCTAACGCTGCTGCTGCTGCTGCTGCTGCTTAAAGGCTCATGCTTGGAGTGGGGACTGGTCGGTGCCCAGAAAGTCTCTTCTGCCACTGACGCCCCCATCAGGGATTGGGCCTTCTTTCCCCCTTCCTTTCTGTGTCTCCTGCCTCATCGGCCTGCCATGACCTGCAGCCAAGCCCAGCCCCGTGGGGAAGGGGAGAAAGTGGGGGATGGCTAAGAAAGCTGGGAGATAGGGAACAGAAGAGGGTAGTGGGTGGGCTAGGGGGGCTGCCTTATTTAAAGTGGTTGTTTATGATTCTTATACTAATTTATACAAAGATATTAAGGCCCTGTTCATTAAGAAATTGTTCCCTTCCCCTGTGTTCAATGTTTGTAAAGATTGTTCTGTGTAAATATGTCTTTATAATAAACAGTTAAAAGCTGACAGTTCGCCCTTACTCTTGGAGGTCATGTTCAGGAGGGGCATTCCTTTCCCCTGGGGGTCATGGGTGTCCCCATGCCCACATATTGCACGTGCAGGGAGGTAAGTGCCTGCATCCCAAATCGGTTCTAGGTCAACTGGCCTCAAACTGATTTGCCATGAGCTCACAAAATGAATCCCTATGCTTAATGACCAGGTCACATAAAATCCAGCCCACTTACAGGTTTTCTGGCATCTGTTTGGGTGTCCTAATTTTTTTGGCAGTGTCATTTGAAGAATTTTTTTAAAGCAGTTTATTTAAGAACATACTGATTAAATGCAGGATCGCTACTAAAAATTGTTTTGTATCCTTGGTGGGTGTCTTCTGCTATTTTATCTACTTTTGAACACTTTCAGGACTTTTTAGCCAGTTTGCCTTTCTTGAAAAATGTTATGTTTTCAGCAATAAATACATTTGATAATGACTTTGTTTGTATCATTTTATGTTTCACAAAGTAGAGTTGCTTGATGAATGAGATAGCCTGAAAAATAAAATGCAAAGAGTTCAATATAATTCTGCCCCATCTGTCTCATCACTTCACGTTTGTTGTCAAAATGCCAATATCTTGCAGAACAGAAGGGAACATTGGGTACATGCTAATTTGGTTAATAAACCCATTAGGTGCACACAGGAATACACAGTACAGAGCAAAACTCAGTGAGAAGCAGAGAGGAGGGATCAAAATGGGTTCATTTGATAAATCTCGTGGGAAATCCTATAGATTTGACAAGTATTTAGTGCTAGAAATATACAATTTTAAAGAAAGGGTCTTCAAACAAACTCCCTAAAAAGTCATAAAAATGATCAATAGGAGAGAAAAATAGAAAAAGTCACCCACAAGCATACAAAACAATCTCATTATTGACAAAATGCTGCAAGTTGTGATAGTGATTTAAAAATGCAATGTTACGGCTGGGAGCGGTGGCTCACACCTGTAATCCCAGCACTTTGGGAGGCCGAGGCAGGCAGATCACTTGAGGTCAGGAGTTTGAGACCAGCATGGCCAACATGGTGAAACTCCGTCTCTACTGAAAATACAAAAATTAGCTGGGTATGGTGGCAGGTGCCTGTAATCCCAGCTACTCGGGAGGTTGAGGCAGGAGAATTGCTTGAACACAGGATGTGAAGGTTGCAGTGAGCCGAGATCACACCACTGTACTCCAGCCTGGGTGACAGAGCCAGACTCCATCTCAAAAAAAAAAAAAAAAAAAGTGATGTTACATTGGAAGTGCCTCTTAGGAAAACTGGTGCAAAATGCCTTATTTTAAAATTACTAGTTTGACTTTTAGGCAAACAGGTGGAACTGGTTTTAAGCAGAGGTTTCAGGTGGACTGGCTTTATGCTGATTAGTCTGTTACCTGCCTAATCATCCCCAAAGTTCTAAATTCACGTGAAAGCAAGGAGAAGGGAGTGGGGCATGGGGCAGGACAACTTAATACTGACCCATAAGGGTACAGTGAATTAGATAAGTGAATCTAGAATCTGGTCTTCAAATTCCAGAATGCAAACTCTTTCTACAGTACTACAGAAGGTCCCCTAACTAGAAAGAAGAATTAGGTACAATTTGATATTCTTTTTTTTTTTTTTTTTCCGAGACACAGTCTTGCTCTGTCTCCCAGGCTGGAGGGAAGGTAGTGGCGCAATCTCGGCTCACTGCAACCTCCACCTCCTGGGTTCAAATGTTTCTCCTGCCTCACCCTCCCAAGAAGCTGGGATTACATGCACCCATCACCATGCCTGGGTAATTTTTTGTATTTTTATTTATTTATTTATTTTTATTATTATTATTATTTTTAGTAGAGACAGGGTTTCACCAGGTTAGCCAGGCTAGTCTTGAGCTCCTGACCCGAAGTAATCCGCCTGCCTTGGCTTCCCAAAGTGCTGGGATTACAAGCATGAGCCACCATGCCCAGCTATGTTTGTTATTCTTAGTAAGTACAATACAAACTCATAGTACAAGAGGGCACAGTGTGGACTGGTGGGATCAGGGAAAGCTAATAGAGGCTGAGTGATAAAAACAGGCCCTAGAAGGCACAATAGCATTTGGTTAAGTTGGTGAAAGGATGATGGGCAGAGACGGCGGGGACAAGGAAGGGGGAGCAGCCACCAGGGTCTATGGAACCTACGTAGTCAACTGGATACTATTGGGTGGATCCAAGTGTGACCTCCTTGGGGCAGGGGATAAGGAAAAGAAAGTTGGTGGCTTCTGTAAAGATAATTAGACCTCAAACCAAAAGAAGGCTGAACATATGATATGCGTTGCTACTACCCTTTGGAGATATCTAGACCAAATAAATACAACAGAAGCAGAGTAGGGCATTGCTTTTCAAAATGCAGAGCTTAGGAAAAGAAATAGGAGTTCACTTAACTGATTGTTTCTGGACCGGAGGTCCTGAACTGAGAGGTTGACGAGTGGGGGCAGAGAATCTGAAAACCAACACTCTTTCAAATCCATCCGGAATTAGGCAGCCTCTGAAATGACAGAGATTAGGGAGGCAAACAGACTCAGACCACACACAGCTTTTCAGGACCCCAGGTGTGGTGTAAAATGAGCCATAACTGCTTAGAAATCTAACATTTCAGACTCTTCTGTAGGCCTAGCTGGCTTGGTACCCCCTGTAGGGGCTGGGCTCCTCCGTATTGAGGGAACCATGAGGCCTGGCCTGAGCAGCCATTCTGAAGTCCTTATAGAATTCGATTCTCCAAGCCTAAAGGTTACTCAACTGAAATTTCTCAATCCAAAGTTTCTTTCTGACCAGAGTGTGCCTGTGCCAGCTAACTGCCAAAGGAGATGGCAGAGATTTACTCAGTATCTTCCTCTCCTGGCTTGAGAAGGGCCGCTGACTCAGCCAGCATTTCTTGGTAACTCTTGAAAGGAAGGCTTCTTCTCTAGGACTCCTTTGAAAATCCAGCTTTTCCTATGCAGTGGCCAGTGCTCAGAGAAGGAGCCCAGCAAGGGACTCCCCTTGCCGCTGTCTTGGACTTCAGCCAAAGGCCCAAGCCGCATCCAGGACACTTCCTTGAATGTTTCAAATCAGCCGCCAACAGACTTTTTCTGTAAAGAGCCAGATAGTTTTCTTGACTTTTTGAGCCATATGGTCTCTATCTCAACTCAAACCTCTTTGAGTTTGATGCTGCTGCCTACTTTTTAGCACTGTGATCAGGATTGACTGTGATGATGCAGGTAAAGTTTTTGGCACATGCAAAAGCAGCCATACACAATACATACACCAGTGGACATGACTGTGTTCCAAAAAAATCTTTATAAAAGCAGGTGGCTTCCCAGCCCTGTCTCAAATGAAGCATCAGCAAGCCCTTCAACTCAGCCCCTGAACCCTTGCCTGGAGTCCAAGGGGAAGACTTACATTCTGCAGCAAGGTGTAGAATTAAGTGATTTAATACACTGGTTATGAGATGGCCTCTGATAATAATCATACTAACAAAGTGATTCCAGTGGAAGGGGAAGTCTGGAGTCAGATCAGGGTTCAAATCCTGGCACTACCATTTACTCACCTGTGTGACCTTGCAGCAAGGGTCTTGATCTGGATGAGCCCATGTTTCTGCTTTAGGCAGGATGCTGCTGCCCAATTTATAGCACTGTGGTCAGGATTGACCGCGATGATGCAGGGAAAGTGTTTGGCACAGTGCCCGGCCCATGTTACAAGCCTACCAAGTGGGAGCTATTATTATCTCTGTTAAGCCTCATTCTAGCCCTGAGAACTGGACAGGGCAGCCATCATTACCCCAATTTATAGATGAAAAATCAGGCTCATGGAGGTGAGGTCACTTGTTCAAATTCATAGAGCCACTCATGGGTGAGTAGAGCTTCAAACCTGGGTCTGTCCCCGGCTCAGGTCAGCTGCTGCTATGGTTTGAATGCATCCTTCAACTTCATGTTTTGGAAATTTAATCCCTAAATTCATATGTTGATGGTATTTGGAGGTGGTGCCTTTGGTAGGTAATTAAAATTAAATAAGGTCATCAGGGTTGTGCCCCTATGATGGAACTGGTGGCTTTATAAGAAGAGGAAGAGAGACCTGAGCTGGCACACTCTTGCCCTCTTGCCATGTGATGCCATTCTACCACGTCATGATTTAGCAAAAAGTCCCTCACCAGACGCCAGTGCCATGCCCTTGGACTTCCCAGCCTCCAGAGCTGTGAGCTAAATAAACTATTTTTTTTATAAGTTACCCAGTCTGTGGCTACAGAAAACAAACTATGATAGCTTCCCTGCTTCTGCTAAGGGTCCTCTTTCCCACCATGAGTGTGCCTCAGTCACTAGAAATTTCCGGTCTCCCAGATAACCTTTAGGGCCTCCCCAGGGACAGATTACGTCCTCGGCATTTTTCCTTGTAGAAGCTTAGCTTGGGCAGCAGCCCAGGAGGCCTCTCCAAAGGTGTTAAGTGCTCACCATTAGCACCTGATCTGTCTGGAATTGTGGAGCCAGGCACCTGTTCCAGCACACCTGCTTGGCCATTGGGGTTCCTTTCTGCACAAGGCCAGGGGCTCAGAAACGTGGGTTCCAGTCCTGAATCTGCTTCTACCCAGGGCTTGCTGGGTAGCTTAGCAAAGTCTTTCCTTGGCCCTTTCTGGGTCTCAGCCTCCTCACCTGCCCAGGACACCTGGGTGGGTAGATGTGAAGCACCTGCTTGTGACTAGGGATTTGTTGGGGTCCCAGCTAACAGTGGGGGGTGATTCAGGCTGCCCTCCAGAGGCAATTCAGGACCTGACCCAGGGACCTGTAGGGAGGAGCTCTGGGAGAAGAATTAGGCATATGGCAGGAAAATGGGAACCTAAGCCAGTGAGGAAGTCCACTGCTGGGTTACGTGGGTTGCACAAGCTTCCCATAACCCCAGGGCCTGCTGGAACCTCCATTCCATACTTCTCCCTTTGCACAAATTAAATGCTTTCTGATCTTCCCTGAATGTTAAAAAATTGGCACACTGCTGCAGAGCTAGCCTGGTGGTGTGAAACTTGGGGTTCTGAGCTCTGGATCCTAACCCCAGCTTGGTCAGTAACTGGCTGTGTGACTCCAGGCAGGTCTGTTCATCTATCAGGGGTCCTGGTTCTCCCTCATCTATTTTCATAGGATGACAATCTCTGCTTTCCCTACCTTAAACACACAGAATCATAGAAGGGCAGAGCTGACATGAGCCTGAGAGATCATTCAGTACCCTAAGCCCTGTTATTTTTACAAATGAAGAAAGTGGGACTCAGAAAGGATAAGTGAACGCTTAAGGAACATAGCTAGATAGTCCTAGCAAACTCATGTAGAGCGCTTCTCATGTGCCAAGCACTGTTTGAGGAACTTCACCTGTCCTGACTTAGTCAGTCCCCATCACAATCCCATTTTATAGCTGAGGAAACTGAGTCACTGAGAAGGTAAGCCATTAGTCTAAAGATCTTCTGTGGTATGTGCAAACGAACTGAGAGAAACAAGGTGGCATTGCTTTAAAGGAAGGCAAAGGCACTGCTGAAATGCCAAGCATTCCCTCCAGGGCTGCAGTCACCTCTCGTCTGTAGGGGAGGGGCTTCGCTTTGGCACCCTCAGTCCCAGGGCAACAGAACTGCTTGTGATTTGGGGGCTGTGAGAGGCCTGTTGGAAAGAGGGTGCCTCTTTTTCCATCTAGGCAGAGACATCTCTGGCTCCCTCCCCAGCAGGTGTAGGGATAGAGGCTGGTGACTTTGGCATACGTTATGGGGGGTTTCATCCCCCATGTCTCTAGGCTCCTGAGCTTTCTGGAAGCCTGGAGTTCCTCTCTCCTTTGGAAATTCCCAACTCCTCAGATGTGAGGGATATGGAAAGATAAGAGAGGATAAACAAAGCAGGGAGGAAAAAGGTCCCAGTGAGGAGTGCAGGGGGATGGAGGAGGGAATCTCACCACACAGCCCCTTCCACCTCCAGCACTGCAGAGACCTTCTGATCTGATTATCCTCTTTCATCCTTCCCTCTACTCTGGGCTACCCTCTAGCTCAGCTCCACAGCCTGCCCCACCCCCATTCCCACTCCCAAATTGCCTGTCAAGTTTTAGGTCCCATGCCTTGTGTAAGTTTCAAAAGGAGCTCCCCTTCTCTCAATCTATGCCCAAACTTTTAGAACCCAAGCCTATAAAGAGCTCTTTGGCCTACCCCTACCCCAAAACAATCAGCTAAAAAATGCCTACCCTTGGCCAGGCGTGGTGGCTCATGCCTGTAATCCCAGCAGTTTGGGAGGCCGAAGTGGGTGGATCATCTGAGGTCAGGAGTTCGAGACTATCCTGGCCAACATGGCAAAAACCCGTCTCTACAAAATACAAAAATTAGCTGCGTGTGGTGGTGGGCACCTGTAGTCCCAGCTACTCAGGAGGCTGAGGCGGGAGAATCCGTTGAACCTGGGAGGCGGAGGTTGCACCACTACACTCCAGCCTGGACGACAGAGCAAGACTCCATCTCAAACAAACAAGCAAAACAAACAACAGCAAAAGAAAAAAAAAAAACGCCTACTCTGTGCAGGACACCATGCAAGGGACAGTGGAGGAGGAACAGTGGAGAAAGACTTGGTCCTCACCTTTCCTCTGGGAGGCACCAGCGAAAGGTGTGTGGTGAGGGTGTGACATCCCTCATTAGCTGTTGTAGCCACAGCGCCCTCTGTACCACTCCCCCGCAACCCCAGGGATGTTCTCCTGGCCCTGAGCCTGCGCACCGGCCTCAGCAGGACCTGCGAGGGAGGGAGCTTCATACCCATCTTTTAGGAAGCAGAAGCAGGGAAAGCCTCAGCCTAAGTCACCCAAAACCCATTTCCAGTGCTCTTCTAGTTTCCCCAGACTTCCCTTCCCAGGTTCTCCACCTTCCTCCAATTCTCCGGGTCCTCCAACTGCCAGCCAAGGCTCCCCTCCCCCATGAATCCTCCCTGGATGCTCTCCTAGCCCCGATGGTCACCTGCAGGTGAGGCCAGAATTGGAACCCAGACTTCTGCCCGCCACCTTCAAAAGCCTTTGTGCTCGCCAACTGTACACCTCCTCACCAGACTAGGCATGGCCATAGCCACAATGGAGGTGACGATGCTGACAGTGATAATGAGGGAATGTAATGATCATACCTTCCAGCATGGGATGCGGAGACTTAAACATCCTGACTCCTCCAAGTTCCAAGCCTGGGTCAGTCACTTCACCTTTCTAGGCCTCAGCTTTACCTTTTCTAAAATGGAAGTAAGAATCCCTGGCTCCCTCTCGGGCTTCTAGTGACTGAAGTTTCTGAAGTTAAAATGTTTGGTACAGTAGAGAGTGCTGTGTGTGTAACGGGGAAAAAACCCCATCGTTCTCAGCGGGTACCATGAAGACCACCCTGTTTGCATGTGAAAGTGCTTTTTGATCTGTAAAAGAGCTATGGGAATTCATTTCTCAGCATTCGCTGAATGTTTATTGAGGGCCTACTTTGTACCACATTCCTTAATACCTGGAGAGGGAAACAGATGTTATTCAAAAATCACAACCGAATGTCTAACCAGGAACTGTGGCAAGGGCCCTGGAGGCGAAAAACAGGCCTCTAGGAAGTTTATCACTGAGTGCACGATCTGGGGTCAGAGAAAGCTTCCTGGAGGTGAAGTGGGAGCTGACACCTCAGGAGTGAGTAGGGGTTAAGCTGGAGAAAGGAGGTCTCAGCAGAGGGAGCACAGGGCTTGTGTCCAAAGCACCAAGGTGGGAGGAAGCAGATGTGATTTATTGTTAAACCCATTTCACAGACAACGAAGCAGGCCCTGAGAGAGGCTGTGACTTGCAGAATGAGAGATTCCACTGAACTCCTGTGTGCTGGCTGATTCCCTCTGTGGCTCTAGGCTGGGCAAGCAGGATGTACTATGGTCACTAAGACATCCTCTTCTGATAACTTGCCCCAGACTCTATCAATTCACCAGCTGAATATGAGGGGCTGAGAATTCCTCACCCACAGGAGTGGCTGGCTACATGCATCTGGGTCAGCTTGATGGCCGGACACTCTGGAAACTTCTTATATGTTTCCCTTTCTTTGCAGTCGGCCTCTCTTTCTTCTCCAAGCCTGCTTATTCTTTGGGGGAAACCCAGTGTGTCATGAGAGGCTGCCCCCTGCTGGCTGAGTCCTGGAACTGCAGGGACTTCTTCAGGCTTGCGTCAAGTCTAGGCACAGGCCATTTTAAGAAAGTTCCCGAGGTCATCTCCTCTTTCCTGTTCTGCAGGAGGTGTGAGAACGAGCAAACGCCAAAGTGTGTGTAGAGGAGTGGCTGACTGGCGTTCATCAAAGACGACTTTTTTAATGGGGGCAGCTCTAAAATTGCTTCTGCTCCAAGATTCTGAGTCTGAACAATTTTGTGGGTGTGCCCCACTGACTTGAGAGGATGCCTCTACAGGTCATGGGCATACGTGGGCTCCATGCATGTGCTTGTGTGAACACCGAATGGGTATGCATATTTGCTCCACGCTGTGTAGCATATTATAGTCCGTATGCATGTTCACTGAGAGAGGGAGAGAAGTTGCCACCCAGAGGCACCAGGGGTGAAGTCTGTGAGGGCAGAGGGCAGCATCTGGGTCTCCAAGGCCAGGCCAGGCCCCATTTGCATCCTTACAGGACTGTCCTAGGCTGTCTGGCCCTCGAGCTGTCCCAAGGAGCTCTTCCCTCAGTGAACCCCATGTTCCCACCAGTTTTCCCCCTACCAGATACACCAACCCTGCCCACCCCCCCACCACCAGCTGCTGTGGGAAATCTCATACCTTCTGGTGGCCATAGGCAGATCTGATTCCTGCGTGTGCTCATGGGACCTCTCAGGGAGCAAACCCTCCCTTCACCCGGCCCCTGCCAAGGCCCACATCCAGGGCTGCTGTTTTCCTCTATCTGGGCTGGTGCATCCCTATAGCGTGTTTCTGGCCAGCAAACATTCTAATCAGTTGGTGTCCAGACCTTGCTGGCTATTAAAGATTTTTCACTATTGCCCCTGTCCAATTCCCATACTCCCAGGTAACGTGTGCATTTTAACCTGGAGCTTCATGAGGCCATGAGTTAGGGCGTTACTCTTGTTCTCAGGCAAAGTTTTTTTTTTTTTTAAACAATCCTTTCTCATTGCTCCTCCAAATGGCATGAAAACACTAGCCCACCTTGCTAGTCTCGGCAAGCAAAATCCCTTGGTGAGGCCATGAGCCATCCGTTAAATACTTGAGCTATTAAGTTGAAAGCAGAAGTGTCAGATCACAGTTGAATGACCCCCTTGGACTTTGCCCAAAGGGAAAGCTTTCTGAGTGAGCTCAGAGGGATGGGAGCTCTGGAGGCTCCAAGTTCAGCTCCAAGTGAGTGCTCACACGCAGGCCGAGCCTTGTCCTTTGCCCATGGGTGGAGCACACCAGCCACTCCCGCCGCATTTCTAGGAAATACCCCCTTCTGCTCCCTGGCTTTGGCCTCAACTCCTCCTTGCAGAAGTGCAGACAGTGGAAAGCTGATTTTCATAGGTTATTGTCATGCTGGGCTCCTCCTCCGCCCAGCCCATGACTTGCTCCTTCCCAACTGCTGTCCTCCCCTTATGGCGGCCCTGGGGACTGTGAGGTGGTGTGACAGAGAGAAAGCTTCCATCCCAGTTGTGCCACTTGGTAGGTGAGCCACTCTCCCGCTCTTAGCTTTACTTCCCATTATCTATCACAGGGGATGGTAACTGTGCCCTTTGCTGTTGTCTTTAGGCCCAATTGAGACATGGATCCAAAAGTACTTGGAAAGGAAAACTATTGCTGGAAGCACGCAAGTGGTGATGAGCTCAAAGCTCAGAGGTGCTACCCTCAGCCAGCTCTCTGGTCAGCACAGAATCTTACCCTTGCCAGAGTCCCTTTCTGATTTTCCGTGTGCAGGAAGATTAGTGACCCATAGTCATATAGAATCCCAAGCTTGTCAGGGACTTTAGTTGGGCCATCAAGGGATAATACAAGCTACCATTTCTTGAGCAATTATATGTTAGGTACTGTTCTAAGTGCTTTATATATTATACGCATTTCATCCCCACAACAAGCCCATGAGGAAGAAACTCTTATCATTCCCATTTACAAATGAGGAAATCAAGGCTCAGTATGATTAAGTGAATTGCCCAAAGTCACACAGCTGGTAAACTGAGCCAAGATTTGAAGACTGGCTATCTGGCTCCAGAATCTGAGCTCTGAATCATTGTGCTCTGCGGGCTCTACATGGCCCTCACTGAGCAGGATTTTTTGCCTCTGCTTGTACATCTCCAGTGATGGGGAGCTCATTGCTTCCCAACGTAGCCTGTTCTAACTTCACTTAGCTGTGGCTGCTGGAAACTTCTAGCATGTCTGGCCAAGCCTTTGGTGATCCAGACCACACAAAGATCTGTTTCCTGAAGGCTTAAGCAGGGGATAGGTGAAAAACAGGAGGCTACAGAAAGCAAGTATTCTCCCTGTACCCCTCGACACACAGAGACCCCCCGATTCCATTCCTTTGGGCATGTCAACTCCTTTTCCTCCAGTGGAGGTTGACACAGGAAGTAAGATGGTCCCCTCCACCTCAATATACTTTTCAATTGAAGAGAGTTGGTGAGCCCACCTGTTTGCTCCAGTTAGAGCCTCGGACATACGCAGTGCCCACTGTATTAATGAGCGTGCACTAAATACTGAATGAACGAATGAATGAATGAATGGGCATGTGAATGAAGAACAGGCTCACAGCCTCCTTTCCTGCCAGCCTCAGTCTCCTGGAAGAGTTAGTTTTGCACTGTGCTTTGAGATCCTGACAAGCAGCATTTCCATGGTAACGAGGCATAGACCTGCCAGTCTGCAGGGCCAAATTCTTTCCTGTCACATGGACTGTTAGCTCGCTCCGGAAAAGATCCTAAACTACTGTCAGTGTATGCAGAGCAGGTCACTGTCAGCTGGGAGACCCTCAGAGTAGGCACTGCTGGGCAGATCTCCCAGTGCCTATCTCCTCTGGGAACTTCCCGGACTGATCGACCTTACTGGAGTTTCCATGGTAACAACACTAGGCTAATGGGTTGCCAGGGTGATGGTGTGCTACTGCTAAGATTGCATGGACTGGACCACACAGGGCCACTGAGTTGAAAAGATGCTAATAACACCTTTTGAGTTTCCATGACAACAACACTCGAGCACCGGGTAGGCTTTGTCCCAAATGCAGATTAGGCCCCCGCCCTCCACACTCTGGGAGAACGCCCTGGGAGGTTGGGCCACTGGGAACTGTCGTACCCTCCTAAAGGAAAGAGGTGGCCAGGGCCTGTTCCTCCTCCTCAGCCTCTTCCCTGCCCAGGGCCCCTTGCCATACTGTTCCTCAGGGCATCTGGTGGAAGTAGCCTGGTTTTGGGCAGTTGGAACTGTCAGAGAGGAGTTCTGGGACAGAAAGACAGCTCAGGATGGGTGGTGTGGGAGAAAATGGAGCTTTGGGGTACCTTTGGGATCCAGTGCCTCTCTTGGTGTATCTGCTCCCAGGCCAGGGAACTCATGCACTCTGGGATTGAGGAAGTGGCCAAGGAGCTCTCTTTCCCTATCAAAGCCAAAAGCATGCGGTCAGAGTTTTCAAACTTTTTTTTTTTTTTTTTTTGAGATGGAGTCTCGCTCTCTTGCCCAGGCTGGAGTGCAATGGCACGACCTCGGCTCACTGCAACCTCCGCCTCCCAGGTTCAGGTGATTCTCCTGCCTCAGCCTCCTGAGTAGTAGCTGGGATTACAAGTGCCTGCCACCACGCCCAGTTATTTTTATTTTTATTTTTATTTTTGTATTTTTAGTAGAGACGGAGTTTTGCCATGTTGGCCAGGCCCGTCTCAAACTCCTGACCTCAGGTGATCCACCTGACTCGGCCTCCCAAAGTGTTGGGATTACAGGCGTGAGCCACTGTGCCTGGCCTCAAACTGTTTTTTTAAAGCCTTGGCACATATAAATTCCATCAAAGCAGGCTCAGGGGCCCAGAGCCCCACCCATTCAGTCTCATCCCTCTCCCTACCACAGAGTTCCCTGAGGCACCCAAGCTTCTGTGGAACACAATTTGAAAAACCTCTGGTCTAGGCCACTCCATCTCATAGTCCAGACAGAGAGGCTGAGAACCAGAAAGGGCAAGTGACTTGCCCAAGGCCCCATCGCCAGCCATTAGGACAGTCAGAGCTAAAACAAGAGTCTCACGTTTGTAGGGTTACTCCCAATCCACCAGGACGTTATTGACCTCTAACTTGGGTTCTCTGACTTCCAGAAGACCACTGGAGCTTCTGCCCTTCCACTTATTCATGGATCTGGGGATCTGGGGAGGAGAGAAGTTTCCGTTGTGGGGGCAGGCACAAATGTTTAGAACGAACCTTCCAGATGTGACATTTTTAAGCACCTACTAAGTGCTAGCCATTATGGTAGGATATGCTTTCTATGCTGGTTGGTTGTCATCTTTTTCTTTTTTCTTTTCTTTTTTTTTTTTTTTTTGAGACAGGGTTTCACTCTGTTGCCCAGGCTGGGGTACAATGGCGCGATCTCACTGCAACCTCCACCTCCTGGATTCAAGAGATTCTCTTGTGTGCCATCACGCCTGGCTAATTTTTTTATTTTTAGTAGAGACGGGGTTTCACCATGTTGCCCAGGCTGGTCTCGAACTCCTGACCTCAGGTGATCTGCCCGCCTCAGCCTCCCAATGTGCTGGGATTGTAGGCATGAGCCACAGTGCCTGGCCCTGGTTGTCATCTTATCTCTTCTTTATAAAAAGTTATTGAGACAGGCATGGGTATCTTCAACAGATGAGAAAACAAAAGCTCAAGGGGAGTAAACTGAAGCTTGGGTGTATTAAACATTGAACATCTCTTTAGCAGGGACGTCTCCTTACTAGCTCCAGGAGGGACCACTGGGATGAACGCTGACCCATGGCCTATCTCTGGTGACATTGGGCTGAGGCAGGTGAATGCATTCAAAGCATTAGAGACGCCTTACTGCCTGCTGCAGCCCCATCCCCTCACTAAGTCTGCCCTGTCAGGGATGACTGTAGGGTAACTCCAGTCTCCAAGGCCAGGCATGTGTTATTTATTCACAACATGACACAGCTGCTGGCCACAACAGACAGAACATCTTGTGGGTTGGGTTGGGGGTGGGTGGGGCGGTGGTTCCTAGTTGCCATGGAAACTTGAGAAGGTGTCAGGAACACCACATCATGTAAACATTCCATAATTATTCATTTGGACTGGGGCGGCAGCAGACAGTCACTTCGCCAATTACTAAACGCTTGGCCTTGCTGGGCCACGTCCAAGGCTGGTGGGCCTGGTGGGTGTGGTTCCTCCTTTGGCTGTCCAGGAACCGCCCAAGCGTGTGGGCTGCTGCCAGTGGCTTTCCTGGGACTTCACTGGGGCTCACTGAGCACTGAGCTTTCTCCAGTCGCACCCCTCCACCAGGGCATCCTTCCCCTGTCTTAGTCTGTTTGTGCTGCTATAACAACATACCTGAGACTAAGTCACTTATAACTGGAAATCTCTTTCTCACAGTTCTGCAGGCCGGGAAGTCCAAGATCAAGCTGCTGGCAGGTTCAGTTGTCTGTTGAGGGCAGCTCTCTGCATCCAAGATGGCACCTTGTTGCTGCATCCTCTGGAAGGGAGGAACACTTGTGTCCTCAGGTGGTGGAAAGGACAGAAGAGCAAAAGGGAAGGAATGCTGTGTCCTCGCATGGCAGAAGAGGAGAAGCCAACAAACCAACTCCTTCAAGCCCTTTTATAAGGGCCCTAATCCCATCCATGAATGCTCCACCCTCATGACTCACCTCCGAAAGTCCCTGCCTCTTAATACTGTCATATTCGCTTTACGTTTCGACACATGAATTTTGGGGGACACATTCAGACTGTAGCACCCTCCTTTGAACTCCACCTCCAGTAAGATAGCCCTTCTGCCTAACCCTGCCTGCCTCATGCCTCTCCTTAGTTCATAACACCCCTCTTTCATCTGAGCTTGTTTGCATTTGCTTGCTTTTGCTGTAGCAGGGATCATGCTGGATTGGGAGTCTGAGCACTGACTCTGGGCCCAGCTCTGTGACTCACCCACTGAGTATTCCTGGGCAAGGCCTTTGACCTCTCTGGGCCTCAGTTTCCCTCTCTGTAGTCTGTTTGCTAGTTGCTCTCCCCCTCTAGACTGTGAGCTCTCTAATTGCAGGGACAGGTCTCTGGTCCATTGCTGTAGTTCCAGCCCCCTGTACAGGCACATAGTAGGTGTTTAAGAAGTGTTAAATGACCAGAGATAATAATGGGCTGCCCTGTACCCTCCTCTTCCACTCCTATTCAGATTTTTCCACCCTGGTTCAGTCTCCTTAGGGCCCTGCTATCCCTGCAAAGGTCTGAGAAACTCATGGCAAAGCCTTCATTGGGCTAATGGCCCTACCATTCCTAAAAGAGGCCAGGAGCGAGATACTTTAAGCTCCAAGATAGAGGTAGGGTGGAGACCTTGGGGCCTCTGGCAACTCCAACTTGTTCCCTGCTATGCCACCTCCAAGCAGGGGTGGCTGTGAGTGTGTGAATGAGTGGGCCTTCAATCCGCAGGGGCATCAGCTCCACTACAAGCTGCCTTGCTCAGCGAAATGGCAGTATAACCTAGTGGTTAGAAGCATAGGTATTGAAGTCAGATGGCCTGAGTTCAGATCCCAGCTTTACTTCTTATCAGCTGGGAGACTAAGGGCAAGGCACTGAACTTCTCGGGGCCAGTTTCCTTATCTATAAGATGGAGGCAATGATAGTGCCTGCCTCATAGGGACCATGTGTGTTAATGCTATGTGTGTGTGTGTGTGTGTGTGTGTGTGTGTGTGTGTGTGTGTGTGTGTTTCTGATAATGCTTGGCACCAAGTAAGCAATCAGTAAAAATGAAGGGGGAAGCAAGAGGGGAGCTCTTTATCCCAAGTAAGGGTGGGGCATCTCTCCCTTTAATCTACTCCCTCCGCTCATTGCCATTACCCCAGTTTCTGGTCAGAGTTGTCCTACTTTCCCATGGGAAAAAAGCCCAGGCTGGCTATTCTAGTGTCACTGATCTGGACCCAGCAGGACCCAGACCAGGGCAGAGTTTTTTATTCTCGTGGCCTAGTCCGTCCCAGCTCCCCTGCAGCAACAATCAGTTTCATTTATTTATTTATGCTGCGTTTGTTGAGCACCTAGTCTATGCCACTCGCACGCTTCAAGTGTTTCTTGGATCGATTCTCTAAACTCTGCTTAGAGGAACTCCTACCTTAACTGTTTGACAGTCCCTTTTTCTTGAGCATCGAGTCTCCTCCAAACTATGGCCCTCCCATTCTGCCACTCAGTGGCTCTGTGATCCTGGACCAAATCCCTCCCCATTCTGTACCTCAATTTCTTTAGCTGGTAAATGAGGGTCTGGAAGGTTTCTCTGGGGCCCTGTGTAGCTCAGGTTGTTATAGATGACTGGTTCACTGGCTCCTTGTCCCAGGGTCAGAATGAATTGTGTGTATCCTAGGAGCTCACAAAGGGCAGGGCTTGGAAGTTTGAGCCCCTGGTTTCCTGCCTGCTGGGGTAGACACAGTCTCCAGTCTCAAGGTGCTCCAGGTTTCCTGGGGAAAAACTAAGGCCCATGGTGGGAGCAGGGGTGGGGCAGGATTCCTAAAAAGGAGACCTCCATTTCCTCAGTAAGTTTCCAAATGTTGCCCAAAGTGGGCTGGACTCCAGCTGAAAGGCCTTGCCAAGGCTGGATAAAAGCAGCTCCCCAGCTCTCACTGGGGCCTTCCAGGCCTGGATGGAAACTCTTTTACTGGGCTTGTCAGCTGCTTGGAGAGCCAGCGGGACTGAGTGGCTGGAAGAGGAAATAATGGGGACAGCTCATTCGCAGTGAGAGCCAGGCTCCCAGCCCGCCTGTCTTCCATGCCGGCCCTTACTTGGCCCACGTGGATGCTCCCCACAACACTCCCTCACTGGGCCTAGAGTCCCACTGACCCGTGGCGTGCATCTTACCAGCCCACTATGCAGGGGCTTCCCCACACCACTCTCACAACTTCAACCTTAATTTGGGTTACAGCCCCTTGATTGATAGTCAAGGAATTCTCACTCATTTCCAGCCATTGCCTGGCCTGCTTGAACTGGAAACTCATTCAGTTCCCTGTGGGGGAAGAGAGTTCTCGACCTTACAGACACAAGGGAGAGGACTTGAGCAGAGGAGCAGCATGCTGAAAGTGCTGAGGCCTAATGAGAAGCCAGCACTAGACTAGAAACACTTAGAGATTGGATACCTGAATTCTAGTCCTGGCTTGGCCGTTTATTGCCTATATGACCTAGGAAAAACCATGTCACCTCTCTGCATCTGTTTCTTCATCTAAAATAGGGACAAAGCGATCCCTGTTCTGCTAACCTCACTGGATTGATAGGAGGCTCAAGCAAGCCTGTATAGTCATCCTTTGGTATCCACGGGGGTTTAGCTCCAGGACCCCGCATATACCAAGATCCATGTATACTCAAGTCCCACAGTCAGCCCTTTGAGACACATACACAAAAAGTCACCCCTCCATGTACACAGGTTTCACAATATGCGAATACTCTATTTTCAGTGTGTGTTTGGTTGAAAAAAGAAATCCACAAATAAGTGGACCAGTGCACCTCAAACCCACATTGTTCAAGGGTAAACTGTTTATGGAAAAGTACTTTTTTACCTACAGAGCACTGTAGAAATGTTCAGGGGTAGGTGACAAGATGCCCTTCCTCTTCTCCTAGGAGCCTGGCGTCCACATTTCCCCTTCCCCTCCACCATTTGCATTGGCTTCTTCCCCTTGGCCCTCAAATGTGCTCAGAGATCCCCTGTCCCTCCACTGACATTTCTTACACTTTACCTTCCCCACCAAAGTTCTGAGACAAATGGTCTACACCAGACGTTTTCCATCCTCCTACTCCTGCTCTCTGGCTTTCACTCTATGCCCCTCCTCACTCTTCATCCTCCTCAAGGTCTCTGCAGGCATTTCAGCCAATCAATCCTGCCCCCACCTCAGTCCTTTGGTTTCCATGCTTGGAAGCTTCTCTGATAGTCCCCAGTAATCCCCCATCCTGGTATTCCTGCCTTTGTCTAACCCCGTCCCCTTGCATATGGGCTGGACTAAGTGACTCGCTTCTAACAAATAGAATATGGCAAAGATGATGGGCTGCCATTTCCAAGATTAAATTGTGAGACTGACTCCTGCCTTTCTCACACACTCACCATCTCTCACTCGCTTGCTCTGAGGAAGCCAGCTGCCATGTTGTGAACTGTCCTCTGGAGAGTTCTGTGTTGCAAGGAACTGAGCCAGCCAATAGCCAGCAAGAAACTGTGGCTCTGGTCTGATAGCCAGTGAGCACCTGAAGGCTCCTGTTGACAGCCATGTGAGTGAGCTTGGAAATGGATTCTTCCCCTGTTGAGCATTGAGGTGACTGCAGCCCTGGCCAACACCTTGACTGCAGGTTGTGAGGGGGCCCGAGGCGGAGGGTCCAGCTAAGCTGTACTCAGATCCCTGACCCACAGAAACTGTGAAATAATAAACTCACTGTTTTAAGCCACTAAGGTCTGCGATAATTAGCAAAGTAAAAACCATTGCTGTTTCTTTCTTTCTTTCTTTCTTTTTTTTTTTTTGACAGAGTCTCGCTGTGTAGCCCAGGCTGGAGTGCAGTGATGTAATCTCAGCTCACTGTAACCTCCGCCTCCTGGGATCAAACGATTCTTCCACCTCAGCCTCCCGAGTAGCTGGGACTACAGGTGTGCGCCACCACACCTGGCTAATTTTTGTATTTTTAGCAGAGATGGGGTTTTGCCATGGCCGGGCTGGTCTTGAACTCCTGACCTCATGTGATCCGCCCACCTCAGCTTCCCAAAGTACTGGAATTACAGGTGTGAGCCATGGCACCTGCCCTATTGCTGTTACTTTCCAGCACCTTGGACAACACAGCTAACCAAATATCACCGGGGAGAAATCTAGCTGGTCCTAGCTTAGTAAATAAGTCCTTGTGAAATCAACAGATATGATGTGTTCCCTGTTGCCTGGGAATTAATGATCCCAGGCACACAGATGCAGGTGAACAGAAATACTCAATCATTTACTATCTGTGTGCCCAGCACCACAAAGCGTTATATCACACTCTGTGGAGTATAAAGAAGCATTCGGAAATCCAAACAACCCCAATTATCCTGATAATAGGGCAGTAAGTACGTAAATTGGGACATATTTATATAATGGAATACTATGGAGTTAAATGGAAAGAGCTAGATGTTTCAATGTGAAAAATCTCAAAAACTTGATGTTGAGCAAAAACAGCAAGTTGCAAAATGATACGTACAGGAAGTCATTGATGGAAAGTTCGAACACTCATAAAGCAATCCTGTAAATTGTTTATAGATACAATGCACTGGACAAGTATAAAAAACACACAGGAGCTGGGCGTGGTGGCTCACGCCTGTAATCCCAGCACTTTGGGAGGCCGAGGTGGGCAGATCACGAGGTCAAGAGATCGAGACCATCCTGGCCAACATGGTGAAACCCCACCTCTAAGAAAATTACAAAAATTAGCTGGGTGTGGTGGCGCACCCCTGTAGTCCCAGCTACTCGGGAGGCTGAGGCTGGAGAATCACTTACCCAGGAGGCGGAGATTGCAGTGAGCTGAGATTGTGGTACTGCACTCCAGTCTGGCAACAGAGCGAGACTCTGTCTCAAAACAAAACAAACAAACAAACAATAACAACAACAAAATAGGAAAGTTATAGGCATCTCCCTTGAGCTCCAGACTCATGTACTAAACTGCCTATCCATCATCTCCCTTTGGATGTCCAATAGGCTTCTCAAACATAATGTGACCAGCACTGATTGCCTGATCCTCTCCTCCTGCATACCTGGTCCCTTTGAAGTAAATGGCAGTACATGACAATTCCCATGTGGCTGAGGCAGAAACCTTTTTTTAGAAAACATTAGATTCAGGGGATATATGTGCAGATTTGTTACATGGATATATTGTGTGATGCTGAAGTTTGGGCTTCTATTGATTCCATCACCCAAACGGTGAACATAGCACCTGGTAGGTAGTTTTTCAACCCTTGCCCTCCTCCTTCCCTCCCACCTTTTGGAGTCCCCAGTGTCTATTGCTCCCATCCTTATATCTGTGTTTACCCAATATTTAGCTGCTGTTTATAAGTGAGAACATGTGGTATTCGGTTTTCTGTTTGTGTTAATTCACTCAGGATAATGGCCTCTAGCTGCATCCATGTTGCTGCAAAGGACACAATTTCATTTATTTTATGGCTACATAGTACTCTATGGTGTACATATACCACATTTTCTTTGTCCAGTCACACTGATGGGCACCAAGGCTGATGTGATTCCATGTCTTTGCTGTTGTGAACAGTGCTGCGATGAACATGCGAGTGCATGTGTCTTTTTGGTAGAACGATTTATTTTCTTTTGGATACATACCCAGTAATGGGATTGCTGGGTCAAGTTGTAATTCTATTTTCAGTTATTTGAGAAATCTCCAAACTTCTTTCTACAGGAGCTGAGCTAATTTACAATCCCACCAACAGTGTATGAGTGTTTTTTTTCTCTCTGCAACCTCGCCAACATCTGTTATTTTTGACTTTTTAATAGGAACCAGTCTGACTGGTGTGAGATGGTATCTCATTGTGGTTTTGATTTGCATTTCTCTGATTAGCGATGTTGAGCATTTTTTCATATGTTTGTTGGCCACTCATATGTCTTCTTTTGAGAAGTGTCTGTTTATGTCCTTTGTCTAGTTTTTAATGGGGTTGTTTGTTTTTTTCCTTGTTGATGAGTTTAAGTTCCTAATAGATTCCAGATATTAATTAGTCCTTTGTTGTTTGCATAGTTTGCCTCTATTTTCTCCCATTCTGTGGGTTGTCTGTTTACTCTGTTGATGGCTTCTTTTGATGTGTAGAAGCTGTTTAGTTTAATCAGGTCCTACTTGTCAATTTTTGGTTTTGTTGCATTTGCTTTTGAGGACTTAGTTATAAATTATTTACCTTGGCCAATGGCCAGAAGAGTATTTCTTAAGTTTGATTCTAGGATTTTTATAGTTTATGGTCTTACATTTAAGTCTTTATTCCACCTTGTGTTAATTTTTGTATGCGGTAACAGGTAGAGGTTGAATTTCATTCTTCTGCATATGGTTAGCCAGTTTTCCCAGCAGCATTTATTGAGTAGGGTGTCCTATTGGGTATTCCCCATTGTTTATTTTTGTCCACTTTGCTGAAGATCAGTTGGTTGTAGGTGTACAGTTTTATTTCAGGGGTCTCTATTCTGTTCCATTGGTCTATGTGTCTGTATTTATTTTTGTACCAGCACCATGCTCTTTTGGTTACTGTGCCCTTGTAGTATAATTTGATGTCAGGTAATGTGACGCCTCTGGCTTTGTTCTTTTTGCCCAGGATTGCTTTGGTTATTCTGGCCGTTTTTTGATTCCATATTGATACGGTTTGGCTGTGTTCCCACCCAAATCTCATCTTCAATTTTAGTTCCCATAATCCCCACATGTCATGGGAGGGACCTGGTGGGAGGTAATTTAATCATGGGGGCGGGTTTTTCCCATGCTGTTCTCATGATAGTAAGTTTTATAATATCTGATGGTTTTATAACGGTGAGTTTCCCTACACACGCTCTCTCTTGCCTGCCACCATGTGAAACATTCCTTTGCTCCTCCTTCACCTTCGACCATGACTGTGAGGCCTCCCCAGTCATGTGGAACTGTAAGTCCATTAAACCTCTTTTTCTTTATAAATTACCCAGTTTTGGGTATGTCTTCATTAGCAGAGTGAGAACAGGCTAATACACATATGAATTTTAAGATTATTTTTTCTAATTATTTGAAAAATGATGTTGGCATTTTGATAGGAATTGCATTGAATTTGTAGATTGCTTTGGGCAGTATGGTCGTTTTCACAATATTGGTTCTTTCAATCCATCAGCATGGAATGTTTTTTTCATTTGTTTGTGTCTTCTCTGATTTCATTGAGCAGTGTTTTGTAGTTCTCCTTGTAGACACCTTTCACCTCTTTGGTTAGCTGTGTTCCTAGGTATTTTATTCTTTTTTTGGCTATTATAAATGGGGTTGTGTTCTCCATTTGGTTCTCAGCTTGAATGTTATTGACATATAGAAATGTTACTGATTTTTGTACATTGGTTTGTATCCTAAAACTTTACTGAGGTTGTTTATCAGATCTAGCAGTCTTTAGGTGAAATCTTTAGAATTTTCTAGGTGTAGAGTCATATTGTCAATGAATAGAGATAATTCGATGTTCTTTTTTTGTTTTGAGACAGAGTCTCACTCTGTCAGCCAGGCTGGAGTGCAGTGGCGTGATCTCAGCTCACTGCAAGCTCCGCCTCCTGGGTTCCCGCCATTCTCCTGCCTCAGCCTCCAGAGTAGCTGGGACTACAGGTGCCCACCACCACGACTGGCTAATTTTTTTGTATTTTTTAGTGGAGACGGGGTTTCATCGTGTTAGCCAGGATGGTCTCTATCTCCTGACCTCGTGATCCACCCACCTTGGCCTCCCAAAGTGCTGGGATTACAAGCGTGAGCCATTGCGCCTGGCCCGATGTCCTCTTTTTTATTTGGATGACTTTTATGCCTTTCTCTTGTCAGGCAGAAACATTTTGAGTCATCTTTGATTGTTCTCTTTACATCCCGCCTCCATCTAATCCATTGACAAATCCATCTACCTTCAGAATATATCTATATTCTGCTCACGTATCACCACATCCACCATTACCACCACGGCCTAAGACACCATCACCTTTCACATGGATTATTGCCAGAGATCAAGAAATTATTGCAACCAATCTCCCTGTTTCCACCCTTGTCCCCCTACAGTCTATTCTCAACACAACATCTGGAATAATCACTTACAATCTAAGTCAGATCATATCAGACCTGTGCTCAGAACCCTCTGGTAACTCCCTCCCATCTCTCTTATTACAAAGGCAAATGAGGCCCCACAGGATCTGGTCTCCATCACTTCCCCAGCCTCACCTCCTACTCCTCCTCCTTCGAGCCCTCCACCCCACACTGGCCTCCTTGTTATTCTTTATTCACACTAGGCACATTCCTACCTCAGGGCCTTTGCATTTGTTTCTCCCTTGGCCCTGAATGTCCTTCTTTTGAATATCAGCATTGTTTACTCCTTCACATCCTTTAGTATTTGCTTTAAACATCACCTTCTCCAGTAAAACCTTCCCTACCCACCATATTTTAAATAGTAGATGGGGACTGGGGTCAGCTTCTACCCAGGAAGTTTTGCCTGTCAGTCAGGGGAGGCTTCCTGGAAGAATGTCAGTCCTGTACCCACAGCAAAAGTAGCTTCTGGCCCTGACACACCTGATGGCTCCCCTGGAAAGATGGGTTGGGTGGGAGTGTGCATGTGAGAGCATGTACAGAACTGTGTGGAATGGGTAGAATTTGGAATGGAGGAGTATGGCTGTGTTTATGTAACTCTGCGGGTAGCTGTGTGCAATACTCAGGAGGGAGAGGGGGAAATACTTGGCTGGGGCCTTCAAGGTGAGTTCAAGACACAGAGGCCTAGGTACCCCCTCAGATTTCATCTTTGACCTGAGGTAAGTGTACTTGTAGTGCTAGCCTAGCCAGATTCTCCCACGCACCACAGCATCCCTTGAGGGGCCAGGAGGGCCGGGTGACTATTAGGTCAAGCATCTGAAGAGGTGAAGACGAAGCTTCAGGCATTTCCCCTCATGAGCCAAAGGAATGCCGGAGAAGCCCCAGAAGCCCCGAGAACAATGGGGAGTTGACAGCCCCTCTGAGGACTTGTGACGTGGGCCCTGAGGGGGGGCGCACAGCTGCCTGCCAGAACCTGGGGCAGGGGAGAGGGGTTGGCAAGGTTACAGAGGAGCCCCTGGAATCCTTGAAGGAGGAAGCCGGAAGCAGCTGGGGATGACACTGACAGGCATTTCCCGCCTCAGGATGCCCTCCTGCTTTCTTCACTGCCGCTGCAGCTGCAAAAGCAAAGCTGCAGCTTCTCTATGGCCTCAAAAGGCAGGTCTTGAGGTTGGGAGCTGTAGGGCCCCAGTCAGACCCCCTACTCCTTGCTTCCTTCCCTCTCTCTGAGGAAGGCAGGCAGCCCCCACCCGATTCACCCTGCCTAAAAGGCAGGGTACCTTTTAGGCCTAGGGAAAGCAGGGGGAGATTAAGGCCATTGTCTTTTTTTCTGTTTTTGTTTTTACAGACAGGGTCTCTCTCTGTCACCCAGAATGGAATGCAGTAGTGCGATCATGGCTCACTGCAGCCTCGACCTCCTGGTTCAAGCAATCCTCCTGCCTCAGCCTCCTGAGTAGCTGGGACTACAGGCCGGTGTCACCACACCCGGCTGATTTATTTTTTGTAGAGATGGGGGTCTTTCTATGTTGCCCAGGCTGGTCTTGAACTCCTGGTCTCAAGTAATCTTCCTGACTCAACCTTCCAAATTGGTGAGATTATAGATGTGAACTACTGTGCCAGCCAAAGACAACTGTCTGTAGCTCTTTCCCTGCCTGAACCCAGGCTTATGCTTCCTTTGCCAAAAGTAGGGCTGGTCCTGAGGGCATCTGGGCCTGGAAGGTGTACTTACCCTCTTGCTGTTTCACTGGGCCCACACCAGGGCGGGCTAACTGGGCATTGCTTAGCCTCCAAGTCTTCTATAGGTGCTTCAGCGAATAGCACCAGGCCCCAGGCAAATTGAGGCCTCTCTGTCTGGAGAATCTGTCTCACCTTAGTCCCCTGTTACATGTTTCCTCCATATTTTTTGCAGTGCAGCGCCCTCTAAGCATGCTCCCATTGACATAGGTTGTGATAATAACCTGTCCTCCAAATTTGTAGTAATCATGGCCACTCCCTTAGTGAACCTTCACGTCGCTCAAGATTTTAGCACAGGGAAGACAGGCTAAGGTTCCCAGCATAGAAGCAATAGCATCCTCTGCCCCCTTTGTTCTCCCATTTAAGAATATGGGTCAGAGGGAAAGTGACTTTATTCTAGGGATAACGCCTCCCTTATTTGTAATAAGAATAATCTTGAATCTAACCTCTTTTATGATGCAAAGTCACTTCTTTGCAAACTTTGATACTTTTTATTAGTAACACACCTTACAATTGATCTACCTCAACTCTGTTGTTAACAGAGATGGCCCCATCCAGAGCCTACTCTGGAATTCGATGGTATAAGAGGGTTTCCAACAAGTGGTTTTCCTGCAATTGCCCCAGCCGAGGTGGGGTGGTGGGGACTATGGGTCCCCACCAGATGGCAGGCAGCAAGGCCACCTCCTGGGCTGTGCACACAGCAGCAACAGCAGTAGTAATCAATGATAAGAACACACGTCAGGAAATATAGACACATGGAGGCCTTCAACATGAGAGAGGGAAAGGTGCTTACAGATCACATGGACCTTGCTGTCCAGAACCGTCACCATGAGCCACATGTGGCTATGGAGCACTTGAAACGTGGCTACCACAAAACAGAATGTTCTCCAAGGGTAAAACACACAATGGAATCTGAAGACTTTCTATGAAAAAAAAAAAAGAATGTAAAAGATCTCACTAATATTTTATATTGATTACATGTTAAAATGATAATATTTTGGATATACCAAATTAAATTAAAAATATACTATTAAATATACATAATTACAAAGGGACACGAGGAATCTTCCGGGAATGTTGCATGTGGTTCACCCTCTTGATTGTGGTGATGGTTTCAGGGAGGTCTACATATATCGAAACGTGTCAAATTGTACACTTTAGATATGAACACCTTATTATATGTAAATTGTATCTCAATAACACTGTTTAAAAATTCCTCAGTGGCTTCCCCGTGGCTACTCTAAAGGATAAAAATAACTAAGTTCTTCAGTTTATTTTTTTCAATGTGGCTACTAGAAAATTTAAAATTACATATTGCATTATTATCTATTGGACAGGGCTGGTCTAGTGATTCCAGTCCATTTTACAGATCATGAAACTAAGGTCCAGAGACAGGAAGGGCCTTGCTCATATATTGCTTAAGGGCTGGCACCAGAATGCACAGGGCAAGACTACCTATGTTGGTAAAAAATACTTAGATAAGCTCTGAAGAGTAGAAAGTGATACCCATCCCTGATTTAATACCCTTTATAGGTGCCAAGGCCTCAGGGGGCAGGGGAAGAATTTGGAGCAACTTCGGAAACCCTGGAGGGAAAGAGAGGAGCAGGGAGAAAAGGGGACAGAGGAGCCAGAGAGGTGTGGGAAGGCTGTCCACTGTGTGAGGTGACCACATCCACCTCCCAGGATTTCATCCCACCAAAGATCTTTAGTAGATTCCACTACTCACATTTTCTTGGTGGGAACTGAGAAAGGGTCTAGGTCTGGTGCTTTGGTCAACAGTGTGAAAGCAGAGACCAAGCTCAGAGCTGCAGAACGTGGGTGGTAAGAAGGCCATGAGGATATAACTCTTCCCTCTTCTTCCACTCTAAGGGAAGGTGGCTTAGAGTGGGAAAAGGAAGGTGACTTCAAGCTCAGTCTTTAAGCACTGGAGGACAATGGGTCTCACAGCACTTTAAGGGGTGCAGTAGCAACACTCACCCCAGGCCTGGATCAAGAAAAAGTAGCCATGCCCCTCTGACCAGACCCAGCCCAGACAATGCTGCCCATTTCCCAGAGGGCCTTGCTGAGCTTCACTGGCCAAACACTAAGCTCTAAGGCAACTGTTCATTCAAGGATTTCAATATTAATTCCTAATGCTTGGCAGAGTGCTTACTATGTACCAGATACTCTTCTAAGTGCCTTGCAAATAGTAACTCACTTAGAAATTCAAAAATATCTTGGGCTGGGGTCTTGACTTGCACTGTTCATGGCACAGGGGTAGAAGGGGGCTCAAAGCAATGTCATTTAGATCTCAAGGGGCATAGAGGGCCCTGATGACTCAGAGATCCACTCGCATGATCAAAATCGTAAAAGTTAAGAAAAATATAACCAGAATGACTATAGCTTTATTTCCCATCTCCCAACCCTTGATTCAACCAAAAAGAATTAAGGAAGCTTCTACTACAGGCAAAGCCAACATCTACCTCCATGCTATGTGCTATGATGTATACAAAAAAGTCATGGTCACTTGCAGCACACAGAGAAGTCATTTCAGCAAGAAGTAGCACCAGCAAAGAACAGAAATCAGATAATAGAGTAGTTAAAGGTATGTGGGGGTGCTGAGTCCTGCCTCAATGGATGATGGATCTGACTCAAGGCAGTGCTGGCTATGTCTAGAATCTTTGGCCAGGAAGGAAAGAAGGGAAAGCAAGCGGGCAGCATCTGGAGGCCCAAGTTCAGCAGCAACTGGGTAAGTCATATGAGAAGGGGACCAGCGGGTTGCATTTTGAGGGAAGGGAATGTGTAGGCTTTGGCTCTTAGTTCAAGATTGATCTGGCTCTACTGTAGAGCCAGAATCCTGGGATTCAGGTGGGCATAAAGCAGCCCAGATCTGGTCCAGGATGCCTCATGGTTACCATCAGGGGACAACATTGCTGCTTGGCATATCCCTTCACTGTGTTCCCTGTTGACTTTGCCCCAAGCCTTGCCAGTGCTCACCAGGAAGGCCTGATAAGGGAGGAGTGACAGATCTATATGAGCCAGTACCAACTGTGACACACATAACTCGCTGGCGAAGAGTCAAGTCCCTCACTTTCTGGTGGGGAGGCCAGCCAGGCTTAACAAGCAGCTGTGCTCTCCTCCTGGGTCGTGTTATCACCCTTTCAACTCCATTCAATCCTTCTCCCAGGATCTGTTGAGCAACTACTGGGTGTAAGGCCCTTTGGAAGTTATGGAAGAGTCCCAACCCTCGGGTAGCAGATACATGTGCATACATTGTTATGATACCAGGCATGTAGCTCCCCAGGAGAGATCTGGTTAAAAGGCTATGGAAAGTTAGAGGAGGGAGAGAACATTTCCACTGGGGTGGATCAGGAGAGATTCACTGGGGAGGTGGCATTTGAGCTGAACCTTGAAAGAGGGTAGGATTTCAATATTAATTCCTAATGCTTGGCAGAATGCTTACTATGTACCACATACTCTTCTAAGTGCCTTGCAAATAGTAACTCACTTAGGTCTTACCACAATCCTATAAAGTAAGTGCCATTATCACACCCTTTTAACAGACATGGAAATAGAAACACAGAGAGGTTAAATGACTTGCCCAAGGCCACATGGATGGTAAGCAATGGAGCCCAGAATCAAACCTAGACAGATTCCATGCTCATCACCACTGTGCATACTGCCTCTTGGATGGGCAGAAATGGGGATGTGGGCAGAGTGGTCCAAGCAATAGGAATAGAATAAGCAAAGTCAGGAATGCAAGAAAATGGCCTACTCGTGGAAAGCGGGTATGCATCTGATATGGCTGGAGTGTCTGGTGCATGAAAGGGAGTCAAATAAGATGGGGTAGGAAATAGGTGGTGCGGTGGCTGACACCTGTAATCCCAGCATTTTGGGAGGTTGAGGTGAGTGGATCCCTTGAGATCAGGAGTTTGAGACCAGCCTGGAAACATGATGAAACCCCATCTCTACTCAAATTACAAAAATTAGCCAGGCGTGGTGGAGCATGCCTGTAATCCCAGCTACTCGGGAGGCAGAGGCAGGAGAATCACTTGAACTTGGGAAGCAGAGGTTGCAGTGAGCCAAGATCACACCACTGCACTCCAGCCTGGGTGATGGAATGAAACTCTGTCTCAAAATAATAATAATAACAATAATAATAATAATAATAATAAAGATGAGGTAGAAAAGGAAGATGGCTTTAAGCTCAGTCTTTAAGCATTTGAGGATGATGGTTCTCATGGCACTTTAAGGCGTACAGTAGCAACTGATTCAAGGAAAGGTAGGCATGCCCCTCTGACCAGGCTCAGCCAAGGCGAAGCTGCCCATTTCCCAGAGGGCCTTGCTGAGCTTCACAGGCCAGCCACTAAGCTCTATGGCGACTGTTCATTCGAGGACAAGAATGGAAAATTCATCATGCTCAAGGCAGGAAATTCCACAGTGAAGGCCTCTTGAGCTATATCATTGCAACAAGAGCCATTCCCCGTGCAAGACAGGTCCCATTCCTGTTTTGTTTGTTTGGGGACTGAATGTTGTTATTCCCTGCTCTGCCTGTGTTTATGTCAGGGAACGTTTACCATCAGAAAACAAAGTCCAGGCAGTAGACCCACCAATGCAGCCAACCACGGAGCCCTTCACTCTGGCATTTCCGGGCTTGTTCCCACCTGATGGATTTCTCAGTTGAACAACATCAAAGGTCTTCTTCTAGCTTCCCCGCCCCCCGCCATCTTAAAGGGACTGTGCTGCTGAGAGGAAGCCATTTGATGCTGGAAGCAAAGCAATTTCTGGACTTGGCATCCTCACCTGTCTTCAGCCTGAGTGAGAAGCAAAACAGGCTTGTCCCGCAACCCCCAGCAAGCAGTGGCACAGATCCCAAGGCCTGGACCCTCAGGCTTTTCTGCTGGTGGATGTATATCCACAGGAGCCAACAGGGCCCAGTCCTGGGAGAGCAGCCCTAAGACAGCAGTTCTTGCTGAATGAGATCTCAGAATTGGAATGAAAAGCAGGAGAGGCAACATCACCAGCTTCCAGGATGAGCACATTTATCTTGCAGATAAAATAACTGAGACTCAGAAAAAAGGGAGGAGGGTGACAAAGAGACCCCAAAAAAGGGAAAGAGAGTAGAGGAGGGGAATGGTGCGGAAAATAAAGGCTAAAAAGAGAATAGAATGGGAGTTGGAGGAAAAAGGCTACCCCTATGGCCTCTGCAACCTTCTGGCCAATGGTTCCTCTATGCCTTTCTTCTGCCCCCAGCCCTGACCCCCACTTCGCATGCTCCACCTCTCACCTGGGCCTAATGGACATCTTCACTCCTCATGGCACATGGGTCTCTGCTTCCAGCCATCAGACAGCTGAGCACATCCCCCTGGACCCAGGTTGGAGTCTGCCACCCCATCCCAATCCTTCTTCTCCTTTGAGATTCAGCTCAAGTCTCCCTTCCTTGCTATGGCCCTCACTGCCCTTGCCCTCTTCTTAGACAGCATAGAGCTCAGACTGCATAGTTTAGCACTGGGCTGTGTATCGAATGCCACATGGGTTTCCCCACTCCCTCCTGCATGAGATAACACAATCCATCAGGCAAGGCAGAGGCCAAGTCCTGTCCTGTCCTCTCCTCTTCTTCCAGTGGGCCACGCCCTGTGGGCGAGTGAGCTATATTGCTATGATCCAATGAGCTTCCCCTTCGCCATGGGGATCCACTGACCACTAAGGCTAGTAGTGACTGAGGACATAGATTGGGGAGTGTGTGAATGAGTGTGAAAGAGAAAGGGGCCCCAAAATAATAGGAAGAGTCTCTGACAGGGAGGGGAATCCACTTCCCAAGAAAAGGTAGAGAGTGATGATGCCTTGCCAACCGCTGAGACACTGAAGAGGGTAAACAGAAGAACACTGACCCAAGGCTGGGCACCGTGGCTCATGCCTGTAATCCCAGCACTTTGGGAGGCCGAGGCCAGCAGATCACCTGAGGTCAGGAGTTCAAGACCAGCCTGGCCAACATGGCGAAACCCTGTCTCTACTAAAAATACAAAAATTAACCGGGCGTGGTGGCACATGCCTGTAATCCCAGCTACTCGGGAGGCTGAGGCAGGAGAATCGCTTGAACACGGAAGGCTGAGGCAGGAGAATAGCTTGAACCCAGGAGGCAGAGGCTTCAGTGAGCCAAGATGGCACCACTGCACTCCAGCCTGGGTAACAGGGGGAGACTCCGACTCAAAAAAAAAAAAAAAAGAATTCACTCAGAAAAACGCTGACCCAGATCTCCACTGTGTCCAGACCAGCCCACAGAGCAGCTCCTTGCCTTGGTGCTGAGCCCTCCGTCCCAATGCCCTGTGGGGCAGGCCCGGCACTCAGCACTCAGGTGACATTCTGGCAGCGTGGGGCGGGGGGCATTTGTGAGGGTAAGGGTATGGGTGTTGCACCCATCTGGTGACACTCCCTGGCCTGAACCCCACTGGGTCCCACGCCAGGGCCCAGGTGCTTGCACACTCAGCTGCAAGGTCCCTTGGATGAGGTGACTGCCTTGGGGCAGCCACATGTGGGTGAGGAATGGAGCCAAGCTGGGCCTTGTCTCACTCATCTTTGAGTTCCTCTTGCTAACTCTGCCAGCACCTAGCACTGTGCCTGGCACACAATGGGTGTGCAGTAAGCCCTGGCTAATTAATAGTAATAGCAGCTGTCATTTATGAGACACCTACTGTGTGCCAGGCATGGTGCTGAATGCCTTTCAAAGATGATCTCATTTAATCTTGACAACCTTACAAGGAAGGTACTGCATTTGAGTCCCATTTTACAGATGAGAATAACACTCAGAGAGGTTACAGGTAGCTTGTCTAAGGTCGTATGGCAAGCAGATGGTTGGGCTAATATTCAAGGTCAAGTCAATGTGATGCTAGTAGTCAGGCTGGTAACCCCATGCTGTAATGTTGAATAAACGAAAGAACAGGAATCCATGACTGTGACTTCAATAGCCTTATGCTCAGAGCAAAAGACATATGAATCCATGAAATGTGAGGGTCTGAGATACAGCCCCCCTTCCATTGTGTGTGTGCACATACCCCTCCCCCCGCACACACACCTTGGGCTTTGAAAGCCATCTTTTTGGTGCAAACATTGCAACCTCCAGCAGGGAAGTGACGCTGCAATGCAGAGCACAGGCTGTTGCGGATTGGAAGGGGAAGGAAGGCCTGTGCCAGGGCTGCCTTCACACTAAACATAGAAACCCAGAAGGACAGACAACAGCTGAGGTCCTCAGCAGTGCCTGCACCAGGAAACTGATAAGGTTCTGGGGAGAGGGTTTGCCCCTTTGAGAGTTTTGGGAGCCTCTAGTGGCTCTTTGACTGTCCCCTGTCCCCAGGAGGGGCATGGGGGTGGGGTCATTTCAGCACAGCAGCTTTCCAAGCCCAGGAGGGATGAGTGGGTGCCCTTGGGCCCAACTGCTTGTGCCAAGCCTCACCCAATAGCCGACAAACACAAGCAGGCTCAAAAAGAAGAGGAACATCTAGGGCAAGCCAGGCCAATGCCTCAGGTCTCACATATACTAGGGCCTCAAGCTGGACTACTGGAAATGCCCTCACTCCCTTCAGAGCTTTGCTCATGAGTTACTTCCTCAGTGAGTCCTGCCCTGGTCACCCTATTTAAAGTTGCACCCAACCCCCACTCTCCCTATTCCCCTTCTATGCTTTATGTTTCTCTAATAGCATTTATCATCAAATGACAATTTTTACTTATTCATTTTCTTTATTTTCTGTCTCGCTCTATTATATCATATGTACCATGAAAGCAGGGGGCTTTAGGCTGTTTTGATCACTGCTGTAATCCCAGTACCAAGAATTGTAGCTTCCACATAGTTGGAGCTCAAGAAGAATTTGCTGGAATGAATTCACTGATTTCGATGATTTGTGAGCAGTCTACAAAACATGATGATATTTACATTCTACTGCATTTTCAGCCATTCCTTGAGGGAAGCACACGGTGTTTGGGAACATTTCTACATAGAATTCATTAAACTGGGTAGCGCGAGATCCTAACATAGAACAAAGAAAATTCTTGTCAACATGACTTCCCTGCCAAGATGACTTTTTGAAATCTTCACTCTCTTTTTTTTTCTTGTTTTTCCTCTCAACTTTTATTTTAGGTTCGGGAGTACATGTGCAGGTTTGTTACATGGGTAAATCACATGCCACTCAGGTTTGGTGTACAAATGATCCTGTCACCCAGGTAGTGAGCATAGTGTCTGACAGGTAATCTTCACTTCTGACTGAGATTCAAAACTATTAAATCATATACAAAATCAATGAGAAAAATCAGCAGCATCTAATAGGGTATTGTTTGTTTACCACAACTATCAGCAGACAGGATCTAAAATGCTGTAGGAATTGATGTAGCACTTCCTAAGCAACCCAGATCAACAACAACCACAACAAAAACAGGGGAATTCCCAGGTAGTGACTAATAATAGCTCATTTCACCCTCACTGGCTGTGTGGCCTTGAGCAACCTGTTTGACCTCTCTGAGCCTCAATGTCCTCATCTGTAAAACTAGGAATAATAATGGTACCTACCTCATAGGGCCACTGTGAGAATTAAATGAGTTAATAGATGCAAAGTGTTTGGAACAATGCATGGTACATAATAAGCACTATATAAATGTCTCTTATTATTTGTCTTGTTTTGTGCTGGACACTGTGTGTCTTCAGAGAGGATCTATAACCCCCCTCCCTGTGCCCAGCACAAAACACATAAGCATAATATGAGTTAGCCATTGCTACTACTATCAGTACATTATTATTAAATGATGATAATTAAAAGTAGTAATTGCTTGATTTATGCTTTTTCCATTGGAACTGCAAGTTCCATGGAGGCAGGCAAGGACCATGCCAGCCTAGAGCCCTAGAACATAGTGGATGCTAAACTTATACACAGTAGGTGCTCAATGAAACCTCAGGAGTGTCTTTCACCTGGGAATTTGATAACTCTACTACTACTTTAGGACTCAAGTATTTCTTTTTTTTGAGATGGAGTCTTGCTCTGCCACCCAGGCTGGATTGCAGTGGTATGATCTTGGCTCACTGCAACCTCTGCCTTCCAGGTTCAAGCAATTCTCCTGCCTCAGCCTCCCATGTAGCTGGGATTACAGGCGCCCGCCACCATGCCTGGCTAATTTTTGTATTTTTAGTAGAGACAAGATTTCACCGTGTTGGCCAGGCTGGTCTTGAACTCCTGACCTCAAGCAATCCACCTGCCTCGGCCTCCCAAAGTGCTGGGATTACAGGCATGAGCCACCATGCCCAGCCAGAACTCAAGTATTCTTAAACATGAGTCATCACTGCCTCTTCCCTACCTTGCAGGAGACAAAGGCTATAGAGACCTCAGTCCCTATTTTCCCTTGGGAAACTCACAGTCTAGTAGGCTCAGCCCTAAGAAATTTCTCCGAAGACATTCAGAAGTAAGTAATTGATGAACAAGATAGGGGATGACTGTGATATTTATTAACAAAGAAATAAACTGGGTGATGACAAACAGTATATGTGTTTCTGGGGTACCAGGGGAGATACTTTGACTTTATATGGGTTGTCAGACCTCTATGAGCTAGTGGCTTTTGAGCTGAGCCTGAAAGATGAAAAGGAAGCAGCCCACAAAAATCTGGAGGAAGAACATTCCAGGCAGAGAGAACAGCCAGCACAAAAGCCCCAGGGCAGCAAAGGACTTGGGGCCTCTTGGACCAGAATGGAGGCTGGTGTCCCTATGGGATTAGGCAGAGAGATAAGGTTAAAGAGGCAGGTGTGGGCTGATCATGCCAGGGCGTTTACGCCATCTTAAGGGAGGGTCATGAGCACAATAACAATTCATAGCATTGAGACCTTTCCCAAAAACACCTTGTCACTACACATGGCTCAATGATCTACATTCTATTCGAGCAGAGGAAAGATGTGGCACTTAGTCAACCATTTTCCCATCACAGTTCTGAACATGTTGGAAAAGCAAAGCTTCTCTTTTTTGGACTTCACCAATTCAAGCTTTGAACTAGTTCATATAGCGGTTGGGCTATGAGACAGTGGGTTTGATACACTGCCTCCCAGTACCCACCAAAGGAACCCAGGATCTTCTGTTTAAAAAAACAGACCCACCAGCAAGTTAGAAATCAACCATGGCTGTGCTGCTTGCATATCAGGCTTATCTATTCACTAAAGCTCGCTCCTGAAGATTCCTATTTGACATAATTGTGTTAACCCTCTTCCTATTGCTATGTAGTGGAAAATGATTGTTAAAAAAAAAAAAAAACACGTTGGCCGGGCACAGTGGCTCACGCCTGTAATCCCAGCATTTTGGGATGCTGAGGCGGGCGGATCACAAGGTCAGGAGATTGAGACCATCCTGGCTAACACGGTGAAACCCCGTCTCTACTAAAAATACATAAAATTAGCAGGGCATGGTGGCGGGCGCCTGTAGTCCCAGCTACTTGAGAGGCTGAGGCAGGAGAATGGCGTGAACCCGGGAGGCGGAGCTTGCAGTGAGCCGAGATTGCGCCACTGTGCTCCAGCCTGGGTGACAGAGTGAGACTCTGTCTCAAAATAAATAAATAAATAAAATAAAACACGTAGTTTTGGGGGAAACATTCAATATGTTGATTTTTAAAAACAGAATAAAAACTCTGATCTCTGCCTAATTCATCTGAATTTCCTGAGTGTCTATTGATATATCTGTGATGAAGGATTTGTGTTCACATCCTGGGCAGAAGACATAGTAAACCTCGAAATATACCAAACACAGGGACAAGTTCCCTCCTCCCCCCTCTTCCCCCAAGAATTCTATTCAGAACCAGGTTCCTGGTCTTGGTTCCTTGAACCTGCCTGGCAGACAGTCCCAGGTGTGTGTTTCCTTACACTTTACATCCGAGCCACTGTTCTGACTTTCGAGACTTTCCTTCTTCCTCAAGGCTCAGCCTAGAAGACAGTGTGTGGCACAGATTGCGCTCAGCAAATATTTGCTCCCCTACATTTCTCAGCCTTTCTTGCAATTAAGCTTGGGCCACGTGACTAATTCTGACCAAGAGAGTCAGTGAACTTAATGTGCATCATTTCTGGGCCAAGACAGTTAAGAGTTGGTGTGCTGTTATGGGCTGAATTGTGTCCCCCTTATCCATATATTGAAACACTAGACCGCCAGTGTGGCTGTATTTGGTGTTAGGAAGTAATTAAGGTTAAATGAGTATGGGGCCCTGATCCAATAGGATTAGTGCCTTCGTAAGAGGAGATACCAGAGAGCTAGCTCTCTCTCAGCCATGGGAAGACACAGCGAGAAGTCAGCCATCTGCAAGCCAGAAAGAGTGCCCTTACCTGACACTGAATCTGCCAGTGTCTTGACTGTGGGCTTTCCAGCTGTGGAACTGTGAGAAATGAATTCCTCTTCTTTAAGCTACCCAGTCTATGCTAGTTTGTTATGACAGCCCATGCTGACTAAGACTATTTACTTCTCCATCTGTCTTTCCCCCTGCTGTGGAGTTCTAGGAGGCCACATGTTTCAGGTTGGCCTTACTACGTGTCATCCAACCTGCACTAGACTTTTGTGAGAACCAGAAATAAGCCTTTCTTGTGTTAAACCCCTGAGATTTCAGGGTTTCTGTGTTATTGCAGCATAACTCCACATATTCTGACCAATGCACAGTGACAGAGAAAAGGACATGGCACATCATCTTTGTCCAAACAAAAGCAAAAGCAGATGTGGGCCACCAGCTGTTCTCCCTCTGGCCCATCTTGTCTCCAAGGCTGAAGGTGGCCCCAGTGAGTCCTGGGTATTAAGACAGGTGCAAACTGTGCTTCCTGGGTCCTGGGATTCAGCAAACGATGAAGATTTAAACTGCTGGAGGAATCCACTGAGGTTTCAAGTAAGAAAACAAGAGCTCCAGCTGCTCTTGGGAAACTCTGGGAGGTAAGGTATTGTTTCTAGAAAGCCCCCACTGAAATGCACACCAGTTCCCTGGAAGGAGTCATGCATTTATCCACTGACAACCAAGAGGCACATGTTAGGGACTGATTTATCAGGGGAGGGCTAGAGGGACAGGCCCAGGGCCTCAGGGCCACCCTGGGTCACAAAGTAGGAGGTAGACCGCACAGCTTGGCCCAGAGTTCTCCCTCGACTGCCTGTGAAGAGGTTTGAATTTCAGCAGGAGTAGGAGGGCCATGTCACTATGTCAGTTTCCCTATGGCTTCTCACTGGCATGCCCCTCTTGGGCCAGGCCACCTGCATGACCATCTTTTCAGACCATCTAGGAGAGAGGATGGAAGTAAACTTTGGGGCCTTACTTTTTTGTTCCCCCAGTGCTTGGCAAGACTTACTTATATGCAACTTTTTCTGACATTCCAAATTTGTCTCCTGTTTTCAAGGCCAAATTCAAGCCTAATCTCCCATAGGAGATTTTCCCTGACCCCTCCTTCCCTTTGTAATGGCTGCTGATCTCTTAATAACCCTAGCTACAGCCAACATTTATTGGGCACCACTATGTATTAAGCCCTGTGCTAGCTCATTCTTCTTGTGTACCATTTCATCCGATCCTCCCAGGTCCTGAGGGAGGTGTTATCATCCTTACTTTACATCTGAGGAAACTGAGGTTCAGAGAGGGGCAGTGACTTATTCAAAGTCACACAGCTAGGATGTGCCAGAGCTAGAAACCAAGGTCCCTGCTCTTAACAACTGCTCTCTACTGCCTCCCACAGCTCAGCCCTCTGTCATAATCTCTTATGAATTGCTACCCAATCCCTGCAAGATCTTTGATGGTAGGGATGGCTTCTTTAAAACTAATTAATAATTAGCTTCACTCCTTTGATCAGTGCTTTACAGTTTATATAAGGCTTCTACATACATGATCTCATCTAATCTTTACTACATTCCTGGGACATTTGTGTTATCTGCAGTTTACAGATGAAGAAACTGAATCTCAGGGAGTTCCGTGACTTGCACAAGGCATGCATCCAGTGAGTGACAATGAGTTACTCTTTCCACTACTCCAAGGTCCCTTTTACTTGAGAATGGCTCCCAGCTTATCCTTTCCTCCATTCTTGGCACCTTGGTACTCTATGCCCCATTTCCATCCAATGTAAAATAGCTGAGGTGAAGAGGGGACACTCATTTTCCCTCCAGTCCTCAGGAGTTGGAACACAGGGATACAAAATTATGCAATTGACATTCAACAGGATGTGAGTGGGACTTCTATAGACCTGAGAACTGGCAACAAGGGCCCAAAGCTGAGGACTAGTTCCAAGAAAGAAGTGCCAAGGAACTTCCAATGATAGGGGACCAATGCTTCCTTCAGGGCTTATTAAGAGCTTAGCAAACAGGTTCTACTGCTCCCACCCCGTCTAGATAAGCAGAAAGTAGTGGTGGGGCACCACTGGGATGATCAGGAGACTTTGGCCCAGTGTTGTGGCCAAGTGAGGGGTTCCAAGAGAATGCCATCAAGATTGGGACGGCATAGGGGGTCAGGCTGTGAAGTGGGACATGTTATCTCATTCCTGGTTGGACATCTGCTTGGGTGGCAGCCTTGTGACTCTGCCCTGAGCCTATGAGAACAACTAAAGGGGAGTGGAGAGAGGGCAAAGAGCAGAGGCGGCAGTGGTGTAGCCAGCCATGTGCGCTTTCCTCAGGTCAGAGGGACACCTCCAAAGGTCACACATTTGAGTTGTCTTACCTTGTCCTGTTCAAGAGGACTGGCTTCAGGGCAAGGGGACCTCAACAACAAAGGTCTTTGTAGATACTGCTGGGGACAGGTGTGTGCATAGGTGTGGGTAGGGATTGGGTTGGTTGGAAGAAGTAGTGGCCAAATAGCTTCTCCCATGTCAGGGAACTCTGAAGTGGGGAAGCCTCCAGAACCCTGCCAAGATGGTTCATGACTGTGGAAAGAGAAAAGCATTGTGTGTTTGTACCCTATTGAGTTGAGGCTCTACAATGAAGCAGTTATACAGGGCGGAACACAGTCTCTGGTGGTCACTTGCCATCCATCTCACCTTCCTTAAAGAGCTCAAGTGGCTCCTGCCTCCTTGAGACCTCTCCATAGTTAGACTGGCCTAGCAGTTGGAGGAAAGGAGAACAGGGTTTCTGTTCAAATACTGCACCCAGGGCCAAGGTTAGAGGGAGGCAAGTGAGGACCCTGGGGCACACAGTGTCAGGAGGGGCTCACTCTCAGGCATACCCCTGCCCTTGAAGGAATGCCTCCCTAGAGTCTGCATCCCAGATACCCTCATTTGTCTTACCTATTTGTAGCTGTCACAGGGCCTGGGTCGATGCCCAGTGGTTCCCCACGGGATTCACAGAAGCTGTCAGTCCCATGAAGACGTTCTGGGCTTGAGTGCTGAGGATGTAGGGATCTGGGGTTAGCACCCACCCCCCAACCCCCCCAAAAAAGCCAAGCAATTAGCTGGGTGTGGTGGCACGCGCCTGTAGTCCCAGCTATTAGGGAGGCTGAGGCAGGAGAATCACTTGAACCCGGGAGGCAGAGTTTGCAGTGAGCCGAGATGGCGCCACTGCACTCCAGCCTGGGCGACAGAGTGAGACTCTGTCAAAAAAAAAAAAAAAAAAAAGAGCCAAGCAAAGATTTGAGAGTGTAAGAGAGGTAGGGACACTAGAAAGGAAGATTGGAGACCTGCCTGCATTCATCCAACTCCCTGCTCTACCACGGTGTGATCCAGTCAGATGACAACCTCTCTATGTTCCCCACCTGTAAGACAACAATAGTGCCTCGCTCATGGGGCTGCAGTGAGGATGAAATGGGATCATGTCTGCAGAACACTGGGCTCCAGGCCTCCTTGTACTGCTCACTTGCTGGGTAATTTGGAGCAAGTCCTCTAACCTCTCTGTGATTTGTCTGTAACAAACCAAAGGATGTTTTTCACCACCTGAAAACAGATAGTTAAGTGGAAATGCAAAGAATTTTTTAACTACGAAAAAGCAGAGGACTGGTTCCCATGGTCTCTTAAGGTCCATTCTTGTTTTATGTTTCCGTGATTTAAAAACAAAACAAAACAATAAAACTCTTCTCTTTGGAACTGGAGAAGGAAGCCCAGAGCCAAGAAGTCGGCTTTCTGTACCACGCCCCTCTCCCTTAAAGAAAACTGAGGTTATTCTGCCCCCTGGTGTCCTGTACTGTCATTGCAGTCACTTCCAGTGGCCCATCTAGGCTTCAGATTTGGAATCACGAATTTTCCTTCCTTCCTTCCTTCCTTCCTTCCTTCCTTCCTTCCTTCCTTCCTTCCTTCCTTACTTCCTTCCTTCTTTCCTTCCTTCATTGAATGCCCCACTCTGGGCCACGCACTGTGCTGTGCACTGTGGTTGCAAAGATGAATAACACTGGGCCCCTTCCTTGAAGGAGGACACAGTCTAGTGGGGGAAGTCAGACACCTAAACAAATCATTTAGATACAGCTAAACAAGTGCTCTACAAAAGGCTACTATACAGTGCAAAGAGGGCGTGCTTGGCTTGGGGGAGGCAGGCGACATGTCTGGAAGAGCCTGACAAAAAGGGGTGGTAGTTGAGTTTGATAACCATGTTTGAATTCTTTAGGTGGCTGGACAGGGATGGGAGTGTGTAGAAGGATGTGGGGCACATTTAAGAGGCAACAGTGTATTTGGTTTGCTGGGGGCATGCTGTGGGCTTAGGGAAACAGTGGAAGATGGAGTTGAGAGCTGGGAGGTGGTCAGGGTTTTAAGCAAGGCAGTGACCTGGGTAGATTTGAATTTCTGTATGTTCATTCTGGCTGCTCTGTAGAGAAAGCCTTGAAGAGGCACAGGGCTGGGAAAACTCTTGGTCGAGTTGCCAGATTTAGAAACAAAACAAAAGAGTGAAACAAAACCAAACCCCGGATACCCAGTTAAATGGGAATTTCAGATAATAGACAATGGTTTTTTAGTATAAGTACATCCCAAGTATTGTACAAGATGTACTAAAAATTATTCTGTGTTTATGTGAAATTCAAATTTAACTGGGTGTCCTGTATTTTATGCGGCAACCGTATCTTGGAGACATCAAGGAGAGATGATGGTGGCTTAGACAAGGGTGGAGGGAGCAGATTTGGGTCAAAGGGGAAAAATTCCAGGGATATTCAGGAGGTAGAAATGAAAGAACTTGGCGATGACATGGACGTGAGAACATGAAAGGGAGGTGTCAAAACAACACCCAGTCTCCCGTTTGTTCCGTGTTGGGTCCTCCACTGCATCCCATACCTCCAACCACCACACATCTGGAGGTCAAGAGTCCTTCCTAAAACATCCCAAAGAACCCGCGAAGCCAGGAGCCAAGACGTCCTCCAGGGTCCCGCCTTCCCTGCTCGGCTCCGCCTCCTGCTTGGTTCTGCAGTGTGGCCCTCCGGGCTTGTTTGGGCCAGTCATCTGCCAGTGGCCGGTGCCTGGGATGAATTAGGGCCCCTTTAGGTCTCTGTTCTTTTCCTCTTTGCACCACCCTTCGCAACGGCCAGCATGAGGTGCCCAGCCCAGGTCCCCACTGCTGACTAGAATAGATCCTTTCTGCCAGGGAGGGATGTCCCAAAGAGTCCCAGAATCCTGCACCTTTCCCTAGGGGTTTTCTCACTTCCCGGAGGCTGGGACTGAAATGGTGGCCGCGCTTCTCCAAGCTTCTTGTGACCTCACAGTGCCTCTTAGTGGTCACACAGCACACTGCAGGCCGAGGTGAGATGGAAGATGGATTTGTAAGCACTGGGAAAGTTGTTTTTTGTTTGTTTGTTTGTTTTAGACAGAGTCTCGCTCTGTCACCCAGGCTGGAGTGCAGTGGCACGATCTGGGCTCACTGCAACCTTTGCCTCCTGGGTTCAAGCGATTCTTCTGCCTCAGCCTCCCAACTAGCTGGGACTATAGGCGCGTGCCACCACGCCCAGGTAATTTTTTGTATTTTTAGTAGAGACAGCGTTTCACCATGTTAGCCAGGATGGTCTTGATCTCCTGACCTCATAATCCACCCAGCTCGGCCTCCCAAAGTGCTGGGATTACAGGCGTAAACCACCGCGCCCAGCCAGCACTGGGAAAGCTTTTCATTCCTGATTCTCCCCTGGCAGGGCACAGGGCTCCTGCCTCTGCTGCTGGCCACCCATCCGTCAGGAGTGCTGTTGGCACTCCTCAGCTCTTAAGGATCTGAGCAAGACATTTGTGCAGTGGACCCGCTGGTAAGGAGGTGGCCTAAAATGACATTTCGCAAATCAAACAACTAGGCCCTGAGGTCTCCATTCTTGGTGGGACTCAGCAAGATGCTCCAGGTTGAATGGGTCAGAGATTCCGAAATCCCCAGCCTTCCAGATTTCATAGGTACCAGCCTACAGATAAAGCTTAATGTGCCAGAGGACCCGCCCACACTTGCCTGTGGACATCTCCGCCCAGAAAACTGGGGTGAGGCAGAGGGGAATCTCACAATTGGGTTCCCCACAGTGGGCATGTTTCCAGGCCGGGTGGTAGGGCTGGTCGCCATAGAGGGTGGCTGTCCAACTCTCCAGCATGACACCTCCCTCTCTGGGGTCACAGCCAGTCAGAAAGAACCCCCAAATGCCCCATCCTGTATCCCTTCCACACTGGAGCCTGTGTATGGCAAGAGGTGAGGATCCATGTCCCAAGGAGGGGAGCTGAGAGACAACCAGACCCCAGATGACTTTGTGGGCCAGAGCTTGAAGCTGGTCTGGGGTGACTGAACAGGAGCCTGGCTCAGGAAACTCAGCTCCCTCTCTTGTCTTCAGACTGCAGGCATGTGCTATGAGGACTGGGGACACCTCAGGATGTAGTGCAGAGGCTGAAGCTGTCACTGACCCACTGCTGGTGCCTCCCTTTGACTTCCAATGTCCTCTGGCAGCAGATGGTGAGCCATGCCCTAGGAATGGCAAGCCCCCTCCTTTCTCTCGAGTTTTGGTCATTAGTCTTTACTATATCCCCTGAGGAGTAGCTGGATTACAGGTGCACGCCACCACGCCCGGCTAATTTTTTGTATTTTTAGTAGAGACGGGGTTTCACCATGTTGGCCAGTCTGGTCTCGAACTCCTGACCTCAGGTGATCCACCCGCCTCAGCCTCCCAAAGTGCTGGGATCACGGCCGTGAGCCACATTTCTTGAAAGAGTTGTCTCCGCTTGCTGAATCTCAGGTTCCACCCAGGAAGAGGAGGGGCCTGGCGCCTCCCGGCTGCAAATGACAGGAACTTATGTGGCTCCACCCCACTTCGCATTCTTCCCAGTGCGCAGGCCGTGGGAGGTTCTGCCAGGGAGCCCTTCCCATCTGGCTGTCTGACTATGTTAAGGGACCCCAAGCCTTCAGTGGTGAAGGCTGAGACCACAGTGTAGATCAGGGCTGTCCAATCTTTTGGCTTCCCTGGGCCACACATAAAATACACTAACGATAGCTGAAAAGCTAAAGAAAAAAAAAGAAAGAAAAAATCAAATCACAAAAACATCTCATAATGTTTTAAGAAATTTTATGAATTTGTGTTGGGCTGCCTGCAAAGCTGTCCTGGGTCGCATGCAGCCCACGGGCCACTGGTTGGACAAGCTTGGTCTAGATCAAAGTTTGGCAAACTTTCTGTAAAGGGTCAGATAGTAAGTATTTTAGACTCTGCAGACCATACAGTCTCTGTAGCAACCACTCAACTCTGCTGTTGCAGCCCCAAAGCAAGTATAGACAATATATAAACAAATGAGCATGGTTGGCCAGGCGCAGTGGCTCACGCCTGTAATCCCAGCACTTTGGGAGGCCAAGACGGGCAGATCACAAGGTCAGGAGTTCGAGACCAGCCTGACCAACATGGTGAAACCCCATCTCTATTAAAAATACAAAAATTAGCCAAGCGTGGTGGCGCACGCCTGTAATCCCAGCTACTCGGGAGGCTGAGGCAGGGGAATCGCTTGAACCCGGGAGGTGGAGGTTGCAGTGAGCTGAGATCATGCAGCTGCACTCCAGCCTGGGTGACAGATCGAGACTCTGTCTCAAAAAAAAAAAAAAAAAAAAAAGGATGTAAACCTGAATAGGATGTAATGCCACTGTAAACAAGTCTGAAGTGTATGGTGGCAGCAACAGACTGCTTCAGATAGAGTTTGGAGACAGCTGCAGACAGAGGAGTGAGTGGGGTTTATGGAGCGAGAGAGAGAGTATAGAGTAAGAAGAGAAGTGACCCAAGCCTAAACCTCAGCACATGCCATCATCTAGTGGCGGGGCCAAGAAAGTAGAGGAGCCTGCAATGGAGATGGAGATGGAGTGGTTGGTGAGGCAGCAGGAACTCTGGGAAGAGTGTGGAGTTCCTGCACCCCGGTGAAGGGAGTGTTCCTGAAGAAGGGGTGGAATGCTGCTGAGAGGTTGGGTTAGGTGAGGACTGAGAAACGACCTTTGGTTTTGGCAGCATGGAGGTTGCTGGTGACCTTGGTGAGAATCATGTCAGAGGAATGGGCTAGAAAGGGTTGAGGGGTGAGTGGAGGTAAGAAAGTGGGGACAACAAGTGGAGACAACTCGTTCAAGAAATGTGGCTCATACCTGTAATCTCAGCACTTTGGGAAGCCGAGGTGGGTGGATCACCTGACGTCAGGAGTTCGAGACCAGCTGACCAACATGGTGAAACCCTGTCTCTACTAAAAATATGAAAAATTAGTCGGGCGTGGTGGCATGTGCCTGTAATCCCAGCTACTAAGGAGGCTGAGGCAGGAGAATCACTTGAACCTGGGAGGCAGAGGTTGCAGTGAGCCGAGATCGCGCCACTGCACTCCAGCCTGGGCAACAGGAGCGAAATTCTGTCTCAAAAAAAAAAAAAGAGAGAAAAAAAAAAAAAAGAAAAGAAATGAGAAATGTGATTGTGGAGGGGATGATAGAATGGTAGAGGAGGAAACTTCTATCCTTCAGCCATCACCCCCACGTATCAGGTCCAACAGTCCTAGAAGTGAGTGAAGAAATTCTATTACGATTTTACCACTATTCCATGGCTCCAAAATCCTTGTATTAGTTTCCCAGGGCTGCAGTAACAAAGTACCACAGTGGGAGGCTTAGAAACATGTTGTCTCACAGATCTGGAGGCCAGAGTGTGAAATCGAGGTCAGCAGGGTTGGTTCCTTCTGAGGGCTGTGAAAGAGAATCTGTCTCATGCCCATCCTGAGCTTCTGATGGTTTGCTGGCAATTTTTGGCATTCTTTGGCTTAGAGATGCATCACCCTGATCCCTGCCTTTGCCTTTACACAGTGTTCTCCCTGTGTGTGTGTCTCTGTCCAAATTTCCCTTTTTTATAAGGAAACCAGTTATATTAGATTAGGGCCCACCCTACTCCCAGTATAACCTCATCTTACTTAACTAATTATATCTGTGACGAGTCTATTTCCAAATAAGGTCACATTCACAGGTACTGGGGATTAGGACTTCAACATATCGATTTTGGGGGGATACAACTGAACCTGTAACAAGCCCCATTCCCTTTTGGTCTCCTTCCTCTCCACTTTGCTGTGCCATCTTCTGGCCAGGGATTAGTCTGTTTCTTCCCAGGTCACAACTGTGTTTCTCCCCGCCTCTCCAACTGCCTCGATTGATTCCATCGTTCCTTCCCAGCTGACCCCTCTCCAGAGAAGATCGAAGTCATTACCTTTCAGCAGTGAGATCACCTCCCAACCATTGTTGACACTTTCAAAATAACTTGAAACATTGATGGACAGTGAAAGAGGCAAGAGAGGAAAATGTGATTTAATTCTACCTGTGTTCAATGAAGAGTGCTGAAACTTCCATGAACTTTAGATACTTTTAACCTAGTTCTGAAAAAAAAAAGTTTTTGTTTTTGTGGACTTTTAAGGCCATAAGTAAGAGACTGTAAGGAGAAAAGTCAACCGAATTTCCCAAAATAGAAATGATCATGAAATAAGAAAAGTAACTGCAGCTTTAAATACCAATTTTATTATACAACTGGAAACCGTCATTCTCCTCTGCCATCTAGTGGCCACAGCTACAATCAGAAAACGATCCTTGCTCTTCAAAGCCAGGGCCACCGTTAGAGGTAGAGGGGTATAGCCCATTGTTGTCAAATGGCCTTTACAAGTGTGCTTGGCCCGTGGACATGCCTTAGAACTCCATGCTCCACGGTGCTGCCTCCGAGGTGCACAGTCAAGATGGGACCTTTGCTGCCCAGCTGTGTCAGCAGCTGGAGGACAGATGCCTGCGGGTGCGAGGGAGAGGGCAGGCTTGTGATGTGAGGGAGCTGCGGTGAGCGACTGTGCTGGCAAGGCCCTGTCCAGCCGCCTATGTGCTTGAGCAGGACACTGTGTTCATTCATCCCAACACACAGAAGTGCCTTTCTTTCATGAAATAATGTTTTCCTTAATCTTTTTCTGATTATAAAAGTCATACATCTTCATTGTAGAGCATTTAGAAAACCAGACATATAAATAAGAGTAAAAAAAAAAAAAAATTGAGATTGGCTCCAGAGAGTGGCTTGGGGGCTTTATCCTAATCTCCATCAGCACCCCCATAGTGACTCTGAATATAGATGCAGTGTAAGGCAAAACCCTGCTTGCTAAGCAAAGGCCATCTTGCAGCTTCAAGACGAATCCCCTAGCCTACCTTTCGATGGTTTCTAAACCCTCCTATGTAGACATTCTGAAGCCACGACTGCCCATGATGCCACCCTCTAGGGGTGACTGCTATTAACAGTTTGGAGAATGGACTTCCACTATTTTTGTGCCTATGTATTATCTTTATATCTGATATTTTAAATTTAGGAACATTAGGTACATACCTACTTATATGCTGCCTTTTCCACCTCATGTTATATCCTAACATTTTTCCACATCACAATTCCTCAAAAACATTATTTGAAAAGGCGCCATAATATATCCATAAACATCTACAATGTGTTTACCCTTCTTCTGGTGATGAAGGTTATGTAAATTGCTTTGTTTTTTGTGCTAATGAGTATGTTGAGATGAACAGGGGTGGACTTACGCCATTGCGCTCCTCTAGGGTGATTTCCTAGAAGTGAAATTACGAGTGTGAATGCTTCCAGGCTCTTAATGCATGTTGCCACATTGCTTTTAGAAAGGTGACACTTATTTACTCTTGTCCAAGCAGCAGGCGGGCTTGTTTTTCCTTGCCTTTGCCAACACTGGAATAATCAATGATGAAGATTACTGGATGCCAGGCATCAGGCTAGCTGCTGGAGATATGATAGTAAGGGGAGGAAAAGATGTGGTCTCTGCCTCAGCAGCGTTCCTGAGCTGGTGGGAGAGAGTGACCTTGATCAAATAATAAATGTGTAATTACAAAGTGAAGGAGAGGAAAGGGTGCAAGGAGAGCGTGTCACAAGGACATGTTACAGCCTAGGCTAGGAGGTGGCCAGGGAAAGCTCCTCAGAGAAAGTGTTGTTTTCGCAGAGACTGAGGCCTTGGGAGGAGTTGGCTCTGTGGTGAGAGGGAGCAAGGAGCAGACAAGGACAGAAGTCCAGTCTGAAAAAATGGGGGATGGGTCTACGGCCATACCACCGTGAATGTGCCTCATCTCATCTGAAAGAATGGGGGATGGCAGGATGTGGGAGGAGGCTTGAGTCCATGACAAGCAGACAAGCCAAGGCTTGTGGGTCCAGGTAAGAATTCTGGGACCCAGAGAGGGGTGATGTGATCAGACTTGCCTTTGGAAAATCACTTAAGATAAAAAAAAAATGTTAATCATGGTAAAAAGCACAAAACAGGGGCCAGGCACGGTGGCTCATGCTTGTAATCCCAGCACTTTGGGAGGCTGAGGGCAGATCACGAGGTCAGGAGTTTGAGACCAGCCTGGCCAACACAGTGAAATCCTGTCTCTACTAAAAATACAAAAATTAGCTGGGCATGGTGGCGGGTGCCTGTAATCCCAGCTACTCGGGAGGCTGAGGCAGGAGAATCGCTTGAACCTGGGAGGCGGAGGTTGTAGTGAGCCAAGATCGCGCCACTGCACTCCAGCCTGGGTGGCAGAGCTAGACTCAAAAAAAAAAAAAAAGCACAAAACATAAAATTGATCATCTTAGCCATATTTAAGTGTAGAGTTCAATAGTGTTAGGAGTATTCACATTGCTATGCAATGAATCTCCAGAACATTTTCATCTTGCAAAGCTGAAACTGTATACCCATCAAACAACTGCCCATTTCCCCAATCCCCAGCCCCTGGTAACACCATGCTTCTTTTCTCTATGGATTTGACTATTCTAGGGACCTCATAGAAGTAGAATCATACAGTGCTTTTTGGGACTGGCTTATTTCGTTTAGCATAATGTCCTCAAGGTTGATCCATGTAGCAGCATGTGTCAGAATTCCTTCCTTTTTAAGGCTGAATCATATTCCATTGTATGTAGAGAACTAACACATTTTGTTTTTCTATCCATGGACATTTGGGGTGCTTCCATCTTTTGGCTATTGTGAATAATGCTGCTAGGAACATGGGTGTGCAAATATAGCTTTGAGACCCTGCTTTCAATTCTTTTGGATATATCTCTAGAAGTGGGATTGCTGAACCATATGGTAGTTCTAGTTCTAATTTTTTAATAAACTTTGAGAATCAATTTTAAAAAGCAAATTTAACAAGGCTGATTTTGTTGCCTACAAAACAATAGAAAATAACAGTACTGTGTGGTTGCTAAAAACTATTATCTTCTTGGATTACATTAATATAATTCAGTAAGTCCCCCCCTACCACATGAACTCCTCTAAAGTTAATAGAGCTCAGAATGAATAATTAAATGTATATACATTTCAGGAACACTTATTGGATACACTTATGCTTTAACAGACAATCTTTATTTATTAGCCAAACATCATTGAACACTTACTCTCTGCAAGGCATTGTGGGGAAACTAAAATACGCCCAGCTTGGTTCCCACTCTCCTGAAGCTTCCAGTCCCAAAGGGGCAACAACATCCTTTGGTATGTAGTGTGTTAAAATAGTGGTACAGAGGGCAGGTTCTAGGAGTTCGGGGGAGGGGGGTGGTGGGCAGGGGTTGTGGGAAAAGGCTTCCTGGAAGAGGTGACATTTGGGTTTGATGGGGTTTGGGCAGGTGGAGAGGTGGGGGCTGGAGGGTTCCAGGTGGCTGGTACAGACCACCGAGCCAAAGCAGAGAGTGCGCATGAGTTTAGGGAAGGGAACGGCATGAGAAGGTCGAGTGGGAGACTCAGCCTGAGAGGTGGGTGGAAGAGACTAAGGAGAGCTTTGCATGCCAGGCAGAAGGATTGGAACTTCTGTGGCAAGTGGGCTGGGGGGCCAGCAGGGGTCTGGAATAGGGGAGAGACATCAAAACAGTGCAGTGATGTGTACAGGGAGAGAAACTGGCAACTGAGAAATTAGTTAGAAAGGAGTTAAATACATCAGGCGATTTAACTCCTTACATGAGGCAATGAGTGTTTGAATTTTATTGGTGGGGGGGTGGGGCAGGAGTTGGAGGGGCTGGGAAATGCGCAGTGGAAAGGAGGGGCCAGCTAGAGACTGCGGTTGAGCTGATCTCGGCCCCTTTTCCGTGGAGGTCCTTCCTTCCTCCCTCCTTCTTCTTTCTTGCTTTCTTCCCTTTTTCTCATCTTCCTCCCTCTTTTCTTCCTTCCTGCCCTTCTTTCATCCATCTTTCCTTTTTTTCCTTCTTTTAAAAAAATATTGGCCAGGTGCAGTGGCTCACACCTGTAATCCCAACACTTTGGGAGGCCAAGGCAGGCTGATCACCTGAGATCAGGAGTTCAAGACCAGCCTGGCCAACATGGTGAAAGCCCGTCTCTACTAAAAATAAAAATACAAATAAATTAGCTGGGTGTGGTGGCACGCGCCTGTAGTCCCAGCTACTAGGGAGGCTGAGACAGGAGAATCGCTTGAACACAGGAGGTGCAGGTTGCAGTGAGCCAAGATCGCGCCACTGCACTCCAGCCTGGGCAACAGAGTGAGACTCCGTGTCAAATAAAACAAAACAAACAAAAATATTATGTCTGTCTTGTCTTGTAACGACCAGTCTCACCCATTTTGGTTTCCTTCAGAACCCTGCATGGTAGCCTGCACTTGGCAGGTGCTGGATAAATATTTGTTGAATTGCAATTGGTAACTGATTAGAAAGTGGGGCAGGGGCCAAAAATAACCAAAAGCTTAGGCCTGGGTGATGGGAGAGAGGAGGATGCCAGGAGAAGCTGGTCAAGGTCAAAGAGAAGTTGAATTTGACCTGCCAGCAGGCAATCTAGCTGACATGAAATCTTGGGATGTAGCTAGAAGGGATAGGGGTTTTAAGAAGCACCCTCACCTTCATGCCCACTCCAGCTGGGGAGACAATGGCTGTGTTTAAGAGCACAAATTTTGGGCTCAGAAGTCATTTTCTGGTCAGCCACTAGCCGAGTACCAAGTTATGCTGTCTCTCTGAGCCTCAGTTTTCTCACCTATAAAAGTGGGCTAATGGCCGGGCATGGTGGCTCACACCTGTAATCCCAGCACTTTGGGAGGCCAAGGCGGGTGGATCACGAGGTCAGGAGTTTCAGACCAGCCTGGCCAAGATGGTGAAACCCTGTCACTACTAAAAATACAAAACTTAGCCAGGCGTGGTGGCACGTGCCTGTAATCCCAGCTACTCGGGAGGCTGAGGCAGGAGAATAGCTTGAACACGGGAGGTGGAGGTTGCAGTGAGCCGAGATTATGCTACCGCACTCCAGCCTGGGTGACAGAGCTAGACTCCGTCTTAAAAAAAAAAAAAAAAAGTGGGATAATGTAGTACTTTATCAGGCTATCGTAAAGGCAAAAGTGATGTTAAATGTATTAGTATCTGGGATAAATGACAGCTAGAGTTATTAGTTATTACTCTTCCTAAGGTTAGGAGAAGGAGCATACAGAAGTCACATCACGTCACTTCCCTGAGTAAAGCCAGCCATGGCTCCCTGTGGTGTCGAATGAAATGCAAGCTCCTGCCTGGGGTTCCTCAGGCCCTCTGTGATCACGTTCCTGCTCATCAGTTGTCCAGCAAGTCCTGTCCCTCACAGAGTTCTGCCTGGCTGTCCCCTGAGCACAGCCAGCTGTTTTGCTGCCTTAGGGCCTTTGCATTTCTCTTTTCCTTTGCTCAGAATGTCTTTTGCCAGATCTTGCACGTGTGGCTCTTTTTGGGGGTATTCAAATCAAGATACGGTGTCTTGGCTTCCTGAGGTTTAAGTCTCAGCTAAAACATCACCTCCTCAAATAAACTTTTCCTGACCAAGGCCCCCCGCTGTACCCTCGAGTGCATCCCCGTTTGATACTCTCCACAGTACTTGTCAGGATCTGTAGTGACCTTGGGTACTGTTAATTTGCATGTCTGTCCACCCTCATCCCTGCCCTGCCCTCTTGATGAAGGCACCATGAGAGCGGCAACCTTGTCTGGTTTAATTCTAGATCCCCAGCACCTTGAACAGCACAGGGCGCACAGGAGCCACTCAACAAATACTTGTCAAGTGAATAACCCATACTGAGATGTAGGAGGAGGAGTGATGGTTGATGGGGAAAAGTCCAGAGAGGGTGGAGGAGAAGGGCTCAAAAGTGCAGGTGGAAGAGCTGGTCTTGGCGAGGAGGACCGCTTATTCTCAGACAGATGGAAAGGGGGAGGGATGAGGTTAAGCTGAAGACATTTTGATGTGCAGGGGGCAAGGCTGTTTTGACATTTTCACAAAGTAAAGGGTACAGTCACTTGCTGGGAGCTGAAGGGCAGCAGAAGCGGGTTCTGGGCCTGGAGGCCCATGGAGGGCTTGGGAATAATTGCACTAGCTGCCATTTATTTAGCACTTAGGCACCAGGCACTGTTCCAAGGCCTGGAAATGTAGTATCTGATCTCATCCTCATGATGATACTATGAGGAAAGGTGCTATCATTACTTTTAAGATGTGGAAACACCTTCAATACGTACAATTTGTCTTCTCAATTATACCCAATAAAGCTGGAGAGAAAAGACATGGAAACCAAGGCACAGAGACGTCAATTAACTTTTGATCAGGGTCACACATCTAGAAGTGGCAGAGCTGGGATTTGAACTCAGGCAGTCTGGTCATTAGAGCCTATGTGAAGAACCACTATAGCTTCCTGCCTCCCCAGGCCCCGTGGAGCAGGTACGTGAGGTCATCAAGAGAGGAAGAGGAAGATTGTGGAAGAGTACATGGCAAGCCCAGGGGCAGTCAGCCAGCATGCTATACCAGGAAGCCCAGGAATGAGGGCAGAGAGTCAATGGGACAGGGCGGGTGACTTAGGGTTAGGCACAGCAAAGATGGGGACTGAGGCAAGAAAGAGAGAGGAAGGAGTTTTCTGGGTAAACAGCACATGCAAAGGCCCTGAGGCTGGAAAGAGTTCAGCTCACTGGGAGGAGTAAAAGGACAGTATCAGAGTATATTGGCAGGGGTGAGGAAGGGTTATGGTAGGCAGAGGTCAGATCCTTTAGGGTGGTATTCTCAAAGTGTGGTCCTGCATCAAAATGCTCTTGGGTCCTGATTTAGAATGCAGACTCCTGTGCCTCCTCTCAGACCAACTGACTCAGAATTTCTGGAGCCTAGGAATCTGCTTTTTAACAATGTATCCAGGTGATTCTTCTGCACATGAAGATTTGAGACCCATTGATGCAGGGCCTGGTGGGCCATGGCGAAGCTTAGGTTTCATTGTAAATGTCGCTGAAGGGTTATCAACAGGGGAGGGATGAGACTGATGTAATTAAGTCATGCTGCCTGCTGCGTGGAAAATGGATTGGAGGGCAGCAAAGTTAAAAAGACCAGGCAGGGCATGGTGGGCTCATGCCTCTAATCCCAGCACTTTGTGAAGCCAAGGTGGGAGGACTGCTTGAGCCCAGGAGTTTGAGACCAGCCTGGGCAACACAGGGGGACCCTACCTCTACAATTATTTTTTTTTTAATTAGCCAGGCTTGGTAATGTGCGCCTACAGTCCCAGCTACTCGGAGGCTGAGGTGGGAGCATCGCTTGAACCTGGGAAGTCAGGCTGCAGCAGTGAGCCGATCATGCCACTGCACTCCAGCTGAGGCAACAGAGTAAGACCCTGTCTCAAAAAAGAAAAAAAAGAGAGAGAGAGAGAAAGAAGACTAGGCAGGAGGCCATGACGACACCCTAAGAAGGGATGATGGTGGTGGCCTTGACCAATAAAATTGGCAGTGGGGGTGATGAAAAGCAGACGCGTGGGGCACGTTGCTGAGGTGGTCGGTCGGTAGGAAAGAGAGAAATCAAGGCTAACTCCTAGATGCTTAGCCCCAGCAACTGGGCAGATGGTGTTGACATTCTCTGAGCTGAGGGAAGACAGGTAGAGGATCTAGGTTGGGTGGTAGTAAAAGAACCAGAAGTAAAAGAATTCCACTTTGGACGTGTGAAGCTTGACATGCCTGTGAGACATCTGAGGGGAGATGCCAGCTAACTAATTGGATATACTGGGCAGGAACTCGGAAGAGAGCTATGAGGTGGAGACGTAACATTTGGAATCAGGGGTATTACAGACATTTACAGCCACGGAAATTGATAAGATGCCACCAAAGGAATTAATGGGCAAGCAGAGTAGAACTGCTTGAAAAAACAAATGCCACTATGCCATGCAGTGTCACTAACCTAAGTAACCTTAGGTCAGTCATTGTCCCCTCTGAGACTTTCCCTATCCAAACAATGAGATTGGATTAGGTCACCACTAAGGTTCTCTCCCTAACATTTAGTGATGCCACTGTTGCAATGTGTGGCTTTTACATTATGAGGCTACACCAAGAGCCAGTTCTTCAACTTGCCCTGCAATCAGAAAGGTCCTAATGGGTCTCCTATAACAGAAGCCTCACAGCTGGGGATGCCATTTCCTCTCTAACCTCTGGAAAGACTGACCACCTGCCTGCTATTCTCATTGCCTGCTACTATGTAAAAACTTCTGGTGTCAGTCTCCATCTGCTGGGGGGAAAATCACTCTCAGAAAGAAACACCTTCTCCTGCCAAGGCTTTGGGTGGGGCTTTGAAAGTTGTTTATGACAACACTGAGTCAGCACATTCATCAGGGTCAAGCTCACAGTTGGAGGGAATTGGAAGAGGGCCTTAGTAGAGAAGAAACCTCCAGCTGAGGCTTCTTCAGTCTCAAAGGGAATGGAATCAGAATCCACAAATTCATAATGGAGATTGGCAGGGAAGCATTGGCACCATGCTCAAATCAGCGGTTTCCTCCCAACGTGTTAGGCAGTTCAGATTAGAACAACAAAAAAGTACTAAATTTATGGACTTGATCACCCCAAGAAGTCATAAAAGTTCAAAACTGGTTTTCAAAAGCTGCAAAATAGGATTATGTGAAAACAAGCTCTTTGGGGAAGCGCGTCTAAACTACTGAGACTACTGAGCAGGGGTAGCTGGGTTCTCCCCAGATGTGTATCTTAGGGTTTGTTTCTGGGGCCGGAGGGATCACAGATCTGACCTAGTGTGACATTTACATGCATTAAGAATCAACATCCTTTCCTCTAATTGAGTTGTTTTGTTGCCTGAATCCTTAGGGTTAAAATAAGGGTACTTGGCTGGCCTCTGAAAGTACAGGACACCTTTATTAGCCTCTGAAAACGCATGGTTTCTTCTCATCTCTGAGGGTGAATATACTAAGAATTCTTATAAATGGTATTTCCCTGTAAGACAGGTGATGACAGTGCAGGCACAGCTGATGGGGACTGCAGTCAAGTCGAATGGAACCCAGTGACACATAAGCCCTCCCTTCTGAGTGCTTCCTCACCAAAATCACACTTTGCTTTTTCACACAACATATATTTATTCAGAAAAAAATTTGCAATAAATTATAATAAAAAAGATGACACGAAATATAGAATCCCACTAGCAGCTTTGCTTAGTGATCAAGACGTTTTTGGGAAATATAACAAACAATTACAGAATAAGAAAACAGTGAAAGGGAGACTAATGCAATGTCACCACATGGATTTGAACCATTTCTTCCCTAAGACAGCAGGTGCAGAGTCTTTCCCTACCAGCTGAATCCGAAATCCTTACTTCAGAGCAGCTACAAATTAGTACCTTAGAGGACTTGGCAATTACAGGTTGGGGTGCTGGAATAGCCATGGTAGGGAAGCAGATTTCTTCTGTCTGGGTCTACATCTTGTCTCCTCTACCTAGAGATTGTCTAAAACTCTCAACTCTGTATATGTTCCAGGATGAGCTGAAAAAAGGTCGAGGCAGTACACCAACTTAGTGTTTTGATCTGATGTAGAAAGAGATAGGATACTGCATACGTGCAGCACAGAGCCTCCACTAACCACACCCTTGATCACCCAAAGATCCCAGGTCAGTGATATGCTAGAAAACAAGCCCAGGAAAGGTATTTCCCTGTGGTATGACCCTACCCCAGTGTCTATCATCTGCCTCTTTTTGTGATCACTTTCTGGCCTTGCGGAGATGACAAACCTGTTCTGCTCTCAGTCTTCCATTAACTAAGTTCAACACCTAGCCCCTGACCTATCATACCTCCAGATCTGTGGCACCAGTAACTTGACTCCTATTGCTTTAACTCTCAATCAGGAAAGGGTTTAGCCATATTGCAGAATACGTACCTTCCCCCCCACCCCCACCAAGAAACAGGAGAAATCACTGGTGGTGCCTTGGATATGCTAGAAATGTCACAGAGTCAATGCCCAGGATTGTACATACAGCCTGTACGTTATGCTCCTTGCAATTAATGTAAACAGGCAAGGGTGGTTGTAACAAAAGAAAACCAGGAGGAACCCAACTGCATCAGGCAGTTTTGCAGTCAGTGGTTGGTGGCTTGTTTGTCAACCAATATAGATTAATTTATTTTAAAAAAAGGCTGTACCACAGAGCTTGAATAAATGAAAAGCTCAGAGGGTCATCTTGTATGGGAGAGGTAAGGTGCTTGGTTGGTCCTGTTGGCCAGTCTCTTTACACAACACTGGATATGGTGACTGGGAGCCAAGGGGAGTCTCTAAACCCTTTATGTGAAGGAGCTGGTTGTAGAGCCCAGAGTCAGTCCTGCTGAGGAAGGAGGTGACATCTGCCCTTGGTATTTCAGAAGACCAGAGAATGGATTCTAAGGGTCATCCACAATACCTTTGCTGTGGGAAGGAGCAATAGCTCTAGATGGGCCTGCCTGAGGTACAAGACTTCCTCTTTTACTGTGGGGCCAGTGTTGCTCTGGAGGTGGATGTCTAGGCAGGAGATGGGTCTCAGAGACACCCAGGATTAGTCCTTGTGTAAAATTTGAATAATAACAGGAAAAGGATAGTGGGAAGCAGGACCTGTCAAACATGAATGCTCTCACTCTTCAGATACTCAAAGTGCTTCCATTCTGATTGTGATTCTCTCTCATCGATGAGATGCCATCTCTAATAGTCCCTACAGTTATGCTACTAAATGTGATCTAAGAGAATATGGTTCCACCCAGTGTGGAGCCATGAAAAGGCCAATGTTACAGAGACATAAAGATGCCATTGTAGTAGAAATGCACAAATGCATGTAATAACTGCACGCAGACAGTGAATTCACTGTTGAGGACACCCAAGGAGTCACTAGCCTCACTCAGACTTCGTTCAAAGTGACAGAACGAGGGGAGTGGAGTGCAAAGGAGTGATCCAGGAAGGGGTGGGTCAAAAGTGCAAAACAAAGGACTCTAGACAAGTCTCAGCTACAGCAAGTAGTGCTTGTAGGCCTAGAATGGGAAGATCTCAGAATCTAGGCCTAGGGTACTAAGGACAATCATGACAATTGGGTAGGAGGGCAACAAACACATCCCTAGGTGAAGGAGTGTAAATACAGATCTTTTTGCCTTATAAAGAGAAAACACAAAAACACCAAAATATGGTAACTTTGGCTTGGCAATATAAGTCTAAAAGTATTTTTCTGTGTAGGATATGGTAAAGGAGGGATTAGGAAACGCTCTTCCTTTTTACTATAAACAGAACTTGAAATTCTGCAATAGACCCTTCCTGTGGCATGACTTTTTAAATCATTCTGAAATACTTGGAGCCCGAGATCGTCTGCTTCTAGAATATCAGAGAACAGTAAAAGCCTTAGTCTTCTTCGCTCCCAAGCAGAAAGCCCAGAAGGAACTGAATAGCACGCTGGCGGTCACTTGGAGTCTGTCTTGCCATAAGGTTGGGTGGAGGCCTCAGGAGAAGACTAGTGAAGAGAGTAGCTACAAGACGAGAGAAAGACAAGCGGAAACTTCTGTCAGACATAACCTAAGCAAAACCTCAGGGCTGGAGGGCCTGGGGACAAGGACTATTGACTGCCATGTGCCTGCATATGCAGTAAGGTATATACTGGATACAATGCACTAAGAGTATTCTCAACAAACGCCCCGTGTTGCATGAAGCACTCTTACCGATCATGTTGGCATTGACGCTATTGTATTCAGAGAATTTTAAGAGTTCTCGAAGGAATGCCATCAAGTAACGGAAAACATTTCTATGGCATCTCGGAAGCTGGGAGATCACCTGTTTTTAAAAATAGGGGCAGGCAGTGAGAAAAACAGGTGGAAGATGAAAGTAAGAGGAACTTACAGCTGCTGTAATAGTAGTCTATAATCCAACCCTTGCAGGACCCATTTCATCTGTCTAACTTCTATTATCTCCTCATGGCCAACACAATACCTTCCAAATTATAACTTCAAAGTAAGAGTGGCCGTGCTGTTTGGTCCCTGTCCACTCAATGACCAGGCCACGTGGTCATCACACATTCATACGCACACCCTGCCTCACAATAGGTCAGTGTTCATCTGTTCTTTTCCCATTTCCGTAGGCATGTAGCCACGGCACCTACCAAGCTGAATGGTTTTCTGTTCTTTTTTGTTTGAATGGTTTTCTTTACAATGTCACTTAGCATGGATGGGGACTCCTCTCAATACTCACTAGTCCAATTCACAGGTACTGTCAGCTACTGTGCATTAAAATCATTTCAGGATTAAAAACACACACCAAGAAGAGAAAAAGAAGAAAGGCTCCCAAGTGTCACCCATCCTTCCTGGTAATGTCAGCCAGAATTCCACGTACAATCAGCTTCACCAATTTACCCCAGAGTAGAGGGATCCACCCCACTATGTTTTCTGTAAACAGAAATAGGCCAATGGGAAAAAGGTGGCAAATATCGTAGGAAACAACACAACCTAAAATTTAAGGGTAGCAACTCTCAATGTTGGTGTCCTGCCATTAATAACAGATGCAGACCCATCCTACCAGACAGCTGGCTGCCTATCTGGCTCTGTAAAACTGACGACTTCTCTATGGGGCAATCTGCGTCAAACACATCCCCAGGTCAGTAGAACCCACCTGTCGGCAGATCCGGGGATCATAAGCAGAGTCAAGACATCGCTGATACAGCTCGTAACAGATGACTGGCTCTGGCAGGGCTTCCAAGAAAATGAGCAGTGCTTCAGCCACAGAGTGGTTGCTGCCAGCTGAATCAACTTAAGTCAAGGGAAAGGAGCTCCAGGAGAAAGGCCACACAGAGCCCCGACGAGCTCCTTTCCTCAAGCTCCTACAGGGACTGTTTCCCTCCTCTTATTCAGGGCACATTGATCCTAATGGGGGTTTGATATTTTATTGATTCAAGTGCCCTGCAGGTGAGTTGTTACAGAATTGGTCAAAGACTCTTGGCAGCTTTGGCCCAGCTTCAGGGTCAGGGGAATATAGCCTGCAGAGTGACAGTTGACACTGGAGCAGTCCTATAAACCAGGTGCCCATGTTTCCCATCCTTCTCCCTGCCCTGTCAACAGTACGTGTGGTGGCAGGAGTGACTGATCACCTGAAGGAGAATAGTACCAGTGCTGTGGCTTCTATGTCCCATGCTTTTAAGTCATTGTTATCTACCCCTTGCTTCCTTTTAGTAAGAGCTGGATATGGAAAGAGGTCAAAAGTTCCTGAAAGGAAATGAGAAACAAGTGGATAGTCAGTGGTTATCTTATAATAAAAGATATTACAAAGAAAATAAATATAGAACCACAAAAATCAAATATAGGTGCGAAGAAGAGTTTGATCAAGTACTCATCCAGCTTCTTAAGCTTTGGTCGCAAAGGATACGGATTGTCTCAGGAATGCTGGTATCCAGACAATCAATGATCTGCTGGAGCTCTTCCTGCATTCCAGGGGTCTGGAACAGGTCCTCCTACCAAAGAAGTCAGAATGAAGGGACAGGCAAGATAATCACTCCTGAGGTTATGATGATTACCCAAGGATCAGAAGAGCAGCAGGAAGCAAAAGGGAAGGGTGGTATGTGTGTTAATAATTACAAATGGAGGTGTGAAAATAACACATTTTTCCTTTAGCATTTCTCTAATCCATGTGAAATGTTATTTCAAATAGGAAAATGATCTTTTCAAAGGTTTTAGCCTGTACCTAATAAGGCAGGGGACTAGATGGCTAGAGCAGGAAACCAGGTGTTCTAATTCTAGCCTCCTTTAAAATTTTTTTTTATAGAGATGGGGTTTCACCGTGTTGCCCAGGCTGGTCTCAAACTCCTGAGCTCAAGCAATGCGCCCGTCTCTGCCTCCCAAAATGCTGGGATTACAGGCATGAGCCACCATGCCTGGCCTACTTGTAGCCTCTTGACAAGCAGCAGAAGGCAGAGTCCAAACAGAATAACCACATTCAAATGCTAGTACTACTGAACGCTGGGGAAGGAGGAAATCGCATGCTCATACTAAACCTTGCTTTCAAGTTACATTATTCGTCAGTAGGTAAGAGAACATTACCTTTCAATTTAGTCCCAAGAAATATCTCTTTTGGGGGCGAATGAGGTGGGGTGGCATTTTAGTTAGGATTTAAAAGAAAAATTAGGACCAAGTTAAAAAATGGGTTTAAAATCTGCTTTGGATTTTACAATCTCTAATGCCTACATGACTCATAGCCAAAGTAGGCATTATAGACTCAGGTGTGCAGCTGTCCAGGGAAAATGAGAGGGTAGCCAGGAGACAGGTGCTCTTAATTTGGTCCTGGCTCTGCCACAACTACACTTAGGCCTTTGTCTTAGTAAATAACTTACCTTTACATGCTTCAGCTGTGACATCTGTGACTAGGACACTTCCACCCACCCAGTCGATCTGACAGTGCCACTGTGTGCAGGTAGCTTGGGAAAGTTAAAAGCGCTATGCTGACGTGAGGTGTTGTGATTTCCTATAGTAGTTACACACCTTCCAAAGTTGTAGGGAAGGTCTACTCTCACTTACCTGGTGACAGGCGTATTTGAATAGGTGATCTACTAGAAGCCAGATCTCCTTGGGAACCTGAAGGGGTCTCTCACTGGCACCTTCATCCAAAGGAACCATTTGCAGAAGGGATTTCTCCTAATAGATGGAAAAGTATGAGAATCAAAGGGGTCTCAGAATAAAGACTTTGGTGTATAACTTAAAGTCCTTCAAATTCTGGTCATGCAGGTAAAATGTGATCTTCATCTCTTAAGATTTTCCATTTCTTCTCACTGGGGACACTCCTGGTCAGAAGGCACTTGATAGCGAGTCCCATAGTTAAAGGATGTCCTTTCCTAAATGCTTCACTTAATTGTTCTGCATTTCATTTGCGTTTATGATGTTTATTACGTGGATGCCTTGTGTTTAAATCCTTTCAAAGGTGACACTGAGAACCAGTGCTCCGGTGATACAGTCACAGTGGAGTCCATACAGCACTGGTGACTTGGGGACTATTAAATTACAATTGTCAATACAGTAGTTTGAGAGATCAAGGTCTACACTTAGGTTTTTGTTTATTTCTAACTTACTCTTCCTTCAGGTCTTACCACAGATACTGTTGTTTGTTTTCAATGTTGATTTAAATTAGCTTCTTTAGTTTTCAGGAATTAAAGACAACTCTCCACAACATTAGACCCACATATGTAAATACTTCAGGCTTGATGGAAGTTCTAATCTTAAGGTGCTAAAACTCGTAAGCCTTAAGGTCCAAAAATAGTAAACTGAATACAGCTAACCAAGAGGCAGAAATACCACGAAAAGTTTAAGGTCTGAGTCCAGAAGTTACAGTTTCTAGGAATAGCTCAGCCAAGATTTCTAGGGGCTTTTACTCCTTTCATCTATCTTTCTACTATCTGTTATATTCTTCTGAAAGAATTTTGTAAGAGAAAAACCCAGAAGTGACATAAATCAAATCAATCACTATATGTGAATTGGAAATGGCTAGGAAATAAACTCAGTTATCTTAGGTTCATGTAATCAAATATAAATTACATGAAAAAATGTTTGAAATAGTAAAGGCACCTGAAGGCACCCTTCATAAAAATCCCAGTGGAGAGAACCATGACCAATTTTTTTGCATCCTCCTCCCTCCCCCGCCTCTAGCTTGAGGTCATATATATTCTGTATGTTTAACTAAGAAATTCTTGCCTAACATTGTGCAACTTGTGAATTCCATCCACAACCCCCAGTCACGTAGCTTTAAAAGAAAAAAAAAGGAGCATGTCACTACTTTGACAGAGACCACATACACTACAGCCGAGCTGAGGTCTCTTCTTAACATTGTGTTCTTTAACAAGCACTGATGACCTTTAAAAGCTGCTGTGCCTTTCCAAGGGAATAAGAAAGAGAAGGGAGTGTGACAGTTGGTTACCATTTAAAATCTTTCTTTTTTTTCCCCACATTCAGTTTGCTTCCTTTCTTTCCCTGGGATTCTATCACTTGATATTCATGTTCCTAATAGTTGCCAGAATGTCTATCAATGGCTCATCCATTTACTTCTTTCCAGTTACAAATATCAAATCCAAGCATCCACATGGTATTTGAGACAAAACACTGTCCATCATGCACTCTGCTAACTCTCTGGACCAAATGCAGCACGTGTACTGATTCTTTAGCAGATGCCTCCAAACTTGCCATATAGAAATTATGCAGCACTGATTCATGTACTTTTTAAAAAGTCTGACATCCAACTGGAGCTTTTCCTGTACTAAGGCATTAAGGCAACACAAGGCACTGCCTAAGATAAAAAGACAGAACATGGACTGCTCTTAACAGGGAAGAGCTAGGAAGCACAGCTGTCTCAAACCTTGGTGGTTTAAAAAGGTTAATAAAGTGTCAGTAGATTATATACACCATCCACTATTCATTTTCAAATTCCTGTATGATAATATGGAATGCCACAGTTGTGTCTCCAAAGTCTAGAGAAAGATCATACACAGAAAATACTTGAATAATTTCACAAATTATCCTGAACTCTAATTTTCAAAGGAAAACCAAGGTACTTTGTCTTCTTTCAACAAGACACATTCAGCGCCTGATAAGCCCACACTCTGTAACCTTACTTAGTGTTAATAACTAAAGCATGAAAACAGTATACCATCCCCATCATCAAAAGGCATTAAATTCCACCAAGTGGGTACAGTGCATGACTTCAGCAAGTTTTTCAACCTTTCTGGGCCTTGGTTGTCTCATCTATTAGAATGGAGAAAATACCCTGTCTGAAGGTAGAGGCCTGAACCAGATGATCTTTTATGATCTTGTTCAGGTCCACGGTTCTATTCTATGCTCTATTTCTTGATCATATCTGTGTATTTTTTTCTGAAATTAATTGCTATGATCATTAACCTCAAATCATTTTTAATGCAACAGAAAGCTACTTCTTCAGGTTTTATTGTCATTGGAAATGGAGGACAGCTAACTGGTACCCCCCTCCAATTCATGAGCATTCAGATACATCAAGACGGCTCTGTAGTTACTTCTCATTTCAAAAATACAAATCTAGAACCTTGAGTCCTACTGTTTTTATGTACTGAGTCTCAATGACTTGACTGCTACAGTAAATATCTTTCCTGTACTTCAAACACACTTAAGGACAGCCGGCAGGACTTTAGGGGAGTCTCACCAAGTCAGAGGTCTCTGATATGGGAAAGCCTAGGGACAAATTCCAGGGACCACAGTTAAGTGTTAATCAAGCACAGGGAAACTCTCATAACCACCAATGGATTGCATTACCTTTTCTAGGAAGCTGTCTTCTTCCTGAGAGCGGAGCAGGAAAAGAAAGTCATTGACAGACAGAATATGATTAGAATTAATTTACAGAATTAGAAACAGATCAGTATTAGAACTCACTATCTTACCAGATATACATGCTTTAAACAGCTTTGAATTCTTCAAATAAATTATGATTGTTGAAAATGAAATACATTTTTCATACACAAAGTTTACTATACATTTTAAATTTTTGTGCAGTTTGAGAATATCACTCAAGAAATATGTGCAGTTCTAGACTTCAGTGCCCTTTGGCATCTGCCAACTGACCCAGCCAAATGCCCCTGATGTCTCTTCCTGTCTGCTGCTTGGAGGCAGGTGCATTGAGGTATATACCTCAATGAAAGAATATGGCTGTGGGCCCAACAGTGGCCATCTGGAAGGAGATGGTAAACCACTCTACTTTCCATTTTCATTCTTCTCACCCCAGCCAGTCTCCTAAGCAGCATCCCAGATTCCTTTCTATCTCCTCGTACCCAATCCCCTCCTCAAAGGCCCCCAGAGTGCCCAGATTTGAAGGTCCTTCTGAACTATAAATGAATTTCATTTCAGACCTTTGCGGATCAGAAGATCCATCATTATCCCATTTTTATTTTCCTATTGGGCATAAGAGAAAAAAAGAGAGGCAGGGGATAGGTAAGAAGGTATCTTTTTAATCTTCCTATCTTTTATGCTGTTATTACAATCCAATAATAATAGCAGCCATGATAACTACCACCACCACTTAGGGAGCATCTGTCATGTATCAGGAACTGTGCAAAGTGCTTATATACAGTCATTTAATCTGTACACATGTGCAAAGTAGATATTATTCCCATTTTACAGATGAAGAAACTGAGGCTCTGAAAGCTTAAATTATTTGCCCAAGGCCACACTCACTATTAGGTAGTAAGTGGCTGAATCAGGATTGGATCCCAGGTCTGACCAACTCCACAGTCATTATCACTATGTTCCGTTAGACAATTCAAAAAGGACAATGTGACTGCTTCCTGGACAGAGAGGTAGAGGAAAACTGTGAGAATGTATTCTCCATAACAGGCTAAGGACAGTGAGAAACCCCACTTAAAAGACAGCGTGGTTAATGGAAAGAGTATAGGCACTGGTGTTGGACAGGCTTGGGTACAAATCTTCGTTCCACCTCTTGGCAATTTTGTATAGCCCTCACACAAGTTACCAAACTTCATAGAGCCTCAGTTTCTTCATCTCTAAAATAGGGATAGTAATATTTACCTTGAAGCAGCCTAAAACCAATGGGTGATGGGGCAGTATGCCAGCAGAAGGTCTGGGTTCCTCAAAGTTCCTCATACCTCCCCAGTGACTCCCAACCTGGATTGTTTCGAATCTGACTATGGACCACTAAGCACTCAAGTCTAAATTACATGTCTTAGTTCTGCTAGGTAAAAGGAGAAATCCCAATCTTACTGTCTGAGATGCACAGGAGCTGGGAGTGGAGAGGGAGGAGGAAAAGTATGTGCTCCCTGGCATTCCTAGTGGTAATACTGAATGCATTCCTCCCACACTACTGTTATCCATGGGGATTAGGCGTTTTAATATTGGTAGATACTTCACGAATTAAACATGCTTTTGTGGGTTTATCTAGACTCTTAAATATCACATGAAATAAAGCAATTAGAATAGTCTTTATAAGGTACATATTTATAGTACTATAATTACGATACCTTTTAATGTCAAGTTGATTTTGAGTGCCCAACATCTGATACAATTTTAGACTAGAACCTCTTGTAAAATTTAGGACTTGTTATCAAATGAAGAATCTATCTGACACATTTTATATTTTTCCTCCCATGAATATCTAATACATGATATGAATAAAACTAGACAGAGATTTTGTATACTAACCTGTCGAACCAGGCTCTCAAAAAAGTTTTCTTTAAGCAGCAGCCATCCTCCAGTACAAGGCATTGTGCTAAAATGCCTTTGCAGGGGAAGGCAATGAGAAATGAGGATAAAGGAGAAAGACCTGGTTTGTCCCTGACTCTGATTTGCAACTGAGTTGGGGTGAGGAGTTCCAGAGTTTACAGACTGGTATTGTTATAATTCATGAATACGAGTTCTCAATAAATCATTGCTAGCCCTTTAAAAGACTCACAGAATTTTAAAGGGTAGAGATGGGGAGAGAATATTACAAGTGGAAGAGGCAGAAATAAACAAAAGGCACAGAGACAGTAAATCACAAATTGATATTAGGAAGAAGTTAGTCATCTGTTTGTGGGGGGCATGGAGAATGCCAAGAAAAATAGTGTGAAATAAATCTGAAAAGGTATGTTGAAGTCAGACTTAGGAGGACCTTGCATGACAGATTAAGGCATTTGGATTGTATTCAGCAGGCATGGGGAAGCCACTGACTACCTTTAAGCAAGGAAGTGATAGGCCCCAAAGCAGTAGTACAGAAAGATCAATCTGACAGCCCTGAATAGGAAAAAATGAAGGGCAGAGACAGAGACAGAGAGAGAGAGAGAGAGAGAGAGAGAGAGAGAGAAAGACAAAGGGATCATTCAAAGGCTACCGAGGTAGGTCAAGCAGAAGAAGGTAAACATCTTAATAATGGAAAATTTTATACACACACACACACACACACACACACAGGTGTGTGTATATATATATATATAATTTCTAAGTATATATATTAAAGGATATATATATATAATAAAAGGTATATACATACACTTACAAATGAATGAATACAAGAGAAAATTCTGAAAGAAGAATCAAAAGGACTTTGATTAAATACTGATGGAGGGACAAGAGATTTACTTCTCTAGGTACAGGCACAAAGAAACAACATAGAAATTACATTGAATTCAACCTTGGTCTCAATTTTGAAAACAGAAGCATCACTTAACCTTTATTAGTAAACAGCTTACTCCTATAATAATCCTAAGGTTTCTACTATGAATCACTTAGTTCAACCAATTTTAAAGAGCAGAGATGCCCATTCTCTGCAAAAGGCTATATATGGATTACATTTAAAAAGAGAACTTAGTTCAGGATTTCCCCAGTGGGACAACACTGGCACATAGCAAATGCAATGCAAATCATTCTTTACCCCAACATTCACCCTCAGAAGACTGTTCCCCGTGGTAAATGCAGCTAAAATAAAAGAGTCAATTAGAGGTGGAAGATGCAAATTTAAAAATAAAAAGCATAGCCGGGCACGGTGGCTCACGCCTGTAATCCCAGCACCTTGGGAAGCTGAGGCGGGTGGATCACCTGAGGTCAGGTGTTCAAGACCAGCCTGGCCAACACAGTAAAACCCCATCTCTACTAAAAAGGCAAAAATTAGCCAGGCGTGGTGGCGCGCGCCTGTAGTCCCAGTTACTCGGGAGGCTGAGGCAGGAGAGTCACTTGAACTGGGAGATGGAGGTTGCAGTGAGCCAAGATTGTGCCACTGCACTACAGCCTGGCCGACAGGGTAAGACTCCATCTCAAAAATAAATAAATAAATAGCCGAAAACTGAATGGAAAATGAAGTTCTAAAAAGGATTAGTTCATATGAAATAGAGAAGAAATACAAGCCATATACTTAACAGAGTAAGAAATGGATGGTTAGATTAGTAAGACAAAGTAAAAACATAGTGAAAAAAACACTACGGACAAATTAACAAGTTATTCCTGTTATTTCAAACTTTTGATATTGTTCTCCCAACAGATATGTCCCCAAGCAAATATAGTTTCTCTACCCATCCCTCAACTTTTTTCATCTCCGTATTTACAACTTAGCCACATCTGGCAAGTTCAAGTCTTGTCTCCTTTCAATTAGTCCATTCTACAAGTAACACCAGAATGTTCTTCCAACTATATCAATTTGCAACCTCATACTAATCAGCAAACCCTTCTGATGGTTCTAGATACCCTCTGGCTCATGCATAAACTTATCTATTGACTTCAAGACTCTCTACCACCTGCCCCATTCTCCCTAACCAGCTTCATACATTCTTATCCTTGATCTTCACTTGTCCCAGGGAAATCTTACAGTTTTTCATACATGGTCTTTTCACTTTCACCTTCTACCCTTTATTCAAGATGTCCTCTAAGCCTGGAAGAGCCTGCTCACCCACTATATTAATAAGTGTTTCTTAAGTACTTGGACTTGACTGAAAATACTTCTATAACTAACTCCAAATCACCTTCCTAGTTCACTTTATTCTTATGTGCTAAACTTATTTCTCAGTCATGTTAATGTTACATGTATCAAATATTCATTAAAATGAAAACAGGCTGATTCTGATTTCTATAGGGATTAGCTGGTCAGTCAATAAGCTTTTATAGCATATAAGGGCTTGAATAAACAACATAGGAAAGGAACCTATTGTTAATACAAACTACAACCTTCATAGCAGTCACTTTAAACGACTTTCCAAAATACTGACTTACCAAGCACACCAGACATTAGCCAGTAAAGGTGGTTAATGTTCAGATTATCTTTAACCAAACTCCCTATTAACCATGACTTAAAGTTTAGCCATATTTTATGTGCAAATATACTTTCATCACCACTAAATTATGGGAACTCACATAAACTCCATAATACTTTGTATCCAGTGTGTAATGAATCAATATTGAGGATTATTTGCTACTTAATATTCTAGTTAATATAACAGAAAAATCTATCTTAATTCTGAAAAACAATAAAGATGATTACAAATGGTAGATTTTCATCCGTTTCCCACTTGTGCTAATCTCAACTATTCTAGGAGTGGCAAAGTCACTATTATGAAAAGGGCTGGAAGGATGAAAAATAATTATGTCAGTTATTTCATTCTGCATTTGGTGGGAAGATGGTGTGGCATAAGGATCTTTCTAAAACAGTGCATAAGGATCTTTCTAAAACAGTACATAGAGAGACAACACATACATTGAACTCGTTTCTGGCTTTACCAAAATTTTAGAGCAAATAATACAACAGAGGGCAGGTACCATTATTAACAGCATCATCTCATGAGATTTGAAATACGATATTGGGTCTTGGGGAAAAAAAACATGAATACTATACCTGAGGAATCATTTCAGAAGGTCAAAATCAAGTCACAACAGAGTGAGAAGGTATTAAAGATGGGATACTAATTGTTTTTAGATTTCTTGTTTACTGCTCCACAGTAATGCAGGTTGAGTATTCCCAATCCAGAAATCCAAAATGCTCCAAAACTCGAAACTTTTTGAGTACTGTCATGATGATCAAAGGAAATGCTCATTGAAGCATTTCAGATTTCCGATTTCCAGATTAGGGAAGCTGAACTGGTAAGTATATAATGCATATATTTGAAAATCTGAAAAAGATTGAAATCTGAAACACTTTTGGTCCCAAGCATTTTGGATAATGGATAATCAACCTGTATAGATAATTTCCTCATCAATGAGATACAGGAATTTAATAACACTGAAATGCAACAGACTGTGAAAAGAACCCTAAATCCTACAAAATAAAAGCTTTAAAAGAAAAATGATGTCCACACACATACAATTTAATAAAAACTCAGAAATTCTGTAATTAAAAATGATCAGGGTTCTATTATTTTAACCCTCAATCACTTGTGCACAAAAAGAAGGAAAAAGGCTTCCCAAAGAGCCATTCATTCCTCTAATGATTTTGGTTCCTTTCTGTTCATGGGCAAACATGGTAAAATTACCTGATAGTATACTTTACATAAAATAAAAACTTTATGAGGGTTGAGCCTCTTCTGGCCAATCCCAGAATATGAAAAACTGCAAAGTTTTTCATATTAATGGCTTTGCAGTTTTTCATATTAATGGCAAAGATATTCTAATATCTTCACTGACTCTGACTAAAAATAAGGGTAGGTTCCTGTTTACATGAAGGTGGAAGGAGAGAGTATAAATGGGATAAGTTTAAAAAAAAAAAAAACAAGAAGGAAACAACCAGAAAAATTTAGGAAATGGTTGACCCTTGACTGGACATTTGTACTGGACTCTTAAAAAAGTCAATGTCACTAAAGAAAGTAGGAACTGTACTACTCCAATAGAGACTTCAGAGACCTCACCAAATACTATATGAACCCAGATTGGATTTTGGTTTAAAAAAAGGTATAACAGAAATTCTTGGGACAACTGAAGAAATCTGAATATGGACCGAATGTTAAATGATACTATGGATTACTGTTAGTTTTCTTATACATAATAATGGTATTGTGCTTAAGTGTGCCCTTTTTGTTAAGAGATGCAGGCTGAAGTGTTCAGTGGTGAAGTGACATATTACCACTAAATTTTACATGACACAGCAAAAAACATCTGTGTGTATATATGTACAGAAGGCATGTGGGGGTGTGTTGTACTGTTCTTTCCATTTTTCTGCACATTTGACATTTTTCATAATAAAAAGCTGAAACAAAGAAAGCTGGGAAATAATGTCTGAGATGAAGGAAAGGGGGTAGGAGAAATAAGAAAAACAACTTCATCATCCAAAATGTATTCTAAAAGGTGAAATACTAAAATCTAAAAGACAGAAATATAATGTTAGGAGAAAAACAATTATCATGAAAAACAGCAGAACGGTAGGATATGAATTTCTGAAGAAAATGGTTCTCTCTCAAACAGAGGTAATATACTCAGTCATGAGGGCTCTGGGGAAATAAGTATAATTCCAAGAAAGAATGCCGGGGCTGGACTCAGTGTTTTAATCTGCTATCTGAGTCACAGCTAAAACAATTCCATGGCAACAGAACAGATCGGACTCAGACAAGCCAGCAGCCTGCCTGCTGGTCTAGACCTCCCTGCTAGATACAATCACTCGCTCTGGCTAGGCCTAAAGGATCCATGTGAATACTAATGGTAAGGATAACGTATGCTGTCACCTCACCTAATTTTCTTTGGTAAAAAAACCAAGAATATACTTTTGTAGCCCAAAGAGATTCTGCATACAATCCAACAATATTTTCATTTAGAAGGAAATTTCTTAATACAATGAACTTTATTACTAAATCAACTTATGTTACTGAAGATAGTAAGTACTTCCTTCATAAAAACATTAATATTATAGCTTGGCTTGAGGGAGAGGTGGGAAAATCAACCTCCTTTTCTTTCTTAAGCACATCACATTAAGTAAGTATCAAATTTCAATGTACATTATAAGCATCTGGAATGCGGATAAAATGCAGATCTGTAGGCTCCATATCCTGAGATTCTGATTCCATTGCCAGAAGTGAGGGTACCTGTAATAAGCACCCCCAGGGATTCTGATTCAGGTACTCCAGGGTTCCAGGATAGTTCTATGCTTCCATAAATAGCAAAGTTTTACTCTGATTAGATATAATGTGGTATTAGTGAGGAATACTAAACTGGGAGCCAGGAAATCTGGGTGCTAGATTTGTTACTAACTGATGGTATTTGACTCTGGGCACGTCAATGTCTCTGTGCCTCAGTTTTCTCATATGCTCAAATGAGGATAATTCTGCCTGCCCCACTTAGCATACCTCACGTACATGCTAATTTATACAAAAGTGACTTGAGAGTATGAAGAGCTTAACAAACAAGCATTATATCTTTGAGAGGGGAGTCTTTAATCTTATTTGGTGAGCTTAGTATTATGTATTGTACTCACAACAAGAGCCAACTGCAGATTAGTCCCCCCTCTTTCCCCTTAGGCTTAATCTAATCAAAACAGTGCTAAAGTAACATTCTTCTTTATCATTTGACATCCCCCGTGGCCAAAAGAAGACAGAAAGCACAAAGATAATGAGGACGTCACTTAAGTATTGTGAAAATTAAATGTAAAAGAGGTTTATGTCTTGGGACAGTTCTTACCAAGTCTATGAGTTTGGTAACAGGAACTTCTCGGATTGGTCTTTTCATACGGCACAGAGCCTCTAAGGATGTGCCAAAACAACTTGGGAGGTAATTTCCACTGATAGTCAAGAAGTAATCTTTGCCTCGATCCAGGTGAAGGACGAGAATATCTTCAATCTTATCTTCTCCCGAGTTCAGGATGGTTACAGAGTCTTTGCTGACATACACATCAAGAGAAATGTCCACTGTCTCATCTGAAATGTAAGAGATGATACATGGTAATAGGAAAACCTCCAGTGGGAAAGCAAAAAAGAGTATAAGAACCAACAGAAAAGTGTCCTCTAAAAAAATCATTAAGCAATGAGGGGGAAGAGACAGGACACACACCAGAGGTATCACCAATATGACAGTAAAGGTAAGAGACATGTGGTTAGAAAACAGAAAGTTAAACCAAGGGGATGGGAGTCATGACATCACCAGCAGAGACAATGGTAAAGGGAAAACTCACTTGGCTCCAAGTAGCCCTCAAAAGGTTCAGCCCGAAGCCATGGCTTGCAGTACTGGCTGTCATTAAGTTTAGGGATGAAAGAAAAATGGCAGGGAACCTGTCCATTGTTGCTGATCTGGAACTTCTCCTTTTGTAGTTGCCGAAACTTCACATTTTCAAACACAAACTGGGGAATAACAGACAGACACAAACATGCATCACTAGTAGGGGAAGTAAGTCAGTTGGATTATTCCATAGAGGATATGAGGAGTAAGGTAATTGTTAAGCAGGTGTGCAAATGCCATAGACATTCACCAACTGAACCAACTTCACAACATCCACTTGCATGTATTATTATACTCACACCAGCAGAGAAGGAGTTAGGTGGCTCTTGCTACTTCTCCAGGCTACTCTGATCATTCCTAGGATCCTAAGAGGGTAACCCAACCTTGGTTCAGAGTATTCATCCTGTGACCAAGTCCTGGTTTCTGAGATATAAATTAACTAGCAACTCTGAAATATTAAATAAGAGCATCTAACAGCGGAGGGCTTACTATGTGCCGGGTGCTGTTCTGAGAGCTTTGCATGTATTAACTCATGTAATCCTTACAACTACCCCTTAATCCAGGAAAGGAAACTGCGGCTCTGAGCGGGTAAGATACTTGCCTGAGGTCATACATCTACTAAACAGCCGTGCTACAACTGGAATGGAGGCAGTCTGACTCCAGCGACATGGGCTTAACCACGTTGCTATGTAGCCTTTTCTAAGTAGCAGTTTCTTCTGTGCTAACCACAGTGAGCAGTAGACAGGGAGATCATGTATTTTTGCTCACCTCCCTCCTGCTGAGTTCTAAGGAAGGAAGGAAGTCATTTTCCATTCTGTCCATGATGCGTACACTATCTTCAAAGACTTTCCGGTACCTTCGTTCATCCACAACCTTCACCTGAAAGAAAATGTATCCTCTTTTCAGTCTTATATCCTTCTAGCTCATCTCCCTTGGAGATTATCTAACAATTTAAAACTGGTCATTACAGTAACTATTTAAAATAAACTGTGGTGCAAACAACATCCTCAAACACTCTCTATATCTTGCTTCATCCACAGCTTGCACCTGAAAGAAAACAGATCCTTGCTTTAGTTTTATGTGTTCTCAACTTTTATACCTCCAAGAGTCTCTAACAATTTTTAAGGTCACTAAAGCAAACATAAATTGAACAAAGCATTATAGAAGCACACGCTTTAAGGTAAAGGTAAGATTAATTGGCTAACGTCCTGTAAAAGTTAAACCCCTACGTTAAGAAGCTTGGTAATAATAAATATTTGGGAAGAATATTTTCTTGCTTCATTGTTAAGTTATTTGGTAGTGGAAAAAATGTGATAATTGTGGTAAAAATGATTGCTTGCACTGTACAAAATGACAGTGTCAAAACACAGCAATTACTGTTTCTAACAATCATAACTTGGTGAGGTGGCAGCAAATATTATTAAAAAGCTTTTAACTCTATTAGATTCTATGTACAATACCAAGAAGTATAATATCACTGCTCAGATTACATAATAGCAGAGATATATTAATAAATGGAACCTACAGCCATTTTAGAAAATGGCTGAAACAAAATGTCCTAGACTAGAGTAAAACCATGACAACGTATAAACACATCTCCACTGATAAAAAAATTTTCCACCTGACACAGCACTTTCAGCTTCCTGATATAGCTGTGTTTTTTTAAATATTAAAACTTCATACAAACCAATGCCAAAATTAACATAACTAACAGATTTTAACTTGAGATATCGGTTTCTTTTTTAGACTAGGAAATTTCACAAAAATTCATGTCAAAAAAAATTGATACATGCAGCAAAGGTTCTAAAAAGATGTGGAAACAGATGCTGGTGAGGCTGTGGAGAAGTAGGAACGCTTTTACACTGTTGGTAGGAGTGTAAATTAGTTCAACCATTGTGCAAGACAGTGTGGCGATTCCTCAAGGATCTAGAACCAGAAATACCATTTGACCCAGCAATCCCATTACTGGGTATATACCCAAAAGAATATAAATCATTCTACTATAAAGACACATGCACACATATGTTTACTGCAGCACTACTTACAATAGCAAAGACATGGAACCAACCCAAATGCCCATTAATAATAAGACTTGATAAAGAAAATGTGGTAAATATACACCATGGAATACTATACAGCCATAAAAAGGAATGAGATCAGGCTGGGCACAGTGGCTCACACCTGTAATCCTAGCACTGCGGGAGGCCGAGGCAGGAGGATCACTAGAGGTCAGGAGTTCGAAACCACCCCAGCCAACACGGTGAAACTCTGTCTCTACTAAAAGTACAAAAAAAAAATTAGCCAGGCATGGTGGTGGGTGCCTGTAATCCCAGTCACTTGGGAGGCTGAGGCAGGAGAATCCCTTGAGCCCGGGAGGCGGAGGTTGAAGTGAGCCAAGATTGCACCACTGCACTCCAGCCTGGGCAACAGAGCAAGACTCCACCTCAAAAAATAAAAAAAGTCATGTCCTTTGCAGGGACATGGATGAAGCTGGAAGCCATCATCCTTAGCAAACTAACACAGGAACAGAAAACCAAGCACCGCATATTCTCACTTATAGGTGGGAGTTGAAGAATGAGAACACATGGACACAGGGAGGGGAACAACACACACCAGGCCACTCGGGGTAGTGGGGCGAGGGGAAGGAGAGCATTAAGGTTAAATAGCTAATGCACGTGGGGCTTAAAACCTAGATGATGGGTTGATAGGTGCAGCAAACCAACATGGCACACATACCTATGTAACAAGCCTATACGTTCTGCACTTGTATCCCACAACTTGAAGTGAAATAAAAATTTTTTAAAATGTTGAAAATAAGAACATCAAAGCTGAGTCAAGTATCTCAGACTGGGGAAGTTTTTCACATATTTGAACTGTAACTCTTAGAGAACCGAGGATCAAACAATCACTTTACCATCACCAGGGTCCATAGTATAGCATTAGTTTAAGATGAATTTTATACTTTTACAAAACTTTGCAACTTTTAATTTCCAAAAGTATTTTGCACATGTCTTTTTATTTTCACAACCTGGAAGGCTACCAAAGCAAGGAATATTTTTGTTCCGATAGTTGAGAACATTAAGATACAAAACAATCAACAAACTTGCTCACTGCTACAGTGAATACCAAAGGTGACATCTGGACTAGTTTAAGACTCTTTCCAATATACTAGATATGTGACAGAATCAACTTGAGTATGTCTTAAAAGCACAGCTGCCTGGGTCTACTAATCACAGCCTCTAGGGGTGAGGACACATGCATCCACACTTTTTTTAAAGCTCTCTAAGCAATTCTTACATCCACTGAAGTCTGAGAACCAATGCAACAGATCACAGTACCAAGTGCAGGGTTGGAACCCTATCCTAGCTCTATCTCAGCCAGCCCACAGAAAGTCTTCTGAAATTAATTGGCCACGGTGCACTTGGCTCCTTTGTTAACAGTCATTGGTGCCAATGGTGGTGAAAATATAGTGTGGTTTTTAAAGCCTCTAATCATAGCATGCCCAAGAATCCAAAACATGGGGTGATTACTCAATAAAATCAAACTTTTTCTCAGCGGGTTATCATGATCACAGCACTTAATGGCAAATCAAAGATAATGAGGAGGGGGGGAACCCCAAAGAATTTCACAACCTGACACATCCATTTTAGTAAAGGAAATTACTGACAAAATTAGGAATTTGAAAAAAAGTACAATGAGCTAGGTCTTTATGTAATAAGATGGGAGGTTCTCCAAGACACACTGCTGAGTTAAAAAAAAAAATCAAGTTGCAGACCAACACATACATATAAGACCGTTTATGATATAGAGACACACACAAATCAGTATTTTGTCTATGAGTGAACAAAAAAGCATATACAAAGGTCTAGAACTGCACTGTCCAGTACAATAGTGACTAGCCACATAGGGAATTTGAATTTAAATTACTTTAAATTAAATTAAATTAGAAGTTCAGTTCTCAGTTGCACTAGCCACACTTCAAGTACTCAATAGCCCCCTGCTGCTAGAAGCCACTGGACTGGACAGCACAGATACAGGACATTTCCATCATCACAGAAAGCTCTATTGGACAGCACTGGTCTAGAAAGATATAAACTCCTAAGGGTAGTGGCCTGGCTGGGGAATGGGGGTTTAGGCAAAGTTGGGAGTAGGAGACAGAACAGGGATTGAAGAACTTCTGCCTTATCTGTCAATTCTGCTTAAATTTCCTTTTAATTTTTTTAAAAGCACTTGTCATTGCTGTATAATTTAAAAATCATTAAAAACTCAAAAGGCATATCTTTATTAAAGATATACATAAATACACAGGAAGCCTGAAAAAAAATGTAAATATCCCACTAGAAGCTCTGCATTAATGTGTATGGAGTATTAAAAACATCCCAAGGTTGGCTGCGAGCGGTGGCTCATGCCTGTAATCTCAGCACTTTGGGAGGCTGAGGCGGGTGGACCACAAGGTCAGGAGATCGAGATCATCCTGGCTAACATGGTGAAACCCCGTCTCTACTAAAAATACAAAAAATTAGCTGGGCGGGAGGCTGAGGCAAGAGAATGGCGTGAACCCAGGAGGCGGAGCTTGCAGTGAGCCAAGATCGTGCCACTGCACTCCAACCTGGGTGACAGAGCGAGACTCTGTCTCAAAAAAAAAAAAAAAAAAACCAAAAAACAAAAAACAAAAACAAACAAAAAAATCTGAAGGTTTTGAAAAGAAATGTAAACAAAAAAGCCAGGCATACCTGATCTAACCAAAGAGGTTAGTGTTTGAGGAAAGATACCCTCTCAAAATGGATTAAGAGAATTCAAATGAAGAAAAAGGGGCAGCCTGCAAGTACAAACTAGAAATTAGATGGGCTAAAAGAAGTTATCTAAAGGTATATTTCATCAAGTTCTATAGAATTATAGAGGTATTGTGGGGTAGTAGAAAGAGCACAGAGTTGGGAGTTAAGCCAACTTAAGATTGGAATCTCAGCTCTCCTCCTAGTTGAATGCTCTTAAATAAGTTATTTCAACTTGCTGTTCTCCATCTGCTCATCTGTTAAATGGGAAATACAGTTGTCCCTTGAGATCTGTGGGGGATTGATTCTGGCATGGCCTGTGTATAATCAAATTCACGCATACTCAAGTCCCACAGTTGGCCCTCCTTATACGTGGGTTTCACATCCTGTGAATACTGTATTTTCCATCTGCATTTGGTTGAAAATATCTGGATATAAGTGGATCTGTGTAGTTCAAACCCATGTTGTTGAAGGATCAACTGTATTTAACTCAAAGCGTTGTTGTGAGGAGTAAATGAGATGTGTGCAAATTGCCTCACATAGTCCCTGCCACACAGCCACTAGCTGCTATCTGAGGAACAGTTACTATTATTAATGATTATTATTTTAAAATTTCAAAATGGACAAAAGTAAAGTCATGATTGTCTTGATAAAATTTAAAATCTATTCTAAGACCAATAAATAATTCTGATCTTAAATGAAAAGCCCCAAAGTCTTTCTTCCTTAAAACAGGAGCAGGATAAAACAGGTTGGTGATATCTATCTCAGAAGCCCCCTAAATCAACACACACACAGAGGAAAGAAACCTATCCCATTATGCTCTTCACATGTCCGAACTCATTAATCTTCATGAGTATGTACCAATATTACCCACGCTTAATAGAGGAGGAAACTGAGGCATAAATATGTTACATAAATTGTCCATGGTTACACAGTTAGAAAGTGGTTGAACTCGGATGCAAATCCCAGAAGTCTACTACAAAGTCCATTCTACTAAGCACTGCACTATATACATTCTGACAGATTATAGGGCTGTAGATCTGAAAAATCCACAAGAAATAACCTAAATGTACTGGCTGTAACAAATTAAATCAGCATGATTACAAGATATGACCTACATACCAATAACACACAGTTTAAAAATACAATGGGAAAAAAACTTTACTCACAATACAGACAGAAAATTAAATAACTGGCCATTAATGCAGCCCAGGATAGAACAGAGTTAAAAAAAAATTCGCTGGGCACGGTGGCTCACGCCTGTAATCCCAGCACTCTGGGAGGCTGAGGCAGGGGCATCGCTTGAACCCGGGAAGAGGAGGTTGCAGTGAGCCAAGATCACACCACTGCACTCCAGCCCGGAGGATAGGGCAAGACTCCGTCTCAAAAAAAAAAAAAAAAAAAAAGAAAAAATAAGTGTAGGGATGACACTATATCCCTTAAGACAATATACAGAGTTGGCTGTATTCTGATCAGTCTGTGCCTTTGCTCCTGCTGTCTCTACCCTTCCACCCAGAATCTCCCTCCTGGTGTTTCCCTTCTTTACTATCTGATAAAACTTAGCTTTTAACTCTTCATTATGCATACCTACTTTAGGAAGCTCAAGTTACCACCTAACCACTATGTAGCATGAGAAACATCTGTGTCACTAAAAGGCCTGGAGCATTAAGAGCTATACGGACAGCATTTGGGAGGGTTGGGGGCACTAACCTCTCAATGCTGCAAATGGTTATTTGGTTATGGAACATTTATGGCTTGCTGAATTACTGATCTGTTCTGAGTCTAAATAATCCTCTAGTAATTGATACTTAACACACAAATAAATGAATGTACAAACAAGTGTTTACCCCAATATGGAAGAGGGCGCTAACAGGCTTGTGGTCGCTGGTTTTCAGTTCCATGTGACTCCGATAATTAAGCTGATTAACATTTGTTCCTCTCCAAAGAATTCGGTCACACCAGGCTGGAACCCGGCATTTCCCACTGTAAGTAAAGAAACGAGTTATAAAGAGAACATATCACACAAGAACATAATACCTACCACACTGGTTTAGATCAGGGTTAGGCTCTCTTGTTACATGCTCCCAAAGAACCGTGTACTTCTCCTTCCCTAACAACCCCTGTCATCCTCCCTACTATTTTGCAAGCTCTGTGAAGGGACTGTATTTGCTTGTTTGCCACTGAACTCCTAGAACCTAGCATGGTATCTGGTGCAAAGTAGGTGCTCAACGAATAGTTATCTAATGAATGAATGGTTCTGTTAAGATTGGGAGTACATCTTCAACAATGTCACCACAGGAGAAAATAGCACGTTCTTAAAATATCCTCAGAAGATTTGGATTATATTTTGAACACTTCCTTTTCCTTTACTCTATGAGCATCAACAACACTTCACAACAGATAGATAACTAATCAAGTCTAAAACTCCAATCTTCTCTTCCTAGACTGGGCTTAATTTTTGGAGAGGAATAACAGTATTGATTTCTCCTTTAAACCAGACATTTATGGACAAGTCTAGCTTCTTCTAATAGAGACGAAATAAAATCAAACCATGCAAGTCTGAGCAAATGTCAGTCCACAGAATACCAAGGGTAGGGAAAAAGAACCTATTCATCATTCTATTAAAAGAAGCAACACCTTGTACCCTGATCCAGAAGGTGACACAGATATTTCTCATCAGTAGCTCTGCAGCTGACTCTAAAGTCAGGTGAGTGAAACAAACATGGCAAAGTGTACAAGATCTAACAGTGTCACTTCATTTGCTGGCCAGTTACCTAGGAGCATAGGAATATCGACTCCCCACCCATGCCAGTACTCTCAGAGTTCAAAACAGCTGAACATGCGTGGGGATTCTTTCTCTTTCAAGTTTCTGTGCTCAGCCAGCTAGGAGAAACAGAAAGAAAAAGAAGAAAAGAAAAAGAAAAAAGGAAAGGAAAAGAAAAGAAAGAGATAGTAGGTAGAGGACAAATACTCACTAAGAACTTACTGGGGGCACTTTACTAGGATGATTAGGAAATCAAAAGGGTCTACTGGCCGGGCGCGGTGGCTCACGCCTGTAATCCCAGCACTTTGGGAGGCCGAGGCGGGTGGATCATGAGGTCAGGAGATCGAGACCATCCTGGCTAACAAGGTGAAACCCCGTCTCTACTAAAAAAAATACAAAAAATTAGCCGGGCGTGGTGGCGGGCGCCTGTAGTCCCAGCTACTCGGGAGGCTGAGGCAGGAGAATGGCGTGAACCCGGGAAGCGGAGCTTGCAGTGCGCCGAGATTGCGCCACTGCAGTCCGCAGTCCGGCCTGGGCGACAGAGCGAGACTCCGTCTCAAAAAAAAAAAAAAAAAAAAAAGGGTCTACTAAACAGTGGTTCTCAGTGTTCTCCAGCTGTGGCAGATATTAGGTCCAAGCATCAGTATTTTTTGAAGTTCTCTAAGGGATTCTAAAGTCTTTTAAGGATTGAGAGCTACTGGTGCTAGAAGAACCCTTCATGGCTTCGTTTTTGCCTTCTGGTATCCTGAATTAAATAGCTGGGTAGTTTGGGAAAAAAAATAGCCAGAACAGGTAATAGGTAAGAAACAAAGGCAAAATCAGGAAGGCAAAAATTTAAGCAAGTTTGCTGAGGTGAGAGAAATAAGGCACTGTAGGTAGCCCATAAAACTTCAACAATCTTGACATATAAGTAATAACTTCCCTAAGATAGGCTCACCTTTGAGTATAGATAAATGAAACACTCTTATTGTTCTATAATAGCACTGAGGCACTGAGCCATTAGGTTTATATATCTGCTTATGGCATGGCCTAAAAAATTCCTAGCCCCTTACCAATATGGAGGGTCAGAAATAAGATCAAGCCTTAACCTTCTCTGTGAGAAGGTTCTTATTACTTTACCTGGAATCCCACCGGTCTGTTTTAGAGTCATACTTATAAGTGGGGATGAACTTGATTTCCCCTTCATTGAAGTCAACAAAAGCTTTTTTCTGTGTGCGCTGAATATTTAGCTACAGATAGAAAGAAGCATCAAATAAGCAGGATAACACTATCTTAATATAAGAGATAATCAGGTTGATAAGCCACTGTTCCTATTTCAAAGTATCTAGTTCCACAACCTTTACAACTGTAGTGAGAGTACATAAATGAAATTTCTATACCTTATGAATTAAATCTCAGCATTCCCACAGCATCTAAACTCACCCTCAGATAGGATGCTTGTTATTAGCACATCACTATTCTTTTATTGCTAATAGTGGCAGAGGGTAAAATGGAAAAATGAAATCTGAATAATTGTAAGTTCCTTGGAGCTGGGCAGAAACCACCCAGCACAATTTTAATTTAAAGAAAAAGCACACAAATGTTGAATGAATAATTCTGCAAACCAAATTCAGCGAATAGTTTCAAATTGTTTTGAAAGATCCTCACTGAAATATTTTACCAGAGTTATATAAGACTCAGAATTTATCCTAAATGTACCCCTTTTGGAGGCAGAATAAAGAAAAAGCAAAGAAATTTGTCAGCCAACCACAACGTGAAGGTAGACATAGACAAGAATGGCTCACTACAAAAACCATTCTGCTGCAAATCACCTGAATGTTGGCTACGTCTGAAGGTTGAAAAGGCTCTCATAACGATTTAAAGATTATTCGAATGAAGTCAAAACATTTTCCTCCCTCAATAAGAAGCATTCACTTTTAGCAGCCAGTATCCATATGTTGAAGTAAAAATTCAAGTCACATGCCAGGTTCTGAGGCAAATTTACTGCTTCAAATATATGGAAACCAGGTTCTTGAATATCAGGTTTTATGTAAATGTTACCAACTCAATGCTTTTCCTGCAGGTTTTAAATACCAGCTAGCTTCAACTTATCATCTAGTTCCCATGAGCCCATAGCCTATGCTGTTGATCCCAGACAAACTTCTTTTCTGTACTTCCCAGTTCCCCTCACAGGGCCTCCCTCTTTTACCTCCAAGCTGTTCCTCAGCTTGCCAAGTAATCATAGAACAGTTTTCACTGTTCCATCTGCCAAACCACATCAACATAGCTGAAGGCCCACTTCCTCCAGGAAGTGTTCCCCAATTAACCCCACCCATTCACCAACTCATTTAGACAAATCTCTGAAATCTCTTAATGATAAAGACGTTTTGAATAAATGTTGTATTTACTTTTTATCACTAATGTTATCTTCCCTCCTCCCATCCAAGCACTTAATAAAAGTACTACAAATCTTGTATGTAGTCAATGCATCACTAGTCACACTGTTTTCACAAGACAGTAAGACGTTTCCATCACTCCCTAGAGTAAGATATACCTCCCATAACTCTAACAATCTCATCTCCCATCTAGGAAAGTTCCTATAAAATGAAACTTTACTTACCTGGTCGAATTTCAAGAGTCTCTGAAGGTCTTTCTTATTAATAAGACTTTTCACCTCATTGGCATCAGGCATGCAAAGTCTATAATTCAAATCTCCCAACCAAATGACAACCCTAAGGATCAAAAAAATGTATGAACAGAAGTAGCGATTAGCATAAAAAAAACAGAGAAGGATGGAGAGAAGAAAAATGGGTAGATTATTGATAAGGGCTCACTCACCACTATCTCACAAGGGGTTTAAAGTTGTAACTAATCCTTTGAGGGCAACTACTATCAACACCTGAGAGAGACAATGGATTACAAAATAGGTAGGAGAAGAGGACTCTGTACATGAAGAATGAAACTGGGAAATATTACGTATGGGATTTAGAAGCCAAGGAGTTAATGGACTGAGAAGCATGCAGTTTATTTGCTGGACAAGCTTCAAAATTTTGCCTGGCTGCTAGCCAGGTCTTTAGGGGAAGAGAATCTGAACGTTTTCTGCCTCTCAGAGTCCTGAAGTCCTGCAGGTTCTCCACTGAAGTCTGCATGGTCTGAGTGACAGCTCTCCGAGGCAGGACCCACTAAGAAAAGTAGGTCCAGGGCTCTCTAGTGAAGCCTGATTGGTCTACCATTGCCCAAGTTACAGGCAGGAAGGAGACTGGCATTCCATGGGATCCTCAGCTCCCAATAACAGCAACAGGCCCTTAGATGTGCTGAGAGCCCCACAAAGGGAGACAATGCAATTAACACATCAAAATGGACTCTCCTGTTGAGTGAGCTCAAGTTCCCAATGGGTCATTCTGACAATCTCAAATGCAACATGAAATTTATGGAATCTGGGAAAATAAATTTTTGGAATTTCATGGCAACTTCATGACCATACATTTTAAGGCCTTCACTTTACCACTGTGAAATAGAATTCTACATGATCCTAATTATTGAGACATTATGGAAAATAGTTGAATATCCCTACTCTTTCCTCCTCTTTCCCCAATGACTCTACTCTCTATATTAATTTTTTAAATTTTATTTTATTATTATAAGTTTTAGGGTACATGTGCACAATGTGCAGGTTAGTTACATATGTATACATGTGCCATGCTGGTGTGCTGCACCCATTAACTCGTCATTTAGCATTAGGTATATCTCCTAAAGCTATCCCTCCCCGCTCCCCCCACCCCACAACAGTCCCCAGAGTGTGATGTTCCCCTTCCTGTGTCCATGTGTTCTCATTGTTCAATTCCCACCTATGAGTGAGAACATGCAGTGTTTGGTTTTTTGTTCTTGCGATAGTTTACTGTGAATGATGATTTCCAATTTCATCCATGTCCCTACAAAGGACATGAGCTCATCATTTTTTATGGCTGCATAGTATTCCATGGTGTATATGTGCCACATTTTCTTAATCCAGTCTATCATTGTTGGACATTTGGCTTGGTTCCAAGTCTTTGCTATTGTGAATAGTGCCGCGATAAACATACGTGTGCATATGTCTTTATAGCAGCATGATTTATAGTCCTTTGGGTATATACCCAGTAATGGGATGGCTGGGTCAAATGGTATTTCTAGTTCTAGATCCCTGAGGAATCGCCACACTGACTTCCACAAGGGTTGAACTAGTTTACAGTCCCACCAACAGTGTAAAAGTGTTCCTATTTCTCCACATCCTCTCCAGCACCTGTTGTCTCCTGACTTTTTAATGATTGCCATTCTAACTGGTGTGAGATGGTATCTCATTGTGGTTTTGATTTGCGTTTCTCTGATGGCCAGTGATGGTGAGCATTTTTTCATGTGTTTTTTGGCTGCATAAATGTCTTCTTTTGAGAAGTGTCTGTTCATGTCCTTTGCCCACTTTTTGATGGGGTTGTTTTTTTCTTGTAAATTTGTTTGAGTTCATTGTAGATTCTGGATATTAGCCCTTTGTCAGATGAGTAGGTTGCGAAAATTTTCTCCCATTTTGTAGGTTGCCTGTTCACTCTGATGGTAGTTTCTTTTGCTGTGCAGAAGCTCTTTAGTTGAATTAGATCCCATTTGTCAATTTTGGCTTTTGTTGCCATTGCTTTTGGTGTTTTAGACATGAAGTCCTTGCCCATGCCTATGTCCTGAATGGTAATGCCTAGGTTTTCTTCTAGGGTTTTCATGGTTTTAGGTATATTAATTTCTTTAAAACTAATCATTTTCTACCACCACATCTACTCCTCAACACATCTCTGCTTCTATGCTTATTAAATCCCATTCTTCACTGACCTCTCTCTGCTGCCCCTGTTTTTAATAAGCACAGCCATTAAAAAGAATAATGTAGATCTATATATACTGGCTTGGAAAGGAATCCACAATAAATAGAATAATACAGTCTTATACACCAAGTACCTATGTGTGTGTTTGTATATGAATAGACAAAAGGCTAGAATAGTGCTATTTAATAGAATTATAATGCACCTCACAATATAATTTTAAGTTTTCTAGTAGCTGCATTTAAAAAGAAAAAAAACAAGTGAGTATCAATAAATTTCATTTTACTCAATATATCCAAATTATTTCAACATGTGATCAATATTTTAGAAATCAAGATATCGTACATCTTCTTCCTAAGTCTTTAAAATCCAATATATAGCTTATGCATACAGCATATCTTAATTTGGACCAGTCACTTTCAGGTACCTAACAGCCATATATGGCTACTGGTTGTCATATTGGACAGTACAGATCTAAAAGGCTACACACCCAACTGTTAAGAATGGTTTCCTTTGGAGAGAGGGACTGGCTAGGTAGAGAATAAGAAATGAGGAAATTTAACTTCTAATTTTATCTTTTATTACATTTGCAATGAATATTTCTATTTTATCATAAAAACAATAAAAACTGACTCCAACTACAGACCCTCCAGCATTATTCTAGGTGCCCCACTAATAGAACTATCTTTTCCTCTGATATCAAGTCTAATTTCTCTGCCTCAATGATTCTGTTATTACTCAAAAACCCTCTCCTTTGTGACCCCAATCCCTCACTGGTAATCTTTCACTCTTCACAGCTCTACAGTATCTCACATTTAATCTCTACACTATCCAAACTCCTGTAGCCACTACTCAAAGGCTACAGGTGAGTTAACCACTTACTCATGTTTCATGATGTTCAACTGCGGGAGGGTCTGATTTGGGACCACAAAACTCATTCTCGCACAAATGTCCTTATAATCTTGATTCCTTCTCTCAAAGTCCTCCACGTGTGCAGCCAGATGGGAATTGACAATGCAAAAGGTGGTGTTGTGAAATACAAATCTCACAGCTACCCCACCTTTGTTTCCCTGTTAGCAAGAGTAATTATTCAATTAGTACACAGAACAAGCAACTGAACTTTACATGAACATGAATAATAATCAAGCTCATTTCCAAAGTAACTCACCATTTTCCCCATGATTCCAGTTCCAACTGTTTCTGTAGCAATATCACGAATGTATCGACACTGATCCTTTCTGGCAAATATAAGAAGCATCATCCCAACAAGGCGCACCAGTTGAACCTATGAGTTCCGGGGAGTTACAAAAGGTTAATGTTAATACCAATCTTTGCCACATTTCTAATGTCCCACGACTAATTTTCCATCAAGATGATATACTAGTGCCCAAATCTGACTTCATATCCTCTAATTTCTCAGTGGACCCCGTCAAGTGGAAACTAATATTCTCTGGGGAGGCTCTAATCTGGCACTGACCAATAAGAGTTAAAAGCTGGGAGGGACAATGAGTACTTTCAGCTCTAGATCTATTCTTTTAATCACTTCTTAGCCTACCAGGAGTAAGCAGCATTAAAAGTTCAAATAATAAAGCCACTATCCCAGCTTGTTCCTTCCACCTTTCCTTCCTAGTTTCTGATGTCTAATTTTCTAAGAAATTGAAATCAACCAAACAGCAATCTTTTTTACTTATTTTTAACTTGTGAACTACAGCTAGAAATATGTCTGAGATATACATTAGTCAGGGACCTATATGAGAGGAATAACATCCCCAGGAGTTTTATTACCTATATAAACTGTTAGAAGATGTAGAGAAAAATTACTCACATTACTTCTTTTAGAGACCTTAGTATGATAGCCCTGTAATTAACTCTTCTGGTAGCTAAATGCCTTTACCACATACCTTCTAAAGACAAACAAATTGGCCCATCTTGCTAAAGTCAACTCTCCTCTTAACTTAAAACCAAGTTTAGAACTCGTTCAAATTCCACACCACTTCTATTCTTGCTCTGATTGCAACACATGCACCATGCGCCCACGTTTCATATTGCTTTTCTGTAAAGCATTCAATTCTGACCATGTCAGTGAGTAATCTAAATCTTATATGTAATTATTTCAAACTAAGTATTGATATAAGCATAATAAAATTCTTTTTTCCCCTAAAAGCTATCTAAGCAATGAAAATATAGTATCAGAAAGCTTAGGGATTTTTTTTTCTAGGAAATAAGGATGAATGATCAATCTGCCCTATCCCAGTATTACACACAGAGAAGAATTCAATTAAACTATTCTTTTGGAACAAGTTGTAGATAATGGAATAACTCCCGGTGAGCCCTATTTAGTCATACACTTAAAAAGATAATTAAATGCGGCTTACTTTCTTATACTTGGCTTTGGAATGCAAACCTCTCTCTACAGCCATGGACCATTCTTGTTCCTTCACAGATTCAAAGTAGAAGAAGGCTTCTGTGCTCAAGTCCAGTTCTTGGAATCTGAGGAAAAAAGGGATATGAGATCTATACATATCCCATAATTATCTCTGGCTACCTCCTGTCCCATATGTTGAAACATTAGATGAAAAAAAGATGGGAGAGAGATAAATTTTATAGAACTGCTCTGTTCACCCAGGTTATCAGTAAGAACAAGTAGCTTTCTTTTCTAAAGAATTCCCACAAGTACATTCATAAGCTATGCAAAAAATAAATCAAAATACCTCCCACAGAGGATAACAGCAGAGCTTTGCTCTTATATCCTAGGAACTGTCACTGTTAGAACTGACCCCAAGTCTTAGTTTCTATGCAGAATATATAGATTCCTACGGGTTTCAAGAAAATTAGATGCTTCCTTACACCATTTTAGGTATCTGTTCATTTCTGTTCTCACAAATTTGACCCGCAAGTTAACTCTCGTGTATAGTCTACAGTAGGTTTTACCAACAGTCTTTTTTAAAAAAGGCAAAACATCATGTAAATGAACACCAAACATATAGCCAAAAGGAAATTCCAGAAGTGTTCTTTACCCAATGCAGTAGATATCAGGAGGATTGGGATCACAGTTCAGCCAAGGTTCTAACCCGCTATCTGGAGACTGGCCATTCACATTCCAAGTTCCAACAAAAAATCTAATACATAATACGAAAAGATAATTTGAAAACAAAGATCAAGTATAAACCAACAGAAGTTCTTTCTTTTCGCTTCCATACAAAGGTATGTTCACAATATGCTAACATAATTCCTCAAAATGTTTTGCCACATATGTAAGAAAGATCTTTTGCATCTAGAACACAAAGGCAGTGGGCTTATTTTCTCTAAATTTTACATTAAGTAAAACTACAGAAGGAAACCAAGTCTTTATTTTTAAAAAATGCAAAGGTAATTGCTATACCACATTTCCTTTCAATTAAGCTCCATCCAAACTCATACTTGATAGGAGAGCTTATGGATGGGAAAGAGGTATCTTCATGCTGTAAGCTAGTCAAATATGGATAAATGTTCTATAAGGGGCTATAGTTGACTCCAGGAACTCACTTCCTGAAGGATTACAAGGACATCTGTGTAGGAAATTCTGATGAGGCAGACATAGTATTAAGGGGGAAAGCAGAAGGGAAAACTCATGACTGTCTTAACTGTTTACACACAAATATAAGCATAGTGGGGGATATGAGGAACTGCAAGTTTTAGCATAGGGATATAGTTATGACTGAATTAGAATAAATGAGGTATGACAGGATAGCAGATGGGACTAGAATCTTGGACTAGAAGGGTACATTCTGCTCATGAATAACAAAGAAATGTGGTGTTGCTTCATGCATTGGCGATACATGCCACATGGTACCTCACATGCAGCATACACACACAAGTCCAGAAAAAAGATGAAATAAAAAATAATACAGATAAAAGAACCCAAGATAGACCTCCCAATCAAGAGGACTGGGTGAAACTTTCTTTATTTACCAAAGTAAGTAAGTTAAGAGCTAGTGGTAATGATGGACTTTAATTTTCTAATATTGGCTGAAAAAAAAAAACTTAACAGGCCAGATATATAAACACGCTTGCTTATGGAATGTGCTAGGGGAAAATTCTCTAGTACATGTGACCTTGATTTGGTTCTCTAGGACTCAGTAGAGACATTAGTAGACATGGCATTATTAGTAGTTAGAAAATCCAAGGGAAGGCCAAGCACGGTGGCTCAAGCCTGTAATCCTAACACTTTGTGAGGCCAAGGCGGGTGGATTGCCTGAGCTCAGGAATTTGAGACCAGCCTGGGCAACCTGGTGAAACCCAGTCTCTATAAAAAACACAAATATTAGCTGGATGTGGTGGTGTGCACCTGTAGTTCCACCTACTTGCAGGGCTGGCGTGGGAGGATTGCTTACGACTGAGAGGTTGAGGCTACAGTAAGCCATGATCTATCTGCTCTCCAGCCTGGGTGACAAAGAGAGACCCTGACCCACACACACAAAAAAAGAAAATCCAAGGGAAACTGTAGCATCTGCATTATTTCTGATATGCATGTTATTGGCCAGCATAGAGACAGGAGCTTGAAACAGGCAACCATTCCTTTTTATCATATTTTGATTCTTAATTAGGCTAATGTCTTAAATATCAACAGGCCACTGTCTGTTATATATACTAACTTTTTAGACTCAGGAAGCAAAAGAGACACTAACCTGAAAGTCTGAATGTTGACATATTCTTTCTCTCGCTTTGCCAGGATATGTTTGATGAGACCCTCCCGCTGCCCAGATTGGGTATTTGGTACAAAGAGCTTCCGCATGGTGTTGGTCACTTTGGGCTGCTCCTTGTTAGAAGCTTCTTTTTCACGTGGAAGCCTAGCAAATAAATGAGAGATTCAAAAGTAAAATTGTTTAAACTATAATTCTCCTACAAGGCAAATATGTTTTCACATGGGACTTACATTTTATTCACTGAAAAGGGTGGAGGTGGGGGTTCCCGATGAATCCCAGTAGGCTGATTTTGTGAATTTATTTTCTTGTCCAAATTCATAGAAGAAAAATTGTCTTCAAATCCAAGAAGCCCTGAAAGACACAGACCCCAAAGTCAAACGGGGAAAAAATCTAACATCCAACATATCCAGGGTAACAGGGCTTTGATTTGATCACAATTTGATCAGTGGTATTACTAAACAGAAAACTATCATAAGGGTAGAAATTACTTGGATTGGAGTTCGAAGAAGCATACCTATCCCTGAAGCACTGATATACTAACTAGAACAATAGAAGTTTATAAGAACTTGGAACAGACTAGTAATAGCTAACATTTATTGAAGACTGAGCACAATGCCTGGTTGAGAGTAAGGGACTATATCATGATCTCACTTAATCATCACAAAAACTCCAAGAAGTAAGTACTATTAAAAATCTTCCCATATTACAGAAAGGAAAAGGGAAGTTCAGAGTTGTTGAGTAACTTGATGAAGGTTGTACAACTAGTAAGTTCTTGACTTGGGATTCAAATCCAGGCTGTCTGGCTCTCGAGCTTGTACTTTCTACCACCCTGCTAAGCTGGCTCCTGAACAGCTACCATGCTACAGGAAGGATAAGGAGTGAACACTGGTCAGTGGGCCTGGACTTGATAAAACTACTCTGCAGGAGAATGTGTCTGACATCAGCTTTAATCTACATCACCATATTTGGCCTGACAAAATCTACTGACTCTGCAATGACCATAGCAACAAGGAAACCAGGAACTTTTTAGTACCTGAAAAAACAGAAGGTTTGTCCTTAGTGTCTAATTTCTGGTACCAGCTAGATGAGTCCTTTTGCTCTGGAACAAGAAGCTGTGACTGAGCTAGAGAGATAAGGTTCATGGTCAGAAACTGGGAAGTCTTTCACTGAGTAGAATTTACTATAGCCAAAAGCCATTCTTTCAACATTCCTTATATGCAGGGGCCAGCACCATTTTTGGATACAGTGGAAGAAACTAAGGAAATGAGGGCAGCTCTGGGGTCATCTAGGGGCAGAAGGAGAATTATAGTCTATGGTAAGCTGTGCTTGCCATGACACTGAATATTCTGAAAACTTGCCTAGTGTCCTTAAAGCTGGGCAGATTTTTTCCCTAACCTATCCCTGTGTTCACTCCTGAAGAAAAAAAAATCAGCTATCAGGGCTTAAAGGGTGAGGTATTTTGCCAATGGCCACTTTCCTCTGTATCAGCATGTCAGAATTCCACTCCCGTTGAAATAGAAGAAAGAAAATCGCTGAGTCTTTAGTTACCTTTCTGAGCAGCAAGGACAGCTGAGAGGAACTTCAAACAGTGTTCCTCATCAGGGATTTCAAAGCGGCGCTCTCTGATCCAGTCCCCCTGAACCCGAATTTTGCAGCCACCTAAAAAGAATTGAAATCCATACATATACTGCTATGGGATAAAATGTTTTACTGGGATCATATTCTCAACTTATCAGGTTAACAGAAGAAGGTCCAGATCACAAATATTCCAGATCTCTAATATAGGAAGCACACATACAAGATCAAGAGAGTCAGTATGACGGTGGTGGAAGGGGTGATGCAGAGAGGGAACCCTAAGGGAAGTGAGAACTCCTAAGGCTGATGAACCGTGTCCATGAGCAGCCCGATCTAAGGATATGACACATACTAAAATTATACTTTCCTGCGTTCTGATCTATCTCTCAGACATCAAAGCAGGGACCTTCAAATTCCAGCAAAAGGTAAATTCCTCAATCACCCTCCCTCCCATTCCTTAGCTGGAAATTCCTACCATTTCAAGTCCAGATCACATTGTCAGAGTATCTGAAGCATGAAGGGAATAAAATAAGTAGGATGGTTTGTCCGTAAGCACAGATTAAATTTACAAAATAACTTAAAAATAGTGATACTGGTTTGAAGTATTCTGAAAAGAAGCATCTACAACTCATTACCTCAAGTTTAAAATGTATGTCTTGAATAAACATACAAAAACAATATAATGACCTATGCTCAGAAGTGGTTTGGTTCAAGTACAGCCAATTGGAAACTAGGAGAATTAGAAGCAAAGTTAGCTAGGGCTTTAATTTATTATGTGTATAACATATTGTCTCCCCTTTTTTGATGCCCTATAGTTATCATCTATATCAACTGTTTGGATGTGGTGATCCAGGAAACCTATGTACTTGTTTCTATTCTTATTGTAACTGATTTATTACATACGTTGTTTTCTCATGCCTCTGGAAACTACAAGCTCCTTAAGGGCAAGAGGCAGGGTACGCATGCAGGGTGCACATACAGCGAACCCAGCACTTTCAGGAGTCTAGGGTGACCAACTGTCCCAGCACTGTATGGTACTCAGAGGCTTCCTAGGACTCAGGACTTCCAATGCTAAGACTGGGAAAGTCCCAGGCAAATAAGGCTTGCTGGTCACTCTACTGGTGACAGTAACATCAGACTTCACAGACAGAAGGTATTTAATGACTGATGAACTGGACTCTTTACCACGTGTAAATAACAAATACATGAGAAAATGAAATGAAAATCCTAGTTTTTATGGTGGAAATCCACTTCTGAACCTTTAGCTTTTTGTCCTCTGCATTTCTTCTTCTTTCTGTCTTTGTAAAATGAGTTACAAAAAGGAAAATAAAATAATTAATTAGAAGAAAATAGATAAAAATGGAGAAAAATGTGAAAGAAGGCACCCAAATAGACTACGGATAAGAAAATTAATGAGGGTGCCACTGTAGAGGGGAAAAAAGAGAGGGAAGGAAAAAAGTGTCAATTATAGCAGCCATGAAGATATAGGGAAAACTCCTTCAGGGCCTAACAAGTCCTTTCTTTCTCAGATTATTTATACTAAATGTGGTTTTAAAAGAGTAGTTTCTATCTGACATAAATTTAGAACAAAAACCCTTATTATCTCTCACACACACACAAACACACAATTCTTGAAAGACATATTTTAGCAAATATATAACTGACCTATTTAATGGGCCAGAAGATTCCAGAAATTGCTCACAAAATAACACTGGATGCTCCCTCACCATGTTGCTTGAGAAAGAAAACAAATTACCTCAAGACTCAACCTTCTACTCTTCTTGTCCATCCTAAAACCTTCTGGACCTCTGTGATCTGCAAACACTCCTACATCCTCAACTTCATCTGAATATTCTCTGCATCTCTCAGTAGTTCTCAACTATGCATGCATTAAAATTACCAGAGGCACTTTATTTTTGTTTTTATTTATTTTTTGAGACGGAGTCTTGCTCTGTTGCCCAGGCTGGAACACAGTGGCGTGATCTCGGCTCACTGCAACCTCGTCCCCTGGGTTCAAGCAATTCTCCTGCATCAACCTCCTGAGTAGCTGGGATTACAGGTGCCCGCCACCATGTCCGGCTACTTTTTGTATATTTAGTAGAGATCGGGTTTCACCATGTTGGTCAGGCTGGTCTCGAACTCCTGACCTCGTGATCTGCCCACCTTGGCCTCCCAAAGTGCTGGGATTACAGGCATGAGCCACTGTGCTTGGCCACCAGAGGCACTTTAAAAACAATATTGAACCCAGGCCCCACTCCAGGACAATTAAAACAGAACCTCTGGAGGTGAAGCCCAGGCACTCGTAGTTTCCGAGTGATCTGACCATATGTGCACATTAAAATTCAGAGTCAACTGCAAAACTGGCTGGTCCCTAGGAGGAGCACTTCTCCTACAACCCTCTTATTTTTATTTATTTATTTATTTATTTATTTATTTATTTATTTATTTATTTATTTATTTTGAGAAGGAGTCTCTACTGCCCAGGCTGGAATGCAATGCCGCGATCTCGGCTCACTGCAACCTCCACCTCCCGGGTTCAAGTGATTCTCCTGCCTCAGCTTCCTGAGTAGCTGGGATTACAGGCACGCACGACCACACCCAGCTAATTTTTGTATTTTTAGTAGAGACGCGGTTTCACCATGTTGGCCAGGCTAGTCTCAAACTACTGGCCTCGTGATCCGCCCGCCTCGGCCTCCCAAAGTGCTGGGATTACAGGCGTAAGCCACCGGGCCTGGCCTAACCCTCTTAATGGAGTCTGTTTATATTCTCTCACACCTGAAGTAATTTTGAGTTGGTGTCTGTATTTGTCCTAATAACACCACCAGACTACTCTTTCTCCTTCTCCCTCAGGCAAAATCCTTTCTCCTTTGAGGCTCATCCATTGGGATCTACCGTTTCCTCCCTTTCCTCTACAAGATCATGCACCATCCTCCCAGAAACTTCAGAATCCAAGATACAATACCTGGCTCATAAGACTTTCTCTCCACTCGATCTCCTGCCATTAATTTTGGGTCCCTTTAAAATTAGCACAGAAAACCCAGTCAACACCTTCAGCTTCCTCATCCAATGACATTCCCCCTCCACCTCAGCCACCACTTCCTCAGTTGCTACTGGGACCCTCTCAGTTATACCCTGGATTTTGTCATCATAGAAACACCACCACTTCATAAACCTCTAATTCAAATATCCCACCCTGACATGTTATTCCTTCCAACTTACTTGCTCATTATCCCCATTGTAACTGTTTTTTTTTTTTAATCTGATGGGAACCTCCAGCCCATTGATTTCTCTGTTTTCTTACTATCCGTCAGCCCCTTCCTGCTCTCACTTCCCCTTTTATCAAACAGATGCCATCATTACACTCTTGCAAAAACCCAGAACTGCCTTGCCTCTCTGTTCTTCCGTGGCACCTACCTGGCTAAATACCAACCCTCAGAAATCCAACTAATTGCCTTTCTGTACTTATACCTGAACAAGCAGAGGGGGTAAATATGCACACCCACAACCAGATGGCTATCATTATACATTCCTGATTGCCAATCTCAACCGGGTCCTCTATCATAGGAAGCAACCTAAGGTCCTACAGTCAATCAGTCTCCTACTACTATCTGAAACAACTGTTTCACACCTACTCATTTATCCTCAAAATTTGGATCCCCCATCTTCTTGAGCCCTCTTATTCTAAGCAGAATGCTTCAGCTCATACTTCAGAGAAAAAATAAAGCTATCACATGGAAACTTATCTGTATTTGTACTCATCTCATCCTTTCCCTACTGATACAAGGAAGAAGATCACTCCTATCAAACCTCCTTCACTTTGAATTACAACCCCTCTGATTCTCTCAGTAATCTTACAACTAATCCCTAGACACACCCCCATATCCTTAACGCTTTCCCTTTCACTAGCTCCTCCACATTAGCATATAATCGTGTTCTAAGTCCTTCTCATCTGAAAAACAAAAATCTTCCTGGATCTCAGATTTCCCTCCAATTCCAGTCCATCTCTATATTCCCCTCCAGTCACGTTTCTTTAAAAGACACACAGTCACAGACTTCCCATTTCTCACTTGAATCCATTCCAATATGACTTCCACACCCACTACTTATCTGAAATTGCTTTAAGTTCACCAATAACCTCCATCCCATGGATATTCTTCAGTCATCTTATTAGACCTATTAGCAGAAATCAACAGTTAATCAGGGCTTGATATAATCCCTTCCAAAAGCTTCTATGATACCATACTCATCTAGTTTCTCTCTCATCACTAATTTTGAGTGCCCTTTGAAGTATCTCTTCCTCTATCTAACATTTAAAAAATGGAGTTCCTCAAGTTCAAACATAAATCTTTTTTCTCATTCTATACCAGTATTGTCCAATGGGACTTTCTGTGACTATGGGCATGCTCTAAACCGTGCTGTCCAATATGGTAGCTAACAATTTGATATGTGACTACTGCAACTGAGGGACTGAATTTCTCATTTTATTTCTAATTATTTTAAATAGGCACATGTAGCCAGTGGCTACTGTATTGGATAGCACAGTCCACACACAATCACATCATCTCTTATGATTTTGAATATCATCTACGTGCTAGTGACCCAGATGACTTTCTTCTGAGATTCAGATGCATACATTCACTTGCCAATTTATCATCTACACTCAGGTGTCTCAAAAAAAATCTCAGCCGGGTGAGGTGGCTCATGCCTGTTAATCCCAGCACTTTGGAAGGCCGAGGTGGGCAGATCACCTGAGGTCAGGAGTTCCAGACCAGCCTGGCCAATAAGGCAAAACCCCATCTCTACTGAAAGTACAAAAATCAGCTGGGCGTGGTGGCGGGTGCCTGTAATCCCAGCTACTCAGGAGGCTGAGGCAGGGGAATAGCTTCAACCCGGGAGGCAGAGGTTGCAGTGAGCTGAGATCGCGCCACTGCCCTCCAGCCTGGGCGATAAGACCGAGGCTCCATCTCAAAAAACAAAAAAAAAATCTCAAACTAAACATGACTAAAACTAAATTAATGACCCTTCCCCCTTGAGGAAAACTCATTCTTTGTGCAGTGTTCTTATTTCTGCAAATGGTACCATCATCCACAGTCATGTCAGAAACCCGAGATTCATCCTTGACACTTCCTCTCACCCCTTACACCCAAAACAATTCCTATGGATTTTACCTCCAAAAACATCTATCAAGTCTGACTGCTTCTCTTCATTACTAATGCCACCACACTCTCTAGCTTACACTATGGAAACAGCCTCCTAACTGGTCTCTCTGCTTCCATGCAAATGATGACACCCCAGCATAAAATCCTTCATACGATTCTCATTTTTGAAATCTCAAAATTCAGATTTAAGACAAGGCTTACAAGATCCTGCCAGATCTGCCCCCTAGCCTGTTTTTCTTACCTTGGTGCCCAAGACCTGTTTTAGGCACCCTGGTCTTCTATCACTTCAAAGAAAAGTGTCAAGCTACTTCCCAGCCTGGAGCCTTGTGATTCCCTTTACCTGGTAAATTCTTCTCTCTCCCATCTTAACCTGCCTCTTACTTAGCCCCTCTGGTCTCAATTTAAATGTCAATTCTTCAAAGAGGTCTTCCCTGACCACCCTCCTAATATACTTACTCTTCTCATAAACTCTTAGTACTTTTCCTCAAGAGCATTTATTAAAACTACAATTATCTGGGCCAGGCACGGTGGCTCACGCCTGTAATCCCAGCACTTTGGGAGGCCAAGGCGGGCAGATCACGAGGTCAAGAGATTGAGACCATCCTGGCTAACATGGTGAAATCCTGTCTTCACTAAAAACACAAAAAATTAGCCAGGCATGGTGGCAGGTGCCTGTAGTCCCAGCTACTCGGGAGGCTGAGACAGGAGAATGGTGTGAACCTGGAAGGCGGAGCTTGCAGTGAGCCAAGATGGCACCGCTGCACTCCAGCCTGGATGACAGAGCAAGACTCCATCTCAAAAAAACAAACAAAAAAAACTACAATTATCTATATCTTATCAGTTTAAAGTCTGTTTCCTATATTAAAATCCTTAAAGTATCATGACTGTACTGCTTTCTGCTATATCCCTAGAGCCTAGTGTAGTTCCTGGCACATAAAAAATAGTCATATTTTTATAGAATGAATGATTGAATTATAGGTATCTGTGTGACACTAGTACTGAATTGCACAGAAGCAAGAACCAAAGTAGGAGCAGCAACTTTATCTTTGTCGTTCTGTACTGATTCTGCACTTACAAAAGTGCCTGAGAAATAGAAGGCACTCAACAAATATTTGTTGAATAATGGATAAACAAGGGACAGTTTAATTTTAGGAAATTAGTACAATACAGTGTACCAATTGGTCAAATAAGGAAGAATAAAATCATCTCCATAAATACCAAAAAGACATTTGCTAAAATTCAGTATACATTCATAATTTTAAAAAACACAAACTTGAAATAAATGCAGTTTCTTAATTAAAAAAAAAAAAAACCCTGTCAAATCAACAAGCAATAATGTCATTAACAGTGAAATACCACTTGAGGCATTCTCACTGAAATCAGGAGCCAAACAAGAAACATCATCATTTACCACTGGTCCCAAAATTCTCACTGGTATAGTGTACAACGATAGTAGCTACTAGAAAAGAGACAAAATTATTATTTATAGATATTAAGGTTAGCTACCAAAATGAAAAAACAAAATGAAAAGCAAAAAAGATTAAAAATAAATTTCAATGAAGCAACTGGATAAAAGATAAATATCCACAACTCAACAGCTATTCTGTATACTAGTAATAAACAATTAGAAGGACATAGAAAAAACCTCCACTCGCAATAGCAGCAAATAAAATCCACCACGAAATACTTAACCTAAAAACTATATATATTAAGAAACTATAAAATTTTATTGAAAGATATAAAAGAGGACCTGAAAAAAACAGATATATCATGTTCCTTGACAATGACTTAATTTTATAAAGAAGTTAATTTAATAAAATTTGGCACAGACCTATGGTGAAATATTTGGTTTTTAAAAAGCATATTATAAAGTAATTGTAAATGACATAAGAAAATGGGACAATATAATGTTAAATGAAGACGCAGGATAAAAACTGCATATGAGGATTCCAATTATGTAAAAATATAAAGACTGGAAGGAAATACATAAAAATGTTAACCACAGTGGTGATCTCTAGATTGCAGGAAAATAATCTTAATTTGATACTTTAAGCTTTTCTGAATTAGTAAATTGTATATAATGAAGATGTATTACTTCTGTGAGAAAAAATTATTTACAAAGCATTTAACACCAATATCCAGACAATGGGAAAATGCATATTTACATTAAAATCAGGCCTGCCTAACAAACCCAAGATCTCCTTCCTGCAACACACCGTGTACCATAAAGGTTTATGTATGAAGCCCAAGGATCAAGATAAAATATGGTTTCAGTGCAAATACTACTAAATGGGTAGAAATAACAAAGGATTTTATTCAAGTGGTCACTTACCTATTTTCCCCCTATGAGCCAGTAACTAGAACTCTGGACATAGCAACACATGGCTAATGTAGAAGCGGCCACAACAAAACTAATGCCGAAAATTAGGTGCTTATAAGAGAAAAGGCACAGCTCAGTTTAACTTTTCAGCTTTGAATCAAATACTTCTCCACATCAAATACAGGACATTTCCATCTCTTATTTCAGCAGCAGTGTCAGTTGTTATGGAATTGCTTTTGTTCTAGTTTTGCTTTTTTAAGTGTTGTTTTTGCCTTCTCCTTTCTAAGCACAATAAGAAATAGACATTAAGTTATTTTCTCTCTTGGATACTTGCAGCTGGGGTTTACCTGGCCTTTCAGGCACAGCCTTTAAGACTTCTAAAATTCACGACCAAAGGGAAAAAAAAAAAAACTCAAGCCAGAAAAAAAGCCTACTTAAAGTGTTCAATACAAATTAATAGTGCCAAGGGCAGGGACTGTCTAAACAAAGTTATGTAAACCCCTAGTCCCAAGCTCAGTGCCAGTTCCCACTCATCCAAGGACTCAACCAAGAGATAAGGCAACCCATTTGATTTAGATTCATGTGGTCAGATACTCTTTTCCATAGCAACCTCACAGTAGCATCGAGTGCCCATTTTCTCCACTCCATAAAATAGTACAATTAGATGATAAACAAAGAACAGTTTGCACAGAAAGTCAAAGATGATTTGCTTCAAACAGATAAAAATGAGAGAATGGAAACATTGAAAAGAAGATCATGTTCCCTCTAATAAAGAGATGCCTTGAGGGGATGGGGCTTAAATAAAAGACTAAACTTTTTTTTTTAAAGGAATGCCTGGACAAGCAATTTAAGGGACTCTTCAGCCTTCCAAAAAAATACAACAAATAAAGGAAAATATTATGACTTAACACACAAAATTTAAAAAGAGGGTAGGGAAAAAACTTAAAATGTAATAGCAGTTAAAAAATGACCAAAAAAACTCCACCAATAAACCTTATGTGCTTTAAACATCAGCCCTTCCTACAATTATCAATTCTACAGCAATGATTCAACTGACAGCAACAATACTGGTAGCTCACGGAAGTTCAGCATTAGAAAGGTAGATCATTATTTTTTATTTTTATAAAGATTCTTACCAGCCACCTGCTTTTTCTTAGGCTTAGCCTACATGTTTTTGGGAAACAGTGCTAATTTGTATGGCTGCTACAGGAGACTACAGGAAAAGATGGTAAAATAAAAAATGTGCCCCAAAAGGTGTCTTAAATGTAGTGAGTGTTCAAGTAAATATTTGTTGAGTAAAAATCAAGCACATTCAGAAAGATACTCACTGTTAGAAGCTATGTCAATCAAAAGAGTTTCTTCTGCTTCTGAGAGGGGAAAAAAAAGAGAGTAGGATTAGGGAAGAGAAAACCACTCACTACAACCAAAAGAATACATGCCTAACTAAATAACTGCTTCTCTCAGTCACTACTCCTAGGTCTTAGAACATATTTTTTTAAATCCCTTTTCGTTTAATATTTTTTAAAGGGATTTTTTATAGCACTGGGTTCTAAAGACTATGAGCAAATCAACTAAAATAAAAATGAACTGAAGAAGTAACCAAATGGAACTCCTCAAAGCAAATCAACGAATGAGAAATTAATAGTACAGAACATAACAACATGTTAATTCAGCGAAAGCAAGTTTAATTCCCCTTAACTGTAACATAATGATTTAACTCTGGGTCCTTTAGATACTTCTTTAGATAACAGAAGGCAAAGGAAGTGACCCTGAAAGCCCAGAGGTGAATTACTTTCTTAACTCAGATCTATTCTCTGAAAATTTCCCAGTGATCTCATCACCTCTGCCCCTGCCCCACACATGGGGGCAGAGTATACCTTCAGGTTACAACTACTACCTGTGGGCCCAAGGCCCTCCGTACCAAACAGGGTGCAAAGCAGTCTGCAAGTTTGGATTTCTCTTATCTCTCAATGGTTCTCCTGGACTTCTTCCTTTACAACAAGTGTCTAGACCCAACCTATCTCTTCCCCTCTGATTTCTCTGGATTTGACCAAGTGCACCTGCCAGACCCTCCTGGCTAATTGAACTCTGGGTACTGACTCCTTGGGATTAGCCTGGATCTACCTTGGTCAAATGGAGTAGTCTCACCTTTTTCACCTCCCTCCCAAGACTGAATTGTTTATTTGGCTCCATTACTCAGGTACAACAGAAGCAACTGGCAAGGAACTAACTCCTTTAACACTAAAAAGTAGTCTCGATATTATTATTAGGATGATTAAACAAGGGGAATTAGGGCATCAAGACATAGATATTGTATGCTTACTACTGTTCTTCATTAACTTTTAGTTCTGTAAAACCTGAGTGTTTACAGATGGTTTTCTTTTTCTTTTTTTTTTTTTTTTTTTGAGACGGAGTCTTGCTCTGTCACCCAGGCTGGAGTGCAGTGGCACGATCTCGGCTCACTGCAAGCTCCGCCTCCCAGGTTCACACCATTCTCCTGCCTCAGCCTCCCGAGTAGTTGGGACTACAGGCACCCGCCACCATGCCCGGCTAATTTTTTGTATTTTTAGTAGAGACGGGGTTTCATCGTGTTAGCCAGGATGGTCTCAATCTCCTGACCTTGTGATCTGCCCACCTTGGCCTCCCAAAGTGCTGGGATTACAGGCCTGAGCCACCGCGCCCAGCCGGTTTTCTTTTTCTTTAGAGATGGCCTCACTCTCTCACCCAGGTTAGCATGCAGTGGCACAATCACAGCTCACTGCAGCCTCGAACTGCTGGGCTCAAGCAACCCTCCTGCTTCAGCCTCCCAAGTAGCTGGGACTACATGTATCTGCCACCACGTCTGGCAAATGTTGTTTTTTTAATTTTATTTTTGTACAGATGGGGTCTCGCAATGTTGCCCAGGCTGGTCTTGAACCCCTGGGCTCAAGCAATCCTCCTGCCTCAGCTTCCCAAAATGTTGGGATTACAGGTGCAAGCCATCGCGCCTGGCCACAGTTTACAAAATAGATGCAGGGGTCAGGAAATAGAAAGGAGATGAAAATCAAAAGTAAGTCTTCCTTTAGTCATGGGGAACTACGTTACATGTGTGCACATATTTTCCCAGGTTCTAAGAAGCAGCACTACGATCTAACAATCAGCAATTGATTTCTTATTAAAAATACTAAGAGAAACAGGGTAAAAGAGATCCTAGAGGTAGAGTAAAAAGGTACAAAGCTAATAGGATATTAATTTAAAGTCATGTTCTTTGGCTCTTCCCCTCTGTGAAGGCCTACACCTTGAAAAGTGAGGTGGCCACAGCAACTTACTATGGAACGTGGCTACCTTGTTTAGTATGTCTCTCTCACATAGGGCAGGCTAAATAGCTATCACTTCATTCTTCCATACAAATATGGACACTATTCATTGAAGTTATTTTTAATTCTTAACACATGCATTCTTAAAAAGTCATATCCACTAGCTTAGTATTTTCACTTATAGGAATACATCCTGAGGAAATAAGAGATGTGCAGGTATATTTAGGTGCAGAGATGTTCATCATATTACTATTGATACTAGTGAAAAATAACCCAAATGTCAACATAGGGGAATAATTACATTATGGACCATTCATAAACTGGTATGGTATATAGCCATTAATGGCATGGAAAAGTGCTCATAATACAATAGCATGTAGAAGAGACAAAAAATTGTATAAGATGAGTATCACTCACCCTGCAATGTATGTGTAGAAAAAAGGAAAATGCTAGGTGTTTATCTCTGAAAGGATGGGAATTTAAGTGACCTATTTTCTTTACACTTTTCTGTTCTTTCCAAATGTATTACATTATGTACATGTCACTTAGTGATTAAAAAAAAAGTTCAATGTAGTTTAAGAAATAATCCATGCAAGGTAAGATTTAAGTTTTCCAAGAAAGGCCAGGCATGCTGGCTCACACCTGTAATCCCAGCACTTTTGGAGGCCGAGACAGGCAGATTGCTTGAACTCAGGAGTTTGAGACCAGCCTGGGCAACATGGCGAAACCCCGTCACTACAAAAATTACAAAAAAAATTAGCTGGGGGGTGGTGCACCTGCAGTCCCAGCTACTTGGGAGGCTGAAGTGGGAGGATCACTTGAGCCTGGGAAATGACCTTGTCTTGAAAAAACAAGTTTTCCAAGAAGCTACAATTGATACAGAATGCTTCTGCTAGATAAAGCCACTGGTCCTAGTGAAAACAGAATGCATTTGTTCTCTAGTATCAATTTCCTTTCTAGAGCAATGTGAGATGACAGAAGCAACACCTCCTACACAAACCTCCCAATTTTTAAGTTTCATTGTAGCAGATGAAACAACAGATTTTCTATGCTCCGTCCCCAAATTTGAGGGCAGGAGGCCAAATATTTCCTCCCCAGAGTCAATTTTCTTATGATTCACCAATGTCAAGGTTTGAGAATCAGCACAATTGAGTGTAAGATATTACAGTCTGGCAAGGCATGTTGCCAAATGTCTTAATTTCAAATAGCATGTGGAGAAAGTGCTGAATGTGTGTGAATCCAAGTGACCTTGGTACCTTATGAGCACTGTGTCCGTTAAGCCCAAGAATGTTATTTAAATCCACATATAGGTCAGTCAGCATAAAAAACTACCTACACAGGTAACAATCTACATACATCTCTAACCCAAGCCAAGGAAACAGGTGAGACTATAGACACACATATACAAATATATTTCGATATAACCCTTCAGCATTCTTAGAGAAAGTATCATCTCCTCAATGTTATCTTTTTATGCAAAGAGTAATACATTTCATTTTACATGCACTGACAAATTTAAATATGTATGGTATTACATAATGCAGTAATGACCGAGAAAAAACATTATAAAACTAGCTAAGGAATTAAAGCTAGTACCTTGAACACATCTGAAGTGGCTATTTATAGGAATGATATCTTGAACATGCTGTTCCTTCTCATGCAACTGGATTATTAACCTAGGAAACAGAAGAACGCATCAAAGAACAGCCACTGAAAAACTCATTTAGCAAAAAAATACTTCACTGTCCTGTTATACAAATCTAGTCTGTATTTACTAGACTTGCTGCATCTAGTTCCCTGGATCTGAGCATCATGACAGCTAGATATTGCTCTAGGCCTAAAAGGATGCTAGTGGTGATGAACATCTGATTACCCACACTGTTCTCTAGGCCATATATCCTAAAAACAGTGTACAAGCTTAAGAGCATGAATTACAGAGTATATAGCTTCAGAGTATGCATACCAGAGTGAAGAACTGACAGCTAGATGTGAAGTCCATGAGTGCAGGGACCACAGCTATCTTTACACCACGGAATTTCTAGTACCTAGCACAAAGCCTGGCACACAGGAGTTGCTCGTGTGTGTGGAATCAATGAATTAGAAAATTCATAAATTAACCTTCCAATTATATTCCCATGGCTTTTTACCAAAGAATGGATCTGTCTCTTCAAACAAGCATTCAGGTTCATGGAGGAGTAAGAGGGGGTGCTCAGCCAGCTGGATTGGTCAAAATATCAGTGACCAACAAGGTGGCAGATATCACAACTGGATTGCCTTCAAATCCCTTGTTTCTTCTCTGGTTTCCAAGTTTACGCTGGTATTTCTACATAAACATGAGTAAACCTGACTCCCCAGATGAAATCCATACTTCTAAATCCATACGTACTCCTGAAATATTAATTTTTCATTTATTATTTATCCTTAGTGGTCCAGAATCAAGGTACGACCTACTGGTAAACAGCCATTCTGAACGTCAACTAGCATTCTCAAAGTCAAGCACTCTTCAAGTATTGTTTTTAGTTTTTTGTCAGGAACACTCTGTTTCTTTCCGAGTTTCATCTCAAATATCACCTCCTCCATGAAACTGTCCTCAGTACCCCCAAGCAGAACCAGCAGCCTTATCGCCTTTGTTTGCCCCTCTAATAGAACACTTACACACTCCATTATGGTTATATTTATTTCCCCTCACTGATTTCAGCTCCTTGAAAGCAAAGACCAGATCATATTCAGTTTTGTCTGCAGCCTAATAGATGCTCAACAAATACTGGCTGAATAAATTAACTAGCTTAATTAAGCTATAAGCAGCGGTGAATTTTTCAATGAAACTGTCCAACTTCTGACATTAAAATGTCATTGTTTTGAAGGGTTTGATTTCTATTTTGTTGTCTTTTGGGGGTGCTTGTTGCTTTTGCTTTTTGCATTTTCAAATGTGTTAACTTTGAAGAGGATAACCTGGGATAGGATAAGTAATTACTTAGATAGAACTAAGGGAAATAAAAGTATTAATGCTGTTTTTCTGCTGTGATCCTTCTTGCCTAATTTGCAGGGGTTTGTACTCTAAGGTGATTACAGGAATATGGGGCAGGCCCCTTTCCATCTGGAAAGTTCATGAGTTGAGTGGAGAGTCCTATAAACCCAGATGGAAACCAGAAACCAGATAAAAGGCTGAGAAATCAAGGGTTAAGGAGGAAGAGCTTACTTTGAGGAAGATAAACACAAACCACTAAAATCTCAAAATACATAAACAAGAAATGGTGTTGAACATTAGCATTAAAGCTTCATCTGGACAGTACTGTTAAAAACTATTACAAAACAAATAAACTGAGAATTTAAGTGAATTTCACCAACATTTATTGAGTATTTACTACGTGTTACCCACTAAATTACAATAAAAGAGTAGGGCTAAGAATAAGCATAAAAATTCTGAGTGTAATTATTCATTTCAGAATATAAAGATTAGAAATAATTGGTATACAGCAAAACAATGGAATTCAGAATTTGGTAGTTGTCAAACAGAAAAGAGTGACAAATCCTGAATGCCAACTCTGCCTTATCCCTAGGAAACACTTTGATTTGTTCAAGGAAGGTTAAAGGTCAAACAGGTTTTGTCATAATCTATTATCCTTGAAAAATATGAATCTTAAGTGTTTGATTCCCTGTTTCCAAAAAAACCCTGATTTTTAATTGTAATTTTGGTCAAGCAAATTTCCTATGGTTGACAGTAGGAACCACAGACCTAAAGATTTAAGTCAGGCTTCAAGTTCTAGGATAAAAAAGCCAAAAGTAAAAAGTTCTGGACACTCGAGTCAGAAAAGACACCAGAGAGACAAGAATATGAGGATTACAGATGGTATTATGGTATTAGGTGTCTCCAGCAAATGCTTTCAAGAGAAACTTCTCAGTGTAATTCTGAGACATGTTACATAGGATCAGATCTCAGGTATTCTACTCCCTAATTGCAAACAAGTGACTTAACCTGTCTGTGCTTCAATTTCTGTATCTATAAAAGGGGGATGATGATATTACTATCTTATAGTAACCCTCACATGTGGATTAAATGAACTAACTAATGAAAAGGGCTTAGAACAGTACCTGGCACATAAGCAGCCATTGAATGTTAGTTATATAGCAACAACTATATTAGTTGTTAGTTATATGTTAGTTTATATATAAACTATAGTTTATATGTATTTAAAACTATAGTTTATATATATTTAAAACTATTTACATAGTTTATATATAAACTGCTAATATAGCAACAACTATATTAGTTGTTAGTTATATAGTTGTTATATAGTGTTACCTATATATTAATGTTAGTTATATAGCAGCCCCATACCCCCACATATACCCCCAACTATACCCCCATAACTTACACAGAATTGGAACACACGACTTCCTTATTAGCTCAACAGAGTTCCAAATCTACTAATCCGAGGGACTAGATTCTGGGCTGTGGTCATCTCAACAATGTAGCTACTCTATTCAATCTTCATGATTTTGTTTTTACATTAGAGGAAACCAAGGCACACAAGTTTTACTGGTTTGCCCAAGGGTCACCTCTCTGTAACCCACTCTAGCCTTTGGAAATGTTAGTGGTGTTCCACTTTTCTGCTGAATTTTGTTTTATTAAATTCTGAATTTAGTTTAGTTTCATTAAACTAGTCTTCCAGGGTTTGATGAAATCCGGGTTTGATGAACTTCCCAGTAGAGCTGACTAAGCAGGACCTATGAAAGAGCTACTTCACAGAATTAGCTGACATCCAGTTAGAGTGGCACCAATAGTCTCAGAGAAGAGCAGGTTGGGCCAGTGGGAATTTCTTCCGTGTAAATCTGACAGCATAGATACAGAGGATCTAAAAGTGGGGACTGAGAAAATTGGTTTTAGGCAGAAGCCAATGTTGGGAGATGGCAAGATTTAAGTGAACAATTTTTAAACTGGGAAGGAATATGATGTCAAGAAGCCAATGAATATCCAAGTGAGGTGTCTTGGGCACACAGGGATAGGGGCCTATGATACGTAATGGTCACCATGGATATTTTTGAGATAAGATATTAGTGACAATAGAGTGAGGTTAGCAGCTATGGTGATAGCTTATCAAAATAATCTTTTGATCAATCAGTCAACAGTATTTACGGAGCTCCTATGGCAGAGAGGAAGGTGACACACTGATAAAATACTGTCATTTCTATCTCTACACATTTCATTACCTTTTCTTTCTAACAGTAAAGTCAGTAAGTGAGGCAGTTTCTGGCCTACACTAAACCATTACTGAATTAATGAATATGCCTTCAACCCAGTGGGATAAGGGGACGGGGAGACTGGAGAAACCAGCTGAATAGGGTTAAGACAAGTCTGTAACGTTAACAATGAAGCATTTCCATAGCACTTTTACTTTTTGGAAGCCACTCTCGCATTTATTTTTCCCCCAGTTATAATTCCAAAGGCTGTAAGGTAAGGCAGTTAATGGTTTTATTAAACTGAAGAGTTAACTTTGGCCCAGAAAGCTTTATTGACTTGCCCAACGTTACACAACACATGTCAGTTGCAGGGGCAGGAACTAAGAACCCAGGCTTCCTGCTTCCCCGCCCATTCAGTCCTTCCACTGAGCCACACTGCCAAGCACAATCCAGAGGCTTGGAAGTTGGGGACAAAGCCCCGAGGTTAGAGAGCACTGGCACTTCACACCTGGACCTGAACCTGTTGCCCGCGTGGCTTCAGTAGGAGGACAGTGGGTGACCCGTCGCGGTTTGGGGTTGGGAGGTAATGGCAGGCTCCCCTCCTCTGTGGGAATCAGGTGGTTACTTACTCATATTGCCCGTTCCTCTGGGCTAGGGTCAGGGCGCAGGGCTCCCGGAGAGGACCCTTCATCTCCATACCCTCGACAGTATGCGGGCGCTAGTCAAGGGTCTCCTTCGGAAGCGCGGTGGGGAGGAGTGGTGCACTGCGGGGCGAAGGGGGTCTTCCACCCCCCCCCCACCGCCGCCCTCCCCCGCCCCGCCCCGCCCTGCTTCGTCTCCCGCGCCGGCCCCCTCCCCCTCTCTGCTCGGCCTCTGGGCCACCCGGTTGCCCCGCCCCACCGTGTTCCGCAGGGCCCCCGACCCCCACCCCCGGCCCTGCGCGGCCTCCCCTCTCCCTTCTCTCCGGCGGATACGGCAAGCGGCTGGGCTCCGACCGGGAGCGGCGGCTCCATCCAGGCGGCCTCCGGGCTCAGCAGGACAGCGGACTGCGGGCCGATCCGACGACACTGGCTCCCGCGTCCCCACACCCACCCACCTCGGCTGCGTGTCGTTTGAGGAACAGCTCCGCGCCGGGCGCCGGGCGCCGGGAGCCGGGAGCGGGGAGCTGGGAGCTGAGAATCTGACCCAAGAGAGAGCGGCGCCTCGCGCCCCCGCCAGTTTTCCAGGCCGCCGCAGATTCCGTCCCCTGCGGTCAAACTGCGGAACTGCAGCGAGAGACCTGACGGACTGGGGGCGTCTCTACCAGGTCCAGCAAGGAATGGGTTTTAAATGCCACCTGTGACATCAAAATTGTTCTGAGGACTTTGAAGGCCACAGAAACAAAACACAGTCATACCTATGGGAGATCTCAAACCTGTTGTGTCAATACGACCCACATCATTCAGTAAAAAAATACATATATATATATATATATATTTCTTAAGGTTATAATGTCCCGTGTTGGTTATCCTACCATTTCCTTTCCTCTTCTTTCTTCCACGCCCTAAATCGGAGAATTCCCCAAAGCCCAGACCTTTGCTCCTCCTCTGCGTCCCCTCCAGTTCACCTCTAACTAGACAATGTCCAAATATATATCCCTGGCCCAGACCTCTTACCTAATAGAGTCCATTGTTAACACATCACTGCGTCACAAAACTAACTCATTATCATTTCACTGGAAAGCCATATATCGTCTTCCCCCTCCTCATCTCTATATCCAATCAGTCAACACACCCTGTTAATATTTTACGTGGAATTACTTTTAGATTCCTTATTTTCTCTCCATTCACACTGCCATAACTTTATTGTAAGCCCTTGTGATAGCCTATCTGGGTTATTGCACTTTTCTTTAAATAAATCCTGTTGGGTTTACTCTTTCCTTTGACATGTTTACTCTGTTGACAGCCATAAAAATATTTTTCCCAAAGTAATTTTTCGATCGTGTTATTCATTTGCTCCAGAATCTATAATACACTAGATATCAAGAGTGACTGTAAATCTGTAGTAATTAAAAGTATGCTGTGGAGATAGACAATCAATGAAACACAATATAAACCCCTCAAACAGACCACACATATACGGAAGGTTGATATGCAGCGTGTGGGACATTTCAAATCAGTGGGGAAAGAATGGATTATCCACTAAGTGGTACTAGGACTACTGCTTATCCATATGGAAAATTATAAAAATTAGACCCCTACCTCAAACCATGGAAGAAAAATCAGTTCCAGGTGGATTAAAGATCTAAATGTGAAAAGCAAAACTTTATAACTTTCAGAAAAAAAAATTGAGTATGAGCTTGGAATATGGAATGAGAATAAGACATTTAGCTACATGAAATTTCAAAATGTATGTACTTTAAGACAATATAAACAAGTTAAAAGACAAACTGGCCTGCACAGTGGCTCATGCCTGTAATCCCAGCACTTTGGGAGGCCGAGGTGGTAGGATCACTTGAGCCCAGGAGTTCAAGACCAGCCTGGGAAACGTGGCAAAACCCTGTCTCTACAAAAACTATAAAAATTAGCTGGATGTGGTGGCAAGTGCTTGCAGTCCCAGCTACTCAGGAGGCTGAGGTGGGAGCATCCCCTTGAGCCAGCGAGGTCACATCTACAGTGAGCTGTGATGGCGCCACTGCACTCCAGCCTGGGTGACAGAGCAAGACCTTGTCTCAAAAAAAAAAAAAAAAAAAAAAGACAAGCTGTCATCACCTTTCGGACATCTCCCACCATTTCCCACCACTCTCCCTAACTAGCTTTGCTTAGTCACACTGACTCCTTGTTGTTGCTAGGACTTGCCAGGCACACTCTTACCTCAGGGCCTTTACACTTGCTGTTCACTCTGCATGCACTCTCACCTCCTTCAGGTCTTTGCTCAAATGTCACTTTCTCACTGAAGCCTTCCTAGACCACTTTATTGAAAATTGTAATTCAACAATCCCCTTCTCCATCACCACACATACATGTTCCCTATCCCTCTTCCCTGCTTATGTATCACTATCTACCACTTCTGTTTTATTTATCAATATTATTGGTCATTTACCTTCACCCGCTAGAATGTTGAGTTCCATGAGTGCAAGGATTTTGTCTGTTTTGATCATAGCTGCATTCTCAGTGCCTAGAACCATTCTTGGAGCCAAGTAGGTGCTAGAAAAATATTGATTAAATGAATGAATGACTTGGTATCCAGGATATATAAGAACTCCTATAAATAAGAAAGAAACCTAATAGAAAAATTGACAAAATATCTGAGTAAGTAATTCATAGTCAAGGAAACCCAGATGGCCAATAAAGACATGAAAAGATGCCTAACTTTATTACTATTCAGGGAAATTGAAAAGTAAAACCACGAGATACCATTTCACAACCATCGGTTTTGTGAAAATTTAAAAAGTCAGACAACCCCAAGTGTTGTTGAAGTTCTAGCAGTGGAACTCTGATTTACGGCTAGAAGGAGTTTAAGTTGGTAGAACTGCTATGAAGAACAATTTGACGATGTCTAATAAAGGCAATACCCCTCAATCTAGAAATTCTATTTCTAGATATAGACACTGGCAAAACTCTACCTTTTATATGCACAAAGAGACATATAAAAGAATGTTCATTGCAGTATTATTTGTAATCTCAAAAATGGAAGCCAAGTAAATGTCAGCAGGTGAATGAATAAATAATGGTGTTCTCGATGAATGAATTTGAGCTATGGGTAGTAACAGCTAAATTTCAAAAATATAATGTTGAGTGAAAAGCAAATTGCAAAACATGTACAGTATACTGTGTATATAAAGTCTGAAAATATCATCTATTGCTTATGGCTACATAGATGAGTAGTACTGTAATAGTATATAAAACATGAAAGGGCATGATCACCAAATTTAAGAGAGGGAGAGGATTGACACTCGGGGGAGGCATACAGAGAATATCAAATATATCTAATATTTATTTCTCAAAACAGAATCTGAAAAGTGATGTTGCAAGATTTGATAGAACTGGGTGGTGGGTACATATATTGGTTCTGTTATTCCATGTACTTTCCTGCACTGAAAATCATTTGCAGTCAATGAAAACGAAAGATAAAGAAGGAATATGCAGGGGAGGTTAGCAGTATCAAATGCTGAAAATAGGACAAGAAAATGAGGGCCAAAGAGACTTTCTTTGGACGTGTCAAGGAGTTCACTGGAGACCAATAATTGTTTGGTTTCAATAAGTGGTGAGGATAGAAACAAGATTATGGGGAATTGAGGAGGAACTGTATTGTGAGAAAACGGAGACAAGAGACCACAGATTGAAGAGGTTTGGAAATAAAAAGGAACGAAGTACAATTTTAATTAAATTAGTTAGAAGGGTCAAACAGAGGTTGTTGACAAAGCCTGAAGCCACTTTAAAGCAAAGAGGAAGGAACCAACAAAGAGGGGGCCTTTTTTTTTTTTTTTTTTTTGAGACGGAGTCTCGCTCTGTCGCCCAGGTCGGACTGCGGACTGCAGTAGCGCAATCTCGGCTCACTGCAAGCTCCACTTCCTGGGTTCACGCCATTCTCCTGCCTCAGCCTCCCGAGTAGCTGGGACTACAGGCGCCCGCCACCGCGCCCGGCTAATTTTTTGTATTTTTAGTAGAGACGGGGTTTCACCTTGTTAGCCAGGATGGTCTCGATCTCCTGACCTCATGATCCACCCGCCTCGGCCTCCCAAAGTGCTGGGATTACAGGCGTGAGCCACCGCGCCCGGCCAGAGGGGGCCTTTTAAGATGCTAGAAGAGAGAGGCAGTAAGGTTGCAAGCAAAATCCCTCAGTAATTGAGAGGGACAAAGATCCAAGATGTAGATGGCGGAATCGGCCTTAGGGAAAAGGCGAGATACTTCTTCCTCCAACTTTACAGTATCCTCAGCACCTAAACAGTGCATTGCACATAGTGGGCACTCAATAAATATTTGTTAAGTGAAGAATAAGAGGTTGTGTGGAAATTAAAATATATTGAGGTAAGGACACTAAAAACTGAGGTCTCTCACAGGGGAAATGATGGTTGCATATAAGTGGCTTCCAATGCAAAGAGTTAAAAGACAATTGAATAAAATTCAAATAAATGAAACTCTGGCTTCAAGAAAACATGAATCTCACCACCTTTACCACCACCATCTGCACATGCGTGCGTGTACACACATACACAAACACACACAAATTCAGTGGGTGCTCAGTGCCTGTCTTTTATCTATTAGGCAACTATCACTAAGTGTCTAGAACTTACAGGCTTTTCAGAAACAAAATTAAAAAAAACAGGATCTTTAAAAAAGACTAGAGCCGAGCACAGTGGTTCACAACTACAATCCCAGCACTTTGGGAGGCCAAAGCAGAAGGACCATTTGAAGTTTGAGATCAGCCTGGGCAATCTAACGAGACCCCCATCTCTACAAAAATAAAATAAAATAAAATTAGCTGGGCATGGTGGTATGTGCCTACAGTCCCAGTTACTCGGGAGGCTGAGGCAGGAGGATCACTTGAGCCCAGGAGTTCAAGGCTGCAGTGAGCTATGATTGTGCCACAGCACTCCAGCCTGGGCGACAGAAGGAGACTCTGTCTCTAAAAAAATTTGTTTTTAAGTAAAGGCTACAAAATACTAAAATGACAAATTCAAAAATAATAATTAAATGGCATACAAAATAGAACAGTATATCAAGTTCATTAACAGTTAAATTTATTATGCATTTAAAAACCCATTATATTTGAAGACGATTTTTAGGTTGGATCTTCTCACTTCCCAAGAATTCCCACGTACATGTAATTCTTATGGAGAAATCACAGCCATGTAAATTAAATTAGTTATGCACAGACAAATAATTTCAAAAGCAAAATTACCAAAGCATTTTCAAAAATTTATAGCAAAAATATAAATGTTTAATGCAGGATGTGGATGCATTTTAATATGTTTATTATGATGTTGGCTGAAGTCTCCACAAGTGACAGTGTTTAGGGCCTGCGAAGGCAAAAACAGGCCTGCCTAACATAGATGAGGCTGGGAAGGAAGATTTTGTATAGGTGAGTCAGCAGCCAGAGGCTGGAAGGCAGGCCAAGTGGAGGCATAAATGATTCATTTATTTTTAAATCCCCACTAGTTGAAAAGCCTCCCTTTTCATATACACAAATCCAGCATGGGTATGGCTTTCCATACAGAGCAACATAAAGAGTTCATTTTTATTTACATATTTCTGTTTTGCATTTCTATATTTCCACTTACACATTTCTATGTTATTTATGTCTATTTTCATTCCTTATAGAGTTTGGGGTGAGAAAAGCTCATTACTTGGGGCCACAGCCTATCACCTATACTCTTGGTGAAATGGCGACAGGCACAGCAAGCAGGAAAAACTGGCCTCCTTCGGCACACAATGCCCTCCAGGCCCTTCTTTCCCTTTGCTACTTTATTTCTATGCGGGCTAGTTTCTTAATTTCCTTCATTCTCTACCCCTATCACATTCACCAAGGCTAGGCTCTCCTTTCTGCTTAGTGAATCCCATAGGCAGGTCAGCATTGCCCAGGCCTGCTTGCCTCTTCCTCTCAGAAATTGGAGATGCTGAACTGAAAGAATATGGCATCAGCCTGGCATTAAAGCTCCAAGGATCTGTCCTGAATGCATCATTCCAGAGTTATCTCCCAAGGAAACTCTTTATAAACTTTATGCTCTGCCCATCATTTCCCTTCAGATTTGAACATGTGCAGCAGTTAGTGGCAATCAAATGGATGTGTCCATGACTCAAATACTTAGTCGATCATTTAGCTGAACACTGCTAGCTTGCCATCTTGGTCTTGACCTTTATGGAGTGTTAATTTATAAAAAATGATACATAAGCTGTTTAATATATATCCATAAAGAATCAAAGACATGCTGATGATTGAAATCAGAGCATAAAATGATTACAATTCTAAAAATTCCCAACATAACACTCATCAGACCCAGAAGCTGCATTTATCTGATCAAAATTCTTATATAGCTCATAAAAATTTCTCAAGCACTTCAGAAATCCTTAAAAAGAAAATTGAGTTATGGCTAAATACAATTTGTTTTCTCACTCATTGGGAATAAAAAATTATCCACATCTACAAAGTCAAATGATGAGATCTCTAATATCATTATTTAGAAACAAAATGCAAAAATTATTAAAATAAGCAGGTTGATATTTTTTAAAGCACAAAATTCAATAATTCCAATTTCAGGTCTTGAAAAGGGTTTTTGTCTATTTGTGAATGCTGCAAGGCCTAGTAACATTCAACCATACTGTGATGGATATAGTGGGATGACCTATGAAGGCTGCCTGAGCTCCCTGCTACTCTCAATCATGTGACCCTTCTGGATGCAGTTAGGGAGACATGAGGCTGGTCTTATCTCTAATGCAGGTGTCACAAAGGAAGGGGAAAATATATTCTTGGTTTTTAGGTTATCATTTTAAGTCTCAGTCCAGGGTGTAAGACAGGAAGATTTGGAAAGAGTCTCTGTTGAGAAGGATGTGTTATGTTCCTCAACCCATACCTCTACCCTCAGTACCTCTACCCTCAGTAGACAAGAGCCTCAGAACTGAGAAGAAGGAGTAGAGCAGGAAAGTAAGAGAATGCTTTGGTTTATTTAGAGACAGAGTCTCACTTTGTTGCCCAGGCTGGAATGCAGTGGCATAATCATAGCTCACTGCAGCCTTGAACTCCTGAGCTCAAGTGATCCTCCTGTCTCAGGCTCCCGAATAGCTGGGACTACAGATGTGCACCACCATGTCTAGGTAATTAAAAAAAAAAATAAGAGACAGTGTCTTGCCATGTTGCCCAGGTTGGTCTTGAACTTCTGGGCTCAAGTGATTCACCCTCCCTTGGCCTCCTAAAGTGCTGGGATTACAGGTATTAGCCATCACGCCCAGCCCAGAAGAGAATTTGAGAGCTGGAATCTTGTGGTCATGATGAGAAGAAGCCACATTTGGGAGAAGTAAAGACCATGTCATTAGAGGCCTGATGGGCAGTTGGCCACCCTAATGGATGGCAGCAGGGATGGAAGACAGGATAACTGCACATCCCAAGGAAGCCCAGTGCAGAATATACCAAGAACCTGAGAAGTGGGTTCCTCCTCCCCACCACTGTTATTTCAGTCTTGCATAAACTCTGGAGTTCAAAATCAACATGTGGGGCATGAAGGAGGGAGGGGGTGAATCCTATATCTGATTGGGTTTAAACATGAATTGACTGAGTTTAAGTGGAGGATTGTTTTCTGCCATCAGAAAGAATGCTGCTTCTAGAAAGGCATTAAATCCAGACATAAGCAGCATAAGCTCCAGAACCTTGTCTGTCTTGCTTATGGCTGTATACCTAGCACCTAGTACCTGGCACAGTAGCATTTCGATAGGTATCTGTGGAGTGTATAACTGTCCCTTACAGAAAATAATGAGTGATTTAGAATTATCCTAAGTGTGTTAAGCATCAATACAAATTGGGAAGTTTTGCTCTAACCAATGTAACTATTTAATTTCTTGATCACATGCCACTTATTCTTCACTCCATCTCAGTGCTAATGCTATATCTTTTCTCCAACCTCCTCTGCAACTGTACCTGCTGGAATCCTCTATTCTTCAATGCTCACCTCAAATGAAGCTTTTCCTTCTTTGAAGCTTTTCTCCTGTCTCCTCTCAGCTGGAAAGGAATGCTCCCTCCTGAATAACAGTGTCTCTGTGTACCTCTTAGGGAAGTTCTTGGAACTTTTCAAGGTCTGTTTTGTACAATATTGTTACAGAATGAACAAGCACATGATGAGCTCTGATCATTCTTATCGCTACTCTCAGCACCATCTCCTCAGTGCTTTATAGTCACGTTTTGAAAAAAACATTTATAAAGTACTTCTTTATATTTTTCTATGGTGTGCCTAATTTTTCTTCTTTTAGTGTGCATAAAATGTGTATGTACAGTTTGAGAAATAATTATAAAGTGAATGTCTATGTAACCTCTACCCAGGTTAAAAAATTGAACATTGTTAGCACTTTGAAAGTGCAAACAATACAAGACTTCAGCTTCCAATTTCGCTTCTGGGCCAGGCACCCAAAACAGGTGCCTTTCTCTGATCATTCCTTCTTCTCCCACCCGGAATTAAACCAAGGGTCGCATTGAGCCAGCATTCCCTGGTGAGGTATAAAAGGTTCTGTCTGTTTGGAGTGGTCAAAGTCCATGCCATAGTGGTCATTAAAATTTTTGAAGGTCATCCCTGGACATAACCATTATCTTGAGTTCTGTGATAATCATTTCTTTGCTTTTCTTTATAGTTTTATTGCTTATGAATGCAGTCATTAAAACTTTTGCCTGCTTTTGAACTTTATATGAATGGCATTGTATGGTATGTATTCTTTATATCTTGCTTATTTCAGCCAATAGTATGTCATGCATGTGGTCGTATATAGATGCCCTTCAGTTTCATTGATGTACAATATTCTATTGTGTGACTATATTCGGATTTCATTCATTCTCTTGTTGATGGACATTAGGTGGTTTCCAGCATTTGGCTATTACAAGCAAAAGCTGACAAGAGCATTCTTTTTTTTTTCCCCTCCGAGACAGAGTCTCACTCTGTCACTCAGGCTGGAGTGCAGTGGTGCGATCTTGGCTCACTGCAACCTCCGCCTCCCGGGTTCAAGCGATTCTCCTGCCTCAGCCTCCTGAGTAGCTGGGACTACAGGCATGTGCCATCACACTCAGCTAATTTTTTTTTTTTTAGTAGAGATGGGGTTTCATCATGTTGGTCAGGCTGGTCTCGAACTCATGACCTTGGGTGATCCACCCATCTCGGCTTCCCAGAGTGCTAGGATTACAGGCATGAGCCACTGCACCCAGCCTAGAACATTATTGTACATGGTTTTTGGTGCATATATGAATGATTACCTCTGGGGTGTATTATCCTAGTGGGGTGAAAGATGTCACAGGTTGGGCTCTCTAGAAGCAAAAGCTGAGATTAAATATTGGGTGCAAGATGTTTGTTAGGGATCAATACCAGTGGAAGGAAGGCAGAGGGAGTAGTATTGGGCAGGAGAGATGAACTATGATACAAGGCTGACAAAGCTTGAGCTAACTTGGCACTGAGTTTTGGAACAAGTAGAGCCCATTGGTGTGTTCTGTGTCAGGTTGAAATGGTCACCTTAGGAAGAGTGTGACTTCGGGTGAAGCAGCTCTTTGCAGCTAAGGCAGAGTCTCAAGGAGCTGACAGCTGGAGGCTATCTGCTGACTGTACCTCCCCTGCATACCTGAGTAGCATGTTCTTCCTCAAAGCAGAATCTAGGTGGCACATCTCTGTGTCGTTACTACAAAATGGTGTATATGTGTTCAACTCTAATAAATACTGCCAAACTGGTTTCCAAAGTGGTTGTACAATTTACATTTTCACATGCACTCTATGAGAGTCCCCATCCTCACAAGCTCTGGGTGTTGTCAGTCTTTAAACATTTTAGCCATTCTAATGGATGTGCAGCAGTATCGCATTGTTTTTGTTTTGTTTTGTTTTGAGACAGAGTCTCGTTATGTCACCCCAGGCTGGAGTGTAGTGGCATGACCATGACTCACTGTAGCCTCGACCTCCCAAAGATATGTGATCCTCCTGCTTTAGCCTCCTGAGTAGCTGGGACTACAGGTGCATGCCACCACGCCAGACTAATTTATTTTTTATTTTTGTAGAGACAGGATTTCGCCATGTTGCCTATGCTGGTCTCGAACTCCTGGGCTCAAGCAATACACCCGCCTTGGCCTCCCAAAGTGCTGGGGATACAAGCATGGGCCACTGTGCCGGGCCTCATTGTGGTTTTAACTTGCATTTCCCTGATGACTATTGAGGTTAAAGACATTCTCATATATTAATTGCTTTGTTAAGTCTTCTTTCATCCACCTGTGTTTGTCTTCCACAGAGAATGAGTCTCTTTCAGGCAAAGGTCAGCAAACACAGCCTGAAGCCCATTTTTGTATGGCCCTTGAACTAAGAATGTTTTTACATTTAAAATTGTTTAAAAAAATCAAAAGAATAATAATATTTAGTTATATGAAATTCAAATTCCAGTTTCCATAAAAACAATTTTATTGGAATCCAGCCATGTTCATGTGGTTACCTATAGTCTATGGCTGCTTTCATGTTACAACAGCAGAGTTTAGCGGTTGTGACAGACTTTATAATCTGTAAAGCCTCAAATACTTACTACCTGGCCCTTTACAGAAAAAGTTTGCTGGTCCTCGTTCTAGGTCACTAGTTCTCCAAGTGTGGTCCCCGGACCAACAGCATCAGCATCAGTGGAGAAATTGTTAGACAAATTCTTGGCCCCACTCCAAACTTACCAATTCAGAAACTCTGGGAGTGGGGCCAACTATCTGTGTTTTAACAAGCCCTCCAGATGATGCTGATGTGCTCAAGTTTGAAAACCACTGATCTAGGCCCAGGACAAGGACCCAATCCTTTTTTTTTTTTTTTTTTGAGAGAGAGAGAGAGTGTGTGGTGTGTGTGTGTGTATGTAGACATTATTGTCTTTTGTCTTTTGGTATCTTGTTCCACACGCAGTGGGTAAGCTGGGGGAGAGCCCTGAAAAATGTTATGTAAGTGTATTATTATGCATGTGAAATCTGGCAAGAATGGACACTCAGGACAAGATTGAAGGAAGAGAAATGGGAGAAACCAGAAGGCAACATAGAAGCTGAAGAATATGTGTGGAGTGGGGAGGGCATGATGTAGCTAGGGAGCCAGTCCCTGAACTGCCTTCCCTCCTACCTCTTACTATTATTATGTATTTTTTGAGATGGAGTTTCACTCTTGTTGCCCAGGCTGGAGTGTAATGGCATGATTTCAGCTCACTGCAACCTCTGCCTCCAAGGTTCAAGTGATTCTCCTGCTTCAGCCTCCCAAGTAGCTGGGATTATGGGCATGCGCCACCACACCCAGCTAATTTTGTATTTTTATTAGAGACGGGATTTCTCCACGTTGGTCAGGCTGCCCTCAAACTCCCGACCTCAGGTGATTCTCCCATCTCGGCCTCCCAAAGTGCTGGGATTATAGGCATGAGCCACCGTGCCTGGCCCCTCCGGCCTCTTTTTAAACAAAGACAAATCGAGTATGACTCCTGTCCTCAAAAAAGTCACAGTCTAAGTAGAGAAGTAGCCTAACCCTCTTCTCCCTCATTACTGCCTTTCTTCAGAACTTACCTTTGGGGAAGTGTAACTGCACCAAATTGCTGACCCTGATAAATGATAATGAACAGAGAAAATGAACTTGGCAAACAGCACTTCCGCCTTATTCCTATTTTAGTTTAGCACTGACTTTCAGACTTACTTTATCATATTCTGGCTTTTTCCTTGGCTTAGCCAAAACTCAAAGCAGCACCCTGCTTTTTTCTTTTTGTTAACTACCATCCACTGAGTATCTGTTATATGCCGGGATCATGTTAAATGTTTTATACACATATTTTACATTAAATCCTCATGAGATCACGTTGAATTAGGTATTATTATACCCATTTTACAGATGCAAATCAGAGGAGAGAGAGGTTAAACAATTTAGTAGAATCTGAACTCCAAGTCTTTCTGACTCTACAGCCAAAGCTGGTAATAATTGTACTATTTTGCCTCTAATAATACCGCCATGGATAATATTGTGCCTTTACATACATAGTAAATACATGGAAATCAATGGTAACATGTGCATCCATGAGAATTTCTACTTGCATGTAATAGAAACTAACTCTGACTTATTTAAGTGGAAATAAAAAGTATTAAATAGTGAAAAAATATTGGGCCTTTAGCAAACCCAATTCAGATTATTTAGCATGTGTTTCGTGTTTTAGGGCATGTATGGGTGGGTAGAATGTCAGGGTTGGGAGCATTTAAGAAAATCTTGCTGGGCGCAGTGGCTCACGCCTGTAATCCCAGGACTTTGGGAGGCCAAGGCGGGCGGATCAAGAGGTCAGGAGTTTCAGACCAGCCTGACCGACATGGTGAAACCCCATATCTACTAAAAATACAAAAATTAGCCAGGCGTGGTGGCACACGCCTGTAGTCCCAGCTACTCGGGAGGCTGAGACAGAAGAATCGCTTGAATCCAGGAGGTGGTGGTTGCAGTGAGCTGGGATTGTGCCACTGCACTCCAGCCTGGGCGACAGAACGAGACTCTGTCTCAAAAAAAAAAAAAAAAAAAAGAAAGAAAGAAAATCTCATTTTTTTTCCTGAGCTAGTTTTGCAAAATTGCTTAAAAGTAGAAAAATCATTTTATATACCGCCTAAAACAATGTCAAAAATCATTCCTCAATCAAGTAACATTATTGTGAACCGTATAATACTCACATTGCTTCTGCTACATTATACATTACTACTGCATTGTCTCTTCTGTGTGAAATTGTTCTGTTCATTTTTTTTTTCGGGACGAAGTCTTGCTCTGTCACCCAGGCTAGAGTGCAGTGGTGTGACCTTGGCTCACTGCAACTTCCGCCTCCCGGGTTCAAGCGATTCTCCTGCCTCAGCCTCCCAAGTAGCTGGGATTACAGGTGCCTGCCACCACACCCAGTTAATTTTTTTTATTTTTAGAAGAGACGGGGTTTCACCCTCTTGGCCAGGCTGGTCTCGAACTCCTGACTTCATGATCTACCCACCTCGGCCTCTCAATGTGCTGGTATTACAGGCGTGAGCCACTGCACCTGGCCTGTTTTTTTTTGTTTTTTTGTTTTTGTTTTTGTTTTTGACTCACCCTATCTACAAGGTCATACTCCTTCTGTTAAGGATTAATTTCAACTTGTTCAGTTTTGAGTAATACGTTTTGATTCATCTATAAAATGGTATTTATCTATTACATAAAGAAACACCTTCATTGAGGAAAACTAGAATAGAAAAGCAAAATAAGAAAAAAATATTACACACAATCCCACCACCTTGCTGTATGTAACTACTGGTTTAACATTTGGAGTAGAACCTTCCAGGGTTTGTCCTTTGTGGAAATACATTTATGTAAATAGTGTTTTTCAGTGTGTGTGTGTGGTGAAAATGGGATCATTCTAACTTTTTGCCTGTATGTTTTCACTTAACAATATACAGGAATATATTTTCATGTCAACAGATACCTGATTACATAATCATTCATTTTTTTTTTTTTTTTTTGAAACGGAGTCTCACTCTGTCGCCCAGGCTGGGGTGCAGTGGTGCCACCTCGCCTCACTGCAACCTCCCCCTCCAGAATTCAAGCAATTCTCCTGCCTCAGCCTCCCTAGTAGCTGGGATTACAGGCGCCCGCCACTACGCACAGGTAATTTTTTGTATTTTTAGTAGAGATGGGGTTTCATCATGTTGGCCAGGCTGGTCTCGAACTTCTGACCTTGTGATTCACCTGCCTCGGCCTCCCAAAGTTCTGGGATTACAGGCATGAGCCACCGCGTCTAGTCAACACATAATCATTCTTAATGCTTGCATAACATTCCATTTATTAATGTACTATACAATGTTTTGCCAATCCTTTCTTCTTGGACATCTCAGTTCTTTCTGTTACGCTCTCCCCTTCTTTGCACAAACTGTCCTGAGTCCCATTACTGTTTTGAGAGTTTACTTTAGAGCATGGGTGTCCAACCTTTTGGCTTCCCTGGGTCATACTGGAAGAATAATTGTCCTGGGCCACACATAAAATACTAATGCCAATGATAGCTGATACTCAAAAAAAAAAAAAAAAAAAAAAAAAAGGTCCATGCCGAATTTTCATGATATCCACCACCACAGATAGGCAAAAAAGTTCTTGCATTCAAAGGGTCGGACACGGCTGCTTTAGAGGGAACACCATGGAGATAGATGGCAGAAATATTTTTCAGTTATTTTCTCAGTATAATTTCTACTGTCAAGGAGGAAGCCCTGTGAAGACCAGTGAACTTAATAAAGATGAAAAACGAGGTTTGGACTAGACAGTCTGGGGTTTGAATGTCACTTACTAGCTGTGGAACCTTAGATGAGTTGTTTAGCCTAAATCTCCATTTTCTTATCTGTAAAATAGGGATAATAATATTTATTTCATAGAATTATTTGGAGGATTAGCAATATCATATGTAAAGAATCTAGCACAGTGCCTAATACAATAGTGGGTGCTCAAGAAATGGTAGACATATACTAGTTATTACCATGACCTTTTCCTTAAAATACAGATCACCAAGGAAATATCACATTTTCAAAAATGCCACTATCATAAATGTCTTTAAAAAAATAGTGAGAAAGCTTACTGATATGAACAGAATGGTTACTGTAGCTGTAAGCAAGACAGTGTGTCCAGAATCTTTTCTGCCAGTTTCTGAAGAACATTAATCAGTCGGATCACAATGTGGTTTTAAGTCATACTGTGGTTTCAATGACAAATTTCAGATGCAAAATAAGAGAAGGAACACGAAGCCTTTGGCTTTTCCTTTATGAATTTTGTAAAACATTTAATATCACCAGTGGACACATGTTCTAGTAGCTACTAAACAAGTTTGGCTATTCGAGAATGATTGTTGAATAACCTCTATAATCTACCAAAATGGACGTATTGACTGGTAGACCAAGATTAGTTCTGAGGTTCCCAGTTTATTTTTATTTTTATTTTATTTTATTTTTTGATACGGAGTCTCGCTCTGTTGCCAGGCTGGAGTGCAGTGGCTTGATCTTCGCTCACTGCAATCTCTACCTCCTGGGTTCAAGCGATTCTCCTGCCTCAGCCTCCCGAGTAGCTGGGATTACAGGCACGCACCACCATACCCAGCTAATTTTTGTATTTTTAGTAGAGAAGGGGTTTCACCATGTTGGCCAGGATGGTCTGGATCTCCTTGTGATCAGCCTGCCTCGGCCTCCCAAAGTGCTGGGATTACAGGCGTGAGAGCCAGTTCTTTATAAAAGTTTGCTCTGTTCTCCAACCCCAATGGAATAGAGCAATCCAAGACCATTTCAAATGAAAAGACATAATTGGGGAAAGTAGTAGCAGATAGAGCAAGGTGTTGAGTAGGCTCAGAAATGAGATGACTCTTGTTGAACAAAGTCTACAGATCATGAATTTTAGGCAGATTTACAAATAAGGATAGCACATGCTCTGTAAATAGCAGCTGTTGCCACAAGCCAAAGGGCAATATTTACATGAATCCTGTGGCAAGGTCTGTTGACCAAGCATCGACCTTTCCAGCCAAATTCATATACTTGGTAGCACTTTCAGCCGCGTCATCTTGAAAAGGAAGGATTGCATTATACATGCATGGAAAATTGCCAACGTACAAATATGTTCTGCCCCCAAATAAATTTTTAAATTCTTTTTTTGGAACATGGAACACATGTCCCCACAAAAAAAAGGTGTTATAAAGGGATGTGTTTCCCAGATTTCCTCACAAAAGTGCATTTAACCCACGATGTAACTGAAATAATGTACACTGACAATGAGAAATACAGTGGAACAAAACTGACTTGAAAGCAGGGACACACCAATACACAACAAATATTTCTTGAGCTTTTCTCCTTTGCAGCCCCATGCAAGGAAAGAGGAATTCTATCTTTCAATAGCTGCAACATGGTGAAAAATAAATCCTCCACTGTTGCTGTCCTTAAGGGTCCTTCTCAAGACAGGGTATTTAGGGTGTCCATTGCCTCAAGTATTTATCATTTCTATGTGTTGGGAACATTTCATGTCCTCTCTTCTAGCTATTTCGAAATATACATTGCATTGTTTGTTCAGTAGAGTCACCCTACTCTACTTTGAACATTATAACTTATTCCTTCCATCTAACTGTATATTTGTACTCATTAACTGACCTCTCTTCATTGATCCGCCTCAACCCCACACACCCTTCCCAGACTTCTGGTACCTATCATTCTACTCTCTACCTCCATGAGATCAACTTTTTAGCTCCCACATATGAGTGAGAACATGTGTTATTTGTCTTTCTGTGCCTGGCTTATTTTGTGCAACATAATAAACATCAGTTTCATTTATGTTGCTGCAAATGACATTTCATTCTTTTTTATGGCTACATAGTATTCCATTGTGTATACAGACCACATTTTCCTTAACCATTCACCTGCTGATGGACACTGATTGATTCTGTATCACGAAATGATTTTATATCCATGATCATTCATATTATGTGTTGTATTATTACCAAATAATAATGGAGGTGCAAATAGAACCTGTGCCAAAAAATCACAGTAATTCATTTCAATTGCTAATATTGAGTGCCTACCACATGTTGCCCCAGGTTCGGTGGGTAACCTTGTCCCCTAGGAATTTAAAAATGCAGTGGTGAAGGTAAGAGAAGTGTTCCTGCACATTGGCTACCTGAGAGGTACCAGAGGTGAAAATAGAGCAAATATACGTAAAACTTGAGAGTCAGACTTTGCCTTGTAAGTGAATGTGTTTGCAGCTGCAATCAAGAGATTCAAGGAGTGCTTCTCTTTGTGCAGAATTTAGGAAGGTGGAAACAGCACCGCTAATCCTACCTCTTTAGGGATCCGGGAAAGGGCAGTCCCAGAGGGGTTCCGCGCTTTGCAAATGGTGAAAAAGACCTTCTACAGTACAGTTAGGAGCAGAGGAAAAGTTCTTTGTGCAAGAAGGGGAGAGCGCCCCGAGGTACAAAGAGCAGATTTAAGGGAAAGAGGATTCGTTCTGCACGCATCTGCGAGGGGAGCTCAGGCTCACTGTTGGGGGCGTGTGGGAAAGGAGATTTTCAGGGGGCCGCGAGTTGTGGGTTCCCGCCTCCACCCCTGTCCGCGCCCCACACTCAGGCAACAGTTGGTCGTGCGGGGCCGGCCCGGGCTCTGGGTGGGGAAGGGGAGTCTCGCGATCGTTGAGGGGGGGGGGGTGGAGGAAGGGGGGAGAGTGACGGGGGGAGGCCATGACGTAGGGTGGGTGGACGGAAGTGGGGCAGGGTTGAGGGTTATTTAAAGAAGGGGGGGCCTGAGCGAAGGGGTTGGAAGCGGAGTGATTCCCCACCCCTGCTCCATCTAGCTCTTTCCAGTGCAGCCACTGCCGCCGCCCAGGAGCCCTCGTCCCCTGCCTTGTCCCCCTACTCGTTCCCGCTCCCACGGCATGGAGCAGGACACTGCCGCAGTGGCAGCCACCGTGGCAGCCGCGGATGCGACCGCCACTATCGTGGTCATAGAGGACGAGCAGCCCGGGCCGTCCACCTCTCAGGAGGAGGGAGCGGCCGCCGCGGCCACCGAAGCCACCGCGGCCACGGAGAAGGGCGAGAAGAAGAAGGAGGTAAATAGGAAGGGGGTGTGTGTGTGGTGGACAAATCCTGTGCCTGGCCCCTCTGAGGGGCCCAAACCCTGACCTTTCGGCGCCGACAGGTACCCGCGGAGCTTTGCGGGGCTAGGGGCGGCGGGTGCGGGGGTCGGCGGCGGAACCGCCTGGCGTTCGCTCCCCTCCCCCTTTCCTTCTCGCCGCCTGGAGGACGGGGGCGGGGCTGGGCGCGGGCGGGAGCGGCGCGGGGTGGAGGGGTGCCCGCTCTCCCGGGGCCTGGGGGCTCGGGAGCCCCTCGACAGCCCCCGACCCCCTCCACCTTCCCGGAACTCGGGTAACGGGGTGGGGGATGGGGCTGTGCAGGAAAAAGCCTCCGCCTCTCCCTCTCCTCTCGCTCGCTCCCTCTCCCCCCGCCTTCCCGTCGGCCTCTGCCTGGGAAATCTGGGCCCTTCAATCCCACACTCGCGCTAAAGGGGTTTTGCTGGGGCTTTTTTTGTAATTTGAATTTCAAGGTGCTGGTGGTTGCTGGGTGGAGGGTGACAGGGAAGACATTTCTTTCTTTCATTGGCAATGTCGGTCTTTTGGATGGCAGGAAAAAAACCATCCCTTGTTCGTTTGAACCCCGCCTGCCGAGGTGGGGGTGTCACCCCGAGGAAAGGAGCTCTCTGCGTCGTACCCCCCCGCCCCCCCAAACTGAGGAACCGTGGACGCTGGCTTAGGAAAATTTCCAACATCTGCACCCTCACCCTCTTCTGCCCCGCCCCCGACGGTATAGGGTTTCACTCCAGGGCCACCCCAATGGTCCCTCAATCCGGCCCCAAGCTTTCCAGGCTTCCGCCTCCCTCTCCTAGTGGGCGCTGCTGGCTCCTGGACACACACAGGTTTTTTTTTTTTTTCTCCTTTAATTTTTAAAAAACTCAGCGTCGCCAAGATGAGCTGCTTCTAACGTAAGGGAACTGCTCTGACACATATTAAAGCCAATCCAGAAAATATGTATTATCTCCATAAGGCACATTTCGTGTGGCCCGAGACATGCAAATAAAACTATAAAACGTTGAAAAATTGACATAAAAATAGGATGGGGCATAAGCATTTTTGATGTATGATAAAATTGCATAACTAATGGTTTATGTGTGGATTTTTTCCTATTTACGAGTAGTCATATCGCAATTTTAAAAAGGTGGGTAATTATGCTTTAGAGATCTCAAGTGGCTTTGTCTGAATCATTATATGATACTATACGACCAAATGAAAAGCTTTTGAGGAAAATGAACACCTTTCGCCTTAAATGAGAAGAGTAATTTTAAATTTAGCAGTTGCTTCTGTGACATATTTTACTATTACAAGGTTGACTAAACAGAAGGACAATTGTAGTGCTAAATGAAAACCGTAGAAAACATACACATTGTAAGATCTACGCGGTACTTGGATTAGTAAGACAATATTGTTGGTTAAAAGTGGGTGTAATACCAAGCATCAATATAAATCAAATGTTGTGAAATTCGGAAATGTCTGTGTGCCTTTTATTCCCTGGACTGGGCAAATGTGAGTGCCAAACTGCCTTTTGTATGGCAGGAGAGGTTGTCGAATTTCCAGATTGTATAAATTTTTGAATTTTGTATAAAATTTTGTATTGTGAAAAAACGGGAGACCAATAAAAAAGCTATATAATATAAACACTGAGTTGATGCCTACATATTTGTCAACTCTTGCCTCATTAGAAATTGCCCTACCAGTACTTCATTTGTCCACCCAGGACAGGGAAATGAGGTGCTGTATGTCAGGAACTTCCTGGATATCCATTTTTATTTTTAATTTTTCCTTAAAAAATGAAATACATTACATACTACCTTGACACTTTAAATTGCATACTAAAAGTGCAGATTAACCTCTTCTTCATGGCCATCAGTTAGTGTACTTTGACAGTGACACAAAGGCACCTGAAATCCCGCAGGTTGTTCCCTCTCAATTAAGTAACCACCTACCAGACTCTTGCAGTGTTGTGTTGATTTTTAAAAATAATTTTTCCAGCCGGGCGCGGTGGCTCGCGCCTGTAATCCTAGCACTTTGGGAGGCCGAGGCGGGTAGATCACTTGAGGTCAGGAGTTCGAAACCAGCCTGGCCAATATGGTGAAACCCCGTCTCTACTAAAAATACCAAAAAAAAAAAATTAGCCAAGTGTGGTGGCAGGCACCTGTAATCCCAGCTACTTGGGAGGCTGAGGCAGGAGAATCGCTTGAACCCGGAAGGCTCAGGTTGCAGTGAGCCGAGATCCCACCACTGCACTCCAACCTGAGCAACAGAGTGAGACTCCGTCTCAAAATAAATAAATAAATAAAAATTTTCTGTCTTCTTCCTTAATTGCCAGGCTGTTAGCGATCACTTTTTAAACACCTCTAGTTTCACCAGAAATAATATGTTAGTTTATGATAAAGATTATAGGTGTAACAAAACCATAAACTCATTTGAAAACCACTGTAAAATACAAAAGTGTCAGTGATAAAACAGGGAGAGGGAAATAATGACACGTGCACACCAAGAATCAGTGATGCTACTGCAGTGGAAGACATTTTCGTCCTTGGTTTCTGCCGTGTCTTCTTGTAGAGTGCCTTCATCTAGTGATCTTTCCATGTCATTTACTGTTGCTTGTATTCTCGGTGACATGGGAAGCCAGATTTTCAAACTTGGTGGAATTGTCTACCAAATAAAAAGAAAATAGGTTTCTGAATGAGAGCGCTTTCATGATGAATACAGTAGATGAGAATTAGTGAATTGACCTGTGACATTTACCTACTCAAAGGTGTTTTTGCTTACTTTCTGGTTGTTGAATTTAGTTGGTTTAAGTGACGGTTGGATTACCCAACACTGTAGACATGAAAACGTCAAGAAAAAGGTCATGGTCTTTAAAACAAGCCATTTTGTTGACCTTGTGCTGCATTCTCATGGCACCTAGACTCAGATAACAAAATCCAAAGGAATTCATTAGAGTCTCTTAGTCACTTTTCATCTTTTCTTGTATGAAAAAAATGTAGTTTTGAGAATACACACACACACACACACACACACACACACACACGAGAGAAGGTTTAGAAGGTAGGTATTTTAAAATTTGTTGTGGAAGATAGTGCCAATTAAGTAATTACCCACAGCTTTTAATAGCCCTGCTCAAGATTAGGATTTTAATTAGCATATAATTAGATTTTGATGGTAGTCTACCGCAAGGTAAGCAAAAAAGTAATGGGTAAAATGTTTTTCTAGGATTAAAGCTTTAATTTTCTGTAAGTGTACTTCCCACATTATTATATATATTTGTGCGTATGAGGCAAAGTAATTTTCATTGTTTTGATACTGGAAAACTGCACTTCATATAACCTTTCAAGGAATGAATGATAAACGTATGGATTTGATACCCAATTTTTCTTGTTGCTTTGAAAATAAATATGATTTATATTATATATGGCAGTCTGAAAGTGTGAGTTTGAGGGGCTCTTTAGCAGTTTTCTATTCTCATCCATCCAGGATTACATTCAAAACATTCCATATAGATGTGTACGTATCAGATGCTGTAAATCAAGATGGTTATTATTTGGGTTAGTGTAACTGAATGATATCTGATCAGTGCTACAAAGTAAGAGTCTGGACAAGGTCAAATTCCATAATCTCAGTTTGGATTTCCTCAAAATAGAAATTTTAGTAAATATTGGAAGACATAATGGGGGCCATATTTTTCTTATGTTTAAGGTCACATTCTGTTGATTTTTGACCTAAGTTTTCATAAATAGGTTGACAAAAGCCATGATAGTTTTCACGAACAAATTTGTGTTTTCTCTTATGCAAAGTATGTGTTAAAACTGAAATGCTCTCATCTTTGGTTCTGGTGGGTAGATTTGTGTTTTTATTATTTTATTTCTTGGTTTCTTATAGGGAAGGAGGCTTATTCTATATATGTATTTATATTTGCCAGTACAGGCTTGTCTTTACAAAGGATAGGGTGCATGAGATAACCCCCTTCCCCAGATAATCTCTATATTAAGTTATTGATTGATGTTAGTTTTCGCTAAATTACAATTTAAAAATATCAAACATTAATAGTTAAGTAGCCTTGACAAATTGCTTCTACAAGATGTTTATGCAATATAAATAGTTTAAAGTAGTTTTCTTCCCAGTTAGAGAAAATTAACATAAGCCAAAAGTTTAAAACTGTACTATTATATTAAGTATATGTGATCACATTGCATTACATAAAAAATTAAATATTCTTATAATACTATGAAAACAATTTTAAAAATATCGTTTTAGGAACAGAAACCACAGTTTTTTTTTCTGAAAGTGTGGCGTATTTCCATGACATAAAGGAGTGTTTCTTAGAATTAATATTTACTTTCTTTGAATTATTTGGTTTGTGGTTGATATTAGCCTTTTCTAGATTTTAAAATCTCTTATTTAATGTTTACACATTTTCTTACACTATAAATTAAAGAATGGATGAGAAAGCTCAGTGTCTTGCCTTTTGGGTTTTATTCCAATTAATATTTCTTTGGCATTCACAATTTTTCAGATTTTTTTTATTGGACCTCAGGTGTACAGAACTGGATTAATCATAAGCCTTGTTTTGTGACATGCTCTCATCATTGGTCCATACATGTCCCACATTGATTTATATATTTAGTTATGTAATTACTTTCCGCCTTCTTCTAATGAGAGCATTGACCAGTTTAAGAACCTTGCTTTGCAATTTGGTGACATTTATTTTCTTTGAAATTCTAGAAAAACGTTTCTTCATTTCAACTCAAACTTGCTGCTAAAGCGCCTAAATCTGAAAAGGAAATGGACCCAGAATATGAAGAGAAAATGGTAAATGTAGTCTTGGATAGGATAGTGAATGCTGTAATTAATTTTTATAGTTGAGATGTTAAAGATGAAAAAATACATGTATATATATAATGCATAGAGAATCATTGATTTTAGAATTGGAAAATAATTTAATATACAATCTATCACAATATTTTCTGTTGAATAAATTAACCTCCTCATTTTCAGATGAGGAAATAAAGGATCAGGGAAGCTATATGTCATAGTTAGGACTAGAAGTCACATCTCATTTTGGTTCGGTGCTCTCTGTCCCATAATAAAGTGCTTTAAGCTAGAAATATTTATTTATGAGGTGAAAATATCAGTGGTAATACCACTGTGGCTTTGTGACCTGAGAGAAATCCAGTCACAAAGCCAGATTGACGTATTTTTGTTTCTTTCTCCTTCTTTGGACATATGAATAAATGCTACACATTAATGAAATGTGTAATATGTCAATACACTTTAAAGGGAAGAATATTTGTCCAATGCATGAAGATATCACATATTTAAGCAGCATAATCTTAGTTATACTTACATATTGCTTGCTATAATACATTTAATTATTTAATTTTTAGTTACTAAAATACATATTTTAGCTTTAATTTTAACTAAACTCTTATAACCTTGGATCTTTCAAGAATTTAACAGGTGGTTGAAATGGATTTTTTTTTCCTCTGAGGGGTTGTTTTTGCAGTAATATTATAAAAATAAGTATAGATGAAATATATTTTTTGGTTGTTGATAGCTATTTTATAAGACTTAATGTTTAAGGCCACATCTAATGTAGGTAGGCAATGTTTTAACAACTCTAAAAATAACATTCCAGTGAGGATAATATAAAATGGAAAGTTTTTGGCCTCCTTCCAGCTTGTAGTCTGAATTTATCTAACTCTTATGTTTATGTTAATGAACTCTTCTGTAAGTTTTCTGGGTTATTAATTATGCATCCTTCATTAGCAATCAAGTATTCTCTACTCTGTGGTTGGAAAGTGACTTTGAATAAATAAATAGTCTTTATTTTTTCCTTTATCTAGAATGATGTATATATCTTTTGATCTTTTAAGATTTTTTTAGTGAAACAAAGTTTTATTGCCTGTATATGGTACACGTTCCCTGACCTTTTACAATTTATTGAGAAATTAGAATACATATCAACTTTTAATAGTTAATAAACTATTTCACATATATGTGCATATGTTTATATATTTTTCCCAAATTCTGCTTACTTTGGGGAGAAAGTTTATACGCTACTAGCACAAAATACAGTTTTCTAGATCCCTGTGAGTGAAGAGAGGAGTGTTTATTACATTACTATACCATGACACTGAAAATATTTTGAGACAAGATGATACTGTATTTTAAGATTTAAGTTATTTCTGGATACAACTTGGAAATTCTTAAGAGTTCAGTTTATGGTATATATATCATAGTTAATTTATATTTCAATATTTGGGATATGTTATATATTTGATGCTTAATTTTGTTACTATTTTATTTAATAAAATGATGTTTTGGAAAGAGGATTTGCTTTATGATTATGACTCTTTAAGAAGGGTATTTCTTATTGGGGAATTTACTGTCTGTCAGATAATTTTTCTTCCCTTCAAACTATTTGAAAATACATTTTCAAATTCTGCTGCTTATTAGCTGTGCAAGGTTGGGCAAATTACTTACCCTCTCTGTGCTTCAGTATCATGTAGTTACAATGGAGATGATACTTGTAATTACGTCATAGGTTTCTTAAGAGAATTGAATGGATTAATGTTTCAAGTGCTAAGAATGTTGTTCAAAGTAAGTATTTGTTAAATAACTTTGAAGGAATGAAAAGGAAAGTCCTTACTTTTCTTTTGTTTTGCAAATTAGAAAGCCGACCGAGCAAAGAGATTTGAATTTTTACTGAAGCAGACAGAACTTTTTGCACATTTCATTCAGCCTTCAGCACAGAAATCTCCAACATCTCCACTGAACATGAAATTGGGACGTCCCCGAATAAAGAAAGATGAAAAGCAGAGCTTAATTTCTGCTGGAGAGTATGTTGGCACCTCTCTCTCTACTTTCTTTCCTTTCTCCTACCTTTTCTTCCTCCTGTCCTCCCTTGATCCCTTCATGCACCCCTTCGCTCTTCATTGTTCAGTATACCTTCATGTGACAAAAAATATTGCCATTATAATTATGTTTTGAAGACAACTATATTTTTTTCTCACTAGAGGCTGATCAGTAAAAATGTAGGCTGGTTCTACTGATTTCTAAGCAAGACCTTGGACAACTCATTCTTTTTCTATAAAAGATAATAGCCATGTACACTGATTTAATTGATACCTTATCATTTAGGTCGAATATGAAGGGATTTCCTTTTTTAATTTCAGCTACCGCCATAGGCGCACAGAGCAAGAAGAAGATGAAGAGCTACTGTCTGAGAGTCGGAAAACATCTAATGTGTGTATTAGATTTGAGGTGTCACCTTCATGTAAGTACTTCATCACATTGGTGAGTTCTTTTTCAATTTAGTTTTAGAAAAATTTTACTTGAGTATGTTAATGAAAGTATGAAATGTCCTTGCATTTTTTCACCAGATGTGAAAGGGGGGCCACTGAGAGATTATCAGATTCGAGGACTGAATTGGTTGATCTCTTTATATGAAAATGGAGTCAATGGCATTTTGGCTGATGAAATGGTAAGGAATTGGTAGCTAAAAACACATTCTCAGTTATCAATGATTTTTATGTAAATTTGAAAAACCTGAGCTTACCTGCCCCCCTGATGCCTGGAGGCTTTTTAAAAGTTGTTATCATGTAAAAGGTATTTTGTAGTCTTAGAATTATTATTATTTTTTTGAGAGAGGATCTCTTTGTGTTTCCAGGCTTGAGTGCAGTGGTGCAATCTCGGCTCACTGTACCCTCGACTTCCTGGGTTCAAGCGATCCTCCTGCCTCAGCCTCCTGAGTAGCTGCGACTCCAGGCACGTGCCCACCACACTGGGCTAATTTTTATTTTTATTTTTAGTAGAGACAGGTCTCGCCACGTCACCCACACTGATTTTGAACTCCTGGGCTCAAGCAGTCCTCCCACCTCGACCTCCCGAAGTGTTGGGATTACAGGTGTGAGCCACAGCACCCAGCTAGAATTGTTTCGTTAAGTCACCGCTAGAACACAGACTTTCACAGGCCATAAAACTCTTACTGAGCTTTCCTCAAATGGTCCAAAAACCTTCTCTGTACTTTTGTTTTTGTTTGCATTTTGGCTTCCAGGAAGCACAGAGTCAAGATGGATGCCCAAATGATGCCTTTATGTAACTTTTTTTTTAAAATTTTTTGAGATGGAGTCTCGCTCTGTCACCCAGACTGGAGTGCAGTGGCACGATCTCAGCTCACTGCCACCTCCACCTCCCAGGTTCAAGCAATTCTCTGTCTCAGTCTCCTGAATAGCTGGGGTTACAGGCGCCTGCCACCACGTCCGGCTAATTTTTTTGTATTTTTAGTAGAGATGGGGTTTCACCGTTTTGGCCAGGCTGGTCTTGAACTCCTGACCTTGTGATCCACCTGCTTCGGCCTCCCAGAGTGCTGGGATTACAGGTGTGAGCCACCCCCACCCTGGCCTTATGTAACCTTTAATGGTCTGCCCTGTGTGTCCTTCTGTCTTTTCCTATTCTTTATCTACTTGTCTTTCTTACTTTCCTTGTCGTCTCTTTATTTCTATTTTGCCATTAATTTATGTTCCATGTTTTCATTGTAGGCTACCTGAAATCCTTTTGGGAATAAGGTGGGGTATACAAACCAAACAATATGTAAATGACTGCCTGAATATATGCATGTGTGAATGATTATCAATATTTTGACTTGTGAACAATCAAAAAGTGCATAGGTGGAATAAGGAACGAATAAAGAGTAATGTTGAATCTTGATACAGTACAGTGCATGGTGGGGCTTTGGAAATCAGTGAAGGAGTTATAAATGTGTAAATAAAATAACTGAACAGGAAAAAGTAAGGCATATAAGATGCTAATTCATCAGCTAAAGGGGGAATACATGAAGGCTTTTTTTTTTTTGAGACGGAGTCTCGCTCTGTCGCCCAGGCTGGAGTGCAGTGGCATGATCTCGGCTCACTGCAATCTCCTCCTTCTGGGTTCATGCCATTCTCCTGCCTCAGCCTCCCGAGTAGCTGGGACTACAGGCGCCCGCCACCGCGCCCAGCTAATTTTTTGTATTTTTTTAGTAGAGACGGGGTTTCACGATGGTCTCGATCTCCTGACCTCGTGATCCTCCCGCCTTGGCCTCCCAAAGTGCTGGGATTACAGGCGTGAGCCACTGTGCCTGGCCCCATATTTGTATTTTAAGACCAAATTAATAAAATGCGATTTAAGAGAGGGCAGGGAAAGTTCTAAATCCATATAACTCAATGATACTCATATTTATGTGACTCTGAAACCATACTTGTAATCACTATTATCCAGAAGAGCCACATGATGATACGTGCCCTATGGCGTCTAGTATAGTTGGTAGTCAGTCGCATAAGTACTCATCCCTGGTTGAGCAACTGTTAGGTGTGTGGCAGAGGATCCCTTAAAGCAAGGGTCTGTAGCTCCTTATATTTAGGTATTCTAGTTTGAAGACTGTTGTCAGCTCAGAGGGGGAGGAGCTTGGTTAATTGGACAATGGAAGGACCAGGATTATTTGCCCCAAGCAGCTCTTGGCTTCAGCCTGTCTAAACATGAAGGATCTGATCTTTAGTGATGAATTTGTGCTGATATCAGATATATGTATTATATATATAATATATAATATATAAATATATATAATATATACTTACTTTTTTTAATATATATATATAATTTTTTTTTGAGATGGAGTTTTGCTCTTGTTGTCCAGGCTGGAGTGCAATGGCGTGATCATTGCTTACTGCAACCTCCACCTCCCGGGTTCAAGCGGTTCTCCTCCCCCAGCCTCCCAGGTAGCTGGGATTACAGGCGCCCACCACCACGCCTGGCTAATTTTGTATTTTTAGTAGAGATGGGGTTTCACCATGTTGGTCAGGCTGTTCTCAAACTCCTGACTTCAGGTGATCCATCTGCCTCGGTCTCCCAAAGTGCTGGGATTACAGGTGTGAGCCACTGCACCCAGCCGATACCAGATATGTTTTAATTACTAAAAAATAGACACTTTTAAGGAGTATAGAAAATTTGGAAAAAAATGAATAATTAAAATTAAGTTATAATTCTGCTACTTAGAAGTAACCACAGCTAACATTTTGGCATATTTCATTTTAGTCTTTTTCTTCTGGATGTACTTATTTTGTATAGTTGAAATCATATTGTATATATAATTTGGCATTCTGATTTATTTACATTCATACATATGTTCCATGTAATTAAGACATTTTCCGAACATAATTAATTATTGCATAATAATCCTTGGGCGGTACCATAATTTTATTCAACTTCTCTCTTATTGCTGTTCATTTGGATTGCCCGATGTGTAGTGTAAATAATGCCACTATAAGACTCTTGTAATTTAGTTTTTGTGCACCTCTCAGATTATTTCCGTAGGATTCCTAGAAGTAGAATTACTGGGTTAAGGAGTATAAACATTTTAAGGTTTTGATGTATAGTATTCATAAAAGTTGTCTCATTAAGTGACATATCAGATAGGATACAATAAAAAAATAGCTTTAAGCAGACATTTATAAAAAGAAGTATATATCTTGCTCAGAGATAAAACCGAAAGCAGTTTTAAGAGGCCGAAAAAGGACTTAGTTCCCTTTCTTATGGGTTAGGTATGGGTTCATAGATATTGAATATATTATTTTTTAAAAAGTCCTCTGGAGTTGGTGATCTCTCTCAGGTTCTTTCTGGCTGCAAAGTTCTGTTTTGTGGTTCCTAAGGTTCTTAAGAGTGTGAGATGCAAGTACAGAGCCACAAGCCCCTTGAGACACATAGTCTGAATATTTAATATCTGGGCTGTAATAATGTTAGGAACAATAGGAAAGAAAGACCAGTATCTAAGCAGGCTGGCAAAGGAAGCGGGTCTTTATAAAACAAACACACAGAAAATTCCTAACTTCAGAACAAGAAGAAAAATTATATAGTAGATTGCTTGCTCCTTTAGGAGGAAAATGTTCTAAATAGAAAGTTGCTTTGTTGAGCAACATTCTGACTGCAAGTTATTGGTTTCTGTTTGTGCTCACGGTAAGTACAATACTGAATTGGAATGATTTGGTTATCTTCTTTAAAAAAAGGTATTTGGTATTTTTACTTTTCATTGGTAGAAACATAATTGCCTTTGCGAGATAGTGGACAAAGATCTTTTGTTATGTTGTTCCTAACAAAATGTTTCCTTACAGAAAAAATGTTCATGGATTTTTTTCCTTGTGATGATAATGCAGGGCCTTGGGAAAACTTTACAAACAATTGCTTTGCTTGGTTACCTGAAACACTACCGAAATATTCCTGGACCTCACATGGTTTTAGTTCCAAAGTCTACTTTACACAACTGGATGAATGAATTTAAACGATGGGTCCCATCTCTCCGTGTCATTTGTTTTGTCGGAGACAAGGATGCCAGAGTAAGTGAGAAACAAGTGTAAAAAGGCAGTTAAGAATAATATCATTTCTGGAGTTTAGTTACATATTATTGCTGTTAAAAACATCTGAGTTGACTACTACTAAATAAGACTTAAGGTGTATGTACTCTAAGCTAGACTCTGTTTTAAGTGCTTTGCATCTATTAATTTAATTCTCACAACACTCCCATGAGGTAGATATATCACCTATTAATAATAGACAATCCATTATTATGCTTCATCTACATTTGCTTTAGTTCATTAACCTAAGCATTTTTGAATTGTACTTTGAGTGACTTTTCATTAAAAACATCTTATTTTATTGACAGTATATCTTACCAGTGACTCTCATTTGTGCTATTTTGAAGCCAACAATATATAAATTTGCATTACTTAAAATTTTATATTTAAGTTTTTGACTTTTGACTTGGTGTACACACACGCATATGCATGTACACAACTGGAACCTCTTCTATATGTACAGAGAGCCTCGTGTTTTGTGTTTATGCATAGACGCAGCTTTCAGTTTTGGTGTTTGAATAGAAAAATACATGTCTGTATATATTCTCAGGTAATATTAGAAACTGGGCATTTTAGGGGGGTGTTTAAATCAGCCATTTGTCAGTCTAGTAGGCTACAATCATTTTAGGACTGTAGAATTAATCTAAAAATAATATATTATGTAAAAATACTAAAACAGATAATCTGCTTAGAAAGCTTATTATTAAACTTTGTCTTTATTTGCCTCCAGAGAACACAGTTTAGAGATGTATTCAGTTTTCCATATTTAGATAGGTTATCTAAAGATATCCTCAAAAGAATGGTAGTGCAATGAATTACATAATTTTATCCTTATCATTTTGCTTGAAGAAAAATTACTTAAATTTATTTAAATTTAACTTACAAATAATTTAAATATTGAAATACTGAGCTCATAAGTTTACAATTACAGGCCAGATTCTTCCCTATGCCTAATATTTCCCTAAAGCAAATTAGTCACTTAGAACTCTTTCTGGTCACCATTGTTATCTAATGTAATACCACTCCATATAAACTTTGCATTTCTAAAGTATTGAGCTTTTGCTAAAATTATTTCTTAAAGATTAAAAGCAAAAGATAAATATCTAGGTTTGTGTTTTCATAATGTCTCGGTATATTTAATTTATGACTGCCCTATCTCTACTTCCTGGGGAGGCTGGGATTCTGGTGGCTTGAAAAATTTCTTTGTTTCTTTTTCCAGAGGCGGGGTCTCGCTCTGTCGCCCAGGCTGGAATGCAGTGATGTGATCATAGCTCACTGCAGCCTTGAACTCCTGGGCTCAAGCGATCCTCTCACCTCGGGTTCCTGAGTTGCTGGGACTACAAGTGTGCACCACTGTGCCTGGCTTTGAAAAATTTCTTAATCTTGAAAACCGGTCTTCAAAGTTAGTGTTTTTCAAATTGTGAGTTGCTACCCATTAGTGGGTTGTGACTTTAGCTTAGTACTTGGTAAAACAATTTTCTGCAACATTGAGAGAGAATGGAATAGCAAATTGCAGAGTGTTTCATACTATAATAAGGATAAATATTGCTTTGAGAAACTTTTAAGTTGCCTCTTTCTGTGTACACACACTCAAACATATATGTATATACTGGATTGCAATTCAAAAGGTAATTTTACTGTGGGCTATGGTCAAAAGAGTTTGAAAACCAATAATTGCCAGTTACATAAATAATAAGTGTACCATGTTCAGCACTTAGAGATTGATGTGGATATGTATAGAGGAAGTCCAGATCATTACATATAGACAGATTTGAATCTTGGTAGAACATAGGATAGATATGTTGGGTCTTTGTATTTTCCTGGTCTTCTGTAAACATTTTATGAAGGTAATATTTTAGTAATAAAAATTTGATGTAGGTTATAATAGGCATTTAATTGAGTTGGGAGATTATTAGAGATACTCTTGATCCTGTCTGATTGATACCAATGTGCTTTGTGGCCCCTTCCTTTTCCACGCCAGAGGTATCAAAGATAGTAGACATAGAAATGGGTTTGATTTCAGTTGTGGCTTTGCTACTGATTGTGTAGGGTTGAGTGAGTCTTCAAGGGCCTTAATTTTTTCACCTCTAAAATGAGAGCTTTTGGATTATGTGACACCTTTAATGTTTTATCGAGATGTTTAACTCTAAATGTATCCAATAGTTACAAAAAATTCAAAGCAGAGCTAATTTAAATTAAAAATATGCATTTGTTGCATGAAACTTGTAGGCGAAACCATGAAACTGAGAGCTTCACAAAATCAAATAAGGATAAGGTGTTAGCACGACTGAATGGGGTCTGGCACTCTACTTCTCTTTATTTTGTCTCCTATTCCCTAATGTCTTAATTAAATTTATAAATGTGATCACTTCCCAGGGTGCAACTGAGATCTCTGAAAAGGCCTTTTTTTTTCTGTCCTCCTCTTCAGTCCAGGTGATTCTCTTATACATAGTAGACAATCAGTAAATATCTGTTGAATGAGTCTGCAGTGTGTTTAGTGCATAGTTGTGAATTATGAAATAAAGACTTTGCAGGGAACAGTTAATTTTGTTTATGCACTGTAACTCCAGATTTATAAAACTTTTTTTTTTTTTTTTGAGACGGACTCTCACTCTGTCGCAAAGGCTTGAGTGCAGTGGTGACATCTTAGCTCACTGCAGCCTCCCCGCCTCCTGGGTTCAAGCGATTCTCCTGCCTCAGCCTCCCAAGTAGCTGGGATTACAGGTGTGAGCCACCATGCCCAGCTAATTTTTGTATTTTTTAGTAGAGATGGGGTTTCACCATGTTGGCCAGGCTGTTCTTGAACTCCTGACCTCGTGATCCATCTGCCTTGGCCTCCCAAAGTGCTGACATTACAGGCGTGAGCCACCATGCCCAGCTAGATTTATAATACTAATCAGCCTCTTCTTAATATAGATTTTGCTGCTTCCCATTAACTTTTGTGGTTTTATTTTGACTGATAACATCTGGAATTCAGCTCATACAAGTTAAAAATGCTCTCAGTCAACTTACCTACCATGTTGGCCACTGCCTGTGAAGACTTAAAAATAGTTTTAAATAGTCTCATTGTTTTCCATAGCCTCCTGTACTAGACAGAGCAAGTCCCCTTTATGAAATCATATTTGTAACCTCATGGCAAGATCTGGAACTTCACAAAAACATTAGTGGGCTTCCATGACCTTTTAACAAAGTATATGAGTCAGCCCAGCTAGAAAATGAAGAAGGGACATACAAGAGTTCTCCAAAGGTTGGAATCATTCATGCACATTGAGTTCTATTTGTTGAAACTGTATCATGTTGGTAACTCTTGGATCTTGGCAAGAATATGTTGTTCAGAAAGAGTTACTTTGTCTATGTTCTTTTGGATGCCCCATGATATGAAGACAAGCCCAGTAACTTTGTGATTTCTGGTCATACGAACTTTTCTAGGTCATTGAATATGCCATATTTCTGTAAGGGAAGCCTTTGTTTCTCTTCTGTTAATGAATATATTAGCAGGTCATCCAGATAATTGACCACACAACTATCTTTGGGCCTCAGTTTTCCCATCTCTAAAATGGATGAAACTAAATGATCCTCAGGGTCTCTTAGAATTCTTAATATTTTCTTGATATTTTAATTCTGTGATCATCTTATAACATATTCTAATATAAATATATTCTAATATGAAGTATTTTATTTTGCATTAGGCTGCTTTTATTCGTGATGAAATGATGCCAGGAGAGTGGGATGTTTGCGTTACTTCTTATGAGATGGTAATTAAAGAAAAATCTGTATTCAAAAAGTTTCACTGGCGATACCTGGTCATTGATGAAGCTCACAGAATAAAGAATGAAAAATCTAAGGTAAGTTATCAATATCTTTATTAAAGTTTACATTTAATTACCAGGTTGGTTTGTTCACTTTTCTGTATTCAGAATAAAAAATGATGGAACAGCCGGTGTGGTGGCTCACGCCTGTAATCCCAGCACTTTGGGAGGCCGAGGAGGGCGGATCACAAGATCAAGAGATTGAGACCATTCTGACCAACATGGTGAAACCCCGTCTCTACTAAAAATACAAAAATTATCAGGGTGTGGTGGTGCATGCCTGTAGTCCCAGCTACTTGGGAGGCTGAGGCAGGAGAATAGCTTGAACCCGGGAGGCGGAGGTTGCAGTGAGCCGAGATCGCACCCCTGCACTTCAGCCTGGCAAAAGAGTGAGACTCCGTCTCAAGAAAAAAGATGGAACATTGTGATTTTATTCATGGAATGTGAATGCAAATCTAAATTATTGAATACAAGACACATTAAAATTGAGCACAGTTTTTAATGTAAAGAAAATTAAGTGTTCCTTTGGTATACCTCCTGTGCCTAACTGTTATGCTGTAGTATTTTAATATTGTTGAGAATATTTAGTGTGCAAATATCGTTTGTATTGATTTATTTTTTATTGAGGGGCTACCTTATATATATTTATATGGATGAGAGAAAATAATTTCCTGGAATTATCTGACTTGTGTGAATTAGAGTGTGGTGTTAACACTGAAAAATATCAATATTTCTTGCCATTCAACTCCATCAACAGTAGGAAAAGCTTCAATTATGATGAACCTCTCTTTGGATCACTGGGCTAATTTGGGAGAAACAGGGACAGAACTGGAGCAAAACCACCAGGTGGATTATACTAATTTCAAATTGGAACTAATATCTGATAAGAGGACACATGCTAGAGAATAATTTTTTATTTAAGAGCATTATAAAAATGTGCATTTTTGTTCATATGATTACCATTCTTTTGTGCTTTTTGTGTCTTAATTTTTCTGGTCTTATGTTTAGAAAGTTAATATAAGTTACTGGGAAAATCGGCTCAATTCTGGGGCTTAAAAATTGTGACCAGGCCAAGTTAGAACGTGTCTGGGCATGTAGATGAATGTGGTTGGTGGGGAGATGGAGATTTTATTGTGTAAAATGGCTAACCTGGATTCCATGGAGAAGTTCTGACCTTTTTCTGTGAGCCCAAAATGGAGAAATGAAAATTTTGAAGTTGGGGGGAGGGTCTCAGGTATAAATATGATCTGCATTCTTCTTCCTTTTTTTTTTTTTTTTTTTTTTTTTGAGACGGAGTTTCACTCCGTTGCCCAGGGTGGAGTGCAGTGGTGTGATCTCAGCTCACTGCAACTTCCGCCTCCTGGATTGAAATGATTCTCCTGCCTCAGCCTCCTGAGTAGCTGGAATTAAAGGCGTGCACCACCACGCCCAGCTAATTTTTTTTTGTATTTTTAGTAGAGATGGGGTTTCACCATGTTGGCAAGTCTGTCTCAAACCCCAGACCTGAGGTGATCCACCTGCCTTGGCCACCCAAAGTGCTGGGATTACAGGCATGAGCCACTGCGCCTGGCTTGCATTCTTTTAAGTATAGAAATGTTTAGTTTTGCCTCACTGCAGCATTGTCACCTGAACTAGGGTATTTTTCCATAGAAAATTTTCAAGTTATATTGTAGTCAAAAATATATTGGTTGGATAAATTACAGTATAACTGAATGTTGAGCATTCTAATAAGTAAAATAATCCTCATATGAGTATTATTTTCTAGCTTTCAGAGATTGTTCGTGAGTTCAAGTCGACTAACCGCTTGCTCCTAACTGGAACACCTTTGCAGAATAACCTGCATGAACTGTGGGCCTTACTCAACTTTTTATTGCCTGATGTCTTTAATTCTGCAGATGTAAGTTTAAGCCATACGTTTTAAGTATAACTTTCTTATTTTCACTGACATGTGTTTTAAAACATTATAGATTGAAATTTATGGTACTTTTTAATTTGTAATTTTTTATCTGCATGTTTTGGTTTTCTTAGGAAAGAGTTCTTTAATAGAGTTTTAAAATGAGGATCTTTGGAGAAATAGTATGCTTCTTGTCTTTGAGATCAACTTGCCTGTTCAATTTTGTCTCTATCACATTACTCCTAAAACTTATGATGTGAGGCTGAGTCCATAGTAGTGCATTCACCATTTTATTTTCATTAAGTTGAAGGGGTTTGAAACATATTTTTATATACTAGTTTGGCAGGTGGAAGCTATAAAATGATCTTTGATTATTGTAGGCATTGACATTTGGTGAGTGCTAAAGAGCTCAGAGTATGTGATTTGAAAGACAGCATATTGTGTAAATGTGTTATTTATATATATATATTTTTATCATTAACACAAATTTATGCTAGGACACCAAACTAAATGGAAAGATTTAAGAACTTTGGTGCTTGATTTTTCCCATTATTATTATTATTACTATTTTGAGAGGGAGTCTCACTCTGTCCCCCAGGCTGGAGTACAGTGGCACAATCTCAGCTCTCTGCAACCTCCGCCTCCCGGGTTAAAGTGATTCTCCTTCCTCAGCCTCCCCAGTAGCTGGGATTACAGGTGCCCGTCACCACACCTGGCTAATTTTTTGTATTTTTAGTAGAGACAGGGTTTTGCCATGTTGGTCAGGCTGGTCTCGAACTCCTGACCTCAAGTGGTCTGCCCACCTCAGCCTCCCAAAGTGCTGGGATTACAGGTGTGAGCCACCGTACCTGGCCCCATTATGACTGTTAATTGATAATAAAAAGTAGCAAGTTTGGCCATAAGTTGCTTTGCACACTTTATCTTGCTTTTGTTTGTTTTATTGTTTGGTAAAATTAACATTCTTATTAGCATTATGTCTTTGATTTTATATTCTACTTTTCAAACTAGATATAATATTGCTACAGTATGGGGAAGCCTAATAAATGTCTTTTAAGGAAAAAGTTGATGGAATTCTTACACAGTGGGGCTCAAATTTTGTTAACTGCTCCAGTATTTTACCTATTTTCAGAAGTAAATAATAGTAGCTATCACAGCTGATAATATTTTTGAAAGTACTTTTTAAATGCATTATTTCCGTATTGGTTGTATAAGAATCTACAGAATATCGGGTATATTTAAAAAAACTGTGCACTCATTGGAGAATTTCCACCCCTCTACAGGACTTTGATTCTTGGTTTGACACTAAAAATTGTCTTGGTGATCAAAAACTCGTGGAAAGACTTCATGCAGTAAGTAATAGCAGACAAGAACATTCAGTAATTAAATAGTATACACAAACTGACCCAGAAAACAAAATGCTATGGAATCTGTTTGAACTTGTGTTTGCCTCTTGGCTCAATGTCACTGTTTCTCCCTCCTAACCTTTCTGACAGCCTCTTTGTTTTTTTTTTTTTTTTTTTTTTTTTTTTTTTTATTCCTCTATGTCCTCAGCCTCTCTCTAGAACAGCTTTTTTCCTTTGGCTCTCCCCTGTGAATAATGTGGTCCTCTCCAATAGAGAGGCTGTTCCTGCTCCCACACCCCACAGTTCCTCAGGATGGTATCGGTATTCTCCTAGTTCACCCACTGCCACTTCTAAGCTACTGCTTCTCCACTGTCATGTATAAAGCTCTTCCTTTGAAGCCTAAGCTGTCTTGCAGTTTTATCCTCCACCCATTCTGTTTCCTGTTAATCTGTTCATCATTGGGTGGCTCCTTAACACATTGTATGCCAGGCTGGAGTGCAGTGGCATGATCTTGGCACACTGCAAAGTCCGCCTCCCGAGCTCAAGCAATCCTCCTGCCTCAGCCTCCCGAGTAGCTGGGATTACAGGCGTGTGCCACCACGCCCGGCTAATTTTTGTATTTTTAGTAGAGATGGGGTTTCACCATGTTGGCCAGGCTGATCTCGAACTCCTGACCTCAGGTAATCTGCCCGCCTGGGCCTCCCAAAGTGCTGGGATTACAGGCGTGAGCCACTGCATCCGACCTTTCTTTTCTTTTCTTTTTTTTTTTTTTTTTGAGAGAGAGTCTCGCTCTATAGCCCAGGCTGCTGGAGTTCAGTGGCATGATCTTGGCTCACTGCAACTTCTGCCTCCCGGGTTCAAGCGATTCTCTTGCCTCAGCCTCCCAAGTAGCTGGGACTAAAGGCACGTGCCACCACGCCCGGCTAATTTTTGTATTTTTAGTAGAGACGGGTTTTCACCATGTTGGCCAGGCTGGTCTCGAACTCCTGACCTCATGATCCACCCATCTTGGCCTCCCAAAGTGCTGAGATTACAGGCGAGAACCACTGTGCCTGGCCCCAACTTTCTATTCTTTGATCGCAATTTCTCATCTCTTTCTAGTGCTTTCGTTCATGTTAATCCTTCTGTACTTGTCCTGTTACCTCACAGAGACCTCTAATCCCCAGACCTCTGCATTTTCTCCCCATCTATCAGCTTATTTCTGTTGTGACTTTTTTCTGTATCCAGCAATGAACTCATTTTCTATCACTTGAACCATCTTTGGCTAGTACTCCTAAACTCCCTTGCTCCCTTCTCCGTCTGCCATACCTGCCTAAAAACCGTAACCTGGAATAATGTAATGTAACTGTCTCTCTGTCTTCTGGGCTTCAATTTTGCTTCTGCTGCTTACTAGCAGAGTGGACATCTCTGTATTGGGGCAGCCCAACACTGGTAAAGAAGATTTCACAACTGTCCAGGTTGGAACCACTGTGATTCCATGTTCTCTAACATAAGCTGAGATGTCATGATACTGGTGATCCTTCAGCATGGCCTTCTACAGTCTTCTTTCCTGTTTCCTATAACAACTATTTCAGACCTTCCCCAGTCTCCCCAAGATTTCTATCCCAGGTATCTCCTGCCCTCCTTCTCCCTCATCAGGTAACATCATTCCTTTCTCAAAAAGAAAAAAGAAGACATTAGGTAGGAAGTCCTTCAAGGATGTCCACCTTCTAAGGAGGTCTGCATCTGTGTTACCTTCTGTTTGAGTGGAAGAGGTGTCTTTTCTCTGGTCAGTGGCTAATTCTTCCATGTGAATCCTTGATCTCATCTCTTCCTATTCTTTATGGACTTTCCCCCATGATTTATCTTTTTAGTTGACTATATTTTCTACCTCTTTTTAATTGACTATATTTTCTATCTTTTTAACTGACTGTATTTTCTACCTCTCCATCCATATTGGGTCTTTTCCCTAAGTGTAAACATGCTCAGGTGTCTCCCTTATTAATTCCAAATCCAAACACGTACCCATCCACCCTCACACATATGCAAAACAGTGCTCCCTCAACACTGTGTCCCTCTGGCTGTGATTCCGTTTTCTTCCCTTGATAGCTAAGCTCCTTGAAAGAGTAGTTTATCCTCTCCATATCTACTCCCTAGTCTCCTGTTTACTCTTGAATCCATTGGCCACTGGCTTCTATCCATTCCATACAACTGAAATTTGTCTCACAGTGTCTTCAATGACTTTCCAGTTGCTGAATTCAGGGTACGCTTTTTGGTCAGTATCTTGGCTATTGCTTTGAAGCTGCTAACTATCTCCTCCTGCTGGAAACTTTGCTGCTTGGTTTCTAGGATACTGTTCTCTTTTGGATTTTCTTTTACCCTTTGTCCACCCCTATCAGTCCCTTTCGTGGGCTTTTCTTTCTTTGACTGTCTCTTATAAAGTTTAACATTTTATAAGGCTTTGTCTTTGACTTTCGTACATGCTCTCCCTGGGGATCCACTCCCATGGTTTTACCTACCACCTATATACTGACGCCTCCTAAATTGACCTCTCTGTATCCTTCTCCTAAGCACTATACTTTCATATCCCATTGCCTTCGGAGTCTTTTTGCTTAAGTATCTCACAGGCAGTTTAAACTCTTAAGGATATCTTTTAGAAAACTTTGAGGCTCACACCAGAAGCCAGAAGTCTTCTTTTACTCTTCCCCTGTCCTTACCTCCCATAGATCTCTAATAATAATAGCTACAGTTTATTGTCTGCTATATACTTAAGTTCTACACATGTACCACCACAAATTTCCACAGCAGACTTGGAAATAGGTATCATTATCCCCATTTAAAAATGTTTGGCCGGGCAGGGTGGCTCACACCTGTAATCCCAGCACTTTGGGAGGCCGAGGCGGGTGGATCATGAGGTCAAGAGATTGAGACCATCCTGGCCAACATGGTGAAACCACATCTCTACTAAAAATACAAAAAATTAGCTGGGCGTGGTGGCTCGCGCCTATAGTCCCAGCTACTCGGGAGGCTGAGGTAGGAGAATGGCTTGAACCTGGGAGACGGAGGTTGCAGTGAGCCGAGATCTCACCACTGCATTTCAGCCTGGTGACAGAGTGAGACTCTGTCCCCTTCCACCCCACCTCCCCCCCCAAAAAAAGTTTGGCGGGCCGGGCGCAGTGGCTCACGCCTGTAATCCTAGCACTTTGGGAGGTCGAGGCGGGCAGATTGCCTGAGCTCAGGAGTTCGAGACCAGCCTGGGCAACATGGTGAAACCTCATCTCTACTAAAATAGGAAAAATTAGCCGAGCGTGGTGGCGTGCGCCTGTAGTCCCAGCTACTTGGGAGGCTAAGGCAGGAGAATTGCTTGAACCTGGGAGGCGGAGGTTGCAGTGAGCTGAGATTGCCCCACTGCATTCCAGCCTGGGTGACAGAGCGAGACTCTGTCTCAAAAAAAAAAAAAAGTTTGGTATATACACATATCATATATTTGTTTTTGGATGAACCGATGAGGAAATAGGCTTGGAAAAATTAGAGAACTTTCCTAGGCTCACAACAGCTAGTCAGGACTGAGCTGATTTTAGAATTAGCCTGATCTGGGTTTGAATTCCACATCTACCACTTGCTAGCAAAGTTCCTTTGATGGCCTTACTAAAATAGAAATGATAACATTTCTTTCAGATTTATCGTAAGGATTAAATAATACATGTAAAGTTCATAGTATAGTATCTGGCACATTGTAGGTAGGTACTCTATAGATTGTAGCACTATTGTCTTGTGATATAACCTGTCTTCCAGGTATACACTGACTATTTTATCTTTTTTTCTCTATTCATCTATATTTTCCTTCATATTGAATATTTTCTCCTCATTTATATATTTAACTACAGTCATGCACTGGCATAACAGCGTTATGGTCAACGATGGACCGCATAGATGATGGTGGTCCCATCAGATTATAATGGAGCATATATAGAGACCTGATATATGGCACTTGATACTGGCATTGCAGATCAAGTAGGGGAAATGATTGATAGTGAGTAATAGTGCTGGGACACGTGGTTTTCTATATGAAAAAACAAATAAATACATATACCATGTAGGTTTGTGTAAGAACACTCTATGATCTTAGCACAATGATGAGATCACTTAACAACACATTTCTTAGAACATATCCCCATCATTAAGTGGCACATGATGGTACTTTGAAATGACCTGCATTTTTATTTCATTTTTGAAGACTCCCTGATCGATATTCTGACTTCAGATTTCCTCTCAGGTTTAAAAATCTTGTTGTGGGCTGGGCACAGTGGCTCACGCCTGTAATCCCAGCACTTTGGGAGGCCAAGGTGGGTGGATCACGGGGTCAGGAGTTCGAGACCAGCCTGGCCAACATGGTGAAACCCTGTCTCTACTAAAGATACAAAAATGAGCCAGGCGTGGTGGTGCATGCCTGTAATTCCAGCTACTCAGGAGGCTGAGGCAGGAGAATTGCTTGAAGCCAGGAGGCGGAGGTTGCAGTGAGCCGAGATTGTGCCATTGCACTCCAGCCTGGGTGACAGGGTGAGACTCTGTCTCCAAAAACAAACAAACAAACAAAAAAATCTTGTGTTACAGCAGCTTCTTTTTTTTTTTTTTTTAAGGGTTCTTTGGTGCTTATTCAGCAACCAATAGTCTTGTTGTCTTAATTTTTCATGTATTTTGTGCCATGAAGTCATGAATGCCTACTTTAGGTCCCCTATTCTGATTTTCTAATGGACTCTTACTTGGTGGTTCTTTACCAAGAAAGTTCGCAACTGGTATTGGTAGTATTTGTCAGACTATGCAGTGGGAAGTAAATTTCACATTAATGTTGTTAATGAAATACATTATTAATCATATTAAATGTTTCATAAACTTTTATAAAAATGATCACCTTTTAGGTTTTAAAACCATTTTTGTTACGCCGTATAAAAACTGATGTAGAGAAGAGTCTGCCACCTAAAAAGGAAATAAAGATTTACTTGGGGCTGAGTAAGATGCAACGAGAATGGTGAGCTATTTCATTTCCTTTAAAACTTATTTGTGTGTAAGAATTTACTAAAAATTAGCTTTGTAGTTGTTCAGTTATGCCATTAGTTCAAAAATTACATTTTATATTTAAATGGCAAGTTAAGTAGTTCAGATATTTTCAGAGAAAATTTGTAAGTATTTTATTTAACCCTTTGAAAAGAGTATAGGTTTTGGAGTCTATAGATCTGTGTTTGAATTCCATGCATTACCACTTAACAGCTAGTTATCTTGGGCAAGTTACATAGCCTAAATTTCCATTCTGTAAAATGGGGATAATAATATTTAATTTATGAGGATGGTGTTAGGATTAAAGGGGGTAATGTCAGTGGCATGCTTGTTAGTTAAAAAGCATTCTTTAAAAGCATTCTTTGGCCAGGTGCAGTGGCTTACATCTGTAATCCCAGCACTTTGGGAGGCCAAGGCAGGAGGATTGTTTGAGCCTAGGAGTTCAAGACTAGCCTGGGCAACAAAGTGAGACCCCATCTCTACAAAAAATAAAAAATAAAATTAGCTGGGCATTGTGGCACACACCTGTGTTTCCAGCTACATGAGAGGCTGAGGCAGGAGGATTACTGGAGCCCAGGAAGTCAAGGCTGCAGTGAGCCATGTTTGTGCCACTGCACTCCAGGGTAGGCAACAGAGTGAGACCGTGTCTCAAAAAAAAAAGCATTCTTGCTTTTTCCTTCAGTGAAAATAATTATAACCATATTACTAGTGTTGATGAAAATGTTGGTGATTGTGGATATTACAAAAATAGAATCTGGAATGGTTAGATAAATGCACTTAAAGCAGGAAATTGACAAGGGAAGTCACAAGGAATCATAAGTGGGAAGTGTTAATAATGTAATAGTGCTGCTAATAGGAGCAAAATGTTACGTATATAAATACAATTAGATCATGTATAAAATATATGATTTCTTTACTACATAAGCCAGTATAGGGTAGAGATTAAGAGTATATTCTTTGGACTCAGACTAAGATCACAGCTTGGTTTTGTCCCTTCTGTGACCCTGAGTAAGTTGTTTAACTTCTCTTAGCTGCCTTAATTTCCATCTGTAAAATGGGGATGATACTAGTAAATACTCAGAATTGTTATGAAGATTTAGTGGCATAATTCGTATAAAGCCCTTGACATGATACTTGGCACTTGCACTCAGCAAAAGTTGATAATTATTATAATTACATATTATCATTGATCGGGTGTATATATATATGTAAGTCTCTGTGGGGGTGGAATTGTAGAAAAGAGAATGAAAAATATTTATAGGATCAGAAAAAAATGACCTGTGAAGACAGGTATAAGAAATTGAAATTGTTTTTAGTTCAAACAAGTAAATGTTGGATGTCAAATTCAGGCAAATGTTGTAGTTACTGATAATTAGCAGATAGAATTCTCTAAATAATTGTCAACTGATGGCAGTTTCTTGTCATGGATAAAGCAGGAGGAAACAGGTTTATAAGCAACACACAAGTTCACATGTTCAAATATTCATTACTTTGTAGGTTTTGCCCATTAGATTTAATCTCAAATCAAATCTTGTTTATCTTTAAACAGGAATCTAATCTGATGGCCAAAGGAACATTTGTTTATGACATTAACTTTCTAGTAATTGATGATTAATTATAGTTTAAATTTTTAGGTATACAAAAATCCTGATGAAAGATATTGATGTTTTAAACTCTTCTGGCAAGATGGACAAGATGCGACTCTTAAACATTCTGATGCAGCTTCGAAAGTGTTGTAATCATCCATATCTGTTTGATGGTGCTGAACCTGGTCCACCTTATACCACTGATGAGCATATTGTCAGCAACAGTGGTAAAATGGTAGTTCTGGATAAACTATTGGCCAAACTCAAAGAACAGGGTGAGTAATAAATTTTTAAATTAGCATGGAATAAATTTATATTAATGACTTGTATATAAATAAAATTTTCCATATTCATTCATTCACTTATTCAGCAGACATTGTTGAGTACTTACCATTTGCCAGGAATTGTCCTACAGGCTGGGTGTACAAAGATGAATAAGACAACAATCTTTGCCTTGGATAAGCTCACAGTGTAGTGAGGAGGAATAGTTGCAATTCATTGTGATAAGTGCTATGATATGTTGAGAAACTGGGAGTTGGGAAAGTCTTCACAGAGATGACCTTTGAGGTGAGCACTGGACAATGTGTAGGAGTGAACCATGGGGAAAAGGAGGGGAAGGGTTTTCCAGGGTAATGAAACAGAGGCGTGAAACAAGGGAACACAGAGAGCATATGGTACTTGGGGTAGAGTGGCAGTTGATGAATCTGGAAAGATGGATGGAGCCAAATTATGAACGGTATTTTAAACCATGCCTTAAGGAGTTAGGACTTTTATTTTGAAGGCAGAGGGAGTGTCAGAGAAGACTTGGCTGTGAAGAGTGACAATCGGAGTATGTCACTCTTACATGTTAGGAAGAGAACCTTGAAAGCAGTATGGGGGTCTATTGAGGATGAGAGACTAGGAACAGGAGACTAGTTGGGAGACTATTGCTGTAGTCCAGTGAGAGAGCCTGTGGACCCATCATTCATCCTTAAGAAAAAGTAAAGGCAATCTTTTAAGTCGTTGCAATATGTGTGGAGGATTTTGAAGACCTTAAAAAATGCCAAACTCAACAAATGCATAATTCTATATATAGCATCTCTTGAAGGTGTGTGGGGGTGTGTGTGTGTGTGTGTGTGTGCACGTGTGTGTGTGCGTTAGTGGAGTGTTCATGTGCTCTACATTTATGTTGCATATGTTTATTTTGTAGCTTTTAAGTTAGTTTCACACAAGTTGTACAACTCACTTTTTCTTGGTGAAATGTTTTAGGTTCAAGGGTTCTCATTTTCAGCCAGATGACTCGCTTGCTGGATATTTTGGAAGATTATTGCATGTGGCGTGGTTATGAGTATTGTCGACTGGATGGACAAACCCCGCATGAAGAAAGAGAGGTGAGGAAGAGAAAATAAAATAAGATTTCAGAAATCAGAGTTCAATTAAGCAATGTATATCAACATTAGGTAGTTTTGAACTTTTGCCTTTTCTTTAGGTGGGTGCATTGAATTTCTCATTAGCATCTCTTTCTCTCTTCAATCTTCAGTGTGGCTTCCATTCCATTGATTCTTTACAAATCATCTTTTTCAAGGTCTTCAAAGACATCACCACTTATCTAAAGGGCACTACACCATCCCATCCTTATTTTCTCTAATCATGCCTATCTCTGACCTTTTAAATTACTAACAGTTTCTCACCTTACTCTCTAACCTCCAATTTCATGTCATTTTCTTTTCCTAATTTGCCAGCTATAGCAGACCTTTGCCATTTGTGGAGTTTAATGGTTGAGATTTTGCCAGTTTATAAGCAACCCTAAAGACTCATGAAGCATAGTAATCCATAAAGGGAATGATCTTGGTTCTTATAGAGCTCTTGTAAAAACTAAATGTGACAAAATAGGTATAGGTATTTATCATGAATTTAAACATTGGGACACTAAAAGGTTGGCCTGCAGGAATGAGTCACTTAGTGAGTAAGCTTATCTAGTATGCAGTATTTTTCTCAAACATGGAAATTCTTACAGATCTTTAGATTATTCCTCACAAATGTCATGGGTCTAATGCGTTTAATACCCTTTAAAGCACTTTTGCTTGGAAGGCTTTGCTAATTTATCTTCTGTTTTCTGTGATCCTTCAGAGCTCTGTCTTTGGCTTCTGTTTTAAGTCTGTACAGCAAGTCCTCACTTAATGTCGTTGCAAAAAAAAAAATTAGCTGGGTGTGGTGGCGCGCGTCTATAATCCCAGCTACTCAGGAGGCTGAGGCAGCAGAATTGCTTGAACCTGGGAGGCGGAGGTTGCATTGAGCCAAGATCATGGCATTGCACCGCTCCAGCCTGGGTGACATAATGAGACTCTGTCTAAAAAAAAAAAAAAGATAGGTTCTTATAGAAACTGCGACGTCAATCAAAACAATGTATGATGAAATCAATTCTATCTTAGGCTAATTGATATAAACAAGATTTAAGTTCTGGCCAGGTGTGTTGGCTCATGCCTGTAATACCAACGTTTGGGATTGGGAGGCTGAGGCAGGAGGATTGCTTGAGGCTAGTCAGTAAAGACTAGCCTGAGCAACATAGCGAGACCCGGTCTCTACAAAAATAAAATAAAATAAAATTTAAAAAAGCATTAGTCAGGCATGGTGGCATGCACCTGTAGTCCTTGCTCCTCTGGAGGCCGAGGCAGGAGGATGGCTTGAGCCCAGGAGTTTGAGGCTGCAGTGAGATGTGATTGTGCCACTGCACTTCAAACTGTGTGACAGGACAAGACCCCAGTTCCTGTGGCATATTTCTGGTCACAAAGACATCACCAAGCTTCTAAATAAAGACCAAAACACTTATAATATTAAACATGGAAATAAATGTGAGCCATACATACGTTTAAGAAAGATTAATAAAAACAAGTAAGATAATTATTTACCTGCTTATTCCAGTTCAGGATTACAGTGGTTGGAGCCTCTTCTGGCAGCTCAGGACCCCAGGCAGGAACTAGCCCTGGACAGAATGCCATTCCATCACAGGGCATGCTCGCACACACACCACTCACACTGGGACCATGTAGACATGCCAATTTGCTTTTTGTGCACAGCTTTGGGCTGTGGGAGGGCACAGAGAAAACTCATACAGACATGGGGAGCACATGCAAAACCCATATGGACAGTGGCCCTGGCCAGGAATTGATTGTTTTTTTGTCATCAGTTTTATAATGAAATGATGTTACTTGAGGACCTGCTGTACTCATGCTTTGGGTAAAGATCATGGTTTTATGGTATAGTGGAAAATGCACTGAACTTGGTTTCAGAAGACCTGAATTTTAGCACCAACTTCACCACTTTGCAGCGTGTGCAAGCCATTTAATTCTCTGAGCCTCAGTAGCTGTAATTCTAAGGATAGTAACAACTAGGCTTCTTTCTCTGACAATGTTGTGAGGATATAATAGGTATGAGCACAGTTTTAAACGGCATATTGCAGTACGTACTGCAGGTCATGAAATTGCACCCAGGCCTTTCTCCCTTACACCTTTAGGGCCCCATCTCAGGCTACAAGGACTCTCTCTTAGCCCGCATCCCTCTCCTTCTGTAGCTGCAATGGGCACTCCGTTCCTTGTGTGCCTCCTTATTGAAGCCTGTTTCTAGCATAGCATAGTGTTCACAGCAAGCACACAGACCCTTTTCATATTAAAGGTCTTACTGCTACCTCTATGGGGAAACAGTTGCAATAACATTTATACGTATGAGGATATTTCAAGGCTTACACTATTCCGTGTGCTATAGTTTTTTCACTCTCTCTGAGATGGCAACTTGAAGCGTTACTGAGCTTTTGCTGACTTATTCCTGAGGATTGGTTTCCCTGAATCCATACTAAATAAGGCCCTATGGTACCATTCAGGATGATCCTTCTTCCTAGGACAAAGAGAATATCATGGCAGAGCAGTACGTGCTTTCTGACCTCAAATAGCCAATTTGCATTTCTGACTGAGCTGTCTACTGTTTACCTATTTATGTCCAAATTGTTCTGGTTTTTAAAAATTCCAAACAATGTTATCCCCTCAGAGACTCTGAATTTCATGTATTGACTTTAAATATAGCAAAGTCAGAGCTGTTCCTTTCTTCTTGGAAATGCCCTGCTTTCCCTTTATGTTGTCCACACCATCATTTCATCTATTTTCCCAATAAGAAGAAGACCACGTTTGATTCCTTACTTTGATTGTGTGCCAGCTGTGAATAAGTAATTCTTTCTCAACAGCTCTCAGATTTTCCCTTTCTCCATTACTACAGCTAAATTCAGCTAACAAAGCCACTGGTCATCGTCTGACTCAGTTCCTGTAACCTCTGCTTAATTGGCCTCCTCACTTTTATAGGGAAAGGAACTAACATTTGTCAAGCAACTACTATAAGCTAGGCAACTTAAAGTTCCAATTGAATTCTCCCAGCAGCGCGGTAAAGTATTGGTATAATTTTCTCCATTTGAAACTGTGTCTCAGAGAGATTAAATACTTGCCCAGAATCACAGATGTAATCAGTGGTGAAGTTGTGATTCATGCCCAAGTTTTTGCTATTTCCTCTACGCCAAGGTGCCTCTCACTACACCACGCTGCTTTCTATACTGCCCCCTTTACCTGCTCTGCTGACTGTGACGGTGGTAGTTACCTTCTCTGCCTGAAACTTTGACCATGCCATCCATTTATTTTAAAAAAGATTGCCCATACTTTGTGATTATGCAAGTAATATATGACTGCTGAAGGAAGTTTTGAAATTAAATACAAGTATTTCTGGCCTATCTTTTTAGGTATATGTAATATGTATAAGTAATTGGTATCAGACTTCATATACTATATGTAAAGTACAGTATCCTGATACTATTTACTTAATATTATATTGTACTTTTTAATGTCCATAAAAAATAATTGTAAAAGTAATTTTAGGATAATATTTCACCCTATGGATGTACTATAAGTAATTCATCCCCCTATTCTTGATCGTTTAGGTTGTTTCAAAATTTTCACTATTATAAATAATGCTATAGTGAAAGTCCTTATACATAAATCTTTGTGCACATCTCTGATTATTTCCTTAGGATAAATTCCTAGAAGTGGAATTTCTGGGTCAAAGGGTATGAACATTTTTAAGGCTCTTGATGCATATTGCCAAATTGCTTTCCAGAAAGGTTGTACCAATTTATACTCCCAGCAGCAATGTATGAGAGTGCCCGTCTCACCGCCCCCTCATCAACATTGAGTATTATCATTTTTTTTAAATCTTCAAAAATGTTATTATGTTGTTTTAGTTTGCATTTATTTGATTACTAGCGAGAATGAACATTATTATTGTGTTTTCTAACCATTTGTATTTGTTCTGTGAGTTGTCTGTTCTTTTTTTCTGCTCATTTTTCTACTGGACTTTGTTTTTCTAATTAATTTGTATGAGATCTTTATATAGTAAGAATATTCATATTAATTTTAACATTCTTTACTAAATATCCCTGGATTGTCATCCTGATTTTCTTCATTACTTACCTGCTTGTTCCTTGTTACCATACTGATAGAAATCTTCTTACTTTCCCCTTTATCCGTTGCCCTCATTCCCATTTGTAAACCATTTTCTCTGTTGGTTGATCTTCTAAACTAATCATTCATAAGCTAATGGAAATGAAGTTGAGATTTCTGATATTTTACCTCCTAGATATATTTCAGCTCTCACTCAAAACGTTTTCATTATTATTGTTTTTAAATAATGTAAATGAATTATTACTTGCTTAGTTAAATTTGTGTATGTAATTGTTCTAAATTTGTATCTATCGATGTAAGCTTTTAAAGATTAGGAACTTCATTTATATAATATACTTTCTACAGAAATTCACACAGTACAGTATATGTATAGATGCTTACATATTTTTGAAGATGGAAGAATATTATAAAGTATATTTATAAGGAATATTATAAAGTGTGTGAAGATTTTCTATATGTATTTTAAATGTTTTTATTTGTTTCTTAAGGACCCTGATGGTCTAATTTTATTTTTCTCTTTTTCTTCTATCCCTTTATCAATAAAAAATAAAGGAAGCAATAGAGGCTTTTAATGCTCCTAATAGTAGCAAATTCATCTTTATGCTAAGTACCAGGGCTGGAGGTCTCGGAATTAACCTGGCAAGTGCTGATGTGGTTATACTATATGATTCAGACTGGAACCCACAGGTTGATCTACAAGCTATGGTTAGTAATCTTTAATGGTGTCAGAAATTTATCATAGCTCTGAATACTATTGCTATTTACACACATAAAGGTCATTTATGATAAAAAGGTAACAATTTTTGAGAGATTTTATAGAAGTTACAGTAGATTATCCTGGAAAACACAGTTGCTATGCTAATTGCAAAAACAAAAGAAATGAAAGCGAACAACAAACACACCCCAGATCCAACTTATAGCATTTATGTGTTGATTTTGGTTTTTTTCATGAAATAGAAATGTCAGTTTTTTCCCATTCCTACAGATTGAAGAGGACACATAAATTTGTTTTAATGAAAAGGATTAAAAAACAATCTCTTGTTATTATTCTGTTCAACAACTAAATATATTAAAATCCTTAGTACTGAAATTAAGAGAGGTAGGATTTTAACTTTCATAAAAAACAATTTGGGAGAGAAGGCAAAAAGGTAAGAAAGGAATATATTCCAGAAAAACACTTGCTACTTAATAATGATACCATGCAAAAGCTATTCTACACTTAAAAACATTTTTTTTTAGGGAGCAAAGTTTCTCTGACCTTTCATCATGACACTACAGGTAACCCCTTTGATATTTTGGTGTCATTTATTGAACTAGAGCTACAACTTCTCTCAATGTGACTCACATTTTCAGATAAAGAAATATAATTTAGAAGTAAAAAGATGCAAAATAACTTCTTAGGTTTTGAATATATAGCTATGGATAAGTGTCTTTTTGGGAGCAATGAAAAGTCATATGCCAATGAGGTATAACTTAGAAGGCTTTCCTTTTATAATAGAGAATTGAAAGGGATTGACCACTGGGACATTCCAAAATCAATATGCTTTGGCGTAATTATTATTGCATTACGATGGTATTGAACTACCTGTTTGATATGACTAACTAGGAGTAAGCCCCAGTAAGTTACAGTGTTACTGAACTGGAAAATCTAATAGTGATAGCACTTCATTTCCGTAGAAGTCTTAGTGTGCATCCCATCTTTCAGGATTTGCTGGTTCAGGTTTAATGTAAATATGTGCAGGGGATTGCATTCTGTTTGAAAAATGTGCTGTGTTGAAACTTTGTTACTAGGCTCTAGTGTTTTTATATTTAGTACAAGGCCTGTTTTGAACTTACATTTTTTTTTTCTCTACCACCCTCCTCCCTTTACCTATTTGCTCTAGCAGCTTCTGTGTTTTAAAAATACTCTCCCTAGATGGTTTTATACCACTAGAAGTTCGCCACCTGTCACCTGTACCAACTATAAACCATAGGACCAGTCCTAGGCTACTGAATAGTAAGGATAGTAATATCCCATTAATTTTTATAACTCTTTACTGCATATCCCTCAGTAAGCAGAAAGAAGTGCCTGATGATGAAATAAAGCAGACTTTTGCCACCATAGCAACCCTAACTACTTAATAAAATTCCTTGCTAGTTTCGAAGATGTTTATATTTAGTGGCTTAAAGTTACTTAGTAACTCAATCCAGAAACTTTCAGCTCCCTCTTTTATTCATCTTACAGGTGCTTTGCCCTTTGTCCTGGAAGTTTCCCATTAATGGTACAATATAATATTTGCAGATTTCTTTGTTCCCAGTGGTCTTTAGATATTCTCAATATTCATCATGCTCTTTTCCAAAGTGTCAGATCTAGAGAAAAATAACTAATTTTATTTTTAGAATTTTATAGCATATGATGGCTCTAAATTTTATCCAGAATATCCAATATCTTACATTAGAACTCTTTCTACTAGGATCGAGCACATCGTATTGGTCAGAAGAAACCAGTACGTGTATTCCGTCTCATCACTGACAACACTGTTGAAGAGAGGATTGTAGAAAGAGCTGAGATAAAACTGAGACTCGATTCAATTGTTATACAACAAGGTATTTATACATAGAAACTTAATTAGGTGTTTTTTGTAAAACACATGTAGTTTTCTTCAAAGGAGATTACTTTTAATAAAAGTTGACCAAAATTTGAAAACTTAGAGGAAAAATTGAAACATCACTGTGTATCCCATGAGTCTGTACAATTGTTATGTATCACCTAAAAATAAAAGGAAAAAATTTAAAAATGCTAATTGAGGCTGGGTGAGGTAGGTCATGCCTGTAATCCCAGCACTTTGGGAGGCCGAGGCGGGTGGATCACCTGAGATCAGGAGTTTGAGACCAGCCTGGCCAACATGGTGAATCCCTGTCTCTACTAAAAATACAAAAAATTAGCCGGGTGTGGTGGCGTGCACCAGTAGTCCCAGCTACTCAGGAGGCTGAGGCAGGAGAATTGCTTGAACCTGGGAGGTGGAGGTTGCAGTGAGCCGAGATCGCGCCACTGCACTCCGCCTTGGGCGACAGAGCAAGACACTGTCTCAAAAACAAACAAACAAACAAACAAACGAACAAAAAATGCTAATTGAAATCTTCTGAATTGAAACCCTGGCATTTGATATATGGAGTAGTTGAACATCACTAGCTTATTCTTGAATGTCAGTAGCATGCTTTTTGAAGTACCTGAGATTATTTAGCAGATAAAATGGCTACTTTTAAATTTTTGAAAACATATTAGAGGGTACCTTTTCATATAGAGAAGTTTGATCTGAAAACAGAGTTTGAACATGAAAAAAAGTTTCTGTCCTTCTGGGTTTTAACTGAGTTTTACAGAAGGGAATTTATATAGAAATAGAAAGTATGCTAGAAGAAAAACTTGTAGGGTTTATTAAACAAATAACCTTAATGCTCACTAATTTTTTGTTCTTTAAAGCTTTATGTGTGGTTAAATGTGATAATGTCTGATTAGAATGATTATGCCTTCTTTGGAATATGATTGATTGAATATGTACAATTTCAATTTTTATCATTAGGAAGACTCATTGACCAACAGTCTAACAAGCTGGCAAAAGAGGAAATGTTACAAATGATACGGCATGGAGCCACCCATGTTTTTGCTTCTAAAGAGAGTGAGTTGACAGATGAAGACATTACAACTATTCTGGAAAGAGGGGAAAAGAAGGTTAGTTAAAATAGCATTTTATTTTCATGCTGGATTGTTTTAATATCAACATACTTCAGCATACTTATATTTTCATTGTACATGTTTATCTGCATTATCTACATGTTTCAGGTAGCTCATATTCTCTCCAACAACTTGTAGATCTATTTCCAGGGGTAGATTAAGGCTTTAAAACTTTTTTTTGGTGAGAAAGACTAAGAACCAGAGTTTAAAATTGAGTGACCTTATATCTAATGCTTTATTGAAAATACTATATCTAAAAGCCAAGTAAATTTTGTGTTTAATCACATGTATAAGGAATGCTTTTTTTTTTTTTTTTTTTTTTTAAAGAGACAGGGTTTTGCTCTGTCACCCAGGCTGGAGTGCAGTGGTGCAATGATAACTCACTGTAGTCTCCACCTCCTGGGCTGAAGTGATCCTCCCACCTCAGCCTCCTGAGTAGCTGGGACCACAGGCATGTACCAACATGCACATCTAATTAATTTTCTTTTTTAGAGACAGGGCCTTGCTGTGTTGCCCAGACTGATCTTGAACCTCTGGCCCCAAGTGAGCCTCCCACCTCTGCCTCCCAAAGCACTGAGATTATAGGCATGAGCCACCATGCCTGACCAGGACTGTATTTTTATAATCTTTTTTTTTTTTTTTTTTTTGCACTGGACTAGAAATCATCTACTGATACATTGGTTAATTGAAAATCTTTTATAAAACATTTCATGAAATGCTAAATCACTATTTGTTAAAGCATAATAAGTTGTTTCAGAATATTGTAATTTTGTGTTTAGTTCACCTTCCCCTCTCCACAAATTATGGATAATTTTAAACATAAGTAAAAGTAGACAGAGTAGTATAATGAGCCCCGAAGTACTTATCACCTGTTTCTAACAACCATCAACCAGTCCTGTTCTGTCTATATCCCCAGTTATCTTTCCCCTCCTTGGATTATTTTGAAGCAAATCTCAGACATACTTCAGCTGTAAATAGTTCACTGTGTATTTCTAAAATAGAAGGACTCTTTAAAGATAATCATTATAACATTGTCTCACCTGAAAAACCCCAATAATTCTTTAATAACACCAAATATCCAGTTAGTATTCAAATTTACAATTGTGTCGTAAATATTTATACTTAAAAAGTTTTCTTTTCATTTTTAAATCAGAATGCAAATCAAAATACAAATTGCCATGGTTGAGATTTCATCTCTATCTTTTAAAATCTATAGGCCCCCTCTCCTGCCATGTATTGTATTCCTTGTAATTTATTTGATGAAAAGACTAGGTTGTTTGCCTTTTGAGTTAATCACAGTGTGGATTTTGCTGATTTCATCTCCATGGTGTATTTTACTATGTTTGTTGCATATCTTGTAAACTGGTTGAATTTGCTTTTCAGAAGAATTTTGTAGTTCAGGTAATAACCTGCATTTTAAATGATCTTGTGTTAATATGTTTCATACCAGTATGCAAAATGTGTATTTTTAGTCCATCTTTGCCTTTCTCTTAGCTTTAGCTATTTGTCCCATTTAAATTATGCAAGAGCAATTATAATGTGGGTACAACTTCACTGACAAAAGATTTTAAAGAAAGCCTAAGTGAGAGTACTTGGGAAGCACCATTTAAATATTTGAAATACTTGGGCAAGTAAAATTTGCACTTCAGGTTTGATGTTAGCATTGCATTCATACCTTGTAAATTAGCAGACTGGATATTTCATGTCAAAACCTGACTATTAAAAAGGTAGAGAATCCACAGACTTTTACAAGTAATTCAGTGATAATTTTCTCATTTCAATGTTTTCACCTTTAGACTGCAGAGATGAATGAACGCCTGCAAAAAATGGGAGAGTCTTCTCTAAGAAATTTTAGAATGGACATTGAACAAAGTTTATACAAATTTGAGGGAGAAGATTATAGAGAAAAACAGAAGGTAACTTTTTACTCTCAACCATTAGACCCTCAAATGAGCATTTCTCCCCATAACAATTATAAAATAACACTGGCACTTACCTATTATAATACCCTGCTCTAGAGTGAAATTTGATATAGGTCTAAATATCTCATGCAAGGTATATCTTTCGTTTATTTTATTGGTTTATCGTCGTCGTCGTCATCATCATCATCATCATCATCATCAATTTTTGCTGTTGCTGCTGCTGCTGCTACTACTACTACTACTGCTTAGTACTACTTTTGTTATTGAGAAGCAGTGTAGGATTGAGGTTGAATTCCTGAATTCTGGAGCTGAAATCTCAACTCTTGTCACTAATTAAGTGACTCTGGGTATTCTCAATTTTCTCATTTATCAAATGGAGGTTATAATAGTTACATCATAGAGGGATTCTGATGATGAAATGAGTTAATACTCATAAAGTTATTAGAATAATGCCTGACACTTAATGTTAACTGTATGAATAATAATATTAGTAACATTTAGTTACTTAAATGCAGAAGGACTTTGTTACATGTGGTCTGTTGAAGAAATGGGGGTTTTATTTATCTTGTTTTTTAAACTGAAATTAAGGCTGAGATTTTAAAACTTTTTATTTTTAAATTACTTTAGACTTACAAAATAGTTGTAAAAATAGTACAGAGCTAACCTATAGCCTTCACTCAGCTTCCCCTAATATTAACAATTTACATGTTAGTATAATGATCACAACCAGGAAATTAACACCAGTTTTTCTCCTAATGTCCTTTCCTGTGCCAGGAAAAGGACATTGGTTAATTATCTAATTAACTGGTGTTAGATTCCAGGGGATCTAATCTAGTATCCCACAGTGCATTTTTAAAAAAATAGACTTTATTATTTTTTCCTTCTATTTTTAGTTGACACATACTAATTGTACATATTTATGGGATACAGAGTGATATTTTGTTACATATATACAATGTGTAATGATCAAATCAGGGTAACTGGTATATCTACTGTCTTAGCACATTTGTGTTGCTGTAAAGGGATACCTGAGGCTTGGTAGTTTATAAAGAAAAGAGGTTTATTTGGCTCATGGTTCTACAGGCTGTAAGAGAAGCATGGTATCAACATCTGCTTCTGGTGAGGGCCTCAGCCTGCTTTCACTTATGGCAGAAGGCAAAGGAGAGCTGGTGTGTGCAGAGACCACATGGCAGAGACAGAGAGAGAGAGACAGTACCAGAGAGAGGAGGGAAATGCTAGGCTCTTTGTCAGGAACTAATAGAATGAGAGAACTCACTCATTACCTCGAGGACTACACCAAGCCCTTCATGAGAGATCTGCCCCTATGACCCAAACACTTCCTATTGGGCCCCACCTCCAACACTGGGGATCAAATTTCCATGTGAGATTTGGAGGACAAACATATCCAAACTATAGCATTCTGCCCCTGGCCTCCCAAATCTCATGCCCTTCTCACATTGCAGATTATAATCATTCCATCCCAATGGTCCTCAAAAGTCTTAATTTGTTCCAGCATCAGCTAAAAAGTCCAAAGTCTCATCTCAGTCTCAATGCAAGTTCCTTACAGCTGTGAGCCTATAAAACCAAAAACAAGATATTTATTTCTAAGATACAATGGTTATATAGGCATTGGGTAAACATTTCCATTCTGAAAGGGATAAATCAGCCTAATGAGAGGGGTACCAAGCCCCATGCAAGTCCAAAACCCAGCATTAAAGCTCCAAAATGATCTCCCTTGACTCTGTTTCCCCCATCCTGGGCACACTAGTGTGAGAAATGGGGTCCCGAGCCCTTGGGCAGCCCTGCCTCCAGGGCTTTGCTGGGTACAGCCCACGTGGCTGTTCTCATGAATTAGAGTATGGTGCCTGCAGCTTTTCCAGATAGGAGTTGCTTGATGCTGGTGGCTCTGTAATTCTAGGGTCCCTGCAACACCCCCAATTCCACTAGGCAGTGCCCTTGTTGGGGACTTTGTGTAGGAGTTCCAACCTCACATTTCCACTCAGCATTGCCTTAGTAGAGTCGCTCCACAGGGCAGCGCCCCTGTGGCAGGCTTCTGCCTGGTAATCCAGGCTTTCCAATACATTGTCTGCCATTTTTCCCTCTGTAATTGATAAATACCTTGTGGGGAGATCTTTCTCAGACTTTTACTCACTGATTTTAGCATGTACTGGTGGAGCTTGCCTGCAGTAGTTATTATTGTGGTGTTTGCCTAATGGTAATTTTGTATTTTCTTCATTCCATCTATATGTATTTATTAATTGATATTTTTCTGTGTGGAAGATCTACCCCTTCTCCCCAATTTATTTGTGTCTTCAGTTATTTATTTATATCAGTATGGACTCATGGATGTTTTGAGTTATAATCCAGTTCTATCTTTATATATTTTGTTGCTCAAATTGCTCTATAAAGCTGTTATATTTTTGAACTGACAGAAATGAATTTTCTTAAAATAAAAAAGCTCATTCTTAGGTACTTATTTTACTGAAAAATGAGAGGTGAGACATTTTGGTTTTGCACTGTAGCTAGTATGCTGATAATGCTTTGTTTCTGTTACTGCTTCTGATAGCTTTTAGTTTCTTGATTTGTATTTGTCAGGTTGTCCTATCTCTAATCTTCACTTAGACGGCTTATATTTTATCCTGCTGAGATGGAGGTGATGGCCTATCTGCACAGGGTGGAAATTGCCTTTCTAATATGCTTTTGAGATCTCATTATGTGATATAAGTTTTATTAATTTTACAATTATTCCTGCAGACTTATGGATAATAGGAGTGTTTTATGAAGTGGAAAAATTTTAAACAATGAAGTCTAAATACCAGTGGAGCTTCTTATCCACATTTTTAGAGAAAAATTAGTAAAATACTTGGCTATCTGTAACTGGTTTCCTTGTGCTTCTAATTTTAGCAAAGTAATGATGCGTAAAGAGAATTTTAATAACCATGATGACTTGTATTTTTATAATTAAATGTCTGACAGTAACAGTGGTGTCCAGAATCACATTTTTTTCTGAATATTCTGAGCTGAGATTATATTTTATTTCTGCCTCTTTGTGTTTTCTAGATAGGTTCTTAAAATAGGTTTAAATTATCTTTTGAGGAGAAGTGAAAACTTGAAAGAATATCATTTTTAAATCATGGAAACTATACATTGAGGTAGATTTTCATATATGGTTTGTTGAATCAGTTGCATTACTTTTACAACCATACCTGGTAAATTAAATCATGATGGCTGTGATCCTGAATAAATTAACCCAGATAAGTTAGCATTAATGTACTCTTATGTAAAGTAAACTAATTCGGTATGATTTATTCTTTTTTTTGAAAGTTGAGGAATTGGCCTTCAATGTTTGTTTCAAATTTGAATGCCTAGACCATCAAACAAGTATAGGTTAAATAGCTAAATACATCACTTGTAGAATGTTGGTTTAAATTATTATTAATTTATTTTTACTCCAATTGAGAAAGATAAAATATTGGTTATTTATAAAATATCTCTTTCATTACTGTCGCTTCACATTAATCCATCTGAAGGAAAAGCGAAATTTGTTTCATTGCTGTGGGAATTTCTCATTTTACTTAATAATCTCATTATAATATCGGTATCTCAGGCTCTTAGAGTTAGAAGGTCATTTATGTTAAGTTTCTTGTAATTAAGAAATCTCATCTTTAGCATCCAAGACAGATATGCAGCCTCTGAACACTGTAGTGTTGGGAATCTTATCCCTCTCAGGGTAGTTTGTTTCACTGTTTTATATTCTCTGGTTCTCAGAAAACTTTTTATTTGAGTTACAAGTTCCTTGATGAAAGAGATTATTTTATTCATGTGTATATCACTGACACTGACTTGCACATAATACAGTAGGTAATTAATGAATAGTTAAATTATATTGAGTAGCCATCTACTTTCTCTAACTTTCCACATTGATTTTAATCTTATGGATCAATGAAGGACTGTGTTCTTTTCTATTTGATAGACTTTCATATGCGAATGTCACCGTTGTGTCTGTCTTTAGTCATTACTTCTCTAGACACTGTGAGAATTTGTAGATCTCTAACCATACTGGTCATCTTGGTTTATTATCCACTCTTAAAATACGATGCCAAGGTTGGAATTCAGCCCTTAGATTAGATCAAGTAGAGTGAGACAACTAATGGTGGATTAATGCCCCCTTTTATGTAAAGATACTAGGCTAAGGACAGAAATAAAGAAAAATATGAATTAGGAAGCCATTTCTCAGACTCCAGAACATTGTAGTGTCAGTTTTGTCTGTTGACTGTTAAATTATATTTTCTAGCTGATAATAGGGTAAAATTGGTAATGCTGCCAAATCATGGTTGATGCTACTTTGGATGTTTAATAATATCTTGCATTTAACTCTTGGCAGTTTACTTAATGCTTTCACATATATGATCATATGTAATCCTCAAGGTAAGTATTATTATTCTCATTTTGCAGGTGGAAAAAAATAATTTCCCCAAAGTTATATAACTAGTGAAGTAGCAGAATCCTGGTCTTTCTGTTTCCACCACTTTTCCAACTCTGCCATACCTGTGTTTCCAGAAGGTCTCATTTGAATATTTCTCTTGATTTGAAGGGATATATGCTTATCATGTTGACATTTATTATTTACCCCTTTCATCTGTTTCTTTCTTTTTTTTCTTCTTTTTTAAATTTTTTTAAATTATACTTTAAGTTTTAGGGTACATGTGCACATTGTGCAGGTTAGTTACATATGTATACATGTGCCATGCTGGTGCGCTGCACCCACTAACTCGTCATTTAGCATTAGGTATATCTCCCAATGCTATCCCTCCCCCCTCCCCCCACCCCACAACAGTCCCCAGAGTGTGATATTCCCCTTCCTGTGTCCATGTGATCTCATTGTTCAATTCCCACCTATGAGTGAGAATATGCGGTGTTTGGTTTTTTGTTCTTGCGATAGTTTACTGAGAATGATGATTTCCAATTTCATCCATGTCCCTACAAAGGACATGAACTCATCATTTTTTATGGCTGCATAGTATTCCATGGTGTATATGTGCCACATTTTCTTAATCCAGTCTATCATTGTTGGACATTTGGGTTGGTTCCAAGTCTTTGCTATTGTGAATAATGCCACAATAAACATATGTGTGCATGTGTCTTCATAGCAGCAAGATTTATATTCCTTTGGGTATATACCTAGTAATGGGATGGCTGGGTCAAATGGTATTTCTAGTTCTAGATCCCTGAGGAATCGCCACACTGACTTCCACAAGGGTTGAACTAGTTACAGTCCCACCAACAGTGTAAAAGTGTTCCTATTTCCCCACATCCTCTCCAGCACCTGTTGTTTCCTGACTTTTCAATGATTGCCATTCTAACTGGTGTGAGATGGTATCTCATTGTGGTTTTGATTTGCATTTCTCTGATGGCCAGTGATGATGAGCATTTTTTCATGTGTTTTTTGGCTGCATAAATGTCTTCTAATTCATGCACGTATTACAGTTACCACAGTCAATGTTACTCTTCCGTCTATATTAGCTACCTTTTATTTATTTAATTTGACCAAAAAAAACCAGATTGTACAGATTCTTCTCAATCACCAAGGAAGAACTAACTTTAAAAGCTACTTTCAAATAAAAATAAAGAAAACTGTCTTTGCATCTAAACTTGGTGTACCACTATGTTTTGGAACTTTGGAGGTAAATTGTGATTTATAAGGCAAGTTTTGATTCTTCCTGATGGCTTTTGCTTCCTTATGTTTCTGCAGCCTCGATGTACTTGATTTTGATAAAACTGTTGTTTGGAGTCATTAAACCCCTTGTTGTTGTTTGTTGTGTATAGCTTGGCATGGTGGAATGGATTGAACCTCCTAAACGAGAACGCAAAGCAAACTACGCAGTGGATGCCTACTTTAGAGAGGCTTTGCGTGTCAGCGAGCCAAAGATTCCAAAGGTAAAACTGTACAAGGCCAGTTTTTATGTCCTAAAGTAGATTTCTGTTGCAACATGATCTATGGGTCAGATTTACTTGTATCATTGCCAAATCATAGTCTCTAAAATATAACAGTACAAAAAAGTATCTGATTTGGCCCAGCCATATAAATGGATTTTATTGTATTTATTGTTCCATATATCACAGAAATAGTAAAAGATAAGTAAGTTTACTTCATGTACTGAAAAGAAGTATATATAATACATTTTCCTCCCTCATAGGCTCCACGGCCTCCAAAACAGCCAAATGTTCAGGATTTTCAATTTTTCCCACCACGCTTATTTGAGCTCCTGGAAAAGGAAATTCTTTATTATCGGAAGACAATAGGCTATAAGGTATTTTTTCCATTTTTTAAGATTAATATAATATAATCTTTAAAAATAATTTAATCTGTTAATCTAGACTAGAAGGTGTTGCATTTTAATTTGAGAGAATGTGACAGCAAATCACAACAGTGATGTTTTTAAAACCAAAGAGGAAGTTTAACTAGATGTAAAACATCTAACCACTGAATCACCAGTACAGTCATCACTAAATGAGATTAATGAAGAATTATGCAATATTTTGAAATAGTAATAACATTATTTTTATAATGCCAGTGTTTGAATAGTTAAAGAATATGTAGAGAGAACAATAGGTATGCGGTTAAAAGCGAATGTTAATATATGATAGGAAATTTTTGATCATTTCCTTAATAGGTCCAAGAAATAGTATTTCTGTCTTTATTGCCTATACGTTGCTGAAAGCCTTGCTGGTGGTTAGTAGATTGTAGTCACTTAGGTGTTAAAGATAATGATAAACATGATAGTGAATTATACAATTTTAAAATGATCTTTTGGTATTTGGAATTCTTATTTATATAGGTAGATAGAATCCTAGTTTTCATGAGTGAAATTTAATATTTGTCACACTAAATCTGTCATATTGGGAGAGTAAGCATACCAGGTAATTTCTGTATGTTGAAATTGACTTCCTAGTGAATGGAGAGAGATGACCAAAGGTATAATAATCACTAACATTAAAAAATTATAAAATACTGGCCGGGTGCAGTGGCTCATGCCTGTAATCCCAGCACTTTGGGAGGCCGAGGCAGAAGGATCAGTTGAGGTCAGGAGTATGAGACCAGCCTTGCCAACATGGCAAAACCCCGTCTCTACTAAAAATGCAAAAATTAGCTGGGTGCGGTGGCAAGCGCCTATAATCCCAGCTACTCGGGAGGCTGAGGCAGGAGAATCGCTTGATCCTGGGAGGTGAAGGTTGCAGTGAGCTGAGATCGCGCCACTGCACTCCAGCCTGGGCGACAGAGGGAGACTCTGTCCCAAAAATAAAATAAAATAAAATAAAATAAAATAAAATAAAATAAAATAAAATAAAATAAAATATTAACACTATTTTAATTTTATGAAGTGTTCTGTTTTATGAATTAACAGCTGTGTTTTAAATTTTATTTTGTAAACCTTTGTCACAACTGGAACTGTGACCCATTATTTTAATTAGTAGCTGGAATGTGCCTAGAAAAGCTCCATGTATATAAGATACTTATATCTTAACTCATTATATTTTGGAACTAGAGTAGATCTCTAGGGTGAACATTCATATAAGACATAAAACTAGTTTCAAAGAAAGTGAAAACAGTGATACACCAGAAGAAACAGGTAAGTTATAGGTTCAAATATAAAATAAAAATAGGAAAATTAATGATAATTATTAACAATAATTATTAATTGTTTAATAATGAAGTAGTTATCTTGTGAGGTAAACAAATACATATCATCTCATTAAGGTTTATAATAATTTGAGGTTTAGAATATTATTTTCTGTTACGTTCATTAACTGTTGTTAGTGAGACTTGAAAGGAGAATTAATTGAAATGTTAGACCTCAGTAATAAATCAAATATTTGCATAGAACATTTTATAATTTACAAAGTGCTTTAACACATACTGAGGTCGTTGATTCCTAACAACCTCATGAAGTAGGTGTTATTATCATCTCCATTTAATAGGTGAGGAAACTGAAGTTCAGAGAGGTTAAATGACCTTGTTCAAGATCATGGAACTAACAGGGTTGCCATGGGTCCTGGTCTCACAACCAGTTTCTCAGTATTCAGATGTTCTATTCGTTCCGCTCAGACGTTCTGGGCTCTTTCTGCATGCGATGTAACCCTGCTTCTTTCTGCAGTCCTAAATAAGGACTGTGTTTACAATGGTGTGGCATGACATTTGGGAGTTGGGCCAAGTGGTAGTCAAGTAGCAACAATTAAAAAAATCATCTCTGATATAACTTTATGCTCCTTCTTTGGAGATACTGAAATTTTGTTCCCCATGATAATTTACAGTGACCACCACATTCTGGCCACCGGTCTGGTTTGAATATAAACAGTGCCTTTCATTACAGGCAGTTTGTGGTTAGGGGTGAAGTCTTACAGTGACTCTTTGGGTGGTGGCCAGCTGGAAGGAGATGGAGAAGAGAGGAAACCTCAGAAGATGGAGGAATGAAGGGACAGCTGTTAAGGGTGGTAGAAAGGAAGGGGAGGAGGAGAGGTATAAGAATAGAGGAAAGGGATGAATAGGGAGAGGGGAGATGGCATGGAATTCGTGCTATTGCACCTTATTGTTTGCTCTTCCTCACTTCCCTGAAAGAAGCAAGAGGAGAGGGAAAAAGAGTAAAAGGAGGACCTTTTTTTAAAGTGTAATACCTATTTATTGAGCAATCCTTTGTGCCAGGTACTGGGCCAAGTACTTGGGATAAAGCAGTGAATAAGACAAAGTCTTTCATCTCATGGAGCTTACATTCTAATAGAGGAGATAGGCATTAGATACTACAATGTAATGGTGGTGGCATTTGTGTGGTTCTGTGCTTACAAGGGGTGCTAATGAGGGAGTATAACATGGGTATCTCATGTGGACTGGGAGATCAGGGAAGTGTTCCCTAAGGAAATGTCATTTAAGCTGAGTTTCCAGAGATGTGAATGAGCTAAGTGAAGTGTGGGAGAGAAAAGCTGAGGCAGGTGGCACCTCATATGCAAAGGTCTTGAGGTGGGAAGGAGGATGACTCCTTTTGGGAGCTTTAAGAAAGCCAGTGTTGTTAGGGACTGGTGAGACACAGGGTGACTTGAGATGAGGCTGGTGAGTGGGTAGAGTCAAATCATATGGAGGGCTTTGTAGGTCATATTAATGAGGTTGAACTTTAGCTTTAGAGTAAAGGAAACCCACTGAGATGTTTTTAAGGCAGGGAGGTGGGTGGGTGGGTGGTAAAGTAATACTAATAGCAGATACTTAGTCCTTACATGTGTTACTTATTGTTCAAGTTATTTGTAAATGTTAGCTCATTATCCTCCTAACAGCCTTTGAACTACATCCTTATTTTACAGATGAGGAAACTGAAGCATAGAGAGGTTGAGTCATTTGCCCTGAATAATTTGCTCAGGGTCATACAACTTATAAATGGTAAATTATGATCAGATTTACAATTTTTTTTTGAGACAGAGTCTCACTTTGTCACCAGGCTGGAGTGCAGTGGCGTGATCTTGGCTCACTGTAACCTCTGCCTCCCGGGTTCAAGGGATTGATTCTCCTGCCTCAGCCTCCCAAGTAGCTGGGACTACAGGTGCATGCCACTACGCCCAGCTAATTTTTGTATTTTTAGTAGAGATGGGGTTTTACCATGTTGGCCAGGATGGTCTGGATTTCTTGATCTCTTGACCTACCTGCCTTGGCCTCCCAAAGTGCTGGGATTACAGGTGTGAGCCGCCACGCCCAGCCCAGATTTACATTTTTAAAAGATCACTTTGGCTGCGATGCAGAGAATGGCAGGTTTATCTAGGGAAACCAGCCAGGAGGCTGTTGAAGTATCAAAATGAGAGAAGATGGTGGCCACTTGGACTGCAGTGGTGGTGGTGGAAGGAGAACCAATCCCCTACTACTCTACTCCTAGCCTTGGACTCTCTTCAGCCGTATCCTAGATTGCTTCTGTATTGTCTTAAGACTTGCCTTGATCCTCCTTATGCATGCTTAGCTGAGGATTTAGGTGACAAATAAGAATACATTCTGGATATTTGTTCTTTCTGGACCTTGTCTCTTCCATTCTTTACTAGGAACTATGGACCTGAGCTAAGGTGGGTTCTTTAATTGGGTGGTTTTTTGTTTGAGTTCAGAGAATAGACAGATCAGCAGGCATGTTAATCATCTTAAAAAGCTCCCTTTTAAGGATGATGTGATATATAACCGTTAGACATATCTTCTCAAGGCATAGCTAGCATTGCTTTATTTCCCCCTTGCACCTTCAGAAAACTCATCAGGGCCACAAAGTAAATAGAGCACTAGTTTATCCTCAAATGAACAAAACAAAATTGCTTTAGTGGAGTTACCTGGTATTCTGTGTACACAGATTCTCAAAAAGGGACTCTTTCCCCCTTTTCTGCCTAAAGGATTGTTAGCCAAGGGGAGATAGGTGATGCCCATAGCTGGGGGCACTGTGGTTCATGGTTACGTTTTATCTATGTTGAGTCTCCAAAGGCTTATTCTGTTGTGATTTGGAGTGGGGCTAGTGAAGGGCCCACAAGTTTTGAAGCAGTTGGTAGAGAGTGGTTTCCTTGTACTTCCTGGTTATTTGCATTTTTATTTTCTGTTTTTCTCCCCCTTTCCCTCCCTCATATTCAGCACAAGGTCACAGCAATATTGCTGATAATAAGATCTGGAGTTAAAGAGTTTTGTTTTATTTGAAGGTGAGAGAAGTATTTGTTTCGCCCTAACCACGTGGTGGACAGCAGTACATAATGTGCCCATTCTTGCTGCTATCTAAGCTTTGACCTTAGGCATATTCAAAAGCTGCATTGCTCTTTCGACTTAAAGGAGTTGTTATTTAATGCATGCAATCACTTGGTCACTAAAACCTTTATATTGGAAGAGGACGACTTAATTGAAATTTCAATTACAGCATAAAAAATCCAGAATATCTGGACGTTCCATTGAGTCTAAAACCTGGAATGCAAGAGTTTTGCCACATTCGAAGCTAAAGAAAGCTATAGAACATTCTAACATTTATCCCCAATAAAAAATTCTTTAGGGACAAATATAAACATTTGACAAATGGAGGAAGTTCCATAATCTTTGTGAGTTTTGGTAATGTGTCATTGTGGGCCACCTACTTTTTCAGTGGTAGAACTAAAATAATGGTGAGCTGATTTCAGGTTACTGCTTTTATTTTGTGTGGTGTCACATTTAATTCAGTACTCCATATTTCCTATGCAATGCTTGCTAAACTCCTCCTAAGAAACAAGGCCAAAAAAAGTTTTTCACTACTTCATGGAATACATTTCTTAATCACAAATTCCTTAGCATCTGAGTAGAAATCCAAATAATAATTGAGATTTTTACTTTAGAAAGATAACATTTTATATATTGTGTTGCTGGAGATCATAATGAGACATAGAGTATGAGGACTTTAAATACCTCCTGGGTATCTGTTCAGTACTATTGGTCTGTAATTTGTCTGCTTAATTCTTTTTTTTTCTTTTGAGACGGAGTCTCACTCTCTTGCTGAGGCTGGAGTGCAGTGGCACTGTGTCAGCTCACTGCAACCTCCATCTCCTGGGTTCAAGCAATTCTCCTTCCTTAGCCTCCCGAGTAGCTGGGATTACAGGTACCCATTACCACGCCCGGCTAGTTTTTATATTTTTAGGAGAGACGGGGTTTCATCATGTTGGCCAGGCTGGTCTTGAACTCCTGACCTCAGGTGATCCACCCGCCTTGACCTCCCAAAGTGCTGGGATTACAAGTGTGAGCCACCGTGCCTGGCCTATCTGCTTAATTCATAATGTAGTACTTTGAAATCATTCCAGGAAGCTTAATGCTGATACGAACCTCATGAGGTAAAAAAAAAAAAATGTATGTCTTATTAAAATGATGACTATTAAGGTTTTTTTTTATAGGAGGTGTATTAGTCTGTTTTCACACTGCTGATGAGGACATACCCGGGACTGGGTAATTTATAAAGAAAAGAGATTTAATTGACTCACAGTTCCACATGACTCGGGGGCCTCACAATCATGGTGGAAGGCAAGGAGGAGCAAGTCAGGTCCTCCATGTTAGAAGGGAAGAGAGAACTTGTGCAGGGGAATTCCTCTTTGTAACACCATCAGATCTCATGAGAATTATTCACTATCACGAGAACAGCATGGGAAAGACCTGCCCCCATGATTCAATTACCTCTCACTGGGTCCTTCCCATGACACATGGGAATTGTGGGAGCTACAATTTAAGATGAAATTTGGGTGGGGACACAGCCAAACCATATCAGGAGGGAGATACAGGAATTTAGAAACTTTGAGCCTTTTCTAATTCTAAACATTTTAGCAGCTATTTGAGTAATTTCTAGAATTAAAATAGCAAACATAGCTTTCATGAAGTCATTCTTGTTTTGCTATGTTAATTAATATGACCACTGGATATAGAATAAATTGCAGTGGATTCTAAAATCTAATGGTTTTATAAAATATTCTGATTTTGCTTTTATTAGAAGTTGAAAGGGGAAGTTTTTAGTATGGGGATGTCTGCATGGGAATAAACAGTTTTATTTTATTTTATGTGGGTATATTTATTTTCTGTCATGAATTGGATGTTTATAAAATATTTTCATTTTGTTAAAAATATGGTTTGTTGGACATGGAAATTTTGAAAATGTTTAAGAGAAGGATATCTTAAGATCAAAGAGGTTTCTTTCAATTAAAATTAAAATTTGAAACCAAAGTAATTTCACATACCAGCAATTTAAGGGGTCTATTAACTTTTAAAACTGTATCTGTACTTTTAAAAAAACATTATGAAGGATTTTTAAAAATACAAAAATGTTGAAATAATTGTACAGTGAACACCCATATATACCCCACATATGTTTGACAATTTACATCTTATGGTATTTGCTTTTTCACCGATTTTTCCATTTCTCTGGCCCTCTATCATACGGATATTTATCTTATTATTATGCATCTCAAAGTTGCAGACATAAGTACATTTTACCCAGAAACACTTCAACATGCATGTCATTATCCAGAGTCATATTTTGTTTATGATTTTTTAAAGTAACATTTACATAGAGTGAAATATATAAACCTTAAGTGTACCATTCAATGTTTTTTCACAAGTGCATACACTTATGTAACTCGAACTCCTCCTATAAAGATATAGACCATTTCTGTCACCCCAGAAAGTGCCTTTTCCCAGTGACCATATGCACTCCTCAGAGGCAACCACTGTTCTGATCTTTCCCTCCATAGATTAGGTTTTTAAATTTTTGTTCTAGAATTTCACATAAATGGAATCATACAATATGTATAAGGCTTGTTTCACTTAGCATAATGTTTTAGAGATTCAGCCATGTTGTCCCATGTATCTATGTGGCTCCTTCCTTTTGATTGTGGAACACCTATTCCATTGTATGGATAGGCCACAGTTTGCTTATTCATTCTCTTGATGGTCATCTGGGCTGTTTTCTGGCTTTTGGCTATGATGAGTAAAGCTGCTGTGAACAATCTTGTCAAAGTCTTTGTATAGATACATTTTCCTTTCTTTGGGTAAATACTTAGGAATGGAATTGCTGGTATGCCTGTAATTTTAACATTGGGTTTAGCTACTGAAGAGAAGTTGTTTTTAATCATGCTATGACTGGGCTACATTTCATTTTAAATGTACACCTTTTCCATTTCCATTTGCCACCATCCTAGTCCAGATGATCATGCGTCATTTCTAGATTATGATAGTAGAGCAGGTTCTCTTACCTGTTAGTCGCTGCCCCACTTCAGTCCATTCAGCAAAAGGCTTCCGGGTGAAAACACTACATTTTGACACTTTACTCCCTTGTTCAAAAGTCTGCAGCACCTTCTGTGTAGTGTCAAGACCCTGTAAATCTGTCTCTACCCTTCCTTGTTTCTTATCTCTTTTCAACATAAACCCCATATGCGCCTTCCTGCACATTTCTGCCTTCATGCTTTTGCTCATACCCCTAGCCTAGAATATTCTTTCTTCCTTCTCCATCTCCCTAGATCCTTAGAGTTCTTAAGGTACAGCTCATAATTCCACAACTAGTTTGTGAGCTCCTTGTGGGCAAGGACCATATCTAATATAGGTAGAGTTTCCCTCATTCAAAAATCTGAAATCTGACATGTTCCAAAATCCAAAACTTTTTGAGCTCTGACATTGCGTCCAAAGGAAATGCTGCTCATTGGAGCATTTTTTGGATTTCGGATTCTCAAGTTAGAAATGCTCAACAGATAAGTATAATGCAAATATTCCAAAACCCCCAAAAATCTGAAATCTGAAACACTTCTGGTCTGAAACATTTGGGATAAGGGATAAAACCTATGCTTATATTCCAATCAATACTTATCATAGTTCTACAAACATAATAGACATTTAGTCAATACCTGCTAATTTGATTGCCTGATACTGATGATTACAAGTGAATCTAATTTCTCAGTATTTCTTTTTAATGCTCAGTTAGGTTTTATACCTGAAGAACTATTGTACTTAATAGTTAATTTTTAAGTTACTTTTAAGTTACAATGATATAGTTCCAAACTCTATGAAATACATATAACAATGAGAAAAATGCACTCTAATGTGTATTATAATTACAGGGTAGTAAAACCATGACTACCTGATGCCCCTAGGGAATGAGTCATGTGTGCATTTCAAGCAGTGGAAGGCTTACTGCCAGCCCTTTTATTTTCATGTTTAATGGAATGCTATAAAGTGTAGTACACATGTTATGTACTTGCCCTCTTAAATCAATGTGCTTCCTTGTAGCTGCAGATGCACATAGCGATGGTATCAGGCTTTAGGCTGAGAGACTTCATTTGTTCCTCCATACACACAGTATAGTTCAGCCCCATACTGCTGAACCACATTGGTTATATATGCTCACTGTGATACACTGAGGCTCTGCAGGCTACAGTTTTGAGATACAGGTGACAACTTGCTTTCTTGGAGAGCTGAGCTTCTGTCCTTATCTTTTGAACTCAAGTTCTCTTCTCAGTTTTCACTGTATTTGCAGTTCTGTACCCAAAACACCATATATGATTTCTGTTGGTCACTGCTGTTGTAGTCTTTTCCTCCTTGACCACTGGTCCTATCATAGCTATTTGTGTGCTCTACTATACCCTTCCCTCTTATATTCTCTGTTTCCTCTTTTTTCTTCATTATCCTGTTAACTTTTTCCAAACTTTCCATTTTATGTAAAAATGCTCTCTCCCCTTACATACCTTGGCAGGCAATAAAAGCACTCCTTTCTTTTTGCATGTTGAACTGATCAGACTGTTGGATGTAATGTTCAGGTGCGTTGCCACTTCTCCATTCTGCTCTGTGTTGCCAGGGGAATATGGATTCTTTTTTGTTTTTTACCACTAAACTTTTTGTTTGTTCTGTATATTACAATAGTATAAGGGTAGACTTTGTTCCAGGGTATAATCATATCTGAAATCTAATGTGGCATTTGCCAGTGAGTTTTAACTATGGAATATCATGTGGCACAAGAATGGTTTTTACTTCAATAGGATCATGGTAGCAGAAATGTGGAGAGGACCGTGTGTCATTCTGGCTATGATTTTATATTGTTTACTCTTGAAATAACTCTAAAGATTGATATGTGTATATACAGCCTTAGTAATTAATTTTTCTCATCAGTTTACTCTTAGTTTATCTCTTGATTTATAGGTTCCAAGGAATCCTGATATCCCAAATCCAGCTCTGGCTCAAAGAGAAGAGCAAAAAAAGATTGATGGAGCTGAACCTCTTACACCAGAAGAGACTGAAGAAAAGGAAAAACTTCTCACACAAGTAAAATATTTTCAATGGCTGTAATACTTACAGTCAATCAATAGAAAAAAAGAAAATATAGATCACACTTTTTATTGTATGGGCCTAGTATCCTAGTGTGACACACCAACAAAACTCAGGGCTATTTTGTAAACATGTTTAGACCAAATCTCCTTATTTTTAAAAATTGATCTTATAGAATATGCCCTTTTGGAAATAGTGGATAGTATGTATATGCAAAATATAAGTGTCAAGTATTAGCAATTTGACATACATTTTGCCAATTATAATAAGGTCAGTGAATCCACATTTGAATTCTGATAGACAGTAGTTATTAACATATTCTTTTTTGTTTTTTGAGACAGTCTCGCTCTGTCACCCAGGCCGGAGTGCAGTGGTGCGATCTGAGCTCACTGTATCCTCCACCTCCCAGGTTCAAGTGATTCTCCTGCCCAAGCCTCCCGAGTAGCTGGGATTACAGGCACCCACCACCGTGCCTGGCTAATTTTTGTGTTTTTAGTAGAGATGGGGTTTTGCCATGTTGGCCAGGCTGGTCTCAAACTCCTGACCTCAAGTGATCCACCCACCTCGGCCTCCCAAAGTGCAACTGATACTACAGGTGTGAGTCACCGTGCCAAGCCTGTTATTAACATATTCTTGAAAATTTAAATTTCTTTTGTTTATAGATGTGAATTGTCTCCTGAAGTTATATTCTACTAATTTTTTATTAATGGAATAATTTCATAATTTTCAAAATTCTTTTTATCTTTTTTTATAATTTTCATACAATGATGAGAGATTTCTGAAGCTTTTATTATTATTATTATTATTTAAGGTGATCATTGTATAACAATTATTAAATTAGGAAGGTTTCCATTTGAACAAAATATTAATGCTTTTAAGTCATTATTGCTATCATGAGTTTTACGAGTGTTCTACTTCTAAAATAAACTATAGAAGATAAAAATTTCAGCATAGAAGGCTTGCAAAATAAACAAAATGTGTACCGTAGGACATTACTTTAGTATAGAGGGTTGCCAGCAAGATTTATTTATTCAACAAATTTTGAACAATGTGCGATGCATAGTAGTAGGTAATTCTCCACGTTAATTATTGAAAGATAGTTTTTATATTTGTATATTATTTATTATATAGGTTTTTTTTGCTATAACGTAATTTTATTGTATGGATTTTCACAAATTACATTCATAAGTTTTTGAGCCAAATGCCTGGAAGTAATAAAGTTTAGTTTGAAAATATAATGGCAGATGGCTGAATATTAGAACTTACCACAGAATAAAATAAAACATTTAAATATTCATGTTCTATTTTCAAAATGTATTTCCTGAATGTAAAAGTAAAGTTATGGCTTTAGAATGCTACATGACTTGGAGTATATTGTGAATGTACGGTATAACATGAATATACAGTCTCAACTGAGATAATATTTTAGTTTGTAATTAGAAATATAATCAGTTTTCTGCTTCTCCTAGTATATGAATTCATTTTTGTCCTTCTCTGCTGCCTTAAATAATTAATCTTTTTCAAAAAACCATGGCAGTACGTAGGAACAAAATGTGGGGTCATCTGAAATCTTTATCAACTAAAAGCCAGGGATAGAGTTTTGCAGTGTCTGGAGTATCACATTTATGTGAGTTGGGGCTCGAGGAGTGGAAGACAAATTCTTGGTCTTGTGACTTCACAGACATGCTAATAATGCCAAGGGAATTTAAAACACTGGCTAAAGTGTTTTATGTTTTAGTAAAGAAATTGAGTGGCTCCAATAACGTTCTGCTTGTAGAAGTTCTATTTATGAACATAATTTAGAACAGAAATTATTTATTCACACTAGTTCAGAATGATGTAAAGAGCTACAATTTTTTTTTGCATTATCTTTTGGTTATTCCTCAGTGTTCTTTTGATTTAGTGCATCCACATTTCTCTCTTTTAATTTATGTAGGAACAGATCTGTGAAAAAAATCATTGAAGTACTAGAATATCACGACTTCAGCATTTATATTAGCATTTTTATTTTCATGCATTTGTATTTTAATGTAGGCATCTATAAAATATGAAATTAAAAACTACAGATCTTCGAACTATGTATCAACATTCTCTTTGTAATAGAAAAGCAGTTATTTCTATAACAACTCTCACTCAACTTTTGATTCCAACATAAAATATGTGCAATTTTATAAGGAGAAACATTTTAAGTCTTTTAAAGTGTTTTTTAATGTATCATTGTATAGAAGTAAATAGGGCAATAAATGGATTTATTAATTTAACCTCTATTGATAATGCTTAACTTTTTGTTCACAGGGTTTCACAAACTGGACTAAACGAGATTTTAACCAGTTTATTAAAGCTAATGAGAAATATGGAAGAGATGACATTGATAACATAGCTCGAGAGGTAGAGGGCAAATCCCCTGAGGAGGTCATGGAGTATTCAGGTTTGTATATAATTTGAAACATGGTGTTGTATTTTAACGTTATTCATTTATTTAGCATCAATTTAATTGTACCTTTGTTCAGAGATGTTTTAAACTTTTATGAATAAGACATAGATGAGAGTATAAACTATAATTGTATTTCTATGAAAAGGTTATAAGAAAGGTTATAAGATTTATCCTAACAAACTGACTGCTATTGTCTCTATCACCTAGCTAAAAGAGGCAAATAAAGCTCTGATAAAACAAGGGTGGCTCTTGGATAAGCATTGACAAAATTAGTTTCCCACCTTCCCACCTCTGGAATTTGGTCTTCTGGTTCAGTTCTGAGATTCACATTCAGTGGATTGAATTCGTGCCTTTCTTTCTAGGTCGTCCTTAAAGTAGAGAGTTCCTGTCAGGCCCATTTAGATGCTCAAACACCCTCAGAGTTCCACCCTATTCCAGAGAGTTCCTGTGGGTCCCATTAACTTGGGGCTAGCGGGCGTAGAGCTGAAAAGATTGCTTTAATCAATCTGTTAACTGGTCCTCAAATCCTCTCCCTCTCTTACTCACCTGTGTTGTTGAGCTCGACCAGAATCAGTTTAGCTGCTGAAGCATATGGATTTTTTTTACACTTACTGGTTTATTATAAAGGGTATTGTAAAGGATACAGATGAAGCGTGTAGGGCAAAGTATGGGCCAAGAGGGCGCAGCGCTTTGGTGCCCTCCCTGGGCGAAACCTCTTCGTGTTTAGCTATCCAGAAATCTTATTAAAAATAGGTAAATATGTCTAGCAAGTTTTCTATATGTAGTACATGGGACTTTTCTAACTTCCAAATAGGTTCAGCTCTTAAACTTATCATTTGAAACAAGATGTTTAGAATCTAGAGCATTTTTTGTCATTGAAACAATGGCAAAGTAGGTTTAAGTTTACAAAGTAGGTTTAAGTTTCTATGATAGCCCCTGCCCCAAATCTATTTAACCCTACCACTGAAATTCTGTTTTTGCAATAGTAGGAAAGAAACATTACAGTACCAATAAATATACTAAAGATTAATAATAGCTAGGAACAGCTTTTAATTTATCTAGCATGCTAGTGCTTGAAGAAATCCAGATTTAATTAGAGAGATTTTTTTTTCTTCTGGAAATCTAAAAGAGTCTTCTGGGGGACTTCAGAGGTCAGTTGTATTGAGTTTTTATTACATATAATATAACATTAAGTATATGAACTTCCTTTTCCTTCATACCAGCATGATATTACTATTACTCTGAACATTTAGCACATAAATTTAGGGCATTTGGAGGCTTAGGGGAAAAAATAGATTGAAGAGAGAAATTTTAGCATCAAGAGTTGAATGAAAAGAATGTAAAAGGGTATGTGCAGAGAGATTTTTAAGAAGAATTTTTTTCAGAAGATAGGCAGGGAGATAACATCGGTGTATGTGAAGTTGCAAGAAAAAAATGTGATTTAAAAAGATGATCCTGTCAGACTTTCTTTCAAATTTGACACCAAGCCAGGTGGCATGACTAGCTCAGGACTATTTAATTGCTGCCTGCCAGGTTGGGGGCCATGTCACAGGGTGAGGAGATTGCAATGAGTTTGTTGTAGTTGGTTACAGTAAGAGAAGAAATGTGTACAATTGACCACCCATGAATATACAGTATCCTGTACATAGCAAGTGTTTAAATATTTGTTGAATGAATATGTGAGTGAATGAGTAAATGAACACAGGTGCTTATAAAAATCAGAGTGCTCACATACCTTTCTTGATAGGCTCTAAAAATGAAAAGCTTGAGGATGTGGAGTATGTCATTAAAAGGCCTTTCATTGAAGTCATGTGACATATTAATACAGCCAGATTATTTGGCTCATCTATAAAATTTGGTTGAGTGACTTGGAATGTTTTTCAGTGTGTATGCAATTAAAATCCCAATGAGGTTTTTTTTTTTTTTTTTATGAGAAAAGGGTATTCCAAGTAAGTTTAAAAACACACTACTGGTCATTGGAAATACCGTAAGATGATTAGTGAGTGATTCCAAAAGCAAATGACAATTTCAAGAGAAATGGCTGCTCCATAGAAAAAAATTTGAACAACCTGTTCATAATAGCTTGGGTTTTTTGTTTATTTGTTTGTTTTTGAGATGGAGTCTCACTTAATCGCCCAGGCTGGAGTGCAGTGGCGCGATCTCGGCTCACTGCAACCTCCACTTTCCGGGTTCAAGCAATTCTCCCGCCTCAGCTTCCCGAGTAGCTGCGATTACAGGCACGCACCACCATGTGCAGCTAATTTTTGTATTTTTAGTAGAGATGAGGTTTCACCATGTTGGCCAGGCTGGTCTCAAACTCCCAACCTCAGGCAATCTGCCCACCTCAGCCTCCCAAAGTGCTGGGATTACAGTGTGAGCCACTGTGCCTGGCCCATAATTGTTTTCGCATGCTAGGAAGCTATATTCACTGTTTATATATTACTCTCTCCTGTGTCACTTTATGTGTTTGGTCCCTTTTCTATCATGTTTGAGTAAAAAGCCTAGCTTAAATCAGTATCTGCATCATCTTTTGAAATCCTAGTCATTTGGGATGGATCGTAAGACTCCGTACTATTTCATGAAGGAAAATTGCTAACCTAAAACCTTGTTTTGAGGTCTTATTTTTAAGTGAAAAGTTAGTAGTATTTAATAATTTAACATATTATATATATAAGATTAATCTGAATCTTAATTTTAAGAAGTACAAGCTCATTGTATTCTTTCCTATTAATTCCTTATTCTACAATTCCTTGGATTTATTTGCTTAAATGATAGGATTTTAAAGAAATAACTCTGTTTTTCAGCTGTATTTTGGGAACGTTGCAATGAATTACAGGACATTGAGAAAATTATGGCTCAAATTGAACGTGGAGAAGCAAGAATTCAACGAAGGATCAGTATCAAGAAAGCCCTGGATGCCAAAGTACTATGTTTTATGTCAAATTATTATTAGATCGTTTTAATTGAAATAGTGGTCAGCTTTGACTTCTTACTGCACATTCAATTAAAAGCACTATTTTGTTTAAATACACAGATTGCAAGATACAAGGCTCCATTTCATCAGTTGCGCATTCAGTATGGAACCAGCAAAGGAAAGAACTATACTGAGGAAGAAGATAGATTCTTGATTTGTATGTTACACAAAATGGGCTTTGATAGAGAAAATGTATATGAAGAATTAAGACAGTGTGTACGAAATGCTCCCCAGTTTAGATTTGACTGGTTTATCAAGTCTAGGACTGCCATGGTATGTATTCCTTTCTTACCGATTTCCTCCAACTTTTTATTTTGAAAAATTTCAGATGCCATATATCCTTCACCTAGATTCTCCAATTAACATTTTGACACATTGGCGCTCTCTCTTTCTCTCTCTCTGTGTGTATGTGTATACATACGTAGCACCTATATATACGTGCAGAATCTATATTTTGTATTAAAAAATACGGGGACATCTATATTCTATATTCTGAAATGCGTATCTATATTTTATAAGTATACTTAACTATATTTATGAACCATTTGAAAATTACAGACAATGTGAGTGTTCATCTCTAAATACTTAAGCATGTATCTCCTAAGAATAATGACATTTTCTTACATAACCACAATCCCACCTGAAAACATTGATTCAGTAATGTCATTTAGTATACAGTCTATGTATAAGCTTTTCCAGTTGCCCCCAAAATGCCCCCTTTATAGCTGTTTTTTTTAAAATTGATGATCCTGCAAGTTTCACACATTACATTTCGTTGTTGGGTCTCTTTAATCTCTTTTAATCCACAACCTTTTGGTTTTCGTGATCATGACTTTTTAAAGGTGTCCAGGCTAGTTGTCTTGTAGAATGTCCCACATTGTGGATTTACCTCATTACTCATTGTAAGATTCAGGTTCAACGTATTTGGCAAGAGTGCTGTGGAAGTGATGTTATGTATTTTTTATTGCATCCCATCAGAAGGCACATTATGTCATGTTGTCACACTGTTGGTGATGCTAAGTTTGGTCACTTGTTAATGTGATGATCTTCAGAGCTCTCCGCTTTAGAGTTATGTTTTCCCCTTTGTAATTAAGCAGGTTATGCTTGAGACTATGCGAATGACTTAAAGATGGACTTTTAATGAAAAGGAGTTGTTGCCTAAGTTGAGTTTTTTATTAGGAAACAGAATATTTAAGTTGAAGAGATATTTTATTTTAGCTTATGTGATTTCCTCCATTACTTTCTAATGTGAATTGTGTTCCTATTCTAGTCCTACTTAGCAGTGGTGTTCATGATGATTTTGAAATACATGCAACACATTTTTAATGTTGGCATTGTTAATCTTTTGTCAGCCAAGGTAATTAAGACAAAATAGATTTATGCAGCCTAAAAATTAAAAGCAACCAGAAACTAACAATGCAAACAATGTTTTTGTGACTAGTCATAAAATAGGATACATTTTTCTTAGCTGCTACCTATCATAAATATCTTTTTGTCCAAAAGTTGACTGAGTGTGAAACAATGCTTAATATTTTGCTTGACTCACTTTATATTTTCAGTTCAAGTTGAATAAAAGGAAAGGAAAAATCTGGGTTACTGTAGTGAAGACATTAATTTTGGCAGATGCTTTAGAAGATCACATATTTGTTAAAACTTTAACACAAATTTAGAGTGTGTGGAGTATGTCCATCAAATTTATGAATGGCGTATGCTTGGAGAGCTAGCAAATATTTTAGACCAAGCCATGATCCAGAAGGAGCTAGAGTAGTTGGAATGATGGATCAGTTGAATCCAGCAACACAACATTTATTTATTTTATTTATTTTTGTATGTATGTAGGTATTTATTTATTTTGAGATGGAGTTTCACTCTTTGTCACCCAGGCTGGAGTGCAGTGGTGCAGTCTTGGCTCACTGCAACCTCCACCTCCCGGGTTCAAGCAATTCTCATGTCTCAGCCTCCCGAGTAGCTGGTATTACAGGCACCTGCACCACGCCCGGCTAACTTTTGTATTTTTAGTAGAGATGGGGTTTCACCATGTTGGCCAGGCTGGTCTCGAACTCCTGATCTCATGTGATCCACCTGCCTCAGCCTCCCAAAGTGCTGGGATTATAGGCGTGAACCACCGCGCCCAGCAAACATGACATTTAATAGGGATAAATGTAAAGTGCTATACTTGTACAAAAGAATATGAAAAGATATATATGTTAGCAAGGTACAGTAGGAAGAATTAAGAAAAGAATAAAAAAGATAAAGAGGTAATCTGTAGCTTGAAGGACTGAGGTTGGATATAGGGAAGAGTTGTTTTATAGAGTTCTTTGGATCATTGAAATAGATTATTGAAGAACAATGTAGAATAGCTTTTCATTAGCCTTTGAAAGTGGAATTCTATTTTGACTCTCTGAAGACATTGGCAGTAAGTTACTTGGCCTTTTAAGGTCCCCTTTAGCACAGTGAATCTATGACTATGTTTAGCAGAGAACTCCTTTTAAAAGCCATGCAGGATAAATCTTTTAGCCATTTGGGGTTTTATACATGTAATGATTTAATTTAGAGCACCACTAACAGCTTGTAGAAGACAAATGCCTACCTGCATTTGTCAGTTAATCATGTTTTAGAATATACATACCCTTTTCTGTGATAGAACAGTTATTGAATTTTGAGTTTTTATTTCAGTGATATTTTGCTAATTTTTTAAAAGGTTGAGAGCTTAATGCTGTTTTCAGTTTCTGGAATCATTAAACCAGTAGGACGAAACACATTCAAAGTGCAAGGAAAATCTTAACACTATTTATAATATGAACACGACTGTGGAACTACATAACCTTATTTTATTTTCTAAGAAAAAAATCCAGTATAATATTATCAACCACTAGATGTCTCTGAACTCCCTTGTAAAAAATCTGTTTTTCTTCCATCTTCTTTTTACAAAACATTTACCTCTGTACTCTTTCTTTACCGAGAAATGTAAATCTCAATTATGTTTTCCAAAAAGCACATATTAACTATTTAAATGATCATAAAATGAAATCTTTTTCTGTTAAAAATGAAGACATTTCTGTCTTCAATTACCTTCTAGAAAGTGGAATTTATTATTTCTGAACAATCTTCAGAAACATGCAGTAGTTTATTTTATATTTAAATATTTTAATTGAAAAGTTTTATTTATTACTTTTTCTATCGTATTAAATTTTTATTTCCCTTCTAGTTAATGGATAATTTTTGCTTATAATAATTTTTGCTTATAATTCTGGATTTAGAGTATAAATAATGTATTTTAAAACACACATACATTTGGAACTTTTTAGAATATTTCATGATAATTTCAACAATTAGGAAATTATAGAAATGGATTGATGGTTCTTGATGATCTTCTTTCCCCCTTTCATTTTTAGTAACTCTTCTGTATAGTGAATCACATTCACAATCTAGGAAGAGAAACTGCCCCATTTGAAAGAGGCACTTGTGATTTCTGAAATACAAAGAAGTTGTTTCATTGAAAAATCCCATCTTAGAACTACAGAGAATGTAATTTGATTCATTATGTGAGTGTGTCACTGTGTTCAAATGAAAATCTTACTAATGATTGAACTTAGCTTACTAAAGATACCTTTAAAAACGATCTGGCTTAAAGATGACTCTTTTCTTTCTCAGAGACATGAATAGTGTGAAATGCATCTTATAAAAAGTAGAAACCTTAATAGTTATATTTGATTCAGAGATCTCAAAGTACTGAATTCATGGCTCCTGACTTAACTAACAGTCATAAAGGCACGAACTTCCGCTTCTAAATATGCCTCACTTTGAAAGCCTTCAGCTAAAGGTTGCAGATTTCTTTGAGGCTCTTTTTCATTAAAAAATGCTAGCTATACAAAAGAGAAAATGAGTTTCAGTTCAATTTCTCTGTGCTAAAAGGATTGTGATTTCTTTCTCTGAGAATTTGTGTGGTCTTTAAGTAAGTAATCAGTCTCTATTGAACTACATAAACAAGTAGGAAGGATATGATCAACTTAGCTTTTTAAGCTCAGAGCATATGAATTGCCCTACCATTTTCTTTCTAAGAAAACCATCTTAGAATGAGGTCATAGTCTTAGGATAGTCAAAAACTTATCAGAGTTAAAAGGACCCTTATCAAATAACCATAAGAGGAAGTAATACTTTGTATTTATGTAGTACCTTTTATATAATGCTTGCCAATCCCTTTACCAACATTAGCTTAATTTTCTTGCCACTCCTTTTAGGAAATGAATGTCAGGAGAGTATCTCTGTTCATTGAGTGACGACTAAATGTGACTGGGAGATTCTGGAAGAATCTAAGAAGTCCAAAAGATCTAGCACATTAGTCAGTTTACTGCAAAGGACATGTGGAAAGAGTACCCAAAATTCAATCAGTAATTCCTTGTACCTTCTTAGGTCCTTCTAAGTACTTAAAGTAGAAAAAGCAGAATTTAACTCTCTGAAATAAGGAACATTTCTTGATAGAACCATTTATTGCATTATTTGCAGGGCTGCTTTGACTCTTAATTTTAGTTAAAAAAAAAATTCTTACCTTTTAACCTCTGGGGAGATTTTTCCTTTTCCAGCCAGCTCAAGAGCCTGTGTGTGCATTGCTTGTGGCCTTGTATATATTAGAGTTGAATCCGAGTATTAGTAATTAGTCATTACAATTACCATATCTTTTGTAGTAGTTTCAATGCATTTTTCTGATAGCATCTCAGAAAGAGAATCACATACTGTGGTATACAATGTAATGAAAATTGTGTTATTACTGCTTGTTTTCAAATCACAGCTTTATTATAAATGAAAGTGTTTTCTATTTAAAAGGTAAGAAAATGACATTCTCCATTAGAATTGTAGGAAAAAAATACTTTTTAGAAAATATTGCTTTAGCTCTTTATTAACTTCCCTGTTTTTGGCTTATCAGGAGGTATTAAATGTTAATTAGTATTGGTTCAGCACAGGATATTTTATAAATTATCAGTCCAGTCAGAAATGGATTTTCTTTACAGATACTTTAGAAAAATGACAGTCAAATTAAAAAATTGCCAACTTGTTCTATAGTCACAGTAACACTTCTATTTGCTGCTTATGGAGTGTAGTCTAGGAAATTTCATAAGGAAAGACAGCTACTCATGATTTTTAATTTCCATGTTAGTACTTAATTGTGTGATAACAGCTAATTTTTTTTTTCTTGGCTCACTGCAACCTCCGCCTCCCAGGTTCAAGTGATTCTCGTGCCTCAACCTCCCGAGTAGCAGGGATTACAGTTGCGCATCACTACGACCGGCTAATTTTTAATATTTTTGGTAGAGATGGGATTTCACCATATTGGCCAGGCTGGTCTTGAACTCCTGACCTCAAGTGATCCTCCCACCTCGCGGTCTCCCAAAGTGCTGGGATAACAGGCATGAGACACCGTGCCCGGCCTAATATTGATATTTTAGAGCATTACATTCTTAGTAGAATATGAAAAATATGAATTAATACATCATTGGTAAAATTAATAAACTGTAAAATGTACTGATGGGTTCTTCTTGACTATAGAATTAAAATATTTAAAACCACGTATTTATGCACTTAGGAGTTTATTACCTCCTCATGCACTTAAAAGACTAAAATGTTCTTTTCTTATTAAATTTTTTTTTTGAAACAGGGTCTTTTTCTTGCCCAGCTGGAGTGCAGTGGCATGATCATGGGTCACTGAAGCCTCAAATTCCTGGACTCAAGCGAACCTCCCACCTCAGCCTCCTGAGTAGCTAGGACTACAGGTGCGTGCCACTGCACGCAGCTGGCTTTTTTAGTTTTTGTGAAGACGGGGTCTCACTGTGTTGCCCAGGCTGGTCTTGAACACCTGGGCTCAAGCAATCCTCCTGCCTCGGCCTCCCAAAGTATCAGGATCACAGGCATGAGCCACTGTGCCCGGCCACAATTATTAATAGTTGTATTTAAAGAGACCAGCATAGCACGTGACCCAGAGTAGGCGTTCAGTGAATAAATGGGCATAGAACTGTTGTATTTAAGTTTGCTTCTATCCCATAGACTCCTACAGTTGGACCAGATTTGGATAGAATGCGAGCAAATTATGCCAGTGGGTTGGAGTTCATTTTACTTTTCCTTTAATCTACCTTTTTCTAAGGTTAGACTTTATTTGGCTATCATCCCTGCAGCTTTTATTTATTCATAAGCTTGAATAGCCAGTTATAAATGTCATATGTTTTATTATGCAGCAATAGTGTTCGATTTGGTACCTTGAACTGTTGTAACAATCTGACATGAAATACAATTAATGCACTAACAGGAGTTCATTTAAGGTATTTATTCTTATGCGTTATCTTGTGAGGAAGTGATAACAACATTTTCTTTTTTTCTTTTTTTGAGACGGAGTCTTGCTCTGTTGCCAGGCTGGAGTGCAGTGGCATAATCTCGGTTCACTGCAACCTCTGCCTCCTGGGATCAAGTGATTCTCCTGCCTCAGCCTCCCCAGTAGGTGGGACTACAGGCATGTGTCACCACGCCCAGCTGATTTTTGTATTATTAGTAGAGATGAGGTTTCACCATGTTGGCCCGGATGATCTCGATTTCTTGACCTCATGATCTGCCCGCCTCAGCCTCCTAAAGTGCTGGGATTACAGGTGTGAGCCACTGTGCCCAGTGATACAGTATTTTCTAAATAGCAATGCTTAAGCAGCAGCAGTTACGTAAAAGCATCATAACATTTAATACTTGTTTGTGAAATGTAGGATATGTTTATTTGAATATTAACTCTCATATAACTGCCTGTGTGCATTCTAGTATAGACTGCCATTGCTTTTCGTTAGTATGATAGAGATTCAAAAGTGACTAGGAACCTGGGAAATATACTGCAGAATGTATAGGTGAAGACATCGATTAAAAAAGAGCAAAGGTGAAGCAATGTCCATTTTGTTTTACTAAGAGCTGTAGAAGAAAATTCTGACCTCATAGAACTTTACCTACAAATTCAGAGGCACAAATGCGGAGTGGAGTTTTTTGTGTGCCCTTGCTCATTCAGCTGCTTTTGACTTTCAACCATAACAGGCGCAGACCTGTCATTCAGACTTAGGTAGGCTTAGTGTCTAGGATTTTAGTACATAGGAAATGTAATGTGGAGTCTCTTTAATCTCTTTCAATAAGTCACTTCAAGTCTACTGATGCTTTCTCTGCCTTTTGAATTGAAGCTTTGAAGCTGAGTATTGGAGCAAAGGATATTTGAACTTAGTGCCCAGGATGATTGATATTCACCACACACTAAGGGGCAGTGCTGCTCACTGCAAACATTACATCATTTATTAAAGGTAGAGATACATATCCTAGTATTCAAAAATTGAAACTTGAGTGACTTTGCATTGAATAGAATCATAAACCATTAAAAAAGTATGGAGAACCAAGGCAACACAATTTTGTTTAAAGTGAAGCTAAGTCTGTAGCTTAAAACAGGACTTGGAAACTGTGGCCCCCCACCTGTTTTTGTGTGGCCTGAAAGCAAAGAATGACTTTTATATTTTTTAGTGGCTAAAAACATCAAAAGAAGAAGGATATTTTGCAACATGTGAAAATGATACAAAATTCACATTCTAGGGTTCATAAGTAACATTTTCTTGGAAAATGGACACACATTTGTTTATGTATTGTCTTTGGCTGTTTTCGTGCTACAATGGCAGAGCTAAATAGTTGTGACAGAGATTGTGTGGTCTGCAAAAGTCAAAAATATTTGCTATCAGGCTCTTTATTGAAACAATATACCAACACCTGGCTTAAAAGTATGTGTAAGAAAGGTGGAAAGAATTATAACCAAGGGTTGATATAAGTGTTATGCAATTCTTTAAGAAAAGGGTTAAGTGAAGGATGGGTGTATAAAGGGAGAGGATATTTAGCCTTAAAGAGGGGTATTTGGGGACCTAGGGGTGACTGTGATTGAGGCATGGGAACTTCCTTGAAACATGTGAAAGATTGTCATATGGAATAGGAAATCAGCTTGTTCTCTAATGTCTACAAAAGTTAGACCTACAACCAATTTTTGGAAACCATGAGGTAGCAAATTGTAGCTTTGCATAGAGGAACATTTTTAACTTGTCTGAAGTTGGAATAGCCAGCCTTGTGAGGTAGTGGGTACTCCATCATTGGAAGAATTCAGACAGGCTGTACAACTAATTAGCAAGGACCTAGTAGTAGGGATTCAAGCATCAACCTGAATGACTTAAAAGTTCCTTTCTCATCTTGCGAGTTTATGATTTTATGAACTCTGTGTCAAGAAAAGATTTCTGAGTACAAAGTACACTTTTGATTACATCACTCCTCCTGCTCAAAAATTGTTTATAAGATCCTTTTGTCAATGGAATTAAGTAAAATTTTTAAGTTCTTTGTTGTTAGTTCCCAGTTTCTTTACACAGTCACACACTGGACATATTTCAGGTTCAGTTCCAGAACACTACAATAAAGCAAATATCACAATAAAGCAAGTCACATGAATTTGTTGGTTTCTCAGTGCATATAAAAGTTTTGTCTATAAGGCGAGCAATAGCATTATGTCTGAAAAAGTACTTACTTTAATTAAAAAATACTTTATTGCTTAAAAAGGTTAACAGTCATCTGAGCCTTTAGCAAGTTGTAATCTTTTTGCTGGTGGATGGTCTTGCCTCAGTGTGAATTGCTGCTGACTGATCAGGGTGGTTGTTGCTGAAGGTTGGGGTGGCTGTGGCAATTTCTTCAGAGAAGACAACAATGAAGTGTGCCACATTGATTGACTCCTCCTTTCACAAAAGATTTATCTTTGGCATGTGATGCTGTTTGATAGCATGTTACAGTAGAGCTTCTTTCAAAATTGGAGTCAGTCCCCTCAAATCTTGCCAAAGCTTTATTAACTAATTTTATGTATAATTCTGAATCCTTTGTTGTCATCTCAACAATGTTCACAGCATCTTCACCAGGAGTAGATGCCTTCCCAAGTAACCACTTTCTTTGTTCATCCATAAGAAGCAACTCCTCATCCACTCAAGTTTTATCATGAAATTGCAGCATTTCAGTCACATCTTCAGGCTCCACTTCTAATTCTAGTTCTCTTGCTATTTCCACCACATCTGCAGTGACTTCCTCCACTAAAGTCTTGAATCCCTCAAAGTCATCCATGAGGACTGGAATCACCTTCTTCTAAACTCTTGTTAATATTGGCATTTTGACTTCCTTCCATAAATCACGAATGTTCTTAATGGCATCTAGAACGATGAATCCTTTCCAGAAGGTTTTCAATTGACTTTGCCCAGATCCATCAGAGTAATCACTATTTATGGCAGCTATAGTCTTATGAAATGTATTTCTTAAATAATATGACTTGAAAGTCAGAATTACTCTTTGATCCATGGGCTGTAAATGAATGTTGTGTTAACAGGCATGAAAAACCTCAATATCCTTATACATTATCTCCATCAGAACTCTTGGGTGGCCAGGTGCATTGTCAAAGAGCAATAATATTTTAAAAGGAATCTTTTTTTGAGGAGTAGGGTCTCAACATGGGCTTAAAGTATAAATACTTCATACTATAAATAGTGCTGTCACCCCAGCCTTTGTTGTTCCAGTTCTAGAGCTAAGGTAGAGTGGATTTAGCATAATTTTTAAGAGCCCTAGGATTTTCAGAATAATAAATGAGCGTTGGTTTCAATTTAAAGTCACCAGCTGCTTTAGCCCCTAATGAATAAACCTGTCATTTGAAGCTTTGAAGCTGGGCATCCGCTTTTCCTCTCTAGTTATGAAAGTCCTAGATGGCATCTTCTTCTAATATTAGGGTATTTTGTCTCCATTGAAAATTCGTTGGTTAGTGTGGCCACCCTCATCAATTATCTTAGCTAGATTTTTCTGGATAACTTGCTGCAGCTTCTCCATCAGCACTTGCTGTTTCACCTTGCACTTTTATGTTATGGAAACAGCATCTTTCTATAAACTTCATGAACCAACCTCCACCAACTTTAAACTTTTCTTCTGCACCTTCCTTACCTCTCTCAGCCTTCATAGAATTGAAGAGTTAGGATCTTGCTCTGGATGAGGCTTTGGCTTAAGGGAATGTTGTGGCTGGTTTGATCTGTCCAGACCACTAAAACTTTCTCCATATCAGCAATAAGGCTGTTTGGCTTTCTTATCACTTGTGTGTTCAGTGGAGTAGCACTTTTTTTTTTTAAATTATACTTTAAGTTCTGGGATACATGTGCAGAATGTGCAGGTTTGTTACATAGGTATACACGTGCCATGGTGGTTTGCTGCACCCATCAATCCAGCATCTACATTAGGTATTTCTCCTAATGCTATCCCTCCCCTAGTCCCCCACCCCCCCAACAGGCCCCAGTGTGTGATGTTCCCTTCCTTGTGTCCATGTGTTCTCATTGTTCAACTCCCACTTATGAGTGAGAACATGCAGTGTTTGGTTTTCTGTTCCTGTGTTAGTTTGCTGAGAATGATGGTTTCCAGCTTCATCTATGTCCCTGCAAAGGCCATGAACTCATCCTTTTTATGACTGCGTAGTATTCCATGGGGGTATATGTGCCACATTTTCTTTATCCAGTCTATCATTGATGGGCATTTGGGTTGGTTCCAAGTCTTTGCTATTGTGAAAAGTGCTGCAATAAACATACATGTGCATGTGTCTTTAGAGTAGAATGATTTATAATCCTTTGGGTACATACTCAGTAATGGGATTGCTGGGTTCAATGGTATTTCTGGTTCTAGATCTTTGAGGAATTGCCACACTGTCTTCCACAATGGTTGAACTAATTTACACTCCCACCAACAGTGTAAAAGCGTTCCTATTTCTCCACATCCTCTCCAGCATCTGTTGTTTCCTGACTTTTTAATGATCGCCACCCTAACTGGTGTGAGATGGTGTTTCATTGTGGTTTTGATTTGCATTTCTGTAATGACCAGTGATGATGAGCTCTTTTTCATTATGTTTGTTAGCCGCATAAATGTCTTCTTTTGAAAAGTGTCTGTTCATGGGGGGAGGGATAGCATTAGGAGATATACCTAATGTAAATGACGAGTTAATGGGTGCAGCACACCAACATGGCACATGTATACATATGTAACAAATCTGCATGTTGTGCACATGTACCCTAGAACTTAAAGTATAATAATAATAATAAAAAGTGTCTGTTCATATCCTTCGCCCACTTTTTAATGGGGTTGTTTGGGTTTTTTTCTTGTAAATTTGTTTAAGTTGTAGATTCTGGATATTAGCCCTTTGTCAGATGGATAGATTGCAAAGATTTTCTCCCATTCTGTAGGTTGCCTGTTTACTCTGATGATAGTTTCTTTTGCTGTGTAGAAGCTCTTTAGTTTAATTAGATCTCATTTGTCAATTTTGGCTTTTGTTGCCATTGCTTTTGGTGTTTTACTCACGAAGTCTTTGCCCAAGCCTGTGTCCTGAATGGTATTGCCTAGGTTTTCTTGTAAGGTTTTTATGGTTTTAGGTCTTACGTGTAAGTCTTTAATCCATCTTGAATTAATTTTTGTATAAGGTGTAAGGAAGGGGTCCAGTTTCAGTTTTCTGCATATGGCTAGCCAGTTTTCCCAGCACCATTTATTAAATAGGGAATCCTTTCCCCATTGCTTGTTTTTGTCAGGTTTGTCAAAGATCAGATGGTTGTAGATGTGTGGTGTTATTTCTGAGGCTTCTGTTCTGTTCCATTGGTCTATATATCTGTTTTGGTACCAATATCATGCTGTTTTGGTTACTGTAGCCTTGTAGTATAGTTTGAAGTCAGGTAGCGTGATGCCTCCAGCTTTGTTCTTTTTGTTTAGGATTGTCTTGGCTATACGGGCTCTTTTTTGGTTCCATATGAAATTTAAAGTAGTTTTTTCTAATTCTGTGAAGAAAGTCAATGGTAGCTTGATGGGGATAGCATTTAATCTATAAATTACTTTGGGCAGTATGGCCATTTTCACGATATAGATTCTTCCTATCCATGAGCATGGAATGTTTTTCTATTTGTTTGTGTCCTCTCTTATTTTCTTGAGGAGTGGTTTGTAGTTCTTCTTGAAGAGGTCCTTCACATCCCTTGTAAGTTGCATTCCTAGGTGTTTTATTCTCCTGGTAGCAATTGTGAGTTGGAGTTCACTCATGATTTGGCTCTCTGTCTATTATTGGTTTATAGGAATGCTTGTGATTTTTGCACATAGATTTTGTATCCTGAGACTTTGCTGAAGTTGCTTATCAGCTTAAGGAGATTTTGGGCTGAGACGATGGAGTTTTATAAATGTACAATCATGTCATCTGCAAACAGACAATTTGACTTCCTTTCTTCCTATTTGAATACCGTTTATTTCTTTCTCTTGCCTGATTGCCCTGGCCAGAACTTCCAATACTGTGTTGAATAGGAGTGGGGAGAGAGGGCATCCTTGTCTCTCTCTTGTGCTGGTTTTCATAGGGAATGCTTCCAGTGGAGTAGCAGTTTTAACTTCCTCCAAGAGTGTTTCCTTTGCATTCACAACTTGGCTAGTTGTTTAGCTCAAGAGGCCTAGCTTTTGGCCTGTCTCAACTTCCTCACTAAGCTTAATCATTTCTAGCTTTTGATTTAAAGTAAGTCGTTTCCTTTTATTTGAACACCTAGGGGCCATTTTAGAGTTATAATTAGCCCAATTTCTATATCATTTTGTCTCAGGGAATAGAAGCGTGAGGGAGGGAGAGAGTTGGGGGAATGGCTGGTTGGTAGAGTGGTCAGAATACACACAACATTTATAAATAAAGTTAGCCATCTAATATGGTTGTGATTCGTGGTACCTCACAATGATTATGATAGTAACATAAAAGCTCACTGACCACAGGTCACCGTAACAGATATAATAATAATGATCTTTGAAATATTGTGAGAATTACCAACATGTGACACAGAGACATGAAGTAAACATATCCTCTTGGAAAAATGGCACCAATAGACTTGTTCAATGTAGGATTGCTACAGACGTGCAATTTGTAAAAGCACAATATCTATGAAGCTCAGTAAAGTGAAGTGCAGTAAAACGAGATACGCCTGTACTTTGATCCTAACTTAGCTGTATTCATCACTCATGCTGTGCAACATTTCCCAAGTTGATTTCTACCAAACGTTGTTCCAGGGTGTGCAAATCGATGATATGCAGAACAAGAGTTCTGTGTTCAGATAGAGTTGGGACGTGCTGATTATACTGAATCCTGCCATTCACATTTCCACTCTGCATTAGAATGCTAAAAGCTCTGAGAAGTCCTATCATAAAGAAATTTGTGTAACATTTTAAAAAACCAACATTTCCCATACACATTTGAACATAGGAATTTTTTGCCACAGCTATTAACACTACAGAGCAGTTTTCCGTTTGTTATTTTCCTATTCTCTTCTGTTGTCTTTATTGTTTTTGCATCTCCTCTTTTCCTCTTGTGTGCTGTTTTTCTCCAACTTCATTTTTAAATCCAGTGTGGGGAAATGGTGAGAGAAAGAGATAACTAGACTATACAATTGTGGAAACAGTTTGAGGTCCTATGAACAATTCCCTGTAATCCCCCACAAAATAGGAAGATAAAGATGTACAAGAATCTAGGAGAATATATGAAAGGAGAAATTATAGAAAAAGAATGTGCTTTTGACATCATGAAATTTCTCATAGTCATTTCATAGTCACTTATTCAATAAATGAGTCATTTTTTATTGGTAATCTAGCCTTTCTCCTTTTAACTTCTAGTTTTAGCTAGTGTTCTGTTTGTGATAACTTATGTTGCGTTAGGCAGTCATGAAGCATGAGAATAAAAAAATGGAGGCTGGGCGTGGTGGCTCACGCCTGTAATCCCAGCACTTTGGGAGGCCAAGGTGGGTGGATCACAAGATCAGGAGATCGAGACCATCCTGGCTAACATGGTGAAACCCTGTCTCTACTAAAAATACAAAAAATTAGCCGGGTGTGGTGGCGGGCGCCTGTAGTCCCAGCTACTCGGGAGGCTGAGGCAGGAGAATGGTGTGAACCCGGGAGATGGAGCTTGCAGTGAGCCGAGATCGTGCCACTGCACTCCAGCCTGGGTGACAGAGTGAGACTCCGTCTCAAAAAAAAAAAAAAAAAAAAATGGAGCTGGTATCTATAGAGAACATGACATGACCTGTGTGATAGGAAGGTAACACCCATACTTGTCCATTCCTTGATGTCTTTCTGTAGCGTCTTAGATTATTTTTCTGTCTGGAGTAGTTATTGACAGGTTAAAAGGAATGAAGGTATGAACTAATTACACAGTCCATTTATACTCATTTTGAGGTATTCTACTTCCCTGCTTAGGAGGCTGTCTCAAAAGTATTAGTTTTTTTTTCTGAATCACCCACATGAACCATGAATATATATCTAAAGATATCTCCAGTCACAAGCAACTATTACTTATTGAGAATAATAATAGCCAGAGGATATAGCTTAATGATTCACGAGTCAGCTTTACATAAAGACTCTATTTAGTCTCCCTAGAAACCAACGATCAAATCTCATCAGGGTCAACTTAGCCTTTTCTATAATAGGTAAATTGAATAACATGCTGTTTAATTTGTATGTGTGTTATTGAATGAAGCTATGGAGAATATTTGGTCTGCATACTAAAGATATCACTATTGTTTTGGTAAGTAAGGAAAATTTCAGAGTTATTGTTTCTAAATTATTTAACCCTGGGTGATTGAAGATACACAAGAAACTTGAACATGCCAGTGTTACATTAGAGTATTTTTAATAGGTAAACAATAATTCATTAATGAGCAATTTTTTTCTGGCTAGACTCTGGTTTTCTGCCTCCTTTTGGGTTTCATTTAGAGCCTAAAATTCATTTGCCTGGATAGTTGATCTTATTTTGTATCTTACATTTCCTATGTTGTATGCCATTTTTTTTGGATTTTATTTGGAAAGATAAAACTGAATTTTAAACAATTTTCCATTCTTAAAAAGTTACAGATTGCCCAACACTTAAATGTTCATTGCAGAAAATTTGGAGAATTCAGGCTAGTATCAAGAGAAAAATAAAAGTTATCAGTAGTCCTACTCTTAGGGATAGCCGATGTTAACCACTAGTAACATTATTGTTAATATTCTTTTAGCTATTTCTGTGTATATATATAATAATAATAATACGTGTCTGTGTATTCTGTTTCCAGATTACCAAAATTTTAGTTAGTTCCCAGTTTAACACTGCTCTAAACATTGTTTTGTAAATATTTGTATACATCTTATTTCCTTACAATACATTTCTGGAAATGGAATTGCTAGGTCAAAGGGTGTGAAAATTTTAAGATCCGTCGTTGAAATGTCAAATTTGCTTTCAAGAAAGGTAGTGTATTAGTCAGCTTGGGCTGCCATAACAGAATGCCACAGACTGAGTGGCTTAAGCAACAGGAATTTATTTTCTCACCATTATGGAGACTGAAAGTTCAAGATCAAGGTGCCAGCAGGGCTGGTTTCTGGTGTGGCTTCTCCTCCTGGCTTGCAGATGGCCACCTTCTGCACGTGGCATTCTCATATGGCCCATTGTTGGAGTGCGTGCAGAGAAAGGGAGAGCTTTGATGTCTCTTCCACTTCTTACAAGGACACCAGTCCTATTGGATTAGGGCTCCATCCATAGGACCTCATTTAACCTTAATTACCTCCTTAAAGTCCCCATCTTCAAATACAGTCACAAGTCCCCATCTTCAAATACAGTCACATTGAAGGTTAGGGCTTCAGATGAATTTTGCGGAGACATACCTCAGTCCATAGCAGATAGTAGCATTGACATTTCATCATCAGTGAATGAAAGTTCCCGTTTCAGCATCTTATTGTCAATGTCAGATATGTATACCATATATGTGCACATGCACACAAGCATGTACATATTGCTAATTTGATGAAGATGGCATTGTTTTACTTTGCATTTCTTTGGTCATTAGTTGCAGTGAAACTTGATTATAATGTTTGGACTTTTTTTTTTTTGGTGAGTTTTCTATTCCTGTACTTTGACCATTTGTGTGTGTGTGTGTTGGGGTTGTTCTTAATTGCCAGTAAACCTACATTTTCACTTGAGTGTTTAGCTATTCTGGCAGGCATTTTTGCTTATACAGAAAAGGAATCATATTTTAAAATATTATTTATCCTTTGATATTAAACCATTATTTACCTTTAAAATATAGCAAAGTATACAGGGTTAATAATATATGATATTCCGTATTAATGAATCATGTTTAATGTTCACCATACATTCGTAAAAAGTATTTATAGTTTGCATGCATTGATTTGCTGACAGTGAAATATAGGTAGTGGCAAGGTTAATGTAGAAATCTTTTCAGATATTATTTGCTCTGAATTAACAAATACAGCAGTGTTTCCTGTGATGTGGTCCCCAGAACTCTGATCCCACAAGATGTCCGGTGAGAAGAAAGTCTGTTGGTTAAATATTTTTGACAACTGCTGCATCCTGTACGCCCCACCTAGTGGTTCACAGTGCACATAGGGAACTGAAAGGCTCTGAGAAGCCATGTAATAAGTAAATCTGTTTAACTTTTGTAAACTGGGTACTTCCAAAACTTATTTTGACCATAGAACATCCCCTTATTTTTTTTTGTTTATGTGATTTATGTTAACTTTTTATTTTGAAATAAGAAAATTCACAAAAAGTTGTAAAGAAAATGTACAGGGAGGTCTCATGCACCCTTCACCCAGTTTTCCCCAATAGTAACATTTTGCAAAACTATAGTAAAATATCACAACCAGGAAATTGACATTCGTGTAATCTATAGAGCTTGTTCAGATTTCATCAGTTATACATGCGCTCGTGTGTGTGTGTGTGTGTGTGTGTGCAGTTCAATGCAGTTTTGTCATGTGTAGAGTTGTGTAACCTCCACCACCATAAGACTCCATTGTGCTATCTCTTTACAGTCACACCTACCCTCTCTCCTCTCCCTAGCTCCCGGCAACCATTGATCTGTTCTCTCTTTCTATAATTTTGTCATTTAAGGATGTTATATAAATGGAATAATATGGTATGTAACCTTTCGAAATTAGCTTTTTTTTTTTACTTAGCATAATTCCCTTGAGGTTCATTCAGATTGTTAACTGTATTAATAGTTCTTTCCTTTTTATTGCTGAGTAATATTATATGATATGGATGTATCATGGTTTGTTTAACCAGTCATCCATAAATGACATTTACCCCCACTCCTAATTCTGGTGGAATCTATTAATACCCTGTGTGAATATTGTCCTGAAAAATAGCAGTTTTGGAAATTCTATACCACAGAAATCATACAGTTAAATAGTTGTCAGCGTTTTAAAGATAATGATTGGGTTGCAGAAATTAAAAATCTTTATTACTTCATTTAGGAATTCCAGAGACGCTGTAACACTCTGATTTCATTGATTGAGAAAGAAAATATGGAAATTGAGGAAAGAGAGAGAGCAGAAAAGAAGAAACGGGCAACTAAAACTCCAATGGTAAAATTTTCAGCATTTTCCTAACTTTTAGGTAGATCCCATTTTTTTACATAATTAAAATGCCTATATTATGTTTAATGCCATAGTGATAGCTATTAATAAAAGCTGGTTTTATGAAATGCTAATTTGTTTTGGACAGAAGAAGAATTGCTTCACAACCATGTTTCTTATTTGTTTGTAGAACATATGGTTAGGAACTCCCTAGTAACTAGGCTCAGTATTTTAAAAAATTCCTCATGAATCTAAACAGAAGTATAATGCAAGTGAAATCTTTTGAATTGAGACTAGAGCTATCATGGGGGTAGCAGAGGGGTAGGGGTGGGATGGGATGGGGCTGAAGTTGAAACTAGGAGTTCTGATTTGATCAAGTAAGTTTTCTGATGTTTGTGGAATTATGAGTACAAATGGGAACTCTGAGCAGACAACAAAGCTTTGCTTGGTAATAAGTGAACTGTTGAATTGATAGGATAACTTGATTTTAATCCAGTCAGGTTGCTTTGTACAGCTGTAATTTAAAATATTCTTTAATAGATCGTATTATTTGAGTGTGGTTAAGTAAACTGCCATATTTCATCGAATCTAAGATGCCTTCCATTGTAAGACACAGCATTATTTTATGTACCACTGAGGGAAAATGCTGCCAGGTGTAATTTGTCATCAGTTGTAAGTTGCATCCTGATTTCAGAGATGCTAAAATGTGAAAGAAATGTGTATCATAGAAGATATGAAATATGGTATGTTAAAACCTATCATAAGTTTTTTAAAAAATATATACTCATAAACAAAATTTTGCCCAGAAAACATTAAGTAGTTCTTTAAGATAAGAGTACATTTATAATACCATGTGTAAGTAGATACTTGATGACTATTTTTGATGGGTATTTTATGTCTTTTCATAAAAAGAAACATCTTTGAAGGTTATTTTACATTGGGTTATATAGTTTGTTGGGCTATATAGAACATTAACTGTGAATATAACATTTAAGTGAATATTCATGTTAAAATTTTTTTTTAATGCATTTACATCCTAGATTTAACATTGTTGGGCCATTTAAAATGTGCATATTGGAGCAGAACATTAAATCTGTTTCCATTTTAGTCACAGAAAAGAAAAGCAGAGTCAGCTACTGAGAGCTCTGGAAAGAAGGATGTCAAGAAGGTGAAATCCTAAAGCCTAGAAATAAAGTTTTAAATGGGAAACTGCTATTTTCTTGTTCCCATCTTCAAATGCTAATTGCCAGTTCCAGTGTATTCATGGTACTCTAAGAAAAATCTCTTTGGTTTTGATTTCTTGCATATTTTATATATTTTACAATGCTTTCTACCTGAAATGTGTAGCTTTATATTTTATGGCATTCTAGTATTTTTGTGTACTGTATTTTGTGCATTTCATGTCTTCATCAAAATCCTCTCAGTCCTTGTTCTTTTGAAGCTTGTGCTGAGGTTTTAGCTTTTCTATGTTTTATATGCCGCTGCTTTGAAAGAGAACCTAGATTCTATAGTTGTATTATTGTTGTTTCATACTTTAAATTTATATGGCTGTGGAAAAACGAATTAAAATGTTTTGAGGAGAAAGACTTTTTCACTTCTTTGTTGCTTTCTTTTCTATTGAGTCTGGGCTTGTTTGTGTTACTGCATACTGTGATTAGCATAATAATTGTTTCTTTGAGGTCATCTAAATATTTTTTTCCTAAAGGAATAAAGGGTGAGGAAAGAAAAATATTAAAAAAGCTAATATTTGATACTGTGCTTGCTGTCAGTATGCATTACATTTAAATTATTCTCTATTCAAGTGGGAAAATATAATAAAGAAATGTCTATAAGAAATTTAATTATTTCCTGTTTTTTTGTGCAGTAGAAAGTAGTTGTGTTTACTGAATTGTATTGCTTACTACTGTGTATTTGGTTCAAAGTTAAAGCTTTGCTTGCTGACTTGTGTGTGATCTTCTGTCCCATAGAGCCAGTTCAGAAGGGCCTGGGTGTAACATGTAGAATTATTAACAATTAAGTTTAGAGTATGAAATAAGCACTATGTATGCAGAAGAAGGGGGGCTGTGTTTGTCAGGAATACAGTTATGCTCAGGTAACAATCTCAAAGTGTCAGAGGTTTTACACACCAAGAGTTTTTTTTTCTTGCTCACACTACATATCTCATGCAGGTCAGAGGGATGTGGGAATGGGAAGGGATCTGCTCCACACGGTAACTCAAGGTTCCAGGATGACTAAGGCTCTGCTATTTTGTGGCTGCAACATCTGGAACATGTGGCACTTAGGCTCTTTACTGCCTCGGCCTAGAAGTGACACATGTCACATCCACTTATATTTCATTGCCACCAAAGTAGTCATGTGGTCCTATATACCTGAAAGAGGGCTGGCAGATGTAGGGGAATAAATGGAACGTCTTACATTACTGCCTCTGTCACAGAGACTGTCAGTTCAGGAACGAAACTGGGTCTATTACATGAAACTTTTAGTGTGGAATTAATCAGAATCTGGGTCAGGTTGTAAGACAGCAGGGAAAATGGATCAAAATCTAGTGTGAAATACACAACCAATAAGTAAAGCTGAGAATGCAGGATAATGATGTTAGTTACCAAAACAAGGTCTGGACCACTAAAGAGTTGTCTCTTCCCCCTTCCAAGATCTTTTGCATTTCCTATCAGACTCTTTTTAGTGCACTACTAGCAAATTCTGGGTAGCCCCTGAGTGTTAGTCAGCATTCTTCACATCCTCAATCTTTTCATAGAAGTTCTCCAACAGAGGAATAGATCTTCTAGAACAACAACCCACTGTCTGTTGGACTCTTCTAAGTCTCCATTCATTGTCCAGATTTTATATCTCTTACTGCCATGTTTCTGGTTGGATTATTTTTTCTGTTTCCACTATTAGCACTTAGACTCTTGTACCCTGTTGGGGGTTGGGGTAAAATTGGGGTTCTATTAAGAGACAAGGTTGGGACGATATTATATCAGGGGACCCAGGGATACCCAAATCTGTCCTTGGCTTAGCTGCCTTTTCTGTAAGAAAGGGAGGCTAAGGTGAGCAAAGTAATACTTCACTAGCTGGTGCTTTGGCTGCAAACTCCAGAGCTCTTCAGCCCAAAATCTAACCTTGGAATTTTCCACTCCAATGATATGAATAGCTATAGTTAGTCATCTGCGCTGGAGAAAATGATACCAGGGAGTTTTACTGATAACCCCAAGTTCTGTGCAGTAGAAAACAGCCTAATGAGGGTCTGGACTCTGATCAGTCAATTCAGCCTTTCTTTTCCTAGGGAGCAGAGAAGATGGCAGGTGGGAGTGGGCACAGTTACGGTCTTTGAACCCCAGCATGGACATTTAACAATCTCTACTTCTCATTCTTTCTCTGGTAATCCAAAGGGTTCAGTAGCTGAGCTAATATGTGATTCTCTACCTTAGGGGAGAAAATCTGCAGGTAAGTTCTTGTAGCCTTTTCATGGAGTCATTTCCCTGTTCCATATCATGGCTGTTATGAGTCTTTCTTGGACCAAAGTGATGTGAAATTCAGCTCCCCAAGGCCTTCAATGGATGCTTCTGATGTCATCCTTAGAAACTTGTGAAATAGTTTTATTCAGGACTTAACTTAAAGACCACACTATATATTTAGTGAAAAATTCACCTATTCTACTTCTCATCTTAAAGTATGTATAGCTACACTGTTGAACCTAGCCTACCAAACAGACCCATACAGTGAATACCAGATGATAGCTTAGTCCAAATAATAGCATCTTGGAAGTACAAAAATGCCTCAAGTCTGAATATGAAACCCCTCTTATTGTTAAATTTCTACAGAGAAATTAAACTCCCATTGAAAATGTAAAAATCCCAAGAAGGAAATACCATTTCAAACAAGTGGTCTAGACATGGCTGCTATGTTGGGGAGAGAAACCTGGATTGTCAGTTTACTGTATCAGCTCCGTGGAGGCCAGAGGAAGCAGAAGAGAGTGCTATATATGTGAATGCAGTCTTATAAAGCATAATGACTCTGCCCACCAGCAAAAATGGTCCAGTGGATTACATTGGAATCTGACCCAACCTGATTCCTTGTTTGGAAAATGTACAAGGAGGAAAGTGAGCAGAGAAACAGAGACCCTGAGTGGCTTCCTTCACTCAAGGCCTCTATCTGTAAAAGATAAGGGGTGAATGGGATTTCCCAACAACCCTAGATCTTCCACAGAGGTCCTTGTAAAGCTCTGTCTTGATTCATTGGCTAATCAGGCTCTAATTTCCTTAGAATCAAAAGAAGGCAGGTGGTGAGCTCAGTAATCTCTTGTTTTCATCGTAGCCGTTGGTATGGCTTTATTGTATAGTTCTATCTTTTTCTCTGGCTACCTGGCCTACAGGTGTTATGCTATACTTGGATACTTTTCAGATTACACAGTTTTCTCGTGAAATATGTTTCCAAATTTGGTTCTTCGTCTAAGACTCCCAGTTAAGAGAAGTTTTTGAACTAAAATATTTGCAGCTATCTTAGTTGCTGGCTGTTTGGTTTGAAAAGCCTCTACCTAACTGGTGAATCTATCTACTGTCATCAAAATAAAATGCTGTTATTTCCTAATTATTGGCAAAGGTCCCCTCTGTGGTCTATTGTTCCCCCTCTATGGTGCAGTAGCCAGTGCAGCTAAGAGTCCCAGGTCAGCTTCAAGGCCACCACGTCTTTCTCTCCAGGTGTTCTTACCAATTCCTGAAATCCTCAAGTTGTTACCAAATTTCAGACTTCTCTGAGTATTCCATCTCATGTTTCCTTCATCTTCCTAAGCCATCCTGCCTAATAGACAAGGAGTAATATTTTTCTGTGGTTGAAATACACATAGCTTATACTATCCTGTCACCTATCCCTCAGCCTTATTATTTCTGTGTGCTCCAACTGATTTTTGCCTGCCACTATCTCTTTCTGAAGGCTTTTTCAGAGACTTAGAAGGCTTCTCTACCCTCCACATGGTAGGCTGGAAGAGCTAGGGATTAACGCATCTGGAAGTGGCTCTGAATAAAAAAACTGATGGGAGTTGGTGTATGAATGCCCCAACTCTCTTACCTCTTGAGCAAGGTAACTAAGGTATGTGATTTATGGTTCCCCAGAGTTTACCCACCGGATTAAGCTCCAGCCACCCACAGTAGTGGCTGTCTTGATAACACACTCTATTAACTGCTTTTTTTCCCCTGTATCACTTCCCTACTCCCCTGTAGGTATTTCCTTAGGTCAGCTCCTGAATAAACTACTTGCATTAGAATCTTCGTATCAGCATTTGCTTCTGAGGGAACTCAAATTAAGATACTCACCTTGTGTGCATAGCTCTTCTTACCCCTTAGTAATTCATTTAGAAAGCGTAGGGTGTTTAATAAGAGTAATGACTGGATAGCATATTATTAATCTGTTCTTATAAATTCTATTCCCTCCGTGAACAGTTAGGGGGTGGTGTGACTGAATCAGGGTATTTTGCACTGGGAACCCCTAGCTCTTCTAGGCTACCTTACAGAGGCTAGAGAAGCCTTCCAGACCTCTGGAAGCTAAATAACAAAATAAATTTTCTTGTATCACCAATAGCTATGGTATTGGGTGTTATTATTATTATTATTATTATTTGAGACAGAGTCTCTCTCCGTCGCCCAGGCTGGAGTGCAGTGGCGCCATCTCGGCTAACTGCAAGCTCCGCCTCCCGGGTTCACGCCATTCTCCTGCCTCAGCCTCCCGAGTAACTGGGACTACAGGCGCCCGCCACCACGCCCGGCTAATTTTTTGTATTTTTAGTAGAGACGGGGTTTCACCGTGTTAGCCAGGATTGGTCTCGATCTCCTGACCTCGTGATCTGCCCTCCTCGGCCTCCCAAAGTTCTGGGATTACAGGCGTGAGCCACCACGCCCGGCCAGTATTGGGTAGTATTATTAGGCAGAGGTTCCAAGGTTCTCAAGTGTTTGGTAAGGCCAAAGCTGGTGCCCAAGCTATTGTCTTTTTAAGTGTTCTCCATGCTAGCTGGTATCCCTTCCCTGTACCAGTGTTTCATTTAGATAATTGGACCAAGCATCGGCCTTTCTTACTGTAATGCAACCATTACAAAAGCTTGTTGATACCAGGCTCTTTTCATTTGTTGGCCTAGTGACTTTATCGTTTGTCCCTTTCCTGATACATTGCTCTCCTGCTAAGGAAACTTTCATCTAGGCCACTGTAGTCAGATCCAAGCTGTATCTTTCCGTTGACTTTCTTCCCTGTCTGTATTGCCCCCAAGATATGCTTGGTTAATTTCTGATCTTTCTGTGATATAGATACTAGAATTCATCAATATATTGGATTACCAAATTATGTGGGCTGTCTTCAAGAGTCTCCATATATCTATGGGAGGTTGATGGTGAGCACTATTCATCTCCCAACTGTCTACCTCTCATCATGAATAGTTTTGAATTAACATATCTCCTTCAGTGGTGGAGCTCAAAGCCTATTTGCTAATCCAAGATAAAAAAGATCTTTGCATAAGGTCTCACCTTTGCTAGAATATTTATTATGTGACCATCATCATCATCATTTAGGATTGATACCTTATTCAGCCCTCTCCTGAAATCAACTGTAAGTTTCCAAATGCCATTTGTTTTTGTACTGGCATTTAGTTTTGTACTGGCAATAAGATCACTGCTGAAATATGATAACTTACCCCTTTCTACTAAGATTGTCGTGGTATTTCATCTACTGTTTCCTAATGTATGTTAGCTACACTGTTTACAGTTAGGTAGATGGTTTCCCTTGCCTTCATGAGAAATGATTGCAATTGGGTCTGAGATCTGGGTGCTGTATCTATGTAGGTATATCCTTTTCTCCTTTCATATATGTCTATCCTGGTTTCTAAGATCTCAAGCTTTCTCCCTTTCCTAGTTTTGTTTATTGAGACACGGTCTCATTCTGTCCCTGAGACTGGAGTGCAGTTTTGCAATTATGGCTCACTGCAGCCTTGACTTCCCTGGCTTAGGGGATTCTCCCACCTCAGCCTCCCGAGTAGCTGGGACTACAGGTGTGCACTGCCACGACGGGCTAATTTTTTGTATTTTTTGTAGAGGCAGGGTTTCGCCATGCTGCCCAGGTGGGTCTCGAACTCCTGGGTTCAAACGATCCTCCCGCCTTGGTCCTCCAAAAGTGATGGGATTACGGGTGTGAGGCGCCGCACCCGGCCTCTTTTCCTAATTCTTTCCTAGCTTGCTTGCCACCACTTCCAAAGCAATAACTATCTCCCGGGCAAGAGTTTTTAGTTCATTTAAAGTACCCTGTAATCTAACCTATCCTATCCTGTAGTCTAACCTATCCTATAATGTAACCTAACCTAACCAAGGGCCTTTATTTCCAGGCCGACCCAATTCTCAAAGCCACGACATTCTGGATATAGTTATTATTTAATGCCCTACAGCATTCTGGATATGGTTATTATTTAATGCCTTTTTGACCTTTGATCTTTTTTCTTTCATTAACTTTTACTCTTCACCTCAGTCCAAGAATAAGCTACTGTGTCCATGTAGTGAAGGTCTTAATCTCTTTTTATGAGTGAACTCTACCTTCCTTCAGTGATTGCACCCACACTCTGAGGTCTCTGAAGTCCACAGCCATAATTAGACTCTTGGCTGATATTTATTGAAGATTCCTGATCAGGAAAGCAACTGCAAGGTGTGTCTTGTCTTTTGATTAGGACTTGCAAATCACTAAGGGTTATTTTTTTTTAACTCTATCTTTTCTCCACAAATTCTTATATTAGCGTTTATGCAGTGTCCAAATCAGAGTCAACATGAGAACATATGGTAGGGAAGGGACTCAGAAAACTTTACAGGAGGCCATGACACCTCAGAATTTTATGTGACCATCATTCTCTATCTCCGGATACAAGTTAAAACAAAGTCCAGAGGAACAGAATCTAGGTCTGTCATCTAAGTTGGGTGTATGAGTATTTGGATCTAATGATCCATTAGGCCAAAAATGTTACACACTAGAATTCTGTTTATTTCAGGGAGACCTAGCTGCAGAACCTTGTGGCTCCTGCAGTTTGAAGTCATGGACAAGGTTATCCCAGCTCCTAAAATGAATGTTTACACCAATACCAGCACCTGCCTGTTACACATGGGAGAGTATATACTGGCCCTACAGCAGCAGTGCTTCAAGTTTGAGGACTAAACCTCAATCTCTTTTGTGGGACTTTATTCCCCAAATGTCCCTGGGGAAGACAGTTGCCCTGTTTTCTGAGATCATGTCAGTGTCAGGGACAGAGGTGAGATCCAGGCACCATTAAGGGATGAGTTATGGTAGTGATTGGCCAGGTGACTTGGGAATATTTAAATTCTGCCTTGGCCCTGTCACCCTGGTATGTTCCACAAGAGACGCATGTGACTAAAGAGTGGCAAAGGAAGCAAAATAACATTGGGGGCATTAGCCCCCAGACTCTATTTCAGCACTGTACTAAGCTGACCACAAGGAAGCTTAGAGTAGAGACAGTGTGGAACTCAGAACCAAAACAGGATGAATAGCTTAACATTTCTCTTAAGCCAAAGTCAAATTTCCAAATTTACCATTCAAATGAGAAAAAAATGTTACAGCCACCAGCTTCAGAGAGAATGAACCCAGAAAGGGGCTTTCTACCTGTATGGGATTGTTTATATTCTCAGGGCTCCACCCACTAGAAACTGTGGTTCTACAGTGCCCAGGAATCTTGCCCATCAATTCAGTACTCCTCCACTACTTGGGTAGGAGGCTAGGGAGCAGACTAGAGAGGAACTTTTAACTCCTTTGCCTGGAAGTCAATATGGACACTGTGCTTATCTTGCTTAGATGCTTAGCTATGGCAACCAGGTACATTCTTTAGTGTGTGCTTGATTCTGTGTTTATATGTGGCTGGAGCATTGACTAATACAGAAGGTATCAAAAGAGGTACCATGATAGAATGCAAACTCAATAACCTGTGAGAATCACATCATCTATGTGGGATTTCTTATTTTCTAACACATTTTTTGATTATTGGTGAGATTCTTTATGAGCGAACTTGAATCCTTGAGACAATGGTTTACTATACCATGGTGTCACAGTATTTTGAGTCTTCTGGGAAATGGCAACTTGCTGTTGTTTACGATACTGGGAGAAAATGTGACACTTTCATATGCTGTTATAAATGCACATATACTGAAATTTGAATATGGATGGACTGTGTTTTTAAATGATTTGTTTTTATTTTGTAGTTTTTAAAAAAGCAATGTAGACTATATGTGAATAGTTCGCATGCCATAATTTTCCTCACGTGGAGATCTTCTGCAATGCTAGGTAGGTGCTGTGGTATGCCAAGCTGCACTGCTTAAGCCTCATAGAACTGGAACTAGTGATTGCATCTCTCAGGATGCAGGGATATGGATTTACTCTGCTGAAGGAAAACATTCAGTCATATTCAGAATTTTCAGCTTTAGGCTTTGAAGACAACTACACTTGTTTTGGCTTTATTTTTAGGCTCCATGTCAGTTACCTTTTGCTGCATAAAAATCTACCCTAAAACTCAGTGGCTTAAAACAACCAGTTGCAACTCACAATTCTGTGGGTTAGCAATTTGGGTTGGGCTCAGCACCTCATGGGCTCAGCTTCTTTCAAGGTGTCAAATTCCTATTTATACATTCAAAGAAATCCTTATAAGTTGACATAGGGGTATTAAACTCCTAGTAAAGTTGAATTCTTATAACCAGAATGGTTCATAGTCTGAGAAGAAGAAAGCAATATGCAGAAAAAAAAATGGCCTTGAGGTCAAAATAGTAGGGCCAAAACTGGGCAGTGAGATCAAAATGCCCTGTGTTGTTTGAGAATACCCTGAGGTTCAACATATTTATTGAGGTCCAGGGATGGTCCTACCATCCCTTTTCTGTCACTGGGCCAGAACTCAGACAAGCTTTTTTGAGGCAGGAGACCTTTACCTTTGCTACCTAAGCTGTTTGCTTCAGAACAGGCTTTCCTGTCACTTTTGCTGCCACCAAAGTTGTCAAGATTTGTAATCCCATAATTGCCGTTATTTCCGTGGATGGGGCTGGACTGTGCCCTGTTACTTGTTATGACTAAATTAATGTATCTGGGGCAAAATGTCTCAACTCCCATCTCACTGGTCCCTAAGTGAGATCCCCACTCAGTCCACCGTTGGGCAAAGATGTTCCAGCAAAAATGGTTTGAAATTCAAATGCTTGAGTCATCTTTCTGGTCTCATAGTGGTTTGATCTCAGAAGCTTTGTTGCTCTTTCTGCCACTGGACCTTGGCCATAGTCATCTCTGTCCATCCTGACAAATGTCATTAACTTTCTGTATTCATTTAAATTGTACTTGTCTGTTTATTATTTACTCATTTGTATATTCATGCATTCATTTGTTTATTAACATTCTTTATTTTTAATTGCACCTCAGGTTAAACCCCAGGGAGAAGGGGTTGTGGCCGTGACCCCTTCTCTTACAGAATACCCTTCAAGCTTTGTATCCATAGGGACAGTCTGTCTCTTTTTCTTTCTTTTATTGCCCTTGCTTCTCTCATTGGCTCTGTGTCTCTATCATCTTGTTACTTGCTTTCACTTGCTCTTACACTCAAACAATATAAATAGCTCCTCAGGCACTCTGGTAACTCGCTGACTACTTAAATAAGAACCTTAAATAAGAACAGGTGGGTATTATAAGGACATCAGCAAGCAGGAATCGAGGCAGTTAATGCTCTTCATCTCTCTCTGGGGCTACATGATGTCTCTCTCAACGTCTCTGTCATTGTCATTCTCTCTCTCAGCATCCCTGCTTCTCTCTGTATGTGTCCATAGCCCTAATCAATGGCCTACTGATTTTGTGCACGAGTTCTGCTTTTATTGTTACTTTTTCTTGCCATGATCCTTCGTAGATCCCTCTCTTCCTCAGGACATTTTTGGTAAACTCTAACTCTCATTTCTAACTGCTGCCGCCTTCACGTTTTTGAATGGGAGAATCATATGGGCATAGATCATCTTCTGCATCGGGTCACATTGTAGGTAAGTGACTCGACTGACTTGGCTACAACTGGGTCGGGTACACCCTGTGGCTAAAGGGTGAGGTCATGTGATATAAAACTTGGCAGCAAGAGCAGCAGAGGTTGCAAGCAGGCAGTGGACTAACAGGCAGTAATTGACATCTTCATATAGTCTGTTTCTTGCCCATTAGTACACTAACCTTTCTCCTATATACAATACTAAAGATGTCTCTGCCTAAAACCACCTACCTATTACACCTCAACCACAAACACGTGCTTCCAGGAGAGACACAACTCAGTTTCATCTAGAAGCCATATGAAAGGATCATATTAAAAGCTGCCTGTCAGTCTCTGTCTGCAACCTTTAGGGGACATCCTTAAATTTTTCAGTTCCTGGGCCTGCTTATGGTCTTTGGTTCAGAGTATATATTGCATCCTTGCAGCTGCTTGGGAATGATGAATTATATACTGAAACCAGTAAGCATAAACTATTGCAGAGGAGTTCTTTCATCAGCAAATCTGACCAACTGGGGAATCTGCCTCTGGGAGGATTATCCCTGAGATGATCTAAGGGCAGCAACAGTCCACTTCTAGGTAATGTTGGTACTCTGGGAAAAGCCAACTTGAGGGGTTGGTTCTCAAACTCGAACTTGGATTGGAATCACTTGGAAGACTTGTTAAAACTCAAACTGGTCTATGGCCATACCACCCTGAACGTGCCCAATCTTGCCTGATCTTGGAAGCTAAGCAGGGTTGGGCCTGGTTAGTACTTGGATGGAAGACCCCCTGGGAATACGGGTGCTGTAGGCATTATTTAAATTTAATTTAAAAAAAATCCAGAATGCTGAGCTCCATCTCCAGAGCTTCTGATTCAGTAGGTACTTGCATTTCTAACAAGTTCCCAGGTGACGCTGATGCTTTTGGTCCAGGAATCACACTTTGAAAACTGCTGTTTCTAGGGTGCCAATTTGAATCCAGGCGTTTGGTGGTTGAGCTGAAGTGGGCTTTGTTGTATCGCTGTATGGTAGTTTCAGTCCAGGAGAATTTCACTAGGTCATCTGACAGTTGTGATCCTTAGCAGCCCTTGATTTGTAAACTCAAAACAGAGGTCTCCCTGTGTTGTCCCTCCTGGCACCTGGATTGCCACTGTTCCTCATATGCTGATTGTGATGTCCATACTCACCTGGGATTAACTGTTGCCATTTGTGTCCAATGCTAGCTCCTCCCATCTTCTTTTTATATAGTGATACTTCTATGATCACCTCTTGCATTCTCATTTCCTGCCAGGAAGGACTAATGCCCCATGCGTGAATCTTTCCATGCTTCCCAACTCAAATTCCCAAGACTGGGAATCTGATTGGCTGGCCAGTTTATTTTTGTGCCAGCCATGTCAAAGGTTGGCTGGCTTGTGGATTTTCAGCCCTTGAGTTGTGAATTCATCCTAAGTCTCACTGGCTGTGTCCAATGAAGGGCAGACTAATATAATACATAACATGGCTGCTAGACAGTAGGGGCTAAGAGTAGAGTAGGTAGACAAAGGGCCTGGGGTCTGGCAGGCGTTGATGGACATTTTGAGTACAGTGTATTGACTAGCAGATTGATTTTTAGATGGTACTCACCATACTGTTTATTTTAAATTATACTGCTATTACTATAATATTAAAATATAATATAAATTAGAATATAACAATACTGGCAATTATTTAATAACCAGGTAAAGTTGATTTTATTAGAATACCGAATACTTCTTAGTTATTGGTAAATAGTTCCTTCCCTGAACCTTTCGAATGCCTTCTCTTACCCCAACTGACTTGATCCCTTCCTGAGACCCCCAACACCTTCTTACTACCCAACAACTAAAGGGTTATTTTGTGGCATAGCAGAGAACTCCAGGCTTCTGCTTCAGGGCTAGGGTTGGCCTCCTCCATTTTGATTGGCTTATGTCTGTGCCATTCTGGTTGCTAATTATTTTGAATGCCACCCCATGACTTGGATGGAAAGAGGATCCAAAACTTATATTACAGAAGGCATGTGTACAATATTTTCTATGTGTACTTGCATCAATGTAGTTGTAAATAAAACATTTCATAGTTTGGTTGATTTGTTCTAAAGCAATTTCAACATGTCTTGCTTAAAAAAGAAAAGGAAAGCATGTCTTTTAAAAAGCATTTTAAAACTGATAATCTTTCCTTAGGTTCACTGTCTTCCTGCAAGTAAAATAAATTTTGGTCACAAATCAGAATGATTAGATTGCCTGTAGGTTAGTACTACATTCCAGTAAAACTAAGCTAAGGAAAAAAAAATCCCCTTTACTTTACAGAGAAGAACTGATTTAATAGTATACACTAATGTATTAGAATCCCCTGCAGGGCTGTAATGGAAAACAAACTCAAAACAAACCAAGCACTGTTCAATGTTTTAATTCCTAGTAGGGATTTGGCATTATGTATCATGTCTGGCCATAGGGCTATACGGTGGATGATCCAAGAATTGAGTAAATAACAGGGTCCCCAAATGAACGTATGTTCATAGAACCTATGATGTCTTGAAACAAGCTAAAATTCATTAACCAATAATAAAATGTGTAGGATGCAAAGTATTGCCCCGAACTTTCACAGAACAAAATTACATTGGGTATAATCTTAAGCAGTTGAGGTATAATTGTGGAAAGGAACTACATTATGTAGTCCAAGTTTAAAGAAAATTAACTTTAGAAAATTCAGAGGGAGCCAGGAGCCTTAATCAAGAATTGTCTCCTGTTCCTAACCCCTTCAATGTATGAAGCAATAAAAATGTACCACTCAGATTTATTAAGATATGAAGCATGACTATAAAGCCACATGAGTAGTTGTGTGTGACTTGTGGAATCAAGGTAATTACTTTAGCGTTATAAACTATGATTATACCTCTTTGGGGAGGTGAAGTAGTCTGGTGAATAGACATTGCACCAGATGTCAGGAAACAGGTGAAGTTGCCACACTCCTGCTAGGCTATATACAGATGATGTAGTGGTATCATGGTATGGGGGAAAGAGCATAGGTTTTGGGAATCAACCAGGTTGTAGGCCTGGTTTCTCCACTTAACTAGCTAGGTGAGCTTGACACATTATCTAACTTTCCTGAGCATGCATTTGCCTAACTCTGACGTGAGGATGACATACTCAGGGCTGACACTGAGTTGATACCAGCGTGGGTGGAACAGTTGTTTATAGCTGAGCTCTATCAGAGTCCACTCTGATTGGTGGGTGCCTATGTTGTACTGGTTGTTAAGTATGTTGATTATCACTATTAATAGGACTTAATGGGTAGGGTTATTGGAAGCATAAAATGAAATGATATATGTGGAATTCCTGGCATACAAATGCGACTGACTTAATATTAGTTTTATTTATTTTCCTGTATGACTTTAAAAAATTGTTTTTCAACCTAAAGGTGAGAGAAAAATTTCTGGCACTTGTTATCACTGTGATGTTAAGAGGTTAAGGAACTGTTTATATCTTATATTTATTCAGGATCTATTAAACAAATATGAAGTTACTACTTTATGCTAGGCATTGAGGATGCTGGGCGTAAAAGGGTGAAGATGGCACTGTCCCTACCTTGTATGCATTCACAGTCTAGGAGGAGCAGTAAACTTCTGATTTCAATCCAAACAACCCTGAGAGTCAACATGAACCTGTAAGGTCAACATTTGTGCAGATTTAGTAGAGTTCTCCTCTAGGCAGGTACAGCTTGCTTAGCAGCTGAGCTCAGGGTGGATTTTAACTCCCCCTTACTCCCTCATCTGTGTGCCCTGTGCAGTGCACAACCTACACAATTACACAAGGCCCTGAGAACGTTATAACTGATGTATACCCCAGGTGCTATAGGCCTGTAGTGGTAGGAGGTACTGAGTTTTGAAGGATAAATGGCATTTGGCCAAATAGAGATGAAGGAGAAAGCCTTAGCATGTGTGCAAAGACAGAGAGGTATGAAAGAACTGGGAGAGATTAGAGGAATAGTGGGTTTTCCAACCAGACAATATATTTGGACTCTTGGTATTGAAGAAAGTGATGACAATGTAAGTTATATTTATAGACTCTTTAAGTATACAGTTTACCATAATTACATCTAAATATTAAAACCACTTTATGTGGGCCGGGCGCAGTGGATCACAAGGTTAGGAGTTCGAGACCAGCCTGGCCAACATAGTGAAACCTCGTCTCTACTAAAAATACAAAAAATATTAGCGAGGCGGTGGGTCACAAGGTCAGGAGTTCCAGATGAGCCTAGTCAAGTTAGTGAAACCTCGTCTCTACTAAAAATACAAAAAATAGCCAGTTGTGGTCGCGGGAGCCTGTAATCCCAGCTACTCGGGAGGCTGAGGCAGGAGAATCGCTTGAACCCAGGAGGCAGAGGTTGCGGTGAGCCAAAATTGCGCCGTTGCACTCCAGCCCAGGGGGGCGACAGTGCGAGACCCTGTCTCAAAAAAATCCCAAACAAACAAAAAACTACTTTATGTGTAAGTTAATGTTTTTTCATTTTTCTTAGATTAGCTAGCATGCTTCCCATTTTAAAATTTTCATTTGTGTTAAAAAAATTGCTTCTGGTTAATGAGAACACACTGTCCTCTAAGGTTATTTGAAGTCATCTAGTATTTTTCCACCAGGCCTTGAGCCTCAACAAAGGTCAGTGATCAAAGGAGACTCAGATGACTTAGTGAGATATTATTGTTTTTAAAAAAAGAATGTGGAGCCTTTTGTTACTGAATTATGGATATGCATTTGCTTCGTAGAATATTAAATCATAAAGTATTAGAGCTTGAAGATCTTTGGAGATGTTTGACTCTATACATCTTATTTCAAAAGGACTTTAATTGTTCTTCTAAAAATGATACAAGCTCATTACCAAAAATTCTAGTGATTCAAAGTAAGAAGTTGGGAGCTAAAACCGTCTCAAATCTCACCACCCTGATAAATGTCCATTAGCATGAGATTCGTAGTGTTCCAGATATCTCATTGCATGCATATGTGTATATATATGTACACACACGTGATAGATGAATATATATATATATATATATATATATATATATATATATTTTTGAGATGGAGTCTCACTCTGACGCCCAGGCTGGAGTGCAATGGTGTGATCTCAGCTCACTGTAACCTCTGCTTCCCAGCTTCAAGTGATTCTCCTGCCTCAGCCTCCTGAGTAGCTGGGATTAGATGTGCCCACCACCATACCTGGTGAATTTTTGTATTTTTAGTAGAGATGGGGTTTCACCATGCTGGCCAGGCTGGTCTCGAACTCCTGACCTCAAGTGATCCACCTGCCTCAGCCTCCCAAAGTGCTGGGATTACAGGCATGAGCCACTGCACCTGGCAATATTATATATACATATACATGTGTATATACATATACATGCGTATATACGTATATACATATATACATACACATATATACATATACACATGTATACATATATACATGTATACATATACATATATACATGTATACATATATACATATACATATATACATATACATGTATACATATATACATATACATATATACATGTATACATATATACATGTATACATATATACATATACATATATACATGTATACATATATACATGTATACATATACATATATACATGTATACATATACATTCATATACATATATACATACATACATATACATATATACATATATACATATACATATATACATATATACTTATATACATACACATATACACATATACATATACACATATACATATATACATATACACATACATATATACACATACATATACACATATACATATATACATATACACATACATATATACACATATACATATACACATATACATATATACATATACACATATACATATATACATATACATATATACATATATACATATACATATATACATATACATATATACATATATACATATACATATACATATACATATATACATATACACATATACATACACATACATATACATACATATACATATATACATATATACATATACATATATACATATATACATATACATATATACATATATACATATACATATATACATATACATATATACATATATATACATATACATATATATATTTTTTGAGACAGAGTCTCCCTCTTTCGCTTAGGCTGGAGTGCAGTTCTGCTATCTCGGCTCACTGCAAGCTCTGCCTCCCGGGTTCATGCCATTCTCCTGCCTCAGCCTCCTGAGTAGCTGGGACTACAGGCGCCCGCCACCATGCCCGGCTAATTTTTTTCTTTATTTTTAATCAAAATTATTCAATTTATGTTTAGTAGAATTTCACAAAATAAGGAGAAAATGAGGTAAAGTGGAAGGAATGGTAAACTTTGGAAAAATATTTATTCCTCATAAAAATATCAGTTTCTAACAGATCCTTCTAAGGTTGAGGGGAAAAAATTGATGAAAAAAACATTGAGGTGGTGTTATTGTATTTTTTCTTCTTTTTCCAATTTTAAGTAATATTGATTGACTTTGCTATGAAAGATGAGGAAATCATACATGTTTTCCCTATCTTACATTGTCAAGGTCAATAACATGTACTTTCTGTTCAGGAATCAGTTAGAAATTGTGTTTGACTGGCAGTTAATAGAGACCTGACAATAATGACAAACACTTAAGGATCTAGTCTCTCACCTGAAGGAAGACTGGAGGTGGGAGTCAGTCATGGTGAAGGTTCCATGAACTCAATAGGGATCCAGCTTCCTCTGGTTTCCTTATTTCCCAGGCTAAGTGTGTGACTTTGATTTTAAAGGTTATGAGGTGGCTGCTGGAGTTCTACTCATCATGTCTACATTCTAGGCAAGAAACAGAAGGAAGGGGGAGAAGGTCAGAAAGACTTCCAGCAGCCCCAACTGCTATTTGTATTTCATTACATCCCTCATCTGTAGGGTAGATTGAAGAATATGGTTTTTCCACTGAGCACATTGCCGAAGGTGAGCAGCTCCTGTGACCTCAAATTCCGAAGTTGCTTAGTTCTCATTTTATATTTGCATAGATTTAATGCCTGGAAAAGCAATCCATTTTACCCAAGAATCTTTGTTTATAAATTTTTTATTTTGCTTATCTCTTTCCTGGATGGATTTTATCCTTAGGCAGTTCTTTCCAGAGGGTTCCATGGGAACTATATTACCCAAATTATTGCTTGCTTGGTTGCTTTCCTAATTCACAGGAATTGTCTGCCTTTATCATCTCCTTAGGTTGTTCCAGTTTTTAAAGGATAGTGTAAACGCTCTTGATTCCTATTGTTTTCTATGGGTACCTTACTCCTGGAACCCTCCATCATCTTGCTGCAATCTGGCCTGATTGCACTCTAGTCCTAATGGATGCTAGTCATCCTAGGACTTCTCTTAACTGCAGTACTTGGTTGGAACCACTGTTTCTTGGATCTTATTGTTTTCTTTTTTGGTTTACTACTTTTTCTGGCTGGAATAGAGCCTCAAGTAATTTCATAAGAAAGAATATGTGAGATAAACTTCCTGAGTTTTAAGTTTCTGAAAATGTTTTGATTCTGTTCTCACGCTTGATTGATAAGTTTGTGGGCGCAAAATTTTCATTTGAAAATACTTTTCTTTCAGAACTTGAAGGAATGGCTCAATTGTCATCTAGCATCCAATGTTGCAAATGAGAAATATGATGCCAATCTGATTATTGTACCTTTATAGATCACCATTGTTTTTTCTTTTTGGAAGCTTTTAACACTGCTTTATTTTTTGGTGTCCTGGAATTCATAGTGATGTGGCTTGTTGGGTGTTTTTGATTTGTGGCATTGAGCACTGAGGGGGATCCCTTTGATGTAGAAACTCTATTCTTCATGCAATTCTATAAAATTATCTTGTATAATTTGTTCCAATAATTTCTCCCTCTCTGCTTTCTCTGTCTCTTTTCTGAAACTGCTGTTAATTAGATTTGGAATTTTTGGATTGACCCTCCATGTCTTTTATCTTTTTGCTCAGATTTCCCATCTCTTTGTCTTTTCCTTCTATTTTCTGGGAAATGTCCCCACCCTTATGCTCAAACTTGTTACTAAATTTTATTTTGAAAATCACATTTTAAATTTACACAACCTCTTTCTTGTTCTCTGATTGGTCCTTTATCATAGCATTTCGTCCATGTTTTGGGGATGCAATATGTTGAATCTCTCTGATAACACTACTTAAAATTGTTTTGTTTTACTGCTGTTTAAGTTCTCTTTATTCCCTGAACTATTGCAGTTGCTCTTGGGGTCATTTTTCTGTTTATTATTGATCTCTTTTTCATTACAAATTTTTTTTCAAATGCCTGGTGATCCCTATGTGTCTTCATATATAACAATAATGCAATAAAATATAAACAACTGCTTGAGAGCTCTGTGCTTGGGTAAAGCTTGTCAACTAGTGGGTCACTTTAGGCTGATCTGGTAGGGATCCCTCAAGGAACATAAGGCAGAGGCGTTTGCTCTAGGACTATTTAATTCCTCCAGAGAGTAATCCTCCTTTCTCTTGCCTGGAATAGAAGCCTGGTAATTATATTCTTTTGTGTGGGGAATTGGAGGGTGAGGAGAGACAACTGTTCCATATACAGACTTTTAATTAATCTCAGTGTTGTCAGTTCCACGCTTCACTTCTACTTTTTGCTATACCTGGTGCTTCTGAACTCTGAGCTTTTCTGGGATCCTAAAGGAAATGCTGACTCTTTTCTTGGCTGTACTTCTCTATGCATTCTTTAGGTTATTGCTTCTTCATCAGTTACCATGCCTGCATCTGCTTTCTATCGTCAGAAATTCACCGATTTCTCTGGTATACTGATGGTCTCTTTACTGTTGTCCTCATTTGGGAGTTTATACCTTTTTTTAAAAAAAATTCCATTGCTGCCACAGCATCAGCCATCCTGCTTCCTGGTCATTGAGTCAGCCAACACTCCCAGGTCACCTATGGAGCTGAAGCACCCAGGAAATTATTCATGATTTAGTAAATTTGGAACCTTCCTAAAAAGACAGTCTGGAGGGGGCTTCAAGGTGGCTGACTAGGGATTGGGTACTTGCCTCCTCCACAAAGAAGAACCAAAATAGTGAGTAGATAATCATACTTCAAATAGATCACCTAAGAGAGAATGCTGGAATTCAACAGATAAGTGACAGGAAACACCTAAGGCAAGGAAAAAGAGGGAAAGAGGCAGCCTGCTCTGCTCATCAGGATTGGCAGGGAGCCTGAAGAGGCTCCCCAATGTGGGAAAGGGTAAGTGAGTGATTCCTGTGGTTCACGTTCCTACTGTAGACTCCCACAGTCCTAGCCACAGGAGAGCCCTGGATCCATGTGGGCCCTGAGACTAACCCAGGGAACTGTCTGGAGATTGTGCAACAGCATTGTTACAGAGAGGGAGCTCACACTGAGTTCAACCTTGCTGTGCCCCACCCCCTTCCAGTCCCAAGAAACTGCAGCATAGTGTCATTTTGAGAGCCCAGCTCCCACCAGAGTGCATCCTGCCCTCAGGCCCAACAGCCCCTGCATCTTCACATTCCTAGAGCCCCATTGACATCTCCACCCACAGCCAGATGCCACTTCCAGGGCTGAAGTGCAAACCATTGGCAGCAAACCTGCTGGCACCAGTAGCAGGGCCACTGCATTTACACGTGCCCTGAGGAAAGGCTATCCTGCTTGCAGCCACCACCTGGGGCTGAAGTGTGTGCTCCTCAACCACTTGTTCATGGCTGCTGCCACTGAAAATAACACCACCCTCCCCAGCAGCTGCCACCCCAACCTGAGCATTCTGCTGGGAGCATGGGGATCTCCCTGCTCCTGCCTATCACAGCCAGCACCTGTATGCACCAGTAGGGGGCCTGAGGACATGTCCACTCAGCCTGGCTTCACTTCCCCTGGTGCACAAGCATGCCATCTATAGGCTTGAGGATCGCCCTACCTGATCCACCATCATTGGCATCTGAGCACTCCTCCTAGGGGCCTGAGGACAGGCCCACCCAACATGATGCTATAACCACAGCTGGAACCCATCAGCATGCATCACCTGTGGGCCTGGGAACTGGCCCACTCAGTCTGTTGTAGCCACCACCACCACCTGTGCAGATACTTGGGAGCCAGTAAATTTTCATACCATTGCTACCGCTGTCGGTCACAACACACCCACTGCCCAAGGGCCCAAGGACCCACCCTCCCACCTGGTCTATCACTGCCACTGCTGACACTTAAGCAAGCTGCCTGGAGGCCAAATGATTGGCCTGCATCGACCTACTAATACTAGTGCCAGCATATGTCACACTGGGGCCCAAGGAAAGGTATGCGCAGTCCACCACTGCCACCACAGGGGTCCAAGGACTGGCCCACCTGACAAACCTATCCCCAGTGAAACTTCACCAAAGCCACCACTAAAAACCACACCCTAAGCCACTGAGGAAACCACAGACACTACTGACACTCTTTACATCTGAAGAAATTATGCCGAGATTACACTACTGCACATGCTCAGAATCAAAGCCAAAGTGCCCTACCAACCAACACCATAAATGCATCTTCAGGAATAAGTCCTCCCCTATGAAAGCAAATTCAAAAAAGTGGAAGAAGTGACACCCTGCTCTCAGCATTAGACAAATTATCTGGAAAGGAAATTAACAAAGAAACATTGGATTTAAACTGCACTTTAGACCAAATGGACCTAACAGACATTTACAGAACATTTTCTCCAACAGTTATAGAAAACACATTCTTTTCATCAGCACATGGAACATTCTACAGGGTAGATCATTTGCTAGGACAGAAAACAAGTGTCAACACATTTTTAAAAATTGAAATCATATCAAGTATCTTCTCAGACCACAATGGAATAAAACTAGAAATTAATAATAAGAATAACTTTAGGAACTTTAAAAATATGTAGAAATTAAACAATATGAGCCTGAATGACCATTGGGTCAAGGAAGAAATTAAGGAGGAAATTAAAAAAGAGTCTTGAAACAAGAATTGAAACACAACCTACCAAAATGTATGAGATACAGCAAAAGCAGTGCTAACAAGGGATGTTGATAGCAATGAATGCCTATATCAAAAAGTAGAAAAACTTCAAAGGAACAATATAACAATGCATCTCAAGGAATTAGAAAAGCAAGAAGAACCAAAACCTAAAATTAGTAGAAGGAAAGAAATAACAAGGATCTGAGCAGAACTAAATAAAATAGACTTAAAAAAATACAAAAGATCAACAAAATAAAAAATTGGTTTTGTGAAAAGATAAACAAAATTGATAAACCACTAGCTAGACTAACCAAGAATAAAAGAGAGACAGTCCAAATAAACAAAATCGGAAATGAAAAAGGAGGGCGGGCACCTCCTGTAATCCCAGCACTTTGAGAGGCTGGGGTGGGCTTGTGGATCACCTGAGGTCAGGAGTTCAAGACCAGCCTGGCCAACATGGTGAAACCCTGTCTCAACTAAAAATACGAAAATTAGCTGAGTGTGGTGGTGGACACCTGTAATCCCAGCTACTCAGGAGGCTGAGGCAGGAGAATCACTTGAACCCGGGAGGCAGAGTTTGCAGTGAGCCGAGATTGTGCCATTGCACTCCAGCCTCGGCGATACAAGCAAAACTCCATCTCAATAAATAAATAAATAAGTGAAAGAAATGAAAAAGGAGACATTATAACTAATACCACAGAAACATAGAAGATCATCAGACACTGTTATTAACAACTATACATCAACAAACTGGAAAACTTAAGAGGAAATGGATAAATTCCTGGACACATACAACCTACCAAGATTGAACCAAGAAGAAACAGAAAACCTGAACAGACCATTAATGAGTAATGAGATTGAAGCAGTAATAAAATGTCTCCCAACAGATAAAAGCCCAGGACTGAATGGCTTCACTGCTGAATTCTACAAAACTCACAAAGAAGAACTAACACCAGTTTTCCTCAAAATATTTTGAAAAACTTGAAGACAAGAGAATTCTCTCTAGCTCATTATATGAGGCCAGCATTACATCCTGATACCAAAACCAGATAAGGACACAACAATAAAAAAGAAAACTACAGGCCAATATCCCTGATGAACACAGATGCAAAAAGCCTAAACAAAATACTAGTAAACTGAATCTAACAGCACAAGAAAAATATAGCACACCATGATTAAGTGGGATTTATCCCAGAGATGCAAGGATGGTTCAACATATGCAAATCAATAGGTGTGATACATCAGATCAACAGAAAGAACAAAAACCATATGATCATCTCAATAGATGCAGAAAAAGCACTTGACAAAATTCAACATCCCTTCATGATAAAAACTCCCAACATACTAGGCATAGAAGAAACATACCTCAATATAATAAAGGCCATATATGTTAAATCCACAGCCAACATTATACTAAATGGCAAAAAGCTGAAAGCCTTTCCTCTAAGAACTGGAATAAGACAAGGATGCCCACTTTCACCACTCCTATTCAACATAGTACTGGAAATTCTAGCCAGAGCAATCAGGCAAGAGAAAAAAAAAAGGCATCCAAACTGAAGAAGAGGAGGACAAATTGTCCCTCTTTGGAGATGACATGATCTTATAAATAGAAAACTTAAAGACTCCACCAAAAAAATTTTTGAGACCTGATAAATAAATTCAGTAAAGTTGCAGGATACAAAATCAAAACACAGAAATCAGTAGTGTTTCTTTACATCGATAATGAGCTAGCTAAAGAAAAAATCAAGAAGGCAATCCCATTTATAATAGGTATAAAAATTAAAATACCTAGGAATAGGTTTAATAAAGGAGATGAAAGACCTCTACGAGGAAATCTACAAAACTCTGATGAAAGAAATTAAAGGGGACACAGACAAATGCAAAGGCATTACATGCTCATGGATTAGAAGAATTACCATTATTAAAATGACCATAGTACCTAAAGAAAGCTACAGATTTAATGCAATCCCTATCAAAATACCAATTTCATTTTTTACATAAATAGAGAAAACAGTCCTAAAATTTATATGGAAACAAAAAAGGACCCAAATAGCCAGCAATCCTGAACAAAAATAACAAAACTGGAGGCATCACACTACCTGATTTCAAAATATATTACAAAACTATGGTTACCAAGACAGCATGGTATTGGTATAAAAATAGACACATAGACCAATGGAACAGAACAGAGAACCCAGAAATAAATGGACTTATTTGTAGCCAACTGATTTTTACAAAGGTACCAAGAACATACACTGGGGAAAGAACACTTTTCAATAAATGGTGCTGAGGAAATTGGATATCCATATGCAGAAGAATTAACCTGGACCCTTATCTCAAATATCACCTCAAGATGGATTAAAGATTTAAACACAAGACTCCAAAGTATAAAACTACTAAAAGAAAACATAGGGAAAACATCTTAGGACATTGATCTAGGCAAAGATTTTATGGCCAAGAGCTCAAAAGCACAGGCAGCAACAAAAACAAAACTAGACAAACTAGACTGTAATAAACAAAAAAGGTTTTGAACAGCAAAGGAAACAATCAACAGAGTGAAGAGACCACCTGTTGACTGGAAGAAAATATTTATCAACTACTTATGTGACAAGGGACTAATATTTAGAATATACAAGGAACTCAACAGTAAAACACCTAATAGTCTCATTAAGCAGTGGGCATATGACATGAATAGACATTTCTCAAAAGAAGACATTCAAATGGTAAATAGGCATATTAAAAATGCTCAACATCACTAATCATTAGGAAAATGCAAATCAAAACCACAATGAGATATCATCCTCAGTTAGAATCGCTATTACTAAAAATATAGTAAATAGCAGATGGTGGCGAGGATGTAGAAAAAAGGGAAGTCTTATACACTATTGGTGGGAATGTAAATTAAGACAACCACTATGGAAAATAGTATGGAGATTTCTCAGAAAACTAAAAATAGAACTGCCTTATGATCCAGCAATCCCACTACTGGGTATTTATCCAAAAGAAAATAAATCAGTATATCAAAAAGATATTTGCACTGCCATTTTTATTGCAGCACTATTCACGACAGTCAAGATATGGAAGCAACCTAAGTGTCCATCAATGGATGAATGATTAAAAACTGTGGTATTCGCTGTCAATATTAGATCAATGAGACAGAAAATTAACAGGGATATTCAGGACTTGAACTCAGCTCTGTACCAAGCAGACCTAATAGACATCTACAGAACTCTCCACTCCAAATCAACAGAATATATATTCTTCTCAGCACCACATTGCACTTATTCTAAAATTGACCACAAAATTGGAGGTAAAACACTCCTAAGCAAATGCAAAAGAATGGAAATCATAACAAAGTCACTCAGACCACAGTGAAATCAAATTAGAACTCAGGATTAAGAAACTCACTCAAAACTGCATAACTACATGGAAACTGAACAACCTGCTCCTGAATGACTACTGAGTAAATAACGAAATTAAGGCAGAAATAAATAAGTTCTTTGAAACCAATGAGAAGAAAGACACAACGTACCAGAATCTCTGGGACACAGCTAAAGCAGTGTTTAGAGGGAAATTTCTAGCACTAAATTCCCATGGGAGAAAGCGGGAACCATCTAAAATGAACACCCTAACATCACAATTAAAAGAACTAGAGAAGCAAGAGCAAACAAATTCAAAAGCTAGCAGAAGGCAAGAAATAACTAAGATCAGAACAGGACTGAAGGAGATAAGAGATACGAAAAACCCTTCAAAAATCAAGGAATCCAGGAGCTGGTTTTTTGAAAAGATTAACAAAATAGACCGCTAGCCCGACTAATAAAGAAGAAAAGAGAGAAGAATCAAGTAGACACAATAAAAAATGATAAAGGGGATATCACCACTGATCCCACAGAAATACAAACTACCATCGGAGAATACTATAAACACCTCTATGCAAATAAACTAGAAAATCTAGAAGAAAAGGATAAATTCCTGGACACATACACCCTCCCAAGGCTAAACCAGGAAGAAGTCGAATCCTTGAATAGACCAATAACAAGTTCTGAAATTGAGGCAGCAATTAATAGCCTACCAACCAAAAAAAGCCCAGGACCAGACGGATTCACAGCCAAATTCTACCAGAGATACAGAGAGGAACTTCTACCATTCCTTCTGAAACTATTCCAAGCAATAGAAAAAGAGGGACTCCTCCCTAACTCATTTTATGAGGCCAGCATCATCCTGATACCAAAACCTGGCAGAGACACAACAAAAAAAAAGAAAATTTCAGGCCAATATCCCTGATGAACATCAGTGCGAAAATCCTCAATAAAATACTGGCAAACCGAATCCAGGAGCACATCAAAAAGCTTATCCACCATGAGCAAGTTGGCTTCATCCCTGGGATGCAAGGCTGGTTCAACATACGCAAATCAATAAACGTAATCCATCACATAAACAGAACCAATGACAAAAACCACATGATTATTTCAATAGATGCAGAAAAGGCCTTGGATAAAATTCAACACTCCTTCATGCTAAAAACCCTCAATAAACTAGGTATTGATGGAACGTATCTCAAAATAATAAGAGCTATTTATGACAAACCCACAGCCAAGATCATAATGAGTGGGCAAAAGTTGGAAGCATTCCCTTTGAAAACCGGCACAAGACAAGGATGCCCTCTCTCACCACTCCTATTCAACATAGTATTGGAAGTTCTGGCCAGGGCAATTGAACAAGAGAAGGTAATAAAGGGACCTCAAATAGGAAGAGAGGAAGTCAAATTGTCTCTCTTTGCAGATGACATGATTGTATATTTAGAAAACCCCATCGTCTCAGCCCAAAATCTCTTTAAGCTGATAAGCAACTTCAGCAAATTCTCAGGATATAAAATCAATGACTGCAAAAATCACAAGCATTCCTATACACCAATAATAGCCAAACAGAGAGCCAAATCATGAGTGAACTCCCATTCACAATTGCTACCAAGAGAATAAAATACCTAGGAATCCAACTTACAAGGGATATCAAGGACCTCTTCAAGGAGCACAACAAACCACTGCTCAAAGAAATAAGAGAGGACACAAACAAATGGAAAAAAATTCCATGCTCATGGATAGTAAGAATCAATATCGTGAAAATGGCCATACTGCCCAAAGTAATTTAAAGATGCAATGCTATCCCTATCAAGCTACCATTGGCTTTCTTCACAGAATTAGAAAAAACTACTTTAAATTTCATTTGGAACCAAAAAAGAGCCCATATAGCCAAGACAATCCTAGGCAAAAAGAACAAAGCTGGAGGCCTCACACCACCTGACTTCAAACTATACTACAAGTCTACAGTAACCAAAACAGCATGGTACTGGTACCAAAACAGAGATATAGACCAATGGAACAGAACAGAGCCCTCAGAAATAATGCCACACATCTACAACCATCTGATCTTTGACAAACCTGACAAAAACAAGCAATGGGAAAAAGATTCCCTATTTAATAAATGGTGTTGGGAAAACTGGCTAGCCATATGCAGAAAACTGAAACTGGACCCCTTCCTTACACCTTATACAAAAATTAACTCAAGATGGATGAAAGACTTAAACGAAAGACCTAAAACCATAAAAACTGTAGAAGAAAACCTAGGCAATACCATTCAGGATATAGGCCTGGGCAAAGACTTCATGAGTAAAACACCAAAAGCAATGGCAACAAAAGCCAAAATTGACAAATGGGATCTAATTAAACTAAAGAGCTTCTGCACAGCAAAAGAAACTATAATCAGAGTGAACAGGCAACCTACAGAATGGGAGAAAATTTTTGCAATCTATCCATCTGACAAAGGGCTAATATCCAGAATCTACAAGGAACTTAAATTTACAAGAAAAAAAACAAACAACCCCATCAAAAAGTAGGCAAAGAGTGTGAACAGACACTTCTCAAAAGAAGACATTTATGTGGTCCACAAACATGAGAAAAAGCTCAACATCACTGGTCATTAGAGAAATGCAAATCACAATGAGATACCATCTCATGCCAGTTAGTTTGGTGATCATTAAAAAGTCAGGAAACAACAGATGCTGGAGAAGATGTGGAGAAATAGGAACGTTTTTACACTGTTGGTGGAAGTGTAAATTAGTTAAACCATTGTGGAAGACAGTGTGGCGATCCCTCAAGGATCTAGAACCAGAAATAACATTTGACCCAGCAATCCCATTACTGGATATATATCCAAAGGATTGTAAATCATTCTACTATAAAGACACATGCACATGTATGTTTATTGCAACACTGTTCACAATAGCAAAGACTTGGAACCAACCCAAATGCCCATCAGTGATAGACTGGATAAAGAAAATGTGGCACATATACACCATGGAATACTATGCAGCCATAAAAAGGATGAGTTCATGTCCTTTGCAGGAACGTGGATGAAGCTGGAAACCATCATTCTCAGCAAACTAACCCAAGGACAGAAAACCAAACACCGCATGTTCTCACTCATAAGTGGGAGTTGAATAATGAGAACACATGGACACAGAGAGGGGAACATCACACACTGGTGCCTGTCGGGGTTGGGGGGCTAGGGGAGTGATAGCATTATGAGAAATACCTAATGTAGATGACAGGTTAATGGGCACAGCAAACCACCATGGCGCATGTATACCTATGTAACAAACCTGCACATTCTGCACATGTATCCCAGCACTTAAGGTATAATAAAAAAAGCGATATATATATATATATATATAATAGCATATATGTATAGAATTAAATACTATTTGGCCATATAAAAGAATGAAATAATGTCATTTCAGCAACATGGATGAAACTGAATGTCATTCTGTTACAAGACAGCCAGGCACAGGAAGACAAATATCGCATGTTTTCATATAGGAGAAAAAAAATTGATCTCATGGAGGTAGAGAGAAGAATGATGTATACTAGAAATCTGAGAAGAATGTGTGGGTTGTGTAGGGGAGTCAATGAAGAGAGGTTGGTTAATGGGTACAAATATACAGTTAGATGGAAGGAATAAGTTCTAATGTTCAAAACAGGGTAGAGTGACTGTAGTTAACAACAATGCATCGTATATTTCAAAACAGCTAGAAAAGAGGACTTGAAATGTTTCCAACTCATAGAAATGATAAATATTCTAGGTGATGGATACTTTAAATACCCTGACTTGATAATTATGCATGCTATGCGTATAATAAAATATCAAATGTATCTCATAAATATGTACAAACATTGTGTATCAATAAAAAAGACAATCTGAAAAACTCTTGCAAAAACATCTGAATTCTCTGCAACTCCATGTGTTAAAATTACCTGAAGTCACTGAATAAACTCAAAGCAGAAAGTTTTGCTCTGACAACATTGACAAGGACTCTGGACAACACTCTCCTTCCACTAGATCCTTGTGGTTAATGTTATAACACATCCCTGGGTAGAGACTTTTGATAGGAACAGCTAAAGTAGAGGCACTCAGGGTTTGCTATCAGATTCTCACTAGCTGTTAGTTACTCAAGTTCTCTGAGCCTTGTTTTTCCATCTAAAAAATGGGCTAAATAACAATATTTATCCCAGAGGGTTACTTTGAAAGTTGATTGGCTTGGTGCATAGAAATTCCTCAATAAATGTTAGCTGGTCAAGCTTCAGAGCTATACTTTTAATCATTATAGTAAACCATTAATGGAAAAAATGGTCTAAGTGTTATGCATGTTATGCCTATAGGTATTTGTTGCCTGGGAACTTTTTTTCCAGAGAGAGCATCATAGAAGCATTTAAAAAATGTGTGTTCTGCTATTATTTGGAAGTGAAAATTATGTGCTCTGGAAAATTATGTTAGATGATGCAAAAAGTGATCTAGTGAGATGAAAACACTGATTTGGCTTTATGAAATGAGAGTGGGTAATCAACGTGGCTGACTTAAAATTTAAATATGCTTTTATCTAAATTAATAAATCGAATAATATTAAGTAGTTATTATTATTGCTTTAGCAATGTCATCTTTAGGTCTCACGTTCTTTTCTTTCCAAAAAGCAATTTACTTGAGCCATCAGACCTTTAGACAGAAACCAGCTACTATGCCCTCTCATCGAAAAATAAAGCTTTTATTGTATATGTACACATCTATTTTTATGTTAATGGAGTCATACAATAGAACATTTTTGAATATTTATTACAGGTAAATATGGATTTATTACAGATATAGAAATGTTCTGCTGTATGACTATAGATATAAAATAGCTTTACTTAGGTACAATTTAAATACCATAAAATTCACTTTTTTAAGTGTGTACAGTTCAATGATTTACAGAGCTGTGCAACCATCACCACGATCCAATTTTTGAAGGCGTTCATCACCTTCCTAAAATCTCTTGTGTCTATTTGTAGTCACTCCCCATTTTCACACTCAGCCCCAGGCAACCACTAATCAATTTCCTTTCTCTATAAATTTGCCTTTACAGATCATTTTTATTACTTATTTATTTTCTATTTGTAAACATATTATAATCATATATAATTATGGCATATACAGTGATGTTATGATACATGCATACAGTGTGGAATGATTGAATCAAATGAATTAACTATCCATTAACTTCAATACCTATTATTTATCCCTCCTTTCTAATGGAGGCTTTCTACCCTTTGACCAGTGTTGCCCCATTCCCCAGACCCTCCACGCTCTGATAACCACCATTTTACTCTACATATCATTTTAAAAAGAAACAAAATGTCACATCATACCTCTGAAGATTCATCACCCCCTCCTCTCACTATGCCATTCCCCTCCCTCCTTTCCACTTCAGAGGTAGCCATTACCTAGAGGTTGGTGCTTATCCCTCCTATCTATGGTTTTATGTTTTCTCAACATTTTATTTTTGAGATTTACCCATATTAGAAATATGGATCTAGTTAATTCATTTTCCCTGTGGTATTCCAATGAATATACTTGCTACTTTATTTAACACTTTGATGGACAGGTATATCGTTCTCAATTTTTTACATTACAAACTATATTGTTTTTGTCTTGGAAACTGTAGTGATCATTTATAGCAGAGACAATGCTAGAGACAATGCTATGCATTTACCAAATTCTGTTTCATATTTCTCCTTCCTAAACAACAGAAAACTGTACTTTCCAGTCCCCTTGCAGGGCCACATGACTAGTTCTGGCCCATAAAATTGTGAGCAGAAGTGATGTGGATCACCTCCTGGCTGAGGCAGTCTATGCTATGCTATGCTGTGCTATGCTATGCTGTGCTATGCTATGCTTTACTGTTCTGTCCTGTCCTGTCCTATCCTATCCTTCCCTTCTCTCATTCCTCCACCACCCTGCCCTTGGATCAGGGGCATGGAAGTTGGCTATGGAGAAAATGGAGCCACATGATCATAGCAGCCTTAATTCCTGAGTCACCTCGTGGAGAACTACTGTCTTGGAGAGGTGCCTAATTTATAGTTGACTTTTCATGAATAAGAAATGTTTATGTGTTAAGCCATTGAGATTTGGGGATGATCTGTTACTGTAGTATAAGTCCAACTTATTCTGATTAACATTTTTGTACATCCTTGTTTATATTTCCTATATTAGCCATTAGGATGTCCTCTTCTGGGAACTGCCTATTCATTACATGTCTAATTCTTTTCATTTGGGCTGTTTGTTGTTTTTTTCTTATTGATTTGTAGAAGTTAAAAATATACGCTGTATATTAATCTATTATTAATTTTATACATTGAAAATATATTCTTCCTGTCTGTAGAATATCTTTTGACTTTTTAAAGATGTCTTATCATATAGAAGTTTTTTATTTAATGTAGTCAAATTTGTCGATACTCTTTCTTGTTTGTGCTTATTGTGCCCTGTTTAATAACTTATTTTATACCTTTATATCATGAAGATATTCTCCCTTTTCTAATTCTAGATTTTTTGAAAATTTGTTTTTCACATTTAAGTCTTTAATTCATCTGGAATTTATTTTTGTATAGGATATAAGGTAGGGATCAATTTTTATTTCCCCTTACCTTTGCAGATAACAAATCGTCCCAGCACCATTTATTGAATGCTCCATTATTTCCCCAACTAATTTATAATGCTACTTCTGTTATATACCAAGTTCCCATATGTATGTACATCTGCTTTTGGGCACTGTAATGTGAAGCACTGACATATTTCAGGGGTCAGTGAACTATATCCCTCAGGTCAAATCTGGCCCACAAGCGCTGCTCAAGTAGGCTAGCAATATAAATGTTGGAGGCCAAACCTTGGCCATACTCCTCTGCCCATGTCCTCCTCCTTGTTCCCAGTGCTTGCCTCCCCTTATGGCAGCCACTCCTCACTGCTGTGCAGGACTCATAGTCTCCTTCTACTTGTTGGAGGCTCTGCTGTTGGCAGCTGCCCCCATGGAGCAGTGGAATCAGTCCAGTGGAATCTCAGTCTGGGAGTCAGTGACTTAGTGAGTTGCATTGCCTCCAGCCACCTGCCCAAGTTAAGATGGCCAAGCTCTCTGAGAGGAGAGCAGGATGGATGTACTGGGGTCTGGGTGTGGCTGGGGCTGAAGATGTTACTGACTGTGGTGGTTGCCTTCTTGTCTTCCCTTCCCGCTTAGGTAGAGCAATCAACCATGCTGATTTTCTGGAGATGGAGGGGATACTCAGTATCTGAGACTTTCAGGGCTAGAACAAGGGCAGTCCCAGGCAAACTGAAATAGTTGGTCAATAGTCACCTTAGCCTTTGGACAGTAGATCTTCTGAAAAATGTCTCCAACAGAGGATACAAAGCCTGTTCACTGTGTGGAACTATCCACCCCAGGCAAATGGGGTGAAGCTGGGTAGGAGTTCCTCTCTTGTTATATAAGTATGTACACAATATCCTCAAATTTTCCCCCTGGCATGCAAAGCCTAAAATGTTTACTCTCTGGCCCTTTACAGACAAAGTTTACCAACCGCTGATCTATTTGATTATTTTTATGTTAGTATCATATTATTTAACAATTAATATGTTTTTAATAAATTGATATCTAGTAGGTTGAATCTTCCCTCATTCTCTTCAAAATTTTCTTGGCTGTTCTTGGCCTGATACTCTTCCATATCACTTTTAGAATTAGCTTGTCAAGGTCAGTGGGAAATACACTGTTGGGATTTTGGTTGGAATATAATTGAATAATAATTTTCTCTATTATAATTCTACGCATACTTGGTTAACTTTTTTTTCTAAGAATCTTACAGGTTTTGTTGCTGTTGTGAATGATATTTAAAAATGTATTATATATTTTCTAATTGATTATTGCTGGTATATATAATTTTGTATGTTGATTTGATGTCCAGCAGCATTGCTGAAATCTCTTATTAGTGCCAATAGTTTGTTGTGAAAATGGCAATTTTCTTTCTTTTTTTTTACAATATTCTCTTTCATTTATTCATTTATTTTTATTTTTTGTTTTATTGTTCTGACAAGTGCCTCCAGTATATATTGAATAGAAATAGTGATGAAGATACTTGATTTGTTTTCTGATTCTAAAGGGTATGATTCTAATATTTCACCATTAGCTATGATATTTGTTGCAGATTTTTGTTAGCTACCTTTTGTCAAGTCAAGGAAGTTCCTTTCATTCTGAGTCGGCTAAGATGTGTTTTTTAAAAAATCATATGAATGAGTGTTGAATTTTATCAAATGCTTTGTCTACATCTAGCGAAATTTGGTGTATTTTCTCCCTTGGACACTTAATTTTGTGAATTACATGGATTTTCTAATGTTAAACTAATCTTATATTTCTGGGATAAATACTACCTGGTCATAATGTTTTAAAAATTATAATATATTGCTAAGTTTGGTTTGCTAATGTTGGATTTAGGATTTTACATTAATGATCATATGTTGGATTCTCCAGTTTTTGTCCTCTTTTTACACTGTTCTTTTCGAGTTTTGGTATCAAGGCATACTAGATTCACAAAATAATTTGGAAATTCTAACTTCTTTTTCTTCTGGAGCATTTTATATAAAATCTGGATTATATATTTTTGAACATTTGGTTAAACTTGCTTCTAAAACGATATGGGCCTTTGACAGCTATGTTTAATTCATTTTCTTTTGTTGTGATTACTGATATATTTGGACATTATTGTTTTTTTAATAACAGATTTATTGAGGCATAATTTGCATACTATACAATTCCTACTTTTAACATGTAAAATTCAATAGCTCTTGTTATATTCACAGTGTTTTGCAAACATCACTACAATCCAATTTTAAAACACGTTCATCATCCCATAAAGAAACTTCATACACATTAACAGTCACTTCCAATTCCCCCCTCTCCCAACCCATGGCAATCACTTATCTACTTTTTGTCTCTATGAATTTGCCCGTTCTGGACTCATCACAGAAATGGAATCATAAAATATGTGGGCTTTTATATCTGGCTTCTTTTGCTTAGCATAATGTTTTCAAGGTTCATTCATATTGTAGCAAGAATCAGCACTTCATTCCTTTTTTTTCTCTCAGTCAGCTTATAGGCAACTTCATTCCTTTTTATGGCTGAATGATATTCCGTTGTATAGACATAGTGCCATTTGTTAGTCCATTTATCTGTTGATAGACATTTGGGTTGTTTTTACTCTTTGGTTATTGTGAATAACACTGTTATGAACATTCACATACAAGGTTTTGTGTTTTCAGTTCTCTTGGGCATATACATAGGGGTGGAATTGCTGGGTCATATTGTAACTGTGTGTTTTACTATTTTAGGAACTGCCAACGATGATTCTTATTATGAATCAAGTTTTCTCTATTTTTATTTTTACCCTTTACTCATTTGGAAGTCATACATTTTATTTCTGATCTTCTAGTAACTTAAAAAGATTTAAATCAGTATGTGACCCCTTAAATGTTTATAGATAAATGTTACAACGAAGTCTAACATCAATCACTCTGTATTTTTCTAAACAATGCAAGAAAACAAATACTCGTCATCACCCCTTCTTCCATCTTGTTGTCTAGTGTATTAACTTTGTTATTAAATCATCCTCAACTATCACTATTGTTTATTTTTATACTCAGTGCTTTTTAAATTTGTAAACGTGTTTTTCAGTTTCGATGCTCACCATTGTTTGTTTTGTCCTATACTTTTATTCTGAAATTATTATTTTTTCCTTTCTGAAGTAGATATTTTTGTTGCCTTTCAGCAAGGGTCTTTGAAAGGAAACTGCTTTTAGTCTTGTTTGTCTGAAAATGCATTTTGTTCACTCTCACTTCTTAATGATTGTTTAGCTAAGCATAGGCTTCAGGGTAGAAGATATTTTTCCTCATCACTTTGAAGCTATCATTCCATTTTATTTGAGCCTCCATTGTCAATCTAATAGTCATTCTCTTGTAGAATTGTTTTGTTTTGTTTTATCTTTGGTATTCTGCATAATGAGATACCAAAAAGCCAATGATTGGCACTTAGGATAGAAGAGTTCATTACTTTGAAGCTAAATACCAAACTGCTTCCTGAATATTCAGCTAGTGAAAAAAAAATCTGGTTTGTGGTGATTGGGGAAGTTAATTTAAACTTCACATGGGGCTGGGTATTAAAGAAAAGACATCTTTATGGCATGTACACAATTCAGCAACTGATGTATACTCATTTCTTGAGCTACAATACAGTGTCAAGTGTGTCAAGTGAATTTTGTTGCAAAGAGAATACACCACCGGAGAGATAAAAGGAAGGTCAAAAAAAAAAAAGAGACATAAAGGAAAGAGTATTATGTTTCACATTTTAAAAACATGGAAGGGAGAAGCCATTTTGAGCACTTGCTGTGTTGTGCAACAATATGCTGTACATTTTTAATAGCAAAGGAGAGATCGACATGAAATTTCTTTATATAAAAACCAATGGTTTACACATTATATAAGGCATCTTTGAATACAAGGCAGAGCAAAAACTAGGACAATGCTACTTTTCTTTCTTTGGTTAAATGAGGCTTAGTTGTTGGCATCACACAGGTTTTATAAAAGCACAATTCTTGAAAAGGAGTTCTACATTTATAAGGCATAAGAGAAAGGACAAATGGAGTTTAATTTACATTGTCTCAGCAACAATGTTATGTCCCAGTTGCTAGTTAGTCCCCACGAGGCTTGGGGAATGGCTTCATATTCCTATAGGAGCTAAGAAGAAATGGAGTGATTTCATTCCAGTGAGATGTCAAGATGAGCAAAAGAATTTCAAAACGGAAGAAGTTAATTTATTTGGAAAATATTTTACTTTTTATTGGTGTCATTTGAATTTGGGGTCCTATGCTAACATTTTCAGAATTGTAAAATGAAGAGTTCTATTAATGGGGCGTGTCATCCTCGAGGGGACCTTAGTGAACATGCAAGCCAATCCCTGCATTTTGTAAAAGGGGAAAAACAGAGAAAGTTGGTGACTTGCCCAATGTCAGTGTCAGTGAGTTAGAAGAGAGTTGGGACAAAAATGTAGGTCCTTTAACTCCTAGTCCGGTGTTATTTCTGATATCTCATACAAGTTAAAACTCAACGGGTTGTTGTATTTTTTAAAAAGCTGTATCAGTTTCCTTGAGCTGCCATACCAAATATCACAAACTGGGTGGCTTAAAACAATGGAAATTAATTGTCTCATGCTTCTGGAGAGTAGAAGTCTGAAGTAAACGATTCAGTAGAGCCACGCTACGTCTGAGACTCTAGGTAGAACACTTCTTTGCCTCTCCTTAGCTTCTGGTGGTGACCAGTTCTTGGTGTTTCTTGGCTTGCAGCTGCATCACTCGTCTCTGCTGCCATTCTCACATGGCAGTCTCTTTGTGTGTCTTTGTTCAGATTTCCCTCTTCCTATGAGAACACCAGTCATATTGGATTAGGGATCAACCTAATGACTTCATCTTAACTTAGTTACATCTGCAAAGACCCTATTTCCAAATAAGTTCACATTCATAGGTACCAGGGTTTAGGATTTCAACATATCTTTTTGGGAGACATAATTCAACTCACAAGAATGGCTTTATTGAAATATACTGTACCACATACCATATCAGTTCACCCATTAAAGTATACAACTTATGGTTTTTAGTATGTGCACAGGTTTGTACAACCATCATTACAAGATAATTTTTAAAAATTGTCATTCCCCTTAAAAGAAACTCCATACTCATCAGTAGTCACTCTATATTTTCCCCCTTCCTGCTCTATCCCTAAGCAACCACTAATCTACTTTATGTCTCTGTATATACGCCCACTCTGGACATTACATATAAATGGAATCATGTGATATGTGGTTCTTCGTGACTATTCTTTCACTTATAAAAATGTTTTCAAGGTTGATCCATGTTAGCATGTTTTAGTACCCTCTTTTATTCTTTTTTATGGTTGAATAATATTCCATTGTGTAGATATACTGTACTTTGTCTATCCAGTTGATGGACATTTGAGTTGTTTCCACTTTGGGGTAATTATGGATAATGCTACTATGAACATTGGTCTGTAACTTTTGTGTGGACATACGTTTTCAGTTCTCTTGGGTATATTGCCAGGGATTGAATTGCCAGGTCACATAGAAACTTTGTATTTTACTGTTTGAGGAACTGCCAGATAGTTTTTCATAGTGACGGTACCATTTTACATTCCCACAGAAATGTATGAATGTTCCAATTTCTCATATCATCCCAACATTTTGTTACTGTTCACCTTTTTTTTTTTTTTTTTTTTTTTTTTTTTTTTTACGTTACAGCTGTCAGACTGGGTGTAAAGTAGTATCTCATTGTGGTTTTGATTTACATTCCCTTAATGGCAAATGGTATCGAGCACCTTTTCATGTGCTTAGTGGCTATTTGTGTATCTCCTTCAGAGAAATGTCTATTCAGATCTTTGACCATATTTTTAATTGAGTTATTTGCTTTTTATTGTTGAGTTATAAGAATTCTTTGTACAGTCCAGATACAAGTCCCTTATCAAATATGTGACTGGCAAATATTTTTTCCCATTCTGTTGGTTCTCTTTTCACTTTTATCTTCATGTCCTTTGAAGCATAAAAGTTTTAAAATTTGATGAAGTACTAATTATCTATTTTTTCTTTTTTTGCTCATGCTTTTCATGTCATATCTAAGAACCCTTTGCCAAATCCAAGTTCATGAAGATTTATCTCTATGTTTCCTTCTAAGAATATTACAATTCGGCTCTTACATTTATGTCTTTGATCCATTTTGAGTTAAGTTTTGTGTAGGATGTGAGGCTTGGGTCCAACTTTATTCTTTTGCATGTGGTTATCCGGTTGTCTCTGCACCATTTATTGAAAAGAACATTTTTCTCCATTCAATGGTCTTGGCATCCTTGTAGAAAATCAGCTAGTCCTAGATGTATGGTTTTACTTCTGGACTCATAATTCTATTCCATTGATATAGGTGTCTGTCCTATGCCAATACTGATATTGTCCTATCATTGCTTTTCAGTAAGTTTTGAAATCAGAAAACATGAGTCTTCCTGTCTTCCTGCTTTGCTCTTCTTTGTCAAGATTGTTTTGGTTATTCTGGGAGCCTTGCAATTTCATATAAATTTTAGAATTAGCTTGTCAATTTGTACAAGGAATTCAGCTGGGATTTGGAGAGAGATTATGTTGAATCTATACATCAATTTGGGCAGTATGCCATCTTAACAATATCAAGTCTTCTACTCCATGAACACAGAATGTTTTTGCATTTATTTAGATATTTAATTTCTTTCAACAATGCTTTCTTTGTAGTGTTTAGAGTAAAGTTTTGCACTTCTTTTAAACTTTGTTCCTAAGTATTCTTTTTGATGCTATTATACATGAAATAGTTTTCTTAATTTCGTTTTTGGATTGTTCATTGCAAGTGTATAGAAATACAATTGATTTTTGTAAATTTAACTTGTATCCTACAACCTTGATTTATTAGTGCTAATAGGTTTTTAGTGAATTCCTTACAATTTTCTATATACATGATCATTTTTTATGTGAATAGAAACAGCTTTACTTCCTTCTCTCCAGTCTGGTTGCCTTTTATTTCTTTTTCTTGCCTGATTGCTTGAGGTAGAAACCAGAGTACAATGTTGAATAGAAGTGAAAGTGGGCATGCTTGTCTGTTCCTGACCTGTGAGAGAAAGTTTTCATTCTTTCACCATAAGTATAATGTTCTCTGGGGGCTTTGAAGCTCTTCCTCAACTAGTCTCAACTGATCTATCCAACTTCTTTCCCACCGACAATCTTTGAATGCTCATTGTCCAACTCCCAAACCCTAGCCTGGCTCACAAAGGCCCACTAGCCTAATAGCATGATTTATTTCCTTTTCATCACATACCTTGATTTTTTCCTCTGCACCTATTCCTCATAATGTTAAAGAGAATGCCCCATTTCCTCCAACAGTCTAGCTCATATGCTTCCTTAGGGTAAAGCTCTGTTTCCCAGATGACTACACCACTGTCGCCCCAACAGACACAAGTGGTCACACTAAACATGTGAATACACATACACAACATATTGTGATTCCTTGACTTCCCATTTCCTGAATACTTGAAGCTAATTTATATTTTGTTTCAGTTCATATCACTTTGTAAATGTCCTTTTGTTATTTTATATATCTTTGTCTTGGTTTCACCAATTACACTGTGTTTCTCTAGAGCAAGGACCAGGAAACCTGTGTTTTTTTTTTTTTTTTTTTTTAAGTAGAATTTCCATTTTATTTTTCTCCAGAGAATAGTCTGTCTCCAGTCTTTAAGAACTTAGCTCCTTACAAGGGCTTTGGTGGGGGAAGTGGAGCAGCACCCGCAGGTCTAAATAGGGGTGGGGGTGTTCAGTCCTTGTGGGCTTCACGAGATCGATTCCTGACTACTTTGCTGTGAATTGTACAACTCACACAGTAATGTAGCTTCACATAAAGCTTGGGAAGCACGTAGGCATCAAAGACTCTCGCTTCAGAAATGTCCCTGACTGCTGTGGCCTCCACTATGTTTCGAATGACGAATTTCTTTTTTTTTAAATTTATTATTATTATACTTTAAGTTTTAGGGTACATGTGCACAATGTGCAGGTTAGTTACATATGTATACATGTGCCATGCTGGTGCGCTGCACCCACTAACTCATCATCTAGCATTAGGTATATCTCCCGATGCTATCCCTCCCCCATCCCCCCACCCCACAACAGTCCCCAGAGTGTGATGTTCCCCTTCCTGTGTCCATGTGTTCTCATTGTTCACTTCCCACCTATGAGTGAGAATATGTGGTGTTTGGTTTTTTGTTCTTGCGATAGTTTACTGAGAATGATGATTCCCAATTTCATCCACGTCCCTACAAAGGACATGAACTCATCATTTTTTATGGCTGCATAGTATTCCATGGTGTCTATGTGCCACATTTTCTTAATCCAGTCTATCATTGTTGGACATTTGGGTTGGTTCCAAGTCTTTGCTATCGTGAATAATGCCGCAATAAACATATGTGTGCATGTGTCTTTATAGCAGCATGATTTATAGTCCTTCGGGTATATACCCAGTAATGGGATGGCTGGGTCAAATGGTATTTCTAGTTCTGGATCCCTGAGGAATCGCCACACTGACTTCCACAATGGTTGAACTAGTTCACAGTCCCACCAACAGTGTAAAAGTGTTCCTATTTCTCCACATCCTCTTCAGCACCTGTTGTTTCCTGACTTTTTAACGATTGCCATTCTAACTGGTGTGAGATGGTATCTCACTGTGGTTTTGATTTGCATTTCTCTGATGGCCAGTGATGGTGAGCATTTTTTCATGTGTTTTTTGGCTGCATAAATGTCTTCTTTTGAGAAGTGTCTGTTCATGTCCTTCACCCACTTTTTGATGGGGTTGTTTGGTTTTTTCTTGTAAATTTGTTTGAGTTCATTGTAGATTCTTGATATTAGCCCTTTGTCAGATGAGTAGGTTGCGAAAATTTTCTCCCATTTTGTAAGTTGCCTGTTCACTCTGATGGTAGTTTCTTTTGCTGTGCAGAAGCTCTTTAGTTGAATTAGATCCCATTTGTCAATTTTGGCTTTTGTTGCCATTGCTTTTGGTGTTTTAGACATGAAGTCCTTGCCCATGCCTATGTCCTGAATGGTAATGCCTAGGTTTTCTTCTAGGGTTTTTATGGTTTTAGGTCTAACGTTTAAGTCTTTAATCCATCTTGAATTGATTTTTGTATAAGGTGTAAGGAAGGGATCCAGTTTCAGCTTTCTACATATGGCTAGCCAGTTTTCCCAGCACCATTTATTAAATAGGGAATCCTTTCCCCATTGCTTGTTTTTCTCAGGTTTGTCAAAGATCAGAGAGTTGTAGATATGTGGCATTATTTCTGAGGGCTCTGTTCTGTTCCATTGATCTATATCTCTGTTTTGGTACCAGTACCATGCTCTTTTGGTTACTGTAACCTTGTAGTATAGTTTGAAGTCAGGTAGTGTGATGCCTCCAGCTTTGTTCTTTTGGCTTAGGATTGACTTGGTGATGCGGGCTCTTTTTTGGTTCCATATGAACTTTAAAGTAGTTTTTTCCAATTCTGTGAAGAAAGTCATTGGTAGCTTGATGGGGATGGCATTGAATCTGTAAATTACCTTTGGCAGTATGGCCATTTTCATGACATTGATTCTTCCTACCCATGAGCATGGAATGTTCTTCCATTTGTTTGTGTCCTCTTTTATTTCATTGAGCAGTGGTTTGTAGTTCTCCTTGAAGAGGTCCTTCACATCCCTTGTAAGTTGGATTCCTAGGTATTTTATTCTCTTTGAAGCAATTGTGAATGGGAGTTCACTCATGATTTGGCTCTCTGTTTGTCTGTTGTTGGTGTATAAGAATGCTTGTGATTTTTGTACATTGATTTTGTATCCTGAGACTTTGCTGAAGTTGCTTATCAGCTTAAGGAGATTTTGGGCTGAGACAATGGGGTTTTCTAGATATACAATCATGTCATCTGCAAACAGGGACAATTTGACTTCCTCTTATCCTAGTTGAATACCCTTTATTTCCTTCTCCTGCCTAATTGCCCTGGCCAGAACTTCCAACACTATGTTGAAAGGAGTGGTGAGAGAGGGCATCCCTGTCTTGTGCCAGTTTTCAAAGGGAATGCTTCCAGTTTTTGCCCATTCAGTATGATCTTGGCTGTGGGTTTGTCATAGATAGCTTTTATTATTTTCAGATACATCCCATCAATACCTAATTTCTTGAGAGTTTTTATCATGAAGGTTGTTGAATTTTGTCAAAGGCCTTTTCTGCATCTATTGAGGTAATCGTGTGGTTTTTGTCTTTGGTTCTGTTTATATGCTGGATTACATTTATTGATTTGCATATATTGAACCAGCCTTGCATCCCAGGGATGAAGCCCACTTGATCATGGTGGATAAGCTTTTTGATGTGCTGCTGGATTCGGTTTGCCAGTATTTTATTGAGGATTTTGGCATCAATGTTCAAGGATATTGGTCTAAAATTCTCTTTTTTGGTTGTGTCTCTGCCCAGCTTTGGTATCAGGATGATGCTGGCCTCATAAAATGAGTTGGGGAGGATTCCCTCTTTTTCTATTGATTGGAATAGTTTCAGAAGGAATGGTACCAGTTCCTCCTTGTACCTCTGGTAGAATTCGGCTGTGAATCCATCTGGTCCTGGACTCTTTTTCATTGGTAAGCTATTGATTAGTGCCACAACTTCAGCTCCTGTTATTGGTCTATTCAGAGATTCAACTTCTTCCTGGTTTAGTCTTGGGAGAGTGTATGTGTGGAGGAATTTATCCATTTCTTCTAGATTTTCTAGTTTATTTGCGTAGAGGTGTTTGTAGTATTCTCTGATGGTAGTTTGTCTTTCTGTGGGATAGGTGGTGATATCCCCTTTATCATTTTTTATTGCGTCTATTTGATTCTTCTCTCTTTTTTTCTTTTTAATCTTGCTAGCAGTCTATCAATTTTGTTGGTCCTTTCAAAAAACCAGCTTCTGGATTCATTAATTTTTGACTACTGGGTACATAATGAAATGAAGGCAGAAATAAAGATGTTCTTTGAAACCAATGAGAACAAAGACACTACATACCAGAATCTCTGGGACGCATTCAAAGCAGTGTGTAGAGGGAAATTTATAGCACTAAATGCCCACAAGAGAAAGCAGGAAAGATCCAAAATTGACACCCTAAGATCACAATTAAAAGAACTAGAAAAGCAAGAGCAAACACATTCAAAAGCTAGCAGAAGGCAAGAAATAACTAAAATCAGAGCAGAACTGAAGGAAATAGAGACACAAAAAACCCTTCAAAAAATTAATGAAACCTGTGTTTTAATTTCATCCCCAACAAGGCTCAACACAAAGGCTTATCAAAACACAAAATGCTTCATAAAAGCTGACTGGCATCAGTTGAATTTTGTTCTCCCAGAAAGGCGTCCTCTTCTTTGTGAGCTGCTGTGAAAGTCAGAGACTGCCTGGATGCCACTCATTCCTCTATCATCGCCTTATCTCCATTTCCAAACCATTTCTTTTCTTCTCTTTATATTGGCTGAGTTTCAGAAGGGAGATAATTGGCCCCATCAACTTTTATAGCTTGATGAAAGCCTCAACCATGTTGACTTGTTTTCCTTTCAGGGTAAATGCACCACAAGTCAAGGCAAAGTCATTCCCACAGCCCTTGTTTAGAAAATGTATGATTTTTATATAGTCCCTATTAAAGCAATACAGTCCACTAGCTATGACCTCAAACATGACTTTCTTTAAAAGTGAGTGCCTCTCGGTGTGAAATGTTCATTTTCAAGGCTAGGCTCATGCTGGGGTTTGACGGTTTGTAACAAAGGTCTCAGATTCCTGAGCATAGTGCCTAATGTTGCTTTCTTTCCTGTGGCATTTGCTTGTTTTTTTTTTGTGCTTTACTGCAATTAAAATATTGACATTTCCTTGTCTTACCCCACTAACCATGGCAAATACCATAGAAAGTGATAAAAATTCTTTGCAATAAGCATACCACAAATAACAGTGTAGAGCTTGGTCTTGCTGCCTTAACAGATAAAAAGACAGGCTGCATGCCAAATGGTATTTATTAGGTACTTGCTGAGCATGTAGCCTGTGTCAAGGATGAGGGATAGGCAAGCAAATACATGGTCAGTGCTCCAGGGGAGTTTACAATCTCACTGGGGTGATAAGACTAATGTACCTCAAACAGAGCACTATTAAGTTAGAGGTAGTACAGAATAATTGCTAAAACAAGGACAGGGGAACATACAGTCAGTGTGAATTGGCATCAAGAAAAGCCTTTGAGAGAGGATGAGGTCTCATGATTTATTTGGAAGGATTTTGATGGACATAGAAGTAAAAGAGAGGCACAGAAACTAACATGAGGTTGGCAGTTATAAGGAGGCTGGACTGATAGGGTTGAAGTTCCATACTAGGAGCCATTTGGAGATATTATTAAAGTAAGGTAAGTTTAGATTGGGGTATGTCTTGAATGGATAGAATCCAGAATATTAGAGCTGGAAGGGCATTGCTAACATTCCAGCTGGAACTGGAATATCTAGTCCAGTATCCTATAGTTTTCATTAGATTTAAAAAAAATCTATGGAATTCTTTCATCAGATGGAATCATATGTTAAGAAGCTCAATATGTAAAACAGACAAAAGTAATTTGTTTTTTGTGTATTTCTTGCTTATTTATTTATTTATTTTTTTGAGACGGAGTCTCACTCTGTCACCCAGGCAGTGCAGTGGTGCAATCTCAGCTCACTACAACCTCTGCCTCCCAGGTTCAAATGATTCTCCTGCCTCAGCCTCCCAAGTAGTTGGGACTACAAGCATGCACCACCATGCCAGGCTAATTTTTGTATTTTTAGTAGAGATGGGGTTTCACCATGTTGGCCAAGGCTGGTCTTGAACTCCTGACCTCAAGTGATCCGTGTGCCTCGGCCTCCCAAAGTGCTGGGATTACAGGCATGAGCCACAGCGCCTGGCCAAGTGAAAGTACTTTGATTGCATTTGAGTGAAATCAAGTTCAGAGCAATCACTACATTTTAAGAGTGAGAAGACTGAGACCCAGGAATAGAAAATTATCTTAATGTCATTAAATCCAGGAAGCACTTAGTCCCCATCTTGCTTGGCTTCTCAGCAGCATACTGCATTGTTGACTACTCCCCATTGCCCAACACACTCCCTTAACATGTTTTTTGTGATACAGCTCTCCAGGTTTTCCTTTTACTTCTCTGGCCTCTTCCTCTCAGTCTCATTTGGGTATTCATTCTCTTACACCTAAACTTTAAATGCTGGATTTCTCAGGACTTGAGCCTCACACCTTTTTACTTGTTATCCTACATTCTCTGCCTTTGCAATCTCATTTGATGGCTTCAAGTACAGTATAATTTCTATATCATGATAACTCTCAAGTTACATTTCCGGCCCTGTTACTGACTCTATTATTGACTAGGCATTCCCATCTGCATATATCGCATGTACTGCATACTCAAAATTTCTAAAACTATAAAGAAAATTTGGTACATATACACCATGGAATACTTTTCAGCCATAAAAAGGAATGAGGTCACGTCGTTTGCAGGGACATGGATGAAGCTAGAAGCTATTATCCTCAGCAAACTAACACAGGAACGGGAAACCAAACACCACATGTTCTCACTCCAAAGTGGGAGTCAAACAATGAGAACACATGGACACAGTGGGGGAGCAACACACAGTGAGGCCTGTCGGGGGTGGGGCAAGGGGAGGGAAAGCATCAGGACAAATAGCCAATGCATGTGGGGCTTAAAACCTAGGTGACAGGTTGATAGGTGCAGCAAACCACCATGGCACATGTATACCTATGTAATAACCTGCATATTCTGCACTTGTATCTCGGAACTTGAAGTAAAATTTTAAAAAATCCCCATCAAAAAGTGGGCAAAGGATATGAACAGCCACTTCTCAAAAGAAGACATTTCTCAAAAGAAGACATTTATGCAGACAAAAAACACATGAAAAAATGCTCACCATCACTGGCCGTCAGAGAAATGCAAATCAAAACCACAATGAGATACCATCTCACACCAGTTAGAATGGCAATCATTAAAAAGTCAGGAAACAACAGGTGCTGGAGAGGATGTGGAGAAATAGGAACACTTTTACACTGTTGGTGGGACTGTAAACTAGTTCAACCATTGTGGAAGTCAGTGTGGCGATTCCTCAGGGATCTAGAACTAGAAATACCATTTGACCCAGCCATCCCATTACTGGGTATATACCCGAAGGACTATAAATCATGCTGCTATAAAGACACATGCACACGTATGTTTATTGTGGCACTACTCACAATAGCAAAGACTTGGAACCAACCCAAATGTCCAACAATGATAGGCTGGATTACGAAAATATGGCACATATACACCATGGAATACTATGCAGCCATAAAAAATGATGAGTTCATGTCCTTTGTAGGGACATGGATGAAACTGGAAATCATCATTCTCAGTAAACTATCGCCAGGACAAAAAACCAAACACCACATATTCTCACTCATAGGTGGGAAGTGAACAATGAGAACACATGGACACAGGAAGGGGAACATCACACTCTGGGGACTGTTGTGGGGTGGGGGGAGGGGGGAGGGATAGCATTGGGAGATATACCTAATGCTAGATGACGAGTTAGTGGGTGCAGGGCACCAGCATGGCACATGTATACATATGTAACTAACCTGCACATTGTGCACATGTACCCTAAAACTTAAAGTATAATAATAATAAAAAAAAAGAAAAAAAATTTTAAGAGATAAAAAAAAGAAGACATTTATGCAGCCAACTAACATATGTAAAAAAGCTCATCATCACTGGTCACTAGAGAATGCAAATCAAAACCACAATGAGATACCCACTCACTCCAGTTAGAATGGCAGTCATTAAAAAGTCAGGAAACAACAGATGCTGGAGAGGATGCGGAGAAATAGGAATGCTTTTACACTGTTGGTGGGAGTGTAAATTAGTTCATCCAGTGTGGAAGACAGTGTGGCAATTCCTCAAGGATGTAGAACCAGAAATACCATTGAACCCAGCAATCCCATTACTGGGTACGTACCCAAAGGATTACAAATCATTCTACTATAAAGACACACGCACACATGTGTTTATTGCAGCACTGTTCACAATAGCAAAGACTTGGAACCAACCCAAATGCCCATCAAGGATAGACTGGATAAAGAAAATGTGGCCCATATATACCATGGAAAACTATGCAGCCATAAAAAACGATGAGTTCATGTCCTTTGCAGGGACGTGGATGAAGCTGGAAACCATCCTTCTCAGCAAACTAACACAGGAACAGAAAACCAAACACTGCATGTTCTCACTCATAAGTGGGTCTTGAACAATGAGAACACATGCACACAGAGAGGGGAACATCACACACCGGGGCCTATTGGGGGTGGGGGACTAGAGGAGGGATAGCATTAGGAGAAATACCTAATGTAGATGATGGGTTGATGGGTGCAACAAACCACCATGGCACGTGTATAGCTATGTAACAAACCTGCACCTTCTGCACATGTATCCCAGAACTTATAATTAAAAAAAATGGATCACAGAGACAAATATAAAAATAAAATTGTACAACTTCTAGAAAAAAAGAATTCCAAAACTAAACTCATCTTTTTTCTCTTCCTCCAGCTACCCTTGTTTGCTCCTTCTCCAGTGCTCTTTATCTCAGTGAATGTCATCACGAATCACCCAGTTGCTTATGTCCTAAATCAAGGACTCATCCTTGACACCTTCCTTTTTCACCTCTTCCACATTCAGTCAATTGCCAGGTCCTGTTCATCTTATCTCCTAAATATCACTTGAATATCTCCACTCTTCTACATTTCCACCACTGCACTGTGGACTACCACTCTCCTCCAGGCTACCATCATTCCTCTGTTGGGCAACTGCAATGACCTCCTAATTGGTCTTCCTGCTTCCACTCTTGCCCTCTCCTCCAACCTGCTCTGTATGTAGCAGCTATAGTGTCTTTTTAAACTATAAATCTGATCATGTCACTTCCCTCCTCAAAAGCCTTTAGTGGCTTCCCATTGCCTAAGAAAAATGTCTGAATTTCTTAACGCGTCTTAGAAAACCTTTCATGACCTGGTGTTTGTCGACTTATCCACCCTTATTTTTTTTAAACCAGATCTCTCTCTTTTGAGTTAATACTCCAACTGTAATGAAATTGGTTCAGTTTCCAATATATGCCATGTTCACAGCCTGCACAATACTAGGCTAACTCATCCTTCTGGTTTTAGCTGTAATTTTATCACCTCTGTGAATTTTTCCTAAGTTCACACCCTTTCCTAAATCCAGAATAAATGTCCCTCCACCATACTGTCACAGCCACTTGAGAGGTTAATCTCTTGCAAAATGTATCACACATTATTGCAATTGTTTTAATTGTATGTCTCCCAAATTTTAGCCCTTAAGCTTGGTGAGGGCAGGGTTTGTCTTGGCTATTATTGCATCCTAAGTGTGTAGCATGGTGCCTAAAATGTAATAGATTCTTTTATTTTTTAAAATTTTTACATAAAAAGTATGTTTTATAACCAAAATATTTATTTTGTTAATTTTAAAAATTGTATATATTTATGGGGTACAAAGTGTTGTTATGATATATGTATACAATGTAAAATGCTTAAGTCAAGCTAATTGACATATCCATCACCTTAAATGCTTATTCATTTTTGTGGTGAGAACATTTGAAATTTACTCTCTTAGCAATTTTGAAATATACATTATATCATTATTAACGATAGTCATCATGCTGTGCAATAGATCTCAAAAAACTCATTCCTTCTATCTAAGTGAAACTGTATGCTTTGACTAACATCTCCTAATTCCCCTCACCTCCTAACCTCTGTTAACGACCTTTCTCCTCTCTGCTTCTTCTATGAGTTTGATTTAGACTCACATACAAGTGAGATCATGTGGTACTTGTCTTTCTGTGCCTGGCTTATTTCTCTTAGTGTAATTTCTTCCAGGTTCATCCATGTTGTCACAAATGACAGAATTTCCTTCTTTTAAAAAATTGAATAGTATTCCATTCTGTATATGTACTGCATTTTCTTTATCCATTCATCTATTAGTGGACACTTAGGTTGCTTCCATATCTTGACTATTGTGAATATCACTGCAATGAACATGGGAGTGCAAGTGTCTCTTCAACATACTGATTTCAAATTGTTTGGATATATATTCAGAAGTGGGATTGCTAGATTATATGGTAGTTCTGTTTTTAGTTTTTTGAGGAATGTACATAGAGTTGTACATAATGGCTGCACTGTACTAATTTATATTCCCAGCAATAGCGTACTGTGGTTTCCCTTTTGGCACATCCTCAACACTTATCTTTCATCTTTTTGGTAATAGCCATCCTGACAGGTGTGAGAGAATATCTCACAGTGGTTTTAAATTTGTATTTCCCTAATGATTAGTGATGTTGACAATTTTTCATAAATCTGTTGGCCACTTGTATGTCTTCTTTTGAGAAATGTCTATTCAGGTTCTTCACCCATTTTAAAGTCGGGTTATTTGTTTTTCTGCTGTTGAGTTGTAGGAGTTCTTTATATATTTTGGACATTAACGTCTTGTCAGATGTATGGCTTGAAAATATTTTCTCCCAATCCATAGGTTGTCTCTTCACTCTGTTAATTGTTTCTTTTTTGTGTAGAAGCTTTTCGGTTAGATGTAATCCAATTTGTCTATTTTTGCTTTTGTTTCCTGAGCTTTTAGGGTAAAAACAAGCATTGTCCAGACCAATGTCAAGGAGCTTTTCCCCTATATTTTCTTCCAATAGTTTTACAGCTTTAGGTCATACATTTAAGTCTTTAATGCATTTTGAGTTTATTTGTGTATGATATAAGGGTCCAATTCCATTCTTATGCATGTGGATATTTAGTTTTCTCAACACCCTTTATTGAAAAGACTGTTCTTTTCCCATTGTGTTAGTTATTGGCACCCATGTCAAAAATCAATTGATTGTAAATGTGTGGGTTCATTTCTGGGCTCTCTATTCTGTTCCATTGGTCAATATGTGTATTTTTTATGCCAGTCCCATGCCTTTTTAACTACCATAGCTTTGTAATATAGTTTGATGTCAGGTAGTATGATGCCTCCAGGTTTGTTCTTCTTGCTCAAGAAGAACAAGCCTTAGCTATTTGGGTTGTTTTTGTGTGTGTGAGTCCATATGAATTTTGGGATTGTTTATTCTATTTCTGTGAAAAATGACATTGGTATTTTGATAGGGATTGCACTGAATCAGTAGACCACTTTAGGTAGTAGGGATATTTTAACAATATTAATTCTTCCAATCCATGAACATGGAATATCTTTCCATTTATTTGTGTATTTTTCAATTTCTTTTATCAATGTCTTATAGGTTTGAGAGTACAGATTTTTCAATTCCTTGATTAAATTTATTCCTATTTTATTTATTTTTTGTAGCTATCGCAAATGGGAATGTTGTCTTGATTTCTTTTTTAGATAGTTCACTATTAGTGTATAGAAATGCTACTGATTTTGTGTATTGATTTTGTATTCTGCAACTTTTATTAGTTATAACAGTTTTTGGTGGAGTCTCTGACTACTGTATTTCAAAGTATTTATTTACTCTTACTACCAAAAAGTGGGTTTTTCTCTAAATCATAATTTTGTTACTTATAAGTCAAGGTGGCAGTTTTAAAACACTGGTAATATAAGGATATTCTAACAGCCACATGGGTCATTGTCTTTATATTTAACTGAAAAAAGTGTGCAGAAAAATCTACCAGTTATTTTTTGATTCATTAATCTTGCTGGACTTTTGAGACTTTACTCTGAAATACCCTATTTGTGGCTTGGAAACATTTTTATTTCTTTTTTTCACCTTTTATTTTAGATTCAGGAGGTACATGTGCAGGTTTGTTACCTGGGTATATTTCGTGATGCAGAGGTTTAGGGTACAAACGATCCTGTCACCCAGGTAATGAGCACAGTACCTAATAGTAGTTTTTCAGCCCTTGCTCTCCTGCACCCCCTAGTAGTCTCCAGATTCTATTGTTGCCATCTTTATATCAATGAGTACCCAGTGTTTAGCTCCCTCTTATAAGTGAGAGCATGTATTTGGTTTTCTGTTCCTGAGTTAATTTGCTTAGGATAATGTCTTCCAGCTGCATCCATGTTGTTGCAAAGAACATAATTTTTTAAAAATATATTTTAAAATTTCCCTTTTGATTTCTCCTTTGGCCCATTAGTTGTTTAAGCATATTGTTTAATTTTCACATATTTGTGAATTTTCCAAGATTTCTCCTGTTATTTATTTCCAGTTTCACACCATCATGGTTGGAGAAGTTACTTACATAATTTCAATCTTCTTAAATTTGCTAAGACTTGCTTTGTGACATAATTTATGTTCTGTCCTGGAGGATGTTTCATGTGCACTTGAGAAGAATGTGTATTCTGTTGCTGTTGGATGGAACATTCTATATATGTTTGTTAAGTCCATTTGGTCTAAAGTGTAGTTTAAGTCCAATATTTCCTTTTTAACTTTCTGTCTGGATGATCTGTTCATTGCTGAAATTGGATTACTGAAGTCCCTTTCTATTATCGTATTGCGATTTATCTCATCCTTCAGATCTTTTAACGTTTGCTTTATATATTTAGTTGCTCCAATGTTGGATGCATATTTATTAAAATGTTATATCCTCTTGATAAATTGACATATTTATCATTATATAATGTCCTTTGTCTCTTATTATATCTTTTGCCTTGAAGTCTATATTTTGTCCAACATAAGTATAGCTACTCCTGCTCTCTTTTGGTTTCTTTTTGCATGGAATATCATTTTCCATTCCTTCACTTTCAGTCTATGTGTATTCTTAAAAGAGAGATGAGTCTCCTGAAGGGAGTATATAGTTGAGATTTGTTTTTAAATCCATTCAGCCATATCTTTTTATTGGAGAATTTAATCCATTTGCATTCAGAGTAATTATTGATGGGTAAGGACTTACATAACTGCCATTTTGTAGTTTGTTTTCTGGTTGATTTGTAGATTATTTGTTTCTTCCTTTCCTGCTGTTGTTTTTTTGTGGTTTGATTGTTTTCTGTAGTGGTATTCTTTGTTTGTTTGTTTATTTATTTATTTGTTTATTTTTGAGACATAGTCTTGCTCTGTCACCCAGGCTGGAGTGCAGCAGCATGATCTCAGCTCACTGCAATTGCGACCTCCACCTCCTGGGTTCAAGTGATTCTCCTGCCTCAGCCTCCCGAGTAGCTGGGACTACAGGTGCACACCACCATACTTGGCTAACTTTTTGTATTTTAGTAGAAATGGGGTTTCACCATGTTGGCCAGGCTGGTCTCGAACACCTGACCTCAAGTGATCTGCCCACCTTGGCCTCCCAAAATGCTGGGATGACAGGCATGAGCCACCACACCAAGCCTGTAGTGGTATTCTTTGAATCCTTTCTATATACATTTGTGTATCTACTGTAAATTTTTGCTTTGTGGCTACCCAGGGGCTTAGAAAAACTATCTTGTAGTTATAATAGGCTATTTCAAGCTGATCAGAACTTAACTCTATCTCGTACAACAACTCTACACCTTTACCCCCCATCATTTTATGTTTTTGGTGTCAAAATTTACATCCTTTTGTAACTTGTATCCATTGATGATTTATTTTAGCTATAGTTGTTTTTAATAGTTTTGCTTTTTAAACCTCGTATTAGAGATCAAATTGCTTTATGTACCACCATTACAATTCTAGAATATTCTGAATATGGCTCTGTACTACTTATATTATTGAATTTTGGGCTTTCATATGTTTTATGTTGTTAATTAGTGGATTTTATTTCAGCTTAACAAAATTCCTTTAGCAATTCCTATAAAGCAGCACTAGTGGTGATGAAGTCCCTTAGCTTTTGTTTGTCTGGGAAAACTTTTATTTCTCCCTCATTTCTGAAGGACAGCTTTGCCAGGTACAGTATTCTTGGTTGGCAGATTTTTTTGTCCTTCAGCACTTTGACTATATCATGTCACTCCTTCCTGCTTTGTAAGACTTCTGCTGAGAAGTCCGCTGATAGCTGTATTAGAACTCTTTTGTATGTGATTTTTAAAAATTTATTGCTGCTGTCGGAATTTTTTCTTTGTTTTTGATTTTTGATAGTTTGATAGTTTGTGTGTCATGGTGACCTTTTTGAGGGGGGTTGTATCTGATTGGAAACCTCTATATTCTCTATACCTAAATGTTAGCATCTTTTCCCATTTAAGGAAGGGTTTCAGCCATTATTCCTTTAAACATGCTTTCTGGCTCTCATTCTTTCTTCTCCTTCTGAAATTCTTATTATGAAAATGTTTGTTCTCTTGATGCATCCCATAATTCCTGTGGGCTTTCTTCATTCATTTTACTTTTTGTTCCTCTGATTGAATAATTTCAAATATTTGCTCTTCTAGCTCATTGATTATTTATTTAGCTTAATTGAGTCTGCTACAGAAGCTTTCCGTGGAATTTATTTCAGTCATCTTCTTCATCTCTAGGATTTTTATTTTTTAAAATTATTTATATTTCTTTGTCAAATTTCCCATTTTGTTCATGTATTATTTTCCAAATTTTATTTAATTTTCTATCCTATATTTTTGTGGTTCACTGAATTTACTTAAGGGGATTATTCTGAATTCTTCATCAGTCATGGTAGATCTTTCTTTAGGATCCATTGTTGGGGCTTTGTTTGTTTCTTTTTGTGGTGTCACATTTCCCTGATTTGTCATAATCCTTTGGCCTTACATTGCTGTCTCTACACATTTGAGGAGACAGCCACCTTTTTCAGCCTTTACAGGTGTTTGGCAGAGATCAATCTTCATTATGGAGTATAGCCTGTGATTCTGGATTGGCCAGTTGCTAATGATCCTGGTGGGCAGAGCTTGCTGTTGGGCTCTCTAGTTGGCTGGGCTGCTCTCTTAGTTCTGAGGTCAGGTAGAGTTGCTGGCTGGGCTTCACTGTCTGCTGAGACCACTGGCTGAGCTCTTATAATTAGGTGGAGCTGCTGGCTGGGCACTGCCATCACCTCTGATTAGGCAGTGTCACAGGGTATATTTCCTGGCTGTTTCCTCTATTTGGGTTTTGCAATTGGGCAAGGCTACAGGCTGGCTTGTGAGATTAGGGGGAGTCACTGCTTGAGATGGATGGGTCCAGAAGCTATAATCATTAAAAATGTGCAGTGGCAGGTGTCTCCCTGCCTGGGAAGGACCCTGGTGTGGGCTCTGAGGCTGGGCAGAGCCACTATTTGGATTATTGGATTGGGCAGGTTTGGCCTTTGCCTCTGTGCTCTTTTGAAATGCTGAGTGGTGGGCATTTCCCTCCCTGGGCAGGTCCTTGGAATCAGCTCTAAGGCTGAGCAGAGCCACTGTTTGAACTCTTGGGTCTGGTAAATCTAGTCCCTGTGCTCTGCCAAAATATGCAGACGTGAACATCTCTATGCCTAGGTGGGGCCTTGGGGTAGACTCTGAGGCTGGGCATAAAGGTTAGCCATCTAGGAACTCAAGCCAGATTGAACTTTCCACTATGTTTCTAGGAGTGACCAGCTTGGCTTTGTTGGTGGGCTGTGTCATTTTCTGGTATTTCTGATTGGGTGCCACTACTGGCTGGAACACAGAATTACTGCCAAAATCCATGTGCTAGTCACTGTAAACTCTGTCTCCTTTCTTTGTTTCTACTTGACACCAGGCGTTCTAGCCATATCATTACCTCAGTGTTCTCCTTAAAGTGGGCCAGGAATGGACTTCCTGGAAAGTGTCTTGGAATGATAGGGAAACTGAATGTCCATCTGTGGTTCTCTATTCCCACTGTAGAAACTGAGGGAAGGGGAATCCTGTGTGTGGCACAGTGCCAACTTGGAGAGGAGAGGTAATGCAGAGTGAGACTATTTCTCTTACCCTTCTAATGTAGTTTTTATTTGGTTCCATGGTCCACTCAGGGGGATGAGTCTCATTTTCATGTTTTGGGGTTTTCAAAACGGTATTCTTTTCTGTGGATGTTTGCTAGTTGGACTTTCTGTTTCAGGGAGTAAAGCCTGGGATCTCCTAGTCTATTCTACCCTCTTGCTGACATCACCCCAGTAGGTTCTTAAAGATATCTACTGAGTGAATAAATAAATGAATTAGTTACATCATGCATCAAAGCTTATACTACCTTCCAAAAAGCTTGACAGGATATAGTGACAATGCTAAATTTGCCATCATTCCCCATTTAATAAGGCTTCTTAAAGTGATACACTTTTAGATCTTGGAAAATTTGCAAATACCAAGGGCATTCTTGCATATGATGATTATTTGGTCAAAGTGATTATGGCTGAAAATCTTGCTAGTTATTCTGTGGGGAGGGCCTTACTTTTGATTTGTATTTAGGGTTACCTAACTTATGCAAAGATTCACTGGGGAAATTAAAAAACAAAATAGAATTTTATTTATTTTTATTTATTTTTTATTTTTATTATTATTATACTTTAAGTTTTAGGGTACATGTGCACAATGTGCCGGTTAGTTACATATGTATACATGTGCCATGCTGGTGTGCTGCACCCATTAACTCGTCATTTAGCATTAGGTATATCTCCTAATGCTATCCCTCCCCCCTCCCCCCACCCCACAACAGTCCCCAGAGTGTGATGTTCCCCTTCCTGTGTCCATGTGTTCTCATTGTTCAGTTCCCACCTATGAGTGAGAACATGCGGTGTTTGGTTTTTTGTCCTTGCGATAGTTTACTGAGAATGATGATTTCCAATTTCATCCATGTCCCTACAAAGGACATGAACTCATCATTTTTTATGGCTGCATAGTATTCCATGGTGTCTATGTGCCACATTTTCTTAATCCAGTCTATCATTGATGGACATTTGGCTTGGTCCCAAGTCTTTGCTATTGTGAATAGTGCCACAATAAACATACGTGTGCATGTGTCTTTATAGCAGCATGATTTATAGTCCTTTGGGTATATACCCAGTAATGGGATGGCTGGGTCAAATGGTATTTCTAGTTCTAGATCCCTGAGGAATCGCCACACTGACTTCCACAATGGTTGAACTAGTTTACAGTCCCACCAACAGTGTAAAAGTGTTTCTATTTCTCCACATCCTCTCCAGCACCTGTTGTTTCCTGACTTTTTAATGATTGCCATTCTAACTGGTGTGAGATGGTATCTCATTGTGGTTTTGATTTGCATTTCTATGATGGCCAGTGATGATGAGCATTTTTTCATGTGTCTTTTGGCTGCATAAATGTCTTCTGAGAAGTGTCTGTTCATATCCTTTGCCCACTTTTTGATGGGGTTGTTTGTTTTTTTCTTGTAAATTTGTTGGAGTTCATTGTAGATTCTGGATATTAGCCCTTTGTCAGATGAGTAGGTTGTGAAAATTTTCTCCCATTTTGTAGGTTGCCTGTTCACTCTGATGGTAGTTTCTTTTGCTGTGCAGAAGCTCTTTAGTTTAATTAGATCCGATTTGTCAATTTTGGCTTTTGTTGCCATTGCTTTTGGTGTTTTAGACATGAAGTCCTTGCCCATGCCTATGTCCTGAATGGTAATGCCTAGGTTTTCTTCTAGGGTTTTTATGGTTTTAGGTCTAACGTTTAAGTCTTTAATCCATCTTGAATTAATTTTTGTATAAGGTGTAAGGAAGGGATCCAGTTTCAACTTTCTACATATGGCTAGCCAGTTTTCCCAGCACCATTTATTAAATAGGGAATCCTTTCCCCATTGCTTGTTTTTGTCAGGTTTGTCAAAGATCAGATAGTTGTAGATATGCGGCGTTATTTCTGAGGGCTCTGTTCTGTTCCATTGATCTGTATCTCTGTTTTGGTACTAGTAGCATGCTGTTTTGGTTACTGTAGCCTTGTAGTATAGTTTGAAGTCAGGTAGCATGATGCCTCCAGCTTTGTTCTTTTGGCTTAGGATTGCCTTGGCGATGCGGGCTCTTTTTTGGTTCCATATGAACTTTAAAGTAGTTTTTTCCAATTCTGTGAAGAAAGTCATTGGTAGCTTGATGGGGATGGCATTGAATCTATAAATTACCTTGGGCAGTATGGCCATTTTCACGATATTGATTCTTCCTACGCATGAGCATAGAATGTTCTTCCAGTTGTTTGTATCCTCTTTTATTTCATTGAGCAGTGGTTTGTAGTTCTCCTTGAAGAGGTCCTTCACGTCCTTCACTCATGATTTGGCTCTCTGTTTGTCTGTTATTGGTGTATAAGAATGCTTGTGATTTTTGTGCATTGATTTTGTATCCTGAGACTTTGCTGAAGTTGCTTATCAGCTGAAGGAGATTTTGGGCTGAGACAATGGGGTTTTCTAAATATACAATCATGTCATCTGCAAACAGGGACAGTTTGACTTCCTGTTTTCCTAGTTGAATACCCTTTGTTTCCTTCTCCTGCCTAATTGCCCTGGCCAGCACTTCCAACACTATGTTGAATAGGAGTGGTGAGAGAGGGCATCCCTGTCTTGTGCCAGTTTTCAAAGGGAATACTTCCAGTTTTTGCCCATTCAGTATGATCTTGGCTGTGGGTTTGTCATAGATAGCTCTTATGATTTTGAGATACGTCCCATCAATACCTAATTTATTGAGAGTTTTTATCATGAAGGGTTGTTGAATTTTGTCAAAGGCCTTTTCTGCATCTATTGAGATAATCATATGGTTTTTGTCTTTGGTTCTGTTTATATGCTGGATTACATTTATTGATTTGCGTATATCGAACCAGCCTTGCATCCCAGGGATGAAGCCCACTTGATCATGGTGGATAAGCTTTTTGATGTGCTGCTGGATTCGATTTGCCAGTATTTTATTGAGGATTTTTGCATCAATGTTCATCAAGGATATTGGTCTAAAATTCTCTTTTTTGGTTGTGTCTCTGTCAGGCTTTGGTATCAGGATGATGCTGGCCTCATAAAATGAGTTAGGAAGGATTCCCTCTTTTTCTATTGATTGGAATAGTTTCAGGAGGAATGGTACCAGTTCCTCCTTGTACCTCTGGTAGAATTCGGCTGTGAATCCATCTGGTCCTGGTCTCTTTTTGGTTGGTAAGCTGTTGATTATTGCCACAATTTCTGATCCTATTATTGGTCTATTCAGAGATTCAACTTCCTCCTGGTTTAGTCTTGGGAGAGTGTATGTGTGGAGGAATTTATCCATTTCTTCTAGATTTTCTAGTTTATTTGCTTAGAGGTGTTTGTAGTATTCTCTGATGGTAGTTTGTATTTCTGTGGGATCGGTGGTGATATGCCCTTTATCATTTTTTATTGCGTCTATTTGATTCTTCTCTCTTTTCTTCTTTATTAGTCTTGCTAGCAGTCTATCAATTTTGTTGATCCTTTCAAAAAACCAGCTCCTGGATTCATTGATTTTTTGAAGGGTTTTTTTGGTCTCTATTTCCTTCAGTTCTGCTCTGATTTTAGTTCTTTCTTGCCTTCTGCTAGCTTTTGAATGTGTTTGCTCTTGCTTTTCTAGTTCTTTTAATTGTGATCTTAGGGTGTCAATTTTGGATCTTTCCTGCTTTCTCTTGTGGGCATTTAGTGCTATAAATTTCCCTCTACACACTGCTTTGAATGTGTCCTAGAGATTCTGGTATGTTGTGTGTTTGTTCTCGTTGGTTTCAAAGAACATCTTTATTTCTGCCTTCATTTCGTTATGTACCCAGTAGTCATTCAGTAGCAGGTTGTTCAGTTTCCATGTAGTTGAGCAGTTTTGAATGAGTTTCTTAATCCTGAGTTCTAGTTTGATTGCACTGTGGTCTGAGAGACAGTTTGTTATAATTTCTGTTCTTTTACATTTGCTGAGGAGAGCTCTACTTCCAACTATGTGGTCAGTTTTGGAATAGGTGTGGTGTGGTGCTGAAAAAATGTACATTCTGTTGATTTGGGGTGGAGAGTTCTGTAGATGTCTATTAGGTCCGCTTGGTGCAGAGCTGAGTTCAATTCCTGGGTATCCTTGTTAACTTTCTGTCTCGTTGATCTGTCTAATGTTGACAGTGGGGTGTTAAAGTCTCCCATTATTAATGTGTGGGAGTCTAAGTCTCTTTGTAGGTTACTCAGGACTTGCTTTATGAATCTGGGTGCTCCTGTATTGAGTGCATATATATTTAGGATAGTTAGCACTTCTTGTTGAATTGATCCCTTTACCATTATGTAATGGCCTTCTTTGTCTCTTTTGATCTTTGTTGGTTTAAAGTCTGTTTTATCAGAGACTAGGATTGCAACTCCTGCCTTTTTTTGTTTTCCATTTGCTTGGTAGATCTTCCTCCATCCTTTTATTTTGAGCCTATGTGTGTCTCTGCACATGAGATGGGCTTCTTGAATACAGCACACTGATGAGTGTTGACTCTTTATCCAATTTGCCAGTCTGTGTCTTTTAATTGGAGCATTTAGTCCATTTACATTTAAAGTTAATATTGTTATGTGTGAATCTGATCCTGTCATTATGATGTTAGCTGGTTATTTTGCTCGTTAGTTGATGCAGTTTCTTCCTAATCTCGATGGTCTTTACATTTTGGCATGATTTTGCAGTGGCTGGTACCAGTTGTGCCTTTCCATGTTTAGTGCTTCCTTCAGGAACTCTTTTAGGGCAGGCCTGGTGGTGACAAAATCTCTCAGCATTTGCTTGTCTGTAAAGGATTTTATTTCTCCTTCACCTATGAAGCTTAGTTTGGCTGGATATGAAATTCTGGGTTGAAAATTCTTTTAAGAATGTTGAATATTGGTCCCCACTGTCTTCTGGCTTGTTGAGTTTCTGCTGAGAGATCCGCTGTTAGTCTGATGGGCTTCCCTTTGTGGGTAACCCGACCTTTCTCTCTGGCTGCCCTTAACATTTTTTCCTTCATTTCAACTTTGGTGAATCTGACAATTATGTGTCTTGGAGTTGCTCTTCTCGAGGAATATCTTTGTGGTGTTCTCTGTATTTCCTGAATTTGAATGTTGGCCTGCCTTGGTAGATTGGGGAAGTTCTCCTGGATAATATCCTGCAGAGTGTTTTCCAACTTGGTTTCATTCTCCCTGTCACTTTCAGGTATACTAATCAGATGCAGATTTGGTCTTTTCACATAGTCCCATATTTCTTGGAGGCTTTGTTCGTTTCTTTTTATTCTTTTTTCTCTAAACTTCCCTTCTCACTTCATTTCATTCATTTCATCTTCCATTGCTGATACCCTTTCTTCCAGTTGAAGTAAGTGTTGACACACTGTAAACTTATGTATCCAATGAAGGCACAGCTTCTCTCCCTTCTCAGCTATTTGTCATTTATAAGCCTCAAACTTTTTTGCTGAGAAGGGGATATTTTCTTTGTGTTATAGCACACTGACATGAGGCTGGAACACAGGAAAGCACAGATGAGAAATAAGAGACCATTAAAGGCCAATTCAGCAAATAAACATTGCAACCTTATGAACGTCTAAATTTCATGAGATTTCATTTTTAATGAAAAGGGGGAGGCAATTTCAAGTCCTGGAGAAAGAATCCTGCCTTTCCAACTGCCAGGCAGGTCAGCAGGGTTACAGGAAGCTTTCTGGTTGCCCTCTGTGGCTTCAGTCCCAACTCTTAGACAACAACCTCTAGCTGAAAGATCTTCGATTCCTGAGTCTGTGGTGTATAGTGAGGAAATCACACCAAGGCTAACAGGGAAGTGGCCCTGCCTTTCGTTCTTCTGGGAAAAATGGATTGAATATGTCAACTCATTCCATGTGCCATATCTTCAAAGCTTCTACCCAACACCCCAGGGAAGCCTGCTGCCTTTTAAAAGACAAAAATCAACCTCTAGTTGAACAACATGTGAGTTAGGCCCTAAGCAGTGCTTTATGATGCCAGCCTGAGCAGCTTAGAAATAGAAGAGGCTTCCTCCCTCTAATGGTTCCACTCAAGTGCCTATCTGGTTCCAAGAGGTCTTCTTTTTGGATTAACAAAAATTAGTTCCAAAAGTGAGAAATTGTGCATCTTGTGGAAATGAGAGAACCACTGGCTATGCCTAGAAAATGTATCCTTGGAGGCACTAGGAAAATGGCAGTAAGCTGGCCTGGCTTTTGTAGACATTCAGAGTCCTCCACGAACCCGAGACCCTTATAATTCCCCCAACTTTTGATGGCCTCCAACTTATGTCCTCTACTTGAGCTGACCTTTCCCAGAAGTGCCCTATACCCAGAACAATAGAAAATGAATACACACTACCAATCTTCCATTGCCCTTTAAAACTTCCCAATCCTATTGTGTTGAGTAGGTGTTTGTATTAGTTTTTTAGGGCTGCTGTAACAAAGAACCGCTGAAATACTTCAAATAACAGAAATTTATTTTCTCAGTTCTGGGTGCCACAAGTCCAAAATCAAGGTCTTGGCAGGGCCATGCTCCCTCTAAAGATGCTAAGGAAGGAAGGATTCCTTCCAGGCCTCTCTCCTACCTTCTGGTAGTTCTTTGGCCTATGGCAGCATAACTCCAGTCTTTGCATGGCATTCATCCTGTGTGTGTGTGTCTCTTCAATATGGTATTCTTTTTATAAAGATGTCAGTCATTATGGAGCAGGGGGCCCACCCTACCTCAATATAACTTCATCTTAACTATTAATAATTACATATGCCATAAAGTGATTTCCAAGTAAGGTCACATTCTGAGGTACTAAGGGTTAGGACTTTAATGTTAAAATTTTGGAGGGATACAATTCAACCCATAACAGGTTCTGTCTAGCCCAGTAAGATAGGGGTAATTACTTATAATGGCTCAGTATCCCTGTAAATATGTTTTTGTTCCCAAAGTAGCCTTCTATACTTTCATTGAAGGTACTGAATGTGAGGAAAACCCTAGAGACCATCATTCTAGCGGCCTGGAGACTTCAAGGCCACCCAGTCTAGAGAGCTTCAGAAAGGCTAAGTGTCCTTGAAGACAAAGGCTTAATGTCTTTAGGCAGGGAAGAGGGAACTTCAGGAAAAAGAGGTTCCCCAGTGGGGAATTATTACTTAAAGGGTAAAGGGTTTCAGCTTGAGGTGATGAAAAGTTCTGGAGATGGGTAGTGATGATGGTTGCACAGCAATGTGAATATACTTAATGCCACTGAATTATATACTTTAAAAATGGTTCAAATAGTAAATTTTATGTTATGTATATTTTACCACGATAAAAAAAACCCAGAGAAACAAACAAGCAAACAAACAACAAAAAAAAGGAGACTCCATGTGACTTTCCCTGAAGTGGATAAGAATTGTGGGTGGGGAGAGAGAGTGAGACCCATAGCAGGAAAGAAAGCAGAGGACAGAATCTCAAGGGCACTACCAGTCAACACTGATTCAGGAGGGAGTCAGAAATTACAGAATACAGATGGTGACTGTGCAATCCCCATAAGGTCCTATGGCCTCTGTAATTCCTAAATATTGTTATTTTATTAATAACTAGTAATGGTGAAAATTAACAGTTGTTGAGCGCATACTATGTGCTAAGCACTTCCCATTGTCTAACTCATTTAATTTTAATTTGTATAACAACGCTATAAGGAATGTACTTTATCCACCATTTATAAAATAAATTGAGGCTCAGGGAGGTTAAATAATTTGTCGAAGGTCACACATCTGGTAAGTGGTAGATTGTGAGTTGACATTGTTAATTTATGTAGGAAATTGTCCATTTCATTTAGGTATTTAATTTTAATATGAATTAAGACTTTTTGTGTTTAATTTGTAGGAAAATTTCTTAGGAAATTACAAATTATACAAGTAATACACGAATACATTCTTCTTATAAAAATGAAAATGTTATCTCTTTGTTACCCATAATTTTCACCTTTTTTTTCTTCAGAATGAACCACTGTTATCAGTTTGGTTGCATAATTCCAGAACTCTTTTTATTCATTTACATTTAAGTACTGATTTATTGAAGCTTTGGTAGAATGTGTCAGTAAAACCACTGGGACTTTTTTTGGAGGGGGGATGTTAGAACATTTTGACTACTATTAAAATTTCTTCTATGGTTTTTGGTCCATTCAAGGTATTTTGTTTATTCTTGGGCCAATGTTCATAATTTGTATTTTCTTTAAATGTGTCCATTTTTTCTAGGTTTTCAAAATGGTATTAGGTTGTACATAGTGTTCTTTTTTTTTTCTTTCTTTCTTTTTTGTTTGCTTGTTTGTTTGAGATGGAGTCTCCCTCTGTCACCCAGGCTGGAGTGCAGTGGCGCTATCTCAGCTCACTGCAAGCTCCGCCTCCTGGGTTCATGCCATTCTCCTGCCTCAGCCTCCCGAGTAGCTGGGACTACAGGTGCCCGCCACCATGCCCAGCTAACATTTTTGTATTTTTAGTAGAGAAGGGGCTTCACCGTGTTAGCCAGGATGGTCTCCATCTCCTGACCTAGTTATCCGCCTGCCTTGGCCGGTGGGATTACAGGCGTGAGCCACTGCACCCGGCCGATAGTGTTCTCTTGTAATTTTTAAAGTCTCCACATTATCTCTTGTTATGTTCCATTTGTCTTACTAATATTGCTTATTTTGCCTTCTCTCTTTTTTAAATGATCATGTTTGCCAAAATTTTCTTTATATTATTAATTATTTCAGAGTACTCACTTTGTATTATCTGCCTTTTGAATTTTATTTAATATTTTATAAATGTATGCTTTTGTTGATACATTTTTATGTTATCTTCATTGAATTTATTTTATTATTTTCTTTCCACATTCTTGAGTTGAAGCTTAGTTAATTTATTTTCAACCTTTATTCCTAATACATGCACTTAAGCCTAAATTTATTTTTGAGTACTATTTGGCCATGTCCCTAAGTTTAAAAAAAATGGAAGCATAACATACAACATACATATATATGTATATATATACGCACACACACATATATATACACACACGTATATATATATACACACACACGTATATATATATACACACACACGTATATATATATACACACACGTATATATATACACACGTATATACACACACGTATATATATACACATGTATATACACACACGTATATATATACACATGTATATACACACGTATATATATACACATGTATATACAAACGTATATATACACATGTATATACAAACGTATATATACATGTATATACAAACGTATATATATACACGTATATACACACGTATATATACACACGTATATATATACACGTATATACACACGTATATATATACACATGTATATACACACGTATATATATACACATGTATATACACACGTATATATATACACATGTATATACACACGTATATATATACACATGTATATACACACGTATATATATACACATGTATATACACGTATATATGTTTGATTTATACATATATGTATATATATGTATAAATCAAAAGTGTACATGTCAATGAATTCTCACAAACCGAACAGTTATGTAACCAGCACCCTAATCAAGAAACAACATGGGCAACATCACAGAAGTGCCCAGGTGTGTCCCTTTCCAACCATCACAGTCCCTGCTGCCAAGAATAACCACTGTCTTGATTTTTAATGCCATATAGATTAGTGTTGCCTGTTTCTGAACTTTATGTGAATGGAATGATACAGTATATACTCCTTTGAGTCTGGATGTTTTTCACTTAACATTATATCTATAAGATTCATCTATATTATTGTGGGAAATTTTTCATTGTCCTTGCTACATAATATTTATTGTGTGAATATACTACAGTTAATTTATTTATCCATTCTATCATTGATGGACATTTGGGTTGTTTACAGTCTTTAGCTATAACAAAGCCACCCTCTTATACGTATCTTTAGTTAGATATAGATACACTTCTGTTGCATATATGCATAAGTTTGGAATTGCTGGATCGTAGGGTATGTATGTGTTCAGCTATAGAAACTCGTGCCAGTTTATGTATTTACACTTCCTCTAGCAGTGTGTGAGGTTTTCATTTGCCCTGCCTCCTGAGCGATACTTGGTATTTTCTGTCTTGTTTTCATTTTAGCCATTCTAGTGGATATGTAATAATATGACATTGCTGTTAGATTTGTTTTTCTCTGATAACTAATGAAGTTGAGCACCCATTCCTAAAGTTTTTGGATTAGTGCTTTTGTTCTAGTTTTATTCTAAATAGTTTATAATTCCCATTTTACTTATACTTTAGCCAAGAGTTATTTTTTTCTTTCAGCTTTTATTTTAGAATCAGGTGGTACATGTTCAGGTTTGTTACAAATGTATATTGTGTGATGTTGAGGTTTGGGGTATGATTGAACCCGTTGCCCAGGTAGTGAGCATAGTACCCAATAGGTAGTTTGTTCCCCTCCCTATCTCCCATCTCTAGTAGTTCCCTAGTGTCTACTGTTCCCATTTTTATGTCCATGTGCATCCAGTGTTTAGTTCCCACTTATAAGTGGGATTTAGTTTTCCTTTTTTAACTTTTAAGTTCAGGATACATGTGCAGGACGTGCAGGTTTGTTACATAGGTCAACATGTGTCAAGGGGGTTTGTTGTACAGATTATTTCATCAGCCAAGTATAAAGCCCAGTATCCATTAGTTGTTTTTCCTGATCCTCTCCCTCTTCCCACCCTCTGCTCTCTGGGAGGCCCCAGTGTGTGTTTTTCTCCTCTATGTGTCCATGTGTTCTCATCATTTAGCTCCCACTTATAAGTGAGAATATGCAGTATTTGGTTTTCTGTTCCTGTGTTAGATTGCTGAGGATGATGGCCTCTAGCTCCATCCATGTCCCTGCAAAGAACATGATCTTGTTCCTTTTTATGGCTGCATAGTATTCCATGGTGTATATGTACCAGATTTTCTTTATCCAGTCTATCATCATAGGCATTTGGGTTGATTCCATGTCTTTGCTATTGTGAATAGTGCTGCAATGAATATATGTGTGCATGTATCTTTATAATAGAATGATTTCTATTCCTTTGGGTATATACCCAGTAATGAGATTGTTAGGTCAAATGGTATTTCTGTCTCTAGGTCTTTGAGAAATTTCCACACTGTCTTCCACAATGGTTGAACTAATTTAGACTCCTACCAACAGTGTAAAAGTGTTCCTTTTTCTCCACAACCTTGCCAGCATCTGTTATTTTTTGATGTTTTAATAATCACCATTCTGCCTGGTGTGAGATGGTATCTCAATGTGTTTTTGATTTGCATTTCTCTAATGATCACTGATGTTGAGCCTTTTTTCATATGATTGTTAGCTGCATGTATGTCTTCTTTTGAGTAGTGTTTATTCATATCCTTTGCCTACTTTTTAATGGTGTTTTTTTTCTTGTAAATTTAAGTTTCTTATAGATGCTGGATATTAAACCTTTGTCAAGTGCACTGTTTGCAAACATTTTCTCCCATTCTGCATGTTGTCTGTTTACTCTTTTGATAGTTTCTTTTGCTGTGCAGAAGCTCTTTAGTTTAATTAGATCACATTTGTCAATTTTTGCTTTTGTTGAAATTGCCTTTGGAATCTTTGTCATGAAATCTTTGTCTGTACCTATGTTCCAAATGGTATTGCCTAGGTTTTCTTCTAGGGTTTTTACAGTTTGGGTTTTTTTTTTTCTCTTTTTTTTTGGAGGCTTGCTCTGTCTCCCAGCCTGGAGTGCAGTGGTGAAATCTCAGCTCACTGCAACCTCCGCCTCCTGGTTTCCAGTAATTCTCCTGCCTCAGCCTCCCGAGTAGCTGGGATTACAGGTGCCTGCCACCACGCCTGACTAATTTTTGTATTTTTAGTAGATCCGGGCTTTCATCATGTCGTTCAGACTGGTCTTGAACTCCTGACCTCAGGTGATCCACCTGCCTCAGCCTCCCAAAGTGCTGGGATTACAGGCATGAGCCACTGTGCCTGGCTCAGTTTTGGGTTTTACATTTCAGGCTTTATTCATGTTGAGTTGATTTTTGTATATGGTGTAAGGAAGGCATCCAGTTTCAATTTTCTGCATATGGTTAGCCAGTTCTGCTAGCACCATTTATTAAATAGGGAATCCTTTTCCCACTGCTTGTTTTGGTTTGTTGAAGATCAGATGGTTGTAGGTGTATGGTCTTATTTCTGTGTTCTCTGTTTTGTTCCATTGGTCTATGTGTCTGTGGCTGTCACAGTACCATGATGTTTTGGTTACTGTAGCCCTGTAGTATAGTATGAAGTCTGGTAGTGTCATGCCTCCAGCTTTGTTCTTTTTGTTTAGTATTGCCTTGCCTATTCAAGCTCTTTTTTGGTTCCATATGAATTTCAAAATCATTTTTTTCTAGTTCTGTGAAGAATGTCAATGGTAGTTTAATGAGAATAGCATTGAATCTATAAGTTGTTTTGGGCAGTGTGGCTATTTTCATGATATTGATTCTTCCTATCCGTGAGCATGGAATGTTTTTCCATTTGTTTGTGACCTCTCTGATTTATTTGAGCAGTGGTTTGTAGTTCTCCTTGTAGAGATCCATCACTTCCCTTGTTAGCTGTATTCCTAAGTATTTTATTCTTATTGTGGCAATTGTGAATGGGAGTTCATTCGTGATTTGGCTTTCTGCTTGCCTGTTGTTGGTGTATATGCTAGTGATGTTTGCACATTGATTTTGTATCCTGAGACTTTGCTGAAGTTGCTTATCGGCTTAAGATGCTTTTGGGCTGAGATGATGAGGTTTTCTTTTTCTTTTTCTTTTCTTTTTTTTTTTTTTTGAGATGGAGTTTTGCTCTTGTTGCCCAGGCTGGAGTGCAATGGTGCAATCTTGGCCCACCGCAACCTCTGCCTCCCTGGTTCAAGCAATTCTCCTTCCTCAGCCTCCCAAGTAGCTGGGATTACAGGCATGCACTACCACACCCGGCTAATTTTGTATTTTTAGTAGAGACGGGGTTTCTCCATGTTGGACAGGCTGGTCTCGAACTCCCGATCTCAGGTGATCCACCCGCCTCAGCCTCCCAAAGTGCTGGGATTACAGGCATGAGCCACTGGGCCCAGCCAATGATGGGGTTTTCTAGATATAGGATCATGTCATCTGCAAACAAATATAGTTTGATTTATTCTCTTCCTATTTGAATACCTTTATTTCTTTCTCTTGCCTAATTGTCCTGGCCAGAACTTCAAATACTATGTTGAATAGGAGTGATGAGAAAGGGAATTCTTATCCACTGCTGGTTTTCAAGGGGAATGCTCCTGTTCTGTAGTTTATCTGTTTACTCTTTTGATAGTTTTTCTTGCTGTGCAGAAGCTCTTTAGTTTAATAGATCCCACTTGTTAATTTTTGTTTTTGTTGCAATTGCTTTTGAGGACTTAACCATAAATTCTTTGCCAGGCTGTTATTGAGAAAGGTATTTTCTATGTTTTCTTCTAGGAGTTTTATAGTTTGAGGTCTTACATTTAAGTCTTTAATCCGTCTTAAGTTAATTTTTGTATATGGTGATAGGTCCAGTTTCATTCTTCTGCATATGTACAGCCAGTTATCCCAACACCATTTATGAATAGGTCCTTTCCCCATTGCTTATTTTGTCAACTTTGTTGAGGATCAGTTGGTTGTAGTCATGTGGCTTTTTTTCTGTGTTCTTTATTCTGTTCCATTGGTCTATGTGTCTGTTTTTCTACCAGTACCATGTTGTTTTGATTACTGTAGCCTTGTAGTGTAGTTTGAAGTTGTAGTCCAAGAGTATTTAGAGTTGTGTTCTTTAAACATTTCCAGATGTAAAGTTTATGAGGAACTATCTTTTTGTAGTTGATTTCTAATTTTGTCAAAAGTGAACGTGGCCTAAAAGACATTATGTTTTTGGAATTCAGTATTTCCTTATGGTCTAGTAAATGATTATTTTTTGATGAATATTTGTGTATGTTTAAAAAGAAGGTATATTCTTTATTTGTTTAATACGAAGTTCTGTATATTGAATTATTCAAATTGTCTGTATTCTTAATTTTTCTCTACTTGATCTCTCAATTTCTTAAAGAAATGTGTTAAATTCTCCCATTGTGATTGTTATTTATAAAAAACACCATTTCTTTTTGTACATTTATTAGTTTATGTTTTCTATATTTAGAGCCTATGTTCATAAATGTACAAAGGTTCATAACTGTTATATCTTCTTGATGGAGTGTTCTTTCTTTTTATTAAAGTGATGTTTCTCTTTTTGTCTCTGAATCAGTTTTGCCTTGAATTTATATTTTGTCTACTCTTAATATTGCTACACCAGATTTCCTTTTGCTGATATTTGTCTTGTGTTATTTTTTCTAGTTCTTTATTTTCCATCTGTGAGTGATTTTGTTTTAAGTATGTCTCTTGTACATAACATCTAGTTGAATAATTTTTACTGTTTTTTAATAGATAAGTTTAATTTATTCACATTTACTGTGATTACTGATGTGTATGCAGTTATTCCTGCTTTCTTATTACTTGTTATTAACTTACGCTTTCACTTTCTTTATATTTTCTTTTCTACTTTTTGTAGAATGGATTGAGATTTTTCCCCCTCCTCTCTTTCAGGTTGGAAAGGTATACATTTTATTTCTATCTTTTATAACCACCCTTAATTTTGAAACACATACATGAAGTTATATATTTCTAACACTAGAATTAGTAAATATCTAATTTATCTTCCTAAAATGATAATAATCTTAGCATGCTTTTGACACCCTCTGCTCTCCATCCCCAATTCTCATATTGACAGTTTTGGATTTTAGTCTCACTGCTTCCTCTTGGATTCAATTTTCTTCTTCTATAATATATCCACCAATGAGTATTTCAGTATGGGTTAATGATTAGTAAAATTTCTGAGTATTTCCATGGCTGAAAATATCTTTATTTTACCCTAACTTTTGATTGATAGAATTACAGGTTCATAATTATTTTTCTTTGCAATATGAAGTGCTCCAACATTGTATCCAGTGTTGCAGATGGAAGCCTAACGTCAAACTTAATATTCTCATTCCTTTCTGGTAATCTAAATTCTCTCCCTTCTCACTGATAGCTTTTAGCACTTGCTCTTTAACTTTGGTTTCTAAAATTGCACTAAAATGTGTCGTGTGTGAGTGTGTGTGAGAGAGAGAGAGAGAGACAGAGGGAGAGAGAGAGAGATTTATTTTGCTTGGCACTTGATAGGCCTTTTCAGTCAAAGACTTATGTCTTTCTTCCATTTTGGGGAATTTTTGGCTATTCTATTGTCTCCTGTCTATTTTATCTGTTCTTTTCTGTTGGAACTCATATTGGATTGAAGTTAAAACTTCTGGGTCTGTACTCTATGTTTTTTTACTTTCATACTTTCTATGTTATAAACTCTTTGGATTCTACTGGATAATTTTTCAGTTCACTATTGCAGTTTACTTATTTGCTTTTCACCTGAATCTAATCCGCTATTTAGCCCATCTCTTGAGCTATTTATTTCAATAATTATATTTTAACTTTCAAGAGCTTGAATTAGCTTTTAAAAAGTCACTTTCACTTATTCAAAACCATTTATTATTGTTTAAGGATGTGATATCTTTCATATCTCTCTGAGGGAATGAATCAAACTATGTAAAGGTCTTATTCTGATTTATCTATTTTGTTTCCTCTTAGTTAAATTCTTTCATTTATTGAGTTTGTTGTTTCTTTTCAATAGTGTGAGACTCTCTTTCTTTTTTTTAGTTTTAAAAACATGTTTATTTTAAACTTTGCCAAAAGATATAAGGTTATATTACCATATTATAGAGCAATTGGAAAATGAAGAAAAAACTATAACTGTCATAGGTGTGTGCACGTGTGTGTGCATGCGTGTGTTAAATTTAGTCTTTCTGTGGTAGTCTAATTCTTAATTTGAGGGGAATTTAATACAATAATTTTACATTTTTTTAGTGAACACATGTGGACTATCTTTTTTTATAGTTAGTATCTACTCAATAGTGTGAGGTTTTCTTAAATGTTTGACAGTCTTGCCTCTTTTTGCACAGTCTACTTAAGGGAATATATGGAAGTTGCTACTGTGTATTGTAACTATATTTAGGGAGGGTAGGGCATATTGCTGGCTGAGATACACGAGTGGCCGTTCTTCTGGATATAGATGCCCCCTGTTTCTCTCAGGGGTTGCTAGATTTGGTAAATAAAGGAGTTCTAATTAAATTTGAATTTTCAGTCAAACAACATGCTTTATTTAGTATAAGTATGTCCCATGCAGTATTTAGGATATATTTATATGAAAAAAGTTCATTGCTTATCTAAAATTCAAATTTAACTGGGTGTTCTATGTTTTTTCTGACAATCCTACACCTAAAGCATTGCTGTATTGTTCCCATTCAGACATGGGCAATACTGTTGCTATTGTGGCTACTACCTGACCCACAGCTGGAGAAGGTGGGAGGGTATATGTGGGGCCAATTACCCTATCCGATCTTAAATAACCGTCCCATAGATATTCCTGAGTTCTTTGTATCTGATCTGCATAACCCTATCTGATCTTGCATAACCGTCTCATAGTTATCCCTGAGCTCTTCCCATTTCTACCACCTGAGGGTACGAAGCATGTTTTATACTACTCTCATCTACTACTGCGGAGTTTTACTGCCTATGACCTGGGCTATAGTTCTCTCTTCAATACTATTCCACTTACTTCATGCCTTTCAAGAATTCCTCTATAGTTCAGTGAATTTGGTGCTGGATGGAGAGACTACAGCATATATTAAGTCTTTCATCTTGAAATCAGTGTTCCTGCACATTCATCTACCAGACTTTACTATGTCTATTTCCTGGCATGATCATTAGTTTCTGTTTGTTTGAGGTCTCATGGAAGAAGAAAACTGAGTAGTTCGTATTACCGTTGCAGGCAGCTTCTTGAGGTAAGCCGAACCCTATGAAATGGAATGGAAAGTGGCATCTAGGGAAGGGAGAAGAAAGGCAGCTGAGACCCCTGTGGCAAAGGAAGTAAAGCAATCATGTGCCTATAGGTTGGTATAGGCACTAGAATCAGAGATCTGGGTTTGAATTTTCGCTACCATTTACTAGCTTTGTGACCTTGGTAATTTGTGACTGGTTATTTAACTCCTCTATGGCTTCAGTTTTCTCATCCGTAAAGTGGGGCTATTACCTATTTTCCTGACTTGAGTATTTTAACACTTCTATATTTGATATGTGTTATAATCAGCATGTACAGTTCATACACAATTTGTTAAATTGATAGTGAATCTTAAAATCAATGGCATCTTGGATTCAGAAGCAGGGTACTATTACCTGCTTCACAGAGCTTTGTAAAGATTCAGTGAGGTGTGTCTGTTCATATACTTTGCCCACTTTTTGATGGGGTTGTTTTTTTTTTCTTGTAAATATGTTTAATTTCCTTGTAAATTCTGGACATTATACTTTTGTCAGATGTGTAGATTGCAAAAATTTTCTCCCATAGTTTGCCTGTTCACTCTGATGATAGTTTCTTTTGCTGTGCAGAAGCTCTTTAGTTTAATTAGATCTCATTTGTCAATTTTGGCTTTTGTTTCTATTGCTTTTAGTGTTTTTGTCAAGAGGTCTTTGCCCATTCATACGTCCTGAACGGTATTGCCTAGGTTTTCTTCTAGGGGTTTAATGGTTTTGGGTTTTGCATTTAAGTCTTTAATCCATTTTGAGTTAATTTTTGTATAAGGTGAAAGGAAGGGGTCCAGTTTCAGTTTTCTGCATATGGCTAACCAGTTTTCCCAGCACCATTTACTAAATAGGAGATCCTTTCCCCATTGCTTGTTTTTGTCAGGTTTGTTGAAGATCAGATGGTTGTAGATGTGTGGTGTTATTTCTGAGGTTTCTGTTCTGCTCCATTGGTCTATATGTCTGTTTTGGTACCAGTACCATGCTGTTTTGGTTACTGTAGCCTTGTAGTATAGTTTGAAGACAGGTATCCTGATGCCTCCAGCTTTGTTCTTTGTGCTTAGGATTGTCTTGGCTATATGAGGTGTTCTTTGATTTCATATGAAATTTAAAATAGTTTTTTCTAACATTTACGTGGCCAACAAACATATGAAAAAAAGCTCAACATCACTGATCATCAGATAAATGCAAATCAGAACCACAATTAGATGCCATCTCATGCCAGTCAGAATGGCGATTATTAAAAAGTCAGGAAACAAGAGATGCTGGCGAGGCTGTGGAGAAATAGGAACACTTTTACACTGTTGGTGGGAATGTAAATTAGTTCAACCATTCTGGAAGACAGTGTGGCGATTCCTCTAGGATCTGGAACCAGAAATACCATTTGACCCAACAACCCCATTACTGGGTATATACCCAAAGGAATATAAATCATTGTACTATAAAGACATATGCACATGTATGTTTATTGCACCACTATTTACAATAGCAAAGACATGGAGCCAACCCAAAAGCCCATCAATGATAGACTGGATAAAGAAATTGTGGTACATGTGCACCATGGAATGCTATGCAGCCATAAAAAAGAATGAGATCATGTCCTTTGCAGGGACATGGATGAAGCTGGAAGCCATCATTCTCAGCAAACTAACACAGGAACAGAAAACCAAACACTGCATGTTCTCACTCATAAGTGGGGGTTTAACATTGAAAACATATGGATACAGAGAGGGGAACAACACACACCAGGGCCTGTTGGGGGTGGGGGTTGAGGGGAGGGAACTTAAAGGGTGGGTCAATAGGTGCAGCAAGCCACCATGGCACATGTATACCTATGTAACAAACCTGCATGTTCTGCACATGTATCCCGGTTTTATTTTAGAAGAAATAAAGGAAAAAAGAATATTCTATCTGAAAAATTAATGATAATTAAAAACTACCAGACTGACAAAAAGAAACAGATTCAGCGAGGTAACACATATGAAGTGCTCAGGTGAGTGTCTGGCACATAAGTAAGTGCTCAATGGGCATTAGATAGTGTTCATGACAGCATAGGAAATTGGCCTGGGACCGAGAATGGAACCTGGGGCTTAAGAAGGAAAAGGCTTTTGGGCACCCTGACTTTGACAAATAGTAACAATTTTGGGCACAGTGACAAGCTCATGGGGAAATCGTTCTAATGGTGGAGGGTTGGGGGAGCTGCAGTTGCAGTGGCCATTCAATAATCAAATTAGTCTAGCTTCGCCTGAAGGGTCTGCATCATATTCTGCTTAATTTATACCTCCTAGTAGCATTATGTATAAGTATATTCTGCTTAATTTATACCTCCTAGTAGCATTATGATTACTAAGCATAAGGAACTGTTTTAGTCACGTTCTGAACAAGTAACCAATTAGGAGTAGCTGTTCCTATTCTGGCTATGGATCCTTTTAATGAAAAATCCAGAGGAGTTTGCAAAGTAAGGGAGGCAAAGAGTGAACATGGTTGCATTCTTTTCATGAGTTGACTTGTAACATTGGAGGGTCACATAAGCCTCGAGCTCACTGCAGTTGTGTTGGGGATTTATCTGCATGGTATAAAACCTATATGTCAAGAATGATTGGTTTGCTTTTGGCTTTGTGTGATTCCAATCAATAATTACACCTATTGATCAAAGGCATACATTCAAAACACTAATTTACATTGAGCACCTTAACTTCATAAAATGGCAACAACTGAATTAGCTGAAATTGATTTCCCTTTTGTTTTCAAAAGAAAAATTCTCAGTGCTCTGGATATCCTCAGTGTGATTCAGAGCTCAAAGCTGGTTAATTATCCAGCAATTTCACAAAGAAGAAAGTCCTGCAAAAATAACTAGGGTGCAAATTGAAATCCTAGTGGAGGTTGTTCATGTGTCGTTTCTAAAGTTCATCTGGAGAAGTGGAGATATTTTTCTGGCCTTGGAGGGAGTTAAACATGAGGAATGTTGCCATGATCAATAAGGAAGATACCTTGAAGGCTGAGCTAGAGGGTGACTTCCTAGGGCCAGAGCGCCCACACTCCAAGCTGTAGTCACTATGTCAAATGCCAGTTTTATATATGATGATTCCCAAAGAAACATCACTAGGTTGGTTTAGTGGTGGTAATTCACAGAGCTACTGAAAGAATGTCATAGTTTGTTTGTCAGGGCTTGCAGAGACTTTTCAGCTTGGAATAGGTTGTCATAAACTAATCTTACACATTTATTCTTGTCATTCTAAACCCACACTGTTTTGAGAGTCCAGCTCAGACTTTACTTTCCCCAGAAAGCCTTGTCTATCTCTAGCTTTTACTGGGCTTGTTCAATTCCTGAAGCTTATTCAGATAAAAGCAATGTGTGTAATATGTTATTTCCTTTGCTTTTCTTACCTCGTTGATAATGTCATTTCCCAGAGAGCAGAAAAAATGACAGGAAAAAATTATCAAGTTCCTCTTTCATACACATAAAGTAGAAAGGAGACTAAGGGAAAGCCACAGCTTTGGGATGCAACACTTGGGTCGTTGAAGAGGACTGGGGGATTCCCCAAAATTAAATTCTGATGGTAAAACAAATGATTCTGAATTAGTAGATAAGAAGAAGGATCTTAAGGACATTCAGGATGCTTTCTGGTGAGGGCAATTAGAACAGGGAAAGATCGCATCCAATATAAAGAAAAAATGAGGAAAGTAGAAAATAATGAATTCATCATTATGCTTGCTCTAGGAAGCTGAAAAAAGACAGGCTAGGCCTGCTGCTGGGGCTATGAATGCCCATGCAGTGTATTTCAAACTATAATTTGCAGAAACTTAGGGTTCAATGGTTGAGCTTCAGGAACTTCTAGGGGTAGAGGCAGGAGAGGTCAGATTTACGAGATGATTGCTCTATCCTGGTTTCAAACAACTATTCCCTATTGTCATTGCTAACATAGTTGCTACAAAATCTCAGTTATCACCTTGAATGGTACTATCTTTGCTAATGTAACAACTCTCTCAAAGACACACAGAGTCCATTTGGATGACTCCTCTCTCCCTGCAAGATCTCTCCTAGCCAGCAACGAAAGCCCTCCTTTCTTCAACCTGCAGATCTGAAGCTTACCTGTGACAGACTGATTGCTTCACTTCTCTCATTAAAGGTGCTGTGTTCTGCCTCATCTTTGGGCTAAGCCATGCCATGCTTTGGTCAGCAAGATGTTAGCAAACATGTTGCAAACAAAGGCTAGAAAAATGCTTGCAGCTTTCCTCCTGCTCACTCTTGTATCTCTGCTCTTGCTCTCTTGCTATATCCATGAGAACATGCTTAGGCTAGCCTGCTGGGGGTATGGGAGAAACAAATGGAACAGAGCCACACCATCCCTTCCTCAATGAGGGCATTCTAGATCAGCCAACAGTCAGCTGATATGCAGACATGAGTGAGCCTGGCCAAGACCAGTCAGCTGACCTTCATCTGACCATAGACAAGTGAGTAAGTCTAATAAAGATCATCAGAACCTCCCAGCTAATCTCTAAACTCAAGAGCAATAGTAAATACATGGTTGCTGTTTTAAGACACTGAGTTTTGGGGTTGTTTATTGTACAGTACTTTGTGGCAATAGATAACAGATACACTGCCCAATCGTTGAGGCTTAGCTCAAATCAACATAAAGCCTACCCTAGCAACTCTTACAGAAGAGGATGTTACTTCTTCAGAGCTCCTACATCACTTACTGCTTGTGCTGCTGGTTTAGACTTTTTGATTTTCTGCACTATATTGGCACCATATTTCACTGACCTCAAGAAGCCATTGGTTGGAACACGTACCATTATCTTATGAATCACTGAGAAAAACAAAACACCTTCAAATATACTACAGCACACTATCCCTTAGAAGACATATCTTAATTTCAGAAAATTTAAAATGCATTTCTTACAATTAATGAAATATAATTAACTGTTTAGAATTGTATGTCTTAGTTCTACAACAAGATTCTTCTTGCAATTGAATACTCAGTTTTCATCTTCTTTGGGGAGCAGGATAGCTAGCATAGCTTTGGAGGGATGTAGACCCTGTTCAGATTCTGGCCAGGTTCAATCTCTGACCTCCCAGAGATTAGCTGGGAGGTTCTGATGACCTTGATTGGACTTGTTCAGAATAATATGAGCTGGGGTGAGTGACTTAAACTCTCAGAACCTCAGTTTTCCCTCTATAAAATAAGAATGTTAACAATACTTACCTCAAAGGGTCATTATGAGAATTAATTAGATCATGCAAAAAACATGGTGGGCATTGAAAAATAATTTCTTTGATTAGGTAATGCAAGTTTGCGTTACAAAATTCAAAATGTACACAAGGGGATGCAGTGCAGAGCTAGCCTCCTTTTCACTCTTGTGCCCTAGTCACTCAGCTTTCCTCCCAGGAGAAATCCACAGTCACCAGCTTCTTGAGTATTCTTCCAGAAATATTCATAGTAGTCACGTCATAAATATTAGTTGCTTTCTACCCCTTTTGGGCCTCATAGCACCTAGTAGAGAGCTGGGCCCTTTTCAAGGGTCAAAGAGATGATTTCTCATTACCTCTAGAACTCTACATGGAAATAGGTAGTACAGGAAATTGGACTGAATAGACCAGTGCCAGAGGCTTCTGGGGAAAAATGTTTGTCAGTCCATCATCTTTACATAATTGCCTCTTTTTTTCCCATAAGAGCTAAGTGCAGAAAAATTTCAATTAACAGAGGGCTTATTACTTGGGCACAAGTTAATATAAGTTTTACTGTTACTGCCACTTCTTCATAAGTGCTGAGACAGGAAATGCAGACTTACCCCAACTGAAAAGCTAGCCAAGCAGAGGAAACCAAACTAATAATGTGGCTGATATTGTCAACTGCTATACATACGCAGATAGAGGAAACCCATATTGACATAATAATAATAAATATGTAAAGAAAGCTCATGGTTTACCAATAAAATCATTTACCATGTTGCTGACTTTACTGGAAAACGATGCTTTATAACCAGTCTCTCGATTTGATTGATACCTAATTAAAAATTCACTAGGCTCAACTTCAAACACCTCAAGCTATATTAAAACCACTGCTATACCAGTGGAGTCATAATATCATTTAAAGCCAAAGCAAGTATGATCATTTATTTAAAGCTTAGGAATAGTTTTGAAAATTGCAAAGTTGCATAAAATCTGTGGCCACACACAGAAAAACAGCAATGTGGTTTAAGTGGAAAGAACTAGGGAGTCAGGAGAACCTGGGCTGAGTTCTGGCTCTGTCATGATCATATGACATGGTCTTGGGTAAGTCATTCCTCTCTGTCCCCTGGTTTCATTATTAGTACAATGAAGATAATAATACCTATTTGTATTAGTCAGGGTTCTCTGGAGGGATAGAACTAATGGAATATATATATATGAGTTTGCTAAGTATTAGCTCACATGATCACAAGGTTCCACAGTAGGCTGCCTGCAGGCTGAGGAGCAAGGAGAACCTGTCTGAGTCCCAAAACTGAAGAACCTGGAGTCCGATGTTCGAGGGCAGGAAGCATCCAGCATGGGAGAAAGATGTAGGCTGGGAGGCTAGGCCCGTCTCTCTTTTCACATTTTTCTGCCTGCTTATATTCTAGCCATGCTGGCAGCTGATTAGATTGTGCCCACCCAGATTAAGGGTGGGTCTGTCTTTCCTAGCCCACTGACTCAAGTGTTAATCTCCTTTGCAACACCCTCACAGACACACCCAGGATCAATACTTTGTATCCTTCAATCCAATCAAGTTGACACTCAGTATTAACCATCACACTATTTTTTCCCGCCTTCACTGGGTTTTTGTGAGACTCAATAAGATGATGTACATAAACTAGTTCAAATGGTTTAAACAGTACCCACATGTTGTTCCAACACCATTTTGTGAGTTTTACTGTGTGCTAAGGACTGAATTGTGCTAAGGATACATAGGTGAACAAATTCAAAAAGCCCTTCCCTCAAGGAACTCATAGCTGAGCTGCCAAAGAGAAACACTAGCATGGTGTGTCACTAGAATTGCCAGATAAAATACAGGATGCCCAGTTAAGTTTGAATTTAAGATAAATAATAATTTTTAGCTTAAATATATCCCAAATAGCACATGGGACATACTTATACTAAAACTTATTCATTGTTTATCTGAAGTTCAACTTTAAAATGGGTGTCCCATATTTTTATTTGCTAAATCTGGCAACCCTATGTGTCACGTGATAGTAGAAGTATATACATAATAGAGACGTTGTGCAGTGCAATTCTTCATGTTAGAATTGATTAATTCTATCTCAAAATATCAGAGAAGGCTTCACAGAGGTTGTGAAGAGAGGCACAAGCATTTGGTAGGTGAATATGTTTGTTTGGGGTGGAGAGAGGAGCAGAGGGCATTTCAGGCAGAGAGAAAAGCAGCAGCACAAGGCAAGAAACACCCTGGAGAGTGTAAGCAACTCCAGGCTTTTCAGTGCTGCTGAAATGTCAAATGTGAGGTAGAGATTGAGAAGATTTGAAGTCCCTGGAAAGAGACTTATGTGGGCTTCATGAAGGGCCTTATATGGACTTTTAAATGTTTATTCTATATCCCACAATGACGTTAGCCAAGGAGAATATGGGAATGGATTTGAGCCCAAGGATTAAGGTTAAACAACACACACACACACACACACACACACACACACAGAGAGAGAGAGAGAGAGAGAGAGAATTTTTAAACCCAGTTAAGCCTTGGGCTGTATAGCAGAGAAAATTCATGGAATCAATTCTTCTGGAAGCCTCTTCAAACGACTGCATGAAGCTGATCCTAGACCAAAGTTGCCTGTGTCAACTCCAGAAGGGCCGAAGATCACCACATTAATACTTGCTTATTTGTGAAATGTACAGATATCGCATGGAAGACTGTTGGACTGTTGGGGGGAGGGGGTGTGGGTGGTGGATAAATTGGACCACAAGGACAAAAGTATTAGGCTCTCTCCGTGTGACGAGGGGATGGCTGACAGGGCAGAGATGTTTGCTATCAGGAAGGTGAGGGGGTATGATGTGAAGGAGAAAATGCAGCTATTGTCTAAATGCCGCATCCTTGAAAGTGTAGGTAGTGGGCCTTTTCTGAAGCTAGAATACAAATGAGATCACTGTAGAATAAATAAAGAAATATGGACTTCACCCAGTGGGGGAGTAGACATAGATTTTGTTAACCAAAAGTGTGGTATAGACTGAAAAGACAAATAGAAGAGGTTAAAGAAATGCTGACATATGGACCGAGGTCCCAGGGTACAGGCCAAGCTATAAATATTCAGCTAATTCATACACATTTGGAGGGCTGGAGGGGTGGGCAAATAGGTGTAGGTTTATAGGAGGAAGCAACAAATTTGCCGAGCAGGTCAAATGGCTGGATGATTAGACTATGACCCTTAGCAAAGGGTGTGCTAGAAATGGCTCATACTGGCTCACAAGAGCCAAATGTTAAATTTTAAGAAAATTTTGCAATCCGGTTTTTAAACACAGCCATTAAAAATAAATTAATATATAAATGTACAGTTAAATTACATTGAAACAAAGGCAACACATACTCAAAACTTATAACTCAAAACAGTAAAATGTTCTTTTACTACATTTTACTATTATCTATGCTCTCGAGATTGTTTACTTATATTTGTATGGTGGAAGTACTATAATGGTGTGTTATTGCATATATCTTCTCAACTGTGTGTTCAGTGATGTCAAGTTGTAGATTTGAGATTGGCCATGGTGGGAGTATTTACATCATGGAAATCAGCAAGTACTACAAATCAGGGCGTCCTCTTGCCAGAGAGCTGATTGTTAAACATCTAGCATTTAGCCACTGGGTACAAATGGGGCCTGCCTCTTCCTCATTAGTTAGAGTAGTGCTATGGTCATATAGAGTAATGGTTATGATCACAGGGTCTATAGACAGGCTGGTTTAGAATCCTGGCTGTCCCTGTATTAACTAGTTGTGTGACTTTAGGCAAATCACTTAACTACTAAGCTCAGTTAGCTATAAAATGAGGCGAATACTAATAGCTACACAGGGATGTTGTTAGTACATATGACACTGTAGCAGTTAACTATTGCTTATCTAACAAACCACCCCCAAAATTAGAGGCTTAAAGAGTATTTATTTATTATCGTTCATGAGTCTGTGAATCAGCTGGATGAATCTAGTTTTAGCTGGGCTCACTCATGTGTCAGTGATCAGCTGTGGGTCAGATAGGCAGATCTGTTGATCTTGGCTGAAATGTCGAAAATGTTTGCGGGTTGGCTGGCTGTAGGATGGTCTAGGAGGGCCTTCCTCCGATGGTCTACCCTGGGCTTTTTCACATGGTCCTGACAAGGTTCTGAAAGAGTGAGAGAAGAAGCATGTGAGGCCTCTTGAGGCCTGGATTCAGTACTGGCACATCTTTACTTCCATCTTACTCCACTGGTCAAACAAGCCACATGGCCAGCTCAGATTCAAGGGTTGAGGAAATTGACTCTACCTCTTGATGGGAAAGGCTGCAAGCCACATTACAAAAGACATAGCTACAGGGAAGATGAAGATGGACAATTGGAGACATTTGTACAATTGCTCTATCACAGGTACGTTTGTGAGAATTACAAAAAGGTGTCCTTTCTGGGCTGATGAATTACTGGTCCAACCATATTAAATTGCTGACTTTTTATCATATTTGATCTATGAAAATGACAATTTTGTATGGCCCAACTCAATACAAAAAGGCACCTGATATAGCTTGGATATTTATTGCCAACAAATCTCATGTTGAAATGTGATCCCCAATGTTGGAGATGGGGCATACTGAGAGGTGTTTGGGTCATGGAGGCAGATCCTTCATGGAGGCAAAGGTCCCTTTGTGCCTTCCCTTTGATGATGAAGGAGTTCACATTCTATGTTCATGTGACAGCTATTAATAGTTGTTTAAAAGAGCCTGGCATCTCCTCCTTTTCTTTCTCTCTCTCTTGCTCTCTCTCTCTCCGTGTGACATGAGTGCTCCCCCGTTGCCTTTTACCATAAGTAAAAGTTTCCTGAGGCCTCATCAGAAGCTCAACAGATGCTGACACCATGCAGAACTGGGAACCAAATAAACCTCTTTTCCTTATAATTTACCCAGTGTCAGGTATTACTTTATAACAATGCAAAGCAGACTAGTATAGCCCTTCTTCTGGGCTGACTAAACCTTAAGCTAGGGTGCACTGGTGTGGATAGTGGACACAAACTAGATTTCATCTCCCTTCTTTCTCTCAGCCTTCTTAAATCCACAAAATGTACAATCATATGTGGAAGCCTTATACTTATCTGTGGTAGAGATTGCTAATTGTTCTCCAAAATATATTCCCCTATCTTTCTTTCTTTCTTTTTTATTTATTCATTTTTTTGAGACAGAGTCTCACTCTGTTGCCCAGGCTGGAGTGCAGTGGTGTCATCTAGGCTCACTGCAACTTCTGCCTCCCGGGTTCAAGCAATTCTCATGCCTCAGCCTCCCAAGAAGCTGGGATTACAAGCAAGCGCCACCACACCTGGCTAATTTTTGTATTTTTTTTTTTTTAAGTAGAGATGGGGTTTCATCATGTTGGCCAGGCTGGTCTCGAACTCCTGGCCTTGAGCAATCCTCTCACCTCAGCCTCCCAAAGTGCTGGGATTACAGGCATGAGCCACCGCACCCAGCAATATTCCCGTTTCTTGATCAGCAATAGAACCCCAATTCTTTTTTCTTTTATTCATTTATATCTAATTAATTAATTTTATATTTCTATATGTTATTGGGGTACAGGTGTTATTTGGTTACATGAGTGAGTTCTTTAGTGGTGATTTGTGAGATTTTGGTGCAGTATACACTCACCATACACTGAGCCATGTTTGTAGTCTTTTTATCCCTCACCCCGCTTCCACTCTTCCCCTCAAGTCCCCAAAGTCCACCATATCATTCTTATGCCTTTGTGTCCTCATAGCTTAGCTCCCATATATCAGTGAGAACATACAATGTTTGGTTTTCCATTCCTGAGTTACTTCACTTAGAATAATAGTCTCCAGTGTCAACCAGGTCACTGCCAATGCTCTTAATTCACATATATATATATATATATATATATATATATATATATATATATATATATATATATATATATATATCACAGTGTCTTTATCCACTCATTGACTGATGGGCATTTGGATTGGTTCCACGATTTTGCAATTGTGAATTGTGCTTCTGTAAACATGTGTGTGCAAGTATCTTTTTCAAATAATGACTTCTTGTCCTCTAGGATACCCAGTAGTGGGATTTCTGGATCAAATGGTAGTTCTATTTTTAGTTCTTTAAGGAATCTCCACACTGTTTTCCATAGTGGCTGTACTAGTTTACATTCCCACCAACAAGCGTTCCCTGTTCACCGCATCCACGCCAACATCTGCTGTTTTTTGATTATGGCCATTCTTGCAGGAGTAAGGTGGTATCACATTGTGGTTTTGATTTGCGTTTCCTTGATCATTAGTGATGTTGAGCATTTTTCATATGTTTGTTGGCCATTTGTGTATCTTCTTTTGAGAATTGTCTATTCATGTCCTTAGCCCACTTTCGATGGGATTGTTTGTTTTTTATCTTACTGATTTGTTTGAGTTCGTTGTAGATTCTGGATATTAGTCCTTTGTCAGATGTATAGATTGTGAAGATTGTCTCCCATTCTGTGGGTTGTCTGTTTACTCTGCTGATTGTTCCTTTTGCCGTGCAAAAGCCCTTTAGTTTAATTAGGTCCCAGCTATTTATCTTTGTTTTTATTGCATTTGCTTTTGGAGAACCCCAATTCTTTAGCTGGCCACATGGTCATCAGGAATAAGGACTACATTTCCCAGCCACTCTTGCAGTTAGGTGTGACCATGTGACTAAGTTCTGGACAATGAATTGTAAGCAGAAGTGGTGTGTGCAACTTCTAAGAAGTGTTCTTAAAGGGAGGCAGCATGTCTCTCTCATTTCATGATGAACAGGATCATCATGGCTAAAGCCTCAGCCCCACAAGATGGAGGAATAAAATAGAAGTCCAGGTCTCTGACACAGTGGGGTATCACAGCAATCCTACTGGAACATGAGGGGAAACAAAGCCCCTGTGTTGTTTAAGGAATTATTATTTCCATTTTATGTTTCTTTTCAGGCAAAACTAATCTTAACCAGAAATTACCTGATAAAATTAATTTTTGTCCGAAAAAACTATTCCTGTCACACTTGAGGATTAAGTGTGATAATAAACAATTATCACACTGTTTCAACATAGAGCACTTGCACAATACATATCTAATCTTAATAGGAACTCACCTTGGTAGTAGAGGGAGTTTGGGTCCATCAACTTGGTGCAGGAATAATACTAGGTTGTGTAGAGAGGGACCCCAAGTGTATTGTGATATGTTGACACTCATATAGGCTTCTGACATACTCCTTTGGGACAAATATCAGAGTCTAAGGGAAAGGGACTCCCATGTATCTGAAATGTACCAGCACATTCTGGTTTAGTATTCTGTATGAGACTAAGAGCAGCAATACAGAAGAGGCCTTCTGCTGCAGTGGTGGCGATGGCACTAGCCGCATCATGAAGGTGGAGTGTTATGACAGGAAACAGCAGTAGAGTCTTTGGGTAGTGACAATGGGCTAGGCTCCAGAGAGTGTGGTCAGGACCGGGCATGCAGGAATTATGTGGAAATAAGGCCTAAGACAGAAGTTGCAAGACACCCCAATGATCCTTCCTCACCTATCCTCCACCATAGCCAACTAGAGCCAGAAGGAGGGATTTGGATGGGGCTAAAGTTCCTCCAATTCTGCAAGTGGAAACTGAGCCACAGGACTGTTTCGTTACTGTTTCTTTGTGTATGATTGTATTCTGCCCTAGCCAGGTGGTCTGGGCAATACCTGCTGCTCATAAATCCATGAGTGATAAACTGAAAATAAACCATGGAAAGTTGGAATATTTCTGTGGATCTGTAACCTCTGAAGTTAAGGGCATGAAAAATAATTGCCACACCCCTACAGCCTGCTACAGAGGCATCTGTCCTCCACAGTGGAATTCTGACGTAACTGATTTACTGAAGAATATTAAGTTATTTGGGGCATTAACTTGTAAAGGTTTTATGTTTTCCAAACGTTGATTCCAACTTTGCTTTGTTGAATTCCCTTTTCAAAATTCATAACCTTCTGGTCCTTTTCAGTTATCAAAATTTAGTCCATTACAAAATCCCAATGTCTTATCAGATTCGAAGATTGCTCCATACCATGTTGCTTTCTAGATAGGTGGGTAGGAGTATTAGGTGTAGATGCAGGGGTATGACATTCTCTATTCTTCTTCCCCCTCCTTCTTGTAAGTTAGCTCCTCTGGCGTTACTTTCTAGCCAGTCTGTTAGGGGTAGGGAGATTGCTCCTGGCCTCACTCTGGTTAGATTTGTTTCCAGCTCTTGCTGGTAGCTTCTGCTGTTGGGCTACCCTCTGTGTACATAGGTGGCTTATGTGGCTGTCACAGGAGTGGTGGCTAGCTTCATTTGCAGTGTTCACTGTTACTGAGGACACTGTCAAAGAGGAGCAGCCTGGTTTCTCTCAGTCATTCCCAAAATTCCAAATGTCCAATCCCTTCACTAGATGGGTTGCCATGACTATCAGCCCTCAAGCTGCCTGGGTAGCATGAAGGCTTTTACTCTTCTAGTCTGTGCTCCTGTATGTGGAGTCAGAACTGCTATGATCCTTTTCTGTGACTTTTAAGGGCAGTAGGGATCAGGAGTTCAGTTTTATCCTGTTCTTCTCTAGGTTACATTATACTATACATTTACATTATACTATAGCCCTTTCATGCCCTGCTGGAATGGTCTACTACAGCAAGTATCCTGCCTTCAGAAATCTCCAGGTGAGAAGCAGGCCCAGCCTCAATATTTACACATACTCACCTGCCTTTACAGAACATATATCATTCTCTCTTATCTCTTTGTTCCACTCAAAGGTATCTTTGAGTAAATCTTCAGGGTCTCCAGGGTCATGAGTATACTGCTAGGGAGCAAGATGCCAGTCTCCTTTTCTAACAGGCTCTCCCAAATCTACGAGAGATTATCTTGAGGCTCACCCCTACCTCATTTGGCTTTGGTGTTGGAGAGGAAAACCTCTTCTTCTTTTGCAACAGGCTGAAAACTCCAATAGCTTCTTCCCCTCCTCCAGGTCTCAGGGGAGTAGACTGGACGTGGAGAGTGGTAGAGGATAGATGAAGACAGTATGTCCAGTAAGCCTTGTGGAAAATATCTGGTCCCATTTATTGGTGGCTCTCTTTAGAATATGAGAGTCTAGGCTACAAGACACTTCAAGTCTGGAGTTCAAATCTTAGCTCTTCCACTTAGAAACTATGTGTCAGCTCACAGAGTGCCTGAGTTCAAATCCTCGCTCTTCCACTTATAAACTGTATGTCACTGGGCAACTCACTTATATTTTTGGGCCTCAGTTTTCTCATCTCTAAGATGGAGATAATAGTAGTAACTATATCATAGAGTTATTGTGAAGATTAATTGGATTAAGGGTTGTAAAATGTTTAATACAAAGCCTGGTACATAATAAATGCCATGCAAGTGTTCATTGTTTATTATCTTTCTTACTTTTTTTTTGTCTTCAGCTTTGGACCATTGTCACCAATTTTGCAGTAATAGAAGTCCCCTTCCGCATTCTGTTATGTTTGATGGATGAATCATGAAACCAGCCTAAGAGAAAGGAAAGACATTTGGAATCGCTTATGGTAACAGTTCTAGTTACTATAAGCTGAGCAAAGCAAAGCTGGAGTTGAGCAAAGAAACAAACACACTGTACCTACTTGAATGTCTCATTAAATATGTTGGGAAAGTAAACCTGGGTGGGTCATTGGTTCATCCATCCCTACTTAGTAAATCAAACGGACTCTCCTTCTGGTAGAGGAGACGCTGTGTCAGAGGAATGTGCTCATTCAAATCAGGAGCCAACACATTCTTAGTAAATGTTCCACATGCAATAAAGTGAATTACTGTGCTGCGTAAGCTCTGGAAGGATTTTTCTAACTTTCCACTGGATAGAAAAGCTTGTTTTATTAATATATTGAATAACAGCATTGTGTAAACAACTCATACTTTTTAGATTTACTCCTGTTAAAGAATGCCATAGTTAAGTGCTTGGAATTGACACTTGAAAATGAAATACTGCTGCAAGTAATGGGGAAATTGTAGATGTATTTTATACCTCTCCTTTCCAAATCAAAAGGTCTCATAAATACAGTCTCTAAAAGTGTCAGTGGGGGGAGTTAACCTAACTGTACAAGCAATAAGCCTGACCTTTCAGTGTAATTTATTTTCGATTTGCTCAATCCTTTTTTATTAAAACTAGCACATCTGAAGCAGAATTAAATCCTATTATAACAGGTGTGTGATCATATCAGGTTCTCCCTGCCACCAGCCCACTTTATTAAAAGTTACTTTGTTTCAAGGAGGATAACCTGATCAGGGCAGTGGGATACCTTTGGAAGGATAGGGCAGCAGGGGAAGGATGGTTTTATTTTCCTGTGAACAACTGCTTTTACCAGTGAAATCAAAGAATATCTATGAGCATATTTCATGTTTGAAAAGCCATGGTAGGACATAATAGCTCCTCTGTGTTTATAAAAGTTATTTCTCTCTGGGGTTATTTAGACCCAGGGACAAAGAGGGTCATCAAGTTGTTCTGTATCATAATCCATACATTACTAGCCTGTAATCATTTTCATGGGTAGCATTCTTAGTCTAGTGACCATTAGGAGAGTACAAACACCTTTGAAATACTAGTGAGATACAGATCCACTTGGTAGAAACTTGCTTTCAGTTTTCGGCCTATCTCATGGAACCTAATTCTACTAGGTCCTTGAAGAAGATTTAGAATTTTAAAAATCACCCCATTTACTAGTGGTTTAACCTGCTTCCTCTTGGTTTAATCTTTTGGTTTCTATCTCCTTTGCTCTGCCTGGTTATCTCATTATCCAGTTCAATTTCTATCTCCTCTGGGATCCTGAATCATCCCTGCCCACAGTGACCTCTTTCCTCTTCCCAAATCTGACCACTTATAGTTCATATACATCAACTGAGCACTGACCTGAATGAATTTGTCGTAACTCCTCTGTCAAACTGAGAACTAGAGGGCAGAAAGTCAAGCCAGTCTAATTTCCAGACCTTTGTAGTGAATTGGAGGACATACTGGGCCTGGTCGAAATAAAATATATGACCACAAGGTGGCAGTGGCACACAACAAGTTTTATTTAGGTGCCACTTCGACAGGTTTGCAGGGTTAGGCAAAAGTCCCTCACAGTATGAGACCTTCCAAAGGCCATGGTGCAGCGGCCACCACCCAGAAAGGGAGAGACTTTAACCTTAGCTATAGAAACATGGTGACTGGTGCATGTCTACTGTCGATTGGTTGACATTCTGGGGCATGAGCCTATCACTTATGGGTTAGCTTTCAGAAGCATAATTACTAGTACAAAGTGTCACTGACTGAAGAATGTATTGAAAACTGGCAGAGGAGATTACTTGTTGCTATAGCAATAAAATAAAATAAAATAAAATAGATATTTTCTTAGGAGAGTAAGAGTTTTCTATTCTCAGCACCTAGCACCTTAGCACAGTATTTTGCAAGCAGGGAGCACTCAGTAAATACTTGCAGAATCAAAGAGCAGCATATGTGTATCATTTGAAAACATATTGCCTTCTAGTCTCCCTAGTGTCAATGCTTCTACCTAGGGTTTAAACGTGGAGAGAATAATAGCATCTACCCTGTGTCCTTATCTTTTTTTATTTCTAAACAAAGCACTTGATCCTTACTTTACTCTCTAAGGCCAGGAAGAAAAGAAATATTTACAAATATTTCTATTTGTAAATTAGAGGTGAAGTAAAATATCTAGAGTCACACAGTGTTGGATCTTTGGACTCTACATTTCTTGGCTTCTATTATTATTATTATTATTATTATTATTTGTGGGAGACCAGAGTTTTATTATTACTCAAATCAGTATCCCTGATCATTTGGGGATCAGAGTTTTTAGGGATAATTTGGTAGGTAGGGGAAGATCAGTGAGTCGAGAGTGTTGATTGGTTGGGCTAGAGATGAAATCATGGGGAATTGAAGCTGTCCTCTTGCTCTGAGTCAGTTCCTGTGGGGGAGGTGGGGGTAAAGGGAAGTGTTAGGCCAATAGAACAGAGATTGCCATCTGGTGTGCAGAAATACTAGTCTTCTTATCCTCAGGTGGGGCAGAGCTGGCAGTGGCCAGAGCCCTGGAAAATTGTTCTGGCTGCAAGCAACTTATCTGTTTTTCTTAGTGTGTTGACAATTATTATCATTTTCTATTTGCGTCCTGATGTGAAAATGTGGGAAGCACTACACAGAAGTGCCATTTAGTGCATATGTGGGTCTGTATGTAACACTCCATTAAATACCACCTTACATCATATTGTTACGTGAGAGTTTTCAGAGTGCTTCCATGCACATCATAGTCACATTTACTCTTCAAATTAAGCCTGTCATGCAGACAGGGTAGTGAACAGTGTTATTTAAATCTACATTTTTAAAAAGTTTTGAAATGGCAAAAAGAGAAAAAACCTTAATTTTCTATCTCAATCATTCTTAAAATTTTAATAATTAAAAAATAAACATTTTATCAAACATAATTAAAATCATATGTGATAATTTTATGTGCTAACTAGACTGGACTGAGAGATGCCCATATATGTGGTTAAACATTATTTTTGGATGTGCCTGTTGTGGTGTTTCCAGAAGAAATTAGCATTTGAACTGGTGAACTGAGTAAAGCAGATGGCTGCCCCCAGTGTGGGTGGGCATCATCTAATCTCTTGAGGACCAAAACAGAAAAAAAATGCTTGAGTTAGGACATTGATCTGCTGCCCTTGGTGCTCCTGGTTCTCAGGCCTTCAGACTTGGACTGGAATCTTCACGATCAACTCTCTGGCTCTCAGGTCTTCAAACTACACTACTGGCATTCTTGGGTCACCAGCTTTCAGATGGCAGATCATGGGACATCTAAGCCTTCATAATCACATAAGCCAACATCTTATAGTAAATCTCTTTATATCTATATCCATATCTGTCTATCTATCTATCTATCTATCTATCTATCTATCTATCTATCTAATCATCTATCTATCTATCTAAACTAGATAGATATATACAGATATAATATGTAAATCTCTCTTTCTTTCTTTATATGTATCTCCATCCTTTTGGTTTTATTTTCCTGGAGAACTCTGACTAATACAGATTTTTGTACCAAGAGTGATTCTAGAGGAACAGAATTCTAAGGATGAGTTTTCTGAATTAGTTCTGGAATTTTGGGATTGGCTCTTAAATTTTGTTAGATTTAAAGACACTAATGACTCTATTTCCAGTAGTAAAGAGAGCATTGATATTTCATGCATGATCTGGCAATGGAGATAAACAAAAAAGTCTGTGTTGGATACTCCAGGTCAACCATTCATAAAAAGAAAGGAGCTGGGTGAGTTGTACATACCTTTGGAACATCTTTGGGAGATTTTTGACAACTAACAAATCTAATAAGGTTGGTTGGTTGGTCCTAATATCCTTGGACAAAGTGGTGAAAGAAAAGCATGGGCTCAGGGACTCATATTCTCAACTAAACCTCCATAAACAGCTTGAAGGCTTTTTTTTTATTGTTATACTTTAAGTTCTAGGGTACATGCGCACAACGTGCAGGTTTGTTACATATGTATACATGTGCCACGTTGGTGTGCTGCACCCATTAACTCATCATTTACATTAGGTATATCTCCTAGTGCTATCCCTCCCCCCTCCCCCCACCCCACAACAGGCCCCGATGTGTGATGTTCCCCATCCTGTGTCTAAGTGTTCTCATTGTTCAATTCCCACCTATGAGTGAGAACATGTGGTGTTTGGTTTTCTGTCCTTGCGACAGTTTGCTGAGAATGATGGTTTCCAGCTTCATCCATGTCCCTACAAAGGACCTGAACTCATCCTTTTTCATGGCTGCGTAGTATTCCACGGTGTATATATGCCACATTTTCTTAATCCAGTCTATCATTGATGGACATTTGGATTGGTTCCAAGTCTTTGCTATTGTGAATAGTGCTGCAATAAACATACATGTGCATGTGTCTTTATAGCAGCATGATTAATAATCTTCTGGGGTATATACCCAGTAATGGGATGGCTGTGTCAAATGGTATTTCTAGTTCTAGATCCCTGAGGAATCGCCACACTGACTTCCACAAGGGTTGAACTAGTTTACAGTCCCACCAACAGTGTAAAAGTGTTCCTATTTCTCCACATCCTCTCCAGCACCTGTTGTTTCCTGGCTTTTTAATGAACGCCATTCTAACTGGTGTGAGATGGTATCTCATTGTGGTTTTGATTTGCATGTCTCTGATGGCCAGTGATGATGAGCATTTTTTCATGTGTCTTGTGGCTGAATAAATGTCTTCTTCTGAGAAGTGTCTGTTCATATCCTTCACCCACTTTTTGAAGGGGTTGTTTGATTTTTTCTTGTAATTTTGTTTAAGTTCTTTGTAGATTCTGGATATTAGCCCTTTGTGAGATGGGTGGATTGTAAAATTTTTCTCCCATTCTGTAGGTTGCCTGTTCACTCTGATGGTAGTTTCTTTTGCTGTGCAGAAGCTCTTTAGTTTAATTAGATCCCATTTGTCAATTTTGGCTTTTGTTGCCATTGCTTTTGGTGTTTTACTCATGAAGTCCTTGCCCATGCCTATGTCCTGAATGGTATTGCCTAGGTTTTCTTCTAGGGTTTTTACGGTTTTTAGGTCTAACATGTAAGTCTTTAATCCATCTTGAATTAATTTTTGTGTAAGGTGTAAGGAAGGGATCCAGTTTCAGCTTTCTACATATGGCTAGCCAGTTTTCCCAGCACCATTTATTGAATAGGGAATCCTTTCCCCATTGCTTGTTTTTGTCAGATTTGTCAAAGATCACATGGTTGTAGATATGCAGCATTATTTCTCAGGGCTCTGTTCTGTTCCATTGGTCTATATCTCTGTTTTGGTACCAGTACCATGCTGTTTTGGTTACTGTAGCCTCGTAGTATAGTTTGAAGTCAGGTAGTGTGATGCCTCCAGCTTTGTTCTTTTGGCTTAGGATTCACTTGGTGATGCAGGCTCTTTTTTGGTTCCATATGAACTTTAAAGTAGTTTTTTCCAATTCTGTGAAGAAAGTCATTGGTAGCTTCATGGGGATGGCGTTGAATCTATAAATTACCTTGGGCAGTATGGCCATTTTCACGATATTGGTTCTTCCTATCTATGAGCATGCAATGTTCTTCCATTTATTTGTATCCTCTTTTATTTCATTGAGCAGTGGTTTGTAGTTCTCCTTGAAGAGGTCCTTCATGTCCCTCATAAGTTGGATTCCTAGGTATTTTATTCTCTTTGAAGCAATTGTGAATGGGAGTTTACTCATGATTTGGCTCTCTGTCTGTTATTGGTGTATAAGAATGCTTGTGATTTTTGCACATTGATTTTGTATCCTGAGAGTTTGCTGAAGTTGCCTATCAGCTGAAGGAGATTTTGGGCTGAGATGATGGCGTTTTCTAGGTATACAATCATGTCATCTGCAAACAGGGACAATTTGACTTCCTCTTTTCCTAATTGAATACCCTTTATTTCCTTCTCCTGCCTGATTGCCCTGGCCAGAACTTCCAACACTATGTTGAATAGGAGTGGAGAGAGAGGGCATCCCTCTCTTGTGCCAGTTTTCAAAGGGAATGCTTCCAGTTTTTGCCCATTCAGTATGATATTGGCTGTGAGTTTGTCATAGATAGCTCTTATTATTTTGAGATACATCCCATCAATACCTAATTTATTGAGAGTTTTTAGCATGAAGGTTTGTTGAATTTTGTCAAAGGCCTTTTCTGCATCTATTGAGATAATCATGTGGTTTTTGTCTTTGGTTCTGTTTATATGCTGGATTACATTTATTGATTTGCGTATATCGAACCAGCCTTGCATCCCAGGGATGAAGCCCACTTGATCATGGTGGATAAGCTTTTTGATGTGCTGCTGGATTCGATTTGCCAGTATTTTATTGAGGATTTTTGCATCAATGTTCATCAAGGATATTGGTCTAAAATTCTCTTTTTTGGTTGTGTCTCTGCCAGGCTTTGGTATCAGGATGATGCTGGCCTCATAAAATGAGTTAGGGAGGATTCCCTCTTTTTCTATTGATTGGAATAGTTTCAGAAGGAATGGTACCAGCTCCTCCTTTTACCTCTGGTAGAATTCGGCTGTGAATCCATCTGGTCCTGGACTTTTTGGTTGGTAAGCTATTAATTATTGCCTCAATTTCAGAGCCTGTTATTGGTCTATTCAGAAATTCAACTTCTTCCTGGTTTAGTCTTGGGAGGGTGTATGTGTCAAGGAACTTATCCATTTCTTCTAGATTTTCTAGTTTATTTGCATAGAGGTGTTTATAGTATTCTCTGATGGTAGTTTGCATTTCTGTGGGATTGGTGGTGATATCCCCTTTATCATTTTTTATTGCATCTATTTGATTCTTCTGTCTTTTCTTCTTTAGTAGTCTTGCTAGTGGTCTGTCAATTTTGTTGATCTTTTTCAAAAAACCAGCTCCTGGATTCATTGATTTTTTGAAGGGTTTTTTGTGTGTCTATCTCCTTCAGTTCTGCTCTGACCTTAGTTATTTCTTGCCTTCTGCTAGCTTTTGAATGTGTTTGCTCTTGCTTCTCTAGTTCTTTTAATTGTGATGTTAGGGTGTCAATTTTAGATCTTTCCTGCTTTCTCTTGTGGGCATTTAGTGCTATAAATTTCCCTCTACACACTGCTTTGAATGTGTCCTAGAGATTCTAGTATGTTGTGTCTTTGTTCTCGTTGGTTTCAAAGAACATCTTTATTTCTGCCTTCATTTCGTTATGTACCCAGTAGTCATTCAGGAGCAGGTTGTTCAGTTTCCATGTAGTTGAGCAGTTTTGAATGTGTTTCTTAATCCTGAGTTCTAGTTTGATTGCACTGTGGTCCGAGAGACAGTTTTTTATAATTTCTGTTTTTTACATTTGCTGAGGAGTGTTTTACTTCCAACTATATGGTCAGTTTTGGAATAAGTGCAGTGTGGTGCTGAGAAGAATGTATATTCTGTTGATTTGGGGTGGAGAGTTCTATAGATGTCTATTAAGTCCACTTGCTGCAGAGCTGAGTTCAATTCCTGGATATCCTTGTTAATTTTCTGTCTCATTGTTCTGTCTAATGTTGACAGTGGGGTGTTAAAGTCTCCCATTATTATTGTGTGGGAGTCTAAGTCTCTTTGTAGGTCTCTAAGGACTTGCTTTATGAATCTGGGTGCTCCTGTATTGGGTGCATATATATTTAGGATAGTTAGCTCTTCTTGTTGAATTGATCCCTTTACCATTATGTAATAGCTTTCTTTGTCTTTTTTGATCTTTGTTGGTTTAAAGTCTGTTTTATCAGAGACTAGGATTGCAACCCCTGCCTTTTTTTGTTTTCCATTTGCTTGGTAGATCTTCCTCCATCCCTTTATTTTGAGCATATGTGTGTCTCTGCACGTGAGATGGGTTTCCTGAATACAGCACACTGATGGGTGTTGAGTCTTTATCCAATTTGCCAGTCTGTGTCATTTAATTGGGGCATTTAACCCATTTACATTTAAGGTTAATATTGTTATGTGCGAATTTCATCCTGTCATTATGATGTTAGCTGGTTATTTTGCTCGTTAGTTGATGCAGTTTCTTCCTAGCCTTGATGGTTTTTACACTTTGGCATGTTTTTGCAGTGACTGGTTCCGGTTGTTCCTTTCCATGTTTATTGCTTCCTTCAGGAGCTCTTTTAGGGCAGGCCTGGTGGTGACAAAATCTCTCAGCATTTGCTTGTCTGTAAAGGATTTTATTTCTCCTTCACCTATGAAGCTTAGTTTGGCTGGATATGAAATTCTGGGTTGAAAATTCTTTTCTTTAAGAATGTTGAATATTGGCCTCTACTCTCTTCTGGCTTGTAGAGTTGCTGCCGAGAGATCAGCTGTTAGTCTGATGGGGTTCCCTTTGTGGGTAACCTGACCTTTCTCTCTGGCTGCCTTTAACATTTTTTCCTTCATTTCATCTTTGGTGAATCTGACAATTACGTGTCTTAGAGTTGCTCTTCTCGAGGAGTATCTTTGTGGCATTCTCTGTGTTTCCTGAATTTGAATGTTGGCCTGTCTTGCTAGATTGGGGAAGTTCTCCTGGGTAATATCCTGCAGAGTGTTTTCCGACTTGGTTCCATTCTCCCCGTCACTTTCAGGTACACCAATCAGACGTAGATTTGGTCTTTTCACACAGTCCCATATTTCTTGGAGGCGTTGTTTGTTTCTTTTTATTCTTTTTTCTCTAAACTTCTCTTCTCGCTTCATTTCATTCATTTGATCTTCCATCACTGATACCCTGTCTTCCAGTTGATCGAATCGGCTACTGAGGCTTGTGCATTTGTCACGTAGTTCTTGTGCCTTGGTTTTCAGCTCCATCAGGTCCTTTAAGGACTTCTCTGCATTGGTTATTCTAGTTAGCCATTCGTCTAATTTTTTTTCAAAGTTTTAAACTTCTTTGCCATGGGTTCAAACTTCCTCCTTTAGCTCGGAGTAGTTTGATCATCTGAAGCCTTCTTCTCTCAACATGTCAAAGTCATTCCCCATCCAGCTTTGTTCCGTTGCTGGTGAGGAGCTGCATTCTTTTGGAGGAGGAGAGGTGCTCTGATTATTAGAGTTTTCAGTTTTTCTGCTGTTTTTTTCCCCATGTTTGTGGTTTTATCTACCATTGGTCTTTGATGATGGTGACGTACAGATGGGGTTTTGGTGTAGATGTCCTTTCTGTTTGTTAGTTTTCCTTCTAACAGTCAGGACCCTCAGCTGCAAGTCTGTTGGAGTTTGCTGGAGGTCCACTCCAGACCCTGTTTGCCTGGGTATCAGCAGCGGAGGCTGCAGAACGGCGGATATTGGTGAACATGAAATGTTGCTGCCTGATCGTTCCTCTGGAAGTTTTGTCTCAGAGGAGTACCCGGCCGTGTGAGGTGTCAGTCTGCCCCTACTTGGGGGTGCCTCCCAGTTAGGCTACTCGGGGGTCAGTGACCCACTTGAGGAGGCAGTCTGTCTGTTCTGAGATCTCCAGCTTCGTGCTGGGAGAAACACTACTCTCTTCAAAGCTGTCAGACAGGGACATTTAAGTCTGCAGAGGATTCTGCTGCCTTTTGTTTGGCTATGCCCTGCCCCCAGAGGTGGAGTCTACAGAGGCAGGCAGGCCTCCTTGAGCTGCAGTGGGCCCTACCCAGTTCGAGCTTCCTGGCTGCTTTGTTTACCTACTCAAGCCTTGGCAATGGTGGGTGCCCCTCCCCCAGCCTCGCTGCAGCCTTGCAGTTTGATCTCAGACTGCTGTGTTCTTTTCTGGTGTCATTTTCAATTTCTTTCATCAGTGTTTTTTTACTTTTCATTATACAGATCGTTCACTTCTTTGGTGAAGTTAATTCCTATGTATTTAATTTTATGTGTGGCTATTGTAAGTGGAATGATTTTTTAAATATATTTTTCAGGTTGTTCCCTGTTGGCATATAGAAATGCTACAGATTTGTGTATGTTGATTTTGTATCCTGCAGCTTTGAACAATTTGTTTATGTGTTCTGAGTGTTTTTTTGTGGAGTCTTTATATTTTTCCAAATATAAGATCATATCATCTGCAAACACTGATAATTTGACTTCTTCCATTCCAATTTGAATGCCATTTATTTCTTTCTCTGGATGGATTATGCTAGCTAGAACTTCCAGCACTTTATAAGAGTGGTGAAAGTGGGCATCTTCATTGTGTTCCAGATCATAGAGAAAAGGCTTTCATATTTTTCTATTCAGTATGATAGTAGATGTGGGTCTGACATATATGGCTTTTATTATGTTGAGGTATGTTCTTTCTATACCCAGTTTTTTTCAGGATTCTTACCATGAAGGTATTTTGAATTTTATCAAATGTCTTTTCAGCATCAACTGCAATGATCATATGATTTTAGCCTTAATTCTGTTGATATGATGAATCACATTGACTGATTTGTACCTGTCAAAACCTTTTTGCATCCCAGCAATAAATCTCACTTGGTCATGATGAATGATCTTTCTAATGTATTCTTTAATTTGATTTCCTGGTATTTTGTTGGGGATTGCTGCATCAGTATCCATCAGACATATTGGACTCTACGTTTTTTTTTTTTTTTTCTAATATGTCTTTGTCTGGTTTTGGTATCAGGGTAAAACAGGCCTTTTAGAATGACTTTGAAAGCATTTCCTTCTCCTCCATTTTTTGGAATAGTTTCAGTAGGATTGGTATTAGTTCTTCTTTAAATGTTTGGTAGAATTCAACAGTGAAGCCATCAAGTCCTAGGCTTTCCAGTACTAGGAGACTGCTTGTTATGGTTTTATCTTGTTACATGTTATTGGTTTACTCAGGTTTTCGATATCTTCATGCAAACTTGGTAGGTTGTACAGGTAAGTATTTATACATTTCAGGGAGATTTTCCAATTTATTGACATATAGTTTCCCATAGTCACCACAATAATCCTTTGAATTTTTGCAGTATTAGCCTGTAATGTCTCCTTTTAATTTTGGATTTTATTTATCTCGATCTTCTCTCCTTTTTCTTCCTTAGTCTGGCTACAAGTTTATCAATTTTGTGTAGCTTTTAAAAAAACCCAACTTTTTGTTTCATTGATAGTCTTGATTTTCTTCATTTTACTTTCATTTATTTCTGCTCTGGTCTTTTATTATATCTTTTCTTCTATTGATTTTGGTTTCAGTTTGAGCTTATTTTTGTATTTTTTTAAGATGCATCATAAAATTATTTTCAGGTGTTCCTCTTTTTTAATGTAGGCACTTATAGCTATAAACTTCCCTCTTAATACTGCTTTTGCTGTATCCCATAAGTTTTGGTATGTTGTGTTTCCATTATCATTTATTTTGAGAAATTTTTCAATTTAGTTTTTAATTTCTTCATTGACCTGTGGGTCATTCAGGAGCATCTATTTTTTAATTCTATGTATTTGTATAATTTTCAAAGTTCCCGCTGTTATTTTCCGGGTTTTTTTTTTTGGTGGTCAGAGAAGAAGCTTGATATTATTTCAATTTATTTGAATGTTTTAAGACTTGCTTTATGACCTAACATATATTCTATGCTTGAGAATGATGCATGTGCTGGGTAAAAGAAGATGTGTTCTGCAGTCCTTGGAAGAAGTGTTTTGTAAATGTCTGTTAGATCCATTTGGTCTATAATGTAGATTCAATGTGGTGTTTCTGTGTTGATTTTATGTCTAGAAGAACTGTTGAATGCTGAAAGTAGGGTGTTGAAGCCTCCAGCCATTATGGTATTGGGAGCTATCTCTCCCATTAGTTCTCATAATATTTCCTTTATATACCTTGGTGCTCCAGGGTTGGGTGCACATATATGTAAAGTTGTTATATACTCTTGTTGAACTGATCCCTTCATTATTATATAGTGACTTCTTTTTCCTCTTACTTTTTTTGTCTTGAAATCTATTTTGTTTGCTATGAATATGGCTAATCCTGATTCTTTTTGGTTCCATTGGCATGGAGCATCTTTTTCCATCCCTTTATTTTCAGTCTATGTGTGTCTTTAGAGGTGAAGTGTGTTTCTGGTAGGCAATGTATCAATGTGTCTTGTTTTTTCATACATTCAGCCAGTCTATGTCTTTTAATGGAAGAGTTTAACCCATTTACATTCAATGTTACTATTGATAAGTAGGAACTTACTCCTGTCATTTTGATTTTTATGTTCAGATGGTTTTGTGATCTTATCTTCCTTCTTTCCTTCCTGTCTTTTCTCAGTGAGGATGATTTTTCTGTGGTTATACGATTTAGTTCCTTGCCTTTTATTTTTTGTGCATACATTGCATGTTCTTTAGTTTGAGGTTACCTTGAGGCTTGCAAATAATATCTTATAAACCATTATTTTTAATCTGATATTTACCTAAGACTATTTTCACAAACAAACAAAAATAAAGCTAATAAAGCTGCACCTTAACTTTGTCCCACTGCTTTTTAATTTTTTGTTGTTTCTCTTTGTATCTTATTGTGTTGACTATGTCTTGAAAAGTTGTGCTTTTTATTTTTGTTTGGTTTATCCTTTAGTCTTTCTACTTAGAATAAGAGCAGTTTACACACCACAGTTACTTTGTTATAATATTCTGTTTTTCTGTGTACTTACAATGACCACTGAGTTTTGTACCTTCAGTTGATTACTTATTGTTCAGTACCGTCCTTTTCTTTCTGATTGAAATACTCCTTGTAACATTTCTTGTAGGACAGGGCTGGTGTTGATGAAATCCCTCAGCTTTCGATTCTCTGGGACCATTTTATTTTCTCCTTCACGTTTGAAGGATAGTTGTTTCAGATATATTATTCTAAGGTTAAAAATTTTTTCTTTTAGCACTTTAAATATGTCATGCCACTCTCTCCTGGCCTGTAAGCTTTCCACTGAAAAGTCTGCTGCCAGACATATTGGAGCTCCATTGGATGTTACTTGTTTCTCTTATCTTGCTGCTTTAAGAACAGTTCTTTATCCTTGATTTTTGGGATTTTCATTATTGCATGACTTGAAGTAGCCTTCTTTGAGTTAAGTCTGCTTGGTGTTTTATAACATTCTTGTACTTGGATATTTGTATCTTTCTCTAGGTTTGGGAAGTTCTCTATTATTATCTCTTTGAAGAAACTTTCTACTCATATGTGTTTCTGTACCTCCTCCTGAAGGCCAATAACTCTTAGATTTGTCCTTTTGAAGCTATTTTCTAGATCCTGTAGGCATGCTTCATTGCTTTCTACTTGGTTTTTCTTTTGTCTTTTGTGACCGTATATTTTCAAATAGCCTCTCTTCAAGCTTATTAATTCTATCTCCTGCTTGATTGATTCTGCTATTGAGAGATTCTACAGCCTGTCACTTTCATTTTTCAGCTCCAGAATTTCTGCTTGATTCATTTTAATTATTTGAAACTTAACTTTTCTGATAGAATTCTGAATTCTTCTCTGTGTTACATTGAATTTGTTTGAGTTTTGTCAACGCACCTATTTTTTTTTTTTTGAGTCAGAGTTTCACTCTTATTGCCCATGCTGTACTGCAAAGGCACGATCTTGGCTCCCTGCAACCTTTGCCTCCTGGGTTCAAGCAATTCTCTGGCCTCAGCCACCTTAGTAGCTGGGATTACAGGCATGAGCCACCACGCCTAGTTAATTTTCTATTTTTAGTGGAGATGGGGTTTCACCATGTTGGTCAGGCTGGTCTTGAACTCCTGACCTCAGGTGATCCACCTGTCTCGGCCTCCCAAAATGCTGGAATTACAGGCATGACCCAGTTATCCTGAATTTTCTGTCTGAAAGGTCACATATCTGATTCTCCAGAATTGGTCCCTGTGGCTTATTTACTTCATTTGGTGAGGGTATGTTTTCCTGGATGGTGTTGATACTAGTAGATATTCTTCAGTGTCTGGTCATTGAAGAGTTAGTTACTTATCGTAGCCTTCACTGTCTGGGATTGTTTGTAACCATCCTTTTTGAGAATATTTTCCAGCTCTTTGCAAAGACTTGGGGCTTTTGTTTTAAGCTGTATCTGCTTTAGGGGGCACCCCAAGCCCAGTAATGCTGCAGTTCTTGCATACTTCTGGAGGTACCACCTTGAGGGTTTCAGAAAAGATCCAGGAGAAGTCTCTGGGTTATCAGGCAGAGACTTCTGTTCCCTTCCCCTACTTTCTCCCACACAAACTGTGTGTCTCTGTCTCCATGTTCTGAGCCACCTAAAGCTAGGGGTGGAGTGATACAGGCACTCTTGTATCCACAAACACTATGACTGTGCTGGGTCAGACCTGAAGCCTGCACGGAGCTGGGTCTTGCCAAAGGCCTGCTGTAACCACTCCCTGGCTACTGCCTATATTTTCTCAAAGCCCTGAGGCTCTATAATCAGCAGGTGGCAAAGCTAGCCAGGCCTGTGTCCTTCCTTTCAGGGCAGTGAGTTCCCTCAGGTGGGTTCAGAGGTGTCATCCAGGAGTCAGGGATTAGAGATAAAGACCTGGTGTTATATTGTATTGCAAATGAGCTGACACTCAAACCACAAGAAGCAGTTTTTCCCATACTTTCTTCCGTTTTTCAAAGGCAGGGGAGCCTCACCCTGTCGCATCCCCTACTACAGGCCATAGAGAGTACTGCAACACTACCACTGATGCTCCCTTAAGTCCCAAGGGTTCTTAAGTCAGCTCCTGGTGAATGCTGCCTGGACTGGGACTCACACTTGAGGGCAGTGGGCACCTGTCTGGTCACAGGCACGTCCAGAAATGCTGTCCAGAAGTCAAGTCCTGGAATCGGGGAACCCAATAGCCTGCTTGTTACTCTATTCCCCTCTTACCATGCTGGTACCTGAAGCCAGTATGTCTCAGAGGTTCACCCAAGGTCCTTGATGTAGTACCTGGGTATCACTGCTTTCTATTCAGGAACCAAGGGCTATTCAGTCGGCTGGTGATTAATCCTGCCAGGGCTTGGTCATTTCTTTCAAGGCAGCAGGTTTCTTTCTGTCCTAGGGTGTGTCTAGAAATGTTATCCAGGAGCAGGTGCCTGGAACAGGGGCTTCACAACCCTGACCAGTGCCCTGTCCTGCTGTAGTTGAGCTGGTATTCAAGATGCAAGAAAAAAAATGTTCCTCACTATTCCATCTCCTCAAGTGGAAGGAAGGGGCCTTTTATGGAGCTGCTAGCTGGGCAGTCTGGGGCTAGGGCAGGGGTGACACCAGCACTCACTTGGCTGCCCCAGCTGGTATCTCAGTAGGTCATGTGCACCCCTCCACATACCCGCCGCAATCCACTGCCTCTGGGCCCAATTCTGTGCTAGAACTCACCTACAGGTTACAGATCTTATGGCCTAGACTGCCTTTAAGGTTTTCTGAGAAACCTGGAACAGTTTTTTCACCCTTGGTGGCAAGGTTTGCAGAAACTCAAGTTCTGATTACCGGGATGGGTAATTGCCCTCTGGCTAGAGTTGGTTTAAATGATCCCTTCCCAGATGGGAATCAGCTAAGTTTGGTCTGATTTTCCTTTCTCCTGTAAGAGACAGCACTGAGTTCAGTGCTTCACAACTGCTCCGCTCTTGCTCTTCCAGCTTCCAGAGATGCTCTGTACACCACACTGCCACTGCCTAGGGAAGGGAAGGGGTAAGTAAGTAAGGGGTAAGTAAGGTAGTAAGTTTCCCAGCTGAACATTTACATATTTAACAAACATATATAGTGAATACTCTATGCCAGACATTCCTCTAAGCACCTTATAAGACTTTATAAGGCTGCTCACATAAAGGAAATTTATTACTGTTTTCTTATTGAAATATAATATGTAATCAGTGACTCTACATTTTCATTTGGTTCTGCCTCTCCTGCTCCTTCCTCTCTTCATCCTTTCCACAATTATTATCAAGCGCATACTATGTATCTAAAGCCTCATACCCCATCCACCTTCCCTTTTGCAATACTATCCTCTGGTCTTCCATAAATAGCAGCGTGGTTCTCCTAATAAGGGCTAACTTTTCTCATATCCTATGGTCTGAGGCTTGTGAGAGGTAAACAACAGTGCAATATGGTGAAAACTGAATGTGAAATAGGCCTCTTTATTTTTTAATTTTAATTTAATTTAATTTTAAGTTTCAGGATACATGTGCGGATGTGCAGGTTTGTTTCATAGGTAAACGTGTGCCATGGTGGTTTGCCGCATCTATCAACTTATCACCTAGGATTTGAGCCCCACATGTATTAGCTGTTTATCTTGATGCTCTCCTTTCCCCTGCCCCCCAACAGGACCCAGGAACAGAAAACCAAGCAACACAGGTTTTCACTTGTAAGTGGGAGCTGAATGTTGAGAACATATGGACACATGGTGAGGAACAACACACACTGAACACCTGTTGGTGGGGGTAGAGGGAGGGAGAGCATCAGGAAGAACAGCTAATGGATGCTGGGCTTAGTACTTAGGTGATGGGATGATCTGTGCAGCAAACCACTGTGGCACACATTTACCTATGTAACAAACTTGCACATGTACCTCTGAACTTAAAATAAAAGTTGAAGAAACAAAAAGAAAAAAAGAAACATTAAAAAAAGCCAATTTTTGTTTCACTGATTTTTTAAATTGCTTTTTGCATTTCAATTTCATTTATATCTGCTCTGATCTTTATTTTTTTTTCTTCTACTAATTTTCGGTTTGGTTTCCTCTTGCTTTTCTAGTTCTTCAAGATGCATCATTAGACTGTTTATTTGAAGTTTTTCTTTTTTGACGTAGGCAGTTATAAGTATAAACTTTCCTCTTAGTGCTGCTTTTGCTGTATCCCATAGGTTTTGGTATATTGTATTTTCATTATCATTTGTTTCAAGAAAATTTTCAATTTCCTTCTTAATTTCTTTATTGACCTAATGGTCATTCAGGAAGATACTGTTTAATTTCCATGTGTTTCCATGTACAGTTTCCAAATTTCCTCTTGTTATTGCTTTCTAGTTTTATTCCATTATGGTCAGAGTAGATATTTGTTATTATTTCAGATTTTTTGAATGTTTTAAGATGTGTTTTTGTGACCTGACCTGTGGTCTCTCCTTAAGAATTATCCATGTGCTGAGGAAAAGAATGTGTATTCCATAGCTCTTGTTTGAAATGTTCTGTACATATCTATTAGATCCATTTGGTCTATAGCGCAGATTAAGTCTGGTGTTTCTTTGCTGGTTTTCTGTCTTGGAGATCTGTCCAATACTGAAAGTAGAGTATTGAAGTCTCCAGCTATTATTGTTTTAGGGCCTATCTCTTTCTTCAGCTCTAATAGTATTTCCTTTATATATCTGGCTGCTTCTGTGTTGGGTGCATACATATTTAAAATTGTTACATCCTCTTGCTTAATTGACTGTTTTATCATTATATGGTGACCTTCTTTGTCTCTTATAGTTTTTGTGTTGAAATCTATTTTGTCTGCTCTAAGTATAGTGACTCCTGCTCTTTTTTGGTTTCTGTTGTCATGGAATATCTTTTTCCATCTTTTTATTTTCAGTCTATGTGTGTCTTTATAGGTGAAGCGTGTTTCTTGTAGGCAACAGATCAAAAGGTCTTGTTGTTTCATCCATTTGGCCAGTCTGTGTCTTTTGATTGGAGAGTTTAGTCCTTTTAGATTCAATGTTATTATTGATAAGTAAGGACTTACTTCTGCCATTTTTTAATTTGTTTTCTGATTATTTTGTGGGCTTCTCTTCCTTCTTTCTTTCCTTCTTGTCTTCCTCTAGTGAAGATGATTTTCTCTGGTGATATGATTTGGTTTCTTGCTTTTTATTTTTCTGTATCCATTGTATGTTTTTTGGTTTTAAGTTACCAGGAGACTTGCAAATACTATCTTATAACCCATTATTTTAAGCTGATAACAACTTAACACTATTTGCATAAACAAACAAGCAAAAGGAAAACAAAAACTTGCCGTAACTTTGGCCCCCTGTGTTTTAACTTTTTGTTATTTCTATTTATATCTCATTGTACTATGTCTTGAAAAGTTGTTGTAATTATTTTTTATTGGTTCATCATTTAGTCTTTCTAATTAAGATAAGAGTAGTTTACACACGACAGTTACAGTGTTATAAACCAGTAAGTTTTGCCCCTTCAGGTGATTGTTTATTGCTCATTAATGTCCTTTTCCTTCTATTTTTGTAGAGATGGGGTTTCACCATGTTGGCCAGGCTGGTCTCGAACTCCTGACTTCAAGTAATCCATCTGCCTCGGCTTCCCAAAGTGTTTGGATTACAGGCGTGAGCCACTACACCCAGCCAAAAATATATGGCAGTTTTCACCTTTTTTTTTTTCAGATGGAGTCTCGCTCTTTTGTCTAGGCTGGAGTGCAGTGGCGCGATCTCAGCTCATTGCAACCTCTGCTTCCTGGGTTCAAGTGATTCTCCTGCCTCAGCCTCTGGAGTACCTGGGATTACAAGCATGTGACACCATGCTTGGCAAATTTTTGTATTTTTTTTTATTTTTAGTAGAGAGTGGGTTTTGCTATTTTGGACAGGCTGGTCTCGAACTCCTGGCCTCCAGTGATCCACCTGCCTTGGCCTCTTAAAGTAGTGGGATTACAGGCATGAACTACCATGCTTGGCCCTTTTCTTTCTGATTGAGGTACTCTCTTTAGCATTTCTTGTAGGACAGGTCTAGTGTTGATGAAACCCCTCAGCTTTTGTTTGTCTGGGAATGTCTTTTTTTCCCTCATGTTTAAAGGATATTTTTACCAGATATACTATTCTAGGGTATACGTTTTTTTTCTTCATTTGGCACTTTAAATATGTCATGCCACTCTCTCCTGGCCTATAAGATTTCCACTGAAAAGTCTGCTGCCAGATGTATTGGAGCTCTATTGTATGTTTTTTGATTCTTTTCTCTTGCTGCTTTTAGGATCCTTTTTTAATCCTTGACCTTTGGGAGTTTGATTTTTTTTTTTTAAATTTGATTTGGAAATTTTAATATAGACTCATTTTTTTTTTCTTTTTTTTGTTTATTAAAGTTTTAGGGTACATGTGCACATTGTGCAGGTTACTTACATATGTATACATGTGCCATGCTGGTGCGCTGCACCCACCAACTCATCATCTAGCATTAGGTATATCTCCCAATGCTATCCCTCCCCCCTCCCCCCACCCCACAACAGTCCCCAGAGTGTGATATTCCCCTTCCTGTGTACATGTGTTCTCATTGTTCAATTCCCACCTATGAGTGAGAACATGCAGTGTTTGGTTTTTTGTCCTTGCAATAGTTTGCTGAAAATGATGGTTTCCAGCTTCATCCATGTCCCTACAAAGGACATGAGCTCATCATTTTTTATGGCTGCATAGTATTCCAAGGTGTTTATGTGCCACATTTTCTTGATCCAGTCTACCACTGTTGGACATTTGGCTTGGTTCCAAGTCTTTGCTATTGTGAATAGTGCTGCAATGAACATACGTGTGCATGTGTCTTTATAGCAGCATGATTTATAATCCTTTGGGTATATACCCAGTAATGGGATGGCTGGGTCAAATGGTATTTCTAGTTCTAGATCCCTGAGGAATCGCCACACTGACTTCCACAATGGTTGAACTAGTTTACAGTCCCACCAACAGTGTAAAAGTGTTCCTATTTCTCCACATCCTCTCCAGCACCTGTTGTTTCCTGACTTTTTAATGATTGCCATTCTAACTGGTGTGAGATGGTATCTCACTGTGGTTTTGATTTGCATTTCTCTGATGGCCAGTGATGATGAGCATTTTTTCATGTGTCTTTTGGCTGCATAAATGTCTTCTGAGAAGTGTCTGTTCATATCCTTTGCCCACTTTTTGATGGGGTTGTTTGTTTTTTTCTTGTAAATTTGTTGGAGTTCATTGTAGATTCTGGATATTAGCCCTTTGTCAGATGAGTAGTTTGCGAAAATTTTCTCCCATTTTGTAGGTTCCCTGTTCACTCTGATGGTAGTTTCTTTTGCTGTGCAGAAGCTCTTTAGTTTAATTAGATCCCATTTGTCAATTTTGGCTTTTGTTGCCATTGCTTTTGGTGTTTTAGACATGAAGTCCTTGCCCATGCCTATGTCCTGAATGGTAATGCCTAGGTTTTCTTCTAGGGTTTTTATGGTTTTAGGTCTAACGTTTAAGTCTTTAATCCATCTTGAATTGATTTTTGTATAAGGTGTAAGGAAGGGATCCAGTTTCAGCTTTCTACATATGGCTAGCCAGTTTTCCCAGCACCATTTATTAAATAGGGAATCCTTTCCCCATTGCTTGTTTTTCTCAAGTTTGTCAAAGATCAGATAGTTGTAGATATGCGGCGTTATTTCTGAGGGCTCTGTTCTGTTCCATTGATCAATATCTCTGTTTTAGTACCAGTACCATGCTGTTTTGGTTACTGTAGCCTTGTAGTATAGTTTGAAGTCAGGTAGTGTGATGCCTCCAGCTTTGTTCTTTTGGCTTAGGATTGACTTGGCGATGCAGGCTCTTTTTTGGTTCCATATGAACTTTAAAGTAGTTTTTTCCAATTCTGTGAAGAAAGGCATTGGTAGCTTGATGGGGATGGCATTGAATCTGTAAATTACCTTGGGCAGTGTGGCCATTTTCACGATATTGATTCTTCCTACCCATGAGCATGGAATGTTCTTCCACTTGTTTGTATCCTCTTTTATTTCCTTGAGCAGTGGTTTGTAGTTCTCCTTGAAGAGGTCCTTCACATCCCTTGTAAGTTGGATTCCTAGGTATTTTATTCTCTTTGAAGCAATTGTGGATGTGAGTTCACTCATGATTTGGCTCTCTGTTTGTCTGTTGTTTGTGTATAAGAATGCTTGTGATTTTTGTACATTGATTTTGTATCCTGAGCGTTTGCTGAAGTTGCTTATCAGCTTAAGGAGATTTTCGGCTGAGACAATGGGGTTTTCTAGATATACAATCATGTCGTCTGCAAACAGGGACAATTTGACTTCCTCTTTTCCTAATTGAATACCCTTTATTTCCTTCTCCTGCCTAATTGCCCTGGCCAGAACTTCCAACACTATGTTGAACAGGAGTGGTGAGAGAGGGCATCCCTGTCTTGTGCCAGTTTTCAAAGGGAATGCTTCCAGTTTTTGCCCATTCAGTATGATATTGGCTGTGGGTTTGTCATAGATAGCTCGTATTATTTTGAAATACATCCCATCAGTACCTAATTTATTGAGAGTTTTTAGCATGAAGGGTTGTTGAATTTTGTCAAAGGCCTTTTCTGCATCTATTGAGATAATCATGTGGTTTTTGTCTTTGGCTCTGTTTATATGCTGGATTACATTTATTGATTTGCGTATATCGAACCAGCCTTGCATCCCAGGGATGAAGCCCACTTGATCATGGTGGATAAGCTTTTTGATGTGCTGCTGTATTCGTTTTGCCAGTATTTTATTGAGGATTTTTGCATCAATGTTCATCAAGGATATTGGTCTAAAATTCTCTTTTTTGGTTGTGTCTCTGCCTGGCTTTGGTATCAGAATGATGCTGGCCTCATAAAAAGAGTTAGGGAGGATTCCCTCTTTTTCTATTGATTGGAATAGTTTCAGAAGGAATGGTACCAGTTCCTCCTTGTACCTCTGGTAGAATTCGGCTGTGAATCCATCTGGTCCTGGACTCTTTTTGGTTGGTAAGCTATTGATTATTGCCACAATTTCGGATCCTGTTATTGGTCTATTCAGAGATTCAACTTCTTCCTGGTTTAGTCTTGGGAGAGTGTATGTGTGGAGGAATTTATCCATTTCTTCTAGATTTTCTAGTTTATTTGCGTAGAGGTGTTTGTAGTATTCTCTGATGGTAGTTTGTATTTCTGTGGGATCAGTGGTGATATCCCCTCTATCATTTTTTATTGCGTCTATTTGATTCTTCTCTCTTTTTTTCTTTATTAGTCTTGCTAGTGGTCTATCAATTTTGTTGATCCTTTCAAAAAACCAGCTCCTGGATTCATTAATTTTTTGAAGGGTTTTTTGTGTCTCTATTTCCTTCAGTTCTGCTCTGATTTTAGTTATTTCTTGCCTTCTGCTAGCTTTTGAATGTGTTTGCTCTTGCTTTTCTAGTTCTTTCAATGTTGATGTTAGGGTGTCAATTTTGGATCTTTCTTGCTTTCTCTTGTGGGCATTTAGTGCTATAAGTTTCCCTCTACACACAGCTTTGAATGCACCCCAGAGATTCTGGTATGTTGTGTATTTGTTCTCATTGGTTTCAAAGAACATCTTTATTTCTGCCTTCATTTTGTTATGTACCCAGTAGTCATTCAGGAGCAGGTTTTTCAGTTTCCATGTAGTTGAGCAGTTTTGAGTGAGATTCTTAATCCTGAGTTCTAGTTTGATTTCACTGTGGTCTGAGAGACAGTTTTTTGTAATTTCTGTTCTTTTACATTTGCTGAGGAAAGCTTTACTTCCAAGTATGTGGTCAATTTTGGAATAGGTGTGGTGTGGTGCTGAAAAAAATGTATATTCTGTTGATTTGGGGTGGAGAGTTCTGTAGATGTCTATTAGGTCCGCTTGGTGCAGAGCTGAGTTCAATTCCTGGGTATCCTTGTTGACTTTCTGTCTCGTTGATCTGTCTAATATTGACAGTGGGGTGTTAAAGTCTCCCATTATTAATGTGTGGGAGTCTAAATCTCTTTGTAGGTTACTCAGGACTTGCTTTATGAATCTTGGTGCTCCTGTATTGGGTGCATATATGTTTAGGATAGTTAGCTCTTCTTGTTGAATTGATCCCTTTACCATTATGTAATGGCCTTCTTTGTCTCTTTTGATCTTTGTTGGTTTAAAGTCTGTTTTATCAGAGACTAGAATTGCAACCCCTGCCTTTTTTTTGTTTTCCATTTGCTTGGTAGATCTTCCTCCATCTTTTTATTTTGAGCCTATGTGTGTCTCTGCACGTGAGATGTGTTTCCTGAATACAGCACACTGATGGGTCTTGACCCTTTATCCAATTTGCCAGTCTGTGTCTTTTAATTGGAGCATTTAATGCATTTACATTTAAAGTTAATATTGTTATGTGTGAATTTGATCCTGTCCTTATGATGTTAGCTGGTTATTTTGCTTGTTAGTTGGTGCAGTTTCTTCCTAGTCTGGATGGTCTTTACATTTTGGCATGATTTTGCAGCGGCTGGTACCGGTTGTTCCTTTCCATGTTTAGCACTTCCTTCAGGAGCTCTTTTAGGGCAGGCCTGGTGGTGACAAAATCTCTCAGCATTTGCTTATCTGTAAAGTATTTTATTTCTCCTTCAGTTATGAAGCTTAGTTTGGCTGGATATGAAATTCTGGGTTGAAAATTCTTTTCTTTAAGAATGTTGAATGTTGCCCCCCACTCTCTTCTGGCTTGTAGGGTTTCTGCCGAGAGATCTGCTGTTAGTCTGATGGGCTTCCCTTTGAGGGTAACCCGACCTTTCTCTCTGGCTGCCCTTAACATTTTTTCCTTCATTTCCACTTTGGTGAATCTGACAATTATGTGTCTTGGAGTTGCTCTTCTCGAGGAGTATCTTTGTGGTGTTCTCTGTATTTCCTGAATCTGAATGTTGGCCTGCCTTGCTAGATTGGGGAAGTTCTCCTGGATAATATCCTGCAGAGTGTTTTCCAACTTGGTTTCATTCTCCCCATCGCTTTCAGGTACCCCAATCAGATGTAGATTTGGTCTTTTCACATAGTCCCATATTTCTTGGAGGCTTTGCTCATTTCTTTTTATTCTTTTTTCTCTAAACTTCCTTTCTCGCTTCATTTCATTCATTTCATCTTCCATCGCTGATACCCTTTCTTCCAGTTGATCGCATCGGCTCCTGAGGCTTCTGCATTCTTCACGTAGTTCTCAAGCCTTGGTTTTCAGCTCCATCAGCTCCTTTAAGCACTTCTCTGTATTGGTTATTCTAGTTATACATTCTTCTAAATTTTTTTCAAAGTTTTCAACTTCTTTGCCTTTGGTTTGAATGTCCTCCCGTAGCTCAGAGTAATTTGATCATCTGACGCCTTCTTCTCTCAGCTCGTCAAAGTCATTCTCCATCCAGCTTTGTTCCGTTGCTGGTGAGGAACTGCGTTCCTTTGGAGGAGGAGAGGTGCTCTGCTTTTTAGAGTTTCCAGTTTTTCTGTTCTGTTTTTTCCCCATCTTTGTGGTTTTATCTACTTTTGGTCTTTGATGATGGTGATGTACAAATGGGTTTTTGGTGTGGATGTCCTTTCTGTTTGTTAGTTTTCCTTCTAACAGACAGGACCCTCAGCTGCAGGTCTGTTGGAGTACCCGGCCATGTGAGGTGTCAGTGTGCCCCTGCTGGGGGTTGCCTCCCAGTTAGGCTGCTCGGGTGTCAGGGATCAGGGACCCACTTGAGGAGGCAGTCTGCCTGTTCTCAGATCTCCAGCTGCGTGCTGGGAGAACCACTGCTCTCTTCAAAGCTGTCAGACAGGGACATTTAAGTCTGCAGAGGTTACTGCTGTCTTTTTGTTTGCCTGTGCCCTGCCCCCAGAGGTGGAGCCTACTGAGGCAGGCAGGCCTCCTTGAGCTGTGGTTGGCTTCACCCAGTTGGAGCTTCCCGGCTGCTTTGTTTACCTAAGCAAGCCTGGGCAATGGCGGGCGCCCCTCCCCCAGCCACGCTGCTGCCTTGCAGTTTGATCTCCGACTGCTGTGCTAGCAATCAGGGAGACTCCGTGGGCGTAGGACCCTCCGAGCCAGGTGTGGGATATAATCTCGTGGTGCACCGTTTTTCTAGCCCGTCGGGAAAGCGCAGTATTCGGGTGGGAGTGACCCGATTTTCCAGGTTCCGTCCATCACCCCTTTCTTTGGCTAGGAAAGGGAACTCCCTGACCCCTTGCACTTCCCGAGTGAGGCAATGCCTCGCCCTGCTTCGGCTCGCGCATGGTGCGTGCACCCACTGACCTATGCCCACTGTCTGGCACTCCCTAGTGAGATGAACCCGGTACCTCAGATGGAAATGCAGAAATCACCGTCTTCTGCGTGGCTCACGCTGGGAGCTGTAGACCAGAGCTGTTCCTATTCGGCCATCCGGGAGTTTGATTCTTAAGTGCCTGGAGGTAGTCTTCTTTGTGTTAAATCTGCTTGTTGTTCTATAACCTTTTTGTACTTGTATATTGATATGTTTCTCTAGGTTGGGAAGTTCTTTGTTATAATCCTTTTGAATAAACTTTTTACCTCCATCTCTTTCTCTACCTTCTCTTTACGACCAATAACTGTTAGACTTGCCCTTTTGAGGCTATTTTCTAGATCCTGTAGTAATGCTTCATTTTTTAAATTCTCTTTTTCTTTTATCTTCTCTGACTTTGTATTTTCAGATAGGCTTTCTTCAAGCTCACTAATTCTTCTGCTTGATTAATTCTGCTATTAAAGGACTCTGGTGCTTTCTTCAGAATGTCAATTGCAATTTTTAGCTCCAGAACTTCTGCTTAATTCTTTTAAATTATTTCAGTCTCTGTTAAATTTATCTGGTAGAATTCTGCATTTTTTTCTTTGTGTTTTCTTTAATTTCTTTGAGCTTCCTAAAAGCAGCTGTTTTGAATTCTCTCTCTGAAAGGTCACGTATCTCCATTTTTCCAGTATTAGTCTCTGGTGCCTTATTTAGTTCATTTGGTGAGGTCATGTTTTCCGGGATGGTGTTGATGCTAGTGGATGTTCTTCAGTGTTTGGGCATTGAGGGGCTATGTATTTATTGTAGTCTTCAGTGGCTAGATTTCTTTGTAGCCATCCTTCTTGGGATGGCTTTATGCATATTTGAAAGGACTTGGGTGTTGTTATCTGATATGGATTGGCTGTGTCCCCACCCAAATCTCATCTTGAATTCCCATGTGTTGTGGGAGGGACCTGGTTAGAGGTGGTTGAATCAAGAGGGCAGGTCTTTCCCGTGCTGTTTTCATGATAGTGAATAAACCCCATGAGATCTGATGGTTATAAAAATGGGAGTTTCCCTGCACAAGCTCTCTTCTCTTGTCTGCCACCATGTGAGACGTGCCTTTCACCTTCTGCCATGATTGTGAGGCCTTCCCAGCCATGTGGAACTGTAAGTTCATTAAATCTCTTTTTCTTCCCAGTCTCAGGTATGAAAGCAGATTAATACAATAAATTTGTACCACTATGGTGGGATGCTGCTGAAAAAATACCTGAAAATGTGGAAGTGACTTTGGAACTGGGTAACAGGCAGAGGTTGGAACAGTTTGGAGGGCTCAGAAGAAGACAGGAAAATGTGGGAAAGTTTGGAACTCTCTAGAGACTTGTTGAATGGCTTTGACGAAAATGCTGATAGTGATATGAACAATAAGAAATTTCTTCCTCCAGATACCTCAGATCATCTCTCTCAAGTTCAAAGTTCCACAAATCTCTGGGGCAGGGGCAAAATGCCACCAGGATATTTCCTAAAGCATAACAAGAGTCACCTTTGCTCCAGTTCCCAACAAGTTCCTCATCTCCATCTGAGACCACCTCAGCTTGGACTTCATTGTCCATATCAATATCAGCATTTTGGCTGAAACTATTCGACAAGTTTCTAAGACGTTTCAAACTTTCCCACATCTTCCTGTCTTTGAAACTGTTCCAACCTCTGCCTGTTACCCAGTTCCCAAGTTGTTTTCACATTTTTTAGGTCTCTTTACAGCAGCACTCCACTACTTCTGGTACCAATTTACTGTATTAGTCTGTCCTCATGCTGCTATAAGGACGTACCTGAGACTGGGTAATTTATAAAGTAAAGAGGTTTAATTGACTCACAGTTCTTCAGGGTGAGGAAGCCTTAGGAAACTTACAATCATGGTGGAAGGGGAAGCAAACATGTCCTCCTTCACATGGCGGCAGCAAGAAGTGCTGAGCAAAGTGGGGAAACGCCCCTTATAAACCATCAGATCTTGTGAGCACTCACTCGCAACTAGAACAGCATGGGAAAACTGCCTCCATAATCGAATCATCTCCCACAGCGTCCCTCCCCCAACACGTGGGGATTACAATTCTGATTACAATTCAATATGAGATTTGGGTGGGGACACAGAGCCAGACCATATCACTGGGTATCGCTGCTGGTTATTCAGGGCCCAAGGACTCTTCAGTTAGTGGGTGATGAATGCGGGCAGGACTAAGTCCTTTTCTTCAAGCAGCAGCTTCCATTCCTGCCCAGGGTGTGTCTAGAAATGTCATCTGAGAGCTAGGGCCTAGATCAGGGGCCTCACTTCTCTGACTGGTGCCTATCCTGTTGTGGCTGAGCTGGTATTCAAGATGAAAGACAAGTCCTCCCCAGGTTTCCTCTCCTCTCTTCAGGTGGAAGAAAGGGGTCTCCTTTGGAGATGTGAGTTGTGCAGCCCGAGGCTAGGGGAGGGGTGATGCCAGAACTACCTTGGCTGCCCTAGCTGGTGTCTCAGTTTGTAACAATCCTCCCCAATCCACTGTCTGGCCCTTGTTCAGCCCTAGGACTCGCCTACTACTTTCAATCTTTATGGCCTAGACTGCCTTTCAAGTTTACTTAGAGACCAAGAGCACTTTGACACTTGGTGGCAAGGTTTGCTGGCACCAGAGTTCAGACCACTGGAATCTGCAATTCCCTTCTGGCTAGGGCTGGTTTAAATGCTCCCTCTGTGGGCAGGCCTCAGTTGAGTTTGGTCTGGTTTTCCTTTCTGCTCTAACAGGACAGCACTGAGTTCAATGCTTCACAATTGCTGTGTTCTCCCTCCCCCAATTCCCAGAGATACTCTCCACACCATATCATGGCTGCCAGGAGTGGGGGATGAGTGGCACCAATGATTCAGGACTGTTTTTTTCTATCTCTTCAGAGCCTCTTTCAGTGATATAAAACCAGATACTGTGAGTGCTCACCTGATTCTTGGTTCTTCTGAAGGTGTTTTTATTTTTTATTTTTTATTTCTTCTGTGTAGGTAGTTGTTAACTTGGTGTCCTTGTTTGGGGGACGATTGATGGAGCTTTCTATTTATCATGTTGCTCCACCTCTCCCTCAAGTCTTTAATCCATCTTGAGTTATTATTTGTATTTGATGAGAGGTAGGGGTCTAGTTTCATTCTTATGCATATAGTTAGCCAATTATCTTGACACCATTTATTGAACAGGGTGTTTTCCCCCATTGCTAATTTTCATTGACTTTGTAAAAGATCAGTTGGTTGTAGTTGTGTGGCTTTATTTATGGGTTCTCTGTTCTGTTCTATTGTTCTATGCGTCTGTTTTTGTATCAGTACCATGCTGTTTTGGTCACTGTAGCTTTGTAGTATAGTTTGAAGTCAGGTAATGTGATGCCTCTAGCTTTGTTCTTTTTGCTTGGGACTGCTTTAGCTGTTGGGGCTCTTTTTCAGTTCCATATGAATTTTGGAATAGTTTTTTCTAATTCTGTGAGGAATGACATTGGTAGTTTGATGGAAATAGCATTGCATCTGCAGATTGCTTTGGGCAGTATGGCCATTTTAGCGAAATTGATTCTTCCATTCCATGAGTGTGGACTATTTTTCCATTTGTTTATGTTATCTATGATTTTTTTTCACCCATGTTTTACGTTTCTTTTTGTAGAGATCTTTCACCTGCTTGGTCAGATGTATGTGTCCTAATTAACTGTTTATGTTATCAGTAAGGCTTCTGGTCAACAGATGGCTACTAGTAGTTAAGTTTTTGAGGAGTCAAGTTATACATGGATTTTCAACAGTGTGTGGGGTCAGTGCCCCTAACCCTTGTGCTGTTCAAGTGTTAACTATCTATATGTATCTAATCTTTTTTTTCTTGGCAAGATAATTGCATAAAATACTAGTTATAAAATTGTATTGGGATTATAATATATAAAGATGTAACATATATGACAATAATAGCACAAAGGAGGGGAGAGGATACAGATCTATATAGGAGCAAGAAAATGACACCAGGTGGTAACTCAAGTCCAGAGCAAGAAATAAAAAATAGCAAAAATGGTGAATATGTAGGCTAATAAAAGACCCTATATTTCTCTCTTTTATTTTCTTAACTCATTTAAAAGATAAAGATTGTATAAAGCAATTCTTATGCTGTATTGTTGTGTTTATAACATATATAGATGTAATATGTACATTAATAATGACACAAAGGAGGAGGAAAGAAGGGAGCTATGTTGGAGCAAAGTTTCTGTATTTTACTGAATTAAGTTAGTATAAATATACACGTAGATTTTGAAATGTTAAAATGTATATTGCCACCCCTAGAATAACCACTGGGAAAATTAAAAATATAATAAAAAATTATTAAATGAATTAAAATGGTATAGTAGAAAATAATCACTTAAGACAGAAGAAGGCAGTAAAGTAAAACAGAGAAACAAATATATCCACATAGAAAAATAGCAGAATGGTAGACATACATCCTACTTTAATTGTAATTACAGGCCGGGTGCAGTGGCTGATGCCTGTAGTCCTAGCACTTTGGGAGGCTGAGGTGGGCAGATCACTTGAGTCCCAGAGTTCAAGACCAGCCTGGGTTACGTAGTGAAACCCTGTCTCTCTCTCTATATAAAAAAACAAAACACAAAAATTAGCCGGGTAGTGGCACGTGCCTATAGTCCCAGCTGCTTGGGAGGCTGAGGTGAGAGGATTGTTTGAGCCCAGCAGGCAGAGGTTGAAATGAGCAAGACTGTGCCACTGCACTCCACCCTGGGTGACAGAGTGAGTCCCTGCCTCAAAAAAAAAAAAAAAAAAAAAACAAACAAAAAAACAAAACAGTAATTACAATAACTGTAAAATGATCAAACACTTCAACCAAAAGACAGAAATTGTTAAATTGGATTTTGAAAACAAGATTCAACTATTTGCTGTTCATAAAAGATACTTTAGATTCAGAGATACAAATGAGCTAAAAGTAAAAATATGGAAAATGTAATACCATGCAAACAACAATCCTAAGAAAGCTGGAGTGGTTTTATTAATCTTACACAAATAGAATTTAAAACAAAAATATTACTAGAGATAAAGAGGGGCAAGTTATAATGATAAAAGAGTCAATCTATCAAAAAATAACAATTATAGACATATATGGATCTAACAACAGAGTGTCAAAATACATCAAGAAAAATGGACAGAATTAAAGTGAGAAATAGACAATTCAACAGTAAGTGTTGGAGATGTCAATATTCCATGTTTAATAATGGATAGAGCAACAAGAAAAATAATTAGAAAAGGTTAAGGAAACTTGAACAGTGCCATCAACCAACTCGACATAAGTGACATCTATAGAATACCCTATTCAACAACAGCATTATAATCTTTCCATGCTTAATATTGGGCAACTCAGTCTCATGTGCTCTGCAACCTCACCAAGGTTAAGCCTGTGTTTCACAGTTGGCTTATCAAAACTTGGGGCTGTTTAATGGACAACTTTGTATTTGTTAGCAACATATTTATAGAGCATATTAAAATAAGTTTTTGCTTTGTTGTTTTTATTTTAGGGATGTTTACAGCCCAGGAATCATAACTCATTACAGTTTTAGGGAAGTCACTAGAACTGACAGGCCATTCTCATGTTTCCAGCTAGAGTTGAAAAGTAGGGAAGGTTTCTTCAAACTCAGTGAAAGCCAGATATAGTTGATAGCCTGATGCAGTTTGGCAGAGGCATGGAATTACTTGTTTTTGTTTTTGATTTTATAGGCAGTATTAATGACAATTGCTAACTTATACAAAAGTAAAGGGAATAGTACCAGAACCCCCATGTACTTATTACTTGCTTCCAACAATCATCACCTCATGATGACTCTTGTTTTATTGATACCACCCTACCTACTCTTTACCACCTCAGCACCAAAGTATTAAAAAAATTTCCAGATATTATATTATGGAATACCTTCAGAAATTCATCTATTCAAGCAGAGGTAGATGTTAGTAACATATTGAGTTAAGAATTAGGAAACCCAGATCTAGCTTTTGATTATTAAAGGATGCTGGGCAAATCTCCTATTTTCTCTTGGCTTCAGTTTCTTTATGTGTAAAATGAGGTACATTGGTCTCTGTATCAGTGGTTCTTCACCATATGTGCACTGCACATTAGAATCAGCTGGGGAGCTATTAACAATTTTGGAACCTCTTGATAATGAGGCCTGGCTTTAGTATTTTAAAAAGCCCTCAAGTGATTCTAATGTGAAGTCAATATTGAGAACCAATAATCTAGAATGATCTCTCTAATGGTTAACTTTATGTGTCAATTTGCCTAGACTGTAGTATTCAGTTATTTAATTGACCACTAATCTAAGTGCTACTGTGAAAGCACTTAGTTGATATGGTTATTATTTACAATCAGTTAACTTTAAGTAAAAAAGATTATGCTCAATAATGTGAGTGGAATTCATCTAATCAGTTGAAGGCTTTAAGATCAAAAACTGAAGTTTCCTGAAGAAATTCTGCCTCAAGACTAAAGCAGCAACTTCTGCCTGACTTTCCAGCCTCTCAGCCTGCCTGTAGATTATGGATTTGCCAGCCCCCACAGTCATGTGATCCAATTCCTTAAAAATCTCTCTCTCATACGTATATGTGTGTGCGTATGTGTGTGTGTATATATATATATTTATATATATATATATAAATAATGTGTGTGTGTGTGCGTGTGTGTGTGAGTGTGGTTCTGTTTCTCTGGAGAACTCTGACTGTTACAGTCTTTCTCTGTATTTCTAAGGGTTTCTGGTTCTGATTATGTGTCTCTGCTTTTTTCAAAACCAGCCTTTGCCTTTCTGAAAACTGCCATTGGCAGTTTTAAGATTTCCTGAGAGGTTATTATTTACTGAGCAGTTACTGTGTGCCAGGAAGCATGCTTAGAGTCTTTCCACTTACCTCCCTTAGTTGTAATAACTGAGCTACCTCTTTCAACATTCCTAATAGAGTACTTGCAAAATAGTAAGTAAGATAAATTTTATTCTTTTTTTTTTCTCCATAATTGTGTGAGACCTATATTAGTATCTTGGGTCATGGAGCATCAGTAACTTGGAGATAACTTTTTTACCCCAGTTATCCTTTTTTTATTGCCTATTGCCTGATTTCTTTGGGTCCGGATGTGTTTCTATTTGGCCTAGGGAGACAGGATTATTTGTGGTCCACAGTGTTCAACAAAAAGCACTTAATATAATGATAACATGAAGCAAATATTGATTGCCTTGAATTCAAATTGCACCTTTCCTCTGAAATCTCAAGAGTCCACAGAGAGACTATCAAAGTTGAAAGAGTGAACTCAGGAGGTGGGCATTAGTGGAAAGAGGTCTAGATTATCAGGCATGGCGATCACCTGTTAGATGTGCAGTCTCAGGTCCCACTCCAGACCTATTTAATGAGAACATGCATTTTAAAAAGATTCCCAAGTGACTCATATGCGTATTAAAGTTGAGAAGCTCTGGTCTATTATGCATCTTTCATGTTATTTTAGCTGTCCCATTTGTGGCCAACTATTTATTCATTTTGTGACATGGCTCTTGGGGTTGGGATTCCAACTATAACCTGGGTCGGGAACTCAGGAAGCACCAGAATAAAGGCTCAGTCTAGGGCTGTAAAATAGAGAACGATAAAAAATGGCCTTGGAATAGTTGGCATTAGCTTCCTGAAAACAATTTAAATTTTTCTTTAATTTGTCTTTCAATTCACCCCAACTGTTCTCCCTGCTCCCCTGTGGAACAATGATTTAAAATAATGCCATCCTATACATACCTCTTTGTTTTTAGGTCAGTTTAAATTATTTTCTCATTTTACAAGTCCCCTCACCCTTAGTCCAAATGTGTTACTGCGACACACGCAGGCCCACCATTGTCAGAGCAGATACTTTTGGATGAAGCCAGTGATCAAAAACTGGAGTTATCCAAATCTGATGCAAAGCAAAATGTTCCCAGGCAGGCCAGCCCTTACTACATCATTCCCATTTCCTTACACTCCTCCCCTATGAAAAATTCTGTCCCCCTGTTTCTGGTGTGCAGCCTAGCTTACCACTCTTCACATCTGGGGCAGAATGATTTTGTTAAGTCATTTTAGACAAAAATTGAAGCACAATTTATCTTCACTACTAATTGTGCCAGTTAGCCTCAGGAAAAGCCAGGTCCTTCATGAAAACTGCTATCAAGCCTTACAGTGGGCTTGATAAGTAGAATCTAGAACCTCCTACCTGCTTAGCTGGGTGTTTGAGTTAGTGTTGCATGGGCATCTTTCTGGAGCATATTTTTATTCAGTGTTAAGTGATCTAAAACATTTTTTAATAGCAAAGATGGCTATGTTGTGGAATATAATACTCACATGAAGTTTTAAGATAGAACACAAGACTTCAAAGAAGTTTCTGCTTGTGTCACTTTTCAAGCAGAGACTTCTTTGAAGTCGATCATTAAAAAGTCAGGAAACAACAGGTGCTGGAGAGGATGTGGAGAAATAGGAACACTTTTACACTGTTGGTGGGACTGTAAACTAGTTCAACCCTTGTGGAAGACAGTGTGGCGATTCCTCAGGGATCTGGAACTAGAAATACCATTTGACCCAGCCATCCCATTACTGGGTATATACCCAAAGGATTATAAGTCATGCTGCTATAAAGACACATGCACATGTATGTTTATTGCGGCACTATTCACAATAGCAAAGACTTGGAACCAACCCAAATGTCCATCAATGATAGACTGGATTAAGAAAATGTGGCACATAGACACCATGGGATACTATGCAGCCATAAAAAATGATGAGTTCATGTCCTTTGTAGGGACATGGATGGAGCTGGAAACCATTATTCTGAGCAAACTATTGCAAGGACAGAAAACCAAACACATGTTCTCACTCATAGGTGGGAATTGAACAATGTGAACACTTAGACACAGGATGGGGAACATCACACACCAGGGCCTGTTGTGGGGTGGGGGGAGGGGGGAGGGATAGCATTAGGAGATACACCTAATGTAAATGATGAGTTGATGGGTGCAGCACACCAACATGGCACATGTATACATATGTAACAAACCTGCACGTTGTGCACATGTACCCTAGAACTTAAAGTATAATAAAAAAATGAAAAAAATAATTTCAGAACCATTCATTAATTCAACAAACATTTATTGAGCACCTACCACATACCAGAATTTTGAAATCGGTATTGCTTTTGGGGATTTATTTTTGTAGTTTGGATTTCAATTTGAGTTTGAATTCTAGGTTTGCAGCCTATCTAGCTGTGGGAGAATGAACAAGTCCTTTAACATCTGTATCTCAGTTTTTCTGCCTATAAAATGGGAATAATAATTGCACCTAATAACGTTGCTGTAAAATTTAATAATATAATCACACAAAACGCTTACAAAAAAAAGAAGTTTCTGCTTGTGAAGGGCACTTCAAATGAGGTCTCCCATATCCCTTTACGGATATGTGTCTCTTCTCCTTTGCCATTAGGAGTAGTTACGTGGGCCAGTTTGGGAACTCTGTGTGCCAAGAATTATGCTAGATGATGAGGATACAGAGATGACTAAAACACAGGCCCTGATCTCCAGGATCTTATAATGAGGGAAAGAAAACATTCCCAAGTAGACACTGAATTCCTGGAGGATAGGGAACCATCCCCTAATTGTCATTGAGTAAATTAAACACACAGCTTTCTCTTCCTATAATGATCAGTTAACAAACATTGCCTGAGCTCCTTGCCCTGTGGGCAAGGCTGTGCTGGCAAGGCTGTGCTGGGTGCTGGTAATACAGCAATAAATCAGTCACATGCCAATCCCTCAGGTGGACCTTCTGGTACGGGAAAAATCAATGGAGCAGAGACTCACTAGACCCTGAGGGCACTGCACTCAGCTGAGAAGCACTAGAAGCAAAGATTTGCAGAGGAAGTGAGTTCCAAATGGGGTGACATTTAAGACAGAATCACCCTGCTTTGGGAAATATATCACTTCAACAACAACAAAAAGCAGTGTTACCAACTATGAAATGAAAGGAGATGCCCTTTTGTTTTGTTTCACTGAAGTGAGTTTTTAAATTATACTTTTGTATGTAAAAAAATTTCTTCATGGAACCTGTGACAAAACCATGACAAATAGCCCCAGACTAAATTTAAATTCATTGGGATGGCAGTGGCTCCGAGGGTTTCTATGTTCTCTGTCTTTAAATTTTTTTGATTGTCATAAAAAATACATAACATAAAATTTGCCATCTTAACCAAAGAGGGTGGTAGGAAACTGATTTTGTGATGCATATCTAAACACACACCTGGAAGATATTAATGTATCGAGACTGAAGGAGCCCGAGAGAGCAATTTTTTGTGGGAAAAATTGATGTACTATGCAACTTCTTCTACCACTAAAATGGAGGAAGAGAGAAGGTTCTATCATTCACCTTAAGCCAAGTATGAAAGGGTGCTTTAGTAAAACCACTAAGAGAGCTTGGCATGTGAACCTGGAGTTTGAGGGGGCTGCATAAATTCTGGCAAGAGAAACTGGCTGTGTTGAACTAGAGTGGAAGATTATAGAGAGAAAAAGCTACATACAGAGTAAATTGCTTCTCACTGACAAGAGGGCAAGAATGTGTATTGTCTGTGACCAAATTTGAAACACATGTGAAGGTGATTGCTTGGCGCCATTTTGAATTTTGCCCAAGCATAATTGAATTTACCTGGGTTCATGGTAGGTCCCAGTGGAGAGTCTGTGGGCTGGAATAGTCCAATGCCCAGGAACTGAGGGTAGAAACTGTAAGTTGACAGCCAGAGAAAATGCATCATGCAAAAACAAGTTGAAAGGCCTCAGCAGTTATCTCTGAGGAACCTATGTATTTGCCTCATAAGATGAAGAATTCATCACATCCATAATGCACCAAGATCAGCTAGCGTCTTTTACCAGTTGTGATGGTTAATTTTATGTGTCAATTTGACTGGGCCCATACATTTGGTCATACATGATTCTAGGTGTATCTGTGAGAGTGTTTTGGATGAGATTAATATTGGAATCCCTAGATGGAATAAAGAAGATGGCCCTCCCTAACGTGGGTGAGTCCCATCCAATCAGTTGAACACCTGAATAAAATAAAAATACTAACCCTCCTGTGAGTAAGAGGGAATTCGTCCTGCCTGATTGCCTTCAAATGGGGACATTAATTTTTTCCTGTCTTCAGACTTGAACTGAAGCATCAGCTCTTCCTTGTCTTGGGCCTACTGGCCTTCAGACTGGAAATACATCATCAGCTCTCCTGGGTATCCTGCAGATCTTGAGACTTGTCATACTCCATAATTAGGTGAGTCAATTCCTTATAACAAGTATATTGGATATATAATATTATATGTACATATTACAGTATATTATATATGTAATATATGTACGTAATAGAAAAAAATATATTCTATTGGTTTTGTTTCTCTGGAGAACCCTATACACCAGTCACGTAAGACTTATCTTGTTCCATACCTGTTCTTCCTCTCTTGGCTCTAACCTGGGTGAGCCATTGGCAACCTAGTGGTAGGTAAAATGGGAGGAGGAGAAAAAATTCCATGTGGGGAAATAGAAAAGAAATGGCTCTCTCCCACACCATGACTACTAAGAGACATGATCTTATCCACCAGAAGATAGTTCTGGATTAGAAGACATAAACTCTCAGTTCTGGCTCCAGTTATCTCAGGTATTAGCTGAGTAATATTTAGCAAAGTGACTCAACTTTCTTAGAACCTGTGTTTTCTAATCAGTGAAATAGGGCTTAACAAGGCCTGCCTTGCCTCCCTGATGCATTGTTAAAATGATCAAGAGCTCTAAGATACTTGAAAAAAATTAAGGTGGTAAAGCTATACACATATAAGGCATTTATATGATATGATTTCAGAGGAAGAAGAAGGGCCCTTGGCCCTCCTTGAACTTCCCTCATCTATAGGTTAATAACAAAACTTGGATTTTTTTTTGAATAGCAGAAAAATGAATATTTATTTAACATCAGCTGCATGAAAGGTCCTGGGCTGGGCATTTTAACAGAACAAACTCAGTTAATCTTCACAACATCTCTGTTTTCCTATGAATTATTATCTCCATTTTATAGATGAGTAGCCTAAAGCTCAAAGTGAAAACTTTCCCAAGATCACACACCTAGCAAGTGTTGGAGGTAAGGCAATTCATGTCTGTCTGACTCTTAAATTAATCTCCTTAATTGTCAAGTCATTCTTCTCCCCAAAGTTGATAAATGCTAAATTATAATTTTCCCTCGGAGGAATACCTGAATCTCAGTCACTCAGTGTCAGACAGCTGAGTATGACTGAGTTTGTCAACTCATTTCAGAGCATGTTTTGACTGGGGTTAAAGAATGGAAGCAGAAGGCACTGGATATCACTCAAGGATGGGATGGCATTAAAAAAGTAGAAGATATAGTGGAAAGAACAAGGGCATTGTGAATCAGTCAAGACTGGCTTTAGATTCCTGTTCTTTTATACGACTGTGATTTTGAGAAAATTATTTAGCTTACTTGAATTAAATGAGAATAAGTTTAAGGAATTTTAAGGATTGAGGTGATGTTTGTAAAGTTGAAATCTGATGTTTTGGTATGTCCAGCCCTCTGTGTCCTTTGAGGGACTGTCCCTTCCCTCATTCCATGTGATCCTAGTGGGGTTGTTAATTATGATGCCCCTCAACCTTGGCTATAGTGATAATCATATAATATAGAATGGGCCTTTTATAATATCTATCCCTTGGCAACAGTGATTGGTCCAGGGGTTGGCACCAGATCTAAGCATGACCAATAAGATGCCTTCTCTGGATTAACTTTTGGGTGCTGGGGAGAATATAAGCTTTTTTTCTGTTTGGCTTTCTAAACTGGGAGCATGTAAACCTGGAGGTGTGGGCAGTCATCTTCCCTTGCACATGGAAAGAATCTGTCTACAGAATGAACCCAATGCACAGAAAGGAGTTGAGGGGAGAGAAGTGTGCTCCTGAATCCTCCTGTATCTGAAGCAGGTTACCTGTTGCACTTTCCAATTTGTGAGTCCCCCACCCCACTTTTGTTTTTGCTTAAATAGTTTGAGTTGGGTTTCTCTTAAGTACTTTTGAAATAATCGTGACTTGTACAGTGTTATAGCATATATAAAATTCATATACATAAAAATAAAAATGCACATAGCATGAATAGTACTGAATAAATGATAATACATGTAATATAAGAAATTATTTGAAAAAACATAAATGATTTTCCGTTTGCATTTTGGGGTACATTTTTTTTCTTAGCTTAAGACATCCATTTACTTCTAAGGAAATCAGATGGAGAATAAGAAATGAAAGAAAACACTTTGGGAGACTGAGGTGGGCAGATCACTTGAGGTCAGGAGTTTGAGAACAGCCTTGTCAGCACAGTGAAATCCCGTTTCTACTAAAAATAGAAAAAAAAATAGCCAGGTATGGTGGTGCATGCCTGTAATAGCAGCTACTCAAGAGGCTGAGGCATGAGAATCTCTTGAACCTGGGAGATGGAGGTTGCAGTGAGCTGAGATGGTGCCACTGCACTCCAACTTGGGTGACAGAGCCAGAGTCTGTCTCTAAAAAAAAAAAATAAATAAATAAATAACTTTTAGCTTTTGACATTTAAAATAGAATTCTATCCCAGGAAAATATTTTGAAAGCTATACATTATTAGGAGAAGATTTTTCTAACTACCCAAATCTCCTTTTTAGCATATCAGAATCCAGGCTTGGAGAATCAAAAGTGTAAGGAGAAAAGCTCTTCCCTCTGAGGTCTGCACTGTGAGAAAAATTCAGAGAGGTAGAAGAGGCCATAACGTCCCAGTTTCTCCTCTTTACTGTGCAGTGGGTTCTGAGCCAATATGGAGTGACTCAGCTTACTTAAGTGGGTGAAAAATGTAGCAAGACAGATCTACTTCTTTGGTTTCCTGTGGTGTAAACAGTAGGTTTAGAGCTACTACACCTGCAATGGGGCCCTTTGTAATGGGGCTGGGGGAAGCTTGCGACATACTGCATGGACGAAGAGTGGAAAGAAGGGCATGAGAGATAATTCAGAAAAGCCCTAGCTCAGCAGGAGCTATGGGGAGCATTATTTATGCTACCTGTGTCAGAGACTCTTGCTTGTAGAACATAAAAAGTTGATGCTATGATTTTGGCCACAACCCAGCTTGGCTCTCCAGTGAGCTGATAGAATATGCTAGAGGAAACAAAGAGTAAAACCACTGACACTGTCAGACAGGCACAAAGAAAGTTAAAATTCTATTTTTGAAGGGATTCATGAGTGTACAGAATTAAAGTCAAGATGATCACAGTTGATGGGGTAAGATATCACATTGTCCACAAGTGTTTCTTCTGCATCCCTCTTGGGCATCCTCAGTTTACAGGGTCTGAACTATGGACTTAATTGAAGGCTTAGATGATTTGAGGGGTTCCTTTCCTCCAGTGTCCTATGATCCTATGATATGAAGTTTCTAAGAAAAAAAAATACAAGAAGTTTTATTGTAGGATGTTGACTCTTCTGCTCAGAGATGGGTTGCTCTTCATCTAATAGGTCAAAAAAGTCAGAGACTTCACAGCCAGATGGTTGAGGGTCTGGTGTCTAGTGGAAGCATGCTGTTTCAAGGTCCTGACTCCCAGACTCTGGGAACGTACTGAGCCCTATGGGAGGGGTAACATTGTAAACAGAATATTTCATTGAGAAGATTCATCTTGCCCTACTTTGTTCCCACGCCATTTTAAACAGCTGCAAATATTTGAAAGTTATTTCTTTTACTTTCTTTTTTTTTAGCCGTCAGTCATGCCAATTGTCCCATCTTTGTTCTCTGGAGCCACCCAGATTAAGTAATTTATTACAAATAGTAACTATCCCACATTATGCTAAGTGAAATAAGCCAGACCCAGAAAGACAACCACTGCATGATCTTACTTATTATGTGGAATCTTTTTTTAAAAAGTCAAATTCATAGTAACAGAGAGGAGAAGTGTAGTTACCAGTGTAGTAACAGAGAGGAGAAGTGTAGTTACCTCGGGGAAAAGGGGAGATACCGGTTAGAGTACAAACTCACAGTTATAAGACGAATAAGTTCTGGAGACCTAATGTACAGCATGGTGACTATAGATAATAAGGTCTTATATACTTAGAGTTAATGGGTGCAGCACACCAGCATGGCACATGTATACATATGTAACTAACCTGCACATTGTGCACATGTACCCTAAAACTTAAAGTATAATAATAATAAAATAAAAAAATAAAATAAAAAAGAGTAGATTTTAAGTGTTCTCATCACACACAAGAAATGTGAGGTGATAGATATGCTAATTAGTTTGATTGTAGTAATTATTTCATAATGTATATGTATGTCAAAATATGTTGTACATCTTAAATTTATACAAATTTTATTTGCCAATAATACCTCAATGAACCTGAAAAAAAGAAAAATAACCCTCCGAAGGTTTGAAAACAGTACTAATGTTTTCCCACTAAGTCTTCTCGTGGCTAACCATCCTTAGGTTTCTCAACTAGTCCTAAAAGGCCAAAACTCCAAGTCCTCTAATCATATCGGTTGCTCTTTTCTGGACACACTACAATTTTTAAGGTTACTTGTTACATATTGTGCTCACAACTGCACACAGATACTTTGGGTGTGGGCTGTCTGGTGCAATGTGATCATCATCTCACTTGATCTCAACTAGTCTTCTGCTAAGGTAGTTCACAAAGCAAGTACAAACTATTTCTTCCCAAGCCAGTAACAAGTGGCAATGACTTTTTAGTCAACCTTAGGGCATTGCAGCCCTAGAAGGTGGGGGATGATGATTGGGGTTGAGAGACACACTTAACTTTATTCCATATTTGGCTTTAATGTTCCAGTACACACCTAGTTTTGAAAATAGTTATATTTTCTCATCCTGTGGCGTGTATGGATTTGCATACAAAATCAGAAACTCACAAGCAGATTTTCTGTTTGTTCAACACTTGCTCTTGACTTTCTGGGCCAGATTTAATGAAACCCAACTAGAAAATATATTTAAATCCAGTGAACTTTCTTGCTTGGGGATTATTATCCTTGTCTAGATTCCCCACAGATGCAAGAAGGTCTGTCTATACTTTGTGTTCTGTTTTAGTACTTTTGATAGTAGTTACATTTCCCCCTCACTTATTCCCACAGTTCAGCTGCTATGCAAACTGAGAAGGACCAAAGGTATTCTTAGATAAAGTAAGTAGTAGTATTTACAGCACTTTTGAATCTGGGAGAAAGTGAAGTACAGACAGATTAGTAAACAAAGAACTGTGAATCCTTAGATGGCTCCACCAACTAATCAATTCGAGTCGATTATTGCCTTCCCAGTTCTGAATTAGGATGCTTGCTTGCAGTGTGACTTATTTAGTCAGCATTATTTTACGACTCTACAATTTTCTCTCTTTATCTGAAATGATCCAGCCTAAAACTCCCTGAAAATGCCGGGCATTAAGTATATCACAATGGTAATTCTTTTGACTGAAGCCTTATTTGATTCAGTGGAAAATGACTTCAGTGTATTGGATTTACAGTTCATTTAATGAGTGTTGTAGAGGTCAATACATTAGTGTAAACTTGGTTCAGGTAGTAATTTGGTTTCTAATGAGGTTCCCAAGCAGCATCCTACTATGAAAAGTAGGATAGTGCTCAGTGGGCATAGAATATAACTGTCTAATCAGACATAAGAAATGTGCCAGTTGTATACTACAATAATGCTATGATTGTTTGACTTCTTTAGGATTCAGTTTCCATTTCTGTAAGATGAGCAGGTTAAACAAAGGCCCTTGAAGCTCTGAACTGTTTTGTATTTTCTCGGTAATCTTAAGAAATCTCCCATCTTTAGGACATGTGCTTTGTAATGGAGATGGATTTGCATGAGCCATTTGTGCTGTGATATGCACTCCATACCAAAACCATGGCTCCACAAAACCTTGTCTGACAATTGAGTTGTGTTTCTGAATGTCTTGCAAGCAAGACAATGACTGCTTGTTGTTCTGGACTATTTTCTTTAGGATGTTTATATAGGGAAAAGCTTGGCAATATGGAGATAATGTCTATGGAACAAAGGGAAGGCATGCTTACTGCCTATTATGAATGATTCTATAAGCTCAAGTTCTCTAAGTTCAGGGTGCCTCTCCTGTAATGCAACCCACTTCATGCACAGATGACATTTGGTCCTCCTCACATTGCCCTGTTGGAATCTGCACTCCAAAACCAATGCAAAAATGACGATACTCTGGCCACTGCTGTTGCTGTGAGTGATAAATTTTCTTTCATCTGTCATCTAGGAGTCTCGTATTTACTACTGGTATCCATGAAACTGTAGTAGGCCAACTTGCTAGTTTGAAAGTAGAGTAAAATCTCAGACCCTTCAAGGTCCTTGACAACCCTAGTCCACAGTCACTTTCCTCTTTTATTACCACTATAGCACCTAGCCTCTGAACAATCCAACTCAAAACACATTATGTCTTTTGTTGAATTGTTTTACATGTTAATTTTATCTCCCAACTAGATCATAAGCATGCGAGAGAGGCACCATGCCAATGTTTTTTCTGTCTACCCTGTAGCAGCTGGCACAGGCATGGGTACATAGTACGGGCTCAATATATATTTTTGATTTACTTTGGTTATATGCATACCAGCTGAAGTAAAATACTCCATGCTTTTTATCATTGAACTTGCCTTGGATGTCTTCTTATAGTTGAAAACAATAGATGTACTCTCCTAGAAATAGAAAAGCTCTAATGAGAGATGAAGAAACCATTTTTCAGGCTTCTAGGATGCAAGGCATATACATTCTTTAATCAGTTGGACATCATTGACTAAGGGGCCAATTACAAAGCTATTCTGAGTCCCACATTTCCCAAGATGTTTGTTGTGCTGGGCTGCTAATAATTATCATGTTTTGGCAGCTGAAGAACTAGAATATAGTCTCTGTTTTTGTAGAAATCAATGGCCCCAGGAGGTTATCTATACCAGCCTACTGTCTGCAACATCAGTGGGAGCTTATTTGGCATTTGATACCAATCCCAGAAGAGGATATGAATCCCTGAGTGCATTTCCCAATGGCACACGCTCGCTTCTTGTTTTCTTGTAAGTATCCTATTATTAATGGCCCATTATACCAGAAACAAAAATGTCTATATACGCATTTTCATTTAGTCTGTCATTGTTTCCAATGGTCTGGATTATTCGATTAGTCTCAATCCAGTTTTCTTTGAGGGAATATGGAGACACAAGAGTTGTCTGTCTTTAGTGCTAAAACATTAAAACTTAGGGCTCTTTCTTATGGCTATAGCCTTGAAGATGCACTCCTTAGCTCCATAACATTGTGTTCTTTTCTTTTCTTTTCTTTCCCTTTTCTTTTCTTCTTTTCTTTTCTTTCTTTTCTTTTCTTTTGTTTTCTTTTTTTCTTTCTTGTTGTCAGGACTGCAACACACTCTCAATTCAGTCTTCCTGAGTGCAACTGATACAATTTTACAGATGTGGCATGGTCATCATTTTCTAACTTTAGCTTTGCTAATCTGGCATTTTCTAACTTTAGTTTTGTTAATTCAGGCTGTTCCTTCTCACTTAAAAATATTTCCTCTTATTTGAATTTGAGTATGCTGCCACCAAGTGGTTGCCCGTTCTTTGATTAACATGGTCTCATAATTCAAACTGCAGGCTGCACTGTTTCTATTGCTGTTGTTGGTGTATGTGTCAGGATTGGGATAGTGAATGCCTATTAATAGTTGAAGGTATCAGGTATTAGAGGGAATTAGGGCAAATCTTCATGAAACAGCAGGAAGATATTGAAAAATAAAAATGGGCTGTAACTTGAGGAGGGGAGAGGAAGGGCAGTATGTGTCCAAAGAATGAGATCAGGATTAGAGGAGATGTGGAGTAGAGGGAACAGAGAAATAATAGGAAAAAGGGAAAATGACCCAGATTTAAGAGAACTTGATCGCTGAAACAATTTTCATCTTTTGTTTCTGTACTTCCTATGGTTCTTGTACTTATTAGGGACTACAAATACCAAGATAGATGCATTATCTTGAGCAGGATTCTGTCTTGTATATATTTGTATCCCTCACAGTGTCTAATGTAGTGCTGGGCACATAGTTGGTTCTTAATAAAGGTCTGCATGAATGACCCAAACCTGCAAGAGTTGAGACAATATATAGTGTAGGCAAGGGGTGCTGGCTTGAGGCACAGGGGCAGCTCCTAATGAGCAAGCCTTGACAGTGTCTTGCCTCTATCAAGCTGATGCCTTGCACAACTTTAGCTGGCTCCTATGATCAATCTTCCAAATTAGAACCTTCTCCAAATCTTCTCAGGAAGGTACTTACATGCCCCCTCCTTCCTCCTCCACTACCTTCTCCATTCTTTCCTCTTCTCCCTCCTCCTCTCCTTCCTCTACTCCCTCCTTTTCTTCCTCCTCTTCCTCTTTCTCCCCTTCCAAGGCTCTTGATGTCTTCATACCTCTGAACAAGTCTGGGTGGTTGGAAACAGATGACCTCTGGAAGCTTTTGATTGGAGGATGAGAGATCTAGAGTTCTTTCCATTCGTAAGATGTATAGGGAATGACTGTATAGGGCTTTCAAAAAATGCATATGAAAATTGGGGATTGTTCTATGTAAGATGTTTGCTGAAATTAATACCTTAGACACAGTCTCCAGAAAGGGGTTTACTCCTGCATGATAACATGCATGCTATGTTATCTTTGGCCTTGGCTAGTATATGTTCACATGACTACTTTTTTCAAGATACACACTCCCAGATCTCAATCTTTACCCAAATATTATAATTCATGAATATCTGGTGAAAGTGTCCTGTGTGCACTTCCCCTAATGCAGAAATGAAATCCTTGAAGACGATTGTTTTAGTAAGCAAGTATGACCTTAGTCACTTGTTTACTTGCTTTAGTAAGACCTGTTTGGCACCATAAACATCCACATATCTAACACAGAATTTCCCAGGGAGGTTCCACGTGGAGCAGTATAGCATGGTGGATAAGTGTGAGGGCTTGGGACTACTGACTGCTCAAATTTTACCTCTGTTGTTTGATGTTGGGCAAGTCAATTAATCTCTCTCTGTGCTTCAGTTTACTAACCTGTAAAAAAGGCTAATATAAATTACCTTACATGGCTGTTATGAAGGTTAGGTTAAATGACAAAACACATGTAGTGTGCTTAAGCACAGTGCTTAGCATATAATAAGTATACAATTATTGGTAGTTATTATATAAATTTCTTCCTTGAACATAAACTTTGGGAAGTGATGGCCCTGGATAGTGTCTCTCTTACTATCATGTCCTTGTGCTCAGCTTCTGAGGCTTATGAAGATGCCCTGGGCACAGAGACTCAGGCTGTCTCCTGGCCCACAGAGTGCGGAACAAGTGGGAGCTTGTAAGCTAAGTAGGATGTCATTTTGAGTCACTGCTGCTCTAATCTCTTTAGACAGTTCTGAAGAACAATTGGATTCCCTTCAGTTTTAATTTCCCTACCTTCTCAGATAAATTTTCCAAATGTCCACTTCCCATTTCTTCGATCAAAGCCAGAGTTGAAGGAAGCTGGCCTTCAATCTCCAACCAGGCTGAGAGCACCATTTGAGCTCAAGAGCAAATTGTATTGGAAAAGAAGCAGAACCACTGACTAAAATGAATTGTCATTAAATGAGGCTTTAAATGAAACCACAAGGCAGAGCCTCATCCTAATTGGCAGTGGAGTTAATCGGGTAAGAGGCCAATTCCAGATGTCCCATTGCAGAACTTTTAAAACTCGCTCCCTGCTTCTTTTACTTTCTGCCCCTAACCACCTCTTTCCACCCTCACACCGCCTTTGAAAGATGATGATCATTGGGCAAAGATAACACTGAACTATTTAACATCTTTTTAAAATCTATAATCTATAAATTGAATGCAGGAATAGAAAATGTCAGAACCATGATACAATTTGAAATGTTTCATGTGGTAGGGTGGATAATGGTACCCCAAATATGTCCATGTTCTAATCCGTAGACTGAATATGTTACTTTACATGCAAAATAAACTTTGCCTATGTGAATAAGGTAAGAATCTTGGTACAGAAGGATTATCCCAGATTATCCAGGTAGGCTCAGTGTAATCACAAGGGTCCTAATGAGAGAGATGAGGAAAGAGTCAGAGGCAGAGGAGCAGATATGATGACAGAAGCAGAGATTGGAGTGACGACATAGAAGGTGGAGGAAGGGGCCAAAAGCCGAGGAATACAGGCAGGCACAGGAAGCCACTTGTCAGCTGAAAGAGACAAGTAAATGGATTTTCCCTTCCAAGCCTCCAGAAGGAACTAGCCCTGCCTGCACCACAACTTTAACCCAGTGAGACCCATTTCAGACTACTGACCTCCAGAACCATAAGAAAATAAATCTGTGTTGTTTTAAGCCAACTGTCTCCCAAATACTCCCAGATATGCTGTAGAGCTGGAAATTTCCCAAATTAGAAGTATTGCTTTGGATGATATCAATGAAGGACACAATTGTTAAAAAGCTTCCACTGAAATGCAAAGGGAAATGTGTTAGGCAACATTCAACCTGTTATGCCTTGATCTGACTGGCTGGCAGAGAGCACGGAAGAGGACCCAAGATGCAGGGATTTCTGGGCCTTGGGGCATGAAATTGATGGGTGGGATCTGTGTGGCTGGATGCAGCAAGTGATGCCTGGGATGAGAGGATGCCACAAGGGAGAGAGCCTGAAAACAAAATCCCATTTATCACACTTCTTCTTGAGTTTTCACCCAGTGAAAAACTCAATGCTTCGGATGTGAGCATCACCTTTGTCACTAATCCAGCTTCAAACCTGTTCCATAAAGCTCCTGGTAAGCTTAAAGAAAGAAATAGCTTTTTGCGCTTATCTAGACTCACAAACTCTCTGACTTGAGACTGACTTCTCTTTGGTCTACCCTTGTAGGATTTGGTCTCCTTTTGGTATTCCAATGTCTTCCAACTTCTACTGCCTATTTTGGACTCCTGGTCTCCTCTAACTTCAGCTCTTTGGGCTGCCTGCCAGGCACATTTCTGTTCTTTCTCAGAGGCTTGAGTGTCCTCCTTCCAAGAATTCTTTGCCCTAACCTGTAAACCATTGCCTCCCAGCCCCTGGCACCAAAGCCACCATTAGACCCTGATTAGGAGACCTCTCAGATTCTTTATGAGATGACCCTGAGAGGCAATTATCCTCCACACTGCACACTTTCCAGAGTACTTTGGCCTTTATAATAAGAAGTAGCAGATTTACAGATGAAGGATCTTCAATCCCAAAACCTGCTCTCTCTGTCTGCAACGAACATACTCCATCACTTGCTTTTCCCTACCTCTGATCTCACTCCCAGAGCACTGCAACGAAAGTCCAGAAAAGTGAGGGTCTTTGAACCCATTAGTAGCTCCCCAAGCCCCATATCCACTTGTAGTTTGATGAAAATGAGAAGCATGGATCTGATCAGTTGGGCCTTTATAGATGCATGTCAGATCCACATGAATAATATGATCTTCGAGCAACCCAGAAAGGAGAGAGTTTCTGTTTCTCAAGTCCCTTGCCTCAGAGTCAATACAGTGATACCATCCAAGAAAGGATCTGTAGCCTAGGATATATAACAGATTCACTTATTATGCTGTCAGGACGCCTGAGGCAAATCCATCCAAATGTGAGTGCTGACTTCTTAGGAACTGGACAAGTGAGCTCAGGTACTGTAAAGGAGCACCTATGACTTGTTTACCAGGTCTAAGTTGCACAATCACAAGAGCCCAAGAATATCAAATAATCCACATCAAATTTTCAAACAGCCAGACATGATATGTTCTCAATTCCCAGGCCACGTTTATTATTAAATGATGTTCTAGCCCTTTGACAATACCTGCTATTAGAACCAGGGCTTGGGTGGTGGTGGAACAGGCCACAGTGGCATAGACAAGACCTGGGAATTCAGGAAGTTTTCCTTGGTCAGGAGAAGTCTGCGGCTGGGACAAGTATGATGTAGTTTGGATGTTTGTCCCCTCGAAATCTCATTTTGAAATGTAATTCCCAATGTTGGAGGTGGGGCCTGATGGGAGGTGATTGAATCATGGAGGCAGCTCCCTCATCAATAGCTTAGCACCATCCACTTGGTGATAAGTGAGTTCTTGCTCAGTGAGTTTGCATGAGATCTGATTGTTTAAAAGAGTCTGAGACCTCCCCCCACCTTTCTCCTGCTCTCACCATGTGACATACCTTGCCTGCTCCTGCTTTGCTTTCCTCCATGACTGTAAGCTTCCTGAGGCCCTCACCAGAAGCCAAGCAGATGTTGATGCCATGCTTGTACAGCGTACAGAAATGTGAGCCAATTAAACCTCTTTTGTTTATAAATTACCCAGTCTCAGGTATTCCTTTATAGTAAGGATTTAATTCCAAGGTTTAATGATTTGGTTATTACAGGGTTGAGTACATGGTGGTTTGACTCCAAAAGTAGGTTCAGAATCATATCAGACCTAAGAGGGATAAGAGCAGGTAAAATGTGAGAATAAGTTTCCACGGTGACAAACTGAACCGAGAACCTGGCTATTGGCCAAGCAGGAGTGAGGCAGTTGACCAATGGCCATCTAAGTAGCTGGCAATTGCCGGAGTTCAGATTAGCAGCTGGTGAATTATCAAGGAATGATGGCAGTGGGTATTAGGGATTCAGTTCCAGATTCAGATTAGGAAACAGATTTTTTTGTGTGTAGGAAATCTAGTCCTAATACTAGGATACCAGGCAAGGAATTAGACATCGGGGAGGAAAGACATGGAAGGGCTCCAGTTATGAAGGTACATATATTCTGTGTCAGTAGAAAAATATGACTCAGTGCTGCTTTGCTGAATTATTTTCTTCAAACGCTTCCTGATTGGTGGCCTCTTCCAGCCTATTATTCACAATATAGCCAGAGTGAGCTTTTCAACACTCTAAGCTGATCGCATTGTTTTAATTGCTCTTAGGATAAAGACCAGATGCGTTATCAATCTCTAGAAGGTTCTGCATGGTTTGGCTCTTGCCTGCATTTTTAGCCTCATCTCCCACCATTTCTCCTTTCACTCTTGGCACTCTAGCTGCACTGGTTTTCTATAAAATCCTCAGGTCTCTACTGTCTCTCAGAGCTGTTGCACATTGTAATTTCTTCTGCTCAGAGTGTATGTTACCCCTTTTGTCATCCTTCCAGTCTCAATTTAAATGTCACAACATCAGGAAGGTCTTCTCTGATTTGTTTGTCTAAAGAAATGACCCCTTATTCTTTATAATGGTTCTACTGACCACCATCATTTACACTTACAAGTCACACCCACTAACCTTGCCTACCAGGACCAGCGAGCTCACCACCTCCTGTGTACCACTTTCATCAGTGTTACCTCCCCAATATCCTCATCATTTCAACACAATTCCCCACTGTCATGCACATCACCACACCCTCTAGCTCCACCCATCACCACCAACCTCATCCACCCCTTCTATAACCCATGCTCCCCTTTGGCCCATCTCTCTACCAGTCCCGATTAGCCACACTCAAAAGCCCCACACATTACCATCAGCCACGCCATCCTTTCCTCATCAAGCAGTTCCAAACACTAGCAGCCCTACCCCACCACCTCTCCTGATGAGCACGGGCCCTCCTGCTTACAGTTCAGGCATCAGCCAGCTTCAGTGATGTCTTCCTTGACCATTCAGTCTGGATAAGGTTTCCTTGTTTTCACTTCTCATAGCCCCCTCCCTGCCCTTCTTCTTCATAGTTCTGATCACAATGCTAATCATACAGTACTTTAGGTAACTGTGCTTAGTGGTCATCACCCTCACAGGTTTATGTCTATTTATTCATTGCTATTTCCCTTGTACCTAGACACACAGTATATCTAAAAAAAATAATGCTGAATCTTGTTGTATCAAGTGTTACAGATTAAAAAGCCCAAGGCTCTAATCAGCTAAATAATGTACTCAGGGTTGGATGTCTAAGTGCCAGAGGTGGGATTCAAACCCAGGTCTGGCTGACTATAAATCCTGTGGTTTCTTAACCGTTATATCAATGGTTTTTGCCAGTCCAGCAGCATCAGCTTCACTTGGGAACTCATTAGAAAATGATAGACTGGATTAAGAAAATGTGGCACATATACACCATGGAATACTATGCAGCCATAAAAATGATGAGTTCATGTCCTTTGTAGGGACGTGGATGAAATTGGAAACCATCATTCTCAGTAAACTATCACAAGAACAAAAAACCAAACACCGCATATTCTCACTCATAGGTGGGAATTGAACAATGAGATCACATGGACACAGGAAGGGGAACATCACACTCTGGGGACTGTTGTGGGGTGGGGGGAGGGGGGAGGGATAGCATTGGGAGATATACCTAATGCTAGATGATGAGTTAGTGGGTGCAGCACACCAGCATGGCACATGTATACATATGTAACTAACCTGCACAATGTGCACATGTACCCTAAAACTTAAAGTATAATAAAAAAAAAAAAAGAAATGCAAATTCTCAGGTTCTGCCTCAGATTTACTGAATCAGAAACCCTGCAGGTGAGGCCCAGCACTTTGTGTTTTAACAGGTCCTCCAGGTGATTCTGAGGCCCAATCAAGTGTGAGAACCACTGCTCTACATGACATTTCCCATTATATGGTTTCCACTTGGTAAAAGATCCATGTTGTTCTCGGTCTATGCAAATAGCCCTAATGCTACCTAGCATGGGGCTCAGTATATGATAGGTTTTTAATAAGTATGTGTTGAATAAGTGAATTGAGCTCTTGGGTACACTAGATTTTGAAAGACATGAGTAGGGTTTTTTTTTTTTCATCAAAACCACAGAGGGACAGTGAAAATACCATTGAAAGCCTAATATAAGGGACATGACACTTGCCTGGAGAAAAGTTTTCAAAATGAAATTATTTATTACCTTCTCCTTTCCCACTCCTCCTTTCAGGTCAGTCTTTTCTATGAAAAGATCGTCTCTGACCCCTGTGGTTCATATTGATAGCCCTCTTATTTGGCTTCTTTGCAGCATTTAGTGTATCACTTAAGCTATCCTTGGATTATATGTGATGATGCATTTTTTGAGTGTCTCAGATATATAAATCATAGTCTCCATAATGAAACTATATTCTCTTTAGCACATGGACTGTGTCTTTTCTTTTTCCTCTTCTAGTTTCTACCATGGCCTTAATATATAGTAAGATGTTGGGATAATGTTTTAATAAATTCTCCTGTGTGTGTTTGTGTGTCTGTGTGTGTGCTTATACCTAGTCCTTTCCATATTCAGCAAACACATTCATCACCTAAGAGAAAGGCTGTTATAGTAGAAGAGCAGAAGACAAAAAAAAGTAAATTTGTAGCCTTTGAGTTTTAAAAGCCTATTTAGAATTTCAGGAACTAGAGCTTTTGAGCTTCAAAGGCCCGAGTCCTAAAGAACCCAGAAAATGCACTTCATGACATACACACTAGATTTGAAAGGATACAGGATAAGTTAAAGCCTGTTTTCCTCTTCCCCAAACTAGATGAAGATCCTATCAGATATGAGAAAAGTGAGAATTAGAACAAAAGAGTGAGTCCTTAGTGAGTCCCTTAACAGAGGTGCTGTAACATGATGTTGTGGACTAAGACCCAAATTGAAGAAATATGAATAATACAACCCTCAATGGGGCATGGGAGTAGAGAAATCTGAGAGCAGATGAGACTGTTTCTTGCCTCTCCCCATATAGAGGTTTTTGAACAGTTTCCCTGAACCTAGCCTGACACTAGAGCAGTAGTGTTGACTGCATGTATTCTATGTCAGGAGACAGGGCTTGAGACCACCTCACAATTCCCTAGACTCTGGGGAGGTATTGGAAGAACCGAGTGTTTTCTAAATACCCACAAGGACATCTCGAGACCTGAGAGATCTTAATCTCAAGGCTAAGGAGGCACAGCAGTGATCTGAGTGCTTCTGTAACTGATGCCTGGGTGGAATTTGAATATCCCTAGAACACATGCAGAGAGATAACCAAGGCCACACATGACAATACACCTCTCAGTGGATTCCAGGGTGAACAACAGCAGGCAACTGAAGATCAAACACTTTCTGCTTGTCTTAGCCACAATCCCAGAGATTGTGGGGAGTGCTTGAATTGACTGGAGTTAAGGTTTATACTACTTGGAGGAATAGGTGCTCAAAATAGACCGAGATATTAGAAAAACATTCTTGTGCATCTGATTTTGTGAGTTGACATTTCTTTTTTTTTCTTCTCTTCTCTCTCTTTTTTTTTTTTTTTTTCTGAGATGGAGTCTCACTCTGTCACCCAGGCTGGAGTGCAATGGCGCGATCTCAGCTCACTGCAACCTCTGCCTCCCAGTTTCAAGCGATTCTCCTGCCTCAGCCCCCCGAGTAGCTGGGATTACAGGCGCACGCCACCATGCCTGGCTAATTCTTATATTTCTAACAAAGACGGGGTTTCACTATGTTGGTCAGGCTGGTTTCAAACTCCTGATCTTGTGATCCACCTGCCTCAGCCTCCCAAAATGCTGGGATTACAGGCATGAGCCACTGCACCCGGCCCACATTTCTATCAATTCTATCAAGGCACACTATATTTGGTCAATTGGATTGAATTGATGAACAAGATCCTTTTTCCTGAGGACAACATTGAGGAGAAAAGTGAATCAGAAAACAAAAAGCTTATCAGGTGTGGTGGCTTACGCCTGTAATCCCACCACTTTGAGAGGCCAAGGCAAGAAGATCGCTTGAGCATAAGAGTTTGAGACCAGCCTTGGCAGCACAGTGAGACCTTGTCTCTACAAAAAATAAACAAAATTAGCTGGGTGTGGTGGCACACACTTGTAGTCCCAGCTACTTGGGAGTCTGAGGTGGGAGAGGATCTCCTGAGCCTGGAAGGTTGAGGAGCAATGAGCTGAGATCATACCACTACCACTACCACTGCACTCCAGTCTGGGCAACAGAGCAAGGCCCTGTCTCAAAAACAAAAATAGAAGCTCCTGCTGGGGAATTGGGTAAATTATTGAAGTGCTCCCTGAGCTGTCTTTGCCTCAATATGCTTTTAACCCAACACTTCTCAACTTTTCTAGTCCTTGATAGTGACAGTGGTGTTCCATATACTATGTTATACCTAGTTAGGCAAAGTAGAGTCTAGCTATAGCTACTCAACTACTTACTAAGGCAGGAGAGTTAACTCAGCATTTCAGAGTCTTCATACATATTCAGAGATTGAAACAAGAAGTTTTAAAATAACTCCCAGACTCCCAACTGTACATGTATTTACAAATGTATGACTTGATCATTGATTTTTAGAAGGTAAACAGAACCAGACAAGTTCATATTTTTAACTAGGTTATAGCCTGAATATTGTATTCGGAAGGACCATGTTATTTATTAAACTGTGTGAGGCTGCCATGATTATGCTGTAGATAGGCAGAGGTCTCCAGAGTCAATTGGGGTTGTTGAATCACATTCAGCGAATGTCCTTCCATCTCAATTGAAGAAGCTTGCTATTGAGGGACTCCCCTGAAGTAATCAATTAAAAGCAGTAGCATTAAGCAGCTAATGGTGCTGAGAAATCAATACTGGTATGGGGAAGGAACAATTCCCTGCAATGATTTCTATGCAAATTCTGATTCTTATACCTAATGACATTAGGATTCACTAATGACACATAACTCAAGGAATTGCTTCTTTCCCAGTTAAGCATGAAGCACATTTTTGCCCCTACAACCTTGGCGGCCACTTGGGCAGCTTACTTCTGTTGCTGGGAAGCAATAGATAAAGGTAAGGCAGCCAAACTTTCTATGGGTCCCTCTTGTGGGAGAGGAGATCTGATAGAAATACTGACTTTCTGAAGATTGGAATGGGTTCCTGAAAGGGCGAGGACCATTCATTCTTTCATTCAGTGAGCATTTGTCTGCTCTGGCCCTGTGCCTTTAACTGCTCCATCCCCACTCATGACCAAGGTAGTCCTATCAAAGATACCTATAGCTCAGCCCAAACTGCTTTGAGACTCTCTCTACTTTCTCCCAGAGTAGATTCCACTACTTTCTCCCAATATTAAATATTGTAGTGGGCATGCATTTTACCCCAAAATATAGAGTGAAATAAATATTTCTTTTATTCTCTAAATATCAATCTGCTCAGAGACCATACCCTCCCCCCAGATTTGATAGAACATTTAATCTCAGTCATTGTGGAGGCCTCCATGTCCATGTTAAGTACTAAGCATTTGGACCATCACAGGGAATCCTCAGATCTTCAGTTTTTCACACTGGCCATCACTGACATACTCATTGTCCAAGCCTGTATGGTCTCTTCAAGGCTAGCAGCTCTGCTGCTTCTGGACCAAGCTGAGGCACAGGGGATTCTGTCCAGGCTGGGAGTCCTGAACTGGTTTGGGTCTAGTCTTTCTTGGATATCACATTGCCATTTTTCTCCGATGTCCTGTCACCTCCCTGGGCACTGTCAAAGAACAGGGTGTCTATATACTCTACTTGTAGAATCTGTAAAACTCCAGTAACCCTGTCTGTTTTGAGAATACTGTCTTGAAGCTCTTATAGGTACTTCTATATCTCTGTTTTCCAAACCTCAGAGCCACTTCCATTGTAGAACAGTAATTTAGCTCTTTGTTTCCTCTTGCCTTGGCTTTAGAACTCTGCATCCTCTTAACTTTGATCTGGAGCAGTCGAATCTTTGGGTCATATTGCACCAGGTAGGCTGTGTGCATGTACGCAAGTATATGTGTGTGTTATGGGGAGGGGTGCTCATTCTTTCTGAGTTTTCCCTTTCTCATCCTCCCTTCTCTTCCACCCCCTACACCTAGCAAACTTATAACTATCCTTCAAGTCTCAGCTTATATGTAGTTCTTTCAGATTAGTTTGTCATGCTCCTCTACTCTAAATAGTCCCTTTTATACACATGTATAGCACCCTGTAGCTATTCTATGTAGCACTTGCCATAATGGTAATGAGTTATCAGGGTGATTGTTAATGTTTGTTTTTTTCCCATGTGTTTGTAAGCTCCATGATAAAAGGGACTGTTCTTTTTTGTTCATTGTTATGTCCCTATCCCCTCATAAAATATCTGACATTTAGATGTTGTAAACAAATGTTGAATAAATGAAGTGATATCTTTCCATATTTTAGAAGTAACAACAGAGAAATGATTTTCTAATTTTTCATTCTTTAAATTTATATGGTGTTGATAGCTTGTACAATGAAAATAGATAGTACATGCACTATCATAGCAAAAGAGTTGGCATAAAGTTGTTTGTACTATCTTCCTCTTATCTTTTTAACACATAATATCTGTAGTGATGTCTCCTTTTTCATTCCTGATATTTCATTCCTCATCTTGGTAATTTGAGCCTTCTCTCTTGGTCTTTATTGAAATACAGTAATTATATTCATCTAAAACATCATTAAGATAATGAAAAGGCAAATTAGAGTGGGAGAAAATATTTATAATATACATAACTTGCAAAGGACTTGTGTCCAGAATATATAAATAACTCCCACGGATAAATAAAAAACGACAGATAACCTAATTAAAAATTAAGGACTTGATCAGGTATTTCATCAAATAGTATACTGACATGTTTAGCAAGCATCATTAGTCATTGGGGAAATGCAAATTAAAACCACAATGAGTGACCACTACACGTTTATCAGAATAGTTATCATTAAAAAGACAAACAACAGCAAGTATTGCCAAGGAGTGGAGTGAGTGGAACTCTCATATGCTGTTGACTGCAGTGTAAACTGGTACAACTACTTTGGAAAACTGGCAGTATCAATTAAAGTTGAATATATGTGTACCCAATGACCTAATAAATCCATTACTATGCATATACCCAACAGAAATGCACACATTTGCACCAAAAGATGTGCAAAATGTTCACAGCAGCATTATTTGTAATGGCACCAAACTAAAAATAATCTAAATGTTCATCAACATTAGAATGGATAAATTGTGGTATATTCATACAATGGAATATCACACAGCAATTAATAAGAAAAAAATACTACAACACCAAGCACAATGGATGAATCTCACACATATAAGATTGAATAAGAAGCCAGAGATAAAAGAGAATACATTTATATCAAGTTCAAGCACAGGCAAAATTAATCTATGGTGATAGAAATTAGAATAATGATAGAAGACCAAGAGAAACATGAGAGAGACTTTTGGAATACTGATAATGCTCTGAGTCTTGATCTAGGTGATGGTAACATAAGTGTGCTTACTTTATAAAAATTAATCTGTATAATTAAGATTTACATTTTTTGTATGTTATATTTCAATAAAAGTTTATAACAATAGATAGAATAAATGCATTAAAAGAGAGAGTGACACTGGATGAATTTTAATGTTCCTTCTAGTTCTAACATGCTATGAATTTATGTTTGAAAATTTTTTGAAAATAATAAAATCCTTGACAAGTATAAGGTCTTTTATGATTATCAGTGGTAGTTGACCCTGAATTCCTCATGATTTCCTGATCAAGTCATGAAAAATAATTTGCTTAAAGTTTTATATCTTTGTTTCCCATATGAAAATGTAAGTTACCTCCCTTTCTGGATCTTCTTCATTTCCTAGTTTCTTTGGAATTTTTTGGTGAAGACATTGAATGAACCACCAGAGGCAAATACCATGGAGAGTAATCCTGATTACTCGTATAGTTTGAGTTGGCAAGAATGATGGCAAAGCCCCTGAATGCAAAATGCAAGGTTTAAGGAGAATGCTTCAGGATTCCTTTAAGTCATCTGTGGCTTTGGGTTCCCCAGACTATGTTTTCTACTTCAATGCATAATGCAGCAGTGGAAATAATAATGATTTTCCCAAACACTTGACCTCCGTTAGGAGTCAATTTTAATGTTAGGAGAAAGTGGTGCAATAAAAGACAAATAAAGTACATTTAGCATTCATTTCCAAATGTAGTCATTCAAATAGCAACACCTTTATCATTGTCATCACTTTCTTTTTTCCTTAGCCTTACCAGTAAAACTCCATTAATGAATCTACACAGTTGAAAAAGTGGTAGACTTATTCTGAAAGATGAGGCTTTGGCTTTACTGAAGCCATTGAGCTTGCTTAGAACACACTATTCATTTTTTTCTTGGAAGCTTTTCTCTCTTTCAGATATTCATTAAGAACTCAAATTTCCTGGTATCTAAATCAAAGTATCCTTTAAAGGTATATCACCTTCCTAATTCTTAGCCTGGAAAAAAATGTCAGAAAATTCTTTAAACTCATTTAGTGAAGTATTTTAAATGCTCATCTTGCACTTTTGAGTGAAGTGTAATTTACATTTCATAAAAGTAGAAGCCGAGTAGCAAGCTGTAAGTTATTATCATATAATTAAATGTCTACTATGAAGGGAATGAAAACGTGGGCTCCTTTGTGCCTTTCGTGACTGGGTTATGCAATAGCAAATTAAATTACAGCTCTTTATCTCAGGAAGTCTCCATGGGACCTACTGAGGGTTTTTAAAATATACCCCTGAGTTGCCAATATAGTTTCAGCTGAAACCTGAAGCAATCACTTCACTGTCCAAGCAGACCACATGGAAATGGAATCTGTAGCTTTGGTTTTAGAATGGAAACCAAAGTGTCTACTCCTCTCAGTAACTTAGAAAACCCCTGTTTCCCTAGGTTAATATTTGTAAACAGGAAACACTAACATGATAATTGGTAATTAATTATTACTGTGGATGAGCTTTATTTATTTAAATTCACAAAGCAGTTGGCTTTAGGGATAATAATCAAATACTAAATGCATTTTAATTAGTTGAAATACTCCTAATCTGATCTTATCTAATAGTCACTTAAAATATGCATTGTGTACTTGCTAAGTTCCAGATGCTACGGGGCATCAAAGGGTCAAAAAAGACATGTTCTCTGCTCTGAAGGTGATTACAGTCAGGAAGGGGATAGAAGCTATGCATACAAAAAATACAATATAAGGCAAAATTAGATAGTTATCAGAGAATCCAAGGTGGAGGAGCTCAGAGGAAGGAGCAATCATTTCTATTTTTGGCTAAGTAGAGCAGGTAAGATTTCAAGAAAATAGTATTTAATTTGGTGGATAAGGGATAGATTTATTATAGGAGGAGGTATTGAGGAGCCCATGATCAATTATATAAGTGGGAAACCAGCACAGGGTCTTCAGGGAATGAAGTAGTTTGTTCCCTTATTCAACAGTCACTGTGGCAATTTATTTAAATTTGTGAATACAATTGTTAAGGTTTACAGACTTTCTTTTCAGTCAAAAGCTATAATATGATATTCTTGATATTGTTTGGAGCATTAGATTCATGTAGGGGTCTAGTGAGAGATATGGATGATGTATTATTTAATTCCTGCATTGCCATGGAAATACCTGAGATGGGGTAATTTATAAAGAAAAGAGGTTTAATTGGCTCACATTCTGCAGGCTGTGCAGGAAGCATGGCAGCATTTGCTTGACTTCTGGGGAAAGATCAGGAAACTTACAATAATGGCAGAAGGTGAAGGGGGAAGCAGGCACTTCTTACGTGGCAAGAGCAAGAGGAAGAGAGCAAGAAGGGGGAGATATCACACATTTTTAAACAACCAGATCTCATGAGAACTCTATCATGAGAACAGCACTAGGGAGATAGTGTGAAACGGGTAGAAACTGCCCCCATGATTCAATCACCCCTCACTAGACCCCACCTCCAGCATTGGGGATCACATTTCGACATATGTTTTGGGTAAGGACACAGATCCACACCATTTCAGATGACAGTGGAAGTTGCAGCTGGATTGCAAAGATGATTGGTCACCACTCCAATGAAGACAGACTTTACTCAGAGAATCATTCATTTAAAAAATTATTGATGGACTATTGTGTACCCAGCATGTAGAATACAGTTGCGGATATCTTTCCTGCCCATAGGGAAATGGGTTTAGTGCAGGAGCTGGTTGAGAGGTGTGAGGGCCCCTCTCTTACAGGATGTGAGGTGTCAGGAAAGGCACGCCTTCTAGAGATGGAAATGTCTGAGTTGAAATATAAAGGACAGCATAGGCTTTTCTGGAATGAAGATGGTAGGAAGGTGTTTCAAGCAGAGGGAACCTGTCAAATCACTGAGGTGTAGAGAACCAGAGAGTTCCTGGTCTTGCTGGGCTTGAACCTAGGGTGTGAACTGAGTTGTAGAGAGTCAATGCTAAAGGGGTCAAAAAGGGATCTGATAGTGAAATACCCTATAGAGGCTATTGCAATGATTCAGTTGGAAATGACAAGACCTTGAGTTAAAAATATAGTAACAGGGAAGAAGAAGAAGAAGGCATACATTTGAGAGATATTTAGGGGGTAGAATTTACATGATTTGCTAATCAATTGCATGTAAGTGATGAGGTGGGTAATGGAGAGTGAGTGCGAATCTCAGGATTGAACTTTGGTGTCAGGAAGTGCCATTCATTGAGGGGGAAACACAGGAGGATAAGACTTGATGGGGAAGTCCTGAGCTCAGTTTTACCTATGTTGAGTGTGAGGTGCCTGTCAGATACCCAAATGAAGATTGGATATATTATTTGGGGTGCAGGAATGTAGTTTGTGCTACTGATATAGTCTTGAAAGTCATCAGCATTAGGAGTTAAAAATCTGAATGTCTACAGTATCCAGATAGGTGACATACATGAATAATTCTGTTTGGGGCTGATATGGGCCTAAGACAAAAAGAAGAGATGAGCACAAGCCCTCCCCAAAGACATTCAAGTTAGAAATAAATGTTGGAGGTTTCACCGGGGAAAATGAAAAAAAATCTGGTAAGCCAGCCAAACAAAACCCAGCTGCAGGCTGTATGAATCTTCAAGCAGCCAATTTTCCATACTTGAGACATACGTATGCATATAGAGTAGATGTAGCTTTTATGCAGGGGGAATATATAGAGTACAGAAAAAGGACAAGGACAAAGGTCCAGAGGAGTAACACAAAAAACAAGCAGATACTCCACTCCAGGTTGGGGAGGGAGAAGAATGAGAGAAGGGAGAGAGAGAAGAAAAAGGAGAGGGAGATGGAAAGAAAACCAGAGTATGGTGTCCAGGAAGCAAGAGGAGAAGAAGATTTTCAGGCAGGGAATGGTTAACTGTGTTGAATGCTACAGACTTAGATCAAGATTGTGAACTTTCTATAGGAATTTGTACCATGGAGAGATTGCTAGCTTGAAATGAAGCCATTTCAGTGGTGTAGTGGGGGCTAAAGCCAAACTATAGTGGGCTGAGGATTTAATGGAGAAGAAGAAGTGGAGACTGTGAGTATAGACAAGTCTTTCAAGAAATTTGGTTGTGAATGTGAGGTGAGCAGTTGGGTGGCAGCTGGCTATTTATCTGTACATATACACTGGGAGAGACATGAGCATACTTGTATGCTAAAGAGAGAGGATGAAGTTGAAGATGTAAGAATGAGAAGGATCTGTTGAAGAGCTGAGGTCCCTGGAAAGGTGGAAATAGAAGAGATCCAGAGAATAGGTGGAAGGATTAGCCTTGAGATAGAAGAAATGGCACCTTTTCTATGGAAATTGAAGATAATTTCATTTAACAAAGATTTATGTAGCCTCTGTACCCTGCCAGATACTGTTCTAGGTACTGAAGATGTAGCAGTTTGAAAAACCAGGACAAAAATCCCTGCCTGGATGGAACTTACATTCCAGAAAGAATGAAGTATGTACAAGAGCAAATACATAAAAGCAGGGATGAAACATTGGAAATGTAGTTGAAACATTCTTATTTGATGACCTCAATTTTCTCTGTGACTGAAGGAAGAGATCTTATGTTACTGGACATAGAAAATATTGGATTGGGGTTTGTGTGAAAGAAGGGCCTAGGAACAGAAAAAGAAACTTCTGAGCAGCAACTAGACTCCTACTTGTCTTGCAGTAGAGGAATGATGCACAAACTTTTCTGTAAAGGACCAGATAGAATAATATTTTCTATATCTACAGAAGTCTTGCTGGGATTTTGATAGAAATTACATTAAATCTGTTTATCAACTTGGGGAGAATTTGCATCCTTACTGTGCTGAGTTCCCAATCCAGAACATGTTATGTATCTCTATTTATTTAGATTATTTTTTATTTCTTTTCATTAGCATTGTGTAGTTTTCAGTGTATAAGTTCCGCATGTGTTTTATTAGATTTACACTTAAGTATTGGATTTTAAAAGGAATTTAAATGGTACTATATTTTGAACTTCAGTGTCTACATTTCATTACTATTATATAGAAATACAATTAATTTTTGTATCATTATCTTCTGTCCTCCAACCTTGCTGAATTCATTTACTAGTTTTGGAGGTTTTTGTAGATTTCTTTGGATGTTCTCTGTAGGCATCTTCAAATCTGGGTAGTTTTATTTATTCTCCATCTGCATGCCTTTTATGTTCTTTACTTTCTTTATCGGACTGGCTAGATCTTCTAACATTATGTTGAGTAAGAGTGGTGAAATGGACATCCTTGCCTTGTTCTTGATCTTAAGGGGAAACTATCCAGTCTTTCATCATGAAGTATGATGTTAACTTTAGGATTTATGTAGATGTTCTATATCAAGTTGAGAAAGTTCCTCTCTATATTTTTCTGAGAATTTTTGTAGTGAATTGGTATTAATTTTTTCAAACACTTTTCCTGCATTGATCAATATGTTCATATAAGGTTTCTTCTTTAATCTTTTAATATGGTAAATTACATTGATTGATTTTTGTAATATTGTACCAGCTTTGCTTCTGTCTTTATCCATTGTTTGTTGCTATAATAGAATACTATAGACTAGGTAATTTACAAAGAAAAGAGATCTATTTCACTCACGGTTCTGGAGGCTGGCAAGTCCAAGAGCATGGTGTTGGCATCTGGTGAGGGTCATCTCATGGTGGAAGATATCACATGATGAGGAAGCACACAGGAAAGACAGAGAGAAAAGATGGGGGATAAACTTATTTTTTAAACTAGGAGCCTGTTCCTATGATAACTAAACCACTCCTGTGATAACAGCATTAATCCATTACCTTTTAAAGACCCCATCTCTTAATGTTGTTACAGTGGCAATTAAGTTTCCAGTACATGAACTTATGGGGGACACAATGAAACCATAGTATTCTCTCCTGGCCCTCCAAATTCATATTCTTCTCACAGGTAAAATACATTCACTTTATCCCAATAGTCCCAAAAGTCTTAACTTTTTCAGCATCAACTCAAATGTCCTGATATATAATAATGTTTTGTTATCCTAAATGTCTCGAAATAGAGTCACTTACAAAAAGTGACTCAGCCCACAGTGAAGTTGCTGACACATCAAAGTGATAAACATATATATAATGGACTGAGGTGATAACACCTACTGTGGCCAGGCACACTCCAGACCTGACAGGAAAGTGAGGCTGAGATAGTGACCATGGATACTCCTGTGGAGGGCCATAAAAAAAAAAAGAAACTGACCATGACTAAGATGCCTAAAGAAACTCTGCCAATGAGAACTCCAAGGCCTCTTGGTAATGGCTGCTGGAAACTGCCTTAGAAGAGCAGTGACTTCCCTCACTGGTCAGCATTTTGAAGGAAATCAAGAGCTGCCCAGTTTGTCTATCAGTGTGCTGGTCTCCTGAATTACTCGCCATGGTTTGTTCTTCTTCTTTCTTATTACTGCCTTTATGTGTTAAATATATTTGCATGATTATTGGTGTGTGAAAGCCTCACAATAAACCTTAAATTTGAAAGCACTTAATTGGCCACTGAGCCACTTTGAAACCTTTCCCCATTCTTGGATTTAGAACAACTAGGCTGATTCAAACCTGACACAAAAAATCAAAAGTCCAAAGTCTTATCTGAATCAGATATGAGTGAGACTTAAGGCATGATTCATTCTGAGGCAAATTCCTTCCAGCTATGAACCTGTGAAATCAAAACAAGTTATCTACTTCCAGAATACAATGTGGGACAGGTATAGGATAGACATTTTGATTCCAAAAGGGAGAAATAGGCAAAAAGAAAGAAGTAACAAGCCCTAAGTAAGTCCAAAACCCAACAGGGAAACATTAAGTCTTAAACCTGCTTTGACTCCATGTATCACTTCCTGGATGCACTGAGGTGGGAGTTGGGCCCCGAAGGCCTCAGGCAATACAGCCCCTATGGCTTTTCAGGGCTCAGTCTATCCGGCAGCTCTCATTGGTAGAAGTTTCATGTCTGCAGTTCTCCCAGGCTGGCATTGCATGTTTGGACCTCTATAGTGCTGAAGTCTTAAGGGCAGCCCTACCCCTGCAACTCCACTAAGCATTGCCTTAGTGGGGAAGTTCTCTATGGTGGCTCTACCTTTGTAGTAGGTTTCTCCCTGGACTTTCAGGCATTTTGTGGCATCCTTTGAAATCTAGGTGGAGGAAGCCATTCCTCCACAGCTCTTGCATTCTGTGTATCTGTAGAATTAACACCATGTAGATGCTGCCAAGGCTTATGACTTAGACTTTTTGGAGCAGCAAGTCAAGCCATACCTGGACCCACTGAGCCATGAGTGCAGCAGCTGAAGAGTGCTGCACCAGAATGCAGGGAGCAGAGTCCTGAGGAGGCTTTGGGCAGTGAGCCCATGGAAGACACCCAGGACCTGTCCCCTGAAATCATTCTGTCCTCCTATAGCTCTGGGCCTGTGATTGGAGGGGCAGCCTCAAAAATCTTTAAAATTCCTTCAGGGTCTTTTTCTCCCATTGTTTTCATGAATAGCACCTGGCTCTGTTCTATCAATACTAATCTCTTTAGCAAATGATTGCTTGGTCACAATCTTAGTATTATATTCTTAGCACTATTTTTTTTAGACAGGGTCTTGCTCTTTCACCCAGGCTGAAGTGCAGTGGTGCAATCTTGGCTCACCGCAACCTCTGCCTCTTAGGCTCAAGCAATCCTCCCACCTCAGCCTCCCGAGTAGCTGGGACCACAGGTGCATGCCACCATGCCTGGTGAATTTTTTGTAGAGACAGGGTTTTGCTGTGTTGCCCATGCTGGTCTCATACTCCCAAGCTCAAGAAATCCACCTGCGTTAGCCTCCCAAAGTGCTGGGATAACAGGCGTGGGCCACTGCACCTGGCCTATTCTTCATATTCCAGAGTATGCTTTTTCAGTCTTTACATGGCCAGCCTGTGAATTTTCCTTATCTTTCTGTTTGGCTTATCTTTTTAAGTATAAATTTCATCTTTAAGTCATTCTTTGGCTTTCACATCTCGCTGTATGTGGCTAAAAGTAGCCATGCAGCAGCCTGAATACATTGCTGCTTAGATATTTCTTCCATTAGATATCCTAGTTCATTGCTCTTAAGTTCTGCATTTCATGAAGTCCTAGGACACAGACACAATTCAGCCAAGGTCTTTGCTACTTTATAACAAGGAAGGTTTTTTCTTCAATTTCTAATATTTTGTTTCTCAAATCATTCTGTGACCCCATCAGAATGGCCTTTGCTGTCCATATTTCTATCAGCATTCTGGTCATGACCACTTCAGTAATCTCTAAGAAGATTTAGACTTCCTCTGTAGCTCTCCCCTTAGGAGCCCTCAAGAGAAACTTAATGCTCTGTTCATGCCAATTTAGACTTTTTCTAGCCTGCTGCTCCAAATTCTTCCAGGCTCTAACAATTATTCAGTTCCAAAGCTGCTTCCACATTTTCAGGCATTTTTAATAGCAATAGCTCCATTTCTTGGTACCAGATTTCTGTCTTAATTTATTTTCTGCTGCTATAACAGAATACTTTAGACTGAGTAATTTATAAAAAAGAAAAAGAAATTTATTTGGCTTACAATTCTGGAGGCTGAGAAGAACATGGTGTGCCATCTGGTGAGGGTCAGTCCATGGTAGAAGAGTGGAAGGCAGAATTGAGCATGCAAGACAGAGAGAAAATAGGAGCTAAATTTATCCATTTATTATGAGCCTACTCCTGTATAACTATCTCGTTGTCATAATGACAATCCATTCATGAGAGTGAAGCCCTCATGACTTACTCACCTCTTTTATACCTCACCTCCCAATACCATCACAGTGGCAATTAAATTTCAACATGAGTTTTGATGGGGACATTCAAACCACATCAGCATCCATGGCTTAAACCCTACTTGAGCATGTTGTTTAATTACTTTTATGTGTTGCTGAATTGTTTTTTTCTAGTACTTTGTTAGGGATTTTTGCATCTATATTCATGAGGGATATTGTTTGGTACATTTCTGTACTGTCTTTGTCTGATTTTCTTATCAGGATAATATTAGCTTTATAAAAGGAATTGAGAAGTGTTCCCTCCTATTGTCTGGAAGATATTGTGTGGACTTACTGTTAATTCTTCTTTAAATATTTCATTTAATTCTCCGGTGAAACAATCTGGACCTGAAGATTTCTTTTTGTGAAGTTTTAAAATTATGAATTTAATTTTGTTATAATGCCATTGAAATGATATATTTTATATTGGGTGAGGTTGTGGTAGTATTTTTTTTGAGAAATTGGTTCATATCATGTATGTTGCCAAATTTATGTATGTAGAGATGTTGGTACTGTTCCCTTTTTACCCTTTTGATGTCTGCGGGGTCCATAGTGATATCTTGTTTTATCCCTGATATTGATAATTCATCTTTTTTTTTGAGACAAGGTCTCACTTCAACGCCCAGGCTGGGTGATGCAATCGTGGCTCACTGCAGTCTCAACTTCCCAGGTTGAAGCAATCCTCCCACATCAGCCTCCCATGTTGCTGGGGGGTACAGGTGTGTGCCACCACGCCTGGTTAATTATTTTTTGTACTTACTGTGGAGACAGGGTTTTGCCATGTTGTTCAAGTGGCTGTCGAACTCCTGGGCTCAAGTGATCCACCTGCCCAGGCCTCCCAAAATGCTCAGATTACAGGCGTGAGCCACTGTGCCTGTTAGATAATTTGTGTCTTCTCTTTTTACCTGGTCAGAGGTAAACAATAGAGGTGTGTCAACTCTATTGATCTTTTAAAAGAACTAGCTCTTTGTTTCAATGACTTTATTGTTTCTCTGTTTTCAACTTCATTGACTTCTCTTTTTAAAATTTTAAAAAATTTTGTGGGTATGTTTATGTAGTAGATATATATTTATGGGTTACATGAGATATTTGATATAGGCATGCAATGTGTAATAATTACAACAGAATAAATGGGGTATTCATCCCCTCAAGCACTTATCATTTTTGTTGCAAACAATTTAATTATACTTTTAGTTATTTAAAATATGCAGTTAAGTTACTTTGACTATAGTCACCCTGTTCTGCTAGCAAATACTAGGTCTTATTCATTCTATTTTTTTGTACCACTAACCATCCCCAAGCATCCCCACTTCTGCCCCACATCCTCATTACCCTTCCTAGCCTTTGGTAAGCATCCTTTTACTCTCTATATTGATGACTTCAATTGTTTTAATTTTCATTCCCACAAATAAGTGAGAACATGTGATATTTGTCTTTCTGTGCCTGGCTTATTTCACTTAACATAATACCTCTAGTTCCATCCATGTTGTTGAAAATGACAGGATCTAATTCTTTTTTATGGCTGAATAGTACTCCATTGTGTATATGTACCTATGTACCATATTTTCTTTAGTTCTCTGTTGATGGACACTTAAGTTGCTTCGAAATCTTGGCTATTGAGAATAGTGCTGGAATAAACATGGGAGTGCAGATATCTCTTCGATATATTAATTTCCTTTCTTTTGGGTATATACCCAGCAGTCGGATTGATGGCTCATATGGTAGCTCTATTTTTAGTTTTTTGAGGGATCTCTATACTGTTCTCCATGGTGGTTGTACTAATTTATATTCCCACTAACAACAGTGTATGAGTGTTCCCTTTTCTCCACATCCTCACCAGCATTTGTTATTGCCTGTCTTTTGGATAAAAGCCATTTTAATGTGGGTGAGATGGTATCTCCTTGTAGTTTTGATTTGCATTTCTCTGATGATCGATGATGTTGAACACCTTTTCATATGCCTATTTGCCATGTTTATGCCTTTTTGAGAAATGTCTATTCAGATATTTTGCCCATTTTAAAATCAGATTAGATTTTTTCCTATAGAGCGGTTTAAGCTCCTTTTACATATTCTGGTTATTAATCCCTTATCAGATGTGTAGTTTGTGAATATTTTCTCCCATTGTGTGGATTATCTCTTCACTTTGTTGATTGTTTCCTTTGCTGTGCAGAAGCTTTTGAACGTGATGTGATCTTTCTCTTGTCTGATTACTCTGGCTAGGACTTCCAGTACTATGTTGAATAACAGTGGTGACAATGGACATCCTTGTCATGTTCTAGATCTTAGAGGAAAGGCTTTCAGGTTTCTCCCATTCAATATGATACTAGCTGTGGGTCTGTCAGATATGGCTTTTATCATGTTGAGGTATGTTTCTTCTATATCCAGTTTCTTGATAGTTTTTATCATGAAGGGGTGCTGAATTTTACCAAATGCTTTTTCAGCATCAATTGAAATGATAGTGTGATTTTTGTCTTTCATTCTGTTGATATGATGTATCACATGTGCAAATCAATCTCTCTTGTGCAAATCATATGATTTGTCAGACGGGTAGATTGCAAAAATTTTCTCCCATTCTGTAGGTTGCCTGTTCACTCTGATGGTAGTTTCTTTTGCTGTGCAGAAGCTCTTTAGTTTAATCAAATCATATGATTGATTTGCATATGTTGAACCATCCTCACATCTCAGGGATAAATCCCACTTGGTCATGATGAATGATCTCTTTGATATTTTGTTGAAGTCAGTTTGCTAATATTTTGTTGAGGATTTTTGCATCAATAGTCACCAGGGATATTGACCTGTAGTTTTCTTTCTTTCTTTCTTTCTTTCTTTCTTTCTTTCTTTCTTTCTTTCTTTCTTTCTTTCTTTCTTTCTTTCTTCCTTCCTTCCTTCCTTCCTTCCTTCCTTTCTTTCTTTCTTTCTGTCTTTTTTCTTTCTCTCTCTCTCTCTCTCTCTCTCTCTTTCTTTCTTTCTTTCTTTCTCTCTTTCTTTCTTTCTTTTTAAATGTGTCTTTGTCTGTTTTTGGTATCAGGATAATACTGGCTTCATAGGACGAATTTGAAAGTATTCACTCCTCCTCTATTTTTTTTTATTATACTTTAAGTTCTAGGGTACATGTGCACAACGTGAAGGTTTGTTACATATGTATACATGTGCCACGCTGGTGTGCTGCACCCGTTAACTCGTCATTTACATTAGGTATATCTCCTAATGCTATCCCTCCCCGCTCCCCCCACCACAGGACAGGCCCCAGTATGTGATGTTCCCCACCCTATGTCCAAGTGTTCTCATTGTTCAATCTCCACCTATGAGTGAGAACATGCAGTGTTTGGTTTTCTGTCCTTGCGATAGTTTGCTCAGAATGGTTTCCAGCTTCATTCATGTCCCTACAAAGGACATGAACTCATCCTTTTTATGTCTGCATAGTATTCCATGGTGTATATGTGCCACATTTTCTTAATCCAGTCTATCATTGTTGGACATTTGGGTTGGTTCCAAGTCTTTGCTATTGTGAATAGTGCCATAATAAACATATGTGTGCATGTGTCTTTGTAGCCACATGATTTATAATCCTTTGGGTATATGCCCAGTAATGGGATGGCTGGGTCAAATGGTATTTCTAGTTCCAGATCCCTGAGGAATCGCCACACTGTCTTCCACAATGGTTGAACTAGTTTACAGTCCCACCAACAGTGTAAAAGTGTTCCTATTTCTCCACATCCTCTCCAGCACCTGTTGTTTCCTGACTTTTTCATGATTGCCATTCTAACTGGTGTGAGATGGTATCTCATTATGGCTTTGATTTGCATTTCTCTGATGGCCAGTGATGATGAGCATTTTTTCACGTGTCTGTTCACTGCATAAATGTCTTCTTTTGAGTAGTGTCTGTTCATATCCTTTGCCCACTTTTTGATGGGGTTGTTTGATTTTTCTTGCAAATTTCTTTAAGTTCTTTGTAGATTCTGGATATTAGCCCTTTGTCAGATGGGTAGATTGCAAAAATTTTCTCCCATTCTGTAGGTTACCTGTTCACTCTGATGGTAGTTTCTTATGATGTGCAGAAGCTCTTTACTTTAATTAGATCCAATTTGTCAATTTTGGCTTTTGTTGCCATTGCTTTTGGTGTTTTGGACATGAAGTCCTTGCCCATGCCTATGTCCTGAATGGTATTGCCTAGGTTTTCTTCTAGGGTTTTTATGGTTTTTAGGTCTAACATGTAAGTCTTTAATCCATCTTGAATTAATTTTTGTATAAGGTGTAAGGAAGGGATCCAGTTTCAGCTTTCTACATATGGCTAGTCAGTTTTCCCAGCACCATTTATTAAATAGGGAATCATTTCCCCCTTTCTTGTTTTTGTCAGGTTTGTCAAAGATCAGATGGTTGTAGATGTGTGGTATTATTTCCGGGGGCTCTATTTGGTTCCATTGGTCTATATCTCTGTTTTGGTACCTGTACCATGCTGTTTTGGTTACTGTAGCCTTGTAGTATAGTTTGAAGTCAGGTAGCATGATGCCTCCAGCTTTGTTCTTTTTGCTTAGGATTGTCTTGGAAATGTGGGCTCTTTTTTGGTTCCATATGAACTTTAAAGTAGCTTTTTCCAGTTCTGTGAAGAAAGTCATTGGTAGCTTGATGGGGATGGCATTGAATCTATAAATTACCTTGGGCAGTATGGCCATTTTCACGATATTGATTCGTCCTATCCATGAGCATGGAATGTTCTTCCATTTGTTTGTGTCCTCTTTTATTTCATTGAGCAGTGGTTTGTAGTTCTCCTTGAAGAGGTCTTTGACATCCCTTGTAAGTTGGATTCCTAGGTATTTTATTCTCTTTGAAACAATTGTGAATGGGAGTTCACTCATGATTTGGCTCTCTGTTTGTCTGTTATTGGTGTATAGGAATGCTTGTGATTTTTGCACATTGATTTTGTATCCTGAGACTTTGCTGAAGTTGCTTATCAGCTTAAGGAGATTTTGGGCTGAGACGATGGGGTTTTCTAAATATACAATCATGTCATCTGCAAACAGGGACAATTTGACTTCCTCTTTTCCTAATTGAATACCCTTTATTTCTTTCTCTTGCCTGATTGCCCTGGCCAGAACTTCCAACACTATGTTGAATAGGAATGATGAGAGAGGGCATCCCTGTCTTATGCCAGTTTTCAAAGGGAATGCTTCCAATTTTTGCCCATTCAGTATGATATTGGCTGTGGGTTTGTCATAAATAGCTCTTATTTTCAGATATGTCCCATCAATACCTAGTTTATTGAGAGCTTTTAGCATGAAGCACTGTTGAATTTTGTTGAAGGCCTTTTCTGCATCTATTGAGATAATCATGTGGTTTTTGTATTTGGTTATGTTTATATGCTGGATTACGTTTATTGGTTTGTGTATGTTGAACCAGCTTTGCATCCCAGGGATGAAGCCCACTTGATCATGGTGGATAAGCTTTTTGATGTGCTGCTGGATTCGGTTTGCCAGTATTTTATTGAGGATTTTTTCATCGATGTTCATCAGGGATATTGGTCTAAAATTCTCTTTGTTTGTTGTGTCTCTGCCAAGCTTTGGTATCAGGATGATGCTGGCCTCATAAAATGAATTAAGGAGGATTCCTTCTTTTTCTGTTTACTGGAATAGTTTCAGAAGGAATGGTACCAGCTCCTCCTTGTACCTCTGGTAGAATTCTGCTGTGAATCCGTCTGGTCCTGAACTTTTTTTGGTTGGTAGGCTATTAATTAATGCCTCAATTTCAGAGGCTGTTATTGGTCTACTTAGGGATTCAACTTCTTCCTTGTTTAGTCTTGGGAGGGTGTATGTGTTCATGAATTTATCGATTTCTTCTAGATTTTCTAGTTTATTTGCATAGAGGTGTTTATAGTATTCTCTGACGGTAGTTTGCATTTCTGTGGGATCGGTGGTGATATCCCCTTTATCATTTTTTATTGCATCTATTTGACTCTTCTTTCTTTTCTTCTTTATTAGTCTGGTTAGCAGTCTACCAATTTTGTTAAACTGGTTTCAAAAAACCAGCTCCTGGATTCATTGATTTTTTGAAGGGTTTTTTTGTGTGTCTATCTCCTTCAGTTCTGCTCTGATCTTAATTATTTCTTGCGTTCTGCTAGCTTTTGAATGTGTTTGCTCTTGCTTCTCTAGTTCTTTTAATTGTGATGTTAGGGTGTCAATTTTGGATCTTTCCTGCTTTCTCTTGTGGGCATTTAGTGCCATAAATTTCCCTCTACACACTGCTTTAAATGTGTCCCAGAGATTCTGATATGTTGTGTCTTTGTTCTCGTGGTTTCAAAGAGCATCTGTATTTCTGTCTTCATTTCGTTATGTACCCAGTAGTTATTGAGGAGCAGGTTGTTCAGTTTCCATGTAGTTGAGCGGTTTTGAATGAATTTCTTAATCCCGAGCTCTAATTTGATTGCACTGTGGTCTGAGAGACAGTTTGTTATAATTTCTGTTCTTCTACATTTGCTGAGGAGTGCTTTACTTCCAGCTATGTGGTCAATTTTGGAATAAGTATGGTGTGGTGCTGAGAAGAATGTATATTCTGTTGATTTGGGGTGGAGAGTTCTGTAGATGTCTATTAGGTCCGCCTGGTGCAGAGCTGAGTTCAATTCCTTGATATCCTTTTTAACTTTCTGTCTTGTTGATCTGTCTAATGTTGACAGTGGGGTGTTAAAGTCTCCCATTATTATTGTGTGGGAGTCTAAGTCTCTTTGTAGGTCTTTGAAGACTTGCTTTATGAATCTGTGTGCTCCTGTATTGAGTGCATATATATTTAGGATAGTTAGCTCTTCTTGTTGAATTGATCCCTTTACCATTATGTAATGGTCTTCTTTGTCTCTTTTGATCTTTGTTGGTTTAAAGTCTGTTTTATCAGAGACTAGGATTGCAACCCCTCCTTTTTTTTGTTTTCCATTTGCTTGGTAGATCTTCCTCCATCCCGTTATTTTGAGCCTACGTGTGTCTCTGCACAGTTTGTGTAGGATTGTTATTAGTTCTTCTTTAAATGTTTGGTAGAATTCAGCAGTGAAGCTATGGTGTCCTGAGCTTTTCTTTACTGGGAGAATTTTTATTATGACTTCAATCTTGTTACTTGGTATTCGTCTGGTCAGGTTTTGGATTTCTTCCTGATTCAATATTGGTAGGTTGTATGTGTCTAGCAATTTGTCCATTTCCTCTAAATTTTCCAATTTATTGGCATATAGTTGTTTATACTAGCCACTAATGATCCTTTGAATTTCTGCAATATCAGTTGTAATTCCTCTTTTTTTCATCTTTAATTTTATTTATTTGGATCTTCTCTCTTTTTTTTCTTAATCTGACTAAAAGTTTGTTTATTTTGTGTAACTTTTCAGAAAACCAACTTTTTGTTTCATTGATATTTTGTATTGTTTTCTTCATTCGATTGCATTTATTTCTACTCTTATGTTTATTATTTCTTTCCTCCTACTATTTTGGGCTTAGTTTGTTCTCACTTTTCTATTTCTTTAAGATGCATTGTTAGGTTGCTTATTTAGAGTTTTTTGTCTCTTTCAATGTAGGCACTTATAGCTACAAACTTTTCTCTTAGCACTGCTTTTGTTGTATGCAATAGGTTTTGGTATGTTGTGTTTCCATTATCATTTGTTTAAAGAAATTTTTAAATTTTCTTCATAATTTCTTCATTGATCCAGTGGTCATTCAGGAGCATATTGTTTAATTTCTATGTATTTGTGTTTTCAAAATTACTCCTGTCATTGATTTCTAGTTTTATTCTGTTTTGGTCAGAGAAGACACCTGACAATATTTCAATTTTTTAAATGTTTTAAGACTTGTTCCTTGAAAATGATCCATGTGCTGAGGAAAACAATGTGTCTTCTGCAGCTATTGGATAAGATGTTCTTTACATATCTATTAGGTCCATTTAATCAATAGTACAGATTAAGCCTGATGTTTCTTTGTGGATTTTCTGTCTGGAAGTTGTGGTCAATCCTGAAAATGGGGTGTTGATGTCTCCAGCTATTATTATATTGGGGTCTTTCTCTCTCTTTAGCTCTAATAATATTTACTTTTCATATCTGGGTGCCCCAGTGTTGAGTGCGTATTATTTACAATTGCTATATCTTCTTGCTGAATTGACCCTTTTGTCATGTGTAATAACTTTCTTTGTCTCTTCATATAGTTTTTATCTTGAAACCTATTTTGTCTGATGTAAGTATTGCTACTCCCGCTATTTTTTTGGTTTCCATTGACATGGAATATTCTTTTCTATCTCTTTATTTTCAGTATATGTGTTTCTTTATAAGTGAAGTGTGTTTCTTGTAGGCAAGAGATCAATGGGTCCTGGATTTTCATCTATTCAGCTACTGTATGTCTTTTGATTGGAGAGTTTAGTCCATTTACATTCAGTGTTATTATTGATAAGTAAAGACTTACTCCTTCCATTTTATTATTTGTTTCCTGGATGTTTTTGTTACTTCCTTCTTTCCTATCTTCCTGTCTTTCTTTTGGTGAAGGTGATTTTCTCTGGTGGTATGAATTCATTTGTTGCTTTTTTTTTTTTTGCATTTGTTGTGTGTGTTTTGATGTTAGGTTACCATGATATTCTAAGTATTATTTTGTAACTCATTATGGTAAGCTGATAACAACTTAGCACTGTTTGCATAAAAAACAAACAAGCAAAAGAAGACTAATAAAAACTCTAGATCTTAATTTCTTTCCCTGCTTTTAAACTTTCTGTTGTCTCTCTTTATGTTTTATTATACTGAATCTGTCTTGAAATTTGGAGTTATTATTTTTGATTTGTTCATCTTTTAGTCTTCCTGCTTATTATAAGAATAGCTTATATCCACACACCTACTGATAGAGTTTGAATATATGTCTCCACTCAAATCTCATGTTAAATTGTAATATCCAATGTTGGAGGTGGGGCATGGTGGTAGGTGTTTGGGTCATGGGATTTAATTCCTCATGGCTCGGTGCTGCTTTTGCAATAGTTAGTGAGTTTTCATGAGATCTCATTGTTTGCGTCTGGCATCTAACCCCCAACCCCTACCCCCACACTTTTGCTCTCTTGTTCCTGCTTTCACCGTGTGAAATACCTGCTCCCACTTTGCCTTCTGCCATGAGTAAAAGCTCCTTGGGGCCTTCCCAGAAGCCAAGCAGATGCCAGCGCCATGCTTCCCATACAGCCTCCAGGACCATGAGCCAATTAAACCTCTTTTCTTTATGAATTGCCCAGACTTAGGTATTTTTTTATAGCAATGCAACAGTGGCATAATATACCTACCTACGTATCTATTGAAATTAAGCAAATGTAGCAGAATGCTAGCAATTGGTGTATCTAGGTGGATGATAGATATATTGATATTCCTTTTGCTAGTCTTTCCACTATTGTGTGAGTTTAAAATTTTCAAAACACAATGTTTGGAAGAAAAAAGCCCCATGTCATTTTGATGCTTTTTTTTTTTTTTAGTGTAATACCCCTCCTCTTCCTTTGTGGAAGCTTTTGGAATCTTCCCTCTTTTTAAAAAGATGTTCTGATAGTTCAGTGCTGTGCCTTGGTATAGGGCCTTTTATCATTCATTATGTTGGACCCTTTGTGAGCACTGTTAATCTGTAGACTCTTGTTAGACTCATGTCATTCAAATCTGGGTAATTCTCTTATTGTATTTATTGATAATTTTCTCTCCACTTTTTCTTCTATTTCAGAAGCTATCATTAATTAATTGGTTATTAGACCTCCTGGATGGATTCTATTTGACTAATATTCTTTTTTCTGTTTTGTCACTGCTTATCATTATTATTCTACTTTTTGAGAATTTTCTTTTGCTTTATTTTCTCACTTTCTATTTAATATTTTTAAGTTATATTTATTATTTTAATTTTATATAATAAAATGAGTTATATTACATTTCATTAAGTTCTAATTTCCAAGTTTTTGTTTTTTTACTTTTTCCTGCTTTTAAAAATAACATTTAATATCTATTTTATGGATGCAATGCTTTCTTATATCTTGCCACTTTTTTTCCCACTCCCTGAATTGTTTTCTTCTTTCTCTTTAGTTTCTTTTTCTCCTATATTGAGAGCTTTCCTTAGTGATCTGGTCATTATAGGTTAGGTGTTCATATGTATATTTGATGCATAAAATGCTGAGATTGAGAGCTTTCTGGGCATGCACATGGTATGCAGCCTGGAGAAGAGGTTCACTATCGAGTGTTTGATGGTTCACTGGGGACCCAAAATGTCACCATGTGGAGGCTTTTTTTTTTTCAAGCTAATTTTTTCCAGAAAAGGCTATTTCATTTTTTTGCCCTGGGATAGTAATCTAATCATAAGGCTTTCTGCCCATGGTGTAGAGGAGAGGTGTGCATGGGTGTCTGACTGTTCCATATGCAGAATTTCAATAGATCGTCTTATGTTCAGCTTTGCAATTCACCTTCACCTGACATCTTGCTTGCTGTTGCTGATTTTGAAGACTCCCAGTTTAGTTTCTCCAGCCAATAAATACCCAGTGGCTTCTGGCTTATGAGGTAGTTTCTGGCTGATAATGTTCTGTGAGTATGAGGAGTAGTATCTGTGTGTATGGTAATTAAATCTGATTATTTCTTATAAAAATATTTAATCAATCCCCCATTTTTTTTACCTCATAACTCCATCCCTACTCTCTGCAAAAAATGGTGCTTCCAGGTTCTGAGCCTCTCCTCGGTTCTGTGGACTGGTTTTGCTTTTCAGGCATCTTTTAATTATAATCTCCCTTTGTTCACACTTTAGGTCTTGAGCTTCTTCACTTTGTCAAATCAGTGACTATTTCTTCACCTACTTTCTGACTTCTAAAAAAGTTTCTTGAATTCATTTATCAGCTGATGTCTCTTCTGTTCTAATTACCATTATTGAGTCCTTCAATTCTGATGAGGAAATAAGTATACTTAAAAATTCTCTATCTATTCCCATTTTTAAAAACATTTTACTTTAAGTTCTGGGATACATGTGCAGAACGTGGAGGTTTGTTACATAGGTATACATGTGCCATGATGGTTTGTTGCACCCTATCAACTCATCATCTAGGGTTTCTTTTTTTTTTTTTTTTGATGGAGTCTCACTCTGTTGCCAGGCTGGAGTGCAGTGGCACCATCTTGGCTCACTGCAACTTCCGCCTCCTGGGTTCAAGTGATTCTCCTGCCTCAGCTTCCCGAGTAGCTGGGACTACAGGTGCGTGCCACCACGCCCAGCTAATTTTTGTATTTTTAATAGAGATGGGGTTTCACCATGTTGGCCAGGATGGTCTCGATCTCTTGACCTCGTGATCCACCTGCCTCGGCCTCCCAAAGTGGTAGGATTACAGGCGTGAGCCACCACACCGGGCCCCACCCCATCATCTAGGTTTTAAGCCCTGCATGCATTATGTATTTGTCCTAATGCTCTCCCTCCCCTTGCCCCCCACCTCCTGACAGGCCCCAATGTGTGATGTTCCCCTCCCTGTGTCCATGTGTTCTCATTATTCAACTCCCACTTATGAGTGAGAACATACGGTGTTTGGTTTTCTGTTCTTGTATTAGTTTGCTGAGAATGACGGTTTCCAGCTTCGTCCATATCCCTGCAAAGGACATGAACTCATTCTTTTTTATGGCTGCATCCCATTTTTTTATTCTAATGTATTTATAGAATAGTACTTCTCAAACTTTAATGTGCACAAAGATCACCAGCAAATCTTGTTAAAGTGAAGGTTCTGATTCAGTTGTTCTAGGTGGGATCTGAGATTCTGCATTTATTAACAAGCTTCCAGACAAGAAACACATTGACTAACAATAGTCTAGAGTATCTTTTTCTTTGTCTTAATTTCTTTCATTTGTCCTTCTTATTATGTTTAGGAGACAGGTTAAGTTTGGCTACTGTGGGATGTGCATGTGAGGGATTGAACTTGAAAGACCATAAAAAACAGACTCATAACCAAAGGTACTTCTATTAGGAACCTCTATCTATGGCTTCCAGAATCTGCAATGTTCTCATATTGACCATTGTTTTTCAAATAAACTATCTACCTATGGAAGGAATTTTTAAATAAAAGGTAAAATAGAGGAAGCAGACTGTTCCTGCAGGACCTGGGAGACCTCCCCCCCAAAACTGTGAGTGCCCCAACTGCAGAAGTGGGAAAGGGAGACCCTCCTCTTCTGAATAACGCTCACTGGAGAAGCTAAAGGTCTGTTTGTGGGAAAAGTTTCCGACTTTACCTGGAGCTGAGTCAATTTAGAGAGCTGAGCAAAATACAGGGTTAGAGGGAGCAGCAGAAAGGCCCTGGGAGCTCGCTGGGTCCCCTAGCAGGCCATCCCTCCCTGGCACCACAGGGACCCAACAGGAGAGGAGCAGGGGTTAAAACTACACAGGGAGAAGCAAATCTCTAGCTGAACTTTGTCACAATTTGAACCAGGTGAGAAGCTTCCTGGCCAGAGCTCAGGGGAGGGTGCAAATCTGGTGTGCAGAATCCACATGGGGAGAAGAAACAAGCCCTTTTCTTTTGCAGCTGGGAGGTGGGTAGCCTGAGGCAGGTTTTCAAACCCATATTTCTCTCTGCCTGGAAACGGACAGGGAGCTGTTGGTTGGGGGTGGGGGGGCACAGTGGGAGTGAGGCCGGCCTTTTGGTTTGCATGGGAGCTGGGTGAGGTCTGTGACTGCTGGTTTCCCCCTACTTCTGCAACAATCTGCATGATTCAGAAGAGGCAGCCATAATCCTCCTAGGTACACAAATCCAGTGACCTGGGAATCTCACCCCCATCACCCACAGCAGCCACAGCAAGACCCGTACAAGGAGAGTCTGGGCTCAAACCTGCCTAGCCCTGCCCCTACGTGATGGTCCTTCTCTACCCACCCTGGTGGTAGAAGATAAAGGGCATATAATCTTGGGAATTCTAGGGCCCACACACCGCCAGTTCCTTCCCATTCTACCATAGCTGATGCTCTCTGGAAAGCACCATCTTGTAGCAGGAGTCCAACCAGCACAAAAATAGAGCATTAAACTGCCAAAGCTAAGAGCCCTCAGGGAGTCCATTTCACTCCCCCTCCCCCGCACTTCCCCCCAACCCCCACCGGCCACCTCCACCAGAACAGGCACTGGTATGCACGGCTGAAAGACCCATAGATGGTTCATGTTAAAGGACTCTGTGCAGACAATCCTTAGTACCAGCCAAGAGCTGGGTAGACTGGCTGGGTGGCTAGATGCAGAGAGAGACAAAAATCACTGCAGTTCAGGTCAAAGGAAGCCACATCCATAGGAAAAGGGGGAGAGTGCAACATCAAGGGAACACCACATGGGACAAAAGAATCTGAACAACAGCCTTCAGCCCTAGATGTTCCCTCTGACAGAGCCTACCCAAATGAGAAGGAACTAGAAAACCAACCCTGATAATGTGACAAAACAACGCTCTTCAACACCCCCAAAAATTCACACCAGTTCACCAGCAATGGATCCAAACCAAGAAGAAATCCCTGATTTACCTGAAAAAGAATTCAGGAGGTTAATTATTAAGCTAATCAGGGAGGGGTCAGAGAAAGGCAAAGCCCAATGCAAGAAAATCCAAAAAATGATATAGGAAGTGAAGGCAGAAATATTCCAGGAAACAGATAGCTTATAGCTTAAAGAAAAAAAAAATAACAAATTCAGGAATTTTTTCGACACACTTTTAGAAATGTGAAATGCTATGGAAAGTCTCAGCAATAGAATTGAACAAGTAGAAGAAAGAAATTCAGAGCTAGAAGACAAGGTCTTTGAATTAACCCAGTCCAACAAAGACAAAGGAAAAAGAATAAGAAAATATAAACAGGCTGGGCGTGGTGGCTAACGCCTCTAATCCCAGCACTTTGGGAGGCTGAGGCAGGCAGATTGTGAGGTCAGGAGATTGAGACCATCCTGGCTAACAAGGTGAAACCCTGTCTCTACTAAAAATACAAAAAAATTATTAGCCAGGTGTGGTGGCACACGCCTGTAGTCCCAGCTACTCAGGAGGCTGAGGCAGGAGAATTGCTTGAACTCGGGAGGCAGAGGTTGCAGTGAGCCGAGATTGTGCCACTGCACTCCAGCCTGGGTGACAGAGTGAGACTCCATCTCAAAAAAAAAAAAAAAAAAAAATGAAGAAAGTCTCCAGGAAGTGTGGAATTATGTTAAATGACCAAACAAGAATAATTGGTGTTCCTGAGGAAGAAGACAATTCTAAAAGCTTGAAAAACATATTTGGAGGAAAAATCCAGGAAAACTTCCCCAGCCTTGCTAGAGACCTAGATATCCAAATACAAGAAGCACAAAGAACACCTGGGATATTCATTGCAAAAGGATCTTTGCCTAGGCACATTGTCAGGTTATCCAAAGTTAAGACAAAGGAAAGAATCTTAAGAGCTGTGAGACAGAAGCACCAGGTAACCTATAAAGGAAAACCTATCAGGTTAACAGCAGATTTCTCAACAGAAACCCTACAAGCTAGAAGGGATTGGGGCCCTATCTTCAGCCTCCTCAAACGAAACAATTATCAGCCAAGAATTTTGTATCCAGTGAAACTAAGCATAATATATGAAGGAAGAACATTCTTTTTCAGACAAACAAATGCTGAGAGAATTCACCACTACCAAGCCACCACTACAAGAACTGCTAAAATGGGCTCCAAATCTTGAAACAAATCCTGGAGACACATCAAAACAGAACCTCTTTATAACATAAATTGCACAGGACCTATAAAACAAAAATACAAGTTAAAAAGCAAAAACAATAAGACCAAAGTACACAGGCAACAAAGAGCATGATGAATGCAATGATACCTCACATTTCAATACTAACATTGAATGTAAATGGCCTAAATGCTCCACTTAAAAGATATAGAACCGCAGAATGGATAAGAACTCACCAAACAACCATCTGCTGCCTCCAGGATACTCACCTAACACATAAGGATGCACATAAACTTCAAGTAAAGGTGTGGAAAAAACATATCATGAAAATGGAGAGCAAAAGTGAGCAGGGATAGTTATTCTTACATCAGATAAAACAAACTTTAAAGCAACAGCAGTTAAAAGAGACAAAGAGGGACATTATATAATGGTAAAAGGCCTTGTCTGACAGGTAAATATCACAATCCTAAACATATATGCACCTAACACTGGAGCTCCCAAATTTATAAAACAATTACTAATAGACCTAAGAAATGAGATAGGCAGCAACACAATAATAGTGGGGGACTTCAATACTCCACTGACAGCACTAGTCAGGTCATCAAGACAGAAAGTCAACAAAGAAACAATGGATTTAAACTATACCTTGGAACAAATGGGCTTAACAGATACATACAGAACATTTCATCCAACAACCACAGAATACACATTCTACCCAACAGTGCATGGAACTTTCTCCAAGATAGGCCACAAAACGAGCATCAATACATTTAAGAAAATTGAAATTATATAAAGCACTCTGTCAGACCACAGTGGAATAAAACTGGAAATCAACTCAAAAAGTCACCTTCAAAACCATGCAAATACATGGAAATTAAATAATCTGCTCCTGAATGAATATTGGGGTTAAAAATGGAATCAACATGCAAATTTAAAAATTGTTTGAACTGAATGACAATAATGACACAATCTATCAAAACCTCTGGGATACAGCAAAGGTATCCCAGAGGAAAGTTCATAGCCCTAAGGGGAAAAGTTCATAGCCCTAAGATGAAAGTTCATGGCCCTGAATGCCTACATCAAAAAGACTGAAAGAGTACAAACTGACACTCTAAGGTCACATCTCAAGGAACTAGAGAAACAAGGACAAACCAAACTGAAACCCAGCAGAAGAAAGGAAATAACCAAGATCAGAGCAGAACTAAATGAAATTGAAACACACACACACACACACACACACACACACACACACACACAATACAAAAGATAAATGATAAAAAAAAGCTGGTTCTTTGAACAGATGAAATTGATAGATCATTGGCAAGATTAACCAAGAAAAGAAGAGAGAAAATCCAAATAACTTCACTAAGAAATGAAACAGGAGATACTACAATTGACACACTGAAACGCAAACTATCATCAAGGCTACTATGAACACCTTTTCACACTTAAACTAGAAAACCTAGAAGAGATGGATAAGTTCCTGGAAAAATACAACCCTCGTGGCTTACATCAGGAAGAATTTGATACCCTGAACAGACCGATAACAAGCAGTGAGATTGAAGTGGTAATTTAAAAATTACCAAAAACTGGGCGAAGAATATGAATAGACACTTCTCAAAAGAAGACATTTATGCAGCCAAAAGACACATGAAAAAATGCTCATCATCACTGGCCATCAGAGAAATGCAAATCAAAACCACAATGAGATACCATCTCACACCAGTTAGAATGGCAATCATGAAAAAGTCAGGAAACAACAGGTGCTGGAGAGGATGTGGAGAAATAGGAACACTTTTACACTGTTGGTGGGACTGTAAACTAGTTCAACCATTGTGGAAGTCGGTGTGGCGATTCCTCAGGGATCTAGAACTAGAAATACCATTTGACCCAGCCATCCCATTACTGGGTATATACCCAAAGGATTATAAATCACGCTGCTATAAAGACACATGCACATGTATGTTTATTGCGGCACTATTCACAATAGCAAAGACTTGGAACCAACCCAAATGTCCAACAATGATAGACTGGATTAAGAAAATGTGGCACACATACACCATGGAATACTATGCAGCCATAAAAAGGATGAGTTCATGTCATTTGTAGGGACATGGATGAAGCTGGAAACCATCATTCTCAGCAAACTATCGCAAGGACAAAAAACCGAACACCGCATGTTCTCACTCATAAGTGGGAATTGAACAATGAGAATACATGGACACAGGAAGGGGAACGTCACACACTGGGGACTGTTGTGGGGTGGGGGGAGGGGGGAGGGATAGCATTAGGAGATATACCTAATGCTAAATGACGAGTTAATGGGTGCAGCACACCAACATGGCACATGTATGCATATGTAACAAACCTGCACAATGTGCACATGTACCCTAAAACTTATAGTATAATAATAATAAAAAATAAATAAATAAAAATTACCAACAAAGAAAAAGTTCAGGAGCAGATGGATTCACAGCAGAATTCTACGAGACATTCTAAGAAGAATTGTTACCAATCCTTTTGACACAATTCCACAAGATAGAGAAAGAAGGAACCCTCCCTAATTCATTCTGTGAAGCCACCATCACCTTAATAACAAAACCAGGAAAGGACATAACCAAAAAAGAAAACTATAGACCGATATCTTTGATGAACATAGATGCTAAAATCCTTAACAAAATACTTAGCTAACTGAATCCAACAACATATCAAAAAGATAATCCACCATGTTCAAGTGGGTTTCATACCAAGGATGCAGGGATGGTTTAGGATATGCAAGTCAATACATGTGATACACCACATAAGTAGAATTAAAAACCAAAATCACATGATCATTTCAATAGATTCAGAAAAAGCATTCGACAAAATCCAGCATCGCTTGCTGATTAAAACTCTCAGCAAAATCGGCATACAAGGAGCATTGCTTAATGTAATAAAAGCCATCTATAACAAACCCACAGCCAACATGATACTGAATGAGGAAAAGTTGAAAGCATTCCCTCTGAGAACTGGAAAAACACAAGGATGCCCACTCACACCACTTCTCTTCAACATTGTATTGGAAGTCCTAGCCAGAGCAATCAGACAAGAGAAAGAAATAAAGGGAATCCAAATCAGTAAAGAGGAAGTCAAACTGTCACTGTTTTCTGACAATATGGTAGTTTACCTTGAAAACCCTAAGGACTCCTCCAGAAAGTTCCTAGAACTGATAAGAGAGTTCAGCAAAGTCTCCGGATACAAGATTAATGTACACAAATCAGTAGCTCTTCTATATACCAATAACAACCAAGCAGAAAATCAAATCAATAAATCAACCCTTTTTACAATAGCTGCAAAAATTAAAATACTTAGGAATATACATAAACAAAAAGTCAAAAGACCTGTACAAGGAAAATTAAAACACTGCTGAAGGAAATCATAGAAAACAGAAACAAATGGAAACACATCCCATGCTCATGGATGGGTAGAATCAATATTGTGAAAATGTTCATACTGCCAAAAGCAGTCTACAAATTCAATGCAATCCCTATCAAAATACCACCATCATTGTTCACAGAATTAGAGAAAACAATTCTAAAATTTATATGGAACAATAAAAGAGCCCACATAGCCAAAACAAGGCTAAGCAAAAAGAACAAATCTGGAGGCATCACACTACCTGATTGCAAACTATACTATAAGGCCATAGTCACCAAAACAGTGTGGTACTGGTACAAAAATAAGCACACAGACCAACAGATCAGAATAGAGAACCCAGAAATAAACCCAAATACTCACAGCCAGCTGATCTTCAACAAAGCAAACAAAAACATAAAGTGGGGAAAGGACACCCTTTTCAACAAATCATGCTAGGATAATTGGCTAGCCGCTTGTAGGAGAATGAAACTGGGTCCTCATCTCTAATCTTATACAAAAATCAACTCAAGATGGATTAAGGACTTAAATTTAAAACCTGAAACTATAAAACTTCTAGAAAATAACATTGGAAAAACCCTTCTAGACATTGGCTTAGGCAAGGATTTCATGACCAATAACCCAAAAGCAAATGCGTTAAAAACAAAGATAAATTGCTGGGACCTAATTAAACTAAAGAGCTTTTGCATGGCAAAAGGAACAGTCAGAAGAGTAAACAGACAATCCACAGAGTGGGAGAATATCTGCACAATCTATACATTTGCCAAAGGACTAATATCCAGAATCTACAATTAACTCAAACAAATCAGTAAGAAAAAAACGATCCCATCAAAAAGTGGGCTAAGGACAAGAATAGACAATTCTTAAAAGAAGATATACAAATGGCCAACAAACATATGAAAAAATGCTCAACATCACTAATTATCAGGGAAATGCAAATCAAAACCACAGTGTGATACCGCCTCACTCCTGCAACAATGGTCATAATAAAAAAATAAATAATCAGTAAATGTTGGTGTGGATGTGGTGAACAGGGAACACTTCTACACTGCTGGTGGGAATGTAAGCTAGTATGGCCGCTTTAGAAAACAGTGTAGAGATTCCTTGTAGAGCTAAAGGTAGAACTAACATTTGATCCAGCAATCTCACTACTGGATATCTACCCAGTGGAAAAGAAGTCATTATTCGAAAAAGACACTTGCACATGCTTGTTTATAGCAGCACAATTCACAATTGCAAAATCTTGGAACCAATCCAAATGCCCATCAATCAAAGAGTGGATAAAGAAACTGTGGTATATATGCAATGGAGTACTATGCAGCCATAAAACAATGAATTAACAGCATTTGCAGTGACCTGGATGAGATTGGAGACTATTATTCTAAGTGAAGTGACTCGGGAATGGAAAAGTAAACACTTATTTTCTCACTGATTATTTTTTTCTGATAGCTCTATATTTATTGAGCACTTTTTGTATTCCAGAAACTCATATATTATTTCATCAGTTCCTCACAATAGTTCTGTGGTAGATACCATTATCACCCTCATTTTATAAATGTAGAAACAAAGCTCAGAGAGATGAGATAATGTGTCTTAGGCCATATACCTAATATATTTTGGAGCTGAGATGCAAGCTGAGGTCTGTCTGATACATAAACCTAATTCTTTTTTCTGGACTACATTAGCTCTTCTAATGACTCCACCCTGATCAAGTCCAGCTTGTCATCTTCCAGGTACTGAAACGTGAGCTTCCTGAATGTTAGACTTACTATTCCAGACAGCTACCCCAATGGCTCCTATCAGGATGACTAAAACTGCTTGCTCAGTCTTACCCTCTGTTCTAATAACTTCCAAACTCTCCAAACTTATTTTAATTTCTGCTGAGATTTATTTTATTTCTCAAATTCTTCCTGTATCTTATTTCCCTATAAAGTAGATGTCAAGAATTTTCACAACTTACAGAATTTTGCTACTAACATATATCCTGTTGGCTTCTGGAATTGTAACTCTTCACTTTGTCTATTCCAGCTTTTCTGGCTTTCTGTGCATACTGCCAGCATGATTTTATCTGAAAACTGTGTAACTGGCCACATATCAACCATTTCCTCTTCATTTTTACACTTTGCTTCTCCTAAACATGATATCAGTGTCCATAAGGAGGCATAGCAGACCACATATAAGGGTAGTCTTTCGTTGCTCCTCTATCACTTCAATTTCTTTCCTTACCCACCCACTGCTACGTGTTACCTTCTTCAGCTTCATCAGTATGTCTGGCATTTTATTTCTCTGCAAGATTTTGAGAAGAAAATCATATACCAAAGTTTGATCTAGACACATTTCACAGCCTTTGACATTTAAAGAATTTTAGAGAAATCCTAGTACTTGTCACTTAAGTAATGCCTATCCCTTTATTGCTGGTTGTAGCACCTTGTGGAGTATGCAGTTTGCCAGCCTCAGCACCTTCTGCAATTAGATTCAGTGTGTCACCCTTGAAGACCATTTCCCTTTTCTTCCAGGTGCCACTGAAAACAGCAGCCTTCAGAGCTTTGCTGAAGCTGCTGTCGTCCAGAGTCTGTTGAACTCAGCAGTGAGGCTAGCAGGGCTGGGAGCACCTCTCTTCTTCAACAACTGCATCTTGATGCTCACTTCTGGAGCTGTCATGTCAGCTTCTCTATCAGCTGTATCTTTTTCCTTTGATTGGTACCTCAACAAAAGACCATGGCCTCTCTTTTTTCTTTGCTCCTAAAACAATTCTAGAAAGAGTACCATAATCCAAATTTCTTCTTTTGTATTGTCAATCTGTTCAATTTGACTACAAAGGACACCATTAGCAAACATTCTCTCTTACTCAGCCATTCTCAGATGTTAGTAAGTCCTGACTTTAGTTTTGCCTTAGCATACTCTTTTTCACTTATCTCCTTGACTGTCTGTTTACACCTTCCTTTTATTCATTCTTTGATATTTGCTACTTTGCTTTTTTTCTTTTCCTGTGTACTCTCCATTAAACGTATCTGCTTTTGGGAATTTGTGTTTGGCTTTATGAAGCCATTGGTTTAGCTCTGTCCCTAAAGAGGTTTCCTTGAAGCCTTTCTTAAAGGCCTTTTTCAGGTCACTCTTGTCACATCCCAAAAGTGGCACAGAGCTTCTGAGAATTTATTCTGAGTCAACAGTGCACCCATGCATGAAAATGTATGTATGTACAAGGTTTTCATCACAATACCATTTAAATTGTAAAAAAATAGGCATAAGAAAAATTTCTATCAATAAGAGATTGAATAAATTTTAGTACAGCCTTATAATGGAACAGTAAAGTGCATTTAAAATGGTAATGTAAAGTTACATTTACTGACATCAAAAGATTCTAAAATATTTATTGAGTGAAAAAGCAGGTTAAAAAGTATAAATACACTAATATATATATAAAATTATATGTATGTGTTTGCGTATATATATATATATATAACTTGTTCAACAGCACTGACTCTAGAGTCAAGCAAATTTGAGTATGACCATTAGCTTCACTATTTACTAGCTGTCTGGCTTTGGGCAATTTGTTAACTTCTTTGTGTATTGCTGTGCACATTTGTATAATGGGGATTATAGTGCCTACCTCATGAAATTTTAATGAGGATTAAATTATGTAATTCATGTTAAGTGCTCAGGAGAGTGACTGCCCATTATATCTAATATTTGAAACTTAAATAAAAATGTATGTGTAAGTGCTTCAAAGAGTGAAAAGTGACTGAGAGGTAATTGATAAATACTGAAACATATTATGGCCTTGTTCTGATACTACTGAGTATGAGAGAAAGATCTCCTAAACTCTGAGATGTTTCATCCCCAAGACATGTCACATAAAGGGGAGGGTTCCCTCTATAAGGAGAGGGTAGAGCAAAGGGCATTGATGCCAATGCCCTTATAAGAGTTTCCCCCAAACTCCCAGTGCTATAGCATATCTGGCCTTTGACAAAAAATGTGGTTTAAGTAGTTTCTTCTGTGCTGTCTCCCATAATCTCCCCCCTGTCCTCCTCTTTGGCAGTATCAAATCAGAAACCCAGGGCCTTCAGTATCATCATAGGACAAAGTAAGTAATGGTGGGGATTCCATAAATCCATGAATTTATGGTCAATTGATTCCTGATAAAGATGCCAGGAATACACAATAGGGAAAGGATGGTCTCTTCAATAAATGGTGCTGGGAAAATTGGATATTCACATGCAGAACAGTAAAATTATACCCTTATCTCTCACCATATACAAAAATCAACTAAAAATGGATTAAAGATTTCAATGTAAGACACGAAATTGTTAAACTGCTAGAAGAAAACATAAACAAAAAGGTGCATAACATTATCTGGGTGATGATATTTTGGATATGAACTCCAAAATACAGGCAACAAAAGTGAAAATAGACAAATGGGATTACAACAAACCAAAAAGCTTCTGCACAGCAAAGGAAACAAGAGTGATAGATAACCAATGGAATGGGAGAAAATATTTGCAAATCATATATCTGATAAGAGACTAATATCCATAATACATAAGGAACTCAACTCAACAGCAACAATAAAAACACCAAATAACCTCACTTAAAAGTGGGCAAAGGATGGCTAGGCACGGTGGCTCATGCCTGTAATCCCAGTACTTTGGGAGGCCGAGGCAGGCGGATCATGAGGTCAGGAGATTGAGACCAGCCTGGCCAATATGGTGAAACTCCATCTCTACTAAAAATACAAAAACTATCTGGGCGTGGTGGCATGCACCTGTAATCCCAGCTACCCAGGAGGCTGAGGCAGGAGAATCGCTTGAACCTGGGAGGCAGAGGTTGCAGTGAGCCAAGATTGTGCCACTGCACTCCAGCCTGGGTGACAGAGCGAGACTGTGTCTCAAAGAAAAAAAAATGGGCAAAGGACCTGAACAGACATTTCTCAAAAGAAAGGATGCAAATAGCAAATGGGTAAATTTAAAAATGCTCAACAATTCTAATAATCTGGGAAATAAATGCAAATTAAAACTACAATGAAGCAATCATGGGAGAAGATGGAGCAAGATGGCCAACCAGAAGCCTCTAATGGTCATTTCCCCTGAGGGAACACCAAATTGAACAACTATCCACACAAGAAACACTTTCATAAGAACAAAAAAATCAGGTGAGTGAGCACAGTACTTGATTTTAACATCACATCAAGTAAAGAGGCACTGAAAAGGGTAGGAAAAACAGTCTTGAACTGCTGACACCACTCTTCCCTGATCCTCCAGCAGTGGCTATGTGGCACTGAGAGAGAATCTCTGTGCTTGAGAGAGGGAAAGCACAGTGATTGTGGGACTTTACATTGGACATCAGTGTTGCTCTATCACAGCAGAAAGCAACACAGAGAAGAATTCAGCCAGTACCAATGGAGCGAGCATTTAGTTCAGCCCTACCAGAGGGGAATCACCCATCCCAGCAATTGGAATTTGAGTTCTGGCTAGCCCCACCACTGAGGCCTAAAGCACTCTGGGGTCCTAAATAAACTTGAAAGGCAGTCTAGGCTACAAGGACTGCAAGTCTTGATCAAGTTCTGGTGCTGTGCTGGGCTTGGAGCCAGTGGATTTGGGGTGCACATGACACAATGAGACAACTGCCAGGGTGGCCAAAGGAATGCTTGCATCACTACTCCCCCAATCCCAGGCAGTGCAGCTCCCAGCTCTAGGAGGGAATCCCTCTTTTGGCTTGAGGAGAGGAGAGGGAAGAGTAAAGAGGATATTGTCTTATAACTTGGATATCAGCTCAGCCACAGTAGAGTAGGGCACCAGGGAGAGTCCTTAGGCCCCCATTCCAGGCCCTAGCTCCTGGATGACATTGTTAGATACACCCTGGGCCAGAAGGAAACTCATTTCCTTGAAGAGAAGGACCTGGTCCTGACAGGATTAATCATTTACTGACTAAACAGTCCTTATGCCTTGAGTAAACATCAGTGGTACCCAGGAAATACTTACCATGGGCTTCAGGCCTTGGGTGAAACCCAGGGCCTTGTTCACTTCAGATGTGACCAGTGCATTCCCAGATATGGTGGGCATGAGAAACTCCTTCTACTTGAGAAAAGGAGAGGGAAGAGTAAAAGAGACTTTGTCTTGCAGCTTAGGTACCAGCTTGGCCACAGGGGCTTAAAGCACAAAGCAGGCTCTCGTGGTCCCCGATTCCAGGCTTTGACACTTGGCTTCCATTTCTGGAACTTCCCTGGGCCAGAGGAAGGCCTGCTGCCCTGAATGTAGAGACCTGAGTCTGGCAGCATCCACTACAAGCTTACTGAAATTTCAGCCTTTGGGCTTTGGGCAAGACCCAGGGCTGTGCTGGCTTCAAGTCTGACCCAGTGCAGTCCCAGTGGTGGTGGCCACAGGGGTGATTTAGTCCTCTCTCTCCCAGCTACAGGCAGCTCAGCATGGAATGAGGGGCTCCATTTTTTGAGTGAAAGTAAGGGAAGGGAGCAAGGGTCTCTGCCTGGTAATCCAGGGAATTCTTCTAGGTCTTACTCAAGACCACCAAGGTGGTACCTCTGAGTCTGCAAGAGTAACCACATTAATGGGTTTGATGTGCTCCCTAATGCACATATGGCTGCAGTGACCAAAGATTTAGATCATAACACTCAATTCCTTTTGAATACTTGGAAAGTCTTCCCAAGAAGAATGGGTACAAACAAGCCCAGACTGCAAGGACTACAATAAGTATCCATCTCTTTAATGCCAAGACATTGATGAACATCCACAAGCATTGCAATCATCCAGGAGAACATTACCTTGCCAAAGAAACAAAATAAGGCACCAGTGACCAATCCTGCAGTGACAGAGATATGTGACATTTCAGAAAGATAATTCAGAATAGCTGCTTTGCTCAACAAAATGCAGGATAACACAGAGAAGAAGTTCAGAATTCTATCAGATAAATTTAACAAAGAGATTGAAATAATTAGAAATAATCAAGCAGAAATTCTGAAGATGAAAAATTTAATTGACATACTGAAGATGCATCAGAGTTTTTAAATAGCAGAATTGATCAAGCAGAAGAAAAAAATAGTGAGCTTGAAGACAAACTAGTTGAAAATACACAGAGGAGAAAAAGAAAGAAAGAAGAAAGAAAGAAGTATGCCTGCAAGATGTACAGAATGGACTCAAAAAGGCAAATTTAAGGGTTATTGGACTTAAAGAGGTGGTAGAAAGAGAGATAGAGTTAGAAAATTATTCAAAGGGATAATATTAGCGAACTTCCCAAGTCTAGAAAAAGATGTCAATATACAAGTACAAGAGGGTTATAGAACACCACGCAGATTTAACCCAAAGAAGACTACCTGAAACTCCCACAAATCAAGGATAAAAGATCCTAAAAGCAGTAAGAGAAAAGAAACAAATAACATACAAAGGAGCTCCATTACATCTGACAGCAGACTTCTCAGTGGAAAACTTACAGGCCAAGAAAGAGTGGCATGACATATTTAAAGTGCTCAAGGAAAAAAATTATCCTAGAATACTATATTCAGTAATGATATCCTTCAAACATGAAGGAGAAGTAAAGACATTTCCACACAAACAAAAACTGAGGGATTTAATCAACACCAGAACTATCCTACAAGAAATGCTAAAGAGAATTTTTGAGTCTGAAATAAGAGGACATTAACAAGCAATAGGAAATCATCTAAAGGTACAAAACTCACTGATAATAGTAAGTGCACATACAAACAGAGATTATTATAATGTTGTAAGTGTGGTGTGTAAACTACTCATGCCTTGAGTGGAAAGAATAGATGGTTAACATATAGAAATAATAAATACAACTTTTCAAGACAGAGAGAGTATAATAAGACATAAAGAGAAACAACAAAAAGTTAAGAAGCATTGGAGGGTGGACTGAAAGTATAGAGTTTTTATTACTTTTCTCCTTGTTAGTTTGCTTTCACAATACATGCTAGGTGTCATCAGTTTAAAACAATAGGCTATAAGATGTTATTTGCAAGCCTCATGGTAATCTCACATCAAAAAATCCAACAGATTCGCAAAAAATAAAAAGCAAGAAACTAAATCATATCACCAGAAAAAGTCACCTTCACAAAAAGGAAAATGGGAAGGTAAAAAGGAAAAAAGAGAAGACTACAAGAAACAAAAAATAACAAAATGGGAGGAGTAAGTCCTTACTTATCAATAATAATGTTGAATATAAATGGACTAAACTCTTCAATCAAAAGACAGTGTGGCTGAATGGATTAAAAACAAGACCCAGCGATCTGTTGCCTACAAGAAACACACTTCACCAATAAATACACACATTGGGCCAGGCGTGGTGGCTCATGCCTGTAATCTCAGCACTTTGGGAGGCCGAGGTGGGTGGATCATGAATGAGGTCAGGAGATTGAGACCATCCTGGCTAACATGGTGAAACCCTATCTCTACTAAAAATACAAAAAAAAAATTAGCCAGGCATGGTGGTGGGTGCCTGTAGTCCCAGCTACTCGGGAGGCTGAGACAGGAGAATGTCATGAACCCAGGAGGCAGAGCTTGCAGTGAGCCAAGATCACACCACCACACTCCAGCCTGGGTGACAGAGCGAGACTCCGTCTCAAAAAAAAAAAAAAAAAAAAAAAAAAGAAAGAAAAGGACACACATTGACTGAAAATAAAGAGTGGAAAAAGATATTTCATGCAAATGGAAAGTAAAAAAGCAAAAGTAGCTATATTTGTATGAGACAAAATAGAATTCAAGACAAAAAACTATGAAAAGAAATAAGGAAGGTCATTATACAATGATAAAGGGGTCACTTCAGCAGGAGGTATAACAATTATAAATATATATGCACCCAACACTGGAGCACCCAGATATATAAAGGAAATATTATTAGAGCTAAAGAGGTAGACCAAATACAATAATAGCTGGAGACTTCAACACCCCACTTTTAGCATTGGACAGACCTTTTGGACAGAAAATCCATAAAGAAACATTGAAGTTAATCTACACTATAAACCAAATGGACTTAATAGATATTTACAGAATATTTCATCCAATGGCTGCAGGATACACATTGTTTTCCTCAGCACATGGACCATTCTCAAGGAAACACCATGTTGTCCCACAAAATTAGTCTCAAAAAATTAAAAAAATTGAAAACATATCAAGTATCTTCTCTAACCACAATTGAATAAAACTAGAAATGAATAACAACAATAAATTTGGAAATGATAAAAACACAGATAAATTAAACCATATGCTCCTGAATGATCAATGGGTCAATAAATAAATTATGAAGAAAATTGAAAAATTTCTTGAGACAAATGAAAATGGAAACACAAGATAACAAAACCTGTGTAATATAGCAAAAGCAGTACTAAGTGGGACGTTTATAGCTATAAATGCCTACATCAAAACATTAGAAAAACTTCAAATTCACAATCTAATAATGCATCTTAAAGAAGCAGAAAAAAGCAAGAGCAAACAAACTTGTAGTTAATAGAATAAAGGAAATAATTTAAAAAATGGAGCAGAAGTAAATGAAGTTGAAACAAAGAAAACATTACAAAAGTTCCATGAAACAAAATGTTTGTTATTTGCAAAGACAAACAAAATACACAAACCTTTAGTCAGATTAAGAAAAAAAAAAGAGAAGACCCAAGTAAAATCAGAGATGAAAAAGGAGACATTACAACTGATACTGCAGAAATTCAAAGTATCATTAGTGGCTATTACAAACAACCATATGCCAATAAATTTGAAAACCTAGAAGAAGGCCGGGCGCGGTGGCTCACGCCTGTAATCCCAGCACTTTGGGAGGCCGAGGCGGGTGGATCATGAGGTCAGGAGATCGAGACCATCCTGGCTAACAAGGTGAAACCCCATCTCTACTAAAAATTCAAAAAATTAGCCGGGCGCGGTGGCGGGCGCCTGTAGTCCCAGCTACTCAGGAGGCTGAGGCAGGAGAATGGCGTGAACCCGGGAAGCGGAGCTTGCAGTGAGCCGAGATTGTGCCACTGCAGTCCGCAGTCCGGCCTGGGCAACAGAGCGAGACTCCGTCTCAAAAAAAAAAAAAAAAAAAAAAAAAAAAAGAAAACCTAGAAGAAAAGAATAAATTCCTAGACATATGTAACGTACCAAGATTGAACCATGAAGAAATCCATGACTGGAATAGGCCAATAACAAGTAATGAGATTGAAGCCATAATAAAAAGCCCCCCAGCAATGAAAAGCCCGGGACCCAGTGGCTTCACTGCTGAATTTTACCCAACAAGGAAGAACTAATACCAAACTATTCCAAAAAATGGAGAAAGAATTAATACTTCCAAGCTCATTCTCTGAGGCTGGTGTTACTCCACTACCAAAACCAGACAGACACATCACAAAAGAAAACGACAGGCCAATATCCTTGATGAACATCAATGCAAAAATCCTCAGCAAAGTACTAGCAAACAAAATTCAGCAATACATTAGAAAGATCATTCATCATGACCAAGTGGGATTTATCCCATGGTTAAAGAATGTTTTAACATATGCAAATCAATCAGTGTGATACAGCATATCAACAGAATGAAGGACAAAACCATATAATCATTTCAGTTGATGCTGAAATACCATTTGATAAAACTCAACATCCCTTCATGATAAATTCCCTCAAAAAACAGTATAGAAGGAATGTACCTCAACACAATGAAAGCCATATACAACAGACCCATAGCTAGTATGATACTAAATGGGGAAAAACTGAAAAGCCTTTCCTCTAAGATCTGGAACATGACAAGGGTGCCCACTGTCACCACTGTTATTCAACATAATACTAGAATTGCTAGCTAGAGTGATCAAACAAGAGAAAGAAATAAAGTGTATCCATACTGGGAAGGAAGAATTCAAATTATCTTTGTTTGCAGATGATATAATTTTATATTTGGAAAAACCTGAAGACTTCATCCAATAAATGATTAGAACTGATAAACAAATTCAGTTAAGTTGCAGGATACAAAATCAACATACAAAAATCAGTAGCATTTCTATATGCCAACAAATAATCTAAAAAAAAATTTAAAAAGTAGTACCAATGTCCTGGAGAGTTTCATCAAAGTTGTCTTTAGTAGTTTCATAGTTTGGGATCTCAGGTTGATGTATTTAATCCACTTTTATTGGATTTTTGTTTATGGCAAGAGATAGCGATCTAGTTTCATTCTTCTGCATATGGATATCCAGTTTTCCCAGCACCATTTATTGAAGAGACTGTTCTTTCCCCAATGTATGTCCTTGGGACCTTTGTCAAAAATGAATTCATGGTAGATGTATGGATTTATTTCTGGGTTCTCTATTCTGTTCCATTGGTCTATCTATCTGTTTTTATGCCAAGATAATGCTGTTTTGGTTACTATAGCTCTGTAGTATAATTTGAAGTCAGGTAATATGATTCCTCCGTTTTTGTTATTTTGGCTATCCTGAGTCTTTTGTGGTTCCGTATACATTTTGATTGTTTTTTTCTATTTCTATAAAGAATGTCCTTGGTATGAGATAGAGATTACAGTGAATCTGTAGATTGCTTTGGATAGTATGGACATTTTAGCAACATTGATTCTTCCAATCCATGAATGTGGAATATCTTTCCATTTTTTGTGATTTATTGTATGTTTAAAAATAACTAAGAGTGTAATTGGAATGTTTACAAAACAAGGAAAGAATAAATGCTTGAGGTGATGGATACCCCATTTTCCCTGATGTGATTATTACTCATGTCTGCTGGTATCAAAATATCTCATGTATCCCATAAATATATACATCTACTATATGCCCATAAAAATAAGAAAATTTTAAAAACACAATGAGATATTCCCTCATGCCTGTTAGAATGGCTATTATCAAAAATACAAAAGATTATAAGTGCTGTTAAGGATGTGGGGAAAAGGAGACCTTTGTCCACCATTGGTGAGAATGTAAGTTAGTACAGCCATTATGGAACACGGTATGGAGGTTCCTAAAACTTTTTTCTCCATGTTTCCCCCCCCTTTTTTTTTTACTTACCACTGCCCATAAAATTGCCAAACCACACACACACACACAAATAGAACTACCATACGATCCAGCAATCCCACTGCTGGGTATATATCCAAAGGAAATGAAATCATTATGTTGAAGAGATATCTATACTCCCATGTTCATTACAGCATTATTCACAATAGTCAAGATTTGGAAGCAATCCAAGTGTTCATGAACAGATGAATGGATAAGGAAAATGTGGTACATATACACAATGGAGTACTATTCAGCCATTAAAAAAATGAGATTCTGTCATTTGCAACAACATGGATGGAACTGGAGGACATGTTAAGTGAAATAATCTGGGCACAGAAAGACAAATATCACATGCTCTCATTCATACATGGAATCTAAAAAAGTTAACCTCATATAAGCAGAGAGCATAATGGTGTTTACCAGGGACTGGGGGTGGGGGTGTTGGGGAGATATTTGTCAAGGATACAAAGTTTCAGTTAGATAGGAGGAAAAAGTTCAAGAGACGTATTTTACAACATGGTGACTACAGTGAATAACAATCTATTGCATTCTTGAAAATCGCTGGGAATAAATTTTAAGGTTCTTACCACAAAAAATGATAACTATGTGAGGAAATTCATATACTAATTTACTTTATTTAGCCATTTCATAATGTATATGTGTTTCCAAACATCAAGTTGCACTTGATAAATATATACAATCTTTGTCACTGCAAAAGAAATCAAATAATGGTGGAGATTTCTGAGAGTCTATGCAAGACAAACTGGCAGGTGGGACAGAAAACTTTATGTAAGGGAAGTTTTGGACTGCGCCCTTCATGTCACTTCCTCTATGTGTGTAGGAAGGGATAGTCAAGCTCACTATTTTGACATTTAAAGATATCATAATAGCTAAAGAAGTTTGTCACATGAGATTTTTACAGAGCACCCAGGCCATCTTCTTGAGCAGGCCCTTTTGCCCATTTTTCATAGGTAGGGGAGTGGCTTTTCCTCGTTTTCTCTCGGCATTCTTGATTTAGTCAATCCTCTCATTAAATTTCCTAGATTTTAAATGTTCCTAGACTTTACAGTTATATAGTTCTTATATTTTAACTGTTTGGACATACTAATTTTTAAGGAACAAATCATTTAATTTTAAAACAAATTTTTGTTTTAAAAACTTCAGCAATTTCCAGAGGAATAAGGCATGCCCAATTAGTGCTCAGAGTGGGTATTTGCTGATTTTTGAATATTTTTTGAGAATATAGTCGAAGAAATGTGAATTAGTTGAAGATACCCTAACACATGGTTAAACTTTTCTGTCACATGTAAGTAAGGATTTATTCAATAAGTATTATAATATGTTACAATGTAAAAGGCACTGTGCTGGACACAGCGAGCTGGACACGTAGCTGAAAAAAAATATTGTCCCTGTATTACAGCCTGGCAGAAGATATAAGACATGTGTCCATAAGGTAGAATATGATCAGTATCACAAGAGCCAAAGAAAGTTATCATCCTGGGAATGTCAGAAAAGAAAGTAAACTGTTCTGATTAAAAGATTCATGGAGAGGATGACATTTGAGCTATATCTTAAAGGATAGGTAGGCAGAGGCATTTCTCTTGGCATGAGCAAAGACATAGATGCCAGAAAGAACAAGGTTTTTTCAGGCAACTGTACATAGTACAGTTGGATAGGAAGGGGCAAATGACTAGAAAGGTTGAATTATAGAATGTCTGGCCTTGAAGGGGGCATTTAAGATAAATTAATCCACTCCCTCATGTTATAGGTGAAGAAAGAGGTAACTTATCCAAAGCAAGCTATCTGGTTTGTAGTAGTTTGGGGCCAGATTATATAGAGCTTTAGATATTAGGTAAAATAATTCTCATAAATAGTAGAGCTGAGATTTGAACCCAATAGTCTGGCTCCACAGTCCAGGCCCTGAATGATTATACTAAACTACCATCGGAGTGATACATTACAAAGTGGTAGTTGGACAGAGGATGAACTAAAATAGGAAGAATAGATACAGAAAGACCAGTTAGGAGATCATTGTAATGATATAGGCAAGAGGTGATTAGGACTTAAGTTGTGGATGAGAATTATTACAATAGAAGAAAGTGATAGACCCAAGAAATATTTTAAAGGAAGACCTGATAGAGTAGATGCAGTAATGAGGAGGAGGAATAAAAGAGGGTAGGAAGCCCAATGAGTCAAAAGTATGAGATGATATCCAAAGAAAGGGAATGTAGACTTATGAACCAATAGACTTTTTTTCTATTTCTATCAATGGAACTTTTTTCTAGAGAAATGAAAATTAAAGCTTTGCCTTAATCAACTCTGATCAAGCCAAACTTAAAACATTCAGTTCTGCAACTTGAAGAGAGAGATTAATAAAGCAAAACATGTTTAGAAAATGACGAGTAGGATGTTAAAGAGACTTTATGGCTAACAGCCAGAGGAACACAGCCTGATTAGCTGGGAGAACAGAAAATGCAGGGAAGGGCATAACTGTCCTCAGATATTTAAAAGGCTGTCATATGGAAGAAATAAAAAAGAAAGAAAAAAATACCTTCTTTTTGTAAGGTATCATGAAGCAGACCAGGGCCAATGGGTGGAAGGAACCAGGGGAGAGGTTTGGGGCACAGTGTAAGGAAAAAATATATAGAAATGAGAACTGTGCTGTGCCTAGTGCACTTCATCCTGGCACTCCACAGATGTTGGTGGAATGAATGCCTTGGGGAATAGTGGTTAGCCTGGCTCTGGAATTGCCCCAAAGTTGCTAAATAACAACTTGTTGAGGATGCTGTAAAGGAGATTCAAGCAATATATGGGTGGCTAGACTAGGCAAATTTTAAGGGTCACTCCAACACTGAGATTCTTTGGAGATATGGTTGGAAAAAGTTCGAGTGCTTAGAACTAGAGTAGCACCCTGTTCTCAAGTGTGGTGGACTTAAAGCTTTTGGTAGGGTTGTGGACCACGTCTCTGGAAAGACAGTAAATCTAGTAAGTATGTGTGGTCCTGAAATTGAAAAGAGACAACCCAGGAGTATGCTCTCCAGAGAATTAAAGGCATACCTGGAAAAAAATGATTCCACTCTAGATAGACTCAGTTTCTGCTGTAAGTCAGTCATTTCTAGGAAATGGTAAAATAAGTTGAATATTTTTGGACTTTGATTTTGGGGGTGTCTCATGCTGCTCAAAGTAAGAAGGAGACTAAAATTATTCACTCACTCAGGCAGCAAAAGGTGGAAAGAAGTGCAAATGTATCTATCCAATTGACATAAAACCTTGTTATTTCAAGCAGTATGTAAAGTTAAGACTAGAGCAAGTGGCCTGACAGTAACACTCCTGCCTTTCCCCATCTCTCCTCAGGCTACCTGTGCCAACTCTTCACCTTTGAGTCAGGGGAGTGCTTGTAAAATTTTGATTTGCCTTGGGTCCTACCCTTAAGTTGATTGTTCCCTACCTTCCTCTGACCTCAAAAATGGTCAGAATCATAAGTCTTATTTCCAGAAGTAATCTGCTGCTTGGTTCACGGACCTCTGTAACAAAGATGATAAATAGGTTTAATCTTTTGGGCCAATTCTGATTGAATAGTAGTGGCCACATAGGGCAATGTGGTGAGAAGTCATTTGGAGCCTCATCTGAACACAGCAGGAAAGAAGGCCATGGCTGATTAATGATGTCTGCTCTATAGGTAGGGGGTAGGAGACTGACAGCATGCATGGCCCCAAAATGTACTATTCTTGGGATACAGGAAAAAGTTAAAAACTTCTGCCAAAAACTTTTATTATCTGCAACTTGCCTAGGTTAAGTGGTTAGAACACAGGGCTTCTAATCCCTAATCCTCATGTATGTTTTAGCCATCAGAATCGGATATTAAGTTGAGCCTTGATTCTGGCCACAAAATCATTTCCTAACTGTAGTCAAGTCTGAGTCCTGGCCCTGGTCACAGATTAAGCCCCAGTGTGGCCACAGATGGCACCCTAAGTCCAGGCAGCTAATACACAAATGATCATTATCAGATGGATTAAGTCAAATACATTCTCACCTCTGGCGACACAGTTCAAGGCCTGCGCTTTACTAGAGGTGGGTCAGTAGCTGTGCCTTTTGTCTGTGAAGGACAGTGCATTATTGATATAGCAATATGCTTGTCAGTGTTTCTTCTTCAATTGTCTGGCTGCAGAGAGCACAAATACTTTATTGCCGTGGTAGACAGTCTTTTCCTGAAGAAGATAAAAATAAAATGGAAAGAAAGAAATGAAACTTGAGTGAAGGAAGTAATTTCCTGTGACTGTGAAAACATAAAGCAAATGCCTGAACATGAGTTTAAATGGATCTGTAAATGTGGCTTGATGGAAGGAACCTTTCTTGGAAAGGACATAACTGTGAGTGCTGCTAGGTATAGAGCACATTAGGGGGCAAGGAAGCCAGGAATCATGTGCTGGAAGTCAGTTTCTATTAAATGAATAGACTTCAAACAGCTACTAAATCCGGTCTGGATAAATGGGTTTTTAGAATAATAATTTTTAAAAAATCATGAAGTGACTTGATAAGGCAGTAATGAAACTGTCAAAGTCTCCACTTTGACTGAGGCTGAGGTGTAATAGGGGATTTATTTCAATATCTAAATCTTTTCAGAATGTCAGGAGGGGGGAAGCTGAGATATTAGAGCTCCATTTGAATCCTTGTACTGGGAGTGGGGGCTTTGGAATGTACTGGAACAGTTCGGTCCATTAGAACCTTCTGTGATTATGGAAATATTCTATATCTGCTCTGTCCAGTACAGCGACCACTAGCTATATGTGGCTATTGAGCACTTGAAATGTGGCTAGTGTGATGGAGAAACATAATTTTAAATTTTATTTAATTGTAATAAATTTAAAATTAAATAGCCATAAGTGGCTAGTGGCTACCATACTGGACAGCACAGCGCTAGAATTTAGGTAATTCTCCATATCTAAGAGCAACAGAAAAGCCCAAGGAGAAAAGAGAACAACCAGCAAATCCATATGTCTGTGCTCAATTTTTACCTCTATTGAGAAGAATAGCCTTTTAGTTTTAGATAGACTTGGCACCTTGATTTTAAATGACAGCATGCCAGCATTGGTGAAGTGTGTGTCCCTGTGGTCAATCTAAGAACACGGAAAGTTCAAACACATTATTCTTTACTAATGGGCATTAATAACTTTAATGAAAGTAATCCATCTTGTTTTAAGCAGATAAATGAATATTTTACAAAAGAAATGTAATTAGGATTTTTATTAAAGAATTTGCTATTTTTTTTTTCTGCTCTGGATATAATAACCAGAGTTCTGTCTTTATGTGGGATGTATATAATTCAGTCAAAGCCAATAAACTTAATGTCTATTTCAATATCACACTATTGGTGACTTGGACTACAGAATAAAATAAGAAAATAATGATATACAGTTGAGTCTCCATGTCCATGGGTTCTGCATTTGTGGATTAAACCAACCACAGATTAAAAATATTTTTTTAAAAAACAATAAAAACCAAAACCAATACAACAATTAAAAATAATACAGATAAAAAGCCAATACAGCATAACAACTATTTATGTAGCATTTAATTTGTATTAGATATTATAAGTAATATAGAGATGATTTAAAGTATAAAGGAGGATGTATGCAGGTTATATGCAAATATCACACCATTTTATATCAGGGACTTGAGCATCCTTGGATTTGGGTATCTGTGGGGGTACTTGGAACCAGTTTCCTGTAGATACGGAGGGATAACTGTGCCGTAAACCAAATGAATTTCTTTGGGAAGAGTTTGGGTGTGATGAAGCAGATCTTATACTTGATTGGCTTTATCCCCCTGTTCTTTTAATGATTGTAATTTTGATGTCTAGCTCTTTAATTTGCAACTGTTTTCTTATGTACTACCTTTATGCTTCTTAATTTTTCCCACTTTATCATCTTTCATTCACTCAAAAAACTTAAAGAAGTCTCATGCATCTGGTGCATTGGGTGTAATGAAGTATGGTAAAAGATAATACTGGGGCAAGATCATGAAGGACTTTGAAGCCATGTTGAAGCATTTAGATTATTCCAGGAGCAGTGGGATTGACATGAGATTTTTGGAAAGCTCATTGGCTGCAGCATGGGGCATGAATTGAAGAGCAGGGAAAGTGAGACCTTTTAAATTAGTTAGGAGGTAAGGTGATGGTAGCAGTAGAGACATAAGGAAGTAGACAGAATCAAGAAATATTTAAGTGGTAGCATTGCTAGAACTTGGTGACTGATTAAATGAAGAAGGAACAGACTGTATCCTCCTTGAAACTCCTTGCATAGTCTCTGCTCCTGCCCTTTGCCCTTCCTGAGACAAAACACAGAACTCTGTCATTCATCCCCCCAAATAAATCCACTTCCCAAAGCATTGAAGGGAAATGTGCATTTTGCTGAATATTTCATGGGGAAATGGAAGACTGGGTTACATTGTGCATAACAGAGGGAAATTTAATCTGATTCCCTTATTGGACATATCTCACCCAAAGTCTTCTTCCTATCTGATTTTCCCCTGTTTTTTCCCTTCCTCTTTCCTCTAATATTTCTGTCTCTCCAGCTTCTCTGCCCTCCTGCCCTCTCCTAGATTCTATTCCACGTCTGCCCCCTTTCTTATAGAGAGCAATTTTACTTTTCTCTGGGCTTGTACAATTTACATTCTCATGTCGCAACCTAGTTTTACCTTTTGTTTGGGATCCATCATCTTTAGAAGTCAGGAGACACTATAGATAATAATCAATTTTCCTATTTTTTTATTTTGCCACAGGCTCTAATATGGCTAGGCACTACATTGTTACTATTTTTATTTAAATTTTTTATATTCTGTTCACTATGTATTTTTACATTAATTTTGATTTTAAAAAATATTGTTTTAAAATGCTAGTCATCTTAATTCTGAGTCTTTTGCTGCCCCTGATATTTTGTGTCCAAGGGAAGTGCCTTGCTTGTCACACTATTGTCCCAGCCCTGGCCTTTGATAACCTGTAGGAATTTTAGAAATACGTTTTATGCACTTTACATGCCTGTAATTCTCCTGAAATACAGGCTTTCTTAGGCCACCTACTCTAACCTTTTGTATATTAATGCATATTTCTACCCATCTGAGGTGTATTTCATTGGAAAAATTTATTTTTACTCATTCAACATTCTTTAAGCTCTTATTATATACCAGGCACTGTGTGCTGGTCTAGGCTTATAATTGTAAAAAGATCTTTTCAGTGGATAAGACAGAGAGGAAATCAATAAATATGCCAAAATTGCTTAAAACAAATTATTTTTTGACAAATAGTTATTGAGTACCTACTATGCTAAGTTTCGGGAATACAAGATTTCTGACCCTATGGAGCTCATATTCTTACAGGGGAATAAAATCACAACTTGGATTGGTGGCAAGAAAAAGGGCCTGGGGAAAAAAGACAAGGGAAATTTTGCTTAATAAGTGGTAGAGGAAGAAAAACTAGGAAGTGACTTTTCCCCAGAATACATAAGGCAAATAGTTGGTCATGCAAGCCAGCTTATGTCCAAAGTCGTGAATATATGAAATGGTGTTAGAAATGTTAGAAGGCAGCAGGACGGGCCAGGCAAGAGAGATCAGGAACTGGAAATGAAGCCAGCATGTTGGGATGATCCCAACTCAGCAACAGACTCAACTCCATGTCCAGCAAGAGCTAGTGCACGAAGCAGTTCGGATAAATGGCCAGCCTCAGGGATATCCATCAAGGGCACAATTATCCTGGAAGGGTGGAGGAGAATAGCACTGTATAGTTTAGAAGCAGGAAATATGCATACATGGACACAAGAAGCTATTTGGTGAGGTGGAAGCCTGGTAACTGACAACTGGGTTGTGTGGTTTTGAAACTTAAAGGAAGAAGGGGAAACGAAAGTTGCGATTGATGAGACATTTTTGTCAAACAAGGTTGGAGCCAGCAAGATCATCAGCTGGACCCTTGGAACTAATGTTCCTTCAATTCCTTCCTTGATGAGGAACAAGTTGGTCTCAGAGCTTGTGGCTCACTCTGCAGATGGCTTCAGCTGTCAGGAGTAGCACACTGGAAGAAGAGAGGAACCAATCAAGACCATTCGAGCTAGTAATGGGGATAATATAGATGATGCCTTCTCTATGCTTTTCATGACTAGAAACAGAAAATTTTAAACAGCAATTCTTTGTTGTTAATGATGATGATGATGATAAGGTGATTTAAATGTAACATTATATTGAGAAAAGTATCCGGAATTCTGCTTTGCTTTTATCATTTGAAAAATGGTTTTCTTCCAAAGCTTAACTCAATTAATGTTTTACCTCCCCCAATATGCCAGAACCACAAATTCTGCAGGATGTTAGTTATGCATTAAATTCACCTTCTCATATTCACGACAGCTAAATCATTTTTACTTTTATATTGCCTTCTTACTGCTTTTTTGCCAAATTCACATATGCACAGGAAGAAAGTTGATATTTTCTCTCTGTTAGCATGAGGTACTTTATTGCTGAACTCAATGGCAGCACATTAATTCAAAGGGAGAGAGGCCAATGAGACTAGAAATCAAGCCCTTCAATTCCGAATTTCCACATTTATTGCATTTGAGGATGCCAAGGCATAATGATAAAGCATTCCAGCAGGCGGAACTCACGGTTTTAAACCTATTTACTCTGCTGTAGTTGAATGTCGCTGCATATGACAAATGTTGTGAATAAGTATGTTTCAAGGCCAAAGAGTTCTATGAGAAATCCCATCATTCTAAAGATCACAAAGTCATTTCAGAAATTGAACAATATTATAGCAGCGTAATAGCAAATTTGAATCTTGTGTCTCCAACATGTCAAGAGTTCTTTAAAGCACCCTGTGGGTGGTTTGTGCACAACAGCCAGTACTCCTCTGTTTTAGACCTGGCAGGGACCAAAACTGAAATTCTCCCCAAAAGGCAATGAACTCACTACTTGGTTACCAACTAAATGTTCAAGGTTCTTATCGTGGAAGAACTCAGAAAGTCAGGCTTTGTTAGTGCAAAAGAATCATTTCAATGGATTGACTGATCCATCATACGGTTTGAAATTAGAAAATTCACTTTTGGTTTTTAAAACTTGAACCCTTCATGTAAACCTGTTATAATTATTACCTTACAAGCAGCATTTGTCCCTTTCCCAAAAAAGCTTAAAAATATAACCAAAGTCTGATAAAATAAGTGCCAAGAAATCCCTGTTTTTTATATGTTTATATCAGTCCTGTGTTCTCAATTTTCTGGGATGAGATCTTTTAAAAAACTGTCTTCTTAGGCCCATAAACTATTGATATTTCCAAAGCATTTCAACATTTTCTTATACAGATCACGTCTTCCTGAAAGCTTTTTTCATCTTAGGTAGCACAAAACTCCTTTGTAAGACAGCATGAGTCAAAGTTGGTATTGGCCTTTTTAAACCATAAATGACATTTTCAGTTTCAGAAAGTGTAAGGTAATTCTTGCTTTGGAGCCTTTCTTTGAGAGGGATTCAGCAGAAGGCAATCCAAAATTTACCTGGCCTGCCCAAACTTGGCTGTGACCAAAGGAACTCACATTTGAGACCAGCTTTAGGAAGGGGGTAAAATAAAAAGGAAAAATAAAGACACTTGGGAAAAGATGTGGCCTTCTCTGTATGCTTTAATGAAGAAATTTTGTGCATAGTCCTCACGTGACTTGTTTAAACCCAATTCCAAATCTACTGGTCTGTAAAGTGCTCTTTGGATTTGCAGTCCTGATTTTTAAATCTAAAGATAACAAAGTCTCCCCCGGGCCTCATCAGATCTTAATTGTTAAAGTATCTCAGTGTGGCTGATGTGGTTTGTACAACCCCTAACTGAACTGTGAGCACACCCTGAAATCTCAGCAGGATTAATTTTTTCACAGTTTGAATGATTTTTATCAGATTAATTACCACCTCCTGCAGTCCAATCCCTCACTCTCTGCCAACCCACCCCAAGAATGTATATCTATTTCTGGAGCTGTGAGAAATCCAACTGTCATGATGCATTTAGCTAAATTCAATTTTTTTTTTGACAAAACTAGGTTCCTGGAACAATCCTTGCTGAGCTAGTGGTTGAAAATTGAGGTGCTACATGTAAATAGGTACAGTGCTTTCAAGCAAACAACAAAGTGGTTTTGTTTGGATTTTGGGTTTATTACCACAAATAACTGCATTTAATGGGCATTATGTCTGATTTAACACACCACCAGGATTTTCTATAGGTTTACTAGCTTTTTTTCCCTTTACCTCTGGATACTCATGCTTTCTTTATCTCTTACAAAAGCTAAAGCTTTTTGCATATGTTTGAAACCTCTGAAGGCGTCTGTTATAATATTTTAGCTAGTCCCTATTGTGAATGGCACAGGCAGGTGTAGGAACCATTAAAGTGTACACCAATAATAAATAGATAAACAAATGAGAAGGAAGGTCTCTTTTTTATGGTAGCATGCTGACTGATATCTGTGGAAGGAATAGTAGAGCTGAAAATCACCATTTTGCTGCCATCGTAGTACAGAGGCTTGAGGCAAGAATCATCAATAAATCCTAACTATGGCAGGGGAGAATTTGATGAGTAAATAGATATTTGCATAGTTTCAGTGTTTCTTCATAGATTGCATTTTAATTATGAAATGAAAGAGAGTATATAGTGAAAAAACTGGACAATGTCTTGACTGGGTGATCAAAATCAATGTCACAGGTAGATATTGTGTCCTCTAAATATGGTGTTCTGAATAGAACATGTCATTAATGTAGTTTTCTGTCTGGTAATGCATAGCCTGAATCCAATCATAAGGAGACATCAAAGAAACCAAAATTGAGGAATGATCTATAAAATAGCAGGCCTATACTCTTCAAAGATGTCAGTGTTATGAAAGACAAAGAAAGGCTGTAGAACCATTTGAGATTAAAGGAAACTAAAGGGGCATGATAATTAAATGTAATGCATGATGCTAGGTTGGTTTTTGTACTGGAGGAACCAAAATGTGATAACTGAAGAGACACAATACTATCATGGCAGATGGGAGGCAGGACTAGATCGCAGCCCTGACTCGGATGTAGAGAGCAGCGTGCGGAGGCTCACATCATGAATTGTAGCTCCAGATCAACTGCAAGAATAAATCATCAATCCTGAGAGGACCCACAGACCCGCTGAAGGAAGGGGACTGCTCTTGTAGGACCTGGGAGATAACCCAAACACTCATCCGCAGCAAGACCTGCCCAAAGAGAGTCTGAGCTCAGACATACCTAGCCCTACCCCCCACCTGATGGGCCTTTCCTATCCACTCTGGCAGCTGAAGACAAAGGGCATATAATCTTGGGAGTTCTAGGGCCCTGCCCACTGCCAGTTCCTCTCCATACTACCACAGCTGATGCTTTCTGGAAAGCGCCCCCTCCCGGCAGGATGCCAACCAGCACAAAAATAGAGCATTAAGCCACCAAAGCTAAGAACCCTCACAGAGTCCATTTCACTCCCCCTGCCACCTCCACTGGAACAGGCGCTGGTATCCACGGCTGAGAGACCCATAGAAAGTTCACATCACAGGACTCTGTGCAGACAATCCCCAGTACCAGCCCAGAGCTTGGCAGACTAGCTGGGTGGCTAGACCCAGAAGAGAGACAATAATCACTACAGCTTGGCTCACAGGAAGCCACAGCCATAGGAAAAGGGGGAGAGTACTACATCGAGGGAACACACCATGGAACAAAAGAATCTGAACAACAGCCTTCAGCCCTAGACCTTCCCTCTGACAGAGCCTACCCAGATGAGAAGAAATCAGAAAACCAACTCTGGTAACATGACAAAACAAGGCTCTTTAACACCCCCCAAAAATTACACTAGTTCACCAGCAATGGACCCAAAGCAAGAAGGAATCCCTGTTTTACCAGAAAAAGAATTCAGGAGATTAATTATTAAGGTAATAAGGGAGGCACCAGAGAAAGGTGAAGCCAAATGTAAAGAAATCCAAAAAATGATACAAGAAGTGAAGGGAGAGATATTCAAGGAAATAGATAGCATAAATAAAAGACAATCAAAACTTCAGGAAACAATGGACACATTTATAGAAATGCAAAATTCTGTGGAAAGTCTCATCAATAGAATTGGACAAGTAGAATAAAGGGATTCAGAGCTCGAAGACAAGGTATTTGAATTAAGCCAATCCAACAGAGACAAAGAAAAAAGAATAAGAAAATATGAACAAAGCCTCCAAGAAGTCTGGAATTATGTTAAGCAACCAAACCTAAGAATAATCAGCATTCCTGAGGAAGAAGAGAAATCTAAAAGTTTGGAAAACATATTTGGGGAAATAATCAAGAAAAACTTCCCTAGCCTTGCTAGAGACCTGGACATTCAAATACAAGAAGCACAAAGAACACTTGGGAAATTCATCGCAAACAGATCACTGCCTAGGCACATTGTCATCAGGTTATCTAAAGTTAAGACGAAGGAAAGAATCTTAAGAGCTGTGAGACAGAAGCATCAGGTAACCTATAAAGGAAAACCTGTCAGATTAACAGCAGATTTTTTAGCAGAAACCCTACCAGATAGAATAGATTGGGGCCCTATCTTCAACCTCCTCAAACAAAACAATTATCGGCCAAGAATTTTGTATCCAGTGAAACTAAGCATCGTATTTGAAGAAAAGATACAGTCTTTTTCAGATAAACAAATGCAGAGAGAATTCACCACTACCAAGACACCACTGCAAGAACTGCTAAAAGGAGCTCTAAATCTTGAAACAAATCCTGGAAACACATCAAAACAGAACCTCTTTAAAGCATAAATCACACAGGATATATAAAACAAAAATACAAGTTAAAAAGCAAAAACAAAAAACAAGGTACACAGGCAACAAATAGCGTGATGAATGCAATGGTACCTCATATCTCAATACTAACATTGAATGTAAATGGCCTAAATGCTCCACTTAAAAGATACGGAACTGCAGAATGGATAAAAACTCACTAACCAACTATCTACTGCCTTCAGGAGACTCACTTAACACATAAGGACTCGCATAAATTTAAAGTAAAGGGATGGAAAAAGGCATTAATGCAAATGGACACCAAAAGCGAGCAGGGGTAGCTATTCTTGTATCAGATAAAACCACTTTAAAGCAACAGCAGTTGAAAGAGACAAAGAGGAACATTATATAATGGTAAAAGGCTTTGTCCAACAGGAAAATATCACAATCCTAAACATACTTGCACCTAACACTGGAGCTCCCAATTTACAAAACAATTACTAACAGACCTAACAAATGAGATAGACAGCAAGACAATAATAGTGCGGGACTTCAATACTCCACTGACAGCACTAGACAGGTCATCAAGACAGCAAATCAACAAAGAGACAATGGATATAACTACGCCTTGGAGCAAATGGACTTAACAGATATGTACAGAAGATTCCACCGAACAACCACAAAATACACATTCTATACAACAGCGCATGAAACTTTCTCCAAGATAGGCCATGGAATGAGCCTCAATAAATTTAAGAAAATTAAAATTATATCAAGCACTCTCTCAGACTAAAGTGGAATAAAACTGGAAATCAACTCCAAAAAAACCCTTCAAAACCATGCAAATACATGGAAATTAAATAGCCTACTCCTGAATGAGCATTGGGTCAAAAGTGAAATTAAGATGAAAATTAAAAAATTATTTGAACTGAACGACAATAATGACACAACCCATCAAAACCTTGGGGATACAGCAAAGGTGGTGCTAAGAGGAACGTTCATAGTCCCAAAGCCCACATCAAAAAGACTGACAGAGTACACACTGGCATTCTAAGGTCACATCTCAAGGAACTAGAGAAACAAGAACAAACCAAACCAAAACCCAGCAGAAGAAAAGAAATTACCAAGATCAGATTAGAACTAAATGAAATTGAAACAAAAAAAATACAAAAGATAAATGAAACCAAAGGCTGGTTCTTTGAAAAGATAAATAAAATTGATAGACCATTAGCAAGATTAACCAATAAAAGAAGAGAGAAAATCCAAATAACCTCAGTAAGAAACGAAACAGGAGATAGTGCAGCTGACACCACTGAAATGCAAATGAGCCTTCAAGGCTACTATGAACACCTTTACGCACATAAACTAGAAAACCTAGAAGAGATGAATAAATTCCTGGAAAAATACAATCTTCCTAACTTAAATTGTGAAGAATTAGATACCCCGAACAGACCAATAACAAGCAGCGAGATTGAGTTGGTAATTAAAAAATTACCAACAAAAAAATCCAGGACCAGACGGATTAACAGCAGAATTCTACCAGACATTCAAAGAATTGGTACCAATCCTTTTGACACTATTCCACGAGATAGAGAAAGAAGGGACCCTCCCTAATTCATTCCATACAGCCAGTATCACCCTAATACCAAAACCAGAAAAGGACATAACCAGAAAAGAAAACTATAGATGGATATCCTTGATGAACATAGATGCTGAAATCCTTAAGAAAATACTAACTAACTGAATCCAACAACATATCAAAAAGATAATCCACCACGATCAAGTGGGTTTCATACCAGGGATGCAGGGATGGTTTAACATACACAAGTCAATAAATGAGATACACCACATAAACGGAATTAAAAACAAAAATCACATGATCATCTCAATAGATGCAGTGAAAGCATTGGACAAAATCCAGCATCCCTTGCTGATTAAAGCTCAGCAAAATCGGCATACAAGGGACATTCCTTAATGTAATAAAAGCCATCTATGACAAACCTGCAGCCAACATAATACTGAATGGGGAAAATTTGAAAGCATTCCCTCTGAGAACTGGAACAAGGCAAGGATGCCCACTCTCACCACTCCTCTTCACCATAGTACTGGAAGTCCTAGCCAGAGCAATCAAACAAGAGAAAGAAATAAAGGCATTCAAATCAGTAAACAGGAAGTCAAACTGTTGCTGTTTGCTGAATAATATGATTGTATACCTAGAAAACCCCAAAAGAGTCCTCCAAAAAGATTCTAGAACTGATGAAAGAATTCAGCAAAATTTCCAGATGCAAAATTAATGTACACAAATCAGTAGCTCTCCTATACACCAACAGTGACTAAGCTGAGAATCAAATCAAGAACTCAACCCTTTTTACAATAGATGCCAAAAAATAAAATACTTAGGAATATACCTAACCAAGGAGGCAAAAGACCTCTACAAGGAAATCTACAAAACACTCCTGAAAGAAACCATAGACGACACAAGCAAATGGAAACACATCCCATGCTCATGGATTGGGCAGAATCAATATTGTGAATATGACCGTACTGACAAAAGCAATCTACAAATTCAATGCAATCCCCATCAAATACCACTGTCATTCTTCACAGAAATAGGAAAACAATTCTAAAATTCTTATGGAACAAAAAAAAGAGCCCGCATAGCCAAAGCAAGACTAAGCAAAAAGAACAAATCTGGAGGCATCACACTACCTGATTTCAAACTATACTATAAGTCCATAGTCACCGAAACAGCATCATACTGTTATAAAAATAGGCACATAGACCAGTGGAACAGAATAGAGAACCCAGAAATAAACCCAAATACTTACAGCCAACTGATCTCCGACAAAGCAAACAAAAACATAAAGTGGGGAAAGGACACCGTTTACAACAAATGGTGCTGCGATAATTGGCTAGCCGCATGTAGAAGAATGAAACTGGATCCTTATCTCTCACCTTATACAAAAATCAACTCAAGATGGATTAAGGACTTAAGACCTGAAACTATAAAAATTCTAGAATATAACATTGGAAAAACCCTTCTAGACATTGGCTTAGGCAAGGATTTCATGATCAAGAACCCAAAAGAAAATGCAATAAAAACAAAGATAAATAGTTGGGACTTAATTAAACTAAAGAGCTTTTGCACAGCAAAAGGAACAGTCAGCAGAGTAAACAGACAACCCACAGAGTGGGAGAAAACCTTCACAATCTATACATCTGACAAAGAACTAATATTCAGAATCTACAATGAACTCAAACAAATCAGTAAGAAACAAACAAACAATCCCATCAAAAAGTGGGTTAAGGACATGAATAGACAATTCTCAAAAGAAGATATACAAATGGCCAACAAACATATGAAATAATACTCAACATCACTAATGATCAGGGAAATGCAAATCAAAACCACAATGTGATATCACTTTACTCCTGCAACAATGGCCATAATAACAAAATGAAAAAACAGTAGATGTTGGCATGGATGCAGTGATCAGGGAACACTTCTACCCTGCTGGTGGGAATGTAAACTGATATATCCACTGTGGAAAACAGTGTGGAGATTCATTAAAGAACTAAAAGTAGGACTACTATTTGATCCTGCAATCCCGCTGCTGGGTATCTACCCAGAGGAAAAGAAGTCATTATTCAAAAAAGATACTTGGACTTGCATGTTTATAGCAGCACAATTCACAATTGCAAAATCATGGAGCCAACCCAAATGCCCATCAGTCAACGAGTGGATGAAGAAACTGTTGTATATATATACGATGGAATACTACTCAGCCATAAAAAGGAATGAATTAACAGCATTCACAGTGACCTGGATGAGATTGGAGACTTCTTCTAAGTGAAGTAACTCAGGAATGGAAAACCAAACACTGTATGTTCTCACTGATATGTGGCAGCTAAGCTACAAGGTTGCAAAGGCATAAGAATGATACAATGGACTTTGAGGACTTGGGGGGAAGAGTGGGAGGGTGTGAGGGATAAAAGGCTACAATTAGGGTGCAGTGTATACTGCTTGGTGTATACTGCAGTGTATACTGCACCAAAATCTCACAAATCACCACTAAAGAACTTACTTATGTAACCAAATACCACCTGTACCCCAATAACATATGGGAAAAAAAAGAATGCTAAAAAAATGCGGTAACTGATATTATTGGGAAAAAATTAGAGTATAGACCGTAGATAAGATAAAATAACAATGTTAAATTTCCTGAATTTAATAACTGTATTGTGGTTATCTAAAATAATATTTTTGTCCTTTGGAGATACAAACTGAAGTATTAAGGGGTAAAGGGAATTGATGTATGTGATCTACCTTTAACAGGTTCATAAAAATAAATCATATATAAATATATCAAACATGATATATAAATTTCTATGTCATATATGCCAATTAATTATATATAATAAATTCTATATGTGACATATATATGAGTGTGTATATATATTTAAATATATATATAGTCAGTACATTTAGCTACCATGCTATTTGCATCCCCAAACAACGCTGATTAACGTGTGTGTGTGTGTGTAATAGAGAAGACAGAGAGGCAGAGAGAAAGCAAATGAGGCAAAATGTTAAAAATTGCTGAACCTGCATAAAGGGTATACAGGAGTTCTCTGTACTATTCATGCAACATTTAAGTTTGAAATTAATTTTTTAAAAAGTTGTCACTTACTTCCTTCTAACACCTTGTGGATTCCCATATTTACACCTTCACTGACGTCACTCTTGCCACAACTCCCCTCAACCTGGCAAGTCAACTTCTCCAAATCCTGCCTGAATCTCTAGGTCCTGCTCAGATTTAGCCTCCTCCTTCTCTGCATTCCTCTAGCACTGCTGGTCTCCATATCATTTGGCACTAAGCCTGATCCTGTTGATAAGCTTTGTTTTGGGATGTAAACACTGTAGCAGCTAAATGCACAGACTGTGTAATCAGACTGCCTGGGTTCAAATCTCAGTTCTGCCACAAGGTGTGTGATCTTGAGCAAGTTCTTTACCTTCTCTAAGTCTCAGTTCCTTGAATTGGAAGCCTCATTTCATTAGGGGAAAAAGAGCACCCACTGAGAGTCCAGAGGATTAATTCTAGGTCTAGAATTGCCACGCAGTGTATGACCTTGGATAAAGCATTTCTTCTCTGTGGGTCTCAGATCTCTAACCTGTAACATTAGGGAGTTGGATGAATAAGTGGTTCTCCACTTTGACTGCATATCAGAATTGCCTGGGGAGCTATAAAATACATCAATGTCCAGAGACCCCTTCCCCCCCAGATTTTAATTTGATTAATTGAAGTTGAAGCCCAGGCAGTTTTTAAAAGCTCCCAGGTGATTTCAATGTGTAGATCAAGCTGAGAAACACGCAGGCCGCTGATTCCCAAGGCTGCTTCTAGTTTGACAATCCTGATTCCATGCAAAAGTGCTGCTGTGAATTCTTTGTTATTGGCATTAAGCCCCTTTCTGTTGCCCCTACAATGTGTGGCTTAGGGCTTGATGACTGACATGGTGGGGACACACACTACTGATATGCTAACTAAATAATAATTAGCTAAGATTTTCTCTCTTTTTTTCTGTTAGAAAGACATCTTTGACAATTTTAGCATCTTGACAGAATGATTATTGCCTCCTAGAATCCCCTACTGGCCATAGGAAATTAGCTGTAGCAGTGTATACTCTTAATGGGAATCTGGCATGTCAATGGGTTATTTCTGTCATTGTGGTTTAGTCTGATATTCCAATATGCCCCTGCTGCTTTTCATGATACTTAGCAAGGAAAAAAATAAGGCAATGGTTCCCCCTTGGTTCACGTTTGACCTATTGCTATGCTTGAGGCAATCACTAAACACCATAGGTGTTGAAGTGATTAGGGACAATTAAGATAGTACAGCCTCCGAGGAAGAAGCCACTATCAAGCCTTTGGTCTCCCAAATGCACAGGTTGTGTGGTCCTGCAACAGCAATTACCTAAAAATATCCAGTACTTAATTACTTCCAAGGTGTCAGTCTTCATAACTGGGTATTAGAATGTTCTAATTGATAGCGCAGCTGCAGCTTTGCCGCCTGACACTGGCATATGGCTTGCAATATTCTTATACGTTGATCAGTTTTCTTTCTTAATACATCTCAGATTGCAGATTGTAGGCGTGATCTAGCTGGGATTGGAATTACTGTACCTTTTTTTTTTTTTTTTTGGCAATTTACCGTTTCCAGCCTTGAGTGAGAGGGGAAAACAGAAAAACTAGGAAAACAGAAAAATATTTTAAATAAAGAAAAGAAGAAGAAAAGGAAAAATATAGTCCAGGGGCCTATGGCAACCAAATTGGATTGGAAAACTTCCTAGCTCCTGTTGCTTTTGCATTTCACTTTAGGAAAATCCTATACATATGTAATCTAGAAGTCAACTAGGATTACCCTCATCATCCTTAAAATCTAGATAAGATTAGCTCGAACTTCCATCCTAGAGATTACGGGCAGTCCAAAGCTCTTTTCAAGCTGTGAGTTTCCAGGGCGCTAATGTTAATGATGTCACCTCTAGCTCTGAGCTCTTGACATTGCTGAGTCTGTTTTATTTCAAGATCTTCTCACTATGGTGTGTGTGCTATTTCTTTTCTACACTATGTTGACTCAAACAAACAGCATATTTTACTGAAGCATAGGGGATATGGAGGGATCTTTACTACAGGCATGCAAACAACTTCAAATAAAGTGGTAGCCATCTCTGTCATTCAAAGTCCTTCAGCCATTTCTGCAACCCAAGCTCTAGTCTCCTACCATGTGGCTCAGTTTCCTTTTTCTCTCTTGGTGGCTTTTTCCCTTTTCTTTTCCTTTTGCTCCTGTCCTCCCAGGAGAAATATAAATGTATTATGCAAATATGAATATTCTTATGCAGAGTAATTCAGCTCTCTCTAGCAGCAACTTCAAAACGAAGTCTGGGTTTCCCTTTGTATATCTACAGCTTTATGTTTATTGCTTAACAGAGCCCTTCAGATTGGATTTGTTTTCTAGTATGAACAGAGACACATAGGCACACACAAACACACACATACATTTCCAAATTTATAAAACTTATAAGATGTATCAGTTGCAACTTATTCTTTTATTTGGCAATAGAATTTCCTATAAAACAGCCTCTTAACTTGTGGGCAGGGCTCTGGCTTCTTTCTAGTCCTAATTGGTTTTCCACACAGATGTCAAATGAATCTTCCAGAAACTTTTTCATCATGTTATTTCTCTGTATACAATTTTTAATTAATGTGATGATCTAATGAATATTTAGATGATAGTGATTGATAATGGATAAATGTATTACCCCCAGATAACTTATAATGTTTTAATTACCCCCAGAGACTTATATAATGTCTTTTTTTAATTATACTTTAAGTTCTAGGGTACATGTGCACAATGTGCAGGTTAGTTACATATGTATACATGTGCCATGTTGGTGGGCTGCACCCATTAACTCATCATTTAACATTAGGTATGTCTCTTAATGCTATCCCTCCCCCCTCCCCCCCCACCACAGGCCCTGGTGTGTGATGTTCCCCTTCCTGTGTCCATGTGTTCTCATTATTCAATTCCCAACTATGAGTGAGAACATGCAGTGTTTGGTTTTTTGTCCTTGCAATAGTTTGCTGAAAATGATGGTTTCCAGCTTCATCCATGTCCCTACAAAGGACATGAGCTCATCATTTTTTATGGCTGCATAGTATTCCAAGGTGTTTATGTGCCACATTTTCTTGATCCAGTCTACCACTGTTGGACATTTGGCTTGGTTCCAAGTCTTTGCTATTGTGAATAGTGCTGCAATGAACATACGTGTGCATGTGTCTTTATAGCAGCATGATTTATAATCCTTTGGGTATATACCCAGTAATGGGATGGCTGGGTCAAATGGTATTTCTAGTTCTAGATCCCTGAGGAATCGCCACACTGACTTCCACAATGGTTGAACTAGTTTACAGTCCCACCAACAGTGTAAATGTGTTCCTATTTCTCCACATCCTCTCCAGCACCTGTTGTTTCCTGACCTTTTAATGATTGCCATTCTAACTGGTGTGAGATGGTATCTCATTGTGGTTTTGATTTGCATTTCTCTGATGGCCAGTGATGGTGAGCATTTTTTCATGTGTCTTTTGGCTGCATAAATGTCTTCTTTTGGAGAAGTGTCTGTTCATATCCTTTGCCCGCTTTTTGATGGGGTTGTTAATTTTTTTCTTGTAAATTTGTTTGAGTTCATTGTAGATTCTGGATATTAGCCCTTTGTCAGATGGGTAGATTGCAAAAATTTTCTCCCATTCTGTAGGTTGCCTGTTCACTCTGATGGTAGTTTCTTTTGCTGTGCAGAAGCTCTTTAGTTTAATTGGATCCCATTTGTCAATTTTGGCTTTTGTTGCCATTGCTTTTGGTGTTTTAGACATGAAGTCCTTGCCCATGCCTATGTCCTGAATGGTAATGCCTAGGTTTTCTTCTAGGGTTTTTATGGTTTTAGGTCTAACATTTAAGTCTTTAAGCCATCTTGAATTAATTTTTGTAGAAGGTGTAAGGAAGGGATCCAGTTTCAGCTTTCTGCATATGGCTAGCCAGTTTTCCCAGCACCATTTATTAAATAGGGAATCCTTTCCCCATTTCTTGTTCTTGTCAGGTTTGTCAAAGATCACATGGTTTTAGATATGTGGCATTATTTCTGAGGGCTCTGTTCTGTTCCATTTGTCTATATCTCTGTTTTGGTATCGGTACCATGCTGTTTTGGTTACTGTAGCCTTGTAGTATAGTTTGAAGTCAGGTAGTGTGATGCCTCCAGCTTTGTTCTTTTGGCTTAGGATTGACTTGGCAATGCGGGCTCTTTTTTTGGTTCCATATGAAATTTAAAATAGTTTTTTCCAGTTCTGTGAAGAAAGTCATTGGTAGCTTGATGGGGATGGCATTGAATCTATAAATTACCTTGGGCAGTATGGCCATTTTCACGATATTGATTCTTCCTACCCATGAGCATGAAATGTTCTTCCATTTGTTTGTATCCTCTTTTATTTCACTGAGCAGTGGTTTGTAGTTCTCCTTGAAGAGGTCCTTCACGTCCCTCGTAAGTTGGATTCCCAGGTATTTTATTCTCTTTGAAGCAATTGCGAATGGGAGTTCACTCATGATTTGGCTCTCTGTTTGTCTGTTATTGGTGTATAAGAATGCTTCTGATTTTTGCACACTGATTTTGCATCCCGAGACTTTGCTGAAGTTGCCTATCAGCTTAAGGAGATTTTGGGCTGAGACGATGGGGTTTTCTGGGTATACAATCATGTCATCTGCAAACAGGGACAATTTGACTTCCTCTTTTCCTAATTGAATACCCTTTATTTCCTTCTCCTGCCTAATTGCCCTGGCCAGAACTTCCAACACTATGTTGAATAGGAGTGGAGAGTGAGGACATCCCTGTCTTGTGCCAGTTTTCAAAGGGAATGCTTCCAGTTTTTGCCCATTCAGTATGATATTGGCTGTGGGTTGGTCATAGATAGCTCTTATTATTTTGAGATACATCCCACCAATACCTAATTTATTGAGAGTTTCTAGCATGAAGCATTGTTGAATTTTGTCAAAGGCCTTTTCTGCATCTATTGAGATAATCATATGGTTTTTGTCATTGGTTCTGTTTCTATGCTGGATTACGTTTATTGATTTGCGAATGTTGAACCAGCCCTGTATCCCAGGGATGAAGCCCAGTTGATCATGGTGGATAAGCTTTTTGATGTGCTGCTGGATTCAGTTTGCCAGTATTTTATTGAGGATTTTTTCATCGATGTTCATCAGGGATATTGGTCTAAAATTCTCTTTTTTGGTTGTGTCTCTGCCAGGCTTTGGTATCAGGATGATGCTGGCCTCATAAAATGAGTTAGGGAGGATTCTCTCTTTTTCTATTAATTGGAATACCTTCAGAAGGAATGGTACCAATTCCTCTTTGTACCTCTGGTAGAATTCGGCTGTGAATCCATCTGGTCCTGGACTTTTTTGGTTGGTAAGCTATTAATTATTGCCTCAATTTCAGAGCCTGTTATTGGTCTATTCAGAGATTCAACTTCTTCCTGGTTTAGTCTTGGGAGGGTGTATGCGTCGAGGAATTTATCCATTTCTTCTAGATTTTCTAGTTTATTTGCATAGAGGTGTTTATAGTATTCTCTGATGGTAGTTTGTATTTCTGTGGGATCGGTGGTGATATCCCCTTTATCATTTTTTATTGCGTCTATTTGATTCGTCTCTCTTTTCTTCTTTAGTAGTCTTGCTAGTGGTCTATCAATCCTGTTGATCTTTTCAGAAAACCAGCTCCTGGATTCATTGATTTTTTGAAGGTTTTTTTCTGTCTCTATTTCCTTCAGTTCTGCTCTGATCTTAGTTATTTCTTGCCTTCTGCTAGCTTTTGAATGTGTTTGCTCCTGCTACTCTAGTTCTTTTAATTGTGATGTTAGGGTGTCAATTTTGGATCTTTCCTGCTTTCTCTTGTGGGCATTTAGTGCTATAAATTTCCCTCTACACACTGCTTTAAATGTGTCCCAGAGATTTTTATATGTTGTGTCTTTGTTCTTGTTCGTTTCAAAGAACATCTTTATTTCTGTCTTCATTTCGTTATGTACCCAGTAGTCATTCAGGAGCAGGTTGTTCAGTTTCCATGTAGTTGAGTGGTTTTGAGTGAGTTTCTTAATCCTGAGTTCAAGTTTGATTGCACTGTGGTCCGAGAGACAGTTTGTTATAATTTGTGTTCTTTTACATTTGCTGAGGAGTGTTTTACTTCCAAGTATGTGGTCAGTTTTGGAATAGGTGTGGTGTGGTGCTGAAAAGAATGTATATTCTGTTGGTTTGGGGTGGAGAGTTCTGTAGATGTGTATTAGGTCTGCTTGGTGCAGAGCTGAGTTCAATTCCTGGATATCCTTGTTAACTTTCTGTCTCGTTGATCTGTCTAATGTTGACAGTGGGGTGTTAAAGTCTCCCATTATTAATGTGTGGGAGTCTAAGTCTCTTTGTAGGTCTCTAAGGACTTGCTTTATGAATGTGGGTGGTCTTGTAATGGGTGCATATATGTTTAGGATAGTTAGCTCTTCTTGTTGAATTGATCCCTTTACCATTATGTAATGGCCTTCTTTGTCTCTTTTGATCTTTGTTGGTTTAAAGTCTATTTTATCAGAGACTAGGATTGCAACCCCTGCCTTTTTTTGTTTTCCATTTGCTTCGTAGATCTTCCTCCATCCCTTTATTTTGAGCCTATGTGTATCTCTGCACGTGAGATGGGTTTCCTGAATACAGCACACTGATGGGTGTTGACTCTTTATCCAATTTGCCAGTCTGTGTCTTTTAATTGGAGCATTTAGCCCATTTATATTTAAGGTTAATATTGTTATGTGTGAATTTGATTCTGTCGTTATGATGTTAGCTGGTTATTTTGCTCGTTAGTTGATGCAGTTTCTTCCTAGCCTCGATGGTCTTTACAATTTGGAATGTTTTTGCAGTGGCTGGTACCAGTTTTTCCTTTCCATGTTTAGTTCATCCTTCAGGAACTCTTGTAGGGCAGGCCTGGTGGTGACAAAATCTCTCAGCATTTGCTTGTCTGTAAAGGATTTTATTTCTCCTTCACTTATGAAGCTTAGTTTGGCCAGATATGAAATTCTGGGTTGAAAATTCTTTTCTTTAAGAATGTTGAATATTGGCCCCCCACTCTTCTGGCTTATAGAGTTTCTGCCGAGAGATCAGCTGTTAGTCTGATGGGCTTCCCTTTGTGGGTAATCCAACCTTTCTCTCTGGCGGCCCTTAACATTTTTTCTTCATTTCAACTTTGGTGAATCTGACAATTATGTATCTTGGAGTTGCTCTTCTCGAGGAGTATCTTTGTGGCGTTCTCTGTATTTCCTGAATTTGAATGTTGGCCTGCCTTGCTAGATTCGGGAAGTTCTCCTGGATAATATCCTGCAGAGTGTTTTCCAACTTGGTTCCATTCTCCCCGTCACTTTCAGGTACACCAATCAGACGTAGATTTGGTCTTTTCAGATAGTCCCATATTTCTTGGAGGCTTTGTTTGTTTCTTTTTATTCTTTTTTCTCTAAATTTCTCTTCTCACTTCATTTCATTCATTTGATCTTCCATCACTGATACCCTGTCTTCCAGTTGATCACATCAGCTACTGAGGCTTGTGCATTTGTCAGGTAGTTCTCGTGCCTTGGTTTTCAGCTCCATCAGGTCCTTTAAGGACTTCTCTGCATTGGTTATTCTAGTTAGCCATTCGTCTAATTTTTTTTCAATGTTTTTAACTTCTTTGCCATGGGTTCAAACTTCCTCCTTTAGCTCGGAGTAGTTTGATCGTCTGAAGCCTTCTTCTCTCAACTCGTCAAAGTCATTCTCCGTCCAGCTTTGTTCCATTGCTGGTGAGGAGCTGCATTCCTTTGGAGGAGAGGCACTCTGATTTTTAGAGTTTTCAGTTTTTCTGCTCTGTTTTTTCCCCATCTTTGTGGTTTTATCTACCTTTGGTCTTTGATGATGGTGACGTACAGATGGGGTTTTGGTGTAGATGTCCTTTCTGTTTGTTAGTTTTCCTTCTAACAGTCAGGACCCTCAGCTGCAGGTCTGTTGGAGTTTGCTGGAGGTCCACTCCAGACCCTGTTTGCCTGGGTATCAGCAGCAGAGGCTGCAGAACAGCAGATATTGGTCAACAGAAAATGTTGCTGCCTGATCGTTCCTCTGGAACTTTTGTCTCAGAGGAGTACCCGGCCATGTGAGGTGTCAGTCTGCCCCTACTGGGGGATGCCTCCCAGTTAGGCTACTCGGGGGTCAGGGACCCACTTGAGGAGGCAGTCTGTCTGTTCTGAGATCTCCAGCTTCATGCTGGGAGAACCACTACTCTCTTCAAAGCTGTCAGATAGGGACATTTAAGTCTGCAGATGATTCTCCTGCCTTTTGTTTGGCTATGCCCTGCCCCCAGAGGTGGAGTCTACAGAGGCAGGCAAGCCTCCCTGAGCTGCAGTGGGCTCCACCTAGTTCAAGCTTCCTGGCTGCTTTGTTTACCTACTCAAGCCTCAGCAATGGTGGGCGCCCCTTCCCCAGCCTCACTGCCACCTTGCAGTTTGATCTCAGACTGCTGTGCTAGCAATGAGTGAGGCTCCGTGGGCGTAGGACCCTCCAAGCCAGGCGCGGGATATAATCTCGTGGTGCGCTGTTTGCTAAGACCGTTGGAAAAGTGCAGTATTAGGGTGGGAGTGACCCAATTTTCCAGGTGCTGTCTGTCACCCCCTTCTTTGACTAGGAAAGGGAATTCCTTGACCTCTTGTGCTTCCCGGGTGAGGCGATGCCTCACCCTGTTTCGGCTCACGCTCGGTGCACTGCACCCACTGTTCTGCACCCACTTTCCGACACTCCCCATTGAGATGAACCTGGTACCTCAGTCGGAAATGCAGAAATCACCGGTCTTCTGTGTCACTCACGCTAGGAGCTGTAGACTGGAGCTGTTCCTATTCGGCCATCTTGGCTCCAACCCTTATAATGCCTTAAATTAGAGGAGTAATAATTTGTGTGATATGCTTGGAAAAATCCTGTGATATAATTAATGCTCAGTAAAGGTTAGTGACTAATATTGTTATTCTCGTTATTTTGTTATTGGGATTTCAGGGTGTGGTAGTGGCTGGGTCCATGTGAAGAGGTTTCAACAAGTCATGAGGCCTTGCTGGTATGGCTCAAATTCCTATCGCTAAATATTTTATTGTACCTATGTGTAATGACAGAGCTAGGATTGACAAATAGTTCCTTCTTTGTTATATTAACCACTGCCCACCGACTTCTCCTGGCCAAGTTAGAAATTGCTCTTAAACGAATGTCCAAACTTCTCAGCCTTTTGTGAGACATCTTGTGTGGTTGGACTCCTCTTTAATTCTCTAAACTTCAGTTCCCCTGCACCCACACACAACTTTCTGTTCCAGTTATGCTTATCTTATAAACCTATACCTTAACATGTTATGTTAGCTGATGTAACAAAAATGGGAATTTTCATTTGGAACTAAGGGAGTAAACAGGGATCTACATAAGGGGGTGGTGGTAGTTGAGGAGTGGGAGATCCAGGAGTGAAATAAAGCACTGTTAAAGTCCTCCATCATTATGCATTCCCTATTTTCTAAATAGGGTCACATGGTGATTATCTGAATTTCCCTTTACTTTTCATCAAGCATGATGTTTCCCAAACTTAAAGACTAAAATTGTTTTCTGAACCCCACTGATGTCTTGCTTTCTCATAGAGCAGGGTTCTTTTCCTCTGTTCTTTTAACCCTCTTTGTGGTTAGACCAGATAAGGCCAGGGAGGGTACTCTTCTCCAGAGTGAAGCAGGGTTCTTCAGGGACCAGAGGCAAGCACCAACTCTGTTAGTAGAACCAACAGGGACAAGACCCTCTGGGAAGACCTCCTAGCACTGACAGATGGGAGGTGGAAGATTTGGGCATGCTTCAACAGGTTCAGTCTCTACCTGAAGTTTTATCCAAGGACAGTTATAAACTGCAGAAGTCTGGCTCATTTGTTGGTCCACACTTTAATGAATGCTATCAATCAAAAAGCATGCTGCTTGCTTATAACTGAGTTTATTGTTGTCTTCCTGAAATGATTTCTTTGGCTGTTCAGTCCCCAAACAGAAATTCATATTGGAGACCATATAGAAAACACTGTTGGGTTTTTTTTTTAATTTTTTGTAAGAGGGCAAAATTGGCCCATCTGTTTTTCTCCCTGCTCACTTGTAGACATGGAAATAGTCAGACATACCACTCATCACGGTTTGGGCTTGTTCCAATGCATTATGCTAGCCAGAGAATCTTACCTCACTTATTTCTGAAGATGGTTTCCTTTTACAAGGAAACTGCTTTGGGAAAAGGTCACATTCCGGTAACAGGGGTTTCTCTGATAGACCCAGCTGAGTGAAAGGGTATAGGATATGGAAGTCCAACCCCAACAGCCATGCATACATCTCTGTGTGCTAAAGGGTGAGTTGTCAAAGGCATTTCTCTCCATTTGCATGTGCCTTATCCTGACCTAAAGTATAAAGCAGTTTCCTCATCTATATTAATATCTTGCCCTGGGAACTCCAGAGAGTTCTTGAAAAGATCAAAAGTGATAATAATTGTGACTGTCTTTGCAACCGGAAAAAGCTGTACAAATGTAGGGACTTGGCTAGAAAACCATAGAATCTTAAGATTTGATAAGAGTTTAAAGGTTAGCTAGTCCAATCTTTTGTCCTATGCTTTAAAAAATCTGTTGTTTTATTTACTTAAAGATTTACAATCATAAATAAGCATTAACTTGGGGGCAATTGAGTCATTCAAGGTATTCAGTCATTTATTGAATACCTTGCTATTTTTTCAGAAGCTGTTCTAGTACTATAGATGCAACAGCGAATGAAACAGACAAGGTGTCTGCCCTCATAGAGCTTAAATTCCAATAGAAAGAGACCCATAGTAGGTAAGCAAAATAATAGAGATAATTTCTTATTGGGATACATGGTATGCAGGGAATTTAAGTAGGGTTATATGATAGAACAACCTTAGATTAGGTGATCAGGGAAGATTTCTCTAAGGAAGTGACACTTAAATTTAGTTTTGAATAAGAAGAAGGAGACCTGCTGCAAAGACTAAGGGGAAGAACATTCCAGGGAAAGGAGATAGCTTGTGAAAAGGCCCTGAGGGACAAGGTATGTTTGAGGATGGATGTGACTAGAATGGATTTTGGGAAAAGGAAACTATAGATGTAGCCAGGGATCAGATCATGAAGGGAATTTTAAACATACAAAAAGTATTTATATTTCATTCCAAATGTGATGGGAGGTTTTAAACAAGGGAGTTACATGATCAGTTATGAATTTTAATAAGAATCCTGATATAGTTTGGATATTTGTTCCTGCCTAAATCCCATGTTGAATTGTAATCCCCAATGCTGGAGGTGGGGCCTAGTGGGAGGTGTTTGGGTCATGGGGGCAGATCCCTCATGGCTTGGGACTGTCTTTTCAATGAGGAATTCTCACGAGATCTGTTTGTTGTAAAGTGTGACACCTCCCTCCCCACGCCCCCACTCTCTTTCTCTTGCTCCTGCTCTAGCCATGTGATGTGCCTGCCCCCGTTTCACCTCACACCATGAATAAAAGCTTCCTAAGACCTCCCCAGAAGCAGATGCCAGTGCTATGCTTCCTGTACACCCTACAGAACCATGAGCCCATGAGCCAATTAAATGTCTTTTCTTATAAATTACCCAGTCTTAGGTATTTCTTTATAACAATGCAAGAATGGACTAATACAAATCATCTGGGTGCTGTGTTGATAAAAGAATAAAAAGAACAAGGGTAGAAACTGATAGTGGTTAGAACGCTATGGTAATTGCATATTTGTTCAAAATTATTTGTTTCTCCCTTGCCAAGATATTCTGTAGGCTGAGTATATTGTCTTTCCCCATTAACTTTGTGCTTGACCATGTGACTTAATTTGGCCAATAACATGTGAGAAGTTGTAACCTATATCCTTTCTAAGCAGAGCTTCAAATTCACTTGTAGTGGTTTGGCTCTGCCAACCCTGAGTTTCTGCTCTCCACCATAAGAATAGCATGGTTTTCAGCCTAGGTCCTTAGCAGACATGTGGAGCTAAGTTGTCCCAGGATAGTCCAGCAGAGTTCAGTTGAGCTGCAGCCTTCATGGAGCTTGAGCAAGAAATAAATATTTATTTCTGGGAAACCCAGAGATTCTGGGATTGTTTGAGCCTACCAATAACTGGTAGCAGTGGAAGTGGTGAGAAGTAGTTAGAGTTTATATGTATTTTCAAGACAGAATTAACAAGACACTGATATTTGCAAGCTGTGGGATCAAAGAGAAGTAAAAGAGTCAAGGATGACTTTGGAGCAACTGGGTGAATGGGGCATCCTTTATTGCAACGGGGAAGACCTGGGGAAGAGGAAGTATAGGTGGAACCAGGAATTCATCTTTGGCCATCTGTTTTGTTTTTGGAGATGGAGTTTCATTCTTATTGCCCAGGCTGGAGTGCAGTGGTGCGATCTCAGCTCACTGCAACCTCCGCCTTCTGGTTTCAAGCGATTCTCCTGCCTCAACCTCCCAAGTATCTGAGATTACAGGCATGTGCCACCACACCCGGGTAATTTTTTTTTTTTTGGTATTTTTAGTAGAGACAGGGGTTTCACCATGTTGACCAGGCTGGTCTCGAACTCCTGACCTCATGATCTGCCCATCTTGGCATTCCAAAGTGCTGGGGATTACAGGCATGAGCCACTGCGCCCGGCCCATCTTTGGCCATCTTACGTTTGGGGTGATTATGGGAGATTTGTATATAAATTTGTATATAGATCTACTTGTGCCTCCCAATAGATCTTTATTTTATTTATTGTTTTATTTTACTTTACCTACAAAAAGAATATTTGGTAGCTTACACTGAAAGTACTGGTAAAAGCATTAATATGAGGGGATGCAGAGGGAAAATTGTATTGAGAAATTTTGGCAGAGGAAAACTGCAATTCAGTATAATTAGTTTTGAGCTTCTTAGTAACCAAAATGAAGAAGCAAAATCAGTGAGTTATAAAACTCTCATTTTCTGGGGCAGTGGTTCTCAATTTTGGCAGCAGAGTATAATACTGTAATTTGGCCAAGCACATTGTGAATGGTGACCCCTGGAACTGCAACTCGATGGTCCTGCCCAGTGCCCACTCCTAGAAATTTGAATTTAAATGGTCTGGGAAGGAGCTGGGATGCAAATAAATGTGTTTACTATTAGGTGATTCTAATATGCAGCCAGAATTGAGAATTACTAGTTTTGCAGAAAAAAGTGTACCCATTGACATGGAAAGATAAACTTGTTCCCGAGCTCTAATTAAATTTGTCTCTGGCATTTTTATGTAAGAGGTATTGAGGTATGTAATGGATAATGATACAGACAGCAATTTCACAAGTGATACAGAAGACTTCCTTCTTTGCAGTTTATTATATGTACCTTAAGTGAAAACTGTTGTGATGTTAAAATTATACTTGCATAAAATTAGCCCTCTACAAGACAGAGCGATGGAATCCAGCTATGCAGCTTTCTGGCAATTTGGCTTAGCACAGTATTAAGCTTAGGGAATCATGAAGAAGAAAGGGTTAATGCAATCCTTATGAACACCAATAGTTTCAGCAAGACTTTGTTAAGTTTGGCCAGAAAGTCACTCTGGAAGATTCCTTAGGGGGCTGAGCCTTTTGGCTGGCTCTTTCCCCCTTCACTGAGGCCTCCTTGTGGTTGGACAGGGAGTGTTTTGTGTTCTCCTTCCCTTTTCATTTTTTCACTCTTATGCTTTCCCATGCCAAGCAGGTTTTTCCTTTGGGGGAAGACACTTAGGCAGAGAATGAAATTAAGAAATAATGTAATGATGATGGTGGTAATTCTTTGCACAGCCTAAGAGCAGTTGGCTGCTAATTGTAGAACGGTAATAAGGGGGGCCCTGGGCCATAAGGTTTGCATTTGGAACACCTGTAGTTTTCATTTAACATCATGGATCATTAAACAGCTGCTCAGAATGGCCTTATTAAAACAAATACGGTTGCACTGTTTTATGCACGTGTTATATTGCAGTGAGCAGATCAGATGCAAACAGGATTCTGTAAAAAAAAAAAAAAAAAAGACACCTTAAGCATACTCTAAAGGTACTATCCCACAAAGACGAATGTAGCTGAGTATTTTTCTGCCTTTATGAAACTGAAAATGATTGAACTTGTTGGATTTTGCTTTAAAACTTCTTGCTGTGGCTGAGGGGCATGGAAAGTGTGCAATGAGCATCTTCTATGGGGGAGGCGCTCATTGAAGTCACTGGCATGCTCTAAAACTGGCCTGACAGTTGTGTTTCTCTCACTGAAAAAAAGCAAAGTGTGCTATCCACTGTAATGTGAATATGACCTTCTGGGATGGCGGAGAGCTTTCCAGGGATTTTTCATCACTGGGGATGTGTTTGTTCTATGTTATCCACACTGACACTGATATCCTCTTATAAGTTTTATTACACACTTGTAAGATGACTAATTAAAATTAGATACTGAGTTTGTGCCCAGGGTCAGGCTGCAAGCAAAAGTTGGGGTGTAGAGTTTTTCTTTTTTTTTTTTTTTAGAGACAGGGTCTCACTGTGTTGTCTAGGCTGTAGTACAGTGGCGTGATCATAGTTCACTGTAGCCTTGAGCTCCTGGGTTCAAGCGATTCTCCTGCCTCTGCCTCATGAGTAGCTAAGACTACAGGCATACACCACCACTCTTAGCTAATATTTTTAATTTTTGTAGAGATTGGGTCTTGCTATGTTGTCGAGGCTGGTCTTGAGCTTCTGGGCTCAAAAAATCCTCCCACTTCAGCCTCCCAAAGCTCTGGGAGTATAAGCATGAACCACTGTGCCCAGCCCTAGAGTTTTTCTTGATTTTAAAATAATTGGCCTTTGGTGGAGATAATTTTCTAATTATTTTTCAAAAGATGTTTTGGATGCTTCCAGATGCAAGATGCAGTTTGGATAGGCACATGGTGTTTTTAGGTATATTTTATGAGAATGACAGTGAGAAATGTATGGTGTGTGTGTGTGTGTGTGTGCACATGTGCACACATGAGAGAGACAGCAAGAGAGATATCCATCAACGTTACACTCCAAATATGGATTAATCCTAGAGAAAGTATGATCCATCAACATCAAGCTCCAAATGTGAATTAATCTCTTATATAATGACACAAATTTATGACCATAAGTGACCCTTTACATCTTATAGTAATTCTATGCAGGAATCTTTTAATAGATATTATTTGTGGCCTTAATTTCATTAAAGGGCAAGCACCATACCCCATGTGCCTTCCTGCAGTCCCAAGTGGTCTTCAGACTAGAAAAGAGATCTTGGCAAGGGCGGTTTCTTGGTGGTCTGAATTACAGTTACTGTAAAGAAAATTAGGGGCAACGACATAAATTTTGAGCAGATGAACTTGACTTGCAGTATCCTCCATGTGCTTTCCTGTCTTATCTCCCCTGTAGATACCCCTTCCTTGCTCGGGTGCCTTGCTGCCCCAACCTATTTCCTGGCTCTGGACTCTATTGTCAAGTCAATCATTGGCAAAATTGTTAAAGCTAGCAGTTTGTTCTTGGTGTTCTTTACTCCCGCCGGCAGGCTTCATTCCTTTCTTTCCCTTGATGGGCCAGCCTTTCCTCTTTTTCCCACTCCCTTGCATTCCCAGAGAGGTTCCCAAACCTCTTCAGATTTCTTCCATTCCACCCCTGTCAAATCTTGCTTTTGGAATGATGGGGAACCGCTGCAACATGAGGGGGAAATGACTGATGCAGCTAAGTGCACTGCAGCAGGAAACCTGACTTTTAGCTAATGAGATGAAGTATTACCATCAGACATTGAGTCATATGCTAGTTGGAGGTGAGGTCAGGGGTAGAGGGGGGATGGAAGAGTTTAGTTCCTTCCTGTTATATTCTGAGATCAAATCACAATAAGTGAGTGGTTCTTTTCTGTGTTCTTCTCTTATTGGACTCAGCTTTGAACCTACCAGGCAAGAGCCTAGACCAATGGTAGGCTCTCAATAAATATCTTTGAATGACTGAATGAAGCAATGGGCAGGAGGGTCTTTTGCAGATAACCTCACAGTGGTAGCTCTGTCTATGTTACAAGCTAGACCCTGAACATAAAGAGAAGCACCTCCAAGCAGAGAAATATTATGCTGCCCAGAGCATTGTCCAGGCCTCCAGCTTGTGGTCAGGGTTCACTGAAAGACACTTCTTTGCTGAGCATTATGGCCCTCAAGAAGCATCTGATTTCTGTTCCATCATAGTTGAAGAAGAATGGGCAGAAGCAAGCTTTTCCTTCCATTTAGGAGAAGCAGCAGCTTCTTAAACCCACTTTCAGATTGCCTTAATCCAGCCTTGTTAATAAAGAATCTAATTTACCTGGCCTACTCCATTTTCAACAGACCTACTGGGATTCCAGAAATATTGGAAGGAAAAAATCATGTTCGTTTTAGTTCTGATTTTTATTTGCATGGAGACTAACTACTTTCAGGTTTTGCCTGTTTCTTTCAGGTCTTGAGTCTTTGGCTTCAAGCTAATTTGTATAAACGAAAATTCAAAGTACACACACACACACATATACACACACACGCACACACGTACCCCTACACCTTTCAGGCGAGCCAGGCCCAGGTCCGTGATTCTCCTCCAGGTTTCTAATCTGCAAGGCATGACTTGACTGCAAGGACAAATGTACAAAGACTCAAACCACTGGTGTTCCCTTCCCGGTATGTTTCTCATCACTTCTGCCTTAAAAGTTCTAGGGCATTTGGGAAATGCAAGATTGACCACTGAGAAAACTCCTGCTTCTGGGAGTTACTGATGAACTCCCAGAGAGACATGTAAATAAGGTGTGTTTGCCCATAAGGAGATTCTTTGATCCTTAAAGTATTATAAGCAAGATTGTATTTAGATAATGTTCTACAAGGAAAATTAGTTATTAGCTTATTCATTTTTTTCACTCTTTTACTCACTCCTACCAGACTCTTAATTGAGCACCTATGCTACAAGGGAGAACCTTGCAAACACGAGTTATACCCTCTGGCCTCTGGAAGTCCTCTTCATTCTCTTCTGCCTTGGCAGAAAAGTTTGAAAAGCAGTGCCATCAGATACATGAATTCCCTCTAAACAAGTGTGCTGGCTTCAACTTATTCCTTTAAGGAAATAAATGGCTGGGGGAGAAAAATTCAGATGTAATACCCCATTCTTATTTGGGATAATTAAAATAGAAGACAGTTGCCATTGGTGACAAGCCTGATTTAGCGTATAATTTTTAGAGAACTAAGTTTTATTTCTTTCAGGTGTATGTAATGAATTAACTGTTAAAAGAATATGGGTAGGTAGATGTCTTGGCATATCTGTGATTAATAGGTAATTATTTTATTAAGATATTTTTATAATTATAAAAATAATGTATGCACTATATAGAAAGTATTGAAAATATGAAACAGTTTAAAGAAACGAAGTGTGGCTGGGCACAGTGTCTTATGCCTATAACCCCAGTGCTTTGGGAAGCCGAAGTAGGAAGATCACTTGAGCCCAAGAGTTCAAGACCAGCCTGGGCAACATAGTAAGACCCCATTTGTATAACAATAACAAAAAAAGAAATGAAGTGTATGATTCCAGCCCTCAGAAACAACTGCTTTTAACATAGGTCCACATCCCTTATCTGGTCCTTGGAGCCAATTGTGTTTTGGAATTCAGATTTTTTCAGATTTTAGTAAGGTAATCAAATATGTGTACTGTAGATCTTATCCTCAGTGGAACGTGGGGCAGTGCTTCATAATCAAACACAATAATATTTTTGCAGTAAAACATATAAATGTTCACTCTAAGCCAGATAAATAAAGACCATAAATAACCTCACAATTTTGCATTATCAAATTTTGATACCAAATGAGTTATAAAAATCTTTCCATTTCAGATCCCTTTGTATTTTGGAATTGCATATAAAGGATTGTGGACTTGTATTTTAGCATAACATTTAGACAATTTCTAAGCATTCATGCATGGTTGGGGCATCAGGGCCCTTGAGCAAGGAGTACCTACAGGGGAGAGGAGGCAAAGTACATACAGGATACTGTAAGCCAACTTCATCTGCTCAAAATTTGCATTGATTGCTCCTACTTTTCTTTATTGTGACTGTGATTCAAACCACCAAGAAACTGTCCTTGTGAGGCATAAGAGGAGTTTAATGTACACAGAGATTTGTGTTTTTCATACTGATAGAAGTATATTTAAGGGATTGGGGTCCTGTGCCTTCAAAAGGTGCCTGATAGCAAGGAAATGTGGCTCAAAAGGATTTGCCTGTATACACTCTTGTTGTCAGGCCTTTGATAGCTTTGGCCTCAGTTTTGCCCATAGATGATGACTCTCACATTCGTCCACTTGGATCTGTCATCTCCTGCTGGGGGTGACCCTACATGTGATCCTGCCTCTGCTCCCAATTATCTTTAGCTCAAAGGCCAGATTGTGACAGCCTGCCCATGCTCTCCAAGCAAACAAATCCCATCCTATCTCTGGTTTTGTTTTTGCAAATCTATTTTGGCATTGACATTTCACAGCGACCCTGCCCTGCTCTACTTGGTCAAGTTAAGACAAGCATGACCTGAAAAATGGTTGAGAAAAAAATAGAGGTGAAGGTTAAGTGCATGCAGCGTCCGTTCAAATCGAAGAGATGGCTTGAGAGGCAAGTGTCAGAAATTAAGCAAGTAAACAACAGAACACTGTGAGCCATTGGTTTGTAACATGACAGCTGCCTGTCTGTGCCTCTTACTGTGTCTGTGCTCTAGATTTCAACATTCTACCAGATAATGAACATTTTGCAGAAGCAAATGTCAGAACTCTTCTATGCAAGCAAAGACAGGAAATTTGGTGAAATGATAACTAATGGATGAAAAAGTATTGAAAACCTATAATTACCTGTGATAAGCAATATGTTATGCTTTCTTTTCTCTGTTCTAAATCTGCCACTGCAGTTTTTCTTGTCTAATGCAGTATTTCAGGCAGGCATTGCTTTTCAATTATATATCTCAAGCTGAAGTTCCTGCTGACGGGGAGAACGAAAGCACATTTTGGTTATTATGTTTTTCCTTCCCTTCCTCATAGACTCCAAGTGCCTATATGCTAATAGAAACCCAAATGACAGGAAGTCCAAATGGAAATGTTATTAGAAAGCTATGGGTATGTAGTTAATGAAATATGTATGATTGCAATAATGCAGGACATGTGTAATATTGATGGGAACTCAACTGATCTCAATATTTAATAAAGGCTTAATTTAAAATATGGATATTTGGGGGAGTGGGTTGTTTTATTCTTTTTGCAAACATGGCATATGTTAATTTCTTGCTGAGAATTTGTCTGGTGGATTCAATTTCCTTCTGTAATTTCTCGTTTTGAATATTCCTTTTTTTTTTTGAAAGCACACTTCCATATGCTGATCTAGACTGTTATTCCTGAATGTCCTTGGATGAGAGAAGGACTAATAATATGTTTTGAGGCAGTCTGGAGCAGCTAAATGAACCACTAATGATTCCCTATGGTCTACTATAATTGGCATTTGAACCTACTCTTTGAAAATTTGGGCCAAGAATTAGCCTTAGACACTGTTCTTAAAGAAGCCTGAGGGTGTTGTTGTGGTTGTGGTGGTGGTGGTGCTGGTGGTGGTGGTGGTTTGAGACAGGGTCTGGCTCTGTGGCCTTGGCTGGGGTGCAGCAGTGCCATCTCGGCTCACTGCAAACCTCCACCTCCCAGGGTCAAGTCATTCTCCTACCTCAGCCTCCCCTGTAGCTGGGACTACAGGTATGCACCACTGTGCCCTGATAATTTTGTATTTTTTGTAGAGATGGGGTTTTGCCATGTTGCCCAGGCTGTCCTCCAACTCCCAAAGTGCTGGGATTACAGGCATGAACCACCTCCACCAGCCAGAAGCCTGAGTTTCTAGTTTAGGCATTCGTTAAAATGGTGGATCCTAGGAAATGAATTTATGCCGGCTGAAATTGCCTGTGTAGTTACTGGATAATGTACTTGCAGATTGGTTGAGCTCCAGTCTTTTTCGAATGCCAAGAAAATTATAAGCTATAGAGATTATTAATATTGAACAGCAAAGGGGGATAGACAGACAATTGGAAACTGTAATCCACCAAAACTACTGTCTTCTTGGATTTATGAAATTATTTTAGTGTCATGTCTTTTTCAATTCTTTGCCCTTCTGAGAATTTACACAATTTAAACAAAGTGTTAATATATTATTTTGCGTCTTTTTTGCCCAACATTTTTACATATATGCTATTTTTTTTCTTACTAAGACCCCTGTGAAGAGAGATCTGTGTATCCATTTTAAAGCTGAGAAAACTGAGTCACAGAAAGGTGAAGTAACTTTCCCAAGGTCACCTATGGAGCTAGAAATGGTAGGGCTGGGATTCTAAGTTAGTTCTGTCTGTATGAAACAGAAAATGAAAAATGATTAGATCCTCAGGTGTGCAATATAAAATGATATGAAGCAAGATAAATAGAAGAAACAATTTAAGAACTGGTTAAAATTTGTCTTCAAGACTTATTTACCCTTTGTGGCTTACTTCTTTGTGAGACCGAGCCTTGGACTAGAGTAGAGAATGTGGATGACTTGGTAACAGCCATCTCTATGCTAAAGAACCAACTTAAAATGAATGTCCTACTAATACGCAGTCATGGGGATCATATCCAGCTGTGGGACATAGCACTTTTTTTTATCTATGAGCCAGACTAAGTACCTTACACTGGTGCTGGAAGAATGATTATGCTGCCCATTCATTTGCTTAGGGTGAAGGAGCATGTATTTCTAATCAAACAATCTATTTATTTGCCCATTGAGAGAGTGGGATGGAAGGAAGAATGATTATGCTGCCCATTTGTTTGCTTAGGGTGAAGGAGCATGTATTTCCAATCAAACAATCTACTTATTTCCCTATTGAGATAGTGGGATGGAAAACAAGTTCATGAACAGATGCATTTTGTGTAGCCTATTTTCTGTGTTGTATAAGGATTACCTATCAGGGTGTAGGCTGTGGTGAAATACCACTCTGGGAGACTCTGGGAAGCCAGAGGTGGGATGGCAGCTTTAAGTGTGTATGAAAGCACTCAAAGTTAAGAGCTTTATCTTTGATGTCAGGTTTCCTGAATTGGAATACCAGCTTTACCATTCAATAGGTAAAATTCCTGAATGTAAATTTGCTCAATTACAAAATATGGATAAGAAGTACTTTCCTAATAGAGATTTGGGGAGGATTGAATATGTTATTACATGTAAATACTTAGAATGGTATCTGGCTCATAGTAAGCCCTTAATAAATGTTAAATGTTGGCCATTATTCCTTTTAGCTCCTGTATGCTGATCTGGACTCTGGTATTCCTGAAGTATGGCTCAAAATGGAATGCAGTTGTCTCTTGATATCCTTGGGGGATTGGTTCTATGACCTCCTGTGAAGACCAAAATCTGTGGATGCTTAAGTCTTTGACATAAAATGACATAGTATTTGCATATAACCTGTGCACATCCTCCCATATGCTTTAAGTCATCTCTAGATCACTTATATTACCTAATAGAATATAAATGTTATGCAAATAGTTGTTGTAATATATTGTCTGGGAAATAATGACAAGAAAGAAAAGTCTGTACATGTTTAGTACAGATGCAATTCTTTTTCTTGAATATTTTCTACCTGTAGTTGGTTGAATCCAGGGATGTGGAACCATAGATGTGGAAGGCTGACTGTATATGGCTCTTTAGAAAAAATGGCATTGATCTAATTACATCAAAAGCATTTTGAGGAGTGTTTTTCTGTCTCTAAGAACCCAGCCAATGAGATGACTGACATCTCCTATGACATCTAGTTGGGTTCTGTATTTATCCCATTTTTTATGTTCCTTTTCCTTGGGTTTGTGTGTGGTTTTAGGACCCCTATTGCAATGTGTCATTTCTGTCCTGGAATTGATAAAGAACATGTTCACTAAATATGCCCAAGTGGAAGCAGATTTTCTAGAAGTGCAGTGACATGCATTGAGAAGGAAATTGATTAGCCAAAGACTTTAATTGACTTGTCTGAGTTTGTCATTTTAATTATTAGGTTTTTAATGCTAGCAAGTCAGTTAATAGTACCAAGAGAACAACTGCTATTGTCAGGGAGTAAATAATGGTAGTATAGTCACTGTAGTGTGAAGGTTATTTTTGTATCATGTTTCATTGTGCTAGCCTGTCTGATTTATGGCTGTAACTAGCTGGCCCTGGCTCTGGCCCTATCTGCTCACGCAGTGATTTTAAGCATGTCTTTCTCAAAAAGACCCTGCCAAAGTATTTATGGGAGTCTCTAGGGGTTATCTTATATGAGCTATGAATTAGCCCGACCACCATCACTGCTACTGCTACTATGCCCCAGACTCTCTGTGCTGCTGCCTTGCCAGCCTGCTGTGCCCTGCTGATTGTCCTGGATATTGATGCTGTCAATCCTTATGGAGCAATGAGACCTTGGTAGTCAACTGCAAGGTCAGAAGGGGCATCAGTTCCTCCTTCCTGCATTATGCTTCCTTAGGGAAGTGTCATAGCGTGGCCATTTGGGTCCTGGGGTGTTGCAAAGTTTAGTCAGCACATTTGCCTTTTACTCACAGTCTTTATATCCCAGAGCACACATTTGCCCAGTCAGAGGACTTGGGCTGAGATGTCCGAGAGTTTTTTGAAGGACAATTTTGTTGAATACAGAATTCTAGATGGTGTTTTGTTTTTCTTTTAACACTTTAAATATTTCACTCCGTGCTTTTCTTGCTTGCATGGTTTCTGATGAGAAGTCCAATGTAATTCCTATCTTTGTTCCTCCATACATAGGTAAGTTGAATTTTCTCCTCTGATTTCTTTCAAAAAATTTCCCTTGTCTTTGGTTTTCTTCAGTTTGAATATGATATGCTAACTTGTAAATTTTATATTTATCCTGCTTGATATTTTCTGAATTTCTTGGATCTGTGGTTTGGTGTCTGCCATTAATTTTGGAAGTCTCAGCCACTATTATGTCAACTATTTCTTCTGCTCCTTTCTATTATAGTTATCTAGATATTTACAATTACTTGGCTTTTCCTTTATTCCTGAGGTACCAAGTTTCTTTTTGGTATTATTTACCTTTTTTTCTGAAGAAATTCCTTTAACAATTAAGAGCAGGTCAGATGTTTATGAATGTATTTTCCTTTGAGATTCCTTTTAAAACTTTACCTTCATTCCTGAAGGATATTTTCACTGGACACAGAATCTGGGATGACAATTATTTTCTTTCAGCAATTTAAAAGTGCCATGCCACTTGCTTCTAGTCTCCATCGTTTCTAATGAGAAATCTACAGTTCTTCATAACACTGTTCCCCTATAGGTAATGCAGTTTTTGTTTTCAAGATTTTTTTTTTCATGTCTAGTTTTTAGAAGTTGAATATGTTGTCTCTAGACATGCATTTCATTGGATTTATCCAAACTGGCTCTTCCTCCTTCTTGAATTTATAGGTTTATGTCTTTTGCCAAACTTGAGAAGTTTTCACCCATTATTTCTTCAAAAATATTTTTTTATCACTCCACTATTTTTCTTGTTAAATCTTTCGTTGCTATCCCACAGGTCTCTGAAACTCTATTCAATTTAATAAGCCTTTCTTTAGTCTCTGCATTTCATAGTAGGTATTTCTTTAGAACTATCTTCAAGTTCACAGAATCTTTCGTCTTTTTTCTTCATTCTGTTTTTGAGTTTAGTGAAGTTTTATTTGTTATCGTATTTTTAGTTCTAAAGTTTCCATTTGGTCCTTTTTAAAATATATTTTATTTCTTTGCAGGTATCTTTGTATTTTTTGTTTGTTTCAAGTATTCATAATGGTTCATTTGAGCTTATAATAGCTTCTTCAAAATCTGTATCAAATAATTTCAAAACCTGTGTCTTCATCTCATTACTGACCTCTTGATTGTCTTTTCCTATGGGTCAAGATTCATGTGGTCCTTCATATGCCTAGTAATTTTGAATTGTATCATGGACATTTTGAATATTACCTTATGAGACTCTGGGTCTTATTTAAATCCTATGAAGCATGCTAATATTTTTGTTTTATCAGGCAATTAATGTGGTTCAGTTCAAACCAAAGTTCAAGTTCCAACACATCTGTATGCTGAGATTTCTATGTCAGTTTAATTTCAAAACTTTTGCCATGCTATTTGAATCTGTCCTGCATGTGTGCTACCCACTGGCCAGACTGGCATCTGGGTAGTGGTATATCTGTTAGTTTAGTTCTCAAAGTCATTGGTATGCTCATTTGGATCAGAGCCACACATGCACAGTCTGGGGGTGAACCTGGGTGTTCATAAGCAACTTTTTAGGGTTGCTTTCCTGAGCTCCTCCTTCTCTTCAATCTCCTCAGTACTTTATGGTTTCCTGGGGCTCTCTTTTTTTTGTCTTCTGGCCAGAAAATATCTACTTTCATGATTGTACTATTGCTAGAGCCAAGCAGCAAGAAGGCAGAGAGAGAATACAAAGTAATGGGACTTGGCCCTACTCTCTTGGAGCTGCAGCTTAACCAAATGGAGAGAAAGGTTCCCCTCTTTTAGAGTTTGGCCCCAGCAGTTTTCCAGTACCTGCTGCTGCCACTGTCATTGCTACAGCTGCAGGATTGCCTAGAGGATGGGACACAATAAAAATAAGAAAGAAGGCTAGTTTTCTTCCACCTTATGAGTGTTAGGAGTTTCCTGTTCTTGAGCCAGTATTAGAGAGCTGCTTCTGGGGCTTTCTCTATCTGTACCACAATACTCACTTTTGGGTTTCTGGCTGGCTTGATTTCTGACCAGTGGGTACAGGAGGGGGAATGTGGTAAACTCACCACAGGGTTGGTGGTATATTAAATTCTAGTGTTCTTCCTTGTGTTCCCTGCAGTTATTTACTTTTCAGAGTCCTTAAGTAGATGTTTCATGCATTCTGTCCAGGTTTTATGATTAATTTCAGTGAGAGAAAAAAGTCTAGCATGTGCTTATTCCAAATTACCTGGGTCCAAAACTAAATTCTGCTCTTTAGAGTAATTTTAGTTGTCATAGGAAATGATTCATTTTTGTTTTGGAAGAAAGAAAAAAGTAAAAACTTAATTAACTGGAACTCTTCAGTACATAAAAATGTTGTTTCTTCTTGGCTACAGCAAGTTTAAGATTTTTGGGGGGTGATGCCTTAAGTTCGGCAAACATTCTGCTTAATTTTGAGTATATCCTCACACATAATTCCCAAGTTTGGCACATAAAAGATGGTGATTGGGCATATAAAGCCAGTACACTAACTGGAAATACTGGGATTTGAACTCAGATATGACTAATGTCATAGCCTAAGCTTTTTTACCACCATATTATGCTGCCTTCTTAATTTAAATACATGCTGCCCCAAACACACATTTTTTTTTTTTTTACTGACTGGTACATTATTATTCATTCCCTTGACCCTTCCCCTCAACCTCTGTGGGAGGAGTATACTTTCCTACCCCATTGATGATGGAGTTGGCAATGTGATTTGCTTTGACCTAGTGGTGGCTGGAGTGTGGTCCCCCACTCTGGGCTTAACCGTGTGACTAGGTGGAACTGGCAAAAGCAGAGGCTTGGAATATGCTTTTGTGGTTGGCCTTGCCTGCCCTCTTGTCCTTCGTCCATCACCGTGAGAAAAACGTGCCCAAGGATCCTGCCATTTCAAAGAGAGTAAAAGAAATGTGTGACATATCTGGATCCAACCAACAGCTTGCAGCCAAGCCCAGCTGCAGCCAACCTAGATGAGTGACATGTGAGTAAAAAAAAAAAAAGTGATGTTTCAAGCTTCTGAGTTTAGAGGTGGTTTGCTATGCAGAATTATTGTGGCAACTGATAGACTAATTATGACCATGTAAGTATTTAATCGAGGACTTCTCATGTTTCCATATGAAATTTAAATGAACACAGGATTTTGACTTAAATCTCAATACCTAGGAATAGACACATTTCTGATCTCTTCTCTGTTGACTTCTTATTCTATTTTCACCTAAAAGAGAGTTCTTACTAAGGAATGAGCTCCCCCTTCCCTTCCCCCTCCCTTTAACTCCATCTCTGGTGGTTCTTCCAAATTCCACCAAGTTTATTTGGGGCTTCAGAATATAAGTAATGACTTAATGAGTGAGAAACCACAGTTTATACTTCCTTAAACTGGGCTTATTTCCCTTAGTCCCCTTTATAAATGCAGCATCAGCATCCCCATAGGTCTCTCTGCATGGTTTATGCTGATAAGAAACTGCAGATCACAGGTCTGTGCACTGGTGTACTTCTCATGACTCTGTTTCTTCCCAAGTGGTGTAATGAAGTGTAGGATTTGGACAGACTTAGGCTTGAATATTACTTCTATGCTTTAATGTTTGCAGGACTGAGGGTAAGCTACATACCATCTTGAGTCTTAGATTCCTTAAATGTGAAATGGATGATAATCTCTGTCTAGCCTCCCTCATGGCATTGTTGTAAGTTCCAGGAGCTCAATATTAAGGAGATCTTATGATTTTTGTTATCTACCTTGGGTATGTTCAGCTATTAGCTCAAAGCAGTCACCATGAACAGTCACTCATGTTGCAATTGCAACATGCTCTCTTCTTTGTCTTCCTTAGGAGAGGGAGTTTTCAGTGAGCTGGAGCTTGGCAGTTCCATCTCACCACCTCTGGCTCTGACACAGCCTGGGCTAGGCAGTCTCACTCTCCATCTGCACCCTTCTTCTACTACCTGAGTAGGAGGATCCTAACCACACTCACCATATGCCTAGGATCCAGAGAATTCTGTTTCCTTGACAACAGGAATGCAGGTGTCAAAGCAAGCCAGCTTTGAAGAGCCACAACAGTAGCAGGGATGCTGCCCTTGTCTCTACATTGCTTTTGGCTTCTTGTGTTTGTTCCCACTAGTTGTTCAAACGCACAGTGTGTATGTGACCGATCAACTAAAGAAAAAAACAAAAAACAAAAAAAACTATGTAGCCTAGCTGCTTTCTTCCAGTGGCAAAGGCCCTAACGTTGTTTTGCAAAAATAAAGAAGTTCTTCTACCTCACTCTTGATGGTCTTTTTAGAATCAGCCAACCTGTGGACCCTGGTTATAACTACTATAATTATGATTGCATTTACCCTTTGGTTCACGGGCTTAATTGGTAGGGCTTTACAGTGGAAGGGAACTCTTTTGTTATTGAATATTTACCAAGTGTCAGGTACTTTACATTCTTTATATCATTTATTCTTATTTAGTCCTCACATCAGTCCTTTTATACCCATTTTACAGATCAGGAAACTTAGAGTTAATGATCAACACATTCAGAAGATACACCTACATTTTTCTGAATCCAACATTTGTACTTTTCATGACATCACACAGTCACTATTTGCATATTGCTTGTTTTTGGTCATTCTAGGAGTATGGTAATATATGCTCTACCATCATTTTGATGAACAGTGGTTGGAGTCAGGATGTGGAACCAGACAGCCCTGGCTTTGTGTTTTGGCCCTATCATTTATTATCTGTGTGATCTTAGAAAACTCATTTCATCTCTCCAAGTCTCAGTTTCCTTATGGGAATAATAGTTTTTTGGGGGGATTAAATGAGATGATACATGTGAAGGAACTTGTGTAGCACCTGCCATAGTGTCTGACCCATAGAAAACACTCAATACATATTGGCTAAAAAGTCATCTGTCTCAAAGCAGAAGTACCATTGGAGCAAAAAATCTCTTCTGTTTGTTTTTACAGGACATTAGCAGGTTCTTCAGAACTTAGTTACAGGAGTTTAGAACTAGAAGGGATCTAGGGTTGGTTAGTCCATACGTCTTGTTTTTCATGTAGTGAAACTGAGGTTCAGAGTACGAGAGTGACTTGGATTTGTGTTGTCCTCCACTACTTCCAATTGCAACACACAAGGTCTCATGATAAAGTCACTGACTTTGGGTAAAGAATTTCATCTTTCTTGGCCTTGCTTTATCCATTTGAAAACTGGCAATGATCTCTATCTTCCTACTTATCAGACCTGGGATTTATAAGGAGAAAATGAGATTTTAGGTATTTGTGATTAGAAAAACATACATTTCCTCTAGGCTGCTCCCTTTTCCCACACTCCACATATCCTGGTGCTTCCCAGGCCAGGACTGCAATTCAAGGAGAGTCTGCCTTCTCTGGAAATCTCCTTACCCTCTTTGCAATCATTACTGTCAAAACTTCCTTGCCCTGTGTTCCATTCCTTTTGGGACCTGTTGTCTGTCAAACTCACCTGATAAAGTAAAATATAGACTGATGTCTATAAGGTGTTAATGGTCTAATGTAGTAGCTTTTCCCACATATCATATGCATATTAACAGAAGCCTTCCCTTATAGGAATGATATTCAGAGGGATTTCATGCATAAAGATGCAGGCTTATAGAAGAGAGCAATTTGAGTAGGTGGACTCTCTTCTCACACCACCTGGATAAGTCACTTGGAAAATATCTATCTTTTGGAGCCTCCTTAGAAAAAAATGGAACGTCTTCTTAGGGCTACAGTGAAGTTTGGCCTTGCCTTGGTAGCCTTTTGTAGCAGTTGAGTGGCAGAAGTAGAATTTGTCTCAGGTCTTAGTGATGGGGCCTATCCTGCTTGGGTTCTGGGGCTGGAGGTTGGTATTTGAAACCTTTTAAAGAGTATTTAATGGGATGGGTATTGAGATGTGTCTCAATCTGGATAAAATCAGCAAGAGTAATCCTGTTAGTATCAAGGACAAGGGCATCTCTGGCCATTCCTTTGAAGGCAACAGAATCCAGTGGTCACAAAGTAGCTGGTGCTCATTTTCATCGTTCCCTCCATTCTTATCAGTACAGAAACCAGCATACTGCCTGATCACAAAGGGTGGGCCAGTCTTGGTAATTGGCGTGGGAACCAATTCTTTTCAACTAGTATTTACAGTGAGGCATTGAGACAAGAACTCTTCCTGCCTTGTCGTTGGTGCTGTGTCTTTTCCTAGTATTAGTCTCAGCATATAAGAGCAAGTGTTTGTAGGTATCTTCTAGTTCACTACCAGTGGGGGTGACTTGCCCAAGGTTGTAGAGTGAGTTCATGGCTTAATGAGGGCTATAGCCCAGAGATCCTGATGCCCTGCTTTGTGTTCTTTCTAGTGTACCACACTGTCTGTCTTGTATAGGTTAATACAGCATGGGCAGAAGGTATGGTTTCCAGAAGCCCCCTGTTTTATATGTATGTATATATGTATGTGGGTATACATGTACACACATGATGTGTGTGTGTGTGTAGTGCTTAGGACAGTGGCTGGCACTCCTACTGTTGAGTTATCCCTCGAACATTTTAGCTATCATTATTATTACTGATAATATATTCTATGCATACACAGCAAATATGAAGGCCTTGAAATTCTGTAGCCCACTCTTCTTAGTTCGTTGATGAAAGTTTTTGGAAATCTCTCACATATCTTAAATCATCATAACAATCTCATGGAGTTAGCATTTGTATTGCTATTATTGTTGTTGTGGTTACTGTTATTATCTCCAGTTGGCTCAGAAAAGCTGAATAGCTGGACCAACAGATACAGAAAATCAGTGATGGAGCTGAGTTGACCAAGGCCAGTGATTATGCTCCTACACCAGAGCCTCCTTCCTAAGAGCTGTAGAGTGAACCTGGATAGCTCAGCTGATAGGCCCTTTGACTTGTAATCTGAGGGCCAAGCTGTAGAATAGGTATCACAGCAGGCTGAAGTCCTGAACACAGAGCAGGTCAGCAATAGATATGCAAGAGCAGGTCCAGGGATGAAGGGGAGCTGTTGTATGTAAGGAGCAGATGCCTGAGAGTAGGAGCTGAGGGGCAGTGGCACCTGAGATAGACTTCACTTATCAACCAATTCTGTTAAGACCAGCCATACTCATGAGAGTACCTCTCCTCATCTCAACTCCCCTTTACCTCTCCTCATCTCAACTTCCCTTTACCTCTCCTCATCTCAACTTCCTTTTCCAAGTATTCTCAAGAAATGTCACCTAATTGGGATGCAGCTGACAAAAATAATGGACTAAGATCAATTTAAAAGGCCCAGCTCCACTCTAAGAATATAATACAGCAATATATTTGGGAAACAGAAGGTGGAGGAAAAGAAAGAGAGAGAGAATATGAGAGAGGGAGGGATAGAGATATGAAAGCATTTCACAGGCAAAATCTAAACATATAAAATATAGAGGTAAAAAGCAAGCAGCTGTGTAAGAACAAAAGAATATTCTGCTGCTCCTTATGCTGCGTGCTGCCCAGACTCTTCAATTGCAACTCCTACTAAATAATAATGTAGGCTCTCTCTTTGCTCCAGCTCAAAGAGAATAGTAAAGCAGCAAAACACTCAAAGTTACAGTAGGGCCACAGATAAAAGTTGATGACATGGATTCCCTCCTCCTACTCCCACTTTGGCAACACCTACTAGAGAAGCACAATGATAGAGAATATATTGAACAAAGAAGGAAAAGACATTTGAGCCCATGTGGGGGAAGAGAGCCTTTTTTTGCTTCCCCAGTGAGATATTTTGATGATTGCTAATGGCTATAGTGCTCAATTTTGTGGAAGAAAGTGGGAGTGGAAGGAGAGGCTAGTTATTCCGGTATCTCAGTTCTCAATAGGACATACCTATCTTACATGCGAAACTCACATGTCAGATACCATCATAAACATTAATTTCTAGATTCTTCTGCAGATTCAAAAAGTCAAAGAAGTTGGACACTGAATTTTACCCATTTACAGGAAGACATGAAATAGTGGACTGATATTCCAGGTTTTAGAAAGGAAGTAATGATGGTTTGCATGAACCATAGACTGGCAAGCTTGATGTCAGTCTTAGACAATGATTCTAGAAATTGCTATTAAATGATGGCTTATAATCCAAAGAAGAGTTACTAGCAATAAGTGGGAGTTTACATGGGTTTACTGAGAAGAAGTCATGTAATACAAACATCATTCACTTATTTAATAGGGTTAGCTGAGTGATAGCCCTGGGGAATGTAGCATATACTATGTATGTCACTGCTATTCTATCATTTCACAAGATTTTTTATGACATCTTTGTGGAATGTATGAAGATCTGTGGCCTCACTTATACAATTATGTCAAGCAGTAGTTTGTTGAAGTAACACACCCAAAAGGTATGGGAACAAATCTGGACAGTGTTACTATGACAGTTTCTACTCATAACTCACTGGGTTCTATCTTCAAGCCTGTCCTGTAAGACATTTTTATTAATCACTTGGTTGAAGTTATTTAAAAAACAGGCTCATCAGATTTATAGAGGGATAGTAAACAGAATAGAAACCAGAATTAAGATTCTATAGATTTTGACATGTTTGGTGAATGGGCTGAATCTGCAAGATAAAATTTAATAGAAGTAGGAATAAAATACTATCGGGGGTGGAAATAATCAAGAAACATTAACAAAATACAGAGTATGGATAAGCAGGGCTTGTGTAATAAAGGTTTAAGGGTTTCAGTGCACAATGAGCTCAAATGTAAGTTAGCTATGAGATAAGGCTATGCAATTTTAAGATACATTAATATAGTGGTTCACACACTTGGTTTCCCAAGCTTCAACCCTGAAACTCTCAGGCTGAGGCCCAGGAATCAGTATTTTTAAAGGTCTTCAGGTGTCCAATAAGAAACCAAGATTGAGAACCACTGTGATGATAGAATCTGAGGAAATTGATAATCCCATTGTAATGTTTATTGATGGAACTATCCCTGGAATATTTCAATTAATCTTACACAACACCTTTTACAAACTGGAGCCCATTTAGAGCAGAGTGACAAGAATGGTGAGGGGACTTAAAATCATGCAAACCATGCCATGTGAGAAACGTTAAATGCTTAATCTCAGGGAAGAAATAAAAGCTGCTCTCAAATGAGTGTGCCAGAGAGATTACCCTTATCCTTTCTGGCTCCAGAGATGAGAACTACAACCAAGAAAACCAAGTGACATGGACATACATTTTAACTCAATTACAAAAAATCATTCTATAGGGGCTGTTAATGATATAATGGGCAGCCTCAGAAATAAATGATTACCCTATAATTTGGGGACTCCAAGCCATTTGACTGACCAGTTGGTGAGGAGAATGTGGAGAAAGCTTATGTTATTCAAGACTCTTTTGGTGGCACATGAAAGAAACCTAATTCAAATAGCTTAAAATTGCAGTTGATTGTCTCATATAACAGGGAAGTCACTTCAGGAAGGGCTGATTCAGGGGATCAATTTACATCATTAGACTCTGTCTCTCCATTTTTTGGGGCTCTGTTTGCCTTTGCTTTATTCTGCATGCAGGCCCTCTCCATGTGGTGTCCTAACAACCCCAACAGAGAGAGAACTTTTTTTTCTGACACTTCCCAAAAAAGTTCTGGGAGAAACACTGATTAGCACAATTTTAAATGGGTCAATGTGGTCAGAGAGAGAGAGAGAGTGTGTGTCTTTTGGGAGAAGGGCAAGGGAACTAGATGCACAAAACAATAGAGGCCTCAGGCATTGGATTGGATAGGATTGAGTAAGTGAACATTTCTGCCATCTCTGGAATTTTAATATTATTTGATAATATGGCCAGGATACAGCAATAAGTAGAGAGTACGATGCTTTCCTTGGCTCATCAAATGTATTCTTTTCTCTAGAGAGGCCCATCTGTTCTTCATGTCCTTCCCTGTCTTCACACCTTTGGTTGTGCTGCTTAATCTTTGCAAAAAGACCTCCAATTACTACATCAAAACCCACAGTTCGAAACTTATCTTAAGCCCTGCCTCTTTCTCTGTTACAACTGTGCTAGCCTACACTGATCTGCACCTCCTTTGAATTGCTTTGAAGCTCCTTTGCACCTGCTTTGAATTTATACTCTGCACAGTTATTAAATATTTCCTTATATCATGTCTTGAATTTTATTCTATCGCTCAGTGATATGGTTTGGCTCGTGTCCCCACCCAGATCTCATCTTGAATTGTAATCCCCATAATCCCCATGTGTCAAGGGCAGGACCAGGTGGAGGTATCTGGATCATAAGGGTGATTTCCCCCATGATGTTCTCATGACAGTGAGTGAGTCTCAGGAGATCTGATAATTTTGTAAGTGTCTGGCATTTCCCCTGCTTGCCCTTCTCCTTCCTGCTACCCTGTGAAGAAGGTGCCTTTCTTCCCCTTCGCCTTCTGCGATGATTGTAAGTTTCCTGAAGCCTTTCCAGCCATGCAGAACTGCGAGTCAATTAAACCTCTTTTCTTTATAAATTACCCAGTCTTGAGTATTCTTCATAGCAGCGTGAGAATGAATTAATACACTCTGTATAAGTGAGTCTTATAAATTGTAACTGTATTGTAACTGTGGGTTCCTTGAGAATAGGGGCAGTTGCAGCATCCTTTTCTGTTCTCCTCTGTGCCTAGCATAAAGGACATTGCATAAGCTTGTTCATTAAAATGTTTTGATTGATGGTAGTTTTTATATATACCTCTCCTTTTATTACTATGTCTAAAGTCTCTGCTATGCAACTAATGATGGATTAAATTGCAGAGATGGGGCCATTGCCATCAAAGGGCCTCTGTGGAAGAAAGTGACTCTAGTGAAGAGGACATTGGAACCCTTTCCCACTGGTATAAGTTCTGTTCCAGTCATGCTTTATAACTCATGCTGCCACATTGGTTTCCGTGATTTTGGACTCTATGAATGGGTAGGTTTCCCTGGTTAGTCTTTCATTCATTCACTCATTGCAGAATAATTTACTAATTACCAATGTTATTCCAAGCTCTGTTCTAGGTGTGAGGGATATACAAAACCCCTGTTCTCAAGGAGCTCCCAGGAGGAAATAAAAAAGCAAAATTAGATAATTTTAATATAGCACCAACCATGGGGTTCCAGTTATGCATTAGATGGAGTAAGCACATCCTACCCTGTCTCCCCCTTCAATATAGCTATAAAACCTGATCAGAATGAATGGAGCATGGAGGAGTCTGAGAAGCAAATGTTAGCATATTGAGAAAGAACCAGAATTCAAAAGTGTCACTGAACTGGCGGCAAGTATGCCATGTTTTCCCCTCTGGTATACCCTGGCCTGAACTCAGTACACCAGCAACTTGGGAGTGGGCACCAGGGATTAGATAGAGAGAGCTATAGGAGAAGCAATGTAATTCTGGCTCAAGGAATGGAAAAGTGAACTCCCAACACTTAGTGTGGGAATCTCCCATTTTTTTTCTTCCTCCTTTTCTATGATTCCTTGTACTCTACCTCCTGAGAAATCCCATGCAACAGTGGCAGCTAATGAAAATTGGAGCTTGCGGGAGCTAATACTCTGTGGGTGCGGAATTTTCTTCTCTTTTCGGTGTATCTGTGATTCAAAGAGGGTTGGACCACATCCCATTGCTTTTTTTCTTGTCTCTGTCTCCCACCACTTGGCACTAAACAAGGGCACAGTTGTAAAATTGTGTAGCAAAGCAGGGTAATTAAAGCCCACTTTTCAGGCCTGAGGACTAAAAAGAAGATCTCAGGGAACCAGAAAGTTATAAAGAGATCATAGAAATTGATAAGTTTTATAAGTGACCTCATATAAATTGTTTATGAACTCCTGAGCTCACTCCTGAGTAAATATGTATGGATTGACTCTATATAGCAGACTGAAGGCTTTGAGAACTGAAAAAATAGACCACTCAGGTCCCAGACCATCTAATGAGTGGTGGGCATGTGGGGCATAGCTGGATAGTGGTGTAAAGGTCTTAAAAATGGAATGGCCTTTGGAACTACAACCCACAGAAGGTGGATTGGAACATGTGACTGCTAAAACAAAACATCGACATTCTCGATAGGATTTAAACAATTTCTGAGATCCATACAGTACTAGTCAAACATCCAGGATACAATCCAAAATTATTAGGCACTTGAAGAATCAGGAAAATCTCAATTTGCATGAGAAAAGACAGTAAACAGATGCCAATCCAACATGACAGATGTTGGACTTATCTGAAAAGATTTTAAATCAGCTATTTTAAAAAATATGCCAGCAAGTAAGAACACAACCCTGGAAAGGCAGGGAAAACTGGAAAGCCTCAGCAAAGAAGTAAAAAAATATAAACAAAAACCAAATGGAAGTTTAAGAACTGAAAACATACAATAACTGAAAGTAAAGAACAAAAATCACTACATGGGCTCAATAGCAGAACATGGTCAGGATGATTTCATGGATTAGGTTACACTTCAGGGGCTTGTTTAAGAACAAATAGAAGGGAATCTAGTGGGGAAGAGTTGTATAGGTGACCTATTGCTGCATAACATACGACCTCAAAATGTGTCAGGATAAAACAACAAATGTTTATTATCTCATGCAGGCAGTATCTGAGAGTCAAGAATCAAAAAGTGGCTTAACAGAGTGGATCTGGCTCAGGGTCTCTCATGAGATTGCAGTCAAATCTGTCAGAAGGAGTGTAGTCATCTCAAGGCCCAGCTGGGACTGGAGACTCTTCTTCCAAGCTCACTCATGGTTGTCTGCAGACCTCAGCTCCTTGCCATGTGGGCCTCTCCCTAGGGCACCTTGCAGCATGGCAGCTGGCTTCCCTCAGAGCAGGTGATCCAAGTGAGAGAGAGACAAAACCAAACTGGAAGCCACAGTCTTTTTCATAACCTAATCTTGGACGTAATAGCTCAGTGAGTTGCTAAGTCCAGGCCAAGGGGAAGGGAATTAGACTCCACCTCTTGATGTGGAGGGATACCCAAGAATTTGTGGTTGTATTTTTAAAACCACCACAAGTGGGGAGAGATTATCCTAGGTGGAGGGAATCGGGTATGCAAAAGTACAAAATCAAGGGAAAGCATTAAAAATGGACATTTGAGGCTGTTTCTGTCTATCCAGTTCTGTTGGGCTACTCTTTAAGCACTGGTTGATGGGAAGTTTCTCTAAGTGTCAAATGGCCATCGGAGCCTCCTCCTTTATTTGTCCTGTCTGGGGAATGCAGCAGGTCCTGGACAGTACTCTCACAGTAGGGGATGAAAATGACCTACAGCCCCCACAGTATTTTGTTTTAGAATCTTGGAACAAAAAGGAAAATATAAAAAAAACAATTTTTATTAGTTGTAGGTGTATGCCTTCACAGTAGCATGGGAAGGTGGCCTGGAGATTTCATTAGAGGCTGATTGTCCTTGATAATCCTCCATTCTGCCACCGTCTTCCATCTTCTTACTAGCTAAGGCACTGTAACTCAGTTCTGCTATAATGTCTGTTTTGAAAATGTGAATTTGTTCCAATGTGATTGATGTATCAGGGAACAATTTGAGCATGACATGAATTTCGTGTTTGCTTGAGCATGATTCCATCAGCAAGAAACACCAGGTGAATGCAGAAAATTACACCTAGTTCAACCGAGCTGTGTGGTAATACATAAAACACATGCCTCAAACATCTATCAACCACACCCATCCACATTTAGTGTTATAACTTTCCATCTGATTTCAGACAACCCTCTTTCCATCACTTCACAATAACCCACAAACTGCAACGCCCATGTCCACAAACAAACTTTAGGTCTTTCCAAGGCACAGTGCCATACTTATTGTATAGTTTATGTATTTCTTAACCATTAACACATGTAAAACTGTCCTGCCATTACTCTCTGGTTTTAAATGTGTCACTGATGTTTTTACTGTTATTCCCCCAACCCCATTTTCCTCATAAGCCATGCACTTTTTAATGTATAATTTTCCAAATTAGAGTAATTTTTAAAGAATATGTCATGTTATAGGAAAACTGACTATTTTTTTTTCTTACCTAGCATAGTGAACTTTTGTGGATTTGGCAAGCAATGAAAATAAAGTCATCAAAGATTCTGTATTGCAGAATCAAAAAGAATAAGGAAGAGAAACCTACAAGTATTCACTATTCAGTGGAGATGCCTCTCTTTGGTGGAGGACCATTCAGAGCTTCTATCTAAAGACTAACCTTGGGTGGATTTTCTCACTAATAGTTTATTATTCTGGCTTCTGGGTTTCCTGCTCTTCTGAACCTGAGCATCCTCTTCCTCAGCAAGTGGTTTTGTTTCTTTGGCACATAGGGCCGTGAATGGATAGTGCAATACTGTTAAAGAATTTGGACTTTATTCTCTTGCATCTCTGACCTTGAACAAGGCTATTAGTTCTTACTGACTTCATATCCCCTCTGGGAACACAACTTTATGACCCACCAGTGGCACTTGACCTTGGGTCTGTGGCACCTGATGCTGAGGGGTCAGAATCAAGTTCCAAAGTGGTTTGGGGCATTTCCAACAGGGAACAACTTTCTCATGCCACTGGGACCACATTTGACTGAATTGGGAGAGGCAGGAGACAAGCTTGATCACTTATTTCCCTTCCTCTTCCTCATAATTCTTTCTCTTCATTGAAGCAGTGCTGTGTAGCCATTGAGGATTTGGGCTCTGGGTCCACCACTAAATGGTGTGTGATCTTGGGCCACTTACTTAACCTCTCCACATCTCAGTTTCCTCATCTTTAAAACTGAGATTGTAACAGCCCCTACCTCGCAGCCTTGTTATAAAGAATGAATAATTCTTGAAAAGCACTTAGAACTGGGCTAGTTGCTTTATACACAAAATATTAATCAATACCTAAAGTATGAGGAGCTTGTATCTATTTAGAATCAGATAGAGATGAAAATAAAATGATTCTGAGCTATTAAATTCTGTCAGTAGGGAAATGTACATGCATTTATCCACATTTCCTTAACACGCGGCCATTGCATTAAAAAGCTGCAATTGTGATTTCTTTTCTATTTATGAAGCTTATAGACATTGACCCATTTTTTCATTACCAGCATTTCTTACTCTTAGGACCAAGATTATTAAGGTAAAGATGCTTCTATATGACATTGGGTGAAGATTGAATACTTAAGTTATACAACTCTAACAACAAAAACACATTAGGCTACCTGACCAGTATATTAAATGAAATGTTAAGTGAGACTGTAATCTCACCAAGGGCAGAGATCTTGTCTTTTTCTCTTGTATTGCCTTAGCATCTAATATGGTGGCTCTCAACCAGGAGGAATTTTTGTCTTTCCCCCTCACCACCTCATCCCCTGTGGGGGATACTTGGCAATGTCTGAAGTCATTTTGGTTGTCATCATGATGTCATGACTTGGAGGGATGCTATTGGTATGAATATTAACCTCTCCATACCTCAGTCCTCTCATCTTTAAAGCTGAGATTATAACAGCCCCTACCTCAGAGGCTTGTTATGATAAATGAATGACGTAATCCTTGAAGAGCACTTAGACCTGGGCTAGTTGCTTTATACACAAAATATTAATCAATGCCTAAAGTATGAAGAGCCTGTATCTATTTAGAATCAGATAGAGATGAAAATAAAATAATACTGAGCTATTAAATTCCTTCAGTGGGGAAATGTACATGCATGAAGGACATGAAGGACACGAATAGGCACTTCTCAAAAGAAGACATACAAGCAGCCAGGAACCATGTGAAAAAATGCTCATCCGAGTAATAGGCTCAGGATTATGGCAGACAGGAGACAGAACTAGATTGCAGCTCTGATTCTGACAGACAGAGCAGCATATGGAGGCTTGCATTATGAATTTTTGCTCCAGAATGACTACAGGAATAAATCAGGAAACCTGAAAGGACCCACAGACCCTCTGAAGAAAGCAGATTGTTCCTGCAGGACCCAAGAGACACCCCAAATACTGTGAGTGCCCAAATTGTGGAAGTGGGAAAAAGACCATCTGCCCCTGAACACACACCCCCCACTGGGGAAACTGAAGGTCTAGAATACCGAAGATTCTGATCTTACCTGGAGCTGAGTCAACTTAGAGAAATGAGTGAAATACAGGGGTAAAGGAAGCAGCGGAAAAAGCCCTGTGAGCTCACTGGGTTCCCTAACAAGCCATCTCTGCCCGGCCTCACAGGGGTCCTTCAGGAGGGTGGCCAGAGGCACTGGGAAAAGACCACAGGGAGAAGGGTATCTCCAGCTGAATTTTGTAATGATTTGAACTGATCAAGAAATCTCCTGGTCAGAACTTGGGAAAGGGCATGAATCCAGTGAGCAGAGTCCACAGGTGGGGCAAGAAGGAAAGCCATACTTGCTTTCACAGCTGGGAGGCAGATATGCTGGGGCAAGTTATCAGCCCTGCTCGCCCACTGCCTGGAAACAGACTCGGTGCTGTTGCGGGGTCACAGTGGGAGTGAGACCAGCCCTTTGGATTGTGTGGGAGCTGGGTGATGCCTTTGACTGCTGACTTTCCCCCACTTCCCTGACAGCCTGCATGACACAGCAGAGACAGCCATAATCCTCCTAGGAATATAACTCCATTGACCTGGGAATCTCACCCCCATCTTCCACAGCAGCTGCAATAAGACCTGCCCAAGGAAAATCTGAGCTCAGACATGCCTAGCTCTACCCTGACCCAAGAGTCCTTTCCTACCCACCCTGGTAACTAAAGACAAAGGACATATATTCTTGGGAGTTCTAGGGCCACACTCACCACCTGTTCCTCCCCATACTACCACACCTGATGCTCTCTGGAAAGTCCCACTTCCCAGCAGGAGGCCAACTAGCACAAAAATAGTGCATTAAACCATCAAAGCTAAGAACCATCACAGAATCCATTTCACCCCCCTGACACCTCTACCAGAACAGGTGCTGGTATCCATGGCTTAGAGAACCACAGATGGTGCACATCACAGGACTCTGTGTAGACAACCTTAAGTACCAGCTCAGAGCCTGGTAGACTTGCTGGGTGGGTAGATCCAGAAGAAAGATAACAACCACTACAGCTTGGCTCTCAAGAAGCCACGTGCATAGGAAAAAGGGGAGAGTACTATGTCAAGAGAACACCCCATGGGACATAAGAATCTGAACAACAGCCTTCAGCGCTAGACTTTCCCTCTGACAGAGCCTACCCAAATGAGAAGGAACCAGAAAACCAACTCTGGTAATATGACAAAACAAGGTTATTTAACAACCCCCCAAAATCACACTAGCTTACCAGCAACGGATCCAAACCAAGAAGGAATCCCTGACTTACCTGAAAAAGAATTCAGGAAGTGAGTTATTAAGCTAACCTGGGAGGCACCAGAGAAAGGTGAAGCCAAATGTAAGGAAATTAAAAAAAAAAAAAAAGGATACAAGAATTGAAAGGAGAAATATTCAAGGAAATAGATAGCATAAATAAAAAACAATAAAAACTTCAGAAAACAATGGACACACTTATAGAAATGCAAAATGCTCAGGAAAGTGTCAGCAATAGAATCAAACAAGTAGAAGAAAGGGATTCAGAGCTCAAAGTCAAGGTCTTTGAGCTAATCCAATCCAATAAAGACAAAGAAAAAAGAATAAGAAAATATCAACAAACCTGCCAAGAGGTCTGGAATTATGTTAAACAACCAAACCTAAGAATAATCAGCATTCCTGAGGAGAAGAGAAATCTAAAAGTTTGGAAAACATATTTCTGGGAATAATCGAGAAAAACTTCCCTGGCCTTACTAGAGACCTAGATATCCAAATATGAGAAGCACAAAGAACACTTCGGAAATTCATTGCAAAAAGATCATTGCCTAGGCACATTGTCGTCAGGTTATCTAAAGTTAAGATGAAGGAAAGAATCTTAAGAGCTGTGAGACAAAAGCACCAGGTAACCTATAAAGGAAAACCTATCAGATTAACAGCAGGTTTCTCAGCAGAAACCTTACCAGCTAGAAGGGATTGGGGCCGTATCTTCAGCCTCCTCAAAACAATTATCAGCCAAGAATTTTGTATCAACAAAACTAAGTGTAATATATGAAGGAAAGATAGTCTTTTTCAGACAAACAAATGTGGAGAAAATTCGCCAGTACCAAGCCACCACTACAAGAACTGCTAAAAGGAGCTCCAAATCTTGAAATAAATCCTGGAAATACATCAAAACAGAACCTCTTTAAAGCATAAATCACACAGGGTATATAAAACAAAAATACAAGTTAAAAAGCAAAAACAAAAAACAACAACAACAAAAAACAAGGTACACAGGCAACAAATACCATGATGAATGCAATGGTACCTCACATCTCAATACTAATGTTGAAGGTAAATGGCCTAAATGCTCCACTTAAAAGATACAGAATTGCAGAATGGATAAGAATTCACCAACCAAATATCTGCTGCCTTCAAGAGACTCACCTAACACGTAAGGACTCACATAAACTTAAGGTGAAGGGGTGGGAAAAGACATTTCATGCAAATGGACATCAAAAGCGAGCAGGAGTCGCTATTCTTATATCACACAAAACAAAATTTAATGCAACAGCAGTTAAAAAAAACAAAGAGGGACATCATATAATGATAAAAGGTCTTGTCTAACAAGAAAATATCACAATTCTAAACATATATGCATTTAACACTGGAGCTCTCAAATGTATAAAACAATTACTAATAGACCTAAGAAATGAGATGGACAGCAACACAATAACAGTGGGGGACTTCAATACTCCACTGATAGTACTAGACAGGTCATCAAGTCAAAAAGTGAACAAAGAAACAATGGATTTAAACTATACCCTGGAACAAATGGACTGAACAGATATATTCAGAACATTCCATCAAACAACCACAGAATATATATGTTCTATTCAATAGCACATGGAACTTTCTCCAAGATAGATATATGATAGGCCAAAAAACGAGCCTCAACAAATTAAAAACAAATTATATCAAGCCCTCTCTCAGACCACAGTGGAATAAAACTGGAAATCAACTCCAAAAGAAACCTTTAAAACCATGCAAATACATGGAAATTAAATAACCTGCTCCTGAATGATCATACGGTCAAAAATGAAATCATGATAGAAATTTAAAAATTCTTTGAACTATATGACAATTGTGACACAACCTATCAAAACCTCTGGAATACAGCAAAGGTGGTACTAAGAAAAAAGTTCATAGCCCTAAACACCTACATCATAAAGTCTGAAAGAGCACAAACATACAATCTAAGGTCACACCTCAAGGAACTAGAGAAACAAGAACACACCACGCCCAAACCCAGCAGAAGAAAGGAAATAACCAAGATCAGAGCAGAACTAAATGAAATTGAAACAAAAAAAAAATACAAAAGATAGATGAAACAAAAAGCTGGTTCTTTGAAAAGATAAATAAAATTGATAGACCACTGGCAAGATTAACCAAGAAAAGAAGAGAGAAAATCCAAATAAGCTCAATAAGAAATGAAACAGGAGATATTACAACTGACACCACAGAAACGCAAAAGATCATTCAAGACTACCATGAAACACCTATGTGCATAAACTAGAAAACCTAGAAGAGCTGGATAAATTCCTGGAAAGATACAACCCTCCTAGCTTAAATCAGGAAGAATTAGATACCCTGAACAGGCCAATAACAAGCAGCAAGATTGAAATGGTAATTAAAAACCTACCAACAAAAAAAAGTTCAGGACCCAGGCAGATTCACCACAGAATTCTAGCAGACATCCAAACAACAGGTACAAATCGTATTGACACTATTCAACAAGGTAATGGAAAAGGGAACCCTCTCTAAATCATTCTATGAAGCCAGTATCACCCTAATATCCAAACCAGGAAAGCACACAATAAAAAAGAAAACTACAGACCAATATCCTTGACAAACATAGATGTTAAAATCCTTAACAAATATTAGCTAACCAAATCCAACAACATATTAAAAAGGTAATCCACCATGATCAATTGGGTTTCATACCAGGGATGCAGGGATGGTTTAACATACACAAGTCAATAAATGAGATAAACCACATAAACAGAATTAAAAACAAAAATCACATGATCATTTCAATAGATGCAGAAAAAGTATTCAACAAAATCCAGCATCCCTTTATGATTAAAACTCTCAGCAAAATTGGCATACAAGGGGCCTATCTCAGTGTAATAAAAGCCATATATGACTAACTCACTGAGTGGGGAAAAGTTGAAGGCATTCCCTCTGAGAACTGGAACAAGACAAGGATGCCCACTCTCACCACTCCTCTTCAACATAGTACTGAAAGTCCTAGTCAGAGCAATCAGACAAGAGAAAGAAATAAAGGGCATCCAAATCGGTAAAGAGGAAGTCAAACTGTTGCTGTTTGCTGATGACATGATTGTATACCTAGAAAACCCTAAAGATTCCTCCAGAAAGCTCCTATAACTGATAAAAGAATTCAACAATGTTTCTGGATACAAAATTAATGTACACAAATCAGTAGCTCTCATGTACACCAACAGCGACTAAGCTGAGAATCAAATCAAGAACTCAACCCCCTTGCCAATAGCTGCAATAAAAACAAAACAAAACAAAACAAAACAAAAAACAAACCTTAGGCATATACCTAACCAAAGAGGTGAAAGACCTCTACAAGGACAACTACAAAACACTGTTGAAAGAAATCATAGATGACACAAATAAATGGAAACACATCCCATGCTCACGGATGGGTAGAAACAATATTGTGAAAATGACCATACTGCCAAAAGCAATCTACAAATTCAATGTAATTCCCATCAAAATACCACCATCATTCTTCACAGAATTAGAAAAAACAATTCTAAAATTCATATGGAACAAAAAAAGAGCCTACATAGCCAAAGCAAGACTAAGCAAAAAGAACAAATATGGAGGCATCATGTTACCTGATTTCAAACCATACTATGTGGACATAGCCACCAAAACAGCATGACATGATACTGTATAAAAATAGGCATATAGACCAATGGACCAGAATGGAGAACCTAGAAATAAACCCAACTACTTACAGCCAACAGAGCAAACAAAAACATAAAGTGGGGAAATGACGCTCTTTTTAACAAGTGGTGCTGGGATAATTGGCTAGCCACCTCTAGGAGAATGAACCTGGATCCTCATCTCTAACCTTATACAAAAATCAACTCAAGATGGATTAAGGACTTAAATCTAAGACCTGAAACTATAACTATAAAACTTCTAGAAGATAACATTGGAAAGACCCTTTTAGACATTGGCTTAGGCAAGGATTTCATGACCAAGAACCTAAAAGCAAATGCATTAAAAACAAAGATAAGTAGCTGGGACTTAAATAATCTAAGAGCTTTTGCACAGCAAAAGGAACAGTCAGTAGAGTAAACAGACAACCCACAGAGTGGGAGAAAATCTTCATAATCTATACATCTGACAAAGGACTAATATCTAGGATCTACAATGAATTCAAACAAATCAGCTAGAAAAAAAACAATCCCATCAAAAAGTGGGCTAAGGACATGAATAGACAATTTTCAAAAGAAGATATACAATGGTCAACAAACATATGAAAAAAAATTCCTCAACATCACTAATGATCAGGGAAATGCAAATCAAAACCACAATGCAATACCAACTTACTCCTGCAAGAATGGCCGTAATCAAAAAAATAAAAAAGTAGTAGATTTTGGCGTGGATGCAGTGAACAGAGAACACTTCTACGCTGCTGGTGAGAATGTAAACTAGTACAGCCACTGTGGAAAACAGCGTGGAGATTCCTTAAAGAATTAAGAGTAGAACTACCATTTGATTCAACAATCCCACTACTGGGTATCTACCCAGAGGAAAAGAAGTCATTTTATGAAAAAGATACTTGCACACGCATGTATATAGCAGCACAATTCGCAATTGCAAAATCATGGAACCAACCCAAATGCCCATCAGTCAACGAGTGGATAAAGAAACATATATATTTGATGGAATAGTACTCAGCCATAAAAAGGAATGAATTTATGGCATCTGCAGTGACCTGGATGAGATTGGAGACTATTATTCTAAGTGAAGTAACTCAGGAATAGAAGACCAAACAACACTCTATGTTCTCACTCATAAGGGGGAACTAAGCTATGAGGATGCAAAGGCATAAGAATGACATAATGGACTTTGGGGACTCAGGGGGAAAGGGTGGGAGGTGGGTGAGGGATAAAAGACTACAAACAGGGTGCAGTGTATACCACTCGGGTGATGGGTGCACCAAAATCTCACAAATCACTGCTAACGAACTTACTCATGTAACCAAACACCACCTGTTCCCCCAAAACCTATGGAAATAAAAAAAATTTGAAAAAAATTGGATTAAAAAACAATAAAAAATTAAAACTTAAAAAAATGCTCATCATGACTAATTATAATGATGCTGATAGAGGCCAGGGTTGCTGCTACAAATCCTGCAATGCAAAGGAATGTCCCTCCCTCCAACGAGGGGGCAGGAATTATCCTGCTCCAAATTTCAGTGGTGCTGAGGTCAAGAAGGCCTGCTCTAACACAATGTCTTAATATAAGGAATTGTGGAGCCTCTTGATAAATGTGTGTTGAATTAATGAATAAAGTTTTGGGGACAAAGCTGATTTGATAGCAGAGACAGTGCTTGGCAGACAAAGTCATGGAGAAGCAATTGCAGGAAAGAGTGGTGTTTAGCCAGTTGATGTTAGCATGATGCTAAGACCAGTGTTTGCCCTATTCAGACATCCAGTCATACTGGTCTGTGTCTTGGCCATATGGTTCTTAAATATTTTGAATAATATCCCTGAGAAGTGGTGCATTTTCTGGAGGCTATGAATGATTGCTTCTTTAAACAAGTAGTCTTAGAAACCACAGGAAAAGGAAATAAACTGACTTTGGCTTTGAGACATAAACAGGAAAGGATACAGAGAGTGGTTGTGGATAAGTCACACTGGTGTGCCAGCCATAGAAAAATGAAGTTCAAAATTCTGGTGAAAGAGGGAAAATCAGAACAGTGTATCCCAAAGTCCCTCAGTTCTAGTCAAGGCAACTGTGCCCAAAATGGGAAATTAGTAGGGAAAAATTAGAAAGTAGTGTAAAGCATGTTAACCACCCGTAGGAAACCCAAAGTCTGTTTAAAAGCATATTATTGAGCAATGGGGAAAGAACTTTCTGTTCAATAAATGGTGTTGGTATATATAGCTGGCTATCCATATGCAGAAGAATGAAATTGGACCTCCACTTTTCACCATCTACAAAAATTAACTGGAGATGGGCTAAAGATTTAAATGTAAGATTTGAAACTATTAAAAATTCTAGAAGAAAATCTCAGAAACACCATTCTGGACATGGACCATGGGAAAGAATTTATGACTAAGTCCTCAAAAGCAATTGCCACAAAAACAAAAGTTGACAAGTGGGACCAAGTTTAAGTAAAGAGCTTATGTACAGCAAAAGAAGCTATCAATGGGGTAAACAGACAACCTACATAATTGGAGAATATATTCACAAACTATGCATCCAACAAAGGTCTAATATCCAGGATCTATATGGAACTTAAACAAATCAACAAGCAAAAACCAAATGACCCCATTGAAAAATGGGGAAAGGATGTGAAGAGATGCTTCTCAAAACAAGACATACAAGCAGCCAATAACTACATGTAAAAATGCTTATCACCACTCATCATCGTAGAAATGTAAATCAAAACCACAATGAGATACCATCTCACACCAGTCAGAATAGTGTTTATTAAAAAGTCAAAAAACAACAGATGTTGGCGAAGCTGTGGAGAAAAGGGAATGCTTACACACTGTTGGTAAGCGTGTAAATTTGTCCAGCCACTGTGGAAAGTAGTTTTGCAGTTTCTCAAAGTACTTAGACAGAGCTATCATTCAACTCAGCAATCCCATTATTAGGTATGTATCCAAAAGAAAACAAATTGTTCTACCAAAAAGATACATGAACTCTCATGTTCATCACAGCACTGTTCACAATAGCAAAGACATGGAATCAATCCCAGTGCCCATCAACGGTGGATTGGATAAAATATGTTTTAGGATAATAAACCAAAACTGAACCCCTGAGTGGTTAACCTGACAAAGGAAAAGATGTTATTGTGTATACGGGCAAGTGGACAAGTTAAGACTAGACACTTCAAAGCTCACTAGGCTTTTGAAAATATACTTCAGTAGTAATCATGGAATTGCAAATTGAGGCTGGGCATGGTGTCTCACGCCTGTAATTCCAGCAATTTGGAAGGCCAAGGCGGGTGGATCACTTAAGGTCAGGAGTGTGAGACCAGCCTGGCCAACATGGTGAAACCCCATCTCTACTAAAAGTGCAAAAAAATTAGCCAGGCATGGTGGCGCACACCTGTAATCTCAGCTACTCGGGTGGCTGAGGCATGAGAATCGCTTGAACCTGGGAGACGGAGGTTGCAGTCAGCCAAGATCGCGCCACTGCACTCCAGACTGGGTGATAGTGCAAGACTCTGTCTCAAAAAAACAAAGAAACAAACAAAAACAAACAAACAAACAAAACCCAGCAAATTGAAAAGGTGAGATTATTTTACCCATCAGATTGGCAAAATGGAAAAAGATGGTGAATATCCAGTGTTAATAAGAGTGAAGAGAAATGGAAACTCTAGTTTACTGTTGGGAAGTATAAATTGGCACAGTCTTTTTGGAATGTACTTTGGCTATATCTATTAAAATCTAACATATGTGCTTTCTCTTCATTATATCGATTCTACTTCTACATATATAGCCTAGGGAAATGTTTGAAAATACAAGTTGAGCATCCCTAGTCCAAAAATTTGAAATCAAAATGCTCCACAATCAGAAACTTTTTGAGTGCCAACGTGGTGCTCAAAGGAAATGCTAATTGAGCGTTTCAGATTCCAGGTTAGGGATGCTGAACTGGTAATAATGCAAATATTCCAAAAAACTGACAAAAAATCCGAAATCTAAAACACTTCTAGTCCCAAGCATTTCAGCTAAGGGATACTCAACCTGTATGCACAACAAGGTATGACAAGAATGCTCTTTGCTGCCTCAAATTGACCTAATCCACCACCTCTTCCCCAACCAAAGGTAACTGAATAAGAAGGGTTCAGCCCTATTAGGGAATATCACATATCTGTTTAAAAAGAATAAAATAGCTCTGTATCTACTGACATGAAAAATCTCTAAGACACATTGTTAAGAAGAAAATGCAAGTGGAAAATATGCTATATGTAGCTTGACACTATTTCTATAAAAGAAAAATCCCACCCAACAACTTCATAAATTTAGATATATACATACACAAGAATGGAAGCAAGAATAAGAAACAAGAATAGGAAAAGGCATTGGGGGATATAGAGCAAACTGATCTTAGTGGTTGTCTCTGGGGAGGGGAATAGAATGAGAAGGCAGTGGTCAAGAAAGTCTTTTTACGTTATAGGTACCAATTGTGTTATTACAGGAGTATATCCATATAGTACTTATATAGTTAAAAATACACAGAGAGAAAATAGAAAACTGACACAGTGCGGATGTGCAGAATTATAGGGTATTTTTTCCTTCAAAGAAGGATTTACTACCAGATTCCTGGAAACAACAAGTTCCATTCAGAAACAACTTAACTGCCTGTCGCCTTAGGCAGGCAGTAGCCAGCTAGGCCCAGTGTTAAATGAGGATGGAGAGGGGAGTAGGGCTTGTCAGTGGTGAGCTAACTGTCCAACTTTTTCTTTAAGCCCCAGAGCCCTCAGGCTGCTTCTGAAGCCTGTATCTCACATTTGCAGGCCCCCAAAACCAAAAGTCTTGAGGAAATGTCCTCATTTTGCCTTATCATTCTGCTTGTTGGCTAATCATTGCTGCAATGGGGCTTCCGTATATGAGGGCTGTGAAGTGTTTAGGAGAGGCCATCTGGGGCCTAGGCCAAGGGTGCTTTGGGCTCCTGTTAGACTGGCCCAGAAATCTATGTTCCTGGTCACCTTTTAGAAAAGAAAAAGATGTCTTGAAACTCAGAAGTTAGTTCAGTAATGGGCTGAAAAAGCAATGTGGATTTTTCCCTTTCTGTCTACATTAGCAAATAAATTTATTATCCATTTCTCAATAATTCAGTCACATGTTTAAAAACAATCTCCTAAATTGCTCCTTCTGCTGTGACTTATTGGCTCATGCTATACTTATTGGGTTATCAAAATATGTCATTTTCTCACAATGTGGAGTGGAAGTCCTTCAATGTATCTGTTGGGGACATGAATGTAATTAATTTTCTGTTCACAGGCCTTGCCCAGGGAAGATGGGACTGGCTGATTTGAAAGACTGGTGCAGCTCTGGACTGAGAGGACTTCAAGCTAAGTGATGGGTCCTGAGGTCTAGGGACTCTTTCATAAACCATCTCATTTATGGAAACCTGACACACATATGGGAAACTAGATCTTTCACTTGCCTTTTACTCTTCTCTCTTGCCTCTGTCTGGCCCCACATATCAATGTGTACTTGTAGTAAACCATCATGGAAGCTACTGGCAACACAGGTCAACAATTTTGACCCCAATGGGTGAAGCTAGGTACCATCCAGCCCTCAAAGCTGTAGGCCTTTCTCCATACTCAAACATATTTTGTGTCCTATTTTCTGAGCTCTCCCCTAGGATGAATTTGATCCTTGAATGTGTGCTGAGGTCCCAGTGTGTTTCTGTGTGGTTCATGCCAAGCAAAGTGTTTACACTTAGAAAATAAAAAAATTGGCTGGGCACAGTGGCTCACACCTGTAATCCCAGCACTTTGGGAGGTCAAGGCCGGAGGATCACTTGAGGTTGGGAGTTCGAGACCAGCCTGATCAACGTGGAGAAACCCTGTCTCTACTAAAAATACAAAATTAGCCAGGGGTGGTGGCACTTGCCTGTAATCCCAGCTACTTGGGAGGCTGAGGCAGGAGAATCGCTTGAACCTGGGAGGCAGAGGTTGCGGTGAGCCGAGATCACGCCATTGCACTCCAGCCTGGGCAACAAGAGCAAAACTCCATCTCAAAATTGATTAATTAATTAAAAAAAATTTTAAATCATAAATTTTTGATCCTAAAAGGCATATTGGAACCATTTCATGAAGGGTGTCCTGCCTCATAAATTGCAAAAGATTTCTTCTCATTATCAACAAAGCTGTAAGGTCTCACAGAACATGTTTTCAAAGTTTTAAAAATTGTGATAAAATTTACCATTTGAACTATTTTTAACTGTACTGTTTGGTGGCATTAAGTACATTCACACTGTTGTGCAACCATCACTACAATCCATCCATCCCCAGAAATTTTTCGTCTTCCCAACTAAAACTCTGTACACATTAAACAATAATGCCCCATTACTCCCTCCCCATAGACCCTCCAATCCCCCATTCTTCTTTCTGTCTGTATGAATTTGGCTACTCTAAGTACCTCATATAAGTAGAATCATACAGTGTTTGTCTTTTTGTGACTGGCTTATTTCACTTAGCTTAATATCCTGAAGGTTCATCCATGTAGCAGCATGTGTCAGAATTTCCTTCCATTTTAGGGCTGAATAACATTTCATTGTGTGTATATACCACATTTTGTTTATCCATTCATCATTGGCTATTGTGAACAATGTTGCTATGGGCATGGGTGTACAAATATCTGTTCAAGTCCCTATTTTCAATTCTTTCATGTATGTACCTGGAAGTGGAATTGTTAGATCACATGATAATTCTATTTTTCAATTTTTCAAGGAGCTAGCATACCATTTTACATAGCAGCTGTACTGTTTTACATTCTCTCCAGTAATGTATAAGGTTTAGGTTTTTGTGTGTGTTGTTTTAAATAATAGCCATGCTAATGGGTGTGTAGCAGTATCTCATTCTGGTTTTGATTTGCATTTCCCTAATGATTAATAAGTTGAACATCTTTTTATGTGCTTATTGACCATTTCTATATCTTTTTTGGAGAAATTTCTATTCAACTCCTTTGCCCATTTTTTTGCCTGGGCTGCTTGTCTTTTTGTTGTTTGATTTGCAAGCTTTTTAAATCCTTGGACCTGTTATTCAAATGATGTATTTCAGAAAATTCTGATGTATAAAACAGATTAAAACCGAAATCCTTCAAGTACAGGTGGGGAGGAGATGGAGCCTACCTGTTCATTCTTTACTTCCATGGCAGCCTCTAACAGGACTCCTTTATACGTCTAGCACTGTTTCTTAGCTCTTTGGAAAAACTACCGTACCCTTGGCATTTAGATGGGGATCCATGCTTCAGAATATTTGAAGGGACATAGATATGCCCAAAGAAGGACTCACCTCTGTGTTTTGCCACCTTCAAATATTGACCATGGCTAGAGAAATGTGGTGCTTTTCACTGGAGTATGTTAGTGTTGTTTTGTCACTTAGTTCCCGAAGACACACTCAGCTATTGATCCTTCCACCTATCAAGGGAAGCTCATAAATTATTGGGGAAATGTCAAGAAGAATGAAGAAAATGACAGAAATTCTTTCAAACCCAGAGAAATACATTATTTACAAATTCATATCCCCCACTATCAGGTAGATCCCCACAAGCAGTAGGAATTTGTAAGAACAAATAAGCCACTGATCATATTGCTATTTATCACAGTCACTCAATCCTGCTTCAGCCTTCAGACCTTGTTGAATCAGGAGAATTTTTTAAAGTGGGTGTTTGTAGGGTTTAAAGCATTTTTTTTTTTTTAGTTTGAAAGTAAAATTCTGAGAAGAGTCTTATTATTTGGGGGTCTAAAATCTGACCCTCAGCCCATTGGTTAAGATTCATCTCCCTTTTGGGAGTCTTACTCCTTGTTTCGGGTAACAAGCCCTCAAGATTTTCATGTTTTCTTTGGTCTGTGCAGGTCCCTCCACTTCTTCCTCATTGGAATTCTGTACCCACCTGTCATCTTGAGAACCAAAATTTTTTTCATATCCAGACCACTTCTGTTTGTGACAAGTGGGAAGGCAACCAATAGCACAGCACTTTTACTTGCTTGAGTTCTGAACAATTGAGAAATTCAAAGGAATCTGAAGGTGGAGTCTTATCACCGTTAGGCCAGGTGTGGTGGCTCATCCTGTAATCCCAGCACTTTGGGAGGCCAAGGTGAGAAGATCACTTGAGCCCAGGAGTTCGAGACTAGCCTGAGCAATATAGCGAGACTCTGTCTCTACAAAATTTTTTAAAAATCAAAAAATAGCTGGGCATTGTGGTGTGTACCTGTAAGTTCCAGATACTTGAGAGGTTGAGGCGGGAGGATTGTTTGAACCTGGGAGGTTGAGGCTGTAGTGAGCCATGATTATGCCACTGCACTCCAGACTGGGCAACAGAGCAAGACCCTGTCTCAATAAAGTAAAATATCACCTTTAATATTGGATAAAGGTTAGAGTGGGGACACAGTTTATATGTATGAGCAAACGGGCTTCCCAATATAGTGGCCCTGTGTTAGAGAGGCTTACCTCCTCTGTCACAAACTATGCTGTACCACCACAGAACCCTCTTACAGGGCCAGGCCCCTCTCACTGTTTGGCAGAAATCAGAACAGAACACAACTCCTCTGTAGTCAGCCATATCCCGTGAAGAAGCAGTATGGTCAGAGCTATGCATGCCCCAGTTCCTTGTTCTAAGCTCATCAACCAGGTAAATCATCCCAATCCCCCTCCTCTTCATAAGAATATCACAGCCCCCACATGGAAAGAAACATGTAGAGTTGGGAAGAATAATCTACTCTAGAATTTCCCAGTTTATTTTTCTCTTAACCCACTGAGTTTAACCACTGAGCCATCTCCATGAAGGGGGAAGATTAGCAGTTTATGAGGACAGTCTGACTCCCACCTTCGTGAGGCTAACCTCCCAGTAGAAACCACTGGGATTGCTGATGGGCAATGTAGATGGTGATATTTGCAGAAGGCTCTGAAATGTGCCTGAAGACTATATTAATTAAATTAATATCAAGACTGTGCCTTGTGTAAGGATGCAAATTTATCACCTACTCTATTTCCTTTCTCAAATAATGACCAGCTGAATTGTCATAAGTATACTATCAGAGGATGTGCAGTGAGACCAAAGGATAACATTAAGACACTATGAAAATAATGTGCATCAATAAGATGCTACTCATTTGAATATAATCTTCTTTTATCACATTTGCAGGAGGACATTTAAATTCAAACTCCCTCATGCTTTTTAGTTAAAGTCTAGAGAAATGAAAGTCCAAAGTTTTTACCTCCAAAGATTTTAAAGTTCAAAATAAAGTTTTCTTTCTCTTGGGAGTAAAAGTTCCAAAAATTAAGGACCAAAATGTATCCTCCCTAGCTTCTTACTATGCTCAACTTTAATGAGAAAAGTTCTCAAGGCCTGTGCAGACTTGGGGTTCTTCAGCAGTTTTAGTCTGTACTGTCTCTTACTGGAATGGATGTAGTTCTTTCAGAGCCTCTGAGTGTGTGTTGGTTCAATGCCAAGTCTCTGATGTTTCCTACAGTTCAAGGAATTAATAGAACCTACAAGATAATTGCATCACTGGCCCCACATATTCCCAATTAGAAAACAAACAAATAGGTGGTGGTAGTCCCTTCATGGCCCACATTGATCTCTGCCTCCTAGAATTCACTCCTTGTGAAATCCCTTCCCCTGGGTTTGGGCTGGACCTACTATGTTGCTTTTAACAAATAGAATATGATGAAATGGTGGCGTGTCACTTCTAGAATTAGTTTACCAAAGACTGTGACTTCCATGTTTGTAGCATTCTCTTCTTCTCTGGCTGTTCTCAGTTGTTTGTGCTGATGAAGCCATCTGCTGTGTTGTGAGCTGCCTGATGGAGAGGCCTATGTGACAAGGAACTTGCCAGCAAGGGATGAGACTCAGTCTAACAGTCTTTGAGGAACTAAATTCTCCCAGCAGCCATGTGAGTGAACTTGGAAGCAGGTCCTCTCCTAATTGAGCCTTGAGATAACCATAGTCATGGCCAACATCTTGACTGCAGCCTGTGAAGGATTCTGAGACAGAGGATCCAACTAAGGTTCACCTAGATTCCTGACCCATAGAAACTGGGAGATAATAAATGTTTTCCATTTTATGCCACTGTATTTTGGGATAGTTTGTTATGTAGCAACAGACAGCTAATATGTAGACCAATCCATAGTCCCTAGGGGACTTTTTCCCAGGTAAAATTTCATTATCCATATTCAGTACTCAGAATTGCTAAAGACTCAATATTATCTGAAGGAAAAGTGACAGACAGAAAGAATCTTGATTTTAGCTGTACCAGGGATGCCAGTCTACCCAAATGGCTGGAGTCCATGATCTGTGAACTTCAATTCAATTTGGAGAAATTTCTCACCAAGAAGTTAATTTTGGCCTTGTTAGGCCTAATTTTGGCCTAATAAAAGCCAATTGTATAATTATATAAAACAGACTCTTGGTCCAATGTAAGCTTCTATAGACTGCCAAGTTCAAAATATCCTGTTTATATATTGAAGTCCAAGACCTATAGCCCCTAGCCCCACCCAGAGATATTTCTGTTGTTATTTGAGTCTGCTAATTCTAGTTCTTGTCTATTTCCTTGTATTCTTGGACCAATCCATCAGGTGTTTGGATTAGAGGAAGTCCAATAAATAACACCTTGAATTCTAAACCAACAGATATTGAAAAAAAATGAGCAAGACAAAGGGGAGATGAAAATAGCCCCTTTATTCCCAACTAAACTGATAAGAATGTAGTTTATATCTGTGGATAAGTGAGCTTCCTAATACTGAAACCACCTTTGTAAAGATTTTGACAGTCAGAGAAATGTAGCATGGCTGACTCTATCTTGCTTCTAGCCTCACAGGCTGGCTATATTTACTCATTCCTGAGCGTTGGCCAAGCTAACCATGGGAGGAATTTAGTTTGTAGTTTAACCTTAAAGCAAGGATGATAATAAGCCCTTCCAAAAACTAAATCACCTTTGTAAAACTAATGAAATGCCACAAGGTTAGGCTTATGAGAGAGGCCTAAATTCTTCTAAGTGTAGGCATAGTTAACCAATAATCAGCCATTGTTCCAGAGGTTACAAGATTTGTAACTTCCCCCATTTACTCCTGTAAATAACATCACCGTTATAGAACCTAAGATTGGCCTTTTGAGATGCCTTTTCAGACTTTTGCATTTCGGAGTGACCCAGAGGCAGCCCTATGGCCCCCTCCCAGAGGCAGACTCAGCACATGAGGACCATTCTCTACACTCCTATGATGGCATACCCAATCAATCAGCAGCACCCATTTCCCAGTCCCCTGCCCATCAAACTCTCCTTGAAAAACCCTAATATCCAAGCCATCAGCAAGGTTGATTTGTGTAATAACTGTCTTTCATGTGGCATTGCTGGCCTCACATCAATTAAATTCTTTCTTTACTGCAATGTCATAGTCTTGGTGAATTGGTTTTGTCTGTGCAGTGGGCAGGAAGAACCCATCAGGCGATTATAACACTGTATCTCAGATTTGTTCACCCACTCAGAGGTAGCACCAGACCATCACATTGCCCTTCCCATCCCCATGGATATTTATATATGTCTCTGTAAAAACTCTCTGCATGGAAGAGCAGAGCAAGACACACACTCTGACAACAGCCTTAGTCTCAAGAATAAGAGGAGATAAGGAGCTGTGACCAATGCGACAGGGACAGGTTTTTTGACCAGACTCACCACTCATAAATCTCACCTCCCTTGGAAGAAATAAATGAGGAGATAGAATCATGGAAAGCAACATCGGGAGTGAGGAAAAAGTGTTCTCTCCTGTCCCCATACCTTTCTTACGTTCCCATCTCCTCCTGTGTCTCTCTTTCTCTGCTTTTCACAATTATGAGAAAAGGCCGATTAAAACCCTATCAAGGTAATAATGCCTAGTTATCGTTCAGAGTCCTTCAGGGTCGAGTATAAAATAAGAAGGAATTGTGTGACACTTAGAAATGGGAAAGGCCCAGAGGACTGGCTCTTGGCAAAACTATTTAGTGATTATGTGATTTTGTGCCCTCTCACAAGTTCTTCCAGGACCTGCTCCAACCCCCACTCCACCTCCAACTCCAGAAGCCACTACCTTCTTCACACCTACTCTCCATCAGTATGGTAACACCCAAATGCTCTGGCTCTATCAAAGTATACACCCAGCTCTCCTTCCTGATAAACCAGTATATGCATAATCTTCTTTTGGGGGAAATACCTTTTAACCAGTAACTTTTGTGTCTTATTCCAAAGGAATTAATTTTTGTTGCAGGACTTTTCCTTGGTTCAGCTAAAGGGAGGGTCTTTGTCACATGGCCCTGAAAATTTAGGCTCGCAGGTGATTTGATGGGTGAGTAAGTCACAGTTTTATTGGGTGAAAAGGGAAAAAAAGGAAAACAGGGACACTCCGCAAAGCTGGAGGCCCTGCTGTTGTGCTTCCCATCTCCCAGTTTGAATCCCAGATTCCACCCAGGAAGAGGAGGGGCCAGGCTCCTCCCCACTGCAAACGGGGTGAACTTTGCGGCTCCACCCCAGTGCACATTCCTCCCAGTGTGCAGGCCAGTTGGAGTTTTGCCAGGGAGCCCTTCCCACCTGGCTGTCTCATTATGACACTATCTGGCAAGCTGATGAGAAATTATACATGTAAACAATGACCTTCTGGTGAGGCTGGCCTTAGTTTATACTTAAAAATTTCTGAATTGTCTTATTGTCTGACTTAGTATCTTTGACTTGTGAAGCAGACCTTAGCCAGGATCCATGGAAAATTCCAATTCTTTTTAAGGGAAAATCATTTCTTGTTGGGAAGGCTTGCAGTATCTTACAGCCAAGAGGATTCAGATTTCGGTTTTCTGGGAAATTAACAAGGATGACAAACACTCCTGGAAGAGATGATAAATTGAGGAAGAGGGTAGCATTCTGTGTTGTGAATTTCATTTGGATGAATATATAATAAGCCCTTTGTGTTATACAAAAAGATTTACTGCTATTTGATTGAAATTTAAAAATCTTCAACAGCTAGGTACCCTAGCCAGGATCTTCTGCTCCTCTAGAAAAGATCAACTCATATCTGAAAGATTTTATCACTTCTTATGGGCCATGAGGGTGTTCACAAATAGCCATAGCAAATCCAATATTCTCAGGAAGAGACAGTTCTGACTGGTTTTGCTCTGTGTTCAGCCTTTTAATGTTTACCAATTCTGAGAAGCACAGAGGTATTTTTGCACATTTCCAACAGCACCTGGGCTCTGCTTTCATGCATTATTTCTTACCAAATGCATTTGACTACAACCCAACACAATGTTTACCCTTGGCCCCACTGTGACAGAATGTTATGATCTTCGATACAGCTTACCTGGTGCCTGGAGATATTTGTTTTATGTGTGTGTTTGTGTTAAGGGATGGAGAGCTAGGGTACAGGGAGTCAGGGAACTAGGGAGGTTGAAGTGACAAAAACTTTTTTGCTGCTGTTTTTTTTTTTTTTAATAATATATTCAAGTAGCTTGGCCTGACAGTCAATTTCTGAAATACCTGGCAAAACCCATCCTCTCTCTTTTTCTTTTACATTTGGAGCCAAATATAACCAGTCAGGCCTGGCTCTATACCAGAAAAATAAAGGTCTGCCTACAGAATGTGGGAGTAGCCCCCAAATCTCCTTGTTTTGGAGGTATAGCTCTTTTGTTTTTATTATTCTTTGAAATATGTAGTTTAAGTATCTTGTCAAAATGTATATCTATTATCTAGTGGTGGGGTGAGTAATGCTTTAAACTACCATCAGCAGGTTAGGAGATAGTTCAAGAGATTAAGCAAGCAGATAAGACCTTAAGGAGAAATGTGATACATGCTTTGGTGGAAAGTGGCAAGAGAATGGTCTGGAAACTGTAATTATAATGAATACTACCATTCCCATCACTACTATCCCTATTGCACCATCACTCCCTATTGAATGATTAATATGTGTTTGGTGTTCTACAGACATTATTTCATTCCCTACAATAGCTCTGTGGAGTGGATACCACCATTATCTCAGTTTTACAGGTGAGAAAACTGAGGCTCAGAGAAAGCAAAGTAATTTACACAGTGTTTCTCAAAGAGAAGGTATGAATTCTAGCCCAAGTCAAGTAGGAGGTAAGTACTCCATGGGGAAGCAATCTGATCAGTAGGCATGGAACAAACATTCCCTTCTAGATTATTTTGTTCATGTATGGCTCAGCTTCCAGTCTTGGTTGGGAAAACATGAACAAACTGAAAAACTCAAATGCTACAAGTCTTATCAATTTGGGGAGTGGGCTCAGGATTCACAGAACCCAGGTTGGGTTGGGCACTTACACCAGGAAACCTTGTAAATCGTGGGAAAAAACCAAATATGATGATGCAAATGCAGAATTTCACTGTAAATATCTTAAATCCAAGCTGTAAGAGCTCCCTACTCTGTTACAGATGAATTAAGATTGTTTGCTAATTGTATGACTAAGGGTAAACCACTTTATTTCTTAACTCTTAGTTTTCTTCTTCTGTAAAATGAAGTTAATAATACCTCTTAGAATTGTTGAAAGTATCAGTGTATGTGAAAGTGCTTTGTAAACTGTGCAGGAAGATATATAGATATGCAGATTATAACAGATGGGTCATAATAGAAATCCCATTTCTTTATCAGGTATATACTTTGTTGCTTGAATTCAATGAGTGACACCAAGGATCAAAAAGGAAAAGGACACTAGTAGCTCTCACAGGTCTTCCTGCTCTGTTTGGTTTATGCAAGTAGTCTTTTTTTAAATTTTTATTTATTTATTTTTTTTTGAGACAGCTTCTCCCTCTGTCACATAGGGTGGAGTACAGTGGTGCAATCACAGCTCACTGCAGCCTTGACCTCCCAGCTCAAGCAATCCGCCCACACCAGCCTCACAAGTAGCTGGGACCACAGGCATGAACCACCCCACCTGGCTAATTTATTTTTATTTTTTGTAGAGACAGGGTCTCCCTGTGTTGCTCAGGCTGGTCTTGAAATCCTGGGTTCAAGCAATCCTCCTGCCTCAGCCTCCTAAAGTGCTGGGACTATAGGCATGAGCCACCGCGCCTAGCCTGTGCAAGTCTTTATATACTCTCAAGTGCAGACACTCATGTAAACTGGCTTGTGTTTGGTTTCTGATGGAAGCTTTGTTTCTCTGGAACATGCAAACATTATGAGTGGCTAAGGAAACTGCAGCAGTGCTATAGTTTGAATTGCTGGGGATCAGAAAATGATGCCCCAGAATATGACACTTTGACATGCTGAACTAAAGAAGCAGCCTCAAGGTCTCTCTCTGACCTTTCCCTGCCTCCCTGTCTCTCTGTCCTCTTTCCCAAAGCATTGGGAAGGACTCTGTCCGGAATTTCCTTAGCTGATTAAGAAAACTTCTTTCCAAAAGAAATGCAATTGTCTTAAGTTACCCTCCCTAGGAATCTTATCAAATAACTGGGAAAGATTAACCAAGTGAGAACAGAAGAGACTAGAGGTCATTATCCCACCCAAGTAGACTTTTCATCTATTCTTTTGAGGGCAGCTCTAAGAGATTAAGCTGAGGTTCCTTATAAAAATATTCCAGCAAAGCCAGCTAAAAAAAAAGCCTATATGATCAATCACTATTCTTGCTGTACTTTGTGCAAATAATCAGGCTAAGTTTATGAAACTAATTTTATTTTTACAAACAACTTGGTCTTACTGTGATTATAGTTGTCAGAAATAGGGGGACTGGAGAGAGAAAATTATGTTTCAGAAGAAAACTATAGTGCACCTGTTATTAGATTCTATTCCTGTCCATTATTTTTGAGTTTTTATCTGGACTGAATTCTGAATTCTTAGTTTGTTCTAATAATCTCACCATAAGTCCCCAAAGTAACATTTTCAATTTTTCTCTCATCCTTCTGATTTGAAATCACTAGAAATTAAAAACTGCCTTTTGTTCCCTGAGGCCCACAAGCCAAAGCTGGTCAATTTGGCTTTAAAGAAAAATCACCACGACAGCTTCTATTTGGACAAACTTTGTGACAGGGAAACTATAAACCAGAAAAATCTGTCAAATTGCCACCACCTGATGTTGCTCCAACTATAGATGCTTGAATCCCAAATCTAGTAATCTTCTCCACTGACTGCCCTCCAGATTCTAAGTAAACTAGCTTATAGACTGCTCTAGACATTAACTTTTGTTTTTCTTCTGTTTCCATAAAAATGTGTCTTATTTAAAAAACCTCTTTGCCTACACTATATAGAGATAAAACTTTTATGGGATCCTGGAAAACACCACCTCCTGAATTGAGACACAACTGTTTAATTAGATTGACCTATTCCCAGCAATGGGAGATTGGTTTAAGGGACCCTTTGCCATTTAGCTACAAACTCGATTTTTCTCTCTACAGCCACCAACTCAGCTTTAAATGTATGAAATTTCTAGGGAAGTTTCAGTCAGGGGAATGTTGGTGTTCAGAAAATGATACCCAAAATATGGCACTTTCACATGCCAAACTAAAGAAGCAGCCTCAAGGTCTCTCTCTGACCTTTCCCTGTCTCCCTGATCCTCTTTCCCTATTCTTCAGAGGGTGGTTCTGAGAGATTACCTGGGGGAACTTCATCTGCATAATGAGACAAACTTCGTTTATAGTGAAGTTTTGCCCCTCATCTTTCCATTGTCTCAGGCCATTGTTCTTTGGGCTTATTCATTTCCCCTGAAAATCATTTCCTTCTACATCTCCCTCTCCCCTTCCCCTATGAAGAAGGGTATATAAGCATGTGGACCTCCTTGGGTTATTGAGTAATCATTCTCCCGTGATTCCTCCATGCTATGCACTTTAAATAAATTTTGTATGCATTTCTCTCCTATTAATCTGCTTTTTGTCAGTTCATTTTCAACAAACCTTCAGTGAGTGAAGAGGAAGCTTTCCTGCCACCCCTACAGAATGCAGATCATTTATATTCCTCTCTGACACTAGTAGATGGAGGATGTCAGGGTCCTGTACATCAGAGATAGGGAGAAACTGTGACTGATACTTATAAGCTGAGGGTCTCAGAGAAATATTTCTAACAGTCCAGCAACTCTATAGGCACATTCATTTAGTTTCTGCATTGTGGTGAGATGACATACTCTTCCCAGTGCTGTCTCTGAGATAATTTGGGAAGTGACTACATTTATCTTTGGTAACTCTAGCCCTCCCTTTTAAAAATAATAAATACCACATATTGAGCATTTTCCATGTGCTGAGAAGTGTGTTATATGGTTTACCCAGTCATATATAATCACATGTAATGTTTATCACAAGTCTGATGGGCCATTTTCATTGAGTGCATCCTGTGCTATGTACTTCCTGTACCTTGCCTTATTTAATCTTCACAGTAACTTTATGAGATTGGTGTTACTATTGTTTCTATTTTATAGATAAGGTTACTAAGAGTCGGTGGAATTGTTGTAGGAGTTATTAAGAAATTATTTTAGGCAGATAGAGAGGAAAAGGGGTCCTTGGGAAGTTTTCGTTTTTTAAAGCATCTTTCTTGTAAAGCCCTGGCTCTTAGAGCCCAGCTGGCAACCTTTGATATGCAAATGTAGGCTATTAGAAACTGGGTCCACCCAAACATGGCGATTCCCGCAGCCTTCTTGCACTTGCTGACAAGTGCCTGGCAACATGGCTGCCCCCACATATCCCCACGTGTGTAGAACATCATGGCGCCCTACATTTGCATATTAATAGGCTGGGGTGGGAGGGCCAGTTTTTTCCTGGGCTATGTGAATGACATACCTGGTCAAACCAATCCCCTGAGCCCTGTGCAAATCAGATACCGCCTCCTCCAGCCTCTACATATACCTGACTGGTTTCTGCCCGACTTGGGGTCTCCTCTCTTGGCTTTGGAGCCCCCCTCCCTCTGTCTGTGTACAGGGGAGCTTCTTCTTTCTTTCTCTTCCCTTCTTTCTTGCCTGTTAAATTCTCTGCTCCTTGAAACCACTCCACATATGTCCATGTCATTTTATCTAAACCAGCATGAGGACCAAGAACCCTGGTGTTCCTCTACTCATTGGAGCCATATCAGAATGAAAGGATTTGCTTAAGGTCACACATGTAGAAAGTAGTAGAACTGAAATTTGAAATCTGGCTTTCAAGGAAGAAGTTGAGTTGTATTCATACTAAGATGTAGTATTGGGTTTAGGAAGATGGGGAGAAGAGAGAAATATCCGGCTCAAGTGGAATATTTTTTTTTATCCAATCATTCATTCAACTCCTTTCTTCAAGTCATTCAGGCCAGAACTCTTGGAGTAATCATCATCATCACATCCATATCTAGTATATCAGTGAATCTTTCAAAATAGATCGTATACAAAAGCCAACATTCCTCCACATGTTCACTGCCACCACCTTGGTCTATGCTACTATCATCTCTTATCTGGATGACGGCAACATCTGCCTTCTTTTGCTCTAGTCCTCTATGGCAGACATTGCTAGCTGTCTATAAAAACTCATTTGGCCCTTCTTCAAATAAATACACCTGAATGAACATCTGTCTGGCTGGACTACATTCCCTAGCCTTGATTGTTGTTAGATATGCCCATGCGACTAAGTTTTCATCAATAGAAGTGAGCAGAAATGACGTGTGCCATTTCTGAGTCAGTGACTTGTGACATTTGGGCTTGCTTCCTCTATACCCTGTTCTTATTCTCTCTGCTAGAACCTGGATATCTTGACAATATGGCTTTGAATTTGCAGATCATGACAAGGCCCTAGGTGATGGTCTTGGAAACAACTTGGAAATAATATGTGCCCATGAATCACCATGAGCAAGGGACCTTAGCTATAGATTAGAACAGTTTGCATCAGGGCTGTTAAGTAAGAGAGAAAACAAACTCCTTTATTCTTAAGCTACCATAAGGTTGGGTCCTTTTGTGATAACACCCTAACTTTACCCTAATTAGTATACTCCATACAGTCTGTTCTCTACACAGCATTCAGAATAAACTATTTAAAAACATATCATATCATGTTGCTTCTTTACTTAAACCCCTCTAATGGCTCCCTGTTCCTCACAATGTAAAAGCCAAAGTCCATAGAATGACATGTCCAAGCTCCTACCAAGCTCCTATGTTACCTCTCTGACTCTTCCCCAATCATTTTCCTGCTGGTCTCTTTTCTATCTTTGAACCTGTCGAACACATTCTCACCAAAGGGACTATGCCTGTGTTGTTCCTTCTGCCTGGGAAAACCTTCCACAGCTGCATGGCTCATTCCCTCACTTCATTCAAGTCTTGCCTCAGTTACTGCCTTTGTAGTGAGGCTTTTCTGGACCATCCTATATGAAATAGGACCCCCATCACTAACTAGCCGTTTACCAGCCTTAGTTTTTCTCATAGCACTTATCACTAGTTGACATACGTGTTTGTTTGTTACCTGCCTCCTCCATTTGGAATGTGTACTCCATAAAAATATGGAATTCGGTTCACTGCTATTTCCCTTGTGCCTAAAAGAATGCCTAGCATGGCTGGGCACAGTGGCTCGTGCCTGTAATCCCAGCTACTCAGGAGGCTGAGGCAGGAGAATCACTGGAACCTAGGAGGCAGAGGTTGCAGTGAGCTGAGACCGTGCCACTGCACTCCAGCCTGGGCAACAGAGTGGGACTCCATCTAAAAAAAAAAAAATGCCTAGCACATAGTAGGAGTTTGATAAATATTTGTTGAATGAATGACTTCATTTATTAATATTCCATAATCCTTGAAGTCAGTGATTCTCAAACTTCCTTGTGCCTAATAATCACCTGAATGCTGTGAATGCTGTTTCCTGGGAATATATCCATTCTGATTCTGATTCAACTAATCTTGGGTGGGTCCCAGAAATTTACTTTTTTAAAACATGCACCCATCCATTGTAAACTTGATACAAATGGTAAGGTGACACCTCTTTGAGAAACACTGCACTAGACTGTAAGCTTCATGAGGGTTTTCTCAATAATGTAGTTGCAATGCCTTGCTTAGTGCTTCACCCATAGTAGATACTCATCAACAATTTTTTAAATGGATCAATGAACAAATAGTAATTGCAGTTTCTTAGTTTCCAGGCACTCTGAGAGATGATGAGATCACCCTAGTGGAAGCACCTTAAACTTTACACTTATTTGTCCAACAATAGTCCCTGAGGCCTGGGAGTCTACTCAGTGCTGCTATAATGTGAACTAAGTTATCCTTTAAGACAGTGCTTCTCAAATTTTAACAGGTACTGGAATCACCTGGGTATCTTGTTAAACTGCAAATTCTGATTCACTGGCCTGGGATATGCTTGGGATTCTGCATTGCTTACAAAATCCTAGTGATGCCATTGCTGCTGGCCCATCAACTGCACTTTGAATAGCAAGGATTTAAGCTAAAAAAGGATAGTGGGCTTAGCTAGCCAGATGATTACTGCTTGCCCGGGGCTACTTGCTCCTCTGCTGCAGAGAAATTTTTTTTGCCCGAGGCTCAGTGGAAGCTGCCTAATTTTCAAGCTCTACCAACAACTATACATGTTTTAATTAAAAAGACCCTCAAACAATTAAGATAGAGCATTTAGGGCGACTGTAACATTCATGGATGTAAATTGTGTTGTTTTTCTGAGGGAGACGGAATAATGTTTGTGTCTTAGTTTAATTAAAAAATGAAAGAAAGGAGGCTTCATAGGTGACAGATAGATGCCTGAAAGTGCTACAGAGATCTTGGATGAAATAATTTTGTTAATTGAGCAAGACTTAGGCACAGTAAAACTCTTAATTTAGGCTACCTGTGTGCGATAATTTGATTGGGAGGATAATGCCTTCTTCACCTTTTCCAGCCTTTCAAGAATCCTAAATTTCCCACTGTCTTCTGCTTATTTTGGCAAGACAAAAATAATTTTCACTGTCACTTAATTCTTTCGCCTTAATGCATTTAGATTCCAGAAGTTCACTCAGACAATGTAAATGGCCCCAAATTAGGAAAACATCAATTACTTTACAGTCATGAACACCTTAGGGCAGGGGCTTTTACCTCTAGGGCTTCTTGTTCAGGCTTCAGGGAAACTTTGAACTCCCCCAAATTTCATAAAAGTTGTGTGTATATACGTGTGTGTGTGTGTGTGTGTGTGTGTTGTGTTTTTTTTTTTCCAGGGAGGGATTCCATAGCTTTTAGAAGATTCTCAGATGGGGTCTGTGTTTCCCCACAGATTAAAAATCTTCTTAGATATGCAGATAACAGAGATTAGGACAGGGGGTTTTGAATGGTAGGGTAGAGAAATATACAACACTTTATTTCAGTTTGTTTTGTTTTGCTTTACATTTCTTTCTGTCCATTAGATTATGTCCTCCTCGAGAGAAAGCCATACTCATCTGTTAATCTCTGATGCCCAGAATGGTGTCTAGCACAGAAGAAGTATTCAATACGTGGTTTCAAAATAAGCAATGAAACTAGGTCAGGAAGGGACCTGGGAAATAGGATGAAAAGGGAACTCAAGAAGCAGGGATCATTGAAACACTGGGCTCTGGATAGCTAAGTGAGGGTGAGATGAACATGGACAGAGAAGACAGGACTGGAAAGGTACCCAGAAAATACTTCAGTGGGTTGATACTTTTTATAGGGCTCAACTGCATATACACATATTCTTTTTGGGGGATCGTTCTCAATGGGAGGTAAAATCCAAGTCTAACATCTCAGCTTTTTCCCTCTTGTTTCGTAGTTAAGATGTGCTGTTCAATCAATAAAACTGAATAATTTAAATTCAATATCACTCTGTCACTATCAATAATACTTTTGTGAGTGATGTAGTACTATGGTAATTCAATTTGTTAGTCACTGCCACACTTTCACATGACAGTCTGCTGAAGTTGTAAACTTAATTTACTCTAGGCACTTGACACAAGTAACATTGATGGGTTTTATCTTTAAAAATATTGATTTCCTCCCGAAAAGATCTCCTCTATATTTGTGCTTATTGAATAAACAAGCACCTGCCTGGTTAAGAAAAACTTTTTTTAAGCTAAGGAAGCTTCCTCCTTGGTTTTAAGTAGCTCTTTGCTGAACAACTTAAAACTCAGAACCTTAGGGCTAGGAGAGACCTGGAATTTTGTGTTGCCTTGTCTGTTTGACCATTTCCAGGGGCAGCTTTTTATCATCTAGGGTAGCAGAGTCCACGGCTGGATAGCTCTCATGGTTGGAAAGTTCTCCACAGTGAGAGAAAACCTACTCTTCTGCAACTTTGACTCATTATTGGTTTTCCCGAGTGACATATTGTAAATCGGTTCACCAACTGGTTGCTGGGCTTTTCATACATTTAAACACTGTTTGCGTGTATATCCAAGATTTTTCTGGTCCAGGTTAAACATTCCTAGTACTTTCAACTTGTTGTCATTTGACAGGATTTCTAGATCACCTCACAGTCATGGTCATTCTCCTCTGGCTGTACCACAGTAGTTGACCAGTCTTTTAAAATGTACAATCCAGGCCAAACACGGTACTCCTGATGAGTTCTAAATGGATTGAGTTTCACATAGACTTTTTTTTTAATGATGCTATCAAACCACTGTTCAACTCCCTAAAAGTAAAATTAATGAACTATATATTGTCATTACTTGTCTCTCTTTGTTATTTGACTCCCTTTATTACATTAAATTATACATTTGACTCATTTTTTCATAATGAATAGTTTGCACGTGAATAAAATGACCAACTTAAAATAAACAAATAAAAAGTATGTATTCACTAACAGTTATATTATAAATAAGTACATTCATAATCAATCTCTCATTATACCTGTTCCTCTCTTTCATAGAAAGCACTTATATTATAAGTGTAATTGATTATATCTTTAAGCATCTTGGCATTCTCAGGTTTACAGATTAATTGGGGAAAACTGTCCATTTTAATAAACTTTGGTTTTTTGTCCCATTCTTTAAAATGTTTTTTATTATGGAAAACTTCAAACATTTACCGAAGTAGAAAACATGAACCCCCATGAACTCATCACCTAGGTTCAGCAAATATCAGTTCATGGCCAATCTTGCTTCATGTATATAACCTCACTCCCATACCCAGAATTACTTTGAAGCAAGTCCAAGGCATAATTTTGTCTTAAATGTTTCAGTATATATTTCTAAAATATATAAGCTCATTACAAAAATAATATTCACAATATCATTATCATGCCTGAAAAATTAAGTTATCATCAAATAATATAGGCAGTATATACATTATCTTGACTTTCTCATAAATTTTCTTTTAAATTTGTTGGAATAAAGATCCAAATAAGGTTCCTACACTGCAATATTGCAATTAGAGAAGAGAGAGGAACCTAAAAATTAAATGAGACTTAAGAGGCATATAAACTCTCTCTTCTATCTCTATCTCTAACTTTCTCTAACTCTATATCTATCTATCTATCTATCTATCTATCTATCTATCTATCTATCTATCATCTATCTCTCTATCTCTCTATTCTATCTTTATCTCTATCTCTCTCTCTCAGTCTGGATTTTGCTGATTGCATCCTAGTAGAATCACTTAAAATATTCCTTTACCCTCTATTTGCTAGAAATTGGCAGTTAGACAAATTCAGCTTTCATCTTTTCACAAGAATACTTGATAGGTGAGGTTATGTGCTTCTATCAGAAAGCATGTAATGTCTATTTGTCGCTCTTTTTGTGATGTCAGCAGCCACTGAGGCTCATTGCCTAGATCCATAGGGATTATGAGACGGAGATATGCTAGTACTATCAAAACTTCTTCAATTATTAGTTGGAATACTTTTATAAATACAAATTTGCCCTTATCAGCTGTTTGGTTTTAGTGGAGTACACATCATGCAAGGATGGCAGGATGAATTCTTCATTCTTTCTCTTTATTTACTAGTTTTTGAAAGAACGAGTTGGTTCACTAGCATTCTCCAACAGTGACCAGTGAGTTTTGTTTTACTGTCATCAGTAACTCATACCTTTAATGAACTTTATGTGTTTCAATCCATTGCAGTTATTATTTCTACTGATGATAAAATTGTTTCAACTTTGGTCACTTGGAGCCCCTTCATGTTGACTCTTAAGTCCTTTTACATGACTCTGTTTTGATAGCTTCCTTGCTATCTGATATGACAAGGTGATCCAGTTTCAACTTGAACATTTGTCCCAGACCTCTACTTTCTCCAAGGAGCCCTGATTCCTTTTAGTGATAAAGGATATTTAGAGATGACAATCTTGGTGCTAGGGTTGCTCATTGCTATTGGGCTAGTCAGTGTTTCTAGGGCTTTTTCAGTGGACAGAACTAGGGTTTTTTTTTTTTTTTTTTTACAGGATCCTACTCCCATCGCCGAGGCTGGAGTATAGTGACTGGATCACAGCTCACTGAAGCCTCAACTTCCCGGGCTCAGGTGATCGTCCCACCTCAGCCTCCTGAGTAGCTGGCACTACAGCTGTGTGCCACCATGCCCAGCTAATTTTTTGTACTTTTAGTAGAGACAGGGGGAAATTTTTTTGGTTTGTTTGTTTTTTGAGATGGAGTCTTGCTCTGTCACCCAGGCTGGAGTGCAGTGGTGCAATCTTGGCTCACTGCAACGTCCACCTCCCGGGTTCAAGCAATTCTCCTGCCTTAGCTTCTGGAGTATCTGGGATTACAGGTGCCTGCCACAATGCCCGGCTAATTTTTGTATTTTTAGTAAAGGTGGGGTTTCATCATGTTGGCGAGGCTGGTCTTGAACTCCTGACCTCAAGTGATATGCCCACCTCGGCCTCTCAAATTGCTGGGATTACAGGTGTGAGCCACCATGCCCGGCCGGAAATATTTTTAAAATGTGAAACACATCATGGGTGTTTAGGATAGTTCTAACTCAAATTTAGGACTTCAGGGTTTTTACTTGATGCCATTGATCCAATGTCTGTATATCCCTTTTTCTATGCTAAAAATCAATTAGAAGGCTAGTGAAAACAGTTTAAGATTTTTAAAATTAATCCTGTCCTTAAGATGTATCCCACTAGGAATGGAAGGTCAAATAGCTGCATTTAAAAATCACTAGAAATAGTTGCTCTCTGGGTTGTTATGGCATCAATTCTGTAAGCAGGTTCATTTCTTTTAATTTAATTTTGTTTTATAGTAATTATTTTTAAAAATTTAATTTACTCTTATACCTATATAAGATATTACAAAGAACCAGACTCACAATTCTAAAAAATAAGGTATATTTAGAGAAATCTAACTTCTATCCTTGTCCCCTCTGCTATGTTCCCTCCTTTCCCTATAGATAACCATTTCAAAAGTATTTTAAAAAAATAAACATTTCCTACAGTCTAATATACATGTATGAAAGAGAACACGTCATAGACATATAGTGCAATGAGTTATCACAAAGTGAAAACATCACAATATCACCACATACTTGCTTAAGAACTAAAACATCACTAGAACACCCAGAAGTTCCTCTCATGTATTCTCGATCACCATTCCTTTCTTCCTCCCCAAAGCAAATACTGTCCTTACTTCTAAAATTATTGATTTGTTTGCCTTACTATTTGTCCTTCATATAAGTGGAATCATATGGTATACATTCTTTAGGGTCTAGTTTTTTTCATTCAATATTATGCTTGTGAGATTCATCCACAGTGTTTCATGGAACAGTCATGTATTCATTTTTATCATTGTAATGTCCATAATTTATCCTTAATAATCTTGATAGATATTTGGGTTGTTTGCAGGTTTTGCCTATTAAAATTTATGCTTCTATGAACATTCTTGTAAATGTATTTTGTTTCTGTTAGGTATACACATAGGAGTGGAATTGCTAAGTGATAAGAATATGTATATATTCAAATTTAACACATACTGTCAGTTTTCCAAATAAATCATACCAATTTAAAGTCCCACTAGTAGGTATGAGCATTCTCTTGCTTCGCATCCCATTTAGGAAGAAAGTATATCTCTCAAATTATTTAGGTATCACAATTAAGTTCCTAGTCATTATTTCTTGTGTTTTGTAATTACATGGGCTCATAATTTGCAAATAATAATGATTTAAATTTCCTTTTAGGGAGGATGTGGAGCAAGATGCAATAGAAAGTTCCACTGATCATCTTCCCACAGGGACACCAATTTAACAACTATCTACACACAAAAAGCGACTTTGTAAGAACCAAAAATGAGGTGAACACTCATAGTACCTGGTTTTTACTTCATATTGCTTCATATTGCTGAAAGAGGAACTGAAGAGGTAGAAAAAAAACAGCCTTGAATTGCCAACGCCACCCCTCCCACATCCCTCTGGCTGTGATAGTGTGTTGCAGAGTGTTTCTGTGCTCTGGAAAGAGGGAGAGCCAGCAGTTGTGAGGTATGGAACTCAGTGTTGCCCTTGCTGTACCAGAAAGCAAAACTGGACCAAATACCACTGACACCTGCCCACAGAGGATGCATTAAACCAGCCCTAGCCAGAGGAGAATCACTGATTCCAGCAGTTGGAAATTGAGTTCTTGCAAGCATTGCTACCATGGGTTAAAGTGCTCTGGAGCCCCAAATAAACTTGAAAGGCAGTCTAGGCCACAAGGACTGCAACACCTAGGCAAGTCCTAGGGCTGCACTGGACCCAGAGACAGTGGACTGCGGGGAGGCACACAACCAGCCAGGGTGGCTAAGGGGATTCTGGCATCGTCCGTTTCCTTCCTTAACCCCAGGCTGCACAGCTCACAGATCCTAAAGGGAGCCCCTCCTTCTGCTGGAAGAGAGGAGACAGAAGAGTGGGGAAGACTTTGTCTTACATCATAGATACTGGCCCAGCCACAGCAGAATAGGGTACTGGTCAGAGTTGTGAGACCCCCTTTCTAGGCCTCAGCTTCCAGATATTTCTAGATACACCCTGGGATGGAAGGGAACCTGCTCCCTTGAAGCAAAGTGCCCAGTCATGGCAGGATTCATCACCTGCTAACTGAAGAGCTCTTGGACCGTGAATAACCAGCAGTTATCACTGCTGTAGTACCACTGGTGTAGTACCCGGGTACTACACCAAGGGCCTTGGGTGAGACATTGAGACTTGCTGACTTAAGATGAGACTCAGCACATTCCCAGCTATGGTGGCTACAAGGCAAGACTCCTTCTGCTTGAGAAAAGCAGAGAAAAAAGTAAGGAGGACTTAGTTTTGTATTTTTGGTACAAGCTCGGCCAGAGAGGGGTACAGTACCAAGTGGACGCTTGGGTTCGCCGATTCCAATACTTGGCTCTTGGACAGCATTTCTGGACCTGCCCTGGGCCAGAGGGGAGCCCACTCCCTTGAAAGCTGAGATCCAGGCCAGGCTGCATTCACCACAAGCTGACTAAAGAGTTTTTAGGCCTTAAAGGGAATATCTATGGTAATCTGGTGGTATACCCTGTGGGCCTGAAGTGATGGTGGCCACAGGGTGAAGTTCTGCCTTTGGAAAGGGGAGGGAAGAGTGGATAGGACTGCATCTTGTGATTTGATTACAAGCTTAGCCACAGTTCAATAGAACACCAGGTGAACTTCTAAGGTTTTTGATTCTAGTCCTGAGCTCCCAGACAGCACCTCTGGACCCATGCAGGACCTGAAGGAACTCACCTCCCTTAAGGGAAAGACATAGGCCTGGCTGTCTTTGCCACCTGCTGATTGTAAAGCCCAAGGGCTTTGAGCAAACATAGGTGGTAGCTAGCAAGTGGTTATTGCAGGACTTGGGCAAGACCCAAGTGGTGTGCTGCCTTCAAGTCTGACCCAGTAATATTCTAGGGGTGGTGGCAACAGGAGTACTTGTTGTACCCCACCCCCGGCTCCAGGTGGCTCAGAGCAGAGAGAGAGATTCTGTTTGTTTCAAAGAAAGTAAGGAAAGAGAACAAGAGTCTCTGCCTTGCAATCCAGAGAATTTTTCCATATCTTGTCTAAGTCCATCAGGGCGGTACTTCTTTGAGTCTGCAAGAACCACAGTGCCACTGAACTTGGAGCCCCCTCTAAAGCAGATATAGATTAGATCACAACAACCAAGTCCTTTCAAATACCTGGAAAGCCTTCTTAAGAAGGATAGGTACAAACAAGCCCAGACTGCAATGACTACAATAAATACCTAACTCCTCATTGTCTAACACTGAAGAACATTTACTAGCATCAACACCCTCCAGGAAAACATGACCTCACCAAATGAACTAAATAAGGCACCAGGGACCAATGTGGGAGAAACAGAGATATGTCACCTTTCAGACAGAGAATTCACAATACCTGTTTCGAAGAAACTCAATGAAATCCAAGATAACACAGAGAAAGAATTAATAATTCTATCAGATAAATGGAACAAAGAGATTAAAATACTTAAAAAGAATCAAACAGAAATTAGAGAGTTGAAAAATGCAAGTGACATACTGAACAATGCATCAGAGTCTTTTAATAGCAGAATTGATCAGTCGGAAGAAAGAATTAGGGAGCTTGAAGATAGGCTATTTGAAAGTGCACAGAGGAGACAAAAGAAAAAATAATAAAAAACAATGAAGCATGCCTACAGGATCTAGAGAATAGCCTTGAACAAGTAAATCTAAGAGTTATTGACCTTAAAGAGGAGATAGAGAAAAAGATAAGGGTAGAAAGTTTATTCAAAAGGACACTAACAGAGAGCTTTCCAAACCTAGAGAAAGATACCAATATTGAAGAAGGCTGTAAAACACCAAACAGATTTAACCTAAATAAGACTACCTCAATACACTAAATAATCAAACTCCCAAAGATTGAAGAAAAAAAATTCCTAAAAGCAACAAGAGAAAAGAAGCAAATAACATGCAATGGAGTTCCAATATGTCTGGCAGCAAAGTTTTCAGTGGAAATTTTACAGGCCAGGAGATAGTGGCATGTTAAATTTAAAGTGCTGAAGGAAATAAACTTTTACCCTATAATTGTATATCCAGCAAAATTATCATTCAGAAATGAGGGAGAAATAAAGACTTTCCCAGACAAACAAAAGATGACAAATTTCATTAATACTAGATCTGTCATACAAGAAATGCTAAAGAGAGTACATCAACCAGAAAGAAAAGAACATTAATGAGCAATAAGAAATCATCTGAATGTACAAAACTGACTAGTAATAGAAAGTACAGAGAAAACACAGAATATTATAACATTGTAACTGTGGTGTGTAAATTACTCTTATCTTAAATAGAAAGACTAAATGATGATGCAATCAAAGATAATAACTACAACAACTTGTCAAGACATGGACAGTACAGTAAGATGTAAGTAGTAGCAACAAAAAGTTAAAAAAGCAGGGAATGAAGTTAAGGTGTAGTCTTTATTGGCTTTCTTTTTGCTTGTTTGCTTATGCAAGAAGTATTAAGTTGTTATAAGCTTAAAATAATAGATTATAAGATAATATTTGTAAGCCTCATGGTAACCTCAAACCAAAAAAACATACAACAGATACACAAAAAATAAAAAGGAAGAAACTAAATCATGCCATCAGAGAAAATCACCTTCATTAAAAGGAAGACAGGAAGGAAAGAAAGAAGATAAGGCCACAAAACAACCTGAAAACAAATAATAAAATGGCAGAGTAAGTTCTTACTTATCAAGAATAATATAAATGTAAATGGACTAAACTGTCCAGCCAAAAGACATAGAGTGGCTGAATAGATGTAAAAAACCCATTGCCTTGTTGCTTACCAGAAACACACTTCACCTATAAAGACACACAGACTGAAAATAAAGAGATGGGAAAAGATATTCCATGCTAATGGAAACAAACCAACCAACCAACAAACAAAAAACAAAAGCAAGAGTAGTTATACCTATATCAGAAAAAAATAGATTTCGAGACAAACTATAAGAAGAGACAAAAAAGGTCACTATATAATAATAAAGGGGTCAATTCAGCAAGAGGATACAACAGTTTTAAATTTATATTCACGCATCACTGGAGCACCTAGATATATAAAGCAAATATGATTAGAGCTATAAAGAGAAATAGGCCCCAATACAATAAAGGCTAGACACTTTAACACCCCACTTTCGGCATTGAACAGATCTTCTAGACAGAAAACCGACAAAGAAACATCAGACTAAATCTGCACTATAAACCAAATGGATCCAATAGATATTTACAGAACATTTCATCCAACAGCTACAGAATACACATTCTTTTCCTCAGCACATGGATCATTCTCAAGGATAGGCCATATGTTGATCACAAAACAAATCTTAAAACATTCAAAAAAACTGAAAAAATATCAAGCATCCTTTCTGACCACAATGGAATAAAATTAGAAATCAATACCAAGAGAATTTTTGGAAACCATACAAATACATGGAAATTAAGCAATATGCTCCTGAATGACCAGTGGTGGTCAATGAAGAAATTACTAAGGAAATTGAAAAATTTCTTGAAACAAATGATAATGGAAACACAACATACCAAAACCCATTGCATTCAACAAAAGCAGTAATAAAAGGGAAGTTTATAGCTCTATGTCTACATTAAAAAAGATGAAAAACTCCAAGTAAGCAACCTAACAATGCACCTTAAAGAAATAGAAAAGCAAGAGCAAATTAAGTCCATAATAGTAGGGAAAAAGAAATAATAAAGATAAGAGCAGAAAGGAATGCAATTGAATGAAGAAAATAATACAAAAGATCAATGAAACAAAAAGTTGTTTTTTAAAAGTTAAACAAAATAGACAAACTTTTAGCCAGAGTGACTAAGAAAAAAAGAGAGAAGATCCAAATAAATAAAATTAGAGATTAAAAAAGAGACATTACAACTGATATCGCAGAAATTCAAAGGATCATTAGTGGCTAGTATGAACAACTATATGCCAAAACTTAGAAGAATTGGACAAATTCCTAGACACACAAAACTTACCAAGATTGAATCAGGAAGAAATCCAAAACCTGAACAGACTAATAGCAAGTAACAAGAATGAAGTCATAATAAAAATTCTCCCAGTAAAGAAAAGCCCGGGACCCGACGGCTTCACTGCTGAATTCTACCAAACATTTAAAGAAAAATTAATATCGATCCTACACAAACTGTTCCAACAAATAGAGGAGGAGGGAATACTTACAAACTCATTCTATGAGGCCAGTGTTACCCTGATACCAAAAACAGACAAAGACACTTTAAAAGAAAAGGAAACTACAGGTCAATATCCTTGGTGACTATTGATGCAACAATCCTCAACAAAATATTAGCAAACTGACTTCAACAAAATATTAAAGAGATCATTCATCATGACCAAGTGGGATTTATCTCTGGGATGCAAGAATGGTTCAACATATGCAAATTAATCATATGATTTGCACATGTGATACATCATATCAACAGAAAGAAGGACAAAAATTGTATGATCACTTCAATTGATGCTGAAAAAGCATTTGGTAAAATTCAGTACCCCTTCATGATAAAAACTCTCAAGCAACTGGATTTAGAAGGAACATACCTCAACATAATAAAAGCCATATCTGACAGACCCACAGGTAGTCTCATACTGAATGGGGAAAAACTGAAAGCCTTTCTTCTAAGATCTGGAACATGACAAGGATGCCCAATGTCACTACTGTTATTAGACAAAGTACTGGAAGTCACAGCTAGAGCAATCAGACAAGAGAATGATATAAAGCACATCCAAATTGGAAAGGATGACATCAAATTATCCATGTTAACAGATGATATGATCTTATATTGGGAAAAACCTAAAAACGCCATAAAAAACCTATGAGAACTAATGAACAAATTCAGAAAAGTTGCACGATACAAAATTAACATATGATTTTCAGTAGCATTTCTATATGTCAACAGTTAACTAACTGAAACAGAAATTTAAAAAATTGTCCCATTTGCAATAGTTACAGGTAAAATTAAATACCTGGGAAATAACTAAGGAAGATCTCTACAATGAAAACTATAAAATATTGAGGAAAGAAATTGAAGGTAATACAAAAAATGTAAAAATATTCCATGTTTATGAATTGGAAGAATCAATATTGTTAAATTGTCCATACTACCCAAAGCAATCTACAGATTCAATGCAATCCCTGTCAAAATACCAATGACATTCTTCATAGAAATAGAAAAAAAATACTAAAATTTATATGGAACTACAAGATCTAAAATAGCCAAAGTTATCCTAAGCAAAAAGAACAAAACTAGAGGAATCACATTACCTGACTTCAAATTATATACTACAGAGCTATAGTTACCAAAACAGCATAGTACTAGCATAAACAGACACATAGACCAATGGAATAGACTGGAGATCTCAGAAACCAATCCGGACATCTATATTGAACCCATTTTCTACAAAGGTGCTGAGAACATACACTGGGGAAAAGACAGCCTCTTCAATAAAGGGTGCTGGGAAAACTGGATATCTCTATGAGGAAAAATGAAACTAGACTCCTATCTCTCACCATATACAAAAATCAAATCAAAATGGATTGAAGACTTAAATCTAAGACCTCAAACTATGAAACTACTACAAGAAAACATTGGGGAAAATCTCCAGGACATTGATTTGGGCAAAGATTTCTTCAGTAATACCCCATAAGCACAGGCATCCAAAGCAAAAATGGGCAAATGGGTTCATATCAAGTTTAAAAGCTCCTGCAAAGAAAAGTAAACAATCCGCAAAATGAAGAGACAACCCACAGAATGGGAGAAAATATTTCCAAACTACCCATCTAACAAGGGATTAATAACCAGAATACATAAGAAGCCCAAACAATTCTGTAGGAAAAAAATCTAATAATCTGATTAAAAAGTGGGGAAAAGATTTGAATAGACATTTCTCCAAAGAAGACATACAAATGGCAAACAGACATATGAAAATGTGATCAGCATCACTGATCATCAGATAAATCAAAACTACAGTAAGATATCATCCAGTTTAAATGGCTTATATCCAAAAGACAGACAATGAAAAATGCTGACGAGGATGTGGAGAAAAGAGAACCCTCATACGCTGTTGGTGGGAATGCAAATTAGTACAACCACTATGGGGAACAGTTTGGAGGTTCCTTAAAAAACTAAAAATAGAGCTACCATGTGATCCAGCAATCCCTCTGTTGGGTATATACTCCCCAAAAAGGAAATCCATACATCAAAGAGATATCTCTACACCGTGTTTGTTGCAGCTCTGTTCATAATAGCTAAGATTTGGAAGTAACCTAGGTGTCTATCAACAGATGAACGAATAAAGAAAATGTGGTACATATACACAATGGAGTACTATTCAGCCATAAAAGAGAAAGAGATCCAGTCATTTGCAACATGGATGGAACTGGAGATCATTATGTCAAGTGAAATATAAGCCAGGTATAGAAATACACGCATCATATATTCTCACTTATTTGTGGGATCTAAAAATTGAAATAATTGAACTTAAGGACATGAAGAGTAGAAACATGGTTACGAGAGGCTGGGAAGCATAGTAGCGGGGTGGGGAGTGGTGCGAGGGGGAGGTGGGGATTGCTAATGGGTACAAAATAATAGAATGAATGAATAAGGCCTAGTATTTGACAGCACAACAGCATGAATATAGTCAATAATAATTTAATTGTACATTTAAAAATAACTAAAAGAGTGTATTTGGATTGTTTGTAACACAAAGGACAAATGCTTGAAGGGATGAATACCCCATCTTCTATGATGTGATTATTATGCATTGCATGCCTGTATCAAAATATCTCATGTACTTCATAAATATATACACCTGCTTTGTACCCACCAAAATTAAAAATTAAAGAATTTAAAAAGTAAAAAAAAAATTAAACATGTCAACCTTATCTTTTTCCTTTTTTTATTGTCTTAGCTAGGACTTCCAGAACAATTTGAACATTAAAGGCATTAATATGGATCCTTATCTTTGATGGGAATTTTTTAGTGTTTTAACATCAATATGTTAACTGTTGGTTTTTGATAAATAATCTTCAATTTAAGGACGTTCTCTTCTGTTTCTAGAATGCTTTGAGAGTTTTTGGCCATGAATTGGTACAAACTTTTAAACATGCTTCTTTGGCAACTATTGAGAATATTATATGAGTTTCTAAATAATCAGCTTGTTTAAAAACACAGCTTTATGAGGTACTGTACCATATCATAAAATACTTCACACACCATAAAATTCATCCTTTTTAAGTGTAAAATTCAGTAATTTTTAATATATTCCCAGAGTTGCACAACCATCATTACTATTTAAATTCAGAATATTTTAGTCACAGAAAAAAAATTACACGTCCATCAGCAGTCATGCCCATTCTTTCCTCTCTCCAGCCCAGGGCAACCACTAATGTGCTTTCTATTTTTATGGATTTGCCTATTATGAAAATTTCATATAAATAGAATCATACAATATGTTTCTTTTTGTGACTAGCTTCTTTCACTTAACATAATGTTTTAAGGTTCATATCAATATTTCAATATTGTAGCACATATCAATATTTCATTCCTTCTTATTGCCAAATAATATTGCATTGTATGAATATACCACAATTTATTTAATAATCAGTTGATGGACATTTGTGTTGTTTCCATTTCTTGGCCATTATGAATGTTGCTGTTGTTAACATTCATGTACATCTTTTTGTGTGGACATATGTTTTTAATTTTCTTGGGTATATATCTAGGAGTAGAACTGCTAGGTCATATGGTAAGTCCATGTTTAACATTTTGAGGAAATGCCAAATTGTTTTCCAAATTATTTTACTATTTGATATTCTAACCAGCAATTTATAAAAATCGCAATTACTCCACATCCTTGCCAATGCTTTTTATTGTCTGTCATCTTCATATTAGCAATCGTCATTTTGATTTGCATTTCCTTAATGACCAATGATGTTAAACATATTTTTATGTGCTTATTGGCCATTTGTATATCTTCTTTGGAAGAATAAGTATTCATATCATTTGTCCATTTTTAATTGGGTTTTTGTCTTTTTGTTACTGAGTTGTAACAGTCATTTATATATTTTAGATATAAGTCCTTTATTAGATATATGATTTGTAAACGTTTTTACCCATCTTGTGGGTTATCTTTTCACTTTCTTTGTTTTCTTCTTTGAGTCTGCTTCCTAGAGAATCTTTTCACTTTCTTGATGGTGCTCTTTAAAGTGTGAAAGTGTTTAATTTTGATGAAGTCAAATTTGTCTGGTTTTCTTTGGTTGCTTGTGCTTTTGGTGTCATATCTAAGAAACCACTGTCTAATGCAAGGTTATGAAGATTTACTCTTATTTTTTCTCATAAGAATTTTATGGTTGTCATTGTTAAATTTGGGTATTGGATCCATTTTGACTTAGTATTTGTGTATGGTATTTGGAAGAGGAATACTTTCATTCTTGTGTATGTGGATATCCAGTAGTACCAGCACCATTTGTTGAAAAGGCTATTCTGTCCCTAATGAATGATCTTGGCCCCATTGTTGAAAATGAATTGACTGCAATGTATAATTTTTTTAGACTTTAAATTCTGTTCCACTGATTTATATGCCTGTCTTTATATCAGTATCACACTGTCTCAATTACTGTAGCTTTGTAGTATGTTTTGAAACCAAGAAGTTTGAGTGGTCCAAGTTACATTCTTCTTTATCAAGATTATTTTGGCTACACATAGTCCTTTGCATTTCTGTATTAATTTTATGATCAGCTTGTCAATTGCAACAAAGAAACCAGCTAGGATTTGCTAGGAATCATGTTGAATCTGTTTATCAGTTTGAGGATTATTGCCATCTTAACACTTTCTCTATCCCTTCAGTCTCGTTCTCTTTTTCTGCCTCTCATTCTTCAGTTGTAGCAGTAGGAAGCTGAGACAGAAATAAATTGAACATTTCTCAAAATGCTGTTATGAAGACAAAATAAAAAATTAACTAAAACTAAATAGGTTAAAAAAACAAAGAATGTAAGTGAACTGGTCAGTTAGCAAGTTGATCATGAAGATGATTGGCAAATTTTGGTGATTTGACTTAGATTTGTATGGAAAAGAGTTGTATGTGTGGTAGAGGGACACGACATGTATTTGTGCTGACATTGGGGAGTTTATCTCCTCTTTCTTGGCTTTCTCTGTCCCCCAGGTGTAAATTTCTTGCTGTTGTAATGGGCAAACCCTAAACAACTTCTCCACCCCTTCTTAACTGTGGGCTGAGAAAAATCACTAAACCATGATTGTTAAAGCTATGTCTAGAATAAAAATTGCATCTGAATATCAGTTTAAGAAATTACTGTATGAGTAAATCAGATTAGAGGATAGACATTGTGACATCCAGTTTTGCTTCTTGGAAACTTATTTTTTTTTGTTATTTTATTTAGCTTTATTTTTGCTCATTTTCCCCTTTTCCCTGTTATTGCAGTTAGATGAAGTTTATGGAAAAGTGATCTCTGGTTGAATGAAACATGATATTATTATATTTCTGTGGCCTTCATTTATAGAACAATTTGTTTGACAGTTATTTCAGTCTAAAGAAATCCCAAAATTTGTTATACTACTGCTAGAATCATTTACACCATTTGATCTCCAGCTATACGTTTATCTTCAAAACATATCAATAAATTTTTGGATTTGGATTTACTACCCCAGGTAATTCTGAAAGCTTGATATGTGTGAAGTATAGAGTGGGCTTTGGGAAATTTGTTTTAGACTATGGCTATGTCTTTTTTCCTGTGCTTTAGGAAGCATTCTGGAAGAGGAGTAGGGATTGAAAGGCCAAATATGTCTGAACATCTAGGCAACCTGGGTCTCCAGCTCATGAGAAAGATATCAAGACCTGGATCCCAGTGATGGATACATGAGACAAAGATTAGGGGTGAGTATTACTAAGCCAGTGGACCTCAAATGTTAGGGTGTGTCAGAATCCCCCGGAGGGCTTGTTGAAACACAGATTGCCAGGTTCTAGCTCCAGAATTTCTGGTTGACTAAGTCAGGAGTTGTTAGCGGTGGAAGTTTTCTGAGTTACTGGTGGTGAATCCATATGAGTCTGCAGCAACCTCAGTTCTTGCCTCCTAAGAAGAAACTATTCAACAGAGGGGCATAAGGCAGAAGAAGAGACCCAGGCAAGCTTTAGAGCCACAGTGAAAGTTCATTAAAAAGCTTCAGAGCAGGAATGAAAAGAAAGTAAAGTACACTTGGAAGAGGGCCAAGCAGGCATCTTGGAGAATAAGTGCCCTGTTTGACCTTGGACTTAGGGTTTTATATGCAGGCATACTTCCTATGTCTTGTGTCCTTATTCCCTTCATTCTTCCCTTGAAGTGAGCTGCCTGCATGTTCAATGGCCTGCTAGCACTTGGGAGGAGAGTATGCACACCTACTCTAGTATGTTTACTAGAGTTTTAGGCGTGCTCACCTGAGGGATTCTTCCCTTTTCCAGTGGAATGCCCCCAGAAGGTCATATACAAGCTAAACTCTGCCAGTTGGCCTCTTAATGTGCATGCTTGAGCCCACTTGCCCAACTTCTGAGATCTTATTGGGAAGCTGCTGATCACCAGTTTCAGGTGTTTCTATTTGGAAACCTTCCCTAGTGCTGGATGCGACCAATTATTATTTTAGAGAGACAGTGTGACAATTGCCTGACCATAACCTGATGGTCGTCACATTCTCGGTGGGGTTGGGGGAGTCCTCTCTTGCCCCACTCATGCCTGGCTAGCTACCTACTGTAACAGAGTGGGCTCTAAAATTTTTCATTTCTTTTTTTTATATTTTATTATTATACTTTAAGTTTTAGGGTACATGTGCACAATGTGCAGATTAGTTACATATGTATACATGCGCCATGCTGGTGTGCTGCACCCATTAACTCGTCATCTAGCATTAGGTATATCTCCTAATGCTATCCCTCCCCCCTCCCCCCACCCCACAACAGTCCCCAGAGTGTGATGTTCCCCTTCCTGTGTTCATGTGTTCTCATTGTTCAATTCCCAAGTATGAGTGAGAACATGCGGTGTTTGGTTTTTTGTCCTTGCGATAGTTTACTGATAATGATGATTTCCAATTTCATCCATGTCCCTACAAAGGACATGAACTCATCGTTTTTTATGGCTGCATAGTATTCCATGGTGTATATGTGCCACATTTTCTTAATCCAGTCTATCATTGTTGGACATTTGGCTTGGTTCCAAGTCTTTGCTATTGTGAATAGTGCCGCAATAAACATACGTGTGCATGTGTCTTTATAGCAGCAAGATTTATAGTCCTTTGGGTATATACCCAGTAATGGGATGGCTGGGTCAAATGGTATTTCTAGTTCTAGATCCCTGAGGAATCGCCACACTGACTTCCACAATGGTTGAACTAGTTTACAGTCCCACCAACAGTGTAAAAGTGTTCCTATTTCTCCACATCCTCTCCAGCACCTGTTGTTTCCTGACTTTTTAATGATCGCCATTCTAACTGGTGTGAGATGGTATCTCATTGTGGTTTTGATTTGCATTTCTCTGATGGCCAGTGATGATGAGCATTTTTTCATGTGTCTTTTGGCTGCATAAATGTCTTCTTTTGAGAAGTGTCTGTTCATGTCCTTTGCCCGCTTTTTGATGGGGTTGTTTGTTTTTTTCTTGTAAATTTGTTTGAGTTCATTGTAGATTCTGGATATTAGCCCTTTGTCAGATAAGTAGGTTGTGAAAATTTTCTCCCATTCTGTAGGTTGCCTGTTCACTCTGATGGTAGTTTCTTTTGCTGTGCAGAAGCTCTTTAGTTTAATTAGATCCCATTTGTCAATTTTGGCTTTTGTTGCCATTGCTTTTGGTGTTTTAGACATGAAGTCCTTGCCCATGCCTATGTCCTGAATGGTAATGCCTAGGTTTTCTTCTAGGGTTTTTATGGTTTTAGGACTAACGTTTAAGTCTTTAATCCATCTTGAATTAATTTTTGTGTAAGGTGTAAGGAAGGGATCCAGTTTCAGCTTTCTACATATGGCTAGCCAGTTTTCCCAGCACCATTTATTAAATAGGGAATCCTTTCCCCATTGCTTGTTTTTGTCAGGTTTGTCAAAGATCAGATAGTTGTAGATATGCGGCATTATTTCTGAGGGCTCTGTTCTGTTCCATTGATCTATATCTCTGTTTTGGTACCAGTACCATGCTGTTTTGGTTACTGTAGCCTTGTAGTATAGTTTGAAGTCAGGTAGCGTGATGCCTCCAGCTTTGTTCTTTTGGCTTAGGATTGACTTGGCGATGCGGGCTCTTTTTTGGTTCCATATGAACTTTAAAGTAGTTTTTTCCAATTCTGTGAAGAAAGTCATTGGTAGCTTGATGGGGATGGCATTGAATCTATAAATTACCTTGAACAAGTTCAGGTGATACAGATGCTGCTTGTTGGGAACCACGCTTTGAAGGCCTTGTCCCTCACTGGCTCTAGCCAAAAATAAACAGTAAGAGAATTTTTCTTCGGAACCCTTCCTTTAGGAACTCACTTCAAAGACACTGAATCATATCTATATGTACACATACATATGTACACACACACATGTATACTCCACTAATTTGGCTGTTTGTACCTTAAAGTCAGTGATTGAGTCTTATTTGTTTTTGATTTTCAGGCCCCTAGATAAGCAAATATTTGATAAATTATGCTGTTTATTTTTTTTTCAAAGTTTTTCATCCAAATAATTCTTAGAGTTTAGTGCTAGGACAGTTAGTTTTTCTGATTCTCCTTGTTATTAGATAATAAATATTGCATAATTTATTCCGTATTACTCTTGCATTTGGCTGCCAGGATGCTCAGAATTGTGCACAACTACTTTACCTATTACTAATATATATTTTCTTCTGCAAATAGCTCTATCTTCTCTTTCTTTACTATGAAACATCAGTTCCATTACTCTGGTTTTCAACAGTTCATGTTCATTCTATCTATATATAATTTTAATTATAACAGGTCTCAATATTTTACCAAATATAAAAATAAATCGGTAGAAAAAAATAATTCACTAGTGCCTATAATGGGGAAAAGAGCAGTGATGAATATTTTGGCAAAGTGTCCTTCTGTATACCTGTATGCAGGTACCAATTCCACAACTCATATTCCACCTTCACTGGGGAAGAATAAATATCATCTTAGCACTGTCCATCTGCTAGAGTGGGTTTAGCGTGTCTGCTTGTAGAGTAAATGGTACTTATTATATATGACTTCTTCAGCCCTTTAGCTTAGGGAGGAAAAAGAGCATGAAATAGCTTTCCTGATTGTGAATGCTTAAAAATTCTTAGATCATAACTGGGCCTGATTATTCTAGATACATACCATTTTTTTTCTACGTATGGACCTTAGGTTTAAGAGTCCAGGCTGAGGGAGGATAAGAAGAACAAATATTCAGAAAATATGATATCCTATTTTCCATGGAAGAGCTGTACATAATCAGGGACAATAAAAAAAACTGCATTACTCAAAGAGGGCTTTCCATAATACCCTGTAAAGCATTGGATGCTCTTTAAAATTGATGTATTGATGTCAAGGGAGTGAGCATAATGAACACTGCACAGACACGATCAAGAAATGTGGCCTATGTAAAAAAAAATCTAATTGTTACTTGCTGAACCCATCAAACAAGATACGTTGTCCCACTAGGCAGCCTTATGGAAAGAGCATTGCGATAAGCCACCCTATGCTGCTTATAACAGAAGCTGAAATGAGGCTCTCGGCATCCAGCACATGATATACAGTCTCTATATGTTCACTCAAATCTCCTATAACTTTATCATCATTATCTATGTCTGCACACTGAGAGTTGGTGCTCAGGTAATGACCATTCAAGGTTCTCAATAAACAAAGGTCCATAAAGTTAGTTAGACTTGGCAAAGTATCCTAGTTTGTGTGATACTCTTCCAACTCAATTAATGTTTATTAAGCACCTATTGTGTATAAAGTACCATGCTGGCACCTCAAGGGATACAATGTCTGATGAAAGGAGTAGGTCTGGTGTAAACATAACTACAGCTGATATCAGAATATGATAAAGGCATTAAGAGGAATGGAAAATGTTACCGGATTTCAGAGGACAACAAGATCAGAATTGATAGAGGTAATCAGGAAAGGCCTTAAGAGGGAAGAGCAGGCATGGCTTTAAATAAGCATAAAATGGGGTTTGATAGAGTGGAGGGGGTGGTTGTAGTGGACTTATTAATAAAAAAGTAAAAGATTAAGTAGGACTCCAGGTCTTTCCCTAAAAGGATGTTTTTGAAATTTTGATTTTGTAGATTATGTACTTTCTTCCTCCCTTATTTTCTTATGAAACCCACTTTAGTACATATTATTTAATGCAGTGTTTCAAAAATGTGGTATGTATAGTGTCACCCCCAAGTATGTAGATGACATTTATATACAGTACACAGGCCAACAGCCCAATATTTTATATTTTTAGGATTCATGTGTTTAGTTTGATACAAAGTTGAAAAGCATTGCAACCCATATATCAACCCATGATTTAATGGATATTATGGCTTAGCAAGTATAAAAAGTAAACAAGTGGATTGATTTAAAGAAAATATTGATTAAATAATAATACAGCTCTAGGGAACTCTTTTTCGTAATCACAAGCATATGTTTAAATATTTGAAAATATTGGGGAAACCTATGAAGTCTATGATCACAAAAACTAATGCAAAATTAAGCTCTAAATAAAAGATATTATTTCTGCTCATAAAATGCTCATAAGATTTTTTTTTAAAGAATTGTATGGTATGGGAAATATAGTGATGAAGAAAAATACAATTTTCAGTCACATTGTACCTAAACTCCCCTAGTGCCAGACTCATTATTTGGAAGGAACAATGCTACCTAATAATGAACTATTTTCTATTCAAGGCAGCAGTCAAATATTCATTTCTCATTAATAATTCAATGTGACAAATTTATTACCTTGAAGGTGCTGCAAGCCAATTAGACAATGGGAAATTGTGTCTTCCTTTCAGCCCGTTTAGTTGGCTTCCAAGTGTGACATTTATCAAAACCTTGACTTTTAATGTAAACTTTATTATATGAGTTGGGGTTTGAGTTGACACTGGACATGCTTAACCAACCCTCAGAGTCTGGTGTGCTAGAGCCTTCAGAGATGCCTAGCTAATCGTTGCTGATATTTTGCCATAGAATATCACTGTGCCTGGTTATACAGTGTCATTGTTTCTAATGCTGGGCTTGGAGAAACCATCCTCAAGATCTTTTTGAATTGTATACATTTTTTAGTATTTGCATATTTTTTATCTTTGATGAATCTCATGATCTTCAAAATGATGGGGCTGGACTAGTACGTGTTTGCCAAAGTGTGATATGTGTGCCACTAGTAGCACAATAAATTCTTTTAGGTAACACATAGATGAACATATTTATTTCAATATTTACAGATTTATTTTAATGTATATTATAAAAATATATATAGCACAAATATCCATAATTTTATAGATATTATGGCACATAACTAGGCTAAAGTAGATATTTAAATAAAAGTTAAAAGTTAATTTAAATAAAATATTGAATAAATAATAGTACTACTGAAATGTAATACAGATTAAAAATCCCTAATCCAAAAATGTAAAATTTGAAATGCTCTAAAATCCGAAACTTTTTGAGTGCTGACATGATGCCACAAGTGTAAAATTCCACATCTGATCTCATGTACACAAACTATGTTTCATGCATGAAATTTTAAAGAATATTGCATAAAATTACTTTCAGGCTTTGTATATAAGGCATATAGGAAACATAAATAAATTTTGTGTTTAGACTTGGGTTTTATTCCCAAGATATCTCATTATGTATCTCTAAATATTCCAAGACCTGAAAAAAAATAAAAATCTGAAACCCTCTGGTCCCAAGCATTCTGGATAAGGGATACTCAATCTGCACATGGAAACTTACAGTACTGGTGATAGAGTTTGGCTGTGTCCTCACCCAAATCTCATCTTGAATTGTAGTTCCCATAATCCCCATGTGTTGTGGGAGAGACCAGGTGGAAATAATTGATTTATGGGGGCAGTTTCCCCCATCCTGCTCTTGTGATAGTGAGTTAGTTCTCATAAGATCTGATGGTTTTATAAGGGTCTTCCCCCTTCGCTGCACACTCATTTTTCTCCTTCCTGATGCCAAGTGAAGAAGGATGTGTTTGCTTCTCCTTCCACCATGATTGTGAGTTTCCTGAGGCCTCCCCAGCCATGCTGAACTGTGAGTCAATTAAACCTCTCTCCTTTATAAATTACCCAGTCTTTGATGTGTCTTTAGCAGTGTGAGAATGGACTAATACAATTGGCAATTCATGAATATGGAAAAAATTGTGGAGGTACATATGGATAACTAACTTTGGGGAAACACTGCAATCTGTGAGCAGGATTTGCTTTATAAATTAGGTAGAATTGATGTGTAATGTTAAGGGCATCAGAAGTCCTTCTTCAATCTAAAGGGTGTTCCCTGATCAGCCTTCCTGAGACTGGCATTATCAGTATCTCACCATAAGGCCCTTCTCAAGGAAAAATGCATTTAAACTGGGTGAAAACGTTATGGTATATAATATTCTACCAATATATCATTAAGGGTTGGTTTAATCTGATTATCAAATCCATTGTTTCCTATGTACTCCAACAAAGAGTAGAATCCTGAGTAACAGTGACATGGGATCAGCAAGGTCTTAATGTTGGGGCAGGGATGGAAAAGTCTGGTCCGTGGATTTCTACCTCTGTGTTTGGTTAGGGTGCCTCAAAAAGAGACTGCTTTCAGGACCCCATGCTATTGCTTTGGTTATTACACTCACTTAGATTGGTACTCCTTTAAGAAACTATACTATACTAATCCAACCAGAGGGGATGCATAAATTAGGGATAGATTATTCCCATGATAAAGTGATGATCTGGTTTACCAAAGGATTCAGTGCTGGGCTATTTTAAGTGTAGAGCTTCCTTAACATACTTAAGTGTTTTTTGTGAGACCATAAATACTTGAGAAAATGACCAAAGGAGACACCAAACTTTAGAACAAAAATGTTGGGATAGGCTGGGCATGGTGTCTCACACCTGTAATCCCAGCACTTTGGGAGGCAGAGGCAGGCAGACTGCCTGAGGTCAGGAGTTCGAGACCAGCCTTGCAAACATGGTGAAACCCCGTCTCTACTAAAAATACAAAAATTAGCCAGGTGTGGTGGGGTGTGCCTGTAATCCCAGCTACTCAGGAGGCTGAGACAGGAGAATCGCTTGAACCCAGGAGGCGGAGGTTACAGTGAGCCGAGATCACGCCACTGTACTCTAGCCTGGGCAACAAAGAGTGAAACTCCATATCAAAAAAAAAAAAAAAAATTAGGATCAAATGCCCATAGAAGTTCCATCCAAAATGAAGATAAAATGTCTTGAAAAGTTAAGTGAAGAAAGTAGAGTTTGGTTTTCAGTTCAGTTTACTTGCAACATATTAAAAATTCATTTTGTTAAATGAAATTCATGCTTTTGGTATTTTGTTAATATTTTCTTATATCACATTTTTTTCTCTTCATTTTCCCAGTGCTTCCTAGGCAACAAAATGACCTTTAAACAATTTCTTCCAGTCCTTTGCATATCAGGAAATGCTTTACTTCTGTGGTGCTAACTGTACCTTTGCAGAGTGTGTTTGGCCATGGAGATTAATAATACTCTCTGTTGCAGTATATACTTGGTTCTATTCTGGATCTGCTGATAGTCTTGATCTTTTCAAAATATTCTTATATATTGATTCTTTAACCCTAGAGTTCTTTCTTAAACCTGTGAAAGAAATGAGACTACCATGTCAATATAGGATGTATTTAAGTACTGAGAGTTCCATTAGGGTGGAACCCAATGACCAACAGCAACTCAGAAGGCCCCTTGGCCCTCTGCTGGTGCAATGTTTCACTTTACTGAATAGGTTTTTACTTGTCAGCAAGGCTCAAACCCTTTTTTTTTTCCCCAATTTGACAACTGTTGGGCATATAAATGTGAGGTGGGGGCTGGAGTAGAGTATATATTATTTAGGTTGAGAATTAACAGTGGGAGGTAATCAAGAGATATGAGCAGAAGGGAGATGTGCCTAATAAGGCAAAGAGGAATATTTGGATATCTGGAAACATTTATTGAAAGCCGTGGAGCCAGGATAAACTATTTTCTCAATGACAATTTCTTTGAAATATGTAAAGATTATTAGCCACTTTTCTCTGTCTCTCCCAGATCTCCCTAATTGGGTCTATGGCTTTATCATGATTGTTATAGTCCTGAGTAAATTCTGTCAAAGTCAAGGTATTTATTAGTGGTGTCTTCCTGCACCTCCTGAACACCCCTAAAAAGTTTTGTGAAGCTTGGAATTAGGTTAGCCATCATTCACAAAATTCTGGTTATACTGTCTAATACTACTGTGTAGTCCTCACTTCCCCTAGTATTAGAATTACAACCTGAATCCTGGCTCAAGAGATGTCTTCATTGAACGTCAAGACCATTATCCTGTGATTGCTTTGCTGTCTGTCATAAAGGTATGCTCTCTGAACCCAGAATCTAAAGTTAGGCTCTATGCTGGGTCGGAATCCTTGATGATTGTGTCTGCTTGGTATCAGTTTATTCTGCTTCAAAGGACCTGGTGTAGTTTCTATCTAGTGTTGTCCACCTGAGCTGTAACGAAAATAAGTTCAGGCAGGGGCTCTAAAATCATCCTGTTTCAGAAAGCGAAACCTTATTTGGAATCAAGTTCATTTTATCTTTGCTTATTTAATTGTGTGTGTGTGTATCTATCTAGCTGTCTGTGTGTGTGTCTGTCTGTCTATCTAGATATTTGGTCCACAGTTTGCTGTATTCAACTAAAGTCCCCAAAATTTGTATCTCAATCTGTTCTTAAAGCAGGCGACAGGGACAGAAAAAAGTGAGAAGACAGTGTGTATTAGCAGAAAGCACATCCTGATTTCTACTTTGTCTTCAATATACTTTCTGCCAAACTAGAATTAGAAGGGAACTTCCTCAACCTGATAAAGATCATCTTTGAAAAATCCACAAATAACATTTAACATTATGCTTAATGGCGAAAACAGGATGCTTTACCCTTAAGATCAAGAATAAGACAAGGTGGTCCACTGTCAAAATTTCTATTCCACACTGTATTGGTGGCTCTAGCCAGGGTAATTAGGCAAGGCAAAGAAATAAATAGCATACAGATTGGAAGGAAGGAGTAAAAGTATCTCCCCTTGCAGATGATGTAATTTTCTATATAGAAAATTCTGAGGCATCCACAAAGTCTATTGGAAATATTAAACAGGTTCAGCAAGGTTGCAGGATACAAGGTTAATATAAAAAAATTATATTTCTAAGCACCAATAGTAAATAATACAAAAATGAAATTAAGAAAACAGTTCAATTTGCAATAGAATGAAAGAGAATAAAACACTTACAAATAAATCTAACAAAAGAAGTGAAAAATTTGCATACTAAACACTACAAACCGTCATTAAAAGAAATTAAAGTAGACCTAAATAAATGGATAAACATCCTATGTTCATGGATCAGAAGACTTAATATTGTTAAGATGGCAATACCCTCCAAACTGATTGATAGATACAATGTGATCCCTAAAAAATCCCAGATGGCTTCTTTGCAGTAATTGACAAGCTGATCATTAACTTCATATAAAAATTTAAGGGACCTACAATAGCAAAAATAACCATGAAAAAGAACAAAGTTGAAGGGCTCACATTTTCTGATATCAAAACTAAGCACAAGGCTATAGTAATCACGACAGTGTGATATTGGCAAAGGGATAGACATGTGGGTCAATGGAATAGAACTGAGAGTCCAGAAATAAACCCACACATTTATGGTCAATTGATATTCAACAAGGATGCCAAGAGAATTTAATAGGGAAAATAACATTATTTTTAAAAATGGTGCTGACACAACTGGATATCCTCATGCAAAAGAGTGAGGTTGTTTCCCTCCCAAACACCATATGCAAATATTAACTCAAAATGAATTAAATACCTAAAGTTAACACTTAAAACTATACGTATTTATGAGAAAACATAAGGGCAAATATTCATGACCTTGGGTTAGGTAGAGGTTTTTTAGATATGACAACAAAAGCAAAGGCAACTGAGAGAGAGAGAGAGAGAGAGAGAGAGATAAATTGTACTTCATTGAAATTAAGAAAGAAAACTTTTGTGCTTCAAGAGTACCATCAAGAAAGTGAAAAAACAACCCACAGAATGGAAGAAGATATTTGCAAATCATATATCTGATAAGGGATTTGTATACTGAATACATAAGTACTCTTACTGTTCAACAATAAAAAAAATCCAATTTAAAAATTGGCAATGAATTTGAATAAACATTTCCCCAAAGAAGATATACAAATGGCTAAGAAGCACATGAAAAGATGCTCAACATCATTAGCGGTCAAGGTAATGCAATGTAAGACCACAATGAGAAATTGCTTCATGTCCACTAGGTGGCTATAGTAAAAGAGGCAGATACTAACAAGTGTTGGTGAGGATTTGAAGATATTGGAATTCTCAATCATTCCAGGGTGGGAATGTGAAATGGTGCAGCCATTTTGGAAAACAGCTTGAAATAAAGGGTGTTCAATTAGGAAAAGAGGAAGTCAAATTGTCCCCGTTTGCAGATGACATGATTGTATATCTGGACAACCCCATCATCTCAGCCCAAAATCTCCTTAAGCTGATAGGCAACTTCAGCAAAGTCTCAGGATACAAAATCAATGTGCAAAAATCACAAGCATTCTTATACATCAATAACAGACAAACGGAGAGCCAAATCATGAGTAAACTCCCATTCACAATTGCTTCAAAGAGAATAAAATACCTAGGAATCCAACTTACAAGGGATGCGAAGGACCTCTTCAAGGAGAACTACAAACCACTGCTCAATGAGATAAAAGAGGATACAAACAAATGGAAGAACATTCCATGCTCATGGGTAGGAAGAATCATTATTGTGAAAATGGCCATACTGCCTAAGGTAATTTATAGATTCAATGCCATCCCCATCAAGCTACCAAAGACTTTCTTCACAGAATTGGAAAAAACTACTTTAAAGTTCATATAGAACCAAAAAAGAGCCCGCATCGCCAAGTCAATCCTAAGCCAAAAGAACAAAGCTGGAGGCATCACGCTACCTGACTTCAAACTATACTACAAGGCTACAGTAACCAAAACAGCATGGTACCGGTACGAAAACAGAGATGTAGACCAATGGAACAGAACAGAGCCCTCAGAAATAATGCCGCATATCTACAACCATCTGATCTTTGACAAACCTGAGAAAAACAAGCAATGGGGAAAGGATTCCCTATTTAATAAATGGTTCTGGGAAAACTGGCTAGCCATATGTAGAAGGCTGAAACTGGATCCCTTCCTTACACCTTACACAAAAATTAATTCAAGATGGATTAAAGACTTAAATGTTAGACCTAAAACCATAAAAACCCTAGAAGAAAACCTAGGCATTACCATTCAGGACATAGGCGTGGGCAAGGACTTCATGTCTAAAACACCAAAAGCATTGGCAGCAAAAGCCAAAACTGACAAATGGGATCTAATTAAACTAAAGAGCTTCTGCACAGCAAAAGAAACTACCATCAGAGTGAACAGGCAACCTACAGAATGGGAGAAAATTTTTGCAATTTACTTATCTGACAAAGGGCTAATATCCAGAATCTACAATGAACTCAAACAAATTTACAAGAAAAAAACAAACAACCCCATCAAAAAGCGGGCAAAGGACATGAACAGACACTTCTCAAAAGAAGACATTTATGCAGCCAAAAGACACATGAAAAAATGCTCATCATCACTGGCCATCAGAGAAATGCAAATCAAAACCACAATGAGATACCATCTCACACCAGTTAGAATGGCAATCATTAAAAAGTCAGGAAACAACAGGTGCTGGAGAGGATGTGGAGAAATAGGAACACTTTTACACTGTTGGTGGGACTGTGAACTGGTTCAACCATTGTGGAAGTCAGTGTGACGATTCCTCAGGGATCTAGAACTAGAAATACCATTTGACCCAGCCATCCCATTACTGGGTATATACCCAAAGGATTATAAATCACGCTGCTATAAAGACACATGCACACGTATGTTTATTGCGGCACTATTCACAATAGCAAAGACTTGGAACCAAGCCAAATGTCCAACAATAATAGACTGGATTAAGAAAATGTGGCACATATACACCATGGAATACTATGCAGCCATAAAAATGATGAGTTCATGTCCTTTGTAGGGACATGGATGAAGCTGGAAACCGTCATTCTCAGCAAACTATCGCAAGGACAAAAAACCAAACACCACATGTTCTCACTCATAGGTGGCAATCGAACAAGGAGAACACATGGACACAGGAAGGGGAACATCACACTCTGGGGACTGTTGTGGGGTAGGGAGAGGGGGGAGGGATAGCATTAGGAGATGCACCTAATGTTAAATGACGAGTTAGTGGGTGCAGCACACCAACATGGCACATGTATACTTATGTAACTAACCTGCACGTTGTGCACATGTACCCTAAAACTTAAAGTATAATAAAAATAAAGAAAGTTCCTCAAAAAATTGAATATAGCATTACCATATGACCCAGAAATTCCACTCCTAGGTGTAAACCCAAGATAAATGCAAGTCCATGTTCACACAAAAACATGTACCTGAATGTTCATAGCAGCATTAGTCATAATAGCCACAAAGCTGGAAACAATTCAAATGTCCAACAATGAATGGATAGATAAAATGTGCTGTATGTATACAATGGAATATTGTTTGGCCATAGAAAAACATGATGAATGTTAAAACATGGATGAACCTTGAAAACTTATGCAAAATGAAAGAAACCAAACACAAAAGACTACGTATTGTATGATTACATTTATATAAAATGTCCAGAGCATAAATTTACAGAAACAGAGGTTATTGTTTTCTAGGGCCTGGGAGGAGTAAAGAGGTGGGGAGTAACTGCTAATGGATATGGAATTCTTTTGTAGGGGGTAATAAAAATGTTCTGGAATTAGACAGCAGTGATGCCTTCACAAGCTTGTGCAAAAACACTAACGCATACACTTCAAATGGTGAATTTGGCCAGTTGCGGTGGCTCACACCTGTAATCCCAGCACTTTGGGAGGCTGAGGTGGGCGGATCACTTGAACCCAGGAGTTTCAGACCAGCCCGGCCAACATGGCAAAACCCCATCTCTACTAAAAATACAAAAAATTAGCCAGGCATTGTGGCAGGAGCCTGTAGTCCCAGCTACTCAGGATGCTGAGGCAGGGGTATCGCTTGAACCCTGGAGGTGGAGGTTGCAGTGAGCCAAGATTGTACCACTGCACTCCAACCTGGGAGACAGAGACTCTGTTTCAAAAAAAAAAAAATTAAAAAGGTGAATTTTATGGTAGTGAATTATATCTCAATAAAAGTGATTTAAAAGTATATCACCTTATTTGTGAGATCTTAGGCAAGTCACTCAAGCTTTCTTCATCTTGGTTTCTTCTTTTGTCAAGTAAAGGAGAAAACAATTCCTGCCCTTTCTACCATGCAAGGGTAGGATGAAGATCAACTGTGATAAAATTTATAAAGCATAAAAGGCTTTACAAATTCAAAGGCTTATTTATTGTATGCTTCTAATTTGTCTCCATTGCTTATGGGTGAGTACGTGTCTGCCACCTGCCACTACTGAATCTGGGAGATCTGTGTGTAGTTAGGGTTGGGATTATGAGGTTTAAGAAGCCAACCATTTCCTTCTCTTATTATGCCTTGTTCCCTCACCCCTCCACCCCCAAATGTATACATACACATTTCCAGCTCAGCAATAAGGAAAGTCTTGTTTTCTTCCTTCCCAAAGGGGAAATGCAAGCAATTGCATTAAAATGCATGGCAAGCTTTTAAGAAACTTGATTTTAGGATGGGAAAAATAAATGCAGCCCACAGTTGAAACACAACAGGGGGGCCAGCAAAGTGGCTACGTGACTAATCTCCCTTTTTGTGTTAGAGCCTCACTTTTTCATACTGTTCAAGTTGTTTTAGATCAAATAATGGGCAATAAACCCTTCCAAATTGTTGTGTTGTTAATTCTGCCTTTCTGATTGAAGCCAGTAGGCTGGGATGTGGGTAGAACCTGGCACTTCTAACAGAAGCACAGTCAAATGTAGTTGAAAGATGTGTCTATAAACACATATAGACACATGCAAACTTGTGCACATGTGTCTTCCTTTATTTTATTTGATTGTGCCATTTGTGTATAACTCCTCAGGGTATAAATCAGTTTAACATTAATTAAAATGTATGAAGCCTCATAAAATGGTATTAAAATGCCAGGCTTCAGTTGCCACCTCTTTAGAAAAGGTCTATAAAAAAGATAAATCTTGCCCTGCTCATCTTTTTCACCCTGTCTTTTTTATATTCATTCATACATACACAGATCTCACAAACACCTTTTCCACTGGACTTTGCTTGAGTCTCTACAATAGCTCCCTGTTGCCCTCTGGATCACTCTGAGTGCTTCAGACTGGTTCCTATAGCCTGCAATAAACCAATCCTACCTCGTCTTCCCAAGCCTGCCTCCCTTTGTTCCCCAGCAATGATCCTCCACTTCAGGTCTGCATCCTCACTGCTTCCTGCCCACTCTATACTTATTCTTCCCTTCCTACTCCTCATGGCTTATCTGTAGCTTTTCAATCTATTTTCTTAATTTTTCTTCCTTTGCCTTTATGAAGGCCCTTGGTAATACTTCAGCTCATAATAATCTCTGTTTTCACTGAGCTCCTATAGCACCTAAAGTCTCTGACAAGTCTTAACCACGGTGTTACAATACTAGTTCTGAAATATGTTTTAATTTGGTGCAGATAATTATATATATTATTTAAGTGGCTATCATATATACACACACACACGTGTATATATATGGGTGTATATATATTGCATATATATATACATATATGGGTGTATATATATATACATATTTACGGGTGTATATATATATGGGTGTATATGGGTGTATATATATGGGTGTATATATATACATATATATATGGGTGTATATATATACATATATATATGGGTGTATATATATACATATATATATGGGTGTATATATATACATATATATATACACCCATATATATATATACACACACACATAAAGTGCTGGAATAAACACGTGTGTGTGTATATATATGTGCGGTAGCCACTTAAATAATATATATTCAAGTTGATTAGTCCAATAATAGACATGTCTTTCAATCACCTGTATTCAGATAGGTGTGTTATCTTGGGTGGGGGAGAAAGGCTGAGATTATTAGAATCCTGGATACGACTGTATGATTATCTTAAGCATGTGAAGATTCATTCACACATTTATTCAATAAATATTTACTGAGTACTACACTGTTTCAAGTATAGGAAACATTATTCGTTATATGTGTTGTAGTGGGGAACAAGATTGAGAACTGCTGGCTTATACCACACAATTTAGCCCCCTGACTATATGTTGTCTGATATTTCTCCCTAATTGTTCCTTGGGGTTAAGTTTTGTTTCACCAGCCCCAGCTGAAGGTTTTTGAAGTCAATGAAGACTATTTTAACCCTCTGTAGCAACTAGTACAAGAATGGCACATTGTGGATGTTTAATAAGAATCAGTGATTGATTAAAATATTGTTCATGAGAAACAAAGATATTGGGAAAATTGAAGCATACATGAGAAGCCAGAGAAGCTCATATTCATATCTGTCCACTTAAAATTATATGCTATTAAGTTGTCATCAACTCAGGTTTTGTTTATTTCATTTTTTTATCCTCTACCTGAAATTACACTAATTAATGAATGGATTGTAAGTCTGGATGTTCTAGGGTATTTAATTACTTATCTTTTTATGCATCTAAAATTTGATAGCTTAAGAATTTAAAAGATATATTTAGAAAATAGAATGAAGGTAGGCGGGAAAGGGATTTTAAAATAAAGTGTATAATTTGCTAGTAATTTGAATTAGAATACAAAATAGAATCAGAGAATTTTAGAGCTAGAAGGGACTTTAACAAAAATCTAGTCCAAACCACTTATTTTACAGATGAGGAAATTGAGGTCCAGTCAGGATAAGGACTTTCTCAAAGTTACACAATCTGAGAAAACAAATGAATGTTCTCAGTTATCTGGATGCACATGTACTGCTCCAGTACCCTGGTTTTATTTGTTAAGAATGGCAGAAGCATAGAAAGGTAAAATGAATGTATGTCTATTACCTGGGAAATAGCCTGCAAAATGACAAAGCTGACACACTCATTGACATGGTAAATTATAAGTGGCTTAAAGAAATTTGTTAACAATTTTTCTGGCCAAATGGTGCAAAATGAGAAAAGATAATAAATAATCCTGAAATGATCAATGTGGTGATGGTCTCCTGAAGAGGACAAGGAATAACTAATCCCATGCTCCTCACTTAATTACACTTAATCATAATTGTTTCCTAAACTTCTGGCATGATTTCAGAATACATGAACAAGGAAGTGTTTAAAATAAGAAAGTATGCCATTCTAGGCCAGGCATGGTGGCTCACACCTGTAATCCCAGCACTTTGGGAGGCCCAGGCGGGCGGATCACTTGAGTCCAGGAGTTCGAGACCAGACTGGCCAACATGGCAAAACCCCGTCTCTACTAAAAATAAAAAAATTAGCCGGGCATGGTGGCGGGCACCTGTAATCCTAGCTACTTGGGAGGCTGAGGCAGGGAGAATTGCTTGAACCCAGGAGGCGGAGGTTGCAGTGATTGCAGTGAGTCAAGATCCTGCCACTGCACTCCAGCCTGGGAGACAGAGCAAGACTCTGTCAAAAAAAAAAAAAAAAAAAAGTATGCCATTCTTATGGTTTTCAGCATAGTTCTATTTCAGCTCTCTTTTTTTATATATCATCCCTTCAAACTTCAGCACAAAAGTATTCTTGTCATCATTATCTCATTGATAATTATTTATCTTTTTAATTATAGCCTATCTTCCACATATATATTGTACTGTATAATTTTGCTATAACAGTGTTCACTAAAGAGTAGCTTTTAGTGTTAAGTGAACCAGAATTGTACCTTAATTTTTTTTTTTTTTTGAGACAGAGTCTCTCTCTGTCACCCAGGCTGGAGTGCAATGGCGTGACCTCGGCTCACTGCAACCTCTGCCTCCCAGGTTCAAGCAATTCTCCTGCCTCAGCCTCCCGAGTAGCTGGGATTACAGGCACCCGCCACCACGGCTGGCTAATTTTTGTAATTTTAGTAGAGATGGGGTTTCACCATGTTGGCCATGCTGGTCTCAAACTCTTGACCTCATGATCCACCCGCCTCGGCCTCCCAAAGTGCTGGAATTACAGGCGTGAGCCACTGCACCTGGCCTTCCTTATTTTAATATTTTGTGTTTAATTGAGGTATGATTACATACATGTATTATTTAGTAGAAAATCTGTTACCAACAGGCTTTCCCTTTTAGGTGCTTATGCTCATCACAGAAACTTTCAGAGCTGGAATGGACCTTAGAGAGCCCCCAGTTCACCATTTCCTTGAGTGTCAGGGTGTGCTCCTTGGAATACTATCTCTGGACTATCACCAGTGAAAAGGAGTTACTTGATCAATTAAGTTTTGGAGACACATAGCATAGTCTGTTTCCTTCAGAGAGGTTTCCAATCTAAGTGAGTACACTTAAGGGCTCTGAGAAGCGTTGTAGTAAGAAACCTGCTTAATTCCATCCAATGTTAACCCTCATCTTTGCATAACACTAACATTCTAGCAAACAAGATTTTTGATGAATACACTTTGGGAGATAAACTGATTTAGGCAATCTCTCTTTTTACTGATTAGAAAACCAAGGATTTGTGAGGGAAAGTGACTTACCCAAAGTTGCTAGCTCCTTTGTAGCAGAGCTTCGATTGTATGTCAATTTTTGTTGCTGGGTGCAATACACTTTGGAGGGTATAATCAGTGAAGTGTATGATATTGAGGGTAACAACAGGACAAAGTGTTAGTGCATTTCTATTCTATCCCCTTTACTTCCCTTTTTATTTGCCACAGATTTCTTTCTCATGACATTTTTCTCTAAAGCAGTTACAATGAAATCCATCATATAATGCCTTTTGGTTCTTTAACATTTCTCATCAATGTTATAGGTAATAAACTCTGATATGCCTCATGGTTATGTAATTTCTCTAATTCTTCATGTGGCTAGATCCTTCTCACCCTTCAGATCTCAGCCTAAATGCTACCTCTTCAGTGAGACCTCCTCTAATCACTATAAGTTATCCTCTCCCCTCCCATACCAGTGCTCTCAATTGCAGCACTATGTTCCTCTCTTTTATGGCACTGCACAGTTGTATCTCAGCTGTTTTATTCACCATGTGCCCTCAGCACAATGCCTGACCCACAGTTGATGCTCAATAAAAATATTTAGTGAATGAATGAATGCATAAAACAAGGAAACAAAACTCCCTGTTGACAGTTTCCAATAGATAAAAATGCCTCCCCTTACCTTCCTAGAACCCCTGAATTCTTTATAACTTTTGGTTGGTTGGAGGATCCACTGGGTAATTTGTGGGATTCCTGATCCATCAATGTGACAAAAATTGCCTGCATATTCTATCCCTGGACCCATTTCTCTGCAAGTCAAATAATACCATTTATCTCCTCCATTAAATGAAGGATATGATACAATATCCCCAAAGAGAGCCTTTTAGGATTTCCAGAAGTTTATTGGGGAGATTTAGTGGAAATATTTGCCACAAAGGTAACAGACAAAAGACCTCCAGCACAGAATTAAGAGATACTTTGATTGATATGGTAGATTTGGTTATTATTCAAAAACATCCTCTTCCTTCTCTCAACCCCAGAGGATAAGATGTTCCAGTCCCTTGACTTTGAACTCAACCATGTGACTTACCTTGGCCAATGGGATAATGACAGATGTGACGTAAGCAGAGACATGAAATATGCTTGTGTAGTTGAGCTTGGTCTCTTGTGTCTCTGCTATCTCCATAAGAAGAGCTGCACCTTCGGCCTGGGATCCAGAATAAATATATGTAAGCAGATTTCAGCCTGTCCTTTAGCAAGGAGCTAAGCCCAGATGGACATGCAGCCTGAAGTAGAACTGCTGGCCAAGCCAAACCCAGCCTAGATCAGCCAACCTCTTGCCAATCTGCAGATTAATGAATGACAATGAAAGATGTTCTTTAAAATACTGAGTTTGAGGTGGTTTTGTTTATTTCTTTTTCTTTACTAGCAATAGCTTACTGGTTCAATTGACTTCTGTTCAATCATCCTAATTTTACCAGAGTGTTTCAGGTATTTTGGGGTACTTCATTATGATCTCTTTGAGAAAACACTTGCTAATGTCTTTCCAGTCTATAGAGAGACCCACTTTTGTTGTATGTTTTGATAAGACAGCTGGGAGCTTATCAATTTAGTTGCTGCCCAGGATTAGAGAGGTGGGATGGAGCTAAATTGCTCTTTTTTTTTTTTTTTTTTTTTTTTGACAGAGTCTCACTCTGTCGCCCAGGTTGGAGTATAGTGGCATGATCTTGGCTCATGGCAACCTCTGCCTCCCGGGTTAAAGCGGTTCTTGTGCCTCAGCCTCCTGAGTAGCTGGGATTACAGGCGTGTGCCACCACGCCCAGCTAATTTTTGTATTTTTAGTAGAGACGGGGTTTCACCATGTTGGCCAGGCTGGTCTTGAACTCCTGAGCTCAAGCAATCCTCCTGCCTTGGCCTCCCAAAGTGCTGGGATTACAGGCATGAGCCACCATGCCCAGCCTAGATTGATCTTGATAAGAAACGGGAAGAAAGTTGAATGAGGATGGGAACAAGAAAGGAAGAAACTGGCAAATTGGCAGCTGAAGAGGAACTTTGGGAGATAAATGCCTTCTGAGGATTTTGATTAGTTGTTTGCTGTTTGATGTTAACCGTTTCCTCCTCCTCACTACAAAATTGTTAGTATGATTTACATTGTCCACTGCTGCTTTATAGAGTGTTTATCTTTTAATGTCATGTAATTTGGAATCCCGCTTTGTGGTTGACATGGGCAGTTCCATAGGCTATCCAAAGGCCTAGGTTTGTAACACCTAGGTTATAATTGCCAAACTATGGAAGCATTGGGGTGTATCTATACAATGCAGGAATGGGGACCACTCGAGTATAGAAAATGGTTCTTCACGAACTAGCGACAACATTGTAAGTGCTAGGTGCTCACAGGTGTTCATTGTTTTCCTTCCACTGCCCACTTTTCCTCTCTCTTTTCTCTCTTCTGCCCAGATTTGGGTTAGTATTTGAGAGATACCATGAAGACTCCTCCTGCTCTTATGTAAATCTTAACCACTGGTCTGACCTTGTACCTGAAACTCCAATATTAGAGGTTTATTCATTTGGATTCAGGCACAATGTGCTCTAAAATACAATTAAATTAGTATATAGTGGGCACTTTATTTGCTCAGTGAATAAACACTTTAGTAGGAATTTGCTTATAAGAGAAGTGCATTAGATGGGCTTTTTTATGGGGATAGAACACAATAGAATTACTTTATTTTGTTTTATTTCTTTTTGGATTATGAAATTAGTTGGGCATGGTAGCTCCTGCCTGTAGTCCCAGCACTTTGGGAGGCTGAGGCAGGAAGATCGCTTGAGCTTAGGAGTTTGAGACCAGCCTGGGCAACATAGTGAGACCCTGTCTCTACAAATTTTTTTTAAACCTTAGCTGGGCATGGAACTATATGCCTGTAGTTCCAGCTACTGGGGAGGCTAAGGCAAGAGGATCGCTTGAACCCAGGAGGTTGAGGCTGCAGTAAGCCATGATCTCACCACTATACTCCAGCCTGGGTGACAGAGTGAGAACCTGTTTCAAAAAAAAGGGATTATAAACAATTTCAACCAGGTGTGGTGGCTTGTACCGCTAATCCCAGCACTTTGGGAGGCCAAGGTGGGAGGATCACTTGAGCTCAGGAGTTTAAGACCAGCCTGGGTAACACAGTGAGACCCTCTCTGTACGAAAAAATTTAAAAAATTAGCTGGGCTGAGGTGGGAGGACTGCTTAAATCAGGGAGGTCAAGGCTGCAGTGAGCTGTGATTGTGTCACTACACTCTAGCCTGGGTGACAGAGTGAGACCTTGTCTCAAAATAAAAAGAAAAAAAGAAAGAAAAAAAAGAAACATTTCAAACAGAAAAGTATAAAGAGCAACTTAATGAGCACCCATGACGCATAACCCAAAGTAAATAAATGCTAATGTCTTGCTTTTTTGTAAAAAATAAACCGTTGTAGAGCTGTAACCCCCTCCTTGTACTCCACCCTTCACTGATTACATTGTTCTCCTGTTTCTCCTTAGGGGTAACCTATATCCTGTAGTTGGTGTGTATGCTTCCCATGCATGTTAGTGTATTTAAAACCACATATTAACATATACTATATAATATTACAATATAATATATGTAAATATATATGCAGATTATATATATTATTGTTGTTTTTAAAGTTTATGTATCATTGTTGATGCCCGCATATCTAGATCCTTCATCTTACTTGCTGTCTTGTCTTACGCTATATGACTATTAAACAATGTACTTATTTCTCTTTTCGTGAATGCTTAGATTGTCTCCTATTACAATACTGTGGCAACATCCTTGAATATGCTACTTATTCATGTGTGCAAAAGTTTTCTAATATAAATGACTACAAGTGGAACTACTGGGCCTTAGGGAAGGTACATCTTCAAATACACTAGATACTGCCAAATTGCTTTCCCATGTCATGTCCCTAAGTATATTTCCATAGCTAGTGTATGAAATTCCTCTTTTCTCTGTTTTCTTGACAGTGTTCTGCATTGTCAGCCTTCGCATTTTGCCAGAGGTGGAAATGGTACCTTGCTGTTTTAATGTGTATTATCTTGATAAGTATTGACATTGACCATATTTTCATATTTGTACTGGGAATTGGTATTTCCTCTTTTGTGAAATGCCTGTTCAAGTCTTTTACCCATTTTCCTATTATATTGTTTCTCTTAAAGATTTGTAGAAATTCATTATATATTCTGGATCTCTACTTTTTGTCAGTTATATACAATGTAAATCCAATCAGCAATTTCTTTTTAATGTGTTTATGACGTATTTTGTAGTACAGAAGTTTTAAGTTTTCATGAAGTGAAACCTATCCACTTTGAAATTTATAGCTTATGTGTTTGAGTTTTGTTTAAGGAAGCCTAAGCACACGAAATACCTGAGAGAAAAGAGGGCTAAATGGGCAGATGATGGAGAACGGAAACAAACTTCCCCTTCATTCTCCTTTTTCTCTTTCTTCTCCCATCATCTCTCTCCTTTTCCCCATCCTGAAATTAATGCCTCTATCAAATAAATGAGGCTGCTTTCTGCTGTGATTTGTTCAATTTTACATCAAGATGTCTTTGGCTCTGGTCTGCTGGGCTGCTTTATTCAATATCTTCTCATCTATTTGGTGTCATAAATGGCAGTGGAGACAAGTGGTTTGTGACTTTAGGGATAAAAAATGAATAAATACACCTCAGAATTGAAATAATTGTGTCCAATGAGTTACTTCATATAATAAAAAAATAACAAGCAACAGATCTCATTTGGCGAATCTCTGTTGTTTTTTGGTGAAGGAAGACTTTTTAAACAATCATTTTCTAAACCTTTTTTAATTTAAATCACTACTGCAGCAACACAGTGCCATCTCCATCAACCTCCTCACCATCTAATCAAAATCATTGCAACCTGGGCAGGGGATCAGTGGAGGACTACGAAAACAGAAGAGCAATGTTGCAGCAAGCTTTTTCAGACTCCCCCTAATTCTTCCTCATTGCCTCCACCCTCCACCACACATTGCAGCCTGAATTATTTAGTTACTGAAATCAATCCATTTTTTCTGTTCAGTGGTTGGACAATAAAAGTAAGCTTTACTGCAGCAAGTGAATAATAAAAAACGAATTAGCTGAAAACAAACAAAAAGCTGCTTACGTGGCAATCTTCTGTGTTAATCAAAACCTCGAGGACAGGTCGAGTGGATCAATATTTGACTATAAGATGAAAAGAAGCAAAGCTTCCATGAGGGTGGGAGAAGAGGGAGATCTGGGGAAAAAAAAGAAAGGCCTGAGGGCCGGGTTCATCAAAAGTGGCCAATGGCAGTCTTTTGGTGGGCCCTGGATGTTTGAGAAATGACAGTGTTTTCTATGCACATATCAAAGTTCAGCTTGTTTATCTCATATGGGGAAGAAGGCCATCTGTCAGTATTCTCCAAATAATCTACATAATTGACTTTCAAACAAGCCTGAAAGAAACTAGCATTTATCACCCTAATTGTGGCAGGCAGAGTGCGTGTCACTGCCATTTTATCAAGATAATGGTAAAAGGCGCCCAGGTTTCTTCTCTCCTGTCTTCTTCCAGATTTCTTTCAATTTGCATATTTAGTTACATTCTCCTTTGAGACCAAATGCAGAAAAATGCGAGATAGGCTGACTGGACCTACAGCAGGGGGAAATTTTGCTTGCCTTTTGACAAACCTTGGATTCAGCCACCAACCACTTGCCACCCTCCACCCTGCCCCTAGGGACTCAGCACTGTCGTAATTAGTAGAAGAGAAACACCAAAAATTTCTGTACAAGGACAGACTCCTGAGAAGCTCAATTCTGTGAGCCTGGATCTCTTAAGTAGACAAAACAGGGCTTGAACTTCTCTTCAGGTTTTGGTGATGGGATAAGGAAGAGACATCCTCAGAACTAGCTTCTTTTGAGCCTCCAGGCCCAAGCAAAATGGGCTAACTGGACTCTAGCACAAAGTGGAATATGTTAAGTGATGATGTCCTCATTCCTGTAGATCCAGGGTGGGACTGAGGGGGGTGCTGAGATTATCATGAAGTCCTCTCTTCTTCTTTTTTATTTTTTAACACAATTATGGTCAAAACTAGAAGAGATTCTGTCTCCTACAAATGAATCTAGTAACTCATATCTGTAGGGAATTGCTGCTCTACAAAATATACGTTTAAAAACACATTTTAACTCTAGGATCTTCCCACAAATTCCAGATCCGGGACAATTCTGCCTTGAACAGACTTTTGTAATTTTCAAGGCAAAGGCCACTCTTTTCCCTTACCTTTCCAGATTCTGTGAACTGTGCTTCTTCATCAGGCTAGCTTTAGACATCCCCATCTTTCCTGTGTATACATTGAGACAAAAAAGACCTAGCATTGCCCAATATTTGGCAGGTAAGAGCAGAGAGCAAATTGCTAAACTGGGGTTAAGTTGAAACTATTTTTTTAGAGGATTGTAGCCACAGAAGAAACGGAAGTATGTTTAGGTTTCCCAAGAATGTTTGAAAACGTGTGTTTGTCTGTCAGTAGCCAGATTTCCCTATAGATAGGTAAGTTAATCAGTAATCCATTAAAGAGGTGGTAGAAAGTGAGGCAAGGCTCTTGTTAACGAATAAGCCACTGAGAACAAAAATATGAATGAAAACAGTAGTCACATATCTGAGAATCATTCTCCTTCCTTGTAATCTTGAACCAGCTTTTGGTCATAGGTATGGTGTACATATTTGAGCGTATACACATAATAGCTCTGCACTGTTGCACATATGCAGAATATCACATAAACGTGACAATTTTCCAGTGTTGAAAGAAGGAAATATATAAGGCTTGAGTCATGGATATAAGACATTCTTTTTTCCTTGTCCAGTTAAACTCCACTATTGAACTGTCTTTTCTGCTCTGTTTTCTCTCTGATGCACACAGCATGTGGCATTCTGTATTCTGATTAAAGAGTGGGATACAACAGCAGCATCTGGGCTGAATGGGGCAGGGAAAGTCCAACTGATGCAACCAGTTATGATAGGCAGTGGAATTCAGTGACCTCGTAAGGAAATGAGGGTAAAACAAAAGCTGGGATAGGGAGGCAGATACATTTGTTTCCCTTGGCATGGCTGCCTCTATGCAGTAGTTTTCACCCAGTGTGTTATGGTACAGTGGTATCTTTGAAGCCTTCCCAGTTCCATGATGAAATTTTAATCATTATGTAGATTGTATTTATGCCACAATTGAAAGATCCTACTTTGAGAGTTATGTGTGCTGCTTGAAAGTAGAGCCACGTACAGCCTGCTTGAGGAAGACATAATAGGCATAACATGTCAGCCTGGCATCAAGGAAAAATTGTGTTGTGTGTGTTTTGAAACATAGGAAAATTTTTCTTGTGGAAAAAACAGTTTAACTCAAATCACTTAGGGTTGAAGGGCAGTCAAAGGAATATGTAACTCTATGTATTTTTATAAACACAGTGTGATACTGAAATACTGTAGTGGGGATTGTATTGTATTTATTGCTCACTTGTTTAATGCTGTTGTGAGTCTTTTAATCTCTTCAAGTGTGCTGCCCTGAATGAATGCTAGTGTGTTAGCCCAGATGCAAAAGAGTAAATACTATATGATTCCTTACATATGATGTTCAAGAATGGGCAAAAACCAATCCATAGTGATAGGGGAATTCACAACAGTGATTGTATCTGTACCTGGAAAGGACTGAAAAGAGACAATAGGAACTTTCTAGAGTGGTAGGAATAGACTACAACTTGTTCTGAGTGGTAGTTACAGGGGTGTATACATTTGTCATAACTCACCTAACTGAAAACCTATAATCTGTGCATGCTATAGTACGTTAATGATCTCTCAATAAAAACTGGCAAATGTGTAAAAAAAAAAAAAATTCCCAGGCCACAGAAATGCTAAGAGACACTCTTGCTCTGGTTGATTCAAAGTTTGGCTACTTCAGTTTGGTGCTATTTGTCATGGGTTTGTTAGGACTTCCACGAATAACTTCCTTTACATACAAAATTCCCTTCAAACAGAAGGACATCTCCTTTCATTTCACAGTTGGCAGCATAACTTTTTGTTGTTGCTTTAAGTGATATATTTCCCAAAGTCAGAGTGATTCTGTCTTAAATGTCACCCCATGTGGAACTCACCTCCTCTACAAACCTTTGCTTCTAGTGCTTCTCAGCTGAGTGCAGTGCCCTCAGGTCTAGTGAGTGTCTGCTTCAATAATTGTTTCTCCCTCCAGAAGGTCCACCTGTTTCTGATTTATTGCTGTAAATCATCCAGCACCCAATACAGCCTGGTCCACAGGGCAAGGAGGTCAGCCAATGTTTGTTAAATGAAGTGGTCATTATATGAATAAAAAGCTATATGTTTAAATAGCTAATTAATTAGGTCACATGTTGGTCTCTGCTTTCTAGGAGCTCACAGAAAGGACGTGGAATAGGTGGCTACTTACATGGTGTAATTTGACATAGATTGTAAGAGGCTACATATTATCCCATGTATTACTCTGATTACCTTATCGCCTGTCTCTCCAACCTGTCTTGGGCTTCTCTATCATAAGTAAACTAGGCAACAAAAGTGGGGACACTTTCTCCAGAAAGTCCCAGAAGAAGTACATCTATGCTAATTTCCCGTAGTCTCCTTCATTCCTCTTCCATTACTGTTCTAGTATGGGTCGACAGTATGAACTACAGGAAATGAAAGAAGTTCTGGACTTCACATATATCCATTCAGTGTCTTAGCATGATGTGGTATTAAGGTGCTGAGCTAGAGACAGCAGGCCAAGGGAATAATTGGTCCCTTTGGGGTGGTGGAGTAGAGAACATGCTTCAATGACAGGGACCCCTTTTTGAACATTTGGAAGAGGCAAATTTAGAACAAAGAGAATACCTCAAAAGGTGTGGTATGGATTTCTGAACATATAGTTTTTTGGAAAAGTTCAAAGCCATGGCTAAGAAATGACATTGTGTTAATGAGGGGCATTTTCATGCTTAAAGAGCCTCAAATATCTCTAACCTGGGAGACTGACAAGTTACAAGTTGAAGGAAACCAGGTTCTTCTACATACCCCTCCAGTATACAAAGCTCTAAATACAATAAATACTTGTTTTCTAGCTGGGTTGGTGAATGTTGAAGTGTTTTCTAATGGTAAGAATTTTTTTTTTTTTTAAAGTATGGCTACAGATTGCTGGAGCAGCCACTCTGTGGAAACCTAGGACCTTGAAGAATAGTTTACTCTTTAAGGCTATTACGAACTTATCCTCCTCATGAATATCCGGGCTTTCAGCTCCATAAAACCTGCAATAACTGCCCTTTTAAGACTTACATCTGGTCATAACACAAAAGATTGATTGGGGCTCCCATCCTATAGGGAGGGAAGACAGCGCTTTCAGATGTATGGCCTCCCAGTAGATTTTTCATGAGAAAAGCCAAAAATGCTTCTTCGAGATTCATGCATGCATATGTGGTCAGTGCTCAAGTCTGTAAATAACATACCCAATATTTAAAGCTTATATTCTGACCCTTTGAGTCTGCAGTATCCTTATTAGAGCCAATACTGTGTTAGAAGGATGAACTATGCTTTTAAAAAATTAGATTGAAATATTTTAGGGAAAAAAGTACTGCCCCCTTCCCTATATTCTTCCATTTGCTTATCTCTTCGCCCCACTCTCCACCCAGTTGAGGAAAGTTTCTCTTAAATCAGCCTGATACTTTCAAGACTAGCATGGCTGTTGACAGTTTTATGCAACTAATAAAGAAGATTAAAAAATAAACAAACTCTGCAACTTTCTGTATTCTGAAGTCCAATGCAGAGGAAAAAAAAAAGCCCTCTCGTGTGGGAAATGTAAAATGCTGCCTGTCGGAGGGTGCTGGAAATATGATAGGAAGAAAATGACTTCCATATATCTAAATGACATTTGAAAGAACAAAAATCAAGGGCTGTTAATGTAGCTAGATGTTGGGATTCAGGTAATATGTCCTGTAATTCATTCTGACTGACAGTTGTGAGGAGAAATCAGAGTAAGGCTGACCAAACTACCATCCCTTGAAAAAAAAAAATCAGCAACGGGACTTCAAAACTGATTCCTCACATATCAACCTGATCTCCCCGAAGGGACTCCTTTCCAGCTAAATGCTGAATTGAATTCTGTACATCACATTTCTTGGTAGAGATTTAGTGCTTTAATTATATTTTTTTATGTGTCACAGAACTGTAAACATAAATTATCCTTTTGTTTTCTCTATCTTTAAGGAAGAGCTTAGAAAAATAATAACAATTAAAGGTGTATGTGATTCTTCTTTAAGTCTTTTCATTACTCGTGTGGAAGGTACAATAGTTCTCTGTATTTGGTGACTGCAGAGCATTCTGGCCATACCTCCAGGACATCTCAGCAATGACTGGCAAGTCTAAAAGTCATTTGATCAGTTATTTGTTTTGCTTACAGAAATGATGATTGTTTTGATATTTTTCTGTTTCTTCCTGAAATGCTTTGAACTGAGCATTCATTTCTATATCACACAGATAGATATTGCTCAGCTGCAGCATGGGCTGAAGGAAAATCACTGGGAATATTTTTTTAATTTCTAAAATATTTCAGTCAGAACATTGTGGCTCAGACTCCAAAAATCTTTTTGACCCAAATGTTGAAATCAATAATATAGGATAATATCGGCAGAGTTAATAATCTAACAGAACTATCTGGACATGTCTTTGCGTATTAATACCTCATGGAGTGGAGTGAGATATTTTTAAATCCACTGGCCATTTTAAAGGATCCTCCAATTATATCATGTTAACAGTTGTTTCTCCTACCTATATACAGAGCTACTGGTAATGATGAAGCTTGCCAGAAAGCTGTGCTACCAAAAGACCAACATCCCAGCTTGCATCTGGCTTTGTAGAACATGCCAACAATGCTTAATGTAATGGGTCACATCTGTCAAGGAGGATTACAAATTGTACCTGTAATGCCCTGTAATTAGAAACCCTCAAATGGCTCCAGCTGCTATTTCCCTGAACATTTGCCTTGGTAACATCTCATAGGAAATGTGACTCAGAATGAAGAGTATTTAGGTCCAAAGGACACTGTAGTGAAATAGGAACATTTTCTTCTAATCTAAAAAATCCCTTTTTTTCTTGTCACTCTCACCAAGTTTACTAGAGGGTCTTTCACCCAGAGACCAGTATGGGATGTGCTTTTCAGCTTGCTGAGGAGAGATTTGGCTGTTGACTTTGTTTCAGAGCAAAATTCTCCCATGAATCATGAGAAAAGTAAATATGTCTGTTTTCTGTGTGTTAGGGTGATTTGAGAATGAATGTGAGTCTGTAACTGGAGACTTCACAATGAGAAGTTGACCTTTTGCTTGCAAAGGAGACTTGCTATTTGGTTGGCTCATGGGTACATCTGCAAATGCTGGCATGCTGGGTTGTGTTTGCAGATCAGAATCCATTACTTGCTGAGACCTAAGATGCAATATGGAAAATGTAGGTTTAAAAAATTATTTCACTAAGTTTGACTTTCAGTACACTCTTCTGAATTTATTCAAGCAAGTTTCCAGTGAAAATTCACCATCTCATAAATGACTATCTAATAAAAATGAACTAAAACCAGACCCTTAACTTATACCATTCAATAAAAACTTGCTAGGTGGATTAAAATTAAAATATGAAAATGAAACTATAAAATAATGAAAAGAAAATATAGGTATTTATTTTATTTATACACTCTTATAGTAGCAACATATTTGTAAGCATAACTGCAAAGGTATAAATCAGGGAGGAAAAGATTGAGTTGTTGATGCTGCAGAAAGAAACAAACATATTAAACACTTTTTGTATGTTAAAAATCCATGATAAATAAAAATGAAAGGAAAACAGCAAATGAGAAAATGTTTGCAGCAGATATTAAGTATAATTGGTCTACTTAAACAGTTCTTACAAGTTAATTTTAAAAAGATGGAAACTCGAGTAGGAAAATGGACAAAGAACATAAATATGTAAATCACAAAGGAAGAAATAAAAATGGCCAATAAATAAATGAAGAAATATTTATCTTCATTAGCAATCAAACAAATACAAACTAAAAATCCATCCATTACATTGGCAAATTTACAAAAGATTGATAATAACCCGTGTTGACAAAGGTTTGAGGAAACAGAACTTTCATATACTGAAGTCAGAATGCAAATAGGTAAATCTCTTTATGGAGTAACATGAAAATATGTATCTGCACCTGCCAAAATATTCAATTCTACTTGTAGGAAGTTACCTTCAGGAAATAATTAGAAATGTGTGACAAGCAGTGGTCATAAAAATGTTCATTATACCACTGTTTTTAATGGTGGAAAATTAGAAGAAAAAGACGGTAATAGATTGGTTAAATAAATTATCTATACTTGTAGATTGAAAGATTATGGAGTCATATAAAATCGCGTTGTAATAGAATATTTTTGACCTGAAAAAGCAACCACAATCCACGCTGTGTTTAAAAAAATGAAAACACCAGGCACAGTGGCTCACACCTGTAATCCCAGCACTTTGGGAGGCCAAGGTAGGAGAATTGCTTGAGCTCAGGCATTCCAGGGCAGCTTGGGCAACAAAACGAGGCCCTGTCTCTACAAAGAATAAAAAATTAGCCAGCTGTGGTGGTGCATGACTGTAGTCCCAGCTACTTGGGAGGCTGAGGTGGGAGGATCACTGGAGCCCGTGAGGTTGAGGCTTCAGTGAGCTGTGATCATGCCACTGCACTCCAGCCTGGGCAACAGAGCAAGACTCTTTCTGAAAAATAAGTAAATAAATAAAACTAAAAATAAAAGCAATTTACAAAATGGTAAATAGAATAAGATACTATATTTTATACACATACACACACACTAAGAAAGAGAGTGATTGAGACACAGACATGGACAATTATAGACAACGACATAGAGAAGACTAGAAGTAAATATTTCAAAATAGTATCTTGGGGTGAGAGATAACAGGCATGAGACTTTTTTTTTTCTTTTCCCTTGAGATGTATTACTTTTGAGATAGGGAAATAGAAACTATAACAATTACCTATTAAAAAGACACATCAGGCTGGGCACGGTGGCTCACGCCTATAATCCCAGCACTTTGGGAGGCTGAGGCAGGTGGATCACTTGAGGTCAGGAGTTCAAGACCAGCTTCGCCAACATGGTGAAACCCCCTCTCTACTAAAAATACAAAAATACGGGCATGGTGGCACGTGCCTGTAATCCCAGCTACTCAGAAGGCTGAGGTGGGAGATCACTTGAATGCAGGAGGTGGAGGTTTCAGTGAACCAAGATCTCGCCATTGCATTCCAGCCTGGGTGACAGAGTGGGACTCCATCTCAAAAAAAGAAGACACATCAGCCCAGTTAGGGTAAGTATTGGCACTGATGAGCTTGCCTTTGGAGTCTCACTGCCAACTTTTTCCATCCATCTTTCTTTCTTTTTTTTTTTTTCTCTTTTAGACAGAGCCTCACTCTGTCGCCAGGCCGGAGTGCAGTGGCTCGATATCAGCTCACTGCAACCTCCGCCTTCTGGGTTCAAGCGATTCTCATGCCTCAGCCTCCCTAGTAGCTGGGATTACAGGCACACGCCACCATGCCCAGCTAATTTTTTTTGCATTTTTAGTAGAGACGGGGTTTCACCATGTTGGCCAGGATGGTCTCCGTCTGCTGACTTCGTGATCCGCCCGCCTCGGCCTCCCAAAGTGTTGGGATTACAGGCGTGAGCCACCGCTCCCAGCCTCCTTTCTTTAAGTCATCATGTCCTACAGACTTCCAGAGTCCTTAGTGATTTCATTCACTCATCCATTCATTCCTTCATTCAGCAAACATTTGTTGCTTTATACCATGTGCCAGGCTGAGTACTTGTCCCTGGCCAATGCTCCATTCTGTAAACATTTCCTAGTTGTTTCTTGTCTATTCTTATAGTCTTTCTTGTCTATTCTTATTGTCTTATTGTTTCTTGTCTATTCAGTCTGGGGGTCTTTCCCTCAGACCCTGTTAGGTGAATGATTAGTACATTTTTTCTAACAAGTTCTCTCTGTGTTAAATAGATGATCTTAGTACGCTACTTGAACTTTAAGGGGGACCTTAACTATCTTAACTTAAAATAGTAAGTGTGTGAAAATTGTAGGCAACTTTATGTAGATATATGCCTGCCAGATAATATCACTCTTTCCTTCTCACACATATTCTAACTGGGCAGCATGCCTCCAACTATGTTCCACCCTACAAGGCCTGGGCTCCCCATATTAAGATTAGTTCTCTAGCCTGGTAGAGAACTTATCAAGCGTGCTTCTTGATATTACTAATGCATAACATTTCTTCTACTTTCTTTGTCCTGACCTTCCCCCTCCTGTGGCTTTCCTAATTCCTGCCGTCTGCCCTGCTCTGCCTTCTGGAATTTATATCCGTTTAGTCTTTGACCTGCCCTCTTGACTCTGGCTTCCACACTTGTTCTGACCCAAACATCTGCTCAACTTTCCTCAGTGCCTGTATAAGTTGTCTACCACTGCTGTAACAGATTTCCACAAATTTAGCAGCTTAAAACAACACAAATTTATTATCTTACAGTTCTGGAGGTTAGAATTCCAGAATGAATTTCACTGGGCTAAAATCAAGATGCAGGTAGGGCTGTATTTTTTTTTCGAGGCTTTAGAAGATAATCCACTTATTTGCCTCTTTCAGCTTCTAGAGGACCCTTCATTGCTTGGCTCATAGCCCTCTTCATCCATCTTCAAAGCCAGGAACATTGCATTTACCTGAACATTCTTCCATAGTCATATCTCCCTCTACCATAGCTGGGAAATGTTCTCCACTTTGAAGAAACCATATGGGTTGAATTGTGGCCCCTCAAAAGATATGTCCACATCCTAATCCCCAGGCCTTATGAATGTTACATTGCTTGGAAAAAAAGTTCTTTGCAGATGTAATTGTACATATTGAGATGAGAAGATTATCTCAGATGATCGGGCTGGACTCTATATCCAATGAAAAGTGTCTTTATAAAAGAAAAGCAGGTAGAGTTTTGAGATGGGAGAGGAGAAGACACAGAGAAGAGGAGGCAATGTGGTCATAGAGGCAGAGATCTGAGTAATGCAGCTACAAATCAAGGGACACCTGCAGCCACCAGAAGCTGGAAAAGGCAAGGACAAAGGCCCCTGGGAGCCTCCAGAGGAAGTGCAGCCCTGCTGACACCTTGATTACAGACTTGTAGCCACCACAAACACAGTCTCAGACTGTCTTTAATATTTTGCTTCCATCCTTACTTAATTGTCTTGGATCTGTATCCTGGATGTCAATGTGGAATAACAGAAAGCACACACACGTGGAGTCAGGCAGACCTCTGCTTAATCTCTGGCTCTTTATTTATTCTCTGTGTATTCCTGGGCAATTTATTCAACCTCTATGAGCTTATTTTCTCATCTTTAAGTCGTGGGTAATCATATGCACTCCATAGAGTCATTGTGAGGATTAAACTAGATAACATACATAACATGCCTGGTACATAGGAGGCATTTGATGAATGTTGCCTTCTTTTTCCTATCACCCTATAATCTGTGAACCAGTAGTACTCTATAGTCTTGAAGTAGATGGTCTGGTAGAGCAGATATTTTTGTATAGGGACTTTCCAATTTTCCTTCAAATCTCACTGTGTAGATAGCTTTCTTTTATTTTTTAAATTTCCCTTTGTCTATATGAATGCATGGATGACACATAAAAATTGTATATAACCACTGTGTAGATAGCTTTCTAACCTGATTATACATAAGGTTTCCCCTGATGACATTGCATTTTATTTTGAACTATGATTATACCTACACAACATTAAAGTTTCTGGTTGAGAAGGGGAAAGTCCTACCAAAATGGCTGTTCGGGAAAACACTATAATAACAAATAAACAAATATTTATTGTGTATATATTATGTGTTCAGTGTTGTAGACATTAGGGAATGAGATTAACATAGTACTTATGCTTATGGAGTGAGGAAGACTGACCAGTAACTAAGCAACTCTAGCACAGTTGTCTCTTGGTATCTATGGGGTATTGACTCCAGAACCCTCGTGGATACCAAAATCCAAGGATGCTCAAGCTCCTGATACAAAATGATGCAGCATTTGCATATAACCTATGTACATCCTCCAGTATACTTTAAGTCATTTTTAGATTACTTATACCAAATGCAGTGTAAGTCATCTCTAGATTACTTATACCTAATGCAACTTAATTTGAAGGCTCATTTCCATCAGGCTTCAAATGTACTGTAATCATTTGTATTATTTTAAAAAGTCAATTTTCTTGTCTCCTGTTACAGCAAAAACTTGTTAAAAGAATTGTCTCTACTTACTGTTGCTATTGTCTCTTCTCTTATTGTTTCTTGAATCCACTCCAGTCACACTTACACCCCTACCACTTCACTGAAATGAAGCAATGTAAATGCTATGTAAATAGTCATTATACTCATCGTTTAGGGAATAATGACCAGAAAAAAAAGTCTGTACATGTGCAGTACAGATGCAACTATCATAGACCTAACTACATTTTCAATTTGTGGTTGATTGAATCCATGGGTACAGAGGAAATATTGTGATTGGTGCCATGGTGAGCACAAACACAAGGGGTGCTTAACAGGAAATAAGGACTCCCTGGAGTAAGTAAAGTCTAAGTTGAGATTTAAACGGTGAATGGAAGTTAGCTATGTAGAGTCCCTCTTACCTTCCACAAAAAAGAAAGGGAGAAAAATATAAAGGAAATATTGTTTTAACAAATTTAATTGGTGTAAACATTAAGTTTAAAATTCTGGGTATCTAAATAGAGCCATTCTTGTTTTTGTTTCAATTGAAAAAATTTTTTGGATATAGTTGCACTACTGAGATGGGAATGAATGGCCCATTGGTAAAATTCTTTCAAGTCACTTGGAGAAAAAGAGGGCTTTTATTACATTTTGCACAGATGTCCCCAGCCGGCAGGTAGGGCCATTAGTCAAGATGTAAATACTATATCAAAAATGTTCCTGAATACAAAGCCCTGATTGAGGAAAGAGTGGATTTGGACCAAGTTGTGTTCATGGTAGGATGTTGGGTAGGGAATGGTGTCAAATAGAAGATGTAGTTGCTGGTTTCTAGGAATAATAGTAATCACAAAAATATGTTGTACATTAATTTATGTGCCAAATACTGTTGTAAGTGCTTTTTGTGTATTAACTAATTTAATTCTTCCAATGATTCTGTGAGGTAGGTAATATTACTATTCTTACTTTACAGATAGTAAAGACAGACTTACAGACAGACTTTACTACAGTCAGCAAGTAATAGAGCTGGAATCCAAGTCAAGACCAGTTGACTTGAAAGCCCGTGCTCTTAACTCCTACAGTCAGTACTTTCTCCCTTGGGGAAAGAAGGGCTTTGTGGAAATGTAGGTACAGAAATGACATATGAGAAGAGAAAACAGAAGCAAATATCAGCATGACTGTATGGCCATATATCCATTAAGTGCCAAGAGATAGGTTGAGTGATTAGAGTTACTGAACTTGGGGTTGGGATGGGGTGGGGATTACTTCGTCAGGAAGGTCTACAGAAAAATAAATCTTAGGCCGGGTGCCGTGGCTCACGCCTGTAATCCCAGGACTTTGGGAGGACAAGGCGGGTAGATTACCTGAGGTCAGGAGTTCGAGACCAGCCTGACCAACATGGAGAAACCCCGTCTCTACCAAAAATACAAAATTAGCCAGGCTTGGTGGTGCATGCCTATAATCCCAGCTACTTGGGAGGCTGAGGCAGGAGAATCACTTGAATCCATGAGGCAGAGGTTGCAGTGAGCCAAGATCGCACCATTGCACTCCAGCCTGGGCAACAAGAGTGAAACTCCATCTTAAAATAAATAAATTAATTAATTAAATAAATCTTAAGCAGTGTTTTAAGAGAGGAATGTAATTATAACTACTACTAGCTAACATTTTTTGAGCCCCTACTATGTGCTAATAAATATTTTAGATAATATCTAACTCAATAGTCAGAACAACCTGTGGCAGGTACTATTATATTTCTATTTTTAGATGCGGAAATTGAGACACAGAGAATTACAGAGAAGGTAATTTTCCCAAAGTCTCAGAGCTTAACATGGGTAGAGCCAGGTTTTGAACCAAGGCAGCCTGACTCTTCCTTAAATATATTGACTTGCTCTGGTAATTCTTCCCTCTCTCTCATGTCAACAATTTTTCTCTCTTCACGCAATCATTCCCATCAGCCTTCAAATGTGCTGTAATCATTTGTATTATTTTAAAAAGTCAATTTTCCTGTCTTCCTTTACAGCAAAAACTCATTAAAATAATTATCTCTACTTATTGTCTCTCTTCCCATTGTTTCTTGAATCCACTCCAGTCAGACTTACACTCCTAACACTTTGCTGAAACTGCTCTTGTCAAGGTCACCAGTGACCTCCTCATAGCTAAATGCCAAGGTCAATTCTCAGCTCTCACTGACCTTTTAGCACTATTTCCTATAGCAGATCCTTCCTTTGTCTTCCAGGACATTATCCCTGTTTTTCTTTTTCCTATTTCCCTAGCTGCTCCAGTTTCCTTTTGCGGGTTCTTCATATTTCCAACTTCTTAATGTCAGAGTCCTAGACAGCTTCTCACTTCTATTCATAATCACTCCCTCAGTGATATCATTCTGTCTTGTGACGTTAAATACCACCTACATGCTGTTGAATCCCCAGATTTATATCTGCAGCCCAGATCTCTCTTCCAAACTCCAGATTTGTATATCCAACTGACTACTTGTCATTCCATTTGGATGTCTAATAGGAATCTGAAATTTAATATGTCCGAAACCAAACTGCTGATATTTTCCCCACAATCTGATCTTTTCATTGTCTGGCTCATTTCAATTAATGGACATGCAATCTTCCAAGTGCTTAGGCCAAAAACTTTGGCATCACCTTTGACTCTTCCTTTTTTCTCATTCCCTCACCTCAGTCTACATTCAATCTTAATGATTTCACCTTCAAAATATATTTGGACCCTAACCACTTTTTACCAACTTTACTGCAATCATTGTGGCATATTTGGATTATTGCAAAAGCCTCTTAATGGGTCTCCCTGTTCACCCTTAACCTTCTAACCCACAGCAGCCTGAGTGATCTTGTTAAAGCATAAGTCAGAGCATGCCACCTTTCTTATCAAAATTCTGCAATGGCTCCTCATCTCATTTGAAGCAACAGCTAATGTCTATACAATGGCCTATGGCCCTACCCCAGTAGTTTTTAATCATTACTATACATTAGAATCACCTGGAGAACTTTTTAAAAAATGTCTGGTCCTCACTCCCAAATAAAATGAAGCCATATCTCCAGGAGTGATAATATGTAGTGTGGCCCAGGTGTCTGCAGTTTTTCATAGTTCCTCAGGTGATTCTGAGAACCAGAAAGGGTTGAGAGTTCCTGGCTTCATTATACCTTGATCTTCTACTACTCACTATCCCTGGCTTATTTCTATTCCAATCACATTGGCCTGCTTGCTGGAGGATGCCAGGCATGCTCTTCCCTCAGAGTCTTGGCACTAGCTGCTCCTTCTGCCTAGTATGTCCATCCCCAGTTCCCATGACTGCTCACTCCCCCACCTCCTTCAAGTCTTTGCACAAAAGCAGCTTCTCTATGAAGCCTTTCCCGTTTCCCATTTCAAAGTGCATTAACCTTTTCTGCTTTATGTTCATCTATACCCTTATCATCTTAAATATTATGGTTTTACTTACTTCTTTTAGTGTATATCTCCCCTAGCTAGAATGTAAGCAAGCTCTCTGTGGGCAGGGATTGATCTGTTTTGTTTACTGCCATATCTCCAGTGCCTCGTGCATAGTATACATTCAGTTAATAATTGTTGAGTAAATGAATTATTTGACAAAATAACACATAATAAAACAAGATTAGGGTAACAAGGCATCCAAGTAAAATGAAGAGCAAAGGAAAATCCAGGTAAGTAGTTAAGTCTATTTGCCTTTAGTTCGGGGGCAAAGAGGTGTCCACAAACTAAGTCTATATGCTCACTAATAAAATTTGAGATTGATTCTCAAGCTAGTCGAGAGGTCCTCGCATTTTTTAAGTCCATGGACCTTTTTGTTAGTCTGGTGAGGCTTATGGAAGTCTGTTCAGAATAATGTTTTTAAATAAATAAAATGAAATCCATAGAATTAAAAGGAGACCAATTATTTTGAAATATAGTTAGAATAATTTTTAAAGGTTGTAACATAATAATATATGTGCCTCTATATTAGTATGTTAAAATCAGAAGTCAGCAACCTTTTTCTCTAAAGGGTTAGATAATAAATGTTTTTAGCTTTGTGGGCAATATAGTCTCTTGGAACTACTCAACTCTGCCATTGTAGCATGAAAGCAGCCAAAGATAAAATATATACGTGAATTAGCATGACTATCTTCCGATAAAACTTGAGCTACAAAAGCAGGCAGCAGGCAGTTTTCCAAGTAATAAGGTCTACTGATTGGTTTAATAACTATGATGATTTTGAAGTGGCAGTGATCCTAAATGATATTTTGAGATATCTATTAATACAACACCTGTAATGTGATATAAAAAATTTTATGATTTTTGTTGGTGACAAAGTCACAGGTGCTGCTAATATTAACTATGATTTATACATTCATAGTTGAAGGAAACACTAAGTTATAGTTAAAAGTCAGTAAAATAAAGATGTAATTTTTCCCATCCAAATTCACAGACCCCCTAAAATCTCTTCATGGACCCCAGTATAAGAACCCCTGAGCTAAGAGTCTTAACAGTTCAAAATACACGTATTAACAACAGAGTAAGATTTAACTTAGAATGAATGACAATCCCTTCTGAGTTGAGTAAGTTTAGAATAGACCCAGATCCTGGTCACATATAGCTTTGTGGTGGTTGTATTGGCTGATGGCAAGAATTGATCTCCACAATATCCCACAGCCCCTACTAAAGGGTGTCAGGAGCAGCTACTAAATAGAAACAAGTGTAGAAGGAAGTGAAGAGGGCTGAATTTGATTGTTTGAAGCGCAGAGAAGGAATGAGCAGGCAGGGATCTTCCATCAGTTTAAAAATTCTGAGGAAGTTGCACAAACATCAAATTGTCAAGATTTGCAGGCATTGATGAGCCTGGCTCTGTACATACATACATACAATGAAAAGGAGTATTATTAAGGGAAGCAGTGGAAGGCCCATGACCTTTTCTGGAAAATGGCAGATCCCTTCTCTATAATTCCTACATTACCCAGAAGCCTCCAACTTCTTAGAATTTCTAGTTTAAAACTGCAAATATCCCAGCAATAACTTTCAAACACCACAATTTCCGCTGATATTGCCTCATACCCAATTCGGCTTTATAGTGCAGTTCCAATGTAATTGTAGCTACTGCATTGATTGGGTCAGATAATCTATGTGGATTTCTAACCAGAGCCAAGCAAGAACTTTTTCAGGACCCAGAAACTTATTGCCCTTTAGAGTGGTAGTTAAGCGAAAAAGAAAAAACCTGGTATTTTGAATTTATGGCAATAATAGAAAAATTGCTAGGTACTTTTGATGAAGGAGTTTAAAGTGAATACAACACTGCATATATTGACTTCATATTTCAGTGCACATCTAGATTTATTGATTAGAGAAGGACTGACTCAAACCAAGATTGATTTGATAGAAATCACAGTCTGCTTATTTATCATGTGGAGAAAATTTACACATCTACCTGGGCATAGGGGTATTACTTATTGACTCTGAATTAAGACTTGGCTGAGTGTCAAGTTTCCACTGGCAGTCCGTAGACCCCTTTCGAGAAAATTCTTGTTTGCATTTGAGCAAGAAACCATGAAAAGAACATTTTGGTTGTTTAAACGCCCAAAAGTACTTTGAAAAATCAAAATTTAGTACAATATTGTTAACTGGTATTTGTGGTGATACTAAGACTGTTGGCTGAATGAAGTTTTCTTTTATTCTATTTATAAAGAAAGCAAATGAAGAATAATGTTAACAAAAGGACAACATTTCAAGCACTTTAGTTATACTCATTTATAAGTAAATATTAGTATACCAATTAGAAATCATTCTCTAATAAGGCAGGATGTTAAATAGTCTCGGAACAACCATTCAAAAGCAGTCTCTTAAGTAACTCTACTTAGAAGTACTTGGTTAAATTAGCAGTAACTTAGCTAACATTTGTGAAGTACTTAGATTATGCCAGAACGTGCTATATACTTTTCACAGATGTTCTTTTAAAACCTTTAAAAAATTCCTAATAAGTAGGTATTGGTATTGTTCTCATTTTATGTTTGAGAAAACTGAGTTTCAGAGAGGCTAAGTGACTTGCCAGAGGTCTCACAGACGATACATGGAGATGAAATAAAAACTGGCTCCACTGGGTTCTCCAATTTGCGAGTTCTTGAGTGAATTATTCCCCCCTCACAGTGAGGAGGGAGTAGGGAAATCGGGAAGAGAAAGAGCAGATTCATAATATTTAACTGAAAATCCTAAATTTCATATCTTTCAGGAATGAATCACTCAGGGCACTGGTTCCTAACTACAAACCAAGTGGCATTAGATTTTGGAAGAACGGGCTTAACCCATTTTGCTACTGGTTATTTTCCTTCAGCACAACAACTGCATTGCAAGGGAAATAGCTGCTCACAAGTGTTAAGGGCCTTATTACTGTTCAAATGCCCTTCTAGTACTCGTTATGCTGGCAAGGGTACATTACAAATGAAATACAGGAGAGGAATAATTCAAACTCCTTGGATGTTGGCATTTTGTAAACCTCAAAGCCATAGTACAAATCTCTCTCAAACCTCTGGAAATCCATCTTCATAGCAGAGAGTAGGTGGGAAGGGGCTTGCAAATCCTTTTCAACCTGACAGCTCAAAAACCTAACTTGTTTTCTGATTCCTCAGCTGTGACAGGTTGGTGGCGGTGTATTTTTCACTTCAGAAGCTAAGAACTTTTGCTAGAATATGGAGGCCAGAGTAACTGGGCTTTAATGCTAGATTCTGCACAGAGAAGACAAAGGAAAAAACAAGATGAAATATTTGGCAGGTCTGTTCTGGCGCTTTTGCATAAAATGCATTTGATAATAAACATTATATTTTGAAAGTTCCTGTGCCTTTAGACACAATGTCTTGGCAAATTCTCAGCATCTTGCCTACCATCTCTATACACCCATTTGCTCCATTTAGTTAACCTATTCCTAATGCTTACTCCTCAAGGAAGTGTATCTCCACCCAATTTGAGGTGGCAAATAACCTGTCCGCCGCCCAGTATTACTCCACCACCTGGCTACTGAGCCTGAAATTTCCACCATGTTTCATTTATTCTAACTGTATCTACTTACTACATCTGTTTATCCTTCCAGCTACCCACCAATCTATCAAAAAATATTGTCTGCTGTGTGCCAAGCACTCTGTTGCGTTCTGGAAATTCACTGATAATTAAAGCAGATGTGGCTTTTGCCTTTGAGTGTACGGCCTATTGGGTGAGACACAATAAACATGTAAAGAGACACAGAAGTGATTCACTTTAAATTGTGCTATGTGCTATGATAAATATGAATGCAATGGGTGTCATGACAGAAGATACCAGGAAGGGATCTACGTAGTGTGCTCAGGTGTCAGTTCAGTTGAAACTTTTTTTTTTTTTGAGACAGGGTCTTTTTCTGTTGCCCAGGCTGCAGTGCAGTGGCGTGATCATAACTCACTGTAGCTTCGACCTCCTGAGTTCAAGCGATCCTCCTGCCTCAGCCTCCCAAGTAACTGGGACTACATGCATGTGCCACCACACTTGGCTAATTTTTAAATTTTTTGCAGAGATAGGGTCTCACTATTTTGCCTAGGCTAGTCTTGAACCCCGGGCTTCAAGTGATCCTCCTGCCTTGGCCTCCCAAAGTGTTGGAATTATAGGCATGTGCCACCATGCCTGGCCTCAGTTGAAACTTACATTCTACTAGATGGAACTCCATTTAAAGTACACATACTGCTGGGTGTGGTGGCTCATGCCTGTAACCCCAGCACTTCAGGAGGCCAAGGCAGGAGGGTCCCTTGAGCCCAGGAATTTGAGATCAGCCTGGGCAACATACCATCTCAAAAAAATTAAAAATAAAAATATAAATAAACTACACATATACCATGTAGCAGGGGTAATGCACTAACTTACTAGGGTGGTCACATTCACAGAGGATAGGACTCTGAGGGCATGGGTCTCAGAATAGATCGAGTTTTTTGGTAGACTGTGGGTCAGGGAGAAGAGAAGTAGACTAACTGAATTCCTTCTATGTGCTAGGTTCTCTTCTAACTGTTATTTAAAAGGTTACCTTTCCTCATTCCAGCCTTAGCACCAAGAGGTAGGTAGGCGTCAACTCCATTCTATGGATAGAAAAGCAGTTTCTGAGAGGTTAAGCAATTTGACCAAGGTCACAAGGTTAGTTGCTGGCAGACCCTAGGAGTAGGAAAGCTAGAGTGTTGTGTGTGGGGAGGAGTAGGGGGTTGGATAAAATCTAAGGCCTACCAAAAGGAAAACAGAGGCAAAAAAAAAAAAGGAGGGGGGGGCGGAATATGGTGTCATTAACCAAACATGAATTAAAAGACCTGGTCCTGTCTTTAAATTGGTTACAATTCACCTGCAGAAAGATGAGGAACTCATGATACAGGGCAGAATATAATAAGCAATACTAATAGTCAAGTCCAAACTGTGCATTATGACTGAGGAAGATAAACAAGAAACAAGCAAGGGAGGAGTCGGGAAACTTTGAAAAGGCTACTGGGAGGAGGTTGTCAAAGCCATTTAAAATGGAGACTTCCTTTAAATACAGTGCTTGCTTCCTTTTGCTTGGATGAAGTAGTTTTAGATTTCAAGCAAGTTAGGTACAAAACAATGATTACTGAACTGTCTGGAAGGTCAACAGACACATTATGATCATTGAGTTATAAATCACTGAAGGCTATATGGGTCCAGGCAACATCCCATCTGCGGGTACTATTTCAGGTCGAGATACATAATATCAATTGTTGTCCCCAGCTCCACTTCCCGTCACTAAAATGTGACAGTGATTAAATGCAAAATGCAAATATTACAGTATGTAAGTACAAATTTAAAACAATAATGGCCTCTTGTCAGACAATATGGAAAGGCAAAGTTGCATGGAATTTGTTATTATACTTGCAAATGCAGCAATATTTACAATGGGTTGACACAGAGCTACATAACCCAATACAAGGCGAGGGAAGAATTATGGAAAGCAGGAAAGGAAAATTGTGAACATGGAAGAACACCGCCTTTAAGGAATCACAAAGGAAGGCATGAAGAGGGAGGAAAACAGTTTCAAGGTCAGTGTTCCTCAGACATTTCGGAATAGCCCCCATGCTCCTAATTTGTTTTATGAATCAAAGCAAAGGCCAAAGGATCAGTTTTTTGAAGTTTGCTTATGGCCTAACGTCCTCAGTGTCAACTCTAATTTCTTAATTGTCTTATACTTCTTAAATCTCTCATTTTTCTATGATCCATGAGATCCGCGAGGCCAGAAACCATGTCTGTCTTGTTCACCATTCTATTTCTAGCATCTAACAGTGCCTGGCATGTAGTGCCTGCTCAGTAAATATTTGGTATTTGAACAAATAGTTGTTCTCCTGGCTGCCTTGAAAGCTCTGGTGGCTTTCCTCCCCTACTAAGAAATTGCCTCCAGTCTCTGTATCTCTCCTTATCCAATTATTTTCACTAAAACCTGCTTATTTTATATCTTATTCCCTCAGAGACTCTCTAAAGAGAGCAGATTTTAACAATAAGATTAATAGTTTCAGGCACTGAATTAATCTGGGGCCAACCAGAAAAATAGAAAACCACTGTAAGTGCTTAAAACAGAGGATATTTAATGCCGGGAACCAGTTACACAGATGGTGGGGATACATATAAGGACAGTCTTGCCTCCCAGATCAAGAGTATGTTGAAAGCAGTTCTCTTGATGCATAATCCTGTTATGAGCTCACGCAATCTAAGGGTTGGAAAGAATCTTAAACTTTGTTAAGCTCCAACTCGTCAGATGGCTGTTGTGCCACAGATGGCTATTGCCTACTCCAACATCTCTTCTTCTCTTTCTCCTCAGGCACAGAATGGCTATTTTTAGATGAACACATTTCTACCCAGAATCAAAGATAATTCTGTTTTTCTGACCTTCCTTGCAGCTAGCCAAGGCCATGAGACTAACTTTTAGGCAATAATATGTAAGCAAAGGTGTCATGTGGGACTTCCAGGGAGGTTTCTGAAAGGGAGTGGACACATTCAGGAGGGGCTTCTTTTGGTTTTCTTCCTTTCCTCCTTTTTGAGGCCTATAGTAAAGACATGTTGTTGGAACTCCATGGGCCCATGAAGTATCCTTGCGGGTAGAAGACATGGGATAGGATGATACAACAGAAAGACAGGACGCCAGGTCCGTGATGACACTAGAGAGTTACCCTGTAGCTTCGGACTGCCCACTTCCAAATCACTTTTAACATGAAAGAAAAATAAACTTCTATATTATTTAGCCATCGTTGTTGAGTTTTCTGATCTTTTGCTTTCTTTCTATTATATACAAGTGAATCTAATCCTAACTAATCCAGTTATATCATTTTTATTGCATCTGAGACAAATGGCCATTTAACTTTGGCTTGGATACTTCCTGTGGTGGGAAACTTACTAATTCTTTGGGTGGCCTATGTATCTTTGAACAGCTATTACTAATGAGAACTTTTCTTAACTGACTGCAAATTTATATTTATTAAGATTGTACTTAAGGGTCTTTGAATGGTTTTGGGTCACAAAGAACCTTCAAATTTTTTTTATGTCACGTATTTGAAGATGTGTCATGTTCCTTGGAGTCAGCTCATCTCCAGTTTAAATATCTCCAATTCTTTCAATTACTCCCCACAAGACCGTTTCTTCATTTCAACAAGCTTAACCTAGCTTCATGTATTAGTTCACACAGGAAACCCTGTGGAAAAGAGCTCGAGGCTATGAGATTCAGCAATGTTGCCTGCAGCCCTATATATTTAATTGATTCCATTGAATTAAGGAAAAGGTACTTTCTACTTGTTCTAGTCTAAATTAGCAGTCTGAAGTTTACATAATGGACTTCACTATTTTGGGTGGGCTAAAATTGAGGTTAAAACAAACACGATTATTTAATCCTGTACTATATTATAATCAGCGTGTTCAGCAAGAGACTTAAAGTTTTAATTCATTATTAACCACATTGTACACAAACCAGCTTCTCCTTTTACATAGTAAGAGGCAACATTCCCAGAGTCATTAGCTATTGCTTAATCTTTTTAAACAAAGCTCCCTTCTTAAATGTTTTCTGTGGACGTAGCCAATTCAGACTGTTGGGCTCTCATCTCCAGGGCCGTCTGCTTAGCACCTGTTGATCACTTCTAATGGCAACATATTCTTGGAGTCTACTGAGAAACCGCTTTCCATATGTGTTAGAAGAAATTTATAGTCCCTCAAAATGTGCGTCTAAGAGTTATGCTTCTCCCCCACCACCCAACTAGAAGAGTGGCAAATGCCATTGACTCCTACCTGTCAAATTCAATAAACTAATATTTTTTTGTCATCTCAGCTGACACTTCTATGGCATTTCACACTGTTGACTACCTCATTTTCAAAATTATCTACTCCTTTGGTTACCAACATGACATCCCTACTGGTTCTTCTTCTGTATGGCCATTTCTCAGTTTCCTGTGCTGGGTCCTCTTCCTCTAATCACCACTTAATTGTTGCTGTTCTTCAGAGCCCTGACCATGGCCATCTGTGCTTCTCATTTGGCACCTTTACCCCAGACAATCCCATCTACTTCTATATAATCAGCATAGGCTGATGACCTTTTAGCCTGTATCTCCAGCTCTGACCTCTCTCTTGAGCTCCAAATCAGCATTTTCAACTGACACAGGGGCAGCGCTCTTGATGACGCACAGGCACCACAAACCATGAATCTTCAAAACTCATTATCTCCCCACCCACAACTCAGATACTCAAGCCAAAATCAGAGAATCAGGCACTTTCTTACCTTTCTGTAGTTATTCCTGTCAATAAACATGTCATTTAGAGATGTGAAAACCGAGGCTGAGTGCTCAAGTAGCTTGTCTATAAATCCCTCAGCTACTACAAGACACTTTTTTAAAGTTTATTTTTAAATTTTCCTTTTTTCTTTTTATTTGTTTTTCCTTTTTTTTCTAAGCCCATACCTTACAAGGACACTACAAGAGAAATTCTAACACATTTCAATCTAACTCTGGAGCTGGAACTCTTAACTGTTATGCTAAATTCCCCTTACTAGGTAGTTCTATTATAGAATATTTTGTCTTCATCTTGAAAATCAGAGAGCAAGACCCTGAGGGAAGAGAACACTAAAGAGGAAAGGGTTGTTGAAACATTCGGTTTGGAGGGGAGGTTAGGTTCCTGAACAACCGGGAGAGGTAAAAGCTCAAAAAGTGCAGGGAACAAAAGGCAGTTGAAGGAAAAAGTGCCAGGAGCCAGGGCAGAGCAGGAAGGGCCTCAGGCCAAAGTAGTCTTTCGTAGGGTCTTATTGAGAAACAAGTGACCTCACTAGGATTCAATCAAGCTTGTAGGTAAGTGGTTTCCAGGTGGGAAAGGAAAAAACCTTTTGGTAATCCCAAACTTTGATTTCCACATAACTTATACTGAAATCAAAAGGGCCAATTTGACTGATACACGTGAATGGTAAACATGATGAATAGCTGCAAAACATAATAATTGGCATTACTTTGGAACAGAAGCAAAGGTACAATTATCATAGCCCATTCAACCATGAAAATTATAAGCAAATTGACAGTAAAATAATTATTCTCAAAATATTTTTTTCAACAGTTTTATTAAGCATCTTTCTATTGTAGTCATTTCTATTTCTTCTGCTCCAAATTCTGTCAGCCACTTTTTTTTTTCTGGCTTTACACTTAGCAACCCATTAGGAATGGAACTCATTTTCAGTACACAAAAGGCTTTGGGACAGCAAATGTCTTTAATGTTAACACTCTCTCAGTATCCGCTGCTTGACCAAATAGATATATTCCAACAATGTTGGCTATAAGATAAATGCTATTTTGCTTTTGCCTTACATTAGAATGCTGAAGATGTGTTCCCATGAGTTCCTGCCTCCTTGTACCCCACTGAGTGGAATGTTAAAAATACGGAGAAAGGTAGGTATCAAGAAGACATTTCTTAGATGGCACTGATGTCATGATTATTTGGGGGTGGGGGAAAGGTGTTTTCTTTGGGTTCTTTCTTCTGCCATAGGTCTACTGTTCCTCTTACCCTTTTTCAGGAAAATAATTTATTCTAAACCTGTTATTCTAAACCTGTTTGTCTTCACTCTTCTTATGGATCTAAATAGTATCTCGAAAGTATAGGTGTGATGCTGTATCTCACCACTAAGTGCTATGGTTTAATACAAGTTACTCCAGCATGAAAATTCCTTACATTATATTCTTAGCTACTTTAAAAAGTAAGGTAAATGAAACTTCTTTATCAATATCTAAATTAGAACTCAGGTAAAGTGAATTTACTTAAAACAAGGAGTAAGGTAAATTTATTTAAAACAAGGGAACATTTTAGTTAAAGCTCAGATTTCTATCACCTCCTTCTAAATGACATTGTCAAAATGCTTTCATGTGGCTTATGGTTTCATTTATAGTTAGAAAAAAGCCCAATACTTAACCCTAAATAGCTACTGATTTGTTTTTGAGGCAACTGAGGGCGTACAGCCTTTATAAATTGATTAAAAGGCAGGAATGATAATTTCTTTCATGTGTCTCAGTTTCTAAATGCCAAGTTTGTTATCCTTAGACTAGGCCTATAACTTCTGGGTTGTTATATTTAAAATAATAACTTACCGCTGTCCTGTTTTCTTATAGTATTATATGAATTTATGGATTAATAATCAGAAAATGCTTTCTGGATGAATCTGGCTTTTGTTTCAAGGTGTCTAGCAGGCACACAATGATATAACTAGCTTATGACTTCTGAATTTTTATTTCCTTTCTCTGAATTACTTTGTCCTTTTCTCATGTTTTTATAAGAATTTAAGACCTGCCAGATTGGATCATGCCAGTGTTTCCTATAGCCTAAGATTCTACCTTCAACTGTGGCAGTAAGATAAATTTTGTGGTAAGATGGATATATTTGCTTTTCATGACAGCAACCTTAAAAGCTTAGGAACAATCCCTAATAATCTTTTTTGCCCATGTTTTAAAATTGTTCTTATTATTTTTAAATTGACAAATTAAAATTATATACATATGTGGTATACAGCATAATTAAAATATGTATACATTGTGCAATGGCTAGATCAAGCTAATTAACATATGCATTACCGCATAGACTTATCATTTTTTTGTGGTGAGAACACTTAGAATCTACTTTCTTAGTAATTTTCAGGTATACAATACATTGCTATTAACTACAGTCACCATGTTGTACAATAAATCTCTTGAAATTATTCTTCCTGTCTAAATAAAATTTTGTATCCTTTGATTCCTAATAACCTTAACTACTCTCCACTCATTAAGGATCTGTCATACATAATTTTTGTTAACATCATTGTAACCTTCTTATATTTTTCATTTGGATTACTATGTTTTTCTACATGCTGATAAACAACTGATTTGACTAAAATTTATCCACTGAATTGCCTGATTTATTGACAGAGTAAGCTGAATGTTTTGGCATTTTATAGATGTAGCCAAAGGCACACACCAAACAAGCAAACTGAATGGGAAAATGTTTGTGACAGTTTGGCCTGAGGGTACTGTCAAGCTCCCCTGGCATTCCAGAAGATCCCTTTCCAGGGAAACCAAAGGGCATGGCAAGACCAATTATCAGATCAGGTCAGCATCAAATTTCAATAACCATGGAAAAAAAATGTAGGAACTGGTGGCAGACCCGAATCAGGAGCTAAGGACCAGGTGGTATCAAACATATATGAGGGTGTGACTTCTCTGACCTTTTTATGACATTTGACCTTGATGGTCACTTGATTTCAAGATAACAGTTGGGAAACTCCTGTGGCTTGGGCCATATGCTTCCAGATGATTCAGTTACTGACAAAATCGCTAATAGGGGAAGATATTTATAGAAGTGTAGAATCCCAAACTAATAAGGAATGGGCCTGCTCTAATAGTTACTGACCACATTTCACTTGCACTATTAGATTCCTTTTTGAAAACTGTCTCTTAAAAGGATGGTTTCAGACTGCAGTCTGAAAAATGAGTCTTTTCAGAAGAGGATTACTAGTGAGATGAAGGGACTCCAAGTCATGACATAAGGAACCCAGGATGTTTAATTAGGAGTAAAAAATACTTAGGGAGGGTTAGTTTTTAGAGGAGGGATCAATTTGTCCTATGTGGCTACATATAACAATTCTATTTTCCTAGTGGAGCTCTCTTTCCATGTAGATATGAGGCAGAAATGAAGATTCACCCTCTAAGGAGAACACTAGAGAAGAAAAAACAAACTATCATTTAAAACACCATCATTTCATACCCCAAAAGTAGAAAGGACATAATCTCAGAGTGAGGCAAAGTCCTTTAATACATTTAGCTTTCTACCACATTGCCCTTATTGTTTTACAGACCTGCAAGATTTCATTAGGATTTTGCACAAGTCCCTGAAACTAGCCTTTGGGAGCCACTGAAGTAGATGAATTTTCAGATCCTTCTAACCATGAGATATTTTAATTCTGTGATAGAATTTCACTTGTACCTGGACCGCAGAACAGAACCAAGGGACTGGACCTAGGTCAAGAGACAGGCAGATCCTGAAAATCTGTTTGTGAAAGGGTTGGCAGTCAGGCCCAGAGCAGAGTACTTTTTCTCCTTGGAATTCTTAATCATATTTCCCAACTGTCAATATGGAGAAAAATTTATCTAAAAAGGCCAGAGGGTTGTCGTGAAGAGAACTCGATGTTGAACCTCTGTGCCCAGCCTTGAGCTTTGGGCTCTCCATTGCCAGCCTGTGCACCATAATATTTGGAAGAAAAGACAGAAATGCCAGTTTTGGCATCTCTCTCAGTAATAACATTTCAAATGTCTTCGCTTTTTTTGTCTTAACATTTTATTACCAGCTTGTAGTTCTTCTCATCCCACGTGTGGTCCCATGTCCCCCCTTGTGAACTGTTGAAGCTAAGTTGCAGCAAATTGAAATAGAAAACCACATATCCAGGGTGATTTATCATTAATGTGAAATTCTATCCTAACCTGAAAGCCAAGGAGCGGGAATCCCAAGCTGTTTCAAAATTCATATTACAAGACAGACAATCAGATGCCCCAAACCACAACATCTTGTACTCTATTAATCGTACGCTGACAGAGCCCTTTGGATGCATTTGTATTTCCAAATAAATACAAACATATGTCACCATTTTTTATTGATTTTGGACTTTCCTAGGAAGGAAACACTGTTAAATTATAATAAATTGTGTCAACTAAAACAAATAGTGCAAAACCTATTAAGAAGGCATTTGTTGCAGAACTTGGTTTGATTTGTTGGCGTCAGTTGAAATCATGTCGAAATACTGTCTCCAGAAACCAAATAAAAATTTGTTTGCAAATTTGTCTGTGGCAAGCATTTCTAGCACATAAAAATCCTTAAGAATCAATATGGTTTTATTCAGTATGCAAATGTATTGAAAAGCATTGTGGCAAAAATTCCATTGCTGAATTATATGATAGTGTTAGTGAATTAATAAATAATAATAGATGATAAATAATATAGGGACTGAAATAGATAATACATTTATGAAGAAGTAGAGGGAGAAAAAGATTAAGGGGATAGTCTTGGGAGAAGATCAATTTTCAGATAAGCTAAAATAACATTTTATATTCAGAAAATTAATGGAGTTTAGTCCTGTAACTCACAAAGTCCAGTTGAAGTAAATTTCACTGCAGCCTCTAAAAAGGAAAGGAGATGCAAATTACCTAGTTCTGAAGTGATAAACATTGGAGTTCTAATATGAATCAGTCTGCATCTATGATTTGCATGACTGTGTTTGCCTTCCAGGTAATTGGGAATTTAATTGCTATCAGGATAAAACTTGAGTATTATTTGAAAATGATATCAATGCAATGTATCCCGATGTGCATTTTTGAGAGTCATTGTAATTAGGCAAATGGGAGGGCTGCAGTTGGGGCTGGACTTCAGTATAGAATTTAAAAAGAGCTTATCTTCAGCATTCTCCAGATTCTCTTCTGCTACTACCATCTTGTTCCTCACCTTACAGCGCTGTTGGCACTGCATCTGACCTTTTTGTCCCTCTCTCTGTTTCCTCCTCACACTGAAACAGACCCCTTCTAATCTCATTCCTGATGTGTTTAAAGGAGCTCGTTAATGTCTTTATCCCTTACCTCTCCCAGATACTTTCTTTCTCTTTTTGCAAAGTAAAAAAAATAAAAAACCAAGCCGAATCTCAACCACCATCTACTATCACCATAGTTTTATAAAAAGAAGGGCGCTTTAATGCCTCCCAGCCCCCAAATAAAAGGAGGAAGGACATCATCTCAGAAAAATAGACAGCTTTTTAACTGAATACATTTACCTTTTTGACAAACTCTCATTACATTGACCCTATTTTTTCTAATTTTGTTTTTAAAAAAAGCCAAATTTTATCACAGCCCAGGACTATTTTGTAAACTGATGTCTGAAAACTGCTTTGATGTTGCAAAGGGAAGGGGTACTGATTTTCTGTGGTAGGGTAAATTATAGTTATGGAACACAGCAGGATGAAGCTAGGAGGTTCATCTTAGGGATCAGACAGTAACAACAGCCTCTGGGGTAAAGTAGAAAGAATGCATGGAATATAGGGATGACAAGTAAGGCTCTATCGGCGGGGAAGCATGTTGGAGAGGGTCACGAGGGCTTTACGAACATGGCTACCCAAGGGGAAATGACTATAGGTTCTTCCCATGGCTCTTACAACCTCTTTGACATGAATGGTTAGAATTGTAGGACTTTGTATGGTGCGGCTGGCCTTTTGCTGGCCATATCACACTGTGCAGCCAGCTTCCTTGTTGCAGTGATTGGATATTGCAATTCCCCTTCCTCTGTAAGCACCACTGATATAAGCCCGTTTTGGGTTGGCAAGACAGCATTTTTTATTGATTTGAATTCTGCAAAGTGTTCTGTAAGCAAAGTCTTCCAGAATTAGGGAGAGCAAAGTTGCTGAATTATGCATATTTTATATGTACATAGTATATTTGTACGCGTGTGTGTATTCCAAATTCTAAAGCAGATTATACCAGTTTCTTTTTTTTTTCCTTTGCAAAAAAAAAAAAAAAAAGGACCAAAAGAGCTCAATCAAAGCTTGAACTAAGTGCTGTCAGGGTTCCAGCTTTGGGGGGCTGTTAGAAGCATCCTGAGGAAAAATTCAACAGAACAATGCCCTGTTGTTAGTTGTGAGTGAAATCTACAGACCATCAGAGGGAGTACTTTAGCTGCTGTGAAAGGGCTCAGAGGGAGACAGATAATAAATGTACAACAATCCAATGTCAGAAATGATCACTATTGCAAAATGAGACTGAAAGCCTATTTTTTTTTTTTAGCAATTTCTACAGATGCAGTCCCACCTCTGGCCATGGCCAAAATTAGCTGGATAATTCTTTGAATCTGGCTAATGTGGAATCTTGCAAGGACAAAGAGGATTTGCTCACGAACTGGTAAGAGAGGTACTGGTCATGCATGCTTAAATGTGCTAATAGTTCTGGTCTTTAATGGTACCGACTTAATGAAGATGATGTTATGCATTTTTAATTGTTCGCCTATGATTTGACATTAGCCATGCCTTTCTAATATGAAGATTTGTTGGCCAGAACTGACATTAGCTGAAAATGGATCTTTAAATTGTCAGTTCCTCCCACATCTTCCTTGCTTTTGTTTTCCCTAGTGCCTTTCAACTGAATCGATGAGCCCTGTTTGCAGGCCCAGATCACCCCCTACCCCTTTCCTAAATCAATGTTTAAAATGGCAGAAAATATATCAACAACCTCAGACTAATTTAACAGGGCTTGAAACACTGAGCTGGGAGTGAGCTTTGTGTGTTCGTTACACCCCTGAATTGCAGTGCTCCTTGCCCCCTTTCTAGGTTACTTTTGCTTTGATATCCCACTGTACAGTTTGTCTGGTAATTTGGCCTTGTTTCCCTCTAGGGCTAAGTCCACATGCAGAACCTTGCCTAACTCCTGCCAAATTTCTCTTCCTAGAGTCTGCCCCAGCCCATTTCTTTGATACCTTATCAGCTGGTAAGATATGGACATATCATGATGATGATGCACACTGTGCTTCACTTCTGGGTTGAAACCTTTCTAGAAGTTCTTGCTACTGAGTTGGCTCTCCTCCCTCTGACTATTGTTTGAGGCTATAAACACTGCTCTAGATATTCCCAACTGTCCTGGCTGAGATCCCACTCTGCAAATTGTGGTCAGACTCCCTCAAAACCTATTCTAGTTAATGGGTGTTTGCTTGGTCCAACTTCTTCTCCCTTCATGCTTTGTGGCTGAATCCATCCATGATTTATCTTTGTAGATGATGTGAGGGTTTTTGCAAAAAGCCCTATCTCCAAAATCTCCATCAATGATACCTGAAATTTCTTGCTATTAGAGATTCAGTACTTTGACATAGGATATTGTCTATAGGTAATGTCTGTAAGAATGCATATATTCCAGGTGTCTCAGGGTGTTCTAGGCTAAGCTGTGGTAATGAGTAAACCCAAATATGTAATAGCTCAATATAATAGTTTATTTCTTGCTCACATAGCAATCCCGTGTGGGTTCTCAAGTCAGCAGGGTGGTTCTCCTCCCCACAGTCATTTTGAGATTCAGGTTTTCCCCATTTTGTGGCCCCTCAATTCCCTAGGGCCTCATTGGCATCTAGACACTGCTGGTGGAAGAAAAGAGCCAGACTGGAGAGTAAGACCTTTTTCTTAAAAGCTTTGACCTGAAGGTGGCGCCCTGTACCTAGTCTCACATGCCATTGGTCAAGATTCAATCACATGTTCACATCTAATTGCAAAGGAGACTGGGGAATGTAGTCTAGTCATTTTGCCAGGAAAAATATGGGAGAATAGATTTTGGAGGACAGCTAACAGTTGCTGCCATACCAAATAAGCATAACATGCTAACTTGTTTTCAGTCTTTAATGCCCTGACACAGTTTGGCTAATTAAATTGCTAATATCTTGGAAAACAGATGACAAAATAATAGGATATGAGCTAGGCCAGGGGAACAAAGTAGAGGAGTGTAGAGAATACATAGCCAAACATGGTTCATTGAATGGAAAGGTCAGATTTGAGGTGAAAAATTTGCAGAGATAGGACTCTTAGAAAGTCAGGGGTCAGGCCGGGCACAGTGGCTCATGCCTGTAATCCCAGCATTTTCGGAGGCCGAGGCTGGTGGATCACTTGAGCCCAGGAGTTTGGGAGCAACCTGGGTGACATGGTGAAACTGCATCTCTACTGAAAATACAAAAATCAGTAGGGCATGGTGGCGCCTGCCTGTAGTCCCAGCTACTATAGAAGCTAAGGTGGGAGGATTGCTTGAGCCTGGGAGGTGGAGGCCGCAGTGAGCCATGATCATACCACTGCACTCCAGCCTGGATGACAGAGCGAGACTCTGTCTTAAAAAAAAAAAAAGAAAGGAAGAAAGGGGTCAATGTGAGGGTACTGGGAACAGGAGAGACAAGGGGATAGAAACAAAGTAAAGATGAAAAGGATGTCTCAGTTTGTTTCAGGTTAGCCTTGCTTCTACACTCAAAATGCTTGCCAGGTGAGGGTCTTCAAAATGTGAATAATCCAGTGTTGTATTTAATTCTGTGTCATCTGTCTTTGTGAAAGAGAGGGAGCCGAATACTCCCAAAGCCCAGGTTCTTAGTGTATTCCACCAGGTTCCTGATCTTATAAGATTGTTCAACTTAGTACAAAACCAGAAGAATTAAAATCCCATCAATTTCACCATTCTTTGGTCTTTGCTCAGGTCACAATGAAAGGATAGTTTTCTTACAGCTATTCATTTGGTGTCAGGCTACCCACTGGGAGCCTTATTATATATGAAGCAAAATCTCTTCATATAGGAATGGGTTCTGTTTCCTGTTGGACATGCCACTTTACACAAACAAGGACTGACCTCTAGGTCATTTATGTCCTCTTTTCCTCCACAGCCCTATAGACTGTGAGAGATTGACCCATGCCAGTGACCGGCCAACACATTCTTACCTAGTTGGGTCAGAGCATGAGTTGGTTCAGAAGGGAACAGGGAGGTGAGTGGGAGGCTGGAGGTTGTTATCTGCAGAGCTGTTAATGGAGCTGAATCTGATTTGTGTTTAGCCTGTAAGCACTTTGCAAAGGTAGATGGGAGGCAAAGGTCTGGAGATGCAGAGGCATAGAAACCATCGATTTTGCTTTTTAGCTTGTGTCCTGGATATGTTCACTGGGCAGCAAAAAAGAATCATTGACGGTGGAGAGTCACAGGCAGTCAATCCATTCTGGATGAATAGATTTCTAAGGGTCTAAGGGCCTCATTAGTATAGACAGTTATCCATGTAATGTGATGTGAGGCGTGCTCCAAAATATCATTGTCTTGCAGGGCCTGAAATCCCATCATTAAAGATCACCCTTTGAAAACCTTTCAAAGCAATTATAATAAACTAAATTTATTTAATAAGCAATTATGTAGCACTTACTATACACTAGGCACTATTCTAAAGGCTTTATAGATATTAACACACTTATTCCTTGTAACAACCCTATGAGGAAGATACTATGTTTAGTATCCTCATTTTACAGATGAGGAAACAGAGAGAGAGAGAGAGAGGCCCAAGAACACACAGCTAGTGAATGGCAGAGCCAATATTACAAACCCAGGCAGACTGGCTCCAGAGTCTGTACTTTTAACCATTATTCTACACTGCCTTTTATAGCATAGTATGTTACATTGATTTGGGGGAAGTGTAACCCATTCTAGCAGAAATTTATTAACCTAACCATACTATTACCCCTTCCACCTAGTAAAGAGCAGCAAGACTGTGAATGATTTGAAGGGAAGAGGCATAAGAGGTCCTGATGAGACTACTGCGGGGAAGAGGGTATCAGGATGAGGGTATTGTTAAAGGGCTAGATCCCCCCAGCACTTAGTCTCCCTAAACATGCATCACTCAAGGAAAAGTGCTTTATCTCTATCTTCTAGTTTGTATGAATTGGAGACAGGGTCTCACTCTGTTGCCCAGGCTGGAGTGCAGTAGCATGACCACAGACCACTGCAGCCTCAACCTCCCAGGCCCAAGCGATCCTCCCACCTCAGCCACTCAAGTAGCTGGTACCACAGGGACACGCCATCATGCTCAACTAATGTTTTTTTTTATTTTTGTAGAGACAGGGTCTCCCTATGTTCCCCAGGCTGGTCTTGAACTCCTGGGTTCAAGTGATCCTCCCGCCTCGGCCTCCCAAAGTGCTGGGATTACAGGCATGAGCCACCATGCCTCACTTCATCTCTTTTCTAAAAAACTGTATTTAGTATGCTCGGAGGTGGTATAGGCTGAACATGACACTAGGTAGACTCCCATCTACTCAGGGAACAAAGAATGGTTGGGGCTGATTGGGAATCCATGGGTAACCATATGAAAACCATTTTCTGGTTCTGTAGTCGGAGTTAATGCGTCTTGCTGTCCCAGGACAGCTCCATGGAGGCTGCTCTGATAGGATTACTTCCTCTTGCCTGACTTTTCCATGGATAATTTGGTACTGGACAGTGCTCTCTGATCACTCAGAGCTCCTGTTAGCTTTTTCCCATCTAGCTTCTTCCTTACACCATTGAAAAAGGGCCACTGTTGTCTCTGCAGAATGTTTTCACCTGATGTCACATAGCCCATGGCTTTCAGTGTATAGCTGGCTCTTTTACAATCCCTATCTGTGGCTCTTCAAATCTTCAATTCTTGTATTAGACCAAGCTTATCCAACCTGTGGTCCAACACAAATTCGTAAACTTTCTTAAAACATTATGAGATTTTATTGTGATTTTTTTTTTTTTTTTTTAGCTCATCAGCTATGGTTAGTGTTAGTGTATTTTATGTGCGGCCCAAGACCATGCTTCTTCTTCCAATGTGGCCCAGGGAAGCCAAATGTTTGGACACCCCTGTATTAGACTGTATGTCTCACTGGGTGTTCCAGAGGAATATCTGGTGGAAAAGGAGAGGGGCATGATGATTTCGGTGGGTACCACCTCACTGGTCTTTGTCCCTGGAACAACTTTCATGGCTAGATACTATAACTAAGCTAGTCAGTTAGCAGAAATCTAAGCACCTACCATGTGCAGGATGCTGGATAAACCACTGCATGCCCTAGGCAATCTGAGCTGACCTAACTTGGTCATTAAGTTCTCTTCTAGAAAAAGAACAAATACTGTTCTCTTGACTGACAGACTTTTCATTCCCTGTGCATAACTGAGGATCCAGCTTCTACACTTTGGCGCTGAGCTCGTTGTCTTCATAATTAATGCTAAAAAGAGCAGATTTGGAAAGAACACGGGAACGAGAGGCTAAGTCTCCAGAGGGAGCCTTAGAAGTGGACTTGGTGCTTTTCCCCCCCACAATATTAATCCCCTATGGTCACGTGCAGGGAATACAAATGCCCTTCTCAGGCCCTCAGGTTCAATTTCACCATAAGACAATTGACCTATCGCCACGGTGAGGAGCAAAGCCTCAAACAAAGCGGCTGCCGAAAGGACTTTGTCAAGCTGGAAATGAATTATTAATATGGCTCTGAAAGGGAACAGCATTGGAAACCAGTCTCTTTATTATTTACATTAATGAGCTGGAAGACGATGCAGTGAGCAAAATCCCAAGTTTGGAGAATGCTACATTCTGAAGGGCAACAATGAGTGAAGAAACAATGAAATCCAGCAAATGTAAATTCAGACTACTGTCTCTGAATAAAAAGCGCAAAGAGGGAGCGTTTTCAGAGCAGGAAAGGGCTAACGCAGGGCAGCAAGTCATTACTGAAATTCCCTACCGTCAGTTTGAGAATGAAGCTCAGACTTAGGAAGACAAGAAAAAAAAATGCCTCAGATTGCCTGCTGGACAGACACAATGCTATACACCTATCAAAGGAGGCGGCATTATCTCTATTAGAGATGTGTGCCCAGTACAATATGCCATTCGTTTCTTATCTAGGTTGAACGGGAAAGTCAATTATTCTAATACAATATCATATTCTGCTCCTCAGAGAGATTCGGAGTCTTCACAGCTTGACTGGCAGAGGAGTATGTGTGTGTGCAGGCTTTCTGTATACTTCCTCTAATGCTAATTGCTTTCTTTTTGCTACATACAGAGCCCTGTTTCCCACCAATACCCCCGCCCCACTCCCCATCATCATAAATAATCTTTTGATTAACCTTCTCTTTTTTTCACAACAGCCATATAGTCTAAATGTTTCTCCCTGTTAGCCCCAGCCTGGCAATGCCAGAATTGATGTCTGCCTTCACAGGAAGCATAACAATCTCCTAAGATGAGAGATGCAACAACATTTTGCGCCACTAAATTAGATCCTTCCCCGGATGGGTATTTCTATTTTATCTGAATTGTACTTTGTCCTATTATATCTCTTGGTTGCTGGAAATTTGGTCACTTACCTTCCTCTGCATTTCTGCCTTTTAGAGAGCTCCCAACTTCCGCCTCTTTTTGTCTTCAAACATTTGTGGCCTTTTGGTTACTGGTTGTTTATCAGGCTTTGGACCCACTAGTTGCCTTCACTTTTCCTGCCCTCCTTTGCTCTGGCTCTAGCTTGCCTACTTGGCCTAGTCCCATTACCTGCTCTGATTTCTAGAACCTGCATAATCTCTGTCAAATTTCCTTACTTATCTGGGCTGCCTTCTGTCCTAGGTACTACTTTGACCTGCTATAATCAATACTTTGGAATGACGCTATTATGGGGACTTTTCCTTGTACAACTCCATACCATTTCTTGCTAGTAAGGCTTTGAGTCAATTTGGGGAGAGAGAGGAGGATGGCTGAGGAGGGTGTGTGTGTGTAGCCATTTGGAAGTTACTCTGAATACTTTTTGTTAAATACCTATTGCAGCAAGACAGGACATTTTAAAATAATCTTAAACAGTGTCAATAATATTGGTTTACAGTGATAGACTTGGGCTGCAGCTATCCTAATCCTGAATCTTGCATCAGAAAGGCCTTTGGCAATATTGAGGAAAGGTTTCATTTGATTTAGCTGCTCCTATTGGTGAAGCATAATATAGTGCATATGCATATGTTTTTCTTGAAGTAGCAACAGTTATGGATGATCTTAAATGATCTTTGGCATTTTAGACTTTAAAAATTGCTTTCAAATATATTATCCTGTTTAATCCTTTTATTAGGTTGAACCACGTGAAGCTGCTGATATTTGAGCATTTTGACCTACAGAAATGAAATGGCAATTTCATACAGCTCACTCTAATAGTTTACAGATGAGCAAATTGAGGCTTAGCAAGATGAAGTGGCTTCTCCAAGGTCATTCATTTCCACACTAAGTAGTAGAGCTGGGGCTCAAATTCTCCTGTCTCACTCTCATTTTCTCCCTTGCTCTGTACCTTTGTTGCAAGTTCAAGATTCTCTAAAAAGCACTGGCCACAAATTCCAGAGTTCAAGTACAAGTTTTTACGTACAGTGGCCCACTGGAACAAATGATTTTGAAATGCTGCTGGACATTTTAAGAATAGTCTTAAAAACCTCAAATTGGCAAAGAAAAAAATTAATAAATCATCACACAAATAGTAATATCCTCGCTGTGTGTTCTCTGGTTTGGAATATGACAGTATCTGGATATCTGTCTTACTCTTATTTATCCCTTGATCCCTATCTTTTAAAACAATTTATTTGCTGTGTCTTTTTTTCTCATCTTCTCTCCTTACTGCCTCCCACCGTCCTGGCCCCTGCCATTTATTTGTTTTGAGCTTAAATTAAGCTCTTGAGCTTCCTTCTTTCTTTAGTGGTTTCTTTCTTGGCCAAGACCTGATTGTACCACTGACCGCAATTGAATTCAATTCATTTCACCAAATAACATTGTAGAACAGGAAAACTGGAGTGTGGAATTAGACATCCCAGTGGGAGCCACAGTCACTTGTTCTCTGAGAGCTTCCTGTTTTCTCACCTGTCTGGAAGGTTCAGGAAGAGGCTGACAGGTGCCCAGTCTTGCACTGCGGCTAATGCTGTCCCAAGGGAACACCCTTCAGACTTGAACAGCCTCCTCTCTCTGCTGGGCCGTAATATTATTGTGAAGTGGTGCTTTATACTTAAGTCAAACTGGAGAGTACCGTGCATTTTAACAAGCACCCTAATGAGCATTAATTTTTGATGTTCTTCGTTAACAAGCATTATGAGCTATGACAAATTTTGGTTTGACTTTGTGCCAAAATGAGGGCAAGTTGTTGTTTAAAGCTGTAAATCTAAAAGCTTCCCCTGGGACTTGGAAGGCTGCTCATTAATACTTCTGGAGCTCGCAAAGTCAGATGAGACAAATATATGGCTGGATCTGGTTTCCATTGCCTCTTCTCCTGCCTGCCTTCATTACATCTTTCTTTTCTAAGTGGACTGTCTCCGTAACCGTACCCCACCCCACCGCCCCGCCGCGCGCGCGCACACACACACACACACACACACACACACACACTCAAAATCACTTTTCACTTCAGACTGTTGGAAAAAATGCTCACATCTTGGGAGTTACTAGACCTAGTAATTGCCTGCAAATTTCAGATAATGAAACTTCCAGCTTCAAAACGCAAATGCTTGGCAGGGATAAATAGATGGATGGAAAGATGTTTCTTTTAATTGAGAATTGGAAACTTCATTAGAATTTTTTTTAAAGAAGCCACATTCTGTTCTACTGCTTGTTGTTAAATAAGAAAAGTGCAAGCAATGATGTGTTTAAGGTGCATATCAAACCCAAAGGAAGAAGAGGCATACTAGGGGGGGCATGAAAAGGTTTTTTGGCTCCAAACTTGCTTTCCCTTGGGCTTGGCAAAGTGCCCCAATTCCTGTCATTAGATTGCCTGTTTAGGGTGTTCTGTTTTAATATAGCGAATGCTTTGTATTACCTGGGAGGGGTAATCCATTAGTTACCTGGTAACAGAATTTGATTATTTAATTACACTCATTGCCACCCTGCAGACTTTGGAATAAAGGGCTTAAAATGTAGAATGAGCAGCTGGGCGCAGTGGCTCACACCTGTAATCCCAGCACTTTGGGAAGTTGAGGTGGGCAGATCACTTGAGGTCAGGTGATTGAGACCATCCTGGCCAACATGGTGAAACCCAGTCTCTACTAAAATACAAAAATTAGCTGGGTGTGGTGGCATGTGCCTGTAATCTCAGCTACTCGGGAGGCTGAGGCACGAGAATCGCTTGAACCCAGGAGGCAGAGGTTGCAGTGAGCTGAGATTGCGCCACTGCACTGCACTGCACTCCAGCCTGGTGACAGAGTGAGACTCCGTCTCAAAAAATATATATATATATATATATATACACACACACACACACACATATATATATATACACACACATATATATACACACACGCACACACACATATATGTATATAGAATGAGCATACTTCCTTGGAAGTATAATGCTGGGGTTCCTTCCCCACCTGATGAGATGCCCTGGATAGCCTAGGGCAGTCAAGGGGCAGGAGGTTTTGAAGTATCTAGGTGTGGATAGGAACTGAATAGTAACTTTCTGCTGCTTTCTAAATTTCCATGAATCTTTCACAGATATTTTCATGCATTATCTACCAAAATGAGGATGAGGGCTAGACCTAGAATATAGAGATTGAGAATAAGGGCTTTAGCTTCAGATAGTACTGGGTTCAAGTCCCAGCTCAACCAATTTCTAGCTGTTTGATCACGGAGCAGTCGCTTAACCTTTCTGAGCCTCAGCTTCCTCATCAGGGAAATGGGACTACCCTTAGCATCTAACTCACAGGATTGTGGTATGGATTAACATGAGTTGATTTGTGCAAAGTGAACAGTACAACGTCTGACAGATAGTAAACATTCAAAATATAGTGGATTTTGTTCTTTCGTAAAATGGTCTTTATGGTCTGATGTGTGGAATACGCAAGCCTCAGGATCATGTCTGTCTTGGTCTGTCTTCATCTCTCTGTTACTTGTTTTGTTCATTACCTTCAATGTGTGTTATCTGTCGTGGGGTATTTATCTTTCTCAGATGATCTTCCTTCATCAGCCATTGTGTTCTCAGGTCTATCTCCCCTGGCTGCCTTCTCAATGTGTTCTTGTAGATGATTCACACTGCTTAGGGAAACCCTAATGAGTTCACAGCACATCTGCCTTCCTGATCAAAGAAGGGATTTCAAATCCAAAATGAAACGGCTTTTGGATTAGCTGTGACATTATTTCCCCTTCTATTGCTGCCCATAATAAAAGCTGTCCTCTCAATATGTTACCTTCTTACCTGCCGGTGATGTGGAAAGAATAAATAAGAGAGTAACTTGGTATAGAGGAAGGTGGCAGGGAAGAGGGGAGTGGATTTTTTCAGGGATTCTCTCTGTTGTTGTAAAACCTGGGAGTAAATTTTGGCAGTGCTTGTAGGCATGTGGCCACATTGAATGTGACAGGCAGATTCAGTCAATTGACACTTACTTACTTTTTTTGTGTCCAACCCTGTGCTGGGTGCCCCAGAGCTATTAAGACTTATGAGATATATTCCTGACCTAAAATTGCTTAAAATTAAGCTTGGAAGTTGAGATTGTGACTCATAAAACTGTTAGGTAAAAATAAAGCGGGGAAAATTTTATGGGGGAAATAAGAGCTGAGCTAGGCCTTGGAGGTTGAGTTTGGATAGCAGAGGAGGGTGCAAGACATGTTAGTTATATGTATATTGGTGACGGTTGGAAATAAGTGGACATAGTGATAATAGAAAGCCCAGGAAAAGGAATAAATGTGATGTGTGCAGAAGGTTGGGAGGAGATCAGGTTGACAGGAGCAGAAGGTGCCCGGTGGAGAGCAGTAAGAAATATTACTAAAAGCATAAATATGGCCAGCTGCCAAAGGATTTTGACAGACAGGCTGAGGACTTTGACTTTATACAATAGGTGACAGGGAATCATTATACGTTGTGAAATAGGAACGTAATAGGATTGGAGCAGAGAGATACTCGGGGTAGGGATTGGGTGGGAGGCTGCTGTAATGGTACAGGGCTTGCTACTCAAGCAAGGTCCAGCAGCATTAACATCAGTATCCTCTGGGAGCTTATTAGGAATGCAGAATTTTTTTAGGCTCCATCCCAGATGTACTGTCTGGGCCACAGACCAGTACTGATCCGTGACCTGTTAGAAACTTGCACACAGCAGGAAGTGAGCAGCAGGCAATTCAGCATCACCACCCAAGCTCCGCCTCCTGTCAGATCAGCAGTGGCATTAGATTCTCATAGAGCATGATCCCTATTGTGAACTGCACATGCGAGGGATCTAGGTTGCATACTCCTTATGAGAATCTAATGCCTGATGTTCTGTCACTGTATATATTACATATAATAATATATACATGTATATACATTATATATTACAATGTAATGATAATAGAAATAAAGTGCACAATAAATGTAATGCACTTGAATCATCCTGAAACCAGCCCGCCTTCCCCCCAGTCCATGGAAAAATTGTCTTCCACGAAACTGGTCCCTGGTGTCAAAAAGGTTGGGGACCACTGGTCTAAGTTATCTGCTGCTGCTTAACAAACCACCTTAAAACTTGATAGTTTAAAACCACAGACATGTATATCTCATAGTTTCTGTGGTCAGGAACCAGGGATAATTTAGCTGGGTGGTTCTGGCTCAGAGACAGTTCTCTCATGAGGTTGTACTCAAGATTTTGGTTAGAGCTGTAGTCATCTGAACACTTGACTGGGGGCTGAAGGACCTACTTCCAAACTTGCTCATGTGGCCATTGGCAAGAGGCTTCAGTTTTCACTAGTTGTTGACTGGAGGCTTCAGGTTGTTACTATGTTGGCCTCTCCATAGCCTGCCTGAGTGAATTCTCAACATGGTAACTGTCTTCACCCAGAGTGAGTAATCCAAGAGAGAGAGAGAAAGAGACAGAGGGAAACCAAGACAAAAGCAACATTGTCTTCTATAATCTAATCTCACAGATAGTCTACTATCACTTTCTGACCTTATGTTCTTGATCATGCAGGCCAACCCTGATACAATTTGGGAGAGGACTACACAGGAAGAGATACCAGGACATGAGGTCACTGAAGGCTATTTTGTAGGCCGGCTACCATACCTACTGATTCAGAATCTGTATTTAACAAGCTCTTCAGCTGATACGTATGCACATTATGCCCATTAATGTTTGAGAAGTGCTGGTCTAAGCCAATATACCTGTTAATAGCAAATAGTCAAGAAGAGACATGTGAAAGGATACATTGATGGATTTGGTGGGTGTAGGGTATGAAATAGATAGAAGAGTCAAAGTTAAGTGTCAAGTTTCTAGCTTGGGAGATAAAAATAGAGAGGTTGAGATGAGAGGGGGATGACATGCTCACTTTGATGTGCTGAGTTTGAGGCAACGGGATATCTAGATTTGAAACTTTGAGAATGTGGTGTTGGCATCCGTGAAAGGTGGATTAGGGAGTGAGCAGCAGAAAGAAGGCTGTGAAGGCTGTGAAGTCATGAAACAGTGTAGAAAGTTAGAGACAAGTAAAGGGACTGGGGTAAAGAAAGGAACGGGATAGTAAACTTAATAAGAAGCAATAGTGGAAGGCATGGAAAGTGAAGATGATGGGCCAAAACAAAGGATGGGTAGAGAGGAGATGAGTCCAGGTAAGTTGAGGGTGCTAGGGAATAGAACTCACTTACACTTTAAATATCATGTACTTAAAAAAAATAGGTATTATATAAGCATTTGGTAGAATATTCAACAGGTATAAATCTCCTTTTATTTTTGCCCTTTAGCTAGATGCAACTTTTTATATGTAACCTCCCAGGCATATTCTCTGCTATTTATTTATTTAACAAATGCTTAAATAGTACTTACTATGTGTCTGAGGTACTATTCTAAGACTTTGAGAATATTGACTCATTTAATCCTCAAAACAGCTCAGTGAGGTAGGTACTGTTATTAATTCCACTTTACAGATGAGGAGACTGAGGCACGAAGAAATCCAGTTATTACATGGTAGAGCCAAGATTCAGATCCAGGCTGGTTGCTTCAGAATCCATGCTCTTAACCATTATGCTCTGCTGCCTTTCACATGCAGATATATATTATTTTGTCCCAGCTTTTAGACAAATGGTAGCATACTATATACTATAAACATTGTTATATTCCTTGCTTTTCCACTTAAGTATATATTTTGGAAAGGATTTTCTACCAGTAACATACAGATGTCGATTTGGATCTACCATAATTTATAAAAATGTTTCCTATTGATAAACATTTGAATTTTTTTTCAGTAAATACTCCAATTAATACCTTTATATATTTGTCATTTATTATGCATGAACACTTCCATAGAATAAATTCCTAAAAGTGGAATTGCTAGGTCCAAAGGTAAGTGCATTTCAAATTTTGGTAGGTATGGCAAACTTGCTGTCCATACAGGTTGTGCCAATTTACATTCCCCTCAACAACTCATAAGAGTGACTGTTACCGCACAGCCTTACCAGCGCAAGGTGTTAGGAAACTTTCTTTTAATCATCACCAATCTGACAGGTGGAAAATCATCTCAATGAAGTTTTTAATTTACATTTTTCTTATTATGGATGAAGTTGAGCAACTATACTACATTTAATTTAGTATTTCATTTCCTACAAATAATCTGTTTATTATCCTTGACCGTTTGCAATTTGCCTGTTGATCTTCTAAAATTGATTTACAGGAGATCTTTTTATATTAAGAAAGTTAATTCCTTTTCTGTAATATAAATTGCAAATGTTTCTGTCTGTGAATTTTTTTTAACATCACGGAATTTTTGCCCTGAAAAAATATTTATTTTCTTTTTTGGCTTATGGATTTTGTGTCATACTTAGAAAAAACTTCTCTCCATTCCAAGATTATTTTTAAATGACCTTTCTTCTACTCTTTTTCATAGTTTTATTTTTTATGCTAAAACACTGACCCATCTGGAATTTGTTTTGGGTCAGATGTGAGTTGTGGATTCAACTTTACTCTTCTAGGTTTCTGCCCAATTGTCTCAATACTATTTAATCAACTATCTCTTCCCCATAAATGTAAACACCACCTTTAGCATATACTAAGCTCCTGTGTGTGTTTGGGTTTAGTTCTGGACTTTCTAGGCTGTTCCATTGAGGAATCACTCATATTTTGAAAGGACTCTTTAGCTTATAAAATGATTCCTAAAGGAATCCTATATATATCAGAATTGTCGTTTGTATTTTTAAGTATTTGTTTATACAACATTTAGTACTTTGGCAAGGAAGATTGGGGGAAGGGGGAGGAGGCAGTGAAGCTTAAGACTAATTTGTTAGGAAAAAGTATATATTGACAGTCCATCTGAAATTTTCATGTAAATCACTGAGAAAATAGGAGTTGATTTACAGAAAGAGCAAGGAACACCCTGTTTATCTAAAATGTGAGATGCCTCTACAAAGCCACTCACAAAGTGCTATTTCAGAATATGCACAGTGGGTGACAACATTGGCTTTGGAGTTGGTCTGCCAGGGTTCAAATCCTAGCTATAAATAATGTCAATAGTAATACCTTGAAGAAATGCTGTGGCTATTCTCCAAGGGCCCCAGTGTACTTCCTTGCCTATACATTCTGCCACAGCTCTTTTGGAACATAGCTTAATAGATTTACTTCGTCTAAGTCTATTTGACTTTGACTATTTGACCTGGTAGATTTGAGCCCACACTACCACTGTTACTTGCTTGCTTAATTTGGTGCAGGAGTAGCCAAACTACTGCCAGCAGGTCGAATCCACCCTACGGCCTGTTTTTGTACTCAAGATTTTTTTTTTTTGCTTTGAAATGGGGTCTCCCTCTGTGGCACAGGCTGGAGTGCAATGGCATGATTTTGGCTCACTGCAGCATCAACCTCCTGGGCTCAAGTGACCCTCCCACCTCAGCCTTCTGAGTAGCTGGGACTGTAGGTGTGTGCCACCATGCCTGGCTAATTTTTAAATTTTTTTTGTAGAGACAGGGTCTCTCTATGTTGCTCAGGCTGGTCTTGAACTCCTGGGCTCAAGCAATCCTTCCGCCTAGGACTCCCAAGGTGCTGGGATTACAGGAATGAGCCACCGCGCCCAGCCTGTACTCGCAATTTTAGAGGATTGTAAAAAAAAATCAAAAAAAATAAACAAACAAAAGAAGAATATGTGACAGACGCAGTATGTGACCTGCAAAGCCTAAAATCTTTACTATCTGGCTTTTTGTGCAAAATGTTTGCCAGCCCGTCCTGAGTCTGGATTTGTTGTTTATCTTGTAAAAATAATACTCAGCTTGCTAATAACAAAGTAAGCTGTCTGTTGCACTCCAAGAACAATTACAAGGCATTTGTATGGCATAAAAGTAGGGTCATGTTGGTTTATTCCCCAGCGTGTAGCTGGTCCTACCCTCATTTTCATGTATCAGCTGATGGAGATTTAAAGACTCACAAGAGATTTTCCTTTGCATGACTTTGAGACAGGATTTGTGGTTAAAAATCTGAGGGAGCTTTCAAAACAGACTTTTCAGGCTGCAACCCATCCCTGTTGCAGGCTTGTTTAGAGTAAGTCAAAATAACTAGACATCAATTTATTTTTAAACCATCTATTTTCTTCTTGTTGGTTTTATTGTGCACTCATAATGAATCATTTCCCTCTGCCTTTCTCCTCCTCTCTTCTGTGCATGCACACGCATGTACATACTCTCCTTAGCTAAATCTCTAGGGGCTACAATTTTTTCTTGGGTAGATGAAATCATTGAATTATAGACTATTAAAGCTTTTGTGATACTATATAATTTTAAAATAATATTTAGGGACTTCAGAGATAATTTTACACAAGTGCATTGTATATAAAATTACACAAACCCAGGCTCACAATGTGTACACCAATTAACTGGAGGCATGAGAGGTTTAATGACATGCCTAAGGTCACACAACCAGGAAAGGACAGAGCTGGACTAGAGGATAGCTCTCCTGACTTTCAGTGCACAACTTTGCCTATTAGATTATGCTGTTTCATTATTAAAAAACTAAAGCATTTGCCCTGCTGTGTATGTCTCCTCTGTTCTCTAAGGCACTAAAAGCAGGCGGGGTTGGAAAGTAAATGCAAAGTCAGAGACTGTCCTTTTAGCTTGTTCTCTCTTCCTTTGAGTTCAGATTGGACCTGTCAGTGTTACCAGTTTCTCTCCCCATACTCCAGGGTAAGGAGAAAAATAGTCTACTAATTTTTATTCTTTTATTTGCTAATTATACCAGTATTGCTGGGACTGCTCATCTGATAGTTTGTTTTGCGAGCCAAAGCTATTGTTGGTTCTTTAGAGATGAACTCTGTTCTGTCTTTCTTCCCAAATATTTCATTATTTCCAATCTTATCTGAAATCGAATTAGTTGGATTACCTTTATTAAACTGGAGACCCTCCCCACTGCGCGGTTCTGCTAATCTCAACCTAGGTGTACCTTAGCAAGTAGGAGCTGCAATTTCCAGCTTTCATATCTGGGTTTTCACTCCCAGATCTTCTTTGAGCTCAAACTCAATCTGCCTCTCTCGTTCTTCTCCCCTAGAAATGTGTTTTAAAGACTTTTGAGCAAGCTCTCAGCAAAGGCTTCTTTGTCTGTCAATGGGAAGATAAACAGTATAGAGTGTAAACACTTCACTTTAAAAGATACTTAGTTCATTCTTTCACATCTCTAGAGACCTAAAAGAATTTTTTTTCCCCAAGGTAGAGCATACTCTACATACTCTAGTGGTATTTAACAAGTGGAAACTGTAGAGTGATAGAGTGTAACTGAAGTGGACAAAGATTCTGCCTTTTTCAAATTCATAAGAATATCCTTGACTGAATTCAGAGAACCCTCCATATTTCGAGCAGGCCTCTTAGGGCTTTCAGTGTCTCAGTTCAAACCCCAAGCTTTTCAGGGAGCATTTAACATTAGCTATACCTTCACAGCCAAATCATTTTCCATATTTCTTAAACTGTGATATAACACTGATGATTTGGAATAACTGATTGAGATGGTGAGCAGAGACCAGTCTGAATTAATGAAGCATTTTAATGTTGTATTGCCTCGGATATAGGTCTCTAGAGGAGTCACTTAAAAATATTAATAAGAATTATTCTTGTGTTTGACATAAGTGGTTACTTGAATATTTCCTTGAATAGATGAAGCATCTCCCTTATTATCTTGTTTACAACACCCACTGGTTAAGTCATCACCAATTCCGTGTGTGTAGAGTTCAAATTAGTGGTTCCCTCATGTGAACCAGGCTCATTCCATGGATTACAATTATGCTACAGTCATTTACATGTACACCCACACACCCAGATCCCATGCAAAGGGATGCATCTTGTATCTATAAAGGCACAAAAGATAGATGGCTTTATGCATTTTAGAAGAAAAAAATGGATGTCACGATATGTAGAGGGAGGCAGGATTTTTTTCTTAAAAAAGCAAATATCTACCTCTGGGCACTGGGCACCTCTACCTGGCCTCATGCTACTTTTCTGACTTTTTCATTCAACGTTCATTGATCCAGTGCCCACTCTACCCAGGCACTATCTTTTGTCCTATGCCTCACAAGGCCCTTTTCTTTACCAAACCTTTAGTTAAAGTGAGAGGCGTGAAGGTTGGTTGAAGCCTTCTTTGTAGCTCCTGCTGCTGATGATCATTGGCTTCACTTCGCTTCACTTCCCCCATTCATTACTTTGACACTTGGTGAGTTGAGATCCACCTTCCCCCACCCTACTCACTGCTTTGAAAAGCAGCAGTGTCTTTAACCAAGTAGCAGGAATTCACTGAGTAAAGTGACATATATGCAGCAGGTGCTAAATGGGGGCCCACTGTGATGACTCAGTCAGTACTGTATTTTGAGAGAGAGTGGAAGGCCCTGAAAGAGGACATCTTTGAGATTGTATGCAGAGGATGGTGAGGTGTCCCAGGCTGGGAACCTCCGTTGTGATACTGACATTTTTAAGTTTCAGAGCTTTGGTTTATTGCAGATACAATTTAATAAAGCCAGTGATTCTTAACCTTTTGAACTTTCCACAGTCCAGCAATTTGATGACAGGAAAATATTTGAAGCAGGTATCCTGCTGCTATTGCCTTTTGATGGCTCATTCTCCCATTCATTCACACCCTTAAACAACTGACTTAGGCTCACACACGCCCGTCAGTTGGAGCTCTGCCTGGGCCTATTTTCTGTTGCAGATCTTCTTAATATCTCCACCACCCATCTTCAGTTAACTGTAGATCTTCTTACTATCCCTATCACCTATCCTCAGTTAACTATGTCATGAGACCTCTTCTTTTGAGTTTCCCATTATGCTCAATGAATGAAGGGTAATTGAGGCATGAGACACATGAATCCATGTGAATCTGTTGTTTCTCTCAAGCAAGAGTTCTCAATTAATTTCAATGTACATGATTCCAGAAGAGCCTAAATATTGAATCTTTGACTCTGAACTCTCCCATTGAATGGTGAAACTTTCAGGCATTTGACAAGCCAGTAAAAGAAATTTAGATGGTGGTGGTGGTATTGTTCTTTGGTATTTTCTTTCTTTCTTTTTTTTCTTGGAAAGAACCACCTTCTCAGCCATGTGCAAAAATTCTGGTGAGCATTCTTCATACCCTTGGATGCCATGGCCCAAATGGTTGAGATTCCTCTTACACTGTATAGAAACACAGGTTCAAATAGGCGCAACCACTCTGGACTAGAGGGTGGAGGGCGATGCTCTAGCAAAGGCAATGGAAAAAGTCCCAATTCTTCAAAAGGAAGGCCTGATTCTGTATGGGTACTGCTGCCAATATTCATTTATTTTTGTTGCTACTGGAAGATGTATATATGCTATTCCAAGCAGAAAAGAGATTAGCACCCTTCCTACTGCCACCTTAAGTCACCAAGCCTCTTAATTCTATCTCCTCGATAAATTTTCTGTCTTTCAATTACTTTCCACAGTCTTAGTTATTTATTAATGGCAGCAGATAACTCATTATTTTTCCTACTTCTCTCCACCATCTTTAGTTTCTCCCTCCTACAATCCTTTCAGTAGGCACTGAAAAATGTTTATTCAACCAAATGAAATGCCACAAATTCAGTTTTTTTCTAGGTCCATTATTGGGTCCATCTTGCTTAAACCCAGTCTGTAGCTCTTTGTTGCCTGATGAAATAGGCACAAGCTCCATAAACTGCTCTCTCCCTAGTCTTTTCAGCTTTGTTTCCCAATGTGCTCCAAGACAGACCTGAGGCTCCTATCACACTCAGTCCTTGTTCTTTCTCACTGATCAATGTTATCTTTGTGTCCACCCTCACCCTATTTGAAGTTTTTCTATTTATTTGCTTTAGGTTGAACTTTAGTCATTCTTCAAGATCTATCTTAAATAAATGCTTTGCCTACTTTATATCAAATAGTCTCCTCCTGCCAGCCTTCCCTATTCCCCATCTTCCCTGTATTATTTTACCCAATGGCCCTTATCACCATCTGAGATGCATTTTACTAGTTTGTTTATTGTATTCCCTCACTCCATTAGAATTTATGTTTCATGACCAGCCTGGGTTATGTGGTGATACCCTGTCTCTAGAAAGAACGTTCTAAAAATTAGCCAAGTGTGGTGGTGTACACCTGTAGTCCTAGCTACTTGGGAGACCGAGGCAGGAGGATCACTAGAGCCTGGGAGGTCAAGGCTGCAGTGAGCTATGATCATGCCACTACACTGCAGCCTGGGCAACAGAGTGAGACCCTGTCTCAACAACAACAACAGCGAAAGAATTAATGTTCTATGATGGCAGGGACCTTTGTAGTTTTGATTACTGTTATATCCCCACTACCTAATAGGTTCTTTATAAATATTTTTGAATTAATGAAAAAATGAATATATGACATCATATTGTGTATCTCAGCTGGAAGTTCTATCTCTCTATGATGTTTTGGCACTTCATTTATATTGCACTTCTCATGTCGTGACTTGTACTATGAGTTTCTTGTTATTTTTATATACCTACATACATTTGTAATGTGATCAGGATAAAAAAGCCATTAATTTTGAAATTCAAAAAGTCTGAGTTAGACAATGAGATGCTATCACATACCCATCACTGTGACTACAATGTAAAAGATCAAGAAAACCAGGTGTTGATGAGAATGTGGAGGAATTGGAACTATCAAACTTTGCTGATAGGTGTGTTAAAATGGTACAACCACTTTTGGAAAAATGTATAGCAATTTCTTATAAAACTAAGCATACACACCCCATGACCTAGCAATTCCATTCTTAGGTATGTACTCAAGAGACATGAAAGTATATATCCACACAAAGACTTGTACAGGAATTTTCACAGCAGCAGTGCTCATAATAGACAGAAAGTAGAAATGTTATCTATCAATAGGAGAATAAGTAAACAAACTGGGGTATCTCCATATAATGGAGCACAATTCAATAATGGAATGGGACACAATACTGATTTATAAAACCACATTGGTAAATGCTTACACAAAAGAGTACATACCTTGTGATTCCATTTATATACCCTCTAGAGCAGAATAAACTAAACTATGATGGAAGAATTTCAGAACAGTGGTTGCCTCTGGATATGGTGGTGGCATTGACTGAAAAGGACATGAGAGAACTTTTTAGGGGAATTATAATGTTCTAAATCTTTATAGGGGTTTGGGTAGCTGAGGTGTATGCATTTATCAAAGTCCAGCAAACATACATGTAAGATTTGTGCATTTCATCGTAAGTTTTACATCAAAAGAAAACACTGCAAACAAATATTAAATCCTAGTTGATGATACGCATGCTATAATCATATAGTATATAGTTGAAGTATATTGATATCTGCAATTACTTTGAAGTGCATCAAAATTAAGATAAATTGATCAATGAGTAGACAGACAAGTAGATGATGTATACATGATAAAACAGAGTAAAATATTAATGGCAGAATTTAGGTGGTAGGTATATGATTTTCAACCCCTTTAAACTTTCCTGTATTTTAAACGTTTTCAAAATACAATTCTGAAAAAAAAAAAAAAAAAAAAAAAACAGATCTGGCTTTGAATTTTGGCTCTGGCACTTATAGTAAGTAACTAGGAAAATCACATAAACTGTCAAACCTTCAGCTTATCTCTCCATAAAATGGTCATAGAATAGTAGCTACCTCACTGGGTATTCCTCACTCCTTAGCCTTTCTCCAACTGATATTTGGGAGCAAAGGGTTAATTTTGGAATCGAAACTATGTTTCTGATTGGGTTGGCTAGTGGCAGTGTTTTATATTTAATTATGCATCCAGGACTGTGAACACAATGAATTAGAACAGTATATCCCAATCTTCCTTGGTCATAACAATTACTCTACCCCAGACCTACTGACATAGAATTTTTATTGTCAACAAACTCACAGTCTATCAGAGAAGATAAATAGGTAAAGGGAAAATTACAATAAAACATAAAGTTCCAATAAAAGAAGAAATCATGGTCTCCATGGAAGTATATAGTAAAGGCACAGAATCCACCTTGGGGATGGTGGTCAGTGAAGACATCCTAGAGGCAGTGACATCTGAATTGAGCATTAAACAACTAATAAAGTAATCCTGACAAGCATGGACGGTCATGAGTAGAGGGTAGTATGTTTTAGGCCTCAGAGACACAGGGAGGCTAGATGAGAGAGTACGGCTCACTTATTGCTGAAATCAGAACTCAAAGTGCTCCTATTTCTTCCCTAGTGCATTTGATGTGTATGGCCTTTTGATGAAGCACCATCTTCACCTTCTAGGAACCTCCAATCCAAAGGAGCGACTCTCCATTGTAAACTCAGATGATGATTTTATTTTTTATTCAAAAGGGCTTTGCTTTGTTGCATATGCCACTGAATAAGCCAGCGTTAGGTTACTGATTTACAAACTTTAGGTGCTTATATTACCCTGGCAGACCGATTTGTTGCTATCCACATCTGTCCCTTGGCTCATAGGTAATATTTTTGCAAAGGCATTTACCTGTTAAAATGTTTGGAGTGAATTATATGCATTTATTCTAGGAAATTTTTGCAGATTTTTATGGTGGAATTGCTGACCCACTGAGCTGTTGTCAAACCTTGTTGAGGAATGCTGGAGATAGGCCCTTTACATTCCTTCATTCAGTCACGTAAGGTTTACAGAGCTCTTGCTATGTGTCTATACTGTGTGAGTTGCCAAGGTTACAGAATTAAGTAAGATACAATACTTATGTTAAGCCAATATAAGTTCTCAAAGAGCTCACAGTTTGGTGGGAGAAAACAAATAGGCAAGCAGACAAAGACAATAGAGAGTGATAAGATATGTCAGAGTGGGAAGCACAGATGGCAGGAGGACTCCAGGAGACCGTTAAACAGTACTTGATACCCTGAGGAGTTCCTGTGCTGCCCCTCACACATCAAGGTGACACTTGGAAACATGCTCTGTTAAATTTTCACTGAGACAACCACGCACTCTCTTGCTGACCCCAGTGACAAGTGGCATAGATCTGTGAGGTGAGTGGCCAGAGTTCAGGGGTCAGTTGATGGCAGCGGAAGAAAGCAGAGCTAATTGGCCCACATGGGCTTCAAATTGGCAAGCATGGCCTCATTAGCACTGTGGTCCTCCCTTCTGTGTGCTCTGGCTACCAACTTGGCTTCCCAAAGGGACCTTCAGAATCCAGGTATCTTTGGTCAACGTTTTGCTCTCTGGGATCTTATAAGCATGTCCAAGAGTGTTCTTCAACCTTGATTTTCAGAAGGGGAAATCAAGGCACAAAGAAAATCAGATTGAAATGAAATTGCTGACAATTTCATGAGGAGTTTTCCAGCTTCTTTGATGAGTTTACATCTTCATATGGTCTGTGCACCCCTAGGGTGGGTAACAGATTTGCTTCTCCTACCAACACTTGACCTGCTAAGCTGCGGAGGGCTGCTCATCATAAATTGTAAGGTTAGCTCTGAAAATGAGTCTTTCAAACACAGAAGAGGGAAAAGTCTCCCCTTCATCCCTTTCTCTGTTTCATCTTCATGCCTCCTCCAAGTTCAAAACACTCAGTTCCTCCAAAATTTTAAAATTTCTCCCCTGCACTCCCCAGTCCTTAACAAGCTGTTGATGTTCCAGGAAATGTCTTTTCCTATGAAAGACATATCACGGCAGCTAAACAGCTGGAGTCCTCTGACAGCCAATCAGCCAGGCCTTAGGGTATCAGTGTGATGAGCAACTCAGCTAGAAAGTGTCTATTCTCTAGCTGAGCAAATGTCATCTCCACCAGGAAGCTGCAAAAGGATGGTGAGAGACTGCACTGAAGTGTCTGTGAGGCTGAGTTCCAAAGGAAAAAAAATCTATAAATACAAATATGCTGCAATACGGGAGTGTCTGATTCAAGGGTAAATATATGAATGTATCTCTCTATAGACTGTTCAGGAGCACTATTTACACACTCTATACATTATGTGGAATGATTATAAATGGTGTGGCTTAATAGACTTCTTACCTTAATAAATACATAGATTTTCCTTAGGTAGACTCTTGGAAGAAATTCACACCATTGTGCAACTGAACTAAATAAAACCTACTGGCTTTTATACTTGAAGAAAATGGCAGCCCACCACCAGCAGAATAAGACCATTAATTGGAATTGGTTTGCTCTAATCCTTGCATGCACTCATTAAGGTTATCAGCATCCTTCTGAGCAGAGGTTCCCAGGTCAGTTAAAAAAAGAGAAGAAAGTGTTTGTGTGTGTTTAAATAGATAAATGTAGATAAATACCTGGAAAACTAATATTAGATTGCCAGCATTTTATTTTGACACATAAGAACACACATACACACACACACAACTACCAACAACTAATTATCACTGTTATACCATAAAAGTGAATTTAAATACAAGCAGAAAGGCCAGAGTATTAATATAAAAACAACCCTTTCAGTTGAATATATTGAATTATAAGACTAATTTAGTCTCTGTAAAAAAAGATAAATATAAATTAAGAGAAATAGACAAACAGAAAAATTACAAAAATATAATTAAATTTCATCCCCAGCAGGAGTAAACTCCATCACAGACTGACACTAATTCATGAGCTGGCATATGGAAGCCATACTGATTGAGAATTTGGGCTGAACCCAGCTATAGGAAATGGGGTAGGAACCATGTGGCATGAGAACATGCCAGGAGGAAAACCACAAGTTCATAAAGAGGACAGCATATAGCTGGTAATATTCCTATCACAGGGTCAAGAGAACAATGGGAATCCAGCATGATAGTTAACATAATAAAATAATTTAGATTGGTGGTAAATGGCAGAACATAAGGTCAAGAAGATTCAACTAATAGCAAGAGAAGAGTCAGATCTATACAGAAAGCTTAAATATCTAATGCTGTATAGTAAATGGTCAGCTGGATTAGTGTCAAATTATTTTAGCAGAAATTTGGGAGAAGTATATAATTTTGGAAGACTGAACATTATTGACTCTGTCTTCCAAGATAGGAGAGGAGTAGCTTCATTTTGTAAAACACTAACAGTTTTTCTGATCAAATAGATTTTCACATGGTTCCTAGCTTCCACACTCTTCCTAGCTTCCCTTGCCATGCAAGGGTACTTGTACATATTTCCTTCTGGCTGATTTCTTAAGCTCTTTACAATTCTAACCTCTCTTCCTCTTTACATTTTTTTTCACCATCTCTCGCTGTTCTTTGTTTCTTGGCAACGTGTACACAGAGTTCTCAACTGAAAATTCAGTAAACATATATTCTGCATCCACTATTTGCAAGACACTATGTTAGGCCCTGCAGATGATCCAAAGAGGAGTGTGTCTTAATTTCTGCCCCTAGGGAACTTATGGTTGAGTAGAAGGTGAGGATAAAATAATTACCCTAATATCTACTAAAAGCTAGACCATAACAGTTTCCCAACAGAGAAATATGAGGGATAAGAGATTGTATCTAGCTAGATGACTAGGAAAGTTTCAGAAAGAAGAGAATGTTTGATATGGACCTTGAAGGTGTCTAGGATTTTGATAGGTAGAGATGGGGTTGAGAGAAGAGCAGGAGCAGAGACTTGGAATGATTCTTGGCCATTGGCCATGCCTAGGGAGCAGAGCCAACTGTAAGTGCTATGATGAAGATTAAAAAAAAATGATAGTGATTAAAAGGCTCTTGATTTGAAATCAACAAATTATAATAATTTGTTTAACATAAGTATTTTGAATTGTGTTAAGGGGAGTGAGTTAATGAATAAATTAATTTGAAAAACCACATAGAGTTAATTGAGTTCACATCTGTTAGCTGCGCAATCTTGCACAGGTTACTTAGCATATATGTGCCACAGTTCCCTTACCTGTGAAAAACAGGATAATGGCTTTAAAACAGTGCCTGGCATATAGTAAGCAAATAATAAATTGTTGCTATTATTACTTGAAAATCAGAGTCTGGCAATGAGTTGAGTTTCAGTTTCTCTCTAGCGGTCTTTCTGCACTTAGAGAGGTCCTATGTGCTAATTTTCAGACTGACCATTGTAATCTGTTCCTTGGATCTCAGCATAAAGCCATGATCTGAAAGTCCTGTACCTGGCAGAGCTTAGAGTTGAAAGATTACCAGGAAGAAGGAACAAATATGTGCATTCCAAATCACACATGTAGCTGGAAAAGAGGTTAGAAGCTTACCTGAAACACTGAAAGTCACTTTGCTTGAAGTAGACAATTTTCCAGATTAGTCACAAGATGCTCAGTGCTTCTGCCACTTTTGCAAGCACAGGTGTGAGGCAGTTAGGCGTGGATGTGCGATTTCCTTGTTTTTCAGCTAATACAAAGAAAGCCTGATTGCTTGAGCTGGTGCCTAACAATAGGCAGCAGCTGTGGGTTCACTCAACAATTGCTGGGAAGGAACATTTTTTCCCCTGGGGTTATATTTAAATCAGGGAGCTTGCTTTCTGGGAGAGGAGCTGAAAGAAATTGCTGCTGCAGGTAGGTGGTCCTGCTTAAGAAGCCCAGGCATATCAAACTCACCTAAAATATCAACTACATTATTGGGGTGGTTATATTTAGAGTACAAAGGGGTTCCTTAAATCTGAAGGTGCTTCCCTAGTTCTTTTATGCTTTGTTAACATATCATAGAGCATTGATTGAGAGGACTAAAAACTAAAGTGTTTGCAATTAGCGATCATTGAAGATCCATTAGGAAAATACATCAGTCTCTGGAGTCAGTGAAAAAATAGAATTCACTTTATTCATAATTGTTCTTGTTTGCCTCCTGTATTGAGTTTCTACAATGCTCCAGACATTGTAATAGGCACTGGAGATACAAGGATTCTCCTCTTTTCATTTGGGAGGAAGTGGTGGGTCAAATAATAGAGATATGTATAAGGTAGGGTATAGGCATAAAGTGGGGTTATGGGGGATTGTGTTTTCTTCACCTCTGTGGTCTCATGTCTCTCTCAGTGCCTGCTTGGCAAATAGTAAAAGGTCATAAAAGGTTTTTGAATTTACAACAGTAAAAGGGAAATTTTACATAACTCTACTGGAGTCCAAAGAGTGTATAAGATCCAGCCACTCAGGTAAGTCATAACAGCCATAGAGTCTTTTCTGTATCACTGCGTCAGGTCTCTGCTCTCTCTTTGATGAATGAGATGATTGTTTCGATGTTGCCCCCACCCCCCTCATCCTCTTTCTAGCATGTGCACACACACTTCTTTTCTGGTTATTTCTCTACCCTGCGGGGGTTGTGCTTAGCTGAGGTTTAAGAGGCGTCTCTTATGCTTTAAGAGTCTGGATGCCCTGAACAGGTGAGGCAGCTCTAGGACCCTTATATCCCTCTTTTACTTAGTCCCAGGAGTAATCACTATCTTTCTAAAGAAAGGCAAAACATCAGGAAACAAGCTACATACAGTTGCCAGTAGTCTGTTCAGAAGTTGCTGAAGATGGGATATATGAGCCAGGAGTGAGGTCTAGGAGAAGAAATGACAAAAGAGAAGCTGCAAATGCCATAAGCGGGGGCAATACTATTTAGATATCCATCTTCTTGGCCAGTTGAGCCAAAACATTTATTATTTGTCTTGGTAATATCCAATGTCCTCCTTTTAGGTATTTGAAACTATATATCATTAACTATAGTAATTCCACAGTGCAGTAGTACACTAAAACTTATTCCCCCTATCTAGCTGTAGTTTTGTCTTTTAACAAATCTCTCTCCTCCACCCTTCCCAGACTCTAGTATCCTCTGTTTTACTTCTTACTTCTGTGAGACCAACCTTTTTTTTAGCTTCCACTTATGAGTAAGAGCACATGGTGATTAACTTTCTGTTCCTGGTTTATTTCACTCAACATAATGTCCTTCAGTTCCATCCGTGGTGCTGTGAATGACAGGATTTCATTCTTTTTATGGCTGAATAGTATTCAATTGTGTATATATACCACATTTTCTCTATCCATTTATCTATTGTTCAACACCTAGGTTGATTCTATGTCTTGGCTATTGTGGACAGTGCTGCAATAAACATTTTTGTAGCTATGGTAAATTGGCTTGCCTTCTTGATTTCTTTTTCAGCTAGTTTGTTGTTTGTGTATATAAATGCTACTGATTTTTGTATGTTGATTTTGTATTCTGCAGCTTTTCTGAATTCATTTATCAGTTCTAAGAGATTTTTGTTAGAGTCTTTTGGTTTTTCTATGTATAAGATCATGTCATCCACAAACAGGGACAATTTGACTTCTTTCTTTCCAATTTGGATGCCTTAGATGCCCTTTATTTATTTCTCTTGCCTAATTTCTCGACCAGGACTTCTAGTACTATGTCGAATAGGAGTGGAGCAAGTGGGCATCCTTGTCTTGTTCCAGTTCTTAGAGGAAAAGCTTTTAGCTATTCTCCATTCAGTAGGATGTTAGCTTGGGTTTGTCATATATGGCCTTTATTGTGTTGAAGTGCTTTTCCTTCGATACCTAATTTATTGTGAGTTTTTATCATGAAGGGATGCTGAACTTTATCAAATGCTTTTTCTGCTTCTTTTGAGATGATCATATGGTTTTTATTCTTTATTCTGTTGATGCAATGTATCATGTTTTTTGCTTTGCATATGCTGAAACATCCTTGCATTTCTGGGATAAATCCCACTTTATCGTGCTGTATTATCTTTCTGATGTGTTGTTGGATTCAGTATGCTAGCATGTTGTTGAGGATTTTTGCATCTATGATCAGGAATACTGGCCTGTAGTTATTTTTTACGTTTTGTCCTTGCCTGGTTTTGGTATCGGGATTATGCTGGCTTTGCAAAATGACTTAGGAAGAATTTTCTCCACTTTAGTTTTTTGGAATAATTTGAGAAGAATTGGTATTAATTTTTCCTTAAAGACTTGGTAGAATTCAGCAGTGAAGACATCCAGTCCTGAACTTTTCTTTGTTGGGAGATTTTTTACTAATGATTCAATCTTGTTACTTGTTATAGGTCTGTTCATATGTCCTACATCTTCTTTGTTCCATTTTGTTAGGTTGTATGTGTCCAGAAATGTGTCCATTTCATTTAGGTTTTCAAATCTAGTGATGTATAGTTGATTATAATAGTTTCTAATGATCCTTTGTATTTCTGTGGGATCCACTGTGACATCTCCGTGCTTCTGATTTTGTTTGGGACTTCTATGACTTTTACTTGGTCTAGCTAATGGTTTGTTAATTTTATATTTTAAGAAAAACAACTTTTTGTTTTATTGATCTTTTAAAACTTTTTTTAGTATCAATTCCATTTATTTCTGCTCTGTGATTTATTATTTCTTTCTTTCTACTAATTTGGGGTTGGTTTGGTTTGTCCTTCCTTTTCTAATTACTTGAGATATATCATTAAGTTATTATTTTTATTTTTATTTTTATTTTTATTTTTATTGAGACGGAGTCTCACTCTGTTGCCCAGGCTGGAGTGCAGTGGTGCGATCTCGGCTCACTGCAAGCTCCGCCTCCCAGGTTCATGCCATTCTCCTGCCTCGGCCTCCCGAGTAGCTGGGACTACAGGCGCCCACCACCACGCCTGGCTAATTTTTTGAATTTTTAGTAGAGACGGGGTTTTACCGTGTTAGCCAGGATGGTATCGATATCCTGACCTCGTGATCTGCCCATCTCGGCCTCCCAAAGTGCTGGGTTACAGGCGTGAGCCACCGTGCCCGGCCATCATTAAGTTATTTATTTGAAATCTTTCATGTTTTCTTTTTTTATGTAAGGATCTGTCAAGTATTCACTTTTTTATTAGTTCCCTAAAACTTATTCATCCTGTAAGTTTGCCTCTCAGTACTGCTCTTGCTGTGCCCTATAGATTTTGGTGTGTTTTGTTTCTATTTTCATTTGTTTCAAGGAATTTTTAAATTTCATTTTTAATTCCTTCCTTCACCCATTGGTCATTCTGGAGCATGTTGTTTAATATCCATGCATTTGTATAGTTTAAAATGTTCCTCTTGTTATTGATTTCTAGTTTCATTCCATTTTGACCAGGTAAGATACTTGATAGGATTTCCACTTTTAATTTTTTTTTTTGTTGAGACTTGTTTTGTGTTCTAACACATGATCAATCCTGGAGAATATTCCATGTGTAATCCATGCTAGTGACATTTTGAGTGTCTCAGGGCCTAGACAGTGAAGAGTTTGTGGTTGTGGTGCTGTGGCTTTGCTGGGGGTAGACTTGCAAGGCATTTCTCAGGTTGGGGGAGAGTGTGTGCCATGGTGAGTCAACCAACTTGGGGCTTGGGTTGGTTCTATGAGGGCTGTTACACTCTGGCTGGGAGCACGCTCACGCAGTTGCTTGGCTGGCCTGGGGGTTTGCCTGCCAGGAAACGGGGCTATTTCTCAGGCCTGGGATGTGGTTGTATGGCTTCTCACCTGGCCTGGGTATGTGTCTGCTGGGGTGGCTCATGGGGCTGTTTCTCAGGCCTGGCATGCAGGTGCACAGCTGCTCAGCTGACCTGGGGTGTGTCTGCCAGGGACAGCCCACAGGGATATTTCTCAGACCCAGGATACAGTCCCATGGCTTCTCAGCTGGCATGGGTAAATGTCTGCTAGGGGTGGCCGTAGGGCTGCTTCTTAGGTCCGGGATGCGAGTACAAGGCTGCTCGGCTGGCCTGGAGGCTTGCCCACCAGGGTGGCCCGCGGGGCTGTTTCTCAGTCCCAAGGCATGGGCACTCTGCTGATTGGACGGGGGTATATCTGCTAGTGGTGGCCCTGGAGCTTTTCTCAGGCCCTGATTAGGGTCTGCATGGCTATTGGTCAGGCCAGGGGCTTGTCTGTAAGGGGTGGGTCTGTTTCTCAGGCCTTGGGAGTGGGTCTATAGCTACTCCACCTTCTGGGAGTGCGTCAGCTGTTCAGAGGCTTGAGGGCCTTTCCTGCATGAGGGAGGGAATGCAGCAGTTTGGCTGGCTCAAGGGTGGGTTTGCACTGGGTGGGAATGCCAGACTGTTCCTCTGGCTGGAAGTGTCTATGGTGGGAGTTGGTTTCCCTGTTGTGCAGGAGCAAGGTCATAGCTGATCCTGGGTCCAAGCTCTGCACAGCTGGGGTTGTAGTGTTCAGCTACCAGTGTGGGCTTAGTGGAATGAAGATGGAGCCCTAGTGTTGGGGAGGTACAGTAGACTTTAGCAGCGGGTCTAGTCTCAAGTTCACAGGGGGTAGGTGTGAAAAATCTGTGGGATTTTCCTGTAGTAAGGACTATAGGTTTTTGTGAGGCAATGGAGGCTGGTGGGGTTCTTCTGCTTGCCTTTGCCCCATGATGGGAAGTCCCTTCTGGCTCCAGGCAGATCTGATCCAGGTGAGGAAGAAGGGGCTGTAGAGGCTGGGTGCTTCCATGCTGCTCTTCTGGATTTCTAGTCAACAAAGGTGCATCTGCACTGCAGCACTCTTCTTTTGACACTCCAGTTAAATATTATTTGTTTTTTCATTGCCTTGGTCCTTTCTTGTGGGGGGTGAGGGACAAGCACCTGGTGTCTCTAGTGGATCATCTTGCTGATTTCTCTCTCCAGCACACAAACTTATTCACATGGGGAAGAACCACAGAGTGATAACCCCAACACCCCAATGGGGCACAGAAGATTATATATCATCTTGAGGTTAAAGAAACAATGGGGGCTTAGCTTGTGGCAAAATCGATTATGGGAGTGGGAGAAGAGGAGTCCTGGCTAGCAAGGTGGTCTTGTTATGTAGATGAAACCTCACAGGTAGCAGCCCTCAGAAAGAATAGATGGTAAATATTTCTTTTTTTTTTTTTTATTATACTTTAAGTTTTAGGGTACATGTGCACATTGTGCAGGTTAGTTACATATGTATACATGTGCCATGCTGGTGTGCTGCACCCACTAACTCATCATCTAGCATTAGGTATATCTCCCAAAGCTATCCCTCCCCCGTCCCCCCACCCCACAACAGTCCCCAGAGTGTGATGTTCCCCTTCCTGTGTCCATGTGTTCTCATTGTTCAATTCCCACCTATGAGTGAGAATATGCGGTGTTTGGTTTTTTGTTCTTGTGATAGTTTACGGAGAATGATGATTTCCAATTTCATCCATGTCCCTACAAAGGACATGAACTCATCATTTTTTATGGCTGCATAGTATTCCATGGTGTATATGTGCCACATTTTCTTAATCCAGTCTATCATTATTGGACATTTGGGTTGGTTCCAAGACTTTGCTATTGTGAATAGTGCCGCAATAAACATACATGTGCATGTGTCTTTATAGCAGCATGATTTATAGTCCTTTGGGTATATACCCAGTAATGGGATGGCTGGGTCAAATGGTATTTCTAGTTCTAGATCCCTGAGGAATCGCCACACTGACTTCCACAATGCTTGAACTAGTTTACAGTCCCACCAACAGTGTAAAAGTGTTCCTATTTCTCCACATCCTCTCCAGCACCTGTTGTTTCCTGACTTTTTAATGATTGCCATTCTAACTGGTGTGAGATGGTATCTCATTGTGGTTTTGATTTGCATTTCTCTGATGGCCAGTGATGATGAGCATTTTTTCATGTGTTTTTTGGCTGCATAAATGTCTTCTTTTGAGAAGTGTCTGTTCATGTCCTTTGCCCACTTTTTGATGGGGTTGTTTGTTTTTTTCTTGTAAATTTGCTTAAGTTCATTGTAGATTCTGGATATTAGTAACCAAAACAGCATGGTACTGGTACCAAAACAGAGATATAGATCAATGGAACAGAACAGAGCCCTCAGAAATAATGCCGCATATCTACAACTATCTGATCTTTGACAAACCTGAGAAAAACAAGCAATGGGGAAAGGATTCCCTATTTAATAAACAGTGCTGGGAAAACTGGCTAGCCATATGTAGAAAGCTGAAACTGGATCCCTTCCTTACACCTTATACAAAAATTAATTCAAGATGGATTAAAGACTTAAACGTTAGACCTAAAACCATAAAAACCCTAGAAGAAAACCTAGGCAATACCATTCAGGACATAGGCATGGGCAAGGACTTCATGTCTGAAACACCAAAAGCAATGGCAACAAAAGCCAAAATTGACAAATGGGATTTAATTAAACTGAAGAGCTTGTGCACAGCAAAAGAAACTACCATCAGAGTGAACAGACAACCTACAGAATGGGAGAAAATTTTCGCAACCTACTCATCTGACGATGGTAAATATTTCTTTCGGGCCTTTAAGGGTGTCACACTTTCAGTTAATCATTCCTAGATCTGGACAAGGGAAGGCCTCAGAGAAAACCTGGCTTCATCAATGCAGATTCTCTACAGGTACAAATCTTCCACACAAAAGAAAGCTTTGCAGGGCTACTTCTGTTTGCAGGTCCTTTGAACAACCATGTCAAAATATGGCAAAGAAATATTTTGATTTTTTTCCACAGAGTGATAATTTAACTATTTAGTATTACAAACACAACACAACCTTGTTTGTCACTCCTTTGCTCAGAAAACTTCCATGATTCCCTGTTGTCCTGGAGAATCAAGTTCCAAAGTCTTATCTTGGCATTTACAACTCTGTAAGATTGAACCTTAAGTTAAAATACTCTAAGAATGCTTCTAACATTCTCTTTTCATCCATTCTTCAAAATATAGAGTCAGATTCAATTAAGGAAAGGAGAGGGCCTCTTCTGGAGAGCAATGAGCTGTGTATAAACACAAGTAGAGTCAGTCCTGTTTTGTAGAAAAACCTACCGAATTCCAAAATAAGTCCTCTTCACTTTGGGGTAGGCAGGGATAGACTGTGGAGGCATGCAGGAGAGTACTGGTAATCCACAAACGAATTCTGATTACGGTTAAGAAAGTGACACCCAAAGAGAATAAATCCCACAGCCCAGTTGTAGAAAAGTTGAGCTAGGATTCTGTTGTCGTGTCTTTCAGTCTGGTGGATTTTTAGGCCAGCTTTAATTTGCTGTACCCGCTGCCTTCTATTACCTAGAGTGGGATAGGTGTGGGTCTAAACAACAAAATTTATTTTCGGCCATTAACAAATTAGTACTAATTAATTTCTCAGAGCCACTTGTAATCCCACATGATATCCGAAGGAAAGGGGTCACGTAGGTTACTCGAATAGATAAGTGTAGGTGAGAGACATGAGATACTGCAGTGAGGGCATCACCAGATGGTACACAGCAATGGGAGGCAGCATGAGGTCACTGGGTGTCTAGAGAGCAGAGAGCCAGGAAGAGAGTGAAAGCATACCACAAGCAAGAGTCTCTTATTTCTCAGCCTTATATGTGTACTTCATTTGCCTTTGAGAGAAAGTGGGGGTGGCGATGGGAAATGCACTGATGGCTGAGTTTCAGGGTTGACTTGAAATCTGCTAAAGAGAAGTCACCTAATCCTGACCTTCATTCATTGACTGATACTGAATTCTGCATTCAAACAAATTACTCTTTGCAGTTAAAAGCTCCACAGATGAGTTCTTTTGTAAGCTGTGCTTAGTATACTAATGAATCATACTTGTCAATAGATTTACCTTTGAAGGGCTTATGAGGTACAGTTTATCAAAAATGGCTTAGATCTTCAACCTGTTTCTAGGATTGTCAGTTAGCAAATGCATTTGGATGCTTAGAGCCCCCATCCTGGCACCTCACTAGAACTTGACCTAGGCTTTAATCTTTAGCTATGGTTGTCTTGTGCTCTTACACCTCAGGAGCCATGCTATTTCTAAATTCCATGGATCTTTATCAGATTAATATGTGTGTGTGTGTGTGTGTGTATATATATATAAACATATATATGTATAGAAACATATATATAGAAACGTATATATATAAACATATATATATAAACACACACACACATATATATATACACACACACACACACTCTGAGATGAAGAAGGTTGAAGCTCTCTCTGACCTTCCCTCTTCCCCGACTGTCTCTCCCAAAGAAGCTGAAATTCCTTTATCTGCCTAAGATCCAGACCCACCAAGGAGAACAATTGTTTTTTTTTCTTCCATTTCCTGTTATCTCTTTATCTATTGCAGAAAAGAAGACCAACATGTGACTACACCTGAACAGACACTTTTACAAGTATAATGTCTATCTCCAAAGATCATTTAAATTCCAAAGAGAAGTATTTACAAGTTCCCATATCCATTCATTCTCCTTGGTAATCCCCTCAACAGAATTCCTCTTCTCCCCCATCCCATAATCTGTTTTACCAGGATTCAAACCCCCATTCTTTCTATAACCTTGAAGTGGTATTGCATCCACCTTTGCAAAGATTATTGACAGTGAGGGAAATCTAGCATGGCTGACTCCATCTTGCTTCTAGCCTCACAGGCCGGCTATGCTCACTCATTCCTGGGTGTAGGCCAAGCTAACCATGGGAGGAGCTTATAGTTTAACTTCCAAGCAAGGATGATAACAGTCTATTCTTAAAACTGTTTGCCTTCTTGTTCAGGGGCTTAAACTGCCTTTGACTAATGAAAGGCCACAAGATTAGGATTATGGGAGGGGCCGGAATTATGCTAAAATGTAGGCATAGTTTTTATAATGCCTTACTGCTCAAGGGTCATGTTGCCAGATGTCACATGATTTGTGATGTCCCCAATTGCTCCTATAGATAACATAACTATTGTAGAGCTAAGATTGGTCTTTTGAGATGTGTTTCAAATATTTGCATTCTGGTAACTGACTGACTCCACTGGGAGTTGTGACTCATGACTCAGCTTGTCCTGTGCTCAGCCCCCTCAACCCAGAGGCTGACTCAGTGCATTCATTTCTGTAAAAGAATGTGAAGACCATTTTCTACACCCCTATGATTGCATCTGCAACCAGTCAGCAGTACCCATTCCCTAGTCCCCTATCTACCAAAGTATCCTTGAAGAACCCTAACCTCTGAGTCTTCAAAGAGACTGATTTGAGTAATAACTCCATCTTCCACATGGCTAGCCTGTATTAATTAACTCTTTCTTTACTGCAGTGCCATAATCTCAGTGAATTGGTTTTGTTTCTGCAGTGGGCAGGAAGAACCTGTTGGGCATTTATAGTATATAAGCTTCTGTACCTTACTAGGAAGTTGGGTCTTCATTCTGAAAGTTCTTGTGTACACATATTAAATAAATTTGTATACCTTGTCTCCTATTAATAAAAAAACTATACACGTGTATGTGTATATATGTGTATATATACACACACATAAACATATATTTTCCCCAGAGAATAGAATTCTTATGCCAGCTAACCAAGAGAACATTTACTGATCCCCATGTACTTAGGAAAACAGTACAAATTGGTAAAGCAGCTTTTGCATATTGGGAATAACACTTAACACTAGCTGTTCAGCCTTGGTTAAGTAATTCCCTCTGAATCTGGTTTCCTCTCCAAGCAACTGGAGATAATTTCCCTACCTCACAGGATTGGGGTACTGATCGAATGAGTACGTATATGAAAGTATACTGTAACCTGTAAATTGCAGATATTAACATGTCAGATATTAATGTCAGGAGTCAGTAGAGTGCAGTGGTATAGAATATGGGCTCTGAAATCAAACTGCTTGGCCTCATATTGTGGCTTTGCCATTTACTAGCTGTGTGACCATGGGCATGTTAAACTCTGTGAGACTCAGTTTACTTACCTGTACAATGGGATAATAATAGAACCCATTTCCATAGAGTAGTTGTGAAGAGTAAATCATTAATGAAGATAAAATGCTTTGCACTGTGCCTTGAACATAGTAAGCTGTCACTGTGAACAAGGGAGTAAAACAATAAAAATTCATTATATTCTGCAGGAATGATCACCTTTCACATATGCAGTCATATTTGATTATAAACAACTTTGTGAGGTTGGTAGAACAAAGTATTATCATCAACATTTTACAGAATAAAGTATTGTCATCAACGTTTTACAGAAAGGTTGATGATTCCCTCAAGAAACCTCAGCAAATAGGTGGTAGGCCTTTGATTAGAACCTGAATTCATTTCTTAAGGGCTAAGATGAATTCTGAGACTGTTTGTACAACGCAGCCCAGCAGGGGAGAGCTTTCTGGCTAGGGATCTCCTGACAGGCAGCTGCCTTCTTCCTCTCCTATGTTTAGGCCCTGACTTATTACATGTTATATTATTACTATGGTCTGAATGTTTGTGTTCCCCCTTAGAATTCATAAGTTGAAACACTAACTTCCAATGTAGTGGTATTAGAAAGTGGGGGCTTCGGGAGGTGTTTAAGTCATGAAGGCAGAGCCCTCATGAGTAAGTTTCATGCCTAAACAAAAGAGACCCCAGAGAGCTGCCTTGTGTCTTCTACTATGTGAGAATATAATAAGAGGCACCATCTATGAGCCAGAAAGTGGGCCCTCACCAGATGCAAAGTCTGCCTTGATCCTGTACTCCTCAGCCTCCAGAATTGTGAGAAATAAATTTCTGTTATTTATAAGCCACTGAGTCTATGGTATTTTGTTATAGCAGCTTGAATGGACCAAGACAAATACCAAGTTATCAAATAGGCCATGGGTGGGAGCAAAAAAAGTCTTCTTCATTTTCTCTGTGTGTTGTGTAGCACACTTGAATTGAATTCCCTCATTCTACTTCTATTACTAAGAAATACATTTAATCGTGAATTAGATTGCAACTTCTTTCTAATATAAGTATGTTACTGTCCATTGTGCACTGGAAGTCTTTCCCACGTCTATTTCTTTTATGAGGCTGTCTTTTTTTAAAACCTCTTTGTTAATCACAGCAGCTATCTCTGTCATTTGGGGACCCACTCTATATTAATGAATATGGATTGGAGTCTTCCTAATTGTTCTCTGAATACCTCCCAATTTTCAGAAGGGTAATTGATTTCAATCAACTTCATTAGTACACTCTCTACACTCTTGAAAGCCTGTAATTTTCAAGTTCAATATTTGTGTGCTCACACCCTCAGGAGTGCTTCATTTGGATCCCATTACAATCCTGGAGTTGTAACCAGTACCAGCTTTATCATGAAGCTTACTTATTTTCTAGTATGGCTGAGCCATGCTTTAGGGCATACCCCATACATAAATATATACATTTTCGTAAAAGCAAAATTACACAAGTATTTTTAAATTTAAAATGTTAACAACTCTAACTCTGGCTCTAATGAAGAGTGTATTGAAATGATTGCCTCTAGGGTTATAATAGAGTCTGAGGTAAAGAAACTAAGGTCAGATGTTAGGTGTTTACTGTAGACAATTAGTCAAAGAGAAAACTTTAGCTTAGAAGTGAGAGGAGCTCTGGAAGATAATATTTCACAAAAAAGTCACTTTTAGTTTAACTTCTAGAAATATAAATGAAGAGAAATATATTTGATACATTGCCACATAATAATTAGCTTTTTCTGGTTATGAAAGTTTTCCCATATTCGTATATATTTTTTCTTTTGTTGCCTACGTCTACGTTCAAAGATCTGTGGTGGCTTACTGTATTTCTGTGGAATTGGAGTAACTAATTATAGTCTACAATAGATACCCGGTTGTTGGTTCTGCCTCTGAAAGCTCAAAGCTCCTTATTAGATTTTATTGGAGAAGTACCTAAATTGAAAATATGAACACTTTTATCCCTATATTTCTACCAGAATCACCTCATTGAGGTTCTTCTTGCCATTCTTCAGCTGGACTATCGCAAAAGCTTAACTGGACTTTCTACACCTCTTCTCTCCCCACTTCAACACATTACACACACTATTGCCAGAATGTTTTCCCCCAAACATTGTGTCATTCCCATGTTAGATCTTCAGTAGCTCCCTGTCACCAGTGGCCTGGAGTGCCACATCACCCATAATCTAATTTTCAACTTACCTTTCTAATTCTATTTGCTTTTACAACTTCATATACCATATGTTTCAGTCAAATGATTGTGATTCCTCGAATGCTCCATAAGCATTGGCACATACCTGTGTCTACATATGCTGCTCCCTTAATGAGCAACACCTTTCTCACCATCTCTCTGTATGGACATTTTATATGTCTGCATTTGTTACAGTAACCATAGGCCCTTATAAAAAAGAGACCATAGAGTAGAGTGGCTTAAAAATTCAGAACTTCATTTTTTTTTCTCTCGTGTAACAGCTCTGTTGTGTTTCAGAATGCAATGACTCTGCTTTGTGTGGTCATTCAGGATCATAGCCTCCTTATAAGTTGTCAGGTCAAAAAGTTATTGCTCTACCATCCCCTAGAGTGTCATCCTAATCTGAATGATGAAGAGTGGCCCACCTCATTCACGTTCCAGCTAGAGGAAAAGGAAAGGGTGAATAAGACATGTACACTCTCTTAGGGTCTGGGTCTGGAAGTGGGCACATTCATACATAACTGTGAAGGGGGGAGCTAGGAAATGTAGTCTAGCTATATGTATGGAAGAAGCAGAGAAAAAATTTTGGTGGTCAACCAAGTTTATGACACTTTGAAATCTGGCTCACATGCCATCTTCCTTCTTTAGGCTTTTCTGAGCCCCTCAGCTGGAAGCAATTTCTCCTTCCTCTGATCTATTTTAGTTGAGGGCTTCTGAAACTAATGTGTACAAGAATCACCCGTAGATCTTGTTAAACTGCAGAGGCTGAATCAGTCAGTCAGCATTGGGAATTGAGATTCTCCATTTCTAATGAGCTCTGAAGTGATACTTATGCACTGGTCTGAAGAATACACTTTGAGTGTTCCAGCCCACTGTCTGTTTCTCTCTTGTGGAATGTAATTTTTTCTACTTCATATTAGCTATTCATGTGCATAACTTAACCTCCTTACTAGACAGTTAACTCCCATAGCAGAACCTGGATCTGTCACTCTCACCCTGCCTCCCTACAGCACTAAGAATAGAGCATGCACACTTAGATATGGTTAATAAATATTTGAATAATTGATGAGTGGCTTCAACTAATTTAGAATGTTGAACATAAGCTTTTGAAGGGCAACACTACTTATGTTAGTTTCTGGACTATGCTTAGTGCAATTACCCATTTGAAAATTGTGTGTTGAAAACTCCACTCCTACATAGCCCAGCCAAACTAAGGGAACACCAGCCAGAGAGCTGAGCTAAGTGAAATTCAGGAAATGGAAACCACATTTTATTGAGGACTTTTTTTCCCATGTGCTGTAACTATTTCAAAGGAAATGCTAATCCCTATGTTTGGAATTCATTACCAGAGAGCTTCTCTGCTTAACAAGCGTGACTTTATGCCCACAGAGCTTCATAAGCCAATTTTATCAATTTTGTTGACGAGGTGGCTTTTTTTTTTCCCCACCTGGAAACACTCAGTGATCTTCTATCTGGAAAGTCTCAAGTTGGGTACCAATTAAAGCTGGATAATAATGACTCAAGTTGGCACCATTTTAGCCTGTTCTTTTCTCAGTCCTAACATACGTAGTCATGTGTTGGCCTTGGAGATTAGGGTGGAAGAAGGAAGAGAAGATAAAGTGGGTTAGGGTTTAAAACAGAGGCTAGTTTGTAATCTAGCCTAAGTCTTATGAAGCAAAGTAAGAAGACCTGAGGTCTCCTGCCTCACACCTGCCTGCGTGATGGAACTCCTAACTGGAACTATTTTGTACTTGGACTTTGTCGTAAATGAGACAGAGCTGAGGTTTCCCTTTTGGACTCTGTATGTAAAAGGTTTCACAAGCAAATTAATCACATTATTAAGATTTTACAGATTCTTAGCCTAGTTGAAAAAATGAGTTTTAGTTTCTATTAGCCCCACTGGTACAATCGACTAATGCACCAATCACAAACCACAGAACTTCACAGTGGGATCCTTCACTTTTTACCTGTAGGCTCTTTACTTGGCAGTTTCTTTTTAGCCCTTAGTTCCATTACTAGGCTTTGGAATTGAGAAATGGATATTCAGACATGCCATTAATTTATACTGACCCCTCTCTTTCCTTACTGTCGACTAGATATAAGGGTTTATGGTATTATCTGCCCAGTGTGTCCGGTAAGTTGTTATTGCTCATGTCTGCACTTGATTTTGTAGGTATTCCACATTTTTTGGCCTTCCTATTCCCTTAGTGAGAACTTTAGCATCACAATTCAAGAATGAAAATATTCTCAACAGAGCTAGGGTGAGGCAAAGCAGGCCCCAAGGGAGCAAAATTTAAGGAGGCACTAACTTGCATACGCATGCCCTGGAAGTGAGCACCTCCTTAAATTTTGTGCCCTAGGCACCTAGCTTGCCTTATTTTAGTCTGGGTCCTGAGTTCCAAATCAGAGAGCTCAAAGTACTAGTTGCTAAGATCATTTGGACGATTGAGTCAGCCCTAGTCCTTTACCCCAACTTGTAAGCGTGTGTATGCATGACTGCAGAGATCCTACAAATGTATATATGAGACAATAAAAATGGAATTCTGCAATCATGATTTTATTAATCACATGAAGGTAAGACTGACATTCAATGTTTATTTGCCCTCTGTGCTGCAGCAAAACAGTCTTGACATAGATTTTTTAATGAGCATGCATTAATTATTGGCTTTGAGAATCTCCTTGAATTTAACTCTTGCTGTTGCTCCATGGTCTCAAAGTCCCCTGATTTTTCAGACCATCAATGGCACATCTAAATGTAGACAAATGCATCACTCTTATCCAAGTGCCTAACTATACTCACTTGCAAGGCATATGTGAATACCACCTAATTAGTTGTGAAGTGCATTTTGGCATATGTCGGAAGTTAAAGCCACTTCCTTAGAGGAACTCAAACTCCGAATTTATCTTTATTAAGGCCTTGTCCAAATGATATATATACACTGCCTCCTTGCTATCTATTGCTTGGAAATAAATCACTTTAGGATTGATTTGCTAACGGCTTTCTTCACTCTAAGGGTCCTCCTGCCCGAGAGGTCACACTGTCCTTCTTCACAAACAAATATTGATAACCAAACAGAAGACACCACACTGACCATACAGTGAATGAAGAAGGAAATCTGGAGTGAGGGGAAGCATGACCCTTTGCACAGCCTAGAAAAAAAGAACCTTACTAAAGTGTAATATTATATTCTGGACAAAATCCCCCAAACCACTTTTTAAGAATATGAGTGAACAAATGGGATATATTCATCTTTTTTTCAGCAAAGTGCTATGAACGTTGGTACTTTAGTCAGGAATTACAAACGCCTCCAGGAGTCTGCCAAGTAATAGAAATCAGTGAAACTGGCTGGGTATGAGACAATCAGGAGTGGTAGGGACTCCAGGGAAACAGAGAATGCACTTATCATCCACTGCAGCTGCTTTTTGTCACATGGGAATATGGGCCAAATCTTGTTAGATCTTCTGATTCTTCAAGAGAAGCAGGTAACTTGATTTTTTAAATAACATGATGGCTCCCATTTTTTAACTTGTGGAAAGTTAGCTTAAGAACATTTTAAGTCACTGTGTGGGATAAATAAAATATCCCTAAAGGACAGATTTGCCTCACTAAGTCTTGAAGTCTGACTCCTTTCCAGTTGTGATTCCTTGCTCAGGACCATAACTCTGGATTCACATGGTGACTTTTAATGGCTCAGCCAATAATACTAAAGTTGTGTATTCTTAAGATGCCAAGATATTAAATTGTATTTTAGACAGTTAAGTTTACAATTATCTTTGTCTCACTGCACATGGGTGGCCCCGCCTGCCTGTAGTCTTAGCTCACTCTCTACATTATCGGCATAACACAACAGTGGACACTTGATTTCCATTAGCCAGATGTAACTGATTGTCCTACCTTCACCTTTAGAGTGAGGCCACAGGGGCCCCATGGAACCACCTGCTTCTTGAGGAAGAAGTACGTACATGGAAATAGTGCTGTCTTAACCAGCTTGGCTTTCTTACATTTTTAATATCTTGCTTGTCTCAACTGCTTATTCCATGGTCATTGTGACTTCTGTTTGCCTGTTTCTGAATCTGTCAGTTGTTGACTAATAGAGGTAGAACTTGAATCCAGGTGTCTATTTCTTGAGGGAATTTGTTCTGCAAATTTATTATTTGTAGGTTGAAGTGAGACTTCTTTGACTTGTCCTGTGTCGTATATATTTTAAATTAGCTTGAAGTTTTCCTGCTCTTGTGATCTATGATGTGAAATTATTTCATGGCCTGTGTAAGTTCAAACACATTCCAAAAACTTCTGTTAACTTCCAGAGGAGCCTAATACTTCCCGGGCACTCATGCTGTCCCTGTCCCACACTATATTTGTATGAAACATAGCCTTTGTCTCTCCATCTGGTTCTCTCTCTCGTTCATTCTCTCTTTTTCTCTCTCTCTCACTCCTACTACTGCTCTCACTCGCAATCCATCCATGAGCTCAGTAGACTTTCCCCAGTCACATTACCCCTCCCCTTGCCACCAGGCTTCGTGCATCTCACTCTGACTGTGCCCTTCCCATCACAGCTCCTCACCCCTGCCTCTCAGCTTTCCCTGAGAATGCTAAATTCTTTTCCTTCTACATTGATAGAGCAGCCTCCTTACTTTTATGTGGCCTTGTTGCCACTTAACACTAAGGTCATTAGAGTTGGGGGATGACCTTTTTGAATCTGTAAAAATAAACTCAGATTCTTTTTGTTAATTAACAAATGAACATAGAGCCAAAAAGCCTTGCTCTCAAGTATCTTAGGCTGGGTCTACTTCTGAGCTAAGGCCTGATGCTGATGCCTTTACGCATATCCCTGTTCTACCTTGAGACTATCAAAATGCTGCTTCATTTAAATTTTACCTCCCCTCTTCTTCCCAATCTCAAATATCCCTATCACTTCATTTGTTTCACGAGTTGCCCCATGCTTCCTCTGATGTGCAGTCTCCCTTGCTTTAGGAAGTTAATAAACTTAACTTTGTCAGACTACAGGGGTGTCCCTGCTGGTCATCATCAGAGGGGCTTTACTACCTTCTGCTGCAAGCATTTATTAAAGTATTTGTCCCAATATATGCAGTTTTCTCCCTAAAAGGACTTACCTTTCATTACAATATAACTTCGTGAAGACAGGGAATTTCATCTGTTTTCTTCACTATTTCTAAAACAATACTTGGGTCATGTTGAAAGAATGAATGAATAAATTCTGTTAGTAGCCCTTAAATTAATACAGTTATCTCCACATCCTTATAAGAGTGTGGTACCTCATTTCAGCTTCCCCTGAACTCTGCCTTTGGTTCTGAAATAAGAAAGACTGGGATAGACCCTGTCTTAGTCCATTCAGGTTAATATAGCAAAATACCACACACTGGGTAACTTATGAAGAACAGACATTTATTTCTCACAGTTCTGGAGATTGAAAAGTCCAAGGCCAAGATGCTGACAGGTTCAGTGTCTGTTTTCTGGTTTTTAGATGGTGCCTTTTTCTGTGTCATCACGTGGTAGGAAAAGGGCAAACAAGCTCCCATGGGCCTCTATTATAAAGGTGCTAATCCCAGTCATGAGAACTCCATCCATACAACTTTATCACCTCCCAAAGGCCCCATCTTTTAATGTCAACACCTTAGGGATTAGATTTCAACATATGAATTTTGGGGGAACATAAATATTCACATGATAGCAGACCCCCATTCCAACATTTAGCTGTATAATTTGGGATAAATTATTTAATCTCTTTATACGTCTATCATTTTAGCTGTGAAGTGGGGAAGATGCTACGTATTATATTTGGTTGGGAAGATTAAATGAAGTGATTTATATGAAAGGTTTATTGTGGAGTGTGACACATGGTAAATGTTCAGTAAACATCAGCTAGTATTTTTCATTATAACTCCCCCTGGCCTTAATTTTTCCAGATTCCAGGCACTTGTACATCACTGTGCCCCTGCTTCTATTTTGCCTCATGATATGGTAAGGTACGTATGTCTTCTTTGTTTAGTTGTAAACTCTTTGAGGGTAAGGTCCATGTCTTACTTACCCATGTATCACTGTAGATAAATACATCTATATATCGCTGGCACATAGTAGGCCCTCTAATAATCTGTGGTTGAAAAGTCTACCTGGAAAAGAAGATGACAGTAAGAGTGCAGAGCTGAGCCTGATTGGTAAATGCAGTGACTGCAGAGACTGTTAGCTGATTATGATAGAGCATTAATAGCTTCTTTTCTGAGTGGTTTTATTTTTTATTTTTATTTATTTATATTATTTTTGAGACGGAGTCTTGCTCTGTCGCCCAGGATGGAGTGCAGTGGCATGATTTCTGCTCATTGCAACCTCCACCTCCCGGGTTCAAGCAATTCTCCTGCCTCAGCCTCCCGAGTAGCTGGGACTACAAGCGTGCACCAACACGTCTGGCTGATGTTTTATTTATTTTTTATTAGAGACAGGGTTTTGCCATGTTAGCCAGGCTGGTCTCAAACTCCTGACCTTAGGTGATCTGCCCACCTCGGCCTCCCAAAGTGCTGGGATTTCAGGCTTGAGCCACTGCATCCTGTCGTGAGTGGTTTTAGAATCTAACAATTAAACAAGAGGAGCGGGGCAATGCAGGAGCTTTTTTGTGTTGTCTGCCCCTGCTGAGTGGGTATTTGAATGACCCAGGGAAAACGAGAAGGGCCAAGGAAGTGGGTATGGACCAACCTGGTCATTTAATTCCTCTATTCCTCAAGAATTGCCACTCCAGCCTAGCCTAGCAATTTGGAGCAGTGGGTGAATTATTTGTAGCTAATCTGTTAAGCAGAGATCATTGTGCTGAGCTGTACTGAGGTTTTGCTCTCCTGGCTACCAGGTGGGGACCTGTGACCGCTTTGTCTTTTAGTTGCTCTGGGGACTGGAACTAAAGGCATAAAAAGCTATACGTTCACTTAGGCGGGCTTAGCTCTGTGAGTGGCTCTCTACTTGTGAAAGTATTTATGACAATTGCTCTCCTGCTACACACACACACACACACACACACACACACACACACACACACACACACACACACTGCGTGGCCCAGAATACAGAACAAGTCTCAAAACCTAGGAGAAGGTAAGAGGGCAAGGTTTTCTCAACATCCCTTTCCTGCACATCCTGCACAAATTCACACCTTTTGGCTTTTTGCTCATTTCCCAGTGTCCCAACCCCACTTGCCCTCTTTAGTATTCTCCAAGGGGTTACATTTGATGATCACTAAGATCCTCGAGCCTGTGGTGTGCTGGTAAATTGGCTCTCTAGGGGAAAAAAAGCCCTGATTTGTAGCTTTGTAGTGTTTCCTGATTCCCTTCCTCCCTCTTTTCCCCCTCCCTCCCTCCATTTCTCCCCACCCTTTTCTCTTTTTCCTGCATTCCAGGCATAATTAGTCCCACCCCTCCAGTTCATTCTGCCTAGTTTTTCTTGTTTTCATCTTAGTACACATAACTTGATTTTCTCAGCTGTGTGTGGCAAACGTATATACCACGTTATTTTTTAAAAAATTTTTCTTGATCTGTATAGCTAATTGAAATGATTTACTGGTAGCAGTTTTTTATCCAATCATTGCTTTAAACCACACTCATGACATCCACAACATAAGTAGGATGTTTTTGTCATTTTCTTGGACATCCTAGCTAGATAAATCAGGCAAGAGAAAGAAATAAAGGGCATTCAAATTGGAAAGGAAGAATTCAAATCAACTTTGTTCACAGATGACATGGTATTATATTTAGAAAACCCTAAAGATTCCATCAAAAACACTGTTAAAATTGATAAATGAATTCAGTAAAGTTGCAGAATACAAAATCAACCTACAAAAATCAGTAGTATTTATATATGCCAACAGTGAACAATTTGAAAAAGAAATCAAGAAATCAATACCATTTATAATAGCTACAAAAAATATAAAGTACCTAGGAAAATTTAACAAAAGAAGTGAAAGATCCCTACAAGGTAAACTATAAAACACTGCAGAAAGAAATTGAAGAGGATACAAAAATGGAAAGATATTCCATGGTCATGGATTGGAAGAATTAATATTATGAAAATGACAATACTACCCAAAATGATCTATAGATTCAATGCCATCCCTATCAAATACCAATGACATTCTTCACAGAAATAGAAAAAGCAATTTTAAAATGTATGTGGAACCACAAAAGGTCCTGAATAGCCAAAGCAATCGTGACCAAAAATCTGGAGGTATCACACTACCTGACTTTAACAGACTTTATTTTTTACAGTAGTTTTAGGTTCACAACAAAAGTGAGAGAAAGGTACAGAGATATTCCTTATATGTTCTGCCTCCACATGTGTTGAGCCTCCCCATTATCAACATCTTCCATCAGAGTGGTACATTTGTTCAATTGATGAACCTACATGGACACATCATTATCACCAAAAACTCACAGTTTACATTACTGTATATTTTATGGGTTTCGATAGATGCTTAATGATGTGTATCCACTACTATAGTATCATAGAGAGTAGTTTTATTTCTCTTAAAAATCCTCTGTGCCCCACCTATTCATCCCTTCCCCCACTCCCTGGCAGCCACTGATATTTTTACTGTCTCCATAGTTTTGCCTTTTCTTGAATGTTACATAACTGGAATCATAAAATATGTGGCCTTTTCAGATTGGCTTCTTTCACTTAGTAATGTGCATTTAAGTTTACTCCATATCTTTTAATTACTTGATAGCTCATTTCTTTTTAGCACTGAATAATATTCAATTGTTTAGATGTACCACAGTTTATTTATCCATTCACCTACTGAAGGACATCTTGATTGCTTCCAAGTTTTGGCAAGTATAAATAAAGCTGCTATAAATATTCAGGCTCAGGTGTTTGTGTGGATATAAGTTTTCAACTTCATTGGGTAAATACCAAGGAGTGCAATTGCTATATCTTATGGTAAGAGTATGCTTAGTTTTGTAAGAAACTGCCACACTGTCTTCCAAAGTGACTGTACCATTTCGCTTTTCCATCAGCAATGAATGAGAGTTCTTATTGCTCCACATCCTTGCCAGCATTTGGTGTTGTGTTTTGGATTTTGGACATTCTAATAGATGTGTAGTGGTATCTCATTTTTGTTTTAATTTGCATTTCCCTTGTGACATATGACATGGAACATTTTTTTCATATGCCTATTTGCTATCTGTATATCTTCTTTGGTGACATGTCTATTAAGGTATTAGACTATATTTTAATTGGGTTGTTTCCTTACTGTTGAATTTTAAGAGTTTTTGTACATTTTGGGTAATAGTCCTTTATCAGATATTTTCTTTGCAAAGAATTTTTTATGTTTTTTTTTAAAAAATATAAAGTAGGTTTTCAGGTTTCTTTTTTTTTCATTTTTTTGATGGAAGAAAGATCTATATTTCAATGATACGGGGCTTACATTGTACTTCACATTTTCCTTTTATCCTCTCCCCCTTCCCCCATCTTGTTAAGCAGCACAATTCTTTTCTGAGCTAATGCATCTCTAGGCTTATTCTGACAATAGCAACAAAGAACAGATGAGTCCAGCTACTGATAGTCTATTTCCCTTCCTTTAAGGCATAAAGGAGTATGCCCTATTTTCTGCCTTTCAAGTTTTGTTGGCTGACATAGCTTTACCATACTTTGTATAATAGTTGCTTAAGATGAGTTGCTGTCTGTCCAGGATTCAGCGCAGTTTGGCATTATCCATGACTTGATGCCGAAGAAGAATTCACCTATGTAATTTGTTTCTATCATCTCATTGCCCTAAAATAAATGATTTGATGATGAAATAAAATGTGTTGTAGAAGCTGAGGAAAATTTGCAAAGTGCATAAGAGAAAAAAGGTTCTCTGTGTTTTCAATAAATGACCATTCATGATAATGAGGATACAAGAGCACTTGAACATAACAGAGACCAAAATGTTTTTATATATAAAAACTAAGAAGCCCAGAATCAGTGTCATATTTTGAAAAGTATTATGTTATGGTAGATGCAAAACTACCTGGTAGTATCTACACTCCACTTAAAATTCAACTTCTGCTTGGTTCATCTGATTCTTTCAAGGTCTTAAATGTTAAATGAAGGGGTAAAATAGGAAGGTATTTAAGTAATTAGCAGGCCTCCTGGGTCTTGATAACTTCAGTGCTTCTGGGAGCTGCCCGGTTGGCCACCAGTCTCTGTGGAATCCAGGGGCCTCTTCCCAATATGGATTTGACCAGCACTTCAATTAGTGAGTTTCCATTAGCATCTTAGCATTACTCTTTAATACAGACGCCTTATTTTCCAGGGTTTATGAAAGTTTAAGTGACAACCATGATTGCAGGAACAGACTGTTGAGAAGCTGTTTTTCAGTGAAAAGTTGGGTCAGGAGATTGATGGAGGCTTTGAAATTAGATCCTTGGATTGAAACATAAAGTTGGCAGCCATGAGTCCCATCAGTGACTTCTCTATTAAAAGTCTCCTTTTAATTGTGGTAAAAATATTTTACTTGAGATCTACCCTCTTAACAAATTTTAGGTTCACAATACAGTATTGTTAAGTATAGCAATATTGTACAATTACAGTAATTAGTTAAGTAATACAATATTGTACAGCATAGCTTTAGAACTTATTCATCTTACGTAATTGAAACTTTATACCAATTGAACATCAACCTCCCATTTCCCCCTTCCCCCAGCCTCTGGCAACCACCATTTTATTCTGTTTTTCCATGAGTTTGACTATTTTGGATACCTCATGTAAGTGGAATCATGCAGTATTTGTCCTTCTATGACTGGCTTATCTCACTTAGTGTAATGTCCTTCAGGTTCATCTGTGTTGTCTCAAATGGCAGGATTTCCTTGTTTTTTAAGGTTGAATAATATTCTATTTTGTTTATATACTACATTTTACTTATCCATGTAGCCATACATGGACACTTATATTGTTTCCAGATCTTGCCTATTGTGAATAATGCTTCAATGAACATGAGAGTGCAGGCTATTTCTTTGAGATCCTGATTTTAGTTCCTTTGAATGTATACACAGAAGTGGAATTGCTGGATCATGTGGTAGTCCAATTTTTAGTTTTTTGAGGTACTGCCATACTGTTCTCTGCAGTGGTTACATCAATTTACATTCCCACCAACAGTGTACAAGGGTTCCAATTTCTCTTCGTCATTGCTAACCCTTACTTTTTGTCTTTTTGATAATAGCCATTCTAACAGTTGTGATGTAGCATTATTGTGGTTTTGATTTGTGTTTCCTTGATGATTGGTGATGTTCAGCATCTTTTCATATACCTGTTGGTCATTTTAATGGCTTCTTTGTAGAAATCTCTATTCAATTCCTTTGCCCATTCTTTTTTTTTTTTTTTTTTTTTTTTTTGACAGAGTCTTGCTCTGTCACCCAGGCTGGAGTGCAGTGGCACAATCTCAGCTCATTGCAACCTCTGCCTCCCGGATTCAAGCAATTCTCCTGCCTCAGCCTCCTGAGTAGCTGGGATTACAGGCACCTGCCACCACACCTGGCTAATTTTTGTATTTTTAGTAGAGAGGGGGTTTCTCCATGTTGGCCAGGCTGGTCTCGAACTCCTGACCTCAAGTGATTCTGCCTTGGCCTCCCAGAGTGTTGGGATTACAGGCGTGAGCCTCGACGCCTGTCCCCTTTGCCCATTCTTAAGTTGGGTTATTTGGTTTCTTTTGCTATTGAATTGTAAGGGTTCTTTATATATTTTGGATATTATTTCTGTGATGTAAATACACTCACCAAGGCCAGTTTCAAGCTACCAGCTTGAGGGCACTGAATTCTGTGTTCAGAAGAGATGTGCACGATTGGCTCTTGTAAACCAATTTGTCAGTTTGTGCTAGCTCCAGAATCCTATTGCCTTGATCTCTGACATTTTTTTTTTACTTTTGTTCCTGATCCTTTTTCTTTCCATTTCCCATTATAACACACATACAATAATAGCTAAAATACCCAAATTAAACTACAAAGCTTCTTCTTAATAATCAAACATGGCAAAAAATGTTAAAGTGTTTCTTGCACACTTAACATATACACTATGAAATCAAGGTTGTGTCAAGGATGTGTGCTAGCTGCTAATTTTTAGTACAGTAAGTCCTCAATGTCATTGACAGGTTCTTGGAAATTGCAACTTTAAGTTAAATGACATAAAAAAACATTATTTTCTCATCAAGGATGTTAAGTGAAGACTTAATGTATTGATTAGGGAAGGAACAGCAAGAAAGACTATGTTTTGTTGTTCTGTAATACTCTCTGAATTGACAAGAGCCTCTCTGAAAGTCAAGCTTCAGTTCTGATGATAGTAGGTCCCCTGAGACACCTTTTATAACAGACGGTCCTCTCTCCGTCAGCTATGGCGAAGCCAACAGGGAGCAGTAGTATCAAAATGTAAGCAAGTACTCCATTATACTCATTTTATTTATGTATTTACTTTTTAAAAAATGGAGTCTGTCTGTTGCCTAGGCTATAGTGCAGTGGTGCAATCATAGTCCCACTGCAGCCTCGACCTCCTGGGCTCAAGTGACCCTCCTATCTCAGTCTTCTGAGTAGCTAGGACTACAGGTGCATGCCACCATGCCCAGCTAATTTTTGTATATATATAATATGCAATATATTATTTATAATATATATGATATTATATATTGTATATATCATACATACAATATTATATCGAGTATAATATATTGCATATATAATATAATGCATATATTACATATAATATATTGCACATATAATATAGTGTATATATTACATATAATATATCACACATATAATATAGTGTATATATTACATATAATATATTGCATATATAATATAGTGTATATTTTACATATAATGTATTGCATATATAATATGGTGTATATTTTACATATAATATATTGCATATATATTATATTGTATATAATGTATTGTGTATGTAATATATAATATATTGTATATGTAATATATAATGTAATATATTGTATATATAATATAATATTGCATATATAATACATACAATATATTGCATATATAATACATACAATATATTGCATATATAATACAATATATTGCATATACAATACATACAATATATAACGTATTGTATATACAATACATACAATATATAACGTATTGTGTATACAATACATACAATATATAACGTATTGTATATACAATACATACAATATATAACGTATTGTATATACAATACATATAATATATTGTATATATAATACATATAATATATAATATATTGTATATATATTATATATATATATATATTTGAGATGGAGTTTTGCTCTTGTTGCCCAGGCTGGAGTGCAATGATGTGATTCTGGCTCACTGCACCTCTGCCTCAAAGGTTCAAGGAATTCTCCTGACTCAGCCTCCCGAGCAGCTGGGATTACAGGTGCATGCCACCACGCCTGGCTAAATTTTGTATTTTTTTTTTTAGTAGAGACAAGGTTTCACCATGTTGGCCAGGCTGCTTTAGAACTCCTGACCTTAGGTGATCCTGTAGAGACAGAGTCTCTCTAGGTTGCCCAGGCTGGTTTCAAACTCCTGGCCTCAAGCTATCCTCCCTCCTAGGCCTCCCAACGTGATGGAATTACAGGCACGAGCCACCATGCCCAGTACATTATTTACTTTTGTATTTTAGCTTTTTTTCATGTTCTCACATATGCTAAACAATGCTTCTTCCTAATTTAATACATCAATTTCTGCTGCCATTGGAAGCTTCTGAAAATTGAATGTGTTTACTCTAGCTTGGAAGACATGGATGAGTGAAAAGAGTTATGCTTTCTTGCAAATAGTCCAGGAGTGGGAAACAGAGAGACAGCTAGAGCTAAGTTTGACCCAACCTGCTTAACATGTGTGAGATTTGGTCTTAATTCCTTCAGTTTTCCTAGGTATTACATGCTCATTCCTCAGCCTCTGCCCAGCTTCCTCACACAGTCCCTCCTTTCTTGTCTTTGTTTCTCAGGCTAGATCCCAACAAATCTCACCTGGAGAAACTTGGAAAAAATCTAAGCAATAAACCAGGAGTCTAGTGACTGCTGATATATATTTATATATTCTATATAGTCTCCCTCAGAACAAAGGGACAAGGAACCTGCGGGGTGTGCTGGTAAAACATGAACAACCAACTTTCTAGAACAAAAAAAAAAAAAAAAAAAACCAAACACCGCATATTCTCACTCATAGGTGGGAATTGAACAATGAGATCACATGGACACAGGAAGGGGAACATCACACTCTGGGGACTGTTGTGGGGTGGGGGGAGGGGGGAGGCATAGCATTGGGAGATATGCCTAATGCTAGATGACGAGTTAGTGGGTGCAGCGCACCAGCATGGCACATGTATACATATGTAACTAACCTGCACAATGTGCACATGTACCCTAAAACTTAAAGTATAATTAAAAAAAAAAAAACTTTCCAGAAAAAAATGCATGTGCGTGCACATTTTTACATTGTATTGATATAAAGGATGAGTAGTACACAATTAAAAAATAGCATGCGTTACTCCTTATTTTAAATTCCACAAACCAGTTTATTCTTACAGAATGCTTTTGTTGATTTTTGCAAGTTCTTTTATCCATAGTCAATCTATGGTTGTGATTGATGAATGAATGTAGTCCCTACATAAACGTGACTGATATTCTCATTTATGTTAATGATTAATGAAAGTGAAACAACAAAGATGCATGTCAGAATTTCACTTATTCATCAGTGATGTGGGCAACTCCTTTGTTGAATCAAATAATAGGTTTTGAAGATTGGAAGAACATTGTTCTTCTTTTCTTGATTAGTCAAAATGTAATGCCTATAGATATAACAGTTTTAAGTTTAATCTGCATTATTAATGCTTTCTCCATCACTTTTTAAAGTTTGGACTATCAACAAAACAATAAATTAAGCCTTGATCTTAAGCATTTCACAATTTTCATACTGTAAATAATCCCTACCATAGTTGATGTCAAGCTACAATTGCGATGTTACTGGGTAAATAGTGGGAAGAGATGCACAGAAGCATACCATTATAGGGTATTTCCACCCTAAGGATACTATAGCTATAAATAACCTCAAGGGCATAGATAGACAAAATGTAATGTAATTCAAGAATTAGAAGGTGATGTGTTTTGACTATTACTTTTGGTTTTAATATAATTTCATTGTAGGTAGACACAATTGAATTTTTAATAATGGCTGTGTTTAAAAACCAGCTTACAGAATTTTTGAAGATATAAAAACTGGCTCTTGTGAGCTAGGATATATCAACTCCCAGCACACTGGCAAGCAACCAAACTTATGAAGGACCTATTATGGGCTAGACATTGCATGTGTAACCTGTAAGATTCCTTAGCTCTCAACAGTCTTAATAATAGTATATAATCCAATATCATTGGCTCTTGCTCCATCTGCTTCTTGTAGGATCCCAGTACCCTGTTGTGTCTCTCAAACTCTTGGCAGTCTCTAGTGGGTATCCCCTATGTGATCATGAACATGTTTGCTTGCCATGTGCTGTTGCTGCTTTGTTGGACATTAACCACACATTCATCTGGAACTACTGTCTCCCATTGAGGCACTGTTGTTTCTTGGGTGCCGCTCCTGCTCTGCTGGAATCTGATTTCTCCTTCTCACCCTGTTGCCTTTCTGCTGAGTGCTGACAACAAAGCACAGGTGTGTTCATGGCCCCAGAACACCTGGAAAATTTTTCTCAAAGTAGGAACAGCATACGTCTTTTTCATTTGAATTACATTTTATTGGAAAGTGTCCGAAAGCAGGACTGCTGATTACCTTACAATGTTTTTGAATAATCCTTTTACTTTAGAGTAGTTATCTTTTTAGATTTACAGAAAAGTTAAGATTTACTTCAGGGAATTGCCACATACCTCATACTCAGTATCCCGTATTGTTAATACATAATTATGGTACATTTGTCACAATTAATAAATCAATATTAATGCATTATTATTAACTTAAGTTGATGCATTATTCATATTTCCTGTTTTTCCTAATGTCTTTTTTCTATCCAAGGATCCCACCCGGGATACCAAGTTACACTTAATTATCGTGTCTCTTTGGGTTCCTCTTGGCTGTGACAGTTTCTAAGACTTTACTTGCTTTTGAAGACCTTAACAATTTTGAGGACTACCAGTTAGTTATTTTGTAGAATTTCTCTCAATTGAGATTTGTCTAATGTTTGTCTCATGGTTAGACTTGGGTATGGGGAAGGAAAACCACAGAGGCGCAGTGCCATTCTTATCATTCATATCAAGGGTACAAACTATCAATATGACTTATCAAAGTTGATATTGACCTTGATCACCTGACTGAAGTTTTCAAGTTTCTTCAGTGTAATAACTGAAACCTGACTTCTCTGGTGTAAAGTCACTCTTTTAAAAATATCTTTCTATACTGTGGTCTTTGGAAGGAAGTCACTATGTACAACTCATTGGGTTGATTGGGTAGTATCTTGAGGGTAGAGTATCTCCATAAATTTTTTGGAATCTTCTGCATGGGAGATTTGTCTGTTTCCTCCCATTTATTTATTCAATAATTTATATCAGTATAGATTCATGGATATTTACTTTGAACTTCAAGTTATACTCTAATGTAGTCGATCCTTATTATTCATGGATTTCATATTTGTGAATTTGCCTACTTACTAAAATTTATTTGTAAACTGCAAATCAATACTTATGGTGCCTTCATGTTCATTTGCAGACATGTGCAGAGTGGCAAAAACTTTGAGTAGTCTGATATAAACCTTCTCAGCTGAGGTGGAACAAGGTGATGTTCTACCTTCTTGTTTGCGGCTCTCATCCTGTAAACAAGTATTCTTTTTTTGGTGTATTGATTTTCATGTTTTTCCAATTTTTGTACTTTTTGTTGGTAAATCTATGTTAAGGTAAACATGAATTTAAACTGATGTTTCCAACTCTATTCTAGCCTCTCCACTTGCTCATCTGTGACCATCCATTTCAACAGCAAGAAACTTGGCTCTTACCATCTGCTATTCATTTACTTAATTGTTCAATTCTAGTATACTGTACATGTACAGCAGTATCAGAATTGTTAACCCATACCCCATGGGAAACAACTAATAGAGCATGGTGCTCCTGTGCAGTTCCTTTTGCCTTAACTCTTACAGTCCCCACTCACCTCCAAAGTTACTTATCTCAGCACCCTTTTCCCCTTCACAGCTTTCACTAATACTCTTGAACATCCTTAACTGTTCCATCACTCCCTATTCTGTCATAGGCCGTGTGGGATTGGGCTAGGAAATAGAGCCAAATGGCAGATACTTCACAGTGCTTAGGATCCCTGATGACTTAAGCTGTTTCAACACTCCCATTCCATCCCTTATCAAGGTCAATATACCTTATTCCTTCCCTTACCATGATTCTCCTCCAGAAGCCTTCCCAGACCACATCAAAATAGGCCCTTTAGGAATTTTTAAAGTTCGTACCAGATTTACCCAAATGTGTCTGAGTCCTAATTAGAAATGCTGTGGCCCCTGCTGTATACATTCCATCTCATTTAATTTTATTTAATTCTCTTAGAAATAATTCCTGAAATGTATAAAGTGCTTACTATTGTCAGGTATGTTTCCTAAGTATAAGTGTTAACTTGACTAGGTCTCAAAATCTAATGAGGTAGGGTCTATTGGTATTCTGCTTTTTTTTTTTTTAATTTTTAATTTTTGAAATGGAGTCTCACTCAGTCGCCCAGGCTGGAGTACAGTGGCACAATCTCGGCTCACTGCAACCTTCACCTCCTGGGCTCAAGCAATTCTCCTGCCTCAGCCTTCTGATTAGCTAGGATTATAGGCACGTGCCACCATGCCCGGCTAATTTGTATATTTTTTAGTAGAGACAGGATTTCGCCTTGTGGGCCAGGCTGGTCTTGAACTCCTGACCTCAAGTGATCCGCCCACCTCAGCCTCCCAAAGTGCTGGGATTACAAGCGTGAACCCCTCGCCCAGCCTATTCTGCCATTTTACAAATGGAAAATAGAGACTCAGAGAGGTTCTTCTCCCATCCTTATCCATTTTTGACATGCAAACATATTTCAATTCAATAAACCTGTACTGGGGCCAGGTGCAGTGGTTCATGCCTGCACTGCTAGCACTTTGGGAGACCAAGGTAAGAGGACTGCTTGAGACCAGGAGTTCCAGACCAGCCTAGGCAATATAGCAAGACCTCGTCTCTAAAAAACAAACAAAAAGAAAACAATAACAACAAAAACCCATATTGAACACTTACTTTCTGCAGGCATTGTGTTAGACACGAGTGAAAAAAGGGAAATGAATAAGAAATGGTTTCACAACTCAAAGAGCTTTCAATATGTATCAAAATATAATTTCAAATAATATGGAAAGGGAATAAATTGCTTTGTACCTGCCTGGTGTATTGGTCCATTTTGCATTTCTATAAAGGAATAGTTGAGGCTGGGTAATTTATAAAGAAAAGAGGTTTATTTGGCTCATAGTTCTACAGGCTGTACAAGCATGTCACCAACATCTGCTTGGCTTCTCGTGAGGCCTCAGGAAGCTTTTACTCATTACAGAAGGGAAGGGGAGCCATCATGTCACGTGGTAAGAGAGGGAGCAAGGGAGACGCGAGGCTCTTTTAAACAATCAGCTCTCCCATGAACTCATTACCATGGAGAGGGCACTAAGTTCTTCATGAGAGATCCTCTCCCATGACCCAAACACCTGCCCCACTACCAACACTGGAGATCACATTTGAAAATGAGATCTGGAGGGGACAAATATCCAAACTATAACACCTGGTTCCTGCTTAACACTCACTGAGGAATGCCCTGAGCTTTACCTTATTTCCTTTTGGTTCCCAGGCCTCCCAGCATCTTTCAGGTTGGCATTTCCTGGCTTCCTCATCATCCGCTCTTTGTCTCCCCAGTCTAATTAGTAGATTGGTGGGAGGTAGCATGAGAAAGGCAAGGCTTTTCCCCATGTACCCATTCTTTGCAGCAATCCAGCCATTTGGGCTTTAATTGGCTTCATAGGGCCCCTCAGTGCTTTGTCCTTTGTGCATCAGGAAGTTAATTACTTAATAAACCAAATGGAGTCTTTCAAAAGTGCAGTGTTAGCTTTTCTTTATCTTAGAGTAAAACTTGGACCAAACTGAAGTACTCCAGTCACTGTGAGAACCAGCCAAAGATAAACCTGTGAAGCTGGAGAAATTTGTGTTAAGTGCTCCAAATTTAGGAGTCTTCATTCATAGTATGTCTTTTCACAGACCTCTAGGGCCCCTCTGTATGGCTCCTCCCTTGAACTTGCCCTTTCCATGCTTCTGTCTGTGTTTTGCCCTTTTCTTAGTGATTCCTTCCATCAGAATACTGTATATGTTTTGTGTCCTATTTCTAGGAGGCCCTGTTTAGTTGATATGATAAAACAATTTAAAATAATATTACCAGCCAACACTTACAATGTAAGCCAACACTTATAGTCATTCTGTTAAATAATTTATACATATGTATTAAATCCTCTCAATAACCTATGAGGTTGATAGTTCTTCTTACACCCATTATACAGATGAATAAGCCAAGGCCCAGAGTGGTTAAGTGACCTTCTAAGCTCACACAGCTAGCAAGCAGTGGAACTGGGATTTGAATCCAGGTTGTCTGGCAGTAAAATCCATGGTCTACAAACCACCAAATTGTAAGACAATGGTGTTTTGTTTGTAATGACTGGTAATGGCCTAGTTGTTGAGGCACATTTGCACGATTTCCTAATCTTTTTCCAAAGTACCAACTTTGTAATTTAACTTGTCAAGTGTTTATGGAGCACCTACAATAAACTAGATAATTTTCATCTTAAAAATAACATTAATGTCTTAATTCCTGGGAGTGATTAATGTAGGCATCATGAAAGGATTAGAGAACAATTAAATGTTAAATTGCATAGTATTGATTGTAAGTACACTGGTATCTGGGGAGGTGGAATTGTGCTAGGATTGGATAGGTAGAGATGAAGGAGGGAGAAGACATTTCCAGTAGTGAGAAATAACACTGAAAGGGATGGAATTGAGAAGATGAAGAGGGAGTAATGTGGAGATGTGCCTGACTAACAGTAATTTTCAAGTCTCTGCATAATTAAGATTAGAACCTCACTCCGCCACTAGGAGTTGCACCTTCTGACAAGGTAGACAGATTGGGTTCTTAGAGGCCATTTTAACTTTCAGCCTTAACAGGAGTTTCTGTGTCCTAGACTTAAGAGACTGGAGAGAAAACCTTGAGCTGTCCTTTGAGGTCATAGGTCAAAGTCACTACTGCACCACAATTTATTGCTCTGTTTACCCAAGAGGGTTAGTAATCCAGCCTGTGGTCACTCAGTAGCCTTGTTCTTTCCTTTAATGGAAGAACCCAGTGAAGACTCCAAAAAATCTTACCTCTGCATCTGTGTGAGGCTGCTTTTCCAATTCTTGCCACCTGGTCCCAGTAGGATGGAAGTTTTGGCCCTTGAATCTTTTGGTACTGTCTTTCATGTGTGCCCCCTTTCTTAAGCTTCTGAAATTGTTCTATACAGAGAGTTACTTTGATTAAAGTGACCAAACTGGGACAGAAAGCTGCCCTGTACTTTTTATTTCTCATTTTTATTATACATAGCCATATTAGAGTACCTTCTGCAGCGATAACAATGTATGCATTGCCCCAAGTTGGCTCCCACCCAGTAAAAGTCAACACTTAAACGTTCTTCCCATTAGTGTGTGTATCTCTGTTCTCAAAAAGAATTTAAAGTTCTAAGAAACAGCAATTACCCCAACCCCCAGAAAAGCCCCAAACCCAAAAGTGATCTCTCTTCCCTTGTTTGCACAGAAATAGGCTTTAGTTAGCAGGCAGTAGGTGGCATAAGTTTTTATGCGGGGGAACAGCATGATAAAAGTGGTATTACAGTAGGATTGATCTGGCAATACCGTACCTAGTATTTCTCACACTGTGCTACAATTGCCTGTTTATTTGCCTTTGCCTTTTTCCCTCAAAGAATGTAAATTCCTTGTAGGACAATCACTTACTCATCTCTACCTCCAGTGCCTACTACAGAGCTAGTTGAGTGAGGAAAGGCTACAGGCAGAAAGATCAATTAAGGATGTAGGAGTAGGGGTGGGAGGAGGCTGAGGTAATCCAGTTATGTGTGGTGATGGAAGCTGGGATGAGAACAAGATCTGAGGGATATTTTGTAGGGACACATGCCAGGATAACATGGATGAAAGGGTGAAGAATATAAGAGTACATCAGGATTTTGAACTTGGAAAATCAGAAAATAGGCAGTATTGTTAGGTTTTAGGGAGAAATAAGTAATACCTCTTTGTTCCTCTCCTGAGTTCTGAACCAAGTGAGAATTGAGACAGTAAGTAAATGAAGTTCAAGATGTGATTATTAGTGTCCTGTGAATTATGCAGATTTCCCCATATAGTAATTGGCACACCAGGACAACTGTAGCCTCCCCCTCCAGGAGCACAGGTCATCCTGTAAGATTCCCATATGGCTGAGAGCAACCTAAAACACTCTTTCAGGGCAGGCAGAGGTGAAAGAGAAAGCTGCAGAACAGGGATCAGCCAACCTTTAGTGCAAAAAGCCAGATAGTAAATATTTTAGGTTTTGCAGGCTAAATGGTTGATCTCTGTCACAACTACTTGCCCCCGATGCTGTGGTGTGAAAGCAACCACAGACAGTTGGTAATGGAACAAGCGTGGCTGTGTTCTAGTAAAACTTTATTTACAAAAACAGGTGATGAGCTAGATTTGGTTCACAGGCTGAAGTCTTCTGACCTCTCAACAGATGGAATGGAGTTGTATAGTTTCTTCATCAGCCTCACTAGTAAGTTAAGTCACACCTTGAGGAAAAGGGAATGAGGGGCCCCAGAAAAGCCAGGCGTGTTATGCTAGTGGTGGCTCAATCAGGAAAACAGGAGGCCTGGGGAATGCAATTTCCTTCTAACAGATACCACTGACAGAGATAAAGTAATTTGGAAGAGAAGGTTGGCGGAGAGATGCTAATCTTGGAAGGTGTGGAGTTTGAGGAGACAGCAGGACATCCAAGTGGAGGTTACCTATAGCCACAGTGATGTGGGGATCTGGGTTGTTCTGGCTCAGGAGAGCCAATTGTGCACATGTCTTTTCAACTCTGTGTTCGGTGTCCTCATATTAGTAGCTTGAAATTGGCCACGGTTGGAATATTGATAGCATGGAAATTGGCAAAAGCTAGAAATCAGAGTCTGCCTTGCACCCACTGCCATGAGCCAATTATTAAACACTTAACAGCATATTATTGCATGTAGAAGGTGTGAATGCAGATCCGAAACACAGTGCAGGTAGGACCCAATAGGAGAGTCATCTGCATGATGGAGAGAGCTAAACCTTTGGGAGTGGCTAAGCTTACTGAGCACAAGGCAGAAAATAGCAAAGTAAACAAAACCAAATACTTGAGGAATATTCACAGTTTGGGATCAGTAGAGTAAGTGGATGGCAAAGGCTGGGAAGAGAGATGGGAGAGGTAGAAGAACAAGGAAGAAGCAGTGCTAGAGTAACTGGCCACCACTCACTACCTATGATAGTAGGGCTCTTGGAGAACATATCAAAAAAAGACCGTTTATCTTTGTTAATTATAAAACAAGAAGCCCTCATCCTCCTGAATAGGTAATTTGAATGGAAGGTGGAAAAAGAGACTCCCAGGATTCTGTGGACCTTCCAAACAGATCCAAAATTTGTCCCTCTGAGGCTTCCCTGGTACTACATGCTGTTTCAGTCAAGATCAAGGGGGATAGAATTTGGCAGCTGATATAAAGCCACCCAACACTAACAATTTAAAGCCCCCAAATTTTACATTATTTCTCTTTAACTCATAAGAAATCTAGCTGCTATTGTGGTTTAAAGCCTTAGGCTATATTCCTAGCTGAGAATTATAACAAGGGGAATTCCTCCTAAACAAGTAAACAAGAAGAATCTGTTGCCTAATCTCACATACTAGAGATCAGCTAATGCTTATACTAGCTTCAGTGGTCTTCTGGTTTCCAGGTAAGCCATACCTAACTCTAGTAAGGACTTTGCCCTCTTCCCATGGGATTCTTGAACTCATAAAAATTCTACTTCTTTTGTAGTCTAAAGACCCCAGAGTGCTTCTTCTGACTCTGGAGCTCACTTTTATCTCTGTCCAAGGCTAAATCCCGGTAAGGCCCCAGACACCCCAAATAAAAGTCTTTACTTGCATATCATGGACCCATACCGAAACCTGAGAGACCAGACGAAGCCATATTTAAAGCTCCAAACCCCAGTGCTAGTGAGGCTCACCACGAAATTTGGTCTCTTAACATAATGCTTTGGTCCACAAATAACACTCTTTGTGTTTATTTACTAAGTTTTCTGGGCCATGTTGAAGATTTTTGAGGCTAGTCTGTCTACCTGTCTACCCTGCTTGGCTCTAACCAATTGAGAACAAACACAAGGAATTAGATGTAGATCAATGTCTCCTCTTTAGTATTTGTATTAGTAACAATAACTAAAATTTATTAATGGTTTTCTAGATATTTATTTGTATCATATTACCTAATCTTTATACCTATGAGGTAAATATGATTAATATTTTCAATATAGAGAGGAAGAAATTTAGGGACAGAAATCTTGAACAGCTTATCCACAGTCACACAGTAGGTGGCAAAGCCAGGATGAAAACCCTAGTGGTCTAAGTCCACACATTCTACCATCTCTCTGCTTATATCTAAAAGACAAGATTCTCTGTTAAAGATCGACCCAAGGTTAAGGTTTAGGCATGAGACTTCTGACTACCCCAAATTAAAATTAGCTGTAGTCTTAGAAGCTGGAGAATGGAAGACCTCTTTTGCAATTGAGAGTCCTCACTCAGATGGTCTTACAAAATGGAGATCAGGAGCTGAAAAATGCTAGAAAGAAAAGAGACAGACCCGCATTTATTCTTTCAATGAAATGACACTACCTTCTGGTTAAGTTTGCCCATCCTGTCGTGGAGAGCAGCAAATGTAGAATTCTAGCTCAGTTCCCTCCTAGGCATTGGAGCCGTTGTCCCTCTCCTCCATGGACATAAGGAAGCAGGGAATGAGTATTCCTTGGAGCCATCAACATGGTGTTCAATCTTTTGCAAACCTGTGATGATAATATATGAAAAGTGGCTGGTATATAGTAGGTATTTGATGCAGGTTACATCCTGTTGACCCCAGTCTATTTAAATCGATCCAGTCTGCTTATACACATGCACAAGACAAGACATTTCTTCCCTGGCTTTCAGCATTTGTCTATCCCGACAGTCTATTAAAAGTTTTGACTTACAGTTCCTTAATCTCACCTATTGTGGTTTCTTGTTCTATCTCTCATTGAAGGAGATCAGATAATAAACAAAAAAAAAGTACTATAATGTCAGGTAAGTGACATTAAGAAAATAAAACATGGCAATGGGACAGAGAGTGGCTGATGGAATGGGCAACATTAGTAGAAAGGTCATCAAAGAAGGTCTCTCTGAGGAGGTGACATTTGAGCTGAAACCTGAGTGATGGGAAAGACTCATTCAGGCAAGCATATGGGAGAAGAGAACCCCAGACGGAAGTAAGGTACAAAGGCTCTAAGCCTGGAATGAGTGGACAGGTCTATGGAACAGAAAGAAAGCCATTGTGAATGGAGCAGGCGTGAGTACATGATTTGAAGATGGAGAAGCAAGCAGAGTTCAGATCACTCAGGGTCTCATGGACCATGATAGGAAGCTTAAATTTGATTCCAAGGAAAGTGGGAAGTTCCTGTTGGGATTATCACTCTGGTTTCTGAAATTTGCCTCCGAGCCTTCTTGTTTCCTGGCATTCTGCTTCTTCCTGTAGCAAACCCTGCCCGGGTTTCACTGGCCCAGAGAAGTGATTAGCTCCCCAGTGACCTAGAACCATCCTTTCTGTGTGATCACTGCCACTCCCCAATTTCACCTCTCCCTCTCCTGGCTCTAAGGGAGAATTCCTTGTTGCTCTCAACAGAGGGACATATACAGAATTTGTGGATCTGGTAAGAAAACGGATCCCCCTTAAATGAAAGGCCACATGAATCTTCCCAGTGTAGGTAAGTGTAATTCTTGCAGCAGCACCCCTCAGACAGATGCATGAAGGTGTAAGCTGCCAAGGTTGGGAAAAGTCCCCAGGAAGGCCTCCATCTCAGAGGTAATTCATGGGAGATATATGAAATATCACTGATTTCCACATATGCTTCATGAGATATCAGGATGATGGAAGCTGTTGGTGTCTAATAAGAAATTTTGAAAAAGGCAAGCTAGATACAAATCAGAGATTTCTCAACATCTTCAGCTGGGTCCAAAGGACAAACACTATGTGTGGTGACTCTGAGTCCTTAGAAAGGTGATCTCTATAGTGCAGTATGGAATTTTTGAGGATCTAGTGGAGTGGGATAAAATTCCCCATAGAACTCTCCAGTTCCCTCTTCTCAGATTTTATGTGCACAAAACTGCCTTCTTATTGCCAAAAACAACCACTTCCATTTGTACTATACTCTCCAGCTCATGAAAGTGATTTCAAATATACAAAACAATGCTAAGTGATCAATATTCTCTTTTATACAGGTAAGAAAACCAAGGTCCAAAGAATTAAGTTACATGAATCCTTGAACCTAGGTTTATATGGATGCAGTTCATCTTCATTTTCACTTCTATAGAGTTGCTTTATGTGTTCAGTTTCTTTCCTGAAGAACTAAATAGTGGGCCCAAGTATTCTCGTTGTTGGATAGATTCATCCCACCATCATGTATGAATATCTTGGAGGTCCAGGTTATGTCTGTTTATTGTGAGTTTTGCTATTGTATCAGTGCCCGGAGGCTGGGAAAATTGACAGAAGCAAGATCTTGTAAGGTAGAATGCCAGAACTTGGATTGTGGTGACTCTACCTAAATGCAGACACCCTCAAAAGGCCTGGCTGGGAAATCGTCTGCTGACCTTTTCCAAGCTGTCTTAACTGCAAGATCACTCAACTGTTTCCACTTTGTTTTGAAGCTGCTTAAAAAAGAGCAAACAACTCTAATCTCTCTTAGCCAGTTTTCCAGCTGAAGACACAGAATAGCATGGGGAGCTGATTAAAATGAGATGGTACTTTAAAAACCAGGAGCCAATTGACCTTAACTGTGTTTCTTTCTGCTTTTATATGTTGTTGTTGAAACTGCAGGTAAGTGATTTGCTGGCCCCGGCTCTAGAGAGGTTTTATATATTGTTCGTGTGTTCATAATTATCACCCATTTTCCTTTCATACTTCTTAGGTAGGGAAATAATTACTGCTTTGGGCTCCGGCTTTTGGGGTATTATGATGTGAGTCACTAAAAAGCCTAGCCTGTCTGTCCTTTTTTCTTCCTTCCTTCCTTTCTCCTTTTAATGTCTCTTTGTTTAGAAGAAAGAAATCAATTTTTGAATGGATTTCAAATTGCATTTGAATTTGGAAAATTAAAACAGATGAACAGCAAAATACCATTATTTTTAGAGCTCATAAGACAAAGCCTGGCTGGCTTGGGGTTTTGACTGTTGGTTCTTATAACAAATGGCTCCTTTAAGATGGCACCAAAGTCAATACTAATGGTTATTATGATTAAGTACAGCTCCCTTGGTGTCCGTTTCCTGCTCTTTGGCATTCCTCCCCTCTCTCCAATGCACATACATGGTTTTTGTAAAGTTAAGTGTCTCTGATATACACACAGGCCAAGTAGAGAAAGTTTGTAGCTGACCCCTCCACCTCCCTTTCTATGTCTTCCCTCTGCCTAACAACTTGACTTCCCCTAGGCCTCACCAGGGCGCCCCCCCACCCACACCATGTAGTTGCCCCTCTTCTGGCCTGAATTTACTCTCTAGAAGTCTTGCAAGCTTAAGGCATCTCAAGATTGTCTTCCCATCACCCCTTTCCTCAAATTGCCTAGCCCGGGCCCTGCTGTCAGCTAAGTCAATGCTAAGACAGCTGATATGGTTTGGCTCTGTGCCCCCACCCGAATCTCATCTTGAATTATAATCCCCACGTGTTGAGGGAGGGACCTGTAATCCCCACAAGTCAAGGGAGGGAAATGATTGGATTATGGGGGTGGTTTCCCCCATGCTGTTCTTGTGACAGTGAGTGAATTCTCACGAGATCTCATGGTTTTAAAAGTGGTAGCTTTTTCCTGCACTCTCACGTCTCTCTCCTGCCACTTTGTGAAGAAGGTGCCTGCTTCTGCTTTGCCTTCTGCCATGATTGTAAGTTTCCCGAGCTCTCCCCAGCCATGCAGAACTGTGAGTCAATTAAACCTCTTTCCTTTATAAATTACCCAGTCTTGGATATTTCTTTATAGCAGTGTGAGACTGGACTAATACAACAGGTGAATGATAAGGTCAAATGCCCATATTAAAGGTACACAATAGTTTTCAATGTAGTATGTGTCTTCCATAGCATTGATCCAAAGGTGTGACTGATGGTACAGTTTTCAGGTGCTTCTAGGGCATCCTAGAGACAAAGCACGGGTACTATTTCAGGCATCTTTCATAATACCAAAATAATTCATGTCTGTTCAGGACTCTACCAAATACTTTTTCATTAATTATTTTATTTCCCCCCCCTAAGAAGCACTGTGAGGTGGGTGATATTAATTCAGATAAGAATGAGAAAAATGAGGCTCAGAGAGGTTAAGTGATTTGTCTGACATCACACAGCTAGGAAATGACCACACTACAACTGGAGCCCAGCTCAGCTGACTTGAAATTCTCTGTGTTTTCTGCTCTGTCACATGGTCTTATAATACTTTATTCCAAGAATTTTTGGAGTACTAGCTGTGCCAAGTCCTGTGCGGGATATAGTAGGTGAGTGAAACAGGCATGGATGGCCTTGTCTTCACTGGAGTTTATTGAACTCTAAGTATGGTGATACAGACAAAATGAGTTAATAAATATATCTTTAAAATTACAAATTATGGGAAATGCTGTGAAAGCAAGTGGAAATGAGGAATGTTGGTAAGGGAGCTTTTCTTTTTTTATTATTATTGTTATTATACTTTAAGTTTTAGGGTACATGTGCACAATGTGCAGGTTAGTTACATATGTATACATGTGACATGCTGGTGTGCTGCACCCACTAACTCGTCAACTAGCATTAGGTATATGTCCCAATGCTATCCCTCCCCCCTCCCCCCACCCCACAGCAGTCCCCAGAGTGTGATGTTCCCCTTCCTGTGTCCGTGTGTTCTCATTGTTCAATTCCCACCTATGAGTGAGAATATGTGGTGTTTGGTTTTTTGTTCTTGCGATAGTTTACTGAGAATGATGATTTCCAACTTCATCCATGTCCCTACAAAGGACATGAACTCATCATTTTTTATGGCTGCATAGTATTCCATGGTGTATATGTGCCACATTTTCTTTTTTTTTTTTTTGAGGTATGTCCATAGTAGTATATTAAACAAAAATTAATAAACACTTGGATGTTATCAGAGCAGCAGGATTTAAAACTTCTTTTTTTAAATTTTTTTTATTATACTTTAAGTTTTAGGGTACATGTGCACATTGTGCAGGTTAGTTAAATATGTATACATGCGCCATGCTGGTGTGCTACACCCACAAACTCGTCATCTAGCATTAGGTATATCTCCCGATGCTATCCCTCCCCCCTCCCCCCACCCCACAACAGTCCCCAGAGTGTGATATTCCCCGTCCTGTGTCCATGTGATCTCATTGTTCAATTCCCACCTATGAGTGAGGATATGCGGTGTTTGGTTTTTTGTTCTTGCGATAGTTTACTGAGAATGATGATTTCCAATTTCATCCATGTCCCTACAAAGGACATGAACCCATCATTTTTTATGGCTGCATAGTATTCCATGGTGTATATGTGCCACATTTTCTTAATCCAGTCTATCATTGTTGGACATTTGGGTTGGTTCCAACTCTTTGCTATTGTGAATAATGCTGCAATAAACATACGTGTCATGTGTCTTTATAGCAGCATGATTTATAGTCCTTTGGGTATATACCCAGTAATGGGATGGCTGGGTCAAATGGTATTTCCAGTTCTAGATCCCTGAGGAATCGCCACACTGCCTTCCACAATGGTTGAACTAGTTTACAGTCCCACCAACAGTGTAAAAGTGTTCCTATTTCTCCACATCCTCTCCAGCACCTGTTGTTTCCTGACCTTTTAATGATTGCCATTCTAACTGGTGTGAGATGGTATCTCATTGTGGTTTTGATTTGCATTTCTCTGATGGCCAGTGATGATGAGCATTTTTTCATGTGTCTTTTGGCTGCATAAATGTCTTCTTTTGAGAAGTGTCTGTTCATGTCCTTCACCCACTTTTTGATGGGGTTGTTTGTTTTCTCCTTGTAAATTTGTTTGAGTTCATTGTAGATTCTGGGTATTAGCCCTTTGTCAGATGAATAGGTTGCGAAAATTTTCTCCCATTTTCTAGGTTGCCTGTTTACTCTGATGGTAGTTTCTTTTGCTGTGCAGAAGCTCTTGAGTTTAATTAGATCCCATTTGTCAGTTTTGTCTTTTGTTGCCATTGCTTTTGGTGTTTTAGACGTGAAGTCCTTGCCCATGCCTATGTCCTGAATGGTAATGCCTAGGTTTTCTTCTAGGGTTTTTATGGTTTTAGGTCTAACGTTTAACTCTTTAATCCATCTTGAATTGATTTTTGTATAAGGTGTAAGGAAGGGATCCAGTTTCAGCTTTCTACATATGGCTAGCCAGTTTTCCCAGCACCATTTATTAAATAGGGAATCCTTTCCCCATTGCTTGTTTTTCTCAGGTTTGTCAAAGATCAGATAGTTGTAGATATGCGGCGTTATTTCTGAGGGCTCTGTTCTGTTCCATTGATCTATATCTCTGTTTTGGTACCAGTACCATGCTGTTTTGGTTACTGTAGCCTTGTAGTATAGTTTGAAGTCAGGTAGTGTGATGCCTCCAGCTTTGTTCTTTTGGCTTAGGATTGACTTGGTGATGCGGGCTCTTTTTTGGTTCCATATGAACTTTAAAGTAGTTTTTTCCAAATCCGTGAAGAAAGGCATTGGTAGCTTGATGGGGATGGCATTGAATCTGTAAATTACCTTGGGCAGTATGGCCATTTTCACGATATTGATTCTTCCTACCCATGAGCATGGAATGTTCTTCCATTTGTTTGTATCCTCTTTTATTTCCTTGAGCAGTGGTTTGTAGTTCTCCTTGAAGAGGTCCTTCACATCCCTTGTAAGTTGGATTCCTAGGTATTTTATTCTCTTTGAAGCAATTGTGAATGGGAGTTCACTCATGATTTGGCTCTCTGTTTGTCTGTTGTTGGTGTATAAGAATGCTTGTGATTTTTGTACATTGATTTTGTATCCTGAGCCTTTGCTGAAGTTGCTTATCAGCTTAAGGAGATTTTGGGCTGAGACAATGGGGTTTTCTAGCTATACAATCATGTCGTCTGCAAACAGGGACAATTTGACTTCCTCTTTTCCTAATTGAATACCCTTTATTTCCTTCTCCTGCCTGATTGCCCTGGCCAGAACTTCCAACACTATGTTGAATAGGAGTGGTGAGAGAGGGCATCCCTGTCTTGTGCCAGTTTTCAAAGGGAATGCTTCCAGTTTTTGCCCATTCAGTATGATATTGGCTGTGGGTTTGTCATAGATAGCTCTTATTATTTTGAAATACGTCCCATCAATACCTAATTTATTGAGAGTTTTTAGCATGAAGGGTTGTTGAATTTAGTCAAAGGCCTTTTCTGCATCTATTGAGATAATCATGTGGTTTTTGTCTTTGGTTCTGTTTATATGCTGCATTACATTTATTGATTTGCATATATTGAGCCAGCCTTGCATCTCAGGGATGAAGCCCACTTGATCATGGTGGATAAGCTTTTTGATGTGCTGCTGGATTCGTTTTGCCAGTATTTTATTGAGGATTTTTGCATCAATGTTCATCAAGGATATTGGTCTAAAATTCTCTTTTTTGGTTGTGTCTCTGCCAGGCTTTGGTATCACGATGATGCTGGCCTCATAAAATGAGTTAGGGAGGATTCCCTCTTTTTCTATTGATTGGAATAGTTTCAGAAGGAATGGTACCTGTTCCTCCTTGTACCTCTGGTAGAATTCGGCTGTGAATCCATCTGGTCCTGGACTCTTTTTGGTTGGTAAGCTATTGATTATTGCCACAATTTCAGATCCTGTTATTGGTCTATTCAGAGATTCAACTTCTTCCTGGTTTAGTCTTGGGAGAGTGTATGTGTTGAGGAATTTATCCATTTCTTCTAGATTTTCTAATTTATTTGCGAAGAGGTGTTTGTAGTATTCCCTGATGGTAGTTTGTATTTCTGTGGGATCGGTGGTGATATCCCCTTTATCATTTTTTATTGCATCTATTTGATTCTTCTCTCTTTTCTTCTTTATTAGTCTTGCTAGTGGTCTATCAATTTTGTTGATCCTTTCAAAAAACCAGCTCCTGGATTCATTAATTTTTTGGAGGGTTTTTTGTGTCTCTATTTCCTTCAATTCTGCTCTGATTTTAGTTATTTCTTGCCTTCTGCTAGCTTTTGAATGTGTTTGCTCTTGCTTTTCTAGTTCTTTTAATTGTGATGTTAGGGTGTCAGTTTTGGATCTTTCCTGCTTTCTCTTGTGGGCATTTAGTGCTATAAATTTCCCTCTACACACTGCTTTGAATGTGTCCCAGAGATTCTGGTATGTTGTGTCTTTGTTCTTGTTGGTTTCAAAGAACATCTTTATTTCTGCCTTCATTTCGTTATGTACCCAGTAGTCATTCAGGAGCAGGTTGTTCAGTTTCCATATAGTTGAGCGGTTTTGAGTGAGTTTCTTAATCCTGAGTTCTAGTTTGATTGCACTGTGGTCTGAGAGATAGTTTGTTATAATTTCTGTTCTTTTACATTTGCTGAGGAGAGCTTTACTTCCAAGTATGTGGTCAATTTTGGAATAGGTGTGGTGTGGTGCTGAAAAAAATGTATATTCTGTTGATTTGGGGTGGAGAGTTCTGTAGATGTCTATTAGGTCCGCTTGGTGCAGAGCTGAGTTCAATTCCTGGGTATCCTTGTTGACTTTCTGTCTCATTGATCTGTCTAATGTTGACAGTGGGGTGTTAAAGTCTCCCATTATTAATGTGTGGGAGTCTAAGTCTCTTTGTAGGTCACTCAGGACTTGCTTTTATGAATCTGGGTCCTCCTGTATTGGGTGCATATATATTTAGGATAGTTAGCTCTTCTTGTTGAATTGATCCTTTTACCATTATGTAATGGCCTTCTTTGTCTCTTTTGATCTTTGTTGGTTTAAAGTCTGTTTTATCAGAGACTAGGATTGCAACCCCTGCCTTTTTTTGTTTTCCATTTGCTTGGTAGATCTTCCTCCATCCTTTTATTTTGAGCCTATATGTGTCTCTGCATGTGAGATGGGTTTCCTGAATAGAACACACTGATGGGTCTTGACTCTTTATCCAATTTGCCAGTCTGTGTCTTTTAATTGGAGCATTTAGTCCATTTACATTTAAAGTTAATATTGTTATGTGTGAATTTGATCCTGTCATTATGATATTAGCTGCTTATTTTGCTCGTTAGTTGATGCAGTTTCTTCCTAGTCTCAATGGTCTTTACATTTTGGCATGATTTTGCAGTGGCTGGTACTGGTTGTTCCTTTCCATGTTTAGTGCTTCCTTCAGGAGCTCTTTTAGGGCAGGCCTGGTGGTGACAAAATCTCTCAGCATTTGCTTGTCTGTAAAGTATTTTATTTCTCCTTCACTTATGAAGCTTAGTTTGGCTGGATATGAAATTCTGGGTTGAAAATTCTTTTCTTTAAGAATGTTGAATATTGGCCCCCACTCTCTTCTGGCTTGTAGAGTTTCTGCCGAGAGATCTGCTGTTAGTCTGATGGGCTTCCCTTTGAGGGTAACCCGACCTTTCTCTCTGGCTGCCCTTAACATTTTTTCCTTCATTTCCACTTTGGTGAATCTGACAATTATGTGTCTTGGAGTTGCTCTTCTCGAGGAGTATCTTTGTGGCGTTCTCTGTATTTCCTGAATCTGAATGTTGGCCTGCCTTGCTAGATTGGGTAAGTTCTCCTGGATAATATCCTGCAGGTTCTCCTGGATAATATCCTGCAGAGTGTTTTCCACCTTGGTTCCATTCTCCCCATCCCTTTCAGGTACACCAATCAGACGTAGATTTGGTCTTTTCACATAGTCCCATATTTCTTGGAGGCTTTGTTTGTTTCTTTTTATTCTTTTTCCTCTAAACTTCCCTTCTCTCTTCATTTCATCATTTCATCTTCCATCGCTGATACCCTTTCTTGCAGTTGATCGCGTCGGCTCCTGAGGCTTGTGCATTCTTCACGTAGTTCTCGAGCCTTGGCTTTCAGCTCCATCAGCTCCTTTAAGCACTTCTCTGTATTGGTTATTCTAGTTATACATTCGTCTAAATTTTTTTCAAAGTTTTTCACTTCTTTGCCTTTGGTTTGAATTTCCTCCTATAGCTTGTAGTTTGATCGTCTGAAGCCTTCTTCTCTCAACTCGTCAAAGTCATTCTCCGTCCAGCTTTGTTCCATTGCTGGTGAGGACCTGCATTCCTTTGGAGGAGGAGAGGCACTCTGCTGTTTAGAGTTTCCAGTTTTTCTGCTCTGTTTTTTCCCCATCTTTGTGGTTTTATCTACTTTTGGTCTTTCATCATGGTGATGTACAGATGGGTTTTTGGTGTGGATGTCCTTTCTGTTTGTTAGTTTTCCTTCTAACAGACAGGACCCTCAGCTGCAGGTCTGTTGGAGTTTGCTAGAGGTCCACTCCAGACCCTGTTTGCCTGGGTATCAGCAGCGGTGTCTGCAGAACCGTGGTTTTTCGTGAACCGTGAATGCTGCTGTCTGCTCATTCCTCTGGAAGTTTTGTCTCAGAGGAGTACCCGGCCGTGTGACGTGTCAGTCTGCCCCTACTGGGGGGTGCCTCCCAGTTAGGCTGCTCAGGGGTCAGGGGTCAGGGACCCACTTGAGGAGGCAGTCTGCCTGTTCTCAGATCTCCAGCTGCATGCTGGGAGAACCACTGCTCTCTTCAAAGCTGTCAGACAGGGACATTTAAGTCTGCAGAGGTTACTGCTGTCTTTTTGTTTGTCTGTGCCCTGCCCCCAGAGGTGGATCCTACAGAGGCAGGCAGGCCTCCTTGAGCTGTGGTTTGCTCCACCCAGTTGGAGCTTCCCAGCTGCTTTGTTTACCTAAGCAAGCCTGGGCAATGGCAGACGCCCCTCCCCCAGCCTCACTGCCGCCTTGCAGTTTGATCTCAGACTGCTGTGCTAGCAATCAGCGAGACTCCGTGGGTGTAGGACCCTCCAAGCCAGGTGCAGGATATAATCTCCTGGTGCGCCGTTTTTTAAGCCTGTCGGAAAAGCGCAGTATTCGGGTGGGAGTGACCCGATTTTCCAGGTGCCGTCTGTCACCCCTTTCTTTGACTAGGAAAGGGAACTTCCTGATCCCTTGCACTTCCCGGGTGAGGGGATGCCTCGTCCTGCTTCGGCTTGCGCAGGGTGCGCTGCACCCACTGACTTGCGCCCACTGTCTGGCACTAAGGGAGCTTTTCTTATAGATCTCTTGGAGATGGTGACATTTAGGCTGAGGCCTGAAAACTGAGAAGGACCTAGTAATGAGGGGTGGGAGGAAGAGACCAGACCAGGTAGAGGATGTACAAAAGTCCTCGAGGCATGTTCGCAGTACACAGATCGTTGCCTATCCCACTTACTTCATGTGCTTGGGAGCCATGTTCTGTACACACAGATCCTCATGATGCTTGAGGAGGTCTTATCAGGACTTGTCACACTATCATGCCAGTCATATACAAAAACTCTCTTACAAAATGTGTTCATTTCCTTCTTGCTATAGGAAGGCCCTTAGAAACCAGGCGATTCTTCAAGAGAACTTTGCATGGTTTCTGTGGAAGGTGGGCATTTCTCTCCAAGCTATGCTTCTAGCTTCACCTGTAATATTCACAAATATTGTGACCCAAGTATAGGATTGTGGATGGCTCAGCCAAACCCATCCCCACTGCTGGAGACACAGCTCACAGGGGCCACACTGATAAGAGACCACCATGATGTGCCCAGGTGGAGCTTTGTGTGTGAAAAACAGCATAGTGAGCAATAGGTTGTGTGTCTTGGGTTTGCAAGAAAAGAGGATTTGGGCATCTTTTGCCAAGGGTTTCCATCACACTCTGATGATGCATACTTTGCAATTAGTAAGTGTTCCAAAAAAGTCTTAATAATGTAAGGATCTTAGGTTAAGCTGTCTACCTGACTCACTGCTAGTCTTCAGTTCTAGATGTTTCTAAACCAAACGTTTATTTAAGTAAGCCCTAGCCGTGTGCCCCTTTTTATACTAGGCCTTGAAGTAAATGCAGAAGTATCACCATCACAGTCCCTGCCTTTGAGGAGACTGCAGTCTGCAGGAGGAGACAAAACATAAATATGTTTAACAATTACAAAGGGGCCCCACCCCCGATGACGCCAGGTGCCAAGTGCATGGGGATTCCCGCAGCCCTGGCTCCTATGCGGCCTGCCCCACAGCGAGATGGTGGCCTGAACGCAGCTGGCAGTGGTAGAAAGAGCTGTTGGCTAAAGGAAGTGGAGGGGCCGTGGGATGCGGAGAGCTGGGGGCTAACTCCCGGATGGTGGAACAGAGAGAGCTGCTGACAACAGTCGCAGGTGGAGGAGGTGTCACCTCCCAGAATAACCAGTGCAGCCCCTGCTAAGAAACCCTACCGTAAGGCACCACCAGAGCATTGGGAGCTGCGACTGGAAATTCCTGGATCCAGGTTTGAGCAGGAGGAATCCCTGACTGACTTGGAAAGGATGAAGCTCTCGCAGCAGGATAATGAAGAGCTTTGTCGGTGCCTGGCCTCGGCCACGAGATGCACTGAGGTCCTGGAATGTAAGCTGGAAATTGGGCAGGACTGCCTAGAGCTGGAGCTGCGCCAGAGCCGCAAGGAGCTGGACAAGTTTTAAGGATAAGTTCTGCAGGCTGCAGAACAGCTACATGGCTTCCCAGCAGACCAACCAGGAGTTGGAGGACAAGCTGCACACACTGCTCAAGAAGGCTGAGATGGATAGGCAGACGCTGGACTGGGAGATCGTGGAGCTGACCAACAAGCTGCTGGATGCCAAGAACACCATCAACAAGCTGGAGGAGCTCAGCGAGCGGTACCAGGGGGATTGCAACCTGGCTGTGCAGCTCCTCAAGTGCAGCCAGTCCCACTTCCGAAACTATGAGTTCTCCGATCTGTCCTGTGAGCTACACGACATGGTTCAGAAACATCTGCATAGTGGACAAGAGGCCGCCAGCCCGGGTCCTGCTCCCAGCCTAGCCCCAGCGGCTGTTGTGCCTACTTTGGTCATTGCCCGAGTGTTAGAGAAGCCAGAGTCTCTACTGCTGAATTCAGCCCGGTCAGGCAGCGCTGGGCACCCTATGGCTGAAGATGTCTTTGTGCATGTGGACATCAGTGAGGGTGCCCCAGGCGATCCAGCCAGTCCCCCGGCCCCTGGCAGCCCCACCCCCCAACCCAATGGGGAGTGTCACTCTCTGGATACTGCTGGGGGCTCCCCAGAGGAAGAGCTGCCCCTGCCAGCCTTTGAGAAGCTGAGCCCCTACCCCACCCCATCTCCACCACTCCCACTGTATCCTGGCTGCAGGGTAATAGAGTTCTCCAAGGATAAAGTTTGGATCCCCTGCAACAGCCCCCTGCCCAACTGCACTTACACCACCCGCCAGGCCATTTCGCTGAGCCTGGTGGGGGAAGGGAGTGAGTGGGCCTGCCCCAGCCCAGTGCTCAGTGCCCCTGCCTCAGCCTAGGCCTCACTCAACCACCAGCCCAGCTCAGTGCTCCCAACACTCAGTGCCCCAGCCAGGTCTGTTAGCTCTGAAAAGGACCTGCTGGTCAGCTGGCAGTGGGCATTTGTGGACCATACTCTGCCACCTGCTGCTGTGGCCCAGGTCACAGCCTTTAAGAGTGACACCCTCCCTGAGCTGCAGCACCGTTTTGCCCATAACTCCGCTGACAGAGATTAGGTGGTCCAGGCACCTTCTCCCCGAACCAAAGAGAGTGGGCTTTTGCTTCCCACAGAACCTGACTCTGGCTTTCCCAGGGAGGAGGAAGAAGAGCTGAACCTGCCCATCCGCCCTGAGGAAGAGCGCCAGAGCCTGCTGCTCATTAACAGTGTCACAGAGGAGGGTCCTGGCACTTCCCACACTGAGCGCAGGGCCTGGCCACTCCCCAGCTCCAGCCACCCCCAGTGCAGCCCCAAAAGAATGGGGGTTCACCACCTGCACTGCAAGGACAGCCTGACGCAGGCCCAGCAGCAGGGCAACCAGCTCTACTAGGGCCTCTGCTGGCCTTCCTGCCATTGCTGCACCGGGACTGCAAGGAGGCCCCACACCTTGGCAGCTCAGGGTCCCCAGTCCAAGCCCTTGACCTCTTCTCTATCCAGACCTGCACAGCTGTTCCCTGTGTGAGTGGGGTTGGGCGGTGGGCTGCACCAGGCCTGTCAGCTGCGTTGACTGTGACACAGAGGCTTGCCTCATGGTTTTCCCCTTTTCTTAGAATACTTATTCTCCAGAGGTAACATGCAGTTGGGTCTCAAGAGCTTTCCTCCAATCAGCCCAACCCAGCCCAAACTGAGCTGTTCTGGGGAGCTGAGGAGTTTATCAGTATTCATCTTCCATCCTCCTTTCATAGTCAAGTTTGTTATTTTGTTTTCTTGGGGGTGGGTGTTGTTGGAGTTATTAACCTCTAATTTCTGTTTCTTACCTGTCTCCCTTCCCCCCAATTCTTTGCATGGGCTGTTGGCCTCAAGGGGCCTTGGCACAGCTGGCCTCAGGGAGGAGGGAGAGGACTGACTGAGGGCTCTCCTCAGCTGTTTCTTCCCTCCCTCTGGAAGGGAAGGTGGGGTTCAGGGTCCTCAAGCTGGGCTCTGGGTGAGGCCTGCCCCCCTCCCCCCAACCTTGGCTCTAGACTGTTACTCCCAGCTTTAGGAAATTTTACTTTTTTTTTTTTTCCTTGAGATGGAGTCTCGCTGTTTCGCCCAGGCTGGAGTGCGGTGGTGCAAACTTGGCTCACTGCAAGCGCCGCCTCCCGGGTTCATGCCATTCTCCTGCCTCAGCCTCCTGAGTAGCTGGGACTACAGGTGCCCGCCACCACTCCCGGCTACTTTTTTTGTTCTTTTTTTTAGTAGAGACAGGGTTTCACCGTGTTAGCCAGGATGGTCTCCATCTCCTGACCTCGTGATCCACCCACCTCGGCCTCTCAAAGTGCTGGGATTACAGGTGTGAGCCACCGTGCCTGGCCGAAATTTTCACATTGATGACTATTTTAAAATCAAACTATTTTGCTGGTTTAAAAAATTAGCCGGGCATGGTGGTGCATGCCTGTAATCCCAGCTACTCAGGAGTCTGAGGCAGAAGAATTGCTTGAACCCAGGAGACGGAGGTTGCCTCCCACAGGTGGGATCCACGTTGCTGCACTTTCTACCTGACTCACAGATACAAATGGCTCCGGGAGAGAGATGCTGGCTGCTGTTGTGCTGGTAATACCCTAAGGCAAGAAGTGTAATATGCTGTCACTTCCTCTTTTTCACTCACCCTCCTCGGACTCCATATTGTATTTGATATTTGTTTCCCCCTTCAAGGATGCCCTTAAAATTCATTTGTGTTTGCATTCACCTAGATACAAAGACTGGTGGTGGTGGTGTGTGTGTGTGCACACATGCACATGTATGTTGGAAGAATGATGTGGAGTTTGAGCAGATTGTTTTCATTACTGTGGGCATTTCTCAAGCATGCCCATGAACTTTACCCCTGGATGATAGTGCCCTGGTATGAGCTGAAGGGTAAAGTTAGAATCAGCATAATTCAGGCTTCACAGGGCGGGCTTGGGAAGAAACAATGATCACAAATGAAGAGACTGAGCACAACTAAGAACACTACCCAGTAATTTTAGAGCTGGTCACCAACACTATAGTGATGCATAAGAAGCAGGAGACATGGTCCATGCCCTCACAAACCATCTGGTATAATTGCTAAGACACAGCACACAACGGAAATAACATCAGGTAGCAGGATCAGCAGACATATTCCATGTAGCTCCACAGGAAACATTGGGAGGCAGATGGAGATTAGGTAAAAGGATGGGCTTTTAATTATTAGATCTGTTCAACAGTGGAAGAGGCTGCCTCGTGGGGTGCTGAGCTTCCTCCCAGTAGAGGTGTTCCAAGGTGGGATGCCTCTTTATCTGGGATGCTGCAGTCTAAATGGAGTTTAGACTGCATGGCCTGCTCCCTCTTAGAGTCTGAGACTTTGCAGCTTTATGCCTTTTAACTGACCTCACATTTTGAGAGGTATGTAAGCCACACGTGGTGACAGCAAAGGCTCGACCAACAGGTTGGAAGTGCTTACTAGACTAAGAATTCATCCTCGGGCTGTGCATCGGGATCTGTGTCTGACTAGGAAGAAAGCCTGCTAAAGACTTCACTGACTTGACTGCTTCAGGGCTGCTCTGGGAAAGTGGTTTCAGACGTCTCTCTTCATAGGCAGGTGTCAGCCAAATGTGTGGCAAGTCACCTCACCCTGGGAGGCGCTTTTATGCCTAAAGCCTGGGGAAGCACTAGAACTAAAACACCGCCTGAGGGAATCTGCTGCAGGTTTGGCTCTGCAAACTTTCCCATCCAGCTAATGAGGAAGGCCTGATTGAAAATGGCAGCGGGAAATTAAAAAACAGAGGAAGCAGCTTTAAACATAGCAACCTCTCACCTGCTTCACTAAGGCTAAGCTGGGTCCTAATATACCTGTGAGGAAAATGAGGCTCAGAGATATTTGAAGACACCTGCTTTAAGGTTTTCTGAATTGCACTGTGGGCTTGGTACTAGAGTTATGTTCCCCAGGCTTGGAAAGAGTCTTCTTAATGGTCTCAGGGGACCACGGCTCTAATGAAAGCAAAAATCACCTTCCAGCCCTTCACAAATCCAGAGTGAAATGCATGGAGCCAGACTGAGCACCATTATATGATAAACTAGTACTTAAATTTCAGAGGTCTCAGGGGGTATGACAGAGGCAGAGAAGAGTTCTGCTTCTTGCTGATGCAGTTATTGGCCACGGTCTTGTTCTTCGCCACATATAAAGGAATTATTACAATGATTCATATTCACGGCTGATCCAGTTTAGCTTTCCATTGCCAAGTTGCCAACAGGTTCCCCCCAGGGACTCTTTTGGGGGTGAAATGGGGAACTGGACCCTGAAATCAAGCTCAAAGCAAGCTATCGAACATTTATTGAGAGCCTAAAAGTTAGGTATAACTTGGATTATCTTAGCAGCAATTTATACAATTATGGCTCTGCCATGAGTCATACATTTGGTTTCCTTCATGTCCCACCCTTTGGGGAAAATGTTTAGTATGTGAGTGTCTATATGAAATAGGACAGCTTTTTATTTGCCTTCAATAGTGAATTGTCTCAACTTTACTTCCCTCAACCATGGTCTATATGGTCCTCCACTCTGGCTTAAACTGGTAGTGGAGTCCGCTTTGCCTCAGTTTTTCTGGCAGGGGATCTTGTAGATTGGCAAGGTGCCCAAGATAACCCTGGGATTGTTCTCAATCAATAAGGTTTTGCTATGCTCCAAATGACTTGGGATTAAACCTTTCGTTTACTCCAATATAAAGAGACTCGACATATTAACTGCTCAAGACCAGGTGTGGCTTGAATAGCTCTTGCAGCAGGTTACTTAAAAGTTTCCTATGCCCGGGAGATACACCAGAGCAAAGCTGCAATTTTGTTAAACTTTGTAGGAGTTCAAAATCCAAGGCTCCCAAGGCTCTGATACATATCCCTCCCCCAACCCCCACCCCCACCTCCGTCCCCACCCCCACCCAGCATCTTCATCATTCTGGGCTCTCCATTCTCTCTCCTCTTTTCTCCTTGTTGAAATATGTTTCCAATCTTCCAGGCCTCTCAAACGCATCGGTGTTTCCTGCTTCAGTAGTCCCGGTGGAGTCACTCATTCTTTATTTAATGTATTCCACACTTTAAATGGGCCTGTTAATTACTCCCTCCTCACTCTGAATTTACTAATTTATTGATCAAATTTCTTTTTGTGCATGTGAGTTTTATTTTGTATGTGCAAAGAATTTATTTGGATCAATTTTATTGACCCCCTCCCACCCCCACTTCCTGGGATATTTTCCCAAACTTTAATTAAGTCTCTGGGAAGTCTCCTTGCTTAAAAGGGAGCTTCTTGCTTCCTCCTTTGTGATAGCATCAACGCTCCAGGCTAAGGTCGGTCTAACCACATTCTCAAGCAGGGGGATAATTTAAAGGGCAACTCGGGGGAAGAACTAGGGCAGGGGTTCTCAAAAGTATGCTCCTCAGAACATCAGCCCTGGTGTCACCTGGGAACTTGTTAGAAATGCAGATTCTCAGACTCTACCCCTATCTACTGAATTGGAAAGTGGAGTGGGATCCGGCACTGTTTTTTGTTGTTGTTTGTTTTTTGTTTTTTTAGACGGAGTCTCACTCTGTCACCCAGGCTGGAGTGCAGTGGCGCGATCTCGGCTCACTGCAACCTCCCCATCCTCTGTTCAAGTGATTCTCCTGCCTCAGCCTCCTGAGTAGCTGGGATTACGGTCGTGCGCCACCACGCCTGGATAATATTTTGTGTTTTTAGCAGAGACAGGGTTCACCATGTTGATCAGGCTGGTCTCCTAACCTCGTGATCCGCCCACCTCGACCTCCCAAAGTGCTGGGATTACAGGCATGAGCCACCGTGCCCGGCCCCTGCACTGTTTTTAAGAAATCCTCTAGGTGATTCTGATGCCCATTGAAGTGTGAGAACCATTGCTGTGGTCCAGGGTTTGTCAGCTTCGATGCTATTGACATTTTGTGCCAAATAATTCCTTGTGGTGGTGGCTGTCCTGTGCATTGTAGAGTGCTTAGCCTAGTGGCCCGTCTTAACTGGGTGCCAGTGGCACCCCCCAGTTGTGACAACCAACAACATCTCTAGACATTGCCAAATGTCCCAAGGGGGATAAGATCATTCTGGTTGAGAACACTGAATTAGAAGATTCAAATCACCCTCCCTTTCCTCTTTAGAATCATCTCTTCTTTATTTGTCTTGGGGACCACATACATAAGACAAAAGTATCCATGAGGAGTTTCTCACAACTTCTAGCATATGACCGTGTTTCATGCTTCACATATATATATTTTCTGTCCCCAAGTACTAAGTACTGTGTCTTGGACTAGGCCAATAATAAGCCCAAAAGCCCAATTTGTTTTAACAGTTCATTTAACCACCTAGGATTAATGCCCCATTCCCTGGCCTTTATACAAAATTCCTGAACTTTTCCAGAGAGAGATCTGATTTTCATTTCTCTTAGAGACTTGAGATTATTTCCAGGCTGTGAAAGAATTGGGTGGAGGGATTCAGATAATGTCATCACTAAGGAGCGGGGTGGGAGTAGGGACTAGGCAGCAGCTTCTGCTCATGCCCCTCTCCTTGCTGAGAATGTCAAAGTATCACTGAAAAATGACAGAGGACAGGTGAAAGTTACAATCAGTGCCTAGATTGAATGGATCAGGTGGAATTAATTTGCTTTTGGCGCTAAGTCCTCCTATCTACTGTAACCCACTTCCTCTATGCACACCCACTGCCTTCTTTCCCTCCTTTCTTCCATGGCAAACCTGCCCTTCACTCCCATGCCTGAGTGACTCCATCTCCTCCTCTCACGAAGTACCACTACATGTATAGGGGCCAGAATTCAGATTTAGGGAGGTGCTGAGCATATGGTAATGCCACTGTCAATTCCAGCATGTGGTCCACTGAGACAAGCACCAGTTACAGGAGCAGTCATGGACACTTGCCTCCCACTGCAGAAATATGCCAGAAAATGTAGTGGTTTTTTTTCATAAGGCCAATCTGGGAGATGTGTCCACCCTTAAGCTCATGGAGCATTCTTTTCCCACCCAGGCCAGTCAGCCAGTGAGCCAATTAAGAGGCAGCCAGCTGGAAGGATTTCCACAGTGCCAATCTAGATGGGCCCTAAAACATTATTGGAATAAACTAGCAATATCGTGCCAGTTTACTCAGGTTTCCATACACGACTTCACGGAACTAGTGACGTGTAAATTGGTTCTGCGCTTTCCAAAACTGATAACATCCTCAAGTGAAAATTAAAAAGAAAAACCAAACAAACAACACTACCACAAACTCACTTTACAGTCCAAATCAGTTGAAATTTTGACACCTAATTTTGACACCTAATAATGTATGGCATAGTGCTGATAATAACAGCAAAAGATTCATTAATTAAACTTTAAAATCCTTTAGTGTGACTCCCAGGAAATTGTTTGGCTCAGAAGTTTGCAAAAGAAAAATGGAGAACATGAATGAAGACTAGCAGGAAACATGCTGTTAAAATAGCTTCACAGTGAAAGTAAATTATTAAATGACTGTTTTTATTAATAAAGAATCAGTTTTCCCACCCCTGTTAATGTTAAACAGATTTTTGAAAGGCATGTCCAAAGCAATCCCAAGTCTCAGGCCTTCCCTGCTCAGGTCTGCAGAAAGCAGCTAAAAATGCACTGTATTCATTGGCTCAGGGAATTAAACCTTTCAGGCTCCTCCTGCACTCTCACTGCCTGCACTGTGCCTTGCTATGTGTGCATCTGTGTTTTCAGACACCCCTTGGGTTTCTGTCTTGGCTCTCCTTTCTCACCTTGCTTTCTTTAGACTTGGTAGCCTGGTTCCCATAGAAGCCGCCAGTAGGAATTGCCCCATGCTTCCAACTTTAGAAATGCTGTTCGTATGCACCTGCGGCAGCAATGAATCTCGGTCTTAAACTCAGGTGTGCATAAAATGTAGCTTTCTTAATTTTCTTGAAGTTGTAGTGGTAAAAAAGAGTGGGGACTCAGAATATTTAATTCTTTACTGTTTATAAGAAGTGTATTATGTGAAAGATGTAGAGAACTATTCACTAGCTAGAGGCTGGGCCACACTACACTCTAGATCCTTGCGTCAAAATTGCAGGCTGTCTTTTATACATGAGTATAAGCTAAGATTCTGTTGCAAGCATTGTCTCCTGATAGTGGGGGATGGGTATTTTTGTAATCTTCAGCTAGAAAAGGTGAAGCGCTGTGATACTCAGCAAAGTGCAAGAAATAGACATTAGTTAACAAACTTCCAAAAGGTTATTTAAAAGTGGTACTGATAACATTCATTTGAAAAGGAAAGGAGGTCACTGTGTTTGTCTGGTGAAACATTAGGGACCTCTCATTTTGCTGACACTGTTTCTCTTCTAATCATTGACATGTGATGTCTTTTATTATAGGAGCTAACTTCCTCTTATAGTCTATCCTCTGTGGATTTGTGAGTCCACACATTTTTACCTGTACATGAACTTGGCTATGAATGTGCCTTGCCAAGGATTACACTTGTTCATCATCACCATGAGAGACATTCCAGGGAGATGAACGTGGTGGGATGCAGGAAAGAAACACCTTCCTGGTAGATGATGGCAAAATACAATAGTAAGCAAGGTGAGCACTGTTAAGAAGACTTGGCTGGTATTAGCTCAGTTGGTTCCCAGTTCATATAATTAGTCCTGGAGTTATCTGTCCATGCACTTCTTTGAGACTTCATTGTGGTCTTCACCTCAGTGAATCATGGGTGCCAAAAATGACTCCCTTATTCCTTCTAGACTAAAGATGACACAGGGCTTTGGAACCTAAGGATTCTCATCTAGCCTTTAATATCTTAATTTGTATCTGTATGTTGCTGAGGAGTTAGATTTGCCCTGTTTTGGCGGGGGTTGTGGTTTGAATCCTTGCCTCTATGGTTCACAGGTGGGGAAAAGCTTGCAATTAGGTATATGTTTCTGTTGGGTGGTCTGCAGTCCACACAGCTGTGTATGTAGGTGGGTCCAGGGAACTTTGAAGGATCCAGCACTTCTGAGTTTGAGGTGGTTTGTTCTCCAGAATTTCCTGCATAGACCTAGTCCCCTGGCTGACATGGATATCTTGGTGTGAATTCCCATGTTGGTCTGTAGCCTGAACACATACTGAAAGGAACTGTAGACATTAGCTCTCAACTTTAAGACTGCAATGTATCCTTCAACACTGAGGGCAATCGCTGGACTACTAGCTAGAGGACAATCTCATGAAGGCTTAGTGCACAGTTCAGTGACTTGCAGCCCACAGGAAGTTTACTTCTTTTAAATATTCAAAATTTGAAGGGGTTTAGGCCTCTTATTAAGGCCTGTTTCATGGCAGAATGTACTTAGTCCTTGCTTAATGTTGCACATCTTGCCTTTGCTTCCACTTTGCAAGAGTTTTGAGGGTGGTAAAGAGTGTGTGTCTGAAATTTGTTTTTTACAGCTTTAGATACGTGGTGAAAATTTTGTTCCATAAAATAGAAGCTTTGGTCTGATTTCATATTAAGAGGAATTTTCCAGTGAAAAAATGTATTCCTGAAGCATTAAAAGAAAAAATCAGTAATAGCACTATCCTCCTATTGCAGAGGAAAGCCTTGGGCCATCCAGAAAAAAAAAAAAAGGCACATTACAAGTTAGACATGGGAGTATCCCACTATCTGAAAACAGCCAATAAAATCAATTTGCAGGTGGGTAAAGGGCCTTCAACTCCAGTTGTGTCCTATATCACATTTGTTGCAATTTCCCTGCATTACAAGTAGCACAAAGACTAGCTAACATATACTGAGAAGAGGTAATATTTTAAAATCCCAGTATAAATTTGGTATTTTCTATTTATTCCATCATCCGCTGCCCTTTATTCATGGGTATCCTATGGGGGGAGGCTTGGGCTAAGATGGGAGGAAGGACTCAGAGGCCACAGGATTCCTGGCAGGATATGGTAAACAGGCTAGTGAAGGCAGGCTGCTGAGGAACTGTCAGCAGTGAACACTGTCCAAGCAGTGTTCCTCTTGGTGAGGCCCCATTGTGGGGATGGGGCAGATAGGACTGGGGACAGGATAGAGGGCTGACAGTCCATGTGTCTGTGCAAAAAGCAGTGTTAGCAGCTGCCCCACCTTGAGCGTGGCCCTTTTAAGTATTTTAGTGGTCTACTAAGCAAATCTGCCTGGGAACTAAATACTTTTTAAAAATTAAATCTATGAAAATAACATGCCTGAAGATCTTAGATGTTTCAGTACTGAAAATTTATTAAGATTGCACTTTGAAATCATAACTGTTAATTACACATTCCATATTATATTTACATGGCTGTCACAAGGTGAATTCTCTCATGTATCACAAATATATAATCAGATATACAGAACTTCCTTCTTAATACAAACATATAAATACAATAATTTACTTCTTTTAAACATCTCTATACCTAATTTTATATTATTCCACCTAGGGAAGAATTATCATACCAAATCAATGAGGATATTTGCTGCCAAAGGCTTAGGCATGGAGGCCAACTGGATTCTCATCCATGACCCTGATAGGACATCCTGAACCCCATTTATGTTGTTTTAAGAGTGATTCCATAACCTCAAGAGGTAAGTGATCAGTGACTTAGCCCATTTCCCTGGGATAATGTTATTACATTACATAATAAGTCTGTAGTTTCCATCCGAGTTGATAAAATCTTACGATATTGTATTGTATTTCTCCACACTCTAAAGAACTTGGAAGTTGATGGGTTCTTGAGATATGTTAATACTTTTCCCATTGATTCATATTCTTAGGGCCATACATATCTTAAGAATACTTACATTTATATACAATTGAATTCCAGATATTTCATTTTGCTTTGTCTGACTTGAGATCGCAGTTTATTGGCCATTCTGATATTCCCCTGGCATCAGAAATTGCCCTTCAACTGATGTATTTACTAGTTTCTATATTCTCTATTGATACAATAAATTAATCAATAATGCCTCATGAATGAGAAATAAAACTCCATAGAAATGCATTCTGTTCTGTTTTTGTTTGTTTGTTTTTGTTTTGAGACAGAGTCTCACTCTGTCACCGAGGCTGGAGTGCAGTGGCACTGTGTCGACTCTCTGCAACCTCCGTCTCCTGGGTTCAAGCAATTCTCCTGCCTCAGCCTCCCGAGTAGCTGGGATTACAGGCGTTTACCACCACGCCCAGCTAGTTTTTATGTTTTTAGTAGAGATGGGGTTTCACCATGTTGGCCAGGCTGGTCTTGAACTCCTGACCTTGGGTGATCTGCCTGCCTCGGCCTCCCAAAGTGCTGGGATTATGTAGGCATGAGCCACCGTGCCCGGCCATTCTGTTCTATTCACCTACTTTTGAAATCATTTCTTATGGTTTCTTTTTGTGTATCATTATGGGAGCATGGTTTTTCATAGACTTACTATATTTCAGTCACCTATAGTAATTATTTTCTTTTTAATGTGGAAGACTTTAAAAACTTTTGCTCCATTCCTTATAACATGACCCACTACTCATTGAAAGTTTTGTTGCTTTCTGGTACAATCATATTTTCCCCGCTCCCCTTGTACCTTTCTGCCCCAGACATGGAATCACTCATGTTTGAAGGAGTCATGGTTCCTTTCAGTGAAAGAATAGTATCAGAGACCAGAATCTGAATGCTAAGGGGGCACTGTATGGGTATCACTGCTCTTGGCTCATTTCAATGAACAGAGCTAGAAAAGGTTTGTGATTTTTCTTTTTTCATATTGTTATTTTACATTTATCTCTTATGGTGCAGAATTCCTAAATTTTTGATTTTGAACACAGTAAATATAGTTACTTATTTGATTAATCTGGTTAAAAAAAGAATTGTTTAAAAATAACAATATAATATTAAACAATAAACCTACAAAGTAAAGTTCAAGATTTTCTATACAGTTCTTTTTGTTCCTAGCTGCATCCCACTAAGAATGTATGGTCAGCTTTCTTTATCCGAATCATCCATAACTCCTCATTCTGTATGGTTAAATAAGTATCTGATATCTTCATTCAATTATTTGTTTGCTTTCAATTTGAAGGCTTTGTCTTTTAGTAGTTGATATTTCTTTCTTTCTTTTTTTTTTTTTTTTTTTTTGAGGGGGAGTCTCGCTCTGTCACCCAGGCTGGAGTGCAGTGGCACGATCTTGGCTCACTGCAACCTCTACCTCCTGGGTTCAAGCAATTCTCCTGCCTCAGCCTCCCGAGTAGCTGGAATTACAGGTGTGTGCCACCACGCCTGGATAATTTTTGTATTTTTAGTAGAGACAGGCTTTCACCATGTTGGCCAGACTGGTCTCGAACTCCTGACCTCAGGTGATCCATCTGCCTCAGTGCTCCCAAAGTGCTGGGATTACAGGCATGAGCCACCGCGCCCGGCCATTAGTTGATATTTCTTAGTTTTCAGAAAGTGAAGGCTTTTCCCGGTGGAGGTAGGAATCAAAGAAAATGGAGGAGTCCCCTTACCTGTCTAGACGGAGATGATAAAAAGATTCAGATGCTCAGTTTTCAAGGTTCTGTTTAATATAACCCGGGGGAATGAGCTAAATCACTGACTACTTCACCCCCTGAGGTTATGGAATCACTCTTAAAACAACATAAATAGGGTTCAGGATGTCCCATCAGGGTCATGAATGAAAATCCAGTCAGCCTCCACACCTAAATCTCTGGCTCTGGCAGTAAAAATTCAGATGCTGTTTTCAAGGTTCTGTTTCATGTATAATGGTACATGATTATTTGATTTTTGGCTGAATAATTCTGACTCGTATTATTTAATTTCTAGTAACATTAGAACCTCACATTTTCACATATTCAGTTGAACTCTACTGAATTCTATATTTATCTTAAAACTTCTTAACTTCTTATTTTCTGAGCTACATGTTCTTCTCTTTTTCATAACATTGCAATGATTCCTTAAAAACTATGTATATCATACTATGTACTGATAACCAGTTTGCAGTTTATGACATGATTTTTCTAATTAGTATTATTTTAATGCAGTGATATTCATAGTCTTTACTCTTCCTGCTGGAAATCAAGATGATACCTAGAATTCCATATAATTAATAAAAGCAGTACTTGTAAATATAAGTTCTGAAGGTTTTGCCCCCAAACCCTCTTTTGATTCCTGGCTCATCACTCTGATTTTACTTTGCATATATGTACCAGTATCTTTCTTTTAATTGTATACATTACCGTTGTAGAATTTCAGTTTCTTAGAGGCTTCTGGATAAATACCTTATTGCTATATGAATTCAAACTGCTAAAAGCCAATTAAAAATGTAAGAAAATAGAACCAGATTATATTAAAATATAGTAATTCCTGAAAAAAATACATCTTTAAAATTTTTTCAGAAGCTTTAAGTTGACTTTTTCTGTAGATTTGAAACTTTCCCAGATTATCTGTTTCTTCTACAATTTATAAAAGAGGACATTTTTAGAATTATAGCAATTTCTACTGAGATTCCATGGTTTATATTTCATTTACATAAAGCTTTAAGTATTGTGTTTAAGGGCAGAAATCTAATCCTTGCATCAGATTAAATATGCTATGCCCTCGTTCCCAATTTTGCTTTCTGTAGGTACTGCACAAAATTGCATTTTTTTTATTTTTTATTTTTTTATTAAGACAGTCTCTCTCTGTCGCCTAGGCTGGAGTGCAGTGGTGCGATCTTGGCTCACTGCAACCTTCACCTCCTGGGTTCAAGCGATTCTCTGATTCTCCTGCCTGAGCCTCCTGAGTAGCTGGGATTACAGGAGCGCGCCAACAAGCCTGGCTAATTTTTGTGTTTTTGGTAGAGATGGGGTTTCACCATGTTGGCCAGGATGGTCTCAAACTCCTGACCTTGTGATCTGCCCGCCTCAGCCTCCCAAAGTGCTGGGATTACAGGCGTGAGCCACTGCACCCAGCCGCATTTTTTAATATTAAGGTAAACTGAAAACATTTCCTATTTTCTTATACAATGTACTTTTCACTAATCTTTTAGAATTTAAAAGCTACTCAATACTAGATTCCAACATAAATTATACATATTTTAAAAAACAAAATTCAAAAATGAATATTTTATACCAAATAAGAAATTTAAAATGAACTGACACATTAAGATTAGAAAGAATCTTGCAATGTACAGATTTTGTCTATGTCTCATGGTTTGTCTCTGCTTTTTTGGTACTTCCTGTCTGAAATGTGGGATATTTGTCTCTTCTTGTCCCTTGGACTGAGAAACACCCATAAGCAGTGCACCTAGTTAAGAGACAGAAGACTACACCCATATTTTTGAGGTCCTAGTGGAGAGTATTCACTACAAACTTACACTGACAGTGTAGATTCCTACTTGAAATGACAAAGCCTTTCTGAACTGAAAAGCGTTCCTGGCAGCGGAGGGGAGGTGAGGAGGGAGGATGAGGTCTTAGTAGGTGTGCACTCAGCCAACATCTCATCCATCATTTGGGGTCTGTGTTGCATTTTCTTCTGTAAGGACTTGCTGTTTCCTCACTTGTAACCAGAAAGTTGGGAGTTCTGGATTCCTCTTTTCGGCAGACCCGTAGATCTCACTCTCTGGCATCTTGCTGCTGCCCTGCAGGCAGGGTGAAGAAGTAGGGTAGAGAGCACTCCTCTCTCCTATCTTACTTCCCCCAAATTGGGGAAAATGGTCTTCATTCATACTTCAGGCTAAGACATTTTGTTTTTACCAGAGAATCCCTTTCTCCTAAGTGTTTCAGCTTTGGGAACTTAAAAACCAGAATGATTTGCCAGCTAGTTATGTTTTTTACTCTGCCGCACACCTCTCCTGAGAGTAAGCAAAGAGCTACTTGTTTGAATAAAGGGAAGGGAGAGGGGGAAATGCCAGGATGAATCTACTCCCACCCTGTAGATTACCAATAATAATTATATATATATACCAATAATAATTATATATATATATATATATATTTTTTTTTTTTGAGATGGAGTCTCGCTCTGTCACCCAGGCTAGAGTGCAGTGGCATGATCTCGGCTCACTGCAGCCTCCATTTCCTGAGTTCAAGCAATTCTCCTGCCTCAGCCTCCCCAGCAGCTGGGACTACAGGTGCCCACCACCACACCCGGATAATTTTTTTTTTTTGTATTTTTAGTAGAAACAGATTTTGCCATGTTGGCCAGGCTGGTCTTAAACTCCTGGGCTCAGGCGATCTGCCTGCCTTGGCCTCCCAAAGTGCTGGGATTACAGGCGTGAGCCACCACGCCTGGCCAATAATAATATTTAAAAAACTCTCACAGCTGCATACCAAAGCCCAGGACCTTAGAAAATGAAGGCTATAGGAAGGGACCACATCTGATAACAGCCAAAACTAATCAAGGTGCTTATTGGTCCCAAAGATCTTGTAGGAACAGTGTTAGAAGGAGCCTTTTAGATATAAGAAAGGAAGGAGCACATTGGCTGGTCAGTTTAGGGGGAATTTAGGGAAGTCTATTGCTTCTGAATTTAGAAGTTGTATTTAGCATCTTACTACTCCCAAAGCCCACTTTTCCCCTCCATTGTAATTTCTTCTTTTGGAGGAAGTGGTGGAGAGGATTCCCTAGTTATTGGTGATGTTTTGGAAGAAAATAAACCAAGTTTTAAAATCTCACTTTACCCATCCAGTAACCTTTGGGCAGAGGGCAGGATGAGGTATTGAGCTATTTCCAACTTGTGAGGATCTCCATGTTACCTTACTGTCTCCCCCAAAGCCCATTGCCAGACCATGAGCCTAGAGAGAGGACAGAAGAATACCAATGTAGGAGATGACAAAAGGTAGACAGGAAGAAAGAAGAGAAGGCTTTCTTCCCATTCAGTTTTGTGATCAGGGATGTGGAGGCTGGTGAATTAGGACCCTGGTGAAGGGGAATAAGCACCTGTAAGCAAATCCTATGGCTCCAGAGAAGAGCGTGCAGTACAGAGTAATGCAAGGGAGGGGCAAGGCATGGCTAACTAATGAGGATGTGGACACTTATGTCACAATGTAGCTGTGCAGTGCACAATACATTGCATATCTGTCAAAAATTCTTGGATGTGTCCAGGAATGGCTACATCCTAGAACAATAATGATATACTGAAATTTAATGGCATGAAAGCAAACAAAATCCATCCACTCTCAATGCAATAAACCTGTGACTGTAGCATCCCCCAACATTATCTGGGTGATGAAAGATTGAAGGCCATTTAGGCAAGTGAAGTTACCAGCTGACTAAATTATCTTTTATGATAATTTTCTCAGAAAGATTCCAGAATAATGATCCTATCAGTAAGTCCATATTTTATATTTTATTCCAAAAGATGGAGCTAGAATATCTCAGACTAGATCCAGAGGGAAAACAAACAAAACAAAAACGGGTTAAGAGAGCTTATTGGAGATCTAGTAGTGACCTGTGTGAGCCTATTACCTGCTTCTTTTTTGAAGTAAAACCAATATCACTATCCTGGTATACAGAACAAAATTGGCGAAAGCTCCTTTGGAAGCTCCTGAGCCATCACGTGGGGAGTAGCATTCAGACAGGCTTAATAGTCCAAAAGTCTATGCAAGTCACAAGCACACGCCCTGTGCTTAGTAATTACGGAGTGCACTTATGCTAATTAGTCCAGATTTACAGATTAGCAATGCATTTTAACGATTTAATTATAATCCCAATGTAATATATAAGGGATGAAATTGAACATTGCAATGCTGTTACTGATTGGAGCTTCTTTGTTTTCTTATTATTTTTAAAGGTGTGCACACATGGGTTGGGGGAGAGGGAAGAGATTTATAGGCGTTCTAGGAATGCTCATGTAATAGATCCCTGGCTTATAATAAAATAACTAGAGCAGAAAACTGCGGCATTGTACATTCAACAGAAGGAGTTTCCAAGAAGTGTTCAGTCTCTGAAAGGATAAACTGATTAAGAGGCCATCTACCTCCAAATGCTACCCCCTAGTAAGGGCGACTTCATAAAGAATTTTGTTAATATTGATATTTAGCCAGTGTTAAGGCATAGTAAGCTAATCGGAGACAAAGATAATGTATAGTAAATAGGTTTTAAGAAATTCACTTATCTGAGTTGCTCATTTAGCACCCCCTGTCATTTAATCGAGAGCAGGATCTCCAGGAGAGACCAAAAGCTTGACACGAGTTTAGCAAAAAGAAAAGGAAAAAGAGTTGGCAGAACAAGGCCCTGGTTAGGCTTTCCCTGGCTTTGGGAGTTACATCATGAGGGCATCGGGGCCGGGAGAGAGAAGATCAAAGACAAACTTTATTCACTTCCAAATTTGGCTGTAGTTAGTTTTATTATTCACTTCACCAGGAAACCTGAAACTAGAGAGATAAGCCCTTACATTTTTATAACACGTTCTAACTTTGTAATGAGCTCTGTTCGTTATCACTTTTGATCTTCACAGAACCCTGTGAAGTTAGCAGAGTCAGGTTTTATTACATCCATTTGGCAAATAGCCACCTGCATTGTTATCCTCTTCACTTTTGTGGTGGATCATTCTTAAGCAGGGAAAAGGCTCAAGAAATTGGGTAGATACTTAAAGAAATAAACTGCTAAATTAAAACAGATAACACTGTTCTATCTGGATTGTGTTTTCAAAGCAACTTTATTTAAGTAGAATTGACATATATAATATAACTGCACATATTGAAAGTATATTCTTTGATAAGTTTTGACGGATGTATATGCCTGTCAAACTATCACCACAATCAAGATGATGAGTATATCCAACACCCTCCAAAAGTATCTTTGCACCTCTTTGTATTTCTTCCCTCCCTGTCTTCCCTGCTCTGGTTTTTTACTTTCTTCTCCTTAATTTGAGTTTCATATGCTCTTCTTCTAGTTTCTTAAGGTAGAAGGTGAGGTCATTGATATGAGATCTTTCATCTTTTCTAACATAGGCAGTGAGTGCTATAAATTTCCCTCCAAGTACTACTTTGGCAGTAACCCCAAACTTTGATCAATTGTGTTTTCAATTTTATTCAGGTCAAAATACTTTCTAGTTTCCCTCTGGAATTCTTCTTTGACTCATGGGTTATTTAGAAGTATGTTATTTAGTTTAAAGATATTAGGGGATTTTCCAGATATTTTTCTACTACTTATTTAGAATGTAATTCCACTGTGGACACAAAATATCCTTTTTATGACATGAATCCTCTGAAATGTATTGAGACTTGTTTTATGGCCCAGAATATGGTTTGTCTTTGTAAATGTTCTATGTGTACCTGAAAATAATTTGTATTCTGCTGTTGGGTAGAGTGCTGTCTCTATAAATTAGGTTAAGTTGGTTGGCAGTATTTTATTATTATTATTATTATACTTTAAGTTCTGGGATACCTGTGCAGAATGTGCAGGTTTGTTACATTGGTATACATGTTCCATGGTGGTTTGCTGCACCCATCAACCCATCACTTACATTAGGTATTTCTCCTAATGCTATCCCTCCCCTAGCCCCCCACCCCCCAACAGGCCCTGGTGTGTGATGTTCCCCTCCCTGTGTCCATGTGTTCTCATTGTTCAAACTCCCACTTATTCTCATGAGTGACAACATGCAGTGTTTGGTTTTCCATTCTTGTGTTAGTTTGCTGAGAATGATGGTTTTCAGTGTCATCCATGTCCCTGCAAAGGACGTGAACTCATCCTTTTTTATGGCTGCATAGTATTCCATGGTATATAGGTGCCACATTTTATTTATCCAGTCTATCATTGATGGGCATTTGCGTTGGTTACAAGTCTTTGCTATTGTGAACAGTACCACAATAAACATACATGTACATGTGTCTTTATAGTAGAGTGATTTATAATCCTTTGGGTATATACCCAGTAATGGGATAGCTGGGTCAAATGGTATTTCTGGTTCTAGATCCTTGAAGAATTGCCATACTGTCTTCCACAATGGTTGAACTAATTTACACTCCCACCAACAGTGTAAAAGCATTCCTATTTCTCCACATCCCCTCCAGCACCTGTTGTTTCCTGACTTTTTAATGATTGCCATTCTAACTGGTGTGAGATGATATCTCATAGTGGTTTTGATTTACATTTCTCTAATGACCAGTGATGATGACCTTTTTTTCATGTTTGTTGGTCACATAAATGTCTTCTTTTGAGAAGTGTCTGTTCATATCTTTCACCCACTTTTTGATGGCGTTGTTTGTTTTTTTCTTGTAAACTTGTTTAAGTTCTTTGAAGATTCTGGATATTAGCTCTTTGTCAGATGGATAGATTGCAAAAATTTTCTCCCATTCTGTAGGTTGCCTGTTCACTGTGATGATAGTTTCTTGTGCTGTTCAGAAGCTCTTTATTTTAATCAGATCCCATTTGTCTATTTTGGCTTTTGTTGCCATTGCTTTTGGTGTTTTAGTCATGAAGTCTTTGCCCATGCCTATGTCCTGAATGGTATTGCTTAGGTTTTCTTCTAGGGTTTTTATGGTTTTAGGTCTTATGTTTAAGTCTTTAATCCATCTTGAGTTAATTTTTGTATAAGGTGTAAGGAAGGGGTCCAGTTTCAGCTTTCTGCATATGGCTAGCCAGTTTTCCCAACACCATTTATTAAATAGGGAATCCTTTCCCCATTTCTTGATTTTTGTCAGGTTTGTCAAAGATCAGATGGTTGTAGATGTGTGGCGTTATTTCTGAGGGCTCTGTTCTGTTCCATTGGTCTATATATCTGTTTTGGTAGCAGTACCATGCTGTTTTGGTTACTGTAGCCTTGTAGTATAGTTTGAGGACAGGTAGCATGATGCCTCTAGCTTTGTTCTTTTTGCTTAGGATTGTCTTGGTTGTGCGGGCTCTTTTTTAGTTCCATATGAAATGTAAAGTAGTCTTTTTCAATTCTGTGAAGAAAGTCAATGATAGCTTGATCAGGATAGCATTTAATCTTTAAATTACTTTGGGCAGTATGGCCATTTTGATGATACTGATTCTTCCTATCCATGAGCATGGAATGTTTTTCCATTTGTTTGTGTCCTCTCTTATTTCATTGAGCAGTGGTTTGTAGTTCTCCTTGAACAGTTCCTTCACATCCCTTGTAAGTTGTATTCCTAGATATTTTACTCTCTTAGTAGCAATTGTGAATGGGTGTTCACTCATGATTTGGCTCTCTGTTTGTCTGTTATTGGTATATAGGAATGCTTGTGATTTTTGAACATTGATTTTGTATCCTGAGACTTTGCTGAAGTTGCTTATCAGTTTAAGGAGATTTTGGGCTGAGACGATGGGGTTTTCTAAATATACAATCATGTCATCTGCAATCAGGGACAATTTGACTTCCTCTTTTCCTAATTGAATACCCTCTATTTCTTTCTCTTGCCTGATTGCCCTGGCCAGAACTTCCAACACTATGTTGAATAGGAATGATGAGAGGGAAATGATGTCTCTGGTAACCTCTTTCAGGCTGTTGCAATAATCTAGATTAGAGCTGATGAGGTTTTATTATGGCATTAACAATGAAAAACAAGGAAACTAACCTAAAGAACATAAAAACCAAAATAATTTAGAGACTAATGTGATATGAGGGGAGGAAAGAGAAGATCTTAGGATGTTTTCAAAACAGTCAAGAAGTATATATGTATGCTGTAAGAGTGATACAATAGACTTTGGATACTCGGGCTAAAGGTGGGAGGGGGGTGAGGAATAAAAGACTATACATTGGGTACAGTGTATACTGCTTCGGTGATGGGTGCACCAAAATCTCAGAAATCGCCACTAAAGAACTTATTTATGTAATCAAACACCAGTTGTTCCCAAAAACCTATTGAAATAAAAAATAAATTAAATGGTATATATGTATGCCCTGATTTCCAGGACTCCATTTAAATTTAACACAATGATTTAACATGAAAGTGCAAAAACACACTTTTGATTTATAATATTATCAACTTGGAATGCTATATCAGGACTTAACGCCATCATAAGTTGAGCACCTACATTCATTTTCTATTGCAGTATGTAGTAGGCAGAATGACCCCCTCAAAGATATCTGCAAACCATTCCCCAGAACCTGTGAATGTTACCTTACAAGACAGAATGAACTTTGCAGATGTGACTAACTTAAGAATGGAGAGAGAATTCTGATTTATCTGGGTGGGCCCAGTATTATCATGAGAGTCTTGATAAGATGGAGGTGAGAAGGTCAGAGTCAAAAAAAAAAGGTATGATGAAGGAAGCAGAGGTCATAGAGACAGACAAAAACCTGAAGTTGATGTACTACTGGCTTTGAAGGTGGAGAAAGGAGCCATGAGTTAAGGAGTGCAAGTGATCTCTACCCTAGAGGCTCCAGAAGGAGCCCAGCCCAGCTAGCACATTGGTTTTTAGGATTTCTGACCTCTGGAATAAGACAATAGATGTGGATTGTTTTAAGTCATATGTTTGTGATGACATGTTACAGCAGCAATAGGAAAAAAATATACTGTGTAACAAATTACCCCAAAGCTAGTGACTTAACACAGCATACATTTATTATCTCACAGTTTCCATAGGTCAGAAGTGTGGGTGTGCCTTAAGTAGGTTTACTGCATGGTGTCTCACAAGGCTGCAATCAAGCTGCCAGCCAGTGTTCTTATCTGGAATCTCCACTGGGGAAGAATCCATTTCCAAGCTCATTCAGTTTGTTTACAGGCTTCATCCCCTTCACAGCTGTAGAATTCAGGTTCCCATTTTCTTGCCAACTGTGGATCAAAGTCTGCTTTTAGGAAGTAGAGTCTGTCTGCAGTTCCTTGCCATGTGGCCCTCTCTGAAGGCCCTTTTACAGCATGTGTGTTTGTGTGTGTGAGCACATATGTAATCACAGGAGTGACATCCAATCATCTTTGTCATCTTCTACTAGTTAGAAGCAAATCACAGATCATTGCCACACTCAAGGGAAGGACATTATACAGGGTGTGAAGGTGGGGGCCATCCTAAGTTCTGTTGGCCATACTTGATGTTGAAAAATCACAATTAATCCTGTCGTCTTCTGTTAGTAAAATTTTGAATCAGGAAGAGCTTTGAGCTTGGCAGAGATGGGGAAGCTAAAGTTCATGACAGCATATATATGTTCTTCAAAATACATATGCTAGAATGTTTATAGCAACCGTATTTTGGACAGCTAAAAAATAGGGAAACTATCCAATTTACCCTCAGTAGTAGATTGGATATAATTAGTATTACTTTGAATGAATGTACAATAAACAGAAATGAAAGTGAACATTCTAAAACTATGTTCAACCATATGAATGAACATCTAAAACATAATATTGAGAAAAACTAGATATAAGAATGCATACTGAAGGGTTCAATTTGTATAAAGCACAAAAACACATAAAATGAATCTATACTGTTGCAAATGATAACATTTCCTTTTTAAAATTGTGTATATATACCACCTTTTCTTTGTTCATCTGTTGATGGACACTTAGGTTGCTTCCATGTCTTCGCTATTGTGAAAAATACTGAAATTAACATGGGAGTGCAGATATCTCTGACATACCAATTTCAATTCCTTTGGATATATACTCAGAAGTGGGATTGCTGGATCATAGAGTAATTCTATTTTTAGTTTTTTGAAGAACCTCTATACTATATTCTAAAATAGCTGTACTAATTTACATTCCCACCAATAGTATACTATGGTTCATTTTTTCCCCATATCCTCACTAACACTTGTTTTCATTTGTCTGTTTGATACAGCCATTCTAGCAGGTGTGAGGTGATATCTCATTGTGATTTTAATTTGCAATTACCTGATGATTAGAGATGCTGAACATTTTTCATATATTGGTTGGTCACTTGTATCTCTTCTTTTGAGAAATATCAGTTCAGATCCTTTGCCCGTGTTTTAATTGGGTTATTTGTTTTCTTGCTATTGAGTTGAGTTCCTTATATATTTTGGATATTAGCCCCTTATGATAGAACTGAAGAACATTATGCCAAGTTAAATAAGCCAAGAAAAGACACATACTGTATGGTTTCACTTATTTGTGGAATTGAAAAATGTCATAATCTGTTAAAATGACTATTTAAAAAATGCAGAAAATAACAAATGCTGTCAAGGATGCAGAGAAAGGGGGACACTCCTACACTGTTAGTGGGAATGTAAATTAGTGCAGCCACTATGGAAAACATGAAGGTTCCTCAAAAACCTAAAAATAGAACTACATGATCCAGCAATCCTACCACTAGGTATATAAGCAAAGAACGGAAATCAGTATATCAAAGGGATACCTGCACTTTTATATATTTCAGCACTATTCACAGTAGCTATGATATGGAATCAATTTAGTTGTCCATCAACAGATAAATGAATAAAGTAAATGTGGCATATATATACAACAGAACATTATTCCACCATAAAAAGAATGAAACCCTGTCATTTGAAACGGTGTAGATGGAATTGGAGGTCATTATGTTAAGTAAAATAAGCCAGGCACAGAAAGACAAATGTCACGTATTCTCACTCATGTAGGAGCTAAAAATTGATCTCATGGAGTTGGTGAATAGAATGATGTTTATCAGAGGCTGGGAATGGTAGTGAGGAGGGAGACATAAAAAGGAGTTGGTTAATGGATACAAAAATAGAAGGAATAAGATCTAGTATGCAGTGGCACAATATGGCAAATATAGTTAACAATAATGTATTATATATTTTAAAATAGCTAGAAGAGAGGATTTCAAATGTTCTCAACACAAATATTTGAAATGATGGATATCACAACTATCCAGATTTGATCATTATATATTGTATACTTTTTCAAAATATCACATGTATCCCATAAATATATCTATAGCTGTCATATATCCATAACAAGACAAATTAAAACTATAAAAAGTTGATCTCATAGAAACCAAATAAAAAGCTTGTTACCAGAGGCAGAGGAGAGAGGATGGTGAGGGAATGGGGAATGGGGAAATGTTGATTAAAGGGTACAAACTTTCAATTAGATTGTAGGAATAATCTTTAGTGATCTATTACATTACATGATGACCACAGTTAATAATAAGGTATTGCTAGCAAACCAAACCCAACAGGACATCAAAAAAAAAAATAATTCACCATGATCAAGTGGGTTTCATTCTAGGGATACAGGGATGGTTCAACTTACACAAGTCAATAAATGTGATTCATTATATAAACAGAATTAAGTGCAAAAGCCATATGATCATCTTAATAGACACAGAAAAAACATTGATAAAATCCAGCATCTCTTTATGATAAGAACCCTCAACAAACTAGGCATAGAAGAAACATACTTCAAAATAATAAAAGCCGTATCTGACAAACTCATAGCCAGCATCATACTAAATAGGGAAAAGTTGAAAGCATTCCCCCTGAGAAGTAGAACAAGACAAGGATGCCCACTTTCACCACTTCTAAACAATGTAGAACTGGAAGTCCCAGCCAGAGCAATCAGGCAAAAGAAAGAAATAAAGTACATCCAAATTGGAAAAGAGGAAGTCAAACTGTTTGCTGATGATATGATCTTATATCTAGAAAACCCTCAAACTTCTCCAAAAAACTTCTAGATCTGATAAACTCAGTAAAGTCTCAGGTTACAAAATCAACATACACAAAACAGTAGCAGTGCCAAACACCAACAATGACCAAGCTAAGAATCAAATCAAGAATTCAGTCCCTTTTACAATAGCTACAAAAATTAAAATACCTCAGAATATATTTAACCAAGGAGGTGAAAGATCTCTACAAGGGAAACTACGAAACACTGCTGAAAGAAATCATAGATGACAGAAACAAATGGAAATACGTCCCATGCTCATGGATTGGAAGAATCTATACAGTGAAAATGACCATACTGCCCAAAGCAATCTACAGATTCAATGCAATTCCCATAAATATACCACCATCATTTTTCATAAAATTAGAAAAAAAACCCTAAAATTTATATGGAGCCAAAAAAGAGCCCAGATAGCCAAAGCAATCCTAAGCAAAAAGAGCAAATCTGTAGGCAGCATATTATCCAATTTAAATTTATACTACAAGGGTTTAATTACCAAAACAGCATGGTACTGGTATAAAAGTAGACATATAGACTAATGGATCAGAGTAGAGAACCCAGCAGTTAAGCCAAATACTTACAACCAACTGATCTTTCACAAAGCATACAAAAATATAAATTGGGGAAAGGACACCCTATTCAATAAATGGTACTGGGAAAACTGTCAAGACACATGTAGGAGAATGAAACTGGATCCCCATCTCTCACCTTCTACAAAAATCAACTCAAGATGGATCAAAGACTTAAATATAATATCTGAAACCATAAAAATTCTAGAAGAATACCTGGGAAAAACTCTTCTGAACATTGGCCTTGGCAAAGCATTTATGACTAGACAAAAACAAAACAAAACAAACAAACAAACAAAAAAACAAATGCAACAAAAATAAAGATGAATAGATGGGGCCTAATTAAACTAAAAGGCTTCTGCACAACAAAAGAAATCGTTATCAGAGTTAACAGAGAACACACAGAATGGGAGAAAATACCTTTAAATTATGCACTTGAAAAAAGACTAATATGCAGAATCTACAAGGAACTCAAATCAGCAAGAAAAAAATCAACTAATCCCATTAAAAAGTGGGCAAAGGACATGCATAGACATTTTTCAAAAGAAGATGTACAAATGGCCAACAAATATATGAAAAAATGTTCAACATCACTAATCATCAGGGGAATGCAAATTAAAAAAACAATGAAATACCACCTTACCCCAGTCAGAATGGTCATTATTAAAAAGTCCAACAACAATAGATGTTGGCATGGATGTGGTGAAAAGAGAATGCTCTAATGCTGCTGGTGGCAATGTAAATTAGTACAACCTCTATGGAAAACAGTATGGAGATTCCTTAAAGAACAAAAATTTGATCTACCATTCAATCCAGGAATCCCATTACTGAGTATCTACCCAAAGGAAAATAAGTCATTATATCAAAAGACACCTGCACACCTATGCTTATTGCAGCAAAATTCACAATTGCAAGGATATGGAGTCACCCTAAGTGCCCATCAACTGATGAGTGGATAAAGAAAATTATATATATATATATATATATAACATATACACCATGGAATACTACTCAGCCATAAAAAGAATGAAATAATGCCTTTTGCAGCAATGTGGATGGAACTGGAGGCCACTATTCTAAGTGAAGTAACTCAGAAATAAAAAATCAAATATATATTCTCACTTAAAAGTGAGAACTAAGCTATGGGTACATGAAGGCACACAGAGTGGTATAATGGAAATTGGAGACTCAGAAGGGGGTAGGGGTGGAGGGGGATGAGGGGTGAAAAACTACCTATTGGGTACAATGTATACTACTCTGGTGACAGGTGCACCAAAAGCCTAGACTTCACCACTATACAATTCACCCATGTAACCAGAAACTACTTGTACCCTTAAAGCTATTAAAAAGTTAAAATATGGCACTAATAATGTATATTTCAAATTATCTAAAATAGATTTATGACATTCTTACAACAAAATGATAAATGTGTTTTTTTGTTTGTTTGTTTGTTTTTGAGGTGGAGTCTCAGTCTATCACCCAGGTTGGAGTGCAGTGGCGTGATCTTGGCTCACTACAACCTCTGCCTCCTGGGCTCAAGTGATTCTCATTCCCCAGCCTCCCGAGTAGCTGGGATTACAGGTGTGCCACCATGCCCAGCTAATTTTTTTTTTTTTTGTATTTTTGGTAGAGACAGGGTTTCCTCATGTTGCCCAGGCTGGTCCTGAACTCCTGGACTCAGAAGATCCACCCACCTTGGTCCCCCAAAGTGCTGGGATTACAGGCATGAGCCACCGTGCCTAGCCACTAAATGATAAATTGATGAGGTGATAGATCTGTTCATTAGGTTGATTGAATCTTTTTGGAATGTATACATATATCAAAACATCCCATTGTAGCCCATAAATATACATAATTGTTATGGCAATTACAAATTTTAAAAATCTAAAAATTAAAAAGTTAAAAAAGAATATAAAAATGAACTTACGCTAGAAGTCAGTGTAGTTGTTACCCTTGGGTGATGGTGACTGGATAAAAGCTGGAGAGCTTTTGTGGTGCTAGCAGTGTTTTATTTTTTGACCTGGGAATCGGTTACATGGACATATTCGTGAAAATTTACCGTGCTGGATGCTTATGATATGTGCATTGTCTTGTATGTATATTTTACTGCAATTAAAAGCTTTTAAGTCCAAAAACAGAAAAAGGAAAAGTAAAAAGCCAAGGTTTTGACTGTTGGGGTAAAGTGAGATGTATGACAGTGGCCTAAGGGCAGCAAGGACTGTAGTAGAGTGGTTCAGCTGGATAATCTGTTCAAAGTAGGGACACAAAATTGCAGCCAGAGAGCTGCCTAGGGTTGGCACTTGGCACCTTTTCAGGAGTTATACAGTGTTCCCCAAGCCCTGCATTCAGTGGAGGTGACCTTGAGAGTGCTGGTGTTTATGGCTTCTCTCCTGTTACATAAGACAGTTTTTAAAGCAAACTGTGGATGCGCAAAATGAACCTCCCCCTCCCAAGCACCTGGTAAACTGGTAGTGTGGCCTCAAGGAGCCTTCTGTACCTGTAAGAAACCTATCTTGGCTGGGTTCCTTAGGGGCTTTTTTGTGAGCTCACCATAATCTGTCATCTGATGCTAGTGGGAAGTAGCAGGGCGTAAGATGGGAACAACCACTCAAACACTTTCTGAGGCTATTAGGTGCGCCAGTGGTGCATTCTGGTTTCTGGCTTTAAGTCACAGGATTCATTTTGGCCTTCATGGACCTTTTATTTACTTTTTAGGGCTCTACTTCCCACTGGAGCCCAGAAGAAGCAGCAAGAAGATGGCACAAAGACAGAGTCCTCCACTAGTGAGCCTCTTTATCTTCCTTCTACAGAAACTCTGCAGAAACAGCAACTCAGGCTGTCCCTTAAGCAGCTTCATTGTCAAAGGCTCAATAGAATTCTCCTTCTGAACAAAGGGAGCTACATTTCTTTATCTGTCTAATTAATGCTTAGACTTAAAAAGAATGTATTCAGTCTGCAGCCTAGAGAGGATGAGCTACCTGAAATAAAAAAAGTATTTTCCTTTGGAAGAAAAATAAAATGTTGACGCTGTCTCTGCTGTATGGATTTTTACATCAGTTAGGGAGCTTGATAAATAGATATTAGAAAAACATTCCAGGGGATCTATTCTACCCCAGCCTAGACATTCAGGCTGCAATTCCCATTACCTAGCAGTCCAGTGGGTTGAAATTGAGCAAATGCAGATCGCTGTGAGATACACTAAATGTGTGTTGCACCAACCACTGTTTAATGTGTGCAATGCTTTCTGCCCTCACAGTTATGCATTTTCTAGTCTTGTGCCAAAAGACCAATCATCAAAATATAGTATGCTGGTGGGGAGCAAAAGAAAGTATAGAATGCATTCAAACATTGTCTTGCAGATCAATTCTAAACTGACCCTGCTGGCTTAGGAAACTCGGTACATGGATCTGCTAAAGCTTATTTCCCTAAATAAATCTCTTTCCCTTTCAAACCTCCCACCACATTGTGTCCCTGCTATTTCTGCTTCTTTTTGTCTTGCTGTCTATCTCTTTTCTACTACTTTGTGGGTGATTGGACCATGGTATCTTCCTTGTCACATCACATGTGATCATTTAAGTATCCGACAAGAGTCACAAAACAAGTAAAAATCATGCTATGGCACAACTAAATGTTTAGTATTTTAACTTGATGAAACAGTATTTCAAAATAGTTTAGCAAAAAGACATGGAATCATTGTAACATGCACTGACAGAGAATAATCTAACAATTGAAATAGCTGTGGGCTTGTATTCTATATGTACTATAAAGCTCAGCCTTCAACTATGAGAAACACTATGAACATAAAGTGATAAGCACAAAAAAGAGAAGCCAGGTAGCAGAGCACATTTTTCTATTCTGCTCCCTTGGAAAACAGATAGGTGTTTCTATAATTGAAGTGAAGCCTCTATTCCCTAGATTCTCTCCTTCGGAGACCAAAGATCCTCTCCAGAGCTAGCAAATTCAGGTTTCATCCACAGGCATTATACCTTGTCAGAAGTTTCAGTCCTGCTTCCTTCCTTTAGATTGGAATCCATTTTCCCCAAAGCACCTGCTCCAGTGCAACCCTTTTGCTGCGTTCTTAGCTAGATGTTAGCAGAGCGACCCCTAGGCACAGCTTTGACTTAGGCTTTCCTGTCAGTGTCTATCATAAAAGGTCATCTGGTTGGGAGGTGTGAGGCATGAAGCTTTATGATCTAACACAGCAGTGCTGTCTAACCAAGACATATAACTCCAAGGAGGAAAAAGAAGGAAGTTGATAGAGGAGTGAGAGACTTGGTGGCAGAGAAGCTGCAGTTCATCAGCCATGGAATTGCCCTCAGAGCCTGCACACTCAGTCTCTACCTCAGAGGCATTGCTCTAATTTTCCTAACTGTTTCAGTTCCTCTCATTTTCTGTACTCACTCACGTGGAGCTTTGTTTGCTTTAAAAGATTATTGTTTCAGTCCATTCTGGCTGCTACAACAAAATATAACATTTTGGCTTTTAAACAACAGAAATTTATGTCTCATAGCTCTGGAGGCTAGGAAGTCTAAGATCAAAGTGATGGCAGATTCAGTGTCTGCTGAGGGCCCACTTCTGGTTCATAGGTGGCCATCTTCTCACTGTGTCTTCGCATGGCAGAAGGGGTGAGGGATCTCTTTGGGGCCTAATCACCTCTCAAAAGTCCCCTATCCTAATAACATTTCCTTGGGGATTGGGAATTCAACATGTTAATTTTGGGGGGATATAAACATTCAGACCATAGCAACTCTCTTGCCTGAAACTAGTTGCATCTTTTTGTTTTGAATTTTATGGTAACCACACCTAGAGTCTGCCACCTAAGTCATCTCATTTGGGAAGTCAAAGGTATGAAGTTTTGTGAAACTTCTATAGAAAGACATTAATACTGTGCTCCTGACTAACCAAGAAATAGCATTACAAAAAGAGAAGGGGGTAAGGAGAAATATAGAGTCCCACCCCCTCACCCTCCCCAGCCTTCCCAACTTTTCCATTCGGCTTTTTCCATCTGTCTGCAAGTTGTGAAATGATCATTAGAGCCTGTAACAGCAGACCTCACCCCCTGCAACCTCAGAGTCCCTTCCTTCCATACATATATACAAAGTAATCTTTTGATTTGTGTTCATTCTACAACTCCCATTCCTGAAAGTTTCATCCTCAGTCCTCATCTCTGACAAATACTCAGGGGAAAAGGGTACCTCACTGATCTCTCCATCACCCATCTTTGACCACTCCTAGGAGGCCTCCTCCTGTCAGACACTCCAACTACTCCTGTTCAGGTTTCTCTGCCCCACAGGCCCAGCCTTCTGCTCAAATTCTCCTTTGGAAGTGTTTTTTAAAAAATCGATTTCTGTAATCTGATAGACAACCTTGTATTTTCCCCCTTTACACCCCCCCTCCACTATCGTGGAATTCTAACTATTACACAGTGGATACGTATCATTTCCTCATTAGTATATGCCTTCACTGTCTGGGTTAGCTGTAAACCAAATTGTGAACTGCTTATTGAGCATTCATGATCTCCCAGCATTATACCAACATTATCTCATTTAAACACTGGGACATCCCTATGAAGTAGGCATCATTATCTTTGTTGCGTAGGTGAGGAAATTAATGTCCAAAAAGGTAAAGTAAATTATCTAAGATTAAGTGACAGAGTCAGGAGTCAAAGCTAAGGGTGCCTGACTCCAGAAGCTTTCTCTTAACCAGCTCCCTGCAGAGGCTATTTGGCAGAGTTTGGCCCAAGTGGTATTATCCATCCTTTATTATTCCCCTGAGTCTCCATCTCGGCTCCACCTGGGTACCTGGGACCCTCAGGTTTCTCCAGGGCCTTTCTGGCATTGTACTTGATGTGACTTTCATCTATCTATCTCCTCTGGAGGAAAAATGGGAGCTAGAAAAAAGCAGCAGAAAGGGACATGTCTAGGTAGGCTATCTCAGTTTATAGAATTTCCTGGTCAGGGATGGACTTTGAGGTGAGGAGGTGTTCTTTGCTCCTCAAACGATGGGACAGAGATGAGTGCTGACTCCATATGTTAAGCTAGGTCGGAAACCACATTTGACATGTTTTAAAGTCTTACAGTTTGGAGAAGGAGCTCAAGAAATGGTATTGGTGCTTTCTCTCATGCTTCTTAGCATCCTGCCACTCAGCAATACTCTGAAATCCTAGTGGAGACTCCCTGTGCTCTCCCAAGAAATGTCTATGCTTTCATATCTTTTATTTCCTTGTGCTTCTACTAGAGTACCCATTGCATTTCCTAGTCTTTCCCAGTTACTTTTGTCCTTCTCATTTCCCCTGTATACTAAATCTTCTTAAAGCCTGGGGACCACATCTCCTACGTAGTCTAGCATGGTGCCTCACTTTAAGTAGATGTCCTATATATCTCGGTTGGATTGAAATAATGTCAAAAGTATAAGTGCTGTTTGAAATTTCAGATTTTGTTGCAGGCTAGAGAGAGCTACTTAGTTGACATAAGGCAGGCTTTCATTACAAAAACCATAGATTCTTCTTTCTTTTTTCCTTTCCCTATTATTCCCTTCTCTGGCTCCTTGCTTCCTCCCTCCCCCATAACACACCATCTGATGTAAGGCACAGAGCAGGCTAGAAAAGATAAAGAAATCCCAAAGTGAAATCTTGGCATGGAAGCACAGTGTTTTGAATCAGCTCTATACATTAATAACAGGAACAAGTGAAGGGGCATTCTTCAGGTTGGAAGGAATGTCCTGAGATTAATAGCTCTTAGGTTCCTGATGGATCCCTCTGTCTCTTTTTGGGCCACAGAGATCACATCACAGGGAAAGGCACTAAGGGGACCTGCCTTATCGTGCTTTCCTTTCCTGGGGAGCTGGGCCTCTGAGTAATTGAGGGTCATGGTAATTGGGGGCACACACAGGGTTGCCATAGCTAGAGATTAAACCTCTGCCAACTATGTGTTAGTTTCCAATTGTTGAGGGACAATAGGTGATACAGCTGCAGTTGGATCTTGCTTTTTGTTAATGTCTGCATGTTGAAAGCCTGGCAGGGAAAACCTTAATGGGAGAATTGTGGCAAATGGAACAACCCTCAGCCGGGTCACAGCATGATCTGAACATCCACAGAGCTTATAGGAACTTAGAGAGTCTAAAATGTAGTGACAGAGGTGCAATGTGGACCTGTCTGCTGACATTGTGTGCTCTTAAATTTGACAGAAAAACATTGGCTCAGTCACTTTGAGAAAACATGATGGGATTTTCAGTTGGCATTTGCTTTTGAGGCTGGGTAGCATGGTAAGGCCCACAAGATGCCTGATGAGTTGCATGGAATTGAGAGCACCACTTTGTTTTGGTTAGGTACCACACTGGGGTCTATTTGATGGACAATAGAAAACTCACAGCAGTGTACTGTATTCCTTTTCCTAGAATATCCACCATTCCTGTTACTGATAAATTATAAAGCAAAAACCTAGATGAGATCTCTCCAAAGGCCACCACTACATTATCATCCCAATAATTAATATTAATAATGCTATTGTTATGATTGCTAATCACAATATTAATCATAGAAAAGTCAAACATTAATATAGAATTAACAGTGAAGTAGGAAGGGGGTATAGAAACAAACTTTGCTCCCAGCCCCATTCTCAGTCAGGATCCTAATTGTCAGAAAGTCTTAAAGATTTTGAGTGACCATCCACCTATGGCTTTCCTTTGTTTCTTTCTTCCTTCCCCATCTAATTGAGCTGAAATACCTGTCACGCACTCATGGCTTGGACCCCATTATAGAACCCCTGTAAACAAGAATAAAGGTGGGAAAAGAGGAAAATGTATGTTTCTCAAGCCTGGTACATAAAAATCAAGAATTCAAAATTTTTGAAGTTTGGCATGATTATCAAGGAGTGCTGTCTTGGCCTGGTTCGGAAATCAACAGATGAGATAAGACAGTAAAAAACATAGTATTGACTGGGCGTGGTGGCTCACACCTGTAATCCCGGCACTTTGGGAGGCCGAGGTGGGCAGATCACGAGGTCAGGAGATCGAGACCATCCTGGCCAACATGGCGAAACCTCGTCTCTACTAAAAATACAAAAATTAGCTGGGCATGGTGGCGCATGTCTGTAATCCCAGCTACTCGGGAGGCTGAGGCAGGAGAATCCCTTGAACCAGGGAGTCGGAGGTTGCAGTGAGCCAAGATCACACCACTGCACTCCTGCCTGGTGACAGAGCGAGACTGTCTCAAAAAAAAAAATGTATGTATATATATATAATCAAAGACTACCATGGGCCATGGGCAGAAATTGAAGGATATAGCCTCAAACTAATTTATATTGTTTCTTATGATCTTTCCACTACCACCCACTTTGGTTATATGCCTGTTGTATCTGGGAGGGGGACAGATTTAGGAGAAGGGGACTGGAGAAGTGGAGCCTATAAAAGCTTTGTGAAAGCCTTTCTCCCTGAAACAGTCTTGAGGTGTGGATGTTGATATTTATGATGAGGAATTTGTTATGTGTCCATATTACTTACATAGATTCTGGTTGGTCAGTCTCTGTTCTCTGATTCCATTTGCATTTATTGCCCCAGGATCCTAGATGCCATGGCTATAGGGGCAATGAGTCCTGGCTATGGTAAAAATAAATGTGTCTGGATCATCACCTCTTCTCTCATTAGCGTTATTTAATGATCAGATTAATTTAATCATGATCAACTTAAACCAAGATTAGAATGGGGGTGGTGGGATAAATGGAAGCTTCGGGGAATACTCACTAAGAGTTGTTAATACACTGCTTAGATCTTTTTTCTGTGCTCTACCTTGCGACATCTTGGGTTTTAAACATTTTTATTGTATATATTTCAGGTGTATAACATGATATTTTGATATACATATACAGCCCCCCACCACATAATGATGTTTTAATCAACCAAACATCAGACCACATATACAATGATGGTCCCATAAGATTATAATGCTGTATTTTCACTGTTCCTTTTCTACGTATAGATATGTTTAGACACATAAATACTTAGCATTGTGTTACAATTGTCTACAGTTTTCAGTACAGTAACATGCTGTACAGGTTTGTAGCCTTGGAGCAATAGGCTATACCATATAGCCTAAGTGTGTCTTAGGCTATACCTAGGTTTGTGTAAGTACACTCCATGATGTTTTCACAATGATGAAATCCCCATCATTAAGTGATGCATGACTGTACATAGTAAAATAATTACTACAGTCAAAAAAATTAACATATCTCTGGTCTCATATAGTTAGCTTGTGTGTGTGGGAAGGGGTAGGGGTGTGTGTGTGTGTGTGTGTGTGTGTGTACGCGTGTGGTAAAAGTACCTAAAATCCACCCTCAGGAAATTTTCACTATACAATACAATATTATTAACTATAGTCCTCATGCTGTACATTACATTCCTAGACGTTGCACCTTTTGACCTATATCTCCCCAACCTCCTTCCCCTGGTAACTAACATTCTACTCTCTGTTTCTATGTATTAAATTATTATTTTTTCCTTTTGCTTGAAAAGGCCATTGATCTTAAGGGTATAATTTCTTCACTCTAGAAGATAGAGTCCTTTGGAGTCCCTATTGAATTTTTGTCCCTGTGTGGTTATAGTTTGCTTGTTTATTAATGTTGCACATGTGATACCTTCTATTGCACTAGTCTTTTCCAGTTTATCTCATTGATAAATGAGGTTTAGGACATTTCCTGACTGCCCCGAGTAGAAGTTTAATTAGATACCTAATCAGCTGCTGTACATGTAGTCTGAAATGTGTATGTATGTGTGTGTGTGTGTGTGTATATATATATATATATACTCTCTATCATTAGTATTGTCTATATATAGATATTGCTTTTGGACCTGTCAACTTCCTGATTTATTTATAAAAGAATTTTTGTAAGGCACCAGTTATCCCCAACAGATGTTTTATTAACTAAAAATCAGCTTTAAAACAAACATGTCACAATTATTTTATTCTCTGCGGCAGAATTCCTACTGTTGATGAACTCCTAATTGGAATTTGGTTCTGGCAAGGAATGAAAAACAGAGACATACTGTGAGGACAGAGTGCCAAAAATAGCACACTGAGGAATACAAAGGACTACAGCAGTCCCACCTCGTATTTTCTTTAGGCCCCCTTTCTTTCCTTTCATATAGAGGAGACAATTTGGCCTCAGTACAATCCCATTTTGTGGACCAGAAATGGAAACACTAAGAGGCATGGTCCAAGCCATCAGTGAGGAACGATTCAGGAAATCTGATGAGTTCTGCCCTGGTTGTGCTGGAATTAATAAGGCCCCAAGCTCAACTCCCCTTCCTACTCCTTCATAAATACCCAGGATGACTGTTGCTAACGTGTCTCTAGAACTTCCCTATTGAAATCTGAACAGTCCTGGAGAGGAGTAGAATCAGCAGCAACATCAAAATGGCTAAAAACATTTGGACATTTGTTATAAGATAGGCTCTGTGCTGAATGCTAGACATACATGATCTCATTGAATACTGGCAAATCCCCTGACAAAACTTCTGATTTGCAGATGAAATCAAATGGAGGCACACAGTGATTTAATGACCATCTCAAGGTCAGGCAGCTAATAGCTGATAGAGCCAGCATTAGAAACCAGCTGTAGTTGACTCCTAACCACTATGCTACCAACCTGACACATTTTTATATGATCATTAGGATATTCGTTTTCATTAACACAGTAGGCTGGACATGGTTATCAGATTAGCAGTCACTCATCCATGTGCCTGAGTTAATGGCACATAGGACACGGGAGTTTTACTGTGGGGGCTCAGTGTGTGTGAGGGAAGCGTGTGTGCCCACATGAAAATAGAAGAATAAGTCCAGAGCAAGGTTCTACACCTCATCTATTGAAGTACAGTAGTAAAAAATCTAAGATAGCGATGTGGGATATCAGCAGGGCCATCATGAAAATCCCTGACATTAGGTGTTATTAATGATAATTTCTAATAAAGTCGTTTTACTGGCCCAATGACTGAAATCAGTGCAAACTCTTCCTTTTAAGCACACTGACTGCCTCATTATTGGCTGCACTGAAACATGTAGTTTGAAAAATCCTCCTATGCTTGACATATCTACCAGGTTTTGCTGGGGGAAACAATGCAGTCTCATGTCCCCAGGGATGCCACAGTGAAAGAACCCCAGGTGGTCGGCAAAATTATCAGCTTCTGAAAGGTAGACTTTTCTCTGAGCTGAGGGCGCCAGGCACACTTGGCTTCTAACTCACCATATGGCATGCGTTATTGGTCTGGGCTGCTCTGCTCAGTCTCTAGTGTGATGTGGCTCTTAGTGCTGTGGAATTATTTCCTTACTCAATTAAAAAAAAAATCCTGCTCTAAATTCTCGTCTGTTTCTCCCCACCTTTCCCCAACCCCACCCCCGTGCCAATCCCCTAGGCACTGAATGTATTTTCTGCTTTGCTTCTTGCTTGTCCTTTCTTTTTGCTTTTCTGTTCTAAACACTTTTTCTCCTCTGACTTAAAAGTGCAGCAGGAAAATGAAGCAAGGTTGCATACACTGAGCCTAGATTTGCACAAAGCAGCTAATTCCTGAGATCCATTCATTCCTTTTCTGAGGAAGCCTTTTGTTTTTGTTTTTTGTTTTCTCTTTTGCCATATTTTTCCAGGATTCCACTTTCATTAAAGTTTTTCAAGGCCAAAACCAAACAATCAAAAAAGAAATACACAAAAAACAAAATGAAGTTACTCTATTAGGAGACTCATTGAGTTTATTTGTGAAGCTCCTCAACCTTTGGCTTAGTTCTTCTCAGTCTCTAATCCCATCTCCTCTACGGTTGTGCTTGTATGTAGTTTTTCAAATAATCACTTTGTGTTTTTATCATATTCCTCCTCTGGTCAGGAACCTCGAAGCCTGTGGGATTTCCCAAACTCGGGAAGATTCTCAGGCCCCAAACATTTCTCCCACGCATCCACTGCAGAGCTTGACAGTCCTAAGAGTTGAATGGTATCTCTTAAAGGCCCCAGTGAGCAGTGCAAATTGTTCCTGGGATAGATCCTACATAAATTTATGAGCATCTATCCAGAGTTTGCATCAGAATTACCTGGGGAGCTTGTTACAATGCATATTCCTGGGCCATACCCTTAATCTACAGAATTAAAATATTAAAATGTGTGTGTGTGGGTGGGGCGGGGGGGGGAACAGATGTCAGGCCCAAGAATCTGCATTTTAAAAATAAGCTCTTTAAATAGTGTACACAGAAGTTAGGGAACAATTATCATAAAAATATTAAGCAAAGAAGAAGTATTGTTGAGACCTTTTTTTTTTTTTTTTTTTTTAAGAAACATCTGGTGGTGATGTGGAGGTTTTCTGACCTGAAGCAAAATATGGACTCAGATAGGAAAAGCAACTTAAAAACTGTTGTAGAGGGGGCAAAATAACAGGTCACTGGCAGGAAACTAAAAGCATGTTCTGCTTTTAGGTGTTAGGGAAGAAGTTGGAAATCTGAAATGCGTGGTTACAGTCCCTGAAACTCCAATGTCAGGCCTCTCCTCTAGCAAATTTCATCCTTTATTTTAAAATACTTTGGAGGACTGTTTATTCTCCCTTGTCCTTGTCCATCGCAAGGAAAGAGCTCACTTCTCCCATTTAGACTAGAACTCAGATATATGATGTCACATCTGTGTGAAGGATTGTGCTACTGAACCAGTGGATCCAAATAGTTGTTGTCAAAGTGTGATATTTTGATTGCCTCCACCTGAGTAAGCTAAAAAATGGTGGTTAAAATGCAGATTCCTGGGCCTCAGACCTACTGAATTAGAATGGCTTCCCCCAAATCTTAATTATAACTGGCTTTCCAGGTGACACTGAGGTATAATAAAGTTTGAAAGACAGTATTTTACAGTATGTCTTTGCTCTTACTGGGAATTACCTTCCCTCTATCTCTGACTATGGAAATCTTGCTTATCCCTAGAGTCCCAGCCTTCTCTGATCCATTTGCTCCAATCCCAACAGATGTGGCCTCTTCTTTTGCTATAGGGATAGGAAATATGGGGAGATATCATGGCTGGAGTGCAAGGGAGAGTTGGAGTACTAAGATGGAGTAGCTTGACTGGAGGTTGTGGTAGGGACCCAGAGTTTGTACTTGGAATGTTTACACTTGAACTGAGGTTGAAAAAAGGTAGGAAACCCATGAAAAAACAACAACAAAATTACCTACGCTAGTCTTAGCTGTGACTTCAACCACCATGGTAATCATGTTTAGAGATGAAGATTGGAGGTTTTGTTAGGGCTGAATTCTAGAGTGGAAAATGAGACAAAATGCCAGCCACCTGACAATTGCACTTGGGGGAAGGAAGAGGAACCAGCCTAGACTCTCCTTCTTCTCCATCTTTGCCTGTGGAAACTCTGTCCCATCTTCAACATCACAATTGCCTTCCCAGGCTTCTTGGGCCACCCCATTCTGACAATAACAACTGATCCCTCATGCTTTCCTGCCCCTTTCATTTGAGAGTATGATGATGTACTTTTCCTGGGCTTTGCCACTGAAACCTTCAGAGGCGCTGGGGTAGAAAATAGTAGTAGCAGAAGTAATCCATGTTTGTTAGGAGGCCCAGGATATAGGGAGGTCTGTCCAGGAAAAAGTGAGGTTAGGGGATGACCTGCCTCGTTGTGTTAGACAGCTTGGGATGCTAGAAAAAATACCATGGGCTGGGTAGCTTAAACAACAGAAATGTGCTTGCTTACAGTTCTAGAGGCTGGGAAGTACAAGATCAGGGTGCTGGCATCATCTGTTTATGCTGAGGGCCCTCTTCCTGGCTTGCAGATAGCCACTTTGTCCTGATATGGCCTTTCCTTTGAGTGCATATAGAGCATGGAGCATGGAGAGGGAGGGGGGAATGAAAAGAAGGAGTGAGAAAAGAGGAGTGGGAAGTGGAAGGGAGGGAGATGATAAGAGGAGAAAGGGGGAGGAGAGGGAAGGAAGAGAGGAAGAGTGGAAGAGAGAGAGGGTGGGACTGGGAAAAAGATGGGGAGAGGGAAAGGGGAAGAGGAAGACAGGGAAAGAGTGAAGGCCAGGGGATGGGGAGAGGAATGGAGAGAGAGAGGGAGAGATGGAGGGAGGGAGGAGTAGAGAAAGAGAGCATTTTCTCTTTTCCTCTTGCAAGGCCACCAATTCTATGGCATTAGGCCCCACTTTTCTGACTTTGTTTAATATTAATTACCTCCTAAATGCCTCACTCCAAATACAGTCACACTGGTGGTTAGAGTATCAGTGTATGAATTTTATGAGGACACAATTCAATCTATAGCAATTAGCCTCACCTGTAAGTGCCTATTTGAAAGGCCCCATCCCACATCTCCTCAATCAGAGTCTCAGTCAGGGTCCAGCCAGAGTCTGCAAGTACTTCAAGTAATTCTGATGGACACTGATGTTTGAAAACCACTGCTTTAAAAGATATGTTTTGTTTGTATTTAGTTTACCTTTTGACTGATCTCAATTTTTTTGAAGTTTATTTTTACCCTATCACTTGGTGAGTAGCACAGTCCCTATTTCTAATTACTCTTGGCTGAAGTAGGGCTTTCTTTCATGTGTGCTAAACTAAACCAGTGGTTCTCAAACTTTAGCATGCATAGAAATCAACTGGAATCTGTTAAAATTAACATTCTAATTCAGTAGGTCTGTGGTGATGCCTGAGAGGCTGCATTTCTTTTTTTTAATTTTTTAAAAATTTTTATTATTATTATACTTTAAGTTCTAGGGTACATGTGCACAACGTGCAGGTTTGGTACATATGTATACATGTGCCATCTTGGTGTGCTGCACCCATTAACTCCTCATTTACATTAGGTATTCCTCCTAATGCTCTCCCTCCCCCCTCCCCCCACCCCACGACAGGCCCCAGTGTGTGATGTTCCCCACCCTGTGTCCAAGTGTTCTCACTGTTCAATTCCCACCTATGAGTGAGAACATGCGGTGTCTGGTTTTCTGTCCTTGCGATAGTTTGCTCAGAATGATGGTTTCCAGCTTCATCCATGTCCCTACAAAGGACACGAACTCATCGTTTATTATGGCTGCATAGTATTCCATGGTGTATATGTGCCACATTTTCTTAATCCAGTCTATCATTGATGGACATTTGGGTTGGTTCCAAGTCTTTGCTATTGTGAATAGTACCACAATAAACATATGTGTGCATATGTTTTTATAGTAGCATGATTTATAATCCTTTGGGTATATACCCAGTAATAGGATAGCTGGGTCAAATGGTATTTCTAGTTCTAGATCCTTGAGGAATCTCCACACTGTCTTCTACAATGGTTGAACTAGTTTACAGTCCCACCAACAGTGTAAGAGTGTTCCTATTTCTCCACATCCTCTCCAGCATCTGTTGTTTCCTGACTTTTTAATGATCGCCATTCTAACTGGTGTGAGATGCTATCTCATTGTGGTTTTGATCTGCATTTCTCTGATGGCCAGTGATGATGAGCATTTTTTCATGTGTCTGTTGGCTGCATAAATGTCTTCTTTTGAGAAATGTCTGTTCATGTCCTTTGCCCACTTTTTGATGGGTTGTTTGATTTTTTTCTTGTAAATTTGTTTAAGTTCTTTGTAGATTCGGATATTAGCCCTTTGTCAGATGGGTAGATTGCAAAAATTTTCTCCCATTCTATAGGTTGCCTGTTCACTCTGATGGTGGTTTCTTTTGCTGCGCAGAAGCTCTTTAGTTTAATTAGATCCCATTTGTCAATTTTGGCTTTCGTTGCCATTGCTTTTGGTGTTTTAGTCTTGAAGTCCTTGCCATGCTTATGTCCTGGATGGTATTGCCTAGGTTTTCTTCTAGGGTTTTTATGGTTTTAGGTCTAACATTTAAGTCTTTAATCCATCTTGAATTAATTTTTCGTATAAGGTGTAAGGAAAGGATCCAGTTTCAGCTTTCTACATATGGCTAGCCAGTTTTCCCAGCACCATTTATTAAATAGGGAATCCTTGCCCCATTTCTTGTTTTTATCCGGTTTGTCAAAGATCAGATGGTTGTAGATGTGTGGTATTATTTCTGAGGGCTCTGTTCTGTTCCATTGGTCTATATCTCTGTTTTGGTACCAGTACCATGCTGTTTTGGTTACTATAGCCTTGTAGTATAGTTTGAAGTCAGGTAGTGTGATGCCTCCAGCTTTGTTCTTTTTGCTTAGGATTGTCTTGGCAATGCGGGCTCTTTTTTGGTTCCATATGAACTTTAAAGAGAGGTTACATGTCTAACAAACTCCCAGATCATGCTGATGCTGATGCTGATGCTGCTGATCCATGGACCATGCTTTAGTAGCAAGTTACTAAATGATATTTTTTCCCCTGTAACTCAGGGAGAGCAAATTTAAATGGTTTCACTGGGCAGGCAAGCAACTGACTATAAATGTGTGAAACTATCAGGGTTGGTATGAATAGGGCATGATAGAACTTACAGTCATTCAAATACACATTTTTAAAACATACTGGCTGGCTAGATAATCTACAAAGTGCTTCCATCTGACACAACTGGTTTGTAACTCTTTCGCTAATACAACTATTTTAAGATTTGCCAATAAGTATTTATTTTCCCCTCCGCCCACTTTATGGGTTTTTAGACTTCATCCACAATCTCTTTTACTCTTCCTCTCTCCACTCTTAATTGGCACTGCTTGATGTTTCTTTGTAAGCATTTTTAAGGGTTATTATTATTATTTTAAAATGTGTGTTCTATGTAAGCAACCAGGTCCTCACTCTTCAAGGACAGAAATTGGGTCTTGTTTCTTTTGTTGCCCCTCAATAATGTTTATTTCTGTGTTCAGCTCACAGTGGGTACTTGTTCACTGATGACTAATTGACTCACTGACAGGACCAGGACAGTACTTCAGAAGAGAACTGAGTTCACTAGCATAGCTGAGATTTGCAGATAAGGACCACATCCCATGTGATCAGCATACAGTTCTTCTAGTTTGAAGAAGGCAAGCCAGGAGATTTGTTTTGCTTTGTTTTGCTTTAAAGCAACATTGTATTTTTCCAATATTTAAACACAGGTCAGGCTTGCTCAACTGCTATTGTTTTGAATTTTGCAGGATGCGTTGTGTTTGCAGCTTCTGGACTTACTTGATCTGCTATTTTTGATGTTCCTCATTAAATAGATTGTTGATATGTAAATATAGAAGTTGCTATGCAAAATTGCCCTGATTTTTCTTGCGAACTTTCTTCCTGCATCTTGTGGAAAGGCAGCATTTTACTTCTTCATATTCAAGAATATTTTAAGCACTTGTAGCTAAATTGTGCTAAACCAATTGTCAAAACCTGGGAGTGTTCCATAAAATACAATTGATATATATAAAGTCAACCATTTGTATGGTCTTCCTTTTATTCATATGTATGCAAATACATCTGTATGTGGCATAGATATATGCACACATTGTGTCATGGCTAAAGATTCATCTAGAGTTAATAACCATACATAGGGAAAAACTATTAGCAAATTAATTAAGAACCTGTCTGTCGTGCTATTGTAAAATGAAGTCATTTGTTAGCTTAAAGAGGAACTCTTTCCCTCACTGAAAACTGATTCTGTAGAATATTTGCTGACCTTTGTTAGAGAAGAGGCTTCTGTTCAAATAAACAAAAGGCTGTAGATGACTAGTTGACCAGAGAAGTGTAAATGTGAACTGAATTGCGTACCTTTTGATTATAATTACCTACTTACTCATTTGTTCAACAAACATTGACTGATTAGAAAGCTTTCTATGTGCCAGACACAGCACGGGCACAGTGCAAACAAGGGGCTATAGTACTGAACCAGATACTCATGGTCCTTGCCTTCTTAAACTTAAATCATCAGGTGTTCATGTATATTTTTATATTATAGTAATTAGAACACTTTTACATGTTTTCTTTACATAATCAAAGAATTATAAAGTTGGAAGATGCCTTGAAATGCCATTGAACTTATTCCTTCATCCTTCAGGTAGTTGGAAGAAGTTGTGTGTTGCAGCAGATACTGTTGTGGCCACACCCATATCTCCTGGGCCCTCACCATTTCTGTGTACACCCATCTGACAGCTTTTAACTGCAAGCACCTGCAACTCATTAGCTGTGTGCTTTCTCTGGTCTCTGGAGCCTGTAGGATCTATGCTGGAGTTAATATACCCCCTCCCCCAAGTGAAGCGGCCTTCACCTAAGTACTGGGGGGAATTGAGAGATAAATACTCCCAGCTCCTGGTCCTTCTATTGGGATAGCTCTGAGGTGTTTTATACTCTCTCGCAGACTTCTCTAGTGGGATAGAATACCAGTTACTCAGTGGTGACCTGTTCAGTATTGCACCCTGTATAGGCTTCCTTTTCTAACCTGCCACATTTCCCTGTTTTTCTACCAGTGCTTTCTGGGATCATCTCCCACATACACCACTTGCACTCACATTCTTGTGTCAGCGTCAGCTTCTGGGAGGAATCCAACCTAAGTCATGAATCAATCTTGGCTGCCAAGAATACATGATGGAATTGTATATTCAAGGGCAAGACAAGGGCAAATTTATTTTGAAAATTGTATATAATGTAAAATACATGGTTTTCATTCCCGGACAAAATATTAGATCATTTATTTTTCTCAAGCCTTTTGATACAAATGATTAGGTAATGAAGTGTATTTGATGAAATCATTATATTTGAGAAAAAGTAAAATTCTTTTCCAATTTGTATAATAGAACCCCATTTTTGGCCAGGTAATTTCACAGTTTTGTCTATTGGAGTTTTAAGAAAAGCAGCTGGTACCCTTTAATATTGTGAAAGCTTGTTTTAGGATCTGGCCACATCTTTTAATTGCTTCCCGCCTCTTCTCCTCCCATAGCACGGTTCTTCCAAGGATAGTGATAGAGTGTTGGGCTGGGTGGTTACAACATACCCCGAAGCTAACTTTCCCTTCTGTTTGTTTCATTTTTCTGTTTTCATTTTGTTGCTGTTTTCTTTCATCCTCAGCATGTGTCTGTTTTCCTTTGTCTTGAATGGAATCTTACCCTTAGTTTTATAGAGACGCTCTCCAACATTTCCCTTTGCAGCCTCATAAACCCAGTGCATATATATCTCTCTTCCCTTTATTGGTGGTGAGGAAGTCATTTGATTTTTATCCGACTTGGAGTATTTCAATCTATGAATAATGTAATATGAGAAGCGAAAACAGACAAGCAACAAAACTGTTCGGCTTATGGAGGACTTACAACATGCACTTTTTATGTTTGTACTTTTTATGTATGTGTGCCAGAATTTATTTATCTTTCTCATTTTAACTTTATTCTTCCATTCAGTCACCTGCAGCTTTTAAGATTCTTTCATTTGCGAGCTTGAGGGTGGCCATGTCCAAGGAGTGAAGCTTGCCTTGGATGGAAGTACAGAAGCGACTCCGTGATTAGAAAGGGGGGACTTGCCTTCAGTTACCAAGACTTTTTGTTGCTAGAACTCCATGTCTCCTGCCTCAGTTGCTTGTCCAGATACTTGAACTCATGCCTTTTCCTACAAAGGACTCGGTTCAGGATGTTTGCCTAGATGTTGGATTTTACATCTCTGTCTTGTTTTTATTTTCTATATCCAAACATGGGAGTGCAGGTATCCCTTTGATATATTGATTTCTTTTCTGTTGGATAAATTTCCAGTAGTGAGATCACTGGATCATATAGTAGTTATATTTTTAGTGTTTTAAGAAATCTCCATACTGTTTTCCATAGTGGCTATCCTTATTTACATTCCCACGAAGACCTAACTCACTGCCTGTTATGAATTATTGCACATAGTAGGTATTGAATAGATATATCTTAAATATTAGATACATTGCCTGCTTCTCACTTCCATGATCCTTTTATGGCTTCTACGACCCAAGCCCTTGATTTCTGACTTCTAACTTTGTACTGAACTCACACTCCTGGTTAATTTCACAGGGCTAGTAAGCTCCTCTGCCTGGGTCTTTCCCTTCACCTGTAGCTTTGCCTCAGTTTCTTGGAGTTCTAGTTTCTTATTTTGTATAACAACTTGCTGACTTTCTGCAATGCTGACAGTCCAGTGCAGATAGTGTAACTAGAATGTTCACAGTAAGGGAGGAAGTTAACAAATCTGAGATCCACAATCCTGTTTACACTTTTATTTTGAAGGACAATTATGTCTTTGCTTAAGTAAGACCCTACGTATTGAGTGCAGATGTCAGAGCAAGAAAGTGTCGACTAAGACTGGGTCCCTGCTGTGAAGTGCAAGATGCGTAAAATTCTAGCATATGTGCAGAAATTTAAACCCATCATTTACTGACAGGCTATAATTACTTGAATGAAGTCAGGAGACTATTTTAAGCATGCAATTATGGTTAACAATAAAATTGTAAACAGGACCCTAATTAATGAATTTTCAAACTGTACTTCCCACCTCTGTGGATGCTATGAGCTATAAAAAGAATGAGAAGAATAATTAATATTTATCGAGTACTTATACGTGCTGAGCACTGTGTCAGGCACTTTACATATACTGTCTCATTTAATCCTTATAACAGCACTTTGAGGAAAATACTATTGTTATTCCCATTTTTGCAGAGGAAGAAACTGTGATTCACAGATCAAAAACATTGCCCAAAGCCACATAGGTTAGCAAATGGCAGATCTGTGACTCAAAGATAGGTTAGGCTGACCCTAGAACCCAAGCTCTTTACCATGATACTACATTGACCTAGACTATGTAGTATATATGTAAAACCCACTTTTCAAGTGTGTCAGTCAGAATGTGCTAATAGAAAAGATGTAATACATTTAGATTAGAATAATTTGAAGAGGATCTATTCATAAAGAAACTATTTACAGAGGTGTGGGCATAAGGGATACTAGGTATAGCATAGTAATAGCACAAGCAGCTATTACTATTTCTAAGCTGAAGGGACAAGAAGAGGGAGCAGTTACTGGCACCAAGAAGGAGAGAGTCATGTAAGGGAGGCTGACTTGAGAAGGGCAGTGTCTTTTGGATTAGGGGCACAGCCAGGCCAGAACAACCTTAGGATTAAATACTCTGACTTTATTTTCTCCCTCCCTCTGATCCCTTACTGGGCTCACAATTGGCCAAGTCCATTCAGAAGCCATAGAGAAAGAAGCCAATTGATAAGATCCATATAGGTGAGCTTCTCAGGCAGGAGCAAAGCAAAGGGTGGAGAGTGAAAATGGGCAAATGGAGGATATCCATCATACCATGCATTAATAAATATTCTCATTTACCAATGTGCTCTGTATAAGTTCAAGTAGCTTTTCACAATTTTTAGCTGAGTGGAAAATAAGAACCCTTCATGAAGTGTGACTTCTCTTCCTTTCTAAATGGTTATAGCAAAGTTATCATTTAATGTCTCATGAGCACCTGATAATGCAGTCAGTATTTTCTTTATTCTGTTGAATTTAAGTCAGAGTTAACTTGACATTTATATTACTGTAAGTCTTCTCAGGATGATGGTTAAGTTATTTATAAATGTTTCTAAAGTTGTTCTATAAGTTTTTATCTCCCACTCCTCAAGACTTACCCGTTTCTGTAAAAATACCCAAAACTGGAAAACTGGGGTCATCTTTGTCATATGCATCTTGTCATCTGTATTAGTCCATTTTCATACTGCTATAAAGAACTGCCTTAAACTGGGTAATTTATAAAGGTAAGAGGTTTAGTTGACTCACAGTTCAGCATGGCTGGGGATGCCTCAGGAAACTTCCAGTCATGGTAGAAGGGGAAGCAAGACATCTTCACAAGACTGCAGGAAGGAGAAGTGCTGAGTGAAGGGGAAAGAGCCTCTTATAAAACCATCAGATCTTGTGAGAACTCACTATCATGCGAACAGCATGGAGGAAACTGCCCCCAAGATTCAATTATCTCCACCTGGTCTCTCCCCTGGCATGTGGGGATTATGGAGATTACAATTCAAGATGAGATTTGGGTGGGGACACAAAGCCTAACCGTATCATCATCTAAAATCAAATCAGTCACTGATTATAGTTAATTCTTTCTGTAGTTTCTGTTACAGCCCTAATTTCTTTGTCTCCTACTGTAACAACCCAAATATGAACCGTTATCACTTCACACCTAGGTTTTAGTGGTTTCTTCATAGCCACATTAATCTTCATAGATGGTAATTTTGATCATGAAACTCCACTCTCAAAAATTTCATTGGAGCCCCAATATATACAAGAACAGGGCCACATTCCTTAGCATGACATTTAAACTCCTCCACAAATCAGTTGTCACCTTTCTTTTGAAACTTATCTTTCGATAGTTTTACCAGGCAACTCTAGTCCAGTGAAATCACTCAACTTCTTATGCCCTGAATTTGCAATATACATTTCCCTTTCAATGTGTTGGCTCAAGTTGTTCCTTTTTGAAATGGTCTCTTTCTTTCTTCTTTGATTATCTAAATTCCATCCTTCATTTGGGGCTCAGCTCAGCTCCTGTTTCCTTCAAGACTGCCTGTACTCAGTCCTCTGTGAGATCTTCTGCATGCCAGTAGCACTTACTATCCATTAATAGATACAGTAGTACCAGTACCTGTTTCCTAGGGTTGTAATAATAGTATATTTCCCATGGGTTTGTTGTGAGGCTTATATAAGTTAATATAAGTAAATTTTTTAGATTAATTCCTGGTATATAGTAAGATCTCAATAAATTTTAGCTATCAAAATTGTTTATCATTATGATTTCAACTCATTTGGCACTGAGCATTGTACTTTGTATTGTTATTTTGATTTGCATGTATATAGAATATTTCCTAATTAGATTACCATCTCCTTGAGGGAAGGGTGTGTTTTTTAAATTAATTGCTGTATTCTCAACAACTAGCATACAGCATGGCAGATGGTGGGTCTGAATAAATACTTATTGTGTGATAGAGAATAGTGACGATGATGATGCCTGCTCCCTTATTTTCTGCTTTTGGAAAATGGCTGCAATATATGTCAATTTATAAAATCATTGATTGCATTATGAAGCTGATAAGTACCTTAGAGATAGTTTAGTTCCACACCATCATTTTCTAGATGGTACAACCGAGGCTCAAGGGGGAGGAAAGAACTTGCCCAAAGCCACAGAGTTGCCAGTTAATGACAGAGTCATTGTTAGAACTCAGAGTTGTTTAGTGAACTGAACAAATATTTATTGAGCACCCACTATGTTTCAAGTACTGTGCTAGGTGTTGGGTATACATCTATGACCAGGACAAAATCCCTGCCTTCATGACACTATTTTTATTGATACATAATATACATATTGATGGGGTACATGTAACACTTTGTTACATGCATAGAATGTGTAATGATTAAGTCAGGGTATTTGGAGTATCTATCACCTCGAGTATTGATCATTTCTGTGTGTTAGGAATATTTCAAGTCCTCTCTTCCAGCTATTTTGAAATATACAATATATTGTTGTTAATTATAGTCACCCTACTCTGCTATTGAACATTAGAACTTATTTCTTCTATCTAGATGTATGTTTGTACCCATTATTAACCAAACCCTCCTCATCCCCCTTCCACACCCTTCCAAACCTCTGGTATCTATCATTTTACTCTACTTCCATGAGATCAACTTTTTAAGCTCCCCTAAATGAGAACATACAAAGTTTGTCTTTTGCTCCTAGCTTATTTCACTTAACGTAATGATTTCCAGTTCCATCCCCGTTGCTGCAAATGATGTGATTTCATTCTTTTTGTGGCTGCATAGTATTCCATGGTATATGTGCCATATTTTCTTTATCCACTTAGATTGATATGGATCTTTACTATTGTGAATACTGCAATAAACATGGGAGTGCAGGTATCCCTTTGATATATTGATTTCTCTTCTGTTGGATAAATTCCCAGTAGTGAGATCACTGGACCATATAGTAGTTATATTTTTAGTGTTTTAAGAAATCTCCATACTGTTTTCCATAGTGGCTATCCTTATTTACATTCCCACCAAGACCATATAAGAGCTCCCTTATCAATGGGCTTCAAGATGGTTCCTTAGGCCAGGCATGGTGGCTCATGCCTGTAATTCCAGCACTTTGGGAGGCTGATTGTGGGAGGATCGCTTGAGTACAGGAGTTTGAGGGCAGCCTGGGCAATATAGTGAGATCCCCATCTCACAGAATTTTTTTAAAAAATAGCTGGTCATGGTAGTATGTGCCTGTGGTCCCAGCTACTCAGTAAGTTGAGGTGGGAAGATTGCTTGAGTCTGGGAAGTGGAGGCTGCAGTGAGCCTTGATCATACCACTACACTCCATCCTGGGTAACAGAGCAGGACCCTATCTCAAAAAAAAGAAGATGGTTGACTAGAGGAATCTGGTATTCATCTCCTCCACAAAGAAGAACCAAAATAGTGAGTAGATAATCACACACGAATAGATCACCTAAGAGAGAATGCTAAAATTCAACACAGAAGTGATCTAAAGCAAGGAAGGAAATAAAAGTGAGGTAACCTGCTTGGCTGGGATGGGCTAGAAACCTGGAGAGGCTCCCCAGTGTGGGAAAAGTATAAGTGAGTGACCTCTAGCAGTCTACGTTCCCACTGTGGACCTCTGCAAACTTAGCCACAGGAGAGCCCCTCGACCCATATGGGTCCTGAGACTTATGTAGGGATCTGTCTGGAGACTGTGTGATGGCATTGCTCCAGAGAGGGAGCTCCCACCAGGTCCCACACACCCACTGAGTCCTAAGCAACTACAGCAGGGTGCCATTTTGAGAGCCCAGTCCCCACCAGACTGCACCCTGCCCTGTGGCCCAACAGCCCTGTATCTTCACATCCCTGGAGCCCCAGTGAAATTCCCTACCTACAGCCAGGTGCTGCTGCTGGCTGCTGCTTCCAGAGTTCAAGCATAAGCCATGGGCAGCAACCCAGCTACCCCAGTGGCAGGGCTGCCATGCATTTAAAAGCACACTAAGGAAAAGCCACCTGGTTTATAGCCACCCCTTGGGGCTGAATTGCATACTCCCCAGGCACTTGTTTATGGCTGCTGCTACTGAAAGCAACACAGACTTCCCCAGAAGTAGGATCACAGTGCAAACACTGATATCCCCACCAAAGCATTCCGCCAGGAACCTGGGAATCATTCTGCTCTTGCCTACCACACCGGGTTCCCACATACACCACTAGGGGGCACTACTGGCCTGGCGCCACCACTCCCCACCCAGTGCCCAAGCCTGCCATCCAGGTCCTAGGAATTTCCCTGCCCTATCCACCACCACTGGCACCAGCAGCATACTCTAACCAAAGGCCTAAGGACAGGTGCACCAAAACTGAAGCTACCACCACAGCTGGAACCCACCCACATCTGCCACCTGCAGGCATAGGTACTGGACCATGCACTCCACTGCAGCTACTGCCAACACCAGTGCACACTGCTTGGAAGCCAGAGGGTTATCCTGCCACTGCCATTGCCATTGCCTATGCCATTCCCACTGCTCAGTGACCCAAGGACTTGCCTGCTAACCTAGCCCACTGCTGGTACTCAAGCAACCTGCCTGGAGGCTCAAGAATTCACTAGCCTGGACCTTCTAACACTGATTCCAGTGTATGCCACCCTGGGTCACAAGGACAAGCACACTTGGTCTGATGCTTTCACTACTGGAGCCCAAGGAGTGACTCACCTGACATCCCCATCCCCCACAAAATTTAACCACAGCCTCCACTAACAAGTGCACCCTAAACCACTGAAGAAATTACGTATACTACTAATGCTGCTTACAGCTGAAGAAATAATATGTAGACTATACTATTGCACACACCCAGAATCAAAGGTAAATTGCCCTATTCAGTCAACACCATAGATATATATTTATGAAAAAGTTCTCTCCTATGAAAGCAAATTCAAAAAGTTGGAACAAATAACTTATATGACATGTGTAGATACCAATGGAAGAATATAAGAAACATGAAAATGAGAAGAAATAAGACACCTTCAAAGGAACACAGTAATTATCTAGCAACACATCCCAATCAAATATAAATTTATGAAATTCTAAAGAAGAAATTAAAATAATTATATTAGCAAAGCTCAGTGAGGTGCAAGAGAAACAAGAAAACACAAAGAAATCAGAAAAACAATTCAGGATATGAATGAGAAATTTACTGAAGAGATAGATATCATAAAAAGAACCAAATAAAAACTCTAGAATTAAATGATTGAATGAAATACAAAACACATTCAAAAGCTTCAACAATAGACTAGATCAAGCAAAATAAATAATTTCTAAACTTGAAGACAAATCTTTTGTACTAACCCAGTCAGACAAAAATAAAGAATAAAAGAGAATATACAAATCCTATTTGGCATATAGCAAACCACAAAGCAACCAAATATTCAAATTTTCAGTGTCCCAGAAGGCAGCAGAAAATGAAAGTGATAGAAAACTGATTTAACAAAACAATAGCTGAAAACTTCCCAAGTCTAGCAGAAGATTTAGACATCCAGATACAAGAAGCTCAGAAATACCCCAAAATATACAATTCAAAAAAGTTTTCTTCATGGCACATTATAGTCAAACTGTCAAAATCAAAGACAAAGAGAATTTTAAAAGCAGGAAGAGAAAACTGTATAGTCATTGATAAGGGAACCCCAATCAGACTAACGGTGGATTTCTCAGTAGAATCCTTACAGACCAGGAGAGAATGGCATAATATATTCAAAATATTCAAAGAAAAACAACCCTGCTAATCAAAAATACTATGCCCAGCAAAGTTATCCTTTATAAATGAAGGAGACTTAAAATATTTCCCAGACAAGCAAAAGCTGAGGGAATCGATCACTGCTAGACCAGCCCTACAAGAGATGCTTAAGGAAGTCCTACATGTGAAAGTGAAAGAATGATATCTACCATCGTAAAAAAATGAAATGATCAAACACGCTGGTAAAGCAAACACACAAGGAAGAGAAACGAATCAAATATTAACATCATAGAAAACCATCAAACCACAATGATAAACAATAAGAGAGAAAGGAACAAAGAATATACAAACAACCAGGGATTTATTAATAAAATGACAGAAATAAGCCCTCACATAGCAATAATAACCTTGAAGGTAAATGGATTGACTTTTCCACCTAAAAGAGATAAACTGGCTGAATAGATATTAATAAAAAAAATGAACCAACCATATCATATGTGTAAGAACCTCACTTCACTTGTAAAGACACATATAGATGGAAAATAAAGGGATGGAAAAAGATAATCCTTATAAGTGGATACCAAAATGAGCAGGAATAGCTACACTTATATGAGATAAAACAGACTTTAAGACAAAATAGTAAAAAGAGACAGGGTCATTATATAACGATAAAGGTATCAATTCAGCAAGAGGATATAGCAATTCTAAACATATAGGCACCCAACACTGGAGCACCCAGATATTCGAAGCAAATATTATTAGATCTAAAAGGAGAAAAAGATTCCAATATAATGATAGTGGGGGACTTCGACATCCCACTGTCAACATTAGACAGGTCATCTAGACAGAAAATTAACAGAGAAACATTGGATTTAATGCACTTTGGAGAAATGGACCTAACAGACATGAACAGAACACTTCATCCAACCACAGAGAATGCACTTTCTTCTCATCAGCACATGGAACATTGTCGAGGATGGAGCATAGTTTAGGATACAAAACAAGCATTAACAAATTAAAAAGTATCAAAATCATATCAAGTATCCTATGAGACCACAATGGAATAAAACTATAAATTAATAAGAACAACTTTGGGAATTCTACAAATACATGGAAATTAAACAACAACATGCTCTTGAATGACCATTGGGTGAAGGAAGAAATTAAAGAAAAACTCAAAAAATTTATTGAAACAAATAAAAATAAAAACACAGCATACCCAAACCTGTGGGATACAGCAAAATTGTGCTAAGAGGGGGATTTATAGCAATGAACACCTACATCCAAAAATTAAAAACATTTCAAGTAAACAATTTGACAGTGAACTTCAAGGAAATAGAAAAACAAAAACAAACCAAATGCCAAATTGGTAGAAGAAAAAAAAATACTAAAGATTAGAGCAGAACTAAAACAAACAAACAAACAAACAAACAAAAAACAGAATAAAAACCAATACAAAGGATCAATAACATGAAGGTTAGTTTTTTGAAAAGATTAACAAAATTCATAAAAAGATAGCTAATCAAGAAAAAAGGGAGAAGACCCAAATAAATCAGAAATGAAAAAAGAAACATTACAATTGGTACCACAGAAATACAAAAGATCATGAGAAAATTATGAACAGTAATATTTTAACAAACTGGAAAATGCACAGGAAATGGATAAATTCCTGAACAATTACAACCTACCAAGATTAAATCAGGAATAAATATAAGACCTGAAGGATCAATAATGAGTAATGGGATTAAATCTATAATAAAATGTCTCCCAATGAAGAAAATCCAGGACCAGAGGGCTTCACTGCTGAATTCTTCCAAACTTAATAAAAAGGAACTAACCCCAATTCTCCTCAAGATATTCCAAGAATTTGAAGAGGACTTAATTATTTCTAACTCACTTTACAAGGCCATCATTACCCAGATATCAAAACAAGACAAGGGTGCAACAACGACAAAACAATAAAACTACAGATATCCCTGATGAACACAGATACCAAAATCCTCAACAAAGTACTAGCCAACCTAATCCAACAGTACATAAAAAAGATAACACACCATGATCAAGTGAGATTTATCCCAGGGTTGTAAGGAAGTTTTAACATATGCAATTCAATAAACATGATACATCACACAAAGATAATGAAGGACAAAAAACATGAAAAACTCAATAGATGCAGAAAAAACATTTGATGAAATTCAACATACTTTCATGATAAAAACTCTTAACAAAGAAGGCATAGACCTCAAAATAATAAAGATCACATATGATAAACATACAACTGACATCATACTGAATGGAGAAAGCTGAAACCCTTTCCTCTAAGACAAGGATACCTGCTTTCACCACTCCTATTCAACAGAGTACTGGAAGCCCTGGCCCAAGGAATCAGTCAAGGGAAATAAATAAAAGGCATCCAAATTGGAAAAGAGGAGGTCAAGTTTTCCCTTTTTGCAGATAACATGATCTTATATCTAGAAAAACCTAAAGACTCCACCAAAAAAGTCTTAAATCTGATAAATTCAGTGAAGTATCAGGATACAAAATCAACCTACAAAAACCAGTAGTGTTTCCATACACCAATAATGAACTAGCTGAGAAAGAAATCAGGAAGACAATCCCATTTACAATACGTACAAAAAAAAAAAAAAAAGAAATTCCTAGGAATAAATTTACCAAAGAGGTGAATAACTTCTTTAAGGAAAACTATAAACCACTGATGAAAGAAATTAAGAAGACATAAACAACTAGAAATACATCCCATGTTCATGGATTGGAAGAATTAACATTAAGATGACCATATTAACCAAAACCTACAGATTCAATACAATCTCCATTGAAATACAGATGTCATTTTTTTTTACAAAACTATAAAAGACAATCCTAAAATTCTTACTGAATCAAAACTGCCTAAATAGAGAAAGCAATCTTGAGCAAGAAGACAAAGCTAGAGGCATCACAACACATAAGTTCAAAATATATTATAAGGTTATAGTAACCCAAAATGCATGATATTGTTATAAAAACAGACACATAGATCAACGGAATATAATAGAGAACCTAGAAAAAAATTTACATATGTACAGCTGAATTGATTTTCAAAAAAGGTGCCAGGAACTTACACTGGGAAAAGAACAACCTCCACAATAAATGGTGTTGGGAAAATTGGATACCTATATGTGGGAGAAAGAAATTGGACCTCTTACCATATACAAAATCAACTGACAATAAATCAAATACTTAAATGTAAGATGCCAAACCATAAAAGTACTAGGAGAAACCATAGGGGAAACACTTTGGGACACTGGTCTAGGAAAGGATTTTATGGCTAAGACAGCAAAACACAGGGAACAAGACAAAAATAGACAAATGCGACTATATTAAACTAAAAAGCTTCTGCACAGCAAAGGAAACAACAAATTGAAAAGACAGCCTGTAGAATGGGAGAAAATATTTGCAAGCTATTCATCTGGCAAGGGACTTATATCCAGAATATATGAGGAACTCAAACAACTGAACAGTAAAGAAACATAACCCCATTATAAAGTAGGCAAAAACATGAATAGATATTTCTCAAAATAAGACATACAAATGGCCAACGAGTATATTAAAAATGCTCAACAACACTAATTATCAGGGAAATACAAATCAAAAGCCCAATGCAATGAGATATCATCCTGCTTCAATTAGAATAGCTGTTATTAAAAAGACAAAAAATAACAGATGCTGGCAAGGATGTGGAGAAAAGGGAACTCTTATAACACTGTTGGTGGGAATTTAAGTTAGTATAGCCACTGTGGAAAACAGTATGGAGGTTTCTCGAAAAACAAAAAATAGAACTACTATGTGCTCCAGCAATCTTACTATTGGGTATTTATCCAAAGTAAAATAAGTCAGTATATCAAAAAGATATCTGCACCTCCATGCTTACTGCAGGACTATTCATAATGGCCAAGATATGGAATCAACCTAAGTGTTCATCAGTGGACGAATGGATAAAAGAAATGTGGTATATATACACAATGGATGTATTAGTCCATTTCCACACTGCTGCTAAAGACATACCCAAGACTGGCAAATTTACCAAAAAAAAAAAAAAAAAGAGAGAGATTTAATATATTTACAGTTCCATGTGGCTGGAGAAACCTCACAATCAAGGCAGAAGGTGAAAGGCATGTCTCACGTGGTGGCAGACAAGAGAAAAGAGCTTGTGCATGGAAACTCCCCTTTTTAAAAACCGTCAGATTTTGTGAGCCTGACTCACCACTACAAGAGCAGCACAGGAAAGACCTGCCCCCATGATCCAACCACCTCCCACCATGTCCCTTCCATGTCATGTGGGAATTGTGGGAGTTAAAATTCAAGATGAGATTTGGGTGGGGACACAGCCAGACCACATCATTCCACACCTGGCCCCTCCCAAATCTCATGTCCTCACATTTCAAAACCAACCATGCCTTCCCAACAGTCCCCCAAAGTCTTAACTCATTTCAGCATTAACTCAAAAATCCACCGTACAAAGTCTCATCTGAGACAAAGCAAGTCCCTTCTGCCTATGCGCCCATAAAATCAAAAGGAAGTTAGTTACTTCTTAGACACACTGGGGGTACAGGCATTGGGTAAATGTAGCTGTTCCAAATGGGAGGAATTGGCCAAAACAAAGGAGCTATAGGCCCAATGCAAGTCCAAAATCCATCAGGGCAGTCAAATCTTAAAGCTCCAAAATGATCTCCTTTGACTCCATGTCTCACATCCAGGTCATGCTGATGCAAGAAGTGGGCTCCCACAGCCTTGGGCAGCTCTACCCCTGTGGCTTTGCAGGGTATAGCCCCCCTTCTGGCTGCTTTCATGGGCTGGCATTGAGTATCTGTAACTTTTCCAGGTGCATGGCACAAGCTATTGGTGGATCTACCATTCTGGGGTCTGGAAGACAGTGGCCCTTTTCTCACAGCTCCACAAGGTGGTGCCACAGTAGGGACTCTGTGTGGGGGCTCTGACCCCACATTTCCCTTCCACGCTGCCCTTGCAGAGGTTCTCCATTGGAACCCCACACCTGCAGCAAACTTCTGCCTGGACATCCAGGCATTTCCATACATCTTCTGAAATCTAGGCAGAGGTTCCCAAACCCCAATTCTTGACTTCTGTTCACTGGCAGGCTCAACACTACATGGAAGCTGTCAAGGCTTGAGGCTTGCACCCTCTGAAGCCACAACCTGAGCTCTACAGGGCACCAAGCCTTTAGGCTGTACACAGCATGGGGACCCTGGGCCTGGCCCAAGAAACCACTTTTTCCTCCTAGGCCTCCAGGCCTGTGATGGGAGGGGCTGTCATGAAGACCTCTGACATACCATTTTCCCCATTGTCTTGGGGATTAACATTCAGCTCCTCATTACTTATGCAAATTTCTGCAGCCAGCTTGAGTTTCTCCTCAGAAAATGGGATTTTCTTTTCTATCACATTGTCAGGCTGCAAATTTTCTGAACTTTTATACTGTTTCCCTTATAAAACTGAATGCCTTTAACAGCACCCAAGTCATATCTTGAATGCTTTGCTGCTTAGAATTTTCTTCTGCCAGATACCCTAAATTATCTCCCTCAAGTTCAAAGTTCCACAAATCTCTAAGGCAGGGGCAAAATGCCACCAGTCTCTTTGCTAAAACATAACAAGAGTCACCTTTGTTCTAGTTCCCAACAAGTTCCTCATTTCTATCTGAGGCCACCTCAGCCTGGACTTTATTGTCCATATCACTGTCAGCATTTTGGTCAAAGCCATTCAACAAGTCTCTAGGAAGTGCCAAACTTCCCCACACTTTCCTTTCTTCTTCTGAGCCCTCCAAATTGTTCCAACCCCTCCCTGTTACTCAGTTCCAAAGTTGCTTCCACATTTTTGGGTATCTTTTCAGCAGTGCCCCACTCTACTGGTACCAATTTACTGTATTAGTCTGTTTCCATGCTGCTGATAAAAACATATCTGAGACTGGGAAATTTACAAAAGAAAGTGGTTTAATGGACTTACAATTCCATATGGCTGGGGAAGCCTCACAATCATAGTAGAAGGTGAAAGGCACATCTCACATGGTGGCAGACAGGGGAAGAGAGCTTGCGCAGGGAAACTCCCCCTTTTTAAAATCATCAGATCTCATGAGATCCACTCACCACCACAAGAACAGCACAGGAAAGACGCACCCCCATGATCCAACCACTTCCCACCACGTCCCTGCCATGACACGTGGGAATTGTGGGAGTTACAATTCAAGATGAGATTTGGGTAGGGACACAGCCAAACCACATCAATGGAATACTGTTTGGCCATTAAAAAGAATGAAATAATGCCATTTCCAGCAACATAGATAAAACTGGAGGTCATTATGTTACACGAAGTAAGCCAGGCACAGGGAGACAAATATTGCATGTTCTCACTCATATGTGGTAGCTAAAATTGTTGCTCAAATGGAGGTAGAGAGTAGGATGGTAGAAACTAGAAGCTGGGAAGGATGTGCATATATTTGGTGGGGAATGAGATGAGGTTGGTTAATGGGTATAAACATACAGTTAGATGGAATAAGTTCTAATGTTTGATAGCAGAGCAGGGGGACTACAGTTAACAGTATATTGTATATTTCAAAATAGCTAGCAAAGAGGACTTGAAACATTTCCAGCACATAGAACTGATCAATACTTGAGGTGATGGGTACCTTAAATGCCCTCACTGGATCACTATATATTCTATGCATGTAACAAAATATCAAATATATCCCATATGTACAAATATTGTGTCAATAAAAGTAATTACTCTTTCTCTGCATTCTTGCAGACTTCTTTTTTTCTGTCTTTTTAATAGCCATTCTTCCTGGTGTAAGATGATATCTCATTTTGGTTTTGATTTGCATTTCTCTGATGATTAGACATGTTCAGCATTTTTTTTTTTTTTTTGAGACAGAATCTCGTTCTGTTGCTCAGGTTGGAGTGCAGTGGCATGATCTTGGCTCACGGTAGCCTTCATCTCTCTGGCTCAAGTGATCCTCCCTCATCAGCCTCTTGAGTAGCTGGGACTACAGGCACGTGCCACCACACTGGGCTAACTTTTTTAACTTTTAAGTTCAGGTGTAAAAGTGCAGGCTTGTTATATATGTAAACTTGTGTCACGGGGTTTTTTTGTACAGATTATTTAATCACCTAGGTATTAAGCTGGTGCCCATTAGTTATGCTTCCTGATCCGCTCCTTCCTCTCACCCTTCACCCTCAGATAGGCCCCACTGTCTGTTTTTTCCCTCTATGTGTCCATGTGTTTTCATCATTTAGCTCCCACTTATCAGTGAGAACATATGGTATTTAGTTTTCTGTTCCTGCATTAGTCTGCTAAGGATAATGGCCTCCACCTCTATCCATGTTCCTGAAAAAGATATAATCTCATTCTTTTCATGGCTGCATAGTATTCCATGGGGTAAATGTACCACATTTTCTTTATCCAGTCTATCATTGGCGGTCATTTAGGTTGATTCCATGTCTTTGCTATTGAGAATAGTGCTACAACAAACATATGCATGCATGTTTCTTTATGATAGAATAATTTATATTCCTTTGGTTTATACCCAGGAATGGGATTGCTGGGTCAAATAGTAGTTCTGTTTTTAGGTCTTTGGGGAATTGCCACAATGTATTCCACAATGGTTGAACCAATATACACTCCCACCAACAGTGTACAAGCATTCCTTTTTCTCTGCAACCTTGACAGCATCTGTTATTTTTTGACTTCTTAGAAATAGCCATTCTGGCTGGTGTGAGATAGTATCTTGTTGTGGTTTTGATGTGCATTTCTCTAATGATAAGTGATATTGAACTTTTTTCATAGGCTTGTTTGTTGCATGTATATCTTCTTTTGAAAACTGTCTGTGTCCTTTGCCCAGTTTTTAATGGGGTTCATTGCTTTTTCTTGTAAATTTGTTTAAGTTCCTTATAGATGTTGGATATTAGATCTTTGTCAGAATCATAGTTTGCAAAAATTGTCTCCCTTTCTGTAGGTTGTCTGTTCACTCTGTTGATAGTTTCTTTTGCTATGCAGAAGCTCTAAAGTTTAATTATATCCCATTAAACAATTTTGGCTTTTGTTGTAATTGCTTTTGACATCTTTGCCATGAAATCTTTGCCTGTTCCTATGCCCATAATGGCATTGCCTAGGTTGTCTTCCAGAGTTTTTATAGTTTTGGGTTTTAAATTTAAGTCTGTAATTCACCTTAAGTTGATTTTTGTATATTGTGTAAGGAAGGGGTCCAGTTTCAATCTTCTGCATATGGCTAGCCAGGTATCCCAGCACTACTTGTGGAATTGGGAGTTCTTTCCCCATTGCTTGTTTTTATCAGCTTTGTTAAAGATCAGATGGTTGTAGGTGTGTGGCCTTATTTCTGGGCTCTCTATTCTGTTCCATTGATCTATGTGTCTTTGTACCAGCACCATGCTGTTTTGGTTACTGTAGCCCTGTAATGCCATTTGAGTTTGGGTAGCCTGATGCATCCAGATTTGTTCTTTTTGCTTAGAATTGCCATGGCTAGTCTGGCTCTTTTTTTGCTTCCGTATGAATTTAAAATTTTTTTTTATAGTTCTGTGAAGAATGTTACTGGTAGTTTCATAGAGATAGCATTGTATCTATAAATTGCTTTCGGTGGTATGGCCGTCATAATGATATTGATTCTTCCTATCCATGAGCATGGACTGTTTTTCCATTTGTTTGTGTCATGTCTGATTTCTTTGAGCAGTGTTTTGTAATTCTCATTGTAGAGATCTTTCACCCCCCTGCTTAGCTGTATTCCTATGCATTTTATTCTTTTTTTGTGGCAATTGTGAATGGAAGTTAATTCCTGATTTGGCTCTTGGCTTGACTGTTGTTGTTGTATAAGAATGCTAGTTATTTTTATACATTGATTTTTGTCTCCTGAGACTTTGCTGAAGTTATCAGCTGAGGTAGCTTTTGGGATGAAACTACAGGGTTTTCTAGATAAAGAATCATGTTATCTACAAACAGGGATGGTATGACTTCCTCTCTTCCTATATGGATGCCCTTTATTTCTTTCTCTTGCTTGATTGCTTTGGCCAGGACTTGCAGTACACTGTTGAATAGGGATGTTGAGAGAGGGCATCCTTGTCTTGTGCCAGTTTTCAAGGGGAATACTTCTAGCTTTTGCCCATTTAGTATGGTGTTGGCTGTGGGTTTGTCATAGGTAGCTCTCATTATTTTGAGGTATGTTCTTTCAATACCTAGTTTAAGAGTTTTCGGCCAGGTGTGGTGGCTCACGCCTGTAATCCCAGCACTTTCGGAGGCCAAGGTAGGTGGATTGCCTGAGGTCAGGAGTTCAAGACCAGCCTGGCCAACATGGTGAAACCCCATCTCTACTAAAAATACAAAAAGTTAGCTGGGTGTGGTGATGGGCACCTGTAATCCCAGCTACTTGGGAGGCTGAGGCAGGGGCATCGCTTGAACTCGGGAGGCGGAGGTTACAGTGAGTCGAGATCATGCCACTGCACTCCAGCCTGGGTGACACAGTGAGACTCCATCTCAAGAAAAAAAAAAAGAGAGAATTTTCAACATGAAAATGTGCTAAATTTTATTGAAAGCCTTTTCTGCATCTATTGAGATAATAACGTGAGTTTTGTCTTTAGTTCTGTTTATGTGATGAGTCATATTTATTGAATTGTGTATGTTGAACCAACCTTTTATCACAGGGATAAAACCTGCTTGATTATGCATACTGGGCCAATATTTTTATTTTTTGTAGAGATGAGGTCTCACTATGTTGTCCAGGCTGGTCTCGAGCATTTTTAAACATACCTTTTGACCATTTGTATGTCTTTCTTACATTAATTTTTTATTTTTATTTTTTGTGGGTACATAGTTGGTATATATACTTGTGGGTTAGCTGAGATATTTTGATACAGGCATGCAATGTGTAATATAATAAGCACATAGCACATCAGGGTAAATGGGGTATCCATCACATCAACCATTTATCCTTTGTGTTAAAATCCAATTATACTCTTTTACTGTTTTTTCTTTGAGATGGAGTCTCCCTCTGTCACCTAGGCTTGAGTGCAGTGGTGTGGTCTCGGCTCACTGCAACCTCTGCCTCCTGGGTTCAAGCAATTCTCCTGCCTCAACCTCCAGAGTAGCTGGGACTACAGGCACACACCAGCATGCCTGGCTAATTTTTTTGTATTTTTAGTAGAGATGGAGTTTCATCATGTTGGCCAGGCTGGTCTCAAACTCCTGACCTCAGATGATCTGCCCACCTTGGCCTCCCAAAGTGTTGGGATTACAGGAGTGAGCCACCGCACCTGGCCAATTATATTCTTTTACTTATTTTTAAATGTACAATTAAATTAATTTTTACTATAGTCACCTTGTTGTGCTAGCAAATACTAGGTCTCATTTAGTCTTTCCAACAATTTTTTTTCTTTTTTACTCATTAACAATCCCCACTTCCCTTCCCAGCCTCTGGTTACCATTCTTCTAGTCTCTATTTCCATAAGTTCAATTGTTTTTATTTTTAGATCCCACAAATAATTGAGAACACGCAATATTTGTCATTCTGTTCCAGGCTTATTTCACTTACCATAATGACCTCCAATTCCACCTGTGTTGTTGCAAGTGACAGAATCTCATTCCTTATTTTATGGCTGAATAGTACTCCATTGTGTATATGTACCACATTTTCTTTATCCATTCATCCATTGATGGATGCTTAGGTTGTTTCCAAATATTAGCTATTGTAAATCGTGCTGCAGTAAACATGGCAGTGCAGGTATCTCTTCAATATACTGATTTCCTTTCTTTTGGGTGTATACCTAGGAGTGAGATTGGTGCATTTTACAGTAGCTCTACTTTTAGTTTTTTTGAGAAACCTCCAAACTATTCTCCATAATGGTTGTACTAATTTACATTCCCACCAACAGGGTGCGAGAGTTTCCTTTTTTCCACATCCTCGCCGGCATTTGTTATTGCCTGTCCTTTGGATATAAGCCATTTTAACTAGGGTGAGATGATATCTCATTGTAGTTTTGATTTGCATTTCTCTGATGATCTTTGATGCTGAGCACCTTTTCATATACCTGTTTGCCATTTGTATGTCTTCTTTTCAGAAATGTCTATTCAGATATTTAGCCCATTTTTAGTTTTTAAAATTATTTCAATAGATTTTGGGGAACAGGTGGTGTTTGGTTACATGGATAAGTTATTTAGTGGTGATTTCTGAGATTTTGGTGCACCCATCACCTGAGCAGTGTACACTGTACCCAATGTGTAGTCTTTTATCTCTCATCCCTCTCCCATCCTCCCCTGCCCCGAGTCCCCAAAGTCCATTGTATCAGTCTTATGCCTTTGTATCCTCATAGCTTAGTGCCCCCTTATAAGTGAGAACATACAATGTTTGGTTTTCCATTCCTGAGTGATTTCACTTAAAATAATGATCTCCAACTCCACCCCGGTTGCTGCATCCATTATTTTGTTCATTTTTCTGGCTGAGTAGTATTCCACAGTGTGTGTGTGTGTGTGTGTGTGTGTGTGTGTGTGTGTGTGTGTGTATGTATGTATATGTATATATATATGTATATGTGTATATATATGTATGTGTATATATATGTATATGTGTATATATGCATGTATATGTGTATATATATGTATATGTATACATAATCTATATATATATATAAATATATATGTGTGTGTGTGTATAATTGCCTTTATTCCCTCATTGGTGGATGGTCATTTAGGCTGGTTCCATATATATATATACATATATATATATATATACACACACACACATATATATATACATATATATACATATATACATATATATACACACACATATATATATATACACACATATATATATACACACACATATATATATACACACATATATATATATACACACACATATATATATATACACACACATATATATATATATAGTTTTTGAGATGGAGTTTCACTCTTGTTGCCCAGGTTGGAGTGCAATAGTGCGATCTGAGCTCACTGCAACCTCCGCCTCCCGGCTTCAAGCAATTCTCCTGCTTCAGCCTCCCAAGTAGCTGGGATTATAGGCATGTGCCACCACACCTGGCTAATTTTGTGTTTTTAGTAGAGGTGGGGTTTCTCCATGTTGGTCAGGCTGGTCTTGAACTCCTGACCTCAGGTGATCTGCCCACCTTGGCCTCCCAAAGTGCTGGGATTACAGGTGTGAGCTACTGTGCCGGGCTGGTTCCATATTTTTGCAATTGTGAATTTTGCTGCTATAAACATGCATGTGCAAGTGTCTTTTTCACATGACGACTTCTTTTCCTCTGGGTAGATACCCAGTAGTGGGATTGCTGGATCAAATGGTAGTTCTACTTTTAGTTCTTTAAGGAATCTCCATACTGTTTTCCATAGTGGTTATACTGGTTTGCATTCCCACCAGCAGTGTAAAAGTGTTCCCTTTTCACCATATCCACACCAGCATCTATTTTTTTTTATTTTTAAATTATGGTCATTCTTGCAGGAGTAAGATGCTATTGAATTGTGGTTTTGATTTGCATTTCCCTGATAATTATTGATGTTGTGCATTTTTCCATATGCTTGTTGGCCATTTATATATCTTCTTTTGATAATTATCTATTTATGTATGTCCTTAGCTGACTTTTTGATAAGATTATTTTTTTCTTCCTGATTTGTTTGGGTTCCTTGTAAATTCTGGATACTAGTCCTTTGTCAGATGCATAGTTTACAAAAATTTTCTCCCACTCTGTGGGTTGTCTGTTTACTCTGCTGATTGTTTCTTTTGCTGTGCAGAAGTTTTTTAGTTTATGTCCCATCTAGTTATCTTTGTTTTTGTTGCATTTGCTTTTGGGTTCTTGGTCATGAACTCTTTGCCTAAGCCAATGTCTGGAAGAATTTTCCTGATGTTATCTTCTAGAACTTTTATGGTTTCAGGTCTTAAATTTAAGTCTTTGATCCATCTTGAGTTGATTTTGTATAAGGTGAGAGATGAGGATCCAGTTTCATTCTTCTCTTCCACCTGCTTTCACCATGTGACATGTCTGCTACCCTTTCACCTCCTGCCATGATTGAAAGCTCCCCGAGGCCTCCCCAGGGACCTTTCTATCCCAGGGAACCAATAGGATAAATATATACATAAATAAAATAAGGATTTAGCTCATGTGATTATGGAGGCTAACAAGCCCCAAGATCTGCAGCTGGCAAGCTGGATACCCAGGAGAACCAATGATGTAAATTCTAGTCTGAAAGCCAGGAGGCTGGAGACCTAGGAAGAGATAATGTTTCAGCTTAAGTCAGAAGGCTGGACAAAACTAATGTCCCACATTAAAGGCAGTCAGACAAGAGGAAGAGGAATCCTCTCTTACTCACAGAAGGATCAGCCTTTTTGTTCTAGTCAGGCTTTCAACTGATTGGATGTGGTCACCCACATTGGGGAGGGCCATCTGCTTTACTTAATCTACCAATTCCAATGTTAGTCTCATCCAGAAACACTTTCAGACATACCCAGAGTAATGCTTGACCAAATATCTGGGTACATCATGTCCCAATCAGATGGAAACAAAATTAACCATTGCAGGGACTGTTTTTATTAGTTAAACCTTTGTTTATCCCTTTGTGCTGTTGCAAAATCTTATCTTTATCTTGAAACTGAAGTGTAATTGTAGCATTGAGGTGCTGGTAGACTTCCAATGTCTGGAACTTTCTAGGTCTGCATGTAGCATGCCCCAAGCCACATTCTATGCCCTGGGAAACCTCACTGTACCCTATATTCTAAAGTGGTTTTAGATCTTTAGTTTTGTGAAAATAATTTTATACCAACCAATTTTGCTAATTAAAGCAATTCTTAAAAAAAGAAGCTTGTCAACAAATACATGCACATTGAAACATTTCTGAAATGCAATAGGGCAACTGGCTTCAAAAGACAAGGATTTTAGAAATCTTCATTTCCTTATTATGTTTGCTTAAAGGGAGGCATAGCTCGAGCTGCTTGCTCATTCCCCTTGATCAATGAGGACTTCTACTTGTTAAGTAAGGGAAATTACTAATTGTATTTATTTTCTTGTATGATGCTATGTCAAAGCAGAGTGAGGTTGAAAGCCCAACTATCTAGGGGCATTTGTCCTTTTAATTTTTCCCCCTAAATCCTTTTATTAACTCTGGTTCTGAACCTATTCTGTTTTCCAGAAGATGTGTAGGTAGGATAAATGAGAATATACTAGGCAAAGGTCAATGTGGGTGGAGGGGATGAGAGTCCTGCTCAGAAATGCTCTGCTTAGTCTCCTCTGGAGTATGGCAGATGGGGAGGGGCACCATTGCTGCTGAGGTGCAGTCAGAGACCCATAGCTGTACGGGGAGCAGGAGGAGGCAGGGTTAATATCAGAAAAGATAATTAGTCACAGCCTGTGATCTTCCAACCTCACAATCCCCTGTAGCCTGCTTCTCACATATTAAATATGTATCTGTGGTGTATGGGTGGCTGGGGATAGAGTAAAAGAGGCCTCATACAATGCAATGTGTTTGGCCCTAGCTGGCCAAGAGGGTAGCTCTTTGGAGGTTTTGTTAAAAATCAGGGAAGGGGAAAGAAGATGTTTACAGAATGGCAAGTAGAGATAGTAAGCCCTGTCAGGGAGCCAAAGTCAGAACAAAGGGGAGACCTTGAACTCTCAGAAATGCTCTGGGTGCATCTCATTTGACACAACGAACCATTCCCCAAAAAGGCTTGCGCCCATCTCTCGCTCCTGTACCTTCAATTTAAAGGCTATTTGGTTGGCTTGTTATACACTGGAAGCCCATAGGGCCAGGAGAGACAAGAATAACGCTGGAAGCGTCAGCACAGCAGATCCTACAAAGTGGAGTCGTTTGAACAACAAAAAGCAAAGAAAACAATAGGAGACCAATTCCAAGGAATGGGGCAGAACAGAAGAGCCCTGTAACATCGGAAGAGAGATGCAGGAAACGGCATATAAAGCAACTGTGATTTCTCTAAAAGGGGGCTTTTGCTTTATTTTTCATCTCTCAAAAGGTGTCAACTTAAGAAAACTTCACAGCTCCTGTGGGCTGCTTGCCCTCAAAGGGAAATGAATTATTTAGAAGTGTGATGAATAGTTCATCAAACCTTCCTCCAACAGGGTTGCTGCTTAGGCTCAGAGTAATTGGCCAGGAGCAGGAGCAGGGCAGGCCCTTTCCTCAGTGGTTCTTTCTTCCCCTCTGGAGGGGGCCTTGAGTTGGGAGGGTGAGGATGACTGCCTAGGGTGGATCTTTCATCCCAGATGAGAACAGAGGCAGACACGAAAACCGCGGTAATTCCCAGGACAGGCCTGCAGGAGGAGCCAGCGCCCTTCAGTGGAACAAGCTATCTTAGGAAGGGAGGGCTCTTACCTGGGAAGGCTCCAAGGAGCCTCAGATTGCGCCCTAAATCCCAATCTCCCATCCGGTGGAGCAGGCTGCAGGTGCTCCCATGCCATTTCATCCTCTGCTTTCACTATTGCAGACCCTGGGGGGTTGGGGGTCTGTACAAGAGAAGGTTGTGTAGCAGAAGGAGAAGTGTGGTGCAACATGCAGCCACAAAGCTACGCTTCCAAGCCAGCCTCTGAACAGCCTTGCTTTCCCCTGCAATGTTCCCTTTCTCTTTCACCCCTTCCTCTCACACATACCACCCACCCATTCAGGTCCACACCCCTACACATTTAGTGGAAATGGTCAAAGGTTTAGGCCCAGCCTTATAAAAACAGATTCCAGACTGAAGAGGCTGTATCTTTTTAAAGGCAAAGAACACATATGATTTAGAGTTTGTAAAATCACTGACAATTGGAAGAAGACAGACAAAAACTATTCCTGGCCTCAGCCTGATCAGTAGATGAGGTGAGAGGCAATAGATATAGCGCCTCTCTTTAGTCTGTCAAATGTGGGCACAAATCAGGGCTTTGCTCCTAAGCTGTTTGACCTTATCCTGGGGGCTCCCAACCTCCGGGCTGCAACTGTGCTGGTCCAGACCGTGGCCTGTTAGGAACCAGGCTGCGCAGCAGGAGGTGAGCTGTGGGCCAGTGAGTATTACCACCTGAACTCTGCCTCCTGTCAGATCAGCGGTGGCATTAGATTCTCGTAGGACCAGGAGCTCAAACCCTATTGTGAACTGCGCATGCGAGAGATCTAGGTTGTGTGCTCCTTATGAGAATCTAACTAATGCCTGATGATCTGAGGAGGAACAGTTTCATCCTGAAACCACCTCCCCTCCCCCACTGCTGTCCATGGAAAAACTGCCTTCTGGTACCCAAAAAGTTGGGGACTGCTGCTTTAGACCCTTCACATAACCTCTCTGAGCTTCAGTTTCCCTGTCTGTAAATTGGAAATGGTAATGTACATTTCACAAGGATATTGGGAGGATTAAATGAGCTAACTTTTGTAAAGTTCTTGGTCTATAGTAACGATTTGATAAATGCCAACTATTTTTCTTGCTTTTTATCTTATCATCATATTTCCACATTTGTCATAGATCATATGGGGAACTGGGCGGAAGAATTTGAATGAGTCTGGGAAAATCAGCTCCTTACTGTTAGAGAAAACATTCATATTCCCATCCTATTTCTTCTAGCAATGGACAGCTCTTCTCATCAAACTGCTGTTGCTGTGCTAATGATAGTGAATTCTCTCTCCCTCCGTCCTTCTTCCCTTCCTCTGCTTCTCCCTCTCCCTCTCCTTCTTCTTCTGCCTCCTTCCTTCCCTTCTGCCTCTTGTATTCTGGGGGAATTTTCCTGAGATGCTGTGAAATGTCTGCTTTTTAGTAACAAGTTCTATTATTAAAGGATTCGTGTTATATTACTAAGCCCATTTGGCTACAACTTCATTGCCTACCATTCCAAACCTAACTCTACTTCACACCAAGAAGAGTAATTTAACTACACATATGCAAAAATAAATGTCCCATTGGACTTCTGTTCTTCTAAAAGATTTAGAAAATTATTTAGTACAATTACTTCTAATATGCACCCATCAGCTCTGACATGGTTCTGTGAAAAACAGTTGTGGTCATTTCACTCAAAGTAATGGATTAAGATAATAAATCTGACAAGGCCTGCCTAGCAAAGTTAACATTGAACCAGTATAGTCCTTTTACCATTGTTTGTAATTACCTCTTTTGACAGAGAAAATGTTCTGAGTAGGAGCAAGTTACGTCTCCCAATGAATGTGAAAAGTTGCAAATTTGGGGCCTCCACCTGTAGGAAGCTCATAAGCTCAGTTGCAAAAAGCTCCTGGCAATTGCTGCTGGGTGTTTTCCACTCAGTGCCACAGTGTTCTCTGTGGATGAGGAGCAGTAAGCTTGCTGTCAGCTAAAGAGCCTAGGATAAATGCAAATCATCCTCAAGCTTTTGCATATGAGAAGCAAGTGGCCAGGAGACTTCCAAATGCCCACTAATAGGTTATGGCTGTATGTTGATTCATACATCCACCCAATGTTTACACCTAGCATCTACAGAATTCTAGGCAATTGAACTACAGAAAGGACTAACACAAGGTTTCTGCCCTCAGGGAGCTTACAGTGTAGTCATGGAAACAGGCACATTTAATGAGTCTAAATTTAGAGACAAATACTGGATACGTCTGGCAAACTTCTGTGGTGAGTCCTCTATGCCATCTGTCTTTAATTATCTGACCAAATTCATGTGGAAGAAGGGTTTGATTTGCTCTCCATAACCATTCAAGTCAGAGCAAAGAATTAAGAATAAAAATAATTCGACTTTTTGAATTCTGCCTTTGTACCAGGCACTTAACACATATTGTCTCATTTAATCCTTATAGCAACTATAATAGTCTGCTCAGGCTGCCATAACAAAATACCATTGACTGGGTGGCTTAAATAACTGAAATTTATTTTCTCACGGTTCTGGAGGCTAGGAAGCCCAAGATCAAGGTACCAGCCTACTTGGTTCCTGGTGATGGCACTCTTCCTGGCTTGCAGACGGCTGCCTTCTAGCTGTATGGTCACATGGCCTTTTCTTGGTACCTGTGTATGGAAAGGGGAAGTGGGAGAGTTTTCGTCTTTTTATAAGGCCACAGTTATATCAGACTGGGCCCTGCCTTTATGCTCTCACTTTACCTTAATTACCTCCTAAAGATTCTATCTCCAGAAACAGAAACTGGGGATTAAGTTTTCAACATATTAATTTTTTGGGGCACACAGTTCAGTCCATAGCAGCAACCTTATATCTTAGATTATTATCCCTGTTTTTCAGATGAGAGAAAACCTGCTCAGAGAGGTTAAGTAACTTCTCCAAGATTACACAACTAAGAAGTTGCAGAGATAAGAGTCTATGTCTGTCTGACTAAAGGACAACTGTTTTTGTGTGCTGTACTGTTTCTGTTTTGCTTCTTGAATTAGTGGCATCTCCCACTCCACTGTGTAGTACATTTTGAGTCAATATAAGAGAAGACTTTGATGTTTGGAATAATTAGAGCTGGTAACAGGGTCTCTATCACAGGCAGTGTTAAGCAGTGTATAGATATTGTAGAGGAGATTCTTGGAGTGGGTGGAATATTGTACCAGAGCAATGATTTCCAAAGAGTGCCAAGTGACGGGGTGGGCCTTGGGGTGCCTACCCCACATCTTCTTCAATCAAAGCCACTCAGAGTTCATCTACTGAAACGATAATCCAACATTTATTGAGCATTTACCAGGTACTGTTGCATAAACTTCCCATGTATTCATTTATTCAATCATTTGCAACAGTACCAAGAGGTAGGTACTGTTATTACCCCCATTTTACAGATGGCAAAACAAAAACAAAAACAAAAACAAAAACTGAGGCATGGAGAAACAAAGAAACTTGTCCAAGGTCACACAGGTTGGGTAAGTGGAGGTGGGATTTGAACCCAGGGCTGCCCAGCATGAGAGCCTGTACTCAATAAGCAGTATGCCAACCATCTTCTCAATTTTGTTAGGAATACTGAGTTTCTTTGAAAGAATTCATATGAATAAAGAGTGATATGGATTGAAATTTTTGAAAATCGCTGTCTTTTATGGAGTTTTCAAGTTTCATTGGTTCAATAATCATTCTCTGGGTTGAGACGGTCAAGAACCTCTGGTGACACTTTCTACCAAGATAAGACCTTGGCTTCAGCCTCTGACTGTGGACTTGAATCTTTCTTTTAGCTTTGTTAAGCCAGAATTTGCTAGGTTTGGCCATGGTTGTACCTATAGACTGGCAAGTTGCCACAGCCTGACTTGGTCTCCCAGTTCTGAACTTGCTCTCTAGCTTACAGTGCTGTGGTTGGGTCCATAACATTTCTACACACAGAAACCATCCATCAGTCCCACCCAACTTGAGCATAAACTGGGATTAAGGTTCACTGGACACAATGAACTGGTGGAACATGTAAGCCTCAGGAACCTCCTCAGGAAAGACTTCCCTGAAAAAGAAGGAGCCAATCAGGAGTGATGAGCCTGACCCTGCGAGAAAGCCCTCATCATCAGAGTAGAGGGGAACAATCACTGTACAACATGGTTGTCTGTCTCTCAGATTTGTCTCCTAGCCAAGACCACCATGGACTCTTGACTCAGTGCTGTGAATAGGAGGCATGCACATAAAACCTAAGAGCACTGGTTCATGCAAAACTCCATAAGACACCTAGGCACCAGTATTGCTGCTTAAGTGTGGCTCTAACAGAATCAAACCTGAATAACAAAGTCAGTCATTTAGTTACCAATATGGGTTGTACACCCATGGTGTTCACAGTCCAGTGCTTGGTTTTCTGCTGAGTAAGAAACATGAGTTTTTATCAGCAAGGGAATACAGTATAGGGGAAGAACATAGTCTTTATTTAATGGTGTCGAGGAGGAAGAGAAGAAAAGTACAGCATTAGACAGAAGCATGCATGGCCAGAAAGCATCTAAATGTTTATAGACTGCATATAGTCCTGTTATCAGAGATTCATCTTCCATATCTTCCCAATGGGACTATTAATACCTACCTTGCAGGGTTGTTGGGTAGATTAAATAAAAAAATATATATAAATGGATATAAAATGTCTTGTTCAGTTCCTGTTAACCCAAGAGCACTGATAAATGGAAGATATTATTCTTATTGGTTGGAGTAATAGTATTGTTACTATCTTATTATTAGCACCCGTGAAATATGTTGTTCTAAGTAGCAAAAATATATGAATCTAGGGACAGTCTAAATAGTGGTTATGTTTTATTTGTCAATACCAATGTTAGGAGCTTAATTCTTGTGACCTTCCTATTGAATATGCTCTGGATGTTACTTCTGTCTTACTGTCTGGGTAGGGATTTCCCTGAAAGCAGGGATTTCATTCCCACCAAATTAGAAACTTGCTATGGAAGAGAATCACATCTTCCCAGCTCTACTGTAGAGTCTACCATCAGATACGAGGCAGCCTGAAAATTGGGTGCGAGCCTCCAACAGTGGATTTTAGTTTTCTCCAAGGACATAGATACTTTCATCTAGAGCCCACAGGTGGTCATTTGGTACATGATGTTCTTGAGTGGAATAAGATAATAGCAATCTCCATTTTATTACTGGTTAATGTCTTGGTATTATAGTTGGATTGAGCTAGATTGAGAAGGCAGAAAAGGGATGGGAGCAGGTAGGGTCCAGATGCCTCATCATAGTTGAGTTTCTATGGAATATCAAAAACCATTTTACCCTCCAAAATTTTGCAGCTGCCAAATGTCCCCAGACGCTGCACTGAGATGTTTTCCTTTATTTTTAAGCCTAGGCACATTTCAGGCCCTATTGAATGCATGTGCTTCCAATTGATTTACATTTAACACATCAAAATGTTGTTTTGTAAGAGATTTGATATCCAAGAAGCCTGCTGAGCTGCTTTTATGAACATTTTAAAGCCTTTTTCTTTGAAGGGATTGAAACCTGGGTGGTACTCTTTGTTGTTTCCAGCCTCAGATGGCCAGAGACTGCTGGAATAGTAGAGGGTATCCTGGGATGGCCTGCATCTTGTAGAGTGACTGGGCGTCTGGGAGAGGCAAGAGGATGAAGAGGGTTGTGGATCAAATGTGGATGGGGCACGTTCTTTGTGCATCATGACCAGACAGACATCTGAAGTCCCAAATATTGCCTGTTAAAACCAAATTTGAGTCCTAGCTGTTTCAATGAATCTTTATTTCTTCTTGTTTAGACTTTATCTTCTTCAATTTCTTAACCTTTATTGTTCAAACCACAGTGCAGGACACAGAGAATTTGCTTTACTGAAATGTTACTGTGGCCGGGAGATGTGGAGTGGGAGGTATCTGTTGGAAGAGCAAAAAATGTAAAAGATATAAAGTGCCATTGGAGATGCAAGAGTGTTACTTACAAAGCACCTAATCTTGTGGCTCTAAACACAAATGCCCGTAGGTGTAGCTTGTGAGTGGAAGGCATTAGGGAGTGGGACTTTGGAGAAGCAGAGCATGTATTCTCCATCTAAAATCATTAAAAATATTTGAACACTGTCCAGACCAAACAAAGCATATTAGAATGCCCAGTTCACTATACAGTCTCCAGTGTGCAGTACCTTTATCTAAATCAGCCCTCAAATCTATTAATGAGGAAACTAAAACTTGAGAGCTGCAAAATGCACCTAGTACTTAAAGCCCGTTTCTCTCCTGAATCCTTTACCTCATTGATACACCAAAGCTGCAAAATGCACCCAGCTAGTAAGTGGCGGAAAGAGACTCAAACTTAAGATTTTGGAGTGTAAACACTTCAAGTCCAGTGCATTTTGTCATTGTCATTATACTATGCTACCTCCTTAGATTAAACCTTATAAGTTAGGAAAAAATTACATCTATATATTTCATATATATATATATGAAACCAATGAAGGAAACTTATGAACCACACAATGCCTAGTGCTGGTAGTTTAGTGGGGGGAAGATTGACAAATTGACAGTGGAAAAAGAATAGCAAAGTGGCTGGGAATCAGAAATAAGGAAATGTAAAGTATAAATTAGAAATTGGGGAGGACTCAGAGGAGGTGAACCTTGAATCACTTCTGAGCTGGAAGTGACAGAAAACTCAAGAAAGCTTAGAGGCAGGTGTGAGGTGGGAGAGTGATGGCAGCAGGCAGTCCCTTTGAAGAGTTAGGTGAGGAAGTCTTAGACAAACATGTAATCTAAAGTCATATGTGGTTAATATTCCAGTTAACAGTTTAAAAGCATATCTGCGACTACCTAAGCTAAGAAGTGGAGGAGAGAACATTTGTATTCACCTGGAGGCTTTCATTTTAAGCATTATGATGTGTGTGTGTGTGTGTGTGTGTGTGTGTGTGTGTGTGTGTGTGTGTGTGCGCGCGCGCGCGCTTCTGTGTGTCTAGAAATGTAAGTTAAATACTACCGTGTGTCTAAGATCAAATGTTTGACAAGAAAATGAGTTACACTGTGTAAGTATATGATGTCACCTCCATATATATAGCTAAATTTTGACAGATAGCTTCTCCTGGGGAAAATTGTGCCATCCACAGGCATCATGATCCTCATTTAATTGCTGTCTAATTTTTTTTTGAGACTAATTTTTACCTGCAGTTAGAAGTTGATATTATGTGCACCTGTGAGGTACCATTTGAGGCCCTCTGTTTTCCTAACCAACTGTGTGATACCATTTTTTGGAGTTGGCACCATTTAATAACATCCCCTCCAAAAGCAACTTTCAGCTAAATTTAAGGAAACCATGAAAGGTTCCTTACTTCAGGACATAGTCTTCTTTTACATATTGAAGAGGCTGGTTTAAGTCTCAGTCCACAAATTTAGGTTTTTATAGTTCAACTTCTGCTTGGGTTCCTAAACCCATAGGATGGCCAAACTCAATATCATTCTATGCAAGGATCTCTCCTTTCCCTAGGGTTGTATGCACTGGTGAGCCATCTGATCCTTAATGTCATCTACTAGGTAAGTTGCAGCTTTGATATCCCTCCACCTGTCCCCTTCAGCTCTAATGGCTCTCTTTGATACTTCCATGCTTCATCTGAGGACTTGGAAGTCATTCTGCACCTTCCTGGCCATAAGCAGGCACAGAAATTTATTTCCTTCTTCATTCCCCAAGGCTTTTGCCAGGAGGCAATTTGCAAAGACCCTCTTGCTGGGTTCCAGTTATGCCTATAGTCTCAAAATTTCTCTTTTTCTCCTATCCTCCTCAATAAACACATTCACTTTACTCTCTGTCCTCTCTAGTGCCCTCAGAACTTAATTTTTTGGACACCCAAACTGATCAACTCTTTTATTTCTGCTTTTGTTCAGTCATATCCCTCCCCGAGGCAATGAACACAAAATTGTGGAACTGATGGAATTGGGAAGGGAGTGGTGGTCATTGGGGTACGGAGTGGACTACTAGGAGAAAAAATCATTTCAAATAATATTATCCTGATCTAAAATCTAAATGATTTAAAATCATCATCATCACCAACACCACCACCATTATCAACATCATCATCAGTATTCTTTGTTACCTAAATACTCCTCTTGACCTATTATGTGCAGTTTGAGTTACTTCTCCAGTAATAAAATTAAGCTTTTCTGCAGCTAATCATACCATTTTTATTCCCTGGAGCTGCTGGGATTCTGGGATTTGGCACCAGGGGCAGTCTGTTGCCTGGAAACTAGGCAGAGCACCCCATAGCCAAACTGTCCGTATCCTCTCCCCGTTTAGTGTCAAGTACAGTCATTACTCTGCATAAAGATGTTGTTTACTAAATTCATTTTTAAGGGGTACTATGATTTAAATGTTTGTCCCCTCCAAAATTCATGTTGAAATTTAATTGCCATTGTGACAGTATTGGGATATGTGACCTTTAAGAGGTGTTTAATCATGATGGCTCCTTCCTCATGAATGAACTAATGCCATTATCACAGGAGTGGGTTTGCTATTGTTATCACAGGAATTAGTTTGCTCCTCCTTGATCTCTTTCTTTTTTTGGCCCTTGCACCATGTGACGCCTTCTGCCATGTTATTATGCAGCAAGAAGGCCCTCACCAGAAGCTGGCACCTTTATATTGGACTTTCCAGAACCGTGAGCCAATACATTTCTGTTCATTATAAAATACCCAGTTTGTGGTATTCCGTTACAGCAGCAAAAAACAAAAACAAAAACAAAACAAAACAAAACAAAACCAAACAAAAAACTAAGACATCCTGAAACAGCAGTGTGTGTACTTCTTGGCTTTTATGAAATTGCTAGTTAGAAGTCCAGATATTGCAAATATTTTCAAATCTTAATACTTCAGATGGCAAATTGTGTATATACACATAGAAGTGTTCACATAGGGAGGAGCGTCAAGAAGGCATGCAAACAACAGATAGAGAGAAATGAATCAATTAGTCTAGTATAGGGGCCAATGGAAATATTCAATTTCAAAAAAACCAATAAGTACTCAAATTATGGGTAAGAGCAACAGAAAGAAACTGATACCCGGAGGGATAAAATTGGAAGCTTGGCTTTGTTTTCAATAAGAGACAGAGGTTAGTAGGACAAGAGAGAAAACAACAGCAAATGTTAATTCAAAGCTCATTTCCCCTTCCTTGCCTTCCTCTCACCCTAGCTCCTTGTCCCATGGTGAGAAATAATGATCAGGTTCCACACTTGGAAGAATGGGTAATGGGAAGCATGGTGAGAGGAAATGACTTTCTCAGCTAATTGTCAGCAGTAGTTGAAGGACCCACAACTGGTGTCTCTCTGGGTACTCTCGCATGCCTGCTTCCAAAGCAGACTCTGGTTGGTTAACTTAGCTGGTCAAAACCCTGTGGCAATAGAACCAAGGTAGTGGGTTTCTTCTAATTTGGGTCTCATGGCTTAACTCTGTTCCCCAGCTACAGATGGAACCCAGGGCATAAGCTTTAACCTTATGTATAGTCTCAGCCTGAGCCTAGCCTTAATCCCAGAAAAAAACTCAAACCTGGTCACAGGTAGAACCCTATCATTGGCCAGAGGCTGAGGTCCTAATCCTGATCATAGGCTGACCTCTAATCCTTGTCATAGGTTGAGCTCTTAAACCCAGCCATAGGTTGAGCCCCTGACCTTGGCTAGCTACCTCAGATATATGTATTATGGGGCATCAAAGGGATCAGGAAAGAAGGTAAAGATGTTGTAGTGTATCTCCATTATTTCTACTAAGAAAAGGAACTTACTCTATTAATAGGACATGAGTAACCTATTTTCCTGTGATAACAAATGATATATACATGTTTTTATTTACTAGAAGCCACAGGGAGAAGCTTGCTGGAGTGAGAATATGGGAACTATTGCCTCTAACTTTGAGGATAGAATTTAGGATAGATGTGATAAAATCTCTTTGAAAATGTATCTGCCATTTTATTTCTTTTGTTAAAAAGACAGCACTGGTGTTTGTTTTGCTCCACTCTCTCATGTTTAAGATACCAAGGGCAATGCCATGACAGCAATTTATGAAAATGCACCTAGTACTTAAAGCCCATTTCTCTCCTGAATCCTTTACCTCATTGACACACCAAAGCATCTAAAGTCTCCAACATTTGAATCACTTCTTTGGGTTTTGACATGGGTAGCTTCTATTTTATTGCAGATCTTATTTGGGTTATTTCCCATATATAGATAATGATAATTAAAATACATTTAGAAAATGAGTCTATTCTGAGTAACCAAAATAAACTGTTTCCAGCGTTCAAATCAGTCCAAAAGTTGGTTGGTAAAGTGTACAAGAGTTTTAAATACAAACTGGAAAAATAACACTTACAATGGAGTAAATCTTACTTGATAGTTAAAAAATATTTAATGCAAGTCTGAAATTTTGCCTCAAACATCCATACAAGTATAGGGAGAAGTTGGTAGCTAACATTAGTTACCTAAAAGGCAGTCGTATCAAAAGCAGGGGAAGATTGGGTGACTCTCCACTTCCAGGCAGTAATTGATCCTAGGTAACTGATCAAAGTTTGCTAGAAGGTAGAGTATTTCACATATGCTGCCCAGAGACAAACTTCTGACCTGCTTGAAATTTCTAGTTGAAAATGTATATATCCTTGCAAATATTTTCAAACCTTAACACTTCTGATTATAAGGTACTCCTATCTATTAGGGAAGCATGATATGTGGATTGCTGTAAAAGATGGCGGTACTATAGAAGGCTACTACATATGTAACAAACCTGCACGTTGTGCACATGTACCCTAGAACTTAAAGTATAATAAAAAATAAAAATAAAAAATATATGTCTTCAATCTCTCCCTCTTTTCTTATCAGTTTTTAATCAATCTCAAGTTGCCTTCTTACTGTAAAACACAACAAAAATAATCCTTCAATCCCATATTGTGCTTCTTAGCCAAAATTTATCAAATAGGGTGAGCTTACCATCTATACTTCCTCAGCTGCACTTAGTTTTTACTTTAAACTTTATTGAAGTGTAATTTACATACAATAAAATGCACACATTTTAAGTGTACATTTAATGAGTTCTGAAGAATTCATAAACCTATGTACCCATCATCACAATCATGCTATAGAACACTTTCATCACCCCAAAAGTCAATTGCCTCTTCCTAGTTAATTTTCTACCTCTCAGCCCCAGAAAAACTCTAATATTCTTTTTGTTGCTATAGATTAATGTTTTTTGGGGGGGGGAACCCCAGAAAAACTCTAATATTCTTTTTGTTGCTATAGATTAATTTTTTTGGGGGGGGGGGCAGGTTACTATCAATCGAGTATAATGTGTACCTTACAATTTTTAATTTATTTTCTTTTCAGATAATTTTTATTCCTCTTGATTGGGGTATAATTGACACATAAAAATTACATAAATTTAAGATGTGCAACATGATGATTTGGTATGCATACACATTGTGCTCAGAGTTACCTTTTTTGTGGTAAGAGTACTTCAGATCTACTGTCTTAGCAAATTTAAATGTAATCACCATGCATTACATTAGATCTTCAGAACTTATTTGTCTTATAACTGAAAGTTTGTACCCTTTGGCTAACATCTCCCTCTTCCCTCCCCTCACTCCTGCCCCCAGCATTTGGCAACCACCATTCTACTCTCTGCTTCTGTGAGTTCAACTTTTTTAGACATATTAGTGAGACCATACAATATTCGTCTTTCTGTGTTTGGCTTACATCACTTAGCATAATGTTCTCCAGAGTCATCCAAATTGTCACAAATGACAGAATTTTCTTCTTTTTTTGAGGCTGACTAATATTCTGCTACACAAACACACACACACACACACACACACACACAATATATATACCAAATTTTCTTTATCCATTCATCCACCAATGGACACTTTGATTGTTTCCGTATCTTGACTATTGTGAATAATGCTGTGATAAACATAGGAGTATAGATATTGCTACAAAATATCAATTTAATTTCCTTAGAAAATATATGCAGAAGTGGGATTGTTGGATCATATGGTAGTTATATTTTTAATTTTTAAGGAATTTTCATACTGTTTTCCATAATGTTTGTACCAATTTACACTCCCACCCACAATTTACAAGAGTTCCCTTTTCTTCACAACAACATTCTTTATATCTTGTCTTTTTGATACTGGTCATTCTAACTGGGATAAGAAAATATATCACTATGGTTTTGATTTGCATTTCTCTAATGATTAGTAATGTTGAGCATCTTTTCATATACCTATTGGCCATTTGTATGTCTTCTTTGGAAAAATGTCTCTTCAGGTTCTTTGCCTATCTCCTAATTGGGTTATTTGGGGACTTTTTTGGCTATTGAGTTTTATGAGTTAGCATTTTTTTTATTCTTATATATCTGACTTTCACAAAGCGTAACATTTTTGAGATTCATCCATGTCACGGTGTATATCAGTAGATTGTTTGCAGATGCCCTTTATTGGGTTATAGAAATTCCCTTCTGCAAAACTTGCCAAAATTTTTTGGGGGAATGGATGTTAGATTTTGTCCAGTGTGTTTTCGGTACCTTTTAAGATGATCATATGGTTTTTTAGCCTATTAATATGATGAGTTATTTTGATTGATTTTCAAATACTAAACTAACCTTGTAATAATAGGATAACTATTGAGCCACTTGGTCATGATGTAGTATCCCTTTATACATTGTTGAGTTTGCGCCATCAAATTTTGTTAAGAACATATCTGTTCATGATGGATATTGGTCTATAGTTTTCTTTTCTTGTAATGTCTTTGTTATATTTTGGTAACAGTAATGCTGGCCTTATAGAATGTGTTGGAAATATTTCTTCCTTTTTAATTTTCAAGAAGAGTCTGTATTGAATTTAAATGTTTGATAGAATTCTTTAGTGAAACCATCTGGGCCTGGAGTTTTCTTTCTGGGCAAGTTTTAAACTATAAATTCAATTTAAAAAATAGATATAGGGCTTTTTAGGTTATCTATCCTTGAGTAATAATAGTATCTGTTTGAGCCGTTTTGAGTAGTTTCTTTCTTGTAAGAAATTTGTCAGTTTCATCTGCTGTAATATTTATTAGCCAAAGTTGTTTATAATATTAATAGCTTTTTAATAATTGTAGAATTGGTAGTGATGTTACCACTCTCATTCCTGATATTGATAATTTGTTTCTTCTCATTTTTCCTATACAGCCTGGCTATATATTTATCAATTTTATTGATTTTCTCAAAGAACCAGTTTTTGACTTCACTGATTTTTCTCTATTGTTTTTCTTTATTTATTTCATAGATTTCAACTCTGATTTTTATTATTTCATTTCTTCTGTTTATTTTAGGTTACATTTGCTTTTTTTCTAGTTTCATAGATGGAAGACATTTCTTATACTCAAATATATTTATTTAGTGCTATAAATCTCCTGGTAAGTACCATATTAGCTGCATCCTACAAGTGTTTATAAGCTGTGTTTTTATTGTTATTAAATTCAAAATACTTTCTATTTTCCCTTTTGATGTTTTAATTATTCATGATTTATAAGTGTGTTGTTTAGTTTCCAAAAAAATTGCAATTTTCCAGAGGTTTTTCTGCTATTGATTTGTAACTTAATTTCATTGTGATCAAAGAATATTCTTTATGTGACTTAAATAATTTTAAATTTATTGAGACTTGTTTTATGGCCCAGATTATTGTCTATCATGATAAAATGTTCCATGTATACTTGAACAGAATGTGTATTCTTCTGTTGTTGGGTGGAATGTCCTATGCTGATTATATGTTATTATTTCTTATCTATCCTTGCTGATATTCTGCCTGGTAGTTCTATATCAGTTGCTGAGAAGTAGATATTATAGATCCCAACTATAATTAAAGATCACATCATTTGTTTCCTATCTCTCAATAAATATTGTTGTTTGTTGCTTGATGTTCAGTGTCTGAAAACTATTGTTTCATATATTTTGTCCCTTTTTGTTAGTTCCATGTATACTTGAACAGAATATGTATTTTTCTGTTGTTGGGTGGGATGTCCTATGCTGATTATATGTTATTATTTCTTCTCTATCTTTGCTGATATTCTGTTTAGTAGTTTTATCAGTTGCTGAGAGGGAGATATTATAGATCCCAACTATAATTAAAGATCATTTATTGCCTTTATCTCAGTAAATATTGTTTTTTGTTGCTTGATGCTTAGTGTCTGAAAACTATTGTTTCATATATTTTGTTCCTTTTTGTTAGTTGTTTCAGGCAGGGGAGTAAGCTTAGTCCCTGCTATTCCATCTTGGCCAGAAGTGGAAGTTCCACAAACATTTATTTTTAAACATGTTCAAATTTCGCTTTCATACTCATGCTACTTGAAACTGCCCTTACAGGGGTCACCAAGAACTTTTTGTTGACAAATTGAATGGATCATTTCCAATTCTCTTATTTACCTCTTGGAAGCATTTGACTCTGTTTATAGGACTTTGATCTCAGAATAGTTTCTACCTTTGACTTCTGCAAAAATTACATATCTTGGTTTTTCTCCAAGCTTTCTGGCAACTTTTCTCAATCTACTTAATTATTTCATTTTCTTCTACTTGTCTCTTTAATTTCAGTATTTTTCACAAATATTAATTGAACTTCCCCTGGATGCTAGATGCAGTGCCAAGTGTTACAGGGTCCTCAAACTCAGTACACATCAAACCAAAATCATCTTTCCTCACTTCTTACCCTGACCTTATTTTCCTATGTTTCTTATCTCAATAAGTGCTATCCAGTGGTCCTACCTGGAAACTTGGGAATAATCCTTCATTTTTCCCTCTCCTTCACTATGCCCACCTTACATTCATGCCTGATAACAGGGAGTGATGTCTATAAAATATTACCAGGGCAAGGCAATCTGAATGGAGGGAGGGGCAACCCTGACTAAACTACATATCAGTACAAGTTCTATGTAAAGGTTTTTATCTTTTCCACCCTTGATGGGGAGACTAAATAGTGTTTCTCACTGGAGCCTCTACTCACTCTCAGCAGTCCCATTCCCATTCAATCAGTCCTCAAGTCTTTTAGGTTGTACTTATTTAATACCTTTGAAACTGTCCACTTTCTACTGTCTCCCTGGATACCTCCTTAGTTTGGCACTAATGGCCAAGGCTACCACTCTAAACTAAACTACCATTCTCTCTTGCCTTAACTACTATAGAGCCTCCTAAGTGATCTCCCTACTTCTACTCTTATCCTACTTTTCTCCCAATCCATTCTCAATTCAGTAGCCAAAACTGTCCTTAAAAAAATGAAAATCAAATCATAGCATTATCTGCTTTAAAGCCTTATTACTCTTCTTTGCTCTTGCTTTGTAAATAAAATCAACACTCCATATCAGGGTCGATAAAGCCCTGCAGGATCTTGACAGTGCCTATCTCTCCAGTTTCATCTCTTGCCATTCCCAGATGGTCACCACTTTGTCTAGATAATTTCTACTCATCCTTAAGATTCCATCTCAAGTGCCACTTCTTCCATGAAGACTACTCACTCCCTGATATGGTTTGGATTTGTATCCCTGCCCAAATCTCATGTCAAATTGTAATCCCCCGTGTTGGGAGTAGGGCCTGATGGGAGGTGATTGGATCATGGAGGCGGTTTCTAATGGTTTAGCACCATCCCCCTAGTGCCATCATGAGATTTGGTTGTTTAAAAGCATATAATATCTCCCCCCTTGCTCTCTTTCTCCTGCTCCAGCCATGTAAAATGTGCCTGCATCTCTTTTACTTTCTGCCGTGATTGTAAGTTTCCTGAGACTTTCCCAGGCATGCTTCCTGTACAGCCTGTAGAACCATAAACCAATTAAATCTCTCTTTTTTTAAAATAAATTACCCAGTTTCAGGTATTTCTTTACAGCAGTGTGAGACCAGACTAATTGCATAAGTAAAAGGAAGGCAAGTACTAATTGCCAAGACAATGGGGAAAAGGCCCAGAAGGCTTTTCAGAGTCCTCCACAGCAGGCCCTCCTATCACAGGCCCTGAGGCCTAGGAGGGAAGAACAGTCCCTTAGGACACTGCTCCTGGCATCCTGGCAGCTCCAACTCTGGCTGTGGCTCAAATGGGCCCAGGTACTCTGGCTGTTGCTTCAGAGGGTGTAAATCGTTAAGCTTTGGTGACTTCCATGTGGTGTTAAGCCTGCAGGTGCACAGAGTGCAAGAGTTGAGGCTTGGGAACCTTCACCTAGATTTCAGAAGATGTATGGAAAAGCCTGAATGTCCCAGCAAAAGTCTGCTGCTAAGGTGGAGCCTTCATGGAGAACCTCTACTTGGGCAGTACAGAAAGGAAATGTGGGGTTGGAGCCCCCTCACAAAGTCCTCACTGGGGTACTGCCTAGTGGAGCTGTGAGAAGAGGGCCACTATCCTCCAGACCCCAGAATGATAGATCCACCAACAACTTGTACTGTGTGCCTGGAAAAGTCACAGGCACCCAACACCAGCCCTTGAGAGCAGCTGTGGTGGCTGATCCCTGTAGAGCTACAGGGGTGGAGTTTCCAAGGCCTTGGGGGTCCACTCCTTGCATCAGTGTGACCTGGATGTGAGACATGGAATTAAAGGAGATTATTTTGGAGCTTTAAGATTTAATGACTGCCCTGCTGGTTTTGGACTTGCATGGGGCCTGTAATACCTTTCTTGAGACCAATTTCTCCCTTTTGGAAAGGGAATATTTACCCATTTCCTGTATCCCCATTGTAGAAGGGACTTGCCCTGTCTCAGGTGAGACTTTGGAATTTTGAGTTAATTGTGGTATAACTTAAGACTTTGGGGGACTGTTGTGAAGGCCTGATAGTATTTTGAAATGTGAGAAGGAAATGATATTTTGGAGGGGCCAGGGGCAGAATGATATGGCTTGGATTTTTGTCCCCACCCAAATCCCGTGGTTAATTGTAATTTCCAATGTTAGAGGTGGGGCCTGGTTGGAGGTAATTGGATCATGGAGGCAGTTTCTAATGGTTTAGCACCATCTCTCTAGTGCTATCATGAGATATGGTTGTTTAAAAGGATGTAGCACCTCCCCTCTTGCTCTCTTCCTGCTCTAGCCATGTAAGATGTGCCTGCCTCCTTTGCCTTCTGCCATGATTGTAAGTTTCCTGAGGCCTCTGCAGACATGCTTCCTGTACAGCCTGTGGAAGCATGAGCCAATTAAACCACTTTTCTTTATAAATTACCAAGTTTCGTTTATTTCTTTATAGCAGTGCATGAACAAACTAATATACTCCTTAAAGTTGGTTTTGGTGACTCTCCTCTGCCGTCTTGTAGCACCCTTGACTTACCCGTATTTCAGCACTCATCATAAATTAATTATAATTGCCTGCTTAGTTAATTGCCTCTCTAGCTTGATTGTGAACTCCTTGAAAGCAAGGACTCTTTTTTTTTTTTTTTTTCTTATCATTATATTCTCAATGGTGAGCATGATTTCTAGCACATAACATTTTAGGGACATATGAATAAATGCAAATTTAGCCTACATTTTAAGAGGAGGTAGTATTTTAAGTGTGTTCCAAAACTACACCAAGATCGCCCTCAGATTCTCTTCTCTATTCCTGAGGGTGGTGCAGATGAAGAAGAGAGTACTTCCTTTGGAGTGATCAGGGAAGGCTTCACAGGGAAGTGGAATTTGAGGTAGATTTAGAAAAACAGATACGACTTTTGCTAGGTGATTGTGGAGAAAGCATTTTTAAACCCCAGGAACAGTATGAGCAAAGACATAGAGGTAAGGTTGATTGTACATTGAATGTTTGGGGTAGAGCTAATAGTTTAGTGTCATTAGGAGAGAGGATTGATATAGGCATGTAAAGGGAGACAAATATAGAAAGCTAGGTAGGGGCCCTGAGGTAGGATACTTTGAATGGCATGCTAAAGGGTATGGATTTGATTTCATGGGCTCTGAGGAGTATTTTTCTTATATTTATCATGCATTAAAGACTTATTAATCATGTAAAAGGATTGGACTATCTTGAAAACACAATATGTTTTTTTTTTCCTGAGAATATATCTTAGAAATGGTATTATAAATAAGGGACTAAAAATGATTTACTTTACAAACGTGTATTTTTGCAGACAACATTTTGGGTGTGCATAATTTTCTTTAAATGACATGAAATTGAAATACATATTAAATTCAAAACAAATGATTTTTAAAAGTATTCATTGTTTGGACTGTCCTTGCCATGGCTTGCTTTTTTGCAGATGTAATTGACAATTAACTACACATTAAATAGACAGACTATCAGCCTGACTCATGATGTCTTGCCCCCTGCCAAACACCTTGAATTATGGTTGTAATTCTTGGAATCAAATGTAGTAATCAACGATATCAGTTGTTGGCTGTATATGAGTTAGTGGGGTGGTGATGGTGGGAGAAGATGAATCACTGGGCTATAAAGCAGAACTGAATTCTAGTCTTGCTCTGACACTAGCTGTGTGATTTTGGAGGAGTCACTTCACTTCTTTGTACTTAAATTTCCCCAACTGCAAAATAAACATTTAACTCTAACATTGTGTGTGATTTTTTATTTGTCAACATTACTCAACCTAAACATCTTTATTTGCTGAGAGAAAATACTCTTTCTCACACCATTTTGTTTCTAGTGAGTTACTCCTACGATCACTTGGCCAACTTATTTGGTTCTGATTAGTAGAAACAAAACAAAAAAAATGAAATCATTTTGCTTCACATAGCACTTTATCAAAAATGGCTCAAGTCAGTTCCTAAGATAGCTGATCTGTATTTGGAAGCTTTGTCTCAATCTCCTCATTCCTTCCTCCCTTCATTCGCTGTATTGAGTGATCTAACCCACTATTGCAAAATACTGCTCAAACCTATGTCTCTTAGTTTTGGCCTCTCTTTTGAAATTTGGATTTGAACTTCCAACTGCTTATAGAATATTTTCACTTAGATATATCCTGCAGTCACCTCAAACTCAAACTTCCAAAATGAACTCCTCATCTCCAAAAAATAACAATGACAAAATGAACAAAAACCAAATGCAGTTATCTTATTGTTCCCTAACTCAGTTACATGAAACATGTAACTTAAAATTACCTGTGATTCCTTTGTCTCCCTAATGCAGAATCCCTAAACCTAATCAATTACAGATATCTTACATCTCTCACTTCTTTCCTCTCCTTTCATCTCCTATTGCCACTGCTCTCAAGCAGACGTCAGTCTTTTTTACTCTACTCTGTGGCAGCAGCCCCCCAAATGGCTCTACTCTTTCCACTTCTATCTGCATTTCATATTCCCATTAGAATAATCTTTCTAAAGCATAGCTGTCATCATGTCACTCTCCCCCTCAACTGCCACTGTCTCCATTCTCATTGCCTACAGGATAAAACACAAATGGTTCTGCTTGGCATCTGAAACCCTCTACAATTTGGCCCAGGCTACCCCCTCAAGCTTATGTCCTCAGGCAGGCTATGCTCTATATTTGAAACATATACTATTCTTTGTCACTCTTATACCTTTGTTCATGCACATATTTCCTTCTGCCTGTAATGTATTTCTATCACTGCCTGGTAAAACCTTGCTCATCCTTCAGTTGGTTGTGTGTGCTGTTCTTCGAATATTTTGTGATTCTTGATTATTACGTTTCCTTTATTGATGAGATTTCCTGCCAGATTGGTGCCTCTGTTTATGCAGTTCCCTGGGAGGTGCCTGTTGGGGCTTGTGCCCTCTTTACAGTGAGAGTAGAAGATGGATAGAGATGCTTTTAATGTGTCAATGGGTAGGATATTTTAACATTTGGCAATCAGGACATGGTCACTCCCCTTTCCTTCCAGAAGTCATCAGCCTCTGGGGACACTATTCTCTCTCCCTGACTCAAGCACTGCTTCTGCCTGAAGACAGATAACCCCATTGCTGTTGCCTGACTCACAGTGGGGATAGAGCAGGGGAATGCACAGAGGTTAGCCAGTGTGTCTACTACAATCACTTCAGTGACCCTTTTAATCTCCTTGTTGGCTTCTTCTATGCCACACCCTTGTCAGATTTCATGACCTCCAAGTGTGAAGCACCCTTTGTGTAACTTCTACCCTTTGTGAAAACAGATCCTGGTACCTAATCTGTGCATGTCATAGGCTGCTGTTTTCCTATTTAGTTTGATTTGTTGGTTTTCAGTTTTGCAGAGATTCCTCAGATTTTAGTCCCCTAATGATGTATCTTCTTGATTTTGAGTCTAGTATTTATCTCTCTCTCTCTCTTTTTCTCTTTCTCCCTCTCATTTTAGCTTTGGCGGAGAAAATGGTATGGAGTCAGAAGGTAGGAAAACTATCATGTGTATTTAGTCTGCCATTTGAAACCAGAAATATTAATTATTCTCCAGATCTCTGTGCAACATGACTTACTCCATAAAGTCATTTGAATTACTCTTTCCCTTGCCATTCTTCCACCATATTCAATGAAAACAGAGAAAAAATTCATATGAGAACTGCTGAAAAGAAATATGACATTAAATATGTATTCCCAACTAAAAAGTAACTCTCAATAAAATTGGAATTATTGGATAGTTCTTAAAATGACTTAAAAAGGCTTAAAATGACTGTATAAAATATACAAGTATATGGGTGTGTGTGTGTATATGTGTATATATGTGTGTGTGTGTGTGTGTGTGTGTGTATAACTGATATGGTTTGGCTGTGTCCCCACCCAAATCTCATCTTGAATTGTAGCTCCCATAATTTCCACTAGTGGAAGGGACCTGGTGGGAGATAATTGAATCATGGGGGCAGTTTCCTGCATACTGTTCTCATGGTAGTAAATAAGTCTCATGAGATCAGATGGATTTATAAGGGGAAAACCCTTTTTCTTCGCTCTCATTCTCTCTTGCCTGCTACCATGTAAGTTGTGCATTTTGCCTTCTGCCATGATTGTGTGGCCTCTCTCCCAAGACAATAGGAAAAATGTCTCCAGGGCATGTCAGAGGTTTTCACAGCAGCCCCTCCCATCACAGGCCTGGAGGCATAGGAGGAAAAAATGGTTTCATGGGCCAGGCCCAGGACTCCCCTGCTGTGTACTTGGTGCCCTGCATCCCAGCTGCTCCAACTGTGAGTAAAAGGAGCCAAGGTACAACTCAGGCTATGGCTTCAGAGGGTGCAAGCCCCAAGCCTTGGCAGCTTCCACATGGTTTTTAGCCTGTGGGTGCACAGAAGTCAAGAATTGAGGTTTGGAAACCTCTGCCTAGATTTCAGAAGATGTATGGAAATGCCTGGATGTCCAGGCAGAAGTTTGCTGCAGTGGTGGGGCCCTCATGGAGAACCTCTGCTAGGGCACTGCAGAAGGGAAATATGGGGTTGAAGCCCCCACACAGAGTCCCCACTGGGACAATACCTAGTGGAGCTGTGAGAAGAGGGCCACCATCCTCCAGACCCCAGAATGGTAGATCCACCAGCAGCTTGCGCAGTGTGCCTGGAAAAGGTGCAGACACTCAATGCCAGCCTGTGAAAGCAGCCAGGAAGGAGATCATTTTGGAGCTTTAAGATTTGACTGCCCTGCTGAATTTTGGACTTGTATGGGGCCTGAAGTCCCTTCATTTTGGCCAATTTCTCCCATTTGGGATGAGTACATTTACCCAGTGCCTGTACCCCCATTGTATCTAGGAAGTAACTAACTCGATTTTGAATTTACAGCTCATAAACAAAGGGAACTTGCCTTGTCTCAGATGAGACTTTGTACTGTGGACTTTTGAGTTAATGCTGAAATGAGTTTAGAATTTGGGGGACTGTTGGGAAGGCATGATTCATTGTAAAATGTGAGAACATGAAATTTATGAGGGGCCAGGGGCAGAATGATATGGTTTGCCTGTGTCCCCACCCAAATCTCATCTTGAATTGTGGCTCCCATAATTCCCACTTGTTGTGGGAGGGACTCGGTGGGAGATAATTGAATCATGGGTGTAGTTTTCCCCATACTGTTCTTGTTGTAGTGAATGAGTCTCATGAGATTTGATGATTTTATAAGGGGTTTCCTTTTTCACTTGTCTCTCACCATTTAAGCTGTGCCTTTCACCTTCTGCCATGATTGTGAGGCCTCCCCAGCCACATGGAAATGTGAGTCAGTTAAACCTCTTTTTATTTATAAATTACCCAGTCTCAGGTATGTCTTTATCAGTACAGTGAAAATGGACTAATACAATAACCAAAAGCCAAAATCATGTTAAATGGTGAAACACTAACTTTTAGTAGTGAAAGACTTCTATGAAAGGCAGGAAGATGGTAAGAATTAACTTTATTCTAGAGGTTTTAGTCAGTACAATTAGATAAGCCAAAGAAGTAGGAAGTATAAAAACTGGAAAGGAGGAAGCCAAATTATCAAATTTTTACTGGTATGATTAAATATCTAGAAAACACAAGAGAATCAAGTTAAAAATATAGTACATAGTAAGATAATTCAGACTTCTCAGAACAAAATTAATATATACAACTGAAAAGTATCAAATATATGCTTGTATAATAAAATAATCCCTTTTGCAAGTGTAAGAAAAATGGTAATGGCCTAGAAATAGATTTATCAGCAATGTACAAGATCTTTTAGAAGAAAAATTGGAACACAACGAGGAGGAATCTAATTGGAGACTTGAACCAATGGAAAACCTATATCATATTCTTGGGTTTGAACACTGAATATCATAAATGTGAATTTGACAATTTTAATATTATCTGAATAAGAATAACTATAGAAAACTAAAGTTCACATAGAAAATTAAACATGCAAGTATAGTGTGGAAAAACCTGGAAAAATTTATTAGTGGGGAGCTGTCCCTATCAATCTTAAAATATCATAGAACTATAGTAATTAAAACTTTAAGATATTGGCACAAAACAGACACACAAATCAATGCAAAAGTATAGATTAATCCAAAAATAGACCCAAATATATAGAGGAAATTCATATATAACAAAGATAATATTTCAAATCAGAGGAGAAAAGATGGATTATTCAACAAGTGGTATTGGGTCACCTGGGTAGCTATCTGGTGATGATTTGGGGTAGCCAAAAATAAGGTTGGATTCTTCCTTCTATCTATGCCAAGTGAACACAGTTACCAGCATAGGTTATATCCCCAGTAATGTTAACTGCCATAAGAGATGTCTACAATCAGAGCCATGATACACTTATTATGTTTACCAGTAACTGCCATACCAACTAGCAGCCATAACCACTATTCAACTCTAATCCCAGACTCCATGCCTATCATCAACAACTATATTCATTGACAATCCCTGTCACCAGCAGCCATACCTACTGCAAGCTGCCTTGCAAGTATCCATCAGCAGTAACCACACCACTGGTTCCACCCAGCACCAACCATATTCGGTACCCCTCCTTGCTATCACCTCTTCCCTACCTTGACCTCTTTACCTTCTGGGCTGCTTTTGCTCATACACATTCCTTTGCCTATAGTGCTTCTATCCTCTTGTCTCCACCAGCCTCACTCTTTACATAAACAAGACCAGCTCACCTTTCTCCTCTCAGCTTAATCTTTTGCCCTTCAGAATAGGCTGGGGCCCCATATGATATGCCCATTGTGTTTGCCTGTTACATATTTTAATCAATCAGTGAACTAATTGTAGCCATTTATTTAAGTTCTATTAGGCTACATTTATATTTTGTTCACCACTGTATCTCTTAGAGCCTAGCACAGTTCCTAGCATACCATTGGTGTTCAAAAAATATTTGTTGACTGACTCATTGACTGTATGGGACTGCTTATTCTTGTGCTAGTCCTTCAGGTTGCTCTGATGGTACAATTGTACTGGACCTTGAGGCCTTTCTTTTCCCAGTGTCTCCCAGCCATCTGCTAAGGACTTGAAATTCCTATGATTCCTCTGTGTTGAAGCTTTGAGAATACTTGTTAGAATGCAAATATAGTGACCACTGATTGTTCCCAGCAAAGAGAGGTTAGACTAGATCACAAGGCTTTTGGGTTGAGAGTTAGTCTAGTTGGTTATGATGTTATGGGAAGAGGGACCTTGGAAGAGAGATCCCTCAGCATAAACTCTGGGGAGGGAGTGTGAAGGTGGTGCCCAAACACTTGATATGAGGGAATTGAGGAGCCAAGGTGTGGGTGGGATGGAGAGAGGCAGTGATGCCACAAGCCAGGCTCCATTTATAGCTCAGCTTACATTACAACGTGTGTACATTGTTTTGGTTTCTATACAAGAATTTTTTGGCAAAATTTGGGGCTTTTCTTGTGGGGAAGACAAATCCTAACCTTTTATCAAGTGACACTGTGAGATTTATAATTAGATAATAGTGGCTGTCTCTTGAGGGGACTGTCAGTTTGCAAGTGATTCTCACCAGATTATGGTGGGATCAATAGGAGCCGAATAATTAAAATTCGATACTACTATGTCTCTCTCAATAACACTGTGGAGAATGATGTATGACAGATTTAATTGAATTTGTCAGACACCATGGCTATATGCATAGATCACGGGGGATATTTTTAGAGTTTAAATGTATTTGATTTTCTGATGAGTCTTGCAATTGGGCTTTTAACATTCAAGGTTCCTCCTGAGCCCTGAGCTGCTGTGCTCTGGGAGTGCTGACAAGGCCAGGGAACACTGACCTGACTTTGTGCTGAACGTCAAAAAGTTTAAACATAAAATGGCATGGTGGAGGTGGCTGCTAACTCAACGCATGGAGAAAAAGTTGATTTGGGGGAAAAAAAGGTCAGGCAAGAGAACAAAACCTTTATTACCTAATAATTTTCTTTCTCATGGCATTTGGTTAGCAACTGAAGGGACAATTCTGGAGTAACCCAGGTGACTTGAGTTCTAGCCCTTCTGGAGTAATGTCATCTGTTTGCCTTCTCTATTTTGTAATATTATCAGGGACAAATAGGACACAAGGTTTTAAAGCATTTTGTAAAATGTTATGCACTGTGAGGTAATATGAATATGTTAAGTATTATATCTAATTTTTTCTAGTATTGCCTCTACTTCTTCATTCATTCATAAATCCATTCATTCACTTATCCATTTAATCACTCATCCATCCATTAATTCAATAGACTTTTACTAAGCGTGAACTCTGCCAAGGTCCTTGTTCTTGAGGGGTACAACATCTAGTAGGGGAACAAACATGTATAAAATTAAGTGCTATAAAGTGCTATAGGTATTATGGTAGAAGAATGTCCTAGTTGTAGGGGCACAAATCTGATCATGGTATGGATATTAGGAAAGGCTTCAGAGAGAAGGTAAGCATGATTTGAGTTGTGAATGTTGGGTAGGCGTTCACCAGGCAGATGATGGTACAGGAAAGAGCATTTAAGGTGGAGGGAGCACCATAAACAAAGGCACAGTCTAGAGTGCTTTAGGAACTCCAAGTAGATTGGTGTGGTTGGAGAGATGAATGTGGAGAGGTTAGTGGGGATGGCTCATGAAGTGGCTCATATGGCATTTGAGGGTACTGGATCTTTATGCTAGGGGCAGTGGGGAGCCATTGAGGGGCTATAAACAAGGAAGTTGTATGGAAAAGTTTGCCTTTGAGTTAGAACCCTCTGGCATCAGCGTGGAAGGTGGATTTGAAGGGAGCAGGGCTAGAGGCAGAGTGACCAGTTAGAAGATTATTATAATAGTTTAGGGGCAAGACGATGCAGATCTGAATTATGGGTTTAAACACTAGGTGAGAGATGACTTAGCAGTCATTTCAGTGCAGATACCCAAGATGGGGAAAGGTTTCTGGATAAAATCCTCCTTTGTGACAATTTATGAACTTCCCTCCAACTTTGGCTCTGTATCTAGTATTCACAATCTCAGGGACTACCATCCTTCCATTCACACAAGTCAGAAACCTACCCCTTTCTAATCCTTGACATCCAGTTGTGTAGACTGTACTTCCAAAATCTCTCTCTGTTCCTGCTGCCACCATCCAAGCTCAGGCCACTGCAATAATCCTATTATCCCCTTCCAATCTGAACTCCACACTATAGCCTGGAAGGCTGAGAGAACAAGGGACGAGAGTGGTATAAGATGAGTTATAACTCATCTGAGCCCCAGTGTCTTTATAATACAGGGAAAACAAAGTTAGTTTGAGAAGTGTTTGGCAATCTCATCTCAGTTTGTGGCAAAAGATTGCACTCATTTTTGGTTCATTAAGCTGCCTGGAGACAGGCCAGTTCCTTTTTTCTATCGAAGGTGGTGTAGGGTAATGATTTATAGAATCTTAGTTTTGATATAGCTGTTTCCCTTCCTCTTATAGGGAAGAGGTGGGCATGTCTCACCTATTTTTAAATTTGGCCAACAGATTCCTTTAACTTTTTTTTAGGCCAATTCAAGTCTCCTTTCTTTGGTTTACTCACAGTTACACTCAAGCATCTGTACCATTTTTTCAGTATCTCTCATTTATGATACCTAACTTTATTCTTTTCACAGATGTTTATGGAGCTAGCACTTTACATAGGTAGAATAGACAACTGTGCACATGATGGGACTTCACAGACTCATAAGGTGTTAAAGTTGGAAGGGGCCTTAGGGATCACATGTGTCAAGCCTCTGGAAGCAGTGCAGTCAGACACACAGACATGGATGAAAATCCCTCTTTTACTACTCAAGCTTTGTGGTCTGAGCAAGTGATGTAACCTTTCTGAAACTAACATTCCTTATACGTAAAATAAACATTGTACTAACTATTTGGGAAGATTAAAGGAATTATTGATGTAAATTGCCTGGAGCACAGTGTCTAGCACATGGTAAGGAGTCTGTAAATTTTAGTTTCCTTGAGCTCTTTCTTTTCATTGCGTTAAAATGACATACTTAGGAAACTGAGTCTCAGAATACTGAGACTAAGAGAGAAATGTCATCATAAGAATATACAGCTAGGTGGAATCCAGATTAGAACTCAGTTCTCCTGTTTCCTTGCTCTATTTGTGGTTATGCTTAGAAACCCCCCTGCTCTGGTGCAGGAGCTGGTTGAGGAGGTGGTCGGGAAGACTTTGTGTTGTTGGTCCAGGAGACGGGCAGAGAAGAGTGAGAGGAAGACAGTGAAGCCAGTGAAGCCAGGTTTTGCCTCCCTCTTAATTTTGCTAAGGACTACAATTGCTGCTCTTGTCCCAGAACACTGTGTCTCATTTATCTGGAGTGAGTTTACTTACAAAGAGTCAGCATGTGGAGCTGCTGGAAATAGGGGTGTACCTGATACCTAGAGGGGGCTTCTTGGCTGCATGTTGGATGATAAGAGAAGTCAGCTGGGAGGAGTAATCAGCACCGAGGGAATAATTGAGAAATGGCTTGATTCAGAAATTCTTAGAAAAAGACACATGAATGAATCTCCAACAATTAATAGCATGCAGGACTTAGTTGTTTTAGAGTGAACCACCTTGAGGCCATTCAGATCTTTTTTTTTTTTTTTTTTGTATTTCAAATATGATATCATTAGGAGACTAAATTTTATTTTTAAAACTATTCTTCACAACTGAAAGCTACAACAAATGGCAGAGGTTGCATGTTTCATATTTGAGTGCTTGTAAGGTTACAGTTCTCAAACATTTATTGTCTGTTCTGCTTATAAATATTTACTTTCATGAATATTCCGGCATCATGGCTCAGTTCCTCTTTTCTCATTATGAGTAGAGACAGGGTTATGTTAGCAAACATAATAAAAAGCATGTTGATATTGTGGACCACGAGGTTCTGAGGTCCAGGTGGAGTAGGCTCTGTTTATTTCAATTTATTTGTTCACCTACATAAGAGATTCTGTTGCTGCTCCTCCCTGCCTCTCACCCACCTATCTTTTACTGATGGATTATAAATTACAGTTGGCAACTTGGTGTCCTTCCTAAAGCAAGGTGATAGTGTTGATTTATAATCAGTTAGATAAGATGTGTCCTTTGAATTATGTCTCTATTGATGGGGCATGGTAAGATTTCTCTGTGGCAATAATAACTTTTTTTAAATAAAATCCTCTTTTCCTAATTGAATACCCTTTATTTCTTTCTTTTGCCTGATTGCCCTGGCCAGAACTTCCAATACTATGTTGAATAGGAGTGGTGAGAGAGGGCATCCTTGTCTTATGCCAGTTTTCAAAGAGAATGCTTCTGGTTTTTGCCCATTCAGTATGATATTGGCTGTGGGTTTGTCATAAATAGCTCTTATTACTTTGAGATATGTTCCAATAATACCTAGTTTATTGAGAGTTTTTAGCATGAAGGGCTGTTCCATGTCCTTTGCAGGGACATGGATGAAGCTGGAAACCATCATTCTCAGCAAACTAACACAAGAACAGAAAACCAAACACCGCACGTTCTCACTCATAAGTGGCAGTTGAACAATGAGAACACACGGACACAGGGAGGGGAACATCACACACCAGGGCCTGTCTGGGGGTGGGGGACTAGGGGAGGGATAGCATTAGGAGAAATACCTAACATAGATGACGGATCAATGAGTGCTGCAAACCACCATGGCACGTACATACCTATGTAACAAACCTGCATGTTCTGCACATGTACCCCAGAACTTAAAATATAATTAAAAAAACACACCCTAAAAAATCTTCTTACTTAGCGTCCGGCCACAAATAACAATCATATGGTGGCCAAAGTTAGAGGGCCCAGTCTGTGGTCAATGTTAGGGGTTCAGTCTGGCGCCAGGGTTAGCTAGGTGCCAGGGGACACAGTGAATGGTTAGTTCGGATTCATCCTCTCTTGAACTTTTTCTGTAACCCAGAAGGATATTTACTTTTATGATCCACCATCTACCACATTCTACTCAGAAAACACAGCTCTGAGGGAAGGGATCCCTGAACTGGAAGGTGGAGGGCAAAGGAAGAGGAGGGGAAGTCAGAAGCAAGTCCAGGCTGGGGTAACACATGCAGCAGAGCTTCCCACATGCCACTGTGGGAAGCTCAAGGGCATCAGGCCTTGCTGGATAGACGGTGCAGGAAGAGAACATGGAGGCTGAGGGCCCATGAGACAAACCTCACCTGATTTACAACTTTGTCTTTGACACCGTCTATAGAATCCAGCACTTGGTCTGGAGGGGTTTTTAAAGGAGATATTTTGGAATAAGACATATGGAGTGACAGCTATGATGTTTGTTTCCTTCACCCTTGAAACCATGGGCTACCTTTGAAGTGTTAACCACCTTGAGCAATCTCTTGGCCCCGTTGGTAGTCAGGACCTCTGTATGTGCGGACCTCCAGTCTGGTCACGTAGGATGTTGCTTAACCTGGAGGTCTGAGCCTGCTGCGAGGCCTTTCGCTTGGGAGAGTTTTTCACAGGCTGCTGGATGTACTTCTGGATGTGATAATCAGGGAAGGTAAAAGGTCTCAGAGGAAAATCCTTTTAAAGGCATTCAACTTTAATGTCACCAGAGATGCCTAGTGCAGCTTTGTAAAAAAGACAGGAAATGCCCTTGGTGTCTGCCAGGGAACATATTCTGGAAAGCAGGTGCAATGGCAGCTAGGTTAACAAGGAACTGGTGAAGAATCAGGAGTCCAAGAGGACTGTAGCTTATGAGTGCACTAAAACGGTGATTTCCAAAACCACTTGGAGATTCCATATGGCCTAAACATGGAGATTTTAATTCATTCCATCCTAGGGGCTAGGGAATATATGCATTTAACAAATGCCTCAGGTAGCTCTGATGCCACTGGTACTCACAACTGTTGCAGTAACAATACATTATTTCAGATTCTTTGAATTGGGCCTTGTGGATGCTCTGATATGAGTTGAGCTGAAATTTCTGTTGGAGTTTGTGACAAAAGGGTTGCTTTAACAGTGGAGCACTGCAGTCAAGTTCAAAATAGGGAGAATGGCTCAGCTGTATAAAAGAATACTCCAATTCTACAAGAACCAGATGTTTGCAAGCACAGTTGGATTATTGTTTTGTGTACTACAAATTAGTACTCTATGTACATTTCTGATAAGTCTTTTCCTTTCTTTGTGGTAAGTTTCATAAAGGCCTCTTAATATACAATGTTTGCTTTTGCAACTTTAAGTTAATATTGAGTGAAATAATAAAAATCTGCTTCTCGTACATGCGCACATACACATACACACAAGGCACGCAATTCAGATTGACTTCCATGCAACTTATCTAAATGACTAATTTTTGATGACAGTAGAATTAAAGGTCATGAAGTGAGGAGTGCAAAGGGGAGAATCGTATTTGAATTGTAAAGAAAGACAGACCTAGCAAGAGCAAACACATTCAAAAGCTAGCAGAAGGCAAGAAATAACTAAAATCAGAGCAGAACTGAAGGAAATAGAGACACAAAAAACCCTTCAAAAAATTAATGAATCCAGGAGCTGGAGCTGGTTTTTTGAAAGGATCAACAAAATTGATAGACTGCTAGCAAGACTAATAAAGAAAAAAAGAGAGAAGAATCACATAGACACAATGAAAAATGATAAAGGGGATATCACCACCGATCCCACAGAAATACAAACTACCATCAGAAAATACTACAAACACCTCTATGCAAATAAACTAGAAAATCTAGAAGAAATGGATAAATTCCTCAACACATACACTCTCCCAAGACTAAACCAGGAAGAAGTTGAATCTCTGAATAGGCCAATAACAGGATCTGAAATTGTGGCAATAATCAATAGCTTACCAACCAAAAAGAGTCCAGGACCAGATGGATTCACAGCCGAATTCTACCAGAGGTGCAAGGAGGAACTGGTACCATTCCTTCTGAAACTATTCCAATCAATAGAAAAAGAGGGAATCCTCCCTAACTCATTTTATGAGGCCAGCATCATCGTGATACCAAAGCCGGGCAGAGACACAACCAAAAAAGAGAATTTTAGACCAATATCCTTGATGAACATTGATGCAAAAATCCTCAATAAAATACTGGCAAACCGAATCCAGCAGCACATCAAAAAGCTTATCCACCATGATCAAGTGGGCTTCATCCCTGGGATGCAAGGCTGGTTCAATATATGCAAATCAATAAATGTAATCCAGCATATAAACAGAGCCAAAGACAAAAACCACATGATTATCTTAATAGATGCAGAAAAAGCCTTTGACAAAATTCAACAATGCTTCATGCTAAAAACATTCAATAAATTAAGTATTGATGGGACGTATCTCAAAATCATAAGAGCTATCTATGACAAACCCACAGCCAATATCATACTGAATGGGCAAAACCTGGAAGCATTCCCTTTGAAAACTGGCACAAGACAGGGATGCCCTCTCTCACCACTCCTATTCAACATAGTGTTGGAAGTTCTGGCCAGGGCAATTAGGCAGGAGAAGGAAATAAAGGGTATTCAATTAGGAAAAGAGGAAGTCAAATTGTCCCTGTTTGCAGACGACATGATTGTATATCTAGAAAACCCCATCGTCTCAGCCCAAAATCTCCTTAAGCTGATAAGCAACTTCAGCAAAGTCTCAGGATACAAAATCAATGTACAAAAATCACAAGCATTCTTATACACCAATAACAGACAAACAGAGAGCCAAATCATGAGTGAACTCCCATTCACAATTGCTTCAAAGAGAATAAAATACTTAGGAATCCAACTCACAAGGGACATGAAGGACCTCTTCAAGGAGAACTACAAACCACTGCTCAATGAAATAAAAGAGGATACAAACAAATGGAAGAACATTCCATGCTCATGGGTAGGAAGAATCAATATCATGAAAATGGCCATACTGCCCAAGGTAATTTATAGATTCAATGCCATCCCCATCAAGCTACCAATGACTTTCTTCACAGAATTGGAAAAAACTACTTTAAAGTTCATATGGAACCAAAAAAGAGCCCGCATCGCCAAGTCAATCCTAAGCCAAAAGAACAAAGCTGGAGGCATCACACTACCTGACTTCAAACTATACTACAAGGCTACAGTAACCAAAACAGCATGGTACTGGTACCAAAACAGAGATATAGATCAATGGAACAGAACAGAGCCCTCAGAAATAACACCGCATATCTACAACTATCTGATCTTTGACAAACCTGAGAAAAGTAAGCAATGGGGAAAGGATTCCCTATTTAATAAATGGTGCTGGGAAAACTGGATCCCTTCCTTACACCTTATACAAAAATTAATTCAAGATGGATTAAAGACTTAAACATTAGACCTAAAACCATAAAAACCCTAGAAGAAAACCTAGGCATTACCATTCAGGACATAGGCATGGGCAAGGACTTCATGCCTAAAACACCTAAAGCAATGGCAACAAAAGCCAAAATTGACAAATGGGATCTAATTAAACTAAAGAGCTTCTGCACAGCAAAAGAAACTACCATCAGAGTGAACAGGCAACCTAGAAAATGGGAGAAAATTTTCGCAACCTACTCATCTGACAAAGGGCTAATATCCAGAATCTACAATGAACTCAAACAAATTTACAAGAAAAAAACAAACAACCCCATCAAAAAGTGGGCAAAGGATATGAACAGACACTTCTCAAAAGAAGACATTTATGCAGCCAAAAGACATGTGAAAAAATGCTCACCATCACTGGCCATCAGAGAAATGCAAATCAAAACCACAATGAGATACCATCTCACACCAGTTAGAATGGCAATCATTAAAAAGTCAGGAAACAACAGGTGCTGGAGAGGATGTGGAGAAATAGGAACACTTTTACCCTGTTGGTGGGACTGTAAACTAGTTCAACCATTGTGGAAGTCAGTGTGACGATTCCTCAGGGATCTAGAACTAGAAATACCATTTGACCCAGCCATCCCATTACTGGGTATGTACCCAAAGGAGTATAAATCATGCTGCTATAAAGACACATGCACACGTATGTTTATTGCGGCACTATTCACAATAGCAAAGACTTGGAACCAATCCAAATGTCCCCCAATGATAGACTGGATTAAGAAAATGTGGCACATAGACACCATGGAATACTATGCAGCCATAAAAAATGATGAGTTCATGTCCTTTGTAGGAACATGGATGAAATTGGAAATCATCATTCTCAGTAAACTATCGCAAGGACAAAAAACCAAACGTCGCATGTTCTCACTCATAGATGGGAATTGAACAATGAGAACACATGGACACAGGAAGGGGAACATCACACTCTGGGGACTGTTGTGGGGTGGGGGGAGGGGGGAGGGATAGCATTAGGAGATATACCTAATGCTAAATGACGAGTTAATGGGTGCAGCACACCAGCATGGCGCATGTATACATATGTAACTAACCTGCACATTGTGCACATGTACCCAAAAACTTAAAGTATAATAATAATAATAACAAAAAAGAAAGACTTCAAATAAAGGACTTTTGTGCTGGATGTAGAGATCACTAGCAGTTTTTCCCCCAGGAAAATCCTCTTTTCATCAAGCCCAAAGCATTAAAAGCCAGAAAAGAGGGAGGGAGAGCAAAGGGGTGGGGAATGAGAAACTAAGAAAGGGTTAAAGAGAGTCCAAAGGATGTACTGAGTTTGAACAAGCCTCTGAGGTCTTCGGATTTCTTTCGTTTTGGTGATGTCTTGGGGACTTTGTCAACTTTCTCCATCAATGACCTCCTCTTAATGTCCAGACAAAGTTCATGGTACATAGGGAGATCTGGAAACAGAGATACAGATGGAAGGTAGCCCAACCCCAGTAAATCTTCTACAGCCCATTCTCCATCAGCATCCCAATTCTGTCCTTGTGCTACCTCTGGGGGTAGCTGTACTCTTTGCATATAGCACGTTAACCCATCTTGTTCTCTACCTCCCTGTCCCTTCTCCAAGGCCCATAGGTTTATTCAGCCATTTGCCCTGCCTTTGGGGGAGTGGCGTCGATGTAGGCAACTGTACCTATAATTAGATGACAGCAAAATTAATTATAGAAAATTGTGGCCCCAGAATAGGAAAGCCCAATTAAAACTAGGGAATATGGGTCCTCAAATGGCACAAAAGTGGTGGAAGGGACAGGTTGTGGGTGTAGATGGTTGGGAAAGTACAAACCTCTCCCATTTCCTTGGACCTCCACAAGCTAGAAGGAATAGGTAACATAAGATGGGAAGTAGCAGAAGCTGGGAAAAAAGTTCAAGGAAAATCTTGTTGTCTGTTGTAATTTGCAGTCGTAGATTTTTTTTTCATGGCACAAATCATAGTGCTATTTATGACAGGATGTCTCAAACTGTAATGTATATGAGAATCACCTGAGGATCTTGTTAAAATACAGATTCTGATTCTGTATGTCTAGGAAGGGGTCTAGTATTCTGCATTCCATGGTATAGGTGGGGGTGATTGGAGAAGGCTTAAGGAGGAGGTGGGTCTTGAGCAGGCCACTGAATGATAAGATGAGGTTTGGCTACATAGTGAAGCAAGCTAGGGGATGTCCTGTGGTTCAGGGGTAGGAGAGGCAGTCTGAAATAAAAGCACTGAGGATGGGGTAAGCATTTTATATGCCCAGAACAAGGAGAAGTCGAATTTTGCAGGACAAAAAGCTTATTTGAGGAAGATGGTGAAGCTAGGGTTGGGTAGATAGAGTGGAACCATTTCATGGTGGGCTTTGAATGCTGGCCTGAGGAATTTGGGCTTCATCCTGGTATAAACAGAGTCAACAAAAGATTTTGAGCAGAGGAATAACATACTGAAAGCTGTACCTTCAAGTGAATTAATCTTACAGCACTACATAGGATGAATCAAATGGAAGAGAACCTTGGAGGAAGGTAAAATATCAATTGCAGTAAGATAGATGTGAGGGGATGAAGCCCTGTATCAGGCTGGCAGTAGAAGATTTGGGGAAAAAAAGTCATCAGACTGGGAAACAGTAACACTCTGTGACTGACTGAAGGTCCCCCTCCTTCAAATTACTTCATCCAGAAAGACTAAGAGGCTGTGAGGCCAAGGTTTATCTGACTAGTGCATTTCTAAAGCTCTTGTTAAACTCCTGAAAATCAGATTGTGAAATGAGCTGGTTGCTGTGACCTTGTGGGAGAACGAACTTTCTATGATATTGCCAGAGGGGCTGAAAGGTGATGTTCTAAATGGTATATAAAATTCTGAAAGGATAGGACAAATGGATGCCAATAATCCTTGTGAGATAGTAACTACTGATGAAACACCAGGTCATAGATAGACCTTGGAGAAGCTAGAAATGAAGCAAGCAATTTTGGTTGGATTTTGTTTACAAGGTATGTGTAATTGGAGACCATACTGACAAGAGTTCAGCTATAAACACTGATTTCATCTAGAAGCCCTTTGAGGACAATGCCTTATATGCTGTGGGAATAAAGGGTTAAGAGGAAGAAATAATTTTGGGCTTTGTCCTTATAGCATTTGTGAGGCCCAAGCCTGACTGGCCAGATGTTCCTCTGCCCTTTCCAATAACTGCATTGTATCCCCACAGCATAACAATCATTCAGGATTTGCTTCATTGTTCAGAAAAGTAAGTGACATGTGCCCCTATTCCTGGGCTGTGAATTGAACGCAGCACTGAAAAGCCCCTTCCTCTGTCTTAAGTTTCTCTAATCATTAGTGTGCAGTGGGGCCTGAAATGCCTACTGTGCAAGTCACTTTAAGGCACAGGACTCTGTGAAAAGGCAAATATGTTAAGCCAGTAAAGATTGCTTTTACTACCTCCTTATCATGGAAAGAGCCTCAAGTGAATAGGGATATAGGACAGGGAAGTTATAGTGAGGGGAAGCGAAAAGTTCTGGATGATGACACCATGTTGGGAGAAGTCTTCTCAATATGGATGTGAGTGGCACTAGGTAGCCAAGAGCCACTGCTGGGTACAGTAAGTGTTTCTGGATCAGCCCATGGCACCCCCACTCCTAAGGAGCAGCAATCTTCAGACAGTCTTAATTGGAAGGTCTGGTGAGTGGTAGTTTTCTATTTCACAGATGTTGGTGGCCTGTGCTGTTTAAGAGGCATCTTGCCACGCCTCAGGCTTTTGGGAAGAGAGCATCGATTCATACTACAATGATATGTTTCTGCTGGGCTGATAAACAACCTGCTAGATATTACTGGGAAAAAAATTTGGACCCCAGGATTAATATATGCAGAGGACCATACTTCCCCTGGGTCCTTTTGTAGCCCTAAAAGTTGGTACTGAAGGAAAATTGAGAGCTCCTAATGCCCGGTGCAGTGTTGGCAGTCTATATTTGTTGGATATACTAATAAATGATTGAATAAATAAATAAAATATAAATAGTCTGAAGAAAGCACTACATTTAAAGTCATAAGGCTTGAGTTCAAATTTCTAGACTGTCAGAAATTTGACTGTTGGGCCTTTGGTAAATTTTTGACTCTCTCTGGGCCTTATTTTCTTAATATACAATAAAATGGAAATAATCATACTTGTCCTGCCTCTTTTGCACAATTGTGGGAGAAACAATATGTATATATAAAAAATAATCCTTTTGGAAACTAAAATCCACAGAAATGTCCTGGGCTGAACAAGGACAGTCATTTTGATGTTTGCTAAATTAAATATATCCCTGGATCTCATAATGGAGGGTCACTACTGCCAGCCTCTGGTCTAGATGCATCCTCTTACAAAGAAACCCCTGTGTTGCCAACGATCCACTCTCAGACTCCTGTGTAAGCAGTGTAAGAATCAGATTTTTGTTCTTTTCTGCTGGCTTTTCTCTTCTAAGTGACAGAAAGCATTGGAAGCATTGTGGACTTCACATGAAACACTTTTGGAAGCCATTGACCAGATGTCTGTATTGTCTCTTCAGCTGCTTATAGCCATCCCTCCAAAGATGAGAGTTATCTTACAATTTTTTCTGTGAATCCTCAACTGTCTCCATGATGGCACTGTCCCAAGGGAGGGGAAAGCGGAGGGGAGCAGGAGACAGCAGAAGAGTGGGACTTTCTCTCTTTTCTCCCCCACCTTGTGATTTACAAGGAGGAGTTGATTTGACTTTCAATCAGCCTCTTCTTTGTGTCATTTTCCTTTCATCTGAGGGCTTACTCCTCACCTTGGTCTCTGCTCAGTTGATCTCAAAAGAAGCTTTCTCACATGCCTTTTCTTGGACATATTGTGCAGATTTCCTATTTAAATGGATGCTTTGTTCTTGGGGTTAGTGGGGAGAAGGTAGGATGATTTAAAAATCTTGCCAGGAGTCCTTGAGGAAGCAGGCTGGAGTCCTGTTTGCAGAAGTCAATAGGCTTGTTGTAAGCAGGCATTGTGTGTTCTAGCATAGGCGGCTGAAACAAATCAATTTCAATTTACTTGTCCAGCAAAAGGAGCCATTATTTAGAACTGAATGGCCTGAGCTCCCATAATATATTGTGAAAACTTATTGTAGTTTTTACAGAGAACTAGCTTATGATGAAATTATTTGTTTAGAAGCAAAGTGTGGATGTTTATTGAATGTAAATTCTGGAGTTATTGATTAGAGGCAGCTGAAGAATGAGTCACATTTCTTTTCTAAATGTGGTGGTTGGATGATATTGATATGACGGACATTGATATCACAGTACGTTGCTGGCTGGAGACCTGGCAGGATCTTTATTTTGACAATAAGCACAATTAACACGAGGGGAGGGTGTTTACTAGTTAGGGAGATACCATAGTAAAGGCTGAAGTTCATTCACCTTTAAATAGCAAGTTGGCTCATAAATTCGGTTCCCTTATGAGAATGTCTGTCACAGGCTCTATATTTTACGTTAGCTATAGAGCTTGGTATATTACCAGTAAACTGTTGAAACTGCCTGTAGGAGTAATATTTAAGGCTCGATTCACTGAAGTTTTACATTTCCCTTTTTGCACAGTTTACATTAAAAAATGCAACCACCAAGATATTTGGGCTTGAAACATGATTTATGTCTCTCCCCCTAGTTAGCTAATCACATATTTTTCTATTTTTCAGGACTTTCTGTGCATCTTATGTAACTTCCTATTACTGCTCTTCTGGAAAATGACTACAGTCTATGTATTGAGATTTTCCATTGCCATTTCATTCCTTTGCCATTGCCATTTCCATTCCTCTGCCATCACTGTGGTCTACTAGAACTTCAGATTCTGTTCAGTTGATGTAGTTGGATAGAGCACTGGGTTGAAGAATAATAACTGCTGATGACTTATCATCATTACCTCAGCTCCTAGTAATCTTGTACCATTTAGTTGCCTTTTTATCTCTCCTATTTTCTTTTATTTTGTGGTTATTTAACATTGTTTCTGGTAGTTTTTGTTTCTCTTCAGCTCTAGTAAATGTTCCTTGAGGGCTGAGGCTGTGTTAATTGTTTTGTTATCCCCCACAGGTACTAACATTTGTTGAATTAATGATTGCATTGGCTTACACAAATATTGTAATATCTTGCATTAGTATTGCAATTATTAAAGTTGCCACTAAAAGACATTCCATGTGCACATAATAATAATAGTGGGCATTAATTAAATCTTTACTGTGTAGCATTCTAGAAACTTTGCATGTATTATTTAATCCTTCCAATGATACCATGATATAATGTTATTTGTATTACCATTTTATAAATGAAGAAACTGAGGCTCAGAGATGTTAAGTCATTTGCCCACCATTACCAGCTAATAAGTGGCAGAACTGGGAACTCAGGTCTGCATACCAGCTTTTTGTGAATTTCTCATATATATATATATGTATATATATATGTGTATATATGTGTGTGTATATACACACATATATACACACATATATACACATATACACATATATGTGTGTATATACACACACACATATACACATATACACATATATGTGTGTATATACACACACACATATACACATATACACATATATGTGTGTATATACACACACACATACACATATACACATATATGTGTGTACACACACATATATACACATATACACATATGTGTGTGTATATACACACATATATACACGCACATATATACACATATGTGTGTGTATATACACACATACACACGCACATATATATACACATATACACACATGTGTGTATATATACACACATATATATACACATATACACACATATATGTGTGTATATATACACACATATATATACACATATACACACATATATGTGTGTATATATACACACATATATATACACATATACACACATATATATATACACATATACACACATATATGTGTGTATATATACACATATATAACACACACATATATATATGTACAAAATGTATATATATATATATATATATTTTTTGAGACAGAGTCTTGCTTTGTTGCCCAGGCTGGAGTGCAATGGTGCGATCTCAGCTCACTGCAACCTCTGCCTCCCCAGTTCAAGCAATTCTCCTGCCTCAGCCTCCCAAGTAGCTGGGATTATGGGCACACGCCACCATGCCTGGCTAATTTTTGTATTTTTAGTAGAGATGGAATTTCACCATGTTGGCCAGGCTGGTCTTTAACTCCTGACTTCAGGTAATCCACCCGCCTTGGCCTCACAAAATGAAGGGATTACAGGCATGAGCCATTGCACCCAGCCTCCAAAAAATATATTAAGACAACCTCCATACCCACTTATTGTGCCACCTTCTCCCCTCACTCTGCATAGGAAAAATCTTTCAATTTTTATCATGGTGAGCCCACATTTTACGGGATCTATGATCTATTCTGTGGTTAAGTAATGATTATTACAATGATGCAATAAGCCAAAGGATGAAGATAGGCTTCAAATAAATATGGACTATATAGATCTATTTATTTACTTCTTTGGAACAATCAAGCTCCAAAATATTATATATTATTGAGTTCTGAGAGTGTCAGTTTAGAGGTTATCAGAAATCTTCTACAAATGATGAATAAATTGGCCAAAAAAGCTGAATTTTCCAAACTGAAAAATCTATCTCCAAGAGTCTGCAATTTTGAAATGATTAGGGATAGGTGACCTGGCAGAAATGTTCCTGCCAAGAAGGCTGTACAATTTGTATCATTTGCTTCTAGAAACAATCACCTCTTGAATTGTATTAAATAGTGTGTGTTTTTTAACAGCTGTATTGAGTTGTAATTCACATACCATATTATCCATTTAATGAATACAATTCAATGTTTTCAGTATATTCACAGGGTTTTGCAACTATCAGCACAATCTACTTTTAGAATATTTTTATCCTCCCACAAAGAAACCCTGTGCCCTTTCAGCATCTCTCTCTATTCCCCTATAGACCCTGCTCCCCAGCTCAAGGCAATCATGAATCTATCTTTTGTCTCTATAAATTTGCGTATTCTGAACATTTCATATTAAAAGAATCATTCAGTATGTGGTCATCTGTCATAAGTTTCTATCACTTACCATGCTTTCAGTTTCCTCTGTTTTACAGTATGTTCCATACTTCATTCTTTTTTATCGCTAAATAACATTTCCATTCTGTGGATGGATTGTCACAACTTTCTGGATGATGTCTTTTGAAGCACAAAAATTTTAATTTTTATAAAGTCAAAGTTTTTATTATGATTCTGTTGTCGTAGCTACATTTCATTGCCAAATTTAAGGTAATAAACGTTTATCCCTGTGTTTTCTCTGAGAGTTTCGTGGGGCTTGCTCTTATAGTTCAGTCATAGATCAAGTTTGACTTAATTTTTGTATATGGTATAAAGTAGAGGTCTAATTTCATTTTTTTGCATGTGGATATCCAGCTATTCCAGCATTATCATTGAAGAGACTACCTTTTCCCCATTTATTGTCTTGGTAACCTTGAATAAAGTTAACCACAAATGTAAGGGTTTATTTCTGGACTTTCAATTCTATTCCATTGATTTATATGTTTATCTTTATGTCAGTACCATGCTGTTTTGATTATTGTAGCTTTGTAGTAAAATTTGAAATTTGGAACTCTGAGTCCTGAAACTTTGTTTTTCTTTTTCCAGATTTCTTTTTTTTTCTTCTATTTTTGACCCCTTGAATTTCAAAATGAATGTTAGGAAAAGTATGTCCATTTCTGCAAAAAGAGCAAAGTGGTCCTTTGATGTATATTGCATTGATCTGTAGATTCAATAACAATATTAAGCCTTCTTATCCATGAACATGATGCTATTATTTATGATGCCATTTTTTTAAAGTTTCTACACACAGGCCAGTCGTGGTGGCTCACACCTGTAATCCTAGCACTTTGCGAGGCTGAGGTGGGAAGATCACTTGAGCCCAGGAGTTTGAGACCAGCCTGGGCAACATAATGAGACCCTATCTCTACAAATTTTTTTTAAAAAAATTAGCTGGGCGTGGTGATGTGTATCTGTAGTCCCAGCTACTTGGAAGGGCTGTGGTGGGAGGATCACTTGAGCTCAGGAGATCAAGAGCGCAGTGAGCTGTGATCTTCCCCATGCCTTCCAGCTTAGGCAGCAGAGTGAGACCCTGTCTCAAAAAAAAAAAAAGTCTACACACAGCATTGATTTGTGATGCTATTGTAATTGGAAATGTTTTCTTTTTAAAGTATTTAAATAGACAGATAAAATTATATGTATTGTGTACACCATGATATTTTGACATATACACACACACATTGTGGAATGACTAAATCCAGCTAATTAACAAATGCATTACCTCACATAGTTATTATTTTTGTGGTGAGAACACTTTATACCCACTCTCATACCTTTTTTAATAATACAACATACTGTTATTTGTTGTAGTCACCATATTGTATAGTAGATGTCTTGAACTTATTCTTCCTATCTAGCTGAAATTTTCTATATTGTGTCCAACAACTTCATTCCCCTCCCTTCACCCACACACACAACCACTTCAGCCCCTAGTATCCATCTCTCTGCTTCTAGGTGATGGACTCTCTTTTAGATTCCACATATAAATAAGATAATGTGATATTTGTCTTTCTGTTCCTGGTTTATTTTACTTAACATAGTGTGCTCCAGGTTTCTCTGTGTTGTTGCAAATGACAAGATCTTCTCCATTTTAGGACAGTAATATTCCATTGTGCATATAAGCCACATTTTCTGCATCCATTCATTCATTGATGAAATAGATATGTTTGTTGGAGAATAAAGGGTCCAGGGCTTCCTAGCCCATCATCTTGCTAATGATATCCTAAGGCAATTTGAATATAATAATAACATTTATTTTAATTATAATTAAGGATGACCTTTGGGGATATGCATTGTGATACGATACAACAGAGTTTTTGTGGGACTTTATAGGTGAAAAGGGTATTCTTGCCTTTCTTTCCTGGTTACCTGAGGTCACATGTGTCATTTAGGGCCTTTTTGGTTATTTGGCCAAGGTTATTGAGCCCTAATGGTTATTAAATATTTGTATGTATTTGAGAACACATCAGAAATTGGGGACCCAGTCCCTGCATTTGAGGGCAGAGTAATATGGAAAGAAGATTCATTTCAGATACTTTATTCACTATAATTTATTATCCCTGTCTCTCAGATGACAATATTGAGATCAAGGGAAGTAAAGCGACTTCTGCAAGGTTGTGTAAAAGTTTATTGAAAAAGATAAAGCTAAAACACAAGTCTCTTATGTGGATAGTCATATAGCCACACTTAACTGCAAGGGAGATTAGGAAACAGTCTCTCTGTGTGCTCAGAAAAAAAGTGGAGAACAGATTTTGGTGGGCAGCTAGTAACATCTTACATACTCTGATAGTTCATGTTAGAAAAACAAGATGGAAGACATATGTAGGCAGTAGATAAAGGAAGAAGAAAAGAGGGCTTGATGAAGTAGTCCAGTGTTCTCATAGTTTTTGTGAATGTGTATATACAATAATAGCGTTATTCATTCAGGCACTGGGTTAGTGCCTTTTTGAATTATCATATTTAATGCTTACAACTTTGTGAGATAGTTACCATTATCACCACCATAAACATGAGGAAAGTAAGGCCCAAAGAGGTAGGCTGCTTATTCATATTTACACAGTTAGTAGAAAATAATAAAGGATGATTATGAAGCCAAACCTGTCCAACTCCAATCATTCGGTGGTATTGTATTTTTCTGGATTTGGGTTATAATGCAGGAATATATTATTTCTGTGTGGGAAGATTAGAGAAAATTTTATAGAGGAGGTTAGGATTTGAGCTGATCCTTGAAGAATGAATGGGGTTGATGTTTAAATACTGTAGAGGAGCAGGGAATTCCAAGAAGAGGCCTCATGAGCAAAAAATTGGAAGTGAAGGTATGTTCAAGAGATAAGGGGTACAGTGAAGAAGTTTCACAGGAGAAAAGTGAAGGTGAGCCTGGGAAAGAGTGAGAAGATTTAAATGTTAGACTAAGAACTATGGACTTGATCTTATAGATAGTGGAGATGAATGAAGTACGTTGAGCAGGTGAGTGTCAACATCATGTTAGTTTTACATACACGTAAAAGGCTAGGTATAATTTAAGGGATGTTGGAAAGCCCTTGTGGCCCTATTTCCTCACCACTTATAACTTTCTTATTCAAGTATCATATTATTGAAATTCCACTATTAGGGATTTCTTTCTTAGGGTTAGACTCTCTGCTCTCTTTTAAAATGGAAACAGCCCTGCAAAGAGTAACACGTTGTCATTAAGATTTCAATATGAAGGTCTTCATTAGTTCTTTTCATTCCCTCAGAGCAGAGGTTCTCCCAAGAGTATAGAGTGCCTGAGCGAGAAGGGGAAAAGGTACTCTGGAAGAAGAAAGAAGAGGGAGATTCTTGCCAAGAAGCCTCTGCCTGCTTCTGGCTTTGAGTTTGAGCCAGCACCCAACTCCAGACATTTGAATTACTAACCGATTAGATGCCTGCACCTTCTATTGAAGAGGGTGTAGACTAAGAGATGTGTTTTCTTTCTGCACAAAGGTTTCACTTGAAAATAAATCACTATCCATTGTAAGACTCCAAATCCATACATTGGCCTAGTCTAATTCTCTCTCTAAATCAGGTCTTAATGTATTGGCTATGAAATAGTCATAGAAATAAGGATCGTGTGTTGGTGTGAGTATATACATGCATATATATGTAATCATTATTTCTGGGCCATATTTGTATGGCTATATGTGTGTATCCTTTTGTGTCATAAAGGTCTAATTATTTAGCTTTCAGTTTTACTACTAAGTTAGTAGAGAGCTTCTCTTGATTATCTTTTGAGAGGAAAAAGCCCCTCTGCTGAGAGAGGTCTGTTTTAGCTTAGAGAACTTACGGCAGTAGGCAGAAAGGAAAAGAATGACTGGGCATGGGATTGTGAGAATTAATGTGAGGTATGTGGAAGGAATGTCCTCAGATGCCTCAATCACAAGTGGGTAGACTACACTGGGAGAGAAGGGGAGGTAGAGTAATAAAGGACAATCAGGCAGAGGATTGAACTCTGACACATATCTTCAGGACTCCAGGACTCTAGTACTGGGAAATGGGGATTTTACAGATCACGGACAGTGCCAGCCCCTAAAAACTCTGCATGGTTCCACATGAAAGCCACTTTCTGTGACAGAACTTTTGAGTGTATCTCTTGAGTAGTAAACTTTAGTGGCAGTCTGAGTTGATTTTTTCTCAAATAAAATGTTTTTCCCTGTGTGTGTGTGTGTGTGTGTGTGTGTGAGAGAGAGAGAGAGAGATAGAGAGAGAGAGAGAGAGAAAGAGAGAGAGAGAGAGAATGAGATCCTGAAAACATGTGTGTGGTCAGGGAGAGCTGCAGGGCCAGGTTTGCTTTGCTAAAACAAGTTCCCAAATGATATCTGTCACTGAAGGTGTTAGCTGACAGGATTGAGAGAATGATACCAAAGTTATGTGTACTCAAAAGCCTGTTCTACAGGCGTGGTCTGGGCAAATGTTACCTGGCTCTATAACAACTTCAGTTGGATTGACACTCCCCCTTTCTTGTCACCCTGACAAGTCAGAGATTATCATTGCTGAAGGAAGGGTAGCTGTTTCACAGGCTGGGTTCAGTAGATGAAGTGAGTTGTAGTGGGGTGTATTAGTACATTTTCATGCTGCTGATAAAGACATACTTGAGACTGGGAAATTTACAAAAGAAAGAGGTTTAATTGGACTTACAATTTCATGTGGCTGGGGAAGCCTCCCAATCATGGTGGAAGGCAAGGAGGAGCAAGTCACATCTTACACGGATGGCAGCAGGCAAAGGGAGAGCTTGTGCAGGGAACTCCCATTTTTAAAACCATCAGATCTCATGAGACTTATTCACTGTCACTAGAACAGCATGGGAAAGACCTACCCCCATGATTCAATTACCTCCCACCAGGTTCCTCCCACAACACGTGGGAATTCAAGATAAGATTTGGGTGGGGACAGAGCCAAACCATATCATGTGGGAAGAAGAGATAGAAAGATAGCTGAGAATATATCCATAAAATGCTGGAAGAAGGGGAAGCTTAGGAATCATGTGGCTTTTCTTTACCCAATCTTACCAAGTGACCTGACAAGCTTTTTTTTAAGCTTCAGGCTAACTAGTCTCAACTTCAGTTCACATCATCCCAGGCTGGGAATTCTTTCTCAAGTCTTAGGTCCCTGATTCCTAATTACGACTTTTCTGTACCATATAGAGGTCTCCAGAACAGCTTGGGACCTAAAAATAGTAACATAGTTACTGGAAAACATATGCCCTCATGGAACGTGGGAAGTGGGGAAGGAAGTGACAATGAAATATAAGTCTTTTGGGGAATTGTTTGCTGGAAACAGAATGTCATGGATTGCATTCATTCAACATGCTTTTATTATAGTGTGTCCAAATGTATGCTTTATACTGGGTTTGTGGGGTGTCCTTTATCTCCCAATCCATTCTTCACACAGCTGCCAGAATGCTCTAGAACATTAATCATATTATAGCACATCCTACATAGAACCAGTCTTCCTAATATGGCATTTAAAGTCTTTCTTGGTCTTGCCCCTGCCTATTTATCCAGCCTCTTTTTCAACATGTTATGTCTCTTATGCTGCTTGTAGATCTTCACCCATACTATTCTATTTCATGTGTACGTGTCTGTCTTTATTCATAATGCCCCTCTGCTCGGGATACCCTTCCCAACTAACTCCCTTTTTTCAAGTTTCAGCTCAGGTTCTATCTCCTTCAATAATATTCTCTTAACTCCCAGGTCCCTCCTCTCTGCTCCAATAGCATTATAAATTTTCCTCTTTAAAAAACACTTAACCATATAATATTCAAATGATTTCATTATCATTTCAGGAGAAGTTAGTAAATGCTGACTGGGCCTAATGTTGATGAATAACTTGGTACATTTTGGAGGGGCCCTAGGAAGCTAAAAAACTTAGATTTGTTATTTTATTAACCACTTACCACTGTATACCAAAAGAACAACTGTAGTGATTCTTAATCTAAATGTTGAGACTAAAGCGGCAGTGGCTAGCTAGAGTTTGCTAATTCAGAATTAGTATCTGTGAATTTGAAAGTCCCTGTGCAGAGGGTGGGGGAAGAAAAGATGTTTCTGCTTTATTTTTTTGTTGTTGTTAGATATGCTAGACCCAATTCCTTCATGTGACCTGAGAAGATGGCACGGAATGTTTGCACAAGTACCAAATGGCTGATTTGTTCACTGCTGTTAAATTGCATGGCTTGTAAAGGCCATTTATTTGCTTTGCCTTTCTTGCCACATAGATTTGTAACATTAGATCTAAGAGGAAAAAGGTCTGTTTGCCTTAGATTTTGGCTGTGTCCCAGGGAGGCAAAGTTTTACGCAGCCTTTCAACCAGCAGCATGAAGGTTTATTAGATGTAAAAAAAAAAATGCATTTGCTATTCTTTCAGGGCAGTTAATGGAGTTACTTCATATAAAATCTCGATAATATTTTGTTTCCCAGAAAAAATTGTACATAAGTATGCAAGCATGATATACCGTTAATAGTTTATACTAACACACAACCTATGTTCAATTCACTTCAGACATTTAGTGTTTACTGTGTTCTAGTTATATGTTAGGAATTCAGGAATGCCTGAATTCCTAGAAATGTGAGACAAAGTCTCCATTACCAGAAAATCTTCACAGTATGATAAATGCAATAAAAAGCAAAAAGATATAAGCTACAGAATGAGCACAGAGGAAGCATGGGTGAACTTTATTTAGGACGTCAGGGAAGACTTCTCTGAAGCGGGAACTTCTGGCTGTTCTTCATGAATGAATGAGTATTCACCAGATAGACATAAGGCAGAAGGAGGGAGAGGTAATCTATGTGGCAGGAACAGCATATACAAAGGCAAGGAGAAGCAGCAAGGCTTGTTCCAGGAACTATGCATGATTCAGAACCGCTAGAGCATGAAATGTTAAGGCTTGGGTTGTGCAGGCAGGAGCCCAACTATGAAGTACCTCATACACTTTATTTTGTACATGGTAAGGAGCCAGTGATGGGATTTAAGTAAGAGAGTTATGTAAACCAATTTACATTAATTTACTCATTCAGGGTGTCAGTTAATGAGAATTGATTGAGCCACTGCTATGTGCCAGGCCCTCTGTCAGGCACTGTGGGTATGGTCTTTCTCTTGATGGAGTTTAAGGTCAAGTGGGGGAAGACAGATATGGTAAAAACAAATAGAAAAATGATGAGTGCACTGAAGAAGAACAGAATGTAAAGGGAACTAATCTACTTTAGAGGTGTGGGGATGGGGAAGAAGTAACAAAATGTAAGTAGACATTAGCTAGGCAAATGGGGAAGGGGAGAACATCCCAAAGACTGAGGGAGGGAGATACACAAAATGCCTGAGGGAAAAACTAACAAGCTGTTTCAGGGTAAATGTAAGAACACCAGGGTGGCTGAACTATGAAAGGCCATAGGAAAAGAGTAGCAGATGAGGATAGGTTGGTTGGTTAGTCTTTGATTGTTTTGATTTTATTATTATATTATTTGAGATGGAGTTTCGCTCTTGATGCTCAGGCTGGAGTGCAATGGCACGACCTCGGCTTACTGTAACCTCCGCCTCCCGGATTCAAGTGATTCTCCTGCCTCAGCCTCCAGAGTAGCTGGGATTACAGGCATGCGCCACCACGCCTGGCTAATTTTGTATTTTTAATAGAGACGGGGTTTCTCCATGTTGGTCAGGCTGGTCTCAAACTCCCAACCTCAGGTGATCTGCCCACCTCGGCCTCCCAAAGTGCTGGGATTACAGGCATGAGCCACCACGCCCATTCTGTTTTGATTTCATTAGATTGAAGAATGTTTCTAGCAGCAGAATAGGGAGTGCATTTTGGAAGTGAAAAGTGGAAGTGCGAAGAAGGAGTATTGCAGCAATCCAAGGGAGACATGATGAGGTCCTGATTAAGGGCAATGGCAGTGGGAATGGTGAAGAGAGAATGGAAGGATAAGCTGTTTAGGTGGTAATATCAATATGACTTAATAACTGATTAGATCTGAGGGCTAACAAAGAGGGAGGATTGGAGAATAACTTGGTTTTCTGGCTTAGTAAGTGAGAAAATGTGGGCCACCAACCAAAATAAGAAATATAATAGGTTATTTCAACTCTGGCATGGATTCCGGTTGCTGATTGTTTACAATGGACTTTGAACTTCTGGCCTCATTCTACTGGTCAGTACTGGTGCCCTCTATCAAAAAACAATGTATTTTTATTAAATTAAAATAGCACATGAATATAGTAAAACAATTAAAACAGTATAGAAATGCATAAAAGAAAACTAAAAATTTCCCCCCTCATCCACCCTAGTCAATTTCCCCATCGGTAAACTCTTAGTAATTTCTTCTAGAACAATATTGTTTGCACTTATCAGCGTATATATGTAGTCTTTGTAAATTTACATACACAGAATCTTACAAACTGTTTTGCACCTTGCTTTTTAAATTTTAATATATTGTGGAAATCATTCTATATCAGGACAAACCTCATCCTTTTTAATGACTACATAATACAATGTTCCATTATGGATGTAGCCTACTTTAATCATTCTCTTATTGAGGGATTTAGGTAGTTTTCAGTTTCTCTCTGTTATTCATGCATTAAATAGATATTTGTTGAGGGACTACTCTGTGCCAGAGGTAATCCTTGCCTCTGTGGAGTAAATAGTCTGGTGGGGAAGATAGTCATTAATTAAATTACAGAAATGTTGAATTGCAACTGTGACACATGCTCCAAAGATGCTTTAAGAACCTGTAATAAAGTATTTGACTTAGTCAGGGAGGCCCTAAAGGGCTCCCCTGAGGAATTCATGCTTGAGCTGACTATTGAAAGATGAGTATGAGATAACAAAGAGGAGAAAAGAGCATTCTAGGCAGCATACAAAGAATAGATGCACTGGTCATTAGAGAAATGCAAATCAAAACCACAATGAGATAATATCTCACACCAGTTAGAATGGCAATCATTAAAAAGTCCGGAAAGAACAGATGCTAGAGAGGATGTGGAAAAATAGGAATGCTTTTACACTGTTGGTGGGAGTGTAAATTAGTTCAACCATTGTGGAAGACACTGTGGCAATTCCTCAAGGATCTGGAATCAGAAATACCATTTGACCCAGCAATCCCATTACTGATTATATACCCAAAGGATTATAACTCATTCTACTATAAAGACACATGCACACATATGTTTATTGCAGCACTATTCACAATAGCAAAGACTTGGAACCAGCCCAAATGCCCATCAATGATAGACTGGATAAAGAAAATGTGGCACATATACACCATGGAATACTATGCAGCCATAAAAAAGGATGAGTTCATGTCCCTTGCAGAGACATGGATGAAGCTGGAAACCATCATTCTCAGCAAACTAACACAGGAACAGAAAACCAAACATCGCATGTTCTCACTCATAAGTTGGAGCTGAACAATGAGAACACATGGACACAGGGAGGGGAACATCACACACTGAGGCCTGACAGAGTGTGGGGGGCTAGGGGAGGGATAGCATTAGGAGAAATACCTAATGTAGATCACAAGTTGATGAGTGCAGCAAACCACCATGGCACATGTATACATACCTATGTAACAAACCTGCACGTTCTGCACATGTACCCCAGAACTTAAAGTATAATAAAAAAAAGAATAGATGCATTTTAAACTTCAGTATAAAATGGGAAATCCTTATTAACCAAATACCTATCTGAGTCCCTAGAGTTAGTAAAAAAATAAAAATAAAGATTTTTATGGAGGAGCAAAATGCATTAAATGATATGGTTTGGCTCTGTGTCCCCACCCAAATCTCATCTAAAATTATAGTCCCTATGTGTCAAGGGAGGGACCTAGTGGGAGGTGATTGGATCACAGGGTCTGATTCCCCCATGCTGTTCTTATGATATTGAGTTCTCATGAGATCTGATGGTTTAAAGGTGTGTGGCGGTTTCCCCTTCTCTCTCTCTCTCCTGCCACCATGTGAAGAAGGTCCTTGCTACCCCTTTAACTTCTGTCGTGAAGTTAAAAGTTTCTCTGAGGACATGTAAGTTTCCTGAGGACTCTCCAGCAATGCAGAACTGAGTAAATTAAATCCTTTTTCTTCATAAATTACCCAGTCTTAGGTAGTTCTTTATAACGGTGTGAAAATGGACTAATACACTAAAGCACAACAATATTTTTTACTTAATTGGCTATTTAGGACATTTTTTTTCCCTACTCAGCCATCTCTACTTAACACTGGAGTCTATCCTTGCTCAACACATAAATGTCTTTGTCAATCTCTACAATAGAAAGAGAGTGTAAATCAATGGCAATGTGAAATTTTAAATATTGTAAAAGACACAAGACTTAATGAGGCTGATGAAAGTGAGGGAGATTTGCTTGAATTCCACAAAGCCATTGGCAGGTGAGACTTGGCATAGTTATCTTTTGAGGGACAGAACAAACCCATGCATATAGTGACAAGATGGCTAGGATGAAAGAGAATGATTGGAATATCAGGAACTATGAGAGGTCCTTGGGAAAACTGATGAAGCCCGTTGATATTTTGTAAAACTTACTCTTTATGATCCTGCTATGAAATAATGAGAACAATGCCTTTTTGCACTATTATGCAATTTTGTCAGAAAAGGCATACCAAAAAAACCCCACAACCAATATTTGATTTATGTATTGCTCAAAGGATGTGCTTGTAGTTGCATTAAACCTTTTTAAAAATTATAAGATAAGACACCTTTTTGGAGGTTTAAATTTTTAAAAAAAAAATTTCAATCAAACATTCAAAAAATTAATGATGATATTGTGGTTCCTATTTTAAGTAGACTTCCTTTAAGTGACCCTTTTTCCAGTAGCGATTATTTCTGGATACATGGACTGCCTCTATTGCCCAATTATCTTCCCCAGAGGTGGCATCAATTTGCATTTCCACCAACAGTGTATGAGAGTGCCTGTTACTCATCTTGGTGAACTTTTGAGTTATTGACGATCAGGTGGGTGAATAAGACATCTTCATTGCTGTTTTTATTTGCATTTCATTAATCATGAATAAGGTCGAACATATTTTCATGTGTTTAATGGCCATTTGTATTTCTTTTTCTGATAACTGCCTGTTGCTATTCTTTGCCTGTCTTTTGTGGTGGTGGTGGGGGTGTTGTTCATCCTTTTGTCACTGATTTGTACAAGCTTATTGTAAACAATAAACAAAGTCATTTGTCATATATGCTGCAAACACTTTGTCAATGTGTCTTTTGTCATTGTTTCTGACATTTTCAGAATTTGTAGTAAGCACAGTTTACATTTGGATTCTGACATTTGTATTTTGCTTAGGAATTGGTTTCAAATCAAGGGTATAAATTAATCCCCTTATGTTTTCATCTAGCATCTTTTTTACTATTAAAACCTTTTGTCCATTGAGGATTTATTTTGGTATAATAAATGAGGAATGAATTCAGCTTTTCTGTGAAACAGTCACAAGTGCAAACATCATCAAGTGAATCATCCATATTTTCTTTGCTGATATGAAATGCTACCTTTGTCATATATGAAATTTCCATATGTATAGCAGTCTAATTCTGGACTCTATTGCGTTCTGTTGGTCCACTTATTTCTTCTCTACTATCAAACTCTTAGTCTTTGCAGGTTCACAGTGCTCTTAATTCTGCTCCCTTATGCTCCTCTTTCAGAATTTTTCTGGCTATTCTTGCTTATTTTCTGTCTACCTTGTCTGTTACAGATGACAGAAATGTGTTAAGATCAACTCCTACTACTGTGTTTTTGAAGATTTCTCGTTGCATTTTATGCAGTTTATGTGCTATATATTCTGATTCTGTTATTTGGTACATGAATATTTATGGCAGTTATATCCTCATTGTGGATGGTGTCCTTTATCAAAGCCCCCTTCCCCCCTTGAATTCAATCTTCTCTGATATTAATATCATGACCTCTGGTTTCTTCTTTCATCATTTTTATGATATATAATATGTTTTATAGTTCAGTAGTGCTGTTTTGATTCACAGCTTTTTTTTTTTACCTCTGTAATCTCCCTTTTCATCTTATTCTTCTCATTCCGTTGTTTTATCATTTGTCTTTGATGTCTTGTCTCAATGACTCCATATTCTCTTGAAATTTTTCTTTTCCTTACCAAGGGATGTTATTTTCAAGTGTGGATTCAGTATCTGTATTCCCATTTCTTCCTACTCTCCCTTGCTTTCTCCCACTCTCCTGCTCATTCCTGTAGTATTTTTGCAAAGCTGTCATTCTATAATCTTTTCGCAAATCTGTCATTCTATATCTTTTTATTGTACTCATGTTTAAATTAAAGAATTCTCTGAGAAATTCTAAACATAGTGGGATAAATTTCCCTTCACTCCCTTGGCATTCTGTACCTCCTTAAGAGCCTCAGTTTGAATGCTAGGCATTGGGTGTTCTAGCCACATTCTGCTGCCCAAGGGCCGTCACAATCTGTGGATTTCTGATTTCCTCTCTGTAATTTCCTTAAAATGCCTGTAACAAGATTCATCCCACTTGGTTCAATGATTATCCTTACTAGGATCCTTATTATGATCACAATCAGTTTGAGGAAACTTTAAAAAAGTACCAAGGCTTGGACTTCACCCTCTAAAAGATTCTAATTCATGTGATCTAGCTTGAGGCTCAGGAATTGGCATGTTTCAGCAGCTCCCCATGTAGTAACTCTAATACAAAGTTAGGACTGGGAACCACTGACCCAAATAGTGACACCACCTATTGCACATAGAGTATCTTAGGCTTCAAGTTGTTTAAAATGAAGTCCTCAAACCTTTCTTTCCAACAAATACAATTAATGTCAGAAGTCAACTTTTCCCATTTTATCCACCCATTCTAGGGAGTAGAGAAAAAAAACACTATAAAACCTTTGGGTTTTTGCCACAGTACTATTATCCCGCAGGCTTGAAGGGAGAATTCAGCAGCACATGGCCATGAGCTTCTTGTTTTTGAGCCCTTTACTTTTTCAAATAATTTTATCTTATTTAATTCCTTGTTTGTTTATTATCTTGTCTACTCTCAGTTATTGCTAAAGAAAATTATCTATGGATGATTCTAATTGTTATGTCTTCTTACAGCAGGATCTGCCCAAATCTGCAAAAACCAAAATGAAGGTTCACCGACTTCTGGTCTTTGCTGAGATATTGAGGTTCATAAAGAGTGGCTTCTCTTCTTGTGAGAAATTTTCCAAATCTTTTCCTTTCAATCTAGTTTCAGGACTTTAAAAAATCCACTTACATTATTTTCACTGTACTAATTCATAGGAGATAGGGGCTTGATTAGAGCTATATCAATGAAAACTGTGTTTCTCATTTCCTTTACTGCAACTTTTCAAAGATTGTGGTGTATGAGCCTTTGCATGTTTGCTGCTTAATTTTCATATTTTATATTTATTATTATTCTTTTTGTTAAATTTTGGGAGTGTACTTTGTTTGAACTAGCTTCACTACAACCTCTTACCCTTAGAGCTCATCCGTGTCGTCTTTATTTATCAGCTTCATTTGTATTCATAAAGTGCTGTAATTCTTGGTTCTGTGTCTTCCCCAATCCCCCCTGGTCTAGGGTGTCCAAAAGCCTATATTTTCTAAACTGTGATGTGATTTAGAGTATTTACTCCAATACTAGGATGGCCTTGTTTTTGAGAATTAGCCACAAGCAATTAACAGTATAGGCCGGGTACAGTGGCTCATGCCTGTAATCCCAGCACTTTGGGAGGCCGAGGTGGGTGGATCACCTGAGGTCAGGAGTTGTAGACCAACCTGGCCAACATGGTGAAACCCCGTCTCTACTAAAAATACAAAAACTAGCCGGGCATGATGGCACATGCCTGTAGTCCCAGCTACTTGGGAGGCTGAGGCAGGAGAATTGCTGGAACCTGGGAGGCAGAGGTTGCAGTGAGCGTAGATTGCACCATTGCACTCCAGCCTGGGCAATGGAGCAAAACTCTGTCTAAACAAAAAGAAAAAGAAAAAGAAATTAACAGTATAGGCAGTTCAATTTGTTATTCTGTTGCAAAACATAGAATATTCTATTGTCATATTTTCTACCAGGATGTAAGACACAAAAATACTTCAGGCAACTTTTTAGAATAAAATAAACCTCAAAGGTATGACTTGGGAAAATGTGGTAATTCAACTGACATTTCAGAAAAGTTTAGTTCAGATCTGCCCACAGAGGAGTTAGGAAAGGCTACCTCTATCCCTTAAAATAATTTGCAGATATATATTCTTCTCTGGATGATATTGAGCAGTGATGTTCACTTGGCCTCAAGGTTAATGTTTCTTGGTATAAATGACCAAAAGAAAGTTGCGTCAGATGCTTTGTCTGCTTATTCCTTCAATGAATTTTGATTAGGTGCCTTCTATATGCTAGGCTCTGTTCTAGATACTAGAAATATAGCATTTATATCAAAGGAAAATATCCCCTGCTCTTCTAGAGCTTATATTTTAGTAAGGGAGATAACAAAAACAGACAAAAGAAAGACCACATTTTTATCAGGTACTGGGGACAAATAAAGATGATTAAAGGGATAGAGTGATGAAGTGGTATTGGGGGCTACCTTAGGTAAAATGGTCCGGATAGTCTCTCTGCTTAAGTAACATTTAAGCAGAGCTTGTTTCGGTGTTTTGGTGGTATGTGAGTGGGAGTGAAAAAATAGTCACATAAGATGCACTATGAAGAAGGTAATCTCCAGTTATATAATTTTTGTGAGCTACTGAATGCTATATTTTTATCTCAGAGATTCTAAATGAAGATTAATGTAGTAAAGGCTCTTGCAAGTTCCACAGAAAAGAAAGTAGTTAACTTTGTATACCCTAGTGTTTTTCAAATATATTCAAAGACATTTGTGTGTAATTCATACCCCAGGGAAGGAGGTGTAAAGAAATTCTGGAAAAATGTGATAGGATAGCTGCAATGTCTCAAATACAGAGAGGTCCCTCTTTAACTGGAACCCAATTACTTAGAACCCACAAGTATAGAAATGTCTGCGCTGAATCTTCCCCTTTCCATCACCCTGTCCCCAACCCACTTTGAGGAAAAAGAGGTAAATGTTAATAAAATAGGCTGAGATAGAGGATATAAAACATCAGAATTTTAAGAATTAAAATAAATTCCACAACTACATTTTCATGGAATTCACTGGGCTAGAATACATTTAGCCCAGTGTCTTATCATTACTGTAGATATCATGTTGTGCTGTATGTTCAGGAGACCCTGAGGTGCAACAGATTTGTGGGTACTCAAAGAGGAATTCTGCTATGTTTCACCAGCTAAACTTTTTCAGATACAAAAAGAGGGAATCATTTTAGGATGATTTTCCATATTGGGGGTTGAATCCAAATTCTTTCTTAATCTGTATAGTTAACCAGAAATTATAAATGATCCTAAGCCCTCACTTTCCAATATCCATTTCGTCAAGTTTTCACAGGTGACCACTAGGTGATTGAGTGAGGCCAGGGTCATGGGGTGGCTACTTTCAGTCACAGTCCTGAGTGTATTTGCTGAAATGGGCAGAAGCATTTAAAAATACACTGGGCAATATATAGCCTCTGTCAATGAGGAGAAGAAAACTTGTGGTGCTGAAGTTTCTTCCAAACTCCTGTGTATATTCAAATGTGTTTCTACAGTTTAGGCTGCCATTTTCAGGGTTTGATCTATGAGACAATAAAGTCTTTATTCAAATGCAAAGAGTCCTTAAAAGATCTATATCTTACGGTGTTAGCCCACTTTCAGAAGCATTAATTTAGTGGTTCCCAAACTTCATTGTACATAATAATCCCCTGGGGTGATTGCTAAAAACACAGTTTCCAAGGTATCTGTTCCATAGAGATTCTGGTTTAGTAGGTTTGGAGTGTGGCCCAGTTATCTGCTTTTGTAACAACTACCCAGGTGATTTTGATGCAGTGATTCAAGTATCACAATAAAATAAACATTAGATTGGTTCAAAGCTCTCCCATCCACATTCCAGAGGCCTACATTCCTTGCTTTCATTTTGGCTTTAACACTCTGGAGCACTGCCATCAATAATCATCTGGTTTGTCAGCACTGGCACTGGTCCTCCAATGCTGTCTCTTCTATGATGAGCTTGCTTCTTCTACTGAACTATATAATAAAAAAGGCTATAATAAAGCTTCTTACTGGGTCTCTAATTTTTGAAGCCAAGAGGTCCCCTTTCCATTTCCCCATATAATGAATCTTCAAAAGGGCCATAGTCACAGCACAATTTAACAATTTTTTGAGAGTCTGAGGTTCAAGGTCAAGAGGAAGATGTTTTATGCTTTCAAAGCAGTGTTATTAATGGAGCCTTTAAGACCTTTATAACTGGAAAGATTTCTCAAGAGGTGTCACCCTCAGGGATTCAGAATCCAACTTCAGAATAAAGACTGAAATGTTTTTTGTCCTTAAAACTCTAACACTGTATTTAATAATTTTTACAATATTGCAAAACCAAATTGAATGCACCAGTACATAAAACACCATTTAATATTCTAGGCAATTCATTTTTAAAGAGGAACTGTCAATATTTTGACAAGCTTCAAACTTAACTTATTCTTACAAATGTCAAGGTTAAGCATCAAGTTTATCTCATCAATCTTTGTAGTTTTACAACTAGGAAAGAAACTAGCCAACCTTATCTTAAGGATCATAAAAACATTAATTTAGTGAATCAGCAGATCTGAAAAATCTCTGTCTCTTGTTTGTTCCTTTACATAGGCTATGACAGCTGAATATTGTTATATTATCTTGGAATTTGAATAAACATTGTAGAAAATCCAGTCTTTGGGAGAGCATACATGGTTATCATTTCTACTGTCTGAGAAACTGCAAATATCTTCTTAAACAGTGATATCTCCTGGGTTGGGTAGTGAGCTGGTTGCAGCTCACTCTATTTTCTTTTTTTTTTTAAATTTTATTACTATTATACTTTGTTTTAGGGTACATGCGCACAACGTGCAGTTTTGTTACATATGTATACATGTGCCATCTTGGTGTGCTGCACCCATTAACTCCTCATTTACATTAGGTATATCTCCTAATGCTCTCCCTCCCCCCTCCCCCTACCCCACAACAGTCCCCGGTGTGTGATGTTCCCCTTCCTGTGTCCAAGTGTTCTCATTGTTCAGTTCCCACCTATGAGTGAGAACATGCGGTGTTTGGTTTTTTGTCCTTGCATTAGTTTGCTGAGAATGATGGTTTCCAGCTTCATCCATGTCCCAACAAAGGACATGAACTCGTCATTTTTTATGGCTGCATAGTATTCCATGGTGTGTATGTGCCACATTTTTTTTTTTAATGTTTTTTTTTTTATTATACTTTAAGTTTTAGGGTACATGTGCACATTGTGCAGGTTAGTTACATATGTATACATGTGCCATGCTGGTGCGCTGCACCCACTAACGTGCCATCTAGCATTAGGTATATCTCCCAATGCTATCCCTCCCCCCTCCCCCGACCCCACCACAGTCCCCAGAGTGTGATATTCCCCTTCCTGTGTCCATGTGATCTCATTGTTCAATTCCCACCTATGCGTGAGAATATGCGGTGTTTGGTTATTTGTTCTTGCGATAGTTTACTGAGAATGATGGTTTCCAATTTCATCCATGTCCCTACAAAGGACATGAACTCATCATTTTTTATGGCTGCATAGTATTCCATGGTGTATATGTGCCACATTTTCTTAATCCAGTCTATCATTGTTGGACATTTGGGTTGGTTCCAAGTCTTTGCTATTGTGAATAATGCCGCAATAAACATACGTGTGCATGTGTCTTTATAGCAGCATGATTTATAGTCCTTTGGGTATAGGGATCTAGAACTAGAAATACCATTTGACCCTGCCACATTTTTTAAATCCAGTCTATCATTGTGGGACATTTGGGTTGGTTCCAAGTCTTTGCTATTGTGAATAGTGCCACAATAAACATACGTGTGCCTGTGTCTTTATAGCAGCATGATTTATAATCCTTTGGGTGTATACCCAGTAATGGGATGGCTGGGTCAAATGGTATTTCTAGTTCTAGATCCCTGAGGAATCGCCACACTGACTTCCACAATGGTTGAACTAGTTTACAGTCCCACCAACAGTGTAAAAGTATTCCTGTTTCTCCACATCCTCTCCAGCACCTGTTGTTTCCTGACTTTTTAATGATCGCCATTCTAACTGGTGTGAGATGGTATCTCATTGTGGTTTTGATTTGCATTTCTCTGATGGCCAGTGATGATGAGCATTTTTTCATGTGTTTTTTGGCTGCATAAATGCCTTCTTTTGAGAAGTGTCTGTTCATATACTTCACCCACTTTTTGATGGGGTTGTTTGTTTTTTTCTTGTAAATTTGTTTGAGTTCATTGTAGATTCTGGATATTAGCCCTTTGTCAGATGAGTAGGTTGCAAAAATTTTCTCCCATTCTGTAGGTTGCCTGTTCACTCTGATGGTAGTTTCTTTTGCTGTGCAGAAGCTCTTCAGTTTAATTAGATCCCATTTGTCAATTTTGGCTTTTGTTGCCATTGCTTTTGGTGTTTTAGGCATGAAGTCCTTGCCCATGCCTATGGCCTGAATGGTATTGCCTAGGTTTTCTTCTAGGGTTTTTATGGTTTTAGGTCTAACATTTAAGTCTTTAATCCATCTTGAATTAATTTTTGTATAAGGTGTAAGGAAGGGATCCAGTTTCAGCTTTCTACATATGGCTAGCCAGTTTTCCCAGCACCATTTATTAAATAGGGAATCCTTTCCCCATTGCTTGTTTTTCTCAGGTTTGTCAAAGATCAGATGGTTGTAGATACGCGACATTATTTCTGAGGGCTCTGTTCTGTTCCATTGATCTATATCTCTGTTTTGGTACCAGTACCATGCTGTTTTGGTTACTGTAGCCTTGTAGTATAGTTTGAAGTCAGGTAGTGTGATGCCTCCAGCTTTGTTCTTTTGGCTTAGGATTGACTTGGCAATGTGGGCTCTTTTTTAGTTCCATGTGAACTTTAGTTTTTTCCAATTCTGTGAAGAAAGTCATTGGTATCTTGATGGGGATGGCATTGAATCTATAAATTACCTTGGGCAGTATGGCCATTTTCACGATATTGATTCTTCCTACCCATGAGCATGGAATGTTCTTCCATTTGTTTGTATCCTCTTTTATTTCCTTGAGCAGTCGAGAAATGTGGGTGTACTTAAGTGTAGCAAGTGTGAATATTGGGGAAGTTGATGCTCAAGAGGACCATTATGAAATCCTTTATTTAAAGCAAATACATGAATTGATATTTCCTGTGTATTTCCACCCTCTTACCTATGTCTATTCAAATAATCCCTACCCCAATACTTTATAAATCTAGATTTTCTCATAGTGAATTTCCTTAATATAGAATATGTGGGCCATGCAAAGTCCAGATAGAGATGGCCTTTGTGATGCAGAAATAGGATTTGGTATTTGGACAAATTTCTATGTTAGAAAAGAATGGTCCTTGTTGTTGTTTTGGTGCTGCATGGTTGTTTTCCCCATCACAAAAAGTGGAGTTTGTGATTAGGAGTTAGCAGTCTGCAAAATGAAACCCAACTGGGTTGCCGAGAGGCAGGCAGCTGCAAAGGAAAGCTCAGGCAATTATGGGTTTGAAAGAAGAATGAAAGCTTTCCCTAGCCATTCATGATTGTATAATCAAATCTGTATCTGTCAATTGCTAGAGTCAGATCATGGAGTTCGCCTAAGATTACATAATCTGAAACCCAGGATGTGCAAAACCCATTAAAAGAACTACTTGGGAAAATGAGCAAGGTACTATACAGAGTTTGAAATTGCCTTTCATAAGTTATCTCTGAATAATCAAATCTAGGGAGAAGAGGAGCCAAGTGGGAAGTAATGGACATTTTGCTAAAGAAGAAAATAAGCATTTCTATGTTATTGTTTCTTCCCTCAAATGATCATTATAATAATAATAATAATTTTTAAAAATCTACTAAAGATCTCGCTTGCACCACTTGTGAGTGAGAAATCAATAGGTAGTATTTCCTAAAACCTCCACTTTAGTCCATTATTCCCAAGTGCAACCCCTCCTCTTCTGTCTTTTCCTTTTCTCAAATAGGTTTTATTCAACTAACTCTTCTATTTGGGTTGATGCTGATTTTCTTCCCTTCTCTGGGTCTTGCTACCTATGCAATATAGGTGTGGGAAACGAACTGTAGATAAGATGGTACCTGGCCCATTTTGTATCTAATCAGAAGATGAACACGTTTATGCTAGTAAAAGTGTACACAAGGCAGTCATCCAGGCACTCTATCCTATAACTTATATTATTGACTGTTCTGCACCAAGGAAATTGTTATCCACGACATATAGAGCTCACTCTCTTGGTCTAAACAAAACTTTTATGGTAGCCATATTGGCAAAACACTGCTGACATAAATTTTATGTGGGGATAAAAATATGCTTGGACGGGTTAAATTTTATATGGATATATAGATTTCAGAATTCAAACCTGACAAATTGATGAGATGGCCAGGGAGAGCTGAATTTTCTTTTTTAAAAGGTGATAAAAATAACTCAAGGGCTGTAGACTAAGATAAAAATAAATGCTCTACATAATGTATTTGATGTAATTTATGATGTCTTTCCTGTGGCTGTTCTTAACAGATTGGAAGGAAATGGGGCTATAATGCCACTGGGCCCTGCTTTCAGCCAGCAGAGGTAGTTGGTGTTGATTCCTTCCCACTGAAGGCTCTTCCTCCACAGTGAGTATAATAGATACAGGGGGATGGTATGAGGCACCAGTCAGTTCCTTCTTCAAGGAGGGACTATGCCGCACAGGTACTGAGAATCAGGTTAACAGACAGCCTCCAGCTGCCAGTCCCTTCAAGGTTTACGTCAGCTGCACGGGGTCACTTCACCCTAGGCCACACTACTTCTTGGAGCATCCATATCCAAGGTGGGGGATAAAAAGGCCTGATCATCCCAGCCCAACCTGCAACGACTCTGAAGGGCCATTCTAGCTCCAGAGCTCCCTGTGGGGTTGGCCAAGTCTGTCCTTTAGCTTGCAGTGCAGCTTGACATTTCCTTCTGTTCCTTTCAGCTTCCTTTCTTTCTCTTCAACAAGTGCTGCCACTGCAGGTACTCCTTAATAACCATCCTGGACGCTAAACTCTTTCTCGGTATCTACTTCCATGGAAACATAACCTGGGACCAGGGCCATATTATGACTTTTATGAGCCCTAGGCATTTTTGCCTTCATTTACCTATTCTTCCATAAGAATGTTAAAATTATATTTTATAATTGTATTGGTATAAGAATGAATATATTGATATTATATATTAAAACACTTTTTTCTACCTCAGAGTTAATTATTTATTCTTATTTTAGAGCAAAGCAAAACATTTTTTTTGTGGATCCCAGGCCCTGTACCTACTATGCCTAATGGATATGTTGGCCCTACTTGTGGTAGGAGCCAATTGCGTACCAAGCATTAGACAAAATTATGAAGCTTGGGAAGATTGTTTTTATTGCTCTTTCTCTTTCAACCTTAGGTCATCAGGTCCCCCAGCTATTGACTACTTTTCAGGGAAACCAACCTATAGTGAGCTCACCTTTTGGAAAGGATCATTCCTATTAAGATGTGAATGATTGGTAAAGCTGAGGTTTCATTATTTTAACCCTACAAGAGGGTAGTTATGGAGGCTTGCTTTGTATAACAGAAGAGTTCTTGTTACTGATTGGGTCAATTTTCTTCTCTCTCCCCACCTTCTTTCTCTGTGCAAATTTCCTGTTGCTCCATTGAATCTTCTTAAGGGAACATAGATTGAGCTTCAGGCCTGGGAAAGGCTCAGATTGCCCTTACCCATGGCACTATTTGTGTGTGGATGAGTAGGGAGGAGTTGAAACAAAAGTAAAAGGGACCACCTAGAATGACCTGATTGCCCTCTTCCTCTCAACTCCTTGAAATCATAATTCTAGACTGATTAGCTATCTTCTTTTTTGGCCTGCCTGGGCACTGGATGGTTCTTTTTTGGTTGTTTTTAAAAATCTAAAAAATGAATATGTTTGAGTGCTTGCTATTTACCAAACATTGCTTTGGGGTTCTTTATATACGTTATCTCAATTAAGTATAGCAGGATATCCTAGCTAAGCCTGATCTTGGATTCATAATCTAGCTGTGTGCTGAGTCAGTGGCTCACACAGTATCAAACTACATTAACTGAAGCATCTAACAGGAAAGAGACCTAAGAGAAGTAGGCTGCTGTGTTTAGGTGACTAGGGATCAGAGATAGAGAATGGTTAATGGCAAGGGCAGTATGCCCAGAAAGGCAATAGATCATTTCAACTAAGAGCATAGATTCTAAAGTCAAGCTACCTGGATTCAAATACTGACTCTGCCACTTACTTGCTAAGTGATCTTGGGCAAGTTATCTAACCTTTCTGTGACTGCCTTTCCTTACATGAAAAATGCAGATAAGTACTAACTTCATTGGGTTATAGAAAAAAATTAAATCTATCAATATATACAAAACATTTAAAGCAGTGTCTGATAATTACCTCAAAATATGTTAGCTAATGCAATTATGGGGTCTGTTGCCCTTACTGATCCCATGGACTGGTTTTCTTAGCCCCTATGTACCTAAAAACTACAGACAGAAGCTGAAGTTGTTTTTAGAAGCATCTTTGTGAGACCGAATACTAATAATTCTGTTTTGGGTCCAGCTGATAAAATACAATACACACCTGGGGAGAAGAGCACCCTCCTCTTTTCTGCATGGAACCAAAAGGTGTCATTTGGTAATTTGGGGGTTTGTGAATACTAAGAGATAGTCCTCTGATCAGGCAAGCTGTACTCTTATCTGGAACCTGCTCCATGAGGTCAGGAGATGGATGCAGAAATGACTGTTAACTTGTGGCAACAAATGATCGAAACTATATCAAGGTGGTATGGCTTGCTACAGTCCTTCCAATACTGTCTGCCCCATTTATGTGACCTGATGTGACTAGGCTCAGAACCTGGGATGGGGTTTGGAAGAGCAGCAGTTACCATCTTCTTGCAGGTAGATTAGATGCTTGGCTGAATCACCCTTTGCTCTCTGGGTACCAGACCCAGTGTGACCAGTACTATGGCTCCCCTCTAGTGAGCCTCTATCTGGAGACAAATGTTTTCTGGAAGGCCTTTACTGTAGAGACCTTTTCATTAACAGACTTATTAGGCAGACAATGGGGGATGAAGACAACTCAGAAGGGGTAAAATATGGGGGTTGGTATGTGTTGATTTCAAATAAGTGTCTTTGCCAAAATGAAATAATTACTGTATCTAGATAAAGCAGACTAAGTTGGAACAAGCAAATGTTCTTGGCAGGAAGTCAATCACATGCTACAAAATTCAATTTATGAGCAGCTACAGACAGCTTTAAAATATTTTTTTTGGCTTAAAGTGATGTTGAGTTATTGAACCCCCTTTTGTTAAACGTTTATTAGCAATCCAAAATTACCAATAAGTGGATCACCAATTTGTTTGTCTTATTCATAAATAATTACTCTCCCTTTCTGTCAACTTCATCTTTCAGAATTATCATTACTAAATTTCTCAGAATATTGGGGACATAGGCTTCTTTCCTACGATCTACTACTAGGGATCTGACTGGCCCATTGCCAATAAGCTTCCATCTTAATGGTGACCTTGAAAGAGATTGTAAGTAACATTTAACATAAATCTTTCCTATTCTAAAAACAAATAAAATCTCTTCCTTGATTTCCACAGTCCTATTCTTTCATTCTTTTTCTTCTCATCCTAACTTCTTAAGTAGATTACACTTATTGTCTCCACCTTCACACCTCTATTCCCTCTTCATTCTGTTGTAAATTGGCTTCTGCTGTCATTATCCACAGAAACTCCACTTGCAAAAGTCAGCCCTCTCACCAGGCATTGTCCACTCATAATCTATGTGATGATGATTCCCAGATCTATATTTTTAGCCCCAACATCTCCCTGAAATGTCAGCCTTATATATTTGATGGCCTGCCAGTATCTTCAGTGGGATCTCTCACAGGCAATTCAAACTCTATATGTCCAAAATGGAGCTCATCATTCCTTCCCATCAAATCTGTTCCTTCTTCTGATGTCCTGTTTTGTTACCCAGTTGAAAAGTCGTATTATACTCCTTTCTTCATTTAACTTTCTACATCTAATAAATCACTATCTAGTTGGCTTTCTCTTCTAAATATTTCTTGCATCTGTCCTTTCTACTCTATCCCTACTAACGGTCTCTCATTTTAACTTCTGAACTGATAGTAGTTTCCCAATAGACCTCTGATATTCTCCCCTTCAGTACATTCTCCATGCAACTACCAGGCAGACCTTTCTGTTATGAAATCTGACCTTGTCATTTATTTGGTTAAAACTGTGCAAAGCTTCCCTGTTACCTACTGAATAAAGCTAAACATAATTCATATGACATATAAGGCCCTCCAAGTCTGTATCCTGCCTACTTTTCCAGCTTTACCTTAGAAATGTATTTTATTCCTTCCTTATGCCATGCCATTTCTTGCTTTTCTACTTTGCATATACTACCACTTAGTCTAGAATGCCTTTCTCTCCCTATACCTAATTGATCTGTAGGATTTGACGGATCTTTAAGATTCAGCTTAGGTCTATCTTCTTTTTTATTTTTATTTTTATTTATTTATTTTTTTGAGATGGAGTTTCGCTCTTGTTGCCCAGGCTGGAGTGCAATGGCGCACGACCTTGGCTCGCTGCAACATCCGCCTCCCGGGTTCAAGAGATTCTCCTGCCTCAACCTCCTGAGTAGCTGGGATTACAGGTGCCCACCACTGTGCCTGCCACCCCGCCAAGCTAATTTTTTGTATTTTTAGTAGAGACGGGGTTTCACCATGTTGGCCAGGCTGGTCTGGAACTCCTGACCTCAAGTGATTCACCCGCCTTGGCCTTCGAAAGTGCGGGATTACAGGCGTGAGCCACCGTGTCTGGCCAGGCCTGTCTTCTTTAGGAAATAGTCCGTCTGCCCTCTCCACTACCAAGGTTGGCTAATATCTCCTGTGTGGTCCCATAATACCATAATGATTGTGTATACATCTCTCATTTTGCCTTCCCCATATTGTTGTAATTCTTTGTTTATATATCTGCTCATCCCCTAGACTGTGTGCTCCTTAAGGTTACAGGCCATGCCTGTCTTGCTCACAGCTGTATCCTCTGCATCCAACACCATCTATAGTGTCTATACAGTAACTCAATAAATGTTTAAAAAAATTAATAATCACAATAACCACTTCTATTTCTATAGCATTGTACTGTTTATAAAGTTATTTTCTACATATTGTCTTATTTGAATCAACACAGTCAGATTCAGGATGAAATGAAAGCTCTCCTAAAAGGGAAGCAATGTAGTGGAATGGGTAGGAGTTTATTTAGGTTTTGGAATCATATAGGTCTAGCTTTGAATCCTGATTTCACAACTCTCTATCTGTAACCTTTTGAGCAAGTCACTTAATATCTCAAAGGGTTGCTTTTCACATGTGTAAAATGGGAATAATAATAGTTCCTACTTTATAGGGTTGTTGTGAGGATTACCTGAGATAATTCATACAAAATACTTAGAACAATGCTTCGCACATAGTAAATGCTCAAGAAGTATTATTATTGTTGTTATTATTTTTATAGTATAATAATTATTGTTATCCCTCATCTTTTTTCCCATGTAGATTTTCTTCTTCATGCTTGAGCTAGATCATTCATACCATATATAAAGCACTTACAATAGTTCCTAGCATATAGTAAGAATTTAAAAAGTGATACCTATTTTATCTATTATTGTCCTACAGCAATGCTGTCCTCTATACCTGCTGGTTTACAAATAGGGCAAAAAAGAATTATTTTGGCTTTAAAAAGTATTTATCTTTTGCCTTAAGCTGGGAAGAAGTTGACATGTTCATGTCAACAAAATACCAATTATAACTTATTCTGAGTTAGTGACAAACTCTGAGAAACATTTTCTCAAAAAATTAAAAAATGATCGTGCCCCAAAAATTCAAAGAAAACTTACTGAAAGGAAGATGAAGAAAATGGAGTTTCCAATGGATATGTTTAATGAACTGCCTAATTTAGGAACTGAGTTTGAATTTTGAAAGTGTACTCATTATTGGGTGGCAAGCACATAGGCAAGAATGAAGATAATGTTCTATGTGTCCAGTATCCTGGAGGAATAGAATATGTGAAATTATGATCGGGGAAACAGACAGGAAATACAGAAGCAGTTATTGGAACAAATGATTTCAACAGATTAGCAAATTAAGTATACAGCTGAAAAAGAAAATTAGAATAGAACATTTGTGACATAGTCCTGACATTTTAATCAGAATATTACCTAACTGATATATTCGCATTGGTAGAATAGAAAGCTAGGAATTGCTTTTTTTCTTCTTTTTGATTTATAATGTAATCTGAATTGATTTCTGAATAAACTCCTCAAAGAGGCAAGCCTGATAAGATTAATACTGAGGTCATTTGCTGGCATCAGAAAAAATATTGCTAATTGTTTCCTCATATGGTATCAGTGGGAGAGAAAATCCTTGTAGATGATTAGCTTTCAATAAGGGGAAGGCCACTGGATTTAAAGTGATAGTTTCATTCTTGTCTTTAGCAATAAAGCAAAGACCAAATGGAAGGAAAGGGCTGCAGATGTCTATAGTGTATAAAGTGGAAAACAGGAGAATAATTTAATGTGGATAGTGGTGCTGATTGATACAACTCAATCCAATGCATATTTATTGGGCATCTACTGTGTGATAGGCATCATGTTAGAGGCACCAGGGGATACATAAATGACACAGCTCTTGCCTCAAGCTGCTTGCAATTATACTAATGGTAAAGATAATTGCAAAAATAGTCATATCTACAGAGTTTATGTGTAGCCCTAGGAGCATAAGTAATTGCTGCCGTGTTAGCTAAAGGCAGAATGTAACTGGTGGAGAAGGAGGATTTCTCCTCACTTATTTCAGCTTGGGGCTTATTGGGATTGACAGCGAAGATAATAAGGAGGAAGTATTTTGCAGTGGTCTGCAGATTAGTTGGGCAGCAGTGGTGGCACAGAGGCCTTATGGGAATATGCAAGATTATTGTTTGTCGGTTGCCCAGGGGCATCACTACTCTTCCTGACTCTGAATTTGAGAAAGATGGAGTGATTTGGAAGGGCTGGAGTTTTAGTAGGTCTTCGGATTGTTGTGTTTGTAACTGGGCTGCCCTCTTTCTTGTCATCATGCTTAAAGGCTGCCTGACTGATTGCTGTCTTGCTTCCCAATGGACTTTTATGAGGCGGCCTATTGACTGGTTTTCTTTCTTTCTTTCTTTCTTTCTTTCTTTCTTTCTTTCTTTCTTTCTTTCTTTCTTTCTTTCTTTCTTTCTTTCTTTCTTTCTTCTTTCTTTCTTTCTTCTTTCTTCCTTCCTTCCTTTCTTCCCTTGTTCTTTTGCTTTCTTGCTTCCTTTCTTGCTTTCTAACTTCCTTTCTCACTTTCTCACTTCCTTTCTCACTTTCTCACTTTCTTGTCTTTCTTCACAATTGTGTCCTCACAACTGGTCCTATAAACATTTGGTACATAGGGTTTGCTCAGTATAATAGAAATGCAAAAAGTGTGAGCACTTCAGAAGTACCAGCTTCTTCAAATTACTGCATAGTCATTTAAAATCATTCTTATCTATGCATTAAAGCAGAATTCCTAGTAGGTGGCTGCTATGATTTGAATGATTCCCTCAACAATTCATATGTTGGAAACTTAATGGCCAGTGTAACAATATTAAGAGGTGGGGTTTTTAAGAGGTGGTTGGGTCATGAGGGTGAAGAGCTCATGAAAAAATTAATGTTATTATCATGGGAGTGTGTTAGTTCCCAAGAAAGCAGGTTGTTTTAAAAGTCAGCTTGGCTTGCTCTTGTGGTCTCTTTTGCATGTGATTTCTTGCCTTATCACCTATCTATCATGAGATGACCCTCGCCAGATGATGACACTGTGCTCTTGGACTTCCAAGCCTCCAGAATCATGAGAAAATAAACTTCTTTTCTTTATAAATACCCAGTCTGTGGCCCATTCTGTTACAGCAATAGAAAACAGACTAAGACAGTGACTGTATAAACCAACTAGTTGTTGTGCCTATCCCATGGGTGCTTTCATATGTGTTGTGCCAATGTCTATAGGACAGGCCAAGTGAACTTTTTGTTAACATGAAAGTAGGGAATGATAAACTGGAGAAAAGAATTTGAAGAACAACTAAAGGATAGGACAAGCTGGCCCAAAAGGAATAAGAAAAGGAAGAGAGCATCAAAATTAGGAGTGAGAGACAAAGAAGAGATTATAGATTGTTAGAGGTGGCAGTGTTGATAGACAAGTAATTCTTTTAAGTAGATAGCAAAGTGTGGTTTTAAGAGAATAAATAGAGGGAGAAAAGAGGAGAAATGAGGAAGAGTGGGAGTTACTAAGAGAATAAGAAATAGATAAAGAACGCTTGATTATCTTGTAGTCCACAGACTGAGACCGTAAGGCTGATATGAAATTGCTAAGTTTCCTTTGGAACCAAGAACAGGATTGTAGGGCTCACATACAAACCCTTGAAGCAGTGACATTTTGATTCAACTTGGGACATCATGAAAGTTCTCAAAAACCCTAATATAATGGACAATGTTCATTGATTGTGGCAAAAAAATATGTCTGTTCTCTCAGGCTGAAGAGTCACCCTGTACTGTGCAGCATGTCACAGAAGTCGAGAGAGAAGATTGTAAATTGCACTTTGAACCTGGCCTCGAAGTGCTCATCCAGGCAGCTGGGCCAGGCTGAAGTGAACACGAATTCTGCACAGGCGAATAATGATAAAAAATGTCGTTTGCAAGTCTTCTCTGTCAATAACAAAGCTCATCTTTTTGTGCCAGCAAGACATTGCAGGCAGCCCATGTTTCAAATTCAGTTAATCTCAAAATAATTCAAAAATCAAAGAGCTTATTCAACCATCAAGATATACCAGATTGACTCACTGTGTATTCATAGAAGAGATTGTATTTGAGGGAGGCAAAGGGAAGAATCCAATATCAGAATCAGTCAAAGAAGCAGTAGTTTTTGTTCAGTATAAATTGTTTTCAGACCACACAACTGCACTGTGAATAGTAAGAAATATTGCCAAGGAATAGTTGATGATGGCATCATTTGCATTTTCAACTGGAGTAAAATATAGCATCTTGGATCTCTGCAATTAAGTGGTCTTTGCTTCTCCCACATATTTAGGTGTTTCCTTCTCACTGGTTTCCCCTTTTAGTTGTTAATTTTACACTCTGCCCTTGCTATGGGCTGATGTGGTATAAAAAGTTAGCAAGTAGCAGAAGCATCAGGTTTGTAATTTGTTACAATATTATCATCTTTATACTATTTAGCATGTGTGTTAGCTAGTGCTTTGGCTTGTTTTTAGAGTTTCCCCTTCTATTTTCTCAAGTGTTTCTCAACTAAGGGGAAAGGGATGGGGTTTTATAACTCTTTGAGCCTCACTTCCCTCATCTGTGAGATATGGACTGTAATCATACCCTAGAAGCTTCTCATTAAGTATTAGCTCTCCACTCCCTAAATTTACCACTCATAATTTTATAGATGTGGAGATTGCAACTAAGGGAGAGGTAAAGAGTCTCGCCCAAGGTTGCAGCCCTGTGAATGCAGAGTTGCCAGCTCTACAAATGCACCCACTATCCTTTCCCAGTGTATTATTTGAAGCTAAGTGAATGAGATAAGGTAGGAGAACTGCCCCCCTTAGAAGTTATATTGAATAGGGAGCATTCATTACCATATAGTGTACATTGTTCAATTTTGATGTAAAACACAGAAGGCAAACTGGATCAAGGAGTTAGAGGGGAATAGTTAGCAACATCTCTCTACTCCAAAAGGGGTGCTGAGGCTGAAGACAGTCCTTTTTCACTCATATATGTACTCAATATAGATCTACAATCTCCTGTTCACAATTCCAAAATCCGAGGTCTGAAACCTGACCTTTCTCTCTCTCTCTCTCTCTCTCTCTCTCTCTCTGGTAAATTTGGTCCCCCAACTCACTGACAGCAAAATCTGTCCTTATCTAATATATGAGGCATTTTATATGCTTTATTAATGCAACATGAAGTGAGTATTTATGTGATCCACTACAGATATATTAATATGTTAAATTATGAGATGATACCCCAGATCTTGTTGGGGGTGCAATTTATAGTATATAGCCCACATTATCTTTCTCAAATCTGAAAACATTCTAAATTCTGAAGCACTTATGGACCCAAGGTTTTTAGATATATGATTGTGGCTCTATAAATACATATTTAGTCCCTTTAGTGTGCCAAGCACTGTACTAGGTGCTGGGAATGCGACTAGAAATGAGAATGAAGTTGATGCAGCTAACAATTATAGAATACTCACTCCATGTTGGGAGCTGTGAAGTGCTTATGTGAAATCTCGGATTTACTGGTAAGGCTTACCACGACACTTTGTAGCAGTTACTATTGTAACTCATGGTTCCTGCCCTCAAGGAGCTTGTAGCCCCAGGAGGGAAAACAGCAGGTCTATGTGATAGAAGCTAAAGTAACTCTATAAGGGAATTTTATGCCCTCAAGTTGCTACTGCTGCCTGGGCTGAGACCTTGTCCTATCTATTGTCACACTGGTGAATAATGGAGTGGGAAAAGGCCCAGGACCAAGGAGAAAGGAGATAGCAAAGATGGAAAAGGAAAGATAAGGCTAAGAAAGTAGTGGCATGATGGCTCAGGTATCAAGTAACAACATTTAATGGGACATCATGATATCAGTCAAGGTAGGGAATTGGAATCTAAGAGTACATTGCTTGCCATGGGATTCTGGCCATGAGCCTTTAATGCCCTAGTATAGATAACTGTAACAGATAGGAGTTTATCGCACAGCCTGGCTTGTTAGCTTTAGAGGAATGGGTGAGTGGACATCTTAATATGTAGCATCTCTTATTTCTCAGCAACTCCTTCCAAAGGCATGACTTAAGGTGAAACCTTAGGGCCCAAGATTTTCTAAGGGGCAGGAACCTTTCTACCTGAGGCCTGAGGGTGACTGCCCAACCCCTCCTAAGTGAGGGTGAATTTGCCCATAAGTATATAAATAAGGCCTTGCCATATTGCAAGGCTAAGGTCAAATTCTGAAATGAAAGAGAGTCCAACCTGATATAGCACCTGCCTATTTCTAGTGCAACTTTCTTTCTAATTGCTCATACTTGATGCAAGACCTGATCTATGCTGTTCAGGTGATCATCAGTTACAGGTCTCTCTTGGCAACAGGCCATGCTTTCTCTTCTCCCTTGCAGGTAATTGATGGGCTGAAGTGATTAAGCGTGATATACTACATTACAACCATCATTCCCATAACCAAGAAGACATGAGCACACAACGCATCCTCAGTCCTTAACTGATAAGTCTCATGAGCTGTCCAGACAGGGGCCATTTATATATTTGGCGCCCTCATTTTTCTTTCCTCCCTGGGGTTAGGTGCTACAGCTGGTAGGGCCATTAGTCCCTTGTCCCTGCTGGTGAGTTTTGGCCTGTGGCTGGCTTGTCTGTCAGAACATAAGCCTCGAGCACACAGTGGGTAGTAGGATGGTACGAGTGGGTAGAGAGGGGATCTGGAAACTAGCAATCCCCATCTGGTAAGGCAGAGGCTTTGAGGCTGACCTAACTGTAGGCCACATGAACAAGCTGAACTAGGCTGGTGAGAGGATAACAAAATAACATCAGCAATATTTACTATTGTTGTTATAACAGTTATCATGACAACTAGCATTGTTTGAATACCTACTCTGTGCTAGGGGCTTTACATTCATTATTTCATTTAATGGTTACAAGAACCTTGCAAAGTATGAATAATCATCCTTTACTTGCCCAATGCTGCACAGCAAAAGTATTGGAGAAGTTCGATTGAACTTCAAGTCTATTTCTGTCCAAAGCACATACTCTTTTTTTTTTCTTTTTTCTGAGACAGAGTCTCACCCTGTCATCCAGGCTGGAGTGCAGTGATGCAAGCTCGGCTCACTGCAACCTCCACCTCCCAGGTTCAAGCAATTCTCCTGCCTCAGCCTCCCAAGTAGCTGGGATTACAGGCACTTGCCACCACGCCCAGCTAATTTTTGTATTTTTAGTAGAGACGGGGTTCTGCCATGTTGGCCAGGCTGGTCTCGAACTCCTGACCTCAGGTGGTCTGCCTGCCTTGGCCTCCCAAAATGCTGGGATTACAGGCGTAAGCCACTGTGCCCAACCCAAAGCACATACTCTTTTAACTAGACTATACTGCCCATTCAGAAAAGTATCATGCAGCGGAGGTAATGTGCTTGGAATTCTCTGAAAGCAGAACTGGACTGAGGAGCAGATCAGCCAGGTAGCTGCCCAGAGCATCAGGCTATGGGGGCACTGATATAGCACTGGAAGATGTGGAAGAGTGAAGCTCATTAACTCGTTTCCATATGTGAATCCCTATATTATTGGATCCACCACCTTTAAAGCAGACAGAGGCCTTGAAAGAAAATAAAATCACCCCTTACTAGATTGAACACATATCCACTGAGTAATTTTACAATACACATACAAGTTACATGAAGCACTGGAGGCCTTACTACCAATCCTCAAAACAGCCAGTCGCCTAAAGTGATTGTAGCAATCAGTTGAAAATCTGAAAGAGAATAATACATGGTCTAGTGCTGTGTGCCAGGAATGAGTTATTTTCCTGTCGAAATTTTAAACACTTTTAATATGCTTTACAATCAACTTTCTGGTTCAGAAAATTGCATTTAATAAATCCCTTAATTTGAACATAAAGAGGTATTTAAATTCATTAACAGAAAATCAAGTTCATGTTTGCTTTCATATTTCTCTACACCATTTTCTTTATTTTTCCCTCCACTCTCTGCCCACCTCCCTATCTCCCTCCCGCTTCCTGCCTTTTCTTCCCTTCCTCTTCCCCCTCATCTTCTGCACTGTTACTGCAGTTTGCCTCAGCATTGTAGCCCCATTAGCAGTTGCAGACCTACTCAATTCTTTACGTATATGATCTTGGACATCTCCATCCCAGGAACTGCCCCAGTTCCCTGCCATGGCAGTGGACAGTCCATGCTGTCTGGGCCTTACAGAAGATAAAGGGCAATCATCATGGAAAGAAAATGTGTTCTTGTAAAAGGGGCTACCAGGTGCTCCAGCAGCATTGTGCTCCTAACAAAGCAAGGCTTTGATAGTGTGAAAGTAAGACGTGTGGCTTGTATGTTGTGTAAAATGAAGCACGGTATCTTGAGGTTTTTCTTTCCTTCCTCCACTCTGACCCCAATACCTCCAGAGATCTTCACTTGTCAGTAGATGATGCTCTTAAAATCCTTTTAGCCCCCCATGTGGGCAGTACAATTGGCAAAATGTTGGGCAGTCCATGTTAGCAGTGTTAGCATTCTGGTGTCACCCAGAAACGCTGAGTGAAAACGAGAGATAGGGAGTGTAAGCAATTCTGGTGGCCCAGAAGCTGGGAAAGACTGCAAAGAGCCCATACAGTGCAATACCAGTTGAGGACAGAACCATAAATGTTTAAAGCTAAAAGCAGTCCCAGAAATAATTAATGTAACCTCGTTTTTTGTGCAAACAGGAGATGGAGGTCTAGAGAGGAAAGTGCTTTACTAACCTTAAATAACAATTCAGTCTGTGGCACAGCAGGCCCTAAACCCTGGTGTCCTAACTCCCAGGGGAGTGTTATTTCCCCTATCTTATGACCATGGGCAATTTCAGGGGTCTGAATGGAATTGTGTAAAACTATCACCTTAGGCAGCAGCTATTAAAGCCCTGTCCCTTGGGTTTAATTTCCACTTGTATACTCTATATCCTCCTTAGGTCAAAATGTGATCTAAACAACTCACTTAGCTAGCTAGGAAATGGTTTTGCTGTCAAGGATTATTCTAGAATCTAAGTATATGGGATTCAGACAAATACAACTCTGCTTTTAAACTGTCATGTCTTAGTAAAAGAGAGTGAGGAAGGTTTAAACACAAATTGTTTGCTAGTATTTGCAGTATTAATGAAATTGAATAAAGCAATATTAATAAAGGCAGTGGCAGTGTGGACAGGGACCTGGCTCCACACTTATTGATTTGTCTCTCAGACCCTTCAGACAATAGGGGAAATGGCATTTATTTGACATGGTCTTGTTTCATTGCTGTGGCTCCTTTTTCCCTATATGCTTCGGTTTGTTACATCAAAGAAGACTGGCTATTATGAGGTAGGTTATTTATGTTAAATGGAGAATCACAGTGGGTCACTTCACTTCTGGCATCCTTTTAAAAAAATGTCCAGGATGAGTGTTTTGGCTTGGTATGCTCACTGAATTTAAAAGAAAATAGAGCCAGTAGAGAATTTCAGATTGTGCTCTCCAGGTACTAATTTTAATGAGGATGGCCAGGCTGGAAAGAAGACTTGTTCAAGGTCACACAATAAATTAGTGCTGAGTCAGGATTAGAACTCAGACCTTATGACTCCTAAAATGGTATGCTCATTGATGTAAGGAAGTGTTTTCATAAATTTTTCATAAATTATTGTGTCATATTATTTTCAAAATAGTCACAGGGTCTGTGACTATATTGTACAACATATTTCTCAAATACCGTTTGTCTCCAGATGCGAGCTCTAATTCTGAATCTATCATTGACTTGGTGTGTGACCTTGGGCAAATCACTTAAACTCTCTGTGTCTCATTTACCTTCTCTGCCAAAACAGTAAACCAATACCTGCCTCGTTTAGCTCGCCAAATTCTTAGAAGTCTCAAACAAGATAGTGGACAAGAGGTACTTTGTAAAGTGTGAAGTGTTGTGGAGATGAGATTATAGTAGTATTGACGGTTTTAAAATATCCCCAGAAGAGTTTTGCTTTTAGCAATGCAGACTACTTGTTTTAAGGGGCACATTATGACTCTTGTGGGCTCTAGGCGCTTTTGCCTTCATGAGCCCAAAAATATTCAAAATTGTTTTATGACTGCATTGGTATAAAGATTGATATATTAATGTTATGTATTAAAAAATCTTCAACCTAAAATTCCTTTTTTATTTTGTTTTTAAAATGTATTAAGATATATTTCTGGGCTCCTAAAAATATTGAGGGCCTTAGGCATGGTGTCTGCCATGTCTACCAAATCAATCAATCCTGCTGGTTTGGACCAGCCCTCCAACTGAGGGCAATGAGAAAAGCTGGACAAAGTAGAACTAATGTCCATTTTAAGACACTGGGGATCTAACAAGGGAGTGAAGAATTGGGAGACTCAAGGTCAGTCAGAGAGAAGAGAGAAGCTCAGAGAGGTTAATCTAACATTTGGTGTCACTTTCTCCTTCAACGTATTTCTTGATTCCAACGGTATAGCTGAGCTGTTTACAATTCTAGGGGATAATATTTAAAGGTCAGGGTCCATCAAAGAGGAGGGTTTCTGGTAAAGCCCCTGGTTTTAGATTGAGACTCTGAAGGGCAACATCCTAGGTGGGAAGGCAAATCAGAAATAGACTAGCTCTTGCAGGGACTGAAGCCTGGCATATAGTCATTTTAATATCTGATTGGGTTAAAGTGATATGGAGTTGTTCATGCCCTTAGACTCTCAGTGCCTGCCACAAAACAAAACAAAACAAAAATATGAATCATCTCTGGAGAAAGATAACCTCATCTAAAGCTTCGAATTAGTTTTACAGTTTTTCACATATGATATTTCGAACATTCAGTCAAAAACAATCAGGCATAGGAAGAGATAATACTGTATGACCCAAAACTGAGGTTAATCAACAGGTAATAGAAAAGATCTGCAAGGGCCTCAGGTAATGGAGTTATTACATACAGACTTTAAAATAACTGTGATTTATATGTTTAAAGAATTAGAATATCTATAGATGGCATTGTTTGTTCTAGACTGGAAATGAATTACAGAAATATATGTAGATAAGCAGTGAGGCATTTGTCTGTTTGTAACATTTGCCACACCCATCCCCTGTATGTGAATTTTACACTTGGAAAGCTGTCAGTGGGATCCAGTATGAGATGTTGCCATTTATGTGAAGCTTGTTTTTCCACGGATGGTTATGTATTCTTTGAACATTTAGGTTCCAAGTTCTTCTTCAGGTGTACAACATAGCACTCATTTTTATAACCCCACTCCCCCAAATTTAGAATTTGTGATCATTTGGAAAATACTGGGCTTTGTTTTATCTTTACATGCAAAAACAGATAGTAAAACAAGACTGTAGGACGAATGCCAAGTCTACTTTAACAGAATGAACTCTTTTTTGAAATACCCATTCTTTTTTTACATCTGCCTTCTCACAAATAATATTCTAATTACTAATATGTCATATCTCTTAATTAAAGCTTGTCCAAGGCAGTCTTTTTACTAAAGCAGTTTATTAGCAATTAGTTTACATTTGTGCAAAATACTTGATATAATTATTTTTCTTTAACCTTTGTGTAAAAGACTCTGAGCAAATTCAGATAAATTATATTCCCAAATAATCTGATTTGGTAAAGCTTTATTTTCATAAAAGAGAATCTGAATATTCAATTTTTTGTATTTCCCCAACTGTCTTTTTAGCAAAACAGAAAGGATAAAAGTGATGTCTTAGTAGGGTCTGAGGAAAAAAGGTAAATATTTTGAGACATGGTTTCAATTCTTCTTCTTTTTTAAAATTATACTTTAAGTTCTAGGGTACATGTGCACAACGTGCAGGTTTAGAGAATGATAGACCGGTTTCAATTATTCTTCTAAGGAATACTACTTATGGCAGAAGGAATGTAATTTGTTTATTCAGCTAGGCTAGGTATGATCCAATGTGTTCAAAAGGAATTAGGCAGAGGAAGGAAGAAGAGTTTAGAATTTATCACTTCAGAGACAGTTTCAACTGACTGTAATGAAACAATTTCCCATTTGACAAAGAACCAAAATGACATTCAGAGGCCACTGGCAACACAGGTTTTCTTTTCTCCTATTCCCTCACTCCTCTACCTTCCTCCTTTCTCTGGGTGTTAAGTTCTCTCCAAAAAGCTGTCCTTGTTTTGTATAATCCTGTTGCTCTCTGAATTATTCCCTTTTGCTTTATTGTGGCTTCTGATGGTAACAAATTTAGCCCTAAGATATCTTTTTATGGCAATTTTAGTTCCTACCCAGGAGCCTAACTTTTCTCATGGAACACAACATAGGTACAACCGCTCAACTTCAGGAGAGGGCCAAATCATTGATTCAGGGGAATTTGTCTTTTCTGGGCATTTCATAAATCATAAGTAATCAAGTTTCTGAAAGTACACTCAAACCCCTTGTTAACTGGATATGATGGAACTCAGCTCACTGCCCTGTCTTCTGACAAAAATGACCACAAAATGAACAGCTTTTTACTGAGCACCAACTACATGAAAAGTTCACATTAAGAGCTAAAGGGAAATATAGAGGAAAGCACAGCAAGGGTTTCTGTCTTTACAGGAGTTTATGAACAAATAGAAGATAATGGCTATATGTGAGGAAGTGGTGTGAGGCCTTTGCTCTGCTCTATATTCAGACCTTATCTCTTTAGCCCCCACTGAGCTTAACATAGTTCCTGGTGTATTTTAGCCACTCAATAAAGGGATGTTAAATACATTAAAGAAATGAGTTAGTGTGGGCACTAATTTGGCATTAAACCACACACATACCTCTGGGACAGAGCTCATCCAAGGAGAGCTAATGCAGTGCTCACAAGGAGGCAGTGAAATTTGGTGGTTCACTGACCATCAACTCAGCAGTAGATCTTTGATGAGATCATTTACTATTTGAGAATATGACAAAAACTATGAATACTGGTTCCAGAAAAATACATAAATGCACATATATGGTAACTTTTGAGTGCAATTTAGTCTTCCTGTGGATTCTCTAAATGTCTATGGTCCCGTGGTTAGGAACCCCTACTTTTTTGAATGTCTATTATGAGTCACGCACTGTGTGGGGCTTACACTGGGTGCTATGAGAGCCGAGAAGAGAGAATATTTATCCCAAACTGGTGATTCAGAGTAGGCTTCCTGGAGAGTTAGAGGCTGAGGCTGAAACCTGAAGGATAAACAGAATAGTAATAATAATAATAATTCACATGAGACCACTCACGGAGACCTTTCTTATTCATCCTGTTGAAAATAACACCCTCTTCTCTATCTCGTTATTCTTTCTTCATTTTTAATAGCACTTGCCACACTCTGTAGTTGTGTTCTTTTGTTTACATACTTATTATCAATGCCCCGACTAGAATGTAAGTGCCACAAAGGTAAGTGAATTCAATCTGTTGTGTTCACTGCTATATCCCCAGTGCCTGAAACAGTGCCAGACATGCTCAATTATTTGTTGAATGAATAAGGGCTTCCTAGGCAGGTGGAACAGCTTGTGCAAAAGCACAGAGACATGAGAGAATATGTGGAGACTATGAGTAATTCAATGCACCTGGAAGGTGAAATGTAAATGAGAGCAATGGCAGATGAGACTGAAGAGGAAAGGGGTATGTAGGTCATGGAGGACCTTGTTTAAGGAAGTTGAACTCTCTGTAGTTCCAATGGGGAGCACAAATCCATGTAGTCATTTGTGGGGAAAATATTCTAATCCCAGGAGAAAAACTGGGGGGTGGGATGGGGCAGGAAACAAAGTAGAATAAAATAAGTCCAATACAGGCTGACTTAGGATGTTCTGTCATGGGAACCCTACAACTACTCCTTGCCTTTGACTCTGGTTTGGGTCTCTAACTATGGGCTGGTATCTTGGACTTGGGCTCTGTTAATAAGAATAATGATGATGATGATAAAAGTAAAATTGCTATTGTGAATAGTGCCACAATAAACATATGTGTGCATGTGTCTTTATAGCAGCATGATTTATAATTCTTTGGGTATATACCCAGTAAAGGGATGGCTGGGTCAAATGGTGTTTCTAGTTCTAGATCCTTGAGGAATTGCCACACTGTCTTCCACAATGGTTGAACTATATGTAACAAATCTGCACACTGTGCACATGTACCCTAGAACTTAAAGTATAATAAAAAAAAAGTAAAATTGATCCACGCACTGTGCCAAACCATGTGCATAGATTTTGACATTTCATCTTCACAACTGTCTTATAAAGGTGGTACTGTTATATCACAATCCCTTGATTACAAGGAAATTGAGACTTGGGTGAAGCAAATTGCTCAGTGTCATACTTCAGCAAGTGGAGGAATAAGGATTTGGGATTTGAAACTAGGCAATTTGAGTCCAGAGCTTAATTCTAACCACTAACCTGTATACTTTTCTAACAATTAAATTTCTGTCTCTGCCCTCAAGTTTCATCTCTGGACTTGGATAGATTGGTGCTACACCACTGGGCTTCTTGTCCTTAATTTCCATCCTCTATGCCCTATCACTTGCTTATGGGCCTTTATGGCCATGTCCTACTCTAGTCTGTGATAAAACAACATCACACAAAGAATAATCAGATCCCTTATGACATTCAACCCTGAATTCTCTAGAGGTAGTTTGAGTGGATTAGAAATCATCTGGGCCAAATCTTGCTTTCAAATCAGTATTGATGTTGTCACTTTCAGTGATTTGTTGACAGAAACAGTATCTTTTATTAGCCTGATCCAGAGAAGGCCTTTTCTGTTAAAGCATGTGCTGGTGCCAGGGAATGTAGGAACTGGAAAGTCTATGAAGCTGTTTGTTGAATCGGTTTATATCATAATCAATATGTAACAAGGTAATTCTGCTAACAGCCATTAACATTTTTGGGTTGCTTACTAGTTGCCAGACACTTTTTATAGCATTTTTCATGTATTTACTTATTTATTCCATGTACATTTATGAGGTAGTTACCATTATTATCTGCATTTTCCAGATGAGGAAACTGACTTCCAAAGAAGTAGTTATTTAAATTGCCCAAACTAAAGAGCTAGTAAGAGTTAAGGCTTGAATATGAATCCAGGCAAGTCTGGGTCCCAAGCCTGCTCTTTTAACTAGACAGGCTGTTGTTTGCAGGCTAGTTTCATAATGTTGTACAAGGGTTTGAATCATAATCCCAAAAAACACAATTCTGAATGCCATAATCCTGAATGTCAAAATCCTGAAAGATCTAAATCCTTAAAGTCTAAAATCCTGAAAATCACAATCCCAAAAGATTGAAATTTCAAAAGTTGAAATCCTGAAAGTTGAATTCTGGGAAAGGGGTGAGTAGTTTTCAGTTGTATGCAGAATAGTTCCATCATGTTAGTTTCATCATGTTAGACAGAATTATTACCTTGTTATTGTCTTTATTTTCACTTGTAAGAAAATTCACTTAAGTAGATTTACCATGCGATATGGCAACAATGCAAACTTCAGTTTAAAAATGCATCATTTGCCAGCATTGGCATTCTTTCCAGCTGATGACATTCCAGGAGCTTTTAATGAATTAAAGCCACATTTGCCCAAAGAAGCCAGCAAAGTTACTGACTGGTTTGAGAATAGTTATGTGTATGGTAGGATAAGAAGATACTCACTCAACGATGTTGCTGTTTGATCACTAGTATTGTTTCTGCCAAATTTGTGATCTGTATATGAGTACATGCTGAACAGATTTTTTTATACCCAAAACAACATAGAAGCATGGCACAGAATATGGGAAAATTTAATAGGGAATGCTCATGTTGGTGTATATTGAATCATAGAAGAATTTCAAAAAGAACAGCACCATGTAGAAAATGAATGTGAACATATTCTCCAAGGACAGCCATGTCCCAAAAGAAAAAAAGCAGCTATTCGTCATGAGGCAAGACTTCAACATATAGTTAACGATTGTGAATGTCTGCCAGCTCTTGTGGACTATCTCTGTGCAATTGCCCGTAATCTATCCCTGTAATACAGTTTTTCATATGTCAAATTTTAGTTTTTTCTTTTTCTTTTTTAGTTTTTTTCTACTATTTTAAATTGTCAGCATTATTTTTTACAATTCACCATGCTATGTATTTCATCTTCGCATCATTTCCAATATTGAACATATCAATTGTGTGAGACTTTTAGAGAGTTCTAATTTATTTTATGCATTTTTTTTGCAAATTTGACACCATGAAAATACATTATCCAAATGTTGACTTTGGTGTAAGCACTATGTGTTCATGTTGTTGTGCACAAATAGTGCTTAAACCAAATTCCTCATGTTGTAAGGAATTGTTGACAATTCCTTAATAAAGACGTGTCCTTTTTGTACATCTGTATTTGTGACTGATAAAATTTCTCCTCATCTTGGCTTTTTGGGCAACTGCATCTGTGATGGTGACCCACCTCAGTTTCCGATAGATCTTGCCAATCAGGTTGTTCATCACAGTATTTCAGATGACTGCAGTTATTATCCTGGGTGCACAAAATTACCAACCATGGTGATATGCATTTATACATTTCCCTTTTGACCTATTTCTTTATAAATGCAATTTGTCTGCTCATAACTGTTATATCTGTGTGACGGTATATCTGAGTGTTTATGGTTGAACAATATGTATGTTATTATTGCCTACTGTATTGTGTAAAGTGGCCTGTGAAGTATCATGTTTTTATATTTCTCAAATAAATCCTGTTTTATAAATGTAAATAAATATTTTTTAAAGAATTTAATAGATATTTTATTCAGAATTATATTTTTGGGATTTTGATCTTTCAGAATTTTAACAATTTGGGATTATGGTATTCAGGATTGTGCTTTTGGGGATTTTCATTGACTTCTGTTGCACAACACACTTAAGAGACATGTATTGAGTACCTATAATGTACACAGCATTCCACTAGAAACTAAATTCAGGTGCCTTCACATAATGCAAGAAATGATGGAGACTTAAACTAGGGCACTGGAAATAGGTTTGGCAGACATTCCCTTTGGCAATATGGGGATGACAGAAAATAAATAGTAGCTTGTAGATGGTGTAGGTTTGCTTATTTTAGGACAGAAGGACTTTAGTGAGCCCATGTCTGGGTGAAGGTGTGCAAGTCTGGGAGAATGAAGAACGAAGAAGGTGACAGTGGCAGAGAGAGCAAGATTATGGGGATGATGAGAGATCAGTAGCACAAAGCAAGGTTTAGCTTTATAGCAGTGGAAGGCTATGTGTATATAATAAAGAGAATTACAAACTAGAATGGCAGTTCACATACAATGGACATGTTTTTCTTAGTGGAGCAGGAGACAAAAACCATCAGCTAAGAATGAAAGGACCTAGAGTGTCATTGGAGTTTTGTGAATGGGTTGATTGGGGAAGATTTGAGAAGAGAAAATAGAAATGGCTGACTGTGAAATTAAAATATTTTTACCAAATGATGTCCCTCAGAATATTATTTCAGGAGATAGAAAAATGTTTCTAGGGAAAACGTACTGGGAAATTAATCACAGTATGCATTTCACATTATATATGAGAATATTAAAGATTCTTAGTATTTCTGTAGTACAGAAATTACCTACCTTCATTTGTCTTGCATTTTCCAATTTATTTATAGGGCAGTTAGTAGCCATTTCTTCACATAGTTATTATTAATATCCTATATCATCAGTGTTCCAGGGAATGCATTTCAGGGAATGCTGATATAGAGGGTTGATTTGAGATAAATAAAAAAACTGATGAAGTATATTGAGAACCTAGGTACCCAATCCTACAATGCATGTGTAATTGAGGCATTTAGTCCTGTCTTGTGACTTCAGCCAGCAAGTAGAGCAGAGAAAATGGAGAGTTGTGTTTGTCCAAGCATGGGTTTTGGCAAGGCAAAACCAGCAGAATGCAAAGGGGACAAAATAAATGAAGATCTAGTGGAAGTGTTGTTGATGAGGGCTTGCATGCTGGGTCAGGAGGAGGGCAAAATGACTGAGAGGGGTAGGAGAAGTTGGGGGCCTTGTTGTCATAGTGACATCAAAGGATATTTCTGGTGGGAAAGAGGGAATGGGAGAGGTGACAGTGAAGGCAGAAGGTATATATAGATGTATTCATTATTTATTTAACAAATAGGGTTTAATAAACTATAAGATGCTTCGAGAGTTGGGGTAGGATGAAGCTGGAGAAGAGGCTGATGTATTTGGCAACTAGGAGATCATTAGTTACTTTTAAGTGAGCAATTTGTACAGTACTAAGAGTTAATAAGGGGATGCGCGGTGAAGAGACGTACAAAATAAAACCTCATTGATTTTTTGCCAGTAAAAGGAATGATGAATGGGGAATTACTTGAGAACATTGAAGGACCAAAGTGTTTTAAAAATTCTGGTTTTGTTTTTGCATGTAGAGCAGGTGAAACTGGGGGCTTGAGGTAAAGACATTGGCTAGGAGGATTAGGATAGGCAGAAAGTAAGGAATAAAATAAAATAACCAGCAGCATTGAGGGTTCAACTAAGAAAAGTTAACATGGATTTATCTTATGACGTTTCCCTGGTTTATGTTACCTGAGGACAGGAGGGTTAGGGGATGGCAATGGAGGGGGTGAAACAGACCAGGAAAATGGAGAAATGTTATGAGGGAGCAAAGCAGGTTGTTCCTAGAAGGGTGAGGGCAGGGTATTAGTTTGAGTTCCAGGTGAGGTGAAGTTATAAATTTTGGTCAAGAAACTGGAAAGGAGTGGAAATGAAGGCCTTCAGAGTAGAAGGAGTCAAGAAATTCCTAGGTCAGGGTGTCATATGGATTAATGCAGAGAGAAATTAATGTCATCTTAGACAGGAGTCTGTGTGGGAGGAAATATTGTTAGAAGCACAAAATGGAAGAGGACTTGGGGGTGAGCAATGCCATCGTGGAGGAAGGGAGGGTGGAGGTGTACTTGGATTATAGTACGGGCTTCGATGGAAGAGAGTTAGATAAAGGAAGGTGTTGGAAAAATAGAAGACAGGCAACCGACATGAGTGAAGAGAAGGCAGAACTCTCTTGGTACACAGAAAAAGAGGAAGAGGAAGTGGAAGAGAGGCTTCCTTTTGAAATAGTCACGAGGGAGGCAGAACTCTCAGGGGAAAGCCAGCAGACAGCAGGTAAATCAGAGGGTAGAGAGAATCCTCTGGGGATAGGTAGAAAATATAAGGAATGCAACTGATAGTGGAACACAGCTCCAGAGAACATAGAAGAAAGGGATCGGGGAGTGTCGAAAGTAGAGACAGATGCCACAAAAGAAGATGGACTGAGTTGCAGAGTGCTGAAAATAAAAGAAGCAAAACTAGATTTGATGGTTTTATTCTGTGAGCAAAGGTAATGGCGAGTAATGGGGTATGAAAGGTGCAAGGCCTGAAGGCTTCAAACTGAGGCCAATCGAGGGGCAGGCATTCCTACCCTAGGAGGAAAAAAAACTGGCATGATTGACTAGAGGTAGTTTGACTCCCCATGACATATTGTTGAGACTGAGGGCTGTGCTGGAGTTGAGAGATACATCAATATGCTTACCTGGGCTCCTGAATAATGAGGATAGCACAGATTTTTTGAGTTGTGGCATCCCATGTCAAAGACCTTGATTCAAAGAGAAGCACGGAGTGTCCCCCAATCCCATTTCTGGTGACAAGTGGATTCCCGATCTCTGTGGATTGGCAGTGCCTCCCTATGCATTTGTTAGATGAATGTTTTCAGATGTACAGGGGCATGGGAGTGAGGAAAGGGAGCCAAAATCAATTTGTAAGGTTGCTTTTGGGGGCAGCTTTGGAAAATTGTGACACAGAAGAATTGTTCATGGTACTTGGTATTTCCCTACGTTGCCTTTAGGTGCCCTCACTGCTTGCTGCCTGCCCACACTGTGTTTAGGGCTCTTGCACCATTTCCTGTTTAACCAGGGTGATTTATAGTAGCCAGTCCTGCTCTAAACTTTCCCCTTCCCTTATTTGAAAAACTTGATCATGTGCTTTCAAGGCCTTACTCTCCTCTTCCCAGGATGTTTCCCTGGTAGCTAACAAGTGAATTAGTGCTAAGGTAGTTAAATCGAATAAATTAGTGTCTTCATACCCTCAGGGTTTTTTTCCATTTCATTTGAGTATCTTAACCCAAAGAAAAAACTGACTATGGGAATTGAAAGCTCGAAAGTAGGGGAAGGAAGGTATGGAAGGGCTTCCTGGCCCTCAAATTAAATCAGCAAGACATTTAGCTCTGGAGGTTTCATTGAGCAAGGAACTGATTTTGTTTTCCAGAGCACTTGGGGTTAGCCCTGGTTTCCTGTGGCCTAAAAATAATGACACCCCAAACTTTTGGGTACAATGACTTGCAGCTGCTTATATTTTTGTTCTCTATCCCATTTATTGAGGCCTCTGTGGATTGTGTGGTAATTTTTTTTCTCTTCCTCAGAAACTTTATACTCTAGCTTGCTTGAGGCATAAGTAAGCTAAATCTTGCAAAGGGTCTTAGAAAGTTACTTCTTCCTAAAATCAATGCAAAGAAGCTTTGAAAATAGACCCATTAAGTGGTTTTAACTCTGCATGAAAAACTATTTAGTCAGGTAAATCTAATTCTTGAACAGGCTGAAACCTGATTTTTCCATCCATTTTCCTTCCTCCAGCCAAAGAACCCTAGGTGCTCCCTAAAGAATGCAAATGTCAAAGTGGGTTTTTTGATATGTGTCTTCTAGGAGTGGGGGCTGTGAAAATGGTCTTGTTGGTTTCAAGCAATGTCTGAGGCTCTTGCCAGCAATTAACAGGCTTACATGCTCATAATACAAAGAGCCTAAAGTGTCACAAATTGCTGTCGAGAGCCAGCTCTAAGCAAAATGGAGATACCTTACTTTCTACTCAAGATATCCATTTAATATCTGTTCTTTGGTAAGTGAGTGCTGTCTATGTATTTCCATGTCAGAGTTGTCTGTTCAGAATAGTAAAATCGTGGGAAAACTTTCATCTGTAAATTTCCCAGACTAACCTTTTGCTCATCCAACTAGCAACCTATTTATTTGACCATCTGCTTTACTCTCCACTTCTAGGCACCTCATACATAGAGACATTTACAAGTACAAAGGTGTTTCTTCTTTTTCAAGACACTGGGTGCCTTTAGGCAACCATTAGACAGCTCAGAGACCGCTACTGTGTCCGTTATTATGGAACCGTTGTACTGCACCATATTCTGTCCTATCCCACCTGCTGGCAGCTGTCATGTTAGGAATCTATCTAGCAAATCAATCTCTGCTAAGGTCCTAATACCTAATAATTGCCAAAGTGTGGCCTCTATACTTCCCCTCAGGCATATTTGCATTTTAAAAAAGAAACTTTTAGGACCACAAAACCTATTTTAAGGAATGATTCTCTATGGCATTAATTTCAGACATTTATTCTTTTTTATTTTATTTTATTTTTTATTTATTTATTTTTATTATACTTTAAGTTTTACGGTACATGTGCATATGTGCACAACGTGCAGGTTAGTTACCTATGTATACATGTGCCATGTTGGTGGGCTGCACCTATTAACTTGTCATTTAACATTAGGTATATCTCCTAATGCTCTCCCTCCCCTCTCCTCCCACCCCACAACAGGCCACGGTGTGTGATGTTCCCCTTCCTGTGTCCATGTGTTCTCATTGTTCAATTCCCACCTATGAGTGAGAACATGCAGTGTTTGGTTTTTTTGTCCTTGCGGTAGTTTGCTGAGAATGATGGTTTACAGCTTCATCCATGTCCCTACAAAGGACATGAACTCATCATTTTTTATGGCTGCATAGTATTCCATGGTGTATATGTGCCACATTTTCTTAATCCAGTCTATCATTGTTGGACACTTGGGTTGGTTCCAAGTCTTTGCTATTGTGAATAGTGCCGCAAGTCTTTATAGCAGCATGATTTATAATCCTTTGGGTATATACCCAGTAATGGGATGGCTGGGTCAAATGGTATTTCTAGTTCCAGATCCCTGAGGAATCGCCACACCGACTTCCACAATGGTTGAACTAGTTTACAGTCCCACCAACAGTGTAAAAGTGTTCCTATTTCTCCACATCCTCTCCAGCACCTGTTGTTTCCTGACTTTTTAATGATCGCCATTCTAACTGGTGTGAGATGGTATCTCATTGTGGTTTTGATTTGCATTTCTCTGATGGTCAGTGATGATGAGCATTTTTTCATGTGTCAGACATTTATTCTTTTAATAAATATTTAACATGTGCCTACTATGAGTCAAACATTGCATTAGTAACAATGGATATGCAGTAGTAAAATGTGGTTCCACCCTAAAGAGCTTACAGTATCATATAAGCAATAGGCATGTGAAATAATTTTAGTGTAGTATCATAATAAGTTCTATGAAAAAGGTATTATTAATTAATTCATTCAAAATATGTTTATTGACTGCCTATTACCTGCAAAGCACTGTGCTAGAAACCAGAGAAATAGCAGTGAACAAACCAGTCTTTATCCTCATTGAGCTTACATTCTATTCCATATACAAGGCAGTACAGTTTGATACAGGAGGGAATGATTTGACTGAGAAGGTGGGCAGGGCTACACAGTCATGATATTTGAGCTAGATCTAGGAGGATGAGTAGAAATTCATCAAGTCCATGGGATGGAAAAAAGCATTCTAGTCAGAGGGAATATCATGTGTAAAGACACAAAAGCATGAAAGATGGACATATCGCGTCTTTGAGAAATGGCAAGTAGTCTGGAGTGTCTGGAGTACTGACAATTATGTAGTGGAGCATCATGGAAATAAGGATCGAAAGACAAGTTAGGCTAGATAGTATACGATACAAGCTGTACAACCCTGTTTCTGGATCAGATGGAACAGGTTCAAATTTGGGCTCTGCCACTTACTAGTTATGTAATCTTTGGGCAAATTATCTGATCTTTCTGAGTTTTGGTTTCTGCACCTATAGAATGGGAATAATAATTGAAACAACCTATGGTATCGGAGTGAGGATTAATTTATGTAAAGTATGATGTTTGTCAAGTACTTAGCACAAGCCCTGAGACATAGTAAGTGTTCAATAATTTGTAACTGCTGTTCTTCTATAAAAGTGATTGAATCGCATCTGTAGGCAATGGGAATCTGCTTAAGCTGAATTCTTCATAAGGAAAGGAAGTGACTTGATCAAAGATGTATTTCAGAAAAACCACTCTGTCTTGAGAAAGAAGGAGAGATTTTAGGGGTTAGAGAGTAGACGCAGGGCACATAGTTAATAGTTAATAGACTAGTGCGACAATTCAGGAAAGAGACAAAAAGTCCTGAATAAAATTGAATCAAGGGAGGAGGAGAGTCCAAGGGAATAGAGTTGAATGGGATTTAGGGGATTGTTCTCTTAGTTCTTGATTTGCAGAGGTAGGAAGAGACAGTTGAGGTCAAAGATGTAATCAAAGAAGGTGATGAGTGATTGGAAGGAAGGGTGATCCCTTTAACTGAAAAGTGGATTACCAGAGGATGGGTGTGGTTTTTTGGGGAGAGTGGGGGATTTCGGGGAAGAAAATTATTGAGACTATTGCAGCGAGTTTTGTTACATTTATGTCTGTGGAATATCTATCTACCTATCAATTGATTTAGCAAGCAGATGAAAATAGGTGTTAGCCGATGAAATTATAGATGATGAAAGAGTAGTAGATGAGATTATCTAAATAGAAAATATGATCTAAATAGAAAGTATATTTAGACTGGGAACACAACCCCGAGCACACCAGTTTTTAGGACGAGGCAGAGAAAATGGAACAAAGTAAGAAAGAACCATCAAAGGTATAGAAGGCAAAGAATTAGGAGTGTTATCAGAGCAAGGGATGAGAGTTTCAAAGGGGAAGGAGTGGGAAATAGTCTCAAATTCAGCTGAGAGGTATAATTGAATTTGAAATTGAGAGGATGCTGGGAACCTTACCAGAGCTGTTTTATTGGAGAAGTGAAGGTAGAAGCCAGATTGCGTGGGTTGAATACTCACCTTGACCTTCTTAGCCACCCTGCTCTATAACTAGCAAAGGGGATGAGGTCACCCAGTATGATGGTTAATATTGTCAACTTGATTGGATTGAAGGATGCAAAGTATTGTTTCTCGGAGTGCCTGTGAGGGTGTTGCCAGAGGAGATTAACATTTGAGTCAGTGGACTGGGAGAGGAAGACCCCCCCTTTATCTGGGTGGGCAGTATCCAATCGGCTGCCAGCATGGTTAGAAAAAGCAGGTGGAAGAAGGTAGAATAAGTTGGCTTGCTGAGGCTTCCAGCCTTCATCTTTCTCCCGTGCTGGATGCTTCCTGCCCTTGAACATCAGACTCCAGGTTTTTTAGCCCTTGGACTTTTGGACTTACACCAGTGGTTTGCCAGGGGCTCTCAGGCCTTTGGCCACAGACTGAAGGCTGCACTGTCTGCTTTCCTACATTTGAGGCTTTGGGACTTGGACTGAGCCACTACTGGCTTCCTTGCTCCTCAGCTTGCAGACAGCCTATTGTGGGACTTTACTTTGTGATTGTGTGAGTCAATTCTCCTAATAAACTCCCTTTCATATATATCTTATTCTGTCCCTCTGGAGAACCCTGACTAATACACCCAGGATATCATAAACCATAAATTTGGAAGAAAGAGTTAAGACTTCAGTCTCGTACACATATCTAACCAAATGCTCTGCTGCTCTCACAGAGCAACTATATCATAGGCAGTAAGGTCTGTGGCTTAGTTTGATGATCCTTGCAAACACAGTGACTCAGTCATTGTGTAGATACAGTCTAAGAAACAAGATTTTAGGGGTTTCAGAAGAGATGATCTTGTTAATTTATAATTCAATTTGGTTATCATTGTTAAAATTTAATCATAGATTAGTAAATTCTATCTTCCTTTAATGAAACATAGCATTTTCATCTCTGAATAGTACTTTTAAAAAATGTGCTGCTCTATTTTTCTTCCTGAGGAAAGCTGTTACCTCTTAATATCTCTGATTCACATGTGTGGCATAAAAATACATATGGAACACATATTTCTTCTTTCTTTTTGGAACTGTGTAAGATTTCTATGGAATGGAATCTGAATGCCTGTATGAGAAAGTGTAGGTTCCCTACCCCTCTCCCACCACCCTGGTACCCTTTCCTTCATTTGTATTGGAAGAAGGTTTGTACTTTTCTTCTGTACTCACTGTATATTGAAGAACATATACAGAAGAAAAAAAAGAACTTTCTAAAGCCACGACTGCTTTTACTTAAAAGGGAAACCACTTTGCAAAGGACCATTGTGTAGCAGACATAAGGTGTTCACTATAATTGTTCCGGATGTCAGCTTTACAATTCGTTTCTAAAAGGAATAAAATCATCCAATTCTAGCACTTGTCTGGGAACCCCTATGCAGAGAGGAAATTGGCTAGCAGATATGCAGATGTGGGGGTCTGTGCCACGTAACTGCTGCGGTCTGGGATGGATCTTAATCACAGAGGAAGTTTGTAAGCAATAAAAGAGGCCTCTGTGGAGGCTCTTCAGGTCCCAAAGCTCATTTTATCCTAAGAATATAGGGCCCTGGAGCCTGTGTGTTCACAAGCAATAAAGCAGTCTAACTCTTCCCAAGTCGCTAAAAGAGCACACTAAAAATGATGCCTTCCTCAGCACTTCTTTTTCAAATGGTTCAAGAAGAAAAACCATGTCATCTTTTCTAATACCCACATCCTATTTTCAAATCTGCCAAAAATAGTGATTTTAATTCACAAGCTTTAGACAAGAAGGGAAAACGCACTCAAAAGGACAGCTTGATTTTCTGCTAATCTTAACATTTTATAAAAATAAGCTTACCGTGAAAGTGATGATCTTGTATAGAAAGCTATCTGATTGGAATGCCCAAGCATTTTGGCTGATTTGCTTAGCTTTTGTAATTTTTTTCAACTGTGGTAGATGCCTTTCACCAAATTGTCCTCATGTCCTCGGCACTTTGTGAGCAAAGAAGCCTTCCTCAAAATTTTCTAAAGCTCTTCCACTAGGTCGCCCTTAGTGTGGACTGGTACCTGCGTGGATCTCAGTCCCAGTTTCTCTTCTTCAGAGAACTATCTGTTCTTCTGTTCTGAATATGGGGTCAATCAGCTGCATTAATGAGTCCCAAGACTCACTCCTGTGAAATCCTTTCATGGATCTTTAAATGGGACCCTGTTCCAAGAGGGCAGCCTGGTAAATTGATAGCTACCACTAGCTGATGGAATATTTTCCAGTGATTGTGCAATGTTGGGTTGCCAGATAGGTACTGAGATATTGATTTTGGACAACTCTCATTCACATTAAATACATGAAAATTTTAGGGCATCATTGACCTAAGTATTGGCTCTTTTTCATCTGCATTCCAACTGCGTATCAGCCATTTCCCTATAGCACCAGAGGATAGTGGGGGCAGCTGTTGGCATTTTTTAAATCCCTCACCTTCGCACTACTGGCACCCAGGACAGTCACCACATTCTTTTGCACAGGCTCTGTGTCTTTTCTCAGACAGTGGATGGTCGCATTTATGTTCCCTAAAGGCTTTCAAGACTATTCTGCTGCTATGTCAAAAGTTCTTCTTGTTGTCCTCTCTTGCCTTCAATTGATGTGGTGATATCACATTTTCTGAGGCTGATCTTAAACTGTGCCAGAAGAGGGACAGATGTTCCTTGCATGGGTAGTACCACCCTTTTCATTCTGCCCATGGGTCCCTGGCCTATCTTCCCAGCTGGTGGTACTGTATGGAAGTCAGGGGGTGTAGTCAATGTTGAAAGCAACCATATTTGAGGAATGTAATAATTGTGGCCCAAAGCATTGAAGAGAAGACATGATTGGAGGATGTGTTGTTCTACCTTTATGCTATAAAACCCCAAACTGTAAAAATTTAACATGACCAGAAAACAAATTATTATTCACATTTTCCTGCATACCCTAGGCAAGGCTTACATTTGTGGCCAGTATTAATGGAGAGTGAGGCGTGGATGCTGCAGCATCATGAGGAATGATGTAATGAACAGTAAGTAAATGATATTACAGAACTGAAGAGATAAGATTTATATCATTTCATTAAATGGGCTCTGAAAAGCCATAACTCGTGAATAACAGTATCGCTGTTTTTCTCATAGTGGCCAACATAAAATTAGCCAAGAATGGCATATTTACAATAAAGTGCAAAAAGAGATGGTCCCTGAACATGAATAATATTTATATGCACAGATCAGACAAGAAACAAATACATAAGCATTGCTTTTCGACCCATCATTCTAAATCTTTATTAACTCACTGTATATACCTCAAGTGGGCCCATGAATTTTGCAGTTCATTTTAAAACCTAATTTTATAAACAGTAAAGAGTTCCACAAAAATATTTCCCAGGGTTGTCCCCACCCTAGAGGTGGCAGTAACTGAAGAGTTAAAAGTATAAACTGCTTGTTACCACAAATACAGTTATGTGTTGCTTAACAAAGAGGATATGTTTTGAGGAATGTGTTTTTAGGCAATTTCATCATTGTGTGAACATCATTAGATGATTCCATCATTGTACAAACCTCACTGAGTGTCCTTACATAAACCTGGATGGTGTAGCCTACCACACGCCTAGGCTATATCGTATAGCCTATTGTTCCTTGTTTACCAACCTGTACAGCATGTTACCATAATGAATACTATAGGCAAATGGAGCACAAAGGTAAATATTTGTATATCTAAACATAGAAAAGTGTATTAAAAATACAGTATTATAATCTTATGGCACCACAATTGTATATGCGGTCCATTGTTGCCCGGAATGTCATTATGTATTACATGACTGTACTGAACTTCTTTTTTTTTTTCCCAGAAAGGGTCTTTATCTATCTGCCAAAGATCAAAGTCAAATAAGAAAGCTGTAATTCCTTTTGGTTTATGTGATATTATTTGGAGCTCAACCCCCAAAGTAGAAACTTAATAAGAAAGTAAGGTGTATACATTAACTATAATATGGACTTAAATTTCATTGGCTTAGATAAAATTATTTAATACTTTTTCAGGATATTAGAAATACTTTGCTAAGCATTGGATATATTGTGAACAAAATAAACAGGGACCAAACAAGGACCTTACAGAACTTAGAGTAGCTGGGCAGACATTAAACAAATAAATGTACAAATATTACTGTTATTATGAATTTTAATATATTCAAAGGAGAAGAAGAAGGCTCTTTGTGAAATGGTGATAACAGGAGCCCTGCTTTATACAGAAAAGGAAGATATTTCTTGTAGAGGAGACAAGCTGAAACATGAAAGGTCAGAAGAGATCTTGGCAGAGCAAATAGCACAGAAGAAGCACTGAGATGGTTCCTACTAGGAATGGAAAATGTGGAAACGTGTGGTTAAAAAATGAGGTTGGAGACGTTGGTAGAAACTAGGTCATGGTGGGATTTGTAGGAGATTGGATTTGATCCTAAAAGCTATGAGAAGCCACTGGGGTATTTTATGTAGGAGAGGAAATTATCTGATATACATTGTTAGAAGACTACTCTGACAGATGTAGGAGGGTGAGAGTGGAGGTGGGAAGGCCACATAGAGGGCTGCTGCATAGATCCTGGTGAGAATGATGGAAGCTTAATCTAAGGTAGCAACAGTGGGTTGGAGACAAATAAGCCAGTTTAATTTACATCTTGGTGGTTGAAATGATAGGACTTGCTGATGAACTGGATTTGTTCATTCATTCCTTCTTCCAACAAATATTTAAGTCCTACCCCCGGTGTTAGGCATTATTGTAAGTGCTGCGAATAGAGCAGTGAACAAAATATAATCTCTGCCCTCATGGAACCTGTAGTCTAGCAGAAAGATAGATATAATAAAGAAGAAAAATGTAATATGACTAATGGGGATAAGAACTATGAACAATAATGAAGCAGGATAAGATGTGAAGGGAGTACTGGGATGGGTTTGAGGTTGCTGTTTTATAAAGAGTGGTTAGGAAAAAGCTTTCTAATAAGGTTACATATGAACCTTAAAATGTAACCTTATTTATAAAGAGTGGTAAGGAAAAAAGCTTTCTAGTAAGGTTACACTTGAGCAGAAACTTGAAGAAAATAGAGGAGAAACCTATGTGGTTATTTGGGGGAAGTATTCTAGGCAAATAAAACATCAGGAGGTAGAAATGTATTTGGTAGTTTGAGGAACAGTGGGGAAACCAGTGTGTCTTAGAGTAGAATGGACAAGGGTGATAGTAAAATGAGATTAAAGGGGTTCTGCAACGGGGAAGCTCATGTTGGGCATTGTAAGAACTTTGATTTGTAAGATAACGCGGGAATCCCTTGGAGAGTTTTGAGTAGAAGAGTCACATCATCCAGCTTATGTTTAACAGGATCATTCTGGCTACTGTGTTGATAATAGACCATAAGGAGGCAAAAGATGAAGCATAGAGACCATTTAAGAGGCTATTTCAGTAATCTATGCTAGAGATGATGATGGTTTGGGCTAGACTATATTGCATAGTGCTTGGATTCTGTATAAATTTTGAAGTCGACAAAATTTACAAATCAATTGTACATGGGTTGTGAGACAAAGGAGTCAAGGATGATCCTAATGTCTGAGCAACTGAAAGGAATTAGAGTTACCACATGTTGAGATGAGGGAGACTGTGAGGAGTTGTTTCGGTAACAAGAGGTTTTAGATTTGGAGGTGGAGGGGGAAAGAATAATTCAGAATGACTTCTAGATTTTTGGTTGGAGCAATTGGATGGATGGTGATACAATTTCCTTAGGTGGGAAAGATGACACTCTTAAAAAATTTTCTGTTCCAACCTCCTTATTTTGATAGATGAGGAAGAAAAGCCCTCAGAAAACAGCCACCTAGTTCAGTAGTGTAAGGGTCTGGACTTGGTTAAAAGTCTCCTAATGAAAGGATCCTGATTCTTGCCTCTTTTCTATAGTGGCTTTTTAATTTTAAAATCTCTGAAATGTGGAAATGAAATGGTAAGTTTCTTAAAGACAAGGTCTTCTCTTCAAGCTTCTTCTGTAATGTAATGTAATGTAATGTGATGTTATGCTATGTTATGTTATATTGGACACCTTTTGTGTTATGTAAGAACATTCCCTTTTTCAGGATCCATTCTTTTCCATACCTTACCCAAAATCCACATGATTTCCACAAGAGTCGCTATGCTAGTACAATATGATCCCACCTCTTCTCCACAGTGAATTGTGTGAGGAATCGGCATCTGACCCAAAGTGGGCCAATTTATTCTGCCAACCCTGGTAAAAGAGAGGAATGCTTATTCTAAGCACTTAGTAAATACCTGTTGACCTGAATTGAAGGATGGGTGAAGCTTTCAGAAACCATATATGAAAAACTTTTTCAAAACATATGAATTAGGGGATGATTATTCTCATTTCAAGAAAAAATTTTGCTCTACCAGAAGATTGACTGTAATTTTGCTTTAAATAGCAATTTTTCTAGTGCATTCAAGCATTTGTTTATGATCATTAACTACTTGACAGGCTGGGGTTGATGGGAGAGCATTTTAAAGTTAAAGCATCTGGAAATACTTTCCATTAAATTCTCTTTATGTTGATCTGGAGCCTGTGCTCTGTAAAGTCCTCTCATTTCCAAACAGTAAGATTTAAGCTATCAACTGGGTTAGCACCCAGCGTCAATACTGGCTAAATGATGCTAAATAAACTAGTGGTGTTTTCAATTGTGAGTTCAATTTAGTATGTTTTACAGGCCTCTATAAGGCTACATTAAATATAGACTAATTGAAAACATGGTGCATAGGGAATACTCAGTGTGTGTGTGTGTTTATAGTTAAAGAATATGAGTACCAAAGATACATGAATAGAATCAAGCGTTGCTCATAACAAAGTATAAAAGTCAACAATACTGCATATCTGTTGTCGATAGGTTCATTAGCAGAAAAATGCATTTAATGCTTATCAATGAGCTTCTGCCCTACTGGAGAATAAGAGGAAGACAAAGTGAGACAGAAGTCTATGGAGCTCAAATTTAAAGTCAGATAACCCATTCAGCATATCTGATAAGCCTGTATTTATTCTGTGAAGATAAAAGTGATAAATTGCCATAAACATATTAGTGTTTGATAGTATAAAGTAAGCCAAGTTCAAACTAGACTTGTCTGAAGAAGGAAAAAAGAAAAGAAGAAGAGGAAGAGAAAAAAGGAAGAAGAAAAAAGAATAAATTGTTATTTCATGAACACATATAACTGCTAAGAATTGTGGAACCCCTCTTTATTTTTTATCATACATGGATATGAGCACCTATGCACTATGGAGAAGCAGCTTCCAAATGAGTTCACATATATCAACCAAATGAGTGTGCAAATGTTTAAATGAATTTATGTAATTTGTTGGAGACAATAAATATTGAAATCAGGATACTGCATAATTCATACATATATTAACCTCTTTTCTCAACTTTGGAACAATCTCCTTATATTTAATAGTTGTAATTAAATATCTGTCTGATTTGGGCTTTGCTGACTGACCAGATCACTTTTTCTGGTAGTTTCGGTTTCCAGCAGTTTGCTGACAATATTAAAATTTAAGGTAGTTTCATTGGTATTTTAGTAAAAACCAAAAATGTATTCCTTCCCTATCTATGCAGGGTGACCATACATCTCGATTTTCCAAGGATAGTCCTAGTTTATGCCTGTTTTCCTGATGTATGCATTATAGCATCTTCTTTCACTCCTAAAAGTGTCCTTGTTTGGAAAATAAATTATGTTTGCACTACTTGTCAGTTTTACAGGCAATTCTGATTCAGCCAACATAGAAATAATCTGCAAGGAATTCAGTTAACCCTCTTACTTTCTCATAAAGTCTTATATACAGTTCTATCTGATCTTTCCCACCTCCTAGGTGAAAGACCATATCAAATCACACTTCAGTTAAAGCATTTTGTCAGATGACTAAAATTTCAGCCAAGTTGTACTGCTTTCTGATAATTTAAGTGGATGTAAATTGTATAGAAGACCTCAAGGAATGGGTGAATAGCATGTCTTTTATTCAGTTCTCAACTATTAGTTGTTTTAACTTGGCCTTTGGCAGGAATTGGATAGCTATTGATTTAAGCTTCAGCCATCTGGCAAGTGACTCAACTGCAGAGATTTTGCATTGCTGATTGAAGCAAGATACATAAGTTTTAGTTAATGGGAATTGTTTTAGTTAAGATTAGGTCTGGTTGTCAGTGACAAAATACAACCTATGAGTGGCTTCAACAAGAAGCTTAATTTTTCACTAATATAAGATACCAGAGCTAGATGTTACAGAGCTGTCATTAGACTGTGCATTAGCTCCAGTCTCAAGACCCAGGATCCTTCCATTTCATTGCTCAGTTATGTCCACCATTCATTCTCAAGGTCATTCTTTATTCCTGGCGGGGTCTGCTTTAGTTCTAGCCAATGCATCCTCATTCTAAACTGCAAGGAAAGGGAAAAAGAAGAGAACAACCTTCCCTTTTTGAAAGGGTATTTCTTATAAGATTTCCACCACTTTTCCTTACATCTATTTGGCCATAGTGCAGTTACATGTCCATATTTAGCTGCAAGAGGGTCCAAGGAACGTAGTCTTAATTCTGGATCACCATGTGCCCAGTCAAAGCATAGAGGTACTAAAGAAAGGAAAAAGGGAAAATGGATATTGGGGGACATTTAGTAGTCTCTGCTATAGGAGTAAAGTTGGCAAATTGACATTCTATAATGAAAAACAAGACTTGAATTATTTGTCCAGATCAAAACTGATCCTACCTCCTTACAGCAATAAATCTGAAAGCATGTTTAGTTATTAACATTTTCCCCCCAAAATAAAGCTTTGATTATGCTTGATGCCATTTGGCACCTCCTTATTTTATAACTCCATACTATTTAATAGTGTAAAAATTTATTCAAAATCATTCAACTTCTTTAAAAGTTACTGTGGGGCAAATAGAATACATAAAATGCAAGGCTATCTTTGGTCAAGTGATAGTTATTTGGGCTGCTGCTACCAACACCCTAGCTTAACTGGGCTCAAGTTTGTCCAGCAGTTACATGCAGGCACAGTGCTCCATGTCACTCTCTAAGAACTACATTGAATTGCACTGCATGCGTGATGAAGAAAAATGTTATGAACATAAGAGTCTTCAGATACTTTCTTCCTTTTCTTAAGCACCATATCCTCTTGGAGCCTACATTTGCTAGACTGGTTCCTAGATTTTTGTGATGCATAATCATGGAGTGGGCAAAAGAGAAAGAGTGAACAAAAGAGATTTGAGGAGAAGGGGAATACATTATCAAGTGAGGTTAAACCAAGCTATATGATAAAGGAACTAGAGAGAGAGAGAAGTTGAGGGGAAGTAAAAGCCATATGAGCTAGGGGTAGGATAGAAAAAAAAGAAGTATTTTCAGGGGACTGTTAATCAGAAGTTCTTAAGGGTATTACATGAACTGTACTTTTTAAATTCCATACCACTTATAGCCTGGACCAGTTGGGTCCCACACACATATATTGATAAGTTCAGTTGCAATTTGGCTGTGTTTTGGGGTCCTCCTAGAGTTAGTTTATTTCATTAAGAATCTTATGTTATTGAAAACATAATTAATTTTATTTAATAAATTTACTGCTGTGATTAATGACTCTGATGCTTTATATTTAAACATATCATTCACTTAAACAGCAGGGGGCCATAGTCATCTTGACTATTATTAACAGTGATCCCTTGAAATTCCTTGCCTAATTAGAGCTAACTATTTTCATGATTATCTCTCTGAGGTTTTTTAGTTCCATTGGACATTAACATGCAGGTATATTGGTAGGCAATTTGGGGTCTCTACAGTTGGCCATGTTGTTCATTGCATAAATGTATGTGGTAGTCCTGAACACTATAAAGAGCAATGTATTCACAATTGCTCCCTGAATAAAATAAATAGTTCATCACCTTATATACAAAGATATTTTTATTCTTCTCCTGTATAGGATGAGCAGGATCACTTGCCTGAAAAAAAAATGTGAGAGACAAATGTGATAAGATTTCTATAAATAATAAAGAGGATTTTATACCTTGGTACTATAGGTCACATATATAAGGGTCAGCTATGACTAGGGGAGGCAAGGTGGTCTAAAAGATGGAACTGGACTCTGATGGTATGTAGCAAGTGTCAACAAGACAGAGCTGACAGGTGTCTAACAGGCATGGTGTCAAACAAGTATAGTGGTAGGCAACACACTGGCATCCAGGTGAGCAATTGGTATAGGGGATTCAGCCACAGGCGAAAAGGTAATAACGTCACTGCAATGGGGAGTCTAGAAATCAGCAATTTTTAGAGATATACATAGATGGGGCAGTTAGAATTGTGCATTTTTTTCTATCACTTGATTGTGAATGTTTTGGTCATTATGAGATTACCTTTTCTTGGGAGAATTGTTCTGAAATGATTATCCTTTTATTTGCATCTGTACCATCTACTTTCCTTACAGTGGAGAGTGACATATGATGTCTGATTACAAAAGTTCTCCTTAGCTTGGGAAGACCAGAGTTAGGCCTAACAAAACTACCCTTGCTCCCTGTTCTCCTTTCCCTACTCCCACCAAAGCAAATCAAAATGCCTCTCCCTATCTTTTCTCTAGCTATGCCATTGATCAAGATGTCCTATTTCAGGGGTGGGCTTGAAGCTTGCGTCTGCTGCAAAAGGCTTGGATTTTGAGTCCATGGGGGTCAGCTGGAACAGTACCAGATTTCACTAGGGTGGGCCTACACCCTGAATCTTGGATCCTGTGTCTGTGGGATCACACTGAAGTCTGGGTCCACAAAGGCAGACCTGGCACAGGAGTGGGCCTTGAGACTGGGACTGTGGGGGCTGGCCTCGGGCTGGATTTCACTGGTGTGGGCCTGGTGCTTGAGTTCGTGGCAAAGTCAGGTACTCACTTCACTCTCCTTCCCTCACATGGAAGGCATCTCTCTCCATACGGTGTTGCTGGGTTTGGTAGGGGGTGAAATGGGGAATGTGAAATTGTTTTCCCTACCCACCTTAATGCACCTTTTCTTATTTCTGTGCTATAGCCAGATATTGTTATTCCTTACCTGGATTCCTTAGCTTATTTGAAGCTACTTTCATGCATGGATAGTTGTTCAAATTGACATTTCTGCAAGGCGACAAGTGCCAGAAGGTCCTATTCTGCTATCTTGCTGACTTCACTCCCAAAATTAAAAATACTTTGGTCATCAATAAATACCATAAACAAAGTTGAAAGACAAGCTACATACTGGGAGAAAAATATGAATTTGTAATGTATGCAATCAAAAAAGCCTTAATATAAAGAATATATAAAGAAATCCTACAAACTGACAGGACAAAGAAAAATAGCCTAATTTAAAAATGGGGGAAAAAAGAATTAGATGCTTTGGAGAGAAGGAAACTTATATGATCAATAAAAATATGAGAAGATACAGTCTCACTTATACTCAGGGACAGGACCACAATGGATATCATTTTACATCTTTTTGACAGGTAAAATTTACAGAACTTGACAATACCAAGTTTTAGATAGGATGTGTAGTATGTGAGCTCTCTCATACATTGTTGTTGGGAATGTAATTTGGTGTAGCTACTTTGGAAAACAATTTGATATTATCTTTTAAAGTTGAAAATTTGCACATTCTATCACCTAGCAGCAATGGTAGGTGTATTCCAAGAAAAAATTTAGCATATCTACCTGAGGAGATATTTACTGGACTATTTTTGGTGGAATTGCTTATAGTAGCAAAAACTTGGGAATGACCAAAATAACCATTAAAAAGAGAATGAGTAAATTGTTGTGAAATGTTCACATAATGGAATATTATATAAGTGAAAATGAATGATCTACGGCTATAAGCAACAACATAAATGAACCTTAGTAATATAGTGCTGAGTGAAAAAAGCAAGACTCGAAAGACAGCATACAATTTTTTTTTGTAAAATTCGAAAACAAAGCATTTGAAAGGAAAATACATAAATGTGATAAAATGAATATAAAGGGAAGAAAATGGTAAATATAAAATTCAGAACAGTGGTTACCTCTGGGGGAGGTAGGGTATAGTATAGTAGAGGAACATAGGTAATATTCTAGTTTGGGAGTTGGACAATGGGTTCATGGATGTTTATTAGGACATTAAAATAAATAGATGAAAAGGATGATTTATAAGTCAATGGTAGTATAACTTGAATTAAGAATTATGATTATTTCAGTTCTGTACATCTGAGGTTCCAGAAAAATCCAAAACAATAGACTCTATGTCATAGTCTGCAAGGTCCCACGTGATCTCTTTTTGAATTGCTTTCTGTTTTAAGTTTCCACTTCTCTTTGTTCACTGAGCTTCAGCTACACCGCTTTTTCTGTTGATCCTTTAACTCTTTAAACATATTCTTGTCTCAGGGCCAAGAACCTTCTTTCCTCAGATAACCACACTTCTTGCTCCTTCATGTCATTCAAATCTGCTCAGATATTTCATCCAGGTGTCTCTGAAAATCCTATTTAAGTGGCACCCCGAAAATAAAAAAAAAAGAAAAAAGAAAGTACCCCATTACTCTGTTTTTACACCCTGATATACTTTTTTTACACTAGTTACTAAATGATGCATTCTTACACAAATATTATTTGTATTGTATGTCTTTTCCTATATTGAAGATGCATGGGAACAGGGTTTTTGCTTTGTTCACTGTGGTTTCTTTGTTTAGCTACCTCCTACCTGTCCTTTGTCTCAGAAGTTATTTCCTCCAGAAAACTTCTGACTCTTTTAGTCTGATTTAGTATTTCCTTTCTGGGCTCCTATTTTACCCTCCTGATAACACCAAAATAAAACTCTTCTTATTCTTTTGTGATTGGCTGTTTACCTGTGTGTCTTGCTAGATTTGTGAGTGATTTGAGGATATAGATGTTGTCATACATGCACACATGTGTGTATATATTTAACTCAAAACATCTAGTGCCCACCACATAGTAGATGTTCAATAATGATTATTTAATGAATGATAAGGCAGATAAAAGAATGAGGAAGCAAGAGAATGATTCAGCCTCAGGGTTAAGGTGGCTAGCTAGAAAAATGAAAAGGGAGATTGGACATGTGCAAACAGTAAATTGTAGTGTATATAGGAGAAGCTGGATGATTTTGGTGAGACTTGGCCATTGTGTTTCTATAGGAGCCTTCTTTTTATGCAGACCTTGGTGAGCTCTATCACTTTTATTGTAGGATATTGAGAGATATGCCCCAGGCTGGATGTATGCATACATCCCCATGAGGGAAAGAAATTCACAAGCCTCTTAATCACTCAGCATTTCCACACAGTTACAGTTAAGGGGTAAACTCATAGCATAAGATAACGCTGAGATATTGGGAAATTTTAAAACAAAACTATGCATGATCAGATTCACATTTCCTGCTGCATGAATTTCACTGTGTCTTAATTCTTTCTTATTTTATAATCTATATGAGGTTTATACTTTCTATTTAATGAAATATAAAATTCACTGGGATAGTCCTTTTCTCTGCTCTCTCATCCCTGTCAGGTGAACAGCCAAGAGCTTTCAGTTCCCCACAGATGCTCTAGGTGGCTTCATGTTTTTCCAATTAAATTACCCTTTTCTCTTTTCTGGCTCAGTTATTATGGGATGATCTTTATCATCATTATCAGCATTAATGCTGCATCATAATTATACACATAATTGGATCACATGCTCACTTGCATAGATAATTGCTTCCATTTGCTGCCAGCTTTGCCAGCTACCAAGTAGCATACCCAATAGCCATATGAGACTATGAGCAAAGTATTAGAACTTACTTATTCTATATGATGGACCAACTCCAGAGTTCATGGTTTGGGTAGGATTGTATGTTGCGAGTTACTCATTAAATGTGTCTATAGCATCCTGAAAACCCTGGTATGTTTATGGTGGCCCTACTCAACCACTAGTACATAGAATTAGGGTTTGGTATCCAGATAGAGAAAATAAAGTGCTAGCTAGACCAAAGGCATAAATTTTATTTCCATGGATGAGTGAGCTCTTTGGTTCTTGCTCACAAACTGTACCTCTATTTCAATAGGCCCTGTCTCTGGCCCCAGACAGAACTTTAACCATCCCATAATTAGAAGATGATGACAGCTCAAGAAGATGAATTTAATTAGAGAAGTCCCTCAAGAACAGAATGGTGTGTCAGGCAAATGTTACTTGATGATACAAATTCTGGGTGTAGGTGGTATTCCAAGACTCAGGTGAGCAAAGAGATTTTCAGATGAGAGAACTGATGACATTGTCAGATCAGAGAGGGATGATAACATGCTCTGGGTCAGTTCTGGGGTTACTTCTGGGTATAAGGAATGGGACTTTAGTTTGAGAGCAAAATAGGTCCAAAGTATTAGAATTATTAGTATTAAGATACAGAAGGAAGCAATAGGGGCAATTACTTGAAGTGGGTTACAAGGTAGAGTTTTGGTCATGCAGTGATCTGGTGGAGCTGGTGCATACTGGCTTGTGAGAGCTGACTGCGTATACTTCTCTTCCTAACTTTACCTTCAGTGACTTCATGTTGATTGTTTGCTATCAGCTATGGTAGGAGTATTTGCACCATGGGAATGAGAAAATATTATAGATCAGACCTCTTTTCCCCTCTGGAAAGTCAGTTTACCAGCACAACATTGATAATATGAATAAGGTAGCAGCAAGTGACTTTTATCAAATGCTCACTATGTGTTAAATACTTGCATTATCTCATTTAAGTCTCACACCATCTCATTTTTGGAGGGAGTGAGAAAACTAAGGCTAGAGAAGTTTAGCACAAAGTTCAGTTACTAGAATGGGGCATGTGCTCAGAACATGACTAGAAGTAAAGGTGGTTTAATTATGGGACACTTGAGTACTAAACTAGGGTTCTTAAATCTTGCCTGATTAGGAATAACTTGGGTTCTAGGACTGAGCTTGCAAGAAGTGTAGGGTAATGCTTAGGGAACCAGCCTAGTCATTATGCCTGACAGAATGGTAAGTAGAATTATGTTCTCATCTTTACTGTATCCTCTTGTCTGAAGTTTTTCCAGCATTCATCAATCTGTGGCAGGAGAGCTCTAAAATGAGCCTAGGTACCCGCTTCCACACTCTATATTTTTGTTTTAATTAATGATTTATTAACTTCTAAGCCCTTCTCAAGAGCCTCTCTTAGCATCATACTCCTGACGCTCTATGTGATCCTAAGATCCTAGATTTTAAAATGCATATACTATTCCCCAAGATGTTTAAGAACACCTGTCTTTATTTCTGTATGGCACATTCAAATTTTTATAGCCAGAAAGAACTTTCAAGATGGAGGTATTTGGTTTTCTTGTAACATACAGATTTTAAAAAGTCAGTTATTGCAATCCAGACACATTTCTGGCAAAAATATTATATTTAATTTGTCCTAAATTACTTTCCCACCCAATGAGACAAAATACATAAACAACTAAAAGAAAAATATATTAAACTGTGTAAATCCAAATACAGAAATGGCTAATAAGCCCTGACCAATTATTTGGAATTGTAAATGAGATTTTAGGTGTGTAATGCCTGCAGATAAATGTAAGCTTTATTTAAACCAACTTGTATTTTTGAACCCTAATAATGATTTTCTTTTACTTTACTATAGCAATTCACAGCAAGTCAACTGCAGGAAGATTAAGCAGAGTGGTAATATCCTTTCTATTACATTAGACATAATAGGAAATCCAGATCTACCAAGAAATCATTTTTGCTCTGCAGTTGGCCCATAATTTCATATAGTTCTGAGGGAAAATAGAGGAAAAACACATTTTAAGCAGGTGTAGACATTGCATATGTAACGTTTGCTTTGATTTTGATTGAGCTGGCATTTTGCATGCTATGCAAGTTTCTGTGCTGTGCAGAATAAGGGTTCAGTTGAATCCAAGAGAGGTTGTGATATTTAGGTAGCTAAATGAATATGAACAATATTATAATAGACACAAAACCCCATTGTACCTGTGATGTTTTAGAATAACTGTCTAAAGCCTTCTAAAACTGATGCACCAAGGTTTGAACTGTCTGGCCAGTTCATGTATGTATGTGCATATATGTGTTGGGGGAAGGGGATTTATGGTTGAACACCATAAACTGATGGCTCTTTGAGTCAGCAAGTTATTGCTGCATAATAAACTATCTTACAAATTAGTGACTTTAAACAACTATATATTATTGCTTGTTAGTCAATGAGTTGGCCAAGCAGTTCTTTTGGTCTTGTCTGGTCTTACTAGTGCATCTGATGACTCAGCTCTTCTCCACATTCTCTTGCATCTCCCTAGCAGGTTAACAGGGGTATGTCCATATGGTAATGGTAGAGGTCTCATAGAGTAAGAATATTCAAACAAACACTCTGCTTATGTCATATTTGCTAACATTTAATTATGGAAAGAAGTTATGTGACCAAGCCCCAAATGAAGGATAACATCTTTTGAAGCAAAAGTGATGAGAGTCCACAGATATGGTTGCTGTTCCATATACTAGTGAAAATCAGCTTCCATGGCATCTTTGACATACATAATACAGGCTGCTGATGCCTTGATAAATGAAGTTTGGGACTTTTAAACAAATGCTATTTGGGTTATAATAGTAGAACCATAATATCCAGTTCAATGAAAGAAATGATCCTATTGTGTTTTTCATTGAGTGTGATATGTTGTTTATTAATTCCTTTAGCTAATGTTTATTTTTCATCGAATATATGTCACTATCCAGTTTAGGAAGGACATAGCAAACTGGAGCATGACCAGAAGTACACAATGGATGCTATTGACTGAATATTTGTGTTCTCTTCCACAAATTCATGTATTGATATCTAAATCTCTACCGTGATGGTGTTTGGAAATGGGACATTTGGGAGGTAATCAGGTCACGAGAGTAAATCCCTCATGAATGGGGTTAGTACCCTTATAAAAAGAGGCATATGAGAGATAATCTCACTCTCTGCCATGTGAGGCTACAACAAGAAGACAGCCTTGTGCAAACCAGGAACCAGGCCTTCACCAGACATTGGATCTGCAAGTACCTTGATCGGAAGTTCCAGCCTCCAGAACTGCGAGAAATAAATGTTTGGTGTTTAAGCCACCCATTCTACGGTAATTTGTTATGGTAGCCCAACATGACTAGGAAAATGGGAATAGTGAAGAATGAAAACAATCTAAGAGAAATTGTTGGAGAATCTGGTGATTTTCGGACTGCAGAAGAGAATACTTAAGGGTGGTATAAGCAGTGTCTTCAAATATGTAAAGAGCTGTCACATGGAAGAGGGATAGCATTGGTATATATCATCCCAGAAGGCAGAATTTTCCATTGCCTTGAGAATAAAAAACAAGTTCTTAACTATGACCTACAAGGCCCAACATGATTGGCTTGTCTGTTTCTCTCACCTCATTTCTGCCACTTCCCCTTGCTCACTATAGTCCAGCCACATTGGCCCCCTTGCTGTTCTTTGTGCATATCAGGCCCACTTCTATTTCAGGGCTTTTGTATTTATTGTTCCCTTTTCTTTCATGGAACACTCTTTCCCAAAATGTTTGCATAGTTAGCTCCTTTTAGTTTTTCATGTCTCAGTTCAAATGCTGCCTCCTCAGAAAAGTCTTTCCTAACCCATCAATCCCAAATTAGCCTCACCCGGGCATGGTGGCTCATGCCTGTAATCCCAGCACTTTGGGAGGCCAAGGCGGGTGGATCATTTGAGGTCAGGAGTTTGAGACCACCCTGGCCAACATGGCAAAACCCCGTCTCTACTAAAAATACAAAAATTAACTGGGCATGGTGGCACACGCCTGTAATCCCAGCTACTTGGGAGGCTGAGGTGGGAGGGTCACTTGAACCCAGGAGGCGGAGGTTGCAGTGAGCTGAGATCCTGCCACTGCACTCCAGCCTGGGCGAAACAGTGAGATTCCATGTCAATAAATAAATAAATAAATAATAAAATTAGCCCCTACACCTCCCACTGTTTGTTATTCTTTATCTCATAATCTTATTACTTTACTATACCTATCACTATCTGAAATTGTCTTATTTTTATACTTATTTACTTGCTTGTTATTTATTTCCTTACAAATAGAATGAAAGCTCCATGAGAGTAAAGACCTTGTTTGTCTTGTTTACCACTGTGTCTTTGTCTTATGGTAAACAGTACTGGTACATAGTAGGTTCTCAATAATTATATATTGGATGAACTAATAAACTGAATAAATCATAGGTGTTTTGTGAGCTGTCTTGTGAAGTAATGAGTTTCCTGTCCCTGCATCTGTTTAAGGAGACATGAAGCAGAGATCAGAAGGTTATATATCAAGAAGCTCCCAAATTAAGTGGGAACATTGACCTGATGACCTCTAGAAATCCTTATAACTCTGATATTTTATGATATCCAAGGTCTAAGGAGAATATAATATTATAACTGCAACCTAGTATTCTTATAGATGTATAAAATTGAAGAGGATTTCAAGATTAGTCATCTCATATTTTAAAAGTATATTAGTCTTTAGGAAACTTTGTGAGATCAGGGTATCGCCATATAGAATGTGTCTACAATTATAATTTGTTTACTTTTTACCATAGGCTCTCAGAAGGTTGAGTTACAAACAACTCATTATGTAGATATAGGGTTCTTAATACATTCTGCACTAGGGATCATTTAACTATTATGTTTTCCCTTTTTTCTCCCCTGAAGGGAAGCCTCCTTGAGAATATAATAATGAGCTGGATCTTAAAGGATGGGACAGGTTTTGGAGGATATCAGACATTTTAGGCTGGGAAAAGGGACTAAATGAAGGTATGGCCATGGAAATAACACATGTGTGAAGAAAGCAGAGTATCTGGCTTGACAGATGTCTTGCAGCCAATGTGTTTTAAAGAAAATACGGGAGATGGAAAACTTGGAAAATGGACAAGCAAGGTTAGGTTGAATCATATAGAAGCTTGAGATTTTTTTTAGATTTAGCTTTTAATTTGTTTTAAATTGATACATAATAGTTGTACATATTTATAGAGTACATGTGAATCTCATATAGAGGCTTGAATGTCAAGTTTGCATTTATTTCGTCCATAGGGGGCAGGGTTCTAGAGTAAGGGAAGGACATACATCTATAAAATAATGGAGAAGCCTTTCCAAGAATTTTGGAAGATGTTGAATCTCTTTTCTCTTTCGGAAGAGGAAACTGAGACTCAGAGAGAATAACTTACCCAAGGTTACCCAGGCAGTTTACAGCATAGCTAGAGAGAACTGAAGCTTTCTGATTTCTAGCTCAGTATATTTTCCAATGTATCATGAAAGTGATAAACTGAGAATGGTACTTGCAATTTTAGGTGTTACATGTTTATTTAAACAAGCAAGTAATCAATTAAGATGAATTCCTTATTAACAGATGTTCAGGAGCAGGTCCTGAGGGCTTTAGAGGTAACAGATGTCTGGCAGTGACTGCTTTGATGAAGAGCGGTACCACAGGGTACGATGTTCCTCTGCAAACAAGAAGACCCTCTCTACTGTGTCCACTGTGTATGGCCCACCTGGGAAGATGATTAAATGTGTACATTAGATGGGAATGATCAAGTACCTCTCACCACATGCTCAGTGGTTTTCTTTAATTTCCAAATGCTGCACTGGCTAGAACCTCCTATTTTAATTGATGGATGTTCTATTATGTGACCTAGTTCACTCTATTTCTGAAGGCCATCATGATCCATCACTGCTTTGTGTTAGACTAGGGATATCCAGTGTTGTTGAAGCTGCCATATTGATTGGAAAATACAGACTGGAGGCATGGGTGACAAAGTAACTGCTCAGGCCTAAGTTCTAGAATCATTATTGATGTTTTCTTAAGGGAAATAAACTGGAGCTACTTCTGATGTGCCTGGGGTTTCCGGAGAACCTGTCCCTTTTGACATGTTCTATTACCTTTCTGTCACCAACTTGCTCTGAATCTACAAACACAACTGCTTAAGAAGGTTAGAGTCAGACAGACTTGGTTTCAGATCCTTGTTCCACCATTTAATAGCTGGGTGAGTTTAGTCATTGCACTCACATTTAGTCATTTTCTCACATATAAAATAAATAATAGTAATATTTGCCTAATAGAATTTTGTGGGGGATTAAATGTGATATTTCAAAGTATGTGACAATTTAAGGTTATTATGTTAACATTATCATTAAGAATATAGAGAAAGATCCAACTGAAACAGAACAACTTTGTCTCAGTAACCCACATTCTCATAATGGTAAGATTAAGTTTATTCTATTATAGGAAATATGACTTGAGTGAAAGAGATGCTGGGTGATTAAGTTTAGACAAAATGTAGAGGAGAGAGAATGCAAGTCTCATTCAAAAGATACTGTCTGGAAAAAGGGTAGGAATGGATATGGATACCATATCGAGGCCCTGGCTAGTCATAGAATATCAATTTAAAAGATTAAGGCCCAGAAATGTTAAGTTATTTGTGTATAGTCACAAAGCTAATGAAAAACAGAGTCAGGACTAGTTGTCAAGTTTTCTAAATCCCAGTCTTACGCTCTTTCTTGACTCCTGGTTTTACTTCCATTGAAACAGTTAGTTTGATAGAAGGAGTAAGATCTAGTGTTCAATAGCACAGTACAATATTATAGTTAAGAATAATTTATTGTATATTTCGAAATAGAAGAGAATATTTGAAATGTTCTCAACATAAATAAATGATAAATATTTGTGGTGATGAATACCTCAGTTACCCTGAGTTGATAATTACACATTGTATGCATGTATTACAAATCACATGTACTTCATAAATATGTAAAATTATTATGTATCAATTAAAATACATAAAATAAACTTTTATATTTACAGTAAAATATGTGTAATCCATTGAATGATAGAGTTAAAATTAAAGGGGCCTTTAGAGGTCATTTCATCCAGCCCTTCATTTTCATATAAAAAAAAATTGAAGGCCAAAGAAGTTACTTTTTCACCATCTCATATCTTATTAGTGGCATAACCAAAAGCAAAACCTGGATATTCTAATTGTCATCTAGTTATTTTTGTATTTCACTCTCACACTTTAATAGTAGTCATTTCAAAGAACTTAAGACTTTTTCCTCCCTTCCCTCTGTTACCCACCAGATTAGCTGTCTTATTTTAGCTCCTGGTGCCACTATGTAAAAATATTGGTATCATATCCATAGCTTACAAGAACTACTGTAAGGCTGTAAGAACTTGACAGTAATATGCAGGCATGAACTATTGGTGAATATTCAAGTGAATTTGACATCACATCAATTTTATAGCCAACATTATGATACCTTATAATTTTAGGATAAAGTTTTGAATAGGGTAAGGTTGAAGAAAGCTCATGGACTTTGATGGTCAAAGTTTGCTTTGGTACAAATTAATATGTTCCACTGATGTTTGTACTGGTAAACAAATAAAACAGCAAATATGTGTCATATTAAATTTTACAGTGACAAAGATAACAGATTCAGCTCAAATGGGCTGGATACTTGACTTTTCTACTACCTGAACACTGTTCTTCCTGCCCCAGAGAGAACTGTCATGTAGAGAAGTCAGGGAGAAGTTACCCTGGAGGTAACTATTGAGAACTTAGTTAATCAAGTCGCCATTTTCCTATGCAATCATCAATTTTCATTCCTTTGTTAGCACCGTGTCTTCTGTGTTAGCTGTCAAGTTAATAGCTCTTGGGAGAGCTACCATGAGACGTGTTCAAATCTTTAAGGATTTCACAAGTGAAATTGTGTGGTCTTCATCAGATTTTAAGGTCTTTGAGCACAGATGCAATGCCTTTTTAATCACCATGTCCCATAACTTTTGTTCTCACTTAGTCTTTGTTTGATGTTTGCTCAGTTGAAGTCCATGCAACTGCAAAGCAGAAGACTTCTCCAAAGGGCTTACCCCATTTCTTCAAGCTCTATCTGCAGATCTATTTCTCACAGAAACTCCTGGTATAGCTGCAGCCCTCATTGATTATTTCCTTATCTTGATTTCTTGTCTTTTGCTCACAATTTTGTGTTTCTCCAGAAGGCTTTCTTTTAAAGGCAGAGTTCACTTAGTTCTTTTTGTTCTCACACAGTATTAGACACATGGCAGTTCCTCAAAAATATTGAGTTGATTTGAATCAATTTCAATAGCTAAGTACTTAATTATGTAATATTCGTTGTCATTGAAAACTTTTATGTAGGTCTTGCTTTCCAGCTTGATTTAAAGTCGATCATCAGTTGCTTGTGGCCATAAATGAAAATATAAGTTAATAGCATACTTTAGGTTTTTCCAGTATGCATCTAGAATTGATTGTTCTGTGACTGCAAGTGCACTGAATGAGGAGTCAGAAGACTAGGGTTTTAATCTTTGATCAGGCTCTAATGACCAACATGGACTTGGGCAAATAACTTGATATCTTAGTGCCTCATCTATATAATACAGTTAGATGAGTTAATCACTCGGGTCTCTTTCCAGTTATGTCATTTGGTGACTGATCAGTCCCCATTCAAGGTTCAGGTATGGGTAACAGTCATCTTGTATGCTAAATCTGGCCCAATTTCTGAGCTAAGAATTTTTTTTCCTATTTATAAAGAGTTATACAAACAAAACAAAGAAGAACATGTGACAGAAACCTATGTGGTATGCAAAGCCTAAAATATTTACCATCTGGCCACTTACGGAAAAAGTTTTATGACCTCTGGTATAAAGAATGTGAGCATAAGCTCTTGGCCCAGCTCAGTCCACTTACCAATTGTATCACCTGAGGTATATTTTGATGTGTCTCTATGCCCCAGTTTCCTCTACAAAATGAGAATGATAACAGTTCCTACAAATCTGTTTGTTGTGAAGATCAAATGAGATTATATATATATAATCTTTCTAATTTATACACATATATAAAATGTATATAAATGTATATAATTATGTATATGTATATAAATGTATATATACTATATATAATGTATAAATTATATGTATACATTATATATAATGTATAAATTATATGTATACATTATATATAATGTATAAATTATATGTATACATTATATATAATGTATAAATTATATGTATACATTATGTATAATGTATAAATTAGAAAGTTACCTACAATAGAATTCATACTCACTAAATGTTAACTGCTGTCATTATTTCTATAATTCCTTGAGAGAGGTTATTAGACAGTTGAAAAGGAGGAGAGGATGAGGGACAAATAATAAAACCTTGAACCATAACATTTTAGAATTGGAATTGTGCTCAAACACTATCTAATCAGCTCATTTTCATTAAAGATGCTGTGACTGAGATTCAGGAAAATCAAGTGCTTTGTCCACAGTGATAGTTTATTATTGTCTGAGCCTGCATATGTTCCTCTTATCAAAGAGTTACATAATGATTCCTAATTCTAGACTTTAACCCATGAGTTCGTTGACTTTTAATGTTTTATTTTGAAATAATTTCAGAGTTTATAGAAAAGTTGCAAAAATAGTACAAATATTCCCATATAGCTTTCATTCAGCTTTTCTGAATGTTAATATTTTACCACATTCCTTTTCTCTCGTATTCTTTCTCTTTCTACAGATACAGATTTGAATAAGCTTTTTGTTCCTAAACTACTTGAGAGCCAGTTGCAAATATGACATCCATTTACCACTAAAACTTCAGTGTGAGTTTCATAAAATCAAGAGCAATCTCTTACATAATCACAGTGCAATTATTAAAATAAAAAATACTGACATAGTATTATTTACTCTATGATATTTATCCAGACATTATCATTTGTCCTACTTATGTCGTTTGTAGCAAAAATATTTCTTGACTGAGTCCTTGAGAGTGCAAATTTAATTTTTAATGGGGGATTTGTCCCTTGCAGGCTTTGAAGATTCCCTCATGAAATGTGTTTCTAAACTCCTCGACATGCTGATTCCATGCATTTAAGACAGGGGGTGAATTTTCCTTTGAGATCTCTTTATTTCTCCTTGCCTTAATCAATCCAAAGTGGTCAGCAAGATGCAAGTAACATTTCCTCATAGACTAGCGGAAGCCATTAGCACAAGTGACATGTTCCTGGGATTTAAGTGGTTCTGTACTGTGCAGTCCAGCACTTAGATGAATGGTTATTTGTGTTTAAACCTTAGAGTGAAAATGAAGTAACAACTTGGCACATTTTACCTCCTGCTGAAAACAGACAAATAAAACTCATAAAATCAAGACCTAGGTCAAATCTGTTCTATTTACTCAGCAAATGACAGGTTGATAGGACCATCTCTTGGAACACTTTCAGAGGTTTGTCTGAGCCTGATGGAGGGGGAGATATATAAGAGAAATAGTCCCATTTTTTTTGCATTCCTTTGGTTTATTTAGATTTAGCGACACAACTGAAAATATTAAGGTATAATACCGTTTATTCAGAAAGATGGGAAAAGCACACCTATGTCTCATTCTAGCATGGCTGTGGGGTTCCATTCTGAAGGGTCAGGTTATATTATAAATAGGATTCTTTAATATTTTTGTTTGGTAAAGAACCTTGGAAAAGGGGATTCTCAGTGCTCCAGTGTAATATTGAACTGAGCTTCACAAGGTTTCTTTCTTTCTAGTAGGGTTCTTTTTTCTTTTTTTCTAGCGGTGTTCTTGTCTTACAAATGCTTTTGTTTTGCAACTTCTCTTTTAAGCAAAAGTAGAGCTGAGATATTGTTGTTCAAAAAGCCTTCTTTGTTCAGCTTGAATACTACATATTGCAGTGCCAGCCCCTGGCTCCCTCTGTACATTACTAGTTAGTACTTCCTTGGTTAGTATCTGGTATTCTCTTTTAAAAAAACTTTTTTTTTTGTTGAAAGACATAGTAAACATACAGAAGAGCAAAGAAAATAAATATAGCGCTCATGAATTTTTACAATGTGAACACTCACATATAACCACCATACAGCATAGATGAAGTGATTGAAGAAGAACCCCTACACTCTCTTGAAAGTACTCATTCCTCCTTACCTTCCCTAAAATTAAGGAAGTAACAATTATACATGTTAGAAGTTATCTTCTAACATTTTTAATGCTAGAAGTTCTTCTAACATGTATAATTGTTACTTCCTTAATTTTATTTATAGTTTTATCATTTGTTTATATTCTCAAACTCCATATTGTTGTCTTTTTTGAATTTTATATGAATGCAGTTCTATAGTATGTATCCTTTTGTGTCTGGCTTTTGCTCAATATTATGTTTATGAGATATCATCTATATTGTTTGTTCTCTCTCTTTCTCTCTCTCTCCCTCTGTGAATATACCACATTTCCTTCTGTAGACAGACATTGGGGTTCAATCCAATTTTCAGCTATTATCAGTATTGCTCCTGGTATATAAACACATGCATTTGTGTTGGAGATAAGAGTGAGAATTGTGGGGTCATAGTAGGGAGGCATTATATCCTGGTTTGCTTGATTCAGTCCTGGTTGTTACCTATTGTCCTGGTGTAATTATTTATAGTGTCCCATTTCACTCTCAAAAATGTCTTTGTTTGGATAATAAAATAGGACAACATGATCATGAGATATACTTTAATGTTAAAATTTAATATAGTGCCAAATGAGTTTTCAAAGCGATTGTACCAATTTACAGCCCTACCAGCAATGTATAAGATTTTCACTTGCTCCTCATCTTTATCAACACTCTTTATTTTCAATCTTAAAAAACTAAAAGTTTTGGTCTTCTTGTGGGTGTGTAGCAGTATTTCATTATAATCTTAATTTATTTGGTTGTCATTGAAGTTAAGCATTTTAAAAATGTTTACTGGCCATTTGGATTTCTGTTTTGTGTATGTATGAATTGCTTGCGTTCTGTCACTTTTGCTTTGCATATTAAAGGCCAAGTTTTACAGTATAAATAAGTTTAGAATTGTCATATCACTTATTGTTTAATGATATTTTTGTATAAACATCTATTATATTTGATATTAATAAAGGCACATCCAGTTTCTATTGGCTATTACTGGAATAGTATATCTTTTCCAATCATTTTACTTTCAACAATTCTGTATCCTTATGGTTTTTATATGTCTCTTGCACACAGCATATTCGTTTTTTTGGAAATTCAGCCTGTGAATCTTTTTCTTTCAATTGGAATGCCGAGTTTATTAACATGCAATGTAATAACTGATGTATTTGTGTTTAAATCTACTATCTTCCTATGTGCTTTTTTTTGTTTTTTCTCTTCTTTCTCAATTTTCTTTCCTTTTTAAACTTTTTTTTGGGTTGATTGATTTTTATCTCTATTTTCCCACAGGTATTTATTTTTTATTTTGTTATTCTGTTGGTAATTAGCCTAGAAATTACCTCATCCTTAACTTACTAAAGCCTGAATTAATTGGTAGTTTAACTCTCCTCTGAAAACTCAAAGATCTCAGAACAGTTTAACTCTATTTTCCCTGTTCCTGACATATATGCTATTATTGTCTAAGTGTTTCTCCTTTGAAAGAACTTTTTTCTTCTTGCTGTTTCTTGCTGCTTTAAAGATTTTCTTTTATTCATTGTTTATGTTCAGTTTATCATTATGTGTCTTGTTGTGGATTTTTTTTATCCTTTGGGATCCCCAAATGTATAGATTAGATATCTGTCATCAGTTTTGGAAAGTTTGCAGTTTTTATTTCCCCAAATACCCTTCCTGTTTCATTTTTCTTAGCTTTCTGCAATTCAGGTTATACATATGTTAGATTTTCTTACAGTATCCTTTCTTTCTATCACTTGCCTTTACTTACTTTTCATTATTCCTTTCTATTTGTCTCATCTTGGATAAGTTTTTTAAAATATGAACTATTTTCCATTTCATGAATTTCAGCTGTTCAGCCCATTCATTGCATTCCTGAATTTGGTTAATGAACTAATCATTTCTAGGTTTTCCATTTGGTTCTGGCATGCTATTTTTATAGTGTCAAGTTTCTTGCTAACATTTTCAAGCTCAGTCAAGCTCAGCTTTTATCTACATGAAAATATTAAGGATATTTGTGTTATAGACATTGCTTTTAGTCTTACTTTCTATGATTTTTGGATCTCCTCTTTTATCTGTTGTTTATGCTGTCTATTTTTCATGTTATCAGTTTCTTTTGGTGCCTAGTTATTTTGATTGTTTGCTTGACACTATTTTTTTAGTAAACTTTTTTTCTTTACAAAATTTAGAACAGTTTTTAGATTTACAGAAAAACTGCAGATAGTACAGAGAGTTTCCATATACTCCACAACCACTTTCTCCTATTATTAACATTTTAAGTCAAAATGGTGTATTTGTCACAATTAATGAACCGATTAATACATCATTAACTAAGGTTTGTATTTTATTTTGATTTCCTTTGTTTTCACCTAATATCCTTTCTGTGTTCCAGAATCCCATCCAGGATAACAATTAATTGTCCAGCATCCTTAGGCTTCTCTTGGCTGTGACAGTTTTTCAGACCTTCTTAGCTTTCCATAACCTTGACAGTTTTGAGGAGTGCTGGTTTGACATTTTGTAGAATGTCCCTCAATTGGGATTTGTTTGGGTTATAATATCATGTGGTTTATATATATTTACCATCAAGTAAAAGCTATTATATGAATTTAACTGAATCTATCAAGGCACTGGCACAATTTCTCTGAGAGAATCAGATTGTGAGTAGAAAATGATGATTCTCAATGACTACCTTCATAGGGCTCAATAGCATATTGAACACTTTCTGAATGATTCAAAGCTTTCTTAAAGGTGAACCTTAAGTCTACAGTAAAGGTTTATCATTACCCAGAATTGTCAGTGACAAAAGTTCATCCAATGTGAAGAAAATGATGTCTGAATATTTTTGAAAAACAACACATAAAATTATCAGAGAACTTGAAGTAAGACCATGAAATAAATAGTATTTCAGTGACAAAGCTTTTGTGTTACATCTGTGGATAGTGCCATGATTGATGGCATCTTCAATTGCAAGAGCCATAGAAGCAATATTTGGTCAAATATAAGTATACTCAGTAATAATGGTGCTTTGGATAAAATTGGAACCATTGTTAACTAGAAAATATTAAATTTTTTTTTGCAAAGCCAGTAGGTTCTATATTGAATCTACACATGATAACAATTCTTTTTTTGGCTCAAGCTTGCATTCTCCAACAAATTCTTGAACTAGGATGTTTTCCTGTATTATTTGGGATGACTATTTTCAAAACACTCTGGCAAAATGAGGTTCTTTTAAACCTTAGCCAAAAAAAAAAAAAAAAAAAAAAAGCAGTTAACTGCCTGAGATGAAAAAAGGCTCCCTGCTAAACTTTCAAAATTATTTATATTAAAAATGGAATAAACAGCTCACAATCATAGAAACGTCAGGATAAAGGGCTTCTTAAGGTCATTGAAATAAATGAAAGCCACATTTAGTGAAAGAGAAAGGGAAATCCCATATAAATGAGAATGGGAGATGGCATAGAAAATGAGCATCTAAGGCAAAAAGGAGAAACTGCAGAAATGAATGAGGGTGAACTGATAGTAGGTATTTTACATGTCAGAAAGGAGGCATAGAAATGGGAAGGTGATTATAAGCCGGGTTCTCAGAAAAGGAATTTCTCATAAAAGAGGACAATGGTATATGAAATGGGTGAGGGAAATTGAAAAGGAAGAAAGTGGCAATATGGTATCAACAAAGCACCACGTTAAAACGTAGGAAAACAAGAAATGACAAATCGAAGAGCAAACTACCATCCAGCTATGATGGGATCAGCCAGGGTCCCTCAAGCATTTTACTGCTGTGCCTCAGCTTATGGTGGCTCTCAGAAAGAATGGTGACACTTCCATGACACAATCAGTATCCTGCGTTGTCTCTGATTCTTTTCATTACACGAGTTGCAACTAAAAACCTATCTCTTCTAAGAACATGTTCGAATTTATCAAGGATAACTAATGCTAGGTAAATAAAGGCTCCTATAAAGGTATGGTAGACTTTTGTGTTGTATTTACTGCAGTAAAAGCAGGTACAGACTTTTTAAAATGCAAATTATAGCACTTGAACATGAAAGAGTATTAGAAGATATTGTGTTGCCAATAGAGCATTAGCTGAGTTGAGGTCTTACTCTGCAAGCTGCTGAAATTTCGGGGTTTCTGAGGGGAACATGTATTCTGGAACTACACTGTTACAAAATGATATTTGATAGTGGTGGTGGTGATGATCCAACTGGTTAATGAAGCTTTGTTTCCCATGTTCTTATTATATATGTCCTATTTCCAGAGCCATCAATTTCTGCTCAACAATGTTTATGTACCTCTTTAATAAACATAATTATATTAACCATCTTCATTTGATAGCACTTAATGTTTGGACAACCACTTTTCTATCCTTTATCTCATTTAATCTTTAGTATTTAGCAACAGTTCAACTTTCCTTGGTATAAACAACTGGTTTCCAAAACTGAAAACAGTATATCATTTAGGAATTTATAGGTTGATTTTATGCTAATTTTACACAAGCTAATTATCATCACTTATTTATTAAATTATGATTATAGTTAAACATTTTGTTAGAAATAATTTTCACACTAAAATGTATAATAATATACTGGCCTAAATACAGTATTTTTTAACCTAGAATATTTTCGTTATTACCATACAGAACCAACAAAAAGTATCTTTAAAAATTTCCTTAGTGATTTCTTAGATCAAAGAGGAGTGGGGCCGGATGCGGTGGCTCACACTTTTAATCGTGTCACTTTGGGAGGCGGAGGCAAGTGGATCACCTGGGGTCAGGAGTTCGAGAACAGCTTGGGCAACATGGGGAAACCCCATCTCTACTAAAAATACAAAAAATTAGCCAGGCGTGGTGGCGTGTGCGTGTAGTCCCAGCTACTCAGGAGGCTGAGGCACAAGAATCACTTGAACCTGGGAGGTGGAGGTTACAGTGAGCTCAGATCTCACCAATGTATTCCAGCCTGGGTGACAGAGCAAGATGTTGTCTCAAAAAAAAAAAGAAAAGAAAACACCTTTCTAGAAGAAATTATATAAGAAACCAGTCTGACTAATTGTGTTTTATTTATTTATTTGGTGGCTGAAATCGTCTCTGTAATTGACATATTTGTTTCTGAGATTTATGAGGCTTCATTTTCTGAACTTGAATATTACTCAAAGATTCAACATCTGAGTTATTTCCCTGGTTCCCAAAATGAGATGGAGTTGGAGTGGGCATCTAACTCTCCGGACAGAACACATACATAAGGGGAAAGCTGAGAGGCAGTAAGATTGATGTCTATGGAATCATGAAGCAGTTGAAAAGGGGAATCAAACAATTATTTTCAACCCCCAGAGTACTAGTCCTCAGTGGATATCTCTTGAGTCTCAAAAGGTCATTTTAGGATAAATGAAAAGCAAACCTTCCTCACACAGCAGGAGACAAACTTACTGAGCTCTGTACTCTGATAAGTCAGTGAGTCAGAAAACAATCCAAAATGAGACATAAACAGGTCAACGACAAGTCTAGAATAAATAACTGAGGACAACATGCATGTTTCTTATAATTACTTTGTATTCCTAAAATACTTTGTTTCATTACATTGTGTACTTTTATTGTGATTACTGATCAATTTGGATAAATTTTTACCATCTTATTTTAAACCTTCTATTGTCCTACTTTTCTATGCCTATTTCTCTCTCTTTTTTTTTCTTTTGCTTTCTTTTGGATTGACTGTTTAAAAAAATCATTTCGTCCCTTCTACTTGTTTGAAAATTATACCCTTAGTTCTGTATAAATGATTCACCTTAAAGTATCATCATGTATACTTATCAAATAATTCTAAACATAATTAGTATCTTTAACCCCTTAACACCAAACAATACATAGATCTTACAACAGTTTTCCTCCCATTACCCCCTCCAGCCTTACATACTGTTATTGTCCAGTATTTGAGTTAATTGTAATCTCCATAATTAGTGATTATTATTATTATTAGGTGATGACAATGTTTTATTACTGAAAGTACTAGATATATATCTTATTCTCAAAAACATATATGCTTGAATTGTCTCTAAATATAACTTTTATTATGAGTGACAGGTAATTGGGCTATTTATAAGATTAAAAGTTTTTTTTTTTTTTTTTTTTTTTGAGATGGAGTCTCACTCTGTTGCCCAGGCTGGAGTGCAATGGCACAGTCTCAGCCCAGTGCAACCTCCACCTCCTGGGTTCAAGCAATTCTCCTGCCTCAGCCTCCTGGGTAACTGGGATTACAGGCGCCTGCCACCACGCCTGGCTAATTTTTGTAGTTTTAGTAGACACGGGGTTTTACCATGTTGGCCAGGCTGGTCTCGAACTCCTGACCTTGAGATCCGCCTGCCTCAGTCTCCCAAGGTGCTGGGATTATAGGCATGAGCCACCGCGGTAAATTTTTAAGGTTATATTTCATTTTTAATTGACACATGTTAATTGTACATATTTATGGGGTAAAATGTGCTGTTTCAATGCATGTACACATTGTACAATGATCAAATCAGAGTAATTAACATATCCATTTCTTCAAGCCACTGGTCATTTCTTTGTGGTGAGAATATTCAAAATTCCGTCTTCTAGCTGTTTTGAAATATACACTGTTCTTAACTATAGTCACTCTACTGGGCAATAGAATACTAGAATTATTCCACCTATACAACTATAATTTTGTACCTGTTGACCAACCTTTTCTCATTGCCCCTCCCCCATACCCTGCCTATCCTCTAGTATCCACTATTCTACTCTCTACTTCCATGAGATTAACATTTTCAGATTCCACATACAAATGGGATAATATGCTATTTGTCCTTTTCTACTTGGCTTATTTCACTTAACATAATGTTCTCTAGGTTCATCCATCTTGTCACAGATGACAGGATTTCATTCTTTTGTGACTGAATAGTATTCCATTGTGTATGTGGATTTTTTAATCCATTCATTTGTTGATGGACACTTAGGTTGATTCCATATCTTGGCAATTTGTAAATAGTGATATAATAAACATGGGGGTACACATATATATTTGACATGTTAATTTCATTTTCTTATACCCAGTAGTGGAATTGTGTGATCATATTGTAGTTCTATTTTTAATTTTTTGAGGAACCTCCATACTGTTGTCCATAATTGCTGCACTAATTTAAATTTCTACCAACAGTGTATAAGAGTTCCTCTTTCTCTCTCTCCTTGCAGCATCTTTATTTTGTCTTTTTGATAATAGCCATCCTAAGAGTTGTGAGGTGGTACCTCAATGTGGTTTTGAATTGCATTTTTCTGATAGTGATGCTGAGCATTTCTCTTATACCTGTTGGCCACTTGTATGTCTTATTTTGAGAAATGTCTATTCAGAACTTTTGCCCATTTTTAAATCAGATTATTTGATTTTTTCGTTTGCTTTTGAGTTGAGTTCCTTACATATTCTTGATATTAATCCCTTGTCCAGTGCATAGTTTACAAATAGTTTTTCCCATTCTGTAAGTTGTTTCTTCACTCTATTGATTGTTTCTTTTGTATCGGGGGACCTGCCCCGATAATCATGTAGGTTCTTTTCTATTTTCCTAAGCGTCGACTGACTTGAGAAATAAAAGGACAGGGTACAAAAGAGAGAAATTTTAAAGCTGGGCGTCCGGGGGAGACATCACACATTGGTAGGATCTGTGATGCCCCACAAGCCACAAAAACCAGCAAGTTTTTATTAGGGAGTTTCAAAAGGGGAGGGAGTATACGAATAGGTGTGGGTGACAGACATCAAGTACTTAACAAGGTAATAGAATATCACAAGGCAAGTGGAGGCAGGGCCAGATCACAGGACCACAGGATGGAGGCGAAATTAAAATTGCTAATGAAGTTTCGGGCATCATTGTCATTGATAACATCTTATCAGGAGACAGGGTTTTGAGATCAACCGGTCTGACCAAAGTTTATTAGGCGGGAATTTCTTCTTCCTAATAAGCCTGGGAGCGCTATGGGAGACTGGAGTTTATTTCACCTCTGCAATCTCGACCATAAGAGACAGGTACGCCCCGGGGGGGCCAGTTCAGAGACCTACCCCTAGGTGCGCATTCTCTTTCTCAGGGACGTTCCATGCTGAGAAAAGGAATTCAGTGATATTTCTCCCATTTGCTTTTGAAAGAAGAGAAATATGGCTCTGTTCTGCCCGGCTCACCGACAGTCAGAGTTTAAGGTTATCTCTCTTATTCCCTGAACAATTGCTGTTATCCTGTTCTTTTTTCAGGGTGCCCACATTTCATATTGCTCAAACACACATGCTGTACAATTTGTGTAGTTAACGCAATTATTACAGGGTCCTGGAAGGATATACATCCTCCTCAACTGACAGAATTAAGAGATTAAAGTAAAGACAGGCATAGGAAATCACAAGGATATTGATTGGGGAAGTGATAAGAGTCCATGAAATCTTTACAATTTATGTTTAGAGATTGCAGTAAAGACAGGCATAAGAAATTACAAAAGTATTAATTTGGGGAACTAATAAATGTCCATAAAATCTTCACAATCCACATTCTTCTGTCATGGCTTCAGCTGGTCCCTCCGTTTGGGGTCCCTGACTTCCTGCAACACTTTTGCTGTGCAGAAGCCTTTTGGTTTGATGTAATCCCATTTATCTATTTTTCTCTTTCGTTGCCTGTTCTATTGAGGTCTTATTCAAAAAATACTCTTCCAGTCCAATGTCATGAAGTGTTTCCCTTATGTTTTATTTTCTAGTAGTTTCACAGTTTCAGGTCTTACATAAGACATCCACTTTGAATCAATTTGTATAAGTGGTGACAGATAGGAGTTCAGTTTCATTCTTCTGCATGTCAAATATTAGGTGAACATATATGAGTGGGTTTATTTAATTTCACTGACTCCGCTTCATTGTCTGGTGCTGCTGCTGGGTGGGCTCCATGATTGGGTGGGGTCACAGGCTGGGCTCTGCAATCTTCTCTGGACTGCAGGAGATCCCTGTGATCTCTGTGATCCCTGGACAGGTGGTGTCACTGACTGGACTCCATGTTCAGGCAGGGCCTCAAGCTGTGCTCCACAGTTGGGTGGGGTCACTGGTTGTCCTGGGTGGTTCAGCAGGGTTGCTGGCCAGGCTTCACAGTTGAACCGAATGACAAGCTATATACCCTGCAGTTGGGCAAGGTTGCTGGCTGGGCTTCCGGACAAGGTGGGACCACCTTCTGTGTTCTGTGGCTGGGCCAGACTACTAGCTAGGGACCCCAGTTAGGAAGAACAGCCAACCTTGCTCCCTGGGCAGATGGGGCCACTGGGTTGGCTCTGCATGTGGGCAGAGCCTTGGTCTGGGATCTCTGGTTGGGTGAGGCCTCTAGCAGGGACACAGTACCACCACCAAGATCCAAAGACTGGTTGCTGTGAGCCCTTTCCCCTGTCCTTCTTTGTTCCCTGCTGATTCCAGGTGGTCTAGCTAGTCTTGCCAATTCACATAGTGTTCTCCATGGAGCGAGACAGAAGTGGGCCTCCCTGGGAGTGCCCCAGAATTCTGAGGAAGATGGATGTCCACCTCGAACTCTCTTTTCTCTGTTGGAGAAACCACAGCTCCAGAGGATTCTTCTTGGTGTCTCATGGTGTGGCCTGGAGAAGAGGTGAGTGGTCAGTGTAAAACCACTCCTTTTAGCCTTCTAATGCCGCTTTTCCTGTTTTTTTTTTTAGCTCCATGGAGGTACTTCAGTCTCTTTCGGGTTCTGAAATTTTCACAAAGGTATTCTTGGCTGGGGATAGTTGCTGCTGTCAGTATTTTTGTGAAGGGAACTGGAGCTGGGACCTTCTAATTTTCCTTCTTGCTGACATCCTCCTCACTATTCTCTCTTGTAACTCAGAAATACTTTGGGGTTAATTTGCTTTCTTCCTGAAGAACATCTTCTACAATTTGTTTTAGAAAGGGTTTGATAATGGTACACGCAATTTTTGTTAAAATTTTGCTCTCATTCTTAAAAGATAGTTTTGACACAGATACAGTTCTAGATCCATTTGTTTTCCTCAGCTCTTTGAAGATGTTTTACTTTCTTCTTGAGTTTATTGTTGCTGTGGAGAATCCCATTCACAGTATAAATGCCTTCGTAGGTCATCTATGTTCCCTTCTCTGTGACTGCATTTAAAATATTTTCTCTGTCTTTGGTGTTTTACCATCTCACCACAATGTATTTAAGTGTACTTGGGATATATTGTTTTTCCCAAAGCAGAAGATACATGTCTGTCATTAATTGTGGAATCTTCTCAGCCGTTATCTCTTTATTGCTTCCACTATTTTCTTCATTCTGTCTTTCTAGAGCCTTAAGTAGACATACATTCAGACATCCCACTTATACCTTCTATATTTTTAAATTTCTATTTCATATTTTCTACATTTTGTGTCTTTTAATTTAATTGTGGGTATTTATTTCTATTTAATCTTCCAGTTCACTTAGTCTCTTCAGCTTTATCCAATCTTTTGTTTAACCTATCCACTGAGTTTTTAATTTCATTCATATTTTAAGTTATAGGTATTCTACCTTGTTCCTTTGCAAATCTTCCTGTTTTGTCCTGTATCATAAAATTTTAATATCTAAAATGTTTGAGAGATGAAATAAGTATTTTTTCTTGTTTCTGCTACTTCTAAGTATGGTTTTACTTTGGCTAAATTTATTTTGTATGAGTTCTAAGGGCCTGCAATTAATGATGCTTTCTTCCAGAGGGTTTTGTGTTTGCTTCTTCTAGGTGCAAAGAGTTGTTACCAACTTGAGACATCTTTAATCTTACTTCTTGTTTTGGAGTTTCCTGAGGATAGTATAAATGTAAACCCCAGACGTAACTGAGGGTAGGCCTATTGCTAGCAATCTCAGGAGAGATCATTTATCCACATCTGGAACTACAGAAAAAGAGGCAGTTTTTCTCATAGGTTTCCTTTGCTGTCAGGCAGTATTTTTGTTCGTTTGTTTGTTTGTTTTTAAAATTCATAGTGTTCACTAAGGGTGTGATCTTCCTCATGGCTGGGCAGTGGTTTCAATTTAGGTGCTCAATTTGCTCTTGCTTTAGCCCAAGGCCTAATTTCAGTAGCTAGGGAATACACTAATCCTCTAATCTGGGTTTCTGGTATCTGCATAGTCCCTGAGCCAACCCCGGTTTTTGCTTTTGCTTACTGGTCTGGTTTTAGCCTTTCTCTCCCTCTCTCTCTTGCATTCTACTTCTCTTTCTCATCATCTCTGCCCTCTCCCCTTCAGGATTTCCTTTATTTCTCATGAGTTCAGCAATGCATTTAAAACTATATTTGTTGTGGTTTATCCACAATGTAAATGTTTTAAAGGAGAAGGCTTTTCAGATGATCTATTCTGCCACACTGATGAAAGTGGAGTCTGTTCTTGTGTGTATTAGGTATTTAATACATACTTATTTAATACAAGAATGATGTCAGGGAAGATGAGAATTTTTTTTTATAAAATGGGCAGTAAAGCTCAGTACCGGAATCCTGGGATAGATGTATCCAGGGTGGGGATTGTTTTTTCAGTATTTTCCCCTGAAATACTCACTCTTAGGTGTCCGTATCTTTCTCATTGCTATAGGTTTAATAAGGAATGTTGTAAGCAGTACTAAAACACTTATAGGAGTATAAAGTTCTTTGAAGTAGAATAAGTATGAGGAAAAAACTTTACTCTTTCTAATTTTAAAATGTGATTTATTAATATTTTTGACATGTACCTTTTAATTATTTATATTTTTACTCTTTGGCTTAATTCTACACAAAAAAAAAAAAAAAAAAATCAGGTAAATAGAAGCTCTTAGCAGCGGCCAGAAACAAGTCCTGAGAAATCATAGCTATAGAAACTAGAAACAACTGTGTTAATTTTTCAGAGACAATGTAAACGGGAGGATTTCTCCAGAGAGCATGAGCTATACTTTGTGCCAGGTACAGTGGTGCATACCTTTTTTGGGGGGTTGGAGGGAGCTTGACTTTACCATTGCCTTTGGGCATGACGGTTCTATTTCCTCTACAAAACCTAGGAGATAGAAAATTGTGGTCCCTGACTGATACCTGCTTAGGGCTAGCAAGGCACTCACAGGTGGACCTTGGTGTTCTGTTTGTTGGACATAAAAATTTCTCGGTACAGTAACATCAAACAAGGTCACTCTGCTACCATGAGAAAGCAAGACAAAACAAGACTACTTTGTAATCATGTCTGAATGCAGACAAAAACAATTCCCAAACTATTGAGATGACCAAATGCCCCCCAACCCTGGTGAATATGAGCTGCTGTTACTTCTTCATCAATTATAGTTTTAGCCCCACTGCATTCCTCATGTCCCCTCAATAAAAATTATTGATAAGCATAGAATTATCACTACTTCCTAAGAGAACCTAATCCAGAGCAAAACCATACTTAACTTAAACTCTCCTCAGAGTAACCCGACATAAGCCCAAATCCTGCAACAAGCTCCTTTCACTGAAAAATCCCCATGATTCCCCATGATGTGTGTTTCCTAATTGAAAAGAATCAATACACTTAAATTTGTTTGACTAAAGTTGTGTTTCTGGTGATCTTCGGCTGGAGGACATTGATTCCTGGGTGACATAGAACTGGATTTTCCCCCCAGTAAGACAAATTTGACTTAGGAGTTTTATCAAAATTTCTCAACCAGCTTTGGGAGCACTTGTTTCAATAAGAATGGATCTGAAAATTCTATGGTTTATTGTCAATAATGATACACATAGAGATGGTAATGTGATGGTACTCCATGCTCAAAAAAGGGGGAAAGGACTGGACTTGGCCTACCTTGGGAGACTTAGTTGATACCATATTGGTGATACTCTTACGTGATATTCATTCTCTGGTCTGGTTTTCCATAAATATTGTAGCAATATTTGCAACTGGTTATTGACTTTCACTCGTGGCCACCCTATCCCATTCCCAAAGAACTAGGACTCTCACTTTAGAACAATATAGCTTCCTGTAAAGCACAATAGAAATTAGAGTTATATATTTGCCTTTTAAATTTCTAGTAGCATAATCTCATGGGTCAGGTGAAACAAGTTTTATGTAATTTTGGAGTGTAACAAAATATGGTTCGTGAGCCTTTCAGAGGAAGAAGGAAATTCAATATGCTGAGAAAGCAAAGGGGACTGGGGAAGTCTGGGTTTATTTCCCATCCTCAAAGCATTCGGCCTGGATTTGTGAAAATGTTAAGAATGATGAATGAGCTGTAAATAGAAGATTCCTCTGACTGTGAGCCATAAACAACCATAAATGGATTAGACTGAACAGCTGGGAGCGAAATCGTGGGCCTTTTGCAGGCACACAGAGCCAGCTGTGGACTGTAACTAGCATCCCACCCTATTGATTAGCTGTTCTGTGGACCATAATAAAACTATCATGGTTAATTGCTAGAAAGAGGAACACACCTAGAAACAGGCAAGTTAAGGTGTCAGCCCTCCAGTTTATTGCTCAAAGGCAGGATAATTTGTGTTTCATTACACCACTTTCTCAGCAGGATCTATAGGGCTCAATCAAGTATCACCATCTACCCCCAACACACACACACACACACACACTTTTCTTGGGCATGGGAACATTTGATTACATTTTGTTGCCTTCTAGCTATGGATCAGTAACTTTTCTAGTCAATCTGTTTTGATCTGCAAGCATTCCAAAGGAAAGCCCAAGTGTTTACAGTGCAGCCTAGGTAATGCAGAAGGGCATTTTTCAATACCAGGCAAGCAATTTTCTTCACCAGGTTAACGTGGGCTCATTTAATTTTTTACACATTTTTACTTACACAGAAGCCATAAGAAGAGCTATCCCATAAATCATATAGTTATAAAGGAGTGATTAGGTCTTCTTCTTTATTGTTATTTACACCCAAGAGAAAATGACAGGAGTTTGATAAGGGACTCTGTAGAGTTTCTCCTGCATTTAAGACTTGCAGCGTATGGAATAGAGAATGTTTTGGTTTATGTCACAGAATGTTACAGGAAAGGGATAATGAGCTATTTCGTTTTGTTTTCTTTTTTTATTATTATACTTTAAGTTTTAGGGTACATGTGCACAATATACAGGTTAGTTACATATGTACACATGTGCCATGTTGGTGTGCTGCACACATTAACTCGTCATTTAGCATTAAGTATATCTCCTAATGCTATCCCTCCCCCCTCCCCCCACCCCACAACAGTCCCCAGAGTGTGATGTTCCCCTTCCTGTGTCCATGTGTTCTCCTTGTTCAATTCCCACCTATGAGTGAGAACATGCAGCGTTTGGTTTTTTGTCCTTGCGATCGTTTGCTGAGAATGATGGTTTCCAGCTTCATCCATGTCCCTACAAAGGACATGAATTCATCATTTTTTATGGCTGCATAGTATTCCATGGTGTATATGTGCCACATTTTCGTAATCCAGTCTATCATTGTTGGACATTTGGCTTGGTTCCAAGTCTTTGCTATTGTGAATAGTGCCACAATAAACATACGTGTGCACATGCCTTTATAGCAGCATGATTTATAATCCTTTGGGTGTATACCCAGTAATGGGATGGCTGGGTCAAATGGTATTTCTAGTTCTAGAATCGCCACACTGCCTTCCACAATGGTTGAACTAGTTTACAGTCCCACCAACAGTGTAAAAGTGTTCCTATTTCTCCACATCCTCTCCAGCACCTGTTGTTTCCTGACTTTTTAATGATTGCCATTCTAACTGGTGTGAGATGGTATCTCATTGTGGTTTTGATTTGCATTTCTCTGATGGCCAGTGATGATGAGCATTTTTTCATGTGTTTTTTGGCTGCATAAATGTCTTCTTTTGAGAAGTGTCTGTTCATATCCTTCTCCCACTTTTTGATGGGGTTGTTTGTTTTTTTCTTGTAAATTTATTTGAGTTCATTGTAGATTCTGGATATTAGCCCTTTGTCAGAACTTTTGTTTTCTATCACAGCCATCCTATTTGAGAAGGTAATGCAACTCTTGAGGCTTTAGTATAACAGGAACTATGAAGACTATTGTCTATTTCCCTTTAATACTGTTATTCCAGAGTAAAATGTGTGTATATGCTAGATTCATACATAACATGTGTCATTGGCAGTGGAGGAAATGGGTGTGTCTTGCCAATATGAAATATAATGTGAAAGGAACATATTTCTAGTAACCAGGCATGTTTATACCTGGCTTTCTGCCATATTCTGGGATATACTTTTCCTTCTTCCATATTCCTGAGGTTTCTATAGCTTAGTAGCCAAAAGCACCGTTCAGTTTTATTGGTTCCTGTGTGCAGTCATTGACATCCTTGATTATGTTGTTCTTAGCAGTAGGGTGTGGGAGAGGTTTTGTTTGCTAGTGGGGTGTAACTTTTCTGAGTGTGATCACCCAGCCTGCCTAGTAATCTGATTTATAGCTGTGGTCATAGTAATCTGTCTTTAAACCTACATTCATGGTTCAGTTATGAGTGTTAATACATGTTTATTGAAAACCTACTATATGCCAGACCGCTTCACACGAACAGAAAGTGAAGACATTATTGGATGTATTGTCTAACGACCTTTAGTTTTATTTAAGGTGATAATGTTACCACCATACACTTGTTTACTTCCAGAACACCAGGATGTATGGACAAATTAGGATTTGTGTTTTAGGTGTTATGAAGTAAAATATGAGCCTTGGCAAAATAAAGGTATGCACTCTTAGAACCAGAGAGATGCAGATGTAACAGCCTCAGGGACAGAGCTCTTAATAAAGTAGATTTTTAAAGTTAGCAGCTCTTTTTTTGTAATAAGTCCTTGGAAAAGGCAAGCCCCTAAGAAATTAAGAACTTCTACACCAACAGATACCTAGCTCTTTGAAAAGAAAAAATTCAGTTGTTGAATGGCCCCCTCTGGACAGCTGTTGAAGATTTACCTCCCCTTTTCTGAGAATCTGTAGTGGGTTGAATTGTGTCCCCCCAAAATATATGTCCAAGACCTAGCCCCTAGTACCTGTAAATGTGACCTTATTTGGAAATAGGGTCTTTGCAGATGTAATTAATTTAAGAATCTTGAGCTGAGATCATCCTGGATTTAGGAGGGTCCCAAAGTCCAATGACTAGTGTCCTTATGGGAGAGAAAAAGAGATTTGAGATACAGAGAGACAGAACTAAAAGCTATGTGAAGACAGATACAGAAATCGAGGTGATGCCACCATAAGCCAAGAAATGCCAATAGTAACCAAAAGCTAGGACAGAGGCATGGAATTGATTCTCTCTCAGCGCTTCCGGCAGGAACCATCCCTGCTAACATCTTGATTTCGGAATTCTGGCCTCCAGAACTATGAGAGAATAATTTCTTGTTTTAAGCCAAAAATTATAATTTGTTATGACAACCCTAGGAAACTAATACAAACTCCCACTCCATACAAAATTCCTCTGGGGTGTATTGGATATAAGTGGAAAATGTTTATTGCCCTTGGTCAATTGACCCTTATTAGTTTTCTCCTGTGCTGAAAAAATCTGATACCATTTTCTCATACTCTAAACTCTACTGGCAAATGAATTATCAAACAGTTATGATTGGATACAAGTGTATCACAACAATACATTTTCTTTCATTCTAACTGCTATCTCTATTAATCTCAGAAACATAGAGCATTGTCTTTATGTTGCTGTAACAGAATACAATAATGAGTCTGCTCCTGTGGCATTAATCCATTTGTGAGGGTGGTGCCCTCATGACCAAAACATCCCTGAATTAGAGACCAAGTTTCCAACAAACAAACTTTGGGGTACATATTCAAACCGTAGTGAGCATTCTGGCCATGATAACACCCTTCTGAAATACCTTTCCTCATCCATATATGCTAGCTCATGTACAATCAGGTATTTCCACTGCAGTTTTGCCAGACAATCAATCAATCAATCAATCTCTCTCTCTCTCTATATATATATATATATGTATATACACCCACACATACACACACACCCACCATACATATATTTCTAGACTTGAGGTATTAGTGAAATCCTCTCCCTTAACTGACTTACTAGTCTTGGAATTGGTAAGTCAAGTTCTAACTCTTCTTTCTTATACAAGCTGTGATATTTTGTCTATAATAAATTTTTTTTATCTCTAAGCTCTTTTATAAACTATCCTTTTCTGGGGCACAGATTAGGGAGAAGAAAATGGTTTATACTAATAAGTGTACCTTTTCCCTTTGCTGTATGCCTTCTTATTTCTATGTTTCCAATAAAGGGCTGGCTTAATTCTCAGCAGGCCTCAAATGTCTGTCTTTTGCTTCTAGCCTCAACTTAGTATACTTTGAGTTCAACTGAGAGCAAGAAACATGCCTAGTATGTGGTGATTTGGGTCCAAATTTGGTACACTTTGATGAGATGTTGTATAAAGTGAAATATTCCATCCTGAGTATTATTCTTACTGTTCCCTTATAGTTAATGCCTGCTGATCCCCCAGGATGGGAATGAAAATACTTGTATTCTTTATGCTATATGTTGGGCTATAGCTTGTGGTTTTCACAACCTCTTACATACAACTTAAGTCATATTCTGTCAGACTGTTTTTATGATAGGGATGGGGCTCTTATTTCTTCCACTCTACCATCCACAGCCTTATGGGCAGGTCTTGATCTGGAGCATCTTTACATAAAGTATCATAATGCACTGGACCTGTTGTGTATGATATTACCATAGGATAAACTTGTCAGGGAATTTGAAGAGAAAATTTTATGGCAAGACCCATCAGCAACAATGATGTGACAGATTTAAATAGTCTTTTCAATCTGTGTTGAGAAACTGAAGTTTTAAAAGGTATATTTTGATCATATAAATCATAAGTGAACTCCCATTCACAGTTGCTACAAAGAGAATAAAATACCTAGGAATAAAACTTACAAGGGATATGAAGGACCTGTTCAAGGAGAACTACAAACCACTGCTCAAGGAAATAAAAGAGGACACAAACAAATGGAAAAAACATTCCATGCTCATGGATAGGAAGAATCAATATCGTGAAAATGGCCATACTGCCCAATGTAATTTATAGATTCAATGCTATCCCCATCAAGCTACCATTGAATTTCTTCACAGAATTAGAAAAACTACTTTAAATTTCATATGGAACCAAAAAAGAGCCGGCATAGCCAAGACAATGCTGGACGAGAAGAATGAAGCTGGAGGCATCACGCTACCTGACCTCAAACTATATTACAAGGCTACAGTAACCAAAACAGCATGGTACTGGTACCAAAACAGATATATAGACCAGTGGAACAGAACAGAGGCCTCAGAAATAACACCACATATCTACAACCATGCAATCTTTGACAAAACTGACAAAAACAAGCAATGTGGAAAGGATTCCCTATTTAATAAATGGTGTTGGGAAAACTGGCTAGCCACATGCAGAAAGCTGAAACTGAATCCCTTCCTTACACCTTATACAAAAAATAACTCAAGATGGATTAAAGACTTAAACGTAAGACCTAAAACCATAAAAACCCTAGAAGAAAACCTAGGCAATACCATTTAGGACATAGGCATGGACAAAGTCTTCATGAGTAAAACACCAAAAGCATTAGCAACAAAAGTCAAAATTGACAAATGGGATCTAATTAAACTAAAGAGCTTCTGCACAGCAAAAGAAACTGTCATCAGAGTGAACAGGCAATGTACAGAATGGGAGAAAATTTTTGCAATCTATCCATCTAACAAAGGGCTAATATCCAGAATCAACAAAGAACTTAAACAAATTTACAAGAAAAAAACCAAACATCCCCATAAAAAAGTGGATGAAGGATATGAACAGACACTTCTCAAAAGAAGATATTTATGCAGCCAACAAACATATGAAGAAAAGCTCATCATCACTGGTCATTAGAGAAATGCAAATCAAAACTATAGTGAGATACCATCTCACACCAGATAGAATGGTTATCATTAAAAAGTCAGGAAACAACAGAGGCTGGAGAGGATGTGGAGAAATAAGAATGCTTTTACACTGTTGGTGGGAGTGTAAACTAGTTCAACCATTGTGGTAGACAGTGTGGCAATTCCTCAAGCATCTAGAACTAGAAATACCATTTGACCCAGCCATCCCATTACTGGGTATGTACCCAAAGGATTATAAATTATTCTACCATAAAGACACATGCACATGTATGTTTATTGCAGCACTGTTAACAATAGCAAAGACTTGGAACCACTCCAATGCCCATCAATGATAGACTGGATAAAGAAAATGTGGCACATATACACCATGGGATACTATACAGCCATAAAAAAGGATGAGTTCATGTCCTTTGCAGGGACATGGATGAAGCTGGAAACCATCATTCTCAGCAAACTAACACAGAAAACCAAACACTGCATGTTCTCAGTCATAAGTGGGAGTTGAACAATGAGAACACATGGACACAGGGATGGGAACATCACACACTGTGGCCTGTTGGGGGGTGGGGTGCTAGGGGAGGGATAGCATTAGGAGAAATATCTGATGTAGATGACGGGTTGATGGGTGCAGCAATCCACCATGGCACATGTATACCTATGTAACAAACCTGCACGTGCTGCACATGTATCCCAGAACTTAAAGTATAATAAAAAAAAAAACACCAGCAATAAGAAAAGGTGTATTTTGATCAGAATATGAAGGATGTATTAGTCAGGGTTCTCTATGTGTGTGTCTGTACACACATGCACACACACACACACACACACACACACATCCTCTCATATACCCATACACATGCACACATACATATGAGAAGGGATTTATTAGGGGAATTGGCTTATGCAATTATCGAGGCTGAGGATTCCTGTGATGTTCTGTCTGCAAGCTGGAGAACCAGGGAAGCTGGTAGGGTGGCTCAGTCCAAGTCCAAAGCCCTCAGAGCCAGGGAAGCTAATGGTGTTAACTCTCAGTCTGAGGCCTAAGGCCTGAGAAGACTAGTATAGGTCCCAGAGTCCAAGGGCCAAAGAACCTGGATTGCTGATGTCCAAGGGCCAAAGAACCTGGATTGCTGATATCCAAGGGCAGGAGAAGAAGGGTGTCCCAACTCCAGAAGACAGAGAGTACATATAGATTTACCTTTCTTCTGACTTTTCTTCTGTCTGTGCCCTCAGCCGATTTGGCAGTGCTCACCAATATTGGGTGAGGGTGGGTCTTTCGTATTCATTCCACTGATTCAAATGACAGTCTCTTTTGGAAACACCCTCATAGACATACTCCGGAATAATGCTTTACCAGCTATCTGGGTAATCTCTTAATCCAGTCAAGTTGACACCTAAAATTAATCATCACAGAGTACCCTGAAAACCAGTCAAAAGACTTTTGAATTATTATGATGGGATAAATATATGTATTTACCTACTATATATCCTGCCCAATTCCCTCCAAAAAGCATGTAGGTAAACATACATAACAGGATGGTAAAGGCAAATTTCAGAAGAGAGGTGAAAAACTATTTTACAAAAATGTGAGATTATAACTATTTCTCTGTTCTCCTGTCACCCCACCCGAACAACTGTTATTTTGCTTCTTTATGTTATTATTGTCCATAGCCTGGACCACCATCTGACATATCAGATATTTACTTATTTATTATCTCATTCTCCTAATTAGAATGAGTTCTATTAGAGTGAGTATTTTTGTCTGTTTTGTTCTCTGTGCTATCCGCAGTGCCTAGAATGGTGCTTGGTAATAGTAGATGTCCAATAAGTACTTGTCCTTAAAAAATAATTATACTGGAAACCAGGAAGGGAGTTGATTTAGATTACTAAATTGTGACAAAATGAAATAGTCTGAGGCATTGATAATTCTGATGGTGGTGATGATAGCCTGACTGGATGAAGCCACTAAGGGAACTCTTGCAGTAATCCTGTCATGGGGCAAAAATATAGAGCCTGGTCCTGGATAGTAGTAAGAATAAATGGAGAGAACAATGGAAATCCAGAATCATTGGTGTAATCTCACCATCACTTTCTGCAAGATTACTCCTACTCTCACCATTCTTCCTGCCCAAGGAGATGTAAGAGAACATGGGCATAAGTAACTCATAATGGTTTCAACAACCTGCCTTCAAATGGTTTGCTGAGCAAGATGATCTTTATGAGTCCCTTTCAAGAATCTGATGTGATAATGTTGTGATTTCACCATCCCTAACTTCCAAACAAAATATGCTTCCCTGAAACAGGAGGGATTCTAAGAGCATTTTTGATTGAGACAAATAGACTGTAAATACATTTTCATGAATTAGGTTCTAGCACTGTTGGAACAGGGAACTTTAGTGTTTGTATGGCTGGCACTTTGTGCTCCCTTCTCTCTTTTACTAACAGACTAACAGTGGTAAATCATGCAACAAGCAGGACCATTATGAAAGGGACAAAGGTAATAATTGGGGATTTTGCCAGAAGGCTTATAAAAAACAAATCAGTCCATTTACAGCTGAGAGCCTCCATGCTGTTGAATTGTCGTGTTCTCATTTTCTCAGCCAGTAACTGCTATCACTGAATTGATGTTCCTGAGTTAGAGACAATGTTTTCCTGGAAATGGAGGCATCTACCATTGCTTGTCTTCAAGAGCAAATGCCAATCTTTTGAAAGAATGTTTTCCATATGCCACCTGAGTTGATGATAATTATTATTAATGGTATCTCTATCATTCTTCCTAGCTGACCTCCAGAGCAAAAGAATAAAAGTCTTAAGGAAGTGGAATTAATAACTCCATTGCAATGGATCATAAAGATAAGCCAGTAATTGCAAGGTCAGATGGGCATACACAGATAGATTGTTAGCTGGTTATACTATAATGAAAGAGCAGACCTTTTACATAAGTTTATGAATAATGTTTCTCATAAAGACAGGAGATTGATTATCCCAGAACAGCTTCCCCATGAACCTAAGACCATCAGCAATCATAATAATGAAATATTAATAACAAATTTGAGAATCTATCAGGAGTAAATTTCATAACCCACTATAATGAGTTTCTTGTTTCTAATTTTGGAGGGGAGCTAAATGAAATATTACTGAAGGCAGAAACAGAAGACTATGTTTTGCATTGGGAGACAAATCAAGATTACTTCATTACAAAGAGTAGATGTAAAGAAGTGGCAGGTAGGGGAGAACAATAGGGAGTTGGGGTGATTCCTCTATTATCATGCATACTGCTATTTCCCTGTTTAATTTTTATTTATTTTCCATGTAGAAGTAGCTTTATTAGTTAATCTCATTTTTGAAAAAATAATCTTTGGATGTATTTTTTTCTGAAAACAAGTGTATAATTACACCTTTATATTATAATAGCTTGAAGAATTATATGTTAGTTCCCTAGCAACCATAAAAACTGAATTTTAAAGCTGGAGATCAAAACTAGGATTCTTAACATAGAGGTAAAATAAGATACTTATTAGTAAAAATAATGCATGTGGTAATTTGGAATGATGACCAGAAAACATAAGAAAAATGATCCCATTGATACATTTTTATTTTTCTGATCAATATAAAATGGTGTGGGTGGCACCAGGCACGAATCTAATTTTCAGTGGCTATATTTAGCATCCAAAGTAAGCTCATATTCTTTGTGGTTTTAATTACTCACATTGAGATATTTGAATGTATCAGTACTGCATAATTACATTGTATTCAGGTATAAAAAATGATAGTGTGTCACTTTAATATAAAAGGACATAATTTAGTACTAGTGTATAAACTGCTGCTTTCATATATATTGATATTCATGATCGTTCACACTTTAATTTATATCTCCTACAGTGGGGCTAAGCCTACATAGGATATTCTCTTTCCTAGTCCCATTTATGATAAAAAGCATTTATCAAAAAGCCATTGACAATATTCTAAAATTAGATTGTGGTGATGGTTGCACATCTCTGTGAATATACTAAAAACTACTGAACTGTACACTTTAAAAGGGTAAATTTTATCATATATGAAATATATCTCAATAAAACTGTTAATTTAAAAATAATGTAATTGAGTCCCTCAACCCCTGCAATCATTATTCTCCTTTTTCCTCAGTACTGTCTTTTGAGGTAACGTTATCTTCTGTCTGGCCTCATAACCACTCTTAGACTTCTCATGAAACCTAAGATTGCAAAAAAGAGAAACAAGACATTCAGCTGGTCACAGTCCACAACTTACGTCAAAATTAAGCCTCCCTGAAAGAAACTTGGAGGCACTGGTGACAGGATGAGTATGAGATGCAAAGGTCAGACTTTGATATCCAACACTGGTTGTAGGAGCAACATGAAAACTGAGCACATATTGCCCAGAGGCTTCTGGAAATACTTGGGCACAATGTCAAGGAGCTGAGAATGATGATATGTAACAAATTTTCTTATGATCAGATTGAACACAACATTTCTTCCAAAAAAAATTAAGTCATTGTGCAAAGAGCAGTCTGTCTAGCCATTACCTTCACCAAAGCTAATGCCAGACTGTGATCTGAGGAAAATGAACAGCAGCTCCCATTGCACTGTTTATGTATTTTATATAGCTAGCCCTGTAAACTCCCAAATAAGACAAACGGCCAGGGTCAGGATCAGGATTATAATTTGTGACCACAAAACTGGGTAATATTAATTGTTTCACACAGTAATTAAATTCAAGGTTTTAGTTGACCCTTGAATTTTGTCCTGTACATTACAGCTCCCATACTCATAAATGTTATTCCCTGTTTACACACAACATCCCAACTATTATTACTTTTAAAAATATCTTTTTTAAGAATCTCTATGACTTATGGTTTCAGGCTAAATTGCCAAAGTGATTAACCAAATGAGATTAACTCGATAAGATGGATGGAATCTCAAAATTCCCAATCCATTGTTATTCAACTGAAGATTTTGTAAATACCTAGTATGAAGTAGAATAGTAGGCCCTTTGGAGAATGTACGATGAGTGAGACACTATTCCTGCCATTAGGACAAAAATTCTAAATGATTGTAATACAAAGCAGAATAAAATAAATGTAAAATAGGAGAGGTAGCCTATACCTTCTGATTTCAAAGGATCATAGCTGGTTGAGCAGATCAGGAAGTGTTCACAAAAATAAGTAGCATTTCAGCCCGGCACGGTGGCTCACGCCTGTAATCCTAGCACTTTGGGAGGCAGAGGCGGGCGGATCACGAGGTCAGGAGATCGAGACCATCCCGGCTAACATGGTGAAACCCCGTCTCTACTAAAAATACAAAAAATTAGCTGGGCGTGGTGGCGGGCACCTGTAGTCCCAGCTACTCAGGAGGCTGAGGCAGGAGAATGGTGTGAACCTGGGTGGCAGAGCTTGCAGTGAGCTGAGATTGCGCTACTGCGCTCCAGCCTGGGCGACAGAGCGAGACTCCATCTGAAAATAAATCAATCAATAAATAAATAAAAATAAAAAAATTAAAAAAGTAGCATTTCTGGTTAATCTTGAAAGACAGGTTATATTTTTGACAGATGGAAAGAAGATAGAGAAGACTTTCCAGATATAGTGAGCAACAAAAGCAAAGGCACAGAGGTGGGGAAGAAGAAAGAATGGGACTCACTAAATGCAATTGGATATTTTAAAAATGATTTCTCAGTTAGCAGTAAACATATGTTATATACAAGATACTGTGTTGGCACTATAGTGGATCTAAAGAAATATAATATTCTATGCTTGAGTCACACCAGACTCCCAAAAGGCTGTATATCAAGATATCCCTATGTTTTTTAGTTTCTCACAGGAGCCACCTCTTCTACCCAACTTGTGTTTTGCTGTTCTGGCTTTTACTTTTATCAAAGTATGTGACAAGAAACAGCTAAGTACAGTGATGTCTATATTTGTTGTAGAAGTACTGTTATGGCTGTCATTTCATATATTACCCAGTGCCTCTTTTTTTTTTTTTTTTTTTTTTTTGAGACGGAGTCTCGCTCTGTCGCCCAGGCTGGAGTGCAGTGGCGGGATCTCGGCTCACTGCAAGCTCCGCCTCCCGAGTTCACGCCATTCTCCTGCCTCAGCCTCCCAAGTAGCTGGGACTACAGGCGCCCGCCACTACGCCCGGCTAATTTTTTGTATTTTTAGTAGAGACGGGGTTTCACCATTTTAGCCGGGATGGTCTCGATCTCCTGACCTCATGATCCGCCCGCCTCGGCCTCCCAAAGTGCTGGGATTACAGGCGTGAGCCACCGCGCCCGGCCTACCCAGTGCCTCTTATAAGCCCCATGCAAGCAATTTATTTAGAACTGAATTCTAGAGAAAGGTTTGTTTCTAGAGAAAGGAGAGGTAACCTATACCTAAAAATTTTGTATAATTTTTTTTGAGAACTACATCTATCTTCACTTTTTCTTTGGCTGCCAGGAAGTTCATATCCAACTTGAAGGCTCAATTACAGCAAATTAATTTGGTTTATGATCTACATAAAATGTTATTTTAAAATGCATTAATTCAACACGTTTATTGAATATCTACTACATGGCAGGTGTTGAGTACATAGTGATGAATGAAACAAACACTGCCATCAAGATTATAGTCTAATGCAAGATTCAGATAATAAATGGATAAACAAACTTATAAATACATGTAATTTGTATTTGTCCTGGTCCTGATTATCTGTTTGTATTTATCATTAGTTTACTGAATGTGTTCTCATTGTTAAACAATCTTTATTGAGTAAAATAGGGTATAAATAAATATGTAAGTAAATAACATAGCTACACAAAAATGTTGAGTTGATCAAATACTTTATATTTTAAGTGAGTTTCTGTATAACTGACTCAATCTGTGGGCATTTTTTCTTTGAACTGGGACTCTATGTGTATAGCTATATCAGCTGATGAAGTGACATTTCCAAAGTTAAAATATTTGTTTTTTAAAGTAGTAGGGAAAAGATAAAAGCAATTTCTTCCTGTACATTATCAACTTTTGAGGCATCCCCTGAAAAAACAAACAAAAGATGAATTTCACAGTATACGGTCTAGTCCCATTACAAACTTTTCCACATCGGATCTTTCTATGCCTCTGCCAATAGTGCATCCATTACAATAAGGTTCCAGGATGACCAAAGGATTTGCCCAGTCCTCCCAAATTATTAAGGCATAAGTAGCAACAGTGTTTTTCAAGATTGATATACAATCAGGTATACAAATCACATTGTTTTTAAGCTGTCCTCATCATAAGTGGAAACAAGCATGGTTATGGTCAGTGATCCACACTTAAAAGATGTGTTTTCATGAGGCTGTGGTAGGTAGTCTGAAATGAACCAGAGCTGTCCTCTACCTTCTGGGGCTTACCACTTATTGGTAGGCAGGATCCAGATAAGTACACAAGGCAGTATGTGTTCAGTAGAGCTATAAGCAAAAAACTACCACTGTGGCACAGAGAAAGGAGGTGTTAAATCTCACTCAGGGATCAGGTAAATTCTATGAAGTGGCATTTGACCTGGGACTTGAAAAATGATTATCATTTCAGTAAGCATAGCATGTGGGGATGAGCATACTGACCAGAAGGAAGGCACGAAAAAGGAAGGGAGGTGTTAAAATTTATGAATTTGTAAGTAGTTCAAGGTTTATAACAGAGACTGAGTAAAGGGATGCTATGAAATATAAAGGCTGAAAATTTTGATGGATCAAAATCTTGGAGGACCTTGAGTATGGTGCTAGGGATTTTGGATTTTGAGAGAAAAGAATAGGTTTTCTTGATAAATCAATAATGACTATTTGAGAAATATGGAGATGACTGAGGATGTTATTTCAATCTAATAATACTTCATTAGGTCTTTGTTGGATTAGTCTCTTGGTGCTAGCTTGATAAGAGAATAAAATGTTAAAACCACAAAAAGAGAGATTTTAATCTCCTTAATTTTGTTGTAACTAAGTACTTGAAAATTATGAAAGTTATGATGAAGTGCTGGTTTACAGCAGATGACCCAGATTTAGAGTTCAAGGGGTTGAGAGATACATACTGCTTGTTTGGATGGCTTCAGCTTGTGGCCTTGCAGATTTAAAGTTAATATACATGTCTATTCGAGATCCAAGAAGGACTGCAAGAAGCTGCAGTGAAAGTAGAAATGTATAACCCCAGAGAAATACAGAAGAGAAGACTATAAATCATATAAATTATGTTGGAATGCCTGGAAATCCTGGAGGGGGCTCCTGAGAAAATTTTATGTGAAAATCTTTAGCTAATCCATCCTTGCAAAAGCTCTGAACAAGGTTTTTTAGTTTTTATTTTCTTTTTGTGTTTGTTTGGTTTCTTAACCAGATCCTAGCCTGATCTTGGCAGCCCTATATCCGGAGCTGGGATGAGCTTTACAGCTACCTATAGAATGAGAAGGAAAAGACTCTGAAAGACCTTTCTGACAAAAGCTATCATCCTCCATGAAAGTCCTGGTCAAGAGGCTGGCTAGTTATTGATCAGAATGTGGACAGGCCCTGAAGAGAAAGGGGCTATGTGACTTGATAGCACACTTTTCCCACATGTAAGAATATTGTTTTGTTTATATTCCCTCTTCACTCTACTCCCTGCACCCACCCCCACTTGCCCCAAAAATTAATTTTTTTTTTTCTGCAGACTTGATTTCTTGTCTCCTTACATCAGCACTGAAAATATCCTGGGCTTCTTTGACAGCAAGATGTCTAAATGCTTCCTGACAATTCATGGTTTAATACCCTTCCCTCTTTACCTCTGATTGTGTCATTATTTCCTCTACATCTTCAATTACACCTCCTCATAGGACTGGCTTATTGTCTCCCTCATTATAGAGACATCTCTGTTTCCAGGACCTTTTAGAACATATCTTCTGGTGAATTAAAACCATTTATCTGTCCCTTGGGTCTTGTTATCCTACATATATCACCTGCCTTCTTCAAAATCTTATTTCATACTGTCTCTTTGATTAGGACTTACAATTTACTTAGCATTACATGTGCAGAGGACATATGGGAGGAGGAACAGGTAAGATGCATATATTTGGTAACTGTAGGGATGCTTATTTTCTTTCTTCCCTTCATTCTAACCAAATGCTTCAGGCCCAGCCTTGATTTGGGGTAACAGGTTCCACTAAGACTCTTTTCCACCCCACCTCCCATTTTGCTGCTTAGCAATGATTTTCATATCTCTGCAGGGGCAGCTTTCTTGCCCTTGAAACTTTCTGTGCTCTGGGATACAAAATCAATGTGCAAAAATCACAAGCATTCCTATATACCAATCATAGACAAACAGAGAGCCAAATCATAAGTGAACTACAATTGCTACAAAGAGAATAAAATACCTAGGAATAAAACTTACAAGGGATGTGAAGGACCTCTTCAAAGAGAACTACAAACCACTGCTCAAGGAAATAAGAGAGGACACAAAGAAATGGAAAAACATTCCATGCTCATGGATAGGAAGAATGAATATCATGAAAATGACCATACTGCCCAAAGTAAAGTATAGATTCAATGCTGTCTCCATCAAGCTACCACTGAGTTTCTTCACAGAATTAGAAAAACACTACTTTAAATTTCATATGGAACCAAAAAAGAGCCTGTATAGCCAAGACAATCCTAATCAAAAAGAACAAAGCTGGAGGCATCATGCTATCTGACTTCAAACTATACTACAAGGCTACAGTAACCCAAACAGCATGGTACTGGCACCAAAACAGACATATGGACCAATGCAACATAACAGAGACTTCAGAAATAACACCACACATCTACAACCATCTGATCTTTGACAAACCTGACAAAAACAAGCTATGGGGAAAGGATTCCCTGTTTAATAAATGGTGTTGGGAAAACTGGCTAGCCATATGCAGAAAACTGAATCTGGACCCCTTCCTTACACCTCATACAAAAATTAACTCAAGATGGATTAAAGACTTAAATGTAAGACCTAAAACTATAAAAACCCTAGAAGAAAACCTAGGTAATACCATTCAGGACATAGGCATGGGCAGAGTCTTCATGACTAAAACACCAAATGCAATGGCAACAAAAGCCCAAATTGACAAATGGGATCTAATTAAGCTAAAGAGCTTCTGCACAGCAAAAGAAACTATCATCAGAGTGAACAGGTAATTTACATAATGAGAGAAAAGTTTTGCAATCTATCCATCTGACAAATGGTATCAGGGGAACCTGCCCCCAATATTTCAACATAGGTTCTTTCTATTTCCCATAAGTGTCGGCTGGCTGAGAAATAAAGAGAAAGAGTACAAAGAGAGGAATTTTACAGCTGGGCCTCCAGGGGTGACATCACATATCGGTAGGATCGTGATGCCTACCTGAGCCTTAAAGCCAGCAAGTTTTATTAAGGATTTCAAAAGGGGAGGGGGTGCAAGAACAGGGAGTAGGTCACAAAGATCACTTGCTTCAAAGGGCAAAAAGGAAAACAAAGCTCACATGCTTCTGAGGAAACAGGACAAAGGCAAAATCAGAAACTCCTGATAAGGGTCCAACAAAGATCACAAGGCAAAGGGCAAAAGCAGAATTACTGGTAAGGGTTTATGTTCAGTGGTGCACATATTATCTTGATAAACATCTTAAACAACAGAAAACAGGGTTTGAGAGCAGAGAACCAGTCTGACCTCAAATTTACCAGAGCGGGGTTTTTCCCCACCCTAGTAAGCCTGAGGGTACTGCAGGAGACCAGGGCATATTTCAGTCCTTATCTCGGGCATATTTCAGTCCTTATCTCAACCATATAAGACAGACACTCCTAGAGTGGCCATTTATAGACCTCCCCTCAGGAATGCATTCCTTCCCCACGGTATTAATTATTAATATTCCTTGCTAGGAAAAGAATTTAGCGACATCTTTCCTACTTGCACGTGCATTTATAGGCTCTCTGCAAGAAGAAAAATATGGCTCTATTTTGCCTGACCCTGCAGGCAGTCAGACCTTATGATTGTCTTCCCTTGCTCCCTAAAATCGCTGTTATTCTGTTCTTTTTCAAGGTGCACTGATTTCATATTGTTCAAACACACATGTTTTACAATCAATTTGTACAATTAACACAATTATCATAGTGGCCCTGAGGTGACGTACATCCTCAGCTTACGAAGATAACAAGATTAAGAGATTAAAGTAAGACAGGCATAAGAAATTATGAAAATATTATTTGGGAACTGGTAAATGTCCATGAGATCTTCACAATTTATGTTCTTCTGCCACAGCTCCAGCTGGTCCCTCCATTAGGGGTCCATGACTTCCTGCAACAAAGGGCTAATATCCAGAATCTACAAGGAACTTAAATAAATTTACAAGAATAAAACAAACATCCCCATCAAAAAGTGGGCGAAGGATATGAATAGACACTCCTGAAAAGAAGTGCAGCCAACAAACATATGAAAAAAACTCATCATCACTGGTCATTAGAGACATGCAAATCAAAACCACAATGAGATACCATCTCATGCCAGTCAGAATGGCAATCATTAAAAAGTCAGGAAAGAACAGATGCTGGAGAGGATGTGGAGAAATAGGAACATTTTTACACTGCTGGTGGGAGCGTAAATTAGTTCAACCATTGTGGAAGACAGTGTGGCAATTCCTCAAGGATCTAGAACCAGAAGTACCATTTGACCCAGCAGTCCCATTACTGGGTATATACCCAAAGGATTATAAATCATTCTACTATAAAGACACATGCACATGTATGTTTATTGCAGCACTATTCACAATAGCAAAGACTTGGAACCAACCCAAATGCCCATCAATGATAGACTGAATAAAGAAAATGTGGCACATATACACTATGGAATACTATGCAGCCATAAAAACAATGAGTTCATGTCCTTTGCAGGGACATGAGTGAAGGTGGAAACCATCCTTCTCAGCAAACTAACACAGGAACAGAAAAGCAAACACTGCATGTTCTCACTCATAAGTGGGAGTTGAACAATGAGAACACATGGACACAGGGAGGGAAACATCGCACACTGGGGCCTGCCGGGGGTGGGGGCTAAGGGAGGGATAGCATTAGGAGAAATACCTAATGTAGGTGAGGGGTTGATGGGTACAGCAAACCACCATGGAACATGTATACTTATGTGACAAACCTCCACGTTCTGCACATGTATCCCAGAACTTAAAGTATAATCATAATAATAAAAAAGAAACTTCCTGTGCTCTGGATGCAGGGGATTTGGCCCTGGGTCAGAACAATTTCTCTGTAGTAATGTATACGATTAAGCAAATGGTACTGAGCAATGTTCTTTCCCGAAGTCAAAATGCTCCCATTTAGGTAAAATTTGAGCCTGCTGCTGGCAGTTAGGAGCCAGAATGGCAAAGAGAAATTCAATGTAAAAGCAATATGAGTTTGAATGAAATTATGATAAGTGTCAGATGGCACCATTACCCACATCCCCATAGGCAGACATTAGGGAAGCTCTGTAACGTAATGCTGGAGCAGAATTCCAATAGTGGAAAGAAGAGTGGCATTCTGAACTGGAGTGTGAAACAAACATGTTAACTCTTTGAGGTCCTTTGGGAGCCAGGGATGTGGAATAAATGACTATAATTTGGTTGAACGAATGAAGCAATCTCTGGAGACAGAGAGAGAGAGAGAGAGAGAGAGAGAGAGAGAGAGAGAGAGAGAGACAGCAAGCATTTTCTGTTGATGTCACATTTATTTTCAATAATCAGTGAATCACGGAGTACACACAAACGAATTCCCAAGTAACTGAAATTTACTCCTTTGAAATGCAAAACTTGTTATGACTTCACTATTTTGTGAGATACTTTTCCCAGTTAAGAAATTAGATTAATGTGATCCTACCTTATTAAGCTGGAATACACCAAATATATGTCTTTTCTTGATGATTCAGGTTATCCTTATTTTCAGTAATTATAGTAGTCTTTTTTTGGGAAAGTGATATTTTTATCTGGGGTTTCAGTGATGGCAAGAATTGGCACACATGGAAGGAGATAGGTAATACAGATAGAAGAGATAACATGATCACCAACACTGAAGAATGCATATCATATTTTGGGAAAACTGAGAAGTTTAATATAACTATGGTATGGGTGTGTATAGTCCTTCATATAACTAAGAGTGAAATATAAAAAAGAAATTAGAATAGTTTGTGACTAAATTTAGGAAACTTTTAAAGTCATTTAAAAAGTATGCATTTTAACCAATATACAATGATGAGTTATCAAAGGCTTTTAAGGCAGAGAGTGAGGTGTTACCCTTGTGATCATGTTTCTATGTCTTTATGTCTGTATCAGTGGCTGCACTGAGGTGTGGCTGGGGAGAGGTTTAACCCCTCTGTCATCTCCTTTAGCTCCAATTCTGGTGGTCATTTCTGCAATCAAAAGACAGTGCTATGCGAACAGCTTCCAATCCATTTCCAACCAGTTAGCTTTTCCCAGATCCCAAGAAAGGTTGGTTAATAGGTACAAACATACAGTTAGAATAAGTTTTAGTGTTTGATAGCATAGTAGAGTGACGATTATGGTTAGCAATTATTGTATATTTCAAAATACCTAGAAGAATTTAAATGTTCCCAACACAAAGAAATGGCAAATGTTTGAGGTGATAAACATGCTAAATACCCTGATTTGATCATTTTACATTGTATGCATTCATCAAAATATTACATGTACTCTGTAAATAAATATGTACAATTATATCACTAAAAATAAAAAACATAACAAGAAAAGAAAGAAATTCTTAAGTCACTACTGCTCAGTTTATATCTCCAAGTATCTCAATATCTTAGAAAGTACATACTACATGCCAGACATTATATTCATTTATCCTTTATATACATTTCCCATTTAAATCATATAACTACCTCATCAGATAGGTATAGTCATACCTTGGAGATATTGTGGGGTAAGTTCCAGGGCACTGTAATAAAGCAAATATCAATATAAAGTGAGTCACAAGAATTTTCTCAATTTTCCAGTACATATAAAAGTTATATTTAAACTATACCATATTAAGTATTCAATAGCATTGTGCCTAAAAAACACCAATGTACATACCTTAATTTAAAAATACTTTATTGCTAAAAAGTGCTATCAGTCACCTGAGCCTTCAGCGAGTTGTAATCTTTTTGCTGAAGGAGGGTCTTGCCTCAGTGTTGAAAGCTTTTGACTGATCAGGGTGGTGGTTGGTGAAGGTTGGGGTGGCTGTGGCAATTTATTCAAATAACATTGAGGTTTGTTTAGTCAAATGACACTTTCTTTCATGAAAGATTTTTCTACAGAATGCAATGCTCTTTGATAGTATCTTACTCAGAGCAAAATTTTCAAAAGTGGAGTGAATCCTCTCCAACCCTGCAGCGGCTTTACCAACTAAATTTATGTAATATTTTAAGTCCTTTGTTGTCATTTCCACAATGTTCACAGAATCTTCACCAGGATAAGTTTCTATCTGAAGAAACCACTCTTTGCTCATCCGTAAGAAGCAACTCCTCGTCTATTCAAGTTTTACTATGAGATTGCAGCAATTCAGTCACATCTTCAGGCTCCACTTCTAATTCTGGTTCTCTTGCTATTTCCATTGTATCTGCAGTGACTTCTTCCACTGAAGTCTTGAACCCTTCAAAGTCATCCATGAAGATTGGAATCAACTTCTTCAAAACTCCTGTTAATGTTGATATTTTACCTCTTCCCATGAATCATGAATGTTCTTATGGCATCTAGAATGGTGAATCCTTTCCTGAAGGTTTTTAATCTGCTTGGCCCAGATACATTAGAAAAATGACTATCCATGGCAGCCATAGACTTACAAAATATATTTCTTATATAATAAGACTTGGAAGGCAAAATTATTCATTCCCATGGGCTGCAGAATGGATGTTGTGCTAGCAGGCATGAAAACAACATTAATCTCCTTGTACATCTTTATTAGAGTCTTGGGTGAAATGGTGCATTATCAATGAGCAGTAATATTTTGAAAATAATATCAGTAGGTCTTAACAGTGGACTTAAAATACTCAGTGAACCATGCAATGAACAGATGTGCTGTCATCCAGGCATTGTCATTCCATTTATAGAGTACAAGCAGAGTATATTTGGCAGGATTTGTAAGGACCATAGAATTTTCAGAGTGGCAAATGAGCATTGGCTTCAACTTAGTCACCAGCTGCATTAGCCCCTAACTAGAGAGTAAGCCTGTCTTTTGAAGCCAAGCATTGACTTCTCCTCTCTAGCTATGAAAGTCCTAGATGGTGTCTTCTTCCAATAGAAGGCTGTTTTGTCTACATTGAAAATCTGTTGTTTAGTATAGCCGCCTTCATTAATTATCTTGGCCAGATCTTCTGGATAGCTTGCTGCAGCTTCTCCATCAGTACTTGCTGCTTTACCTTGCACTTTTATATCACGAAGACAGCTTCTTTCCTTAATCATCAGGAACTAACCTCTGCGAGCTTTAAGCTTCTCTTTGGCAGCTTCCTTACCTCTGTCAGTCTTCACAGAATTGAAGAAAGCTGGATTAGGCATTGGTTTAAGGGAACTCTGTAGCCTGGTTTGATCTGCTATCCAGACTACTAAAACCCTCCATATAAGCATTAAAGATGTTGCACTTTCTTATCATTTGTGTGTTCACTAGAGAAGCACTTTTAATTTACTTCAAGAACCTTTTCTTTGAATTCACAACTTGGCTAACTATTTGGTGCAAGAGGCCTAGCATTTGCCCTATCTCAGCTTTCAATATACCTTTCTCACTAAGCTTTGTCATTTCTAGCTTTTGATTTAAAGTGAGAGATGTGTGACATTTTATTTCATTTGAACACTTAGAGGCCATTGTAAGGTTACTAGTTGGCCTAATTTCAGTAATTTCAATATGGTTGTATCTTAGGGAGCAGGGAGGCCCGAGGGGGAAATAGGGGAGGGGAAGGCCAATCAATAGAGCAGTCAGAACACACATAATTATTAAGTTTGCATTCTTATATGGGTATGGTTCATGGCACCTCAAAACAATTACAATAATAACATCAAAGATTACTGATTACAGATTACCACACCAGATATGATATTAATGAAAAAGTTTGAGATATTGTGTGAATTACCCACATGTGATACAGAGACATGAAGTGAGCACATGCTATTGAAAAAAACGGCACTGAGACTTGCTAGGCACAGGGTTGCCACAAACCTTCAATTTGTAAAAAACTCAATACCTGTGAAGCATAATAAAGCAAAGCACAACAAAAGAGGTATGCCTGTATTAGTTAGCCTGTCCATTTGACGGAAGAGGAAACTGAGGCTCAGAAAGGTGAATTAACTCACCAACAGTTACATGGTTAGTGGCTAGTACGCCTTTTACTCAAATGGAAGTCTGATTTCCAAGCCCACACTGTTGTGGTAGCTGAGGGCAAAGGTAACACATATTTGAATTAGGTCATATACAGTGCGGATGGAGAACAGGGGTTAAATCTGAGATTTTATTTTTATTTTTTTTTTTTTTTGATACAGAGCCTCACTCTGTCACCCAGGCTGGAGTGCAGTGGTGCCATCACAGCTCACTACAGCCTCCACCTCCTGGGCTCAAGCAATCTTCTCACCTCAGCCTCCCGAGTAGCTGGGACTACAGGTGTGCACCACCATGCCTGACTAATTTTTTTAAAAAAAATTATAGTGACGGGTCCCACTGTTGCCCAGGCTGGTCTTGAACTCCTGAGCTCAAGCTATCCTCCCGCCTTGGCCTTTCAAAGTACTGAGATTACAGGTTTGAGTCACTGTGCCCTGCCAAATCTGAAATTATTTGGGAAGAAAAATTAGTGTTCTACTTTTAAAATGTCCAGAAATTCATGAAAACAGTTCTGGTTTAACTATGTTATAAATTAGCAATGTCTTTGTCTGCACAAAAATTAGAAAAGAATGCAGCAGTTGCAGTCATTCAATGAAGACGCTGTTTTGAAAATATTAGTAAGAAATTGGATATTTCTGTGTGTCTCAATTCAGTGTGTGTGTGTGTGTGTGTGTGGCCAGTGTTTGAGCGTACAGTCAGTCACTGTAATTGTTACTGTGTGTACTCAAGAGTAATGGAACATAAGTTCTTTAAAAGCACTCTGTTATTTAAATTACTCACTAATTAGATTTGCCACCCCATCCCTTATTTGTCTTACTCTGCAAGTTTGTGGTTCTTTCTTTTATTGCACCTCAAATTTTTCCAGATGTTACAGTTTTCAGAATTCTTTCAGATGCCTCTTCTCATTTGAATTATACAACAGTCATGTAAATAAATGAGGCTCAGAAGACATTTAATGTTTTGCCCAAGGGAACAGAGATAATTAGTGATTGAGCTAGACTGGAAGTCATAGCTCTTGACTCTCAATTCAGTGTTCTCTCTATTTAACCATAGGCACCATCTCATCCCAGGCATCTAGCACAGTGCATGGGCATAGTAGGTGCTCACTCACTGTTTGACCAATGGATGACTAAGTAAATATTAGCTAATATTAGCATTGAGTTATGAAAGATTTGATAATAAACTGCTAGTAATTAATGATTCCCAATGTTTGCTCAAAGTCAATTCTTTATTTTAATGACACACTAAGGATAATTCAAATGAACCGCTGTAGTTAACTTCACTGAGGATAAACTAGAGCTCTATTGATTTTGCAGTAGCTTCCAGGGATTGTGGTGGTGGTTGGAAGTCATTCTTTTGATAGAAAGTAATTACATTTATTTACACAAGAAGGATGATTTGTGGTATAGAAGAAAGAATAGCAGGTCAGAGGACTTGGGTTCACATCCCTGTTCTGTAATTTACTAAATTTGTGACCTTGGGGAAATTATGAAACTTTCTGAGCCTCAATTTCTACATTAATAAAATAATAATAATAACATCTGTATCAACAGGATTGCTGTGAAAATAAAATGACATCATAAGTGTGTGAATGTTCTTTGTGAAATATAATGTACTATACAAACTTGGGAGTTTTGTTATTATTTGATGTTTTAGATAAGATAAAAGAATGTTCAATAGCAACTATAATGCCAAGGAAATCATGTAAGTCCAATCAGAATGGTATTGCTGCAACGATGCCCAGCCAACTTTACATTGTGTCCTGACAAAGACAAAGTTGGTAATAAGTAATGACTCACTGTTACTAGGCTAACAAAAGGGAATGTTTCTGTGAGACAAGCATCTCTTTTTTGATTCTCTGGTAGGGATATTGCTTAAAATGGCTATACAGTAAACTGATTGAATGTGGATTTGTGGGGAGACAATTCATTTCCTACTTAAGCATCACTTCCTGAAATACAAATACTTTGTTCAAAGAGCTCTGAAGGAGATTGGGCTGTGACACCTAATTTGTATGTGTGAAAATCTGCAAGTCTAGTCCAAGGGCTAGTAGAAATGTATTTACTGCTTTGGATTTCTTAGTTGTGCCAGATGGCTCAAGTCTGACCTATCTGAAAACAAGCCTGTCATCTTCTCCTCAAACTACTCTTTTTGTTTTCTTATTGCTGTGTCCAGCAGCTTAAGTGCCTTTTGATTCCAGCTTTCCCTTTCTCCCTAGTTACCAAGTCTATTGACTGTTATTTGATGGTGTCTTGTATTTCTTCCTCTCAATAGTCACCACTTCATACCCTTGTTGCCATTTTATATGCTTTGGCATATACTAACTGATTTCCCTGCCTCTGTCACATCAATGCATCCTGTCACCTCTCCAGATGAATCTGCCTAAGCTACTGCTGTTGATTACTTTATCTCTCTGCTCAAAAGCTTTGCTGGATCCTAGCTGCCCACTGAATGGGCCATACACTGACATTCAAGGCCTTCCACAATCTGTTCCAGACCTTATCTGTTCTACTACTGATTCCCTATGGGCTTAAGTCAAAATCCTCTTTCATCCTTTTCAGAATACATCTTGCTGTTTCCTATCTTTGTGGCTTTATTTAAGGCTTTCCTTCCATATGGAAGCATCTTTCTTTTTTTTTTTTTTTTTTTTTTTTTTTTTTTTTTTTTTGAGACGGAGTCTCCCTCTGTCGCCCAGGCTGGAGTGCAGTCTCCGCTCATTATAAGCTCTGCCTCCCAGGTTCACGCCATTCTCCTGTCTCAGCCTCCCGAGTAGCTGGGACTACAGGCGTCCGCCGACACGCCCGGCTAATTTTTTGTATTTTTAGTAGAGACGGAGTTTCACCGTGTTAGCCAGGATGGTCTCAATCTCCTGACCTCGCGATCCGCCCGTCTCGGCCTCCCAAAGTGCTGGGATTACAGGTGTGAGCCGCTGCGCCCGGCCCGGAAGCATCTTTCATATCCCCACCCAACAATAACCTTCCCATCCTTTAGAGGGAACTTCAAATGGCGTCTCTTCACATATGAACTTTGGAGTTGTGGCTCAACTACTCCAGGGTGAGTTATTAAATATGCCCTGTGACTTTGAGCAAGTTACCAACCTCTCAGAGTCTCAGTTCCGTAAACTGAAAAATGGGGAAAGCTCTGTGAAGTAGATATTGTGAGGAAAAAATAAAGTGTAAAGCATGAAAGACTTACCACATGTCTGGGATATATTAATCACTCAGTAAAAGGTAGCTGTTCTCATTGTCGTTACTCTAGACAGAGAAGATATAACTCCTTTCTGAATTCCTAAACCTCTTCGTACAACTCTCAGGAGATTTGTCTCATGCTGGTTTATAATTTTTTTCAAATTTTCCCTGCTGAGATATTCCAAGTTCTTTGAGGTTGGGAAACTTACACGGTCTTTGTATGTGAAGCTGCCTGCATAGTAGACAGCTGGATGAATGCAAAAATACTTGAAAGAAGGGAACTATTACCACCTCCTCTTTTTATTTTTTCTGAAGGACAATATTTGTAATAATGACATTGTATGCAATGAAATTGGACATGCACTCACAGAATCCTTGTGAAATAAGATATTGTTATTATTATTGGGAAAGACCGTATCTTTTGCATATGAGAAAAATAAAAATTAGAAAGGTATTCAAACAGCACTGTAACGCTTCTCACTGAGTTACCTATGGTTGAGCATCTAGTCCCCAGCTCAGTTAACATTATTGTGTTATACTCTTCATTATGTACTGACTTCCTTGTTAATGTGCTTCAGATTTTATTAAAAAATTCTTTATTCCTATCATGCTTGTGCACATAGAGAAATACGTAACATAAAATGTAAAATAATTGCATATTTAGTTGCACATATTTAGATAAACTTAGATCTCTATACTTTTCTTTAGTCTGGCCTGACTTAAACAACTCTCCACAGAGCTATGCAAATCCTGGCCTGTTTCCTGAGCATTTTCTGAAATGGCTGAAACAGAGAGAGAGGACGTTAAAAATAACCACCCTTCTCCCTGTGCCTGCCCAAGCTGTGTATAATAGGGAAGGGGTTGAGATCACTCCATGACATGATTGGAAAGTATTTTGACTCTCCGGGCTCAGAGGCAGTGTTGATGATGGTGACTCTGGGAGGCTAGGGGTGGGGGAGAATTACATGAGAAAGGAGGTAGAAAAATGAAAAGGCAGATGAATCCCAATGAGCTTTACCACATTGCTTTCCACAACTAGATGAGTTTTCTTTCTAGACTTTTTCTATTTCTTAGGGCCTACATTCCATTCAGATCCCAGATGGCAGTCACTCTATTTATCTGCCTTGCATGTGGGAAAATCACACTTACCTTATTAGAGTGCTGTCATTTCTAATATAGGAGAAGTAATAATGTTCAAAGTAGCAGGCTTGGGGAACTTAGGAGAGGCATTGAGTTGGAGGAATAACAATGACAGGTACTACCCTTAGATGAGAAGAAAGGATGACTTAAATCATGTGCCCTGCTTTCATTCTTGTGAAGTTTGAGTCAATAGTCAGTGTCAATGACCATACCCTCGCAAGTGAGACTATTTGTATTATTCTTTTGTCCTAATGCTCTGCACACAGTGGGTGCTCAATATTGGTTGTTGACTGCCTACCAAATTTCACTGTAAGGCAGTTCTTTGACCTGATCTTCTATTGTAACCAACTACAATAGAATAAAATAGGGGTTTGATTCTCCCTCTGGAAGAGTGGCTGCAATCAATGTGTAAACTGATGGTGTACCCTCCTCCTGAGATAAAATTGATGACAACCATGCTGTGTTCCAGGGAAAACTGAATGCAGTCCTCCCTAACCCAATGAGCTATGGCATTTTTCCCTCAGCACTTCTTTACACATGAATGACTAAAAAGTGATTGCACCTAAAAATAAAATCTATCATTGAATCACAGTTATAAGCATTATATCATGTAAACGTCTTAGTTTCTTTATTTTTTGTTAAGAAGAATGAAATCCTGACAAATGAGAGTGAATCCAATTGGCTTTGTCCAAATTTTATGTAGAGTATAAAATTAGGTTTTGAGTATTTGCCGAGCAATAGCTCAAGATTGATGGATGGAAATCTGATAATCCACAAACGTGACCCAGCACAATATTGTCTTAATTTGCTTTGTGAGGATTAATTCAACTATTTTCTGCTTTCATGGCAGTGAATATACAGTGTGGTGCAAATAATGCCCTGTAAACAAATGCTGAGCTTCCTTAATCTTTGCAAATATCTTTAGTTGGCCGTTTATCTGAGCGTCCTTTAGGAGGTTCTAGGATACATCCCAAAAGCATGTGGAAAACCATGGAAGAAAGAAGACTCTAATCAAAGAGAACAATGGTCCATTGGACTCAATATTTGCTCCAGGAGTTTCATTTCTGTCTGGTATTTTAAAGACAATTTTGATGACTTTTTGATAGTTTATCCTAGTCTTGCCACAATGACTGAAATACCAGAAGTAAAATTTTACTATAAGGAAATGTATTATAGTAAAACGTCCCATGTTTAATGTGACTTTGAAATTCCATTCCAGCAAATGCAAAGATGTAGAAAATGATGCCAGCAGAAGTAATCTGGATTCCTAGCTAGACATGGTCACAAATATCATCTAGAAAATGTTCTCTTACTAGGCTTCACAACCTCTCTCAGAGCAGTAATCTAGGAGAGGGCCATGTTGAAAATCTGAGAAAAGCCAACCCTGAACCTCCTACGCATTCACAGACATGCAGAATTTTGCCCGACACTTATAGGGTTTACATATCTTTTGAAATTCAGCCACTAAAGGTTCATCCATGTTGAAAAATATGTTAGAAGAAAGCCATAAGAGTAGGGGAAGTTTATTACAGTGAAAGATATTTTAAAAACAATTATTAAAAAATTTCCAAAACAGAATTGATAAACTCTGAGATAATGCAGTGAGAGGAGAAGGTGTGGTGCCATATAAGAATTTCTTCCTCCCCCTACCCCTGCCTCATGTTTCTTAGTTTAGCAGCCAGTGTTTTCTATTTCAGTGTTTTAGGACTCTCCTGTTTTATGAGCATCCTGTTAATTAGCTGTGTGGTTTCTATAAGATTGTTCCCATAGCATTGGTGGTAGCTATTTGTGGCTGCCAGAAAACCCTGACTTTTATGAAATATTCTTACACAGAGAAAGGGCAACTAATAAGTGCTGGATAATGTGTGATCATGGGGAAGCTGAGATTGACAACAGGAATTTATAGAAATGGGTTCAAGATCCCCACCTAATTTAGCACAAAGGGACTGAATAATGATGACATGTTTTATAAAAACAGCATGTTATAAAGTGTTATCATAATTTAAAGCTTTGTCTTGGTAGACCAGGGATTTAGTTCCTATTAGGATACTGAATATTCATTTAGGTATAGTTTTATGAGGATCTTGGATCAATTTTTCCCTCCTTTTGGCTTTACTGAAACTGTTTTGGCCACATTGCATAATTGTGAAGGGTGATTGTAGAGTCCATTGTGAAAGAAATGTTTGGAAATAAAATAAGGAAAATTATTTTAGAATCTAAAGTTTGGATACTTGAGATGGCCTAGGAGAATGCTCAAAGGTGGGAAAGAAAGGACCTTGCCCAAGATGGGTCAAAAGAAGGCAGACTTGAAATGAAGGTTGGGCTGTAGCATGGCAGAATACGTTTTGTGCAGTGTGAGAGCTGTCCAACCATGGGTGCTGCTCTGAGTGCTACTAGACAACATTTAATATGTCTCTAGACCACCTTCCCTGAACTTCTAGAACAAATGGGTCCCTCTGTTTTCTGAATCAAACTAAATTCTCCTGATGGGAGGCAGTAGAGAAGAAAATTGAAAAACACAGGCTTTGGTATCAGGCTGTGTTTGATTCCCAGTTCCACCACTTACTGGGTGAGCTTGGTACTTCATTCAACTACTTTGTGTGTGAGTTTCTTCTGTAAAATTGGGACGCTAATTATATTCATATCATAGAGTTATTGAGAAGGTTAAAGGATTTAATGTATGACTCAACATCCATTAAGTACCCAATAGATGATAGCAGTTGTTACTATAACCCCATTAGCCTTTTGCATTTAGTCAGTATAATCGATTCTAATGATTCAGCTAAGATATCATGAGTTCAATGAAGGCTGGGATAGTGACTTATGTTTGTAATCATTGTGACATCTAGCACAGTGTCTAAAAGAAAATAGAAACTCCATATACGTCTGCTATATGAATTGACTTTTATCTATAGGGTGACAAGAATTACAGTTTTGGGAAGAGAAGGAAAGGGGAATAAAAGATGGATCGACTATTGTTCATCACTATACATTGTAAACAGCGATTGTTGTTTCTTTGTGTGTATGTGTTTTATTATTATTTTTTTTGTTTGTGGTTTTAATTTTTTTTTCAGCTTTTAGGATAAAGTTTCACAATAACTATAAGGGAGGTACTGGTTTCCTTAGCTCAGTAGTTCCCCCTTATTTGCTGGGGATATGTTCCAAGACCCCATCGGATGCCTAAAACCATGGATAATACTGAACCCTAAATATACAATATTTATTCCTATACATACATACCTATGATAAAGCTTACATTATAAATTATGCACAGTAAGAGATTAACAATAATAACTAATGATAAAATAGAACAGTTATAACAATATGCTAGCATCACCATTCTTGTGATTTGTGGCCGTTATTAAGTAAAATAAGGGTTACATAGCACAAGCATGGCAATACTGCAATAGCGAATCTGATAACATAGATGGTGGCTACTGACTAATGGATGGGTAGTGTTTACAGTGTGGATACACTGGACAAAGAGATGATTCATGCCCCAGGTAGGACAAAGTGGTTTGGCTCAGGATTTCATCACACTACTCAGAATAGTGTGCGATTTAAAATATATGAATTCGTTTTTGGAATTTCCCATTTAATAATTTTGGACCGTGGTTGATGGCAGGTAACTGAAACCATGGAAAGCAAAACTGGATAAGGGAGGACTACTTTACTCTACTTTTCACAAAGATGCCTGGATAGGGATCAGTGATTTGCAGAATGATAACTCTGAAACTCCATAAAATTCTCTAGCAATAGAGGTGCAACAAGCTTTATTCAAAAACTTACTAAGACACGATAAAAGACTATAGGACTAATCCATTGTCAATATATATACACACAAATATATACACACATATATATAATTTTTATGTTTTTAATCTATTGTGAAATATAGCACACATACAAAAAAACTGACAAATTAACTTTTGAAGGATTTTCAGTATTAATGGTTTTAGGTGTAAACATTTATCTAGCACATTTAATTAAACTCAACCCCTGTCCCTTATGGTTTAATAAACCTTTTTATGATGATTTATATTCACATGTTAAATATCAGTCGTGTGCATCAAACATGTCTTGTGTGTAGGAGCTCTATATTTTCAGTTGGCTATGCTCAGACTAGGGAGCTAAGAGTTATAAAACCTGCCCCGCACTGGTTCTTTTTACATTTCATGGTTCAAGTTGTGAAGCTGAGGGCACACCTTCTGCATTTTTCCTGGTCACTTCAAATTCTATCAATACCTTTCCATCTGGCAGAGGTCTGTGGTGGTGTGGGCAAGGAAAAGAAAATTCTATTCATCTTCTTTTCCTGTCCAGGCAATTATTGACCTTCTTTCAGTCCTTCTCTTTGATGGTATTTAACCTTGTCGCCTACATAGTTCACTGTCTGACTTCTGATATTTTGACAGGCCCTTAGTACTATTGCTTCTCAACGACACTTTTGGCACTTCAGAGACTGCCAAATTAGTTAAGCTTCTTTCTAATTTGAACTTTTAACAGCCCTCTTTTCAGACTCTGGGGTTTGCTACAGCTGTGGATTTGTATACAATTTGAGAAAACTTAATACGAACAAACCCTAAAGGAATTTGAATTTGGTCAAGTAAGTGTAGCTTTTTCTTTCTTCCTTTTTCTGGTTGACCTTCTGATTCTAAGCAGTCAATTAGACTGAGTTTTGAACTAGGATTTTTTGGGAGGAGGTGTTATGATAAATAACAGAGACAGCCCGATTGATCCTTACATATGTAAAATAAATATTTTCAAGGTAACTTTAGGGTCTTATCCAAACTTCTTTTGCTGAAGCTAATATTAAAAAAAATGTTTCCCCCTCATCTTAAATCTGCAATTGTCCATGAATAAATGAAAATACTTGACTTCTGAAAGATACATTTGATTTTTAGATATGGTTTTAAAAGTGTTCTAGGCTGGGCAAATGGTTTTCTGTGTCAAGACTTATAATCAAAATTCGTCATCCTATCTAAACTCATTTATAATGACAGTACTAATAATATCCTTTTATATATTGAGCATCTGTGATGTACTTGACACTGTGTATCTTAGACACCATCCTACAATAACAGAATACCGCAGACTGGGTAATTTATAAAGAACAGGAATTTCTTTCTTATAGTTTTGGAAGCTGGGAAGTGAAAGATCAAGGCATCAAAACGTTTGGTGTCTGGGGAGGGTCTGCTCTCTAATTCCAAAAGGGCTCCTTGAAGGCTGCGCCCTCTAGAGGAGAGAAACACTATTTTCTAACATAGCAGAAGAGTGGGAAAGAGTGAACCCAATCCTTCAAGCCCCTTTCACAATGGCATTAATCCATTTATGGGTGAGAAGCCCTCATTACCTAAACACTTACCTTTAGGCCCTACCTCCTACCACTGTTGCACTGGGGATTAAGTTTTCAGCAGATGAATTCTGGGGGCACATTCAGACAATAGCAATGCACTAGGAGCTTTATCTATGTTGTCTTATTTAATTCTCATAACCATTCTGGAAATATGGTACACTTATTATGCCCATTTTACAGATGAGGAAACTTAGTGGTTAAATAACTGTCCCAAGGTTATGTAGCTATACATCCTCATACTTAGCATAAAACATGGATACGCGAATTGTGCTTTAGTTAATTGGTCTTCTGGATTGTGAACATTAGCCATTACTTGTGCTTTGGATAAATACTACTTTTCCTCCACTACTTCTACTGTTATTCTTTATAAAATGAACACACACACTCACAAATGAACATGCAGATTTCCCTCATAGCCACTTACTCTATTGCTTCTCTCATTTTAGCTCTTGGGCCTTGTCCTTTTTATTCCCACTGCCTTTGACACTGAAATGACCTACAGACATTTACTTTAGTCCTTGCACAGCATGGAATTTGAGGTTTAATTTTTCAAGGCATCTTTCTGACTCTGGCCATGACCTGCTCCTACTCTACAAAGCATGTATTGCTATTCTGTATGTTTTCTTTTTGCTTTTCACTCATTAGTCAGTCCCTGGTTTCGCTTTTCTACTTTTGTCTAAAAAAATAATGATTCCATACAGTCTTAAACTCGTTATGTAGAAGACAAAGGATACTCAGGACCTCAGCCTCTCAGCTTTTGTTCACATGGAGGAAAGAAAGGATACGTTAGCCGGAACTCAAGTACAATGAGAACTAAAGGAAGGGATATTGTCTTCTGTGGATCTTTCTCTTTCGGGAAATTGTCATTACTCCAGACTGTGTCCTCTCTCTGTTACAGAACTGCCTTGAAACAATCCTGTGACCTGAAGCTAACTCTATATAGGCAGAATGTGCAGAAAACGCTATAATTCTTTGGTAACCCACATGTTATATTTTGCACAAAATGCTACATTTAGGTTTAATGCATCAGCATTCCATGGCATTCCATAAAGCGAGCTGTGACTTTCAGGTACTCTGCCACACCAAAACGTTTGTTAACACCAGTTTTATAAGTACAGACTTCACAGAACACTGGGCCAGAGATATGTTGATACAGGAGAGAAAAATTTTGATGAGCATAAGGAAAAAAGCTAGACTCTAGCCTTAGGGTGATGAACAAATCTAGATGGGGCACCACAGTGTGGAGCTTGAAGCACCCAAGACATAAGGCCGCTGAGTGTCTGGTGCTAGAGTAGAAGATATTTAAAAAGCTAGCAACTTTACCCACATCTGATTTAGTCTAGGGCTTTTAGCTTCAAGATAAAAATAATAAGGGCTGGGCACGGCACGGTGGCTCACGCTTGTAATCCCAGTACTTTGGGAGGCAGAGGCAGGCGGATCACCTGAGGTCAAGAGTTCAAGACCAGCCTGGCCAATACGGTGAAACCCTGTCTCTACTAAAAATATAAAAAATTAGCCAGGCGTGATGGCGGGTGCCTGTAATCTCAGGTACTTGGGAGGCTGAGGCAGGAGAATCGCTTGAACCCAGGAGGTGGAGGTTGCAGTGAGCCGAGATCACGCCACTGCACTCCAGCCTGTGTACGACAGAGTGAGACTCCATCTCAAAAAAAAAAAAAGAAAGAAATATAAAAATAATATTTTAGGGATGAGGCAACCAAACAACAAACACTTCCAGACACAGGAGGAGCAGAACTGAACATTAGGCATGGGGCACTCATCTAAGGGCTTCCTGCAAGATCTCTGGTTTCATGCTTTTCTCAAAACAGGTCACCTACTTCATTACTCCTCTCCCTCTTTAAAAATGGGACTTAGCACAGTGCGTTTCATTAAGTGAGTACGTTATCCTAGCCTCTGCCACCACGAACACCATTTCCCCTGTGAAGAAGGTAGTGACTTTATTAATGCAGATCCTTTATGAAAATTTAATGAGGCTATCTATCAAGAGTAATGTAATAAATTTGCTTAGTCACTGATTTAGTATGGGCTGTGTATGTGTGTGTGTGTGTGTGTGTGTGTGTGTGTGTGTGTGTGTGAGAGAGAGAGAGAGAGAGAGAGAGAGAGACCTAGTAATATGATTTTGTTATTGGAGTCACTTCTTTTAAAAGCGTATATGCTACAAAATGGACAAAAAAGCCCCCAAGAACAGAATGGCCACACCATAAGCAGAGTAAATACCTTCAGGATTTTGGGGGCTTTATCTTAGACTTGAGAATTATGGGCACTGGAGGAGAGCTGAAGAAGGACAGAAAACATTCTAGTGGAAAGGGAGAGAAAGGTACACAGAGCCATAGACACGGATGCCCATGTAGAACTACAGGTAAATTCTGCCTCAGACTCATGCTCTGTAACTTGATTATTAACAAGTGAACACTTTTCTCTTTACCAGACACTGGATTAACCTTCTGCTAAATTGTGAGGAGACAAAATTTAGGTCCCCAGGCCACCCACAAAATTTGATCTCCTTGGACTCCTAGTTCAAGGAATCTTCTTAATTTTGTCTCGGTAGCTGCCTGTGGCTTCCCACAATGGATGCCTCCCTGCAACATAGAACTTTTTAGCAGGACCCTTAACACCATTCCACGTTGTATCTCATTCAACTATTTATTCCACAAACATTTGTTGAGCACCTTCCATGTACAAAAAACTGTACTAGGTATCAAAACTTTGCCTGTTTGGCCTATTACAAGGATCAGCCTGATATCAGCAGATAAGTCTCACTTATTTCCTATAGGGGCACCTGTACTCCCTTTTGTATATAACCTATGAGCCTGATTCAGTACCAGATAGGAGTATGAGGATTTGAGTTCTAGTTCCAACTTTACCACTCATTGATTATTATCTTTGGTAAATCATATATATTTTCTGGGTTTTATTTTTTTTCTTAAAAGATAAATGGCTTAGACCAGGTAACCATTATTTTTTTCCAGTTTGATTAATCTTTGGTTAAAGAACTGACCATAATTTATTCATTCATTCACCAAATATTAGATTTGAAAGGGGAGGACACTGAAGATAAAGTGAAGAACATAAGCAAACGTGATTCTTGTTATGGCTTTCATTTTCTGATTATCTTTTGAAGGATTGAATCTCAAGAATGGGGGTCTCAGGAATGAGAAACTCAAGAAAGCCTGAATAAAAGCCAAGGTGTCAGGGGACTTAGTAAAGCAATGGGAGGAAACCCTTGTGATGATTCATTGTTTCTACACCCGCAGAATAGCAACTGCCTCCAACAGGTCATGTCTTAATGAATGCTGTGGATGCGTACCAAACACAATGCTAATCAATGTCCTATGGAGCACTGAATGCATGTTAGGCAGTTACCTGGAATAAAGACTAATATCTGCAGCCACTATGGAATTGTCTTCATAGGCAATGTGAAGTGAGGTGGAAGGTGAACAGAAGAAACACTGTGCTGGTCAATTGGGGTTACAGCTGGCTGTCAAGACAGGAGAATAGACATAGGCATGCTTTGGTCCCAGGAACCTGGGATTTTTGGCTGTTTCTCATCTCCCTCTTTGTTCTCTTTAATGTCATTGAAAGATAGACAAGAGAAGGGATTTGCTAATTTGGATATTGAAAAGGCCCACCCTCTGAGTAGCAGGTAGAATTTATTTTTGCTGTCCACTAACAGCTCTTTCTTCAGGTAAATGGTTCTCAGGCAGAGGAAATTTGCTCAATACGGGACATTTGACAGTGTCTGGAAACCTTACTGGTTGTCACACCTGGGACTGTGTGGTAGTAGTGTCCTGGTGTCTACTGGATAGAGGCTGGGGATGCTGCTAAACATTCTACAATGCACAGGACAGACACTCTGTAACAAAGAATTATCCAGCCCAAAATAGTGCTGAGGTTTGGAAACTTTGCTTTAGATTATTCATGCATTAAGCCATTCAGAGTACCTACTGTGTTCCAGACACTGTGCTGGGTGCTGGGGACACAGTGATGAATAAGACAGACATGGTGCCTGCTGTCGTGGAATTTACAATGAGGAAGACAGAAAATAAACAAGTAACAATAGGTTCCTTTTATTTATCACCGATTATAATAGGCTCCTTTCAGCCTCTATAAACCACAATTCTGCATGTCTATTCATACAACAGACATTCACTCAACACTTACTCAAAGCCAGACATCTTGTCAAGGAGGCAATGATACTTAAGTCAGATTTGATCTCTGTCCTAATAGACGTTAGTCTAGTGGGAGAGACAGACATGAAAATAAACAATTGCAATACTAGATGATAGCTTTAATAAAGCGGGGGGCAAAGTGCTATAGGAACATAGAATATAAGAGTGTAGGCTGCCTTGGAGGTGATAATAGCAGCTGAAAACTCAATAGAAAACATGTTTTGCAGCCAGGTCCTGAAGAAATATTTTGAGTTCATTGGACATAAATGTTGAGAAAGGCATTTCTGTTAAAGAGATCAATATGAAGAAAGTCATGGAGGGTGAACATTCATAGTGTGTTGGTGAAATGGCCTTGGCATGTTGTGTCTAGCCTATAGGGTACCTGAATGGGAGTGGCTAAGCTGAGGCTGGAAAGGCAAGCAAGAGTCATAACAAGGAGGGCTTTATAGAATATGTTAAGGTCCTTGAGTTTTCTCTCAGGGACAATGGGAAGGTGTTGAAATATTTTATGCGGGACGGTGATATGGTCAGGCTCCTGCTATAGATGGTCAGGACTTAGTAAAACCCTCCATAGCTACTCTCATCATGATTAAATTTCTCTTACTATGGTCTCTCCTGCACCACCATCCAAGATTGTCTGCTCTCACTGATATCTCATTGTTTACTATAACAGATTCCTGCCCACTAAGCAACTGGGTGCCTGGCATGAGTCTGAGGTCCTCAGATGACAAGTCTGCATTCACCATTAATTGGTTCTTCTGGAATCATAAGCTATTAAGTTTGGAAATGACCTTAGAGGGAGGGCAAGTGGAAGTGACTAAAATTAGTGATCGCTTACCATGTGCCAGTAATTGTGCCTATCTTATATGCCATATAGCTCCAGTGCTTAACATTTAACATAAGCTTAGTAACTGTTAACTATCATCATCTTCATCATCATCATCACACTGTCTTATACATTTCTCACAACTCTTTGAGATAGATACTACTATTATTTTCATTTTGTATATGGGATAACTGTGAGCCAGAGATCAAAGCACTTCTGAAGCAAGAAACTTCTATTAAGTAGGTAGACAAATGTTTACTGTAGTAACAAAGGAACACACAAATCTATGAGGAGGGATATGTCTTTGCCAGTATGTTCCCATTGATGTCTTTGGATTCCGGCAGTATTATCTTCTTTTGAGGGGAACTCTCTAATTTAATATTTGATTTTGAAATGTTTTATGCGAGATAGTGGTTCAGAAAGGTCTTCAGAGGGAAATGGCTGAGATAACAATTTTGGCACCACCATACTTGGTAGTTTAACTTTAACCAGTGTTTTTCAAACTTTCAACTGCGACTCACAGTAAGAAATACATTCTTCATTGTGACCTAGTATTGTGACCTGTATTTTATATACATACATATATATCTATGTACATATTATATATGTACACTTAACTGAAACAAATTTTTACCCAGAAAAGCTTAGCCTTACCCTATGTGACAGACTCTTGGATTTTCCATAGGATAGTCCATTCTTTTTCATTCCACTCCATTTAAAAATGCTGGTCCTGACTTATAGTTTAAAAAACCATCTGTTAAACTATCTTGCAGCTGTATGTAAGGCTTAGAGCCCAAAGTGGGCCTCATCTGGACAGGCATTTATCAGTTCTGGGTACAGAAATCATGTTGCTTACAAAACCTAGCTGGATTACTCACAATAGCAACAACATGGAATCAACTTGAATGCCCATCAAGAATAGACTACATAAAGAAAATGTGGTACATATACACCATGAAATATTACACAGCTATAAAAACAACAAGATTGTGTCCTTTGCAGCAACATGGATGGAGCTGGAGCCATTATACTTAGTAAACTAACACAGAAACAGAAAACCAAATACTTCATGTTCTCACTTGTAAGTGGGAGCTAAATTATGAGAACACATGGACACAAAGAGGAGAACTACAAACACTGGGGCCTACCAGAGGGTGGAGGGTGGGAGAAAGGTGAGGATTGAAAAACTGTCGGGTGCTAGTTGTACCTATCAGGTGCTACACATTACCTGGGTGATGAAATAATCTGTACACCAAACCTCTGTGACACGCAATTTACCTGTATAACAAACCTGCACATGTATCCTTGAACCTAAAATAAAAGTTAAAAAACAGAAACAAAAACAAAACAAAACACAACCCAGCTTGAGTTCTCAGCTTCTTTTTAGGCCGTGGTTTGTTCACAGTGAACATCTCACCAACTCAACCAGGGTAAAATATCATGTAAGCACAGGAAACACACACAAATTCACATTAAAGCAGCATGAGCAAAAATGCATATGAAACCCTATGCAAGAAATTATGTTGCTGAACTCAGATGCTATCTCAGTGGTACACCCATCAAATGCACTTTTTAGGAGGAAAATCAAACTGAAAGGTATGACTGAAATGTAGGCAAAACTGTAGATATGTCACTGCCTCTTCTTTATTTTGGCATTTCCTGGAGTCGGTACTTACAACCAAAGAAGAACTAACTGCTTTGGCCTTCTCTTCTTTGTCCCTTAATCTTTGGGTGTAAGCCCCTCCTTACCCTACCCCATACTAGAACCTTATAGCATGTTTTATTTTTTGAGCCTCCTATTGTTAGGAGTAGAGTAGATACCGGGCTCATTGCACTTACCCAAGGCTTTTACAGATTTCTAGGCCTTGCTCCAGATCATACATTGTACTTGAAACAGCATGAGTCATGTGAATGCAAGAGGATAGTCTCATCAGGACTGAAGATCTCTGCATTTTAGTAGTGCTCTGATTGCCCCAGAGGCCATGATGGTTTCTGTTTGCATCCCCAGGGACACTTCTATCAAGAAAACTTCCAGCAATGCTTCTCTATTATTTGAAGGCTGCTAATTAAAAATAAAAATACCTAAGGTTTTATAAGGCATATGAAACAGTTTGCTTTGCAATCTTATGATAGAAATGTCTTGGTGCACAGCTTCTCTTTTTGCATTCCCCACTACCTAATACAATCCTAATACAATCCTCCCCTTTAGCTGAAGGATACATTATGATATGGCGCAACTAGAAATGTGTCCATCTGGACCATTCTTTTTTCACTCAGAGGTAGACTTACCACCCCATAGGGTCCCTCTGCCATTTTACTGGATAACCAACTTGCTCCCTTATCCAAATAGGAAAGGAACTGGATGTCATTCTTTAGAATCTGGGATTGAGAAATTTACCTACTCCAAAATGTTCCCTTGACTATAGACATTTGCTTTTTAATTCCACAATGAGTTTTTCCATGTATAAAGGGATTTCAGGCCTCAGCAAGAAGATATGGAGATTTTGAAGGGATCAAGGGTCCCGTAAAATCTCAATAGGCTTATCAGTGCTGTGAAACAAAAGGCAAATCTTAGACCTTTTGAGGTTACAGGGGAGACCAGAAAAATAGCCTGGGATTGATCCTGATCTATCTGCCCCATGCAACTCCACTTCATTTCATTCCCTGGAGCACTACTATTCTATGAAAGATAAGCCCATTGTTGGTGCTGCTGAGGTTATTAGAGGTCTGGTCTTGATAGAAGACAAGAGTAGGAGGAATATTCTATTCTCCCTGATTTTCTCCAAGATCAGAAGCTCAATATGTCCCAATAGAAGACTGTCAGAGCATCTCTTCCCGACTGCTCCCTGCCAGAGCACTAAACTTAACCCACTTCTTAACATTTGTACATATTTTCTGGCACCAGTTTTATTTCTCATTTATTGCTTTTTAAAATTTCTGACTGTGAGAGATGCACATTATACCTCTTTTTGCTATTCTACCTTTGGTGTGTATTGTTGACAAGAAAGGCCTTTTCTCTTTGGTAATCCTTATTTTATTCCATGCATATGTCCCGAATGCTTGATGGCAGATTACTAGCCTCAGTAGGCTTCCTATTAGATTGTTAGCTTTTGCTAAACCCATTTTCCAGGGGAAGAGGGTTTTCCTAAAAGCTTAAGGAGTTCTTTTTAAATATTGTTTTTGTATAACTTACTCCGCATCAGTTACTATACTAGTGCTTTACTTTATATCACTTAATCTTCACAGTAACCCTATGAGATTAGTTTGGTTACTAACATCCTGTTGTTACTTTAAAGGAATTCAGAAGAGCAAAGGATTATGCTCAAGGTCATGCAGAAAAGTTGATTCCTGACACTAGTATGACTGGACATATGTAGAAGAAGATGTAAGAAATACTTGGACTTAATTATTGAAATAATGATTTAAAACAGATGTATCTATGGCCCAGAGAAAATTTAATTAATGGTAACAGGATGTGTTGTATGCAGTGAGGTGAGGCTAGGACTTTGAGCAGTGTTTTGCCCAGTAGCCAGGGATGGGTTGCACCTCTCATCTGCTCCCTCTGGTTGGGAGCTTTTTCAATTTTCTCTCAGCTGATGTTTTCAAGTTTCTGCCTGCCTCAGTATTTTATGTAATCCTGACAGTGCAAAAACTCAGTGTGCATGTGGTAAGCCCATTCTCATGCCCACTGACCTCAGCTGCTCCTACTTTCTCCAGGTGTACTCAATCTGCAGACCTCATGATTCCTGTCTAGTTGATGGCATAAACTGGAAAGCACTACCTAGCCATATTAATGTGCTGCTTGAAAGTCAGAGGAAGAAGGGAGAGCTGAGTACCCCACTAGCACTCACCTTCCCTAATTCCATCTTACCTTGTGACCCTTATCTCCTGCCTCCCTAGCCCATATGTTAGCTCTATTCTCTTGGGAGCTGAAACCTGTCACTCAACTCCTAGGTTTTGTGAAATCTTTTCTTCAAACTGTCTGGAACCATAATTCCTTATACTACATCTTTAATTGTGGGTATTGCCATTACCTGGAGATTTCTGATGTTGTACCCTATTCTGTGGACTTGACTTCCCATCGTTTCCAAGATGGCAACTCCTGCCCAAATCGAGCTGAAGTTTGAAAGTTTATTAGACTAGTGAGCATCCCCCTACTCTACAACCACCATTTATAAGCCAAACCACATAGCCAAGTGTCAGGTTCCAGCCTAAGCTGAGGTCCGAGGGGAGTGGGTGGGCAAGTGGTGGGTAACTGGAAAAACACTCTATGAATCATAGGCAGTTTTGACATGGCTTTATTCTCTCTCTGGGTGGAAGCAAGCCATGTGTACAGTGTCAGCAGGGTAGTTATACTTTTTGCAGACAATAGTGGCTCCGAGCCAACCATGAGCTCACGTGAGTGGTTACCTATGCGTCTCATGTGGCATGGTTACATAATGTGTGAGGTTGTGCACCTGCACTCCAAACCTGCTGAGTCATGCTGCACTGGAAGGCTGCCTTGGCCTACTCCTGACTAAAGCACAGCCTTCTCCCTTACACCAAGTCATTTCCCTTGTCCTCAAACTTCCCCTGTCCCAGTCTTCTCTGCTTTCTTCCTAAGATCCTGGCATGCCTGATGGTCAAGATTCCTGACATGGACACTTTTGGTTGAACTCAAACACTTACTTCTTTTTCACTGTGCTCTAAACAACCTATGCAAAGGGCAAGACTTCCCTGCGTCAATAATAATGGAGACTGTGAAGCAAAACAATTCATCTCATAAAGCTCAACTGTCATGTTTCTACTGCAAGCGCAGCAAAGGGTAGAAAAATAACTCAGTTTTCTCTGCTTCTTCTGACTTTCAAGCAGCACATTAATATGGCTAGTTAGTGCTTTCCAGTATATGCCATCAACATTGTAAATTCAGTAGCTTAAGTCTCACAGTGGTTTTGGTATAAGCCTTTAATCTTAGTAATGATTCCTTGATCAGCTGTGTCCCTTCCAATTCAGAGGTCATTAGAGGTCCCTGCTGAGAACTCCCCAGCTGTTTCAGTTCAGTTCATGTATATTTATTTACATGGTTTTTGAACCACATTTGGGTATGCAGGAGCACAGCTCCTTTTAGAGGCTGGTGTTCCAGATCGTTTCCTGAAAGTGCAGCAGAGCTGGGAGAAAAATCAAACCCAAGGCACAGTGCATCTGTGATGCTTGAGATGCTCCTGGCATCCTGCTTTTAACTACTTCAGGGTTAATGACAGGCCTGCCAGAGCCTCTTTGTTGCTTTCAAAAAGGTCAATTGGAAACAAAAAGCCATTTTCCAGGTAGGATATCATTGTATTGGCAAAGACAAGACATTTAGACAAGGAAGTCAAAATGATCTGCTGAAAAGTGAAAACTTCAGTCAAAATGTTCATTTGGCTGTACTGAGACTATAACAAAATGTGCTAGCTTAAAATATCAGGACAAAGGGTTTGCATGTGTAGATTTCATGGTGATCAGTTTTACATCATAGCTGATCGATGCAGCAAAATATAACCCATTTTGGAAAAACTTGTAAAAGACTTGTGGCAGCAAAAGGCACCTAAGTGGATTTTAAAGATTAATGTGCTTCTCTTAGGAATGTGAAAGCATATATAGCAATGAACTTCCAGAGGAAAAAAATGACATTAGATATTACCTGAATCAATCTCCTAAATTTACAGATGACAGAACTAAGAGAACTAGAGAAACAAAGCTGTTTGCCAAAATTCACACAGCAAGTTAGTACAGAGTAAAGACTAAACTCCAGGCAGTGATTATAGCATTTCATTTAGATATCCCTCCCCCATTTTACAACTATAGATAAAGTGACAGCAAATTTCACCTTGCTACACCAAACTAGAGAGGTAGTGGAATATATGAAAGAGCAAACCTTTGAAGTCAAACAGGCTTCTGTGGGATGGTAGCCCTGTCCTACTGCTAAGTAGCCACATGAGCTTTGTCAAATTACTTAATCTCTGGGAGACCCAGTTTCTGCGCTTGTGAAATGTGGATAAAGACACCTAACTCAAAAAAAAAAAAAAAAACTCCTGGGATTAAATGTGATAACACAGGTAACCTGCCCAAAGTGATGCATAGGCAGTGATCAGCAAAATGACAGCTGCAGTTGTTGACATTGTTGTTATTTCTAAAAGAGTCCTCCAAAATATCAGGGTCTCTTGTGCTGGAAGCCTTTGTTTTCACAGCATTAACTATTGGACTGGGAATCAGAAGCAGACACAAATCTTCAAGCCTCTATTAGTTGAGGCTAGAGCCCAAATGAGGATAAAGTTGCTCTGTAATTGTATTGTGCTGCAAGGAGGAAATATAATTTGATTTACAAAAATACAGTTGAGGGAACTGTTCTTGAACCTACCTGCATAAAGCAAGGCACATAGGCACAGCAGTAATAGCACATACAGGCACTTCTGCTAAAAAAAAAAAAAAAAAAAAAAAAAAAAGCATTTCCTAGTAAAGTGAAAAGAATGTACACAGTCTTAGCCTCCAGCTGGGTAGCAAATTTCAGAATACTTCCTGAACAAAGGCTAGTAAGCATGAGGTGTGTCATGTTTGATCATTAGGTAGTTCAGCTGGAAAAAAGATAACATGCACCAAGACAGCAAGGGCTGTCAGATATTCCGTGCAGTGCTTGCAGAAATGGGGTTCTTTTATTTGCCTTCTCAGATTCTCACCTGAACTTCCTTCAGTTATCCACAGAATGACCTCAGGGACGCCCAGCTGGATTTTATCTCATCTCTTTCCATTAGCTCCCCCATCCTGCCACCAGCTTTTCTTTGCTTTAGTGATCAATAGTGAGATCTCTTTCTGTGAAAAATAAAGCCCTCAGCATTGCCATTCTTCTAGTGGCTGTGGTGGGATGGTGGCATCAGCCCCAGGCCAGGAAGCCAGAGTTGTGGTTATCGATTTGATTACAGCTCTGGGAAGAAAGAGGGTAGGAAAGCTTCTGTACAGCTGTTAGATTAGGAACTAGTGCCATGACTAACCTTGATCCGGAGTAGAAACCTGAATAATTGATAGAGTATACAGGAATTGAGATACTTGTGAAGAATTAAAAAAAGGTCAGATTCATGTGTCATATCCAGTGACTCCTCTGATGCTAACTAAGCAGTTCATTAAGGTTTGACTTAAGTATGCCATGATTATTTTTCTTTGGAAATAAAAGTGAAACTAGACAGCCAGACAGTTTCAAACGTCTTTTTTTTTTTTTGAGACGGAGTCTCACACTGTCACCCAGGCTGGAATGCAGTGGCGTGATCTCGGCTCACTGCAAGCTCCGCCTCCCGGGTTCACGCCATTCTCCTGCCTCAGCCTTGCGGGTAGCTGGGACTACTGGCGCCTGCCACCACACCCGGTTAATTTTTTTTTTTTTTTTTTTTTTTGTATTTTTAGTAGAGACGGGGTTTCACCGTGTTGGCAAGGATAGTTCACCGTATTGGCCAGGATGGTCTCAATCTCCTGACCTCGTGATCTGCCCACCTCGGCCTCCCAAAGTGCTGGGATTACAGGCGTGAACCACCGTGCCGGCTTCAAATGTCTTCTTTTCTTTTCTTTTTTTTTTTTTTTTGACGGAGTCTTGCTCTGTCGCCCAGGCTGGAGTGCAGTGGCGATCTCGGCTCACTGCAAGCTCCGCCTCCCGGTTTCACGCCATTCTCCTGCCTCAGCCTCCCAAGTAGCTGGGACTACAGGCGCCAGCCACCACGCCCGGCTAATTTGTTCTAGTTTTTAGTAGAGACGGAGTTTCGCCGTGTTAGCCAGGATGATCTCCATCTCCTGACCTCGTGATCCGCCCGCCTCGGCCTCCCAAAGTGCTGAGATTACAGGCATGAGCCACCGCGCCCGGCCAAATGTCTTAAGACCACTAGTCTAGCCAGTGGAGAACATGGCCAGAGAGTCCACTGTTGATTGGCTGGAGCACTAGGGCGCTAGAGACAGAGGAGCTGTGCTCCCTTGAGTTGCACATGGTTCTGTTGGGAAGGTTAAAATTGGGACAAGTCTGTTCCCCATCCAACTCCAATAGGATATTCAGGAGGACATTACTATAGCAGCGTCTCAACAAAGGGGCAAGTCCAGAGAGCACCGTCCAAATCTCATGTCCAAGGGCCAAGAAAATTCAAGTGGGAACAATCTTTGAGGGTTTCAGGGAACTAGTTAATTTGGGTCTGAGTTTTCAGACAAGGAAAAAATTCCTATCTGGGCCTCTAGCTCATCATCTATACATGAGGTGGATAAGATGATCCCCAAGGTTTTGACTAATTCTAACGTTGTATCCATCCTATTATAGTAGCTATCACTTACCGAGTGATTATTATGTGCTAGACAGTACATTAAGCACTTTGCATACCCAATCTCATTGAATCCTTAAACAACTCAATGAAGAAGCTAGTATTACCTTCCATTCCCACTTAAAAATGAGGAAACTTCAGCTCAGAGAAGAAATTTACCTTCACAGCTGGTAGATGGCAAAGCTGTGACTTGAACTCATTCCTCCCTGAGGCAGACCCAGTTCCTGGCTTCATAGAGTTCTCAGTCTAGTGTATCTGATTTGCAAAACCATTAGATCATCTCTTCGTTTCTGGCCTGATAGTCCTTACTAAATGCCAACAGTACTGTTACAGATATGAGACTTCCTAAGCTCTGTCCTCATCCAGATTCCCTTATCTCTAAGAGGGCTGGCATTCACTAACCCATTAACAGCTATTACATGAGATTCTGGGTTACTTGATAAAAAATTATCAGGTCACAGAGAGCAGAGTCCTGATAGAATGGGACTGGGAGCACACATACTTTGATTAGAAGATGTAGGGGTGGGGGGTGGGTCAGGCTTTGTTGGAGATCTCTAATAGAATTCCTTGAGCAGTGGGACAAAGGTTAAATCTGAGACATCAGGAAGGTATATAAGCCAACTTATGGTAATTGCTATAAGAAACAATTCCAACTTCTCACTGGCATAACACATCAAAAGTATGTCTTTTTTATGTCATTCTCCAGTGCAGAACTGTAGGAGAGCTCTGCTCCACTCAGTCATCAGGGTTTCAACCACCTCCATCTAGTGACTTTTGCATCTTCTGGGGCCTCAGTATCTTCCATTACATCCTTCTGGCAACTTAAGAAACACAGAAGACGTATCCACTCTTAAGCTGTTTAACCCAGGGGGTGACCCAAGTCACTTTTCCTCATTGCAGAGAATTAGTTACATGGTCCATCTAGATGCAAGGGCCTTGCAAAGAATAGTCCAGTGATGTATTCAGGAAGAAAAAAAGAACATAGATTTTGGTGGGCACATAGCATTGCCTTTGCCAGCAGAGAAAACAGAAGGTAGGGAGAAGGCATAATGAAGAAGGTGGCAAAAAGCTTCACATAGTGACTATTAATTCCCTTTTGTTCTCAGATCAAGGTCTGGGAGAACATAAGCAATAGTAGGATGGCAGTGTCATCCGAATTCAGGTGTCACCATTCACATTGTAGCCTTTACAAATGGCATCTTCTGGAACACAAGCGTATGTCTTTGTCTTTAAAAAATGATTTGGGGTTGCTTGTGATTTTGGGGGAATATGGATGCTCAACATACAATTTTGGGGCTTCTTCAGAGACTAAATCAGAAAGCAGAATACAAAGAGGCAGACAGCACTAGTAGTACAGTGACAGGATTTGATTAAGACCAGTGAGACAGATGGTGGTATGTTTTTTTAGAAGCAAACCAGGAAACAACAGATTTGCAAACAAATTTTAACTGCCATAATTCTTCTAATGCCCCACATGAGCAACACAAGTCACTGTGAAAAAATGTTTCTTTAAGGCAGCTGTACCTCAAATGTTCTCCTTCCTACCTCTTTAGAAAGAAGAGAGACCCATGGCAATGTTAATAAAATAATCTCACCCCTAATATTATTGAAACTCTGACCTTTTCTCTGGTCTCTGAGCAACCGGAATTGGTGACATCTATAAGAGAAGAGCATGAGGACAGCACAGGAAAATGTGTAAATAAGTTTGTTTTACTTTCTGGGGAGAATGAGGATGGTTTCTGGCCTGGATCCTCATTCTGAAATGTAAGAATGAGCAAATTGAAGCATATGTGCATATTAGAGAAATATTTTCTCCCTTGGAATGGCTTTAATTCCAGTGGAATATTTGAAATGTCTGCTCACTTTAGAACAAGAAAAGAAACAGCTCACAAGTCATTTGCTGCTTCTTTCTTGTTAGCCTGTACTCTGGTGAACCATCTAAAGCCTACCATCACAGTCTCATTTTCGCCCATGGGGATTATGGACATCCAGTTTTCGTGGAATACATTTCAGTGATTTTACTGGCTACAGTAGTGAGGAAGATTTTTTTATATATATATTTAGGTTTGGAACTTGAATGATCAACTCATACCCACCTCCTGTTTACCCAGCAGAATCTTTAGGGAATAGAGCAGAGAGTGAGAAAGCTGTTGGTGGGAGCAGGTGAAGGTCAGGGTACTTGTGAAAGATCCCCAAGGACAGATTTTACTTATCACAAACTCTGGTCATATATTATCATTTTATTTTCCATTGTAACAGCTTCCCAAATATTCTCACTGCCTTTAAACTCTCCTTTTCAATCCATTCTGCAAAATAATGCCAGATTACCTTTTTAAAAGAACAGTATGACTCCTGTCATTCCTCTGCTCTAAATTATTAAATCATCCAAAATTTCTAAAATAATAAAACCAAATTTGCTAGCTATATATTTAAGTTTCTCCATGTTTGGGTCTCTAATTACCTTTTTAGTTTACTTATCTGCCCCCCCGCCCCCACCAAATAACCAACTGAAGTCTTGTCAGAATATTCTCTGGAATATCTTACCTTCAGGCCTTCGCTCTCACTGCTCTCTTCTGAATGCTCTTCTTTCTTTCACCTCTCCCTAATCATTGTGAAATCTACTCATTCTTCAAGTCTCAGCCCAACTTGTATTTGATCTTTGAGGTTTCCTTGACTCTCCAAGTGAAAAGGAATTACTTCTATGTGTGCCTATAGCATATTGCTGGCACCAATATTTGACATTTATGTTATTCTGCCTCAAGTGTTAGTTTGTTATTTACAAGTCTGTCACTAGTCTGTAAGGAACCCTCAAAGACAAGGGCTGTGTCTTTTTCATCTGTAAATCTTCCACAGGACACCACACAGTGACTGGCCGAGATGAGGTACGTGATGAATGCTTGGTGACTTGAACTGATAGATTCCTCAGTTTTCCCTTGTGATACAAGTGGTGATGGCTTGCCTATTGTGGCCACCAACTATATTTCTGCCAGTGAGGTCACAGGCAGAGGGTCAAGATATTTCCTTCCTGTATGGAGCAATCAGGCTGAAAAACCCAAGTTGTTGAACACTTATTAACGTTTCTCTGTGAAGACATCAGGCACCATTTATTAGAAAGTTATTACAAGAACAGCTTAGTGTGTTGAAAAGGGAGGTTTGCAGAAAACTTGAGTCAAAGTATATGTCCATCACTGCTGGGAGAAAGGCCCAGAATAGGCAATAGGAGCCTGCAGATCTAGCCAATGAGGTTTTTATGATGTAAATTCACCTTGTCACCTGCCAAGTTTCGTTTTGTTTCTATCTTCATTATTACCTATCTCAGGATCGAACATATATTCCATGCTTTCTAACTGTCCTGTAGGTGGTGCTGTTACTTCTGTCTAGTTGGGGGGACAGACTATGCACCTAGAAAGATAGATACCATAACATATAGCATAATCTTTAAGATAAAAAGACTCTGGAACCAGACTGGCTGGCTTTGAATCATCCCTGCACCATGTCCTAGCTGGGTGATCCTGGAAATGTTGTTTTACCTCTCTGGGATTCAAAATGCTCATATGCAAAAGGGAATAACAACAATAGTAGTTATCTTAAAGGGTTATCATAAGGGTTAAATGAGTTACTACACATAGAGTGCTTAGTTAGTGCTTACAAATGGTATTATCACATAAAAAATATAAAATAAGATAGTGTGGCCTAGTGTAATGAACAAAAGCTGGGGAGTCAGAAGACTTGGGTTGTATCCTGACTGCTACTCATTCACCTTGGCCAACACATATAGCCTCTCAGATTCTTGCTTTCCTAACTATAAAATGAAGTGTGGAACTAAATAATATATGGTGTTCCTTCCAGCTCTAAAATGCTAGTGTTCAATATTGAATACAAGCTTCTTCCCCAGTAAGAGATGGTTTATTAAAAAAAGAGAGAGAGAGAGAAAGAGAAAAGAATGTAATTCATATCTGCCAAGAGAGATTTTTCTTCTCCTTTTATCATTGGTTTCTGATAATCAGAAAATAATCAAATGTGTTCATTTTTATGCTTCATCCCTTGACTTTTGATCTGTCTTCCAATTGCCATTTCACCACTGTTAAAGAAAATGAAAGCCCTCAAAAACAAGAATTCTTAAAAGCCACTGGTTGCAAAACAGCAGAGGTGACTGTCTAGTGCAGAGATTCAGCTCAGTGCAACTTTACTTGGAGATCATTTCATGTAATTAAAAATGCAGTCTATCCAAAGAGGAATCTTCTTTTTGGAGGGGAAGGTTTTATTAACTAACTTGTTAATTGATGTGAAGCTTTAAAATCACTTTCTTTTTAAGACCTGTAAAACAAGATTGAAGTGAGCTTGAATGCAGTTACCATTTACAAGAATTTAATAACATCCGGTTATTAGCCCTGATGAAAGAGACATGCACATCTCAATGATTCCCAGGTTATATTTTCAATTTAGTTAAAACTCTGACAACTCTCTCTCCTTCTACAATCCCCACCCACCACAGCAAAAATAAAGTGAAAGGAGGTATATATTTCCCCAGTTTTTACCTCTCCTTGGCTTTTAAAACTTGATTGCTTCACTTGTGAATCCCTCCTAAGGACCCATAAAGGCTGATCAACAGTCACTGCAGCTTGGCATATGTCCAACTTCTCTGTTTAAGGTGTTAGGACAATTCAGAGTGACAAGACTCGAAGTTAAGGAAGTAACTTTTCATTGAAAGCATATTTCACCTTAAAGGTAATGTGGTGGGAAGCTATTAGGATGCTGTTTTTATAGGTAAAAATGGTCAGATATTGACAATTTTATATGAGTTTACCTAATAACAGTTAGGCCTGGGTCCAGATGCACACCACTGGCTACTTGGCAGGGAAATGTTCATTCATGGCACTGGTCACTATTCTTTGGTACAATGGACAGGGTCTTGAATGGCAGGTTCAGTGAACTGTTTTTTTTTTTTTTTCATTTCAACTTGTATTTTAGGTTTAAGTGGTACATGTGCAGGTTTGTTACATGGGTGAATCATGTGTCATGAGGGTTTGGTTTACAGATAATTTTGTCACCTATGTAATCAGCATAATACTCAACAGGTAGTTTTTCAATCTTCACCCTCTTCCTACCCTCCACCCTCAGGTGGGCCCTGATGTCTATTGTTCCCTTTTTGTGTCCATGTGTACTCCAAGTTTGGTTCTCATTTATAAGTGAGAACATGCAATATTTGGTTTTCTGTTCCTGCATTAGTTAGCATAGGATGATGGCCTCCAGCGCCATCCATGTTGCTGCAAGGGCCATGATTTCTTTCTTTTTTATGGCTGTGAATTGTGTAACACATTTTCTTTATGTAGTATGCCATGGATGGAGATCTAGGTTGATTGTATGTCTTTACTATTGTGAATAGCACTGTGATGAACATATGCGTACACGTGTCTTTATGGTAGAATGATTTGTATACCTTTGGGTATATACCCAGTAATGAGATTGCTGGGTTGAATGGTAGTTCTATTTTCAGTTCTTTGGGAAATCCTCAAACTGCTTTCCACAGTGTCTGGACTCATTTACATTCCCACTAACAGTATATAAGTGTTCCTTTTTCTCCACAGTCTCACCAATATTTATTGTTTCTTGACTTTTTAATTTAATAATAATAATTCTGACTGGTGTGATATGGTATTGCATTGCAGTTTTGATTTGCATTTCCCTAACGATTAGTGATATTGAGCATCTTTCCATATGTTTGTTGGCCACATGGAGGTCTTATTTTGAGAAGTGTCTGTTTATGTCCATTGCCCATTTCTTAATGGGGCTGTTGGTTTTTTTGCTTGTTGATTTTTCTAAGTTCCTTGTGGACCCTAAATATTACACCTTTGTGGATCCATAGCTTGCAAATATTTTCTCTCATTCTGTAGGTTGTCTCTTTACTCAGTTGATAGTTTCTTTTGCTTTGTAGAAGCTCTTTAGTTTAATTAGGTCTCATTTGTCAATTTTGGTTTTTGGTTTTTTTTTTTTTTTGGAATTGTTTTTTGGCATGTTTGTCATGAAATCTTTGTCAGGTCTTATGTTCACAATGGTATTTCCTAGGTTTTCTTTCAAGGTTTTATAGTTTTAGGTTTTACATTTAAGTATTCCATCTTGAATTGATTGTTGTACATGGTGTAAGGAAGGAGTCCATTTTCAGTCATCTCCATATGACTAGCCAGTTATCCCAGAACCATTTATTGAATAGAGAGTCATTTTCCCATTGCTTGTTATTGTCAGCCATGTCAGAGATCAGATAGTTCTGGGCGTATAGCTTTATTTTGGGGTTTGCTAACTTGTTCCATTGGTTTATGTGTCTATTTTTGCACCAGTACTGTGCTGTTTGGGTTACTGTAGCTTTGTAGCATAGTTTGAAGTCAGGTGATGGGATGCCTCTAGCCTTGTTCTTTTTGCTTAGGATTGCCTTGGCTATTTGGACCCATTTTTGGTTCCATATTAATTTTAAAATAGTTATTTCTTGTTCTGAGAAGAATGTCAGTAGTAGTTTAATAGGAACAGCATCAAATCTGTAAATTACTTTGGGCAGTATGGCCATTTTAACAATATTAATTCTTTTTATTCATGAAAATGGTCTGTTTTTCCATTTGTGTTATCTCTGATTTCTTTGAGCAGCATTTTATAATTCTCGTTGTAGAGATATTTCACTTTCCTGGTTAGCTGTATTCCTAGGTATTTTATTCTTTTTGTGGCTATTGTGAATGGAATTGTGTTCTTGATTTGGTTCCAAGCTTGGACGTTGTTGGTGTATAGGAATGCTACTAATTTTTGTACATTGACTTTTGTATCCTGAAACTTTGCTGAAGTGGTTACCAAATCAAGGAGTTTTAGACAGAGACTCTGGGGTTTTCTAAGTAAAGATTCATGTCATCTGCAAACAGGGATAGTTTGACTTCCTCTCTTCCTATTTGAATACCCTTTATTATTTTTTATTTCTTATTTTATTTTTTTAAATTTTACTTTAAGTTCTGGGATACAAGTACAGAATGTGTAGGTTTGTTACATAGGTATACTTGCACCGTGGTGGTTTCCTGCACCTATGAACCTGTCATCTAGGTTTTAAGCACTGCATGTATTAGCTCTTTGTTCTAATGCTCTCCCTCCCCTTACACCTCACGCCCTGTCTGGCCCCAGTGTGTGTTGTTCCCCTTGCTCTGTCCATGTGTTCTCATTGTTCAACTCCCACTTATGAGTGAGAACATGTGGTTTTTGGTTTTCTGTTCTTGTGTTAGTTTGCTGAGGATAATTGCTTCCAGCTTCATCCATGTTCCTGCAAAGGACATGATCTCATTCCTTTTTATGGCTGCATCGTATTCCATGGTTTATATGTACCACATTTTCTTTATCCAGTCTATCATTGATGGGCATTTGGGTTGGTACCATGTCTTTGCTATTGTAAGTAGTGCTGCAGTAAACATTTGTGTGCATGTGTCTTCAAAGTAGAATGATTTATATTCCTTTGGGTATATACCCAGTAATGGGGTTGCTGGGTAAAATGGTATTTCTGGTTCTAGATCCTTGAGGAATCACCACCCTGTCTTCCACAATGGTTGAACTATTTACATTCCTGCCAACAGTGTAAGAGCATTTCTATTTCTCCACAGCCTCCTAAGCATCTATTGTTTCTTGACTTTTTAATAATTGCCATTCTGATGGGCATGACATGGTTTCTCATTGTGGTTTTGATATGCATTTCTCTAATGATCAGTGATGTTGAGCTTTTTTTCGTGTGTGCTGGCTGCATAAATGTCTTCTTTTGAGAAGTATCTGTTCATATCCTTTGCCCATTTTTTGATTGTTTTTTCCTTGTAAATTTGTTTAAGTTCATTGTAGATTCTGGACATTAGACCTTTGTCAGATGGATAGATTGCAAAAATTTTCTCCCATTCTGTAGGTTGCCTGTTTACTCTGATGAAAGTTTCTTTTGCTGTGCAGAAACTCTTTAGTATAATTAGATCCCATTTGTCAATTTTGGCTTTTGTTGCAATTGCTTTTGGCATTTTCATCATGAAGTCCTTGCTCATGCCTGTGTCCTGAATGGTATTGCCTAGGTTTTCTTCTAGGGTGTTTGTGGGTTTGGGTTTTACATTTAAGTCTTTAATCTATCTTGAGTTAATTTTTCTATAATGTGTAAGGAAGAGATCCAGTTTCAGTTTTCTGCACATGGCTAGCCAGTTTTCCCAGCACCCTTTATTAAATAGGAAATCCTTTCCCCATTGCTTGTTTTTGTCTGATTTGTCGAAGAGCCGATGGTTGTAGATGTGTGGTGTTATTTCTGAGGTCTCTGTTCTGTTCCCTTGGTCTATATGTCTGTTTTGGTACCAGTACCATGCTGTTTTGGTTATTGTAGCCTTGAGGTATAGTCTGAAGTCAGGTAGTGTGATACCTCTAGCTTTGTTCTATCTGCTTAGGATTGTCTTGGCCATACAGGCTCTTTTCTGGCTCCAATTTAAAGTATTTTTTTCTAATTCTGTGAAGAAAGTCAATGGTAGTTTGATGGGAATAGCACTGAATCTATAAATTACTTTCAGCAGTATGGCCATTTTCACGATATTGATTCTTCCTATGCATGAGGATGGAATGCTTTTCCATTTGTTTGTGTCCTCTTTTATTTCCATGAGCAGTGGTTTCTAGTTCTCCTTGAAGAGGTCCTTCATATCCCTTGTTAGCTGTATTCCTAGGTATTTTATTCTCTTTGTAACAATTGTGAATGGGAGTTGATTCATAATTTGGCTCTCTGTTTGTCTATTGTTGGTGTATAGGAATGCTTGTAAGTTTTGCACATTGATTTTGTATCCTGAGACCTTGCTGAAGTTGCTTATCAACTTAAGGAGCTTTTGGCCTGAGATGATGGGGTTTTCTAAATATGGAGTCATGTTGTCTGAAAACAGAGACAATTTGACTTTCTCCCCTTCTATTTGAATACGCCTTATTTCTTTCCCTTGCCTGATTGCCCTGGCCAGAACTTCCAATAATATGTTGAATAGGAGTGGTGAGAGAGGGCATCCTTGTCTTGTGCCAGTTTTCAAAGGGAATGCTTCCAGCTTTTGCCCATTCAGTATTATATTGGCCATGGGTTTGTCATAAATAGCTCTTATATGTCCCATCAATACCTGTATTATTGAGAGCTTTTAAAATGAAGGGATGTTGAATTTTATCAAAGGCCTTTTCTGCATCTATTGAGATGATCATGCGGTATTGGTCACTGGTTCTGTTTATGTGATGGATTACGTTTTTTGATTTGTATATGTTGACCAGCCTTGCATCCCAGGGATGAAGCCAACTTGATTGTAGTGGATAAGCTTTTTGATGTGATGCTGGATTTGGTTTGCCAGTATTTTATTGAGGATTTTTGCATTGATGTTCATCAGGGATATTGGTCTGAAGTTTTCTTCTTTTTTTTTTTTTTAATTGTGTCCCTTTTTTTTTAAATTTGGTATCAGGATGATGCTGACCTCTTAAAATGAGTTAGGGAGGAGTCCTTCCTTTTTAGTTGTTTGGAACAGTTTCAGAGGAGTACTGGCTCCTCTTTATATCTCTGGTAGAATTCAGCCATGAATCCATCTTGTCTGGGGCTTTTTTTTTTTTTTTTTTTTTTTGCTTGGTAGGTTTTAATTACTGCCTCAATTTCAGAACTTGTTATTGATCTATTCAGGGATTTGACTTCTTCCTGGTATAGTCTTGGGAGGGTGTATGTGTCCAGAAATTTATTCATTTCGTCTAGATTTTCTAGTTTATTTGCATATAGGTGTTTATAATATTCTCTTGGTAGTTTGTATTTCTGTGGGGTTAGTGGTGACATCCCCTTTATCATTTTTTATTGTGTCTATTTGATTCTTCTCTCTTTTATTCTTTGTTATTCTAGCTAGTGGTCTATTTTGTTAATTATTCAAAAAACCAACTCCTGGATTCTTGTTTGTTTGTTTTTTTTTGAGACGGAGCTCACCTCTTTTGCCCAGGCTGGAGTGCAGTGGTGCTATCTCAGCTCACTGCAAGCTCTGCCTTCAGGTTTCATGCCATTCTCCTGCCTCAGCCTCCCGAGTAGCTGGGACTACATGTGCCTGCCACCGCGCCTGGCTAATTTTTTGTATTTTTAGTAGAGATGGGGTTTCACCGTGTTAGCCAGGATGGTCTCGATCTCCTGACATCGTGATCCGCCCACGTCGGCCTCCCAAAGTGGGATTCTTGATTCTTTGAAGGTGTTTTGTGTCTCTATCTCCTTCAGTTCTGCTCTGATCTTAATTATTTCTTGCCTTCTGCTAGGCTTTGGATTTGTTTTCTCTTGCTTCTGTACCTCTTTTAATTTGATGTTAGGGTGTCGAGTTGAGATCTTTGTAGCTTTCTGATGTGGGCATTCAGTGCTATAAATTTCCCTCTTAACACTGCTTTCGCTGTGTCCCAGAGATTCTGGTACACTGTCTCTTTGTTCTCATTGGTTTCAAAACACTTCTTGATTTCTGCCTTGATTTCATTATGTACCCAGGAGTCATTCAGGAGCACGTTGTTAAATTTCCATGTAGTTGTGTGGTTTTAAGTGAGTTTCTTAATCCTGAGATCTAATTTGATTGCACTGTGGTCTGAGAGGCTGTTTGGTATGATTTCACATATTTTGCATTTGTTGAGGAGTGTTTTACTTCCAATTATGTGGTTGATTTTAGAATAAGTGCCTTGTGGCACTGAGAAGCATATATATTCTGTTGATTTGGATTAGAGAGTTCTGTGGATGTCTATTAGTTCCACTTACTCCAGAGCTGAGTTCAATCCTGAATATCCTTATTAATTTTCTGTCTCATTGATCTGTCTAATATTGACAAAGGAGTGTTAATGTCTCCCACTCTTATTGTGTGGGAGTCGAAGTCTCTTTGTAGTCTCTAAGAACTTGTTTTATGGATCCGGGTGCTCCTATATTGAGTGCATGTATATTTAGGACAGTTAGCTCTTCTTGTTGAATTGATCCCTTTACCATTATGTAATGCCCTTCTTTGTCTTTTTGATCTTTGTTGATTTAAAGTCTGTTTTGTCAGAGACTACGATTGCAACACCTCTTTTTTTGTTGTCCATTTTCTTGGTAAATTTTCCTCCATACCTTTATTTTGAGCCTATGTGTGTCTTTGCATATGAGATAGGTCTCCTGATTATAGCACACTGATGGGTCTTTATCCAGATTGCCAGTCTGTGTCTTCTAATTGGGACATTTAACCCATTTACATTTAAGGTTAACATTGTTATGTGTGAATTTGATCCTGTCATCATGATGCTATCTGGTTATTTTGCACTTTAGTTGATGCAGTTTCTTCATAGTGTCATTGGCCTTTTTTTTTCTTTCCTTTTTTATTATACTTTAAGTTCTGGGATACATGTGCAGAATGTGCAGGTTTGTTACATAGGTATACATGTGCCATGGTGGTTCGCTGCACCCATCAACCTGTCATCTACATGAGGTATTTCTCCTAATGCTATCCCTCCCCTAGCCCCCTATCCCCCGACAGGCCCCAGTGTGTGATGTTCCCCTCCCTGTGTCCATGTGTTCTCATTGTTGAACTCCCACTTATGAGTGAGAACATGCGGTGTTTGGTTTTCTGTTCTTGTGTTAGTTTGCTGAGAATGATGGTTTCCAGCTTCATCCATGTCCCTGCAAAGGACATGAACTTATTTTTTTATGGCTTCATAGTATTCCATGGTGTATATGTGTCACATTTTTTTATCCAGTCTGTCATTGAGCGGCATTTGGGTTGGTTCCAAGTCTTTGCTATTGTGAACAGGGCCACAATAAACATACATGTGCATGTGTCTTTATAGTAGAATGATTTGTAATCCTTTGGGTATGTACCCAGTAATGGGATTGCTGGGTCAAATGGTATTTCTAGTTCTAGATCCTTGAGGAATCGCCGCACTGTCTTCTACAATGGTTGAACTAATTTACACTTCCACCAACAGTGTAAAAGCGTTCCTATTTCTCCACATCCTCTCCAGCATCTGTTGTTTCCTGACTTTTTAATGATCACCACTCTAACTGATGTGACATGCTATCTCATTGTGGTTTTGATTTGCATTTCTCTAATGACCAGTGATGACGAGCATTTTTTCATATGTTTGTTGGCTGCATAAATGTCTTCTTTTCAGAAGTGTCTGTTCATATCCTTTGCCCACTTTTTGATGGGGTCAGAACAGAGGCCTCAGAAATAACAACACACATCTACAGCCATCTGATCTTTGACAAACCTGACAAAAACAAGCAATGGGGGAAGGATTCCCTATTTAATAAATGGTCTTGGGAAAACTGGCTAGCCATATGCAAAAAGCTGAAACTGGATCCCTTCCTTACACCTTATACAACAATTAACTCAAGATGGATTAAACACTTAAACATAAGACCTAAAACCATAAAAACCCTAGTAGAAAACCTAGGCAATACTATTCAGGACATATGCATGGGCCAAGTCTTCATGACTAAAACACCAAAAGCAATGCAACAAAAGTGAAAATAGACAAATGGGATCTATTTAAACTAAAGAGCTTCTGCACAGAAAAAGAAACTATCATCAGAGTGAACAGGCAACCTACAGGATGGGAGAAAATTTTTGCAATCTATTCATCTGACAAAGGGCCAATATCCAGAATCTACAAATAACTTAAACAAATTTACAAGTATCATTGGTCTTTATATTTTGGCGTGTTTCTGCTGTGGCTGGTACCAGTTTTTCCTTTTTATATTTAGTGCTTCCTTCAAGAGCTCTTGTAAGGGAGGCCTGGTGGTGACAAAATCCCTGAACATTTGCCTGTCTGGAAAGGATTTTATTTCTCCTTCACTTATGAAGCTTTAGTTTGGCTGGATATGAAATTGTGGGTTGAAAACTCTTTTGTTTAATCATATTGAATATTGCCCCCCACTCTCTTCTGGCTTTTAGGTTTTCTGCTGAGAGATCCACTGTTAGTCTGATGGGCTTCCCTTTGTAGGTGTCTTGGTTTTTCTTTCTGGCTGCCCCTAACATTTTTTCCTTCATTTCAACCTCGGAGAATCTGATGATTATGTGTCTTTGGGTTGATCTTTTCATGGAGCATCTTAGTGGTATCCTCTGTATTTCCTGAATTTGAATGTTGACCTGTCTTGCTAAGTTGGGGAAGTTCTCTGCGATAATATCCTGAAATGTGTTTTCTGACTTGGTTCCATTCTCCCTGTCTCAGGGACTCCAAACAATTATAGGTTCAGTCTTTTTGCATAGTCCCATATTTCTCGGAGGTTTGTTCATTCCTTTTCATTCTTTTTTCTCTAATCTTCTCTGCATGCCTTATTTCAGCAAGATGGTCTTCAAACTCTGATATCCTTTCTTCTGCTTCATCAATTTGGCTATTGATACTTGTGTATGCTTCATGAAGTTCTTGTGTTGTGTTTTTCAGCTCCAAGTAGCTCCTCTAACCTTTTATCAAGGTTCTTAGCTTCTTTGCATTTGGTTAGAACATGCTCCTTTAGCTCAGCGCAGTTTGTTATTACCCACCTTCTGAAGTCTACTTCTGTCAATTCATCCATCTCATCCTCCATCCAGTTCTGCATCCTTGCTGGAGAAGCATTACGATCATTTGGAGGAGAAGAGGCACTCTGGCCTTTTGGGTTTTCAAGCGTTTTTGTTGTTGTTGTTGTTGTTCATTCTTTCTCAGATTCATGAGTTTGTCTAGTATCAATCTTTGAGGCTGCTGACCCTTGGATGGGGTTTTTATGGTGGTCAGTAATGGTATTTAATTTTCATGTTTAGCATTCCCTTAAGGACCTCCTATAAGACAGTTCTGGTGGTAATAAATTCTCTTAGTATTTGCTTGTCTGAAAAGGATTTTGTTTCTCCTTCACTTATGAAGCTTAGTTTGGCTAGATATAAAATTATTGGATGGAACTTCTCTTCTTTCAGGATTCTGAATATAGGCCCCCCAGTTTTCTGGCTTGTAGGGTTTCCGCTGAAAGGTCTACTGTTAGCCTGATGGGATTCCCTTTGTAGGTGACCTGTCACTTCTCTCTAGCTGCCTTTAATTTTTTTCTTTCACATTGATCTTGAAGAATCTGATGACTATGTATCTTGGGGATGGTCATCTTGTATTGTATCATGAAGGGGTTCTCTGAATTTCCTGGGTTTGAATGTTGACCTCTTTATTGTGGTTGGGGAAACTTATGTGGAAAATATCCTCAAATGTGTTTTCCAAGTTGCTTGCTTTCTCTCCCTCTCTTTCAGGGACACAAATTAGTTGTAGATTTGGTTACTTTACCTAATCTCATATTTCTTGGAGGTTTTATTCATTCTTCTTTAATCATTTTTCTTTATTTTTGTCTGACTCAGTTAATTTGAAGAACCTGTCTTCAAGCTTTGAAATTCTTTCCTCAGCTTGGTCTATTCTGCTGTTAATACTTCTGATTGTGTTTGTTATAAAATTCGTGAAGTGAGTGTTTCAACTCTATCAGTTCAGATTGGCTCTTTCTTTTTTTTTTTTTTCTTTTTTTTTTTTTTGGAGCTCCTGCCCACCCAGATTTTTTTTTAATAAAACATCTATTAAACCAGAATTATAGTTGGGAAATACTGCCATATACATAAATATTCTTGGAAAAGCCCAGTCGTTTTTTTAGTTGCTGCTTTGAGCCTTCCACTAAAGATACATTATACTCATAATAATAATTCTCCTATTTGCCCATGATAATGAATAAAATTCTTGTTTAGACAACCACCTTTAGGCCATCTTTTTTGTTCTTTTTATCCCCCTTCAACTTTTAAATTTAGGGGAACATATGCAGGATGCGTAGGTTTGTTACATAGGTAAACGTGTGCCATGGTGGTTTGCTGCACAGATCACCCCATCACATAGGTATTAAGCCCAGGGTCCATTAGCTATTCTTCCTGATGCTCTCCCTCCCCCAATACCCTCCTTGACAAGCCCCAATGTGTGTTTTTCCCCCACATTTATCCATGTGTTCCCATCATTCAGTTCCTACTTTATTTTATTTATTTATTTATTTTAAATTTATTATTCTTATACTTTAAGTTTTAGGGTACATGTGCACAATGTGCAGGTTAGTTACATATGCATACATGTGCCGTGCTGGTGCGCTGCACCCACTAACTCGTCATCTAGCATTAGGTATATCTCCCAATGCTATCCCTCCCCCCTCCCCACACCCCACAACAGTCTCCAGAGTGTGATGTTCCCCTCCCTGTGTCCATGTGTTCTCATTGTTCAATTCCCACCTATGAGTGAGAATATGCGGTGTTTGGTTTTTTGTTCTTGCAATAGTTTACTGAGAATGATGATTTCCAATTTCATCCATGTCCCTACAAAGGACATGAACTCATCATTTTTTATGGCTGCATAGTATTCCATGGTGTCTATGTGCCACATTTTCTTAATCCAGTCTATCATTGTTGGACATTTGGGTTGGTTCCAAGTCTTTGCTATTGTGAATAATACCGCAATAAACATACGTGTGCATGTGTCTTTATAGCAGCATGATTTATAGTCCTTTGGGTATATACCCAGTAATGGGATGGCTGGGTCAAATGGTATTTCTAGTTCTAGATCCCTGAGGAATCGTCACACTGACTTCCACAATGGTTGAACTAGTTTACAGTCCCACCAACAGTGTAAAAGTGTTCCTATTTCTCCACATCCTCTCCAGCACCTGTTGTTTCCTGACTTTTTAATGATTGCCATTCTAACTGGTGTGAGATGGTATCTCATTGTGGTTTTGATTTGCATTTCTCTGATGGCCAGTGATGATGAGCATTTTTTCATGTGTTTTTTGGCTGCATAAAGGTCTTCTTTTGAGAAGTGTCTGTTCATGTCCTTCGCCCACTTTTTGATTGGGTTGTTTGTTTTTTTCTTGTAAATTTGTTGGAGTTCATTGTAGATTCTGGATATTAGCCCTTTGTCAGATGAATAGGTTGTGAAAATTTTCTCCCATTTTGTAGGTTGCCTGTTCACTCTGATGGTAGTTTCTTTTGCTGTGCAGAAGCTCTTTAGTTTAATTAGATCCCATTTGTCAATTTTGGCTTTGGTTGCCATTGCTTTTGGTGTTTTAGACATGAAGTCCTTGCCCATGCCTATGTCCTGAATGGTAATGCCTAGGTTTTCTTCTAGGGTTTTTATGGTTTTAGGTCTAACATTTAAGTCTTTAATCCATCTTGAATTGATTTTTGTATAAGGTGTAAGGAAGGGATCCAGTTTCAGCTTTCTACATATGGCTAGCCAGTTTTCCCAGCACCATTTATTAAATAGGGAATCCTTTCCCCATTGCTTGTTTTTCTCAGGTTTGTCAAAGATCAGATAGTTGTAGATATGCGGCGTTATTTCTGAGGGCTCTGTTCTGTTCCATTGATCTATATCTCTGTTTTGGTATCAGTACCATGCTGTTTTGGTTGCTGTAGTCTTGTAGTATAGTTTGAAGTCAGGTAGTGTGATGCCTCCAGCTTTTTCTTTTGGCTTAGGATTGACTTGGTGATGCGGGCTCTTTTTTGGTTCCATATGAACTTTAAAGTAGTTTTTTCCAAATCTGTGAAGAAAGGCATTGGTAGCTTGATGGGGATGGCATTGAATCTGTAAATTACCTTGGGCAGTATGGCCATTTTCACGATATTGATTCTTCCTACCCATGAGCGTGGAGTGTTCTTCCATTTGTTTGTATCCTCTTTTATTTCCTTGGGCAGTGGTTTGTAGTTCTCCTTGAAGAGGTCCTTCACATCCCTTGTAGGTTGGATTCCTAGGTATTTTATTCTCTTTGAAGCAATTGTGAATGGGAGTTCACTCATGATTTGGCTGTTTGTCTGTGGTTGGTGTATAAGAATGCGTGTGATTTTTGTACATTGATTTTGTATGCTGAGACTTTGCTGAAGTTGCTTATCAGCTTAAGGAGATTTTGGGCTGAGACAATGGGGTTTTCTAGATATACAATCATGTCATCTGCAAACAGGGACAATTTGACTTCCTCTTTTCCTAATTGAATACCCTTTATTTCCTTCTCCTGCCTAATTGCCCTGGCCAGAACTTCCAACACTATGTTGAATAGGAGTGGTGAGAGAGGGCATCCCTGTCTTGTGCCAGTTTTCAAAGGGAATGCTTCCAGTTTTTGCCCATTCAGTATGATATTGGCTGTGGGTTTGTCATAGATAGCTCGTATTATTTTGAAATACGTCCCATCAATACCTAATTTATTGAGAGTTTTTAGCATGAAGTGTTGTTGAATTTTGTCAAAGGCCTTTTCTGCATCTATTGAGATAATCATGTGGTTTTTGTCTTTGGTTCTGTTTATATGCTGGATTACATTTATTGATTTGCATATATTGAACCAGCCTTGCATCCCAGGGATGAAGCCCACTTGATCATGGTGGATAAGCTTTTTGATGTGCTGCTGGATTCAGTTTGCCAGTATTTTATTGAGGATTTTTGCATCAATGTTCATCAAGGATATTGGTCTAAAATTCTCTTTTTTGGTTGTGTCTCTGCCCGGCTTTGGTATCACGATGATGCTGGCCTCATAAAATGAGTTAGGGAGGATTCCCTCTTTTTCTATTGATTGGAATAGTTTCAGAAGGAATGGTACCAGTTCCTCCTTGTACCTCTGGTAGAATTCGGCTGTGAATCCATCTGGTCCTGGACTCTTTTTGGTTGGTAAGCTATTGATTATTGCCACAATTTCAGATCCTGTTATTGGTCTATTCAGAGATTCAACTTCTTCCTGGTTTAGTCTTGGGAGAGTGTATGTGTCGAGGAATTTATCCATTTCTTCTAGATTTTCTAGTTTATTTGCATAGAGGTGTTTGTAGTATTCCCTGATGGTAGTTTGTATTTCTGTGGGATCGGTGGTGATATCCCCTGTATCATTTTTTATTGTGTCTATTTGATTCTTCTCTCTTTTTTTCTTTATTAGTCTTGCTAGCGGTCTATCAATTTTGTTGATCCTTTCAAAAAACCAGCTCCTGGATTCATTAATTTTTTGGAGGGTTTTTTGTGTCTCTATTTCCTTCAGTTCTGCTCTGCTTTTAGTTATTTCTTGCCTTCTGCTAGCTTTTGAATGTGTTTGCTCTTGCTTTTCTAGTTCTTTTAATTGTGATGTTAGGGTGTCAATTTTGGATCTTTCCTGCTTTCTCCTGTGGGCATTTAGTACTATAAATTTCCCTCTACACATTGCTTTGAATGCATCCCAGAGATTCTGGTATGTTGTGTCTTTGTTCTCGTTGGTTTCAAAGAAGATCTTTATTTCTGCCTTCATTTTGTTATGTACTCAGTAGTCATTCAGGAGCAGGTTGTTCAGTTTCCATGCAGTTGAGCGGTTTTGAGTGAGATTCTTAATCCTGAGTTCTAGTTTGATTGCACTGTGGTCTGAGAGATAGTTTGTTATAATTTCTGTTCTTTTACATTTGCTGAGGAGAGCTTTACTTCCAAGTATGTGGTCAATTTTGGAATAGGTGTGGTGTGGTGCTGAAAAAAATGTATATTCTGTTGATTTGGGGTGGAGAGTTCTGTAGATGTCTATTAGGTCCGCTTGGTGCAGAGCTGAGTTCAATTCCTGGGTATCCTTGTTGACTTTCTGTCTCATTGATCTGTCTAATGTTGACAGTGGGCTGTTAAAGTCTCCCATTATTATTGTGTGGGAGTCTAAGTCTCTTTGTAGGTCACTCAGGACTTACCTCATGAATCTGGGTGCTCCTGTATTGGGTGCATATATATTTAGGATAATTAGCTCTTCTTGTTGAATTGATCCCTTTACCATTATGTAATGGCCTTCTTTGTCTCTTTTGATCTTTGGTGGTTTAAAATCTGGTTTATCAGAGACTAGGATTGCAACCCCTACCTTTTTTTGTTTTCCATTTGCTTGGTAGATCTTCCTCCATCCTTTTATTTTGAGCCTATTTGTGTCTCTGCACATGAGATGGGTTTCCTGAATACAGCACACTGATGGGTCTTGACTCTTTATCCAATTTGCCAGTCTGTGTCTTTTAATTGGAGCATTTAGTCCATTTACATTTAAAGTTAATATTGTTATGTGTGAATTTGATCCTGTTATTATGACGTTAGCTGGTTATTTTGCTCGTTAGTTGATGCAGTTTCTTCCTAGTCTCGATGGTCTTTACATTTTGGCATGATTTTGCAGCAGCTGGTACTGGTTGTTCCTTTCCATGTTTAGCACTTCCTTCAGGAGCTCTTTTAGGGCAGGCCTGGTGGTGACAAAATCTCTCAGCATTTGCTTGTCTGTAAAGTATTTTATTTCTCCTTCACTTATGAAGCTTAGTTTGGCTGGATATGAAATTCTGGGTTGAAAATTCTTTTCTTTAAGAATGTTGAATATTGGCCCCCACTCTCTTCTGGCTTGTAGAGTTTCTGCCGAGAGATCCGCTGTTAGTCTGACTGGCTTCCCTTTGTGGGTAACCCGACCTTTCTCTCTGGCTGCCCTTAACATTTTTTCCTTCATTTCAACTTTGGTGAATCTGACAATTATGTGTCTTGGAGTTGCTCTTCTCGAGGAGTATCTTTGTGGTGTTCTCTGTATTTCCTGAATCTGAATGTTGGCCTGCCTTGCTAGACTGGGGAAGTTCTCCTGGATAATATCCTGCAGAGTGTTTTCCAACTTGGTTCCATTCTCCCCGTCACTTTCAGGTACACCAATCAGACGCAGATTTGGTTTTTTCACATAGTCCCATATTTCTTGGAGGCTTTGCTCGTTTCTTTTTATTCTTTTTTCTCTAAACTTCCCTTCTCGCTTCATTTCATTCACTTCATCTTCCATCACTGTTACCCTTTCTTCCAGTTGATCGCATCGGCTCCTGAGGCTTCTGCATTCTTCACGTAGTTCTCGAGCCTTGGCTTTCAGCTCCATCAGCTCCTTTAAGCACTTCTCTGTATTGGTTATTCTAGTTATACATTCTTCTAAACTTTTTTCAAAGTTTTCAACTTCTTTGCCTTTGAATTTCCTCCCGTAGCTCAGAGTAATTTGATCATCTGAAGCCTTCTTCTCACAGCTCGTCAAAGTCATTCTCCGTCCAGCTTTGTTCCGTTGCTGGTGAGGAACTGTGTTCCTTTGGAGGAGGAGAGGTGCTCTGCTTTTTAGAGTTTCCAGTTTTTCTGCTCTGTTTTTTCCCCATCTTTGTGGTTTTGTCTGGTCTTTGATGATGGTGATGTACAGATGTGTTTTTGGTGTGGATGTCCTTTCTGTTTGTTAGTTTTCCTTCTAACAGACAGGACCCTCAGCTGCAGGTCTGTTGGAGTACCCGGCCGTGTGAGGTGTCAGTCTGCCCCTGCTGCGAGGTGCCTCCCAGTTAGGCTGCTTGGGGGTCAGGGTTCAGTGTCCCACTTGAGGAGGCAGTCTGCCGGTCCTCAGATCTGCAGCTGTGTGCTGGGAGAACCACTGCTCTCTTCAAAGCTGTCAAACAGCGACATTTAAGTCTGCAGAGGTTACTGCTGTCTTTTTGTTTGTCTGTGCCCTGCCCCCAGAGGTGGAGCCTACAGAGGCAGGCAGGCAGGCCTCCTTGAGCTGTGGTGGGCTCCACCCAGTTCGAGCTTCCTGGCTGCTTTGTTTACCTAAGCAAGCCTGGGCAATGGCAGGCGCCCCTCCCCCAGCCTGGCTGCCGCCTTGCAGTTTGATCTCAGACTGCTGTGCTAGCAATCAGCGAGACTCCGTGGGCGTAGGACCCTCCGAGCCAGGTGCGGGTTACAATCTCTTGGTGCGCCGTTTTTTAAGCCCGTCGGAAAAGCGCAGTATTCAGGTGGGAGTGACCCGATTTTCCAGGTGCTGTCTGTCACCCCTTTCTTTGACTAGGAAAGGGAACTCCCTGACCCCTTGCGCTTCCCGAGTGAGGCAATGCCTCGCCCTGCTTCGGCTCGCGCACGGTGCGCGCAGCCACTGACCTGCGCCCACTGTCTGACTCTCCCTAGTGAGATGAACCTGGTACCTCAGATGGAAATGCAGAAATCACCCGTCTTCTGCGTCGCTCACGCTGGGAGCTGTAGACTGGAGCTGTTCCTATTCGGCCATCTTGGCTCCTCCCCTTGGCTCTTTCTTAAAAATGGCTATTTCATCTTTCATCTCTTGAATCATTTTACCGAATTCATTAGATTCCTTGGAATGGACTTCAACTTTCTCCTGAATCTTGATGGTCTTCATTGCCATGTAGATTCTGAATTCTATGTCTGTGATTTCAGCCATTTCATTCTGGTTAAGAAGCATTGCTGGGAGTCAATGTGGTCATTTGGAGATAAGGAGACACTTTAGCTTTTAGGGTTGCCAGTGTTCTTGCACTGGTTATTTCTCATCTGTGCTGGCTAATGTTCCTTTAATTCTGGTGTAATTTGAGTATAATCAGTTGGCTTCATTTGTGGATGTTTTCAGAGGGGCGATGCTTTGTACATGATCTTTATTTGTGGCTGAATTTTTCTCCTTGTCTTCACAGGAGGGTATATTAGCAAAGTATTTTTGGTGTTGAAGCTTGGGCCGCAACCCAGTAGATGGCGCGGAAGGATAATGGCTTGTAGTTGGGCTCTTAGCCACATGGCTCCTCAGCGTTTTCTTGTGTTTCCACTCATGTTCTCTCTCTTTGCCCTGAGAATGTGAGCTCCTCTCATACTCAAGTGCTGGCCACAGATCTCAGCCTGGCACTCCTAGGCTGCACACTGAAGCCCTGGGGCTAACTCAGGCTTATTGTTCCCTTCAAGCTTGGGGAAAGCCAGGGCAAGGACCTTGGCAGTGACCATGGCAGAGGGCTTCTTACTTGTCCCTTGAGACCCCCACCCTATAGAAATGAGGAGCCACTGCCAATCAGAAAAATTATCTTGGTGTAGGGTGGCTGCATTATGGGCCCAAGCCAGGGGCCCTGCCTGGTGATTAGCAGTGGGGGCAGGGAGCTCACAGGGAAGACAGTTTGGTCTCTTCTCCATAGGGTGTCTGTGGCATGCTGGAGATGTGAGTAAAGTTCTGAGGCTTTTTGTTTCTTCCCCCACCAGGTGGCAGCAATGGCTGATACCACTGCATTGACAGTGGCAGATGGGCTGTCATTTGCCTCTGTGAACTCCAAACCAGAGAGACACAAAGCCACTGCCAATGGGTATGTTCAGCCTGTAATGGGGCAGTTGCATTGTGGGCCCAAGTCAGCGGGCCTGCTTGGTGAAGATCAGGGGATTGGGGTCTCACAGAGAAGAGAGACTAGGCTCCTCTCCATTTGGCAGTTGTGGCATGCTGGGGGTGCCAGCAAAGTAATCAGGGTCTTTATTCTTTCTCCATCCTGAGGGCAGCAAGGGTGATACCACTGCAGTGGCAATGGCAGAGAGCCTGTGTTGTTTCTGGAATTTCATCCCCAGAGAAACACAGAGCTGCCACTGACTGAAGTACTCAGGTGAGGGGAAAGTGTCTTTGCTGGTGGCCCAGATCAGGAGGCCCTGCCCAGTAAGGAGTAGCAGGGGCAGGGATCCATGTGGAAAACAGTCTGGCTGCTTTTCCACAAGGCAGCTGCGATATACTGGAGGCCTGTGATAGTTCTTGGGCTCTTCTCTCCCTCCCCAGCCTGAGGGCAGTAGGGGCGGGGGCTGAGGCAGTGGCAAAAGCTGCAGGCCTTTTGGTTACCTCTGGGAGCTCTGTCCCAGAGAAATGCAGAGCTACTACTAGCTTGAGTGTTCACGCGGGTGTGGGGTGTCTGTGCCGGGGTTCCAGGCCAGTGGGCTTTGCCTGGTGAGGAGTAACAGAGGTGAGGAAGTGAGGTTTGTGGTTCATCTGCTCCTCAGCGCCATGGGGACATGTGAGAGAACCTGGCTTTCCTTGTTGGCTGAGCTATGGCAGCTGGTGCTGCGGTGCTCAGGGATCCATGACCCTTAGGGCTACACGTAGGCCTGAGAGGTGACTCTGCCCACACTACATACACCTCTCCATGTCAGCTTGGAGGCCCCAGGGGGAGGGGACTGGGGGCTCTCCTGTGCCCAGGATTGAAACAAGCCATGGCAAAAGTGTAGGTCTCCTGGGGTTCTCACTGACTCAACTCACCATTTCCCCGCTGCGGGGAGCCTCTCTTGCCTCTGTGACAATCCCAGGTGGGCAACTGTCTTGCCTCACTCTTCTCTGCTCTCTGTGGGTCACATTGCTTACTTGGTGAATCCCAACATGTCCTCCTGGGAAAATCTCATTGAAGAACTTGTGTTTACTGGCCACCCTATCTCCTGTCCGTGAAAGTGGCATGCACTAGTTGCTTCTAGTCAGCCATCTTGGCACCTTCAGCAGTGAAATCTTTTCTAGTGTTTGTGCATTACAGTATCCTCTATAATATAACCTGTCTCCCTTTCACCATTTTGTTCTTTATGTTTTATTTTTTTCTTTCACTTTCGCTTTTGTTTCTCTTCTTTTTCTCTATTCTGCTGCTCTCCTTTTGTGCTGCTTCTCACACTCTTGCTCTTGCTTTCTCAAGCTAAATAGTTAAGAATGGAAATTGGAATCCTGCATTCACCACTCACATTTATATGACCCTGGACAGCACAATCTCTTTCTGCTGCAGATTTTTCATCTGTGAACTTGGACAGTCATACAAACTTCATCCGGTTGTTGAAAAGATTAAATGAGATAATGCAAGGGCAGAGCAAGATAGCAGAATAGAAGCCTACACCATTTGTACTCCCTGAAGGGGAGAGAAAAGCGCCATCACAATATCTAAAAATCAGGTGAGCAATCACAGTATCTGCTTTTAACTTCATATCGCCAAAAGTGGCATTGAGAAAGGTTAGAGAAACAGTCTTGAATCACTAATGACACCCCTCCCTCATCCCCCAGCAGCAGCCTTGCAGTGAAAAGTATCTGTGCACTTAGGGGAGGGAGAGCACAGTGACTGGGGGACATTATATTGAATTCAGTGCTACCTTGTCACAGTGGAGAGCAAAGTCACCCTGGGCTCAGCCAGCATCCAAACATGGAGGGAGTATTTGGACCATCCTATCTAGTGGGGAATTACCTATCCCATAAAGTTTCTCAGCAATCCTCACCATCACGGGCCAAAGTACTCTGGGGTGGTAGGTAAACTTGAAAGGCAGTCTAGGACACAAAGAGTGCAATTCCTGGACAGCTCCTAGTGCAGGACAGGGCTCAGAAGGAGAGGACTAGGGTGGCTCATGACCTAAGGAGACACCAACCAAGATAGCTAAAGATGTGCTTGTCCTACCACTCCCCCAGCCCCAGGCAACGCAGCTCATAGCAATAACAGTATCTCCTTCCTTCTGCTTAAGGAGAGGAGAACAAAGAGTATAGAGGACTTCACCTTGTATCATGAAAAACACAGCTCAGCCACAGTAGGATTAGGCACCAGGCAGAATCATGAGGCCCCCAGTCTAGGCCCTAGCTCCTGGATGACATTTCTAGATACACTCTGGTCCAAAATGGATCTCATTACCTTGAATCAAAGAAGCCAGTCCTGGCAGGATCAATCACCTACTGACGAAAGAGCCCTTGGGCCCTGAGTAACCAGCAGCAATACCCAGGTAGTATACTGTGACCCTTGGGCTCTGAGATTTGCTTACTTCAGATGTGATCCAGCACATTCTCAGCTGTGATGGTGATGGTGAAAGACTCTGTCTGTTTGAAAAAAGCAGAGGAAAAGTAAATTGGACTTTGCTTTGTACCTTAGGTACCAACGTGCCCACAGTAGGGTGGAGCAACAAGCAGGCACTTGGGGTCCCCAAAACTAGGCCTAGGCTCTCAGGCAGCATTTCTAGACCTGCCTTGAGCCACAGGGGAGCCCACTGTCCTGAAGAGTGATTCCCAGGCCTGGCAGCATTCACCACAAACTGACTGAGAAGCCCTTAGTTCTTAAGTGAACACCAACAGTGGCCTGGCAGAACACTCCTGGTGGGGTGGTGGTGATGTCCACAGGGAGGGGCTCCTTTGCCTTTGGAAAGAAGAGGAAAGAGTGGGAAGAACTTTATATTGTGATTTGAATGCCAGCATATCCACAGTAGAATAGAATATCAGGCAAATTTCTAAGGTCTTTGATTCCAATCTCTGGCTCCCAGAAAGCATCTCAGGACCCACCTGGGGCCCGGGGGAGCTCTCCACCCTGAAGAGAAGAACACAAACCTTGCTGGATTTGCTATCAGTAGATTGTAGAGCCCTAGAGCCTTGAGTAATAATAGTTGTTAGCCAGTAGTGGTTACAGCAGGCCTTGGACAAGACGCAGTGATGTGCTGGCTTCAGGTCTGACCCAGCTCTAGGAGTGGCCAGAGGGGTTCATGCATAATCAAACCCCCAGTTCCAGGCAACTCAGCACAAATAAACTGTTGATTTGGGAGAAAATAAGGGTAAAGAACAAGAGTCTCTGCCTTGTAATCTAGAGAATTCTTCCAGATCTTAACCAACACCACCAAGATGGTACCTCTATGAATCTGCAAAAACCACAACAATATTGGGCTTGGGGACCAAGTCCATTCAAATTCCTAGAACACCTTCCAAGAAGGATGGGCATAAACAAGCCCAAACTGCAAAGACTACAATAAATACCTAACTATTCAATACCCAGACACCAACAAACATGCACAAGTATCAAGATCATCCAAGAAAACATGACCTCACCAAATGAACTAAATAAGGCATTGGGGACCAATCATGGAGAAACAGAGACATGTGACCTTTCAAACAGATGATTCAAAATTGCTATTTTGAGGAAATTCAAAGAAATTAAAGATATCACAAAGAAGGAATTAAGAATTCTTTCAGAGAATTGTAACCCAGAAGTTGAAATAACTAAAGAGTAGAGCAGAAATTCTGGAGTTGGAAAATGCAATTGACATACTGAAGAATGCATCAGAGTCACTTAATAGCAGAATTTGTCTATCACTAGAAATAGTGAGCTTGAAGACAGGCTGAAATTACACAATCGGAGGAGACAAAATAAAAAAAGAATAAAAAACAATGAATCATGCCTGCAAGCTCTAGAAAAAAAAAGGCTCAAAAGGGCAAATCTAAGAGTTATTGGCCTTAAAGAAGAGGTAGAGAAAGAGATAAGGGTAAAAAGTTTATCCAAAGAGATAATATCAGAGAACTTCCCAAACCTAGAGAAAGATATCAATATTCAAGTACAGGAATGTTTAGAACACCAAGCAGATTTAACCCAAGGAAGACTACCACAAGGCACCTAATAATCAAACTCCCAAAGGTCAAGGGTAATGAAAGGATCCTAAAAGCACCAAGAGAAAAGAAACAAATAACATACAATGGAGCTCCAATACATCTGGCAGCAGACTTTTCAGTGGAAGCCTTACAGGCCAGGAGAGAGTGGCATGATATATTTAAGGTGCTGAAGGAAAAAATCTTTTACCCCAGAATAGTACATCCAGCAAAAATATCCTGCAGGCATAAAGGACAAATAAAGACCTTCCCAGAGAAACAAAAGCTGAGGGATTTTATCAACATCAGACTTGTTCTAAACAAATGCTAAAGGGAGTTCTTCAATTTGAAAGAAGAGGATGTTAATGAGCAAGAAAAAAATCATCTGAAGGTACAAAACTCACTGGTAATAATAAGTACACAAAAAAAACCCAGAATATTGTAACACTGTAATTTTGGTGTGTAAACTATGCTTAAGTAGAAAGACTAAATGCTGAACTGATAAAAAATAATAACTACAAGAACAGTTCACGACACAGATAGTACTATAAGACATAAAGAGAAACAAAAAAAAATTTAAAAATGAGTGGATGGAGATGGAGTTAAAGTTCAGAGTTGTTATTAGTTTTCTTTGTGTGTATGTGTTTGTTTGTTTGTGTCTACAATCAATGTTAAGTTGTCATCTGTTTAGAATAATGGCTTATAAGATAGTATTTGCAAGCTTCACGGTAACTTCAAATCAAAAACCATGCAATAGATACATAAAAAAAACAAAAAGCAAGAAATTACATCATACCCCCAGAGAAAATCAACTTCACTAAAATGAAGACAGGAAGGAAGAAAAAAATGGAAGAGAAGACCACAAAACAACCAGAAAACAAATAACAAAATGGCAGGAGTAAGTTGCTACTTATCGATAATAACATTTGATATAAATAGACTAAACTCCCCCATCAAAGACATAGAGTGGCTGAATGGATGAAGAAACAGGGCCCCATGATCTCCTGCCTGCAAGAAACACACTTCACCTATAAACATATGCATAGACTGAAAATAAAGGACTGGAATAAAGTATTCCATGACAATGGAAACCAAAAAAGAGCAGAAGTAGCTCTACTTATATCAGACACAATAGATTTCAAGAGAAAAACTGTTAGAAGAGACAAAGAAGGCCATTTATATATAATATAAATATATTTATATTTATATGTAATGACAAAGGGGTCAATCCAGCAACATGATATAATGATTGTAAATATATAATCACCCAACACTGGAGCACACATATATATAAAGCAAATATTATTAGAGCTAAAGAGGAGATATAGACCTCCATACAATAATAGCTGGAGACTTCAGCACCCTACTTTCAGCATTGGATATATCTCCCAGATAAAAACACAACAAAGAAACATCAAACATAATCTGCACTATAGAACAAATGAACCTAATAGATATTTACAGAACATTTCATCCAAAGACTGTGCAATACACATTCTTCTCAGCATGCGGATCATTATCAATGATATACCATATGTTAGGTCACAAAACAAGTCTTAAAATATTTAAAAAAATTGAAAGCGTATTAAGCATCTTCTTTGACCATAATGGAATAAAACTAGAAATCAGCATCAGGAAGAATTTTGGAAATTATACAAATACATAAAAATTAAACAATATGCTTCTGAATGATAAGTGAGTCAAAAAAATCAGAAGAAAATTGTCAAACTTTTTAGAAGAAATTATAATGGAAACACAACATACCAAAACCTCTGTGATTCAGTGAAATCAGTACTAAGAGGGAAATTTTTCGCTATAAGTGCCTACATGCAAAAAGAAGAAAAACTTCAAATAGATAACATAGTGATACATGTTAAAGAACTAGAAAAGCAAGAGGAAACCAAACTCAAAGTTAGCAGAAAAAAATAAATAGTCGCAATCAGAACAGCAATAAATGAATTTGAAATGGTGAAAACAACACAAAAGATCAATGAAACAAAAAGTTGGTTTTTTGAAAAGACAAAATTGACAAAACTTTAGCCAGACTAATGAAAATAAAAGTGAGAAGACACAAATAAATAAAATCAGAGATGAAAAAGGAGATATTACAACTGATACAACAGAAATTCAAAGGATCATTAGTGGCTACTATGAGCAACTATATGCCAATAAAATGGACAATCTAGAAGAAATGGACAAATTCCTAGACATGTACAACCTACCAAGCTTGAACAAGGAAGAAATCCAAAACCTAAACAGACCAATAATAGGTAATGAGATCGAAGCCATAATAAAATGTCTTTCAGCAAAGAAAAGCCTGGGAGCCCATGGCTTCACTGCTGGATTCTATGAGATATTTAAAGAAGAATACCAATCCTATCCAAACTATTCCAAAAGATAGTGAAAGAGAGAATATTTCTAAACTCATTTTATGAGGCCAATATCATCCTGATACCAAAACCAGACAAAAACGCAGAAGGAAAGAAAGAAAAGAAAAGCCACAGACCAATATCTCTCATGAATATTGATTCAAAAATCCTCAACAGAATACTAGCAAACTGATTTGAACAACACATTAAAAAGATAATTCATCATGATGAAGCGGAAATTACCCCAAGGATGCGAGGATGTTTCAACATACCCAAAACAATCAATGTGCTACATCATATCAACAGAATGAAGGACAAAAACCATATGATCGTTTCAAATGATGTTGAAAAAGCATTGATAAAATTTAACATCTCTTCATGAAAAATATCTTTAAAAACTGGTCATAGAAGGAACATCCCTCAACAAATTAACATACATGACAGAACCATAGCTAGTATCATACTAAATAGGGAAATGCTGAAAGCCTTTTTTTCTAAGATGTGGAACAAGACAAGGATGCTCACTTTCATCACTGTTATTCAACATTGTACTGGAAGTTCTAGCTAGAGCAATCAGACAAGAGAAAGAAACAAAGGACATCCAAATTGGAAAGGAAGAAGTCAAACTATCTTTGTTTGCTGATGATATAATTTTTTATTTGGAGAAACCTAAAGACTCCACCAAAAAACTATTAAAACTGATCAATTCAGTTCAGTTTCAGGATACAAAATCAACGTAAAAATTAGTAGCATTTCTATATGACAACAGTGTACAATATGAAAAAGGAATAAAGTAATCTCATTTACAATAGCCACAAATAAAATTAAATACCTAGGAATTACCTTAACCAAGGAAGTAAAAGATCTCTACAATGAATACTATGAAACACTTATGAAATAAATTGAAGAGGACACCAAAACATGGAAAGATATTGCATGTTTATGGATTGGTAGAATCAATATTGTTAAAATGTCCATATGACCCAAAGCAATCTACAGATTCAATGCAATCCCTATCAAAATACCAAAGACATTCTTTATAGAAATAGAAAAAATTATCCTAAAATTTATATGGAACCGCAAAAGACCCAGAATAGCCAAAGCTATCCTGAGCAAAAAGAACAAAACTGGAGGAATCATATTCCCTGACTTCAAATTATACTTACAGAGAACCACAAAAGACCCAGAATAGCCAAAGCTATCCTGAGCAAAAAGAACAAAACTGGAGGAATCATATTCCCTGACTTCAAATTATACTTACAGAGTTATAGTAACCAAAACAGCATGGTAATGTCATAAAAACAGACACATCGACCAATAAAACAAAATAGAGAACCTAGAAGAAAATCCACACACCTTTAGTGAACTCATTTTTGACAAAGGTGCCAAGAACACATACACTGGGGAAAGGACAGTCTCTTCAATAAATGGTGCTGGGAAAACTGGATACCCCATATGCAGAAGAATAAAACTAGACCCCTATACAAAAATCAAATCAAAATGGATTAAATACCTAAATCTAAGACCTCAAACTATGAAACTACTACAAGAAAACATTGGGGAAAATCTCCAGGACATTTGTCTGGGCAAACATTTGATCAATACCCCACAAGCTCAGGAAACCAAAGCAAAAATGGACAAATGGGATCACATCAAGTTAAAAACCTCCTGCACAGCAAAGGATATAATCCACAAAGTGAAGAGACAACCCACAGAATGGGAGAAAATATTTTCAAACTATTCATCTGACAGAATGTATAAGGAGTTCAAACAACTCTATAGGAAAAAAATCTAATAATTTGATCAAAAAACTGGGCAAAAGATTTGAATAGACATTTCTCAAAAGAAGGTAAACAAATGGCATACAGGCATACGAATAAGTACTCAACATCATTGATCATCAGACAGCTGCAATCCAGAACTGCAATTAGATATCATCCCACCCTAGTTAAAATGGCTTTTATCCAAAAGACAGGCAGTAAAAAATGCTGGCGAGGATATGCAGAGAGAACCCTCATAAACTGTTGGTGGGAATGTAAATTAGTACAACCACTATGGAGAACAGTTTGGAGGTTCCTCAAACAAATAAAAATAGAGCAAATCCAGCAATCCCACTGCTGGGTACATACCCTAAAAAAGAGAAATCAGTATATCGAAGAGATATTTCTCTCCCATGATTGCTGCAGCACTGTTCACAATAGCCAAGATTGGAAAGCAACCTAAGTTTCCATCAACAGATGAATGAGTAAAGAAAAATGTGATACTTAGATGCAATGGAGTACCATTCAGCCCTAAAAAGGAATAGGATTCTTTTATTTGCAACAACATGGTTGGAATTGGAGGCCATTATATTAAGTGAAATAAGCCACGTGCAGAAAGAAAAATTGCATGTTCTCACTTATGTGTGGGATGTAAAAATCCAAACAATTGAACGCATGGAGATAGAGAGCAGAAGGACGGTTACTAGAAGTTGGGAAGGGTAGTGGGTGGGGGGTGGGTTGAGAGAAGGTGGGGATGTTTAATGGGTTCAAAAAATAGAATGAATAATACCTAGTACTTGACAGCATAACAGGTGACTCTAGTAAAAATAATTTAACTGTACATTTTAAAATAATGAAAATATTATAACTAAATGGTTTGTAACACTGAGGATAAATGCATGAGGAGATGGATAACCCATTTTCTATGTTGTAATTATTATACATTGCATGCCTATACCAAAATATGCCATGCACCTCATATACACCTACTATGTACCCACAAAAATTAAAAATAAAAAATTTAAAAACAAATTTTAAAATTGAGATAATGTGCATAAAATATTTAGTGCTGTACCTGTTACATAATAAACAATTATGTTTAACATTCACATTCTTTTCTCTTTTTCTTCTTTCTTTCATATTTTGTTTCTCTTTTATGTGTTGTTATTTTTCCCTGCCTCTTATTCTCATCAGTATTAAACTCCACTCTTCAGCACTCTTAGTTTGTCTCAGCAACTGGATAGCTCTGTGCAGGTACTTGACAACTTGGGCTCTGCTGACACATCCTTTAATCTCTTTCCCTTAGCCTTTCCTCCGTCTGGAAGTCATAGTGATTTTTTACTAAATTGCAAATATTGCCATATAATTGTCTGCTCACAACCCTACCTATAGTATATAATCCTACATCCTCATCATAGAATACAAGGCTTTCCATAATATTGCCCCTAGCATCATATTCAAACTTCATCTCTGCCACTGAAATAGCTCATAAAATAGGATTACATACACATAGGTGTGCTTTTTCCTCAAACACACCACATTCTGGTTCCTCTGAACCATGGTGCGTCTTCTTCCACTTTACCTGGTGAACCATCAAAATCCAGCCATAAATTCTTTCCCAACTCTGTTTTCCATATTTGATTCTTCTTTCCTTTTTGCTCCCACAGAAGTTTATGCAAATCACTATGGCAATGCCTATCACAATGTTAGTATGGATATACCCAAGTAGATTCTGAGCCCCTAAGATCAAAGATATGTTTTGCTTCTCTTCATTATTTCTGGGTCCTATAACTGAGCCTGTAACTCAACAAATAAACATATTGTATTTCTAAAATTAGTTTTCACCAGTCTGGATAAGATTTATATTTAGGATTTATGTCTACATAGCTGATATGATTTAAGTCAACTTTGATGTCTTTGCTCAATTGCAGACAACCCCAGAGAAAAGTTGCATAATGGCCCTTTCTGTGTATCTTTGAAAATGGGCAAATAATCCTAAAATATATAGGAACAAATTGTGTAAAGATCAGGAGATGGACAAGGGTCACACTTCAAGTCCCCTCTCAGCCGTAGGGTTCTATTTTAACAAGCCATAGGCCTAGTATATCTTGGGAAGTACTTGACAATTATGATAAATTATTATTTTTATTACCTTTCTATCTAAAGGTTTCAGATAACAGAGTAAAGATCAATAATCTTCTTTTGTGTTTCTCCTGGGGGAGAGGGGATAGGTGAAGGATAGTATTTTGTTTTCCAGTTTTGCTGACATATTGGCCTCCTTCCCACTTCTGAAGATCTGCCCTTTTTACTCTTTGGTTTTACAACTGGACTGTTTCCTGTCTGGCTTGCAAGCCATTTGCAATGGAAATTAGATATAATCTCTTCCATATAGGAATTTAGGAAAGAATTCTAAGAAAAAGTTAGTTGAAAACCTTTGGATCAACAAATTTCAAAGCTTGTAGACACAAAAATCTCTAGATGCTGAAGAAAGAGTGGAATCTAGGTGTAGGGTTGGTGGCTTTCACTGGTGTAAGCAGAAGGTGATAAATTGGAATGGGTTTCTTTAAGAAATGATGAAGAAAATAGATGTGAGCAGGAAGAAAGACTTAACCATGTATCAGAGAGAGATTACACAATGTTCCTGGAAGCCGGAACACTGAAGCAGATAGCTAAAGGTGATGGGAGACAAAATGAGGGGAAAGTAAATTGACTTGTTTATTTGCTAACCAAGGAACAACAAAAGGGAAGAAAGGAGAAATAAGGAAATGAACATGTAGGGGTGAAAAAGGCAAGTTGTCTGACTCAGACTCTCTCCAAGAATCTTAACATAAACAAGAACCTGGTCATCCTTAAGGATGCATTCATCCCGAGAACAAGTCAATACAGCTGACTAATTTCAAATGAGAGCCCATCTTATCTGGGCAACTGCTCCAAACAGACCAAGAAAATGTATGCTGAAATGAGAAACATGAGAATCATAAGATCCAGTACAGAGTCTTGGCAGCCCTATCAACAAGCAGCTGTGTGGCCTTGGACAAGTCACTTCCTCTCTCTATTTTTTTATTCTGTTCTCTGAAATGAAGACAATTAAATTCTGCCCTCAATACCTCATAATTGGCTGTGAAAATCAAATGAGCTGGCACTGAAAACTTTGATTATGGGGGCTTCTGTCAGGTTTTTATCTTTTTTTTTTTTCCAGAAAGATACTAGAGGACTGTTGCATATAGACCCAGTAGTCATGTCTTCAATTCTTTTATTTTCATAGTCTTGCCCAGGTCTAGAACTTGTTGGGCAGGCTGGCAGCAACATTACCAATAGATTGTATAATAATTTTTAAAGCTTTAGAAATGATAAATCCATGCACTTCCTGTGGCATTGATTATAAAAGTAAAATAAAAGCTCAGCGATCAGGATTGTGTTCTGTGTGTACATTCTGCATGGTTCCAGGGGAAATAAAACAGACATAAACCAACTCAGTAGCCTTAAAGCTGTGCTAATCCCAAGAGCCAAGGTCTTTACGAGCAGAGAGAACAGATTGAGCTTCTAGAAGTAAGGAGAGATGTGGGATGTTTACATTTTGCTGAACGAAGAAAAGAATGGGCCAACTGTCCTTTGTATTAAAAAAATGACATACTTTGGACCCAATAGCTGTCTTCTTTTAGTTTTTCTTCAGTAGTCAGGGTGGATTTGTACTGAGCCATCCTCATAATCTTACTTAAGCCAAAGTCTCCCTTAGTGTGGTGACTCACTGAACTGAGGTTAGGACTTAGTCAGTGGCCTGAGCTAGAGCAGCAGCTATAGCTGCTTAAACAGTTTTTCTCTGTATATGTCAACCTTCTACATTAGCTTTGTTAATATTGGTTTCTAACCAAACAAACTGTCTGTCCCAGCTCAAATGACACAGTGTTGTTTGCAAATTTTTATTCGTAGATACCTAAACATATATTAAGAGGCATATTGGTACAATTATTCAATGCACATGGCCACACCCATGTGTGTCTGTGTGTGTGTGTGTGTGTGTGTGTGTGTGTGTGTATGTGTGTATGGTTTATGTGTTCATTGGTACAATGCTTAGTGCCACTCATGATGTTAGTAGAATCGTTAGCTATGGAAGGGAATTAGCTAAGTATATCCATTCTATCATGTGGCTTTTCCATCCATCTACAAGGGCCTCTGAGTCTTCTAACAGATCATCTGGCCTCTGCTGGCAATTATGGGAAGAAAGAATGGAGGATACATGGGAGGATTTTGTGGTTCAGGGCTAGAAGTAGTTCATGTTAATTCTACCCACATTTCAATGTCCAGACTATCACACTGCAAGTAAGTGTCTTAGAAATATAGTGGAGCTTGTTTTATTAAAGGAAAGGAAACAGATTTTGGTGAACACATTGCAGTCTCTGCCATGCCAGTTTGTCTGAAAATGGAGTTTGGAATTTTTTTTGTTTCATTTTTATTTTATATGATTTCTAAAAGGAGAAATAGCAAGATATTGAAATAATGTTTCCTCGATGTACATATTAAAAGCCTATAGAATAATGGATAACAGAATGAACTTTGATGTCAGAAAGACTTAGATTCAAGTTCCAGTCCTTGTACCTCTAGCTGTGTGACTTTAAGCCAGTTGTGTAATGGGGGCCTCAAAATGTTGTTGTGAAGAGTCAATGAAAACGTTAGTGTAAACTTCTTTATCTTGGAGCTGGCAGTATTATGATTAGTAATAATAGTAGCAGCATATTGGCAAGCAAAACATAGATTGGTCCGTGAGGAGTCAGAGGCATGAGAAGTAGATACAGTTAAGACCCATGTGGGCTGAGATATGCAAGGGCACGTTCAGATTAGCAATTACAGAGGATAATGGCTTTCAGTAAACCTTTAGGATATTGGCCAGTATAGTAGGTTTTCTTTTAGCCTTGGGGGTGGTGTAGTTATCTCATGCAATCTTGTTTAGGCCTTACTGTTGAGCTTTAAGTTCTAGAAAATCTCTAGAATTGCTGCTGTTTGATGCTGGGCCCTGTCTCTACCTATGCCACTCCATGAGATCTCTCTGGGCAGTAATATTTTCAATTCAACGTTTTTTTCCTACCTGATCAATACGTATCAAGTCACATACTATTAACTATCATACCATCATACCGTATCCCTTCCCTTCTCAACCTCTGTCCATGGAGTCATATCTCCAAGAAACCTGTCTTAATTAGTTCCATGCTTATTCTTCTTTCTCATTGGCTCATAAAATATTGTTCAGTTGACTTTGTAATTATATATTTTTCAGCTCTTTGAGAGGGTCAGTAAACTTTTGTCTTGCATTTATGTGTTTGGACAATAATTAGATGGTCAGATTCTGAGAAGTATGGACAAAAAAGCTTTCCATATTTTCTTCATGTCCCCTCTAAAGTACCTAAAATTGACTTTTCACACAGCAGTCATTCAGGGAAAGTTGAATGATTAACTGCCATTTCGTTATATCCCTAGTGTACTGCCAGATTCTTCAAGTAAAGCTGCAAAAACAGTCCTTGTACTTTCTGCTGCCTCTCTAGAGAAGGGAGAACTGATAACAGCTGAGAGTTTGCTGGAGAATTTCTCAGGCCCCTAGAAAATAGTGCCTGTTTTGAACACATGGCTGAATAGTGCTTTGGAAGATGGACAGATTTTTGGGGGGTACCAGAGGGCTTTGCAAATGAGCAACATTGTATATGTGTGACGTCACTGTCTGGGCCAGGATCCACAAGGGGTCATAGGAAATATTGAGAATTGGCTTCCATAGCAGTAAACCAATTCTGTTCTGCTTGAGTTGTTCTAAGAAATAGAGCAATAGGACTTGGCATTCGTGTAAGTGGAAGGATTTGAAAGCCACGAGGCAGTAAGTGATTGAGGTTAAAGCCATTAGAGGAATGGTGTTTAACACATTGTTAATTGGGTAATGGGGAAGAAGGTAACTGGGCAGTCCAGAGAGACACAATGCTTTGAACAGAAGGAAGGAATTTGGCCTGCACTAAGTTGTGTGGTAAAAAGCTGTATATTTCTCTTTTGTGCAATGCATCATCTCTCACTAAATAGATTGACAAGTAGTCATCTTGGATCTATTCAGGCCAGCAGAGCAGTAGAGAGGTTCTTGGAGAAGTGTCACTGTAGATAAAAGAGAAACCCTATGTATTGTCCTTTGCAAACTAAGTTGCCATTCTTTACCACTGTAACTGCCATTCAGCAGACATTTACTGAGGAAATGCTGATTCTATACTATGCTCTGTTTGAGGTGATGAGAATTCAGCAGTGAAAAAAGGCAGTGGCTTCTGACCCCTAAAAAGAAGACACATAAATGGCTGACCACCACATATCACAGTATGAGATGTTTCTCTTGAAGGGAGGAGAGTTTGTGGCACTAAGAGGTACTGTCTCCCTTATGATCATCAGTAAACTTTGTACTTTGTAAAATCACATTATTTTTATCTCTAAAAGTGACAAAAGCTAAAAATGTGGATAATATAAAAATATAGCAAAGGGAATTATTTATAATCCCACAAGAAATAATTAATTTTTTATTATTTCATTCATTTTCATTTGTATTACATAGATGTACGTAAACATTAGTTGACGCACTGTATATATTTCAATCCTGTATTTTTATAGTAAATTAAATAATTTTTATATTATTAAAACACCACAAATATTTTAATGGCTGAGTAGCATTCCATTGTGGATACATCATATTTTACTCAACCATTCTCCAATTAACAAAGATTTCAAACAGTAAACATTTTTGAAATGTTTAGGATAGACAAACAATTGAGTTTGCATCTATTAATTAGTTTATTTAAAAGACTTATTGACTGCAAGAAAAACAGAGGGAGAAAGGGAGGAAGGCAGAAATGAAAAGAAAGGGGGAGGGAGAGAGGAAGGAAAGGAAATAGAGAGAGAAAAAGAGAGAGACACTAGATCTGGTTATATCTGATTCTGTTATGTAATGCTGAGAATAATATCCCCAAGATTCCCTTTGGTGATCACTTGTCTATCAGTTTCTCGGCATAACTATATTGTGACCTCAACATTAGGACCTCATGGATATTAATGGTCGATATAAGGGCATGGACTTTCCCCTTTGGTCTTCATAGTATTTGAGAGTTTGCCTTTGGTGGGATTTGGAAGAACATGGAATCAAAGTTTGGCATTGAGAAACCCTGGAAATTTTAATAAGAAGGCAGGGGAAGCTAAAAGAAGATATTTTTCCTTTTCTTGGCTAGGAGACTAGGGTACTGCAGAGTTTGAGGCAACACAGTTCTTAAAACCACACTCAGGTGCAATGTTTAAGGACTCACAGAACTTACCGAAAGCTGTTATATCCATGGTTATGAATTATTACAGCAAAGGGATACAGATTAAAATCATTCAAGAGAAGATATGCATAAGGCAGAGTCAAGAAAAGTTGCAAATATAGAGCTTCTAGTTGTCCTTTCTTAAGGAGTTATGGGCAGCATTATTTTTATCAGTATCAGTGTGTGACAATATGCAGTGTATTACCAACTGGAAAAGCTCATCTGAGCCTTGGTGTCCAGAGTTTTTATTACAGCTCCATGGTTGACTACCTATATGACTGATCCTTAGTTTCCATACTCTCTAGTGGTAGAGCTGTTACCATGTGGCTGGCCTATAGTCTCCATTTCTTTAAAGTGGAGTGAACTTTGCATGGCCCAAAGCCCTTGTCATAAATTGTATTGTCTTACTGTCTCGAGTCAAGGCCGCCTAGTAAACAAATACACTTTGTATCAGGCATGACATGCCAAAGCCTTAGCTATTACTTCCCAGAAGCCAAGATCAAAGGCCAGCCCTTTTTCTGGGCAAAGTAAATTCTTTACTATACAGATACCCTGTTCAGTGGAGACCTTCCCTTGATGATTCTCTTCTAGCATGTGGCATGCTGTGAAAGAAACCACTGAGGAAGCTGATACTATGATTTATGTTTTAGAAGGGAGGTAGTGACTTAAGCCCATAGAACACTGTTCGGTGTTCTATGACACTTTGCTTGGCCTACTCTTCTTTTTCTGCTGGGCTGTCCAGGTCTAAGTACGAATAGAATAGGTAGTTATGTGCTGTGACATGAGATATAAGAAAAAAATTTCCTAACATCAAACCTATTTTCTTACACCTTGGGGGGCCACAGAACACCCGAACCAAATAATCCCTTAAAGATCATCTAGTTTGGGGGTTGGCACATTACGGCCTGGGGGCCAAACCTGGCTCTCTGCCTGTTTTTGTAAATAAAGTTTTATTGGAACAGAGTCATGCTTATTCATTTATATATTGTCTATGGCTGCTTTCATGTTACAATGGAGAGTTCAGTAGTTGTGACAGAGAATATACCTGCAAAAACACTATCTGGCCCTTTACAGAAATATGTTTGCTGACCATTAGACTAGTTCAATTATATTATTACACAGATAGAGAAATTGAAGCCCAAATTAGAGAAATTCTATTAAGCTAGGCAAATATCTATTGAATCCCTACTCTGTGCTGGGCACTATTAAAGACACTTGATGTACATTAGTGAACAAAACAGATTACAAAATGTTATACTAATTATACTAACAATTATACTGACATTATACTAATGTTAGCAATTGATAGTGCCACAGAAAGAGACAAACAAAAGGATAGTGGATTAAAGGAAAGTAAGGAGTGTGGAATAAGTAGAGGAGTTGAATTTAAATAGGCTGATAAGAGTAGGTTTCACTGAGAAGTCAAGCTTTGAGAAAAGACTTGAAGAAAGTGAGGGTGAACCTTGGAGACAACTGGGGGTAGACCTTGCTAGGCAGAAGAAAATGTTTATGTGAAGGCCTGAGGCAGATACATTCCAAGAACGGCAAGAAGGCCAGTTTGTTTGGAGTAAAGTGAGTGACAAGAAGGGCAGTAGTAGATGAAGGAAGAAAGGTAATGGGGGTACCAGATGTCATAGGACTTGTAAAGTCATTGGGAAGGCTATGAATGAAATGGGGAGCCACTGTAGATTTTGAGCAGAGGAGTGACATGATCTGACAGATTTTTTAAAGGATATTTATAGCTCTACTATTTTTTATTTTTTTGAGACAGAGTCTCTCTCTGTCGCCCAGGCTGGAGTGCAGTGGTGAGATCTAGGCTCACTGCAAGCTCCGCCGCCCAGGTTCATGCCATTCTCCTGCCTCAGCCTCCTGAGTAGCTGGGACTACAGGCGCCCACCACCACGCCCAGGTAATTTTTTTGTATTTTTATTAGAGACGGAGTTTCACCGTGTTAGCCAGGATGGTCTTGATCTCCCGACTTCATGATCCACCTGCCTCAGCCTCCCAAAGTGCTGGGATTACAGGCATGAGCCACCTCATCTGGCCAGCTCTACTATTAAAAATAGACTGTTAGGGGGATGAGGGTGAAAGCAGGGGACCAGTTAGGAAGCTATGCTAGTAATCTAGCCTAACAATGATGTTGACTTTGACCATCTTGGTAGCAGTGGAAGAGGTGAGAAGTGATCAAATTCCAGATTTACTTTGAAGGTGCAACTAACAGGATTTGTTAAAGATTTGGATATTGGGTATAAGAGAAAGTGGGGAATCCAGGCTTTTAGCCTGAGTAACTGAAAAGATGGAGTTGTCAAAGTCATACAGGAAGTTGGTGGAAGAGCAAGGTCTTGAAACCAGGCTCCCCTAATTCCCAATCTAGTGTTCTTTCACTAATATGACTGGGCTTCCTGGGGATGCTGATATGACTCTTAGACAATGGAAGCTGGCCTAAAGCATGTGCAGCAGTAGCAGTATACAAATGATAAACGCCGTCTCAGAGCTATGGCTTTTACAGAGTATCACTATTTTCAGGTTTATTTCCAGGTTTATCTCTCTGAGTGCAGGGAAGGAAAAATTTCCTTAATATTTAGCTCAAGCTCATTAAAAAGTCTCCCCTTGACCAGCTTTGATAAAGAGAAGAAAACAAACATAATGGCCCTGCTTGAATCTCACAAGATAATAAATATTCCTAGTGAACATAATTGTTTTTAACCTTTATGCCAGGTACAATAAATGTCAAAGGGAAAGATAACCCAGCACTCTCCTGAAATGGCTTAAATAATAGGCCCCAGTTTGCTTTAATGGGAATTTACCCAGTAGACACACTCATATAACAAATGAGAAATCCCTAATGAGAGTTGTATTATTTCTATTGGCTTTTATGCCATCCTTAATTGATTGCCATCATGCACAGCTAATTAAGAGTGTGATAATCTGAATGAGGTATTTTCAGCCAGCGCAATGGTGCCTGCTTTAAAACAATGACTTCCGGAAGCCCATGTCAAGGTGGCTGGCAGGTTACTCTATAGCTGGGGACTACCCCATTAGAAAGCACTAGTGTGCGCTAACTCATCTAGTCTGGCACCATCCTGGGGAATGATTGCTCTAACTGGGTGGGAGCATTGAGAGCATCCCTCAATGATGCCAAAACCCCCCCTAAGGAATGGCCTTCTTGGCCTGAGCACTCCCATTTAACTTCCTGCACCTAAGGGCCCATTCCTATATCTCTATGCCTCCATATCAGGGATTCTTATCCTGAATTTCTTTCACAGACCTCTTTTCAGGATGTTGGGGAGGTGCACTGAAAAGAGGACAAATTTGCATTATTATTCTCAGCTCAGGGACAAACTGGCTATATGACCTAGAATATATCACTTCTGCTCTGTAATCTTCTAGTTTCTCCACTAGAAAGTGAAGGATTGAGAGAGGTAAATTTCAAGGTTGCTTTTAGTTTTGCCTTTTGGTTATTTTGTGACCCCAGCATTGTCAAAAGTCAATGGTGTTATTGAGGAAGGTTTGCTAAATGCAGACTTTCCATGGTCTCTTCTGTGAGTTTGGGATAAGAAAATTTGTCTAGCCACCTTCAAGCACTCCTTTTTGCAAGAATCTAAATGAATGTAAAAATATCTTAAAATTTTCGAGTGCAGACCTATGGTCAGTGTCATTTTTCTGTAATAAAATTCATTAAGCCCGTTCAGCAAACACAGAATTTATTCCTTCCCGCTTGTGGGTGTTTGTGAAGAATGCCCCACGGAGTTTCTCAGGGACCTTAAAGTTTTGTGCCTCTGAGATTATACATGTTTTATTGAGGTGCTAAGTTGGCTTCTTTGGAAATGAATTTGCAACATGGAAATGCAAATTAAGACCACAAGGAGATATCATTTTGCAAAAATCAAATGGGGAAGAAAGTAAAAATCTGTTAATACCAAGTGTTAGTGAGGATATAATATAATGGGAATACTTATCTACTGCTGTTGGGAGTGTGGATTGGTATAATCTATATACCGAGTAAAGATAAACATGTGCATGTACTTGAATGTTCATGGCAGGATTGTTTTTAAGGGGAAAAACTACAAATAACATGAATTTATACATATAAAATATGTATAAGTATATTGGGGAATATCGTGCAATGAATGAAAATGAAGAAACCATAACTATAAACATCAACATAGGTAAATTTAAAAATAAAAACATGACATTTACCCAAAAATATCATGTCATAGATAAATACAAATAATATGATTTCAGTTTTACAAAGTTTTAAAAAAGTAGATAAAACCAAACAATACATTGCTTAGTGATATGGGTATAGGTGGAACAGCTACTTTCAAAAAGCTAGAGAATTGGCCGGGCTCAGTGGCTCATGCCTGTAATCCCAGCACTTTGGGAAGCTGAGGTGAGAGGATCACCTGAGGTCAGGAGTTTGAGACCAGCCTGGCTAACATGGCAGAACTGCGTCTCTACTTAAAAAAAACAAATACAAAAATTAGCCAGACATGGTGGCGGGCACCTGTAATCCCAGCTACTTGGGAGTCTGAGGCAGGAGAATCCTTGAATCTGGGAGATAGAGGTTGCAATGAGCTAAAATCATGCCACTGCTCTCCAGCCTAGGCGACAGAATGAAACTCCATCTCAATAATAATAATAATAATAATAATAATAATAATAATAATAAAATAATAAAAGCTAGAGAATGGTTAATAAAATTTTAAGGATAGTGAATATCTTTGATGAAAGAATAGGGAGGCAATTCAGAAGGTAGGGACATAAAGGGTGCTTCAAATATTGTCAGTGTACTCTTTCGTTTTGGAAATTTAAAAACTCACATTAAAGAAATATATGCCTATCAAAAACACTCAAACAATATATAATAATATAAGATAAAAATGTCAACTTTCCCTTTTCCTCTGGTCTACAATTTTACTTGAGAAGAAAAGAACACTGTCACAATAACTTGGGGTAAATCCTTCTATAACAGTTGTTCTAAAAGTTTTGTTCCTTGGGCCAGTACCATGGACATCACCTGGGAACTTGTTAGAAAAGCAAATTATGTGGCCCTGCCCCAGACCTACTGATTTAGAAACTCTGGAGATGAGGCTGTGCAATCTGTGTTTTCACAAGCCCTCTGGGTGGTTATCAACCCTAGCCAAATAACAATGGAATCACCAGTGGAACTCTGAAAAAATACGAGAGCACAGGTCCTACCTCCAGAGATAAAGCTCCTCCAGCAATTATAATATGTAGCCAAGCTGAGTGAGAGACACTGGTCTAGGCTTTCTAATATATAGATACATAATATATACATGTAATATATATTATTAGTGAAAAGCACAAGATGTAGAAGATATAGACTTTTGTCTCAGATATATATGAAAGAATCTTCTGTATCTTGCAAATTTCACTTATATTGACAAGCATACATCTATTTTATTTTTAGAGCAGTGGTTCTCAATCAGGGGTAATTTGGCACTACAGGAGACATTTGGCAATATTTGAAGCCTTTTTGGTTGTCATAACTGGGAAAGATGGTACTAGCAATTATTGGATAGAGGTCAGGGATACTGTTACATATCCTGCAATGTACAGGACAGTTTCTTTAACAATGAATTATCTGGCCCCAAACGACAATAGCACTGAGGTTAAGAAACCCTAATGAAGGACACAGAGTGTTACATTCTAAGACAGTATTACATCTTATCAAATCTATTCAATGTGCTTTGATAATTTCAGTTAATATCCATGAGTTATGAAGGGCTTGAAAACATGGTTTACATGGGTATGTCTTATCTCTCTACATTTTTTTCTAAAACTCAGTTAAGTAAGGGGTATGATTTTTGCTTCTTTTGTGTTCCTACTGCAATCAACACATTCCTGTACATGTAAAAGATATTGAAGAAAAGCCTGTTGAACTGAATCATCCCCAATCCCTACAATATAGTGGGATTCTGTCGTATTTGTTTCTGGTTTCTGGTAAACCCCAGAAATGAGGGCTGGTTGAAATTATTTCTGTCAATAACAAATGGAATTAACCGTAGAGTCTCGGATGTATTGCAGAGTGAATGATTAAAAACCATTGGCAAATAGTAAGCTGTCAGCTGTGACCTTTCAGCACTTGGTATTTTGACTGACAGTCCCCTCTTTACAGTTTAGTGAAGATGTAAACAGAGAGATATGAAACCCATTGATGGGCCAGGCAGTCAAATACCAAATATGAAAAGGTCAGCATCAAACTCTGCTTGCGGATATGACTCAGGTTAGCTTAGACTGGGTGGGCCTGTGACATTGTGGTATTGAGCTGTTGACTTAAAGGGAAGATGACAAATGGTTTCTTAGCAAATAGAATGGGAAAATCTTTAGTCTGAATCCTATTGGAGTACTGAAACCCAACTTTGGCTGAAACTTGTGTCTGGCTAAGGCTATCAATATTTCAAGTGGATAATGCCTTGGGGCTGGCTGCTTTGAAGGTTTTGTCTAGGTTGTTGTTCCCCTTTTCTTCTATCTTCTTCCAAGAAGATTTTTAGTATTTTGCTGCTACTTAACCTCTCTCTCTTTTTCTCTCTCTTTCTCTCTCCCCTCTGTCTCTCTCTCATTCTCCCTTCATCCCTCCCTCCCTTCCTTCCTCCCTTCCTTCCTTCCTTCCTTCCTTCCTTCCTTCCTTCCTTCCTTCCTTCCTTCCTTCTCTCTCTCTCTCTCTCTCAATAGGGATCTCCGTACCATGCTATTATATGTAGACCCACTCTGACAGGTATGTAATGATATCACATTGTGGTTTTAATTTGCATTTCCTTAGTGGCTAAGAACACTGAATATATTTTCATTTTCTTATTGGCCTGCTGTATCTCCTCTTCAGTGAAATGTCTCCTCATGGCTTTTGCCCATTTTCTAATTTGATTTTTTTTGTTTTTACTGTTCAGTTTTGGGATTTCTTCACATGTCTCTATATATTTGCTCTTTATTTGATATGTGGTTTGCAAATATCTTTTCCCAATCTGTAGCTTAACCTTTCATCCCGTTAACAGAGTCTGACACATAGCAAAAGTTTTGGTTCTTGATACACACCTATCAGAATGACTAGAATAAAAACAACCAAGTGTTAGTGAGGATGTGGAGAAATAAAATCATTCATACATTGCAGTGGGAATGTAAAATGACACATCCACTCAAAAACAGTTTGGCATTTTCTTATAAAACTAAAAATGAAACGGACATATTCCTCAGCAGTTGCATTCTTGGCATTTATCTCAGAGAAATTAAAATTATGCTCATGCAAAATCCTGTACACAAATGTTCATAGCATGTTTATTTGTAATAGCCAAAAACTAGAAACAACCCACATATCCTTCAGTGGGTGAATTCTTAAACAAATTGTTCTATATCCACACCATGTAATATTACTTAGAAATTAAAAAACAACAACAAACTATTGATATATCCAATAACTAAACTAATATATCAGTCTTTGGGGAGGTATGCTAAGTGAAAAAAGCCAATACCAAAAGAATACATACTGCATGATTCTATTCATATCACTTTCCTTTCTTGCTTGTCCTTCCTTCCTTCCTTCCTTCCTTCCTTTTTTGGTAAAGGGATTTGTATTTATTACCCCAGCTAGTGAAATTCTGTCAGTACAAAGAGTGTCTTTTCATATCAGTGTAGGAGGAAATTCATTACCCATTAATTTCTTTTTTAAAAAATTTTACTTTAAGTTCTGGGATACATGTGTAGAACGTGCAGGTTTGTTACATAGGTATACATGTGCCATGGTGGTTTGCTGCACCTATCAACTCATCATCTAGGTTTTAAGCCCCGCATGCATTAAGTATTTGTCCTAATGCTCTCCCTCCCCTTGCCCCCAACCCACTGACAGGCCCTGGTATGTGTTGTTCCTCTCCCCGTGTCCATGTGTTCTCATTGTTCAACTCCCACTTATGACTGAGAACATGTGGTGTTTGGTTTTCTGTTCCAGTGTTAGTTTGCTGAGGATGATGGTTTCCAGCTTCATCCACATCACTGCAAAGGACATGAACTCATTCTTTTTTACGGCTGCATAGTATTCCATGGTGTATATGTGCCACATTTTCTTTATTCAGTCTATCATTGATGGGCATTTGGGTTGGTTCCAAGTCTTTGCTATTGTAAATAGTGCTGCAACAAACATACATGTGCATGTGTCTTTATAGTAGAATGATTTATAATCCTTTGTGTATGTACCCGGTAATGGGATTGCTGAGTCAAATGGTATTTCTAGTTCTAGATCCTTAAGGAATGGCCACACTGTCTTCCACAATGGTTGAACTAATTTACACTCCCACCAACAGTGTAAAAGCATTCCTATTTCTCCACAGTCTCGCCAGCATCTGTTGTTATATACATCTGTTGTGTGTATATATATATATATATATATATAACAGATTATATATATAACAGATTATATATATATATAACAGATCATATATACATATATATATAACAGATTAGATAGATAGATAAATAGATATTCCTTGGAGAGATAATCTTTGGAGAGAAAGGAAATCAGTATATCAAAGTCATATGTGCACTCCCATGTTTATTTCAGCAGTATTCACAATAGCCAAAATTTGTAGGCAACCTGAGTGTCCATCAGCATATGACTGGCTAAAGAAAATGTGGTTCATATACACAATGGAGTAGTATTAAGCCATAAAAAAGAATGAGATCCTGTCATTTGCAACCAGGTGGTTAGAACTGGAAGTCATTATGTTAAATGAAATAAGCCAGGCACAGAAAGACACACTTCACATGTTCTCACTTATTTGTGGGAGTCAAAAATTAAAACAATTGAACTCATGGAGAAGGAGAATAGAATGATGGTTACCAGAGGCTGGGAAGGGTAGTGGGGGTGCAGCAGGGAAAGTGGGGATGATTAATGGGTACATAAAATAGAAAGAATATATAAGACCTATTTGATGGCACAAAAGGATGACGACAGTCAATAATAATTTAATTATACATTTAAAAATAACTAAAAGAGTATAATTGGATTGTTTGTAACACAAAGAAGAAATGCTTGAAGGGATGGATACCTCATTTACCCTGATGTGTTTATTACAAATTGTATGTCTGTAAAAAACAAAATAAAAGAAAATAACTAAAAGAGTATAATGGACTTGTTTGTAACACAAAGAAAAAATAAATGCCTTAGGTGATGGACATCCCATTTACCCTAATGTGATTATTATGAACTGTCTGTCTGTATTAAAATATCTCATGCAACTCACATATATATATATATATATATATACATACACTATATATATACCTTATATATATACACACACCTATATATATATACACACACACACCGATATATAGGTGTGTATATATACATGGACTCACCAATATATAGAGATATACATACAGAAACCATATATATATATACCTACTAAATACATACAAAAATTAAAAAATAATAACAAATAAAATGAGATTGAAAAAACAATATATGGCAGCTAGGCATGTGGCTCACGCCTGTAATTCCAGCACTTTGGGAGGCCAAGGTGGGCAGATCACCTGAGGTCAGGAGTTCGAGACCAGCCTGGCCAACATGGTGAAACCCCGTCTCTACTAAAAATACAAAAATTAGCCAGGTGTGGTGGCGGGCGCCTATAGTCCCAGCTACTCAGGAGACTGAGGCAGGGGAATGGTGTGAACACGGGAGGCAGAGGTTTCAGTAAACCAAGTCGTGCCACTGCACTCCAGCCTGGGCGACAGAGCGAGACTCCATCTCAAACACAAACAAACAAACAAAAAAAATTAGCCGGGCGTGGTGGCAAGTATCTGTAATCCCAGCTACTCGGGAGGCTGAGGCAGGAGAATCGCTTGAACCCGGGAGGTGGAGGTTGCAGTGAGCCGAGATCATGCCATTGCACTCCAGCCTGGGGGACAAGAGCGAGACTTTGTCTCAAAAAAAAAAAAAAAAAAAAAAAAAGCATCTCTGTTATTTCTTTTGATTGCTCGTGGATCTATAATTACCTCAAAATAAAAAATATAATTAAAAAATACAAATAAATTAATAAAATTAGATCCTTCATCTTTTTCAGACCTAGCTCTCTGCTTTCTCCTTCACATATTTCTTATTTTTAATTTTTGTGTCTACTATTTCTTCTCTTCTTCCTATATCCTTAAGATGCTCTTGCTCCATGAAATACTTAAATTCTTTCCTTTCTCCGGCCTTGAGGTGTAGTAAGTCTCTCACAACAGGAGGTATTTAAGCATTTATTTTTTCTTTCATCAAACATTGAGTGCCTAATATTTGTCAGGCCCTGTGTAAGTCTGCACAGTGTAGTGTCTGGTTTCTGCTGTCTGAATATATTGAGTATAATCTGATTATATTGAGTATAACCAGAGAAATGCAACTGCTTTATTAAACACTGTTAATTCAGTGGGGTTACAAACGTGAATTACTTTTACTTGTTCCTAACCATTACCTTCAAATATGTGCTATTCAATTCCCATTCTTGTTCTCTTATTACATCTTAGATATATCCCACATCTTTCTGATTATGTTCCATCTGTTAAAGTACAGTCCACTTATTAGGATGGCTAAAGGAAAAAACTTGATAATTGCAGGTGTTGGTGAGGATGTGAAATAACTGAAATGCACCTACATTGGTAGTATGAGGGTACATTAGGACAACTATTTTGGAAAACCTTTTGCAGTTTTTACCAATTTGAACATATGTATATCCTATGACCCAGCAATTCTACTCCTAGGTATATCCACAACAGAAATGTGAACATGTTTATCAAAATAAACGTACTAGAATGTTTGCAGCAGCACTATGGATAATAAGCAAAGGCTGGAAACTTCCCAAATATACATCAACAGTACGACGGATAAATACATTGCAGTATATTCACAAAATAAAATACTATACAGTGGAGATGAACTAACTACATGAAAAAACATGGATACTTTCACAAGGTTTTGTAATATGAATTATTATAGTATCTTTTAAAAATATTCTGGGAGCACAGCATGGACAATAGATTTGAGGTAAATAAGTAATCATGGGTAATTTCCTGGAAAAAGTTACACTTGACTATTTAAAGAGGAGATAACTATAAAAATAGTTAAGTATGTAGAACATTGGAAGAACTGACAGAGGGGATTGCCTAGTGGTATAAAACAGCATAAAACATTTAGGAAACATCATGAGGTAGGTGTTGGAAATATCCATGTTTCAAGCTAGAGGGAGCAAGCCTCAGAGAGATTAAGCATCTTTCCCTAAGTCACACATGTAGTAAATTCTGGAGATAGAATTTGGGTCCAGCTCTGCTTATCTTCAAAATTGATATTTTTAACTTCTAAGTTATACTACTTTTTTTTGAAAGAATTGGTAATAGACATAAGCATGAAGTTTATATTAATGTATATAAGGTGACAATCATTTACTTGTAGAAGAGGAAGATCAGGTGAATCAGGACAATCACTTTCAGAAAGAGGAGATTACATTTGAGTTAGTTGGGCATTCAGGTAGAGACAATGGCCAGGCAAAAAAAAAAAAAAAAAAAAAAAAAAAAAAAAAAAGCAAAGACATGGATATTTAAGGGCATAAATCCCTGTTTTGTGAAACCTTATTGTATCACCAATAATTTCCAAGATATATATACAATGTTTAACAACTTCTCCCAGTTTGAGCAGCCTCACAAAAGTAAACAGCTGTTGCAATTTCCACAAATTGGGAAAATCAATAATGGACCCTTCTCTTGGCTTTTTTTTCACACACACTTATTGACAGTCTTTCACAAATTGAATTGTTGGCAACATTCTAGCTTAAACATACATTAAGTGGCACTGTTCTCAAAGGCAGCATGCTGTTTTGTTGCCCTTTGAATATATGCAAACATGCTGCCTCATTCTTTGAATTCCCAATTGAAGTTCAGTAGCCCTTTTAACTCCTGGTGAAACCCAAGTTTAGCTTTGTTCCCAGCATCATTTATGGAATGCTTTTCCACTGAGCAATATTACATAGTTACCACAGTATGGGTAACTTGTCTCTGTATCATATCACTATTATTTTGATTCTTAGCTGAAATCTTACCTTCCATTTTAAAATATGGAATGGTTAGAAAATCACGAGGATTAACTACAAAATGTATAATCTGTAATAGAAACACTTTCTTTTTCCAAAATAGGCACATAGGGCATGTTGCTTGGTTGCTATCAGTGCTTTTCCCTTCGTAGTATTATATTACAGCTGTGGGGTAGAGTCTTGGTAGTGTTCCTTCTGTTGTTTTCTGGTTTTAACTTTCACCCCACACTGAGAGAGGTAAACAAAATAGAACTAGTATCATCTTTTTCTTTCTGTAGAGATAAATTACGCCTAATATTGTTAGTCAATATTTTAACTGTCAATGATATTTCAGTTTTTAGTGTGCTTGTTTTGTTTTACTATCAGGATAGGAATGTAAAGCATTCTTGGCATACCAGTTATTCCATAAAGGTGAATCTTCCAGGCAATTGAAATTTACCCGAGAGATTTTGTTGACAGCAGGTGAAATTCTGGCTAATGACAATTGAGGACTAGTATCTCTATAGATACCAGCTGAGCTTATCTTTTTTCCCCAACCTAATTGCATGTTTATTGAAGCAATAAACACCATGAGGGCTCTGCTTTTTAGTCAGGGATGTTAATGTATTACTAAATGACTGATAAATTGTAACTCTGCTGCTTCGTTTGTTCCCAAGTCTAAGATTTAACACTGTTTTAGAAACAGAAAACTGTACATCATCATGATGTTCTGACTTTGTATTTCTGACTGGAGTTTAGCTGTATATACACATTATAAAAAGTAGTCCAGTGGACTGATAAAGCTAAAGTTCTTTATAAAGTACATAATATAAACATTTTTTCTTTTCATATGGGATGCAATTTTATTATGTGTAACATCAGCTGGATTCATATCAATTACATATGCCATCTTGAAGAGTTACACCCTTTAGAAAGTTATATTAACTAGTTTTGATTATTAGATTAGCAAATATATTACCCCTAGCAAACAACACAGGAACACAAAACCAAATACTGCATGTTTTCACTTATAAGTGAGAGCTAAATGGTAAGATCTTATGAACACACAAAAGGAAACAACAGACACTGGGGTCTACTTGAGGAGGGAGGGCGGGAGGAGGGAGATGAACAGTAAAGATAACTATTGAGTACTGGGCTTAATACCTGGGTGATTAAATAATATGTACAACAACCCCCTATGAAATGTGTTTATGTATGTAACAAACCTTCATATGTATCCCCAAACCTAAAATAAAAGTTTTAAAAAAATTGGCAAATAATATCCTAAAGTTAGTATATTAAAGGCAATAGTCTCCATATTGGGTGTTCCTCTCCCACTCTTTCCTACTGACAATCTATTTTTCACATGGCAGCTTGAGTAATGCATTTTAAAAATACAAAACTGATCTTATACCCCTTCTTATAACATCTTAATGGTTTCCCATTGTAACTTACATAATAAACCTATGTACCTGTGGCATAAATGACTGCATGATCTGACTTATAACCAGCTCTCTGTTCTCCTCTAGTCCCACTCTTCCCTTTGCTCACCACATCCATTCACATTGGCCATCTTTTTTTTTATTTGGTTCTCTGTAATTCTCCAAGTTTCTTCTTACCTCTGGAAGAGGTTATCTTTATGGTTGCTGTTTTTTATGGTTGCCTTTTTCTCTGCCAGGAACAACCTTTGTTCTTCCTCCAAAATTTTAAAATGGCTGGTTCTTCCTTACCATTTTGATGTCAGCCAAATGTTATCTTTTTAGAGAAGTTTTTTCTGATACCCCACCCTCAGCGTAGAGTAGCCCCCAGTCACTCCCCACCAATTACTGCATTTTACCTCCTTCACAGCATAGCATTATCTGTCTCCTGTTACTAGAATGTAACCTTTATGAAGGCAGGGTCTTTGTCCTATCACACTATCCCCAGAATGTAACACAATGTCTGGCACTTATATTGTGGTCATTAAATATTTGTTGAATAACATGAATTAATAAAGAGTAAGAGCTGGAAGGACTTGTGACATCAGAGGTTATCAAGTTCAACTTTCATTTAGAGGTGAAGAAACTGGAGACAGAGGTGACATGTTTTAGCCAACAGAGTACAGTAATTTAATGGTGGAAATGGGACAAGAACCAGGTCTTGCTACCACTAGTTTGGGGATTTTTATGCTAAGAAGTTAGAATTTACTAAGCTATTATAAGAAATCCTCTATGGAGAGAGCTATGCTTAACCCAAATTCATGCCATGTTAATAACAGAATTTTAGTCTTCTTGCACCTGCATGAAAAAGTTTCTCCAGATACTTTTAAATCATAATCCCACCTGTATCAAACAATTAAGTCAATCCTATAGCTCTACTTGTCTTTGGTGTTATATCACATTGGTTATTAACATAAACATTGGAACCAGACATATATGGCTTTGAATACTAGCTTTGTTACTTAAAACCTATGTGGTCTTACTTTTGTGTTTTGTTGATTTTTCTTTTAGTAAATTGTAGGCTGTGTATCCAGTATACCTGTTAAACAGCTACGTTGAGATATATTATAATTCACATTCCATAAATCTAGCTATTTAAAATGTAAATTCAATAGCTTTTAGTAATTCACAGAGCTGTGCAACTACATCATAACATCATAATCTAGTTTAAGAACACTTTCATCAACTAAAAAAGATACTCCATACAAATTAACAGTTACTCTTCATTTTATTCCACTCTTCTCCCTAGCCTTTGGCAACCACTAATCTATTTTCTGTCGGCATACATTTGCTATTCTGAACATTTCACATAAATGGAATTATAAATTATGTGGTCCTTTGTGGTTGGCTTCTTTAACTTAGAATAATGTTCTTGAAGTGCATCCTTGTGGTAGCATGTAACAGTACTTCATTTCTTTTAATTCCTTTTAATTGCTGATTAATATTCCATTGTATATATATACCACAATTTGGCTATCCATTAATCAGCTGATAAACATTTGGGTTGTTTTCACTTTTTAGCTGTTATGAATAATGCTGCTATGAACATTCACATACAAGTTTTTGTGTAGATATATGCTTTTAATTCTCTTCGGTGTATACCTAGGAGTGGAATTGCTGGGTCATATGGTAAATGCATGTTTAATTTCTGAGGAACTTGGATACATTTTTCAAAGCAGTTCCTAATTTTTCATTCCCAATAACAGTGTATGAAATTTCCAATGTCTTCACACCAACACTTGTTATTATCTGTCCTTTTTAATAATGGTATGTTATTGTGATTTTGTTTTGCATTTCTCTAATGGCTAATGATGTTGAACATCTTTTCATGTGTGTATTGGTCACTTCCATTTCTTCTTACAAGAAATGTCTATTCAGATTATCTGCCCATTTTATTTTTTTGGTCTTTTTATTGAGTTTTAAGCATTCTTTATAGATTCTAGGTACAAATCCCTTGTCAGACACATGATTTGCAAATATTTTGTGCAATTCTGTGAGTTATCTTTTTATGTTCTTAATGACATGCTTTGAAACACGAATGACTTAATTTTTATGAAGTTCATTTATTCGCCCTCTGGTCATTTGTGCTTCTGGTGTCATATCTAAGAAGACTTTTACTAATGCGAATTCAGGAAGATTTACTCCTTTATTTTTTTTCAAAGGGTTTTATAGTTTTAGCTCTTACATTTAGGCCTCTCATGCATTTTGAGTTACTGTTTTCTTATGGTGTGAAATAAGATTTCAAATTCAATTTTTTTTTTTGCATGTGTATATTCAGTTGTACCAGCACCATTTGTTGAAGGAACTATTATTTTCTTCATTGAATTATCCTGCCCTTCTTGTCAAAAACAAATTGACCATAAATGTAGGAGTTTATTTCTGGACTCTCAATAATACAACATGGAAACTCTGGGAATTAGATTTCCCCTCATCCCAAGGTTTATTATTGTTGATGATTGTTGCTTATTTAGTTACTTTTCTGAGCTAAAAGTCTGTTTTCTTTGTTCTGAGTGGCTGCTGAAGTCTCTGCTCAGTTAGCTTACTGGTCAGCTAATGATTAGACACAGATTTCCTTATATGCCTGGAACCAATAAGACTCCCAGTCTTTGCTGAGTGGCCTTGTATGCTTGCTGGGGTGCATCTTTAATATATAAACAGCCAGGCAGTTTATAACTCTGACTAGTGTCCACTTTTTGCTTATGTAGAGCCTCATGGTCAGCAAGAGATGATGACTTAGGACCTTCTCAGGCCTTTCCTGAGCACGTGTGCAATCTGGAGCATGTACACAGGCTTACACATGATCATGGCCTCATAGATTTCTGGAACTATGTAGGAGCTTTTCAAAGTCTCCATGGATATCTAATTCCCTAGCTTTTACTTTTAAACTTTTTGGCTAGGCTACCATTCACCCAACTGTTAACCACTGCACCAGGAAGCTTCAGTGTTAAACAATGCTAATAAAGTTTTTAACAAATCTCCTTCATGAAAAGGCATTTACTGAGTGATCACTAAGTCGGGTCAACTAAAGATAAGAGTTGCAAGTGAGATATTCCAGGAAATCACTGAACTGGTCAAATAATGATTTTTCCCTGGGAATGGGGCTTTGAAGGAGGTCCAGCCCCATTCTGTCCCCTCTAGTGACTGTTAGGCTGCTGGTTCTCATTATGATTGCATACAATTGGGTTTCAAGGGTGCTGTGAAGCTGGGAAAAGAGGATGGAAATAAGTCAACTTAAAATGCCACAGTCATTATACGAAAAAGATGCTTGCACGCGCATATTTATAGCAGCACAATTTGCAATTGCAAAAATGTGGAACCACCCAAATGCCCATCAATCAATAAGTGGATAAAGAAACTGTGATATATATATATATCCACAACAAGTGGATAAAGAAACTGTGATATATATATATGAATATATATTATATATATGAATATATATAACATGTGAATATATATTATATATATGAATATATATAACATATGTGAATATGTATTATATATGAATATATATAACATGTGAATATGTATTATATATATGAATATATATAACATATGTGAATATGTATTATATATATGAATATATATAACATATGTGAATATGTATTATATATATGAATATATATAACATATGTGAATATGTATTATATATATGAATATATATAACATATGTGAATATGTATTATATATATGAATATATATAACATATGTGAATATGTATTATATATATGAATATATATAACATATGTGAATATGTATTATATATATGAATATATATAACATATGTGAATATGTATTATATATATGAATATATATAACATATGTGAATATGTATTATATATATGAATATATATAACATATGTGAATATGTATTATATATGAATATATATAACATATGTGAATATGTATTATATATGAATATATATAACATATGTGAATATGTATTATATATGAATATATATAACATATGTGAATATGTATTATATATGAATATATATAACATATGTGAATATGTATTATATATGAATATATATAGCATATGTGAATATGTATTATATATGAATATATATAGCATATGTGAATATGTATTATATATATATGATAGAACACCATTCAGCCATAAAAAGGAATGAATTAATGGCATTTGCAGCGACCTGGATGAGATTAGAGACTATTACTTTAGGTGAAATAACTCAGGAATGGAAAACCAAACATTGTATGTTCTCACTCATAATGGGGAGCTAAGCTATGAAGATGCAAAGGCATAAGAATGACACAATGTACTTTGGGGACTCGGGGAAAGGGTGGGAAAGCGTTGAGGGATAAAAGACTACAAATAAGGTGCAACGTATTCTGCTTGGGTGATGGGTGCGCCAAAATCTCACAAATCACCACTAAAGAACTTACTCATGTAACCAAACACCACCTGTTCCCCAAAAACCTGTGGAAATTCTAAAAAAAAGTCACAAAGCTTGCTGCTGTTACCAATATTTAACTATTTTTCTTAAGTAAATGCTCAGCAGATGGTTACTGTCATTATTAATTTACAGACTTCTGAAAGAAAGTCTATTCTTACAATTTTTGCCAATGCTCTCATTACTTTTGTGGAAGAAAAGATGTTTAAAGTTATTTATTTTGCAATTCCTGCTGATGTCATCTGTTTGTTTTGTCATTCCGCTTATCTGGTCCAGTCTATATATAGTTTCTAGTTTATGTAGCATGGTTACTGCTCAAAATATTTTTTAAAATACATGACTGAAAACTGATTGCAAGTGAAAGTTGCATGTGGAAGAGGGTCAGGACATAAGATATGATAAGTAAATGTACAATCATGAAAGCACAAGACTCACAGAATAAATCTGCCTAAAATTTTTTTCTCAAAAATAGACGTGAAGGACATCAAGGCAAATGAGTAAAAGATAAGGAAGAAAACATATTGAAAAAAAAAGTAGCTACCTCCAAAACAGCTCACATCATCTAAATATACAGTTTCTCAGAACTGTAAAAAGGCCAGAGATCAGTCAAGGCAGAAGTTAGAACATTACAGGATGAAATGCAAAAGATGATCAAAGAGGATGGTAAAATTATTGAAGTATTAAATGAATTTCTTAATGGATTTACATGGAAGTATACTAGGCAAATGCCAGCTTTCATTTGCTATTTACATATCATCATATTGGACTTCAAAGTCAGCATTTCAGGGGGGCTTAAGCAAGCCATGGAAATCCAAAACCAACAATCTCCCCAACCAGATGGTGTTAATCTTAGGTATCTGGCTCTGACCAGAGTCACCTTTTTCAGTGACCATGGGCAATACTGGGAGGAAAAAGCCTGCCAGCCTAAGCTGCTGCTGAGACAGTTTGAGTTAATGTGGTACTCCTCTCTATGCCTTGTCTTGAGACTGTCTTCTGGAAAGAGCTGCCCAATTTGATGGAGTTTCAAAACAATGGATACAAATCACTCTTCATTGAAGTAGAGCCATTTGTGTGATAGATTTAGAACCTTGTCAGAGGGTGAAGCAATGATTCCCAGTATTTTTGAAATGGATGTCCTAACATAATTCATAATTTAAAAATTAAAAAAATTATAACCAGATTCAATCTCCTCCTAAAGTAACATACATGATGTTTCCCTTCTATTTGTTTCTTTCCATTTCCATTTAAATCTCTTTTTATTGTGAAGTAGAACTCACACAGAGAAAGGCACAAAACATGAATGTACAACTCAATAAATTATCAAACACCCAGGTAACCATTACCCAAGTCAAACATAGAACATTGACAACACCCCGGAAGCCCTCCTTCAATTTTCCTTTTAAGGAGTCCATTGAGATTAATTTTTTTAGTGATTTTGTGACAATTCTAGAAATAAAAAAATTGTTGAGAAAGGGGGATGTTTCTAAACAAGATTTAGAAAATAGTATATTATAGAAGTAGGTTTCAGGGACTTAACTTGGAAACTTAAATCTGGTGGCAGAGGAAAATTTCGTATATTATTGAATGCTGAACTTTCTCCTTCTCCCTCACCCCCCAATACAATGACAAAGGCTCAGTTGTACACTGTAAAAACCTCAGTAGAAATGTGACAGACCAACAGAAAGTAACACTTTCTTAGCTCAGAGACATAAGCTAATTAGATTTTACTGATATATGCTGAAGTACAAGACATGTGCTTGGCCTTCACAAACTCACATCAAATATCTCTAACAATGCTATGTCTGTCCGGTCCTCACAAGTGATCTCAGTTTCAAACAATTGACCAATCATAATCATAATTAATGCTTATGGCATTTGCTATGTGCCAGGCACTGTTTGAAGCATTTTGCACATATTAACTATTGTATTATTTAATCATCATAACCCTTTAAGAAAAGTGGGGAAACTAAATCACAAAGTAACTCTGGTAGGAGGTGGCAAAGCTGGAAATCAAACTCAGACCTGCTGGTAGTAGAACCCAACTACTAAGCTCTTCTGCCTCTACTTAAGGAATTTAAAATGGTTGTTCCTTGGTTGGACTTTTTTGTCATTATCCATAGGATGTATACATGTTAATAGCTTAATTATGAGGAATAATTCTGTTATCATCATTGTGACTATTAATTGTTCTTTGATATACACGTCAATACAGAGAAGATTGTATCTGAGATTACTGTTGTGACATGAAAGATGCATGAAAATGAAACATTCTTGACAAACTCAGAAACATTTTTTATGGGCATACATAGTTTGAAGATAAATGTATATTTTGAAAAGAAAAGTGTATTGATGAACTCGTATAGGTATTACTTATTATTAGCATTATAGACAACTCATACTCGATATAGTACAAATATAGTTTTGTGCCACTCCCATAATTCATGCTAAAGGGCCAGTAGTTTTGCCACCATTGGTTTTGCACAATAAGTAAAAAATGGCAGCCCAGAGAAAAAGACAAGGACTGTCTTAGTATTACTATGAAGATAGTCTTGATTTTGGAGACTCCATAAAAGGATCTCAGGTACCACCAGTTGTCCATGGACCACACTTTGAAAACTGCTGAAAATAAAAATTAACAATTACACTTTTCTAAAATCTCAGCTCTCACCTATGTCCCAGATCATGATTGATCTGTTGCCACCTGACTCCCTTACTTACAAATTTACAAATTTGGTTCACTAGGATGCCTGTGCCCACATCCAGATACCATTCGCATTTCCCAAAACAAAACAAAACATAACAACAACAACAACAACAACAAAACAGAGCCGTCAAAGTCCCCAAGATATGCTGATATGCTCTTTCTGATTCAAGGTTAAGTTTATCCCATGATTTCTTACAACGTGAATTCCTTCTTATGACCTCTGATGACCTCTGTATTCCTGACTCAGCCTGGTGGGGCTTGTAGTTATCTGCTTATAAAACTATTTTCTTCACTTAAAGTTTGCCAAGCAAATTAGGTGAATGGTCAGGGATTGCTAGGGGGAAGAAATAAGAATGAAGTTTAATAAAATAGAAGATAATAAGGATACCTTCTGGATCACTTATAAGGAAGAAAATTCTCCAGTCAGGCTGCTGTCCCATTCTTATATAAAGGTGAATGGAATCATTCCTAAATACTTGACAATCAATAGTAATCTCCAATGACTTTCAGATACTGGGAGTATTTAGTCATTCTTAGTGGCTCATACAAATAATGGAAGAAAACAAATGAAAGAGAGAGGCTGGTCTTTCCTCCTTCCTCTGGCAAGATTTGTGGTAGATAGCTTACTATGACACAAAAATTCAAAGCTGACATTTCTGTTCCATTTCTTATGGCTCCTTGCTCTGGCTATACAAGTTCCTTAGGAGAAGTTTCCTGTTAAGTAATACTAAGGTACTAGATTTTGTAGGGAATCCAACTCAGTTAATTCTGACAGGAAAGAGAGCATGCTAGAATTTTAAGTTACAGCAAGCAAAGGGTCTAGGTGGAAAGGAAATCTGTATCTGGAAAGATGAGAGAAGATCTTTAGCCATCATCCATGAGCATTTACATTTATTTTTAAAAACATGTTGTCTTCTTCTTCCTCCTTATAAAAAATGGCAATGATTTGAAAACTGACAAAATTTGAATTTTGGATTACAGGAACTCCCAACTCCTCCAAACATGTTCAAATTACAGCAAAGGCATTTACAGTGCTTTTACCTGATTCTTATTTACTATAGTGACAAAACATTTTTATTTAAACAAATATTAATTAAGTACTTGCTAGGTGCAAAAATCTACTGGGACTGTGGGAAGTTGAAGAAATAATTAATATGTGCTGTCTTGGTTCATTTTGTGTTGCTGTAACAGAATCCTACAGACTGAGTAATTTATAAACAACAGAAGTTTATTTGGCTCATGGTTTGGAGACTAGGAAGTCCGAGGTCAAGGGGCTGCAGCTGGTGAGGGCCTTCATGCTCATTATCCCAAGGCAAAAGGCAGAAGGGCAAGAGAATGTGAGAGAGCCAAACTTGCTTTTATAACAAAGCCACACTTTTGATAACTAATCCACTCCTGTAATAAGGACATTAGTTGATTTATGAGGGCAGAACCTTCATGACCTAATCTCCATTTATGAGGCCCAGCCTCCCAACACTGCTGCATTGGAAGTCAAGTTTACAACATATAAACTTTTGGGGACACATTCAAATTATAACATATGCTCTCTCTCCAAAAAAAAGAAAAAAAATCTTTAACTGGGGTGAGTGGTAGAAAATAGAGAGACAGACATTAATTATTATTATTATTTTTTTTTTGAGACGGAGTCTCGCTCTTTCGCCCAGGCTGGAGTTCAGTGGCGCTATCTTGGCTCACTGCAAGCTCCGCCTCCTGGGTTCACACCATTCTCCTGCCTCAGCCTCCCAAGTAGCTGGGACTACAGGTGCCCGCCACCGTGCCCGGCTAATTTTTTGTATTTTTAGTAGAGACGGGTTTCACCGTGTTAGCCAGGATGGTCTCGATCTCCTGACCTCGTGATCCACCCACCTTGGCCTCCCAAAGTGCTGGGATTACAGGCGTGAGCCACCGCGCCCGGCCATTAATTATTTATAATATAAATGAGTTAATTATTTATAATATAAGTGAGTGAATGAAGGAGGTAGGATATAGACCCACCATTGTACCAGTCTACCCCAGGGTTTTAACTATAATGTTGGTGGCAGATAGGAACCTGTACCAGGTGCATAATATTATCCTAATGAGTCCTCACTAGGCATTCAGACACAAGGGCTGGTGGTTGGTGGAGAGCCTACTTTTCAAGCACTGCCTCAGGTTGAGGGTGGCCATTGTCAATGACTAGCATTTAGACTCTGGATGTAGGCATGGTCAATTTATGGAGATCATTTTTATTCTTCCTCCAGCTGCCATCCCCACCAATGCACTGCTCTTGGAAGTCTTGAGTCCCATCTGGGATGGAGCTACTTATCTTTTCTTGGGCAACACCACTGAAACATCATTGCAAAAGGACTGGTTGACATTTGCTAGTTTTTAAGGAAAGGTCCCCAAATCTCATAGTAATCAAGCTGTGATCATTAATACCAAGCAATTTGCTCAAAAATTTATTTTTGACTTTTTTCCAGTTGGGTAATTAATATCATAAAGTGAGATAGGGATCAAAGAGTCTGGAGTGTCTCTTCCCTGTAGGAGATAAGAGGCAAGGTCAAAAAATCAAACAGAAATTCATCTTCTATCCACTCAGCTTTGATTTGGAAAGGAGGTAGTTAAGTTACAACATGAAGAAAGTGGCAGTTATAAAGCTTGCCTTCTATTGCACGCTTTTGCAGCAGCAATTACTTCAGCTACAAATCTCATTTTCAGAACTCTTTGAAAGTGCTATCTGGGCGATGGCAGAATACACTGGAAATCAATGGAGGGTGATTTCATTCCCAAATTGAAGTTACCATTTAATCGTCAGGGAAAAAATACACAAGCATACCCCAACCTCCTTCCTACTCATTAATAGATTCCTCAGTAGCAATTATGAGGCTCAACTTTCACAAATTCAATACTACTCAAAAAATATGAATTATAAACACTCTTTACCAATTGAAATGCAATAGCATCCCAGCTTTCAGAAGGAAAATAGACAGGAACTGTTGGGAATGTTCCTAATCATGATGCTAATAAGTAACGGCCCAGTATGCATAGGCTGCAAAACAGCCCACCACCTGCCTTTCTGCAACTACCATTATGTGATATTTAATTTCTTGATTTACATATAGCATCCTAGCAGCCACCAAGCATGTTAGTGCTAATGGATCTAAAAATGATTGCACTGGGAAATCTGTTCCGAAAGGCCTCATGCTCCAGGGAGGGATACTTTCTCCTTGGAGGACATGTCAATAGCCAAATAGATATGTGGGGATTGGAGTTACTTTCTTTTCCCTGAGATTTTATTGCCCTTCCTGATCCTGTATATTCAGAGGGCCTATAATCCAGGTTTAATCTAAATAGATGGCAGTGCTGCCAACAGATCCTAATTCCACATGAATATTCAATAGCACAACAGAGGAGCCTGGAGATGTTGCCTACTGGAGATGACCTTCAACCTAGCAAAACTGGACACTGACAATAGCCCTAAATTTCATGTTATTTACTATTCATTGATTTAAGACAGAAAGGGCACTGTCAAAACGTTCATGCAACCCAGGATTAGTGAGGCTTTAAGCCGTTCTCTGCCACTCTCATTTTACTGTTAATTAGATTAGTTATCAGCCCAGTTAGGCCTTGTGATAAAGGTTGGTTCCTTTTTCATGTAGAAAAAGACAGATTTAGAACCAAGCATAGGGCCCAAGAGCTGGAGAAAAGCCAGATTTAAAAAAAAAAAAAAGCTAGAGAGATCCTCTCTTCTTAATTCTGGCCTGGGTTCTCCAAAATCAGCTATCAGATGCTATCAGGGACTTTTCCAGATAGGCCCTGTATGATGCGGTAGACTAGGAGAAGGTATAGGAAATCCACTGTAAAGCTGAAAGGCCCATTAGTTTCATAATGTTGTCAGGGAAGACTTTAGTGAAGGAAGACAATGCTAAGTAATTAAAGATTCTTTCCATTTTGTTCCTGAACTCATTTCCCCAACTCCATATTCCCTTCATCTCAACCATAATGTACCTTGATCCATGATACTAAATTCTGATCCTCCTCTTTAACCATTGGCTCCCTACCCCTTACCTTCCACTGAATGTTCTATTTTTGGTCCCATCATCACCTCCAAACTCTTAATTAGTTCCAATTTTCTAGCCCATTGCCTCCCACTATGGTTTGCCTCCATACTCACTGGGCTCTATGGGCGGCCATTTTGATTATATGCTCACTAATACCCTGGGATTCTTTAGCCCCTTGAAAACTCTGTCAAATTTTTTGCTTTGCCATTGCAAGCCCTGCATAACTTCTTCTAACAAATCCGTTTGCTTACCAGGTGCTAAGTGTTTCTAAGGAAAACTATAAAATTATGATTATTTGATTCCTTATAGCCATGATAGCTAATTTCAGCTGGGCCTTCTAGGATGTTCATTTACATGTCTTTTCATCACTTGTTGGCTTTCTTTGCCATTCATTCATTCTTTTGACAAACTTTTGTTTGCCAATTATTACAATTATTATACAATGAGTACAATTATTATACAATTAGTACAATTATTATACATGCCAACTATGGCCAAAGCACTGAGGATAAAATGGTGATGAAGATTGACAAGGTCTCTTCCCTCATGGACTGTATCACTTAGCGAAGGAAGGTGGAAAACAAACGTGTTTTTAAAAAGGCAGTTTCATATTGAGATAAGTTCCAAGCAAAAGAGTGCATGCAAATGTTCTGAGATAAGAATAATCTCAAGGGGTTCAAGGGATAGAATGAAGGTCAGTGTAGGTGAGCCAGAAAGGGAGAGAAAGAGTGATAAGATGTAAGGTCACAGAAATAGGCAAGGGATCATGAAAAAGCTGTAGGGTATTATTCCACTACTAATGGAAAGCATTTTGAAAGTTTTAAGCAGGGTACTCACAATATCTAATTTATGCTTTGAAATGATCACTGTAGCTGCTGTGCAATGGATATAAGAGACAAAAATGGAAACAAAGAAACCAGTCAGTAAACTGATGAAAGATCCAGATGAGGGATGATCATGACTTGGATTAGGTTTGTAGCAGTAGAGATGGTGAAAAGTGCTTGAGTTCCAGTGAGAAAGCTGAAGGCTAAATAATGAAGTGCTGTGCCCAGGGCCTAATGAAATGACAACGGTTACTTTAGAAGTCATATTTGAATTGTCATTTTGCTTCACCTGAAGGAGAGAAAGTATGTTTTATCTTCTGCCCACCCCTCTACCCCACTTCGACTTTAGCTCTGGTGTAATTGTTTAATAAAAAAGCCATCAGTATCTCTTTTCTCCTTAAGTACCCTCTGCCTGTCCCTTTCTTGGGCTTGTTCTTACTAAAGCCCTGCATACGTTTTTCTTCTTCTTCCCATCATTCAAACTCCCTATGTCTTGCCTCCTCTGTCCAGAGAGGTGACTCCAAGGTGAGAATGTCAGTGACCTTGCAAAATTGTAAGGGCAGGCTGTAGAGCAGGGTTAGGGGCTAAGAGTATCTCTGGAATCCCTCACAATAACCATGTGGGAACCACTTTGCTACTAAACATAGGAATAATCTCAGTGGCTACTACTGAGCTAGGTTTCTGAGAATGTCTTTTTAAACTATCCTTTTATGGTCAGACATATAAATGCCAGACTTCTTGAAAAAGGTTTTCAAAGTAACTAGCAGACCCCATCATGTTACTTCATATTTGCAGAGCACTGGAAATGTTTGGAAGGAAATAGAAAACTGATCCTGATATGTGCATTTACTCTGGACTTATGCCATCTCTTATTTAACAAGCTGAAAGCAGTGCCAATGTTAATGTTTTATTACCTTACTAATCTCAACATCACAGCGGTGAGGCCAAATCAGTAGTCAGATTTGTCATTTTCTAGATCAAGCAATCATCACAGATATTTTCCAAAGCATGTACTACTTTGAGCAGCCATGGCCTAAGTTTTGGCCTAAATGTAATTCATGATTCCTGTATCAGGGACATAAACTGAATGTAGAAGAAACAATTCAGACAAGAGCAGCAATTAATCACATGACAACCTGGATAATATATACTCTAATTTTGGCATGAATTCTAACACGGAAGCATTAATTTTTATATAATGTTCACCTGTAGACTTTTAGACCTGGGAAGGAACTTCGAGTCTTATCTACTCATTTCATAAATATCTAATATCTGATACCCAGAGAGATAAAGTAAACTGGCCACAGTCACAGAATAGTCAGTGGCAGAGTCAGGACAGGGACCCAGGTGGTCTCTGACTTTTAGCCCAGTGTTGTTTATGTTATAAAAAACTTCCCCATCAGTCACATTCTCATTGTGCTTCTGTGTTGCTGCATTTTATTGACCATTTGACTATGAAGCTATTAATGCAAGAGGAACACCTGCAGTTTCTTTTTTTTTTTTTTTGCATTTATCCAACAAATGTTTATTGGACGCACAATGCCAGACACTGTCCCAGATGTTGATAATATGGCAAAAACAACAAAATAAAAATTATATTCTACTGTGAAGAGACAAATATAATAAATTTAAAAATACATAATGTGGCAGGTGATGATAAAGGCTATGAAGAAAAAATAAAGTCAGATAAGAAGAGAGGGGAGTGCCGAGGAGTTAAAATGCTATTTTTTTATATTATTATTATTATACTTTAAGTTTTAGGGTACATGTGCACAATGTGCAGGTTAGTTACATATGTATACATGTACCATGCTGGTGTGCTGCACCCATTAACTCGTCATTTAGCATTAGGTATATCTCCTAATGCTATCCCTCCCCCACTCCACCCACCCCACAACAGTCCCCAGAGTGTGATGTTCCCCTTCCTGTGTCCATGTGTTCTCATTGTTCAATTATCATCTATAAGTGAGAACATGCAGTGTTTGGTTTTTTGTCCTTGTGATAGTTTACTGAGAATGATGATTTCCAATTTCATCCATGTCCCTACAAAAGACATGAACTCATCATTTTTTATGGCTGCATAGTATTCCATGGTGTCTATGTGCCACATTTTCTTAATCCAGTCTATCATTGTTGGACATTTGGGTTGGTTCCAAGTCTTTGCTATTGTGAATAGTGCCGCAATAAACATACGTGTGCATGTGTCTTTATAGCAGCATGATTTATAGTCCTTTGGGTGTATACCCAGTAATGGGATGGCTGGGTCAAATGGTATTTCTAGTTTTAGATCCCTGAGGAATCGCCACACTGACTTCTACAATGGTTGAACTAGTTTACAGTCCCACCAACAGTGTAAAAGTATTCCTATTTCTCCACGTCCTCTCCAGCACCTGTTGTTTCCTGACTTTTTAATGATTGCCATTCTAACTGTTATGAGATGGTATCTCATTGTGGTTTTGATTTGCATTTCTCTGATGGCCAGTGATGATGAGCATTTTTTCATGTGTCTTTTGGCTGCATAAAGGTCTTCTTTTGAGAAGTGTCTGTTCATATCCTTTGCCCACTTTTTGATGGGGTTGTTTTTTTCTTGTAAATTTGTTTGAGTTCATTGTAGATTCTGGATATTAGCCCTTTGTCAGATGAGTAGGTTGCGAAAATTTTCTCCCATTTTGTAGGTTCCCTGTTCACTCTGATGGTAGTTTCTTTTGCTGTGCAGAAGCTCTTTAGTTTAATTCGATCCCATTTGTCAATTTTGTCTTTTGTTGCCATTGCTTTTGGTGTTTTAGATATGAAGTCCTTGCCCATGCCTATGTCCTGAATGGTAATGCCTAGGTTTTTTTCTAAGGTTTTTATGGTTTTAGGTCTAATGTTTAAGTCTTTAATCCATCTTGAATTAATTTTTGTATAAGGTGTAAGGAAGGGATCCAGTTTCAGCTTTCTACATATGGCTAGCCAGTTTTCCCAGCACCATTTATTAAATAGGGAATCCTTTCCCCATTGCTTGTTTTTCTCAGGTTTGTCAAAGATCAGATAGTTGTAGATATGCGGCGTTATTTCTGAGGGCTCTGTTCTGTTCCATTGATCTATATCTCTGTTTTGGTACCAGTACCATGCTGTTTTGGTTACTATAGCCTTGTAGTATAGTTTGAAGTCAGGTAGCATGATGCCTCCAGCTTTGTTCTTTTGGCTTAGGGTTGACTTGGCGATGAGGGCTCTTTTTTGGTTCCATATGAACTTTAAAGTAGTTTTTTCCAATTCTGTGAAGAAAGTCATTGGTAGCTTGATGGGGATGGCATTGAATCTGTAAATTACCTTGGGCAGTATGGCCATTTTCGCGATATTGATTCTTCCTACCCATGAGCATGGAATGTTCTTCCATTTGTTTGTATCCTCTTTTATTTCATTGAGCAGTGGTTTCTAGTTCTCCTTGAAGAGGTCCTTCACATCCCTTGTAAGTTGGATTCCTAAGTATTTTATTCTCTTTGAAGCAATTGTGAATGGGAGTTCATTCATGATTTGGCTCTCTGTTTGTCTGTTATTGGTGTATAAGAATGCTTGTGATTTTTGTACATTGATTTTGTATCCTGAGACTTTGCTGAAGTTGCTTATCAGCTTAAGGAGATTTTAGGCTGAAATAATGGGGTTTTCTAGATATACAATCATGTCGTCTGCAAAGAGGGACAATTTGACTTCCTCTTTTCCTAATTGAATACCCTTTATTTCCTTCTCCTTCCTGATTGCCCTGGCCAGAATTTCCAACACTATGTTGAATAGGAGTGGTGAGAGAGGGCATCCCTGTCTTGTGCCAGTTTTCAAAAGGAATGCTTCCAGGTTTTGCCCATTCAGTATGATATTGGCTGTGGGTTTGTCATAGATAGCTCTTATTATTTTGACATACGTCCCATCAATACCTAATTTATTCAGAGTTTTTAGCATGAAGGGTTGTTGAATTTTGTCAAAGGCCTTTTCTGCATCTATTGAGATAATCATGTGGTTTTTGTCGTTGGTTCTGTTTATATGCTGGATTACATTTATTGATTTGTGTATATTGAACCAGCCTTGCATCCCAGGGATGAAGCCCAATTGATCATGGTGGATAAGCTTTTTGATGTGCTGATGGATTCAGTTTGCCAGTATTTTATTGAGGATTTTTGCATCAATGTTCACCATGGATATTGGTCTAAAATTCTCTTTTTTGGTTGTGTCTCTGTCAGGCTTTGGAATCAGGATGATGCTGGCCTCATAAAATGAGTTAGGGAGGATTCCCTCTTTTTCTATTGATTGGAATAGTTTCAAAAGGAATGGTACCAGTTCCTCCTTGTACCTCTGGTAGAATTTGGCTGTGAATCCATCTGGTCCTGGACTCTTTTTGGTTGGTAAGCTATTGATTATTGCCACAATTTCAGATCCTGTTATTGGTCTATTCAGAGATTCAACTTCTTCCTGGTTTAATCTTGGGAGAGTGTATGTGTCGAGGAATTTATCCATTTCTTCTAGATTTTCTAGTTTATTTGCGTAGAGGTGTTTGTAGTATTCTCTGATGGTAGTTTGTATTTCTGTGGGATCGGTGGTGATATCCCCTGTATCATTTTTTATTGTGTCTATTTGATTCTTCTCTCTTTTTTTCTTTATTAGTCTTGCTAGTGGTCTATCAATTTTGTTGATCCTTTCAAAAAACCAGCTCCTGGATTCATTAATTTTTTGAAGGGTTTTTTGTGTCTCTATTTCCTTCAGTTCTGGTCTGATTTTAGTTATTTCTTGCCTTCTGTTAGCTTTTGAATGTGTTCACTCTTGCTTTTCTAGATCTTTTAATTGTGATGTTAGGGTGTCAATTTTGGATCTTTCCTGCTTTCTCTTGTGGACATTTAGTGCTATAAATTTCCCTCTACACACTGCTTTGAATGTGTCCCAGAGATTCTGGTATGTTGTGTCTTTGTTCTCGTTGGTTTCAAAGAACATCTTTATTTCTGCCTTCATTTCATTATGTACCCAGTAGTCATTCAGGAGCAGGTTGTTCAGTTTCCATGTAGTTGAGCAGTTTTGAGTGAGATTCTTAATCCTGAGTTCTAGTTTGATTGCACTGTGGTCTGAGAGATAGTTTGTTATAATTTCTGTTCTTTTACATTTGCTGAGGAGAGCTTTACTTCCAACTATGTGGTCAATTTTGGAATAAGTGTGGTGTGGTGCTGAAAAAAATGTACATTCTGTTGATTTGGGGTGGAGAGTTCTGTAGATGTCTATTAGGTCTGCTTGGTGCAGAGCTGAGTTCAATTCCTGGGTATCCTTGTTAACTTTCTGTCTCGTTGATCTGTCTAATGTTGACAGTGGGGTGTTAAAGTCTCCCATTATTATTGTGTGGGAGTCTAAGTCTCTTTGTAGGTCACTAAGGACTTGCTTTATGAATCTGGGTGCTCCTGTATTGGGTGCATATATATTTAAGATAGTTAGCTCTTCTTGTTGAATTGATCCCTTTACCATTATGTAATGGCCTTCTTTGTCTCTTTTGATCTTTGTTGGTTTAAAGTCTGTTTTATCTGAGACTAGGATTGCAACCCCTGCTTTTTTTTGTTTTCCATTTGCTTGGTAGATCTTCCTCCATCCTTTTATTTTGAGCCTATGTGTGTCTCTGCACATGAGATGGGTTTCCTGAATACAGCACACTGATGTATCTTGACTCTTTATCCAATTTGCCAGTCTGTGTCTTTTAATTGGAGCATTTAGTCCATTTACATTTAAAGTTAATATTGTTATGTGTGAATCTGATCCTGTCATTATGATGTTAGCTGGTTATTTTGCTCGTTAGTTGATGCAGTTTCTTCCTAGTCTCGATGGTCTTTACATTTTGGCATGATTTTGCAGCAGCTGGTATCGGTTGTTCCTTTCCATGTTTATGGCTTCCTTCAGGAGCTCTTTTAGGGCAGGCCTGGTGGTGACAAAATCTCTCAGCATTTGCTTGTCTGTAAAGTATTTTATTTCTCCTTCACTTATGAAGCTTAGTTTGGCTGGATATGAAATTCTGGGTTGAAAATTCTTTTCTTTAAGAATGTTGAATATTGGCCCCCACTCTCTTCTGGCTTGTAGAGTTTCTGCCGAGAGATCTGCTGTTAGTCTGACTGGCTTCCCTTTGTGGGTAACCCGACCTTTCTCTCTGGCTGCCCTTAACATTTTTTCCTTCATTTCAACTTTGGTGAATCTGACAATTATGTGTCTTGGAGTTGCTCTTCTCGAGGAGTATCTTTGTGGTGTTCTCTGTATTTCCTGAATCTGAATGTTGGCCTGCCTTGCTAGATTGGGGAAGTTCTCCTGGATAATATCCTGCAGAGTGTTTTCCGACTTGGTTCCATTCTCCCCGTCACTTTCAGGTACACCAATGAGACGCAGATTTGGTCTTTTCACATAGTCCCATATTTCTTGGAGGCTTTGCTCATTTCTTTTCATTCTTTTTTCTCTAAACTTCCCTTCTTGCTTCATTTCATTCAGTTCATCTTCCATCACTGATACCCTTTCTTCCAGTTGATTGCATCGGCTCCTGAGGCTTTTGCATTCTTCATGTAGTTCTCGAGCCTTGGCTTTCAGCTCCATCAGCTCCTTTAAGCACTTCTCTGTATTGGTTATTCTAGTTATACATTCGTCTAAATTTTTTTCAAAGTTTTCAACTTCTTTGCCTTTGGTTTGAATTTCCTCCTGTAGCTCGGAGTAGTTTGATCATCTGAAGCCTTCTTCTCTCAACTCGTGAAAGTCATTCTCCGTCCAGCTTTGTTCCGTTGCTGGTGAGGTACTGTGTTCCTTTGGAGGAGGAGAGGCGCTCTGCCTTTTAGAGTTTCCAGTTTTTCTGCTCTGTTTTTTCCCCATCTTTGTGGTTTTATCTACTCTTGGTCTTTGATGATGGTGATGAACAGATGGGCTTTTGTTGTGGATGTCCTTTCTGTTTGTTAGTTTTCCTTCTAACAGACAGGACCCTCAGCTGCAGGTCTGTTGGAGTTTGCTAGAGGTCCACTCCAGACGCTGTTTGCCTGGGTATCAGCAGCGGTGTCTGCAGAACCGCGGATTTTCGTGAACTGGGAATGCTGCTGTCTGATCGTTCCTCTGGAAGTTTTGTCTCAGGGGAGTACCCTGCTGTGTGAGGTGTCAGTCTGCCCCTACTGGGGGGTGCCTCCCAGTTAGGCTGCTCGGGGGTCAGGGGTCAGGGACCCACTTGAGGAGGCAGTCTGCCCGTTCTGAGATCTCCAGCTGCGTGCTGGGAGAACCACTGCTCTCTTCAAAGCTGTCAGACAGGGACGTTTAAGTCTGCAGAGGTTACTGCTGTCTTTTTGTTTGTCTGTGCCCTGCCCCCAGAGGTGGAGCCTACAGAGGCAGGCAGGCCTCCTTGAGCTGTGGTGGGCTCCACCCAGTTCGAGCTTCCTGGCTGCTTTGTTTACCTAAGCGAGACTGGGCAATGGCGGGCCCCCCTCCCCCAGCCTCGCAGCCACCTTGCAGTTTGATCTCAGACTACTGTGCTAGCAATCAGCCAGACTCCGTGGGCATAGGACCCTCTGAGCCATGTGCGGGATATAATCTCCTGGTGCGCCATTTCCTAAGCCCATTGGAAAAGCGCAGTATTCGGGTGGGAGTGACCCAATTATCCAGGTGCCCTCTGTCACCCCTTTCCTTGACCAGGAAAGGGAACTCCCTGACCCCTTGCGCTTCCTGAGTGAGGCAATGCCTCGCCCTGCTTCGGCTCGTGCAGGGTGCACTGCACCCACTGTCCTGCACCCAGTGTCTGGCACCCCCTAGTGAGATGAACCCGGTACCTTAGATGGAAATGCAGAAATCACCTGTCTTCTGTGTTGCTCACGCTGGGAGCTGTAGACCGGGGCTGTTCCTATTCTGCCATCTTGGCTCCTCCCCAACATCTGTAGTTTCTTTAGCCATTTAAGCACCTCAGGAATGGTTTATTATGGATATTCTAAATCTAGGGGCCAACGTTGTGTGAAACAGTTCTGTGAGCTAAATATTCAGCTGCTCTTAGCATCTATTAGTAAACTCCAGGCTCTGCTCTATGCTCACATAATTAATCAATAAGGAATTGACAGTCAGCAACATTTGTGGGTAAGACTTGGAGCTGGATTGGAGAAAACTTTGTCTTGGTTTGCCAGGAAAGCTCTGTCTAATGGGGAAGATATACATGTTACTCATGACGTGAGTCTTACTGTAATAGCAATATAATACTTGATCTTGAAAAGTTTCTAGCTTGATTTAAGAAAAAGGAAAACCAGAAAACATAAGCATATATTAGAAAAACACACACAGAGACACATATATCACAGTTACATACACATATATCAAATTGTCACATATATACAGCAAAGAACTGCAATGAGTAAATCCATGAATTGGGGCTTTATATTGCTATTTTTAAAAGTATTTCATGAACGCATAAACCCTGGTTAAATGAGGAAGCTAGATGCACTTGAGTTTCTCTTACATAATGCAGTCTGTACTGAACTTCAAATATTATTATTATCTGATGTGGACTTTGATAATTTTGATGATGACAGATTACTTCACTTACAACAAATGTTCAGTTCACAGTAGTGGTGCAAAGTGAATCTTATTCTTGAATTTCCTCCGTATGGTATTATTATTTATTATTTAACATTGGCACAAGGAGAAGACTAGGGGCAAGAGGTAAAGAAACTGGTCTTTATTGAGTCCCTACTGTATACCATACACTTTGTAGAAATTATCCTTTGAACGATCTTGTGAGATGTGTATTATCTCAATATTAACAATGAGATAACTGAGGCTGATACAGGATTGGAAATCAGATTTGACTCAGAACCCCATGCTTCTAACATATCACAGTATGTAGCCACATTGAAATATTTAGGTTCTGACCATTGAGAGTGGGGTGTGACCACTGGAGCTTTCCAAACACATTGGGCAAAAAAAAAGGCTCAATTATTTTAAAAACTATTTTGATATATGACAAGTATTACAAACAATGAGTAAAGTTTGAGGAGAGCAATATATTTAAGCTAAGTCAGGATTTGCTTTGAATGAACTTTTCCTACCTAGGTCTTTGGTTATTTCTGATTAAAGAGTTAAATTTTTGCAGTGAAATTTTTGCTTCATTAGTATTCATCAGAGAGCGGGTTTTTGTTGTTGTTGTTTGTTTGTTTGTTTTTGCTGGATTTAAACCTCATTGGTTGAGTACATGTAATTACTGGACCTTTACTCAAACCAAAAGTTTGGATTAAGGTAAGAGTAAAGGAGGGGGGCACATAAAGTATATATGAACTGTGAACTAGGAGAGAATTTCTGATTAGTTTCAAGAAATTAGAGTTCCAGACAAAGAGTTAAAATTTAAGTGTGTGGGGCAGGGGTATATTTTAGCTTTTATGAAAAGCAGCTATAGAGTGTTGACATATTCATCACAAATTCTCTTTTGGTAATGCAGTCTCTAGAGTAGTAATGTGAGAGACATCAAATCTCCATGAACATTTGCATTATAGCATTTTAAATCTTTTCCTAATAGACGTCTTTTCAGTAAATCCTCACTTATCTGCCTTATTGTAGTAAACTAAAGTACAAAATTACCCTTTCAGAAAGTTCTGATGTTAAGGGAGTGATGAGACTAATCAAAGAGCAATGTTACTCTACTCCCCTCCTTACAAGTGTCTAGTGGGGACATTGGCTTCTGATAGGACTTCTTTTTAACCATATTTTTCTTGGTAAGTAAATAATATTACCAGTTGAAATTCAAATATGTTACATTAATAGTAACTTAACTAAGCTATATTCTAGTAAAGTCCCAATTACATTAAAGTTAATTAACTTGGACTCTTAGTTATATTGAATTATGGCTTGTTGTTGTTGCCTGTCTCTTCCTGAAGAAAAAATAAGTAAAAATGATGTCATATCAGGTATTTAGTAAAACAAAAATATCTCCATAGGACCCCCTCAATTCAATACAATTGCAACTATATCTCTTGGAATTATTTTCATAAGGTCCTGGGCAGTAAATAATTAAGAACAGTGTTCCTTTAAGAGCCTGAGGCAACAAGAAATTATTCAGTTTTATCATTTAGATTCTAGTTTCTAAAGCAGAGATGTATACTGAAATATTATGGAAAGATTTTTTAACTAAAATAAAAGATGAAATTATAAAGGATTTTCACATGTATGACAGAATCTTAGAAGGCTAGAACAATGGACTGAAACTAACAAGATAATATAATAAGTACAGTAATAAGTATAAAAATAATATAATATGTATAATAAGGACTAATGAAAAGTTCTGTACTCAACTCCTCCCTACCCCCACATCAAAAAGCCCAGGTGAGGAAGCCAAGGTTTAAATTATTGCTTCTGAAAAAGCACAAGGGTTTTAGTTGACTATAATGGCAAAACTAGTCAACACTATGTTGCAACCAAAAAAGTAATGTAATCTCAGGGTAAATTGTATATTTTCTAGAAGGTTATAGTCCCACTATTCTCTGTGCTGATCAGTCACTTACATAACACGGTGGTGTTTTCTTTGAGGGGGAGGGAGCATTGGAGAATATTGACAAATGGCTGTGATAAGTAAAGATGACCAGAAGTTTTTAGTTTCTATAAGCAATGTTTAAAGGAACTGAAGGTATGAAAGCTCAGTTGAGGGTAGAGGGCTTAACAGCTGTTATATAACTTACAACCTGTTGACATGTAGAAGACAACAGATTTATTTTGTATAGCTTTGGGGGCTCTTACTATAATCGATAGACTTTAAAAGATAGAAACATGTATGTGTTCTATGAGCTGATTCCTGCACTTTGTAGGGAGTTGTATTAGATGACCTTGATCCCTTTAAGTTACAACAATCAACCTTCTGAAATGTATCCAGCTGATTGTTAATCCTTTCGTCATCTTCAGGCTCACTATACAAAATTCATTTGGCTGGAAGAGAACAAAAATCACACCAAGTTAGCTTGATCTGTATTCCTTCACACAAAATATAGACATTTCTGCATTTTTCAGGTAACTGTGTTGCTTTGTCTTCATCTGTTTGATTGTTCTCTATATTTTCGTCTGCCGCTCTTTCCTTCTCCCATGATTTTTAAATCATTTTTTGAAGATGCTATTATTCAAACTCAGCAAGTCTTAAATTACAATACGGTTATATAGTATTAAGACCATCTCCAGTGTTGTGGGCTATGAAAATATGTTTTTTTGAACTGTGGATTTTAAAATGTCTACTCCCCTTTCTTCTTGACTGAAAACTAAAGTTTAAAGTCTTGGAAGGAGGAATGGTAATTTTTAGGTAGATTTTTAAGAAATTTAAAAATAGAACAATTCTGAGTCCTGAGAAAGGAATGGCTTATGAAAAAAGACCATTATTTGGCAGTTTTTAAAGGCACTTGTAGCAGCAACAGTAGCAGCAAATAGAGTCCTTCCCTTGGGTAAACATAGTAACCATGGCAAGAGGTTGCTTGACAGAAGGGCATTAGGCCATCCCATAATTCCTGTTAGCTCTGCCCTGCCCATTCCAAAAGCACTTCAGGCTAATAGTGTCTCAGCTTAATTGGTGGAAGAAATGTGTAGTCTACCACTATAAAAATAGATCAACCTTACTAAGCACATGAAAAAGATGTTCACTGTCACTAGTCGTCAGTTAAATGCAAATAAAAACCATAGTGAGATACCACTACACACCCACCAGAATGGCTAAAATTAAATAAACTGACAAGACCAAGTATTTTTGAGTATGTCAAGCAAGTGAGATCCTTGTACTTTGTTGGCAAAAATATAAAATATTGCAACTACTTTGGAAAACTGTTAGGTGTTTCCTTCTGATTAAACATACACCTACCCTGTGGCCCAGCATTTGACTCCTACTAAATCTTCCCAGGAGAAATGAAAACATATGTGCACAAAAAATACTTGTGCAAGAATGTTTAAAGCCACTTTATTTATAATACCCCCAAGATGGAAACAACTCAAATATCCCTCAACAGGAGAATGAAAAAGTTATGCTATGTTCTCAGCAAAAAGAATGAATTTCTGATACATGCTACAGCAAACATCAATTTTATACATACATTTTTGAGTAAAAGAAATCAGACACAAAATAGTGCATACTGTATAACTTCATTTAAATACATCTCAATAATAGACAAAACAATCAAAATGGTGGTTGTCTGGGCCAAGGGTTGTGATGAGGGGTTGACTAAGGAGGAATACCAGGGGGACTTTCTTCTGAGATGACAGAAATATTATATATCTCAATTTGGGTGTTGGTTACAGGGATGTGCACATTTGTCAAAAGTCATTACATTGTACCCTTAATCATGTGCATTTCTCTATGGATAAATTTTACCTCGATAAAAACAAAATTTAAAAAAATAGACCAATCATTAACAAATAAAACCTTTAATGTATAATCAAAGCAACAACAATGTGCTCAGCTTTATATGGAGATGCAGCTTCAAGATAGTTTTCCTAGGTAAGTTCTCAACCGGATCACCTAACCTCCTTCACCACACGGAAACACTGGAGTTTCCACTGGCTTGATTCCAATGGAAATTAGCGGGAGAACATGCTCTTCAGAGGCCAAGAGATCCCTGCATAGTCTGGCCTTACTTGGCTATTGAAATATGCACCTATCTAAAAGAGATTCTAAGGAATAGAAGAAAGTCTCAAATGAAAATGTAATGGGTAGGGAGAGATCAAAGCCTTCCATGTGGATTTTCATGGAAGCCATTAGTTAGTAAGAAAAGATTATGGCTTTGGAACCAGACAGGTCCTCATTATAATTCATGCCTCTTCAGGTACTTAGTCCTTCATCTGTGAAATGGAGCTCATACAAGCTCCAATAAGGAATTGAAGTGAGGATTATCGATAATAGATATAAATCATCCAGTTCTGTGGGAAACAACCAGTTCAGTGACTTGTATGTGAGTAAACTGGAGCTAATACTATAACATTCCATCACATTCGGCTATTGCCAGCAGAACAGCCCCTACACTTACATATTTCTGTCCCTGCTCATACTATCAATCCTCATGCAGTGAAAACTCTCCTTTTCCGTTCAGTATTCCAATATATACATATCCTTCAGGCTTTGATTCCTTTGAACTTAACAGAGAATTACTCTTCCCTGTTAAGCCTAGCAGATTCCCTGCAAAGACCTCTCCCTCTCTCTGCTTAGGGCTAAAGATATCTGCCTTGTCTTATAGATAGAAAGTAGTGCAAATTAGATATACTTTGAAATTGAACAGACTTTGATTCAAATCCTGGTTCTTCCACTTAATAACTGTGATTTTTGGAAGGTAATAGGCTCACTGAGATTCAGTTTTCTCATCTATAAAGCGAAGAGAATAATAGTACCTACCTCACAAGAATAAATTATATAATATATGTATAAAGGGCTTAGTATGGTGTCTGGCTCATGGTAGATATCCACTAGATGGCACTTGGTATTATTAGGATCAAAGATATTAATCTGGTCTACCTGTAGGTAGACCCATTTGTTTGCCTTGTTCTCCTTTTAAAGGGAGTATCCATCTTCCTGTTTTACTTTATTTTTTGTTGCCTTGTGCCCAGTTTGAACTAATCACTCCATATACACTCACACTATGCTACACCTGAGCCCTTGACTTGTCCCAGCTTAGATATCATAGCTGATCTGTTCCTTCTTGTTTAAATTCACAGCTGGTAGAATGATATATGCTTTTTCCTCTTGGTCAACCTATAGTCTCTTGACCTTGCCTCCTGGCCCTCAGGCTGTAACCTTGTATCTATGTGCCATAAACCTAACATGAACCATCTGAAGCTTGGCTCAGTGCCCTGATTTCTCTTGGCCTGCCTTGTCCTAGTTTCACCCTCAATTCAACAGCAACATTTAAATATTATTTACTTTCCCTATGTCTTATATTTCTGACTATGTCCTATTAGGAAGTAAAGGTCATGCTCTTATGTATTTGTTGTTCTTCTTAGTGGCAAGTAGATAGATGTTCACTCAAAATCCATTTTCTGATCATACAGAAAAGACACTGCCAATATACTGCACTGTACAATATAATAGTCACTGCCATATCTGGCTACTAAAATTAAAATTAATTAAAATTAAATAATGTTATAGATTTGGTTGCTCAGTTACCCTACCCATATTTTAAGAGCTCAGTAGCCACAAGTGGCTGAGTGGCTGCTACATAGGATAGCTCAAATATGGGGTCTAGACTAGGATATTATAAGATCTCTTTAATTATAGCAGCTGAAGTTTGCTGAGGAGAGGATGGAATGGCAGATAAATTTTATCTTTGGCCTTATAGTCCAAAGGGTACAAGTACAAAAAGTGGTTAAGGGCATGAACTTGAAAGCCAGGTAACCTGGGTTAAAATCACACCTCTGACATTTACTAGCTACATGACTTAGGGTAAGTTGCTTTTTTGTGTGTGCCTGTTTCTCTATAAGTAAAGTTTGGGTGATAGGAGTGCTTGACTTATAGGTAAATCTCATTAGAGGATTAGATGAGATTGCATATATGATTTAAAGCAGTGCCTGGTACATAGTACGTCCTATATATCTGTTTGTTGTCACTGTTATGAAATAGAGAGATAGTGTTTTAGAAACTGGATTTTAGGGCAATTGTCCACCAGCAATGCAGTTTTTATAAATTATGAGTAGCAGAAACAGTGGTTTAAGAGATACTGATTTGATGATAATTCGAATACCTGTGATATGTTAGAGAAAAGAACCAAAAATCAGATTGCATGTCTTACACTTGGGACTGTGTCTAGTTTTCCTGCAGAGAGGAAAAAAAATGGTATGTTTTATTTCCATGCTGAGTTTCAAATCCTGGGGAGATGTCCTAAGTGAGTGTGGAGCAAAATAAGAGAGTCAGGAATGGTCAGAGGGGAGTATTAGGCTGGAAAATTAGATTGAAAAGTAATCTCTGTAAAGACAGCAGTTGCAGCAGGTGGGGAAGACTCATTGAAGGATATGTTGAAGAAACAAGCTGAGTTGTAGTAAAGGGGATGAACTTGAGAAAGTGTTAGGTAATGAGGAGCTTAAAGAAACACATGAAAAGTACCTACAAAGAGGCATTTGAATCCCTTGCTTTTCTCCCTCTCAGATTCATTGGTAGAACACAACTCATAAAGACAAGGGGCCCAACTCATGTTGTAATGAAGGTTAAAAATTTTGAGCCTCAAAATCTTTCTCTTGCTGACCTAACTCTGGATTTGGATTCTTTACCATAGAATAATTTATTTGGATTAAAGTATTGAGTAAGTGTACTACAAAAATGTTTAAGTAACTCAAGCCCAATTTAGTCTAGTTTTTTTTTTTTTTTTTTTTTTTTTTTTTTTTTTTTTTTTTTTAGCTGGGCTGGACGACCTCCTGGGCAGACATGTTGCCCTTGGTTCCCTTCCTCACCTCAAGCCTATCTATTCCACCATTCCCTACCCCAACAAAAACACATCTGACTAATTTAGTCATTTTCTTGTAGCTGTAAGTGGTGATGGGCCAGACTGATAAAAATACAGATGAACTGTGCTCAGGAAGAAAATCAAATAATATATCTGGATACCCTGGTGTGGCCACAAGTAGTATAGAGTCACTTACTGTAAAATTACTTTCATTGAATATTTGAAAATACTCAGTTACAGCAAACAGTCTCTGTAAAGATATGGAGAAAAGCAAGAGAGCAGTATGTATTTAGTGAAATGTAATTAAATTGTTATGATTCAGGCATAGAAAGTGGCAAGAAGGTTAGATATTGTCAAAAGTGATAAAATGACACTACAGGGGAAGCCAAGGGCTGAAACATGAAAAGCAAAGCATGTTGTACCACATTTAGAACAGAGTTGGAAACACAATAAATGTTGGGTAAATAAATGAGAATTGGGTGGCTGTGATAAGGACTTTGGATTTCATATTGTTGGTAGCAAACGATTAGTGGTGAGTCGGAGAGAAAGATAACATTTTAAGAGATAACTAGGAGGGAATGTTGATAAGATTTGCTTGTGTTGAAGGGATGATAATAATGGAGGAATTAAGAATGACTCCCACATTTCTGACATAAACAATTGTATAGACAGTGGTGCCATTCACTGGGAGCACTGGAGGAGGAGTATATTTGAGGTGATGGTAGATGATAAGTCTAGTTTTGGAAATGTTGACTATGAGTTACCTGTGCATCATCTAAGTGGAAATTTTCAGTAGAAAGGCAGATAATGAATCTAGAGCTCAGGAAACATAATGGGGCAGAAGATATCAACTTGGAAAATGACTAGCAAAAGGCAGAAGAGTAGATATTTCCCAGGATGATTTTAAGAAAAAGCACCAAAGAATAAACCTAGAATATATCAATATTTAAGTGACAGATGAGATAAAATGAGCCAGTGAAGGAGAATGAAGAGAAACGATATTACAAATGTGATGAGATCCAAGAAAAACATGATGTTACAAACATTACTAGAAGAATTACAAACACTTGGTAGTCAGTGGAAATATAAATAGTCAATGGCACACAGAAATCAAAGATTTTGCATTTAGAGGTAATTGCTGAGTTTAGTGAGATAATTTCAATAGCAAGAATATTTCAGTAGCTAGATTATACTGAGTCAAGATAGGAAAAGTAGAGCCAATGAATGTAGATTACTCATTGAAGATGCTAATCTATAAAGAGGTGAAGAAAGGGGATAATAGCTAGAGGGAGATAGAAAATTGAGAGTGTGGTACCTTTTTTGTTTTTTGACTTAAAAAAATATATATGTATAAGACTTGAACATGTTTGGCCGAGGGAAGGAGTCTGTTGCTTGGGAGAAGTTTAGAAAATGAGGTTGTGACATCCCTTTCTTTATAGAAAGGACATAGAAATGAAATTTTAACTGAGGTCACAAAAGCTACAGCACTATTGGAGTAAGCTGTACCTGAAAATCTCATCTGGTGCATGAGTGATCATTAATTACCTCATGTATTGAGCATTAATGAGAAGGCGGTGGTAATCATTAATTAGGAGATGTTTGCAAGATGAGAAAAAAGTGTTCACTCGAAAAATTCAATGGATGACATTAAAGGACAGTGACTCCTAACAGAATTAAAGAGGGAGGATTAATGACATGAAAATTTGCATTAAAAGATGTCACGAAATGGCAGCCAGGCAGGTAGAAGAGATCAGAAAACTCCCATTTTGAAGTGGCCACTAAATCTGTGTCTAAACAAGCAAAGGGAAATGGAGAGTTGACGTAATTGTTTTAACATCTCAAGGTCTCCAACCCCATTATGGATAAAGATAAATGTGTAAGAACAGTTAGGACTTCCCAAAGGTATACGAGGCTCAAGGTTCATTTCTGGAGTTTGTGAAGCCTAGGAAGAATCACAGCACTATCTACCTATCATATATTACTGATCTCCCTCTCCCAATTTATACAAAAGGAACCAGATTGAAAACAGCATTAAAGAAAACTTAAAAGGAAAACAAAATCAAATCTTTATAAAAGGCCATTCCTGTGGGTGTAGCTCCAGGGAGTTGGAGCAGTCCCTTCACTTTACTTGGATGATGAGTTTTTGTTGTTGTTGTTGTTGATGAGACAGAGTCTCGCTCTGTCATCCAGGCTGGAGTGCAGTGGCGTGATCTCGGCTCATTGCAACCTCCGCCTCCCAGGTTCAAGCGATTCTTCTACCTCAGCCTCCCAAGTAGCTGGGACCACAGGCGCCCGCCACCACGCCCCGCTAATTTTTTGTATTTTTTTAGTAGAGATGGGGTTTCACCATTTTAGCCAGGATGGTCTTGATCTCCTGACCTCGTGATCTGCCCGCCTCGGCCTCCCAAAGTGCTGGGATTACAGACATGAGCCAACGCGCCCAGCCGGATGATGAGCTTTAAAAGCCTATTTTATGTCTGTGAGCTTCTGACTTGGTTTTCTTTATTTTAGCATAAGGTGGAATCTATCTTCTCCCCTAAGCTATATCATTAAGATATATCTCCCCTAAGGTGTACCCCTTTTTCCTTGAAGCGTGCCTTGCCTGATATTTTGGATATTGAGGGAACATAATTAAAGATCATATACTGCCCATTTAGAATCAGACAGGTGAATCTTCAAGGCTTGCTGCTTTAGGTAGCTTTTTCAGCAGTTCCTTCTAGAACTGGAGGAGGTCAATTCATATTTTTAGTTTATTCATTTGTTCAGTAAATATTTATTAAGATGTAGCTATGTTCCAGTTCCAGGCACTATGTTAGGTAGAAGGGATACAGTAGTGAACAAGACTGGCAAAAACCTTTAGGAGGCCATATACTATTGGAAATTTTGGCTTCAGAGGTTTCTTATGTCTTCACCCCTTAGCCCAGCATCTGATGTTGCCACACCCTATGTTGGACAAAGAACCTGACCACTTTGCCCTGCCCTGTGACTTTCCTTCAGACTGACCCACTCAGCCTGTTTGGTCACTGGCTTGCCTCATCCTGGCATTTAAGCCTCCTGGGTCCCAGACATGGGCCTTGAGACATGGGCCACTTTGCTACTGCTGCTTTGCAGACCTGCAGGAGGCACTAGTACAAGAAAGTTATTTTGCATCAACCTTGGTTGTGCAGACTGCATTGCCAAATTTGGGAAAGAAAACAAAGAATTAGGAAATTCAAGAAAATACAGGCCGACGTGCTAGCTGTTGGCTCCATTGCCCTTGGTAAAATTTGAGACACTGGACAAGTGAATGCAGTCTATCCCTTGCAACTTCATTTGCACAATAAAGGAGTTGAACTAGATAAGTGGTTCTCATTATATTCAATTATGAAGAACCCTTATTATTATCAAAGAGTTTTACAGCTATGATAATGTATGCTTAATGTATCTGTGAGTTGAATACCTACTTAAAAATACTAAGACTATAAAATTAATATATTTAATAATTACATCATCTGCATGGTTTGAAAAGCATAATACTTCGTTCATTCATTCAGTTATTTATTTACCCATTTTTTACTAGCATCTAAGATGTGGCAGGAGCCTTGCTAAGTGGTAGGGATATAAAGATGAATGAGCCGGGCCGGGCGTGGTGGCTCACGCCTGTAATCCCAGCACTTTGGGAGGCTAAGGCGGGCGGATCACCTGAGGTCGGGAGTTCAAGACCAGCCTGACCAACATGGAGAAACCCCGTCTCTACTAAAAATACAAAATTAGCCGGGTGTGGTGGCACATGCCTGTAATCCCAACTACTCGGGAGGCTGAGGCAGGAGAATCGCTCGAATCCGGGAGGCAGAGATTGAGTGAGCCGAGATTGCGCCATTGCACTCCAGCATGGGCAACAAGAGCAAAACTCTGTCTCAAAAAAAAAAAAACAAAGATGAATGAGCCAATGTCTCTGTTTAAGACTCATGGTCTGCAGAGGAGACAAGAAAGTTATCAGATCATTGTAGGGTGATAGGTATTATGGCCGGGGAAGTGCAAGGTGCTCTGGCAGCTAAGAGGAGAAACACTTAATGCAGCCTGGGGTTATCAGAGAGGGCTTTCCGTTGGAGGTCATTTCTTAGCTAAGGCCCAAAGCATTAGGAAGGGTTAGCCAGGAAAGAGTGGGATAAAGGCATTTCAGGCTGAGGAGACAGCAAGTTATGTTATTTATCGTGACTACAAATGACCCTGGTGCATACAGATTCCTGTGACAGCAACCTACCTAAGGGTTTTTAACACATAATATGGGAAATGCTAGGCTAAATATATATTAAGATTCCCCCTAATTCTTATAATTGATGATTAATCTATGGCCATTTGGAAAATGTAAAAAAAAATTCCAAAAAAAACCAAGGGAACACAACCAATAATTCCAGACAATGACATTTCCTTTGCTTGATTAAATTATGGGGACTTTGAGACCTCCATCTGCCTAGGTCCTCTCAAAAGTGTCCCCACTTATGTTGTTGTGGGTATGGTGAAAAGTGAATGCTTATATACTACTGGTGGGAATGTAAATTAGTATGGAAATATGTTAAGAAACTGAAAATAGAGGCCGGGTGCTGTAGCTCACACCTGTAATCCCAGCATTCTGGGAGGCCGAGGCGGGTGGATCACCTGAGGTCAGGAGTTCAAGACCAGCCTGGCCAACATGGCAAAACCCCGTCTCTACTAAAAATACAAAAATTAGCTGGGCGTGGTGGCGGGCACCTGTAATCCCGGCTACTTGGGAGGCTGATGCAGGAGAATCGCTTGAACCCAGGAGGTGGAGGTTGCAGTGAGTCGAGATCATGCCACTGCACTCCAGCCTGGGTGACAGAGTGAGACTCTGTCTCAGAAACAAAAAAAGACCACTAAAAATAGATCCATCATTTGATCTAGCAATCCCACTACTGGTTATCTACCCAAAGGAAAAGAAGTCATTATATCTAAAAGACACCTGCACGTGCATGTTTACTGCAGCACAATTGCAAAAATATGGAATCAACATAAATGCCTATCAGCTAATGAGTGGATAAAGAAAATGTGGCATATATATACCATGGACTACTACTCAGCCATAAAAAGAACAAAATAATGTTTTTTGCAGCAACTTGGATATAGTTGGAGGCCATTATTCTAAGTGAAGTAACTCAGGAATGAAAAATTAAATACCGTATGTTCTCACTTATATGTATTAGCTAAGCTATGGGTACACAAAGGTACACAGAGTGGTATAATGGACTATGGAGACTCAGAAGGAGGATGGTAGGAGGGGGAACAAGGGATAAAAACCTAAATAGTGGGTGCAATGTACACTACTCTAGTGACAGGTGCACCAAAATCTCAGACTTTACTGCTGTATAATTTATCCATGTAACCAAAAACCTCTTGTACCCCAAAAGCTATTGAAATAACAAAATTAAAACAGAACAAAAAATGTGTCCCCACTTCATGAGAATTTTCAAAGTTGCTCTAAAGTTGTCATTGTAGGATTTTTCCGCTCATATCCACCTTTGCTACCACTACTCCAACCATGGAGTGAAGACTCTGAGAGATGACTCTGTGCTTTACGGCTGATAAAAGGCTGAAACCTTTGAGCAGGCCTGGCTGTATAATTTGTGGGACACATCGCAAAAATAAAATATGAGCCCATTTTTAAAAACTTATTATGAATTTCAAGGTGGAGATCACAGAATATTAAAGCATTCATTGTTCCTTGTAAATTCTGGATATTAGACCTTTGTCAGATGGGTAGCTTGCAAATATTTTCTCCCATTCTGTAGGTTGCCTGTTCATTCTGATGATAGTTTCTTTTGCTGTGCAGAAGCTCTTTAGTTTAATTGTATCCCATTTGTCAACTTTGGCTTTTGTTGCAATTGTTTTTGGCGTTTTTGTCATGAAGTCTTTGCCCATGCCTATGTCCTGAATGGTATTGCCTTGATTTTCTTCTAGGGTTTTTATGTAAATGTAAATTATTTCAACCATTGTAGAAGACTTTATGGTGATTCCTCAAGGATCTAGAACCAGAAATACCATTTAACCCAGCAATCCCATTACTGGGTATATAACCAAAGGAATATAAATCATTCTACTATAAAGACACATACACACGTATGTTTACCGCAGCACTGTTTACAATAGCAAAGACATAGAACAAACCCAAATGTCCATCAATGATAGACTGGATAAAGAAACTGTGGTACATATACACCATGGAATACTATGCATCCATAAGAAGGAATGAGATCATGTCCTTTGCAGGGGCGCGGATGAAGCTGGAAGCCATCATCCTCAGCAAACTTAACACAGGAACAGAAAACCAAACACCGCATGTTCTCACTCATAAGTGAGAGCTGAACAATGAGAACACATGGACACAGAGAAGGGAACATCACACACCAGGGCCTGTTGGGGGGTGGAGGGGTGAGGGGAGGGAACTTAGAGGATGGGTCAATAGGTGCGGCAAACCACCATGGCACTCGTATACCTATGTAACAAACCTGCACGTTCTGCACATGTATTTTATTTTATTTTTTAGAATAAATTTTAAAAAGAGAGAAAAAAACCATTCCTAGGGACCCTATTAAGGGTGGAACCCTGTGCAGCTGCACATGTTGCATACCCATGAAGCCAACCCTTCCTTTCAGAACACTTTACTGACAGTTTGGGGATCATGGAAGGGAAATACAACATTGAGGATATTTTGTCATCACCACTAGTAGTATATGTGGCTACTCTTAGAGCTCATAGGGACAAATCCATAATGAGGATTTCATAAAATGCATTTCTCTGCCTACCTCTTGGCTTGCTTCTGTGTGGCCTGGAGCTAGCTAACTGCTACTCTCTGCCCCACCCAACAAATTTTGTGAGTATATTTACACAATAGGTTCCAGATCAAGCTCCGGCTCCTTTCATGCCCTGAGAGAGGAAAAGTTTTTCCTTGCTCCTGTAAATTAAAAATAAACTCCTAACTAAGCCTTCCTTCAGACTAAAAGAACCCCCTCTTGGCCAAGAGGATTACATAAAAACCTAAAAATCAAATTCCCAACCACGATGGGGTGGGAAGTTGGACATAACCCCTTCCTTTTGTGGTTTAGATACAACTGACCAGCATTAATGTTAACATAGAGACCATATGACTGACAGAACAGACTCTTTGTGGCCATAAGATCATAAATTATAAACAGGACTTAGAGTCATGCCAGGCAAAAGTTAAGTTACACACCCCTATAATTAAAGAATAAACTATGTCCTAACTGCCACAAGGTTTTTCTTTTTCTCTAGCAGCTAAACAAGCAATGGCCTCAAGATAAGCAATGTTAAACCAATTACAATTCATCCAGCTCACAGACACTGACTAACTGAACTCTTGTTCCACCAGCCGTAACCACACACACAGCTTTAATTGGATTAATTGGACAACAGATTGATTTCAGTGACTTTATCTTGATAAGAAGACCACTGACCATGGACTGGTTCTGGCTGGTTTACAGAAGCTGTGCACTTGAGTGCCTTTGTATCCTGAAAAGACTTTTTGATGTATAGGGCCTAATTAAAATACATTTAAATGTTAAGTCTCCGCTCCAAGGTGAACATAGGTCATATGTTACATGCATGTTTGTTCAATATGCATGCGTCAGGACTACCTTCATGATTTTTTTGTTAGCTCATCCAGTAATCTGTTGAATACATATACTTAGCCAACCTCTTCAGCATAAAGCTCCTACTCTAACCCCTCTTCCTTTGAAATGTCTGTCTTCGGTCTTTGCCGGAGGCACACTTCCCAGCCTGTGGGATGGCCACCTTGCAGGCTGTAATCCTTTACAAGAAATAAAATCTTCTTTTCTAAATTTATAAATTGCATTTTTTTAAGTTAACACTCCCAAATGAGGACCAATTCCCATGTTCTTATTTTTACACCCAGGCCCTGTCATTTTTAAGGATTATTGCTAATGAGAATGTCAACCCTTCTGAGACAACAACTTCCACACCCTCTACATTGTAGCCTTATTGAATTGTACTCTTTAGCCCTAAAGATAGTAACATCGGAAGGTGATTTATTCAGCAGCAGTGTATTTTTCAAAGTTTCAGTCATTTGGTTTCAAATTAAAAAGTACAATGTAAAGAACACTACCATGCTAGTCAAATTTAAACCATGTAAACCTATTGTGGTTTGCCTTTGTAAGAAAGTTATACAGCAGATGTAGATCATACCTTTGTATCTTTCTGTAGTTCTCTAGGTCTCAGCTAAAACTATCCGGTGAGAAATTGCTAAAACCTCCCACAACTCCAAGTGAATAAGCGACAGTCCCAGCACAGTGTAGTCTAAATTCATAGAAAGCCATCACTCCACCACTCCAAAGCAATAAAGTCTGCAGATAGAGCCCTGACTCAATCATATACAGCAATTTACATTACCAAAGAGAACAGTTATTTTTGAGACTAAAACATCTACATTCAGAGTACTATATAGTTTCCTCGAAGAATAATAGATTTTTTTAAATTTATGTAACAAGGGCCATTCAAGGCACTTTCTCCAAAACTGAAGAACAGGTTGCCCCAAAGGTGATTCAAGTTCTTACCACTTGAAAGAAAGAAAATGGCTTGCAGCATTTACATGACAGTTTTTCCCTCTTGTGTCCATCAAGGTTTCTAAAATCATAAAGCCAATTTACAGTCAGGATAAGGGGTATCTTATTTCAAGAAGAAAAAGAAATAAATGTTACTCATAATTCTGACATTACTAAAAACTTTTGGAGTGTGTTTATCTAACCTTGTGTCTTTTAAAAATATATATTTTTAATTGCATATGAAAATCACAAATACATTATAGCCATGAATCTTTAATAAAGAATAGAAAAATAAAAGTCCCTTTTGACCCCAGCTGTCTCACTTCCACTCCTTTATCCTAGAGATAGAGATGGCCATTGAAAAGAGGATGGTTTGTATCCTCACTGATCTTATTTTATACATTTACCTGCATAGGTGAATATATGCACACATATAACTAGGAAAACACCTAGAATATGAATCCTAGGTCAGAGAATATATATGTGTGTGTGTGCATATATATATATATATCTCCAATGATCTCTGAACTTTTTATTATTTTTTTATTTTACTTTAAGTTTTGGGATACTTGTGTTAAACGTGCAGGTTTGTTACATAGGTATACATCTGCCATGGTGGTTTGCTGCACCCATCAACCCATCATCTAGGTTTTAAGCCCCTCACGCATTAGGTATTTGTCCTAATGCTCTCCCTCCCCTTTCCCCCCACCCCCCGACAGGCCCCAGTGTGTGATGTTCCCCTCCCTGTGTCCATGTGTTCTCATTGCTCAACTCCCACTTAGGAGTGAGAACATGCGGTATTTAGTATTCTGATCCTGTGTTAGTTTGCTGATGGTGTCCTGCTCCCCAAAGGATACCCTGCTTCTGCTGGCTCAATGTCTCAGAACTTTGGTTTCATTGGTTTCGGACACCACTTTGTGGTCCACTATCCTGCGGGTGGTGGTCTTTTGGATGGTTTGCATGAAGTTGCTGCTGTACAGGGCATCACCAAGATTGAAGTCCTTCCTTCTTCCCCCAGGTAGTGGTAGGTGGTGATCTCAGCCTCCAGCTTGACCTTGATGTTCAGCAGGGCCTCGTACTCCTGGGCCTGGTGCTGCCCCTCTGCCCGTGTCTGTGCTAGCTCAGACTCCAGGTGCAGCAGGACCCCACTGAGTTGCTTCATCTGCATGGTGTAGTGGGCCTCTGCTTCCCTCAGGCTGTTCTCCAAGCTGGCCTTCAGATTTCTCATCGAGTCCAGGTTAATCTCCAAGGACTGGACTGTATGTCTCAGCTCTGTGAGTATCATCTCAGCAACTCCGATCTCAGCAGCCTGCTTGGTGACCACTGTGGTGCTCTCCTCAATCTGCTGGGACCAGTACATGTCCAGCTCTTCTGGGTTCTTCTGAGCCAGCTTGTCGTATTGGGCCCAGGTGTCTGTCTGATCTTGCAGAGGTCCTGAGATTTGGGGGCATTTAACTCCATGGTCAACCCAGAACTGGTAATCTGGGCTTTTAGGCCTTTTACTTCCTCTTCATGGTTCTTCGTGAAGAGCAGCTCCTCCTTGAGAGCCTCGATCTCTGTCTCCAGCTGCAGCCAAGTGACACTGGTATCATCAGTGAGCTTGCGGAGCCCATGGATGTCGCTCTCCACAGACTGGTGCATGGCCAGCTCTATGTCATACTTGACTCTAAAGTCATCAACAGCAAGATGGGCATTGTCAATCTGCAGAATGACGTGGGTATTGTCCACAGAATTTGCAAAGATTTGGGCTTTCAGGTCCTCCAGGGTCTTGAAGTAATGTCCCCAGTCTGTGACCTAGGATCCCTTCTCCAGGTGATCCCGGATTTTGCTCTCCTGCTTCTGATTCTCTGACTCCAGGCCCCTCACTCTGTCCAGGTAGGAGGCCAGGTGGTTGTTCAGGTCTTGCATGGTCTCCTTCTCGTTGTGGATGCCCCCCATTCCTACCAGACCCTTAGCCATCCCCGTGGCCAGGCAACTAGACTGCAAGCCGCCCCGGAAGCTGGTGGAGTGGGACACGGAGATCTGGGAACCCGAGGCCCCAGCACCTGCATAGACACTGGCTGTGCTGCTGACTGGCAGGGCGCCGCAGCTGGGCAGCTGGACTGAGCCCAGGGACAGGTAAATGATGGAGTAGGTGGTGGAGTGAGTGGTGAAGCTCACCCTGTCCGGGGAGGAGAGTGAGAGGAGAGGACTCAGGTTTTGCTGACCCAGAGGATATATTTCTAATGGTTATAAACACTGCCAAATTTTCTTCAAAAACACCATGACCAGTTTGTTCAATGTTGTTTAGAAGTGCCCATTGCTCTGCATCATTACCAGTATTGGACATTATTATTTTACATTTTCCAATCTGTTTTCTACTCTCCCCATTAATACTATAATAGGTTTTGTATAACATAACTAGTTTTGATGTCTGGTAGAGCATGTCTTCCTTTTGTATGCTTTCTCACTTGCAGGATGAGACTAATAGCGGTATCTTCACAGGGCTGTTATAAAATTTAGAAAGGTAAACAGGAGTCAGATCATGTGCTGTCTGACAGGGTTTGGTAAGGAGTTTGGATTTTATTCTGAGTGAGACAGGAATTCAAGGAAGGGTTTTAAACATGAGAATGGTGTGATTTGCTATATGATTTAAAAGATGGCTCTGACTAGGAATTTTGGTGCTGATAAAGTTCAAAAGAGGCCCCAAGTACTGGTTTGATGCCCCTTCTCTCAGAGTCTTTATACAGTGAAATCTCTGCTGGGGTTATCACAAAGAAAAATGGTAGGGAGTAAAGTTGGGTGATTTAACAAATAAAAATACAGGATGCCCAGTTAAATTTCAATTTCATATAAATAGTGATTTTTTAAGTATAAATTCTCCCAAATAATACATGTGGCGCACTTTAACTAAAAAACAATTGTTCACCAGAAATTCAAATTTGACTGGGCACTCTGTGTTTTACCTGGCAAGTGGTTATTACATATACTATCATGGTTCCTTTTTTCTTCTTCATTTTAAACACAGATTCCATCATCTCTTTCTATTCTGAATTATTATGGGCTTTTCTCTCTTTCTCAGCGTACTCCTTGAAGGCAAGGCTCATATCTAATTCATTCACTGCATTGCCGAACACAATGCCTGCATGTAGTAGTTACTCAGTAAATATTTGTTGAGTAAAAATTAAGATCTTTAGAAATAAGAGGCAAGGATGACTTCAATAGCCAGTGTTTCAGTTTCCCTTCTGTATTTCAGTGTCACAGTAATCTGCAGAGAATCTACTGAGAGATGATTTTAATTAGGGCATTTGGCAATCTGTAGAACTTGGGATATTAAGAGGAACTGGTCCCCATTGATTAAACTTCCAGCAGGAGGATGACACCTATTAGCTTAAGAGCTCTATTAGTGAGGCTTCTCAGGCTGTGTGGGCTATTCCCTTCTCTGCAGCAGCACCATTTACTCCCTGCTTGCCTCATTCTACTCTGCTTTTGTTTCCAGAGGGAGACAAAATCAAGTCTTTTGAGTATTGGACATCCAGCCTCTCAGTTCTTCACAGTTATTCGTCCAAACAGTTTCACCCAGAAGGGTAAAAGGAAACTTGCTGGAATCCGATTTTGTGGGTGTGTGTGTGAGGTGTTAAATTATTTTCCAGTAGATTTTTTTCTTTTTTTTTTTTAAATAATCTCTGGGTCTTTGCCCTATTTTTTAAAAAAAATCTTTTATTTTTACTTCACATGTAATAATTGTACATATTTATGGGATACAGAGTAATGTTTCCACTTGTGCACACAATGTATCATTCATGGCAACATAGATTAACCTGGAGGACATTATGTAAAGTGAAATAACTCAAGTACAGAAAGATACACAGCACATGTTCTCGCTCATCTGTGGGAGCTAAGAAACAATTTTGAGCTCATGGAAATAGAAAGTACAATTGTGAATATTAGAGAATGGGAATGGTAGAGAGGAGATGAGGATGACGAGAGGTTGCTTATCAATGGTTTTATTGTTCAAGTGGAGTAAAAAAAGTCGATTCTAATAACAGTGGCTGAACTATATTGGGAGGGAGCAAAATGAAAGTGATTTTTTTTCCCCAGGAAAAGCAGTTAATGCTAAATTTCTTGCCTTTAAACCTGATGTCAGGGAGGAATGTGGCTGGAATATGGGGTTTTTATCTGCCATTCTCATGCATCGTAACATGTATGGCACATGACACCTGAGGGGGTAATGTTGACGGGGAAAGAAAGTCAAAGGTTCAGGTCAAGTAAGAAGGGGTAAGGATTTATGGGTCAATTGTGTGTGTGTGTGTGCATGTGCATGTGTGTGCATGTGTGTGTGTGTGTGTGTGTGTACCAGCATCAGCACTAGCCAGAGTTTCATCTTCATATCCTTAGTTCCTCCATGAATTTTGGAACGTGCCCTTTAAAATTGGCTGTCTCTCTTTGGGATGAGCAGCTTGTACTTAATTTGAGACTGCCAGTAGCTAAATGTATCATCAAAACTGGGGTGCCTGATGTTTGAGCTGATGTCTTGACACGCACGTGCAGAAGGCATTCTATCTTTATTTTATGGAAATCACCAATCACTCTGGTTATTTTGGTCCTTATGTATTTTTAGATTTCTACATTGGTATCACCTTGGTCTTCCTGGTTTAGTTTTCCTCTATTTTTATCTCTTGGATTGTTGGTAGCACCTTAAAAGAGAGGATGATCCTTATTTGAAGTAGTACTGACTAAATACTGTGGAGTTTACTTTCAGTTTGGGTCCTGAATTTTCACAGCTAGTGATGCAGATAGAGACTTCTCTTTATGGTTTGTGGGTAACTGCTAAAAGACCCTGAATTGCCCACTTAGACCACCCCCGCTCTCTAATATGAGCTTTGACATTTCACCTGAATCAATAAATTTCAAATAACACTGTAACTAGGCAAGGTGCTATCCCAAGTGTGAATCTCAGGTGTGATTGTTCTGGATTCTATGGATTAGGTGTCCCCTTCTGGATCGCCTGTAAAAAGGGAGCAAATAGAGAAGAATAAAGTAAATCTTTCAGGAATACTAGGAGAAATTTACCGCTGCACCATCACAGCAAGAAAATCTTATATACCTCCCCAAGTAAACAATAAATCAATCAGATAAAACTCAGTAAGGATACAGAAGATTTGAATAACAAAATTAATAAGCTTAATTTAGTGGACATATATAATTAGAATACTGTTCCCAACTAACAGAGAATAGAGATTCTTTTCAAGCATACAGCAAATGGATCATGTCTTATTCCATAAAACAAATTTTAACAAATATCTAAGAGTCAGTATCATACAGATTATATTCTCTAACCAAAATACATTTAGATAAGAAATAAGTAACAAAAATGTAAATTCCCTTATATTTTGAAATTTAAAGCACATTGCTATTTAACTCATGAGTCAAAGAAGAAATTATACAAATGAAAGTGCATCTAGCACTTAATGAAAAATTAGTGCATGTCTATGTATAGTGGGGGATTATAGATAAAGTGATAAAAATAAGTATATAGTAAAAATGCTTATAATACAAATTCTTAAAAGGCTGAAAACTAATAAGTTAAATATCCAAATTAATAATTTTTAAAAAACATTATAACAAAAGCAAATATAGGATATGTAGAGAACAAATAAATGTACGAGTGAAAATACAAATATTTAGGCCTCATCCCAGGCCATTACATCAGAACTTCTATGTATATGCCTTAACACATGGCTATTTTTATACTTTAAGCTCTAGGTTACATGTGTACAACGTGTAGGTTTGTTACATATGCATACATGTGCCATGTTGGTGTGCTGCACCCATTAACTCGTCATTTATATTAGGTATATCTCCTAATGCTATCCCTCCCCCCTTTCCCCACCCCATGACAGGCCCCGGTGTGCGATGTTCCCTATCCTGTGTCCAAGTGTTCTCATTGTCCAATTCCCACCTATGAGTGAGAACATGCAGTGTTTGGTTTTCTGTCCTTGCAATAGTTTGCTCCGAATGATGGTTTCCAGCTTCATCCATGTCCCTACAAAGGACATGAACTCATCATTTTTTATGGCTGCATAGTATTCCATGGTGTATATGTGCCACATTTTCTTGACATTTGGGTTGGTTCCAAGTCTTTGCTATTGTGAATAGTGCCACAATAAATATACGTGTGCTTGTGTTTTTATAGCAGCATGATTTATAATCCTTTGGGTATATACCCAGTAATTTAAAAAGCTTCCTAAGTTGATTCTAGTGTATAGGAATGGTTGAGAACAACTGAATAAAGAGAATAAACTGAGACTATGGTATTTTTAAAAGGACTAACGTGGTAATTTCAAAAGGACTAAAAATATTGACAGATTTTTGCCAATATTGATTAAAAACAAAGACAGAAGGTACAGAATGCAGTAAAAATACAGAAAAACTAGAGAAAACCACAGATTCAGTATATATTGAAATGAAATTGAATAATATTGTGAATGACCTCATGACAATGAATTTGAAATGTGGATGAAAAGCAGAATTTTCTATAAAAATAAAACTTATCAAAAAGGCTCAGGTAGTAATAGAAAGTCTGAATTATTAAAGTCTTCCTCAAAAGAAAACACACATACCCACATAACTTAAAATTGTAAACTATGAAATATCTAAGCACCATATAATTGCAATCTCTCACAGAAAATAGAAGAATAAGGAATATCCCAAACTCATTTATGAGGCTATTCATAACCTCATCAGGAAAAGAGATAAGGATAATATAAGGAAGAGGCACTACAGATTGTATCACTCATTAACATAGATATAAAAATAAAAAACAAAACATCAGTAAATTTAATTAAGCAATGTATAAAAAGAATAATACATCATAAGAACCTTAAGTTTTTTTCTAGGAATTCAATGATAGTTTTTTTAATGCAATTTACCACTATCAGTTTTAAGAATTAAAGCCACATGATCAAAGAATTAGACTAAATTTAATTTCCATTTATAATAAAAGCTCAATATAAATAACTCTTAGCAAACCAGGAATATAAAGATACTTTCTCCACCTGATAATGAGTATCTGCAAAATACCTTTAGCAAAACTTGTAATTAATCATGAACCATTAGAAGCATTTTTTTTCTTTTTTTTTGAGACAGAGTCTCGCTCTGTCACCCAGGCTGGAGTGCATTGGCGCTATCTCGGCTCACTGCAAGCTCCGCCTCCGGAGTTCACGCCATTCTCCTGCCTCAGCCTCCCGAGTAGCTGGGACTACAGGCGCCAGCCACCACGCCTGGCTAATTTTTTGTATTTTTAATAGAGAGGGGGTTTCTCCGTGTTAGCCAGGATGGTCTCGATCTCCTGACCTCGTGATCCACCCGCCTCGGTCTCCCAAAGTCCTGGGATTACAGGCGTGAGCCACCGCGCCCGGCCTAGAAGCATTCTTTTAAAATCAGAATAAAAGATAAATGATGCCCATGATCACCACTTTTAATCAATTATACAGGTGATCCTACCCAGTGCAATAAAGCATATAAATAAAGTTATATGGATTAGAAAGATTAAAAGAAGAATGTCATTATTGGCAGGTAAAATGATTATCTATTTAATTCTTTGAAAAAGAAGAATATATTTATCAGAATTAACAAGAAGTTAGCCAGGTTGTTGAACACGAGATCAATGTACAAAAATCGAGACACCTGCACTTCCAGACACCAACAACAAACAATTAGGAAATGTGATTAATTAAAATAAATCTACAATTTAAAATGGTGACTTTTATTTAAAATTTTGTATTGAATCTAATTAAAAATGTGTAATATATTTACAACAAATTTAGGATTTGCTTTAGTCATTAAATTGAGCGATTTATCTTCTTGTTGATGGAAAGGAAATCTCAGTTTTGTACACATTTCACTTCTTTCCAAAGTGATCAATCCCAATAAAAACCCAGGAAAAAAATCACAAGATGTTTTTATGGAACCTAAAATGCTGAGTATACATTTATATGGAATAATATATTATGGGAAATGATATGGAAAAAGTTATATGAATATTCAAGACACATTTGAACAAGAAGGAAAAGAAAGTGGAGATTATACTCCTACCCAGGCATCAAGATTTGTATTATAAAAAGTGTATTAATTAGACCTTTTGGTAGCAGTACAGGGTAATCACATAGACCAATAGAACAGAACTGAGGATCCAGAAATATACCCGGATTCATATGATCTTGATCTATGGCAAAGCTGCATTATACTCACATTGGTGAGTAAAAGTGGGAGGGTACTCACATAATGGTGCTAGAACATTTGAATCTTTACATGGAAAAAAATAAATTATATCCTTTACATAATTCACACACAAAAAAACCTAGTTATATTAAAGACTTAAATGGGTAAAGAAAACTTTAAAACTCCCAGAAGAATATATAGATTTTGTTTACTTTGGCATAGGGAAGGATTTTTTTAAACATGACACAAAAAACACAAATCATAAAGAAGATTGATACATTTGGTGACATTAAAATAAGAACTTTGGATCACTGAATTAATGTTAGCTAGCTGAGTAGGAGTTTCCAGTGCTAATTTCTTCATAATAACATCAATTAGAACAACCAACCACATAGGAAAATCTTCACAAGCACTAAAGAATCCAGATGAAATATTACAAGCACCTGGATAAAGCATAGAAATAAGAAAAAATGCATTAAAAATAATTGGGAGAACATTTTTACGTTAACCACATCATCCTCTTCCCAAGCCTGGGCAACGCAGAGAGAGATACCCTTTTTGTGGGTGAAACAGAGCACAGTGAGTACCGAACTTCTCCAAAGATCCCAGCACCAGGCCCATTTCAATGAACCCCACTGCCAGGCCCCCCTGCTGCAGACCCAGCCTGCAGGGCTACCTTAGCACCAGGCTGGACTTGGAAAAGGAAGAAAGAAACAAATGTACTACAAAATAGAAAACAATTAGCAAAATAACAGTAATAAGTCCTTTCCTATTAATAATTAAATGTAAACAGATTAAATTCTTCAATCACAAAACATAAAGTGTTTGAATAGTTAAATAAACATGATGCAAGTATATATAACCTAAGAGAGACTCACTTTAAAGACATAGGCTGAACGAAAAAGGTATTCCATGCAAATGGTAACCAAGTAAGAAATACACTTTAAGTTAAAATCTGTCATAAGAGTAAAAGAAGGTCATTATATAATGATAAAGGGTTCAATTCATCAACAAGATATAACATTTGTAAATATATATACACCCAATATTAGAGCACCTAAATATATAAAGCAAATATTAACACATGTAAGGGAGAAATAGACATCAATACAATAATGGTAGGAAACTTCAATACTACACTTTCAAAAATGGATAGAACATCAAGACAGAAAATCAATATGGAAACAGTGTACTTGAACAGCATTATAGACCAAATAGACCTAACACACATATATAGAGTATTCAATTTAACACAGCAAAATACACATTCTTTTCAAGCACATACAGGACACTATCCAGGATAGATCATGTTTCAGGCCACAAAACAAGTCTTTACAAATTTATGAAGATTGAAATCATACCAAGTATCTTTTCAGACCACAATGGTGTGAAATTAGAAATCAATAGCAGAAGGAAATTGGAAAATTCACAAATAAGTGAAAAGTAAACAACACACTCTTGAACAACCTATGGGTCAAAGAAGAAGTCAAAAGAGAAATTTAAAAATACTTTGAGAGAAACAAAACAGAAACACAGCATACCATAATTTATGGGACGCAGCAAAAACAGTTCTAAGAGATAAGTCCATAGTGATAAATGGTTCTATTAAGAGAAAAAAGAGAAAGGTTTCAAACAAACAATCTAATTTTACACATTAAGGAACCATACAAAAGCAAATTAAGCCCAAAGTAAGCAGAGGAAAGGGATAAAGATCAGAGCAGAAATAAATGAAAGAGAAAAATAAACAATAGAAAAATATCAATAAGATTGAGTTGGCTTTTTTGAGAACACAAGCAAAATGGCCAAACCTTTAGCTAGACAAACTAAGAAAAAAAGAAAAGACTCAAATAAATAAAATCATAAAAGAAAGAGAAGACATTACAATTGATACTGCAGAATAATACACACACACACACACACACACACACACAATGGAGTATTTTTCAGTCTTACAAAATAAAAATAAAATTCTGTGTTTTAAAACAACATGGATGAACCTGGAGGATGTTATGCTAAGTGAAATAAGCCAGACACAAAAAGACAAATACTGCATGATCTCACTTATATGTGAAATCTTAAAAAGTTCAACTAATAGAAGCAGAGAGTAGAATGGTGGTGACTAAAGATTAGCGGGTGGGAGAAATGGGGAGGTGTTAGTCAAAGGGTACAAAGTTTCAGTTTTGCAGGATGAATAAGTACTGGGGACTTAATAAATATTGATGTAACTGTAGTTAACAATACTGTATTGTATATTTGAAATCTGTTAAGAGAGTAGATCTTTTTTAAAAAAAGTTTTATTGACACATAATGAGTACACATTTATGGGGTACATGTGATATTTTGGTACATACATATAATGTGTAATGATCTAATTAGACTATTTAAAATATCCATTGCCTTGAACATTTATAATTTCTTTGTGTTGGGAATATTTCAAATCTTCTCTTCTAGCTACTTTGAAATATACAATAAATTGTTAACTATAGTCAGCCTACTGTTCTATGAAAACAGTATGGAGGTTTCTCAAAAAAACGAAACATAGAACTACCATATGATCCAGCAATCACACTACTGGGCATTTATCCAAAGGAAAGGAAATTGTTATATCAAAGGGAAACCTGCACCCCTATGTTTATTGCAGCTCTATTCACAATAGCCAAGCTAGGGAATCAACCCAAGTGCCCATCAATGGATGAATGGACAAAGAAAATGTGGTATATATACACAATGGAATACCATTTAGTCATACAAAATAATGAAATCCTCTCATTTTCAGCAACATGGATGGAACTGGAAGTCATTATATTAAATCAAGTAAGCCAGGCACAGAAAGATGAATACAACATGTTCTCATGTTCTCACTTATGTGTAGGAGTTATAAAATTTGATCTCATGGAGGTAGACAGTAGAATGGTAGTTAGCTGAGGCTGGGGAGGGTTGGGGGAATGAAGAGAGATGGTTAATGGGTACAAACATACAGTTAGATAGAAGAAATAAGTTCTAGTGTCTTCAAGTGCTTTTAGATAGTTATTTTATTTTTTTCCCCAGAGTTTATAATTGCTAGCTATGGGAGGTTTGGTTCAATGTGACTTACTTTGCCATTACTGGAAGTAAAACAGGTACTATGTCTTTAATTATGAAAAGAATGAGCCACTGACTTTCTTGCCTGAAGAAGTTGAATGCAATTTAATTGTGAAAGTGAGGGCTGTCTACTTCAGTCAACATAGATAATACAAATAGGGATGAATTCTTTAGTTACCATAGGCAAAACATGTTTCATATGTAGATCTATACATTTAGAAAAGTGAAACATTAAATAAATCATGTTCTTACCAGAATGCCTTGATTCGAAATATGTGAGCTCTTATAACAAATTATTGGAATTGACTTTCCTCCACAGCATACAGTGTCTTAAACCATAGCATGTTCCCTTCAGCTACAGTCTCAGCTGAAATAACTTTGCATGTGTGTGTATACACACATATGTTTGTGTGAGGTATGCACATATAATATATAGAGATACATTTTCAAAGGAAAAGGTAATCTTATAACATCTCTTTGCAACATGCCTTTTTCATATAACAGCATATTTTCCAAGGAATAGAACACATTTCTAACATGTAATTTTTTTTATTATACTTTAAGTTCTGGGATACATGTGCAGAACGTGCAGGTTTGTTATATAATTATACACGTGCCATGGTGGTTTGCTGCACCCATCAACCTGTCATCTACATTAGGTATTTCTCCTAATGCTATCCCTCCCCTAGCCTCCCACCCCCCAACAGGCCCCGTTGTGTGATGTTCCCCTCCCTGTGTCCATGTGTTCTCATTGTTCGACTCCCACTTATGAGTGAGAACATGTGGTGTTTGGTTTTCTGTTCCTGTGTCAGTTTGCTGAGAATGATGATTTCCAGCTTCATCCTTGACCCTGCAAAGGACATGAACTCATTCTTTTTTATGGCTGCATAGTATTCCACAGTGTATATGTGCCACATTTTCTTTATCTAGTCTATCATTGATGGGCGTTTAGGTTGGTTCCAAGTCTTTGCTATTGTGAATAGGGCTGCAATAAACATACATGTGCAGGTGTCTTTATAGCAGAATGATTTATAATCCTGTGGGTATATACCCAGTAATGGGATTGCTGGGTCAAATGGTATTTCTTGTTCTAGATCCTTGAGGAATCGCCACACTGTCTTCCACAATGGCTAAACTAATTTACACTCCCACCAAGAGTGTAAATGTGTTCCTATTTCTTCACACATTCTCCAGCATCTGTTCTTTCCTGACTTTTTAATGATCGCCATTCTAACTGGCGTGAGATGGTATCTCACTGTGGTTTTGATTTGCATTTCTCTAATGACCAGTGATGATTAGCTTTTTTTCAAACATTTGTTGGCCACATAAATGTCTTCTTTTGAGAAGTTCATAACCTTTGCCCACTTTTTGATGGGGATGTTTGATTTTTTCTTGTAAATTTGTTTAAGTTCCTTGTAGATTCTTGATATTAGCCCTTTGTCAGATGGATAGATTGCAGAGTAGATCTTAAATGTTCTCACCACTTGCAAAAAAAAGTGTTACTTTGTGAGGTGATAGATATGTTAATTAGCTTGTTTGTGGTAATTATTTCACAATGTATATGCATATTAAAACATTTTATGAAGTATGTTGTATACTTACTTTAAACATATACAGTTTTTGTTTGTCCATTATACGTCAATAAAACTGGGGAAAAATCACTGTTGATCATCAAAAGACATCTTCATGAAAATAAAATAATAAGCCCTAAACCGGAGAATATATTTGCAACACACTACACTGACAAAATATGAGACGCCAGAAATATAAATAATTGTCCCGAATTAAGAAAGAAAAGGACAAACATTTCAATAGAAAAATGGGCTAAAGAGTTAGGGAGACACATCACAGGATAGGAAAAACAAAAGTCAAATAAAGATATGAAGAAACCACAATAAGATACCAGTTCACAATGAGATACAACCCTCTGAAATGCCTAAAATGAAAAAGTCTGACACCATAAAATGTTGGCAAGACTTTGGAGCTACTGTAACTCATACATTGCTGGTAAGAGTGTGAAGTATAAAATGACTTTAGAAACTTTTTTGGCAGATTTTACTCCCTCAGCCAGCAGTTACACTACTAGGTACTTATGCAAGAGAAATAAAAACATTTGTCCACACCAAGCTCTGTATAAGAATGGTCCTAGCAGTTGTCTTAGCCCTTTTGGGCTTTTATAAAAAATTACCACAGACTGGTTGGCTTAAACATAAAATATTAATTTCTTATAATTCTGGAGTCTGGAAATCAGAGATCACAGTGCCAGCATGATCAGATTCTGATGAGGACTCTTCTCTGTTGCACACTTCTGACTTCTTACTGTATCCTCACATAGCCAAAAGGAAGCTAAACAGCTTCCTTGGGCATGTTTTTATGAGGACACTAATGCCAATCATGAAGGCTCCACCCTCATGACCCAACTACCTCCTCCAAATCTCACCTCCTAATATTACCACATGGAGGGTTAAAATTCCAACATATGAATTTTGAGGGGACACAAATATTCAGTCCATAACAGCAGATTAATTAATAAAAACATCAAACTAGAAATAGTCCAGATATCCATTAATAGGAGAATAGACAAACTGTCTTCATACAATGGAATACTACTCATCACTAAAAAGTAAAGTATCAATGATATATACAAGACACAGATAAATCTCAAAAATATAGTGAGTAAAAAAATGGCAGACATGAGAGCGTATATACTGTACGATATGAGAGCATATATACTGTACGATTTTATTCACACTAAGTTCTACAATAGGCGAAACTAATCTATTGTAACTAATCTATTGTAATAGATCAGTGGTTACTTCTGGCACTGGGTGCAGGGACTGGGGAGAGGATTCAAAAGGGACAAAAGGAAACTTTCAGAGGCAATAGACTGTTTTATATCTGGATAGGGATCTGGGTCACACAGCTGTAAGCATTTGTCAAAAATGAAAGTACTTTACACTTAAGGGTCTGTGCATTTTACTGCATGTAAATTATTCCCCAATTTTAAAGTCTTATAAATGCTGAAAGTGATTATGTTGCAGAAATAAAAAAAAATCAAAAAGTTACTTGAGGCTTAGGATAAAAATTTCAGTGAAAGCATCATGCACAGATTTTTAAAAAACTGGATCTTAAACAACTTAGAAGAAAATATAATGTGACTCAAAAAATGGCTTGGTTTTGGTAAAAAAAAATATGCCAATGACGTGAAGAGTTGAAATAAAATTATTTCATGAAAAAATGAATAAAAGCTCAGTCTCATTAGTCATCAGAAAAATAAAAACTATGTCCTCAATTAGACATCATTTTAAATCTACAGATTGGCAAACATATTTAAGTCTGATAATGTCACTGTTGGTGAAGTTGTATAGCTATGAGTATCTTTTATATACTCATAAATATAGAAGTGTATATTGCTATGGTTTTATTTGATAATAATTTGGTATTCATTAGTGATGTTGAAGATATGTGTACCCTGTCATCCAATAATTCTACCATATATATTCTAGAAATACTGCCACATATATTCTAGAAATACTGCCACATATATTCTAGAAATACATGTTTAGTAGTTTTTCACCTCTCCCAGAATAAAAGCCCAAATTCTAACAATTACCTAAAAGGTTCTACAGAATCTATTCTGCCCACCTTCTCATTACCTGTCTGACTTCATGTCCTTTAACTCTCTTCTTTGCTTACTCGGCTCCAACCTCAGGACCTTCCCTGCTGTTTTCTTAACACTCCAGAAATGCTTCTATCTTAGGACTTGTGCATTTGTTGCTAATCTCTGAAACACTCTTCACCAAGAGGAGAATTACTTGCTCCCTCATCTACTTCAGGATTTTACTCAAATATCACTTTCTCAGTAAGCCTTACCCTGACCACTCTCTTTTAAAATTATACCCTGCCAATACTGCCTAACCCCTTTTCCCGCTCTAAATTTATCCATAGCACTTAGCACCATCTAATATGCTGTTTTCCCCCACTGCAATATAAACTCCTTGAAGCCAGACATTTTTGTCTGCTGCTTTACTACTGAAATCCATGGGCCCAGACTAGTTTCTGGTCCATTGTAAGAGCTCAATGACTCTCTACTGAATGAATGCTTGTATAACGGTATTGCTTTTTTAATAATCTTTATTTTTAGAGCAGTTTTAGGTTCACAGAAAAACTGAACAGAAAGTACAGAGTTCCCATACACTCTGTCTCCACACATGCATAGCCTCTCCCACCACTAACATCCCTCACCAGAATGGTACACTTGTTACCATCGACAAGCCTGCATTGACACATCATTATCACCCAAAGTCCATAGTTTACATTAGGATTTGCCCTTGATATTGTACATTCTATGGGTTTCAATACTGTATAATGACATGTATCCTTCATTGTAGTATTATACAGAATTGTTTCACTGCCTTATAATTCCTCAATGCTCTATTTATCCTTCCCTCCTCCAACAACATTGTTTTATTAGCAAACATCTGGGAACAACCCAAATGTCCATTGACAGGAGAATGGTAAATAAAACATGGTGTATTCACACAGTAAAATACTATACAGTTGTAAAAAAAAAAAAAAGGATCAACTATGACAATACATATCAGCATGAATGAATCTTACAAATATAAGTAAAAAAAGTCACATAAGAATGCATATGTGATTACATTTACATAAATTAAAACCTGTAAAACTTGAAATGTATTTTTAGGGCTGCATATGAATTTAGTAAAATTTTAAAGGAATGAAATGATGATCGACAAATTTTAGGATACTGGCTACCTCAGTGCGGGGGTGGGGGGTCAGAGAGGTCAAAAACCTTCTGTTATTGTGATCCCTGGAACTAACTGGGTTCCTGTTCCTTTAGGTTCTGGCTTTTTAACTGTTCCTTCCATTCCATAATACACTATTTCAAGAAATTCTATTTCTTGCTTTAAATTAATCCTCACATTTGACATATATATTCTGCCTTTACATTTGCTACACAACCGGTATGGTGCAGTATTATCTGCTTCTGTATGTAAGATCTCAGAAAGAAAGGAAATACTCACTAAGGCATAAATCCTTTAATTTGTCTTTTAGTGGCCATTATGAATGGTAAAATTATTTGAAGTGAGATGGTTTTATCATATTTTCCCTTTATTTTTGGTCAATGAAACCATCCTACACCACTGCTTGAGTCCCCGGGGCAGTGCTAATAATTCAGGCTAGTCTTTCAGTTAATTTAGTCTAATTTTGCAGGTGCTGTTAGAAAAAACCAGCTGGCTTGGATAAAATTGCCCTGTAGATGCTAGCTAGCCGTGATGTTATCAGCTTTTTGAGGGTTTTCAGAATAACAGATGAGATAATAGTAGGTTTTTAAAATCCCAGTTTAGATCTAATTTTGCTGTATTTGACTCCAGTGATTTTGCAGAAGCTGTTATGACTCAGCTGTCTCTTAAAAACTCCCCTCCCTTCTTCTCTTCCTCCATTTTCTCAGCAAATGAAATCTCTTTCCCTCCTTCTTTCTCTCCCCTTCTTTCTCTCTCACACAGAAGAAGAGAAAAGCCAAAACATCATCATATATATAGGGAACATATCTCAAGCCATCTTTGGTGCAAGAGAAGAGCTCAACTTCCAGCCAATTGATGGCAGATTGTAGAAACACATGGCGGGCCTTTGTATTAACCCAGGGGACATTATGCTAGGTGAAATAAGCCAGACACAGAAAGATGAATGGTATGTGATCTCACTTATATGTGGAATCTAAAAAAGGTAAATTTATGAAAGCATAGAGTAGATTGGTGGTTACTAGGGGTAAAGGGGGCCAGGGTGGAGGTAGGGAATGGGAAGATGTTGGTCAAAAGATACAAGTTTCAGTTAGTAGAATGAATAACTTCTAGAAAACTAAAGTATGACATGAGGTCTATAGTTAATAATACTGTATTGTATAGTTGAAATTGCTAAGAGACCAAATCTTAAGTGTCCTTGCCACAAAAAGAAAGATAGCTATGTAAAGGGATAGATATGTTAATCATCTTGATTATCATAATCAACTCTAACTACCTCATTTCACAGATAAGGAAACTAAGATATAAACAGATTTAGAGTTTACCCAAGGTCATATAGCTAGATAATAGCTATAATCTCATGATCTTGGGTCTGCACATGCTGTTCCTATTTTCCAAAAATACTCTTTTTGGGTATCTTTTCTTGGCTCCCTCAGATGTATACTTCTGGAGCAGAGGTGGTCAAACTATGGCCCATGAACCAAATTCAGATAGCAGGCTGTTTTTGTAAATAAAGTTTTATTGGAACACAGCCATGGCCATTCATTTCTTATTGTCTATGGCTGTTTTTGCACTACAGTAGCAAAGTTGAGTAATTGTGACAGAGACCATATGGTCTGCAAAGCATAAACTATTTACTACTTGGCTGTTTACAGAAAAAGTTTGCCAACCACTGACCTGGAGCCTAGAGTCTGTTCTAACTTAGCCAAACTGAGACAGTCTATGCCTTCTCTTACCTCTAACCACTAACTGCATGGAATCAGAAGAAACAAAAAAGTGAGGAAAGTGAGGGTGATGACATGTTTTGTGACTTCCTGCCAGCACAGTGAATCCTTGAAATGGCCCTTTTCCAATTAGCCCTTTCCTTGCTTGCCAACTTCCAAGTCACTCCAGGCTGCTAACACCTCCCCCTACCTACCATTTGCCAGGCCATCTGCATACAATCAGTCTCCTTAGTAATAATTCTAGCAAGATTTCTGTTCACTCTTAGCCTAGCTTCTGATTTTTTAAAGCCTCCTCGTCCTTTTTTTTTTTTTATCACAAGACATTTAAAAAACACAGATATTCAAAATGTCACAATATTTATTTTAATGGAGAAGAGAAGGTGATTCTTCACAGAAAGCCAGCCTCCAGATAACGAACTGCCTCATTTGCCTTGTGTCCTGTGGGATATTTTGCACTAAGTGCAGAGGTAGGCCTGATGACACTGATCAGTATCCCAAAGCCTCTGAAAGCTCAAGGGAATATTCCTGTACGTTTTGCAAGCAGTTGTTTAGTCCTGGTCCCTGACTAGGGAAGGACTTTGGGAGAGGAGTGGGTAAGGATTTAAAGGGCTACATTTAAGTGATAAATGTGTTTTATTCAGGGCCTGTGGCATTCTTTTAGGGATATATAATAAACCTTAACAATACTTTTCAATATTGTTAGCTAATATTAATTGAGCACTTACTGTCTGCCAAATTATTTGCTACATATTTACCATGGAGAATAGGGATTATTTTCCTCCACATTTTGTAGGTGATAAAATTGAGACTCAGAAAAATCAGGTGACTTCCCCAAGGTCACACAAGTAATAAGTGATGGAGTCAGAATTTATACCTAGATTTGTCCGATTCCATTGTCTTTTAACTACTTCAGTAGCTGCCTTTTTAATGGGAAATATTTCAAAACTTTTAAGACTAACATGCAAAAGCAAAAAACAATCTTTCTCTGAGGCCAGATGAGTAGCTCCAGGAGGAGTAGTGTGTGTGTGTGTAAAGTCTATGCCAAAATCTTTAACTGGCTGGTCTTCTACACATAAGATATTCAGATTATAGGCAGAGGTGGGTTGCATTTACAATAGCTGTGATAAATCAATTCAATCACCATATTCAGACCATCTATTATGCGCCAGGAACTGTGTCCTAGTCATCTAGAGATGTTAAAAATACCGTTGTTTTTCTTAAGGAGTTTACAGATTGTCTTAGAAGAACAGCTATTGATAATTAACAAATATTTGTTGAATAAAGGAATGAAGCGTTGTGACTATTATACTGTCTGAGAAAGACATTTACCTAGCCTCCTAAATCTCCTAGTCCAGTTGGTGAGGAAACCTAGAATGTGCGAATTCACAAAGATCTGAGATAGCCTGATGTGTTAAGGGATTTATAGGTAGTTCCATACTTCGAGGGTGAAAGAGGTGACAAAGAATGTACCTGGACACATTGAGAAAACAGAGAGTGATTTTTTTCATATAACCAGAATTAATAAATTTCTGCAGGGCCCTGAAGTGTGATATGTGGGAGGCATGAGAAATAGAAGAAATTGCTGTGGAACCCTACTCTCAAGGTGATAGTCTGCTTCTGGAGAGAAAAACAACTAAGGCATATAAATAATAATATGCATGTGTGGCCCAAACTGAAAGTTTGAGTCCTGAAGATGTATGAGTAAGGGTGTGATCAGTAGAAAAGGTAATTTTGCAATTGCACATTGAAAGGAAAAGGCTGTTCCAATTAGAAAATGCCCAGTGGTTTCCAACGTGTAAGCCATAGACATCTTGGGAAGAGGAAAAGCATTGCATTATTGCAAGGGACCAAGGATGTATTTGAGGACCAAGCACTGTCTGTGGACTGAATAAGTAACATATATGGTTACTTTATGTGCTACCATTGATTAAATAAATTCATGTCGCTTCTGTGATTAATAAAGTACAAGTTGATGGGAAAGTATTATTCAGTTCAATCGCTATTTATTAGCATAGATTTTCTCAATTAAATGGTATTCAGCAGAGAATAGTTTCACAAATGTGTTGTTAAAGGTCTTTAGATTTCTAAAACATTGGAAACCACAGGTTTTAGGGAAGCAGAAGAGTAATGTTTTCTCCATGTTACTGCTCTGTGTGGCTCTGGCTGGGTACTGGCCTGATAATGAGATATGGCAAAGAGACAATTGTTGGAATACTGTTTATTATAGCAGCATAGATGACATGTCACAGTAAATATCTCAGAGGAAAGAGCTTTCATGACCAAGTTAATCATAAGCAAACATGAAAGGGAGAATAGCATGATTTTTTTTTCTTATAAAAGGTAATATTTTCTCTTCAAGTTGAAGAAAGTGATTCAGAACTCTTTCAAGAACTAAAGAGAAGGTGAAACTCCATGCAGAGAAGAATGAGATGGTAATTTGGAGAGGCAATGATAGGCTGATACCAAGCCTTAGATGTTTTCAAGGGTAAGTTATTTTTTTTCCAAGATTTCCTCCAATTTCCACTCCCAAAGGGAAATCCTCAGAGGGAAAAATAATGGAGAACCCTAAGCTCCCTTCTTCTCCAAATTGCAAATTGGGTGATAAAGGGAATTAGGATAAGCCATGCTTTCTCAGGACTTTGGACTTTCTAAGTTACGCTTTGGGTGAGGAGAAAAGTTCATTTGTAAAATGGGCTTTCCTTACTTGAATAGAAATTTACCCATACCTTACTCTTTCCCTTCTGTTCCTAGTCTCCTACTTACCTCATTTTATGTCATAACACTTATTTTTTTTTGTTGTTTTTATTCCTATCTTTTCTCCCCTTCTACTTTTGTTTCCTCCTTCATCTTCCTCTTCCTTTTCTCCACTTTTTTTCTAGGAGTGTTAAGAAAGTCTTTCTTTTTCTCTGTCTCTTCCTTTGTCTCTGTCTCTCTGTGTAAGGGCTAACGACTTGGAAGAAGACTTAGGAAGAAGAGAGGGATCTTTTCAGTTATTTTTCATTTCAACCTCAGACAGAAAGCTATCACAGTCCCCTCGTGTGCCAAATAGAAGCATTTTGGACCTAAGTCTTAAGTTGCAGTTTTTGAAATTTAGATAATGTTATATCCGAAGCCTAGCCCATATTCTGTTGGAAGTTCATTGCCCTCCCATTTTATTTCCTGGAAATTAAAAGGGACTCACATTTTATTATTTCTTTCAGTTCTGATGTTTTGCGTCTAATGAGTTTTCATTCTTACTGGCCTCTTTCTCCTTCCCTTGTTCTTTTCTTTCCTTTGTTCCACGCCAGCCCAGAATTGGGGGCTTAGCCACATTTCATTGATTTTCACAACACATACACACCCATATGAGCTTTTTGTGTTTGGGGAATTGAAGGAGGCTTATTTCACAGCATCACAAATGTCCTTTTACCTCTCTCCCTTACCACAAACTCTTATTAAATTTTTATGCAGGAAAGTTAAACTTGCTCTATTTTAAGCTTTTTCTTTCTAATGCAGGTTCTCCTGATCTCACCTTTTATGCCCAATCGACTATCAAGTTATTTTGTAACAAATATTATTGCTTCTTCTCTGAGAAATTCTGTCCAGTTATTAAAATAACATTTTCTCCCTGATATAATAATAGTTAAAAGGATACCTTTTACCTAGGAGTTCTGCAAAGCCCCCCCGAAGAGCCACTAAGGGACTGGGGAGGAGAGGGAGGCTCAGGCAGCAGGGCTCCACACATCCACAGCCCTGCTTCAACCAGACTAGCTTCACTTTGATCTGTCTTACATATTTGATTTCATGACCATTTGGGGTAAAAAGAAAAGCTTCCATTCCTAAAATAAAATGTGAAAACCACTGCTTTAATAGATGAAACTTGTTAGCCCTAAAAGATAGCATGAACTGGATGTATATAAATATGTTTCAAAAGAAGAAAAAGAACATCAAGGGTGTCATATCTACAATATTCATTGGAAAATGATTCAAAGAAAATTAAAATGTTTAGGGGTTATGGCAATTCCCCAAGGTTGACAAAAAGGAAGATAATCAGATCCTATGATGGCTAAATTCTTGTTAATTTAGACTCCAGGGCATGATGGCATTTCTGGGAAGAGAAGCCCTTTCTGTTTGTGGCTGACTTTGGAGTACTGGTATATAGTGTTTGCATGGGACAGGAAGCCTTGCCAAGCGGGCAATTAAAGATAGAGCTATACTTCAGAAACTCAGCTCTTAGTTTCCTATATTTATTTTCCCCTGGATGTGAATGATGAACAGTTTGGCTTTTGAGTATAGGATGATTTTAGTATTTGATGCCATGCTACATTTTTCCCATGCTTCATATACTCCCCTGATCTTGACTGTGCCTGACAATGTGAGAAAGGACTCCAGCTGCCTCTCAGATGGGTGGGTTTGATATATACTGCTGTCATTTAAGAAAAATAAAATTTTATGAATTATGCATTTCTTCTTCTGATTAACTGTTGTGATTAATTTTAAAACAACTGGTGAATTTCATAGGACTTACCAGAAATCTGTGGCATTTTGACTTGTTCTTCACATTGAGGTCATTTGTGCACATCTTACATCATTTATGAACTGTTTTTCCCTTTAAAGTAGGAGTTCTAATGGTATATTACTAAGGGTGTGATCAATAAGGAAGGTAATTTTGCAACTCCATATTGAAAGGAAAAGGCTGTTCCGGTTAACACAAAGGTCCTGTTTGATTCATGTTTGTGTCCTCCACAGTACTGGCAGGTACTAAATGTGCAGAAATAATGTATTTAATTTAATTGGTGGCAAATTGGACCTTAGCCCATTATGGCATTTCATGTTTTAAGAAAGGTATCTTGTTGAAAATAAGTTCAGACTGGTAGGAAATAAAGAGGAAGGGAATTGACAATTTTATAAATTAACAATATGCTACACGTGGTCCTCAGAATCCTGTCCAAATCATCTCATTTATTGTGCTTATATACCAATGTCTTAGGTTTCATGATAGGCATTTGTGTCTTAGGTATTTGGCAAAGAAGACATAGTGTTGGATTCCTGTTCATTCTAACATGTAGACTCTATGATTCAAAAAGTTTCATTTTGTCTTTGCTGCTATGATGTTATCAGGGTTTCTTTATGGGCTGTGGCCAGAGGGATACAACTTCAACTCCGTCCTCAGTAGTGAGTTTATATACCATATTTTCTGACTATTTTCACTGGATTTGAGATCTCATTTGCTATAGGTATGTTGTTATTATAGGTCATAGAGTGTTAAAGAGACAACAAACATACAAATAACCTTGGTTCTATAGGTGTGAAATAGCCTTGAAAGATAGCCTCTTTCAGACTCACATCTTTCCCTTCATGCATCTCTAACAAGTCTCCACTTCCTAGTTCCTCTGTGATCATATCCCAGATCAGATTAGAGATTTCTCTAAGTTTACCTTGCCATTGAAGGGACTGGTGACTCTATCCTGCAGGTAATTCCTTCTCCAGCTTATGAAAAACAATATCTGAAGCTTAGGGCTCTTGAGCTTCATAGCTCTATCTCTTTACGGTTCTCAGCGTTGTACACATCTTCTTTTGGTGGTAGCCTCCTCCTTTTTACTTTGTTTTCCTTCTATACAGAAGCCCAAGCCCCTTTTATCTTTTGTCTTGCTAGCTACTGGCAGCCCTTCAATCCAATCAGTCTAGTTAAACATGCAGCACTACTTGTTTACTTCTCTAAATTGCTCCATATAAATCATAGAATTGTGAGAAGGCCACATATTGAAAGAAGGCTAGCAAAGAGGACCTAGACAATGGGGAGAACATTTCTCCCCAGCAGGTGAATTCAGATATGAAAATCTGGATTTATGCAACAATAAATCAAGGGAATTGTTTTCACTTTACAGAAGGATTCACCATAGGGTTCCTTTAAATAGCTGGTTCCCTTAGTGTATGTTACAATGGTATTGTATTATTAAAAAAATCAAATCTAAGTGGAAGTTTTTAGAAAATAGGCGATTATTATGATGCCTGGTAAATGTTATAGATTTTTCTTTTCCTAGAAAATAAATTTTAAAAATAGATCCAGAGTTAATATATATGGCATGGTAATATAATAATCCTGAGGGGAGTTAGGATGTTCAGTTTGATCAGTATTCCTCCCCATAAGCCACTTGCAGCAGAAACACCTGTGATGCTTTTAAAATGTAGACTCTTGATGAGAAAGGCCTAAGAATTTGTATTTTAACAAAGTCTTCCAGGTAATTTTAATTTACACTAAAGTTTTCAAGAACTACTGGACTAGATATTTTTCTGTTTGAATCTTTCTTGCCTGTCTTTCCTGGGCTTTAAGGTCATGTATTATAGCTTGTGACCTAAACTGTTTTAATTGTTTTATCAGTGAGGAAATAGAGATACTAACATTGAGATACTAAAGAAGGGAATATTAGGAGCAGGGATGGTGATGGTGATAAACTTATGTTAGTGTGTATTTATGTGCGTAGGCAAATGTCTAAAAACATATAAGGAAAAAGCTGGAGAATAATCTTATGTACATGGTTTTTACTTCTGTTATATCTGATTATATGTGGTAGGTGCATAGATATGCAATGGGAATGGCTGTTCCAAGTTTTGGCTTCTTGTGCTTTTTGACAATGTGGTTCCTAAATAGTCTGGTATTGAAGGATACCCCATTTTTCATATCCCTACGTTTTTCCTTATTATCTCTCTCTGCCCGCCCCACAGACACACCTAGTTCTTTTTCATGTCAATAAAATATTAGTCACCCTTTGAATTGTTAAGCTTTGTGCAAGTGAGCTTACAACAGAGATATGGGCATGGTAGTGAGAGGGCTGAGTCAACCAAGAAGCCATTAAAAGTTCCAATGTAATATGAAGTGGCATTCATGACCCAGACTTAAACATGACAGTGAACGACCACAGAGTGACACACCTGTTATAATTATTACACAAGTCAATAAAGAACATTACAAGGCCGGGCACAGTGGCTCACGCCTGTAATCCCAGCACTTTGGGATGCTGAGGCGGGTGGATCACCTGAAGTCAGGAGTTCGAGACCAGCCTGGCCAACATGGTGAAGCCCCGTCTCTACTAAAAATACAAAAATTAGCCGGGCTTGGTGGCAGGCACCTGTAGTCTCATCTACTCGGGAGGCTGAAGCAGGAGAATCCCTTGAACCCAGGGGGCGGAGGTTGCAGTGAGCCAAGATCGTGCCACAGCACTCCAGCCTGGATGATAGTGCGAGACTCTGTCTCAAAAAAAATAAATAAACAAAGAAAGAACATTATAAGTCCCCCAAGCCCCACTTTACTTCCTGTATTCATTATCCCTATCGGCTTCCCCAGAGGTAACCACTATCCTGATATCTAACAACATAGATTAGACTTGCATATTTTGAATTTTATAAAATTTGTGTCATCTAGTCTGTACACTCTTTTATATGGATTATTTCATTCAACGTAATGTTGATAATATTCTTAATTTGTATATGTACCCTTTGTCAGTTATATATGGCAAAAGCCATTTTGTGGCTTGTATTTTCACTTTCTTTGTAGTATCTCTTTTTAAACAGAAGTTATTTAAATTTGGTAAACTCCCATTCATCATATTTTTTTTCAGGTTAGAACTGGCTAGCCATATGTAGAAAGCTGAAACTGGATCCCTTCCTTACACCTTATACAAAAATTAATTCCAGATGGATTAAATACTTAAACGTTAGACCTAAAACCATAAAAACCCTAGAAGAAAACCTAGGCATTACCATTCAGGACATAGGCATGGGCAAGGACTTCATGTCTAAAACACCAAAAGCAATGGCAACAAAAGCCAAAATTGACAAATGGGATCTAATTAAACTATAGAGCTTCTGCACAGCAAAAGAAACTACCATCAGAGTGAACAGGCAACCTACAAAATGGGAGAAAATTTTCACAACCTACTCATCTGACAAAGGGCTAGTATCCAGAATCTACAATGAACTCCAGCAAATTTACAAGAAAAAAACAAACAACCCAATCAAAAAGTGGGCGAAGGACATGAACAGACACTTCTCAAAAGAAGACATTTATGCAGCCAAAAAAACACATGAAAAAATGCTCACCATCACTGGCCATCAGAGAAATGCAAATCAAAAGCACAATGACATACCATCTCACACCAGTTAGAATGGCAATCATTAAAAAGTCAGGAAACAACAGGTGCTGGAGAGGATGTGGAGAAATAGGAACACTTTTACACTGTTGGTGGGACTGTAAACTAGTTCAACCAATGTGGAAGTCAGTGTGGCGATTCCTCAGGGATCTAGAACTAGAAATACCATTTGACCCAGCCATCCCCTTATTGGGTATATACCCAAAGGACTATAAATCATGCTGTTATAAAGACACATGCACACGTATGTTTATTGCAGCACTATACACAATAGCAAAGACTTGGAACCAACCCAAATGTCCAACAATGATAGACTGGATTAAGAAAATGTGGCACATATACACCATGGAATACTATGCAGCCATAAAAAATGATGAGTTCATGTCCTTTGTAGGGACATGGATGAAATTGGAAATCATCATTCTCAGTAAACTATCGCAAGGACAAAAAACCAAACACCCCATGTTCTCACTCATAGGTGGGAATTGAACAATGAGAACACATGGACACAGGAAGGGGAACATCACACTCTGGGGACTGTTGTGGGATGGGGGGAGGGGGGAGGGATAGCTGTAGGAGATATACCTAATACTAAATGATGAGTTAATGGGTTCAGCACAGCAGCATGGCACATGTATACATATGTAACTAACCTGCACATTGTGCACATGTACCCTAAAACTTAAAGTATAATAATAATTAAAATAAAAAGAATTATTCAAGATCTCAAAAATATTGTTCTATATTATTAATACAGCTTTGCAGTTTTATCTTTCACATATTGATCTATAATCCATCCTGAAATTATTTTTGTGCATGGTGTAAGTATCATGTTTCACTATTTCCCAATGTATATACAAGTAATCCAGAACTTCATTCCATGGCATTCCAGACCTATTTGTCATTAATCAAGTATCCACATATGTATTGTTCTGTATCTAGACTTCATATTATGTTTTATTGATCTCTTTATCTATATCTGTCCCAATAACACACTGTCTTAAGTAATGTGGCTTCATAATAAGTAGTGATTATCTGGTAGTATAAGTGCTCCAATACTGTTCTCTGTTTTCAAGATTGCCTTGACCATTCTTGATGTTTTATGTTTTCAATTAAATGTTGGATTTATGTTACTAATATCCACCAAAATATTATAATTTTAACTGGAATTATGATAAATCTGTAGCCAGATCAATTTGGGAAAATCAACATTTTAAAAATATTGACTCTCCTAATCCATGACTTAATTTCTCCATTTCAGTCTTATTTAATTTCTACCAATAATGCTTTAGAGTTTTTTAAAATAGAACACCTTTCATTAGGTTTATTCCTAGGTATTTAGTCTTTTTCTTTTCTCTTTCTTTGTGCTTTTATACATATTAGCTTTAAAAGTCTGTATTTTTATTATTTGTGGATAGTATGTAGAAATACAATCAATCTGTGTATATTGACATATGTAATCACCTTGCTAAATTCATTATAATTTACTTTTAATTATTTTATATTTACTAAATATATAATTATTTCATGTGAAGATATTGAGAGGTTTTTTTCTTCCTTTTAGTCCTTCAACTTTTGTTGTTTTTTTCCTTGATCTCTTGCTCCAGTGAGTTTCTTGAGTATAATGCTGAATCTGAGCAGTGATGAGGGGCATTCTTGACTTGTTCCTGATCTCAGGAAGAGAGCTTTCATCATTTCACCTTAAAGTATACATATGTAACAAACCTGCACGTTGTGCACCTGTACCCTAGAACTTAAAGTGTAATAAAAAATAAAAAATAAATAATAAATAAAGTATTATGTTTGCTATAAACTCTATGTAGATGTATTCTGTTAAAATAACAATGTTCCTTTTTACTATTAGTTGGCAAAGTGTTTTTAAAATTATAAATGGATGCTAAATTTTATAAAATGCTTTATCTGCCTCATTTGAGATTATTTTTTTTTCTTGATTCTGTTTATATATTGAAATACAATGATTTGGTTTTGTTTTTTATGGATTCTTCATTTGACATATGACTAGATTCAGTTGGGTAAGATTTTGTTGAGGAATTTTGGAATTTTATGTCTATATTCATGGGTGATTGGATTATGGATTTCTTTTCCTGTAATGTAATTATCAAGTTTTGTTATCAAGGTCATGCTTGCCACCAGAAAAAAAAAAAAACTATTGGAAATTATATCTTCTCTTATTCTCTGGAAGAATTTGTGTGAGATTGGAATTATTGCTCTCTTAAATGTTTGTGTAATTAATCAGCAAAGCCATCTGGACCTGAAAGGTTTTAAAGACTCTATGTTTTTAATGGGTAGAGAAGAATTCAGATATTATTTTTCTTCTTGGGTCAGTTTTTATAATTTTTTTAAGGAATTTTTCATTTCATCTAAATTTTCTAACTTAATGGCAAAAAGTTGTTCATGATATTTTATTTCTTTGCAAATGTCTGAAATATTTGTGATCACATTCTCTTTTCCACTCCCGGTAGTCTCTCTTTTTTTCTGGTTCTGTTTTGTAATGAGGCTTATCGATTTTATTAGTCTTAAAAAAACAACTCTTGGCCTTGGTAAGGATGTTTTCTGTTTTTGCTTTTATCTTTGCCATTTTGTCCTTCAGGTTTCTTCTGGTTTTCATGTTTCTTTTAATGTATTGTGATATATGCCAAAATAATAGATTTTTGGGCCTCTCTTCTAATATGTGCACTGAAAAGTACTTGTCTTTCTAAGCATGGCTTTAGTTGCATTCCACTTTTTGCCTCTACATGCTTTGGACAGGTCTGTATATTACCTACCTTAATGTCTTCTGTGTTGTCTAATTTGCTTTTAAACTCAGGGATTTAGTCCTTAATTTGATAAATTATATTTTTTACTTCTAGAATTTTAATTTTATTTTAGAATTTCCAGCTATTTACCATAATTCTCCATCTTTTTGTTTAAACCCATAAACATATTAGTCATAATTACTTTGATTCTCAGCCTGATATCTTCAATATCTGGATCCCCTATAAATCTCTTTCAATTTTCTTTTCTTAGCTTTTGGGTAGTTCTTATCCTTTAGAGTTAATGGTTATGTTTCGATTAAATATCACACTTCATGTATGAATAATTATAAAGATAGTCAAAATTCTGAATACTGTTATTCTTCCTCTAGAGATAATTTGTTTTTTGTTTCTGCCATGCAGTTAGGCTAGGGGCAGATTACTTTAAAGGGATTCAAAGCTGGGCTTTAGCCATTTGAGGTTTCAGCTGTTTCTGCTTCACCCTCATTGTTAGGGTATAGCCATTTGAAGATACCAATTGAAAAATCTGCTGCATATCTACAACTATCTGATCTTTGACAAACCTGACAAAAACAAGCAATGGGGAAAGCATTCCCTATTTAATAAATGGTGCTGGGAAAACTGGCTAGCCATATGTAGAAAGCTGAAACTGGATCCCTTCCTTACACCTTATACAAAAATCAATTCAAGATGGATTAAAGACTTAAACGTTAGACCTAAAACCGTAAAAATCCTAGAAGAAAACCTAGGCATTACCATTCAGGACATAGGCATGGGCAAGGACTTCATGTCTAAAACACCAAAAGCAATGGCAACAAAAGCCAAAATTGACAAATGGGATCTAATTAAACTAAAGAGCTTCTGCACAGCAAAAGAAACTACCATCAGAGTGAACAGGCAACCTACAAAATGGGAGAAAATTTTCACAACCTACTCATCTGACATATCCAGAATCTACAATGAACTCCAGCAAATTTACAAGAAAAAAACAAACAACCCAATCAAAAAGTAGGCGAAGGACATGAACAGACACTTCTCAAAAGAAGACATTTATGCAGCCAAAAAACACATGAAAAAATGCTCACCATCACTGGCCATCAGAGAAATGCAAATCAAAACCACAATGAGATACCATCTCACACCAGTTAGAATGGCAATCATTAAAAAGTCAGGAAACAACAGGTGCTGGAGAGGATGTGGAGGAATAGGAACACGTTTACACTGTTGGTGGGACTGTAAACTAGTTCAACCAATGTGGAAGTCAGTGTGGCGATTCCTCAGGGATCTAGAACTAGAAATACCATTTGACCCAGCCATCCCATTACTGGGTATATACCCAAAGGACTATAAATCATGCTGTTATAAAGACACATGCACACGTATGTTTATTGCGGCAGTATTCACAATAGCAAAGACTTGGAACCAACCCAAATGTCCAACAATGATAGACTGGATTAAGAAAATGTGGCACATATACACCATGGAATACTATGCAGCCATAAAAAATGATGAGTTCACATCCTTTGTAGGGACATGGATGAAATTGGAAATCATCATTCTCAGTAAACTATCACAAGAACAAAAAACCAAACACCGCATATTCTCACTCATAGGTGGGAATTGAACAATGAGAACACATGGACACAGGAAGGGGAACATCACACTCTGGAGACAGTTGTGGGGTGGGGGGAGGGGGGAGAGATAGCATTGGGAGATATACCTAATGCTAGATGACGAGTTAGTGGGTGCAGAGCACCAGCATGGCACATGTATACATATGTAACTAACCTGCACATTGTGCACATGTACCCTAAAATTTAAAGTATAATAATAATAATAAAAAAAGAAAATCTGCAACATTTAACAGAAAACCTTGGCAGAATCTAAATTTCAATTTATATTCATTCCAGCCCTGTGAGACTCTAGTGCACTTTTCTTAGCTTCTGAGCGACAAACTGCTGCATTTTCTTTCACAATTAACAATTGTCTTGAGGGAAAGAGGAACCCCAAATGCTAGGCTCACCTCTTCTGCCTTCTGCCTTCTTTCCAATCTTGGCCCTGAATATTCTCCCTTGGTATTGTTTCGGTGTCTTTACATAGCTTTTGCTTTGTTTGTTTTTGTCCCCTTTTTCTAATTGCTCTCAATGAACAACATAGTGAAATAACATAATCAACCATTAATGAAAGTGAGTCAAATTCTTGGACCACACCCCATGATAATCCAATTCAGTAGGTTTGACATTAAGCCTAACAATCTACATTAAAAAAAAAAAAGAGATACAAAGTGTGTATGACCTAGGTGTCCACAGAATGTTCAGGCAGAGAACCTTAGAGAAACCTGTCTTAGACATGCATATAGCATGGACTGTCAAGGAAAATACACTATGGCCCTTAAGATTTATTCTAGCCCAGAGTCTCTGGGAATTCAGTAAGCAAGCCTCGTAAGTCTGTGATTCCACTGTCATAAAATAAATCTGAGTAAGGTCAGACTTCAGGTCAGCAATTTTCCTCCAGCTCCATGGCAGCTGTTCTATCAGTGTATTTAACAGTCCTCTGAACCCCAGTATTAACATCTTGCCGTACCCTGCTCCATACTCATCGCAATAGGAAAGGTCACATTTGTCTGGATAAGAGGAAGCAGGAGAGGAAGGTTTTTGTAAAGAAGATTACATTTGAGGTGAGCCTTGAAGCACATGCGGAATTTCTAAACAGGTTTGGAGAAATTGTATCCCAGAAAGAGGCAAAAGTAGGAGCAAAAACATGAAAAACATAGGACAGTGGTTCTCAAACTTTATTGTGAATCAGAATCACTTGGATAACTTTTGAAAGATGCAAGTAACAAGCTTCTACCCTCAGAGATTTTCACTTAGTAGGTCTGGGTTGAGGTCCAAGAATATGCTGCTTTTATAGGCTCATACAGTGATTCTGAAGCAGGTAGTCTATGGACCACACTGGGTGAAAGACTGGTTGAGATGAAAAAGAAAAAAAAAACGAACGAACAATGATTCTCTACGAAATAATAAGAAACGAGTTCAAATGCTAAGTTATTTGGTTCATTGATACATAAATTTCAAGGACATAACATATGAAAAAAATGGTTTGCAGGGAGGAAGTCATTTATGATATTGGGGAGAGTAAATAAAGTAGAAACAAAATGAAAAAAAATTGATTTTAAGGAAACAAGGTGTTCTTTGCCCACAAAAAGATTAAGCTATCAAAGCTACGATATACACATTTCAGAAGCTTTCCTCCACTTTTCGAAGAAAGTAAGAATTGTGGACCAATGTGATATGATTCACCTTACTCTAGAAGCCTCTATATGACCTACCCCCTGCCTATGTCTCCTATCATATTATTTCTGCTTTATTATTCCAAAAATTTAAGTCAGATTATGTCACCCTTTTGTTGAAAACCCTCCAAAGGCTTCCCATTAGAATTAAGTCCAAATGCTCTATTATATTATCTGGCCCCAGTCCCCGCTCTAATCTCATCTCCTATCACTCCGCTCCCAGTTTCCTATAATTCAGCCACATGACTTTTCTTTCTGTTCATTTAAAATACCAAATTAATTCCCCTTACATGGCCTTTGACCTTGCTGCGTTCCTTGTCTGGAATGGTTTCCATCATAATTCAGACTTCTGTCTGGCAGATTCCATTCTCATCATTCAAATCTCAAGTCGAATGTCATGACCTCAAATAAATCATCTCTTACCATACTAAATAAATATTCAATCACTCTCATGCCTGTTACCCCTTATCCCATCACTCTGCTAAATAAATTCCCTTCATATTGCTCACATAATCTAAAATTATATTTTCTTGGTTATTTTTTTCCTATAGGATGTAAACTCCCTAAGTGCAGGAACCTTATCTTATTTTTATTGCTAAAGTTCCAAGGTCTAAGAAAGAATTAACACATAGTGTCAATATATATTTGCTGAAAAACAACCAAATAAATTTAATAGGCATTACCAAAGGTCTCTTTTAGTCTAATCTCTTCATATCTCTCTGTCTATCAAAATTCTCTGAATTTTTTTTTCTCTCAGAGAAACATTTTCCTAGGTTAAAGCATTACCATGTTCTTAGAGGTTTTAAAAATGGAATATATCCCTGGGAAGTGCAATGCCTTAAGCTTTGACCAGGCTTGTATATCCCAGGTCAGATATTGAGGAAGTAGAATTTTGTTTTGGGAGAAAGATAGGAGGGAGCTGTGTGGGTGGGGCTGAGGGGGGTGTGGGGTGGCATTTTGGGGAAAGGATCATTTCTAGAGAAGATGGGCCTAGCTGGGGTGCCACAAGAGCCAATCCCTACATTGGGTACACTGAGAGAGTAGAAGGAACCCTCTAAAGATAAATTGTGTGGACCTCCAACTTGGCCAAGTGTCAAATCCGGAATGAAGAAACTCTGTCTTTCAATTTGTGAACAGTTTTCATTTCACTTCCAGGTTTACCACCTGCCCTCTCTTCAGAAAACTGTCTTTTGAAATTCGTGGGACTTATTTATCATTTTCTTACATGCCACAACCAGTTGTGTCTGTTTTTGCATTGTCCTATTGATATACCTATTGATATAACATAATTTACCATGACACATGCAACTATAGTATCTTAGTGATTCTCAAATGGGAGATGACAGAGGGTTGGATTCTGGAGAAGTGTGATGGCACGTGCCTTTGCTGACAGAATCTTAATGACCAGATGTGGTTTCATGCCCTAATTTGTGGGATGAAGCATTAGTGGATGGATTTAGGCTTTTAGTGGGGATAGTAAGGTTAGAAACACAGACTGAGAACATGCTGTTATCTAAAATCAGTCACCATTGGGAACTGTGAGCCAAGCCCTCAAGATGTTATGAAAATACTACTAAAAGTAGCTAATATTTACATGGCACTTACTCTGTGCCAGGCACCATTTGTAAGTATTTCACATATGTTAGCTCACTTAATCTTCACAATCCTGTGAGGCAGGCACGGCTATTATAAAATTACAGAGGAAACTGAGGTACAGAGGAGATAAACAAATTACCCAAAGGCACAAAGGAGTGGTAGGGAACATATTGAAACTCAAGTGTGGCTGCCAAACCTGAGCTCTTAATAATCACTATCCTATCCTACACTCTATTGGTAATCCTGAAGATAACTGAGTAACAGTAATAGGTGGTAATGATAATAACTACAATAACTACCAGTGTTTTGTGCTAAGTATTAAATACTTTACATGATCTTATTTAACCCTCACAGTACTTCTGTGAAATAAGTGCCATTAGAATCCTTGTGTTGTAGATGGGAAATGTGAGGCTCAGAGTGTACATTCTCTTGCCTAAGATCTTGTAGCTAGGAAGTAGGACAGCCAGGACTTGAACCCAGGTTTCTCTGAACCTGGTTCCTAAAAAAAGTCAAATGGTTATGCCATAGGGTCATGCTAAAGTTAGCCCGTAAGGCCAACATGCAAAGAATTCCTTTGTCTTACAATGAGGCTCCCTGATAAGTGGGAAAGATCAGTAACTCACTCTCCCTTTGCTGTGTTATAAAGGTGGAGCCTCAGAGTATACACGTTGGACATTGCATTCCACAATCCTGCCAATAAGTCAAAAGTGGCCGTCAGCCTAACACTTGGGCCCTGTAGAAGAAACTTCTGTCCAAAGGTAACTGAGGCAAGACTTCTTTTTCCTTTATACAACCCCAGTTTGTTATTTGCTGTTTTTCATATACAAAGATAATGCAACCCGCCCACTGCCCCTAAATGTTACTTTGAATTGTTTCTCTTTCTGTAGGGATAAAGCAAACAGATGCCTTCTATTTTATGGGGTCCCTGTTGTGATTTTAAAAACAGCTGGTCAAGATTAGGTGCTCAGGCTGTGGTCAGGGTTAAGTATCCCTGCCTTGTCCAAGGTGAAGGTCTGTGGCAGTGATGAGGATAAGAGCAAAACTCATTGACTCACTGGGGGACTATACCTTTATCTTAATTGTCCTGCCCTTTAGCCAGTTCCTGGCGAGGCAGCAGAAACTTCAATTTTCTAGTCTTAGTGTCATTTGCAATGCAATTCAAATTGCTCAATATGGTCTTTCCTGCTCCCACCTGCTGCCATATATGTGAGTTCCTTGCCACTTCTACCCCTCAGTGAAGTGTGCAGTGAAATGAATCTGTTTTATTTCCCTCACACACAGCAGTCAGCGACTCCCTGTTGGTGCAGTGAGACAAGGCAAGTGTAGGGCATCCCAGACACTTGACTATTAGTATCTATCTTATATAAATCCTCTGACCACTGCTCTGGGTCCTCACCCAAGTGACCTGGTAACATTTACAAAGGAGTGGTAGGGCACATTTTGAAACTCAAGTGTGGCTGCCAAACCTGAGCTCTTAATAGTCACTATCCTATCCTACACTCTATTGGTAATCCTGAAGATAACTGAGTAACAGTAATAGGTGGTAATGATAATAACTACAATAACTACCAGTATTTTGTGCTAAGTATTAAATACTTTACATGATCAAAGTTATATCATTATCAAAGTTAGAGACCAACCCCCTTTTCCACCCCCAACAGAACTATTGCCCAATCTATCACGAGGGGATCTTAGCTGAGCTCAGTTGGAAACTGCTCTTTGCATGCCCCCAGCTGCTATTTCCAATGTCTTTCCTTTGACATTAGGAAAGCTGTACTTCGCTGTCAGTGGACCCCTTAACCCACTGAGGATGGGCTGAGATCAGCATGCTGTCTTGGTTTTATGAAGCAGCAGCAGCGTATTCTTTTAGTCACTATAACATTAAGGCCAGGGCTTTCAGAGAGAAAAAAAAGTTTTTCAGGCGTTAAAAATGGCATCAAATCTCCTTCATGATAGCCTCTGCCATAGCAGTACATAGTACCTCAGGTCCGGAGTACTGATGGCAGAAGGAAAAGTGTTGTGAAGAAGGCGATCCCAGGAAGACAAGTGAGGGGGATGACGAGTTTGCCCTCATAGGAAATGTTTCATTGTCTACTTCTACTATTTATAAAGAAACAACATTCTCTTCACTTCGAGTGTTTGTCCTGCTTTATATTCTGCACCCTGCACCCTGTGTGGTGTTTTCTGTCTAGGCCAGTGAGTTTCAAGAAATGGAGAAGTTTGTTGCTGTGTGTGTGTTTGGGGGATGGACGGGAAGGGGTGTGGTGTGAGGACAAGACTATATCAAAATAGGGCAAGGGGTATGTATACTTTAGAAAAAAATTCCATATTATGATGAAAGTAAAGATTGATAAGCTTTTCTTGCCTGATGGAAATCAGTATTACACACACTAGCTTCCTTATATCAGTGAGTCTCAAATGGTCAGGTGGCAAGACCCCCTGAGAGGATTTATCACAACAAAGGGAAAAGTTATGCTTTGTGTTTATCAGAAGGAGCCAAGAGTTAAAAGCAGACAGAAAATATCAGCTTTATGTCTCATGCATTTTCCGTCTCACTAGTGGTGCTTTGAATTTACCCATGTTCTGCACAGGAGAATGAAGGAAGAGTGCCTTGTCTGACAGCACCTTGCCTTTTTTAACAAGCTGAGCTCAGGGTTTATTTATTCATAAGGTGTTTGCTTTTTCCCCTTGCCTTTTTGCTCTCTCCCTTTTTTGAGCTTTAATTCTGCCTTGTTTAATATTCTTGTCGTTGATTCTGTTACCCTGCATTTGGTGACTTCAGATTACCTCTTTCAGTGTCTTGTCTCCGTGCGTGCCTGCTTGTCTCTGTATTTTTTTATTTATTTTTGAGACAGGGTCTTGCTCTGTTGCCCAAGCTGGAGTGCAGTGGTGCAATCTTGGCTCACTGCAACCTCGACCTCCTGGTCTCAAGTGATCCTCCCACCTCAGCCTCCTGAGTACCTGGGACCACAATTTTGTGCCACTACACTCAGCTAATTTTTGTATTTTTTGTAGAGATAGGGTTTTTCCATGTTGCCCAGGCTGGTATTGAACTCTTGGGCTGAAGCCATCTGCCTGCCTTGGCCTCCCAAAGTTCTCAGATTACAAGCATGTGCCACTATTCTGGCCTCTGCGTTTCTCTTTATTGGGGTCTGTCTCTTTCCTTGGTGTGTTAACCTCATCTGTCTCTCATTTCTTCAAATCATTGTCTTTCTCTGGGTCTTTTATTTATGTCTCTATCACTCTTCTATACACAACCTCATGTAAAAATCTCCTCTCCGACCCTCCAAGCTTCTTAGTTACTTCAGATACTTTATGGGGTAAGAGAGGGAACTGTGATGTTTCACTTGTCTGTGGTACCTACTCACTCCTTTGCCTTCCCCAAACATAAGATCTCTTAATCCAAGGTTTGGCAAACTGAGACCTGCATGCCAAATCCGGCCCTGTTTTTGTAAATATAATTTTGTAAAATATTTACTATCTGGCCCTTTACAGAAATCTTTGCTGCTTCCCTTCTTAACCAATGCTTTAGTGGGCATCAGAATTGCATGGGTGTAGGGTAAATGCAGCTGATAGCAATAACTTCAGCATACCCTGAGAATGACACTATACGGCAGACTCACCTGAGAGTGTGTTCTGAGCTAGGGAACCTGGGAGTAGCCAACCCAGAGAAGCATTCCCTGTCTATGAGGAACATCTAAATCTATGGCCTATCCAGTGGAAAACTGGCTGTACAGGGGATCAAAGCCCTGAATTTTGGGTTGAATGAAGCTTGCCAGGTGGAGGTTGTTAGGGAGAAGGTACTAAGTAAAAATGCTATATAAACTACATGTTTTCTTTTCAAGCGGTTGCAGTTCTGCCCAGCCTGCCATCACCGGGCCGTGTGGTTATCCTGCCCAGACCTCCACAACTGGTCTCTTTTCCCTGTATGTAAGCCCCCACTAAAACCCTAGGTCTCATTTGCTGGATCTGGGTCTCTTCTTTGGCCTCTTGAACCTGGTGCCATCCACATTGGAGTTGATAGGGGTTTGCCACAGCAGTGGGGAGAGTATTGAAATGCAGCCTTCTAGAACCCATCACCAAAGATACCCATTCAGTTTCTCTAGAGTGTGAACACTAATCTGCATTTTCAACAAGCAGGTTCTTGTGATGAGGCAAATTAGGAAAATGCTGAAAATGCGCCCATTGCACAGATCAGGAATTTAAATCCAGAGATTCCTAGCTGACCATATGTGCATACAAACATAGAAAATGACCCTATTTTAAACAAGACTATAACTTTCTATTTGCCTTTTTGTCCAAAACTAGGAAAGAGTATGTTGTGCCTGTGTAAGCCTCTCTTTTGTCTGAGAGCTGCTGCTGTGACTTAGGACCTTGCTATTCAATGTTTGGTCCACAGACTAGCTACCAACCACATAGGCATCATTAGGGAGCCCATTAGAAATGTAGAAGCTCAGGCTCCACTCTGCACCTAGTGAATCAGAATCTGCACTTTTACAAAATCCACAGGTGATTCACATGTACATTGATGTTTGAGAAACACTGGTCTTGGGGAAAGAACACTGGTTCTGCCCCTAAGTATACCCACCTGGGAGGTACTGTGTAGTGCTGAGATGAGTATGTGTTTTGAAATGAAATGGTGCTGTGTTAAAACCCCTGAAGTGCTCCTTATTAGCTATGTGACTTTGACCATGGCACTTCCCCTCTCAGTATTGTTTTCACATCTGTAATGGAGAAAGAATAACACCTGCCTGCCAGTGATGATAGGAATTTCTGTGGGATAATTCATGTAAAATGTCTGGCAGATATTAGTTGTACAATAAACACTCATGCTCCTTCCTTGCCTCGGTTTCCTCAAGTGTAAAATGAGGGGAAGGATAACAACACCCACACAGCCTCTACCACAAAGTTATCATGAGGAATGTCTACATGAAAATGATCTGCAAACCACTATCCTTATACAAATGTAAGGTGACATCACTACTAGTTCTGAAAGTGTATAAAGTCCCCAACAGTTATTCATGAGAACCAGAAAATACCAGAGTAATCCTCCTGACAGGCTCTACAAAACATGTTTTGATTTGTTGAGAGTGTGGAATACAGACAGTCAATACCAGTGACATTCGTGAACCAGCATGTTTGAAAAAGTGTGTGTGTGAAAGTCAACTTTGTTATAACCCTCTCACTTGCTAGTTATTCCAGTTACTACCTGGCATTAGCTAGATTTTTGCCTGATGTTAGTTAGCTTTTGCATTTTGGCCAAAGTCGATCTGGATACAGAATACAGAGAAAATGATGCCACTTTCCAAGAGGCTCAGTCTTACCATCAGAGATAGAAGAATAAAGAGGCAGCACCTGGGAAGAAGAGAAGGCGATAGAAATAAAAGCCTCCAGCAGCTGGCAATAATAATAAAAACACTACCTGAGGTATTTATATATACTTAGCATCAGTACACAATTCCCAGCCCACCTTCCTCTATCACCAAGGCAACGTGGACGGGACAGAGGTAAGTCTGCTTCTCTTTTTTCTTACGGACACGATCTCCTCATATGCTATGGCTTGTGGCATATAGGTATAGAGATGATTTATTGTGTAGAGAACTCACTGTGTGCCAAGCATTGTGTTATATTCTTTACATTAACCTCATTTAATCCTCAGAATAATCCTGTAGAAGACAAAATTATTGTCATTCGCAACGTACAGATCTGAAAACTGAGGCTCAGAGGAATTGCATTCCCTTCCTAAGGTCTGACAGTTTCCCCATGGTAGTGCCTGGATTCAGATCCAGGTCTTTTTTATTTCATCTCACGTGCTCATTGGTTTTGCCTCACTGACCCCTGCGTTCCTAGGTTTATTGACTCCATTTTCTTCATATTTCAGAGTTCCAGGGGTCTGTGGAAAGGGCTTATTTTCCCAGAATCTATCCTCAGTCAGAGTATCTTCTTTTCTATGGAATGTACTGCAACTTCTTTTCTGGGTAGCTAGTATACCAATTTAGCCTTGTATGTGAGGCAAAGACCTGAGTTTGATGAAATCCACCCGGCCCACTTGCACTGCGTGTGTAATAAATAGGTAAGGGACAGAAAACAAAGGATTTGAGGGAGGGTCAGAAAATGTGCAGGACTTAGTGTAATTGCCAAAAATAACTGCTTTTAGGAGCGAGCATAATGGGGAGGTGTACCACCAGTGCACTTCTTATTCTTTGCCTGTGGTCCCATCCAAAGATACTAGAGAGTTTTGTGGTTATAGACTATGAATCATATCCTCTCCCTGCCTCCAACTCTCTCCTGAGGCTCCCCCATGTAAAAATCTCATGCTACTGTCCATCTACCCGTGAATCTGTCCATTATTGATTGTCCACTATGTGTGCAGACAATCACACATTGTACACTGAAGTTCGTCTTTCTGATTGTTGCTTTTACTAATGCACTGAAGGTGGTGATATTAGGATAGGGAACTAATCTCTACAAAAGTAGGGCTTTTTATATATTTAATGATATATTTAGTGTAATATATGCAACTTTTGCCAACTTCTTTGGTTTTTTTTTTTTTTTTTTTTTTTTTTGCCAAGTTTTGACCACCATTGCCTAGGCTACTTATTATTATTCTTCAGCAGGGTAAATAATGTCTGCCTTTTCAGATAGTTTAATTTCCATTTTTTTTCCTGAATTTTCTGAATTAAAACTCTTTTTCCATTTACTTCTCAAAGAGTGGTCATGAAACCACTGCATCAGGATCACCTACAATTATTGTTAAAATGCAGATTCCTATGTTCCATCTCAAACTTATGGAACTGAAATCTCCTAAACATTGAGCCTCGCAATCTGCAGATTTATCACACTGATGTTAAAGAACCCTTGCTCTAATTGTTTTTTTCCTCCATTTCAGACACCTGAGTCCTCTTTGATCTTTCTGCTTCCTATTTCCAGAGCAGCTTAGTGTCTCCAGGAAATGCTTGAGAGGATCTTTTATGTACCCAGGAGTTAACTGCTAGTCATTTAAGAGTAATATTCTGAAGCCATCAAGGTAATTAAAGCAACTGTATTTCACCCATGCCCTGAGGGGTGCAAGGTACTTAAGAGGAAAATGTGTGGATGTTGCCTCCAGCATGCACAGGACGGCCTTATAAGTAGATCTGAATGCCAGCCTATAACCCATTCACTAACAGAAACTCTCTCATTTCAGCCTCAAGTGCATAGGCTTGTCAGTGGGATGGTTTTCTACATCCTAGTTCATCAGCTCCATTGAACTGTGGAGACACTTTTACTTCCAAAATAACCTTACAAACACCTGGCCCTGAAGGCACAGTTTGGAAAGGGAAATTGATTTCAATTTTCAAGTGTAATGGCTAAAGGTTGTCAATGTACTGTAAGGGTGCAGGATGATGTCATTTTGGGACACACCCTGGCTTCCAGGGCCATGTGCAAAGCATGCTTAATTGGATGCTGCAAATAATATTCTACTACAGGAGAGGTTCCAAATTGTAGAGGTGTCCTGAAGACATTTAATGCAGTTTTGTATACTGAAAAATTATCACTCACTTTCATTTGAAGCAACTGGGCTTGAAAATGTCTAGTCATGGTTGAGGGGCAAGATGGCCGAACAGGAACAGCTCTGGTCTGCAGCTCCCAGTGAGACCAATGCAGAAGGCAGGTGATTTCTGCATTTCCAACTAAGGTACCCGGTTCATCTCACTGGGACTGGTTAGACAGTGGGTGCAGCCCACGGAGGGTGAGCAGAAGCAGGGAGGGGTGTCACCTCACCTAGGAAGTACAAGGGGGTGGGGAATTCCCTCCCCTAGCCAAGGGAAGCAGTGAAGGACCATGCCATGAGGGACCATGCAGTGAGGGACAGTGCTATCTGGCCCAGATTCTACACTTTTCCCCTGGTCTTCGCAACCCACAGACCAGGAGGTTCCCTCAGGTGCCTATACCACAAGGCCCCTGGGTTTGAAGCACAAAACTGGGTGGCCATTTGGTCAGACACGAGCTAGCTGCAGGAGTTTTTTTTTTTTTTTTTCCCCGTACCCCAGTGGCACCTGGAATGCCAGCAAGACACAACCATTCACTTCCCTGGAAAGGGGGCTAAAGCCAGGGAGTCAAGTGAAGTGGTCTTGCTCAGCAGATCCCACCCCCCATGGAGCCCAGCAAGCTAAGATCCACTGGCTTGAAATTGTCACTGCTAGCAGAGCAGTCTGAGGTCAACCTGGAATGCTCGAGCTTGGTGGGGGGAGGGGCGTCTGCCATTACTGAGGCTTGAGTAGGCAGTTTTCCCCTCACAGTGTAAACAGAGCCACTGGGAAGTTCGAACTGGGCAGAGCCCACAACAGCTCAGCAAAGCTGCTGTAGCCAGACTGCCTCTCTAGATTCCTCCTCTCTGGGCAGGGCATCTCTGAAAGAAAGGCAGCAGCCCCAGTCAGGGGCTTATAGATAAAACTCCAGTCTCCCTGGGACAGGGCACCTGGGGGAAGGGGTGGCTGTGGGCACAGCCCACATTGAAGTCAGCAGACTTCAATGTTCCTGCCTGCTGGCTCTGAGGAGACCAGCGAATCTCCCATCACAGCGCTCAAGCTCTGCCAAGGGACAGACTGCCTCCTCAAGTGGGTCGCTGACCCCTGTGCCTCCCGACTGGGAGACACCTCCCAGCAGGGGTCAACAGATACCTCATACAGGAGAGCTCCAGCTGGCATCTGGCGGGTGCCCCTCTGGGATGAAGCTTCCAGGGGCAGGAACAGGCAGCAATCTTTTCAGTTCTGCAGCCTCTGCTGGAGCTACCCAGGAAAACAGGGTCTGTAGTGGACCTCCAGCAAAGTCCAGCAGACCTGCAGCAGAGGGACTTGACTGTTAGAAGGAAAACTAACAAACAGAAAGGAATAGCATCAACATCAACAAAAAGGACGTTCACACAAAAGCCCCATCTGAAGGTCATCAACATCAAAGACCAAAAGTAGATACATCCACGAAGGTGAGGAAAACCCAGCACAAAAAGGCTGAAAAATCCAAAAACAAGAATGCCTTTTCTCTTCCAAAGAATCACAACTCCTCACTAGCAAGGGAACAAAACTGGAGAGAGATTGAGTTTGATGATTTGACACAAGTAGGCTTCAGATGGTGGGTAATAATAAACTCCCTCAAGCTACAGGAGCATGTTCTAACCCAATGCAAAAAAGCTAAGAACCTTGAAAAAAGGTTAGAGGAATTGCTAACTAGAATAACCAGTTTAGAGAAGAACATAAATGACCTGATGAAGCTGAAAAACACAGCACGAGAACTGAGTGAAGCATACACAAGTATCAATAGCCAAATTGATCAAGCAGAAGAAAAAATATCAGAGATTGAAGATAAACTTAATGAAATACAACATGCAGACAAGATTAGAGTAAAAAGAATGAAAAGAAACAAAGCCTCTAAGAAATATGGGACTATGTGAAAATATCAAACCTATGTTTGATTGGTATACATGAAAGTGACTTGGAGAATGGAACCAAGTTAGAAAACACTCTTCAGGATATTATCCAGGAGAACTTCCCCAACCTAGCAAAACAGGCCAACATTCAAACTCAGGAAATACAGAGAACATCACAAAGACACTCCTCGAGAAGAGCAACTCAAGGACACATAATCGACAGATCCACCAAGGTTGAAATGAAGGAAGAAATGTTAAAGGCAGTGAGAGAGAAAGGTTGGGTTACCCACAAAGGGAAGCCCATCAGACTAACAGCAGACCTTTGCAGAAACCCTACAAGCCAGAAGAGAGTGGGTGCCAATATTCAACATTCTTAAAGAAAAGAATTTTCAACCCAGAATTTCATATCCAGCCAAACTAAGCTTCATAATCAAAGGAGAAATAAAATCTTTTACAGACAAGCAAATGCTGAGAGATTTTGTCACCACCAGGCCTGCCTTACAAGAGCTCCTGAAGGAAGCACTAAATATGGAAAGGAAAAACCAGTACCAGGCACTGCAACAACATACCAAATTGTAAAGACCACCGACACTATGAATAAACTGCATCAACTAATGGGCAAAATAACCAGCTAGCATCATAATGACAGGATCAAATTCACACGTAACAATATTACCCTTAAATGTAAACGGGGCTAAATGCCCCAATTAAAAGACACAGACTGGCAAATCAGATAAAGAGTCAAGACCCATCGGTGTGCAGTATTCAGGAGACCCATCTCACATGCAAAGACACACATAGGCTCAAAATAAAGGGATGGCGGAAGATTTACCAAGCAAATGGAAAGCAAAAAAAAGCAGGGGTTACAATCCTAGTCTCTGATAAAACGGACTTTAAACCAACAAAGATCAAAAAAGATAAAGAAGGGCATTACATAATGGTAAAGGGATCAATACAACAAGAAGAGCTAACTACCCTAAATATATATGCACCCAATACAGGAGCACCCAGATTCATAAAGCAAGTCCTTAGTGACCTACAAAGAGACTTAGACTCCCACACAATAGTAGTGGGAGACTTTAACACCCCACTGTCAATACTAGATCAATCAGACAGAAAATTAACAAGTATATCCAGGACTTGAACTCAGCTCTGGGCCAAGTGGACAAAAGAGACATCTACATAACTCCCCACCCCAAATCAACAGAATATACATTCTTCTCAGCACCACATTGCACTTATTTTAAAATTGACCACATAATTGGAAGTAAAACACTCCTCAGCAAATGAATGCAAAAGAACAGAAATCACAACAGTCTGTCACACCACAGTGCAATCAAATTAGAACTCAGGATCAAGAAACTCACTCAAAACTGCACAACTACATGGAAACTGAACAACCTGCTCCTGAATGACTACTGGGTAAATAACAAAATTAAAGCAGAAATAAATAAGTTCTTTGCAACCAAAGAGAACAAAGACACAACATGCCAGAATCTCTGGGACACAGCTAAAGCAGTGTTTACAGGGAAATTTATAGCACTAAATGCCCACAGGAGAAAGCAGGAAAGATCTAAAATTGACACCCTAACATCACAATTAAAAGAACTAGAGAAGCAAGAGCAAACAAATTTGAAAACGAGCAGAAGGCAAGAAATAACTAAGATCAGAACATAACTGAAGGAGACAGAGACACAAAAAAAAACCTTCAAAAAATCAATGAATCCAGGAGCTGGTTTTTTGAAAAGATCAACAAAATAGATCTCTAGCCAGACTAATAAGAAAAGAGAGAAGAATCAAATAGACACAATAAAAAATGATAAAGGGGATATCAGCATTTGATCCCACAGAAATACAAACTACCATCAGAGAATACTATAAACACCTCTATGCAAATAAACTAGAAAATCTAGAAGAAATTGATAAATTCCTGGACACATACACCCTCTCAAGACTAAACCAAGGAGCAGTCGAATCCCTGAATAGACCAATGACAAGTTCTGCAGTTGAGGCAGTAATTAATAGTCTATCAACAAAAAAAAAGCCCAGGACCAGATGGATTCACAGCTGAATTCTACCTGAGGTACAAAGAGGAGCTGGTACCATTCTTTCTGAAACTATTCCAACAATAGAAATAGAGGGACTCCTCCCTAACTCATGTTATGAGGCCAGCATCATCCTGATATGAAAAACCTGACAGAGACACAACAAAAAAAGAAAATTACAGGCCAATATCCCTAATGAACATCGATGCGAAAATCCTCAATCAAATACTGGCAAACCCAATCCAGCAGCACATCAAAAAGCTTATCCACCACGATCAAGTTGGCTTCATCCCTGGGATGCAAGGCTGGTTCAAAATACACAAATCAATAAACATAATCCATCACATAAACAGAACCAATGACAAAAACCACATGATTATCTCAATAGATGCAGAAAAGGCCTTCTGTAAAATTCAACACCCTTCATGCTAAAAACTCTCAGTAAACTAGGTATTGATGGAACATATCTCAAAATAATAAGAGCTACTTATGACAAACCCACAGCCAATATCATACTGAATGGGCAAAATCTGGAAGCATTCCCTTTGAAAACTGGCACAAAACAAGGATGCCCTCTGTCACCACTCCTCTTCAACATAATATTGGAAGTTCTGACCAGGGCAATAAGGCAAGAGAAAGAAAAAAGGATATTCAAATAGGAAGAGAGGAAGTAAAACTGTCTCTGTTTGCAGATGACATGATTGCATGTTTAGAAAACCCCAGAGTCTCAGCCCAAAAACTCCTTAAGCTGATAAGCAACTTCAGCAAAGTATCAGGATACAAAATCAATGTGCAAAAATCACAAGCATTTTTATATACCTATAATAGGGAGCCAAATCATGAGTGAACTCCCATTCACAATTGCTACCAAGAGAATAAAATATCTAGGAATAAAACTTACAAGAAATGTGAAGGACCTCTTTAAGAAAAATTACAAATCACTTCTCAGGGAAATAAGAGAGGACATAAACAAATGGAAAAAACATTCCATGCTCATGAATAGGAAGAATTAATATAGTGAAAATGGCCGTACTGCCCAAAGTAATTTATAGATTCAATGCTATCCCCATCAAGCTACCACTGACTTTCTTCACACAATTAGAAAAAACTACTTTAAATTTCATATGGAACCAAAAAAGAGCCCATATAGCCAAGACAATCCTAAGCAAAAAGAACAAAGCTGGAGGCATCATGCTATCTGACTTCAAACTATACTAAAAGGCTGCAGTAACCAAAACAGCATGGTACTGGTACCAAAACGGATATATAGACCAATGGAACAGAACAGAGGCCTCAGAAATAATGCTACACATCTACAACCATCTGATCTTCAACAAACCTGACAAAAACAAGCAATGGGGAAAGGATTCCCTATTTAATAAATGGTGTTGGGAAAACTGGCTAGCCATATGCAGAAAACTGAAACTGGACCCCTTCCTTACACAAAAATTAACTCAAGATGGATTGAAAACATAAACATAAGACCTAAAACCACAAAAACCCTAGAAGAAAACCTAGGCAATACTATTCAGGACATAGGCATGGGGAAAGATTTCATGACTAAAACACCAAAAGCAATGGCAACAAAAGCCAAAATTGACAAATGGGATCTAATTAAACTAAAGAGCTTCTGCACAGCAAAAGAAACTATCAACAGAGTGTACAGGCAACCCACAGAATAGGAGAAAATTTTTGCAATCTATCCATCTGACAAAGGGCTAATATCTAGAATCTACAAAGAACTTACACAGATTTACAAGAAAAAACCAACCCCATCAAAAAGTGGGTGAGGGATATGAACGGACACTTTTCAAAAGAAGATATTTATGCGGCCAACAAACATATGTAAAAAAGCTCGTCATCACTGGTCATTAGAGAAATTCAAATCAAAACCACAATGAGATACCCTCTCATGCCAGTTAGAATGGCAATCACTAAAAAGTCAGGAAACAACAGATGCTGGAGAGGATGTGGAGAAATAGGAACACTTTTACACTGTTGGTGGAGTGTAAATTAGTTTAGCCATTGTGGAAGACAGTGTGGCGATTCCTCAAGGATCTGGAACTAGAAATATTATTTGACCCAGCAATCCCATTACTGGGTATATGCCTAAAGGATTATAAATCATTCTACTATAAAGACACATGCACGAGTATGATTTTTGCAGCACTATTCACAATATCAAAGACTTGGAACCAACCCAAATGCTCATCAGTGATAGTCTGGATAAAGAAAATGTGGCACATATACACCGTGGAATACTATGCAGCCATCAAAAAGATGAGTTCATGTCCTTTGCAGGGACATGGATGAAGCTGGAAACCATCATTCTCAGTAAACTAACACAGGAACAGAAAACCAAACACTGCATGTTCTCACTCATAAGTGGGAGTTCAACAATGAGAACACATGGACACAGGGAGGGGAACATCACACACCGCGGTCTGTGGGAGCATGAGGGGGGCAAGGGGAGGGATAGCATTAGGAGAAATACCTAATGTAGATGATGGGTTGATGGGTGCAGCAAAGCAACATGGCACATGTATGCCTATGTAACAAGCCTGCACATTCTGCACATGTATCCCAGAACTTAATGTATAATATATATAAAAAAGGAAAATGTCTAGTAGTGGATACACAGACGGAAATCCAAACATTAATTAAGTTAGAACAACCCCAAAACAGTTGATTCAACAAATCCTTTTATCTCAGGTAACCGTATTATGCATAGTTCAAACTCTGATAATTTGGGGAGTGAAAGGGGGCACTATTAATCAAGTCAAGACAGTAGACATAAACTGGTATGTAAGCAAACCTTATTTCCATGCCATTTAATCTTAACAAGCACACTCTGCCATATAGTCTCCTTTGCTATTGCAGGGAACGATACCAGTAAGTATTTTGGGATGCAGAAACACATAGATTTGAGGAGAAGATGACTAGAAAGTCAGCTTTCCCACCCTTCTTTCTGAAGTATGAGACAGCTTTTTCTGTGTTTTCAATCAAATGTGAATATTTGGAATATATATGATGCCAGGCAACTGGATGATACATGTACCATGGCAACAGTCAGTGGTTCTTTAGCTGATAACAGCCAAGTATTAGGTTATACATACATACATATATATATAAAAATATATATTTTTATATAATATATAATATATATATATTTTTATATATTATAATATATTATATATTATAAATATATAATATATTATATAATATATAAAAATATATTAGTATATATTAATATATTATTTATATTAATATATTAGTATATATTAACATATTATTTATATTAATATATTAGTATATATTAACATATTATTTATATTAATATATTAGTATATATTAACATATTATTTATATTAATATATTAGTATATATTAACATATTATTTATATTAATATATTAGTATATATTATTTATATTAATATATTAGTATATATTATTTATATTAATATATTAGTATATATTATTTATATTAATATATTAGTATATATTATTTATATTAATATATTAGTATATATTATTTATATTAATATATTAGTATATATTAATATATTATATGAAAATATATATAATATAATATATATCATATATAATATATATGATATATAATATATATTATAATATACATTATATATTATATTATATATTATATAATATATGATTTATATGCAACGTATAACATACATCGATATATGATTTATATGCAACGTATAACATACATCGATATATGATTTATATGCAACGTATAACATACATCGATATATGATTTATATGCAACGTATAACATACATCGATATATGATTTATATGCAACGTATAACATACATCGATATATGATTTATATGCAACGTATAACATACATCGATATATGATTTATATGCAACGTATAACATACATCGATATATGATTTATATGCAACGTATAACATACATCGATATATGATTTATATGCAACGTATAACATACATCGATATATGATTTATATGCAACGTATAACATACATCGATATATGATTTATATGCAACGTATAACATACATCGATATATGATTTATATGCAACGTATAACATACATCGATATATGATTTATATGCAACGTATAACATACATCGATATATGATTTATATGCAATGTATAACATACATCGATATATGATTAATTATATATAATAAATATGTATATATTACTCTGAGACAATCTGCTAAGCAATAAGCTTAGAATGCATATGGGACACTTTAGCATGAAGTTTGGCTTCAGGATTTGGAAGATTTAAAGCCAAATTAATCTCAGGGAGACTCCTTAAGCGTCAATTATTTTCCTATTTTGTTTCACACACATTCACACGTGCTCTCCCAAGCACAACAGCTCACACCTACATGGATATAGACATGCAAATACACAAAACCTGTTTAACATCTAGTGGCCAAACTTAGCCTGATGGGGATATCAGGACCTAGTGACAAGAGTGTGTGCCCAGTGTCAGATCTATAGCACAGAGGAATATCCTCCTGTGCCTCTCTGCTGCAGTCTACCAGCTGCTTGGGATAAAAATCTGTATTCCTGGAGGAATGAGGGAGGCATCTAATATGAACCATCTTACTAATTCAACCTTTTCCTTATTCTCCATTGCCTTTTCAACTTTCTTCCCTACAGATCTGATCTTAACTTTCACCAAGCTGACTTAATAGTTCTCCAGCAAATGAGTACCTCTCACAAAGGATGTAGCTGAAGTGGTTATTGTATGCAAATTGAGGGTTAGGGACCCCTCATAGAGCCACAATGCCACACTGTAAAAATCTTCTATAGCTCCTATGCTTTGACGTACATGGGTCCCTTGAGGATCCTTCAGCCTCTGTGTCACCAAGCTACGTGAAGGTTGCCCAAGATTTAGCTGCCTTTTGTAGAGAATCATTTTCAGAAGTTGATAGTGAACTTTCAAGAGTTGATGTGCAAAGGTATTTAAAATTGATTTCCTGTCTGCACTATTGGTCTCCAGGGCTTAGGCTGCTCTGAAGACATGAACTAAGATTTTGCAGATGTTTTGTAACTCCTAATTACCCCTTTCTTTCCCATGGCCCTCTCAAGGTTGCTAGGTGACCAGGTTATTGCTTTGTCTTTTCTTTACAATCCAAAGGCCAGTCAGCATTATTTCTTACTCTCCTGGTAGGCTCTGGAAAACTCAAAAGTTATGTCACAGGACCATAATATATTGGAGACTGAATACATTAAAGAGATCAGCTTATCTACCCCCTCATTCTGTAGGTGAGATACCCTGCAGTTGGCACACTTCTCCTCATAGGCTCAAGTTTGGTGATGGAACTGAAGCCAAATAATAAATAGTATAGGAAAATGGTTCAAGCTAAATTAATCTCAGGAATATCTTATCTCCTTTAACTCCTTTTTTCTATTAATCACTGTAGTACTTCTCTTTATTTTTGCCATCTCTCCCACAACCAGCCACAGGCCCCATATTCAGTGCCACACTCCTATTGGGATTTTGATCAGAGAGTGGCTTCCTCTTGCTTGCTTCTATTTTCCACAGCCACAATTGGGAGTGTCATAGCCCTTCTCTTTCCCAAAATTAGATCAAACAAAGAGTCCTACTTGTATTTCTCTACAAATTCATACTAGTATCTGCAGAAGTAGAAAGCATAGGCTCTCTCTGAGTCACAAGGGGCCTAAAAGGTTAGACTCTACCAAGGATAGAGAAACACTAGTTTCTATGCATCTCAAATTCACACTGACATGAAAAGACTACTACTCAGTTCTTTATTTTTCCCAACAAGAAATCACCCTCCCTCAGTACTCAGAGTACTTTCTTTGAGTTCTGTTTAGCAGAAATCTCATTATACCTTATATCACTATACCTGTCTTTCTCCTCCATTGGATTGTTGGGTCCTTGAAGGGAGGCCAATTACCTAGTCATCTCTAGGTCTCTAAACCTCCCAATATTGTCTGATACACAGAGGTATCCAAAAGCATTTGTGGAAATTAAATGTAAGACATTATTCAAATGGCCTGTCTATTGCAGACCAGCATAATGCTAGATACAGCAATGACTTCAAAAACAGCATGTCCTTGATTTTGAATTCATTCTTCAATTAAAAAATATATCGAATGCCTGCAATGTTCCAGGCATTAAGGAAGTAGCAGGGTTTTTTTTAAAATCATTTTGATGTGGAGCCATATAACGCATGTAATATAGATGCTACATCGTATTCTGGACCTAGAAAATTTTATTTTGTTGTTGGTTTACCCCCTAGTTTATACTTGCATAGCAATGTCAACTCAAATGATCAAAACTCCAAGTGCAAACCTGTGATTCTTCCCTCTAAGTCTGCCATTTTCTAGAGCCTCCAGCATTCCTTTATAGCCCAGCTCTGATATCTCCCCATATCTTCCACCACACAAGAATAGTAGAGGACTCATCTACCTATCTTGGGTGGAAAACATGGAATGAAAAAGGCTTTCTGGAAAGAGATATCAGTAAGAACAAAGACATAATAGTGTATGGAAAAGGTTCACCAAATTTATTTTGAATTGATATTAATGGTATGAAAACAAATTCCTGAAATCCCTCTACATCTCCAGAGATTTTGATTATGGAAGGGGAAGAGGAAGATTAAAAAAAAAATCATCACAAATCTCTTCTACTCCCCGGGCCAACTTTTAGTTTACCATCTCAGTGCCTTTTTCCATACTTTCCTGATAATAGGCTGTCCATTTCCTTTCCCTCTCCCTAACAAGGGCCAGACGCATTGATGGAAGCGCAGTGCAATTCTCATCTTTTTCCAAAAGCTCTTTATGACTGAAGCTGGAAGAGTGTGCCCTTCTCTTGTTCTGAACTCTGATCTAAAGCACTGACTAGCCCTACCAGGCATCTGGAGATGAGTCTTCTCAGCAACTAATGTTAGACAGTGAGAACTATAGGTTGAGGAAAATCCTATCTTCTTTAAGTTTTGCACACCACATTGCACAGTGTCCTACATATAGTACACACTCAGTAAATGTTTGTTAAATTGATTTGGCTAAGATAGCAGACTGACTTTAACCAATACATTACTGTTGGTTGCAATGGGGAGTTTTGGGTCCTGAGTAGATGTGCAATTATAATGAAAATTCAACATGGTAAAAAGGGAATGAATAAAAGCAGACTCTCTTACAGACTTTCTGGCTTGAATCAGGGCCTGAAGTTTACGATGGATTTAAAACCTTTTTAAGAAAGGCTTTTTGGCAAGGAGAAATCACCCATCTCTGTAATATCAATTTTCCCATTTTTCCCTATTTGAGTTGTTAAAGCCAAAAAGCCATGCCAAATATGTAGGGGTGTGTGTGTTTGTATGTGTGTGTGCACATATGCTTGCCTTTCCATATTGAAAGCACTGCTAAAGAAAGTGCACTCTTTATCTTGCACTGTTAATTTCCTGCACTTTTAACAAAATTCACACCCAGAAGCTCAAATCTTGCATTTTAATATTTTGTTTGATATGAACTTTGAGGGTGAGAGAAGTTGCTTTGTCCTTTCTGAAATTTTATATTTATTCTTCTTTTTTGGGAGGTGTGGATGTTTATTCAAGGAAAAGAAAGGATCATGGAAAAGAAAGGATTCTGGATCAGAGTTTCCAGTTGCTGTGGGAAATACATAGTGTTGCTTTTAATTTTTCACTTATGGCCAGAAACTAGAACACATTTTATATCATTCTGTTTCTGAATCACGATCTCCTTTGAAGCTTAAGAGTTGTTTTTAGAACTAAGGGCATGTTTTATTCACCAATGTCAGAGTTTCTAGACATCTTTGTTTTGGTTCAGGTAAGTGTCTGTGTTCATAAAGAAACCCTTTACCTAACCCTGATGGTATGGGACAAGTGAAACATGTTTCTGCCTTTTTGTAATGCAGAATATGAATTTGGACTCAGAGAAGAGACTTTCCAGCCTCTCAAAAATCCCTACAGAAACAAAATTGCATTGCATGTTGATGTTTTCTATATCCATTAAACTTATGTGATAGGATTTATCCTAAAGACCTCATAATTCTTATTTCACACAAGACTGAAATTGTGAGTTACGTTCTATTTTACAGCGTATGCCCAAAGCCAAAATGATTCAGTTTCCCATTTCAGTGAATCTATAGATGATATTGAACTTGTGTGATGACAGCAGTATTGAACTTGGCACTTTTGGGGGAGAAACATTAGAACAACATCCATACCTTTGTATCTGCCTCAAGCCAAATTCACCCTTAGTCTGGGTTGTCTCCTCAGTAGCAGATTTTGACATTATGATTTGAGTACAGATGGTTTATTTAGGCAGTGATATTAGGATACACATATAGAAGAATAGGAACTTGAGACAGGAAAGGGAAGGAGGTCAATACAGAAGCCATCTAGAGGACTGAGAGAAAACCTCAGGTGAAGAATTGCAGAGGCTTGTAGTAATACACCATTTGTGGGTACCAGATGCATTCTGAGAGGATTTGGGTGGGGAGCTGACCATTTCTGTTAAAAAGTTTTATACCAACTGGTTTGGGAATCAATAGTTAAATGTGTCCAACATTTTAAAAGCAACCTAAGCACCAAATTGTGCTTGCTATTTAGAGAAGATTTTTAGTTCAGGTCTGCTGTCTAGAAACTGTGAGAGAGCATATGGAGCCTCTATTTCCCCATCCGCAAAATGGTGGTGATCATGTTTACCTCATGGGCACTTGCCAAGATTAAATCAGACAGTATTACTGTGCTACTATTTATGCCTTACATATTGAAGATATAAGTGTTATGAAGATAGACTAGAGATCTGTGTCGACCAGGAAGGTTGAGAAATTTTATTAGACAAAGCAAGATTTGACTTGAGCCTGGGAGAATGAGTAAAATCTACATGGCTTAACAGTTATACCTGTCCTCCAGGATGCAGCAGGACTTGGAAACATATTTGATGGCTAGGAAAACACCATATGTACAAAGACTCAGTACTTAGTTATCTCTCAAGGTGAAACAGAGCAAAATATTCGGGGGTATTTTTATTGACCAATGATTTTTTTTTTTTACTGTCATTAAAGTAATTATTGTGGTAGTATTTACTGCTCTTCTTCAGTATCTGGTTTCCCTCTTTTGAGCACATGGAAAGAGGGTGCTTTCATTCTCCTTGACATTAGGCATCACCATGTACCTTTCTTTCTTTTTTTAAAATATATATATATATATATATATATATATATTTATTTATTATACTTTAAGTTCTAGGGTACATGTGCACAACGTGCAAGTCTGTTACATATGTATACATGTGCCATGTTGGTGTGCTGCACCCATTAACTCATCATTTCTGGATGAAGCTGGAAAGCATCATTCTCAGCAAACTATCGTGTACCTTTCTTTAGGCAATGAAATGTAAGCAGATGTGATATGTGTCACTTCAGCATAATTGTATTTAGTTGCTGGCACTTGACTCTCCAACTCTGTTTTCCACTGCTAACAAGATTGTGGAATCAAGTGTTAATATAGAAGTCCAATAATAAGCCATCACATGACAACAGATGCCCTAGAGAGTCACCTGGATCTATTGTGCATTTTGCATGAATGCAATATAAATAAACCATTGTTGTTAGAAGCAACTAAGAGTTGGTGGTTATTTGTTATTGCAGCATTGCCTAGATTATCCTATCATAAACACCAAAGAAATACTGTTTCTGCCCCGACAGAAATCACTTTCAGCCAGAGAACCTGAGTTATTTCTTTCAGCTTTACTGGTTTACACATTTAATCTCTTAATGGCATAAATTGCAAATGGCCAACAAAAGTCATCTTCCTTAATACACTAATTGTATCCTGCATTTAAATAAATACTTTGCTGAGCTGTGTGCATCTGATTCTGAAGTGAGGTAAAAGGATACATTTCTCTGAATTCATTCCTACTATACCTGGCACATAGTAGGCATTCAAGAAATATCTGCTCAACTCAGAAACTATGAAAAAGTCCCAGATTTAAGGAATCTGGCTATACCAGATTAGGTTAATCCTTAGAAGAATTATGTCAACAATAAAATTTGTAACACTGCAGTAATGACATCAGCAAGATTGTGGAAGTCCTAATCCTTGTCCTCCTACAGAAACATCAATAGAATAATGATATTTGGGCCAAAATAACTTAATGAAGACTCTTAAGTCCAGTTAATATGTTGTAGCACCTCAGATGAACACAAAACTGATTAAAAAAAAAACACTTTGAAATGGGAAAGAACAATAATTTCACTTTGTCTATGTCAGTCCCTCCCCTAAGCTGGCATACAACACAGCATTGAAAGAGATCCATTTCATCCATTTCTCCCTTGGGATAAGGAATGAGTGAAGCATGCACCTGACATTTCCACACTTTCATAGCACTGTCTGAAAGATCTACTGTCTCACCTCACTCAGACTGCTGAGGCAACCAGCATAGTAAAAATGCCCGCAGGCAGCCAAGAATAAAGAAAAAAGTCAGGGGTTTTCAGAAGCTTACACAGTATTTCAGGACTGAGAAAAAGTGTACAACTCTAAGAGTTCTCCTTCGCAAGGAAGGAAGAAAACTGGAACTTCATCCAACCTCCTGGCATTGCAGTCCACTCCTCTACGGCAAAGGGACAGATGACTTTCAGCAGCCAGCATGGCACTGCAGAATTGAACAAAAGTACACAATCCTGAGACTTTTTTTTTCAGGGAGAAGGGAGAGAAGTATAACTTGCACCCCGACTATCAGCATTCCAGTAACTCCACTAGGGAAAAGGAGCAGATAGCTCTCAACAGCCTGCGAGGCCTTGTGAGATTGAGAAAAGGCACACAACCCTGAGACTTCTCCTTCAGGAGGAAGGGAGAGAAGTGGAGCTTGCTTTCAGCATCCTGACATTTCAGTGCACTGCCCTAGAGAAATGGGGTGAAAGGTATATCGTGGCCTGCATGGCTGTGTGTGATTGAGAGGAATTTAAAAAATAATAATAAAATAAATAATAAAGCCAAACCTGAGACCTTTACCCCGAGAGGGAAGCAGAGAAATAAAGTGGGCACAACCACAAAAAATGTTTGAGAGGCTCCCAGAATCTTTTGCAGGGCTGATTATTGAAGGTATTTCCATGCTGAAACCAATCCATAAAGACTTCTTTTATGCACTTCTTCAAATGCTCAGACACCATTGCAAAGGTACAAGGAACATGAAGAATCAAAGAACTATCCTACCATAAAAGGAACAAAAGAAATATCCAGTAACTTACCCCAAATAAATGGACACCTATAAATTTCTTGACAAAGAATGCAAAATAATCATCTTAAGTGAGCTAAAAAAAAAAAAAAAAAGACAACTGGGCCAGGCGCGGTGGCTCATGCCTGTAATCCAAGCACTTTGGGAGGCCGAGGCAGGGGAATCACCAGGTCAGGAGATTGAGACCATCCTGGCTAACATGGTGAAACCCCATCTCTACTAAAAATGCAAAAAAATTAGCCAGGCGTGGTGGCACGTGCCTGTAGTCCCAGCTACTCAGGAGGCTGAAGCAGGAGAATGGCGTGAACCTGGGAGGTGGAGCTTGCAGTGAGCCGACATTGCACCACTGCACTCCAGCCTGGGCGAAAGAGTGAGACTCTATCTCAAAAAGGAAAAAAAAAAAAGACAGCTGGACAAAATCGATAAAATGATACACAAATAACATGAAAATATCAAGAAAGAGATAAAAATCATAAAAAGAACCAAAGAGAAATTTTGGATATGAAGAATATGATAAATTGAATAATTCAATAGAACTTCAACAGCAGTCTTGATCAAGCAGAAGAATCAGAAAATTTGAAAACAAGTCATTTGAAATTATCTAGCCAGAGAAGCAAAAAGAAAAAAGAGAATAAAAAAGAGTGAAAAACACCTGTGGGACTAATAGGACCCAATCAAGTGAACCAGCATACACACCAAAGGAATCTCAGAAGGAGAAGAGATAAAGGTTTATAAAGGTTATTTAAAGAAATAGTGGCTGATAACTTCTCAAACCTGGAAGAAAAATGGACATCCAGGTTCATGAAACACAAAGGCCCAAATAAGAAGAATCTAAAGAAGTCCTCACTGAGACATAGTGTAATCAAAATTTCAAAGTCAATTACAAAGAGGTTTGAAAATTGGGCTGGGCACAGTGGCTCACGCCTGTAATCCCAGCACTTTGGGAGGCTGAGGTGGGTGGATCACGAGGTCAGGAGTTCAAGACCAGCCTGTCCAAGATGGTGAAACCCTGTCTCTACTAAAAATACAAAAAAATTAGCTGGGTGTGGTGGCAGGTGCCTGTAATCCCAGCTACTCAGGAGGCTGAGGCAGGAGAATCACTTGAATCTGGGTGGCAGAGGTTGCAGTGAGCCAAGATCACACCATTGCACCCCAGCCTAGGCAACAGAGTGAGACTCTGTCTCAAGAAAACAAAAACCAAACAAAAACAAAAAACCAACAACAAAAAAACAGCAAGAGAAGAAAATGACTCACTATGTACAAGAGAGCTACAGTAAGACTATCAGCAAATTTGTCAGCAGAAACTTGGGAGGCCAGAGGGATAGAAATAATATATTCAAAGTGTTGGGGAAAAAAAAAGAAAAAAAAAAACCTACTAACCTAGAAAACTACACCAATCAAAACTGTCTTCCAAAAATGAAAGAGAAATAAAGACTTTCCCAGACAAACAAAATCTGAGGGAGGCCATCACCACCAGATCTGATTGAGAAGAAATGCTGATGTGAATTCTTCAAGTTGAAACAAAAAGGATGGTAAATAGCAAAATGAGAGCATGTGAAAGTATAAAGCTCACTAGTAAAAGTAAATATATAAACAAGCATAGAGTACTGTAATACTGTAATATTGGTATATAAATAAATGACTTTAATATGACCTATGTTTTCACTGTTTTTCATGTATTTATCACTCCTGTCTCATGAAAGATGACAAAGACCTCTCTTCTTTTTTGACCAAATTGAGTTAGGCTCCTCTGAACCGTCATTCTAACTAGTCCCCTGACATTGGCCAGTTTGGTCTAGTTGAAGCAAGAATGCTAATTAGTAAGTTTAGTGAAAATCCCCCACCATTGCTATTTGATTATATTCCTCATCACCAACTCCTGGTATCTGACCACCTTTGCTTGCCTTCAGCAAAAATCCTGTGAAGTCTGTTTAACAGGATACTTACCTCTAATGTTTCATTTTAGTAATTTTCCATTTGTCCCTCCCCCCAACTCCCGCTGCTCCTTAGCAACAAACTCCTTCATTTTTATTCGGAGTTGAGCTGGATCTCTCTCGTAACTGCAGTTAGCCCCTTTAGAATAAAGTCTGCCTTTTCATCCATTTTAACAAGTGTTTGAATAATTTTTTCTTTAACAGGTGTTAGAACAGGACATACCACCCACTTCCCAATTCCCATGCACCCTGCAGCTACAGTCCCTGAATCACAAGAAACACAACTGAATGACAAGGCTTGAGTATCTCACAAGGCTAGGGAGAGATGGGTGGGAGGGTGTGAGAGCTAAGGATCACCTTGCAGGTAGGCAAGTCTTGAATAGGGTGTTCTCTGCAGCCCACATAACCTACCTCCCTCACAAATGTGGAAGGATTCTGCACCCTTACTCTGGACTGCGTGGAGCTTGTTTTGCTTTTATCTTTCCTTCTCTCTCCATTACTTTGTGGGTTAACTTAGCATCCCCCTCAGGCTAATAGCTGGACTCTCTACTATACCCCCACATTGTCCTCTCCTTCTCTGGTCCTGCTGCTCCTACCCATTCTCTGAATTGTGGATCACCGTGCATCCACATGGGACTCAGAAGCTCAAGGTTTCGGGGCTGGGGGAGGAGCAAAGAAGTGAGAATTTGAATTCACCCCAGCTTACTCTGGACACCGAGGCATCCATGCCTCCCTACTCTGACAACAGACCTGATACCTGAGTTGATTCCCCATGGCCTGTTTCCCCATTTACAAGAGAAAGGGATCCCCCAAGGCCCTTCTAGTATAAGCCTGACAGAGAGCTGTCACTGCCAGTCACAGCCAGAAACTACTGGTTGCAGCTGGTCTCTGCTGGTGTTGGCCAGTTGTGGCCAGTCTCAAATGATTGCAGTTGGTCATGGCTGGTCACTGCCAGTTATGTCCAGTTGCAGCTAGTCTCTACCAGTATTGGCCAGTCTCAGCTGATTACCATCATCTCGGCCTGTTACAACTAGTCATGGCTGGTCTTGGACAATTGTGGCTGACTGTGGCCAGTCTTTGCCTATTACAACCTGTTTCAGCTGTTCTTCACCAGTCATTGCTGGTCTTGGCCTGTTACAACCAATCATGCCTGGTGTGTGTTGGTCTTGGCTGGTTGCAGCTGGTGTCAGCTGGTCTGCACTGGGCACCACTAGTTTTGGCCTATTACAACTGGTCACAGCTGGTCTCTGCTGATCTCAGCCCATTGCAGCCAGTCTTGACTGGTCTCCACTGCTTTTGGCCAATCTTGGCCAGTCTCTGCTGTTCACACTGGCCTTGGCCTGTCACGACAGATCTTTGTTGATTACAGCCACTCACAGTCTATCTCTGCCAATCACTGCCTATTATGGCCGGTCTCTGCCAGTCACAGCCAGTCTTGGTCTGTTATGGCCAGTAATTGCTGGTCTCCACCAGTCACAGCTGGTCACAGTCAGTCTCAGCTCATCATGGCCAATATCCACTGTCTGAGTCAGTTGCCAGTCATGGCTGATCACAGCCAGTCATCCCTGGTTTCAGCCAGTCTTGGCTGGTCACCATACTCTTGGCCATACATTACTGGATATAACTGGTCAACATAGGTCATGACAAATCATCACCAGTCACACTGCTGGGTTCCTTCCAATGATGGAACCTTAAAAGGATGGAACTTCTAACGTTCCAAGGACTAAATGCAGCTGACATGCCCTTTAGTCTATAGTTAAGTGTTTCCAGCAAACAAACACTATCATTTAGACAGTACAGGTGTACAGCATATAATTGAACAGAACACCACAGTATATATTTACCTCCCTCTCAAATGCTTTAACATTTATCATTTATAATTTAAAACAACTTTCAGCAATCTGTACATCTCTAAATATAAGTGAAATGTTTATTTTGACTATTTGAGGCAATTTATTACAGAAAGGCCCCATAGAAATTTTGATCTGAATCATTTATAGGTGGCTGATGCCAAAAAGCCTTTGTAATTCTAAATATAGCACACCAGCTTCATCCAAACACACATAGCCATTCAATTGCTAGTTTAATAAGTGTGGGGAAACTAAAGGCCATTCTAGGTACTTTTCTTTTTAGCCTAGCATGAGGGAATTCTGGAACAACCAGAATTTGGTGTCTGGTAGCAAAACTAGTGAGGAAGACTAAATCAAAAAGTTATCAATTCAAATGTTCAGCTTTTAGTTTTTTAAAGGAATAAACTACGTGACTCTGGTCAAGAGCTTTGCCTTCCTTGGTCCTCTGCTTCTGGGAGGGCTTAGGTGAAGTTAAGGACATCAAAGATAGGCCATTTTTCTCCTGGGCAGCGGCTGGCCAAATATTGGAATAAATCAACCCAGTAATAGTAGTTCTGTTATCACAAACCTAGCCTTAGGCATGGTCATTTGCAGAGCTCTGTCACCTCAAAGTGTGCAAAGTCCCTTTTCCTTTGATAAAGATGGGCCAGGGTAGCTGTTTTAGAGAGGCTTGCTTCACAATTTTTCTCCACTAATATTTCCTGCAGCTGACCATAAGTAGGGACTAAATTCCTCTAAGAGACATGAATTTTATTCTTAGCAATCAGTGTTGTTGCCAAAGTCTAGAGTCCAACTCTGGGGTCCAATGAAGCCTAGATTCTGAGCCCTCAATCACATTTAAGTTTCTGGCCTCAGTTGCCCATTGATTGTAGGCATTTTTTTTTTCCACACTGACTTCTGTGCAAATGAAAAGTCCCCAGGAAATAAAAGGAAAAGTCCTCAGTGGTTGATTATGGAAAGCCACACAACAGCATCAGGAAGTACACAATTTTCTCTTTTTAGTCTACATGCAAATTATACCTAGGTCTTGGAATGTGGTACTTAACTCCCATTTTGTACGTTAATGTGACAGTATCCTTAAGGGTCTCACGACCTGACTTCCAGCTGTGTAGGTCAACATACAATTTGCCAGTGGCTTCCAGATGTGGTTCTTAGGGTACAACACTGGTTTACTCACCGACATTGATACATCTCTGGAAACATTTTCTCGTGTTTATGTAACCCTTTCCCAGACCTTTATCACTCATTTGGGAAGAACAGCTACAGAGTCTCTCTGTGATTTCTCATTATTCAGCCAGGTACATTAAAGCTTGCAACTCAGAGTCAATAGCAGTGTATAGAGTGACAAAAAAAAAATGTAACAGAAACACTCAAATCTCTAACACTGAGCATGTAGTATAATTGCCACCTAGCTCTTGCCATGCTGAATGTCCTTTGGTCCCCAGATGTAGCAAAATCCATGTGTCACCTATTTGAAAAGAAGCACTAGTGCTAACAACTCCACTTGAGTTCCTAGTTTTCCTGAATACTTTTCAAAGGAAAAAGCCACATTCAGGGACAGTGTTGGGACAGTCACATTATGGGAAGAAAGCAGCAAGCCATTTTGCTTCTGGCAGCACACCGTCTTCTTCAACATTTCTAATATATCTGATCTGAGAGAGCTGGTTAAGCTGCCCCATTAAAACAAAGCAATAGCACAGGAAGTTTCTGTCATGCATTCAAAATTGTGTGGGTTTCCATATTTCTGAGCAGATGAGGTGGACCTGGCATAAAATGAGGTTTTGTGATGGCTGGGGGCCTCCCATTCTCCCTGGCATGGTTACCTCAGCCACAGACTCAACTGAAAAGCTGCTTGGGGCTGGTACCGGGGACAGAACTAATTATGATGAATGTTACTTACCCAGCTCTCAATTACAACCTGGATATGTCACCTGGCAAACTCTATTTTATTTCTGGAAAAAGTTGAAACATGAGACAGAAACTTTCTTTAGCTTTTTGGGAAAAATTCCTCATTCATTTCAACTTGACCTGTTACTTCCAATGTTCCACAAACAAGGAATTTAGATTGTAAAAGCCAGCTGGTAATTGAACCTATACACACTCTGACATGGGCTCACAACTTGGAGAGGTGAGATACACAAGGAGGAGAGAAGTTCCCCACTTTCTGAATTTGAGAAATGCCTCCAGCTCATCATTCTCAGCCGTCCTGAGAACTATAAAAGCTAACAAGCAAGTTGCTAACTCCAGACACCCAGCCCTTTTTGAACGGGGGTAATATAGGGTGATATGATCAATTTGCGTCACTTTGCCCAATATTTTCTTCTACCCCAAGAATGGGGTGATATTTTTAACACAACCCGCTTGGCTATTATGATAAACACATTTACATGAAGGAGTTAATGGCTGATAATAACAGTTCATTCCTATTCTCAGGTATTTTTCTACCTTTTTGTTGGGACTTCCATGCCTTAACATAGAAAAGTAAGAAATTTGGAAATTTCTAGTCAGTGCAGTAAGGTCTGGGAATGGCAGTATTCTGGAACAAAGGATTTTTCACTGTCTTCTCTAGCTACTCAAGAGTCAATTATTTAAGACGTTCTCTAGTTACCACGCCTCCTGTGTCACACCACATTCTTTAACCCCCCACTCACCACCCCCTCCGCAAAGCACCGTCAAGTATAAAATGAATGAAAGATTAACCCAGAGTTTAACTCTGCAGGTTGCACTAACCAAAGCCTTCAAATTCAGATTTAAGAAAGAGTTAAACATTTTTATAGCCTGGTGCTTCCTACTCCCAGTTCCTTCCTTGATATTTAAACAGAGACTTGACATTTCTAATTAGGAAGTTTTACATCCAGGCAAGCGGAATTTACCCCCAGCTGGGAAAACACGGCTTAGTAAGAGTTTGACATCAGCCCTCATTGATCTGAAGATTATCTCCCATTTGAGACTGAAGAGCTTCTGGGAGACTGAGGAGGGGAAACAAATGTGGGAAAGTGTGTGGAAATGCATTCTTTGACTTTGGGGTTAGGTGGATAAAGGCTGGCAAGCAGAGACTTGGGGACTGAAATCATTTTCTTTCTTCCCTTTACTGCAGCCTTCCTCTCCCAGCTTTCCTTGTCAATATTTCAGAATCTGAACTTGCTAAAGGAGGGCAAAGAACTTGTTGATCAGATTTTTGCATTGTTTTAACTTCACCAACAAAATGGCTTATTGCTTTGTGGTTTTCAGAGACTTGGTAAGGGATGTTTGATGTTTGAATTAGATTGGGAAAACATTCAGGAAAGCGAATGACCTTGTCTTAGTCCATTTGGGCCACTGTAACAAAATGTCTGAGACTGGGTATCTTACAAAGAACAGAAATTTATTTTTCACAGTTCTGGAGGCTGGGATGCTCATGAGCAAGGTGCTGGCCGGTTTGGTTTCTGGTAAGGGCTTGCTCTCTGCTTCCAAGTTGGTGCCTTGAGAACTGTGTCCTCATATGTTGGATGAGATGGAAGGACAAAAGGGCCTAGCTAGTCCCCTCAAGCCCTTTTATAATCCCGGCTGGGCACGGTAGCTCACGCCTGTAATCCCAGCACTTTGGAAGGCCGAGGCGGGCGGATCACGAGGTCAGGAGATCGAGACCATCCTGGCCAACATGGTGAAACCCCGTCTCTACTAAAAAATAAAATAAAATACAAAAAATTAGCCGGGTGTGGTGGTGGGTGCCTGTAGTCCCAGCTACTCGGGAGGCTGAGGCAGGAGAATGGCTTCAACCCGGGAGGCGGAGCTTATGGTGAGCGGAGATTACCCCATTGTACTCCAGCCTGGGTGGCAGAGCGAGACTCCGTCTCAAAAAAAAAAAAAAAATTGCTAACCTCATTGATGAGGGTAGAGCCTTCATCACTTAATTACCTCCTAGAGGCCCCACTTCTTAATACTTTTATGTTGGTGATTAAATTTTAACATGTGGGTTTTGGGGAATACATTAAGAACATAGCAGATGTAGATTTCCCTTCCAGGACCTAATGTGTTAGCAGTTCTACTAAAATGATTGCCATAAGAAAGCCTATCTCCAAATTGGGAACTATATATAGGCTCTATTCTTTATATTTTACTTTGTTTCTTCCTTTGGTACCTTTTACATACCAGGATTTCTGATTACACTATGTCTTTCCTCTGTGGCTTAGAGACTTCATGCCATGCTGTTTATGTCCATAGTGAGTTCCTTTGGCTTGGCTCACTCCCTTTACCCGTTGCCTGGTATAAAGGTGTAGCTTCTCTGCAGTGGAATGTCCTCTTTACTGAAGAGAGACCTGGTCCTCAAACTCTCTAGCCTAAGCAATCATGGCAATTCAGAAGTACTGTCAATTCTTCTCATGTCAGAACTGTCTGGAGGCCACTCTAGTCTCCCTTGGGACCACCCTGCTATTTTCATGACCCTGCTATTACTGTGGATGGTGACATAGACAGTTAAATTTGTGTTGAGCTCTACTGTACATTTGTTCTTCAATGGGCTATACATCTTTAACTGCTAGAAGTTATAAGGCTTCTCAACTCTCATACCTTAACATTGTCTTGAGACTTGTCAGGGACACCACTCAGGGCTCTGCTGAGCTCTCCCAAGAGAGTTTGACTGAATTGAGACAGGATTTATGAGGGACAGATCTCACTTTGCCTGGGATGAGTTCTTATATGGCCTTAGAAGTTATAGTATTCCTTTGGTTACCTCCTTCTCGGGAATTATCTCAACTTTGATGTAAGAGGTATAACAAGATTACCATTCACAAGTCTCATAAATCCTGAGATACTTGCATAAATTGACTTAATGTCCTACAATTCTAGAAAAATATATAAAACTGATCATGATGAGGACCCAGGATTAAAATGATAAACAGATTAATGGAACAGAGCCTTGCTACAGTAGTGTGCCTTATAAGTAAATTATACTTTCACAGAGATAATATTCTTGCCTTTAAGTTATAGCTAAAAAACTGGCTAAGATAGTGGGGATTTTTGTACAGAAGAGAATAACACTGAGGGAATAAGCTGAGGAAATATTTATAGGTTTTTAAGACCTTAGAAGTTTCTTGAACTTTAAATATGTAGTTAACTGCATTCCCTATACATAGGATTGCTTTAGACCTAAAGAAAAAAAAATGCCTGAGGATAAAACAAATGAGAGAAGTGGTAGAAGAAGATTGAGTGCACCAAGACAGGAACCCAGCAGTTCTTTCTTAGGGTTGTCATGGTCAAGTAGGTATCAGTTAGCACAAACTGCAGGTCAGAATCAGGTGAAAAAGTCAGTGTTGGAATAGGTATGGTAAGTGAAGAGTTGGGCAAGTTGTGAGCTGGAAGTGACCTAGACAAGTACACGGTAATAGAACCATCAGAGATCTAAATAAAGTGGTAGGCTCATACCCTGGGCAGATTGGATAGTAGGTAATCTCCAGGAGTTGGAAAAACAGAGGAAAGCAGATGGTGAAACGTTAGCCAAGCAGTTAGGAGTCAGAAATAAGAGGCAGCCAAACAGTGAGTCAGGTAGAGGAAGACTCAGTTCAAAGCACCAGTGCCATGAGATGGAGAATTGAGTCAGCCTAAGAACTTTCATATGTTTTCTATGAAGACTGAGCCCATTTTCTAAGTCTAGGTGTTGAGGTAGAAATAATCAAAAGCTGCTGACAGGAGTGGAGAGTGAGAAGCTGGAGTGACAGGCAGTTCCTGATAGAGCTGAAAATGGCAGAGAATGTGCTGAGGCAGTGGCAAGTGGAGTTAAAGTAGGATCCATAAAAAGCAGCAGGGTATTGAGAAGTTTGATTTGCAGAGGGCACTTCAGGAATATGGCTATATTGTAAAATATGATGTACATGTGGAAACAGCATTTTGGGTCATGTTTTGAAGGAATTTAGATCACCTTATAATGATAACTATATCTTAACAATTTCCCTTAGTGGCAAACAGCATAAATTGCAATTTGGAAGATCCAAGGGATGTGGATTCAAGTTGGGACTAAGTTATCAGTCTAAGATATGCATGTGTTTGCCCATTTGGGGTGGCAGCCAAACTTGGTACACCACTTTTTTTCTCTCTCTCTGTTGAAGTGAAGATAAGCCAAGCTGGAGGGGAGAGGTGGCAAAATTGTGCAGTCTGCCAAGTTTTCTTGGAATCTTCATCCTTCCCTTTCCGTTCCCTTTGCCACTTGAAGTGTACTTATCTTTCAAGTTCTTAATGCCCTGCTGCTTTTTACCTGCCTCCCTTAATTAACAGAAAATAATTTGATCACTTTACATTCACTACAGTTCTGTGATGGGGATTTTTCTGCCAGGTGTTGTTTGCACTTCATTTCAAATCAATGGCTGCAGAGCATCTACTGCATACAAGGCACTGACTGAGCTAGATGTGGCAGATATAAAGGCTAATGGCTCATAGTCCCATTCTCAAAAAATTACAACTTAATATTTAAATGAAACATATGAAAGACAAACTCTAGGATAACTCAGAAACAAAACTGTAAAAAATGCCATAAATAAAATCCAGACAAAATATAATAGAAGTATCATATATGAGAAGTGGACTGTTCTTAGAAGATTTCTTAGAAGTAGGTTGTTCTTACATTGAGACTTGAAAGTTGATTACTCAGCAAATGGGGATGTTGGAGAAGGGCATTCTGGGGAGAAAAAAAGCAAAGGAAAGATACACTAAAATCAAAGTGCAGGACATGTTTCAAGAACAGTGAGAGTTTCATGTGGCTAGAACGTAGAGTATGTGAAAAGTGTACTATGAGGGATGATACTAAGAAACTTGGATGATTAGGAATAATGGTTTAAATTTTATTCCTTTTGGAACAGAAATCCATTGATAATTTTTGAAGAGAGGAGCTTTAATTTAAGAAGGCACATCTAAGAATGTTGGGTTGAAGTAAGAGAAGCTGAAGGATGAGAAACAGTTAAGAAATTACCGTAATTATTTAGGTCATATGTGATGATGCTCTAAACCATTCTAATAGCAGAGAAAGAGAATGGCTGCAACAGGTAAAAGATAGGGAGAAGAAAATCTACAGAATTTTATCAACTTGTTAGAGGTGATAGAAGGGAGGAGGCCTTAAAGATGATATGATGTGAATTCTGGTCAACTGGGACAATGTTAGCTCATAAATCAAAGTCAAAATCACTGGAGCAATTTGTTAGATGAGACAGGTGATGAAATCAGGCTGCAACATATTGAGCTCAATTGTTATTTGAATATTCAGCTAGATGTAAGCAACAGGCAGCTGGAAATGCATGCAGTGTGATCCTCAGGAGGAAAGTCAGTGAAGAACATGGATTTGGGAGATACTGTCATAGGTGTGACCAATTACTCTATGGGATTAGTGGCATTGTGGGGAGTGGATGTCTTGTATGAAAAGACTGAGCACATTTCCTTGTGAAACTCTTATTTATATTCAGGAAATATGAGGAGGGAGAAGAGCTCATAAAAGATATCAAGCAAGAGTAATCAAAAAGATTTAATAATCAGATAAGTGCATACTCACTAGTCCATATGTTCCTTGAGGTTAGAAGCTTTTCTGTATTCATTATTTTATCTCAGCATAGTAATTGCCCAAGAAGTATTTGTGAAATAAGTGGATGAATGTCACAGAAGCCAATAGGGAAGACTTTACTTGCCACAGGGATAAATGCTGTAAAATGTGGTCTGAAGTTTAATAGAATTACACCTGGGAATGGCGCTGGAAGTGATGATAAAGAAGACATTCATTGTTCATATAATAACTTATTTTCCTCTGGGTAGATAGCCAGTAGTGGGATTGCTGAATCAAATGGTAGTTCCACTTTTAGTTCTTTAAGAAATCTCCATACTGCTTTCCATAGTGGTTGTACTAGTATACATTCCCGCCAGCAGTGCAAGTGTTCCCTTTTCACCACATCCATGCATGTTTATAGAAGCACAATTCACAATTGCAAAAATATGGAGCCAGCGTAAATGCCCATCAACCAACGAGTGCATAAAGAAAATGTGGGATATATGTACCATGGAATACTACTCAGCCATAAAAAGAAACCTATAATGGCATTCGCAGCAATATGAATGGAGTTGAGACCATTCTTCTAAGTAAAGTAACTCAGGAATGGAAAACCAAACATTTTATATTCTCATTTATAAGTGGGAGCTAAGCTATGAGGACACAAAGGCGTAAGAATGATATAATGGACTTTGGGTACTCGAGGGGAAAGATGAGAGGGGGTGAGTACAGTGTACATTGCTCAGATGATGGGTGCACCAAAATCTCAGAAATCACCAAGAAAGAACTTTTCCATGAGCATGGGATGTGTTTCCATTTGTGTCGTCTATGATTTCTTCCAGCAGTGTTTTGTAGTTTTCCTTGCAGAGGTCTTTGACATCCTTGGATAGGTATATTCCTAAGTATTTTATCTTTTTTACAGCTATTGCAAAAGTGGTTGAGTTCTTGATTTGATTCTCATCTTGGTCACTGTTGGTGTATAGCAGTGCTACTGATTTGTGTACATTAATTTTGTATCCTGAAACTTTACTGAATTCACTTATCAGTTCTAGGAGCTTTTTGGATGAGTCTTTAGTGTTTTCTAGATATACAGTCATATCATCAGCAAACAGCAACAGGTTGACTTCCTCTTTACCAATTTGGATGCCCTTTATTTCCTTCTCTTTTCTGATTGCTCTGGCTAGGACTTCCAGTACTATGTTGAATAGGAGCAATGGGCATGGCATTCTTATTGTGTTCCAGTTCTCAGGGGGAATGCTTTCAAATTTTCCCCGTTCAGTATAATGTTGGCTGTGAGTCTGTCATAGATGGCTTTTATTATCTTGAGGTATGTCCCTTCTATGCAGATTTTGCTGAGGTTTTCAATCATAAAGGGATGCTGGAGTTTGTCCAATGCCTTTTCTGTGTTTATTGAGATGATCATGTGATTTTTGTTTTTAATTCTGTTTATGTGGTGTATCATATTTATTTACTTGCATATGTTAAACCATCCCTGCCTCCCTGGTATGATACCTACTTGATCATAGTGGATTATCTTTTTGATATGCTGTTTGTTTTGGTTAGCTAGTAATTTGTTTAGGAATTTTATATCTATGCTCATCAGTGATATTGGTCTATAGTTCTCTTTTTTTTGTTATGTCCTCTCCTAGTTTTGGTATTTGGATGATACTGGCTTCATAGAATTATTTAGGGAAGATTACCTCATTCTCTATCTTTTGGAATAGTGTCAACTGGATTGGTATAAGTTCTTTGAATGTCTGATAGGATTCAGCTGTGAATCCACCTGGCCCTGGACTTTTTTTTTTTTGGCAATTTTTAAAATTACCATTTCAATCTTGCTACTTGTCACTGGTCTGTTCATAGTTCCTATTTCTTCCTGGTTTAATACAGGAAAGTTGTATATTTCCAGGAATTTATCCATCTCCTCTAGATTTTCTAGTTTGTACACATAAAGATGTTCATAGTAGCCTGGAATGATCTTTTCTATGTATGTGGTATCAGTTGTAATATCTCCTATTTAATTTCTAATGAGCTTATTTGGATCTTCTCTCTTCTTGGTTAACCTTGCTAATGGTCCATATATTTTGTTTATCTTTTCAAGGAACCAGCTTTTTGTTTCATTTATCTTTTGTATTTTTTTGTTTCAATTCCATTTAGTTCTTCTCTGATCTTTGTTATTTCCTGTTTCTCTAGTTCCTTGAGGTGTGACCTTATGTTGTCTATTTGTGCTCTGTCAGACTTTTTGATGTAGGCATTCAGTACTATGAACTTTCCTCTTAGCACCACTCTTGCTGTATTCCAGAGGTTTTGATATGTTCTATCACTATTATTGTTCAGTTCAAATAATGTTTTAATTTCCATTTTGATTCCATTGTTGACCCAATGATCATACAGGAGCAGGTTATTTAATTTCCATGTATTTGTATGGTTTTCAATATTGTAAAAATGACCATACTGCCAAAAGCAATCTACAGATTCAATGGGATTCCTATCAAAATACCATCATCATTCTTTGCAGAACTAGAGAAAAAAAATCCTGAAATTCATATGGAACCAAAAAGGAGCCCCATAGCCAAAGCAAGACCAAGCAAAAAGAGCAAATCTGGAGGCTCCACATTACCTGACTTCAAACAGTACTCTAAGGCTATAGTCACCAAAACAGCATGGTACTGAATATAAATAGGCACATAGACCAATGGAACAGAATAGAGAACCCAGAAATAAACCCAAATACTTACAGCCAACTGATATTAGACACAGCAAACAAAAGCATAACTTGGGGAAAGGATACCCTAGTCAACAAATTGAGTGCTAGGATAAGCCATATGTAAAATAATGAAACTGGATCCTCATCTCTCATCTTATATAAAAATCAACTCAAGATGGATCAAAGACTTAAATCTAAGACGTAAAACCATAAAAATTCTAGAGGATAACATAGGAAAAGCCCTTCTAGACATTGGCTTAGGCAAAGACTTCATGACCAAGAGCCCAAAAGCAAATGCAACAAAAACAAATAGATGGGACTTAATTAAAGTAAAAAGCTTCTGCACAGCAGAAGAAATAATCAGGAGAGTACACAGACAACCCAAAGAGTGGGAGAAAAATCTTCACAATCTATGTGTCCAACAAAATACTAATATCTAGAATCTGCTGGGAACTCAAACAAATAAGCAAGAAAGAAACAAACAGTCCCGTCAAAAAGTGGGCCAAGGACATGAAAAGACATTTCTCAAAACAAGATATGCAAATGGCCAACAAGCATATGGAAAAACGCTCAACATCACTGATTATCAGGGAAATGCAAATCAAAACAACAATGCAATACCACCTTATTCCTGCACGAATAGCCATAATAAAAAAAATCAAAAATATAATAGATGTTGGCATGGATGTGGTAAAAAAGGGAGCACTTTCACACTGCTGGTGGGAATGTAAACTATTACAACCACTGTGGAAAACAGTGTGAAGTTTCCTTAAAGAACTAAAAGTAAATCTACCATTTGATCCAGAAATGCCACTACTGGATATCTACCCAGAGGAAAAAATATATATATACCATGGAATACTACTCAGCCATAAAAAGGAACAAAATAATGGCATTTACAGCAACCTGCATGGAATTGGAGACCATTATTCTAAGTAAAGTCACTCAGGAATGGAAAACCAAACATCATATGTTCTCACTCATAAGTGAGAGCTAAGCTATGAGGACGCAAAAGCATGAGAATGATACAGTGGACTTCAAGAACTTGGGGGAAGGGTGGGGGGGGGTGATGGATAAAAGACTACACATTGGGTACAGTGTACACTGCTTGGGTGAGGGGTGCACCAAAATCTCAGAAATCATCACTATAGAACTTATCCATGTAACAAAACACCACCTGTTCCCCCAAAACTTATTGAAATATTAATAAAAATGTAAAACTTTTCCATGCAACTAAACACCACCTGTTTCCCCAACAATATTCAAATAAAAATTAAGAAGAGGTCATTTGTTGATAATCTAATCTAGTCTGAGCAATATCTATGGGGAAGTGAGGATAGAAACCAGACTACACTAATTTGAGTAGGGAATTGGAATTGGACGTGAGAAAGCAGAGCTGAATATAAACTACTCCTTCAACACCTATTTGGAGTGAAGAGAACAATGTTTTTTGTTTGTTTGTTTGTTTGTTTTTCCTTTTGGGACGGAGTCTCGCTCTGTCGCCAGGCTGGAATGCAGTGACACGGTCTTGGCTCACTGCAACCTCCGCCTCCCGGGTTCAAGCAATTCTCCTGCCTCAGCCTCCAGAGTAGCTGGGATTATAGGTGTGTGTCACCATGCCTGGCTAATTTTTTGTATTTTTAGTAGAGATGGGGTTTCATAATGCTGGTCAGTCTGGTGTCGAACTCGTGACCTCGTGATCTGCCCACCTCGGCCTCCCAAAGTGTTGGGATTACAGGCGTGAGCCACCATGCGCGGCTGAGAACAATTTTTTATATAGAATTTTTTTCCACAGAATAGATTTTTCACAAGAAGATTTGTACATATAATATATATCAATTGATTGTCTACCATTTCCTACACGCTTTGCTGGATGCTAAAATTTTAGTTAATTAAAAGAAGATTTGAACAGGTTTGCAGGCCAAAGAAAGGGAAGTGATGTAAAGAAAAAAAACTGAAAATATAAGAGGCAGAAGGGCTGCAGTGACAAAGTAAAATATTGATGACAACCAGAAGGCTGAAGGGGCAGAAGAAATTCAGAGATTAGTCTTAGAAGAAGTGGACAATTCTTTCTCTGAAACAAGAAGAATGCAAGGAAAGAAAAGTAAAAATATAAAAAAACTTTTGAAGTGGAATCACTCAGAGTTGAAAGAGTTTATATGAAATGGCTTTTTCCTCCTCAGAGACGGGGATAGAAAAGGTTATCTGCTACAGTTTAAGGCTTGGAGGCTTTGAGAAACATGAATTATCTTTGGTATGTGACCTTGAGAACGTCCCCAAGTGGTCTAAACTGGTAAAAGTAAAAGCATTGTCAATCAACTTGTAAGGCCCAGTTGAATAAAATTGCACCTGGAAATGGCACTGGAAGAGATGATAAAGAGGTCATTCATTGGTAATCTGGTTAGAGCAGTATCTGCAAAAAGGCTGAACAATAAGGATTCATGTAAAAAATTGAGCATAGTATTCACATAACTTTCCCCTGCAATGCTTAGCTTCCCAGGAGTAAGAAAAAAGTAAATGTGCTTTTGAATTATCTTAGTAAACAATTTAATTTTGGATATTGGTAGAAACAACATACTTGAAAAATGAAGGAGTGAGGAAATCAAGGGTACTGGTGGTAGAGAACATGATTGAATATACTTTTCCAGATTGTTGAGCATCTTCTAGGCCAAACTCACTGCAATAGATGCTTTTTTTCATCTTCTAATAATTTAAATATCATGATATACCAGGAAGATGAGGTTGTTATTATGGCATCCAGTTTACAGGTAATGAAGCCTTGGCTCAGAAAAGTTTCTGGAAGTTTCACAGCTAGTTTGAAGGGGAGCTGAGATTGAAACCCTTGTCTGACTATCTCTTACTTTAAGTCTTTAGGAGCAGAATGAGGCATATTGTCTTCCTTACTGTTAAAGGGATATTAGGTGAGAGTAGGGTGAGGGAATGAGGGTATTTGGGGGCTGGAGAGACTTCTCATTTGTCCCTTTTTGATATCCCTGGTGGTAGCTTCTTTATGCTTAGGAGCTCGGATCAAAGAAGGAATAAAACAGTTCCTACAGTTTTCTTTCTTTCACTTGTTAGAGTGTTATGTTTTAGAGTGCTTCAAATTCAAAGTCAGAAAGCCTGAGTTTGAATCTTGCTACCTACTGCTTGTGAAACCTTGAGTGACTTATATAACCTGTCAGGGCCTTAGTATCCTTTTCTGTGAAGTGGAGATGATATGTACCTTACAGGGTTATCCAAGATGATATCTATCAATCTCCTAGCAGAGTGTTACACATATATAAGCTCACTGAATGCCATTATACAAATCTGTCATCATTACTGTTCTTTTCCCTAACTGTATTAACACTGATCTTACCCTTTATATTGCTCTGTTTCAGGATGCTTCCATGTTGAGGACCATTCCTCCCAGAATTAGGTTCATACCCTTTTACAAACCCCAGACCAGGAAAGCAATTCAAAAATCTTATGGTCCAGAGCATCAGGTACATCAGGACATCCTGCATCTAGGTTATTTGACTGAGGTCTTCCAGGTTTGGGGATAGGGTATGAGGGAAGCCAGGCACTTTGGCTGTTAGTTTCTGTTAGTAGGTGAAGCACGGGGAAATTTGGTTCTGGAACAAGGCAGGGAAGTACAGTTGGGTGCAGGGTAACTTCAAATGCCAGGGACTAAAATCTGAGATCTGTTTCCACTTGTTTGTATAGTGAGAATGACAATGAAATGGGGTCAATATAAGATGTCCACAATAATGCTAAAGAACTAAAATTGCAAAGGGAAAATGATAAAGTCATTGCGAGTACTCTCTGCTTTTGAGCCTTTTGCTGATCTGCTATTCCCTCATTTCCCAGCCTTTTCTTTGCTTCATACTTTATAATCCAGCAGAGATAAGTTGTTTGCCTTTTCTTTGCACACAGTCCACAAAGTTTTTGCTGCTACTACATCTTTGCTCACGAGGTCTGTTTGTACTGACTGCAGTCCCATCCTTTTCTTAGTGCACTTCTAACTCCTTTAAGAATCAAGTCATGTATCACTTCTTCCAAAGAGATTGACCTGCTTTCTACTCCCTATCCTCAAGACCAAATTGGGCTCTCAAAACATATTGCACATATTTGTACCACTGTACTTGTAAATCATTTGATCAGTTTGGCTTCTTTCTTCATACTTCAAGCTCCTGGAGGACCAGGATGGTGTCTTATTTATCTTTGTACTCATAATACTCAGCATGATGTTTAGCACAGAGTTAATACTCAGTAAATATGATTTAAAAACATGAGTTTGCATGTTGCAAACTCATGTTGTAGTAATTATTATGTAGGCCATTGGATGTACATTGGATAACAGCCTTGCTGAAAGTTTCACTGGATTGCAGCAATGATATCTCTATCAGTTTGCTCAGTCTTCATAGTTTGTTGCTGATGTAGCATGGCTGTCTGCTTACAACTTAAACAAATTACTGGGAACACTGCTGTAAGCACACATTTTTCTTTAATAGCCCTTTGTTCTTTAGCCTCTGGAGATTTCTGAATTATTGTATGCTATCTAGTTTGAAACAAAATCTCAAAGAATGCAGCCTCCTGCAAAACGGTATAAATAAATATATAATATTTCAGTAGCCATATTTCATTGTATAAACAAAAGCCGATTTACTTGGCCTCCTATCATTAATAATTCCCCATTAACTGGTCCCTTTCCACAGTAACTATACAAAGAGAACTGATGTTCATAACATGAGCCCTGGGACCCTGTGGCTTTATGAAGTGACTGCTGAATCATCAAAAGAAAGTTCAAGCTCTATTCAGTCTTCTTTCAGTATAGAATATATTTTCTCTTGTTCGTTTTTGAAAGTTGTCTCATGTAGAATAGTAATTATCAAGGAGAATCTTAGATTAACCCTGTCCCTTGACCATGCCAGAAAACAGATTTCTTTAAACAGGTCTGATGACAGTAATAGGATTATTGTGTAAAATTTAAATAGCATGCCATGTATGATTTCAGTCCTTAAAGTTAGAAACCTAGATACTGTTTCTTTTCTTTCAGAGGGAATTATTTTAAGGATAATTAAATGATACTTGAATCACACCTCTGCCTCTCTGAGAAAGGTGCCAGATAAGTGCAATGCCACCAAGTGATCAGGTGCCACTTTCTCCTTCTAGTCAACATTGAAAAACTCTTACAGCTTTCATCTATGTGTTACAGATATTTTTTCTTTTATAGTTCAAGTTGATCATCTCTTACTTCAATTGGATATAAAATTTTGAAAAGTGTCTTACAATGTATATTAAGCTCTGTGAATGACATAATATGCTGTTTCTTGATATGAAATAGATACTTCTTACTTAAATGAGCATAACTCCAGATAATAGGTTAAGGCCACTTTTGGGGAGATTAGTTATTTTTTCTAGGCAATATGCTTTTGCATGGTAACTATAACATTAAATGTTATAATGTGTTTCTGGACTCAAGTGTCCATTTCTTGTTCAACCAGCTGAGCCCAGGAGATAGTAAAAATTGAGATGTAGCTCTTCACCTCTGGGAGAGAAGATTTTAGAGAATAGGGTACGGTCTAGGCTGACACCCCACATGGTATCTACTAGAGTGTTCATAGTAGAGGCAGAATAAGTTAAAAAAATCCTTGTTTTTGAGAAATTGAAATCAGGACAAGAGATTGCAACTGGTCTCTTTGCACACTCAAACTGGGGGTCATATGTGGCTGGGAGTGTGGTGGCTTTGTTTTGGCTATGTGCACATGGTATGTGAAAAGCTGGGAGGGAGGGAGAGAGTGAGGCAGAGAAAAAAAGAGAGAAGCAGAGAAACAGAGAGATTAAGAGACAAGATATCAAGCAAAAGAGATAGAAAATAGAAGTGGCTGTCTTTGCTTTGACCAGCATTGCAGTTCGTAATTCCAGATCCTCAGAATATGTTTCCCAACCTAGGATCTGTGACATAATACCATGTTCTTCCAATGCATTCCACCACCACTTTTTTTTTTTTTTTGGTCTCAGCTAGCTTAATTAACTTCTTGCTCCCTGCTCCATACTCCCAGAAGAACTCTAAATAAGATAGCCACTTGATTTTCATCTTGGTTTGTATGGAAAAAACAAAAGATAAAATGAATATTGGAACACTTGGATGGGTATTTTATACTGAAAATTTGCTTAGTGTTTACAAGGTTAGGATGATATAAGTAACTGAACTTAATGCATGACCATTTTGTAAAAACTATTAAAAACAAAATATATGTGCAGTTTACTTTTGTACCTTAATGTTATTGAGAATTATGTTGATTTTTCTACATTTCATGGGATCAGTGCATCTTCAGTCTAACTGTTGTAGGGTAGTACATTTTAGATATGTATGTGTGTATATGTACACACATATGTGTATGTGTCTGTAAACACACACTTACACAATCACTCATGCAATTTTCCCCATTTACATCATCCTTAGGGAAGATATTTAAAGGTCATGTTGCCTTTATGATTTTAGCATACTGTTGCTAGAGACTGCTGATCTTTAATTAAAAGGTCAGATCTCTCATCTTCCTCCAGTGACTTATGATTATTTTCATTACCAATGAGCTGAATTTGTATTATTTAATAAAGCTGGAATGAAATAATTATTTAATCTCTAGAGCTGTGGAAAGATTTATTAATTGTGAAGGCTAAATCCAACGTAGATATTCTCTTTTGTTCTTATAGGCCCTCCATTAACTAGTATTGTTAGAAATATCCAAGAAATATTTTGATCCATACCTTTGCTCTCTACCCCTTGGTCCTCTTGAAAGCCATATTATCTTAAACGTCTTGGTCCCAAGAACTAAGGCTGAGGCTACATTTGGCTTTGGTGCCCAACTCATTCTCTAGGGGTAGCATTTTACTTCCCAGGCCCATCTCAAGAATCTAATGCCTTCAAGCTCCTTCTAGCTAATGCTGGTGTTGTCTTTTCTAAGCTCTCTCTTCTTCTCAGTTCCCAATATTTACCACTTGCACTCCATAGACCCAGGCAAAATGGTAGTGGCTGAAGTCTCATCCCATTAGAGCTCTGTTTTGTCTGCTGTGCTTCGGTGATACATCGAGACTCATGATAGTGTGCAAAACTGTAGATGATTGGAAAGGTTCTCTATTCTGGTAAAATTGAAATTGAAGTTGGAATTGGAAATTCTGCCTCATTGTTATATAATAATTTAACCTATATAAGTAAATAATAATGAAAGCTGGGAGGTTTGGGGTATGAAAAGGGCCAAGGTGGGTTTATATGGAATTTCCCACTTCATATGATAGGAAACTATCTCCCCTTTTGAATCCTAGTGTGGACTCTGGGAGACAAAGATAGACATAGTAGTAAAGGAATAAGAATAGAGATGGAATGGCTGGAAATATTCTCTTGCTCTCCTCTGATACTCTAGTGAGGTCTTTGTTCTGTGTTTTAATTTAATTTGCTCATTCATTAATTTATTTTTTCATTCACTAAATCATTACTGAGCATCTACCTTATACTTCTAGGCATAGTGCTAGCTGCTTTGCTTATATTGATGTATTGATGACTAAAATACACACTTGTCCCTCAAGGAGTATGAAGCTAGGAAAGGAGAGAGAAAAAATAAATAAACATTATGATATCATGTCATGTTATCCTTTCTTTTGATAGGAAAAACATAGAAGAGGAATATCAAATTTAGGCCTGGATATTCAGGAAAGGCTTCTGAACAAACTCTCTTCTAAGAGATGTTCTCAGATTGAGTAGGAGTGAGCCAGGTTGAGGGACAGAGAGAGAGTGAGAGTGAGAGAGTGTGTGTGTGTGTGTGTGTGTGTGTGTCAGAGAGAAAGGTGTTTCAAACAACAGGAAGACAATGTACAGAGGCCTTGAGCTCTTTTAGGGAACAGAAATTAATTTGGTATGGCTAAAGCATAGACTACAAGGGTAGGCACAGGCAATAAAATAAGCTGAAAAGGAAATTAGGGCCCAGAATATGGAAGGATTTGTATGCCATGCTAATGGGTCTGAATATTATCCTGAAGATAATGGGGATCCTTTGAAGGACTTTAAAGTAAGAAAGTGACATGATCATTTTATTTTAGAAAAGGCACTTTGGGTGCTGGGTATGGAAGAGATTTGGCTGGGGCAAGGGAAGAGGCTGGAAAATAAGATGGATTTTAATTGTCCAACTGATGGCAGTGGCAGTGAGGATGCAGATAAATGGACTGATTTATGATATATCAGAGCTAAGGTATAGATTTTGAAACTGTCTCCATCCAATATCTACAAAAATAAGTGGCACAGAGTAGATATTCAACAAATAATTAATGAGTGAATGAGTCAAGGTATTCACTAAAGCTTGTGTAGGAATAAGTATATAGAGAGAAGGATACAGGACCTAGGACTGAGCCTAGGGCTTTACACATGTTTACAGATAGAAAAAGCTGATTAAAAAGCTGAGAAAGAAATGACAAAGAAGTAGGATGAGAACTATGGAGAAGAACAAAGCAATTGGGGTTGAGGAAGTAGAGGCAGCAAGTATAGCTTTCCCTTTCAAGATGTTTGATGGTTTGAGTATATAAGAAATAGGACCCAAGGAATATAATGTCAGAAAGAAGGGTTATTTTTAATGAGTGAAGACATGAACATTTTCATATTCATATTCAAAAATCAAGAAGAAATAAGAGGCAAGGGAAGAAAGGATTATATGGCAGAAACATATTAGATAAAAAGGGGCCACAAGTACTGTGGTGGCAGAATAATGACCCCCTCAGATGTCCACACCCTAGTCCCTGGAACCTGTGAATATGTTACTTTATCTGGTTCTATGGTCTGAATGTTTGTGTTCCCACCAAATTCATATGCTGAAATTCTGTCTACCAAGGTGATGGTATTAAAAGGTAGGAGCTTCTGGGAGGTGATTAAATCATGAGACCAGAGCCTTCATTAATAGCATTAGTGCCCTTAAAATACAGGCCCAAGGGAAGCTCATTCACCCCTTTCGCCATGTGAGGACACAGCAAGAAGGCACCACCTGTGGACAAAAAATCAGGCCCTCAACCAACACCAAGTTTATTGGTACCTCCATCTTGAACTATCCAGCCTCCGTAACTGTGAGAAATCAATTTCTGTTGTTTATAAGCTATCCAGTTTATACTATTTTGTTATAGCAGCTCAAATGGAGTAAGAAACCTGGAAGAAAAGATTTTGCAGATGTGATTAAATTAAGGACCATGACATAAGATTAGCCTGGACTACCTGGGTGACCCCAGTATGTTCACAAGGAGATGTAAAAGAGTGAGAGGTGAAGATGTGATGAGAAAAGCAGTGTCAAAGTCAGAGAGATATTTGAAGATGCTATTCCACTGGCTTTGAAAATGGAGGAAGGGGGCCATGAGCCAAGGCATGCATATAGCTTCTAGGAACTGGAAAAGACAAGGAAACAGATTTTTCCCTGAAGCCTTTAGAATGGAGTACAGCCCTGCTGACACCTTGATTTCAAACCAGTGAGCCCTGTGTTGGACTTCCCCAGAACAATAAGATAATAACTTAGTACTGCTTAAGCCACTAAGTCATAGTAAATAGTTGCAGTAATGATAGGAAATAAATACAGGCACCAATGGAGTTGTGTGCCTTGAAAAGGAGGACTGTATCTTCTTGTGAATCTAAAGGAAACATAGAAAGTGAATAGTGCAACAGGGAAATTTAAATGTGCAGTGAGAGTTTGTGTGTGTTCAGATTCAGACAGGCTCTTTGGGAAATATAGGAGGGTGTACCTATAGCCTCAATAACCTCAGCCCACTGAATACATCAGAACTAGTTAACACAGACCCAAATGTCAAAAGCCCATCATTGGTTGTGATTATTTTAGTGTAGCTAGACTCTACTCTAACTAAACATATTATACAATGATTGAAACATCCCAAATAGGCATTCATACTGCTCAGAAGGATTTTTTAACATGTCAATTTCCCGCTATATTTTAAACACCACAAGGGTAGGGCATACATATGTCTTTTTTCACTGTTAATTTCCCATGCCTTGAACAGTGCCTGGCATATCACAGGCACCCAATGAGTATTTGCTAAATAAACAAGTAAAAAGAATTGCTCCACCATAAGGAGTCTCCTAAGAATTAAGGAATATTTAAAACATATTATTTACAAACAGTTTTCATGAAGACAGATTTTGTGTAATGAAAGACATACCTGCAATTGGATTTATCATTCATTCAACATATCTAGCATTTTTTGGCTTTTACACTCTGTTCTAGGGAAGGAGACATAGTAGTCAACAAAACCAAGCCCCTTCTTTCATGCAATGGTGTAATATTTTTAGGGGAGACAGAAAAGAAAAATGTACACTATGAATTCACAAGCAGTTTTGTACTTCTTTCAATGAAATGGCATAGTTTATCCCATATTAACAGGATTTGAGCGTTGTGTGATATTCCTAGTAAATGAGTTTGTAGTGAGCCATCCATGTTCTTATCTAGTCCCCCTGATATGGTTTGGCTCTGTATTCCCACCAAAACCTCATCTTCTAGCTCCCATAATTTCCACATGTTGTGAGAGGGGCCATGTGGGAGATGATTGAATCATGTGGGTGGGTCTTTCTCGTGCTGTTCTCGTAATAGTGAATGGGTCTCATGAGATCTGATGGTTTTAAAAATGGGAGTTTCCCTGCACGAGCTCTTTTGTTGCCTGCTGCCATCCACATAATAAGTGAGTTGCTCCTCCTTGTCTTCCACCATGATTGTGAGGCCTTCTCAGCTATGTGGAACTGTAAGTCTAATAAACCTCTTTCTTTTATAAATTACCCAGTCTCAGGTATGTCTTTATCAGCAGTGTGAAAATGGACTAATACAGTAACTTGGTACCAGTAGAGGGACTAATACACCCTCTTTCTATTAGATTCTGCCTGGGGGTGGTTTGTTGATAGAATAAAGGAGGAAAACCAGCATTTGTTGAATGAATTCTATGTTCCAAGCACTGTACTGGGCCGGCGTACCTTCCTTCCTTCCTTCCTTCTTTCCTTCCTTCCTTTTTCCCACTTCCCTTCCCTTTTCTTCCCTTCCCTTCCTCATTATCTATCTACCTAAAATGTATGCAGCATTTACAATTTAATGATAGTTACATGCATTATTTTCTATCATTATCCTTATTTTACACATAAAGAAACAGGCTCAGAGATGCATAGGAAGTGCTCAAGACCACACAGCTAGTAAATGGTGGAGACAGGAATTGAGAGCTTGCTTAGCTCCAGACCTCATTACACAAAAACTGTTATGCCACTGTGTCTGGCCCAGTTGACATTGAATACATGACCAAAACGTCTTTTTCTCTACATTTTAATAAGCTATGGTAAAAGACTCCTGAGCTGTCAATTTGAATTGGAATGCTAACAGGCCACTATCTAACATAATACTGCTATGGACAAAGGCCTAGTCTCCCTAAGCCTAATGTTTTGAGGAAGTTACTGATGTTGGAAACAGGAAGCACTGGGCTGTTGAAGCACAGTCTGCCAATGTGCTAACTAGTGTGTGAATCTGGAGGCTGTTTTACCAGGTTCCCTCAGAGTGCTATACCTTTCTGTGGACTCCCTTCCTCTGCCACAAACTTTACCTTTGCTTTTACTCACTGGCTTTCTGCATTTCACAATCTCATTAATTGCCTGGCCCAGGTCCCTGATGCAGTGCTGTGATTGGAGAAGCACTACAAGCTGTACCTGGTTATGAAGACGGGCTGGGACTAGAGTGTGGGAGACAATAAACTGCTTTTAATTAGCTGCAGCTGATTTCCCGTAACTGGGATGCAGTTCTGGAGTGCTGCAGCTCAGATTATTTGAATAACAGGCAGCATTGACTGAGAGCTCCCATACCCTGATGGGAGTCTGTCTAGTTTGAGCTGAAGAAGCTGATGTGATTAAGTGTGGGGTTTTTGATTAGGTGGACTTTGACAAAGCTTATTTGATTGTGTCAGGCTGGAGTTTCTTGAGGAATTGCTTGTGTCTCAAAATTGAACCACAACTTGACATGTCTGGGAACTTGGGATTTCCAGGCTGTGAGGCTGAAGGAATTAATTTTAATTGGCTAAAAGTAAAGACTGAGGAATTCAGAATATCACACAAGCCCCTATTATCTCATTCAACCATTTGTTTTCCTATCATGGACCCTGATTTAAATGACATCCACAGGCTCTGGAGATCATTTTATAATCTTTGCACTGGGCCTGAGAGTTACAAATGTACCCCGCCAGATATGTTTCTTGGCCTCACACTGCAGGACTTATACCTGGGCCATGTTTCACTCAAGCAACCATAATAGAGCCTCTAGGCAGGTCATCTGCAACAAGGCAATGGAGGGAGTAGGGGAGGTTAGGAGTAGGCATGATGTATACCTCATGTGTAACTAATTATTTATTTTACTAAACACTGTAACATTATGTGCTTTCTGGATAGAGGAAATCTATGGGACCTGCCATAAAGATGGAGATCAGTTGTTCCTTAATCACTGTAAGGCTGTATCTTACTGGCAACTCAAAAGAATTCCTGGGCCACATCCTCCATGAAACTAAGGAGAGACTCTTAACATTGTGAGGGTTGTAGCTTATGTATGTACTTACTTCTTGTGTTTGGGGGTTGCTGACCATTTAGCTTTATATAAGAATGTGGTGAATGTTACATCAAAACATATATCAAAACATGACATTGAATACCTTGAATATATACAATTTATATTTGTCAATAAAAATTTACTGTACTCCAATAAAGCTGGGGAAAAATTTTGCCTGAACAATTCAGCTTGGACAATCCAGCTCAGTGGATTTTCCAGCAGGCCTCTGACAGGGCCCTTGGAATAGTTTGTAAAAGAGTGGTGCTCTCCGAGTTAAGAGAAATTGATCTCATGTTGTAGGCACCTCTGTGTTGAGCAATGAGTTATTAATGCCCACTTCAAAGCTCCTAAACAGACTCAGCTTTCCATAGAGCTAACTCCACAGTAGTTTCCATCACCAGTAGTGTCTTGCTAATGACATAGAACCTTGAACATGATTTTTAAAAAGAGCATGAATATCTATTGAATGAGAACTGTTTCTGAAGGCGGACCGATGTGATATCCAATCTTAATTCCCTGGGTGATTCTGTAGCAATTGTGTGCCAGATCTATGTGCTTGCCTCTCCTCTGCTACAAGTTTATAAAAGGCAAACATTTTAAGTAACACAAAAGCTGCAACGACCCATCCAGCCTAGGATTCTACCAGTAACGGTGTCAGCAAAGGATAGATTCTGAGGACACACGGCTACTTGTGTGATGTCCTCTTAGTGCCTCCTGAAAGTTGGGAGAAACAGACAGGCAGACACACACACTATTCCATGCTTCCCTTGCCAAAGCATCTTCCTTATAAATAAAAATTAAGAAAGATTAATTAGTTTGCTGCTGTAGAGCATGTGGAAGATGGCTGTTCCCATGATGCATGTAGAGAGGGTGCTATAGGCCTACGATTCATTGCTCTGTCAGCAGTGTGAGATACACTGTATGAAAATGCCATATAAATGCAAATACAAATACAAACATCACATTTCCCTGTTGGCTAGTGATAAGGTGCTCATCCAGATGAGACATTAAGATTTAAATGCAGAAAAGTAATAGCTGGGAAGCGAAAAAATGCCACAATTACTCCTCAAACAAAGTTTCCTTTTTAAGAAAGCCATTAAAGTGCTTCCTGTAACCCTTCCCCCTCCAATGACAGTTATTTACACAGCCTAAATGGGTAGGCTATAGTAAAAAATGATGCATTTGTGATTAATTCAATTAGGAAGAGGACAAATTTTGATGTCCAAAGGAAGGTGTCTTCCCTGGAGTTGAGTAGCTCCTGACCAAGTTGCCTCTGATATGGACTTTAGTTATTGATTTAATAATGATTTTGGATCCTGACTTTATATAATCCCTTACATTCCTCAAGTGCTTTAGATGGAAGGGAAAAAGCAACAGAGTAGCCCTGTGAAGGCTTAGCCAACTGCCTGGCACTTCCTTCCTAAGAAAGAGGAGTGTGCAGAGAGCCATTTTCTCAGTTGTGCTTCCTGATTGTGTTTCAGCCTGATGGCTTACTATTGATATAAGAAATCCCTTAAAATGAATGTGAAAAGAGAATGAATAATGGAACCATTGAATTTTAAAGCTGAAATGGGCCTCAGAAGATTTTCACATTGTTCCAGAACTGAAAATTTAGCCAGACTATGAGCAGTGAAGCTTTTCAATCCAATCAGTATTCTTGTATAAGAACATAAAAATTCTCACTTGGGTTTCAACCAGTCTAAAATTACAAAAACTGGGACCCAAAACCAAAGGATATTTTGCAGGTAGACCTGCTTGTCCTTCCTGACATCATCCACAAGGTTTAAGGACCTCCTAAACAACCTGTTTCCCTTTATAACCCATCTGAGAGCTGACGCTCTGAATTACTGAAACTCTTCTTGAACCAGTTTGCATTATCCACCTGCCTCCTAGATTGGAAAACTGTCTATTCTAACTCCAGTTTATTGGTCCCTAGGCTATCTTCCTCAAGTTTCAAGTTTGGAATGTGGTAAGGAAGCTCAGATTTAAACTTCTGGGAATATTTGTATCTTTTCCTTCTGACTAATGAGCAGGAATGAATAGCAATAATATCCATTCAGACTATCTCAGGGTGTCACTTCTCTCTGCTTAACACTTAGGATAAATAGCTTCTCGTTGTCTATTGTATCTAAGTAGTATGGGCCAACTTGACATAGGGGATCTGCCATTAACTTAATCATTGATCATCTATATCAGAAGTAAGCACACTATCTATGGCACATGGTCTGGTTGCCTTGTTTGGTACAGTTATATTGAACACAGTGTGCTCATTTGTTTATATTTACCATCTATAGCTGCTTTCACACTATAAGAGCGTAATTGAGTGGTTGGAATGGAGATTGTGGCTCACAGAGCCAAAAATATTTACTATCTGGCCCTTTACAGAAAAAGGTTGATGACATCTGGTCTATAACACTGGTTTTTTGAGCTATGTAATGCAACCGCAGAAGAAGCATTTTCAGAATACAGATTGCTAGGCCCTATCTTGGTCCTATTAAATAAGAACACTTGGGGGTGGTCCTTGGGCTTGGTGTTATGAAAAAAAAGGTACGGGATGGATGATACTAATATACCTTCATTAGGAAGCACTGTTCTCTAGGGACATTTTGACTTAGAACCATAGCTTATGGGTACAATTTGAGTCACATTAAAAATAGCAACACATTTAACTAATTCTTCCCTAATTGCTGACCTAGGATCTACATATCCCCTCCAAAGTCACATCTAAGTTATTGTTGGGAGTTCTCAGGGGTTTTTAATGTTTATTCTTGAATTAGTTTGCCATTGCTAATTACTACTTGCCACCCATTATCAATAAATATGCAGTATGTATCCTCTTGCCCATCAAGTACCATCTCTTCCACTGGACATCTACCAGGTATGGCCTTATCTGCCAGGCACCACTGTCTTCTGCAAAAACTGATAAACCAGAGCCCTCAAAATGTCAAATCTACACTGCTTTTCATTGGCAAGTAGGAACAGATTCTTCCTGTCCCCTTTGTATTCCCCTGTATTAGAGGTATATTCCCCTGTATTAGAGGTATATCCACATATTGATGCTTATGCCCAGGATCTTACAGCGATCTTACCAAAACATTTTAGTTTTTACATGTTCTCTGTAAGCCTCAAATGTGAATTCAATATGGACTGGGGAAGGACACAAATCCTTTGTACTTAGATTCATCCATTCTTTGTTTTCAATTTAAGTTTGTTGTGTCTGGTTACTCCTTAGCTTAGGAAAAATTATCTCCTAGACGGTTTCTCAGACCCTCAAGTAAGTAGGTCTACTCCACCAGTTCCCCAGGCATGACAAAGTGAATGTCAGAATCCCATTTTAGGTTCATACTATAAAACTATTTGCTCCCCTGGCCTCTAGCTCTTACCTCACAACCCTCGGAAGACTTCTTGGCAAACATTTCAAATTTATAATCAGCGCTAAGTTGAAAGACATAGAATGTTTAAGTGTATATTTCTTCCCATCAGGATATGGGTCACAAAGTCCTGAGGGAAAGAATTACTTCGGTAGATATTCTCTTTTCTTTAAATGGACAAATACAACAAAATAAACTATATGTTGAGAGATATTGCTAAAGTTGAAAGTGTCTAGAGAGGGCTAATAAGGACATTTAACAGTTTTTTTTTTTTAAAAAAAAACATTTTAATTGAGGGAATGTGAATATTTAACCTCAAGAAAAGGAGACAAAAGGAAGATATAATAGATGTCTTCAAATATTTAAAAGGATGCTGATAGAAAGATGTAACTTACTTTTATATCTGAGTTGGACAGAACTAGAACTAATGAATGAAAACCAGAATGAAATAGAGTTCAATTTAATCTAAAAAAAATGACTGTATGACATTACAACAGATGATTGTAAGAATCAGTAAGTTCACCTTTACTGTACATATCCTAGTTAAAAACCAGGATGGCCAACTTTCCAGGATATAGTACATGTGATTCCTGTACTAGATGAAAGATTTACCATCTTCAGTAGGTTTCAAACTGAGCTTTGAGAGGCCCTAAGGTGTTCCACACAAAAGCATCAGAAGCAGCTAGCTAGATAAGGAGTGGGGAAGGTAGGTCAAAAAGATAAAAGTAAGTTTACAATAAATCTGAGAAGGCAAAATAATACTGTAATGTCATTCTTGACCACCATCGCATCTTTAGTCCTCAGGACACCACCTGGCACATACTAGGTGCTTGATAATTAGTGAACAATTGAGCAAAGGAATGAATGAGGGGAAATATATCATTACCAATAACAATAAGAGCAAAGTAATAGAATACAAGAAAGATAAAGGAATGCAAGCATTGTGTGTGTGTGTGTGTGTGTGTGTGTGTGTGTGTGTGTGTGTGTGTGGTGTGAGGGTGGGGTTATAGGGGGCAGGGGCGGAAGAGCAGTGAATCTATCACTGAAGATTCCTGGGGTAGGGAAAAGTGACTTTTGAGGTGAGTTTGAGTTTTGAAGGGGGTGAAAAATATAGGATGGCAGAAGGTGAAGTAAGAGAAGGCAGAATAATAATCTAAGTTTCCTAAGGGCAGGTACCTTATCTGTTTTGTTTACACCCACATGTTCAGTACATGGCACAGTTTATTGCATGCAGTAGTGCAACATAATTTGTTAAATCAATACATGTATGCATATGTGGTAAAGGAAATGAATAATGTACAGAGCATAATAGGTTGATCTTATAATTTCAACGTCGGAAGGTACAAATAGTTCGAACTTGTTTCCTTCAAACTTACATCTTCAAATAATATTCTAGAATTTCCTTCTTCTGGATAAACATCTCTAGTGTCTCCAGCCATTCTTTATGTCATATTTTGTTTATGCCACTTGCTAGCTGTGTGTCCTTGGTTAGGTTCCAAACCACTGCAAGTTTCTGTTTTCTTACCTGTGAAATATAGATTGTAAAAATGATACCTTATACAGCTGTTATGAGGATTCAACGAGATAATCTGTGTAAAGTGTTGGCATGTGATAAATGATCTTTTCTCTCTTAAAAGTCCAACATAGTACAGTAGAATCGTCAAGACATTGGTCCAAATTTTGGCACCACCTCTTATTTACTGTTTGAACTTAGACATGTTACTGAATACCTCTGAGCCTCAGAGAGTAGCCATGCTCTTTTTGTGAGTACTAAGTGAGCTTATACATGTAAAGCATTAAGCATATTACATGATAAGTGCTTAATAAGTAGTAATTATTACCATTATGATTATCTGGCAAGATCTCAATTGCTTCTGTCCTGATCCCCCTCTTCCGAACACTTTCCCAGTTGGTGCACATCCTTATAAAGGAGTGGTGGCCAGAAGTCAATACAATACCTCAAGTATAGTTTGACCAGAGGATAATGAACCAGCTTTATTATCTTCCTTAAATACCATACATTTAATACCATATTTTAGATTGCATTAGCTTTTCTTGGTAGCCCATGATCAATGCTGACTCATATTGAGCTTAATGGGAGGAGTGTCATACAGGGTGATAAGTCATACCTTCTTTTGTTTTTGTACATGTGGTTATTTATTTATTTATTTATTTATTTATTTATTTAGAGTCAGAGTCTCACTCTGTCACCCAGGCTGGAGTGCAGTGGCACAGTGGCTCAATCTCAGCTCACTGCAACCTCCACCTCCCGGGTTCAAGCAATTCCCCTGCCTCAGCCTCCTGAGTAGCTGGGATTACAGGCACCCGCCACCACGCCCAGCTAATTTTTTAGTAGAGACGGGGTTTCACTGTATTAGCCAGGATGGTCTCGATCTCCTGACCTTGTGATCTGCCTGCTTTGGTCTCCCAAAGTGCTGGGATTACAGGTGTGAGCCACCGCACCCGGCCACGTGGTTTCTTAGATATTCATTCAAGATTTCTTTGGGAGATGGGTCTCCTCTATTTAATTCCTAGCTATGGACAAGCCAGTTAACTCTAGAAAATTCAGCTTACTAGTTGTAGAATGGGTGCAGTAAGTTACCCACAGCAAGTTGTCTAGAGGGTTGATACATTTAAAGAATCCTTAGAGATTTCCTATAGGATGTGAGGTAAGTCTCCTACATGAAGTAGTAATGTTTCTTCCAGAATAGTTAGTTGTGTTTCATTGCTTTCTCTAAATATACATTGGAACAATTCTGATGTTTCCAAAGGGCATTATTTATTCAACATGCCATTAGGCTTGCCCTGGCTGGTTGTACTGATAACACTTGATCTTGCACCCTGAAAAATGCATTAGTAAGAGGTCAATGAAACTCATGACAATGGCAATAAAAAGTTGAGCTTCCAATTGAAAATATTTTAATAAAATAGTGGGCAATAGTAAATTATTTCCATCCTCATGTGTGCCTGTATAAGTAGTGAAGTGTGAACAATAATAAACATATCATAGAGTTTAACAACATGGATTCTGAAGTCAGACCACTTGGATTTAAATTCCAGCTCTACCATATATTAGCTGTATCACCTTAGGTGGATTACTTCTTTGTGCTTCAGTTTACTTATCCATAAATTGGTATAAAAACAGTACCTACCTCATAGAGTTATTATAAGGATTAAATGAGTTTAATCACTTAGAATGATGCCTGGCTGGCAGTAAGTGCTATGTGTTAGCTATAATTCTTATTCTAGTATTACTATAATTCTAGCTATAATTCCAATACTACTCTCCTGCTGTGTTTTACGGATACATTAATGAATATGAGGTCCCTAATTCACATTCCAACCCATTTAGAAAACCTGTTGGCTCTATCTTTAAAATATATCCAGAATTTACCTACTTCTCTTTAGTTCCACTTCTACTATACTGGTGCAAATGACTATTGTCCCTTTTCTTGATTATTGAAATAGCCTTCAAATAATTCCTACATTCACCTTTTCTCCTGCTCCAACTGTTCTTAAAACAACAACCAGAGAGTCTGCTTGTCAAACCTTGGTTGGATCATGACTTTCCAGTGTTGAACACACACTAATGACTTTCATTTCAGAGTAAACCCTGAAGTCCTTACATGGCCTAAAATGATCTTCATGATCAAGCCCCCATAACCTCTTTTACCTCCCCTCCTTAGTGTCTCTCTTAATCTTTCCACTCCAGTTATATTGGTATTCTTGCTTTTTCGCAAATACATCAGGCACACTTGTCAGGGCCTTTGCATATGCTGTTTTCTCAGCCTGGAAACTCTTCCTCCCGATATCCACATGGTTCACTCTCTCATCTCCTTCAGGTCTTTGCTCAAATCTCATTTTTTCAGTGAAGCCTTTCCTGACCTTATTTTTAAAACTGCACCCCCTCCAAATCAGCATCCCACTCTCCTGCCCCTGTGAATTTTTTCTATGTAGCATTGAATATCATCAGCTAAAACAAGTGATTTAATTTATTTGAATATAGCTGCCTCCATCCTTCCTCATTAGAATATAAGTTCTTTGAGGTCAGGTACTTTGTTTTGTCCAGTGATACAGTAGATCAGAGCTTGGCCATGTAGGTACTCAGTAAATGCTTATTGAATGAATGGTGTTTAAGCTATTTTCTGGATGTTGCCTGAAAGCATGTCATAGTACTTAGAACTATTAGATACTTAACATCTTAGACCTCAATATTTTCAGTAATGATACTTACTTTTTTCTATTTTCAGAAGAAAACGTTTTATCAGTCATAGTTAATGGAAGACGATCTGAATATCTCATCAAAATCTAGAGCGTGAATTAAAGGAAGAGTAGCTTGGATGCCCTAGTGGCAGTATATCAGGTTAGAGGAGTTAGAAATCCTAAAATAATAGAATTCTTAAATTGAAAAAAGCCTGGAATATTTTAGAGAACACATTTAGTTATTTAAGACATGGGCAAATTAAGATGCAAAAGTTCCTATGTTTTGTTAGCAGCACATTGAACTTCAGATTCTTATGTAGACATCAAGTTCCATGCCATTTTTACTGTATGCGATCTTTATCTAAGTAGGGGCCAGTGTACCATCTGGTTAAGTACATTCAACATACAGAAATAAAACAACTTGAGACCAGCCTGAAAACTAAATGTAGTGAAGGCAAAATAACTTTATAAAATCTGGATCCTTAAAGGAGAGGAAGAATTCTGGTCAGAATGGGTATGGGTTAATATGGAATGCTTCTTTAAAACAATGCATTTTGATGGATTTTTGAAAGAGGTAAAAGGCTTGAACTAAAAGAGAAAATAGTTTATATTTTGGATAAGGAAAAGAAATAGACTTCTCAAGATCTTAGAGCAGGAATTAATGAGTTATATTTTATGTTTTTTTTTCCCCCGTAGGAGTCAAGGTTACTGCAAAAATAACCTTGGCTACAGCAAAATGACCAGTTCTTTGCAAAATGAGGCTTATTTCACTAAAAACAAGTTATTCTCCTTAGACTCACCAGGCTCATAGTTGAATGCCAAATAATCAATGCAAGATTTGCTATTTGTTAAGCAATCTGCAAATGGCTATGTGAAAGCAAGGTTAGTGGTTTGCGGGTGCTGAGAGAGGTCAGGAATTGGCTGGGTTGTTTTGTATTTGTGGTGGTATAGTCTGTGCAAGTAGATGCTAAAAGGGGAAAGGGCTTAGGATATTAGGAAGTGAGGGCTAATTTCTGGAAGAAACAGAAAAAGAAGCAATAAAGACATTTGAGCATCATTCTCTACCTCATTCACATTTTGCTTTCTACCTGGTCATGATAGAGATGCAATTAATATTTTTGTCTTTAAATCCATATGCCAGACAACTCGTTACTTATTAGATGTGTGACATTGAGTGAGGTGCTTAACATCTCTGAGCCTGTGTCCTTATCTCTAAAACAGGTGATAACTCTAGCCACCTCTTAAATTGACTGTGGTGACTAAATTAGATGGTGCATGTAAAGCATCTAATATACTGCCTGGTACATAGTAGTCAGTCAGCCATGTGTATCCTTTGGTTTATATTACAAGGCTTCATATTTGTATTATACTTTGCCAAATGTAATGCACAATAATATAAATTCTTATGTGCTCCTTGCGTATACCTGGTGAGGTAAATGCCATTTTTATGATGATTGTTATTGTCAGTAATTTTATTTTTAAAAAGGGCTATGTGCTTGTAATTATAACTACTTAAAAGCAATTTCTGCCTGGGTGCAGTGGCTAATGCCTGTAGTCCCAATGCTTTGGGAAGCTGAGGTGGGTGGATCATTTGAGGCCAGGAGTTTGAGACCAGAGACCAGACTGGCCAACATGGTGAAACCCTATCCCTACTAAAAATACAAAAATTAGCTGTGCGTGGTGGCATGCACCTGTAATACCAGCTACTCTGGAGGCTGAGGCAGAATAATTGCTTGAACCCTGGAGGTGGGGGTTGCAGTGAGCTGAGATCATGCCACTGCACTCCAGCCTGGGTGACAGAGTGACAATCTGTCCCAAAAAAAAAAAAAAAAAAGAAAAAAGAAAAGAAAAGAAAAAAGAAAAACAAAAGCAATTGCTAGCCTGTATATAAATGTTGTTTTATTTTCTGTTGCGTTTTCTATGTAAAATCATTCTCTTTACTACACTGCTTCAAAATCTGGGGCCAGTGCCTACATCTTTCTAAATGATTATTTCTTCAACCACTTATTCCTTCATTGGAGCAAACAGATGTGGGGCGTTTGTTAAGAGGAGCTCTTTAAAGGGCACTATTAGGTTTCTGCTTTTAGAGATGGGCTTTTCTGACCTTTTAGAAGGTAAGATCTTTTATCTGGAAGGAAGATAATGTCTGTTTATGTTGACGAGTGTCTATTTGGATGTTATAGAGAGTTGCTGATGTTGACATACCATGTGCTGAGTTTAGGCTGGCTTATAACTTATATCAGGGTTCTGGAGGCCACAGTTGTAAAATAGCTAAAGACGTATGTTCCTTGGGCAATATCCATCAGGAGATTAGCTTGCCCACTATGTGTAATTGATGTCAGTGACAGCCATATGGAGCAGCCACTGCCATGATACCAGCTGCAGTGGGGGAGTTGTGGCCAGGGCTGTGTGCTCCATGGAGCCAGCAGGAGCCAGGAGCAGGCAGGAGCCCTGCCCTCCTAGGCACAGCTGCAGCCACCCAAGTTGTGGCTGTGGACCCAGGACTCCCTATGTTTTGGGGGCTGGGAGCAGGCAGGAGCCCTGTCCTCCCAGGCACAGCTGCAGCCACCCAAGCCATGGCTACAGACCTGGGCATCTCTGCACTCTTGGGGGCCTGGGAAGGCCCACCCTGCCTCTGCAGGCTCAGAGGTGTCTGCTCCTGCTGCCTGGCCACTCCCAGCTCCTGGTGCCCACTCCAATTTCAGAGCCAGGTTGGGGCCAAGCCATGCTGTTGCAGCCTGGCCAGCTGTGTGTAAACTCAGGGCAGTGCTGACACACCAGGCCCTTGCTGCCTTGGTGTCCTCCAGACTTCGGGCATGGAGGAGCATGGGAGGGAGGCTGAGTGGAGGTTGAGGGCAGTTCAGCACTGGCCTGCAGGTGCCTTTTGGCATAAACAGCCTGGGTGCCATGAATGATGGCAGGAGGCAGACAGGCTTCTTGGCGGAAGGGGGTGGGACCTGGTGAAGCCCCACCTTTAAGCCAGGGAGGGCCTAAATCCTGAGGGATGGGTTGCCAGTTCCCTGGACTGGAGTGTGAACTTTTGGTGTTTTTTCCAGGCCTTCCTAGGCCCACATATGGATCAATTAACACGCACTTCCTCCACTCTGAGACCCATAGAAACTCCAGACTCAGCCAGACTCAAGCAGACCACTGGGTGGCCAGCTGCAGAGAGGAGCTATCCACTCCAGGGTCTCCTCTCTGCTGAGAGCTGAACAGACAATGGGATGGCCAGCTGTGGAGAGGAGCTACCTACTCCAGGGTCTTCTTTCTGCTGAGAGCTGAACACTTGTCAGAACACCCTGCCTGCGGAGAGGAGCTACCCAATGTGGGCCTCCTCTGAGCTGTTCTGTTGCTCAATAAAGCTCCTTCTCATCTTGCTTACTCTCCACTTGTCCACGTACCTCATTCGTTCTGGACGCAGGACAAGAACTCGGGTCCCACCGAATTCTGGGGCTAAAAGAGTTGTAACACAAGCAGGGCTGAAACACATCCTTTGCTCATCACATTGTGGGCAACAAGAAGGAGAGAAGAAAGAAGGGGAGAAGAGCTGCAGCCTTTTGGTGGAGGGCCAGACCTAGGAGCATCCTGAGCCAGAACTGTGACATCCTCTTTGGATCTCTGTGTTTCATGGCATCTCCAAGCTTCCGAGGACCACTGTGTTTCCTGGTGCCAGCTGTAGAAGCTGCTTGCAGTATGCCTGGTCCAGCTGCAGCCTTGCAGGGAGCTGGCCCACTGCCAGTGCCTGGATCTGCCCACCCTGCCGCAGAAGGCATTCCTGGCTGTGTGTGGTGGCTGTTCCTCATACTCACTCACACAACCCTCTCTGCTCTGCACCTGGCTCACCCTTGGCAGGCATGGGATCCAGGCCAGTAGTGTGGCTGAGTGCAGCCTGCCAGGTCAAGTGGGTGGAGTGAGCCCAGAGGGCCCAAGCAAAACTCAGGTAAAGGTGCCACTGGCCACAGAGGTTTGCAGCTGGTGAAGCAACACCCCAAGAATCCCATGACACAAACAAGGTTCTAGGCAAAAGAAACAGATGGGAGAGTGAACAGCAAGGTGAAGAAATTGAATCAGTCAGTCTCTGAACACTATTGGAGCTCAATTTCTCAGATACTTAACTCCCAGCAATACTCCTGCATTTTTTGAATTACAGTCTAAATAAAGGATACAGAATATTTTTAAAAAAGAAAATGTGCTTGAGGGAAAGACAGAAACAAAGAGAAAAGAAGCACACTTGTACAACCCCCTCCCCACAAAAAAAGACAGTCAAATTAAGAGAGACAGATTGAGGAAAACATAAACAGAGAGAGATGAACAACAGAGAAATGCCTTATTCTCTTTATTAATGTAGAAGTATGCTCTGGCTGGAGTTCAGAGTGAGACCAACAATCTTCTATGGGGACTGCTTATATAACGAGGAGCATAACATCTACTGGAAAATGTCATTGTTCTGCTCAGAGACACTGGAGCCACTTGGGACATGTTGGGAAATCTATCACCTAGCAAGTACATAATGGGAGGTGGGAATGGGAATGTCTAAGTAGCTATAGAATGTGCAATGCCTCTGGAGTCACCAACATAATAAGATTTCAGTGATCAAGGCTCCCATTCTGTGTCTAGGAGGACGGAGGCCAGACAAAGCCTACTAGGTAAAATCACACCCACACCTGGAAAGAAATAATTTTTTTCTACTCAAAATAGATAGAATGGTGGGGAGATAATAAAATGATGATGTTCAAAGTGTTAGAGGTAGGCATGTAGGTCAAAATGGGAGAAGGGGAGTGATACAGAAAACATGGATAGAAATGATCTAAAATATGATAGGTATAACTGAGTTTATATCCTAGCAATAATTTAGAAAATATAGTAGGCAACCTAAGATGGAGAGTAAGAAAATAAAAGAGAATGTCAATATTAATATCTTGATGAGTGATTACTCATTCAACAGATGATTGATCTATTAGATTGTGAACTGAGGAATATGTTAATTATCTTGAAAGCAACTACTTTCAGTCATGAATACTGGGCCTAATAATCCCATCCAGGCTTCAGATGGGAAACTTCAGGGTAATAACTTCTGACAGGAGTCCTCTGAGTAGAAGACAGATGTCTTGTTTTTGTTTTTTTTTGTTTTTTCTTTTTTTGAGATGGGGTCTTGCTCTGTCGCCCAGGCTGGAGTGCAGTGGCATGATCTCAGCTCACTACAAGCTCCGCCTCCCAGGTTCATGCCATTCTCCTGCCTCAGCCTCCCAGGTAGCTGGGACTACAGACACACACCACCACGTCCGGCTAATTTTTTGTATTTTTAGTAGAGATGGGGTTTCACCGTGTTAGCCAGGATGGTCTCGATCTCCTGACCTTGTGATCTGCCCGCCTCGTCCTCCCAAAGTGCTGGGATTACAGGCATGAGCCACCATGCCCGGCCGACAGATTTCTTTTATAATAAGAACAGTATTTGTAATTTTTAACAATTTTAGAGTTAAAACTATATAAGTAAATTATGATCATCACACACAGAAAAATATATGAAATAGACATATAAAATAAAAAGTAATTAAGACCACCCCTACTCTCGTTGTTCAGAACTGAACACTGTTCATATTTTGGTATCTGTTCATTCAGCCTTTTTTCTCTATCCCTAGATGATACTCATATATATTTAAAAATATAAATAATAGCATACTATATACACCTCTCTGTTATCATTTCCCCACAATATATTATATATGCTTTTCCATATCAATTCATACAGTTTTAGGAAGTATCTACATTATAATTTGTTATGAATACACAGTATTCTATTGTATGGATGAACCACATTTTATTTAACTAGAATTTGAACTCAGGCCTAACACCAAAGATTATGTCTTTCCCCAAAAAGGATGAAACAAGATATAACTAAAAGTGTACAAATTACTTGTAAAATGGGAAGGGTCTGACTATAATGAAAGCAAACTAAGGTTCCTTGTATTGTTCTTAGGGATAACATAAAGATAATGATTCATTTTATTTTAAGTCAAGTATGCATGTTAAAATATCAATGCTGACTTCTAAAACAAAACAAACACAAAAACAACTTTTTTATCCATTCTCCATGTAGTAGCTTGAAAGATAACTTGGTTACGAATATACATTGTTTTAGAGAACCCATACAGTGCAGTGAAAAGAGCACTGGAATAGGAATTTGAAGAACAATATACCTCCTTTAACTGAACTGGTTACTAACTGTATGACCCAGTAGACATATTCACTCAACAGAGATAGATCTGAAGAAAAGGAGAGGTAAAGGTTTTGGTTTACTTTGTTTTCTACCTTGTTAGAGGTAAGAACAATTTATATTTTGTCATTTTATTCTATTTGTATTTGAGTATCTCTTATAAGTGAGTACCAGAGCAATTGCTCAGCTGGCCTTTCTCTTAATCTGATTCTGTCTGCTCCCTTACATGTGCCTCAGAGTACAGACTCTATGGCTGATGAAAGATTTCTTTAGCTATGCCACCCAGCAAACTCATTGCTTTGGAATAGCTTCCTTGTCAACATTTTTCTGGTTCTGCCTTCGGAGGGCAGTGTGGCAGGGGGAAAGTGGTGGTGGGAGATGTGGGGGTAGAAAACCATGCATACTGACAGAGGTGGTTTTCATGATGGCAGTAATCTCCGTAAGCATAGAAATTGTGTCTATTCATATCACCAATGATCCTCCTGCAAAACCCATTCGAATGAACTCCAAAATTACACAGATATAAAGAGAAGAGCCAAATCTTTGTTCTGTCCTTAATAAGCTCTTGCTGTGCTCCCTTTTCCATGCTGTTCTGCTCAGTGCCACTGCCCTTTATCATATCCTGTCTCCCTTCTCACTTTCTGTGTATGCCTAGATCACAGCTTCAGGCCCAAAGCCCACTTAACGTTTTTCTGCTATCAAAGTACACTGTACCCACAGCATTGTATCCAAAGAATAATTGGTATGTCCAGAGAGTATGCAAGCCTACAGCCTATTCTCCTATTAGTCTTTGATATTGGTACTAAACCAGGATGGCTAGTTAATGAGCCAATTATTTTAGGACAGGCCAGTAGATCTGGACACATAGCTCTATAGCTTTGAGGTTTTATTTTACTTAAGGCCTCTTTTCTTCAGGGCTTGCCTTTCACCTGGGGAAGCTCTTCATGAGAGTCAGAGGCCAGCACTGCAGGTACCTAACTTCAAGCAATGTGATATGTGAATATTTTGAGTCCTCAAAAGATAAAACAGGAAACTTTAAAGAGGGATTTACTTCTCTCTCTCTTTCTTTCTTCATATATGTGTGTGCGTGTCTGTGTGTATATATGTATACATACACTATAATTTTACATTATAGTTTGCTTTAATATGATATAAAAGCCTTGACAATGTACATATGCTTTGCCTGTTGGATTCTACTTTGAGGAATTTATGCTAATGAAATAATCATGGCTATGTGGACAAAATTCAGTTGAAAGAATATTCATTTAAGCATTGTTTATAACTGAAAAATCTCAAAAATTATAAATATCCAATAATAGGGGCCTCATGTAAAGTAATATGAAACCATTAAAAATAATGTTAAAATGGGAAAGATATTCAAACGTAGGGTTAAGCGAAAATATAGGCTACAAGCATCGTATAGTGTGAACGTATGTGTGTGTGTGTGTGTGTGTGTGTGTGTGTGTCTAGTGACTGGATCGATATATGCCAAAATATTTGAAGTTATTTTCTTTGGGCATTGAAACTACTGGAAAATTTAATTTTTCCAAATTTTTAAGAAGTTAAAAACTATACCATCTATCTTTGTATAAGCCCCTAAAACTTACAATTATTAACATTATTTTACTTTATTTCAAATCCTTTTCGTAAATAACAGAAATAAAACATTGCTGATAATATCAGTATCACTATTTTTCTTCCACCTCTCTTATCCTGAAGCATACAAAATAATAAATTTCTTATATTTCTTTCCAATCACTATGTAGTATTTATTTTCTTTTTGTCTTTATTTTCTCATTTGTTACAATAAAATAATATTTCTTTGGTTATGAGGAAAAGTTATTAAATTTTCTCCCCTGATGCATTTACATTTTGATTTAATTTGCAAGTACATTGAGTATAAATGATCTCTTCTCAGCATGAAATTACATGAAGTAAAGTATAAGCTGTAGAGTTTGATCTCAGTATAGCTAGGTATATCTCATTACTTGACACTGTCACCTGTAAACTGTGGACTTTCGGAGAAATTATTCATCCTCTTTGTCCTTAATGTGAAATGGGGATAGCAATACTTTCCACAAAGTAGGGTAATTGTGTAGGGTAAATGAGATAATAAATGTAAAGCACCTAGATTATGTCTAAAACATAGAAGTTTTTCTATACAAGGTAGCTGTTATTATTATCACCATTTTTACAAATCTGAAAATAGTGAAATGGATTATATAGGATGGTAAAGCATGGCTTCACCTTGAGAGGTTGAATCTAGCTTCCCTCTCCTTGAATCTATTAGTGAGTGCTTAAAGAAGAGCAAGGAAAATGTTATTGGAAGCTAGAGGAAAGGAGATGTTTTGTATGTAGTGGCAGAAAGTTTAACATAATTGTCACCTTGTAGCAATAAGAAAAAAAGAAAACGTACCTGAAGTGATGGGCCTGGCTAAATAGATTTCTATGAAGAATGTTGAAGGCATCAATGGTTTCTTTTAGTTATATATTGTACAGGGTGGATAGAGATGAACTAAAGAAAGATGATGTGGTTTGGATGTGCGTCCCCTCCAAATCTCATGTTGAAATGTGATTTCCAACATTGGAGGTGGGGCCTGGTGTGAGGTAATTAGATCATGGTGGCGGATCCCTCATTAATGGCTTAGCACCATTCCCTTGATGATAAGTGAGATCTCACTCAGTTCACGTGAGATATGGTTGTTTAAGAGTCTGGGACCTCCCCCTCCCCTTGCTCCCACTCTTGCCATGTGATATGCTGGCTCCCCTTCCCCTTCCACCATGATTGTAAGTTTCCTGAGGCCTCCCCAGCCATGCAGCACTATGAGTCAATTAAACCTCTTTTGTTTATGAATTACCAGTCTCAGGTACTTTCTTTACAGCAGTGTGAAAACAGACTAATACACCCTGGAATGGCAAACTTCTATGATCTGGAAATAGGCTGAGAAGGATGACTCAGAGGACATGATCAAGAGATCATGGAGTGGAGCCAAGATCCAGGGAGTAAAACTGAGTCCTAATAAAGAAAGTGTCTGGAAATTTTGAATTTCAAAATTGTCCTGGACCCCCGACTGCTATGTGTTTCCTGCCTTCCTCTTTAAATTTGAGTTCCTATTATTTTGTTATGTCTGTCCACAGTTGTATGTTGAGTGGAAGATAATTTGTCTCTTACATCACAAACTTTTCGATTGAAAGGTCTCATACCGTAGGAATTGTATCCATGGAGCCTTATCTTCACTTGAACCTGATAAAGATAACAAAGTCCTGTCTGAAAAGTAAAGAATATTGTTATTAAGCCCCCTTATTAAGACAATAACAGGCTCAGATTTCAGATCCTGAGCCTGATGCCCCAATTAGATAAAACTCTTGGTCAGTATTGAGATGGATTGAGTGTATTTGGCATATGTAAGGAATATAGTTTCTGTCCACTGACTGCACTGTGGTTGCTTTACAAAATGGTTTCAGATTCTTAGATATTTGGCCAGGCACGGTGGCTCACGCCTGTAATCCCAGCACTTTGGGAGGCCAAGGTGGGTTGATCATGAGGCCAGGAGATCGAGACCATCCTGGCTAACACGGTGAAACCCCGTCTCTACTAAAAATACAAAAAATTAGCCGGGCATGGTGGCGGGTGCCTGTAGTCCCAGCTATTCCGGAGGCTGCGGCAGGAGAATAGCGTGAACCCGGGAGGCGGAGCTTGCAGTGAGTGGAGATGGCACCACTGCACTCCAGCCTGTGTGACAAAGCAAGAGTCTGTCTCAAAAAAAAAAAAAAAGAAAAAAAACTGGTTTCAGATTCTTTGATATTCCTCTCATGGAGAGTCAAGGTCTGTGTCTCCTGTTGAGTCCAGTGGGCTTATGACTTCAACCAATTGCATCTGATTAAGGTGACTCTATATGACCTCTGAGGCTAAATCTTAAGGGGCAATGCAGCTTCCTCATGCTTATCTTGGGAAATTCACTCTAGAGTAAGGCAGCTGGCATGTAAGACGTTCCACCACCCTTAGGCCACAATGTTGGAGATGCCTTGTCAGTTCCAGCTAAGCATGCCCTCCACACTCTGCCCAAATGCGAGATATGTGAGTGAAGTCATCTTTGTTCCTCTAAAAAACCTCATCCTCTGGCTGAATACCACTGAGTTACCTCAGTTGGTGCTGCATGGAATAAAGAATCATCCAGTCAACTGAAATCCTGATGTACAGAATTAATGAGATATAATAAAATATATGTTTTATGCTGTTAAGTTTTGAGATAGTGGGTTATGGAGCAATACCAACTGAAACATATAGTTTTACTGTAACCCACTATAAGGAAAATGTTTCATATATGAGAGAAACAAAAAAGTGATACCTAGGCATATTCTCAATATTTACCCTTAAAATGACTCTTGCTATGACCAACAGACAATTGACATCCTTTGATGCCTATTGTATGGAAGCCAGAGGTCTTTACAGGAATCATCTTTGCCCAAGGCACACCTTTGGGCTATGATAGGGGATGCCATAAAATATTTCTAGCTCCAAGATATCTTCCAACAAGTCTGCCTTATTGTCTTGAAACTCCTTTTATCTGAATCATTGCTTTGGCACAAAACATCCTCCATATAGGGGGCCTGGAGCAGTGAAGAAACTAATGCAAATGGGATGGGGATCTATTATTAGTCGTTGGCCACTCAGAACAGATATCTGTGTAAGATACTTTTCCATAGCCTTTGGAAAGCAGAAAGGTACTAGAGAAGAGGGCCTAAATAGAAAGGTTCATGAATGAGAGATAAATCCCAAGTGTTAGGGACAAGTAATTGAGAAAGTCAGCCCAAGGTGGTGATCTCAGGGATAATTCTTAGCAGTTGAAAATAGCCAAGTAATACTGGTTGTCTAAGAGTGGGTTTGCAAAAAGCAAGATTAACTTACTCATTATTATGTCTCAAGGACCAGCCCTACATATTTTGTGGTAACTCCTCTTTACAAGTAGTTGCTTTAGAAAATTTTGGATGTTATTGTCTTAATAACAGTACATCTTCACATTTGTATAGTGTCCCACAGTTTATAAAGCACATATGCACGCTGGAAAGGAACTAAAGATTACATTTCCTTTTTATTTTCACATGAGGAAACAGATCTTCAGAAAGGTGAAATGACTTATCCAAAATCACAGACTATGTTAAGTTGGAAAGATTATTCTCAAACTCCATGACCCTTGACTATTTCCGCCACACATTTTTTGAGATTCAAAATTGTTTCTACTTTGTACATGTCAACGTGCATTCATACAGAATGCCTACCAAGAACAATAAATACTCTGTGTATAGGCACTGCTAGTGCATTTTGTTTCCTTGGTAATTCAAACTGAAACGTTAATTGTCTTAGTACATTTTCTGTTGCCTATAACAGAATACCAGAGACTGGGTAATTTATAAAGAATAAATATTTATTTCTTACAGTTATGGAGGCAGAGAAGTCCAAAGTTGAGAAGCTGCATCTGCTGAAAGCATTCTTGCTGGTGGGGATTCCCTGCAGAAGCCAGATATGGTGCAGGGCATCACATGGCAAAGCTTAGAGTGCTAGTTTAGGTCTCTCTTCCTCTTCCTGTAAAGCTGCCAGTCCCACTTTCATTTTAAACCATTAATTAATTAACCCATTAATCCATTAATCCATGAGTGGATTAATCCATTCATAAGGGCAGAGCCTCATGACCTCACCTCTTAAAGTCCCCATCTCTAAATACTGCCATACTGGGGATTAAATTTCAACATGACTTTTGAAGGGGCAAACACTCAAACCATAGCACTCATTATATGTCATTATAACAAACTCCAGATGATTGTCCAGATTGAATTTAGAGCCTGGAATGCAGAAATTTTGAAGCATTATATGGAGGCTTTTTAATTATAGCAGAAATTCACTTTCATTTTTGATGGAATGATATTTGTCATAGGAAACAAGATTTGTAGTGCAGGTCAAATGGAATTAATTAAAACAAGGTGATTGTGAAAAACACTTCTATTGTTTTTAGACTGCCATAGTATATGAATACAGATAACATTCAAAGAAGGATTCATTGCAAAATAAATTTCCCCCAGGTTGAAACCACTGGGTGACTCACCAGGACACAGTTTGGGGCACAGTGAGTGGGAAACAGTATGGCAGGATGGTGAAACATATGTTGCCCCATGAGGCAAGAATCCTTGTTTATAAGTCTCTTTCATTTGACTGGCTGTTCAGCTTAAGCCGGTGATTTTTTGTTTCAGTTGCCTCATCAGCAAAGTGGGGATTTATTTTAGCTGGACCAGATACTCTCCTGAGGTTCCCTTCCCAATTTATGGTCTAAGATTGTAATCTTTCCTCTTTGGTTTCCTTTTTCCCTCCACAGACCTTTCATTCATGAATTTATCTATGCCCTTTTGTAACTGATTTATATTTTGGCCTTCAGGGTAATGAGTTCCACTGAAGTTCTAATTCCTTTTTCTTAAAACTCACTCTTTCAAGCACCACAGGGCTGTGGAGTGAGACTACTATTCCAGGAATTGGTCCAATCTGCCCAGTTCCTTGGTGACACTAAGTGCCAGGCTGACTTGAGCACCAGAATTGCAAAAACAAAAAAACAAAAAAACAAAAAAAAAAGCTGCAAGTAAAAGAAAAAATAAATCTAAACCCTGTCTTCATTTCTTTCCTAAATCACCTGCATTTACAATACATGAAGCATTTTCTTTGTGAATTTAAAACTGACTCCTCCAATCTTTAGCTTAATAAAAATTAATTTATTTTCTTTGTCATCAAATAACTTGCATTTCTCAAGGCTGGATATTCATTATGATTCTTAATTACGTTATAAATTTCTATGATCATCACAAAAGAAATAACAATTGTATTATATAATACAAAAGAGTGGACCTAAATCATAGTGGTGGAAGATAATATAGAGTAAAATATACTCATAGTCCAAGAAAATAGAACTTGCTCACAGAAAATATTAATTATGGGAACAATCGCCTGAGCAACATCACTTATTGCAGGTTCAGGAAATAACTCTGAATCTCATGCCAGTATAGTTTTACAAACCAAATGATATTTGTTTTGAGTCAGAAGATATGTGATTTTTAAATTGAATTATCTTTTTATATTTAATTTTATTTCAAATTTTAATAAGTCAGGACCATGGATAACTCTATATTAAGGGATCTTCAAATATATTTCTATAGCTAACATAAAGTCACCTGAAGTCCTAGGTGGAGTTTTCAAATTAGAATTTCAATGCGTGCTCTATCTTGTGTGAAGAAAAAGCCAACCAACCAGTGCTTGTTCTTTTATTTATTCAGCAAATATTTTTAAACCACTTTCTTTGGGGTAAACAGTGTACTAAGCACTAGAGATATCATGGTAAACAAGCCAGGTATGATTTCAGTAGTATACTTGCTTCTAAGTCTATTTTCTTTCAGCCTTTGGATACTGGTTTAAATCTCTTGTGGGATTTTAAGTTTGGTAGGAAGACAGTCATGGGTCAAATAAATACACATGCTTTTAGAATTACTACAGACAAGTTCGAGATGAGTTTTAAGCCCAGGCCACATGTCAGCTTTGTGTACTTAGATAAGCTACCTTCTTAGAACCTCAGGGTTTTTTTTGTTTCATTCCTAATAAAGAAATAACAAATACTGCCTCACAGACTAGTTGTGATAAAATAAGATATTTGATAGAAAAATGTTTTTTAAAATGCAAAGTATTCCATATATATTAGCTGCTGCTGCTTCTGTTCTTTACATGCACCTATATATTTGAGATGCTGGTAGGAATACTTAGGCCATTACATTCAGAGCCTTCTTACTTGTCCCTTTATTCCTATGCCTCATCATTTATCCTCAACTTCCTTAATTCTTCATTTTTTTTTGTAGTCACTGTACTCTCCTTCCTACCGCTCCTCAAAGGCTTCTTGAGTAGGTTAAAACTAAGAGTTTCAGAGTATTAGTAGCCTTACTACTTGTTAGCATGTCCCATAGGTTGCTACCTCATATATTTCTCATCTCTTGTCATAATTGACTTATTCTCTTAGCTCAGTAGGTAATGAAGATTTTTCAAGGATGTGGCATTGCCATTCTTTCCAGTAGTATAGTTGGTCCCAAGTCTACTTTCTTTCAGCCTTTGGATACTGGTTAAAGTTCTTTTAATATAAACTTACAGAACATTTAGATTATGTTCTTGGAAAGCAGTAACTTACATTGAAGACTGCTTATTCGAATGCAAGTGAATCTGAAATAGGACCAAGCTTATGTGAAGGCACAATGAAAAGACTACTATGAGAGTTAGGGTCAATCTCAAAATCTCACTCTCATTTTCCTTGCCAATAAGTGTGTAATTCCCCACTATTAGTCACTAAGTAGAGCCAAGGCATTGAAACTAAGTTCACAGAAATTGCTTTTTAAAGAAAGAGGATTTGCAATAGGGCTTCAAAGTTAAACAGAATTGCCTGTTTTAATGAGAAATGAGGTAACGAAGTTTTTGAAAGGCAGAGTAATTTAATGAAAATGGAAGTCTAGGACATGTTAGATAGTCGATGTAACACACGATGTTCTTGACTAGGGGTTTGTGCCAGAGAAGCATGGTGAAATGGTAAAGAACTTGATTGAAAGTTAGGAAAAGGCCGGGCGCGGTGGCTCACGCCTGTAATCCCAGCACTTTGGGAGGCCGAGGCGGGCGGATCACGAGGTCAGGAGATCGAGACCATCCCGGCTAAAACGGTGAAACCCCGTCTCTACTAAAAATACAAAAAATTAGCCGGGCGTAGTGGCGGGCGCCTGTAGTCCCAGCTACTCGGGAGGCTGAGGCAGGAGAATGGCGTGAACCCGGGAGGCGGAGCTTGCAGTGAGCCGAGATTGCGCCACTGCAGTCCGCAGTCCGACCTGGGCGACAGAGCGAGACTCCGTCTCAAAAAAAAAAAAAAAAAAGAAAAGTAGATGAGAGGGAAGAGTCAAAGCTGTCTTAAAAGTGTCCGATCTGATTAGGCAAATGATATTGACAACAACAGAAATGGGGGAATAGAGAGAAAACTAAGTGAAGAGGATGAATTGTCAGTGAAATGGAAGAACAATGAAGATGATACAATACTCTGTTGGGACATGAACATTTTTAGAAGAGAGTGGACAACCATGCTGAGATTATTGTAAACTGAGACAAGCTTAAACAAAAGGATGCAGTATTTAGACGGTGAAGTCATTAAAAACATATAAACACATGTAGACATATATGTACCAGGTATTTTCTTCTCCATTATGTCCAATATTATCTCTGGATGAATGGAGGACTCAAGACATCATGATCCACATAGGAACTCTTTGGTATACCTTTTATTGTGTACATACACTAGCTGGGAAACAGTGATACACTGAAGATCAGAATCGTTGAGACAAAGTACAAATGAAAGGACCTCCTGTAAGCGCCCCCCCACCCACCCTCCACCCTCCACCCTCCACCATCCATCTTATGTTCTAAATACTTTTGAGTTCAAAATACTCTTTCACGGTCAGTGAGAAATTCTGCTTTCTACTTCTTTTGATTTGTCTGTAAACACAGAAATCCAAGAGCTTCTTGGTAATTATCTGCCTTTTGTTTTTTCTTTTCCCCCTGTCATGTTTAATTTCAAAATGATTTTTCTGAAAATGAGGTTGGATAAAGCTGAGATGTGTTGTGCCTCATCTGTCACAACATATTGGAAGGAACTCACAATTGTGTACAGATTGTATAACACCTTTTGATGAATCTTATTTCCTTCCCTTAGATGGTGCTAATAGGGTATGAAAGAAAAACATGATTATATACGATGATTATTATGGTATTATATAAAGGCCTGGAGCCGCTTGAATGATTTAGAGCTAAAAATAAATATCTTATCTTAGTCCGTATTACTCTCATAGAGGTGTGACAACTTATTTCTTTTATCAGCTAGAGTCAGTCCTAAGACATTTACCATTTTTTCTCCTTCCCTTCTTTATACTAAAGACTTCTCAAATCTCTCTAAAACAATTGTAGTGCAAGTCAATAAAGAGAAGCCTTATCTAGTACAAGTATTAGAAAAGATTAGTTTCCCTCTCAGATAAAAATTGTCTTGCCATCTATTTGTGTGGCTTGAGTGTCAATAACACATTTGTGAAAAGGGTAGCATACCCTGTTTTGGAAAACCATTATTAAGGCCTTTTTGTTTTTATTTATTTATTTATTTATTGAGATGGAGTCTCGCTCTGTCACCCAGGGTGGAGTGCAGTGGCACAATTTTGGCTCACTGCAACCTCCGCCTCCCGAGTTCAAGCGATTCTCCTGCTTCAGCCTCCCCAGCACCTGGGATTACAGGTGCCCACCACCATGCCTGGCTGATTTTTGTATTTTTTTTTTTTTTTTTTTTAGTAGACACGGGATTTCACCATGTTGGCCAGGCTGGTATCAAACTCCTGACCTCAAGTGATCTGCCTGCTTCAGCCTCCCAAATTGCTGGGATTACATGCGTGAGCCACCGTGCATGGCCTGTTAAGGCCTTTTTGTGTCAGGTATATTGTGTAACTGCCACCAACCCAATACTCCTATAGAGTTTTTTTCTTGGAAAAACAGAAACTGACCCTTCCGGTCCTAAAGCTTGAAACTTCCTTTTTTTTTTTTTTTTTTTTTTAGAGACCGAGTCTCACTCTGTCGCTAGGCTGGAGTACAGTGACACGATCTTGGCTCACTGCAACCTCCACCTCCCAGCGATTCTCCTGCACGTGCCACCATGCCCAGCTAATTTTTGTATTTTTAGTGGAGACGGGGTTTCACCATGTTGGCCAGGATAATCTTGATCTCTTGACCTCGTGATCTGCCTGCCTCGCAATCCGCCTGCCTTGGCCTCCCAAAGTGCTGGGATTACAGGCATGAGCCACTGCGCCCTGCTGAAACTTAAATTTGTTTTATCTGAGTTCCTTCCTCAAGAAAGGACCCCCAGGCCTCTCAAAAAGTATCAAGAAACTGAAACTCACCAGGCCACCACATCTAGACAATGAGATTCCAGGCCCCTCATTCATCATGATTGCTCTCTTGCCCCTCCCAAGTTCCTGTTTTCCCACACGTAGTTACATTTGTTCCCTGCCATATAAACTTCTAATTTCAGTTGGTCAGAGAGATGGATTTGAGACTGATCTTTCATCTCCTAGGCTGCAGCAACCAATTAAAGACTTCTCTGGCAATACTTGTCTCAGCGATTGGCTGGCTGTGTGACCAGCAGGACCTAGACCAAATACCTGGCATTTTGGTAACATAACTAGTCTGTTACTCTGGGAACCGGAACTTTGACTAATTATCAAGTGTCGTTGATCTGTCCCAGATCACTTTCAATAAAAAATGTCACAGGGTCTCTTTAAACATATAACTTCATGGAGACAACAAAAATATTAACTTGGAATTACTGAAGAAACACTATAGAATGACAGTTTTCTAAATTGTTAAGCATATATGCATACACATACTGCAAATTTTTAGTGCTCTGATACTAATATTTAATTTTCCTGCAGAAAGTGGTGTGTGTGTGCACGCGTGTGTTTTAAAAGCTTTAACCACTTGAGGAAAAGAACATTTCTATGGTCCTATCTGATCCACATTTCTTTAATTTGGGTTTAATTTGGGTTTAATTTGAGTTGTCCAAGTTCTTCTGAACCTTGTTAAAGTGGCCTGAGCTGTTCTTGCCCTGTGCTGCTCTGCCCTAGGGGTATTCTATACTAGGTCCCATTATTTCAGCCCCTCTGATTAAATACTTGCTCAAAAATCATTTTCAGTTTGGAATATTATCAGTTTTATTCCTAAAGAATTATGGATTCTCTCGGAAACATCTGCTGTGCGTTACTTATTACGTTGGGAATATTTTCCATGTTTCTTCGGCCCTTTAGCTTTCTAATTCTCTTTCTTGTGAATGTATTTTCTACCTAGCAGCCTCTGTCCACACTGTGTAGAAACAGTGTTTTAAATACCACATATCCTGGTGGAGAAATTAACTTCCAGATTGAATCTAAGTTGTAATGTCTGAAGCTTGCATGCTATAGCATTTCCTATTTAACACTATTAAACATTCCCCTCTGGCTACACCAGTTCAGGATTTTATTTTTATCCTCTGATGTGAACTAAGCTTGATTGTAGTGCCACACAAAACTAGACATGACTTTGCCTTCCTGAGCTATAACTCCAGATTGACAGACAGACTTGGAGCTGGAGGAAAGGATGAGATACTGTGTCCGGAATTGGTGGGTTCTTGGTCTCACTGACTTCAAGAATGAAGCCGCGTACCCTCTCGGTGAGTGTTAAAATTCTTAAAGGCGGCGTGTCAGGAGTTTGTTCCTTCTGATGTTCGGATGTGTTCGGAGTTTCTTCCTTCTGGTGGGTTCGTGGTCTTGCTGGCTTCAGGAGTGAAGCTGCAGACCTTTGCGGTGAGTGTTACAGCTCTTAAGGCGGCGCGTCTAGAGTTGTTCATTCCTCCCGGTGGGTTCCTGGTCTCACCGGCTTCAGCAGTGAAGCTGAAGACCTTCGCAGTGAATGTCACAGCTCATAAAGGCAGTATGGACCCAAACAGTGAGCAGCAGCAAGATTTATTGCAAACAGTGAAAGAACAAAGCTTCCACAGTGTGTAATGGGACCCGAGCAAGCAGTTGCCACTGCTTACTCAGGCAGCCTTTTAGTCTCTTATCTGGCCCCACCCACATCCTGCTGATTCGTCCATTTTACAGAGAGCCGATTGGTCTGTTTTACAGAGAGCTGATTGGTCCGTTTTGATAGGGTGCTGATTGGTGCGTTTACAATCCCTGAGCTAGACATAAAGATTCTCCAAGTCCCCACCAGATTAGCTAGATACAGAGTGCCAATTGGTGCATGCACAAACCCCGAGCTAGACACAGGGTGCTGATTGGTGTGTTTACAATCCCTTAGCTAGACATAAAGGTTCTCCAAGTCCCCACTAGACTCAAGAGCCCAGCTGGCTTCACCCAGTGGATCCCGCACCACGGCCACAGGTGGAGCTGCCCGCCAGTCCCGTGCGGTGCGCACGCACTCCTCAGCCCTTGGGTGGTAGGTGGGGCCCAGCGCCTGGAGCAGGGGGCAGCGCTTGTCAGGGAGGCTCAGGCCGCACAGGAGCCCACGCGGGAGGGGGAGGGGAGGGGGGATAGGTAGGGGAGGCTCAGGCATGGCAGGCTGCAGGTCCCGAGCCCTGCCCTGCAGGAGGCAGCTAAGGCCCGGCGAGAAATCGAGCGTAGCGCGGTGGGCCGGCACCGCTGGGAGACCGGGCGCACCCTCCGCAGCTGCTGGCCCCGGGTGCTAAGCCCCTCACTGTCCAGGGCTGGCGGGCCCGCCGGCCGCTCCGAGTGCGGGGCCCGCCAAGCCCACGCCCACCCGGAACTCTCGCTGGCCCGCAAGCGCCGCGGGAAGCCCCGGTTCCCTCCCGCGCCTCTCCCTCCACACCTCCCCGCAGGCTGAGGGAGCCGGCTCCGGCCTCGGCCGTCCCAGGAAGGGGCTCCCACAGTGCAGCGGCGGGCTGAAGGGCCCCTCAAGCGCGGCCAGAGTGGGCACGGAGGCCTAGGAGGCGCCAAGAGCGAGCCAGGGCTGCCAGCATGCTGTCACCTCTCAATAAGAGAGGCGACACTCTTATTAATAGACCTCTCAATAAGAGAGCTGTCACTTCTTATAAGAAGTAAGAAGTTTTCTCCTTAGATATGCTTCTTAAATATCTGGACTTCAGTTATTACATTTTTTGCATATTTCCTTGGACTGATTTAGTGGTCATGCTAGTTACTGCTTAGGCAAAGGATCAGTACTATGTTTGAGAGTGTTTATGTCACTAGAAAAAGATATTTTCATGGAACATTTCCTTAAAACATCAAACTAGAGTCCAATTAATTGTATTCTTCAATTAATTGGGGTTTTTAAGTGATGCTTTACTTTGAGGGGAAAAATGTAGATAATCAGAAACAATTCCACATCAAGCATCTATTGAATGACTTATTTATTCATTCATTTATTCAACACTAGGTACTGAGTATAGTGACAAGGGACATAGTTATTGCATTCAAATAGAAACATAAATGGATACATGAATGATTTCAATTAAATATTATGTGTACACATAAGCACAGGATGTTTTAGAATTCATAGGATAGACAATTAGGGAGATAACAAGGAAGGGTTCCTGAGGAGGTGACATATGATGTTAATTTCAAAGGACGACTAGAAGTAGGCCAAGTGAAATGGTAGTAAAAGGGAAAATAACTGTAAGTAAAAGAACTACTTTGCACTCCAGGCAAAAGAAGAAACATAAGGGAAGAAGGCATATAGTAAGAACTGTAAATAGTTCAGAGTATGGCTGCAACACACAGTAAAACATGGAATGTGGCAGAAAAACTGAACTGGTTGGCAGAAGCCAGATCATTAAGGAACTTGTATATCAGGTTAAAACATTTAGATTGAATGTTGAAGGCAATAGAGAATCATTGAAGAATTTTCAGATGCAAAGGGTTATGGCTGTGTTTGCAGTTTAGAGAGCTACCTCTGGTGCAGGGTGGAGGCTGGATTGGAGAAGTTAAGACAGGAGGCAAAAACAATTAGTAAGCAATTAGTGGTAAGTTGTATTAGACCAGATAAGCAATGAGGAGGTAATAGTGGGAATTGAAAGGAGAAGGTATATTTTAAATAGTGAAAAAGATTTATGAAGTTGAATGGACAAGACACAGTGAATTTTTAGAGTTCGGAGTTGAGGGAGAGGGAGGTATCTAGGATGATAAGAGAACTAGCAGGACAGGACATGAGGAAAAAGATAAATTAATTTTTGTACATGATGAAAATACTTGGAGCTGAAGACCACATTTCCTCAGGACTTGGGCTTTGACCAATGACATTTAGAATGACTCTAAGATTTTGCACCAGCCACACTTAGCAAAGAAACATTCAAGTATGTTCACTAGACCAGATTGATTAAAGAAGCTTCCAGATAAAGCTTCACTTGCACAGCAATTTAATTAGCCTGAACCTACCATTCCCTGAGTAGCTCCCTTATTGAGGCTTTGTTGTACTTAAAAGATAAATCTATCCAGGAGTCAGATATTCGATGATATTACTGTTGCTTTGGCCTTCATTATTTTAAAAATGCATCACGTTTCCCTCATCACTGCCAAGGTGACAAGAAGCAATCCTCCACTTTACAATTGATCAAATTCTCTTTAGTTTGATTTTCACATTCTCTGTTACCCCCGGAGTGGATCTGTTATTTTTATCATGACCCTTCACTCATATTCATTATTGATTTTTTTTCTGAAGGATGCCAAAGCAATTACTGCCTACCTCTTACTTCCTCCATGAAGGTATCTCAAATGGCTTCTTAAGGCCCTACAAAATCAAGGCTTGTTTACCCCAATCACACATCTCACTGCTTTTTCTCAGCTTTTCAAGATAAAAGTTTAATGTGTCTCCTGATTAAAGTGCTTCTGTGATTGTTGCCCTGCACCAAGTTCTATACTTCCCTGTTTTTTCCTGAGAGCTTCTTTTCACAATCCAGGAAGCAACTTGGTGGGGGACAGCCTGGGGTAAACAAAATGATGAGGGAGGGAGGCGTTCATATTGGTGGAATTTTCTAGTTACTTTTCCAAAAACTATTAGAAAGTTATTTATTTCTGTTCTTTTTACTGAAAATCTTGTTTAGATTATATGAATATACATTATTGTCAAAGCATGTCTGCACTAGTGAATCAAATTGAATTGCCCTTTGATGTTTCTTTTGATGAATGGTGTTTTCAAAACTTGGTGCCATTATTCGGAGCTTTATTGATCATTGTCAGTTGAAGATTATAGAATATGTTAGCAGGATCAGACAAAGGTAGGTTTGACTCTTGATTCCATCACTTACTAACTGTGTGACCTTAGCTAAGTCACTTAATTTTTTGGAGGTCTCCGTTTCCTTATCGATGAACGTATACAATTATACACATTCTGCTTTTCTCTTGAGCTTGATGTGGTTTTCAAATCAGGAATGTATTTTATCAATTTCCAAACATTATACACATATATTTGGTAGTTTGGGCACATATTTAGAAGGTATAAAGGAAAAAAATGTGAAAGGTTTTGCTGCTATTCTCTGAAAGACATAATAAATAATGTTTGGTGACCTGGCAGGATTTAGGTATTAAATTAAAGATATTTACAGAAAGTTAGCTTATATTAAAAGAGAAATATGAGAGCTAACAGTAATTTGGTGCTTACTGTATGCCAAACACCATTTTATGTGTTTTATTTTATTTGATAGTCACAACATTAAGTATTATCATTAGATAAATTTTACAGATGACAAGACTTGCTTTAGAACAACCAGATAGTGAGCAGAAGAGGGATAGATTTTAAATTTGGGCTTAATGAAAACCTCATGATTTTAACCACAATGTGATTGGGCCTCATAATCTTGATCTAAGCTTGTTTAATTTTGATGTTTTAGTTTATCTTACAGCTATCTGCAGATGAACAATCATAGTTAACTGGGCTTTACTGTGTGTAGGAAAAGGGGTAAAAAGATCTGGTGGGGGTGCTGGTTCTTAAATCTTAGGAATCACCTTGTTCCCTAGTTTCTGTGTTAACTATAGGAGAAGATTTAACAAAGTAAAAAACAGATACTCAGAGAGAAAACTCTTGAAACAACTTTCGCTCACTTGACTTTAAAATCTTAGAAGTCAGAGAACATATGCATGGTAAAGAGGCTAGCACATAGTTGGTATCCTGTGAGTGTTTGTTGAATTGGACTGAGTTCTTCTCTTTTATTTCTCAGCAGAGTTTTATTTACCCTCAACCCCTGTTGACTGTGGCTAACAGTATAATTAAGCATCTCTGCAGACAGCAGCATAAAATGAGAGTCAAATGTAATGTTTATGTCTACCAAGCAATTCTTGAAAGTTTCTGTACACAAGAGGAATTATATCTGATCCATTGTGAAGCATGATCAAGATATATAATTTACTTTGAAAAAAATCTGTGGTTGATAGATGTTTAGGAAATATAAAGTGGATCAAATTGAAATGAAATTTAGATTAAATTATCTTAGACAGAATGATTTAGAGTAAAACAAGTGGAAGGAATCTTAACAATTCACGTAGGCATCCCCTATAACCTTACCTTTGAATAGCACTGTGCCTAAACTTTAGAAAAATCTCTGATGAGTTACATGATCATTAAGACTAGTTGGGAAGAAATTATATTAGTCTTATTATTAAAGCATTTCCATGTGTACCTACCTTTATTAGTAATGATTTGCAAATGTAATCAAGAATAGAATAACCTAACAGAGCAGTTCTCAATTTTTTTTAATCCCTTTATGCTCTTAAAAATTATAAAGAATCCCAAAGAGTTTTTTCTTACATGGGTTATATCCATCAATATTTACTATATTCGAAATTAAAATGAGAAATTAAAATACGCATTTATTAACTTATTTTAAAATAACAACAAATCCATTATATAATTACCTAAATAACATAATTTTAGGAAAACTAATCTTATTTTCCAAAACAAAAGTATGTCATGAAAAGGATGGGATTGTTTTAGATTTTTTCCAATCTCTTTATCATCTGGCATAACAGAAGGCAGCTATATTATCACATATATTTTTCTGCATTCAATCTGTTGCAATATGTTGTTTCATTTGAAGTACAGGAAGAAAATCCAGTCTCACTCAGATATGTAGTTGGAAAGGGAAGAGATATTTTAATAGCCTTTTCAGATAATAGTGGATATTCTTCTCTGATACTACACTAAAATTCAACAAGTAGTGGTTGTTTAAAGGTTTGTTGCAATATTGCATTGGAAACAAAACCACATTAACTAACTTTTCATACTAATTTTCATTCTTTTCATACTTATTTTCATTAACAAGCATTGGTCTATCTTGCACTCTGAATGGATTTTTAAATAATAACTTATTTGGAAAATTCTAATTCACTGAGTTATACAGATTTTTGAAATGTTGCCTTTTTAAAATCCAATACAAAAATCATACTCAATATCAATGCTGATCTTATCAGAAAAATATTTAATGGTAGAAAACTGTCATGCTTATGATCGCAGATACCAATTTTCCAAAATTTGAATTTTCTCTTGAAAGCTTGAGTTTTACCAGTGTCAGCAAATACGGTCAGTTGTTTTCCTTTAAGTGACAAGCTCACTTCATTAATTTCTCAAGAACATGTCAAGAAATATCTAAGTCTGAATAACCATAGTTTATTAGTTGTTCTTTTAAGTGAAAATAGTGTTCCATGAGAAAAACATCTTTCAGCTTGAACTCTAACAGTAACACAGTGCTTTTTCTTAAAACAACCATCATACTTGAGAATGTGTCAGAAGTGCTTTATGCAGATTTTGCGTTTGTCACACAGAAAATTAACGAAACACATCCTCATGGGTTAAGACATAAAATTAATAATTTTAATGCTTCACCAAGGACATTTTAAAGTTAAACTGGCCTTGTTGTTATTCATTTACTACAAATTAATGGTGGTAAAGAATACAACGACAATAGTAATATGTGTTGCCCCAGCTTTGATTAATGCTAGGCCATTGGCAGTATTATGCTTTATTGCTTTTGCACCATCAAAGCAAATATCAGCACAGCGATAAAAGCAAATAGCAATTATTATTAGAATGATTTTAACTCATGGAACTCCCTGAACCAGTTAACCCCTGGGCTCTGCAGACCATACTTTCAGAATTCCTTACCTAGAGAATGTCTTAAAAGTGCAGATTTTGGGGGGTGAGGGTGGGCAAACTTCCAAGAATTCCAATTCAAGAGTTCAGAAAAGGAATCTAGTAATGTGTATTTTACTAGCACCCCAGGATATTTTGAGAAAGTTGGCCTATGTAACACATTTTGATTAATACAGCACAATAGAAGAGATGCTTTCATTTTGGCTGTGGTTATGTGAAACTGAAATTTATACCTGCTTAAAACAACCAATTATTTAATAAAGTTAGTAACCCTCACTTCTTGTTAAGTATATTTTGTTCGTTCTCTCCAAATTGATAGCCCTTTCTTTGTGTACAATCATTTTCCATCTCTCATCTTCCTTATCTACTTCCTTGTCATTTTCTCTATTTAAACCTGTTTAGACTGTATTTCTCTTTGCTAGGTTGTGAAAGTCAAAATTGGACAGTCATGCCATCCTCTGGTCATGCTTACAGGAAGTCCCTGCTATGTTTTCACATCATAAAATAATCAGGCTGCTCATCCCCTAAGTTCTCCCTTCTCCCTGTTAGCTTTCTAGCCCTGTATCTGCCTCCAGAATTCTGATCATGGCTGCCGTGCCTGGTGTCAAGCCAAAGAATATAAATGAGTCTTGTCCAGGACTTTATAGTTGAATACCCTGGGTTCCTTTCCTTAGGGATGGTACACTGGGGTATGTCTGATAAAGAGGAAAAGAGTAAGCGTGAGTAAGAGAGAAAGCTTGGGCATGAGTACGAGCATTCCTCATGTAATTGGCCTGCTTCTTTTCCCTTTTCTAACAATGAAACCTTGAAAACTAGGACTCAGCCACTCCTTTGATCTGTCTTCATTTTTCCCTTTTCAGCTACCCTATAGTTGGCTGCCTGGCTTCAGAGCTTTTTTTGAACTTGGAAGACTTCAAGCCCCAACTGAGGAATCCTTGATGCTCTGTTGTTTTGTCTTGCTAAAATGTACAAGAAACTTGCACAGCTCTGTCCTTCAGGCTTAAAATCATCCCAGGTGAGAACAAACTGCCTTGGTCTTATTTGCATTTCTGGTTGACCTGTTTACTTTACCCTTTGGGCATTTTCTTCTATTTGAAGGGCTCAGGTTTTATCACCTCCAATACAATTATGCATACCTATTGGTTTCTATGACAGCTGGGTAGTTTTAAGCAAAATTTACTACTCTAAATGTTCACATGGGCAGTATGACACATCAGTGAAACAGACTTTCAGTTGTGGAGTTGGTTTGGTTTAAATCTTGCCTAGGGGTCATAATTTGTGTGATGGTGTTATTAGCATAATTTAGCGAAAAGACTGTTGTGTGTGTGTGTGATAAAAATTGTTACAAGAGCTGCCTTTATCATAGTTGAACAATTTAAAGGGGTATAATTGTAATGTTCAAAATATGTTAAGTCATGAGTGTGAGATCCTGAGATATAATCTGACTTATAAATGTAAATATCCCTGCCATATTCACTGACCCCATTTCATGCATAGATATGTATATATGTACACAGCTGTTTAAACTTTAAAGATCAAACACTAGTGCATGCAAGAAATCCACAGCAAATACTCCTGATTACACTTCTATTTCTAAAACTAATTATATGTCTGTGCAACTAATACCTTTAGAATTTATCAGGTGTCAGCAAATACACATATTTGTCAAGCTTGACCTCTTTGATATGAAATTTAAATCTATTTGTGGCAAAGCAAGCAGTTTTTATAGTAATTATTCCAATCAAGACAGGATCTTTCTTACTTAAACCAACAACAATAATAAAAACCACTTTGGGGACAGAAGCATAAGCTAAAGCATAACTCATGAATTTGCAAATATTTTTTCCATGTAACAGACATTAAACTGAGTTCTATTTTTGTCTGTGACTTCTGCTGACTTTTATGTGACAGAATAATTTATTGTGATATTCATTTCTATATTATTCTCACTGGAGTGGACATATCTTTTTCCTTCTCCATCTAGAAAAAGTAGCTAAAACATTTTGTATCTCTGCTATGGCAGAGGCAGAAGTGGAAGACTTAAATTTTGATTCACCAAAGCAGTAGTTTCCAGAAATCCAGAAGGTGACCCCATCCAGGCCTTTTGATTTTTAAAAACATAGTCTTTTGGAAGGATTATTCACAAAGAGGAGAGTTCTAAGATATGGAAGAGGTGGAATAAGGCAACCTGGAGATTGGAGTATTTGGGGAAGGCTTTCCTGAGTCTTTTTTTTTAAGGTTTCCTGGAGAACAGAAAAATGGAAACTCACTTACAAGGCTCCAGATGGGGAATTACTAAGGAATGCCTGTAGGAGCTTGACCATATGTATCATGGACTTGAGAGAATAATGGTAAGGCTCCTTGTGAATGAATCTTGGGCCAGTTAGGCAAACCATTTTAAGAGGCATTCTGAATCCCATTAGAGTGGAATGACTAAATGAACTTGAAGGATCTGCTTGATAGAATAATAATACTGTCTAAAAAACCCTTAAAATACAATAACCATCATATAATAAGGACTTGCATCACTCCTCAATTTTGAGTACCACTTAAGCCTGTGATTCTGGTATAATCCTCTGGAGGGTAGGGGAGATGTCTCTAAAATGACTAGCATCCTGGTGGGTACAGAGTTTGGGCAGATTTCACAATCTGGAAATGTAATAGAGTAAGATATTAAATCCAAATGTTGTGGAATAAAAATCACACACACACACACACACACACACACACACACACACACACACACACACTTCATCTATAAAAACTATAATCAATGAGTGGTGGCATAATTCTTATTAGTCTTTTGATTTCCCCAATTTATGGTAGCTTGCTTATTATTATTATTATTATTTTTGAGACAGAGTCTCGCTCTCTAGCCCAGGCTGGAGTGCAGTGGCATGATCTTGGCTCACTGCAAGCTCCACCTTCCGGGTTCATGCCATTCTCCTGCCTCAGCCTCCCAAATAGCTGGGACTACAGGCGCCCACCAACACGTCTGGCTAATTTTTTGTAGTTTTAGTAGAGACGGGGTTTCACCATGCTAGCCAGGATGGTCTCGATCTCCTGACTTCGTGTTGCGCCTGCCTTGGCCTCCCAAAATGTTGGGATTACAGGCGTGAGCCACAACGCCCGGCCTGGTAGCTTGCTTATTATTAAAGTAAAACACTAATGATCATTATGTGCAATCCTGCTACTGAAAAAAAGTACTTCTGGCCTATTTGTAATACTGTGATGGCATTTTCATTCGTTTTTATTTTCTGAGCATCTATTGAATGATACAGGTAAGCAAATTAAAGTCCTTGCAAAAGATCGGTGGGTGTTGAGGACTGACTAGGCAGCTGGCATGACTACGTAGAAGAAGGAAGAGCAGGGTGGTGTGGCAGCCACCTGAAAGCCACACAGGACAGGGGAGCCCCCACTCCCAGTCAAGGTGGCCAGTGAGTGAGCATGCTACCCAGCCTGGGGAACTGTGCTTTTCCACGGAACTATGCAACCCATAGATCGCAAGATCCCACTTGTGAGCCCACACCACTAGGGCCTTGGGTCCCAACCGCAGAGCCACGCTGATTCTCAACAGATTCTCAACAGCCACTCTGCTGGAATATGCCTAAGCCTGCTGAGCTACCAGGCGGAGAGGTGGCCATCACCACTGCTGCCACTGACTGTTGTCTAAGCCATCTGAGCTCCCTGGGGGAGGGGCAGCAACCAACACTGCAGCTTCTAGCTACCTAAGAAACGAAGCTCCTGGCGGGGAAGGCAAGGGGAAGGGAAGGTCGGCAGCCATTACTATAGCCCCAGGTCCTGCTTTTTGCCTGCTGGAGCCAGGGCCAGACTGCTTGGTCACAAGAGGTATTCCCCACAGTGCAGCACACAGGCTGTGGCCAGATAGCCTCTTCAGGCCTGACCCTGACCCATCCCTCCCTCCTAACTTGGCAGGGCCTCCCTGCAGAAACTCCAACAACTCCAGACAGGGGCTCAGGGAAAGAACTCTGATCTTCCTGGGCCTGAGCCCCTAGGGGGAGGGGTGGCCATAGTCTCCGCGGACAAGCAGACATAGTCTTTCCTCCTGCTAGCTCTGAGGAATCTGGGCATCCCAGATGAGTGGGTTACCCCACAGCACAGCACACCCCCTCCACCAAAGGACAGCTAAAGTACTTCATTAAATGGGTCCTGGTTCCCATGCCCCCTAACTGGGTGAGACACCCCAACAGGGGTCACCAGACACCCTGTACAGGAGCATTCCTACTGGCTTTAGGTGGGAGCCCCTCAAGGTCAGAGATCCCAGAGAGCAGGCACCCAACTTTGCTCTTCTCCAGCCTCCTTAAGTGACATCTCCAGCTGCGGGAGTGAACCAGATGAGTAGGGCCCCAGCAAACTGCAGCAGCCCTACAGAACAGGGACCAGACTATTGAGAGAAAAACAAACAGAAAGTAACAACAGCATCAACAACAAAAAAATCCCTACAAAAACCTCATCCAAGGGTCAGCAGCCTCAAAGACTGAAACTAGACAAACTCATGAAGATGAAAAAATCAATGAAAAAAATGCTGAAAACCCAAAAGGCCAGAGTGCCTTTTCTCTTCCAAATGATCACAACATCTCTCAAGCAAGGACACAGAACTGGACGGAGGATGAGATGGATGAATTGACAGAAGTAGGCTTCAGAATGTGGGTAATAACAAACTTGGCTGAGATAAAGGAGCACGTTCTAACCCAATGCAAAGAAGCTAAGAACCGTGATAAAAAGTTACAGGAGCTACTGTCTAGAAAAACCAGTTTAGAGAGGAACATAAATGACCTGATGGAGCTGAAAAACACAGCACGATAACTTTATGAAGCATACACAAATATCAATAGCTGAATCAATCAAGCAGAAGAAAGAATATCAGAGATTGAAGACTATCTTGCTGAAATAAGGCAGGCAGACAAGATTAGAGAAGAAAGAATGAAAAGAAATGAAACAAACCTCCAAGAACCATAGGACTATGTAAAAAGACCAAACCTGCGACTGATTATAGTACCTGAAAGAGACAGGGAGAATGGAACCAGGTTGGATAACACACCTAGGATATCATCCAGGAGAAATTCCCCAACCTAGCAAGACAGGGCAGCATGCAAATTCAGGAAATACAGAGAACCACGTAAGATACTCCGCGAGAAGATAAACCCAAGACACATAATTATCAGATTCTCCAAGGTCGAAATGCAGAAAAAAATGTTAAGGGCAGCCAGAGAGAAAGGCCAGGGGACCTACAAAGGGAAGCCCATCAGACTAACAGTGGATCTCTCAGCAGAAACCCTACAAGCCAGAAGAGAGTGGGGGCCAATATTCAACATTCTTAAAAGAATTTTCAACTCAGAATTTCATATATGGTCAAACGAAGCTTCATAAGTGAAGGATAAATAAAATCCTTTTCGGACAAGCAAATGCTGAGGGAATTTGTCACCACCAGGCCTGCCTTGAAAGAGCTCCTGAAGGAAACATTAAATATGGAAAGGAAAAACCAGTACCAGCCACTGCAAAAACATACCAAAATGCAAAGACCAATGACACTATGAAGAAACTGCACCAACTAGTGTGCCAAATAAGCAGCTAGCATCAAGATGACAGGATCAAATTAACACATAACAATGTTAACCTTAAATGCAAGTGGGCTAAATTCCCCAATTAGAGACACAGACTGACAAATTGGATAGAGTCAAGACCCACCTGTGTAGTGTATTCAAGAGACCCATCTCACGTGCAAGGACACACACAGTTTCAAAATAAAGGGATGGAAGAAAATTTACCAAGCAAATAGCAGAAAAAAGCAGGGGTTGCAATCTTAGTCTCTGACAAAACAGACTTTAAACCAACAAAAATCCAAAAAGACAAAGAAGGGCATTACATAATAGCAAAGGAATCAATTCAACAAAAAAAGCTAACTATCCTAAATATATATATGTACCCAATACAGGAACACCCAGATTCATAAAACAAATTATTAGAGACCTACAAAGAGACTTAGAATCCCACACAATAATAGTGGGAGACATTAACACCCCACTGTCAATATTAGATCAATGAGACAGAAAATTAACAAGGATATTCAGGACTTGAACTCAGGTCTGGATCAAGTGGACCTAATAGATATCTACAGAACTCTTCACCCCCAAACAACAGACTATATATTCTCATAACCACATGGCACTTACTCTAAAATTGACCACATAATTGATAGTAAAATACTCCTCAGCAAAGGCAAAAGATCTGAAATCATAAAAGTCTCTCAGACCACAGTGGAATCAAATTAGAACTCAGGGTTAAGAAACTCACTCAAAACCATACAATTACATGGAAATTGAACAACCTGCTCCTGAATGACTCCTGGGTAAATAATGAAAATAAGACAGAAATCAAGAAATTCTTTGAAACCAATGAGAACAAAGAGACAACATACCAGAATCTCGGGGATGCAGCTAAAGCAGTGTTAAGAGAGAAATTTATAGCACTGAATGCCCACATCAGAAAGCTAGGAATATCTCAAATCAACACCCTAACATCACAACTAAAAGAACTAGAGAAGCAAGAGGAAGCAAATCCAAAAGCTGACAGAAGACAGGAAATAACTAAGATCAGAGTGGAACTGAAGGAGATAGAGACAAAAAAAAAACAAATAAATAATAAAACCTTTAAAAAAATCAATGAAATGGTTTTTTGAATATATTAATAAAATAGCAAGATAGACTAATAAAGAAGTAAAGAGAGGCCGGGCGCGGTGGCTCACGCCTGTAATCCCAGCACTTTGGGAGGCTGAGGTGGGCAGATCACGCGGTCAGGAGATCAAGACCATCCTGGCTAACACGGTGAAACCCTGTCTCCACTAAAAATACAAAAAATTAGCCGGGCGTGGTGGCGGGCGCCTGTAGTTCCCAGCTACTGGAGAGGCTGAGGCAGGAGAATGGCGAGAACCCGGGAGGCAGAGCTTGCAGTGAGCCGAGATTGTGCCACTGAACTCCAGCCTGGGAGACAGCGAAACTCTGTCTCAAAAAAAGGAAGTAAAGAGAGGAGAATCAAATAGACACAATAAAAAATGATAAAGGGGATATCACCACTGACCCCACAGGAATACAAACTATCATCAGAGAATACTATAAGCACCTCTACACAAATAAACTAGAAAATCTAGAAGAAATGTATAAATTTCTGGAAACATACACCCTCCCAAGACTAGACCAGAAAGAAGTCGAACACTTGAATAGAACAATAACAAGTTCTGAAGTTGAGGCAGTACTGAATAGACTACTAGCCCAAAAAAGCCCAGGACTAGACAGATTCACAGCCAAATTCTACGAAAGGTACAAAAAAGAGCTGCTGCCATTCCTTCTGAAACTGTTCCAAACAACTAAAAAGGAGGGACTCCTCCCTAACTCATTTTATGAGGCCAGCATCATCCTAATACCAAAACCTGGCAAATATGACATAAAAATAGAAAACTTTAGGCCAATATCCCTGATGGACATCAATGCAGAAATCCTCAATAAAATACTGGCAAACCAAATGCAGCAGCACATCAAAAAGCTTGTCCACCACTAACAAGTTGGCTTCATCCCTGGGATGCAAGGCTTGTTCAACATATGCAAATCAATAAACGTAATCCATCACATAAACAGAACCAATGACAAACACCACGTGATCATCTCAATAGATGCAGAAAAGGCCTTTGATAAAAATTCAACATCCTTTCCTGTTAAAAACTCCTATAAACTAGGTATTGATGGAACATATCTCAAAATAATAAGAGCTATTTATTACAAACCCACAACCAATATCATACTGAATGGGCATAAGCTGGAAGCATTCCCTTTGAAAACTGTCACAAGACAACGATGTTCTCTCTCACCGCTCCTATTCAACATAGTATTGGAAGTTCTGGCCAGGGCAATCAGCAAGAGAGAGAAATAAAGGATATTCAAATAGGAAGACAGGAAGTCAAATTGTCTGTTTGCAGACAACATGATTCTATATTTAGGAAACTTCATCGTCTCAGCCCAAAAGCTCCTTAAGCTGATAAGCAACTTCAGCAAAGTCTCAGGATACAAAATCAATGTACAAAAATCACAAGCGGGCTGGGTGCGGTGGCTCACGCCTGTAATCCCAGCACGTTGGGAGGCCGAAGTGGGTGGATCACTAGGTCAGAAGTTCGAGACCAGCCTGGCCAACATGGTGAAACCCTGTCTCTTCTAAAGATACAAAAAATTAGCTGGGTGTGGTGGTGGGCACCTGTAATCCCAGCTACTTGGGAGACTGAGGCAAGAGAATTGCTTGAACCCAGGAGTCATAGGTTGCAGTGAGCTGAGATTGTGCCATTGCACTCCAGCCTGGGCAACAGGGCGAGACTCTGTCTCACAAAAAAAAAAAAAAAAAAAATCACAAGCATTCATATACACCAACAAGAGACAAGCAGAGAGCCAAATCATGAATCAACTCCCATTCACAATTGCTAGAAAAAGAACAAAATACTTAGGAATACAGCTAACAAGGGACATGGAGGACCTCTTCAAGGAGAAACTACAAACCACTGCTCAAGGAAATAAGAGAGGACACAAACAAATGGAAAAACAGTCCATCCTCATGGATAGGAAGAGTCAATATTGTGAAAATGGCTATACTCCCCAAAGTAATTTAAAGATTCAATGCTATTCCCATCAAACTACCATTGACATTCTTCACTGAATTAGAAAAAATCAGTTTAAATTTTATATGGAATCAAAGAAGACCCCGTTTAGTCAAGACAATCCTAACCAAAAAGAACAAAGCTGGAGGCATCATGCTACCTGACTTCAAACTATGCTACAATGCTATAGTAACCAAAACAGCATGGTAGTGGTGCCAAAACAGATATATAGACCAATGGAACAGAACAGAGACCTCAGAGATAACACCACACATCTACAACCATCGGATCTTCCACAAACCTGACAAAAACAAGCAATGGGGGAAAGGCTCTCCTATTCAATAAATGGTGCTGGGAAAACTGGCTAGCCATATGCAGAAAACTGAAACTGGAACCCTTCCTTACATCTTATACAAAAATTAACTCAAGATGGATTAAAGACGTAAATGTAAAACCCCAAACCATAAAAACCCTAGAAGAAAACCTAATCAGTACTATCCAGGACATAGGCATGGGCAAAAATTTTATGATGAAATTGCCAAAAGCAATTGCAACAAAAGGTAAAATTGACAATGGGATCTAATTAAACGAAGAGCTTCTGCACAGCAAAAGAAACTATCATCAGGGTGAACAGGCAACCTGCAGAATGGGAAAAAATTTTTGCAATCGAATTTACATGGAACTTAAATGAATGTACAAGAAAAAATCAAAGAACCCTATCAAAAAAGTGGGCAAAAGAAATGAACAGACACCTCTCAAAAGAAGACATTTATGTGGCCAACAAACATACGAAAAAAGTTCATCATCACTGAGCATTAGAGAAATGCAAATAGAAACCACAATGAGATATGATCTTACACCAGTCAGAATGGCAATTATTAAAAAGTCAAAAAACAACTGATGCTGGCAAGGCTGTGGAGAAATAGAAACATTTTTACACTGTTGATGGGAATGTAAATTAGTTCAACCATTGTAGAAGACAGTGTGGCTATTCCTCAGACATCTAGAACCAGAAATACCATTTGATTCAGCAATCCCATTACTAGGTATATACCCAAAGGAATATACATCATTCTATTATAAAGATACATGCACACGTATGTTTATTGCAGCACTATTCACATAGCAAAGACATGGAACCAACCTAAATACCCACCAATGATAGGCTAGATAAAGAAAATGTGGTGCATATACACCATGAAATATTATGTAGTCATTAAAAGGAATAAGATCATGTCCTTTGCAGGAACTTGGATGAAGCTGGAAGCCATCATCCTCAGCAAACTTACACAGGAACAGAAACACCGCATGTTTTCACTCGTAAGTGGGTGCTGAATAATGATGAACACATGGACACAGGGAGGAGAACAATACACGCCAGGGCCTGTCGGGGGAGTTGAGGGGAGGGGGAGCTTCAGGACCAATAGCTAATGCACACGGGGCTTAATACCTAGATGACAGGTTGATAGGTGCAGCAAACCACCATGGCACATGATTACCTATATAACAAACCTGCATGTTCTGCAAATGTATCCCGGAACTTAAAATAAAAGAGAAAAGAAAAGAAAAAAGATTGGTGTTAAGGAGGATAGTTATCTTGTACATTAAATATTTATTATGATTTAGATTTTGTGGAGAATAGAATTACAGAAATCTGAGACTAAAAAGCAAATGGGGCTGTAATTTATATCCCATACTGTTGTCCAAAGGTGTACTTGTTCTGATATTTCCTGAGATAATAAGGTGACTTTTATATTCTATCCTTTTCGTCTATGGCTTATGGGATTGGTCACTACATACTGTAAAATTTGTGGTGTGTGTAGATAGAAAACTGGCCACCTGGAAAACCTATTTGAACTTAGTAGAAAATCGCTCAGTTCATAACATGGATATAGGAAGCTCTAAGGAAAAGATTCCCCATCTAGTGTAGTTTATTTTGTAGACTGTTACTTGCCTTTCACATAATAAACCCAAAGCTGAATACTTTGAGTGTCTACATTTCCATGATTAGGCCATGTAGTAAGTGGTAAATTATATATTTTCTATACACATGCATCTCCAATTCAGGTAAAAAATAACAGGAGATAGAGGTCATACCTCTTTCCACCTCTTTGCCCATGTTCAAATTATCAGACATTGATTCAGGAAAGGCAAAACAACAAAACCAATAATGGGTGATTTAATTCCTAGTAGAGGACTAATAGTAGAAAAATAGAATTAAATAATGAAAGATCTTGAATTCTGACTCAGGAGTTTATATTTAGTCTTTTTAGGCACTGGGGAGACACCAGAGTTTATTGAGATGAGGTGTGACAAAATGGAAATGGTACTGTAGGGAATAATCCGGAAGCAGTGTGTAGGATATATTGGAACGTGAAAGATATGGTAGTATAGGAAGACTAATTGGAAGTTACTACTAAAATCCAGTTTAAAAATTATTATTTGTCTGGATAATTTTTTTTTTTTGAGACAGAGTCTCTCTCTGTTGCCCAGACTGGAGTGCAGTGGCGCAGTCTCAGCTCACTGCAAGCTCTGCCTCCTGGGTTCACACCATTCTCCTGCCTCAGCCTCCTCAGTAGCTGGGACTATAGGCGCTCGCCACCACACCTGGCTAATTTTTTTGTATTTTCAGTAGAGACGGGGTTTCACCGTGTTAGCCAGGATGGTCTTGATCTCCTGACCTCGTGATCCGCCCGCCTCGGCCTCCCAAAGTGCTGGGATTACAGGCGTGAGCCACCGCACCCGGCCTGCCTTGTCTGGATAATTTATAACTTGTAATACTGAATTAAAATACATACCACTGTTTGCTGCTCAATTATTTGTCCCTCTCAATTATAAGTTTTAAATATGTTTTACTTTTATACAATTACCTGAATGCGTGACTTCCCATGTCAAAACACTCACAATAACAGATGATAAACAAAGAACATGCTATAATTATTCATTTAAAAAAGCATTTGAACTAAAGTGTGTTTCATTAATAAAGAAAAATTCCCTTGCAATCAAACATAAATTTAAAAAATTATCTAATACAATAAATTAGATTTGAGTGAGAGGTAGACTACATTAATTCCATGTAACAATAAATGGAGTTGATAGAATGTCACCCTCAGATATTAGAAGTGAAATTTTTAATTTTGATTTTAGATTTAGCCTGAACCAGGGATGCTTGGAATTTGATGTCAGGAGGTCAGTATTCTAAGCCCAGTTCCATTACTAGCGTACTATGAAGTTACACGGTAAGCACAGAAATAACGTGATTTCCAAAGGCATTAATTTTGGCATTTAGAAAAAAATATTAAGGAGTAAATTGTTATATCCAAGATAACAGAACTAATAACTCTTGTTTAGCTTTGGCATGTTTGTTTGGGTCACTTTCATCTCCAATTCACACCTAGAATGGGTCGGATAAATACTTACTGAATGAATAAATAAAAATGAAACAATAGCATAATTGTAAGCTTCATGAGAGCAGGGACCATATCTAGTTTATTCACTCCTGTATCCTCAGCACTAAGCATAGTGTTCTGTACCTTGTAGAAGACTTAATCAATCATAAATCCCTTTGAAGAAAATCAGCAAATTAGTACCTTTAAAAAAATTAAATTCAAGATTATATCTCACTTGTGGGATATCTTTTTAATGAGATTGACTTTTTCAAGTCGATTATTTCTTTTTCATCAGTAACCAAACTGAAATCGCTAAGACAGATTGGTCATTGCAGGGTATTCAGGAGCAATAGGCTGCTATATAGATCGGTGACTTGTGACATTAGAAGACATATAAGAGCTCCTGAAAGTTAATAGGCTACCTAACTGTTCTAGTTTTCATCTGTAATATTGTTCTAAAAGCCCTATTGGGAGTTATGGATTTGGGCTTGAGGACTCAGCGATTTTTGGATTTAGAGCTGTACAACTCTAGTTATTTTCAAGACTACTTGTGGGAATAAGGGATTGTCTTAGTCATTTCAGACTGCTGTAACAAACTACCACAGACTTAAACAAAGAACATTTATTTATCATACTTCTAGAGGCTGGGGAGTCCGTGACCAAGGCCCTAGCATAATTGGTATTTGGTTCAGTTCCTGGTTCACAGGTGGCCATCTTCTTGCTGTGATGGGGGTGAGAACTCTCTGATCTCTCTAATGTCTCTCTCACTCTCTCTCTTTGTTTGTGGTTTTGTTTGTTTGTTTGTTTTTTGTTTTTTGTTTTGAGACAGAGTCTGGCTCTATCACCCAGGCTGGAATGCAATGGTGCTATCTTGGCTCACTGCAACCTTCGTCCCTGGGGCTGAAGTGATCCTTCCACTTCAGCCTCCCGACTAGATAGGACCATGGGCATACACCACCATGCCTGGCTAATTTTTGTTTTCTTTTTTGTAGAGACAGAGTGTCACCATGTTGCCCAGGCTGGTCTCAAACTCCTGGGCTCAAGTAATCTGCCCACTTCAGTTTCCCAAAGTGCTGGGGTTACAGGTGTGAGGCACCTCGCTCGGCCTGAGGTCTCTTTTATAAGAACACTAATCCAATTCATGAGAGCTCTGCCCTTAAGATCTAATTACCCCCCAAAGTCCCCACCTCCTAATAGCATCACATTAGGAGTTAGGATTTCAACATATGAATTTGGAAGGGACACAAACATTCAGTCTATAGCAGGAATGGAGTGACTACTGTCTCTAAGAGATAAATATCTTGGAGCTTAGGTGTGTTTTGGGGATCCTCTGTTTTCAAACCAGGGTATACCACATCGAAAATGTGTGCTAGGCAAAGCACCCACAACAATTCATACTAAGACACGCAAATATTTCAGGAATTTTATAGTAATGATCATGACGAATTGTCACAGTAGGTATAGAAGTAGGAGGAAGGGGGCTGGGCACAGTGGCTCACGCCTGTAATCCCAGCACTTTAGGAGGCCGAGGTGGACGGATCAGGAGGTCAGGAGATCGAGACCATCCTGGCCAACATGGTGAAACCCCATCTCTACTAAAAATACAAAAATTAGTTGGGCATGATGGCGTGGGCCTGTAGTCCCAGCTATTCAGGAAGCTGAGGCAGAAGAACCACTTGAACCCAGGGGGCAGAGGCTGCAGTGAGCCGAGATCGCACCACTGCACTCCTGCACTCCAGCCTGGGTGACAGAGCGAGACTCTGTCTTAAAAAAAAAAAAGGAGGAGGAAGGGGAAGAAGAGGAGGAGGAGTAACAGCAGCTGGCATTTTTAAAATGCCCATAATGTGCCAAATACTGTTACATGTTTTGCATTTAATCCTTACAATCACCATCTGACATGGTAGTTATTATTACAATCACTCTGCCATGGACGAATAAACTAAAGCAAAAAGATATTTAGTAATGTGCCTAAGATTTTAGACAGAAAATGAAGGAGTTGTGCTGTCAATCTGGGCAGTCTAGATTCAAACTTAATTCTGTTCTAAACTGCCTCCTAATTGGATACTTTTTGGACACAATTTTCTTGAAATATAAAAACCACAATTTTATATAGAAAGTCAGCTTGCCAAAGTTTATGCTTTCCAGATTCTCTACCTCAGGAAACTAAAATTCTACCTAAAGTCTTTCTTCCATGCATTTCAGAAATAGCTATATAATCACTTATTTTACCACCATTGCTTCCTTGAGGTCATAATTGGAATCACTGCTTCTGTTGAGATTCAGTGTCTTCCCTTTTCTTCAGCCCAGATTACCTTGCTCAATCCTAAATTCTGGAAACTTGGATCAAGCTTCTGCCTGGTAAAAAGGGAGCACTATGTATTTTGCTATAGATATTGTTAAGAAAGTAGTCTTGGAGCTGAGGAAATTTTCAGTCTACTTGTCCTTTTTGTTTAATCATTGTGAGTTTCACTTTAAACCATTGAAATAAAACTGCAAACAACTCTAGTTGCTGTGTGTTTGTCTTTAGCGATTTTATATAAATTTATTATTAATAGTTTATTAAAAAGAAATATTGTTCCCTACAAATATTCTGTAGTCAAAAAATAATGTGCTGTTTTTAAAAGGAGTAATTTGGTCATGGTTGGAATGAAATTATTTTCCAATTAAGCATGTAATCAATTTTACAATGAAAATCAATGAAAAATAAGGTTCTCTATCTAGAATTGTGCCTTGTGGGCAACTTACAGGACATAAATCTACTCCAAAGAGGGAGAAACTTTTACATTTGCTACATTTCCACCACTGTGGCAAATCCTAGTGCCCTCAAACCTTTGCTTAATTTTACCTTTTGTGGGCAGTACTTTTTTGTGGATGTGATCTTTAGTCAGTGATATTGAGGCCAGATAAGAAGTAGAGTTAGGTAGGCAGAGAACTTTGATGTGATCATGAATTCTTCTCAAAGAAATTCTGGGGTGGTGTTCCTCTCTGAAACTGGTAATACTTGTTTGTGAACCAAATTTGAAATGATCCAGGCTCTGCTGCACTTTTAGGAAAATAAGAAAGAACATAGAAAACTGACCATTGTCTACTCCTTCAAATTGGGAGAAAGAATCCTGGTACCTTATTTATCATGCTTGATTTTTTTTTTCAGCTCGGAAATAGCAGGCACAACAAGCTTTTTCATAGAAGTCTTCTGGTTGGCCAAAGACAAATTCACAGATTTCTATCAGAAATGAGCTTTGGAACAATCACTTCTGAAAGTTCCCTCAAGAGACTAGACTAGGGGTCAGCAAACATTTTCTGTAAAAGGCGAGATAATAAGGATTAGGCTTTCTGGGCCATCATCTAGTTTTAAATGTAATTCTAAATATTTTTTACTCTCATACAATTACTTGAATGCATGACTTCCCAAGTGTCAAAACACTCACAATAACTGTTGAGAAACAAAGGAAAACATGCTATAATAACATAATTATTCATTTTTAAAAGAGCATGTGAACTAAAGTGTGCCTCATTAATAATGGAATAGAGAAAAATTCCCTTGAAGTCAAACCTAAATTTAAGAAAAAAAAAATCAATTTATCTAATAGAATGAATTAGATTTGAATGACAGGTAGACTATCTACATTAATTCCAGATACTTATTTCTGCCATTATAGCATGAATGCAGTGATAATACATACATGAATGTGTGGTTCTATTATAATGAAAATTTATGGACAATAAAATTTGAATTTCATATAATAGTTTATGTCATTAAATACTATTCTTATTTTGATTGTTCAACCATTTGATAATATGAAAACAATTTCTAGCTTGCACACCAAAGATAAAGAAGTGGCAGGCCAAATTTGGTCCATGGGTCACAGTTTGCAAAACCCTGGAATAGACCAAATGAATTTTTACTATAATCTTTTCATTAATTATCTTTCATGCCTCATTCCACTTTCTATTAAATGAAATCAAAACTGCCTAGTCTTGTCTGAACATAAATATGAAAACTATTGGATGACCCATAGGTGTGTTCCAATGGATCTAATGACTCTCTTATGTCAAGAGATGACATCGAGAGTACCATTATTATAACAGAAGGAGGTCAAATGAAGGGCATGGATCAAAGAATCAGAGACTGGAATGTACAGGGCATCTTCTCCAGGATTTATGTCCATATAGGTCCAGCAATTGGAATTTATGGATCAGGGCATAATTATGGCTATTCTTTTGGGAAAAAAATGTACTCTATTGCTAAAATTGTAGGACCATAGATCATGAATAATTAGAATTCCATATATGTTAGTTGAAGACTTGGATCTTTATTAAATTATCTTGTTAGGAGATATGATCAGGCCATTTTTGTGTGGGTACAAAGGAAAACAATTAAGATCTAGTTCTTTTTTCTATGGTTAAAACTATCTTCTAAAATCAACTTATTCATTTAATCACTTTTAAAATTTTTTTTTTTTTTTTTTTTTGAGACAGAGTCTTGCACTGTTGCCCAGGCTGGAGTGCAGTAGTGCGATCTTGGCTCACTGCAAGCTCCATCTCCTGGGTTCACGCCATTCTCCTGCCTCAGCCTCCCTAGTAGCTGGGACTACAGGCGCCCGCCACTACGCCTGGCTAATTTTTTGTGCTTTTAGTAGAGATGGGGTTTCACTGTGTTAGCCAGGATGGTCTCGATCTCCTGACCTCATGATCCGCCCGCCTCGGCCTCCCAGAGTGCTGGGATTACAGGCCTGAGCCACCACGCCCAGCCCACTTTTTAATTTAATAAATATTTATTGTGTGCCACACACTGTTCTAACCCATTTGATACAGATTTCATTGAATTGCTTGCATCAATTATCACTTTTCCAATGAATAAAATAAAATTCATAAAAGTTAAATGACTTGGCCAAGGTCACATAGATGATATATGGTAGAACTACAATTCAAATTACTAGTTTGTTGCCTGAAGATTTTGAGATATCCCAGAAGTACTGTGCTAAGTCCAGTACAGGGCAGTATCCTGTACAAGAAGATATATAGGAGGTTTGGAGATCAGGCTGATCTTAAGTGAAGAAAGAATTGGATTAAAGGCTAAAAAAGCTCAGTTTATTGTCAAGTGGAAGTTCCATCCCATTTTAAGCTTTCCTCCTTCCTCCTCCTCCTCCTCCTCCTTTTTCTCTCTGTCTCTCTCTCTCTCTCTGTATGTAGAGGTATAAATTTTGTTTGGCTGGTAAAACATTTCTGATATTTAATCTTAACCTCTCTTACTTGATCCCTCTCCTCCATCTTCTTCAATTCCAAATCTGTCACTCTTAGGAAGACTTGAAGATGTCCCTTTTGGGAATGCAGATACTTGAAACAGTTCACTTCCCTTGAAGATTGTCAATGTGAGCTCTAAGTGTTCGAATTGTTCCAAAAATGTAGTTACAGTTAATTTTCTGATACGTAGCACACCTTATGAGCCCCTGACAAGTAGGTAGTAGTCCTTGGGCAAAGAGATGCCATGTTCCATGTTCCACTGTATAATATCAAGGTTAGAATGAGTCTGTCTTTACTCTATCTAGAAGAGTCAGTGTTTTTATTTGATTCTTCTATTGCCCCATATAGAAGTTGCACCATCCGATTTGCTGACAAACTATGCAGGGTCCTTCGGCATGAATCTGCATATTCCCAGGATGGTGAGATGTGGAAAGCAGGCACGTAAGTTAAGAGAAATAAATCCATAATTTGATATTTGATTTGTGAGGCAGTTTAGCATAGTGCTTAGGATCAGAGAACTGTGGAACTTGATTGCCTTGGTTCAAATTGTAGCTCTGCTATAAGCTAATTGACCTTGGTAAATTTACTTAACCTGTCTATGCCTTAGTTTCCACTCCAATAAAATTGGAATAAATAATAGTTTCTACCTCATACGAGTTTAATGAAGATTGAGCTAACATTTGTAATGTACTTAGACTAGTACTAAGCTTAGAATAAGACCTACATGAGGATTATCTATTATTCTTTCTATTACTACATAAGTTATGTCATTGGCATGATCTAAAGGAAACTCTCAGGCTTCCCCTGCTCAGAAAGTATTGTAGATATTGTAGATATACTTTGGCCTAGAAGCCAGGATGCCCCTGTTTGAGTCCTGGCTGTGCCATTGTAACATGTATGGCTTTAGGGAAAGAAGCTCTGACATGATGGTCAGAAGAATGAATTAGTATCAAGATGAAGAAGCATCAGGCATCGTCTTGGTCTATAATGCCAAAATATATTGGCATTATAGACATCTGTCTTCAAACCTTAGCTCTAATACATTTTAGTGAAGTGACATTTTGGGCAACTAGCTTATCCTCTCATACCTACAGAACATTATAAATAGTGCCTGCCTCACAGGATCATTGCCAGAATTAGAAGAATTAACGCCTATGAAACAATGAGAACAAATGGTTTCTCACACTTAACAAGGGCTTAATAAATGCTATTACTATCATCATCATCACCATCATCATCATCATATTTGGGAATTCATGTTAAAGATGAGGATACTAAAGCCCAGGAGAAGTGACTTTCCCAAAGTCACAGAACTAATTAATGACTTGAATACGGATCTCCTGACACCTAAGTCACTAGTCTTTCTGTCACAGTGTTGCAGTCTTGTTTTCTATGGTATTATCTGGAGTTCTTGTCTCACAACCAAGAAAATTGGGGATCATGGACACAAAGGGTGAGGCTGGACCAAATGTTTAATAAGCAAAAGAAGAAAGCTCTCCACCAAGGAGAGGGGACCTGAGAAGGTTGCCAGCTATGAGGCTGAGTCTGGCATTTTTATGGACTGGAAGGGGGGGAATGTGCTGACTAGCTTGTAGGCTGTCTTGGAGAAAGCACCATTAAGAGAGAGGTATGATATTGTAAAAAAAAAAAAAAAAAAAGCATTTAGGGATAGAGGTGAAGGCTTGGCCCAGGAACTTGGCCCTGGACCAATCGGGCTGATGTGAAAGCTTGGCCCGGGACCTTGGGCAGAGACCAATCGGGGCTGAAATGATGATTCACCCCGAATGAAGACTTCATTCGCCCGAGTGAATGAAGACTTGGCCTGCAGCCAATCACAGAAAGGTAGGCATATGTAAAATAGGTGAAAAGTAAGAACCAGAAGAGGAATAGAATTTGTTCATCTTGTTTCACAGAGTAGGTGTTTCCATTCAGGGATGTGGGCTCTTTCTTATCTGGGGCCTGCAGTTTGATTTTCAGGCTGTCCTCTGTTTGAAGGAGTTTTACCAAGGACCCACCCTAACCGCCTATTTGAGTGATTTCTTCCTTCCCGGGCTTTCAAATGCAAACTGCCTCCTTATTTCCTGGGTAAATACAGCTTGGTAATTTTTGTAAAATATACAGAATATTCAAGAGGAGCAGAACTCTTTTAAAGGATGATTCTTGCTAATAGGAAATGCAGTCTCATTTTCCTTTCTTTCATGCCTGTGGATGGGTGTGCTCCTCTGCCACTGCTAGTCCATGGACCTATGCATAAGTTGTTAATTACTGTTGGTGACTGTGCTCAATAATCTACATGGAGTTTGATGCTATCTCAGTCTTCAGAGCTCCTGCAAGATTTTCATCCAATGGCTACATCCTTCTCCAAGTACTTCATGCTCCACCAATCTCCCTCAGACCAAATTACAAACTAGATAGTCGAAGTTTCTTGATGAAGTATAGAGTAGCTCTTAGAACAATAGTATAGTTTGGAGGAACAGAGATTGGAACTCTAATCTAGTAGTTCCTTGTGCCAAACGGGGAAGTTCTATCTAGGTTTGGGCTTTTGAAGAGGAAAATGTTCCTGTTTTACCTTCCTCTCTACTCATTACTCACCTATCCTTTCATTCCACACAGCCCCCTCTTCCAAGTTGCCTAGATTTTTGTCCTGTCCCCCCGCCCTCACAAAATCCAACCTTCTTCACAGGAGAACAAATATTTTGTCTCTCAGGTCCTTACTGTGTTTTGCAAACTTAGATTTTCAGGCTTTGGCCAAATAATTGAGAGTCTGCTCTGCTTTACAGGGTCCTGTGGTGAATGTGAGGGGACTGCTTCTAGTTCAGTCAAGTCTCTCTGACTTCAGTTCAGACTTCCTAGCTGGAGCTTATTTTCTTACTAGATGCTTTAATAATTAGAGACAATTTAATCCAATATGATGCCTAGAAATGTTATTTCTCCTAGTAGTAGGCCTTTGCCCTGGCTTCTTATTTTCTTATTTAATTTTTTTTTTTGAGGCTGAGTCTCACTCTGTTGCACAGACTGGAGTGCAGTGGCATGATCTCGGCTCACTGCAACCTCTGCCTCCCAGGTTCAAACGATTCTCCTGCCTCAGCCTCCTGAGTAGCTGGTACTACAGGCATGCGCCACCACACCTGGCTAATTTTTTCTTTGTATTTTTAGTAGAGATAGGATTTCACTATGTTGGCCAGGCTGGTCTCAAACTCCTGACCTCAGGAGATCCACCCATCTCGGCCTCCCAAAGTGCTGAGATTACAGGCATGAGCCACCACGCCCAGCTGCCTTGGCTTCCTAAGTAAAAGTAAATGAGCCTGAGCGTTCACCACTTTTCTAAGTCTACCTTGCACTACAAGAACCACTGTCTCAAGTATTTCTGAAGATGAAGGCCATTTAACTGGACAACTCTGTAAGCTAAAATTGCCTCTCCCAGTAAAATGTTTAGGTAGATATCTCTGGAGTATTTGGACACTGACATCAAGAATGTGGCGCTCCTCTTAAATCATCCAGACCTGTGTGCCATGAAGTATTTGAGGTAAATTCTACAAAAGCTTATTGAAGAAGGAGTATAGATTTAATCTGGATAATTCATCATTTTATAGCTAGTTGGATTAATCAGACCAGTTCTACACTAGCAAAATGAAAGTGATGAACCAAGTTAATTATCTAGACCATCCAAATCAATAAATTTCAATCATTTCTATTTCCTGCACATTTCAGGTGAAACCATATTTTGGCTTGAATTATTTGGATAAATTCTTCAGTTTAACATTTATCTCTGACAATGGAGCCCTTGAGGCTTTGAATCTAGTAAGCATTACATCTGTCACAGGCATAATGGAAAAAATGCTTATATGCCTTGGTGCCACATTGCTTTTACAAGCTTCCTTGTAGTGCCATGTTGAAACCTCTTAATGTTGAAATGTAGCACCATTTCCTTAGAAAAGAAGAATGAGACTTATAATAAAGATGATGGTTGCACATAAAAATACGAGCGGAGAGAAAACCACTCTTTTCTTTGGGTGAGAATAAGGGGCAGTGATTTTACTGGCCTTAATAGCTCTCAACAGGGATAAATTGATTTGCTTCTTTCTTTATTTTGTAAGTTGCAGTGAATAGATTAAGATATATGTACAAAACAAGCAGAGCCCATTGCAGAGAACACGAATAAATAGAAGTGTGCTTTGAGTGCTGTGCCCCTTTCCCTTGTTTTGCTTTCCCCAATGCCTTTCTGAACATCTAAGAGTACTTCACTTAGCTGTACTGTGCCTCCTGTCACACCTGCCCAGGGTATCATCACCCTAAGGCCTGATTCTTCTTGAATATATTTGAGATAAGGTTGTTGATAACCCATAATCACTCAATGTAATAGTCTTTCCAAAAACTACATTTACACTGTCCACTCATGGGAGTGAGTCAAGTGGGTTTTTCAGTCACTGTGGTAGAGCTGGTGGGAAGGAAACTTGCAGTCAGGAATATCTTTCTAGAATTCATCAACTCATCCCATAGTGGTAGCTGCCTAATCTACTTAGGCATAATGATGAATCCATAGGCTAAGCTCAGCATATAGCAAAACACAGAGAAAGAACACGAAGCATCTAGTTAGATATCTGGGTATATATCTTCCTATACTGTTTCTTGGTGTTTGGACCTGTATTTGTAAAACCACATTTAAACCTTAACCAGAAGACCTTTTCAGATAGAGTCAAGGAATTCGTGCTTCTAAAATTTGAATCACCTGGAGTATCTTGTTAAAATGTAAATGTAGACTCTGTTAGTCTGGGATAGGGCCTGAGATTCTATATTTCTAACAAGCTCCTAGGTTATGCAGATACCACTGGTTTGTGGAACACACTGTATTGGAAAAGTCTTCTGTAGAAGGTGTGCTCAAACTGGAATCCATGGATCCAAAGATTCTGTGACGGTGCCTTAAGGGTTGACTCAATGGGGTGAATGTGTAGCCAAGAACATGAAACTCTGAGCAGTTCTTCCCTCATTCTTTTTTTTAAAAAAATATGCTCTACTTCTATATTCTTTTTTTTTTTTTTTTTTGAGACAGAGTCTCGCTCTGTCGCCCAGGCTGGAGTGTAGTGGCGCAATCTCGGCTCATTGCAAGCTCCGCCTCCCGGGTTCATGCCATTCTCCTGCCTTAGCCTCGCGAGTAGCTGGGATTACTGGTGCCCGCCAGCATGCCCAGCTAATTTTTTTGTATTTTTAGTAGAGACAGGGTTTCACCGTGTTAGCCAGGATGGTCTTAATCTCCTGACCTCGTGATCCGCCCGCCTTGGCCTCCCAAAGTGCTGGGATTACAGGCATGAGCCACCGTGCCCAGCGCATACTTCTATATTCTTAATATAGTGGGGTCCTGTATAAGTTCTTTTAGAGGAAAAAATAGGTTTTGGTTACTAAAAACACAAAAACGCGAATAAAAATCCAGTATTACTCAAGATGAAGATCATTCAATTGGGCCAATTTTAAAAATAAAATTGCCTTTGGCAATGAAACATTCAGGTAGATACTTTGACATATTTAGATACTAATATGAGTATTCCTTGATTAACTTCCAAATTTCCTAGTGTAGTGGGTCTATCTACATGAAGAAGGAGGTTCTAAAAATGGGAAATATGATTTGGCTATAGTTTACTAATAGCCACTTTGCTGTTATAAGGCTAAATAGATAAAATTAGGTGTCAGGAGATCTACCTTTCAGTTATGGCTCTGATATTAATATATGGCTGACCTTCGGTGAGTTCTCACCTCTATATGTGTGTCTTCTTGTTAGTAAAAGAAGGGAATGATCAATACCCTAAATACTCCACAAGTTTATTTGAAGATGGAAATAACGTAGTGGGTAGAGTGATACAGGGCCAACGCAGAAGCAGAGAGAACTATTAGGAGACTACTGCAATAATACAGAGGAGAGATGATGATGGCTTGGCTACTATGGTAAAGATGGAGGTGGTGATAGGTCATATTCTGATTCAAGGAAAAACTAAAAAGATCTGTTGATGAATTAGATGTGGGATGTAAGAGAAGGAGAGAATATGTAATTCATCAGGGTACTTTAGACTTAGGAAATTTTTTAAAGCCTTACTAGGAAATAAAGCATTGAAAATGAAAAGTTTTTGTCACATAGATGTAAAAAGCTGGATTTATTTCCAGGGAAGCAAGAAATGTTCACTGTGCAGCAAAGCCACAGAGATACCCATTGACTCATTTGATGTTTTACCAGACACACATTGCTTTCTATTTATCTTCTGTTCCTTTTCCTGATTTGAGGTTTGTTTTCTAGAATAATAATATAACTTTTAATGAGGGAACCATTACGCCTTATGAAAAATTGATAGATCATTAATCCAGAATGAGGATTCACTTCTTGGATGTTTTTGAAAAAAGAACTGAAATGAACTATACTATTTTTTTTGGAGGGGGGCGGAATGCAGTTATGTCTATCTTCTCTCAGCTCTATGTGAGCACTCTGCATTCAGTTACCTAGTAAATGCCTTTTCAAGGCTGTTGAATTCTTGATGATAAAACTCAGTGAAGGCTAATTCTCCTCTCAGATGTACTTCACTTTACACAACTGTCGTGTTGCTGAAGCCTGGGTTATGGGGAAAAGATTGTATTTATCTTGATTTCCTTATAAATCAATTCATATTTTAACCATTTTTCTGTGTTTCCAAAAACCATTTACTGAGTTCCTAGTGTATGTTAAGCACTTTACCAAAAGCCCAATATTCCTACAGTGTTTGCCTGTAGAAATATATAGTCTAGTCTAGCATATGGCACAATATATCAGCACAAATAATATGGTGTTAAATTATTTAATAAAGATACGTATAAGATGTTATGGAAACACAGAGGAGGGACATCTAACCCTGACTGGAGGTTCAGATATGGGTTCCTGGAGACAGTAATTTATGAGCTGAGTTTTAAAGGAGCAGTAGGAGTTAACATTAGCCAGGTGAAGAAGGAGTAGAGGGAGATCATTCTTCTAGGCAGACAGGGCAGCATGTGCAGTGAAGCCCTGGCTGAAAGGCAGATCTCTTGACAACTGGGTGTAAGAACATGGCATGTTCAGAGAACAGCCAGTAGTTGAGTATGGCTGGGATTGAGTGTCTGTGAGGTATGCAGTAATATGAGACTTGAGAGGAAAGCAGAAGTTATATAGTGAATGTTGTTTTTTGCTCAGCTAAGAAGTTTGGGTTTTATAAGCAATGATAGCGGTATTTATTGAGACTTGGTATTGCTAGGTAGTATTATGTACACTTTATATGCATTATATAATTTAATCCTCACAACCACACAACACAATATTATTATCACTATCTTCAGACAGAGAAACTGAAACACAGAAAGATTACATAGTTGCCAAAGATTACTAAGTGACAGATCTGGGATTCAAATACAATCAGTTTATTTTAGAGCTCTTGCTCTTAACCAATAAGCTCGATAGGCTCCATTAATCCTGAAATATAAAGAACCCACAGATGAAAGATGGCCACAGATTGAGACTCCTCCTATTGAGAGATTCAGTCTATGCCTTCTCAGGAACCTCAACCAGCACTGCAACTGGTTTAACCAAAAGAATATGGGAAAAAGGGATGTTGTACCAGTTTCTTTTTTTAAATTATTATTATTATACTTTAAGTTTTAGGGTACATGTGCACAATGTGCAGGTTTGTTACATATGTATACATGTGCCATGTTGGTGTGCTGCACACATTAACTCGTCATTTACATTAGGTATATCTCCTAATGTTATCCCTGCCCCCTCCCCCCACCCCACAACAGTCCCCCGAGTGTGATGTTCCCCTTCCTGTGTCCATGTGTTCTCATTGTTCAATTCCCACCTATGAGTGAGAACATGTGGTGTTTGGTTTTTTGTCTTTGCGATAGTTTGCTGAGAATGGTGGTTTCCAGTTTCATCCATGTCCCTACAAAGGACATGAACTCTTCATTTTTTATGGCTGCATAGTATTCCATGGTGTATATGTGCCACATTTTCTTAATCCAGTCTATCGTTGTTGGACATTTGGGTTGGTTCCAAGTCTTTGCTATTGTGAATAGTGCCGCAATAAACATACGTGTGCATGTGTCTTTATAGCAGCGTGATTTATAATCCTTTGGGTATATACCCAGTAATGGGATAGCTGGGTCAAATGGTATTTCTAGTTCTAGATCCCTGAGGAATTGCCACACTGACTTCCACAATGGCTGAACTGGTTTACAGTCCCACCAACAGTGTAAAAGTGTTCCTATTTCTCCACATCCTCTCCAGCACCTGTTGTTTCCTGACTTTTTAATGATTGCCATTCTAACTGGTGTGAGATGGTATCTCATTGTGGTTTTGATTTGCATTTCTCTGATGGCCAGTGATGATGAGCATTTTTTCATGTGTTTTTTGGCTGCATAAATGTCTTCTTTTGAGAAGTGTCTGTTCATGTCCTTCACTCACTTTTTGATGGGGTGTTTGTTTTTTTCTTGTAAATTTGTTTGAGTACATTGTAGATTCTGTGTATTAGCCCTTTGTCAGATGAGTAGGTTGTGAAAATTTTCTCCCATTTTGTAGGTTGCCTGTTCACTCTGATGGTAGTTTCTTTTGCTGTGCAGAAGCTCTTTAGTTTAATTAGATCCCATTTGTCAATTTTGGCTTTTGTTGCCATAGCTTTTGGTGTTTTAGACATGAAGTCCTTGCCCATGCCTGTGTCCTGAATGGTAATGCCTAGGTTTTCTTCTAGGGTTTTTAAGGTTTTAGGTCTAACGTTTAAGTCTTTAATCCATCTTGAATTAATTTTTGTATAAGGTGTAAGGAAGGGATCCAGTTTTGGCTTTCTACATATGGCTAGCCAGTTTTCCCAGCACCATTTATTAAATAGGGAATGCTTTCCCCATTGCTTGTTTTTGTCAGGTTTGTCAAAGATCAGATGGTTGTAGATATGCGGCATTATTTCTGAGCCTAGACCACAAGACACTGGCAGTTTTCACTTCTGTGTCTTGAAAGACTCTCTCTGGAAACCCTGGGCCACCGTGTACATGGTACATCTACTTTGAGGTTTCCATGTTGGAGACTCCAGTTGTAGAAGCTTCAGTTGATAGTTTCAACCGAGTTCAACCTTCCAGTCATTCATGACGAGGTACCGTCTGTACAAGTAAAGCCATTTTGGACCATCCAGAGCAATCTATCCATCTGGTAAACACCATTAAATGACCTTAGTTGGCACCATGTGGAGGAGAGAAGTCATCCAGCCTAACCCTGCCTGAGTTCCTTACCCACAATATCATAAGATGTAATATAACGGTTGTTGTTTTAAGCCAGAAAATGTTGGCACAATTTGTTGTGAAGCAATACGTAATTACAGCCACACCAATGAAAGATACCTGTTAAATTTATAAGTAAATGAAAACAGGCCAGATACCTGTTAAATTTCCAAGTGGTGTTTATCCAAACTAAAATACCTGGAAAAGGGTAGGTATGTAATAAATGAATGAATGAATGAACCCAATATGTATATTAACAATTTATAATTTATAACTTATGATTTTGTGTGTGTATATGAAACCAGGTACCCAGTAGAGGTTGTTATGCTGGAGAAAAACTAGTACTGGATAGTCTGAGAAGATTCATATCTCCACAATCCCTTGGGGCCTGCCCTTTTCTTACTGGTCACATTTGTAGGTAATTTTACAAGAAGGAACTATTTTTTGAGCTAGTTTAGTGACCAGCATCTCACTCTTTACAGGTAAATTCCTGCTTCCCTTCCATACTTGGCATGTGTTTTGGGTGGATTATTTCCTGTGTACTTTCTTCCAGCTTTTTGATAGAGCAGAGGGAATCAGGAGTTAAGAAAAGTGAAGCATTTCCCTATGTACACAAGTTATTTTCAACCAAATATCAGTTTTAGCAGGTGAAGTAAACTATGAAAGGCAACATCTGAGTACCTGGTGAATGTTCAAATCCCCAAATGCTCATTGCAACTTGGAATATGAGGCATGAGGGCATATCTGGTTGGATATAATCTCTTTTTCCCGTGAAAAATCTCCAAATACAGATTTACATCCACTGTTAGAATACGCATTTTAAAAGACCCCAAATACATATTAATAAACCATAAAATGTACTTTAAAATGTCAAGAGTCTGGTTTTAAAATGTACAACATTTAATTTGGAGAGGAATCCTGGAACTCCTAAATTGTAGGAGGAACACAAAAGTGTCGGTGATACACTTCGTGTCTGCTTGTTTTGAAATCTCTCACGTCTTCTTGTAGGTATAAGATAGCTTTTACTTCTGAAAAAGACCCCATCCCTTCCTGCTAAAATGACAACTTTCTTTCTTTTGTCCTTCCTTCTCTTTTTATTCTTCATAGATTCTTTCCTTTCCTTTTTTCCTTCCTTCCTTCCCTTTCTTTCTTCTTTTTTTCTCTTCTGATCTGTCTCAGAAGAATGAAGATTTATATTCTTTATTAATCATTCACTTTTCACTAGCTCAAAGGTGTATTTTGCTGGGAGAGGTTTCATCCTTTCCTGCCACTGAGATAAAGAAAGTAATGTCACTCTACTTCCTGGGGTGAAAGTAAAGAGATTCATCTAAAGTGTCAAGTAGGAGTGGGTAGAAATGGACACAGCCTCCACTTTTGCTTATCTTGCCAGCCCCAGGTAGTGAAGCAGATCCCCATGCCCTCTGATACAGAAAAGGAAGAGAATCTGTGAAGGTAGAGAAAGAGACACTTTTTGAGGAAGGATTAGAAAACAGCAATATTAACTATCATAGCCTAGCAGAAGCTGTGCTGTCAAAGCTGCTATTTTGGGTCCCTGACCCTAAACTGGTTCAGTGGGAACATTTGTGGATAATGGAATACAAAGTGTTCTGAGACTAAGTAAGTAGCTTTGGAGTAAGTGTGACCTTGGTCAAGTCACTTTACTCTTCTAAGCCCCAGTTTCTTCTTCAATAAAATGGTGATATTTTCTTTGTGATTTACACAGATGTTCATGTTTTATGAATGACAGTAACCAATTTGTCTGAATTCAATCTCTTCCTCCCTGTTCAAGTTGTTTTATTCATACATATCCAGACTGCAAGGACACGGGATGAGAGATGTTCTCCCTTTTTTATTACTCACCAAACATTGCTGATGGTTTCTCTTGAATATTTGTAATCTTTCAAGTAGATAAAACAGTTTAGTAATCCATTCTTTCCCAAATCTTGTTAACATTCTTCTGACTCCTTTAATATCCTCTTGAATGGAGCTTACTTGTTTATAACTCCGTATAACCTCTCTAACCCTCAATTTTCATGTAAAATAGAGATAAAGTATGTCGTGTATAGGTTTAGGGGGAAGAATTAAGAGATGAAAGAATCTAGAACAGAGCCTGGTACATAGCACGTACTCAGTGAACTTTAGTTTCTATTTCCTTTCTTTGGTAGTTCCTTTTGAAGTAAAAATGTATCATTCTTTATGTATGAAGATATGCTCTTTCTGTCATTGTGAAAATGAATCACTCTGGGTCTAGGACACTTTGAACTTAGCATTATGTAAAGCTGAGACATCTGGTCAGGATCTGAGTAGAGCTTGAGAATAAGATTTAAAACTGTGAGTATCTGGCCCATAGAAGACCAAACCTATGACCTTGGCTTTTTATTCACCTTTTTATTACCATGTAGGAAAAGTCAGTAAGTCAGTGCTTTAAAGTGAGCACATGCATGATAGGTACGTTAGAATTAACCCTATTTGTTTATGATGGCAGTCAAGCACTTGCCCATTTCTCCTTCTTGAAGGTTAGTGTCAGATTCTTTCAAGTCTGGCTGGAAATAAAGGTGCAGCATCTTTAATCAGGCTTGAAATCTTGAGATAGCTGCTAAGGTCAAAGAAGAGGAAGAGAGGAGTGTCCAGGCCTGACTGACTTTCTAAAAATTTGTTCAGCTTCTTATAGGACCTTTTGATTCAAAAATGAGTGATTCCAGTAGAAAAGAGTAGAGGTTACCAATGTGTTGGCAAGCTAAAATGCTGGCCAAGCTGATGACTTTTGAAAGTTTGTCATGAAATATCAGCCACTCAGTGCTGGGTAAGCTTATGTCTTGCTCTGAGGTTAACAGTTTTTTGGAAAGGTGTTGGAAGAACACCAGAAAAGGACATAATACCTAACTCCTGAAATTCTAGGCTTTTTCTGAAATGCAATGGAAATAGAGTTGGTTTTCTGTGATGGGAAGGAACCAAAAAAATTCCTGGCATGCTATCCAAATAGTCGAGGTTGATGACCTCTCTTTTCTTGCCCCTCTGTCCCTTCCTTATGCTGTGCTGGAACAGAGAGGAAAGAAAGAAAGATGTTTTCTTTTAAAGGGCTCATTTGAATAGTTCACACTACTTCAGTGAGAAGGTGAAAATCATCACCTGAGGCTATTTTCTGAGCTCGCTGGGGGTTCCAGATGAATTTAGCAACTCAGTCTAATATGTTCTAGGAATATATCAAGGTCTGAACTTGTGGCATTCTGTTGATACAAGCATCTTTTACTTCAGTAAGTGGGCTCATTTTTCTTCATCCTTTTCCTAACCCATGCACTCTAGCACTTAATTATCAGTGGTCTACTGTTCACATTAGGCAATGCTTACATTTCCCTTCTTCATTCATTCATTTATTCGACATCCATTTATTAAATGCCTATTTTGCCACAATCTATTATCTGGGCATTGGGGATACAGATATGTGTAAGATTTGGTTCCCGTCCTCAAGCTCACAGTCGAATATTTCAATTATTCTATAAGGTATTCTAGGACTGAAACTATGACTTCTATTTTTTAATACCTACATAAAACTAAAGACACAAGGCATGGTAAGTTAAGATTTATCGAGTTAAATTTGATTGAATTTAATCTGAAAAATATAGTTTTACGGTTGGCTCATTAATAGGCAAACAACGCATGAGAAAATGCAAGTATTCCAAGATTGGTTCAAGTTTTAGTGCTTGATGAAGCATCCCAAACAACTTCAAATACAGATGGATGTGGGATGAATTTTTCTATTGGTAGAAAGTATCAACTATGTCTATACCAAATGTCTCCTGGGCAACTTTTACCCCATCATCAGTGGCTCAATTTTCTTATGTTTAAATGTATTTATACGTATTTGTGTACACAACACACTTTCTTTGTGTGTAAAGGCTCAGAGAGGCATAACTAGTGTTCCCTATTGCATTTTGTTCTGATCTGAACTGTGCTGTCTCCACAGAAGAGTGGGCAGTCATATAGGTATTCTCATTTCCCACCCTTTACTTGCCTAGTGATAAATGAAATGGTTTTTTGTTATGGGATTTGTGGCAATTCATCATTTGCAAACTCTCCACAGCATAGTGTAACTTTCCAGAGCCATAATTATTCAGCAAACCAACTGGTCAAGGCAAGAGTTCATAACTGGTAAAACCGATAGTTCATTCTTTTGACTTTTGCCAAATTGAAGATTCTAAGGAAAACAGAGCAATGTGGGGATTCGGAAGTAGTGTATTTTTAGCCAAGATGAAATGGGTCACATAAAATCTACCTACTACCTAAATAAGTGAGTCCATTCCTAACAATTGGAGTCTTTCATGAATTTTCCTACAACATTCTGACTTGCCTTTTTCCCTCTTTCTAAGCTCTCTGGCTGAGGTGATAAACCAATGAGTGAAGCAGCAGTTTAATTCCAACCATTAGGAAAGGACTGAGCCCATATCTAATACAAGCAGGACTGCCGCACTAATGTGTGTGATGTTATTCTTTCTTTCTTCAGGTATCTGACCATATGGGCTATTTACCCTCAATTTTCCTGTAAAATAGAAACAAAGTATGTTGTGTATAGGTTTTGGGGAAGATTAAGATAAGAGATGAAAGCATCTAGAACAGAGGCTGGTACATAGTATTTTGAGTCATCTTGGCAAGTTTTCAAATGCTTGATTTGAGTTGATGGGCTTGAACTGTAGCAATTTGTTATATTGACACTTCTCTTTGCACACCTAAAAAGAGATAGCTTTTTGCAGATACACTGTCTTCCTCTTCTCTGAGGAATGGCTTTTCTCTTGGTATTTTTCAAATGAGATGAGAAGAATAGAAAAATTTAGGCCTGAACTGAAGGTCAAAATTGATTGATTGGCTGAAAACTAGCCTTGGATGTACATATTTGGTGGTAGATCTCTTTGAAAATTTCATTTCTCTCTCTCTCACACACACACACACACACACACACACACACACACACTAGGAGACACAAATTTCTAGGGCAATGTTTTTTTTAAATGGAATGTAAAATTTTATTTTGTACTTTTGTAATAGAGACACTTCAAAGCATGTATTTGTAGATCTCTTTTCCAAAATCATCTTGTTTGGTTAGCGTAGTAGAGTACCTTAACACTGAGTTGGAAATTATTGCTTTGATACCCAGGCAATATTGTAAGAAACTTATAGTTATGATTATGAAAAAATTATATGTGTGTACAGGTACATATATATGTATGTATGTGTTTATAAAATTTTGTGTGTATATGATTATATACACACATGTACATATACATGTATTTACATGTATGTGCATATATATGTGTGTATAGTATAAAAAGGCATGTACAATATATATCACTAAACCTATTCAATTCAGTCTATGTAAGTAACAGTAATTGACTGCAAAATTTCCTGTGTGACTAAGAATTAGACAATAATGTTGATAATTGTATCCTGAAGCAGCTAATTCAAATTGCCTTTGGGAGGAAAAAAGCAAGCAAACAAAACTGAATGAGGTCATTTAATCTGATATAACCTTGTAGTTATTTTGGATCTCAAGTGGGAAAAATAAGGTATAATTCAGCATTGGCAAAACCTATGTTTGCTGAAATCAATGTGAAAATGATTATATTCGTTTAACAGCCTGATGTAATTTTGTGATGTGACTCTCTTGTTGGAGTGCTTCAGTGTCTGCAGGTCAGTCAACTCAAGGGGAAGCTCATCCTTGTCACCAAAAAAGATGATGATGACAATCCAATATGGATCATCTGAATAGGAAACCTCAACCTTCAGGCAACCAAAAGTGAAAGTGAACTGGGCTTAAATTGATTAGGCTGTCATGACTTCGTGATGATAGATGGAAGTCTACTAAGTATACCATGAGGCAAAAAATAATAATGGTTATTTGTACTGCCAAGTGTAGAGGATATTTCTGGGCAACTGGGTGCCCTCCCAATCTTGAAGATACTTTATCCTCATCTTTTAAACCCCTCTTCTTTTTCCCTGCCTAAAAGATATTTTTTTGTGAACTTCACTGATTATTCTGAAAATGTGCAGTCTCACAAAGAGCTTGTGGTTGAAATGATTATTTGTTTGTTTTAACAGTATATACCTTCTCACAGAGAGGAAGTAGCTACTGAATACATTGAAGAAAATTAGAAATTCATGATATCCAAACCATGCCTTCTAGTATGGTAATGTGTGCATCAGACATCTCTCATCACTCCATTTGTACAATAGTGCTCATGTACATTTATTTTACATGACATTGTGTATTTTATTTATAGTCTTATACTAGTTGTTTTTCTTGTTCATATTTGTTCTCCTTATTTAGATTTTAAAGTCCTTGAATTCAATGAATACATTTTCTACTTCTCCTGAATGTCTTAATAGGATTAAATCAGAAAAGGGAAGGAAGAAGAGGGAAATGGAAGAGAGGGAGAAACTTACTGCTGAATCACAATGTGTCAGGCAAAGCAAGGGGTAGGGACGCAGTGTGTGGAGAAATGGTATTAAAATGTACATTTACTGGAAGCTGTGAAGTTTAGTATGTCTGATTCAGTTTTTATCCGGGCAGAGTTCAACTAAATTGATTTTTTTTTCTGGCAATGATGGCCAGTTACGGACTCAAGGCTCCTGATACCTGTTAGGAAGTATAAAATAGGGCAGAGAACAAATCATCTTTGTATTAGGGTTAAAGTTCAAATCTGCCTACTGATGCTGATTTTGTTGACTTCTACAGTCTTCTCAACTCTGAATCTTGTCTGGTTACTGAGCCATTTAATGTCCTGCCTGCCATTTTGCACCTTAGCAAACTTACCTGGACATAGGCCTTTTCTTACCTGCTTAGACTTATGGATCTCCCACTTACTTAATGGAAATTATAGTGCTAGTACCTCCTGACCAGCCACGTTTTTGTCGCCCATACCTCAAGTAGCAGAAGCTGAAAAGGTCAATTGCATATGTTGAGTTAATCCATCCAAAGGAATATTAAATACTGGTTTGGGAATTAGCAATGTAGATCTGGTGGGGGGGGTATCATGATTACAATAATATTTACATCAAGAGTGATATGACTATTGAAAGAGTAGCTCTATACATAGTTCTTTGCACATCATAATAAATGCATAATGTTATTTTATTGTTGGTCTTTTTTTCTTAAAAATCAGAAGATTAGAAACACTCTAAAATACTCTGATATACACACATACATGTCACACACACACACTACTTTGAAGATCCCTTTCCTTTCTCATATTTGCATAACTAAAGTCTGCTGTAATGGTCAGAGCTGAAAGGTCAGTGTCCTGATTCTTAAACATCAGACCATTTGAGAAATTGCCTCTTATATATCATTTAGGCTGTATGGCTGTTGGCTAATGCTGTAGTTAGTTTCCACAAAGGTGGTGTCAAAGCCATAATGACTGAGTGCAAGGTAGCTCATTGTTTTCTCTTTTCATCAATTATTCAGTGAAATCTCAGTCTTGGTAATATGTAACAAATGAATGAAGTGCTCTTGAAATGGATGAGCTACAACAGGATGAACCTTGTAGATCAGAACTGATGTTCCAAGAAGTCATTTTTGATATCCGGTGGTCATTTTTTATATTGAAAATTGAGCAAAGAAGGAGCACAATGGCTGGACAAAATAGAGCTTCCCATCTGTAACTTATGACTATTGTCACTTAAATGGTCTATATATTATGCCAACCTGTTACAGACCCATGGCATGTAATGCAAAGAAGATGTCATGCAAATAATTTACAGCCTATTGTATAGGTGATAAAGTGTTCATGCTCTTTCCAACTTGCAAATTAAAATAGAAGCTTTCAGAGCCAAAGTTTCCATTCATTTACCCACCAATACAGGCCAACATTTTTCAGTTAGTTGGGTAAATTTCATATGTACCCAAAATATGGATAAAATCTTGATCTGTTTGATTAATTTTGGAAAACTCTTTTAACATTGCGACTATATTTGTTAATCTTACTAACATTTTATACCAATCTCAGATATTCAAAAAAGGATTTCAGTTGATATGGTTTTAGCATAATATTAAGGTGGAAATCCTCTCAGACTACTATCTATATTAAACAAGCAAAATGAGAAGTGCCTAACTGCTCTTCTTCTTGTTGAATTCAGGATGTATCTCTGATGGAAATACCCAGGAATGGTTTAAAGAGAAGTAGAATGGTCATTCTCCTATATTTTGAAACATCAGACAGCTAGGCTGTCCCTCTGTCCTAACCTCCATCAGTGATCAATAGTTCTACTGTACACAAATTTTTCAAAGCACTTCTTCAACTTTTTATGCTTTTAATGTGCACCATATGTCCATTCCCTGTTATATAAACTAAAAAGGCAGCTATATATTATGGAGACTGAACAAATACCTTTATGTACAGGGAGGAACTGTAATCAGCTCCTTATGGTATACCCTTTGGATTCTATTTGTGCAGTCTAAGGGATGTGGGCATCTGCCAGTTAGCTGTGATTTTGATCAGTGTGGGCAGCTGAACCAGATCGTTCATCTAAATCCAGGTTACCTTTTGCAGCTAGCAAATAAAGGAGGATTGGGAATGATTCTTGAAGCATATAGCATAGGGCACAGTTCATCCTAAGGATAGAAGTTGCAAAAGAGTTGACAAAAAAAAGATAGAGGCAGAGTGTTCATTTGCGCATTGGGATACATATTCAGGCACTTGGACAATACCACCAGAGATACAAGCACAATTAGGTTGTCAAGGTCAGATAATGCAACAATAAGGACAACCTTTAGAGTTAGAGTGGAAAGTGAGATATGTTGGAAATAATTCTCTTAAGAATATAACCTCAAGATTCATTTAGAAGTCCTAGCCTGGGCTTTGCACCCTAGCGTCTGTTCACCATATTCACACAAATAACAAGGTGTTATTTGAGAAACCAACTAAAATACGACCATCATTGGATAGAACCTATGTTCAACTATATTCCTTCTAAATTTCTGCATTGAAGTGATTTCATATACTACATCTCACTTTATATGTAAAAAAATGTGTTTTCCTACAATGAGATAGTATAATCCTAACAGTCAATATCAATCTAAGTATTTATTTATGAAAATGCATTTTTTAGGCCAGGTGTGGTGGCTCACGCTTGTAATCCCAGCACTTTGGGGGGCCGAAGCAGGTGGATCACCTGTGGTCGGGAGTTCGAGACCAGCCTGACCAACATGGAGAAACCCCATCTCTACTAAAAATACAAAATTAGCTGTGTGTAATCCCAGCTAGTTGGGAGGCTGATGCAGGAGAATCACTTGAACCCGGGAGGCGGAGGTTGTGGTGAGCCAAGATCGCACCATTGCACTCCAGCCTGGGCAACAAGAGTGAAACACCGTCTCAAAAAAAAAAAAAAAAAAAAGTGCATTTTTAGGAGTAAAATTCCCCTTTGGAGTCAACTCTACCTTTTGGCAATAATGATTATCTCTTCCCTGACAACATACAATGATCTTCTGAGTATACATGTTCCAGTGAGATGCAGCAGGTTCTATATTCTTATTTGATTTGGGGCTCAATCATGAAAATACAGAGGTAAATATATAAAGAATAGGTTCTTCTCACATACGGAATTTAGGGTTCTATGAAGGGACTTCTCTTCAAGCTGGGACCTGGGTAGAGAATCAACTGGAATGGGTAATGATATATTTAGACAGGGTCATCCTTTATACTCATTATTTTACCTCCCAGGATGCCACGTTTTTCTGAAAGATCTGTATAATTTGGAAGACTTCTTCTTTAGCATGTACCCTCCTCCTTATTCTGGAAAAAGAGTGACCAAAATGTACTTGCCCTAGCAAGGTTTTGTATCTAATATAGCTTATTTCATATGTGGTGCTGGGCCCAACTCCAGCACGACTTATACTATAAACAGTATTAATAATGATTGCACTATTCATTCGAGTGCCACAGAGTGGAAAACAGTCTCAGATTCAGGAACCATAACTGCACTGGTACCACCTACACCTCCAAAATGTCGTATGAATGTAAGTTTATCACAACTTTTCCAGAGATCCACTTTCTTTATCCTAAAATGGGGAGTGGGAATATTGGTCCAGATTAGTGATTTTCTAGGTGATGTGTTTGTGTGTGTGTGTGTGTGTGTGTGTGTGTAACTTTCTTTTTAAAAATTTTATTTCAATAGGTTTTAGGGAATAGGTGGTTTTTGGTTATAGGGATAAGTTATTCTGTTCTGTGGTGATTTCTGAGATTTTCATGCACCCGTCACCCGAGCAGTGTACACTGTACCCAATATGTGCTATTTTATCCCTCACCCGCCTCCCACCCTTTCCCCCAAGTCCCCGAAGTCCATTATATCATTCTTATGCCTTTGTATCCTCATAGCAAGAGCAGATTACTTAACTTTCATGTATTTGTATAGTTTTGAGGGTTCCTTTTGGGAGCTAATTTCCAATTTTATTCCACTGTGGTCTCAGAAGATATGATTTTGATTTTCTTAAATTTATTGAGACTTGTTTTGTGGCCTATGATATAGTCTATCGTGGAGAATGTTTCATGTGCTAATGAAAAGAATGTATATTCTGCAGTTGTTGGGTAGAATGTTCTGTAAATATCTGTTAAGTCCATCTGCTCTAGGGTATAGTTCAAGTCCATTGTTTCTTTGTTGACTTTCTGTCTTGATGACCTGTCTAGTGCTGTTAGTGGAGTATTGAAGTCCCCCATTATTATTGTGCTGCTTCTATCTCATTTCTTAGCTCTAGTAGTAATTGTGTTATGAATTTGGGATCTCCAGTGTTATGTGCATATATATTTAGGATTGTATCTTCCGGTTAAACTAATTTTTTTTTTTTTTGAGACGGAGTCTCGCTCTGTCACCCAGGCTGGAGTGCAGTGGCATGATCTTGGCTTACTGCAGCCTCTGCCCCCTGGGTTCAAACGATTTTAATGCCTCAGTCTTCAGAGTAGCTGAGATTACAGGCACCTGCCACCACACCTGGCTAATTTTTTTTTTTTTTTGTATTTTTAGTAGAGATATGGTTTCGCCATGTTGGCCAGGCTGGTCTTGAACTCCTGACCTCAGGTGATCTGCCTACCTTAGCCTCTCGATCTCTCGATTACACAGACTAATCCTTTATTCATGTCCTTTTTTGTCAATTTGTCATTCATGTCCTTTTTGTCATTTTCACTGTTGTTGCTTTAAAGTCTGTTTTATCTAAGAATAGCTACTCCTGCTTGCTTTTGGTTTCCATTTGCATGAAATATCTTTTTTTCACCCCCTTTACGTTAAGTTTATGTGAGTTTTTATGGGCTAGGTGAGTCTCTTGAAGACAGAAGTTACGTGCTTGGTAGATTTTTATTCACTCCACCATTCTGTATCTTTTAAGTGGAGTGTTTAGGCAATTTACATTCAATGTTAGTATTGAGATGTGAGGTACCGTTCTATTCATCATGTTAGTTGTTGCCTAAATACCTTGTTATTTTCATTGCATTAATGTTTATGGGCCCTGTGAGATTCATACATTAAGGAGGTTCTACTTTGGTGTATTTTGAGGTTTTGTTTCAATATTTAGAACTTCTTTTAGCATTTTTAGTGCTGGTTTGGTAGTGGCAAATTTTATCAGCATTTGTTTGGCTGAAGAAGACTTTATCTCTTCATTATGAAGCTTAGTTTTGCTAGATACAAGACTTTTGGCTACAATTATTTTGTTTAAGGAGGCTAAGCATAGGATCCCAATCCCTTCTGGCTTGTAAGGTTTCTGCTGAGAAATCTGCTGTTGATCTGATAGGTTTCCTTTATAGGTTACTTGATGCTGTTGCTTCACAGCCCTTAAGATCGTTTCCTTCATTTTGACTTTAGATAACCTGATGACTTTGTGATGATATTTTTGTGATAAATTTCCCAGGAGTTATTTGAGCTTCTTGTATTTGAATGTCTAGATCTCTAGCAAGGCCAGGGAAATTTTCCTCAATCATTCCCTCAAATAAATTTTCCAAACTTTTAGATTTCTCTTCTTCCTCAGGAATACCAATTATTCTTAGTTTTGGCCATTTAAAATAATCCTGTACTTCTTGGAGACTTTATTCATTTTTTAAATTCTTTTTTGTTGGACTTTGTCAGATTGGGTTAATTCAAAAGCCTTGCCTTTGAGCTCTGAGATTTTTTCTTCTGCTTGTTCTAATCTATGGTTGAAACTTTCCACTGCATTTTGTATTTGTATAAGTGTCCCTTTCATTTCCAGAAGTTGTAATTGTTTTTCTTTATTATATCTATTTCTCTAGAAAATTTTTCATCCTCATCTGGTATTGTTTTTTTAAATTTCTTTAAGTTAGTTCTCACCTTCTCTAGTATCTTCTTGAGTAGCTTAATAATCAACCGTCTGAATTTCTTTATCCAGCAACTCAGAGATTTCTTCTTGGTTTGAACCTATTTCTGGGGAGCTAGTGTGATCTTTTGGGGGTATTATGGATCCCTGTTTTGTCATATTACCAGAATTACTCTTCTAGTTCCTTCTCATTTGGGTAAACTATTTTTTTTTCAAATTGTTCTTGAATATATTTTTGATTGGACTGTGTGTTTTTTAAAATTTCTTATTTTTTTCCCTGTTAAGGGTTGGGCTTTAATGTTTATTTTAGCCTAATTTGATTCTTGGTGCTTCTAGGGGTGAAGTTTCTATGAGATCCTTACTTATAGAGTTTCTGTGTGCTGGCTTTCCCCGATGCTAGTTGCAGTAGTTATATTCTTCCTGTATGGGTGTGTTTACTGTCTTCCATGGAGCTGGAATGGCAGGGATCTCTTGAAACTTATTTTGTGATTTTGTGGTGTACACTTTATTTGTTTATTTAATTTCTCCCCAGTATTTTCTTTAATTAGTTGGTGTTTCAGACTTCAGGCCAATAGAGGAAGTATCCCTGGGTAAGCACTGGTTGTAGCTAAGGCAGGTGGGTAGATATAATATCCGACCATGGGTCAAGGTCACAGCCTTGACAAGGGTGGCCCGGGGGAGCTCTCAATTAGATGTGCTGAGTGTGAGCTACCTCAGCTGCCCTGCCACGACAGCAGGAAATGTATTCACCACAAAGCCTCACTCCTGTCCTAGTGTTTTGGCTGTTCAGACAGACACCTCTTTTCATCTATAGAAATGTTGAAATGTTGATGTTCCAAGTATGGAGGAATTGTGACTCTGTAACTTGTGCAAGCCTGATTCTGGGGGGTAACTGCTCCTGTGGGGCTGCGCTCATCTGGATTGTTCCAGGAAGGCTGTCTATAGGTGCCTCCACACTGCATTCCTGTGGAGGAAGCTCCAGCTGTGTCTGCAGTGGAGTGCCGGGAAGACAAGGACTCCTTATCCAAGGCCTGTCATGATCACAGAGGCAGCCAGCCTGTTAGGGTAGAGGTACAGACTTTCCGTACTGCAGTCAGCACTGCAGTTGTGTCTCTGCTGTGAGAAACTTCCCAGAGTAGAAAGATCTGGAAGTGAAGTCCTGCTGTTCAGATTCTTTTGTCCCACGTGGTGATCCCTTGATGTGGTGCTCTCCCTTTTCCCCTAGGAATGGGGCTTCCTAAGGGCCAGACTGCAGTGATTGTTACTGCTCTTCTGAGTCTAGCCACCAAGTGGGGCTACCAGGCTCTGGGCTGGTGCTGGGGAATATCTGCAAAGAGTCCAGTGATGTGACTGGTCTTTGGGTCTCCTAGCCATGGATACCAGCACTTGCTCTGATGGAGGTGGCAGGGGAGTGATGTAGACTCTGTGAGATTCCTTGGTCATGGATAGGCTTAGTGTGCTGGCTTTCTGGAATGCTGGTTTTGCTAGCAATGAAGTTGTCACGTGAACAGACTCAGGAACTCTGGTTAGCCAGGGTGTTGCAGGCTGTGGTGTTAGGTGTTGTTTTCTTCTACCTGGGAACAGTATTATTCTGCCAAGAGTTGCTCTAATGGCCTGAGTTGGTTGGCCTCTAGCCAGGAGGTGGTGCTTGCAAGACAGCAAAAGCTGCCGTGGTAGTAGTGTGATTTGAGCTTGCACTAAATTGTCCAGGGGAAGTAGTCTGGTTTCTCAAATGATGGGCAGGGCAATAAAGCTCCCAAGGGTTTATGTCTTTTGTGTTCAGCTACCAGAGTAGAGAAATACTATCAGGTCGGGGCAGGGTTAGGCGGGTCTGAGCTCAGATTCTCCCTGCGAGGGGCTTGCCTTGGTCTTTGTTGGGGGTGAAGGGTGGTTCTCAGACCAATAGGGTAATGTTCCAGAGGGGAGTATGGCTGCCTCTGCTGTGCAGGAAAGTTTGCAGAGAGTAGGAGATAGCTGGTAGCAAAAGGCCTCGCCCAGCTCCCACACATTTGGCGAGGCTGGTCTCGCTCTCACAGTGCCCCACTAATAGTGCTGAGTTTAATTCCAGGCAACCTGTACACAGAACTTGGACTTATCCCAGGCCGTAAGCTTCCCCACAAGAAAGCAAGAACCACGTTCAGGCCACACCCCTCCCCATTTGCCAGCAATGCTAGGTCCCCAGCTCCTGTGCTCCTATCTGCTGCAGTTCCCATTTGCACCCAGATTCTGTTCAAGGGAGTTCGTGCCCACTCAAAATTATCGCAAAATTCAGTTGGGAGCTTCTTTCACCCTGCAGCCCTTCCCGAAGTTGATTGGCTACCTTCCCCATGGGGACCCTGTAAGATATAGTCAGGGATGGCTTTTCTGGGTTCAAGCTGGAGACTGGGAATGCCTATAAGGCTCTTCTCGCTGCTGCTTCTACTTTTATATTTTGCACCACTCCCTTAATCTGTTCTAGTTCTAGGTAAGTTTAAAGTCTTCTATGATCTGGATTTTTAGATTCCCCAGTGGGGATGTGTATTCGAAGACAGACTCTCCCCTTCTCCCACTCTGGAAACTCAGTTTTTCAGCCGTCCCATGGAGTTTGCTGTGGTGTGCCACTTCTTTCAAAGAATCTGTGAATTATTTAGGTTTTCCTGGTAAGTTCCTGCAATGGTTCTTGGAACAGAATTTCACAGTGTGAATCTCTACACACTGTTTTGTTCTTCAAGTGGGAGAGGCAAGCTAGCACTACCTCCTATCTGCCCTATTGAAAAACAGATACATGTGTGTGTTTATGTATGTATTTTCTCAGCATAATTTTTATTCCAATAAAATCTTATATAAACTTCCACATTTAGAACAGAATAAAATAGAACTATTCTGAAACTACTTCCATTTCATCAAACTTGTTTCAATCACATGCCAGCCATTACATTCACTGGAACACAGATTAAAAATCACTAGTCAGGATTTAAGGCCCGTCATCACTCTGATCTTCCATGATTCCTTGACTTTGCAATGTTGAGTCAACAGGTCCAAATGACCCAATTACGGTGAACCTTATCTTTATTCACCACTATAGGAGAAATCATGGACTTATTTACCAGTGGCTAACACAGGGAAGATTCATCCAAAGTATTTATTGCCTACCACAATAAACACTCAGTGTTAGATGTGGTGAATTAATTGTTGCAGTCCTATTTTTTTTTAAAAAGATCAAATATCTGTGTTTAATCAGCCATGCACTATGCTAAAAATGAATTTGTCCCATTAAGAAGGGACATCAAGAAATAAAGCCTATCAGGGAGGAAGACAGCTGGAAAAGTTACTGAATTACTGGTGTATGTGTATAATATGTGGTTGTGGAGATGTTTGAAGTTTTTACTGCAGTGAGTTTGCAGTGACTGCATTACTTATAAGTGGCAGCACTATGCGTGAGTTATGCCAGTCTTCCCAAGTAAGTGGCAATAAAAACTTTATAGCATATCACACCGTACCCACATATTTTATTTAAACCACTTATTTTCTTTGGATTGTGTCTCTTTTAAATACATCTCTATTTTTTCCTTCTCACTTATGTTACTCAACATAGAAATATGGCCTCTTTGGAGAGGGTGGGGCCAAGAGCATTTGAAAAGGACAAGGAGGAATCAGTTTATGTTTCAGTTAGAAATGAACGCGTTGGAAAGAAAAAAGAAATGTATGCATTGGTATGGAAAGCCTATAGCATATTTGCTGGTGGTTGTGGTCAAATATGGATTCAGAAGGATAAATTATAGATCATAATTTACAGGAACAAATGGGAAAGACATTTGGAATGCTGGAATGGGAATAAAACCATTAAGTATTGTTGACTGTTTCCACTACCTCTGCCATGGGTTTTTGCCATGTTGGGCAGGCTGGTCTCGAATTCCTGACCTCAGGTGATCCACCCCCCTCAGCCTCCCAAAGTGCTGGGGTTACGGGCATGAGCCACCGCGGCCGGCCCAATCCTTATCTTTAAAAGAGGAATGCATATTTTAGCCTCCATTGCTGGGTAGGGAATTTTTTTTTATCTAATATTTGCTTCAATCTTTACTAAGCACCTTCTAAATCTATTAACTTAAAAAATTTTGAGGTTAGTAACTCAGGAGACATGGAAGAATAGAACATTTGAGTCTGGATGGCAGTAAAATGTACTAGAATGAAGAGGTATGATACTTAGCCACCAGACACTTCCATTTGTGTAGTCTAGATGCTTGAGGAGACATTGTTTTCCATGATGGAATAAACCTTAGTTAGTATCTGACAGTGTCATGAAAGGTAGTGAGCAACACTCCAAGAAGGCAATTGGTATCAAAGGAGGTAACTGTATAAGAAAAACAAATGAAAAAACAACAACAGCAACAACAAAAAAATTGAGATGAATAGCAGGTAGTTTCTATCCTATGGTCATTAATTTATTTATTTTCAATTACATATTTTTGAATACTACTACATATACAGAAATATTTGTGCTCAGTAGAGCCTCTGTCCCAAATTCTCTGGACGTTTACTTTATACAAGATTGGACCTTTAATATTTCTAGCTTTATCTGAATTTCCAATTTTAACATATCACCTACTCTGATTTTAAAGGTTTGTGCTACTTTCTAGCTAATCTAAATCCTTTGAACTTTGTTCATCTATTTGATTAGCCAAAAACATTATTGAATGATGTATTACTAGGCACTGAGACTGTAGTGATCAGAAAGGCAGACATAGCCTCAACTATCCTAGAGCCTACAATGATTTCTTTCCTATTCCCCATACCTAGGTATGAAACCCTGTTATGGTTACTTTCTCATGTAAAAGTGCTGTCCATAAATTTTAATGATGTGTTTATATTTACTGAGAATGCATTTTCTTCAATTTTCTCAGGATTTACTTGCTTTGTTTGGCATAAGCTAACTCAATGAGGAAAGAAGAGTTCGATGATTAATTTTGCATGTCAACTGGAGTGGACCACAAGATGCCCAGATATTTGGTCAAACATTTGCTATGAGTGTTTCTGAGAGAGTGTTTTGGGATGAGAGTAACATTTAAATGTATAGACCAATAAAGCAGGTGACCTTCCATAATATGGGTCGGTCTTATCTAGTCAGTTGAAGGCCAGAATAGAACAAAAAGGCTGAACCCCAAGTAAGACAGAATTCTTCTTGCCCAAGAGCCTTCAAACTGGGATATCACCTCTTTTTTCATGCCTTTAAATTTGAAATGAGCCATTGGCTCTTCCTGGGTCTTGAGTCTGCCAACCTTCAGACTGGAACTATATTATCAGTTTTTCTGGTTCTCAGTCTTTTGGAATTGGACTGAAGCTAAACCATCAGCTCCTCTGGGGTCTCCAGCTTGCTGACTCACCCTGAAGATCTTGAGATTTTACTCACTTTGTTTCTTACCAAATTAGATATTTTCCCTAACTAATTAAATTAGATTGCTCACGTGAGCTAAGTGTGCCTCCCATCACATGTAACATTTATACCATAAATTAGGCTTCCAAATAAATCATTTTGAGGCATTAAAATGTGGATAATTTCAGTACCAAAGCAATTCAGTGTGAAAGGTTCTTGTTGGCCTAAATGCCTTTCCCATAAATCATCATATGAGTAGAGCTGTCCCTGTTGACCACTGATACCACCAGCCAATCTGTTAGACATTGAACATACCTTTAATATATAGCAAATAATAATAATATCGTGCATGTATATTTGTGTTGAAGGCAATGTGTAATTAAGAGCAGGGAATTTCAGCATTAGTAAGGTCGTTCTTTCGTTTTTATTTCTGTTTTGGTCTGGATAGAAACCAACTCATTTTTCTTTTATTTGACATTTTATTTTAAGTTCAAGGGTATAAGCGCAGGTTTGTTCCATAGGTAAATTTGTGTCATGGAGGTTTGTTGCACAGATCATTTCATCACACAGGTATTCGGCCTACTACCCATTTGTTATTTCTCCTGATCCTCTCCTTCCTTCCACCCTCCACCCTCTGAAAGGCCCCACTGTCTCTGGTTCCCCTCCTTGTGTCCATGTGTTCACATCACTTAGCTCCAACTTATAAGGGAGAACATGTGGTATTTGGTTTTCTGTTTATGTGTTAGTTTGCTAAGGATGATGGCCTCCAGCTCCATCCATGTGCCTGCAAAGTGCATACTCTTTGGTATGGTTTGGCTATGTCCCCACCCAAATCTCAACTTGAATTGTAGTTCCCATAATGTCCATGTGTCATGGGAGGAACCCAGTGGGATGTAATTGAATTATGGGGACTGTTACCCCATGCTGTTCTTGTGATAGTGAGTGAGCTCTCACAAGATCTGATGGTTTTATAAGGGACTTCCCCCCAACCTTGTTCAGCACTTCTCTCTTCTGCCTCCATGTGAAGAAGGATGCATTTCCTTTCCCTTCAGCCATGATGGTAAGTTTCCTGCGGCCTCCCCAGCCATGCTGAATGATGAGTCAATTAAACCTCTTTCCTTTATAAATTACCCAGTTTCAGGCAGTTCTTTATAGCAGTGTAAGAATGGACTAATACAATCTTGCTCTTTTTTATGGCTCCATAGTTCCAGTACCACATTTCTTTATCCAGTCAATAATTGATGGGCATTTAGACTGATTCTATGTCTTCACTATTTTTAATAGTGCTACAATGAGCATACACATGTATGTTTCTTGGTAATATTAAATAGAATGACTTATATTCCTTTGGGTATATACCCGGTGATGGGATTGCTGGGTTGAATGGTAGTTCTGTCTTTAAGTCTTTGAATTGCCACACTGTCTTCCACAATGGCTGAACTAATTTACACTCCCACTAACAGTGTATAAGTGTTCTTTTCCTCCACAATCTCGCCAGCATCAGTTATATTTGACATTTTAATAAAAGCCTTTTCTGCCTGGTGTGAGATGGTATTTCATTGTGGTTTTGATTTTCATTTCTCTAATGATTGGTAGTTTTTATATTTTTTGACCACATGTATGTCTTCTTTTGAAAAGTGTCTGTTCATGTCCTTTGTCCACTTTTATATGGGGTTGTTTGTTTTCTTGTAAATTTTGTTTACGTTCCCTATAGATGTTGGATTTTAGACCTTTGTCACATGCATAGTTTGCAAAAATTTCTCCCATTCTGTAGATTGTTTGTTTACTCTGTTGACAGTTTCTTTTGTTGTGCAGAAGCTCCTTAGTTTAATTGGATCCCATTTGTCAAGTTTTGCTTTTGTTATAATTGCTTTTGGCATCTTTGTTATGAAATCTTTGCCCATGCCTATGTCCTGAATGTTATTGCCTAGGTTGCCTTCTAGGCTTTTTAGTTTTGGGTTTTACATTTAAGCCTCGAATCCATCTTGATTTAATTTTTGTATATGGTGTATGGAAGGGCTCCAGGTTTAATCTTTTACATATGGCTAGCCAGTTGTCACAGCACCATTTATTGAATAGTGAATCCTTTCCCCTTTGCTTGTTTTTGTCAGGTTTGTTGAAGATCAGATGGTTGTAGATGTGCAGTCTTATTTCAGAGTTCTCTATTCTGTTCTGTTCGTCTACATGTCTGATTTTGTATCAGTACCATGCTGTTTTGGTTACTGTAGCTCTGTAGTATAGTTTGAAGTTGGCTAGCATGATGCCTCCAGCCTCCAGCTTTTTTTTTTTTTTTTTTTCTTTGCTTAGAATTGTCTTGGCTATTTGGGCTCTTTTTTGGTTCCATATGAATTTTAAAATAGTTTTCTCTAGTTTGTGAAGAATGTCAATGGTAATTTAATAGGAATAACATTGAATCTATAAATTGCTTTGGGCAGTGTGGCCATTTTAATGATATTGATTCTTCTTATCCATGGGTATGGAATGTTTTTTCACTTGTTTGTGTCATGTCTGATTTCTTTGAGCAGTGGTTTATAGTTCTCCTTTTAGAGATCTGTCACCTCTCTAGTAAGCTGTATTTCTGCATATTTTATTATTTTATGGCAATTGTGAATGGAACGTCATTCCTTATTTGGCTCTGGGGTTGACTGTTATTGGTATATAGGAATACTAATGATTTTTTGCACATTGATTTTATATCTTGAGACTTGGCTGAAGTTGTTTATCAGCTTAAGAAGCTATTGGGCTGAGACTATGGGGTTTCTGTATAAAGTATCGTGTCATCTGCAAACAGGGATAGTCTGACTTCCTCTTTTCCTATTTGGATGCCCCTTATTTCTTGCTCTTGCCTGATTGCCCTGGCCAGAAATTCTAATACTGTGTTGAATAGAGGTGCTGAGAGAAGGCATCCTTGTTTTGTGCCCATTTTCAAGGGGAATGGTTCCAGATTTTGTCCATTCAGTATGATGGAGAACAACACATTTTTCATGCTGCCATCTAACCAGGAAACAGCAGGATTATCAGGTAATAAAATCCATAAAAGATTACTTCTACAAACAGTGTCTATTAGGATATATTTAGCCAAGTTCATGAAAACATGACTGATACCTAATGTGAATATTTAAAATATGCTGAGCCTGTGATATCCCCTTTTTATCTCCTCTATCCCCACTTTTCTGCTGCCAAAAGAAGTAATTTTCCCTGGGTCATGATGACTTATTTAAAAATGATCGTACTAAGAAGATGTTAAACTGGCCACAAAAGTGATAACATTAGCTCTTCCAGGCTATTGCACATCTCATTTATACTTTTAATGATTCGTATGTTTTCCAAACCTTTATACAATTAATACTACTTAATAGGTATGGAAATATTCTTAGGACATTCATCCAAGGAGATAACATATTTTTTAATGGCTGCAATATAAAGCTTTAAGCAAATGAGTTTCTCAGATGATACTGTTCTGTGTGTCAAAGTAGATATTTTCAAATTGTGCACATTAAAATTTTGACTGCAGATATCCCCTTTAATGTATGCTTTCCTGGCTGCAGGGGTGGGGTGGGGTAGAAAAAATCATTACTAATTGATATGCCTTAATGACCTGAGAGCTTTCAGAGTTGGGTGAACCTAAGAGAAATGGTAAGAGGTATATATTTGATTCTAATTATGCATGGCACATGCTGAAAGTAGACCCATTGTGACAGTTATATCATTGTCAAATTGCTAGACCTCACATTTTCTACTAATTTGACACTATTACCAAACACTGCCTCACTGAATTCATGAAAAGTGAAATAATGGATGAGGGCAGGAAAAAAGTAGAACTTTGTGATCTGTACTTGCTGTGGAGATTACTATATTAAAAGGAAAAGGGTAAGAACATTCCAAATTTGCTCTTCTAGCTATTTTGAAATATACAATATATTATTGTTAACTAGAGTCACCCTACTGTGCAATGGAACACTCAAACTTATTTCTCATATCTAACTGTAACTTTGTACCCATTGATCAACCTCTCCTCATCTCCCTTCCCCATTACCCTCCCCAGCCCATGGTAATTGCTATTCTTCTCTGTATTTCTATAAGGCCAACGTTTTTAGATTCCACATATGAGTAAAATCGTGTAGTATTTGTCTTTCTGTGTCTGGCTTATTTCACTTAACATAATGACCTCCAGGCTCATCCGTGTTGCTGTACCCCATAAATATGTGCAATTGCTATGTTCAGCCCACATAAAAAGAAAAGTGGGCTGAAAAGAAACCAAACTTGTTTTGGTAAATTACTTTAACGGACTTTGCTTTTTTTTTCCTTATGGCTTTCTCATCATAAATTTGAAAACCAGGGCAGCAGAGACCTAAACATTTATTTGGATTATTTATTGACAAGCTTCAAGTCAAGAATTGGGTCTGTTGAGCACTTCCTGGGTAATTAGGTTCCTTTGATAACTAGTGGTGGAATTTGGGTTAATATTTGCTTTTCCAAAACTGAAAACCAACAGTAGCACTTGTCTGGATGCATTTTCTCTAAGCTTACAGGCTTTTATGTTGGTTAATTTATTTTAACATAGCAAACTTTGTTAACCTTCCCTCACTTTTTTGGGAAGTAGGGAAAATTAAATATGATTTGGGAGAAAATGAAAAGCTAGATATTAAGTTTACCTATCTTATGAAAGCCATTTGATTGCTTCCTAAACGTATCATGTATTGGGCAGAGGGGTTCTGCTCCTGGACTTTCTCCTGGTATAATTTTGTTTCTGGAAGAAATACATGGGGTTATTTCAGGTTCATCATCTGAGTCAGCTAAAGGTACAGAGTCAAATTAGAGCTTGAAGAAGAAAGTGTATCACTCTCAGATCTGTTTCTCATGATCAACAAGTATGAGAACTCAAAGGGACCCAATTAACATCCTAATCCAACCTTCAAGCAGTGGACAAGTTATGTTGGATCTGTAATTGGTCATAATTAAGATTCTGAAGGACATCTAGGATCAGCATTAGTTTAATAATGAGTAATCATTGGCCTTCAAAAGAAAAAGCTTTCAGTATTTTAAGACTTAGAACTCTATTAATAAACATCAGATTCTCTACTGTTTATCAACTTAATAAACACATATTGAACCATATGAAAGACACTTTTTCTACGTATGTGTATTATATACAAATATACACATATGTGTATTATATACATATATACACATATATGTGTATTATATACATATATACACATATATGTGTATTATATACATATATACACATATGTGTATGTATATATACACATATATGTGTATATATACATATATGTGTATGTATACATACACATATGTGTATGTGTATACATATATACACACATACACATACACATATGTATATATACACACATACATATATGTATATATACACATGCACCTACATATATGTTTGCATTTTATGTGTGCATATATATACACATACACACGTGCATATATATAAAAGATATGGTTTGTCTTCTCGAAGAGGGTTACAACATAGTATGGGGAATAAAATATATACACATAAATCTACAAATAAAACAGAATATGGTGAATGCCACAGTAATGTAAGTATGATAGTCATATACTGTCTAAACTGTATGATACTGTCTAAACTGGAATGCTTTTGAGAGTGAAAGGAGGACTATTAATAAATAAAACAGGTAATAGCATCACTGACCCAAGACAATGAGGATGTACATGAATTTTATATATGAATGATATTTTCAAAATGCTGAATTCACAGATGGTCAAGAGCTCTTCAAGCTAGAATGATTAGGGAATTCTTTATGGAAGGGATAGCATTTGAGCCATACTGTGAAAGATGAATACAATCTTAATAGGTAGCTGGAGGAGGAGTCATTGTAAAAGGTGAGATTATAATGAACAAAATCCTGGAGGTAGGAACAGGAGAGGTCTGCTTGAGGAGCAGCAAGAAGTACACCTTAAATTAAGATAAAACAAGGAGTATTTAGAAGATGAAACTGGAGCAGTTGGTTAGGAACAGCACACGTGGGGCTCCATAGCTTTGAATTTTATGCTAAGGAATTTAGATTTTATTTCAGTAGGCATTATGGCTCATTGAAAATGCAGTTGTATTATTTGAGAGGACAGTGATCATCATTGCCTTAATTATTTAGGATTAGATGTATTTTCAAATTATATTTAGCAGAAACCAAAGTGTGAGATAGGCCAATGAGTGGTGTAGTTGTAATATTCAGAGCAAAGTTCATCACCAGAATGTGGAGAGGCTGGATAGACTCTGCTGTGGAACTGCACTGCATGTTTGTAGGGACGAATGTACAAAAGTGTATGTCATTATCTATTGATGTTATTGTTTCTGTTTTCTTGTTGGCTAGCTGAACAAGGATCTTTTCATTGTGTATCTTATTTGGCTTTTACAGATTTATGTCCTGTATTTTGTTGAATCAAGGTTTTCCTTTTCTTTTTCTCAAAATTGACTTTTGTTTGGTATAGGCAAACGTGGCCTTATCTTTTCAATAAGTCCACATTTATTTCCTATAATAGGCTTTATTTTACCATATTTTATAAAGGTATTTCTGATTATTCTTCATCTTCCTTTTTATGCTTAATATATTTAGTCAGTTTTCAAAAAGGAATACACAATAATCAAAATAGAAGACTCACAGGAAATGTAGCTTTCTGTCTTAACAACATGCAATTATTTTTGAATATTTGCACTGAAAACACTTGGATGAGAAGTTCATGAAGTCTATATATATATATACACACACATATATATACACACACATATGTGTATATATATGCACATATAAATGTATGTGTATATATATGCACATAAATGTATGTGTGTATATATTATATATATATTTTATATATATACTATATAGTATATATATATTTTATATATACTATATAGTATATATTTTATATATATACTATATAGTATATATATTTTATATATATACTATATAGTATATATTTTATATATATAATATAGTATATATTTTATATATATACTATATAGTATATATTTTATATATATACTATATAGTATATATATTGTATATATATACTATATAGTATATATATTGTATATATATACTATATATACTATATAGTATATATATTGTATTAGTATATATATTGTATATATATACAATATATATACTATATAGTATATATACTATATAGTATATATATTTTATATATATATACTATATAGTATATATATTTTATATATATATACTATATATATTTTATATATATAGTATATATATTTTATATATATACTATATATATACTGTATATATACTATATATAGTATATATACTATATATAGTATATATAGTATATATATATATTTTATAGGCTGAGTCTCACTCTTGTCACCCAGGCTGGAGTGCATTGGTGTGATCTCAGCTCACTGCAACCTCCGTCTCCTGGGTCCAAGGGATTCTCCTGCCTCAGCCTCTCTAGTAACTGGGACTACAGGTGCCCGCCACCATGCCCAACTAATTTTTGTATTTTTAGTAGAGATGGGGTTTCACCATGTTGGCCAGGCTGGTCTTGAACCCCTGACCTCAAGTGATCTGCCCGCCTCGGCCTCCCAAAGTGCTGGGATTACAGGCGTGAGTCACCGTACCTGGCCAATGTCTTTATACTAAAGCTTGTTTGAATTCTCCCATTCAACCTTATGCTGCTGATGTGTGAGGCTGTAATATTGGGGTTACTTTCCAGTCCAGGCTAACCAGAATCATAGTTGTTTCAACTTGACACCTATTATACTGTGGTAAACTAGAAGATTGTAAAACATAAAAGAAGAAAGGAACTAGATTAGATTCTGCTTAATTTGACACTTATATATGAATTTCAGAAGCTTTTATTTTGTTACCCCATAATTTGAACTCTGACTGTAGTACACAATGGCTCCTAGCATGTTTCACTGGATCATGTCAACAGACTTTATTCAAATTCTACCAGAAAAAGGCAGAGAAGATGGCAAAATAGGAGGCTCAATTATTCCTCTTCCCCACAAGCACACCAATTTAATGACTATCTACACACTCAAAACAACTTCATTAGAACCAAAACTCAGGTGAGCCCTCATAGTACCTGGTTTTAAATTTATATCACTGAAAGAGGCACTAAAGAGATAGAAAAAATAGTCCTGAATCCCTAAAGCCACCTCCTTCCCCTGAGACTGCTCCCTTCCTAGCAGCGGCAGCATGGTGTAGAGAGCAAACCTGGGTGCTGGGGGAGGGAGAACACCACAATTGTGAAGCATTGAACTTAGTGATTTCCTGTTAGGGCAGAAAGGAAAACTGGACCAAACTCAGCTAACACCCACCAATGCAGGACGCATTTAAACCAGCCCTAGCCATCCAAAATTGAGTTACCACAAACCTGGACTCCATGGGCTATAGTGCTCTGGGCCTCTAAGAAAACTTGAAAGGCAGTCTAGGCCATAAGCACTGCCATTCTTAAGTGAGTCCTAGTGCTGATTTAGGCCTACAGACAGTGGACTGGGTTGGGACACATGATATACTGAGACACCCGCTGGGGCAACCAAGGGGATACTGGCATCTCCCCTCCTCTAACCCCAGACTGCACAGCTCACAGCTCCAAAAACTGTCTCCTCAAACCCCTTCCTTCTGCTTGAGTAGAGAAGAGGGAAGACTGGGGAGGACATTCTCTTGCATGTTGGATACCAGCTCAGCCACAACAAGATACGACACCAATCAGAGTCATGAAGCCCCCGTGCTAGGCCCTAGCTCCTAGATGACAATTCTAGACATACCCTTGGACAGAAGGGAACCTACTACCTTAAAGGGAAAGACCCAGTCCTGGCAGGATTCATCACCTGCTAACTGAAGAACCCTTGGGCCCTGAATAATCAGCAGTGATACCCAGGTACTGTGTCGAGGGCCTTGGTTGAGACTCTGAGATTTGCCAACTTGAGGTGAAACTCAGCATATCCCCACTTGTGGTAGCTAAGGGCAAGACTTCTTCAGCTTGAGAAAAGCAGAGGGAAAAGTAAAGGGAACTTTGTCTTGTACCTTAGGTACCAGCTGTGCCACAGAGGGGTAGTGCACCAAGCAGGCTCTTGGGGTCTCCGATTCCAGAACATGGCTTCTGGATGACATTTCTGGACCTGCCCTGGGCCAGAGGGGAGTGCACCGCCCTGAAGGGTGAGTCCCAGGACAGGCAGCATTCATCACAAACTGACTATAGAGCCTTTGGGCCTTAAGGGAATATTGAAGGTCATCTGGCAGTAATCCTCCTGGGTCTGTGAAGTACTGGCTACAGGGTGGGGCTCCTCTGCCTTTGGAAAGAAGAACTGCATCTTGTAGTTTGAGTGCCAGTTCAGCCCCAGTACAATTGAATACCAGGTAGACTTCTAAGGTTTTGAATCTAGTTCCTGTCTCCTGAACAGCACCTCTGGGCTCGCCTAGGGCATGGGGGAACTTGCTGCCCCAAAAAGGAAGGACACAAGCCTGGATGGCTTTGTCACTTGCTGATTGTAGAGCCCCAGAACCTTGAGCAAACAAAACAGGCAGTAACCAGAGTGTGGCTACAGCAGGCCTTGGGTGAGACCCAGTGCTGTCCTGGCTTCAGGTCTGACTCAGCACCGTCATAGTGGTGGTGGCCAAAGGGGTGCTTCGGTCACATCACCCCCAGCTTTAGGAGCCTCAGCACAGAGATAGAGAGACTCCATTTGTTTCAGAGAAAGTAAAGGAAGAGAACAAGAATCCCTGCCTGGTAATCTAGAGAATTCTTCTGGATCTTTTCCAAGGCCATGAAGGCAGTACCTTTATGAATCTGCAAGAACTAAAGTGTTCCTGGGCTTGAAGTGCCCCCTAAAACAGATACAGCTTAGATTAAAACACCCAAGTCCTTTCGAATAACCACAAAGCCTTCCTAAGAAGGACGAGTGCAAACAACCCCACACAGTGAAGACTACAATATATATGTAACTGTCCAATGCCCAGACAAAAAAGAACGTCTAAAAAAGTATTAAGACAATCCAGAAAAACATAACCTCACCAAATGAACTAAATAAGGCACCAGAGACCAATCCTAGAGAAACAGAGATATGTGACCTTTTAGACAGAGAATTCAAATAGCAGCTTTGAGAAGACTCAAAGTAATTCAAGATAACACAGAAGGGATTCAGAATAATATCAGATAAACTTAACAAAGATATTGAAATAATTAAAAAGAATCAAGCAGAAATTCTGGAGCCAAAAATTGCATTTGGCATACTGAGGAATGCATCAGTGTTTTAGTACCAGAATTGGTCAAGCAGAAGGAGGAATTCGTGAGCTTGAAGACAGGCTATTTGAAAATACACATTCAGAGGAGACAAAAGAAAAAGGAAAAAGAAAACAATGAAACATGCCTACTAGATCTAGAAAATAGCCTCAGAAGGGCAAATCTAAGAGTTATTTGCCTTAAGGATGAGGTAGAGAAAGAGATAAGGGTAGAAAGTTTATTGAAAAAGATAATAACAGATAAATTCCCAGATCTAGTGGAAGAGATCAATGTCCAAGAGGAAGAAGATTATAAAATACCCAGCAGATTTAATCCAAAGAAGACTACCTCAGTGCATTTAACAATCAAACTCCCAGAGGTCAAGGATAAAGAAAAGATCCTAAAAGCAGCAAGATAAAAGGAAAAAAAAATACAATGGAACTCCAATATGTCTGGCAACACATTTTTCAGTGGAAACCTTACAGGCCAGGAGGGAATGGTGTGACATATTTAAAGTACTGAAGGAAAAGGCTTTTACCCTAAAATAGTATATCTGGTAAAAATGTCCTTCAAATGTAAAGGAGAAATAAAGACTTTATCAGACAAACAAAAGCTGAGGGATTTTATCAATACCAGATCTGTCCTACAAGAAATGCAAAAAAGGAGTACTTCAATCAGAAAGTAAAGCATGTTAATGATCAATTAAAAATCATCTGAAGTTACAAAACTCAGTAGTAATAGTAAGTACTCAGAAAAAGCCAGAATGCTATAACACTGGAATTGTGATGTGTAAACTACTCTTGTCCTAAGTAGAAAGAATAAATGATGAAGCAATGAAAAATAATAATACAACAACTTTTTAAGACATGGACAGTACAGTAAGACATAAATAGAAACAACAAAAAGTTAAAAAGCAGGGGGACAAAGTTCAGACATAGAGTGTTTATTTTTCTCTTTGCTTGTTTATGTGTTTATGCAAACCGTTAAGTTGTCATAAGTTTAAGATAATGGATTATGAGAGAGTATTTGCAAGCCTCATGGTAATGTTTAACCAAATGCATACATTGGATACACACACACAAAAAAATTAAAAAAACAAGAAACTAAGTCATATCACCAGAGAAAACCATCTTCACTAAAGGAAGACAGGAAGGAAGAAAAAATGAGGAGAAGACCAAAAAACAACCAGAAAGGAAATAAAATCTGAAGGGTAAATCCTTATCTATCAATAAAACCACTGAATGTAAATGGACTAAACTCTCCAAACAAAAGACATGGAGTGGCTGAATGGATTAAAAAAATAAGACCTGTTGATTAGTTACCGGCAAGAAAAAACACATCACCTATTAAAAACACACATAGATTGAAAATAAAGGGATGGAAAAAAGATATTCCATGCGAATCGAAATCATAAAAGAGCAGGAGTAGCCATACTTACATCAGAAAAGATAGATTTTAAGACATAAACTATAAGAAGCGACAAAGAAGGTCACTATATACTGATAAAGGAGTTAATTCAGCCAGAGGATATAACAATTTTAAATATATAGACACCCAACATTGGAACACTCAGATATATAAGGCAAATATTATTATAGCTAAGGAAAGAGATAGACCCCAATAAGATAATAGCTGGAGAATTCAACACCCCCTTTCAGCATTGTATAGATCTTTCACATAGAAAATTAACAGTCATCAGATTAAGTCTGATAGACCTTAATCATTGACCAAAGGGAATGCAATAGATATTTACAGAATATTTAATCAAAGACTGCAGAATACACATTATTCCCCTCAGCACATGGATCATTCTGAAGAATAGACCACATGTTAGGTAACAAAACAAGTTTAAAACATTCAAAAAATTGAAATAACATCAAGCATTGCCTCTCACCACAATGGAATAAAACTGGAAATTAATAACAGAAGGAATTTTGGAAACTACACAAATATATGGAAATTAAACATTATGCTTTTGAATGATGAGTGGGTCAATGAAGAAATTAAGAAGGAAATTGAAAAATTTCTTGAAACAAATAACAATGGAAACACAACTATCAAAACCTATGGGATATAGCAAAAGCAGTACTAAGAGGGAAGTTTATAGTTACAAGTGCCTACATCAAAAAAGAGGAAAAACTTCAAATAAAGAATCTAATGATGCATCTTAACTAGAAAAGCAAGATCAAACCAAAGCCCAAATGAATAGAAGTGAAATATTAAAGATCAGGACAGAAATAAATAAAATGGAAATGGAGAAAACAATACAAATGTCAGTGAAACAAAATTATTTTGAAAAGTTAAACCCAATTGACAAACCTTTAGCCAGACTCACTGAGAAGAAAGAATATACAAGTAAACAATTTGAGAAATGAAAAAGGAGACATTAAAACAGATACTGCAGAAAATCAAAGGATCATTAGTGGCTACTATGAGCAACTATACTCTAGCAAAATGAGTGATCTAGAAGAAATGGACAAATTCCTAGACACATACAACCTACCCAGATTGAACTAGGACAAAATCTAAGATCTAAACAGACTAATAACAAATGAGATCAGAACCTTAATAAAGGTTTTCCCAGTAAAGAAGACCCAGAGACTGGCTGACTTCATTGCTGAATTCTACAAAACATTTAAATAAGAAACGATACCAATCCTACTAAACTATTCAAAAAAATAGAGGAGGAAAGAATACCTCCATATTCATTCTATGAGGCTGGTATTACCCTGATAGCAAAACCAGAGAAAGATACATCAAAAAAGAAAACTACAGGCTAGTATCTCTGGTGAATATTGATTCAAAAATCCTCAGCAAAGTAAACTGGGGCGGGGCCAAGATGCCTGACTAGAAAGGGTGGTGTTCGGAGGCTCCCATTGAAAAAAAAAAATAATGTTTGAATCCTTCACCAGCAACCAAGGTTTCCAGGTTCTCTCATCAGGACTGACTAGGAGGCTGGCGTGACCCATGAAGAGAAGGAAGAACAGTATGGTGAGGCGGCCCACTTGAGAGCCACATGGAGCAGGGGAGCCCCCTTCCCCTAGCCAAGGGAGGTGGTGAGTAGGCTACCCAGTCGGGGAAACTGTGCTTTTTCCATAGAACTGTGCAACCCATGGATCGCAGGATTCCATTGGTGAGCCCATGCCACCGGGGCCTAGCGTCCCAACCCAGGAATGTACACATTCTCAACAGTCTCTCAGCTGGTATCTGCTTAAGCTTAGGGAACTCCCAGGGGAAGGGGTGACCAGCACCACAGCTGCAGCTGCCTGTTGTCTAAGCCATTTGAACTCCTTGGCTGGGGGGGCAACAGCCAGCAGTGGGACTCACAACTGCCTAACATGCTAAGTGCCCTGGGCAAAGGAAGGGTGGCATCCACCTCTAGAGCTCCAGGCTGCACTTTTCCCCTGCTGCAGCCAGGGAGGCTGGACGGCTTGGTTCCAAAACTTGTCCCCCAAGCCCAACACACTTGCTGTGGCAGTCTGTGGCCAGAATGCCTTTTCAGGCCTGACCTTGGCCCATCCTTCCTCATTGGGCAGGGTTTCCCTGCAGGAGCTCCAATAACTCTAGCCAGAGGCTCAGGGACAGAACCTGTATCTCCCGGGGCCGGAGCCGCTAGGGGGAGGGTTGACTCAGTCTCTGTGGGCCAGCAGACTTAGCCTTTCCTTTGGTAGTTCTGAGGAATCCGGGCAGCCCAGAAAAGTGGGTTTCCCCCCAGCAAGGCACATCCCCTGCACCAAGGGACAAAGTGCTTCTTTAAACAGGTCCTGTTCCCCATGCCATCCAACTGGATGAGACCTTCCAACAGGAGTTGTCAAACACCCTATACAGGGAACGATCCTACTGGCATCAGGGTGGTGCCCCTCAAGGTCAGAAGTCCCAGAAGAAGGAACAGGCACCTATCTTTTGCTGTTCTCCAGCCTCCTTGACTGACATCTCCAGGTGTGGGAGTGAATCAGATGAATATGGCCTGAAGTGAACCCCCAGCAAACTGCAGCAGCCCTACAGAAGAGAGACCTTACCATTGAAAGGAAAACAAATAAGTAGAAAGCATCAACAACATCAACAACAGCGACAACAACAAAGCCCCCACAAAAACCACATCCAAGCATCAGCAGCCTCAAAGACCGAAACTAGACAAACTGATGAATATGAGAAAGAATCAATGAAGAAATGCTGAATACCCAAAAAGCCAGAGTGCCTCTTCTCCTCCAAATGATTGCAATGTCTCTCCATCGATGGCACAGAACTGGATGGAGGATCAGATGGACGAATTGACAGAAGTAGGTTTCAGGGCTGGGCGCAGTGGCTCACGCCTGTAATCCCAGCACTTTGGGAGGCCAAGACAGGCAGATCACGAGGTCAAGAGATCGAGACCATCCTGGCCAACATGGTGAAACCCTGTCTCTAGTAAAAATACAAAAATTAGCTAGGTGTGGTGCCACGTGACTGTAGTCCCAGCTACTCGGGAGGCTGAGGCAGGAGAATTGCTTGAGCCCGAGAGGCAGAGGTTGCAGTGAGCTGAGATCACGCCACGGCACTCCAGCTTCAGCCTGGCGACACAGCGACACTCCAAAAACAAACAAAAAAAAAGAAGTAGGCTTCAGAAGATGGGTAATAAAAATCTACGCTGAGGTAAAAAAGCATGTTCTAACCCAATGCACAGTAGCTAAGAATCTTGATAAAGGTTAGAGGAATTGCAAACTAGAATAACCAGTTTAAAGAGGAACATAAAATGACTTGATGGAGCTGAAAAACACAGCACGAGAACTTCCTGAAGCATACACAAGTATCAACAGCCAAATTGACCATGTGGAAGAAAGGATATCGAAGCTTGAAGACCACCTTGCTGAAATGAAGTATGCAGACAAGACTAGAGAAAAAAAGAATGAAAAGGAATAAACAAAGCCTCCAATAAAATTTGGACTTTATAAAAAGACCAAATCTATGATTGGTTGGAGTACCAGAAAAAGATGGGGAAAATGGAAACAAGCTGGAAAACACACTTCATATTATCCAGAAATTCCCTAACCTAGCAAGACAGGCCAACATGCAAATTCAGGAAATACAGAAAATAACATTAAGATACTCCATGAGAAGATCAACCCCAAGACACATAATCATCAGATTCTCCAATGTCAAAATAAAGGAAAAACTGTTAAGGGTGGCCAGATAGAAAGGCCAGGTCACCTATCAAGGGAAGCCCATCAGACTAACAGCAAAACTCACAGCAGAAACTCTACAAGCTAGAAGAGATTGGGGGCCAATATTCAACATTCCTAAAGAAAATAACTTTCAAATCAGAATTTCATGTCCAGCCAAACTAAGCTTCACACATGAAGGAGAAATAAAATCCTTTCCAGATGAGCAAATGCTGAGGGATTTTGTTACCACAAGGCCTGGCCTGCAAGAGCTGCAGAAGGAAGCACTAAATATGGAAAGGAAAAACCAGTACCAGCCACTGCAAAAACACACTAAAATACAAAGACCAATGACACTATGAAGAAACTACATCAACTAGTATGCACAATAACCAAATAGCAGCATGATGACAGGATCAAATTCACACATAACAGTACTAACCTTAAATGTAAATGGGCTAAATGCCCCAAATTAAAAGACACAGACTGGCAAATTGGATAAAGAGTCAAGACGCATCAGTGTGCTGTATTCAAGAGACCCATCTCAGATGAAAAGACACACATAAGCTCAAAATAAAGGGATGGAGGAAGATTTACCAAGCCAATGGAAAGCAAAAAAATAAATAAAAATAAAAATAAAAATAAAAAAAAGCAGGAGTTGCAATTCTAGTCTCTGAGAAAACAGAGTTTAAACCAACAAAGATCAAAAAAGACAAAGAAGTGCATTACATAATGGTAAAGGAACAATTCAACAAGAAGAGCTAACTATCCTAAATATATATGCACTTAATACAAGAGTACCCAGATTCATAAAACAAGTTCATAGAGACCTACAAGGAGACTTAGACTTCCACAAAACAGTAGTGGGAGACTTTTACACCCCACTGTCAGTATGAGACAGATCAACGAGACAGAAAGTTAAGGATATTCAGGACTTGAATTCAGTTCTGGATCAAGTGGACATGGTAGACATTTATGGAACTCTCTACCCCAAATCAACAGAATATATATTCTCAGTGCCACATGGCACTTATCCTAAAATTGACCACATAATTGGAAGTAAATGCAGCAAATGCAAAAGAACTGAAATCATAAAAACAGTCTCTCAGACCACTGTGCAATCAAATTAGAACTCAAGATTAAGAAACTCAAGCAAAACCACACAATTACATGGAAACTGAACAACCTGCTCCCAAAAGGCTCCAGCATAAATAATGAATTAAGGCAGAAATCAAGAAGTTCTTTGAAACCAATGAGAACAAAGAGACAACATACCATAATCTCTGGGACACAGCTGAAACAGTGTTTAGAGGGAAATTTATAGCACTAAATGCCCACAGGAGAAAGCAGGAAAGATCGAAAACCAACACCCTAACATCACAATTAAAAGAACTAGAGAAGCAAGAGAAAAAAAAATTCAAAAGCCAGCAGAAGACAAGAAATAACCAAGATCAGAGCAGAACTGAAGGAGATAGAGACACAAGAAACCCTCCAAAAAAGCAATGAATCCAGGAGCTGGCTTTTGAAGAAATTAACAAAATAGATTGCTAGTTAGACTAATAAAAAAGAAAAGAGAAGAGACTCAAATAGACACAATAAAAAATGATAAAGGGAATATCACCACTGACCCCACAGAAATACAAATTACCATCAGAGAATACTATAAACACATCTATGCAAATAAACTAGAAAATCTAGAAGACATGGATAAATTCCTGGACACATACACCCTCCCGCGACCAAACCAGGAAGAAGTCGAATCCCTGAATACACCAATAAAAAGTTCTGAAATTGAGTCAGTAATTAATAGCCTACCAACAAAAAAAAAGCCCAGGACCAGACAGATTCAAGGCCGAATTCTACCAGAGATACAAAGAGGAGCTGGTGCCATTCCTTCTGAAATTCTTCCCAACAGTTGAAAAGGAGGGACTCCTCCCTAATTCATTTTATGAGGCTAGCATCGTCCTGACACCAAAACATGGCTGAGATATAACAGAAAAAGAGAACTTCAGGCCAATATTCCTGATGAACATTGATGCAAAAATCCTCAATATAATACTGGCAAACCAAATCCAGCAGCATATCAGAAAGCTTATCTACCACTAACAAGTCAGCTTCATCCCTGGGATGCAAGGCTGGTTTAACTTAACCAAATTAATAAACGTAATCCATGACATAAATAGAACCAATGACAAGTACCACATGATCATCTCAATAGATGCAGAAAAGGCCTTTGATAAAATTCAACATCCCTTCCTGTTAGAAACTCTCAATAAATTAGGTACTAATGGAACATATCTCAAAATAATAAGAGCTATTTATGACAAACTCACAGCCAATATCATACCAAATGGGCATAAGCTGGAAGCATTCCCTTTGAAAACCGACACGAGACCTCTCTCACTACTCCTATTCAACATAGTATTGGAAGTTCTGGCCAGGGTAATAAGGCCAGAGAGAGAAATAAAGGGTATTCAAATACAAAGAGAGGAAGTCAAATTGTCTTTGTTTGCAGGCAACATGATTTTATATTTAGAAAACCCCATCATCTCAGCCCAAAAAGTCTTTAAACTGATGAGTAACTTCAGCAAAGTATGAGGATGCAAAATCAATGTGCAAAAATCACAAGCATTCCTGTACATCAACAATATACAAGCAGAGAGCAAAATCATGAATGAACTCCCATGCACTATCGCTACAAAGAGAATAAAATACCTTGTAATGCAGCTAACAAGGGAATGTGAAGGACCTCTTCAAGGAGAACTACAAATCATTGCTCAAGGAAATAAAAGAGGACACAAACAAATGGGAAAACATTCCATCCTCATGGATAGGAAGAATCAATATTGTGAAAATGGCCATACTGCCCAAAGTAATTTATAGATTCAATGCTGTTCCCATCGAACTACCATTGACATTCTTCACAGAATTAGAAAATATAGTTTAAATTTCACATGAAATCAAAGAAAACCCCGTATAGCCAAGACAATCCTAAGCAAAAAGAACAAAGCTGAAGACATCATGCTACCTGACTTCAAATTATACTACCAGGCTACAGTAACCAAAACAGCATGGTACTGGTACCAAAACAGATATATAGACCAATGGAGCAGAATAGAGACCTCAGAAATAACACCACACATCTACAACCAGCTGATCTTTGACAAACCTCACAAAAACAAGCAATGGGAAGGGTTCTCCTATTCAATAAATGGTGCTTTGAAAACTGGCTAGCCATATGCAGAAAACTGAAACTGGAACCCTGCCTTACACCTTGTACAAAAATTAACTCAAGATGCATTAAAGACTTAAATGCAAAACCCCAAACTATAAAAACTGTAAAATAAAACCTAGTCAACACCATTCAGGACACAGGCATGAGCAAAGGCTTCATGACGAAAATGGCAAAGGAATTGCAACAAAAGCTAAAATTGACAAATGAGATCTAATTAAACTAAAGAGCTTCTGCACAGCAAAAGAAACTATCATCAGAGTGAACAGGCAACCTACAGAATCGGAGAAAACTTTTGCAATCCACCCATCTGACAAAGGTCTAATATCCAGAATTTACAAGGAATTTAAACAAATGTACAAGAAAAAAGAAACAACTCCATCAAAAAGTGGGCAAAAGTATACGAAATGACACTTCTCAAAAGAAGACATTTATATTACCAATAAACATGAAAAAAAGCTCAACATCACTGATCATTAGATAAATGCAAATCAAAACCACAATGAGATACCATCTCACGCCAGTCAGAATGGCGATTATTGAAAAGTCAAGAAACAATAGATGCTGGCAAGGCTGTGGAGAAATAGGAATGCTTTTACACTGTTGGTGGGAATGGGAATGTAAATTAGTTCAACCATTGTGGAAGACAGTATGGTGATTCCTCAAGTATCTAGAACCAGAAATGCCATTTGACCCATCAATCCCATTACTGGGTGTATACCCAAAGGAATAGAAATCATTCTTCTATAAAGACACATGCACTTGTATGTTTATTGCAGCACTATTTACAGTCACATAGTCATGGAACCAACCCTAATGCCCATCAGTGATAGACTGGATAAAGATAACATGGTACATATACACCATAGAATACTATGCAGCCATAAAATAAATTCAGTAATGTCCTTTGCAGCCATATGGATGAAGCTGGAAATCATCATCATCAGCAAACTAACACAGGGACAGAAAACGATAAGTGGGAATTGAACAATATATACACATGCACACGGGTGGGAACAGCACACACCGGGGCATATTGAGGATTTGGGGGTGAGTGGGGGGAACCTAGAGCACGGGTCAATAGGTGCAGCAAACCACCATGGCAGATGTATACCTATGTAACAAACTAGCATGTTCTGAACATATATTCCGGAAATTAAAATTAAAAAATTCCCACCCCTTTTCAGCTCTCTTCTCAAAACTTCCTTGTCCAAACATGTTTCCTCTTCCTTCTCTTCCTTCTCTGGCATAATGGCTCCATTTTGGGAAAACCCTGTGTCCAGTGGAGGAGACCTGCCTTGGCTTATTAATGTGGTCAAAAGAAGAACTTAACAGCATAATTAAAGAATTATCGGATCCTCTCCAGAGCCCTAATGGATTTGCTAAAGAACTCAAATTAAACATTTTATCTTGTGACCCTAGATGCTCTGCTTTATATCAATTGGTTCACAAGTTAGTGTTAGAAAGCCAAAGATTGTATAGCAAAGGCAAACTGGTTGAATCCTTTCGAAGACTTCCATAAATTTTCTGAAGCAGATCATGAAGGAACCCGTGATATTGCCAAAGATGTACAAAATGCTATCCTCTTTGTTTTCTAAAGAGTAGTTTATTGAAATAAGGTATAACAATGCTAACAAAATCTTGCTGAGCCTATATTGTCATACTATGAAAGATTTTTAAAAATGTTTAAATGATATTCAGGCCTGTCAGCAGACAGTTGTGCCAATCAGCAACATGACATTATAACTCAAACTATATAAATGCCTTACATGAAGAATTGGCAATTATTATAAAGAAACAACACCCCAGTTGGGCTACCTCTCAAACTTATGATCTAATTAATTTTGGTAATCAAATGTCTTGTACCCTAAGCAAGGAGGTAAAGGAAAGGAAAATTGAGATTATGAGTTTACAACTAATAATGATTGTCCACACAATTTGTAATTCCTAGATAACCTAATAAGTTTGAAAACAGGCCCAATTCTCCACTTTGCAATTACTGCAAAAATCTTGGACATTTTTAAAAGATTTTAGAAAATTAAAATGGGTAGAATAGCAGCAGGTCAGAGAAAAAGAAAAATAGGGGTGCTGCAAAAAAATCAAAGGGACATTTTTTTTCCTTCTCACTAATGCCCTAAGGGAAATTGAAGTTAAATGGAGAACTAATACAAGTTCTTATACATACTACAGCTGCATTATCAGTGAGAAATTTCACCTTATTACAAGGTCCTACTCTTTTGAGTCAAAAAAATATACAAATGATGAGTGAAACACATACCCTTATATCAGTGTATAAATCTCAGTCTATTGTTTTTCAGTTAGATCCCCCACATGGATCACATATTTTCGTCGAGTTCCTCAGCCTCCATCCATTTGATAAGGGAGATTTTTTAGAATCATACAATACTTCTATCTCTTTCTTTGGAAAGGGGAATTGTACTTAGAATTAAAATAAAATTGAGTTCAAAAATTTTTCAAAATCTGATTCTTTTAATTCACATATTGCAATTCATATTGTCATGCAGGAAACTAAATTGTTAAATAATGAATAATTACAAGAGCTATTAAATATAGTACCTGATCAATTGTGGTCAAAATCCTCCACTAACAATAATTTTGGAGAAAATATCTCAAAATAATAATTTAACTACTAATTAAAATATCTCAATAAATTTGAGATAATTTTCAGAAAATTATCTCATTTGTTCCAATGAAAATTCAAATATATCAATCGAAAGCTTTTCTAAAATTTAAATAATATCAGAGGCCTTGAGAAGTATATGACCTATAGTTTTGAATTATGTAAAAGAGGCTTCATTATTCCTGTACAAGCCCATGTAACATTCCAGTTCTCTTCATGAGAAAACCAAACCCAAAAGATGGAGCTTGGTACAGGATCTGAGAGCAATGAATAACATAGTCATTCCTCAACATCCAGTGACCAAACCCCCATATGTTGTTGACTGCCATCTCAACTGAAAGTGAATTATTACTGTAATAGACCTACATAGTGCATTCTTTAGCTTTCTTGTGGGTAAATATAGTCAATTTCTCTTCATCTTCATTTGGGAAGACAGATAATATGTGGACAGTATACTGAGAGCCTAAATTATTTTTAACAAATACTAAATTCAGACCTTTCAGATATCAAGTTCCTTAAGAAATCCGCCCCGATACAGCATGTAGATAACTTACTTCTTTGCTCAGAGGATAAGCAAACCTGTATAGATGCTGGAATTTATTTATTGCAACAATTAGGTTCAAATGGAAACAAGGTCTCAAAAGAAAGACTTTAGTTCCGCCAGAAATAAATAAGATATTTAGGTCACCTGAGATCAAAGAAGGACCTTTTTATCAACCTGGGTAAAATAAAAGGAATATTGTCCTTCCCTACTCCTAAAGCTAAGAAATAACTGAGAGGGTTTTTAAGGTTAGCAGGATACTGTAGAAATTGGATTCCGAACTTCTCTTTAAAAATTCAACTTTTATATAATCTTTGAAAACAAAATAAGTGAGACATTCTGGAATGGACAAGGAAAAATCAGTTGACATTAGAAACAATTAAAAAGAGTCTTAAAGATGCCTCAGTGTTAGGACATCCAAATTATAATCTTTCATCTTGTTTATGAAAATCGGGGAAACACTTTTGGCATTCTGACTTAAAAACATGGAGATCAAATAGACCTGTAGGATACTATAGTCAATGACTGGACCCTGTTGCTAAAGGATTGCCGCTTTGTGTGAGAGCAAAAATTGCTACCACCATGTTAATAAAAGTTGTAACTTTTACAATAAATCTAGAAGCACTTCTAAACTCGCACCACACTCAATATTATTCAGTTAGTAGATTGGCTTCTTATGAAGTTCTTCTCTTTGCTCCCCATATTACCATCTCCATATGTAATAATCTATATCCTGCTATACTTCTTCCTCTGCCTTCAGATAAAATGATACATGATTGCATAATCTTAACTAACCAGCTTCTCTGTCCTAGAATAGACCTGCAAGAAACCTCCCTTACTAATACTGATGTTATATACTTTACAGATGGATCTTACTTAAAGAATGAATCTGGAATTTATCATGCAGATTGTGCTATAGCATCTTTGACTGAAGAGATGGAAAGTGCTGATTTTTTCAGCAGCAACCTCAGCTCAGTAAGCAGAGTTAATTGCATGAATTAAAGCCTTTCAATTGGCAAAATAATAAGTACTAATATTTATACAGATAGAAGATACGCTTTTGTAGTATCTCATGTCTTTAGGATGCTATAGAAACAGGATATTTAACCTCTTCCGGTCAGTCCATAAAAAAATGGGTAGCTTGTCTTAGGTTATTAGAAGTAAAAATATTGCCAAGGTCGTTAACCATTATCAATATTCCAGCCTATTCAAAGCCAGACACTCCAGAAAGCAAGGGAAACCAATGAGCACATAATATAGCAAAAAGGGCCACCCTAAATGCACCTGTACAAGAAAATCAACCCATTTTAGCTTTTAAGAAAGCACTTGATTATGATATAAAATTAGCTCAATCTAAAGCTCTGAAAACAGAACAAGAAAATTGGGAAATAAAAGTGGGACCACACTTCTCAAAGACTGGGCTGTGGTATGGAACAAATGATCTACCCATACTTCCAACTAAATTACAGTCATCTTTCTTAATTTATGCCCAAGGTATAACTCTCTGGAGCCCAGATAAGATAGTTGATTGGGAAATACAATATTATTGGAAACCTTTAGATAGTTCTCAAGGTATTTTCCTTTACTAGAAGTCCCTTTTAAGGTATGGCAACTAGATTTTATTCAGCTACAACCACCACAAGGATACAAGTATATTTTAGTGATGGTTTGTATGTTTTCTCATTGAGCAGAAGCATTTCCATTCAGAAGAGCAACAACCTTAGCAGTAAGTAAAATTCTCATAGAGAAAATTATTCTGACTTGAGGAGTTCCTCTAGAACTTCTGAGCAACAGAGGTAATCATTTTACTGAACAAATAATACAGTCAGTATGCAAAATCTGACCCATTCTCCAACATTTCAATTGTGCCTATCGTTCCCAGACATCTGAGTTATTGGAATGTACGAACAGAATAATCAAAACTCAATTGGCAAAATTAACTGAGGTTTTTAAAAATGCCTTGGCCAAAAGTTCTTCCATTGGTCTTGCTTAACCTAAGATCGTCCCCTTTTGGTAAGCACCAACTGTCTCTGTTTGAAATTATAATGAGCAGACCTATGAAATTGTCTTCAGGAAATCTGGAATCTATGATATTAAAATTAAATATGTTTTATTATTGCAGTGGCTTTATAAAGCAGCTAACTAAAAACTAATTTAGTAAAAGACTGTTTCTACGGTGGGCTCCCGGGAGACAAAAACTCAGACCATGGACTTTAGGAGATATTGTCTATTGGAAATGACATTTTTAAAAAGACTCTCTCCAGCCAAGGTGACAGGGACCTTATTTAGGTGCTCTTAAGCAACCCGTGTGTCACCAAGCTAAAAGGAATTGATTCCTGCATACATATCACTCATTTAAAGAAATCTACCTTGCCAATTTGACTTCATCTCAAACTAGTGATCTAAAATTGAAATCCTCAAGAATCAACAAGGGTGAGAAGAAGATGACATCTGAAGTAGTCAGCTTTCCCAAGTCACCAGACCAGGCCTGTATCTAAATGAATGCTTCATATTAATAATGGGTAATAAATGGGAAGGTATTATAAGTTCTCATTAAATTTCTTTCTTTTCATACCTAGCTCTTATGTTTTGTTGATACTACTACCAGCTTTTCCCCATGAAACAAACCTGTTCTTACAATAGGCTCAGGATTATGCCAACAGGTTACATAAAAATACTTGTTGGGTATGCAACTTCATGCCCTTTTCCAGTGGCTTTAGCCTCCATAGTGGGCATCTCCTCTCCAAGAACAAGATTGTATAACATATCAGAAACATATCTATGCTTTTCAAGAAAAGTCAAGTGCTTAACACTGGTATGACTAAGGATGATATACATCTTTGACTTATTAATAATATTTTGCAAAGCAAAGAGTGTGGGAAGAGCTTTTCAGTAAAAGAAACAAATTCATTAACCTTCACTCTGGCATTGCCACAATTGAGAGATAAGATAACTCAATTCGGTGCTTGTATAATACAAATATGGTATGGTTTTATCTGGCTTACTCCCTCTTTTGGTCAGCTTAGTCAGCAGGCCCCTTTATGTTGAAAACAGAAGAATCACACAAAAGATACATGGCCCAATAACACTAAAGATATGTAGCAGATATCCAAAGAACTATGTATCCACACCATTATGTTACAATGTACTAATTGGCATGCCACTGAATGGGAACAGTGACCAGGTGTTTGTTGGCTATCTCCAAATGGAACAGCTTGGTTGTGCTGCACGAATCTATTGCTGTGGTTACCTCAGCATGGTTAGGATGGTGTTCTTTAGGTTGTGCCCAGGCACAAGGTCAAAAATCTTCCAAAGCCTGAAAATCTTCTTTATGTACAGTCTTATTGGGTTTCTTCTGTATTTTGTTAGTATGATAATTTAGCTTCCATCTTTTTGCCACAACTGGGTATTGAGGATGTTGTTTGTCATGTAAAAGTCCTAATCAATTATACGAAACAGCCCTAAATGACAGCTGCGTGAGTTTCTTGTATTAACCTCTTTTAATTTTGGTATTTATTTGTTTTTATTGCCATCCAAGGAAGTTCAACATTTTTATTATTTCCAAATCTCAAAATGCAGTAGTGTCCTACTAATCGTTCTATTCAGACCCCATTTTCTTCCATTACTTGGTCTTTGACTATTATTAATTGCTATATTCATTAGTGCAGCAGTTCTCAAAGTATGTTCTATGGACTTCTCGGGTGCCAGTGACCAATTTCAGGAGGATAACAAGATAAAAATTATTAAGAAAATAATTTATTAGGTATATTAAGAAAATATTAAGCATCATAATACTACTTATACACAGTACTTATAATAATACCTTTAATAAGAGTATTATAATGTTAAAATACAATGCTGTCTTAAAGAAAATAATTCTGACCTGGTTACTGTTAATAATACTAAGTATTGGTCTTTTATCACAGTATCAGCATTTATGCAAATGGTACAGGAGGCAGTAGTGGTTAAATTGGCAGAGACTTGGCATGAATCATGATGGTGGTACCTGACTTTACAAGCTTCTGTTCTTCAATGATATGCATTCATGGGAAAATCAGGAGTTTTATTTAGGATAATAATTAAATTAAATATTTTCCCCCGAAGGACATGTCTTTTTAGTATTGTGTGTGATAAAATGGGAGACACTTTTTAGTTTCATATTTAATTTTTGATTCAAGGGTACATGTGCAGCTTTGTTACAAAGGTACATGGTGTGATGCTGAGGTTTGGGGTATGATTAAACTCATCACCCAGGTAGTAAGGATAGTACCTGATAGGTAGTTTTTCAACTCTTACCCCTTCCTTCCCCCGCTTTTCTTGTACTCTCCAGTGTCTGTTCTCATCTTTATGTCCATGTGTACCCGATGTTTAGCTCCCACTTATAAGTGAGAACATGTGGTCTTTTATTTTCTTTTTCTGTGTTAGTTCACTTAGGATAATGGCCTCCAACAACATCTATGTTGCTGCAAAAAACATGATTTTATTCTTCTTATAGCTGTGTACTATTTCATGGTGTATATATGCCACATTTTCTTTATCCAACCCACCATTGATGGGCACTTAGCTTGATTCCATGCCTTTGCTATTGTGAGTAGTGCTGCAATGAATATATGCACACATGAGTCTTTTTGATAGAAAAGTTTATTTCCTTTGGGTATATATCCAGTAATGGGATTGCTGGGTTGAAGGGTAGTTCTGTTTTAAGTTCTTTGAGAAATCTCCAAACTGCTTTCCACAGTGGATGAACTAATTTATATTCCCAATAACAGTGTATAAGCATGCCCTATTTTCCGTAGACCTGCAAACATCTGTTTCTTTTTCTTTTTTTTTGTTTTTGTTTTTGTTTTGTTTTTTCTGCTTGTTGATGATAGCCATTCTGACTGGTGTAACATGGTGGTATCTTATTAGGGTATTGATTTGCATTTCTCTGATAATTAGTGACGATGAGCATTTTCTTCATGTTTGTTAACTGCTTGTATGTTCTCTTTTGAGAAGTGTCTGTTCATGTCCTTTGCCCACTTTTTAATGGGGTTATTTGTTTATTGCTTGTTGATTTAAGGTCCTTATAGATTCTGGATATTAGATCTTTATTGGATGCATAGTTTGTGAATATTTTCTCCCATCTATAAGTGATCTGTTTACCCTGATGATGGTTTCTTTTGCTGTGCAGAAGCTCTTTAGTTTAATTAGATCCCACTTGTCAATTTTTATTTTTATTGCAATTGCTTTTGAGGACTTAGCCATAAATTTATTGCCAAGGTCAGTGTGGAGAAGCATATTTATTAAGTTTTCTTCTAGGATTTTTCTAGTTTAAGGTCTTACATTTACGTATTTAATCCACCTTGAGTTAATTTTTGTATATGGTGATAGGTAGAGGTCCAGTTTCATTGTTCTGCCTATAGCTAGCCAGTTATCTCAGCTCCATTTATTGAAAAGAAAGTCCTTTCCCCATTGCTTGTTATTATCGACTTTGATGAAAAGCAGATGGTTGTAGGTGTGCTGCTTTATTTCTGGTTTCTATAATGTGTTTCACTGGTCTATGTGTCTTTTTTTTTCTACCAAATACCATGCTGTTTTGGTTACTATAGCTTTGTAGTACACTTTAAAGTCAGGTAATATGATGACTCTAGCTTTTTTTCTAAATGTAAGATTGCTTTGGCTATTTGGGCTCTTTTATAGTTCCATACAAATTTTAGGGTTTTTTTTTCTAATTCTGTGAAAAATGACTTTGGTATTTTGATTTGAATTGCATTGAATGTATAGATTGCTTTAGGCAGTATGGCCTTCTTAATGATCTGGACCTTCCAATCCATTAGCATGAAAATGAAATCCATTAGCATGAAACAAGACCTTTGTGTCTTTTCTGATTTCTTTCAGCAATATTTTGTAGTTATCCTTATAAAGATCATTTACCTCCTTGGTTAGCTGTATTCCTAAGGTTTCCTTGGTTATCATAAATGGGATTGCATTCCATTCTTGATCTGGCTCTTGACTTAAATGTTAATGATGTATAGAAATAATACTGATTTTTATACATTAATTTTGTATCCTGAAACTTTACTGAAGTTATCAATTCTAGGAAGCATTTCGTGAACTCTTTAGGTTTTTCTAGCTATACAGTCATATAGTCAGAAAAGAGATAGTTTGACTTCTTTTCATATGTGTATCCTTTTTATTTCTTTCTCTTTCCTAATTTCTCTGGTTAGGACTTCTGGTATTATCTTGAATAGGAGTGGGGAGAGTGGACAGACATCCTTGTGTCTTGTTGCAGTTCTCAAGGGGAAAGTTTTTAGCTTTTGCCTATTCAGTATGATGTTGGCTGTGAGTTTGTCATAGATGGCTCTTGTTATTTTGAGGTATGCTTTGTGATGCCTAGTTTGTTGAAGGTTTTTATTATGATGGGATATTGGATTTTATAAAAGCTTTTTCTGCATCTGTTGAGATGATCTTTTTTTGTTTTTAATTCTGTTTATGTGGTGAATCACATTTATTGATTTGCATATATTGAACCAACTTTGCATCCCAGGAATAAAACCTACTTGATTTTCATGAATTTACTTTTTGATATGCTGCTGGACTTAGTTTGCGAGCATTTTGTTGAGGATTTTTGTATCTATGTTCTTCAAGGATATTGGTGTGTGTGTGTGTGTGTGTGTGTGTGTGTGTGTGTGTGTGTGTGTGTGTTTGTGTGTGTTTTCATGTGTCTGCCAGATTTTGGTGTCATGATAATGCTGGCTTTGTAGAATGAGTTGTGGTAGAATCCTCCCTTCTTCATTTTTGGAATAATTTCAGTAGGATTGGTACCAACTCTTTTTTTAGGTCTAGTAGGATTCACATGTGAATCCATCTGGTCCAGGCCTTTTTTCTTACTGGTAGGTTTTTTATTACCGATTCAATTTTGTAACTCGTTGTTCTGTTCAGGGCTTAATTTCTTCCTGGTTCAATCTTGGGTGGTCATATGATTTCAGGAATTTATACATTTCCTGTGGATTTTCTAGGTTGTGTGTGTAGAAATATTTGTAGTAGTCTCTAAGGATATTTTCTATTTCTGTGGAATCAATTGTGTTGTCATCTTTTGTCATTTCTGATTATGCTTACTTGGATCTTCTTTCTTTTTTTCTTTGCTAATCTAGCTAGTGGTCTGTTGATATTGCTTCTTTCAAAGAAACAACTTTTTTGTTGTTGATCCTTTGCTTTTTGCAGGGATCTCAATTTTGTTAATTTCTCATCTGATTTTAGTAATTTCTTTTCCTCTGCTAGCTCTGCGGTTAGTTTATAGTTTTCTAGCTCTTCTAGGTACAATTTAGAATGTTTATTGAGACCTTTCTAATTTCTCAATGTAGGCATTTAGTGCTCTAAACTTTTCTCTTACCACTGCTTTTGCTGCATCCCACAGATTTTAATATGTTGCACCACTGTTTTCATTAATTTCAAATAATGTTTTGAATTCAGCCTTAATGTTGCTGTCTATCCAAAGACATTCAGAAACAAGTTGTTTAGTTTCCATGTATTTTTGTGATTTTGAGATATCTTCTTGGTATTGATTTCTATTTTTACTCTACTGTTCTCTGCAAGTATGCTTGATATAATTTCTGTTTTAAAAAGATTATTGAGACTTGCTCTATGGATGAACATGTGGCCAGTTTTAGAATACAAGATGAGAAGGAAGTGTATTCTGTGGTTCATGGGTAAAGTATTCTGTAGATGAGTACTAGGTCCAATTGGTCAAGTATGAAATTAAGTCCAGAATTTATTTGTGAGTTTTCTGCCCTGATAATCTTTCTAACACTGCCAGTGGAGTACTGAAGTCCCCCACTATTGTGTGGCTGTCTTGTTGTCGGTCTAGATATTCTTGTTTTCTGAATCTAGTTGCTCCACTATTGGTTGTGTGTACGTGTGTGTGTGTGTGTGTGTGTGTGTGTGTGTGTATGTTTATTTATTTATATTATATATTTTATTATATATAAATAAATATATAGTATATATTATATAATATAGTCTATATTATTAATATAGACTATATTATATAATACAGACTCTCTATATATAATATAGAGTCTATATTATATAATATACTCTATATTATATAATATAGTCTATATTATATAATATAGAGTATATTATATAATATAGAGTATATTATATAATATAGTCTATATTATATAATATAGTCTATATTATATATATTTATATATAATATATTATCTGTGGGATCTAAGATAATATATATAAAATATATATTTTATATATAAGATAATATATATATTTTATATATAATATATATTTTATATATATTTTATATATATTTTATATATACTATATTATATATTATATATTTTATATATTATATAGAATTATATATAATATAAATGTATATATGTATATATATTTATGTAATATATATTTAAGCCTTCTTGTTGAATCAAATCCTTTATCAGTGTGTAATGACTTTCTTTGTCCTTTTTAACAGTTGTTAGTTTAACATCTGCTTTACCTTATATAAGAATAGGGATCCCTGCTCTTTTTGTTTTTCATTTGCATGATAGATCTTTCTCCATCCATTTGTTTTGAGTCTGTGGCTATCATTACTTGTGAGATGGGTGTCTTGAAGACAGTAGAAGCTTAGGTCTTATCTTTTTTATCCAAATTGTCACTGTGCTTTTTAAGTGGGACATTCAGAAGAGCTTATTTTAAAGATTAATATTGATATATGACATTTTGTTCCTTTCATTGTGTTGTTAGCTGGTTGCTTTGTAGTCTCGATTGTGTAGTTGCCTTATGGGGACCGTGGGCTATGTACATAAGTGTGTTTTTGTGGTAGCAGGTATCATTCTTTTGTTTCCAAGTTTAGAACTCCTTTAAGAAACTCTTGAAAGACTGGTCTAGTGATAACAAATTTCCTTAGTCTTTGCTTGTCTAGAAAATATTTTATTTCTCATTTGCTTATGAAGCTTAGTTTGGCTGGACATGAAATTATTGGTTGGAATTTCTTTTCCTTAAGGATGCTAAAAATATGACCCCAATCTCTTTTGCCTTGTAAGGTTTCTGCAGAGAAGTCTTCTGTGAGCGTGCCATGGTTTCCTTCGTAAGTGATATGACCCTTTTCTCTAGCTGGGTTTAAAATTTTCTTTTGCATTCACTTTGGAAAGTCTGATGATTGTGTGTATTAGTGTTAGGGATGGTCATTTTCTATAGTATCTCACAGGGATTTTCTGAGTTTCTTAAATGTATGTGTCAACCTATAGTAATATTGGGGAATTCTTGTGGACTATATCCTCAAATATATTTTCCAAAATGTTTACTTTCTCCTTCTCTCTCAGGAATGCTGATGTGTTATAGGTTTGCTCTCTTATTTCCTGGAGGCTTTGTTTATGTTTCAAACTCTTTTTTGTTGTTATTGTCTGACTGGATTTATTCAAAGGACAAATCTTTGAGCTCTGAAATTATTTTCTTAGCTTGTTCTAATCTGTTTTTTCTTAATTTTTGCATTTTTGTGGGTATATAGGTGTATATATTTATGCTGTATAGGAGATGTTTTGATACATGCATGCAATGTGAAATAATGACATCATGGAGAATAGGGTATCCATCCCTCAAGCATTTATCCTTTGTGGTATAAACATTCCAATTATACTCTTAAAGTTATTTCTGAATGTACAATGAAATGATTATTGACTACAGTTACCCTGTTGTGCTATCAAATAGTAGGTTTTATTCATTCTTTCTAACATTGTTTTGGTACATATTACCTATATTCACCTCCCCCCATCCCCTCAATACTCTTCCCAGCCTCTGGTAACCATCCTTCTACTCTCTATCTCCATGAGCTCAATTGTTTTGATTCTTAGATCCCACAGATAAGTGAGAACATGTGATGTTTGTCTTTCTGCATCTGGCTTATTTCACTTAACATCATGATCCCCAGTTCCATCCATGTTTTTGCAATTGACAGAATCTCATTCTTTCTTTTATGGCTGAATAGTATTCCATTGTATATATATACATCACATTTTCTTTATCCATTAATCTTTCGGTGGACACTTAGGTTGTCTAAAAATCTTGGCTATAATAAACAGTGCTGCAAAACATGACAGTGCAGATATCCCTTTGATATACTGATTTCTTTTCTTTTGGGACTACACCTAGGAGTAAGATAGCTGGATCATATGGTAGCACTACTTTTAATTTATTAAGGAATCTCCAAACTGTTCTCCATAGTGGTTGTACTAATTTACATTCCAAAAAAACATGATGTATGAGGGTTCTCTTTTCTCCACAGCCTCAAACAGCATTTGTTATTGCCTGTCTTTTGGATATAAGCCATTTTAGCTGGGATGAGATGATATCTCATTGTAGTCTTGTTTTGCCTCTCTCTGATCATAATGATGTTGAGAAGCTGTTCACATGCCTGCTTGCCATTTGTATGTCTTCTTTTGAGAAATGTCTATTCAAATCTTTTGCCCATTTTTTTGACCAGATTATTAGTTTCTTTCAATAGAGTTGTTTGAGCTCCTTATATATAATGGTTATTAATCTTTTGGCAGATGAGTAGTTTGCAAATATTTTCTCTCATTCTGTGGGTTGTGTCATCACTTGTTGATTGTATCTTTGAAGTGCAGAAGCTTCTTAACTTGATGTGATCGCATTTGTCCATTTTTGTCTTGGTTGACTGTGACTGTGGCATATTGCTCAAGAAATTTTTGCCCAGGCACATGTCCTGGAGATTTTTTTTTCTAATGTTTTCCTATGGTAGCTTCATAGTTTGAGGTCTTACATTTAAGTCTTTAATCCATTTTTATTTGATTTTTGTATATGGCAAGAGATATGTGTCTATATTCATTCTTCTGCATATGGATATCCTGTTTTGCCAGCACCATTTATTGAAGAGAATATCTTTTCCCCTGTGTATGTTCTTGGCACCTTAGTTAAAAATGAGTTCATTGTAGGTATGCAGATTTGTTTCTGGGTTCTCTATTCTGTCCCATTCATCTATGTGTCTGTTTTTATGCCAGTACCATGTTACATTGGTTACTATAGCTCTGTAGAATAAAAGTCAGATAAAATTAGTTTGGATGTTTTTCCTACTCTTCTATATTTTGGTATAGTTTGAATAGGATTGGTGTTAGTTCCTCTTTAAATGTTTAGTAGAATTCAGCCGTGAAGCCATCAGGTCCTGGGCTTTTCTTTACTGGGAGACTTTTTATTATGGTTTCTATCTTGTTACTTGTTAGTGTTCTGTTCAGGTTGTGGATTTCTTCCTGCTTCAATATTGATAGATTTTATGTGTCTCAGAATTTTTCTATTTCTTTGAGATTTTTTTCTAATTTATTGGCATATAGTTGCTTATAGTAGCCACTAATGATTCTTTGAATTTCTGCCGTATCAATTGTAATGTCTCCTTTTTCATTTCTGATTTAATTTATTCAAATCTTCTCTCTTTTGTTCCTAGTTAGTCTGGGTAAACATTTGTCAATTTTGTTTCACTTTTCAAAAATAGCTTTTTGTTTCATTGATATTTTATATTGTTTTTCATTTCATTTGCCCTTATTTTGGATTTGATCTTTATTATTCCTTTTCCTCTACAGATTTTGGATTTTGTTTGTTCTTGCTTTGTCAGGTTGTTTATTTGAAGTTCTTTTTTTAATGTTGACACTTATAGCTATAAACTTCCCTCTTAGTACGTTTTTGGTGTATCTCATAGGTTTTGTATGTTGTGTTTCCATTATCATTCATTTCAAGACATTTTTAAATTTCCTTTGTAATTTCCTCTTTGACCCACTGGTCATTCAGGAGCATATTGTTTAACTTCCATGTGTTTGTATAGTTTCCAACATTTCTTTGGATATTGATTTCTAGTTTTATTCCATTGTGGTCAGAGAAGATGCTTGATATTATTTCAATTTTTGGAATGTTTTAAGATGTGTTTTGTGATCTAGCATATGGTCTATCTTGAGAATAATCCATATGCTTAGGAAAAGGATGTGTATTCTGCATTTGTTCATTGAAATATCCTGTAAATACTTATTAGAACCATTTGATCTATAGTGCAGAATAAATCCAATGACTCTTTTGATTTTATGTTTGGCAGATCTGTCTGATGCTGAGAGTAGAGTATTGAAATCTCTAGCTATTATTGTATTGGAGTCTATCTCTCTTTTTAATATTTGCTTTATGTATCTGGGTACTCCAGTGTTCGGTACATATATTTAAGATTATTATATCCTCTTGTTGAATTGACCCCTTTATTATTATATAGTGACCTTCTTTGTCTCTTCATATAGTTTTGTCTTGAAATCTATTTTTTCTGATATAAATATAGTGACTCCTACACTTTTTTGGTTTCCAATGGCATAGAGTGTCTTTTTCCATTCCTTTATTTTCAGTCTATGTGTGTATTCATAGGTAAAGTGTGTTTCTTGTAGGCAACATATCAATGAGTCTTGTTCTATTATTTATTCAGCCACTCTATGTCTTTTGATTGGAGAGTTTATCCCATTCACATTCAATGATACTGTAGATATGTAAAGACTTACCCCTGCCATTTTTTATTTGTTTTCTGATTGTCGTGTGGTTCGCTCGTTCTTTCTTTCTTTCTTTCTCTCTCTCTCTCTTTCTTTCTTTCTTTTTCTTTCACTGTCTTTCTTTTAGTGAAGGTGATTTTCTCTGGTGATATGATTTTGTTTCTTGCTTTATATATTTTTGTGTATCAGTTGTATACTTTTTGGTTTGAGGTTACCATGAGGCTTGCAAATAGTATCTTATATTACTTTAAGCTGATGACAGTTTAACAGTTTGCATAAACAAACAAGTAAACAGAAAACTAATAAAAACTCTATGCCTTATCCATATTCCCTACATTTTACCTTTTTGTTGTTTCTATTTAAATCTTATTGCACTGTCTATGTCTTGAAAAGTTGTTGTGGTTTTTTTTTTTTGAATGCTTCATTTATTCTTTCTACACAGGATAAGTGTAATTTATACACCACAGTTACAGTGTTATAATTTTCTGTTTTTTTGTGTACTTACTATTACAAGTGAATTTTGTACCTTCAGGAGATGACTTATTGCTCATTAATGTCCTTTTTGTTTGGATTGAAGTATTCTCTTTAGCAATTCTTGCAAAACAGGTCTGGTGTTGATAAAAATCCTTCAGCTTTTGTGCTGGATATACTATTCTAGGGTAATTTTTTTTTTCCTTCAGCATTTTAAATATGTTATGCCCCTCTTTCTTGGCCTGTAAGGTTTCCATTGAAAAGTCTGTTGTCGATGTATTGAAGCTCCATTGTATGTTATTTATTTCTTTTCTTTTGCTGCTATTAGGATCCCTTTTTTATCCTTGATCTTTTGGAGTTTGATTATTATATGCTTCAAGGTAGTCTTCTTTGGGTTGAATCTTCTAGGTGTTTTATAACTTTCTTTTACTTGGATATTGTTGTCTTTGTCTAGGTTTAGGAAGTTCTGTTTTATTATCCTTTTGAATAATACTGCTGCCCCATCCTCTACATGCTGTTTCAGGCCAATAATTCAGATTTTTCATTTTGGGTATTGTCTAGCTTCTGTAAGCATTCTTCATTTTTTAAATTCTTTTTTCTTTCATCCCCACTGACTGTATTTTCAAATAGCCTCTTTTCAAGTTCACTACTTATTTCTGCTTGATGAATTCTGCTATTAAAAGACTGATGCATTTTTCAGTATGTCAATTGCATTTTTCATCTCCAGAAATTTCCCACTTGATTCTTTTTAATCAGTTTAGTCTCCTCATTAAATTTATCTGATAGAATTCTGAATTTCTTCTCTATGTTATCTTGAATTTCTTCGAGTTTTCTCAACACAACTATTTTCAATTCTCTGTCTGAAAGGTCACATATCAATGTTTATCCAGTAATTTTTTCTGGTGCCTTATTTAGTTCAGTTGGTGAGGTCATGTTTTCCTCGTCTTCTTTGATACATGTAAATGTTCTTGTGTTTGGGCATTGAAGAGTTATGTATTTATTATAGTGTTTGCAGCCTGGGCTTGTTTGTATTCATCCTTTTTGAGAAGGCTTTCTAGTTCTAAAGGAATTGGGTGTTGTGATCTAAGACATGTCTGCTTTAGGAAGCACCCCAATCCCACTAATGCTGTGGTTCTTGCAGACTCATTGGAGGCATCATTTTGATTATCTTGTACAAGATCCACGATAATTCTCTGAATTTCCAACCAGGCAGAGATTCTTGTTCCCTTCCCTTACATTTCCCCAAGCAAACGGAATCTCTCTCTTCCTCCCTCTCTCTCTATTCTGAGCCACCTGGATCTGAGAGTGGAGTGACACAAGCACTCCTGTGGCCACCAGCACCATGACTGCACTGGGTCAAACCTGAAGCCAGCACATTACTGGGTCTTGCCCAAGGACTGATGCAACCACTTCCCTGGCTATCTCCTATGTTTGTTCAAAGCTCCGATACCTCTACAATCAGCAGATGATAAAGACAGTCAGGCCTATGTCCTTCCCTTCAGGACGGGAAATTCTCCCAAGCTCTGGGCATGTTCAGAAGTGCTGTATGGGAGCCTAGGACTAAAGTCAAAAACCTTAGCTGTTCACCTGGTATTCTATAGTACTCCATCTGAGCTGTCACTTGAACTACAAGATGCAGTCTTTCCCTCTACTCCTTCCCCTTTTCAAGGCAGAGGGGCCTCACCTTGTGGCCACTGCCACCACAGGCCCATGGGGATTACTGACAGACTACCGCCAATGCTCCCTTAAGGCCCAAGGGCTCTTCAGTCAGCTTCTGCTGAATGTTCCCTGTACTGGGACTCATCCTTCAGGGCAGTAGACTCCCCTCTGGCCCAGGGCAGGTCTAGAAGTGTCATCCCAGAGCCACATCCTTGAATTGGTGACCCCAAGTGTTCACTTGGTGCTCTACCATTCTGAGGCCAAGCTGGTACCTAAGGTGGAAGACAAAATCCCCTTTACTTTTTCCTCTGCCTTTGTCAATCAAACGGATTCTCGCCCCTTAGCCACCACAGCTGGCAATGTGCTAAGTCTCACCTGAAGCCAGTAAGTCTCAGGGTCTTACTGAAGGCTCCTGACCTAGTACCTGGGTATTGCTGCTGATTATTAAGAGCCCAAGGGATCTTTAGTTAGCAGGTGATGCATTCTACCAGGATTGGTTCTTTCCCTTTAAAGCACCAGGTTCCCTGTTTGGCCCAGGGTGTGTCTAGAAATGTCATCTTTGAGCTGAAGCCTGAAAAGGGGGCGTCAAAACTCTGACAAGTGCCCTATCCTGCTGTGGCTGAGCTGGTATCCAAGATGCAAGAAGAAGTCCTCCTCAGTCTTCTCTCTTCTCTCCTCAAACAGAAAGAAGGGGTCTCTTTTGGAGCTGTAAGTTGTGCAGGCTGGGGATAAGGGAGGGGTGATGCCAGCACTTCCTTAGCCACCCCAGTTTGTGGCTCAGTAGGTTATGTACCTCCCGACCCCAGTCCACTGTCTCTTGGCCTAATTCAGCACTAGGACTCTCCTAGGATTTGTGGTCTTGGCCTGGACTACCTTTCAAGTTTACTTAGAAGCCCAGAATACTTTATCTCATGGTGGCGATGCTTGCCTGAAAGTGGAGTTTGGACTGTTGGGATTAGCAATTTCGCTTTGCCCAGAGCTTGTATAAATGCTCCCTTCACTGGCAAGCATCAGCTGGTTTTGTCTATTATTTTCTTTCTGTTCTACCAGGGCAGCACTGAGTTGAGCGCCTCACAATTACTGCACTCTTTCTTCTCCAGCACACAGAAATGCTCTCCACACCATGCCATTGCTGCTGGGGTGTAGGGGAGGGGTGGCGTTGGCAATTCAAGACTATTTTTTTCTACTTTTTCAGCAATATGTAGTTAAAACCAGGTACTGTGAGTACTCACCTGGTTTTTGTTTTTTATTAAGGTTTTTTATTTGTGTGTGTGTGTATGTGTGTGTGTGTGTGTGTGTGTGTGTGTGTGTAGAAGATGTTAAATTGGTGTCCTTGCAGGGAGGACAATCAGTGGATCCTTTTATTCTGCCATCTTGCTCCACCTCTTCCTCCCTAATCTTTTATTAAGACTTCTAACTGTATTTTTAAATTCCTGTAGTAAATTGTTTAATTCCAGAAGCTCTGTTTGGCTCTTTCTTAAAATGACTATGTCATCTTTCAATACTTGGATCATTTTACTGGCTTCCCTGTATCGGGTTTCAACTTTCTCTTGCATCTCATTGAGTTTCCTTTCAGATTCTGCATTCTATATCTGTTATTTTAGACATTTCAATTTTGTTAGGATCCATGGCTGGGGTCCTAGTGCAATTCTTTGAAGGTATAAAACAGTCTGACTTTTGGAATTGACAGAGTTCTTTTGCTGATTCTTTTCCATCTAAGAGAGCTGGTATTTCTTTATCTTTTAGAAATTGCTGTTGTTTGAAGGGAGATTTTTGTGTTTTTATTCTTTGTTTCCCTTAAGGATTTGACTGTGGTGCATGTTGTGTACAGTTTCTTGGCTTCATTTCTTGGTGGTTTCAGAGAGTAAAGGCTCTGTACGGGTTCCCTAGCTGTGGCTAGTTTTCTGCTTCGGTTTCAGAGGTGATGTGTGCTGAAGGATTTTATTTTGGTATGGTGGTGTAATTCAGGCTGTGATCCAGTAGATGGTGCTTAAGGGTAGGGTCTGGCAGATAGGCTCTTACTCAGCAGTGCATCTCTTTTGTACTTCAGTGTTTTGGCAACAGTACTCTGGGGAGATGGAGATGGGGAGCAGGTGAGCGATGACTCCCTCATCAAGTATTTTACTGGGTCTTGGGGGATCCCCCTCCAATCACTCCAACACCATGCCCATGTTTCCTTAGCCCCAGTGGAGGTTCTGGCAAGCTGCACACCCTCCTCTCCTTTGGAGGCAGCCTGAGCTGAAGGTTAGGTCACTAGGAGGCCTACAATTTCCCAGGGGTCTGCTGGTCCTCTGAGCTTGGCAGAGTCAGAGCAGGTTGTGGAGTATGTTGCTGGGTGGTCTGTTGAGGCAGTGGGTTAAGGGCAAAGGATTCCCTGGCAGGGCAGTGGTGTTGTGGATTTGCAGTTTGTGTGGTACCTGGGGCCTGGGGATTTTTGCCCATCAAATGACTGTAGGAACCATCCAGCTTGTACTCTCCCAATGTGGTCTTCCTCTGATGTCTATCCCAGGATCAGGTCCAGCCAGCTAGTTTTGTCCCAAGCCTTCTGCACCCAGATCACTGGGCTGTTAGGTATTCAGTGCTCCGTCAGGCAGAGGCTATGGTTGGTAAACAGGCTACACCATTCCTGGACCAGTCTTGCAGGGGGAGGAATGCCTAGTTCCCATGCCAGAACTCGAATCTGTGACTCACTCTTCTCAGTGTTCTGGGAATGGGGGCTCCTCTCTCACTGGAGGTCAGGGCACAGATCTCAGCTCAATACCCCTGAGAAGTGTGCTCAGACCCGGGGTGGGGTTGGTTGGGATCAGGCCTGTGGCTTTGTCCTCTGGCCCCTCAGGGTTGAGCACCAGCTGTACTTCGGGGACCATTCTTTTCCTAGGTCACCAGTAGAACACAAAATTGGGGCAATAGAGGTTATGCTATGTGTATGCTTTTGCAGGAGCAGCCAGGTAACCATGGCAGGGGCTGGAAAACAAGGGAGAATGCAGATCAGATGTGCTCTGGTCCTGCAGGAAAGGCAGTCTTGCTCTCTCTCAGCCAGGCATTCAGCAGAGGCTGTGATCATTCAGAACAAGTTGGAGAGCCTTGGGGGATGAGCACCTATGATCACGATTTGCTACAGCTGTCCCGTGTGTTAAACCTACTGGGCCTCTGCGTATTCTCTGGGCTGTTCCCCCTGCCAATTCAAATGTGTATAGGGGTCATGAAATCTCTTATAGCTAGGAAATCAGAGGTCTACAGCGGGAGAGTGGTGCCCTGTAGTTTCTTCACTTATCCTTTCCTTCGGACCTGCTCAGGACTAGGAGCTGGTCCTGGCACTCAATGACTCCATGCAAGCTTCCCAGCTTCCTCTGTCTTCAGTATCCATGTTTGCTTCGCCTCTGTATTGACTTTCATTGTTTTTTCTCAAAAGATATGTTTAAAGTGTGATGGTTTACTCAATATTATGGTTTATCTCAGTGGGAGAGGCATTTCCTGACTGTGTCTAGTCAGCTGTCTTATCGCTCCAATTAAATCACTTTTATGAGAAAGTCTGTGTTACAGAAATGTGTTAGTATAGACATACTCACTGCAGCCTAAGGAGAAACCTGCCCTACCATAAACACTGATTGCTGTGTCTGTATCCCAGATGAATTGGATAACATCACTAAGTTAATGGCTAATATAAAAACACAAATAACTAATCTTTCAGATCAACATCTTTTCTAAATGATTGGCTAAGCAGCTGGTTTGGATCTTGAGAAACTTGGTAGTAAATGCCAATTCTAGGAATTAAATCTTTTTTTGCATTTTGTCCTGTTTTTGTCTTTACTGCTGCTGCAGTATTTGTTTCCAGTGGAGTCAATACATGACCAGAAAGACTAAACTAATGTTCACTCAAAAACTGCATTAGTTGAAGATGGAACTAAGTAGTCTGACTCAGGTCACAAAATCACTTCCCTCATGTTATTTTAATTGGCCTATTCCCCATCAGTTTATAATGTGACAAATTTTCCCTACCATGGGACATGAAACTTTAAGAATGAGCCTTCCTAGGAATGCAGGACTAATCTGAGCAAAAAAAAGAAGCCAAACCATTTGTATGTATCTGCGAAGCTTTCTTTAAAAGATCTTGATGAAAAGGGGAGAATGCGAACTTAATGGTTCAACTTACAAAATTTAAATGTAAAGTTGTTGGAACTTTAAATTATCCTGAGCCTCGAAGAAATGTAACTATGCAACCTGAGTCACATGCATGCAACTGCAACCTCTTCTGCCTCTGATTTTTTTTTTTTTTGGGGGAAAAATTACAACCAAACAGTGCCAAAGATAGGACACCCTCAGATCACTACCACTTTTCACAAAGTAATACAGTATCCAATCTTGGAATGTAGCAATCTGTAACCAATCAAATTGCAAGGGCATATGCACCTTGAGGGGCCTGGCCCTAAAAGGGAAACTGAAACCCGGCGGGAACTTTTCTGTCTCGGCCTACATAAGTGAAATCATTACTTCTCCACTTTGGAAATGCTGACCCAATCCATTTGGAGTCCTGAGTGGCCATCCTCAAGCTTTGTGCTTGAATAAATTTTATACTTACTCATATTTTCTGAATCTCATTATTCAAGGTTGACATTCATAATAGAAGCTACTCTTATAGAACATGATATCAATAAGAAAATAGCAGAACACACTAATAAGCAATTTCTAACATGAAGTAATGGAGGTATCCTGAAGAGTGGGTGAAGAATTGTGTCAAAGAATCTCAAAGCAGCTGATATTCATAGATTCCCCTAGCCAAGCAGGTATCAGGAAACTTTGGCAGCAGGGACTTAGGATGAAGTGCAGGAATATGAAGAATTTCATGTTATAAGAACTCATGAATAAAAGGCAATTCCCAGACTGAGGTTGCTAAAATTATTAAGATAGAGACAAAGTCACTAAGAGCAAGGCAAGAATGAGGCATGATTGGGGTTTGTGTGGTCAAATGTCCCTAGCAATAGGGAATGGATAATGAGAAAAAATACTTGAAAGGATTGCTTTGCATATAGTTCAATTTAATAACAGTTTTTCAGTTGCTTAGTTGAATAAGAGCTATTTTACATGCTAGGGAGTAAATTATGGATCAGTTCACTCAATGGATAAAACAAGTCAGAAATTTAAACATTATTTATTAAAAGAAACAAATTCTGTGACATTTGACACCAGAGAGAACTATCAGTGAAGAAGGGAGTCCTGGGTTGGCTTCAATGTCAGCCTGCTCCAGACTTTTATGTTCTCCTTATTTTGCACCATTTTTTGTGCTTCCTGAATATATAAATATTGCATTAAAATAGTCTGTTAGGATTTTAAGGGCTGTCTTTGGTTAGATTCCTCAGAAAATATAACCTGAGGCAAATTCTTTATTAGCAAATGCAATTTCAGGGAGATGGAGTGAAAGAAAATGTGAGTGAGGCATTTTAATATTACAACAATGCAATATTAAAATGTTCACTACTTGATATTGAAAGCACTACTTGATATATCAAGTTCACTACTTGAAAGTTGATACTGATTGCTTGAGTTCATGGGACTATTTTCTGAGAGGCTGTATTAAAAAAACTACCATATATGATTGTATAAATAACTACTTGACAGTGGGTCCAGGAAAGCAAAGGGAAATAATTTATTCTCCAGAAACCACCTCCCTTTGTTCAAAGTTAAGCCCATGGGGCTTTCATTATCCACTGAGTTGCGCATAAATGGGCTCCAAGAGTGTCCTTGCTTTGCCCATAAAGAGTAGATCAGAGATTATGCAGAATGGCTTTTTCTGTTGGTAGCTGGGGCTGTAACAAATGGCCAAAGCTCCTGGAAACAAGAACTATTTGATACATTAGTGCAGACCAATTATATTTTGTGTTTTCACTTAAACTTTTCTGAATTATTTCCCTGTGGCCTGAAATTCAGATACCTAATAAAAATGTCTGTAGCACTGGGTAAGATATTTTTGTGCAGTTACAAATGATACAAGGCAAGAAGATGAAGAGCTGATAGATATTGGTAGCCACCCCAAAGTTTTTCTAAAGCTTGCATTATCATTATTTTCTCTTCTCTTTTTCCTACTATTTTCCGTTAGTGATTAGCCATATAGCAGCTTCCCTCATTCTTTCATTCTCAAGACTTTGAATGGACATTTGCAATCACGTCTTGATAAATTTAATTCTATTTTTTCTATTGATTTTCATTTTATTTCTACAATTATTTATCCTCATATTGAGTTGGTCTTCAGAGAACAGTGGCGCTACGTTTTAGCTCTCACCCTCTCTGCAATGGAGTTAATGTTCTGTAAACCAACACTTAAATGCACAATTTAAAAATGCTCCTATGAATTATTTTGTGAAGGGAAAAATCACCTCTGTAAGGCCAATTGTAACTTTGTTATCTATTTTCAGGATTTGGGTCTTTACATTCAAAATTAAATTCTCTTAATACAAAATGAGATAGTGGAAGGGAACTCAAATAAAAGGCAAAATGTTAAAACTCATTCTTTTCTTCTTTCCTTTCATAAACTGAAGCTCTTCTGGAGGGAACCTTCCAGCTAAAAATTTTTTTGATTATCTCTTTTACCACTGCTTTTTTATTAGATATGTGGATTTTCTGGTTTCAGAAGGTAAATGCTATTGGTGAATTGTTTTTATATCCTTGATGCTCTAAGAATAAGTTGTGAGCTCAGAGTTTAACAGTTGTGTGTTGATCTCTTGATTACCCGGCTGGTTTCTTAATTTGTGTTATCTCAAGCCCTCGTCAGTTTTTTAGGGTTGCCATGGGTTTAAAATTGTGCAGTAAGTATTGAGCTTTGGCAGGACTGCAGGTATTGGAAGTGCCACATTTTTTAGGACAATTATTTCATGAAGTGTCAAAAATTTTGATAGTGATTTTATGTTTTACTTTGCAGTTTATCTGTTTTTTAAATTTAACACCCAGATTTCTGGCTATTTCCTTTTTACTGGGCTGTCATCTACATTTTGTCTTTTTCCACTGCTTTGTTTCCCTTTATTTTCTCCTTATTCTTTTCCCTCACCCCAACCCCAAGCTTTATTGAAGTATGATTGAAAGATGAAAATTGTATATATTTAAGATATACAATGTGATGAATTGATACACTTATACATTGTGAGGTGTTTGCCAAAATCAAGGTAATTAGCATATCCATTACCTTACACAGTTACCTTTCCTTTGTGTGGCAAGAACACTTAAGATCTAAACTCAGCAAATTTCAAGTCTACAATACATTATTATTAACTCTAGTTACTATGTTGTACGTTATATATCCAGAACTTATGCATCTTAAAACTCAAACTTTGTTCCCTTTGACCAAATCTCCTGTTTTCCTCGTACTCCAACCCCTGGTAACTGCAGTTTTACTCTGTGTTTTTATGAGTTCAAGTATTTTAGATTCAAAATGTAAGTGATATCATACAGTGTTTGTCTTTCTGTGTCTTGCTTATTTCACGTAGCATAATACCCCCCAGGTTCATCCATGTTGTTGCAAATGTTAGGATATTCTAATTTTTTAGGCTGAAATATATTCCATCATATATATGTGTATATATAATATATATACACATATATAAAATATATATATACTATATATGGAATATACGTTGATAGATGAATGGATAAAGAATATGTTTTTATATATATAATATGAATATATAAAAAATTTTCTGTATTCCTTCATCCATCAACAGACATTTGAGTTGTTTCCATATTGGTTATTGTGAATTAGTGCTGCAATGAATGTGGTAGTGTAGATATATTTTCAAGATTGGATTAGGATTTCATGAGAGGATTTCCTTTCCTTTGGATGTATACCCAGAAGTGGTATTCGTGGATCATATGGTAGTCTTACATTTAACTTTTTGAGGAACCTCCATAGTGGCTGTACAAATTCGTATTCATGCCAACTCTGTACAAAGATTCCTTTTTCTTCACATCCTCATCAACACTTGTTATCTTTTGATTCTTTTGATAATAGCCATTCTAGGAAATATGAGGTGACATCTCATTCTGGTTTTGAATTGTATTTTCCAGATAATTAGAATTGTATTTTCATGATAATTAGAGAAGTTAAGCATCTTTTCATATATCCATTGGCCATTTTTATGTCTTCTTCTAAAAAGTGTGTATTTCATCCCTTTTCTCATTTTTTAATTGGGTTGTTTGATTTTTTATATTGATTTGTATGAGTTTTTAATATATTTTAAAGACTAATCTCCTATTGGATATATGATTTGCAACTATTTTCTCCCATTCTGTAGGTTGCTTTTTTGTTAATTTTTTTTTGTTAATTTTTATTTTGTTACTATGCAGAAACCTTAAATTTGTTTTAGGCCCATTTGTTCACTTCTGTTTTTGTTGCTTTTAGTTTTGGTGTCACATCTAAAATATCATTAAAAAGAACCAATGTCAAAGGGTTTATTCCCTGTTTTCTTCTAAGTGCTTAATGATTTCAGGTCCTGCATTTTAAATCTTCAATCCATTTTGAATTATATTTATATATGGTGTAAGAAAAGTATCCAATTTTATTGTTTTGCATGTGGTTATCTAGTTTTTGAAGAGACAATTCTTTCTCCATTGAATATTCTTGGCACCTTTGTCAAAGGTTAATTTACCTTATATGCATGGGTTTACTTCTGGGCTCTCAAATCTGTTCCATTCATCTGTATGTCTGTCTTTTGCCTATTTCATATCTTTTTGATTGCTGTAGCTTTGTAATACAATCTGAAATAAGAAATATGATGCCTCCAGGTTTGTTCTTTCTGTACATAGCTTTAGCTATTCTGAGTCTTTTGTGGTTACATTCGAATTTTAGGATAGTTTTTACTATTTATGTAAAAACTGCCATTAGAGTTTTGATAGGGATTGCATTGAATCTGTAGATTGCTTTAGGTAGTATTGATATTTTAAAGATATGGGTTATTCTAATTCAAGAACATGGGATATATTCCTATTTATTTGTTTCTTCTTCAATTTCATTCATCAGTGTTTTCTAGATTTCAGAGTACATTTTATTTCCAAGTATTTTATTAGTTTTGATGCTATTGTAAATATAACTGTTTTCTTAAATTTTTGGATAATTCATTGTTAGTATCTAGAAATGCAGTGTGTTTTTATATGTTGATTTTTATCCTGCAACTTTACTGAATTTATTTTTACTTCTAATAGTTTTTTCTGGAAGTTTTTGATTTTTTATATAATGTTACTTTTAAACAGACACAATATTACATCTTTCTTTTCAATTAGAGTGCCTTTTATTTCTTTTTCTTACCCAATTGTTTTAGCTAAGATTTTCAATACTGTGTTGAACAGAAGTAGTGTGAGTGGGCATTCTTGACTTCTTTCTGATCTTAAAGGAAAAGCTTACAGATTTTCACCATTAAATATAATGGTGGCTGTGGGCTTGTCCTATGTGGTCTTTATTATGTTGGGGCACATTTCTTCCATATTTAATTGTTGAGAGTTTTTCTTTCTTTCTTTTTCTTTTTCTTTCTCTCTCTTTTTTTTTTTTTTTTGATGGAGTCTTGCACTGTGGCCCAGGCTGGAGTGCAGCGGCACAATGTCAGTTCACTGCAAGCTCCGCCTCCCAGGTTCACGCCATTCTCCTGCCTCAGCCTCCTGAGTAGCTGGGACTACAGGCGCCTGCCACCACACTCAGCTAATATTTTGTATTTTTAGTAGAGACGGGGTTTCACTGTGTTAGCCAAGATGGTCTCGATCTCCTGATCTCGTAATCTGCCCTCCTCGGCCTCTGAAAGTGCTGGGATTACAGGCGTGAGTCACTGTACCCTGCTGAGTTTTTCTTTCTTATGAGAGGATTTTGAATTTTGTAAAATGCTTTTCTCTGTATATGTTAAGAGGAGTATATAATATTTTGTCCTTCATTCTGTTAATGTGGTGTATCATATTTATTGATTTGCACAGGTTGAACTATCTTTGCATTCCACACATAAATCCCATTTAAACAAGTTGTACAATTCTTTTAATATGCTCTTGAACTCAGTATGATAATTCTCTGTTGAATTTTTTTTTTGAGATGGAATTTCGCTCTTGTTGCCCAGGCTGGAGTGCAATGGCACGATCTTGGCTCACTGCAACCTCCGCCTCCCAGGTTCAAGCAATTCTCCTGCCTCAGCCTCCCCAGTAGCTGGGACTACAGGCGCCTGCCACCATGCCTGGCTAATTTTTTTTTTTTGTATTTTTAATAGACAGGGTTTTACCATATTGGCCAGGCTGGTCTTGAACCCCTGACCTCAGATGATGTTCCCACCTCACCCTCCCAAAGTGCTGGGGTTACAGGTGTGAGACACTACGCCTGGCTGAAGATTTTTAATCTATGTTAATTATTGGCCAGTATTTCCTTTTACTTTTTGTATCCTTGTTGTTGATTTTTCATCTGGATGATCTATCTGTTGTTGAAAGTGAAGAATTTAAACCATTACATTCTACCCCAGCACCCCCCATATTCATGTCTTTCTCACAATGCAAAATACAGTCGTGTATTACTTAATAGCAGGAATATGTCCTGAGAAAGGAGTTATTAGGTGATTTCCTCATTGTACAAAATTATAGAATGTACTTACACAAATCTAGGTAGCATAGCTTACCACACACCTAGGATATATGATGTAGCCTAGTACTCCTAGGCTACAGACCTGTATATCATTTTATTGTACTGAATAGTGTAGGCAACTGAAACACAATGGCGTGTATTTGTGTCTCTAAACATATCTAAACATAGAAAAGCTCCAATAGAAATATCATATAAATGATACAAAATAGTACTCCCATTTAGGATATTTACCATGAATGGAGCTTGCAAGACTGGGTGTTGCTCTGTGTGAGTCAGTGATTGAGGGATGAGTGAATGTGAAGGCCTAGAACATTGCTGTATGCTATGCTAGACTTTATAAACACTGTACACTTAGACTGTACTACATTTATAAAATAATTTCTTCAATTAATCTTAGCTTACTGTAATTTTTTTACTTTACAAACTTTAATTTTTTAACTTTATGACTTTTTCATAACACTTAGCTTAAAACACTAACTTATTGTACATTGGTACAAAAATATTTTTTATATCCTTACTCTATAAGTTTTTTTATATGTTTAAATTATTTTACTTTTTACTGTTTTTTTTTTTGTTAAAAAAAACCCACAAACACACATATGAGCCTAAGTCCACATAGGGTCAGGATCATCAATATCACTGTCTTCCACCTTCTCATCTTGTCTTATTGGAAAGTCCTCAGAGGCAGTAGCATACACAGAGCTCTCATCTTCTGTGATAACAATGCCTTTTTCTGGAATACCTCCTGAAGGAGCTACCTGAGGCTCTTTTACAATAAACTTTTTTTCATAAGTAGAAGAAATACGCTCTAAAATAAAAATAAAAATAATACATAAACCAGTAACATGGTTATTTATTATCATTATCAATTATATGTACTGTGCATAATTGTATATGCTGCACTTCTGGATGACTGGCAGCACAGTAGATTTGTCCATACTGGCATCACCACAAACACATAAGCAACACATTGTGCTATAATCTTATGATGGCTATGACATCACTAGGCAATAAGAATTTTTCAGCTCATTATAATCATATGGGACCACCATCATATATGCTGTCTGTCCTTGAACACAGCATTATTATTTGGTGAGTGATTATACATTCATTTTATCTCAATAATCCCAAAAGTTTAACTAGTTCTAACATCATCTCAAAAGTCCAAAGTTAAGAGAATCATCTGAATTAGATATGGGTGAGACTCAAGGCGCAATTTATCTTGAGACAAATTCCTCTCCAGCTGTGAGCCTTTAAAATTAACAAGTGACATTTTTTCCAAGTACAGTGGTGGGACAGCACAGGATAGACATTCCCATTTCAAAAGGGATGAATATGCAAGAAGAAAGGGGTAACTGGTCCCAAATAAATCCACAACCCAACAGGGAAAACAACATTATGTCTTAAAGCTCTAGAATAATTTTCTTTGACTCCATGTCCCATGTCCTGCACACAGTGGAGTGTGGTTTTGGCCCTCAAGGCTTCAGGCAGCTCTACCTCCATGGTTTTGCTGGGCTCCGTTCACCTGGAAGCTCTCACAGGCTGGAGTCTCATGCCTGTACCTCTCCCGAGCTCATTTTGCACAATGGTAAATCTGCAGTTCTGGGGTCTTGGCCCAACTCCCATGGCTCCACTAGGCATTGCCCTAGTGAGAACTCTGTAGCAGCGCTGACCCCACATTTCTGGTGGACATTGGTCTATTAGAGGTTATCTGTGGTGGCTCCACCCATGCAATAAGTCACTGCCTGGGTCCCCAGGCCATCCATGCCATCCTTTGAAATCTATGTGGAGGAAATTATGTCCCCATAGCTCTTGCATTTAGCACACCTGCAGAGTAGCACCACACAGATGCCACCAAAATTTGCAGCTTGTACCTTCTAGAGCGATGGATTGAGCCACAGCTGGGCCCATTTGAGCCATGGTTAGGGCAACTGAGGAACACTGTGCCCAATGCAGGGAGCAGAGACCCAAGATGGCTCTGGGCAGTCAACCCATAGAGGGGGCCCTGGGCCCACCCCGCAAAACCATTCTCCCCTCTTAGAGCTCTGGGCCTGTAATGGGAGGCGCAGCCTTGAAGATCTCTGAAATGCTGTCATCTTCATTCTCTCATTGTCCTGATGATGCCTTCTATCCATACTGATGTTCTTAGCAAAGGTCATGTGACCATATCCTTGGTTTGCTCTCCGAAACAAGCTTTTTTAAATTCTTTATGTGGCCAGGCTGATATTTTTAAAAATATTTTTGTTCTGTTTCCCTTTCTATCTTTAAATTATTTATTTATTATCTCATTTTACTGTAAGCAGCCATAGAACCATGCGGCACCTTAAACACTTTGCTGCTTAGATATTTCTTCTGCCAAATATTCTAGTTCACTATTTCTAAATTTCAACTTCCATAAAGCCTGAGGGCATAGATATAATTAGCCAAATTCTTTGCCACTTCATAACGAGGATGACATTTAGTCCAGTTTCCAATAAGATATATCTCTTTTCTGCCTGAGCCCTCATCAGAATGGCCTTTTATTGTCCATATTTCCACCAACATTTTGATCATGACCACTTAAGCAATTTCTAAGAAGTTTTAGTCTTTCCCAACAGCTCTCGTCTTCTAAATCCTCACCAGAATTGCCCTTAATACTCTATTTATAGCAATCTAGGCTTTTCCTAACCTGCTCATCTAAGTTCTTTCAGCCTCTACCCATTACTCAATTCCAAAGCCACTTCCACATTTTCATATATTTGTAATATCAATAGCTCCAATTTGTGTTACCGATTTTCTGTCTTAGTTTGTCTTATGTTGCTATAACAAAGTACCTCTGATTAGATAATTTATAATAAACAGAAGTATATTTGGCTCACAGTTCTAGAGACTGGAAGTCCAAGACCATGGCTCTGGTATCTAACAATGGCCTTCATGCTACCCCATCCCATGGTGAAAAGCAGAAGAGAAAGAGAGGGTTGGAGCAAGAGAGAAAGAGCAGACTAAACTCACATTTATAATAAGCCCACTCTTTTGATAAGCCACTCCCATTAATAATCTATTCATGAGAGTAGAGCCCTCATAACCTAATAATCTCTTATTAGGCCCCACCTCCCAATACTCTTGCATTATGCATTAGGTTTCCAACACTTATACTTTGGGATATACATTCAAACCATAACAGATGTCCATAATGAGACTATTATTATTATTATTTTGCACATGGATGCCAAATTGTTTCAACACCATTTGTTAAAACACTATCCTCTCTCTACAATAAAGCACTCAAAATCAGTAATCATCAGGGAAATAAAAATTAATACTGTAATGAGAAATCACCTCACACCTGTTACAATGACTGTGTTCAAAAAGAGAAAGAAAAGTCTTGGCAACGATGTGGAGAAAAGAAAACTCTTATACACTGTTGGTAGGAATGTAAATTAGTACAACCATTATGAAAAACAATGTGGAGCCTTCTCAAAATATTAAAAATAGAACTACTATATGATTCAACAATCTTATTTCTTGGTATATATCCAATGGAAATAAAAGCAGTATCTCTTAAAAATATATATATATCTGCATCCTCGTGTTTATTGCAGCGTTGTTCACAATAGCCAAGATATGGAAATAAGCTATGTGCTCATAAGTAGATGAATGGATAAAGAAAATGTAGTATATGTACACAAAGGAATACTATTTAGCCTTAATAAAAAAAAATTCTGTCATTTGTGACTGGATGAACCTGGAGAACATTATGTTAAATGAAATGAACTGGCGGGGAGTGGTGGCCCTCTCAAAAAAGAAAATGCAGAACAAAAGAGAAATGAACCAGGCGTGGAAAGACAAATGTTATGTGATCTTACAATATATATAAGAAAACTAAAATGTTGAATTCATAGAAGCAAGGTACAATGGTGGTTAACAGGGGCTGTGGAAGGAGGGATTGGAGAGACACAGGTCAAAGATAAAATCTTTTATTTAGTCAAGAAGAATAAGTTCAAGATCTATTGTACAACATGGTGGCTATAGTCAATAACAATGTATTATATACTGAAAGTTGTGAGAGGGTAGATTTTAAATGTTCACACCACACACTCACACAACATGAATATGTGAGCTAATGTTTGTGGTAATAAGCCTAATTTAGCCATTTCACAATGTGTGTGCATGTGTGTGTGTATCTGTATCAGACATCATGTTGTACACTCTGAGTATATAAAATTTGTATTTGTTAAATAAAATACATAAATAATTTAAAAAGACTATTCCTTCTTCATTGCATTGCTTCTGCACTTTTATAAAAAATCAATTGACCATATTTGTGTGAGTCTATTTCTGTACTCTTTTTAGTTCCACTGATCAGTATGTTTATTCTTTGCCACTACCACTCTGTCTTAATTACTGTAGTTTATTTTTGAAAATCTTAAGATCAGGTAAAGTGAATCATCTAACTTTATTCTTTTTTGAACAAAATTTCTTGCTCTTTAGCCTTTCCAAATAAATTTCAGAGTAAACTTATCGACATCTCCAGAAATTCTGTGAGGATTTTGATTTAAACTGCATTAAATCTACAGATCAATTTGGGGAAAATTGACAACTTCATTCTATGGGTCATGATATTTTACTTACTGACATATCTGTTTATTTTTTTACTGAGATACTGGACATTGTGAATGTTACATTGTTGGTTGTCTGAATTTTGTCATCTTCCTTGAAAGGTGTTGAATTTTAATGTAGCCAAAACAAGTTACTTGCAGATTGATTTGATCCACCATTTTTAATGTTTTCTAAGGTGCAGGACAGGTGCCCAGATAACCTTGACTAATCCAGCTCTTCCCCTGTTTCTCAGTTGCAGTTCTTAAAATAACTGTAGAATGTACTGGGAATACAACATTCTGAGACAAGGAGAAACTGTTCAGAAAAGCCTGGGCTCTGTTGCCATCCCTTCTAGGACAGAATGTCCTGAAACACTTTAGCCTAGTGATCCAAGTCACCCCTCCCCTGAGATATAAAACCCAGAGAAGAATGATTTCACCTGGGGCATGCACAGATGAGACTACACCTGCCCTGAACAGCTTTTCTGAGCTTTGGCAGACTGGTTCACCTTGAACTTTAAGCTCTTATTGTCCCTCGCTGCCTATTGGTGAATAACAAAATTGCTTTGCTTAACTTGTTGAGTGAGTGTTTTTTGTTACCACACTTGTGCAAGTAGATTGATAACCAGTGCATGGGGATCCCACTTCACACTAAGGGAGTTCTAGGTCAGCCTTTATTCTAGGAATAGTTCAACTATACTACCTCCACAGAACATCCCTGGGATCACATACTCCTGCATCCTTAGTATCTTTTGACCCTGGTCTCTATCTCTCCAACTTAGCAAGGCCATCAGCTCTGCTTAGATTCTCCATTATCCCCTCATTGTGGAAATTGTCTCCAGGTTGAAAGCTGGACCTCCTGTGGGGCTTATCATGTTTGTTTACCTTCTCACAGGAATCCCAGGCCTATGCTGTTAGTTGAGATATATGAAAACAGCTGTTTCACATATTTTTTCCAGTTTTCTAATTGTTTATATTGGGAAGTTGCCTGATCCTTGTTACTACAGCATAATCAGAAGTGAAAGTCAGTTCATAGTTTGCTGCTTACTATTGTCTTTGTATCTCAATTGATTGGCACAGTTATCAGGAACTCTCTTGCTAAGGATTCCTCAAGATTAACTGCAGAGATACTCTTATTAGATTTAAAATGTAAAAATATTATTTGCAAATCATAACCATAGGCTACATACTCCTTTGGAGTAATCTAGCACACTTAGGCCGTTCTTTTAACTACCTTATTCTTATGCCATAATCATATACCCTGACAAATCTCTCCACATCTTAAATGCCCTCATTCTTTTCTTCAAATCTTTCCACTTTATCCAGAAATTCTTTCATAACTGGATCTCAAACTTGAATGTTTCCATTGGCCTGAAAGTTAATTCAAAAGTGAACTATTTAAGCTTAATTTATGCATATAATTCATGTAGATTATGATGGTAACCCTGCCTCACTTATTATGAAGATCTGAAATGTCCATGTTAAAACATAAGATATTCAAATTTATTAAAAAGTACCATAAAGACACACATGCACAACATATATGTTTATCACAGCACTATTAATGATAACAGAGACATGGATTCAACTTAAATGTCCATCAACAGTAGACTGGATGAAGAAAATGTGATACATATACATCATGGAATACTACACAGCCATAACAAGAACAAGATCATGTCCTTTGCAGCAACATAGATGGACCTGGAGGTCATTATACTAAGTGAAGTAATGCAGTAACAGAAAACCAAATGCCAAATGTTCTAACTTGTAAGTGGGAGCTAAACATTGAGTAAATATGGAAACAAAGAAGGGAACAACAGTTACCATGGATTACTTGAGGGTTGAGCATGGCAGAAGGGTGTGGATTGAAAAACTACCTATTGGGTACTATGCTTATCACCTGGGTGACAAAATTATCTGTACACCAACCCATGTGACACATAATTTACCCATGTAACAAACCTGCACATGTACCCCTGAACTTAAAAGTTAAACAAATTCATTAAAAAGAAATAGCTGAACACTGTAAATATAGACAGCCAGAAATTGATAAACTATTTCAGTTTAAAATATATGAAAGAGACATGACAGCTAAATGCAATCCATGATTTTAGATTGGATATTTGATCATAAAAATTTTCCATAAAAGAAAATATTGGCAATAATTAAATACCTGGTTTACTTTAAATAATAATAGTGTGTGGAGTTAAATTGTCTAAATTTAAAAATTTTGCATCATTTTGTTAAAGAATGAAAGGATGTCTTTGTTCCTAGGTGATGTATACTATAGTATTTTGGGTTAAATATTCATTGTCTCTCTCTTGATCTGTAATGAGAGGAGAGAGACAGAGAGAGTGAGAGAGAGGGAATGAATGTATGTGAGCACATGCAGGCTAATGATATTAAATGTTAACCTTTGGTGAAATTTGGTGAAGGGTACAGGGGATCAATCTTTTTGTCATTAGAACTTACATAGATTAGAAGACTTCAAAAAATGAAAAAGATAAAAAGCAATGAGATCAATAAAACTAAACAAATAGACAACACTCTTCTTACTAAACAAAACAGATCCTTAGGCCAGATTTGCCCATTAACCACCAGGAAATCTGATTAATTATTTGAGCATTCTTTATATTTTTGAAGTTTCATGGCATCTAATATCTCTACTACACAATACTGATTACATTTAACCTTCTCTTGTTTTCTGTGTGCCTGTCTTGTTTTGTTCAAGTTTGATACAATACTTCAGGACAGATACTAGTGTCTTTCTTCTTTATATATTCTGTTAGCAGTTAGGAAATTTTTGAGCACAGATGTTTAGTGAATAATTCTTGAATTTGGTAAGGTTACATGAATTTGGCGGGGTTGACCAAAGGAGAATCTCTTCCATTGTGGACTAGAATTCCTAACATTTTTACTCAAATTTTAGTACTTAAGCAACCAAGACAGTCATTTTTTTTTCCTTTTTTAAATAATTCTGAGATTTTAAGAATGGGAGTTTGGTCAAAAGGATGAAATAAAGAATTCCAGAGCATATAAAAAGGTCACTATTATTTTTTGATATACAAAGTAGGTCATTATGTCTGTACTTTAATTCCAAGACCCAGTTAGAAATTCAAAAGTGGAGTCTTACTGAGCTACTCTAACTGAAAGAACCTGAACAAAGCACTGACATGTTAGTGAAGCTTAAAAAAGGTTTGAATAGAACACTTTTTTAACCTTCAAAGACCTAAGTAACATTTAACTAGTACTTTGTTTCTATGGAATATCTATTGAGATATTAGATGGAGGGGTACTCAGAAGAATTTCCTTGTATTAGACCAGTTCAGAGACAATAATCAATCTTAATAAATCAGAGTAGCCACATCTGAGCTCCACTGATCAGTCACCAGTAGGTTACATCTATTTCAACATCAAAGCCACTGTGCAGGAAACTCAGTCAAGTGCAGTGTTAACATGTCCTGTACTAATGAAAAAAGTTAGCCTGAAACAAGTTTGTGACTTTAGTTTGATTAGATTTAGTTGATTAGATCTAGATAGGTCTAGAACCAAATTTTGTATTTATTCATTCAACCAAAAGTCACAACTTCCCGTGGTGAGTAGCTAGCTCTGCTAGCTGCTTTTTGTACAAAGATGAACAATTGCCTTATCAAAGAATAGTCAGTCATTTCCTCAAAATTTATCTTAAATTGATTTGTAGTAAGAAAATAATATAGATACCTATATAGCCTAAGAGTCAGGTGTCTGTGTAGTATCTTCTTAAGATAAACTGTATTTCTTAATGAATATAGAACTCAACAAAAGGAAGTTAAGAGCTCTAACTAGAAATTAGGATATTATGATATTTGGCTGCTTTAAGAATGTTTCTTTTCATTTTTTAAAATTTAGTAATATATTTTATTTAACTCAATATACCCAAAATATCATCATTCCAACATATGCAATAATTATTAAAAATCTTGGTGAGATATTTTACTTTTTTTCTTCTTCTTTTGCATTAATTTATCTAGAATTTTTCTACTCAAAGTATGGCCCATGAAGAGTTCTTTTTATACTCAGGATGTAGAAAACTAGAGAGGGATTTTCCCTCAATTAAAAAAATAAAGATAGATAAGTTACTGATAACTTTATTAGAATATATCAGATAATGGAAGTTGAAGAACAACCAAATAGCCTGAAATCTAAGGAAATACAGGATTCTCCAAGGAGAAGTGAGATGTAAGTACTGACTCACCTGTGACAGAACACTAGAACAAGAAGTGAAAAGCTATACATGTAAGTAAAAAATGCAAGTAAAATGTTTAAGGGCTTGATAATGGCTAATGTGAAAGTATAGAACCTTTGGGATTACTAAATACAAGAGAAATTGTTATAAACTTGTAAGCTCTTTCCATGAGTGAGTAATGGGTATTCATGAGAAATGGAGTAGAGTAGGTGGCTGAAAAACACTTCTTTTTGTGGGAGAAAAAAATGCTTATATAAAATACTCAACACATCTAAAAGAAGACAGAAAAATTTTAAAAAGAAAACAGAACAGAATATGTCATAACGTGATTATGTAAATAATTATAGTAAATAGAAATGGTCTAAACACACAAATTAAATGGCAGAGATGGTCAGATTAGATTGTGTACAAGAAATCAATTATAGATATAAAGACAGAGGTTAAAAGTAAAAGAATGGAAACTAATATGTACATGGACACATTCATATTTCATAGGGATTTTAGGCAGAAAACCCACAAAAATATAGAGAACTTGAGCAACATTAACAACTAACATGTACTAATTAACATTTAGACAAATAGACAAAACAAGAGTTTAATATATACCTTTCAACTGCACATGAATCATTCACCAAGATAGATAATATTCTGGGCTATAAAACACACTTAAACAAATGTAAGATAACTGGAATCACAGAAAATATATGATTTGGACACAAAGAGATTAAAGTAGAAATAAATAATAGCTGGATATTTTGAAAATTCCAAATTATGTACAAATCCAACAAAACATAAAAAATAGATTTAATAACTCATAAGAGAAATTATAAATTTTTAATGCAATGAAAACGAAATATTAATATATCCAAATGTGTGGGATGCTGCTAAATCACTTCTTAGAGGAAAAATATAGCATTAACTGATTACATAAGAAAAGAAAATTTTCAAATCAATGAGCTAAGCTTGTACCTTAGAAAATTATTAAAAGAACAAATTAAACCCCGAACAAGAAGAAAAGTAGCAAACATTTCGTGAAAAAGATGCCAAAAGCAATTGCAACAAAAGCAAAAATTGACAAATGGGATCTAAGTAAACTGAAGAGGTTTTGCATAGCAAAAGAAACCATCAACAGAGCCAACAGACAACCTGCAGAATGGAGAAAAATGTGTGCGAACTGTGCAAACGTCTAATATCCAGAATCTATAAGGAACTTAAATTTACAAACAAAAACAACCCCATTAAAAAGTGGGCAAAGGACATGAAAACATTTTTCAAAAGAAGACATACATGCAGCCAACAAACATGAAAAAAATGCTCAATATTACCAATTATTAGAGAAATGCATATTCAAAACCACAATTAGATACCATCTCACATCAGGCAGAATGGCTACTATTTAAAAAGTCAAAAAATAACATGCTGGTGAGGTTGTGAAGAAAAGGGAAGGCTTATACACTGCTGGTGAGAGTGTAAATTAGTTCAACGTTTGTGGAAAGCATTCGGCAATTTCTCAAAGAACGGGAAACTCCCATTTGACCTAGCAATCCCATTAGTGGGTATATAATCAAAGGAATATAAATTGTTCTACCATAAAGGCACATGCACATGTATGTTCAGTGCAGCATTTTTCACAATAGCAAAGTCATGGGATCAACCTAAATGCTCATCAATGGTAGACTGTATAAAGAAAATGTGGTATATATACACCATAAAATACTATGCAGCCATAAAAAAGAACAAGATCCTGTCCTTTGCAGGAACATGGATGGAGCTGGAGGCCATTATCCCTAGCAAACTAATGCAGAAACAGAAAACCAAATTCTGCATGTTCTCGCTCATAAGTGGGAGCTAATTAATGAGAACAAATGGAAACAGAGCAGAACAACAGACACTGGAGCCTACTTGAGGGAGGAGGGGGAAGGAGGAAAAAGAGCAGAAAAAAATATCTATTAGGTACTATGCTTATTACCTGGGTGATGAAATAATCTGAACACCAAACCCTCATAACACCGGTTTACCTATGTAACAAACCTGCACATGTACCTCTGAACCTAAAATAAAAGTCAAAAAAGTAAAATAAGAGAAAAATGCCCAGGTCAAAAAATACATAAATAAAACAAGTGAAGTAATACAACAAAGTGCAGAAATCAACTAAGTTTAAAACAGGAAAACGGTAGAAAAAAATCAGTGAAACTAAAAGCTCGTTCTTTTCATACATCAGTTTACTAAACTTTTAGTCAGACTAATCCAGGCAGAAGGAGAGAATGCAAAAATGGTATCAAGAATGAAAGTGAAGTAACTTCAGATTCTATGGACATTGTAAGATATTAAAGGGGTATTATGATTAATTTTGCATACATAAAAATATCAACTTAGATGAACAAATCTTTTGAAAGAAACTAATAATTCTCTCTTATGAAGAAATAGATAATCAGGATAATTCTATACCTATCTAAAGATAAGATTCTAAATTAGAAACCTTCCAGCAAAGAAAACTCCAGCCCAGATAGCTTCACTGGTGATTTCTACCAAACGTTAAATTGAGATATAATGTCAATTATTTACAAAATATTTCAGAAATTAATATGAAACACTATCCAACTTATTTTATGCAGTCAGCATTATGTTGACACCAAAACAAAGGAACAGTATTATGATAAAAGTAGAGAACAACAGCCTTCACAAGCATAGATATAAAAATTCTCAAAAACATCAAATCTAATTCAGCACTATAGAGTAATACATTATGACCAAGTGCAGTGGAGATTATCTTGAGAATAGTTTGTTCAACCTCTTAAAATTTATCAACACTCACAGATAAAAAGAAAAACAAAGTATAATTTCCTCTTAACAAATGCAAAAACAAATTTGGAAGAATTTGACATTATTTATGATAAAAATCTCAGCCAATTGATGGGAACATCCCCTAAATGATAAAAGCCATCAATAAAATACCCTACACCTAATATTATCATTAGTGATTAAATTCTGAGTGTTTTATCCTTAAGTAAGACCTGGGGCAATGAGATCTACTGTCACTATTCCTATGCAACATTATGCTGGAAGTCGTAGACATACAAAGACAGGAAAATACCCCATAACATCATGCAGATTAAAAATAAATAAATAAAACTGTTTTGATTCATAAATGACATATGTGTCTACAGAAAATCTTCTAAATTTACCAAAAATATATTCTACCTAGAAAATGAGTTTTGTAAGTTTATCTAACAAGACCAATATACAGAAACATATCGTTTCAACTATCATATCAATTGTTTATTGATAATCCAATTTTATATTGAAAAATTGAAATATAAAAAAACTGTGTAATTTAAAATAGTACCCTGCTCCTCCTCAAAAACCCATGTAATAGTTATAAATTTAACAAAATAATAAAATAAATAAATTTAACAAAATAAAGCCTCTGTGGTAAAAACTAAATAAAAGAAATAAAAATAATATTTAAATAAATTGAGTTGTATGCTGTCTCCTTGATTTGGAAAACTGTATTTTGTAAATATGTCATTTCTTCTCAAATTGATGTATAGATGCAGTGTCATCCCAGTTAAATTCCCAGATAGTTTTTTTGTAGATAATCACAAGGAAATTCTAAAATTTATGTGGAAAAACAAAGAAACTAGCCGAAAAAATTTTGAAAAAAAGGAACGAATTCAGAAGACTTATGTTATTTGATTTCAAAACTTAATATAAATGTACAGTAATCAAGGTATTGTAGTGTAGAAGAAAATGTTCTGATACATTAACACATCTGCACCTCATACCACGTACAAAAAGCTGTTTAAAATAAATCATAGACTTAAAAGCAAAAACAATGAAATATACAGAAGAAAACAGAAGAAATTGTAATTTCAGCTTAGAAGACAACTTCTTTAATGAATAGAACTATGATCCCTAAATTTTTTTTGAGAAATTAGACTTCATCAACATTAAAATCTCATGCTTTTTGTGAATATACTGTTAAAAAATTAAAAACATGCCATAGACTAGGACAAAATATTTGCAAAACACATGTCTGATAGAGGAGGAGTTGTATCCATAAACCACAAAATACTCTAAGACTTAATGCTAATCAAACAATTCATTTTAAAAAATGGCAAAGGATTAGAACGGACACTTAACTAAAGAACATATAGGGATAATAATAAGCACATTGAAAGTTTCTCCACATTATTAGTCTTTAAGGAAATATAAAATTAAACTACAATGAAACTAACAGAATATGGCCAAAATGAACAAACCAACCAACAAACCCTCATCACAGCAACTTTTGGGGAGAATGCATAGCAACTAGAACGCTCATACATTGCTGGTGGTGATGTAAAATGGTAAAATCACTTTGGACAATAGTTAAGCTGTTTCTTATAAATTTAAGTATACACTTACATTATGAAAAGATAATTCACATGAAACAAACATATGAATGTTTACAGTGGCTTTATTCATAACCGTCAAAGTTATGAAGCAACTTAAATCTTCATCAACCAGTGAGAGGATTAACAAATTAGTCCATTCATACAATGGAATACTACTCAACCATGAATAAAAAAACTTCTGATACATGAAACAACATGATTGAATGTCAGATGCATTAAAAACATCCAAATGCAAAAGTTACATACTGTATCTATGACTCAACTTACAAGCATTCTGAAAAAGTAAGAAATATTGAGATGAAAAAGAAATCAGTGGTTGCCTGGGCCTGGGGTCTGGAGAGGGTTGACTAGGAAGGGACATGGGAAAAATTTGGGGATAATAGAAGTAAGTGTTTTTTAGCTTGATTGTTGTGATAATGTTTGACCTTATGCATTTGTCAAGATTTACAGAACTGTATAATAAAAAGTATAAATTTTGCTGTTTGTAAATAAACCTAGTAAAAGAAATATGTGGTGTGTGGAGAAGTAACATTAGTATTACCTGGGGACTCATTAGAAATGCAGAATCTTTGGGCCACATTCCCAGACCTAATGAATTAGAATTTGCATTTAGCAAGATCCCCAAGTGATCCAAATGGATAGTCATGTTTGAGAAACATTGACTGAGAACCAATGTATTTTGCCCCTTGGACAATCTTTCATCAACAGAGTAAGGTAAAATGCAAGAGTAAGGGGCTAAGGAGTATTTGGGGTTGATGTGGTGGACTTGTTGAGAAAGGATTTATATCAGTATAGTCACTAAAGGAGATTTTGGGGAACTAAAGGAGCCCAGACTGATTTATCTATTCTTAGAAGTGTCTTTATGAGGCCCTAATAACACTTCAAAGCTATTTAGAATCTGGTGAGAACTACCTTGTCAAGATTAAACTACCCTAACACCTATTTTCAGTGTTTTGGTGAGAGTTGGATAAAAACTGTCCTGTGTTGTGGGTAGTCTATGAACAGAGGGAGGGAGCACTTTGACTTAAACTTCTAGCAATTGCATCTCTTCGGCTGGCCTCTTACGGAATCTACTAGTTGATTCAAGTTTGATTAAGGTTACGTATTAACAACTAACCATGTATATTCTGACTTCCCTTTTTAAGGAAAATAAAATAATCAGGTAATTAGCCAGATTATGTGAGGACAGAGACTGTGCTATAAATCTGTTCTATACTGAAGATGGAATACAGTGGAGGTAGGTTACATAGAGCTATAACACAGTGAATTAGTCAGTGTTCTCTAGAGGAACAGAACTAATTAGATACATGTATATATGAACAGGAATTTATTAAGGAGAATTGATTTACACGATCAAAGCAAGGTGAAGTCCCACAATAATCTGTCTGCAAGTTGAGAGGCCAGGAAACCAGTAGCAACTCAGTCTGAGTCCCAAAACCTCAAAAGTAGGGAAGCTGACAGTGCAGCCTTCAGTCTGTGGCCGAAGGCCTGAGAGCCCTTGCAAACTACTGGTATAAGTCCAAGAGTCCAAAAGCCGAAGAATCTGGAGTCTGATGTTTGGGGTTAGGAAGTATCCAGCATGGGAGAAAGATGAAGGCCGGAAGACTCAGCAAGTCAGCTTCTTCCACCTTCAGCCTGCTTTTTCTAGCCACGCTGGCAGCCAGTTGAATGGTGCCCACCCATATTGTGGGTGGATCTTCCTGAGGGTGGGTCTTTCTCTGGCAGTCCACTGACTCACTTGTTAAACTCTTCTGGCAACACCCAGAAACACCCAGATACACCCACAGACACCTAGATATACCCAGAAACAATACTTTGCATGCTTCAATCCAATCAAGTTGATACTTAATATTAACAATCACACACAAGTTTATTGTTTTCAAGGAGCTTTATTTGGCTTGGCTGTATTTAACTCATAAAAAGTATAAAATGATCCTAGATAGTATGCAATAAAGAACTCTCCAGGTATTACAGAATCTAATAAATAATTTAGATATAAACTGTGTTCCTTAGGTTGAAGTGGTCAGAGAAGGCTCCGTACAGGAAAAGGTGTGCATTGTTGTGTACTCAGCAAAATATCTTATCAACAGAGCAACAGTAACAAGAAACTTTAGTTGAGTTTGGTGTAGTTATAAAATTAACAAATTGGTGTATATCTAATAATATGAGAGACATGAGTAATTAGAGAAATGAATACAACATTACAGATGGTTATGTCGAGTATTCTTCCAGGTCGAGAATCTTCAATTCCTATTACTGTCATGAAGTTGTTGTCTCTTTCTTCTTCAGTTGGATATTTGCCAAGGAAATTAAGCAAGAAATAAGGAATAAAAACATACTTTTTGTTCAACAATCAAATCTGGAAAAAAGCATACTGAAGTTTTTTTTATGTGCCTTCAACTCAGAAACAGATGCTTCCTTTTGGTTGCCTCTGATAGTGATCTCTCTATTTTGGGGACGATCTCCTTCCATGGTCAATTGAGGGAAATTGGCAGTGGACCTGCTAGCAGTGATCTGGCTCCAGAAACCCTCCTTTCTCTCTCTACCCATGTAATAGTTTTTCAGGCAAATAGGTCTCCCCTACAAGATTGTAAACTCCTCCCTGAATACTCTTAGGTATTTCCCTCCACAAGACCTGTACAATATCTGACTCAGAATTGTTGCTCCATAAATAGGAAAGGAAAATCAAATCCATCTAAGCTTCATATTATCCTTTCAGGCATCTGTGATCTTTAGCACAAAATGACTATTGATAGAATAATCAGGTAAAAGAGTATGTAAACTGGTTTATGTGCTAGCACTCTTAAATAAAAGGCAACTTTATCTGCTTACAATACACTAATCTCTAGAAAGGCCCTTATTAAATGAATATAATTGTAGAAATATGCTGGCATGTGAGAGCAAATAATGTGAGTTTTCTGTGAAGACATAAGTCATCTACTTTAGATGAATGAACAGTCCTACTTATAGACTGCCTCTCAACCCAGAATAATCTCTGGAGCTTTAAAAAAATACAAGTGATGCATAAATAACTGAAAACTTTATAGATTCATTTCTTGGTAACTATATTATATATTTTACACGTAGTATGCACCAATGTATACAGATATATTTGTCAGTTTTGTGGGTTAGAGCTTGCTAAAGATGGTTTTGTGACGGTAGTGCAAAGATCATTCTGTGTACTATATAATAAACGACCAGATCCTAACAATATCTAACAATATTTACTGCTGCTCTAAACAGATAGGGTGAAAAATGTACATCTGTACGAGGCACAAGCACAAGGTGGCTAAGCATGTCTGAGGTAGTCACAAATCACATTGGTGTCACCATTCAGCAAAGTTTCAGGAAAAGCTAGCAGTGAACCAGGCATCCCTCAGCCATTGGTCTGGCACATTTTCCATAAGCTACTAAAGACGATACCTGGCCCTTTACACCTGATGAAGGCTCCAATGGAGACAGATGAGGCAAAATAATATAATTTCTGTAGCTCAGTTTTCAGAATCATATTGAGATGAATCAATTTTGCATATTCATATTCACTGAAGAGGCTGCATTTCACTTACATGAAAAAGTGAGCCACCACAATTTACTAAGAGACAATGAAAATTAATATGACACTTGCAAAAGAGTTATGAAAATTAATGTTTTTTGTGCCATCTCTTGCACATATGCCTTTGGTCTGTTTTTTGTTTTTGTTTTTTTTTTTTACAATGACAGGATTCCCATATGAAACACGTTGATGGAATGAGGTTTTTCTCCACAATTACAGGTTGCCTACTTTCACTTCACTTTCCAAAAGGATACATTTCTATTTCACTTCCATAACAATTCTGGAGGTCGCCTGATAAACAGCTAACATGGTGGTAGACTGGACATAGTGTTCAAATTTGACCTACCTAGAGACCAATGGCCACCCAGTTCCCCAGTTATCATATCTTGCAAATCATTCTTCCTGTGAGAATATTTGCAAAATCTCATGTTTTATACCACCACTTTCTTGAAGGCTTAGGGAAATCAAGGAATACAACCTGGATGATATTCTTACATTGACAGACTGAGAAAAACTGCTATAGGACTGGCATTTTCCCTGTGGCATAAGTAATGAATATTGAGCATATGTAAAATTATGAAAATAATTGCTTTCAATCCTTTATGAACTGGTTTTGCTATATGATCATATGTAATATAGTTAATAATTAATTTTGGAAAGTGCTTTTTAAAATTAATTCATATTTATCCTTGTATATAACCCTTCATGTAATTAGGCTCAGCTTGGGGATACCTCTTTGCATATTTAAAATACTTCAAGAAAATGAAAATGTTGATTTGCAACCAGAGTGGAAAACCCCTCAGAAACAGTTATTTGTGTTTGCCCTTATTCTCTTCTCCAGTCAAGACCAATAATATTGGACTTTGCCATGCTCTGCAACTCTCATCTCCAAAAAAGTACATGCACACCCATATGTGTGCATATGCACACCTTGAAATTGAGCATTGTGGGCTGCCAGAGACTAAATCATACCTCCTTCTAACAGTTCTCTGAAGATCTTTATAACATCATTCTGGTAATATTTACTTAATTATACATCATAATTATATAACTGCAGATTGTAATTATATAATTACATGTGTTTACATTCAGTAGACAATTAAATATAATCACCTTTAGCACAAAAAGTTACCTGATGGAGACCAGGAACCTAACATAGTAAGTGAAATGAATTAAATGCTATTTTGATCCTTTCCTTATGGTAGTTTTCATGAGGTGGGACTAGCAAAACAGCTTGCATCAAAATGGAGAAAGAGCTTTGGAAAAACATTGTAATTTAAGAAAATGAAATGGAAAAAAGTGAGACAAACCTTTCTTGATTAAATTTTCTAAGATTACACTATTGAATTATTGATATTAATTTTTAAAAAATATATAACTTTATTGATTATTTAAATATTTGTTGGTGTAGTAGCTAATGGTAATGTCATCACACATGGACAGCATTTTAGTAGCTAATGGTAATGTCATCACACATGGACAGCATTTTAGTAGCAAATAGAGGCATACACTGCTCCATCTATTCTGCCCATTCATTCACTCACTCCATCATTTAGCTAACATATGTTTATTGAGTACCAACCGTGTCCTGGACACGAGTTCAACACCGGTCTGTGTCCTTATTCTTCAGAGAGTGGTCTTGCTCTTGGCCCCCAGTGCTTTGACCTTTCTCCACAGTATGTAATACATATTCCCCACACTCATCAAAACAACTCTTCCATTTAATATCTCACACTTCCATGCCTGGATTGTCAGGTAGGTGATAATGAGTGGTCAAGGTCACAGAAAGAAAAATTTAATGCAATCTATGCTGAAGTATTAAGGTGCGAAGGGGTAATTTTAGTCATGGTACTGATAGGTACTGAGGCAGTAGTGCTTCTCTCTGGAGCTCCTCAGTATGTTTCAAGTGCTGCCGCTGCTCAGGCTTGAAGCTGCAAGCTAAGTTCAAGCAGAACACTCTCCTTATTCCTATGTCTACTACTCCCATTGGACTTTGAGCTCCTTGAGGAAATAGAGACCCTCTGCATAATACCCAGTGCATAGCAAAGGAAGTTTTGTAGGATGTCTTCTGTGTATGCTTGTTGACTCTCATAATGAAGAGGAATTGTCATAGGCAGGGCCATCCCTGCCTATATTTCCTCAGTAACAACCCAAAGTGAGGCATGTTTCACCTGATTACTTTTCATTTTAGAAAATTACTGATTTTCTAAAATCTTTGCATCAGATATTTGTAGCTCAAACCCTATTTTGATTACCAGTAACAGCTGTCATCATTATTCTGTAGGTGCTTGATTTATATACCTGCTAAATTTTCATTTTGCAACGAACACTAGCTTTCTCACATGTAGTAATCTGTAAGCAAATACCCAATTCCTTAAAAAATCCACTGTTTAAAGAAATTTGATCGTAAAACATTGTCTAGATATAGAATCACAGGGTCATAGAATTTTATAGTTGGAAAGAACCTTTGCCTTTGAGGTCATCTGATCCAATCTTCTAGCTTCCATTGAGTATAGAAATATACACTATTTTTTTTTTTTTAGACAGAGTTTCACCCTTGTTGCCCAGGCTGGAGTGCAATGGTGTGATCTCGGCTCACTGCAACCTCTGCCTCCCGGGTTCAAGCGATTCTCCTATCTCAGCCTCCCGAGTAGCTGGGATTACAGGCATGTGTCACCACACCCAGCTAATTTTGTATTTTTAGTAGAGATGGGGTTTCTCCATGTTGGCCAGGCTCATCTTGAACTCCCGACCTCAGGTGATCTGCCTGCCTTGGCCTCCCAAAGTGCTGGGATTATAAGCGTGAGCAACTGAGAAGTATACACTATTATATTTTTGTTAGGTATTTGGTCAGCTTAAACATTTACAGAGTGAAGGAGCTCAATATTATTCGAGGCAACCCATTCCATTCTGTTGATGGACCTTCTTACATTGAACTAAATTTGTCTCCTTTTAACCATCCTCCAGGGCACGCGCAAATTAAGTTTATATTTTCTCCCACATGATAGCTCTTCAAAGGGTAACTGCCATAATTTCTCAACTTCTGCCTCCATTTTTTTTTATTTGCTTTTGCCACTTAGACATTGTCAGGTTTACTGATATTTTTTAAATGTCATGGTTTTGAAGATACTTAGTCCTGTCCTTTGAATTTTCTCCTAATTGTCAGTATCCATCTAAAAATGTGAAGCCTACATCCAAATACCTTATTCTGGGTTGGCTTGATCACGCCAGAGAGTCGGGGGTCGATTAGGCTCCCTACTCCTCCATTAGAGCAGATTTTTTCTTCCCAAGTGCAGAACTATTTGTTATAATATTATATCATTTGATCTACTATTTCCATCTGTTGAGATGTTTTTGAATCACGATTTTGTCACGTTAACTATCTGTTCCTGCTTTTGTTAATCTGTAAATGTGTTCAATCAGTGAACTTTCTGGGACTCCTCCAAGTTACTGATAGAGTAGATAAGACCTGTGACAAAAACCTGTTCATCTAGGTTGTCACTGATTTATTCTTTGGGGTGCCCTCTCTGGCAATGGTGATCCAACTTTATAAATCTCTACTTTATAAGTATCTATTTAGCTGAATCCAGTTATCATCATTCTATGTAGTTGCCAGAGTTATCGCATCCCTTTTTGTAATATATATGAACTCTAATTTTAAGCTGCCAGTTATGTAACAGTATAGAAAAAAGAAATGAATATGAATTTTTAGTGAACTGATATTGGCTGTTTTCATAAATGCCTAAAAGCCATCTGCTTAATTATCAATTCTTGAATCTTGTTGGAAATCACCATTTATCTCTGGGTTTTAATTCTAGAATACAATTTTTTTTTGGTTTTGAAAATCAAGCTACTTATCCACCTCTAGTCTTCTGCTACCTTTATCATTTCTAGTCATTTCTCAACAAATAAAGTAGTCTAGCACTTGTAAATACATATTCTTCCTTCTTAACACAATTGAATTCAGTGGAATCTTATTTATATTAACCTGGTGCTGCTGTCTTAAAGTCTCCACATCTTGCTTGGAGTTTAATCCCCTCCCAGAAATACTTCTTGAACCTTTCCAATAGGGAGATATTCATGTGGGATTCACTTCCATGTTCACCTAGAGGATGTGTTTATTTAATATACTCACTGTGGGTTAAATCTGTGTTAAAATTGCCTCAGCAACTTTACTGTTCTCCATCTTCCTCACACTTACAATATACTAATTATTTATAAATCTTCCTAATTCTTATGTACCCTTCATACCACACCTCTCATTATAGATGGGGCAACAGAAACTTTTCAGTACCCCCTTAGTTGCTGTCAGGGCTTTTCCTTCTCCCACTTCATACTACAAGTAGACCAGACCTCTCATACCAATTTTGAAACTCTAGGGACCTCCTTGTATTGTCCCACTTGGACTAGGCAGGGTTCCATAGTTTGTATATTCCCTTAGGCTAATTCTTTCAGGGCAACAAATAGCAACTTGAGGTTCTGCTCTCTGCCATGTGAAAGGTAAATTAGTTTCTACAATTAAGTTAGCCAGCTAGGATATTACCAATCTCAGGTAACATAATGCCTTAACCCTGATGAAATGTGCATGACATGAAAAATAAAAGTATAATATGTTGGTTTGGATGTGGTTAAATTCATGCATCAAGGCTGACTGAACTGGGAGAGGGGAAGCAAAGATATTTAGAACAAATGGGTTTTCCAGTGACAATCCAGTGGAATGGAACACTGTATATAGATACTTACCTGCTCTGCCATGACACTTTTTAGGTAGCAGTGAGGTTGATGCATTTTCCAAAGACTTATACCATGCTTGTAACAAATTGGAGGATGGAGACAATATGACAGAAAGTGTTTCTGACTCAATAGGTTGAATTTCAAACACCAGTCTCCTCTAGGCTCTTAACTGCAGGCTATGGTCTGTTTCCTGGGTTACAATATTGTGCTGTAATCTTCTAATCTTGTATCTCTCTTCTCCAGAGCTGGTGAATAGTCTTGTGTCACCTTCTCACGCTTCAGCTAGACATAAAGGATGAGAAAATACTATTCTCTGTCCTGATAGGGTGAGGAAGAGTTAATCAGAGGAGAATGACTTTTTCTTTTTCCTGGCTCCAGCTTAAGTGTGTCTGCATTTCTCTTTTTGGAATCACCTTTTCTCATTTCTGAACTTTCAGAGTGAGAAAAAACAGGTGGATACTGCTTCCTTTATGGTAAGTTGCATGGCTAAATTAACAGTAAGCCTGAGAAATCTGGGGTTTTAGTACAATATCTGTGGCATATAGTTGACCACAGATATTGCCCATTTAATCAAATCACCTCCTACTTGGTAATTATTAAGAAAAATCTCAAATAAAAATATAGCCGTGTGGTCCAGTACATTCCCTGCCTGCAAAACACACGTGTCATATACATATGCACATGCACAAACGCACATGCAACTTACACTCCATGAACACACATACAGGTGCTAACTTCCTAAATTTCTATTTTGCCAATTTTGCCATCACAGAATCTGAAGTTGGAGTCAGAGGAAGAAAGCAAAGCTTCATAGTTGACTCAGTTTAATAATGGCCACAGTTTCTGTGGCCTACTCATTTTGTCTTCTATTTTTCTGTACTTCAGCATGGCCCCATTGATATCTCTGATATACTCAGACAATGTACATGGTGACTTAATATGTACTGGAAATTCAGAATTAAGAGAGTTTCATTGGTGACATTGGGAAGTAAGTAGAAGACATGTGGGAAAGAGCATTTGCAATAGATTCTTTTTATTTAAAGCCTGATACCCGGAGCTTCAAAGGAGACAGAATATTTCATAATAGAAGACATTGGATTTGAATCTGATTTCCTGCCTCTTTCTCACTTAACCTCTCTGAGTCTGTTTTATCTGTAAATTATGGAATTATTGTGAATATCAAAAACATTGATACAAAAGAACCTATTCTATTTTTGGCTACAAAATCACTATGAATATACAATTATTTTTGAGAAAGGGAGGAGAGATGTTAGAGGAAGAATCCAACCAATATTTACTAAAATCCTACATAATCAGGTGTAAACAAGGGTCAGAGTAACATGGATTACATAATTTTTGAAGTTCTTATTCATTAACTGTACTATAATCTCACATATGACATTTAATGAACTGAAGAAAGGATAGACATATGCAAAATGATTCTCTGTTAACTACAGAAGCTTGAGAGGCACCATAGTGTTATGACTGTGAATTTAAGATTTTCAACATAAGTCATTATGAGAAGGATTCCTCCCATGTCCTGCTCCCAGACAAGTTTGGTACCTTGATTATTACGACTGTGATTCAACCAAGTTTTCTAGACTGAAATCCCCTTAAAAATTGAACTCTGTAACAATAATTTCCATAGTTTTTAGTCTTAGTTCTATGTTACTCACTTAATTTTCACCAGCAATACTTTTTCCACAGTGTCTACATTCCTGATATATTTAATCTTATTCATCTTTATTTAATGATATTTTATTCTCAAGTACTTTTTTAAAAGAAAAACAAATAGTTGCTGGAATCTCTAAGCTCATGCCTGCTTAAGCCTCTCTGTAGCCTTTATTCTGCTCGGCAATTTGGCTAGGTTTCAAATACTTAGCTCACTCTTTATTCCACACAGAACTTAGTAGATATTACTTTACCATCTTCTGGCATTGAATATTGCTGTGGAGAATTCTGATATCAACCAAACCTTTCCTCATGTACGTAATCTGTTTAATGCCTAAATGCAAAAATATTCCCTTTTTAACATTGAAATTCTATGACTCAACCAGACTATGCCTTGATTTGAGTCTCCTGTATCAATTTTTCTATTAATTTTCATAAAACATGGTATGCTATCTTATTCTGCCATGTCAGTTCTTTATTCAGAGGGATTGTCTTGTAAAAGGATGTGTGTGTGTGTGTGCGCGCGTGTATTTTAGTCTTCCTGATTAGATTGTCTTTGCCTAATGCACACACATGTATACATACCCATAATCTTACCTCTGATTGCTTTATTATTTTTCTTTTTCCTGGATTCCCTGTGATTATCTCAGGTACTTACTCTTTTTCATTAATTAGATTTTAATTCATATCTTGTCTGTATTATGAATATCAATGTTTATTAGTTCTGTAATGGTGTTGTTTTTGAACTTTGGTTTGCTTTTTTATTTCAATAATTTTCCTTGTCATTACAATCTTGTGTTTTATTTTCTTGTCTCTAAAATCTTATTTTACTGAAATTATATTTTTATTAAATTCTTCCATTGCATAAAGTACTTATGGGAATTTTTTTTTTATTGGGATACGTCTTTTTTTACACTGGATTATTTAAACTTCTTTGCATGTCTTAAGTTGGGAACTCCAGAAGCCACTGATCACAGGATACCTGAGTAAATATTTTATTAAAGAGGGAAGTATTTCCAGGGAAATCCCAGAGGAATTAAGATGGGGAAGGGGAAAAGCCATGCAAAAATGTGTCTTAGCCAAAGCCCCAGAGGGTTGCTTCAGACTGAATCTGAATGATGATTCTGAAATGAACATTACACCTAAGCGTTGCCTCATATCAAGTCAAGGAAAAAGCTTTTCGTACTCTTTCCACACATCAGTTGTTGGTTAAAACACAAATTGACTGGGGTGTGAGGAAGGACAGAAATACAGGCATACCTCATTTTATTGAACTATATTTTATTGCACTTTGCAGACACTATTTTTACAAATTAAAAGTTTGCCTAGACCAATTCCAGGAAAATTTTCTCTAGGTTTTATTGTAGTATTTTTATAGTTTCAGGTCAAATTTAAGTATTTAATCAATCTTGAGTTGATTTTTGTATGTGGTGAGAGATAGGGTTTGAGTTTCATTCCTCTGCATATGGTAATCCAAATTTTTCAGCACCGTTTACTGAAAAGGGTATCCTTTTCCCGGTGTATGTTTTTGTTGACTCTGTCAAAGATCAGTTGGCTGTAGATATGTGAATTTATTTCTTGGATATCTATTGTATTCCATTAATTTATGTGTCTATTTTGATACCAGTACCATGCTGTTTTGGCTGCTGTAGCCTTGTAGTATAATTTGAGTTCAGGGATTGTGATGCCTCCAGCTTTGCTCTTTTCACTTATGATTACTTTGATTATGTGGGCTTTTTTTTGTTTCATCTGAATTTTAGGATTTTTTTTTTAATTCTGTGAAAAATGATGGTATTTTGATAGGGATTGCCTTGAATCTGTATATTGCTTTGAGCAGTATGACCATTTTCATGATATTATTTCCTCTGATCAATGAGCATGGGGTGTTTTTCCATTTGTTTGTGTCATCTAAAATCTCTTTCATCAGTGTCTTGTAGTTATCCTGTTAGAGATCTTGTAATTCCTTGGTGAAATATGTTCCTAGGTATTTTATTTTTTATAGTTATTGAAAATGAGATTGCTTTCTTGATTTGCTTCTCAACTTGATTATTATTGGTGTATAGAAATGCTACTGATTTTCATATATAGATTTTGTATTCTTAAACTTTACTGAATTCATTATGAAATCTAAGAGATGTTTTTGGAAGTGTCTTTAAGGTTTTCTAGATGTAAGATCATATCGTCAGCAAATAGCAATGGAAAACACTACTGGACATTGGTCTAAACAAAGAATTTATGACCAAGACCTCAAAAGCACAAGCAACAGAAACAAAAATAGACAAATGGGACTTAATTAAATGGAAAGGCTTCTACACAGCAAAATAAATAATCAGAAGAGTGAACAGACAACCTGCAGATTGGGTGAAAATATTTGCAAAGTGTGCATCCAATAGAAGACTAATATCCAGAGTCTACAAGGAACTCAAACAACTCAAAAACAGGAACCCCCAAGGAACCTGATCAAAAATTGGGTCATTATCCTCAGCAAATTAACATAGGAACAGAAAACCAAATACCGCATGTTCTCACTTATAAGTGGGAGCTAAATGATGAGAACACATGAACACATAGAGGGGTACAACACACACTAGGACCTTTTGGAGGGAGGAGGGTGGAATGAGAGAGAGGATCAGGAAAAATAACTAATGGGTACCAGGCTTAATACTTGGATGTTGAAATAATCTGTACAACAAAACCCCATGACACAAGTTTAGCTATGTAAACCTGCACATGTACCGCTGAACTTAAAATAAAAGTTAAAAAAAGTGGGCAAAGGACATGAATAGAAAGTTTTCAAAGGAAGTCATACAAATGTCCAAAAAGAATGTGAAAAAATGCTCAATACCACTAATTATCAGAGAAACACAAGTAAAACCACAGTGAGATATCATTTTATACCTGTCAGAATGGCTTTTATCAAAAAGTCAAAAAAATAACAAATGTTGGTGAGGACGTGGAGAAAAGGGAGCACATATACACTCTTGCTAAGAATAAATTAGTACAACCTCTACGGAAAACAGTATGGAAATTTCTCAAAGAACTAAAAATAGAACTACCATTTGATCCAGCAGTCCTACTACTGGGTATCTACTCAAGGGAAAGTAAATCATATTGGAAAACATACCTGCACTTGCATAGTTTTTGCAACACTATTCACAATAGCAAACATAAGGAATCCATCTAAGTGACCATCAACAGATGACTGGATAAAGAAAATGTGGCATATATACACAACAGAATACTACTCATAAAAAGAATGAAATCATGTCTTTTACAGCAATATAGATGAAACTGGAGGCCATTATCTTAAGTGAAATAACTCGAAAACAGAAAGTCAAATACCATATATTGTCACTTATAAGTGAGAGCTAAATGTTATGTACACATTGACATAGAGTGTGGAATAGTAGACATTGGAGACTCAAAAATTTGGGAGGGAGGGAGTGGTGAGGGGTAAGAAATTACTTAATGGGTACAATGTACATTATTTAGGTGATGGTTACATTAAAAGCTCAGACTTCACGACTTTGTAATACATGCATATAACAAAACTTGCCCTTGTGTCCCTTAAATTTATACCAACAAATAAATGAAGATTTTTTAAATGTCTGTGGCAATCCTTCATCTAACAAACCTACAAACACCATTTTCCAACAGCATATACTCACTTCATATCTCTGTGTCACATTTTGATAATTCTCATAATATTTTAAACTTTATTATTATTATATCTGTTAATATTATAGTAGTCTTATATCAGTGATCTTTCGTCTTACTATTTTAATTGTTTTGGGGTGCCATGAGCCATCCCATATAATGCAGCAAATTTAATCAATAAATGTTATGTGTGTTCTGACTGCCCCACCGATTGTATCTCTGAAAGTTTTGAAGTAAAAATGCTATTCCATTGAATACATGAATGATAAGTCAGTGAAACAGCCTTATTACCTATATGGAGAAAGTTTTTGTGGTCTAGGTGGAAGATCAAATCAGTCACAATATTTCCTTAAGCCAAAACCTACTTCAGAACAATACCTTAACTTTCTTCAATTCTATGAAGGCTGAAAGAGGTGAGAAAGCTGCAGAAGAAAAGTTGTAAGCTAGCAGAAGTTGATTCATGAAGTTTAAGGAAAGAAGCTTTCTTTGTAACATAAAAGTGCAATGTGAAGCATCAAGTACTGATGTGTAATCTGCAGCAAGTTATCCAGAAGATGTAGTTAAGAAAATTGATAAGATGGCTGCCCTATACAACATATTTGTATGCATACTAAACAGCCTTCTATTGGAAGATGCCAACTAAGACTTTCATAGCTAGAGAGTATAAGTCAATGCCTAGCTTCAAAGCTTCAAAGCTTCAAAGCTTCCAAGGACAGGCTGACTATTGGTAGGGGCTAATGTAACTGGTGACTTTAAGTTGAAGCCAATGCTCATTTACCATTCCAAAAATCTATGGGTCCTTAAGAATTATGCTAAATCCCTTTGCCTATGTTCTACAAGTAAAACAAAGCCTGGATGGCAGCACATCTGTTTATAACGTGGTTTACTGGATATTTTAAGCTCACTGCTGAGACTTACTGCCCAGAAGAAAAGATTCCTTTTAAAATATTAGTGCTCATTGAGAATGCTCCTAGTCACTCAAGAACTCGAATGAAGATGTACAAAGAGATTAATGTTTTCATGCCCACTAATACAATACCCATTCTGCAGTCCATGGACTAATGAGTAATTTTGACTTCCAAATTTTATTATTCTGGTTGTTGGAAGCAAATTCACATCAAAACCAAGGACACACAAAAACGTGTAAAAAAGGACTTGAGGGAATCTGGGAGGAGCACTAACGCTGTCTGCTACACTTGTTGTATTACTTTCATTTGTCATTTTAAAAGGAGGTTTTGTCATTTTTATGCTATTTCTTTTGATATTGCTCATAATGAGCTTGGTAAACTCTGTCCATATGTTTCATTTACTCCTATACAAGGCAAATGGACAGTGTTTCATTCCTTTCCTATTGTATTTAAAACTTTCTTCTTTGTCTTCCAAGTATATATTGTTCTTATCCCCAAGTATATTTTGAGAAGTGCAGCATAGAAGATTTAGGTAGATAAAGGATGAAGAACTCCACTACTGCTGGGATATAAAAGTGTGGATGGCTTAGATTCTGCTGTTTGTTTTATGATGTTATAGTATATCCTATGTCTGTACCCAGTTCACCAACTTGGGGAATATATCATATTCCTCTGTCAGGATATACTTGGGCTTTAGATCAATCCTAGGCTTCATCATGAAACCCTGGAAAATTACAAGGATTTCCTGTCTGTGTTGAGTTCTTGATTACATGTGCTGCATTCTTAACGATGGTAGGTATGGTCTCCTACTCTTGCGGATTTTACATTGACTGTTATCTAGGATTCGCCAACCCACATTTCTTCAGATTGGAGTTTATTCATGAAAATAGTCTGGATTTTGTTTATCTGCCATCTTACTGAGAATGGATTTTTTTGCAAGCCCCACAGAGTCATGCTATAATGCTTTCTTTTTATTATTATACTTTAAGTTCTGGGATACATGTGCAGAACATGCAGGTTTGTTACATAGGTATACACGTGCCATGGTGGTTTGCTGCACCCATCAACCCATCATCTACATTAGGTATTTCTCCTAATGCTATCCCTCCCCTAACCCCTTACCACCCAACAGGCCCCAGTGTGTGATGTTCCCCTCCTTGTGTCCACATGTTCTCATAGTTCAACTCCCACTTATGAGTGAGAACATGCAGTGTTTGGTTTTCTGTTCCTGTGTAAATTTGCTGAAAATGATGGTTTCCAGCTTCATCCATGTCCCTGCAAAGGACATGAATGCATCCTTTTTTATGGCTGTATAGTATTCCACAGTGTGTATGTGCCACATTTTCTTTATCCCATATATCATTGATGGGCATTTGGGTTGGTTCCAAGTCTTTCCCATTGTGAGGAGTGCTGCAATAAACATACGTGTGCATGTGTCTTTATAGTAGAATGATTTATAATCCTTTGGGTATAAACCCAATAATGGGATTGCTGGGTCAAATGCTATTTCTGGTTCTTTGAGGAATCGCCACATTGTCTTACACAATGGTTGAACTAATTTACACTCCCACCAACAGTGTAAAAGCTTCCTATTTCTTTACATCCTCTCCGGCATCTGTTGTTTCCTGACATTTTAATGATTGCCATTCTAACTGGCGTGAGATGGTATCTCATTGTGGTTTTGATTTGCATTTCTCTAATGACCAGTGATGATGAGCTTTTTTTCATGTGTTTTTTGGCTGCATAAATGTCTTTTTTGAGAAGTGTCTGTTCATATCCTTCATCCACTTTTTTATGGGGTTGTTTGTTTTTTTTCTTGTAAATTTCTTTAAGTTCCTTTTAGATTCTGGATATTAGCCCTTTGTTAAATGGATAGATTGCAAAAATTTTCTCCCATTCTGTAGGATGCCTGTTCACTCTGATGACAATTTCTTTTGCTGTGCAGAAGCTGTTTAGTTTAATAAGTTCCCATTTGTCAATTTTGGCTTTTGTTGCCATTGCTTTTGGTGTTTTAGACATGAAGTATTTGCCCATGCCTATGTCCTGAATGGTATTGCCTAGGTTTTCTTCTAGGGTTATTATGGTTTTAGGTCTTACATTTAAGTCTTTAATCCATCTTGAATTAATTTTTGTATAAGGTGTAAGGAAGGGGTCCAATTTCAGTTTTCTGCATATGGCTAGCCAGTTTTCCCAATACCATTTACTATATAGGGAATCCTTTCCCCATTGCTTGTTTTTCTCAGGTTTGTCACAGATCAGATGATTGTAGATGTGTGGCATTATTTCTGAGGCCTCTGTTCTGTTCTATTGGTCTATATCTCTGTTTTGGTACCAGTACCATGCTGTTCTGGTTACTGTAGCTTTGTAGTATAGTTTGAAGTCAGGTAGCATGATGCCTCCAGCAATCAGGCAAGAGAAAGAAATAAGGGGTATTCAAATAGGAAGAGAAGAAGTCAAATTTTCTCTGTTTTTAGATGACATGATTGTATATTTAGAAAACCCCATTGTCTCAGCCCAAAATCTCCTTAAGCTGATAAGCAACTTCAGCAAAATCTCAGGATACAAAATCAATGTGCAAAAATCACAAGCATTCCTATACACCAATAATAGACAAACAGCCAAATCATGAGTGAAATCCCATTCACAATTACTACAAAGAGAATAAAATACCTAGGAATACTACTTACAAGGGATGTGAAGGACCTCTTCAGGAAGAACTACCAACCACTGCTCAAGGAAATCAGGGAGGACACAAACAAATGGAAAAAAATTCCATGCTCATGGATAGGAAGAATCAATATCGTGAAAATGGCCATACTGCCCAAAATAATTTATAGATTCAATGCTATCCCCATCAAGCTACCATTGACTTTCTTCACAGAATTAGAAAAAAAAAGACACTTTAAATTTCATATGGAACCAAAAAAGAGCCCGTATAGCCAAGACAATCCTAAGCTATAATGTTTTCTTTAGTTCAATGGCTACCACGTTTCAAAATTTATAGCGTTTGTTTTGTTGTCTCTGTATTGATGCTGCTATGAAATTTCTTTTGTTAATTTATTTGTTTAACTAGGAAAAGAAATCCTGTGATATAGTTTTGGTCTGCCACTATAAGTGGGATATTTGCTGTTATTTCAATCAGACGTTTCCCTGTCAGTTTTGATAAAGTACAATATAATCCCTCTCCTCAATTGTTCTTTAAGTATTTTCATCTTTACCTGGATCTTAGAGATGTTAAAAATCACACCATCATTTTTATTTACTTTACTAATGTTTTAAAACTTGCCTGTAGTACTCGAAGTTGTGAAAATCTTATTTAAGCAATAAACGATTTCCTTAAGTGTCTAGTCTCTAATCGGAGGAAGTAATTTTCAAACAACTCTTAAACAGAAGAAAAACATAAATTTCAATCATAGATTTTCAGTGGTTTTAGCTCAAGAAAGCAAAGGAGACCAACAATCAGATATTTATATTCTCTGTGAACCTTTAGCAGTGGTTAAGTCAAAATATCAGTCACAGCTGTGATTTGGTTAAAATATCACTAAAATTGAATGAATGTTGCAATCAAGGTGTGCTTACTTTCATCACTCCAGATAAAATTCATGCAGCTTTCTATGATATATTGATTTTTATGGTAATTAGGAGAGGGAATGATGTACTAGGAGAGGACCAGGAAACATTTTTAATGTGCAAAAGAGGACAGCCTACATAAACATCTGTAAATGTTGTCTATTTGAATAGGATGTGAAGTTCTACATTACCTACTCCTTTGATGCTGGCAGGCATCATGTGGTCATTAAAGTTTCCCAAGACGATGTAGCCGGGATGGTGCCTGTCTTCCCTATGATACTCCTCAGAAGTCACAGCTAGTTTAAAGGGAAGGCTCATAATTATAAGAATTTGGAGAGGGACTTCTTCCTTTGGACTGTTCTGAAAGGAAGGCAGCTCACTAAAGTTTGGGGCTGCTTGAGATCTTGAAAAGATGAGTAAAAAACTAGTTCTTACCTAGATCATTTGATTGCTGTATTTGTTAAATAATTTTGCAAAGAAATTATCCCTTTTTACACCTACTTAGCCAGCTTTTGATTCTAAGGACAGGGGAAATACGAAAATTGTGGGCTAGGATAAACTGAATCACCAAAACAGAAACCAGACACAGAAGCAATAAATACTTTTGCTGTAGTGTTTTTCAGGCAAAATATCTAAAAATACTTGGTTGAATATATCTTTCTCATTCAGGTCAGATTCTATTTATATCATTAATAGCTGAACAGCTTTGGGAAACGTGTTGGTAATTTCTTTTTGTTTCCAATGGACAGATGTGAATTATTCCTTTCCATCAGCTTGTCCGTTCTCAGAAAACTAGATTTGTCATTCTGTTGCTGGGATCATAGAATCACCCAGTCATCAGCTGCTGACTGCCTATCTGCTTTGACAGGGAAGGAAATTGAGGATGTTAGTAGAGATTATTTAGGATCACTCAGTGAATGTACTGAAAAAACAAAACAAAACACAAGAAGTGCTTTGGCAGATTTGAATTTAGAGGAAGATAAGAAGACCAAGTACCAAAAGCACCAAAGCTTCGTTATCAAGTACCTTTGTATGAAAAGGATTGCACTGCATCATTTCTTCTGTATATCCATGAGCATACACATTCTTTTCTTTTTCATCAGTCATGGCATAAACTATGAAATGATCAAATGATCAAATTGGCATTTATAGCTTTCCAAACTATATTACTGTATTCCTAAGTACCAGCATGCATGTGTATATGCGTGTGCACACACATAGAAGTATATATGTGTGCAGATATGTGTTTGTATTTTAGGCTGAGCCATGTGAAATGCCTTCTTGTAGATCAAAAATGGTCAAATATTATTAATTTCATATGGTTTAATTGAAAGTATTGTAGGTGATTACAGTGTTCTGAGTTTTGATCATTGATGGATCATCCTAAAAGTCATTACCTTTAGCGATTTTTTTTATTTTGCTGAAGCAACAATTTAAATCGCATGTTCTATGATGAAAATATATGTGAGTCCTTAACTAATGAATTCCATAGTCATTATGTACAGTATTAATTAGCTTTTTAAAAAAATCATTATTTAAAGTGAAAAAACTCATACTATTATTGCTAGAGGTATATGGCAAAAAGACAGATGAAAGTGAAGAAAGTGATAGTTCTTGATTGGACAATAGGTTTTTGGTAAATTAAAAAATAAAGCATCACATTATGTGTTAGCTCAATGTATGATGTGAATAATTCACCCCTTATGCTCGATGTGGAACTAAGAAAATTTCACTCCTGAAATTGTTTCCACCAGTGCAAAAATGTTCAAGAAAGAGAGAAAAATTATTGTATGCTAAAAAACTGTGGCATAGTGGATACCTAGCTTTGCTTTCTAGCATCTATTATCTCTTTCATATAACAATACCATGAAATTCCTTTAGAAATTATCCTTTCCATGCCCTCTCATATTTTTAACCATTCAATTTATATAAAATTGATTCTACATTCAGTTTATGGTGAGTACAGATTGGCCTAAACCAATCCGGGTATGGCACTCACCTAATAATTGGGACATAGTTAGGCACATGATATAATCCAGTATAATCATCATGAACCTTAGGAGTTTTACTGGGAAGCTGGGTGAAGCCTCTCTTTTCCACTGGGTTTATTACTCTGAAAATTCAACTTGGGATTATTATTGCAGCCATTTTTGACACCAGGAGGAGAGCTAGCCTGAAGACAAAGTTTGAGGGTAGAGGAGAACATGAGAAATTTGCATGAAAACAGAGCTGGAAACCTGATAAATTATCTTAAATTTCTGGGTCAAACTTAGTCCAAAGTAAGCCCTACTTTGGGTATCTTTGTCCTATAAACCCATTGATACCTTATTGTGTCAAGACAGTTTAGATTTTGAGTCAGGGTTTTTTTTTTTCTCACCAGAAATCAAAAGTATCCTAACCAACAGAGGTGATTAATATGAGGTTTGAGAATATGCACAGGAAACATGTAATTCTTAATGGAAATGTGACTTGAGAGAAAGCCAGGAAACTGTTCAAACCTGTCTATAATGCAACTGTTAAAGGAATCACTAAAGTATTTGCTTGCGCAGATCTTCACCATGGGTAAATTTTGGATGAATAATTAAAATGTGTGTTAAGCACCTTTTTTCCTGAGTATAAAGGTACATACCCATATTTTAAAAAGTAAAATAGACAAATTTAAGGCAGAAAACAGCAGTCACCTATAACTTTACCATTCAGAGGAAAACAGTATCATTATTTTAGCATATTTGCTTCTATTTGTCTTTCTATCCATTTTTGTATAGTTGAGATCACACTGTATATATATAACTTTTGTCCAGCTCTTTTTCATTCAACACCAAATAATAAGCATTTTCCCACATCATTTACAACTCTTCATGAAGAATATGTTTTTCTTGCTGAGGAAATTACACTTTGTATCACATTCAATGTGATACAAATACACATGAAACAATGAATTATACAGTACAAAATTGTATAATAAAATCAATATGAGAATATGATTATATTATAAATAATGTGATTGTGTTATTTAAATTTTCAGCTTAAAATGGAGTTTTAGAAAATCAGGAAATTTATGTTAGCAAAGGTGAAATGTATAGAAGGATAGAGTATGACTTAGGGACAGGGAGAGAATCAGGTAATCTAGACCAAGAGAATTGTAGTTCACATATATTCTGATGTAAATGTGAGAATCATCTTCTACATGAAGAAACCAAGGCTAGAATGAAGGTTTATTAAAGCTAATCAGAAATAAGAGTGGATATATAAGATGGTTTGATTTTGGAGGATCTTGTAAATCAGACAAAAGATTTCCTTTTCTGTAGAACTATGAGGTGCATATAAACACCTGAATAAATCTAGGGCTTCTTAGTTTACGGTGTGTAAAGAGCACTATGTTGTCTGATGTGACATGCTGTTTTAACAAGAATTGTAGAGAAGTAAGGTACCAAATGACATGAATGAGATTGTTTCAACAGGACGCACTACAAACCTTGGTATCACTTTAGCCTGAGAATTTAAAACAAGCACTCCAGCTGACTTATGACAATTTCTTAAAATTATATTGTGCCTCTATATCCTTACATTAGTTATTTCCCTCACTGTAAGACAATGATGTAGATATCATTGTTGTTGTTATTGTTATTTTATGAAAAAGAAACTAAGACTCAGAGCGGTTTCAGGGAAAGTAATCTAGCTCAAAGTAGCTTAAGCTAGCTTAATGTAAATATAAATATGAATAGGTATATGAACATAGTTTGAGCCAGGTTACTGATACTTGCAATCAAATAATATCGTGATATAGTTGAGGTTCCAACACAGGTCATTTCCCAATCAGTCCAATATCCTTTCTACTATACTTTACTGCATTGCTAGTGTTAATGCTTGGTCCCTAAACTCTTTGATTATGGTAGTGAAGACATCAGTGTTTTCATATTGTTACTGCTCTGTTTCTGAATCCTTAATATTTATTCATACCATGGGCAGTAGTCAAATAGTCCAAATATTTATTTTGAGGAATCATACAGCATAGTACAGTTGAGCCTTTGTACAGTACTATGAGTCTGATGAGCCTTTGAATACCTGAGACTTTTTTGTTCCTTTACACATGAAAGATAATTTGGATTAGTATATAGTTCTTAGTCCACAATATTTTCCTTGAAAATTCTGTCAAAATTGGTCTATCTGTTGCCTTTTGGAACATAGTATGTGTCTAAGATATTTGAAACTGGCTTAATGTTGTGGCTTCATAGATAACCTATTTTATTTTCTCTGTGAATGGTTGTAGAAATTTCTCTTCATCTTCCTAATACAACTTTTTGGTCAAGATGTGTCTAAGTGCAAGTCACTTTTCATTGCCTTTTTCACAAGTTCAGAAAAGGTTTCTTTAATCATGTCTTTGGTTATTGCTTCTGGTATCTTCCTCAGTAAACTCCATGATTTTTAGGTTGGAGTTCTGTTCTCTGTATCTTGTTTTCATGCTTGCCTATGACATGTTACTTGTGGGAACTAACCAAGTGTTTTCTGGGAGTTTATGTCTCTGGATATAGGCAGAAAAAAAATATTAATATTGGGACGGTGGAAAGAAAAAGCCCTCTGATTGCTTCCAAAAGATATATTTATGTACTAGGTGGTCATCTGTGCATTTACTGAATCATGGGACAGCCTAATAAAAAGGTGAAGGATATTTTGCTACCTAATTTCAAGTGGAATATTTGTTTCTAGTGGAATGGCACACATGAGCTTGTATTTGCATTTCTTTTACTGTTCATGAATCCCAGATTACTACATGAGCTGATCTTCCTCACCACCTTTGGTTCGGGTTTGAAGGTTTATGTAAGTTATCAGTTAATACTACAAAATTATACAGTATAAATATTATTTTAGTGGCCAAATATATTTTCTAGCTTTATAACCAATTATTTCCCTGTTGTCATGGAATCATAAAATGTCTAAAGTTTTATTTTGTAACTGTTTATAAAATATATAATGCAGCTGTTAATAAATTTCTTATATGTGGAAGTCTCTGGACATATACTTTGGGAATATCAAGGCTCTACTACATATGTGTTTATATGAATCTATGTATTTTACATATTTATGTGCAACTGTAAACATTTATTGAATTATTGCTGCATACTATGAATTTTATAAGCTCTTTACATATATTAAGTTACTTAATCCTCATTAAAACTCCAAGATAAAGGTACTACAATTATACCCATTTTACAAGGAAGGAAAACAAGGCACAAGGATGTTAAGTGAATTGCCTAAGGTTACACAACAAGGAAGTATTGTAGCCTGGATTGAAACCGAGACCATATGGCTACAGAGTCCTTGTGCTAACCCACTATGCAATTCTGTCTCCTGTATGTTTCCCATAAGTATATATGTGTATTATATGCATTTATATGTGTGTGTGTGTGTATGCCTGTGTGTATGTAAAGTGAATCTTAAATGAACATCAAAGCACCAAAAAGCAGCCTCTCTTTCAGGATCACATCACATTTAATTGGCTAGACCCAAATCTCCATTTTTCAGTAATCTCTGATCTAGGCTACTAGATTTCACTTTTGTGTCATTGCTGCTTGTATTTCCACTGGTTACAAGAATGGAGACATGTTTGTATCGTGAAATAAGACTGAGTTAGAATTTCTTATGGTCTTTGGGTTGTTTTGTCCTTTTATATGTACTATCTCTAAATTCTGGACCTACTTCAGATTTATATTCATTATGAAAATAATTATATGCTTGATTGTAGAATAAACAATGCATGGCTTTTTTTTTTCTCATGCATAGATGCCGTTTCTTCATCTGACTCAGTGAGTCAACCTGGACTCTGGCCTATCCTTTAATCACATGCGCCTGAGTAACAATACTAACCTAGGAGAAATCCGTTATGGGTTGAATTGTGTCCCCCTGAGAGATGCTTAAGTTCTAATGCTCAGTAACTGTGAATGTGACCTTATTTGGAAACACAATCTTTGCAGGTGAGGAAGTTGAGATGAGGTCATTAGGGTGTATACTAATCCAATGTGATTGTGTTCTTATGAAAAAGGGAAATTTGGACATGGAGACAAACAGACACATATGAAGATCTTAGCCATGTGCCTATGAAGCAGAGATTGGGGTGATGCATCTGCAAACCAAGGAGCATCAAAGATTGCCAGCATAACACTAAGAGCCAGGAGATAGGCATTAAGCAGATTTTCACTTTCAGTCCATAGAAGGAATCAATACAGTTAACAGTTTTATCTTGGACTTCTAGCCTTCAGAACTATAAGGCAACAAATTTGTTGTTAAGCCATCCAGAGTGCCATACTTTGTTACTTCAGCCCTAGCAAACTAACTCAAATACCTAAACTTCTCACATTTATGACTGACCCAGACACTACATACAAAGGAAAACAGTAGCACAAGATCATTGCAACACCTATGACTACAACTCTATCCTCTGGGATACATCATAAGTTGTGATTGTCAAATTTGAGTGGTTCCATATGTTCCTTATTTGCTGAAATACGTAGATATAAAGATGTATTTATGATAAGCCTTACTCAGGATGGTTGCCCTCTTTCACTTTGTATAAAGAAAGAGTAATTGAGAAATAATTAAAACATGACAGCTCTAAAATCTGTGGTAATTTTTCTAGGAACGTCCCACTGGACAATAATACCAAGGTACCTCCTTGTAGGTTCAGGGAGCAAGAGTGATTGGGATGATTATATGAGTAGAAGTTGTTCTCAAATGTGTTCCTGTCTGTCAAACTGCTTCAAATTTGTCCATTTTATTTTCTTTTCATTTCCTTTATTCCATTTTCTCACCTAATAAGTAAAAATAAAGCCCTCATTGATTCACTAAGAGTGCCTAATGAAGCCACACCAAAGATCTGAACTCTTTGCTTGAACTGCCCTTACTAGAAAGTGAGGCCAGAGGTCACTTTAGGTTAGTGAATGATATCTTTTTTGAATGATTCTGTGATAGTTTCTCTGTTTTCCAGTCCATGGCCTGGATCTTAGATTTGGCATGAGTTTGAACATTGATTCTACTTCTCCAGGAACCCTGGCTTTGGTCCTTGACTACGCTCTTTGTAATGATCATACTGAATGTCACCCATTGTATTAGTCAGTGTTCTCTAGAGGGACAGAACTAATAGGATAGATGTATATATGACAGGGAGTTTATTAGGAGAATTGACTCACACGATCACAAGGGGAAGTCCCACAGTAGGCTGTCTGCAAGCTGAGGAGCCAGGAAGCCAGTCTGAGTCCTGAAACCTCAAAAATAGGGAAGCCAGTAGTGCAGCCTTCAGTCTGTGTCCAAAGGCCCAAGATCCCCTACAAATCACTGGTGTAAGTCCAAGAGTATATAAGCTGAAGAACTTGGAGTCTGATGTTTGGGGATAGGAAGCATCCAGCATGGGAGAAAGATAGAGGCCAGAAGACTCAGCCAATCTAGTCCTTCCATGTTCCTCTGCCTGCTTTTATCCTAGCCATGCTGGCAGCTGATTAGATGGTACCCACCCAGATTGAGGATGAGTCTCTTTCTCCCAGTCCACTGACTCAAATATTAATCTCCTTTGGCAACACCCTCACAGACATACCCAGGAACAGTACTTTGCATCCCTACTCAGTATTAATCACCAGATCCATGTCCTCCACACTGTCTTCAGTGTGATTTTTCTAAATCTTACAGTTATTTTCCTATATTAAAACCTCCCATAGAAGCCCACCAGCTGAATGGTAAAGTCCAAGCACTTTCAAATATTAGTATTCAAAGCTCTTCACAATATGATTTTTGCCTGTCTTTCCAGTTGCACATCTTGCCTAAGATTCTAAAACATTTTCCTCCCTGGAGGGGCAAATAGTGGGCAACATCCAAGCTTCCCCAGAGTAACTGCTCAATATGTATTTACTGGATTAAATAAAATAGTAAAGGATATTGGGCTGTGACATGAGACAGGGAGAGTGCTGGGCTAAAGGCATTGCCTGGAGTCCAAGTAGGACATCACAGCAGGACAGTAGAAGCACCTTGAATGCTCTGGTATGGTGACAGGGTACTTACATGTTGGATGCAATAAACCAGTAGAGAAACTTTTCTTGCTTTGCAGCTCTACTAAGAACACTGCTCTAGTAACTGTGAAGTATGTGTTTGAGAAGGAGACTGACTAGGGCATATTGTTTTGGAAGACGTATCATTTGAATTCTGCCATGTAAGTAAATAAATGGACATTTGGCTAATCTATGCAGAGCTCCCTTTGCATATCCGGACCTGAAACATGACAGTGTCCTGCTAAGGCCTTAGACAATAGGATTTGTGCATCTGTAAAGTCAGAATCAAAGACTGATCCATAATTGGTTATTTTGAGTGAACTAAAACCCAGTAATTCATTTTCCTTATAGATCAGGCATTCTGAGGAGAGGAACTGATCCATTACTGATATCTACCGTCTATTCTCCATTCAGCCTGCTGAGGCAAGGGTCAGTCTGACACCTCACTATAGGAAAGCTGGGGGAGGATCATCATCCCTAGGAATGAGAAGTTGGCCAGGGTAGTTTGCATTGTATTTTTGGCAGCTGAAATTACACTTTAACTAAATGGCTTCTGTCAAAGCCTTTTGTGGTAATGGTGTTTGCGGTAAATGTGTGGAATGAGGACTTAGGAAGCTTCATGAAAGCTGAACAGATACAGAAAGCTTGTCTTTAGAGAACATAGAAACCGAGATTTAGATATGTGTTTTGTCTCTTTTGTAAATGAATCCCATCAGGCTAAAACAGGTTCTGGTGGGATAAAAAGGGCGTTGTCCGAGGTCAGGAGATTGAGACCATCCTGGCTAACACAGTGAAACCCCGTCTCTACTAAAAATACAAAAAAATTAGCCGGGGGTGATGGCGGGCGCCTGTAGTCCCAGCTACTCTGGAGGCTGAGGCAGGAGAATGGCGTGAACCTGGGAGGCAGAGCTTGCAGTGAGCCGAGATCTCGCCACTGCACTCCAGCCTGGGCGACAAAGCGAGACTCTGTCTCAAAAAAACAAAAAAAGGTGGTGTCCTCTTATGCTTAAATGTTTAGGAAGGTATTTAGTACAGCTAATGCAAGAATAGAGTCTTCACGTCTTTCCATTCTAGGTAGTCATCCTCTGTTAAGCTTTCTTGGCTGTAAAGTTTTTGTTCTTGTTTTTTGAATCAGTCCACTCAGTCTTTGTGAACTTACATTGCACTACAACTTTGGACATTTTGTTCTTTTGCCTGGTTGTTGTTAATGTGTTGGGTGAGCATGAATCTGTGATGGTATAAGAAAGGTATATGTGACAAAAGGCTTCTGTCAAAGCCTTTTGTGATAATGGTATATCATTATTTTCCCCATTTTCAGAGGAGAGTTTAAGTAACTTCTCTACTTTTGCATCACTAGAAACTTCAACACCATTATGCAAATTCTTGTCTGCCTGACTCAAAAACCCACATTGTTAGCCACTGTGCTATACCACCTTACTATACTGTACTCCTCCACTTTAGAATATAGGACAGATCAGGCGTGCAAACATACATACACTTACACATATTCACATAAAAGAATGAGTGAGAGGCCAAGTGTGAATGTGATGGGCTGTGGTTATCTGTGAGTAGGTGATCCTTAACCTATTTTCCAAGAATTGATCTGTGATCTAGGCTTGCTTAGGTCTGATGTCAAGGCAGTCTCAACACTTAATAGTAGCTGGGTTGGAATGCTGAGAAGCAGTATGGAAAATGAAGAGATTCAACCAAGGACACAAGAACAGTACTGCAGGAGACACTGCATCTGTGCAAGAGAAAAAGATATAAGAAATGGGCAGTGGCATGAGAAAAGTCAAAGGAAAAGGAGGAAAGGGCTGATGGAGAAAACCCCAGCACAATTTCTTCCTGATTCCTTGCAGAGATTGGCTCTGTGTACTCCTTTACTACTGTACCTCCCAGGCTTGAGCTCTAATTAATTCTACTAGAACATAAATAGGAATTTGAAATTTTCTTAATCAGCTAATGATGAGATACAGATAGTATATGCACCATGAAAATGTTTGTGTCTTATCCATGAGACTAAAATTATATAAAGGAGAAAAGACTGACTTTCTAATTTAACATTGACCCATGACTTTGGGTGATAAATTGTCCAACAGTTAGTCAAAGTGAGGGCCCATCCTTAGCAACAAGGATATACATTACAGACTAACCTCCACCCCAACTTCACATTGTAAGAATAGACCTTGTATTAAACTATTCATTTTTCCAGAGTGAGAGCGAATCCCAGCAGTATACATGGGAAGAAAGAGGGCCTGGGGTGCTGGGACGTGATGCGAAGGGAAAGAAATCTTATGGTCCGTTTAAGCTATGTGTTAAGGCAGGAATTTAGTGAAGTTGAATTGTACTGAGTTGAAGGAACTCCTGGTGTGAAAAGCAATGACCTGGGTAAGATTAAGTGTTATGTCTTTGATCTGGATACTATGCAGGAGGGGTTAGGGGCATAGTGGGTAGACTTGGAAGGAATTCTTATATAGCAGATTATAATGAGAAAGAAACCAAAATCTGTTCTGTTTAAGAATCTTTATGAAAAGGCTGTTTCTGTCTGAAACAGTGGCTAAGCTTCATACAGTGGCTGCACTCCAGCCAGTAAAAAGGCTGGAGTGCAGTCACTGTGTGTAGCTTAGCAATGAAGTCCTCACTTCATATGGCTTCAGGTCTTCTATGTCCTATATTATTTAGCAACCTTCTCAATAAAGCACAGAACATTTTCTGAGATCATTTGTCTCACTTGGAAGGGCCAACTGGACTGAGTTGGTAAGAGGGTGAAGTAAGGCAGGAAGAAGCATTCAAAAGGGAAATAGCAGAGAATCTTACTAAATGCTCCCTGATCCCAAACAGGGCAGTTCCAGAAATATGGCAAAAAAAAAGGCCGAGAATTATTCTTGAAAATGAATGACATCTAAATGAAGATTCTTTTTGGGCAACCCAAAATGAGGGATCAGAAAGTATTCGCACAAGATGGAAGGCTTATTTATTGTCCTCCACACATCCTCTTGTGAATACTATTACCTCTCAACTGCTTCCACGTGTCTTGTTCATTCTGTGGATTAGCTACAGCTAATTTAGAATGTCCCAATTCCAGCATTCTGAGTCTTGTAACCCCATGACTCTCATTAGCAAATAAACTCATGTTATTATTAAGCCAAGTAAAATCCCATGAGGTAAAGCAGCAGCAAACAAAAAATATATGTAAAAATATCATACGTCTCAAAGCAAAATATGAATGAATTAATATTATTGGCTATTTCAGAATTTTTGTGACTCTCCTACAACACCAAGAAAAAATCAAGGATTATTTGGCATGCAGAATGAGCCTCATCAAATAAAGAGGAAATCATTAAAATGCATTGCAAATAGCTGAGACTTTAACTAATATGATCTTTAATGCAAACGCAGTATCCTGTCCCATTAGCTTCTGAAGAGCATTGAAGGATTCCCAATTTATTACAGCGGCATACTAGTAAGCTACTTTCTCTCTTGGAAACACAGTGAAATAAGACTTTCCAGGTACCTTTTGGAAAAAAATAGTTTTGACCTTGTGGTCCTGTGGGCAACCTGAGAAACGTGTCTGGAAAAGCACAGTCTTATGTTACACTCAAGGTGCAAAAGTGATTGTACAACAGTCAGCCTCTGGGTGCCACTTACTTGAGGCAGAAATGTGGAAGTTGATATGATTTTTATTTTTTCCTGTGGAAGCAGGGTGGATACCTGCAGCTTTTCTTTCTCAGCCATTAGTGAAGCGTGCTATTGTATGACGTCAAGATCAGTTGGGGATCCCCAACATCTAAAATAATATATTTCCGGGAAATTTCAGAGGCAACATAGAGTCTGTTCCCAATCTAGGCTAGAGTTAAATCCAGGGATCACAGGCATCACCTGTAAATGTGAGATGGGATTCACATCCTCCAGCTTTTTCTTAGTTTTAGAACTGAGCTTGGGTAAGATCAAATCAACCTATGATAATGTCTTTTCTGGGCTCTGTGCTGCTTTATCCACTGTTTTCTGGGTACTCACAAGATCTCAGAGACAGAAAGAATGATGAACACCAACATTTTTGCTTGTGCTTGATAGTTTTAATTTATTTTGCATTTTTTTCTTATTTAGAGTTGATCAAGGACCACCCATATTCCAGGCATCATGCTTGCAAATATATTACATAGTATAATCATCCTGTCAATCCTGTGTGGTAGGTCTGAGTATTCTCACTTTACAGATAAATTAACTGATACCAAAAAATTGGAATAATTTTTCTAAGGTCCCAAGGCTTGTAAATTATGGAATCTATATTTCCATTTATATCTAATTCCAAAATGTGTGCCCATTCCATCACATGCCATACCAATATCTGCAGTGGGTTAGAATGAATAAAAAGAGGACAAAGTGACATAGCATAATACATATATGTTGTTTTCCTCTCCGTCTTAACCTATTCACCTCATTTGCGTTGCCTTTCTTTGCCTCGATTTGTCCAGAGCTTGGTTCACTAATCTCTCTACCTATAGTAAAAGCTTTGACCCAAAAACAGCATAAGAAGAGCTAAATCCAGTAATAGCCAATTATTTTAATCCCACTGGTAGATTGGCAGTAAATACTTTGACAACTTTTTGAGAAGGCTTATGTAGTGGTATCCAGGACCAGTTGTTATGATCAATTATTCATGGTTGTAATAGGCATGGGAAGAAAGAGTACATGAGCTATATATTTGCTATCTCTAACTTAAAAAATTCCAGCTTCATTGCTGGTGAGTGCAGAAGGGTATGTGTATGTCAGTAATGTATACTTACAGCCTTTGACAGGCTTTTTCCTGGTTTTGACCAATAAATTATTATGTAGTTCCTGAGTTTATGCTCACTGTTTTTTTCTACCCTTTCAATGCCATCATTGCACCTCTAACACACACCTTTGTTCTGATAAGGAAATTCCTTTTTTGACTTCCAAAGGCTGAATTCTCCTCCATTTTTGCACTGATCCATAGGTCCAGCATTGGACCATGTTCTTCTTTTTCCCTAGTTCTTCCTCAAGGGCTAACGTCTTCATTTGTTTTCCTAGTTTCCATTTTTTCAGTACTGTGCCTGATGCCCTGCACCCAGATAACCACTGATCACATGCATACATATCGTATACATAATGATTTACCTAGCCTGTTCATACCACCTTCTCAGAGAGTTTCCTCATACCTGGAGACTTAACAAGTTGTAAATCGGCCATGTGATATAGACCATAGCTGATTTGAAAGGAAAATGCACCTGATTAAGGGTCAGTGAATCCATTAGGTAGATAGAAAGTAACTTTTTCTTGAAAATTTGAAAGAAGAGATAGTAACTGTGATCACAAGAGAGTATGGGGCCCACACAAGTCGTAAGAAGTTGTGACAGAGTCATCTGAGACATGTGGGAGCTGAGTTAAGAGAAAGCAAAATGTGTGAGTTAAATTCTTGCTGCTATAACAAATTACCTTAGACTGGGTAATTGACAAACAACAGAAATGTATTGCTCAAAGTTCTGGAGGCTGGGAAGTAAAAAATCAGGGCACTGGCACATTTGATGTCTGGTGAAGACCTGTTCCTCATAGATGGCACCTTCTTGATGTATCCTCACATGGCAGCAGAGAGAAAAAAGGCCCTCAAGCCTCTTTTATAAGGGCACTAATCCCATTCATGAGGGTAGAGCCCTTATGACCTAATCATTTCCCAAAGGTTCCATCTCTTAATACCATAGCATTAGTGATTAGGTTTCAATATATGAATTTTAGGGAGAGATCAACATTCAGATAATACCACAGATATTATGAGAAAATAAACCATGAACACTGACTCTGCTGCACTACTCCCACTGACACAGTCACGCACGTGTGGACCCCCACTGTATTGTCGCCCTGTCATACCGTCACCATGCGCATGCATGGATCCCGCTGTGGTGCCTTCCTGCCAGCACTGGTATGCATGTTCACAGATCCCACCGCACCACCACCACCACCCTGTCACTGGCAGTGCACCACATGTGAGTGTGCACCCTGCTGTCACCACCCTAAAAAATCACTTTTGCTGGCATTCCCCATCAAAGTGTTGTTGCCAGCAGTTGGGGAACACCTTGGCCCCTCCAATGAAGCAGGTGCTTAATGTAGAGGGGCCAGAGAACAAAGCTGTGAACATGGCTCAGCCTGCCAGGATTAGAACATGCAGCCCAGGAGTGCTGAGCTGAGCTTTGGCCACGTGAAATTGTTCATAAATGAATCCAGTCGATTAAACCCAATTTTTTACCACAGTCGTAACCTCAAGGACATCAAAGAATGTTAAAGGAAAAGGCTCTACCAAGAGGCCAGAGACTTCAAAGATTAAAGAAATATGAACCTGCACAGATGAGACAGAACCAGTACAAAGATGATTGTCTTAGTCTGTTCTCATGCTGCTAATAAAGACGTGCTGGAGACTGAGTCATACACAGAAAATATGAGTCAGGCATTGCACCAATTTCCAGATGAAGAAACAGAGGCATTAGGAGTCGGGCCCGTTTAGAAGTTCTGCATTCTCAAACAGTCTTCTAAGTCTGGCTTTAGCAAGTGTAGGGATAGTGACCTGCAGAGATAATGATTAACTAAGTAGTCTACGGAGGAAGTTTGGCAAAGCCAACTATCCTTAATTTTCAGTGTGTCTGTGTATTGGGTGAGGGTGAGGGGAATGATATTCTAACTTAGACTCTGGACATAAAGAAGGGATCAACAGACACCAGCATGTACTTGAGGGTGGAGGGTGGAAAGACAGTGAGGATTTAAAAAACTACCTAGTGGGTTTTATGCTTATTACCTGTGAGATGAAATAATCTGTACACCAAACCTCTGTGACACACTATTTTACCTATGTACAAATCTTGCAGATGTACTCCCTAGACCTAAAATACAAGTTGGAAAGAAAAATAATAATAATGAAGTAAATTCTATAATGCTGATTTCAAAATTGCACTATTTTATCCTTTTATTTGCTTAGCACAAAATGAATTTGTATGTATTTTCAATTGTTTATTTACATATACTTTGTTTTCTCACTCAGCTATAAACTCCATGAAGGCAGATAATATGTGTGTATAGTTTACAACCACATACCTACAATCTATCACAATGCCTGAGAAAAAATAATTATTACATTAATATTGGTTGGATTAATGCATAAATGCATAAATGAATAAATGAGCAATGAAAAATAGGTCAGGATATGATTTATTCAAAATTTATCAAACTTTTTTTGGACTTGGGGAGGTGGAAGAGGGGTATTGTGAAACAGATGTTTTGTGATGTCTTCAGTTTTACTTCAAGTATTGATTTTAAAATTATTAATAAAAATGCATGAGTCACAGCACACAACAAATAGAGTAAGTCAGTCACTAGAGAATAGAATGAAGCATAATCTTTCAACGTAACTCTTTTTTTTTTTTTTTCCTTCTGAGACGGAGTCTCCCTCTGTCGCCCAGGCTGGAGTGCAGTGGCGCCATCTCGGCTCACTGCAAGCTCCGCCTCCCAGGTTCACGCCATTCTCCTGCCTCAGCCTCCCGAGTAGCTGGGACTACAGGCGCCCGCCACCACGCCTGGCTAATTTTTTGTATTTTTAATAGAGACGGGGTTTCACCGTGTTAGCCAGGATGGTCTCGATCTCCTGACCTCGTGATCCGCCCGCCTCGGTCTCCCAAAGTGCTGGGATTACAGGCGTGAGCCACCGCGCCCGGCCTCAACGTAACTCTTATTTTGATTTATACTTAAGCTAGATTTCATGACTTCCTGCTTCTGATCATTAAATGAGATATGACTAAAACACTGAACGTGGAAATTGCCCATCTAGAGTCTGCATCTCTAGGCTTTACCACCTGCTGGGAATTTCACTCTTCTCAGAACGCCACATAGTTCTATTTTCCTATATCCTAATCGAAAACTATTTTACCTTGGAGACAACATGCCTTGACCAACAGTCTAAATTTCTACTGTCATCTCAGACTCTTCCATATCTGCCTTGCCTTAGTGGGTATGTACAGTGCCAGATTCTACAACAAACATTTTATAGTTCCTGATGGATCTTGGTGCGTGAAACTTTCTGTGACAAAGGGATGTCAACTTATACTCTTTAAATAACTAAGATTTATAATCATGTTACTTTTTGGTCCTTATAATCTTGGGACCTTCATAAGTATAGAACAAACCCTGCAAAACAGCAAAATCCTGTAGTTAGACATATAATCAAAAACAGTAACCCTCCTAGGATCTCTTTACTACTCTATAAAGTGGGGATTTTACGTATCTCCTAGGTCTCTTGAGTCAATGTGTTATCATAATACTTGGCCTATTCAATAAGTTTTAAGTGATTCTATCTATCTATCATCTATCTCTTTATATATCTATTATCTAGCTATCGTTCTATCATTAACACTAAACTATTAATCAATCAAAGACTGGAGTGAAGACTTGTTGCCATATTTAATAGACATCTCCAAGGAATTCATTTTTTCCATTTAGTGAGAATGAAAAACTTGAAAGCACTGATAAATGAACTTGCAAGTTCCTTTAACCAAATGGAGAAAAATTTATTGAAAACCAAAACCTGTTCCCTCTCTCTCCCCTCTGTCTGTGTCCTGATGAACCCTATTGGTAAATATGAAGTTGTTAAGTATAAAGCAAAGAATATACTCATTTGACCGCTAGAGAGAGGTTTACCTAGTGAATAATCATAGTGAATATAAAAGAAGATAAACTTCTCTTTCAATTTCTGATTAATATTCTCCTTGCTTAACAAACACCCAAATGCTTAGGAGACTGTAAAGTTATCTGCTTTTGCAGTTTGATCTTACCTTCGGATTATCAGGTGATAAATTTGTTATAAAAAATGATAAAAATTGTAATTATTCCCACCTACACAAATACATAAAACCAATTTCCCTGTTCAGGCTCCTGAAAAATAAACATGCCAACACAGAAAGGCTATTTATCATGGCTGTCATAATTAGGTCCAATTGGGGAAGTCAGTTCCATTTAACGAATGACAAACTTCAAGTTCCCACCTACCAGCACCATTTTGCAGGACACGTCTAATAACTTTCAGTCATTTATCACTATTCCCAAATGCCAGGATTATTAGAGGCAAATCAGGTGTTCCTCATTCCAGCCCACTAAACTAAAATTATAGCTATCATTTTACCAATATTAAGATACTGTTTGGTTTCTGATACAATAACATTTCTAAGGAGTTTTATTTCAGGTTTTAGTCTGTTCTTAAGCTTAGGGGTATGGTACATAAAAATTAAGGCAGCTTTTTTTCTGACTTTTCACTTTCCAAGTAGGTAGTCAGCTGCTAGACATTAGGAGACAAGGTGATCAAAGAAACTCCAGGTATCTCCCATTCAATTTCTTTCAGGCACAGTGAAAGGCAGAGAGCAACGCGTGGCTGATACAATTGTCTGCCAAACCTCTGGCTAACAGGCTTTGTGCACTGCCTGGGCTTATAGACCAAAGATAGAACTGAAAGTTCTGCTTTAAAGTTATAAAGATCATACTAAATATATCACTAATTCAATTAACCAGAAGGACCAAGGTTTGAGTGTATCATGGGAAAGGGTTTCCATTGATTAAGGGATGCTATTTAATGAGATAGTCTCATAAACAGAAATCCCATGAGTTTTACCTCTCAGGGTTGAAAATCTTATTAAAAGGATGTCTGCGTTCTTGCTAAGTGTAATTTAGTGACCTCTATGGGTTAGACGAGAAAAGGCAGGGAAAGAACGGTGCACTTGGCATCAGCCAATCTGCTACAAATCAGCTGGATGTACTTAGGCAAGTCACTAACTTATTGTGGACTGCGATTTCTTCTTTTGTAGAGATAAATATTACTGCCCTTATAAGAAACCAGAAAGACAACACACGTGAAGTATTACGAGTTGCAAATGGCAGAAGATGAAAACAAAGCTCAGAAATGATAAATGACTTTCAGAAAAATTGAGTGACAGCTTGGTTCATACAACTAGTACATATCAGAGTCAGACTATAAAACCAGTCATAGTTAGCTCCCACACCAGCACTCATTTCCATATGATACACTTATCACCTATTTTCCAAAGATGGGAGTTCAATCAAATGATTCTAATAGTTCAATTGAGTAAAAGCATGCTATCTCCTCTGCATTGCCACAGCCGCATGTGCAACTTTGTATGACTATATTTAGTTAATTGTGTTTATTAATATATTTTTAATGTCAGTCTCCTCAAGTGCAGGGACAATACCTTATGGATCTTCCTATCCCTCAAACCTAGTTCAGTGCTCTGAAACATAGTAAGCACTCAGTTAATACCCATTGTAAGAAAAGAGGGAGGAAGAAAGGGAGGCAGAAATAGGCTATTCAGCCAACACTTTGGGCTCCTGCCTTGCACTTACTTCTTTTGTACAACACCTAGAAATAATTCTGACTCTTTGAACTTTCTGGTGATTTGAGTTCTAGATAAATAGGAGTTTATAACGATGCCTAACTAATCTTCTCCAATGCTTTAGTGATAAAGCAATCAGCCCAGCCAGCTCTTAGGCCGTGTATCAGCTAATCAATAGGAAGGTTCAGGCTACAGCGAGATTTTTTAACAGCTGCCAAGCCTGACTAATCAGTGATTGTTCAAAAATTACAAGGAAAAGAAAACCTTTCCCTTCTCCTGGGGATTTGCTATGAGAAAAGACCTTAGGTAGAAATTGGAAGATTTAATTCTCAGATTATCTAATTAGTATTTGGAAGACTATATAAAATGAAGAAATAGGGAGGAGGAAGGGGGAAGTGAGGGACTTAATTATGCTCATCATTTCACCTTTAGGAACAATTGTAAAAATAACTCTTGGCTTACTAGATTCCCTCGGAGGACTGCAAGAGGTGAAGAGTAGACAAGGGAGAGATGCTGCAGAAATTAGAGTAAGGGAGAAGGAAGGAGTAGGCTCCACAGTGGTATGTGGAACTTACTCCTTCTGTACCATTAAAAAATGTTTCCCAACAGCTTTCTCCTCTTTAAAATATCCTCTCGCAGTATTAGTAAATTTGAACCACTGTGAGTACACCCCCATCCCCATCTCTCAAGTACACACAGACTTATAAGTCTTAATGCTTTCTATACCACCTACCATTTTTACACTCCCAGAGCTCAGTCCTATTGATAGTGTTATATTAAAGTGCCTGTGACTGTTTCCATCATAAATAGTATTTACCTTAAATTTACTACTTCAACTGTTTCAAATACCTTATGGCCCAAGCTTGGCATCAAACATCACATGGTAGATGATTTTTAAAATTTTGCTGCTTTGTTTGAACCCCCAAATAATCAAAATCTGTTAAAGTATTGTTAATTTAGAGGTGAAAATGTATGTTCTTACTTCTGATTCAGAGGGTAATTTTAATGCCTTCATTTAAAGATAGCTGTATTAAAAATAATATTAGGAATTTTTGTGGGGGGTGGGTGGTAGAGAAGAGTCCTCAGCAATGCCTAGCCACAATTGGTCATGCAGTGGGGAAGGGAGAAAGTTGGTAAGGGAAAAATGCAATAAGGAAATTTGAGTCGACATTTTAATATTTTATTCTGGATAAAACTTTTGAGAGAGATTTTCTCTTCTTATGATTCATGGAAGGTTATATGTGAGCTCCACACCATTGCAAGATGACTAATGCGATGTTCATCTCTGTGGGATAGACTCAGATGGCATTGGAGTGATGCAAGTTGAAAATGCTTTCAGGATTCCATCTGTTTTGCTAGAAGTAGGTGTTTCTGCTCCAAAGGCATGTTTTACACACTGGTAAAAAAAAAGTGTGATTATGTTCAATTTACAGTGCATAGATAATAGATAATATATTTAATTAGTTTGGGGAAATAGTCTTATGCTCACTCTCTTAAGAGTGGGTAAATAAGAGGAGACTATTATTTTAATAACTTCCATTTTGTACCCATGTGTTATGGGACTTGCTTATGTTATTTTATTTAATCTTCACATACACAAAAAATATGAGTCAGGTATTGTACCAATTTCCAAATGAAGAAACAGAGGCATCAGGATTCGGGCCCATTTAGAAGTTCAGCATTCTCAAACTGTCTTCTAAGTCTGGCTATAGCAAGTGTAGGGATAGTGACCTGCTGAGATAGTGATTAAATAAGTAGTCTACAGAGGAAGTTTGGCAAAGTCAACTATCCTTAATTTTCAGTGTGTCTATTTATTGGGTGAGGGTGTGGGGAATGATATACTAACTTAGACTCTCCTCTGAGTAATGAAGCTTAGGGTATTCACCACCTATGGAGGATTAATTCACATTCATTCATTCACACCGTATCATATTTTTCCCAGTCCATGGGAGTTTCTTCAGCACGGGGAAAAAAAAGAAAGAAAAAACACACTGAAACAGGTCTTTTTTGCATGTTTTTCACAGCAGATGCCAGTATAGCTGATTGCTTTGAAAGAAATTTGTTGTTATTTCTCCTTACCATTAAGACTCGCCTCACTCACTCTTGCCCCTGATCCTGAAGCCTGTCAGTGGTCTCATGGGCTTTGCTGTTCAATCAAGAGAAAAATTTCTGGTCTTAGAATGTGTTAAAATATGCCTGGTATCCCGGAGACAGGTAATAACTCAGTATATTGGCAACAGCAGCCCAACCCAGAATAATGCATCTGACAGTCACTCAAGGACGAGAAAATAGCATTACTGTTTTGTCTCAAGTTTGATTCCACAAGCCAGAGTGCTAAAAATGAGCATTCTTTGGTACTGGCTGTCGAAGGAATAAACATTCCTTTTGTCCTTTTCTAGTACTTTATAGCTTTTGTCTAGTGTTCAGGATGAGATTGCCCTTTTTCTCTGGCAGTGCCATGCTGGACAAGTTGAAACAGGATCCTCTATCACTAAAAGGATAGCCCATACCACAGAAGCCAGAACAACATCCCTGTGCAGCCAGCCTCCCTTGAAATTCTTAAGACAATGCTGTTGCATTAGCATCCTGCCGCTTGTTAAAGAAAAAATTATTCTGGTGCTTGTTAAAACAGTAAGGGAGACATTATTTAGGACTATTACAATAGGTCTAGTACAATTGCAATTTAAGACTATTGCAATAGGAGAGAGAGAGTGGGCTTAACACCTCTGAATACTGCAAAGATAACTAGAGATTTATAGCCAATGAGCAGAGTGAGGAAATCAGTGTATGGAAAATTACTAAGAGGAAACATCAAGGATGGGAGATTTTCTCCAAACTAACTTTGCAGGATTCTTGCAAAAACTGGTTAATGTAGGGCTGACAAGTACAGGACAGCGTGGGTGAAGGAGAGGCAACGTTAGTGTGTAGTTAAGAAAGGGGCTCAAAGAAGCCTTGCTAAAATTTGGTCAAGGAGAGAGTCTTTGTCACCCCGTACCGCTCTTGTAAATGCTATGTGGTGACATTAAGAACTTTACAGACACAGATACCCCCTGTGAAAAGATATCCTGATGTCCTTTCCACAGCTCTAAAGTTGCTGTTAAGAAATTGGCTCCATCGCTAACACAACGTGTTGATAAGACAAAGCTGATTTGATTGTTACCCACAGGAAGGGAGACTACCGCCTCTGCAAAGCTGCAGCAGTGTCTCAGATGAGAGGAAGAAAGGATCAGAATTTATTGAGAATTAAAGGTGTGGTTTAAGATGTGTCTTTCAATATAGGAACTTGATTAGGAATGGCAAACATCATAATACAACAGCCCAAGATAGGTGAAAATAGCAAGGTGAGGATTTGGGGATCAGGGATTGAAAGAATCTTATAGTGAAATTTTCTGTTAATGTTTTCCATTGAAGAGTTGATGTATCTTTCAGGAAGGTCCTATAATGAACAATCAAACTATTTGTTTGGGTAAGACATTCTCAAAAGAATAAAAAAGTGCTAATGAATACAGTGGAAATACAGTGGAATATCAAACCCATTTCATTTTAGACAGTGTTCTAGTCTTAGCAGAATGTAAGTGTGGCTGGTTTTGGTTCTCGTTGCCGTTAGAAAACAGGAAGATCAAAGTGGGGCTTTTTCCCCTTTATCCTCAAGGACTAGACCAGTCCAAATAAAGTCCCATGCTGCTTTTTGTTATCTGCTATTAATAAAACCCAGAGCCTATGGTGACAATATAGCAGTAGGATATATTTTAAAAGCACTGAATTTTAGGGAGTGAGAAATACTGAGTTCTAATATTAGCTCTGATCCTAACATGCTGTATGACTTTGAGCAACATGGAATACCTTACTGAGCATTGCTTTCAATACATGAAAAATTCTCTGAGTTGGATTTCAAAATTGCTAAGACCCATCCTAATACCGATATTCTGTGCCTCTGTCCCTTCTTTTTAAGCCAAAAATGAGGAGGATCCTAGAGCTGAATGAATGATAAAAATGTTAATTTTCCATTATTTTTTGTTTTCAAATGGCTTAATGACAACACAAGTCTCTCTACTACTAAAGCCAGTCATCTTTGCCAGTTGGAATTTCTAAGAGCAAAATACAGGAAGAGGGTCCCTTCTCTAAAACTTTGACAGTTGAAAAGCCACAAAATCAGACAATATAAAAGGAATGAGATATACACATACCAAATGATATGGTTTGGCTCTGTGTCCCAACTCAAATTTCATGTCAAATTATAATTCCCAGTTTTGGGGGAGGGACCTGGTGGGAGGTGACTGGATCATGGGGGCGGATTTGTCCCTTGTTTTTCTTGTGATAGTGAATGAATTCTCATGTGATCTGGTTGTTAAAAAGTGTTTAGCACTTCTCCCTTTGCTCTCTCTCTCTCATGCTGGCCATGTGAAGATGTGTTTGCTTCCCCTTCACTTTCTGCCATGATTATCAGTTTCCTGAGGTTTCTCCAGCCATGCTTCCTGTACAGCCTGTGGAACTGTGAGTCAATTAAACCTCCTTTCTTTGTAAACTACCCAGTCTCAAGTAGTCCTTTACAGCAACGTGAGAACAGACTAATACAGAAAATCGGTTCCTGCAGTGGGGCATTTTTATAAAGTTACCTGAAAACGTATAAGTGACTTTGGAAATGGGTAATGATCAGAGTGGAAACAGTTTGGAGGGATCTGAAAAAGACAGGAAGATAAAGGAAAGTCTGGAACTTCCTAGAGACTTGTTGAATAGTTGTGACTAAAATGCTGCTAGTAATATGGACAGTGAAGTCCAGGCTAAGGTGGTCTCACATGGAGATGAAGAACTTATTGGGAACGGGAGTAAAGGTCACTCTTGCTATGCTTTAGCATAGAGACTGCTCTAGAGATCTGTGAAATTTTAAACTTGAGAAAGATGATTTGGAGTATTTGGTGGAAGAAATTTCTAAGCAGCAGAGCATTCAAGATGTAGCCTGGCTGCTTCTGACAATCATGTGTTTGCAAAGAGGTGGTCTGAAATTGGAACTTATATTTAAAAGGAAAGCAGAGCATAAAAGTTTGGAAAATTTGCAGCCCAACAATGCGGTAGAAAAGAAAAACCCATTTTCTGGGGGAGGAATTCAAGCCACCTGCTGCAGAAATTTGCATAAGTTAAGTAGAGCCAAATTTTAATATTCAAGACAATGGGGAAAATGCCTCTAGAGCATTTCAGAAGCCTTTGTGGCAGCCTCTTGCATCATAGGCCTGGAGGCCTAGGAGGAAAAAAATGGATTCCTGGACCAGGCCCAGGGTCCTGATGCTCTGTGCAGCCTCAGGACGTAACACTCCACATCCCAGCTGCCCCAGCTGCAAGTGTGGCTAGAAGGAGTCAAGGTACAGCTCAGGGCATTGCTTCAGAAGGTGCAGGCCCCAAGACTTGGCAGCTTTCACATAGTGTTGGACCTGCGGGTGTGCAGAAGGCAAGAGTTGAGGCTTGGGAGCCTCCACCTAGATTTCAGAGGATGTATAGAAATGCCTAGGTGTCCAGGCAGAAGTTTGCTGCAGGGCAGAGCCCTCATGAAGAACCTCTATTAAGGCAGTGCAGAGGAGAAATGTGGGTTTGGAGCCCACACACAGAGTCCCACTGGGGCACTGCCTAGTGGAGCTGTGAGAAGAAGGCCACTGTCCTCTAGACCCCAGAATGGTAGATCCAACAACAATCTGCACTGTGCACCTAGAAAAGATGTAGGCACTCAATGCCAGCCTGTGAAAGCAGTTGCAGGGCTGTACCCAGCAAGGCCACAGGGACAGAGCTTCCCATGGCCTTGAAAGCCCACCCCTTGCATCAGCATGGCATGGATGTCAGACGTGAAGTAAAATGAGATTATTTTTGAACTCTAAGATTTAATGACTACCCTATGCTAGAATTAGTTGAGACTTTTGGGGACTGTTGGGAAGGCATGATTGTGTTTGAAACGTGAGAGGGAACTGTGAATTGTGAGTGATCAGGGGTGGAATGATAGGGTTTGGCTCTGTGTTCCCTCCCAAATCTCATGTTGAATTGTAATTCCCAATGTTGGGGAGGAACCTAGTGGGAGGTGACTGAATCATGGGGGCAAATTTTCCCCTTGCTGTTCTTGAGATAGTGAGTGAGTTGTCACAATATCTGGTTGTTTAAAAGTGTGTAGAACTTCCCCCTTTGCTCTCTTTCTCCTGCTGGTCATGTGAATATGTGCTTGCTTCCTCTTCCACCATGATTGTAAGTTTTCTGAGGCCTCCCCAGCCATGCTTCCTGTACAGCATGCAGAACTGTGAGTGAATTAAAACTCTTCTTTATGAACTACCAAGTGTCAGGTAGTTCATTACAGCAATGTGAGAATGGACTAATACATCAATACATCTTTTATATGTGCCAGCTTGAATGCCTAGTTAAGCCCATTGGCTTGAAGAAGGTGCCAAGTAAAGAGAAAAGCTATGCTGCAGAAAAATTGTTAATCATCCATAAAAAACATCCCTGTTATATTGTTACTTGAAAAAAATCAGATCACAAAACAATATGCAGCTTATAGTTATAGTTTTGAATAAATATATTCATGTATACAAATACATGTGGAATAAAAGACCAGGTAATACTCTGTAATATTAAATATTGATATGATTTATTGATTTTAATTATCTCTTTTAGCTTTTCTATGCTTTCCAGGTTTTCAACAATGAACATGAATTAGATTTTTATTCACATATAACCAATATATGCTATGGAAAAGAAAGTGAAGAAAGGATGAGAAAGAATGGGCTGAACCTTTCTTCAGCATTTCCATTTGATGTAATGGAATTCACCAGTCTGCCATTATACTTGAAATTTCTATTAAATTCTCTTGAAGGAGGTTATGGCACCATCTCCAGGAGGCCACTGCTTAAAGACAATGAGGTTATTTGGGGTAGAATAACCCAAGAACTCATGAGCACCACTCATTCACAAAGACAATAGTCTTGAAGGGACAGAGAATACAGAGAGATGCAGTACATTAGTGGTAGTGATGAAGGTGGGTTAACTTATTGCCAAAGGAGGGTGTAGTAGATAGTAAGTAAGCACCATGTTTACAGATCGTTGTTAAAGTTTTCCAACATTGCAGCTTCACAAGGCAAGCTGGATTTATACCTTATGTTCATATTTCACTGTGATGTTTGCCTCTATGAGTCTTAAAACCAATGAAATTTTCTTCCATGAAATTTCCATTGTATAATGACATTTCATTTTTATAACCACGTTTCATTAATTTCTCAGTCAGTCAAATAGAGAGGGAGAAATAATTCCCCTCAGAAAGTCACAATAGATAAGATATGGAATTGTGATGGTAGTTAGCTTCTTTGCTTGTACATTGTGTAGGATTAGGGGAGGTCATGGGGTTGGGAAAAGCCAGACGCATAAGACAAGTAGAATTTTCTTTTCTCCAGACCTAGCCCAAGGCTGCCATCTGCCATTTCATTGCTTGTGGAGGTATTTAAATGATTTTCTATTTTTCCATTATAGTCAAGATAATGTGACAGTGATGATATATAAAGCATTAGTATTTCTAGGTATTTCCAGTTATGTTATTTTAAATACATTGTTTCTCTTTTGTTGTGTTAAATAATTTCATTTTGCTAGAGTGTAATACTCTATGCAGATGAAATAAATATAAATTACCTTCAGTCTTAACTTATTAAATAATTAATCACAAACCTCAATCAACAGCCTTAGTGGAGAGGAACAGTAATCCGGAAAAAAAACCAGATCACCTTTTTTGACTTTGGAACACATTGTATGCAAAATTTTTCTCTACTCCAATCTATTTATCTTTCTAAAAATACCCAACTGTGTAGATAATGAATTACATTCATATCATATGATTAAATAAATCTCTTGGTGAAAGATTGCTGGCTAGAGGTGCCTGGCAGTCATCTTCTCTACAATGAAAGGACCAAAAACAGCAATTAAATAACCACATGCAGAATAAAGTTTCTAAGAGAGAACATTGAAATTCAGCAGTAAAGTGACAGGGACCATCTGAGTCAAGGAAAGAGAGGTAAGCAAAGCAGGAAGCAGCTACCTAAGCCAGGATCAGCTTGTAGCCAGGAGGAGCTCCCTATTGTGGGGAAAAGGTAAGTGAGAGATCCCCAGTGTTGCACATTCCCATCATGAGTGCCTGCAGCCCTAGCTATAGGAGAGCCTCTTCACCCTTGCAAATCCTGATACTAGTATAGGGAACTGCCTAGGGTCCACTCAATGACAATTTTCCAAAGAGTGAGTCTGTACTGTGTCACACACCTCCACTGAAGACCCATACAATTGTACTATGGTGACATTTGAGGGCCCATACCCCACCAGACTGTATTTTTTCTTGATTCTTAACAGTTCCTGCACCTTCACATGCCAAGAACTCCATTCACATCCTTCCACATTTATCCAAAAAGCTCTAGCATCATGACAGCAGCTGGAACTAACGGTGCAGCTGGTTTGCCAGCAATCTAGCACACACAAAGACCCTCTCCCCAGGGACTGGACAGTGCAGTGCACCAGGGAGGCTGGGTCCAGGACAAAGGGAGCTGAAATATGTGCTCCCTGGACCCTAAGAGCCACCTGCCTGAGATTGCTGCCATGAGAGCAACACCATCCCTTTTAGTGGCAGGACTGCCACATAGCTACACACATTTTCAGGGTACCTGGGGACAGGCTAACCCACATACCATTCCAAGACCTGCTGCTATTGGCATCAGCATGTGCCATTATGGGGTGTGGGGATCAACTCACCCCACCTACCACTGCTGACACCTGTGCACAACATCAAGAAGTGTGATGACAGGCTCACCTTGACCACCACCATCAGCACCCACATAACCATCCAGGGGCCTGAGGACAGGTCTTCCCAACTCATGCTGGCAGTGCCTAAACATGTAATCCAGGAGCTTGGGTATTGACCCACACTGTCTACAACTGTGCGTGTTTGTACACATCATCCAGAGGCCTAAGGAGAGACTGACTTTGCCCACACCTACTACTGCTGGTGCCCATATGTGCCATCCAAGGGCCTGAGGATTGACTCACCCCACCTGCCACCACCAGGGTCCACATATGCCTTCCAGATACCTGAGGATGAGCATGATGCTCCTGCCATTTTCACCTGCACATACCTCCTAGAAGTCTATAGACTGGCTGGCTCAGCCCACTGCTACCACAGCTGATGTCCACATCTGCCACTTGGGGGTCCAAAGGTTCACCTACCACAGCCACTGCCACCACCAACACCATGTACACTACCTAGGGGCCCAAGGACTTCCCCCACCTGCCCTTCCCACTGCTGCCATTGCCAGGATTAGAGAAAGCTATCTGGATGCCCAAAACCAGCTTGTCCAGACCACCAGTGTCCATATATAGTACCCAGGGGCCCGAGAACTGCTATGCCCAACCCACCACCACCACCACCACCACCACCACCACTACTGGTGCCTCAAGACAAACTGACTTGGTTACCCTATCCCAACAAAGCCTTGCCACAGCCTCAACTAACAATGACAGCATAGGCCAATGAGAAACTCAGACATCACTGACACTGATTATAGCTGAAGAAATAATATAGATACAGTTTGGCTGTGTCCCCAGCCAAATCTCTTCTTAAATTATAGTTCCAATAATCCCCACATGTCATGGGAGGGACCCAATAGGAGGTAATTTTATTATGAGGACAATTACCTCATGCTGTTCTCATGATAGTGATTGAGTTCTCATGAGATCTCATGGTTTTATAAGAGTTTTCCCCCTTTTGGTCGGCACTTCTCCTTGCTGCTGCCATGTGAAGAAGGACATGTTTCTTTCCCCTTCTGCCATGATTGTAGTCTCCTGAGACCTCCCCAGCCATGCTGAACTGTGAGTCAATTAAGCTTCTTTCCTTTATAAATTACCCAGTCTTGGATATGTCTTTATTGGCAGCATGAGAACAGATAAAAAAAGTAAATTGGTACTGGCAGGGTAGGGTGCTTCTATAAGGATAGCAGGAAATGTGGAAGTGCATTTGGAAATGGGTTACAGGCAGAGGTTGGAATAGTCTGGAGGGCATAGAAGAAGACAGGAAAATGTGGGAAAGTTTGGGACTTCCTAAATACTTGGAGACCTCAGAAAACAGGAAGATGTGGGAAAGTTTAGAACTTCCCAGAGACGGCCGGGCGCGGTGGCTCACGCCTGTAATCCCAGCACTTTGGGAGGCCGAGGCGGGTGGATCATGAGGTCAGGAGATCGAGACCATCCTGGCTAACAAGGTGAAACCCCATATCTACTAAAAATACAAAAAATTAGCCGGGTGCGGTGGCGGGCGCCTGTAGTCCCAGCTACTCAGGAGGCTGAGGCAGGAGAATGGCGTGAACCCGGGAAGCGGAGCTTGCAGTGAGCCGAGATTGCGCCACTGCAGTCCGCAGTCCGGCCTGGGCGACAGAGCGAGACTCCGTCTCAAAAAAAAAAAAAAAAAGAACTTCCCAGAGACTTGTTGAATGGCTTTGACCAAAATGTTCATACTGATATGGACAATGAAGTCCAGGCTGAGGTGGTCTCAGATAAAGTTAAGGAACTGGATGAGAAGTGGAGTAAAGGTCAATATTGCTATCTGTGTTTTAGTAAAGAGGCTGGTAGCATTTTGCCTTTGCCCTAGAGATCTGTGGAACTTTGAATTTGAGAGAGATGATTTAGGGTATCTTGTGGAAAAAATTTCTAAGCAGCAAAGCATTCAATATGTGACCTGGATTATTTTGAAAGCATTCAGTTTTGTGCATTACAAGGAGATGTTTTGAAATGGGAACTTATGTTTAAAAGGAAAGCAGAGTATAATAGCTAGGAAAATTTGCACCCTATTATGTGATAGAAAAGAAAAAACAATTTTCTGGGGAGAAATTCAAGCCTGTGGCAGAAATTTACATAAGTAACAAGGAGCCAAATGTTATTCACCAAGACAATGGGGAAAATATCTCCAGGGCATGTCCGAGACCTTCATGGAAGCCTCTCCTATCACAGGCCTGGTGGCCTAGGAGGGAAAAATGGTTTCCTGGACCAAACCCAGGGCCACCTTGCTCTATGCAGCCTTGGGACAGGTTGTCCTACATCCTAGCTGCTTCAGCTCCAGCTGTGGTTAAAAGGAGCCAATGTACAGCTAAGGCCATTGCTTCAGAGAGTGCAAGCCCCAAGCCTTGGTGGCTTCCACGTGGTGTTGAGCCTCTGGGTGCATAGAAGTCAGGAATTTAGGTCTGTGAACCTCTACCTAGATTTCAGACAATGTGTGGAAATGCCTGGAAGTCCAGGCAGAATTTTGCAGCTGGGGTAGAGCCCTCGTGGAGAACCTCTGCTGTGGAAGGGAAATGTGGGTTTGGAGCCCCCACCCAGAGGCCCCACTGGTGCACTGCCTGGTACAGCCATGAGAAGAAGGCCACCATCCTCCAGACCCCATCCACTGGAAGCTTGTGCTGTGCACCTGGAAAGGCTGCAGGCACTCTATGCCAGCCCGTGAAACTAGCCAGTAGGGGAGGCTGTACCCTGCAAAGCCACAGATGTGGAGCTACCCAAGGCTGTGGTAGCCCACCTCTTGCATCAGCATGCCCTGGATGTATGACATGGAGTAAAAGTGGAGCATTTCAAAATTTTAAGGATTAATGACTGCCCTATTGGATTTCAGAATGGGATGGGGCCTGCAGTGCCTTCATTTTGGCCAATTTCTCCCATTTGGAATGGGTGTATTTACTCAATGCCTGTATTTCCATTGTATCTAAGAAGTAACTAACTTGCTTTAGATTTTACAGGATCATAGGTGGAAGGGACTTGCCTGGTCTCAGATGAGACTTTGGACTTGGAATTTTGAGTTAATGCTGGAATGAATTAAGACTTTGGGGGACTGTTGGAAATGCATAATTGTGTTTTAAAATGTGAGGACATGAGATTTGGGAGGGGCCAGGGATGGAATGATATGGTTTGGCTGTGTCCCAACCCAAATAACCTCTTGAATTGTAGTTTCAATAATCCCCATGTGTCATGAGGGGGAACCAGTGCAAGGTAATTTAATTATGGGGAAGGTTACTCTCATGCTGTTCTCATGATAGTGAGTTCCCATGAGATCTGATGGTTTGATAAGGAGGTTTTCCTTCTTTTGCTCAGCATGTCTTGCTGCCACCATGTAAAGAAGGACATATTTGCTCCCCCTTCTGCCATGGTTGTAAGCTTTCTGAGGCCTCCCCAGCCATGATGAACTGTGAGTCAGTTACACCTCTTTTCTTTATAAATTACCCAGTTTTGTGTATGTCTTTATTGGCAGCATGAGAGCAGGCCAATACACATATGGAAACTACAATACTGTGCCCACACAGAATCAAAGCCAAAGCACCCATACCAAACTAACACTGTAGATACATGTATAGAAAAATGTCTTTTTCTATGAAAGTCAATCCATACAACCAAAGAAGCAACCATTGCATTAGATGTGAAAATATCAAATTGAAAACATGAGAAACATTTACAAAGCAGAAAAATTTGACACCTCCAAAGGAATACAATAATTATCCAGCAACAGATTTTAATGAAAAGAAAAATCTTGAAATACCTGAAAAGGAATTCAAAATGAAGATATTACAAACTCAGTGAGATACAAGAGAAGAAGGAAAAATGGTACACATGAATCAGGAAAACAAATTCCTGTTCTGAATTAGAAATTCAACAAAAATAGACAACATAAGAAAGAACCAAAAGAAATTCTGAAATAGAAAACATTCAATGAATAAAATAAAAATTGCAATTAAGAGTTTTATCAGTAGATTAAAGCAGAAGAATTGATTTCTGAATTTGAAGGCAAATCTTTGAAATATTCAGATAAAAAAGAAAAAATAACAAAGAACAAAGCCTATTTAACATAGGAGACACCATAAAGCAACCAAATATTTGAATTTTGGGTGTTCCAGAAAGAGAAGAGATGCACAATGTCATAGCAAACCTTTTAATAAAATAGCAGAAAACTTCCCAAGTCTTGTAAGAGATATAGACATCCAGATACAGGAAGCTCAAACATACCCCTATATATTCAATGCACAAGGGTCTTCCTTGAGGTATATTATTGTCTAACTATCAAAAGTCAAAGACAAAAAGAATTCTATAAATAGCAAAAGTGTCAAGTCACATTTAAGAGATCCTCATCAGACTAACAATATATTTCTTAGCGGAAACTTTACCAGCTGAAATCACAACAAACCCCCTGTCAGACCACAGTACAATCAAATTAGAACTCAGGATTAAGAATCTCACTCAAAACCACACAACTAAATGGAAACTGAACAACCTGCTTCTGAATGACTACTGGGTGAATAATGAAATGAAGGCAGAAATAAAGATGTTCTTTGAAACCAATGAGAACAAAGACACAACGTACAAGAATCTCTGGGACACATTTAAAGCAGTGTATAGAGGGAAATTTATAGCACTAAATGCCTACAAGAGAAAGCAGGAAAGATCTAAAATCGACACGCTAACATCACAAGTAAAAGAACTAGAGAAACAAGAGCAAACAAATTCGAAAGCTAGCAGAAGACAAGAAATAACTAAGATCAGAGCAGAACTGAAGGAGATAGAGACACAAAATCCCTTCAAAAAATCAACGAATCCAGGAGCTGGTTTTTTGAAAAGATCAACAAAATAGACCACTAGCAAGACTAATATAGAAGAAAAGAGAGAAGAATCAAATAGACAAAATAAAAAGTGATAAAGGGGATATCATCACTGATCCCACAGAAATACAAATTACCATCAGATAATACTATAAATACATCTACGCAAATAAACTAGAAAATCTAGAAGAAATGGATAAATTCCTGGACACTTACACCTTCCCAAGACTAAATCAGGAAGAAGTTGAATCTCTGAATAGACCAATAACAGGCTCTGAAATTGAGGCAATAATTAATAGCCTATGAACCAAAAAAAGTCCAGGACCAGACAGATTCACAGCTGAATTCTACCAGAGATACAAAGAGGAGCTGGTACCATTCTTTCTGAAATGATTCCGATCAATAGAAAAAGAGGGAATCTTCCCTAATTCATTTTATGAGGCCAGCATCATCCTGATACCAAAGCCTGGCAGAGATACAACAACAAAAAAAGAATTTTAAGCCAATATCCCTGGTGAACATCGATGCGAAAATCCTCAGTAAAATACTGGCAAACCAAATTCATCAGCACATCAAAAAGCTTATCCACCATGATCAAGTTGGCTTCATCCCTGGGATGCAAGGCTGGCTCAACATACACAAATCAATAAACGTAATCCATCACATAAACAGAACCAACGACAAAAACCACATGATTATCTCAATATATGCAGAAGAGGCCTTCGACAAAATTCAACAGCCTTTCATGCTAAAAACTCTTAATAAACTAGGTATCAATGGAACGTATCTCAACATGATAAAAGCTATTTATGACAAACCCACAGTCAATATCATACTGAATGGGCAAAAACTGGAAGCATTCCCTTTGAAAACTGGCACAAGACAAGCATGCCCTCTCTCACCACTCCTATTCAACATAGCATTGGAAGTTCTGGCCAGGGCAATCAGGCAAGATAAAGAAATAAAGCATATTTAAATAGGAAGAGAGGGAGTCATATTGTCTCTGTTTGCAGAAGACATGATCGTATATTTAGAAAACCTCATCTTCTCAGCCTCAGATCTCCTTAAGCTGATAAGCAACTTCAGCAAAGTCTGGGGATACAAAATCAATGTGCAAAAATCACAAGCATTCCTATACACTAGTAACAGACAAACAGAGAGCCAAATCATGAGTGAACTCCCATTCACAATTGCTACTAAGAGAAGAAAATAGCTAGGAATACAACTTACAAGGTATGTGAAGACCTAGTCAAGGAGAACTACAAACCACTGCTCAAGGAAATAAGAGAGGACACAAACAAATGGAAAAACAGTCCTTTCTCATGGATAGGAAAAATCAATATCGTTAAAATGGCCTTACTCCCCAAAGGAATTCGTAGATTCAATGCTATCCCCATCAAGGTACCATTGACTTTCTTCACAGAATTGGAAAAAACTACTTTCAACTTCATATAGAACCAAAAAAGAGCACGCATAGCCAAGACAATCCTGGGCAAGAAGAACAAAGCTGGAGGCATCATGCTACCTGACTTCAAACTTTACTACAAGGCTACAGTAACCAAAACAGCATGGTACTGGTACCAAAACAGATATATAGACCAATGGAACAGAACAGAGGCCTCAGAAATAACACCATACATCTACCACCATCTGATCTTTGACAAACCTGACAAAAACAAGCAATGGGGAAAGCATTCCCTATTTAATAAATGGTGCTGGGAAAACTGGCTAGCCATATGCAGAAAACTGAAATTGGACCCCTTCCTTACACCTTATACAAAAATCAACTCAAAATGGATCAAAGACTTAAATGTAAGACCTAGGACCATAAAAATCCTAGAAGAAAACCTGGGCAGTACCATTCAGGACATAGGCATGGGCAAAGACTTCACGTCTAAAACACCAAAAGCAATGGCAACAAAAGCCAAAATTGACAAATGGGATCAAATTAAACTAAAGAGCTTCTGCATAGCAAAAGAAACTATCATCAGAGTGAACAGGCAACCTACAGAATGGGAGAACATTTTTGCAATCTATCCATCTGACAAAGCGCTAATATCCAGAATCTACAAAGAACTTAAACGAATTTACATGAAAAAAAGCAAACAACCCCACCAAAAAATAGGCAAAGATATGAAGAGACACTTCTCAAAAGAAGACATTTATGCAGCCAACAGACATATGAAAAGATGCTCATCATCACTGGTCATTAGAGAAATGCAAATCAAAACCACAATGAGATACCATCTCATGCCAGTTAGAATGGCGAACATTGAAAAGTCAGGAAACGACAGATGCTGGAGAGGTTGTGGAAAAATAGGAACGCTTTTACACTGTTGGTGGGTGTGTAAATTGGTTCAACCATTGTAGAAGACAGTGTGGTGACTCCTCAAGGATCTAGAACCAGAAATACCATTTGACCCAGCAATCCCATTACTGGACATATACCCAAGGGATTATAAATCATTCTACGATAAAGACACATGCACACGTATGTTTATTGCGGCACTATTCACTATAGCAAAGACTTGGAACCAACCCAAATGTCCATCAGTGATAGACTGGATAAAGAAACTGTGGCACATATACACCATGGAATACTATGCAGCCATAAGAAAGGATGAGTTCATATCCTTTGCAGGGACATGGATGAAGCTGGAAAATATCATTCTCAGCAAACTATCACAAGATCAGAAAACCAAACACCACATGTTCTCACTCATAAGTGGGAGTTGAACAATGAGAACACATGGACACAGGGCGGGAACTATCACACACTGGGGCCTGTGGGGGTTGGGGGACTAGGGGACGGATAACATTAGGAGAAATACCTAATGTAGTTGACGGGTCGATGGGTGCGGCAAATCACCATGGCATGTGTATACCTATGTAACAAAACTGCACATTCTGCACATGTAACCCAGAACTTAATGTATAATAATAATAATAATAATAATAATAATAAAAAGAAAACAGGCTTAAGAGTGAGATTGAGATTTTAACCTTGCCTTTGCCACTTATTAGCTGGTACATGTGGGCAAGTTTAACTACTCTGTGCCTGTTTCCTTATTTATGAGCAAGAGTGATGATAATTCTAGTATCTACTTCTTGGGAATATTTGAGGATAAAAGGCTTAATGGAAGAAAAATGCTTGGCATTGTGAATGATTCTTATGCACTCAATCAAAAGTAGTTATTGCATCAAACACTGGAATGGAAGTACTAATTAGGATTACCCAGAAACTGAGGAATCAAAAAAATGTAGCAGGGGTTAGGTAAGTAATTTGGATAAATACATTCCATGTATCTATTGAAGCCTGATTCTGCCTTAAATCCAAAACAACATAGTCAAATAAGAACATGGACTACTAAAGATACTGTGTTTTCGCTGTCAGATTCCTATCTGCAGTGTCATAAAGACAACTGGAACAAGATTTGGGCAAGAACTTTTTTCCATAGGTAACTAAATGCTCTTCCTCAGCATTAATTTTAATGGCTAGAGGCTAGTCCATCATGTGGATACCTATGTATCTGTTTAATCAAAACATTGGAAGTGTTTACTTGTTATAATGTTTCATTGCTGCAGAAGCTGATAAATGTATATCAATTTCCATTCTCCTTTTACTTAACAATTGAACTCCTAAGGTTAGCTGGACCCATGGATGTCCATCCTAAAACTATGTTTACAACATGCCGTTGCAATTTTGGCCATGTGATTATTGTAGTCAGTGAATTCTGAGCAGAAGTGGCATGTTCCACTTCTTAGTTCTGTCCCTAAAAATAAATGAATGCTATGTGCTACCCTGGGATTTTCTACCTTCCTCTTGACTGGAAGTTAATGAGAACTGGAGCAGTGGCCTTAGATCCAAGGATGAATACTACACGTTGAGATTAGAAGGGCTGTTTACATTAGAAAGACACAATTGTATCTATTTTTCATGCCATATGTTAAGGGGTCTCTTTTATATATAACCTATAACTTAAATCACTATATGAGCAATGCTATGATAATCACTTCTGTATTTGTAAATTTCTGATTATTTCTTTAAGATAAATTCCCTGAAGTAGAAATTCTTATGCATATAGCATACACATTTTGAGGCATTTGTTACATATTTCCAAGTAAGCCATTAGCAATGTATAAGAGTGCTAATTTTCCCATGTCTGCACTGCCTCTAGGTATTGTTACTTTTGTTTTTATCTTTGTCAGTTAATGAGATACAATATATTATTTTAATTTGCATTTACTTTACTACTTGTGCAGTTAAATATTTTTCTTAAGTTTATTATTTGCATATTTTAAAATTCATTTTCACAAACCTGTTTCTAATGTAAGCATATTTACCTTTTACTTTATTTCTATTTTGTAAATACTCCCCCAATTTGTCATTTACCTTCAATGTTTCTTTAGAATTTGTTACTGTTATTATCAAATAAAGTTCTACCAGTGATTGTCTTTATAGTTTGACCCACTGTGGTCATGCTTTCAAAGCCCAATATTAATAATTATTCACAATACTTTTCTAGTGTGATTTTTATTTTTAATGTTTAAATCTTTAGTTCCTGTGAAGGTGTCTTTAATATATTACCTCATTTTGTTTTTAGCATCATTACTACAGATGGGTAGCAGAGTTTTCTCATACCTTTTATACCAGTTCTACTCAACTATGAGCAGTATCTCTCCTTTAAGATCAATTTGTAATTGTGTACTTGTGTTTTTGTGTGTCACAATAACTGAGGGGTGGTAGTGACATTTAGAATCTTATAATCAGGAATGTTATATTATGAAGTATGTGTTGTAATATCACACAAAGAAAATATATCTGGCCAAAAGTATTTAAAGTGTACCAATTAGAAATAAAATATATTCTCATTTTGCTGATTATTATTGTCACCTTTATCATATAATACATTTCAAAAGGTAGGTATACAGATATAGATATAGATTCTTAAACTCTCTATTTCGTTCCATCCACTCGGCCACTTTGACATTGATCTGCTTGGCAACCTCTGACTTGATCTCTCTTGTGTCACATGAGAAGAGAGCCAGGAAGCCATGCGTGTGGGAGTTGATGATGTTGATCTTGTGCAAGGGACACAGTATGCACCTTGCATTTCTGGAGCTTCCCATATGGGGGCTGCCTGAATTTGGTCTGGGAGTCCATGGGGTTGTAGTCACCAGACCATGTAAAGGAGTGGCCCAACTTGGAGATCTTTCCCATTGCTTTGTCAATAGTGATCATGTCACCAGCGTGGATCTTGTCTTTGGTCAGGGACTCAATCATCTTCATGCCCAGGTCATAGATGGTCTCCATCTTCTTGGTTTTGTTGGTCAGTTTGCCCACCTTGGAGCCCATTCCTGTCACTGGTCTATAAATCTGGGTCTCAACCACTTCCCCTTCGATGATCTCCATCTCCTCCTTGAAGTGAATGCCAAAAGATGGCCAGAAAGCCTGTGTCAGTGCCTGGGTCTTGCTCATCTCCAGGGAGATCTCACTGCCGGTGATGGCTATGAACAAGGTGTCAGGTCCCAGGGCCTATGCCATGCCTAGGGCGATGGCTGTCTTCCCTCTGCCCAGCTGACCAGCAATGAGGACTGCCCACTTGACAATCTTCCCTTTATGGATCATCTCCAGCCCCACACGAGCTGCCTGCTGTGCAGCAAAGCTGACCCACCATGCCCTGGGAAGCCTGTTGAGCCTCCAAAGCATCATCCAGCCCCAGTCCTCAGATGTGGGAGTGAACACCTCTATGCTCAGTTCTCCTCACATCATAGATCTCTGGAACATTGGTCACGGTCATCACAGTTGCCATGATAAGTCACCAACCACCAATGTCTTTCCTCACAATGATTTATTTTGTATCACACACTGATCCTTCTCAAAATTATTATTTTGACTATTATCTTTTTCTTTCTTATAAAAAATCATACTTTGAGAACCATTGTCTGCTATTTTGATCAACCAGAATTATTCTTTTTCTAAGTTGAAAAGTAGTAAACTTTATCATCCTTAAATATCTAAAAATATATTTCTGCTGCTCTCATAGGTGAATAATAGCTTGGCTGGGTATGCAATTATCTTGTCATTTTCTTTCTCCCTCAAACTCCATAGCCATTGTTCAGTTGTTTCTCAGCCTTTGAAGTTAAGGAAGAGATGGAAAATAAAAGTGGTATTTACTTACTTTTGGAGTAACCTGTTATGATTTTCTTATGTTCTTGTTGGTTTGTTGGAATAGATAGTTATAGAAATTTTCCTTTTTGATATTAAAAGGTAATGTATAGGTCATATTTCTTTTCATTAATTTCATCAATTTATATAATATATAGATATTAAGGATATATATGAAAATATTTGGTTAGTTATCAAAAGATAGATAGCTATGTGATTTAGTTATTAAAATATAGTACATGAAATAGCTTTAGGCCTTTGAATGAGTAAAACCTGGTTTTGAGTCCCAACTCTGTTGTTTACTAGCTATAGGATATTGGGGGAATTCAACAAAGTCACTATGTTTCCATTTCCTCATCAGTAAAGTAATAATAATAATACCAACTTGGCAGGGTTGTCGAGAGGAGTAAATGCATTATAACATAGCATGTTTACAACAGCTCTTGGCATGAAAGAACCCCTCAATATAATTAGGTATATTAAATCCTTTCCTACTATCACATTTTAAAATCTGGTGAATATGTTACTCATCTCCAGAAAGTCTTCCCTGATTTTATTTTGTCCCCCTTTTGTCACTCTTTGCCATTAATTTTTCAGTTTTATACATATACTATTAAATGTAATTTAAAATACACAATTATGCATTGCAGATTTTTTAAAGGTTTTCTCCTATTTTTGTTTGTTTTGGGTTTATTTGCTTTTGAGTCAATCAATTTCATAGATCATTTAACATCCAGAGGAACGTTTCCTAAGGGAAGTAAATTGATAAACTTATGGCAGACACTGTGTTGCTGCTTTGTTCAATTTTATTCTCTCTTACTATTGGAACTCTCTCAAAGATGTTTACCTAAATTAATTCTCTGGTGATGGTATGAATGAATACCCTTTGGCAGATACATCTATGAACTCCTTGAAACAAACAGTTCCCCTCGGATAAACAAGTATTTACATGCCATGGTTGATTCACGAGATGGTGGCTAGTTTCCAGTATTGAGTGACAGCAGTTTTGTTTGAGCCAGAAGAGTGGTCACAAACTGTCAACCCACTGACCACGTTTCATTTGGCTAATGTATTTTTTTCTATTTAAATGCCTTTTAACACTGCATATACTCTCTATTTTTCCACAGTCCCAACTATTCTCTGTTGGTTTTACTCCAGGGTCACGTCACTCATTTTTACTACTTTCCCTGTATTTACTTATGTTTGTGTTTCCTAAGCCAGCTTAATGTTTACGCAACTGAACCTCAGTGTAAAGATCAGGATTGAAGAGGGGGCATAAAAACATGTCTAAAACTGCTAACTGGGGCATTATTTAATCAATCCATTCAGCAAATATTCATTGAGTATCTTCGTGCCAGAAGCTGAGATAAGTTCTCATAATAGAGTAGTAAACAAAGTATACATAGTCATAGCCCCCTCTTGGAGTTTACAGTGTAGTGGAAGAAACAAAATTAGCTTAATCACATAAATGAAAAATTTTAATGGTGGCTTACTATTCTAGAAGAAGGTAGAGAATGAAGAGAAAAGGAGGAGGGAGGGAGAGAGAGAAATAGAGAACGGAGAGACATAGAGGGGAAACAGAAAGAATGAATGAGGAGATGGCAGAGGAATAGATGGGTGAAGAGGAAAGGAGAAGTACAGGGAGGAGCAATGTCAAAGTGGAACCGTCAATAGAAGACCAAAATAGAACTAACAACACCCTCTGAATTTATGGAAACACTGAACAGTCATAGAACATCTTCATGATTTGAGTTCACATAGTAAAGGTAGTATTATAATTCTCTACTTACCAGGCACATCAATTACTTTTAACAGCCTTGCTGAGCATTTTTTTCCAACGACCACTTTTCTGTTTCCACTTTGTGTGTGTGTGTGTGTGTGTTTCAAAACAGAACATTTTTGCTGAAAATAAACTGGCTTCTTAATATGGTCACCACATAAGCTTGTGAAAGGACAAGGAGACCTGAAGCAATTGTAGATACTACAACATACGTATTAAAACTTGAAAGCACACAGAAGTGTTACTTTGCCAGCTCATTTTCATTAGGACGCGTGCAGGATCAGAATGAAGATTTACAGTCTATATGGCTTGCCTGGGATGTATTTACCAAAAATAATAGGGCCATTCTCTGTGTTCCTGGTCCCCAATCTAGACTCTGTAACAAAAACGAATGTATTTCTGTTTGCTATGTTGATGACTGAAAATATGTCGTGACCATTGTGAACATAAAAAATAACGGGAAAAAGATGCTATTCTTTTTCACCCTAAAAAGACTAATGTAAAATTGCTTATTTGACAATTTTTCAGAATTTTTTCATATATATATATATGTGTGTATAGCCAATCCAACTCCCTCCATTGCAGTCTCTGAAAGTGCATTTGTCTTTTATTTTCTAAAATCTTCCTGTGATAGTATCTATCTACCTACCTATTCAAGCCTTTGTACATAATTATTTACCTGAAGACTGGTTAATTATACTTGTCTAAGCGCCAAGAAAAGCTTGAATCATAGCTAAAACCTGAAACTCTTTAATTTTTAAAAATGTGTTCAAGAAGTAGAGATTAAATCTCTACTGTTTTACTTACTAGCTGAGTGATTTAGACCAAATTACCTACATCTCTGAGCCTCCGTTTTCTGATCTATTAAATTGAGACAAAAAAGTACCTACCCCATAGATCTGCATGAAGACTAAATAAGATGATGCATGAAATGTGCTTAGTAAACAGCATGACCTGTACTAAATGCTCTAAAAGTCACATTACTAATCAAAGATCCACCTCAATAAATTAACCCATCCATATCTACTTCTGTAGAAAACACTGCCCATTGTGTACATAATCTCCATCACATCACCCAAACAGAATATGCCTGACCATGTGAACAACCAATAAGTACTGATGTGTTTGTGTAGTTCTTATGGATTGAATACTGGAATTAGTAAACCTTTTAAAAGTACTGTGCAATGTTTACCTATGTAACAAAACTGCACGTCCTGCACATGTATCTTGGAAGTTAAAATTAATTTTTTAAAAAAGTACCGTGCAAAGATTCCAATGGCTTCTAACTCTAGTGGCTGGAAGCAATTGGCAGCACAGGGCATGAGAGGCTTCAGGGTGTGAAACAATAAAAGATTCCCAGATGAGCATTCAAAGAAGAAATAAAAGTACTTCTAATATTTTTGTTAAAATATTTTTAAAATTCATTAAAAATGTAATTTAAGCTATTATGTTTTTTTCCTGTGGTGTTTATCTTTTTCTTTTTTTATTTTATTATTATTATACTTTAAGTTTTAGGGTACATGTGCACAATGTGCAGGTTAGTTACATATGCATACATGTGCCATGCTGGTGTGCTGCACCCATTAACTCGTCATTAAGCATTAGGTGTATCTCCTAAAGCTATCCCTCCCCCCTCCCCCGACCCCACAAAGCTATTATGATTTTTAAATTTGCTGATCAGCTGATTACTTTAAAAATGAATTGGCTTTTGTTTATAACCAGAGATAGCTCACTAACTGATTAATCTGACAGTCCAGGTTACTCTCTCTGCTAAGTTCTCAACTAAGCTGGCTCAGTTTAAGATTTCTCCGCCATGAATTTATTGAAGCAGCTTATAAAATTGCTTTCTCATTTCCTGTTTGGCCAAAGCTGTATGTCAGGTCTTGCAGCTGCCAGCCCTGTTAGGCTCAGCTATCTAACAGGTCTAGACTACAGACCAATGCTTAGTTCTGAAGGTGATCTGGCTGGTATTCAGTCCAAAAGTATTCTGATCAGAATTGATGCCTACTATGAGGAGTCCACATTCCTGATAGGAATTTGTCTAAACTCCCACAGCTCCTGGTGACCGCTCATAGGCCTTTGCATATGGATACAAATTTAGCTTATACTCAAAAGAGATAGAATTTGCCCTTGGCCTATATTTATTTTCAGCATAATGGAATCTTAATGTAAACTTTCATTAGTCAGATATTTGATAGCATAGCATCTAAATGAATCAGTAACTGTAAACATCTAGAGCTTAAGAATTATAATAGCTGATATCAATTGGGTGTCCATTATGTGCCAGGCACTTTATAAGGTCTACTTGAATGTTCACAGCAGCCCTTTGGAGTGGAACTATTATTGTATTCCAATTTTGCAGAACGAAGAAATGATGAATTGGCGTGAATTTCTCAAGATCTGCCCTAGTAATTAGTGTAGGCGAAATATTAAACTCAAGTCTTTATGGCTGTGGAACATCAGATCTTAAGAACAATATTACTGTGCCCAGAATAGCAGTTTTTGTTTTACCTGTGACTCTGAAACACTGAAAGATACTAAGTGCTTTTTTCTAGTTTTTTCTGGCTTAGCAGTGTATATCTTATCCCATGTATAATGTTATGTAATATATTATATTTATTACAATATGATAAGGGCCATGTATCAGCTTGAACAGAGAGATTTCAGAGCACTGGGTGGTGGTGACACCTCCAGTAGAACCGATAATGTGATAATACCAGTAATAATGCTAAGCAAAGAATAGGATAAGGGAGTTCCATTCAGGGAAAATATCATGAACAAACAGTCAGAAAGGTATATCCAAAGAGAAGACACGTCTCAGAAAAAGGACATATAATTTGTTGTGGCCAGAGCCGAGTATATATAAAAAATGGAAAGACTAGGGGAAAGATCACAAATTGTGAAGAAGTTTGGATGCTTTATTAACAATGGTGTGTGTGTGTGTGTGTATGTGTGTGTGTGTGTGTGTTAGGAGGTGGTGGTGGCTAGAGTCAAGAGATGAGAAAAAATTATGAATGATGGCATTATATATATATAAACTATCTCTGGTTTACTGCATACTCTGTGGCCTTGGACAAATTATTTAGCATGTTTAAGCCTCAGTTTTCTAAAAATAAATGAGGAAAATAATTCCTACCTCACTCTGTTGTTAAAAAGATTAAGATTAGATTAAATAAACGAGATGCAACCATAATATATAGAATATAGCCGGTGTACAGAAGTGGTTAAATATGCTTTCCAACCTTTCCTGAAGTGATTATTCACTTGATTTGAATATCTTGTTACTCACTTACCTTGGATGAGTAGCAATTTACTGTATTTGCACATGCAAACCTGTGAATCAAATTATCCTAAGTTGAGTGATGTCTGACTTCTTTCTCTACTCATATGTAGAGGACTCATATGTGTACTACTGTGACAGAGCATGATGAGAATATATTATCTTAATATAACTCAGAAGCCAAGGTATGGAACTTGTGGACAATTGCCAAGAAAATCGTGTCTATGAATACAGATGCATTTTGTCATTCATTTATTTGGCATTCATTCATTCATTCATCCAATGAGCATTTACCAAATACATACTATGTTCCAGGTACCATGCTGAGTCATAGCAATTCAGAGATGTCTAAGATGTGCCTCCTTTCCTCACAGAGTCCTCCCATAGTCTAATTGCACATAACCCGTAATTCATTTCAGTGATTTATAAATCAGAACATTCTCATGCAGTATATTTTTCATCTCAGCAAACACACATACCCAAACATATACGCAACATCCATACATTTTAAGACCTTTGTCAAAGCCCATACAGAATATCTAAAGGTCCTGTGGGTCCATTATAAGTTGTCGTTCAAATTTATTCTTTAAACTAGTCCCTGAACCTCTCAATAATCTCTTTTGAGAATGCTTTTACCATTTTGTCTCTTACAGGGAGGTCACTCTAATTCCTTTTAATGTGTGCTGAAGAAAGGGCAGCACAGCTGAAGCCTGATTTAAAATCTGATCTTCTCCCTAATGTCACAAGGACATCCTGAGACAATGGCTGAGGAGCTATGCACCAGTACCCAGCTGGATCCCTGATACTTACATTGGCAGATGCATTATCAACAGAGACATCGATTTAGAGTGAATTAAGTAAGCAATTTCCATTTTCAAGCCTACAATTCCATTTTAGCACCAGGAGATATTAACCGGTATTGTTATAGGTAAAATCTGATTGTGTTAAGGAGGGTGCCTGGACAATCAGAGGGAGTCAGAATAGGAAATTAGAGTTTCGAGTTTTGTTCCCTTGTCTAGTATGCTGGGTCACCTTGAGAAACTTCCATCATGACTGGGTCTCAGTTTCTAAAAATCAAATTTTACTTGCTGTGTTCCCGAAAGAGAATTTTTGGATAACTGACTTGCTATGTATAACTCTCTCAAGGTAAGTATATGCAAGGAATTGCTGTAGGTGCAGGATTTTGCAAATTGCTGAAATGAAACACTAGGTTGGCTTTGAAATATACTACTTCTCATCTGTGCAGCCAGCAAAGTAAAGAGCAAAGTGAACTACTTAAATGCTCTCATTTCCAGCAGATTGATTGGGCATGGCAGAGGAGGAAGGGAGAGAGGAAATCTTATGTACGAAGACATTGTAAGGCATACAAAAATATTAATATTCTGTAATAACTCCTCTGGGTATAATTCTTCTACCTCAAATATTTGAAATACATATTGCTGAGATTTGGTATTGACAAATATTTTAAACAATTTGTTTGTGAGCAGAATTTTATCGACCCAAGTTGTGAATACAGTTTTCTTCCTAGAATGTTCTCTCTCATTTTCATACTTATACTAATAACATAATTACATAGCATTTTACAGTTCACATATAAGTCAATTTATTTGAGCTAGTATTATTTTCCTTATTTCACAGATGAAAAATTAAAGCCCAGGGATAATGCTACTTTCTATGATTCCCTAGCTAGGACTAAAATTCTGGCATTCCACAATCACTGCCAGTGATTTCTCCACCACAGCATGCTGTGTATACTAAACTGTGGCACAGGTAAAGAAAGCTATGGAACCTGAGAGATTCAAAAGATTAATTTTCTCCAAAGGCCTCAAGGAAAAATGTCATTACTGAGGTGAGATACTAGAATTATGATATTTATTTATATTAAAGAACACTTACAACACATGACACTTTGTGTTATTTTTAAACTCATGGTGATACCCAAAGTTTCTGAAAATAAATAGCTTCTAACATTTTATTGCAGTGTTTTCTAGACTCTGTGGGAGGAGTTTCATAAAAACAAGGGCAAACACCCTTGGGAAAGGTTGCATATGATATCCTTTTCTTGGAGATTCATAGAGCACATAGTAAATAAAAGGCTCTGAAAATTCCTGTAAAAAGAAAATTTGTTCAAGCTTGTTAAACTCAGGTTTTCTTTATTTTAAATTCTAACACCTGTTAAACTTCTCCTGGCATGCTAATATTTATGTGAAACACAATTTGCACAATGGAAAGCAATCTTCCCATTTCTCCTACTAAACACATCACTCCTTTTTTTCTTCCATAGTTATACTATAATTGAAAACTAAAAGAATCCAAGAAAAATTGATGGTGAATATGGCCATAGTCAATATTATTGGAGTGGAAACTTACAGACGCCAAGACCTGTTTTACCTTCTCTTAAAAAGAGTCTTGCACATCACAGTTGCTCAGTTATTCTAATGACATTTTCATCTTATCGACGTGTAAATCTTCTCTGAACATTTTTGTTCATGAGAAGAATAAATATTCCTAAAACTTTTAAGATAAATACATATCTATTCAGGGATATTAGACATTCGTATTTATAAGAGCTGAAGGCTGGAAAAGTTAGTCTTTTATTTCCTGTAATTCCATTAGCAGAGGCAATTTGTATGTCTTCTGTCCATTATTCTTATTCACCTTAATAGCTTAATCAAATTCCAGTTGTGGGGTAATGACTTCTTTGTTGCTGTTTGAATATAACTCCTTTTTGGTCCATTGGATTAGATTGAATGTTACTTATGCTGATGTGCCTACCAGAATAAAGCTACGTATCTATGTGGTTTATGGCAAGGTCTCCCTTGAAATATGAAGTCATCCTTGATGCCTAACCCCTAGAAAAGGGGGTGCCTATTTAACACCAGAAACAGAAAATTAGGGAGAGAATCCTAAGTGTGTTATATACTGAGAATCTCTCTTCTTTCAATTAATCAAGCTGTCAGAGGTATTCCTAGGTAGTGCATTTGAGATTTTGTCCTTTACATGAAGGAATTCTGAAACATAGGAAATAAAAAAAAAATCTAGGCAAATTGTTGAAGGTGTACAAGATTTTTGTGGCTCAAATACTGATATTATAAGACAATGAATAGAATTGATAGAATTGGTACTAAAGCCCTCAAACACTGAAAACAAGCTAGACATAGTAGGATTCAAGAGTTGAATGGTTACTTCTTTTTTTTTTTTTTTTTTTTTTTTTTTTGACAGAGTCTCGCTCTGTCGCCCAAGCTGGAGTGCAGTGGTGCGATCTCCGCTCACTGCAACCTCCTTCTCCCGGGTTCAGAATGGTTACCTCTTATCTCTCACAGCTTCCCAAGCCTTCTTTGTTACATATGTATTGACCATATTTCAGATTCCTGAATGGATTATTCTCTGTCATCTTTGACACTTTTTACATTCTATTCTTTCTTTCTTGAACATTCTCCCTAGACCCTACTCTTACACTAACTTGGTTAATTTCTACTTAGGCTTCAGTTCTTAAAGTGTTATTTTTTCTGTGAAGGGGTTCTTGGTCTTTGCCCACTCCTCATATAGATCAGGAATTGAATGTCCTTTCTGTGTGATCTCAGGGCACTCTGCAATTTTTCCCCATCAAAACACCCACAAAACTGTATAGTAAATGTCTGTTGAGTCTTTGTCTCTTACTGAACTTTGATCTCTCTTAAAGTAAGGGCTATGTCTTTCTTGTTCATCATTTTCTTTTTAATAGTACTTACCAGATAGTATATCCTTGATAAACATTTGCATTTGCTGAATAGATAAATGATTGCACATGACATTTTGTTATTTTAGTATATGTTTTATGATATTTTTTGCACAATTCTCTTGGAAATCCTAAGCAAAAGCCAGTCTGACAATGGGGGAAAGATAAGAAGATATCATTGTGTCACAAACTAAAAGGTCAACAACACCTCTAATTTGCTTTTGATGTAATCTGTACAAATTAGATCTTCTCTTTGTAAGTCTCTTTCGCTCTAGATTGTTAGAGTTGTTCAACTTTAATTCCAAAAATTAAAAAGAAAACAAAGGGAAATTACAAAAACAACCTATTTGCTGATCTCTTCAATAAATAAAAAGAAAGCATTTGAAAATTGCCAACAGTTTGGAGCAGTGTGAATGGAGATATCTACAATGTGATTTATTCACATTAGGTATTTTTCAGATGCATGCAGTTAACAGCCTTAACTATTGCCACCCAATATGACGGTGCCATTTATTTACAATGTAGGGCATGCTGTTTGCAAAGAAACCCCATTGTTACATTTTACTTTGCTGTCAGCTGCCCAAGTCTATCTCTGGCTGTTTTTTATGCTACTGTGGCCCTTGAACAGAAATGATGATGCAAAGGAGGAATCAACCAAGCTAAGCAATTGAGCAGTTGACAAGGTGCCGGGAAAGAATAGGAACAGAAGAAACTGATTTATATTTGGTTATCTGCTTGAAGCAAGGAGGTGTCCTCTGCTTTGTTTTTATTCACAATACTATTAGCTTTTCTAGATTTCCTAGCTTGACCAAAATTCCAGTGTTTTCCTGTGTACAAAATGATATCGAAAACCACAGTATCTTTATGGTTTGTAATGTGCTTCTGCCAAAATCTTAATACCAATATTTTGGTAAAGGAAATGGTATAGTTCTTTGAGATATGACATTTCAATAATTGAGTAGTTTGGTTGTGAAAAGAAGGAAAGAAAACAGCTTCAGAGTGTTGACTGGTGACATTTTTCTGGAATGGTGAGACTATACTAATATTTTACCCCTGAACTTCATTTCTTGGCCTCAAATAAGATGAAGTAGCCTAAGGTCAGATTGTTTGTTGCGTGAATTGTGGAAAAATTAATCAGTCCTCAATCAGTCAGTCATTAAGCAAGCATTGTGGAGCTATTATATCATGCCTGTCCCTCTGCTAGATGTTACAGAAGGTAAAACAAAATAGAACTCTATTCACAGACCTTAAAAAAACCTTATAATCTTCTTGGGGAAAAAACAAGTCTCAAAGTCAAAATCATGAGATAATTTTTCCAATTGTGAGTGCTAGGAATGTGCTACAAAATATATTGTTGTGTAAATTGGGGAAAAGTAGAGATCACTGAGGGCTGAGGCTAGTAGGTATTTAGGAAAACATTCGAGGCCGAGGCGGGCAGATCACGAGTTCAGGAATTCGAGGCCAGCCTGGCCAATATGGTGAAACCCTGTTTCTACTAAAAATACAAAAATTAGCCAAGTGTGGTGGTGCGTGCCTGTAGTTCCAGCTACTCAGGAGGCTGAAGCAGGAGAATCACTTGAACCCAGGAGGTGGAGGTTGCAGTGAGTAGGGATCGCACCACTGCACTCCAGCCTGGCAACGTAGTGAGACTCCATCTCAAAAAACTCAAAAAAAAAAAAAAAAAAAAAAAAAAGACAACATTCTCCAGGAGTTGAATGTACTAGTCAGGTCCTGAGGGTTTGTACTATGCTTTCGCTTGCTAGAGGCTGAATGGTCATTTTTCATTTTGTTTAAGTAATGCATATTCAGTTAAATATTTTAAGTTACTAGAAGGAAAGATGGTGAACAGAGAAGAGGGGAAGATAAAGAATATTTCCTGAGATGAAGAAGACCAGCTTGATAATGGGGCTGGCCTGCCATTTTTGTTTGTTTTAATGTGAATTATGACAATAACCTACATTAAAGTATAGGTTTATTTACTCACACTCTCCTTTTTGTGTACCTTACTGCAGGAATACTGTATAGATTTAGATTGTAGTTTAGAATACTAGAAAATGCATATAGCACTTGCTGTATGTCAGGAATTGTTGCAACCACTTTACAACTATTTATTTATTTCATCCTCATAACTCTATAAAGCTTTACAGGTGAGAAAAATAAAGCACAGAGAGGTAAAGTAATTTGTCCAAACTCACATAACTAATAAGTGGCAAAGCCAAGATTTGAACCTGAGCAACTTGATTCCAGCTTTTAAACAATATGCATTGTGGCTTGCATTGCACTTGGTTATTTGCAGGGCCTTAACTGACTTCTAGGTGTATCTATATACGGTTAAACTTGTGTGCTTGGTGAGTCTTTCCTTGGCCTCTATTTTTTTTTTTTTGTCATATATTATGTAGGTTCTGAGGAAATCTGGTGGGAATGTTGGTCATGAGATCAGGGAGAAAGTTATATATATATGAAAAACAGAACTTTTTTGGTATTTCTTAAATTATTATATAAATTGTTGAATCTACAGCTGTCTTCTTTGATTAGGCTCTTATGCAACAATGGGTTGAGAACTACAAGCCAATAAGACATTGCTTGTACACCCTGATCAGAACAGGGCAGCATTCTATGGCAGATCACTGTCCAGGGTAGTTCTCCTACAGTGAGCAGACATTCTGAGGGTGTACAAATACCGTTCTTCCAGACTCCATCTTCTCATTTGTTTGCTCATTCTGTGTCATGGAGTCTTTTCAGCAAGGCTTATATTTATAAGTAACAATAGTTTCTTACATTTTGCCCTCCCCAAATGCAAACCAACTACTACAAGAGTACTTAGTGAATAATGGTGGATAGTAAAGCCATCCCTGCTAGATCTTAAGTTGGCTCACTTTCGATTCATTTTGTTTTTGAACATCTATGCCCCAAATGTCAACATTTCTGTCAAGTTCCTTCTTAAATTGTTTTCCGAATTCTCATCTGGAAGGAAGAGTTAAGCACATCTGCTAGAGGCATTTTCATCAAGCATACTACATAAGGTCTTTGCTCTTTCACCTTCCCCACTGGCTCAGACTAATGCCCACCCTCATGCATTCCACACTGCTAACCCTGCTAAGAAATACCATTGCAGTCGCCATGCCCCTCAACCTGAGAACAGGTCTCAAGGTATATTGCAAATGGAAAATAATTCACCTTCACTAAAATGCTGGGGTTCTGCTTCAAAATATTTGTCGATTTTGCTATTGTTTGGGCAGGCAGAGGAAGGGAATTCCACTATTCCTGTCACAGTGATTGACAGAAATGAAGCATGGAAGAGAGCAACTGTGTTTATGAGCACGGGAGGTGAAAACTAGACAAGACCTGGATCATATATTTTTAACAACTTAATAAATTTCTTTCACCCATTCCCCAAATCTTCACTTTCCAGCCAGAAAAGAATGACATCAAGTTTCAGCTAGAAATGAATTTTTGTTTTTGAACGTTGGAAAGTTATAAGACTATAAAACATATTTTTAATGAAATTGAGATATCCTCCAGAGTCTCACTCAAATCTAGTCCTTGGGGCTATGCCATTCTCATAGGACAGATAACCTCCCAGTAAGATCTTTGTGCTACTTCAGCAACCAAATTCTTCTAGATGGGTCTGAAACAGTCCCTTTTATGCTGAGTTCTGTATTGTTCTCTCATTGTATTAGAGCAAAGTCTGACTTACTTCACTGTCCCAAATCCTTGACATTCAGAGTGGAATCATTAAAGAATTGGTCATGGTAAATGTGTTTTGTGGAGGAGATTTGACAAGTTTAGAGCCCACCAATAGGCAAATTGTGCCAGGATATACTAGTGATGGCTCGTGTCTCATTTTTGAGGAATCCTGAGGAAAGAGAAAATTTTTCCTTGAAAGTTAAAATCCATTTTTTCCTTTTAATTATATATTCATCCACCTTAAAGATATTCTGCTACCCCTTATTGAAGCAGTATAGTATAGCTGGTAGAGCAAAAATTTTTAAGCAAAACATACAGATTGGAAACACGGCTGTGCAGACAAGTAGATGTGGGTGAAGTCTTGGAAATAAATTAACAGCTTGGACTCTATTTTCTTCTCTGTAAATAGCAAATAACTTTACTGATTCTGTGGGGTAGTTCAGAATAAATGAGATATAAATATATAAATGAAATATAAATCTATGTCACTATAACAAATACTTAGGTCTCTACAATGTATATTTTTTGGGGTGGTGTTTCTGTTTATCCTTAAAGGTAAACGGGATAAATATTTTCCTCCCTGTTTTCTCCTGTTCTGTACTTTTCATTGGGGCAAACTTATTTTGAAAGATGATCTTGAGCATATGCTAAATGAATTCAATTGAAGAATAGTCACAAAAGACTCTTTTCCCAAACAGGTTGGCTAATTGTTAGTCATAAAATTAATAGCTCTCCAAAAGAGAGTGGGGCATCCTGATTACCATGTAGGGCTGCAAGGGACAGTGGGTGATGTAAGTGTGATCATCTATGTGATGCAATTTGAGAATAGCTGGCAAAAAGCCCACCTTACCTCAAGAATTTTCATCGTAATAGCCACTGCCACCTGCCCCCTTTGCCTAACATGAATCTGTTTATACGGTGTGATGGTTAATACTGAGTGTCAACTTGATTGGATTGAAGGATAGAAAATATTAGTCCTGGGTGCGTTTGTGAGAGTGTTGCCAAAGGAGTTTAACATTTGAGTCAGTGGGCTGGGGAAGGCAGACCCACCCTTAATCTAGTGGGCACAATCTAATCAGCTGTCAGTGAATATAAAGCAGGTAGAAAAATGTGAAAGGTGAGACTGGCCTAGCCTTACAGCCTACATCTTTCTCTCATGCTGGATGCTTCCTGCCTTCGAACATCAGACTCCAAATTCTTCAGTTTTGGAACTTGGACTGGCTCTCCTTGCTCTTCAGCTTGCAAACAGCCTATTGTGGGACCTTGTGATCATGTAAGTGAATAATTAATAAACTCCCCTTGATATATATATATCAAACTGTGCCAGGATATACTAGTGATGGCTCTTGTCTTGTTTCTGAAGAATCTTGAGGAAAGAGAAAAGTAAGTTTTATGTGTATATATATATATATATATATATATATATATGCATCTCAGTTGACAACACAATTTACATAATATGTACCCAGAAGTTGTTCTTCACTCTACTTCATCCCTCACATATTTGCTGTTTTAATTTAGTTTTTCCATGTATTTATTTGACATATTTTACTCAACACCTTTATGTATGAGACACTCTTCTAAGTACTGGGGATAGAAAAGAGAACAAAACAAACGAAGACTCTGTTCCTGTGGCCCCTACGTTGTAGTGGGGGTGAATCAGACTGTAAAAAGTTAAACAAGTACAGATTTTGACAAGAGCTATGATAAAAATAATAGAATGACAAGACAGATTGGCTGGAAGTCCCTAGTTTATATTGGATGGTCAAAGGCTTTTTTGGTAAGGTGATATTTAAACTAAGGTCTAAATGGTAAGAATAATTCAGCCATGCAGAGAAATAGGAGTAGAGGTAGAGGAAACAGGGAGACCCTCTGATATGAGAAACAGGCATGTTTAAGGAATCAAAGAAATCACTTTGGCTGGATTGTACCAAACAAGAAGAAAAGGAAGAACAATGAGGCCACGTATAGCCATGTAGGCCAAGATGAGCAGTCTGAATTTGATTGGACAACAATAAAACCATTGGAAAGTTTGAAGTCAGAGAATAATGTCCAGTTTATATTTTTAATCAATTACTATATTTTTGTGGCTAATGGATTTTAGGTGAACAAGAAAGAAAACTGGAAATCTTGTTAGGAGACAACTAGAGAATTCTAGGTGAAAGATGATCATAATCTAAATTACTGGAATAGGCTTTAACAGTGGAGGCAGGGTTAAGTCTAAATTCAGAGGCAGGGTTAAGTGTATATTTAGGAGATAGTGCTGCTAGGAATCTTACTGAATTGAATATAGGAGGTGGAGGAAAGAGAAATCAAGGATTATTTCTAAGTTTGTAGTATGAGCAACAGGTGAAAGACTTGTATTTTGCTATGATGAGGAAGCTGGAGGAAATATTTTTGTTTCTTCCCTGTTATGTTTAAGAAGCCTATTACCATTCAAGTAGAGATGAAAAGGAGGCAGTTGGATACACAAGTCTAAATTTCCAGGGACAAATCAGGGCTGGAGATAGAGATAGTAGGCAGAACCATGTATCTAAGATTAGATCACCTACCAGCCACTAGAAATAGTGATTATCTGAAGGCAGAGACCTGGGGTGCACCCAAAATTTATTTCCACACTTGCATATATTTATTTCTCCTTCTCTTCCTCTCCCTTGCCTCTCTTCCTATCTCATTTTTCTTCTTTACCACCACTTATTCCATCACTGGGTTTAAAATTTCTGTGATAATTGAGACAGAAGTTATCAATAACCTGTTTGTTAGAGATCACAGTGAAGCAAAGAGATTGACTGTCATATTTCTCTCAGGCATTTTAGTCAGGTTCAGTCTATTTCAAGTGGGTGTAGTGAACAGCTACAGGTGTGAATACAAAACACGTTTGTTTTCGAGAAATCTGGTAAGTAATAATGGGGTAACACCCCAAGTAGCAATGAACACATACAGCAACCATATCTTTCTGTCCAAATATAACATGCTACCAGAAGTCAGTGATCCTTGAGGAAATATCTAATTCCAGGCAAAGTGCAAGGTCAGCTTGGAGCAAATAACTTATGGGAGAAAGTAAGGAAGTGCTTAAAAACTGAGGAAACATAACAAAAGAATGTAGAGGCCAACATAATAAGGCCCTCAGGGGCCAAAGTTAGGAAAATTTACAAAACTGATTTATAACACATTGAATTAAAAAAACCTCTGACTTCATAAGAGTATTCACATTCACAGAAAAAAAGGTAGCATGGGAGGAGAAGGGGATATATCTTCTTTATAGAAGAATATCAAATTATGTTAAAGAAGAAAAGATAAAATTAGAAAATCTTGATTTGCAATCACCAATTTAATGACTGGTTATGGAAAGGATTATCAATAATGCTAAAACTCTATGGTAAAATGTTTTGAGGAGTAGGATACTACATTGTTTCAAAGATTACTCTCAATGAAAAAAAATTCCTTCACATTAGGGAAAATGGCTGAAGCCACTTTTAACTAAATGAACAAAGAAAATCGTCAATATGGAACAAACTGACATTATGTAGTTCCTAATAAGATGCTGAGAGGAGAAGAGTACATTACCTATGTAATATTCTTGCAAAAATGTTCAACCTGAATCCACTCAGGGAGAAACAATAAGACAAACGTATATTGTAGAATAGTCTACAAAACAAATAACCTGCAATCCTCAAAACTGTCAGCATCATCAAAGACTCACACACAAACACACACACACACGTTTGGAAAAATGTTCTTATTAAAGGTAATGGAAGAAATATGACAAGTAAAAAACACATGTACTTCTGAATAAGATCCCGAATTATAGAAAGACATTATTGGAAATTTTGAATATGGACAGTGTAGTAGATATTATTGTATGCTCCAATGATATTCTGCCCCCTGATGTCTGCACTTTTGTGTAATATCGTCCCATGAGCATGGGTGTGGGCTGTGACTTGCTTCTACCAATGGGATATGGCAAAGGTGATTCAATAGTCACTCCTTGATTATATTACATTGTAATTACCTGATATTTTATCATTATTTGATTATTACAATTATCCAACACTTAAGATAGGGAAGCTAAGGAATCAGAGATTATAAGTAATTTGCCTGAGATTACATAGTAAATTAGTGAAAACCAGGATTGAAACACAGGTAACTCTGACTCCAGCACCTGTTTTTGTAACCACTTTATCTCCTGTATGGAGTAGGCATGCACAGCATATTGAAGGAAAAACAAATGTTAAAGGGCTATTACAGTAATTTAGAAGGAGTAGATTATGACAGTGTTTCTCAAAGTGTGGTCCCCAGGCTGGCAGCATCAGCATCACCTGGAATTGTGTTAATCATACAAATTCTTGGGCTGCATCCCAGTCCTACTGAATCAGAAGCTCTGAGAGTGGGGCCCAGCAATGTTTGTTTTAACAATATTCCCAGGAGATCCTGATGCTCACTGAAATTTTAGGACCATCAGGCTAAAGCAATAGCAGAAGATGAGAGGCAAGGGAAAAAAGTTAACATGATTTGGAGAGGTTATGGGGAATGTTAGAATTGAATTGTTACCCATGTTTGAAGCATGAGCAATGGGAAGAATAGTGGTGACATAGAAGAAAAGAGAAAGATTTGCCCTTTGCTTCTCCAGTAATTTGATGTTAGGCAACTTTTGATACATGCATTCAGAATACACAAAAACAACTTAGAAGTGAGTGATAGGTTATTTTCATTACTGCTTCCCCAACTATCGTAATAGTTAAAGCAAAGCGTCAACATGTTTGTATTCTGCACTGAGGTAAGCAGGAGGGGGTGGCAGCATTGGGAAGCATGTAGTACAATAAAGCATAAAAGAAAAAAAAACTGATGCAAGGCTCCTGTGAAAATGGAAGGACTGTAGAAGTTCATTTTAAATACATGCACATGTGTTTTCTATGATAGCATGAGTCCAGAAGATGACTATATTAATAAAAGCAGTATTATAGCAAATGGAAGTAATAAAACACTGCAGCATTTACTGGTCTACATCAGAAGCCCTACTGCTCTTAGATGCTTGCCTTTCAACCTTATTGGAAATTAAAAACTAAGCTCCTTGTGAGGAAAATCTGTTCCACCTGAAATAATGTCAAAAAAATTCATCTCAATCCAATAGATTGCATTAGTATTTGCCATGGTTGAGAGAAACACTAGGAGTGTATGATAAATCCATCTTAAGTAAACTAAGTTTCTGAGCAATTGCTTCTGATCAACTAGACTAATAAGACCAACATATTTGGATAGCACATGGTAGTTTTCAAATTATTTTAGCATCTATTATCTTAATTGAACTAAAAAGTTGGTGAGTCAGGCAAGGAAGGTATTGCTGTTTCCATTTTATGGTGAAGGGGATGAAGATTCATAGGCGTCTCCTATGATAAAGGCCTTGTTTTAGTTGTCATTCTCATTTAGTTGTCATTCTAGTACAAATTTGCCCTGTATAACATAGTTATTCTAGGACAAATTTGCCCTATATAACAGTCACAAGATGGGTTATGCTTAAGGGAACTACTCATTCTCTTAGGCAAATATACTCTGGTGGGTTTATCCCACAGTTTGTCAGCTGAGACTATGTATGTTTGGATATTTTCTTCATTGAGATAACAGAACTCTTTTATTTCTTTTTTATTTTATTTTTAAAATTTCAATTGTTTAGGGGTTTCAAGTGTTGTTTGGTTGCATGGAAAAGTTCTTTAATGGTGATTTCTGAGACTTTGGTGCAACCATCATCCAAGCAGTGTACACTGTGCCCAATGTGTAGCCTTTTATTCCTCATCCTCCTCCCATCCTTCCCCCCAAGTACCCAAAGTTCATTGTATCATTCTTATGCCTTTGCATCCTCATAGGTTAGCTTCCGCTTATAATTGATAACATACTGTATTAGTCAGGGTTCTCTAGAGGGACAGAATTAATTATATATATACATATATATTCCTATTATATATATAAATGTATATGTGTGTATATATATAGGGGATTTTATTAAGTGTTGACTTACACCATCAAGAGGTCACACAGTAGGCTGACTGCAAGCTGAGGAGCAAGGAGAGCTAGTGTGAGTCCCAAAACTGAAGAACTTGGAGTCCAATGTTCGAGGGCAGGAAGCATCCAGCATGGGAGAAAGATATAGTCTGGGAGGCTAGGCCTGTCTCTAGCTTCACGTTTTTCTGCCCGCTTTATATTCACTGGCAACTGATTAGATGGTGCCAACCCAATTAAGGGTGGGTCTGCCTTTTCCAGCCCACTGACTCAAATGTTAATCTCCTTTGGCAACACCCTCACAGACACACTCAGGATCAATATTGCATCCTTATATCCAATCAAGTTGATATTGAGTATTAACCATCACAAGTCCACCCCTTGTCAACTTGAACCCATAAACATCTCCTGAGATCGTACATAATCTTCAAATAAAGACAATAATAAGGTTATAATTATGCCTAACATAATACAACTATCCTTCGTACAACCGGAAACACACTGATCCCCAACCCAAATACTGCTACATAAAGTTAACAATATTTAAATGCTGATATGAAGTCAATAAATCTTATGTCACATGATAAAAGAAAAGGAAATAAAATGAAGATATTGTCTTACTACAAGTGTATACATGCACAAACATGTTTTTAACAAAAGGAGGAAATACTCATGACAATTACAGTCCTTGTTTCTGCAGCTGGTCACTCAGTTGTAGCTGGTATTGAAGATTACCTTCTTCTCCTCTCCATTCTGTATTCCCTTTGCCTTCAGCAAGCACCTCAGCAGGTCGTGGTTTTCTTCGTAGTGGAGTGACCCAAACCTTCATTCCTGAAGGGTCTGGGTCATTTGTAGTCCTGCCTGGATTGGGCTGTTGTAGTTTCCCATTGACCTTAATCACAGAGCATGGTACTAATAAGAGACGCCCTAATGGGTCTCCTGTATTCCATGCATACTCTTCCTTACCTGTGTTGTGGAGTAGTAGAGTGATTTCATCTTGATAGTCTGGGTCAATCACCCCAGCCAACACTGTAACTCTCATCTTAGCCTGCTGAGTTAAAGGTAGGAGGAGCCCAAAGTGTGCAGGTGGCAATCTTAACTTCCAGTTTAATGGAATTGTTGTTGTGTCTCCTCATGGCAGCGTTCCTCCCTCTGGAAATAAGACCTCTAGGCCAGCAGAACATAATGTTGCGGGAACAGGAAGCAAAAATTTTGCTAGTGGATCACTAGGGGTGACGGTGAGTGGTGCCACTTCCACTTCCACCTCTTGATTCCTGGACCCGTGAATGATGGCTATGGGAGAAACAGTACCATATAGTGGATGCTGATTTAGAGCATACACGGCCTTCTGGAGAACTTTGCCACAGCCCTGCAAATTATTATCACCTTGTTGGTGTTGTAATTGTGACTTCAACTGTTCTATCAATTCCACTGTTCTATCAATCCAGCTGCTTCAGAATGATGGGGAACATGGTAAGACCAGTGAATTCCATGAGCATGAGCCCACTGCCACACTTCTTTATCCATAAAGTGAGTGCCTTGATGAGAGGCAATGCTGCGTGGAAAGCATGATGGTGAATAAGGCATTCCGTGAGTCCACAGATGGTAGTCTTGGCAGAAGCATTGCATGTAGGATAGGCAAACCCATATCTGGAGTGTCTATTCCAGTGAGGACAAACGTCTGCCCTTTCCATGATGGAAGAGGTCCAATATAATCAACCTGCCACCAGGTAGCTGGCTGATCACCCCAAAGAATGGTGCCACATCCAGGGCTCAGTGTTGGTCTCTGCTACTGGCAAATTGGGCATTCAACAGTGGCCATAGCTAGGTCAGCCTTGGTGAGTGAAAGTCCATGTTGCTGAGCCCATGCATAACCTCCATCCCTGCCACCATGGCTACTTTGTTCATAGGCCCATTGGATGATGATAGGGGTGGCTGGGGAAAGAGGCTGAGTGGTGTCCCCAGAACGGGTCATCCTATCCACTTGATTATTAAAATCCTCATCTGCTGAGGTCACCTGTTGGTGAGCACTCACATGGGATACAAATACCTTCACAGTTTTTGACCACTCAGAGAGGTCCATCCACATACCTCTTCCCCATATTTATTTGTCACTAATTTTCTAATCAGGCTTTTTCCAAGTCCCTGACCATCCAGCCAAACGATTGGCTACAGCCCATGAATCAGTATATAATCGCACATCTGGTCATTTCTCCTCCCATGCAAAGTGCACAACTAGGTGCATTGCTTGAAGTTCTGCCCACTGGGAAGATTTCCCTTCACCAATGTCCTTCAGGGATGTCCTGGAAAGGGGCTGTAGTGCTGCAGCTGTCCACTTTTGGGTGGTGCCTACATATCGTGCAGAACCATCTGTGAACCAGGCCCTAGTCTTCTCTTCTTCTGTCAACTGATCATAGGGAACTCCCCATGAGGCCATTGGTGCAGACTGGGGGAGAGAAGGCAGGGTGGCAGGAGTGCAGATCATGGGCATTTGAGCCACTTCCTCATGTAACTTACTTGTGCTTTCAGGACCTGCTCAAGGCCTATCACATATATACCACTTCCATTTGACGATGGAATGCTGCTGTGCATGCCCCATGTTATGACTAGATGGGTCAAAAAGCACCCAGTTCATGACAGGCAGTTCAGGTCGCATGGTGACTTGACCCATAGACACACGTTCATTTTCCACCAAAGCCCAGTAACAGGCTAAGAGCTGCCTCTCAAAAGAAGAGTAGTTATCTGCAGAAGATGACTGGGCCTTGCTCCAAAATCCTAGAGGCCTCTGCTGTGATTCACCAATGGGGGCCTGCCAAGGGCTCTAAATGGCATCCCTACCTGCCACTGACACCTCAAGCACCATTGGATCTGCTAGGTCATATGGCCCAAGTAGGAGAGTAGCTTGCACAGCACTCTGGACCTGTTGCAGAGCCTTCTGTTGTAGACACCATCCAAAACTGGCAGCCTTTCAGAACACTCAATAAATGGCCCAGAGTAAGACACTCAAACAAGGAATGTGTTGCCTCTAAAATCCAAATAGGCCCACTAGATGTGCCTCTTTCTTGGTCGTAGGAGGGGCCAAATGCAGCAACTTATCCTTCATCTTAGAAGGAATATCTCGACAGGCCCCACACCACTGGACTCCTAGAAATTTTACCGAGGTAGAAGGTCCTGAATTTTAGTTAAATTTATTTCTCATCCTCTGGCACACAAATGTCTCACCAAAAAGTCCAGTGTGTTTGCTGCATCTTGCTCACTGGATCCAATCAGCATAATGTCATCAGTGTAATGGACCAGTGCGATATCTTGTGAAAGCAAAAAGCAATCAAGGTCTCTCCAAATGAGATTATGACACAAATTCGGAGAATTGATATACCCCGGAGGTTAGACAGCAAAGGTAGACTGACTTGTCTGACTATTCAGCTGGCCTTGCCAGCTGAAGGTAAATTGCTTCTGGTGGGCCTTATGGACAGGAATGGAGAAAAAGGCATTTGCCAAGTCAGCAGGTATCAGGAGATGTGTTAATTTGCTTAAGCAATGAAACCACATCTGGTATGGCAGCTGCAATTGCAGTCACCACTTGGTTAAGCAATAATCCACTGTCATTCTCCAGGATCTATCTGTCTTCTGCACAGGCCAAATGGGAGAGTTGAACAGGGATGGGGTGTGAATCACACCCCTGCATCTTTCAAGTCCCTGATGGTGGCACTAATCTCTGCAATCCCTCCAGGTATGCGATATTCCTTTTGATTTACTAGTTTTCTAGATAGAGGCAGCTCTCATGGCTTCCATTTGGCCTTTCCCACTATAATAACCCTCACCCTACCAGTCAGGGAGCCAATGTGGGGGTTTTGCCAGCTGCTGTATATGTCTATGCCAATTATGCATTCTGGCACTGGAGAAATGACCACAGGATGAGTCCAGGGACCCACTGTAAGTTGGACCTGAGCTAAAACTCCATTAATTACATGACTTCCATAAGCCCTTATTTAACTGGAGGACCACAGTGACGTTTTGGGTCCCCTGGAATCAATGTCAGCTCAGAGCCACTGTCCATTAGTCCCCAAAATTTCTTTCCACACTTGCATATATTTATTTACCTTCTTGCATATTATCGCTTGCATATTATCATTTCCCTTCCCCCAATGCACAGTTACCCTCGCAAAAGGCTGGAGGTCTCCTCAGGGAAGGATGGGAGAAAGATTCACTGCATAAATTGTCAGTAATGTAGTGGGGTCCTTCCTCAAGGGGACCTGGGCTCCCCTTCATTCAGGAGGTTCTGTGTCTGTAAACTGGCTCATGTCTGGAAATGGATTGGAGGGCCATGAATCTCTGTTTCTGTAATTCATATTAGTCATGTGTCCATTCGGCCTAGAAGTTTCCTGTTTGTATAAATTAAGTAGGAATGCGGTAGGCTTCCTATCAATTTCATTTCTAGGAACACCATGATTGATTAGCCAATGCCAGAGCTCTACATGAGTCTGACTATCCTGATTGCTGTTTTGCTTCTGCTGTCCATTATGGTAGCTATGCCCACCTTGCCTTTGATGGTTGAGTGGCACCACTTGGCCCCTGCCACCTCGGGATCCAATTATTCCCATTGTATTTAAATTTTGTAGTTGAGTGACTGCAGTTCTCACCATTATGTCTGACATACAGAGAAGAGCAATTACATGGCTCTTCAAAGATGCAGGTGCTGCTCTCACAAATCCATTTTGCAAGGCATTCGTCAAGGGTATAGCTTCTGGACCCTCCCAGCTGGGATGAGTAGATCTAAAGTGACTAATCTACTCCACAATGCCAATCTCCCTCAGCCTTTGGATCCCTTCCTCTACATTAACCCAAGGGAGATCAGGCATTTCCAGCTCACTCGCAGTGGGCCATCTTTTAATCCATATTTCAGCTAACCAAGCAAATAAACTGTCAGAACCTTTTTTAACTCCCTGAGCTGCAACATTAAAAGCAGAGTCCCTACTTAGTGGGCCCAAATCAATAAATTCACCCTTATCCAATTCTATGTTCCCTCCACCATTATCCCATACCCTTAATATCCATTCCCATGCCTGTTCTCCAGATTGCTGTTTATATATATTAGAGAACTCAAACAGTTCTTTTCTAGTGTATTGCACTTCCTCATGGATCACATTCTCAACCTCACCTCTAGGGGCTCACTGGGACTTTAGTTATAGGTCTAGAAGCAAACAGAGGTGTTCGGGGTGGCTCCTGAGGAGAATCAACATTATCTTGTCTGGCAACTGCCTCAGGGGAGGCCATCACTGTTGCCTCAGGCAGTGTAGGGTTTATCTCCTCAGACCAATGTGGAAAGGCTGATGGCAGCATGGTTCAGGGAGGGGATGTCGCCACTACTGTGGATGGGGAAGCTGTTCCTTCTGGCAAAAAACGTTTATCAGAGTTTACAAACTCAGTGTCCCCAGCTTCATCAGGTCTTCCCACATGTCCCCATTCCAAGTTGCAGGATCTCATTTTTTCCAGTCATTGCCCTCACTTTAACAGTAGACACCTGGCAAGACTGTGCATGCACCTTTCATTGCAGGTTAGCCATTCACATGTAAGAGCTTGTTTCTGTTTTTCCACAATTTCAGCTCTTTCTCTACAGGAAATAAGACTCTTATTCTAGGCAATCTTAGCAGATTTGAGGCTCAGTATCTGCTTCTGAAGCTGGGAGACAGAGTTCCTGAGTTCATCATCTTCTTTCATTGCTTTTTTCACTGAACTTAGGAGCAACCAACCAGCTTCATTATGTTCCTTGGTTCTCCACATATGGTCAAAGGTATTATGTATAGAGTCACTAAACTCCTTGCCTCTCACAAGCAGTGAATCAGGAGTGTCAAATGCATTTATTTTGCATAACTCTCTAAACAGTCTCCTCCATGTACTATCAGTGTTCTCCCTATTATTAGAAGTAGAGTCCTTAGCATTTTTTGGGTCCAATCATAGTAAGCAGCCAACTCTAGAAATTCCCAAACTAGCGAAAGAACTCCATCCTTAATATTCTGTTCCTTAGTCTGTGTTTTCTTAGAGGGACAGAACTAATAAGATGTGTATGTATGTATAGTTGTACTAGTGGTATATATATATATATATATATACACACACACACACATCTTTGTATATAGATATAGATATAGATATAGGAGAGTTTGTTAGGTATTAACTTACACAATCACAAGGTCCCACAATGAGCTGTCTGCAAGCTGAAGAGCAAGGAGAGCTAGTCCAAGTCCCAAAACTTAAGAACTTGGAGTCCAATGTTCAAAGGCAGGAAACATCCAGGATGGGAGAAAGATGTAGGCTGGGAGGCTAGGCCTATCTCTCACTTCGTGTTTTTCTGTCTGCTTTATATTCACTGGCGGCTGATTAAATGGTGCACACTTGATTAAGGGTGGGTCTGCCTTCTCCAGCCCACTGACTCAAATGTTAATCTCCTTTGGCAACACCCTCACAGACACACCCAGGATCAATATCGCATCCTTCAATCCAATCAAGTTGACACTCAGTATTAACCATCACACATACAATGCTTGGTTTTCCATTCCTGAGTTACTTCACTTAGAATAATGGTCTCCACCTTCATCCAGGTTGCTGCAAATGCTATTCTTTCATTCCTTTTTATGGCTGAGTAGTATTCCACAATGTGTTTATATATATACAAATGTGTTATATATATCATATCTTCTTTATCCATTAATTGGTTGTTGGGCATTTAGGCTGGTTCTGTGTTTTTGCAATTGTGAATTGTGCTGCTATAAACATGCATGTCCAAATGTCTTTTTCATATAAGAGCTTCTTTTCCTCTGGGTAGTTACCCAGTAGTGGATTGCTGGATCAAATTATAGTTCTACTTTTAGCTTTTTAAGGAATCTCCACACTGTTTTCCATAGTGGCTGTACTAGTTTACATTCTCATCAGCAGTGTAAAAGTGTTCCCTTTTCAACACATCCATGCCAACATTGGTCATTTTTTGATTTTTTAAATTATGGCCATTCTTGCAGGAGTACAGTGGTATGAACAGACCAATAACAAGTAGCAAGATTGAAACAGTAATTTAAAAATTGCCAACCAAGAAACGTCCAGGACCAGATGGATTGACAGCTAAATTCTATCATACATTCAAAGAAGAATTGATACCAATCCTACTGAAACTATTCCAAAATATAGAGAAATAGGGAATCCTCCCTAAATAATTCTATGAAGCTAGTATCACCCTAATACCCAAACCAGGAAAGAACATAACAGAAAAAGAAAACTACAGACTAATATCTCTGATGAACATAGATGCAAAAAAATCATCAACAAAATACTAGCTAACAAAATTCAACAGCATATCAAAAACATAATGCACCATCATCAAGTGGGTTTCATACTGGGGATTCAGGGATGGTTTAACATAAGCAAGTCAATAATGTGATACATTACATAAACAGAATTAAAAACACAAATTATATGATCATTTCAATAAATGCAGGAAAAGCATTTGACAAACACCAGTGTCCCTTTATGATTAACAACCTCAGCAAAATGGGCATAGAAGGGACATACCTCAAAGTAATAAAAGTCATCTATGACAAACACAGCCAACATTATACTGAATGGCAAAAAGATGAAAGCATTCCCCCTGAGAACTGGAGCAAGATAAGGATGCCACTTTCACCACTTCTATTCAACATAGTACTGGACATCCAAATCCATAACAAGAAAGTCAAACTGTCACTGTTTGCTGATAATATGAATGTATACATTGAAAACATAAAGATTCATCCAAACAGCTCCTAGATCTGATAAATAAATTCAGTAAAGTTTCGGGATACAAAATAAATGTACACAAATCAGTAGCACTGCTATACACCAACAGCAACCAACCTGCAAAACAAATCAATAACTCAACCCCTTTTATAACAGCTGCAAAAAATAAATAATTAGTAATATACCTAGCCAAGGAGGTGAAAAACATCTACAAGGAAAACTTTAAAACACTCCTGAAAGAAATCATAGATGACACAAACAAATGGAAACACATCCCATGCTTAAGGATGGATAGAATCAATATTGTGAAAATGACCATACTGTCAAGAAGAATCTACAGATTCAAGGCAATTCCCATCAAAATACCACCATCATTCTTCACAGAACTAGAAAAAAAATCTTAAAATTCATATGGAACCAAAAAAGATCCCACATAGCCAAAGCAAGACTAAGCAAAAAGAACAAATCTGGAGGCATCACATTACCTAATTTCAAACTATACTACAAGGCTATAGTTACCAAAACAGTATGGTACTGATATAAACATAGGCACGTAGACCAATGGAACAGAATAGAGAACCAATAAAGCCAAATATTTACAGCCAACTGACCTTTTGTTTGCTTTGACAAAGCAAACAAAAACATAAACTGGGGAAAGAACACCCTATTCAACAAATGGTGCTGGGATAATTGGCAAGCCTCATATAGAAGAATGAAGCTGGATCCTCATCCCTTACCTTATACAAAAATCAACTTAAGATAGATCAAAGACTTAAATCTAAGACCTGAAACCATAAAAATTCTAGGAGATAACATCTGGAAAACTCTTCTAGTCACTGACTTTGGCAAAGAGTTCATGACCAGAAATCCAAAAGCAAATGCAACAAAAACAAAGATAAATAGATGGGACCTAATTAAACTAAAATGCTTCTGCACAGCAAAAGGAATAATCAGCAGAGTAAACAAACAGTTTACAGAGCAAAAGAAAATATTCACAAACTATGCATCCAACAAAGCACTAATATCCAGAATCTACAAGGAACTCAAATCATCAAGAATAAACAAACAATCCCATCAAAAGGTGGGCAAAGGACAAAATAGACAATTCTCAAAAGAAGAGATACAAATGGTCAACAACGATGAAAAAAAAGGCTCAACATCACTCATTATCTGAGACTAGATATGTTTGAATTGCAACAAAACACAAAGTTTGTATTCAAGCTGCATTACCTTTATTTGGCTTTTTTCTTCTATTTAAAATTAAATTGTGAATATTATTCCATGCCATTAAAGTATTCTTCTATAATTCTTTTCCATTTTGCATTATTGTTAATGTTTACATGAATATGCTTATGCACAAATATTTGTACATATCTCTCATTTTCTTAGGACAAAATTTTAGCAGTGGAATTACTGTGCCCAAGGGTTATAATCATTTCCAATGCCTTTGGTACAGATTGCCACAATATTCCCCAAAAGACTTATCTGTTTACATTTCATTCAAGGCTGATTGAGAGCACAACTTTCCCTGAACCTTTGCAAATAATGCTAGTTTGATAGGTGAACCCAGTGTCTTATTTTTCTAATTTGCAATTTTGAAGACTAGTAGATCAACCAATTGATAATTATATGTAGATTGACCATGTGTCTTTCCTCTTCTGTGAATTGTCTATTCTTCTCTTTAGTTCAGGAATCTGTAACACATGGCTGTAAAGTGCCAGAGCGTCAACAGTTTAGGCTTCGTAGCCATATGTGATATGGTCTCTGTCATACCTACAGTGCAAAAGCAGCCATAGACAATGTATATGGATAGACATGGCTGTGTTCCAATGAGACTTTACTTACAAAAACAGGTGATGTGCCAGTTTTGGTCCATGGGCTGTAGTTTGCTAGCCCCGATTTAGTTAATTATGCTGCTGGAGATAATTATCACTTTCTTTTTGGTTTTGAAAAGTTCTGTATATATTAAAAATATTAAACCTTTGTCATCTGTTAGAAATGCCTCCTAATTTGTTCTAAAATTTTATATATTCAAAGCTGTTATTATGTTCCTTTTCATTTCTGTATGTGCTTTTATACTTAGTCAGGTTTTTCCCCACTATAAAAACAGGTAACTATTTACTCTGTTTTTTTCTAGTTTCCTTATGGTTTAATTGCTATGACTCCTTCTTAAATCATCTAGAAATAATTTTGGTGAGAGGCTTGGAATAGAGGACTTACCATATTTTCCAACGAGTGATCAACCAATTGTGTTGACATCATTTATTGAATAAACCTTCTTTGCTCAGTAGAGCTTCTTTTGAAGCTAAATCTCTAAAAATGTGAATGCATCTCCACTACTCTTAGAGGTGTTGCCCTTGAGTCTAGCACCTGCAAGTAATGGCTCTAGAAGTGTGTTCACTCTAGGAGCCTCTCCAGCTTCCTTTGTACTTACATCAGTCCAGTTTGACATGTATTAAAAATTCTGCTTTAACTACAGTTGTTGCCATTGTTGTGGCTGCTGCTGTCTTTATAGTTTTTCATATATCTCTGTGTCTTTATATTTGTATGTGGTCTTGCACTGCTCAGTGGGAGACATGCTTTTCTATAAAGCCAGAAAAATTGTGACTCCTCTTTCTGTTGCTTTGGTGTACTATTCTCATTTGTGATCAACTTAGTTTCCTCATGGTGTGCTAACAAATTGGCTATACTACATTATGTCCTTTTCTTTTTATTAATGCCTGATTTAGCCTTTCTTTTTGATTACCGTACTGTAAGGATAACTTTGGGCTTCCTGGACTCCTAAGGAACAGTACTGACTGGGGTTATTGACCTTTGTTTTTCTAATTCCACTAATCATAATGACATACTCCCAATATAGTATTATGCTGCACTTGACCAATTAATCTCTGTGGTCTTCACCGACAATATAAATTATAGTAGACACTTCTGGTCTCCCTAGACCCTCTCATCCTAATTGTCACTCTCTGTTCTCTGCACCCAGCCTGCTAGAAGTATGCTGAGGGGTTGCATGTCTTTTCCTTATTGTTTGAGAAAAGAAAGAATGGCTTTCATGTAAAAGACCACTAGGAAGATTAACCCCACAATGTGGGGAAATAATAATTTCTTCTGAATTCCTGTCCTGTTTTCAATTTAAAAATTACTCCATATCCTTACACCTTTAGGACAAGGCACAAAGAGATTGTGATTAAAATATACAACCTATGGCCTATATTTATATTTCTGCTTTCCTAGCAAAGTCATTTTCAAATATTTTATTTCCTTCCCATCTCTCTATGTGTATATTTTGTGTGGTGGAGGCAGGGCAATATATAAAAATTAATACAAAGAATCTAGTTATATGTTTATCAAAATTCTGGCTTGGCAAAGACATTATAAGGTATAAGGCCTATTTTTAGTAGACACTATGTAAACTTATACTAGAAAATAGGCAGATGCATTGTATTAAACTTTGCAGTTAAAAATACAACATTCGTGTTCTGCAGTGATATTTTAGAATAAAGGTGAACTACTGGAGACTTCAAAAAAGCAGTTAACTCTATACGAGTATAATGTTTTGCATACTGCTCCAAGTATCTTGTAAATATTTACTTATAATCCTGGCGGTGCCCTTGTAAGATCCATTAAGTAAGATGATCTTGTTATGAACTACAAAAAGAAAACCTAAGATATGGAGGTAAAATGATTTGTCCTAGGATTTGTAGCCTGTAAATAAATAAGTACAATCCTCCACGTCAAATCAATATCTTCAGGCATAACCTTACATACCTTTAGGTGTCTTTGGGTGTGGCAAATTCTTTCCTGTTATCACCTATATAGAATAGTGTATACATTACTTATCTTAGATACAGACAGGGTCACTGCAGCATTATAAAATCATTCAGCTCCCACCAAAAGGCATCCCTCAAAACTTCAGTACCTCCCACCTGGGTGTGATGAGTGAGTGACCATAGAGAAAATAACAAAACAAGGAAACAAAGGAAGGGAAAAAGGGGAGTGTTAATCTCCAACTAGTTCACGTCTCTAACCTTAGACAGGATGAGGGCTTAGGTGAAGAAAATGTATCCACTGCATCTAGGAAGCATTCCTTCCTCTTCCTTGGCTCTGATCACAGCATTCCTTCACTTTCTTTCCATTCTTATGAAGATAGATTATGCTGCATGAACTTGCCTTATTTAGAAATACTATAAATTGACCAAAACACAAGATTACCTTTATTCCAAGTTCTACTGAAAGCTCCTTAACTCTGGAAATAATACAATCGTTGTCTCCTCTATCTCCTCTGGTACCTACTTCAGGGCTACAGGACCGTATATAGTGGGGGCGTAATATTGCATCATTCTAAGGAACATACACTTAACTCAGGATAGTATAGTGAAAGAATCAGTTGGGAGTTGAATTTCTTTAATCAAATCACTATCACTCTGGACACTGGTTTCTTTCTATTTTTAAAAAAGGAAAACTAAATTATTTTATCTCTAAGCTTTAAAATTCCATAAACCCAAAGTATTTCTTATTTTTTCCTTTATAGTTTCAGTATTGGAGACTTGTTATGTACGTGGATTTTGGAGTCAGATAGACTTAGGTTAGAGGAGCAATTCTATCACCCTATAGTTATATAATCTTGGACAAGTCATTTGGTTTCCCCAAACCTCTATTTTCTTTATTTGTAAAATGGGCATAATAATACCTTTCTCACAAAATTATAATATAATACATGCAAATCACTTTCCACAGTTGATACTATGTGAAAATAACTAAATAAATTTTAACTGTTACTATAAGCTGTATTTACGGATAGCCCTTGGCAAAATTATGATAAATAAAGTTCGAGATTGACATTCCCCCTTTCCCCTCCCTTTGTTTCCCTATTTTGTTATTTTCTCTATGGTCACTCCCTTTTCACTCACCACACCCAGATGGGAGATACTGAAGTTTTGAGGGATGCCTTTTGGTGAGAGCTCAATGATTTTATAATACTGCAGTGACCCTGTCTGTATCTAAGATAAATAATGTATATACAATTCTAATATTTTTAGATCTTTGAGTCTATAATTTTCCATTTCCCAGTGAAGAAAATTTCACTGGTTATGAATACTGAATGCTTGATTCCAGGAACCATGCTTCAAGAGAGTTTTCCTGCAGGCAATGTGCATTAGTTATTAGGGACTGGCACTCATTTATAAAGCTGATCACAGGCCTGTTTTCTATCACTTACAGAATGTTCATAATAATTCACGAGTTCATGCAGGCTATGTCTCCTCATAATGCTATACAAGTTTAGAAAAAGAAATCTTTATCTTTATTACATGACAGCTCACGTGCTCACATCCATCACTTTTTTGAGTGTAGCTTATTTGCAGCCCAGTGGGAGTTATATAATCTGACACCAACATTTCAACAGAAAAATCACAGGAAATTATGAGAGAAGCGTACTACTGTTCACCTTTCCACAAATTCTCTTGTGTTAATAGAAGTGAGATCTCAAATTAGGGCAAATTCTCCTACCCATTCCAAATACCATAATTATGCTGACCTATTTAAATCATTAATAGTCTCTCTTTCTCTCTCTCTCTTTTTTTTCTCTCTCTCTCTCACACACACACATACACACACACTAAATGGGCTGTAATAAGTATATAACCAACATTATAAATACACCCTTAAGTTAAGCCTATGGGGTCCGTTTGGACTGGTGGCATTTGAACTAGTTGCATGGCCCACAGAGACTTTGATGTTTTAGGTATGGTCTGAATATTGAGATGTTTAAGAGCTTTTTCTGTGATTCTACTGTACAATAAAGTTGAAGAATCACTGCTCTGTATGCCTCCCTTTAGCAAATGGACATTGAATAGCTACTTATGTCAGAAGCTTAACAATATGCAAGATGGGAGGGCCTGGACTATGTGCCTGGCAGTGGACTTTCCCTGGAAAGAAAATGGTAGATATAAACTGATTGACAATTAATTTTGGTAGCCTCCCAGACAAGATCTTGGCTAGGAATTACTTTGGACCACACCGTATATTCTGGAAAACACTCCCTGTATCCTCTGCCAACTCTCAGCTCCTCCCCTACACCCATACATCCACACACAAATAAATGCTATTTTAAGCCTGGATAAATTATTTGTAGATCAGTTTTATTGATGGGGAAACTACCTGATGTTTTAAATTAACATCAGGTAGTCTTGAATGGAAATAAAGTCACCAAAGCACAAGATGGACTACTGTGCTTAGTCCCAGAACAAGTTAAGGAAATGTATGGGTTAATTTTATTCAGATGAGCAACAGCTGGCAAAGGCATTGGTGTCTTCATCTGGCTGCCTCCCGGAGTCAGAACTCAGCCACCAGTGACTGTAGCAGAATTGGGCCCATAGGGAAGTCTGGCTGAGAACATGATGAACACAGAACAGAGAGCTATGTTGTGCATTTCAAGCAATCAAGGCTGGGTGCGGTGGTTCATGCCTGTAATCCCAGCACTCTGAGAGGCCAAAGCAGGAGGATCTCTGGAAACCAGGAATTCAAGACCAGCCTGGGCAACATAGTAAGACCCTGTCTCTATAAAATAAAAGCAATCAAAATAGATAAATCATAGACAAATGGAATATTTAACCATTAAATTAGAGCTGTGCTATGTCCCTGCCACAGGCAATAATTTCTGCCAAAGAGGTTAGGTAGCTATAGAATATCTCCACCTTCTTTTAACAGTCCATTATGTGTGAATCTGTTTTCCTCTGAATTTACCTAAATTCACCTTGAACTAGTTTTTATTTTCAGCTAATCTCTTCTTTTGTGAATAATAATTTAATACTTCTAATATTTTGATTTGTCTTGAAACTACTTACTGAAATTATCAAATACCAGAGTTAAAAGAGAGCCTAGTTAGAGGTCATGGAAACCAGTGATTCTCAAACTTTAATGTTGACCTGGGCCTTTGTTAAATGCTTCTCAAAGTGTGGTCCATAGATTAACAGTATCAGCATCACTTGTGAACTTGCTTGAGCTGTAAAATCAAAGGCCCATTTCCAGAACTATTGAATAAGAATCTGCATTTTAAACAAGATCCCCAGGTGATTCTCATGCACATAAAAAGCTGGGAAACATAGAGTTACATAAACTGTTTTCAAGATTCAATGTGAAGTGAGGAATCTCCCTAGGCCTTATATTTCAGAGTCTGGTAAACAACTGTGCATTCACTGTCTCCAAGCTTTTTCCATTTAGCTTACTTTGCCAAACTATTACTGAGTATCTACAATGATTGAAGCACTGGAGATATAGTACAGAAGTAAATAAAGCATTCTTTTCCCTTGAACCTTTGTCTTTCTCCTCCATGTTTAAGATTACTAGAGTCCCCCTTTTTTGAACCTCTTCCGATGCTATAATATAATATGGAGCAACAAAGACCCAATCTACACCTGTTTTTAAATGGCAGCAAGATAAATCCTAAGCTAAATTACAGGAATATTTTCCTAACTGGGTCTCCCTAATTCTAAACTTGTTCCTTCCAATCATTTATTCATACAGCAGACTCGTGATCTTTTGACATTTCTTATCATTCCTTCCTTGCTTTCTACAATCTAGTCAATCTAGTCATACTGGCCTTCTTTCAGTTTTTTGAAAGCAGCAAGCTCTATTATGCTGCAGTGACTTTACCTACTCTCTCCCTTTACTGTGGACTGTTCTTCTTATCATCTGGTTAAATTTCATTATTTCTTCAGGACTCATCTTAAGTGGAAATTTTTTAGAAAAGTTTTCCCTTGATCACTTTCTCTCAATCTTTTTTTTTTTTTTCCGCTTAGGCTGGAGTACAGTGGCGCGATCTTGGCTCACTTCAAACTCCGCCTCCCGGGTTCTAGTGATTCTCCTACCTCAGCCTCCTGAGTAGCTGGGATTACAGGCGCCTGCCACCAGCCTGGCTAATTTTTGTATTTTTAGTAGAGACGGGATTTCACCCTGTTGGCTAGGCTAGTCTTGAACTCCTGGCCTTTGGTGATCCTCCCGCCTTGGCCTCTCAAAGTGCTGGGATTACAGGCATGAGCCACCGTGCCCAGCGTTTTACTCTCAATCTTGACAACAAGCTCTTCTTATTACCATCTCTCATCCCACTTATTTATATTTTCTTTGTAACACTTATGAAATTATTGCTATAACTTATAATTACATGTTAATTTTTGTGATCCTTTATTAATTATCTTCCCTACCGTAATGTATGTTCCATGAAGATAGGAAATTTGTCCAGTTCTTCACCATGGATTCTTTTTAGTAGTTTTTGGCACATAGTGCATGCTCAATAAATATTTGTTGAATGCAATGTATGTCTTTTCTCACCAGCCTGTCTAATATTACTTCCCCAGTGACTCTTTAGTATATCGTCCTGTTTTATTTTCTTTATAACAGTTATTGATAGCTGAGGCTGTCTTGCTGATTAATACATTTATCTATATGTCATTATCTGTCTCCTCCAATTAGAATATAAATTTCATGACAATGCAGACTCTGAAGCAGACTTCCTGGGTGTGAATCTCAGATTCACCACTTACTGCATATGTACCTGTGAGAAAGTCTCTTAAGCCAGCATTCATGCCTCATTAGTAAATTAGTGGTAGTAAATGTCTCTAAATTATAGGGCTGTTGTGAAGAGTAATTGAGAGACTATGTATAAAACAACACCTAGCAGAGTGACTGCACATAGTAAGCATTATTTGAGTGCTAACTGTTACGATGGTGGTCACTATCATTATTATTCATCTGTTTCCTCAGCAAATAGATCAGCAACAGACGTATAGTAGGTACTCCATAAATATATTTTAAATATGTTAAGAAACATTTTATGCCTTATTATCCATTAAAGTGATATTTTATTTGGCTGCCGAGAACCAGTGCCCACTTGCAGATTTTCTAAAAGTTATCTGTTTATCTGCCATGATGTACTACATATAAAATTTCCCATTATGATTATGGGTAGAAGTTTGTTTTTGCTTCTATACTTCTCATTTTTGGGGGAAAAGGGTGACATCTTAAAATTGATTCCTGTTCCTTAATCAGTGTGACTCTGGATATTCTACTTTTAGAACAACTATTAAATTCTTCAGTACGTATCCTACCCCCAACCCCACTTGGCCCATGAAAAATATAAAGTTTAAATTGATTTTAGTTTTACTTGCGATGATAATTTCTGCCTGAGCAAGGAATATCTTCTAAGGATAGAACTGGATGCTAATTTAAATTCTTTTTTTTTTTTTTTTCCTACTAACGTTGAAACATTGAGAAAAGTTTGGGCAGGGAGATTCAAGCACTTAATTCAACTTTCTCTCCACATATATGAAATAGAGAAGCACAGTGATTTATCATACTCTGTATTTTATTATACTGTCATTTTTAGTATATTTAAGTTTGGTTAATACAATCTTGACAGCAGGGTGGAATGTAATTTACATTTTAATATTTTCAGCTGCAGCAATGGCAATGTATTATTTCTGCATACAGAAAGATACCAGTTATCTGACTGATGTGGAGGGGACACAATATATCCTCAGGTTACTTTTTGAAAACAGAAGTGAAAAATCACCTTACCACGTCACTGATGTCATGACATAATAGACACTTTGAATTATTCACTAAATGCCTTAATGCCAAAGGTCCCATCAAGTTTGGAATTATATACTTTAGACATTTAAAATGAATCTTAAAAAGAATTATTTAATGTTCAGAATTGGTCTTTCAACATTAGAACTCTATTATAAGAAAATCACTCAACAATACTTGAGTAGGCTAAATCATGTCTCTCCAAGTGTAACATCCTGAATGAGAATAGGGTATGAGGCTGATATTTATACTCTCTCCTGATGCCAGCCTTATAAAAGGGTCCTACTGTATTGATTGCACTATGAAGGTGAAAATTATAGTAGCATCAATTCGAGTTAAGTGAAAATTAGAGAATCAGAGACTATCTGATCGTATGTGTAAGCAAACACATACGAGGCATAGTCCAGGGTTTAGCGCAGTAATTAGTCTACTTCCAGGCCTACCAATCACACTTCTAGTTGTCCAAACCCGATAGAAGGATTGTATTCCTACGTTCATGCCTGGTATAATGAAAAGAAGCCCTCCTTTCCATGATTCTGCAGAAATAAGCAGTATTTTAATCAATTTGGAATAATTACTGTGTATCAATAAACCAGATTCTTTTTGGTCTTGTTTAACATTGTCTCCACAATTGTGCCTGGTGCATAATAGGTACACAATATATACTTATTGAATTAATAAACAAATGTCCATTATTTTAAAAATTAAAACCTCAGATCCCATTTTTGGGTATTATGTGGAACTCTAAGTCTCTCCTGAGAGCTTGGGATATCTTCAGAATAATGTTTGAAAACCACTGATGCTAGTAACTGTGATGAAACAAAGAGCAACTGGATAGTTCTAGTCCTCAATTACTCTTAATCCTCCACCACCCTCTTGCCTTCATTCTCCAACTTTGTTATTCTCTATCTCCAGGAGAAATTAGAGGAAATATGAATGCAGAAGACGAGATGGGGCAAATGGTAGAAAAAAGTGTGAAAGCTACAGTGAATTGAATTTCACAGTCTCTGTAAAAGTGAAATGAGATGAAACCTCAAGAATAGAAAAACAGTGTCATTCTCTTCAATTTTCTGGTATATCTCACTCTATGAATAAATCTTACTGATAGAATATTTTCTGGAATAGAGCAAATTAGTTTAGTATAAGTAAGTAGATTATCTGTTTGAAGAGAGGAAATTATGCTGAAGAACCAACCCTAGAATATGACAACCACAGCTTCCCATCTACCAGAAATAGCATTTTACATAACTAAGAAAAGATAATTGGCATGCATTTTTGAATTCATTTTATGAATGTGAATATGGGTCTAATATCTAAATTGTTAGAATAGCCAGAGGCTAGTGTCTGACAGCATTAGACTACAGAGCTTCCTCTACAATCTGAATTGAAGCATGTAGCTCAACTTAGAAAACAATCTGACATGACAGTTTCCCACAGTGTATTTTAAACCCAGATAACTAGATGCACTATTTAGTAATGGGGCAGTTTTAACAGGAGATATCCCATAAGGCCAGCCTGAAGCAAACTTAAGAATGAAAGTATTTTTTTTCTGTGTGTGTTAGCGAGTTCTTTCAATCCCAGATACACCACTATCCTGAGCCCACAGTCCCTGGCTTGCAACTGTATTTCCAACTACTATCTCCTTTCAGGAGATAATCATTCAGGATATTCTAAAATGCTATCCTCAACATGTGCCACCTGTGCAAAATAGTGGTGTGTTTATGCTAACTATCGAAAAGTACATTTATAAATTTGAAGAAAAAGATATGTGTGGTATGTAGGGAGGAAGCAGAGCAAGATGCAGAATAGAATGCTCCACTGATCATCCCTGCTGCAAGGACACCAAGATAACAATTATCTACACAGAAAAAAAAACACATTCTTAAGAACTAAAAATAAGGTAAGCACTCACAGTACCTGGTTTTAATTTTATATCACTGAAATAGGCACTGAAGAGAGCAAAAACAGTTCTGATGCCACCCCCTGCCCTCCAGCAGTGGCGGCATGGTGCGTAGAGCATCCGTGGGTGCTCGGGGAGTGAGAACACAGCAATTGGGAGGCATTAAACTCAGTGCTGTCCTGTTAGAGTAGAAAGGAAAACTGGAACAAACTCAGTGGATGTTCTCCCACTGAGGGAACATTTAAACCAGCCCTAGCCTGAGGGGAATTACCAATCCCAGAGGTCCGAACTTGAGTGGCTGCAAACCTTGCCACTGAGGGTTACAGCGCTCTGTCTCCAAGTAAACTTGAAAGACGATCTAGGCCATAAGGACTGCAACTCTGAGGCAAGTCCTAGGGCTAAACTGGACCCAGAGACTGTGGAATAAGGGGGTGGGGCATGTGACATACTGAGACACCAGCTGGGGCAGCAAAGGGAGCACTGGCAGCACACCTCCCCTAACCCCCGTCTGTACAGCTAAAAGCTCCCAAAGAGAACTTTTCCTTTCGCCTGAGGAGAGGAGAGGGAAGACTGGGGACAACTTCGTCTTCACACAATTGAACTCATGGACATAGAGAGTAGCATGATAATTACCAGAACCTGGGAAGGGTAGTGGGTAACTGGGTGGGAGGTGGGGATTGTTACTGGGTACAAAAATAATGGAATTAATGAGATCTATTATTTGATAGCACAACATGGCGACCATAGTCAATCATAACTTAATTGTATATTTTAGAATAATTTAGAGTGTAATTAGATTGTTTGTAACTCAAAGGATAAATGCTTGAGGGGATGGATACTCCATTCTCCATGATGTGCTTATGTCAGATTGCATACCTGTATCAAAACATCTCATGTACCATATAAATATATACACCTACTATGTAGCCACAAAATTAATAATAAAAGCTAAAAAAAACAAGTAGAATAAAACAAAAAAAAACCCAAATAAAAGATATGTCTGATTCTATTTCCTGCAACCAGAGAAGAGAAAGATTTAACAGTGTTGAGAACTCTCAAAGGTATAATTATGAATAGAAAGAAATTATTCAAATGAAGAAGAAAAGGATAAATATCAACAAACACATATATGAATGGCATGAGGTATAAGAAGAGTGTGAGAAAGACTAAGATGCAGAGTGAATGTGGGTTTACACTAAGAACTAAGATTAATAAAAGGGCTTTAAATAGTATACTTCAAATAAGAGGAAAAGCAAGGAAGGCTTGATACTTGAAGCTGACAGAGAAAGATTAGAAATGACTTATTTGCTCCTACTGTATTTCATCTTCTCTCTTTCTGAGAGTGGGCCTCATACCAGAATGAGAAATAGGTACAGGGTAACAGAAAATTAACTTTTTTCCAGCTTTATTGAGGTAAAATTGACAAATAAAATCTGTATATAATTAAAGTGCACAATATTTTGATGTCTTCATATATGTATACATTGTAAAATTATTACCAAAATCAAGCTAATTAATATATTCATCAACTCACGTATGTAACATTTATGTGGTGAGAATATTTGATATATTCTCGTAGCAAATTCAAGTATACAATACAGTGTTATTAACTATAGTAATTATGTTGTCTGTCCATTACAACTCCAGAATTTACTTATCCTGCCTAAATGAAACTTTGTACCCCTTGACCAAAATCTTCCCATTCCTTCAATCCCCACACCCTCACAACGATCATTTGACTCTGCTTCTATGAGACTGATTTATAAAGATTCTGTACATTTTGAGATCATGGAGTATTTGTCATTCAGTGCCTGGCTTACTTCACTTAGCACAATGTCCTCCAGTTTCTTCCATATTGTAGCAAATGACAGGATTTCCTTCTTTCTAAAGGATGGATAACATTCCATGGTGCGTGTGTTATCTATGATTGTTTCCCTTGCTTTGCAGAAGCTTCTCAGATTGATACTTTTGCTTTTGTCACCTGTACTTTTGGGGTCATACTCAAAAAAATCATTGCCCATACCAATGTTAAGAGGTGATTTCCCTGTTTTTTCTTCTAATAGTTTTAGAGTTTCAGGTCTTACATTCAAGTCTTTCATCCACTTGATTTGATATTTGCAAATGGTGGGGTGTAAAGGTTTAATTTAATTATTTTTAATGTAAAGGTCCAGTTTTCCTAGTATCATTTATTGAAGAGATTAGCATTTCCCCATTGTGTATTTTTGGCTCTCAGTCAAATATCACTTTACTGTAAGTAAGTAGGTTTATTTCTGGGCTCTCCATTCTCTTCCATTGGTCTATATGTCTGTTTTCTTTATAGTAGTACCACACTGTTTTAATTAGATATCTATGTAGTGTGTTTTAAAATCATTTAAGGTGACACCTTTTGCTTTGTTCTTCTTGACCAAGATTGCTTTGGCTATTCACTTGGTTATTCAGGACCTTTTGTGGGTTCCATATGAAGTCTTGGATTTTTAAAATTTCTGTTAAAAATTGCCATTAGAATTTTGATAGGGATTGCATTGAGTCTGTGAGTTGATTTGAGTAATATGGAGATATTAAGGATATAAATTCTTCTAATCCATGAACATGGAATATCTTTCCATTTGTTTGTGTCTTCTTCAATTTCTGTTATCTGTGTTTTACAGTTTTCAGTGTATAGGTCTTTTACCTCCTTGGTTTAATTTATTTTAAGCATTGTGTTCTTTCTGATCTATTACAAATTCAATTATCTTCTTAATTTCTTTCTTGAACAGTGCATTCTTACTGTACAGAAACACAACTGATTTTTATGTTGATTTTTATGCTACAAATTTATTGAACTCATTAATTAGTTATAATTGTTTTTTGGTGGCATCTTGAGGGTTTTCTATATATAGCACCATGTTATCTGCAAACAGAGACAATTTTAATTTTCCTTCTGATTTGAGTGACTTTAACTTCTTTTTCTATCCTAATTACTTTGGTTAGGACTTTCAGGACTATGGTTGAATAGAAGTGGCAAGCGTGCACACCCTTGTCTTGCTCCTGATCTTGGAGGAAAGCTTTCAATTTTTCACCTTGAGTATGATGTAGCTGTGGGGCTGGCTTGTTATATGCGGCCCTCATTGTGTTAAGGTACATTAATTTTACAGTTTATTTGTTAAGAGTTTTTATGATGAAACGATGTTGAATTTTGTCAGATGATTTTTTTCTGCATCTATTGAAATGATCATGTGATTTTTATGTTTTATTCTGTTAATGTGGTATATTATTTTTAATTATTTGCACATATTGAAACATCCTTTCCTTCCATGGATAAATCCTACTTGGTCATCGTGTCTGATCTTTTCACTGTGCTGTTGAATTTGGTTTGCAAGTGCTTTTTTTGTTTTGTTTTGTTTTGTTTTGAGGATTTTGGCATCTATGTTCATTAGGGATATTGGTCTCTACTTTTATTTGCTTGCTTTTATCCTACTCTGGCTTTCATATCAGAGTAATGTTAACCTTGTAAAATAACTAGGTAAGATTTTCCTCCTCTTCAAATTTTGAAAGACTTTGAGAAGAACTGATATTTGTTCTTCTTTAAATGTTTGATAGAATTCACCAGTGACGCTTTTAGGTCATGAGCATTTCTCTGTTGGGAGGCTTTTTAAAAAAATCACTAATTCATTCTTCTTAATCATTATTTGTCTGTTCAGATTTCTTATTTCTTCATAATTCAGTCTTGATAATTTGTACATTTTTAGGAATTCATCAATTTCTTATAGGCTTTCCAATTTGTTGACATATAATTGTTCATAGTTGTGTCATAGTCATTTTCATCTATGAAACATCAGCTGTAATGTCTCATCTTTAATTTATGATTTCATTTATTTGAATTTTCTCTCTTTTTTCTTAGTATAGCAAAAGGTTTATTTTTTATCTTTTCAGAAAACCAACTGTATGTTTCATTAACTTTTTATATTGTTCTTTGGTTTATATTTAATTTATTTCTATTCCAATTTTTATTATTTTCTCCTTTCTGCTAATTTGAGGCTTAGTGTTTTCTTCTAGTTCCTTGAGGTATAAAGTTAGATTGTTTATTTGATATCTTCTTTCTTAATGTAGGAATTTATTGTTATAAAGTTCCCCCTTAGAACTGCTTTTTATCCATCCCATATATTTTGATAGATTGTTTTTCCACTTTTCTTCATGCTAAGATTTTTTTAAATTTCCCCTTTGTTTTCCTCTGACCTATTGGTTGTTTAGTAGTGTGTTGTTTAATTTCCAGGCTCAAAATTAATATCTATAAAAATGTAGTTCAAGGCATTGCATATTATAAAGAAAAAAATGGGTGCTGTGATAGAAATAGTAGAAATATAGTAGAAAATATAGTAGAAATAGTAGAAAATATAGCCATCAGGAATATATATATATATATACCTAAAATGTAGCTTCAAAATTAAAGAAGTGATGGAACTGCTGGGCCAAATTGATAAATTTATAACCATAGTTAGAGATTTTAACATACTCCTCTCAAAAGCTGATATATCAGGCAGAGAAATGGCAAACAAACAGAGGACATCCAAAAATATTTGTAAACTCATATTTATGTCAAAAATTTGTATGCTTCTTTCATGCTTAGACATCACTTATAGAAATTGACCATGTGAGAAATTATGAATAAAATTTATTTACATCTAATAATACCATATAAAATTATGTTCTCTCATTTAGATCATTTAGACACCAATAACAAAATGATGCCTAAAAACTCCCATATATCTTTAAAGTACATAATATGTCACTAAATGGCCTTTGAAGTCAATAGCAAAGTATGTTGGAGAAACTGAAAGAAAATCACTGCAGCTAGAGCCCATGGAGAGAGGTACAAAAATGAGGCTGGAGAGGTAGGAAAGGGTGACAGCATACAGGGCCTTGTATACCTTGGTACTGTGTTTTAATACAAAGAGGCTTGAATTTCATTCTCTTGCTACTAAATGATGTAATAATTCCAGATTAGCCCAGTTTTCCTTCTTTATTTGCTGTTTCACAATTCTTTCTTGTTTTTCTCTTCCCTCTTCTGCATGTTCCATTTTCTTCCCATCCCATCCTCTTCTTGACTTCTTTCTCTTTTTATTTCTTTCTTTCCTATCTTCTCTACTCAGTATCTTCCATCCTTTGTTCTTGATTTCTTAGTCCTTCTTATCTCTGATCATTCCTCCTCCATAGTTTAGTATGATAGATGTGTGAGGGAGCTCTTTTTGTGGGTAAGTGGACATCATTGGGTCTGAGGGTTGGAAGCATTTTAGTTTCCCACCCACTGCTTTAAACCTTGTATTGGGCATTATTGCTTCTCCCAGCAGAGTTAGATATCTAGCTTCACTTTTTACCTCTCATTAGAAGTCTGGAGATAGCTCATCTATAGCTTGTATTTCTCAAATGACCAAACTATCTTGGTTACTCTTTTTTCTCTCCATTTATATAAGCTGTGTTTCTTCCACAAGCATAACTAATGAGATGCATATAAGCAACTCAGCTATAATTGTCTGTATAGCAACTGAGGGCATTAAATATTTTTTTCCTTTAGTATGATTGTATTAAACCAGGGAAACGAAAGTAAAAACTCTGGTTTGTACTTCTGTACAAATGCAATTTTGTCTTGCTCCCAAGAATTTAGCTAGCAAATAAATTTCTCATTTTCTTGGCTGTTCCTGCTTCTGAAAAATTGCTATTAGGGATAAAGAGAAAATGAGAGAGAAGAGAAGAGAAAAGAGGAGAGGAGAAGGAAGGAGAGGAGAGGAGGAGAGGGGAGGGGGGCAAGAGGAGGGGAGGGAAGTGGGGCAAGAGGAGGGGAGGGGAGGGGAAAAAAACCTAAAACCTCGTAACATGGTTCTTTGACATATTTCTCAAGGACAAAATTTTTTTTGGGCCCTGAGCCATAGTTAGAAACAGCATCGTTTCATTGGGTTACACTGGTTTAACTCAGGCAAGCATGATTTTTTCCAACTTCACTCAACTATTCAAAGTTGTTATTGTAGCCTTTTAACCTTTTTGCCTACATGTCTAGTGTCTCATTCACTGGAATTCTACGAGTCATCTTTCTTTGCTTTGTGTTGTCTAATCATTAGTTCTCCTAGAGCTTGAATTGAGAAACAATTCGTTACTTAAGTGTTTTTTTTAAGGCAGTGTCTTGTACCTTATCATATCTTATTGTCTTTAAAGTCTGACTTCCTCCCTAGAAAGCAAAACACAGTGAGCCAAGCAGATGTTTTCTTATAAAGAATTCATAGCAGACCTATTTATACCAAATTAGCATATCTCATTAACTGTCTCAAGGACACAGACTGAATTGTTTTTGAAAAAGTGTCTGAAACAACCTCATCTTTTGGAGAAAAAAAATGAATTCTCAAGTAACTGCTTCCATAACTAACTCCTTTCTCAATGGAGCATGAACAAACACAAAATCTGACTTGTCACTGCCCATTTGAACACTTTGCTTGGTCTGAATTCTTGCAATGATTAGTAATATCAGGAGTGAGCCTCGGCCCAGGTGGGAAGAATGATAAGAATAAGGGGGAATGCCATCTTATTTTGTGTCTAGCTCTAACACTTAGTAAATACCTACTACCAGTACTTACCGTGCTAAGTGCTTTATATACATTTTCTCATATATTTATCACAAAAAGCTATAAGATATGTACATTATTACCCCTCCTAAATTTTTCATATAAGGACTCTGATGCACAAAATGATTTTAAAAAACACCGTCCAAGTGTCATCGCTATAAGCAGCAGAGACAGAATGAAAAATCAGTCCTGTGTGACTCCAAGCCCTTACTTTTCCAATAAATTGTGCTGCATGATTGATCCAGCGACTCACATATTCCTTGGCACATATAGGCACTGAAAAAAATATGAAAGCAACGATTACAACTGAGACTGGGTTTCTCATTAGCTAGGTAAAAATTCTGAGCCAGCACATCTCTATTATTTCACATCTGAGTTCATGTCATGTCTCTTACATCTTCCTAAGAGTGCGAAATGGCAGGTGTTATTATCTTAAATTTAAAGGAATCAAACTACATTTTGATTTGTGATATTTAATGAAAATTTCTTGACACTCTTGAGAATACACGGAGGAGTCTTGGGGATTTTCCATCTTCCTAAAATAATGTTGTTGTTGTTTTGACATTTCTCTTGTTTAGTGCCTCCCTACAGCTAAACAGATATAATCTAAACTTCTTGTTCTTGCATTTAAGGCGATCCATAATACGTATCATGTCTTCTGCTCAGGTACTTTGGAGTTCCTGTAGTACCACTTTTGCCTCTCATTCATACATATACACACAACAAACACTCAGAGACACTCCATATTCCTCTTCGTCTTCTTTAGTGCCATTAACCATGTTTGAAATTACCTTCTCTTTCATATTGATTTTTACTTGTAGGTATCAATTTTTTATCACTATATTTGGAATGCAGTATAAACCACATTTATTTATGATTTTAAATCAAATTCAATCCAGCTTGAGCACACAGTTATCAAGTTTGATGAAACGTTCAAAGTCAAACATTTGAAAGTTTATACAGGAGTACTTTCTTGCTCCTTATTGTTGTGTTAAAGTTTCAGGGGCTTTTGGTGTCCCACTAAGAGTCATTCTTGCCTGTTGCTTTTTCTTATAGTTACCTGATGCTGATTTGACTGTGATTCTCCATTATCTATCCTATGGCTTGACTCCTTAAAGCATTTCTTAATTTTTTAGTTTTATATTTTGCCCATCATGGTCCCTTGAAGCTTGATTCTCTCCTGGAAATTTTACTCTGTTCTGCCAAACTTGGTCACAAGGAACCAGCAAGACTCCCAAGCTATAGATGTTTAGGGCCTACATTCAAAGCACTATGTTCTACATGGATCAAATTTTCTCTACTTCTGGTACAGTCCTTGTACCAGTCTCCAAGGATATAGGTATTTGTGGGAAATAAGTTCATTTCCCTTAAATATTTGAAACACCAAAAGCCTATTTTCTCTGTGGTAAATTTTAAAATCGGCCACAAATTATTTTCTTCCCTCTACACATGCACCCTTTGCAAGGTAACTCTGATGTTATGCTCATCAAGAGGTCATTTTCTCTGCTGCTTTAATCTAGGTTTGGTCATGTGACCCGTGTTGGCTAATATGAATTAGCAAATGTGACATAAGCAAGAGGCTTGAAAAGTGCTTTCACTATGGAGCTCACTTTTTTTTTTTCCTGCTCATGCCATCCCAAGAAGCATGCAAAGAAGCCCAGGTAAGCCTTCTGGAGAATAAAGAGCCTACATGGAGGGAACTAGGATTCATAGCCGAAAGACCGTCCATTTCCATATGAGAGTGAACTCAGCCTTTACCTCAGCCTTCACCTGATGAGGAACTTCAAACACATGAGCAAAGCCAATCAGCATTAGCTGAGCCAGCCCAACACGAAAGAAGTGCCCAGCAGAAACAGGAGCTAAATAATTTTTTTCATTTTAAGTGTCTGTTTGAGTTTGCTAGGGCTTCCATAACAAAGTGTCACAGGGTGGGTAGCCTAAACAGCAAAAATTTATTTTCTCACAGTTCAGGAGGCTGGAAGTCAGAGATCAAGCTGTTGGCAGGGTTAGTGTCTTCTGAAGTGTCTCTCCTTGGCTTGTAGATGCCCCTACTTTCCCTGTGTCTTTGCATGGTCTTCCCTCTGTGTCTGTATCCTAATCTTAAGGACACCAGTCATCTTGGATTAAGACCCACCTTAAAGACCTTATTTTACCTTAATCACCTCTTTAAAGGCCTTATCTCTAAATATAGTCATATTATGGGGTACTAGAAGTTAGAGTTTCAACATATGAATTGGAGGAGAACACAATTAAATTCACAACAGTCACTAAATTATCATTCTTTCTATGAGGCTTCCTCCCCCAAACAAAGTTATCTTTAGAATGGCAACCCCTTCTCACTTCCTCTAATATATAAAATGTTATTTGTTCCCACTCTGGAGGTTAAGGAGACCCTAGATCTCTAATACCCTCCTCTCTTTGTATGGTGGGAAAATAACACCAAGAAGTTTGCTCATTAAACTATAGAATTAATACATTGTCATGCAACATAACAAACGTTTAATATCCTCTGCCATGAGAATTTTCTTAAAGACCATAACTCTAAAATGTAATCTTTCACTTCTCTGAATTTCTATATCGTTGACCCATCTTTACCATACTGCCGGGTAGTTGAATATATGCTATCCTGCATTATAATCTTGGTGTATAGGTGTGTCATTTCATTGAGAAGGCCATAAACTCTATGAGGTTAGAGATCTGGAAGATAGTTTATACTTTCGTATATACATATATATGAAAGTATATATATTATATTTATATACTATTATATATATTTTTATATACTATATTATATATATATTTATATAATATATATTCATATATATGCATTTTTCTTTTTTTCTTAAAATTTTCTATTTTTTTCTTTATAATTTCAGCATTTATTTTTAGATGTCGGGGATACATGTGCAGGTTTATTACATGGGTATATTGCATGATGCTGAGGTTTGGAATATGATTGAACCCATCACCCTGGAAGTGAGCATAGTAACCCATAGTTAGTTTTTCAACCCCTTCTCCCTCTAGCATTCCCCTGTGTCTCTTGTTGCCATCTTTATGTCCATGCGAATCCATTGTTTAGCTGCCACATACAAGTAATAACATGCGGTATTTGGTTTTAGGTTCCTGTGATAATTTGCTTAGGATAATGGCCTCCAGTTGCATCCATGTTACTGCAAAGGATATTATTTCATTCCTTTTTATGGCTGTGTAGTATTCCATGGTGTATATGTACTGTATTTTCTTTACCTAATCCACCATTGATGAACACTTAGATTGATTGCACGTCATTGCTATTGTGAATAATGCTGCAGTGAACATGTGAGTACATGTGTTTTTTTGGTAGAACAATTCATTTTCTTTTGGATATATGCCTAGTATTAGGATTGCTGGGCCAATTGGTATTTCCATTTCAAGTTCTTTGAGAAATCTCCAAGGTGCTTTCCACAGTAGCTGAACTAATTTACATTCCCTCCAACAGTGTAAAAGCGTTCACTTGTCTCTGCAGCTTTGCCAGAATCTATGTTTTTTTTGACTTTTTAATAATAGCCATCCTGACTGGTATGCAATGGAAACTTATTGTGATTTAGATTTTTTAAATTTTATTTTACTTTAAGTTCTGGGATACCTGTGCAGAACGTGCAGGTTTGTTACACGAGTATACATGTGCCATGGTGGTTTGCTGCACCTATCAACCCGTCATCTAGGTTTTAAGCCCCACATGCATTAGGTATTTGTCCTAATGCTCTCCCTCCCCTAGCCCCCACACCCTGACAAGCCCCAGTGTGTGACGTTCCCCTCCCTGTGTCCATGTGTTCTCATTGTTCAACTCCCACTTATGAGTGAGAGCATGCGGTGTTTGGTTTTCTGTTCCTGTGTTAGTTTGCTGACAATGATGGTTTCCAGCTTCATCCATGTCCCTGCAAAGGACATGAACTCATCCTTTTTTATGACTGCATAGTGTTCCATGGTATATATGTACCACATTTTGTTTATCCAGTCTATCATTGATGGTCATTCGGGTTGGTTCCAAGTCTTTGCTATTGTGAACAGTGCCGCAATAAACATACGTGTGCATGTGTCTTTATAGTAGAATGATTTATAATCCTTTGTGTATATACCCAGTAATGGTATTGCTGGGTCAAATGGTATTTCTGGTTCTAGATCCTTGAGGAATCACCACACTGTCTTCCGCAATGGTTGAACTAATTTACACTTCCACCAACAGTGTAAAAGCGTTCCTATTTCTCCACATCCTCTCCAGCCTCTGTTGTTTCCTGACTTTTTAATGATCACCATTCTAACTGGCATGAGATGGTATCTCATTGTGGTTTTGATTTGCATTTCTCTAATGACCAGTGATGATGAGCTTTTTTTCATATATCTGTTGGCTGCATAAATGTCTTCTTTTGAGAAGTGTCTGTTCATATTCTTCACCCACTTTTTGATGGTGTTGTTTTTTTCTTGTAAATTTGTTTAAGTTCTTTTTAGATTCTGGATATTAGCCCTTTATCAGATGGATAGATTGCAAACATTTTCTCCCATTCTATAGGTTGCGTGTTCACTCTGATGATACTTTCTTTGGCTGTGCAGAAGCTCTTTAGTTTAATTAGAGACCATTTGTCATTTTGGTTTTTGTTCCCATTGCTTTTTGTGTTTTAGTCATGAAGTCTTTGCCTATGCCTATGTCCTGAATTGTAATGCCTAGGTTTTCTCCTAGAGTTTTTATGGCTTTAGGTCTTATGTTTAAGTCTTTAATCCATCTTGAGTTAATTTTTGTATAAGGTGTAAGGAAGGGGTCCAGTTTCAGTTTTCTGCATTTGGCTAGCCTGTTTTCCCAACACCATTTATTAAATAGGGAATCCTTTCCCCATTGCTTGTTTTTGTCAGGTTTGTCGAAGATCAGATGGTTGTAGATGTGCGGCATTATTTCTAAGGCCTCTGTTCTGTTCCATTGGTCTATATATCTGTTTTGATACCAGTACCATGCTGTTTTGGTTACTGTAGCCTTGTAGTATAGTTTGAAGTCAGGTAGCATGATGCCTCCAGCTTTATTCTTTTTGCTTAGGATCGTCTTGGCTATATGGGCTCTTTTTTGGTTCCATATGAAATTTAAACTAGTTTTTTTTTTCTAATTCTGTGAAGAAAGTCAATGGTAGCTTGATGGGGATAGCATTGAATCTATAAATTACTTTGGGCAGGTATGGCCATTTTCACGATATTGATTCTTCCTATCCATGAGCGTGGAATATTTTTCCATTTGTTTGTGTCCTCTCTTATCTCGTTGAGCAGTGGTTTGTAGTTCTCCCTGAAGAGGTCCTTCACATCCCTTGTGAGTTGTATTCCTAGGTATTTTAATCTCTTTGTAGCAATTGTGAATGGGAGTTCACTCATGCAGTGAGTGACTTTCTACCCTTATGCTTAATGGTGTCCCTGATTATAGGCACTCAAGTCATAACCACTTTGCTGAGTCTGACCTCCATACCTACCAGGATCTAGGCATGGCTGTCTTCTTTTCTTCCGGCAATCTCTGTCCATGACTTTCTTCAAGAGCTAATTCAGAAATTATCTTCTGAGATAAATAGTAATAATAATTAGCACATACACTGTAGTAGGAGCTGTCCAAAATATTTTTATATATATTAATTCATTTAATTCTTTCAGTAATATTATTATTATTCTCTTTTTTTTAAAGAGAAAGTTACTAGTCACAGGGAGATTTAAAAATTGTCCATATGGCCAGGTGTGGTGCCTCACGCCTGTAATCCCAGCACTTTGGGAGGCCGAGGTGGGTGGATCACGAGGTCAGGAGATCAAGACCATCCTGGATAACATGGTGAAACCCCATCTCTACTAAAAATACAAAAAATTAGCTGGGTGTGGTGGCGGGCGCCTGTAGTCCCAGCTACTGGGGAGGCTGAGGCAGGAGAATGGCGTGAACCCAGGAGGCAGAGCTTGCAGTGAGCCGTGATCACACCACTGCACTCCAGCCTGGGAGACAGCAAGACTCCGTCTCAAAAAAATAATAATAATTGTCCATATCACATAGCTAGTAAGTGGAAGAAGGAAGCTATTAACCCAGGGAGTCTGTTTCTAGACCTCAAGTTTTTAACCTTCATACCATGAGGCTATGATGAATTTATTCTGCACTGCATTTATACTAACACATGCATTGTAAATATTTTTAGGGGAAATAATTTTTTAAATTCATTTTATTTTTCCATAAGTTATTGGGGTACAGGTGGTTTTTGGTTACATGAGTAAGTTCTTTAGTGGGGATCTGTGAGATTTTGGTGCACCCATCACCCACGCTGTATGCACTGCACCATATTTGTAGTCTTTTATCCCTCGCCCCCCTCCCAATCTTCCCCCCAAGACCCCAAAGTCCATGGTATCATTCTTATGCCTTTGTGTCCTCATAGCTCAGTTCCCACATATCAGTGAGAACATATGATGTTTAGTTACTTAGATTCTAAGTGAGTTACTTCACTTAGAATAATTGTCTCCAATCTCATCCAGGCCACTGCAAATGCTGTTAATTCATTCCTTTTTATGGCTGTGTAGTATTCCATCATATATATATATACACACACACACACATAGCACAGTTTATTGTAGTATTCCATCATATGTATATACACATATATATCACATCATATATATATATATATATATATATATATATACACACAGACACCCATATATATCACAGTTTCTTTATCCATTCATTGATTGATGTGCATTGGGTTGGTTCCATGACTTTGCAATTGTGAATTGTGCCACTATAAACATGTGTGAGCAATTATCTATTTCAAGTAATTTCTTTTCCTCTGGGTAGATACCCAGCAGTGGTATTGCTGGATAAAATGGTAATTCTACTTTTAGTTCTTTAAGGAATCTCCACACTGTGTTCCATAGCAGCTGTACTAGTTTACATTTCCACCACAAGTGTAGAAGTGTTCCCTGTTCACCGCGTCCACACCAACATTCTACTGTTTTTTGATGTTTTGATTATGGCCATTCTTGCAGGAATAATGTGATATCGCATTGTGGTTTTGATTTGCATCTCCCTGATCATTAGTGATGTTGAGCATTTTTTCATATATTTGTTGGCCATTTGTATATCTTCATTTGAGAATGTCTATTTATGTCCTTAGCCCACTTTTTGATTGGATTGTTTGGTTTTTTCTTACTGATTTCTTTGAGTTCATTGTAGATTCTGGATATTAGTGCTTTGTCAGATGTATAGATTGTGAAGACTTTCTCGCATTCTGTGGGTTGTCTGTTTACTCTGCTGACTCTTCCTTTACCATGCAAAAACTCCTTAGTTTAATTAGGTCCCAGCTATTTATCTTTGTTTTTATTGCATTTGCTTTTGGTTTCTTGGTAATGAAATCCTTGCCTGAGCCAATGTCTAGAAGGGATTTTTCCAATGTTATCTTCTAGAATTTTTATGGTTTCAGGTCTTAGGTTTAAGTCCTTAATCCATCTTAAGTTGATTTTTATATAAGGTGAGAGAAGAGGATCCAGTTTTATTTTCCTACATGTGGCTAGCCAATTATCCCAGTACCATTTGTTGAAAAGGATGTACTTTCCCCACTTTATGGTTTTGTTGGCTTTGTCAAAGTTCTGCTGGCTCTATCTGGATTTATTTCTGGGTTCTCTATTTTGTTCCATTGATCTATGTGCCTATTTTTATACCAGTACCAGGCTGTTTTGGTGACTTTGGACTTATAGTATAGTTTGAAATCAGGTAGTGTGATGCCTCCAGATTTGTTCTTTTTCCTTAGTCATTCTTGGCTATGCAGGCTCTTTTTTGGTTCCATCTGAATTTTAAAATTGTTTTTTTTCTAATTCTGTGAAGAATGATGGTGGTATTTTGATAGAGATTGAATTGAAATTGTAGACTGCTTTTGACACTATGGTAATTTTTACAATATTGATTCTACCTATCCATGAGGATGGTATATGTTTCCATTTGTGTTGTCTATGATTTCTTTCAGCAGTGTTATGTACTTTTCCTTGTAGAGGTCTTTTGCCTTTTTGGTTAGGTATATTCCTAAATATTTTATTATTTTTTTTTTGCAGCTATTGTAAAAGGAGTTGAGTTCTTGATTTGATTCTCTGCTTCGTCACTGTTGGTGTATAGCGAGCTACTTTTTTGTGTACACTAATCTTGTATCCGGAAACTTTGCTGAATTGTTTTATTGGTTCTAGGAGTTTTCTGGAGGAACCCTTAGGATTTTCAAGGTACACGATCATATCATCAGCAAACAGTGACAGTTTGACTTCTTCTTTACCAATTTGGATGCCCTTTATTTCTTTCTCCTGTCTGATTGTTCTGGCCAAGACTTCCAGTACTACATTGAAGAGGAGTGGTGAGAATGGGCATCCTTGTCTTGTTCCAGTTCACAGAGAGAATGCTTTCAACTTTTCCCCATTCAGTGGTGGTGGGTTTGTCGTAGATGCCTTTTATTACATTAAGGTATGTCCCTTGTATGCTGATTTTGCTGAGAGTTTCAATCATAAAGTGATGCTGTATTTTGTTGAATGCTTTTTCTGCATCTATTGGGATGATCATATGATTTTTGTTTTTAATTATGTTTACATGGTGTATCACATTTATTGACTTGCATATGTTATACCATCCCTGCATCCCTGGTATGAAACTTACTTTATTATGGTGGACTTTTTTTTTTTTGATATGTTGCTGGATTCGAATAGCTAGCATTTTGTTAAGGATTTTAGCATCAATGTTCATCAAGGATATCAGTCTGCCGTTTTCTTTTTTGGTTATGTCCTTTCCTGGTTTTGGTATTAGGCTGATGCTGGCTTCATAGAATGAGTTAGGGAGGTTCCTTCTTTCTCTATCTTGTAGAATAGTGTCAAAAGGATTGGTACTAATTCTTCTTTGAATGTCTGGTAGAATTCTGCTGTGAGTCCGTCTGGTCCTGGACATGTTTTTTGTTTGTAATTTTTAAATTACCATTTCAATCTCACTGCTTGTTATTGGTGTGTTCAGAGTATCTAATTCTTCCTGATTTAAGCAAAAAGGGTTGTCTTTTTTCAGGAATTTATTCATCTCTTCTAGGTTTTCTAGTTTATTTGTGTAAAGGTGTTCTTAGTAGCCTTGAATGATCTTTTGTATTTCAGTGGTATCAATTGTAATATCTCCTGTTTCTTTTCTTAGTGAGGTTATTTGGATTTTCTCTCTTCTTTTCTTGGTTAATCTCACTAATAGTCTATCAATTTTATTTATCTTTTCAAATAACCAATTTTTGTTTCGTTTATCTTTTGTATTTTTTTTTTGTTTCAATTTCATTTAGTTCTGCTCTGATCTTGGTAATTTCCTTTCTTCTGCTGGGTTTGCATTTGGTCTGTTCTTGTTTCTCTAGTTCCTTGAGGTGTGACCTTAGAATGCCAGTTTGTGCTCTTTCAGTCTTTTTGATGTAGGCATTTAGGGCTATGAACTTTCCTTTAAGCACCACCTTTGCTATATCCCAGAGATTTTGATAGGTTGTGTCATTATTGTCATTCTGTTTGGAGAATTTTTTGATTTCCGTTTTGATTTTCTTTTTGACCCAATGCTCATTCAAGAGCAGTTTATTTTAATTTCGATGTATTTGCATAGTTTTGAAGGTTCGTTTTCGAGTTTATTTCCAGTTTTATTCCACTGTGGTCTAAGAGAATGCTTGATATAATTCCAATTTTCTTAAATTTATTGAGGCTAGTTTTATGGCCTATCATATGGTCTATCTTGGAAAAAAAGTTCTATGCACTGTTGAATAGAATGTGTACTCTGCAGTTGTTGGATAAAGTGTTCTGTATATATCTGTTAAGTCCATTTGTTGCAAAGTATAGTTTAAATGCATTGTTTCTTTGTTGACTTTCCGGCTTGATGACCTGTCCAGTGCTGTCAGTGGAGTATTGAAGTCCCCCACTCTTATTGTGTTCTTGTCTATCTCATTTCTTAGGTCTATTAGCAATTGATTTATAAATTTGGAAGCTCCAGTGTTGGGTGCATATATGTTTAAGATTGTGATATTTTCCTGTTGGACAAGGCCTTTTACCATTATATAATGTCTCTCTGTCTCTTTTAACTGCTGTTACTTTAAAGTTTGTTTGGTTTGATATAACTACTCCTGCTGGCTTTTGGTGTCCATTTGCATGAAATGCCTTTTTTCACTCCTTTACTTTAAGTTTATTGGAGTCCTTATGCATTAGGTGAGTCTCCTGAAGGCAGCAGATAGTTGTTTGGTGAGATCTTATTCATTCTGTGGTTCTGTATCTTTTAAGTGGAGCATTTAGGCCATTTACATTCAATGATAGTATTGAAATGTGAGATACCATTGCATTCATTGTGCTCTTTGCTGCCTGTGTACTTTGTGTTTTTTTTTGTTTTTGATTTTAACTTGTATTTAACTTGTTTTAACTTGTATTTTTATTTTATATGTCCTGTGTGATTTATGCTTTAAAGAGTTTCTGTTTTGATATGTTTTGAGGATTTGTTTCAAGATTTAGTGCTCCTTTCAGCAGTTCTTGTAGTGGTGGCTTGATAATGGCGAATTCTCTCAGCATTTGTGCATCTGAAAAGGACTGTATCTTTCCTTCATATAAGATACTTAGTTTCACTGGATACAAAATTCTTGGCTGATAATCGTTTTGTTTGAGGAGGCTGAAAATAGGGCCCCAATCCCTTCTAGTTTGTAGTGTTTCTGCTGAGAAATCTGCTGTCAATCTCATAGGTTTTCCTGTATAGATTACCTGTTGCTTCTGTCTCACAGCTCTTAAGATTCTCTCCTTCGTCTTAACTTTGGATAACCTGATGATAATATGCCTAGGTGAATATCTTTTTGTGATGAATTTTCCAGATATTCTTTGTATTTCACGTATTTGGATGTCTAGGTCTCTAGCAAGGCTGGGGAAATTTTCCTCTATTACTTCCCCAAATTTGTTTTACAAGCTTTTAGAATTCTCTTCTTCCTCAGGAACACCAATTATTCTTAGCTTTGGTCATTAACATAATCCCAGACATAATTCTTGGAGGCTTTGTTCATATTTTTCTTGTCCTTTTTTCTTTGTCTTTGTTCCTTGTATTTGAGCTCTGAATTTCTTTCCTCTGCTTGTTCAATTCTAGTGCTGAGACTTTCCAGAGCATTTCGTATTTCTAAAAGTGTGTCCAGTGTTTCCTGAATTTTTGATTGATATTTCTTTAAGCTATTTCCTTGAATATTTCTCCCTTCACTTCTTGTATGATTTTTTTTTTTTTTTTTTTTTTGGGATTTCCTTGCATTGGGCTTCTGCTTTCTCTGGTCCCTCCCTGATTAGCTTAACAACTAACCTCCTGAATTCTTTTTCAGGTAAATCAGGGATTTCTTCTTGGTTTAGATCCATTGCTGGTGAACTTTTGTGATCTTTTGGGGGTGTTGAAGAGCCTTGTTTTGTCATATTACCAGGATTGGTTTTCTGGTTCCTTCTCATTTGTGTAGGCTCTGTCAGAGGGAAGGTCTAGGGCTGAAGGCTGTTGTTCAGATTCTTTTGTCCCACAAGGTGTTCCCTTGATGTAGTACTCTCCCCCTTTTCCTACAGATGTGGCTTCCTTTGACCTGAACTGCAGTGATTTTTGTCTCTCTTCTGGGCCTAGCCACCCAGTGAGCCTACCTGGCTCCAGGCTGGTACTGGGGGTTGTCTGCACAGAGTCATGTGATATGAACTATGTATTGGTCTCTCAGCTGTGGATACCAGCACCTGTTCTGGTGGAGGTGGTGGTGGGGGTGCAATGGACTCTGTGAGGGTTCTTAGCTTGGTGATTTAATGCTCTATTTTTGTGCTGGTTGGCCTTCTGCCAGGTGTGGCAATTTCCAGAAAGCTTCAACTGTAGTTGTAGGGAGAGGGATCACTGGTGAGTGGGACCCTAGAACTCCCAAGATTATATGCCCTTTATCTTCCATTACCAGGGTGGATAGGGAAGGATCATCAGGTTGTGGCAGGGCTAGGCGTGTCTGAGCTCAGACTCTCCTTGGGCGGGTCTTGCTGTGGCTGCTGTGGGAGATGGGAGTGAGATTCCCAGGTCACTGGAGTTGTGTACCTAGGAGGATTATGACTGCCTCTGCTGAGTCATGCAGGTTGTCAGGGAAATGGGGGAAAGCTTGCAGTCACAGGCCTCACCCAGCTCCCATGAAAACCGAAGGGCCAGCCTCACTACCACATGCCCCGGCAACAGCCCTGAGTCTGTTTCCAGGTGGAGGGCAAGACAGGCTTGAAAACTTGCCCCAGGCTACCTGCCTCCCAAATGTGAAAGAAAAGGGCTTGGTTCTTCCCTTGCCTGTGGAATCTGCACACTGGATTTGTGCCCTCCCCTGAGTTCTGGCCATTAGGCTTCTTGCCTTGTTCAAATCGTCACAAAGTTTAGCTAAAGATTTCCTTCTCCCTGTGGAGTTTTAACCCCTGCTCCTCTGGCCACCCTCCCGATGGATCCCTGTGAGGAATGGCCTGCTAGGGGATGCAGTGAGCTCCCAGGGCCTTTCTGCTGATTCCTTTACCCCTGTATTTTGCTCATCTCTCTAAATTGACTCAGCTTCAGGTAAATTTGGAAACTTCTCCCACAAACAGACCTTCAGCTTCTCCACTGGGGATGTGTGTTTGGGAGATGAGGTTCTCCCTCTTCCACTTCCGTAGTTGGGGCACTCACAGTATTTGGGGTATCTCCCAAGTCCTGCAGAAGCAGTCCACTTCCTTCAGAGGGTCTGTGGGTCCTCTCAGGATTGCTGGTTTGTTCTTGCCATTGATCTGGAGCCAAAATTCAGAATGCAAGCCTCCACATGCTGCTCTGTTCGGAGCTACAATCTAGTCCTGCCTCCCGTCTGCCATGATTTTTCTTTATTTCTTAAATTTATTTTAATTCACAGATAATAATTGTGTATATTTATGGGTTGCAATATAATATTTTGATCTATGTGTAGAAAGGGTCAATCAAACGAATATATGTTATCACCTCACCAACTTATATTTTTGTGGTGAGAACATTAAAAATCTATTATTTTGGTAATTTTGAAATATGCAATATATTATTATTAACTGTAATCACCATTCAGTACAGCAGATTACTAAAACATATTCCTCCAGTTTAACTGAAACTTTATGCCCTTTGATTATGCTCATCCCTTACTGTCCCCCTAGTCTCCGGTAAATACCTTTCTACTCTGTTTCTGTGAGATTGACTTTTTTACATTCTACATATAAGTTGGATCATACAATGTTTGCCTTTCTCTGCTTGGATTATTTCACTTAGCATAAGGTCTTTCAGTTCCACCTGTGTTGTCACAAATGACAGAATTTCCTTCTTTTTAAAGATGGTATAGTTATCCATTATATGTACAACATGTTTTCTTTATCCATTTCTCCATTGGTAGACACTTAGGCTGCTTCCATATCTTGGATATTTTTTTTTTTTTTTTTTTTGAGACGGAGTCTCGCTCTGTCGCCCAGGCCGGACTGCGGACTGCAGTGGCGCAATCTCGGCTCACTGCAAGCTCCGCTTCCCGGGTTCACGCCATTCTCCTGCCTCAGCCTCCCGAGTAGCTGGGACTACAGGCGCCCGCCACCGCGCCCGGCTAATTTTTTGTATTTTTAGTAGAGACGGGGTTTCACCTTGTTAGCCAGGATGGCCTCGATCTCCTGACCTCATGATCCACCCGCCTCGGCCTCCCAAAGTGCTGGGATTACAGGCGTGAGCCACCGCGCCCGGCCTGGATATTTTAAATATGCTGCAATGAGCATGGGAGTGCAGACCTTTTAGACATACTGATTTCAATTTTTTGGATATTTACCGAGAAGTGGGATTATTGGATCATATGGTAAAATTGCAGGATCATATTCTATAACTATATTTTTAGTTTTTTGAGAAACCTCCACATTATTTTCCAAAATTACTGTACTAATTTATAATCCCACCAACAGTGTAAAAGGGTTTTATTTTCTCCACATCCTCACCAACACTAGTTATCATTTGTCTTACTGATAATAGCCATTCTAACAGATATGAGGTGATTTCTCATTGCAGTTTTAATTTGCACTTCCTTAATTATTAGAAATGTTAAACATTTTCTTCATATATTAGTTGGCCATTTGTATCTCTTCTTTTGAGAAAGATCTGTCCAGATCTTTGCTTATTTTCTAATTCGGTTTTTTGTTTTCCTGCTGTTGACTTGTTTGAGTATCTTATATATTTTAGATATTAGCCCCTTATCAGATACATGGTTTACAAATATTTTCTCCCAATCTATGAGTGATCTCTTCACTCTGTTATTTCTTTTCTTTGCAGAAGGTTTTTAGTTTGCTAAAGTGTCATTTGTCTATTTTTGCTTTCATTGCTTGTGCTTTTGAAATCCTATTAAAAAATTATTACCCAGACCAAGGTCATGGAGCTTTTCCACTATGTTTTCTTCTAGTAGCTTTACAGTTTCAGGTCTTACATTTAAGTCTTTGGCCATTTTGAGCTGATTTTTCTATATGGTGTGAGATAGAGGTCCAATTTTATTCTGCATGTGAATGTCTAAATTTTTCAGTACCAGTTATTGAAGAGATTGTCTTTTCCCCAATGTGTTTTTGGTACATTTGTTGAAAATCCAATGACTATATAAATACTTGGAATTATTTCTATCCCTGGTCTTCTATCCTGTTCTCTTGGTCAATGTGTCTTTTGTTATGCTAACACCATGCTGTTTTGATTACTATAGCCTTTTAGCATAATTTGAGTTCAGGTAATTTGACGCCTCCAGCTTTGTTGTTTGCCCAAGATTGCTTTGGTTATTTGGGGTCTTTTCTGGTTCCATGCACATTTTGGGATATTTTTTCTATTTCTGTGGAAAATGACATTGTAATTTTGATAGAGATTGCATTGAATCTATAGATCACCTTGGGTAGTATGCACATTTTAATAATATATATTCTTCCTTCCTATGAACATGTTATGTCTTTCCATTTATTTGTCTTCATTTTCATTCTCCAATGTCTTATAGCTTCCAGTGTACAGACCTTTCACCTTCTTGGTTAAGTTTACTCTGAAGTATTTTATTATTTGATACTATTAAAAATGAGATTTTTTCTTAATTTATTTTTCAGATAGTTTGTTGTTACTTCATAGAAATGCTACTGATTTTTGTATCTCAATTTTGTAACTTTTAATGGTATTGAATTTGTTAATTGGTTATAACAGTTTTTTTGATAAAGTTTTCAGGATTTTCTGTAAATAAGATCATGACATCAACAAACAGATAATTTCACTTCTTCCTTTCCTAGATAAATACCTTTTATTTATTTTTCTTGCCTAATTGGTCTGGTTAAAACTTCAAGTACTATGTTGAATAGAGTGCCTAGAGTTGGGATCCTTGTCTTATTCCTGATCTTAGAGGAAAATCTTTCAACTTTGAACCTTTGAGAATAATATTAGCTTGAGCTTGCCATTATGTGAACTTGATCATGTTGAGGCACATTTCTTATGTTTCTATTTTGTTAAGAGTTGTTTTTTTTATCATCAACAGGTGTTGAATGTTATCAAATGCTCTTTCAGCATCTATTGATATAATCATATTTTTTGTCCTTCATTTTGTTAAAGTGGTATATCACATTTATTAATTTAAGTATGTTAAATTATCCTTACATCCAATGGATAAGTCCCACTTGAATATGGCAAATGATCTTTTTAATGTGCTGTTAAATTCAGTTTGCTAGTATTTTGATGAGGAATTTTGCATTGATGTTCTTCAGATGTATCAGCCTGTAGTTTTCTTATGGTGTCCTACTATGACTGTAGTATCAGGGTAATGCTGGCCTTATAAAATGAGTTGGAAAGTTTTCTCTTCCTCTTTAATTTCCTGGAAGAGTTTGAGAATAATTGGTGTTAGTTCTTTTCAAAAATGCTTTGCAGGATTCAGCAGTTAATCCTTCAGTTCCTGGGCTTTTCTTTGATGGGTGACTTTTTATTACCTTTAAAATCTTCTTACTCATTATTGGTTCCAATTTTCAATTTCTTCCTAATTTAATCTCAGTAGGTTGCATGTTTCCAGGAATTCATTCATTTTGTCTAGGTTATTGAATTTTTTGATGTATAGTTGTTCATATTAGTATCTTATGATCCTTTGTATTTCTGTGGCATGAGTTGCAATGTCTCCTCTTTCATTCCTGATTTTGTTTGAGTCTTTTCTTTTGTCTTTTTTGGTCTAGTTAAAGTTTTTTCAATTTTGTTCATCTTTTCCAGAAAACTACTTTTATTTTATAGATGTGTTCTGTTGTTTCTTTCTAATATCAATTTCATTTATTTCTGCTATGATCTGTATTATTTTCTTCTTTTTGATAAGTTTGAGACTAATTTGTTCTTCTTCTAGTTCCCTGAGGTGTAATAATAGTCTGTTTATTATAAATCTTCCCTTTTGATGTAGTTTTATTTCCATAAACTTTTCTCTCATAACAACTTTTGCTGCATCCCATTGTTTTGGTATGTTGTCATTCCATTTTCATTTGTCTCAAGATAACTTTTAAAGTTTGCTTTGACCAATCGGTGTTAAGGAGCATGTTGTTTAATTTATACGTATTTGTGAGTTTTCCAAAATTTCTCTAGTTATTGATTTCTAGTTTTATGGCATTGTGGTCAGAAAGGATACTTAATATGATTTCTATGTTCTTAAATTTGTTAAGACTTGTTTTGAGGCCTAACATGTAATCTATCCCAGATAATGTTCTGTGTGCACTTGAGAAAAATTTGTAGGCTGTTGTTTTGGGATGGAATATTTGGTAAACATCTGTTAGGTTCATTTGGTCTAGAGTGTAGTTCAAGTCCATGGTTTTCTTATCGATTTTCTGTCTAGATCTGTCCAATGTTGAAAGTTGGACAATTAATTCTCCTATGATCATTGTATTATAGTCTATCTTGCCCTTAGGTCTATTAAATATATATATGTATATATATGCTCCAGTGTTGGGTAAATATATATTTATAATTGTTATAATTCCCTAATTAATTGACTTTTTATGATGATATAATTACCTTTTTTGTCTTTTTAAAATTTTTGACTTAAAGTCTATTTTGTTTGATGTAAGTATAGCTATTTTTACTATTTTGTTGCTTCAGTTTACATGGAATATCTTTTTTAATCCATTCATTTTTAGTCTATTTGTGTCCTAATAGGTGAAATTAATCTCCTACAGGCAGCATATTCTTGGGTCTTTTTTTTGTTTAAATCCATCCACCCACTTGATGTCTTTTGATTGGAGAATTTAATTCATTTACACTAAAAGTAATTATTGAGAAGAAAGAACTTGCTATTGCCATTTTGTTAATTATTTTCTGTTTAATTTATAGATCCTTTGTTTCTCTCTTCCTCTCTTACTATCTTCCTTTGCAGTTTGATGATTTTTCTGTAGTGGTATGCTTTGAATATTTTCTTTTAATATTTTGTATATCTACTAAGGATTTGTGCCTGTGGTTACCATTAGGCTTACATAAAATATCTTATACTAATAACAGTCTATTTTAAGGCAAAAATGACTTAACTTTGATTACTTGCACAGAATGTACACTTCTAATTTAACCCCACAATTTGTTTTTATGATGTTTTGTAATTTTTATATTTTATGTCCCTTAGAAATTTTTTGCAGCCATTGTTTTAATAATTTTGCTTTTAACCTTTACACTAGAGATAAAACTGATTTTCATACCTCCACTGTAGTATAAGAGTATTCTGAGCTTGACTGTATAATTTCATTAGTGAGTTTTATATTTCAGTGTTGCCACTTGGTAAACTTTTAATCACTTTGAAGAACTCCTTTTAGCATTTTTTGTAACGCAAGCCTAGTGATGAATAAATTCCCTCAGCTTTTGGTTGAGAATGTTTTTATCTCCCCTTTATTTTATTATTTTATATATATATATATTTTTTATTACACTTTAAGTTCATGTGCACAACGTGCAGATTTGTTACATATGTATACATGTGCCATGTTGGTGTGCTGCACCCATTAACTCGTCATTTACATTAGGTGTATCTCCTAATGCTATTCCTCCCCCCTCCCCCCACCCCACAAGAGGCCCCAGTGTGTGATGTTCCCCTTCCTGTGTCCAGGTGTTCTCATTGTTCAATTCCCACCTATGAGTGACAACATGCAGTGTTTGGTCTTTTGTTCTTGCGATAGTTTGTTGAGAATGATGGTTTCCAGTTTCATCCATGTCCCTACAAAGGACATGACCTCATCATTTTTATGGCTGCATAGTATTCCATGGTGTATATGTGCCACATTTTCTTAATCCAGTCTATCATTGTTGGACATTTGGGTTGGTTCCAAGTCTTTTCTATTGTGAGTAGTGCCACAATAAACATACGTGTGCATGCGTCTTTATGGCAGCATGATTTATATTCCTTTGGGTGTATACCCAGTAATGGAATGGCTGGGTCAAATGGTATTTCTAGTTCTAGATCCCTGAGGAATCGCCACTCTGTCTTCCACAATGGTTGAACTAGTTTACACTTCCACCAACAGTGTAAAAGTGTTCCTATTTCTCCACATCCTCTCCAGAATCTGTTGTTTCCTGACTTTTAATGATCACCATTCTAACTGGTGTGAGATGGTGTCTCACTGTGGTTTTGATTTTCATTTCTCTGATGGCCAGTGATGATGAGCATTTTTTCATGTGTCTGTTGGCTGCATAAATGTCTTCTTTTGAGAAGTGTCTGTTCATATCCTTTGCCCACTTGTTGATGGGGTTGTTTTTTTTTTCTTGTAAATTTGTTTGAGTTCTTTGTAGATTCTGGATATTAGCCCTTTGTCAGATGAGTAGATTGCAAAAATTTTCTCCCATTCTGTAGGTTGCCTGTTCACTCTGATGGTAGTTTTTTTTTGTTTGTTTTTTTTGTTTTTTTTTTTTTTTTGCTGTGCAGAAGCTCTTTAGTTTAATTAGATCCCATTTGTCAATTTTGGCTTTTGTTGCCATTGCTTTTGGTGTTTTAGACATGAAGTCTTTGCCCATGCCTATGTCCTGAATGGTATTGCCTAGGTTTTCTTCTAGGGTTTTTATGGTTTTAGGTCTAACATTTAAGTCTTTAATCCATCTTGAATTAATTTTTGTATAAGGTATAAGGAAGGGATCCAGTTTCAGCTTTCTACATATGGCTAGCCAGTTTTCCCAGCACCATTTATTAAATAGGGAATCCTTTCCCCATTTCTTGTTTTTTTCAGGTTTGTCAAAGATCAGATAGTTGTAGATGTGTGGTTATTATTTCTGAGGGCTCTGTTCTGTTCCATTGGTCTATATCTCTGTTTTGGTACCAGTACCATGCTGTTTTGGTTACTGTAGCCTTCTAGTGTAGTTTGAAGTCAGGTAGCGTGATGCCTTCAGCTTTGTTCTTTTGGCTTAGGATTGTCTTGGCAATGTGGGCTCTTTTTTGGTTCCATATGAACTTTAAAGTAGTTTTTTCCAATTCTGTGAAGAAAGTCATTGGTAGCTTGATGGGGATGGCATTGAATCTATAAATTACCTTGGGCAGTATCTCCCCTTTATTTTTAAAGGACAAGATTGCTGAGTATAGTGTTCTTGGCTGCTAGGTGGTTGCTTTTATTTTTTTTTTTTCTTTCAGCAGCTGAATATATTACCCACTGCCATCTAGCCTGTAGGGGTTCTGTTAAAAAAAATCTATTGATAGTTTTATGAGGGCCTCCTTGTATGTAACAGGTTGCTTTTCTTTTGCAGCTTTCAGTATTCTCTCTGTCTTTAACTTTTGACAATTTGATTATAATGTGTTTTGCTGTTGGTCTCTGAATTCATTCTATTAGGTGTTTGTTATACTTCCTGGATCTGGAGTTCTAATTCCTCTCCCAAATTTGGGAAGTGTTCTGCCATTATTTCTTTGAATGTGTTTTTTGTTCTTTTCTCTCTCTCTCTTTTCCTTCTATTACTCTGATAATGTGTACATTATTTCACTTAGTGTGTCCCATAAGTCCCTTAGTCTGTCTTTATTCTTTTTTTCTTGTCTTTTTCCTCCTCAGATTAGATTGTTTTTAATAACTTTTATTTTAGATTCAAAGGTATCTGTGCATGTTTGTTATATAAGTAAACCTGTGTCATGGTGAGTTTGTTTTATAGATTATTTCATCACTCAGGTACTAAGCCTAGTAACCAATAGTTATTTTTTCTGCTCCTCTCACTCATCCTATGATTTTCCCCCTCTATGTATCCACATGTTTTCATCATTTAGCTCCCACTTATAAGTGAGAACGTGTGGTATTTGGATTTCTGTTCCTGTGTTAGTTCGGTGAAGATAATGGCCTCTAGCTCCATCCATGTTCCTGCAAAGGCCATGATCTCAGTTTTTTTTATAGCTGCATAGTATTCTGTGGTGTATATGTACCACATTTTCTTTATCTATTCTACCATCGATAGAAATTTAGCTTGATTCAATGTCTTTGTTATTGTGAATAGTGCTGCTATGAACATAATGCATGCATGTGCCTTTATAATAGAATGAGCTATATTCTTTTGGGTATATACCCTGTAATGGGATTTCTGTATCAAATGGTATTTCTGTTTTTGGGTATTTGAGAAATAGCCATACTGTTTTCCACAGTGGTTGAACTAATTTACATTTTCACCAATAGTGCATAAGCATTCCTTTTTTTCTCTGCAAGGCAGCCAGCATCTGTTATTTTTATTAATATATATATATATATATATATATATATTTTACTTTTTGGTAATAGCCATTCTGCCTGGTGTGAGAAGGTATCTCATTGTGGTTTAGATTTGCATGTCTCTAATGATCAGTGATGTTGAGCTTTTATCATATGCTTGTTGGCTCCATGTATGTCTTCCTGTGAAAAGTATTTGTTCATTTCCTTTGTCCACTTTTTAATGGGGTTGTTTGTTTTTTCCTGGTAAATTTCTTTAAGTTCCTTATAGATCCCGGATATTGGAGCTTTGTTGGATGCATACTTTGCAAAAAATTTCTCCCATTCTGTAAGTTGTCTGTTTACTCTGTTGATAATTCCTCTTACTGTGCAAAGCTCTTAAGTTTAATTAGATTCCAGTTGTCAATTTTTGCTTTTGTTGCAATTGTTTTTGGTATCTTTGTCATGCAATCTTTTCTCATTCCTGTATCTGGAATGGCATTGTCTAGATTATCTTCTAGGGGTTTTATAATTTTGGGTTTTACATTTATGACTACAGGTTATAATTCCATGTTAGGTTAATAACATATCTCCATTGTATTAGACTTGGTTTCTGATTATTTATATTTTTCTTTTAGTTAGGACTTTTTTTGATTTTTAAAAAAATTTATTTCCCCTCTATGTTGGTTTATGTGCATCAGATAAGAGCATCACCTTTTCTAGTCCTGCTAGAATTGTCTCCAGTAGAAAATCTTCCTTCCTAACTAGTCTGGCCAGACATTCTATGCACCTCCAAACTATGTGCTTGCCCAACCTACTATTTTTGTTCTGAGTGGCTCCCAATAAATTAGAGTGTCAAGTAGTGCTATTGCTTTGAGAGAGGTGGGATCAAACCAGTCCTTTTGTATGCAACTAGAGAGTTTGGAGTGTTAGATGTATGATCCAGTTTCTTCTTTACTTACAGAGCAGCTGAGAGCCAGAATTCATCTTTTACCCATTCCTATACTGAGGCCAGTGTCTGAAGCACATGCTTTTACTCTTGGTCCGACTACTCACTTTGAACATGGGGAAATAACTACTGAATGTTTGTACTTTTAAAAGCCAACGTTTTGTCCTCTGTGGTCTAAAAGATCTGAGAGTGCAGAGCTCTGTGAACTTCCAGGGCTAGGTGATGTAGGGGTCATTCCCTTGGGTGAAGGCTATAAAAGTTGGGATGCTTGATGTATACAGAAACGACTTCCAGAAAGAGTCTGTATGTTTGGATTTATTGCTGGAGCAAGATGGGGAAGAAGGCATATTGGGATGTCCACTTTCCCTTTCAGGAACAGAGATGTCCCTGAGCCGTCTTCCAGCGAGAGATTACAGGAGATTATCTCTAGAGCATGCTGAGAAAAATAGCTTGAGTTGTGCCCTCTCCTCTGTAATTCCTGGCAGAGGCCTCTAACTTCTTTCCATTGAGAGATTTAAGGCTATAATTATCACTGGAGCAAGCTGGAGAAGGAGGCATGGGCAGTGCCAACTCTCCTGTTAAAGCAAGCAGAAATCGCAGACCTTCTTGCAAGGGAAGGCTTCTGGTCTGGAGTTATCACTGAAGCAAGCTGAAAAAGAGGGGAAAGGAAGTATCCACATTTTTTTAGGCACAAGGAGATCACTTCATCTCCCTCCAATAAGAGATTGTAGGAATTTATCTAAGGAGCTAGCCAGGGGAGAAGCTACAGAGTCCCTTTACTCCTGTTCTTGCCAGCAGAGGCCTGAAATCTGTTTCCACAGAGAGACTGTAGGACTGGAATTATCACTGGAGTAAGCTGAGGAGGAAGGGACATGGGGGTGTCCATTTATTTTTTTCAGAGTAACAGAAGTTTCACATCCTCCTTGCAAGGAAATCATTCTGGTCTGGATCTATCTCTGAAGAAAGCCAGGAAAGAAGGTATAGGGAGTGCCCCCCTTTTTTTTTCAGATATGGGGATCCCTCCACCTCTTTCCAATGAGAGTTTGCAGAAATATATTTCAGGAGCAAGCCAGGGAGGCAGGTATAGGGAGTGCCATCCCACCTGTTCTTGCTGGATGAGGCCTCCAATCTCTTTCCAAGGAGATTATAGGGTAGGAATTATTGCTGAGACAAGTTGAGAAAGAAGGCATGGGGTGTGCCTTCCTACCCTTTTAGGCTCTAAGGGTTTATTAATTATTTGCTATGTAGTCTCTTACATACTGGCTTGTTAGAGACCAAATAGACAGGGAGATGCTGGAAAAGCATGAGTTTTGTTTTCAGTTATAGGAAGATAAGGATGCAGCAGCAGAGTTTCATGCTTCAAGATTTCTTTGCAGTGATATCAGTTGTTCATAAAAATCTAGAAAATATTAGCAATTAAAGAAATAAACAAGGATTTTACATGGCTAAATATACCAAGGAAACAAGGGATTCATGAATTCAAAGGGTGTGAATATATGCAAATAAAAAGTCATCACACTATCTGGAGATGGTTAATTATACTCTTTTTGTAGCTGAAATAATCTCAAAACAGAAAACTGTTGCCTACATTGGATTCTAATTTAATATTCAATTCTGTTTTAGTTTAGTGAAAGAGAAAGAAAAATCATTAACAGACTAATATATCTTCTACAGGTAAATAGCAACTTATGGAAGCCACTTTGCTTACAGGATGAAGACAATATCAGAGAGCTCAAAACAGAGGTGTCAAAACACCTCTGAGGTAGGGAGAGACGTATTAGGTACTTGGATATTTGCACTTCACACAAATATGTAAAGATTGTAAGAGTTAAAGTGATCCATCAAAATCTCCTAAAATGCCTGTAAAAAAAAGTCTGCACAACTTTGTGTATGTTCTATTGTATGATAGTTCTCATGCACAGTAAAGTTTGACAGTTCCTTAGCTAAACTAAGGGAAGGGACAAAAATATCACTATGTGCAGATGCCAAAAAATTTCAGCCATACTGCCTGAAAGATAAGTATCAAATCCCTAGGGGGAAAATGGAGGGTTGGAGAATACTAAAGTGTTCATGGTGGTCTGCACAGTTTACTCCACACTTGTTATATTAGGTATTTATAACTTTAATATATGATATTCAATTTGGTAAGAGGATTACACAAATTATTATGAATGCACTTTGGGGTCATTGTGGTGTTAGGTTATTAAAGTTTGCTTCTAATTTAAGTGCACAAATATAATGTGGCTCTATTATTATTTTTCTCATGTTACAGATAATGATATTGAGACTCCAAGACGTTAGATCACTTGCCTTTACCTAAAATCATCTGGCTTTGAAATGACGAAAGTGGGTTCCAGCCTGATTCCAAAGCACATCCTGTTTCCACTATAATGGTCTTTCTTAGGAAGACATATACTGAAATGATTAAGAGCTCTGACTCTGTATCTAGATTGTTTGGGTTTAAAGTCTGGTCTATCGACTAACTGACTGTGAAAAAATTGTTTTAATTTTTTGTGCTTCAGTTCCCTCACTTGTAAAATGTGGATGGAGTAGATAATAATACCAGTACACTCATTTTATAATGTTGTGAAATGGAAATTAAAAAGTACACATAAGACACTTCCAAAATGTATGGTATCTGCTCAACATCTTCCATTATTAACTATCTAGTTGACATCCATCAGCCCATTTTCAGTAGAATGAGGGGAAAAGAGAAGTAAGTTAAAACTCTATGCTAATTGTACATTATGAACTCTTGTTTTATTGTATTGTTCATTCTAACCCTTGGAAACAATGACAGGAAAACAGAGCTTTGATTATAGTGCTCTACTGCCTAATAAAGATCAAACTTGCTATGTTCTCAGTTAAAGAGACCTGATAGAAACATCTACTTCTGCAACAGCCTCCCCAAATATGTGAATGCAGATGCACTTGTTTTATAAATAGAACACCTAAATGTACCAAGCGAGGAGGCAGATGGAGACTGTACATAATTGTACTAACATTTATGTTGTCAATATACTCTCCTAAGTCATTATTACAAGATTATTAGGGTATCTTTCCTCCTCTTTGGAAAGCTACTATTCCCATCAACAGTGACATGGATTATATATTTGCATCAAGAGGTACATAAACGTCAAACTGTCAGAATGAGTATGCCTGGGCTGTAGTTCGATAAACAAATGTATTACAATGAACCTGGAGTAAGCCCCCTCTTACCACCTCTAGTAAAATGATCAAAACAGTTGTAAATTTTAAACAGTGCAGATCATTAAATTATGCATCACCAAGCCTAATTTCTCCCCTGGGGTTGTGGAGGTAGAGTTGGTACCTAGAGAGCCTGAGCCTTGTGGAAATTGGTTAGTGTTAAAATTCGGAAGGGAAGATTTTGGATTTCCTCAAGAAAGTGTGTATGGGTGGGAGAATGACAACAAGGGTGTTAAATATCAGTTTCTGTTAAAAGGGAGAGTTATATTTAGTTCAGAGCAGTTTTACTTAACCAGGATTGGGTATCAGAATTACTTCAGGAGCTGTTACAAAACACAAATCGCCTAAATTTTTTCCAAGACTTACTAAGATGTCCAGGGAAAAATATTTTAGTTTAAAAAGTGTATAAGCTCTTCAGATGATTCTTTTCTGCACCACAGATTAACAACCACTGTCTTATGCACTTCATAAGCAATACCAAAGGAGCTTTTTAAAAATGTAAAAATCAAGTTTCTTGCCTATTCTACACTTCTGATTTAATAGATCTTGCAGCAGGCCCAGCAATCTGTACAGCTAGGTGCCAATTTGACTACTAGTGTTTAGAAACCAATGGATTCCAGAATGGTGGAAATGAGGCCTTGGGAATCCCTGGAAGAGCCTGGTATTCTTTATACCTAAGTCCTTAGGCATTCAATGAGTATCTGTCCTGTATATAACAATGAGCCAGACATTTTTGCACTTGGAAGTGGGGGTGGAAAGTAAGTATAAAATATAGACTTTATATAACAATTTTTCTATGTTCTTGAGGAGGCGTATTTTTACACACAGGAACAAAAGAAAAGTATATTTCAGGCCATAGCCCTAACTCAGCTAGCCTTTTTCATATAGCTAGGCTTTGGTAATGAGAAATGAGTGGGTTGTGGTTGCATGTGATAATTGTGGATCAAGGGATAGTAGTTCAATTCAAACCTTTCACGACTCCATTAGGTAGCTCCTTCCCCTGATCCCCAATATTAGTACTTCTCCATGGACCACATCAGTTTACAGTTGGCACACTGGTCAGTGCACACCATCAAATCTCTGTCATCAGAGTATTTACTTTGAGAAGTATAGGTTGACTTTTCAAGTCAGGTTTCCTCATTTTTTTCCTTCTTTTTGCTGTCATTCCTTTCACTCAAGTACTGCCTCTTACCTCCCCCTAAAAGAGGTGTAAATTGCTCTCCCTAGGATACTTGAATAAATTTATGAATTCAAGAAAGGAGCAGCACCTTTTTGCTTCAGAAGTGAAATTGCACTTTGTAGGAGGGAATGAGCACTCTAGTTTTCTCACTTGTTTTGCCCAAATGTAATGTCTATGCCCTTTTCGACCATGGCCTGAAACTAAGGCAGACACTGCCTTTTAGCCTTTTGGAGTAATTTTGTCTTGTCACATTAGTTGCCACTCTGCATTTGCCATCTTTTATCAGTGTTCATGACCATCCATTTTATGGCTATAAAGATGACCATTACTGTCACAAACCAATATGTTATTGTGAAATCAAATGATTGGTCTTTTATTTTGAATTACAAGTCTACAGTGACAAGCCATCTTGTTAGCTTTTTCTCTGTTGTAAAGCTTGAGTCAGTTTTCATAGCTCTTCACTTTATTCATTCTCCTTCCCTGAATTCTATCTTGACTTACAGACGGAGATACATTTCACTTTATACTGATAGCCTAAAAAGGAAAATGTATTTTCTGGCAATCATATGCTTGCTTTGTCTTTTTTAGACACTTTGGCATAAATATTATTATTAGATTATCACAACACTTTTCAGGTATAGGCCAAATAAAAGGCAGTTATTCCCAGCTTATAGATAAGGAAATTAAAGCAAAGTGTTTAAGTGATATCCTCCTGATCATTCAGTTCAATAAAAAGAAAACAATTATAGATGAGAATGTAGGTCATCTCACTTCTACAACAGGTTCTTTCTTACAGTTTTAAGAAGATGAACCTAGCAATTCTATATTGTACTATGAAAATTAAAAATAAAAAAAAGTTAAGGTGACAGAGACTGTTGCCTGCCTATACTACATCCATTCTTCCCATCTTCTTTAGTAACAGAACTCTTTCGTTGATTGGTGTCATCATATTCCCATCTATAAGATTATAGTTTCTATTGTGTAAGAGATGTTTCATAAAAAATCTGCTTCTTTTGTCCCTAGGCACATAGCTGTACTACATTTTACAGCCTGTTTTTACAAGCTGTGGTCATGTTGACTAAATTATAGCCTAGCGAATATAAATAGAAGGTAGGCCTGTCAGTTCTGGGCCAAGGCTTTTAACAAAATGATATCTTCATTCATATTCTTTTTTAGCTTTCATTTTTATTGATATATAATACATATACATATATTGAAGGTACATGTGATATTTTGACATATTCATATAATGTATAATAATCAAATCAAGGTATTTGGGATATCTATCACCTAAAACATTTCTCTTTTCTCTATGCTGGGTTGTCCCCACTCTTTATCCATTTCCACCTGGTGGATGTAATATTGGTGATGAGGCTTTAAGGAATGACAGAGTCATAATGTGGAAGGAATCTAAATTCTGGAATCACCATGTAGAAGAGAACTGCCACTAACCAGCAACATTTGCCTAAGACTGTTGGGTGGTGAGAATAAACTTCTATTGTTTTTGAGTTATATGCATTGGGTCTATTTATTACAATATCTTTACCTATATTCTATTATATTTAAACTTTGTTGTGGATTGGTGTGGCCGTATGATACAGTTGTGAACCATGATATGTACGTATAATTTATTGGAAGAAGTTTCTACAAAATCTCTTGAAACAGAGATAAACTAGATAGGAAAAGTACCCCATTCCCTAATATTTTAAAAAGTATTTCCTACCTTTTTGAATGTTGATGCAATTTCTAGACCATGGCAGTCATATTAGAACATGAAGTGCTGTCAGTGATAAAGCCATGTATAAACATTGATGGAACATAAATATACAAAAATTCCAGGTGATTGATTGCCTCATTGTGCAACCATACCAACTTTTGATTGCCTATCAGATATTTTTATGCAAAAGAATAAACCCTTTGTATTTAAACCAATGTTATGTTGGATTGTATGTAAAGGTAGCTAAACATAATCTATATGAAAATACAGGCCACATATTTTCTGTAATATAATTAATTTAGCTGCCTCTGTAGGTACAAATCTAAGACTCTCCACCAAATATCCACTCTTGGCTTGCTAGAAAACCTAAAATTTTATACCACAAAACTCATTTCTCTGGTATAAGTTTGTGGTCTGTAAGTGTGGTTCCATGGTATCACCCATGAGCTTGTTAGAAATGCAGATTCAGTAGCTTCAACCTGATTCACTGAATCAGAATCACTGGAGACGGAGCCAAGGAAACTGGACAAGCTCTCTAGGTGATTCTTATGTATTGTAAAATGTGTTTTCCCAAAGGTGCCTGTTGGCAGTCAATTGTTATTTGAGTTATTTAATCATTAATAAATTAACATGAATTTAGTTATTCTCAACACAGGCTGCACATGAAAATCAGCTGAGGAACTTTAAAAAAATACCTCTGCCTGGGCCAAGGTTATTGGGTAAGCTTGTAGCAGAGTTATAGGTAAAGTGTTCTGGCTGGAGTCACTGGTGATCTAGGAGGCAGAAAGTAGAAATGAAACTCAAAGTGGGGTAAAAGTACCTGCTTGAGCTAGTTTGTAGGGCTTTTTTATGAAACAAGTCGTTGTTAAAGTCCTTTGTAAATTGTTGTTTTATTTTCCTAATATATTTGTGTTCTCAACTTCTCCCAGAGGCTAGAAAAACTACTGTTGCTACTCCTACTGTTACTACTAGTATAAAATGTTCAATAATATGATATTATTATTACTATAGTGAGATAATAATTATATTAGTGTGATATTATCTTGGTAGTGATAATAATATCATATTAATGAACATTTTATACTTTAAGATTGGAAGATTTACTGACAATCTAGGGATTATTTGACCCTCTGGTTTTATCCAAATTAGAATGGGCACACTGTAGGAAGCAGTGACTATTGTTTTATTATACCCTTGAGCTCTCTGATATTGTCTTCATCCTGTAAGCAAAGTGGCTTCCTTAAGTTGCTATTTACCTGTAGAAGATATATTAGTTTGTTAATGATTTTTCTTTCTCTTTCACTAAACTAAAACAGTATTGAATATTAAATTAGAATCCAATGTAGGCAACAGTTTTCTGTTTTGAGATTATTTCAGCTATAAGAAGAGTATAATTAACCATCTCCAGATAGTGTGATGACTTTTTATTTGCATGTATTCACACTCTTTGAATTCATGAATCCCTTGTTTCCTTGGTATTTTTAGCCATGTGAAATCCTTGTTTATTTCTTTAATTGCTAATATTTTCTGGATTTTTATAAACAACTGATATCACTGGAAGGAAATCTTGAAGCATGAAACTCTGATGCTGCATCCTTATCTTCCTATAACTGAAAACAATGAAAGAGGGAAGAGACAAAAAGCGGGAATAATGTATATGGATTTTTAGAAACAATAAGCTAAAATCCACCTGATAAACGAGAGAAATGTGTGTCAGTCATTCGTAATTCTGAAAGTATGCTTCAGTTTATAAAACCTTGTTTCTTTTTCCAGGTACATCCCAAGTACATTAAAGTGTTTACATTCTTTTACTGGACAGATAATTCTTTTACAGGAAAGAGAATGACAAAATGCACAGGAATGAATAAATGGAGGTGAGAAGAGTGACGTTATCATGTAGTCAATGAAGAAATACTATGTTAAAAACTCTTCTGTTTTCTTATGTTTGAAAATGCTTTAAGTGTTTCAAAGAAATAGAAGAGTTCAGGCCCCTTCAAGATAATCTCAGGCAAGATGTAGCTTGAAAATTATAGAAAGGACAAGAGTCACAAAATGCACTTTAGCTTAACCTTTCAGAATTGATTAGCTATTCATTAGACAAGAAGGAGAGAGGAGAATTGAGATTTGGAAGTCAGATGGAGAATAGAAGTTAACCAAGCTGGTAATTTAGTTGCCCAGGTAACCATAGCTTTTCTTACATAAAGGTAGTTGTCAGGGACTGTGATTGTTAAATAGAAGGGAGAGAGAAGAGGATTAACCTAATCTTTCTGTGTGTGTGTATGTATATATATATATATATATATATACACATACACACACACACATACATACATATGCAACATAATATATATAAGCAATAAACATATATATGTATACAAATATATGTTTATATATATACATATATGTATACAAATATATGTTTATATATATACATATATGTATACAAATATATGTTTATATATATACATATATGTATACAAATATATGTTTATATATATACATATATGTATACATATATAATATACATATATTTTCCCCTAAGTCATAAGCAATAAACACATATATGTATACATAAGCAATAAACACATATATGTATACATATGTATATATGTATACATATATATGTTTATTGCTTATGACTTAGGGGAAAATACTCAAGGAATAGAGGCATGGAGAAAACAGCGAGTTGAGGCTTTGTGCTTATTTGGTGGAACTACTTAGTGAGAGAGAAACTGTGACTAACAAGAGGAAAGATCATGTCAACAATGGCTCAATTGGAGCCAAGCTGCACCGACTGAGGCCAAGGTTTGTACTAGGGAAAAACTAGAGACAAAAGAGAAGAGCAATGTCAATGCTGGGTGTAGCTACATCAAAGGGGAAGAGGTGTGTCTAAGTGACAGATTTTCTTCCTCTTGCTGTCCTATGATTGTAAAGAATTATGCAATCAATGAGATCAGCCAAAGAATGCCTCTGACCTTGGAAAGTGACTCAATGTCGGGCCATAGCTTTAATTTTGTTAAGTAGAGAGCTGTTAGTTATGCCAGTGAGGAGTGGTTTAGCTGTGAATACCCACATTAAAGTGTTTTAAATGAAATAGAATTAATTTATTTTCTGTTTAAAGAAATCTGAAGACAGTAATTCAAGGATGTCTCAGCTCCACCACCATAAAGACTTGGTCTCCTTCTATGTCTCTTGTTCTGCTGTATTACTGTGAGCTTCTCACCACATGATCCAACATGGCTGTTCAAATCAATGGGATAAGAAGGGTAAACCTGCTTTCTTTAAGGACATTTTTCAGATATTGCACATGACAGTTGGTTTTATATTTCTATAGCCAAAACACGATCATATAGCCACATCTAACTTAAAGGGAGACTGAAAATTATAGTCTTTATTACAGAGAACCACATTTCTACCTCAGTAGTTAAATAGCTAATGAACAAGAATAGAATAGAAATTAGGCAAACTAGGAGTCTCTGTTGCCTACAACATTAATGCACAGGATTGACAGATTAAAAAATGTATTGCAAATTATAAAATATACCTAAGAGTATTCTTTATTGTTTCTTTGGTAAATTCAACTCAACAATAGCATATTTAGCACTTTAAATGAATAAAGGAAATTTTAATCCAGATGAGAGTAAACATGCAAAACAAAACAAAAACAACCTACTAGGGGAGGGATGGAGAAAGATGGCCAAATAGAAGCCTTTAACAATCATCCCTCATGCAGGAACACCAAATTTAACAACTGTTTACACAAAAAGCACCTTAAGAAGAACCAAAAATCAGGTGAGCACTGACTATCTAGTTTAACTTCACTTTGCTAAAAGTGGCACTGAAGAGAGTAGGAGAAACAGTCTTGCAACACTGATGCTATCCCTCCCCCACCCCCAGATAGTGGCCACATGGCACAGAGAATCTATCCATGCATGGGAGAGGGAAAGCACAGCAGTTGTGAGCCATTTCATTGAATTTAGTGCTAGTCCCTCACAGCAGAAAGGAAACTGGGGCTGAATCTAGGTGACACCCACCGAAGGACTATTTAGACCAGCACTAACCAGAGGAGAATCACCCATCCCTCACCACCACAAGCTAAAGTGCTCTGGGGCTCTAACTAAACTTGAAAGGCATTATAGGCCACAAGGACTGCAGCTCCTAGGCAAGTCCTTGTGCTGCGCTGGGCTTGGAGCCAGTGGACTTGGGGACATGCAACCTATTGAGACACCAGCTGGGGTGGCTAAGGGAGTACTTGTGCCATTTCTCTCCCAATCATAGGCAGCATAGCTCACAACTACATGGAGACCCCTTCCTTCCACTTGAGTAGAGGAGAGGAAAGTGGACTTAGTCTTTCATGTTAGATATCAGCTCAGCCACAGTAGGATAAGGCATCTGTCAGAGTCAGGAGGCTCCCATTCCAGGTCCTAGCTTGCAGATGACATTTCTAGACACACCATGGGTCAGAAGAGAACTCGCTGCTTCGAAGGAAAGGATCCAGTCCTGGCAGGATCCATCACTTGCTGACTAAAGAGCCCTTGGGCCCTGAATAACTAGCAGCAATCCCCAGTGATATGAATTGGCTCTGTGTCCCCACTCAAATCTAATCTGTAATTGTAATCCCCACATGTCAAGGGAGGGACCTGGTGGAAGGTGTTTGGATCATGGGGGCAGTTTTTCCCATGCTGTTCTTGTGATAGTGAGTGAGTTGTCACAAGAGCCGATGGTTTAAAAGTGTGACATTTTCCCTTCACACTCTCGCTCTCTCTTCTGCCACTATGTAAGATGTGCCTTTCTTCCCCTTCACCTTCCACCAGGATTGTAAGTTTCCTGAGGCTTCTCAAGCCATGTGGAACTGTTAGTCAATTAAATCTTTTTTTCCCCATAAATTACCCAGTTTCAGGTAGTTCTTTAAAGCAGTATGAAAATGGACTAATACAGAAAATTGGTACTGGGGTAGTGGGGTACTTTATAAAGGTAACTAAAAATGTGGAAGCGACATCGGAATTGGGACATGGGCAGAGGTTGGAACGCTTTGGAGGGCTCAGAGGAAGACAGGAAGATGAGGGGATGTTTGGAACCTCTTAGAGACTTGTTGAGTGGTTGTGACCAAAATGCTGATAGTGATATGGACAATGACGTGCAGGCTGAGGTGGTCTCTGATGGAGATAAGGAACTGATTGGGAACTGGAGTAAAGGTCACTCTTGCTATGCTTTAGCAAAGAGATGGTGGCATTTTGCCCCTGCTCTAGATATCTGTGGAACTTTGAAGAGCAATATAGGGTACAAAAATAGTTATAAAAAGTGAACAAGACCTACTATTTGATAGCACAGCAGGGTGACTATAGTCAATAATGACTTAACTGTACATTTTAAAATAACTTAATGTATGTAATTGGATTGTTTGCAACTCAGTGTATAAATGCTTGAGGGGATGGATACCACATTATTTATGATGTTCACCTGCTATTTACCCACAAAAATTAAAAAATAAAAAAGATTAGCAACATTTCTATATGCCAACAGTGAACAACCTGAGAAGGAAATCAGGGAAGTAATCCCTTTTGCAATAGCTACAAATGAAATAGAATATCCAGAAAGTAAATTAACGAAAGAAGTGTAAGATCTCTACAGTGACAATCATAAAGCATCAATGCAAGAAATTGAAAAGGACACAAGCAAAAATGAAAAGATATTCCATGTTCATGGATTGGGAGAATCAATATTATTAAAATATCCATACTACCCAAAGTAATCTACAGAGGCAATCTCTATCAAAATACCAATTCCATTCTTCACAGTAATAGAAACAATAATCCTAGAATTTATATAAAACCACAAAAGTCCCAGAATAGCCAAAGCTATCCTAAGTAAAAAGAACAAAACTGGAGTTACTGCATTGCCTCACTTTAAATTATACCACAAAGCTATAGTAATGAAAACAGCTTGGTACTGGTGTAAAAACAGACACATACACCAATGGAACAAAAGAGAGAACCCAGAAATAAATTCATGCAGCTACAGTAAACTCATTTTTGACAAAGATGCCAAGAACATAAACTGGGGAAAGGACAATCTCTTCAATAAATGGTGCTGGGAAGACTGGCTATCCATATGCAGAAGAATGAAACTAGACCTCTCTCTCTTACCATATACAAAAATCAAGTCAAAATGGATTAAAGGCTTAAGTCTAAGACCCAATACTATAAAACTACTAAAAGAAATCATTGTGGGAAACTCCAAGACATCGGAGTGGGCAAATATTTCTTCAGTAATACCATATAAGCACAGGCTTCAAAGCAAATGTAGACAAATGAGAGTGCATCATTTTAAAAAGCTTCTGCACAGCAAAGGAGATAATCAACAAAGTTAAGAGACCACCTGCAGAATGGGAGACCATATTTAAAAACTACCAATCTGACAAAGAGTTAATAACCAGAATATATAAGAAGCTCAAACAACTCTATTGCAAAAAATCTATTAATAATAATACAATTAAAAAATGGGCAAAATATCTGAATAGACATTTCTGAAAAGAAGACATACAAATGGTAAACAGGTATGTGAAAAAATGCTCAACATTATTGATCCTCAGAGAAACACAAATCAAAATTACAATGGGATACCATCTCATCCCCAGTTAAAATGGCTTTTATCCAAATGACAGGCAATAACAAATGCTGATGGGGATGTGGAGAAAGGGGAACCGTTGAACATTTTTGGTGGGAATGTAAATTAATACAACCGCTACAGAGAAGAGTTTGGAGCTTCCTCAAAAAACTAAAAATAGATCTACAGGCTACTATATGATCAAGCAATCCTACTCGTAGCTATATTCCCAAAAGAAAGGAAATCATTGTATCAAGAGATGTCTGCACTCTCATGTTTCTTACAGCACTATTCACTATAGCCAAGATTTGGAAGCAACCTAAGTGTCCATCAACATATGAACAGATAAATATATCATAGTACATATACACAATAGAATACTCTGCAGCCATAAAAAGAATGAGAACATCTTATTTGCAATAACATGGATGGAACTAGACATCATTATGTTAAATGAAGGAAGCTGGGCACATAAAGACAAACATTGCATGTTATCACTTGTGGAATCTAAAAATAAAAACAATTGAACTCATGGAGGTAGAGAGTAGAAGGATGGTTTCCAGAGGCTCAGAAGGGGATGGTGGGGTGGAAGTGGGGATGTTTAATAGGTAAAAAAAATTGTTAGAATAAGACCTATTATTTTTTAGCACTTCAGAGTGACTATAGACAAAAATAATTTACTCGTACATTTAAAAATAACTAGAAGAGTATAATTGGATTGTTTGTAACACAAAGGATAAATACTTGAGGAGATGGATACTCCATTTGCCCTTATATGATTATTATACATTGCATGCCTGTATCAAAATTCTCATGTAATGCATAAATATATACACCTACTATACACCCACAAAAATTAAAAATTAAGAAAAAGCTACAAGGCAGAATCTAACATTGTTAGAAAGGCCTAAGCAATGTTCTATGCATCCCAGAAGAAGGAGAGATTAATTCTATCCAGAGCATCACAGAAGGAATCATCTAAGACTAGGGTGAAGAAACTATAGTTTTCAAGGGCCAAATCTTGCCCACTACTTTGTTTTATAAATAAGTTTTACTTGAATCACAGTCATGCTCATGTATTTATGTATTGTCTATGTTAGCTTTCATGCTATGACAGCAGAGTTGAGTAGTTATAACAGAGACTGTATGGCCACAATGCCCACAATTTTCTGTATGAACATTTTCACAAAAATGATATTTGAGACTGGCCTAGAATGATTCTAACAAAGAGAAGGGCAGTATTAGCAGGAGATGGTATGAACAAAAGCAGTGATATGAGAAAGTCCTGGGTGTATTCATTCATGGAAATTGAATTACAGTAAAGTTCATAATATACAATGAGTGATGTCCCTAAAAAACCTAATTTTGTACAATGGAGAGTTACATTTTTGAGTGGTTAATGGAAGAACCAAAACTGGCCTATTCAGCTAGTCTGTTAGGTGTCTGGTTGAATAATTCAAATTTGCCCAGATTGTGGTTTGACAACACTTAGTAACTGGCAATATTCTTTCAGGACTGAAACAGTAATTACAAGAATATCCCAACACTTGGCTCATGTTTCACCAGCCAGATCTATGGAGATAGGATGAGGCTGGCAGCATGGGATGTGGCCTACACCTCTCTGCTTCCCAAATTTGGATTGCTTGCTTATTCTCAAACTTGACTCACCCCTTCGCTCCTCTACATCTTGCTGCTTACCACTCTGGACCAAGATAAGAGCTTTAACATCACTGCATTTGCCATTGAGCCGGCACAGAAGATGTCAGCCAGTTGACAATTGGTTAGATCCAAATTGACTTTACTACAGGGCATGTTACTACAGGGTTTCACATAAGTTCAGTTTGGTTGGAGCATAAGGTATTTGTGAGAATATCTGGTAAAGTAAGACTGAAAACACATTGTGAAAGGCATTTGGTGACATGATGAGGAGTTTGGACTTCATTCTGAAGGTAATGAAGGAACAATTAGATGAGATCTTTTACATTCTTTTTTAACTAGGCAGTAACATGCTGTCTTACAGACAAAAATAATAAATGTTGTGGCTGTCTTAAATAAATAGCTTTGCTAAACAACAAAAGGCATATTCAAGTATAAATGTTTGAGTTAGATGATCACTCTTGGGAAGAGAACTGCCCTGTACCTGAAAATGACAAGAATACCAAATTATGTCTTGTACTTTCAAGCCTATTTCAATGACAAGAAGCACCTAGGGGTTATAGACACATTTGTCAGAGCTGATAAAATAATGAAAGAGGAAGATCACCAGTCCACTAGACTGTGAGCTACCTGAAGGCAGGTGTTGTCTTCCATGCCTGAATCTTCAGCACCTAGCAGCATATCCAGTATGTCCTGTTAATATACAAAAACATATAGGAAGTATAGACAACTGGCTTTATTTCAATTGATACTGTTTTGTTTTTCCCAACAGAAAGCAAGAGTACATAAATGCATTTGATTGATATAGGTGCTGTTTTTCTAGATCCTAATTACTGAACCTAGACATCATCCATCATATATTTGCATTGTGTAACTGTTACCCCTTGGTGACAAAGTAATCTCTTGAGTGCGTGTGTGTGTGCGTGTTTTAATTGACAAGATCCCATTCCTATATTCACTTCCTGCTCTCTGCTATGGGACCTTAATTGTTTTAACTGTTTTTTAGTTAGTACTACACCAGGTGTACTAAATACACTTGACAAGCTATTCCCTCTGAATGAGTATGGGAGAAATTTGTGAAATTCAGCTTTTTTGCCTTACCTGTATATTTAAAGACTGCAAGCCCACTCTCTTAGCAGTTGAAAGAGGCCTTTGGCCGATTGTCTGTTAAAGTGTGTTATTTTTATCACATAAATTTCAGGAAGTAAATAGTCCTCCTTCTTCCAGCCTTCTAATGTCTCTCCAGGGCAAGATGAAAATATTTTTTAGACTGTGCATTTTAATATAACCCTGAAAGGCAAAGCAAGGTACTTACACTGGCTTTAAATCTCTAATTCTGTAACTACTTTAGTAGCAAACTTGAATCTTTGCAGAATTGCAAAAGGATGGCATTTGACTTCATGACTCTTGAATTACCCTGTGTAACAATTTTCTCCAACTTATTATAGTTCCCAGTGCCCTATTGTGACACTGAGCTCTAGGGAACAAGGAAGTGTTTTGGCCTCTGGAGAACCTGGACATTAACTCATGCAGCAATCACCTTGTGGCCCTGGAATAAACACCCAGAAAATTTCAGGAACGGTGTTCTTGGCATCACTGAACTGTTAAGCCAATGTCAGTCACTGTGCTACCAATAACCTATTTTCAGACTTTTTGTTTTATAAAGAGATATAAGCCCCTCTTTGTTTAAGCAGCTAAACTCTGTGTTTCTGTTACTTGCAGATGACAGCAGTGCCAAATGACACAAACTTGGTGCTAGGAAAGTAGTACAAAAAGGTATTCTAGATGCTTTCATAGAAGGCTCTAAAACATAAGAAAAGAACAAGGGAGGGATTAGCTCATTTTTGCCTATGGGCTTCTGTTCTCGCCTTGGTGAAAATGGCAGTCATATGACCTAAGAGCTGAAGCATAATAAGAAAGCACAGGTCATGGCATATTAGGAATAAGGGTCAAATTCCAATTCTTCCACACTGGCATGTAGCCTTACATGAGTGTCAAGATACTTTTGGAGGTTTGAAATAGTTAATAGCCCTGCTGGTGGCTTGGGATGCATGTCACATTCAGCATTTTCAAGGCAAAATGCCCATATTCTGGTTCTGGAATCCTAATTATATCCCACATTGCATTTTGCCTCTTCTCCCCTTCAGGCCCATTTGCAAGCTCCTCGTCTGAGATTCATTTTTCATTTTAATATCTGCTGTCAATCACAGAAGGGAAACATTAAATTATTTCTTGGAAGCAAATGTTATAGGTTTTTCTGGTTAAGGAGAGTTAATTTACAAAAGTTTTAATGAAATCCAGATTTTATTTGAACTTTCCATTCAGTAAGCAAATGTCTTCAAACAGACTGCAACTTGAGATTGAAAGACATATCCACCTTCCACAAATCAAGCACACTTAAAAATAAGCAAGTGGAAAATGAAGCCTGATTACTGATTTCGCCCTGTCAGTAATTGTCATTAATCTTTTGCTACTTATATATGCTTTGTTCATATGATTCCCACATTCTTTGCTGCTATAAATATTTCATAAGATATTCAAAGCCAGTTCACAACAAAATAATAACAAATGTCAGTTGACACATTAAAAAGATGCGTAGAGAGTTTAAACATAAATTCTACAGCAAAGCTTGATTAACATCTTAGGTCACTCTAAAGAAATAACATGTACAGTGAAATATGAGGCTGCAATTAGCATGGACACGCTAAGTAGCAGCCCATTCTCAATGGAAAAGAGAGCAGAGGCTCTAGTTCTTTTCAGGCTTTCTGCATATTCTCCACTCTATTAAGAACCACATGGTTTTTATTGCAAATATTATTTTAAAAAAGACCAAGCTTCATGCACTACAGAGATATAATTATTCTTCTTTGGGTAACCCGTTGTGTTCATAGTCACAGTCACAATCCATGATGAAATGCAACGGATGGTCCTTGGTAATATTTTCAAGTTGCAAAGTCAGTTGAACTATTTTTTTTCTTCTGCTTTCCTTTTCTGTCCTTTGACCCACCCTCTCTAAGAATACTCATAGAGTCCCTTTGGATGTGTCCACTTCAAAATCTCTTTTTTATTTTACGTATCCTCAGTTTAACCATATCCATCAGAACTCCATTTTCCTGGGTCTTGTCTCTGAATGACTGGGTGAAAATTTCCTGAGAAATTAATGGATGTCTAAATGTCAATGACTAACAGCAGTTTTATATGTTTACTTTCCTACTTGGCATGTGTGCATTTTGGCTTGGGCTTTCAGAGCCATAACTTAAAGTAATGATTACTGTGAAAATTCCTAATTCCATGTAGTATGAGGGACAAGGGGGAAACGTTTTTACTCGGGGAGGTTTTTCCTGACATTCTTCATGTCATATCCTCTAGATAATGCTTAATTAACCTACACATAGGACTGAACCAACACAGCAACAATATTCTTGAAGCACTCAAGAAGGTAAAATGTTCAAAGGAAAGTCTTGAGAGCTTACCTTTCTTGACACGATTTAATAGTACTTGTTGCCATGGTCATTTTCATGATTTTCTTGCTTTACCTACAAAAGAGAGGTTGGTAATATGATTTTTTTTCCTGTGGGATACTACCATGTGCCAACTATTTACATTCTGATAGTCCTCATTTATTTAAATAACAAATTGCTTAGTTGTGTTGCAATTAATGGCTAAATAAATGGGAATCTAGCTTCTTTAATGTTTCATTCTTCCTCTTGAAATTCCCCAGGATTTATTCATTTATTCAGAAAAGCATTTTTGAAACATCTTCTAGTATGTGTTGGAAATTATGTGAAATCTAGACACAAAAAGATGACTAAGACATGATTGCTGGTTTTGAGGAGTTCAGTAGAATGAGAGAGAATGTCAGGTAATAAATGCATGATGAAACAGAGTGTAGTAACAACTCTGATAGGAGGTATATAAGGCATTCTATGGAATCTCAGAGGCAGTAAGCTGAGCTTCTGGCAGCTGGCCTTCTGAGAAGAGGGAAGTGTAAAGTACTTTGAAAGGGCAAGTGATTAGAGGCACGGAGGTATGGAAGAAAGAAAACAATCGGGTTTTGAAATGAGATAGACTTATGTAATTTCTTTGACTATTTAGTCTACTCATCTGTACAATGGAGGTAATACATTTTACATGAAAGTTTTTAAAATGAGGATTACAAGTAATTATCAAAGGAGTTATTAATTTAGAAGTATAATTCTTTTCAAAACATGCCTCAAAAGCAAGTTCTGAAGTTTTGTTTAGAGGAATCTTTCAAGGAATTACAGAAAGCTGTAGCCCCAGCTTTCTCCTCCCATTTTCTCATAAGATTATAATTATACTGAGGAACCAAAAATCTTACACTCTGAGTCTAGGGAAGGTAGGAGGAATGGAATGGCAGAGACAGAAGTGAGTGAAAAATATCTGAGATGAATAGAAGAGTGAGTATTAACCTGTTTAACAGTAGGGCAAGTGAAAATACGTTAAACTTCATCTTCTTTCATCAGAAAAAAGCATGTTTTAAATTCTTACTCATTGAAGACCCAACTATTATGTATAGTATTTGTGATCATTGTACTTTCATTTAGGAATGCTGTATAAGTACTCTCAGTGAGTATGTATTATTGTAGGAAAAGATTATCAACTAGAAAGCTATTTATATTAGAAACAACACACACACACACACACACACACACACACAGATATACACATATACATGTATGTATGACCCTTTACTCAGTTTTCTCAGGGGATTGGTTCCAGGACTGCCTACGCATAACAAAAATCTGTGTATTCTCAAGTTCTGCAGAAGCTATGAATACAAAAAGTTAGCTCTCCATATACATTTGCATTAATATGCATTTGCATTCTGCAAATACTGTATTTGCAATCTGTGTTTGATTATGGCTGCTGAACCCGCTGACATAGAGAGCTGACTGTAGTTATTGAAAACAATTCACATATAAGTGGGCCCCCACAGTTCAATCACATGTGTTCAAGGATCAGCTTATCGTCTGTCTATGCTACTAGTTTGGTACCAGAAAAATAGGTTAGCAAAAAAAAAAATACTATGTTTATCTTAGGGACTGAGACAATTTTTAAAGATAAATTTTCAGAAATAGTAAGAACCATGTGCTCAGGATATCAGCAGAGTTCTGCGGGGAGGTGTGGGGCAAATCAAAGTAAGGGCGTTGTTCTTAGCAGAAGGTTTGACAGTTGGGAAATGATTTAGGTTCTGTCTATGTGTATACCTAGTGGAGTAGGTAAAATGTTCCAACAAATCACTTAGGTAGAATGCCTTCTAGAATTGCTTTGCCTTGAAGTTCTACCTGCCTACATATCTAGCCAGCTGCTTGGACCTTACTGCCCTTTGTAGATAATGCATTTTCTCTCCAGCAGTATGTGAGTTGGTAGAGAGTTGATTAAGTAGCCTTCGACCTCTCCCTGTGCTTCTCTGGGTCAAATAGATAGGAAAGAGAGAGGGGCAAGAAAACACTTGCTTAATATTTTAGTCCATTTTGTACTGCTCTGACAAAGCTCTACCAACTGACTAATTTATAATGAACAGAAATTTATTTCACACATACCTGGCAGCTAGAAAGTTCAAATTTAAGTCCCTGCCATCTAGTAAAGAAGGCTTTCATGTTGTGTACACACATACTGGAAAGAGGAAGGGAGAGATAGAGATAAATGCAGAGATAGAGATAGAGACAGATATATATATATATATATATATATATATATATATATATATATATAGAGAGAGAGAGAGAGAGAGAGAGAGAGAGAGAGAGAGAGAGAGAGAGAATCATACTTGCCCTTTTATAACAAACCCACTCCTATGATAATGGCATATAATCATGAGGGAGTAGCCCTCCTGGCCTAATCACCTCTAAATGGTCTCATCTTTTTAATACGGTAGCAATGGCAATCCAATTTCAACATGAGTTTGGGAAGGGGCAAATATTTAAATTTTATTTCGGAAGGCCACCCATAACCCTCGAAAACTTATGTCCTTCTCACATACAAAACATATTTATTCCATCTCAGTAGCCCCCAAAATCTTAACTCATTTGAGCAGCAACTCATAAGTCCAAAGTCCAGTCTCATCTAAATCAGACATGGGCGAGACTCAAGACATGATTCACCTTGAGGCAAATTCCCTCCAGCCATGAGCCTGTGAAATAAAAACAAGTTATCTACTTGCAAAATACAATGGTGGGATGGGCATAGAATAGACATTCCCATGCTAAAAGGGAGAAATAGGCAAGAAAAACCGAGTGACTGTTCCCAAGTAAATCCCAAATCCAACAGGGAAAGCAAACTAAATCCTAAAGCTTAAGAATAATCGTCATTGACTCCACATCCCACCATCCAGACACACAAGTGCAGGTTGGACCCTCAAAGCTCCAGGCAGCTCTGCCTGCATGGCTTTGCAAGACACAGCCCATGCAGCAACTCTAACAAGTTGGAGTCTTTTGCCTACAGCTATCCCAGGCTGGTGTTGCATGCTGGTAGCTCTACAGTTCTGGAATTTCAAGGGTGGTCGCACCCACATGGCTCCACTAGGCCTAGTGGGGACTCCTAGTCTTAGCTCTGCCTCCACAGTCTAACTGGACATTGCCCTCGTAGGGACTCCATGGTGATTCCTACCCTGCCACAAGTTTCTGTCAGGGCTCCCAGGCAGTTTGCAAAATCCGTTGAAGGTTAGATACAGGAAGCCATGCTCTCAACGCTCTTGCATTCCGCATGCCTACAGAATTATCACCATATGGACACTGTCAACATTTATAGCTTCTATTTTCCAGATTTGTGCGTCAAATGGCACCTGGGCCCACTTGGGCCATGCCTGGGGTGACTGAGGAACACTGGACCAGAATGTGTGGTGCAGAAACTGCAGGCACCCCTAGGCAGCAAGCTTCAAGGTTCTGAGTGTGCCCGAGGCCTCTCTTTTGACATATTTACTTCCCCTTGGCCTTGGCACTCTCGGTTTGTAATGGCAGGGGTGGCACTGGTAATCTCCAAAATACCCTTCAGATTATTCTACCATTGTCCTGATAAATAGCCTCTGGCTTCATTCTCTTCATAATAACCTTTCTATCAAACAGTTGCTTAGCCAAACACTTAGCTTCCTTTTTTGAAAATGTTCTTTTATTGTCTACCACACATCCAGGCTGAGAACCTTTAAATCCCCAAGTTCGATTTCTCTTTTAATTATAAGTTGTCTTTAAATCATTTCTTTCTCCTCACCTCTTACTATGTGCAGTTACAAGAAGCCACATAGCAAGCACATTGAAGGCTTTGCTGCTTACATATTTCCTCTGCCAGATACCCTAGTTTATCATTTTGTCTGCCACTTTATAACAAGGGTAACCTTTACTCCAGTTTCGAATACCTTGCTATTCATTCCTGAGACCTCATTAAAATTGCCTTTGCCATACAAATTTCTACAGCATTCTTATCACAACCATTTAAGTAATTCCTAAGGAGTTTCAGACTTTCCCTACAGATCTACTCTTTTTCTAGTGCTCACCTTAATCACTCTCAACACTTTCTTCATGGCAATACAAGTTTTTCCAGCATTCACTTCAAAACTGTTCTAGCCTCTATTACCCAGTTCCAAAGCCACTTACACATTTTTAGGTGTTTGTTATAGCAATACCGCATTTCTCTGGTGCCAATTTTAAGTCTTAGTCTCTTCTGTGTCACTGTAACAGAATATCACAGACTGGGTAATCTATAATGAACAGATTTTTTTTTCTCAGATTTCTGGGGGCCGGTTAGTCTAAGATCAAGGTGGTGGCAGCATCTGGTGAGAACATTTGGATGCACCTTCATATAGTATAAGGCAGAAGAGTGAGGGCAAGAGAGGGAGAGAGAGAGAGAGAGAGAGACGTGAGCCAAATGCACCCCTTTATAATCAATCCACTTTCTTAAAAATGACATTAATTCATTCATGAAGGTGGAGCCCTCCTGGCCAAACAACTTATTTTTTTTTATTATTGTACTTTAAGTTCTAGGGTACATGTTCAGACCATGCAGTTTTGTTAAATAGATATACACGTGCCATGGTGGTTTGCAGCACCCATCAACCCATCACCTACATTAGGTATTTCTCCTAATGCTATGCCTCCCCTAGCCTCCATCCTCTGACAGGCCCTGTTGTGTGATGTTCCCCTCCCTGTGTCCATGTGTTGTCATATTTCAACTCCCACTTATGAGTGAGAACATGCGGTGTTTGGTTTTCTGTCCTTGTGTTAGTTTGCTGAGAATGATGGTTTCCAGCTTCATCCATGTCCCTGTAAAGGACATGAACTCATCTTTTTTTATGGCTGCATAGTATTCCATGGTGTATATGTGCCACTTTTTTTTTAACCAGTCTATCATTGATGAACATTGGGGTTTTGTTTCCAAGTCTTTGCTATTGTGAATAGTGCCGCAATAAACATGTGTTCATGTGTCTTTATAGTAAAATGGTTTATAATCCTTTGGGTATATACCCAGTAATGGTATTTCTGGGTCAAATGGTATTTCCAGTTCTAGATCCTTGAGGAATTGCCACACTGTCTTCCACAATGGTTGAACTAATTTACACTCCCACCAACAGTGTAAAAGCGTTCCTATTTCTCCACATCCTCTCCAGCATCTGTTGTTTCCTGACTTTTTAATGATCACCATTCTAACTGGCGTGAGATGATATCTCATTGTGGTTTTGATTTGCATTTCTCTAATGACCAGTGATGATGAGCTTTTTTCATATGTTTGTTGGGGGCATAAATGTCTTCTTTTGAGAAATGTTGAGAAATGTCTGTTCATATCCTTTGATGGGGTTGTTTGTTTTTTTTCTTGTTAATTTGTTTAAGTTCTTTTTAGATTCTGGATATTAGCCCTTTGTCAGATGGATAGATTGCAAAAATTTTCTCCCATTCTGTAGGTTGCCTGTTCCCTCTGATGATAGTTTATTTGGCTGTGCAGAAACTCTTTAGTTTAATTAGATCCCACTTGTCAATTTTGGCTTTTGTTGCCATTGCTTTTTGTGTTTTAGTCATGAAGTCTTTGCCCATGCCTATGCCCTGAATGGTAATGCCTAAGTTTTCTTCTAGGATTTTTACGGTTTTAGGTCTTACATATGAATCTTTAATCCATCTTGAGTTAATTTTTGTATAAGGTGTAGGAAGGGATCCAATTTCAGTTTTCTGCATATGGCTAGCCAGTTTTCCCAATACCATTTATTAAATAGAAATCCTTTCCCCATTGCTTGTTTGTGTCAGGTTTGTCAAAGATCAGATGATTGTAGATGTGTGGCATTATTTCTGAGGCCTCTGTTCTGTTCCATTGGTCTATGTATCTGTTTTGGTACCAGTACCATGCTGTTTTGGTTACTGTAGCCTTGTAGTAAAGTTTGAAGTCAGGTAGCGTGATGCCTCCCACTTTGTTCTTTTTGGTTAGGATTATCTCGGCTATGTGGGCTCTTTTGGTTCCATATGAAGTTTAAAGTAGTTTTTTCCAAATCTGTGAAGAAAGTCAGTGGTAGCTTTATGGAGATAGCATTGAATCTATAAATTCCTTTGGGTAGTATGGCCGTTTTCATGATACTGGTTCTTCCTATCCCTTAGTATGGAATATTTTTCTATTTGTTTGTGTCCTCTCTTATTTCCTTGAGCAGAATACAGGATCTGGTTTTTTGAAAAGATCAACAAAATAGACCGCCAGCCAGACTAATAAAGGAGAAAGGAGAGAAGAATCAAATAGATGCAATAAAAAATGATAAAGGGGATATCACCAGTGATTGTACAGAAATACAAACTACTATCAGAGAATACTATAAACACCTCTACGCAAATACACTAGAAAATCTAGAAGAAATAATTGATAAATCCCTGGACACATACACCCTCCAAAGTCTAAACCAGGAAGAAGTTGAATCCCTGAATAGACCAATAACAAATTCTGAAATTGAGGCAGTAATTAATAGGCTACCAACCAAAAAAAGTCCAGGACCAGACAGATTCACAGCCGAATTCTACCAGAGGTACAAAGAGGAGCTGGTACCATTCCTTCTGAAACTCTTCCAAACGATAGAAAAAGAGGGAATCCTCCGTAATTCATTTTATGAGGCCATCATCATCCTGATACCAAAACCTGGTAGAGACACAACAACGCTAAAAGAAATTTCAGACCAATATCCATGACGAACATTGCTGCGAAAATCCTCAATAAAATACTGGCAAACCATATCCAGCAGCATATCAAAAGGCTTATCCACCACGATCAAGTTGGCTTTATCCCTGGGATGCAAGGCTACTTAAACCTATGCAAATCAATAAATGTAATCCATCACATAAACAGAACCAATGACAAAAACCACATAATTATCTCAATAGATACAGAAAAGGCCTTCGACAAAATTCAACCCCTCTTCAAGCTAAAAACTCTCAATAAATTAGGTATTGATGGAACGTATCTCAAAATAATAAGAGCTATTTATGACAAACCCACAGCCAATATCATACTGAATGGGCAAAACCTGGAAGCACTCCCTTTAAAAATCGGCACAAGACAAGGATGCTTCTCTCTCCCTGGTCAGAACTTCCAATATTCAACATAGTGTTGGAAGTTCTGGCCAGGGCAATCAGGCAAGAGAAAGAAATAAAGGGTATTCAAATAGGAAAAAAGGAAGTCAAATTGTCTCTGTTTGCAGATGACATGATTGCATATTTAGAAAACCCCATCATCTCATCCCCAAATCTCCTTAAGCTGGTAAGCAACTTCAGCAAAGTCTCAGGATACAAAATCAATGTGCAAAAATCACAAGCATTCTTATACACCAATAACAGACAAATAGAGAGCAAATAATGAGTGAACTCCCATTCACAATTGCTACCAAGAGAATAAAATACCTAGTAATACAACTTGCAAGGGATGTGAAGGACCTCTTCAAGGAGAACTACAAACAACTGCTTAAGAGTCTCACTTCTTAATACTGATACAATGGCAATAAAATTTTGACATGACCTACAGGGTAATTGAGGAAGAATCATGATGCTTCCAAGGGCTTTTGGGCATTGTCAGTTAAACAACACATTGTGGTTGAATTTGTAGTTTTTAACTCATTGATAGTATAGAGACCTCCAAAATGCCAATCATAATAAAACAGCAACAACACCCAGAATCCAAACACTTTTGCAGAATCAACATGTACCCATCTCTGACACTGAAATAAAGACTCAAATTCACCCTCCTGAAAGTGGAATGAGGGAGCTCTATTTGAAGAAATACTTGAATTCTTATCTTTCCAGAGCCACTGAAAAGTTCCTGACAACATAGCTCAAAATACAGTTTCAGAGCAGTGATTTCACACTGGAATCAAGGGTTTGAAAGGATCTTAAGGTTTACTACCCCAAACCCTGCTCAAGTTGAGTCTTGAGATCAACCTTTTTTCCCTTTATCAAAGGGGGTACTAATCTAGTTTTTAACACAGTCTGCCATTTCTATGTCAGCTGAATATCATGATGTTCATAATTCATTATTTATGTCAGAACAGACAGTGTGATATTATGTATATTTTGTTCAGGTTAAACTTCAATTTTAGGAGCAGCTGGTTGTTTAGATTAAACAGGTTATTAATGATCATTGATATTATGGCAGGGATAATCTACATTTCAGAGACTGGTAACCAGCTTCTTTCAGAAAGACCAGACTTCAGAGCCAGGTTTTTCAAGTACTTCTGTTATTCTATTTCTATTAACATCTGAGGCTTTTGATGATTAGCATACAAAATGTCAGAAAATAGGCTTTTATTGGTGAAATTTGTTCCTTGTTAATTAGTATGCTGTATTGTTAGAAAGGGGCTCTTTCTAGAGAAATGAAAGGCATTGAAGATACAAATATGAGTATCAGCTAAAGCATTTTAGAGTCTCTCTCCCAACTTGATGAAAAGGTTTTAGTATGTAGTGAGGCATTACTGTCAAGTTGATCTCAGTTTGAACAGCCGTTTTTCGTGGACTTGGAAGATTTCTAGTGTACTTAGAAGATTTCTAGTTGCCTGAGGTCAACTATAAAGACAATAATGTTATGCTTCTAGAGTAGTATTGTGTCTTCCTTTAGTTTCCTTTCATGCAATGTAGTGGTAGAAGCAACTAATAGGGCAAAGAGCTAAGCCTTTATTAAGCTTAGAGAACAGATTTGTGATTGATTTAGTGCCTGTTTGATAGGGAGTGTTTAATTCATGTATATGTGGCAGAATTTGGTCTGAGACTTACTTTCATTATAACCTGACAGTGAAATTGAAGAAAAGTGGATAAACCTGGCTCACCTCAAGCTTCCTTAATGACAATTCTTATCTACTAAACAGAACCTAAGAGTTGTGCATGATCAAATTGGTTTAGGTCACTTTGCAACAGAATTTCCCTATAACTGCACTGATTAATAACTGTGAAGTGAAAGTTTCACACAGAAAGGAGAGATGAGCCTGAGGAAGGTGTTTTATTTCTGACTCAGTCTCCTTGTTGGCATTTGTTGAGTTAATGCCTTTAGGGCTGGCCTATCAGAGGAAGATCAAAGTTTGGGTTCTTATGGGAAATGAACAATATTTTCTGCCTTTCCCTGTGTATCCTTAATTAACGCCTTTGGGGAAGAGGATTGTAAGGATTAGATAGAGGAGGTTTTTGTTGTTGTTTTTTATTCAAAAATATGCTATATATCACAGATTTATGCTTTTTTGTTCTTTTTATGATTTACAACAGGAAGACCACAAATAAAAAGTTAGAAAAACAGTGATATATTTTTAGTTTCTAGGAGAAAAGTGTGTGTAGTAGAGGGAGACTGAACAAAAGAAAAAAGGTCTGAGGTATGAGAAATATCCTCTACATAGACCTATTGCAGGACCATTTTATGGGCTTCTGAAATATTGGCAAATGGCTTCTCAGAAAAGCTAATAGTCTCATTTGACTCCATCCCCTTGGAATTATTTGAGTCAGTTTAAAAAAAACAATTCTAAGTAATAAGAAAGGGACAATGGGACTTCTAGACCAAGTTAGTCTGGAGCCTACCCAGACCAAACTTCAGAGAGAAAATGAAGGGATGTAGAGGCAGGTTTCCAGATAATGTTAACAAAAACCTTATAGATCCTAGAGATCCTGGTCAATTCAATAAAAAGCAATTTAAAAATATGTAAATCCTGTAGGCTTGTTCATTTCTGTCTCTGAATAATGACAAATTATCCCCTGAAAGTTGAGATTTAGACTAAACCTCTCTATGAATATTGCCTGGTTAGCACTGACCTATTGCTGCCTCCACTCTTTATTCCCTACAACCACCATCTTCACTTCTTTGTTTTCGAAACTCCTAAGCCCTTGTATTTGCATTTCCTTTCAGCGGCATTAGTTTCCATTTGTTAAAATTCCTCGAGCTTTTCAAATATTGTTGATTTTTCTTTCCAGATTAGTCTATAAACTACCAGCTTTAAGTACTCTGTTGTTTCTGTTTTATTATCAAAGGCTCTAGAACAAGGGTCTAATTTTATTGCTTTGGAATAAAATATCAGAATGTTAGTTAATATTACTTATGTAGCCTGTTATAGATTATTTTAATTAGGAACAGAATGGAGATTGAAAACTAGTCAGTGATTGAGAATTGTAATTCTTCAATCTCCAAGAGTCTTTTGTGTTAACCTACCCCGGTGCAGGTTAAAATTAGGTGAATGAGGATAGAGGAGAGAGAGAGAGAAAAGAACACAGTACTGCCTTGCTTAGCATTGGTGAGAGAAGGAGACTCTTGTGTAGAACATTTCTGGACAACTATTGGAAAGATAGGAAGATAGTGAAGACTATGCTTTTTATATAAGGGAAGTCTATGGAACTCTTCCATTTCGGAGTTGATAATTGAAGGCGTTATCAATTGTCCCATTTGGAATTAATAATTCAAAGGCATTATCAATTGTTCCATTTGAAAATCTCCAACTTTAATGAGGATCCTATCATTCCCATTTACCCTTAAAGGCCTCCCAACCCATGTTCTGTGTAGTCTGGTAATCTAGTTCTCCAGAATTTACAGTGTGGCTCTTATTTGATAGTTCGAATAACTTTTCAGTGAGCATTATTTCCATACACCTTTCACCTTATGCTTCAGCTTCGTAATACTGATAAATTTAATGTGTTTTCCTTCCATATTGGCTATTTACAGAGATAGACTTATGTCTTTACTTCAATAAATTCACCTTTTCTAATTTTCACACATGATCATCCTCATTCATAGACAATATTTTAATAACATTCGTAAATCCAAGTTGGGGACATTATATGGTGCCATGGGTGGAGGGTATTCTGTTTTATTTTTGATGACAGAAGAGCTACTTGCCCCTACCATAATGTGAACTGATTGATTATAGGAGACTCCTATAGGCTTTAAAGTAAGCCGACTTTGAGCTGTAGTAATCGAGCATTGCTTCCTATGATAGAGCAAGGAAAATGGCAATTGGCTTCATAAGCAAGTCCTTGTCATCTCATTAAAAGACTTAAACTGTTTGTTGGTTAAATTGTTAGGTCACAAATTAGAATCTTGATCTCGTGGTATGGACAAAATATTCAGTCATCTGGAAATAGACTTTATAGTCAAGCCACTTTATTAAGAACATTTCTGACACTACTAGCCTGATTCCTAAAAAGGAGAGAAAATACCACACAAAGGAAATTTCTATTTTCTACTTGCGGAGCGTGGATGTTGCATGCAAAACAACTGAATATTTGAGCGTGTCATTTATAGGACATGTAAATATATGTAGTTTTAATGCCATTAGTATTATACATACTTATTGCACAACTGTTTTGTGCTTACTTTAACTACATGTTTCTCCCTGGTTTATTATTACATTTATAATTTATACATAGATAACAGCCTGTGTTTGCAGAATATCAATTTGTTTGCTTTTCATACTACTTTGTGGCACAATGTCTTATGAGATAAACAGTTAAAATTTCTTAATTTGGATTCTAGCATTTGCAACCATTTAAACTAATATTGTGTGGTAACATACTTTCTCTTTATATTTGGAGAAATAAAAGGGTTTCTGAGCAAACGAATATAGAACCAAAGATTAGAATGGCACTGTTTACCTTGCTTAGTAAAACAAGTTTCTTTGAAAAAATTTTAAATAGTTATTTGAAATCAAAACTTGGAGTGCTTCTTATTACGAATTTTTACCTGTACTTTGAAACAGGTTTCCTAGGAACCAACTGTACAATACTCCTTTAGGCTCATTTATATTAGCATGCCTACTTGAGATAACGTAACTGCATTTCTTTACAAATATTTTGTCAACTCAAACTGACTGATATGGTTTGGCTGTGTCCCCTCCCAAATCTCATCTTGAATTGTAGTTTCCATAATCCCCTTGTCCTGGGAGGAACCAGTGGGAGGTAACTGAATCATGGGAGCGGTTACCCCCATGCTGCTGTTCTCATGATAGTGAGTGAGTTCTCACGACATCTATGGTTTTATAAGGGGCTTTTTCTCCTTTTGCTCTGCACTTTTTGCTGCTACCATGTGAAGAAGGACATGTTTGCTTCCCTGTCCACCGTGATTATAAATTTCCTGAGGCCTCTCCAGCCATGCTGAACTCTGAGTCAATTAAACCTCTTTCCTTTGTAAATTACCCAGTCTTGGTTATGTCTTTATTACCAGCATGAGAGCGGACTAATACATTGACCATTCAAATTTATTTCACTATGGTAAGCTACATTAGAAAAAATACTTGATGAGGACTCAGGTAACCTAGATTCTACTCATAGGTGTGACCATTGCCAACTATATGACTTAAACAAGTCACATAATTTCATTAGTCCTTGGTTTTCTAATTTGAAACATGAGAAATGTGTCTTCTTACTCCAAAATGTAATGATTCTTTGCAGTTTCCTAAATTAGTCAGGATTTATGTGTATATCATATTTCAGAAATAGCAAATCTATTAATATATTAGATGTGAAAATCACGGATTTCTTAACAAAACCCTTCTCAGAGAACTTGCTTCACCCATAATTCCTAATTAAAAGTTATCAATATGATTCCAAACTCTGGCCTTTGGCTGATTGGATTAGAGATGAATACCTGGACAAAGGTGGACCTATTAAATAATGAGTGCTTTCTCATTTTTTCTTATTTGGAATGAAGTACTGAGTGAGTAGGACAATTAAGCAAAGGGCATTTGAAGAAAAAGACCAAATGAAATTTTGACTGGCAAATTTCCAGTCAAATTTGGAATCTGACAGCTCCAAGTCTAAGCCATAGTAAGACTGAAAGTATGGAGTATCAGAGATCCATGAGTGAAAACATAGGTCTGTAATGAGAAATTGGGGAATAAAGTATATACACAGATAGAAACAAAGACAAGGTAACTTATGACCCACAAGAGACAGGAAAAATGTTTTCAGTTCCTGACTTCAGTTTCAGTCCCAGCATAGCCAGTTAGTAATTAGAGCTCAGTCCTTGGATGTCTGTAAGATTGTCTGTTATATCCATACAATAAACCTGTCTTCACTTATTCTATCATTGGAATTCTGATATGTCATTAAGAAGGTTATATAATTAATCACCAACTCATTTTTATTTAAAGTTATACATCAGTATTGTATTAGGCGCTATGGAGGAAGCAAATTTGGAAATAAAGCTCAAGACATGGTCTTTTTGATTAAAATCTTAAAAATTGTTTTGGGGTGAAAAACCTAACACACTTAAAAAAGAGTGAATGCTATTTGCCAGTATTTAGTTTATTTTAAATATCTTAAATAAAAATATGTAGCACATATAAACTATAGTAATACTATGTATATGTTTCAGTCATTATAACTGATATGTGCTTATAATTGTTATACTGTGAATAAAAATAATTTATACAAATATATATACATGATATTTGTTGTAAATTCGTCTGTGTTGCTTGGAGGATGCATAAATATTCACTGAGATCAGTGCTTGGTGAAAATATCATGCATTGTTCCTTCAATACTAACACTTCTATTTCATGTAGAAATCAAGAAGTTAGGCCAGGTGCAGTGGCTCATGCCTGTAATCCCAGCACTTTGGGAGGTTGAGGCAGGCGGATCACGAGGTCGGGAGATCGAGACCATCCTGGCCAACATGGTGAAACCCCGTTTCTACTAAAAATACAAAAATTAACTGGGCATGTTGGCATGTACCTGTAATTCCAGCTATTCAGGAGGCTGAGGCAGGAGAATCGCTTGAACCAGAGAGTCTGAGGCTGCAGTGAGCTGAGATTGCACCACTGCACTCCAGCCTGGTGACAGAGCAAGACTCCATCTCAAAAAAAAAAAAAAAAAAAAAAAGAAAAAAGAAAAAAAGAAATCAAGAAGTTAAAGTGTTTCTCATGATTCACGCAGAATATGATATGAATAGGGAAACTTGAATTGACCCTTATATTTCTATGACAAGTTTTTTCATTTATTATCTTTTCTCAACTAATTATGTGAAGTCTGTATTGTTTGTTCTTTGTGGCCACGGAAGTCTCTATACAGTTTGCTTAGTGGTCAGATAATGATTAGACAGAGGTTTCCTTAAATGCCTGGTACCAATATGTCTGCCATTCTTTGCCAACGGGGTGTGTGTGTGTGTGTGTGTGTGTGTGTGTGTGTGTGTGTGTATGTTGGGGCATGCTTTTTATACTCAGCCGGTCAGTTTACAATTCTGCCTTACCCTTCATTTCCTGTTAGTTCAGAGACTAAAGGTAAGCCTGAAGTGAGAGTTTAGGTCTTTCTTGGGCATGTGCACAACTTTACACATGTAAACAGCCCTGGTCATGTGTGCGGCCTTCTAGATTCCCAGGAATATGTCAGAGATTTTCAAACCCCATGCACATCTCATTCTCCAGCTTCTCCTTTGAAGTTTTTGGTTAGCCTAGTGTATGCACCATCTCTTATCCACTGCCTCAGCTGAGATGTTCAACAACTGTGTCTGATGATTTTTTTCCAACAGAAATCCCCAGAAAAAAATTATGTTTGCACTGAGCAAGCTTCAAATCTGGTCACATAAGGAAAGTCTCATAAATGGTGTCCTCCAAATAACCCCCAAAAGTAATTACGCTTTTCTGGTAATTTGTCTTTTAAGGAGCTCCTAACCCATTCTATCGTCTCTACATGTTGCCAAATTTCTGGTTTTCACCATAATGAGAGATTTTTTTCTTAGAGCTAGTATGGATTTTGGTAGGAGGTTATAGGATAAGGCAATTTAAAGAATAGCAAATTAAGCTTGCTGTTCTTATTGAGATTCAGCTATTTTTCTTGAATAAACACTACCTAAATTGCTACAAGGATCTGGTTAATTTACAGAGTTCTGAAATTACTGGTTATGCCACCTTTTTTTTTTTTTGCAAGTGTTCTCATTGCTTTTGCAAAGGAGAGAATTTTCAGAGCTCCATACTCCACCATTTTCACTGACATTACCTCCCCTCCTTTGTCTTTCCTTCTATTTTCTCTCACTACAGAGAGCCTTTCTCTGCTTCAGCTTGCATGTAAACAATCTTATCAACCCCACATTGATAAGTTTATTGTACCTCGGTTCAAGTGACAAGTCTGAGTGAAATGAAACCTCACAACTCCCATTTCAAATTCTAGAGAGAGAGGTAATCTGATTGGTGCAATTTTTGTGCAATATTCAACCTTGTCCAATTACATATGGTCAGGATGACAGTGTCATGTAACATTAACATGGAATAGAGGAGCATTGCTCTTAGAATAAGAACGTATTTGGGCTTGTTAGGAACATGAAATGGTATCTATTACATGATAATATCCCTAGATGTAGCAAAGAATAGAGTCAATATACTGTAAAATTATGAGTAAATGAAGCACGAAGGAAAATATTAGGAAATTTTAGTTACCACAAACTTGTATGAAAAAAACAGAAACTATAAAAGGGGAAATTCTCTTTTATTATTACTATCCAGAGGTGACTTATTAACATGTTGATATACACTCAGCCATCTCTATCTATGGGTTCAGCATCCATGGATTCAACCAACCAAGGATTGAAAATATTAGAAAAATAAACAAAAAAACTATACAACAATAAAATAATACAAATTAAAAACAATATAGTATAACAACTATTAACATAGCATTTACATTGTTTTAAGTATTATAATTAACCTAGAGATGATTTAAAGTGTACAGGCTAATGTGTGTAGGTTATACACAAATACTGTATCATTTATTTAAGGAACGTGAGCATCCATGAATTTTGATTTCCATGGGGGTCCTGGCACCAATTCCCCTCTAAAATAGAGGGACAACTGTATATCTTTCTAGCCATATACAAATATGTTCTGAGAAATTTCCCATATCATTAAATATCCTTCTAAAATTTGAAAATTTAAGGATTCACAGTATTCTCTCTCTAATTCCAAGGTTCTCTAGGCCTCAATAGTCATGGGTAGTAATGGTTTCACCTTAACCATTATAAATCAAATTTTATGAGTTATTTTCTTTACATGCATAATGTAGGACTTCAAATATCCACAACGTATTTTCAATTTTTACAGGAATTGTGTTAGTCATGATTATTAACATTATTCTACATAAATCATTGTGTATATATTTATACATTTAGAGTTAATTCACAGAAATTTTTTTTACTACTTGGTCAAAGAGTATGAATATGTTTGATACTATTGTAACTTGCCTAATTGCCCCTTAGACTTTATTTTTAACAGCTTTCTTGTAATGGGATTTTCTAAAATCTGATATAAGAAGCTTCTCCATGTCTCTAAAATCTTTCTTGGACCAACTTAAGTAAGCTATCTTTCTGAATGTTGTACGATGTTTCTTGAAGAATCTACATTTATTGCGACAAATTGTATAGGCCATTCCCCCGCAACCCTGTGAGGTGAAAAAATCATCTATTGGGTACAATGTTCACTCTTTGGGTAATGGGTACACTGGAAGCCCAATTCCCACCAGTATGCATTATATCCATGTAACAAACATGCACACATACCCCCTCAATCTAAAATAAAATAAAAATATTTACAAATAATTATATTTCAATTGTTAGATAATAATTTGCCACATCAATTTACTGTATAATACCAACATTTTTGTTTTATTTTTAATAATGATTTTATATTCTGTCTAAAGAAATTTTGCATCCATGAATGAAGATACTCTTTGTGGTATTATAGCTACTGAAGGAATGTTATTGAAGTCCCCGAACGTGTAGAGATGGCTATTTACTACCTCTCAATGGGTATCTTCTCTGGGTGTAAGCTCCTGTTTTAATCTTCAATTTTCAAGACAATGTTCATTCAATTTATGCTGCTGCACATTCAGAAAGTCAATTTATCAAGAATCTCTGATCTTGGACAATAATTATGGTATGCTCCCTAGAGTTACATGTCTTTCATTTGACTGCTTGTTTAAACTGGAAAGACTGTGTTTTTTCTTTCTTAGATCTTCTTGTTTTATTTTATAAGTGTAAAACTGCAAGAGATTAAAGAGCCAGTATGCATAGTAACATCAATAAGTGCAAATTTTGAAGCGAAGATGTACAGGTTTTGTTTCAAAGACTGAACTTTACCAGATTAAATTGAAATACAGTTTGTTTCAATATGGCTGAGAAGAAATAAACAGTCTGAAGCTGGGTAGTTCATTGGTGGGAACATTATGCCAAATACTACTAATTTTAGCAATAGTTTTCATTCAATTTCTTCAAGATCTAATTACTTAAGTGTAAATAGAAATCATTCTAGTCTCCAGAGTTTCAAAGAAATATCATACTCCCTATCCTTAAGATGTCCCCTTTTTTCCAATCTGCAGATTCAAACAGATGAGTCTAACAGGTGACCCTTTATATAAATTGAAACATCAGCTATGTTAATACAGTTATTAGATTAAGTAGTATACATACTTAATTTACTTGCATTTCCCCAAATCTTTCCAGCCTCTGAACAGAAGGAGCAATGATATTCAAATTTCATTCACTCTTGCTTTCCTTTATGTCAGTTTCTAACGTGGACTTCTTTGAGTGAGGAAATACACGTTTAGGTGTTATTGTTGTTTCAGTGGACTTCCTAATCTCCTGTTGTGTCCTAGCGCCATTCAGCTGGGTACTTACATAGTAGCACAGCTGAGGCACTGAAAGTGCCACAATATGCTATTAAAAAAACTATCCTTCTTTTTACGTTACCTTCTACTTTGTAACAGAATAATTTGAAAACTAACATCACATAATCCTCAGTGGAGAAGATATGTTCTCTTTCTCCAGAATCAACTGGAGGCAGTGACTTGGATACACTCCATATCTCCTCAAGTGGACCATTAAAAGTTTTAGACTGGGTCAGGGAAAGGAGTTTACAAGTTCATTTTGGCGAGATCAGAGGCAGGCAGAGAGTTAGGATGCTCCTGCAATGGCCCAGGTTAGGGATTATGGTGCCTGAACTGGGATGTCAATAGTGAACATGGAGAAAAGTAGATGGATTTGAGACACGTTAAAGAGTTGGAAGCAAAAGAACTGGTGTGTGTGTGTGTGTGTGTGTGTGTGTGTGTGTGTGTGTGTTTGTCTGGTGTGCCTTGTACCAAGTGATGTGCTTGCCACTGACAACATGCAGGCTAGCCAAACATGGCTTCACTTTAGTTCCTTTCTAGACACAGGAGTTGATTCAATGCCTGCCCTGACATCTCCATAATAGTGTCCATTTATCCCTGAGCATTTCTCAGAGAACTGTGTTTCACACCATTCCCCACCCCACCACTCACTTGTTCTCTATTTCTTTTCTTTTAGGCTAGACAAAGGCAGAAAAATGTCCCATTTGTGGCCAAAATAGTGGCAGTAATATAGCCACTCTTCTTTTTTGCTTTGAGTGAAAGCTCAAGGAAGGCTTCGTTTTTCTCATGGAATCTGAAAGTCTGAAAATGAGATAGGAGCTGTTATTGTATTCTGAGACCCACTACTTTCCCAGCTCAAAAAGGCCTTATATGCAGTCAGTAATGATATATTATAGATAGAGGTCAGTCAGAGATAAGGCCATCCCTCTACTTATGTCATTTCTTTGCTCACACATATGAGCATATGTTGTTAGATGCAGCCAGGCCACTTATTGAATGCTTTACTGTTTAGAAATTTCTTTCACCAGATACCCTAAATCATCACTCTTAAGTTCAAGTTCCTCAGATCTCTAGGAAAGGGACACAATGCTGCCAGTTTCTTTGGTAACACAGTACAAAAGTGACCATTGCTCCAGTCCCCAATAAGTTCCTCATCTCCATCTGATACCTCATCAGCCTTTATTTTAGTCCTTTAACCAGTCCCTAGGGAGTTCCAAATTTTCCCTCCTCTTCCTGTCTTCTTCTGAGCCCTCCACAGTGTTCCAACCTCTGTCTCTGTCCTTTACCTAGTTCCAAAGTTGCTTCTACATTTTCAGGTATCTTTATAGCAATACCCCACTCCAATTTTTCAATACAGTACCAATTTTCTGATTAGTCCATTTACACTTTGGTATGAAGAAATAACAGAAACAGGTAATTTATAAAGAAGAGAAGCTGAATTGGCTCATGGTTCTGTAGGCTGTGCAGGAAGCACAGCAGCATCTACTTCTTGGGAGGCCTCAAGGAGCTTTTACTCCTGGCATAAGTAAAAACAGGAGCAGGCATCTTACACGGCAGGAGCAGGACCAAGGGGGGGATGTTACCTACTTATAAGCAACCAGAGCTCATGAGAAGTCACTCAGTGTACAGAACCAAGGGGTAATAGTGCTAAACCATTTATGAGAAATCCACTCCCATGATCTCATCACTTCCCACCAGGCCCCACCTCCCACACTGGGGATTACAACTCAACATGAGATTTGGGTGGGGCACAGATCCAAACCATATCACTGACTTCACCAATTTAGACTAACAAAGTAAGCAATGAATGTAGAGGTTTTGTTTTAATTTATACTGAAGATCTAACAAATGTCAGTTACTATGCTAGACTCCAGAGATGGAATAGTGGCAGAAATTAATGTGATACAGTCTTTGCCCTTAAGGAAGTTACAGACAGCTGTGACTAAATAATTACGTTATAATGTCATAAGTCCTATTTCACAGATATTATTAGTGCCATGGGATCACAAAGGAGCAAATAACTAACTCTGTCTGCATTAACAAACTAAGTAACGATGAGGGTTTAAATAGAACAGGTGCTATTTTTCTGAGACCCAAAACAGAAACAGTAATTTAAAAAATTAACCAGTCTTTAAACTCATAAATGCTTTGTGTGTGTGTACATACAAAAGTCATGTGTGTTTGTATGTATACACACACATAACTGTGTGTGTTGAGTATTTCAGGAAATACATGCTGTATTGCATATTTTGGAGAGATAGTACCTGTTTTATTTAAGAAAATATTTTTAGTGCTTTTGTATTATTCATTTTTATTTATTTAACATAAAAGTGTGTATCACATTTCACCCTATTCATTAAAAACAGTTCAAAATGTTTTTTATTTGGCAAAACATCCTAACTACATTTCCTAAGTGTTGTTTTATAGATGTGTTCTTTTTAACACACGTTAAAGTAAAACCACTGTGTTTAAGTTGTTCTTTTATAGACTTACATCCCTTCACTCATTTGAGCTTGAGGAGGCAGAATCCATCTAGATATATGAGTAGCAAATGCAGCCAAGCTAATATATCTTAGTCAGTTCTAGGCTTTGAAGAAAACCAATTTTAACCTTGGAAATTAATTGGAAATGTGGGAAACTCTGACAACAGGAAACCGGTAACCAAGGCCACTTAAATTGGGTTATAAATGGAATTTCAAATGGAAAATGCTTTAAGATTTGATGGAACTAAGCACTCTAGTGACTCTAGTTTCCTAGGAAGAAGTGTTAAACTTCCTGACTATGGAAGAACAGCATATCCTAAGGGAGATTATAATTAAAGCATAACAGATTTTATTTTTCTTTTTCAGAGGAATTACAAAGATCAAGATGAATTCAGTGAAGCTTCCCATAGGACTGTTCAAAGATCTCCAGGTAAAGAAAACTTTGTTTTGGAAACTGGGGGAAAGAGGAAATGGAATTAAATAAGAGTCCATTGCAGAAGTTAAGAATTTTAGAAAAGAGATAAAGGGAGCAGGAAAGTGAAATGAATTCATGCTCACAAAAGCAGTCAGAGATTAAAAAGGGGCACTGGTGATGGGAAACCTTTATGATTATATGACAGAGAGATCAGAAACAGAATGGATTAGCTAATAAATTGAAGAAACTCCAATTAAAAATGACTATTAAGTATGTGCATTTTCAAGTATATATTTAACAATAATAATTCATTTCTTTTCTAAGAGTTATTTGAGCAAGTTGGAACTAATGGATACTAGGCAGAAAAGCGAACAACCAGGAGCTAGTAATTAAATGAGAAAAAAAATTACATTAGGGAGTAGGAAACATCTGGGTTGGATTCTCATGTCCTTTGTGTGAGTTCTGTTTTTAATCACAATATAAAAAGTTCAGTTCTGTTTCTAGGCAGCTAAGCAAAGTAGGAGAGTAGCAGTGAAAATCAGATATAAGCATCTTTAGAAGTATAGTAAATTCAGTATGGTTATGTCACAAGATGGAGATTTTACAACTATTTGAGAATTTAGTAGTTATGCATAAGATAATATAAAACAATCATTGAAAAATGTGTTTGAAGGCATAATTAGTAGCTGGTCTCCAATAGGCTGTTAATAAATACTTCTGATGGATCAGATACTATTACCTCCCAAATTACAGTACTTCAGGGAGAGCTAGTTGCATTAGACATACATATATCTCTGGTGTATTTTGAAATAGCCCAAGGCATGGCAATAGAAAAGATAAAGTTGGGTATTTTAAGTCTTCCTGATCCTTGTTCTTAGAATATTTACAACCAAGCTCATCATCCAAACTTTCCTAAACCTCTTCCATATCAAAATTTTATATATTCATGCCTAATCCTCTCAGATACTTACTCTCTGCTAGCCAACTAATCAATTAAAAAAAACTGCTGTGATCTAGTGATGCTATATACTTCTGGGTTACCTTTCTGAAGAGTTAAGAATTTGAAAGAGGGTCTTCTGGATATTTACGACCTCAAATTAAGACAAAAATTTTATTCTGACAATAAGAATTCTAGAGAAATATGGCAGGGCATCAGGACAGATTATTTGGACAGGCGAAGCTTTCAAGCATCTTTTTAATCATATTACACAAACTCATTTTTGTCTTTCAAACTAAAATTCATTGAGTATTTCATTATACTGTCTGCTATAATCTGTCTTATGGTGTTTCACATGACTTAACTAGCTTAATTCTCTTAAAATAACTGATTTACTGATGGAGAAATGGAAACTCTATGATTAACCTGCCTTGTGTTACACAGCCGGTAGATTGCAGAGTGGAGACTCAGACTCATCTCTGTCTGGTTCCAGAGCTTTAGTTCTTAACCACTCTTCATAGTGCTTTTATATTGCATTAACTTTTCGTGGAATGTTATAAGGAATGGGATAGGGCCAAAATATCTGAAAAATCTTTTATCCTAAATGTTGTCTATGTGTAGAAATATCAGTTAAGGAACTCCTGGATTTTCTGCATTCCCTCTTATTGTGCCTCCTACTCAGAAAAAGAAGAGTTAATTATCCAATTGGTAAATTTAAGACAAAGAATTGGGCATACAGAACTCAATACGTTCACCCTTTCTCTTTAAGCTCAGTCTTTCTTCAGGGACCATCCATTTTGCTAAGCTGCTTTGTGCCTTAAGTCTTTGAAGGCCAGGCTCTTCTAAAACAGAGAGAGGCCAGCAGCTTGCCATACACTGTCTATGACTGAGGTTCAGCATTAAGAATTCCACCTTTGACACACATGTAATCCAAATTCTTAAATAATTTCGTCAATAATAATGTTGTCATTTAGTTCTTCAGCTACCTTATCCTTCTTCAATCCCCAGTTGCTTCAGAACTCAGTAGTGCAAAAGGGGTGTCAATTACTGATCACTTCATACCACTAGAGTTAATTATGGTTAAGATTTAGAAATCATGTTTTTTAGTAGCAGAGAATATAGCAACCAGAATTTATTGACAGAGAGACAAACATTTGGACAGTAGAATATATCTAGATTATGTTACTTTTTCTCTCCACTAATGTATCTGGTATTGTTTTATATGTAATACAAATTCTTCTCTTGTAAATTTTTTGTTTACTTGTTTTAAAGTATTATTTGATGAGTTATTTCAAGTGTGATTGGAGGGACAGTGTTAATTTAGCATCTTCATTTGTTATGAAATAACAACAAATATATGACTAGATTATTTTAGCAGAAATCCTTTGCTTAAAACATTTTAAAGGTTTAGGTCAACTATAGAAGAATGGGTTTATGGGGCCTAGTAGTATCAAAATGGTGAATTTCCTGTAGTACTCAATCTGGCACTTGCAGCCATATTATCTTCTTTTGTTTTCTAATTATTTCATATGTCTCAGTATTATCTTCCAAATGAGATTAGAAATTTATCTATACCAAGGACAACACATAATGATTGATTTTTATCTTTTAATCCCAATTCTTGCCACTTTCAAGAATGACCAAAGTTCTGAGAATGACCAAAGTTCTGAGTGAAATAAAATTTATTAACTTGAAAGGGAAAAAAATGTAATCAGGTTAGTTATCCACAAGTCACCATGTTTTCTACCTTGAATTACTTAATTTTAAACCAGTTGTTTTAATGTTGGAAAGATATGCTATATGTACCTTTTCATAATTGGGCTCTTTGGAGTAGAGTGTAGGTAGCATCTTTTATCAGTATTTATTCACACAACTTCTAATTAGAGTAACAAAAATAGATTAATATTTTTATGATATTGCCAAAACTTTGGTAGGACTGAGTAAGTTGGTAAAGATGTCATGGGATGAGAGGACACTGCTTTGATATGGAAAAGATTTACTCTTTGTCACTGTCAAATTCAGCACATAAATCATCTCCCATTATCCCTGGAGAAGTAGTGCCATTCATGTCAAATTATGTCTTACGGTTTTCAGTACCTTTCCAAGATGGATGATGAATAGAGGTGAGCTATGTGACTGATGTCAGCTAGTAGGTTTTGGTTTATATCAGATGTCCAACTTATATAAGAAAGAGCATGCCATCTTCTTCTGGAGAATCTCAATGTTGCCTCAACAGTTACACTTTATATATGTCCACTTACTCTTTAATATTACATGCTGAATAACAAGTATGTGAAGATCACACTTTTTTGAACTTGCGCTTTTTTTTAAAATGTCAATTTTTGCATAGTATAATGCAAGTGCTAGTTGCCTTGTCTGGACCTCTAAGTCTTATTTTCTTACTTTAAGAGGTGAATTTAAAAATCCCAATGGAAGCGAATTAAGCTTTGGAAAAGCAGAAAACTCTGAATCATCAGAGTTAGATGACTTTGGCTCTGTGAGTGACTATGATAGTATTTCCCAGCTGATAGCAGACCTTTTTCAGGAGTTCAAATGCCAATTATTTTTGTGACTTCTTCCAAGTCTGTTAAACACTTTGTATTTCAATTGCTTCATTTAAATATACACAATGATGTTTGAAATTTACTATGTTGCACAGAACCAACACCTTCCGTGAACTTCTAGTAAATATATTTTAATAGTGTTATTAAGGATAATAAAAGTTATGAAAGGAATTGGAGGGTTGTCATTTAGTACTGATGATTAACAATTAACATCAAAAGTCTAATTTGTATGTATCATTAGACAGAGTCAAAAATTATTACGTTAATATGAAATGGCATTATTTGTCAATAAATAAGGAAAAGTTCTCTTAATTAAAAACAGCATTATCTATGAAAGAAACTGAGCCCTTATTCTGTACTTTTAAAATAAAAGTGTTGCAAAACAAAATTTTGAAAATGAAAATTATGTACAATTCCCTGAGATATATTTTTACTCTGATTTCTTCTTGTGAGTCTTGTAAAATATTGTTTACATTTAAAATCCACTTTGAAGTGAAAATGATTAAATAGGGTCCTATCTCAGAGTCCTTACTGTCTTAAGCTATATGCAGTAAATGGGAGGTTTTCAGTTTTGCAGCATCAATAAAACAGTTTGTTTTTAAATAAATTCAATATAATGGGACATTTCAGGTCTCCAGAAGACCATAGGAGGGAAAGAAAAGTGAGAGGAAGAGAGGTAAATACTCTCTACAGATCAGAAGTTTCAACCATGGAAACAAAAGAATGATACCTGCTACCACACAAAGACACATAAGTGCATAGCCACAGACCATATAAAGCAACTACACATCAAGACTACAAGGCAACTAGCTACCAAGACCACTACAGGAACAAAACCTTACCTATCAATAATAACCTTGAACATAAGCAACCTAAACACTCCACTCGAAAGACACAGAGTGGCAAATCAAAAAATCAAGACCCAACCTTCTGCTGTGTTCAAAAGACTCATCTCATAAGTAATGAGACCCTTAGGCTCAAAGTAAAGGGATACAGAAAGATCTACAATACAAATGGAAAATGAAAAAGAACAGCAATCACTATTCCTATGTAAAATAAAACAGACTGAACCACCAACAGGAAAAAAAAGATGAAGAATGGCATTATATAATGGTAAAAAGCTCAATTGAACAGGAAGATTTCACTATCATAAATAAATATGCACCAAACATTGGAGCACCCAGATTTATAAAACAATTACTACTAGATCCAAAAAAAGACTGACACTCACACATTAAAAGAGGGGAACTTCAACATGGCACCATCAGCATTTGATAGATCATCAAGGAAGAGAACTCACAAAGAAATTCTGAGCATAAACTTGACAGCTGACAAATTGGAGTTAATAGAAATCTACAGAACACTCTACCCCAAAACCATAGAATATACAAAATTATCATATACATGTAGAAGATACCCTAACACATTCAAAAATATTAAAATCATATGAAGCATACTCTCAGACTATGGTGGAATAAAAACAGAAACTCATATCAAGGTGAACTTTCAAAACCATAAAAATACATGGAAACAATACAATTTGCTCCTGAATGACTTTTGGGTTAACAATGAAATTGAGGCAGAAATTTTCAAAACTATTTGAAATAAATGAAACGAGTGACACAATGTACCAAAGTCTCTGAGATATGAAAAAAACAGTGTTAAGAGGAAAGTTTATACTGCTAAACACCTACATCAAAAAGATGGAAATATCTCAGATAATAAACTAATGTTACCCCTAAAGGAACTAGAAAAAAACAAGAACAAACTAAACTCTAACCTAGCAGAATAAAAGAAATAACTTAAATCACGTCAGAAATAAACAAAATTGAGACTTACGAAACCATACAAAGCATCAACAAAATGAAAAAAAGTGGTTCTTTGAAAGAATAAATGCTACCAATAAACTGTTTGCTTGATTACCAAAGAAAAAAAATGGGAGTAGATCCAATAAAGGACAAGTAGAAATGATAACGGTGACATTACAACCAATCCCACATAGATACAAAAGACTTTCAGAGATACTGTCAACATCTCTATGCACACAAGCTAGAAAATCTGGAAAAGAAAAATGAATACATTCCATTCCATACACAACCTGTCAAAATTGACCCAGGAGGAAATAATAACTTTGAACAGATTAATATCAAGCTACAAAATTGAATCAGTAATAAAATATCTACCTGCCAAAAAAAAGGCCTGGACTAGATTAATTCACACACAAATTCTACCAGATGTACATATAATGGCTGGTACCAATTTTAATGAAACTATTCCAAAAAATTGAGGAAGAGGGACCCCTCCAGATTATGGTATCATCCTGATATCATAAGCAGGTATGGTATTATTTTGATAGTATAATCTGGCAAAGACATGACAAAAACAAAACTACACGCCAATATTTCTGATGAACATGGATGCAAAAATCCTCAGCAATATATGAGCAAACTGAATCCAGTAGCCCATAAAAGACATAATACAACACAATCAAGTAGACTTATTCCTGGGATGCAAGGATGGTTGAATACATGCAAATCTATAAATATGATTCACCACATAATCAAAATTAAAAAGCAAAAACCATACGATCATCTCAATAGATGTAGAAAAAGCATTCTATAAAATCCAACATCTCTTCATGATAAAAACCATAAAAAAAGTAGGCACTGAAGGAACATACTTTGAAATAATAAGTGAAATTTGTGAAAAACCCACAGCCAATATCATACCGAACGAAGAAAACGTAGAATAATTCCTTTTAAGAACTGGAACAAGAAAAGGATGTCCATGCTCATCACTCCTATTTAATATAGTATTGGAAGTCCTAGCCAGAACAATCTGGCAAGAGAAACAATTAAAAATCATCTCAAGAGGAAAAGAGGAAACCAATTATTTCTTTTCACTGAAAATAAGATTCTATACTTAGAAAATTTTAAACATTCTGCCAAAACACTCCTAGGTCTGATAAATGACTTCAGTAAAGTTTCAAGATATGAAATCAATGTACAAAAGTCAGTAACATTTCTATACATCAATAGAATTCAAGCTGACAACCAAATCAAGAATGCAATCCCATCTATAATAGCGACAAAAAGAAGAAAATATCCAGGAGTACATCTATTCAAAAAGGTGAAATATGTCTACAGTGAGAACTACAAAATATTGATGAAAGAAATAGTTGATGAGACAAGAAAATAGAAAACTATTCTGTGCTCATGGTTTGGAAGAATCAATATCGTTAATATGTCCACATTGTTCAATGCAATCTACAGATTCAAAGCAATTCCTATCAAATTATTAATGTAATTTTCCATAGAAATTGACAAAGCTCTTCTAAAAATCATATGGAACCAAAAGGAATCTGAATAGCTAATGAAATCCTAAGCAAAAAGAGCAAAACTGGAGGAATCACATTACTGAACTATACTATACTATAAGGCTATATTAAGTAAAACAGCATGTTACAGGTAAGAAAAAATGGACACATAATTGGTCGGGTGTAGTGGCTCACACTGTAATCCCAGCACTTTGGCGACGAGCTGGGCAGATCACAAGGTCAGGAGATCAAGACCATCCTGGCTAACACGGTGAAGCCCCGTCTCTACCAAAAATACAAAAAAATTGGCCGGGCGTGGTGGCGGGCGCCTGTAGTGCCTGTAGTCCCAGCTACTCTGGAGACTGACGCAGGAGAATGGTGTGAACCCGGGAGGTAGAGCTTGCAGTGAGCCAAGATTGCACCACTGCACTCCAGCCTGGATGACAGAGTGAGACTCCGAGGTCAGGAGATCAAGACCATCCTGGCTAAAATGGTGAAACCCAGTCTCTACTAAAAATACAAAAACAAAAATTAGCCAGGTGTGTTGGCGGGCGCCTTTAGTTCCAGCTACTCGGGAGGCTGAGGTGGGAGAATGGCATGAACCTGGGAGGCAGAACTTGCAGTGAGCCGAGATTGCACCACTGCACTCCAGCCTGGGCAACAAAGCGAGACCCCATCTCAAAAAAAAAAAAAAAAAAAAGAAAGAAAAAGAAAAAAGAAAAATAAAAAAAGTGGACACATAATTAATGCAACAGGATTGAGAACCTGTAAATAGAGCCACACACCTAATGCTGGGAAAACTGGCTAGCCACATGCAGAAGAATAAAACTGGACCTGTACCTCTCACCATATACAAAAATTAACTCAAGATGGATTAACGATTTAAATATAAGCCCTCAAACTATAAAAACCCTAGAAGAAAACGTAGGAAATACTCTTGAACGCAGGCTTAGGCAAAGAATTTATGACTAAGTCCTCAAAGGCAAATGAAGCAAAAACAAAAATTCACAATTGGAACCTAATTAAAATAAGGAGCTTCTGCATAGCAAAAGAAATGGTCAAAAGAGTGAACAGACAACCTACAGAATGGGAGAAAATATTTGAAACTATACATCCAACAAAGGACTAATATCCAGAATCTACAAGGAGCTTAAACAAATTAACAACAACAAAAAACAAGTAACCCCATTAAAAAGTGGGCAACTTTGGGAGGCGGAGGCGGGTGGATCACAAAGTCAGGAGATCGAGACCATCCTGGTCAACATGGTGAAATCACGTTTCTACTAAAAATACAAAACAATTAGCTGGGCGTGGTGGTGCATGCCTGTAGTCCCAGCTACTTGGGAAGCTGAGGCATGGGAATCACTTGAACCCGGTGGGGGTGGGGGCGGGGTGGAAGTTGCAGTGAGCTGAGATCGCGACACTGCACTCCAGCCTGGCGACAGAGTGAGACTCCGTCTCAAAAAAAAAGGTGGGGGGAGGGGGCAAAGGACATGAATGGAAACTTCTCAAAAGAAGGAATACAATCTGCCAACAAATATACTTTAAAGATGCTCAAAATCACTAATTATTAGAGAAACTGAACTCAAAACCACAATGTGATACCATCTCATACCAGTCAGAATGGCTATTATTAAAAAGTCAAAAAAAATTACAGACGTTGGCAAGGTTGCAGAGAATAGAGAACACCAATCCACTGTTGGTGGAATTGTAAATTTGTTGAGCCTCTGTGGAAAGCAGTTTGGAGATTACTCAAAGAACTATGAAGACAACTACGATTCACCCCAGTAACCCCATTACTGGATATATTTGCAAAGGAAAATAAATTGTTCTTCTAAAAAGACACCTGCACTTGTATGTTTCTTACAGCACTATTCCCAATAGCAAAGACATGGAATCAACCTAGGCGCCCTCCCATCATCGATTAGATAAAGGAAATGTGTTATATATACACTATAGAATACTATACAGCCACAAAAAGAACACAATTTTGTCCTTTGCAGCAACATGGATGCAGCTGAATGTTATTATCCATAGTGGATTAACATATTCTTACTTGTGAGAGCTAAACATTGGGTACACATGGACATAAAGATGGGAAAAATAGACACTGGGGACTCCAAAGTGGGGAAGGGAAGGAGAGGGGAAAGGTTAAGAAACTATCTTGGGTACTATGTTTCACTATTTGGATCAAGGGTTCAATCAAAGCCCAAATCTCAGCATCATGCTATATATCCATGGGACAAACCTGCTCATGAGCCCCCTGTATCTAAAATAATTTCTAAAAATAATTTTAAAAATAAAAATAAAATGTTTAAATGGTTACAAAGTCAACAGTTTCATTCTGTTGTGAATTACTATTTTCTATCACGTGGGACCAGCCACACTGAAGTGTGATTAGATCATTGAAGACAAAGTGTATCCTAAAACATATGGAGATGTAGAAAAGAGAGGAAAGAGAGTGAAGAAGCAAACATTTCTTTACCATACTCTCTATGCTAGCTGCTTCATAGATGTCATCACAGCAGAGACAGAGGACTGAGATCATGAGGACTTCATGATCTCCAGAGAGGCAGAAACAAGTGCTATGCCATTTATCGCCATTATCCTTCTCCCAAATGCCAATGCCATTTATTAGGCTTCCAATAGAAAACAACACACTTGTTTTGCTGTCTGATATGACTCAACTCCTCCTATCCCCCAACAATCTACTTTTGAAAGTTACTGTATCAACCCTTTATTTCTGCACTCAACCTTAGCAATCTCACAGTGTTAAGTACATGCTGATTTCAAAATTCCTGTCTATATTACTAAGCAATAGAGTGAAAATTTACATTCAAGCAAACGATGCCTCCAGCAAGTCATTTCATCAAAATAGACTTTAAAATATATCTTAGTCATGATTGGTGAAAAGAGACAAATCAGGTGGTTCCTGGGATGTTGAATGTCTGCTTTCACTAGGGCGTCCTTCTACGGAAGGTATTTTTGAAGGTTTTTTTTTTTTTAATTTCAACTACTTTTTAGCCTCATGTGCTTAAGATGAAACACCATAGAAATGAAATATGCATACCTTGAGCTAAGAGAACTGGAAGAATTATAATGATAATTAAATCAGCCTGGGTGGAGGTGGAGAGAATGATTAAGAAGTAAAAAAGTTTTCTGGAGGAGCTGAGGTAATATCCAAGTGTTAATGGCTGAATAATTGAGTTTGTGGGAAGAACTTTCAGACACAGAGGTAGCATTAAGCAAAGTAGCAAAGTCAAGCACCATCATAGTGAATACAAGTAAGTAAAGGGGAATAGGAAATGTTGGAGCATAAAGTATAAGTGAGGAAATGAGACTGAAAAGGTAGGCAATTATTTGATTTCTTGTTTGGGCCAAAGATTTTATCCCTGACACATCATAAGAAAGAAACTTTGGTATTATTAATCCTGTTGTAAGAATGGATTTGCAGTGATTATTAATTAATCCTGTTGTAAGAATGGATTTACTGTACTTCGTTACTAACAAGTTTTGTGACAATAGCACCTCTGGGGTAGACAAGCTGTGCAAAATTTAGAGCATCAGAGTCAGTCAGATTGCTATGCTTGGAGTTCAGATTACCACAGTTCAAATCAATTGAAAAAAATAAAATTAAGCCTAAAAGAATGTAAAGATGGTTTATGTGCTATTTGAAATTAATGTCTTGTACATCTCCAGCTGAATCAAAGATGCAAAGGGAGGAATATATGTATATTCATAGCATGACTTCAAAAAACTTCGTTAAAGTTAGTGTTTTCCCTAGGAGGAAAATATAATAAGTCAAACTTTTGATTTGCGAGTAAATTGTAAATCTGATGTTAATAAGTATCTGTCAAGGGAATTTGGTATTCTGAGATTTGAAATTATGCAATGGATAGAACTAATTTTTAACAGCAAGGTAACTTGTAAATATCTGTAGGATGTATTTTCAGCACAAAAGTACTTGCTTTGTTGCCTACATTAAAAGGAAATGCAAAATAAAAGTGAAATTTCTTTGTTGTCTCATACTTTTTTACAACTGTTTCTAATCACAGTAAATAATAATACTTGGAGAAAGTTTTCTCACGTTTATATTTTATTTTAAAATTCTATTATGTATCCAAAAAAGTTAGCAAACTGTCAGGTGAGTTGATTGTCCCTTCACAAACTGCAATATGCTTGAATATCCAGGTTTTTAATTATTTTTTTCTTGTAGGCATCTATATTTCTGCCTATATTCCTAAACAATAGAGTGAAAATTTAAATTCCAACAAACCATATATTTGGCATATTGTTTAGTTGAAACTACCTTAAAATATTTGAGTCATGCCTAACAAACAGAGGAGAATCATGTAGAGTTTATGGCTGGGCCTTATAATTTGTCCATACTTCTTAGGTTTAATAAATCAAAGGGGGTCCTTGGGCCACTTACTGTGGAAACCTTCTCATTGAGATGGTTCATTGGCCAAATCTCCAAGTTCTAGTGGTGGCTTCATTTGCACATAAAGATGTATTTAAATTCCTGCATTCTCTTTCTTCTCGAACTGCAATTTTACATCTTATTTATTCTCTTTCAATAAAATATTTTCTCTTATAATATTAGATAGAAACAGTTGAAGAATTATTTGTCCTGGACAACAGATCTTTGTAGAGCTCCTGTTATCACATGTTGCCTACACACAGGAATGCCCTATATAAATAAGTTAGTTATGACTGAAAACATATTTCATTATCCTATTGGATTCAGCCAAAAAGGTAGGGTGGGCTGTGTGATAGAATAAACAATAAAATTCAATTAAAATGTTAGGCTGAACATTTTACATCATATAGACAAAAAGATGTAATGATGTCATTGGATTTTCAGCTTTTTAATGGGTTCTTTTGGTATCTTTTAAAGGCAGCCAAATTTAAAGTCTGTACTCTTATCAAGGTCTAGTGTATGACTCATCTCCAACATATTACTAAGAATGTATTCTGATGATTCTCAGACTTAGACTTCTTCCTGCACACACACACACACACACACACACACACACACACACACACACTAGCTCCCCAGCACACATTTTGTAACACATGGACTTGATTTTTTCCTCTAATGGAACATCTTGCCAAATGTTTTGCAAATGAGGTCCTGGAGGACAGTGGATTATTCTTTTACATATTTGAGTACACTTGTGTGTTTAGTAGAGTTGTGCACAAAATAAGTGCTACTCATTGAATGAATTAATGAAATGACACAAAACACCTGGGCTACTTGAGTAAAATAGTATTCTTTGCTGCAGTAAATTCATGGAAAAGTGCTTGCTTCTGATTGTGTTCTAAGTATGATCTTCATATTATTTTCCAGAAATTCAGTGTAGTTTCAGGAAAAGTATACCAAGGTAATGTGGATGGCGGTGATTATCTTTTTGTGTGTATAGGAATTAATCTCAGGGGACATTTCTTAAATACTCATCAGCAGTGATTCATCCCCTTCTCTCTCTGAGCCATGGTGAAGTATCTCTTGAGTGGAGTAATTGTTTTGTTTACGCATTCACTGCTGCAAATGCAAGGAGTCTCCAGGTGATATGCCTAATTGCCTCTTTTTCCACCAAACTGCTGCACACTTTTCAATGGTTTTATCTTTAAAGGGAGCATCTCAATCTGTTTCTCTAATTGAGAACAAATACCATCTTCTAATTAAGAGATTTGTCAATGCAAGCAATGGGTTCCTGGTGTGTACTTTGGGGCAGGCAGAAGTTGAATCTAAGTATGTATTACTTTTTATCCCTCCAATGTTGAGTCAATCAATTGTGTGGGTTAATTTTTCCTTTTTTTTTTTTCTTTTAGGCCTGCCATTCATGCATTCATGTGAGAGAGACACTTTGGGCCTAAGAAATGAAGGCCAATTCATGTGGAGTCAGTCCTCTTATAACCACAGTAGGATAGAACTTGTTTCTGAGACCTTCAGAAGGACTAAGCCCTAGGCAAACAGCCCCAGTGAAGTCAGCTCTAAGGACATATTGAGGTAAGAACTAGGGAAAATTCATGTTTTATTTCCCTATTGCTTTTAAAATCCAATTTAAAATGTATTACCTATCAAGAGAGAATTCTCTATAATTTCGTGAAAATGATTTATATGGCTCCGGATATGTATTTTTTTGTCCCCCTTTTCCCCTCCCATTTACTCCTTCAGCCACAGGTAAATACTTTTTGCCATGACCTCTCTCTCTGTGAAATCAAACTAATATGCTAACTTTTGTTTGCTTTTCTTGTGCAACACTGCTGATGAGAAACATTTTGTCCTCCTTCGTCTATTTCTGTTATATTATTTTAAGACCTGTCATTATAATAAAAAATATCTTAATGCTGATAATGACATTGATGATGGTTATGATGACTTCAAGCTCTGCCCTAGACAATTAACTCCATAAAGGCAGGAACTGTATCTATCTTCTTTAGCATTTCATAAGGCAAACCCAACAGTGTCCCTGACTTGCAGCAAGTACTCAAGAAAAATATTTGTTAAATGAATGAAAATGCTAGCAGAGACCATTGGCTGAAAGTTTGCTAATATAATCTTTATATTTTATAATCTTTGTATTTTATATTTTTACAACCATCTTTGGAAACAGGTATTTATTATGCCGATTTTGCAAATGAGAACACTATCTTCAATGGAAGGATAACCACATCTACATTTGAAGTGTAGTTAGAGGGATGCTCCTCAAGCTTTAATATATATTTGAATCACCTGAGGAATCTTAATAAAATGCAAATTCCTATTCAGTAGTTCTGAGTTGAGGCCCAAGTTTCTGCATTTCTTACAAGCTCCCAGGTGATGCCCACACGGCTGTTCTGAGTGAGCCAGCACTCTGAGTAGCAACATTCCCTTAGAATTACCTGCAGATGAGTATGTAAAATTCAAATTATTGGTCTACACAGATATACTAAATCATAATCATAGTTCGGGAAATGAGAATCAGCTACCTACAGTACAAGCAATCTGGTAATTATTATGAAAATTAAATGAGTAAAGTGTGTGTTAAGTGCTTTATAAACCAAAAGTAGTATGTAAATATTAGAATAACATTTTTATTTTATAATTGTTACTATTATTATTGTTTGATGGTGACACAAATTTGATTTCTGTACCACTCCAAGCATGTATATTGGTTGTGAAGGCTGTTTTTACCAATATGTATCTACAATAAAATGTTCTAAATTAAATCGTTGGAATATAATTTTGGCAATTTTAAAAAAATACTGTAAATAAAAATGTGCATGTGCTGCATTTTACAATGGAAATAAAATATGTTTTTTCAGTATAATATCTACTAATCTCTAATGACCTAAAATTGTACTCACTACTGATTTGTTATAAAATTGAGGACAGGAATAGTTCCATATACATGCCTGTTTCTATGAAATAAAGTCCTACAAATGCATTTAATGCTAAATAATAGCAAAATAGCTACACATAGGGTATTAGAGCTTTGGGGTTCATTTAAATGAATACATGGATTTGAATGAAAGTCATGTTTGCTGTTTACTTGGGAAATAAATGAACAGGTGGCTCTCATGTCTTCCATACATCCATATATGTCTTAGCACTGAGCTAATTATTCTAAAATATACATCTTTATGGTTGAATTCCAGGTGATTTCTAAATTTGACATTTACGTGTTTAATTATTTATCATCACCTTAAGATTAAAGTTTTTTTCCACTTTGTTCAGTAAAGAACATTGCTGATATAGATGTACAAGAATCACTTGTTTTGAATTATTTTTAACTTTATAGAATTCCATTTTTGGAAAATCTGACATAGTGCTAAAATTTAGCTTTGGTCCCTTTCTGTCATCTTTTTCTCTTCCTCCAGTCTCAGGAAATTGTTGCCTGAAAATAATTGCATATAAATTTGACATCATTTAAAATAAAAGTCTTCAAAGGCATTTAAACCTATAAAATGAAAAAAAAAGATCACATTTGGATTATGGCAAGGGTACTAAAACTACTTTATCTCCCATATCAATCTCAATCCATTTGTAGTGATAACCTAGAGTACTGAGCTAAGACAGATTGTGACTAATTAGCAACGACTACTAAGTACATGAAACAAAAGAGTCCATGCCAGGTATTCTGTAGCTCGGAATTAGGACAAAATATCTTCAAAATTTGGAAAAGCACAGGCTTTGGAGTCAGAGGTACATTGATTTAAACCCCAGTCCTTGCTCATCTTATCTGAACTTTTTGAGTTTCAGTTTCTACATATGTGAAATGAGAATACAGTATCTCTCTTATAGTGTTATAGTGAGTATTAAATGAGAAAGCACAGGGAGAGTAACATAATTCCTGAACTCTTCTACACAGTGCCTCTGGGAAGGGTAGTTATTAGATTAGAATTAGCAAATGTGTAATTAAACATAGTTGCCACCTCATCCTTAGAAGGGCATCAGGCATTTGCATATCATCACCTAGAAAATCCTTGAAATACATGTATTTTAATTGAGGGCAGTAGACAAAGGCCCAAAGTTTTTATCTGGAAAGATAGGGAAGTGTGAGATGGTGTAAGATACCAGGGAGCAGGTAAATAACTTGAAATCACTATTTTTTTTTTCGAAAGACAAAAAAAAAAAAAAAAGAAGAAGAAGAATAGTGCTATAGTAAATGATGTGTTCCTTCCCAACTTTTCAAGTGGTCATGCAGGAAGTAATTGGGGGTGTTATTTAACCTCTCTCTGCCTTGTTTAAACTGGAGATTATAGTATATCCATTTCTAAAAGTTGTGAGAATTAAGTGAATCAAATGAATTAATATGAGAAAGTTACTTAAAATAGTACCTGATGCAGAGTAAGCACTATGTAAGTATTTGCTAAATGCATTTTAAAAGATACCAGCTTCAGTCAATACACTAAATAAATACTAACTACAAGAATGCTAGGCATGATGTGTTCTTTCTTTCTTTTTTCTTTTTCTTCCTTTCTTTCTTCTTTTCTTTTCTCTTTCCCTGCCTCCCTCCCTCCCTCTCTCCCTTCCTTCCTTCCTTCTTTCCTCTACATACTTTTTCTCTATTAGCATCATAATGAGACTTTTGTTTTTGTGAAACAAGTAGCACAACATTTTTCTGACTGTAAAATAAACCTTTTTCTCCCAATGTTTGGAAACAGTATACAAGATCCAAAAAGTTTGAACTTCCATTAAAGAATGTTTTTTTTTCATGGTTAATCAACAAATTGGGCACTAATGCATTGGTAAAGTTTTATTATAGCATATATTTCAACTATAGCACTCTTCTGCATTAGTTGTGCACTGGTGAACTGGTTTATCTTTCCTAGTAGCTTTAAACTTTTTAAGGAAGGGATTATATTTCCTTATTTTCTATTCCCAGAAGCTCCTAGTATTCAGTAGCTATTCATTATATTTGTTCAATTCAGTATACATGGTCCTTGCTTTTGAGAGACTAATTATAAATTAAAGATGGAATAATTTAAAAAAACAATGTTGATTAATTTAACCACAGGATATCTTAATGACCAATTCAATATGATTTAACAATGTAATCAAACCAAGGCTGGTGGTCTGATACATTTTGAGGGAAGTTCTCTAGATTAAAGTATCCTCATTGGTTGACAATATGCCAGTTTTTCTCAAGCTATTTGTTCTCCATAGCTATTAGGCCTACTGTGCCTTATGTAAACTTCTACAGCTCTGATGAATTTCATAGGATTGAGATGAATGACTTCATCTAAATAACAATAAAGCAAACTTTATATTGTATAAATTTTGTTACTGTTACTTAACTGACTCTACTGTGCCTTCTTCAAATCTGATCTCTCAAATCACTCAAAATCCAGGTCTCAACTTCATAAAGTAGGATATATAAGGCGAAGTAAGTTTGTTTCTAATCTCCAAGTAAATTGCATTCCAAAAATGTTCTCATCTTTGGGCCTATTTTTGTGAGTTCTTAAGGACTATCGCGGCTGCCTGAGCATTAGTTAGATCTATGGGCTACATGTTTGTTAGATGCCCTATATACTTTTTTTAAGTTGATAAATAATAATTATACATATCTATGGGGTGCATGTGATATTTTGATACATGTACATAATATATAATGAGCAAATCAGGTTAATTGGGATATCTATCACCTATCACATTATTTGTGTTGGGAATATTCTATATCTTCTATCTATTTTGAAATATACAATGAATTATTCTTAATATAATCACCCTACTGTGCTACTGAACACTAGAACTTACGCTAAGTGTTCTGTTGTACCGATTTACCAACCACTCTTCCAAGACACTTTTTGAAGTGGTAACCTACTGTCTCTTTTCTTCTTCTTTTTTTTTAAAGGTAGCAGTGCTCTGCAATTTTGATTAATGTAGTCATGGTCATCTCATGTTTCCCTGCTCTACAAACCTGGACATTAGCCAAGTTCAAACTGAGCCTTGCTTTGCTTTGGGAAAACATAGAGCAAAGCAAAGCTCAGTTGGAGCTTGACTATGAATTCATTAAGACTAATGTCTTTCCTGGTTCTTCAAATTCTATAAGGTACAGTTAAGAGTGTCTGACCTGAATAGGTATGTATACATATAAAGTCTACTTCATGTTCAGCCCAGCTCCAAAAAGTAATAAAAAGTGGTCCCATTTATAGAATTTTTATTTTAGAAAATGAAATTGCTACTGTGTATAGCTATCCTTATGCACACATATAGTGTATTCTTGATATGATATGGTTGTAACATCCCAATTTCAATATCTGAGAGAGTCCTCCAACTTAAAATGTTCTATTTCTCTACATCTTAGCAGTTTCTAATAACTCAGTGACTTAATATTGGCCCTCTGTGAATGCTAAAGCCACTAAACTGAATATTTTAGTCCAAAATTATTTTTCTAATTTATAGTAATAATGAAAATTACGAAGTTTACAGGGGTAAACATTTGTGGGGGTAGATCTTACAATATTCTGAACATGGTTTATTTAATGGTCCTTTCCTGGATTTTGAATATTGTGTATAGTCTGGAGTTTGATAATAGTAAGTATTTTATCTATCTATATTTTCGTATTTTGGTTGACATTTCCAGGACAAAACATTGTTATAGCCAAGAACCATATTATGTAATAAGCCATCTTCTCCTTCTAGCAGTATGGAAAATATACTCCTCAACACAAATTAATATAGAAGTAAAAATAAACATAAACACTGAAGTTACAATACCATAGTAGCAATATACTTACTCTGACCTGGCATCTCTTATTGGTAGAATGTATGTATAAATCAATTTTATTTGGAAAGACTTGGCCAGTTTGTTCAGCGAAATATTAGCATTAGCATTGTCACTCCTGCCAATCAGTTCTAGTCCCTGTATGTAATCCAGTATCTAGTGTAAAAGCCTAAAAAAAAGAAGGCAAAAAATTAGTTTGTCTACATTAGCATAATTTAAATGTTCATATTTTCTTAGTTTAGTTTTATTTGAAGCAATCAGTGAATTTATCTTGCGACTATTCTTTAAACATAGATCCTTAATTTTTCATCTTAAACCATTTTAGAGATATGCTATAGACATAGCCTAAAATTTATGTTTCAAAAATCTTGTGTTTTGAAAATATACAAAAACATAACATTCATCTATTGTCTTCTTAGTAATATTAAAATCTAAAATATATAGATAAAATTACAGGAAACTCATTTTTAAAGAGAAAAAGTTATAATAAATAAGTATTTCTTTATTTTTAGGTGTCCATTTCAGTTCATTCAGTACAGTTGGGTCTGATACCCTCAGACTTCACCACTGGCATCCCTTATATTCAAGCATCCTTTATTAGCAATGTATTATTATGGTTAAGGCTTTAGAATTAAGCCTGTTTTAAAATCAATTTATGGTTACGACTTCAAATATATGCCTTTTCAGAATTTATTTGCATATCAGCTAAAATGCCACAATGCGAGAAAATTTACCTATCTAAAAATAAGTAAGATAATACTATGAATTTAATGAGATTATATATGCAAAGTACACAGTACTTAGCACATAATAAGCTCTCAATAAATATTAGTTAATAGTAGTGGTATTAGAACTAGAAATACATGCATGGTGAATTTTGATTACAGTCTATGTTCTTTTATTATGTGCTTATCATATTTATTATTTACTTATTAATCACAAAATTGGTTATATATTTTGGATTTGATTTAATACTTTGAATTTGACTACTCTAACGAGTTGCCAATAGTTAACTTATTTAAGCAGAGTCAGTAATTATGAATGGGTAAACTTTCTAGAAGTTAATGTAGAACACATTGAGAGTTACAAAAGTGGTTGTCCTTTAGGGGAAAAGGGAGCTGAGATAGATGGATATGGTTTCTTTTTTTAAATTATTGTTTTATTTCCATAGGTTATTGGGGAATAGGTTGCGTTTGCTTACATGAGTAAGTTCTCTAGTGGCAATTTCTGAGATTTTGGTGTACCCATCACACGAGCAGTATATACTGCACCCAATTTGTAGTCTTTTATCCCATACCCCCTTGCCACCCTTTCCCCCTGAGTCTCCAAAGTTCACTGTGTCATTCTTATGCTTTCGCATCCTCATAGCTTAGCTTCCACTTATGAGTGAGAACATATGTTTGGTTTTCCATTCCTGAGTTACTTCACTCAGAATAATAGTCTCCATTCTCATTCAGGTTGGTGAAAATGCCATTAATTAATTCCTTTTTATGGCTCAGTAGTATTCCATCATTATATATCTATATCCATCTATATATATATATCTCTCACAATTTCATTTTCCACTCGCTGATTGATGGGCATTTGGATTGATTTCACATTTTTGCTATTGTGAATTGTACTGCTCTAAACATGCATGTTCAAGTATCTTTTTTGTATAATGACTTCTTCCTCTGGGTCGATAGCTGGTAGTGGGATTGGTGGATCAAATGCTAGTTCTACTTATAGTTCTTCAAGGAATCTCCACACTGTTTTCCATAGTGGTTGTACTAGTTTACATTCCCACCAGCAGTGTAGAAGTATTCCCTACTCACTACATCCATGGTAACATCTATTATTTTTTGAAATTTTTGAGTATGGCCATTCTTGCAGGAGTAAGGTGGTATTGCATTGTGGTTTTGATTTGCATTTCCCTGATCATTAGTGATGTTGAGCACTTTTTCATATGTTTGTTGGACATTTGTATATCTTCTTTTGAGAATTGTCTATTCATGTCCTTAGCCTATTTTTTGATGGGATTGGTTTTTTCTTGCTAATTTATTTGAGTTTGTGGTAGATTCTGGTTATTAGTCCTTTGTCGGATATATAGATTGTGAAGATTTTCTCCCACTCTGTGGGTTGTCGGTTTACTCTTCTGACTGTTCATTTTGTCTTGCAAAAGCTCTTTAGTTTAATTAAATCCCAGCTATTTACGTTTATTTTCATTGCATTTGCTTTAGGGTTCCTGATCATGAAATCCTTGCCTAAGCCAATGTCTAGAGGGGTTTTTCCAAAGTTATCTTCTAGAATTTTTATAGTTTCAGGTCTGAAATTTAAGTCCTTGATGCATCTTGAGTTGATTTTTGTTTAAGGTGAAAGATGAGGATCCAGTTTCATTCTCCTACATGTGACTTGCCAATTATCCCAGCACCATTTGTTGAATAGGGTGTCCTTTCTCCACTTTATGTTTTTGTTTGCTTTGTTAAAAATCAATTGGCTGTAAGTATTTGGGTTTATTTCTGGGTTCTCTATTCTGTTCCATTGGTCTATGTGCCCATTTTTATACGAGTACCATGTTGTTTTGATGACTATGGACTTATAATATAGTTTGAAGTCAGGTAATGTGATGCCTCCAGATTTGTTCTTTTTGCTTAGACTTGCTTTGGGTATGTCGGCTCTTTTTTTATTCCATATGAATTTTAGGATTGTTTTTTCTAATTCTGTGAAGAATAAAACACTAGGACTATACCTAACCAAAGAGGTGAAAGACGTCTATAAGGGAAACTACAAAACGCTGCTGAAAGAAATCATAGATGACACAAACAAATGGAAACACATCCCACGGTCAAGGATGTGTAGAATCAATATTGTGAAAATGACCATACCGCTAAAAGCAATATACAAATTCAGTGCAAGTCCCATCAAAATACCACCATCTTTCTTTTTTTAATAGAATTTTCATCTGGGAAAGCTTTCACTTATGTCATGCTTCTTTTTTTATTTATATAAATTTATGTGGTACAAGTGTAATTTTGTTACATGCATAAATTGTGTTGCAGTGAAGTCAGCCCTTTTAATGTATCCATCACCAAAATAACGTACATTGTGCCCATTAAGTAATTGCTCAGCATCCCCCACCCTAGTCCCATCTTCCCATCCTTCTGAATCTCCATTGTCTGTCATTCCACACTCTATGTTTGTATATACACAGTATATACCTTCCACTTATAAGTGAGAGCATGTAGTTTTGGGCTTAACATAATAACAAATATTTCAGGAAGCATCTTAAGGTTAAGCTAAATATGCCACTTTTTCTGTCCCCTTCAAGTTGGCATATCATTTTCAAGATGGCACTCATATTCATCTTGGTTTATACATAAAAAACTTCAAACATTTTTCAGATTATGTGGTTATCCAAATAAAGTGCCAGATGTGCATGTCAGTCAATCTTGTAAGATTTACAAAATGTACCTGAGTTGTAATAGTTGAAGAATTAAGTGGGAATATCAGGCATGACATTTTGTTGCTAATATAGACACACAAACATTTCATTTAAAAGGATCAAAACAAAGAAAAAACAATATCAAATATAAATCCTTAAGTTTATCAGTCATACAAATCTAATAGAAGTTGTAAAGTGAAAACATTTTTATTTTCCTGGAACTTAAAATCTTGACTTGTCCTATTCAGAAAAATTAAATATTCTTACCTGAACATGTCAGTTACTATGTCTTTTCTGTTTAGTCCATTTCAAAAAGAAAAAAAAATCTTAAGCTCATGTAAGTTTTGAGTAGATTGAATTATTTTCTATTCGATTAGTCACTACTATTCATGCAGAAATAGAACTTTATATCTCTCACCAAATTTTCAAGAGAGTCATTGTTGATTTAAGAAAAAATATATAATTGTTAATTAAAACAGCATTGTCTTCTTGTCAAAAAATCGGGTAAAAATGTTGAAAAATTATTATTAAACTAAACTAAACTTTTAAAATGTTCTCAAGTGGAGGTAATAAAATATACAAATTTCCTACAGTGTGGCAGTGCAAACGTGTGAGTGTGTGTGTATGTGGAAATATAAATACAAATTACATGTGGCACCATTACAAATGGAACAAGTCTTTCTCTCAAATAACTAATTTTTTAAACTTATCCTACAGTGGTTCATAGGTAAGTTCCAAGTTTGAAAACTAGCATGATGTTTTAACTTTTTGAACGAGAATTTTCATTATTTTTATGTACAAAAAAACAGTGTACATTTCACTCACTTTAGTGGCAAGTTATTTTAGACTTTGCCTTTTCCAGATTGGCAATTTGAGTCACAGATTTTAGGTCCAGAACTTGCCTCTCTAGAGATGGCAGATCTCATTATATCTGCCATTGTGCCCACCAGCTTAGCCAGAGCTCCTTATGTCTTCCGAGTTAACCGGTGTGAAGGCAGTGGTGGTGTAAGTCTTCCTCTGGATTAGTTGTCCCCATCTGGCCTTCTCCTTGATAATCCAGTAAGAAATCTCCACCTAACATCACATAGCAGGCAGAAACATAACCAGTTCTATGAGATCCATGTTATGTACAGTAACCACCAGCTGAGCCTTCTTGTTCTTCACCAAGGAAGTGACAGTGTTAACACCTGCTGGAAGGACTGGACGTCTCTTAGTGGAGACATCCCCATTGCTGGCAGCTTTCTTCTCTACCTGGATCCAACAGTATGTGCTGCTTCCCTTGCTTTGCCTCTTGTCTGTACTTGTGGGCAAGCTTAAGCAGATAAGTAGCTGTTTGGTGGTCCAACGCCTGTGTGGACTGGTTAATTTTGTGAAGCACTTTCAACTGCTTATAGGAGACAGGCTTTTGCTGTGGCAGCTGGATGTAGCAGGGCCGTTTGACAAGGTGGATGAGCTCCCTTTTGGGCTAGATGTCCTGTCCAGTACCCAAATTATTGGGCCTTTTCTCAAACAGGAGATTTACCACCTTTTTGCCCTCCTGTTTCCTCACAACAGCAGGGGCCTAGGCCCACCTTCTTTTTCTTGGCCTTTCTTTTCAGCATCTTGGGTGGCCTACTGGAGGAGAGAGGCTTTTTTCCTGTTTTTATAAAGATGTTTTATCTTGACATTTTGTTTTTTTTATTTCAATAACTTATTCAAGAATTCATTCAACACATATTTATCAAGTAAACACTGTGTTGCTAAGTGCTGTCTTAGCACTATATTATGAGGTAAACCAAACAAGCAAGGGCTTTGCCTTCACAAACTTTCAAATCTAAAAAGGATACATCGGTATTGGTTAGGTCATACAATTTACATATAACTGCAATTCCAAAAATGTTCAGTATTATCAAACTCCTACCTAAATTTAGTCATTGTATACATGGTTTGATTTTGAGTTACACAAAATATTTGTTTTATTATTTTAAAAATATGAACTCCTGCTCTGCTAGGTAGATTAAATTCTTTTCAATATGATGTCCAATCAAATTCTTAAAAACACGAAGCACTAAAATGACAAAAAGGACAATAAAATCTGCCACATTAAACTCACACTTTGATGTGCAGATTTTCTGTAGTAACAGTAACAAATGTCAAGACAAAAATCAGACAAAATTAAAGAATAAATAGAGCTTTGTTTGAGGTGCCAAATAGTTTTTAGAGTTCAATCTACTTTGAAAAATATATGATATGCTTGCATATTCCAAGTTGCATTTTGTAGGCATTTACCAGATTCTTACAGAAGATGTGTTCGTGTCTCCTCAAAACCTTTATTTAGCTGTCTAAATAGTTATTGACCTTCAACTGAATCTTATTTCCCCAGAGAAGTCATATAAATGCCAAGGGTTAACTTTACTTTTATCATGTACCTTCCCCCTTTTATGTATAAATTTGTGTGTCATACCTAATAGGTCTATGCTTTAAAAATTTCATCTATCAAAATGTTTATTGAATGTACATTCTGTATAAAATCCCCAAATAAATTCTCTGAAGAAAGAGCTAAAAACAGACTTAAAATACTGTATAGTATTAGTTACCTAATTCTAATTAAATTTCATGATGGTATAATAAAATGGATTTGACATCCTAGTAATGTGTTCTTATTACATGGATTTTAATACACCAGATGACAAATCAGATTTTTAAAAGTAAAAAGAATGTTTTAAAAATACATAGATGGTACTTTATAGGTTCCTTTTTGCAACTGGATATTGCCATAGAAAATATGGTCAATGATATGGTTAGACTGCGTGTCCACACCCAAATCTCATCTTGAATTCTAATCCTCAGGTGTTTAGGGGGAGACCTGATGGGAAGTGATGGGATTTTGGGGACGGTTTCCCCTATGCTGTTCTTGTGATAGCGAGTGAATTCTCACAAGATCTGATGGTTTTATCAATGGTAATTTTTCCTGCACTGGCTCTTCTCTTTCCTGCCACCATGTGAAGAAGGTTCTTGCTTCCCCTTTGCCTTCCACCATGATTATAAGTTTCCTGAGGCCTCCACAGCCATGTGGAACAGCAAGTCAATTAAACCTCTTTCCTTTATAAATTACCCAGTCTTGGCTATTTCTTTATAGCAGCATGAGAACAGACTAATACAGTAAATTGGTACTGCAGAGAGTGGGGTACTGCTATAAAGATACCTGAAAATGTGGAAGTGACTTTGGAACTGGGTAAGAAGCAGATGTTGAAACAGTTTGGAGGGCTCAGAAGACAGGAAGATGTGGGAAAGTTTAGAACTTGCTAGAGACTTGTTAAATGGTTTTGACTAAAATGCCAATAATGATGTGGACAATGAAGTCTGGGCTGAGGTGGTCTCAGATGAAAATGAAGAACTTATTCAAACTGGAGCAAAGGCACTCTTGCTATGCTTTAGCAAAGACTTTGGGGACATTTTGCCCCTGACCTAGAGATCTGTGGAACTTTGAACTTGAGAGAGTTAATCTAAAATTGAATTTATGTTAAAAGAGAAGCAAAGCCCAAAGTTTGGAAAATTTGCAGCCTGACAATGCAATAGAAAAAGAAAAACCCATTTTCTGGGGAGAAATTCAAGCCCACTGCAGAAATGTGCATAAATAACGAGGAGCCAAATGTTAATCACCAAGACAATGAGGAAAATGCCTCCACAGCATGTCAGAGATCTTGGCAGCAGCCCCTCCCATCACAGGCCCAGAGGCCTAGGAGGGAAAAATGGTTTTCTGGGCTTGGTCCAGGGTCCCCCAGCTCTGTGCAGCCTTTGGACTTGGTGCCCTGTGTCCCATCTGCTCCAGCTCTAGTCATGGCTAAAAGGGGCCAACGTAGAGCTCGGGCTGTTGCTTCACAGAGTGAAAGCCCCAAGCCTTGGCAGTTTCCATGTGGTTTGGTGTTGGGCTTGCATGTGCACAGAAGTCCAGAATTGAGGCTTGGGAACCTCCACCTAGATTTCAGAGGATGTATGGAAATGTCTGGATGTTCAGGCAGAAGTCTGCTGCAGGGGTGAAGTCCTCAAGGGGAACCTCTGCTAGGGCAGTGCAAAGGGGAAATGTGGGGTTGAATCCCCCACACAGAGTCCCCACTGGGTCACTGCCTGGAGGAGCCATGAGAAAAGGGCCACCATCCTCCAGACCCCCCAGAATGGTAGATCCACCAACAGCTTGTACTGTGTGCCTGGAAAAGCTGCACTCAAGGCCAGCTATGAAAGCAGCTGATGTGGGGGCTGTACCTTGCAAAGTCACAGGGGTAGAGCCACCCAAGGCCATGGGAGCCCACCCTTTGCATCAGCATTCCCTGGATGTGAGACATGGAGTCAAGGGAAATTATTTTGGAGCTTTAAGATTTAATGATTTCCCTGCTGGATTTTGGACTTGCATGGGGTGGGGCCTGTAGCCCCTTTGTTTTGGCCAATTTCTCCCTTTGGGAATAGGATCATTTACCCCATGCCTGTACCCCTATTGTATCTTGGAAGTAACTAACTTGTGTTTGATTTTACTGGCTCATAGGTAGAAGGGACTTGTCTCAGATGAGACTTTTGACTTGGACTTTTGGGTTAATGCTGAAATGAGTTAAGACTTTGGGATACTGTTGGGAAGGCATGATTGATTTTTAAGTATGAGGACATGGGATTTGGGAGGGGCCAGGGGCAGAATTATATGGTTATGCTTTGTGTTCCCACCCAAATCTCATTTTGAATTGTAATCCCCAGGTGTTTAGGGGGAGACCTGATGGGAAGTGATTGGATTATGGGGCAGTTTCCCCCATGCTGTTCTCATGATAGTGAGTGAATTCTCAGGAGATCTGAGGGTTTTATAAGTGATTGTTTTTCCTGCACTGGCACTTCTCTCTTCTGCTGCCATGTGAAGAAGGTCCTTGCTGGAGAAGGGTCACCTTCTACCATGATTGAAAGTTTCCTGAGGCCTCCCCAGCTATGTGGATCTTCAAGTCAATTAAACCTCTTTCCATTATAAATTACCCATTCTTGGGTATAACTTTATAGCAGTCTGTGAACAAACTAATACAGTCACTTCTCTGGAAGTTTTTGAAATCTGCTTGTCAAACAACTACCTTACTTATAAAAAAGAAAGATGAACTTTGGAGATAATAGAACATTTGGCTAATTATTTTTGTAAAAAACAGTGAAAACCTGAAACTACAGTGTTTTATTTCCAGAATACAATACAGATGTTCATGTATGGAGGACAAGATTTTATGTCATAGTCATCCATATAACCAGGTGATGTAAGCGAGTATATAAGTCACTCTGAGTAACAGAATTGATTGAACTGAAATTACAGAAAAAGGCACAACCCAGTCTGAAACTGTGAGCAGTCTCTGTCTAGCATAGCATTTATTTGACTCACTGTGGGCCCAGTATATTCAGCAGAGAGATAAGCATATAGGGGCAATATTTGGGTTTCTGTTTTGCTTTGTTTTGTTTCATACAGTTTCAAGATTAACCTAATACTTGATGATGACCAAGGCACTCAGTGCTTTGCATGTAATGATTTTTTTTGTAGATTTTTAAAATCATGGACTTTTAGAGTCTTAATGCTGATAGTTCACTGTGAACTTCCTGTAATTATTCACTAGTAAAAAATATTCTCCAATAATTCATCATGAGTTATCCCAGGATACCTCAGGCAATGGATAGTTCATATGGAAGAAATAGCATGCTGATTTGTAATTATAATTGAAGAAAATTGCTTGAGAGGATTCTGACAGCACAGAAAATAGGCCAATTAGTTACCCAACTCTCATCCTCCTGTGATTCATGATTGTCTCCATTTACTTTTGCTGTCATTTATGAAGTGAGGTTAAGAATAGATTAGCTTCTTTTAGCCACATCTTACAATTAGCTTACTCTTTTGCTGCTGCTGCTTCTTTTTTTAACAGTATGATTGGGTTTAAAAACCAGTGGTCCTCAAAACTGTATTTAACAGTTATTCATCATCAAGCACTTGCTAATGTTTAAAACCACTTGATTCAGTGTCATAGCCTAACAATCATGCTCAAATAGGGTTTTTGCCCACCAAAAAAAATCATCAAGTGCTACTTTGTAGCATATAAAATCAAAGCCAAGAAGATAAAATAAGCTTTGGCCAAGTAAATACATATTAAGGTTTTAAAAATCAATTTTATAAAGAAGCAAGTTCTTTATTTAAGACTAGAACAAAATAAAAGAGCAATATGAAAGAAAACAACTACCTGTAATATAAAATCTAGCAAATAAACATTTCCTCCTATGCTTCTTCCTTTTAAATATGTCAAAATCTTACTCATGCTTCTTCTGAAAGGAAAAATGAAGATCGTGAGAATAAGAATATTTTAGTTGATGCAGACATTGGAAGGTCATCATATTTACTCATGTTTGTATATAAATTGGTTAATAAATTTTTTGTAACTGAGTTTGAAGGATTTGCTTGTGTGTGTGGTGGTGGTGGTGGTGGTGTCTTTCCAACCATAAAGGCTTCTTAAGGATCAGAATAAGGCTTTTGCTTATCTAATGTTCCACCTAAAGAACCTACTTTGTCCCTGAGCTCACAGTAGGAATAAAGTGTTTATGTGCAGACACAGGAATCAACAAATGAAGTCTATTTACCTGTGCTGAGAAGTTGTCCTGTTATATCCAGAAGCCACAATGTTATGTTTGTCACTTTAATTGATTTACATAATATTTGAAGCAATCTAGTGTGGATTATTTAGTTAAGCCCTCAAAAGACTTCAGTATGGAGCTATAATACTCTCTAGCTTTTATTTTTCATGCCAAAACTTTCTCTTAACATCTATCTATCTATCTACCTATTTATCTAACTACCTAATATATCTATCTAATCTATCCATCAATCTATCCCTCTATGTATCACACATCTCATATATTTATCTAAATTTAAGTTAAATTATTTTGAATATTTTGACATATATGAGAAATGGGATCAGTTATAAAACCTGATAAAAGAATTTCTGATTTATACATCAATTACACATTTAATTGGGATAATTATTTGGCAATTCCTTGAGTTTTCTGTGCCAGTAATTCTAAAGTAGGAGGGAAGATTTTTAATTTATAAGGGTTTATTTGGTTGAGTATAGCAGTTCATGTATATTCAGGCCAGGTGCGGAAGCATGTGATATAACTAAACTGAATTATCATATAATGCCTAGATATCTTTCTTGGAAATCTCCGAAACCAAAGTTTTTTGTTATACAAGGAACCGGTTTTTTTAATAGTTCAAAATACTTGTGTGAAATCTCATCCATGTTTCTGGGTATTAGATAAAGTATTTGATTTTAACTAAACTTATGTGAGTCACTTCTAAAATGTCGATTTATGTTCTATTTATTTAAGCTAGAATAAAAGAAAAACTTATGACAACACATTCTTGCTTCTCAAGATTTTAAGTCTTGTACGACATGGAACATAATACTGTGGACAGAAACCACTTAGAGAAAAACATTTTAAATACCATCTGCAAAGTCTTCTTTGAATTTTAAAATTCTACAGGAAGACAGCATAAAATGTGTACAGAAGCACCAGTTAAAAAGAAAAATGAATTATGTATCTTTATTAAATTCACTTTTCATCTCCCTCAATTATAAAAACACATTATGGAGCAGATTACTCAACAAGCCAAGAAAACAAAATGGAAATGCAATTAAATTGCAAACAACCTCCAAACATCATCTTGTATCTTCTGATGAACTGTTTCAAAGAAAATCATTAACAATATGCCTTAGATATATCCTTTATTTTATTTCATATTTTGTTTTTTAAATAATGGCTTGCTCTGAAGAAGATTACAATTTATAAAATGGTCAGGAAATATGCTTAATTTATTTTAGAGTGAATATATTTATATTTGTTTCCTTATTGTCACATATCAATATCTAATTGTGACATGGTTATTCTAAAGTTAAGTACATGAGCTATAGCAAAATAATAATTTGGGAGGATTGATCAACAAAATTACATGGAAAAATAAATTTTGTTAGCCTCAGGAATTTATAATGTTGTTGAGGAGTCAATATTACCAGTTACAATCAATCAGAGAAAAATTTTGTAAATTGAACTTGTGTACTTATTTGTGTTTTGCATATAAGTGAAAAAGTGAAGGATAGAGGAATGAGCATTGCCTGGATTTGTCAGAAAAATGATTTGGGTAAGATTAAACTGGAAGGAAAAATTTAGTTAATCACTCATCTTCAATTATGATAAGTTGAAATGTTGATTGGGGAGTTTATGGTTATATGAACCAAATGGAGTCATTGGTCCCCTCAAAGTAATTTTAAAAAGCTGAAAAAGAAAAGATTTAATATGATGATTCTTAGTTCACAGATGATTGTTAGTTATTGTGACACAAAGAATTGAAAGTGAAACGGGATTAAATTAATTACTTAACACATTTTAAATCAAACATAATTATTTAAATTTAACTTTTACAGAAAGAAGTATATTCAAATGGATTTGGAAATTTATTTGGTGTTATACTGCAGGAATAGTCTATTAATTGATATTCTGACTTTCTATTAGGAATAAAGTAAAATGTGAAGGTAAATTGTAGAGAGACCTATTCTCAGGATGATTTTATCCATATACCATATCACTTGATTGGTGAAAATTCATTGGGTGTTTAATTGTATGAAACTGGAGTTTAATTGACCATTTATTTATTTATTTATTCATGTAGGGCAGTGGCATAGGTAATCCATAAGGCATGTTTAGTTTTTGAAGTAAATTTTAATGGAACTTCTGGTGGTGAAAACCTGATGCATCCATTTATGTTTCCCATCAAACTTTTGCTTAATGGGACTTGCTTTATCATATGGTTTATCATACAAATGAGGAAACTTTCAAAGGAGAATGAAGACAGTAACATTAACTAAAATTATGTAAATAAGAATATTTATATATTGCCCTACTAGTTGGTTTTATGTTATTGGTGGATTTATATAGTTTTTCCATTCAAAAATTATATCAAAAATGAAATTATTTCTAAAAACTGTAAGTAAATTAAATAAAGAAAATATTCTATACGAATTATCTAAATATTAAAACTTTCATAAGCATAGAAATAATTGTTGGTATATAGTCTTATACTTCAGTCAGTTTCTTAGCATGGTCTTTCTTTAACGCCATGCCAATGGTGTTTTCCTGGAAGATATATTTTATATGATCTTATTTTATTTTTAGTTAGGAAATGTCTTTCAATCTTCTTCAAAGAGGCAATATAAGATTGGTAAATTTGATTTTTTTTAACACTGGACTTATCTATAGATCATAATATGTGTACTTGAGAAAATACTTCTATAGCTATGTGATAACTGATAAACTCAGAAAATTTTTTTTTTAAATGGAGGATATTTTCAATGGTGTTTTTGTTTTTCTTTTATTATTTTGAAATGTATAAATATTTTGGCTCAAATATTTTCACAGGCACTTTCTCAAAAAATCAGTCATACCTTTTCTCAATCTCATTGTATTTCACTTCATTAGAGAGATGCCATACCTGCAAATGTTTTCAAGATAAGCCTTTCTCTACTGTGGTACTCTACTTACTCAAATTGAAGTTCAACTTTATTTTGGTGCTATAACAATTGAAAACCTTAATTTAAGATTCTTAAATGATTTTTAACAAAGTGAAAACAATATTTAATGAACTAATTGACAATAAGAAATTCTATAGAACTGTGTAACACTTAGAATGATTTAAAAAGCTGTTATTTTGACTGAGCGCAGTGGCTCACGCCTGTAATCCCAGCACTCTGGGATGCCAAGGCGGGTGGATCCCTGAGGTCAGGAGTTTGAGACCACCCTGGCTAACATGGTGAAACCCTGTCTCTACTAAAAATACAAAAATTAGCCAGGTATGGTGGTGCATGCCTGTAATTTCAGCTACTCAGAAGACTGAAGCCTGGGCAACAGAACAAGACTCCATAGAAAAAAAAAAAAAAAAGCTGTATTTTGAAAACTCAAACTTTCCTCAAATGTATTTACTTTTTACTTTTGATTCAAGGGGTATATGTGCAAGTTCATTACGTTAATATATTGTGTGATTCTGAGGTCTGGAATTCTATTGAAGCCACCACCCAAATAGTGAACATAGTACACAATAGGTAGTTTTTCAACATTGGCACCCCTCTCTCCGTCCCTTCTTTTGAAGTTTTCCAGTGTCTATTGTTATCATCTTTATGTTCATGTGTACCAGTCTTTAGCTCTTACTTACAGGTGAGAACATATGTTATTTAGTTTTCTAAATACTAGCTTAATCACCTCCAGTATAGTGGCCTCCAGCTGCATCCATGTTGCTGCAAAGGACATAATTTTATTCCTTTTTATGGCTGTGTAGTATTACATTGTGTTTATATACCAGATTTTCTTTATCTAGTCCACTGCTGATGGGCACCTAGGTCAATTCGATGTCTTTGCTATTGTGAATAGTGTGGTGTATTAGTCTGTTTTCCTGCTGCTATGAAGAACTGCCTGAGACTGAGTGATTCATAAAGGAAAGAGGTTTAATTGACTCACAGTTCAGCATGGCTGAGGAGGCCTCAGGAAACTTACAATCATGGCAGAAGGTGAAGGAAAAGCAAGGCACCTTCTTCACCAGGCAGCAGGAAGGAGAAGTGCCAAGTGAATTGGGAAGAGCCTCTTATAAAACCATCAGATCTCATGAGAACTCATTATCATGAGAACAGCATGAGGGAAACCACCCCATGATTTAATTACCTCCACCTCGTCTCTACCTTGACACATGGGGATCATAGGGATTACAATTCAAGATGAGATTTGGGTGGGGACACAAGACCTAACTATATCATGCTGTAAGAAATATACAAGTGCAGGTGATAGCTTTTTGAAAGAACAATTTATCTTCCCTTGGATATGTATACAGTAATGGGATTGCAGAGGCAAATGTTAATTATATTTTTTATTCTTTGAAAAATCTCCAAACTCCTTTCCATAGGGGCTGAACTAATATACAATCCCACAAACAGTGTATTAGCATGCCCTATTCTCTGCAACCTCACCAACATCTGTAATTTTTGACTTTTTAAAAATAGCCATTCTGACTGATGTGAGGTGGTATCACATCGTGGTTTTGATTTGCATTTCTCTAATAATTAGTGATGTTGAGCATTTTAAAATTTGTTTGTTGGCCACTTGCATGTCTTCTTTTGAGAGGTGTCTGTTCATGTCCTTTTCCCACGTTTTAAAGGGGCTATTGGATTTAGGATATCAGTCCTTTCAGATTTATAGTTTACAAATATTTTATCCCATTCTGTTGGTTATCTTTTTACTCTGTTGATCATTTCTTTTGCTGTGAAGAGAATCTTTAGATTAATTAGGTCCTAGTTGTCAATATTTGTTTTTGTTGCATTTGCTTTTGAGGTCTTAGTGATAAATTATTTGCCTAAATCAATATTCCAGAAGAGTATTTCCTAGGCTCTGTTCTAGGATTTTTCTAGTTTCAGTTATTACTTTTAATTTTTAAATCTATCTTGAGATAATTTTTGTATATGCTTAGAGGTAGGGGTCCAGTTTCATTCCTGTACATATGGCTAGCTAGTTTTCCCAGCACTGTTTAAAGAATAGGATATCCTTTCTCCATTGTTTTTTTTTTTTTTTTTTTTTTTGTTGACTTCATTGAAATCAATTGGTTGTAGATGTGTGGCTTGAATTCTAGGTTCTTTATACTGTTGCATTAGTGAATGTGTCTATTTGTTTACCAGTACCATGCTATTTTGATTACTGCAGCTTTACAATATAGTCTGAAGTTGGGTAATGTGACACCTCTGGCTTTGTTCTCTTTGCCTAGGATTGCTTAGATATTCAGGCTCTTTTATTGGTTCCAGATGAATTTTAAAATGATTTCTTCTAACTATGTGAAAAATGGCATTGGTAATTTGATAGGAATTGCATTGTATTTGTAGATTGCTTTAGGTAGTACTGTCATTTTAATGAACTTAATTCTTCCTATGCATGAGTGAGGAATTTTTTTTATTTGTTCGTGTCACCTGTGACTTCCTTCAAGAATGTTCTGTAGTTCTACTCATAGAGATCTTTCCCTTCCTTGGTTAAATGTATTCATAAATATTTTCTTTTTGGGACTATTGTAAATGGAATTGCATTCTTAATTCATTTATCAGCTTATATCAGTGGCATATAGAAGTGCCTCTGATTTTTCTGTGTTGATTTTGTATCTTGAAACTTTATTGAAGTCATTTTATCACGTTTAAGAATGTTTTGGCAGAATATTTAGGGCTTTTTAGGTATATAATCTTGTCATCAAAGAGATAATATTTGACTTCCTATTTTTCTATTTGAATGCTTTTTATTTTTTTCTTTTGCTAGATTGCTCTGCCTACAACTTCCAGTACTATACTGAATAGGATTGATGATAGTGGGTATCCTTCTCTTGTTTTGGTTATCCAGGGAATACTTCCAGCTTTTGCCAATTCATTATGATGTTGGCTTTGGATTTTTCAGAAGTGGCTCTTAATAATTTGAGGTATGTTCCTTGGATGCCTAGTTTATTGAGGGTTTTTATCATGAAGGGATATTGCATTTCATTGGAAGCTTTTTCTGTGTGTATTGAGATGATCATGTGTTTTTGTTTTTAATTCTGTTTAGGTGTTGAGTCACATTTATTGATTTGCATATGTTGAACCAATCTTTCATCTCAGGAATAAGGCCTATTTAATCAAAGTGAATTTACCTTTTGATGTGCTACTGAATTTGGTTTGCTTGTGATTTGTTGAGGATATTTGCATCTATATTTATCAGGGTTATTGGCCATTAGTTTGATACTTTTGTTATGTCTTTACCAGATTTTTGTATCAAGATAATATTGGTTTCATATAATGACTTAGGGAAGAATTTATACTCGATTTTTTGGAAATTCTTCAGTAGAATTGGTACCAGCTCTTCGTTGTACATTTGGTAGAATTCAGCAGTGAATCCATCTGTTTTCAGGGATGTTTTTGGTTGGTTAGTATTTAATTACTGATTCAATTTTGCAACTCATTATTATTCTGTTCAGGGTTTCTACTTCTTCCTGGTTCAATCTTAAGATATTTTTTCAGGAATGTATACATTTCATCTAGGAACTCTGTGCATAGAAGTGTTCATAGTAGTCTCCAGATTTTTTTTTTTTTTTTTTTGTATTTCTTTGGAATTGGTTGGGATGCTACCTTCGTCATTTCTGATTGTGCTTATTTGGGTCTTCTCTCTTTTTTTCTTTGTTTATCTAGCCTAGTGGTCTATTCATCTTATTTATCCTTTCAAAGAACAATCTTATCATTATGTAGATCTTTTATGAAATTTTATTAGTCTCAAGTTTGTTTATTTCTGCTCAGATTTTAATTATTTATCTTCTGCTAAGTTTGGGTTTAGTTTGTTTTTGTTTTTCTAGTTCTTCTAGGTGTGATGTAAAGTTGTTAACTTGAGATCTTTCTATCTTCTTGATGTAGGCGTTTAACACTATGAACTCTCCCCTTAACGTTGCTTTTGCTGCATCCCAGCGGCTTTGGTATATTGTGTCACTCTTTTTATTTCTTTCAAATATTTTTTTTTAATTTCTGCATTACTTTTGTTGTTTACTCAAAGGTCATTCTGTAGCAAATTGTTTAGTTTCCATGTATTTTTTGGTTTTGAGAGCTCACCTAGGTATTAATTTTCATTATTATTCCACTATTTTGAGAAGATGCTTGGTTTGATTTTGATATTCTTAAATTTATTGAGACTTGCTGTATGACCCAGCATGTGGTCAACATTAGATTATGATCCATGTGCAGATGAGAAGAATGTATATTCTGTGGTTAAGTGGATTATTCTGTAGATGTATTAGTTTCAATGGGTCAGGTGGTAAATTTAAGTCCAGAACTTCTTTTTTAGTATTTTGCCTCAATAATCTGTCTAATGCCTTCATTGTGGTGTTGAAGTCCCCCACTGTTTGTGTGTGGCTAAGTATTTTCTTAGGTTTAGCAGTAATTGTTTTATAAATCTGGGTGCTCCAATGTTTGTCTCATTTATATTTAAATAGTTAAATCTTCTTTTTGAATTGAACCCTGTATCATTTTGTCTTGCCTTTGTCCTTTTTAACTGTTGTTGTTTTAAGGACTGTTTTATCTGATATAAGAATAGCAATCTTTGCTCTTTTTTGTTTTCCATTTGTGTGATAAATCTTTCTTCATCCCTTTACTTTGAGCCTATGGATGCCATTACATGTTTGATTGATTCCTTGAAGACAGCAGAAGGTTGGGTATTGTTTCTTTAATCTAATTTGACACCCAAAGTCTTTAAAGTGGAAAATTTAGGCCATTTATATTCAAGGTTAATATTCATATGTGAGATTTTGTTACTCTTGTAGTGCTGTTAGCTAGCTGCTTTGTCTGTAGACTATGCATTTTCTTGTGCTTTTATGGTAGCAAGTATCATTCTTTTGTTTCCATGTTTAGAATTTCCTTAAGTATCTCTTGTAGATCTGGTCTGGTGGTGACAAGTTCTTTTAGTGATTGCTTGCCTGGGGAAAAAAAAAACTTTATATCTCCTCTATTTATAAAGTTTAGCTGGAAGAGATATAAAATTCTTCACTTTCATTTTTTTTAAGAATGCCAAAAATAGGCCCTGAATTTCTTCTGCATTGTAAGTTTTCCTCTGAGAAGTCTGTTGTTAGTGTGATGGGATACCGTTTATAGGTAATATGGTTCTATTCTCTAACTGACTTAAAGATTTTCTTCTTTTCCATTTTTTTAAACAGTCTTATGACTATGTGCCTCGTGGATGGCTGTCTTTTATAGTGTCTCTCAGGAGTTCTCTTGATTTCTTATATCTTCCTATTGACCACTCTAGCAAAGTTGGAGAAATTATCCCAGATTATATTTTTAAATACATTTTTCAAGCTGCTTAAATTCTTCTCCTCTCTTCCAGGAATGCCAATAATTCATAGGTTTGATCCCTTTACATAATCTCATATTTCTCAAAGCCTTTGTTTTCTTAAAATTCTTTTTTCCTTATTTTTGTCTGACCGGGTTGGTTTGAAATACCAGTCTTTGAGCTCTGAAATTCTTTCTTCTGCTTGATATACTCCATTTTTAAGGCTTACCACTGTGCTTTGAAATTTCTGTAGTGAATTTTTTATCTCCAGAAGTTCTGTTTAGTTATTTGTTAGTAGAGATCTGTTATTTTTCAAATCTTTGATCATTTTCCTGACTTCTTTGTATTGGATTTCAACCTTCTCTTGCATCTTATTGAATTTCATTGCCATCCATATTCTGAATTCTATATTTGTCATTTCAGACACCTCAATCTAGTAATGATCCATTGCTGGAGAGCAAGTGCAATCCTTTGGAGGTAATGTAATACTCTGCCTTTTTCCATTGCTAGAGTTCTTCTGCTGATTCCTGGTCTTCTGAGGGAGCTGAGACTTCTTTTTTGAACTTGCTATCATTTATGTGGGGCTTTCAATTTTTTTTCCTCTGGCCACTTACATTCTGATGGGTGGTTTCAGCCAAAGTGTTTCATCAGGATAATGGCAGTGGAATCTGTGCTTGTCATGTGTGCCAGCAACTGCAACAGTCCAGTGGGCTACACATGCTAGAGCCAGGTACCTGTGTGGGTGGCATTGTCAGCATCCATGTGCACGTTTATGCCAGTGGCATGAGTGGCACAGAATGGGGGGGGGGGGGTTGCTGGTCTTTGTGTGTGCTGCCACCAATGGCAGGAATGCACAGGTTGTGTGTGCAGCCATGTTGGTGGGGTAGGAGTGGTGAGGTCCATCTGTGCACGTGCACTTGCACAGCAGTGGGGAGGGTGCTCCATCCCACAGGCAAGGCTCCCCTGCTTTGTCCAGGTCGGACAGTAACCCTAAGGCTAAATTCTCCTAAAGATGCATGGTGAGCCTTGGGGGATGGGCATCTCTGGCTGTGCTCCACTCCAGCCATTCTTATGCCAAATCTTCTTGGCTCTGCACAGGCTGGAGTCCTGCCTTTGCACCTCTCTGAGCAGCTCTCTCTCTGTCAGGTCCAGTGTTTCTGGAGGTTATGGAATCTCCTGCTGCTACAATTCTGGAGGTCTATGTCACTTCTTACCTGTTCAACTCATCCCTTCCTCAGGAGTTGTTGAGGGACCAGGAACAAGTTCTGGCACTTGGTCACCCCAAGAAAGGTTCCCAGCTTTGTCCCCCTTCACCCCAGCTTCTGCTTTCTCCCACCATGCACTCTCAATGGCTTCCCTCTGAAGATCTGCTCAGAGTTTCCCAGATATCCAGATGTCCCAGTCTCTTGGTGGGAAATATTCCTCCTCACTGTAAATTAATATTTTCTACTGTACCAGTTTATATACTTTGTGTTAGTATTGTTGTTTACTATTTTTAGTTATTTCCTTAATTGTTGTTCAATAAATTATAATATCTACCTTTAGTTATCATTACCTTATCTTAATTATAGTAAAATATAAAAATATTCCCTAATAGAGTTTGATAACATTCCCTCATGTATGTAATTGTTTTTATACATACTATGCCAATATTTTACAACTCTAATAATGCACTTTATAATTATCTTTTATGTGGTTATCTTTTACATATTTTAAAATCAGAATAAAGGAAAATATTTACACATTTTCAAAAGTTATCTATATTTTTATAATACTTTTACTGGCACTATTTCTTTGTGTGGATCAAGGTACCATCTAGTGTGACTGCCTGTCCCTCATTTAGTGTTTCTAGTAAGGCAGTTTTGCTGGCAAAATATGCTCAGTCTTTTATTTTTAATATGGCAAAGTCCTTATTGTACTTTCTCTTCTTAAATTTTTAAATATTTTTATTAATACTTAATACTTTTACATATCTGTCAGGTATTTGTTATATTCTGATATACACATACAATGTATATTAATCATATGAGGGTAATTAGGATATCTGTGACCTCAAACATTGACTAATTCTTTGTTTTGAAACTATTTCAAATCTTTTTTTCTAGCTCTTTTGAAATTCATAATAAAGTATTATCTATAGTTATCTTATAGTTTTATTAAACACTAGAGTTCATTCCTTCTATCTAACTGTATTGTTGTACCCATTAACCAACCTCCCTTCACCCCTCTTCCTCCCAACACTTCCAAGACTGATAGCCATCATTTTACTCTCTACCTTCATAAGATCACCCTTTTTAGGTCCCACATATGAGTGAGAACATGCAATGTTCGTTTATCTGTGCCTGACTCATTTCACTTTACATAATGTCTTCAAATTCCATCCATGTTGCTGCAATTATAGACCACATTTCCTTCATCCACTTGAATGTTGATGAACACTAAGATTATTTCCATATCTAGGCTATTGTGAATAGTGCAATAAACACTGAAGTGCTGATATTTCTTTGATATATTAATTTCCTTTCTTTTGGATATATACTCAGTACTGGGAATGCTGGGACATGTAGTAGTTTTATTTTTAGTTTTCTTGAGGAACATCCATACTATTTTCCATAGTGGCTCTACTAATTTATATCATCACAAAATATTTGTTATATTTGTCTTTGTAATAAGAGCCATTTTAACTGAGGTGAGCTGATATCTCATTGTGGTTTTGATTTGCATTTCCATGATCATTAGTAATGTTGAGTATTTCTAAAAATACACTTGTTGGCCATTAGTATCTTCTTTCTGAAATGTGTATTCAGATAATTTGCCAATTTTTAAATTAGATTATTTTTATTTTGCTATTGAGTAGTTTCAGTTCCTTATATATTTTGGTCATTAATCTCATTTCAGATGGATTGTGAATATTTTCTCTTATTCTGTAGGTTATCACTTAACTTTTTTGATTTTTTTTCCTGTGCACAAGATTTTTACCTTGATGTAATCCTATTTCTGTATTTTGCTTTTGTTGCCTGTGCTTTCAAGGTCTTACACAGAAACTCTTTGTCCAGACCAATATCATGAAGCATTTCCTCAATGTTTTCTTCTGGTAGTTTCATAGATCCAGGACTTACCTTAAAATATTTCATTTATTTTGATTTGATTTTTGTATATAGTGAAAAATGGAGGTCTAGTTTTACCCTTTTGCATATGAATATCTAGTTTTTCCCTTTTGCATATGAATATCTAGTTTTTCCAGCACCATTTATTGAAGAAATTGTCATTTTCTCAATATATGTTCTTGGCACCTTTGTTGAAAATCAGTTGGCTATAGGGAGTGAGTTTATTTCTGCATTCCCTTATTCTGTTCCACTAATATATGTGGGGATTTTTTAATGTCAGTAACATGGTGTTTTGGTTATTATATAGCTTTCTGTATAGTTTGAAGTCAGGTAGTGTGATGCCTCAGCTTTGCTTTTTTTTACTCAGGTTTGCTTTAGCTATTCAGCATCTTTTGTGACTTCATGTGAATTTTATGATTCTTTGTGAATAATTTCATTGATATTTTGCTAGGGATTGCATTGAATCTGAAGGTCACTTTGGAAAATATGGATATTTGAACAATATTCCTTCATCTAATCAATGAGAATAGGATATTTTTCTATTTTTGGAGTCCTTTTCAATTTCTGTAACAAGTGTTTTAATAGGCTTCATATTAGAGTCTTCGGTTAACTTTATTCCTGTGTCTTTTACTTTTTGGAGCTATTGTAAATTGGATTGCTTTTTTGGTTTCTTTTTTTTTTTTTTTTTTTTTTTTTTTCAGATTTTCACTGTTGGTATACAAAACTGCTACTGTTTTTGCATGTTGATTTTGTATCCTGCCACTTTACTGAATTTGTTCATTAGTTCTAACAGTTTTTAGTGCAGAATTTAGGCTATTTTAAATATAAATCCTGTCATATGCAAACAAGAATAATTTGACTTTTCTTTCCCAGTTTCTATGCCCTTAATTTTTTTCTCTTTCCTAATTTATCTGGCTAGAATTTCCATTACAATGTTGAATAAAAGTGGTAAAAGTGGGCACCCTTGTCTTGTTCTAAGTATTAGAGATAGGCCTTTGAAATCTTCCCCATTCAGTATGGTATTAGCTATGGGTTTGTTATATATGGCCTTTATTGTTTTTGCAGTATATTCCCTCTATACACATTTAGCTGAGAGTTTTTTTTTTTTATCAGAAATGGATGTTGAATTGTATTGAATGTTTTCTCAGCCTCTGTGGAAATGATCACATGGTTTTTGTTTCGATGCCTTTCTTTCCTTCTTCCTTCCTTTCTCTCCTTCTTTCCTTCTTTCTTTCTTTCTTTCTTTCATTTCTTTTCTTTCTTTTCTTTCTTTCTTTCTTTCTTTCTTTTGATATGGAGTATTGCTCTGTCACCCAGGCTGCAGTGTCATGGCACGATCTTGGCTCATTGCAACCTCTGCCGCCCAAGTTTAAGCAATTCTCTCACCCTCCTGAGCAGCTGGGATTACAGGCATGTGCCACCATGCCCAGCTAAGTTTTTGGATTTTTAGTGGAGACAGGATTTCTCTGTGTTGGCCAGGCTCGTCTCAAACTCCTGACCTCAGGTGATCTGCTGTCAAGAAATACATGAGACTGGGTAATTTATAAAGAAAAGAGTTTTAATTGAGTCACACTTCCACATGGCTGGGGAGGCCTCAGGAAACGTACAATCGTGGTGGAATGCATTTCTTCACAGGGTGGCAGGAGAATGTGTGCCAGCAGGGGAAATGCCAGACACTTATAAAACCATCAGATCTCATGAGAACTCACTCACTGTCATAAAAATGGCATGGGAGAAACCACCCCCATGATTCAATTACCTCTTATGGAGTCCCTCCCATGACATGTGGGGATTATGGGGATTACAGTTCAAGGTGAGATTTGCTTGAGGACGTGGAGCCAAGCCATATAATTCTGCCCCTAGTCACTTCTAAATCTCTTGTCCTCACAGTTCAAAACACAATTAAGCCCCTCCAATAGCCCTCCAAAGTCCTAACTCATTCCAGCATTAACTCAAAAGTCCAAGTCCAAAGTCTCATCTGAGACAAGGCAAGCCCCTTTTGCCTATGAGCTTGTAAAATCAAAAGCAAGTTAGTTACTTCCTAGATACAATGGAGGTACAGGCATTGGATAAATACACCCATTCCAAATGGGAGAAATTCGCCAAAACAAAGGCTCTACAGGCCCCATGCAATTCTGAAATCCAACAGGGCAGTCACTAAACATTAAAGTTCCAAAATAATCTCCTTTGACACCATGTCTCACATCCAGGGCATGCTGATGCAAGAGGTGGGCTCCCATGGCCTTGTGCAGCTCCAGTCCTGTGGCTTTGCAGGGTACAGCCCTTCTCCCAGCTGCTTTCACGGGCTGGCATTGAGTGTCTGTGGCTTTTCCAGGTGCACAGTGCAAACTCTCAGTAGATCTACCATTCCGGAGTCTGGAGAATGGTGGCCCTCTTCTCATAACTCCAATAGGCAGTGCCCCAGTGGGGACTCTGTGTGGGGGCTCTAACCCCACATTTTCCTTCTGCACTGCCCAAGCAGAGGTCCTCCATGAGGGCTCTGCCCCTGCGGAAACTTCTGCCTGGACATTCAGGAGTTTCCATACATCCCCTGAAATCTAGGTGGAGGTTCCCAAACCTCAATTTGTGACTTCTGTGCACCCACAGGCTCAACACCACATGGAAGCTGCCAGGGGTTGTGGCTTGCACCCTCTAAAACAATGGCCTGAACTGTACCTTGACTCCCTTTAGTCATGGCTCTAGCTGAAGCAACTGGGTTGTAGGGCACCATGTCCTGAGACTGCACAGAGCAGAGAAGGGGGGCGAGGTGCTTGGGACATGCCACACAATCTTTTCCTCCTAGGCCTCTGGGCCTGAGATAGGAGGGGCTGCTATAAAGTCTCTCACATGGCCTCAGGACATTTTCCCCATTGTCTTTGTGATTAACATTTGGCTCCTTGTTACTTATGCAAATTTCTGTAGCAGGCTTTAACTTCTCCCCATAAAATGGGTTTTGCTTTTCTTTTGCATCATCAGGCTGCAAATTTTCCAAACTTTTATGCTCTACTTTTCTTTTCAACATAGGTTCCAATTTCAAACCATCTCCTTGTGAATGCATAAATCTGAATGCTTTCAGGATAATCCAGGTCACATATTTAATCCTTTGCTGCTTAGAAATTTCTTCCACCAGATACCCTAAATCATCTATGTCAAGTTCAAAGTTCCACAGATGTCTAGGGCAGGGGCAAAATGCCACCAGTCTCTTTGCTAAAATATTGTAAGATTGACCTTTACTCCACTTCCCAACCAGTTTTTCATCTCCATCTGAGACCACCTCAGCCTTCATTTCATTGTCCGTATCACTATCAGCATTTTGGTCAAAGACATTCAACAAGTCACTAGGAAGTTCCAAACTTTCCCATCTTGCTGTCTTCTGAGCCCTCCAAGTCACTAGGAAATTCCAAACTTTCCCATAATTTTGTCTTATTTATTCTGAGCCCTCCAAACTGCCCACATCCAAAGTTGCTTCCACATTTTTGGGTATTCTTACAGCAGTGCCCCACTATTTCAGTACCAATTTACTGTATTAGTCTGTTCTCACACTGCTATGGAAATGCCTGAGACTGTGTAATTTGTATATATAAAAAAAGGTTTAATTGATTCACAGTTCCACATGACTGGGGAGGCCTGAGGAAACATAATCATGGTGGAAGGCACCTCTTCATAGGGCAGCATGAGAGAGAATGAGTGCCAGAAGGAGACATACCAGACATTTATAAAACCATCAGATCTCATGAAAACTCAGTCACTATCATGAGAACAACATGGGAGAAACCACTCCCATGATTCACTTACGTCCCACAGGGTCTCTCCCACAACACGTGGGGGATTATGCAGATTACAATTCAAGGTGATATTTGGGTGGGGACAGAGAATCAAATCATATGTGGCTATATACACTATATAAAAATTTTATCACAAAACTGATTAGAATAAAAAATAGAAAATAATCCTACGTAAGAATAGTAAACCAAATAAATTAGTACTATGTAATCATTATGAATCATAATACATAGGTGTGCTTGGCATGAAACATTGTTTATGCTATATTGTTACTTAAAAATTGGCTACAAAATTATACGTATTTAATCATGCTATGAAAATCATACACATAAAGGAAAGTAAAACCAAAATGTTAATAGTGACTATGTCTGATAGGTGGAAATGTGTGATTTTAAAATAATATTTACTTTGATTTATCTGTGTTCTTTGATTTTTCTACCAGTATAATGTTGTGGAAAGAGAACATGTTTTATGTAGGAAGCAAGCTGCATAGATTTAAACCTCAGCTTCATCACTTACTAGCTATTAGATTTTGGTAAGTCAGTAACAACACTGTACATCAGTTTCTCCACATATAACATGAAAATTGTAACAGTACCTACCTCATAGGGTTCTTGTGAAGACTGAATTGCTTAATTCATATAAAATATTTAAAATATCACTAAGCAAATATGTGCTAAGCACGTTTTAACTATGATATTGAAAATATTATTCAGTATTTTAATATTATTATGTATAAATATTACATAGTACATATATAATAAAGAAATAATACAGGATGAAGAGAAAAGAGACATCAAGAAAAACTGTGAAGAAAAAAGCTAGATGCTGAGACTAGTGAGCTGGTAAACAAAATTTTTACTTTTATTATTTGTAGGTTCATAGTACCCGCATACAGTACATAGCAGGTGTATATATTTATGGGGTACATGAGATGTTTTGATGCAAGTATGGAATACAAAATAAACACATCATGGGGAATGGGGTATCCATCTCCTCAAGCATTTATCCTTTGAGTTACAAACAATTTAATTACACTCTTTATTTTTTAATTTGCAATTAAGTTATTATTGACGATAGTCACTCCGTTGTGCGATCAAATTGTTGGTCTTTTCCATTTTTTCTAACTATTTTTTGTTCTCATTCACCATCCCCACCCCTCTCCCCCTAACTCCCTACTACCCTTCCTGGATAATAGTAACCATCCTTCTGCGATCTATATCTATGAGTTCAGTTGTTTTGATTTTTATTTCCTACAAATAAGTGAGAACATTGTATTTCTGTGCCTGGCTCATTTTACTTAACATAATGACCTCCAGTTCCATCCATGTTGTTGCAAATGAGGGTTCTCATTCCTTTTTATGGCTGAATAGTACTCCACTGTGTATATGTACCACAGTTTCTTTATCCATTTATCTGTTGATGGAATCTTAGGTTTCTTCCCAACCTTGGCTATTGTGAACACTGCTGCAACAAACATGAGAGCGCAGATATCTCTTTATATACTGATTTCCCTTCTTTTGGGTATATACTCAGCAGTGGGATTGCTGGATCATATGGTAGCTCAATTTGTAATTTTTTGAAGAACCTCCAAACTGTTCTCCATAGTGGTTGTATTAGCAGTGTTCCCTTTTCTCCACACCCCTACTAGTATTTGTTATTGTCTGTCTTTTGGATATAAGCCATTTTAATTGGAGTGAGATAATATCTCATTGTAGTTTTGATTTGCATTTCTATAATGATGTTAAGCACTTTTTCATATGCCTATTTGCCATTTGTATGTCTTCTTTTGAGAAATGTGTATGCAAATCTTTTGCCCATTTTTTTGATCTGATTATTAGATTTTTTTTCTATAGAGTTCTTTGAGCTGCTTGTATATTATGTTTTTTTAATCCCTTGTCAGACAGGTAGTTTGCAGATATTTTCTCCCATTCTTTGTCTTCTATGTTCACTTTGTTTATTATGCCCTTTGCTGTGCAGAAGCTTTTAAACTTGATGTGATCCCATGTGTGCATTTTTGCTTTGGTGGCCTGTGCTTGTGGGGTATTGCTCAATATATGTTTGCCCAGAAAAGTGTCCTGGAGATTTTCCCCAATTATTTCTTGTAGTAGTTTTATAGTTCCAGGTCTTAGATTTAAGTCTTTAATCAATTTTGATTTAATTTTTGTATATGGAGAGATAGGGATCTAGTTTAATTCTTCAGCATGTGGATATCCAGTTTTCTCAGCATCATATATTGAGAAGACAGTCTTTTCCTCATTGTATGTTCTTGATACCTTCATCACAAATGAGTTCACTGCAGGTGTGTGTATTTTTTTCGGCATCTTCTATTCTGTTTCATTGTTCCATGTGTCTGTACCATGCTGCTTTGGTTACTATAGCTCTGTAGTATAATTTGAATTCAGACAATGTGATTCCATCAGTTTTGTCTTTTTTCTTAGGATAGATTTGACTATTCTGGGTCTTTTGTGGTTCCATACAAATTTTAGGATTTTTTTTTCTATTTCTGTTAAGAATGTCATTGATATTTCTATAGGGATTGCATTGAATCTGTGAATTGCTTTGGGTACTATGGACATTTTAACAATATTGATTCTTCCAATGCATATTTTTTTCATTTTTGGGGTGTCCTCTTCAATTTCTTTCATTAGTGCTTTATAGTCTTTATTATAGAGATCTTTCACTTCTTTAGTTAATTTTTAGCTATTTAATTTTCTGTGTAGCTATAGTAAATGGGATTCCTTTTTTGTTTCTTTTTCATATTGTTCACTGTTGGCATCTAGGAATATTACTGATTTTTGATTATAGTATGTTAATTTTGTATCCTGCAACTTTACTGAATGTACCAGTTCCATTCGTTTTCTAGTGAAATCTTTAAGTTTTTCCAGGAAAAGATCATACCATCTGCAAGCAAGAATAATTTGACTTCTTCCTTTCCAATTCAGATGCCCTATATTTTCTTCTCGTCTGATTGCTCCAGCTAGAACTTCCAGTGCTATGTTGAATAACAGTGTTGACAATGTACATCCTTATTGTGTCTCAGATCTTAGGGGAAAGGCTTTCAGTATTTTTACATTCAATATGATACTAGCTGTGGATCTGTCATATCCGGCTTTTTTTATGTTGAAGTGTGTTTCTTCTACACCCAGTTATTTGAGAGATTTTATCATGAAGTGATATGTTTTTTCCACATCAATTCAAATGATCATATGTTTTTTATCCTTATTCTGTTAATATGATGTATTAAATTGATTTAATAGTATATGTTGGAACTACTTGGTGTTCTATAACATTTTTGTACTTGGATATTGATATCTTTCTCTAGGTTTGGGAAGTTATCTGTTATTGCCACCTTGAATAAACTTCTACCCTTATGTCTTTCTCTACCTCCTCTTTATGGCCAGTAACTCTTAGATATGACCTTTGGAAGCTATTTTCTTGATCCTGTAGGCATGCTTCTTTGTTTTTTATTCTTTTTCCTTTTGTCTCTTCTGTGTATTTATAAATAGCCTGCCTTTAAGCTCACTAATTATTTCTTCTGCTTGAGCAATTCTGCTATTAAAGGACTCTGATGCATTCTTCTATATGCAATTTGAATTTTTCAGCTAGAGAATTTCTGCCTGATCTTTTTAATTATTTCAGTTTCTTTGTTAAATTTATCTGATAGAATTTAGAACCCCTTCTTTGTGTTATCTTGAATTTTTTGAGTTTCCTCGAAACAGCTATTTTGAAATCTCTGTCTGCAAGGCTACATAGCTGCTTCTGTAGGATTGATCCCTGGTGACTTATTTAGTTCATTTGGTGAAGTCATGTTTCCCTGGATGGTGCTGATGTTGGTAGATGTTCTTTAGTGTCTGGGCATTGAAAAATTAGGTATTTATTGTAGTCTTCACTGTTGGGGTTGTTGAATAGCCATCATTCTTGGGAAGCCATTCCAGATATTTTAAGGGACTTGAGTCTTGTGATCTAAGCTATATCTGCTTTAGTGGGCACCCTAAATCCAGCAATGCTGTGGTTCTTGCAGACTTGTAGAGATACTGCATTGATGATCTTGGACAAGATCTGGGGGAATTTTCTGGGTTACCAGGCGGAGATTTTTTTTCTCTTTTTTTACATTCTTCCAAACATACAGAGTCTCTCTCTGTGTCCTGAGGCATGTAAATCTGGGGGTTGAGTGACACAGGAACCCCAGTAGCCACCACCAATATGACCGAACTGAGTCAGACCTGAAGCCAACACAGCACTGGTTCTTGCTCTAGGGCTGCTGTAAAAACTCCATGGCTACTATCCACGTTTGCTCAAGGCTCTGGTGCTCTATAATCAGCAGGGGCAAAGCCAAACAGGCCTGTGTCTTTCCTTTCTGGTTGGCGAGGTCCCCCAGGTTCCAGGTGGGTCCAGTGGTGCCATCTGGGAGTCAGGGACTAGAGTCAAAAACCTTAGAAATCTACCTGGCATTCTATTGTACCATGACTGAGCTGGCACTCAGTCCACAAGTTGTAGTCCTTCCCACTCTGCCCTTCCCTTTTTGAAGGCAGAGGAGCCTTACCCCATAGCCACTGCCACCTCAGGCCACGAGGAATTCTGCCAGGCCACCACTGATGTTCTTTTAAGGCCCACGGTCTAGTAAGTCAGCTTGTTGTGAATGTTGCCTGGCTGGGACTCACTCTTCAGGGCAGTGGGATCCCCTCTGGCCCAGCACAGGTCCAGAAATGCCATCCAAGAGTGAAGTCTTGAAATCAGTGACCTCAAGAGCCTGCTTGCTGCTCTACTCCCCTGTGGCCATGTTTTACCTGAAGCCAGGAAGTCTCAAAGGCACAACCAAGGCTCTTGATGTAGTAACTGGGTATTGCTGCTGGTTATTCAGGGCCTAAAGGCTCTACAGTTAGCAGGTGATTAATGCTGCCAGGACTGGGTACTTCCCTTCAAGGCAGTGGGGACCCTCTATTCCAAGATATGTCTAGAATTGTCTTCTGGGAGCTAGGGCCTGGAATGGGGGCCTCATGCCTCTGATCAGTGCCTGATCCTCTCATAGCTGGGCTGGTATCCTAGATGCAAGACAAAGTCCTCCCCACTCCTTCCTCTCCTCTCCTGAAGCAGAAGGAAGGAGTCTCTTTTGGAGACATGAGTTGTGCAGGCTGCGGTTAGGGAAGCCACTCCCTTGGCTTCCCCAGCTAGTGTCTCAGTATGTCACATGCCCCCCACCAGTTCACTGTCTCTGAGCCTAGTTCAGCACTATGACTCACCTAAGATTTACAGTCCTTATGGCTTAGAGTGCCTTTCAAGTTTACTTGGAGACAGAGAGCAATGTAGCCCTTGGTGGTGAGGTTTGCAGGCACTCAGGTTTGGACTGCTAGGATCAATGATTCCTGTCTGGGTAATGCTGGTTTCAGTGCTCCATCCATGGACAGGTGTTAGCTGAGTTTGGTTTGGTTTTCCTTTCTGCTCTGATTTTTGGTTCTTATTAAGGTGTTTTTTTCTGGGTAGATAGTTGTTAACTTGGTGTCTTTGTGGGGTTAACAATCGGTGAAGCCATTTATTCTGCCATCTTGCTCTTCCTCCTGTCTCTGGTAAACAAAATTAAATGGTCCTAACCCTGAAGTGACTTTCCAGTCAGGGGAGGGGGAAGATAGTGTTGGTGTGGCACATTAATCCAAATATTGTATAGAATAAAATCATAAGATTAAAAAGGTATGAAAATAGTGAAGGAAATATTGAAGAAAATTTAATTTACTAGTATTCAAATATTGGTATTAAACTGTGTTTTTCATCATTTCTTAACAGTATGTTTAGTATTACTTTTAGCTATGTGTGTGGGCAAGAGAATACATCAGTTGGAAGGTCACTCATATCCTGTTCAAGAGAACTGACCAATTTTAGTGACCCAAGGAAGTAGACCCAATAAATGGGAGATCCTCAAAGTATAACACACACATTAAATTGATTGGAAAACAATCTCCTAGGTCTTAGAGTAGAATAAAAGATGAGCTATAATTAGCTCTTTGGATGTATAGTATGGATGAATTTATGCCATAGTCAGGTATTTAATGATAGGATTTATAGGATTATGCCTACATCACAGAACTACCAGCCTTTCCAAGGCACTATGAGGGTTTCTAAACGAAATTTCTGAAGTATGTAACAGAGAATAAATATCTACCTATATCTGAACTTGTGATATAAATACAGTTTAAAACATACTTTTTTTTACATTCTAGTGTTATTATAGTTGGAATGAAAATAGAATTTTATGTTCTCAAATATAAATATCAAAGAGGAAGAAGTCTTACTTCAGTATTTAATAGCAAAACAAAATAAACTAAGAAACCCGCAAGCTTTGTTTCTTAGCTTACATTTACCTTTCATTTTTGATTGACAATAAACTATAAATTATTACTTCAGAACTATTTATGTAAATTGATAAATATAGAAAATATTTATTTGTGTTAGTTTCTCACTTGTATTTAAGGCAACAAAATAAACAAAACACCACTACACCTATTATTTATGTCAGAGGCCTAGAGAAAGTTTATTGTCAAGACTAACACAAAGCAAGGAACCCTTCTCACCAAACCAAATTGTATTCAACAAGAAAACATATGACTTTTCTTTTCCATACCTGAATGCCTTTGCTTCATTTTGACTATCTAATAACAGAAAATGACAGACACAGACACTTTACAAGTACCCATACAGGTAGCTGGTATTCCGAGGATATTTCATCTTTTCTCTGTTATCAATTCAAATCATTCATTCTCAATATCAATCAGTGTTTGCAACAACTGTAATTCTTTCCAACAGTCACAGGTGAGATTTGGACTAAAATAGTTCTGTTAAATAAATTATTCTTCAGAGATTCGTAACATAAGCACAGATAAAACACGCTTTTCAAATGTGTGTCTGTCTACTCAGAAGTGTTGAATTAACTGCATTATAGAAGAAGGCATTTAGTTTTCACAGGCCTTTTGACATTCTCTTTGAGCATTGGAACAGCATATTAGGGACTGTGCTTTCCTTTCATCTGTAGTTCATGTTTTAGGTGTCTTCCTTAAAAGGTCAGAACATCCTTAGTTACTGCTGCCTATTGAGTAACTGGGGACACAGCTAACCTTAAAGGATGAATTAATTAGTCATTTTGGCAATTAGTCTCCTTTCCCCATTTTGATTATATTCAGTAGTCATTTGAGGATCTAGAGTTTTGAACCAAAATGAAGAAATATCAAAATGAATTATGGAATCAAAGCAAGAGTTGGAAGACTTGGATTTAAATTTCTCTTCTAGGTTATGCTTTATTTTTGAAAACCTCAATTAAGTTGGCTCACAAATGAAATAAGTATGATTTCTCCAGACTTATTCAAGAGGGCATGCTCAGACTCTTGGATTTAGCTCTTTTTACATCTGGTAGAAGTGGCTGTGAATCCATCTGGTTCTGGGCTTTTATCAGTTGGTAGGCTATTTATTACTCATTCGATTTCAGAGCTCATTATATTATTGGTCTGCTGAGGGATTCAATTTCTGTCTGGTTCAGTCTTAGGAGGGTGTATGTGTCCATGAATTTATCCATTTCTTCCAGATTTTCTAGTTTCTGTGCAGAGGTGTTCATAGCAGTGTGTGATGATTATTTGTACTTCTGTGGAGTGAGTGGTAATGTCCCCTTTGTCATTTCTAATTGTGTTTATTTGGATCTTCTCTTTTTTCTTCTTTATTATTCTAACTAGTGGTCTATCTATTTTATTTTATTTTTTTGTAAGAAACAGTGCCTGAATTCATTGATTTTTCATATGGTTTTCTGTGTCTCTCTCTCCTTTAGTTCAGCTCTGATTTTGGTTATTTCTTGTCTTCTGATAGCTTTGTTTGCTCTTGGTTCCCTAGTAATTATAGTTGTGATGTTAAGGTGCTAATTTGAGATTTTTCTAACTTTTATAAGTGCGTGTTTATTGCTATAATTTTTCCTCTTCTCACTGCCTTAGCTGTATCCCAGATATTCTGGTATGTTGTATCTTTGTTTTCATTGGTGTCAAAGAACTTTTTGATTTCTGCCTTAATTTCATTAACCATTCAATTCTATTCTTATCAAACTACCAATGACATTCTATACAGAACTAAAAAAAGAGAAAACTATTATAAAATTCATACAGAAACAAAAATAGCCAAAGCAATTCTAAGCAAAAAGAGCAAAGCTGGAGGATTCACATTGCCTGACTTCAAACTGTGCTACGATGCTACAGTAACCAAAACAGCATGATACTGGTACAAAAAACAAACACACAGACCAATGGAATAGAATGGAGAGTCCAGAAATAAAGTCACACACCTACAACTCTCTGATAGTTGACAATGTTAACAAAAACAAGCAATGGGGAAAGAACTCTCTATTCAATAAATGGTGCTGTGATATCTGGCTCGCTGTATGCAGAAGGTTGAAACTGGACCCTTTCCTTATACCATAAACAAAAATCAATTCCAGATGGAATAAAGATCTAGGTGTAAAACCTCAAACTATAAAAGCCCTGGAAGATAACCTAGGAAATACCATTTTGAACATAGAAACTAGCAAAAATTTCAGGATGAAAACACTAATACAGTTGCAACAAAAGCAAGACAAATGGGACCCAATTAAAGAGCTTCTGCACAACAAAATAAACTATAAACAATGTCAATAGGAAACCTATGGAATGAGCAAAAATATTTGCAACTATACATCTGACAAAGGCCTAATATCCAGAATCTACAAGGAACTTAAACAACTGTACAAGCAAAAGACAACCCCATTAAAAAGTGGGTAAAGGATATGAACAAAAAGAAGTGTTCAAAAGAAGACATACATGCAGCCAATTGACATATGAATAAATGCTCAATGTTACTAATAATTAGAGAAATGCAAATCAAAACAACAATTAGATACCATCTCACACCCATCAGAATGGCTATTATTGAAAACAAAAAATAATGAATGTTTGAGAGGTTGTGGAACAAAGGGAGTGCTTATACACTGCTGGTGGGAGTGTAAATTAGTTCAATCATTGTGGAAAGTAGTGTGGTGATTTCTCAAAGAACTAAAAACAGAACTACTGTTTGATCCAGCAATCCCACTACTGGCTATATACCCAAAGGAATATAAATCATTCTTCCAAAGACACATGCAAGCATATGTTCGTTGCAGCATTATTCACCATAGCAAAGACATGGAATCAATCTAAATGCCCATCAACGGTCAACTGGTAAATAAAATGTGGTACATATATACTGTATAATACCTTGCAGTCATAAAAAAAGAATGAAATTAAGTCCTTTGCAGGAACAGGGATGGAACTAGAGGCCATTATCCTTAGCAACTAACGCAGGAGCAGAAAACCAAGTACCACATTTTCTCACTTATAAGTTGGAGCTAAATAGTGAGAACACAGGGAGACAAGAGAACAGCAGACATTGGGACCTACTTCAGGGATGGGGTTAAGAAAAAAAAAACAGAGAGAAAAAAAATGTTGAATACCTGAGTGATTAATCTTTACACTAAACCCCCAAGTCACAAGGTCACAAGTTTGCCTATATAACAAACTTGCACATGTACCACAGAACCTAAATGAAAAGTTAAAAATATTTTTTTAGGCTGGGCGCGGTAGCTCAGTCCTGTAATCCCAGCACTTTGGGAGACCGAGGCGGGTGGATCACGAGGTCAGGCATCTAGACCATCCTGGCTAACACAGTGAAACCCTCTCTCTACTAAAAATACAAAAAAAAAAAAAAAAAAAAATTAGCCGGGCATGGTGGCGGGCGCCTGTAGTCCCAGCTACTCGGGAGGCTGAGGCAGGAGAATGGCGTGAACCCGGGAGGCAGAGCTTGCAGTGAGCTGAGATCGCGCCACTGCACTCCAGATTGGGCGACAGAGCGAGACTCCGTCTCAAAAATAAATAAAAAAATAAATAAATAAATAATTTTAAAAAATGAATACCTTTTAAAATAACCTGTAAAAGTATCAGGACCTTGCTCATAATTTCTAAAGTTTTCCCCTTACTCTTTCCTTTAGCAGGAGCTCAACCTTAAGATGAAAGTTTAAGAAATTGGTATTCAGAAGGGTTAAACGAAAAATCGGTTTAAAAGGAGTCAAATCATAGTAAAAGGAAGTCGGATTTTAAAAATTTTGTTAGTAATGATGAAGTCTGGATGTACCCAAGTGAGAGCACAGTTCAGTTAAAAGAGAGTGTGAAGTGGAGAAAGGGAATTAGATCTCTGTCCGGTCTGAGGCCTTGTTGTTGAATCCTGAAGTGTGCTGGGCTTAGCAAAGTACTGTCTTTATTGAAAAACCACTAGTAAATGCATAGTTCATTCAAATTTTAGTGAATTATTATTCGCACCTTACAATAAAAGTTAAAGAGAAGAACAAAATCAACTTTTGATTTGAAGGACCTTAATGGTATTTTATTAACAAACTGTAAATAGTAACAGCATAAGCTGGATGGGAAGCTGCTTTCACAGGCCATAAATGCTTAATGTTTATTACCAATAAAAGTCAAAGGAGCATTTAGTAAAGCAGTTTACCAAACAAACATTAAATACTTTAATGTATGAGCTTCAGTGGACAGAATCAGCTATTTAATTAGCAATGAGTAATCTGTTAAGCTTTGATTCACCACAAATGATCTGCAGTTTAATACAGGACAATAGTGTTTGAAAGCAAGTGATGGGTATAAAGGCCATGTTTAGGGAAATAGAATGATACTCTTGAAAGCAAGGGATGAAGATAAAGACCAGTTTTAGAGTAATTGAGTCTCATACAAAACTAAAGGTAGAGGAATACTTGTCTTATGTTGCATGGTGCCATAGAAAGAACGTGTCTCTCCACTTCTGAGCTGTATAATTTGGGAACAGTTTTGTTTATTACATAAGCTTTAGTTTCTTCATCTGAAAAATGAGTCCTATCTCATAAGATATCTGTGCAGATTAATAATAGCATTGCATTGTTCTGGGACATAATAAGTGTCCATATGTAATTTTACTTTACTCGATTATTTTGTCTTCTTCATTGCTTTTGCTAATACACTTCCTCCTCTTCCTCTTTCTCCTCCTCCTCCTTTGCCTCCTCCTCCTCCTGCTACTATCACTACTGATGGTGCTATTTAATCAGAACACATGAGTTAAGCTGTAAAATTCCTTTGGGTTTCACAGAAAATAAAATCACAAATTACCTTTAGTGATAGATATTTATTGCAAATGTGCAGAATAAATAACCTAATTTTCCAGTTGTCAACACAAATCTCAGAATTTCTAACACTGTGATAAAAACTGGTCTTTATATAAAAGAGGAAAATTCATAATAACTCGAAACAGCAACTTGAGCTGAGTAATATACCTTACCTTTATTGATCTAGCATTCTTACTTCCCCAAAACTATTTTGATTGAGATGGTTTATTACTACTCACTGTGAGAGAGTTATGCCAAGCCACTTCAAAAGTGATTGTCCTTGTGTCCAGTTCATATATGGGTGACTTCTGCTTGTGCATTATTCCCCAGGCCAATGAGATGTGTTCAGATTTGCAAAACTGGCTTTTCTTACATAGTACATCACATGAACCAGAGCAGCTTATGTAGGAAAGATCCTGTTGGGCCTGCTTTTCTTAAAATAGAGACGTGTACTTAATGGGCAGCTGAGAAGTTTTATTGAGATGTCTTTGCCACATTTATTATGAAGGCATAGTATATTCCAGATAAGGTATAAAAATTTATATCTATATAAAAATTATATTTCAACAACCCTGTGAGATAGTTGACTTATTATCTCCTTTTTTTTTTTGACACAGGTTTTTGCTATGTCACCCAGGCTGAAGTGCGGTGGCTCAATCATGGCTCACTGCAACCTTGAATTCCGAGGCTTAGGTGGTTCTCCCATCTCAGCCTCCCAAGTAGCTGGGACTACAAGTGTGCACCACTATACTCAGCTCCTTTTTAAACTTTTTTTTTGTAAAGATGGGGTCTCACTATGTTGCCAGGGCTGGTTTCAAACTCCTGGCCTTACGTGATCCTCCCTCCTTGGCCTCCCAAAGTGCTGGGATTACAATCATGAGTCACCATGCCCAGCCTCCTTTTTTTATAGATTAAAAAAAATTGAGGCCCTCAAAAAGATTTAACAAATAGTCTAAAACAAAACATCTAGTCAATGACATTAGCAGGATTGAAAACCAAGCTTGGCTGTTGTTCTCTCTATCCCTCAGTTCTCACGTAAAAGCAACAGTTCTGCCATTAACTCAGTGACCTTTTGTAAGTCACTCTCTTATATGTAGGCCTTTGTTTTCTTATGTGAAAATAAAATGTGGAATATCATCACCAATTTTCTATTAAAAATTGCACAGAAAGCCATCTTCTCACTTAAAATCTTATGTAAACATGTATATGTAAAATAAACCAGAAAAAATAGCAGAACTGCTTTTGTTGAAGGAAGCCTCTAAGCTTCTGGGAAAGTTTTGTTTTTTTCTATTCTTGACTGCCCACCTCCATATCCATATGTCTAAATTTCACTCATTCTCAAAGCCATGCTCAAATGCTACCTCTCCACTTAATCTTTCTGGATCTGGCGAGCCATAAGCAATCTCATATTCTTGTGAAAATTCGTAACATTAAACTTGTAGCTGATTATGGTTATGTTCTTTTCTGCCTTATAGATATTTTTACAAATTTCCTAAATTCCGTGGTAGACTGGACATTCCTGGAGGGCAGGAGCTCCCTCAATTAATTTATGCATCCTCTACACCATCTGGCACAGTGTCTGACATACTAGAGTCAAGGATAAAAACTAGGTTGCATCTTGTATGCCAACAACAATCAATGGGTAATTGTACTATGGTAACAAAGATTCTGGCATTGTGCAAGTTTTCATAACAAATAGTAATAATGTGAACTATTGGTTAAGTGTCTATGTTATCATCAAAGAATCACTTCCAACTATCTTTAACAAAAAGAAATTTATCAGCTCATATAAATGAATGGCTCTATGCTCTGAGTCTATATATAGTTTTAGGCACTGTAATAATATCAGGGCTCCTCTTCATGTTCTTTGAAATTATCTTGTATCTGTCCTACACTGTGTCAGCCTTATTTTCAGTTGTTTCCTTTATTCTATCAGAAATGACTGTGATAGTGCCAGATGTTACCTCTTTATAACACTGTACCCAACATGTTGATGAGACCAAGAAGCCTCCAGCAATACCTCCTTGTATCCTATTCTTACACACTGGCTTAGATGTACGTGCTTGAATTGAACACTGTGTCAAAGTGATGGGATAAATAAGTTAGGTACCAATTCATAATACATATAAGCTATATAAACGGGGGAAATATTACTTTTGAGAATAGAGCCACAGAAAGAGATGTGAATAGGCTGGACTTATCAGGGAAAAGGAGACAAAAGTCTTGCAATCTTTCAGTTTAAAATTCTGACAGACAACCCTCGAACAATAATTTCTCAAGTGGAGCAAAAGTAAAATTAGAGAATGATGAAAATGTGTTGGTTCATTTTTATTAACTATATTTTTAATTATACTTACAGAACATTGATAATAGTACAAAGGGTCCTTACAGCCATCATTCTGTGACTTAACACTTTTAAAGGGCAACAATAAGTTATGTTGTTCATTTAGATCTTTTCAGATTTTTCTAGTGATTGGAGGGGGGTTATATTTTTTTGGCAAGAACTCCACACCAATGATATTGTTACTTTTCCAATACGGGCTATCTTGCACCCACTAATTTTAGCATCCATGGGTGGATCTTGTCTATTTGATTCTCTATTTACTTCTTTTCTTTACAGTCACTAATTTAAAGTATGTTGTGTGAAAGAGCTCTCTCTTCCCCTACATGCACTTATTCATGTATTATTTAATCACTTATTTACGTTAGTATTGACTCATGGATATTTATTTTATTAGGTTAAAATCTAATATGACAATTATTTTGTTACTTAAATTGCTCCAGCTTTGGCCATTTGCTCTTTCTGGTTGACTCTTTTGTGTTGTTTGGTTTTGGTGGGTGCTATTTTTCTTTTTCAGTTTTTTAATTAGTATTTTTATTTTGGGAAAACAACAGATTGACATGCAATTGTAAGAAATAATGCAGAGAAATCCCATACACCCTTGACCCAGTTAACCCCAATGGGTAACATTTTGCAAAATTGTACAATATTACACCCAGGATATTGAAACACAATCATCTACTGATCTTATTTAGATTTCCAGATTTAGTTTTCTTCATTTCTGTGATTGGGTGTGCATATGGTATGTATGTGTATTTAATTCCATGTGATTTATCAAATATGTAGGCTCATGTATTGAGTCAAGATACAGACAGTTACATAACCACAAGTATCCCTAGTATTGCCCTTTTATAACTTCTCTCCCCCAAATATTCTCTCTCTGTAACCCCTGTTAACCACTACTTCGTTCTTCATTTCTATAATTTGATCATTTCAAGTGTGTTATATAAATGATATCAAAGAGTTTGTAACCTTTTCAGATTGGCTTATTTCACTCAGTATAATTTCCTGGATACTCGTCCAAGCTGATGCATGTATCAATAGTTTGTTCCATTTTATTGCTGAGTAGTATTACCTACTGTATTAGTCAGGTTCATAGTGAGCCTATATCAATAAATTTGGCCTGATTCAACTTTATGTTTCTTCCACCATTATCCCACACCATTAGTATTCATTTTCAAACATATTATTTTAATTTCTGTCTATATAAATTAGAAAATTCAAGTAGATTTGTGAACACACCTTTTCATGGGTCACACTTTATACTCCACCTTCAGGGGACTGCTGGAACCTGAGTTGAGTTATAGGTCTGGAAGCAAAGATGTGTGGTGGAAGTAGGTTCTTAGGAGAATCAACAGAGTATTGAACAACTGCCTCCTGGTGACCATTACAGTGTCCTTAAGCAATGCAAGGTTAATCCTCTCAGAGTGAGGTGGAGAGGCCACTTTCACAGGGGTGAGGAGGCCTCTTTCACTGGCAGAGAAAACTCATCACAGTTGATGGACTAAATGTTCCCAATTTTATCTGGGTTTTTCCACATGTCCCCCTTTTGATTTTTATGATGATTCACAATAAGTGCCTTCACTTTGACAGTAGGAACACTATGATACTGGGAATTTAACTTAAGTTGTAATTTCATCAGTCATAGGATGAGATACTGCTTTGGGTTTTTAACAATCAGTGCTGTGACAACGGGAAATAAGGATCATCTTTAGGGCACATATAGAAGCTTTCAAGTTAATTATGTGGTGCTTGATCTGGACATTCAAATCCACGAGTATATTCTTTTCTTTCTCCACTTTGTCAAGTGACGTTAAGAACATCCAGCCAATCTCACTATATGTATTATTTTGATAAAAATGTTTACAATTATATACACAGTCACCTAGCTCCTTGCTGCTTGTAAGTACTTGATTACGAGTAGCCAATGGTGATATTTTGCATATCCCCATTGCTAGATCATGCCATAACTGTCAGTGCCCCCTTTACTATTGGAAATAGAATCACTAGCCTCTTTGAATCTAATCAAATTAAAATGCCAATTCTAGAAATCCCAGGACCAAAATAATGGGATATGCGATTATGGTGGCTGGCATGTCTCAAGATATGCAATCAGCTGGAGACCTAGGAAACTTGATGGTGTAGTTCCAGTCTGAACTGGAATGCCTGAGAACCAACAGAGTTGACAGTTCTTTTCCAGTGTGAAAGCTAATAGGCCCAAGACCCAGGATGAACCAGTGTTTCAGTTTGAATCCAAAAGCAGTCAAGCAAGAGGAATTTTCTCTTACTAGTTGGTGGGTAAGTCTATTGTTTTATTCAGGCTTTTAACAGATTGAATGGTGCCCTTCAACTGATTGAATAGGACTCATCCGCAGTACAGAGTACAATTTGCTACACTGAGTGTCTTGATTCACGTATTATCTCATTCAGAAACACTGTTACAGACACACCTAGAATAATGTCTGACCAAATTTCTAGGCACAATATGGCCCAGACAAGTTGACATAAAAAATTAACCTTCACACATGGTATTGGCATACCACAGTTTATTTAACTGTTCACCTCTTGAAAGACATCTAGGCTGATTCCAATTTTTGACTATTAGAAGTAAAACTCCTAAAAAATTGTATACATTAAAAAAAAATAAAGACAAATTTTCATTGCTCTGGGAAATAAAGTGCAATTGCTGGGTTATAGGTCAATTGCACGTTTCATTCGAATAAGAAACTTTAAAACTATTTTCCATAGTCTTATTTTACATTCCCAACAGCAACATATGAGCAATCCAGTTTTTCTGTACCTTCACCAACCTTTGGTGTTGTCATTATTTTTATTATAGCCATTCTGATAAATTTGTCATTGTATTTAATTTAGGTTTTAATTTGTATTTCCTGGTAGCTAATGATGTTGAACATTTTTTTCATGTTCTTATTTGCCATCTGTAAATCTTTGTTTAAATTTCTGTTTATGTATTTTGTCCATTCTCTAATTAGATTGTTTTCTTATCATTGAGTTTAGAAACTTTTTTATATATTCTGGATACAATCATTTTATTGCATATGTAATTTTAATAATTTCTCTCAGTGTCCAGCTTTTCTTTCATCTTCTGTACAGCTTCATCCACAGAGCAAAGTTTTTCATCTCGATGAGGTTGTAATGATCTTTTTTGTTGTTGTTGTTTCCTTGTATAGATCATCCTTTGGTATCAAACCTAAGAATTATTCACCTAGTTCTAGATCCTGAAGATTTTTTTTCTGTTTTTCACTAAATATTTTCTGGTTTTATATTTTATACTTATGTTCATGATCCATCTTAGGTCAATTTTTGTATAAGATGTTGAGGCTTAGGCTTAATTTATTTCTTTTCATTTTTTTGCTCATGGATGTCCAGCACCATTTGGTGAAGAGGTGATCCTTTATCCATTTAATCATTTTTTTAAATTTTTGTCAGAAATCAGTTGAGCATATTTTCCTGGGTATACTTCTAATTTTTTTATTTTGTTTTATTTATCTATGTGTTCATCCCTCTACAATACCCCATTGCCTTGATTACTGTAGCTACATACTAAGCCTTAGTGTCTGGTAAAGTGATTCCTCTCACTTAATTCTTTTTTGTCAGGATTATTTTAGCTATTCTAGAGCCTGAGCCTTTCCATATAAATTTTAGAATAGCTTTTCTAGCCGGGCGCGCTGGCTCACTCCTGTAATCCCAGCACTTTGGGAGGTCGAGGCAGGTGGATCACCTGAGGTCAGGAGTTTGAGACCAGTGTGGCCAACATGGTGAAACCCTATCTCTACTAAAAATACACAAATTAGCCGGGTGTGGTGTCACACGCCTGTAATCCCAGCTACTTGGAAGGCCGAGGCAGGAGAATCTCTTGTACATGGGAAGAGAGTTCATATTTTCTTGGACCATTAAAAAACACTCCTATCTCTCTCTCTCTCTCTCTCTCTCTCTCTCTATATATATATATATATATATATATATATATCCCTAGATAGAGAAAATATGTACTCTATTCTTGTAGGGTGGAGTGTACTATATGTGTCAATTTAGATCCTGTTGTGTGAAGGTGTTATTCATATATTCTATATCCTTGTGTGGTCAGTTCAAAGATTTCAGGGTCAAATAAGAAAGATACAGGATTAAGGCTGGGCGAGGTGGCTCACGCCTGTGATCCCAGCACTTTGGGAGGCTGAGGCAGGTGGATCATGAGGTCAGGAGTTCGAGACCAGCCTGGCCAACATAGTGAAACCCCATCTCTACTAAAAATACAAAAAATTAGCTGGGAATGGTGGCAGTGCCTGTAATCCCAGCTACTCGGGAGGCTGAGGCAGGAGAATGGCTTGAACCCGGGAGGCGGAGGTTGCAGTGAGCCAAAATCGCGCCATTGCACTCCAACCTGGGTGACAGAGTGAGACTCCATCTCAAAAAAAAAAAAAAAGAAAAAGAAAAAAAGAAAAAGAAAGAAAAAAAGATACAGGATTGTGAGCAACAGTAACACATAATAAGCTTTATTGGACAGTGCTTGGACAGTGTTCAGCAAGAGATTCTCCAAGACAGTTGTGTGAGGCCACCACATAGAAGAGGAATAGGTCAAAGGACTTCCTAGAGAAGAATAGGAAATTGAATAGGAGGCTTGTTTGTTTAGGTGATGTTACTCAGCAGCAAAATGAAAAGTCTCTTGGCAAGAGAGCTCCAAAGGGCAGCAATAATTTGGGGTCTGTCATAGCTACAGGGTTCATCTTATCTATGCTTAGTATGCTTAGCAAGTGTTGGGTGTAATTCAGGGTATGCAAAGTGGATAGGCTCTAAATGGCTAAAATATGTTTATTTTGGATTTATATATACATACAATTGCATAATTTTATAAGTACCAGTGCAGTTTTGTTACATAGATATATATTGTATAAAAGTGAAGTCTAGGCTTTTAGTATATGAATCACCTGAATAATGTACATTGTACCCATTAGGTAATTTCTCATCCCTCTCCCCTCTCCCACCTTCCTACCCTTCGGAATATCCATTGTCTATTATTCTACTTATGTCCATGTGTACATATTATTTAGCTTCCATGTATAAATGAGAACATGCAGTGTTTGACTTTTTGTTTCTGAGTTGTTTCATTTAAGATAATGGCCTCCAATCCTATCCAATTTGCTGCAAAAGACATGATTTCACTCTGTTTTATAGATGATAGTATCCTAATGTATATTTAACAAAATTTTTTTATCCATTTATTAATTGATGGACACTTAGGTTGATTCCAGATCTTTGTTAATGTGACTAGTGCTGTGATAAACATGGAAGTGCAGGTATCTTTTTGATAGAATGGTTTATTTTCTTTTCAGTAGATAGCCAGTAGTGGGATTGCTGGATCAAATGGTACTTATATTTTTAGTACTTTGAGACATCTCCATACTGTTTTCCATAGAGGTTGTACTAATTTACACTCTCACCAACAGTGTATAAGCATTCTTTTCTCTCCACATCTTCATTAACATCTGTTGTTGTTTGACTTTTTAATAGTAGCCATTCTGACTGGTGTAACATGATATCTCATTGTGGTTTTAATATGCATTTATCTGCTGCTTATTGATGTTGAACATTTTTTCCTATGCTTGTTGGCCATTTGTATGAATGGCGGAAAATAATTGCAAACTATACACCTGACAAGGGACAGATATCCAGAAGTTACAAATAACTCAAACAACTCAACAACAATATAAAAATAAATAACCCCATTAAAAAGTGGGCAAAGGGTGTGAATAGACACTTTACAAAAGAACACATATAAATGGTCAACGAACATATTTGGAATGTATTTTAAAGCAATTGCATGTGTAAGGATTTGAGTTTGGCATTGGTAGTTTTTAAACTAATGGTCCTAGCCTGCTGTAAAGAAGTAAGCAGCAAGCCATTTTGGACTGATATGAAGAGGCCATTTCTGGTCATTTTATATAACACTTTGCAGATCTGACTTATAGTTCTTTTCATTTCTTTGAGGAGGTTTTGAAGTCTCTAATTATAATTGTGGATTTGGTTATTTCTCCTTTCAACTCTATCAGCTTTTGTTTCACATATTTTGAGGTTCTGTTTTGTGGTGCATATACATTATGATATTTATATTTTTCTGGTGGATTTTTTTATCATTATGTGATTTTTTCCTTTGTCTCTCATCAATTTCTTTGCTCTGGAGTTTATTTATTTTATATTAATATGGTCACTCCTGCTTTTTTAAAATAAAGTTTGCATGGTATATGTTTATCCACCCTTTTAATTATTTCAATGTTGATTTTATTGAATTTGATGCCAGTATCTTAAAAGCAGCATTGCGTTATTTAGTGTTATTTTTCTTACTTTTATTAGCTCTGGTAGTAATTTTCTTTTAAATGGTATATTTAGACTCTACATATAAGATAATTTGATATGTTAGAGCTTAAGTTTGTCATTTTATTATTTGTATTGTTTGTTTTCAGTGTTTCTCAATTCTATTTCTGTTTTCTAAATTCCTGTAGGCTCTTCAAACTCTTTTTAGAATTCAGTTTTGATTTATTTATAATGTTTTGAGGGTATATCTTTGTATTTTTTAAGAGGTTGCTCTGGGTATTACGATATGCATAGTTGACTTATCTCAGTCTACTGGTATCTATCCATATTTTAGCACTTCAAGTGGATTTTGAAAGTCTTATTTCTATTTAGTTAATTTTAGATTCCCCACTGTTAAGTATTATTGTTTTGAGTGCCAGATTGTGTTATAATTTGTATTTTAATCATCAAATATGATTAAGAAAACTCATGAATTTAAGTTATTTATTCATATTTCTTCTCTTTCTGTTCTTTATTTTTATGCTTCAATATTCCTTAATTTATCATTTCCTTTCATTTTGAAGAAATTCATTTAATACTCTTTAACAGTGGGTCTACTGGGGACAAATTATTTTAATTTTCCTTCATCATAATGTCTTCATTTCCTTTGCTTTCCAGAATAATTTTGATCAGTTGACAGTTCTTTACTTTCAGCACTTGAAAAATATGTTGCTTCCTTCTTATGCCAGGGCTTCAGGTGAGAAATATGTTGTCATTTGAATTGGTGTTCCCCTATAATATGTCAGTGCTCTCTGACTATTTGCAAGATTTTTTGTCTTTAATTTTCAGAAATTTAATTGTAATGAGTCTTGACATTTAATTATTTGAATTCACTTATGTGGTCTTTATTTAGCTCCTTGAATATGTAGATTTATGCCTTTCACCATATTTGGAAAGGTTTCTTCCATTATTTTTTCAAATACTCTTTAAACATTTTTCTCTTTCCCATCTTTGTCTGGAATTCTAATGATATAATTATTGGATGCTTTGTAATTGCCCCTGAAGTCCCAGAGAATCTGTTCATTTATTTTTTTTCAGCCTAGTTTCTCTCTGTTGCTTAAGTTAGGTGAAATATATTACTTATTTCCAAATTCATTTATATTATTCTCTATAATTTATAGTCTATTACTGAACCCACATATAGAGTGTTTTATTCATCTTGTGTTTTTCAGTTATAACATTTCCATTCTGTTATTTTTTATTACTACTAATTCTTTCACAAAATTTTCAAATTTTTTCATTGCCTCACGATAATTTGAAATTGCGTTGTGTAGTTCTCTTTGAATTTTAGATTCAGGGGGTATATGTAATTGCTTAAAAATGGGTATTACATGCATAGTGAGAATTTGAAATATATGGGGATATTGCAAATATTGAATATTTTACCCAATAGATAATTTTCAACCTTCACTCATTTCCCCTTTCCTTTTAGGGTTCCCAGTGCCCATTATCTCCATCTTTGTGTCCATATATACCCACTGTTTAGCTCCCACTATAAGTGAGAACCTGTGATATTTGATTTTCTGCTTCTAAGTTAGTTCACTTAGGATAATGGCCTCCAGATGTATCCATATTGCTGCGAAGGACATGGTTTCATTGTTTATGAATAGCACTGTGATAAACATACAAGTGCAGGTGTCTTTTTAATATAATGATTTCTTTTCCTTTGGGTAGATTCCCAGTAGTGGGACTGCTGAGTCAAGCTGTAGTTCTAGTTTTGTTTATTTGAGATATCTCCATACTGTTTTCCATAGAAGTTGAACTAATTTACATTCCCAGCAACAGTGTATAAGTGTTCTCTTCTCTACATCCATGCCAACGTCTGTTTTTTGACTTTTTAGTAATAGCAATTCTGACTGGTGTAAAGTATCACAGCATGGTTTTAATTTACATTCCTTTAATGACTAGTGATGTCAGGCATTTTTTCATGTGTCTGTAGGCCCCTTGTATTTATTCTTTTGAGAAATGTCTATTCCTGTCCTTTGCTCAGGTTTTAATGGCATTGCTTTTTTTTTTATTCTTTTCTTCTTGAATTGTTTGAGTTTCTTCTAGATTCTGGATGTCAGTCCTTTGCTGGAGGCATACGTTGCAAATATTTTCTCCCATTCTGTAGGTTGTTTATTCTGTTGATTATTTATTTCGCTGTGCAGAAATGTGAAGCATTGTTGTGATGGTTGCTTTAAAATACTTGTCAGATAATTCTGACATCTGTATGTTCTCAGTGTTAGGATCGTTTATTTTTTGCACTGAAGTTCTGACTTTCTTGGTTCTTGTTATGACAAATAATTTAAAAATTATGTTCTTGAGTTTTTGACTATTATGTTAGAAGGATCTGGGTCTTATTTAAATATTTAAATTTAGGAAGGAAGTTTAGGTTTAGCACAGAGGTTACAGCCTAACTTTGTGGGATGCAGTTCCCATGGAAATAGAATTTTCAGAGCCTTTGTAGTGATATTTTTTTCTGTTTTGTTTACCTGGTTCTGTTGTCTCTCTGCTGGTGTATCCTGAGAGTACAGAATGAGCTTCCTCATGTCCGGCCACCTGGTGCCTCTTTATGAGGAAAGGTGGTTTCCAGCCTATGGAGACAAAACATTTTTCTAGAGCTAAGTACTTGTTGTGACAAATCCCACTTTTTAGAGTTGTATGGCTACTTTATATCTCTAGGTGGATAAAGGGATTATTTTCCCATGGATAAATAGTGCTTCCAGGCCTTAAACTTACTTTGGTGTGGTCTCACTAACAATGCCATCCAGTCACCTGATTATGTGGTTTTTCTAGGTGGGATAAAGGATTCTCCAGCCTGGGGGGATGAAAAGTACTTTCTGGCTCAGACACTTTGGGCCAGTCTTTAGCTGATGACAGGACTTCACAGACCTGTAGAACAAAGAGTGCTTCCAGGTCTGAGTACTTTTAATCGTGGGATCTCCCTTTCCTGAATCACCTAAATCCCTGGTATCTCTAAAGAGGGGAGTAGAGTCTCAGGATTGGTGAAGATAATGAGGTTCCCCAGGCAGGTTGTTGATTATGGCAAGACCCCCACAGAGGGTGCTACCAGCACCACCTCCCTGGCCAGAGTCTCTAGATGGAAGAAAGTGGTATCTCACATTTCGCAGAAAAGGAGAATGGTTTTCTTGGCCACTTATGTTCTAGGTGATTTCTCTTGAGTTTGCCAAGTGTTGTTGGTGAGGCTTCTATTAGATCCTGGGGAGAAATAAACCTACCTGACTAAGTTGTGTTCTGTTGCTATGTTGGGTATCAAAATTCTCTGGGCTTGGGCCACCTTCTGCTCTTGGGTTGGTGGTCCTAATACATTATTTATAGAGTCTTTACTTTTCTCTACTTATCTCTACTTTTCAGTGTTGTCCTTTGCTCTCCTCTTATAGTTTTTACAGGATTTATAGTTGTACTTTGTGAAAGAGTGGGAGAAATAAGTCTATTCCATGTGGCCAGACGAGAAGTATCTCTTGTGTTCTTTTGACAGGCCACATTATTTTTTGAGCATTTCTTTACTTTCTTGGAAGTACCAGGTATTTTAGAACCATCTTGTATTTCCTCTGCCCCAGAACTGGATCAACCACAACTTGTCCTAAAGGCTCTGATTTCCTTTATTGCATAATGGTATTTAGGGACCAAGATCTGGGTGCTAAGTATACTCATTGTTATTGGGATGTAATTACTTCTAACCTGTCTCAGGAGACAGGGCTAGAAATATACATATACATACATACACACATATATGCATATATATGTATATTTATACACATATAGTAACCCATATAAATACAAATATGTCTATATTTTTACCCTATTTATCTGTGTATAGGTATATATGTGCATATATCTCTATGTGTGTGTATTTGTGTTTAGCCATGAGTTTACCCCTATAATTTTGATTCTAACTTACTGCCATGAAGTTCATTTAAGAACCCCCTGTTGGTTTATAGATTTTTGTTTATACTGGGAAGCACAGATTTTATTATCTACAATTTATTTGTGTTTTGCTGTTACTTATACCAATTATTTTCTACCTGAATTCTTTTAGTGTGATTTTCTTACTCATTTATAATGTTAGATCCACCTATTAATGTTTAAATTTCATTTGAGCCCCTTCCCACACTCCTGGCTGGTTCTAGTTATTTTTGTATGTTTAGCATGTAAAGTGTATGCCAAACTTTAATATAATTCTAAGATTATGACTTTTAAAAATGTCATTGCCTCCTAACCCCTGCTACCCAGTTCCAGTTCCTCCCTTCTTACCACCTCTAATTCACTTGCCACCTATAGATAACCAACCTACTAAGTTTCTAGTATACCTTTTGTCCAAATGAGCAGATACATGCCCATTTATAATAACTCCTTGTTTCTTACACAAAGAGTAAAATACTTATACTCTTTTGAATTTGTTTTTTCACTTAATACTATATCTTAGAAATCACTCCATATCAATTTAGAGAGTTTTACTCATAGTTAGGAAACATTTTACTATATAAAAATTAAAGAATTATGTTTTCTTCTAATACCTGTTTTTTTCTAAAAATGTTTTAAAATGTTTTTACATACAGATTTCTACATTTCAGTTTCATTATTGTGTATATTGTTACATGTGGACTCACTCGTCTCTGCACCATTTATTTAAATAAATCTTTACCCCAGTAATTTCAGATGTGCTGGCTCATTTTGAAGGACTGGTACCTTTTGACTTGAGAACAAATGAACAATATTATGGCAAAATGATGCAAAGCACACATACATATGTCATACTGTAGACTAAACTACCACAGGAGTTAGTAGGGAGTCAGGGTTATCTCAGGAATTATAGTGTGATTAAGTCTACAAATTGGAGATTATGGGATAGACATACAAGGACTTGGTTTCAGGAAGTGACATAGGAAAGAGAAATAGGAAAATTGATCTGGCACTGGTTTCATTAACAGCAATATTTGAAAGCTTCCATAAAATTAAAGAATAAAGAGTTTCAATGGAATTTTTTATGCTGTGTGAGCAACATCATTGTAAGCTTTTTGAGGTAGAAGGCACAGAAAAGAGAACAAGATGTAGTATTGTTTTATAAACTCAGAGTTTGGGATGTTATTTCATGGACTTCCATTTTATGGAAGTTTATGATCATAACAATAATGTAGCTAATGTTCTGTAATTCAATTACTGCGCTGTTGTGAGCATTAACAATCTTGCAGCAAATATGAAGAGCAGTGGGACAAATGGGCAATATACATATTTCAGTTTGTTACAGCCTATTGCATAATTACCTAAGTTGCCATTTGTACAAAAAAGCGAGGTTGGCATTGAAATTCAACAATTAATTCTGTGACAAATTCATCCCCTTAAAGATGGTAGGAGGCATTAAAAGAAATTTATGAAAAAATGAAGAAACATCTCAACAGCCAACACCATAATTTAAAAATATTAGTGTTTGTAAAGTTTTAGGGTAAAATGATGCATATTTCTTCACTGTAGTCACAACTATGTTGCAATGTGCATATTAACTCTGTATTTAAGTGATTCTTTCTTGTTGCCTATTTGTACTCTACTCTGGCATGTCGTTATCATGCTAGACCTGGAGGATACCCTTTCTCCTTAATTAATTTAACTTTTAAATCAATAAAGTTTATGATCATTTTAAGTGAGTTTGTTAAGGAGGTATTAGCTGTTTAAGGCATCTGTTTATTTCCACTAAGATTAAAAATTTGTTGAATTAAAATATTTAAACATATTTTAGAAATCATTTTATATTAGTAGTATTATTCTGAGATATATAGTAAATATCCAAAACATTGAAACTTGAATATATTAACTACAGAACCTACACATTTTGTATTTTAATTATGTTCCTTTGAATGTACTTTTAGATAGGTATGTTTCATTCCAGAAAACAAATATATATATATATATATACATACATCTTAATATATATCTATAGTTTCTTTCTACATTGAACCATTATAATCCCTTATATTTTGTATGCTATTTTTTTAGCTTAACTACTAAGTGTGGGTGTGAGTGTGTGTTTGTGTTTGTGTTTATTGGAGGGAGAGAGAGAAAGAGAGAGAGAGAGAAATACGTTGAATTACTCCAGGAATATAATTATGGCTTTACCCTAAAAAGTGTACAGTGAGGGGTGGCAGAATATGCCATGCCAATATATAAAACTTGGTATAAGGTTTATTCTGAGCTGAAGATACTTGAAAAATAGCAGATGCAAGGTCTTTCTGCTCTCCCATTTACTTCCTGAAAACAGGAGATAAAAATTCCCATATGAAAGATGCCCTCCCTGTATTAGGAAAAATGAAGCATTCATCAATGGGGACTCATAGCCTAGACAATTCTGTACAAACAGGACTTGTTAAAATAATTATTATCTTCCTTTGGCCTCAGCACATAATTTAATTGCCTTTTCGGAATTGTCTCTCTTTGTTCAACCTAATATAAAGGCATTTGGTGCCACTTCTTTGCATTTTTATTTACTTATGACGACTTTTGTATTAAATTGGTTTGCTTTCTCCTGCTAATCTGTCTTATGTTAATTTCTTAGGCCCAGCTGGGGGAACCTATGAGAGTAGATGTAAAAGTTTGCCTCCCCTACAACAGTTTAGAAACTTACATGAAAGATGGTTTGCTCTTATAGTCCAGAAGCAAAAGTGGTCCCAACTGGGTCATAGTTAAACCTAGGTGTAGTTGAAAATGGGCTACTGGTTACAAAACATCACTTAAATGACTGTCTTCTGTTATTATGAATTGTAGAGTTATATTTATACTTCTTGATAACATTCAGAATACCTAGCACAATGCTGGATACACAGCAGATACTCATTAGATTCTTATTGATTATGTGATAAATCTGCATTAGAGTTCTTATGAGGTTGTTATAAGGAAACCAGAAATAGATAAAAGCACTTTGTAAAAGATGTAAGTGCAACTCAATAAAATGTATCATTACAGTAATAATACTCCCAGTAAATTGTTACAGAAAGCAAAAGGTCATTCTTTGTCTTTTCTCTTTATGTAATGAGATGCCTTAATTTATATACATATATATATATATGTATATAAAGCCATTGATGATTTGAAATAACTGATGTCTCACATGACAACATTTGGAGCCATGACCATAATGGCTCCATTAATGGTCTTTTCTGACCTTTTCTATTTGTTAAAGTTAACCATAAGTTAATGTAACATTGCCTACATTGTCTTTGGAAGGGTAACATAATATAATGCTTTAATGATGTTTTAATGGAATCTTATGACACTTCAGGGAAAGCTACATAACTTCATATGTAACCATGGTTCATTACTCATTGAGACATGTACCTTCTCAGTCATTCTGGAGTCCCTAGTCCTGTGGAAATCATGATAATGGAAAGATTAATGTACCACACTGTTTATAAATATATGTGCATGATTTTAACATTTAAATCAATATTCGGATTTAAAAATTAAGGAGAGATATATGCAGAACCTGAGGAAAAATATGCTGAGGTAATGAAATTAAAGTTTGGTTTATTAGGTTGAAATTCAAAAATAGATGCTGCATTATGCTAAAATTCTAATTGAACTATAGAAAGCAGTGTAATTAAATACTTGCTCTATGTTGCTTATTTTTGTAGGATGAAAAACATATTAAATACTTTATATTTACCACTAATGTGACTGTTCTATATCTATATGATTGTGATTCTAATCTGAGAGTCTTCTTGAAATGCCTGGTCAACAGTGCTCATTACTTAATAAAAATCTATAAATGTTAATTATATTGATCAATAATGCTTTCCATTTTATACTTAAAAAGCATTTTGTATTTTAAATATCCTAACTCCTAACCTAAGAGTTAATCATGGTGTGCATACAGGATTGTAACTAAAGGGATAAAGAAGATGATATAAAGCTAACCCCTATTACTGAAGATTTAATATGGAATTTTAAAACATTTATTTAACAAATGTTTCATAAGAACCACAAATGTTTTGACCTTGTGTTTGCAGCTGAATATACAGAAATAGAAGTTATTTTACATTATTTTAGAGTGCACAGTTTTTCAGGGCAGATAGAGATCTAAATACTAAAAACGGTATGCAATGGAGTAGGGGAAAAGCTCTTCAGAAGATGCTGGAACCATCAAGGTTCTACATCTGTAAAAATAGATTGGATTTCATGATAGGGCATCTTTAAAATATATTGAACACTAAAATGTTTAAAAGACACTTTTTTCTGAGAAAGGTTTGCTTTGCTCTTTCAGACTTTGTTACACCTTTCTAAACACTGTGGAGTACCTTTATGTCTCTGCTTTCTGGCAAGACCATATCTAAATGTTGAATTTACTAAATTTAAATTTACATAGAAGTGTTTTCATTGACTCCACTGTATTCTCCTGCTGCCCTCAATCCTCTACCATGAAAATCCATAAAATAGCATTTGTCAAGGCAAAATGATGCATAATAGATGTATTACTGTATTTTCACGCTGCTGATAAAGACAATTCAAGACTGGACAATTTACAAAAGAAAGAGTCTAATTGGACTTATTCCATGTGGCTGGGGAAGCCTCATAATCATGGCAGAAGGCAAGGAGGGGCAAGTCACATCTTATGTGAATGGCAGCAGGCAAAGAGAGAGCTTGTGCAGGCAAACTCCCATTTTCAAAGCCATCAGATGTCATGAGACATTCACTATCATGAGAAGAGCACAGGAAAGACCTGCCTCCATGATTCAATTATCTCCCACCAGGTCCCTCTCACAACACGTGGGAATTATGTGAGCTACAAGATGAGATTTGGGTGGGGACACAGAGCCAAACCATATCAGTAGACAACAGGAGTCAGCTCTTATATGATTTTTCTCTCAGAAGCCGAGAGAGAAAATCACTCATGAAATGCGGTGCTTGAAAAAAGGGAAGGCAGACTTGAAGGCTAGGCAAAACAGTAAGGTCAAGTTGTTTAATCACTTCTCAGTGTTCCATCTGCTATTCTACTACTCCTCAGGGGTTATTCAGGCCCCCTCCCTTCCCTACACATCAAGCTTGAGGATTTGCCCCCACCCAGGACTGGCAAATTGGCTTTACTCAACATGCCCCAAGTCAGGAAACTAAAATACCTCTTGGTCTAGGTAGATACTTTCACTGGATAGGTGGAGGCCTTTCCCACAAAGTCTAAGAAGGCCACCACGGTCATTTCTTCCTTTCTGTCAGACATAATTCCTCGGTTTGGCCTTCCCACCTCTATACAGTCCGATAACGGACCGGCCTTTATTAGTCAAATCACCCAAGCAGTTTCTCAGGCTCTTAGTATTCAGTGAACTAATGGTCTTTTAAAAACATACCTCATCAACTCAGTCACCAACTTAAAAAGGACTGGACAGTACTTTTACCACTTGCCCTTCTCATAATTAAGGCCTGTCCTCGGAATGCTACAAGGTACAGCCCATTTAAGCTCCTGTATAGACGCTCCTTGTTATTAGGCCCCAGCCTCATTCCAGACACCAGACCAACTTGGACTGTGCCCCAAAAAACTTGTCATCCCTACTATCTGCTGTCTAGTCATACTCCTATTCACTATTCTCAACTACTTATAAATGCCCTGCTCTTGTTTGCACTGCCGGTTTTCACTGTTTCTCCAAGCCATCACAGCTGATATCTCCTGGTGCTATCCCCAAACCGCCACTCTTAACTCCCTCTTAAAGTAAATAAATAATCTTTGCTGGCAGAGCTATGCTGAACCTCCTTAGGCACTCTCTAGTTAGATGTCCTAGGTCCTCCCAATTCTTAGTCCTTTAATACCTGTTTTTCTCCTTGTCTTATTCTGTTTAGTTTTTCAATTCACACAAAACCATATCCAGGCCACACCAATAATTCTATATGACAAATGTTCTTCTAACAACCCCACAATATCAGCCCTTACCACAAAATCTTCCTTCAGCTTAATCTCTCCCACTCTAGGTTCCCACACTGCCCCTAATCCCGCTTGAAGCAGCCCTGAGAAACATCGCCCATTATCTCTCCACACCAACCCCAAAAATTTTCACCGCCCCAAAACTTCAACACTATTTTGTTTTATTTTTCTTATTAATATAAGAAGACAGGAATGTCAGGCGTCTAAGCCAAAGCTAAGCCATCATATTCCCTGTGACCTGCACATACACATCCAGATGGCCTGTTCCTGCCTTAACTGATGACGTTACCTTGTGAAATTCCTTTTCCTGGCTCATCCTGGCTCAAAAGCTCCCCCAATGAGCACCTTGTGACCCCCACCCCTGCTGGCCAGAGAATAATCCCCTTTGACTGTAATTTTCCTTTACCTACCCAAATCCCATAAAAGGGCCCCAGCCCTATCTCCCTTCACTGAGTCTCTTTTCGGACTCAGCCCACCTGCACCCAGGTAAAATAAACAGCCTTGTTGCTCACAGAAAAAAAAAAAAGAAAAAGAAAGAAAGAAAAAGAAAAAAGGGGAGGCAAACATTCCAATTCCCAGTTGAATGTCTCCACAGCCTGTAGATTTGATGAACCATACAGCATTATCAAAAGAGGAAATAGCATTAGAGAGATGGCATGAGGGACAGTCATGAGGAAAAATGTGAAGGGACACAGCCTCAAGTTACCCATTTTTGAAAGGTTTGGAGGATGAAACCTAAACTTGTTACTATCTCTGAAACAGGAATCACACAGGATAAGATGAGTTTGGGGCCTGTAGGCTTGGAGGAAATATTACAGTATGGAGCAAAGGTGCATATATCAGAGAAACACTGAACAACGTTGCCAAATTTAACTAGATTTCACAAGAGAACAATTCTCATTGTGAGATGCCAGTTTCCAGCCTGTATCAAACTTTTGACAACAAGCTACAGTGACATTTTTGTTGAGTAAGCCTATGATGGCTACCTTGTTAGAGCAGGTACCTCAGAGGACTGCATTATTAAAAAAAAAATCCCTATTCTCTACTCCAGTACTGAAAAGCAATATCAGGAAATGAGAGGGGATTTGGAAAAGATAAGATCTCTCCATTCCCTCCTGGCATTATCCATTATCTTGGGGTAAGTGGGAGGGTGGCAGTGTGCAAAAAGTAGAAGGACTTGGAAATAAAGAGTGGATTAGATATTAGTATCAATAACACAAGACTAAAGAACCAAAATGAGAACTACTTTCTTATCTAAAAATGAGTGAAAAAATATAAAATTTAACTGAGATGTGAAGGAACATCAGTACCTAGAAAGAAAGCAGGAATTGAACTGAAAACAGCTTATCATACTTCTTGGAAAAAAAATAAAACTATCTTATAGGTGTGCCCCAAATTTATACCCAAAATTAGTATAAATTTGGGGTATACCTATGAGATAGTATGCTAATGAGTTGAGATCTCTCACTAAACTGATTACAGATATTAATCAGACAACTTACTGCCTAATGAAAGATATTGCAAATTTGGTTTAAAAAGATGACTAGTCACATGATTCATTTCAAATACATTGGATTTAATTGTTCCTAGTCTCTCTCAGTTGACAGGCTAGGAAATATTTGAATGAATACTAACGTGTAAACACGCACACATACACACACATACATCTATGCATAAATATATATATACACACACATATATGTATATAAAGATAAATATACATGCGTATCTATATTAAGCTAAACATAATGTATTAGTTCATTCTCCTGCTTCTATAAGGACATACCTAAGACTGGGTAATTTATAAAGGAAAAAGGTTTAATTGATTCACAGTTTCGCATGGCTGGAGAGGCCTCAGGAAACTTACAATCATGGCAGAAAGGGAAACAAACATACCATTCTTCACATGGCAGCAGGAGAGAGATTTGCCAAGCAAAGGAGGAAAAGCTCCTTGTAAAACCATCAGATCTCATGAGAACTCACTCACTATCACAAGAACAGCATGGGGGTAACTGCTCCCATGATTCAATTACCTCTCACCGGGTCCCTCCCTCAACATGTGGGGCTTATGGGAAGTACAATTCAAGATGAGATTTGGGTGGGGACACAGCCAAACTGTATCACATGAGTTCATGCTAATGTCTGATTCTTATTCACTATCACATAACTTATTCTAGCTTTCTATCCTTAGTTATATGTAACCTCCCATGTCATGATGTGGAAAGCTGGCTCCCACAATCCATTTACATATTTTTTCAATCCCAATATATGCGTACAGTGGTTTTAGAATTGTTAATCTTTAATATTAACTAGAGTATGGTGCTTATATACATTTACATTTATCTTTAGCTTATAATCGCCACTCATTTCCAAAGTCACTTAGGTTAACATCATTCTGACTACCACCAGCTATTCTTAGGTTTTTGAGAGCATTATATTTTTATTTTTTCATGAATGATGTTGAATTTTGTCAAATGAATTTTCTGTATCTATTTATGCAATCATATATTTTCCTTTTTATTGTAACCTACACTGATTGATTTTTAAATGTTCCATCAGGCTTGCATTCTTGATATAAACTCTACAGGAGTTTATAAACTTTTAGATAAATTTGCTGATATTCATTCACTATTTCTGCTTCTGAATTCACAAGGGGGTATTGGTTGTAGTTTTCAGTTATTGTTATGTCTTTATTTATTTTATTGTTTGGGCAATGCTAGCCTTAAAAAATGAGTTGGAAAGTATTTCTTCCTTTTCAATGTTATGGAAGACTTTATAGGAAATGATACTTTTTTATAATTTCAACTTCTATTGTAGATTAAAGGGTACATATGTAGGTTTGTTATACGGGTATATTGAGTGATGCTGAGGTTTGGGGTACAAATAATTCCATCACCCAGATAGTGAGCATAATATCCAATAGGTGGTTTTTCAGTTTATGCCTTCCTACTCCTCCCTCATCTAGTAGTCCCCAATGTCTATTGTTTCCATCTCTATGTTTATGTATATTAGATGTTTAGCTCCTGTTTACAAGTGAGAACACGCAGTATTTGGTTTCTGTTTTTATGTTAATTCACTTAGAATAATGGTCTTCAGCTCCATCCATGTTGCTGCAAAGGACATGATTTTGTTCTTTATTACAGCTGTGTAGCATTCCATGTTGTATATGTACCCCATTCTCTTTTTCCAATCCACTGTTGATGGTCACCTAGGTTGATTCCTTGTCTTTGCTATTGTGAATAGTGCTGCTGCAATGAATGTGTGAGTGCATGTGCCTTTTGGTAAAATGATTGGATTTCTTTTGGATATATACCCAATAATGGGATTGCCGGGTCAAATGATAGTTCTAAGTTTTTTGACAAATTTCCAAACTGCTTTCTACAAATACTAATTAGTCTTCATTCACACCAACAGTGTATAAGTGTTCCCTTTTCTCTGCAGCCTCACTAACATCTGTTGTATTTTTTTTAACTTTTTAATAATCGCTATTCTGACTGGTGTGAGATGGCATCTCATTGTGGTTTTGATTTGCATTTCTCTGATGATTAGTGATGTTGAGCATTTTTTCATATGTTAGTTGATTGCTTTTATTTCTTCTTTTGAGAAGTGTCTGTTCATGTCCTTTGCCCATTTTTATTTTTATTTTTATTTATTTATTTTATTATTATTACACTTTAAGTTTTAGGGTACATGTGCACAATGTGCAGGTTTGTTACATATGTATAAATGTGCCATGTTGGTGTGCTGCACCCATTAACTCGTCATTTAGCATTAGGTATGTCTCCAAATGCTATCCCTCCCCCCTCCCCCCACCCCATAACAGGCCCTGGTGTGTGATGTTCCCCTTCCTGTGTCCATGTGTTCTCATTGTTCAATTCCCACCTATGAGTGAGAACATGCGGTGTTTGGTTTTTTGTCCTTGCGATAGTTTGCTGAGAATGATGGTTTCCAGTTTCATCCATGTCCCTACAAAGGACATGAACTCATCATTTTTCATGGCTGCATAGTATTCCATGGTGTATATGTGCCACATTTTCTTAATCCAGTGTATCATTGTTGGACATTTGGGTTGGTTCGTTTTGGGGATACAGGTGAGTTTTCTATGTATAGAATCATATCATCAGCAAAGAGAGATAGTTTGACTTATCTTCTTATTTGAACGCCTTTTATTTCCTTTCTCTTGCCTAATGTCTCTGGTGAAGACTTCCATTAAAATGTTGAATGGGACTGGTAAGAATGAGCATCCTTGTTTTGCTCCAGTTCATAAGGGGAATGTTTCCAGCTTTAGCCAGTTCAGTAGGATGTTGGCTATGAGTTTGTCATAGATAGTTCTTATTATTTAGAGTTATAGTCCTTCAGTGCCTAGGCTGTTGAGGGTTTATATCATGAAAAGATTTTGGATTTTACCAAAGGCTTTTTCTGTGTCTATTGAGATGATCATATGATCTTTATTTTTGATTCTGTTTATGTGGTGAATCACATTTATTAATTTGTGTATGTTTAACCAGACTTACATCCCAGGAATAAAGTCTATTTGATCTCAGTGAATTAACTTTTTAATGTCCTGCTGGATTTGGTTTGCTAGTATTTTGTTGTAGATTTTTGTATCTATTTTCGTCAAGGATATTGGCCTGAAGTTTTTTTCTTTTTTGGTTTTGTCTCTGCCAGGTTTCAGTACCAGGATGATACTGGCTTTGTAGAATGAGTTAGGGAGAAGCCCCTTCTCCTGATTTTTTTAAACTAGTTTCAGTAAGAATGTTATCAGTTATTCCTTAGACATCTGGTAGAATTCAGCTGTGAATCCATCTGTCCCAGGGCCCTTGGTAGTTTGTAGGGTTTTTATTTGTATTACTGATTTGCTTTCAAGCATAATTTTTATTGGTCTGTTCACGTTTTCACTTTCCTCCTGTTTGAATCTTGGGAGGTGGTATGTTTCCAGGAATTTATCCATTTCCTCTAGATTTTCTAATTTGTGTGTGTAAAGGTGTTCCTAAAACTCTCTAAAGCTCTTTTTGTATTTTTGAGGGATTTATTGTAATGTCATCTTTGTAATTTCTGATTGTGCTTCTTTTTTTTTTTTTTTTTTGCTTTGTTAATCTAGCTAGCAGTCTATCAATCTTTCTTTCAAGGAACTAACTCTTGGTTTTATGGATCTTTTGTATGGACTTTTGGATCTCAATTTCATTCATTGTCTCTCTGATTTTATATATTTCTTTTCTTATGCTAAGTTTGGGGTTGGTATTTTGTTTCTAGTTCCTCTGGGTGCAATGTCAGATCATTAATTTGAAATTTTCTAACTTCTTGATGAAGATGTTTAGTGCTATAAACTTCCCTTTTAACACTACTTTTGCTGCATCCCAAAGATTTTGGTAAGTTGTGTCTCTATTTTCATTAACTTTAAATAATTTTTAAAATGTTGCCTTTATTTCATTGTTCACTGAAGAGTTACTCAGAAGCAAGTTGTTTAATTTCCATGTTTCTGTGTAGTTTTGAGAGATAATCTTGGTATTAATTCCTATTTTTATTGCATTGTGGTTTCAGAGTGTGCCTGGTATGATTTAATTTTTTTTGAATACATTGAGACTTGTTTTATGTCCAAGCAAGCAGTTGATCTTAGAATATGTTCTGTGTGCAGTTGAGAAGAACTCATATTCTGCGGTTGTTGGCTAGAGTATTTTGTAGGTGCCTATTAGGTCCAATTGTTCAAGTGTCAATTTTAAATTCAGAATTTCTTTGTTAGTTTTCTGCCTTGATAATCTGTCTAGCCCTGTCAGTGGACTGTTGAAGTCCTCCACTATTATTGTGTCACTGTTTAAGTCTTTTCATAGGTCAAGAAGTACTTGCTTTATGAATTTGGGTGCTCCAATGTTCAGTGCATATATATTTACAATAGTTATGTCTTCTTGTTGAACTGAAAGCTTTATCACTATGTACTACCCTTCTTTTTTCATCCTGATTGTTAATTGATATAATTTGTTTGTGTCCTCACCCAAATCTCATCTTGAATTGTAGTTGTCATAATCCCTACATGTTGTGAGAGGGACCAGGTGGGAGGTAATTAAATCATGGGGGTGGAATTTCCCCATACTGTTCTTGTGGTAGTGAATAAGTCTCATGAGATGTGATGGTTTTATATATGGAAGTTCCCCTGCATAAGCTCTCTTGCCTACCACCATGTAGGATGTTCCATTGCTTCTCTTTCACCTTCTGCCATGATTGTAAGCCTCCCCAGCCATGTAGAACTGTGAGTCTATTAAATCTTTTTCCTATATAAATTACCCAGTCTCAAGTGTGTCTTTATTAGCAGACTAATACAGCAAATTTGTACTAGTGGGGCACTGATATAAAGATACCCAAAAATGTGGAAGCAACTTTGGAACTGGATAACAGGCAGATGTTGGAACAGGTTGGAGGGCTGTGAAGAGCACAGGAAGATATGGGAAAGTTTGGAACTTCCTAGAGACTTGTTGAATACTTTTGACCAAAATGCTGATAGTGATATTGACAATGAAGTCCAGATCCAGGTGGTCTCAGATGGAGATGAAGAACTTGTTGAGAACTGGAATAAAGGTGACTTTTGCTGTGTTTTAGCAAAGAGACTGGCAGCATTTTGCCCCTGCACAAGAGAGTTGTGGAACTTCAAACTTGAGAGATTATTTAGGGCATCTGGCAGAAGGAATTTCTAAGCAGCAAAGCATTCAAGAGGTGACTTGGGTGCTGTTAAAGGCATTCAGTTTTATTCATTCACAAAGATATGGTTTGGAATTGGAACTTAACGTTTAACAGGAAACCAGAGAATAAAAGTTCGAAAAATTTGCAGCCTGGTGATGCTATAGAAAAGTAAAACCCATTTTCTGAGGAGAAATTCAAGCCAGCTGCATAAATTTGCATAAGTAATGAGGAGCCAAATGTTAATTGCCAAGACAATGGGGAAAATATCTCCAGGGCATGTGAGAGGTCTTCATGGCCTCCCGTCCCATCACAGGCCCAGAGATCTAGGAGGAAAAAATTGTTTTGTGGGTTGGGCCCAAGGCCTAGCTGCTTTATGTAGTCTTGGAACTTGGCACCCTGTATCCCAGCTGTGACTAAAAGGAGCCAATGTAGAGTTAAGGCTGTTTCTTCAGAGGGTGCAAGCCCCAAGTCTTGGTGGCTTCCACATGGTGTTGGGAGTGCAGGTGCACAGAAGTCAAGAATTGAGGTTTGGAAACCTCTGCCAAGATTTCAGAGGATGTATGGAAATGCCTGGATGTCCAGGAAGAAGTTTGCTGCAGGGTTGGAGCACTCATGGAGAACCCCTGCTAGGGCAGTACAGAAGGGAAATGTGGGGTGGGAGCCCCTACACAGACTCCCCACTATGGCATTGGCTCATGGAACTGTGAGAAGAAGGCCACCATCTTCCAGACCTCAGAATGGTAGATCCACCAACAGCATACACTGTGTGCCTGGAAAAGCTGCAGATACTCAACAGCAGCCCATAAAAGCAACTGGGAAGGGAGATGTACCCACAATGCCAAAGGAGGAGAGCTGCCCAAGGCCATCGAACCCACCTCTTGCATCAGCATGACCTGGATGTGAGACATGGAGTCAAAGGAGATGATTTCAGAGCTTTAATATTTGACTGCCCCATTGTATTTCAGACTTGCATGGGGCTTGTAGCTCCTTCCTTTTGGCCAATTTCTCCCATTTGGAATGGATGTATTTACCCAGTGCCTGTACCCCCATTGTATTTAGGAAGTAACTAACTTGCTTTTGATTTTACAGGCTCAAAGGTCGAATGGGCTTGCCTTGTCTCAGACAAGACTTTGGGCTCTGGACTTTTGAGTTAATGCTTAAATGAGTTAAGACTTTGGGGGACTGTTGGAAGAGTATGATTGATTTTGAAATGTGAGAACATGAAATTTGGGAGGAGCCAGGGGTGGAATAATATGGTTTGGCTGTGTCCCCACCCAAATCTCACCTAGAATTTTAATAACCCCCATGTGTCAAGGGTGGGGCCAGGTGGAGATAAGTGAATCATGGGGTTGGTTGCCCCCATACTGTTCTCATTGTAGTAAGTCTCATGGGATCTTTTGGTTTTATAAATGAGAATTCCCCTGCACAAGCCTTCTTGCCTGCCACCATGTAAGATATGACTTTGCTTCTCCTTTGCCTTCCAACCTGAGTGTGAAATCTCCCCAGCCATGTGGAATTGTGAGTCTGTTAAACCCCTTTCCTTTATAAATTACCCAGTCTCAGGTATGTCTTTATTAGAAGCATGACAACAGACTCACACACTCTCAAAATCATATTCCACTGTTATTTTTACTCAAATTTTGTTAGCATGGTGGTAGATGGTGGGGACATTGTCTGATGTTGTAATTACACCTTAGTGCTTAGAAGATTTTATGGACCTGTGTCTTAAATGTGTGGTATTTACAGGGGTTTCTACTCTTCTCCAGAGTTGGACCTTCTTCTCCCATCCTATTACCTTTCTTGAGTTACAGTAGGTAAACACTAGAGGCTTCAAGATATGGTTTTGAGGGTCTTCTCCTAAAGATTAAGGCTTTTATTACCTAGAGGATATAAAGAAAATGAGTTACTGGTGTCTTCTTTCTCCTAGCTGTCTGTTCTTTCTCCTAGCTATGATGAGATTTCACTGGAGTCCTTATACTACGTGTCTTGATAGTCTTTTCTATACAGACTAAGCCTTTTGCTCCATAAAGGAAATATGGTAAGAAGTCTGTGCATATTTAGGTTTTGTCCCTCAGCTGGCACCAACAAAGGAAGCTTTGTTTGGATTCTTCCTGCTATTTAAGAGTCTAGTGGTCTCATTGGAAGACAATCCAGCAAGAAGATGTGATTATTCTTATAAATGTTACCCCCAGATGTTTCATATTCATTCGCCTACATTTGGCCTCTAGTATTCATCAAAATATCTAGTTCAAGTTTTCTACCAGTTTATATTGTATCCAGAAGTTTCCACTCAATGTGACCAAATAATCTTATGTCTCACTGAAGTCAACTTTCTCTCCAGATTTTAGGATGTCCATTTATCCCGAAACCTAAGTTCTCTGGGGAGGTTCATACAAGTCTATGAATTTCTAAATGATTTCATAGCAGATTTAGCTATGACACAGATATCAGAACTATTAGATAGGTAATTGAAATTAATACTATTAATACATTTAAGAAATCTTTAATGGAAAGGGTAAATAAGCAAGATCAGGTAGGTAATATATTAATCCAGGTCAGCATCTGGATTCTAAGAGTTAATGAGTTTGAAGTATGTCCAATTTTTGTTCTTATTGTAAGATCAGGAGCAATGTCCTTTCAGTTCTCTGTGTCTAACAGGAAATAAGAGATGTTAAACTGTGAAGATGATGGTAGAATAGAAATGTTGCAAACGTAGTGCCAGCAGCTAAACACCTACTTAAGCATAAGGTAATGCTAGTGGAATTCAAAATTATTAGTGCAATGATGGGAACCATATTTATAACAAAACACACACCCAGTTCAAATCATAGATATATTTAATCAGCTGTCAATAAGAAAGATCTAGAAGAATAAGAAACTTCCAATTACCAACTATAAATACCATTTATTTATGTCTCTACCATATTCAACACAATGTCTGGCTCTCAACCAAATATTACTGGTCACAGAAAAAAGCAAACAACCAAAAATCTCACTGCCAGAAAACCAAGTGATTAACAAAATCAGATTTAGTTATAAATTAGATGTTGGAACTAATATACAGGGAAAGAGCTACGATTGATATGATAAAGCCTCTAATAAAAAGGCAGCTATGCGTGAAGAGATGGAAGACTTCAACAAAGAAATAGAGGCTAAAAATAGGAAAAAAATGGAAGTGCTAGAAATACAATACAGAGCAACAGAGATAAATTGTGGCTTTGTTGGGTTCATCAGCAAATAAGACACAACCAAGAAAAATTAGGCAAACCTGAAATTAAATGAAGAGAAACAATTTAAATTGTCTAATATCTATGCAGTTATAACTCCAAAAGAGAAGAGGAAGAAAACAGGACAGAAAAATTATTTGAAGAGATATTGGTCAAGAATTTTCCAAAAGTGGTAAAATATATCAAACAATGCATCCAAGATTGTGAGAGAATACAAAACCATGAAAGTACCACAATATATAAACCTTAACACATCTCATTCACACTTTTGTCAAGCAAAGATAAATATCAAAGACAGAGAAAAATACACATTATATACACAAGAAGAGAGAGAAAAAGTAGCACAGAGTTTTTCTCCAAAACTATGCAAGGCAGATGATGCTTGATTAATATCTTTGAAGTTCAGAATGAAAAAAACAATGTTGAACTAATATTCTGTATCCAGTGAAAATGTCTCTTAGAAGCTAAGAACTTCTGTTTTCCCGTTAGACACAGAGAACTGAAAGGACATTGCTCCTGATCTTACAATAAGAACAAAAATTTGCATACTTCAAACTCATTAACTCTTAGAATCCAGATGCTAACCTGGATTAATGTATTACCTACCTGATCTTGCTTATTTATCTTTTCCATTAGAGATTTCTTAAATGTATTAATAGTATTAATTTCAATTACCTATCTAATAGTTCTGATATCTGTGTCATAGCTAAATCTGCTGTGAAATCATTTAGAAATTCATAGATTTGTAGGAACCTAATTCTCACAGAGAGTTTCTCTTCATACTCTTGTATATACTTAGTGGTAGACATCTGTTACTGGTAACTCGACTTTTGCTAACCTGTTTGGATGGTGGTGTGGGGTTATTGTTCTCTGTTTCCTGAATCAGGCCGAGTCTTAAGCAGGCCCTGTGTTCCAGGGTCTTGAGGATGGGGATGCTTTAGTGTTCCTGCTCCTCCTCCATCCACAGTAGATTTCTAATTGTCAGGGTCAGAAAGTTCTCTCACCTGCCTCAAAGGTTGTAGGGTTTGTTTTTGTTGTTGTTCTCTTTTCATTCTGCTATGGATCTTCACCAGTTCTTTAGTAGCGAAAAGGTTTGCTAACATTCTCCAAGTATTGTAATGCTTTTGTTCCACAGAAAAGAGAGATTGGTATCTGCTGCCCTCTCCCAGGCCTGCACAACCAATATACCTCTGATTTTTCTCATTTTCAGATTATAATGTGCATTGTGAACTCTTCTTGTGTCTGACTTCTAGATATTGTTCATTTTCTTAATAGTTTTAACCTATTCCTTAGCAAATTATTAAATATTTTAGCTGAAATCTTCTTAGCCCTTCTATGGTGGCCTTGTGTTCCTCTGATACTCTTCTCCAGATAGCCTGTGTTCCCATCTACATGATCTTTGAAAATGTTTGTCTCTTCTAATACCTTTGCTAGTTTGGTATTAATCAGTTTGGGACGCTATGACAGAATACCATAGACTGACAGGCTTAAACAACAAATACTTATTTCTCACAGTTCCAGAGGCTGGGAATTTTAAGATCAAATTATATGCACATCTGGTTTGTGATGAGGATACTCTTCCTGGATTGTGGATTGTTGTCTTACTATTGTATCCCCACCTGGTGGAGAGAAAAGACATCTTTCTCATGTCTTCTGTTATAAGAGCACCAATATCATTCCTGAGGGCTCTACACTCATGACCTAATTACCTCCCAAAGGCCTCATCTCCAAATACCATCATATTGGGGGTTAACATTTCAACACCTGACTTTTGGGGGAGCAAAAAGATTTAATCCATAACATGTGCTGTGAGAAAAGCTTCTAATGGTTTCAAAAGTTATTATGATTTGGTAGATTATTATTAGTTACCACGTTTTCAGGCTTTTGCATCCCAAGTAGAATGATGGGATCTATAGTGTATATTTTTAGTGAAAATTGTATTGAGATGATTGTAAAGTCAGTTACACTTGCAGGAGATAATACATACATCCCTTGTTCCTTTCTTCAAATTTTCTCTAATGGTAATATTTTGCCAAATTATAGTATAGTATCACAAAAAAAGTAATGTTTTTATTAATACAATCCGCTGACTTTATCAGCTTTCTTGTTTTGCATGTTCCAATCTGTGTTTGTGAGTATGTGTGTGTGAGGGGATTATCTTCTTTTTTTTTTTTTGAAAGTGCACATTTGTATATCTACCAACACAGTGAAGATACCAAACAGTTCAAACATCACAATGATCTTTTGTGATGCCCACCTATAATCACAACCACTGTTTCCTCCCCACCCCATTCCTAACCCTTGGCAACTTCTTATTTTTCCTTCATTTAAAAAATTTTATAAATTCAAAAATGTAACATAAATGGAATTGCACAGTATATGACATTTGGGATTGACTTATTTCACTCAGCATGATTTCCTCAAAATTAATCCATGTTGTATGTATAAATCCTCTGTTCCTTTTTTATTACAGAGTAGTATTACATGATGTGGATTTATCAGAGTTTGTTTAACCATTCATCTGTTGAAAGACACTTGGACTGATTTCAGTTTTTGGATATTAGGAATATAAATCCTATAAACATTTCTGTACAGGCTTTTTTGTAAACATATGTTTTCATTTTTCTGGGATAGGTGCCAGAAGTTCAATTGCTGTGTTGTACAGCAATTACATATTTTGTTTTATAAAAAGCTGCAAAACTATTTTGCAGAGTATACTATACCATATCACTTTCCCAGCAATTTACCTTCTCTACATCCTCACCAGCATTTATACTGTCATTAAAAAAAAATTAGGCATTGTAAATTTGTAGTGATATCTCATTGTAGTTTTAATTTGGATTCCATGTTTATTAATGATGTACAGCAATTTCTCATGTACTTATTTGACAGCTGCTTGTCCTCTTCAGTAAAATGTCTATCTGTTCATGTCTTTTGGTAATTTTGTAATTACATTGTTATATATATTATTATAGTATTGATATCATTTTGATGTGTGTCCCTGCTGAAATCTCATAATGAAATGTAATCCTCGGTTTTGGAGGTGCAGCCTGATGGGAGGTGATTAGATCATGGGAGTGGATTTCTCATGAATGGTTTAGCAGCATCCCCCTTGGTACTGTCCTCACGATAGTGAGTGAGTTATCACAAGATAACTCCCCCCTTGTTCTCATGCTCCTACTCTGGCCATGTGACCTGCCCTCTCTCCCCTTTGGCTTCTGTCATGACTGAAATTTTCCTGAGGCCTCTCCAGAACCCAGGCAGATGCCAGCATCATGCTTCCTATACAGCCTGCAGAACCATGAGCCAATTAAACCTCTTTTCTCTATAAATTCCCCAGTCTCAGGTGTTTCCTTATAGCAATGTGAGAATGAACTAATACAAGTATATACACTATATACTATTGTAAAAAATCATTTGAGCATATTTCTGTATTCTTATTTCTGGGTTCTCCATTCTGTTGCACTTACCTATGTGTTTGTGTCTAAACTAAAACCAAACTGTCTTGATTACTGCAGATATATATCAAAACAGATTCATGCTGAGTGATTCTTCCCATGTTAGTCTTTATTGTAATAATTGTTGCATCTATTCTAGGGCTTGTGACTATTTATTAAAATTTTAGGAAAAGTTTGTTTATGTCTACAAAATCTTAGCTAAGTTTTTTTTTTATAGGAAGTGCTTTTAACCTATAGAAAAATTTGAGGCAAATTGTCATCTATGTTGAGTCTTTCAATCCATGAACACAGTGTGTCTGTCCATTTATTTAGAATCTGACTTTTTTATCCTCATTATTACAAAAATTGAGAGTAAAGAGTTAGTACAAAATTTGTTAAGTGTTTACCTAAGTATCTCATATCTCATGTTCTTTGGAATAGTTGCAAATGGTATTCCAATTTCAGAGTTTTCATGTGTATTATTCATGTATAGAAATATGATGAACTTTTATGTGTTTGTGTCATATTCTGGGACATTTCTGAAATCACCTTTTATCTTTAGTGGTTTTTAAATAAATATTTTGGTATTTTCTATGGGGCAATCATGTCATTTGCAAATGGTGATAGTTTTATTTCATCCCTTCTAATCTGTATACCTTGTTTTTCTTGAATTATTGCAGTGGGTAAAATTCTCAGCAGTATGTGGAATAAGAGTGGTGAAAACAGACATCATTGCCTCATTCATGATCTTAAGAGGAAAGCATCCAGTCTTTCATATTTGCATATGTCTTTAATTGTAGGGTTTTTTTGTAGATTCTCTTTATCACACTGAAGTAATTCCTTTTATCCTAACCTTATGAGGTTTAAAATCATGAATGTGTGTTAGATTTTGTTAAATGTTTTGGTACATTTATTGAAATGCTTATATTATTTTTCTCATCTAGCCCATTGATATAGTAGATTACAATTATTGCTTTTTAAATTTTAAAATAGCCTTGCATACCTGGAATAAATCTTTCTAGCCATGGTGTAACATTGCTGAATTTAGTGGATTCATATCATGTTGAAGATTTTCATGTGTAAGCTCATGAGAGATATTGGTCTGTAGTTTTCTTTTTTTATACTCTTTTTGTCTAATGTCAGTTATGGGGTAATACCGGCTTCATAAAATTAGTTGAGAAGTATTCACTATTCATCTATTTCCTGGAAAATGTGTGTAAACTTAGTAATAATTCTTTGTTTTAGTAAAATTCTGTAGTCAAACAATTTTGCTCTAAAAATATCTTTGTCAGAAACTTTTAAATGAGAAAGTTTTTAAATTGGTTATAGTGTGATTAAAATTATCTATTAATCTTGGTTGAGTTTTGTTAGTTGGTGATTTTTAAGGAATTAGTTTATTCTAAGTTGTTAAAAACATGAGTGTAAATTTGTTTAAAGTAGTCCCTTATTATCATTTTTGTGGTTGCAGACTTTGTAGTAATACTCCCCTTTTCAGTACTGATTCTGGTCCTTAAATGTGTACATTATTTATCTAAATTTCCCCATCAGCACTACTTTATCTTCCTCCCTCATATTTAGATATAATTTATTTTCCTTTTTATTAAGTTCTGTTTTTGTAAATTGGACTTCCTCTTAGAATTATGGTATTTTAAAGTATGCTGTTTATTTTCCAAGTACTTTGATATTTTTCTATTGTTTTTTTATTATGGATTTCTAGTTTGATTACCTAATGATCAGTTAACATCCTCTGTATAGTTTCAATATTTTAAAATTTGTTGATGTTGATTTCACAGCCCAGATTATGGTCAGTCTTGGTCAGTGTCCCATGAATGCTTGAAAAACTATGCATTCTAGTGTTGTCCTTAGGAATTCCCTCTATATAACAATTAGATCCTGTTGGTTGATGGTTTCAATTAGATTTTCTATAGCAGCTGATTTTCTGCCTAATAGTTCTATCAGTTGCTGAGAGAGGATTTTGTAGTCCACAACTATAAATTGTGGATTTGTCTATTTCTTCCTTCGTGTATCATATATTTTGAGGCTTTATGGGTTGATTTGTACACATTTAGGATTATTATATTTTTCTGATGGGTTAATTCTTTTATCATTATTTAATGTTCCTCTTTGTCCCTGGTAATATTCTCTGTTCTGATGTTTGCTCTATCTGATATTAACATGGCCATTCATGTTTGTTTCATTAATTTCTGCATACTATCTTTTTCCATCTTTTCACTTTCTTCATTTTTTAATTTTTATATTTTTAGGTGTTGCTCTGTTTTCCAGAGAATTTATTTATTGTATTAATATATTGATTTGGATTGGATTTATTCTTGTCATTGTCTTGAGTATCACATAGTATTTTAATTTGTGTTTCAATCATCAAAATTATTTTAAAAATTCATGAGGAAATGGAAAGTCTATTTGATGTACCCGTATTTTAGCTCCTTCCCTTGTATCTTCCTTCCTGATGCTCCAAGATTTCATCATTTCCTTTAGTTTTAAAGAACTTCCTTTAGCCATTATTTAAGCGTAGGCCTGATAGCTACAAATTCTTTCAGTTTTTCTTAGTTTGATTCTATTTTCCCTTATTCTCAAAGTTTAGTTTAACCAGATGTAGTATTTACAGTTGACTTTTTTTTTCTTTCAGCATTTGGTAATTATTGTCCCACTTCCTCTGGCCTCCATAATTACAGATGATGAATCTGCTATCATTCAAATTGATGGGCTCATATCAGTAATATCTCATTGCTTCCTGGCTGCTTTTAAAGTTTTTTTCATTGTCTTTACTTTTCAAAAGTTTAATTATGTTTGTTTGGTGTAAATTGATTTGGGTTTATTCTGTTTGAAATTTGCTTTTCTCTTGGATCAATAGATCCAAGAGAAAATCATTCTCCATATGTGGGAAGTTTTCTTTTGTTGTTTCTTCAAATAGTTTTTAAACTTTATTCTCTCTCCTCTCCATCTTGAACTCTGATGACATAAGTATTGAATCTTTTGTTATTGTCCCATAAGTCTAAGGCTCTGTTTATTTTTTCCCCTAGTAAGTATCCTCTCTTTTTCAGGTAGGATCAATAATTTTTTTTTTAATTTTCAAGTTCAATTATTCTGTCTAATTACATTCTCACTGTAATGAGAATGAGACCACCCAGCACATTTTTATTTCAGTTATTGTGCTTTTCAGTATTTCCTGGTGAGGAAGAGAGTCTTGGACCATGGGGTAAAAAAGGTTTCTCAGACCTTCTGTTGCTCAGTCTCCTTTGCTGGCTCTACCTGCTTTGAATTATTTGAGTGAAAATCCAAATTCCCAGGACCAGTAAGAAAGGAGAGTACCTCCCTTGGCTGTTTATTTCTGACAAGGTTCTTAATTGTCGCCCCTTGCTGGTGCTTTCTGCTGGTGCTTTTGCTTCCTGATGTTAGAGGCACTCCTGTTAAATCTAGGAAAAGAATGAACACACCTCAGCTGCTTTTTGTTGCTAAAGTGTGGATAGAGAAACACTACGTCTGAACTGTCTTCCTTTGTTGAGTGAAGAGATGCATTACACCCTGCAGCTGTACTGTTCTTCCAGTCATGAGATTCTAAATAATATTTTTATTTAACGTTTTGCAGAATTTTCTTTTGGCTGTCTCTTATGCTATTTCTAGAGTTTTCTGTTGTGTTTAGCATAAAGGAGCAGGTAAAAATAGATACATGGCCATTTTATCTAGACTGGAAGTGCCTATAGTGTTTTTGATTGGGAAGACATTTTTTTTACTTTGTGTGTTTATTTTCCTTTCTGATCTGCACTTTAAATATCTTGTTTAAAAAATACATTTCTTACTTGATGTCATACAGGATTATTCTTTTATATTTATTTCTAAATATTTTATAGTTTTATTATTTGCCTTTATCTCCTTAATCCATCTGAAATTACATTTCATGAATGATACTAGGTATGGATCGATTTTACTTTTTACACAATATGCTTTAACAAACAAACCTGAAATTATCAGTGGCTTTTTACAATAAAATATATATTGTTCATATAACAGTCCAATATTGGTGATCTCATTTAATCAGATTTGTTTTATATTGCATCACTACAATCTTTAACATGTGTCTTCCAATTTGATGTGTTTTTCTGCATCAAGTATTTGATATGAAAAAACATTGAGGCAAGGAAAATTTTGTTCGCCAGGATTAGACATGGCACAACTCACTTTCATTTCTTTTTCATTGGCTATAACCTCAGTAACATCATTACATCAAATGTAAGAAGATCCTGAGAAATGTAGTCTACTGTGTATCGAATGAAAAGGATAAATGATTTTCTTGATAAGCTGTGTCTGTCACCTATATAGTCTATTTTCAAAAAAATTATCTGTAATGTTGTCTTTGTCACATTAAGTTTCTAAATATTCATAGGTCCGTTTTGACTCTCCATGTATTGATAATAAATTTGTATATCTCTTAAACAATATTACAATGTCTCAATTGGTGTAATGTTGTAAAAAGTATTGAAAGCAAGTCCTGTTTCTTTGTCTCTTTTCTTTGTATATCTCTTGACTATTATTGAACTCTTGTTCTTAATATAGACATTAGAATTTACTTAATTTTTCCATGAAAAATTGAAAGGGAACTCATGTCGAGAGTTTAGTTGGAAAAATATTATTTCTGCAGATCAATTTTGAGATAAATGGTGTCTTTCTATTCTTCCATGAATATGGTACATTTCTCTATTGATTTAGATTATCTACAGTGTCTTAAAAATATAACTTTAGAACCTATTTATATTAGTCTGCTTCAGCTACCATAATAAAATACTATAGACTGGGTGGCTTAAACTACAGAAATTTATTTTATTTTCTCACAGTTCTGGAGGCTGGGCATTTGAGAGTAGAATGCCAGCATAGTTGGTTCCGGTGAGAACTCTCATCTTGGTTTGCCAATGACTGCCTTCTTGCTTTGTCTTCATAAGGTACAGAGTGAGAGAGAGAGAGAGAGAGAGAGAGAGAGAGAGAGAGAGACAGCGATCCTCTACTTACAAGACCAATAAGATTATTATGAGGTCCCCACTCTCACGTTGTAATCTAATCCTAATTGTCTCCTACAGTAACATCTCCAAATACTGTTACATTGGAAGTTAGGGCATCAACATATACAGTTTTGAGAGACTCACACTTTCATTCTGTAACAGTACTTAATATTTTAATGCTGTTATAATGTACCTTTGTAAAATTGCATTTATAACTATTTGTTGATATGGAAATGCAGTTGGTTTTTGGATTTTGACATGTATCTGAAACACTTTCTAAACAACTTTCAAAGCTGAAAACTTTTACTGTATATTGTAAGTTTTTTATAGATATTATGTTATTATCTGGGAAAAATGATAATTTTTCCTTTTCTTTTTTGATTCATTTGCATATTTGTATTTTTTCTAGACTGTTTCCATTGATCATGATTTTCAATGTAATGTTAAAGAGAAGTTATAACACAAGACTTTTCATTTTTATTGATTAAAAATGATTATAATTTTTTTGCATATATTAATTATCATATTCAAAAAATTCTCTAGTTAGTTTTCTTTTCATTTAATTGGAGATTATTCTGTGTTTTCCTATACATGGTGATATTTTGTGCAAAATCAGAATTGATTGTTCCTTATATGTCTACTATATTTATCATTAAATTTTCTGAATGTGGTTCCTTCTTTACTAAAAGATTTTAAACTAATGATTAAAAAGGCTTAAACTTTTTAATATTATGAGATATAGTTTATATGAAATAGAGTACACAAAATATATATGTACATTTTAAGAATAATCACAAACACACGTAACCCACCCCTAGATTAATGAATGGAATTGTGTTTATTCATTTATTTATTTTAAATTGACAGATAAAATGTTATGTATTTATGGTGTATAACATTATGTTTTAAAGTATATATACATTGTGGAAAGTTTAAATCTAGCTAATTTATAAATATGATTCCTCAATAAGTAGAACTTTGGTAACAGTACAGATGTATTTGAACTTCTTAAACTTCAGCAGATAAAACAAAACAGTTTCTCAATAATTTTACCAATTTGCATTTGCACAGCTAAAAATGAAATTTTCTGTTGTTCTTTATTTTTATCAACCCTTAATAATGTCAGGCTTTAAAATGTGGTCAGAGTTTTAGTCACACTTTTGACTTACATATTTATATTTTCAATCCAATATTTTTAAACATTGAGAGATATAGCGTGATGTACATACCAATTTCATTTTTTTCTTGAATATGGGTACCTAATCATTCATGTACCATTTAATGACAAATACATCCTTTCACCATTGATCTGCAATGCTGCCTCTTAATTTATTCTGTGTATGTGTGTGTTTGGATTCCCAATTCTGTGCTTTTGATGAAATTACTTAGCTATAATACTTCATTGTCTTGGTAACTATAGCTTTAGAATTACTACTGATAAATTATGATGTTATTAAAATTGTATTATTTAGAAATGTTTTTAACTGCTTATTGCTGATATATTAACATGCAGTTTCTCTGTATATTGATTTTCCATCCAGCACATTTTAAAGCTCTCATTATTTACACAGTTATTATGTATCTTGTTGTGTATTTTCTCTATGAAAAAATTATTTTCATTTACATATAGATTTTTTTCTTCCTTTCTAATACAGATACTCTTTTCTTCTTACCTTGTCTTGGTGCACTGGCAGTGCTTTGAAACTTATATAGAATGTTGAATACGCTCAGCCATAGCAGACATCCTTCCCTTGTTTATTAACACTAAAGTTAACACTATTAATGACACACTTTTATGTATGATTGTTGTGTATTTTACATAGCTACCCTTTATCATGTGAACAATGTTTTCTTATTGTTTTAGCTTATCAAAGGCATTTTTCAAATTGCCAGATAAGATTATATATTTTAACTATTTATCTTTCTAAACATTTTATATTAATTGAATTTCTAACATTAAACCAAAGTTATATTCGTGATTGCAACTCAGCTTTGTTTTTTTGTATGTATTGCTGAGTTTATTTTGTTTATATTTTAGCTTTGGATAGTTTGTCCACCAGTCTGTCAATATGTGAGATTTGCCTGAAATTTTTCTATCTTGTAATGTCTTTGATGATTCTTAGTAGTAATGTTATGCTAGTTTATAAGCAAGTTGGAGTATAGTCCCTATACCTCTAATCTCCAGGAAAATTTTTTTAAGGCTGTAATTATCTGCTTCCTGTATTATTGGTAGAATTCACCGGTGAAGACAACTAAGCCTGAAGTCTAGTTTGACTATTGCTCTGCCCTTTAAGGAATTGTTCAGGCTTCATATTTCTTCCTGAGTCTGTGTAATACACTATAAGACATATTGTAGCTATAAAATTAATGATAGCCAAAAAGCCGACACAAGTGTCTCACAAGACTGACACTGTGTGCAACTTAGCAATGTAATGCAACCTAGTCCAGAGACTTCAGGAGATAAGACCACCTCAGCACAAATACAACTTTCCTAAACCTTAAAACAAAGCTTACCCTTACAAGAATAGCTTAATTCCTTTTATGAAAGAAACTCCTGGTAACTGACCTGGACTAAATAATAGGTAGAAGAAAAAGGAAAGAATTCCCCCAATTCTGAGGATGATCTCCAAACAGTGACCCTCCAGTCAGTCTGTCATTTGGCCCTCTGATTGCACCTGGCCTGTGACAACAGCCCATCTCCACCATCCATCTTATAAGAGCATTGCCAGAATAAACTCCTTGAGCATCAGATGATGTCTGAGACTCATCTTCGATACAAATTGGATCAAACAGGAGAAGTACACTCTGAGGAAGTCTGTTGTGATTATTTATTATATTTAGACATTACCCTCACGATAAAAATTCAAATATATACTTATTAAGTTGTTCATAATACCCTCATATTATGTTTTCAAACATTTTTAATTATAAATCATTTCAAACCTACACAATCTTGTAGAACAGTATGATGAATCCCATAGTGCTATCAACCACATTGTCAGATTATTAAGATTTTGCCAAGTCATTAACTAATTATTATTATTATTATTTTGCTCTTCTTTCTTGAAGACATTTTTTTCTTTTTTTTAATTTAAAATATTTAATTTTTGTGACTATGTAGTAGGTATATACAATTAGGGGGTAAATGAGATGTTGTGATACAGGCATGCAATGTGTAATAAGCACATCACGGAGAATAGGGTATCCATCCCCTCAAGCATTTATCCTTTGTGTTACAAGCCATCCAATTATTCTACTTTAATTACCTTAAAAGGTACAATTAAATTATTTTGACTATAGTCACCCTGTTGTGCTATCAAATACTAGGTATTATTCATTTTTTTCAAACTACCTTTTGTACCCATTAACAATCTTCACTCCCCCCCATTCCTGATACAATTTCAATCCTACATATTTTGCTAAATGTTTCTAGAAATGTAAAATCGTATTTACATAACCTTTATGTCCATTGTAATGCCTAACAATTTGACAATTATTTCTTGTTTTATCTGATGCCCAGACCGTATTCAAATTTCCAAAATATTCTTGAAGTAGTATTTTTGCATTTTATTTATTTGGATCAAAATTCAAATTAGCTTTATACAGCATACATAATTGTGTCTTTTATCTCTTGGTCAGTCTAGAGCAGCATCCACTTAATTTTGTTTTTATGCAATTAGCTAGTGGAAGGAACATTAGTCATTCTGTAGAATGTCCAACCTTTTGAGTAAGTCTGTTTACTTCTTTAATATGGTGTTTGACTTGTATCTCTATCTATGTTTTCTATAAATTATATGTAAGTGCTAAAGCTTCATTAGATTCAGGTAGTGTTTGACATTATCTTATTTGGTATGACAACATCTTCCAGGTTCATATTGAATATTACTTGTTCCAAACTGGAATAAGTCATTTTTCTAAGGACCCCTAATTCTTGTATCTTTCAATGAGAAAATATATTTTAACATTATGATTATATGTCTGTCTATGTATGTATACATATATGTATATACAAATTATTTATTGTGTGTAATATTATAGTTATATAGATTTAAAGTTGAAAATTAAAAATAGAGTTATCAAGTAAGATATATATATCTAGTTATACAGAGTAACACTTGGCATGTTTGAGTTAGAGAGTCCAAGTAGCAGTTACAGTGTTAAGAGTTATATAGTTAGAGTGGGGTTAGAGTTACAGATTTAAATTTATAGTTAAAATAATAGAGTAATGATTAAAGTTATAGAGTTATATTTTTATGTTGTAGAAATGTTATATAGTGTTATAGTAATTGAGTAATAGTTATAGCTGACATTATGAATAAATATGGAGCTATAGTGTTATATAGTTACAGCTATTTTTGTGATTAGTACAGACAACACATGTTTCCTATATTTACTTTTATATTTACTTGACATTTGATAACTGTACATATTTATAGCATACAGAGTGTTATTTCAATACATATAATATATGGTAATTAAATCAGGGCAATTGCATGTACGTCACCTCAAACATTTATCTTTTCTTTGCATTACGGATGTTGAAATTCTGTCTTCTCACTTTTATAATATATAAAATAAATTATTTTTAACCATATTTAGCCTACAGTGCTAAATAACACTAGAACTTATTCCTCCTACCTAGCTTTAATTTTATATCTGTTGACCAATCTTTTCCTATTTTCCATAGGTTAAATAACATATAAATCACACTGTATAACACTATAACTATAGGTATAACACTAACTCTATATTACTATCAGTATAAGGCTAATAATAAATGTATCACCACAATTATGACCTTGGCACTACACATATAACTAATGTACTATAAACATAACTATTTCACTATAACTCTATCACCATACTATAGCTATAGTACTATATGAATAAAATAACACTAGCTCCATAATAACTTGATAAGAATAACTATAACTAAGAATATCACTAGAACTATGACTTATAACTGGAACGATAACATTATAACTATCACTTTGATTCTATAACTACAGCTCTGTAACTATAGTGATACTGCTATTATAATACTATAATGAATGCACTATAACTATACCAATACCTCTATCACTATAGCATAACACTATCACTAATATACTATCACTATTACTATATATTTTTAATTTTTATTTTTTACAAATTTTGACTCCAAAAGTATAACACTACAAATACAAATAAACTTTATAATTATAATAATCGTAAAAATATAACATTATGACTATGATTCCTCCACTATAACACTATAATACAATATGTATGACTATTAATGTAACACCATAATTATAACTATAACACTACATAATTTTAACTGTAACAGTAACACTGTATCACTAGTATCATAGCCACACTGGTATAACTATAATCATTTCACTATAACTTTTATTATAGAATTATCACTGCTGCTATAAAATATACCTAAATCTCCATAAATATAACTCTGACTATAACATTATCAGTATAACACTATTATTATTATTATTTTCAAAATGATGTATAACTTGAACACTAAAACAGTTTTAATGTTATGATTAGAGACTTATAGTCTTATACTTGTAGTGCTAAAGTTACAGTATAGTGCTATAGTTAAAGTTAGCACCATAACTATCACTATAACTACAACGTGATTACTATAAAAATAGCACCATACCTATAACTACAGAAATAACCCTGTAACCGTAACACTAACATTATAACTATACTTCTAACACTGTAAAACTAACTATAGAACTGAAATTGTAACAGTGTCACCATAATAAATATAGCATTATAACCATAATAATAGCACTTTATAACTATAACATGAAAACTATAATGATAGTGCTATACCTATAAAGATAGCACAACTACAGTTTACTACCCTAAATATAACTATGGCACTATACCTGTAACTCTTTAACTATAACATTATAATGACATCATTTTATAACTATATCTAAAGTTTTATAACATTGTAACTATAACCCTGTACTACAATATTAAAGCGTAACACTAATAGTATAATTATAGCTATGTAACTATAATAATATTATAATATTTTAACTATAACAAAACCACAATCACTACAACCTATCTACTATCCACAATTGCTTTAACTATATAGCAATAATTATATCTATTGCAGTATCAGTATACCATTATAATTATACTTATAACTAAAACAATGTAAATAAAACAACTCTATAAACATAATTAAACTTTATATTCAAAAGAAAGAATAAAAGCATAACCCTATAACTACAATATTAAACTAATACTAACAGTATAACTATCACAATATAACTATAACTACAACACTGTAACTAAAATCAAACCACTATCATTACAACTTTCATCAGACTATCATCATAACCATAAGACTGTAATTATTATTATAACTGCACAACTATACCATTATAATGATAATTTTAACATAACAACATCACCATTATATTAATAACATCATTGCTTTATCTATAGCGTTATAGCTATAGTACTAGCACTATGCCCTTAGCCATAGGATGATAACTGTGATAACTATAACATAGACCTCTAACTATAACACTGTAACTATAACTGTAAACCTCTAACAATAACTACTATTCTGAAACTAAATCTATAAACTTTTAACAATAACCATGGCCCCATATTTACTTTATGACTGTAAAGAAAATTCCATAGCTATATCACAAACGTTGTAACACTATAACAATTTAACTCTAAATATTGCAGTATAAATATACTAAAACTGTAACTGTAATACTACTTCTGTAACAGGCCCATCATAACTTCGATGCTAATGTTATAATGCTAACACTGTACCTGTAACCTTGATGCAATAATTATAACACTACCATCTTAACTACAATTATCACTGTAAGTATAACACTATCGTAACTATAGTACTCTATTGAAACTATAATAGTAACACTGTAACTATAAAACTAACACTGTAACTATAACTATAGCACTATACTATAACTTTAGCACTATAATAGTGCCAAAATTATTACTATATCTATACAAATAAAATTGTAATTATCAAAATACTTAAAAGGGTGTAATGGCAAATATAAAAGTAAAATAACTCTACAGTTATAACACTAAAACTATATACTGAAATACTATAATTAAAGTATAACATGACTACAAAAATATAACAGTATAATTATTACTCTAACACTGTAACTATAGCAGTCTTAGCCATAATACTATAAGTCTACAATTGCAACCATATTTCTAACAATATTAGTAAAGCTCAATAGCTATAATTTTTTTGATAATAGCCATTCTAACTGAGGTGAGATGATAGCTTGTTGTGGTTTTGATTTGCATTTCCTTGATGTTGAGCATCTTTTCATATATATTTGTTGGCCATTTATATGTCTTCTACTGAGATATGTCTATTTAAATCTTTTGCCCCCTTTTTAATCATATTATTTGTTTGTTTTTTTTTTTTTACTGTTGAGTTATTAGCATTCTTTGCACATTTTGGGTATTAGTCTTTTGTCAGTTGAATGGCTTGCAAATATTTTCTCCCATTCTACAAATTTTCTCTTTACTTTGCTGTGCAGAAAATTTTCAGTTTAATATAGTTTCTTTTGTCTGGAAAGGGAAATTCCTATACACTGTTGGTGTGAATGTAAATTAGTACAGGCTAATGGAATGTATTATGGGAATGTCTCAAAAAACTAAAAATAGAACTACTATACTATTCAGCACTCACAATACTGGACGTTTATCCAAAGGTAAGACAATCAGTATATCAAAGGAATACCTGCACTTCCATGTTTATTTAAGCACTGTCCATGATAGCTATCATATGGAATCAGCCCAAATGTTCATCGATGAATGGATAAAGAAAAAACAGTATATATATACAACGAAATACTATTCAGTTATAAAAAGGAATAATATCCTGTCATTCATGGCAATATGGATAAGCTTGGAGGGCACTATGCTAAGCAAAATAAGTTGGGTACAGAAAGACAAATACCCCAAATTCTCATTCATATGTGAGAGCTAAAAAATAATTTGAGCTCATGGAAGAAGAGCATAGAATTTGTGCATTAAAGGCAAAGAACACTTTCATATTTATATTTTGGCTACAGTTGTAGGTTCAGAGCAATATTTATAGTTATAAATAACATATTTGTAACTATAGTTATAGTTACATGGTTAGTGGCATATTATATTATACAATTTTCCCTATATTTATACAATTATGATTAAAGTGTTAGAGTTTGGCATTACAGTTATATGGCTAACATTATAATTATAGTGTTAGACCTATATTTATAGTGGTAGACTTACAGTTAAAGTGTTATAGTAGTAGTGCTAGCATTATGATGGGGTTTTTTTGTTTTTTTTGTGTGTTGTTTCTTTTTGAGACAGAGTCTTGCTCTGTCGCCCAGGCTGGGGTCAGTGGCACAATCTCAGCTCACTGCAACCTCCACCTCCCGGGTTCAAGCAGTCCTCCTGCCTCAGCCTCCCAAGTAGCTGAGACTACAGGTGCGTGACACCATGCCTGGCTAATTTTTGTATTTTTAGTAGAGATGGGGTTTCACCACATTGACCAGGCTGGTCTCGAACTCCTGACCTCGTGATCCCCCCGCCTCAGCCTCCCAAAGTGCTGGGATTACAGGCGTGAGCCACCGGGCCTAGCCTAGCATTATGGTTTTAGAACTACAGTTGCAGTTAAAGTGTTACTATTATTATACTATAATTGATGGAGTTATACTATTAGTGTTACAGTTATAATGTATATTGTAGTAGTAATAGATACAAATATAGTGTTATAGTATTATAGCTATAGAGTGTTATTATTACAGTAACAGTGTGATTGAGTGTTATAATTTTATAGTGATCCTGTTACTAATAGTGCTATCATTATAAGGTTATTGCTAGTTTAAATTATGCTTATTGTTGTAGAATCATAGGTCTAGTTATACTAGCTCTAGGCATTGAATCTCAATTTTAGTTACAAGTGTAGTTATAGTTTTATAGTTTTTATTATATAGTTATGGTCATTTTTATGAGTTATATTATTGTGCTATACTTTGTTATAGAGCATAGTAATTATATTATAGTTATAGTGTTACAGTTACATGCTACTATTATAGTTATATTTATGGTATTTGTAATGTAGTTTGTGTTACGGTATTGCAGTTATAGTGATCGTGGTTTAATTTTTTCTGTAGTTTTATGGTTATACAGTTGTATTACAGTTAGAGTCATTTTTTTAGATTCATAGTTCTAGTTATATATTTGTATTATAATTATAGATGTTTTATTATAATTATAAAATGTATTGTCAGTTATAGTGTTCTACTTATAGTTGTAGATTTATTGTTCTTCTAGGTATAGTATGGTTATCAGTATGTTTTTATAGTTATAGTGTTATAGCTTTATACTTTTTTGATGATAATCTAATTTTCTTTCATTATAGGTTACTTGATTTTTACCTAGGAGCATAATTACTTTTTTCCTTTCCTTAGTGTAGGGTAGTTTGAGTAGAACATGACATAGTGTTGGCAATTCCATACTTGTATTTTCTCAAGTGTTTGGTGTGCTCTTTCAATATGTAATTTTGACTCTAATTTCTTTAATTTAAATTAAAATTTTAGCATTTATTCTGCTATCTCACTTTGGATTTCCTCTTCAGGGGTCTTATTATACAGATGTTGGATATTCTATACCAATTTCACTATTTGTCATTTTCCCTTGAATCATTTTAATTTTTTTATTTCTTCTTTTAAATAGTGTAAATATTCCTCTTTTTGCCTTTACTTTCCCTTAAAGTGTTGAAAATATTCATTCTTTGGATTCTTCTTGCTTAGACTTCATTTATGAAATTGATTTTGTATTTATTTATAATTGTTTTCTATCTTTATCACCTCATAATTCAGGTTTTATAATCCTGAGTTATGCTTTTTTCATATTTTGTATTATCGCTTTAATGATTTTTTAGATAATGTTTAAATTGATGTTTACAGTAACTATTCAGTGGGCATGCCTTTTCATTATATGCTTTTCATTATTTCTAAGGATCTTATTCTGCTGCTTGTTCTCTGTTTCTGATAACAAGCTCTTTTGGGAACTTGACCTTGATAGTTTGGTAGTTCATTTATTTGTAAAATTTAATTTCTTTAAATTTTAAAGACATAGTTCCAGATGATTTTTCTTTTTAACTTCAGAGAAGTTAAAAAGGCTTTTAAAAATACTTTTCTTCAGTATTTTTATAGCATTTAAATATGCTGCCATTTCCCAATTTTATTCCATGTCCCTTCTTTTATCTAGACCCTCTCTTCAATTTATCTTTTTATCTGTAGCCTACTCAATTTTTATTTTACTCCCATTGACTTTTCCCTCAGTGTGGGGCCTTGTCTATAAAGGATAATCTGTTTTCTCAGTTTAAAGAGTTCATAGAAACTAGACTTCTACAATCTTTGAGGACCTTACCACAGGCCTTTGGACTCTCTGGATATCAGATTGGACAAAACAGTCACTTTCAACTGCTATTCTCCCATTGGAGCCCTATTATTTCTATAGCACTTCTGTTAGGATTTTTAAGTTTCAGTACCTAAGTCCATTAGATTCCCACTTATTTCCTCTGCTTTATCCCACCCATTGGTTAAGTTCATGCAGGTATTTTGGCAGATGTTAGCTTACTCTTACCTGCTTATATTTTAGGGTTTGTGGAGATAAAATGTAACCTCATTTTATGTTACATATTGTCCATGAGGTTCTGTTACCCAGTTGTTCTGACTCTTCTTATGTGAGTTTTCAGGAAGATTGGGCGTTTATGTAATTACTGCTGACATCTTGCCATAGTGGATATGTATGTATATGTGTATGTATTTATATAATACATATGCACAGACATTGCTTGAAGTTTAAAATACTGCCTATGTGGTAATATGCATAAAGAGAAATTACGGCCAAGAAAGATCAAAATGGAGGGGAATTTTTATCTTTTTAAGACTTGCTAATTGTAAGCAAAGTTTCAGTGAACTATTTCTAACAAATATGTAAAGTATTGATAGTAAACAAAACACCGAAACCCTAAAACACCTTAAGTTATATCTATAATGATGTTTCTGGTTTCAGTGGATTCAGTTGTATCTGTGAGTGCCAGAAGTTTGCTTTGTCTTTATTTATTATTTAGAGAGATGAAAAAATTATGCTATATGTGCACCATGTTTCCAGAATCCTCCTCACTGTAGTTTTAACTTGCTTTTATTTTATTATTAGTTAAGTTCAATATATTTTTGTATGTTTATGTTTTATTTATTTACTTATTTTTCTTTATTGTTTTTTAAATTTTTTATTTGTATATATTCAGGGGGTATAAGCGGCGTTTTGTTGTCTGGATATATTGTGTAATTGTGAAGTCTGGGCTTGTAGTGTAGCCATCAACCTAATCCTGTAAGTTTAAAATATATTTTAATGTCTTCATCTGCAAACCACTAATTCATATATGTTTGCCAGTTTTTCTGTTGGCTTGGTTGTCTTTTGATAATTCAAATTTTAGGAAATTTCTCTATATTTGGCACAGCAACCAATAGTTTGTAATATAAGTTGCAAATATTTTTCAGCTTTTTATTTCTAGTTGTGCCTGTTTATCTTTAAAGTTATTTTTTAAGTATGCTAAAATATGCATAATATAAAATTTACCAGTTGAAACATTTTAACTGTACAGTTCAGTGCATTATGTAACCATCACCACCATGCATCTCCAGAGCTTTTTTGTTTTCCAAAATTCTATACCCATTAAAAAATAACTTCCCTTCTCTTTGCCATAAGCCCCTGGCAACCACAATTCCACTTTTTGTCTCTATGATTTTTACTACTCTAAGTATTTCATGTAAGTGGAAGCATACATCATTTGGCTTTTTTTTTTTTTAGGACTGGCTTGGTTCACTTAGCATTATATCTCCAAGGTTCATCCATGTTGTAGCCGAATGTCAGAATTTCCTTCTTTTCTAAGGCTGAATAATATTTCATTGTATGTATACACCACGTTTTTCTTATCTATTCATTTTTCAATGAACACATGATGTGCATCCACAGTTAAGCTATTGTAAATAATGCTGCTATTAACACAGGTGTACAAGAATCTCTTCAAGACTCTGCTTTCAGTTATTTTGATTATATACCCAAACGTAGAATTATTGGATCATATGGTAATTGTATTTTTAATTTTTTTGAGAAATGACCATTCTGTTTTACACAGCAATTATACCACTTTACATTGTCACTATGCACAAGGTTTTTAATTTCTTCACAATCTCACCAATGCTTCTTATGTTCTGTTTTTGTTTTATTTATTTTGATAGTAGCCATCCTTATAGGTGATAATTGCTATCCCTTTGTAATTTTGATTTGTATTTTCTTAATTATTAGTGATGTTGAGCATTTTTTCAGGTGTTATTGGCCCTATATATATATTCTGTGGAGATATATCTATTTAAGCCCTTTGCCTATTTTTGAATTGGGTTTTTATCCTAAAGTTATAACACTGCAATTTGAATTTATACCAACTTAATTTCAGTAGCATACATAAACTCTGCTCCTTTTACAGTTCTGTCTCCACTCCTTTTAGTTGTCGTTGTCACAAAATCACATCTTTATATATCATGTATCCCAAAATATAAACGAATAATTTTTAATTCATTTATTTCTTAAATCTTGTAGAAAACAAAAAGTAAAGTTACACATCATAGTTACAATAATACTAGCTTTCATAATTGCCCTTGTATTTATCTTTATCAATATATTTATTTATTCATACAGGTTTAGGCTACACTCTAATATCTTTCATTCAACCTGGAGACTCCCTCAAGAATTTCTTGCAGTGCAGGTCTAGTGGGAACAAACTCCTTCAGCTTTTGTTTTTCTGGTAGTGGCTTAACTTCTCCCTCACTTTTGAAGAAGAGCTTTGCCAAAAATAGGACTCTCGTTCACAGTGCTTTTATTTAGCACTTTGAATAGATAAGCCCACTGCCTTTTGGACTCAAAAGTTTCTTATGTGAAATCTGTTGATAAACTTATTGAGGATCCCCTATGTAAGATGAGTTACTTCTCTCTTGCTGCTTTCAAAATTCTTTATGTTTGGGTTTCAATATAGTTTGATTATAAGGTGTCTCACTGTCTCAGTGTGGATCTCTTCAAATTCAACTTACTTGGCATTTTTTGAGCTTCTTGGATGATTATATTCACTTCATATTTTTTTTAACAAATTAAGGAAGTTTTTAGCCATATTTTGTCAAATGTTCTCTCTTCTTTCTCTTTTCTCTTTCTGAATTCCTACAATGCATTATTGGTTTGCTTGATGATGTCTCACAGATACATAGGTGTGTTAGGTTCTGTTGACTTTTCATCAATCTTCTTCCATCATTTTCCTCAGACTAGATACTTTCCTTTGTCTGATCTTCAAGTTCACTGATTCTTTCTTTTAACTGCTGAAATCTGCCTTCGAATCCCTCTAGTGAATCTATCATTTCAGTTATTGCACTTTTCAGCTTCAGAATTTCTTTTTGGTTTCTTTAAAGGTTTTCTGTCTCTCTATTGCTATTTCCATTTTGTTTATGCATCATTTTCTTGACTTTCATCACATCTTCCTTTATTTATTTGTATATCTTTAATACAATTGTTTTAAAGTGTCAGTTTAGTAGATATGCCATTGAGTCATTTTGTAGGGGATGTTTCTATTGGTTTATTGGCTTCTTTTATTCTTTGAATGTGTCATACCGTATTGTTTCTTTGTGTGCCTTGTGAGATTTTGTTGAATACTGGACATTTTAATCTAATGATGTGGTAACTCAGGAAGTCAATTTATTCTCTTTCCCCAGGGTTTCCTTTTGTTATGGGGGATATGTTTTTTATTACAGTAGGCTGTTTCTTTGCCAAAGATCAGTCTGAGGTGTAAGCTTAAGGTCTTAGGTTTTTCAGAGCTTACATTATTCCCTGGGCATTCGAGGTGACTTTCTAACTTCCCCTGTACATATGGTTGCTTTTGAATATCCTGGTCTTCAGTGTGTTACTCCTGAAAGGGGAAAAAGAGAAAAATGAAGGTGAGAAATAAAATAACTGGCCCTTTAAATTTCCTGGAAGTCACTTTAGCCAGAGGGGATGTGGCTTGCAACAAAGGGGGTAATAGTTACAACAATGGCCAAGGCCTCTGTCTACACCTCTTTGATACAGAAGCAGTAATCAGAGATCAGAACAGGGATTTCCCATATTTGTAGAACAGGGTCTTTTTGATCACCCTATCTACCTCAAGATGTGTGCAAACTGCTTCAGAAACATGTGCACAGCTGCCTGTCATGGAGCTAAAGGATGGAAGATTGGGTAGCTGCTACTCTCCTAAGAACTAAAATTGACCAAAATTAATTACAATTTACCATCAAAGCCTTCTCCTGAAATTTGCAAACCTTCAGTAGACTCCAGAGTTCTTTAAAGTTTTGACAATTTTTAGTGATGTTCTGTTTTTTTTTTTTAATTTCTTCTTGCTCTTGTACTTGATCAGGCTCACCAAGATATTATCAATTTTATTAGACCTTTCAATAGCTTAGTTTTGTCTTTGTTGGTACTCAGTAAAGTATGTTTTTCTTCCATAAAATTTATTTGTTCTTATCTGTATATTTGTTCTTATTCTTTTCTTTTTTTTTTTTAAGAGGGAGTCTCACTCTGTTGCCCAGGCTGGAGTGCAGTGGCATGATCTCGGCTCACTGCAACCTCCACCTCTCAGGTTCAAACGATTCTCCTGCCTCAGCCTCCCAAGTAGCTGGGATTACAGGCACCCGCCACTGAGCCCAGCTAATTTTTGTATTTTTAGTAGAGACGGGGTTTCACCATCTTGGCCAGGCTGGTCTTGAACTCCTGACCTCAGGTGATCCGCCCGCCTTGGCCTCCCAAAGTGCTGGGATTACAGGTGTGAGCCACCGTGCCCGGCCTGTTCTTATTTTTTAAGTTCAATGTGCTGTTAATTTTATTTCTGATTTGAATGTTTACCTCATTTATTTTTCAGCTATTCATATTTTTACATGTTTATCCAACATTTCATATTTCTCTCTGAGTATCACTTTAGCTTTGTCATTAAACTTGAAAAACATTGTACTAAAGTATAATATCAACAATAGTGCACAAATTATAAGTTTACATCTCAATTAATTATTATAAAGTAAACCCACCTGTTACAACACTATGAAGTCCACTAGCCCTTCAGAGTATCATTTGGATTCCCTCCTAATCACTCCTCACTGCTTTTTGTTTAAAATAAACCAATATCCTAACTTTTAATTTCATAGTTAAAATTTTCCAGTTAATTAAATGTAAATAACAGATTCATAACCATGGTGTTCATTTAGCTCAGTTACTTTCCCTCATTATTTTGTTTGTGGGCTTCATTCATGCTGTATATATGTGCGTAAGCTTCATTTTCTTTATCATATTATATTTTATGAATGTACTATGATTTATATATTGATTCTTTTGATAGAAATTGTATTTTCAACTTTCAACTAACAATATTGTGATGAAAATTATTGTATATGTCTTTGGTACACATTTGCTCCCATTTCTGTTAGGCATATACCTGAAAGTGAATTTGCTAGATCATATTCAGCTTTTGTAGATACTATTTGTTTCATTCAAGTTTCATCAGCAGTACATGAGAGTTCAGTATCTTCACATTCCTGCCAAAAAAATGTTATTCCCCATCTTATTTTTATTTTAGCATTTCTGATATGTGAGGTATTGAATCTTCTTATGGTTTTAATTTTCATTTTCAAATTATTACTGAGAATAGGCATTTTTAATGTATATTTTAGTCCTTTAGAGATTCTTTTCTTTCCAATGCCTGTTAAAACATCTTTGTATTTTTCTCTCAGGTTGTCAGCTTTTTCCATATTAATTGTAGAAGTTTGTTATATATTTTCCATATGAGCCCTTTGTAAATTATATGTGTGGCAAATATATTTTTCCAGCCTGGGGCTTTTGTTTTCCCTCTTTTTATGTATTTTAATAAGTAAAACGCTGAATTTTAATGTCGCTTGACTATACTTTTTTACTAAAATTTGTGTTCATTAAAAAAAATTCCTAGCACAGGGTCATTATGGCGGGTTTTTTTGTTGTTGTTATTTAGGTTATAGGATAAAAATTCATTGCTTTTTAGTCTTTTTTTCTAATATATGCATTTGTTATGATAATTATCTTAATTTCCAACATTGGTTTATTTGCATCCCCTACTTTTGCTACATTTTCATTTAATTTACAAGAGATTTTAGTTACTATTCTTAATTTTTGTTTTTATATGTGAGTTAGTTTCCAAACATAGAGACTTTTTTTAGTGCTCTTTGTTGATTTATAGCTTAATGCCACTCTGTTCAGATCATACTTTTATGATTTTAATGTTTTGATTGTTTTAAAAATTTCATCTATTTACTATTTTTGCTTTCTGAATCTCTGACATACTATCAGAGATAATTTTCCTTATGTCTGAAGAATGTGAATGTGCTTTCATATTTACTGGAATCTGATGATGACTATTTTAGTTTTTGCTTATGTGAAAGTTTTTCTATTTTACCTTCAATGATGAGGGATTTTTTTGCTGAGTATAGTATGCTAGGTCAGAATTCATTTTCTTTCAACACCCTGAATATATCATTACATTATCTTCTAGCTCCCTTTTAATTTTATATAACTTTTATGGTACATAATCGTTGTACATATTTATGAAATACATGTGATATTTTGATATGAGCATACAGTTTGAAATTATCAAATCAGAGTAATTGGGATATCCATCACCTCAAACATTTATTGTTTATTTCTGCTGGGACATTCTGAATCCACTCCTCTATTTATTTTGAAATATATAATAAATTATTGTTAAATATAGTCACATCCTATTTTGCTACCAAATGCTACATTTTATTTCTACAAAATGCATATTCGTACCCACTAAGCAACCTTTCTCAGCTCCCCACTCTCACCCGCCTACCTTTCCCAGCCTCTGATATCTATCATTCTACTCCATACCACCATGAGATTAACTTTTTAAGCTCCCACATATAAGTGAGAACATGTGATATTTGTCTTTCTGTGCCTGGCTTATTTCACCTAACATAATAGCCTTTAGTTCCATACATGCAAATGACATGATTTGCATAATAGCCTTTAGTTATGATTTGCATAATAGCCTTTAGTTCCATACATGCAAATGACATGATTTCTTTATGTTTTATGGCCATATAATATTTAGTTGTGTATATATGCCCTATATTTTCTTTATCCATTTCTCTATTGGTGGAAATTTATCCTAATTCCATATATTTGCTATTGTGAATATTGCTGCAATAAACATGGGGTGCAGGTATCTTTTTGATATACTGATTTCTTTTCTTTTGGATAAATACCCTGCAGTGGGATAGCTAGATTATGTGGTCATTCTATATTTACTTTTTTGAGGAAGCGTCATACTGTTTTCCATAAGACAGATGGAACCCTAATTATTTCTTCTTTGCAATTAATATTTTTGAATGATTTGTAGATTTTCTCTTTGTCTTTTGTTTTACTCTGAATTTATTTTGACTCTGAAATGCCTAGGTGTATTTTCTTTTGTTTTTTTTTCCTACTTGTGTTGCATAGGTTCTTTTGAATCTGAATCATTTCAGACATCTGTTTTGGCTAATTCTCAGTCATTGCCTTTAAAATTTTTGCTTTTGTTCCATTTCTTCTATTCTGCTGGAATTTGAAATACACATATATTAGACCTTTTTGCTATATCTACTCTGTCTCTAACCTTATTTGTTCCTCTGTGCCTTATTATGTCCAGTTTTCTTACTTATCTTCGATTTCACTAAATATGTCTCCTCTTGTGTATAGTATAAGCTTAAAACATCCACTGAGTTGTTAATTTCTGTTGTACTCCAGTTCTAGATTTCTTTTCAACTATATTTTCATGCTTGCACATTTGCAACTTAATGTTTTCATATTTTCCTTTATATATTTGAAAAATTAAGTGTAGTTTAAGTCCATGTCTTATAATACAATTACTTTTACTCCTATGCATCTCTAATGTCTAACATTTTCTTTTGTTTCTAGCTAATGTTGTTTTCTTGTTTCATTATTTCACTGATTACTTTTTATTTAGTTTAGGCTATTTTATGTGGAAAGCAATAATAACACTAATTTCAGGACAAAATGTTTTTTTCCTCTGAAGAAATTGGCTTTTGATTCTAACCTCCAATTACCTAAATTCAGTTATAAGTGTAGAGATAAGTTGATACTGTGCTGCCACTACTGAGAGGAAAGACATTTCCAGTGTCCTTTTATTGTTAGAATGTAGCTCTTTAGTTTCCCATTCCAAAGGATGAAAATTTGATCAGAGTGCTCCCTCCTTAACAGGATTTAACTTCAATTTTTGTCTTTTAGCCTTGTATGATTCTCAAGACCTATTGTATTTCCACTGTCACTTAAAGCATCTTCCAGAGCCAGCAGGTTCCTCTTAAGAAATAGCTTTCCTAAATACTGGATTCATACCCATGAGTTTCCATCTTTTCCCAGATCTTAGTCCCATAGTTATTTACCATATTTTTTTCTGGCTCTCTATTGTTTCTAATTAGTTGTTTTATAACATTATGGACATCTTTTCTAGTCTTAGTCAAGAGAGCGGTTGCTTTATATTACCTAAACAACCATTAACATGGGCAAATATCTATTCCTTTCTTATTAAGATGACTCTACGTGTAAGAAAGTTATTACTGTCAGTCAAACATGTTTCCATATAGCTTCCACCCACTGATACAATACCTACCCCTGTAGCTATATAGAAAATATCTTATCGAATTTCTGCATAATTAACTGTAAAACACTTGAGGAAATCTGCCTTGATATAATTCAGCTCTTGTAACAGAAAACCCAAACAAACCTTATTTCAAATAAGATAAAATAACTTTGTCTCATATAAACAAAATCCAGAGATATTCATTCAGGGATGGTACAGCAATTCTTTGATTTATAGGTATAAAGGCTCCTTCTAGATGGTTTTAGTGCAATTCCAGGACATGGATTCTACTTTGGGGTGAAAAGTGGCTGTTCCAGCTTCATTTACCAGGTCAGTATAAAGCCATCTGTACCAACCATCTGTAAAAAGAAAAAGAGAAGGTCACCCCTGTACTTTTGTGAAAATTCCCAGAAGTTATAAATACAATTCTGATCAATCACATTTTCAAAAATCTATTCATATGACTGCTTGCCTGTAAGGGAAGCACAGAAATATGGTCTTCATTTTGGGATGTTATGTGTCCAGATGAAAGTGGCATTTGTATTTCTCAGAAAAAAATAATAATGCATATTGGAATACAACTAAATTTATTTGTCACCATGAATAGGCCTATTTCCCTGCCTTCTCTCACTAAATTGTCTCTATATTTTCTTTTATCATTTCTCATATCAAATAATCTTTTTTCAACAATTTACTTGTAAGTTATTGGGCATCTCTTATGTGCTAAACACTGTATTATGTTCAAAGAATAAAATATCTAATGAGGCTTGGTACCTGCCCTAATAAATAAGTATGACCTGCCCAGGTAAAATGGCTAGTGTTATCGCTTCTTTAACTTCATCACTAGAGGCTAATATTACATAAGCTTTTTGGAAACCAGGTTATTCTATTGACTTCAATTGTACTGGAGGACAGTTTTGATGGGTTGATAGGTGCAGCAAACCACGATGGCACATGTTTGCCTATGTAACAAACCTGCATATCCTACACATGTGTCCCAGAACCTAAAATTAATTTTTTTAAAAAAGAATAATTGGCATATATATGCATATATAAAAATATATTCATACATAAAATTGTGTCATTAAGCCACATTTCTCCAGATATGATTTGTGTGCTTGTTTTTTTTCTATTTATATTAAATATTGTCATATTAGATATATCCAATATCCAGCACATCGTAATAACTAGGTGTTAGCCAATATTGTCTGGCCTTTATAGCAAAGGAGCATTTGCAAATTATATTACCATGGTTTTAAGGTACTTTCCCAAATCATTTCAAAAAATAACAAATACTTTTATATGGAGATTACAAAAGTAGTCCTATATATGTTGCTAAACATCATTTCTCTTAGTATTTATGTTCCCACTTAATAAGTACAAGTAATCACTTTGAATAATGATATAATAACTGTAATTTGTTATTTGAAAAATATTAAAAGATTTCACAAACCTTTGTAGTTATAAAAACATTCTTAATAGATGCCTTTACTGGCAACAGCTGGATGTATATGTGACTTTTTTTCAAATTGTCTCTTTAACCATCAGCTTTAATAGATGTTTATATAATCATACACACATACAGAGAGAGAGAGAGAGAGGTGCCCCAGCTTTGCCATTTAGAAATCTTAGTCACAGATATCTTAATATAATTATATTCAAATGAGAGGATAAAAAATAAATAAAACAATTCAGAGCTGGAAAAAAATTGCAATTGCAAGTTGTTGCTCAAAAGAGTGTCCATGTATTTTTCCCCTTGGAAATAACTATTCTCAATTTCCACTTTTAATTTCCGACCTCTTATCTTCAAAGCTAGTTTATGTGTGTTCTTGAAACATCTTAGTTGTGGAAAACTTTGATTATGCATTGATTTTGCACTAAAAATAAACAATACGTGTATATTTTATTTTTATTGTCTTATATTGTGTGGCATACTAAATGACAAAACTATGAAGCAGAATTTGACTGTCATTCCATAAACAATATGTGTAACCACCTACAACTGATTGTGATACACTTGTTATACAACATTCATTTTTCATACAATTATTCCTAATGACTTTTAAATTGTTTTTAAGTTCAAGAAGATAGTGCCCTATCTGGCATACTTTTTTTTGCTCAAGTACCATACCTAAGAAATTCCAGGAGTATAAATAATAAGCATTAGTTTGGATGAGTTTATCTGTAAGTTTATGTTAGGAGAAAAGACATAAGGCTTAGGAGAGAATGAAAAAAATATTTTGAACATATTTATGATTTTGTGGTTACAAAGTCATATAACTGAAAGAGTTCATGAAAAATAAGCAAACTTCACACAATATGTCAATTGGACCAAGATTAAACTATTACAATACTTTTTTTGTTTTAGAAATAATGTTATATCTACCCTTCTTTCCATATCCGATTTAATTAACCGGTATTCAATTTCCTAGGAAATTCATTGGTTAGTGTCTTGCTGTTTACTAGTGAGAGTTAGAAAATCTGACAGCTAATTGTTGCATTAGTAAATTATCCCTCCCTGGTATCTTGTGTGCCGTAACAGGTACTTTCTGGGGGGAATAGCTGAATCTGGAGGTGTAATTGTAATGCTGACAATTTCAGATAGCAAAATCAACTTAAGAGGATCATTTTCATTTTTTCATTTAGTATTTAGGCAGATACCAACCTGGTTCTGTTGTGTCCAATTCTTTTGAAAAGATACTGTTTTTCTTCAGTCAGCCATTCAGACACTAAAAAATATTATTGGCTTACATTTTTTGTCTACAATTGGATAATTATCTTATGAGTAGAGGTAAAGGTGCAAAAACTTTTTACGCAGAAAACACATTAGCAATAAGCAGGTAATTGTATTATACTCATGTTTTGCTTTTGTATGGTAGGAGTCTTCAGATTATCTTCACTCTAAACAACCAGTTTTGTGAACATTTTTTAGGTTATAAAGTTACTTCAAGTAATTTCTTACCTTCAAGACTGAATATTTCTGACTAAATTACCAACTTAATTTTGGGAAGAGTTAATAACTTAATTGTATTAATATGTACGAAGATGCAGTAACTTTTAAGGCATCCTGAAGAGCCTGGCGCATTTAGTAAGAATGCTTTAAACTTTTACCTAATCTATAATTTCTAGGTTTTATAAATAATACACTTTGATGAACTGATTGTATTACTGAATAGCCTACCTGATTCTTCTAATTCAACTCTTTAAAATATGGCATTTGCATAAAAATATAATTGCCCCCATCATTATTAGAGTCAGTGAATCCACATGATATCAGTAATTTAAAATGGACACAAATATTGAGAATAGTTTCATGCCCATTCTGTAATCTCCAGCCATTCAGAACATATTTGCTACTAAATATTGACCATATTTTCCCCTCTTTGGTCTTTTATATACATTGTTTTCACTCTTCATACCTTCTTCCTTCAGGATTAAATCCAGAAGATTCATTTTTTTAGAAAGCCCCAAAAACTAGCTCTGGTGCATCAATTCAATACTTCAAATATACTTTATATTTCATTCATCGCTTATACTCTATTGTGCTTTCATATTAATCTCTGTGCCCCATTAGATTAAAAGTTCCCCAAAAGTTAAGATTCTTATTCATCATCTTTATCTTTGTAACTCTAGCATCTAATATAGCACCTAGCATATTGTAGGCTCTCGATAAATATTTGTGCCTCACTACCTGAATGTTAATCAATGAAGGAATTAATAATTAGGTAAACATTTTAATCATTATTATGTTATTAATCTTCATATTATTTTTGAATGGTGAAGACATAAATTAATAAAGTGTTCAATTAATATTCCTCTTGCGTAACTGAAACTTTGTAGGCATTGAGCGACGATTCCCCATTTCCTCCTCATCCCAGTCCATGGCAATCACTATTCTATGAGTCTATTTGAGATACCTCATAGGCAATGAATTACGAAATATTTGTCCTTTAGTGACTGGCTTATTTCATTTAGCATAATGTCCTTCAGATGCATTCATGTTTTTTCTAATAGCAGAGTTACCTTAATTTTTAAGGCCAAATAATATTACCTTTTATGTACATACTGCATTTTATTTATCTATTCATCTGGCAGTTAATATTTGGGTTGTGTTTATATTTTGCCTATTGTGAATAATGCTGCAATAAATATGGAGTACAGATATCTCTTTGAGATCCTAATTTTAATTTTTTGAATATATATGCAGAAGTTGGATTGCTGAATCATATGTTAGTTCTATTTTTAGTTTCTTGAGGAACCATCATACTGTTTTCCATTGTACATTCTCACCAACAGTGTGTAAGATTTCAAATCTCTCCACATCCTCTCCAGCACTTGTTTTATTTCCTTTTTAAAATAATAGACATATTAACTGCTGTGAGGTGATATCTCACTGTGGCTTCGATCTGCATTTCCCTAATGATTAATGATGTTGAGCACATTTTTTGCATACCTAGTGACCATTGGCATGTCTTCTTTGTGGAAATGTTTATTCAAGTCCTTTTCCCATTTTTAATCAGGTTATTTTGTTTGTTGTAGGAAGTTCTTATATATTTTGGATATTAACCCTTAATAATAGAGGAAAACATTTGCAAGCAGTTTCTGTAATGAGGGGTTAATATCTGGTCATTTTCTAATCAGCATAAGATTTAAATATAATATAATGGGTCCATGGAATTAATTCAGAAGCTTAGATGAATTCAGCTAAAATATAAAATAATTATGCTGTTTATTATTTGCTCTTATTGTGTCACTAGATTTTCCTTATGAAAATTTGAACTTATATTCATATTTAGTTAAAGGAACATTTATGTTTTATTGACTAATTTACAGTAAGAAATGAATTATGATGTTAGATTCTATTCTTAATTTTAAATAAAATATTAAATATATGTTTGCTGAATATTGCAAGTATTGGTTAAGAATTATTTCCTATTAGGCCTTAGATCATCCTCTATATCCCCTCTTTTTTTTTCTAGAACCTCAACATTATTTGACCAAACAGTACAGTGGGGTTCCAAACTAATTGGCATCACGTAATTCCATTATTACAAGACTTTTATACCACTGTAGCTAGTAACCATATTATGTTGTACATTGAAAGGCTTGGAAGTCAAGACAACAGATCTTCAAAAATGAACAATAACGCATCTTAGAAATTATTTTAAGGTAGTTAGATTTAAATTTGACTGTTTGAAGTTGATTTGTTTTTGTCTTTGTTGTTGAATTTATCCTTGTAAGAATAAACTGTTGCTGTTTATGAACAGTAACCATAAACCATGAACAGAAGTCAGGAGCTCCTTAAGGGTATTATGTTTCATGACAATTCCACTTTGGTTGTATCGACAACCATATCACTAAATATATTTTAATTTGAATCCTTGGTATCCTTCATTCTTGCAAGCTATTTTTATAATGGAAGTAAGTGTTCTATCTTTTATATTTACATAAATATAAACGTTTTAATGGTTTTCACTTTTGACTGACTGGTAGGGTTATTTAACAGTTTTATTTGTTAAAGGTTTGGGGTTAAATAAAGCTTTGGCTCTGATGTTATATCTGTAGAGATCTACAGGTAGAAAGTATAATCTGCCAATAGGGAAAATTTTTTCATAAAGGTTAAATCAGAAGAACATCAGTGTGATATTAATTAAAGATTTTATGGAAGTTAAAATTTTGGCAGTCATTTATAAATGCTTTCTTGTACCTTCTCAAAAACAGACAAAAAGGAAACACCTTTTTTGAGTATCTTACATACATATATATATATATATATCTCACAGATGCAACAATTTTGGTTTTGATTTTATTTAAAGATGTATCTAAAAGTAATCCTCTAAAAACCTAGCTGTGACCTGTAAGACTTGCTTTAAAAATAGTGAAGTGTGCTGGAATCCATTTAAATTCCAATTTATAAGAAACTTGTGTGTTACTTCATGATGAATGCAGAATGCATGGCTACTAAGGATATTATTAAAATGGAACAAAAATTATACTTCAGAGATAACTAATCCCCCAGGCAAGACGATATGCTGATGACATTGAGAAAAGGAAACAGACACAGAGCAAAAACCATATATGATTAATACATGAAAGCATAGAGGTATAGTCAAAGTGTTTTCCAGACTAAAACAACAGAAGTCAGGAAAAGGAAGAGGCTTGGGTCATAACAGAATGATCTGGCCACCAACTACAAAAAGCTGGTATTGTGTTCTGCTTCATGGAAGTTAATGTAAATATTCACACTAATCAGAATGGTGTCAAATATTTATTTATTTATTCTCTATTTATTCTACTTCACTATAATTAACTTGTCTTCTGCACAATGATTTGTAATAAAGTTTGGAAGCCCTTTTAGTTAGGATAAGAATATTATGATGAGAACCACAAGACACTTTTACAGGGAACAGATTTTTTAAAAACATTTATTAAAAATGCACATGCTACTTTTGGATTTCATAGTTTCTCTGTCAGTGGTATGATCCCCACCACTATGGTCTGTGATCACTGCACTTTGTGAAACTGTTCATGCCCTTGCAGCTTTTCTCAGTGTCTGTGGTATTTTTGTGACTTCCCAACACTAGAATAAGTTTTTCTGCCAAAATGAGTGAGGTACTTGGTACACTCTAGACTTTTCCACCTCCCAACATGGAGAATTATGAACTTTCCATAAGACTGTCTCCCTGGTTCTCTTCATTCTTCTCTTGGTGTTGGTTATTCTGGGTCTGACCCAGGCCTGTAAAATGTCTTATGAAACCTCTGATGGCTTTAACCTACCTATCTCTTCTTCAGCCCATTTTAGTTAAATTATGTCATTGTGAGGTCACCAGCCCTTTCATTTGAATTCTGTGAAACTCCACCAGGCCTATCTTTGGGTGGAACCTGGGACAGTACTGTTACCATCTTCCAACACTCCTCCCCTACATCCCTGGCACTGATAGTTTTCTGTGAAAATGCCAATGAACAGGGTCAGTATTGAACTGGCTCTGAGGAAATGGGCCAGGAGTTGTATGTACAAGAGAGGGGGATGAGAGCTGTTGGAGAACTGAGAATGAGTTTCTCTTCTTTGTAACATTTTTAATATTAGTAATAAAAGGAGTGGAAAACAGCATTTTCTTTAAAAAAATTCACATGCCATAAAAATTCACATATGTAAAGTACACAATTAATTGACTTTTAGTATATTCATGGAGTTGAACAACCATTACAATTGATTTTAGAACATTTTAACCACCCAAAAAAGAAATTCCCCACCCCTTAGCCTTTGACTTCATTCCCCTATTCTCTCAACACCTAGCCAAGTATTAATCTAATGTCTGTCTTATAAGGTTGCCTACTTTGGACATGTTGTATAAATGGAATTATACAATACGTGGTAATTCGTGACTGTCTTCTTTCAGTTAGTATCATATTTTTGAGGTTCATCTATGCTGTAGCATGTATCTATATTTTATTCCTTTTAATGCCTGTATATCCAACATGATGTAGATATACCACAACTTGTTCATCCATTTATTAGTTGATGGACATTTAGGGTGTTTCCTCTTTGACTATTATGAATAATGCTGCAGGCATTCATGGACAAGTTTTGTTTGGAGGCATGTTTTCCATTTCTGTTGGGTCGAATTGCTGGGTCATATGGAATTGCTGTCATATCGAATATGACAGTCATATGGAATATGATAGTCATATGGAATTGCAAGTCATACCGAATTGCTGGGTCATATGGAAATTTTGTTCAGTATTTTTAGGAAATGCCAGATCTTTTTCAAAGTGGCTTTATCATCTACATTCCTGCCAGAAATTTCACCGTATTGTTATCAATATATGTTATCTGTGTTTTGATTAAATCCACCTTAGCAGGTGTGAGGTTGCATTCCATTGTGGTTTTGATGTGCATTTTCCTGATAGCCAATTATGGATTTTTTTATATATGAGATTATATATATCCTTTTTTAAAAAAATCAACTGTTATTTTAGATACAGGGGTACATGTGCCAATTTGTTACTTGGGCATATTGCACCCAGTTAGTGAGCATAGTACCCTATAGGTAGTTTTTCAACCCACATCCTGCTCCTTCCATCCTCCCTCTAGTAGTCCACAGTGTCTGTTGTCCCCATATTTATGTCCATGTGTGCTCAATGTTTAGCTTTCACTTATAAGTGAGGTCATGGGTATTTGGTTTTATGTTCCAGCTTGAATTCGTTTAGGATTACAGCTTCCAGCTGCATCCATGTTGCTGCAAAGGACAAGTTTCATTCTTTTTATGGCTGTATAGTATTCCATGGTGTATATGCACCACATTTTCTTTATCCAATATACCACTGATGGGCACCTACATTGTTTCCATGTCTCTGCTATTGTGAATAGTACTGTGATGAACATACAGGTGCAGGTGTCTTTTTGGTATAATGATCTATTTTCCTATGGGTAGATACCCAATAATGGGACTGCCGGGTCAAGTGATAGCTCTATTTTAAGTTCTTTGAGAAATCTCCAAACTGCTTTCCCCAGTGGCTGAACTAGTTTACATTCTCATCAACAGTGTATAAGCACTCTCTTTTCTCCACAGCCTCACCAGCATCTGTTGTTTTTTACTTTTTAATAGCAGCCATTCTAACTGGTGTGAAATGGCATCTCATTGTGGTTTTGATTTGCATTTCTTTGATGATTAGTGATGATGAACATTTTTTCATATATTTGTTGGCTGCTTGTATGTCTTCTTTTGAGAAGTATCTGTTCATATCCTTTGCCCATTTTTAATGGAGTTATTTGGTTCTTGCTTGTTGATGTAAGTTATTTATAGATTCTGGATATTAGACCATTGTCAGATGCATAGATTGAGAATATTTTGCAACCCCTCTGTAGGCTGTCTGTTTACTCTGTTGATGGTTTCTTTTGCTGTGCAGAAGCTCTTTCATTTCTTTAGGTCCCACTTGCCAATTTTTGTTTTTTGTTGCAATGGCTTTTAAGGACTTAGACAAAAATTATTTGCCAAGGTCAATGTTGAGAAGGGTATTTCCTAGGTTTTCTTCTTGAATTTTTATAACTTGAGATCTTATATTTAAATCTTTTTTTTTATTATTATACTTTAAGTTCTGGGGTACATGTGCAGAACATGCAGGTTTGTTACATAGGTATACATGTGCCATGGTGGTTTGCTGCACCTATCAACCCGTCATCTACATTAGGTACTTCTCCTAATGCTATCGCTCCCCCAGCCCCCCACTCCCTGACAGGCCCCAGTGTGTGATGTTCCCCTCCCTGTGTCCATGTGTTCTCATTATTCAACTCCACTTATGAGTGAGAACATGTGGTGTTTGGTTTTCTGTTCTTGCGTTAGTTTGCTGAGAATTATGGTTTCCAGCTTCATCCATGTCCCTGCAAAGGACGTGAACTCAACCTTTTTTATGGTTGCATAGTATTCCATGGTGTGTATGTGCCACATGGTTGAACGTGATTTATGTGCTTACTGGCCATTTGTATATTTTCTTTAGAGAAATATCTGTTAATTACCTTTTCAGATATATGATCTGCAAAATTTTTCTCCCACTTTTGGATTATCTTTTCATTTTCTTAATAGTGGACTCTGAAGCATAAAATATTTAATTTTGATGATGTCATATATATCTACATTTTCTTTTGTTACTTGTGCTTTTTGTGTCATATGTAAGAAACGCATAGTCGAAGATCTGGAAGATTTACACCTATGTTGTTACCCTAGAGTTGTATAGCTTTAAACCTTATATTTACATGTTTCATCCATTTTTAGGAAATTTTTGCATATGGTTTGAAGTATGAGTCCCAGTTCTTTATTTTGCATATGGATAACCAGTTGTACCAGCAGCCTTGGTTGAAAAGATAATTCTTTCTGCATTGAATTTTCACTCATGTTCAAAATCAATTCCTCATGGACGTGAGTCTTCATTTCTGGTTATTTCATTCTATTCCATTGATCTATGTCTCTTTACTTATGAAGGTACCACACTCTTTTGATTAATGTAGCTTTGTTGTAAGTTTTGAAATCATAACATGTGAGTCCTCAAAATTTGTTCTGCTTTTTATCAATATCGCTTTTGCTGCCTTATGTTCCTTGCACTTCCATATGAATTTTATGATCAGATTGTAAATTTCTGAAAAGAATGCAGTAAGAACTGTGATATGGGTTGCATTGAATCTGAAGATAATTTGGGGAAATGTTACCATTTTAATAGCATTAAGTTTCTCACATTAACTTGAGTTATTTCCATTTATTTAGATCTTTCTTAATTTATTTTTTGTAGTTTTCACAGAATAAGTTTTGCACTTCTTTTATTACATTTACTCCTAGGTATTTTATTTTTCATTCTAGTATTAAAGAATTGTTTTTTTTTTAATTTCATTTTCTAGTATTCCTTGCTATAAATCTCATATCCATCAACCTTGATAAAGTTGTTTATTAGTTCTAATAATTTTTAGTAGATTACTTAGAATTCCCTTTACATAAGATAATGTCATCTGCAAATAGAAACACTTTAAATTCTTTCTTTCCAATCTGGATGCCCTTTATTTTATTTGCTCATCTAACTGCCCTACAGAACCTCCAGTGAAATGTTGAACAGAGGTGGAAAGAATGGACAATCTTGCCTTACTTCTGATTTTAGAGGGATGGCATTCAATCTGTTATCACTAAGTATGATTTTTTGTTGCAGATTTTTAATAAGGAGCTTTATCAGGTTAAAGAAATTACCTTCTATTACTAGTTTGTTGAGTATTTTTTTATCACTAAGTATTGTTGAGATTTGTAAAATGTGTATTGTGAGTCTATTGATATGACATGTTGTTTTGATACTTTACTCTGTTGATATGGTGCATTACATTAATAATTTTGGAACTTTAAAAAGACATTTAAATTTAAAATAAATCTTACTTGTTCATGGTGTATAATCCTTTTTATATATTTCTGGCTTGGGTATACTAGTATTTTGTTAATGACTTTTGTCTTTCTATTGATAACAGATATTGATTTGTCATTTTCATTTTCTCTAGGTTATTAACAGTTATATATATATATATATATATTTTTTTTTTTTTTTTTTTAACCTGAATAAGTTCTTTAGTGGTGATTTGTGAGACTTTGGTGCACCCATCACCTGAGCAATGTACACTATATCCAATGTGTAGTCTTTTATCCCTCACTCCACCCCTAGCCTTTTTCTTGAGTCCCCAAAGCCAATAGTATCATTCTTAAGCTTTTGTGTCAGGCCGGGCGTGGTGGCTCACGCCTGTAATCCCAGCACTTTGGGAGGCCGAGGCGGGTGGATCACGAGGTCAGGAGATCGAGACCATCCTGGCTAACATGGTGAAACCCCGTCTCTACTAAAAATACAAAAAATTAGCCAGACATGGTGGCGGGTGCCTGTGGTCCCAGCTACTCGGGAGGCTGAGGCAGGAGAATGGCGTGAACCCGGGAGGCGGAGCTGGCAGTGAGCCGAGATTGCACCACTGCACTCTAGCCTGGGCAACAGAGCGAGACTCCGTCTCAAAAAAAAAAAGAAAGAAAAAGCCTTTGTGTCTTCACAGCGTAGTTCCCACTTATGAGTGAGAACATACAATGTTTTGTTTTCCATTCCTGTGTTACTTCACTTAGAATAATGGTCCCTAATTTCATTCAAGTTGCTACAAATGCCATTATTTCATTCCTTTCTATGGCTGAGTAGTATTCCATGATATACATGTGTGTATATATCTATATCTATCTATCTATCTATCTATCTATCTATCTATCTATCTATCTATATACTACATTTTGTTTATACACTTGTTAATTGATGGGCATTTGAGCTGCAAATTTTTTTGTAATTGTGAATTGTGCTACTATAAATACTATGCATGTGCAAGTATCCTTTTCGTATAATGACTTATTTTCCTCTGGGTAGATACCCAGTAGTGGGATTGCTGGATCAGATGGTAGTTCTACTTTTAGTTCTTTAAGAACTCCCCACACTGTTTTAGATAGTGGTTATACTAGGTAACAATCCCACCAATGGTTGAAAAGTGTTGCCTTTTGACCACATGCATGCCAACATCTATTATTATTATTTTTCATTTTTTGGTTATGGCCATTCTCGAAGAAGTAAGGTGGTATCACATTGTGCTTTTGATTTGCATTTAGCTGACCATTAGTGATGTTGAGAATTTTTTCATGTGTTTGTTGGCCATTTGTATATCTTCTTTTTAGAATTGTCTATTCATGTCCTTAGCTACTTATTGATGTGATTGGTTTTTTTTTGTTTGTTTTCTTGTTTTTTTTCCTGTTCTTGCTGATTTGTCTGAGTTCCTTGTAGATTCTGGATATTAGTCCTTTGCTAGATGTATAGTTTGTGAAGATTTTCTCCCACTCTGTGGGTTGTCTGTTTACTCTGCTGACTGTTTCTTTTGCTGTGCAGAAGCTTTTTAGTTTAATTAATTGTCATCCATTTGTCTTTGTTTTTGTTGCATTTGCTTTTGGGTTCTTGGTCATGAAGTGTTTGCCTAAGCCAATGTCTAGAAAGGCTTTTCCGATATTATCTTCTAGAATTTTTATGTTTTCAGGTCTTTAAGTCCTTGATCCATCTTAAGTTGATTTTTTTATTAGGTGAGAAATAAAGATCCAGTTTTATTCTTCAACACTTGGCTTGCCAATTATCCCAGCACAATTTGTTGAATAGGGTGTCCTTTCCCAACTTTATATTTTTGTTGCTTTGTTGAAGATCAGTCACCTGTAAGTAGTTGGCTTTATTCATGGGTTCTCTATTCTGTTCTATTGTTCTATATGCTTATTTTTATACCAGTACCATGCTATTTTGGTGACTATGGCCTTATAGTATAGTTTGAAGTCAGATGATGTGATGCCTCCAGATTTGTTCTTGTTGCTTAGTCTTGTTTTGTCTATGTGGGATATTTTTTGGTTGCATATGAAAATAATCCTCCATTAGGATTGTTTTCTGTGTTCTGTGAAGAATGATGGTGATATTTTGAGGGGAATTTCATTGAATTATTAGATTGTTTTTGGCAGTATGATCATTTTCACAATATTGAGTCTACCCATCCATGAGCATGAGATGTTTTTCCATTTGTTTGTGTCATCTGTGATTTATTTCAGAAGTCTTTTGTAGTTTTCCTTGTAGAGGTCTTTTACCTCTTTGGTTTGGTATATTCCCAGTTTTTTTTTTTTTTTTTTTTTTTGGAGCTATTGTAAAAGTGGTTGAGTTCTTGATTTGATTCTCAGCTTGGTCACTGTTGGCATATAGCAGAGCTACTGATTTGTGCACATTAACTGTGTATCCTAAAACTTTGCTGAATTCATTTACCAGTTCTAGGAGATTTTCGGATGTCTTAGGGGTTTCGAGGTATATAATCATGTCCTCGGCAAACAGTGACATTTTGATTTTATCTTTACAGATTTGGATGTCTTTTATTTCTTTCTCTTATCTGATTGCTTTGGCTGGAACTTCCAGTACTATGTTGAATGGAGGTGGTAAAAGTGGACATCCTTGTCTTATTCCAGTTCTCAAAGAGAATGCTTTAAACTTTTCCCCATTCAGTATAATGTTGGCTGTGGTTTTGTCATAGATGGTTTTTATTATCATTAAGATATGTTCGTTTGATTCCAATTGTATTGAGTGTATTGAGGGTTTTAATCTTAAAGAGACGGTGGATTTTTTCAAATGCTTTTTCCACATCTATTGAGATGATCTTGTGATTTTTGTTTTTAATTCTGTTTATGTGGTGTATCACATTTAGTGACTTGCCTGTGTTAAACCATTCCTGCCATCCCTGCATCCCTGGTATAAAACCTGCTTGATCATAATGGATTATCTTTCTCTCTCTCTGTCTTTTTTTTTTTTTTTTTTTTTTTGAGATGGAGTTTCACTCTTGTCTCTCAGGCTGGAATGCAGTGGCAAGATCTCAACTCACTGCAACCTCTGCCTCCCAGTTTCAAGCTATTCCCCTGCTTCAGCTACCTGAGTAGCTGGAATTACAGGCTCCCACCACCACACCCAGTTAATTTTTATATTTTTAGTAGAGACGGGGTTTCGCCATGTTGGCCAGGCTGGTCTTATACTCCTGACCTCAGGTGATCCACCCACCTCAGCCTCCCAAAGTGCTGGGATTACAGGCATAAGCCACCACTCCTGGCCTGCATTATCTTTTTGTTATGCTGTTGGATTTCATTAGCTAATTTTTGTTGAGAATCTTCCATCTATATTCATCTGTAGTTTCCTTTTTTGTTTTGTCCTTTCCTGGTTATGATATTAGGGTGATACTGGCTTCACAGAATGATTTAGGGAGGATTCCCTCTTTCTCTATCCTCTGGAATAGTGTTAATAGGATTGGTAGATATTCTTCTTTGAATGTCTGATAGAATTCAGCTGTGAATCTGTCTGGTCCTGGACTTGTTTTTGTTAGCATTTTTAATTATCATTTCCATCTTGCTCTTTGTTATTGGTATACTTAGAGTTTCTATTTCTTCCTGGCTTAATCTAGAAGGATTGTATATTTCCAGGAATTTATCCATCTCCTCTAGGTTTTCTAGTTTATGCACATAAAGGTGTTCATAGTAGCCTTGAATGATCCTTTGTATTTTTATGGTATCAGTTGTAATATCTCCCATTCTGTTTCTAATCGAGCTTATTTGGATCTTCTCCTTTTCTTGGTTAATGTTGCTAATGGTCTACTAATTTTATGTATCTTTTTATAGAATCAGCTTTTTGCTTTATTTATCTCTTGTATTTTGTTGTTGTTGTTTCAATTTCATTGAGTTCTCCTCTGATCTTGGTTATTTCTTTTCTGCTGCTGGGTTCGGGCTTGATTTGTTCTGATGTCTCTAGTTCCTTGAGGTGTGACCTTGTGTAACACCAAAGGTTCTTGCCTTAGCCACGCCGAAGATTTGGTGTGGCAGCAGCCTGCGGTGAGAGAGAGACACAGATTGGACAGAGAGAAAAAAAGCTGTAGGCTTTATTGAGCAGAGTGACAGTACAAAGCTTCCACAGTGTAGAAGGGGTCCCGAGTGGGTAGCCAGTGTTAGATTTTTTGATCACCTTTTAAACTCTGTAAGGCGGGAAATACATGCGGCGGGAAGATGTTACCAGAGCAAGAAACAAAGACAATTAACATGTCTTAGATCTTGAGGAAAACCGGAATTGTAACTTAACATTTTTCTACTTTATAACCTTGCAGCAGCATGGCAAAGGAGATAGGATCTCACAGGATTTTATGAATTGTGTTTACAAGGAATTGGAATTGGGAGCATACATAAGGTCTGCCGATCACAGAAAAAATGGGCTTTTAACATTCTTTTTAGTTTCAGGGGAGGGGGAAGGGAGAAGAGGGAGCGAGGACACAGGGAAGCTTACAGCAAAAGTTTCGCTGTTTATAGCTATCTTGAGGAAGAAAACACATGCACAAATTCTGACGTTAGGAATATTTTAAACATATATCTTCAATATTATTTATCCAGGACCAAAGTAAGTCCTGACGCAGGAAATGAGTGAGTTTCACAGCTTTCTGAGCCCCTACTTGACCCAGGAAGCCCAGCTGGAACCTCCTCTCACTTAGTTTATCTATTTGTGCTCTTTCAGACTTTTTGATGTAGGCATTTAATGCTATGAACTTTCTTCTTAGCACCGCTATTTCTGTATCCCAGAGGTTTTGATATGTTGTGTCACTATTATCATTCAATTCAAATAATTTTTAAATTTCTACCTTGATTTCATTGTTTACTCAATGATCACTCAGGAGCAGATCATTTAATTTCCAGGTATTCGCATTGTTTTGAGGGTTCCTTTTGGAATTGATTTCCAATTTTATTCCACTGTGATCTGAGAGAGTACTTAATATGATTTTGTTTTTCTTAAATTTGTTGAGACTTGTTTTATGGCCTATCATATGGTCTATCTTGGAGACTGTTCCATGTGCTGAAGAATAGAATTTATATTCTGCAGTTGTTTGGTAGAATGTTCTGTCAGTATCTGTTAAATCCATTTGTTCTAGGGTATAGTTTAAGTCTATTGTTCCTTTGTTGATTTTCTGTCTTGATGACCTGTCTAGTGCTGTCAGTGGAGTATTAAAGCCCCCACTATTATTGTATTCCTCTCTGTCTCATTTCTTGTCTAGTAGTAACTGTTTTATAAATTTATAAGCTTCAGTTTTAGGTGCATATATATTCAGGATTGTGATATTTTCCTGTTGGAGTAGTCCTTTTATCATTATATAATGTCCCTCTTTGTCTTTTTTAACTGCTATTGCTCTAATGTTTGTTTTGCCTGATATAAGAATAGCTACTCCTTCTTGCTTTTGGCTTTCAATTTCATGAAATATCTTTTTCTACCTCTCTTCTTTATGTTTATATGAATCCTTATATGTCATGTGAGTTTCCTGAGGACAGTAGATACTTGGTTGGCGAATTATCATCCATTCTGTCATTCTTTATGTTTTAAGTGGAGCATTTAGGCCATTTACAGTCAATGTTAGTATTGAGATGTGAGGTACTATTCTATTCATCGTGCTATTTGTTGACTGAGTACCTTGTTTTATCTTAATTGTGTTTTTTTTTATAGGTCTAGTGAGATTTGCTTTAAGATATTCTATTTTGGTGTATTTAGAGTATTTATGTCAAGGTTTAGAGCTCCTTTTAGCAGTTCCTGTAGTGATGGCTTGGTAGTGGTGAATTCTCTCAGCATTTGTTTGTCTGAAAAAGACTGTATCCTTCCTTCGTTTATGAAGCTTAGCTTCATTGGATACAAAATTCTTGGCTGATAGTTGTTTTGTTTAAGGAGGCTAAAGATAGGACCTCAATCCCTTCTAGCCTGTAGGGTGTCTGCTGAGAAATCTGCTGTTAATCCAATAGGTTTTCCTTTATAGGTTACCTGTTGCTTTTGCCTCACCGCTCTCAAGATTCTTTACTTTGTCTTGACTTTAGATAACCTGATGATTATGTGTGAGGCAATTATCTTTTTGTGGTGCATTTTCCAGATGTTCTTTAAGCTTCTTGTATTTGGATGTCTAGATCCTTAGCAAGGCCAGGGAAGTTTTCCTTGATTGTTCTCTCAAATATGTTTTCCAAACTTAGATTTCTCTTCTTCCTCAGGAACACCAATTATTTTTAGGTTTGGTCATTTAACATAATCCCAAACTTTTTGGAGGCTTTGTTCATTAAAAAAAAAAATTTTTTGTCTTTGTTGGATTGGATTAATTTGAAAGCCTTGTCTATGAGCTCTGAAGTTCTTTCTTCTACTTGTTGGGTTCTGTTGCTGAGACATTCCAGTGCATTTTGCATTTCTCTAAGTGTGTCCTTCATTTCTAGAAGTTGTGTTTGTTTTTTGTTTATGCTGTCTATTTCACTGGAGATTTCTCTATTAATATCCTATATCTTTTTGTATTTCATTATGTTAGACTTTACCTTCTCTTGTGACTGCTTGATTAGCTTAATAATTTACCTTTGGAATTCTTTTTCTGGCAATTAAGAGCTTTTGTCTTGGTTTGGATCCATTGCTGGTGAGTTAGTGTAATCTTTTGGGGATGTTAAAGAACCTTGTTTTGTCATATTACCAGAATTGATTTTCTGGTTCCTTCTCTTTTTGGTAGACTATGACAAAGGGTGGATCTGAGACTCAAGAGCTTCTGTTCAAATTCTTTTGTCCCATGGGGTGCTCCCATGATTTAGTGCTCTCCCCCTTCCCCTAGTGATGTGGCTTTCTGAGAGCCAAACTGCAGTGCTTATTATTTCTCTTCTGGATCTAGCCACCCAGTGAAGCTACTGGGCTCTAGGCTGGTACTATGGTGTGTCTGCAAAGGGTCATGTTGTAATGCCTAAGGTTCTTGCCTAGCCACGCCAAAGAATTGGTGTGGCGGCTGACTGCAGCGAGTGATAGAGATACGGACCAAGAGTGAGAAAAAGCTGTAGACTTTATTGAGCAGAGTGAAAGTACAAACCTTTCACAGTGTGGAAGGGGTCCTGAACGGGTAGCCAGATTTAGATTATACAATTGCCTTTTAAACTCTTTAAGGTGGGAAAGACGTGCAGCGGGAAGATGTTACCAGAGCAAGAAACAAAGGCAATTAACCATTTGTAACATGTCTTAGGTCTTGAGGAAAACCGGAATTGTAACCTAGGTTATATCTACTTTATGACCTTGGAGAGGCATGGCAAAGGAGACAGGATCTTACAGGACTGTACAAAGTATGTTTACAAGGAATTGGAATTGGGAGTATAGATAAGGTCTGCTGGTCACAGAAAAAATGGGCAGTTAACATTCCTTTTACTTTAGTTTCAGGGGATGGGGAAGGGAGAGAGGGAGAGAGGACACAGGGAAACTTACAGCAAAATATTAGCTGTTTTTAGCTTTCTTGGGGAAGAAAACACATGCACAAATCCTGGTGTTAGGAATAGTTTAAGCATATATCTTCAATATGATTCATCCAGGACCGAAGTAAGTCATGATGCAGGAAATGAGTGAGTTTCACAGCTTTCTGAGCCCCTACTCGACCCAGGAAGCCCAGCTGGCACCTCCGCTCACTGTGATGTGATCTGTCTTCAGGTCTCTCAGCCACGGATAACAGCACGTGCTCCAGTGGAGGTAGCAAGGGAGTGAAGTGGACTCTGTGAGGAACCTTGCTTGTATTTTTGTTAAGTGTACTGGTTTTGCGTTTGTTGGCCTCCAGCCAGGAGGTGTTGCTTTCAAGAGCCCATCAGCTGCAGTATTATAGGGAGGATACAAGTTTTCTCTAGGGTCGTGTCATGGGCAGGGCCACAGAGCTCCCAAGAAATTACGTTCTTCATCTTCAGAGTTTCTCTGTTGTCCCACTGAGCCTGCAGCATCAATCCACCCTATTCAAGTGTCTGTGGATTCTCTCAGCTTTCCTGATACTGCAGGAACACTGCAGTAATTCTTGGAGAAAAAGTTACAACATGAGTCTCCACATGATGCTCTGTCTGAGTGGGAGCTTCAAGTTATTCCTGCCTCCTATCTGCCATTTTTTTTTCCCAGACCCTGATTTGTCATTTTTTTCCTTGTAATGTTTTGTCTGATTTTGATATCAGATTAGTACTGGGCTCATGAAATGAGTTGGAAAATATTCCATAATCTCTATATATTTGAAAATGTTTTTGAAAAAGTAGAATTCATTACCTTGATTATGTGCTAAAATTTATCAGTGAAGACATAGGACTGGTCTTTTCTTTTTCTGTATTTTTATTTTTACATTAGTAATTTAATCCCTATAATTGTTATAGGTTGACTTAGATTTTCTATTTCATCCTTAGTCCATGATGGTAGTTTTTATCTTTCTAGAAATTTCTCCATTTCAACAAGTTTACCTAACTTGTTGACACATGGCTGATCATAATATCCTTTTATCATTCAGATTTCTTTAAGGCCAATTGTGTCCTCTTTCATTTGTGATTTTAGTACTTTGTGTCATCTCTCTCTTTCTTTCTCAGCTACTCTAACTAAAAGACTGTCAATTTTGTTCATCTTCTTAAAGAACCAAGTTTTAGTTGCATTGATTTTTCTTCAACATTTTTCTTTTCTCTAGTTTAATAATTTCTACTCTAATCCCTTTTATTTCCTTCCAGTTCCTTTACATTTAGTTTGCTTTTGTTTTTCCAGTGTCATGAGATTAGGCTAATACATTGAGAATTCTTTCTTTTGAATGCAGATGATTATAATTTTTTTTCTCTAAGGACTATTTTACTTCATCCTGTCAGTTTTGATATGTTCTGTCTTCATTTTCATTCATCTCAAATTTTTTTTTATAATTTCCCTTATGATATCTTCTTTCACACATTAATTATTTAGGAGTGTATTAATTACCAAACAATTTTTTATTTTCCAAATTTCTTCATGATATTAATTTCTAATTTCACTCAATTTTCATTGAAAAACATATCTTATGTGATTTTAATAATTTCAAACTTGTTGAGAACCATTTTCTGGCCTAGCATATGGCAGATCCTAGGGAATGTTTAATTTAATTTATTTTTTTTAACTAGAGAAAGTACTTTTTATTTTAAAAGTGTGATCTATTTTAGTTGCTCTCTTGTTTTCTATTTAGTTTTTTTTTTTTAACAACTTTTATTTTAGGTTCAGGGGCACATGTACAGGTTTTTTATACAGGTAAATTGCATGTCAAGGGGGCTTGGTGTACAGATTATTTTGTTACCAGGTAATAAGTATGGTACCCAATAGGTGGTTTTTCAATCCTCAGCCCACTTTCACCCTCCATCTTCGAGTAGGTCCCTATGTCTGCTGTTCCCTTCTTTGTTTTCATGTATACTCAATGATTAGCTCCCACTTATAAGTGATAACATTCAGTATTTGTTTTTTGTTCCTGCATTAGTTTGCTTAGAATAATGGCCTCCTCCTCCATCCATGTTGCTACAAAGAACCTCTCATTCTTTTTGTGGTTGCATGGTATTCCGTGGTGCACATGTACTGCATTTTCTTTATCCAATCTACCATTGATGGGCATTTACATTGATTTCATGTATTTTCTATTGTGAATAGTGCTGCAATGAACATGCCAGTGCATGTGTCTTTATTGGTAGAACAATTTATATTCCTTTGGATGTATACCCAATTATGGAGTTGCTGGGTCAAATGGTAGTTCTATTGTAAGTCCTGTGAGAAATCGCCACACTACTTCCCACAAAGGATAAACTAGTTTACATTTCCATCAGCAGTGCATAAGAATTCTATTTTCTACAACCTCACCAGCATCTGTGATTTTATGACTTTTCAGTAGTAGACATTCTGACTGGAGTGAGATGGAATCTCATTGGAACTTTTATTTGCATTTCTCTAATTATTAGTGATATTGAGCATTTTTTTTTCATATGCTTGTTGGCCGTGTCTGTGGGTTTTCTTGAAAAGTGTTCACTTCCTCTGCCCACTTTTTAATGGTTTTTTTTCTTGTTAAAGTTCCTTGCAAATTTGAGATTTAGATCCTTGTCAGATGCATAGTTTGCAAATATTTTCTCTCATTTTGTAGGTTTTCACTCTGTTGACAATTTCTTTTTTTTTTGCCTTGTTTTCTTTAATCAGCTCTTTTTTTTCCTTTTCTTTTTTTTATTATACTTTAAGTTCTAGGGTACATGTGCACAACGTGCAGGTTTGATATATATATATATATATATATATATATACATGTGTCCTGTGGGTGTTCTGCACTCATTAACTCATCATTTACATTAGGTATATCTCCTAATGCTATCCCTTCCCCCTCCCCCCACCCCGTGACAGGCCCCAGGGTGTGATATTCCTCACCCTGTGTCCAAGTGTTCTCATTGTTCAGTTCCCACCTATGAGTGAGAATATGCGGTGTTTGGTTTTCTGTCCTTGCAATAGTTTGCTCAGAATGTTGGTTTCCAGCTTCATCCATGTCCCTACAAAGGACATGAACTCATCATTTTTTATGGCTGCATAGTATTCCATGCTGTGCCACATTTTCTTAATCCAGTCTATCATTGGTGGACATTTGGGTTGGTTCCAAGTCTTTGCTATTGTGAATAGTGCCACAATAAACATACGTGTGCATGTGTCTTTATAGCAGCATGATTTATAATCCTTTGGGTATATACCCAGTAATGGGATGGCTGGGTCAAATGGTATTTCTAGTTCTAGATCCCTGAGGAATCGCCACACTGACTTCCACAATGGTTGAACTAGTTTACAGTCCCACCAACAGTGTAAAAGTGTTCCTATTTCTCCACATCCTCTCCAGCACCCGTTGTTTCCTGACTTTTTAATGATCACCATTCTAACTGGTGTGAGATGGTATCTCATTGCGGGTTTGATTTTCATTTCTCTGATGGCCAGTGATGATGAGCATTTTTTCATGTGTCTGTTGGCTGCACAAATGTCTTCTTTTGAGAAGTGTCTGTTCATATCCTTCACCCACTTTTTGATGGGGTTGTTTGATTTTTTTTCTCCTAAATTTGTTTGTTCTTTGTAGATTCTGGATATTAGCCCTTTGTCAGATGGGTAGATTGTAAAAATTTTCTCCCATTCTGTAGGTTGCCTGTTCACTCTGATGGTAGTTTCTTTTGCTGTGCAGAAGCTCTTTAGTTTACTTAGATCCCATTTGTCAATTTTGGCTTTTGTTGCCATTGCTTTTGGTGTTTGAGTCATGAAGTCCTTGCCCATGCCTATGTCCTGAATGGTATTGCATAGGTTTGCTTCCAGGGTTTTTATGGTTTTAGGTCTAACATTTAAGTCTTTAAGCCATCTTGAATTAATTTTTGTATAAGTTGTAAGGAAGGTATCCAGTTTCAGCTTTCTACATATGGCTAGCCAGTTTTTCCAGCACCATTTATTAAATAGGGAATCCTTTCCCCATTTCTTGTTTTTCTCAGGTTTGTCAAAGATCAGATTGTTGTAGATGTGCGGTATTATTTCTGAGGGCTCTGTTCTGTTCGATTGGTCTATATCTCTGTTTTGGTACCAGTACCATGCTGTTTTGGTTACTGTAGCCTTGTAGTATAGTTTGAAGTCAGGTAGCATGATGCCTCCAGCTTTGTTCTTTTTGCTTAGCATTGTCTTGGCGATGCGGGCTCTTTTTTGGTTCCATATGAACTTTGAAGTAGTTTTTTCCAATTCTGTGAAGAAAGTCATTGGTAGCTTGATGGGGATGGCATTGAATCTATAAATTACCTTGGGCAGTATGGCCATTTTCACGATATTGATTCTTCCTATCCATGAGCATGGAATGTTCTTCCATTTGTTTGTGTCCTCTTTTACTTCATTGAGCAGTGGATTGTAACTCTCCTTGAAGATGTCCTTCACATCCCTTGTAAGTTGGATTCCTAGGTATTTTATTCTCTTTGAAGCAGTTGTGAATGGGAGTTCACTCATGATTTGGCTCTCTGTTTGTCTATTATTGGTGTATAAGAATGCTTGTGATTTTTGCACATTGATTTTGTATCCTGAGACTTTGCTGAAGTTGCCTATCAGCTTAAGGAGATTTTGGGCTGAGACGATGGGGTTTTCTAGATATACAATCATGTCATCTGCAAACAGGGACAATTGGACTTCCTTTTTCCTAATTGAATACCCTTTATTTCTTTCTCTTGCCTGATTGCCCTGGCCAGAACTTCCAAAACTATGTTGAATAGGAGTGGTGAGAGAGGGCATCCCTATCTTCTGCCAGTTTTCAAAGGGAATGCTTCCAGTTTTGCCCATTCAGTATGATATTGGCTGTGGGTTTGTCATAAATAGCTCTTATTATTTTGAGGTACATCCCTTCAATACCTAGTTCATTGAGAGTTTTTAGCATGAAGGGCTGTTGAATTTTGTTGAAGGCCTTTTCTGCATCTATTGAGATAATTATGTGGTTTTTGTCTTTGGTTCTCTTTATATGCTGGATTATGTTTATTGATTTGCATATGTTGAACCAGCCTTGTATCCCAGGGATGAAGCCCACTTGATCGTGGTGGATAAGCTTTTTGATGTGCTGCTGGATTTGGTGTGCCAGTATTTTATTGAGGATTTTCGCATTGATGTTCATCAGGGATGTTGGTTTAAAATTCTCTTTTTTGGTTTTGTCTCTGCCAGGCTTTGGTATCAGGATGATGCTGGCCTCATAAAATGAGTTAGGGAGAATTCCTTCTTTTTCTATTGATTGGAATAGTTTCAGAAGGAATGGTACCAGCTCCTATTTTTACCTCTGGTAGAATTCAGCTGTGAATCTGTCTGGTCCTGGACTTTTTTTGGTTGGTAGGCTATTAATTATTGCCTCAATTTCAGAGCCTGTTATTGGGCTATTCAGGGATTCAACTTTTTCCTGATTTAGTCTTGGGAGGGTGTATGTGTCCAGGAATTTATGCATTTCTTCTAGATTTTCTAGTTTATTTGTATAGAGGTGTTTACACTATTCTCTGATGGTAGTTTGTATTTCTGTGGGATTGGTGGTGATATCCTCTTTATCATTTTTTATTGCATCTATTTGATACTTCTCTCTTTTCTTCTTTATTAGTCTTGCTAGTGGTCTATCAATTTTGTTGATCTTTTCCAAAAACCAGCTCCTGGATTCATTGATTTTTTGAAGGGTTTTTTTGTGTCTCTATCTCCTTCGGTTCTGCTCTGATCTTAGTTATTTCTTGCCTTCTGCTAGCTTTTGAATGTGTTTGCTCTTGCTTCTCTAGTTCTTTTAATTGTGATGTTAGGATGTCAATTTTAGATCTTTCCTGCTTTCTCTTGTGGGCATTTAGTGCTATAAATTTCCCTCTACAGACTGCTTTTAATGTGTCCCAGAGATTCTGGTATGTTTTGTCTTTTTTCTCATTGGTTTCAAAGAGCATCTTTATTTCTGCCTTCATTTTGTTATGTATCCAGTAGTCATTCAGGAGCAGGTTGTTCAGTTTCCATGTAGTTGAGCAATTTTGAGTGAGTTTCTTAATCCTGAGTTCTAGTTTGATTGCACTGTGGTCTGAGAGACAGTTTATTATAACTTCTGTTCTTTTACATTTGCTGAGGAGTGCTTTACTTCCAACTATGTGGTCAATTTTGGAATAAGTGCGATGTGGTGCTGAGAAGAAGGTGCATTCTGTTGATTTGGGGTGGAGAGTTCAGTAGATGTCTATGAGGTCTGCTTGGTGAAGAGCTGAGTTCAATTCCTGGATATCCTTTTTAACTTTCTGTCTTGCTGATCTGTCTAATGTTGACAGTGGGGTGGTAAAGTCTCCCATTATTATTGTGTGGGAGTCTAAGTCTCTTTATAAGTCACTAAGGACTTGCTTTATGAATCTGGGTGCTCCTGTATTGGGTGCATATATATTTAGGATAGTTAGCTCTTCTTGTTGAATTGATCCCTTTACCATTATGTAATGGCCTTCTTTGTCTCTTTTGATCTTTGTTGGTTTAAAGTCTGTTTTATCCGAGACTAGGATTGCAACCCCTGCCTTTTTTTGTTTTCCATTGGCTTGGTAGATCTTCCTCCACCCCTTTATTTTGAGCCTATGTGTGTCTCTGCACGTGAGATGGGTCTCCTGAATACAGCACACTGATGGATCTTGACTCTTTATCCAATTTGCCAGTCTGTGTCTTTTAATTGGAGCATTTAGCCCATTTACATTTAAGGTTAGTATTGTTATGTGTGAATTTGATCCTGTCATTATGATGTTAGCTGGTTGTTTTGCTCGTTACTTGATGCAGTTTCTTCCTAGCCTTGATGGTCTTTACAATTTGGTATGTTTTTGCAGTGGCTGGTACCGGTTGTTCCTTTCCATGTTTAGTACTTCCTTCAGGAGCTCTTTTAGGGCAGGCCTGGTGGTGACAAAATCTCTCAGCATTTGCTTGTCTGTAAAGTATTTTATTTCTCCTTCACTTATGAAGCTTAGTTTGGCTGGATATGAAATTCTGGGTTGAAAATTCTTTTCTTTAAGAATGTTGAATATTGGCCCCCACTCTCTTCTGGTTTGTAGAGTTTCTGCCGAGAGATCCGCTGTTAGTCTGACTGGCTTCCCTTTGTGGGTAACCCGACCTTTCTCTCTGGCTACCCTTAACATTTTTTCCTTCATTTCATCTTTGGTGAATCTGATAATTATGTGTCTTGGAGTTGCTCTTCTCGAGGAGTATCTTTGTGGCGTTCTCTGTATTTCCTGAATTTGAATGTTGGCCTGTCTTGCTAGATTGGGGAAGTTCTCCTGGATAATATCCTGCAGAGTGTTTTCCAACTTGGTTCCATTTTCCCCGTCACTTTCAGGTACACCAATCAGATGTAGATTTGGTCTTTTCACATAGTCCCATATTTCTTGGAGGCTTTGTTTCCTTCTTTTTCTTCTGTTTTCTGTAAACTTCTCTTCACGCTTCATTTCATTCATTTCGTCTTCCATCACTGATACCCTTTCTTCCAGTTGATTGCATCGGTTCCTGAGGCTTGTGCGTTCATCGTGTATTTCTCATGCCATGGTTTTCAGCTCCATCAGGTCCTTTAAGGACTTCTCTGCATTGATTATTCTAGTTATCCATTCGTCTAATATTTTTTCAAAGTTTTTAACTTCTTTGCCATTGGTTCAAACTTCCTCCTTTCGCTCAGAGTAGTTTGATCTTCTGAAGCCTTCCTCTCTCAGCTCATCTAAGTCATTCTCCATCCAGCTTTGTTCCGTTGCTGGTGAGGAGCTGCATTCCTTTGGAGGAGGAGAGGCGCTCTGATCTTTAGAGTTTCCGGTTTTTCTGCTCTGTTTTTTCCCCATCTTTGTGGTTTTATCTACCTTTGGTCTTTGATGATGGTGATGAACAGATGGGTTTTTGGTGTGGATGTCCTTTCTGTTTGTTAGTTTTCCTTCTAACAGACAGGACCCTCAGCTGCAGGTCTGTTGGAGTTTACTGGAGGTCCACTCCAGACCCTGTTTGCCTGGGTATCAGCAGCGGTGGCTGCAGAACAGCAGATATTGGTGAATCGCAAATGCTGCTGCCTGATCATTCCTCTGGAAGTTTTGTCTCAGAGGAGTACCCGGCCGTGTGAAGTGTCAGTCCGCCCCTACTGGGGGGTGCCTCCCAGTTAGGCTACTCGGGGGTCAGGGACCCACTTGAGGAGGCAGTCTGTCTGTTCTCAGATCTCAAGCTGCGTGCTGGGAGAACCACTACTCTCTTCAAAGCTATCAGACAGGGACATTTAAGTCTGCAGAGGTTACTGCTGTCTTTTGTTTGTCTGTGCCCTGCCCCCAGAGGTGGAGCCTACAGAGGCAGGCAGGCCTCCTTGAGCTGTGGTGGGCTCCACCCAGTTGGTGCTTCCCAGCTGCTTTGTTTACCTACTCAAGCCTGAGCAATGGCAGGTGCCCCTCCCCCAGCCTTCCTGCCGCCTTGCAGTTTGATCTCGGACTGCTGTGCTAGCAAAGAGCGAGGCTCCGTGGGTGTAGGACCCTCCGAGCCATGTGTGGGATATAATCTCCTGGTGTGCCATTTATGAAGCCCTTTGGAAAAGCGCAGTATTAGGGTGGGAGTGACCCGACTTTCCAGGTGCCGTCTGTCACCCCTTTCTTTGACTAGGAAAGGGAATTCCCTGACCCCTTGTGCTTCCTGGGTGAGGCGATGCCTCGCCCTGCTTCAGCTCACACACAGTGCACTGCACCCACTGTCCTGCACCCACTGTCTGGCACTCTCCAGTGAGATGAACCTGGTACCTCAGTTGGAAATGCAGAAATCACCCATCTTCTGCATTGCTCACGCTGGGAGCTGTAGACTGGAGCTGTTCCTATTCAGCCATCTTGGCTGTACCCCCCCACCTTGATTTTTAAAAGATGGGTTTTCCTGGTAGAAGATTCTTGGTTAACAGTGGTTTGTTTTTGTTTTTTTTTTCACTTTTTGAATGTGTCATCCCATTGTCTTCTTGTCTTCATTATTTCTGATGAGAAATCAGCTCTTAATCTTATTGTTGTTCCCCTGCATGTAGTAAGTCATTTTATTTTTCCGCTTTCAATATTTTCTCTTTTTCTTCAGCATTTCTTTCTTTAGGTCTGAGTGTGGATCTCTATCCATTCTTTCTCTCCTCTCAACTGGTATCCTTACTATGTTTGTGTTAGTGCACATAAAGATGTGTCATATTTGTCTGAGACTTGGTACATTTGTCTACATTCTGTTTTCTTGTATTTATATTGAATAATCTATGTTGTTTTATCACAATGTTCTCTACCTCTTTCTTCTGCTAGTTCTAATAAACTATTTAACCCCTCTGGTGAATGTCTTAGTTTGGTCACTGTACGTTTCAATTCCAGAATTTGAGTTTGGTTCTTTTTTTAATTTTTATTTCTGTATTGATATTCTCCATTTGATGAGATATTGGCATTATACCTACCTTTACTTTTTAAATCATGGTTTTTTTTAGTTTCTTGAACATATTTGGTGTCACTCCTTAGGAGGCTCAGCCTTAAGCATGTGCACAATCTCCCTTTAATTGCAGTCATTGATTAGCGCTCTTTTTGACTGCGTATTTCCTCTATGTCTCTGTTAATATATCTGTCTCATTTTGTATGAAACCCAGTTTTGAGTCTTCATGAATTGCTCACTGGTTTCCTGATTTTTTCAACAATTCATTACAATATAAATTGCTTTATAGCCTAGACCAATTAACTTCAGGTAGGGGTATAGTTTGTTTTGTTTTGCTTTTTCTTTAAATAAGTTCAATGTCTAATGTTTGTGTTGGCTTAACTAGTTTTTTTTTTTGAATTTTGAATTTTAAATGTTAAATATACAAGTAATTGCATATATTTATGGGGTAGAATGTAATGTTTTGATATATGTTTATAAAATGTCAGAGGTACTTTTTGAAGCCAGTCTGTGAGATTTGCTCCAATGCAAGAAAAGATCCTCTTAGTTGGCTTTTCCACTTTTTCAGATGATAAACTATCTGACTCCTCATTTAGAGAAGCTATTTTTGAGTGATCTTAGGCTTGAATTTCTTTGCACTCTTTAAATAAAGTTAATTCCTTTTGGGAGAGATTTTGAGCACTCTTTTCTATGGACTTCCTTTGCATCTGGGAAAAATTTTGAGCCACTACACACGTCCTGGGTGTTGTTTTAGCCTCTAGTTTTCTTGACTTTTCTCTTCTAGTATGTAATCTCTGTCCTACAGGAACCCATATGTACAGGACAGCACTATTCAAAATTACAAAGACATAAAATTAACCCATGTGCCCATCAATGGTTGATTGTATAAAGAAATTGTGGTACATATATACCATGGAATACTATGCAGCCATAAAAAAAATGAAATCATGTCTTTTGTAGCAACATGGAAGCAGTTGTAAATTATTATTCTGAACACATTAATGCAGAAATAGAAAACCAAACACTGAATGTTCTCACTTATAAGTGTTACCTAAATAAACATGGTTATAAAAATGGGAACAATAGATACTGGGGAATACAAGTGGGAGAAAGAACATGGGAAAAGACTGAAAAAAAATCTATCTATTGGGTACTGTGCTCACTACCTGGATGATGGATTTATTTGTAGTCTAAACCTCAGCATTGTTCAATATACCTTTGTAATAACTTTGCATTTGTATACCCTGATTCTAAAATAAAAGTTGAGAAAAAAGAGAAAAGAAGCAAATACACACTCTTCATCATTTGTAGGATAAGAATATTAATAGTAGACATCTCATGGAGTTGTTATGAGGTTTTTTTGTGGTAACTCATTAAAAGTTCTCATCACAGTGTGTGACTCTTAATAAATCTTCTACATCTGCAATTTAAAATATTGACTTTCTTGATGAATTTCACTAGATTTATGATATTCTCTTAGAACCTAATCAAAGGAGTGAAAATCATTTAAATTAATTGTTACTTAGGACAGGTTTGACAACTCAGGCAAAATATATTAAAGTATGAATTTCTATCATACAACAGCTGGCTAACATTTTATTAAAGTCATATTAAAATGTGATGGATGGAAATTATAGTTAAACATCAAATGGATTAATTTTTTACAAAGATGGTATGGACCAATTTGAAATACTATTGTAAAAAATAAAAATGTTCTAGCTTAAGCACCTGAGTCATTATGATAAAATGTGTGAATTTAGGTCCTTGTTGCAAAGGCAAAATCTCTATTCCAATATACTTAAAAATTAATTTTTATGCAATAAAAACTTCTTTGGAAATTAATTAACTTAAAAAATGTAGGTTATTTGGTTTGAAGAGATAATTACACTTGATAAGAGAAGTGTAGTAATGACCAGAATTAATGATATGATGGAATTTTAAGATTCAGTGATATCATATTATTTTCCCTTTTACCCCAAAGCAAAGTATTTTATTGTTTCCGTAAAATCTAAAAGTAATTATCTAAGATTATGGCTTCATAGTGCACATTAAAAGATAGAGTTATAAGTTTTCTTGCTAGTTAATATTTCACAGAACCAAAGAAGGCAATTTTGATTTAAAAATCATACCTAATGTTGGCCTCTGAAATATCCAGCTAGTAGATCTACATGGATCATGTTAGTATAATTATTACCACTTTTTTCGTTATTTCATGCTGAGTAAATAGGGGTTTTTTTGTTTTTTTGTTGTTGTTGTTGTTGTTTTTTCCTGATAATTAAAGCACAGTGGAAATTGGGCTCGCAATTCAGACTTTGTAGTACTACTGCTTTTCTCATCATGCAGTAAAGCACATTTATTCGAAGCAGCCACATTTATGGGTTTGATTACAGCATCCACTGTATACTATACTTCACAGATTAAGTAGTTATTTACAATCAATCTCTATGGAGAAAAAAATAAGGATGTTACAGTGAGAGTGAACTTGTGGTCTATAATTAATTATAGTTAGAAATATTTACACTAAAGATGTGAGAGGTGAAATTACTTTGGTGAAGATTTGCAGTGCCTCAAATGACCAAAAAATTTTTGAGTTATGGCTGATTATTAATATATGTTCTACTGTTTGACTTTATCAGCTAAGCAGCCAGAGGACTCAGCTTTACCTTAATGCTTACAATATATAAGGCCTTGCCATTATAGCCAAGACAATCCATTGAACAACTTAGTACATTTATAATCTCTAGTGCACATGGTAACAATTCCATGTCTTCAAAATCACTATTGGAAACTTTCAGTATTGCTACTTCTAAGAAAGTTGATAACCCTCATCTTACTTCATTTATTATCTTAGTTTCCTTTTCAGCACTTGACTACATCATTTATACTAAAGGTACGTTACTGGATAATCATTCCATATTTGCTCACATGGTTGCCTTTCAATTGTATTGTAATCTTTTTCTAGTTATAGGTTTCCCTCAGACATACATAATCACATAAGGACATATGATATTAATTTCATAAATATCTGTGAAGGATTAATTGTAAGATTGAACTAATTACTGCAATATACAACTCTAACATTCTTTGAATTACTGAAATAAGCTCATAGATGTCACGAAATATTCTATCTTCTCAAATCACCTAATAAATCTAATAAATGGCTGACATTCTAGTGGACTATTAAATCTTTTAAAAATGGACAAAAGATGACTTTATTCCATATTCTAAAAATTCAGAGTGATAGTTTGGCCTACTCTCTTCAAAAAACGATAAAAGAGAGAATTTTGTATTTTTTTTAATGCCATGAAAGTGAAATATTGCCTTTAAAGTGTAGTCAAAATTTTAACATATTCATTTTGTGGAAAGAAAGGATTACCATTGTAGAATGACCTACTTGCTTAGAAATATTCACAAGTAAAAAAAATTCTCAGTGAGGCTGAGGCTTTGGATTTTTGTTTTACATTCACATTATTCTAGCCAATTCTTCTGAACAATTATGTTAAAAAATTGCAGAAATCAAATATAATACAGAACTATTTATCACTTAGGCTGTTAAGTCCAACATACCTTAGATATTTTCAAGAGTTGACTTCATGGCTGAGCCTTGTATGGCTAATGAGGGAGTGTTTTTACTGTAGTACTCTTCTATTAATGAATCACATTAGCTTAAACACACTTATAATATATTAATTAAAGGTTTTTAAAACTTATTAGCAATTAGTAGATCAATAACCCCACATCATATTCTCTTCATACATTTAAATGATAGAACTGCTTGCATTTTTCAACATTCAGTCATTCCTATATTTTGAATGAAAAAAATCATGCCTTATATTCTCAATTAAAATTGTCTTAGATTTGGAATTTAAGACAAATAGAAAATTGAAAATTTCAAGTAATAGTAAGTCCTTTTATTACATAAACAAGAACAATATGTATAAATAAAGACATTTACTTGGTTAAATAAATACTTTTTTCTATAAATGACTCAAATATATTTTATTGTGTAATCTTTAAATTTTTGGATCAGTCAGTATACCAATTAAATATTGTTGGCTGACTTGTGTCACCCAAATTTATATGTTAAAGTCCCAACTCCCAAAACCTCAGAATGTGACTAGATTTGAATATAGGACCTTTTAAGAGGTAATTAAGGTTAAATGATAAGGGGGCTTTAATTTAATCTGACTGGTGTATTTACAAATATAGAATTTCTACACATAAAGAGACACGAGTGATGCATGTGCGAGGAGGAAAGACCATGTGAGGAATGAGTGAGAAGGCAGACATCTGAAAAGCCAAAGAGAGGCCACAGAAAATAACAAACCCGCTGAGACCTGGATCTTGGAGTTCTATGCTCCAGAACTGTGAAAAAATAAATTTCTGGTTACCTAAGCCACTTTATCTATTGTATTTTATTATGGTAGCCCTAGAAAACTAACACAGCAATCTATGAGAAAACCAGTACAGTACTTAGTAAAAGAGCTATTGTTGAGTGGGATATGACTTACATAAATAATTGATAAATGAATAAATAGTAAAAAGAAATAAGGTGATAACGGGAGGTTGATCAAGAGTCTAGAGGAGAGTTAAATCACCAAGAGGCAGACTACACTAGGAAGATTTAAGTGCACATTCTCCTACAGACAGACTGAGTTTGCAACAATATACAGGCCAGCATACTTTTGTGAGAATTCAAGATCATTTGGGAAGTTACAGCACCTTGATCAAAGTGAAATTTTAAAAAATATCCAGCAAAAACGGTAGGAATATTCATGGCATTTTGTGTGCTTACCCATGCCCCTTTCTTTATTTCTCTTACGTTTAATAATCAGGAGTAAACCTCCCATACTAGAGATCCTCCCTCAGGAAAAAACAAAAGAATGGACTATGTATCTAACATTGTGGTTAGTAGAAGAAGGTCTACCTGAAAGACTAATATCTGTCTTATCCAACTTGAGATATCCTAGGATTTCTAACTAGGCTGATGAGTAAAGGTCTTTCCCTGCACAAATCATATCTCAAAAACGAAACAAACAAGCAAGCATACAAAAACAAATCAAAATGCATACAAAGCAACAGGAAAACATGGTCCACTGTAAGAATTAGTATAAAATGTCAGTAACTGACCCTACAGAAGCATAGATCTATGAGCTATCTGAGGAAAACTTTAAAATAAGTGTTAAGATGCTTAATGAGCTAACAAACGATACAGATACACAAATAACATTTGAAAAAAAAAACAAAACTGGACTGAAAAATTTACTACAATGGTTCCACAGCATACTTGATTAGTTCAAATTGAGCAAACTTTTCACTTGATGTATGTCGAAATTGTTGAACACAAATCAGTTGCAGACAAGAGCAGAGCTTTTAATAAAAATTTTAACCAAGTGGAATCAAGATCTTGAAACATTTCTTGGAAGAATTATTACAGAAGATGAAACATGGCATAACCAGTATGATCCTGAAGACGAAGCACAATGAAAGCAATGGCTACCAAGTTTTGGAAATGATCCAGTCAGAGCCGAAAATGGAATAGTCAAGAACAATAATCATGATAAGTGCTTTTTTTGGGGTGCTTAAGGCATTTTGCTTGTGAAATTTTGGGAGGGCCAAACGACAATAATGTCTGCTTATTATGAAAGTGTTTTGAGAAAGTTAGCCAAAGCATTGGCAGAAAAACAGCCAGGAGAGATTCAAAGGGAATACTTCTCCACCATGACAATGCTCCTTTTCATTTCTCTCATCAAACGAGTAATTTTGTAAAAGTTTCAAGGGGAAATCATTAGATATCCACTTTACAGTTCTGATTTGGCTCCTTCTGACTTCTTTTTGCTTCCTAACCTTAAAAAACCTATAAAGGGTACCTATTTTTCATCTGTTAATATTGTAAAAAAGACTTCACAGATATGGTTAAATTCTCAAGACCTTTAGTTCTTTAGGGATGGACTAAATGGCTGATATCATTGCTTACAAAAGTGTCTTGAACTTGGAGCTTATGTTTGTAAATAAATGTTATATATTTTGTTTTTATCTTTTAATTCCTCTTTTCATAAACTTGTCAAAGTCCCCTCATAGAACAATTATAAATATGTATTAACCAACAGCAGAACACAATAATATATAAAACAAACCTTGATATAACTGAAGGGAGAAATATACAACAACACAATAATAATAGAAAAATTCAATATCCCACTTTTAATAATGGATAGAACAACCAGAGACAAGATAAATAAGGAAATGGATGACTTGAGCAAAAACAATAGACCATTAGAATCTAATAAACATACAGACTCCATCCAACAGCAGAATACACATTATCTTGTAGAACACGTGGAATATTCTCCAGAATAGACCACTTGTTAGGCCACAAAATAAGTCTTAATACATTTTTAAAAGATTGAAATTATACAAGTTATATTTTCCAATAACAATGGAATGAAACTAGAAATCAACAGCAAAAGGCAGACTGGAAAATCCATATACATATTTGGAAAGTAAACAATGCACTCTTCAACCACTAACACATGAAAGAAAAAGTTACAAAATAAATTAGAAAATATAATAAGAGTAATGAAAACCACAACATACAAAAGTTTATGGAAAAACGTAAAAGCAGTCACAAAAGTGAAGTTTATATTGTTTATATCCATATAAAAATGCATAATTTTAAAAAGAAGAAAGATCTGATATTAAAAACCTAACTTTACACTTCAAGGAACTAAACAAAGGACAAATGAAACCTAAAGTTAGCAGAAGGAAGGACATAAAAAAGATGAGAACAGAGATAAATAAAATAGAGAAAAGAAAAAACTAGAAAAAATCAATGAAACAAAGAGTCGGTTTTTTGAAAATATCAACAAAAATGGCAAACTCTTAGCTAGATTAACTAAGAAAAGAGAGAAGACTCAAATAACTAAAATCAGAAATGAAAGCAATGACATTATAAATGATTATAAACAATTGTATGCCAACAAATTGGGTAACTTAGAAAAAATGGATAAATTATTTGAAACCCACTACCCACTAAGAGGGAATCATGAAGAATACAAAATGAACAGATGGGTAACTAGTAAGGAGATTATCTCAGTAATCAAAAGCTACTTTACAAAACAAAGCCCTGGGACACCAGATGGCTTCACTGAAAAATTCTACCGTAGATTTAAAGAAGAATTGATACCTATTCTCCTAAAATGCATTCAAAAATTTGAAGAGTACAGAGCATTTGTTAGGTTGTTCCATGAGGTCTGAATTACCCTAATACCAAATCCAGACAAAAACATTGTAAAAAAAGAAAACTACAGTCCAATACCCCAATGAATATTTATGCAAAATTCCTCAACAAAATACTACCAAACCTTAGCACATTAAGAGGATTATACACCATAACTAAGTGGTATTTATTCTCAAAATTTCATAATGGTGTACCATACAAAAATAAATCCATGTAATACACCACCTAGCCAAATGTCGAACAAAATCCACATTATCATCTCAGTTGATGCAGAAAAGGCATTTGAGAAGGGTTAACATCCTTCATGGTAAAAACACTCATCAAATTGCGAATAGAAAGAAAGAATCTCTGTGAAATTAAGGGTATACTGAAAATCCCACAGGTAACATTATATTTAGTGATTAATGACTGAAAGCTTTTCTACAGGATTAGAAACAAGACAAGAAGGCATGCCCTTGCCACTTTTATTCAGCATAGTATTGATAGTTTTAGCCAGAGAAATTAGGCATAAATAGAAATAAAAGAAATCAAAATTGAAAAGAAGAAGTAAAATTATCTCTGTCCACTGGTCCCACGTTCTTATATGTAAAACCCCCAAAAATTTCACACACACACACACACACACACACACACACACACACAGCTTTTAGAACTACTAAACAAATTCTGCAAAGTTGCAAGTTCTAAAGTCAATATGAAAAAATTCTGATTTTGAAGGTTCTTTTAGGTATTAATTTCCAGTTTTATTCTGTGGTCTGAGAGACTGCTTGATATAATTTCAACTTTCTTAAATATATTGAGGCTCGTTTTGTGGCCTATCATATGGTCTATCTTGGAGAACATTTCATGTGCTGATCAATAGAATGTATATTCTGCAGTTGCTGGGTAAAATGTTCTGTAAATATCTGTTAAATCCATTTTTTCCAGGGTATAGATTAAATATATTGTTTCTTTGTTGACTTTCTGTCTTGATGATCTGTCTAGTGCTGTCATCTAGTGATGATCAGTGGAGTATTGAAGTCCCCTACTATTATTGTGTTTCTGTCTATCTCATTTCTTAAGTCTATTAGCAATTGTTTTATAAATTAGGGAGCTCCAGTGTTAAGTGCAAACATATTTAGGATTGTGATATTTTCTTGTTAAACAAGATCTTTTGTCATTATATTATGTCCCTCTTTGTCTTTTTTAACTGCTGCTGCTTTAAATTTTGTTTTGTATGCTATAAGAGTAGCTACTCGTGCTCTCTTTTGGTGTTCATTTACATAGAACGTCTTTTTCCATCCCTTTACCTTAAGTTTATGTGAGTCCTTATGTGTTTGGTGTGTCTTTTGAAGACCACAGAGAGTTGGCTGGTGAATTCTTATCCATTCTACAATTCTGTATCTTTTAAGGGGGGTATTTAGGTCACTTACATTCAATGTTAATATTGAGATGAGAGGTACCATTCCATTCATCATGCTATTTGTTGCCTGTATACCTTTTTTTATTTGTATTTTTGTTTTATAGGTCATGTGAGATTTATGCTTTAAAGAGGTTCTGTTTTGATGTGTTTCCAGGATTTTTTTCAAGATTTAGAGTTCCTTTTAGCAGTTCTTGTAGTGCTGGCTTGGCAGTGGCAAATTCTCTCAGCATTTGTTTGTCTGAAAAAGACTGTATCTTCCCTTCATTTATGAAGTTTAGTTTACTGGATACAGAATTCTTGGCTGATAATTGTTTTGTTTGAGAAGGCTGAAGATAGGGCCCCGATCCCTTCTAGCTTGTAAGGTTTCTGCTGCGAAATTTGCTGTTAATCTGATAGGTTTTCATTTATAGGTTACCTGGTGTTTTTGCCACACAGTTCTTAATATTCTTACCTTCATCTTAACTTTAGATAACCTGATGATAATGTGCCTAGGTGATGCTCTTTTTGCGATGAATTTCCCAGGTGTTCTTTGAACTTCTTGTGTTTGGATGTCTAGGTCTCTAGCAAGGCTGGGGAAGTTTTCCTCGATTATTCCCCAAAATATATTTTCCAAACTTTTAGATTTCTCTTCTTCTTCAAGAATGCCGATTATTCTTAGGTTTGGTAGTTTAACATAATCCCAGACTTCTTGGAGGCTTTGTTCATATTTTCTTATTCTTTTTTTCTTTCTTGGATTGGATTAATTTAAAAACCTGTCTTTGAGCTCTGAAGTTCTTTCTTCTGCTTGTTCAATTCTATTGCTGAGACTTCCCAGAGCATTTTGCATTTCCATAAGTGTGTCCATTGTTTCCTGAAGTTTTGATTTTTTTATTTATGGTATCTATTTCATTGAATATTTGTCCCTTCTCTTCTTGTATAATTTTTTGGATTTCCTTACATTGGGCTTCACCTTCCTCTGGTGCCTCCCTGATTAGGTTAATATGTAACCTTCTGAATTCTTTTTCAGTTAAATCAGGGATTTCTTCTTGGTTTGGATCCATTGCTGGTGAGCTAGTGTGATCTTTTTGGGTGTGTTAAAGAACCTTGTTTTGTCTTTTCTACATAAACAATAAATAATCATAAAAAGAAATTACAAAAACAATTGCATTTAAAATAGCATGTGAAATAAATGATAAAATAGTAGGAGGTGAATGACACACTCTGAAAACTAGAAATCATTTTTGAACATAATAAAGACACAAATAAATGGAAAGGTATCTTATGTTCATGGATTGGAAGAATTATTGTTAGGATGTAAATGCCACCCAAAGCAATCTACAGATTCCATACACTCCCTATCAAAGTGTCAGTAGCACTTTTTTTACTGAAATAGAAAGAAAAAACCTAATATTCATATGGAATTTCAAGGCACTCTAAATAGCCAAAACAATTTTGAAAAAAAATGAATGAACTTGAAGATCACACACTTCCTGATTTTAAAAGATATTACAAACCTACAGTAATTTAAAAAGTGTGTTACATGTATAAGTACAGACATATAGACTAATGGAATAAACCAAATAATTCAGAAGTAAATCTTCATGTTTATGGTCAAATAATCTTTGGCAAGGAGGCCAAGACAACTCAATGGGGAAAGTACAATCCCTTCAACAAATCGTGTTTGATAAACTGGATATTTACATATAAAATAAAAAATATAAAGTTTTTTATTTTAATGAAGTCCAGTTCATCTACATTTATTTTGTTGCCTGTATGTTTGGTGTCATATGTAATAAATCATTGCTGGATACAATGTTATGGAGTCTTCCTCTATATTTTTTTCTAAGAGTCTTAGAGTTTTAACACTTAAGTTTGAGTCTCTGATACTTATTGAGTTTTTTCTTGTATATGGTATAAGATTGAGTCCAATTTCATTCTTTTGTATATGTATGGTATAAGATTGAGTCCAATTTCATTCTTTTGTATATGTATATTTAGCTGTCTCCATACCATTTTTTAAAAGATTGTTCTTTCCCCATTAAATGATTTTGAAATTCTTGTTGAAAATCAATTGACCATGTGCGGAATTATATCTAGGCTCTCTAATCTATCCTATTGGTTTATATCTTTCCTTATGATTGCATAATGCTGTTTTAATTGCCTTAGCTTTCCATTTTGTAATATATTTTAAAAATTTCTTTCAGCAATATTTTGTAGTTTTCAGTGTACACATCTTTTGCCTTATTGGTAAAGTTTATTTTTATGTTTTTTTTCTTTCAATGCTATTATAAATAAGATTATTTTTAATTTTCTTTTCAGATTGTACTTGAAACTGAAAAACAAAAATAATGCTAACATTATTTACTTTAATACTACTTTAATACTTTAATACTATAGATGTGGTCTATAAACAACTTATATCATTATTATAAAACTAAAACAAAACTATCAAAATAATTAATATAATTTAGTAAAAGATACGCCATATAAAAATGTAAGTTGTGGCAGGGAAAATTTAAAATATGGGAGAGAATGGAGTTAAATTGCTTTTGTGTTTTGTATATTTTTTTGCAATCAGTGTTAAGTTTTATCAGCTTAAAGTCACTTGTTATAACTATAAAATATTTTTTGTAAGGCTCATGGTAATGACAAAGCAAAAACTCACAATAGATGCACTAAAAATGAAAATCAGTGAATCAAAGTATACCACCAGAGATGATTACTTAACCACAAAAGAAATCTGTAGGAGAAAAAGAAAGGAAGAAATAATCTACAGAACAATTAAAAAATAAGTAACAAAATGTCCATAGTAGGCCATTGCCTGTCAATAATTAACTTGAAAGTAAATGTATTAAATTATTTAATGAAAAGACAGAGTGAATTAATTTATTTAAAAAAACAAAAAAACAAGACCCAACTGTATATTGCCAAAGAGGAACTCACTTCACTTGTAAGGACATGCATAGATTGAAAGTGAAGGCGTGGAAAAATATATCTCATGCAAGTGCAATGCAAAAACCAGCAGAAGTAACTACACTTATATTACATAAAATAGAGTGTAAACTAAAATAAAAATGGCTCAAAGAGACAAAGGGCTATTATATAATGTAAAAGGGTTAATGAAGCAAAAGGACATAATGATGGATACATATGCATCCAACATAAGAACACATAAATATATAAAGTGAATATTAATAAATCTCAACGGAATGTTAGACTACAATACAATAATAGTTAAGGACTTCAACACCCCACTTTCAGCAATGCACAGGTAGATCATCCAAGCAGAAAATCAACAAAGGAACATGAGAGTTAAACCATACTCTACACCCAATGGGCTTAACTGACATTTATAGAACATCCCATCTCACAGTGAATGAATATACATTATTTTAAAAAAAACAAGGAATATATTCTAGGATAAGTCATATGTTTGGACACAAAATAAGTCTCAACCAATGTTAAAAATCAAAATTATATCAAGTATGTTTTCTGATCACAATGGAATAAAACTAGAAATGAATAAAAAGTAGAACTTTGAAAAATGTACAAATACATGTAAATTAAATAAATGGGTCAAGAAAGAAATAAAAAAATCATATTAAGAGGTTTCTTGAAATAAAATTGAAAACACAGCATAAAAAACTATGAGATACAGCAAAAACAGTTTTAAGAGAGAAGTTTATAGCAATAAACATCTATCAAAATAGTAGAAATATCTCAAATAAACAACCTAATGTTACAGTACAGGGAATTAGCAAACAAAAGCAAACAAGCCCTTAGTAGAAATAGGAAGTAATAAATGTTAGAGAAGAAATAAAAGAGATACAGATAGAAAAACAATAGAAAAGATAAACAAAACTAAGACTATTTTTTGAAGAGGTAAGGAAAATCAATAAACCCTTAGCTAGACTAAAAATACAGAGAGAAATTCAAATAAATACAATCATAAATTAAAAGGAGACATTACAACTGGAATAACAGAAATACAAATGATAATAAGAGACTACTATAAACAATTATACACCAACAAATTGAATAACCTATAAAAATGAATGTTTTTAAACACATGCAACCTACCAATATTTAACTGTAAAGAAATGGAAAACTGATCAGACCATAAAAAAGTAATGAGATTGTATCAGCAACCACGGACCTGATGAATTCATTGCTGAATTACACTAAGTGTTTATACAAGAAATTATGTCAATTTTATTAAAAGTATTGCAAACAAAAATGGAAATGGAGGGAATTTACCCAAACTCATTCTATGAGGTCAGCATCACCCTGATACTAAAGTTAGATAAGGACACACCAAGAAAAGAAAACTGCAAGTCAATATCTACAAGCCTGATGAACATAGATGCAAAATTTTTCAACAAGATACTATCAAACCAAATCCTACAGTATATCAAAAAGATTTTTCACCGTTTTCATTGGAATTCATCCCAGAAATGCAATCCAATGTGTTTCAATATATACAAGTCAGTAAACATAGTATATCACATTAACAGAATGAAGGAAAAAGTCATATGATTATTTCAATAGTTGCAGAAAATTTATTCACAAAATTTAGCATTCCTTCATGATAAAAACCCTAAACTATGTATAGAAGAAATGTACATCAATACAATAAAGGACATATATGATAAACCCACAGCTAATATCATGATGCATAGGAAAAAGTTGAAAGTTTTCCTCTAAAATTTGAAACAAGAAAAGGATGTTCACTTTTCCAACTTTTATTCAACATAGTTCTGGAAGTCCTAGCCAGAGCAATTCGGCAAGAAAATAAAGTAAAGGGCATACCACTGGGAAGGAGGATGTTAACTTATTCTTGCTTGCAGACTACATAATGTTATATATAGAAAACCGTACAGACTCAAAAAAGTGCTCAAACTAATAAATTTAGTAAAGTTGCAGAATAAAAAATCAACATCCAAACATCAGTACCATTTCTATACAGTAACAGCAACCTATCTGAAAAAGAAGTCAAGAAAATAATCCCACATACAATTGCTATAAAAATAATAAAATATCTGGGAAATAAATTAATAAAAAAGTTGAAAGATCTCTACAATGAAAACAATGAACCATTGATAAAAGAAATTGAAGAGGATAAAAGAAAGAAATCCTATGTTCATGGATTACAATAATTAATATTGTTAAACTAACCATACTACCCAAAAAGATCTACAAAATCAATGCAATCTCTGCCAAAATTCCCATGTAATTTTTCACAAATTTAGAAAAAACAATCCTAACATTTGTATGGAACTATAAACAGTTGGAGGCATCACGTGACGTGACTTCAAAATATGCTACAAAGATATAGTAACCAAAAAATCACGATACTGGCATAAAAGCAGATAGACCAAAGACACAGAAAAGAGAAACCCAAAATAAATTGACACCCCTACAGGCAACTTCTTTTCAACAAAGGTGTCAAGAACAAACATTGTTAAAAGAACAATCTCTTCAATAAATGGCCATGGGAAAACTTAATATTCCCATACAAAAGACTGAGACTAGACTCCCATATCACTACTTCCAAAAATAACTCAAAATGGATTTAAAAGCCTGGGCAAGATAGTGAGACCTCGTCTAAACAAAAAAATAAAGAAAATTCGCTGGATGTGGTGGTGCACACCTGTGGTCCTAGCTACTCTGAATGCTGAGGTGGGAGAATCGCTTGAGCCCAGGAGGTCAAGGCTACATTGAGCCAAGATTTTGTCATTGCACTCCAGCCTGGGTGACAGACCAAGACCCTGTATCAAAAACAAAAGTGGATTAAGAACTTAAATATAAGACTTGAAATGATAAAACTACTAGAATAAAACATAAGGGAAATGTTTCTGGACATAGGTCTCAGCAATAATTTTTTTTCTTCAACTTTTATTTTAACTTCAGTGGCACATGTGCAGAATGTGTAGGTTTGCAACATAGGTAAATGTGTGCCATGGTGGTTTGCTGCACAGATCATCCAGTCACCTAGGTATTAAGCCCAGCATCTATTAGCTATTCTTCCTGATGCTCTCTCTCCTCCTACCACCAACCCTCCAACAGGCCCCAGTGTGTGTGTTGTTCCCCACAATGTGTCCATGTATTCTCACCATTCAGCTCCCACTTATAAGTGAGAACATGCAGTGGTTGGTTTGCTGTTCCTGCATTAATTTGCTGAGGATACTGGCTTGCAACTTGATCCATGTCCCTGCAAAGGACATGATCTTGTTTCATTTTATGGCTGCATACTATTCTATGATGTATATGTACCACATTTTCTTTATCAAATCTATCATTGATGGACATTTAGGTCGATTCCATGTCTTTGATATTGTGAATAGAGCTGCAATGAATATGTATAGTTCCATACAATATGTGCATGTATGTATCTTTATAATAGAATAATTTCTATTCCTTTGGGTATATACCCGGTAATGGGATTGCTGGGTCAAATGGTATTTCTGTCTCTAGGTTTTTAAAAATCACCACACTGTCTTCCACAATGGATAAACTAATTTACACTCCCACCAACAGCGTAAAAACATTCCTGTTTCTCCACAACCTCACCAGCATCTGTTGTTTCTTGACTTTTTAATAATCACCATTCTGTCTGGGGTGAGATGATATCTCACTGTGGATTTGATTTTCATTTCTCTAATGATCAATGATGCACAGTTTTTATTATATCTTTGCTGCTTTTTATTATATCTTTGTGGGCCACATGAGTGCCTTCTTTTGAGAAGTATCTGATTATGTCCTTTGCCCACTTTTTAATGAGATTTCTTGTTTTTTTCTTGTAAATTTGTTTAAGTTCCTTGTAGATTCTGGATATTAGACCTTTAGCAAATGACTCCATTGCAAAAATTTTCTCCCATTCTGTAGGTTATCTTTTCACTCTGATGATAGTTTCTTTTGCTGAACAGATGCTCTTTAGTTTAATTAGATCCCATTTGTCAATTTTTGCTTTTGTTGCAATTGCTTTTGGTGTTTTCATCATGAAGTCTTTGCCCATGCCTATGTTCTGAATGGTATTCCCTAGATTTTCTTCTAGGGATTTTATAGTTTGGGGTTTTACATTTAAGTCTTTAATCCATCTTGAGTTAATTTTCTTTATAAGGTGTAAGGAAGGGATCCAGTTTCAGTTTTCTGCATATGGGTAGCCAGTTTTCCCAGCACCATTTATTAAATAGGGAATCCTTTCGCCATTGCATGTTTTTTTCAAGTTTATCAAAGATCAGATGCTTTTCAGTGTGCAGTCGTATTTCCGATTTGTCTATTCTGTTCCATTGTTCTATGTGTCTGTTCTTGTACCAGTAACATGCTCTTTTGGTTACTTTAGCCTTGTAGTATATTTTGAAGTGGGGTAGCATGATGCCTCCAGCTTTGTTCTTTTTGCTTAGGACTGTCTTGGTTATTCAGGCTCTTTTTTGGTTCCATATGAATTTTAAAATAGTTTTTTCTAATTCTGTGAAGAATGCCTATGGTAGTTTAATGGGGATAGCATTGAATCTATAAATTACTTTGGGCAGTATAGCCATTTTCATGGTATTGATTCTTTCTATCCATAAGCATGGAATGTTTCCTTTTTTGTTTGTGTCCTCTGATTTCTTTGAGCATTGGTTTGTAGTTCTTCTTGAAGAGAGCCTTCACTTCCCTTCTTTGCTCTAGTCCTAGGTATTTTATTCTTCTTGTAGCAATTGTGAATGGGAGTCCATTCATGATTTGCCTTTCTGCTTGCCTGTTGTTGGTGTATAGGAATGCTAGTGATTTTTGTGTGTTCATTTTATATCCTGAGACTTTGATGAGGTCGCTTCTCAGCTTTTGCATGGAGATGATGGGGTTTTCTAGATATAGGATCATGTCATTGGCAAACAAAGATAATTTGACTTCCTCTCTTCCTGTTTGAATACCCATTATTTATTTCTCTTGTCTGATTGCCCTAGCCAGAACTTCCAACACTGTGTTGAATAGGAGTGGCGAGAGAGGGCATTCTTGCCTTGTGCTGGTTTTCAAGCAGAATGCTTCCAGGTTTGCCCACTCACTATGACATTGGCTGGAAGTTTGTCATAAATGGCTCTTATTATTTTGAGGTATGTTCCTTCAATAGCTAGTTTATTGAGAGTTTTTAACATGAAGTGATGTTGAATTTTACCAAAGGCCTATTTTGCATTTATTGAAATAATCATGTGGTTTGTGTCTTCAGTTCTGTTTATGTGATGAATTACATTTATTGATTCGCACATGTTGAACCAACCTTGCATCCCAGGGATGAAGCCAACTTGATCATAGTGGATTAGCTTTTTGATGTGCTGCTGGATTTAGTTTGCCATTATTGTATTGAGGATTTTTGCATTAATGTTCATCAAGGGTATTGGCTGGAAGTTTTCCTTTTAGGTGTATCTCTGTCAGGTTTTGGTACCAAGATGATGCTGGCTTTATAGAATGCGTTAGGGAGGAGTCCCTACTTTTCAATTTTTTTGGAAGAGTTTCAGTAGAAGTGGTGCCAGCTGTTCTTTGTACCTCTGGTAGAATTCAGCAATGAATCTCTCTAGTCCTGGGCTTCTATTGACTGGTAGTTTAGTTATTACTGCCTTAATTTCAGAACTTGTTATTGGTCTATTCAGAGATTCAATTTCTTACTGGTTCAGTCTTGGGAAAGTGTATGTGTCCAGGAATGTATTCATTTCTTCTATATTTTCTGGTTTATGTGCATAAAGGCATTTATAGTATTCTCTGAAGGTTGTTTGTATTTCTGCGGGGTCAGTGGTGATAGTCCCTTGATTATTTCTGATTGTGTTTACTTGATTCTTCTCTTTTCTTCTTTATTAGTCTAGCTAGAGGTCTATCCATGTTATTATTATTTTAAAAAAAACAACTTCTGGATTCATTTATTTTTTCAAGGGTTTTTTGTGTCTCTATCTCCTTCAGTTCAGCTTTGATCTTGATTATTTCTTGTCTTCTGCTAGCTTTGGAATTTGTTTGCTCTTGGTTCTCTAGTTCCTCTAGTTGGTATGTTAGGTTGTTGATTTGAGATATTTCCAGCTTTTTGATGTTGGCATTTTAGTGCTATAAATTTCCCTCTTGACACTGCTTTAGCTGCATTCCAGAGATTCTGGTATGTTGTCTCTGTGTTTACATTAGTTTCAAGGAACTTAGTTTCTGCCTTAATTTCAGCATTTACTCCAGAGTCATTCAGGAGCAGGTTGTTGAATTTCCATGTCACTGCGTGGTTTTGAGTGAATTTTTAAATCTTGAGTTTTAATTTCATTGTGCTGTGTTTTGAGAGACTGTTTTATATGATTTCAGTTCTTTTGCATTTGCTGAAGCATGTTTTACTTCTGAATATGTAATCAATTTTTAAGTAAGTGCCAGGGGGTGATGAGAAGAATGTATATTCTGTTGTTTTTGAGTGGAGAGTTCTGTAGATATCTATCAGGTCCACTTGATCCAGAGCTTAGTTCAGGTCCTGAATATCTTTGTTAATTTTTGGTCTCACTGATCTGCCTAATATTGTCAGTGGGATGTTAAAGTTTCCCACTATTATTGTGTTGGAGTCTACGTTTTTCGTAGGTCTCTAAGCACTTGCTTTATGAATCTGGGTGCTCCTATTTTGGGTGCATATATAATAAGGATAATTAGCTCTTCTTGTTGAATTGAAACCTTTATCATTATGTAATGCCCTTCTTTGTCTTTTTTGATCATTGTCAGTTTAAAGTCTGTTTTTTCAGAAACTAGGATTGCCACCCCTGCTTTTTTTCCTGTTTTCCATTTGCTTGGTAGATTTTCCTCCATCTGTTTGTTTTGAGCCTGTGTCATTGCATGTGAAATGGTTCTCTTGCAGACAGCATCTGATGGGTCTTGGCTCTTTATCCAGCTTGCCATTCTGTGTCCTTTAATTTGGGCTTTTAGCTCATTTACAATTAAGGTTAGTATTGTTATGGGTAAATTTGATCCTACCATCATGATGCTAACTGGTTATTTTGCAGACTTGTTTATGTAGTTGCTTCATGGTGTCCCTGGTCTGCGTACTTCAGTATGTTTTTGTAGTGGCTGATAATGATTTTTTTCTTTCTATATTTAGTGCTTCCTTCAGGAGTTCTTGTAAGGCATGCCTGCTGTGATGAATTCCTTCAGCATTTGCTTGTCTGAAAAGGATCTCATTTCTCCTTCACTTATGAAGCTTAGTTTGGCTGGATATAAAATTCTGGGTTGAAAATTCTTTTCTTTAAGAATGTGAAATATTGGCTCCCAATCTCTTCTGGCTTGTAGGGTTTCCATTGAGAGATTCACTGTTAGTCTGATGACTTTCCCTTTGTAGGTGACCTGGCCTTTCTCTCTGGCTGCCCTTAATATTTCTTCTTTCATTTCAACCTTAAAGAATCTGACGATTATGTGTCTTAGGGTCAATCTTCTCAGGGAGTATCTTACTGGGGTTCTCTGCATTTCCTAAATTTGAATTTTGGCCTGTCTCGCTAAGCTGGGAAAGTTCTTCTAGATGATATCCTGAAGTATGTTTTCCAACTTTGTTTTATTCTCCCCATCTTTTTCAGGTACTCCAATCAGTCATAGTTTTGTTCTCTTTACATAATCCCATATTTCTCAGAGGTTTTGTTCATTACTTTTTGTTCTTTATCCTCCATTCTTTGTCTGCCTGTCTTTTTTCAGAAAGACAGACTTAAAGCTCCAGGATTCTTTCCTTCACTTTGTCTATTCTGCTATTGATACTTGTTATTCCATTGTAAAATGCTTAGGTTTTTCAGCTCCATAAGATTGATTACGTTCCTTTCTAAACTGGCTATTCTGGCTATCATCTCCTGTTTGCTGTATCATGATTCTTAGCTTCTTTGCATTTGGTTACAACATGCTCCTTTAGCTCAGTGAAGCTGATTATTACCTACCTTCTGAAGCCTACTTCTAACAGTTCAGCCGTCTCTGCCTCAGCCCAGTTCTGTGCCCTTCTGGAGAGGTGTTGCAGTCATTTGAAGGAGAAGAGGCACTCTGGCTTTTTGAGTTTTTAGCATCTTTGCATTGACCCTTTCTCATCTTTGTGACCTTATATACCTTTGATCTTTGAGGTTGCTGACCTTTGAATGAGGTTTCTTTGGGGTCTTTTTGTTGATGCTTTTGTTATTGTTTTCTATTTGTTTATTTTTCTTTTGTCAGGCCACTCTACCATAGGTCTGCTGTGGTTTGCTGGAGGTCTGCTCCAGACCCCAGTTGTCAGTTTCTCCCATACCAGGAGGTATTTACCAGTGAAGCCTGCAAAAGGGCACAGATGGCTGGCAGCTCCTTCCTCTGGAAACTCCATCCCAGGGGTGTACTGACTTGTTGCCGGCCAATATACACCTGTATGAGGTGGCTGAAGACCCCCATTGGGAGGTCTTAACCAGTCAAGAGGAATTGGATCAGAGAACCACCCAAAGAAGCTGCCTGGCTTCTTTTTCATAGAGCAGGTGTGCTGTGTTGTTCAGGACCCATCCTCATCCAGACCACCTCCATTCTCCAAACCCAGCAGGCTGGAGCAGCTGCGTTAACCAGACCACAGAGATGATGGCTGCCCCTATTCATAGGAACTTGGACTCATCTCAAGTGGAATCCGACCCTCTGCCATTGGCTGGCTGGGATTCCAAGCCAGTGGATCTTAACTTGTGAGGTGCTGTGGAAGTGGCACCCACAGGATAATGCTGCTTGGCTCCCTGGATTTAGCCCCTTTCCTAGGGATATGTACAGACATATCCCTCTTTCCTAGGGATATGTAGAGACAGGATCCTTGCCAAGGATCTCAGGGCCAGAGTATGTAAAACTCCTTGGTCTCTGTGTGTGCCTGAGTGACTGCTTTGCTGAGACTCCACACAGCTCTGTGTATCAGACCCAAGGCCATGGTGGCATGGGCTCCTGAGAGGATTTCCTGATCCACAGATTGCAAAGATCTGTGGGAAAAGTGTGGTTTCCTGGGTGGGGTCACACAATCACTCATTGTTTCCCTTGGCTGTGGGTGGAGATTCCTTTGGCTCCATGCTACTCCCAGGTGGGCCATCACATGCCCCATGCTTTACGTCTCCGTGGGTTGAGTTGTTTGCCTAATCAGTCCCAATGTGAGAACCTGGATATTTCAGTTGAAGGTGCTGAATTCACTCGCCCCTTTTCATTCCTCTTCATGGAGTTCCAGCTATTTCTAATTGGCCATCTTGGATTCCTCAAGAATTTTTTGAATGAGATCTGCAAAGCACAGTCAACAAAAGCAAAAATAGATAAATGGATTACATCGAACTAAAAAGCTTTTGTAAATCTAAGGAAACGATCAACAGTTGCAAAGTGAGTCTGACAAGGGATTAATATCAGAATATATAAGGAACTCAAACAAGTCAATAGCAAAAAAAAAAAAAAAAAAAAAACACCAAATAATCTGATTAAAAATAGGCAAAAGAGAAGATGGGGAGAGGTTGGCCAACAGGCACAAAGTTAGAGTTAAATATAAAAAATGTTCTGATGTTCTATTGCAAAATAAGGTGATGATAGCCAACAATATTGTTTACTTCAAAATAGCTAGGATTTTGAATGTTCTCACCAAAAATAAATGACACATTTTGAGGTGATGGATATACTAATTACCCTGATTTGATCATTACTATATATATATCAAGACATCAAACTATTTCCCATAAATATGCAGAATGATTATGTGTTAAATAAAAGTAAAACAAAACTTTAAAAAAGAATTCCCATGTATGCTTCATTTTTTTTTATTTTTTTTATTTTTGTAGACACAGGGTCTCCCTTTGTTGATAAGGCTTGTCTTGAACTCCTGGCTTCAAGCAACTCTTCTGCCTTAGACTACCAAAGCATTGGGATTACAGGTGTGAACCACCATGCCTGACCTCATATTTTTAAAAAATTAACTGCACATTTACTTTCTTGCAATGACTTCACAGAATTCTAAAATTAGATACTTTATATACAGAGAGAAAGCCAATGGTATAACAAGATCTGCTGCACCAAGAGCAGGTGTAAATATGTTTGAATCTTTTGTGTCAATTGCAGCATTTTCTAATCATTACCTGAAATATTTGATTCACTCGAAGTTTTATTAAGTTTTAGAACCACAATACCGCAATTGGTAAAATGAGTCGGTTTTTTTGTGAAGACATTGGTTAAAAAAATAACAAAAAAACCATTAAATGTTGTTTCTGGTGGATATCAAAATCTGAAATAGAAAGATTACAATGAGACAAATTCCTTTTGTTTAAAGCGTTTTATTTGGTTAAAAAAAAAAATGCACCTGTAGTCCCAGCTACTTGCGAGGCTAAGGCAAGAGGATTGCTTGAGCCTGGTAGTTTGAGGCTGCAGTGAGCTATGATCACACCACTGCACTCTAGTCTGAGTGATGAAGTGAGACCCTGCCTCTTAAAAAAGAAATAAATAAATAAAAGAAATTAAGAGAAAGCATACTCTCTTTTTTTAACATTTATTTTAGCTTCAGGGATACATGTGCAGGTTTGTTATAAAGGAAAACTCATGTCACAGAGGTTTGGTTTACAGATTATTTTGTCATTAGGGTACTAAACTTAGTACCCAATAGTTACTTTTCCTGATCTTCACCCTCCTCCCACCTTCCACCCCCAAGCAGGCCCAAGTGTCTATTGTTCCCTTTTTTGTGTCCATGTGTTCTCATTATTTAGCCCCCACTTATTAGTCAGAACATGCAGTATTTGCTTTTCTGTTCCTGCATTAGTTTGCTGAGGATAATGACATGCAGCTCGATCCATGTTTCTGCAAAGGACATGATCTGACTTTTTTATGGCTGCATAGTATTCCATGGTGCATATGTACCACATTTTCTTTATCCAGTCTACCATTGATGAGCATTTAGGTTGTTGTTCCATGTCTTTGCTATAGTGAATAGTGCTACAATGAACATACATGTGCGTGTGTCTTTATGGTAGAATGATTTATATTTATTTGGGTATATACTCAGTAATGGGATTGCTGGATTGAATGGTAGTTCTGTTTGTAACACTTTGAGGAATTGTCACACTGCTTTCCACAATGGTTGTACTAGTTTATACTGCCCCCAACAGTATATATGTGTTCCCTTTTCTCTGCAACCTTTCCAACATCTATTATTTTCTGACTTTTGATAATAGCCATTCTGACTGGTGTTACATAGTATGTCATTATGGTTTTGATTTGCATTTTTCTAATGATTAGTGATACTGTGCTTTTATTCCATATGCTTATAAGCCACATGTATGTCTTCTTTTGAACTGTCTATTCATGTCTTTTCCCCACCTTTTAAAGGGGTTATTTGATGCTTGTAAATTTGTGTAAGTTCCTTATAGATGCTGGATATTAGACCTTTGTCAGATGCATAGTTCACAAATGTTGTCTCCCATTCTGTGTGTTGTCTGTTTACTCTGTTGATATAAAAGTTTATTTTGCTGTGCAGAAGCTCTTTAATTAGATCCTATTTGTCAATTTTTGCTTTTGTTGCAATTACTTTTGGTGTCCTTATCATAAAATCTTTGCCAGTTTCTATGTCCAGAATTATATTTCCTAGGTTATCTTCTAGGTGTTTTTATAGTTTGGGATGTCATATTTAAGTGGTTAATCCATCTTGAGTTGATTTTTGTATATGATGTAAAAAGAGGGCCAAGTTTCAATTTTCTGCATGTGACTAGCCAATTATCCCAGCACCATTTATTGAATAAGAAGTCCTTTCCCCATTACATAATTTTGTTAGCTTTATCAAAGATGAACTAATTGTAGATGTGTGGTATTACATCTGGAATCCCAATTCTGTTCCATTGGTCTATGTCTCTGTTAGCATACTCTATTATATTTAGCAAGATATTTAAGATTTATGGTGCATTCTTTTCTTTCCAGAAGATCTGAATTCTCATTTGGTATCATTTTGTTTTATCCTGAATATTTTTTAAATAGTCCAGCTGTGCCGGGATCTTATGATTTTAATTTTTCTTTCATTTGAAAATATATCTATTTTGTGTATATATATATTTTACCATATACCACTGATCCCACATACCAACTACCTCCCTCATTTTGCGCATCCCCCACCGGAATTATACATTTATTACAATCAGTGAAACTACATTAACATATCATCACCCAAAACCCAGCTTACATTAGAGTTCACTCTTGGCGTTGTACATTCAATGGCTTTAGCTGTAGAATGACAAATGTTTCACTGCCCCAACAGCCTCAGTGCTCTACCTAAGAATTCCTCCCTCTCCCTAATTCCCTGGCAACCATTGATCATTTTACTGTCTCCTTAGCCTTTTTCAGACTGTCATTTAGCTGGAATCACATAGTATATAGAATTCTCAGATTAACTTATTTGACTGAGAAATATGAATTCAATATTCCTCTATATTTTTTCATTGTTTGATAGCACATATATTTTTAGCACTGAATAATGTTCCATTGTCTGTATGTACCATAGTTTATTTATCTATTCACTTACTGAAAGACATCTTGATTGCTTCCAAGTTTTGGCAATTATGAATAAAGTTGCTATAAACACCTGTGTTTAGATTTCAACATAGACATAAGTTTACATTACATCTGGCCCACATTGTTTCATATGAGATGGCAGTGGTCATTAGATTCAATGTTTTTGAATGTAATGTGTTATTTATTCTTTGTTTGCATTCATGATTTTCTTATCATTTCAAAGTAATTTGACTATGATATGACTAGAGATATTTTTCATTGTGTTTATCCTGCTTGACTTGTCTGATCTTCTTTAATCTCTAAGTTTATTTTTAAATTAAAATTTGGAAAATGTAAGCCATTTTTTCAAGTAATTATTTTGCTTATTTCCTTTTCTTCTCATTCTGAGATACCAATTACAAGTAATTTAGACATTGTATATTGTCCTATAGTTTTCTGAGGCTCTATCAATTTCTTCAATCAGTTTATCTCTCTCTCCTTTATTTATTGTGTCCCTAAAGCAATAATTATTTATTTGTTATTTATGTATTTTTAAATTGACACATTGTTATTGTACATATTTATGGGTTACAATTTGATGTTTTGATATATATATATATGCTGTATAATTATCAAATTTGGGTATTCATCATATCCATCACCTCATGCATTTATTGTGTCTGTGGTGAGAACTTTCCATAGCCTCTTTTCTAGCTATTTTGTAATATACAATACCATACTCTTAACCATTGTCACCCTACTGTACAATAGAATACCAGAACTTATTACTCCCATCTAATTGTAACTTTGGGCCCATTGCCAAACCTTCATTATCCTCCCCTCTCCCTCCATTTTCTAGTCTGTAGTAATCACTATTCTACTCTCTGCTTCTATGTCAACTCTTTAATTCCATAAATAAGCGAGATCATACAGTATTTGTTTTTCTGGTCTGGCTTATTTTACCTAATATTATGTCCTACAGGTTCATCCAAGTTGTCCCAAATGACAGGATTGTATTATTTTTTATAGCTGCATAGTATTCCATTGTGTATGTATACCACATTTTCTTTATTCATAAATTCATTATTGGACACTTAGGTTGATTCTATATCTTGGCTATTGTGAATAGTGTTCCAATAAAGATGGTAGTGTAGATATCTGTTTGACAAGCTAATTTCATTTTTTACATATAAATCCAGAAGTCAGATTAGCAGATCATATGGTAGGTAGTTCTATTTTTAATTTTTTTAGGAACCTGCATACTGTTGTCCATAATGGCCATACTAATTTACAATCCCACCAACAGTGCATGCATGTCACTTTTGTTTAAATTCCCACAAACATTTATTTTCTTTTGCCTTTTTGATAATAACCATTCTAACATGAGTGAGGTGGTATCTAATTGCATTTCCCTGATGATTAGTGATGTTAGGCATTTTCTCATATACCTGTTGGTCACCTCCATGTCTTCTTTTGAGAAATGTCTATTAATGTCTTGTTTTTTGTGAGTTTTATTTGCTGTTGAGTTTTTAAATATTATTAATACTCTGGTTATTAATCCTTTGTCAGATGTATAGTTTACAAATATCTTCTCTTATTTTATGGGTTTTCTTTTTGCTCTCTTTATTGTTTCCTTTACTGTGCAAAAGTTTTTAGTTTGATAAAATCTCATTTGTCTATTTTTGGTTTTGTTGCCTGTCCTTTTGAGGTCTTATTTTAAATACATTTGTTCAGCTCAATGTCCTAAAACATTTCCATTATGGTTTCTGTTAGTAGTGTCATTGTTTCAAGTTTTAAGTTTAACTTTTTAACCCATTTTGACTTGATTTTTGTACATGATGAGAGAGAGGGATCTAGTTCCATTCTTCTGTATGTGAATATCAAATTACCCCAACAACATTCTTTGAAGAGACTGTCTTTTCGCCAAAGTGTGTTCTTGGCACTTTGTCAAAAACCAGTCGGTTTTAGGTGCATGATGTAGTTTGGCTGTGTCCCTACCCAAATCTCTTCTTGAACTCCCATGTGTTGTAGGAGGTAAGAGTGGGAGGTGATTGAATTATGGAAGCAGGTCTTTTCCATGCTGTTCTTATGATAGTGAATAAGTCTCATGAGATCTGATGGCTTTATAAGGGGGAATTTCCCTGCACAAACTCTCTCTTTGCCTGTTGCCCTCCATGTAAGATGTGACTTGCTCTTTCCTCACCTTTTGCCATGATTGTGAAGCCTCCTCAGCCACATGGAACTGTAAATCCATTAAAACCTCTTTTTCTTCCCAGTATCAGGTATGTGTTTATCAGCAGCATGAAAATGTACTAAAACAGTGCATGGGTTTATTTCTGGGCTCTGTATCCTGTTCTCTTGGTCTATGTGACTATTTTCATGCCAGTAACATGGTGTTTTAGTTACTAGAGTTTTGTAGTATATTTTGAAGTCAGGTTGTGTGATACCTTCAACTTAGTTCATTTTTTTCAGGATGCTTTGGCTACTTGAGGACTTTTGTCATTCTGTATAAATTTTAGAATTCTTTTTTTTTCTTCCATTTTTGTGAAGAATGAATTGGTATTTTGTAAAGGACTGCATTAAATCTGTCACTCACTTGGGTAATATGGCTATTTTAACATGTCTCTCCTTTAGATTGTATTATTTCTGTTGATATATTTTCAAATTCACAGACTCATTCTGTCAAATTTATTCCTCGCTTAAGTCTATCTAGTAAAATTTTTAACTTCAGGTATTTTATATTTTTATTTCTAACTTTTTTTTATTATTGTTACCTCTATTATATCACCTTTTACTGTCAGAGATTTTATGCTCCTCATAGATACTTTCCCTGTTTCTTCTGGTAAAATATTCTTCCTGTGAGAACTAGAACCTGTAAATCCATAGAAGCCAGAGATTTGGGTATGGGAAACACAAACTCGCCTAGTCGGTCATTGGAGTGCTAATTAAGATAAGCTACTCTAACTTCCACATCTTGGTTCCCAAACCCATATAACATAATTCTAACTACTTGTGGCACAGCACTGTATTACATGTATTGCTTCAGAGTGCATATAGTACCCTGGAAAGTATCATCTATAAGCTTATACTTTGATCTCACATTTAGAAGGTCATAATTCTCTAACAGCTTCTAAGTTATGCATTATGAGATACTGCTAGTAGATCCTATGGTAATGGGTCCACTCCCAAATTTCCTTTGGTGTAAAGATGGCCCTTTGGTCTACAGTGAGGTTATGGGAGAATTGCATATCAGGATAACAAATATCGTGCAAGCCCTCAGATAATGGTGCTGCTAAGAATCTTCAGACAGGAAAGTCAAACCACTATACCCATAATACATGTCACTTCCAATCAAGATAAATCACATGCCTTTCCAGGGTAGAAGAGGGTCCAACATAATCAACTTAACACTAAATAGCTGGTTAGTCTCTGTGAAGGATAGTGCTGTATTAAGGCTCAGCAGTGTTTTCTTTTAATTATAGGTTGAACATTACACAGTGGCATTAGTTCCATCATCTTTGAAGACTGGAAGCTCATGATGTTGAACACGTGCTTAACCTCCATCACTGCCATTGTGCTACTCTATTATTACATCCATGTTTCCAGCACAAAGGCGACTGATGCTGCAGGCTAGCTTAGTTTATCTAACCTAGTCATTTTGTCTACATGGTTGTTTAGTGCTTTTTCTAGTGTATATGTTCTCTTGAGGGTATTAATATATGATACAAGGAGCTTCTCTCTTTTTTCTGTTTTCATAGGTCCAGCCACGTTGCTGCTTTTCTGGACCTCTTTATGCAGATCTTTCAGTCTTACTCTTTCCAGACTCCCAACTAATTATCCAAGTCATTTGTTACTGAGCATCTATATCTATCTATCTATCTATCTATCTATCTATCTATCTATCTATCAATCATCTATCTCCATATCTATATCTATAATTTATCTATCTGTTATCTATCTATATCTATTCATTCTAATCCAAGACTACATTGTTTTCCAAAACAGTAGATAATAAGTAATATTATTTGAACCTTTCCCTATTTAGATGATTTAACCTCATTCCTGTGCTCAAGGACTGAATTGAATGGCAGTGCAGAAACAATACATTTTTTATTTTTAACCACATACCGACCCACTGTGTCTTAGTCTATTTGGGCTGCTATAACAGAAATACTATATCCTGGGTGCCATAAACAACAATTTATCACAGTTCTGGATGCCTAAACATCCAAGATCAAGGCATCAAAAGATTCAGTGTCTGATAGGGGACCACGTCCTGGTTTTTCAGCAGCCATCTTCTCACTTTGCATGTATGGTAGAAGGAGTGAGAGAGCTCTCCGGACTCTCTTTTAAAAGGACACTTATCCCTTACATATGTTCTGTACTCTTATGACCTAGTCACCTCCCAAAAGCTCAACTCCCTAATACCATCAAATTGGGGATTAGGATTTCAACATATACATTTGATGGGGACACAAACATTCATTCCACAACACTCTCCATTCATGAACTGAGCTTAGCTTTTCACTACCGCCATCAGTTTGTTATAAGGGAGTCACTACCAATGTGGCCATAGCTATGAGCTAAAGAAAGGTGCTGGTATAACAGTGGTCTCATACTTGGGGTACAAGATTATGCAGTTTATTTGTGCCCTCTGGCCTTTCTCATGTATAATTCTGGATGTACCAATTTAATCTTACAATTGATTGCTAGTGGATCCTCTTGACCTTAGGACTTGATGAATTCAAAAGAAGTGAGATCCTGTTGAGCAGTTCTGGCAGCATGGTCAATTAATGCTTCATGATCAGGTGCTCTAACAAAGCCTGACTGCATTCCAGAAGCAGTTTTTTGAGTGGTGCATAATCTCCACTAGTGATGGCATGGTCTTGCTACAGAACTGTAAAGGTTTTCCATTATTATTTTCAATTAGAGTTTTCCGCAAACTCTACATGTCATGGTTTCCTACCAGATATCTCAGTAGCGTCTGTTGTGTCATATGAAACATGTGGCAGAACATCTTGTACTGCAGCCGTGGACGTAACGCAGAATTTTTTCCCAATCTTGTTTTACTTAAAGCTTTCAGTTTTGTATGTTACTTGGTAAATGGGTTAGTTCAGTATCCAGATGTGTGAAGTATGCTGCCTCCAGAACCAAAAGAGGACTGCCATGTATTGTCTTTTTTATGGTGAGTGTTGCCAGATGCAATAATTTGTTTCTTACTTTGGAGAAGATCCGTTGGCATGCCCAGACCAGTGAATATCTAAAAACCTCACTGATGTTTTAGGCCCCTCAATCTGTTGATGGTTTATTTCCTAGGAGCTTATGTGTCTTATGGTCTACAACATAGATGCCACTTCTTGTACATTTGTTTTGATTAACATGACTTATCAATATAATAAGTATAGTAAATAAATGTGATTTACTGCAAAATGTGCAGACAGTGTAGACCCCTTATTACAATAGTATGACAAAGGTGAGAGACATAACATAGCCCTGTGACACACCCATAAATAAATGCTGTTTTCTGTTCCATGTGAATGAAAATTGCTTCTAACACCCATGGAAAAGACCACATTATCCAAATGAATGTTTGCATACCACATATGTGAGAACATATTAATCTGTTAAAAAATATATACCAGACACATTCATTGCATTTGGGATTACTACTTGGTTTTGTTTGTGGTGGTCCACTGCCATCCTCTGAAACCAATTTATTTTTATATAGTCTAGACTGTCAAATTAAATAGGTATATGTTGGGTATCACTATTTTTATATTTTTCTATCTTGAGCCATGGCATTAATCATTGCTGTTCTACTCCACTAAGATATATATATATATATATATATATATATATATATATACACACACACACACACACACACATATACATATATATACATATATACATATATATACACATATATACATATATACACATATATATACATATATATACATATATACACATATATACACATATATACATATATATACACATATATACATATACATATATATGTATATGTATATATATGTATATGTATATGTGTTTGTGTGTGTGTGTGTGTATATATATATATATATATATATATCTCCAGCAAATACAGTGTGTATGTGTATGTACTATATTTGCTGAAATGAGGGGTCAATTTCAGAGGCTATGTCTTGGCTTTCCCCACAGAGTTAACTTTTACCCCAATGGCCAAGTAACTCATTTAAGGTTTCCTTTAATTTCCAGGAATGTCTATCCCAATATACATTTGGGGTCTGATTATTGATGAACAAATGGTTCTGTGGAATAAATGGGCTCTTATGAGCTAGACCTGGCACCATATTTTATGTATATCTTCTCTAAAAGAGAAGCTATGCTGACTCTTTAGGTCCCTAGATATCAATTTTTATTCAGCTATTATGTCTGTGTCTCAAAAATGTCTGTTATTTCCTGTGCCCCAGGGTTAAGTTATCCAAGAAAATAACTATAAGTTCATTTGTGAAAGTTCTAGGGGAATATTACTATATACACTTGTGGGGGAGACTTTATAAGCAGACTGCTTGTTTTTAAATTCATTAATCTGGATCTAAAAACAGGAAATTGAGCAATGAATTGAAACTTTGAGGGGAGAGCTAAAATCAGCCTCCTGGTCACTATTCCTTGATATATCTAGACGGTATAGATTCAGCAATACCTTGTTAGCTGGTTGCCAACTTGTCTCTGGGGACTCTATTTTTTATTAACTAACTTTATGGCTCTTTTTGGGTCAGGCTTTTCTGGTTGTGACTATTAACTTGCTACTCATTATACTAATTGCACCTGTTTTGCTTATTACATGTAAATACCATCACCTATACTTTAGCATTTCAGGAACCTATCGTTGTCATTGACATCAGAGAGCTCGATACTATAAAGTGAACCTCGTACTATCACCCATGGCCTACAGAGGACAACCAAGACATTATCAACAATGCTGGTAACTCTCACCACTCTATTAATTATTATGATAAATAGAGCCTTCCCAGAGAACGTAATTGGTTGGTAAATTTTCCATCCTTATGTAGTATATACACGTGTAGGTCCACTTTTCTAAAACTGTTGATTCCTTCTTCTACTGTCTGACATGGAAATTCATTCATTTCTGCATTACACAGTGTGGACCATCACTCTCCAAGTTTCCAAAAGTCATCCTAGAAGTGCATTAACCACTACCTCCCAGAGTTATTGCCAAGCTGTTAAAACCTGTATTAGCAGGTTCATCCCTTTCCTGGACAAATGATATTGTGACTGGACTATGGTTATTGGTCTGGTGGCCTGCAGCAGTGATGTAGATAAATCCTGAAAGGACTTTTGTAGTCTTCCAATGCAGAGATCTTGGCATTGTCTTAATGGAAGAGGAGTGCTAGACTTTAACATGGAGCAATGGACCACCTCTGCAAAATCAGAGGTTTCAGTGCACTCTGGGGATTCCAAAGTTTTAAGTGTATTTCCTTGGATATCTCCATCCTATATCTCAGGATTTCGCTTCTTTGTAAACATGGTCTTGACCTTGGCATAGCTGCCTTGCAAGGACTAATAATTCAAACATACCTGGAGCTCCACTACTTATACTTAAATTCTAATCCTTCCCCTCACTTATTTCTGCCTTCTGGCTGTAAGAGATAAGAGTCTCCTTCTATGCTACCAAAAAGGCCATGACTTTTGCCCTTTGCCTTATACTGTTGATTAATCATGTTTCATTGTCTTTTTCCAATGCAATAATGTCACTCAGCAGGAGTCATCAAATTCCATTGTCCTTGTAATTACAACTGTTTCAAGCCTCTGAACTACAGCCCTTACCAATGTATTCTTTCTCACTAGTGTATCTGATTCCAGCTCAATATTGGAGATTTTTTTTTAACAATTACACTTCTGGAGAAGTCTAGGTGCTATGTACTGGGATTGGCATTGCCACCTGGCTAGTGAATGGTTTTGATCAAAATCCCATTTTGCATTCCGCTTCCTCAGACCACTTCTGGGACCAACCATTTTGTGTTATGTTCCCTGGGAGACTGGAAGACAGACATTAAGACAGATATTTGCATGCAGAGAATATGTTAATGAGTGCTATTTGCAGCAATAGCTGGGAGGAAGTGAGAAAAGTAAAATTAGGCAGAGCCATAAGTGTAACTGTGGTACATTTGCATAACAGGCCTCAGCTACATGGGGATCCCTGGACCTGGAATGGGTCTTCAGAATTGTTGCAAATTCAATCAATGAGGCCAGGACAATGGATTCCCTCCTTACGTGTCACTGGGCTCCTGACATTGGGTGTGGACTGTCCCTGGGGAAGCAGAATAACTTTTGGCAAGTTCATTCCCTGTAGCTGAAAAAACTTCTGGGGAAAGCCTCAGCTGGGAGTCATCAGCAAGCAATACTCCTGCAAAGTGTAGGTGAATACATTGGTACTGAAGGACGAGATCTGGACAACACAACATAGTATCCATTACAATACCTCAAATAGTCAAAACACTTATCTGCCATGGTGTCTCTGTTTGTACTCTTTTCTGTTCCAGTTGAAATTCTTCCTATGTTACTGCTTGCAAGCTCATTTCATTACCAAGACAGTGGTGAGTTTCAGTAAAATATATATATTCATGTTTATCTTTCCCATTTCTCAAGTTCCAGTCTTTAAATCAGTACTCCCCATACTAAGAAGACTATCAGGATTTTATTGGGAACTTATTAAATTACAGGTTCATAGTTCCAATCTTTCCCAAGTTCAGATTCAATAGGTCTCCTAGCTTTTGTTGTTGCTGTTAGTGTTGTTTTTGTTGTTTTTATTTATTATTACTTTTTCTTTTAAAACCCTGGGAGTTTCTGATATAGCCATCAGAATCTGGCATTTACGAATTATTTACGAATGACTGACCTAAGATAATCCCCTGGGAAGCTTTTAAAATATGAGGATCCATTTTATCTTGTAACAGAAGAACATTCAATAGTTCCACAACTATTCTAGAAGTTGTAGGCATAGGCTGGTAATGATTCTTCCACATTTATTTTGTCATGTTTGAAACCAATGCATGCATTTGGGATTAGGTATATAGTGTATGGCCATTTAATAGAACAAACAAAATTCATTCAGGTTTGGAATACATGATTTAATCATCTGTGTGGAATAATTCAGTAAAATGTCTATCCCAAAGTCCCACTGCTATCAGCCTAATTTTCTCTCCCATCCTTCATTAGGGATACAACACATTCTCATTAGCATAGTAATTTACTATGGCACACTGATTCTAAAGCAAGAGAAAACAAAAGGGGAGGAAAAGGAAGTGGTATAAGTTTGTAAAAGATCCAAAGAAGAATATCATTTCTATAGTTAAAAGGTTCAGAGGAAAACAAAAAGGAACAAAAAAAGAAACAGCTCTAACAATTTACATTTGGCACCAACATTTTCTTAGCAGTTAAGAAAAGTAAGGAGAGTCTGAAAGTCATCCTACATTCAATTTATAATGCTAATAGATAGATGGATAGATAGATAAGCAATTTATTCCATTATTAACCTTTTGTGACTTGTTGTTTGATTGCTGACCTAAATTTTGCTGTCTGTGCTGAGGACAACAGTAGGCCTGGAGCAAATAGAGATACTCCTTTGGGATCAGGTATTTGTATATTTAATCATATTTTATAGTGATCAACACACCTGAAAGCTAAGACATTTAATTTTAACATTCAGACGTGAATGAGAGATTTTAAAAGCCAATAATAGAGTCTTAATTGCATTATGCTTCTTTGAAATTACATTGTACCAAATAGAATGAGAAAGAGGCTTTCCTAAACACTTGGATATTTATTGGAAATAACATTTTATATTTTTTACTGGACTTTATAACTAGAGATTCTGGTAAGCTGATAAAATGGGAATTCAGATCATCTAGATATTATATAATTTAAAAGGGAAAGAATGAGTTTAGACTATGATATGCAATTAAAGGAGTGTTACAAATTTGAATAATAAAGCCTATATGCATCCTAGAGGCTAAATACCTTTGAGTTTTTTCTCTAAATGTATCAGTCTTTACTTGTAAAGACTATGTCTATCATTTTTTATATTCATCCCCTGGGGTATGGGACAGTCAGGAAGGTTGCTTAAGAAAACAAGAGTTGGTCATAGCTTGATCAACCTGCCTCTGGCCACAGCTACATCACTCCAAAGCCCAAGTCTATGGGACCACCTTTGCGGAAGACACCTCTTTCTCTAAGAAAGTAAAGAATACAGGGGTGGGGGCATTTTTGGGAAAGTGGCAGACAGGAGACAAGACTAAATTACAGCTCCCTCTCAGATGGACGGAGCAATGTGTGGAGACTCACATCATGAACTTTTGTTCCAAGAACTATCACAGGAGCATACAAGGAAAGCTGAGAGAATCCAGACCCTTTGAAGGAAGCAGATTACTCTTGCAGGCCCCAGCAGACAGCCAAAAAACCATGAGTGCCAAAATGTGAAAGTGTGAAGGGGGCACCTTCCACCTCTGAACCCACACCCTCACTGGGGAACCTGAAGGTCCAGACCACTGGAGAAGGATTTTACCTTACCTGGAGCTGAGACAAATTTAGAGAGCCAAGTGAAATACAGGGGTAGAAGAGGTAGTGGGAAGAGCCCTGTGGGCTCTCTCATTCCCCAGGGAAGCCATTTATGACTTTGTCTCACAGAGGTCCTTGGGAAGGGCTGCCAGAGGAAATGGGAAAAAAACACAGGAAGAAGAAAACTTCCAGTTGAACTTTATATGAATTTCTATGGAACACAATGTTTCCTGAACAGAATTTGTGGGACGGGGTGAATCGAGAGTGCAGACACAGCATGGAAGCTGTGGCAGGCAGGGAGGTGCAAAACCTGAAAGCCCTGCTTGCTTTCTTAGTTGGAAGGTTGATAACCTGGGGCAAGTTCTCAGCCTTGCTTACCCACTGCCTGGAAAAAACTTGATGCTGTTTTTGGAGGAGGGGGGCATGGTGGGAGTGAGACCAACCTTCTGGGGTGTGTGGGAGCTGAGTGAGGCTCGTATCTGCCAGCTTTCCCCCACTTCCCTAGTGACCTGCAAGGCCCAGCAAAGGCACCCACAAACCCCTGGGAACATAACTGCATTGGCCTGAGAACCGCTCCCCCATTTCCCACAACAGCTGCAGCAAGCCTCCTCCAAGGGGGAATCTGAGCTAAGACATGCCTAACCCTGCCCCCACCTGATGGTCTTTCCCTACCCAACCTAGTAGCCAAATAAAAAGGACATAATTTCATGGGAGCTCTAGGGCCCCACCCATGGCCTGATCATCCCTATAATACCATAATTGATGCTCTCTTGAAAGTGCTACCTCCTGGCAGGAGGCCAATCAACACAAAACTAGTGCAATAAACAAAACTACAATTAAGGACCTTCACAGAGTCCATTTCATTCCCCTGCCACTTTCACCAGAGACAGTGCTGGAATCTATGGCTGAGACACCTGAAAATGGTTCACATCAGAGAACTATGTGCAGACACCCCACAGTACCAGCTCAGAGGCCAGTAGCTTCACTGGGTGGCTAGATCCAAAAGACAAATAAAAAGCACTGCAGTTCATCTCTCAGGAAGCCACATCCCTAGGGGAAGGGGGAGATCACTACATCAAGGGAGCACCCTGTGGGACAAAAGAATCTGAACAGCAGTCCTTGATCCCCAGAGCTTCCCTCTGACATAATATACCCAAATGAGAAGAAACCAGAAAAACAATTCTGGTAATATGACAAAACAAGGTTTCTTATCACTCCCAAAAGACCACTAGCTCACCAGCAAAGGATCTGAACCAAGGCAAAAAATATCTGAATTGCCAGAAAAATAATTCAGAAATCAATTATTAAGCTAAACAAGGAGGCACCAGAGAAAGGTGAAATCCAACTAAATAAAATTTTAAAAAATGACACAAGATATGAAGGGAAAATCTTCAGTGAAATAGAGAGCATAAATAAAAAACAATCACAACTTCTGGAAATAAAAGACACACTTAGAGAAATGTGAAATGCAGTGGAAAGTCTCAGCAATAGAACTAAACAAGCAGAAGAAAGAACTTCAGTGCCCAAAGACAAGGTTTTCAAATTAACCCAATTAAACAAAGAGAAAGAAAAAAGAATTTTAAAAAATGAACAAATCTTTCAGGAAGTTTAGGATTATGTTAAACAACCAAACCTAAGAATAATTGGTGTTCCCAAGGAAGAAGAGAAATCTAAAAGTTTGGAAAACATAGTGGAAAGAACAATTGAGAAAAACTTCCCTGGCCTTGCTAGACATCTAGACATCCAAATTTAAGAATCTCAAAAACCACCTGGAAAATGCATCACAAAAAGGTTATTGCCTAGGCACATAGTCATCAGGTTATCTAAAGTCAAGATGAAAGAAAGTATCTTAAGAGCTGTAAGGAAAGAGCACCATACAATCTATAAAGGAAAACCTATCAGATTAACAACATATTTCTCAAAAAGCTAGAAGGGATTAGGGACCTATCTTCAGCTTCCTTAAAGAAAACAATTATCAGCCAAGAATTTTGTATCAAGTGAAATTAAGATTCATAAATGAAGGAAAGATACAGTCTTTTCAGACAAACAAATGCCGAGATAATTCACTACACTAGAAGAACTGCTAAAAGGAGCTCTAAATCTTGAAATAAATCCTCTAAATACACCAAAATAGAACCTCCTTAAAACATAACTCTCATGGGACCTATAAAACAATAACACAATTTAAATAAAACAAGGTATTCAGGCAACAAATAGTATAATGAATAGAATACTACCTCACATCTCAATATTAACATTGAATGTAAATGGCTTAAATGCTCCACCTAAAACAAAAGAATGGAAGAATGAATAAGAACTCACCAACCAAGTATCTACTATCTTTAAGAGACTCACCGGACACATAAATACTCACATAAACTTAAGGTAAAGGGGCAGAAAAAGATATTCCATGAAAACGGACACTGAAAGCAAGCAAGAGTAGCTATTCTTATATCAAACAAAACAAACATTAAAGCAACAGCAGTTAATAGAGACAAAAGAGACATTATAAAATGATAAAAGGACTAGTCCAACAGGAAACATTGCACTCACAAATATATATGCACCTAACACTAGAGCTCCCAAATTTATTAAACAATGACTACTAGACCTAAGAAATGAGATAGAGAGCAACACAATAATAGGGTGGGACTTCAATACTCCACTGACAGCACTAGACATGTTATCAAGACAGAAAGTAAACAAAGAAACAATGGATTTAATCTATGCCTTAGAACAAATGAACTTAACAAATATTGACAGAACATTCTACCCAACAACTGCAGAATATACATTCTATTCACAGCAAATGGAACATTCTCGAAGATAGACCATATGATAGACCACAAAACATGTCCCAACAAATTTAAGAAAAACAAAATCATATCAAGTACTCTCTCAGACCACAGTGGAATAAAATTGTAAATCAACTCCAAGAGGAACCCTAAAAACCATGCAAATACCTGGAAATCAAATAACCTGCTCCCAAATGATCATAGGGTCAAAGTAAAATCAAGGTGGAAATTTAAAAAAACTTTGAGCTTAATGATAATAGTGACATAATCTATCAAACCCTCTGGGATACAGCAAAAGCAGTACTAAGAGGAATGTTCATAGCATTAAATGCCTACATCAAAAATTCTGAAAAGAGCACAAATAGACAATCTAAAGTCACACCTCAAGGAACTAGAGTAATGAGAACAAATCAAATCCAATCCCAGCAGAAGAAAAGAAATAACCAAGATTAGAATGAAAGTCAACGAAATTAAAACAAACAACAAAACAATATAAAAGATAAAACAAAAAGCTGGTTCTTTAAAAAGATAAATAAAATTGATAGGCTATTAGCAAGATTAACCAGTAAAAGTAGAGAGAAAATCCAAATAAGCTCAATTAGTAACAAAACAGGAGATATTACAACCAATATCACAGAAATACAAAGGATGATTCAAAGCTAGTATAAACACCTTTACACACATAAACTAAAAAACCTAGAGAAGATGGATAAATTCCTGGAAATATACAACCCTTGTAGATTAAATCAGGAAGATATAGAAACTCTGAATAGACCAATAACAAGCAGCGAGAATAAAATGGTAATAAAAAAATCGCCAACAAAAACAAAGTCCAGGTCAAGACAGATTTATGGCTGAATTCCATCAGACATTCAAAGAAGAATTGATACCAATCCTATTGACACTATTACACAAGACAGAGAAAGAGGGAATCCTACCTAAATCATTCCATGAAGACAACATTACCCTAATACTAAAACCAGGAAAAGACAAAACAACAACAAAAAAACCTGGCTGGGCACGGTGGCTCATGCAGGTAATCCCAGCACTTTGGGAGGCTGAGGCAGGCAGATTACCTGAGGTCAAGAGTTTGAGACCACCCTGGCCAACGTGGTGAAACCCCATCTCTACTAAAAAAACAAAAATTAGCCAGATGTGGTGGCACATGCCTGTTTTCCCAGCTGCTCAGGAGGCTGAGGCAGGAGGATTGATTGAGCCTGGGAATGGAGGTTGCAGCGAGCCAAGATCATGCCCCTGCACTCCACTGGCTGACTGAACGAGACTCTGTCTCAAAAAAAAAAAAAAAGAAAAAAGAAAAAAAAAAGAAAACTATAGACCAATATTCCTGATGAATATAGATGCTAAAATTCTCAACCAAATACTAGCCAACCGAATCCAACAGCATATCCAAGTGGGTTTCATATCAGAGATGTAGGGATAGTTTAACATATGCAAGTTAATAAATGTGATAACCACATAAATAGACTTAAAAACAAAAATCAAATAATCATATTAATAAATGGAGAAAAAGCGTTCTCAAAATCCAGCATCACTTTATGATTAAAACCATCAGCAAAACTGTCATAGAAGAGACATACCTTAAGGTAATAAAAACAATTGATATACCCACAGCCAACATTATACTGAACGAGGAAAAGTTGAAAGCATTTGCCCTGAGAACTGGAACAAGACAAGGATGTTCATGCCCACCACTTCTATTCCACATAGTACTGGAAGCCCTAGCCAGAGCAATCAGACAAGAAAAAGGAATAAAGGCATCCAAATTGGTAAAGAGAAGGTTAAACTGTCACTGTTTGCTGATGATATCACTGTATACTAGAAAACCCTAAAGACTACTTCAAAAAGCTTCTAGGACTGATAAATGAATTCAGCACAGTTTCAGGATACAAAATTCATGTACACAAATCAGTAGCTCTGCTATACGCCAACAGCAACCAAGTGGAGAGTCAAATCAAGAACTCAACCCCTTTTACAATAGCTGCAAAAAAATAAAATACTTTAGAAATATACCTAATCAAGGAGGTAAAAGTTCTCTACAAGGAAACCTACAAAACACTGCTGAAAGAAATCATAGATGACATGAATAAACGAAACACATCCTAGGCTCATGGATGGGCAGAATCAATATTGTGAAAATTGCCATACTTCCAAAAGTAATCTACAAATTCAATGCAATTCACATCAAAATATCACCATCATTCTTCACAGAACCACAAAAAACAATACTAAAATTCATAAGGAACCAAAAAAAGACCCCACATACTCAGAGCAAGACTAAGCAAAAGGAACAAATCTGGAGGGATCACATTACCCAACTTCAAACTATACTATGAGGCCATAGTCACCCAAACAGCATGGTACTGGTGTAAAAATAGGAACATAGACCAATGGAACAGAATAGAGAACCCAGAATTAAAGCCAAATAAGTACAACCAACTGACCTTTGACAAAGCAACAAAAATATAAAATGGGGAAAGGACAACCTATTCAACAAATGGTGTTGGGATAATTGACAAGCCACATGTTGAAGAATGAAACTCATTTCTCACCTTATACTAAAATCAACTCAAGATGGATCAAGGACTTAAATCTAAGACTGAAAACTATAAAAATTCTGGAAGATAACATTGGAAAGACCCTTCTAGACATTGGCTTAAGCAAAGACTTCTTGACCAAGAACCCAAAAGCAAATGCAACAAAAACAAAAATAAATAGATGGGACTTAATTAAACTAAAAAGCTTCTGCACAGAAAAAGAAACAATCAGCAGAGTAAACAGACAGACAACCCACAGAGTTGGAGAAAATCTTCATTATCTATACATCTGGCAAAGGACTAATTAATATCCAGAATCTGCAAGGAACTCAAACAAATCAGCAAGAACAGAACAATCCCATCAATAAGTGGGCTAAAAACATGAATAGACAATTATTTTAAAAAAGGTATAGAAATGGCCAGCAAACATATGAAAAAATGCTCAACATCACTAATAATCAGATAAATGCAAATCAAAACCACAATGTGATACCATCTTACTCCTGCAAGAATTGCCATAGTCAAAAAATAATAGACGTTGGTGTGGAATTAGTGAAAAGGAAACAGTTTTACACTGCTGGTGGGAATGTAAACTAGTACAACCACTATGGAAAACAGTGTGGAGATTCCTTAGAGAGCAAAAGTATGGAACCAGCCCCAATGCCCATCAATCAACAAATGGATAAAGAAATTGTGAGATACACACACATACACACACACAACATGGAACACTACTCAGCCATAAAAATAAACAAAATAATGGGATTAGCAGCAACCTGGATGGAATTGGAGACCATTAGTCTAAGTGAAGTAACTCAGGAATGAAAAACCAAACATTGTGTATTCTCACTCATCAGTGGGAGGTAAACTATGAGGATGCAAAGGCAGAAGAATGATACAATGGACTTTGGGGACTCGGGGGGAAAGGGTTGGGGGTGGTGAGGGATAAAAGACTACACATTGGGTACAGTGTATACTGCTCTGGTGATGGGTGCATTAAAATCCCAGAAATCACCACTAAATAATGTATTCATGTAACCAAACATCACCTGTTCCTCAAAACCTATTGAAATTAAAAAAAAAGATAAGCTAGGAATGAGAAATAAATCAAGATAGCACACTACATTTCCTATGTAATGAAAACTGTGTTATTCCCAGTTTTCCAGGGAGTACTATTGCTTCCAGACCAGGTTTGTGTATTTATCCAAAATAAATCAGATGCTCGTGCTAAACTTAAAAAAAAATCCAGGCGCCAAAGGGAGATCTTTGCAGAACATAGAAAATGACTCTCATTGGCTGACACTGAGAAGCCCAGAAACCTTGACCATGAATGTTTCTCGGAGCCCCAGAAGCCCCAGTGATTCCTCCACAGAATCTAAAAGTGACCATGCAGGAGAGAGCAGCTCCACCAAGATGCAGTCAAATGCCCCAAAATGTCAGAAAGTGGAACTGGGTCCTCAGACAGGTGCAGAACTAGCCCCAGTGCAGCCAGGTCCCCACCACCCTGCACAGCTGCCCCTGGAACTGCCCCAGGGTCCACAGCTTCCCCAGAGGGAGGTGATCATCATAGTCTTGGAACCAGAAATGGTCCTGCAACTGCCCCTGGGAGAGGAGGTTCTGGTTCTGCACTCACAGAGAGCCCTGCAGCTCAGCTCCTTCCATGTGCTTCTCCTGATGGTCCCTGAGCAGGTCTGATATCCTTGAAGGATCTCTTGTTCCCTGTTCGTGCCTGCTGGCCCATGCTGATAAGCACAGGACCACCTGGGAGATCAACATTGAAGATGGATCTGTGAGAACCCAGAGAGCAGAGAAGGTGTGTGTGGCACCTGCAGTAACGAAGAGTGAGGCTCCACAAGGCTCCCCACACCTGATGGGACCCACAGCAAACCCCATGCCTGGAATCAGCCCTTCTTCCCAGTACATCTTGTACCTCAAACCTTGCTACAGAGCGGCAATGCCCCAGGACTCCTCCCAGATGCCCAAGCCTGGTCCCTGGAGAAAGGCTCTGCCTGAAGAATTCCAGTTGGATCTCCATGTCGTGAAGCCACTGCCCAGCTCTTCCCTAAGACCTCTTTCTCCCTTGCGCTGTCCAGGGCCCAGAATTTGCCACAAGGTTCAACACAGGCTAATGTGCAAGACCCAAAGACATCTTTTCCAAGGCTTATGGGCCAAGAGCCCTCAAGCCCCAGACAAGAATCAGAAATGCATTATTAAGAATAAAGCACACCTGCTTTTTCATGATGTCTCCCTGCACAGACATCTCTGCACATTGACAGAGGGAGCCACTGCACATACTAGATAAGGGGAGAAATGCGGTGTCCTCCCACCTGAACCACTCACCTTTACTTTGCTCTGCTTCAGATGCTCTCGATAAAAAAAAAAAAAAAAAAAAAAAAAAAAAAAAAAAAGGAGCAACCTAGAGTTTGGGAAAGAAAATATTTGCAAATCTCACACACGTGCAAGGACTCCTACCCAGAATATAGAAAGAGTTGTCAAAACTCCAATGGGGGAAAAAAAATGATGCTGTTTAAAAACCAGCAAAAGACTTGAACAGACGCTTCCTCAAAAGGGCTGTAAGGAACCACTTCAAAAGGTGTCCTATATCTCTCCCCTGGAGAAATGTACATCAAATACACCTTGAAATACAACCAGGAAGCTATTAGAGGGGCCACTGTGACAATGACTGACCATGTCCGGGGCTGCAGAAAATGTGGAGCAGCTGGAACACTCCGACAGTGCTGGTTGGAATCAAAATGGTACAGCCCACCAGGAGAATAGTTGATTGTTCCATATTCAATGCAATGGGCACTCACCACTGAAGCCAGCCATCCCACACTGAAACAGTTGTTCTAGAGAAATTAGAATTCATGTTGACAAGGCTGAGGGCAAAGGTTTTTAGCAGCTGTCTTCACCATACCCAAAATGAAGGGGCTTTGTCATTTATTCAATAGTAAATAGAAACACAAACTGACCCATTCCTACAATTAGGTGCAATTCAACAATACATGGGATTTTTGTTTCAAATTCAGTTCTGAAATGTGATACTTGATTCACTTGTTGAAATAATTCATGGTATGTTTAGAAAATTAGTGGGGGTTAAAATTATATTGGAACTGTAATTCTTAGAAATCTATATGGGTGACAAGAATATCTGACCAAAATTAACTTGCCAACGGAGATGTGGTTCAGATATATCTTTATCATTGTGGTTTGAATTGTATTTGTAACAATCATAGCTAGATTTATTGGGTTAATGAAAATTTCAGAAAAATGTTAAAAAAAGATAGAAACGAGATAAGGCATCATGCTTGGAAGTGGTGTGATGAAAATTTTTATGCTACTTTATTATTCGTTCCTAATAATTATAGTTATCATGTAATAAATGATTTTATGAGCCAAGAACTATTCTATACCTGTATTTTCTCACTTACTTTTTAAGGTAGTCAAAATTATGTGCATTTTTAAAGAGAAAAAATTGATTCTCAGAGATGTTAAATTGCTGGCTTGCTTAAGTTTACATACCAAGGTGGTGGTAAATCTGGATTGAATCTTTAATATATCTAACTCCAGAGATTATGATTGGAACTGTGTACTAGAGTTCTAGAATGCAATATTTGTAAATGTTCTCCTGGTTATACTAGCCAAGAAATTCCAGAAAGAAGGGGTGATGTGAAAGTTAAAAAAAATAAAGGATCCCAGACTTCTAGTTATTAATCTGCTGTGTAAAAAGCTTGAAAGCGGTCACTTTCTTTCACAGAAGAAGAAAGCTGAACACACAGAAATCAATAAATATTCTTAGATCCATTAGAGAAGTGAGATCACAGGGCAAACTCCTCCCCTAAAAAATGAAGACAGACAGGTGAATACAGAGAACTGTAACTTATTAGAGTAAAAATTCATGAACAGAAATCTTCATGGGAATGAGTACTGGGGTACAGAAATCTAAACTGTACTTCATAAATTGCTGAAAGCTCAGTGGGGTGGTTTGAGAGTTAAAAACACTACCTTTCTCCCACATACTTTTTTTTTCAAATTTTATTTAATTTTATTTTTATAATTTAGTTCTTTCTTTTTTAAAAATTTCTATAGCCTTGGGGGTACTGTGTTTTTTTGTTACATGAATGAATTATATAGTGGTAAATTCAGAGATTTTAATGCACCCATCACCTGAGTAGTGTACATTGTACCTAATGTGTAGCTTTTTATCCTTGGCCTCCCTCCCACCCTCCTACTTCTGAGTCTCCAAAGTCCATTATATCACTCTGCATGCTTTTGTGTACTCGTAGTTTAGCTCCCACTTGTAAGTAAGATCATATGGTTTTTGCTTTTCCACTCTTGTATTACTTCACTTAGAATAATGGCCTCTAGCTCCATCCAAATTGCTGCAAAAAACCACTATTTTGTTCCTTTTAATGGCTGAGTAGTATTCCATGGTGTACATATACGCCACATTTTTTTTATCCACTCATTAGTCCGTAGGCACTTAGGTTGGTCCACATCTTTGCAATTGTGAATTGTGCTGCTATAAACATATGTGTGCAAGTGTCCTTTTCTGTTTTTTTAATTTTTATTATTTATTTTTAATTTAATGTAATTTTTTTATTATTTTACTTTAGTCCCAGGATACATGTGCAGAACATGCAGGTTTGTTACATAGGTATACAGGTGCCATGGTGCACCTATCAACCCATCATCTAGATTTTAAGCCCCACATGCATTAGCTATTTGTCCTAATGCACTCCCTCCCCTCTCCCCCCAACCGCACAGGCCCTGGTGTGTGATGTTCCCCCACCGTGTGTCCATGTGTTCTCATTGTTCAACTCCCACTTATGAGTGAGAACATGCAGTGTTTGGTTTTCTGTTCCTGCATTAGGTTGCTGAAGATGACAGCTTCCAGCTTCATCCATGTCCCTGCAAAGGACATGATTTCATTCTTTTATATGGCTGCATAGTATTCCATGGTGTATACGTACCACATTTGCTTTATCCAGTCTATCACTGATGGGCATTTGAGCTGGTTCTATGTGTTTGCTGTTGTAAATAGTGCCGTAATAAACATATGTGTGCATGTGTTTTTATAGTAGAATAATTATATTCCTTTGGGTATATACCCAGTAATGGAATTGCTGGGTCAAATAGTATTTCTGGTTTTAGATCCTTAAGGAATCCCCATACTGTCTTCCACAATGGTTGAACTAATATACATTCCCACAGTGTAAAAACATTCCTATTTCTCCACAGCCTCTCCAGCATCTATTGTTTCTTGGCTTTTTAATAATCGCCATTCTGGCAGGCATGAGACAGTATCTCATTGTGGTTTTAATTTGCATTTCTCTAATGCTAAGTGGTGGTGAGCTTTTTTTCATATGTTTCTTGGCCACATACATGTCTTCTTTTGAGACGCATCTGTTCATATCCTTTGCCCACTTTTTGATGGGGTTGTTTGTTTTGTTCTTGTAAATATCTTTAAGTTTCTTGTGGATTCTGAATATTAGACTTTTGTCAGATGGATAGATTGCAAAAATTTTCTCTCGTTCTGTAGGTTGCCTGTAGGTTTCTTTTGCTGTGCAGAAGCTCTTTAGTTTAATTAGATCCCCTTTGTCAATTTTAGCTTTTGCCATTGTTTTTGGCATTCTTGTCATTAAGTCTTTGCCCATGCCTATGTCCTGAATGGTATTGCCTAGGTTTTCTTCTCGGGTTTTTATGGTTTTGGGTTTTACATTTAAGTCTTTTATCCATCTGGAGTTAATTTTTGTATAAGATGTAAGGAAGGTGTCCACTTTCAGTTTTCTGCATATGGCTAGCCAGTTTTCCCAACACCATTTATTAAATAGGGAATTATTTCCCCATTACTTGTTTTTGTCAACTTTGTTGAAGATCAGATGGTTGTAGATGTCTGGTGTTATTTCTGAGATCTCTGTTCTGTTCCATTAGTCTATATATCTGTTTTGGTACAAGTACCATGCTGTTTTGGTACAAGTACCATGCTGTTTTGGTTACTATAACCTTGTAGTATAGTTTGAAGTCAGAAAACGTGATGCCTCCAGCTTTGTTCTTTTTGCTTAGGATTGTCTTGGCTATACAGGCTGTTTTTTCATTCCATATCAAATTTAAAGTAGTTGTTTCTAATTCTATGAAGAATGTCAGTGGTAGTTTGATGGAAATAGCACTGAATCTATAAATTACTTTGGGCAGTATGGCCATTTTCACAATATTAATTCTTCCTATTCAAGAGGATGGAATGTTTTTCCATTTGGTTGTGTCCTCTCTTATTTCCTTGAGCAGTGGTTTGTAGTTCTCCTTGAAGAGATCCTTCACATCCATTGTTTACTGTATTCCTGGGTATTTTATTCTCTTTGTAGCAATTGTGAATAGGAGTTGATTTATAATTTGGCTCTCTGCTTGTCTGTTGTTGGTGTATAGGAATGCTTGTGATTTTTCACATTGATTTTGTATCCTGAGACTTTGCTGAAGTTGCTTATCAGTTTACGGATTTTTTGGGCTGAGATGATGGGAATGGGGTTTTCTAAATATAGAATCATATCATCTGCAGAAAGAGACAATTCGACTTTGTTTCTTTTTATTTGAATACCCTTTATTTCTTTCTTTTGCCTGATTGCCCTGGCCAGAACTTCCAATACTGTGTTGAATAAGAGTGGTGAGAGAGGAGATACTTGTCTTGGGACAGTTTTCAAAGGGAATGCTTCCAGCTTTTGCACATTCAGTATGATAATGGCTGTAGGTTTGCATAAATAGCTCTTATTATTTTGAGATATGTTTCATCAATACCTAGCTTATTGAGAGTTGTTAACATGAAGGGATGTTGAATTTCATCGAAGGCCTTTTCCGCATCTATTGAGATAATCATGTGGTTTTTATCATTGGTTCTGTTTATGTGATAGATTATGTTTAATGATTTGTGTATGTTAAACTAGCCTTGCATCCCAAGAATGAACCTGACTTGATCATGATGGATAAGCTTTTATGTGCTGCTGAGTATGGTTTGCCAGTATTTTATTGAGGATTTTTGCATCAATGTTCATCAGGGATATTGGCCTGAAGTTTTCTTTTTTTATTGTGTCTCTGCCAGGTTTTGGTATCAGGATAATATTGGCCTCATAAAATGAGTTAAGGAGGAGTCCCTCCTTTCAACTGGTTGGAATAGTTTCAGAAAGAATGGTACCAGCTCTTCTTTGTACCTCTGGTAGAATTTGGCTGTGAATCTGTCTGGTCCTGGGCTCTATTTTTTTTTTTTTTTGATTGGTAGGTAGAAATTGATTAACTTCTTCCTTAATTTCAGAACTTGTTATTGGTCTATTCAGGGATTTGACTTCTTCCTGGTTTAGTCTTGGGAGGCTGTATGTGTCCAGGAATTGATTTTTTCTTGATTTTCTTGTTTATTTGTGTAGAGGTGTTTATAGTACTCTCTGATGGTAGTTTGTACTTCTGTGGGGTCAATGGTGATATCCCCTTTATCATTTTTTATTGTGTCTATTTGGTTCTTCTCTCTTTTCTTCTTTTGTATTCCAGCTAGCGGTCTATTTTGTTAATTTTTTCAAAAAATTTGTTCCTGGAGTCCTTGAATTTTGAAGGATTTTTTTGTTTCTATCTCCTTCAGTCCTGCTCTGATCTTAGTTATTTATTGTCTTCTCCTAGATTTGGGATATGTTTGCTCTTGCTTCTTCTTCTTCTTTTTTTTTGTGACACTAGGGTGTTGATTTGAGATCTTTTTAACTTTCTGTTGTGGTCATTTAGTGCTGTAAATTTCCCTCTTAACACTGTCTTAGCTGTGTTCCAGGGATTCTGGTACGTGGTCTCTTTGTTCTCATTGGTTTCAAAGAACTACTTGATTTCTGCTTTAATTTCATTATTTACCCAGGAGTCATTCAGGAACAGGTTGTTCAATTTCCATGTAGTTGTGTGGTTTTGAGTGAGTTTCTTAATCCTGAGTTCTAATTTGATTGTGCTGTGGTCTGAGAGACTATTGGTTATGATCTCAGTTCTTTTGCATTTGCTGAGTGGTGTTTTACTTCCAATTATGTGGTTGATTTTAGAATAAGTGCCATGTGACACTGAGAATAATGTGTATTCTTTTCTTTTGGGGTGGAGAGTTCTGTGGATATCTATTAGGTCCACTTGATCCAGAGCGGAGTTCAAGTCCTGAATATCCTTGTTAATTTTCTGTCTCATTGATCTGTCTAATATTGACAGTGGGGTGTTAAAGCCTCTCATTATTATTGTGTGGGACTCTAAGTCTCTCTGTAGGTCTCTAAGAACTTGTTTTATGAATCTGGGTGCTCCTATATTGGGAGCACATATATTTAACATAGTTAGCTTTTCTTGTTGAATTGATCCTTTTACCATTATGTAATTCCCTTCTTTGTCTTTTTCGATTTGTGTTGGTTTAAAGTCTGTTTTGTCAGAGACTGGGATTGCAAACCCTGCTTTTTTTTTTTCTTTCCATTTGCTTGGTAAATTTTTTTCATCCTTTTATTTTGAGCCTATGTGTGTCTTTGCACGTGAGATGGGTCTCCTGAATACAACACACTAATGAGTCTTGATTCTTTATCTAATTTTCCAGTCTATGTCTTTTAATTGGATCATTTAGCTCTTTTACATTTAAGGTTAATATTATTATGTATGAATTTGCTCCTATCATCATGATCCTAGTTGGTTATTTTGCATTTTAGTTGATGCAGTTTCTTCATAGTGTCATTGGTCTTTATATTTTGGTGTGTTTTTGCTATGGCTGATATCAGTTTTTCCTTTTCATATTTAGTGCTTCCTTCAGAAGCTCTTGCAAAGCAGGCCTGGTGGTGATGAAATCCCTCAGCACTTGCTTGTCTGAAAAGGATTTTATTTCTCCTTTGCTTATGAAGCTTAGTTTGGCTGGATATGAAATTCTGGGTTAAAAATTCTTTTTCTTAATAATGCAAAACATTGACCCTCACTCTTTTCTGGCTTGTAGGGTTTCTGCTGAGATATCTGCTGTTAGTCTGATGGCCTTCCCTTTCCCAGAAAGACCTGGCCTTTCTCTCTGGTTGCCCTTAACATTTTTTCCTTCATTTCAGCCTTGGAGAATCTGATGATTATGTGTCTTGGGTTTGATCTTCTTGTGGAGTATTTTAGTGGGGTTCTCTGGATTTCCTGAATTTGAATGTTGGCCTGTCTCGCCCAGCTGGGGAAGTTCTCCTGGATAATATCCTGAAGTGTGTTTTGCAACTTGGTTCCATTCTCCCCGTCTCTTTCAGGTACTCCAATCAATCATAGGTTCAGACTTTTTACATAGCTCCATATTTCTCAGAGGTTTTGTTCGTTCCTTTTTTCCTTTGTTCTCTAATCTTGTCTGACTGCCTTATTTCAGGAAGATGGTCTTCAAACTCTGCTATTCTTTCTTTCACTTCATTGATTCAGCTATTGATACTTGTGTATGCTTCACAAAGTTCTCATGCTGTGTTTTTCAACTCCATCAGGTCATTTATATTCCTCTCTAGACTGGTTATTCTAGTTAGCAGCTCCTGTAACCTTTCATCAAGGTTCTTAGCTTCTTTGAATTGGGTTAGAACATACTCCTTTAGCTCAGCAGAGTTTGTTATTACCCACCTTCTGAAGCCTACTTCTGTCAATTTATCCATCTCATCTTCCATCCAGTTACGTGCCCTTGCTGGAGAGGTATTGTGATCATTTGGCGGATAAGAGGCACTCTGGTCTTTTGCGTTTTCAGCATTTTTTCATTGATTATTTCTCATCTTATTGAGTTTGTCTAGTTTTGATTTTTGAGGTTGCTGACTCTTGGATGAAGTTTTGTTGGGGACTTTTTAAAATTGATGCTATTGTTGTTGCTTTCTGTTTGTTTGTTTTTCTTTCAATGGTCAGGTCCCTCTTCTGTAAGGATGCTGCAGTTTGCTGGGGGTTCACTTCCTTTTCATTTCTTTTTCTTTATTCTTGTCTGTCTTATTTCAGAAAACCAGTCTTAAAGCTCTGAGATTCTGTCCTCAGCTTGGTCTGTTCTGCTCTTAATATTTTCAGTTGCACTATAAAATTCTTGTAGCATGTTTTTGAGCTCTATCATGTTGGTTACATTCTTTTCTGTACTGACTATTTTGTTTGTCAGCTCCTGTATCATTTTATTGTGATTCTTAGCTTCCTTAGATTGAGTTTTAACATTCTCCTGAATGTTGATTATTTTCATTTCTATTTATATTCTGAATTATATTTCTGTCATTTCAGCCATCTCAACCTGATTAAGAATCCTTGATGTAGACCTGATGTGATTATTTGAAGGAAGGAAGACATCTGGCTTTTTGAGTTGTCAGAGTTTTTATGCTGGGTTCTTTCTCATCTTTGTGGGCTGGTGTTTTTTCAGTCTTTGAAGTTGCTGACCTTTAGATTTTTTTTCTTTTATTCCTTTTGATGACCTTGGGGATTTGATTGTGGTATAGGGTGAGTTCGGTTGACTAGCTTCATTTCTGGAAGATTATAGGGGGCCAAGGCTCAGCTCTGGACACCTCCAGTACATGCTCTAACTCTGGAGGACTGATACCAGTCCCTGGTTGTTCTCTGGTTCCTTGAGGTTAGAAATCTGCTGCACTGAAAGGGCTAAGGTGCCCCCTGACCACTGGTCACAATACTGTAATGGGTGGTGCCAGGGGATCTCTCCTCATTTGCATGTGTCAGCTGCAGGGGCAGCAGCAGTATGATGTGGTGCACACTCATTAGCTGCAGCAGGATGCAAGTGGGTGCCAAGGTGCTGGCCTCCATGAGGGCAATCACAGCAGCAGCAGTGACAGCCTGGCTTAGGGCAGTGGAGTATCCCCACCCCCACTGGTACCTGTGCATGCATTTGTGTTGTAGTCTTAGCACGGGGGTGGGGCATTCATGGGCACAGGACTATGTTCGTCCTCTAAGCATTCATGTGGCCAGCAGTTACCTCTCAGATCAGGGGATGTCTTTCTTTTCTTTGTACCTATTTTTGTTCCAGCCGCAGTGTAGGTGTGGGACAGGACACTGGCTGGATTGGGGGGAGGGTACTGGCAGGGGTGGTGCTAGTGGGTTTCTGTCCGCCAATGTGTGAAGGACAATGGTAGTGCAATGGGGAGGGGAGCAGGTTGCACTCATGCTGGCAGCAATGACACAGTAGAGCGCATGTGCACACATACCCTAGTGGGGAAGAGAAATCAAGGTCCATACTTGCACACACATGCAGGCAAAGTGATGTGGGAGATTGCTATAGGCTAATGTGTGCAGGCAAAGTGGCATGGGGGAGACCTCAGTAGAGGGAGGTTGTAGTCAGGCTGCTGTGTGTCTGTGGAGACCACTCAGCTAGAGCAATCTGCCAGTCAGGTGCAGTCTGCCAGCAGAAGTGCTGTGATGTGGACTCCCAGGAGGTACCTGGGGGTTGCACTAAAAGCAGGTGCAGCCTGACTGGGCTTCCAGGGAAGACCAGCAGACCAAGGCCTACTCAGGTCAAATTGGCCCTGTCTCATAGGAAAGACCACCATGCAGAGCTCAGGTCTGACAGTTCCCCTAGGGATAAAGTCTCCTAAGAGAGCAAGTGGAGCCTAGCAGAATGGGTGTCCCTGGCCATGTTCCATGACCAACGCTCCCACATCAAACCATCTAAGCTCTGCATTGGCTGAAGTTCTGCCCCTACCACTTCTCTAAGCAGCTCTCCCTGCCAGCTCAAGTGTCTGGTGATTGAGGGGGTCTCCTTCTTCTGGGATTACAGAGGCCAGTGGCGTAAGTGGGTTGCTCTTTGCCTGTTCAACTCAGCCCTTCCCTAGGAGTTGGTAGGGGCCAGGAACAAGTACTGGTGCATGGTAGCCCTGTGCAGTGTTCTCAGATTATTTGCCTTTCAGCCCAGCATCTGCGTCTTCTCCCCATCCACTCTCAATGCTTTACGTCTCAAGGTCTGCTAGAAGAGTGCTGGTCTTTCCAATGTCTTGATCCCTCAGTGGGAGATGTTCCTCCTGGCTGGGTGTAGTCAGCCATCTTTGCCTCCTTCCACCTCTGTATGGTTTTAATATGCCAAATATGTCTTTTGGATGTCAGGGGGACCTAATATCTAAGAAGGTTCATCAGGTCATAAATGGCTTAATTTAAAATTTGACTTTAGAAAGCTTATCAAATATTTAAAACACTTTACATTGCAAAATAGAATCCCAATCACTATAAGTCATTTATTTAGACAAAAATAACTAAAAAAATTCAAAAATGCAAAAATCTTTACTCAATAATAGAGGAGAGATTCAGCTTTTCAAACAAGACCCAATAAAGACAGTATGAGGACAATTGAATCTGTCTCTTTTCTCTCCCTTCTTTTTCCTGTAGTTTAAACAAATATTATTTATCATCTGTCAATATTACAGGTAAATCTTTTTCAAAAAGAGAAAACCAAAGTTTATCTTTGCTCTAGTGCATTATTAAAGTTAAGCCTAATTTTAAATAAAACCTTATATATGAAACTATCTAATTTTAATTTGACCATAAGGTAAGATTTTAATAAACATTTTATAACTCTTTACAATTTTTTTTGCAGAGCAGATAAATGCCTAATAAAACCCTGTTATTCTGACACATGATCCCAGATTCTGGCCCTGTATCAGCATACATTTATTTTAATGTTTAATTTATGCGGAAAGTAAATAACACCTGTTTAAATTTTAGCCAAATTGCTCACACAGAGAAGTTCTATAAGCTTAATCTTTCATAAACCTTCCACAATTCGCTTAAACCTTCAGTTTTCTTCTTTCGTTTAAAGTAAAACAATCCTTAAATTCTCTCAAACAAAACTTTTTCTTTAAAAATAACACATTCCTGTGCCTTTTAATCAAAAACACATAATTTATATTTTTAGTGTAAGCAATTTTTATTATATATCAGGTGCACAGTCTCGGCTACAGGACAGAACCACACATAATGTCTGACTCTTTCTAGCATATTTAAAGTGTATGCCTATCTACAAATGTTTCCAGGCCTTACCTAAAATCTAATGGCTTTGAGGCAGGCAAGTCAAACAATTATCAAAAGTCATAGAAACAGTTTGTGATTCCAATGTCTAGTAGAGACAGTATCTGACCTGACTACTTTAGACCAAATGCCTAAAGTTTGAAGACATTTTTGTTTTAGTTTATCAATAATCGTTAAAACTGTCCTTATTTACCAAAGATTACTAAAGTCATGTGAATTAAAAGGCAATAAAGTTTTTATGTTTGACACAATATTTTATTTAAGCACTTATTTTTCTTTAAGCCAATTATTTAGAGCTCATTTATATAATCATTAAACACAAAACACACATAAGTACACAGTCAGACAGACAGGAGATATAGTAGTGTTATATATTTTTTTATTTGCCAGTTTTTAAGTTTTTTTTTAACTAGTTTTTTTTTTTTACTATTTTAAAATAAGATTATCAGTCCTTTGATTACCTGTTTCCTGCCATAAAAAAATTGTCAGCTGGGGAACTCTTAATTTATATATTTTAAAATTTCCAAGCTTTGAGACTGCAAGTTTTTGGCTACATGGATACATTGCATAGTGGTGAAGTCTGAAATTTTTGGTGCACTCATTACCTGAGTAATGTACATTATACCCAATTTGTAGCTTTTTATCCCTTAACCCATTTCCACTCTCCCTGCATCTGAGTCCCCAGTGTCCATTATACCACCATATATGCCTTTGCATACCTATGGCTTAGCTCCCACTTATAAGTGAGAACATGCAGTATTTTGTTCTTTATTCCCAAGCGGTTCCCCTAGAATAATGGCCTCCAGTTCCATCTGAGTTGCTGCAAAAGACATTATATTGTTCTTATTTATGACTGAGTAGTATTCCATTTTGTATATATACCACATTTTCTTTTTCCATTTATTGATTTCTTGGCACTTATGTTGGTTACATATCTTTGCACTTGTGAATTGTGTTGTGGTAACTATATATGTGTAGATGTCCTTTTGATATCACGACTTCTTTTCATTTGGTTGGATACTCAGTAGTGGGATTGCTGGATTGAATCATAGGTCTATTTTTAGTTCTTTTGAGAAATCTCCATAGTGTTTTCCATAGAGGTTGTACTAATTTTCACTCCCACCAGCAGTGTATATGCATTCCCTTTTCACCACATCCACACAAACATCTATTATTGTTTTTGTTTTGCTTTTTTATTAATGGCCATTCTGGCTGGGGTAAGACAGTCTCTCATTGAGGTTTTAATTTACATTTATCTGATAATTAGTGATGTTGAGGTTTTTTTTCAAATATTTGATGACTTTTATATCTTGTTTTGAGAAATGTCTATTGGTATTTTTCCACTTTTTGATGGAATTATTTGTTTTTTCCTTCCTGATTTTTTAAGTTCCTCATAGAGTCTGGATGTTAGTCCTTTGTTAGATGCATAGTGTGCAAATATTGTCTACCATTTAGTGGCTTGTCTGTTTACTCTGATGAATATTTATTTTGCAGTGCATAAGATTTTTAGTTTAATTAGGTCCTATTTATTTATTTTCATTTTTGTTGCATTTGCTTTTGAGGTCTTTAGTCATAAATCTATTGCCTAGGATAATGGCCCAAAGAGTTTTACCTAAGTTTTCTTCTGAATTGTTGTGGTTTCAGGTCTTAGATTTAAGTCTTTAATCCATCTTGAGTTGATTTTTGTATATGGTGAGAGATAGGGATCCAGTTTTATTTTTTTTGCATATGGCTATCCAGTTTACCCAGCACCATTTATTGAATAGTATGTCATTTCCTCAATTTATGTTTTTGTATGCTTTGCCAAAGATAAGTTGATTGTAAGTGTTTGGTTTTATTTCTGAATTCTATATTCTGTTATATTGGTCTATGTATATACTTTTATACCAGTACCATGCTGTTTTGATTCCTATAGCCTTGTAGTATAATTTGAATTTGAGTAATGTGATGCCTCCATATTTTTTTTTCCTTAGGATTGCTTTGACTATTTGACCTCTTTTTTTTTTTTTCCACATGAATTTTAGGAGTGTTTCTTCAAGTTCTGTGAAAAATAATATTGGTATTTTGATAGACATTGCATTGGCTCTATAGATTGTTTGGGGCAGTGTGGTCATTTAAATAATATTGATTCTTCCAATCCACGAGCATGGGATGTATTTCCTTTTGTTTGCGTCACCTATGATTTCTTTCAGCAGTGTTTTGTAGCTTCCTTTTAGAGATCTTTCTCTCCCTTGGTTAATATATTTCTAGATGTTTTATTTGTTTTTTTTGTAGCTATTGCAAAAGGGATTGAGTTTTTTCTTTGATTCTCAGCTTGGTCATTGCTGGTGTTTAGCAGTGCTACTGATTTGTGTGCATAAATTTTGTGACCTGAAACTTAACCGAATTCATTTATCAAATCTAAGAGTCTTTTAGAGGAGTCTTTAGAGTGTTCTATGTATACAATCATATCATTGACAAACAGATAGTATCACTTCCTCTTTTCTAATTTGGATGCTCTCTATTGCTATCTCATGCCTGGTTTTTCCAGCTGGGATATCTGCTTGGTACCCCAGCTCAAGATATTTTTATTACTCAAACCAATAGGACAATTTGCTGAGGTCTGTGAGCTGCCCTCCTTCAAGAAAATCGCCGATTTCCCAAAATTTGTGTGAGGTTTAAAATTTATTTTACTGTTTATGTTATTGCTGTTTATTTTACTTGCTTCCAACAAGTAAGGTAAATTTTTCTGCTTCCATAATGATAGAGGACAGGCAACTGCTTTCTGGAATTTCAGCTAATTTCCAGCAGTGATGGCTAGTTCAAGATTTTGTTGTTTGTTTTTGTTTTCCTGCTTCTAAGATGATAGAAAATAGTCTTGGCCTGGGGTCTGATTCCTAGGTAAGTAGCTAAATTGGGCTTTTTGTTTTTTTCTGATCTTGGAAACTCTCCATAATGACTAAAAGTTAGCAGTGACAACCAGCTGGTCTTAATTTCTTCTTACCGTTAGAGCTCTCAGCAATTATATTTGTTATTGTTGTTGTTATTTTGGTCTTTCTCCTATCAGATTTGACCAACTTTAACTGACTTGGTCAAATCTGGATGAGAATTTCAAATTATGAGGAACGAGGCCTATGAACTGGCTACAATTCCTTGAGCTGCAAAAAAAAAAAAAAAAAAAAAAAAAAAAAAAGAATCGTGTTTAGTTTCTATGTTCACTTAATTCCTTAGAAAAACAATTTTCTTCCTTTTACTTTTCTTCCACCCTATTCATCCTTCCTCCTTTGTCATCTTTGGCATCAAGAAAATCTAGAGAAGGCTTCTAATGACTCATACCCTTTAAAGAACTCAGAACAAAAGTGCTACTCTCCCTTTTGAAGGTGTTGTGTTTTTTGTTTAGGTCACCTGCACGTTGTACACATGTACCCCAGAACTTAAAGTATAATTTAAAAATATATTAAAAAAAAAGATTCCTGGGCAGATTCTTCTTAGGCCTAAAGCTCTGCTTTCTTGTATTGCATTACCTGACTCTTTGGCTTTTGGGGGTACCAGAGATTACCTGGTACTGTGAGCGGATTTGAGTTTGACATGTGTAATGGTGGATGAGAACAACAAAGTTGGGTGTGGCTGAGGACAGTTTACAGAAAGTGGTCTTAGTTGTTTTATTTTTACTCTAGAAAGTTGTTGTTTGGGATCCCAATTCCAGCCTAGAGATTCATTCTACAGAGTCTTCCCCATTGCTTTTTCTCCAAAAATTAAGCTCAATTGGCTTGTCTGCATATTTGCATGGGAAACTGAACTGTCATGTTCATAGATAAATGAGAGACTGGGTTTCCTCAGTTCTGAAGAGAAAGGGCATTTTACCCCTCCCAGTCAAAAGTTTCCCCTGGGTGACTGATTGCTGAGTGGGAGTGCCTGGTTTGTTGAATATCCACAATGTGCAATGGCCCTACAGGAACCCCCAAAAATATTAGTTTAAAAGGGCTTCTGCAGAAAATGCTAGTAGCTTGTCACTCTGCATTTGAAGCCCTCTCATGGGTGATAGACCTCCAGAGAGAGAAACTGAGCCATATTAAGGAGCAGAAACAATTCTGTGGTGTCACACTGTGGAGTCCTGCCCACAATTAGCACATTTTGATCCAGTACACTAAACCCTAGGCCACAGCACAGTTCCTCATTTTAAGAGAAAAAGATGGGAAAAATTATCTAAGAATTAGGAAAGACAAGTAGAATGACCCCCTTTTGGGCACCCCATTGTTTTTATGGAACCTCTACTAGCAAGTGTTTGTGTAAGATTAAAATTTCGAGGGCATGTCAGCTTTCCTAGTACTGCAGCAGGTTTACATATTATAGTATTTTATGCACATTTTAAACTGATGAGCAAATTACATCAAGGAAATTTCAGAGCCCAAATGTCAACCTGCAGCTATAGAAGTCCTAAGATCTCTATCTCTGTCTTCTCTTCTGCTTGATTTACATCTGGTGTTACGTTTCTACTGAGCTAAAAACCACTGTTTAGACACAATTATTTCATTTTGCCTGGCCTAGAAAGCTTATTTTTAATAGCCAAACTTGAAAACAATGTAAATGTCCATCAGCAGGTGAATACATAAACAAACAGTGGTACGACCGTAATAGAACACTACTCAGTAATAAAAATACATTTAACTTTTGATAATGTCACAACATAATTAAACCTCAATATAATTGTGAGCAAATTTCATAAAAATTAGTACATATTGTGTAATTACATGTATATAAAACTTCACAAAATACAAGATAATATGTATTGACAGAAAGCATATCAGAGGTTGCCTGAGTAAGGGGAGAAGTGCAGGAGGGAAGGATTATAATGGGTCATGAACAAACTTTTTGGATTGATAGATATGTTCATTATGTTTGTATATGGTCTTGTGGGTATATACATAGGTAAAACTTTTCAAACTTTATATTTAACTATGTTCACTTATTGTGTGTCAATTATACTCAAATCAGTTAAATAAAATGGAATTCTTTTTCTCCAAAAGTCCCTAGGCTCAGCCAGTTTTAACAGAAAGGTATAACAAAAAAGAAATAATTAAGTCCATTTTATAAATCTATTCCAGAATGTATAACGAAAAAACACTCCACAACTTACATTATAAAGTCTGAATGTGTAAAGCTTATATCAAATCCTGATAAGTGGAGTTCAAAAAAAAATTACAAGCATCTCTCTTTTATGAATATATGTGAGAAAATCATTAAAAAAATTTTAAAACTCAAAACAAAAATATTTGAACCCTATAACGCATTATGTCCTCATCAGGTTTATTTCAGAAATGTAGATTGTTTTAAAATTTGCACTTCAATCAATGTTTTTTAATAAGTTAATAAATAATAGAAAAAACATATCACATTAAATCTGATGGTAATAAACACTATCAGAATAGTATTTGATAAAATTCAACATTCATTCATCATAAAAAACTTTTAGCAAAATAAAAAAGTGGAAGACGATTTTTTAATCCTAATAATGGGTAACATTAAAAAATTCTGTATAGAAACCATCATACTTAAATGGAATGAAACTGAAGGCATTCATTTTAATTTCAGGAAAGAAACAAAGGCGTCTTTTATTACCACCCCTGTTTATCATTATGCTGTAAGCTAATAAATAGAAAGCTATAACAAACAGAAACTAAGCATAGAATTTCAATTAGCCACAGATGACAATGATATGCTTAGAAATAAAATAAGCTACAGGCAAATGATTATAGGTACTATGAGAGTTTAGCAAAATTTGTGGATACAGGATCATTATACAGAAAGAAACTGCAGTTATATTCAACAGTAAGAATCTTTTCTTGCAATTTTTAAAGTTTGATCTGTAGTAACATGAAAAATAATTCATAAGAGGAAATAAGAAAATATAAAAAAAGACTTAAAGACAAGTTTACCAAACAGATTGAAACATAAAAATAATAGTAGTGGAGGCTATTTTATCATTCTTATCAGCATCATTCCTTGGTCCAAAGCCTATGACAGCTGTTGGTTATGAAACATCTTTTGCAGATGTAAAGGTACATTTTACTAACATTTTATTAAATGGTTCTGAAGATTTCGATCTTAGAAAGTAGGAAAGGTAGACTTGCTATGTCCTTGTAGAATATTTAAGCTTTATTTCAGTATCATTTTATGCTAATTTATTATTTTATATCCTATTGTGTGGTTGTTGCTAAATCTACTGCTTTTAAGACAGGATTTGCCATGTAGTCTGAGATATCATTTATACAACACATAAGAATCAAGAACTGAAAATAAAATACTGGTTAGCTCAAAAAGAGATTTCTTTTACGAATGCAATTCAATGTCTTCTCATCACGTGTTGGATGCTAAATGCTGTGAATGGCTTGATTTTGCATTTTATAATCAGAATTAAATATTGAGTCTTTAAGATAAAAGAAAAACAATATTAAATTCTAGGTAAATAATCACATTAGTTGAACTGTAAATCCCTTGTGATTACACTTTCATAGTACACAAATAGTCAATATTCTTTAAGAAAATAGGTATCTTATTTGAATAATAAATAAGCGATATTCATATCTTCAATTAAAATTATTTTTCTTTCTCTTATTTGCATATTATACTTTATCTGATGTTGACGCTTTTGTCCTTTTTGTATTTCTAAGGACATACACATTAGGAGGGTAAGACACTACATTAATACATGAAATTTTGTTGCCACACAGTACATATTTTTGGTGAATTGTGTTTTACATGTAGTATTCAGTTAGGGGGTACCTAATTACATTAGATTAGTTCACTATTAATGTTTGAATTCAAAAAAAGGGAGTAACATAGAAGTGTGGACAAACTGCAAATGTTATCTCATCCTATACATTCACTTTACTAAGTCTCTATTTAAACGGCTTTTATGAAAAACTGCATGAAGAAAGTTAAATACAAATATAATTCCTAGGGAAATAGTAATTTTCACATGAAGTGCAGTTACTTTGCACCTATAAGGTCAAAGGAAAGGATGATGCTCAACCAAAGTCTAATTTAATTTATCTCACCATTTTAGGAGGTATTGATAATTGTGGGAAAGAAAAAACAGTACTAGATTCTTAGTAAATCACTGTCCCAGAAATATATATAAAGACTGAAAAAGTTAAGTGGGGCTAGAAGTTGTTTTACTGCTTATTCTACCTTCTTTACTACATGAAAAGTTTCTAGATCAAGGGAAAATGACAGTTACTCTGGATGCATTTGAATGAAGATATTTATAACATTTGGTTATCTATTTAGCTTTCATAATGATTTTTGAGAGTTTCTATTCAAAATAAAAAGAACTACTTGCCAAAATAACTTGCCTTCATATAACATTTTCTCAGGACAGCTAAGCTCATCTTCAATGTGATCACGTTTGTCTGTTCCCAGACTGTTGAGGAAGCTGAGGTAGAAATACAATTGACATTTTCAAGCCTTTTCAGTACAGATCTTGGCTGCCCAGGGGACTCATTCCTTTAAGAGTAATTATTTTATACACTGTTGGTTTATCTTTTGTTGTTATTTCTGCAGCAAAGCTCTGTGAATAGAAACCACCAAATCTTTAGCTGTACTATATTTTTACCGTTCTATGAGATCAAATGAATCTTTATTTTTTTATTTTATTTTATTATATTATTATTCTACTTTAAATTTTAGGGTACATGTGCACAATGTGCAGGTTAGTTACATATGTATACATGTGCCATGCTGGTGTGCTACACCCATTAACTCGTCATTTAGCATTAGTTATATCTCCTAATGCTATCCCTCCCCCCTCCCCCCACCCCACAACAGTCCCCAGAGTGTGATGTCCCCCTTCCTGTGTCCATGTGTTCTCATTGTTCAATTCCCACCTATGAGTGAGAATATGCGGTGTTTGGTTTTTTGTTCTTGCGATAGTTTACTGAGAATGATGATTTCCAATTTCATCCATGTCCCTACAAAGGGACATGAACTCATCATTTTTTATGGCTGCATAGTATTCCATGGTGTATATGTACCACATTTTCTTAATCCAGTCTATCATTGTTGGACATTTGGGTTGGTTCCAAGCCTTTGCTATTGTGAATAGTGCCGCAATAAACATACGTGTGCATGTGTCTTTATAGCAGCATGATTTATAATCCTCTGGGTATATACCCAGTAATGGGATGGCTGGGTCAAATGGTATTTCTAGTTCTAGATCCCTGAGGCATCGCACACTGACTTCCACAATGGTTGAACTAGTTTACAGTCCCACCAACAGTGTAAAAGTGTTCCTATTTCTCCACATCCTCTCCAGCACCTGTTGTTTCCTGACTTTTTAATGATTGCCATTCTAACTGGTGTGAGATGGTATCTCATTGTGGTTTTGATTTGCATTTCTCTGATGGCCAGTGATGGTGAGCATTTTTTCATGTGGTTTTTGGCTGCATAAATGTCTTCTTTTGAGAAGTGTCTGTTCATGTCCTTCGCCCACTTTTTGATGGCGTTGTTTGTTTTTTTCTTGTAAATTTGTTTGAGTTCATTGTAGATTCTGGATATTAGCCCTTTGTCAGATGAGTAGGTTGCGAAAATTTTCTCCCATGTTGTAGGTTGCCTGTTCACTCTGATGGTAGTTTCTTTTGCTGTGCAGAAGCTCTTTAGTTTAATTAGATCCCATTTGTCAAGTTTGGCTTTTGTTGCCATTGCTTTTGGTGTTTTGGACATGAAGTCCTTGCCCATGCCTATGTCCTGAATGGCAACGCCTAGGTTTTCTTCTAGGGTTTTCATGGTTTTAGGTCTAATGTTTAAGTCTTTAATCCATCTTGAATTAATTTTTGTATAAGGTGTAAGGAAGGGATCCAGTTTCAACTTTCTACATATGGCTAGCCAGTTTTCCCAGCACCATTTATTAAATAAGAAATCCTTTCCCCATTGCTTGTTTTTGTCAGGTTTGTCAAAGATCAGATAGTTGTAGATATGCGGCGTTATTTCTGAGGGCTCCGTTCTGTTCCATTGATCTATATCTCTGTTTTGGTACCAGTACCATGCTGTTTTGGTTACCGTAGCCTTGTATTATAGTTTGAAGTCAGGTAGTGTGATGCCTCCAGCTTTGTTCTTTTGGCTTAGGATTGACTTGGCGATGCGGGCTCTTTTTTGGTTCCATATGAACTTTAAAGTAGTTTTTTCCAATTCTGTGAAGAAAGTCATTGGTAGCTTGATGGGGATGGCATTGAATCTATAAATTATCTTGGGCAATATGGCCATTTTCACGATATTGATTCTTCCTACCCATGAGCATGGAATGTTCTTCCAGAGATCAAATGAATCTTTAGATGTTCCCTTCAACTTCTTAAAAATCACCATCAGTGCATATTTAATAAGAGGCTTATGGTATGAAGAAATATAAAACACATTCTTGGTACAGTTATTAAAACTATATAAGATAGCATCCTAAGTCTACAATGAATGGGCTAGTTACGTTTCCACCTTTTTATTGTAATTATTCTTTGGCTTATCTATTTATTCACCAAATGTCAAGGACCTACAATATGTGGATGACATTGCACTATATGTATTTTTAATTTACTAAGATGTATATGAGTGTTATTTTCCCAGAAATTGCCAATGATTTTTTTTCAGTCATCTACATTCCTTATACATACATGTCTAGATCAGTACTCATCCAGACCCTTGTACAGGTCTTCCGAGCTTTCTCATCATGCAGCTCTGATCAATCCAGTGTTTTGCTCCATGCATTGTAGACATCCTGTGCCCTCTCAACTCCAAATTCTCTCTGCTCAAGTCATCAAGACTATTGGGGTCTAACTGGATTTTCAGTCTCTTCTCTGTGGCCAAGAAATTCACTACAGGTAGGAAACTGGACAGTCATAGGAATACCTTTATTTGTTTCTATTTTCACAGGGATTCCTGGCATCACTACCAATTAATTAAAGTCTGAAAATGTTCATTTAAAATACATTGTTATTTTTCCAGTTGTTTGCGGTGGGATAATGATACATATTATTCCTGTAGCTTTATCATGCCAAAAAGAAGTAAAAAGCTGTGGTTACATACCACTCTGTCCAACCTGTCCATTATAAACGTCTGTTATCATATTGAGGGCTTTATGCGTCTATGTTATGATAGACATTAGGTCGTAATTTTCATTTTTCATAATTTCTTTCTCAGCTTATGGTGTCAGAGTTGTTTCCTTCCTAGAGTATATTGAGAAGGTTTGCTGTCTATATATATTCACAGGGTATGTGTAAAATAAATATTATTTCTTTTTTTACATTGCTTAATAAAATTCAGAGTGAAACTACCTGGATCTGGAGTTGTCTTTGTGGGAAAGGGATGTGAATATAAACTTAATTTATTCTAATAAATATAAAGTATTTAGGTTATCTATTTTTGAGATAATTGTACTATATTTTGTTTTGTAAGAATTTTTTTTACTTCAACCTAGTTGTTAGATTAATTGGCAAAAACCTTGTATACCATTTTCCAAAATTTCATTTACGCAGGAAGAATAAGCTCTAGTGATCTATTGAACAGCATGGGGACTATAGTGAATAATAATGTATTGTATGTTTCAAAGTTGCTAAAATAGTACATTTTAAATGTTCTCACAACAGAGAAATGATAGCTATATGAGGTGATAGTTATGTTAATTAGCCCAATTTAATTATTGCACAAAGTACACACATATGTATATAGCATCACCTTGTACCTCATAAATATATACAATTATTGTTAAGTAAAATCAAAATTGAACTAAAAAAGACACTATTCCTTTTTTACTTTTTATAAATGTATTTTATTTTTTAAAACAAAAATATGACCTTATTATATACAATTAATTTTATAACAAATTGTTTTTGTTTAACACATCAAGCAACAAACTTCAGGTACTATTGACCTACCACATGATGTTTCCTATCTGTCCAGTGCTCCTTTGGATGGCTAGACCTCCATTCAAGTCACTTCTGATGTTGGACACTGTAGTTGTTTTGTGTGTGTGTATGTGTGTGTGTGCATAAATTAACAATATATGTTTTAAAAATAGTCTAGCTTTCAAGCAAAATTGTGAAGAAAGTGCAGAGAATTCCCATATACTCCTTTCCCAGCAATACATTACCTTTCCCTTTGAAGTTCCATACAGTTGTGATATGTTTCTTACACTCAATGAACCAGCAATACCATATCATTATCAACCAAAGTTTCTAGTACACATTAGAGTTCAATCTTGGTCTTGTATATTCTATGCATTTTGACAAATTTATAATGATATGTAACCACCTTTACAATATCATACAGAATACTTGTACTGTCTTAAAAAAAATAGCTCCACCTAATTATCCCTTCTTCCCCCCAAACCCTTGGCAACAGATGACTTGTTAATATCTCCATAGTTTTGCCTTTTTTAGAATGCCATATAGTTGGAATCATACAGTATGTACATTTTTTAGATTGGCTTCTTTCACTTATTGTTATGTACTTGTTTGTTTTATGTCTTTTCATAGCTTGACAGCCCATTTTTTTCCTATGAATAACATCTCATTGTCTGATGTACCACAGTTTATTTATTTTCCATTCAACTACTGAAGGACAACTTGGTTGTTTCCAAGTTTTGGCAATTATAAATTTGTATGAAAGTTTTTGGATGGGCATAAGTCTCAAATCATATGGAAAAATAACAAGCAGAGGGACTGCTGGATCCTATGGTAAGAATACATTTAGTTTTGTAAGAAATTGCCAGTGTCTTCCAAAGTGGCTGTACCATCTGCATTCCCATCTGTAGTGAATGAATATTTCTGTTGCTCTATTTTCTCACTAGAATTTTGTGTTCTTGGTGCTTTAGATCTTTGCCATTCTTACAGGTATATAGTGCTACTTCATCATTTTTTATATTCCTTTATTATTACATTTAATGTTCATAGGAATTGCAATGAAGTAACCTTTTTCATTCTTGACATTGGTAGTTTGTATCTTCTCTCTCATGTCATTATCAGTTTTGCTAGATGTTTATAATTTTATTAACATTTTCAGAAAACAACTGTTTGTCTTTATATTTGTCTCAATTATTTGTCTATTTCCTGTTTTATTTGTTTTAGTTCATTCCTTCACCATTTCTTTCCAACTACGAACATTAAATTTCTTCTTTCTCAAACATCTTTAAATAGAAGTTTATATTTACTTTATAATTTTTATGTTTTATAAAATAAGAATTTAGCATTTATATATTTCCTTTTAAGCTCTGTTGTCACTGCATCTCAAAAAGTTGTATATGTTATGTTTTCACTATATATATGAAAATATTTTCTAATTGTTCTTTTGTTTTTTAACCCCTATTTTTTCTATATATTTTGATATTGAATATATATTTTGATACCGAATTCCAAATTAAATGTCAGAGAACATTCTCTATATGATTTCAGATTTTGGTAATTACTTTACACTTATTTTATATCTTAATATATGGTTCATTTTACTAAACAGCTTCATGCTAATTTTTAATGAAGGTGCAAAATGTTGTGCAACCTCCTCTTATATCTAGTTACAAAATATTTTTCTCCCTTAAAGAAAATTGCACTAACATTAAACCCTCACTTGCTGTATTAGCCCGTTTTCACAGGGGTATAAAGATACTACCTGAGACTGGGTAATTTATAAAAAGAAGAGGTTTAATTGACTCACAGTTCTGCATGGCTCGGGAGGCCTCAGGAAACTTACTATTATAACAGAAGGCAAAGTGGAAGCTGGCACCTTCTTCACAAGGCAGCAAGAGAGAGAGAGTGCAGGGAAAACTGTAACTTTTTTTTACCATCAGATCTCATGAAAACAGCATGGGGGAACCACCCCCCAATCCAATAACCTTCCACCAGGTCCCTCCCTCAACATATGGGGATTATAAATTGAGATGAGATTTGGGTGGAGACACAGAGCCAAACCATATCATTCTGCCCCTGGTCCCCCGCAATCTCATGACCTTTTCACATTTTAAAACCAATCATGCCTTCCTAATAGTCCCCCAAAGTCTTAACTCTTTCCAGTATTAACCCAAATGTCCAAGTCCAAAGTTTCATTTGAGACAATAAGTTCTTTTTGCTTATGAGCCTGTAAAAACAAACAAAACAAACAAACCAATAAACAACCATGTTAGTTACTTCCAAGAAAGAATAGGGGTACAGGCATTAAGTAAATGTTCCCATTCGAAATGTGAGAAATTGACCAAAACTAAGGGGTCACAGTCCCCATGCACGTTCAAAACCCAGCAGGGCTCTCATTAAACTTTAAAGCTCCGAAATCTCCTTTGACTTCATGTCTAACATCCAGATCATGCTGATGCAAGGTGTGGAGTCCCATTGCGTTGGGCAGCTCCACCCCTGTTGCTCTGCAGGAACAGCATCTTTAACTGCTTTCATGGGCTGGCATTAAGTGCCTATGTCTTTTCCATGCTCGTTGTGCAAGCTGTCAGTGGATGTACCTTTCTGGGGTCTGGAGTATGGTGGCCCTCTTCTCACAGCTCCACGAGGCAGTGTCACAGTGGGGAATCTGTTTGGGGGCTCCAACCCCACATTACCCCCCCATACTGCCCTAGCAGAAGTTCTCCATGAGGGCTCCATCCCTGCAGCAGACTTCTGCCTGGACATCCAGGAGTTTTCATACATCCTCTGAAATCTAGGTGAAGGTTCCCAAAGCTCAGCTTTGTCTTCTGTGCACTTTCAGGCCCACCAACACTATGTTGAAGCTGCCAAGGCTTGGGCTTGCACCCTATGAAGCAATGAACCAAGTTGTACCTTTGCCCCTTTTAGCCGTGACTGAAGCTGGAGCAGCTAGGATGCAGGGCACCATGTCCTTGGGCACCACAGAGCAGCAAGGCCCTGGGCCTGACACACAGAACCATTTTTCCCTCCTAGGCCTCTGGGACTGTGATGGGAGGGACTGCCATGAAGATCTCTGACATGCCCTGGAGACATTTTCCTCATTGTCTTGGTGATTAAAATTTGGCTCCTTGTTAATTATGCAAATTTCTGCAGCCAGCTTGAATATCTCCCCCGAAAATGGGTTTTTCTTTTCTACCACATGGTCAGTCTGCAAATTTTTCAAATCTTTATGCTCTGCTTCCCTTTTAAACATAAGTTCCCATTCCATACCATCTCTTTGTGAATGCATATGACTGAATGCTTTTAGAATAAGCCAGGTCACCTCTTGAATGCTTTGCTGCTCAGAAATTTCTTCTGCCAGATACCCTAAATCATCTCTCTCAAGTTCAAAGTTCCAAAATCTCTAGGGCAGGGGCAAAATGCCATCAGTCTCTTTGCTAAAGCACAGAAAGAGAGACCTTCGCTCCAGTTCCCAATATATTTCTCATCTTCATCTGAGACCACCTTAACCTGGACTTCATTGTCTATTTCCTTATCAGCATTTTGGTCAAAACTTTTCAACAAGTCTCTAGGAAGTTCCAAACTTTCCAAAATCAACTTGTCTTTTACTGACCACTCCAAACTGTTCCAACTGCTGTTCATTACCCAGGCCAAAGTCACTTCCACATTTTCAGGTTATCTTTATATTAGTACCCCATTATCCCAGTACCTGTTTTCTGTATTAGTCTGTTTTCACACTGATGTAAAGATACTACCTGTGTCTGGGTAATTTATAAACAAAAGAGGTTTAATTGACTCACAGTTCCACATGGCTGGGGAGGCCTCAGGAAACTTAAAATTATGGTGGAAGGAAAAATGGAAGCAGGCATCTCTTCACAAGCCAGCAGAAGACAGAGTACAGTAGAAATTGTCACTTTTTTACCATCAGATCTCTTGATACCTTCCTCAATATCATGAGAACAGTACGGGGGTAACTGCCCCCATGATCTAATCACCTCCAATCAGATCCCTTCCTCTACACATGAGGATTACAATTTGAGATAAGATTTGGGTTGGTACACGGAGCCAAACCATATCACATGCTAATCCCCTCTGCTGATAGAACCTGGCAAACACCAATTAGCTTTATATTTCTATGAGTACAGACTCTTATTCTGAATATTTCATGGAATCATACAATATGTGACCTTTTTTGTCTGGTTTCTGTTAGCATTTTCAAGGTTTAGCCATCCTTCAGAAGTTCTGTGTAAACTATTTTTATGGCTTATTATTCATGTACACACACACACATATATATATATCACAATTTGTTCATCCATTCATCCATTAATGGACATTTGTGTTGTTTCCATCTGTTGGCTATTGTCAATAGGGCTGTTAATTAACATTTGCAAAATATTATTAGTTTGAGTAACTTCTTTTCATTTTGTGGGTATATACCTAGGAGTGGAATCATTAGGTCAAATATCAATTCTATGTTTAACTTTTTAAGGGCCTGCCAAAATATTTTTTCGACAGCACTATGTTTTGAATGTCCTTTCCAAAACTCATGTTGAAATTTAATTGCCATTTTGATGGTATTAAGATGGGGATGTTTAAGAGGAGATTTGTTTATGAGGGTAAAGCCCTCATGAATAGATTAATGCTGTTATCATGGAAATGGGTTTGTTATCACCAGACTGGGCTCTTGACAAAAGGATTAATACTGTCCCCATTTTTTCTCTCCCTATGCCTTCCATTATGTGGTGACCCTCACTAGGTGCTGACACTATGCTCTTAGACTGCCTAGCCTCTAGAATTGTGAACCAAATACACATTTTTTTAAATTACCCAGTCTGTGATATTTGTTATATCAGCAGAAAATGAATAAGATACACAGTGACTGAACCATTTTATATTACCACCAGCAATAAGTGAGGTCTCCAATTTCTCCACATCCTCAATAACACTCGATATTTTCTGTTGTGCTGTAACAGCCATCTTAGTGATTGTGAAGTAATATCATTTTGGTTTTGATTTGCATTTCCTTTTTCACTAGTCATCAATGAAATGCAAGTCTAAACCATACTGAGATGCCACTTCATACCTACTGTGATGCCTAGAATAAAAAATGTATTAATTAGCATTGGCAAACATGTGGAGAACCTCACTAACTCTGCCATTAGGAACTTAAATGTCTCAGACACTTTGAGAAAAAGACTAAAAGTTCCAGAAATAATTATACTTAGAGTTACCATATATGACTCAGCTTTTCCACTTTTAGATATGTAACTGGAAGAAATGAAGATATAAATTCACACACAAATATATACAAGATTGTTTCAAGCCGCATATTTTATAGTAGTCAAATAGTGAAAGAAATCCAAATGTCTATCAACTGATAGATGGATAAACAAAATGTATTATATGCGAACATTGAATGAATCTTGAAAACATTATGTAAAGTGAATGAAGCCAGTCACAAAATACCATATATTTTATTATTGCACTGTAAGAAATATGAAGAACTGGTAAATCCATAAAGATGGAAAATACGTTAGTGGTCGTTTAAGGATCTGGAGGATGGTTTGAAGAGAGGGTGATGATAGCTAAAGAATATGGGGTTTCTTTTTAGTGATAAAAATATTTTGATTTACTTTTGTAATGTGCGGATATCAGCAAATATACTAGAAAACATTGAGTTATATAATTGCAAAGGGGTAAATTGGTTGTTATGTAAAATTATCTCAATAAAATTGTTTTTGAAAATGTAAGAGAAAAAAAGTACATTCTAAATGCCTGCTGGAACTGAGTTGCAGGTATCTCAAATCAGAAATTCACCTGTATCTAGTGCTTAGTTTTTCTCCTTCAAAAGGAAATGTATTTTTGTCATTCCACAATAAGCAGCTCAGCAGAGCAGAGAGAGAAGGACTATGGGACAAACACTGGCAGCTTCACTTTGTTCTATAACTAGAGGCCTCTCCTTTGGAGTCACAGGCGTATCAAAGCTCTCTATAGGAATGGTTTGCCTTCCTTGGTTTCATATATGACAAACTAGGAAGTACTAGTTGCTTGAAGACCCCTGCCCTCTGATGCTCACCGAGGACAACTGTGGCCTTGTCTGGATTGTTACACAGAGGGCAATCATCCCTGAAATTGTTTCAGCAGATCCTGGGTCTACAGAAAGGAGACAAGACTCAGGGATTGAGGATGGGGTATTTTAGTGGATTGGAGGCTGCCAGCTAGCTCTGCCTGGGTGACAACCTGAGAATTTTGGAACCCTGTGGCCTTAAAACTTCCAAAGGTGTCTGTTTTCTCATAAAGTAACCTAAGTGTTCTTTCTTTATTTTGGGGAAGTCCAGAAGAACATGCTATAGACATGTTTAATCCACATATATTAGATGTGCCAGCTGTAATTTTTAACAATGGTTCAAGATTCTGCAAAGCAGCCTGTCTGGAGAGATTGGACACCACCATGTCAACAACTCCATCTTGGGACGTCCTAAATGCAACATGCCTTCAGCAAGACCCAACCAGAAGTATTTCAGGGGGCAAGAACCCTTATACAAGTAGGAGGACTTATATCTGCACTACCCCAATGAATGTGGGCTGGTACCAGGATGGGATGATGTGGAGAAACTCTGGAAACATCTCTTTGAGTGGGAGCCCAGAAAGAAACCCAGCCAACAGCCTGTACTCATGATTGAGCCCTCTCAGAACCCTAGAGAAATTTGAGAAAAGCTTGCAGAAATGATGTTTGAGAACTTCAGTGTCCCTGCTTTCTACCTGTCTAACCATGCAGTGGCAGCACTCTGCCGCTGCCTGTGTTACAGGCCTGATGGTGGATAGTGGAGATGGGGTCACTTGCACTGTCCACATCTATGAGGGTTACTCCCTGCCTCATGCAGTCACTGAGCTCTTTGTAGCAGGGAGGGACATCATAAAGCACCTCACCTGGCTCCTCTTTGCTAGTGGGTGTACTTTTCCTTGCATACTCTACAAGGCTTTGGTAAATAACATCAACGGGAAGCTGTGCAACATCGCCTTGGAGCCACATAAAAAGCTATGCGAGAGGCCGGAGACATCCTGAGAGAATACAAACTGTCAGATGGGAATGTCATCCACATTGGGGACCAACTGTATCAAGTGCCCGAAGTTCTTTTTGCCCCTGACCAGCTGGGAATCCACAGCCCGGGACTCTCAATAATGGCCTCCAGCAACATAATGAACTGTGACACTGACATCCAGAAGAAAGTTTTTGCAGAGATTGTACTGTCTGGGGGCACCACTCTCTTTTCTGGGCCAGAGGAAAGGCTCATGAAAGAACTGGAACAGCTAGCTTCCAAAGGTACTTACATCAAAATTATGGCTTCTGTTGTTCGATGCTTCTTTGTGTGGATTGGTATATCCATTCGTGACCTCTCTGAGCAGTTTCAAACAAATGTGGGTTACCTCTGCAGATTTTAGTGATTATGGGACATCTGTGGTTCAGAGAAGATGCTTTTAAAGATCCTTGAGCTCAGGGAACAACCCGATAGGTGAGATCACAGAAGCACCAGTGGGAGGTGCCACTGTCCTTAAGGCTTTTTCAGGATGTTGAATAAAAGTGTTTTCACATTTTATGTTTCTATATATTTTTCTTTGCACATTGTTGTAAATGTTGTGCAAGTATCTATTTGAGTCCCCGCTGAATTCTTTTGGCTATATACTGGTAAGTGTATTTTATGGGTCATTTACTAATTCTTTTTTTTAACTTTTTGAGGACTGCCAGAGTGCTTTTCCAGTAGCCTCACCATTTTACACTCCCATCATCAATGTAAGAGTATTTTATTCTCCTTGTTGAAAACACTGCTAGTTTTCTTGTTTTTTCAATAATAGCCATTCGAAAGTGGTATCTCATTGTGATTTTTATTTGCATTACCATAATGGTTAGTGGTGTCTAGCATTTTTTTATGTGCTTATTTACTATTTCTATATCTTCTTTGGAGAAATATTTAGTCAGTCCTTAGCCTATTTTTTAATTGGCTTGTGTGTAGTTTGGCAGTCTAGTTTAGGAGTTCTTTATATAGTCCAGATATTACACTGCTATAATATATGTGAGTTTTATTCTCCTGTTTATTGGTTTGGCTTTCTACTCTCTTGACATTATCATTTGATGTGCAAAAATTAATTTTGTTAAAGTCCAATTTATTTTTTTCTTCATTTTCATTTGGTATCATATTTAGGAAACCATTGCCAATTTCAAGGTCATGAAGATTTACTCCTATGTTTTCTTCTGAGAATCTTGTGGTGTCAGTTCTTACATTTAGGGTTTTTATTCATTTTGAGTTAATTTTTTTATGCAGCATGAGATAATTGTCCAGCTTCATTCTTTTGTATATGACTATCCTGTTTTTCCAACACTATCGAAGATACTGTTTTTTCCCATTGTATGGTCTTGACACCCTTGTTGAAAATCAATTGAACTTATATGTATAGGTTTGTTTCTGAACTCTCAATTCGATTCCATTAATATATAAGCTTATCTTTATGCTACGACCACACTGATTTTATTACAGTTGCTTTACAGTAAATTTTGTAATTAGGAAGTGTGAGTTCTCCAATTTTGTTCTGCATTTTCAGAATTAATTTGGTTATTTGGGGTCCCTTGAAAACCTTAAAATCCAATAGATTTGGATTTTAGAACAGGTTTCTCCATTTTTGTAACAAACACCATTAAAATTTTAATAAGGAATGTGTTGAATTTGTATATCACATTTTTAGTATTGTTATCTTAATAATGCCAAGTATTCCAATATATGCATAAATGATATACTTTGACATATATGTGTATCTTTGACTTTTTTCAGCAATGTTTTCCAGTTTTCAGTGTACACGTTTTGTGCCTAAGTTCATTCCTAATTATGATTTTATTCTGTTGTAAATTGAATTAATTCATTTTCTTTTCAGGCTGGTTTTTAATAATGTATAGAAATATAACTGATATATGCTTGTTGATTTCATATCCTACAAGCTGGCTAAATTTGTTTATTAGCTCTAATGTTTCTGTGTATATTTTTATTCCGTAGAATTTTCTACATGTAAGTACATATCGTCTGTAAACAGAGATAATTTTACTTCTCCCTTTCCAGTTTAGATGCATTTTTAAATCTTGTTCTTGCTAAATTGATCTGGGTACAACTTTCAGTACTATACTTGAATAGGAATTGGGAAAGCAGCCATCCTTTTTTTCTTCCTGATCTTAGGGTCAAATCTTGTAATCTCTCTCTATTGAGTATGATGTTAGCTGTTAGGTTTTTCATATGTGGTCTTTGTCATGTTGAGGATATTTCCTTATACGTCTAGTTAATAGATTGTTTACATTATAAAAAGGTTTTGGACTTTGCCAAAAGCTTTCTGTGCATCATCATTTGAGATTATGTTGTTTATGTTTTTTTACGTGGCAGCCTTTTCTTCATTCTGTTGATGTGGTGTATTACTTTGATTGATTTACATATGATAAACTGCTTTTGAATTCCTGGGATGAATCCCATTTCATCATAATGAATAATTCTTTTAATATGTTGCTGAGTTAGGTTTGCTAGTATTTTGTTGAGAGTTTTTACATATATATTCATAAACAATATTAATCTGTAATTTTCTTTTTTGTAGTGTCTTTGTTTAGCTTTGGTGTTATGAAAAATTTGGCCACATAGAATGAATTTTTTTTATATTTTGAAAGCTTTTGAGAAGAATTGGTATAATTCCTCTTTAAATGTTTGGTGAAATTCATGAGTGAAGCTACCTATTCCTGTTCTTTTCTTTATTGTGAGGTTTTTGAATAGTGATACATTCTCTTTAGTGGTTTTCAGTATAGCATTCTCTTATGATCCTTTTCATTTCTGTAGATAGTGGTGTCCCTCTTTCATTTTGTTTTTAATAATTGACATCTTCCTAAAGGCTTATCAATTTTGTAGATATTTTCAATGAACACGGTTGTAGTTTCTTTGATTTATTCTATTGTCTATTTCATATTTTTATTTATCTCTGCTCTAATATTTATTATTCCCTTCCTGCTGATATATTTAGGTTTATTTTAACCTTTTTTTTTAGTTCCTTAAGGTTTATGCTTAAGTTATTGATCAGTAATCTTGCTTCTTTGTAATTTAGGTGTTTATAGTTATATATTTCCTTCTGAAAAGTGCTATGTCTGCATCCCATAAGTTTTGTTGTGTTTATGTTTTCATTCTTCCTAATACATCTAAAAAATATCTTTTAATTTCTTCTTTGGCTCTGCATTGTTCAATATTGTTGCTTAATTTCCAAATATCTATGGGTTTCCAAGTTTTTCTTTGGTTATTTATTTCCATTTTCATTTTTTCTGATCAGAAAATATCACTTACAATGTTTCAGTCTTTTTATATTTATTAAGATTTGTTTTGTGGCCCACCATATGTGCTATCCTGGAGAATTTTCCAGGTGTAGTAAAGAAGAATTTATATCCTGCTGTTTTTGTGTGTAGTGTTCTGTATATATCCATTAGTTCTAATTCATTTATGTGTTTCTCCAGTCTTACTTCTCATTCATTTTCTGTTTGGTTGTTCTGTCCATTATTGAAAGCACAGTATTGAAGTCTCTACCTAATATTGTAGAACTGTTTCTGCCTTCAGTTCTGCTCATTTATTTTTCTTTTAAACTACGTTTTATTTGTAACCAAATGATTTCATGCAATTCTTCTAAACAGTGACATTAAAAAATTTCCTTATATATAAATAACAGACTATAAATTTGATCAAAATTACTAGAATAAATTGTCCACTTCTACAGTGTTCTCATATCCAACAAAGTTGGTGCACAGTATATAAATTCTCAAAGTCCAATATTTAAAAACTCAGGTGTTTGACTAACTTTAATAAAGTTTCTTAATGAAAATAAATATATCTCCAGTCCATATATTTTTAAGAGAATTATTATTCTCAATAACTGCTCTAGAAAGATAAGTTTGATACTTTTATTCTCCTAATTTTACAATTCTGAGTATGAAATTTTAACCTTTAAAATATAGTCAGGCATTTCTACCTTTCTCTCAGCATGACACCAACAGAAACACAAGTTGCTAGAGAGGAACTAACGTGATAATCCAGTGATTTTAGTCCCAGTGAATTACAGGAAGAGGTACCCATGTCACTGCAATTTTAATATGTAATTTATTTTTCCTTCCCTAATGTGGATAACTAATGGAGCAAGAGTAGGTTAGTGAGTCTGATGACCATTTTCTTGGTACATTCATTTTTTTTTTTCTGGACAAAAGAAAACCATATTGGAAAAGGAAAGAATATCAATTCTAAAATCTGATATGCAGAGCTGGGGGTTGCATTCACCAAAATTGGGTTTTACTTCCTTATGTTTTTTCATGTGAAGAAGAGGATGCTAAATGATAATCAGAGGTAACCATGTCGAAGGGCCCTTGAACTTTTCTTTCAGATCTAATGCTTGTTCTCAACTACATTTTCAAAGCTGGCAACAATTAGTGCATTGTTTTTTTTCTCCATACTGACAGCACACCTCTCATGGGTCCACCAAGAAAGTTAGCTCCTTAGGCAATCACAGATTGCTATACAAGATGAAGCTGTTCTGATGGGCCTTCAGGATACCTGGATCAACTCTTTGACACTTATTGACAGGAATACATATGTAGACCTGTACTTTTGAGAGATTTCGGGACAAAAAATATATTTATATTTTTCTTGAAATATTATTCAATTTCTTAGCAAACCTCTCAACTGTCTGTTTTCGTGATCATGGTATCTCCCCTGCCAGGTAAGTATCAACTGTCTGTTTTCAACTTACCATGTTTCCAAACAAGCCATGTGAAAAAATACAATGGTATTGGTAGGAAAGATGAGGAATGAAAACGTGGTAAGTCCATATTAGGACTACAGATTCTGTGGCCCTAACTATCTCCAGGCTATAAACCAAAGGCACAGCCTCAGTGAGCCCAGACACAGTGGCTAGAAGACCAATTCTATCCATTTTTTCCTCATATGCTTTTGAGCTATATTGGTTGTGAGTATATATTTATTATAATTGTTATATATTCTTAATGAATTGAACCTTTTATCTATATGATATGTTCTTAATATTTTGATAAGTATTTGTACATTGTTGAAATAAATCTTTTTGACTTAAAATCTCTTTTGTCTGATATTAGCATAGTCACTCTCTCTTCAGGTTACTACTTACGTAAAATGTCTTTTTCACCTCTTTAGTTTTAATTTTTTGTGTCTTTGTATGTAAAGAGAGTGTCTTTTAGGCAGTGTATACGTGTCATGTTTTTATCTATTCTGCCCGTATTATTTTTAATTGAAGAGTTCAATTCATTTTTATTTAAAACAATTACCAACTGGGAAAACACTTCTGTCACTTAGCTACTTGTTGTCTGCATGTTTTATTTATACCTTATTTTTCAATTTTTCCATTATGATCTTTTTTATATTTGTTTTATTTTTTATAGTGCACAATTTTTATTCCCTTTTTTCCATTTCTTTATATTTTCAGTTATTTTCTTAGTGGTTTCCTTGACAACTGCAATTAACATCTTAATCTTATACAATAAACTTAACTAGCTTGAATAATAATGCTGTTTCAATAGTACACAAACACTTCATTTCTATACATCTTTGTCCTTCCCTATTTATATTGTTATTGTCACAGGTGACATTTTTATACATTGTGTATACATTAACATTGATTAATAATGATTGCTTTATGCACTTAACTTTTAATTGTATAGGAAAAAAGAGGAGTTAAAAGTCAAATGTGCAATAATTCTGGCTTTTATATTTACCTATATAGTTACTGTGAAAGAAAAATATCTTGGGGCCCCAAAATCACTAAGCTAAAAGAAAAGTCAAGCTGGGAACTGTTTAGGGCAAATCTGCCTCACATTGTATTCAAAGTCACCCCTCCGCTCTTGAGATAAATGCATATCTGATTGCCTGCTTTGGAGAAGTTAATCAGAAACTCAGAAGAATACAACCATTTGTTTCTTATCTACCTATGACCTGGAAGCCTTCTCCCCACTTCAAGCTGTCCCACCTTTCCAAACCAAACCAATGTTCATCTTACATATGTTGATTGATGTTTCATGTCTCCCTAAAATCTACAAAACCAAAATGTGCTCTGACTGCCTCAGACACATGTTGTCAGGACCTCCTGAGGCTACGTCACAGGCACACATCCTCAACCTTGGCAAAATAAACTTTTTAAATTAACTGAGGCCTGTCTCAGATTTTGAGGGTTTACATTTTTGTAACCATGGAGGGATTCTGAGTGGAAGTGCCCCTGTCCTTTGACAAACCTCCCATCAGTGCTTGGTACCAGCGGGAGCTATCTTTATGGCTCGAATCAATGGGACAATTTGTTGAGGGCTGGAAGCACCCCCTCCAGTGAATCTCTGATCTCCCAAAATTTGATCAAAATCTAAAGTTTATTTTGCTGTACAACTCCTTTTTTTGGAGTTTTACTTGTTTCCAACGCAAAGAAGGCAAGTTTTTCCTGCTTCCATGATGATGGAAGGCAGGTAACTCCTTTATGGAGTTTAAGCTCACTTCCAGCAGCAAAGATGAGTTTTTTCCCTCCTTCTAGGATGGTGGAGAGCAGCCTTCAGCCTGAGACAAATCCCTAGGTAAGTAACTTACTTGTGGTTTGTCTTGGCTAAAAAAATTAACAGCCGGCTGGTCTTCATTTCTCCTTACCATTAGACCGCTCAGTAATAAAAGTCAAGTGATCATTTGTTTTGCTTAACTGCTTACTGTTTTTGTTGTTGTTGTTTGTGCTGTTTTTGTTGTTGTTTCAGCCTTTTTCCAGTTGGGCTTGAACAGCTCTATCCGACTTGATCAAATCTGAAGGAAAGTTCCAAATTTTGGGGAATGAGGCCTCTGAAGTGGCTAAATTCCCACAAAAAAAAAAAAAAAAAAAAAAAAGGTAGTATGGTGGGGAGAAAAACAGCCAGCAAAAGGAAAAAAAATTAAAGCTTGTTTACTTTGACTACTTAAGGGGCTTTATATACATAACAAGGCCAACTTTTTGCTGGCCAGGCCAAACTGAAAGAGCAATGGCTGTCACCTCACACTGAAGTCAGTTCTATAGCTCACGTTCTTCCTTCTTTCTTTTTTTCTTTTTTCACCATGACAGCCTGGGTTTGATTCCTAAATCAAGCCCTTTCTTGTTTGATATTTGGTACTTCTGAAATAGCAGCCATTTGTCCTAGCTGAAATATGGAAATGAAATTTAAAAATCTTTTCTTCAAGACGTATAATAGTTAAAAGTCAGCTTAATTAAAAACTAACATCCAAGATGTGCGTGTGTATGTGTGCGTGTGTATGTGTGCATGTGTGCGTGTTTGTATTTAAAAGGCCTTCATGTCTTTGTTTTTTATTTACCTCCTAAAACCTTGTCTTTTTTTGAGCAAAGTTTTTTTCTTCTCAGTTGACTGAATTCTGTTTTCTTCATTTACTTCTGCTGTCTCTCCTTTCTTTTGCACCCTCTGCTGCATGAGGGACCTAAAATAGTTTATAATAGCCTGAGCTTCCTTAAAGAAAATGGAGAAGGCACCAGACTCCCTTTGTGAGGAGAAACATCTGTTTTTCCTTATGGAACCCCAATAATGTAAACAGAGAAGTTTATCTCAGTTCTTAAACTGCTTGATTTTGTATTGCGTTACCTGATATTTTAACTAAAATAGTTATTGCAGCAGAGCATACTTGGGTTTTTAAGGAAGAGTGTAGACACTTAGAAATGTCTTTGTTAAAAAATTTAAGTGCACTATAAAAGCATCATGTTGTCTAGCCTCATAATAATTCTCCCTTTTTGGAGACCCAGGATTCAGTGTGGGCTCTGCCCAGAGCTCAGTGATCCAGCTAAAAGATAGGCAGTCTCTATCTAAATAAAATTGGTCTCTTTATAAAATCCTATCATAGATTTCTATACATTTTATGTTTGACTTGGTACCAACCTTTAATCTCCCCCTGCAACCACCAGACTTATTCTTTCTATACATTGAGATGTAAATTTTGCTATCTGATTTTTTATCTAAGAGTTGTTTCCTTCAATATGCAGATTTAGGGCTATTTACTTGACAACTGACAGAGTAATGAAACAGGTCATCAAGAGTTTGCTAGTCTAAGGAAACAAAGGAGGTTGTAGGAATCTATAATATGTACTTCTATCTGTATGCCTAATACAGCTATGTATTTATGTTTTGTGTACACAATGTTTTATTACTGAAAATATATAAAAGAGATCTAACTAATTGGCTTAAGAAAATAAAAGTGCTTGAATCAAATACTTTATCAGGAAAAAAGAAAAGACTAGTCAAATGCTTTTTTAAGTTTATGTAACTTAAGTAAAATCTTTTATAAATAAGCTAGCTTTAAAATTACTTGTTAGGTAATATTAGAAATGTCTTAAGAATTGCCAGCATACATTTTTGTTTGCATTTATTAATCAGGAAATTTCATACTTATCCCTGCCAAATAATAAAAGGTGTCAAAATTTGGCACAGGGGTTACAAAACTATAAACCCAACCCCAAACAAAATATCTTTGTTTGTGTAATTTTTATAAATAAGGCATTGATATTGGTTTAATAATAATAGCTACATTTTGAATTTAGTAAGATTACTGTAACTTCTAACATTGTGGCTTTAGGTGATTCAGTCCACAGGCAGTAAGGTTTGTTATCCTCTCTGTTTCAAAGCTAAACTATAAACTAAATTTCTCCCAAAGTTAGTTCAGCCTACACCCAGGACTGAACAAGGACAGCTTGGAGGTTAAAAGCAAGATAGAGTAAGTTATGTCAAATGTTTTTCACTATCTCACTTATAATTTTGCAATAGTGGTTCAATAACTTCAAATGATGACTATTGCAGTTTTCATAAATAATCTAGGTAAACAATTAAAATAAAATAATGAAGTAAGTGTAATGGGATAAATACTTGTGGACAAATGTCATAATATATTAAATTAAATACTATACATTTTATTTGAGTATTTCCCAATAAAAATATATTTGTAGAAAAACATTCTTTCTAAAAAAAGTGTGTCCTTTTAAAAAATAATTTAAAGGTTTTTAAACGTCATGTATAAAACAAGGTAAAAGGAACATGGAAATAAAAGAGATGTAAAGAAAATTATAAAAATAAACAGGGTTTATTTTTGGTAAGAAATAATATGAAATTATTTAAGGAGAAATAATTTCATATGAGAAAGAATCTTATATGGTAAATTTAGCCCTAGAGTAAAATGACTAGTTGTTTAAGAAAGTGGGATGTTCAGGACATGCCAGAAAGACCAAGACTTTCCTGAACAGTCTGTGTAAGTCACAATAAGAGAATTTAGAAACAATGACACAAAAAGTCTTATGTGATCAAGTTGTCATATTATTACTAAGTTTTGCTTTGCTTAAGAACAAACTGAGGTTAATATTTTTAAATTAAGGTTATTACATCCATGTATCTCTCTGTATGCACTTTTAAAATACTTATGACATTGAGTTCCAGGGCTTTGACTTCTGGGTCTAAAAAGGACACCAAGTCCTACTAAATTTTAAACACTGACAGCAATTAAAGCCCAATCTTCAGGCCTGGTAGAAGATGCCATTCAAAATAAACTGCATTCCTGAGACACAGGCCCAAAAATTAAAGCTACTCAACTCCTCAAGGCCCAGGACCAAAAATTAAAGCTACTCAACCCCTCAAGACACGCTTCATGGAAGCAGTGGTATGTGAAATTGTAAGGACCAATTTTGAGACATAAAATAAATTCAGTTTCTCTATAAATTAATTATTAATAATGTCAAAAGCACACTGATTCAAGACCAGCATATGGGCCTGATATGTTTTGGCTGTGTCCCCACCCAAATCTCATCTTGAATTGTAGCTCCCATAATTCCCTCATGTTGTGGGAGGGAGCCAGTGGAAGATAATTGAACCATGAAGGTGGTTTCCCCCATAGTGGTCTCGAGGTAGTGAATAAGTTTCACGAGATCTGATGGTTTCATAAGGAGAAACCCCTTTTGCTTGACTTTCATTCTTCTCTTGCCTGCTGCCATGTGGTGTGAGCTTTACCTTCCAGCATGATTGTGAGGCCTCCTCAGCCCTGCAGAATTGTGAGTCCATTAAACCTCTTTCTTTTGTAGATTGCCCAGTCTCAGGTATGTCTTTATCAGTAGAATAGAAACAGACTAATACAGGGCCCCTGTGTTAGATTAACAAGGTTTTCTTGAAGCATTAAGTGACTCCTTAATAAAGGTTATAAAGTGTACAAAAGGATTATTAAAGTTATATCTTATGGTCAACATTAAAATTGTATAAATTGTTTATAAAATTTTAAAAAACAAATTTGTTTGGCTTTATGTTGTGTTTATTAGGGCTTATTGTTTGGAGAATTAAGTCTCCTCTCAAAGAATGAAGGATTTTTGCCTTTTATTGAAATCCTTGAGTTATGACTTTTCAAATGAATGACTTATTTTACAATGACCTGTGATATCAGGTGTTTTAAACCTTTGTGTATTAGTTCATTTTCGTGCTGCTGATAAAGACATACCCAAGACTCAGTAATTTAAAAAGAAAAAGAGGTTTAATGAACTTACAGTTCCATATGGCTGGGGAAGCCTCACAATCATGGCATAAGGTGAAAGGCATGTCTTACATGGCAGTAGGCAAGAGAGAATGAGAACCAAGTGAAAGGGGAAACCTCTTATAAAACCATCATGTCTCAGGAGACTTATTTACTACCATCAGAACAGTACAGGGAAAACCACCCCCATGATTCAATTATCTCCCACTGGGTCCCTTCCACAACACCTGGGAATTATGGAAGCTACAACTCAAGATGAGATTTGGGTGGGGACACAGCCAAACCATATAACTTTGCTATTTGACAAAGTTTCCAAAATCAAATTGTAAATTATGTATTTGTCTGACCTAATTAATCCTTTAAGATATTAAGTTCCTTAAAGTCCAAAAATGACATAATTTGGCTTATTTGGTATAAAAATTATATAGGAAGAATTGTCAAATATGAAATGATGTTTGGTTTTCTTTGGGCTACATTTGTATAAATATGTTATTGGTATATGTTCCAAAATCATGAGAAACTCCTATAATTCTGATATGACTTAGGGTACATTATCAGTAATAATTATGATTGTTATGTTAAATTATTGTGTGCCACAGAGGTAAAACATTTCCTTGTCAGTTGCGTCATTGACTATGGCTGCCCTAAAACCTTTTATCATCCACAGACAATTGGCTTGCTTTGGTCCTCCTTAGAAGGTGGTTTTTTAATCAACTATGAAACTCTAACAGGTGCTCTTATATACAAGTTTCTGGTCGCTTTAGAGATTGTGACATCAGAAGAGAATAAAAACTTTCAGGACTCATGGATAGATGAAATGTTCATGAATATCCAGCAGAACAGGAACTAACTACATGCACTGAAATAATAGAAAACTGAAATAATCTTTTTGACTTTTGCTTAAAAACTGCTGATCTTTGTTTGTTCTTTCAGAGTCAAGAAACTTGTCTTTTCAGCTATTAACAGCTTTTAACAATTTACTATACTCCTATGAACAACATTTAGAACATACTTGTTTTCGCTCTACTTGATTTCTCCAGAATTTGAAAACTATTTTTCAGTATTCTGAACTTTTGGCAATACAGTTATTTTCATAACTGCAATAAGAATCTGTTTTCATTTATAACAGGGAACAATCGGAGAAACTGGTTGTTTTACGGAGGCTTTGACTGGAATGGTGTCCTTTCCTTTAAGGAATCAAACTTAACTTACGGATCCAACAAAAGCCCCTTGAGAAAACTGGACTCATACTTGTCTACGCAGTCTCTGAACAGAGTTCCTGACCTGTGGTAAGTAAAGAATATCACTTTCTGACAGACCTAGGAGCCCCAAGTTTTATCTTGGGACTAAAGAGGAAAGGATCACCCAAATCATAGGTATTTGTACTTTAAAAAAGTCTTATCTGAGATTCCTTCTATGAAAGAATTCACCAAAGCCAATGCAAAAGCCTATGTAAAAAATAATTATTCTGGCTGCAGTGTACACAAATAATTAGGCCAAGTATAATAAAGCAAACCAGTCCCACCATGATTTGTATTTAGCAAAAATGGAAAACTGGAGAGAGAATAATTATGTTTTAAAAACTATAGTACACCTGTTTTTGATTCTAGTATTGCCTAATGCTTTTTAAATTTTTATTATTTTCTACAGTTTGGACCGAATTCTAATTTTTCTTGGGTACAAGTCTTCAAAATGTTGTTTTCATTTTTTTCCTTCTTCCCCCACCCATGTTTCCTAATTTAGGATCACTGAAAACTAAGCTGTGCTTTCATAAATCCCTGCAAACTGACACTAGACAGCTTGAACTTTAGAAGACAATAATTGCAACCTATTCACATGCATAAGCCACTTTCATACCTGGTTACTGATGTATCAACTTCAGAGTAATCTGACCTATGTCAATTCTCCAGGATTGTTCTTTTGCTTTATGTTAATTTTCTCCCTTCTTCCACCTATTTTGTTTTCATAGGACATGAAACTTTACAACCTTCTAAATATAAGCTTTCCTAATAACTCGGGACCTACCTGTCTAGGAATAAACTATCCTAGCCACAAGAGATTAGACAAAATCTGAGACCAGAGACTCATTTTTTTAAAATGCTTTCTCTAAAATATTTTTAAAAAGAAAAGGAGGGAGGCCGGGCGCAGTGACTGACGACTGTAATCCCAGCACTTTGGGAGGCTGAGGTAGGCGGATCATGAAGTCAGGAGATCAAGACCATCCTGGCTAACACGGTGAAACCCTGTCTCTACTAAAAATACAAAAAAATTACACAGGCATGGTGGCACATGACTGTAGTCCCAGCTACTTGGGAGGCTGAGGCAGGAGAATCACTTGAACCCGGGAGGCAGAGATTGCAGTGAGCTGAGATCACCACTGCACTCCAGCCTCAGTGACAGAATGAGACTCCATCTCAAAAAAAAAAAAAAGAAAAAAAAGAAAAGAAAGAAAAGAAAAAAGGAAAAGGGGGAAATGTGAAAGGAAAATATCTTGGGGCCCCCAAATCACTAAGCTAAGAACAAAGCCAGCTGATCTGCTTAGGGCAATCCTGCTTCCCATTCTATTCAAAGTCATCATTCTGCTCTTGTGATAAATATATACCTGATTGCCTCCTTTGGAAAGGGTAATCAGAAACTCAAAAGAATGCAATCATTTGTCTCTTATCTACCTATGACCTGGAAGCCCTCTCTCCAATTTGAGTTGTCCTACTTATCCAAACTGAACTAATGCTTATCTTACATATGTTGATTGATGTCTCATGTCTCCCTAAAATGTATAAAACCAAACTGTGCTCTGACCACCTTGGGCACATGTCATTAGGCCTGAGGTTGTGTCATGGGTGTGTGTCCACAACCTTAGCAAAAGAAACTTTCTAAATTCACTGAGACCTGTCTCAGATTTTGGGAGTTCACATTGCCTTTACCAATGTTATTTTTTTTAATATACCTTTGAATTACTGTCAAGATTTTTAGGGAAGATTTACTAATAGTCAACTCTCTCAGCTTTTTTAAAACCTGGGAATACCTAATTTTTCTGTCATTCTTGAAGGATAGTTTCACCATATATAGAATATTTGCTTAATTTTTTCTTCTTTCAGCACTTTAAATATATTGTCTTACTGCTATTTTTCTTTCTTGGTTTCTGATGAGAAATCATTTCTTAATCTTATCGAAGATCCTAAGCATAGACTTATATTTCTCTTCCAGTGGTTTGACTATATACTGTGTGGATTTGAGTTTGTCATACCTAGAGTTTGCTGAGATACTTGGATACTTAGATTTATGTCTTCCATTACATTTAGAACATTTTCAGCCATTGTTTCTTCAAATATTTTCTCCTCTTCTTTTCCTCTCTCTTCTCCTTCTGAGACTCCAAAAATGCATAATTAGTATGTATATAGTGTCCCACAGGGCCCTTCGGTTATGTTATTTTTCTTTATTCTTTTTTATTTCTATGCTTCTTACTAGATAATTCCAATTGCCTTAAGTTTGCTGATTCTTATTTTGAGTGTGCTCAAATCTATCATTGAATGTCTCTAGTGAATTTACTTAAGCTATTGTACTTTTCAGCTCAGTAACACCTTTTTGGTTCCTTTTTATAATTTCTAGTAATTTATTGACATTTGTTACTATTCATGTGTCTTTTTCCTAATTTTTGATTCTATGTCCACGGTTTCTTTAACTCTTTGATCATATATAAAACAGATGATTTGATATCTTTATCTAGTAATTCCAGTGTCTTGGTTTACAAAATATAATTTTATCTAGTATTTTTCCTGTTAGTGAGCCATGTATTTCTGTTTTTGTGTAGGCTTTGTAATCTTTTATTAATAATTGAATACTTTGAGTATTCTAATGAGGTAACTTGGGAAATCAAATTCTCTTTTTCCCCAAGGATTAGTTTTGAGGCTTCAGTAATTCATTTTTATGGTAACTTTTTCAAAATATTTTAGAAAATGCTCTGTGGCAAGACACACACAGACACACACACACACACACACACACACACACACACACACACACATATACACACACAGGCACTGGGATAATTCAACCTACATGGTTAAATTCTGCTGTGGTTTGAATGTGTATCACATCCAAAATCCATGTTAAAACTGAATCCATATTGTGGTGGTATTATGAAGTGGGTCCTGTTGGGATGTGATTAAGTCATGAAAAGTCTCCCCACATTAATGGATTAGTACCTTACAAAAGGATAGGAAGGATATAGCTTAGGCCCCTTTTGTTTCTTCCATACTTCTGCCATTTGAGAAAACAGTATTTGTCTCTTTTGTTCTTTTCACCTCCTCCATCATTCAAGATAGAACAATAATTCCCTCACCAGACACCAAATGCTATACATAAATACAGAGAGAGAACAAAGTAGAATATTAGACATAAATTCAACTATATCAATAAAAGTATTAAATGTGAATGTATTTTTTGTTTCTTTGTTTTTCACTCTTATTTTAGGTTAAGGGATACATGTTCAGATTTGTTAACTTGTGTCATGGGGGTGCGGTGTTAATTTGTGTCATGGGGGTGCGGTGTACCAATTATTTCATCACTAAGGTGATAAGCATAGTCCCCAACAGGCAGTTTTAATATCCTCACCATACTCCCACCCACCACCCTCAAGTAAGCCCTGGTGTCTGTCGTTCCCTTCTTTGTGTCCATGTGTACTCAACATTTAGTTCCCACTTATAAGCGACAGCATGCGATATTTGGTTTTGTGTTCCTGCACTAGTTTACTTAGGATTAGGATAATGGCCTCCAATGTCCTTTGTTGCTGCAAAGGACATCTCATTCTTTTTTATGGCTGTGTAGTATTTCATGGTGTATATGTAATAAATTTCTCTATCCAGTTAACTGTTGATAGTCATTTAGGTTGATTCCATGTTTTTGCGTTTGTGAATAGTGCTGCTATCAACATAGGTGTGCATATGTCTTTATGGCAGAACAATTTACATTTTGGGGGCTATATACCCAATAATGGGATTGCTGGGATCAATAGAAGTTCTGTTTTGAGCTCTTAGAGAAATTGTCAAGCTGCTTTGTACAATGACTGAACAAATTCACATTCCCACCAGCAACATATGTGTTTCATTTTCTCCACAACCTTACTAGCATCTAGTATTTTTTAATAACCATTATGAGTTTTGTGAAATGGTATCTCATTGTGGATTTGATTTCCGTTTCAAAAATTATGAGTGATGTTGAGCATTTTCTCATCTGGTTGTTAGCCACATGTATGTCTTCCTTAGAAAAGTGTCTGTTCACGTCATTTGCCCACTTTTTAATGGGTTGTATGTCTTTTCCTTGTATGTTTGTTTAAGTTCCTTGTAGATTCTGGATATTAGGACTTTGTCTGATGTATAGTTTGCAAATATTTTCCCTATTTTGTAGGTTGCCTTTTTACTCTGTTGATAGTTTCTTTTGCTGTGCAGCAGCTCTTTAGTTTAATTGTATCCCATTTGTCAATTTTTGCTTTTGTTGCAATTGCATTTGGCATTTTTATCATGAAATTTTTGGTAGTACCTATGTCAAAAATGGTATTTCCTAGTTTATCTTCCATGTTTTTCATAGTTTTTGGTTTTATATTTAAGTCTTTTAATTCACCTTGAGTTGGCTTTGTTCTCTGGCCCCTCGAGGTTAGGAACCTGCTGCACTGGAGGGACAGAAGTGTTCCTGGTATGTTGGTCACAACACTCCAATGGATGATATTAGCCAAAATGCTTTATCAGGGCAGTGGTTGTTGGATCTGTGGGTCATTCAGGTGAGTCAGCAGCCACAGCAGTGCAGTGGGGTGCATGCTCATTAGCTAGGACTGGAGTGGAGCTGCAGCATTCCTGTGTGTGATTACATTGGTAGTGGTGGTGGCAATGGGGACAGGGTCCTGGTGGGGGTGTGGTCATCAGCCTCCATGGATGCCTTCATACTGGCAATGGCGGTGACATGTTTGTGGGGGTGGGGGAGGGGGATAGGTTTGCCTGCCTCTGTGCACATCTTTGTGCTGGTGATGGCTGTGTAGCCAGGTGCCCATGTATAAGCATCATTGGGGGTGATTTGGTGTGTTCACACAGGCAGCAGTGTCATGAAATGTAAATATATTAAACTGATCAATGTAAAGAAAGATTGTCACAATAAAAAAACAAAGTGCAATTATATACTTTCTAGAGAAGACACAGGTTATATTTTAAGAAAGAAATGGGTTGAAAGCAAAGAAATAAAAATATATGTCATGCAAACAGCAACAATAAGAATGATGGTGAGGCTATAAAAATAAAAGTAAACAATAGACTGTAAAAAAAGTGTTGCTAAAAATAAAAACGTACCAAAATCAGTATAATTTATACATGCCAAGAGAGAACAATTAGAAAAAGAAATAAAATAATTAATCCCATTTACAATAGCCTCAAATAAAATTAAACAACTGAGAAATAAACAAAAAAGTGTAAGATCTTGACAATGAGAAATATAAAACACTAATGAAAGAAATTGGAGAGAACACAAAGAAAAGATGTTCCTTGTTCATGGATTAGAAGAATCAATATTGTCAAAATGTTCATACTACCAAAAGCCATCTACAAATTCAATGTACTCTCTATCAAAATACCAATGACATTCTTTAAATAAATAGAAAAAACAATGCTAATATTATATGGAACCACCAAAGACCCAGAATAGCTAAAGCTATCATGAGCCAAAAAAAAAAAAAAAAATTAAAAAACTAAAACTGGAAGAATCACATTACCTGACTTCAAATTATACACAGAGCTATAGTGACCAAAACAGCATGATTATGGCATAAAAACAGCCACATAGATCAATGAAACAGAATATAGAGAACCCAGAAACAAATGCACACACTACGGTAAACTCATTTTTTACAAAGGTGTCAAGAACATACATTGGTGAAAAGACAGTGCCTTCAATAAATGCTGCTGAAAAAACTGGTTATCCATATGGAGAAAAATATAACTAGACCCCTATCTCTCAACATATACAAAACTCAAATCAAAATGCATTAAAGACTTAAATTTGACACCTCACACTATGAAACTATTACAATAAAACATTTGTGAAATTCTCCAGGACATTTTTCTGGGCAAAAATTTCCTGAGTAATGCCCTGTAAGCATAGGCAGCTAAAGCATAAATGGACAAATGGAATTGCATCAGTTAAAAAGCTTATTCACAGCAAAGGAACCTATCAAAAAAATGAAGATGCAACCCACAGAATGAAAGAAAATATTTGAAAACTACCCATCTGACAATAATAACCGTAATATATAAGGATTTCAAACAACTCTATAGGAAAAAAAACTAATAATCTGATTTTAAATGAGCAAAATATGTGAATAGGCATTTCTCAAAAGAACATATACTAATGGCAAACAGGCATATGCAAAGGTGTTTATTGATCATCAGACAAAGGAAAATCAAAACTTCAATGAGGTGTCATCTCAACCAAGTTAAAATGGCTTTTATCCAAAAGACAGGCCACAACTAATGCTGGAGAGGATGTGGAGAAAAGGCAATCCTCAGACCTTGTTAGTGGGGATGTAAATTAGTATAATGACTATGTAGAACACTTGAAGGTTTTTCAAATAACTAAAAATAGAGCTACCATATGATTTGGCAATCCCACTCTTGGATATGTACTCAAAAGAAGGGAAATCAATATATCAATGACAGATCTGCTTTCCAATGTTTGTTGCAGCACTCTTCACAATAGACAAGATTTGGAAGCAACCTATGTGTCCATCAGCAGATGAATGGCTAAAGAAAATGTGGTATTTATACACAATGGAGTACTATTTAACCATAAAAATGAATGGGATCTTTTTATTTACAACAACATGGATGAAACTGGAGATCATTATGTTAAGTGAAATAAGCCAGGCACAGACAGACAAACATTGCATATTCTCACTTATTGTGATATTTATAAATCAAAACAATTACATTTATGGAGATAGAAAGTAGAAAGGTTGTTATCATAGGCTGGTAAATGTACTGGGTGTGTGGAGTGGGAGGTGGGGATTGTTAATGGCTACAAAAACATAACTTGAAAGAATAAGATCTAGTATTTGATAGCACAACAGAGTAACTATAGTCAATAATAATTTAACTGTGAACTTTAAAATAAATAAAAAAGTATGATTGGATTTTTTTTTTGTAATGGAAAAGATAAATGCTTGAGTGGATGGATACCCAGTTTCCCATGATGTGCTTATTAAGCATTGGATGCCTATGCCAGACTATCTCACATATGCCATAAATATATATGCCTACTGTATACCCACAGAAATAAAAATAAATAATAATAATAAAAAAGAATGGCATTGTATAATGATGAAAGGGTCAATCTATCAAGAAATTATAATAATTAAAATGTATATGAACATGTCATCAGAGGCTTGTCAGCACAGGCTGACATAATTGAGAAAAAACATAGACAATTCAATGGTAATAACCAGGCACTTCAATGCCCCCACTTACTCTAATGAATAAAACAACTCAGCAGAAGAGTAACAAAAAATAAAATATTTTAAAACACTCTATGCAAACTAGACAACATATCTATGGAGCACTCCACCAGCCAACAACAGAGTGCACATTATTTTTCAGGGTACAAGAAACTTTCTCTATGATAGGTCATGAAACAAACTCAACAAAATTAAGAGGATTATTACCTCAAAATCTATACCCTATAAACACATTGAAATTAAATTATAATTTGATAACAGAAAGAAACTTGGGTAGTTCACAATCTTTGGGGAATATTGAAGTCACTTTTAAATTACAAATGCATCAAAGGGGAAATCACAAGAGAATACCTTGAGACAAAATAAAAATACAATATACCAACATATAAAATGCAGATAAAGCAATGCTTATAGTATAATTTATAACTGTGAACACCTCTATTTATAAAAAAGAAGAAAAACTTCAAATCAACAGCCTAATATCTACTATAAGACATTGGAAAAACAAGAGCAAACCAACACCAAAATTAGTAGAATGAAGAAATAAAAATTAGAGAAGAAATAAATAAAGTATAAATAAAAAACAATAGACAAAACCAGTACTAATAAAAGTTGGCTTTTAAAAATGATCGGCAAAACTTTAGGTGGACTGATTTAAAGTAAAAATGTGTAAATTACTGAAATTGGAAAGGAAAGAGAGAGTATGAATACCAATTTACAAATATGCAAATAATTATTAGGGAATACTATGAACAAGAAAGACACAAACTATTGAATTTAATTCCAGAAAAAAAAAGAAAGCTGGATGTGTGGAGAAAGAATCTGTGTGCAGTGTTACAGTAGGGGAAGTGAGTAAAGGATTTTGCATTGGAATTCAATGCTGGTCTTGCTATAGTCTAACAGAGAACTGGGCAGATTTTCTCAGTCCTTGACTTTAGGCTGGTGCCCACAAAGGAAGCATTTAATACCCGGCCTGGTCCAGAGGAAAGTTTACCACCCCTTTGGGAGGAAACCAAAACCTGACTCACTTCACCAATAGGTGAATAAAGTGGTCTGGTGTCAGCCAGGCCATAGTGACCCTGGTCCTTGGTGAGCCCCAGTGCTGTGCTGGTCTGGGAGGCTGTGTGCTCAGGGCACACCCCATTGTGACAAAAACTGTTGCAGCCCACATCACCCCTCCCTCAATTACAGGCATTGTAGTGTGGAGAAAGACTTCTTTTACTTGGGAAAAGAAGAGGGAACAGTACAGGGATATTGCCTTGCAACATAGTACCAGCCCTGCTGCAGTAAAACATAGCACTGAGCACCAGTGTCCCAGATTCCAGGCAGTCGCTTCAGAACGGCATTTCTAGATCCCAGTCTAGGATGAGGAAGGAATACCCTGCCACAGTGAGATGGACTCATGTCCTAGTCCACTTTACCACAGGCTGATGAATGTGGCCTCAGGCCTTGAGGAAACATCAGCAGTAGTCAGTAAGTAACAGCCATGGGCCTTAGGTGAGGTCTGATACTTCATTGATATGGGAGGGGGTGGGACTCAGGTGCATCCCAATACAATGCCAGCTGTAGTGGCCATGGGTGTGCCTGTGTCTCTGTTATCTTCCTCAAGTTCATAAGGGCTGGGTATCTGTGAGTCTACAAGAGTCACGACATTTCTGTCTTAGTGCACCCTCTAGTGCTGAAGTGGCTACAGTGTTCACAGGCTCAGGAAATTCAATAGTAAATCCTCTTTGAATTATTGGAAGACCCTCTGAACAAAAAGGCACTAAAAAGGCCATATTGTAATAACTGGAATAAAGACCCAACTTGTTAATACACAGATATTGATGAACATCTCCAAGCATCAAGAACATTCAGGGAAATATGACCTCATCAGAAAATCTAAAAAAAGCACAGTAGCTGGCCTTAGAGTGACAAAGATGTATGACCTCTTAGACAGAAAATTTAAAATAGCTGTCTTGCAGAAGCTCAGTGAACTTCAAGAAAACACAGAAAAACAATTCAGAAATGTATTAGAAGAAATAATAGAGATTGAAATAATTTTTTAAAAATCACACAGAATTTCTAGAGCTGAAAAATACAATTAAGAAATTGAAGTATACATCAGATATTTTAACCACAAAATTAATCAAACAGAAGAAAGTAATAATGAGCTCTAAAACAAGCTATTTGAAAATACATAGTTAGAAAATTAAAAAATGAAAAAAGAGTGAGAAAGAATTAAAAACGTTCATAAGATCTAGAAAATAGTGTAAAAAACGAAATCTAAAAGACATTGGCCTTAAAGAGGGAATAGAGAAAAATATAGGGGTAGCAAATTTATTTTAAAAAAACAGTAGTGGAGAACTTTCCAAATGTTGAGAAAAATAAAAATATCCAAATACAAGAATGTCAAAAAACACAAAGCAAATTTAACTCAAGTAAAATGAACTTGAGGCATATAATAATTGAGCTTTCAAACATCAAAAAAAAAGAAAGAATACCAAAAGGAGCAAGAGAGAAGAAGCCAATAACATATAAAGAAGCTGTGATACATTTGGCAGCAGACTTTTCAGTGAAAACCTTACAGACAAGGAGGGAGTAGGTTGATATATTCACAGTGCTGAAAGGGGAAAAAACTCTCAACCAAAGCTATTGTACTCAGCACAGTTATCTTTCAAACATGGAGAATTAGACTTTCCCAGACAAACAAAAGCTGAGGAAATTTATAACCACCAGACCCATTTTATAAGAAATGCTAAAGGAAGCTTTCAATCTGAAATAAAAGGATGTTAATCTGCAACAAGAAATCATCTGAAGGTGTAAAACTCACTGGTAAAAGCAAATGCGCAGATAATTCTGAACAGGCTAATACTGTATTTTTGGTGTGTAAACCATTCATATCTTTAGTATAAAGACTAAAAGAAAAATCTGTCAAAAATAACAATAAATATATAATTCTGTTAATAAATGGGTTACATAAAAAATAAAACTTGAGACAACAAAATGTCATAAAGGAAGAGATGGATTTAATTTGTAGAATATTTTAGTTTTTTCTTTGCTTGTTAGTTTCTTTTCTTTGTGATCAAAGTTAAGTTGTCATTAGTTTAGGATAACTTGTAACTGTAGAATAGTTTTTGTAAGCCTCATGGTAACCACAAAGCAAAAACCTATAATATTTATACTAAAAATAAAAACAAGGAATTAATTAAACCACTGGAGAAGATTACTTTAAGTAAAATTAAGTAAACAAAACTGACAGAAAGGAAGAAGCAATGACAGCAGTTACAAAAACTATAAAACAATAAATGGCAATAGTTTTTAATTATAAATAATATTAAATATAGATAGACTAAATTATCAAATTAAAAGACATAGAATGGCTGAGAGAAGTGTAGAAAAACAGGACCCAACTATTTGCTTGCTACAAAAAAACCTCATTTCACTTATAAAGAAATGCAAAGGTTGATTCCATGTGTTTGCTATTGTGAATTGTGCTGCAATTAACATATGAGTACATGCCTTTTTGGTACAGTGATTTATTTTCCCGTGGGGATATACCCAGTAATGGGATTGCTGGGTTGAATGGTAATTCTGTTTTAAGTTTTTGAGAAATCTCCAAACTGCTGTCCACAGTGTCTGAACTTGTTTACATTTCTGCCAACAGTGTGTAAGTGTTCCATTTTCTCCACAGCCTTACCAGCATCTGTTATTGTTTTTACTTTTATGAAATTATGTGCTTTACAGCAACATAAATGCAGCTGGAGCCTATTATCCTGCAGAAAACCAAATACTACATGTTCTCACTTATAAGTGGGAGCTAAACATCGGATACATATGGACACAAAGATGAGGGCAATAGACATTTGGGATTACCAGAGGGGGCAGAAAGAGAAAGGAGCAAAGGCTGAAAAACTAACTGTTGAGTACTATGCTCACTACCTCAGTGATGGGATCATTCATATCCAAAACTTCAGCATCATGCAATATAACGATGTGACAAATCTGCACATGTACGCCTTGAATTTAAAATAAAAGCTGAAATTATGAAAAAGACACACATAGCCTGAAAATAAAAGGATGTAGAAAAAATATTACATGCAAATGGAAATTTAAAAAGAGCGGGAATAGTTATACTTTTATCAGATAAAACATATTTTAGTAAAAAATGTGTATGAAGAGATGAAAAAGTTATATAATGATAAAGAAGATAATTCAGCAAAGGAAAATAACAATTTTATTATTCCCTTTTATTCAACATAGTACTGGAAGTTCTAGCCAGAGGGATTAGGCAAGATAAATAAGTAAAGGACATTCCAATTTGAATGGAAGGTATATAAATGTCCTTTTCCACAGATGACACAATGTTATATTTAGGAAAACCTAAAAACTCCACACACGAAAAAATATTGGGACTGATAAATGAATTCAGTAAAGTTGTAGGATACAAAGTCAACATATAAATATCAGTAGGATTTATATATGCCAACAGCAAACAATCTGAAAAATAAATCAAGACAGTAATTTTTTTACAATAGCTGCTATATATACATATTTTATATGTAAGATCTTTCACTGGTTTTGTTAAAGAAATACAATGGCTGAGCTAATTTACGTTACTACCAACAATGTATAAATGGTACCTTATACACTGAACAAATTGAAGGGGATACAAAAATGTGGGAAAATATTCTATGCTCACAGATGAAAGAACTAATGGCGTTAAAATGCCCATACTACGCAAAGTGATTTACATATTCAATTCCATCCCTATCAATATACCAGTGATATGCTACACAGGAATATAATAAGTACTAAAAAGTTTTATGAAACCATCAAAGACCCTGAATAGACAAAGCAATCCCCAGCAAAGAAAAAAACAAAACAAAAAACAAAAATAACTGGAGGCATCATACTACCTGAATTCAAAATATACTACAAAGTTACAGGAACCAAAACATCATGTTACTGACATAAAAACAGACACATAGACAAATAGAACAGAATAAAAAAGAAACAGAAATAAATTCACACACTTAAGCAAATGCACTATTGACAAAACCACCAAGAACTAACAATGGGGGAAAAAACAGTCTCTTCAATAAATGGTGCTGAGTAGAATGGCTATTATCAAAAGCACAGAAAATAATAGATGCTGGTGAGGATGCCAAGAGAATACAGAGAAAGTAAAACGTTTAGTGAGAATGTAAATTAGCACAGCAAGTATGAAAAACAGCATAGAGGAATGGATAAAGAAAATATGGTATATATATACAATGAAATATTATTCAGCCATAATGAATAAAATCCTGCAATTTTTCAGTAACATAGATAGAATTGGAGGTAGTGAGGAGTTTGGTGTTTACTAGAGACAGAGAAGGGTATGGGGCAAAAGGGAGATAAGCAGGAGTTGGTTAATGGGTATAAAATATATTTAAACAGAATGAATAAGTTCTAGTGTTTTATAGGAGGGTAGGGTGAGAATAATTAATAAAAATTTATAATATATTTCAAAATAGTTGAAAGGGAAGAGTTTGAATATTTGAAATATTCCATACACAAATAAATTATAAATATTTGAGGTGATGGGCATTTCAATTATCTTGATCATTACATATTGATATGGTTTGGCCGGGTCCCCATCCAAATCTCAACTTAAATTGTATCTCACAGAATTTCCACATGTTGTGGGAGAGACCCAGGGGGAGGTAACTGAATCATGGGGGCTGGTCTTTCCCATACTGTTCTTATGATAGTGAATAAGTCTCACGAGATCTGATGGGTTTATAAGGGGTTTCTGCTTTTGTTTCTTTCTCATTTTCTCTGTCTGTCGCCATGTAAGAAGTGCCTTTTGCCTCCCGCGATGATTCGGAGGCCTCCTGAGCCATATGCAAGTGTAAGTCGAATTAAACTGCTCTTTGTTCCCACTCTCAGGTATGTCTTTATCAGCAGCGTGAAAACAGACTAATACAGAAAATTGGTACCAGTAGAGTGGGGTGTTGCTGAAAAGATACTAGAAAATGTGGAAGTGACTTTGGAACTGGGTAATAGGCAGAGGTTGGAACAGTTTGGAGGGCTCAGAAGAAGACAGGAAAATGTCGGTAAGTTTGGAGCTTCCTAGAGACTTGTTGAATGGCCTTGACAAAAATGCTGATAGTAATATGAACAATAAGGTCCAGGATGAGGTGGTCTCACATGGAGATGAGGAACTTGTTGGGAAGTGGAGCAAAGGTGATTCTTGTTATGTTGTAGCAAAGAGACTTGTGGCATTTTGTCTCTGCCCTAGAGATTTGTGAAACTTTGAACTTGAGAGAGATGATTTAGGGTATCTGGCAGAAGAAATTTCTAAGCCACAAAGCATTCAAGAGGTAACTTGGTAGCTGTTAAAGCATTCAGTTTTATAAGGGAAGCAGAGCATAAAAGTTCAGAAAATTTGCAGCCTGACAATGCAATATAAAAGAAAATTTCATTTTCTGAGGAGAAATCCAAGCCAGCTATAGAAATTTGCATAAGTAACAAGGAGCTGAATTTTAATCCCCAAGACAATGGGAAAAATGTCTTCAGGGCATGTCAGAGGTCTTCATGTCAGCCCACCCATCACAGGCCCGGAGGCCAAGATGGAAAAAGTGGTTTTGTTGACCGGGTCCACGGTCCTTGTGCTGTGTGCAGCCTAGGGACTTGGTGTCCTGTGTCTCAGCTGCTCCAGCTGTGGCTGAAAGGGGTCAACATACAGGTCGGGCTGTGACTTAACAGGGTGGAAGCCCCAAGCCTTGGCAGCTTGCACATGGTGTTGAGCCTGCCAGTGCACAGAAGTCAAAAATTGAGGTTTGGGAACCCCCACCTAGATTTCAGAAGTTGTATGGAAATGCCTGGATGCCCAGGCAAAAGTTTGCTGCAGAGGCAGGGCCCTCATGGAGAGCCTCTGCTACGGCAGTGCAAAAGGGAAATATGTGGTAGGAGCCCACACACACAGAGTCCCTACTGGGGCACTACCTAGTGGAGGAGAGGGCCACCGTCTTCAAGACCCCAGAATGTTAGATCCACTGACAGTTTGCACTTGTACCTGGAAAAGCCACAGACATTCAATGCCAGCCTGTGAAAGCAGCCGAGAGGGAGGCTGTACCTGCAAAGCCACAGGGGTGGAGCTGCCCAAGACCATGGGAACCCACCTCTTATAGCAGCATGACCTAGATGTGAGAGCTGAAGTCAAAGGAGATCATTTTGGAGCTTTAAAATTTGACTACCTCACTAGATTTCGGACTTGCATGGGCCCTGTAATCCCTTTGTTTTGGCCAGTTTCTCCCATTTGGAATTGTTGTTTTTACCCAATCCCATGTATCCCCATTGTATATAGGAAGTAACTAGCTTACCTTTGATTTTACAGGCTCATAGGTATAGTGTCTTGCTTTGTCTTAGATGAGTCTTTGGACTGTGGACTTTTAGGATTAATGCTGAAATGAGTTAAGACTTTCAGGGACTGTTGGGAAGGTATGATTGGTTTTGAAATGTGAGGACATGAGATTTGGAGGGTCCAGGCATGGAATGATACGGTTTGGCTGTTTCCCCACCCAAATCTCAACTTGAATTGCATCTCCCAGAATTTCCACATGTTGTGGGATGGGCCCAGGGGGAGGTAATTGAACCATGGGAGCCAGTCCTTCGTGTACTATTCTCATGATAGTGAATAAGTCTCACAAGTTCTGATGGGTTTTCAGGGGTTTCTGCTTTTACTTCTTTCTCATTTTCTCTTCCTGCTGCTGTGTAAGAACTACCTTTTGCTGTGCAGAAGCTCTTTAGTTTAATAGATCCCATTTGTCAATTTCCACTTTTGTTGGGATTGCTTTTGGTGTTTGAGTCATTAAGTCTTTGTCCATGCATATGTCCTGAATAGTATTGCTGAGGTTGTCTCCATGGTTTTTATGGTTTTGGGTTTTACATTTAAGTCTTTAATCCATCTTGAGTTAATTTTTGTATAAGGTGTAAGGAAGGGGTCCAGTTTCTGTTTTCTGCATATGGCTAGCCAGTTTTCCTAGCATCATGTATTAAATAGGGGATTCTTTCCCCATTGCTTGTTTTCGTTAGGTTTGTCAGTGAAAGAAACTATTTTCAGAGTGTACAGGCAACCTACAGAATGGGAGAACATTTTTGCAATCTATCCATCTGACAAAAGTCTAATATCCAGAATCTACAAGGAACTTAAACAAATTTACAAGAAAAAACAGAAAAGAAACCATCAAAAGTGGGCGAAGGATACGAACAGACACATCTCAGAAAAAGACATTTATGTGGCCAAGAAACATATGAAAAAAAGCTCATCATCACTGGTCATTAGAGAAATGCAAATAAAAACCACAATGAGATACCATCTCACGCCAGTTAGAATGGCAATTATTAAAAAGTCAGGAAAGAACAGATGCTTTTGAGGCTGTGGAGAAATAGGAAAGCTTTTACACTGTTGGTGGGAGTATAAATTAGTTCAACCATTGTGGAAGACTGTGGTGATTTCTCAAGGATCTAGAACCAGAAATACCATTTGACCCAGCAATCCCATTACTGGGTATATACCAAAAGGATTATAAATCATTCTCCTATAAAGACACATGCACACATATGTTTATTGCAGCACTATTCACAATAGCAAAGACTTGGAACCAATCCAAATGCCCATCAACGATAGATTGGATAAAGAAAATGTGGCACATATATACCATGGAATACTATGCAGCCATAAAAAAGAATGAGTTCATGTCCTTTCCAGGGACATGGATGTAGCTTGAAGCTATCATTCTCAGCAAACCAACACAGGAACAGAAAACCAAACACTGCATGTTCTCACTCATAAGTGGGAGTTGAACAATGAGAACAAATGGACACAGGGAGGGGAACATCACACACTGGTGCTGTCAGGGGGCTGGGGAAAGGGGAGGGAGAGCATTAGGACAAATACCAAATGCATGTGGGGCTTAAAACCTAGATGATGGGTTGATAGGTGCAGCAAACCACCATGGCACATGTATACCTATGTAACAAACTCACACATTCTGCACATGTATCCCTAACTTAAAGTAAAATTTTAAAAAAGAAGTGCCTTTTGCCACCCACCATGATTCTGAGGCTTCCCCAGCCATGTGGAACTTTAAGTACAATTAAACCTCTTTTTCTTCCCAGTCTCAGGTATGTCTTTATTAGCAGCATGAAAATGGACTAATACAACATCTATCAAAAAACACATGTACTTCCTAAATATACCCAACTTCGTTTATCAATAAAAAATAAGAAATTAAAGCCAGAAAGACCTATGTTTAGTAGAGACTGGATCAAAATTTTCTAACAATGTAAACCCTTCACCAAGGGGGTTCATTGAGTTCTACAAGACGTTTAAGGCATTAATACAAATTCTTTACAAACTCTATAAAACAATAGCAGAGAAGAAAATACTTCCCAACTAATTCTGAGGCCAGTGTTTGATAAATATCAAAATCAGATGAATATATTATAAGAAAAGAATATTACTGGCCAGTATCACTTATGAATATAAAGGAAAACAATCTCAGAAAAATACTAGCAACCTGACTTCACCAATGTATAAAAGAATTACCCAATATGATCAAATGGAACTTTAGTTAGAAATTCAAGGTTGTTTCAACCTCCAAAAATTAATTAATCTAATATACCCTATCAATAGAATAAAATAAAAATTATATGATTATGTAATTTCTGTAATAGTTGCAGAAAAATTATTTGAAAAACCCAATAACACTTCATGTTAAAAATACTCAACAGACACTGTCTGTTGTCATCTGCACTTGAGGTTTTAGGCCTTTGGCAATCAAGGACAGAATACATAACCGAGAACGCTGCTAAACAAATTCAGACCCCAGCTTATCTTTGCCTGTGCTTCCTCACTTAGTCTAAGAAAACCCAGGCTGAGGTCTCAGGAGGAGATCACCATCCTTTTCCAGAGAAGAACAGGATGGCCATGTCCTGGGAATCATTGACCTTCAAAGACATGTTTGTGGACTTTGTCCTGGAGCAATGGCAGCAAATGGACTCTCCTCATAAGAATCTTTACAGGAATGCCATGCTTGGCAACTACAGCCACCTGGTGTCCATGGGGTATCTGGTTGCCAAACCAGATGTTATCTTCAGGTTGGGACGAGGCGAAAAGTCCTGGATGGTAGATGGAGGAAACCCAATGAAGATCTGTCCCGAAATCTAGCAAGTTGATGAACAGATAGATTACTAAAAAGAAAGCCCAGATAAACCTCTGTGGTAAGCTGCACTCATAGACAAGAAAACACTGAAGGATGAAAATGGTCAAGAATGCAGAAGATGTAGAAAAATCATTTATCTGAGAACAGACTTTTTTCGGTAAGACAAAGACTCTCTAAATATTATTCATGGGGAAGATGTTCAAAACAAAATCTAAACCTTCATAGTCAAAATAGAGGCTATGTAAGAAAGAAAGATGAGATATGTAAGGTGTATTGGAATTTACTTCTAATCTTGACGCCTGTGCTAGTTTTGCTGTTGCATCTCATCCTGCAAAAGTTATGGCCAGAGTGCATGATAAGTGCCTATTTATGATAAAAAAAAGACATTGCATTTATAGGTGGAAGACATGAATGGAAACATGTTCCAATTAACAGCAATCAGGTTTTGTATTATCCACAGTTCCAGGCATCCACTGGAGATTTTGGAACATATCCCCATGGATATGTGGGAACTACAGTACATTGTTACACTATGCATCAAAAATTCGCTGAGAATAAACATGTAAACCTAATAGATATCAAAACACTGCAGATATCATTTAGCCTTTATTAGGTATAATAAAAATCAAAGTTATAATATTCAAAGAATGCTATAAATGTTATACATTATTTTTAAAAATACAAAGTAAACATAAAAGACACTCAATAGACTATGAATAGAAAGATCCTTGCTTGATTTGATAAAGTAGATGCATAAAAAACCAACAGCTAACATTATAAGTAATGGGGAAAGATTGATTTTTTTTTACTAAGATCACAAAAAAAGGTGTTTACTCTCACTATATCTATTCAACATTACACTGAGTTTCTATCCAAGGTAATTAGACAGGAAAAATTAATGAAAACATACAGATATGAAAAGAAGACATAAAACTATTTTTACTTTCAGATGGTATAATATGGTGTATTAGTCTATTTTCATACTACTTTGAAGACATACCTGAGACTGGGTAATTTATACAGAAAAAAAAGGTTTAATGGACTGACAGTTCCACATGGCTGGGGAGAACTCACAATCACGGCAGGAGGTGAAGAAGGAAGGAACAAAGCCAAGTCTCACATGGCAGCAGGCAAGAGAGCCTGTGCAGGTGAACTGCCCTTTATAAAACCATCAGATCTCATGAGACTTATTAACTATCATGAAAACAACACAGAAAAATCCGCCCCATGATTCAGTTATCTCCCACCAGGTCCCTCCCACAATATGTGGGGATTATGGGAGCTACAGTTCAAGACGAGATTTGGGTGGGCACGCAGCCAAACCATATCATCTGGTATGTAAAAAATCCTAAATTGTCTATTGAAAAACTATTAGAAGTGATAATTGAAGTCATAAATGTTGCAACATATAAGATAAATATGCAAAATCAAATGTATATCTATATGGAAGCAGTAAGAAAACTGAAAATGACCTTTAAAAACTAATTAAGTTTATAGTACCATTAACAAAAATGCTTAAGAATACATTTAACAGAATTGCAAAACTTGTACTCTGAAATGACAAGAGTGTTAAAGAAATTAATGAAAACCTACATAAGTGGATATATATCCCATGCTAGTGAATTGTAATAGTAATTTTTCTTATGATAGCAAACTGCTATAATATTTACTGCAATTTTCAGAGACAGACAAGCTGATTCTAAATTTATATATAAATTGTTGGGACATAGCCAATACAGTGTTGAAAAAGATGTACAAAATAGAAGCACCCACACTTTTCAATTTTTAAAATTACTGATTTTAGAAATTGCTACAAAGCAGCAGTACTCAAAAGTGTGGTACTGACATAAGAACATACATATAAATCAACAAAATACAATTGAAAGTTTAGAAATACACCCTTACATTATGGTCAATTGAGTTTTGGCAAAGATGCCAAGACCATTCAATGTGGGGAAGAATAGAGTTTTCAACAAATAATTCTGGGACAACTTGATATCCACTTGCAAATGTAGGAACTCAGCTACCTCACACCATGATATGGTTTGGCTGTGTCTTCACTGAATCTCATCTTGAATTGCAGCTCCCATAATTCCCACGTGTTGTGGGAGGAATGGTGAGAGATAATTGAATCTTAGGGGTGGTTTCCCCCATACTGTTCTTGTGGTAGTAAATACATCTCGTGCGATCTGATGATTTTATAATGGGAAATTCCTTTTTCTTGGCTCTCATTCTCTCTTGTCTGCTGCCATGTGAGGCATGCCTTTTGCCTTCTGCCATGATTGTGAGGCGTCCCCAGTCACATAGAACTGTGAGTCCATGAAACCTATTTTTTTAATAAATTACCCATTCTCAGGTATGTCTTTATCAGTAGTATGAAAATGAACTAATACAGTTTATTGGTACCAGTAGAAAAAGGTGCTACTGTAAAGTTATCTGAAAATGTGGAAGCGACTTTGGAACTGTGTAACAGGAAGAGGTTGGAACAGTTTGGAGGACTCAGAAGAAGACAGAAAAATGTGGGAAAGGTTGGAACTTCCTAGAGACTTGTTGAATGGTTTTGATCAAAGTGCTGATAATAATATGGACAATGAAATCCAGGCTGAGGTGATCTCAGATGGAGATGAGGAACTTGTTAGGAACTGGAATAAAGGTGACCCTTGCTATGTTTTAGCAAAGAGACTGACAGCATTTTGCCCCTGCCCTAGAGACTTGTGGAACGTTGAACTTGAGGCAGATGATTTAGGGTATCTGGTGGAAGAAATTTCAAAGCAGCAAAACATTGATGATGTGACTTGGGTGCTGTTAAAAGCATTCAGTTTTAAAAGGGAGACAGCATAAATGTTTGGAAAATCTGCATCCTCACAATGCAATAGAAAATAAAATCCCATTTTCTGAGAATAAATTCAAGCCAGCTGCAGAAATTTGCAAAAGTAATGAAAAGGAATGGCTCTCATTCTCTCTTGTCTGCTGCCACGTGAGACGTGCCTTTTGCCTTCTGCCATGATTGCAAGGCCTCCCCAGCCACATGGAACTGTGAGTTTATGAAACGTATACTTTTTAAAAAAATTACCCAGTCTCGGGTATGTTTTTATCAGCAGTGTGAAAATGGACTAATACACCTCATATACAAAAATTAACTCAAAATAAACAAAAGACCCAATGTAGAGTGTAAAACTATAAAACTTTTAGAAGAAGGAATAGGTGCAAATACTTCTGAACCTGGATTAGGCAATGGTGTTATATATATATATGACTTCAAAAACACAAGGAACAAAATAATAATACATAAATTGTACATTACTAATTTCTTTTAAAAGTTTGTACTTCAGAAAACACCATTAAGAAAGTAAAAAGAGAGCCCATCAAATGGGGAAAAATATTGAATGAAATCACAGATAGGTGGCTTATGGAGGGTGGAGCAGGAGTGATAGGTTTAAGATGGCTGACTAGAGACATTGGACACTTGCCCTCTCTACAAGGAAGGATTCAAATTGAAAATAGGTAATCAGACTTTGAATAGAACATCTTGGAGAGAACACTAGATTTCAACAGAGATGTCACAGGAAATACCTGAGGCACAGAAGGAGAAGGAAGTGAGCATCCATCTTGGCTGATACTGGCTGGGAGCCCCAAGGGGCTCCATATTGCAGGGTAAGTGAAGGACCCTCAGTTGTCCAAATCCCCATCACAAACTGCTACAATTTGAAGCACAGGAGAACTCCTGTACCCACACAAACTCTGAGACTAGGTTCAGTGGTGATCTGGAGGTCCTGTGAGGGCATTACACTAGACAGGTAACTCACACTGGGTCACACAATCCCCTGAGAACTAAGCGGCTGTAGAACAGCACCATTGTGAGAACATAACTGTCACCAAACTTCATTAGACCCTGAGATCCACAGCCCTCATATTTCCCAATTTTAGGAGGCCCCACTGACATTCCGCAGCATTCACCTGGAGAACTACAGTGGCACGACACAATCTGGACCCAAATGTGCTGCAAAGTCCTCAGTACTTTAGCCCATATAAAGTACCACTTCTTCAAAAAATGGACAGTGCAGCACACCAAGAAGGTAGGCCCCTGGGACAGAAGAAACAAGAGGATGATTTCCAGACCCTGAGGTCTTTCTGGCTGGGGCTGTGAGAAGAGACTCTGCCTCCAGCAGTGCACCTGGCATCTCTATCCACAACAAAACTTAACCACAGCCACCACTAATAATAACCACTCTCCAAGCCATTGAGGAAATCAAAGATACAGAGACTACACTACCACATGCATCTAGAATCAAATCAAAAAAGCTGTACCCAACCAACACCATTGATACAGCTTCAGGAAAATATCCTCCTCTATGACAGTAAATTTAAAAAATTAGAGAAAGTGGCTATTACACCAGGTATGAAGATATGAATGTAAGAACACAGGAAACACGAAAATGCAAGGACATGTGGCACCTCCAAAGGAAAATAATAATTCCCCAGCAACACATTGAAATCAAGTAGAAATTCAGAAAATAATAGAAAACGACTTAAAATGTAATACTAAAGAAGGTTAGCAAGATAGAATTCCAAAAAGCAGTACAATTGAATCACAAAAAATTAAAATATTAATGACAAATTTACAAAAGAGATACATGTCACAAAAAAAAACCAAACAAATTCTGGAACAGAAGAATTAATTGAACAGGAGAAAATATATTTTAATGCTTCAAGAATACACTGGGTCAAGAAGGAAAAAGAATCTTAGTACTTGAAGACTCGTCTTTGGAAATAACCCAGTCAAAGAAAAAACAGAATGATGATCTAATATTGTCAGGGACATAGGAACTGGCCGAGATGTCATGATGAAGATGCCAAAAGCAATTATAACAAAAACAGAAATTGGCAAATGGGACCAAATTAAACTAAAGAGCTTCTGCACAGTAAAATAAACTATCAACAGAGTAAACAGACAATGTACAGGATGGGAAAATATTTGCAAACTATGCATCTGACAAAGGTCTAATATCCATAATCTACAAGTAACTCAAAGAAATCCACAACCAAAACACAAACAACCGGATTAAAAAGTGGGCAAAGAACATAAACAGACACTTTTCAAAAGAAGACATACATACACTTTCAAACGACATACATACACTTTCAAAAGAAGCCAACAAGCATGTGAAAAAATTCTCAACATCATTAGTCTTTGGAGAAATGCAAGTCAAAACTACAATGAGATACTATCTCACACAGTCAGAATGAGTATTACTAAAAAGTCAAAAAATAATAGATGCTGGCAATGCCATGGAGAAAAGGGAATGCTTATACACTGCTAGTGGGAATGTAAATTAGTTGAGCCATTGTGGAAAGAAGTTTGGCAATTTCTCAAAGAACTCAAAGCAGAATTACCATTCGACCCAACAATCCCATTATTGGGTATGTACCCCAAAGGAATATAAATCATTTTACTATAAAGACACATGCACGTGTATGTTCATTGCAGCCGTATTCACAAAAGCAAAGACATGGAAACAACCTAAATGCCCATCAGTGGTAGACTGGCTAAAGAAAATGTGGTACATGTACACCATGGAATACTATGAAGCCATAAAAAAGGAGTAAGATTACACTTTTTTTTTTTTTTGGCAGCAACATGGATGGAGCTGGAGGCCATTATTTTAAGCAAACTAATGCAGGAACAGAAAACCAAATACTGCATGTTCTCATTTATAAGTGAGAACAAAACATTTAGCACATATGGTCACAAATAAGGGAACAACAGACACCAGGGCTTACTTGGTGGTACAAAGAGTGAGGAAAGTGAAGATCAAAAAAATATAAAAAATAAAAACAAAAATCTACTTATCGAGTACTATGCTTATCACCTTGGTGACAAAATAATCTGTACACCAAACCCCTGTGACTTACAATTTACCTACACTGCCAATCTGCACATGTACCCTGAAATAAAATAAAAGTTAAAAAAATAATTATAAAACATACTAAAATGGTTTTGTCTATTAACTTTGTATACCGTGACCTGGTAAAATTTGTTTTTAATTTTTATGCGATATAATTCACACATAATAAATTCATAATCCTAAATTATAGAATATACTGACTTTTAATATAGATGAAATTTTACAGCAATCATTACTAATACCAGAACATTTTATTAACTCCAAAAGAATTTCCATATCAATTAAAAATCACTCTCATTTCCCTCTACCCTAGCCCCTGTGAACTGCTAATATACTTTCTGTACCTATGAATTTGCCTATTCAGGATATTTCATATAAATGCAATTATATCCTATGTGTCTTGACACTTTAAATAGGCATGATGTTTTCAAGTTTCATCTATGTTGTAGCATGTATCAGTACTTAATTCCTATTTATGGCTATGAACTGTTGTTCACTTTATGGATATGCCAAATTTTGTTCATCCATTTATCAGTTGATAGACATTTGGGTTATTTCCACTTTTTGGTTGTAAATAATGCTGTTATAAACATTCATGTTCAGGTTTTTGTCTGAACATATATTTTCATTTTCCTTGGTTATATGTCTAGGAATAGAATTTCTCAGTCATATGGTAAATCTAGATTAATTGTTTTTTAAAGTTATTAAATAGATTTCCTTCTCACTGGCAATGTCTAAGAGTTCAGATTTCTCTAAATTCTTGCCAATATTTCTTATTGTGTATCTTTTTTGATTACAGCCATCTTAGCGGGTGCTATGTGATACCTCATTGTGGCCAAAGTTTATATAGGTTGTTTTTTGGCAGGGTTGGTATTTTAGGCTTTCCTATGTAAACAGTCGTGTCTCTTGTAAGTAACATTACATATTCCACATTTTCAAACTTTATGCCCTTCATTTACTTTTCTTGCCTTTTAGAACTAACTATGACTGACAGTGCAAGGCCCAATATTTGTGATGAGAACAGATACCCTTATAGTCTCAAGATAAAACTTACTTGGCAATGACTTTTGTATATATTGCTAGACTTTTCCCTTTAAAATTTGTTAAAAACGTGTGCTTTTCTATCATGCGGGATGTTGAATTAACATTTTTTCTTATATGTTTTAGTTTTGTTATCAGAATAACTCTAGTCTTATAAGATGTGTTGATAATTGTCTTCGCTATTCTTTTCTGGAAACTTTTGGTTTGGGTAAAATAAGTACTTTCATTCTTTAATTATTTGGTTGAATTTACCAATAGCCACCTATGCCAAGCATTTAATTTGATGAAATATATTTAAATTATGAATGCAGTTTTGAATATTTTTTTAGAAAAGGAGTACTGTGACTTTGATTCTTGTGTGAGCTTTGATATTCTTTCTGTTTCAAAAAATGTCTGTACTCCATCTGTTTTATTAAAAGTATTTTTCACTCTTTATCTTTTTGGAACAGTTTGAGAAGAAATTATATTATTTTTAAGTGTTTGGTAGGATTTAGAATTGAAGCCATCTGATCCTGAGATTTTATTTGATATATTTTTAATCATTCAATCTCCTCACTCATTATGAGTATGTTTAGATTTTCTATTTTCATGATTTAGTGTCGGTAGGTTTTATGTTTTCAGAAATTTATTCATTTACTTTATGTTATTCAATTTTTTGACATATAACTTTTTATAATAGTCTCTTATGTCCCCTGGTATTTATGTGGTATCAGTTGTAATATTCCCTATTTCATTGCTGATTTTACTTTTTTCCTTTTCTTCTTTTTTAGTCTAGCTAAATATTTGCCAATTTAGTTACTCTTTTGAAAAAATAAACTCTTAATTTTGAGGATATTTTCCATTATTTTTCTAGTCTCTCATTTATTTCTGCCCTGACATATATTATTTCCTTCATTTTACCAACTTTGTGCTTAGTATATTTTTTATTTTAATTCCTTGAGACGTAATGTTAATTTGCTTATTTGAGAGCTTTCTTCTTTTTTAAGGCATTTATTGCTATGAACTTCCCTTTTCTAACTGATTTTGCTAAGCTCCATAAGTTTTGATATGTTGTGTTTACATTTTTTTGTCTCAAGATATTTTAAAATTTTGTTTTTCATTTGTTATTTGATCCAGTGGTTGTTCAGGGGTGTGTGCTTTAATTTCCACATAGTTGGAAGTTTTCCAGTCCAATTGTTGTTATTGGATCCAATCCAATTGTTTTCCAATCCAAGCGTTATTGTTATTGTGGCTAGAAAAGATACTTGATATAATTTCAATCTTCTTAATTCTTAAGGCTTGTTTTATAGCCTAATGCACCTATCCTGAATAATGTTCTCTGTGTGTTTGATAAGATAGTGTATTCTGTTGCTCTTAGGTCCATTTGGTCTAACATAAAGTAACAAGTCCAATATTTTGTTTTTATTTCTCTATCTAGATGATCTATTTATTGATAAAAGTGTGTTATTTAAGTGCCCTACTATTATTATATTGCAGTCTCTCTCTCTCTCTTTATTTCTACCAACATTCTCTGTACATATTTATGTGCTTTGATGTTGGAGATATATATATATATATATATAGTATTGTTATATCCTTTTGACATATATAATATATATTATTGTTATATCCTTTTGACAAATTGATCTCTTCATCACCTATAAAAAAACTTTATCTCCTTTTTTTTGGTTTTTGACTTGAAGTCTATTATGTCTAATACAAATATAGCTACCCCAGCTCTATTTTGGTTTCTAGATGCATGAAATATCTCCCTTCATTATCAGTCTATGTATGTCTTTAAAAATGATGTGAGTCTTTTGTAGAGAGCATATACTTGCATATTTTTTAAACCATTTAGCTATTCTTAAAGGTGTCCAATAAATCCTGTAGGCTTTATTTATTTCTTTTCATTCTATTTTCTTTTATTTCCTGTGATAGAACATTTTCAAATGACCTTTGAGTTCACAGAATCTTTATTCTGCTTGATCAATTTTGCTAACACTCTCTATTACATTATATTTTTATTTAATTAATTGTATTCTTCAGCTCTAGAATTTCTGTTCTGTTATGGTTTCTCTCTGTTAAACTTCCTTTTTGTTCACATATTGTTTTTGTATTTGACTGAATTGTTGATCCGTATTTTCTTGTAGCTTACTGAGCTTCTTAAAACAATTGTTTTGAATTCCTTGTCAGAAAATCCACAGATCTCCATTTTTTTTTAAGATCAATTACTGGAAAATTACTGTGTTCCTTTGGTAGTGTCATGTGTCCTTAGTTTTTTATAATGTTTGTTGCCTTGCATGGATGTCTGTGCAATTTATTGAGAAATCACCTCTTCCAAACTTCTCATACTGCTTTCATTGGGGAAAGACCTTCACTTACTTGTAGGTGTGAGTGATGGCTGGATGAGTGGAGGGTTGGGGAGTACAGCAGTTCCAGCTCTGGTGAGGGTACATCAGTGTCATCTCCATGTAGGTTTGTCATCTGAGGTCAGTGTCAATGAAGATTTTGGGGGTCCTCAGCACACAAGATGGTAGTTGTCTGTGGCGGCAGTAAGGACCGTTGGAATCTTCTGCGGCAAAAGCTACTGACATACTCTTGATCTCTTTTTCTCCTACGAGGAAGCTGGAGCCCAGGGTATCCCTCTAAAAGCCATGTACACCACATGGGTGGACTTGTGATAGTAATGTCACTAGTGTCTATGCATGAAGCTCATGGAGCAGCCATAGACTTGGGATCAGGAACACTGGCATGCATGGAGAGACCACAACTACTGAAATTAATGCAGCAGTGGCACCAGTGCACAGGGTACAGGCAACCCCACTGCTGCTTTGGTAATAATGTACAAAGTATGGGTGCTTGTGGCACAGCTGGGGATCTGGAACCCAGAGCATGGGTTTTCACAGACTGTATTGGCTCTGGTTCCTAAGCATGGGAGCTCTTGCTCCAGGGTGGCCCTGGTGTCCTAGGCATAAGTAATCATGGGAAGATTGTGGTTCTGGGGTCTGGGGCACACATGGGGTTTGGGAGATGGTTGCTCCAATCCCAGGGCAGCACAATAGCATTGCCTTCTTGGGAGGGATGGACACTGCAGCATTGCTCTCTTAAAGGGGTTCCACAACATTAATGGCTATTGGACTGCTAGTGTCCTCTACAGATCAGACCACTGGATACTACGGTGGCCCCTACCAGGTGGCTGATATTAATAGTCCTTACCCTTTTTCTTTGTTTCTTGGAATCTCCAGGCATCTCAAGTATACCAGTCTCCTCAGCAATCCTTTCTGTGTGCTTCTTTCCTTTTATTTTTTTCACAGTGCTGCTGCAGCAAATATCTATATCTGTATCTATATTTCAGGATATTTAAGGTAACTTTTAGTTATTTAATCTTGCTTAAATGTATTTTGGTCAGTGAACACACTGTTATAGGTCAAAATGTGTCCCTTTTCAAATTAATTTGTTGATGCCCTATATTCCTATACCTCAGAATAAGACTATATTTGGTGATAGAGCTTTAAAGGGGATGATTAAGGTAAAATAAGGTCATGTCAATGGACCTTAATCCAACATGACTGGTATCCTTATAAGAAGAAGATATTAGAATATCGACAACACACAAACTGAGGGAAAACCATGTGAGATCACAGCAAAAAAGAGGGCATTCGTAAGCCATGGGCAGGTGCCTCAGTAAAAATCCAACTTGGTGACACCTTAGTCTCGGCTTTCTAATCTCCAGAATTGTGGGAAAATTAATTTCTGCTGTTTAAGCTACCTAGTGTGTACTATTTTGTTAAGGTAGCCTTTACAATCTAATACATACATTTTGATTTTAAGATTTTACATTTATTGTGGCTTTTTATGGCCCAAAATATTGTCTATCATAGTGATTTTTCTGTATAAGCTAGAAAATAACATGTATTTGGATGTATTAAAAATAAGTTTTATAAATTCTAACTAATGCAATTATTTAAATTATTTTCCTTCTGTTATTCTGTTATTTGAGAAGAGTATTGAAATCTCCAACTATTATTTCAAATTTGTGTGTTTATCCTTTATTAGTTTTTGCTTCATGCATTTTGAAACTCTGTGATTACATTATGAACCTATTTAGCATATTTATGTCCTTATGAAATAGCACTTTTTATCTCTATTTTTTCTAATATTAACATAGCCACTCCAGCTTCCTTTTGATTAGTGTTTGTATAACATACTATTTTCATTTGCTTTTAACATATTAATGTTCTTATATTTAAAGTTTGTTTTATGTAAACCACATGCATTTGAATTTTGCTTTCGTATACATTATGATAATCTATTTTAGTTAGAAAGTTTGGCTGTGTTCTTTACAGTATGTTAGCTGCTAGCTACATATACCTGTTGAGTACTTGAAATATGACTAGTCTCAATTTAGATGTGTGATAAGTGTAAAATAAACATGGGATTTTGGAGACTTAGTCTGGAGACAAATGATATGCAATATCTTATTAATACACTCTTCCATTGATTATATGTTGAAATTATAGTCTTTTAAATATACTAGGTTAAATAAAATATATTACTGAAGTTAATGTTTACATTCATAATATGACTACCAGAAAATTTAAAATGCTGCATATGATTCACATTATATTTCTTTGAGACAATGCCTGTTTTACCATTGGGATTTAATGTACTTATTGATATCTTGTGGTTTAAATCAGTTATGCTACTATTTATTTTCTCTTTCATATGTTATTTGTTCATTTATTTTTACCTCATTTCTTGCTTTATTTGGAAATAATAGAAAGTTAATTTCATTTTTTCCCACCAAATGTATTACTATATTTGTTTTGCTTTTTATTGATTGCTATAGAAATTTCAATATACATATTTAGTTTATTATAGCCAACCTTTAATTAATATTATATTGCTTAATTGCCTTACAATTGAAAATTTCTATTTCACCCTCTCGTCCTTTGGGCTACCAGGTTACATGTTTTAATTCTATGTATTTTATAAACTGTGTAATTTTGCTTTAAATAGGCAACTATCTTGTAAAGAGATCTTTAAAATGAAAACATACTTACCCCCCACAAATCTTTATATTTATATATTTTTGTATATAGTTTCTAGTACTATTTATACTTTTATGAATGCCCAGATTTCCACATGTATAATTTTACATTTTTCTGAACATTTTATTAACATTTTTCTGTGTGTGTGAAGGTCTGGTGATTACTAACACTTTAACTTTTGTCTTAAAAATATTTATCTTTAATTTCTGAATTCTGTTTTTGTTGGGTATATATTTCTAGGTTGACAGTGATTTTCTTTACTTTAAAAATGTCATACATTCCCTCATGGATTGAATTATTTTTAACATGAAGCCTACTATTGTTATTGTCTCTTTTTTTTGGATATATGGTAATCTTTATGTAATGTCTTCTTTCTCTGTCTATATTTAAAATTTCCTCCTCAGTGTCTTCAGCAATTTGATTATGATTTGCCTCAGTTGATTTCTTCATGTTTTTTAATGTAATTTTAAGAACTCTAGTTTTGATCATCATTTGAATATATTTTAGATTTGACCAACTCTACCCAACTAGCTCAAATCTGAATGAGAATTTGTGTTCACCTTATCTTATGTAAAGTGTGGATTTACTGAGCATGAGAATAGTACATACTTGAGTATTTTCCTACCTGCTTCTTTTCTCTTGCAACATATGGATTCAGTAATGTAACCATACTCTCCCTCTTTTCCTTCTAGCACACTTTTCCTTTAAATATTGGAGACCTCAAAATAATCTTTGAAGAAAGGTACAGACCACAGACTGTTTCTGTGATTTACGTTTTCCTTTCTTCTGGGCATGTACTTAGTTCTACCAAAATAAACTTCAAAACTGATTGAGACCTGTCTTAGATCCTTTTTGGTTTACAAAATGGCCACCAATGGAAGGGACTCTGAGTGGAGGTGGCCTTTGACTAATCTCCTATGGGTTCATGGCAACAGCCTGGACTAACTTTATTGCTCAAGCTCAAATTGTCTTTATTGCTCAAAGACAATTATTGCTCAAAGACAATTTGCCAAAGTCTGGGAGCTTCTCCCTCCACAGAATCTATGATCTCACTAAATTTGGTTGAGATCTAAGGTTTATTTTGCTGTACAGCTCCTCGTTTTGGAGTTTTACTCACTTCCCACAAGGAAAGCGAGTTTTCGTGCCTCCATCATGATGGAGGACAGGCAACTCCTTTCTGGAATTTCAGCTCACTTATAACAGGGAAGGCAAGTTTTACTTTTTTCCTGCTTCTGAGATGGTAGGGAGCAGGCTTCAGCCCAGGCACCATTTGTAGGTAATTAGCCAAATTGCCATTTTGTCTTGAAAATTCTCCTTCAGGACTAAAAGTTAAGATTCACAACAAGCCACTAACTAATTTCTCCTTACCTTAAGAGTGTTCTGTTGTTGTTTTCATCTTTCTTGCACAGGATTTGACCAACTCTACCCAACTAGGTCAAATCTAAATGAGAATTCCAAATTATGGGGACCAGGGTTTTGAATCGGCTAAAATTCCCTGCAGCTGCAAAAATAACAAATAACAAACGATGATCAAAAAAATTTTTTTTGACTTCTCGAGGGATTTCATTTACATAAGAAGGTTGCCTTTTACTAACCAAGCTGCCTCTAGTTTGTCTGGTTTTCTTCTGAGAAGAACAATAGTGGCCATTTCATGCTATATTTCAGTAGCTAAGATTCTGCTCTTTTCACTGTGGCAGGCTGGATTTGGCTCTTAAATAAAATCCTTTCTGGTTTGATAGTTATGTTAACTTAGTATATCAGCTGTTTGTTCTAGCTAAAATAGAGTAGTGAGAGATTTGAAAGAATTATTTTAGGAGCTTTATGGTTAAAGTCAACTTAATTAAAAGCTGGTATCCACACTACACACACACACACACACACACACACACACACAGCCTTTATCTTTATGTTTCTTCTCTTTTTATCCTGCTTTTGGGAATTTTTTTTTCCAGTGGACTGAAATTCTCTTCAAGAAAACACTATGTGCTTTGTTTCTTTTTTTACTTCCTTTCTTAAAAAACTATTCTTTCATTTACTTTTCTTCCACCTTATTACTCTTTCCCTTTGCCATCTTCTGTACCAAGTGAAAAGACCTAGAGAACGCTTCTAATCACTCAGACTCCTTAAATAACTCAGAATAAAGATGCCACTCACCCCTCTTTTAGGGTCTTCTGCTTTCTTTGTGAAGTCACTAGAGCCAAAGGCAGATTCCCCTCAGGTCCAACTCTGTGCTCTTCTGCATTGTGTTACCTGATCTTTTTAGCTTTTGAGGGTATCAAAAATCACTTTGTATTATGACAAAATTTTTTTCTTGGTATCTGTAATAGCTTGGTAATTGATATATTTTTGGGAATGATTAAATGGCAGTTGTTTACAGTAAATAGTTATTGCTACAGGGGCTACTCTTTGCATGTTTAAGAAAGAGTGCAGTTCAGACATGTAAAGAAATACAACTGTATTTCTTTAAAACAAAGTACACTGTAAGGAAAAGTACAAAAAAAGTACACTGTAAAGAAAAGTACACTGTAAAGGCATGACATGGCATAGTCCCATGATATCTCTCTCTTTTTGGAGACCCAGCATTCAGTGTGGGCTCCTCTGAGAGCTCAGTGGTACAGTTAAAACTTAAAGACTAAATTTAGAACTACTTATTTAAATAAAATGGGTCCCATTATAAAATCCTTTGGTAGATTTTTATAATTTTATGTTTGACTTGGCATACATTTTTAATCTTCCTCTAACACAACCAGACTTTCTCTCTCTGTATTTTGATATGTAAATTTTTGCTATCTGTGTTTCACGTTAGAGGTGTTTCTTTAGTATGCAAATTTAGGGCTATCTAGCTGACAATTGCCTTGGATAGTGAAATAAGTTCTCAAAAAATTGGAAGTCTAAAATAAGAAAGAAAAAACAGTCTTATAAATTTATAAGATCTACTCTTGTCTATGTGTCTGTGTATGTATTTATATGTTCTTTATATAATGTTTCACTGCTCTCTCTCTCTCTATATATATGCTCTAATTAGTTGGCTTAAATAGTAAAAAAAAAATATTTTATCAGGAAAGTAGAAACTTTAATCCTAAATGCTTTTTCAAGTTCATGTGACTTAAGCACATTTTTTAATTAATAAGCTGAATTTAAATTATTGGTAAAATAAAATTAGAAATGTCTTCAGAATGGTCAGCATACATTATTGTTTAGATATACTGGTCAAGCAGTTTTTTATTTTATCTCTACTAAATATGATAAGTTGTCAAAATTTGGCATGGGGGTTATAAAACTATTAAATGCCTCCCAAAACAGAATTATCTTTCTGTACTTTTTTGATAAATAAGACATCTTAATATTGTTAGTTTAATAAAAACAGCTAAATCCTGAGCTATTAGCAAAAGACCCGTTTATGTAACCTTAAGTTTCTTACTTAGGTAAACACTAGAAATTCACAAGCTCTAAAAATGATTAACAGAGAAATAACTCTAAACGATGGCAATTGCAATTTTCATTAAAAAAACTAGGTCAGTTATTAATAAATAAATCAATTAGGTAAATGTAAATGAATAAAGGCTTGAAAATAAGCTTTTCATATAATTTAGAATCTAAGGCTATATTAAATAAAATAATAGATATTTATTAAATATCTGGGTCATTTCTAATTAAAATATATATAAGGGAAAAAAATTCTAAAAAATATGTTTTTATTAAAGAAAAGTAATTTTATATGAGAACGAGTGTTGTATGGTAAATTTCTGTCCTAATATGAAATAAGTAGTTATTTAAGAAAGATTTTTTTTAAGATAAAACACAAAGTCCAAGTTTGTTGTCAATTACTTGTTTAATTCCTAACAATGTTTGCATAAAGAGAAATTAAAAACATCTTTGTGATTAAGTTGGCTATAATTAAAAGGAAATCATTTATAATAATTTTTCTAGAGACTGAGGTTTGATATTAAAAATACACTAATACACTAAAAATTGGTTAGAAAAACAAAATTTTTACAAGGTATTAATTTACTCAAAAAATTATAAGACATTTTAATTTTAATCCAAACATTCAACTTTTATTGGTTCTTACTCTTTTCAGGTTTTTTCTCCTTTTTGAGAAGACCTGAGATAATAACTTTCTCCTTCAAATTTTTCATCAGCTCCCATAATTTTTTCCTTAGGTTCTAACTGCTGTTGTAGCCTGATGTTAAAAATGTTTTATTCTAAAGGTATAAAGAAAGTGTTTTCTTCCAATATAACATTCTGTACTCATCTTTTCTTAATATGTCTAAATTGTTCTATGAAACCAAAAATATTCACTTATTACCCAGGATGCACTCCTCCAATGTCTAATTAATTCAAGTACCATTTTCATTAGTTTTGACTTGCAGGTTATCTAAAAGGACTCCCCATGGGGAGAAGTCATTACATTGCCGTAGGTCTTTTTTTTGCCTTTTGGTAAATGGCCTTACAAGAAGATTTTATGTTTTATCAAAATAATTTTTATGTCATCATTATTAAGCTTTTGATTCACTTAGGAAAACTGAGATTAAAATTAAATAAAATAAGATTATTACATCCTTGTCCCATTCTGTATGGCTTTCAAAGTCCTTGTGCTGTCAAGTTACAGGGCTTTGACACCTGGGTCTAAAAAAGACATCAACTCTTGCTAAATCTTAAATATTGACAGCAGTTAAAGCTTCATCTTCAAATCCCAGAGAAAATGACAATCAAAATAAACTGCATTCATGAGACACATGAACATACAACTATTCAATATTTTTAGGCCCATGTACTATTACAAAAGAGCTGGGTGCATGAGATTGTAAGGGCCAAGTTTGAGAGAGAAAATTATCTCAGAGTTTTTCTATAAATTAAACACTAACATAAAATACACACTAATGCAAACAAGTGTCTGGACCCCTGTGCCAGGTTAACAAGGTTGTCTTTGAACATTAACCCACCATTTCATAAACAATTGTAAAAGATTATAAAAAGGTTTATGAAAATTATATCTTATGGTCAAGATGATTAAAATTTAATGGATTTATTTGTAAGATTTGAGAGACAGATTTAATTTAATTAGCCTCATACTGTCTTTACTATGACTTATTGTTTGGGAAAGTAAGTCTCCTCTTTCGAAGAGTAAAGGTTTTTGCTCTTTTTTTGAAATCATAGAGTTATCACCTCAGCTAAATCAATGATTTATTTTACAATGACTTATGACTCTATTTTTTGACATTACGTGTTTTAAACCTTTGGCATTTGACAAACTTTCCAAAATCACATTCTAAATTCAATGTTTCTTACTTCATTACTTTATTTTGTAATATAATAATATTCTATTGTTTTGTATACTAAGATAATACAGAAAGCATTGTCAAATATAAAACAATGTTCAACCCTCTTTGGATTGTATTTATATAAGTGTGTTATTAATTTTTGTTCCAAAATTGTATGAGATTCCTGTGATTCTGATATTTATTAATGTATACTATGAAGTATTATAGTAATTATGATTATTATGTTAAATTGTTGTATGCCTCAGAAGTAACCAAATTTTCTCACGAATTTTGTCTTTATGGCTGTTCTAAGACTTTTGTCATCCACAATTGTTTTACTTTGATACTTTTATAGGGAAGTTAATAATCAGCTATAGTACTCTGAGGAGCACTCTCATAAATATAGATTCCTGATAAATTTAGAGTTTGTGCCATTGGAATAGAGAAAACAACTTCCAGGACTCTCATGGATAACTAATGTATTCATCAGGATTTCTAATCCAATATTGAGCACAATAGGAGTAAATTGCATGAACTGAATAAATAGAAGAGTGAAAAAATATTTTTATGACTTTTTGTTTAAAACATTTGCTGATTCTTTTTGTTTTGTTTTTCAGAGCCAAGATAACCTTTTCTTCTTTTAAGCTACTTACAGCTTTTAACAATTGAGTAAAATATGCTCTTATGACCAAAATGTAAAACATAATTTGTCAGTTTCAAAATTTGGGAGCTTTTTGTGAGAATTCTTAATTTATGATAATATAGTTACTTGCATAAGTTAAATAAGACTCTGATTTCGGCCGGGCGCGGTGGCTCACGCCTGTAATCCCAGCACTTTGGGAGGCCGAGGCGGGTGGATCATGAGGTCAGGAGATCGAGACCATCCTGGCTAACAAGGTGAAACCCCGTCTCTACTAAAAATACAAAAAATTAGCCGGGCGCGGTGGCGGGCGCCTGTAGTCCCAGCTGCTCGGGAGGCTGAGGCAGGAGAATGGCGTGAACCCGGGAAGCGGAGCTTGCAGTGAGCCGAGATTGCGCCACTGCACTCCAGCCTGGGCGACAGAGCGAGACTCCGTCTCAAAAAAAAAAAAAAAAAAAAAAAAAAAACTCTGATTTCTTGTATAACAGGACATGTTGGAGACACAGATTATTTTACCAAGGCTTTGAGTGGAATGGCATATTTTCAGATGGCCTTGAGAAAATGAGGCTGACTTACAGAGACAATAAAAGCCCCTTGGAAAAACTGGCCTCATTCCTTGTCCTTTACAGGGTCCTGACGTATGGAAAGTAAAGAATGTTACTTTCTGACAGGCCCAGAAACTTCAAATGTTCTTGGACCTCAAAAAGAGAGAAATTCACCCAATTCATAAAGGTATTTGCAGGCACAGATAAATCCTTGGCTGATCTCAAGGCTTTAAAAAAGGTTTAATCTTGGATTCCTTATGAAAAAGATTCCAGCAAACCCATTTTTTTTAAAAAAGAGCTTACATGGCATATTATTATTATTGCTGCATTTCATGCAAATAACCAAGCCAAATATGAGACTAAACCTTATTTTAAAAATAAATTGATCCTTCTATGAGTTTGTCTTTTAAAAATTGGGGAATTTAATAGAGAAAATTATGTTTCTAAAAAACTACAGTATACCAGTTATTAGACCCTAGTTTTATCCAGTGTTTTTCAATGTTTATTATTTTTCTGCAATTTGAACTGAATTCTAAAATTTTTCCAGCTACAAGTCTCCAGAGTAATGTTTTCTACTTTTTCTTATTTCTTTCCAGTTTTATTGCTGATTTAAACTCACTAAACATCAAAGTTGTGCTTGTCTTAAAGCCCTGTAAATAGAAGCTAGACAAGTTAAAACTCAGAAGAAAATAAGAGCAACTTATTTATATACATAAACCACATATGGCTTATGCCAGTTTTCCAGGCTTGTTTTCCCTTTCTGGTTACTCCTCCTTCATTGCTGCTTTCTGTCTTTCTTCCCATCCTAATTTGTCTTCATGAGATGTGAGACTCCATAACCTGCTAAAAATAAGCTTTCCTAAAATCATGGAATCTATCCATCTAGGAATAAAGCATCTTAGCCTAGAAACTCACTTTAATCTCAGATGCTTTCTCCAAAAGATTTAATAAAGAGAGGAGGGAAAAATGTGAAAGGAAAATACAATCTTAGGACCCCAATATGCTATGCCGAAAGGAAAAATTGAGCTGAAAGCTGAGTCATGCAAGAAACTGCCTTTCCTTTTGTTCCTAAGCAAATAGCTACAGATAAAAGGCCAGGTAGCTCCACAGGTAGCTACTCTATATTCACCTTATCTTATGTAAGGAGCAGATTTACTGAGCTTGAGACTAATACATCCTTGACTATTCCACTCTCTGCTCCTTTTCTCTTGCAACATGTGGATTGAGTAATGTGACTGTACCCTCCCTTTTCTTCCTCAATTATCCTTTTTCGTTTTAAATATTGAAGACCTCAAAATCATCTGTGAAGAAAGTCACAGAACACAGACTGTTTCTGTGATTACTGTGTTCCTTCTTCCTGGGCATTTCCTAAATTATGGGGAAATAAACTTCAAAATGTATAGGGACCTGTCTCAGATACTTTTTGGTTTACACATTCTACAGTAGCTGAACTAATTTAAATTCCCACAAACTGTGCCTAAGCATTCTTTTCTCCACAGCCCCGTCACCATCTACTGTTTTTTGACTTTTTAATAATAGCCATTCTGATTGGTGTGAGAGGATATCTCATTGTGGTTTTCATTTGTATTTCTCTGATGATCATGATGTTGAATTTTTTTTCATACGTGTGTTTGTTGCTTGTATGTCTTCATTTAAGAAGTGTCTGTTTATGTTTTTGCTTACTTTATAATGGGATTATTTGTTTTCTTCTTCTTAACTTTTTTATATTCCTTATAAATACTGGATATTAGACCTTTGTCAGATGCATGATTTGTGAATATTTTCTCCGATTCTGTAGGTTTTCTGTCTACTCTATTGATAGTTTATTTTACCTTGCAGAAGATCTTTAGTTAGGTCCCACTTTCAGTTTTTTGTTTTGTTACATTTGCTTTTGAGGACTTAGTCATAAATTATTTCTCAAGCCCAATGTCCAGAATAATGTTTTCTAGATTCTGTTCTAGAATTTTGTAGTTTGAGGTCTTACATTAACATCTTTAATCCAACTTCAGTTAATTTTTGTATATGATGAAATGGAGGGTAGTTTTATTGTTTTCTATATGGCTAGCCAGTTTTTCCAGCATCATTTGTTGAATAGAGAGCCTTCTCTCCACTGTTTATTTTTGCCAACTTTTTCATAGGTCAGTTACTTGTAGGTGAGTGGCTTTATTTCTGTATTGCCTATTCTGTTTCTTTGGTCTGTATGTTTTTATACCAGTACAATGGTATTTTGGTTACTGTAGCCTGTGAAAGGAAAATAAATCTCATGACCCCAAAATCACTAAGCCAAAGGGAAAAGCTGAGCTGGGAACTGAGTCAGGTAAATCTGTCTCTCATTTTATTTCTAAATAAGATAGCTATAAATATAAAAATGTACATACCTCCCTCACAATTTGCCCACAAGGAAATTCTTCATGGGCCTCAAGATCTTTGCCCTAAAACAGTTCTGTTGGTTTATACCCTGGCAATGTAAATTGATAGCTTACCGTCATTGGTGCTGAACAAAGGACAGAACTCAAAGCCACCTGAGAAAAATGCGTATCTGATTGCTTTCTCTGCCTTATTGTTTATGTAAAAATGCAGGTTCACTGAGCGGAGCTAAGGCATAAGTAACTATTCCTTTACCCCCCTCTCACATGTAAATTATGTATTCAGCTAAAAGCTGATCAAAGACCCAAAAGATTACAACCTTTTGTCTCTTGTCTACTTATAACCTGAAAGCCCCTGCTTTGAGCTGTCTCACCTTTCTGGACCTAACCAATGTCCAACTTACACATATTGATTGACGCCTCATGTCTCCCTAAAGTGTATAAAAGCAAGCTATACCCCGACCTCCTTGGACAAAGGTCATCAGGACCTTCCAAGGCTGTGTCACAGACACATCTATAACTTTGGTAAAACAAACTTTCTAAATTGACTGAGACCTGTCTCAGATACTTTTAGTTCACCATCCATATAGTATAGTCTGAAATACTGTAATGTGATGCCTTGGATTTAATCTTTCTGCTTAAAATTGCTTTGGCTAGTTGGGCTTTTTTTGGTTCCACATTCATTTTAGAATAGTTTTTTTTCTAACTCTGTAAAAAATGACGTTAGTAGTTTGATTGGAATAGTATTAAACCTGTAGATTGCTTTAGGGAGTATGGCCATGTTAAGAGTATTGATTCTTTAAATCCATGAGCATGAAATATTTTTTCACTTTGTTTGTGTCACTTATGATTTCTTTCAACAGTGTTTTATAGTTATCCTTGTAGAGATCTTTTACCTTTTTGGCTTGATGTATTCATAGGTATTTTATTTGTGTGTGTCTGTTGTAAAGGGGATTGCATTCTTGGTTTGTCTCTCAGCTTGAACTTTATTGGAGTATAGAAATGCCACTGACTTTTGTGTATAGAAATGCTATATTAATTTTTCATCCTGAACCCAAACTAAAATCATTTGTCAATTCCAAGAGCCTTTTGGTGGAGTCTTTAAGGTTTTCTAGGTATATAATCATATCGTCAGTAAAGAGAGATAGATTGACTTCTTCTTTTGTTATACAGATGCCATTTATTTCTTTCTCTTGACTCTGGCTGGGACTCTAACTGTGGGTAAGATTTCCAGTATGATGTTGAATAGTGGTGGTGGGTATGAGCAATCTTGTCTTGTCCCATGTCTTAAAATGAATGCTTTCAATGTTTTCCCATTCAGTATTATGTTGGCTGTCGGTTTGTCATAGATGAATCTTATTATTTTGAAGTATGATCCTTTGATACCTAGTTGTTGAGGGTTATTATCATGAAGGGATTTTGAATTTCATAAAAAGCTTTCTCCAAGTCTATTGAGATGGTTTTATAGTCTTTCTTTTTACTTCTCTGTATGTCGTGTATAACATGTATTGATTTGCATATGTTCAATCAACCTTGCATCTCAGGAATGAAGCTTACTTGATCATGGTGAATTAACTCTTCGATGTGCCACTGGATTTAGTTTCCTAGAATTTTGTTGAGGAGTTTTTTTGTCTATGTTCATCAGGAATATTGAACAGTAGTTTTCTTTTTTGTCATGTCTTTGGAAGCTTTCTTTTGACACCAGAGTGATGCTGACATTAGAGAATGAATTAGGAATGATTCCTTGCTCTTTGATTTTTCGGAAGAGTTTCAGTAGAATTGGTACTGGCTCTTCTATGTACGTCTGATAGAATTTGGCTGTAAATCCTCTGGTCTGGGACTATTTTTTTGTTGGTAAAATTTTTATTGCTGATTCAATTTTGAAACTGGATATTTGTTTGGAGTTTCAATTTATTCCTATTTTAATCTTGGGAAGTTGTATGTTTGTAGGAATTTATCCATTTCCTCTAGATTTTCTAGTTTGTGTGCATAGAGGTTTTCATAGTAGACTTAGAGGATCTTCTATATTTCTTTGGGATCAGTTGTAATGTCACCTTTGTAATTTCTGATTGTGCTTCTTTTGATCTCTCTCTCTCTCTTTTTTTTTTTTTTTTTTTTTTTTTGTTAATCTAGCTAGTGGTCTATTTTGTCTATTCTCTCATTTCCATGATTCTTTGCATTGAATTTTGGGTCTCAATTTTGTTCAATCATGCTCTGATTTTAGTATTTTTTTCTTCTGCTAGTTTTGGGGTTAGTTTGTTATTGTTTTTTTAGTGCCTCTAGGTGTGACGTTATGCTGCTAATTTGAGATTTTTCTAAAGACTTTTGGTAGATGTTTAGTGCTATATACTTTTATCTTTACACTACTTTTGCTGAATCCTGGAGATTTTCATATTTTGTGTCTCTCTTTTCATTCATTTCAAAACATTTTTTTTTGAGATGGAGTTTTGCCCTTGTTGCCCAGGCTAGAGTGCAATGGCGTGATCTCAGCTCACCACAACCTCCACCTTCTGGGTTCAAGAGATTCTCCTGCCTCACCCTCCCGAGTAGCTAGGATTACAGGCATGTGCCACCACATCTGGCTAATTTTGTACTTTTAGTAGAGATGGGGTTTCTCCATGTTGGTCACGCTGGTCTTGAACTCCTGACCTCAGGTGATCCGCCTGCCTTGGCCTCCCAAATTGCTGGGATTACAGGGGTAAGCCACCATGCCCGGCCCATTTCAAAACATTTTTTGATTTTTGCCTTAATTTTGTTGTTTATCCATGTTATTCAGGAGCAGGTTGTTTAATTTCAGTGTAAATGTTTGGTTTTAGAAACCCTGGTATTAATTTCTAGTTTTATCCCACTGTCTTCTGAGAGTATGGTTTGTATGATTTCAAGTTATTTTGAATTTCATGAGACTTGTTTTATGGTTAAAAATGTGTGTGATCTTAGAGTATGTTCTGTGTGCAGATAAGAAGAATATATATTCTTTTGTTGTTGGGTGGAGTCTTCTGTAGATGTCCATTAGGTCCAATTGGTCAAATGTTAAATTTAAGTCCAGAAATTCTTTGTGAGTTTCTTCCTTGATGATTTAACAGTATCACTAGGGTGGTGAAGGCCTTTAATATTATTGTGTGGCTGTCTAACTCTTTTTATAGGTCCAGAAGTAATCTGTGTGCTCCAATGTGGAATGTTCTTAAATATATATTTAAGAAAGTTAAATATTCCTATTGAATTAAACCCTTTATTATTATGTAATGCTGTTCTTTGTCTTTTTCAAGTGCTGTACATTTAAATTCTGTTCAATCTGATACAAGGACAGTGAGCTCTGCTCTCTTTTGTTTTCCATTTGTGTGAGAGATATTCCTTCAGCCCTCTATTTTGAGCCTATGGGTGTCATTATGTGTGTGATGATGTGTCTCCTGAAGACAGGAGATAGATGGGTCCTGCATTTTCATCCAACTTGCAACTCTGTGACTTTGGAAAGAAAATGAACATAAACTACAGAGAGAAAATGAACATAAACTACACTCTAGAACAAATGGACCTAACAGACCATTACAGAATGATCTACCCAAGAACTGTAGACTATACATTCTTTTCATCAGCACATGGAACATTCTACAAGATAGAACATAAATGACAAAACAAGTCTCAATATATTTTAAAAAATCAAAATCATATGAGTATCTTCTCAGACCACAGTAGAATAAAGCTACAAATCAACTCCATAAAGGAACCCTCAAAACTATACAAATACATGAAAATTAAACAATCTGCTCCTGAATGATTTTTGAGTTAGCATTGAAATCAAGATGGAATTTTTTTTTAATGTTTAAATTAATGACATTGCTAACTCAAGTTATCGAAACCTTTCAGATAGAGCAAAAGCAGCACTTAGAGGAAAGTTTATAGCACTAAATGTCTAAATCAAAAAGTCAGAAAGATCTCAAATTTACAAACTAACATCATACATCAAGGAACTAGAGAAATAAGAATAAACCAAACACAGTGATAGTAGGAGAAAATAGATAACAAGATCAGAGCAGTACTAAATAAAATTGAAACCAAAAAGTAATACAACAGAACAACAGAACAAAAAGTTGGTTCTTTGAAAAGATAAAGTTGATAGACTATCGGTGTATTAACCAAAAAAAGAAAATGGGGAAGATTCAAATAAGCTCAATTAAAAATGAAAATGGAGACATTACCACCAACACCACAGAGATACAAAAGTTCATTCAGGACTACTATGAACACCTCTATGCACACAAACTAGAAAAGTTGCAGGAAATGGATAAATTATTGGAAATATACAACCCTCCTAGCTTGAATCAGGAAGAAATAGAAATCCTGAACAGGCCAATAAGAGGCAGTGAGATTCAATCAGCAATTTTAAAAAAATTGCCAACAACAACAAAAAAGCTCAAGGCCAGATGGATTCACAGCCAAATTCTACCAGACCTTCAAAGAAGAATTAGTATTAATCCCACTGAAAGTATTTCAAAAGACTGAAAATGAGGGATTCCTCCCTAACCCATGTTATGAATCCAGTATCATACTGATACCAAATCCAAGAAATTCTAAACAAAAAAACTGCAGACCAAAATTCCTGATAAATATAGATGAAAAAGTCCCCCTAAAATACTAGCAAACCAACTCCAACAGCACATCAAAAATATAATTCACTACAATCAAGTGGGTTTCATCTCAGGGATCCAGGATGGTTCAACATATGCAAGTCAATAAATCACCACATAAGTAGAATTAAAAATGAAACCATATAATCATCTCAATAGACACAAAAAAGCATTCATTAAAATCAAGGATCCCTTTGTGATAAAAATAGAAGGTATGTTCCTTCTGTGCTTCAACGAAGTAGGCATAGAGGGACCATATCTCAAAATAATAAAGGCCATATTTGACAAACTCACAGCCAACATAATACTGAATGGGGAAAAGTTGAAATCATTCCCTCTAAAAACTGGAACAAGACAAGCATGGCCACTTTCACCATTTCCATTCATGAGAGTACTAGAAGTTTTAGCCACAGGAATCAGACAAGACAAAGAAATAAAAGACATACAAATTGGAAAACAGGAAGCCAAATGATCTCTGTTTGCTGATGATATTATTATATACCTAGAAAACCCTAAAGTCTGCCCCAAAAGACTTCTATATCTGATAAATATATTTAGTATAGTCTGAGGTAATAAAATTAATGTACACAAATAAATAGCACTTCTATACACCAACAATGAACAAACTGAGAATGAAATCAGTAACTCAATCTCTTTTACAATAGCTACAGAAAAAAAAACAAAACACCTAGGAATAATCTTAACTGAGGATGTGCAAGGTCTCTACAATGAGAACTACAAAACAGTGCTGAAACAAATCATAGATGACACAAATAAATTGAAATATTTCCCATGTTCATTGACTGGAATAATAAATATCATTTAAGTTACCATACTGCCCAAAGCAAGCTACAGATTCAGTGCAATTCCTATTAAAATGGCAACATCATTTTTCACAAAATTACCAAAAATCCTAAAATTAATATGGAACCAAAAAAGAGTTCAAATAGCCAATCCTAACAGTAAGTGAAAATGTGGAGGCATTATTTTACCTTACTTCAAATTATACCACAAGGCTACAGTACCAAAACTGTATAGTAATGTTATAAAAGTGGACACACAGACAAATGGAACAGAATAGAGAGCACAGAAATAAAACCAAACACAACCAACTGATCGTCGACAAAGCATACAACAACTTAAATTGGGAAACGGACACCATCTTTAATAAATGATGCTGGGAAAACTGGGTAGCCACATGTAGAAAAATAAAACTGGATTCCTATCTGTCACCATATATAAAAATCAGCTCAAGATGGATTAAAGCCACAAATTTAAGGCCTAAAACCATAAAAATTATAGAAGAAAACCTAAGAAAAACTCCTCTGGATATTGGACTAGGCAAATAATTTATAACTAAGTTCTCAAAAGCCAATGCAAAACCAAAAATAAATAAATAGGACCAAATTAAACTCAAAAGCTTCTGCAGAACAAAATAGTCTTCAGACTAAACAGACAATCCATTGAATGGGAGAAAACATTTTCAAACTATGCAGCCAACAAAAGGCTAATATCTATAATCTGCAAGGAATTCAAAAACTCAGCAAGAAAAATCAAGTAAATACATCAAAAAGTGGGCAAATGACATGAATAGACATTTCTTAAAAAATGATATACAAATTTTAAAAAATATGTGAAAAAACACTCACATCATTAATCATCAGGGAAATGTAAATTAAAACCACAATGAGATACCACATTATCCCAGCTAAAATGGCCATTGTTATGAAGTCAAAAACAATAGATGTTGGCATGGATATGGTGAAAAGAGAATGCTTATACACTGCTGGTGGGAGTGTAAATCAGTATAACATCTATAAAAAACAGGATGGAGATTTCTCAAAGAAATAAAAGTAGACCTATTATTCAGTCCAGCAATTCCACTGCTGAGTATCTACACAAAGGAAAATAAGTGATTATATCAAGAGGACACCTGCACACATAGGTTTATTGAAGCACAATTCACAATTGCAAATATATGGAATCAACCTAATTTCCCATCAACAGATGAGTGGATAAAGAAAATGTAGATATACACCATGGAATACTACTCCACCATGAAAGGAGAATGAAATAATGTCTTTTGGAACAACTTGGATGGAACTGGAGGCCATTATTCTAAGTGAAGTAACTCAGGAATGGAAATCCAAATACTGTATGTTTTTAGTTATAAGTGGGAGCTAAGTTATTAGGATGCAAAGCCACACAGAGTGGTAAAATATAATGGACATTGTAGATTCATAATGGTGAAGTGTGGAGGAGGTTGATGGATAAAAATCTATGTATTGGGTACAATGTACACTACTCAGGTGACAGGTACACTAAAATCTCAGACTTTACTACTATACAATTTATCTATGTAAACAAAAACCACTCGTACCCCCAAAAGCTATTGAAATTACAAAAATTAAAAGATAAAAATAATTTTGAGTCCTCTCTTTTATATTTTCTTGGTAAGTCTAAGTAAATGTTTGTTATTTTTTGTTTGTTGTTGTTTGTTCTTGAGACAGTCTCACTCTGTTGCTTAGGGTGGAGTGCATCATGGCTTACTGCAGCCTTCACCTCCTGGGCTTAAGCAATACTCCTGCCTTAGTTTCCCAAGTAGCTGGGACCACAGGCACATGCCACCATGCCTGGATTTTTGTTGTTGTTGTTGTAGAGATAGGATCTTCCTATGTTGCCCAGGCTGGTCTCAAACTTCTGGGCTTAAGCCATCCTCCTGCCTTGGCCTCCCAAAGTGCTGGGATTACAGGCATAACCCTCCATGCCTGACCATTGTTGATCTTTCCAGTAATCAACCTTCATTCTATTGATTTTCTCTATTGACTTTCTACTCTCTTTTACAATTTCTACTTGAACTTTCACTATTTCCTTCTTTCTTTTGGTTCAGTTTGTTCTTTTCTTAGTTTGTATTTTTCTTCCAGTAAGAAACTAGCTATTTATCTAATGTCTGCTGTAAAAAAAAGCAGAGATTAAGTTAATAATTTGGGACTGTTCTTTATTAAAGTAGGCATATACAGCTGTAAATTTTTCTCTCATCTCTGTTTTAGCTGTGTGCCATTACGTTTGGCATGTTGTGTCTTCATTATCATTTGTTTAGAAGTAATTTAAGGGGTGGATCACCTGAGGTCAGGAGTTCGAGACCAGCCTGGCCAACACGATGAAACCCTGTCTCAACTAAAAATACAAAAAATTAGCTGGGTGTGGTGGTGCGTGCCTGTAATCCTAACTACTCAGGAGGCTGAGGCAGGAGAATCGCTTGAACATGGGAGTCGAAGGTTGCAGTGAGCCTAGATGGAGCCACTGAACTCCATCCAGCGGGGGCAACAAGAGCAAAACTCCATCTCAAATAAATAAATAAACAAATAAATAAATAAATAAATAAATAAATAAATATTTTTGTTTTTTTCTTTGATCCATTTACTATTTAGGAGTGTGTTGTTTAATTTCTACATATTTGTAACTTTTCCAAATTTTCTTGTGCTATTTCAAATTCATTCCATTGTGTTTGAAGAACATATTTTGTATGAATTTAATCATTTTAATATTATTAGCATTTTTGTAGCTTAATATATATTCTCTTCTGGTCAATATTCTATGCGTACTTGTCAGCTGGAATGTTCTATAGATCTCTATTATGTCTATTGGTTTTATGTCTTTCAAGGCTTTTTTTCAACCTGTTGATCATCTGTCCAGTTGTTCTATTATTAAATATATATATGTATGCACACACACATGCCATATTTTTCTGACATATTGACCCTCTTATTATTTTAAAATATCCTTTTGTTCTTTGGTAAACTTTTATTTTTTAAAGTCTATGTAGTCGGACATTGTTATAGCCACTCGATTTCTCTTTTGGTTAAGGTTTTCTGGTGTATATATTTTTACTTATTTATTTTCAACTTGTTTATGTCTTTGAATTTAAGGTATATTTTTAGACAGCATATAGTTAGGTTATTTTTTATCCATTTTGCTAGTCTATGTTTTCACTGGAGTGTTTGACCTTCTCGTTTTAATATGATTACTTTTATGGTAGGATTTACTCTAGCCAATTTGCTATTCGTTTTCTATGTGCCTTATGTCTTTTCTGTTTCACTACTCTCCCATTACTGCACCTTTTTTTGTTAAATACATATTTTCTACCGTAACATGTAAATTTCCTTACCCTCCATTACTATATTTTTGAGTTAGTTTTCTATTGGTTGCACTGAGAATTAAAATTGACATATTAATTTATAGCAATTTACTTTAGAGTAATACAAACTTAATTACAGTAGTATCCAAAACTTTGTTTATATATCTTTACATTTCTTCCTTCCTTCTTTGTGCTAATATTGTCAAACCTACAGAGGTATATCTCTATAAATTGTATGGTTGCCAATACATATTTATAAGTATTACTTTATGCATTTGTATTTTGAATTAAATAACAGAAATAATGTATTAAATACAAAGTGCATTTGTGTTCAATTTTATACACACACCTATGTAGTTAACATAACTGGTGCTTTCTATAACTTAAAGTAGGTTCGAGTTGCTGTCTAGTGTCCTTTTATTATTTTGGCTTAGATAGCTTCTATTGGTATGACTTATTAGGGCAGTTCTTCAATCATCAAATTCTCTCAGTCTTCATCAGTCTTGGAATGTCTTGATTTAAACTTCACTTTTTGGAGCATAGATTTGTTTCATATAGAATTCTTTACTGGCAATCCATTTCAAAAATTTTAATTGTAGTGAAGTATGCATAACATAAAATTGACTATCTTAATTTTTTTCAGTGTACAGTTTAGTATTAAGAAAATTCACATTGTTATGATTATCGTTTTTTTTGTTTTGGCACTTTAATTATCAATGGCCTTCTGTCCTTCATGGCTCCTGATGGAAACTCATCTGTTTATTTTGGATCTCATACCTTGTTCATGATGAGTCATTATTCTCTTACTGCTTTCAAGTTTCTTCCTCTGTCTTTGGTTTTCAGTGGTATGGTTATGATGTCTTATTCTAGTAAGTTTAATGTTTGGACTTCCTGAGACATAATTTAAATTGACTTCTATTATTTTTCTGTGTATGGGCCGTAATTTCTTGTATATTTGCATGTCTCATAACTTTTGTTTAGATCCTTGTCATATTTAATATTATAATGTGGCAAACCTGGAAATCAGATTCTCTTTCTCCCTTATATTTGTTGTCACTCTGTTGTTTGGTTATTGTTGTTATAGTTAGTTTAGTAGTTTTCCCTAAAAAAATTGTAAAGCCTGTATTCATTGTCATGTGTGGCCATATAATCATTGAATATTTTTCTTAGATATATGGAATGGATAAGGCTCCAAGTACCTGCTGAGGAACTTTGTATGTGGGTTGAACACAGTTTGAACCTTCATCCTGACAAGTTACAAGTCTGTCTTAGTCTCCATTTTCCTCTTGTACAGAGCCTCAAGATCAGCTCAAAATTGGGAGGTTAGTGCCTTCTCAAGTATCTCCTGAGCATATTTACAGCCCAGGGCATAGGCAGAGTACCAGACACAGTGTGTGGCCTTTTAGTTCCTCAGGAATATGCTGGGGATTTTGAAAGCCTGCTCTAGATATCTGATTTTCCAATATTTCTTTTAGGTTTTTCATTAGCCTACTGCTTGTCACAGCTGATTTTTTTTAAATTTTTAATTTTCATGGGTACAGAGTAGGTATATATATTTATAGGGAAAATGAGATGTTTTGTGTAATGTGTAATATTCACATCATCAAGAATTGGGTATCCATCTTGTCAGGCATTTATCCTTTGCGTTATAAGCAATCCAATTCTACTCCTTTAGTTATTTATAAATGTACAGGTAAGTTATTATTGACTGAAGTCACCCTGTTGTGCTATCAAATGGTAGATATTATTCTTTCTTTATATTTTTTGTACCCATTAAGCATCCCCACCTTCCCCCACTCCCACCCTCTCCCCAGCCTCTAATAACCATTGTTCTACTCTCTATGTCCATTAGTTCAATTGTTTTTGATGTTTAGAGCCCATAGATAAGTGAGAATATGTGATGTTTGTCTTTCTGTGCCTGGCTTATTTCACTTGACATAATGATTTCCAGATTCATCCATGTTATTGCAAATAACAAGATCTCATTCTTTGTTACGGCTGAATAGTACCTCATTGTGTATATGTACCACATTTTCTTTATTCATTCATCTGTTAATAGACAGCTAGGTTGCTTCCAAATATTAAGTATTGTAAACAGTGATGCAACAGATCTGGGAGTGCAGATAATCTCTTTGATACAATATTTTTCTTTTTTAGGGGTGTATACCCAACAGTGGAATTGCTGAAGCAAATGGTAGCTATATTTTTAGGCATTGTAGAAACCTTCAGACTGCTCTACATAGTGTTTTTACTAATTTACATATCCACCAACAGTGTACAAGGTTTTCTTTCTTTTCTCCACATCCTTGCCAGCATTTGTTATCACCTGTGTTTTGGATATAAGCCATTTTAGCTACAGTGAGATATCTCACTGTAGTTTTGATTTGCATTTCTCTGATGATCAATAATGTTGAGCATCTTTTTATATGCTTGTTGGCCATTTGTATGTCTTCTTCTGAGAAATGTCTACTGAAATATTTGGCCCATTTTTTATTCAGATTATTAGATTTTTTTTCCTATAGAGTTGTTTGAGCTCCTAATGTTTTCTGGCTATTAACCTTTTGTCACATGGGTAGTTTTCAAATATTTTCTCCCATTCTGTGGGTTGTCTCCTCACTTTCTGGACTGCTTCCTTTGCTGTGCAGAAGCTTTTTAACTTGATATTATCCCATTTGTCCATTTTATCTTTTGCCTAGCTGTGCTTGTGGTGTATTGCTTAAGAAATTTTTGCCCAGAACAATGTCCTGGAGATTTTCCCCAATGTCTGCTTGTAGTAGTTTCACAGTTTGAAGTCTAAGACTTAACTCTTTAAACATTTTTATTTTATTTTTGTATGTGGTGAGAGATAGGGGTCTAGTTTTATTCTTTTGCATATGGATATCCAGTTTTCCCAGTACCATCTATTGAAGAGACTATTTTTTCCTCAGTGTATGTTCTTGGTACCTTTGTCAAAAATGAGTTCACTGTAGGTGTGTGAATAACATTCTGGGTTATCTATTCTGTTCCATTGGTCTAGGTGTCCATTTTTATGCCAGTACAATGCTGTTTCAGTTACTAAAGCTCTGTAGCATAATTTAAAGTTAGGTAATGTGATTTTTCCAGTTTTGTTCTTTTTGCTTTGGAGCTTTTACTATTCTGGGTCTTTAGTGGTTCCATATAAATTTTAGGATTATTTTTCTATTGCTAAAAAGAATGTCATTGGAATTTTGATAGTGATTGCACTGAGTTTGTAGATTTCTTTGGGTAGTACGGTCATCTAAAAATATTGACTAACCCCATACAAGAACATGGAATAACTTTCCATATTTTCATGTCATCTTAAATTTATTGTATCAATGTTTTATAGGTTTTGTTGCAGAGATGTTTCGTTTCCTTGGTTAAGTTAATTCCTAGGTATTTTATTATTTGACTTCTTCCATTCAAATTTGAATGCCTTTTATTTTGTTCTCTTGTCTAATTACTCTAGCTAGGGCTTCTGGTACTGTGTTGAATAACAGTGGTGAAAGTGGGCATCTTTGTCATGTTCCAGATCTTAGAGAAAAGGTTTTCAGTTTTCCCCCATTCAGTACGATACTACCTGTGAGTCTGCCATACATGGCTTTTTCTATGTTGAGATATGTTTCTTCTATCCCTAGTTTTTTGAGGGTTTTGACCATAAAAGGATGTTGAATTTTATCAAATGCTTATGAGCATCAATTAAAATGATCTTATGGTTCATATCCTACATCCTGTTGATATGATGTATCATACTGATTGATTTGCATATGTTGAACTATCCTTGCATCCCAGGCATAAATCCCACTTGTTCACAATGAATGATCTTTTTAATGTACTGCTGAATTCAGTATGCTAGTATTTGCTTGAGGATTTTTGTGTCAGCATGGATTAGAAATATTGATGTGCAGTTGCTTTTTTTGATGTGTGTTTGCCTGATTTTGGTTTCGTGGTAATACTGGCCTCCTATAATGAGTTTGGAAATGTTCCCTCTGCTCTATTTTTATAAGTGTTTGAATAGGATAGGTATTAGTTCTTCTTTAAATGTTTGGTAGAATTCAGCAGTGAAGCCATTGGGTTTCGGGCATTTATTTACAGGCAGACTTCTTATTATGACTTTGATCTCTTTACTTGTTATTGGTCTGTTTAGGTTTTAGATTTTCTTTTTTTTTTCATCTTTTATTTTAAGTTCTGGGGTACATGTGCAGGATGTGCAGGTTTGTTACATAGGTAAAAGTGTGCCATGATGGTTTGCTGCATCTATGAACCCATCACCTAGGTATGAAGCCAAGCATGCATTAGCTATTCTTCCTGATGCTCTCCCTCTCCCCACCACACCTAACAGGCCCCAGTGTGTGTTGTTCCCCACCATGTGTCCATGTGTTCTCATCAGTTAGCTCTCACTTACAAATGAGAATATGTGGTGTTTGCTTTTCTGTTCCTGCATAGTTTGCTAAGGATAACAGCTTCCAGCTCCATCCATGTCCCTACAAAAGAAATGATCTCATTCTCTTTAATGGCGGCATAGCATTCCATGGTGTATATGTACCACATTTTCTTTATCCAGTCTATCATTAATGGGCATTTGGGTTGATTCCATGTCATTGCTACTGTGAATAGTACTGTAATGAGCATATGCTTGCATATATCTTTATAATAGAATGACTTACAGTCCTTTGGGTATATACCCTGAAATGGGATGTCTGGGTCAAATGGTATTTCTGCTTCTAAATATGTGAGGAATTGACACACTGTCTTCAGCAATGGTTGAACTAATTCACACTCCCACCAAGAGTGGAAAAGCACTCCCTTTTCTCTGCAACCTCACCAGCATCTGTTGTTTTTTGACCTTTTTAATAATTGTAATTCTCACTGGTGTGAGATGGTATCTCATTGTAGTTTTGATTTGCATTTCTCTAATAACCAGTGATGTTGAGGGTTTTTTAATATGTTTGTTGGCTGCATAAATGTCTTCCCTTGAGAAGTGTCTGTTCATGTTCTTTGTCCACTTTTTAATGGGGTTATATGTTTTTTATTGTAAATTTGTTTAAGTTCCTTGTAGACTCTGGGTTTTAGATTTTGTCAGTTGGATAGATTGCAAAAATTTTCTTCCATTTTGTAGGCTGTCTGTTCACTCTGATGACAGTTTATTTTGCGGTGCAGAAGCTCTTTAGTTTAATTAGATCCCATTTGTCAAATTTTGCTTTTGTTGCAATTGCTTTTGGAGTTTTCATCATGAAATTTTTGCCCATTCCTATGTCCTGAAGGGTATTGCCTAGATTTTCTTCTAGGGTTTTTATAGTTGTAGGTTTTACATTTAAATCTTTAATCCATTTTGAGCAAATTTTTATATAAGGTGTAAGGAAGGGGTCCAGTTGCAATTTTCTGCATATGACTAGCCAGTTCTCCCAGTACCACTTATTAATAATAAGTAGGGAATCTTTTCACCATTGCTTGTTTTCATCAGGTTTGTTAAAGATCAAATGATTGTAGATATGCAGTCTTACTTCCAGGTTCTCTATTCTGTTTTATTGATCTATGTGTCTGATTTTGTACCAGTACCATTCTGTTTTGGTTACTGTAGCCTTGAAATATAGTTGTAATTCAGGTGGCAAGATGCCTCTAGCATTGTTTTTTTGATTAGAATTGTCTTGGCTATCCTCACTCTTTTTTGGTTCCACATAAATTTTAAAATAGTTTTTTTTTTTTCATAATTCTGTGAAGAATGTCAATTGTAGTTTAATAGGAATAGCATTGAATCTATAAATTACCTTGGACAGTATGGCCATTTTCACGACATTTATTCTTCCTAGCCATGAGCATGGAATGTTTCTTCATTTGTTTGTGTCCTCTCTGATTTCCTTGAGTGGTCATTTGAAGTTCTCCTTGAAGTGGTCTTCACTTCCCTTGTTAGCTGTATTCCTAGGCATTTTATTTTCTTTGTAGCAATTGTAAATGGAAGTTTATTCATAACTTGTCTCTCTGCTTGCCTGTTCTTGATGTATAGGAATGCTAGCATTTTTTGCATATTGATTTTGTATCCTGAGACTTTTCTGAAGATGCTTATCTGCTTAAGAAGCTTTTGGGCTGAGATGATGGCGTTTTTTTAAATATAGGATCCCATCATCTGCAAGCAAAGATAATTTGACTTTCTCTCTTCCTATTCAAATACCTTTATTTCTTTATCTTGCCTGGTTGCCCTGGCCAGAACTTCCAATACTATGTTGAGTAGAGTAGAGAGAGAGGACATTCTTGTCTTCTGCCAGTTTTCAAGGGGAATGCTTGTAGCTTTTGTCCATTCAATATAATATTAGCTGTTGGTTTGCCATATATAGCTCTTCATTATTTTGTGGTATGTTCCTTCAATACCTAGTTTATTGAGAATTTTTAACATGAAGGGATGTTGAATTTTATCAAAACCTTTTCTGCATCTATTGAGATAATCTTCTTTTTGGTCTAATTCTGTTTATGTGATGAATTACATTTATCGATTTGCATATGTTGAACCAACCTTTCATCCAGGAGATGAAGCCAACTTGATCATAGTAGATAAGCTTTTTGATGTGCTGCTGGATTCAGTTTACCATTATTTGAGGATATTTGCATCAATGTTCATCAGGGATATTGGCCTGAAGTTTACATTTTGTTGTGTCTCTGCCAGGTTTTGGTATCAAAATGATGCTAGTCTCATAAAATGAGTTAAGGAGGAGGTCCTCCTTTTCAATTATTTCTTGGAATAGTTTCAGAAGAAATGGTACCAGCTCTTCTTTGTACCTCTGGTAGAATTCAGCTGTAAATCTGTCTGGTCATGGGCTTTTTTTGGTTGGTAGGCTATTTATTACTGCCTCAAATTCAGAATTCTTTCTTGGTCAGTTCAGAGTTTCAATTTTTTCCTGGTTCAGGCTTTGGAGGGTGTATGTGTCCCAGAATTTATCCATTTCTTCTGGATTTTCTGGTTTATGTGCATAGAGGTGTTTATAGTGTTATTTGATGGTTATTTTTGTTTCTGTGGGATCAGTGATGCTATCCCCCTTATCATTTCTGATTGTGTCGATCTATTTGATTCTTCCCTCTTTTCTTCTTTATTAGTCTATCTAGTGACCTATTTTATTTATTTTTTTCACTCCTGGATTTGTTGATTTTTTTGAAGAGTTTTTTCATATCTCTATCTCCTTTAGTTCCATTCTGATCTTTGTTATTTCGTGTCTTCTGCTAGCTTTGGGGTTTGCTTGTGCTTGGATCTCTAGTTCTTTTAGTTGTGATGTTAGGTTTTTAATTTGAGGTCTTTCTAGCTTTTTGATGTGGGCATTTAGTGCAATAAATTTCCTTCTCAACACTCCTTTAGTTGTATGTCAGAGATTCTGGTACGTTGTCTCTTTGTTCTCATTAGTCTCGAAGAACTTCTTAATTTCTGCCTTAATTTCAGTATGTGCTAAGGAGTCATTCAGGAGGAAGTTGTTCAATTTTCATGTAGTTTTGTGATTTTGAGTGAGTTTTTTATTGTTGGGTTTTAATTTGATTGTGCTGTGGTCTGGGATAGTGTTCGTTATGATTTCAGTTCTTCTGATTAAGTGACAAATTTGAGAGTAAGTCCCTTGTGATGATGAGAATAATGTATAATATGTTGTTTTGGGGTGGAAAGTTATGGAGATATCTGTGAAGTCTGTTTGATCAAGAGCTGAGTTCAAGTCCTGAATATTTTAGTTAAATTTCTGTCTCAACTATCTAATATTTTCAGTGGGGTGTTAAAGTATCCCGCTATTATTGTGTGCAAGTCTAAGTCTCTTTGTAGGTCTCTAAGCACTTGCTTTATGAATCTGGGTTCTCCTGTATTGGGTGCATATATAGTAAGGAGAGTTAGCTCTTCTTGTTGACTTGAACCCTTTACTGTTATATAATAACTTGTCTTTTTTTTTCATCTTTGTTGTTTTAAAGTCTGTTTTGTCAGAAACTAGGATTGTGATCTCTGCTTTTTTGTTTTCCATTTGCTTGGTAAATTTTCCTCCATCTCTTTATTTTGAGCCTATGTGTGTCTTTGCACATGAGATGGGTCTCTTGAAGATAGCATGCTGATGGGTTTTGACTCTTTATCCAGATGGCCATTCTGTGTCTTCTAATTAAGGCATTTAGTCCTTTTAGATTTATGGTTAGTTTTGTTGTGTGTGAATTTGATTCTGTCATCATAATGCTAGGTGGTTATTCTGCAGACTTGTTTATGTTATTGCTTCATAGTGTCACTGACATGTGCACTTCAGTGTGTTTTTGTAGTGGCTGGTAACGGTTTTTCCTTTCCATATTCAGTGCTTCCTTCAGAAGCTCCTGCAAGGCAGGCCTGGTGGTGATGAATTCCCTCAGCATTTGCTTGTCTGAAAAGGATCTTATTTCTCCTCCACTTACAAAGCTTAGTTTGGCCAGATATGAAATTCTGGGTTGGAAATTCTTTTCTTCAACAATGTTGAATATTGACCCCCAATCTCTTCTGGCATATAGGGTTTCCACTGAGCTGTCCACTGTTAGTCTGATGGGCTTCCCTTTGTAGGTGACATGGCCTTTCTCTGTGGCTGCCCTTAAACTTTTTTCTTTCATTTTGACCTTAGAGAATCTTATGATTGTCTTGGGGTTGATCTTTTCATGGCGTATCTTACTGTCTTGGGGTTGATCTTTTCATGGAGTGTCTTACTGGCATTCTCTGGATTTCCTGAGTTTGAATGTTGGCCTGTCTTGCTAGATTGGGGATGTTCTGCTGGATGATATCCTGAAGTATGTTTTTCAACTTGATTCCATTCTCCCCATCTTTTTCAGGTACCCTAATCAGTCGTAGATTCAGTCTTTTACATAATCCCATGTTTCTCAGAGGTTTTGCTTATTCCTTTTTGTTCTTTTTTCTTTATTCTTGTCTGCCTGTCTTGTTTCTGAAAGCTAGTCTTCAAGCTCTGAGATTCTTTCCATGCTCTTGCTTCTGTGGGGTGGGGGAAGGGTGCGCCAGTGGTTCAAGACTATTTTTTCTACCTCTTTAGTGTCTCTTACAGCAATAGGAAGTTACAATCAGGTACTATGAGTGCTCACCTGGTTTTTGGTTCTTACGAAGGTTTTTGGTTTATTTTCTGTGTGTAGATAGTTGTTAAATTTGTGTTTTTGCAGGGGGGGATGATCAGTGGAGCCTTCTATTCCATCCTGTCTGTTACAGCTGTTATCCATCATCTCAGGAACCAGGGATGTTCAACAATTGCCTCTGATTTTTTTCAATAATGCATTATGGAAAAATCAGTTCACTCTGGGAAAGCTATGACTTAGAGAAAATAAAGACAACATTGCACAGTGAGTCTCCCAGGAAACCATAGACAATTGTAATAATGATATTTCTTTCTTTCTTTTGTTTTGGAAATAAGTCTTTTAACCCAAATCTGCCCTCTCCAAGTTCTACCAGTTTCCTAACTTTTACTGTGATTCTCATCTGCTGGTACAAGTGTGGATGTAGAGGTGAGGAGAGGGAGTAGGAACAGAGCAAGTTAAAGATACCACAGAGCATGGTGTTTATATTGAGATTCAGCAATTTTATTACATAATGTCTTATTCAATTTATACAAATTATTCACTTGGAGAATTCCCATGAAACAATAATTTGATGGGAATATTTGAAAGTCTAATATTAGTTAGAAATTATGCCCTTTCTTTACTTTGGGAGATGTTGGTTTGATTAAATCAAATCAAATAAATAATCTTTCTGACATCCATTTTTTGGAAACATTCCTAGAAACTTACTTCATTTAAAGTCAAAAACTTGCAAGAGCATTTTAAATCTCCTGCTTAATGGCATAATATCTGAGTATCATAGCTGTAAGATTATTTTATATTTAGACAAGAAACTGAGATAAATTACTATCATAAGTCAATAATGAACACTGAAAGGCTTATGAAATTACCTGGAGACACTGTAGACACTACAGAGTGAGTTCCTTGAGTTCATTATGCATATATTAAAAGGTTACTAGCTTTCAATTTATTGTAAGAACAAAGTAAAAAACCTTTATTTGAAATGGAGGTTAATATAAATTTGAAAGCATAAGGGTAATATTTAATAAATAATGTATTTAATTATCTATAGGACATTGAAAATGCCTTATAAAATGTATTAATATTTCCATTTATGACTGAGCTTGAAGAAAGGAAATTCTCCAAAAGCCTGTAAAAATAAAACTTTGATCCAGAGTGGTAGAGAGTTAGATATTATGTTTTTGCAATGAATCTTGCTATATTTTGGTGGCCTACATCTTTGGTAATATACACAGAAACAAGAGGAAAATAGAAAACACAAATATGGTGAAAGATGAACATTTGAATCCAACACATAAAAATCAGACCTCCAAAGAAAGAGTCATGTACAGTGAGTAAGAGATAAAGCTTCTCCTGAGAATTCTTAAACATATCTCACACTTTCTTAATGTGGTTTGAGAATAGTATTTGATGTACCTGTATGATTTGTAAAACACTGAGTAAAAAAATTTAAATTAAAATGGTTCCAGTTTTGCAATATCAAGAGCAAAAGCAAATTTTCTCTAATAGAATTCACTTTAAATACAGAATTAAATTAATTTCTACAGATGATGGGTGGCTTAGTCTGTTTGATCTGCTTTAACAAAATACCTCAGACTGGGTAATTTATAAATAATTAGACATTTATTTCTCATTGTTCTGGAGTCTGGAAATTTCAAGAAGCCAGCAGATTCAGTGATGAAGGCTTGTTCTCTGCATCATAGATGGCACCTTGTTGCTGTGTTCTTACATGGCACAAGTGGAAAGGGGTGAAGAGGACTAAGAGACTCCCTTAAGGCCTTTTATAGGGGTACTAATCCCATTCATGAGGGTTCATCCTCATGACCTAATCGCTTCCAAAAACTCCACCTCTTCATACTACAGACTTGCATTGAGGATTCAATTTCAACATGAATTTTGGAGAGACACAGACTTTCAAACCACAACAAGCAAGAACATTATTTCATAATGAAAATATTAGTAAAACATTAATAATCTAGTGTTGGTTGGGTGTAGTGACTCATGCCTGTAATCGCAGCACTTTGGAAGGCTGGGGTGGGAGGATCGCTTGAGCCTAGGAGTTTGAGAAAAGCTTGGGTAACATTGGGAAATCCTGTCTCTACAAAAGCAAAGAAATAAAAATAAAAATAAAAAATTAGCCAGGCATGATGGCATGTGCCTGTGGTTGCTGAAGTGAGAGGATTGCTTGAGCCCAGGAGGTCAAGGCTATAGTGAGCCATGAGTGTGCCACTGGACTCCAGCCTGGGTAACAGAGCAAGACTTTGTCTCAAAAGAAATCTAATGTGTATAAGCTGCAGTCAGCTAGACACAGAACACAAGACAAATCCCAGTATTAGACCTGAAAACACTGAAGTTTTGTTTGTTTGTTTGTTTTCGAGACAGAGTTTCACTCTTGTTGCCCAGGCTGGAGTGCAGTGACGCCATCTCGGCTCACTGCAACCTCCGCCTCCTGGGTTCAAGCGATTCTCCTGTCTCAGTCCCCTGAGTAGCTGAGATTACAGGCATGTGCCACCACACCCAGCTATTTTTAGTAGAGACAGGGTTTCACCATGTTGGCCAGGCTGGTCTCGAACTCCTGACCTCAGGTGATCTGCCTGCCTAGGCCTCCCAAAGTGCTGAGATTACAGGTGTGAGCCACTGCACCCGGCCAAAATGTTTTTAATTATACTTTACAGTATACGAAATAAAATTATATTGTAATTAAGTAAATTAAGTTACCATTTAAATATATTACAAAGGGACATCTGACCATTAAACATAATTAAACATATTTAGAAAAAGATAAGACAAACTTCTAGAAATTAGAAATGAGATTATTGATATTACAAACAAAATAATATTCTATATCCAGTAGATGTGTCAAATGTAAATTGACACTGCTATACAGAACATTAGTGAACCTAAAGATAAAAATTATTCAGGAAGCAGCTTAAAATGAGGCTGCAACATCTAGAAATTAAGTTAAAATAAGGATTGAAATAGAGTTTAAAATGTGGCTTATATGAATACTATAGAGGCAAGAGATAATGGGAAAGAATAACACTGAGGGAAATGAAGAGCTTTCTAGAACTGATGAATGAGACAAATCCACAAATGCAAATAGCTAATGAATATAAAGCTGGAAAAAACTATTTAAAAAGTATAGCTTCACAAATTATTGTAGACCACTCAGCTACCAAAAAAAAAAAAAAAATAGAAGAGGGAGAAATAAAAACATATTACCGAACAAATAAATGAGGAACATATTTACAGATAGTGGTGTGATAGAGCCAGTTCATGTCACTTTGCAGCTCTGATTTGTATGAATGGACTTATAGAATGACAGAGTAAAAGTTCTTCAAGAAAAACTGCAAAATTTTTTGAAGCAGAAAAACAACTATTTAATGTCAATGGAAATGGTCCTAAAGACATGCTGCAAATGAAACATTTATTCAAGAAAATCTACTGAAATTTGGAAATAGCAATGAGAGTTTGTGGTATCTGAACTGAGACCTAGTCCCTTCCACCCCTTTCCAACTCAGTGAGAAAGAAACTTCAGACTACTTCAGCCAAGAATACAGAACTCTCTTTTTTCAGAGCGTTCAGATAGAGTACTATCTTCCTAGAAGGGGAAGACATTTCTTATACTGCCCCCAGCTACCTCTTTCTATGACTGTTAGTGAATGTGGCTGACTAGGAGATGTGGGCTCTCTTCTTTTCTACTGAGTCCACACAGTGGCACAGAGGCTCAACCATGGCACAGTACCACTGAGAATACTTGGGTGATGATAACCCACATCCTGGCTTATATGGTAGCAGTGGCACACCAGACACAGCAAGCTAAGAATGCCTGAGGCCACTCTCCCCACATACTGAATGCTCAGCTCCTACAGCAGAAGGGTCATTCAAAGAGAGCCATGCCTTTTTTTAAACCCCAACTTCAGAGCCTGTGCTACTAGTTATACCAGAAGGGAGAAGCAGTTTGGAAAATGGATAGCTCCTAACTCCTTGAAAAAGGAACTTACTTTATTTAAAGCACAATGTGAAAAAGTTCAAGCCACAGGGCACTTTCAAAAAAAACAAAAAACAAAACAAAACAAAAAAACCACTTGATGTTTTGGTGAAGAGTAATTGGGAAAATATTGGTAAATTTATGAAGATATGGGATAAACCTTAGGTTGGGTAGTTTACTGGAGAAAGCTGAAAAGAAACAGCTATGACTAGAGACCCTGGGATCATAGCACATCACAAAAACTGACTTCAGGAACTATCACTTTAAAGGCAATATTCAAAATCATTAGAGCAATCAGTTTACAACTAGTGGGGCTGTACAGAAAGAAAAAGAGACTAAACCCATTATCTCTCACCATATAGAAAAATTAACTCAGGATGGATTACAGACCTAAACCTGTAAAAGTTCCAGAGGAAACAGAAAACACCCTTCTGAACATCAGCCTTGGCAAACAATTTATGACAAATACCCACAAAGCAAACTCAACAAAAACAACAGTAGGTAAATGAGACTTGATCAAACTAAACATGCACAGGAAAAGAAATAATCAACAAGAGAATCAGACAACTGATAGAATGGGAGAAAATATTTGTAAACTGCGCATCCAACAAAAGGCTAATATCCAGAATCTGTAAGAAACTTAAACAAATCAAAAAGAATAAAACAAATAATCCCATTAAAATGTGGGCAAAGAACATGAATAGATGTTTCTCAAAAGAAGACATACAAGCTTCCAACAAACACGTGAAAAATGCTGAACATACCAATCATCAGAGAAATGCAAATTAAAACCCCACATAGATACCATCTTATACCAGTAAGAATACCTATTGTTAAAAAAAAAGTCAGAAAACAACATATGTTGTCATGGATGTGGAGAAAAGGGAATGTTCATACACCACTAGTGGGAATGTAAGCTACTTCGACCACTATGAAAAACAGTATGTAGATATCTCAAAGAACTAAACATAGAACTACCATTTGATCCAACAATCCCGCAACTGGGTATCTAAGCAAAGGAAAAGAATTCATTATATAAAAAAGACATCTGCACTTGTATGTTTATCACTGCACTATTTACCATAGCAAAGTGATGGAACCAACCTAAGAGTCTACAAACAGTTGGTTGGATAAAGAAAATGTGGTATATATACACAATGGAATAATATGCAGCCATACAGTAGAATGAAGTCATGTCTCTTGCAGTAACATGGATGGAGCTGAAGGCCATTATTCTAAGTAAACTAACAAAGAAGCAGAATATCAAATACAGATGCTCTCACTTATAAGTAGAAGCTAAACAAATGATACACATGGACATAATGATGGGCAAAATATATTCTGGGGACTCCAAAGGGATGACAGTGGGAGAAGAGTGAAAGATAAAATATAACCTATTGAATACAGTGTCCAATATTTGGTTAATGGGTACTCTAGAATCCCAACTCCCACCATTATACATGTAATACCTATGTAACAAATAAGCACATGTACCCCTCTGAATCAAAGATAAAATTAGGCAGGTGGATCACCTGAGGTCGGGAGTTCAACACCAGCCTGACCAACATGGGAAACCCCGTCTCTACTAAAAATACAAAATTAGCTGGGTGTGGTGGCACATGCCTGTTATCCCAGCTACTCAGGAGGCTGAGGCAGGAGAATTGCTTGAACCCAGTAGGCGGAGGTTGTGGTGAGCCAAGATAGAGCCATTGCACTCCAGCCTGGGCAACAAGAGTGAAACTCCATCACAAAAAACAAAACAAAACAAACAAAAAACAAACAAAAACAAAACAAAACAAAAAAAACTCCAGTTATAAAAGAAAAATAAAATACTTGGAAATAAAAATTTGACAAAACTGGTATAAAAGTTTTACTCCAAAAATGACAATATTCCATGAAGAAACTAAAATAATATGCAAGTGAATGGCAAAATAAAATCACATGTTCATGGGTTGGAAGAGTTGACGTTATTAAGATGGTAATATTCCTTAAATTGATCTAATGATTCAAGGCAATCTCTATCAAAATTCCATATGACATTTGCGTAGGAATTGGAAAGTTGATCCTAAATTGCATACTGAATTGCAAGGGACCCAAAATGGCCAAAACAATCTTGAAAAGGAAGAACAAAGAAGTACTCAAACTTCTTAACTACAGAATTTATTACAGAGTGACAGAAATCAATGCAGTGTGCTACCAGCATGATGATAGACATATAGATCAATGGAATAGGGCAGTGAGTCCAGAAATAAACCCAGGTGTCTGTCTATGGTCAATTGTTGCTTGAAAAAGATACTAGTCATTCTATGGGGCAAAATTATCCTCTTCAGCAAATGGTGCTGGAACAGCCAGATAGAACCATATTCAAAAGAATGAAGTTGAAAACTTAATGCACACCATAAATAAAAAATGAACTCAAAATTAACAAAAACTAAATGTAATAGTTAAAAGTTTAAAATTCTTACAAGAAAACAAAAAGATAAATTTAAGAATCTTAAATTTTATAATGAATGCTTACATATGACACAAAATATGAACAACAAATGATAACAGAGAAACTGGACTCCTTTAAAATTTAAAAGTTTTGTAATTTCAAGAACACTAACAAAAAAGTGAAAAGACAATACAAGAATAAAAGAACATGTATGCACATAATGTATCTGATAAACACCAGACTCTTGAATGTGTAAAGAACAGTTACAATGGAATAATCAAAAAACAACCTTATAAAAAAGGAACAAAGGGTCTGCATAGACATTTCTCCCAAGAAGGTATTAGAATGGCCAATAAGCACATAATAAAGATTCTCAACATTGATACTTAAAGCTGCAAATCAAAACCACAATAAGATAACATTTCACACACACTAGAATGCCTAGAATCATAAAGTCAGAAAATAGAATTTAGAAGCATGTGGAGAAGTAGGAGCATTCCTACAGCGACTGTGGGAATGCAAAATGTCACAGCCACTTTGGAACAAAGAACTTACAGAAATTAAAATCAAATGATTTAACATACAGTTGTCATATAACTCAGCAATTCTATTCTCAAATATATATCTAAAAAAATGAAAACATAATTCCAAGCAAAAGCATGTAGAATAGTGTTTCTCATAGCTCTGTAGGTATGATTTGCTTTCCTTGGCTTTGTATCTGACCAAGTAGGGAGTACTATTGGCTCAGAGGCCCCACCCGGCCCCTCTGATGCTCACTGAGGACAATTGTTGCCTTGGCTGGATTGTGACATAGAGGGCAATCACCCCTCATGTTGCCTCAGCAGGCCCTGAGCCTACAGAATGGAGATAAGATTCAGAGGTTGAGGATGGGGTGTCCTGGTGGACTGAAGGTAGCCTACTAGCTGTACATGGGTGACAACTTGAAACTTCAGAACCCTGAAGTTTAAAAAATTCTAAAGGTGCCTGTCATCTCAGAGAGTGACGTAAGTGTTCTTTCTTTATTTGGGGGAAGTCCAGGAGAACATATTACAGACATGTTTAATCCACATGCATTAGATGTTCCTGCTGTAATTTTTGACAATGGTTCAGGACTCTGCAAAGCAGGCCTGTCTGGAGAGATTGGACCCCGCCATGTCATCAGCTCCGTCTTGGGACATTGTAAATTCAATGTGCCTTTAGCAAGACTTAATCAGAAGTACTTCGTGGGGCAAGAAGCCCTGTACAAGTATGAGGCCCTACATTTGCACTACCCCATTGAGCGTGGACTGGTAACAGGATGGGATGACATGGAGAAACTCTGGAAACATCTCTTTGAGCGGGAGCTTGGAGTAAAACCCAGCCAACAGCCTGTACTTATGACCGAGCCCTCTTTGAATCCTAGGGAAATTCGAGAAAAGCTAGCAGAAATGATGTTTGAGACCTTCAGTGTGCCTGGTTTCTACCTGTCTAATCATGCGGTGGCAGCGCTCTATGCCTCTGCCTGTGTCACAGGCCTGGTGGTGGACAGTGGAGATGGGGTCACTTGCACTGTCCCCATCTTTGAGGGTTACTCCCTGCCTCACGCAGTCACCAAACTCTGTATGGCAGGGAGGGACATCACAGAGCACCTCACCCGGCTCCTCTTTGCTAGCGGGTTTAACTTCCCTTGCATACTCAACAAGGCCGTGGTAAATAACATCAAAGAGAAGTTGTGCTACATCGCCTTGGAGCCAGAGAAAGAGCTACGCAAGAGCCGGGGAGAGGTCCTGGGAGCATACAGACTGCCAGATGGACATGTCATCCACTTTGGGGATGAGCTGTACCAAGTGCCCGAGGTTCTTTTTGCACCTGACCAGCTGGGCATCCACAGCCCAGGACTCTCAAAAATGGTCTCCAGCAGCATCATGAAGTGTGACACTGACATCCAGAATAAACTTTATGCAGACATTGTACTCTCCGGGGGCACCACTCTCCTCCCTGGGCTGGAGGAAAGGCTCATGAAGGAAGTGGAACAGCTGGCTTCCAAAGGTACTCCCATCAAGATCACAGCTTCTCCTGATAGATGCTTCTCTGCATGGATTGGTGCATCCATCATGACCTCTATGAGCAGTTTCAAGCAGATGTGGGTCACCTCGGCAGACTTCAAGGAGTATGGGACATCTGTGGTTCAAAGAAGGTGCTTTTAAAGATCCTTGAGCAGAGGAGACATCTTGAAGTGTCAGATTACAGGAGTACCAGTGGGAGATGGCATTTTCTTCTGGGCTTCAGCATGATGTTCAATAAAAGTTTTGCCATTTCAAGTTTCAGTTTATTCTTAGTAGCACCATAATATATGAGTCATGTCATGAATCTTTAGGTTGCTCTATTACTCTCTTCTTTCCTATGGGCCTGTTAAGTTTTTTTCTCCTAAGAAGATCTTGGGTTATATGTTGAGGTTATGTTCATATAGAGGATTTGTAGCAAACGGTGCCTGGGGCTCATATCTAGGAACTTGATTTGGTAGAATCTCAAGAATCTTTAAATTAAATTATTATCTTAGGTGGTTCTAATAGACCCAGTTCCCAGGAGACTAAATCACGAAGAAAAGTGTGGGCAAAGGAAGGAAATGAAGCAGAACTGGAAATCCTCCACTAGTCTTAGAGTTCAAGTCCTTTTTCCTGGTTTGTCATTTAGTTAGTGCAATAGGGTTCTTGCTGTGCTGTTATGAGATCAAAAATGCTAATTAGAATGGAGAAAAAATTGGGCATAGAAATCACCATTTTCTAAGGCTCTCTAAGCTCAGGGTCCTTGTTCCCAGTTGCAGCATTAAGAATCAGTATTTCTAAATTATTTTTTTATCATTTTTAATTTCAAGGCTCTATATAGCATCATTTTGTTATGGATAAAACACTAGAAACAATAGTTATCAATAAAATAATCATTGAATAAATTATGCATACAGAAATATTTCTTCTCATTAAGTTAATACATATATTAATAAATGTGATTTTATTTAATTATAAGCATTTGGAGAAAAGTACAAAAGTAAAGGCACTACATAGTTTATGCAACTTGAAGAAGAATGGAATGAGAGGTAATGCAGCTGGAAGGAAATGGTGTAACAAATTAAAAAAAAGAAATTATTATATTATAAATTTCAGCCTGAACGAAATAAAACCATTCATCTAAAAAATTATATTTTTTCACATATCTACTCATCATTGCTAGCCTAAATACAACCATGAAAATTGTCAAGCCCTATAGTCACTATAAGTCAATTCTTTTCATTTTTATGTTTATTTGAGAGAGTTGACTTAACAGCAAACTTCTGTTTACCGGTAACTAATCAAAACCACAAAGAAATAAGATAGTGGAATAACACCTTCAAAATGAGTTAGAAAAACTCTACTGTCAGTATAGTATTATATACCCAGGAAAACCATTACAAGAAAGATGGTCATAAAATAAGAGACATTTTTGAATAATAACTAAAAGTACTTACTGTCAGCACACTATTAGCACAGAAAATCTTATAAGATTTACTTAAGGCATATAGAAATAACCCCAGAATAAGATAACATGTTAGAAAAAATAATAAAATTTTAAAATGCTGAAAAGGGGGGTAAATTAAAAAATATTGATGGTATTTATTTATTTATTTGAGACAGAGTTTCACTCTTGTTGTCCAGGCTGGAGTGCAATGGCACGATCTTGGCTCACTGCAACCTCCACCTCTTGGGTTCAAGTGATTCTCCCGCCACAGCCTCCCGAGTCGCTGGGATTACAGGTGCTTACCACCACGCCCAGCTAATTTTTGTTATTTTTAGTAGAGATGGGGTTTCGCCATGTTGGCCAGGCTGGTCTGAAACTCCTGACCTCAGGTGATCCACCCACCTTGGCCTCCCAAAGTGCTGTGCTGGGATTACAGGCGTGAGCCACTGCGCCTGGCTGGTATAAATTTATAGTAGTAAAATAGACAATAAACCTTCCATTGTACAAACATAGCCACAAATCATGAATACTCGTTTGAATTTAAAATATTTAAATACATTTGCATTATTCAGAAAGAAAAGTATTAATTAAACTTAGAATCTTTATGTTGAAACTGAAGAAATTCTGACTATAAAACCTTAAAAATTAACAAAAATATTTAAATTACCCTTATATTACTTAATAATTTAAATAACTTAAATAACTAAATAACCCTTACATTAATTTAAATTCTGATTGTAAAAACCTTAAACATTAAGTTAATTTTCAAATAATGTAAGGATCAAACAACAGTTTTAAATAGAGTAAAAAGAAATTGTAATGGATTTACATACAAAAAGTGAATGATAACAAAATACTAGGTATCAAGATACTGGAATGCAGGTAAAATTGAAATTAGTAAGAAATGCATAGACTTAAATGGTTTATTAGTAAATAAAGAAATGCTGCATATAAATATGCCAAGTACCCAATTGTGGAATTTAATAAAGCAAACAGAATTAACCCAGATAAATTACTAGGAAGTAAAAAGCAGGACATGATAAATTAATGAGCTATTACAGAAAGATAAGGAAGATAAACAAAGAATAATTTGTTCTTTATAAAGATAAAATAAATAGACATACTAATAAAATCACTGAAGACAGAAGAAATGAAAAGTGTAATAATTAGGAAAGAATAAATGCAATTGTCATTACTCAGAAATTATAGAATATTCTTCAAAACACCTAAAGTCAGAAGCACCAAGATGGCTGACTGGAAGCAGCTAGAGTGTGTTGTTCTCACAAAGAGATGACAAAGTGATGAGTAAACACTAGCTCTTTAAGTTGATCACCCAGGAAGCCACATTAGAATTAATTAAAGAAACAGTGGCAACCTACAGAGAGCAGAGAGAAGAGAGGCAGGACAGCCTCACACTGGGATTGGCATGGAGCCAGGGGAGGTTTCCTACCATGGGGAAAAGGTGAGTGAGCAAGAGTCCTTGGGGATCCAAACTTCTACCATGGATCTTAGCAATCTGGGGCAGAAGAGATCCCTCCTGACCCCCTATACCTCCAGATTAACACAGAGATCTGCCTCAAGCACACATGAAGCTCCATGATCCTTGGATCCCTGAAAACCCCAGCATTAGCTGCTATAGCCCTGCCATCAAGGGAGGCCAGCCCCTCTCACATGCCCTAAGGATAGAGTCTGCATCCACAGTGCTGAGGAGCAGACTCCAGACTGGGCTGGGCCCCCAGTGCAGCCTCTCCACCTCTACCTGAGTGCTCCAGTTGGTGGAAGCTCTGCAAATACCTGGGATGGAGCTCCCAGATGTAATTAGCATACCTTCTGTGATTGCCACTGTCAAGGTCCCACCCTACCCTTTTTGCCCTCAGGCTGAAGAAGGAACAAAGAACTGCAGAACTGTTGTGTGCCTCCAACATGCCGTAACTCTCATACAGAAAGGTGGCCTTACTGTTTTCCTCATGAGTTCCTGCCCCTGCTGCTCCTCACCAAACATGGCCTTCTGGCTTGGACCCACAGTGCAGCTGCCCCATCCCCAGCCAATCATTTCGATCAGCAGTGGCTCTTTACTTCTCTGGGGTGGAGTTCCCAGGAGCCACTGAAGGCCCTTCTGCTACTGCCACCTCTGTGGTACCTGCTCTTGCTATCTGCTGGCTGGGGAGAGAAAAAAGAGCCTGATTGCTTTTCTCACACCTTCATAATACTGCAGCTGAACTATAGAGAGAAGGCTAGATTATCTTCTCCAGGAGATGCTACTTCACCTGCTCTTCACAAGGCAGGGCCCCCTGGCTTGGGCCTACATCACAGCCACCCGACTCCTGGATGATCACTTTGATCAGCCATGGCTGTTTGTTTCTCTGGGGTGGAGCTCCCAGAGACAACTGACAGTCTCTCTGCCATTGCCACCACCATGATCCCTGCCTCTTCTGCCCACCAAGTTGTGGATGGAACAAAAAGCCTGAGCTCACTCCAGGGCTGCAGTGCACAGCTCAGGAGTGCTGAACCGAGGTCTGTGGCCACCACTTGAGTGGGAGAGGAGTCCACATTCTCTGAGCGTGAAGAGGGGTGAGCTGCACAAGTTCATGGGCTGCTGTGGAAAGAGGGCATGACAACCTCCACAGAACCAGTCCAGAAGGGGTGTGACCTATCTCCCTGACATGGCCTCTGCCCCAAGGAACCCCCCAGGGTGGAACCCCTTACAACAACAAAAAGGAAACAATGCAGTGCCAATGATTAGAGGGGGCTCCCCGAAAGCCCAGGAATGGACCTGGTGAAGGGGTTGCCTTTCTTCTCACTGCAAAACAGAGAACTACGAATTAAAGAAAATACAAAAAAGCCACATGGCTAAGAGCCCATTTACCACCCATTACTCCTAACCCCCATCTACTATATCACAACCCAAATTACAAAGCAAAAAAAAATTTGCTAATATAGCCCCCTATGAAACAAAGGGCAATAATTCAGCCACAAATCAAGACATTGCACAGAGGCTTGGCCCTCTGAAAACATCCATAAATGAATCCAACTGTCTATACTCTACTTACACCACAGTTAAATGAACATCAACCCTCCCAGTTGAGGAAAAACCAACACAATAACTCAGATAATTCAAAAATCCAAGATGTCTCCTTACTTTTAAACAAGTTCACTAGCTTCCCTGCAATAGTTCTTAACCAGGCAGAAATGACAACATATAATTTAGAATCTGGATTGCAAGGATATTCACAGAGATTCAGGAGAAAGGTGAAATCCAATGCAAGGAATCTAGTAAAATGATATAAGAATTGAAAAATGAAATAGCCATTTTAACAAAGAAGCAAACTGAACTTCTAGAGCGAAAAATTTACTGTAAGCATTTTATATTTACAATCAGAAGTATTAATAGCAGAATAGACAAAGATGAGGAAGGAATCTGAGACCTTGAAGACTAGTTCTTCAAATCAACTCAGTCAGACAAAAATGAAAGAAAAAAGTATTTTAAGAACTGAACAAAACTTTGAAGATCTATAAGATTATGTAAAGAGACCTAGTCTGTGGCTCATTGGCATTCCTGATAAAGTAGGAGGGAGAATAAACAACTTGAAAAATATATTGAGGATATACTCCATGAAAATTTTGCTAGAGAATTTAACATGCAAAGCCAAGAAATACAGAGAACCCCAGCTAGATATTATATAAGAAGACCATCTCAGGTCATATAATAAACGATTCACAAATCTCGACACAAAAGAAAAAAGTCTTGAAAGCAACTAGAGAGAAAGTTTAAGTCACATACACAGGGAACCTCATCAGGTTAGCAGCAGACCCCTCAGTAGAAACCTTACTAGCTAGATGAGATCGGGGGCCTATTTTCAGCATCCTTAGAGAAAAGAAATTCCATTCAAGAGTTTAATATCCCACCCAAATATGCTTCAAAAGTAAAGGAGGAATAAAATCCTTCTCAGACTAGGAAATGCTGAGGGAATTTTTTTCAACTAGACCAGGCTTATAAAGAGGTCATTAAGGGAGTGCTAAACACCCAATTGAAAGAATGAAAGCTTCTACTCCCAAAACACAATTATGCACATAGCCCAAAGCTACTATTAAGCAATCACACAATCAGTCTACATAACAACCAGCTAACAACATGATGACACACTCAGAATCTCACATATCAATACCAATCTTTAATGTAAATGGGATAAATGCCCCATTAAAAGACATAGAGTGGCAAACTGGATAAAATTACAAGATCCAACCATCTGCTGTCCTCAAGAGACCCATCTCACATATAATGGCACCTACAGGTTCAAAGCAAAGGGATGGAGAAAGATCTACCATGCAAAGGGAAAACAAAAAAGAGCAGGAATTGCTATTGTTATATCAGAAAAAAATGATTTTTAAACCGTTAAAAATTAACAAGGACAAAGAAGGGCATTACATAATGATAAAGGGTACAATCCAACACGACTTAACTATCTTAAGTGTATATGCACCCTACATTGTATCATTCAGATTCATAAAACAAGTTCTTCTTCACCAACTTAGACAGACACACAATAATAGTGGAAGACTTCAACATCCTACTGACAGCCTTAGACAAATCATTGAGATAGGAAGCTAACAAAGAAACTCTTACCTCAACAGTTAAACCCAACACTTGACCAATTGGATCCAACAGGTATCTACAGAACACTCCACACAACAACAACAGAATATATATTCTTCTCATCTGCACACACAACATATTCTAAAATTGACTGCATGCTCAGCAATAAAGCAAGTCTTAATAAATTCAAAATATTAACACCAAGCAGACTTTGAGACCACAGTGTAATAAAAATAGAAATCAACAGCAAGAAGATTTCTCAACACAACACTAATACATGAAAATTAAACAACATGCTCCTTAATAACTCCTGAGTGAATATTGAAATTAAGGCAGAAATCAAAAACAATTATTTCAGATTAATGAAAATAGAAACACAACTTACCAAAATTTCTGGTTTGCAGCTAAAGCAGTAGTAAGAGGAAAGTTTATGGTGCTTAATGCCTTCATTAAGAAGTTAGAAAAATCTCAAATTAATCATCTAACTTTGCCCCTACAGGAACTAGAAAAAAAAGAATAAATCAACTCCAAAGCCAACAGAAGAAAAGAAATTACTAAAATTAGAGAACTGAATTAAATTCTGATTCAAAAATCTCTACAAAAGTGCACTGAAACCAAGAGGTGTTCCTTTGAAACAATGAAAATATGATATGATAAAATGCTAGCTAATTGAAGAAAAAAATAGAAGATCTAAATAAGTGCAATCAGAAATGACAAAGATGATATTATAACTGATAATGACATTACAAAAAATCTTCAGAGAGTACTATGAAAAACTCTATGCATACAAAGTAGAAAATCTGGAGTAAATGGATAAATTCCTGAAAACACACACTCTCCAAAGATTTAATCAGGAAGAGATTGAAACCATGATAGACCAATATCAAGCTCTGAAGTAGAATCAGTAATAAAAAACCTACCAACCAAAAAAGTCCTGGACCAGATTGATTCACAGCTGGATTCTACTGAACATACAAAGAAGAACAGGTAGAAATTCTACTAAAACTATTAAAAAATATTAAGGAGGTGGAGCTCCTCCCTTACTAATTCCACAAAGCCAGCATCAACCTAATATCAAAATCTGGTAGAAATGCAACAACAAAATACTTTCAGACCAATAACCCTGATGAACATAGATGCAAAAATCCTCAACAAAATTCAGTAAACTGAGTCCAGCAGCACATCAAAGAGTTAATGCACCATGATTGAGTAGGTTTTATTTCTAGGATGCAAGGCTGGTTCAACATATGCAAATCAATAAATGTGATTCACCACATAAACAGAATTAAAAGCAAAATATGATATGATCATATCAATAGGTGCAAAAAAGTTTTTGATAAAATCCAATATCCCTTCATGATAAAACCATCAACAAACTAGGTATCAAAGGAACATACCTCAAAAAAATAAGAGCAATCTATGACAGACCCACAGCCGACACCATATTGAATGGACAAAAGCTGAAAACATTCCCCTTGAAAACTGAAACAAGGAAAGGATGCCCACTCTCACCAGTCCTATTCAACAACTGGAAGTCCTAGCCTGAGCAATCAATCAAGAGAAGGAGATAAAAAGGCATCCAAATATAAAAAGAAGAAGTCAAGCTTTCTCTCTTAACTGATGATTTGATTCTATACTTAGAAAACCCTAAAGACTCTGGCAAAAAGCTCCTGAAACTGATGAATTATTTTAGTGAGGTTTCAGGATACAAAATCAATGTACAAAAATCAGTAGCATTTCTACATACTAATAATTTCAAGGCTGAAAGCCAAATCAAGGACCCAATCTCATTTACAATATCCACAAAGAAAATGTAATTCCTAGGAATACAGCTAACCAAGGAGGTGAAAGACCTCTACAAGGAGAACAACAAAACATTGCTGAAAAACACTGGAGATGACATAAGTGAATGGAAAAGCATTCCATGCTTGTGAATAGGAAGAATCAATATTGTTAACATGGCCATACAGACCAAAGCAATCTACAGATTTAATGCTCTTCCTATAAAACTAACAATATTGTTCGTCATATAATTGGTAAACCTATTCTAAAATGTATATGCAACCAAATAAGAGCCCAAATACCCAAAGAAATCCTAAGCAAAAAAGAAAAATAAAGCTGGAGTTATCACACTACCTGACTTTAAACTATATCGTAAAACCAAGACAGCATGGTACTGATACATAAACAGACACATAGGCCAATGGAACAAAATAGAAAACTCATATATAAAGCTGCACACTTACAACTATCTGATATTCTACAAGACTGACAAAAACTGGCAATGGAAAAAAGACCCAATATTCAATAAATAGTGCTGAGATAACTGGCTAGCCATATGCAGAAGATTAAAACTGGACCTTCACTTTTCAACACATAAAAAAATTAACTCAAGATGGATTAAAATTGAAATATAAGACCTCAAACTGTAAAACTTCTACAAGAAAAACTAGGAAATATGCTTCTTGATATTGACCTTGGCGGAGAATTATGGCCAAGTCCCCAAAAGCAATTGCAACAAAAACAAATATTGACATGTGAGACGAAATTAAACTAAAAGCTTCTGCACAGCAAAAGAAACTATTGATAGAGTAAACAGAAAACCTACAGAATGGGGGAAACAGTCACAAACTATGCATCTAACAATGTCTGATATCCAGAATCTATAAAGAATTTAACTCAACAAGCAAAAAACAAATAAACTCATTAAAAAGAGGGCAAAAGACATAAACAGACACTTCTCAGAAGAAGACATACAGGGTGCCAATACACATTAAAAAATGCTCAACATCACTAATCATTTGAGAAATGCAAATGAAAACCACAATGAGATACTTTCTCACACCAGTCAAAATGAGTATTATTAAAAAGTCAAAAAACAACTGATGCTGGTGAGGCTGTGGAGAAAAAGGATCACTTGCACACCGTTGATGAAAATGTAAATTAGTTTAACTATTGTGGAAAGCAGTTTGGAGATTTCTCAAAGAAATGAAAACAGAGCTACCATTGGACTCAGTCATCCCGTTAGTGGTTTTATACCCAAAGGAAAGTAGATCATTATACCAAAAAGACACATGCACTTGTATGATAATTGCCACACTATTCACGATAGCAAAGATATGGAATCTACCTAGGTGTTCATCAATGGTGGATTGGATAAAGAAAATGTAGTACCTATACATCATGGAATAGTATCCAGCCATAAAATAATGAAATCATGTCCTTTGCAGCAACATGTATGCAGCTGGAGGCCATAATCTCAAGCAAACTAACAAAAGAATAGAAAGCCAAATGCAACATGTTCTCACTAATAGGTGGGAACTAAACATTCAGAACACATGGACATAAACATGGGAAAAATAGACACTGCAGACTCTTAGAGCAGGGAGGAAGGGGGGCGTGAGTTGAAAAACTACCTATTGGGTACTATGCTAATCATATGGGTACAATATATTCATGTAACAATCCTGCACTTGCACTCCCGATATCTAACACAAAAGTTGACATTAAATAAAGAGAAAACCTAAAGTAGTTATAAAAGTGTTAGAATTGAGATGATTTATTGGATATAAAGTAAATTTACCATATGCAATTGCATTTCTAGTGGTAGCACCAGTGAAGATAAATTTAGAAACAAACATAATATTTACAAATAGTAGTAAAGAATATGTTTTCTCAAAATAATTGTATGTTCAAGACCTTTATTTAAAAAAAAAATACTTTTTTGGAAAATTGTTTAAGAAGACCGAAAGAAATGGAGAGACCCACCATGTTCATTGATAGAAACATTTTAAATCATAAAGATGACATTTCATCATAAAATTATCTGCAGATTCAATAAATTTCAATCACAGTTCCAACTAAGTTGTAAAGCACAACTACCTTATTCTAACATTATATGTAAGATTCAAGGGCCAAGAATTTTCAGCGCAGTCCAGAAATAGAAAGGAATAGAACGAAGCAGGGGAACTTGATATAAGTTATTGAGAATAATTACAATTAAGATAGTGTGGTAATGATTCCCAGATAAATTAATATGATAGTAAATTGAGTCTAGAAATAATGCAGTCATATTTGGAAATCTGAGAGTGCAGAAATGCAGATCAATGATGTCTGGGTAAATAGTTAACCTTATGAAAAATAATGAATAAAAATGTGTATGTGATAGCGTACACAAAGAGAGGAGGGGAGAAAGTGAGGGGGAGGGAGAGAGAGACAGACAATTATAGAAGAATCAAAGACTCAAATTTGAAAGTCAATATTACAATTCTGTATGATAATATAAGACATCTTTTTAATTTGGGATTGCTGGCAAAATTGTTTTCTTTAGCTATGCAGTCTAAGGAAGTTTCAGCAAAACTGTTTGGAAGTCCTGAAGCCAAAGTTGACCTGCAAAGTAGCCTATTGTGTATCTGGAACAGGCCTGCATTAGTACCTCGACTATACTCAGTCATTTGCCAGGCAGCAATCTGTGGGAAGTGTGGCCTTGGTACAAATATGCTGATTGACTCAGAGTATAGCAGCTGACGTCCTTGGTCAACTGTGCTCCCTGTAGCTAGAGGCCTGTCAGGCACATTTATTTTTACCTCCACACCTAGTAAGTCAATCAGTCAGAAGAAACAGTACCTCTGATCTGGAAAAATGACAGAGATGATTGCTACCTCTAATGGCCTAAAGGATGCTGGGATGGTGGTATGCATTTAATTCACTATGCAAACCCATATAGTAGCTAAACTAATCTTATAGAATGATACTGGACTACTTCAATCTCAAACAAGTGAATTCCAATTGCACCTATTCTAGGTGTGGCATCTTTGCTAAAGCAAATTAACATGGGCTGAACTATGTGGTTTACAGCCATATGTCTGCTAAATGTGTTCTATTCTATCCTTATCATAAAGGGCCATAAGAAGCAGTTCTGATTCACTTCGAATGGGCAAGAGTATAAATTTATGTGACTCCTTTCATCCTCTGTAATTAGTCTAAAGGGATCATAGTCCTCTGTATACAGTAGACAATAGGACATTGATCCAGTATGTTGATGTCATCATTAATTAGGTTGTATAAACAAGAGATGACTGGTATGTTGGAGGCCTTTTTATAGTACATGTGTTCAAGAAGGTGGCAGATAAACCTTAAAACAAACCAGGGACTTGCCTAATCCCTAGAATCTTGGGCAGTCTAGGGGTCTGTAACATGCTGGACATCCTCTCTAAATTAGACAACACATTTTTAGCTCATGTAACTCCAACTAAAAAGGAAGCATAAGGCCAGATAGGCCTTTTTAGAGTCTGAAACTAGTATATTGCTCACTTGGAGATAATGCTCCAACCGATCAATATATTGCACTACACAAACGGCAGTCAGCTTTAAGTGAGGTCCACAGAAAGAAAGCATTCTGTAACAAGTTCAGGCTGCAGTTTAAGGGACCCTGCTAGTTGGCCCATATGAATTAGTGAACTCTATGGTATTAGTCAGTCTTCATGGGAAAAGGCACATTGTGCAATTTACAAAGAATCCCAAAAGGATCATCACAACATAGACCCCTAGGATTCCAGATAAGACAATGCACAGAAGTATACATTATAAACCATTTGAAAATGGCTTCTGATGAGCTACTTTTCCCCAGTAGGAACAGAGTATCTCCTCATGAGATTTCAAGTGGTTACTGGGTGTTTGGCTATGATAATGCATTAATGTGTATAATTATAGTTTTTGCACTTTCTCGGTATGTTTTACCCTTTTGAAGAATTTAAAAATACAAGCCATTAGCCAGGAGAACTATACGCAATGCATATTTTCAACAAAGTAACAATCTCCAGAAAAACTCCTATGCCTCTGTAAGAAAAATACAAATCATTGAGGAGGAAAGGGGCCAGAAACATAAACAGATATTTCACAGGTGAATAAGCATAAGTACTAATAAATGTAAAATATCTAAACTGTATTAATAATAAAAAAGTCAGAATTATGACTATAATGACATATAATTTTACATACAACAAATTGGTAAAATTTTAAAATGCACATCATACAATACTAAGTGTTACTAAATATATGAGGAAAGTGTATTCTCTTATGTTGCTTATGGGAGTTTAATTGGTCTAAATTGTTTGGAAAATAAAATTGGGCATTACCTAATAAAATTAAAATTTCTATGGAAAAGTTAGACGGAAGGCACTATACGTCGGCAACAAAAAAGAGAAGATGAAGAATAGAATGATAAAAATCTTATAATTGGTTATAGAATGATAAAAGTATATAAGTTCCAGAAGAACGTTAGGGAGAAAATAATGAAGAGATATTATTTACAGAGAGAGTCTTAAAATTTTCCAAAATTGATGAAGACATTAATCTTCAGATTCAGTCATCCAATACATCCTATGCAGGAAAACTTTTTGGAAACACATATTTGGACCAATTTAAGTAAAATTATAGAAAATAAGGATTGAAATAAACTAAAGGAATTTCTACAGGATGTAAAAACATAAGTAAGAACTAGAATTACAAAATAATTGTGAGTAACAAAGTATGTATACAGTGTAAACAAACATTTAATAAATGAAATAATGACAATAATGTTGAATTGAGAATTTAAAAATAAAACGTGTAAAAACTAAAATATTGACTATAGATTGAGTATATGGGAGAGGATAATTGGGTTTAACTAATATAAATTCCTTTTGTTATATAAGAAGAGGGTAATGTTATGGAGTAAAGATACATTTTCTTAATTTAATTATGAATTTAAAAAATGATTAGATAAGTAATACTGCTGAAAAAATAGAGGTTCCTCTGTATACACGTTAATCTCCTTTGTCACTCTTTTATGTCATTGCACTCACCTGGCAAAACGCCAGTACTGGTTACATACATATTCCACCTACTCTTTATATGCAAAAGTGTAGCTAAACTTGGCCTGGTGGGAAAAGATAATGATGTTGACCTATCTCATGTGAAAGTAATGTATACTCACTATTAACTCACCTTTAATCTCTTTAGCTGCTTTAAATCCTTTTCCCCCTCATACCTCCAATTAGGTTGCCTTTAGTTTATACTGTGCCTCTGGATTGCAGTGGCTCACGCCTGTAATCCCAGCACTTTGGGAGGCGGATGCGGGCGGATCACCTGAGGTCGGGAATTCGAGACCAGCCTGACCAACATGGAGAAACCCCGTCTCTACTAAAAATACAAAATTAGCTGGGCGTGGTGGCGCATGCCTGTAATCCCAGCTACTCAGGAGGCTGAGGCAGGAGAATCACTTGAACCCGGGAGACGGAGGTTGTGGTGAGCCGAGATTACGCCGTTGCACTCCAGCCTGGGCAAGAAGAGGGAACTCCATCTCAAAAACTAATAGTAATAATAAGAAAACTAACTCCTTTCATTAGGACTTCTTTTTCTGAGTTTAGCAAGGATTGGATATTTGTTGCCTTTTGTTTCTTTGTTGGGATAAACGTGCCAGGCACAACCTGTGCAACCACATATGGAAGTCTGTCTTCCTTCCCTTACTGCCTCTCTATTCAATTTTAACAAATAACGTTGTATCCTATTTCTTTTGGAAAATAGAACCTGTCAGAAAAGAATATCCATGAACTACTAGTAAAATATATCTTCCTATTAACATCTGTCAACATGAATTCAGCTTTCCTTCATGTTAATATAAACTGAATATCCATGTTCATATCTACAGAAAACTGATCCACTTATATGCTAGATTTTATCCCTTCCTGCCTATTCAAGGATATCATTTCAGAAATACCGGCTGAGCGTGGTGGCTCACGCTTGTAATCCCAGCACTTTAGGAGGCTGAGGCGGGCGGATCACGAGGTCAGGGGCTCGAGACCATCCTGACTAACGCGGTGAAACCCCGTATCTACTAAAAAAATACAAAAGAAATTAGCCGGGCGTGGTGGCGTGTGCCTGTAGTCCCAGCTACTCGGGAGGCTGAGGCAGGAGAATGGCGTGAACTCCGGAGGCAGAGCTTGCAGTGAGTCGAGATCGCCCCACTGCACTCCAGCCTGGGCGACAGAGCGAGACTCCGTCTCAAAAAAAAAAAAAAAAAAAGAAAGAAATACCACCCTGCCCCTCTCCTGGATGACCTATACATTCTTTATCTTATTTTTTTTATATTATTTGTTAGCATAAAAGCATGTTCTAGTTACTCTCATCTTAAAGACAGTCTTCTACTTGACCCAATATTTCTCTCTTAGTATAGACCTATTGTTTTGTTTTATAGAGAAATTCCTCAAAAGAGTTCTCTATAGGTCCTATTTCAAATTCCTTTCTTCCTGTTCCTTTTATAAACTAGTTTTTCTTTTGTCCATATCATTCCACCGAACCTGCTTTGGTAGCCTCCACATTGCCAAATCGAATAGGTCTATTGTCAGTCTTCATCTCACTTGACCTGTCAGTGGTTTTTCGTATACTTTGTATTGGCCTTCCATCAGAAACACTTTCTCCACTTGACTAACAAAACAGCGCACCTGTAACAGTTTTTCTCCTACCTCGTTGGCTTTTCCTTCTTTGCCTAGGTTGCTGGTTCCTTATCACCCTATTTCAATGTTAAATATCCAGGTCTCTCTGCTTTTAGAGCTCTTTGCTTCTGTGGTAGACTGAAGACCGTCTCTCCCAAGGATGTCCACATCCAAACCCCCTGAATTTGTGAGTATGTTACCTTGAATGGCAAAAGAGACTTTATAAATGTGGTTAAATGAAGTATATTGCCATGGGAAGTTTATTCTTGATTTATTAGGTATATCCAATGATGTATCACAAGGATCTTTCTAAAAGAGAGGCAAGATATCAGAGTGGGTAGAAGGCAATGTGAAAATGGAGGCAGAAATTACACTGATGTGGCTAAGAGGCAAGGAATGTCAAGGCCTCTGGAAGCCTAAAGAGATAAGAAAATTATTCTCCTTTGGAGCCTCCAGAAGAAACCACCCCTGCTGACACTGATTTTAGCTCTATAAGACTTATTTTTGACTTTTGACTTCTGAAACTGCAAGATAATGAATTTGCATTGTTTTAAGCCATTATGTTTTTGATATTTTTTTCTGTTTGTTATTGTTATGGTTTATTGCATAAGCTGTTTTAAGTTGCTTCCCTGTCACTTACAAATAGAATAATTCTAAATCATATGGCCATTTTCATTATGTCATCTTTGATTATTATAGAAAAATGCAAAATATTGATGATCAAAATTATATACACACATAGTAGAATACATAGAACCCTGAAACTGATCATTTAAAATACACTTTCTTATTTAGCATACATAAATCATTTATGAAAACTGACCATAAAGCTCACTAATTCTTTCTTCTGCTTGATCAATGCTGATATTAGAAGACTCTGATGCGTTCTTCAGTATCTCAATTGCATTTTAACCCCAGAATTTCTGCTTGATTTTTAATAATTATTTAATCTATTTGTTAAATTTATGTGATAGAATTCTGAATTATTTGTCTGTGTTATCTTTGAATGTTTTTGAGTTTCCTCCAAATAGCTGTTTTTTGGTTTGAGTGGCAGCTCAAATATTTGAGATATTTGAAATATTCAATATTTCAATACAAAATATTGAATATTTAGCATTCTTTGACTAAAAGGTCACTTATCTCTGTTTTTCCAGGACTGGTTCCTGGTACATTATTTACTTCATTTGGTGAGGTCATGTTTTCCTGCATGTTCTTGATGCTTGTGGATGTTAGTTAGGGTCTGGGCATTAAATAGTTATTTATAGTAGACTTTGCAGCCTCAGCTTATTGTATTCATCCTTCTTCAGAAGGCTTTTCAGTTATTTGAAAGGACATGGGTGTTGTGCTCTAAGGCATATCTGCATTAAGTGGCACTCCAAGTCCTGTAATGCTGTGGTTCTTGCAGACTCATAGAGGTACTTCTTGGTGGTCTTGGGTAAGATGTGGAAGAATTGTTTGGATTTCCAGGCAGAGGCTCTTGTCCTCTTCCCTTCCTTTCACCCAAACATACGAAGTATCTCTATGCTGAATCACCTGGGGCTGAGGATGTTGTGACACAAGCACCCCTGTGGCTATCACCACTGAAAATGCTCTGGGTCAGACCTGAAGCCAGTACAGCGCTGGGTCTCATCCATGGCCTGCTGTAACCATTCCCTGGCTACACCCTATGTTACCTCAAGGCCCTGGGACTCTATAATTAGCATGGGGTGAATCCAGCCAGGCTTATGAGCTTCCCTTCAGGAAAGCAAGCTCCCCCAGACCCCACGTGAGTCCAGAGATGCCATCTGGGAGCCCAGGTCTGGAATAAAAAACCTGAGAAATCCATCTACTGTTCTATTTTACTGTGGCTGAGCTGGCACTCAAACCATAAATTGCATTCTTTCTCACTCCTCCCTCCCCTTTCCACAGGAAGAAGTGCCTAATCCCATGGCCACCATCACCAGAGGCCTATGGGGAGTACAGCCAGGCTATTGCTAATGTTGACTTTAGGCCCAAGGCCCTTCAGTGATCTTGTGGTGAATGCTGCCAGTCCTAGGACTCACCTTTCAGAGAAGTGTGCTCCCCTCTGGCCCAGTGAAGGTCCATAAAAGCTGTTCTAGAGCCAAAACCTGGAATCAGGACTCCCAAGCGTCTACTTGATTCCCTAACATCCTGCATCTAAGCTTGTATATAAGGTGCAAGACAATGTCCCCTTATTTTTCTTCTGGTTTTCTCGAGCAGAAGTACTCTGTTACTGTTGCCACCACAGCTGGGAATGTGCTAGGTCGCACCTGAAGCCAGAACATCTCAGTATCTCACCCAAGACCTATGGCATATTAAGTGGGGATTGCTGCTGATTACTCAGGGCCCACGGGATATTTAGTCAGCACGTGATGGGTCTTACCAGGACTGGGTCCTTCCTTTCATGGTAGCACATTCCCTTCTGGCCCATGGTGTGTGTAGATATGTCATTTTTGAGGTGGGGCCTGGAATGGGTGCCTTGCCACTCTGACCAGTGTCCTATCCTACTGTGGTTGAGTTGGTAACCAAGATGCAAGACGAAGTCATTTTTACTCTTCCCTCTCTTCTCCTCAAGCAGAAGGAAAGAGTCTCTTTTGGAGCCATGAGCCGCTGCTGCTAGCACTACCTTAGCTGTCCTAGATGCTGTCTCATTATGTCATATGTTCCCCAAGTCCACTGGTTCTCATCCCAGCTCAGCACTGGGATTTACCTAGGAGTTCTAGTTTTTGTGGCCTAGATTGCCTTTCAAGTTTATGTAAGACCTCAGTGCACTTTAGTCTGCAGTGGTGAGGCCTGCTGGAACTCAATTCTGGCCACTGGGATGTGTGATTCCCCCCTATCTCGGGCTTGTCTATATGCTCCCTCCATTGGGGGGCATCAGCTGAATTCATCCGATTTTGCTTTCTGCTATGACAGTGCAGGATTGAGTAAATGCAAATCCTTGCAATCGTTGCATTTTTCCCTCTCCCAAGTGCAGAGCTTCTCTCTCTGTGCCATGCACCTGTTGCTGGGGTGCGAAGTTCTGTTGGCAACTCAAGACTGTCTTTCCTACCCTGTTCAGTGCCTCTTTCTGTGGTATAAAGTTAAAACAAGGTACTGTGAATTCTCACCTGATTTTTGCTTCTTATAAAATGGCTTTCTTTGTGGGTAGGCAGTTGTTACTACTGGCATTCCTGCAGGAGGTATGATTGGTGGAACCTTCTATTGGGCCATATTGCTCCATTCTCTAGATCCATCACTTAATAAAAATGACCATACATTATCAAGTTGCATTTATCTTGGGAATGAAAGTCTGATTTAATGTTAGAAACTCTAGTTATTCAATTCAAAACATTAACAAATTGAAAGATTAATATAATCATCTTGATAGATGAGAAAATGTGTATTTGATAAAATTAAACATTCTTCATAAATTGAAATGGATGCAGCCTTTTATCAAACAAGAATAGACAGTGTATTGTTCAGATTTGATTTGTAGATGATAGAATTTAGCTGTTCAAAGAGGAAAAGATTTACTTCAACAATAGATGAGTACCAAATTATTGTGGATTTATACATTATTTCACTTTTAGGTGAATTCTAATTCAGGTCTGACAGTTCTTCAGGACAGCACCTTTTCAATGTAGTACCTCAGAGATAGAAGCTGCTTCCATCCCATAGCCTTAACATCTGAAGTTTACAGACACCAGTATCACAAAAAAGGGAAAAGCAAGTGGAGATCACTTAAAGGCCAAGAGATCATTCTAATGGCTAGATCTTGGAGAGTTTTACATTGAATATGCCCATACTTCATGGCCTGAATCTAGTTACATATCCTCAACCTAACTGCAAAAAGTGATTGAAAATATAGTTTTCTGTGTACACGGTAAAACAGAAAAGATTTGTGATGTGATAAATACATAGCATTGCCTCTGCCACAAAAGGGGAAAGTTCTATTCCTTTAAAATCTGGAGCAAGAAAAGATTGGCCCGCCATGAGAACTACATTTCAACATTATAAGGATGGTCTTAGTGAGTGCAGTAAAGTAAGACAAATATAAATAAATGGCTTAAGGATTAAATAATTAAATCTTCTTATATCATCTTTAATATTAAAAAACTCCAAAAAACTTAAACAAATTTATAATTAGACATATTGCTAGTTATAGATCAAAATTTAAAACCTCAAGTATATTTTTATACATGAGCAACAAGGAGAAACTACACCTTTTAGAATTTTTTCCATATTCTTTTTAACAAACAATGCAGGTAAATTCTGTCTAAATGGATGTCTCTCACTCTGAATAAACATTTATTTGAAGTTTAGCAATACCTTCAGATTTACTCCTGCAAAGTGATTCTTTGTGCTAAATTAATTCACATAAAATTAAATATAGCATGTGTGACATAATTTCTCCTTATTTCTATCTAGATACTTGTTAGTCACCTACCTGTATGTATGAAAATAGCTATTATGAGTGATGGTTCATGGTTCATTTATGATAGAAATAACTATGCATAGGTGGTGAAATTTGGGGTGTTTTACATTTGTTGTCTTATCATCCTCTATCCCTGAAATGTTTTATTTTAATTTTTAAATTAACAGATAAACTTATGTATATGTATCATGTAAACATGATGTTTTGAAATGTATACACACACACACACACACACACACACATTGTGGAATGGCTAAATCAAACTGATTAACATATGCATTACCTCACATAGTTGTCATTTTTGTGGTGAAAACACTTAAAATCTACTTTCTTGGAAATATTGCTGAAATTTTTAATGAGCATATATTTATATTATAAAAGCGATAACTGAAATACTATTAAAACTTAAAATGACAGTTCATTAGAAAAAGCAGACAAATTTCTTTAAAAGGAAGTTCACCAATGAAGAAATGAAAATGTCAATAGATATGAAAATTATTTAACTTTATTAATTAAAGAGATATAAATTAAAGTAATGTAATATACTTTTCCTATAAGATTTATAAAGATGAAAAAACTTTGGTATTTTAATGGCAAGTTGGGAGAAAATGAATACATTGATTATTATATTAGAAATTATTTTTATGGGAAACTATGCATCAAATTGTTACAAATTAGCACAGACACGGTTTCAACTCTATAAATGTCCCTGAGAAAATAATGTTACAGGTTCACAAATGTGCATAAAGATTTTCTTTCCTATGTTTTATAATATAAAATAATTAGAAATGAAAGAATAAATGTCCATGAATATAAAATTAGCTAATATATTAGAGCCATCAAGATTACTCTTGAGTGCTAAAAATGCACCGATATAGAAAATATCTTAACTATATTATTAGAAAAGAGACCATGCAGTACATGATCTGTACTTGAAAGTAAAACAAACAAAAAATCTATTTACATAGATTAATACCTGAACAAATATGCATGCTGATGTTCAGAGTGTCTAGCACTGTCTTATGAGATGAATAGTGATTTTTATATTTTATAGTTCCCTTAATTATCTGATTTTTAAAATTTACAAACAGCATATATTAATTTTAGTATCAGACAAATATTTCTATTTTGAAAGAAATAGAACAGTTCATCTTTAATTGTCACATTTATCTAATGATAGTATGCCTCATTAATTAATAAATTTGCCAGTTGATTTTATAAAAGGTATTTCTCACTTCTACAAAGAGAAATGGCAATAATAAAGTATAAAGTGTCACAAACCTGTCATTTTCGTGGCTGCTTTTACAGGTTTTAATGGCCAAATTGTCTATAGTAATTGCCCTTTAGAGTCAGATAGCAATTGTAGGTTTCTTTTCCTGAAATTCAGGATGGTTGTTTTGTGCTCAAGATCATTCAGATTTATAGCCACCAATATTTAAGGCGTATAACCATATCAAATGTAATAATTCAATAAACTATAACTTAACATGACATTTTTTTAAAAAACAACAAAAGTATTTCATTTCATAATTTCTTATTAAAAATATGAAGAATCTATATCTTGGATTGTTTTATACTGTTATACTTTATCATTTTTGAAACCTGGTATGTGATTTAAAAAGAAATGTTATATTTTTCTCTCAGTTACCAACCTAATTTTAGATAGAAAACCACTATATTATACTTACCATGTGCTATTGCTGTTATAAATGTTTTGCAAACAAACTATTGAAACTCACAAATTACAATCATTCTAGGTAGGTACTGTTATCCTCATTTTGCTTAGGCAGTGAGCCTAAGTTACTTGCCCAGTGTTACACAGTTAGCAAGTGGTGGAGACAGAATTCAAAAACTGACTTTAAAAGTTCCACTCTTAACCACTTTCCTTCTCTGCTTACTATTTATCCTGTGAGAATTGAGGAGGAAGGAGGATGAGTGTACTTCACTTCTTCCTTTTTACTTATTTGAATACTAAATGCAAAGTTGAGCTAGTCATACTCATTTCATTCTACAGTATAATAAATTAGGTATACCATGTAACACATTACTCCCAAACTTAGAAGCTTAAAATAATAAGTATGTGTCATCTTATATAGCTTGAGGTTCATAAATCTGTGCCTTAGCTGGGTGGTTCTGGCTCATTGTCACTCCTGAAGTTCTATTCAAGTTTTGAATGGGAGGGATTGCAGTTGCTGAAGGCTTGACTTGGGGTGGATAGTCCATTTCCAACCTCACTCATGTGGCTGTTAGCAGAAGACATCAGTCTTTTTGTGTAGTTTGGTCTTTATCACTTTACATTATATATACATACATATATATGTATATATAAAATATATGAAGATTTGTGGCACCTCTTTTTGTCATATATTATTTTCCTACTTTCAAGTGTTTCCGTTAAAATTCTCTATTATGTTTATTAGTCTCTATTACTCTGCCAGTTTCATATAGTTTTTAATTCTGTGGTGTTATGATACCTTACTAGAAAGTTAAGACACCATTATTTGGTCTTCTTTTCCAAAGATGTCTAGCTATTTATGGACCTTTATTTTTACATTTCATTTTATCTTGAAATTGTCAGGCTTCTAAATCTTCTGGCTAGAAATTCAATTGAGATTGAATACAATTTATAGATACATGCAATTTATTAATTATAGAGAAAAATATTATTGACATGCTAAGTTATTCCATTCATGAAAAGTTGCATTTTTATGTATCCAAAAAATTTTTAATTTTTAATAGCATTTTAATATTAGTACATTAAAATACTGTGCATTCATTGTTATGATTTCCTCTAGAAACATTATAGATGCATGACTTGTTTTATTGCACTTCACTTTATTGAACTTCACAGGTATTGCATTTTTTTTTTTTTTTACAATTGATGATTTGTGGCAACCCTGCATTGAGCAAGTCTATTGGTGCCAAATTTACAACAGTGTATGCTCATTTTGCATCTGTATGTCACATAATATTTCAAATTTTCCATTATTATTATATCCATTATAGAGATCTGGGATCAATGATCTTTGATATTTCTGTTCCAATTGTTTTGAGGTGCCACAAACCATGCCCATAAAAGAGAGCAAACTTAATTAATCAATGTTTTGTGTGTTATGACTACTCCAAGGACCAGTCATTCCCCTGCCTCTCTTCCTCTTCTTGGGCCTTCCTGTCCCCTGAGATTCAACAACATTGAAATTAAGCCAATTAATAAAACTTAAAATGCCTCCAAGTGTTCAAGTGAAAGGAAAAGTTACATGTTTCTCACTTTAAATCAAGAGCTAGAAATAAGATTAAGTTTAGTGAGGAAGGCATGTCAAAAGCCCAGTTAGGATGAAATCTAGGGCTCTTGTGGCAGTTAGAAAAATTGTGACTGCAAAGGAAAAGTTTTTAAAAAATTAAAAGTGCTACTCCAGTGAACACACAAATAATAAAAAAGTGAAAAAGCCTCACTGTCAATATGGGGAAAGTTCTAGTGGTCTGGATAGAAGATCTAATGAGCCACAACATTCTCTTAAGCCAAAGCCTAATCAAGAGAAAGACTCTATCTCTTTTCAGTTCTATAAAGGCCGAGAGAGGTGAGTAAGCTACAGCAGAAAAGTTTGAAGTTAGGGTACTTTGGTTCATAGGGTTTAATGAAAGAAACCATCTCCATAACATAAAAGTGCAAGATGAGGCAGCAAGTGCTGATGTATAAGCTACAGCAAGTTATCCAGAAGAACTAGCTAAGGTAATTATTGAAGGTGGCTACAATAAAAAATAGATTTTCAATGCAAACAAAAGAACCTGATATTGGAAGATTCCATCTAGCACTTTCACAGTTAGAGAGATGTCAGTATCTGGCCTCAAAGCTTAAAAGACAGGCTGACTTTCTTATTAGGGGCTGATGCAGTTGGTGACTTTCAGTTAAAGTCAATGCTCATTTATCATTCTGAAAATCCTAGGACTCTTAAAAATTGTTCTAAATCTACTCTTTCTGTGTTGTGTAAATGAAACAACAAAGCCTAGTTGACAGCACATCTGTTAACAGCATGGCTTACTTAATATTTTAAGGCCAATATTGAGACCTACTGCACAGAAAAAGGTTCTTTTAAAGTATTAACAATGAACCTAGTCACACAAGAGCTCTGATAGAGACGTACAAGGAGATTAATGTTGCTTTCATGCCTGCTAACACAACATCTGTTCTTCAGCCCATTGATCAAGGTGCTTCATAAGGAAAGGTCAAAATATAAACCTTAGCAGGAGTTTGAAATAAATTGATTCCAATCCTTATGGATGACTTTAAAGGTTCAAGACTTCAGTGGGGGAAGTAACTGCAGATGTGGTATAAATAGCAATCGAACTAGAAGTGAAACCTGAAGATGTGACTAAATTGCTAGATCTCATAATTAAACTTTAATGGATAAAGATCTACTTCTTATGAATGAACAAAGAAAATGGTTTCTTGAAATGGAACCTTCCTGGTGATGATCCTGTGAACATTGTTGAAATAAGAGATTCAGAATATCACACATACTTAGGGTTTGAGAGGATTCACTCCAATTTTGAAAGAAGTTCTATTATGGGTAAAATGCTGTAAAACTGCAACACATGCTACAGAGAAATATTTTTGAGACAGAGTTTAATGATGTGACAAAATTTATTTTAGTCTTATTTTAAGAAATTTCCACCACCACTCCAACGATCATCAGTCAATACCCTAATCAGCCAACAGCCATCAATATCCAGGCAAGACTGTCCACCAGAAAATGATGTTAATTTTCAGATGATTGTTAACATTTTTATCAATAATTTAAAGTATATTTTAGTGAAAGTGTGAACATTTTTTTAGACATAATACTGTTAACCACTTAGTATACTATAGTATAGTGTAATCACAAATTTTATATGCACTGGGAAATCAGTACAATCATGTGACTCACTTAAGTTTAACATTTGCTTTATTTCAGAGATCTGGAACAAAATCTACAATATCTCCAAGGTACACATATATATTTATTATTTCCTTGCTGCTCTGATACTTTGGTTCAGTAATATATAACATATATTAATTCATTTTTATGATGAAAGTCACACTTAATTGTGGTAATTATGAGTAGATCAAGATACATATTTTAATTCAATGTTGCATTCAGTTATGTATTATTTAATATATAGTTTTCACATCTGTGTTCATTGGCATCAGGGACCTTTGAATTTTTTTTTTTTGGTCTTTGTTTTTTTTAACTTTTAAGTGTCTGTCTTCTGGTTTTGCTTATTTCTCATTTGCTTTTTAAAAATGTCATTGTATATTTATATTATCAGTTAAATGAGGCTTATGGAATGAGTTGGGAGTCTTTATACCAATTTCTGTCTTTTGGAACAGCTTGTAAACTTTCATTGAAATTGTATGGACTTGGATTTCTTTTATTTTTGCATTTATTCTGAATATATTTTTTGATAGACAAGTTATTCATTGTCATACAATTTTGTAATACTAATAGGACAATTCACATTTTATATTTACTTTTTGCTGATTATGAAGGCTTCTGTTTTTATAAAAGTATATTAATCTTATTTTCAAAATGACTATTTTTGTGTATTATACATAGTTTAACTTCTGTGATTTCTCTAAATTTTTAACATTTTCTTTACGTTCATTGGTATCTTATTTTTTTAATCTTGATCAGTTTTATCAGAGGTTTTACTCACTTCTAAATGATTTAAATAACCAGATCTATGAATTTTCTCTGTTGTTTAATGTTTCTATCTTGTTCTTTATGTTTTATTTCATCTTCAATTGGTATAATAATTGTACATATATATGTGGTGCAGTGTGATGTTTTGATACATCTATACATTGTATAATAATCAAATCAGAGTAATTAATATACCTATCACCTCAACATTTATTATTTCTCTGGTGGTAAAAACATTTAATTTCCTCTCTTCTGTCTTTTTTGAAATATGAAATTACATGGTATTTGCCCTTATGTGCCTGGGTTATTTCACTTAATATAATGCCCTATACACTAATCCATGTTGTCATAAATGATAGGAGTTTATTATTTTTTATGGACCAATAGTGTTCAATTGTCTATATATGCCACTTTTTGTTTATCCATTAATCCATTAATGGAAATTTAGGTTAATTCCATATGTTGGTATTTGTGAATAGTGCTGCAATAAACATGGAAGTAAGCTATCTCTTTGCTAGGCTGACTTCATTACCTTTGGATATATATCCAGTAGTAGGATTTGTGGGTCCTATGGTAGCTTTATTTTGGATTTCTTGAGGAACATCCATACTGTTGTTTATAAAGACTGTACTAATTTTCATTGCCACCAACAGTGTATGATAGATCTCCTTGATCCACATCATTGCCTGTGGTTTTCTTTTGTTAATTTTGGTAATAGCCATTTGATATGGTTTGGCTGTGTCCCCACCCGAATCTCATCTTGAATTCCCACATGTTGGGGGAGGAACCTGGTGGGAGGTAATTGAATCATGAGGGCGGGGCTTTCCCATGCCATTCTCCTGATATTAAATAAGTCTCATGAGTTCTGATGATTTTAAAAAGGAAAGTTTCCCTGCACAAGCTCTCTTTTTGCCTGCTGCCATCCACGTAAGATGTGACTGGCTCATCCTTGCCTTCTGCCATGGTTGTGAGGCCTCCCCAGCCATGTAGAACAGTAAGTCCAATAAACCCTTTTCTTTTGTAAATTGCCCAGTCTCAGGTACGTCTTCATCAGCAGCATGAGAATTGACTAATATGGTAAATTGGTACTAGTAGAATGGGGCACTGCTGAAAAGATACCTGAAAATGTGGAAGCAACTTTGGAACTGGGTAACAGGCAGAGGTTGGAACAGTTTGGAGGGCTCAAAGAAGACAGAAAAATGTGGGAAAGTTTGGAACTTCCTAGAGACTTGTCAATTGGCTTTGTCACAAATGCTGATAACAATATGGACAATAAAGTCCAGGCTGAGGTGGTCTCAGATGGAGATGAGGAACTTGTTGGGAGCTGGGGTAAAGTTGGCTCTTGCTATGTTTTAGTAAAGAGACTGGCTGCATTTTGCCCCTGCCCTAGAGATTTGTGGAACTTTGAACTTGAGAGAGATTATTTAGGGTATCTGGCAGAAAAAATTTATAAGCAGCAAAGCATTCAAGAGGTGATTTCGGTGCTGTCAAAGGCATTCAGTTTCATAAGGGAAGCAAAGCATAAAAGATTGCAAAATTCATAGCCTGACAATGTGATAGAAAAGAAAATCCCATTTTCAGAGGAGAAATTCAAGCAGCTGCAGAATTTGCATATAAGTGACAAGGAGTGATGTTAATCACCAAGAAAATGGGGAAAATATCTCCAGGGCATGTAAGAGGTCTTCACAGCAGCCTCTCCCATCATAGGTCCAGAGGTTTAGGAGGAAAAAATGGTTTCCTGAGCCGGACCCAGGGTCCCTCTGTGTGTGCAGGCTAGGGATGTGGTTCCCTGCATCCCAGCTGCTCCAGCCATGACTAAAAGAGGCCAAGGTACAGCTCAGGCTGTTGCTTCAGAGGGTGGAAGTCTCAAGCCTTGGCAGCTTCCATGTGGTATTGAGCCTGTGGGTGCACAGAAGTCAAAAATTAAGGTTTGGGAACCTCTGCTTAGATTTCAGAGGATGTATGGAAATGCCTGGATGCTGGGGCAGTTTGCTGCAGGGGCAAGGCCCTCATGGAGAACCTCTGCTAGGTTAGTGCAGAACAGAAATGTGGGGTTGGAGCCCCCACACAGAAGCACAGTAGGAGCACCTCACTGGGGTGCTGCCTAGTGGAGCTGTGAGAAGAGGCCCAGAACACTCCAGACCCCAGAATGATAGATCCACTGACAGCTTGCACCGTGCACCTGTATAAGCTGCAGACACTCAATGCTAGCCCATGAAAGCAGCCGGGAGGGAGGCTGTACTCTACAAAGCCACAGGGGCACAGCTGCCCAAGACCATGGGAACTCATCTCTTACATCAGCATGACCTGGATGTGAGACATGGAGTCAAAGGAGATCATTTTGGAGCTTTAAGATTTGACTGCCCTACTGGATTCTGGACTTGCATGGGGCCTGTAGCACTTTTGTTTTGGCCAGTTTCTCTCATTTGAAATGGCTGTATTTACCCAATGGCTGTACGCTCACTGTATCTAGGAGTTACTAACCTGCTTTTGAATTTTACAGGCTCAAAGGTGGAAGGACTTGCCTTGTCTTAGATGAGACTTTGGATTGTGGACTTTTGAGTTAATGCTCAAATGAATTAAGACTTTGGGGGACTGTTGGGAAGGCATGATTGGTTTTGAAATGTGAGGACGTGAGATTTGGGAGAGGCCAGGGGCAGAATGATATGGTTTGGCTGTGTCCCCACCCAAATCTCATCTTGAATTCCCACGTGTTGTGGGAGGGACCTGGTGAGAGGTAACTGAATCATGGGGATGGGTCATTCTTGTGCTGTTCTCTGGATAGTTAATAAGTCTCATGAGTTCTGATGGTTTGAAAAATGAAAATTTCCCTGCACAAGCTCTCTTTTTGCCTGCTGCCATACACATAAGATGTGACTGACTCCTCCTTGCCTTCTGCCATAATTGTGAGGCCTCCCCAGCCATGTGGAACTGTAAGTTCAATGAACCCCTTTTTTTGCTTTCTTTTTTTTTTTTTTTGTGAATTTCCCAGTCTCAGATATGTCTTTATCAGCAGAGTGAAAATGCACTAATACTCTATTCTAACTGGGGTGAGATGATACAGCATTTTGGTTTTGATTTGCATTTCTCTGATTATTAGTGATATTTAGCTTTATATGTTATAGAACTGTTTGCCATGTGTATGTATTTTTTGAGAAATGACTGTTTAGGTCTTTTGCCCATTTTTAAAATCAAAATATTTGCTTATTTGCTCTTGATTTGCCTGATTACTTTATATATTCTTGATATTAACCCCTTGTCAGATACATAGTTTACAAATATTTTCCCCATTCTATAGGTTGTTTCTTTGTTCTGTTTATTGTTTCCTTTGCTGTGAAGAATCTTTTTAATTTGATGAAATCCCATTTGTTTATTTTTCCTTTTGTTGACTGTGCTTTTGAAGTCTTATTTTTAAAATTCCTGCCCAGACCAATGTCAGGAAGCACTTTCTTTATATTTACTTCTGATAGTTTTATACTCTTAGGTCTTACATGTAAGTCTTTAACCCATTTTCAGTTGATTTGTGCATACAGTAATCGATTCTAGATTTTTTCTTTTGCATGTGAATACACAGTTTTCCCAGCACCATTTATTGAGGAAACTGTCCCTTCCCTAGTGTGTATTCTTGTTACCTTTGTTGAAAATCAGCTGGTTGTAGAAGTGTGAATTTGTTTTGTGGGTTTGCTATTCTCTTCCGTTGATCAATGCCTTTTTTTATGCCCACACCATGCTGTTTTGGTAATTACAGACATGTAGTATATTTTGAAGTCACATAGTATGATACCTCTAGCTTTGTTCCTTTTGTTCAGTATTGCTTTAGCTATTTATGGTCTTCTGTTGTTCTATACAAAATTTAGGATTTTTTCCATTTCTGTGGAGAATGTAATTGGTATTTTGATAGAGATTACATGGAATCTGTAGATTGCTTTGGGTAGTACAGATGTTTTAAAAATATTAATTCTTCTAATCCATAAATGTGAAATACCTCCACTTATTTGTGTCTTCTTCAATTTCTTTCACCAATGTTTTATAGTTTTAATTTAGAGACATTTTTCTCCTTGGTTAAATTTATTCCTTGATATTTTTTCTTTTGTAACTGTTATAAATGGGATTGTCTTTCTGACTTTATTTCAGATAGTTTGCTATTAGTGTATAGAAATGTTACTGATTTCAGTTATTAATTTTAAATTCTGCAACTTTAGTAAATTTATTAATTCTAATAGTTTTTGAAGGAATCATTAGAATTTTTTATACATGACAACATGTTGTATGCAAACAAGGACAATTTAATTTCCTCCCTTTAAACTTGGATACCCCTTATTCCTTTCTCTTGCCTTATTGCTCTGGCTAGGACTTCCAGAACTATGTTCAATAACAGTGGTGAAAGTGGGAACCCTTGTCTTATTATAGATACTAAAGAAAAAGCTTTCAGCTTTACCCTGTTCAGTATGACATTAGTTGTTGGTTTGTTACATATTGCTTTTATTGTTTTGAGGTATATTTATTCTATAATTAATATGTTGAGGGTTTGTATTATGAAGTGTATGTTGAACAATTATTTCATCCCTGAGATGAATTCACATATGATGAATGATATTTTTAATGCACTGCTGGATTCAGTTTGCTATTATTTTGTTGAATATTTTGTTTTTCTGTTTATCAAGAATATTTTCCAGTAGTTTTCTCTTTTTTTGTTGTGTCCTTGTCTGGTTTTGATATCAGGGTAATGCTGACCTCAGATAATAAGTTAGAAAGAATTTCCTCCTATTCATTATTATTATTTTTTTTTGGCATAGCTTGAGAAGAAATGGTGTTAGTTTTTTTAAATGTGTTGTAGAATTCAGCAGTGAACGCATCAGGACCTGGGCTTTTCTTTGATGAGAGACTTGTTATTACTGATTCAATGTTGTTACTTGCCACTGGTCTGTTTGGGTTTCTATTTAATTATGATTCACTCTTTGTAGGTTTTATGTGTTCAGTAACTTATTCATTTATTATAGGTTTTAAAATTTTTTGGCATATCTGTCAATGATCATAATATTCTCTTCTAATCTTTTTATATCTAGTATCAGTTGTAATATTTTCTTTCTCATCTTTGATTTTATTTGAGTCATTTTTTTCTCTGTTAGTAAAGTAAAAGTTTGTCAATGTTGATTTTCTTTTCAAAAAAAAAATCTTCATTTCATTGATCTTTTTTGATGTTGTTATTGTTTTTTATTTCCATTTTATTTTTTGCTGCTCTGATCTTTATTATATCTTTCCATCTACTACTTTTTGGTTTTCTGTGTTCTTTTTATCAAGTTTATTGAGGTGCAATGTTGTATTTTTCATCTGAGATCTTTCTACTTTATAGATATAGGCATTTATTGCTGTAAATTGCCCTTGTAGAATTGCTTTTGCACAATCCCCTCTTTGCCAAGAGGACCCCAGAAAAACCTTAAAATTGAGTTCCTGGCTATGATGGGACAGGAAGTTAGATATATATTATACCCCCTACCTTTTGCAGTTCAGACACAACAACTGCTCAGCATTAATGTTAAAATAAAGATCATAAGACTGATAGAACAGAACAGGTTCTTCGTGGAAACAGGATACCAAATTATAAACAGGACCTAGGGTCATACCAGGCACGTGTGTAGTCAGGTATCCCCTAGAGGCCACTCTGACTCATTTTACTGTTTTGCTTTCACAACTTGACTCTGGCATAATATCATAGGATGACTAATAGATTTCCTTATCTTTACTCAAACATTCCTGTCTGCTGACTTCAAGTTTTTAGACAAAGCTTTGTTCCTTTAACCAATTGTGAATTAAGAAATCTGTGAACTCACCTATATATAACCTCCATGTATGGATTTATGACTTTGTCTGTAACTTCTGCTTCCCTTCCCTAGAATGTATAAAACAGAATTGCAGTCTGACCACTTCAAGACCACTACTCTAGGCTTTTTGGGTTTGTTTTCTCCCTGGACCATGGTCACTCATATTGGCTCAGAATAAACTTCTTTGAAATACTTTACAGAGTTTGGTTTTCTTTTAGTTTTTGTCTCTCCAAATACTTAATTTATCTCAACAATGCTTTGTGTTTTTCAGTCTACAAACCATACAAATATTTTAAATATATTACTAAGTATTCCATAGACTTTTATAGTAATATAAACAATATTTTTGAATTTTAAATTTCAATTTCTTATCATTCACCAATAGCATATAAAAGTAAATCGATTTTGTATATTGATCCTCTATCCTATGATCGTGCATATCTCAGTTTCTAGTTCTAGAGTTTTTGTTTTGTAAATTTTAGTTTTCAGAATTTTTGCGTATACAATTGTGTCATCTGAAAATAAAGGCAATATAATTCTTTCTCCTTATAATCTTATGCATTTTTCTTCTTGCCTTTTGCACTGGCCAGAATCTCCAAAACAATGCTGAATAGAAATGGTGACAGCAGACGTCTTTGTCTTGCTTTTTATCTTAGGTAGAATTTGTTCAATGTTTTGATATTAAATCTCATCCTAGTTGTAGCTTTTCACAGATGCCCTTTGTCAGTTTAAATAGATTTTATTATATTTCTAGACTGCTGAGAGTTTTTTATTGTGAGTAAATATTATTATTTGCAATGCTTTTCTGCATCATTTGAAATAATATCATAATTTTACTTTTTAGTTTATATGCTGTTTTGCTTTGGTTGAAACTTTAAACCTAAAACCAACTTGCATTCTGGGAATAAACCCAACTTGGTTATAACGTGTTTTCCTTCATATATAGCTAATTCAAATTCCAAGTGTATTGTTAAGAAATTGCATCCATGTTCATGACTGGTTGCAGTTTTCTTTCATGTCTTTTTTCCCCTTTGATATAATGGTAATAGTTCTATGGAATGAGTTGGGAATTGTCACCTCTCCTATATTCTGGTTGACTTTACATAAAATGTGTATTATTTATCTTTCAAATGTTTAGCACACATATTTTACAAGTCAAGTCAACTAGGCCTCCATTTTTCCTTTCTGAGAAGGTTTTTTTTAACTGTAAATTCAAATTTTTAAATATATGTATGGCTATTTATTTTATCTATTTCTTCTTAGTGGGCATTGGCATTTTTGATCTTTTGAGGAATTTTTATTTTATCTATGTTGGTAAATTTATTGACATAAAATAATATTCCGTTTTTATACCTTTAATATATATGCTGACACTTACTTTTTCTTTCTTCATATGGGTAATATATACCTTTCCCCTTTTGTCCCTCAGACTGTTTTTCCAAGACTACTATGGATAGTTGGCTGATTTTCTTGATCTTCTCAAATCATATGCTGTTGTTTTCATCGATTTTGCCTAGTGCATTATGTTTTCCATGTCACTGATTTCTGCTATTATTGGTATTATTTATTTCCATTTGTTAACTTTAGAATTCAGTTGTTTTTCTTTTGCTAGTTTTCTTAAGGTGGAAGCCTACATCACTCACTTGAGACATTTTATTTAAATATATGTGTTTGACATTGTAAATTTTTCTCTACGGACTTTGGGGCAGCATCCTACAAATTTTTAGATGTTGGGATTTTATTTTTATTCAGTTGAAAATATCCCTAGCTTCCCTTGTGATTTCCTTTTCCACCCATGGATTATTTAGAGGTGTGTTCAATTTCTAAACACATGGATTTCTTCATAACACGCTGTTGTTAATTTCTAATTTATTTTCGTGTGGACAGAGACTTTATGTCACATAATTTCAATTCCTGCAAATTTATTGAGGCATGTTTTATGACTCCAAACATAGCTTATGTTGGATAATGTTGCATTTGTGCTTAAAAAAAAAATTGTATTCTGCCTTTTTGGGATAAGACCTTTATACAAAATCATATATAGGCTAACTTATTTGGTAACAGTTTTTAAGTCAACTATATATTTACTGATTTTATGTCTAATATTACTATCAATTAGGTTAGAGAGGGATGTTGCAATCTCTATTCCTCTAGATTTGTTCATTTTTTCAGTTCTATTAATGTTTGCTTTATGAATATTGAAACTTCGTTATTAGGTGCATAGACGTAACATTTTTTTGCACTCTCAATTAATTAGCCCATTTATCATTATGAAATGACTTTCTCTGTCTCTTGTTATATAGCCAACTCTGACATCTATGTCACCTGATTTGAATATACTTACTCCAAATTTCTTTTAATAGTGCTATCATACATGGTATTTTTATGTTTTACCTGTCTGTGTCTTCCTATTTAAAATATATTTATTATAATTAGCAAAAAATTGAATACCAATTGTATAGCCAATCTGACAGTCTCTACAGTTTAATTGTATATATTTTAATTATCAACACTAGTTAAAATTGACCATATATTTGTGGCACTATTCTTTAAGATTAATTTATTATGTTATTTTTATCTATTACTAACTTTACATATAACAGTTTTTTTTGTAAATGATTTTTCTGGAGTTTAAAAATACACTTTTGACTTATTTCAGCCTAGTTTAAAATGCTATTACATCACTTCATGGGTACTGTAAGAACATTACCATATATATTTCTATTTCTCCTCCTACCTATGCAGTATTTTTGCCTTGTGGTACTTTGAAGTATACAATACAATAAACTCCAAAACACAATATTTTTGCTTTAAACAGTGTATACCTTCTCAAGAGATTCAAAAGTTAAGAACAAACTTTTTATATTCCTTTACATATTTCCAATTTCCAAAGCCCTTCGTTTATTTGTGTTCATCCAAATTTCCATTTGGTATTATTTTTAGTCTGCCTGAAAACTCTTGTACAATCGATGGCCTGCCCATAAATTCTCTCAACCTTGATATGCCTGAAAAATAATTAAGTCTCTATTTTTGACATATATTTTCAAGGTATAAAATTCTGTGTTGATAATTTTTTTTTTTTATTTCAGTACTTTAGACACGTCACTGTGTTGTCCACTGGATTACATCTTACTCTTACAGGAAGTCAACTGCCATTATTGTATTTACTATTCTATACATAATGCAACTTTTCTACTCTGATTGCTTTTGAGATTTTATTTTTATTACCATTCTTCAGCAACTTGATTATTGTTTGCTTTGATATGGTTTTCTTTATGTTCATTATGCTTGCATTTTGTTGAGTTCTTGGCTCTGTAGGTTTTAGTTTTTATCAAATCTGGAAATGTTTTTCTTCTTCTCACAAACATTTTTATCTAATGATTTTTTTCTGAAATTACTATTACAAACGTAATGCTCTTTGAAATTGGCTCATATCTCACAGATGCTGTATGTATTTATTTCTCGTCTTTTTTTTCTTTCTGTTTCATTCTGGATAGCTTTCTTCAAGTTCACAAATATTTAGTTCTACAAGACCTGATCTGTGTAAATCCCATCCAGCTAACTGCATTCCTTTTCAGATGCTGCCTTTTTGTTAATCCCTAGAAATCAACTGTATGTTTTATACAAATTTTAGTGCTGACTTTTTTTAAGAGATAAAATCTAGCTATGTTGCTCAAGCTGGCCTCAATCTCTAGGGCTCAAGCAATTCTTCCACCTCAGCTTCCAAGCTTACAGTACTGAATTTTATTGCACCCTTGTTAATACAATTGCCCTTCCCAGGCCAGGATGCAATTAAGGTTTTTTGTAATCATTTTTATGCTTTTGTGGCTTCTTTTTATGATTTTTTAGGGAAGTCTCAGGAAAGCACTTACTTTAGGTTTCCTTTGACCACACTAGTGATGTGATACCCTTCTGAGGACTAAACCCAGGAAACTATTCCACTTTAATGGAACACAATCAATCTGTCACACAGAAAGCTCTGCCAATTTTTTGCCTGAGCGTTTTCAGTGGTTCTTTCTCTGACCTAAGGTAATTTACTCACATGATTAGTACTTAGCTGAAGACCTGAAATGAACCTTCTGCAGATCTCCTAAGCTTCTTCTGTGGATAGCTTTCTACTCTTCAGTACTCCAAACCAAAATTTTAGCTACTTTGACCTCCCCAGACTCACAAATGTCTTTTCACTTCAGTGAGAGTGCTGAACCCTTCTGTGTTTTCCCTATTTGCAATTTGGCTTTGAAACTCTCTTCAAGCAATAAGCTATGCTAATTGTAGCATTTACCTTGTTTCTTTTCCTTCATCCAGGAATCACTATCTTGAGTTGCCTATTCTTCAAGATCTGAAAATGATTGTGTTTTATAGTTTACCCTGTGTTTTAGCTGTTTAAGGCAAGACTGAAAGATCTGGTTCCTGTTATTCTCAATAATTAAGATTTGATATTCCATTTTATTTACTCAATTGCTTTTTTTATTTTCAACTCTTTATTTTTACTGGTGGCCCTATGGTTTAAAATATACACCCTTAGCCCTAACTTAAAATATGTCATTAATTAATATTATTCAATTTTACATTTGATATGGGTTGGCTGTATCCACACCCAAATCTCATCTTGAATTGTAGGGAACCGGTGGGAGGTAATTGAATCAGATGGGTGAGTATTTCCCGTGCTGTTCTTATAGTGAATAAGTCTCATGAGATATGATAATTGTATACAGGGGAGTTCCCCTGCACATGCTCTCTTGCCTGCTGCCATGTAAGACGTGAGTTTGCTCTTCCTTCACCTTCTGCTATGATTGTGAGGCCTCCCAAGCCATGTAGAACTGTGAGTCAATTAAACCTCTTTCCTTTACAAATTACCCAGTCTCGGGTATGTCTTTATTAGCAATGTGAGAACAGACTAACACAGTAAATTGGTAAAAGGTAGTAGGGGGCTGCTGTAAAGATACCAGAAAATGTGAAAATGACTTTGGAACTGGGTAACAGACAGAGGTTGGAACAGTTAGGCAGGCTCAGAAGAAGATAGAAAATGTGGGAAAGTTTGGAACTTCCTAGACAAGTGTTGAATGGCTTTGACCAAAATGCTGATAGTGATATGAACAATGAAGTCCAGGGTGAGGTGGTCTCAGATAGAAATGAGGAACTTGTTGGGAACTGGAGCAAAGGTGACTGTTGTTAGCAGAGACTGGTGGCATTTTGCCCCTGCCCTAGAGATTTGTGGAACTGTGAACATGAGAGAGATGATTTCAGGCATTTGGCAGAAGAAATTTTTAAGGAGCAGATCATTCAAGAGGTGACTAGAGTGCTTTTAAAAGCATTCAGTCTTATATATTTAGGAAGATACAGTTTGGAATTGGAACTTATATTTAAAAGGGAAGCAGAGCATAAAAGTTTGGAAAATTTGCAGCCTGACAATGTGATAGAAAAGGAAAACTCATTTTTCAAGGAGAAATTCAAGCTGGCTGCAGAAATTTGCATAAATAACGAGGAGCCAAGTGTTAATCTCCAAGACAATGATAAAAATGTCTCCAGGGCATGTCAGAGACCTGTGTGCCAGTTCCTCCCATCACAGGACTGGAGGCCTAGGAGGAAAAATGGTTTCATGGGCCAGGCCCAGGGTCCCTGCTCTATGCAGTCTCAGGACTGGGTACCCTGCATCTCAGTTGCTCCAGCCATGGCTAAAAAGCCAAGGTACAGCTCGGGCCATGGCTTCAGAGGGTACAAGCCCCAAGCCTTGGCAGTTTTCACGTGGTGTTGAGCCTGTGGGTGGACAGAAGTCAAGAATTGAGGTTTAGGAACCTCCACCTAGATTTCAAAGGATGTATGTAAATGCCTGTATGTCCAGGCAGAAGTTTGCTGCAGGTGCAAGACCCTCATAGAGAACCTCTGCTAGGGCAGTGTGGGGTTGGAGCCCCTATGCAGAGGCTCCACGGGGGCCCCACTTAGTGGACCTGTGAGAAGAGGGCCACTATACTCCAGACCACAGAATAGTGGATCCACCGAAAGCTTGCACCATGCACCTGGAAAAGCTGCAAACATTCAACACTGGCTGGTGAAAGCAGCAAGGAAGGGGGCTGTACCTGAAAAGCCACAGGGCACAGCTGCCCCAAATCATGGGAACCCATATCTTGCATCAGCATGACTTGAATGTGACACATGAAGTCAAATTAGTTCCTTTTGAGCTAGCTTTAATATTTGACTGCCCCACTGGATTTTGGACTTGAATGGGGACTATGGCCCCATTGTTTTAGCCAATTTCTACCATTTGGAATGCCTGTATTTACCCAATGCCTGTACCTCCATTTTATCTAGGAAGTAACTAACTTGCTTCTGATTTTACAGGCTTATAAGTAGAAGGGACTTGTCTTGTTTCAGATGAGACTTTGGACTATGGACTTTTGAGTTTATGCTGAAATGAGTTAAGACTCCGGGGAACTGTTGGGAAGGCATGATTGGGTTTGAAATGTGAAGACATGAGATTTGGGAGGGGTTGGAGCAGAATAATAGGGTTGGGCTATGTCCCCACCCAAATCTCACCTTGAATCATAGCTCCCACAATCCCCACATATCATGGAAGGAACCTGGTGGTAGGCTATTGGATCATGGGGGTGGGTCTTTCCCATGCTGTTCTTGTGATAGTGAATAAGTCTCACAAGATCTGACGGATTTATAAAGGGGAGTTCCCCTGCATATGCTCTCTTGCCTGCTGCCATGTAAGATGTGACTTTCCTCTTTCTTCACCTTCTGCCATGATTGTGAGGCTGCCTCAGCCATGTGGAACTGTGAGTCAATTAAATGTCTTTTCTTTATAAATTACTCAGTCTCAGGTATGTCTTTATCAGTAGCATGGAACAGACTAATATAGCATTCAATGTAAGAAACTTAGATAACTATAGTATTTCTTGCTCTTACTAAAAATGTACCATAGTTATATTTATATCCAAATATGCAAGTTGTAATCTCCACAATATTCTTTGTTTCATATTCACAACACTTTAAATGTCATTTAGATATTATTTTATATTTACTCACATAAATAACATTTCCAGTTCTCTTTATTAATTGTTCTAGATACAAGTTAATATGTGGATCATTTTCTTACAAACTGAAGACTGCCTTTCATAATTATCTTTTAGTTGCGACAATTTAGGAATTAGTTCTCTCGGGTTTTATTTGTATGTCTTTATTTTTTTAATTTTCAAGAGTACTTTTCCTGGATATTGAATTCTTAGCTGATACTCCCTCCACTCTGACCTACTTGAACATTTATAAAATTTATGTTATACTTTCTTCTGGTTGTTATTCTCTCTCACAAGAACTTAACAATGTTTTTTATTATTAATTCCCTGCATCCAGTGTTGTTTGTATTTCATTAAGATTTTCTTTCATCTTTAGTTTCTGCAGTTTGACAATGCTATACCTAGGTATTGTCTTCACCATATTTATTATTCTTTGAATTGCTGAGCTTTATACATTTGCATGTTGTGTCCCTCCAATTGTAGAAAAAACATAGCTATCATGTCTTCAAACATTTGTCTTCAAACTTTTTTATTGCTGCTCCCCTTTCCTGCTGATAATCTATTTATGCATATACAGTATTAAATTATTTGATATTACTCATACTGGTATCACCTGTACATTTCATTTCTCTTCTTTATTCCCCTGTGATTTAGTTTCAATGTTGTCTATACTATCCAGTTATTAAGTTAAAGAACTGCTTCTTCTATGGTGTTCTGTATGCTGTTAAGTCTATATAATAAATGTTTTATTCCAAATATTTTATGTTTATTTCTGTAATTCCCAATTTGTCCTTTTAAAAAGGTTAAATTTTTCTCTGTAAATCTCCCAGTTTTCTCCTTATCTTGTTAATTATATCCTGTAGTTGCAATACATTTACAATAGTATTTGAATCTGTTTTAATTTTCTTCAGCAATCTCTTAGATTTGATCATACCATCTTCTTTCCTGACATGTTTTAATGCTTTTTATTGTGAAGTGGATGTTGAACAAAGAAGTTGTAGATATAATTTGGTGTTCTAAATTATGATATAATTATACACAATTAAACAGAATGATTTTAATAAGATTTCAAGACATGGGAAGGGTTGTGCTTTTTAAATGTATTTATTCTTCAACTATCCCTTAACTTCCATTTGTTGCCCATTGCCCTGAGTCCTTTATAATCTCTCTCTATAGTTACAGCTATAAAGATGTGTTGTGCAGTTAGCAGATTATCCTAGTGGACCAAATTCCAGGGTGACATCTCAGGTTTCTTTTTCCTAGATCCTGATGACAAAAAACATTTTTGTCTTCTTAGCTTTTACATATCTTCAAATAAATGGGTATGTTAATATATAAAGGTATGTGTGTGTAGATATAGATAAATATATAAATACACATGTACACTTTATCCAAATCTTCTATTTTTGCTGTACAACTATTGTTTAAATTGCACAACCTAGAAAATAAAAGATAAAGCCAGGATACATTAAATACATAATTCTTTAATGCCCAGAAACTTATGAGCATTCACAAGCATCAAGAACATCCAGGAAAACATGAACTCACCAAATGAAATTAAAAAAGAACCAGTCAGCAATTCAGAAGCAATTCTACGTTTGTCAATTCTTGGCCTTCCAGGTGATCTGCTGGTAGTGGTAGTGTTGAGCCAAGCAGGTTGTTGGGTTCTTGGGCCCCAGGGATGACAGCATAACATGTGTAATGACAGTAGCAATGACATGAAAACTCTGAGTCTCACATGATGTGTGCTGGTGTTAATAATGTGAGACTGGATGGGCCAGTCTCTGAGCCTGAAAGTGGCACATTCGTGTAGGCGCCAGCTGTGGTGATAACAGCAGTGTGAGTAGGCCTAACCTCAGCCTCCTAGGAGGAGTGCTCAGGTGTCAATGGTTGTATTCTGGGCTGGTCAATACCAAGGTCCCTAGACTGTGTGCTTTGGCAAGGGAAGGGGTACAAAGACAGTCCAGGCAGTTAGTCCTCAGGTCTCATGATGGTGTGTGCAAGCATCAGTTGTAGTAGTCAGAAACAGTGATTCCCAGCCCCCAGTGAAATGCTTTAGTGAAGGACTACAGCAGCCTCACCGTGGCCCTTCAACTGGGGATGGTGAGGACACTTTCAGTAATGAAAACCTAGGAAAACATGGGCCCTGCTTGCTCCTCAGCTCTGGTGGCTCCCAGGCCTCAGCCCTGCTGTGTGTAACTTGCTCCTCACCCTTCAGCCTTGGCAATGGTAGTTTATGCTTTTTTCATGCCTCAGACCCTGAACCACTGGGCCCCATGATGATTTTCAAATTACTGGGGGCTATGCTCTAAAATGGCATGTTGTTCAAGATGCTTAGGTCTGGGAGTGTGTGGGATTCAGTGTGCACTTTCCCCTGGAACACTCCCCTTTTACAATGTCCCAGCATCTTCTTATGTTAGTTTCAAGGTCCATGAGTGTTGAGAGCCTCTCTTATGGCTAGGATCACAGCAGTCCATGGTGGGAACGGTGGGCTTCGTGGGGTCTCTCACATCTTCTCTTCATTTGGGAGGTACTCCCAGCTCCATGTAAAGCCTGGCTAAGCAAGCTACCTCACTTTCTGCTTCTTCTTTGGTTTAGGTGTTTCCTGTCACTTCTCTATTGAATTCCAGTGTTCTCCCTGGGATGATCTTCTTACTATTTTGGTTCTTTATTTGGGAGGAGGCAAGTATAAGATGCCTCTAGTTACCCATCTTGAAGCCTTTGTATACCTCACTTTTGTGTGGGATAACTCAAGATCGAATACTTTTCCTCATGTTATCTTTTTTAATGCCTCTCTAACCAAGAAAGCTGTATATATCACATAGTGCAACTACAGAGTGTTTTAAAGCCTTCCACATCCAAAATTACTGAATCCCTAGACAGAGGGCAGGTGTTTGGTACAGGTTCCTGGATCTATGCTAACTTTCATAAGTGAGTAAAAGCCTTCATTGTGCCAACCCACTGAGATGTGGGGGTTGTTGAAGTAGCCATATCTACCTTACAGATTCTCAAACTAATTCCAGTAGTGGCACAAACCCAGAAATACTTACTATTGTAAGGGTCTAATATCAATTAACGTATCTCTGAGTCACAAATAATATACTCTTTTGCTTCTCACCACAGATGGGTAATCTATTTAGTACAATATTGACATTACAACCTTTTTCCATTGAAAACATCTTCTGAATTTAGTGAAGCTTTTCAAAGCTTTCAGTTTTCAATTACTCTTTATCTTTTCTAAAAGGCAATATTTTAAGTAAAGTAGGCTAAATTAGCCCTTCTTACTTTTCTCTTCCATTCTCACCAGGGCAATAAAATACATAGTTGAAATTTATTCTCATGCATGTGTAAGGCTTAAAAAGATTAGTGGATAATAGAGTCCAAATAAGAGGCTTTTGAACATTAATCCACCAAGAGTTGAAGTTAGAAAATGTATCATCTTGTGAGTTATTGGGCATAATATTTAGCCAGTAAGGTTTGGAAAATTTTTATAACACTTGGAAAAACATGTATACTGAGGTGGATTAAGAATTCATTTTCTTCCACCATCTGGTGCATATACTTTTCTGTGGAAAACAGTCTATACTCATCCATATTATTTCTGGCATAATATTCCTTCATTTAATATGAACCTGAATATTGACAGAGAAAATTATGATTGTTCTAAGTAAACTCACTTTAAATATAGAATCAAAAGTTATCAATGACTATAGGATTTTGCCAGACAATTCCATCATATTTTCCTACTATATTCACTTTTCCACTGTGTAAGATGTCCAGTTAATAACTTATGTCTCCTACAATTTTTACTTCTACCTTAGCTAATAACCTCCATACACACATCATAAATAAACTATGCAATCAGAGAAATACTTTATTTTGTTGCCTTAAATCTCATAAACTTACCAGTATCTATACTCATGTATACTCCCTACTGTCTTTTTATGATGGAAAGAAGTGTTTTTTGTTCTAAATAAAGTCAAAACTTCTGGTTTAGCCCTTATCTTTGGACATACTCAGAGCCTTCATTCTTGTATATGCAACTGTCTAATATATGTCTCCACAGTGGATGTGTGGTAGGTATCTCAAACTTAATAACTATCTAAGTGAACTCTAGGACGCTGGTCTTGTTTTTTTCTGTTACTCATATTAACTTATTTTTGTTTTGAGGACTTCATTATTCCTATTTCTTCTGCTTGGAGCACCATTTTTGAATATCTTTTTTTTAATACATTTCTCTCCTTATAATTCTCATCTCAGCTCAAAGATCGACTCATCCAGAGAAGTCTTACTGAAAAACTAAATGTATAATGATGTTCTTTACAAACCATGCTTGCGTAATCTTCCCATACTCTGTTTTATTGACATTATAAGACTTATCAGTACAGACAAATCTCCAGAGATATTGTGGATTCAGTTCCAGACCACCGCATTAAAGTAAATATCACAATAAAGTGAGTCAAACAAAGTTTTTGGTTTCTCAGTGAATATAAAAGCTATGTTAACACTATACTGTACATTATTGTGTATATGATAGCATTATATCTAAGAAACAATATCTGTAACTATACAAATATCTATAGCATTTCTATATGACAACAGTGTACAATCTGAAAAACAATAAAAAAATTAATCTTATTTATAACAGCCATACATAAAATTAAATACATAGAAATTAACTTAAAGAAGTGAAAGATCTCTAGAAGTAAAGCTATAAAACACTGATGAAAGAAATTAAAGAGGACACAAAAAAGTAAAAAAAAATATGTTCATGCATTTGAAACAATCAATATTGTCAAAATGTCCATATCACCTAAAGCAATCTACAATTTCAGTTCAATTCCTATTGAAATACCAATAAAATTATTCACAGAATGGAAAAAATAATCCCAAAATTTACAAGGGGCCACAAAAGACTCAAAATAGCTAAAGCTACCCTAAGCAAAAAGAACAAAACTTGAAGAATCACATTACCTGACTTCAAATTATGCCACGGAGCTATAGTAAACAAAGCAGCATGATACTGGCATAAAAACAGACACATAGACAAATGTAGCAGCATAGAGAACCCTGAAACACAGTGAACACACTGGTACTGCCATAAAAACAGGCGCATAGACCAATAGAATAGAATAGAGAACTCAAAAAAAAAAATCCACATCCCTACAGTGAACTCATTTTAGACAAAGGTGCTAAGAGTGTATACTGGGGAACAGACAGTCTTTTCACAATAACTGGTGCTAGGAAATCTATATTCATGTGCAGAAAAATAAAACTAGACCCCTACTTCTCACCATATATGAAAATCAAATAAAAATATATTAAATACATAATGTCTCAAACTATGAAATTACTACAAAAAAACCTGAAAACCTCTCCATAACATTGTTCTGCACAAAGACTTCCTGAGTAACACACTACAAGCACAGACAGCCAAAGCAAACATGGACAAACAGGATCATGTCAAGTTAAGAAGCTTCTGCACAGCAAGGGAAACAATCAACGAAGTGAAAAGACAACTCACAGAATGGGAGAAAATATTTGCAAACTAACCATCTGGCAATGGATTAATAACCAGAATACATAAGGAGCTCAAACAACTATATAGCAAAAAATCATATAATCCAATCAAAAATGGGCAAAGACTAGGAATAGACATTTCTCAGAAGAACACATAAAAATGCCAAACAGGCAAATAAAACAGTGGTCAGCATTATTGATCATCAGAGAAATGCAAATCAAAACTACAAGACATATCATCTCACCCCAGTAAAAATGGCTTATATCCAATTAACAGGCAACAACAAATGTTGACAAAGATGTGAAGAAAAGGGAACTCTCATACACTGTTGGTGGGAATGTAAATTAGTACAACCACTATGGAGAACAATTTGGTAGCTCTATAGAGCTACCATAAGATCCAGAAATTTCAAAACTGAGTATATACCTGAAAGAAAGGAAATCAATATATTGAAGAGATATCTGTACTCCCATGTTTTTTACAGCTCTATTCACAATAGCCAAGATTTGGAAGCAACCTAAATGTCCCTTAACAGATGTAAGGATAAAAAATGTGGTACATATACACAATGGAGTACTCTTCAATCATAAAAAGAATGAGATTCAGTTATTTGCAACAAAATGGATGGAACTGGAGGTTATTAAGTTGAGTGAAATAAGCGACGGACACAAAGCAAACCACGTAAGTTCTCACTTATTTTTGGAATCTAAAAATAAAAACAATTGAACCCATGTATATAGAGAGCAGAGGAATGGTTACCAGAAGTTGGGAAGTGTAGTGGGGGTTCAGAGAGAGCTGGGAATGTTTGATGGGTACAAAAATACTTAGAATGAATGACTAAGGCCTAGTAATTGATAGTACAATAGAGTGACTATAGTCAATAATAATGCAACTGTACATTTAAAAATAACTAAAAGAGTATAATTGGATTGTTTGTAACACAAAAGATAAATACTTGAAAGGATGGACACTCTGTCTTCCATAATATGATTATTATGTATTACATGCCAGTATCAAGACATCTCATGTACCTCATAAATATATACACCAACGATGTTCCTACAACAATTAAAAATTTGGAAAATATTGTACAATAGAACTGAACAGACGTTTTGTGAAAGAAGACAAATGGCCAGCAATGATATGAAAAAAAAATGCTTAAAGTCATTAATCATCAGAGAAATGCAAATAAAACCACAATGAGATATGATCTTAGAGCAGTCAGAATGGCTAATATTAAAAAGACAAAAATAGCAGATGTTGGCAATAATGTGGATTAAAGGGAACACTTATACACTCTTGGTCCAAATATAAGCTAGTACAACTTCTTTGGAAAACATTATGGTGATTTCTAAAAAAACTAAATATGGATCTCTCATTTGATCCAGCAATCCCACTACTGGGTATATATGTCCAAAGGAAAATTAATTATTATGTAAAAAAAAACCCAACTCCAACTGTAGATTTATTGCTGTACTATTCACAATACCAAAGATATGGAATGAACCTAAGTGTCCATCAATTGATGATTGAACAAAGAAAATGTGATGTAAATATATGATTGGATAAAGAAAACATGATATGTATGTGTGTATTTATGTGCATGTGTGTATATATATGCACATATATGTGTATATATATGCAGGTATATATATTTATATCACATTGTAGCAACATGTATGGAATTAATGGCATTATCTTTGGTGAAATACCTCAGAAAAAGAAAGCCAAATACCACATGTTCACACTTATAAGTGAGAAATAAATAATATGTACCCGTGGACATAGTGCAATAATAGACGTTGGAATCTCAGAAGGGTGGGAGGATGGTTTGGGATGAGAAATTACTTAATGCATACAATATACACTGTTCAAGTGATGGTTACACTAAAAGCCCCGATTGACCACCACATTAACATTATATACGTGTGTGTGTGTGTGTGTGTGCACGCGCACGCGTGGGTGTGTGTCTGTGTGCATGCGTGTGTATGCGTGTGTGTGTATAATGAAAAAGCACTTGTATCCCCTAAATATATAAAAATAAAAAGTAGTTCTATTAATAATATATTCATGCAAAGAAGAATATTAGCAACATTTCTTTCTTGTCAGTAAAATAAAACTTAATGTGAAACCAGTATATACAAGAATAATAAGAAAATATTAGTCCACTCTTTGGGACACATTTATTAAGGGCTGAAAACTATAAAGAAAACTTATTCACCTCTTAATTGTCTTCCATTTTCTCTATCAAGGGAGATCAACTTCAATATAGTGAAGGTGAAACAGACATTGAGGCAAAAATTGGAATAGGTAAATGAGGTAATTCAAGAGATTCTATGTGAGAAATTACACATTCCAAGTGAATTAAAGTCTCATTGATTATACATACGATATCTGAAAATATTAATATCTCAGAATATAAAGAGAAGCATTGTTGACAATCTTTGAACATTCAATGGAGAAGGAGAGTGGTTCTGTGAAAAATTACATACAAAAATTGAGAAGTTCAACAAACAAGATGGTTTCTAAAATTACGACTTACTGACAATATAGCAAGGCCCTCTTTTACTTCTAACCAAAAGACACTAATACAGATAGGGAATTCATTCACATTAGCATAGACTGGCAGAAATAAATTCCAGCTTTTTACAGGTGAACTATTCAGACAAGTACCTTGCCCTGCATTATAGAGCTTATAAATGGCAGACAGAATTGAAGCACCTGTCTAATTCCAAATAATACTCAATTATTGCTATGTACACTTTGTGATAAATATCCAGTAAAATGTCTAAACTGGATTATTAAACATCTAGTTACCTATGAGAATAGGTGTCTTTAGGACCACTAAGTATAATGTGAGCTATTACGGTAGCAGATGAAGAAATATTTAAATGTATCCAAAGAGTAATTATTAATATATTGATTTAATTCTTGATAAAGTGATTTATGAGACAAATGGCTGTTTTATTTGATTCTATATCTTATTAATGATCAAAACACAATTATATAGCATGCTAATCAAATTTTCACATAACACAAATCTAGGCCAATTACATTTAAATATCTCAATATTTGAAGCAGGGACCCTCAATACCATCAAGTTGAACTTATATTGCTACTGAATTTTTATTCAGTCAGTCTGTGCTTGTGTTTTCTAATGCCAGGAAACACATTGTGTACTGCCTGCATTATTCTGTTTTAATTATGATTGCTGTAATCTTTCAGTAAAGAAAGCATTCTTAGTTTCCTATAATTATTTAACTAACTAATCCTTATTACATATAGTAAAACCATAAAGAACCTGTATATATATACACACATATATACATATATATACATACATATATATACATATATAGACATACATATATACATATATATACACATACATATATATACATATATATACACATACATATATACATATATATACACATATATATATATATACATATATATATGTCAGGAAAGATTTGAAAAGTTTTTTGATGGTTGAAAGTAGCTAAATCAAAGAATAATTTTGACATTGTTTATAATAAAGTGTTTGAACTTAATTTCACTAACGTGAATAATTAAAATGTGGTACAGAAAATAATGAGAAGTATACAGAATAATTGAATTATCATTATAAGAGAACCATATTGGATTATCTGGTAGAAAACATTCACACCTTTCTTAGTATTACCAAAGAAATAACTACCATTAGTTTTCTATTTAGTTAATAATGACAATTAATGTTAGATTTAATTAATTCAAAATTAAACTTAACAATGGTAAAAATTAATTCCAGTTATAAGTTAGATTTAGCTATATTAAGGAATATTTTACATATCACAGAATTCACTGGTTTTAGGTGTACAATTCTGTGTGTAACCATTGTAACCATCACCAAAATCAAGATATATAATATTTCCATTATGCTTATAGGTTCCCTTTTGACTAGTTCCTCTACTAGAACTTCTAGAACAGCAACTGGTAGATGTGAAAAAAGGCACAGGTCATAACACACACACACATATGTACACACACGTGTGTATGTATAAAATTATAATATAATAAATGAATTAAATAACAAAAAGTAGAATAAAATATAGGGGAGAAAAACATGAAAGTTTACATTATGGTATGTAGTGATGGCTGAGAGCAAGTAAGACACAGATGTCTTTCTACATCTTAATATCAGAAATCAGAATAATGACATTTTAAATGGGATACCAAAATCAGGAGAATGTGAACATATCCTTAAAGTCTAGGAGTGGGATAGCAAATTTTGTGCAGAATTTGTTTTAAATATTGCATTATCTGAGATATTTACCTTCAGTTATAGTATTGATTCTATGAAAGATATGTATTGCAAGTTAGAAATAGCTAACATGCAATGAAAATTTCAGAAACTAAAATTTTATTTCCACTGCATGACACATACTTGTTATATCTGTATATTCAGCTATGATTTCACTATTTTTTCTTTCCTATGCATTCTTACACCCATAATATTGTGATAGTTATAATTTTAAAATAAAATGAAAATATAAAAAATTCTTCATGGAATGCCATATATACTTCCTTACTTTAGCAACTTATTTGTGATATTCTATCACAAACACATAAATTCCATAATTTATATATTTTTTCTATCAATTAATGTTTAAATGTCAGGATGAAGAATTAGAGTAGAAAATGTTAAACTCTTCTCAAATTCTGAAAGTGAAATGAAGAAATTTATCTCCCAACTTTGAATGCTATTTAAATATTTGAAAAAGTATCAAGAGAAAGATAGATGTACTGTAAATTAGTTTAAATTTGATGGGGGAAATGTTGCTTATTTCAAGGTATTTGAATAGATTACTTCATTTTAGTATTCCATCCTGAATAAAGGCTTCTTTTCAGCATATAAGAATTGTTCCTCTGCTCTGATCAATTTAATTTACCTTCAATTGAATTCAATTATGATTTTATCTAGCTTGTCTCTCTAAGTTTTAGAAATACGCCTTTAAAATCATTTGGTTTATTTTATCTCTAATTCATATTTGAGATTTCAGAATACATAAAGTACTTTGAATAAAACTAATTTTAAAATGTGGAGTTCACAAAATATATTAAAACTCTGATTAACAAGAATGCCTAAGAAGTAGGTAGACATTGTTTAAATGTTGTGCTTAAGTGACACTTAAGCAAAAAACACTTTGTTTCAACTTGTGTTGTTTAATAGTTGTCTAAAATTCCTCTGTCTACTTTGTTTATATCACATACAAACTCATATAAGATGAGCTTAATGAAATGCCTCTTTGAAAACCCTATAGACCTGCAGGGTCATCCATCACTAAGCAGTTCATACTGCATGTAAGGTTTATGTGTTATAGGTGTAGAAGACTAAATGGCTTATGTACTAAATCTGGATTATTTCTAAAGTGGCCTATGGATTTTTTTATTTTTAAAGTATTTTTTAGCCACTCTATTAACTGAAGCCTATGGATTATATTTTTTCTGGAATTAACATATTTTTCTATTAGCCTTATCCAAATTGATTGAAGTCTCACAAACACCCATTATTTGAGAGTTCTTGTGAATTGAATTCTAGTTAACATTTTATAGTTAAACATACCCAAGATGTTTTTAATGTAACCGAAACCACAGCATCAAAGTCCTAACCCATTAATTGTTCTTCTGTGTTTCATAGTATAATAATGCACTACCTCTGGTGGAACACATGCAAATGTGACCTTCAACAATTCTTCCCATTCCTGTAAGTGCATGCCACTTTTCTCCTGAAAAGGTGGTCTATTTCCCTTCCATGTGGATTTGAGATGGTTTTGTGTCTTACTACTATAAATATAATATGACAGAATTTATTAATGCTGTGCTCTATCTGGTCCTAGGCCTTAAGAGGCAAAGCAATTTTAACTTCGTTATTTTGGAGACCAGAAGTCTGGATATCCTACTGGAGAAAATATATGTAGAAAAAAATGACTATTCTGCCTGCAGCTTTTCCAGTCATATCATCTAAGGTGCCAATGCTTTCAGTAAAATCAATGATCTTGGATGTTTCAGCCCCAGCGAAACTTGTTGATTCATGTAACTTCAGGAGTGACAGCAGAACACACGTTGTTGAAGAAGTGCACAAAAAAGGGAAGACAACTCATAAAATCATTAGAAATCATATTCATAGTATTTTAACACTATCATGTGTTGGGTGCTTTGATATTCTGCAATTGATACCAGACACAGAAATTAATATCTGTAGGTAGAATGTTGCCCTTAATGAAAAGCTAAAATGTATTCTGCTTTTGAGATAAAATGTTAGCTGGAGGCTGGAAAAGTTATGAGGAGACTGTTAGTAAACATCAGAAGAATAGTGAACAAAACATGACTGATAGATGGGAAAAAAATGTAAACCCTATTATATATTGGCAAAAGTTGGCTAGCACTGTCACCTGAGGTACTATGGAAGAGAGATGAGGTACTATGGAAGAGAGTTAAGGTACCTAATAAATTTGGGAATCTGGCTAGAGAAGAACTCTGGGCAGAATGTTTGGAAATATCAAATAACATACTTTAGAAGACTATGATAAGGAATTGCAAAAGAAAGGTAAGTAGGAAAAGTATTTTCAAGAAAAATTGGGACCCAGGACAGTCTCTTCAGTTGACAAAATGTTTTGAAAGTAAAAAACACTAAAGGGCAAAGACCATAGTAAAGCCAGTGAATCATAGTCTAAGGATCAAGATAAAATAAAAGTTGCAACTGTAAAACCTTTGTAAATACCTCAAAAATCTTTAAATTCATTCCTAGAAGATCCCCTCCACTAGATAAAATGACTATTAAGATTTTTTTTTAATGTTGGCTTACAGCAGCCTGACACTCCCACAGAAGAGAAAGGTACATCTAAGAAACAATTATGAATGTGGTATGAAAAGGTTTCAAATAAGTTTCACTAAAAACCACAAAGTATTTTAATTTTTAATTATATTTACAAAAGCAGCCTGGGCTAATAGTCATATAGATTATTCATAATGAAAAGAAGCTTCTGGCTATCATTTTTCTATTGGCAGTCAGTGGGATAAGGGAATTATTCAATAGCAAACATAAGACATATTTTATGAAAAATATGGAAGACTTAGAAGGTGGAGCCAAATGCCACTAAGAAAAACAGATTATAGAACTATTCCCAAAAGCATAATTAAAAACTATTCAAGGAACATCTTCTCTCTCCTAAGCAGTGGCAAGCCATTACATGTTTCTAGCACAGTTTTTAATGAACCAGTGTTCCAAGGTGCCTTTCTTTCTGCACCTTTTCAATGGTAGTAACTATGATAGCTATTTAAGCCCCATGTAACAATGGTAAGTTTGGGGTCTAAAGACAGAGAACTTATTTTAGTTCAAGAGTTTTTAGAACAATCGTATGCTTGAGGTATTTCTGCTTTTCAACATAATGCTGATAATGAGATCCTTGACTTTGAGTTTATGCCACAATTGGATAAGACTGTGAGAATTAGTGTAATTTGCCTTTAAGAAATATGTAGATTGTGGTAGCCGGAGAGTGTATTATGATAGACTGTGTCTGTGTCTGTTTTTTGTTGCTACAGAGGAATACCTGAAACTGAGTTATTCATAGAGAAGAGAGGTTTATTTAGCTCCCAGTTCTTTAGTCTGTACCAGAAACATGGCACCAGCATTTGCTCAGTTTCCAAAGAGGGCTTTTGTGCTGTATCAAAATAAAGCGGAGGGCCGGGCACGGTGGCTCACACCTGTAATCCCAGCACTTTGGGAGGCCAAGGTGGGTGGATCGCAAAGTCAGGAGATGGAGACCACTCTTGCTAACACAGTGAAACCCCATCTCTACTAAAAATACAAAAAATTAGCCGGGTGTGGTGGTGGGTGCCTGTAGTCCCAGCTACTCTGGAGGCTGAGGCAGGAGAATGGCATGAACCTGGGAGGCGGAGCTTGCAGTGAACCGAGATCGCGCCACTGAACTGCAGCCTAGGTGACAGAGTGAGATTCCGTCTCAAAATAAATAAATAAATAAATAAATAAATAAATAAATAAATAAATAAAAAATAAAGCAGAGAATGTCAAAGAGAAAATAGGTGCATGTGAAATGGGACCAAACATGAGGGGTATCCTGGCTTTATAACAACTTACTCTGTTGAGAACTAATACATTTCCCTGGGAACCCATCAACTCTTACAAGAGCAAGAACTCATTATTGTGAGAAAGGTCCCAAACCCCTAGTGACATATCCACCCCCTTGAACAAAACATCTCCCACTAGGACCTACCTTCCAACACTGTAACACTGGGGATCAAATTTCAATATGAGTTTTGGTGGGGACAATCAAACCATATTCAAACCATGGCATTCCACCCCTGGCTCTCTAAAACTTACATTTTCTCACATGCAGCATGTAACCATTTCATGCAAATTGTCCAAAAAGTCTTCACATCAACTCAAAAATCCAAAGTAAAAAGTCTCATCTGAGACTCAAGGTAAGTTATTTCCAGCTATAATCCTGTAAAACAAAACAAAACAAGTTATTTACTTGCAAGATTCAATGGTTATGCAGACATTGAACAATCATTTCAATTCTAAAAGAAAAAAATCCACCAAAATAAAAGAATGACAGGCCTTACACAAGTTTTAAATTCAGCAATGTAGATATTAAATCTTAAAGCTCCCAAATAATCTCCTTTTACTACATATTCTGCATCTGAGGCACAGTGGTGCAAGGAATGGAGTCCCCAGGATTTTCCAGGCTGAGGGTGCACACTACCAGTGACTCTAAAATTCTGGGGACTGTAGAGCAGTGGCCTCACCCCTGTAGCTCCACTAAGCATTGCTCAAGTGGGTATAATCTGTGGCAGCCCCAACACTTTGGCAGGGTTCCATCAGGGCTCCCAGGCTTTCTGACACATTCTCTGAAATCTTGGTGGAAACCACCAACCCTTCGTGGCTCTTACATTCTGGAAGCCTGAAGAATTAACACCACATGGAAGCCACCAAGGCTAACAATTCCGCTCTTCAGAGTGACTACCCTAACAACACCTGGGTGTATTTGAGCTTCATCTGCAGCTGGAATAGGGGGAACGATGTTTTTGGTTGGCCCAGGGCAGTGGTTTCACAGGCCTATCAACCAAAATCATTCTCTCTCTCTGAGCCTTGGGGTCTGTGATGGGAGCAGAGACCTTAATCATCTTTGAAATGCCTTTGGGCCCTTTTTCATTACCTTTACTGTTGGCCTCTGGCTCCCTTTTATCCGTGCCAATCTCTTTAGCAAGTGGTCTCTATCAGTACCCTTATATTTCTCTCCTGAAAATAACATTTCTTCTCTAAAAAAATTGGCAGGTCATAAATTTGCCAAATTTTTATGCTCTGCTTTTTTATTTTTAAATTATGTGGGTTCATAGTATGTGTACATATTTATGGGTTACATGAGATATTTTGAAACAAACATGCTATGTGTAATCATCACATTAGGGTAAATAAGGTATTCATCACCTCAAGCATTTATTGTTTGTGTTACAAATAACTCAATTATGTTATTTTACTTATTTTTAAATACATAATTAAAATATTTTTTCTACAGTCACCCTCTTTGGGTAGCAAATACTGTGTCCTATTCACTCTTCTAACTATTTATTTGTACCCATTAAGAGTCCCCACTTCCCTGCCATGCCCCATTCCCCTTCCCAACCTCTGCAAATTATTCTTTTATTCTCTGTCTCCATGAATTCAATTGTTTTAATTTTTAGCTCACACAAATAAGTGAGAACATGTGATGCTGTCTTTCTGTGCCTTGTTTATTTCACTTACCATAATAGCCTCCAGTTTCATCCATGTTGTTGCAAATGACAGGATCTCATTCATTTCTATGGGTAAGAAATTTTCTTTATCCATTCATCTGTTGAGGCACATTTAGAGTGCTTTAAAAATTGGCTATTGTGATTAGTGCTGCAATAAACACGGGAATGCAGATATCTCTTCAGTATACTAATTTCTTTTTTCTTGGATATATACCCAGCAGTGAGATTGCTGGATCCTACAGTAACTCTATTTTGAGTTTTTTGAAAAACTTCTAAACTGTTCTCCATAGTAGTTGTACTAAATTACATTCCCACCAACAGTGGGAAACTGTTCTCCACATCCTTGCCAGAATTTATTATTACCTGACTTCTGGATAAAAGCAATTTTAACTGGGATGAGATGATATCTCATTGTAAGCATGATTTGTATTTAACTGATGATCAATGATGTTGAGCACCTTTTCACATACCTCTTTGTCATTTGTATGTGTTCTTTTGAGAAATGTCTATTCAAATATTTTGCCCATTTTTAAATTGGATTATTAGATTGTTTCCTACAATGTTTTTGAGCTCCTTATATATTCTAGTTATCAATCCTTTGTCAGATTGGTAGTTTGCAAATATTTTTTTCCCATTCTGTGGGTTATCTCATCACTTTCTAGATTGTATTGCTGTGCAGAAGCTTTTAAACTTGATGGTATCCCATTTGTCCATTTTTTTTCTTTAGATGCCTGTGCTTGTGGGTATTACTCAAAAAAGTCATTGCCCAGTCCAATTGCCTGGAAAGTGTATTTAAGGTTTTCTTGTAGCAGTTTCATAGTTTGAGGTCTCAGATTTAATTATTAAATCATTATTGATTTGTTTTTTGTATATGGCAGGAAATAGGAGTCTAGTTTTATTCTTTTGCATATGGATATCCAGTTTCTCCAGCACAATTATTGAGGAGACAGTCTTTTCCCCAGTGTATGTTCTTGGCACTTTTGTCACAAGTGAGTTCACTGTAGGTGTGTGAATTTGTTTCTAGTTTCTCTATTCTGTTCCATTGCTCTATGTGTCTGTTTTTATGTCAGTACCATGCTGTTTTGGTTACTATAGCTCTGTGGTATAATTTGAAGTAAGATAATGTGATATCTCTAGTTTTGCTCTGTTTGCTTAAAATGGCTTTGGCTATTCTGGATATTTTGTGGTTCCATACAAATTTTAGGATTTTTTTTTCTATTTTAGTGAAAAATGTCATTGGCATGTTGTTAGGAATTGAATAGAAATTGTAGGTTACTTTCAGTAGTATGAACATTTTAACAATATCAGTTCTTCCAATCCATGAACATAGAATATTTTTCCTTTTTTAGGTGTTCTCTCCATTTTTTTCATTAGTGCTTTATAGGTTTTATTACAGAATTTTTTACTTCTTCCATTAATTCCTGGGTATTTTACTTGTAGCTATTGTAAATGAGATTATGTTTTTTTATTTCTTTTTCAGTTTGTGCCCTGTTACATATAGAAATGCACTGACTTTTGTATGTTGATTTTGTATCCTGCAACTTTACTGAAATTGTTTATCAGTTCTAATACTGTTTTTTTTGGTGAAGTCATGAGGGTTCTCCAAATATAAGATCATATCATCTGCAAAGAAGGTTAATTTGACTTATTTCTTTCCAAATTTGGATGCCTTTTATTACTTTCTTTTGTCGGATTGCTGTGCTAGGAATTATAGTACTATATTGAATAACAGTGGTGAAAGTGAGCATCCTTGTGTTCCAGATCATAGCAGAAAGGCTTACAGTTTTTCCACATTCAGTATGATACTAGCTATGGATTTTTTGTCTGTGGTTTCTATTATATTGAGATATGTTCCTTTGTACCCAGTTTCTTAATTTTTTTCATGAAGAGATGCTAAATATTATCAAATAATTTTTCAACATCAATGGAAATGATCATAAGAATTAGTACATGTCTTCTTGATTTTTCAATTTATTGGCATACAATTGCTCATAGCAGACAGTATCGGTTGTCGTGTCTCCTTCTTTATCACTGACTATATTGACTTAGATGTTCTCTTTTTTTGTTAGTGTGACTAATGGTTAGTTCATTTTATCTTTTCAGTAAATAAACTTTGTTTCATTGATCTTTAGTACTGCTTTTTTCATTTCAAATTTATTTATTTCTGCTCTAATTCTTATTATTTGTTTCTATTAATTTGGGTTTTGATTTGCTCTTGCCTTTCTAGTTCTTTAATAGGCATCATTAGGTTGTTTATTTAAAATTTTTATTCTATTTTCTTGTATGCACTTATAGCTGTATGCTTCCCTGTTAGTAATACTTTCATTATATCCCATAGGATTTGGTATATTGTGATTTCATTATCATTGGTTTCAACAATTTTTTTAAATCTTCCTTTTTTCTTCGACCCACTGGCCATTCAGGAGCATATTTTTTAACTTTCATGTGTTTGTATTGTTTCTGAAATTACTCGTTATTGATTTTCAGTTTTATTCCATCATGTTCAGAGAAGATGCTTCGTATTATTTCTATTTTTTGAATGTTTCAAGACATGCTTTGTGACCAAACATAGTCTATCCATGAGAATGATCCATGTCCTGAAGAAAAAAATGTGTATTCCATAGCCATTGGATGAAATGTCCTGTAAATATCTATTAGGTCTATTTGGTTAATAGTGCAGACTAAGTCTTATATATATTTTTTTCTGTCTGGAAGATATGCCCAATTCTGAAACTATTGAAAATGGCATGTTCAAGCCTTCAGCTTTTATTTTTTGGAGTCTTTCTTTTGTAAGCATAATAATATTTGCTTTATATATCTGGGTGATACACTGTTGGATGCATATGTATTTACAATCGTTATATCAACTTGTTGAATTGACCCCTTTATCACTATACAGTGACCTTCTTCTGTCTTCTTACAGTTTTTATCCTGAAATCTATTTTTTTCTGATATAAATATAGCTACTTCTACTCTTTTTTTGGTTTTAATTGACATGAAATAACTTTTCCTGTTCCTTACTTTCCATCTATGTGTGAGTTCATAGGTGAAGTGTGTTTCTTGTTGGCAACAAATCATTGGATCTTGTTTCATTATGCATTCAGTGATTCTGTGTCTTTTGATTGTAGAGTTTAGTCCATTTATATTCCGTGTTATCATTGATAAGTATGAACTTACTCTTGCCATTTTGTTACTTGTTTTCTGGTGGTTTTGTAGTCTTCTCTTTATTCTTTGCTTTCTTCTTGTCTTTCTTTCTTTTAATGAAAGTGGTTTTCTCTGTTGGTACAATTTAATTCCTTGTTTTTTTGTGTGTATTCATTGTCTAATATTTAGTTTGAAATTACCATAAGGCTTGAAAATACAACTTTATAACCCATTGTTTTAAACTGATAACAACTTAACACTGTTTTCATAAACAAACAAGTAAAAAGAAAACTAATAAAAACTCTACTAATAAAAACTAACCCTTAACTTTGTACCCTGAATTTTTAGCTTTTTGCTGTTTTCCTGTATTTCTAATTGTACTGTCTTTGTCTTAAAAGTGTTTGTGTTCATTATTTTTGATTGATTCATTATTTGTTCTCTCTTCATAAGTTTACACACCATAGTTACAGTGTTAATAATATTCTTTTTCTATGTGCTTACTATTACCAGTGAGTTGTATCTTCAGATCATTTCTTCTTGATTATTTACTTCCTTTACTTTCAGATATAAGGATTCCCTTTAGCATTTCTCATAGAACAGTTCTTGTGTTGATGATATCCCTTAGGTTTTGTCTGTCTCTGAAGATATTTTCTCTCCTTCATGCTTGAAGGATATTTTCTCCACTTATACTAATCTAGGGTAAATGTTTTTTATTTTTCCTTCAGCACTTTAAATTTCTTGCCCCTCTCTCCTGACCTGTACGGTTTTTACTGACAAGTGTACTGCCAGACCTATTGGAGCTTTATTGTATGTTATTTGTTTATTTTCTCTTGCTGTTTTTAGGATCTGTTGTTTAACCTTGATGTTTGGGAGTCTGATTATTAAATGCCTTGGGTTAGTCTTCTTCGGGTTAAATTTGCTTGGTATTCTATAACCTTCTAGTACTTTAATGTTGATATTATTCTCTTGGTGTGAGAAATTTCCTGTTACGATTATTTTGAATAAACTGTCTCCCCCTATGTCTTTCTCAACCTCCTCCTTTAATGCCAAAACTTTTAGATGTTCCTGTTTGAGGCTATTTTCTGGATTTTGTATGCATGCTTCATTCTTTTTTATTCTTCCCTCTTTTGTCTACTTTATTTTCAAATAGCCTGTCTTCAAACTCACTATAATTATTTCTTATGCTTGATGAATTCTGCTATTATAAGACTGTGATACACTCTTTACTATGGCAGTCACATTTTTAATTCCATAATTTTTACTTGGTTTTTTTTTTATTTTTTTGAGATGGAGTCTCGCTCTGTTGCCCAGGCTGGAGTGCAGTGGCACGATCTCGGCTCACTGCAAGCTCTGCCTCCTGGGTTCACGCCATTCTCCTGCCTCAGCCTCCCGAGTAGCTGGGACCACAGGTGCCCACCACCATGCCCAGCTAATTTTTTGTATTTTTAGTAGAGATGGGGTTTCACCGTGTTAGCCAGGATGGTCTCGATCTCCTGACCTCGTGATCTGCCCGCCTCGGCCTCCCAAAATGCTGAGATTACAGGTGTGAGCCACTGTGCCTGGCCGATTATCTTTTACTATTTCAGTCTCTTTGTTAAATTTATCTGTTAGAATTCTTAATTCCTTCCTTAGGTTATCTTGAGTTTCCTTAAAACAGCTATTTTGAAAGGTCACATATCACTGTTTCTCCATGATTGGTCCATGTTGCCCTATTTAGTTTGCTTGGTGAGGTCATGTTTTCATTAATCCTCTTAATGTTTGTGGATGTCCACCCATGTCTGGGCATGGAAGAGTTTGGTATTTATTGAAATCTTCACATTCTGGGCTTGTTTGTGCCCATCCATTTTGAAAAAGCTTTCCAGATATATATATATATACTGAGGATTTTGATGTAAGCCATATCTGCAATAGAGGGCACTCCAAGCCCAAGAACACTGTGGTTCTTGCACACTTGTAGAGGTACCACCTTGTTGCCTTCGATAAGTTCTGGAAGAATTCTCTAGACCACAAGGCAGAGACACTTGTTTTCTTCCCTTTCCTTGTCCTCAATAAATGAAGTCTCTCTGTCCATTCTGAACTACCAGGAGCTACAGTTGTTGTGACACAAGCACCCCAGTGGCCACCAGCACTGTAATTGTGCTGGGTCATACCTGAAGCCAGCACAGCACTGGGTCTCACCCAAAGCCCACTGTAACCACTACCTGACTATTGCTTATGTTCACTCAAGGATCTAGGGCTCTATGATTAGCAGAGCGTGAAGCCAGCCAGGTTTGTGTCCTTCCCTTCAAGACACCAAGTTTCCCCAGGCCTTGTCCAGGTCCAGAGGTATCATCCATGACCCAAGGACTAGAGTCAAAAAGCTTAGAAAGCTACCTGGTGTTCTGTTGAAGTGTGGCTGAGCTGGTGCTCAAACCAAAGGATGCAGTTTTTTTTCCCACTGTTCTCTCCCCTTTCTACAGGCAGTAGATTCTCATCCCATTTCCACCAACACAACAGGCCCAGAGGGAATACTGCCAGGATACCACCGATGCTCACTTAAGGCCCAAGAACTCTTCAATCAGCTTGTAGTGAATGCTGCCAGACGTGGGACTTGCCCTTCAGGGAAGTGGGCTCCCCTCTTGCCCACAGAAGGTGCAGAAATGCCATCCAATAGCCAAATCCTGGAACTGGGGACTCCAACAGTCCACTTGATGTTGGACTTGATACCTCTCTGTGGCATACCTGGTACCTAAAGTGCAAAACAAAGTCCCCTTTACTTTTCTCTTTGCTTTTCTCAAGCAGAATGAGTCTCATTATAGTCACCACAGTTGGGAATATGCTGGGTCTCACCTGAAGGCAGCACATCTCAAAATCTCACCCAAGACCTATGGCCTACTACCTGAGTATGACTGCTGGTTATTCAGGGCCCAAGGTCTGTTTAGTCATCAGGTGATGTATTCTGCCAGAACTGCATCCTTCCCTTTAGGGCAGCAGGGTCCTCTCTGGTCCATGATGTGTCCATGACATGCCATCCAGAAGTGAGGGCTGGAATAAGGGCTTCACAGCTCTGATTGGAGCCCTATCCTACTGTGGCTGAGCTGATATCCAAGATGCAAGACCAAGTCCTCTTTACTCTTACCTCTCCTCTCAAGTGGAATGAAAGGGTCTCTTTTGGAACTGCAAGCTGTGCTGTCTGGGATTGGGGGAGGAGCAGCACAAGCACTCCCTAGTTGCCCAGGCTGGTGTCTCAGTAGGTCATGTGTTCCCCAAGTCCACTGGTTCTGAGCCCAGTTCAGCACTGGGATTCACCTAGGAATTTAACTCATTGTGGCCTAGACTGCCTTTCAAGTTTATTTAGAGCCCCAGTGAACTTTAGTCTGCAGTAGCAAGGTTTGCCAAAACTCAAGATCTGCCACTGGGATGGGAGAGTCTCCTCTGGTTAGGGCTCATGTAAATGCTCCCTTCATGAGTGGGTGTTAGCTGAGTTCAGCGTGGTTTTGCTCTCTGCTGTGACAGGGCAGCACTGATTTCTATGCGAAGTCTCACAATCGCTGTACTCTCCTTCTCCTTAGCTGTACATTATCTCTATGCACTGACCAACTGCTGTCAGGGAATGGGCAAAGCATGGCATCAGCAATCAAAGACTGTCTTTCCTACCCTGTTAATATGGTTTGGATCTGTGTCCTCACCAAATATCAAGTCAAATTGTAATCCCCAGTGTTAGAGGTGGGGCATGGTGGGAGTTAATTGGATCATGGTGGCAGTTTCTCATGAATGGTTTAGCACCATCTACCCTTGGTAATATATAGTGAGTGCTCATGAGATCTGGTTGTTTACAAGTGTGTAGCACCTCCTCCCTCTCTCTCTTGCTCCTGCTCCTACCATGTGAGACTTACCTGCTCCTGCTTTGCCTTCTGCCATGAGTAAAAGCTCCCCAAGGCACCCCCAGAAGCAGAAGCCACTATGCTTTCTGTATAGCCTGTGTAACCATGAATCTATGAGCCTCTTTATAAATTACCCAGTCTCAGGTATTTCTTTATAGCAGTGTGAGAATGGACTAATACACCTATTCAGTGCCTCATTCAGCAATAGGAAGTTAAAACCAGGGACTGTGAGTTCTTACCTTATTTTTGGTTCTTAAGAAGGTACTTTTTTGTGTTGATAGTTGTAAAAATTGATTTTACTGAGGGAGGTAATGATCAGTAAATTAGTGGAGCCTTCTATTCAGCCATCTTACTCTGCTTCTCTCTCCTTTTAATGGTAAATTCCACCTTTAGACCATTTCGTTGCTGCCATAATTCAGCAGAAGCTGTTAAATGTAAACACACCACTTTTTGAGCACTTTATTGCTTTGAAATTTTTTCCACCTAGATCACCACTATTAAGTTCATCCTTCCACAAAGCCTATTGACACAATGCAGCCAAGTTCTTTGCTATGGTATTACGTGGGTGACCTTCGTTCTAGTTCCCAATAAATACATTTCCATCTGAGTCCTGGGCAACATAACCATTACTGTCTATATTTCAATCAGCATTTTTGTCACAACCACTTAAACAATCTCTATGAAGCTCCAAATTTCCCCTTGTCTATCTTTTTCTATTTAAACTCTTCCAATCCCTGCTCATTACCCAGTTCCAAACCCACTTCCACATTTTCAGGTATGTTTACAGCAATTCTCTGTTCCCAGTATGAATTTTCTGTTTAAGTTTGTCATGTGTTGCTAGAAAGAAATACCTGAGTTGGGTAATTTATAAAGAAAATGGGTTTTTTTGTTGTTGTTGTTTGTTTGTTTGTTCGTTTTTGGATCACTATGCTCAATGGCTGGAAAGTGCAAGATTGAACATTTGCAACTTGAGAGGGTCTCAGGCTGCTTCCACTCATGGCACAAAGTGAAGCAGAGCCAGTGTGTACAGAGATCACATGGCAAGAATGGATGCAATGGTGTGAACTTGCCAGGCTTTTTTTTTTAACAACCAGCTATCCTGGGGAATAATAGAGTGAGAACTCATTCACCCTCAATGTAGGGTATTAATCTGTTTACAAAAAATCCACCACCATGACCAAACACCTCCCATTAGGCCCCACCTCCAACAATAGGGATAAAATTTTAACAGGTTCAGCAGCAACAAACATATGAACCATAGCAGATTTTTTCCGAAACTGTTACTAGCAATTTTTCTTATGTTTGTACATTCTTGTCCTTTCTCTCTCAAGAGGTGAGTTTTCTACTTTTTAAAAAAGCCTTGGCTGGTGTTAATGGCTTTCTTTGGTTAATAAAATGTTATAACAATTATATGAGAGTTCAAAACCCTCACCTTATGAAAGGTTTTGTAACTTCTTCTTTCTGTTCCTTGATATAGGAACACCACTTTAAAAAGCTCAAGTCAGACTACTAAATGATGAAAGACTACTTGGAGAAACAGGGGGCCAGTCTGCTGCTGACTGTTTCAACTAGTCTTGTTGAGACCCAAAATGGGTGCATGAAACTAACTTACACATCCCAAGCTCTACTCAGCTGAAAGGTAATGAAGCTTCAGCTGAAAACAGGTGGCAGACAAATGCCCAGATGATGCTAAGGAACCTAGAAAATCGTGAGAAAAAATTATTTATATTTTAAACACTAAGTTTTGAGATATTTTGTTATGCAGCAATAAAGAAAGGAAACATTCTCTATTCAAGAATAGTCAAGTAAGATTGAGAGATGTGTTTCTAATGATAATCAATTTATTTATGTGGAAGGTTGTTTTTCAAAATTTATTTTCCCTTTTTATGTAGGAATATTATGCCGTGATCAAAGTATTACATTTCACACATAAAAGCATTCTAACATTTCTTGATAACTGATGGAATGGATTCTTTGAACCATTAAAAACAAAGCATTAAATTGTTTTGATAACTATTAGTGTGTTCACTTGAAATGATAATTAATTCATTCATATTTAATTCCAAATTACTTCAATATTATTCTATAATCATATTACTATTTTAAAAAATTTTTGGATGACTCACAAAGCCTAATAAACTATTGGAATTTTTAGCCAGATTTTTATCATGATAAATTGTTTTACTTTACTTTTCGACTTTACTAGTTTGAACCAGAAAATAGATGTAAAATAATTATATAACGTATAAAATATCAGTAGGTTATTAAATCTTGTAAATATGAAATGACAAATTTCACAAATTTCTCTACACTTTGTATTATAAATGCTAAACATCTGTTATTATAAAGCTGAATTATTACATTTCATTTCTTCAACCAGGTTTCAGTACTATGTGCATAGATGAGATTATGTTAGATAAAGTAGATGATCTGCAATGGTGAATTAATTCCTGGATATAAAATAGATCTTCCAACATCAGGCTAAAATATTACCTTAGAGGGGTTTTAGAAAAATTGTGATTTTAAATATTTTCTTGAATGATGATGATGATGGTGGTGGTGGTGGTGGTGATGGTGATTTAATTGGAAGAACAATAACGCAGAAAAAAGTGGCAAAAATATTTTGATATGGTTGGTTTGGGTAGATTAAGTGACTTTCTATCATGGGAAGGAGTTTACAACTAAATGGACACAGAGTAAAAATGGCACTGGTATGAGGTAAGCAAGAGCATAATGAAATAGGGAGGGAATAATGCAGAAAATAAAGTGTCATACTGAACAATTAATCTTCCTGTAATATTAAAGGAAATGTACTTATAATACTAGATCTTGAAGAAATGTACTTATAATACTAGATCTTAAAGAATGACTATCAACAAAGCAGACAGAGGGATAGAGAAAACAGAGTCAGAGAGAATATTAAAGAAATACCTGAGAAATTCAGTGGGGCTAGAGCCAACTGTGTCTAGGAAAAAAATAGAATGCAAGACTGGAATTTAAAAGAATTATGAAATTTATTTTGGAATTAAATTTAAAATAACTTGGAATTGAACTTGAAATAAATATGGAATTGTATGCCATGTTAAGAATTTTGACATGCTAATAGCTTTTAATTTATCCTTTATAAAATAAGACAGGCTTTTAAAAAAATCTAATAAAAGTTTTTAGAGAAAATCTAGCTGACAAATATTTGTTCAACATCATTTTTCTTGTCCAGTGTTCCTCATAACACTATTTGACATAGGAGATGATTAAATAGAACTAGATTTTAATTCATATACGAATGACTAGGTAAAAATTTAACCTACCGCTGTGAATTTATCCTCCTTACTGCACTCAGACTCTAAGATTTTATCTTATGGATCTATTTTATTCTCGCTTGAGATTGCATGGAAGTCTTCCTCACCTTAATTTGAGCTCTGACTCCCCATGCCTGGTACCTTCCTTGAATGTATAAGTTACTCACTCAGCTCAGGCTCTAACACTCCATCTAACACACACTTCCCACGTGGACATTTTCCTTATCCTTCTTGGAGTCTAAACTACTATGCCAGGAGATACTTCCTACATAATACTGCCTATAATCCACTAAGGATCTGATCCTTAGTTTTTAATCAGCATGGACTCCCTTCTAACCCTGCTTTGGCTCTGATACCCGACATTAGTTTCCCCTGTGCATGGAGGTGCTCCTGACTCCATTCAGGTTCTGGATTTCTATGATGGCCTCATCCCCACCCTCAACATCACATGGATGTCCTTCTTGTCTTAATCATTCTCTGATACTCTACTCTGAGACATCATGACTTTCCACTGCACTCCACCTACTGCAACCACTACCTTGCTGTCCTATGAAATGCCTTCATAGCTTAATTGTTTGGGAGTAGAATGACAGGGAAAAAAGTATAACTCTAAGTGCAATTTTAATTTGCACTTCTCTTATAGCTACTTTAAATTATTTTGTATGTTCTCTATTTAGATTTCCTCTGATATGAATTTCTTGTTCTTATATTTGACTATTACTCTACTGGGTAGTTTTTTTCTATTTGTATTGATTTTTAAGCTTATTCTGCTTACCAAAAATAATAATCCAAAATCATAGAAAAAGTAAATAAAACCAAGAGTTGGATTTTTGAAAAAATGAACAAAATTAACAAAACCGTAGGTGGATTATCAGAAGAGAGAGAGAATACTGAAATAACTAAAATCAGATATGAAAAAGGAATCACACAATTTTATAGAAATAAAAATTTACAAGAGAATACTATGAATGCTGGTACACCAACAAATTTTATAACCTAGATTAAATTAATAAGTTCCCAGAAACACAACAAACCACTTAAACTAAATCATGAAGAAATAGAGTCTGAACAGACTTATAACTAGTAAGGAGATTTACTAATCAAATACCTCTCAAAAAAGAAAAACTCAGAGCCAATGGCTTCAGTGGTAAATTTCTCACACATTTAAAAAATAATAAACACCAATGTACCTCAAACTTTTACAAAAAAATAGAAAAGAAAGAATATATTCAATCTCATTCTAGGAGGTCAGCATTACCCTGATAACAAAGCCAGACACAGACACTACATAAAAAAATACAGACCACTGTTCATGATGAATATTGATGCAAGCACATACATGATACAGACAGTCCCTGACTTACGATGGTTCAATTTATGATTTTTTCACTTTATGATAGTGTGAAAGTTATAGACATTCAGTAAAAACTATACTTCAAGTGCCCATATAATCATTCTGTTTTTCACTTTCAGGATACTATACAATAAATTATGTGAGATATTCAACACTTTATTATAAAATAGGATTTGTGTTAGATGATTTTGCTCAACTGAAGGCTAATGTAAGTGATTTGAGCACGTCTAAGGTGGGCTAAGTTAAACTATTTTGTCTGGTAGGTTGAATGTATTTGACTTACAATATTTTCAACTTATGATGAGTTTATCAGAAAGTAACTTCATCATTAGTCTAGGAGCATGTGTACTATAAATAGAATTCAACAGTTCATTAAAAATATTGTACATCATGACCAAGTGGGAATTACCCTGGTATGCAAGGTTGTTCAACATGTAAAAATTAATAAATGTATTACACTACATTAACAAAATGATGAAAAAGGTCATGATCATCTCAATTGTTGCAGAAAATATTGATAAAATTCACCAACCTCTCATAATGAAAACAACTTAAAAAACTAGAAATAAGGAGAAACTATCTGAACATTATAAGGCTATGTATGAAAGTCCTCAGCTAACCTTTTGTTTTTTTGAGGCGGAGTTTCGCTCTTGTTGTCCAGGCTGGAGTGCAATGGCGCGATCTCGGCTCACTGCAACCTCAGCCTCCCAGGTTCAAGCGATTCTCCTGCCTCAACCTCCTGAGCAGCTGGGACTACAGGCACATGCCACCACGCCCAGCTAATTTTTGTATTTTTAGTAGAGACGGGGTTTCGCCATATTGGCCAGGCTGGTCTCGAATTCCTGACCTCAGGTGACCTGCCCGTCTAAGCCTCACAAAGTGCTGGGATTACAAGCGTGAGCCACCGCGCCCGGCCTCCTCAGCTAGCCTTTTAGCCAATAGTGAAAGACTTTTCCTTTAAAAACAAAAACAAAATAAAAATGCCCTCCTTTGTCACTTCAAGATAGTACTGGAAGACTTAGCCAGAACAATTACAAAAGAGAAGAAATAAACAACATCCAAATTAGAAAGAAAGAAAGAATTAAAAATATTTGTTTGCAAATGATATTATCCTGTATTTAAGAAACCTGAAAAACTTCACACACACACACACATACACACACACACCCCAATTAAACACATTCAGTGACATTGTAAGATACAAAATCAATGAGCAAAAATAAATTGCATTACCATAAACAATGGACAATTGAAAATAAAATTAAGAAACAATGATGTAAAATTGCATAGACATAATAGAATACTTAAGAATAAATTATCCATGTAGATGAAATACTTGTACACTGAAGACTACAAAACCTGTCTGAAAAAATGAAGACACAAAAAATGGAAAGATATTCTTTGTTCATAGGTTGAAAGACTTAATATTATTAAAATGAAAATACTGACAAAACTATCTACGGGTGTAATGCAATTCATATCAAAATTCCAATGGCATTATTTGAAGATATAGACAAATTTATCCTAAAATCCATATGAAATGTCAACGGTCCCTGAATAGCCAAAACACTCATGATAAATAACAAAGTTGAAGGTGTCACACTTTCTGATTTCAAAACTTATTACAAGGGCACAGTAATTAAGAGTGTGGTGCTGGCATAAAGACATATATAGCCTAATGAAAAAGCATATAAATCATAAAAATAAATCCTTGCATATGTGTTCGAATAATTTTTACAAAGATGCCAAATCCACTCAATAGGGAAAGGACAGTCTTCACCAAATGGAGTTGGGAAAACTGGATGTCCACATACAAAATAATAAAGTTGAATCCTTACTTCAAACAATATATAAAAATAAACTCAAATAGATCAAATACCTAAACATAAGAACTAAAATAATAAAAGTGTTAGAATAAAATACAAGAAAAAACTTCATGATGTTGGATTTGGCAATGATTTCTTGAATAAGACACCAAATGCACCAGCAACAAAAGTGAGAATAGGTAAATTGGACTAGATGAAAAATAAAAGCTTTAGTTCATGAAAAGACACAATTGAGTGACAAAGCAACATATAAGATGACAGAGTATATTTGTAAATCATTTATCTGCTAAGGGGTTAAAATCTAGAATTTATAAAGAATTCTTACAACTCAACAAGAAAATATCATGCAATATTTTTAAAGGTAAAGTATCTGAAAAGACATTTCTTCAAAAAAGACATATGAATGGCTAGCAAGCACATGAAAAGATGCTCAACATCAATAATAATTTAAAACTGCAAATCAAAACATCAATGAGATATCATACACACACACCCATCAAAATGTGTATATCAAAATAAACAAAAAAGTAAATAGCAAGTATTGGTGAGGGTGTGGCAAAATTGGAAATCTTGTGCCCTGTTGGTTGGAATGTAAAATGGTGCAGGACTGTGAAGAACAATATGGTGGTTTCTCAATTAATTAAAATTGAAATTACCATATAATTTAGCAATTCCATTTCTTGGTATGTGTTCAAAATAATTGAATACAGGGTCTCAAAGAGATATGGACAGATTCATATGCATAGCAGCATTACTTGTAATAGACAAATGATGGGAATTATCAAGTGTCCATTGACGAATGGATAAGCAAATGGGGTATATCTATATAATGGAATTTTATTCAGCATTTAAAGAGAGGGAAATTTTGACTCACTCTGCAACATGAATGAAACTTGAGTGCATTATTCTAAATGAAATAAGCCAGTCACAAAAAGACATCTACTGTATGATTACACTTATATAAAGTATCAAGAGTAGTCTAATTCATAGAAACAGAAGATACAATGGGGGTTGATAGTAGCTGGGGGAAGAGGAATTTGATATTTGCTCTTAAATGGGTACAGAGATTCAGTTTTGCAATATAATTTTTTTGAGATTGTTCACACAATATGAACATACTGTAATTGAAAATACTGAACACTAAAGATGGTTAAGATGGTAAATTTTATGTTATGTGTATTCTGTCTCAATTTCAAAAGTAGTTATATAAATGTACTACCTTCAACAAAATATTGTTTACCTCCAAAAAAGTTATGTCATGAATATGAAATGTTTCTACTATTTTAATACTAAAAAAGTCTATTATGATCATAAAATATATCTGCAAAAGAAAAATATTCTCTTACATGTATTCTAAATATTTTCTCCCCTTTTATGACCCATGTCTTTAAATTTTAAGAATGTATCTGGATTAATTGAAAATGTGATTTGGCTTGCTGCCTTATGAGAAAGGTGCTTGCTTCCCCTTTGCCTTCTGCCATGATTGGAAGTTTCCTGAGGCCTCCCTAGCCATGCAGAACTACATGGGGGTGTCTACTTATGTTGTCCAGGATGGTCTCAAACTCCTGAGCTCAAATGATCCTCCTGCCTGAGGCCCTCCAAATGCTTGGATTACAGAAGGGAGCCACCACACCCGGCCTGACCTTGGTTTTGACCATGAATTTTTAGATACAACACCAAAGGCATGATCCATGAAAGAAATAATTGATAAGTGGAACTACATCAACATTAAAAAAAAAAAGAAAACAAAAACACTGCTCTGTGAAAAACACCATCAAGAAAATGCAAAGACAAGCCAAAGACTGGAAGAAACTATTTGCAATAGACACATCTGATAAAGGACTGCTATCCAAAATACACAAAGAAAACTTGAAACTCAACAATAAGCAAACAAACAACTTGATTAAAAAATGGGCAAAAGATGTATAGGCATTTAACAGAAGAAGACATACAGATGGCAAATAAGTGTATACAAATGCTCAATATCCATTTATTAGGGAATTGCAATATAAAACAATAAGATACCACTACACACAACGAGGTACCGTTTGAACTAAAGGGATGTCCAAAACAAAAAATACTGACAACACCACATTCTGGCAAAGATGTGGAGCAACAGAAACTCACATTCCAGGTGGGAATGCAAAATAGTACAGTCGTTCTGAAAGATAATTTGGATTTTTTTTTACAAAGCTAAATATATTTTTAATAACCCAGAATTACATTCCTTGACATTTATCCAAAAGAAAAAAATTCTTATGTCCACGTAAGAACCTGGACAAGGATGTTTATAGCAGACTTTTTCATGATCATCAAAACTTGAAGGCAACCAAGATATATTTTGGCAGGTGAATAGATAGATAAACCTTGCTACATCCAGACAAAGGAATATTATTCAGAGCTAAAAAGAAATGAGCTATCAAGTCATAAAAAGACATGAAGGAACCTTAAATACGTATTACTAAGTGAATCAACTAAATCTGAAAAGGCTACCCCTTGTATGATTTCAACTTTATGACATTCTGGAAAAGGCAAAACTATAAAGGCAGTAAAAAGATCAGTGGTTGCTAGGGGTTGGGAGGAAGAAATGAACAGAATATTAGGGCAGTGAAAATATTCTGTATGATACTAAAATGGTAGACACCTGTATTATACATTTGCCAAAACCCATATAATATACAACACTAAGACTGAACCTGATGTTAACTATGGACTTTTGGAATACTGATGTATCAATGTAGGTTCATCAATTGTAAGAAATACACCATTTTGGTGGGGGAGGTCTATAGTGACAGAGACTGTGCATATGGGGGTACAGGTGGGCAGAGAGTATATGGGAACTCCTTATACTTTCTATTCAATCTTTCTTTGAACCTAAAATATCTATAAAAATAAATTCTATTTTAAAAAGCAGAAAATATTAGAACTTAAAATATTTGTAAGTTACTCCTCACATTTAGAGGAGAGGAAGTGGACTGTAAAGTGCTAGGCGACTTGCCCAAGGATGGACAAGTAACTAAAGACAAATTATTGAATAGAAACTTTACTATTTACTGTCCTCAAAGTCCCTGCTCACCACTAATACAGGACAGACATGTTGTTAAATATCTTTTCAATAGTGTCTGAATTATATTGACCTTTTAGGCTAATCTATGTCTCCATGGTTCTAGTATACTTCCCAAGATAATACTATCCAACATTGATTTCTGTTGTTCTTGATCAGCATAACGTTTACACTGGGTATCATACAATCTAGGAAACAAATTTAATTCAATTATATGCTCTCTGTGATGCAGTATTTTCATTCTTCAATAGTCTGATTCTAGTATAAACTCTTTTTAAAATAAGTAAGCTATTTTAAAAGTTGGTTGATGGCTTATACATATTCGATATGCTTTAGAACCTAATCTCATGCACTGAATTTTATGTGGCTTAAGAAATATTTATATGATCTGGAAAATCTACACAATGAGACTTTTACTAAAAAGAATTATTTATTGCTAAAGTTGAACATGAGCTGATAACGTGATTTAGCATCCAACAAGAAAAATGTACTGCTTATTTAAAACCAGTGTTTGGATATTAAATGTTGTAGTATTTAGTACTGTGTGCTAGGTATAAGACAGGAATAAACATTACCTTCTTCATTATAAATAATGCTTTCTTTGTATGAGATAAGCAAAATTGATACTTATTGCTTTGATAGCACTTTTAAAAATGAATACATTTTTAAATCATTTATTAAATATTATTTCCAAAGAGATGGAAAACCAAAAATACAACATATATAAAAGAGCTACTAAGTTAATTCAATTTCTAAAGGCGTCTTAACAATTCATGTGTACACTTAACTCTTTACTTGAATTTGATTTTTATTGTCTCCTCTGTTAAAATAACTGTAGAAAATTACTCTTAAGCTGAAGAAAATATAGAAAAGAAATATAAGTGAAGAAGAACGTAAGTTTTTATTTGTCACCTTTTTATTTGGATTACACAGAGACTTACAGAAAAGGTAAAAAAAAAAAAAAAAAAAAGTAGCATTAGATTCCCAATGAACCCTTAACCTGTTTAAACAAATGTAAGTATCTTACAGAAATAGTTTTTATGTAAGGAAAAACTATGATCAAACTAGGAAACATTGCTGTAGTACTAATAACTAAGCTATAAACCTTACTCAAATTCCCAATTCATGTGCATTTTTCCTGGTCCATGATTTCTTCAAGTATACTGTATTAAATATTTTGCCATGTTTCCTTAATTTCTGCTTATCTGTTCCCCACCCCTGCCATCCTTATCAGTCATATTGAAGACATTTCCTCAATTTGGGTTTGTCTGATGATTTATCATGCATTTGGGGCATGTCAATAGATGTGTTTACATACGTAATATATAGTCTTGTGTATATCATTGTGTGTGTTCATTGACAGTGTTTATACTTAATTACGTACACATTTTATCCAATTCAAAACGTACTACGGTTTGTGTTCTTAACAATGTATATTGAAAATCCTTCCTCTTCAGTAAAGTTCTTCATATATTTTCTATGGCATTCAAAAATTATATTAATTATTAAAGTCTGACGAATCAGAGAATTTGTCTTTTTAAGAACATACAATCAATATTCAATAAAAAAATTGAAAATGTGATTTGTAATATCACCAAAAATATAATTTTTCCTTTAATAATTATGCCCTAAAATAATTAATAATTTGAGCAATTTTCCATATACATATTGGCCATTTGTATGTCCACTTTGAGGAAATGTCTGTTCCAATACTTTCCCCATTTTTTAATTAGGCTATTATTATGATTATTTGCTATTGAGTTGTATAAGCTATTTACATATTTTGGAAATTAACCTTTTATCAGATAATATAGTTTTCAAATTTTTTTCCCATTCCATAGGTTGACTTTTTATTCGGTTGATTGTTTTATTTGCTTGCAGAAGCTTATTAGTTTGTAATAGCCACATTTAATTATTTTTGCTTCTGTTGCCTGTGCTCTTGGTGTCATATTCAAGAAATCATTGTCAAGACAAATGTCAAGAAGTTCTTCCTATGTTTTCTTCTAGGCCTTTAATTCACTTTGAGTTGATTTTTGTATATAATGTAATGTAGGGGTCTAATCTTATTATTTTCATGTGGAAATCCATTTTATCTGGCATTATTTATTGAAGAGATTACCCTTGTCTATTTTGTATTTTAGAGACTCTTGTCAAAGATCAGTCGAACATATACATGTAAATTTATTTCTGGACTTTCTATTATGTTGCATTGATCTATATCTTTGTCTTTATGTCAATTCTTTACTTTTTTAGTTGCTGTAGCTCTGTAACATATCTTGGAATCAGGAAATGTGATGCCTTCAATTTTATTCTTTCTCAAGAGTGATTTTGGTATTGGTGGTCTTTTGTGATTTCATATGAGTTTTAGAATTGTTTTTCTATTTTTGTAAAAAATACCATTGAGATTTTGATGGGAACTGCATCGATTCTGTAGAGCTTTCTGGGTAGGATGGACATTTTAGCAACATTAAGTCTTCCAATCCATGAACACAGGATTTTTATTTGACTTTGTTTTTTCCACACAGTTTGGCATCCTTGTCTTGTTTCTGATCTTAGAGAAACAGGTTTCAATTTTTATCATTGAGTATAATGTTAGCTGTGGAGTTAACATATATTGCCTTTTTATGTTGAGATATATTCCTGCTATACCTAGTTTGTTGGTTATCATTATCATAAAAAAGTTAAATTTTGTCAAATGTCTTTTCTGTATTATTTCTGTCTTATCTACTTTAATTTCTTTCATCAAGGTTTTACAGTTTTAAGGATAAATATTGTTCACCTCCTTGGTTAAGTTTATTTTTAAGTAATATTTTTGGGAGAGTTGTTATAAATGGCTTTGTTTATTAAAAAATTTTCTTCTCAAAAGGTTTGTTATTAGTTTACAGAAACACAACTGATTTTTGTGTGTTGATTTTATCTTATAATTTTGCTGAATTAGTTTATGAGTTTTAATAGTATTTTTCTGTAGTGTTTAGAGTTTTCTACATATGTCATCTGCATACAGAGATATTTTTACTTCTTCCTTTCTGGTTTGGATTAATTTTATTTTTTTTTCTTTGCCTAAATCCTCTAAGACTTCCAGTACAATGTTGAATGGAAGTGGTAAGAATGCTGTGATAATATAATGGATAAATTTGTTTTTCATCCAAGATTGCTAGTTCTCAGCTCCTGTTAGCCTTGTTGTTTGCTGAGTGACTAGAACAATAAGGGTATCTTTTGTTAAAGTATTTGACCTTTTGTCCTTGATTCCTGAAGTATCTCCTGAAAGATAAAGGTGAAAGACAGTCTTTTATAACAAACCCTTTCCACCACACCTGAGCTTACCAGGCAATTTTTGGAAAGACTCTAGAAAGCACAGGATGAGGGGACTAGCCAGGAGAACCAGGTGTGTGGGCAGAGGGATACATTTTCAGTCCGACCCCTCTATCATGGGGAAGGGGAGAAGGGCCGAAGATTACACAGATCACCAATGGCCAATGATTTAATCAATCATGCCTAGATAATGAAGCTTTCATAAAAATCTAAGAAGACTGAATTTGAGAGCTTCTGGAGAGCTGAACACTTAAAAGTTCCTGGAGGGTGGCATACCCAAGGAGGGCATGTAAGCTCCATGCCCCCTTCCTATTTCCTCTCACTATGCATCTCTTCATCTGTATTCTTTATATTTTTTATAATAAACTGCTAAATGTGTTTCCCTGAGTTTTGTAAGTCACTCTAGCAAATTAATAAAACCCAAAGAGAGGTTTGTGGACACTCCAACTTGAAGGTGGTTGGTCAGAAGCTCCAGAAGCCTGGACTTCTGATTAGTGTTTAAAGGGGCAGCAGTCTTGTAGGACTGAGCCCTCAACCCGTGGAATCTGATGCCATTTCCAGGTAGATAGCATCAGAATTAAATTGGTGGACATCTACCTGGTGTCCCCTGCAGAACTGATTTCTTGCTTGGTGTGTGGGAAAAGAAATCCCAAACACTTTGTCACAGAACTCTTCTGTGTAGATTATTGTTGAGTGAGAAAATAGAAGAAAACACTTTGACTTTGCTTTTTCGATGCAGTTGGGCATCCTTGTCTTGTTTCTGATCTTAGAGAAAAAGGTTTCATTTATCATTGAGTGTAATGTTAGCTGTGGAGTTAACATATATTGCCTTTTAATGTTGAGATATATTTCTGCTATACATAGTTTGTTGATCATCATTATCATGAAACAGTTAAATTTTGTCAAATAACTTTTCTGTATCCATTGTGAAAATTATATGATTTTATTCTTTATTCTGTTAATGTGTCATATCATATTGAGGTTTGTTAGCTTCTCTTTTTTTGTTTTTATTTTGTTATATTTTTGTTCTAGATTGTAACTTCTGATTGAATATCTTTTGTGATTACTGGAAAACTCATAATATTCTATCTCTGAGATAATTTTACCATTTTTCTAGAAAATACCATTGTATCATACAAGTTGTCAAATATTTAACATAAAATTTTCCAAGATAATTTGATATATTCTTGGTTGTTTTTACTCCATCTGTTGTTATATCCCATTTTTAATATTATTTTTTATTCCTTATCATTTAATTCTTTGTTATTTTAGTTCAATTTTTCATCTCCATAGTATTTTTTGTTTTCAATTTCATTTCTGCTATGTATTATTTCCTTTCTTCTACATTTTCTTGGCTTGTTCTTTTAACCTATTTCTTCAAATATTTTATGAAAATGCTCAAATATATATTTTAAGAATCTTTGTATTACGCCCAATCAAGTAGTCCAGGATAATTGCTCCATGTCAAGATTCTTAACATACATCTGCTAAATCCGTTTTATTCCTGCAAAGTAAAATATTCATAGGTTCTGGGAATTAGGATATGAATATCGTTCAGAAGCACTATTCATTGTGACTTACTTGAACGTTCTTTCATATTTTATGCGGTAAGAAAAACCCTGAATCATATTTAAAAATCCTTCTCCCAAACCAAGAGGGAGCTGAGAGACCAACGAATGACTCGGACAAGTCCATCTTGGTGAGTAGATGAGTTTATTAGGACTTACATATGAGGCACCCCTGGATGGCAACAGGACAGCTTTAGAGATGCATGCCTTTTCCCATCCATAAGCTGCTTAGAAACTAATTTTCTGGCTCTTTGCCTACTGTGTGTGTATGTGATGGGACTGTTCTTGATAGATTCTCAGATTCTCTCTGAGATGTCTAGATTCTCAGGGACACCTCTTCTTCAGCTGGGCACAATGGCCTTGACTTATCACCTGGCCTTCAGGGTTCGGGCAGTGGGCATCCACCATTAAGTAACCTGGTGGGAGACCCATCATACTACAATCTACCCCATTCCCCAGCTCTTACCTTCTCTCCACAAATTTTTCATGAGAATCCCAGAGCAGGGCACAAGGGGAAGAACTATACGGGTCCATAATGTATGGCCATAGCTTCTGTTTATAGAGTACATCCACAGTATACATAACAGCATAAAAATCAGAAGCTAACTATAATTATGATGCCTATTAGCAAAACATAACTCCAATGAGTAGGTAAAGTATGCAGCCAATTTGAGAATTAGTCAAAGAAAACTAACTGGGCTATATTATGGATCTGAGTTAACAAATGATTTAAAGCATCTGTGATGTTATTTTCTTTATTAGGGATATAGGTGCAGTAGGTAGCACCTATAAGAGCACATGATGTTGAGTCTCCATGGAGTTTATGATTGGGCTTCTAGAGAGAGGCAATCCCCAGTGAACCTGGGTTGCATTATTGGTGCTGTAGAAGCAGTTACCCCAGCTATGTAAGGAGAAAGGCAGACTATTCGGAGGCATATTATTATCATTAGATAGGGAGAGGTATCCATATACCCAACAAATGGACTGGCTGCTGACTGCTGCTGAAGTCACATCCCAGTCCAGAAAGACATTACCAGCTGCCATGCTTAGCAGAAACAACAGCCTATGTGTATAAACACAGGTGTTTAGTGGGAACCCTCATGAGTGTATCCACTCCTTGTAATATTACTACTGCTGTATTTTCTTCTATTGGCCCTATTAAGGAGGACACTATGGGCTTCAGGCCTGGCTTATAGCACCACACATGGCTTCCCTCCCTAGGAGAGGATATAATAGTCAACTAGTGAGTTTCCAGCCTTGCCCACATATCTGCATTATGACTCCTCCAGCAGGTATGGCGTTGCTGCATGTTGATATTGTAAGGCTCTCAGACCTCCATCAAGAAGCATAGCTGGAATCACCTCCCCTCTGGCAGTCTTCCTGGTGCTCTCTGGTACCATAAAACTGATCCAATATGCGGGCACTTTCCAGCTCAATTTCAGGTCCATGTAGCCATTGCCACTTGGCAGATCCTGGTGCTCTCAGAAGCACAGTCTGATCAGCTGCTTCAGGAGCATGACTCAGAGTCTCAGAGATAACCATGAAAGTTTGTGGGGCCTGTTTTACAGGCCTTGCCAACCATTCATAGAGAGAGATGCCATGTGTAGTAGTGGGACGCTCATTTAAAATTTGTATAGCTTCAGGGAAAGTCTTAGTCCAGGACCTTAAAGAACTCTCCTGAGACAACGCATATAATTGGATTTTAACAGTCCCTGCTTTTTCTATGAAGCCTGCCCCCGCTGGATTATAGGGTAAGTGGAACCCCCAGTCCATATTTTGTTCTGATGCCCAGTGTTGGATATCACAGCCCACGGGTCCATATGATTGACTTGCTAGTCTCAAAAAGGTTGTATGCTTGATGTCAGTTACCTGGTGCAGAGGGAACTTTTCTAGGTCACAGCCATGAATAGATCTCACAGTTCTGAACAGCTGCCAAAACATCTGCAGGATGGGATTACCTGCTGCCTTTGCTATGGTCCACTCCATGGTGCTCCCAAGGTGGCTGTTCCCACTACGTACTCACATGGCAGTTTCCTCCAATGGGCTCTGGCAAATTGCTCAAACAAAGTATGCCTGTCTCCTGACTTCTTGGAGGTGACTTGGGGCTGCATACATCTACATGCTACACCATAAGATAGGCATCTTCTCTTGTAACCTGATGTGGATTTCCTGGCACATGAACATTCCCAAAAGGGTCTGCCCAAAGTTTGCTGACTATCTGTGGTCCATTGATTGATCTACATGGTAAAACCTCTGTGTGCAGTCCAAATATCTGTGCAAGTGAGTAGCAGCCAGAGCTTTGGGGTGATGAGAATCCAAACTGCCTGTAGTTTGGCCCATTGACTGCTTTGTCTTAATTCCCATTCTACCAATACAGTACCAGAATCCATTTTCATGACAACCACTGAACATTGGTGTTGGGTACTTTTGCTAGACCAATTAGTGTACCAGGCAAAACCCCATCTCTGACAAAACAAAAGAAAAAAACAGGCCAGCATAGCTGCACATGCCAGTGGTCCCAGCTACTCGAGCGGATGAGGAGGATGTCTCAAGCCTGGGAGGCAGAGGTTGCTGTGAGCTGACACCATGCCACTGCACTCCAGCCTGGGTGACAGAACAAGACCTCTCTCACAAGAAAATAATTTGTCTCTTTTATGCATTTAAACCTGATTCCTTTTTGTGGAACCAAAGTGTATGATTAGAAAAGCCCATCATCAACTGGTGCCTATTTCCATTGTTCTATAAAAGAGATTTTGGTTTTACAGCTCACATGTAAACTTAAAGAAAAATACACTATTATTTCTGACATCAGCAGCCAAGGGAATTTTCTCTATCTAGCTCTTTTAGTACTTCAGCTTAAACTTTACCATTTTTAGCAGCACTTTAGACCTTTTGTGTTTGTGTCATGTTTCCTTGTTCTCTATTTTTTAGTGATTTCTGAGATAAATAGAAAATTCTTACCTTATATTGCCATGTTCAGATGGGTATCATAGTATGCATTTTCCATGTATTTTGCAAAACTAATATTTTTGAGTATTAAAAAAATTCTTGGAATATATGTAATTATTGGGGAAATGTGTATATGTATACATTTTTAAGTTATCAATTTGTCCATAGTATGTTTCTTCAATTATTAAAGTCTTTTTATCCCCCTTTACTAAAAGTAAAGCCTTTTAGTGATTTCCTAAACTGCTGAATATTCCTTTGATGAATCCATCCCCACTGAGAGCTGTCATTTTATCATTTCAGAACTGACTATGGCCTCATAGTACTGAATTAAAAAAAAAATCAAGCAATGTTATATTGTTTTTCCTTTCTGTGCAATTGTGATTTTTGACATGTCTCATCAAAACATTGAAAATTTCACATGATAAGGCAAAAGAAAATGTGGACTACTTTTCACTTGCTAGAATTAGAAAGTTTACCTAACCTTTCTAAGGACCAAACCAATATTTTTTTTTAAAAAAGGGAACTGGTGCTTTTACACAAAGCAATGAGAGTCTTGTAAAAAACAATAATATAAACTAATAAAGGCAGTTTTGATTCTGTCATATTTATTTCCCAGAACTAGTGCCTTTTTTTTTTTTAGTTTTTAAAACACTTTATGAAACAACTTGAATTACTTTTAAAGGTCACCATTTGCATTTGCTTTTTTAAGCCTCATTCCTCTTATGTGAGATCAGCATGTGTGTCCACCAAGCTTTGATTTTCTGTAACAAACATGGAAGAACACTGACAATTGGAAGGACTTACTTATTCCCAAATACTGTATCATCTATTCCACTGATCTGAGGCATTTTCTGGTTGAACTGGTACCTGAATGCTGAGCATACAGAGGGAAAGCCATTTTTCCATTTGAAAAATCTGAACATTACACAATAGAGATAACACCACATATCTGCAGATGCCTTTCTAGTCAAGCTGTAATAGCTCTTGACAAAGAACAGTAAACATCAATAATATTTTAAAGGGACCAAAAAGTTATTAAATCCAGAGACTGCAGCTTCTTTAAACCTTGAGTAGCATTTTGCTTGGCATTCAATACACCCAAGCTTCATTAGTATAAACTCCCATACTTGAGAATTTAATAGAATTTGACAGGATTTCATCTAAAATCTCAGCTAATTATGCTAAATTTAAACTTCTTATCATCTTATTAAAACTAAGACTCTATCCTGGAGTTTATATTATTAAACTGATTTTCTTTATATACTAAAAAGAAATTAATTTTATAAAAATGAATTATTCAAATTCTTGCCAAAAACTGTTGATATTGGTGAAGATTTTATTAAATGCCATTTTGCTACCTTTGTTACATGTGTGTACATGGGTGTATGCTTTATATAATTGGCAATTTTATTTACATTGACACAGTTCAGGAGACAAGGATCATGTGAAAATTTTTATATAATGTATAGTTCAGGGAAATGTTTCATTCTTTGAAACAGTTTAGCTAAGGAGGCAAAGAGAAAAAATCATATTTATGCAATATTCTATTCATTGTATTGATTTCTTTTGAAACTTGATCATATTTAATTTCTCAGATTAACTGCAACAACTATTAGTTTCATAGAAGCTCATCTGCATGTCTTTATGAAACTTAGAATTGCAGTTTAAAAAATATTTTGACTCTGCCACTGATTCCCTAGGTGACCTTAAATAGGTAATTTACCTCTCTTCATTCCTGATATCCCAATAGAGATAAGGTTAATGATAATTGCCATCTATTTACCTCACAGTTGTGTTGAAGATGTGATCACTGTAAAATGCTTTTGGAAGCTAAGTGAGAAATAAATGCCTATTAAAATTAGTAATTTACATGTGAGTAACTGATAAATAAAACAGGTTAACCCATCTTAAGCCACTCAAGTGATGATTACAGGCATACCTCATTTTATTCTGTTTGCTTTATTGTACTTCACAGATATTGTATTTTTTTAACAAATTAAAGGTTTTGGTAACTCTACATCAAGCAAATCTATCAGCGATGCCATTTTTTTCCAACATGTATTCACTTCATGTCTCTGTCACATTTTGGTAATTCCCACAGTATTTCAAATTATTTTATTATAGTATATCTTATAGGGGGATCTCTGATCTGTGATCTTTGATATTATTGTATTTATTTGGGGGCACCATGAATCATGCTGACATAAGACAGCAAACTTAATAAATGTTGTGTATATTCTGACTGCTCCACCAACCGGCCGTTCTTCCATCTCTCTCTCTCTCTGCTGGAGCCTCCCTATTTCCAGAGAAAATACAATATTAAAATTAGGTCAATTAGTAACCCTAAAATGACTCCTAAGTGTTCAAGTGAAAGGAAGAGTCATCTGTTTTTCACTTTAAATCAAAAGCTAGGAATGATTAAGCTTAGTGAGGAAAGCATGTTGAAAGCCACGATAGGTGGAAAGCTAGGCCTCCTGAACCAAACAAACAATTCTTTGTGAATGAAAAGAAAAGGGTCTTGAAGAAAATTAAAAGTGCTATTTCAGAAAATGAGAATAAGGAGAAAGCAAAACAGCCTATTGCTGATAATGAGAAAGTTTTAATGATCTGGATAGAAGATCAAACCAGACACAACATGCCTTAAGCCAAAGCCTAATCCAGAGTAAGGTCCTAACTGTCTTCAATTCTCTGGAGGTGAAAAAGCTCACAAAGAAAACTTTAAAGCTATCGGAGGTGAGTTCATGAGGTTTAAGAAAAGATACTGTCTCCATAACATAAAAGTGTAAGGTGAAACAGCAAGTGCTCATATAAAGCTGCAGCAAGAAATCCAGATGATTTAGCTAAGGTAATTAATGAAGGTGGGTGCACTAAACAACAGAATTTCAGTATATGTGAAACAACTTGATATTAGAAGAGGATGCCATCTAGGACTTTTATAGTTAGAGAGACATTAATGCCTGGCTTCAAAGCTTCAAAGGACAGGCTGACATTCTTGTTAGGGGCTAATTCAGTTGGTGAGTTTAAGTTGAAGCTAATGGTCATTTACCATTCTGAAAATCCTAAAGCCCTAATAATTATCCTAAATCTTTGGGGCCTCTGCTCTATAAATAGAACAACAAAGCCTGAATAACAGCACATCTTTTTATAGCATGGCTTACTGAATATTTTAAGCTTACTGTTAAGACATACTGCTCAGAAAAAAACAAGATTTCTTTTGAAATATTACAGCACCTAGTCACCCAAGAGCTCTGATGGAGATGAGATTGGCATTGTTTTTATGCCTGTTAACACAACATCTCTTCCTTAGTCATGTATCAAAGAGTCATTTCAACTTTTATGTTTTATTATTTAGGTAATACATTTTCCAAGAGTATAGCAGCCATAGATAGTGATTCCTCTGATGGATCTGGGCAAAGTACATGGAAAACCTCTGGAAAGAATTTATCTTTTTGGATGGAATTAAGAACATTTGTGCTTCATGGGAGGAGGCGTTCAAACTATCAACATTAACAGGAGGCCAGGTATGGTGGCTCATGCCTGTAATCCCAGCACTTTGGGAGGCCAAGGCAGCTGGATCACTTCATATCAGGAGTTTGAGACCAGCCTGCCCAACATGGTGAAACCCCAGCTCTACTAAAAATACAAAAATTAGCCGGGCATGTTGGTGGGCACCTGTAATCCCAACTACTTGGGAGGCTGAGGCAGGAGAATTGCTTGAACCCAACCCAGGAGGCGGAGGTTGCAGTGAGCTGAGATCGTGCCACTGCACTCCAGCCTGGGTGACAGGGCAAGACTCTGTCTCCAAAAAAAAAAAAAAAAGAAAAAGAAAAAAGAAAAACAAACCAAAAAAAAAACCCCAAAAATAACATTAACAGGAGTTTAGAAGAAGTTGATTCTAACCTTCATAGCTGACTTTGAGAGGTTCAAGATTTCAATGGAGGAAGCCAGAGATAGAGATTAAACAGAATTAGAAGTGGATCCTGAAGATGTGATGGAGGTGCTACAATCTCATGGTAAAATTTTGGTGAATGAGGAGTTGCTTCTTATGTGTGAAAAAAGAAAGTGGTTTCTTGAGGTGGAATCTCCTCCCAATGAAAATGCTGTGAACATTGTTGAAATAAGAACAATAAATTTATAGTATATACGTAAATTTAGTTGGTAAAACAGTCTTGGGGTCTGAGAGAATTGACTTCAATTTTGAAAGAAGTTCTACTGTGGGTAAAATGCTCTCAAATCGCATCATATTCTACAGAATCTTTCTTGAAAGAAACAGTCCATCAATGTGGCAAACCTCATCATTGCCTTATTTTAAGAATAAGCCACAGCCACCTCCACCTTCAGCAACCACCACCCTGATTAGTCAGCAGCCATCAACATTGAGAAAAGACCCTCCACCAGGAATAATGTTATGTCTGGCTGAAGGCTCAAATAATTGTTAACATTTTTAGCAATAAAGTATTTTGATTAAGGTATATGCATCGGTTTTTAAGACATAACACTATTGCACAAGTAATAGACTACAGTATTGGGTAAATACAACTTTTATATGCGCTGGGAAACCAGAAAATTTGTGTGATTCACTTTATTGCAATATTTGCCTTATTGTGGTGGTCTGGAATAAAATTCACAGTATTTTCGAGGTATGCCTATATAGCCATTGAACATAGTAAAAATTGGTTTGAAATACAGCTTAAGACATTTTGTATAATCCTGTGCAGTGGCAGATAAGGCAAATAACTGTTCTTACTATTTTAAAGAACTCCACTCTAAGCTTTTCAAATACAAGTAATAATCTGAGTTATATGACACTAAAAGAGCTGCCTGTACTATTCAGCCAAAAATTATTTACAGGTTTCTTTTTACATTTTCAAGGAAGTAAAATAATCTGTGTTGTTTTGTCTGGTTGTTTGCTAATATGAAGATTATTTTCCCACTACTCAGAGAGTTATATGTGACTTTGAAATGATAATTGTTTTGTTTTTAAAATAAATGTGTTTTTCTTATTCTTGAACTTTTTATGAGAATAACCTTACTCTGAGTTTTCTATCAAGGACTTGTGTTGCGGGAAGTCAGGGACTCTGAATGGAGGGACCGGCTGGAGCCGAGGAAGAAGAACATAAATTGTGAAGATTTAATGGACATTTATCAGTTCCCAAAATTAATGCTTGTATAATTTCTTACGCCTGTCTTTACTGCAATCTCTGAACATAAATTGTGAAGATTTCATGGACATTTATCACTTCCCCAATCAATACTCTTATAATTTCTTATGCCTGTCTTTACTTTAATCTCTTAATCCTGTTACCTTCGTAAGCTGAGAATGTATGTCACCTCAGGACCACTTTTGTACAAATGGATTGTAAAACATGTGTGTTTGAGCAATATGAAATCAGTGCACCCTGAAAAAGAACAGAATAACAGCGATTTTCAGGGAACAAGGGAAGATAACCATAAGGTCTGACTGCCTGTGGGGTCAGGCAGAATAGAGCCATATTTTTCTTCTTGCAGAAAGCGAGTAGGAGAAATATCACTGAATTCTTTTCCCAGCAAGGAATAACCCTGGGGAAGGAATGCATTCCTGGGAGTAGGTTGATAGATGGCCACTCTGGGAGTGTCTGTCTTATGCAGTTGAGATAAGGACTGAAATAAGCCCTGGTCTCCTGCAGTACCCTCAGGCTTACTAGGATTGGGAAATTCCAGCCTGGTAAATTCTAGTCAGACTGGTTGTCTGTTCTCAAACCCTGTTTCCTGTTAAGATGTTTATCAAGACAATGCATGCACAGCAGGACATAGACCCTCATCAGTAATTCTAATTTTGCCTTCCCTTGTGATCTTTATTGCCCTTTGAAGCATGTGATCCTTGTGACCTACTCCCTGTTTGTACACCCCCTCCCCTTTTAAAATCCCTAATAAAAACTTGCTTGTTTTGCAGCTCAGGGTCGTCATCATGGTCCTACCAATATGTGATGACACTCCCAGAGGCCTAGCTGTAAAATTTCTCTCTTTGTACTCTTTCTCTTTATTTCTCAGACCGGCTGACACTTAGGGAAAATAGAAAGAACCTACGTTGAAATATTGGGGGCTGGTTCCCCCGATAGACTTGAACCCTCTGAATTTCAGAAATAAGCATAAATATTACCTTAAAAATTACTATTAAAACAGTACATAATTCTTTAAGTAGCTATCATACGATAATAATAAATTACTCATTTACTTATCTGAAATGTGTCTTCTTTAAAACTTGGGGCAGAGTCTTGAGTGGCAGGAGTTAGTCAGTTTTTATTTAAAGCAACTGATTAATAACTTGTCTCCTTATAAATTAGCACCTTTGAATTTAGGTTCATTTAGGATTTAAATTAATGCATCTTATTTATGGTCCAATTTTTTCTAAGTTTATTAGTCAAAGTTCAAAGAACCCTAACACCAGACTTGCTACAATCTCAATAGCATAACAGTTTCAAGCTTTTGTTAAATACATTTCCTCAATAGGTACAAGTAACTCCCTAGGAATTAGGCCCTAATGAGTATCAACTAATGTCCCATTTAATTTATTGAAGAGTTTCCTAGCATGTTTATTTGCTTTTGAAAAACACATGGCTGGGTACGGTGGCTCACGCCTGTAATCACAGTACTTTGAGAGGCCGAGGCAGGTGGATCACCTGAGGTCAGAAGTTCGAGACCAGCCTGGCTAACATGGTGAAACCCCGTTTCTACTAAAAATACAAAAAATTAGCCCAGGCGTGGTGGAGTGCATCTGTAATCCAGCTACTCAGGAGGCTGAGGCAGGAGGATCGCTTGAACCCAGGAGGCAGAGATTGCAGTGAGCTGAGACCACACCATTGCACTCCAGCTTGGGCAACAAGAACAAAACTCCTTCTCAAAAAAAAAAAAAAAAAAAAAAAAGTAAGAAAAACACGTAATTATTTCTAGGGAGATATATACTAGCAGAAAGATCTTGTTCAAGTTGTTCTTACTCCTGAGACTTACTCTATTCTCAGGCTTTCTCTAACTGTGAAGGTTTATTATCAATGCTAGTTAGCAATATTTCTCTTCCCCTTGTTTCCTTATAATTTTCAGGTATCATTAGACAGTATTATTTACAATCATGTGAATTTTAATGGACACATTGTCCATAGTGGCTACAACTAATTCCAATAGCACCTGTTTCTTCATTAAGATTATCTAGTATTTAAAGTTATGCATTTAAAATAATTTTAAAATACTAGTGCTGTTTTACTTATGATGGGGTTACATCCTGATAAACCCACTATAAAGTAAAAAATATTATAAGTTGAACTATTATAAATTGGGGATCATCAGTATGTGCAAAACATCTTTTAAAAGGCTTTCTGTTATAATTTTTTTCTTTAAGATTAACATTTCATTGATTTTTCATTCTTTTAACTGCTATGAGTGTACAATAAAAGGAAATGAGAGCAAGATAGATCATGAGATGCTTCAAAAAGGGTAAATCTGATTTGTAACCAAAAGAAGAGAAGAAAATTCTTTCTTGTGGGGGAAGAACAGCATAGCAAGGGATATGGAGGTAAAATCCAATGTGGTGTATGAAAATTATGAACTCCTTCTGTCTACATCTATTCTAGAAAGGTCATATGTTATCTTACACACAATATAAATACATATTTTGTAAGACATTTTTGTTGCTACTTCATGTTTTCTGTCAATGCCATTTCATCTTTCAGAACTTACTATTGTTATTGTTTCATATCTAGTAAATTGATCATAGACCATTCATTAAATTCTATTCAAGAGTCAAGTATTTACATTGCAATTTTGGACATACATGACTTAGATAGTTTCTGCATTAGCAAAATACATTATTTCCCAAAGAGTTAATAAACTTATACTCTGAAAAAGCAGACAAGTAATTTTATTCTGCTTTTCCTGCCAGTGTTTAACTCGTTAATAAGTATTTGTGATTTCATCATTAAAAGTGCCTGGAAATCAGGTCATCAGTAAAGTGAGTGGAATAGAATGATTAACTGTAATATGCAAAAATCAGATAGAATAAACCTTAAAGGAATCACGTGATTCTTGCCTCTCCAATTTACTTTTGGAGAAAACAATTGTGTCCTTTGGAGTGAATTTTCTCTCATTACAGTTAATTGCACCCTTTAGATTAAAAAAAAAAGTATTTTTAGAAAATTAGTTAAAGTATTGACTTAAATTCCAAGTTGATGTTCCTCTTTGCAGATGCAAAGTTAGAATTAGTGATGTCAAAATGAGAGCACTTATCTTTAGCTAATAATGGCAAAAACTCATTTTTTTGTCATTATCTTTATATTTGCTTAGTTTCACCTTCTCTGTGGTAGAACTTCAGAGTATCCCTATATCTTTCTTAGCAGCCACTAACAGATTAGGGTGAGAGTTAGAGATATTTGTTTTTGTATATTTATTTATTTTCAAAAGTTTTTCCAGGATCCCTTCAGCATAGATTCATAGACCTCTTCCTATGCTAAATAATCATCAGAAGAAGACTCAAAGATTAGCTGTATTCTCTACTTGGCTCTTCATAACAAAAATAACTAATTTAGTAGTGTTAGAAAAATTGTTTCTGTTTGCTCTCTTAGATTCCCTAAGCGTCACCTATGTTGGTGTAAAAAGTGTAGAAATTTGAAGCCATGGAACTTTAACCAATAAAACATTCTATAGTACATAGTCAAATGTGAATGAAAGAAAATAATATATTATAAATTTTAATAATGGTCCTCTTCTTTTGTCTTCAAAAGAAACGAAACTTTATTTGCTATGGTAATTACCAAAAGCCACTGTTAGATTCAAGAGAGTGAGGAGTGGAAAGGAGAATGATGGGGAATAACAGTATTTGATATTTGTCAAATTTGTCTCCATAATTACTTGAAATGGGGTGGAGGAGAACTGAGGAGTAAGGAGGAAGGAAGAAGAGAGGGAAAAGAGAGAAAGAGAGAGAGAGAGCATGAGTAAAGGCAGGTGCCTTAAGGGGATATGGCTTGACTGTTGGATTTGGGAAGGGATGGAATGGATACTTAGATATATTAATAATGATCATCATATGTTATACACTATAAATTACTTTGATGTCCCTACCCCCAACGAAAGAGTCTAGACTCAAGATCTGCAACGTTTATAAATGTTTCATGAAAGTTGAACTTAGGTCTATTTTGGAGCTGGTATCCTTCTGAGAACTTCCTTAGGGTGAGAATAAAAATTTCTAAGAGCCACCCTCCCATCCTCATTCTCCCACAGTGGCCACAGCAAGTCCTGCCCAAGGAGTTTGAGTCCAAACCCACCTAACCCTGCCCCCATCTGATGGTATTTCCCTAACCACCCAGGTAGCTGAACACAAAAGATAGAAACTCTTGGGAGCTTTAAGGCCCCACCCATCACCTGAGAAACTGAAATACTTACCCTAGTCAACTTAGGACAAGCTTATATCCCCCTACTACTACCACAGCTGGTCCTTTCTTGAAAAAGCCACCTCCTGCCCAACTAATGCAGGCCATTACAGCAACTCATGACTGAATAACCCTGATCCCAGGAAAGAGAAGACAACACCTAATTGCACTGCATGCAACATCCTGGCTAACCAGAGGTCCTGAGTGTGTCCACATGACAACTTCACTGCTAGCATAACTAGCACTTGAGAAAGCCAGCACACTAAACATATCTATGACCAAGGACTTTCACAGAGTCTGCTTCACTTCCCTGCCACCTCCACAAGAACAGGTACTGCTATCCATAGCTAACAGACCTGAAGACAGATCACATCAGAGGACTCTTTGCAGACATTCCCTGGCACCAGCCTGGAGTCCTGTAGCTCCAGTTGTTAGACCAAGAAGATCAATAACAATCACTACAATTCAGCTCTCAGGAAGCCCCACCCCTAGAGGAATATGGAGAGCACCACATCAAGGGATTACCCTGTGGGACAAGAGAATCTGAATGGCAAGACTTGAGTTTCAGACCTTTCCACTGAAATAGTGTACCCAAATGAGAAGGAACCAGAAAAGTAATTCTGGTAACATGAAAAAACAGGGTTCTATAACACTCCTAAAAAATCAGACCAGCTTCCCAAAAATGGATCCAAACCAAGAAGAAATCTCTGAATTGCCAGATAAAAAATTCAGAAACCTTACAAGCCAGAAGGGACTGGGGTCCCATCTTTAGCCTCCTGAAAGAAAATAATTGTCAGCCAAGACTTTTATATCCAGCAAAAACTGAGCTTCATAATGGAAGGGGTGATAAAGTATTTTTCAAACAAACAAATAGTGAGAGAATTTGCCGCTACTAAGTCAGCCCTAAAAGAAATGGTGAAAGGATTTCTAAATCTTGACAAAAAACCTCAAAATACACCAAACTAAAACCTCCTTAAAGCATAAGTCTCACAGAGCCTATAAAACAATAACATAATAATAAAAAATGGTATTAAGGCAACAACTAGCATAATGAATAGAACAGTACCTCACATCTCAATACTAATGTTGAATGTAAATGGCCTAAATGCACCAATTGAAAGATACACAACTGCAAAATGGATAAAAGTCCACCAACCAAGTATCTGCTGTCTCCAAATGATTCACCTAATACATAAGGATGCACATAAACTTAATATAAAGGGGTGAAAAAAAGACATTCCACACAAATGGAAACCAAAAGTGAGCAGGAGCAGCTACGCTTATAACACAGAATACAAACTTTAAAGAAACGATGGTTAAAAAAAAAAAAAAAAAAAAAGACAAACAGGGACATTATATAATGATAAAAAGATTAAGTCAACAGAAAAATATCACAATCCTAAATACATATGCATCTAAAAATGGAGCTCCCTCATTTATAAAACAATTACTACTAGACCTAAGAAATTAGCTAGACAGCAACAGAATAATAGTGGGAAACTTCAATCCTCCACTGACAACACTGGACAGGTCCTCAACACAGAATGTCAACAAAGAAACAATGGACTTAAACTATACCCTAGAACAAATTGACTTAACAGATATTTACAGAACATTCTACCTAACAACTTCAGAATCTACATTCTTTCCATTAGCACATGGAGCATTCTCCAAGACAGACCATAGGAAAGATCACAAAATCAATCTCAATAAAATTAAGAAAACTAAAATTATATCAAGTACCCTCTCAGACCACAGTGGAATAAAACTGAAAATTAACCTCAAAAGGAATTCTCTTTTTTTTTATTATTATACTTTAAGTTTTAGGGTACATGTGCACATTGTGCAGGAATTCTCAAAACTATACAAATACATGAAAATTAAATAGTTTGCTCTTCAATGATCTTTGGGTGAAAAATGAAATCAACATGGAAATTAAACAAGCCTTTGAGCTGAACTATAACAGTGACACAACTTATCGAAACTTTTGGGATACAGCAAAAGTGGTGTTAAGAGGAAAGTTCATAGCATTAAATGTTTACATCAAAAAGTCTGAAAGAGCACAAATAGACAATCTAAAGTCACACCTTAAAGAACTACAGAAACAAGAACAAACCAAACCCAAACCCAGCAGAAGAAAAGAAGTAACAATCAGAATAGAACTAAATGAAATTGAAACAAAAAAACACAATAGATAAAAGAAACAAAAAGCTGGTTATTTGAAAAGAGCAACAATATTGATAGACTATTAGCAAGATTAACCAAGAAGAGAGAAGCTTCAAAAAAGCTCAATTATAAATGAAATGTGAGATATTACAACCAATACCACAGAAACAAAAAAGATCATTCAAGGCTACTATGAACACCTATATGCTCAAAAACTAGAAATTATAGAGAAGATGGATATATTCCTGGAAATATAAAACCCTCTTAAATTAAATCAGAAAGAAATAGTAACTCTGAACAGACCAATAACAAGTAGCAAGATTGAAAGAGTAATAAATAGTTGCCAATAAATAAAGTCCAGGATCAGGTGGATTCACACCTGAATTCTACCAGACATTCAAAGAAGAATTGGTCCAAATTCTATTGAAATTATTACAAAAGATAGAGAAAGACAGAATCCTCCCTAAATCATTCTATGAAGCCAGTATCACCCTAATAACTAAACCAGGAAAGGACATAACAAAAAAAGAAAATGACATACCAATAACTCTGATGAAGATAGATGCAGAAATTCTCAGCAAGATACTGGCTAACCAAATCCAATAGCATACCAAAATGAAAATACACCATGATCAAGTGGGTTTCATCCCTGGGATGCAGGGATGATTTAATGTATGCAAGTCAATAAAGCTGATACATTACACAAACAGAATTATAAACAAAAATCATATGATAAGACGCAGAAAAAGCAACTGACAAAATCCAGCATCACTTTATGAATAAAATCCTCAGCAAAATTGGCAAAGAAGGGACATAACTCAAGGTAATAAAAGTCATCTATGACAAACCCATGACCAATATTATACTAACTGGGAAAAAGTTGAAAGCGTTACCCTGAATATGGTACAAGACAAGGATGCCTACTTTCACAGCTTCTATTCAACATAGTACTGGAAGTCCTAGCCAGAGAAATCAGAGAAGAGAAGGAAATAAAGGGCATCCAAATTGGTAAAGAGGAAGCTAAACTGTCTTTGTTCGCTGATTATATGACTGGATTCCTAGAAAACCCCAAAGAGTCATCTAAAAACTGCTAGATCTGATAAATGAATTCAGTAAAGTTTCAGGCTACAAAATCAATGTACACAAATGAGTAGCACTGCTATACACTCACAATGACCAAGCTGAGACTCAAATCAAGAACTTGATCCCTTTTACAACAGCTGCAAAAATAAATAAATAAATAAATAAAATAAAATAACTTAGGAATACACCTAACCAAGGAAGTGAAAGATCTCTACAAGGAAAACTACAAAACACTGCTGAAATAAATCATCAATGACAAAAACAAGTGGAAACATATCCCATACTCATGGATGGATAGAATCAATATTGTGAAAATGACCATACTGCCCACAGCAGTCTACAGATTCAATGCAATTCCTATCAAAGTACAATCATCATTCTTCACGGAACTAGAATAAACCATCATGGAACCAAAAAAGAGCCTGCCTAGCCAAAGCAATACTAAGCAAAAAGAACAAATCTGGAAGCATCACATTACACCACTTCTATACTATAATACAATAACTATCCAAACTGCAAATGGTACTGGTTAAAAACAGGCATGTAAACCAATGGAACAGAATAGAGACCCTGGAAATAAAGCCCAATACTTACAGTCTACTGATCCTTGACAAAGCAAACAAAAACATAAAGTGGGAAAAGGACACCCTATTTAACAAATGGTACTGGGATAATTGGCGGGCCACATATAGAAGAATTCACCTGGATTCTCATCTCTTACCTTATAAAAAAATCAACCCAGCATGGATCAAAGACTTAAATATAAGAACTGAAACCATAAAAATTCTAGAAGATAGCATTGGAAAAACTCTTCTAGACATTGGCTTAGGCAAAAAGTTCAAGGTCAAGAAACCAAAAGCAAATGCAACAAAAACAAAAATAAATAGATTGGACCTAATTAAACTAAAAAGCTGCTGCACAGCAAAAGAAATAATCAGCAGACTAAATAGACAACCCACAGGATGGGAGAAAATATTTGCAAACTATGCATCTGACAAAGGACAAGTAGCCAGAATATACAAGGAACTCATACAAATCAGCAAGAAAAAAAAAAACAATAATCACATTTAAAAAGTGGGCAAATGACATGAATAGACAATTATCAAATGAAGATATACACATGGCCAAAAGTCATATAAAAATGCTCAAAATCACTAATTATCAGAGAAATGCAAATGAAAACCACAATGATATACCTGATATACCACCTTACTTTAGCAAGAATGGCCATAATTTAAAAATCAAAAAATAATAGATGCTGGCATGGATGTGGTGAAAAGGGAACACTTTTACACTGCTGGTGGGAATATAAACTAGTACAACCATTATGAAAAACAGTATAAAGTTTCCTTAAAGAACTAAAGGTAGAACTACGATTCGATTTAGGAATCCCACTACTGGGTATGTACCCAAAGGTAAAGAAGTCATTATATGAAAAAGACACTTACACACACACGGTTATAGCATCACAATTCACAATTGGAAAGATAAGGAACCAACCTAAATGTCCATCACCCAATAAGTAGATAAAGAAAATGTAGTATATATATACACCATGGACTACTACTCAGCCATAAAAAGGAATGAAATAATGGCATTCACTGCAACCTGGATGGAGTTGGAGACCATTATTCTAAGTAATTCAGGATTGGAAAACCGAATGTTGTGTGTTCTCACTTGTAATTGGGAGCTAAGCTGTGAGGATGCATAGGCATAAGAATGATATAATGGACTTTGGGAATTCAGGGGATAAGGGTGGGAGGGTGGCAAGGGATAAAAGACAACACATTGGGTACTGTATACACTGCTTGGGTGAGAGGTGCACCAAATCTCAGCAATTCCCAGTATAAGAATTCATTATTATTCATGTAACCAAACACCACTTGTTTCCCAAAATCTATTGAAATAAAATGTGGCAGTTGAAACCTTTATATATACTTCTAAGGTATGTTTTTCATGTTTGAGTTCTGTAGTTGATTTTTGAACATTTACTTTGATTATTTTTGATGGCCCTTCAGCTTTCTAATTAGCCAAATGCCTTTTTCTTTGGATTTAATTATGCTTCAACAAAACAAACCTCTCTTTTGTCAGGTGCACATTTGAAACATCCATATAGCACATCAATAATTAATATTTAATCAAATTTAAGAAAGTTTGATTCAGACACAAAAGTGATATCTTTATTACATACTATTTTTCATACTTTAATATAACCACTGTTTTATTTTTATGTTTTGTTCTCTTTCTTGGATTCTTCTCTAGCTGTATTCTAGCCTAATTCAGGAACAAATCAACTTACCAGGATTTACAGGGTATGCCCTGCATTAATGTCAGTTTCTGTCCCTGTTTCAGGGGGAACCAACCCTAAAACTCTTATAAATTTAACTAATTCAGAAGTTTCTAGACCGAATCTGATCTGAGGCAGGGAGATATTAAAAGAAACCTATAACTCAGTCTAATACTTGAGGTTTCAGCCTCTGCTGTGTCATTTCAAATTGTATTGCCCACAAGATATTGTAGATTCAATTTTGGAGAGAGAATAACTACTTCTGCACCTATAAAGTACTGAATCCTTTAATCCCCAACATGTACTTTTTCTGTTTAGTTTTGTTTTTTGAGACAGAGTCTCACTCTGTTGCCAGGCTGGAATGCAGTGTTACAATCATGGCTCATGGCTCACTGCAACCTTGAGCTCCTGGTCTCAAATGATCTTTCCACCTCAGCCTTCCAAAGTGCTGGGATTATGGGGATGAGCCACCATACCTGGCTACTTTTTCTTGTTTTTCTTTCTTTTATCTTTTCCTTTATTTTACATTTTTGAAATGGGGTCATTCTCTGTCACCCAGGCTAGAGTGCAGTGCCATGATCAGGGCTCACTGCAGCCTCAAACTCCAGGGCTCAAGTGATCCTCCTGCTTCTCAGTCTCCTGAGTAGCAGGGACTACAGTCATGTGCAACCACACCTGGTTAATTTGTGTACTTTTTGTAGAGATGGGTTTCACCATGTTGCCTAGGCTGGTCTCAAACCCCTGGGCTCAAGCAATCAGCCTGCCTTGGCCTCAATTGTTGAGATTATACCTCAAAGTGTTGAGATTATAGGCATGAGCCACCATGTCCGGCCTACTTTTTCTCAAATACTAACATTTTCAGTTCAAATTCTGATGACCTGAAAAGGCTGAATTTATATACACCAAGCTGTGCTGCGACATCTACACTACAAACTTTGTAGTGTACTGTTTTAATTATTTTTAAGCTTATAAGTTAGTGGTATATTATTTTGCAACCATCATTGTTAAATGTTTTTATCTTTCCCACACTGAAACTCTATACCCACTAAACAATGGCTCCTCATACAACTTTCCTTTCAGTTGCTGGAAACCACCATTTTACTTTCTGTCCCTATGAATTTGACTAATCTAGGTATCTGATATAGGCATTATACAATATTTGTCCTTTTGTGTTTGTTTTATTTTATTTGGCATAATGTCTTCAAGGCTCATCAACACTGTAGCATGTATCAGAATTTAATTACTTGTTAAGATGGAATAATATTCCAGTGTATTTATAACATAGTTTGCTTATCCATTAATCTATCTTTAAACATATGCATTGTTTTCCATTTTTTGGCTATTATAAATAATGGGGTTATGAGCATGAGTGTACAAATATCTGTTTGAGCCCTTACTTTAAATTATTTTGGGTGTGTACCTAGAAGCTGGAATAGCTGAATCACATGAAAATATTATCTGAATATTAATTCCTTATCAGATATATGAATACTAAATGTATTGTTCCACTTTGTAGGTAGCCTTTTCCCTCTATTAATCGTATCCTTTGATACACAAAAGTGCTTGTTATTAAGTCCAATTAATCTATTTTTTATTTTATTGTCTGTGCTTTAGAAGTCATAGTCAAGAAATCATTGCCAAATTCAATGTCATGAAGCTTTTCCTCTGTTTTTTGTTTGTTTTTGTTTGTTTTTGAGACAGAGTCTCATTCTGTCACCAGGCTGGAGTGCAGTGGTGCAATCTCAGCTCACTGCAACCTCCGCCTCCCGGGTTCAAGGGATTCCCCTGCCTCAGTCTCCTGAGTAGCTGGGACTACAGGTGCGCACCACCACACTTGGCTAATTTTTTGTATTTTAGTAGAGACAGGGTTTCACCGTGTTGGCCAGGATGGTCTCCATCTCCTGACCTCTTGATCCACCCCAAAACAAACACGATTGACTTAAAGAGAACCTAATTGTTTTTAAGTACATTCACATTTTTCATAATGTTTAATCATCTCAAATATCCAGTGAGGTAAGCATGATAAGAAATGATTTTCACTTCTCAAGTGAGGAACAAAGAGGCTTAGGGAACTGATTTAATGTCTATTCAAATTGTGCTCTTTATATACAGGATCATGTCATCTGTGAATAGAGATAGTTTTACTTCTTTCTTATTTTGAAGTTTTCATTTATTTTTGTTGTCTGATAGCTATGGCAATAATTTTCTATTAAAATATTAAATAGCAGGAGGGAAAGTGGTCATCCTTGTCTTGTTTCTGATCTTAGGGGAAATGTTTTGTCTTTCACCACTGTGTTTCCCCATCAAGGATGATGTTACTTGAATGTTTTTTAATACATTCACTTAATCATGTTGAAATTTTTGCCTCTGTTCCTAGATCTATGAGAGTTTCTATTATAAAAGGGTGTGGAATTTTTTCAAATACTCCTTTTGAATAAATTTATATAATTTTTGTCTCATTCTGTTACTGAACTGTATTACATTGGTTGATTTTCTTATGTTGGAACATTCTTGAATTTCTGGATCAAATTCTACCAAATCATCCACAAGAAAGGTACCAGAACTAATAACCAAATTTAGAAAAGTTGTAGGGTCCAAAATCAACATTTGAGTTACATTTCTATGCATTAGTAATAAGCAATCTGAAAAGAATGTGAAAAACCACTTAAATTTACAATAACATCTAAAATATTAAATATTTAAGAAGAGATCTAACCAATGATATAAAAGACATGCTGAAAACTAAAACATATGGTTGAACAAAATTAAGGATCTAAATAAATTGAAAATATGGGATGCTCATTGATAAGACCACTTAATATTGTTAAGATGTCAATATTACCCAAAGCAATCTACAGATTCAATAAAATCCCTATCAAAATTTCAACTTTTGTTTCTCCAGAAATAGGCAGATCTGAACATTTATATAGAATTACAAAGAACCTTGACTAGCAAAGGAATCACGAAAAATAATAAAGTTAGATGGCTAATGTTTCTTGACTATAAAACTAGTTACAAAGCAACCATAATTAAAACAATGTGGTGAAAGCATCAAAATATGTGAGGCAAAAACCGATGGAACTGCATGGAGAAACATAAATTCACTATTATAGCTGGAGACTTCAACAACCCTCAATCAGCAATGGACAGATACAGCAGGCAGAAAATCAGTAAGGCGTTGTTAAACTCAATAGCACCATCAATCAGCTAAATGTAATTGACATCTACAAAGTATTTCATCTAACAAGAGTAGAGTACACATTATTCTGAAGTATATATAAAAAAAACTCATTAAAATATATCACAACCAGGGTCATAAAACACACCTTAACAAATTTTTAAAAATAAAAACTTAAAACAGTGTATGGTCTCAGACCACAATGAAATTAAATAAGAAATACATACAAGAAAGAGAGATGGAGTATCTTAAAGTACTTGAAGATTAAACAACACATTTGTAAATAACACATGCGTCAAAAAAGTCTCACGAAAAATTTTTAATACTGAACTAAATGAAAATAATAAAACAGCTTATTAAAATGTGAGACAAAAAATGAAAGTATTTCTTCAAGGAAAATTACAGCCTTGAGTCCATATATTAGAAAAGAGGAAAGATTTAAAATCAATCTCAGTTTCCACTTTAGGAAGTTAAAAAAAGAAGAGGAAGTTAAAATCTCAGTAAGCAGAAGAATTGAAATAATAGAAATTAGAGCACAGATTAATAAAACTGAAAACAGGTATTCAATAAAGAAAATCAATAAAACCAAAAGCTGGTTGCTTTTACAGATTAATAAAAGTGATTCGCCTCCACCCATGTTAACTAAGAAAAAAAGAAGACAAAAATTAATATCAGAAATAAAAAAGGGACAATCACTACAAATTCTATTGACATTCAAAGTATTATAAAGGAATATTATGAACAGCTGTATGTCCACAAATTTAATAATCTAGAAGAAATGAAACGGTTTAATTACTTGAAAGATGCAATATGCCGAAACTCATACAAAGAGAAATAGACAATATGAATAGGTCTGTATCTATTAAACATATTGAATTAATAATAACTTTCCAAAACAGAAATCGCCAAGCCCAGGTGGGTTCACTGATGCATTTTACCAAACATTTAAGGAACAAAGTATACCAATTTTCTACAATCTCTTCCATAAAAATAGAAACAAGAACACCTCCTAACTAATTGTATAAGGTTAGTATTATCCTGATACCAAACCATTCAAAAAGATATGATAGAAAAATTACACTCTAATAACTTTCATTAACACAGGTGCCAAAATCCTCAACAAAACACTAGCAAATAAAATCTAACAATATATAAAAAACTATCCACCATGACCAAATGGGATTTATTCCAGGTTGAAAGGCTGGTTCAACATTAAAAAAATCGAGTAATGTAATTCATGACATCAAAAGCCTAAAATAGAAAAATGGCATGATCACATGAATAGAGTCAAAAAAAAAAGGATTTGTCAAAATCCAACACCCATTCATCATCATCATCATCATCATAAACCCTCAGCACACTACAAATAGAGAGGAACTTCCTCACTTTGATAAAGAGCAACTACAAAAGCCATACACCTAATATACTCAGTAGTGAAGAAATAGAATGTTTTCCACCATGATCAGGAATAAGACTAGTGTATACCCTTTCATTCTTAGATTAGAGTTCACTCTTGGTGCTGCACATTCTATGGGTTTTGATAAATGTAAATGATACATTTCCATAATTATAGTATCATACAGAATAGTTTTACTGCCTTAAAGATTACCTATACTGTACTTAAATTCATTTCCCCACTAGAACCCCTGGTAACCACTGAATTTTACTGGCTCCACAATTTTGCCTTTTCCAGAGTGCCATATAGTTGAAATCACAGAGTATGCACCTTTTCCAGATTTGCTTCTTTTACTTAATAGTTATTTAAGCTTCTTTCATGTCTTTCTGTGGCTCATTTCCTTTTATTTCTGAATAATATTCCATTGTCTGGTTTTACCTTTGTATGTTTATTCACCTATTGAATAGCATCTTGGTTGCTTCCAAGTTTTGACAATTACAAACACAAGTGCTATAAACATCCATGTGCAGGTTTTCGTTTTTGACATAAGTTTACAAACCATATGGGTAAATACCAAGGAGTGTGATGACCATAATTAATAAAAATGTATTATTTCAAATTTGCAAAACAGATTTTTGATGTTCTTACCACACACACAAAAATGAAATTCGTGAAGTGACAAATATGTCAATTAGCTTGATTAAATCCTTCTATAATATATGTGTATTGAAACATCACATTGTCCTCCAGATGTATAAACAATTATTTTTGTCAATTAAATATTTATTCAAAAATCTGGGAAGGTTAGGGGGATAAAGAGAGGTTGGCTAATGGGCACAAACATACAGTTAAACAGAAAGAGTAAATTCTAGTGTTTGATATTACAGTAGGGTGTCTACAATTAACAATCATTTATTGTATATTTCAAAATAGCTAGAAAGAGAATATTTGAAATGTTCCCAACATAAAAAGTGATATGTGTTTTAAGTGATCAATATGCTAAAGATCCTTATTTGATGATTACACATTGAATGCATGTATCAAAATATCATAAGTACCTCAAAAATATGTACAATTATTATGTACCAATAAAAGTATTTATAAAAGAATGCACAAGGAATCACTAGGTTAATTTAAATTCTAATTGTCTGTGACATATTACAAAGATAAAGTATATGTACACACACACACAAAAGGAAAGTTTATTAAAAAACCAAGGTGGTGCCAGCATGTGGACAGATAAACATCAATAAGATGGAATAGAGAGCTCAGAAATAAACCTTCACATATATAGTGAATTGATTTTCAACAACAATGTCAAGAGCCTTCAATGAAGAAAGGACAGTCTTTTAAATGAATGGTGCTACAAAAGTTGAATATCCGATGAAAAAGGATGAATTTGAACTGTGACCTTAAAGTATATACAAAATTATTTCAAAATGGCTCAAGTACCTAAACTGGAGATATAAAATTATAAAACTCTTAGACATAAACATCAGGAAAATGTTTACTACATTGGATTGGATATGACATTATGGATATGGATATACACAGATGTGAAAATTTTATGTATATAACACAAAAAGTACAAGCAACAGAAACATAAATAGAGTGGACGTTTTCACAATTAAAGTTTATGCATCAAAGGTCATTATCAATAAACTGAAAACACAATGTAGAGAATAGGAGACAACATCTGCAAATAAAATGTCTGGTAAGGGATTAATGTCCAGAATATATAAAGAATATCTATAGCTCAACATAAACAAAACAACCCAATACAAAAAATGGGCAAATGACTTGGATAGATATTTCTCCAAAGGAGATATACCAATGGCCAGTAAACAAATAAAAATAAGCCCAACATCATTAGTAATTAGGGAAATGCAAATTAAAATCTCAATACAATACCATTTTACACCAATTAGAATTGCTAATATAAAAGAAAACAAAATAACAAGTGTTGTAAAGGATGTGAAGAAATTGAAACCCTCATGCATTGCTGGTTGGAAATGTAAAGTAGTGCAACATCTGTAGAAAACGGTTTGGTATTTTCTCAAAATATTAAACCTAGAACCACCTTAAGACCTGGCAATTTCACTGCTAGGTATGTATACAAAATAATTGAAAACATAGACTCAAACAAATATTTGTACAACAATGTTTACAGTAGCTTTACTCAGATTGGCCAAAAGATGTAAAAAACCCATGTTCATCCGTAAAAGAAGAGTTAAACCAACATTGTATATTCATACAATGGAATATTATTCACCCAAAGAAAATAATGTAATTTTTATATATGCTACAGCATTAGTGGACCTTGAAAATATTATGCCAAGTAAAATAAGCCAGATACAGAAGAATAAATATTGTACGATTCCACTTATAGAAGGTATAGGTAAATACATAAAGACATAAAGTAGCATAGGGTTGACTAGAGTTTGGGGCATGGGAAGAATAAGGAGTAATTGTCTAATGTGTATAAGGTTTTTATAAGAATACTAAAATAGTTTTGGGAATAGATAGTGATGATGGTTATACAACATTATGGGTATATTTAATATCATTTAATTGTAAGCTTTTAAGTTTATAAAATGATATCATATATATTTTGTCACAATAAAAAAAAAAAGATTACATAAGTTGCATGCCTCTCTGTGTGCCAGAGGACATTGCCACTAGTTTTAATTTAGTGATCCTAGGATTGTTGTGATCATTTTTCAAATTCCTTTAATTGCAAAATACAGTGCTCAGTGAGATCATCCCTCATTAATTTTGCAGAAATAAATTACTGGTTTGTCAAAGCAAAATTATCTTTTTCCTGTCTCAACTATAACAACAGTGGCCTGATATACTAATCATTTTCTATATGATATGCTGGTAACATAGGTGGACTCAAAACAGATTAGGCATGCATAAATGAGATAATAATTTAAAAGTTTAAAGGGAGAAAAATAGTTTGTTCTTATGCTGACATATATGGTCATAATTATATAACTCTGTATGACATCTAATCTTGGAGTGTGAGAAGATATATTCTGTTCTCTCCCCTTTCGGTGTTATCATTGGGCAAAAAAGGTAGGTATAGAACTACTACATATTTACTTTACAAAGATTCCAAGGGAAAGGAAGCTTTCCTGTTTGAGTGCAGGGCTGTGTGAATTCTCTGCATTTCCAGAAAGTAGCTGAGTTGCTAGCCAAGCTCTAAAGTTGGTTACGTAGTTCAGTGGAGTGGAATCACTGAGTGGATTATTAGCTGACTGGACTAAAATCATTATATTACAAGGACTATTATACATAGTCACACATATATACACAGATGCACATACAACTTTTCCAATGAAATGTCCATGATGCATCAAAGGACTGTGAATGTATTATATAATGTCCAGATGGTGTTGGGGAAAGCTGATTGTAGAGGTTTTGAGGATATTTAGTCCTATTTGTGGAATATTTTTTCCAATCCCCCAGCAATGTGAAAAATAAAATGTGTCAGGATTTGCTCAAAATTCAGTCAATATTTACATGATTATTTGTTCGTGATGATATACTTATGGTAATTTGATTAATCTTGGTTTTTAATTGTTGTTGTTCACTCATGTATGAATTCCAGTCAGCTAACTAGAGAGCCTAATTGTACTTGTGACTTTAAAAAGGGTATAGATGTAAACAAACTGCCTCTCAGATCACATTTTTAAATACATGGGCTTCATGTAATTTTAGACAGACAAAACACAAGGTGGAGCATGCCTAATTGTCAGGTGGTGGGACCAAATTACTGATTTGTTATATTTAATTTTAAAAAGCCCACTACTGCATTTTATGCCTAATATTGACTGCAAAAAGATTAACTTTACCACTGTTTTGTTTTTTTGTTTTACTTTATGTTTTGGCCATATAAACCTAGTGTATTTCCAATAAATGCAAATGCTACTTTATCACTAAATGGAAACCACCCTTTTCTCCACATTGTTTGTGGAACTAAAGAGAGTTTTGAAACCAAGGTTTGGATGTGACCAGCTGTCAAACCTTCAGTGGGTTGTTGTGTGTCAGCTTCCTTTTTATCTATCCAAACACAGAGATGTGGTAGAATGTTTTATTTCTGGGATTCTAAATCTGGTATCATGTGCACTGACTAATTATTCTCTTCGAAGTAATAGACACCATGTTGGAAGAATCGTAATAGTAATAAAAAATTAAATTAAATGAGTGGATTATTCTGTTCCCAAAGCCCTTAAATAACTTCATCCAGAAATGGAAACAATTCATACTCATTCTTTTATAAGGTAATATTAACAAATCCCCAGCTTCATTTATATGTGAAGGCTTGCTTTAGAATACATATTTTATTTTCACAGGGGCACATTTTAAGTTACAAAAGCATGGAATCTCAGAGTTCAAAGCAAGAGAGTAGTCATCTACTCAAACATCTTATCCAGCTTAAAAAAAACTCTCTTGATTGATCGACTTCCAGAATAGTAGAGTGGGGACCTTGGTTCACTTGCTCTCCTCGCAAAACCGTTAAAATGTGGTAAAACAAATGAAACAAACCATTACAGAACTCTAGCAATTAATGAAAGTCATAGAACAAACTGCAAATGATCTAACCCAGAGAAAACTACTGAACCCCACGCAGTAAGATAGTTGAATTTATAACATTTTAATTTGTGCTTATCCTACAACCCTTCACGCCCATGCTTAGTAGTGCAGTGGCCAAAATCTGATGGCATTGCTGATATTGGAGAAATTTGATATCTTTTGTATTTCTGTTAAAAGCGTCACCCCTGTAATATAGTTAATATTTCATCAAAACCTGTGTTCCCAAAAAATCACTATTCTCAAAGTGAATATATTGTCTTATTTGACAGTTATTCAAATAATAGCAAACTCAAGCAACATCTCAGCTGCCTAAGACTGATTTAAGATGTGGCAAACTAGAGCCTGGCCAGGAATGTAAAAGAATATACTGGAAAGCTAAATGATAATAAAAAAATAATTTGGAAAGCTCTGACACGATACAGGCAATATAATAGGATTCACTCATGTAGACGGTTATGCATATTTCCAGAAAATATTTGTGAAAGGAGAAGGCTCCAATTACTCACCTGTGGATGACTTTGAGATTGGGTACAAGCAAAAAGGGAATCCTAAGGCAGTCTGGGAAACTGCTTGAAGTTTTAAAGTGTTCTTTCTTACATATATCCCTTTAGGGGAGAAAAAAGTGGAGGATATAAAAGCAAGGTATTTAAGAAAATCTGACAAATTCTTGGCTGAGCAATAAACTATATTGACTCAGGTGTGACACCAAGAAAGACAGGCTTAAAAATAAAACAAGAAGAAAACAGCTAGCAGAGTATTCAGTGGCTCCACAATCGGATAAACTACTTAGTTCACTAAGGCTGCCAATAAGTGCTAATAAGAAAGATGGCAATAATGAGAACAAACCAGCAACAACCACAAATCATGTGGGTGAAAAAGAAGCTGATAGCAGACTTACAACAGTATTTCATCTAATTAGTAAAATGGCAAGTTTTCAGCCAAAAATTAAGAAAGATGGGAAAAAAACAGGGTAGTATGCTACATATAAAGAAGAAAAGATAATCAAAAGCAAAAGTCCCTTAGGGGTCCAGATTGTGGACTGAGTAGGCAAAAGACTATGTAGGCTATTAAAAATATTTTTAAAAGAGTGTTGGGGTGATCAGACCCAACACCAGGTCGTGGGATTGACAAATTCTGGCAGAGTCAAAGGATTGAGAAAAAGACAGTCTGAGAGAGAGAAGTGGGAAGCAGGGAGCCATCACAATCATGGAGGCTGTGAAGGCCCCGAGCTCTGGGAGCCCACGCTATTTATTGGTAATCCAGCAAAGAAACAGGTGGTGAGAATGTGGAGGTCAAAAGGGCAGGTGCATGATCTACAGCTGTGACAGTTTAGCATTTATAAGGAACGTGTTCTGCTACTTGAGATACTGGGAATACAATTGATCTGGGAGCCTAGGAGGGCTAGAAGCATGGAGCCAGCAAGTCTAGACACATTGCAGAGGACATTATGCAAGCCCTGTCTCAGTTTCCCTCCCAACACTCAGCTTTTTCCCAACAAAAGAGTAAAGAAAATTGTGCCTAAAAAGTATGAGACCAAAGTGTTACCAAACAGAAAATTTCAATAAACAGAGACTACTTCTATTTGAAATTGATTATTTCTATTTGAAATAATCAAATAGAAATTCTTTGAAGGGGATTGAAATAAAAAATTCACTAGAAGGGCTCAGAAACAGGTATTAGCTAGCAAATAAAGAATAAAAAAATGAAAATTAAGATTATGTAGTCTGAAAAGCAAAGTGAAAAAATGAAGAGAAATAGGCAGATCCTGAGAGATGTGTGATACCATAAAGCATACAAATGTTTAAGAGGAACCCCAGAAGAGAAAAAAAATGAAAAGGGGAGAAAAAAAATAGTTAAATAAATATTGTATGAAAACTCTCCAAATTTTATGAGACATTTTATTACACATGCAAGAAGCTTAAAGATCTCCAAGTAGAAGAAACTCAAAGACTTCCCCATCTAGACATACCACAGCCACATTAATGTAATAGATAAATAAAGAGAAAATCTTGAAAGCAAAAATAGAAAAACTATGACATAAAAGGGATACTTAATAAGATTAGCAGATGCTTTATTTTGAGGAAAAGGCAAGATAGTTAACTAAATGCAGCTAGTATGTGACCCTTCCATAGAGAGGAACCAACACAGCAAGCAATTATTCACACTTCTAATCGGTCATGTAAGAGAGAACACTGAAATTCAATAGAGAAGTGATAGAAGGCACCAAAAGCAAAAAAGGAGAAAGATGATAGGCAGGCTATTGTGGGACTGAGATGTGAGAAACCCGCATATCTCACAGCTGCCTGTCTATGAAGCTTGCACTGAGAATGGTCCCACCCTCTCTGTTGAGTGGCCTGCAGCCAGTGCCAGTCTGAAAGCATAGCCACAAAGGACTATGTCCTGACCTGGGGCCAATGCCACAGATGCCACTAGGCCAAGGAGGAAAAGGGGAGGCTGAGCACTTTCACATGCCTTAAAGACAAATATGCCCCTGCTTCTGCTGCTGCCAGTGGCTTCAAGCACCTGCAGAAACAAGACATGAGCAAACTGAGCTCCATAGCTGCCTGCCTATGCTGCTCCCACTGATAGTGACCTCATACTCCCTGGAGGCAGGCTCACAGTGTAGTCACCACTGGCCCCACCTGAGCATTCTGCCAGTGACCTGGGGACATCTTCACCTCTGCCTATCATAGCCAGCACATGAACACACTACCAGATGAGCTGAGCATAAGTCTACCAGCCCAATCCCATTCCCTCAGCATTTGTGGACTCTGGGCAGGAACCTGGGGATCACACAGCCAAGCCCACCACCATTGACATCTGAACATTCCTTCAAAGGTCTGAGGTCAGGCCTACCAAAACTGCCAATACCACAACAGCTAGTGCCCACCCACATAAGCCACCTGTGAGCCAGAAGAATGGCTCACCCAGCCTTTTACAGCCACTGCCAACACCAGCATGAATTGCTTTGGGTCCGGTGGGTTGCCTCACCACTGCTTCAGCCATTGTCCACATCACACCCACTTCCAGGAGCCAGAAAACCCACCTACCCACATGCTTGATGCACTGTTGCCAATATCAGCAACCAAGCTACATAGAGAATCACAGTAAAGGCATGGAAAAAGGCATTCCACACAAATGAAAACCAAAAGTGAGGAGGAGTAGCAAGACTTAGACAAAACAAACTTAAAAACAATAAAGACAAAGAAAGTGAGTGTATAATGATTAAAAGATAAATTCGGTATGTTACAGGTAGTTAGATGGGCATGAGCTGAACAGGAGAAGGCTCTTCTCCCTTACCCACTAGGAATGTCAGATGATGGTTCAACAATTATCATACAGCCAGAGCCAGGGCTCCAGGAAGAGCCAATCTCCTGATGACCCACAGCTGTTAACATCAAAGTGTTAATTGAATGTAGACGCCAGCGGGGAGCAACCTGGCCATGCACATTAAGAAACAAAATAGTGAAGTACGACCTTCTGGGGAAACTCTTGAAACTGTGCCTTAGGCCATTGGTCACTCATATTTGGCTCAGAATAAATCTCTTCAAATATTTTAAAGATTTGGACTCTTTTCATCCATACCTAATTAATGCTTAATTATAAATATATTTCTGCCCAGAACCTGGCATGTAATTCTTGTTAACCTTGTAAAGATAGTTTCATTAACTCCAAGTGAATCTTGGGTCCAAAACTAAGGACGAAAGTATAAAAGTATAAAACTCATAGAAGAAAATTTAAGATCAAATTGTTACAGGTAGTTAGGCATGAGCAGGGGCAGGAGAGGGCTCTCCCCCAACCCACTAGAATGTGGGGTGATGTTTCAGCAATTATCAGCTTGCCTCTCTAAAAATGAAAGTTTAGCAACGCCAGGGAGAGGCCAGTTCCTGATGGTCCACACCTGTTAACACCAAAATGATAATTGAATGCAGGCCCCAGGGAGAAGCAAATTCCTGAGCTTGCATATTAAGAGACAAAAATGGCAAAGAATGATCTTCCGGGTTCATACCACTGGAAAAAGGAAGAAAGCCTCTGATGGTCATACATATAACTCCCTAAACACACTGTGTGTGCTCACTTCCAAAGGGTAAGGAGGGCTCTGCGCATGTAGGCAGCCCACCCTAAGGGAAGAATCATGGGAAAGAGGTGAGCTTATAAAAGTCCTGGGATCACAGTTAAATGGGGCACTTGACCTCTCTCTAACCTTATGTGCTTGCTTGGTTCTCTTCCAAGTGCACCTTCTTTTCTTTCCTTTTTTTCTAAGGGTTTTAAAAATAAACTTCCACTCCTGCTCTGTAACTTGCCTCAGTCTCTCCCTTTCTTTCTTTCTTTCTTCTTTTTTTTTTTTTTGCTTCATGCCTTTCAGTCAAATTCTTTCCTCTGAGAAGGCAAGGACTGAAGTTGCTGTGAGTGCGTACGGATTTGCCACAGGTAACTCCGGGTAACTCGGATCTTTTTCACTTCTAACAAAATATTCATGAACGTGGATTTTCTTCTGAGTTTCTGTATTTAGCTTTTACATTTAACCCTGTGGTTCATTTGGTATTAATTTTGTATGATAATAGGGACTTGTGAGAGAGTATTGGCATCTTAACGTTAAGTTTTTTAATCCATCAACATTAGATGTCGCTCCTTTTATTCATTTATTATGAATTTCTTTAAACACTGTTTCGTAGTTTTCATAGTACAAGTTTTGTGTTTCTTACTTGGGTAAGTCAAGTATTCCTAAGTATTTCATTGTTTTGATTCTGTTTTAAATGGAATTGTTTTTATTTCTGAATTGTTCTTTGCAACTACATAGAAATACAGTTGATTTTTGTAAATTGATCTGGTGTCCTGCAACTTTGTTCAATTTATTATGATTTTTATTGTATTAGGATTTTTCATAAGATATAGTCATTTGCAAATAGAGATAGTTTTACTTTCTAATCTGAATAATAAGCAAAAAATCTTTCTTTCTTTAAATGTTACCTAATTCTATTTTTACAATCTGCAAATATACATGTAGTGAAATATTTTCAGGAAAACAATCTTAGTTCAGACTGGTTGACTCAACATAGGATTAGGTGAAGAAACTGGTTCCTGGCTACATATAGTAAAAAATAAAAATACTAGGTCTGAAAAGAACTAAATATGGCTGAAGAAAATTATTTCATCCTGGGCATTTGACCCACTGCAACACTGGATAAAATGAGATGGGAAGTTGGGACTGTCTCTCTGGTTCTGCTGGGAGTTGGCATCTAAATTATCAAAATGATATAGGGTTGTGGTTATGTTTTGTCTTCTCTGGAAGTTGGACTTGAATAGATACCATTAACTTCACAAACCCCCCATTAACTCTGACTTTCATCTTTGACTACTGTCTCCATCACTTTGATAGAGACACGGTGACTTTCTTACTGTACCTGAAACACAACAGACAAATCACACTTCAGGGCCTTTGCACTTGCTGTATAAGGAATGTGCTTCTCCCACATATTATCATGTCCTCACTCCCTCAATCTTCATTTTTTAAGAAATATTTTCCTTCTATATACATAGGGCCTGTCCTGGTAATTTTTAAAAGCCTACATAAAATTAAGCTTGCCTTCCTCTTTACCATGCTGAAAATACTTCCTGTCATACAAAAATTAGCCAGATGTGATGGAGGGTGTCTGTAATCCCAGCTAGTCGGGAGGCTGAGATAGGAGAATTACTTGAACCTGGGAGGCAGAGGATGCAGTGAGCCAAGATCACTGAACTCCAGCTTGGGCAACAGAGCAAGACTCTTAAAAAAAAGAAAAAGAAAATATTTCCTGTCTTTTTCTTAACAATATTTATCATGATCTAATATGCCTATGTATTTTAGTGATTTGATTGTTTTTGAACTAACAACTCTTCCTCTGGAAACAGATGCATTAGAATGTAAGCTCCATATAAGCAGGGAGTATTGTCTCTTTTGTTTATTGGTTTATTGCCAGTGCTTAGAATAGTGCCTGGCAGATAGTAATTGATCAAAAATATTTGTTGAATACATGAATACATTTTTCAATCTTAGCTGTAATAGGTTTGGTATGTTGCAGCATTGTAATGGGACTTCAGAGAATCCCTCTTGGGTTTTATTCTGGATATACTTGACAAGGGCCGGCTTGAGGGATCTGAATGTTTTCCTTTCTCTTTGTATCACCAACACCTTTTGAGGAGTTAAGGATATCTCCATTCTACAGGGTTTATGGTGCCCCAGGCAGTGGAAACAGCTGTTATCAACACAGGATAGTGCATTTGAAAGGCAGGGGATTAAGCAGAGTTTTGAAGAAAAAAAGAACATAACTCCTAGTTAGATCACACTGTTATGGGTTTTTAACAGATAGTAACAAAAAAAGATAACAGGGCTCTGATTCCATTTCTATGTGGCATCCTGAGGAGGGCCATTAAAATCACTTGGTTAGTTGAAGCTTATTCTTTCTTGGTCTCAGATTATTTTTATCCATGTGATCCTCCCACTCCTTTTCAAGTTTTTGGTGTTTATTATTTAATCTTCAGGGAGTAGAATATATTCTGTAAATATGCATATTGTCCTTTTTCTCTCAGACCAGTGGATTTTGAAATTAATAGTTAAGATTTTGTGTATTTTGTTTCTTTGCTTATATAGTGGTTTGTTCAATTCTCATTGTAGAGCTTTGTTGGGGGCTGAGAGGCTTATAGAATATAAAATCTAATAATGAGGTGTGAAAATTGTACAGCAATTACTATGTCAATTATTTTTTTCTGAAACATGGCGTTTAACTTTTTAAAAAATTTTGAAATAATTATACATTGATAGGAAGTTACAAAATATGTGCAGGGAGGTCTTATGGTATATAGGACATGTTTCCTTCAATGGTAACATTTTGCATGACTATAATACAATACTAAAACTAGGAAATTGACACAACCAGGAAAATCTGTAAAGCTTATTTATATTTCATTAGCTTTACGTGCACTCCTTTGCCTGTGTGTGATTCAATGTAATTTTTTTCACGTGTGTACATTTCTGTAACTACCACATGATCAAGATACAGAACTGTCCCATCAACCACAAGGCTTCCTGTGATTTATTTAATCAATTTGTAAAAACAAGTGAGCCAAACAAAATGTATCTGTGGGCTATATTTGCACTGACAGCTACCAGTTTGCAGTCTTTCCTTTATCATGTGCTTTAGTGAAATATTGTTTGCAAATTTTACTTAACAGTCTCTTCTCCCAAACTACCAGCTCTTCATAGGATTTAGGCAAATATAACACTAAGTGAAAAACAAATTCAATTAACAAACACTATTCTATTCTCAGAAACACATATTATTTCTGAAAACTAAGGCTTTGTAACTGATTTAAGCTTGGTGCCCTAACTCTTCCTTTATGATGCCTTCCAGATGGGCCAATGCCTCACGCAAATGGAACTCAAGGCCACTCCACTATTTCACTAGACAAGTGAGAACATTTCTGAGTGTAAGTGATCAGTTTATTCTTAACCTGTGACACATTTATCACAAATCCAATTGTGTAACTTTTTTATAAAAGTTTTAAATTTTATCTAGAAGTTTTATTACAAAGTACTAACAGCGGGAGCAAAGGTAAATATTTTGGGATCTTGATCTAACATTTTACCTGTTAATTTTAGCTTTATTTCCGTCTCCCTTCAATATGTATACTGCATGTACTTTTTTTTTTTTTTTTTTTTTTCCCCAGACAGGGTCTTGCTGTGTTGCTCAGGGTGGAGTTCAGTGGCAGGATCTCAGCTCAATGCAGCCCCAGTCTCCCAGGCTCAAATGATTCTCCTGCCTCAGCCTCCTGAGTAGCTGGGATCACAGGCATGCACCACCATGCCTGGCTATTTTTTCTTTAAGTTTTTTGTAGAGGCTGTGGGTGGGGAGTGGTGGGGGGTGGGTCTTGCTATTTTGCCCAGGCTGGTCTCCAAGACCTGAGCTCATGTAATTCTCCTGCCTTGGCCTCCCAAAGTGCCAGGATTACAGACGTGAGCCACCAATACCAGTCAACTACATGTATCTTTGATCAGTATGTACACAGTATATACATCCAAGAAATTGATAAAAAGGTAAAATGCTGCATCACGACAGTCATTGAATATGTTCTATGAATTCTGAATCTATGTGTCTGCACTGCCATTCAGTCCACATCTCTCCATTTTAGCCATACAATGAGATAACCAACTATCCAGGTTTTCCCCAGACTCAGGAGTTTCCTGTAATGAAGGACTTCCAGTTCTAAAACTGGGACAGCCCTGAGAAAACCAAGACACCTGGTCACCTTATAGGTGTATATTGAAAGACTTTCTTTGTGTCATTTAAAACTCCAGAACTGTATTAGTCCTCTGATGTTAAAAAGTGCATTCAGATAACTAGCAAATATGTGTAATTTTCTTTGTAAAATTCACTTTGCGGTTAAGTACACCAAAGACCATTCTCTATTTAGAAAGGAAATAATACCTAATTTCTTTCTTAAGGGACTTTCTGAAGGATACTTTGTAATTAGTTGAATGTAGCAAATCTCAGAGAGTGACTAATTGAAAAGCAACTGATTCAATCAGCAGCTCCCTAGTTGACACTTTGTAAAAATAGATAAAAGCACAAAAAAGTAAACCATTAAGAGTAAGGTGGGGAGGAGTGTGCAAAATTAGTTCATGAACAAATATGGAAGATACAAAGCTTCCTTTGAAGTTTCATTCTGATGTTAACTAATCTTCACCCATTCAGCATACTTGCCATGTGTATTATGGTGAAACAAATATATTTAAAATACACATCAGGGAAATTGGGTATTCTTCCTCCTGAAATGCACTAAAAGAACTGTATGAATTTATAGCTCAATTGTTCTAAAGCATCATACAATTTTAAATTATAATAAATCCTGCATGCGGTGGTTTTCCTTCATTCTCCCTTTTTACTCTGCACCTCTACCCCATATCCAAGCCATTCCAAAGAACCCTGAGACCACAGGAGAGATGCCAGAATAAAACATTTAAAAGAAAAGGGAAATATATTACTTAAAGCAACAATTACTTGTGTATTCCTTCACAACTTTCTTATTGAATTCAGTCCACCTCTTTATAGCTGCAGAGGTCTCTGTCGAACTTATCTGGCTAATTATGTTTGAGGCATTTCCTACTTTTTATTTTCTAGTATGTCAGCTTTCCCAATATCACATGACCAAACTTTGTTCCAATCGCTCATGCTTTCATTCTAATAAGTAAACAACAAAAATATGCTTTTCAAATTTGTGCTTTAAATTTGTCCAGAATGAATAGAAATAGGCTGTTTTGAATACTCTTTCACCAAAATGTCTCTTAAAAGCTAAATTGGAAAAACTTTCTTTTTCTATCTATGATCTTTGTTTTGGCCCTGCAAAGTGATGTTTATTACTCAAGAGTAGTTTAAAAACACATTGCTTTCCCAATACAGGAAAATGACTAAGGGTCAAGTATTTCTCAGAATAATCTTCAAGGAAGCAGTTTTGCTTGATTGAAACTTCAGGCTGGGTGCAGTTGCTCATGCCTGTAATCCCAGCATTTTGGTGGCTCATGCCTGTAATCCTAGCACTTTGTGAGGCTGAAGTGGGTGGATTGCTTAAATCCAGGAGTTCCAGACCAGCTTGGGCAACATGGTGAAACCCCCTGGACCTGATGGCTTCACTGCTGAATTCTACCAAACTTTTAAAGAATAACTAATAACAACCCAATTCAAACTTTTCCAAAAAATAGAGGATGAGGAAAATTTTTAAACATTCTATGAGGCCAATATTACCCTGTTAGCAAAATCAGACAAAGAGATAGAAAAAAAAAACTACAGGCCAATATCTCTGATAAATACTGATGCAAAAATCTTCCATAAAATACTAGCTAACTGTATATTAGAAAGCTTATTCACCATTACCAAGTAGGATTTATCCCTGGGATGCAAGGATGGTTCAACATATGCAAATTAATCAATGTGATGCATCATATCAACAGATTGAAGGATTAAAATCAGTATTTCAATTGATGCTGGAAAAGCATTCAATAAAGTGAAACATTACTTCATGATAAAAACCTAAAAAATAGGGTATAGAGGAAACATAACATGATAAAAGCCGTATAGGACAGACACACAGCTAGTCTCATAATGAATAGGGAGAACAGAAAGCCTTTTCCCAAAGATCTAGAACAAAACCAGGATATCCAATGTCACCTACTATTATTTAACATAGTATTAGAGGTCCTAGCTGAAGCAGTCAGAGAAAAGAATGATATAAAGCATTGAATGGTTAATATTGAGTTTCATCTTGATTGGATTGATGGATGCAAGGTATTGTTCCTGGGTGTGTCTATGAGTGTGTTGCCAAAGGAGGTTAACATTTGAGTCAGTGGACTGGAAAAGGCAGACCCACCCTCAATCTGGGTGGGCACCATCTAATCAGCTGTCAGCATAAAAGCAGGCATGAAAAGAGAAGACTGGTTAAGCTTTCTGAACTCTATCTTTCTCCAGTGCTGGATGCTTCCTGCTCTCGAACATCAGACTCCATGTTCTTTGGCTTTTGGACTCTTAGACATACACCAGTGGTTTGCCAGGGGCTCTTGGGCCTTTGGCCACAGACTAAAGGCTGCACTGTTGGCTTCCCTGCTTTTCAGGTTTTGGGACTCAGATTGGCTTCCTTGCTCCTCAGCTTGAAGACGACCTGTTGTGGAACTTCACCTTGTGATCATGTGAGTCAATACTCCTTAATAAACTCCCTTTCATATATACATCTATCCTATTAGTTTTGTCCCTCTAGAGAACCCTGACTAATAGAGATTTTGGTATTGGGAGTCATTCTAGTGGAACAGAATTTTAAGGATGGATTCCTTAGTTTGTTTGGGGGTTTCTGGTTCTGGAGTTGACTGCTTAATGTGATTGAAACCAAAAATGCTAAGGGATCTACTTCTAAAAGTACAGAGAACACTGATAGTCATTGGTGTGAACTCTTTAGAGAGTTATGCAAAATAAATGCAGTTAATAATCCTGATTCACTGCTCATGAGAGGCAGTTTAGTGACTCTATACATAATACCTTTGATCATATGTGGAGAACCAAGGAACCTAAGGAAGTTGGTTGGTTGCTCCTAAGTTCACTAGACAAGAGAGATGAAAGAAAATGAACTCAGGGATTTTATCTCCCAGTTCCAGAAGCACATAATGAGCCTCAAATCTGTTAAGATTGCCTTGAGCGAGAGTCGTATGTCCTGTAAAGAAAGAGCTGAAATTGTGGAAAAATCATATACAAGCTCTGATTATGTGAGTGGCTAACTTGCAGTGAAAGGTGCATGCACAGGCCAGGCCTGGTGGCTTATGTGTGTAATGCCAGCACTTTGAAAGGCTGAGGTGGGCAGATCACTTGAGGTCAGGAGTTTGAGACCAGTCTGGCCAACGTGGCGAAAACCTGTCTCTACTAAAATACAAAAATTAGCCGGGCATGGTGGCAGGCACCTGTAATCCCAGCTACTCGGGAGGCTGAGGCAGGAGAGTCACTTGAACCAAGGAGGTGGAGGTTGCAGTGAGCTGAGATCATGCCACTGCACTCCAGCCTGGGTGACAGAGCGAGACTCCCTCAAAAAAAAAAGAAAAAGGAAAAGAAAGGTGTGTGCACAGCCTCCTCAGGTCCAGGTGTCTACTGTTGAAGTGAGGGCACTGATTGGCAAAGAACTGGACCCTGCAACTTGGAATGGGGAAGAGTGGGAGGACCCTGATAAAGCTGGGGGGCACTGAAATCCTAAATTCTAATGAGCTTTTTTTTGCCAGAGGAAATGGCCTCCCCACCCCGCAGTGGTGGTAACATCCCCTCTCCCACCCAGGCTGCCATCAGCCTTTCCACCTTTGTCTGAGGAGATTAACAATGCACTGCCTGAGGCAACAGTGATAACCTCCCCTGAGGCAGTTGCCAGGCAAAACAATGTTGATTCCCCTCAAGAGCCACCCCCAACATCCCTGTTTGCTTCTAGACCTATAACTAGACTAAAGTCCCAGCGGGCCCCTAGAGGTGAGCTTGAGAGTGCGACCCATGAGGTGGTGCTACACTCGAAAGAACCACTTGAGTTTTCTGATTTATATAAACAGAAATCTGGAGAAACAGGCATGGGAATGGATATTAAGGGTGTAGGATAATGGTGGAAGAAGCATAGAGTTGGATCAGGCTGAGTTTATTGATTTGGGCCCACCAAGTAGGGACTCTGCATTTAATGTTTCAGCTCAGGGAGTTAAGAAAGGTAATAGTTCTGTTTTTATTTATTTGCTTGGTTAGCTGAAGTATGAATTAAAAGATGGCCCACTGTGAGTGAGCTGGAAATGCCTGATCTCCTGTGGTTTAATGTATGGGAAGGGATCCAAAGGCTTAGGGAGATTGAGATGCTGGATTGGATTAGTCACTTTAGACCTACTCATCCCAGCTGGGAGGGTCCAGAAGACATACCCTTTACCAATACTTTGTGAAGCAGATTTATGAGGGGAGCACCTGCATCCTTGAAGAGCTCTAGTTGCTCTTCTCTGTATGCCAGATCTTACAGTGGGAACTGCAAGATCCCACTCAACTACAAAATTTAAATGCAGTTGGAATAATTGGTCCCTGAGGTGGCAGGGGCCAAGTGGCAGCACTTAACCATCAAGGCAAGGTGGGCATAGTTACTGTAATGGACAGCAGAGGCAAAGCAGCAATTAGAATAGTCTGACTGGTGCAGTGCTCTGGCATTGGCTGATTATTCATGGTTCTCCTAGAAATGAAACTGATAGAATGCCTACTGCATTCTTATTTAACCAGAAAACTTCTAGGTTGAATGGACAAAAGACTAGTTTGAATTATAAAAACAAGAGAATCAAAGCCCCTCAATCAATTTCCAGACTTGCCCCAGTTTACAGACCCAGGACCTCTTGAATGAAGAGGAGGCTGGCTCCCCTTGAGGAAGGACTCCACTACACTACTGACAATTTATGCTGTTAATCTTTCTCCCATCCCTCCCAAAGGAGACCTCAGGCCTTTTACCAGGATAACTGTGCATTGGGGAAAGGGAAATTATCAGACCTTTTGGGGACTACTGGACACTGGCTTTGAGCTGATGTTGATTCCAGGGGATCCAAAACATCATTGTGGTCCTACAGTTAAAGTAGGAGCTTATAGAGGTCAGATAATTAATGGAGTTTTAGCTCAGGTGTGACTTACACTGGGTCCAGTGTGTCCCTGGACTCATCCTGTGGTCATTTCCCCAGTGCCAGAATCCATAATTGGCATAGAAATACTTAGCAGCAGGCAGAATCCCCACATTGGCTCCCTGAATGGTAGGGTGAGGGCTATTATGGTGGGAAAGGCCAAATGGAAGCCATTAGAGCTGCATCTGCCTAGAAACATGGTAAATTCAAAACAATGTCCACATCCCTAGAGGGATTATGGAGATTAGTGCCACCATCAAGGGCTTGAAAGATGAAGGGGTGGTGATTCCCACCACACTCCCATTCAACTCTCCTATTTGGCCTGTGCAGAAGACAGAAGGGTCTTGAAGAATGACAATGGATTATCATAAGCTTCATCAAGTGGTGACTTCAATTGCAGCTGCTGTACCAGATATGGTTTTATTGCTTGAGCAAATTAACACATCTCCTGGTACCTGGTATGCGGCCATTGATTTGGTAAATGCCTTTTTTTCTCCATTCCCGTCCAAAAGGCCCTAAGAAGCAATTTGCCTTCAACTGGCAAGGCCAGCAATATACCTTCACTGTTTTAGTATACTGATAGGGGTATATCAATGCTCAGGTTTTGTGTCATAATTCTGTTTGAAGAGATCTTGATCACTTTTCCTTTCTACAAGATATTATACTAGTCCATTACCTTGATGACATTATGCTGATTGGATCCAGTGAGTGAGAAGTAGCAAACACACTGGACTTATTGGTGAGACATTTTTGTGTCAGAGGATGGGAAATAAACCCAACTAAAATTCAGGGACCTTCTACCTCAGTAAAATTTCTAGGGCCCCTCTGGTGTGGCTAAGTCTTTTGGCCTCCATCTTTCTCCTGTGCTGGATGCTTCCTGACCTTGAACATCAGACTCCAAGTTCTTCAGCTTTGGGGCTCTTGGGCCTACACTAGTGGTTTGCCAATGGCTCTTGGGCTTTCAGCCACAAACTGAAGGCTTCCCTACTTTTGAGGTTTTGAGACTCTAACTGGCTTCTTTGCTCCTCAGCTTGCAGATGGCCTGCTGTGGGACTTCACCTTGTGATCATGTCAGTCAATGCTGAATGTAGAAAACCATTTCCCTAATTTTCATGAAAAGGGAAGGGAGTTTTGGTGACATCTTTCCTGATTTTAGTACAATTACAAGATGAACCATTAAATTGTTGACTCTTTTACAGTTTGTAACAGTATAACAATTTACTAATTTTGTAACACTAGTCAACAACTTTATTTTTTGACTGGGCTTCTAGACTTACACATCAGGGAAATGGTATAGTATGTTTGCATTTTGTCAGTTTTAATGTGTCTTTCTGGAAAAGATGGAAAGATCTGAGCTAAATGATAATATTTGGTTGATATTTAACTGATTGAAGAACCTCACTTCACATAGATGGTGCTGATTTCAGGTCCTTATGTACCTAGAATATACTTGCCAATATCATGTCACAAACATCTCTTTTATTAATAATGTACAGAAGCTCTTAAGGAGAATATTGATGAATTCTATAATTTGTGTATGACATTAGAATAGGAAGACAAATTAGAATGTTAAAACTGTTCAAAAAGGAAACTAGCCAAATTAAATTTAAAAGAGTTTAATTGAGCAAAGAATGATTCACAAATCGGGCAGTCTTTTAAGCCAGAGTAGGCTCAGCAACTCCAGCACAGCCACTTGGTGGAAGATTTATAGACAGAAAAAGGAAAGCAACGTACACAAAATGGAAGTGGGGTATGGAAACTTTCAGATTGGTTATGGTTCTGTGTGTGCCTTATATGAACATGGTTTGAACATTTGGCCACATACGATTGTTTAAAGCTTGGTGATTGGCACAAGAGTAGGCTAACGTATGTTTATAATCCCTTCTAGGTTATAGTTCATGATGTACATAGAAACCTTTGGGCTGAACTTAAAATATGTAAGGAGACAGCTTTAGGCTAAACTTGATTTAGCAATTCCCCCTTTTTCGTCATCCTCTCAATTTTGAGACTGATCAAAACTTTAATCATTGATGTCAGTATCAGCATCGTAAATGTACTTATTTGGTCTTTAAACGCACTGGGAAAGAGCAGGAGAGTTGGTTTTGTAAGGCAGAAACAAGAACTTCAGGTTAATTTCTTTTTGAAAGGGTTAGAGTAGAAGATACCTCCTTATGCTGGAATGTCCTGTTTACAGGAGGAAAAACAACCTGGTCTCTCCTAGGATCTATGTGTTTCCTTAAAGTCTTAGTTTGATTATGCCACATTTAGTATGAGTGACTCCATTTTGGTTTGGTCTGGTCTGTTGGGGCCTGGTGCATGAGCTCAGTCCAAAACAATGGCCTCTTATAATTTGTTTAAAAATTCCACCCTTTTGGTCAGGTTCTCATTTAGGTGAGAATGTGACCAAAACTTAGGGCCTTAGTGCCACTCTCAGTTACCATCACTTAGGGTTTCCAGTCTCAGCACATCATTCAGAGGTTATGGTGCCTTCATGGTCACACATTTATTTTAGCTCTTGTCATTCTAGTTGAAGAGAGACCATTTGACATTCTAAATAGGGCTGCATGCATGCATTTAACATTTTTGAGAGAATACAGTACACCAGGGAGAATACTATTATGAACATCATGAGGATAATAAAAAGAGTTTGGAATATGCTCATTAGCCAGTATCTCCATAAACCAAACCAACTAAAATCAAATAGATCAAAGAATGATCTAGATAAAGAGTCTTCTTTTAAATAAGCAGTCTTGTCTTTAGTTCCCTACACCTGAATCTATGTAATACCTGATATGATGTATTTCTCCATGACCAACAATTGCCAACAGCTGCAAAACTACTTCTCTGTTTAGCCAGTAAGTAACCTACAGCAATTCAATTATTGAGCTTAACTTTCACAAGATAATTTAAGTCTGCTATGTAACCATAGCCCTTACAGTAGAATTTGCTATAGAACCTATCATAAGGGATGAATTTCTAAATATTGCCTCATTTTACTCCAAACCATGAAAAAAGGACCAAACAAATGATGCCCTTCAGAAGAGTTTGGATCTCATGGCAATGTTCTGTTTAACCCATGACAATTGGTTAAGGGGAGTGGACCAATGTTCTGTTTCTGACTGATTATGTGGCAACATATGTACCATTAAAATTTCTCACCTATATTGGGCCTTCATTTTCCATATATCACAGCATAAAGTTATCTGTGTATAAGGCAGGCTGTGAAATCCCTCACAAATAAAAGTATACCCTATGAATGCATACAACAGATCCCTTTTCACTTCTATTGTTCATAATTGCATAAGCAAGGGGAAAATTCCAAAATAAGAGTATCATGATAGGAGAGAAGTCTTGATTGATGATCTTAGCAAAAAGCTGTTCACATCAAGGATGCCATCTTCTTCTTGGGAGAAACTTTCCTAGTTAGCTTTATCTTAAGGCTTCCAATGGGTGTACAGTTCCAAGAGTGTGGAGGGATGCTTCTGAGTTGAGATTATAAATCCAAAGTTTAAGGTCCTGAAGTTTTGCTGCAGTATGGATGTCAAGGGCAGCTTTTCTTTGACATTCTCAGAAGATCCAATTTTTGGGTTTTATATTATGGAGGGGTTGATTGTCCTTAATCAGTGAACCATGAAAAGCTTTTTTTACCTGGTAAAAACACACTGTGGCATAATGAGCTACTGCTGTAACATCAGCCCTTTTGCATGGGAAAACATTTATACAACTAGAAAATATTCACTGAAAATGACAATTGAATGAAATCCCTCTATAAATATTTAAATGGCTCATCAGGAAGTATAATGTACCTGAGATTTTAATTGTCTTCCCAGGAATATGGGTTTGACAAACAAAACATTGTTTATAAACTATTTTAGCAATTTAGAAGTCACCACATCAATATATAATCTATTTAATTTAGATCATTTTATTTTTTCCATGATGAGTCATAGAATGGAGAACTTTTTTTTTTTTTTTTTTTTTGGAGACAGAGTCTCGTTCTGTTGCCCAGGTTGGAGTGCAGTGGCGTGATCTTGGCTCACTGCAAGCTCTGCCTCCAGGGTTCACACCATTCTCCTGCCTCAGCCTCCCAAGTAGCTGGGACTACAGGTACCTGCCACCAGGCCCGGCTAAATTTTATATTTTAAATATAAAAATATAAAATTTTTATATTTTTAGTAGAGACAGGGTTTCACCGTGTTAGCCAGGATGGTCTCCATTCCTGACCTTGCGATCCACCCATTTTGGCTTCCCAAAGTGCTGGGATTACAGGCATGAGCCACCACACGTGGCTGAATGGAGAACTTTTAATAACAAAAGCTTTAAGGACTCATGAAGGACAAAGCAACCGTCCTAGTTCTCTATGAGTCCATGCTTAAACATTGAACAGACTTAGGTCCTCTTGAATACTAGTTGTTTTTCCAATCTGGGTGCATAGCACTGATAACTGATGAATTATCACAGGTAATTTGAATTAGACCATGGAGTTCATTCAAATTTCATATCTACAAAATTTCAGTTTTGACTGATACAGCATGAAAATCTGGCAAAGTATTTATTGGTATTCAAGTATTTTTTTTTTTTTTTTTGAGACGGAGTCTCGCTGTTTCCCAGGCTGGAGTGCAGTGGCGTGATCTCGGCTCACTGCAAGCTCCACCTCCCGGGTTCACGTCATTCTCCTGCCTCAGCCTCCCCAACAGCTGGGAGTACAGGTGCCCGCTGCCATGCCTGGCTAATTTTTTGTATTTTTAGTAGAGATGGGGTTTCACCGTGTTAGCCAGGATGATCTCGATTTCCTGACCTTGTGATCCGCCCACCTCGGCCTCCCAAAGTGCTGGGATTACAGGCGTGAGCCACTGCGCCCGGTGGTATTCAAGTAATTTTTATTCTTTTTGGGTTGATAGTTTTATAAACCAGTCAGTCTTTTCATTAAGGTTCTTTGAATTCTTACCCAGCCCAAAATATATGATTCCAAAGTTATTAAAAATCTGTATTAAAGGGTTCTTTTCAGGGTGCTTTCCTTCTTTTCATGAACCTCCTTAAAGACATCATATTCTAGAACTTTGTGTGCTTGTGAAATTTTCAGAAACTGCATAATAATTAACTGTGGAAATAACTTCAGTCATAAAGACATAATTGACAAGGAAATTTGGTTATTTCTGTGGTCTACAATAATTTAACATAATAACCATAATCAGGATTCATAGCATATACACAGACAGAATTTTTTGAATCCCATATAATTTTGGAACATATATTAATAATATTGATTAAAATATAAACTGAATAAAGTTAAACATTATTTCTTGTATGACAGTATTTCCCATGTAACTTAACATGTCAAATAATCCTATTTACCTCTCTTTGGATGCCTTAGGGTTAGAGGATGCCCCTAACTTTGGGCAGCATCCCAAAGTTAGAGGTCAAGAAAGACTTAATTTTAAAGCTGAAAGTTGGTTTTGAGAAGCTGTCAAATATGTCAAAGGTTTAAAACACTTGACCCAAATAAGATCACAGGTCACCATAAAACAATAGTCATTCATTTAAACAAAGTGATAATTAAAAGATTTTTAAAAACAAAAACCTATACTCTTAGATAAAGGAGACTCAGTTTTCCAAACAATTAAAAGACCTAAGATAGCATGAGACAGAATCTCTTTTTCTTTCTTCTTTTTTTTTTGTGATTTGCTCAAAAAGTGAACAAAAATGTTTTACTGTGTCTTATTAATACTATACAAATTTTTTTCAAAAGAGAAAATCAAATTTTACTTTTGTATCAATATATTTTTAATATTAAAACTAATTTTAATAAAGCCTCATAAATAAATAAAATCTATCATATTTTAACCACATGATTTTCATAAGCTTTTCATTTTACATTTTCCACAACTTTCTATATTTATATATTGTTTTGTCTATTTTTTACTCCTTCAATTTGAAATATTTGAGTAATTTTAAATTAGACAAAAATGTTAATACACATTTTTGCCTTTATAACTTTCCTCATCAAATGTGTATTTTGGTTTTCTTTATAGAGTCTGTATACAAAATTGTTTCTCTCATATCTAGCAGTTTTAACTATTAGTAACTTGAATTTCTAGTGAAAACCCTAGGAAGTTATTTTGAAATTCTTTACATTGGTATTTGTAAATAAAAAATATTTTATAATTTTTTCAAAAAATAGTTTTTCAAATTATTATTTATTAACAGATCTAAAAATATTTAGCTTTTCTATACCATGTAAAAATAACATGTCATTATATAGACAAACTCATTTTTAATAATTAATATTTTTGTATCTTACAGATGCCTCAGATATTTTGTAATTATCTATTACTTAATTTAACATAGCATGACTCCAATAGTTTAAGCTAAAAAGAATTTTGAAACTATGACACAGGTGGCTTTCCTAATATCCCCCAGTAATTCTAGGTCTCAAGTAGCCACATGGCACCCAGAAGGGCTATGAAGGTCAAGGCCTGTCTGAGTCCATCAGGACAGACGAAAAGAGCTGAGAAGACTATACCTGGAGGATCCAACCTCTCCCAAGATAGCTAGTAGGCGAAACAGAGAAAGCAGAGGAATAAGGAGCCATATTAGGCTTGATTCTGACTTGTAACTTCTGGGCTAGGCAGGAAACACATATCCTAACCTCATTGTGGCTCCCTATCCAGACCTGTGAATCCAGAGACTCTAAACCAAAGATATTAGCTCACAGTCAAATCAAGCAAGTATCTAATTGTATTTAACTGATAATTTTGAAACCATTTCTATTTTACCAACAATTTAGAACCTAGCTTTATTTATCAAATAATTATATACACGTAACACATACAGAGATACAAACACATAGAAACAGATCTTATAGTGCTCATAAAGGATTTTCATTTGCTAGCTTTTAAATGTATTTTTCTTCTCCCCATTCATTCTATGAGTCATCCAATTTTCAGTTTAATTGCCTTAAGCAATTGTTAAAAAAGCAACAAATTTTCATTTCTAAAGGGACAACTCTTAAGTGGGACCCCCCAAAATTTTATATTTCATATGCACAGAGCTAAGATTTTAGGGCTAAATATTGCATCGTCATTTGTTCAAACCAAGGGAAAAAAACTACTCAAAAGTTCACTTAAGATGGCCAGAAAAGTGTCTTAAACATAGGTATGACTTATTATATAAATTTAAAAGAATGGTAAGAGTTTCTAATATATGTAAGCAGACATCCTTAAGAATGGAAATTTCCTTTATAGATGTAAATTTCTTTTACAAAAGAGTTTCAAGATAGGCAATTAAATTCCAGAAAAGTATATTTTAGTTAAATAGGATTTTTTTTTTAACTTAGTTACTGTTTTTTTACCTAAAATTACTGAGTTTACGGTAATGGGTGAAGTTCATTAAAGAATAGAGCCAACAAAGCAGTGTATGCCTGGACTAAGCATAAATAGATCTGAAAAACAAGCAAGCCTGTTTTACCTGAGGGTCCACCTTTTATAAATACCTTATCTAGAGTAGCTTTCTTTCCAGTTTTCGCATGAAACAGTAAGCCAAACGGTTAACAGATATAATTTTTAAATCAATTAGTCACTTATACTTTTTATTTGTCTTTTATACAGTCTTTCTTTAAATAAAAAATATTGTAATCTTTTCAGAAGCTTCTCCATATCAATAGGCATTTCTCGATGAGACTAATTTGGGAACACTCATTTTCAAATGCACTTCAGTGCAGTGTTGCTAATTTGGAACATTCCACCGTAACTTTTCTTTAGTAAGATTTCATTGTTTTTGTAAGACTTCGCTGCTTCTGGGGCCTAATAGTTATGCATGTATAAGTCAGAACTCATTTCTTCAGAAATTAAGGATCCCGTTTTTATCTGAAATATTGGCTTTGGCTCTCAGGTTCCCTTGATAAACTTAGCCAATGATATTTTTCCCTCCCTAAGCAGGCAGGAAAAATGAAACAGGTGTAGAACACAAAAATCCCTGCAAATTTCCAAAAGCCAAATTTTACACCCCCTGCAATATTGCCATTTACTACCAGGTTCTTTCTGACCCAGTCAAACATAAGAGGCCTCTAACTGGATCCAAGCCAATTAATTACTGGATCCAATCCGATCCTGGACCCAGTTTAGTTTCTGTTGTGACTTCCAGACCCAGCTTGGATCAGAAATTTGCTCAAAGAAACTCAGCTTAAAACACAAATCTGTGGAGCTTCAGAGTCCGAGAGAGAACTTACCATGATCCACAACTGCTCCAAGAGAGCAATGGACACAATGGGCCAGGTGAGTACCTCACTTGGTCACTCTGCGCTCCTGGGGGTCATTAGAAGCTCTACTTCAGATCCCAATTCTGATACCATCTGTTTAAAAAAAAAAAAAAGAAACTAAAAACTTTAGCCAAATTAAATTTTAAAGAGTTGAATTGGGCAAAGAACAATTTGTGAATCAGGCAGTCTCCTGAACCAGAGTAGGCTCAGAGACTTCAGTGCAGCCACGTGGTGGAAGAATATTTATGGACAAAAAAAAAGAAAGTGATGTACAGAAAATGGAAGTGAGGTACATAAACAGCTGAATTGGTTATAGCTCCCTGATTGTCTTATTTGAACACTGTTTAAACAGTTGGCCACATTAGATTGGCCAAATCTTGGTGATTGGCACAAGAGTAGTTACAGTCTGATTACAATTCCATTTAGGTTATAGTTCATGATGTACAGAGAAACTTTAAGGCCAAACTTAAAATATGTAAAGACACAGCTTTAGGCTAAACTTGATTTAACAGAACCAAAACATAAATTAGATACATCAGAATGTTAGTTGTATCTATGCAAATAAAATTTATTAAAGATGTATGTAAAGTTCCACAGTTGTAGCAATAATTTTATTGATGCACAGTATGGTTAAAATGATTAAATTTTATTAAAAATAAGACTTCGTTGTTTGAGGGTACATTTAGCTCTCTTCACATATTAGAAATATTCCATGAGTACCCTCAGAGATAAAATGCCAGAGGCACAGATAATACCAAATAAAGAAGAAATATCTGTCAATTAGAGCTATTTAAGAATGCAATAGAATACTTTGGGTGGCCATTTGTTTAATAACACTGAAAATTTTAAGTAGGATTTAGAAAACCAACTGCTATTATTATTTGGAGTAAGTTCAATCATTCAGAGTTTCAATTGGATAATCATTAAAGTTTCTCCTAACTTCAACTGACTTGACTGTGTTTTGTAATGTATTTATTTTTTGTTATAAATATACGCAAAGTAACTTCAAATGCATATGCATAGTATGTAAAGTATTTCTCAGTTTGTTCTCATCATGAGCTTCTTACTATATCTCCACAGTTGCACACACAATAGTATAGTCAGGCAAAATTATTACCTCGATGTACTTTATAGAGAAAAATACTTTTAGAGAAAAATACTTTTTGAATACTGGAATACTCTTTTCAGTGTTTATCAGGGCATTGTTGTGTGGTACAATGGTTAATTACTAGGCTACTTTATTTTGCATTAGACTGGACACTGATGTTTAATAAGACAATGGCTTACATTTTAACAATTAAAGTGTTATTTATTGAGATGGAAACACATTTGCATGCTGACAATGAATGAGGGAAAAACACAATTTTGTTGAAAGGCTGAAATGGGAACAGAAACAGTAAGTGTAAATTAAATAATTAGAATCATTACTACAGGCCACCGAGGATTTATTTTCATTGGCAGTAGCTATTAGCCCTTGTTAATGATTCCTGAAAAAATAGTTTTATATTTTCAAGACAGATGTTTTCATAATTTACTCTGCCACTCTCTTGGGCCTCTAGAAATCACAACATTAATACCTGTTAGTGAATAATCATGCCTATGTTGATACCAACTGAATAGTATATTTAACTGATGGCTAATATCCTATCAGTGAGGATTAGCGCATTATAAACATATAAATATTTTTATACAGCAGTACATTGTGCTTGTGTCTATTTCTATTTTTCAGAGTTGTAAAATATTTTTCTTTCAATTTTGTATAATGACTAGAAATAAAAATGTACTTAAGACTGAGACTACTAAATTTGATTACAATTTATAGATTATTAATTATTGCAATGTGTCTGATTAATGGTGAATTTTTAAAACTTGCATTGACCTAACTTTTACACACACTGGAAAACTTTGTACAAGAGCTATGAGGATTTACCTGGTTTTTTATTTCAAATCTAGCTAAATATCTCCACTTCTTTCCTCTGGGGAATGACTATAGTTTTAGCCTAGTTCCTTTACTCAATAAAATGTATATTGGGAAATCTACAAAGTAAGTCTCCAACATAGATTAAATTCCTGTTCTCACTCATGATTCCGTTGTTGAAATTGCTTGGATTCTGACATTTTGTATCCAAGCCTAATTGTTAGAATACTGACATATGTCAACTTGGCATAAGACCCAATTGTCACTCTGAACTATGATACTTTCACGTCTTAAATTTCCACCCATTTGTAATAATTTTAATTTTTTGTTTTTAAATTGATACATAAGGTTATACATATTTATAGGGTACATGTTAGTATTTATTACATGTATAGAATGGTTAATAATCAAGGTCATTTCGTGTATTCATCACTTGAGTACTTATTTCTATGTGTTGGGGACATTTGAAGTCTTTTCTAGCTATTTTGAAATATACAATACATTGTTGCTAACTGTAGTCACCTTACTCTGCTACTGAACATTACAGTTTACATCTTCTGCCTAACTCTATGTTTATACCCATTAACCAACCTCTCTTCATGACCCCCTCCCATGCACACACCATTCTCAGCTTCTGGTATCTATCAGTCTGCTCTCTGCTTCCATAAAACCAACTTTATTAGCTCCCACATATGATTGAGACTATATGATATTTGTTTCTCTGTGCCTGGCCTATTACACTTAACATAATGACCTCCAGTTCCATCTATGTTGCTGAAGATGACATGATTTTATTCCTTTTTATGGCTTAATAGTATTTCATTGTTTTATATTTTCTTTATACATTCACCTGTTGATGGGTACTCAAGTTGATTCCGTATCTTGGTTATTGTAAATAGTGCTTCAATAAACATGGGGATGTAGATGTCTCTTTGATATGCCAATTTCCTTTCCTTTGGATAAATGCCCAATAATGGGATTGCTGGACAATATGGTAGTTTTATTTTTACTTTTTTGAGGAAGCTTCATACTTCATAGTGGCTTTGTTGGTTTGCCTTCCCATCATCAGTGTATAAGAGTTTTCTTTTCATCCTCATCAACATTTGGCGGTTTTGTTTTTACTTTTTAATAATAGCTATTCTAACTGGGATAACATGATATCTCGTAGTTTTGATTTGCATTTCCCTGATGATTAGTGATATTAAGCATTTTTTAATATAACGGTTGGCCATTTGTATGTCTTTTTTGAGAAATATCAATTTATGTTCTTCATTTTTTAATAGAATGTTTAAAAAACTGTTGAGTTGAGTTCCTTATATATTGTAAATATTGGTTTCTTATCAGACTGACAGTTTGCAAATATTTTCTCCATAGCATGATAATAGCTCACTGCAGCCTTGAATTCCTGTGCTTAAGTGATCCTCCCAAGAAGCTGGGACTACAGGTGTACACCACCATCCTTGCCTAATTTTGTAAAACATTTTTTGTAGAGATGAGGTCTTGCTGTGTCAGTCAGGCTGGGCTTGAACTACTGGCTTCAAGAATTCTCTCATCCTGGCCTCTCAAAATGCTGGGGTTATAGGCATGAGCCATCATGCTCAGCCTGCAGAAGCTCTTTAGTTTAATATAGTCCCATTTGTATATTTTTGTTATAGTTGTCTGTGCCATTTAGGTCTTAGCCACAAAATACTTGCCTAGACCAATGTTCTGAAGTGTTTCCCCATATTTTCTTCTAGTAGTTACATAGTTTCTGGTGTTACATTTAAACCTTTGATTCATCTTGAGTTGATTTTTGTAGATGGTGAAAGATAGGGGTCCAGTTTTCTTCTGCATATGGATATTCAATTTTTCCAGCACCCTTTATTTACCCAATGTGTGTTCTTGGCCACTTCGTCAAAAATCAATTGGCTACAAATATGTTAATTTATTTTTCTGGATTCTCTGTTCTGTTTTATTGGTCTAAGTATATATTTTCATACCTGTACCATGATGTTTTGGTTACTATAGCCTTGTAATATATTTTGACGTTAGGTAGTGTGATGCCTTCAGCTTTATTCTTTTTGTTCAGGATTTTGTTGGCTATTTGAGCTCTTTTTCGATTCCATAAAATTTGGGGAATGTCTTTTCTATTTACGAGAAAAGTGACATTGGTATTTTCATAGGGATTTTATTGAATGTATAGATTGTTTTAGGTGTTATGGCTATTTTAACAATATTAATTCTTCTGAGACATGAGCAAGAGATGTCTTTCCATTTCTTTGTTTCCTCTTTAATTGCTTTCATCAATATTTTGCAGTTTTCTTTGTAGAGATATTCATCTTCTTGATTAAATGCATTTATAGGCATTTCAGTTTATTTTATTGTAGCTAATGTAAATAGAATTGCTTTATTTTGTCTTTCTCAACTGGTTCAGTACTAGTGTATAGAAACATTACTGATTTTTCTATACTGATTTTGTATCATATAACATTACTGAATTTATCAGGTATAAGTTTTTTAGTAAAGACTTTATGTTTTTCTATATATAAGATCACATTATCAGGACACAGGGACTATTTGACTTTCTCTTTTCCAATTTTCATGTCTATTATTTGCATCTCTTGCCTGATTGCTATAAGACTTCCAGTATTATGCTAAATAGGAATGATAAAAGTGGGCATCATTATCTTGTTGTTAGAGAAAAGGCTTTTAACTTTTCCTCATTTAGTATGATGTTAGCAGTGGGTTTTTAATATGTGGCCTGTATTATGTTGAAGTGCATTTCTTCTATGTTTAGTTTGGTAAGAGTTTTTATCATCAACAGATGTTGAATTTTTTTCTATATCTATTGAAATGATCATATGTTTTTTGTCTTTCATTCTGTTGTTGTGATGTATTATGATTATTGATTTCAATATGTTACAGTATCCTAGCATCTCTTAAACAAATCCCACATGATCATGGTTTATAACTTTTTGATACGCTATTACATCCAATTTGCTAGTATTTTATTGAAGATGTTTGTATCTGTGTTAATCAGGAATATTGGCCTATTGTGTTCTTTTTATCTTGCATATTTGTCTGGTTTTGTTGTAAGGGAAATGCTGACCTTGTACAATGAGTTAGAGAGAGTGCCTTTCTCTTCAAATTTTTTTTTTGAATGGTTTGAGGAGAATTGTTATTAGTTCTTATTTGAAAAATTGGTAGAAGTCACTAATAAACCTATGTAGTTCTGGACTTTTGCTTTGATAAACATTTTCTTACTATTTTGATCTCATTACTTCTTATTGGCTTGCTCAAATTTTCTATTTTTTTTAATTCAAACTATGTAAGTTGTAAATGTCTAAGAACGTATGCATTTATTTTAGGTTTTATAGTATTTTAGTGTATAGTTGCTCATAAGAGTCTCTGAAAATCTTTTTTATTTCTGTAGCATCCAATCTAAGGCCTTCTTTTTTATTTTTTATTTTTCTTAACTTTTATTTTAGGTTCAGGGATACCTGTGCAGGTTTGGTATATAGGTAAATTGCATGTCACATTGGTTTAGTGTCCAGATTATTTTGTCACCTAGGTAATATTTTCCTCCCTCCATCCACCTTCAAGGCCCTTGTGTCTGTTATTCTCTTTGTGTCCAGATGTACTCAAAATTTAGTTCTCACTATAGGTGAGAACATGTGGTATTTGGCTTTTTGTTCCTGTGTTAGTTTGCTTGGGATAATGGACTCCAGCTTCATCCATGTTGCTGAAAACGACATAGAATCTCATTCTTTAATGGTTGGGTAGTATTCCATGTGTATATATATCACAGTTTCTGTATATAGTCTACTCTTAATGGGCATTTGGGTTGATTTTATGTCATTACTATTGTGAATAGTGTTTTGATGAACATATGCATGTGTCTTTATGATAGAACAATTTATATTCTTTTGGGTATATACCTGATAATGGGATTATTGGGTGGAATGGTTATTCTGTTTTAAGTTCTTTGAGGAATCAAAAACTGCTTTCCACAATGGCTGAATTTACATTCCCACCAACAGTGTATAAGTACTTCCTTTTTCCAACAACCTTGTCATCATTATTTTTTTACTTCTTTAATAATAGCCATTCAGACTGCATGAGATGGTATATCATTGTGGTTTTGATTTACATTTCTCTAATGATCAGTAATGTTGAGCACTTTTTCAAATGCTTTTTGGCTATGCATATGCCTTCTTTGGAAAAGTGTCTGATTATGTGCTTTGCCCGATTTTAATGGGGTTGCTTGATTTTGCTTGTAAATTTAAGTTTCCTATGGATTCTGGATATTACAGCTTTGTCAGATGCATATTTTTCAAATATTCTCTACCATTCTGTAGGTTGTCTGTTTACTCTGTTGATAGTTTCTTTTGCTGTGCAGAAGCTCTTTAGTTTAATTAGATACCATTTGTCAATTTTTGGATTTGTTGTGATTGCTTTTGGTGTCTTCATTATGAAATCCTTCCCAGATGGTATGACCAGAATGGTATTACCAAGTTGTCTTCCAGAATGTTTATAGTTTGAGATTTTACATCTAAGACTTTAATTCATCCTAAGTTTATTTTTGTATATGATATAAGGAAGGAGTCCAGTTTGAATTTTCTGCATATGGCTTGCCAGTTATTCCTGCACCCTGAATTGAATAGAGTTCTTTTCCCATTTTTTTAATTGTGTCAAAAATCAGCTGGTTGTAGGTATGTGGTATAATTTCTGGGCTCTCTATTCTGTTCCATTGGTCTATGTGTCTGTTTTTGTACCAGTTCCACGCTGTTTTGGTTACTGCAGCTTTGTAGTATAGTTGGAAATTGAGTAATGTAATGCCTCCAGCTTATTTTTCTTCTTAGGATTACCTTGGCAATTTGGGCTCTTTTTTGGTGCCATTTGAAATTTAAAATGTTTTTTTTTCTAATTCTGTAATGAATGTCATTGGTAGTTTGATAGGTATAGCATTGAAGTTGTAAATTGCTTTGGGCTGTATAGCCATTTTCACAAAATTTATTATTCCTATCAATAAGCTGGGAATGTTTTTCCACTTGTTTGTGTTATATCTGATTTCTTTGAGCAGTGGTTTATCACTCTTATTGTAGAGGTCTTTCACCTCCTTGGTTAGCTGTATTCCTGAGTATTTTATTAATTTTGTTGCTATTGTGAATGGAATTGCATTCTTGATTTGGCCTTCAGCTTGGATGTTGTTTCTGTACAGAAATGCTGCTTATTTTTGTACATAGATTTTGTATCTTGAAAATTTACTCTAGTTGTTTATCAGATTAAAAAACTGTTGGACAGAGATAGTGGGGTTTTCTTTGTAAAGAATCACATTGTCTGCAAACAGGAACAATTTTAATTTCTTTCATCCTATTTGGATGCCTTTTATTTATTTATCTTTCCTAACTGCTCTTGCTAGTGCTGCCAGACTATGTTGAATTGGAGTTGTGAGAAAGGGCACCCTTATATTTTTCCTGTTTTCTAGGGAATATTTTCAGCTTTTGCCCATTCAGTATGATGTTGGCTGTGGTTTTGTCATAGATGGCTCTTATTATTTGGAGGTATATTTCAATGCCTAGTTTAAGGTTTTTTTTTTTTTTTAACATAAATGGATATTGAATTTTACTTAAATCGACTTCTACATCCATTGGGATGATTATATGGTTTTCATTTTCAGTTCTGTTTATGTGGTAAATCATATATACTGTTCTTCATATTTCAACCTACCTTGCATCCCAGGGGTAAAGCCTACTTAATAATGGTGGAATAGCTTTTTGATGTGCTGCTGGTTTCAGTTTGCTAGTATTTTTTGAGTATTTTTGGGTCTATATTCAACAAGGATATTGGCCTGAAGTTCTCTTTTTTGCTGTACCTCTGCCAGGTTTTGGTATCAATACATAGATCTGTGACACTATAAAGCAGCTACACAAACAAGGCTACATAATAATCTGCACATAATATGATGACAGATAGAAAGTTGCACATATCAATACTAATCTTCAAACTAAATGGGTTGACCACCAAATTAAAAGACAGAGTGGCAAGTGTGATCATAAAGCAAAACAAAATGATATGCAGTCTTCAAGAGACCCATCTCACATGCAATGACTCAATACCCTCAAAGTAAAGGAATGGAGAAAAGTTTACCAAGCAAATGAAAAACTTAAAAAGGCAGAGGCTGTTATTCTAATTTCAGACAAAACAGACTAAGCCAACAAAGATAGAAAAATATAAAGAAGGGCATTATATAGTGGTAAAAAGGCTCAATTCAACAACAGGACCTAATTATTCTAACATATGCAGCCAACAGAGAAGCACCCAGATATACAAAGGAAGTTCCTGGAGACTTATGAAGAGTGCTAGATAAACCACACCGTAATAGTGGGAGATGGCCACATGCCAGTATTAGACACATAATGGAGGCAGAAAACTAACAATATTCAGGACATGAACCCGACACTTGAGCAAATGGACCTAAAAGACGTCTAAATAACTCTCCACCCAAGAACAGCAGAATATATATTCTTCTCATATACACATGCCATATACTCTAAAATTCACCACATAATTGGCATAAAACAAACTTCTGCAAATTCAAAAAATCCTGAAATCATACAAACCACATTCTCAAACAATAGTGCAATTAAAATAAAAACCAATACTAAGAAAATTACCAAAAACCATACAGTTGTATGGAAATTAAACAATATGCTCCCAAATGACTATTGAGTAAAGAATAAAATTAAGGCAGAAATCGAGAGATTCTTTGAAACTAATGAAAACAAAGATACAACATATTAGATTCTCCAGGACACAGCCAAAGCAGTGTTGGGAAGTTTACAGTACTAAATGTCCACATCAAAAAGTTAGAAAGGTTTGAAATTCGCAACTTAAAATCATACTTATAGGAACTGGAAAAACAAGAGCAAACTAACCCCAAGGTTAGCAAAAGACAAGAAATAACTAAAATCAGGGCTGTACTGAAGGAAATGGAGATGTAAAAACTATACAAAAGATTAGTAAATCCAGCAGCTTCTTTTTGAAAGAATTAGTAAGATGGATAAATCCCTAGCTAGACATAAAAAGACAGAGAGGATCTAAGTAAACATAATCATAAATGAACGGAGACGTTACCACAGAAATACAGAAATCACTCAGAGACTATTATGAACACCTCTATTCACACAAGCTAGAAAACCCAGAAGAAATAAATATATTCCTGGAAACATACAATCTCCAAAAATTGAATCAAGAATAAATTGAATTCTTGAACCGACCAAAATAAGTTCCAAAATTGAGTCAATAATTAAAAGTGTACCAACCAGAAAAAGCCCAAGACCAGATGGTTTTACAGCCAAAATCTACCATATGTATAAGGAAGAGCTGGTACCATTCCTACTGAAACTATTCTAAACAATTGAGCAGGAGGGACTCCTTCCCTACTCATTCTATGAGGCCAACATTATCCTGACTTTTATTGGCATCTTTGTTCTTTTTTTAGTTAGTCTAACTGAGTTTATTCATCTTGTTTGTCTTAAAAATTTTTTGTTTGTCTTGTTTACTTTTGGTATTGCTTAATCTCTATTTCCTTTAGTTCTTATCTAACTTTTATTATTTTTTCTTCTAATCTTGGATTTAGCTTATTTTTACTTTAATAGCTCCTTGAGGCTCATAATTAGGTTACTTATTTGAAATATTTCTACTTTTGTGAGGAAGGTGCTTTTTGCTGTAAACTTTCCCTTCATACTGTTTTTTCTATATACCGTTGGTTTTGGTATTTTGTGTTAGATTTTCATTTGTTGGAAAGGTCAGGTGGGTTTTCAGGTCCCTGGACAGCAGATGTGGCATGGGTGATGGAAATAGCAGCATGGTCCTAAGCAGTGTGCACTGGTATTGGTGGTGGCTGCAATGTTGTTGGCAGGCCAGTGTCCAGGCCCACAGCTGGCATGTGCGGGCAGATGCTAGCTTTGGTGGGGGAGATCCTGGATGGGTGAGCCTGTGTTAATTAGCTTACATAGCTATAAAGGAATATTTGAGGATGGCAGCAAGTCATTCACAAGGAATCTGCCCCATGGCCCATACACCATCCCCACCTTCCACCAGACTCCACCACAAATCATTGGGGATTGCATTTCCAAAATCTAAAGGCTACATCAAAAAAGTATGAGAACTGAAAAACAAATTCAGTAATGTTGCAAAATTATAAATCAACATACAGAGATTAGTAGCATTTTAATATACCAACAGTGAACAAACTAAAAAAGAAATCAAGAAAGTAATTCCATTTACAATAGATACAAAGAAAATGTAATATATAGGAATACACTTAACCAAAGAATTGAAACATCTCTACAATAAAAACTGCAAAACATTGAAGAAGTCACAGAAAAGGAAAGATATGTCATGTTCATGGATTGGAAGAATCAATATTGTTAACAATGTCCATGTTACCCAAAGCTGTAGCAGGACGAGCTGCAGACAAAACTCCTCAGACACAGGGTTAAAGAAGGAAGGAGCTTTATTCGGCTAGGAGCTTCGGCAGGCTTGTGTCCCAAAAGCCGAGCTCCCCGAGTGAGCAATTCCTATCCCTTTTAAGGGCTTGCAACTCTAAGGGGGTCTGCCTGAGAGGGTCGTGATCGATTGAGCAAGCAGGGGTACGCGACTGGGGGCTGCATGCACCGGTAATCAGAACAGAACAGAACAGGACAGGGATTTTCACAATGCTTTTCCATACGATGTCTGAAATCTATAGATAACACAAGCAGGTCGGGGTTGATTTTTAACTACCAGGCCCAGGGCATGGCATTGGGCTATCTGCCTGTGGATTTCATTTCTGCCTTTTAGTTTTTACTACTTCTTTCTTTGGAGGCAGAAATTGGGCATAATACAATATGAGGGGTGGTCTTCTCCCTTAAAGCAATCTACAGGTTCAATGCAATCCCTATCAAAACACCAATGACATTCTTCACAGAAATTTTTTAAAAAAGTCCTAAAATTTATATGGAACCACAAAAGACCTAGAATAGCCAAAACTATCCTGAGCCAAAAGAACAAAACCATAGGAATCACATTACCTGACTTCAAATTATACTACAGAGATATAGTAAGCAAAAGAGAATGGTACTGGCATAAAAAGTCTGTCAGTTCAATGGATCAGAAGAGAGACCCAGAAAGAAATCTGTCAAAATACCTCACATACCCATAAAAATATACACTTACTATGTATCTACAAAATTTAAAAATTAAAAAGTAGCATCTAAGGAAATGAGGAATAGGAGAAAGGCACAGTAAAGATTAAAACAAGAATTTTGTTAAAAAGAATAACAATTTATAAGCTTTATAAAATAGGCCAAGAATGTGAAGTGTTGAGGATTTTAAATTATTCGGATCATTTATAATGAGCTTTTTGTCATGGAAACGATAAACATGCAGCTTTTGGATCTTCTGATTCATCTGTGTTCTCTTGGGCAATAACACCTGATTTCATGTAAAAAGCATAGACTGTGTACATATGTTCATCAAAACACTATTCACAATAGTAATGACATAAAATCAACCCAAGTGTGTGTGTGATTGATGGAATACCCCCAGTGTTATGCTATAAATCTACCACCATGTTTGCATAAGGCTACACTTCCCATAGGCTTCTCTCAGCAAAAGCCTGAGATCCATGGCTATACTGAGGCAGGTCCATTCCCTATAATCTAACAGAGCAACTTTCACTCTAGGAATCTGTATCAGTCTGACACAAATTTTATTAAATTTCTGCTACAGTCTGAGATTCTTCCCAGCTAATTCTCTCTTTATAGGCAGAAAACATGCAGTATGGGATAACAGCTATTTCCACCTCTTACAGCTCCCTCTCTCACCTGTTTTGATCCTTACAATCCTCTCCTGCAATGAAATCTCTTGGCCTTATAATACAACCTTGATAAATTCTTAAGCTGAAAAGTATAATGATGAAAGCAAGGTTTAAGAGGAGTCAAGTTGTCATGGTCTACAAAACAGAGTAAAAAACTAAAGCACTGGAAGCATGCAAACCAATTGAGAAAATATGGATTGATTTAATAGTTATGTGATGTTGGAATGGAATTGAGAGTTGGTGGCATATATGACAAAAGCATGATAGACAACGTATGAAGGTGAATCATGCAGTAGATTAATATTCCCCCTAATAAAAATTAGCAATACATGTATCCAAGAAGTGATTTCCCTCCAAAATATATAATGAACTCTTTCAAATGAATTTAATAAAAGACTGATATGCAACTTGAACAAGCTCTTCCCTATAGATGATTCCAAATCACCAATCAACATATTACATGTATTCAATGTCAATTAGTCATCAGGGGAATGCTAATTAAAATCAAAATGAGGCCCAGGTGTGGTGGCTCACGCTTGTAATCCCAGCACTTTGGGAGATTGAGGTGGGTGGATCACTTCAGGCCAGGCATTTGAGACCAGCCTGGCCCACATGACGAAACCCCCTCTCTATTAAAATTGTAAAAATTAGCCGGGAGTGGTGTCATGTCTCTAATCCCAGCTACTTGGGAGATTGAGGTACAAGAATCGCTTGAAGCCAGGAGGCAGAGGTGGCAGTGAGCCGAGATCCCTGGGCAGCAGAGTGAAATTGTCTCAAAAAAAAAAAAAATAATAAAATGAGAAATGATTAAATACCTATTATAATGGCTAAAAATTTAAAAGCAGAATGTACCAAGTTTTGGTCAGATGTAATACAACCTAACCACTCCTATAGTTCTGGTGGAAGAATGAATTGGTAAATTCACTTTGGAAAATTGCTTGGCAATAGCTACAATATATTGCCAAATATATACTCAATAGCCTAGGACTTCCATTTCATTCCTAGAGTGGTAATTTTCATTGATGTTTTCATCACTTGAATGTACTAAAACTTATGTATCCATTCTTCTGTATGTATGTAAATGTATGTAAAATTTGAAACAATGGAGAACTACTTTGTAATGCTAAAAGTCAGAATAGTTGTCATTCTTGGGTTAGGGTCATATTCTGAATGTGCCTCAGTGCTGCTAAAATATATATTTCTTTGCCCGAATGATGGATGGATATATATATATATATATATGCACATACATATATTTTTGTAAGATAGTATCTAATTGTATACTTATGATTTGTACATGTTTCTATATATATTGTACTTCAGTTAAATATTAGAACAAATTTAAAAGTAAAAAATAGTCTTTCTAGATAAAAATTACTATACTCTGCTTGTTCTATTGACCTTTCTCTATATACCTTTACTGCAAAAAGTTGGATTTGTGAAGGTTTATAATTTTTATAGATTTATCTATTTAGGTAAAACTTGATTCTCCCATTAGACTGCGTGACTTTCAGGATTGGGACTATTTCTGGTTTATATATTGACTCAAGAATCGCTCCTTAAACAACACATATGTTCCTAATACCTTAGATTGTTCCTTTTCTATCTGTTTCTTGATTTACAGGTGTGCATGTGTGTGTGTGTTTGTGTGTGTCTGCATCCTAGGTTGAAAATAGTATTGATTTCTAGCATTTTGAAATTGCTTTTTATTATCTTAAATTATCATAATTATATTTACATAATTAAGACATTTGTATATTGTATTTTCGTAGTGAGTAAAATATCTAGAGAATGGGACTGTTAATTAAGCATTGTTTTAAAAAGGCTAGCTGAAATAGTATATAATTTTATTTCTAATTAGACTGCTACATTTATTCCAGTGCTAGTGGTAAATAATCTATATCCTTTTGGTCAATAACACCTGATTTCATGTAAAAAGCATAGACTATATAGAAATCAATGGACAGTACTGCTCAAGGTGATAGCCATTGATAAAGTTAATAGACACTGCTTTACTTTTATTGTTTCTGAGGAAAGGAATCTACTTGAGATAAGCTATAGACTACAGAAGCACACACACAAATGTGCACAGGCCTATGCACAAGTATACATGCACACACACTATTCCCCTGTTTACAAACACTTTCAATAAAACTGGCATTAAAATAAAAGCTGCTTTGCTTTGGAAAACTAGGTGGTAACCCATTACAGTTTCCTCAGTGCACTGAGGTATAACTGAAAAGAAATAAAAACACTGTCAATTTGAGTACAGTTCTGTAAAACCTTAAATATTTATTTGCAGAAGCCTTACTTTTAGCTGTGCCATATGCAGAATACCATTGAAAGTTATTAAGTAAAGCATATTAATAGAAAACTACATACTCTAGAATTTTCTCAAAAAGGCAGCTCACATCCTATCATTTTTATCAAAAAATTTCTAAAACAAGTAAGTTATACTTATTTCATTAACCTGCAAAAATGCTGAGTTCAAATTGTATGATTATTTTCTTAAACTGTTAATTTTGGAACCCCAACTATAATATGGTAAAAAAGGAAGGAAATATCATATTTTTCATATAATTATCATAAAGATTAGCAGTACTTGTTTAGAAATAAACATGGAAAAATCATCCAAATAACATAAAATGTGATAAAATGTTTTTGTATGTTACCAACACAAGTGCAATGGCATTTAGATCATAGTAATCCTATGCGACTTAAATACCCTCTTGTTTGTGGAAGAATGATGAGGACATACTATATGAATAGAATTGATTGAGGCATTGCCAATGAGATATTCATTGTTGGAATGGTGAAATAAAGTACAGTTTTTTTCATCATCACTTTGTTCTTTTCCTGCAAGAACAGTCTTACATAGTCACTAGTATATCTGAGAAAATCTGTGGCTATGATTCAAGTATATTCATCTAACGAATGGGTTAGTCTACAGAGAAAAATAAAGATAATATGTGGATGAGAGTGGTACAAAGGAATGAGTGAAAGAAAGAGAACCGAAGCTTCCGTTTAGTGTTTATTCAAACTTTATGAAAAGATGCTGTCATTCTTATTGCTTCATATTTAAGGATGGTTACACAGTTACTAACTTCCTATGCAAGAACAATCTGTTGACACTGCGAAATCATTTTCTTTCTCCCTCCAGCTTTATTGACGTATAATTAACAAATAACAAATGTATATATTTACAGTGTATAATGTGATGCTTTGATATATGTATACATTATGAAATAATTACCATGAAGCTCATTAACATATAATCACCTTACATGTTTTTTTTTGTGGGGAGAACATTTAAAACATGCTCTTGTAGCAAATTTCAAGTACACAATACAGTATTATTATCTATAGTCAACATGCTGTACATTAGTTTTACAGAACCTCTTCATCCTTCCTAACTGAAACTTTGTACCCTTTCACCAACATCTTCTCATTTCACTTACTGCCCCCAGCACCAGGACATAACCATTCTATCTACTTCAGTCCACATATCAGTGACATCATATGTATTTATTTGTCTTTCTGTACCTGTTTTAATTCACTTAGCATAATCTGGTTCATCGATGTTTTTGCAAATGATAAGATTTTATCCTTTTTTATGGCTGAATAATATTTTATTGTGCATATATGTACATCTGTTATTCTTAATTCATTTATCCATTGATGGGAATTTAGGGTGATTCCATATGTTGGTTATTGTGAATACTGCTGCAATGAACATGGGAGTGCAGCTATGTCTTTCACATAATTGATTTCATTTCTTTTGGCTATATACTCCAAAATAAGATTGTTGGATCATATGGCAGCTCTATTTTTAATTTTTTGAGGAAATACCATACTGTGTTTTATAACGGCTATAAAAATTTACTTTCCCAGCGTAAGTATACAAGGGTTCTCTTTTCTCTACATCCTTACCACACTTATCTTTTGTCTTTTTGATGATAGCCATTCTAAGAGGTATAAGATGATATATAATATTTTGTATTTCCCTGATGGTTAGTGTTGTTGAGCATTGTTTTTGTATACATCTTGGTCATTTATATGTCTTTTTTAAATAGATGTCTATTTAGGTCTCTTGCCCATTAAAAATGGGTAATGTTTTTCTTGCTGTTAAGTTCCTTTTATATTTTAAATATTAACTCATTATCAGATGTATAATCTGTAAATACTTCCTCTCATTCTGTATGCTGTATCTCCACTTTATTAGTTGTTTCCTTTGGTGTGAAGAAAGATTTTAGTTTACTGCAATTCCATACACTTAAACTTTCACTGCCTATGTTCTTAGTGTCATATGCAATAAATCATAGCCCAGATCAATGTGAAGACACTTTCGTCCTATATTTTCTTCCAGTAGTTTTACAGTTTCAGTTATTATATTTGTTTAATTCATTTTACTTAATTTTTGATATTATATGAGATAAAGGTTGCATTTCATTATTCTGCGTATGGATTTTTCACACCAGTTTTCCAACATTATTTATTAAAGACTTTTTTTTCTGTCTTATGATCTTGGTATCTTTGTCAAAGATAAATTGACTATAAATATGTAGATTTGATTTGGGACTCTATTCTGTTCCATTAGTCTATATATCTGTTTTTACATCAATATCATACTGTTCTGGATACTGTAGATTTGTAAAATATTTTAAAATCAGGTACTTTGATGCCTCCATGTTGGTTCATTTTTCTCAAGAGTGCTTTGGATACTTGAGTCTTTTGTGGTTCCATATGAATTTTAGGACTATTGTTTTTATTTCCATGAAAATTTGTATTGGAATTTTGATAGGGATTGCATTGAATCTGTAGACCACTTTGGGTGGTATGGACATTTCAGCAATATTAATACTTCCCATCGATGAACACAGATGTATTTCCACTTATTTGTGTCTTGTTGAGTTTCTTTTATCATTTTAGAGTTTTCAGTGTACAGGCCTTTCACCTTCCTGATTAAATTTATTCTTCAGTATTTTATTTTTTTATGTAAAAGTAAATGTGATTGTTTTCTTGATTTCTTTCCCAGAGAGTTTGTTAGTACTGTATAGAAATGCTACCAACTTTGTATGTTGATCATATACTGCAAAATTTCCTACAGATTTTTTAAATAGTCTTTAGTGTTTTCCACATATGAGATCATGTGATTAGCAAAGAGACAACTTTACTACTTCCTTTCTGCTTTGTATGCTTTTATTTCTTAATTTGCCTAATTTTATGTCTTGAACTTCCAATGTTATATTGAATAGAAGTCTTGAGAGTCGACATCCCTGTAATGTTCTTGATCTCAGAGGAAGACTTTCAGGTTTTCACTATTGAGTATGTTGTTACTTGAACACTTGTCAGTTATGGTATTTACTTTGTTGAGGTACATTCCTTCTTTACCTAATTTGTTGACAGTTGCTACCAAAAAATGTTGAATTTTGTCCAATGTTTTCTCTGCCTCTTTTGATCTCAAAAGAGGCAGATCATACGACTTTTATCTTTAATTCTGTTAATGTGATAAATAACATTTATTGATTTGTATATATAGAACCACCCTTTTGTCCCAGTGATAAATCCCACTTGATCATAGGGTATGACCCTTTTAATTTGCTGTTGAATTTGGTTTGCTAGCATTTGTTGAGGATTTCTGAATCTATGTTTATCAGTGATATTGACCTGAAATTTCCTTTGACTGTAGTGTGCTTGTCTGATTTTGGTATCAGGATATTCTGGCCTCATAAACGAGCTCTGAAGTATACTCTCCTCATTTTTTTTTTAAGTTTTGGAAGTATTGGGATGAATTTTTCTTTAAGTGTTTGGTAGAATTCACCACTGAAGCTATCTTGTCCTATACTTTTTTTTGAGGGGGAGGTGTTTGATTACTGATTCAATCTCTTTAGTCATTATTTATTCAGATTTTGTATGTCTTCTTAATTTATTCTTGGTAGCTTGTGTGTTTCTAGAAATTTATGTTTCTTGTTGATAACCCAATTTGTTGACATGCTGTTCTTCCTAGTAATGTCTTATGATCATTTGTATCTCTATAATATCGGTTAAACCCTCTCCTCTTTCATTTATAATTTTATTTGGGTCTTTTCTCTTTTTTCTTACATAGTCTAATTAAGGTTTGACAATTTTATTTTTTTCAAAACCAACTGTTATTTCTATTCATCTTTTCTCTTGCTTTTCGCAATTCTCCTGCCTCAGCCTCCCGAGTAGCTGGGACTACAGGTGTGTGGCACCACGCCCAGCTAATTTTTGTATTTTTTACTAGAGACGGGGTTTCACCATGTTGGCCAGGATGGTCTCGATCTCCTGACCTCGTGATCTGCCTGCCTCGGCCTCCCAAAGTACTAGGATTACAGGCGTGAGCCACCACACTCGGCCCTTTCTTTTAAACTTAACTTTTATTTTAGGTTTGGGAGCACATGTGAAGCTTTGTTACATAGGTAAATTCCTGTTATGGATGTTTGTTGTACAGATTATTTCATTACCCAGGTATGAAGCCCAGTACCTCATAGTTATCGTTTCTGCTCCTCTCACTTCTCCCACCCTTCACCCTGAAGTAGACCTCAGTGTCTGTGTTTTCTTTGTGTTCATGAGTTCTCATCATTTAGCTCCCATTTATAAGACAGAACATGCAGTATTTGATTTTCTGTTCCTGTGTTAAAGTATAATAGCCCCCAGCTCCATCCATGTTCATACAAAAGACATGATCTCATTCTTTTTTATGGTATTATATGGTGTATATGTACCACATTTTCTTTTTTCAATCTGTCACTGATTGGCATTTAGGTTGATTCCATGTCTGCCATTCTGAATAGTGCTGCAATGAACATTTGCATGCATGTGGCTTTATGGTAGAATGATTTATATTCCTCTGTATATATATTCAGTAGTAGGATTGCTGGGTCAAATGGTAGTTCTGCATTTAGCTCTTTGAGGAATCATCATATTCCTTTCCACAATGGTTTAGCTAACTTACATTCCCACCAACAGTGTATAAGTGTCCCCTTTTCTCCACAACCTCATTAGCATCTGTTACTTTCTGAATTTTTAATAATAGTCATTCTGACTGGAATGAAATGGTATGTCATTATAGTTTTGGTTTGCATTTCTCTAATGATCAGTGATGTTGAGCTTTCTTTCATATGCTTGTTGGCTGCATGTATGTCTTCTTTTGAGAAGTGTCTGTTCATGTCCTTTGTCCACTTAATGGGGTAGCTTGATTTTCTCTTGTAAATTTCTTTAAGATCCTTATAGATGCTGGATATTAGACCTTTGTCAGATGCATAGTTTGCAAATATCTTCTCCACTTCTGTAGATTATCTGTTTACTCTGTTGATAGATCCTTTTGTCATTATATAATGACCTTATTTGTCTTTTTATACTGTTGTTGCTTTAAAATGTGTTTTATGTGATATAAGGATAGCTACTCCTGCTTGCTTTTGCTTTTCATTTGCATGGAATATTTTTCCCACCTCTTTAACTTGAGTTTATATGAACTCTTATATGTTAGGTGAGTCTCTTGTATATAATCATTATATAATTCTTAAATTTACTTTTATAGATTTGTGGGTACATGTTACATAGATACATTGCATAGTGGCAAAGTCAGGGCTTTTATTATACCTGTCACCTGAATAGTGTACATTGTATCCAATAGGTAATTTTTTCTTCCTTACCAACACCCCACCCCAGCTCTCCCACATTTTGGAGTCTCCAGATCAAATTGTTTCATTTTTTGGCTTGGTGGAAGTAATGAAGTTGTTATATTATTTCTCTATTTTTATTATCCATCTTCTGGTGTTCTATTATTAATTATGGAGTTTTAACATTGAAAATAATATCTTTTTTTCAATACTTCGAAGTGTCTTTGATGTCATACTTTTGAACTAGAGCATATCCTTGACATTTATAACACTCCAAAATCAGGACAACACTTATATCAAAATGAACCATTTGAAGCATTTTAATTTCTCAAATTATCCTTAGTTTGATAAGGATAATTATCAAATTAGTAAATAAGTGGAAAAACTGTTTTCCTGACTCACTGGGTTTTAAACGTATCACAGTTTTCTCTAGAGAATTGCATTTTTATATCTAGGAAGACTCTTCTTGCTTGTCATTCTTAATTGAGAGCCGCAGCCCAAGTCACGCACCAGTACAAAGGCCGTCAGTAAAAATGTCACGTTAAAATGAATTAAAGTAAGTGGATTTGCAGTCTATCAGTGCATCTGTCAAGACATTACGTAACTTGATGCTCATATATCACATGTATAGACAGTTTGTCATGGCTGATTTTTTCCTGCTGCAATGTATATACCAACAATTATAGCAATTGCCTACACAATGTAAACTCAGTTGGCTTAAAGCTATAATAAAAAGTGTGTGATACTAGTGAAAATATGAGCATACAGATTCATTGAGCAAAAAAGTGATTATAGAAAAAGGACAAAACTATTTCATATATGATGAATAGAGCATATCAAACTGGAAATTAAATAATTGCCAGTCTAGTTTGTAAGAATAATCATTTAGTGTATATATATATATATGTATATATATATATGCACACATATACATATATATTTTTATAACTCTATATAGTTGTCTCATATTTTATATTCAAATAGATTCTTCATGAAGTATAGAAGTGGTTTAAAGCCAGGAGCTACTTACTGGGATATATGTTTCAGCTTTCTCAAAATATGCATTATAACCTTATTCTACTGAAGAAAAAAATGGGAAAATAAAATACCAAAATGCAACATTAAACAAATAATGATATATCAAATGAGAGAATCTTTATGGAAGATGAATAAGAATGACATGTCATTTTATTGACATAAAAAGAACTATGATATAACATTGAGATAATGGGGGTACAAACTGCATGTATATTATGCCATGGGTGAAGGTAAAAAAGAGAAATTTAGAGAAAATACACAATAAAACAATACTGGTTATCCCAGATGTTTGAATAAAAACCATTTTTTTCTATTTCATTTCTGCTTTGTATCTTTTTGATTATAAGTATTTTCAAATTTGTCTTCCATTAACACAAATTGTTTGTGTATTAAAGACACTGTCAAAGTTAGAAAAAAAGACTGACCTGAGAGTACATATACGTGTGTGTATATATATACACATGCACAGATACACACCCACACACACACATGCAACCATTTATTTTTCTCCTGACGCAATTATTTTAACTAGTTTTTCTTTCCTAGTGTGTTGGCATGATATAAATACAACCTGTTGAAAAGTGAAAACTGAAAAATCCAATCACCTATGTCTTGTTCACATATTTTTTTCAGTGAACTAAATTAACAGAAAGGTTTGATGACTTGTAGAAAAATTAATATATGCTGAATGCTAAATGAAAAATATATCTATCAAACTACAATTATATTTTAGAACTGCAACAGACTTTAGAAATCAAATAATACAATCGTGTCTTACTAGAGATGAGAAAAATGAGTAATCAATAGTAACTTTTTTATTACTGTCGCTATTGCACAAATATATTTCAAAAAACTACATAGGACAAAATGGAAACAACAATAATAAAAAAGCCAAATGACCTAAGAAGCCAAACAGTGAAACATCAAAATTATCAACCATAAACTTCTGGTCTTTCTCTCCAAAACTTTGTAATTTTAGATTAAACTAAACTGACCATTTGAAGAAGGCATGAATCAGATACAAGTAATTGTTGTTTTTAAAAGGAAGGACTGATTGTTTTGTTCTTCCTGGCTTTTGTGCCCTTGTTCTTAAATTTGTATGAACATTTCTGAGCCTCACAGTGAATTTCTGTTTGCTGGCAAAGTGGTCAGATTTCCAGCAAAAATAATCGTTTACAATTAGTTGTTCACCTATTATTAAGGGAAAGGAAAGAAAGGCTCATCCCGTTGTAAAATCATGTCACAAAGAGAAGACTTTATTGCGTAAGAAAGGAGGAATCGTATTTGGATGAGATAAACAGACAAAATCAGGCAATAGGTTGGAAGCAGAGTCACTGTAATGACAACAAAAGCATACAGAAGTGGCATGCAGAAGTAGAATATACAAATATAATCAATAATAAAGACAATGTTATGAAATATTTGTTTCCCCCCATTTGAAAATTTATATTCATTTTAGTAATCAAAATGTATAATTGAGAAAATTTTTATACCTGCTTTAAACTTTTAGAAGAATGTATTGGATATTGTCATGTCCCCATCATTTTTATCTCTGTCAATAGAAATATGATATTTAATAATGCTTATTTTCCAGTACATGGTTAATATATATTCTAATTCTTCATCTGCTTTCTACTGTCTTCATTCATTAAAGACCATTTGGTTGCTAGGGTTACCTGTACTACAAATTTTATCTATTCAAATGGTGGAGACACTTTTTTCTTGGCTTAATGCACAGAATGTTGCAAAGGAGAAATCTGAGGAAAGCCTGATTTTTCTGTTTCTCCTTTCTTGTGAAGTAACTTACTTTCAATGTCTAGATGCATAAACAATTGTATTTTTAATCTTTGATATATTATTTTTTGTCAGGATTAGACCATATATGGTCCATTTTTTCTTGGGTTTATGAATGTATGGGTAACTTTGTGAATTTCTGTACATAGACACTTGCACATAATTGTTCATATCAACATACGTTTTCTCAAGAAATACCAAAAATAATTTTGCAATCTATTTTTAAGTACAAAGAAGCAAAAATAAGAAATAGTCTCGTATTAGATTTCTCTTAGAGGGACAGAACAAATAGGGTATATATATATATCCATCCTATTATATATATACACATATCTATATATACATATATATATATATATATATATATATATATGGGAGTTTATTAAGTATTAACTTACACAATCACAAGGTCCCACAATAGGCTGTCTGCAAGGTGAGGAGCAAGGAGAGCCAGTCTGAGTCCCAAAACTGAAGAACTTGGAGTCTGATGTTCAAGGACATGAAGCATCCAGTATAGGAGAAATATGTAGGCTGGGAGGCTAGGCCCATCTCTTCTTTTCATGTTTTTCTGCCTGCTTTGCATTTGCTGGAAGCTCATTAGATTGGGCCCACCAGATTAAGGGTGGATCTGCCTTCCCCAGCCCACTGATTCAAACGTTAATCTCTTTTGGCAACACCCACACAGACACACCTAGGATTAATACTTTGTATCCTTCAATCCAATCATGTTGACACTCAGTATTAACCATCACAAGTCCTTATTCTCACAATCTAGAATTAGCTTCATTCTATGTTAATATTTATTGCCTTCTCACAATAAATAAAGATATGGAAGGTAAGCAAAGCTAATGCTCTATTCAATCACTGATTGATGTATGCAACTAATATTTATGGAGCAAAAAATTGTTTTATGTATATCTTATTACCTAGGAGGCATCAGTTTTAAAATAAGAAGCAAAATATCACTGCACTTGCAAAGCTGGTATTATAGTGGCCACAAAAACATAACCAAATAAATATGTAAATTGAATTATAAATTAGATGGTAATTATTTCATTATTGGTAAGGATTCTACAGAGAAACAGAACCAATGAGATACATATACAAATATATATATATATATGTGTGTGTGTGTATGTGTGTGTGTGTACACTTTGAGCAGTGTTTTATAGTTCTCATTGTATATATATTTCTCCTCCCTGGTTGGCTGTCTACATAGGTATTTTATTCTTGTCACCACTATTGGGAATGGGATTGCATTCTTGATTTAGCTCTCAGCTTGGATGTTATTGATGTATAGGAATGCTACTAATTTTTGTGCATTGATCTTGTATTCTGAACCTTTGCTGAAGTTGTTTATTAGATCAAGAAACTTTTAGGCAGAGACTGGGGTTTTCTAAGTATAGAATCGTATCATCTGCAAACAAGGATAGTTTAACTTCTTGTCTTTCTATTTGGATGCCTTTTATTATTATTTTTTTTTTTGTCCTCTTGCCCGATTACTCTGGCCAGGACTTTCAGTACTATGTTTAACAGGAGAGGCGAAAGAGGCCATTCTTGTCTTGTTCTGGACTTTGAGGGGAATGCTTCCAGATTTTGCCCATTCAGTATGATGCTATCTGTGAGTCTGGCATATATGGCTATTGCTATTTTGAAGTATGTTTCTTCAATGCCCAGTTTGTTGAGGGTTTTTAACATAAAGGGATATTGAATTTTATTGAAGGCATTTTCTGCACCTATTGAGATAATCTTGTAGTTTTTGTTTGTAGTTCTTTTTATGTGATGAATCTCATTTATTGACTTGCTTAGTTAAACCAACCTTGCACTTCAGGAATAAAGCCTACTTGATTGTGGCAAGTTAGCTTTTTGATGTGTTGCTGAATTTCATTTTCTAGTATTTGATTGAGGATTTTTGTGTCTATATTCATCAAAAATATTGGCCTGAAGTTTTCTTTTTTTGTTGTATCTCTGCCAGGTTTGGGCATCAGGATGATGCTGGCCTCATAGACTGAGTTGGGGAGGACTCCCTCCTCAATTTTTTTGAATAGTTTCAGTAGGAATGGTACTAGCTTTTCATTATACATCTGGTAGAATTTGCCTGTGAATCCATCTGATGCCTGGCTTTTTCCGGTTGGTGGGCTTTTTATTACTGATTCGACTTTGGAACTTGTTATTTGTCTCTTCAGGGTTTCAGTTTCTCCCTAGTCCAATTTTGAGAGTTTTATGTTTCCAGAAATTTATTCATTTCTTCTAGATTTCTTAGCTTATGTGCATTTGGATGTTTGTAGCAGTCTCTGGGGTTATTTTGTATTTCTGTGGGGTCAGTGGTAACATCCCCTTTGTAATTTCTGAATGTGTTTATTTGGATCTTCTACCTTTTTATCCTCATTAATCTAGCTTGTGGTCTATCTTATTATTCATTTCAAAGTACGAATATTAAGATTTGTTAATCTTTTGTATGGCTTCTTGTGTCTCAATTTTCTTCAGTTCAGGTCTAATTTTGGTTATTTATTGTCTTCTAGCTTTGGGGTTGATTTGCTCTTGGTTCTCTAGTTCCTCTTATTGCAATGAGAGATTGTTAATTTGAGATCTTTCTAAATTTTCTTTGTGGTAATTTAGTGCTATAAGTTTCCCTCTTAATACTGCTTTATCTGTGCACCAAAGAGTCTAGTATGCTGTATCTTTGTTCTTATCAGTTTCAAAGTATTTGCTGATTTCTGCCTTAATTTCATTATTTACTCAAATGTTATTCAAGAGTAGGTTGTTTAATTTCCATTTAATTGTATCATTTTGAGTGATTTTCTTAGTGTTGATTTCTATTTTTAGTATGCTGTGGTGTGAGAGTGTGATTGCTATGATTTGATATTTTTTTCAATATCCTGAGGATCATCTTATGTCTTATTGTAAGGTTAATTCTGAAGTATGTGCCATGTGCAGATAAGAAGAATATATACTTTGTTATTTTTGGATGGTGAGTTCTGCAGATGTATATTAGGTCCACTGGTCAAGAGTCGAGTTTAGGCCCTGAGTGTCATTAGTTTTCTGCCACCATGATCTATCTGTTACTGTCAGTGGGATGTTGAAGTCTGTTACTATTATTATTTGATTATTGAAGTCTCTTTGTAGGTTTCTAAGAACTTGTTTTATAAACATTTGTGTTTCTGTGTTGGGTGCACATATATTTAGAATAGTTAGGTCTTCTTGTTGAATTAAACACTGTATTAGTTAATTCTCACACTGTGATAGAGACATACCTGAGACTGGGTAATTTATGAAGAAAAGAGTCTTAATTGATTCACAGTTCTGCATAATGTACTGGAATCATGGCTGAGGAGGCCTTAGAAAACTTAGAATAATGGCAGAATGCAAAGGGGAAGAAAGCACATTTTACCATGCTGGATTAGGAGAGAGAGAGAGTGAAGGGGAAAGTGCCACACATTTTTAGGCCATGAGATCTCATGAGAACTCATTCACTATAACGAGAACACCAAGGGGGAAATCTGCCCTCATGATCTAATCTCTTCCTACCAGGTCCCTTCCCCAATATTGGAAATTAAAATTAAATGTGAGATTTGGGTGGGGACACAGAGCCAAGCCATATCATTCTAGCCCTGGTCCCTCCAAAATCTATGTTCTTTTCACATTTCAAAACACAATCATGCCTTAGAAACAGTCCCCCAAGGTCTTAACTCATTCCATCATTAACTCAAAAGTCCAAGTCCAAAGTATCATCTGAGACAAGACAAATCCCTTCTACCTTTGAATCTGTGAGATCAAAAACTAGCTAGTTACTTCCAAGATACAATGGAGTACAGGCATTGGATAAATATTCCTATTCCAAAAGGGGAAATTGGCCAAAACAAACAGGCTGCAGGCCCCATGCAAGTCCAAAGCCCAGCAGGGCAGTCATTAAATCTCAAAGCTCCAAAATAATCTCTTTTGATGCCATGTCTCAAATCCAGGGCATAATGATGCAACTGATGGGCTTCGAAGGCATTAGGGAGCTCTACTCTGTAGCTTTGCAGGGTACAGCCTCCATCACTGCTTTTAAACGTGGCATTGAATGCCTGAAGCTTTTCCAGATGCAAAGTGAAAGCTGCCAATGGAACTACCATTCTGGGGTCTATGCAGGATATGCAGGTTTGTTACATAGGTAAATGTGTGCAGAGGAGACAGTAATTTTTACCATTCCTACAAATTGTTTACAGACAGAGAAGCCCAAAGTCTGGCTGGCAAGAAACTTTCACCCTTTTTCTGGCATGCCAGGCTTCAGGGTTCCCTTTCCCTGAGAGGCCCTAGCCACCCTGCTTACCACACCGTATCCCTGGGGGCCAAGCTGCAACACAAAGGAAAATCGTCTGTTTCCTTTTCATGGAAAATTTAAATTAGACACAACTCATTTTCCTTTGTTAGAAAGTTAAGATTTGTACTGCATGTTGCTGTGTGTGTCGTGTAAAAGGGGAGCCAATAAAGAGGTTATCTACATACTATAGAAGTTATCCTCCCTCAAGAGATTGCTTTGTTAGAATTTTGCTAGGGCTTGTCTGAATAAGTGTGGACTATTTCTAAACCCCTGAGGTAAGACCATCCAGGTTGAAGTTATTGGTTAAAGATTTAGGTACCATTCCCTGGATAAATAGTGCTATTAGAGAGAAAAATGAATTCAGAGGTGGTGTAAATACTAAGTGAGCACTGATCTTGGAAAGTGTACTTTTGCTCCAAAGAGGTGTGGGGTATTTAGACATTACCAGGGACCAGTGAGAGCATGGTAATTGGTCCCTTAGGTAATATAAAGGGGTATGAAGATAAACAGTATTACAAAGGAAAACTTTTTTTTTAAGGTTCAGGGAAATCAAACTTTTCCCAGCTTTGGGGGATGCATCCAAGGGGCATGTCCTGTGGTATGGAGATGTGATTACCCATCTGCCACCTGTGAAGACAGAACAGAGGAAAAATAAAAAAGGAAAAGGAAGGCATCCTCCCCTTTTTTTCTATTATCCTGAATGGAGTGTCCCCCATTGTCCTTGGGTTCCAGAATGAACTCGTCTTACTGTGTACCCTTGATCTCAACTTGTCACAACTTTCTGCTTTAGAACAGAGGAGATACTGGAGTGAAGAGTGGGCCCCCTGTTTATGCTTGGAGTTCCAGAATAACTTGCCTTACCATGTACTTCCTAAGCTTTCATCTCTCTTCCAATGATAATCTGTTAGCCTGGGACCACCCTTCATCTCTGTCTTATTGGTCTCTGTGTCTGCGGACTTGAAGCCTTGGGCCAGCCTATATCCTTGTCTCCATGACCTTATGGTGACTGTCACTCAAAGTATTTTAGTAATAAAATGATTATCTCTTTTTTTTTTAGATTCCCATTTCTCATGTTCATTTAAGTAGACCAGAAGCCTGTTTTTCAGCTGTCTCAAGGAGGCTGGATTTCCCTCCCTGCTCCCTTTAAATATGACCTTGGAGGTCTTGATACATCTTGAGAAGGGCATGGAAATAATTAGAGAACTGGAAGCTACAGGAAGAAATGGGAGAAAGTGAGAGGAATACTCATGAAAAGCCTTGATATGCTCACAAAAACAGCAGACCTTGGATTCAAGAGGGCCACGTTTATTTACACTCGATATAAAATAGCAACCTCTGGAGGATTTGGGGCTCAGGGTAAGAACTTGCAAATGGCAAAGGCAGAATTTCTCCTCTCAAAGGGTGCTAACTCAAAAAACCAAGTAGGTGGGATCCTTAAAGTGCCAGAATGAAGCCCTATGCAGGTGAACAATCTGCTTTAAGAGCCACCAGAAAATGCAGCCCTGGGGCATAACAGGAAGGAAAAGCATATGCTAAGTCATAAGGAGCTAGCAGAGTTCAGCCTGACACTAATTGGAACTGCTGTTAGTTGACTATCACAATTGGAACTGCTGTTCCAATTAATGTCTGTCTTGACCATGTGCCAGCAGACAGGGGAAGGGTTGGAGGTTATCTGACCTGGTAGGGTAAGAACTAGTGTAAATCACAGGGGATATCCACAGGGAAGCACATGTCTTTGCTGCCACACAATTGCACAGAACCACAGGTGCACAGATAACAGTGAGTGTGTTTTTAAGAACTTATGTAGCATACAACATGAAAGCAAAGAGGCAGACTCTCCCTGAAGGGAGATGGTCTGGTGGGTGCACATGGCCATTTCAGAGCACACACAGAGAAAACAGAAGAATGGGTAGTGCAGGTTTTTGGGAAAGAGATGATTTTAGTTGATTAAGCAAAGGAAACCCTAGTCATTAGGATACTTACAATCATGGTGGAAGGTAAAGGGGAAGCAAGCACATCTTACCATGGTGGATCAAGACAAAAAGAGAGCAAAAGTGGAAGTGCCATGAACTGTTAAACCATTAGGTCTCATGACAACCCACTCACTATCACAAGAACACCAAGGGGGAAATCTGCCCACATGATCCAGTCACCTCCCACCAGGTCCCTCTCCTAACAGTGGGAATTATAATTCAACATGAGACTTGGGTGGGGACACAGAGCCAACCCATATCAAACCCTTTACCATTACATCATGCCCTTCTTGGTCTTTTTTGGTATTTGTTGGTTTAAAATCTGTTTTGTCTGAAATTAGAATAGCAACCCCAGCTTTTTATGTTTTCTATTTCCTTGGTAGAATTTTCTCCCTTACTTTTACCCTATGGGTGTTATTGCATGTGAGATGGGTCTCTTGAAGACAACATACCATTCTGTCTTGCTTCTTTATCCAACTTGCCACTCTATCTTTTAACTCAGGCATTTAGCCCATTTACGTTTAAGGTTAGTATTAACGTGTGTGTGTGTTTTCCTGTCATAATGTTGTTAGCTGATTATTGTGAAGACTTGTTTGTGTGGTTGCTTTATAGTGTCACTGGTCTGTGTACTTAGGTATGTTTCTGTAGTGGCTGGTAGTCATCTTTCCTTTCCATGTTTAGCACTCCATTCAGTACCTCTTGTGAGGCAGGTCTAGCATATCACATTTCCTTAGCATGTGCTTATCTTGAAAGGGTATTATTTCTCTTTGGTTTATAAAGCTTAGTTTGGGTGGATATGAAATTCTTAGTTGGAAATTATTTTCTTTAAAGATGCTGAGCATAGGCCTGCAATCTGTTCTGGCTTGTAGAGTTTCTGCTGAAAGGTCTGCTGCTAGCTTGCTGGTGTTCTCTTTGTAGGTGACCTGCCTCTTTGCTCTAGCTTTCTTGAACATTTTTTCTTCCATTTTGACCTTGGAGAATTTAATGATTATATGTCGGAATAAGTCTTCTTTTGTGGTATTTTGTCGGTGTTCTCTGCATTTCCTGAATTTGAACGTTGGCCTCTCTAGAGACGTTTGGGAAATTTTCATAGATAAAAGCCTGAAATATATTTTCCAAGTGGCTTTTTTTTCTTTTCCTCTCTTTCAGGAACACAATACATCATAGATTTGGTCTCTTTACATAATTCCATATGTCTCAGAAGTTTTGTTCATTCTTCATTATTTTTCTGTTTTTGCTTGATGATTTTGGAAACTGATTTTTGAACTCTGAAATTCTTTTCTCGGGTTAGTTGATTGTGCTGTTAATACTTGTGATTTTATTCTAAAATTCTTAAAGTGAATATTTCAACTTTATCAAATCACTTTGGTTCTTTCTTAGAACTGTAATTTTGTCTTTAATCTCCTCTACTATTTTATTGTATTTCTTAGAATCCTTGGATTTGGTTTTGACTTTCTTCTGAACCTTGATGATCTTCATTCCTATCCATATTTTGGATTCTATTTCTGTCACTTAAGCCTGGTTTAAGAACCATTGCTGGGAATCTATTACAGTCATTTGGAGTAAAGAAGACACTGTCTTTTTGAGTTGCCAGAGTTCTTGTGCTGGTTCTTTCTCATTTGCGGGCTGATGTTCCTTCAATGTTTGAGGTTGCTTTTCTTTATCTTTTTTTCTTTGCTTTTATCTTCTTTGATGTCCTTGAGGGGTTTGATTGTGGTATAAAGTAGATTCAGTTAACTGGCTTCATTTCTGGAAGATTTTAGGGGGCCAGGGCTAAGTTCAAAACTCCTGGGCTGTGTGCTCTACTTTCGTGAGACTGGTTTTGGGCCATCAGCTATTTCTCTGGTCCCTCAAGTTTAGAAACCTGCTGTGCTGGAAGGGCCAATGTTTTCCCATACCACCGGTCACAACAGTCTAATTGGTGGTGTTAGCAAAATGCTTCATTGGGCGGTGTCAGTGGGATCTGTGCTTGTTTGCTTGTGCCAGCAACATTGCAAGGTGCACACTTGTCGGCTATAGTGGGGCACTGGCAGGCATAGAGGCACCATCTTCCATGTGGGCATTCTCAGTGGGAGAGGCCATCAAACAGGGGCTTGCTCAGGTCAGACTGGCCCCATCTCACAGTCAAGGTCATCCTGCTCCATTCAGGTCCAACAGCCATCCTAAAGCTAAAGTCTTCTAGGGGAGCATGGCAAGTCTTGGGGGTGGCAATGCCTTCCCTCTGAAGGTTTTCTCATCATGTGCCAGTTTTTTAAATATCCTTGTCCCTTAGTGGCAGATATTCCTCATAGCTGTGTCTAGTTGGCCATCTTCTCTTCCTCTTCTCATAAGTTCACCATTTATATTGGTTTATGGCTCAACTCTTAAAAGTTCATTTAAACACAATTATCTCCTTAAAGACATTATCTTCAAGTACAGTCACTTTGGGGGTTAGGACATCAACCTATTACATTGGGGGAGGGCACAATTTAGTCTGTAACAATAACACAGAGCTTTATAGTCCATACACCCAGGAGGTAAGACAGTGAAAGTGGACTGCCAACTTTGTCAGCTGAAAGAAAAGTCCTTCTGTTGGTCTTTAACAGAGATGGAGATAAAAGAATATTTGAAAAAACAATAGCTGCATAACAAGTACCAAGTTGTGTGTTAATTTTCTCAAACTATACCTCATAAAGCAGCTGCAATTGGAGTCACTACCTTGTTAAGCTTACCGTAGCCCATTAATATTCTCTAAGATCCACTGGTCTTCTGCACAGGCCAAACAGGCCATAATGCCATAATATTCCTCACTCTACATGGCAGAGAACCAGTGTGGGGATTCTGTCAGTTATTGAGTATGTCTATTCCAATTATGCATTCTGGAAATGTAGAAATAAATACAAGATACATTTTGGATTCACTGGGCCCAGTGTAAAATAAACATGAGCGAAAATCCCATTGATCACTTGACCTCCATAAGCCCCTACTTGACTGTTAGACCACAGTGATGTTTTGGGTCTCCTGGAGTTAGTATCAGATCAGAGCTGGTGACCACCAGTCTATGAAAGGGCTGATTATTTTCTTTTCCTCTATACTCCTTCACTCTAGTACAAGTTCATAGTCTCTTTGAGAAGGGTTGTAACAATTTAATAATATAAATATTTGGTAGGGTACCAGTGTCTTTCCTTCATGAAGAGAAGGCCGGGTCCCTTTGAGGAAGGACCCTAGTATACCACCAAATATTTATATTATTATGGGTTCTGGGTCTGTAAGCTAGTTTGAAACTGGGAATTGATTGTTGATGAAGAGGTTGTGGCTCTTCATTTTTATGATACATTTCAGACTTGTTTACTTGACCTAGAACTTTTCTATTTATACAGGAGAATTAAGAATTTAGTAGACTTTCTATATATTTCACTTGTAGAAACACTGTCATCAACTTGCCAATGTCTTAGTCCTGCTCAAGTAAGACTATTTTAATTGCTGCTTTGATTTTACTGTCTGTTATGGTAACTATGTCCACCTTGCCTTTTGCCATTGAGTGTTGCCACTTATCTCCTGCTGCCCTGTGATCCAATTACTCTCATTGTGCTTAGGTTTCCAATTTGGTGACAGAAGTTCCCACTGTATGTTCTGGCCTAGAGAGAAGAGCAATCACAATGCTCCTCAAGAAGGCTGGATCTTCCTTCAAAATTTTGAGCTCAGTGCTCCCAGCTTCATTTGGGTCTTCCCACATGTCTCCATTTTCAACTTTCTGGAACACACTTCTTCCCAAATAATACCCTAACTTTATCAGTGGAGACCCAGGGAGGCTGGTAATCCAATTTGTGCTTTAATTCAGTCATTGTCGGGATAATAGTTTGGGTATGGTTTCCAGTAATCTCAGCCCTGCAGCAATAGGAGATAAATATCTCATTTCAGGCAGAAAGATTTTTTTCTTTAATTTATTTGGTACTTGAGCTTGGAATTTGAATCTCTGAGCTCATCCTTATCTCTTTCCACTTTGTCCTGAATTGTTAGATACAACCATCTCATCTCATATTTGCTAGTTGACAAAAATGTTTGAAGATATTATTGTACATGGTTAGCCAAACCCTTACCTCTTGTGTTTCATTTGGAGTATCCAATGGTGGTATTTTGTGTATCTCTTTTCAGCACATCGTGACATGAGCAATCGCTGCTCTCTTTACTACTGGAAACGGAGTCATGAGTGTCTTTAAATCTAATCAGATTAAAGAGAAAAATCCAAAAATACCAGTACCAATTCAGAAGACTCATAGCTAAGATTATGTTTCTCTAGAGGTTGCCCAACTTGTCCTGTTTTTTTCCAGGACTCTCACGGTTTTGGTATTGAAAGTTTCATGTTATAATGAATATCTATGTCTATCTATGTATGTTTATAGAGAGAAAGAGATGTCTATCGTTAAGAAATTAGCGTATTAACTCATACAATTATAGAAGCTGGCACGTCCAAAATGCAGAGTGAGTCAGCAGGCTGGAGTCTCAGAAATAAATAATGTTGCAATTTAAGTATTTGGTTATATTTGGTCTTGCTCAGAGGAGGTCAATCTCTTGTTCTATTCAGCCTTCAACTAAATGGAATAGAGGACAATCTGATTTACACAGAGACCACTGATTCAATTTTAATATCATCCAAAAATACCTTCTTAAACATATCTATAATAATATTCAACCAAATATCTGAACATTGGGCACAGCCAATTTGACATAAAATTAGCAATCACAAGTATTCTAGAAAATGAGGGGATTAGGGGGACCCGTGAATTCTGAGGATGGCAATTTGAAATACAGTGAACAAAACAGGGTAAGTTTCAAAGTACACAGACCCATTAAGACCTGAAGGAGGCAAAGGAGTTAGCCAAGTATCTATCTGAGAAATAAAAAACAAAACATTTCTGGCATTGTGAATAGCAACTATGAAAGACTTAATACAGACACATGCCTGGCATATTATAGGAACAGCAAAAAAACCAGAGTGGATAGAGCAGAGCAAGTGAACCTAAGAAGAGTAGGAAAACATGTCAAAGATATAATGGGGTTCCAACTAGGGAGGGCATTATAGAATAATTTTAAAACATTCACTTTTATTCTAATTGTAGTGGAAAGCCATTTCAGGACTTTAAATAGAAAAGCAACGAGAATAGAGGTTGGCCAACTTGTCCTCTTTTGTCCAGGGCTGTCATGGTTTTGACATTGGCAGTCCCACATTCGGGGAAACTCCTCAGTCCCAATGAAACCAAAATCACTGGTAACCGCAGTAGAGAGCAAAGGCAGAAGCAAGGAGGCCAGTTAGGGTATACGGAAATTACTTAAGATATTACGGAAATTACTCAGGTAAGATGTACTGGTGATTACAACAAGAATTCTCTGAAGCAGCAAGGAATCAAAGATGTTTTAAACTTTTGGCCTGAGCCACTGGAAAGAGAAAGTTGCCACTTTGTGATATGAGTAATACTGAAGGAGTCATGTCAGATCAGGTTGAAAGATGTGGTGAGAAGATCCTAACTTCAGTTTACTTTTCAGTGATCATGTAACCATCAACCAGGTAAAGAAAATTAATATAATTAGCATCTTAAATGCTGCTACATGCATTTTTCCAGTAACTACCTCCAAAAGATACACAATATCTTAATTTCAAAAATCATTCATTAATGTAGCCTGCCTTTGTAGTACTTAAAAAGGAATTGGACTTCAGGTTCCAAAATAGTGTTGTAGAAGTAAATAGGCATCACTTTCCCCAAAAGAAAACCCAAAACAAATATATAGCACCTAAATTATACTGGCCACAAAGCCAGAACTTAAATATGAAGATGAAACAGTTCAAGGGGCCACAGATCAGTAAAACAACAACAACAAAAACTCTGAGCATATGGTTAGAGAATCAAAGTTCCACATGTGTGATGCCCTTCTCTCCAGTTCTTCCCAGAACCAAGCATACAGAAACTCTCCCCCAGCGCATGGTTTCTACGCTAGAAAAAGTCAGATTGAGGGGGTGAACCAGCTTCTGCACCATCTTGGGTTCTCTGGCAGGAAAGTTGAACCTGTCTTAACCCACAGAAAGCATTGTGACAGCCTAAAGGAAGAAGTATCCCCGAAAACCAGCAGAAGCAAGGGGTGGGGGGACAATCATCTCCAGCCATGGACAATCTGCTCTGTACTTTGGCCAAAGAAGACGCAAAATCAGAGTGGGTATTTAGCAACACCACACAGTAGGAGGTATGTTCCACAGGTCCTCTGGGCACAAACTCTGAGCCAGCCTTCCCACACTGCCAGAATAATCCCTTTTGGGACTCTCCCATTTGGAACTGGCAGTGCTTCTAACATTTACTAGAGCTGAGATGAGCCTGAGCTTAAATCCCTTTTGGACCTCTCCCATTTGGGACTGGCAGTGCTTCTAACCTTTTACCAGAGCTGAGATGAACCTGAGCTTTCACCTGGGGCTGAAAAGGAGGCAGTAACCTAACAGTAAAAATTTGTGAAGGAAATATTCAATGAAAAAAAAAAAACAAGTTTGTCAGAGGAAACTGGAATAAATAAGTAATGCTTCAACACAAAGAAGTAGAGTATACTTACAAACACAATAGCAAACAGAAAACCATGGGTTCCCCAAAAGGACAAAGAAAGGATCCAGTGACTGATCATAATGAGATGGCAATTTGTGAGCTATCTGACCATACATTTAAAATAGCAGTTTTAAGAAAACTCAATAATTTCCAAGGTAACACAGAAACAATTCAGAAATTTATCAGAGCAACTTAGCAAGGAGATTGAAATAAGTTTTTTAAATCAAACAGAAAATTTGGAACTGGGAAATATATTTGTTGAACTATTATTAGAGGCTCTCAACAGAGAATTGGATCAAGCAGAGGAAAGAATCAGTCAGATAAAATATTGGTTAAGTGAAAATATACATTCAGAGAAGAGAAAAGAAAAAAAAGAATGATGACTGCCTAAAAGATATAGAAAATTACCTAAAAACACCAAATCTAATACTTACTGGTGTTTGAGATGGAGCAAGAGCAAGGGGTAGAAATATTATTCAGGGAAATAATAAAAGAAAACTTCACAAATTGAGTAAGATACAGATAGCCAGGTACAGGATCATCTGAGAACACCAAACAGATTCAACCAAAATTAGACTACCCCAAAGCATACAATAATCAAATTCTCAAAAGTCAGGGACAAAACAGGAAAATGGAAACACAACATAGCAAAATTTAAGGGTTATGACAAAAGCAATACTAAGAGGGAAGTTTATAGCAACAAATGCCTGTATCAAAAAAGCAGAAAATTTTCAAATTAACAACCGGAAGATGCACCTCAAGGAACTAGAAAAGCAAGAGCAAACCAAAGTCAAAATTACTGTAAGGAAATGAGTTTTAAAAATCAGAGCTGAATTAAATGAATTTGAGACTAAAATTAGTACAAACGAGTTTGGTGTTTTAAAAAGGTAAGCAAAATTAATCCTTAAGCTATACCTAGTAATAAAAAAAGACTCAAATAAAATCAGAAAAGAGACAACATAACAACTGAGATGTCAGAAATACAAAAAAAAATTATTAGAGACTATTATGAACAACTATATGCCTATAAGTTGGGAAACCTAAAAGAAATGGATAACCTCCTTGACATGTGTAACCATGAAGAAATTTTTAAAAATCTCAACAAAAAATAAGCAATGAGATAGAAGCCATAATAATAAGTCTCCCATCAAAGGAAAGTGCAGGACCCAATGGCTTCACTGCTGACTTCTACCAAACATTTTTTTTCTTTTTTTGGAGATGGAGGTTCGCTCCTGTTGTCCAGGCTGGAGTGCAATGGTGCGATCTCAGCTCACTGCAACCTCCAACTCCCAGGTCCAAGCGATTCTCCTGCCTCAGACTCCCGAGTAGCTGGGATTACAGGCATTCACCACCACGCCTGGCTAATTTTGTATTTTTAGTAGAGAGGGGGTTTCTCCATGTTGGTCAGGCTGGTCTCGAAGTACCGACCTCAGGTGTTAAGCCCGCCTCAGCCTCCCAAAGTGCTGGGATTACAGGCGTGAGCCAACACACCCGGCCTACGAAACTTTTTTTTTTTTTTTAATTAAAACCAATCTTACTCTCACTCTCTTGAACAATTGAAGAGGAGGGAATATTCCCAAACCTATTCTACAAGGCCATAATTATACTGATAAATTAAAAACAAGGATATGACAACTCCAATAAAAAAAAAAAAACTAAAAACCAATATCCCTGATAAGCATAGATCCAAAGATCTTCAATAAAATACTAGAAACTGAAATAAATGGCATGTTAAAAAGATCATTCACCATTATCAACCAGAATTCATTCCAGGAAATCAGGTATGGTTCAACATATGCAAATCAATAAAGGTGCAATAACTCACGCCTGTAATCCCAGCACTTCGGGAGGCCAAGGCAGGCAGTTTGAGACTAGCCTGGCCAACATGATGATACCCTGTCTCTACTAATAATACAAAAGAAAAAAAATTAGCCAGGTGTGGTGGTGCACGCCTGTAGTCCCAGCTACTCAGGAGGCTGAGGCACAAGAATTGCTTGAACCCGGGAGGCAGAGGTTGCAGTGAGCTGAGATCATGCCACTGCACTCCAGCCTGGGCGACAGAGTAAATCTATGTCTCAAAATAAAATAAAATAAATGGTGATACATCACATTAACAAAATAAAAAACAAAAATCATATGATTATTTCAACATATACTAAAAAAGAATTTTATAACATTCAACATCCATTTATGATAAAACCCTCATCTGAATGGTTACAGAAGGAATATACCTGAAAATAATAAAGATCATATATGACAAACCCACAGTTAATACCATACGAAATGATAAAAAATTAAGGCTTTTTCTCTAAGTATTGGAACAAGACAAGAATGCCCACTTCCACTGCTTTTCTTTAACATAATACTGGGAATCCTGGCTAGAGCAATTAGGCAACAGAAAGACATAAAAGGCATCCAAGTTGGAAATGAAGAAGTAAAATTATCCTTGTTTGAAGATAACATGATCTTATACCTAGAAGTACCTAAAGAATACACCAAAAAACTATTTAAACTGACAAATAACATTGCAGGATACAAAATTAACATAAAAAGTAGTATATTTATATACACCAACATCCAACAACCCGTAAAAGAAATCAAGAAAGCAGTCCCATTTATAATATCTCCAAAGAATAGAAAATACCTAGGAATCAATAGAACCAAACAAATGAAAGATCTATAAAAGGAAAACTATAAAACACGGATGAAAGAAATTGATGAGAAGACAACAATATGGGAAGACATTTCATACTTATGGATTGAAAGATCGAATGTTGTTAAAATCACAGTGCTACATAAAGCAATTTGTAAATTTAATGCACACAATCTCTATCAAAATATTAATGATGTTCTTCATAGAAACAGAAAAAAGAATCCTAAATTCTTTTAGGATTCTTAAAGAATCACAAAAGACACTCAATAGCCAAAGCAATCCTGAGCTAAAAGAAAGCTGGAGGCATCACACTATCTGAATTAAAAATTTACTAAAGAACAATAGTAACCAAACAGCACGGCATTGACATGAAAACAGACACACAGACAAATGGAACATAATAGAGAATCCAGATATAAATCCACACATTTGCAGCCAACTCATCTTTGACAATGGCACCAAAAACATACACGAGAAAAAGGGTAGTCTTTTTAATAAATGGTGATGAGGAAACAGGATAACTGTAGGCAGTATCATGAAAGTAAACCCCCATCTCTCACTATACACAAATATCTAATCAAATTGATTAAAGACTTTTATTATTATTATTATACTTTAAGTTCTAGGGTACATGTGCACAACATGCAGGTTTGTTACATATGTATACGTGTGCCATGTTGGTGTGCTGCACCCATCAACTCGTCATTTACATTAGGTGTACCTCCTAATGTTTTCCCTCCCCACTCCCCCCACCCCATGACAGGCCCCGGTGTGTGATATTCCCCTTCCTGTGTCCATGTGTTCTCCTTGTTCAATTCCCACCAGTGAGTGAGAACATGCAGCGTTTGGTTTTTTGTCCTTGCGATAGTTTGCTGAGAATGATGGTTTCCAGTTTCATCCATGTCCCTACAAAGGACGTGAACTCATCATTTTTTATGGCTGCATAGTATTCCATGGTGTACATGTGCCACATTTTCTTAATCCAGTCTATCATTGTTGGACATTTGGGTTGGTTCCAAGTCTTTGCTATTGTGAATAGAGCCGCAATAAACATACGTGTGTATGTGTCTTTATAGCAGCATGATTTATAATCCTTTGGGTATATACCCAGTAATGGGATGGCTGGGTCAAATGGTATTTCCAGTTCTAGATCCCTGAGGCATCGCCACACTGACTTCCACAATGGTTGAACTAGTTCACAGTCCCACCAACAGTGTAAAAGTGTTCCTATTTCTCCACATCCTCTCCAGCACCTGTTGTTTCCTGACTTTTTAATGATTGCCATTCTAACTGGTGTGAGATGGTATCTCATTGTGGTTTTGATTTGCATTTCTCTGATGGCCAGTGATGGTGAGCATTTTTTCATGTGTTTTTTGGCTGCATAAATGTCTTTAAAAAAAAAACCACACAAAAACTGACAACTGAGAATCTTTGCCTTTTAAGTTGCATATTTCTATGATTTTCTTAAAATAAGAAATTTAAACACTTTTAAAATACTACTTTGGAAATCACACACAAGTATTATTAAGAGATTTGTAAAGAATACCTCCAATGGAGAGCTTTTTGCTACCCAACCTGGTCCATAACAGACTGTAGAAATAACAGAAAGCCAAATCTTGTCCTTCCCTTGAATATCTGTAAAGCCATTGCCACTGACAATCAAATAGACAGGCATCCAAGTTTGATGGTGCTATTGAAGATCTGACCAGGCACATCCTACAGCTGACCAGAGCCAAGTCTCTAGGATTTCTGAGTCTCCTCGACTAACCATTGTACAGCTTCCTGGGCCAACTGTAGCCCAGTACAGCCACTTGACGAATAACTGAAAGCTCCCTATTATGTTGTGGTGGGGGCATTTCCAGGAAGAGACTACTACCCAGAGACTGTGGGCCCTTTTCCTCCTTTTCATCTTATCAGTTAGAGACAGAAACCAAGAACCTCAGTTTCAGGTGACTAAAAATATTTTTAGACAGAGAGAAAAAAAATGTAAAAGAGACTACTTCTTTAGATGGCTACAATTCCAAGAAAAAAAAAAAAAGGAAATTTAAACTTTAAGCACTGAGTAAATCCTAGGTCTGAGAAAACATAATGCTAGCCCTAGATTACTTACTCACTTATGAACAAACTGCTAGGTATGATGGTAAAATAAAATGTAATTCAATAAATTATATTTAAATGTAAATATATAACAAATTTTTATGTGATAGTTTTCCATAATTTGATTCAATTAGAAGTTAAAAATTTATATATTTATATACTAAAAATTTATATAACAAAATTATAAAAGAGGCACTGATTGGCTTTTGTACCTCTACAATATACATTATAACTTTAATATTTGCTAAAATGCACTAATACAAATTCATGGACTTAATAAATACTGGGGCTCAAATTATAGTTATACCTGGGATACTGCTAAATTTAAACACTCTATCCATATAATCTTGAGAAGGTAATTAAATACAAAATAGAGAAAAATTTATATGCCTCATTTTAGCTGTGGCCTTTCCCTGTACAGTCATATACCTATTGCTGTAAAATATTCTGTTAGACATAGATGCTCTGACACAATAAATAAATTAAAATTGAAGTAAGCTTTTTGTACTTATGAATTGGTTTTGTAAAATGGGACCCCACAAGCCCCAGTAAGATAGTTAATGTGGCCTGATGTAAGTCAAAATGGAGTTTTTAAGAATTAGCACTCATTATATAAAACCTAATTAGTAAAAGTGTGATTACCCCCACTGCTTCTCCACTTAACAGCTCAATTTTGGCTGTTCTCAAGTGTAAGAAAAAATACATATATGAAGGGTGCCTTTTGAATAATTATTACACCCATAACACTGTGGCGCCATCCATTAGTACCCCAATCCTAATACTTAATATTATGATTGTTTTCAATCAATAACTGATAAATATTTTGTTCTTATAGATTTGGCTAACATGTTCTCTTTAGTGCCTATTTCAATAGCCTCTCAGCTGCAGTTTGCATCCATCTCTTAAGGAACATAATACACATTTCCAGGCTGCCCATGGGTGACCTCTACAGCTTTGTCATCATACGCAGTCTTTGCAGACAAGATTTTAATGATACCCACTTTCTCTAGGAGCCCAGGTATGACAGTACATTGAGGATACCCTCATCCAAGGAGATTCATTTGGTATATTCTTTAAGAACATTTAAGTTTAATATTTCTTAGTACTTTTGGGTTTTGGTGGCAACATATTTCTCATTTACAAATTTTACTTTTAAAATAAAGTCAACAGACACTCCTATTAATAATCTCATAGAACTCTTTCACTGTAGAGGCTTTAACAATCCATTGTAATGCCTCCTGGAGTCTCTGGACTATATATAGTAACCATTAGTTGCCCCAGGGCTTCTGGTGCAGGGTATTGCCTTTTTTTGGCCTTGTGCTATACACCATTAAAACAGCAAATGGCTGTCTACCTACTGGGCTGTCTTGAAAATAGAGGCTCTCACAGACCTTGAGCCTGTGGTCTTTCATACCCAGTTTTCCATTATGATTTGGATCATGGAAACAGTACCCTGCAAGCTCAGCATGGCTACTGAGGCCTCCAAAGGACAGGATGGAGTCAATCCTGAGCCCCCTTCTATATTCCATTTGCTGGAGGGAGAGGCTTCCTTTGTCTCAGCCTCTTGCCAGGTGCCATGGTATTGGAGAAGGTCATCCCTCTCCAAGACCCGTTGACTACCTGAGAAAGCCCTTGGGATTAATTGAGTGAACAATAATGAAAGTTTGTTGATGGTGCAAATAGCACTCCATATAATATGGAGCTTAGTGGAATGTGCTGCTTTCCGTTCCTTAGCCTGAATGTCCCTAATAAAGAATGGGACCCAAGAAACAACGCACTTGGACTAACTCCAGGCAGTCATGTTCACACAAGATGACCTGGTCTACAAGTGGTCTCATCTTCACATTTATTATAAACTATTGAACTATTTGTATTGAACCATTACCTAAAAATTGTCCCCTTCAATGTTGAAAACAAACAAACAAAAACCTCTGGGAAATCTCTTGCCTCACAGACACTCAAAATATAAATCAAAATAACACATCTCCACATACACTAAGACCACAGTACATTGCCTTGCTAGGATATTCCTTATTCCCTTCAGTGTTGCAGACAGTACTAATAGTAAAGAAATCATAATTTCACTTTTTAGAGTACGTCATGCTGGGCCCTTAAGTGAGGCATTCAATAGAACTTTCATGTCCCTGACAAGTCTCAAATAACTGATTTAACTGAGAGACATAATGATGTACTCAAATAACTCTTTTTCAAATTACAGTGAAACAAATAAACTTCAAAAATTCTCTAGTTTACCCCAGGCTTTCACCTATTTTTATTTATTTTTGATCTTACTCCATTTTATAGAGGCCGGAGACTAGACTGAGGGCACATAATCTTCTGGGACTCAGATTATTCCACTTAAACTTTCATCCAACACAAAATTCTGTCAGGTGTAGCTGTACACTATTCTGTTGATTGCTGGTTGTATTACTTAACTACTGGTTTGGGTGCTTTGGTTTACAACTGGAGGCCCAAACTCTCCAGTAGGTGACTGCTTTAACCAATTATGATAAATGCTGAGGCCCACATCAACTCTAGTGTATATCTACTTGAAAAGGATACCCCAGCTCTACATCCTAGCTTACTTTGCCCTGGCCCAAAATCTTGCTGCAGGAGATGACATTGCCACAGGAGACACTGACCCAACCTAAGACTTCAATGCTGGAGATGACTTTGCCCTCTGTGCCGCAGATTACCTTACCACTTATATTAAACCTCTACCCAGTGATGTTCATGGACTGCCTCTCCTAAGACGCAAATAGGCATAAGGCATTTTTGCTTTTCTTCCTGCATTCACTGTTTGCTTAGTCCATGGTATAGTTCTTGCTCTCTGTTCAAATGTAGACTCTCGTACTTTCATACCTAAAGGGAACTCAGACAATGGATACTAAACTTGATGGAGATTATTGCGTTCCCCAGGAGGCACCACTCCCATATTAGTCAATTCTTCGGCTCCTTTGACCTCTTTGGGAGCAGACCACCCGCTTGCTGCTGAGTTTTCCTACTACCTTCCTCCAGCTTTCCACCATAATCTCTCACCTTGTGTCTCCAAACATAGCTACCATAAACACTCTTTTCTCTTAAAGTCAGTAGATCCCCACAACTCAACTATAACTGCCTTCCATTTTTCTGATGCCAAGGCACCAAGGGGTGAATTGTAGTGATTTCTTATAATTCTTTGTTAACCTCAGCATCCATTTTATTTATTTTTTATTTATTATGATTATTATCATTTTTTGAGACACAGTCTTGCTCTATTGCTCAGGTTGGAGTGCAGTGGTGTGATCTCAGCACACTGCAACCTCTGCCTCCATGGTTCAAGCGACTCTCGTGCCTCAGCCTCCCGAGAAGCTGGGATTACAGGCATGCACCACAACGACCAGCTAATTTTTTGTATTTTTAGTAGAGACGGGGTTTTGCCGTGTTTGCCAGGCTGGTCCCAAACTACTGATCTCAAGTGATCCACCCGCCTCAAGCCTCCAAAAGCGCTAGGATTACAGGTGTGAGACACTGTGCCTTGCCAAAAGTTTGTTTTCTCCTGCCAGAGGCAGGGCTCAGCAAACCTTGACACAGTTTCCAGTTCTCTACTACACTCAAATGACTCAAGCTGATAGCCAAAGATAAGGACATAAAGACATTTCTTCAGCCTAGCAAACGGGGTTGCCTGCATTCCCAAAGGACCACTTCCTTCCAAGTAACCATTCTGGCATTTGCCTGATAATTTAAAGTGATCCACATCTCATTCCCTAATATATACATATAAATAGATAGATATAGAGATAGATATAGATATAGATACTGCTAGTTGCCAGACTCTCCTGTTTCTTCCTATTTGTGCTCCCTGACCTTTTGTGTGTTGCCTCCAGGTGTGCTGTGTACTCACTAAGGTCTGTAAGTGCTAACACTCTTAAACTTTTACATTGTAGTTGTGTCATTAAAGACTGATCAAGGAAAAATGAAAAAGAAAACCCACAGATTATCAATATCAGAAATGGAAGAGTAGAGATCACTGTAGATCCTATAGATATTGAAATGACAATAAGACAATACTAAGGGAAAGTTTCTGCTAATAAATTTGGAAACCTAGATGAAATAAATCAATTCTTTGAAAATCACAGTCTAAGAAAGGAATTCAAGAAAAAAGGAAAAACAAATAGTCCTTTATCTGGTAAGAAAATTGTACCTGCAATTTAAAACTTTCTTTAAAATTCCATTTTTAATTATAAATTTTATTAACTTAATAAATGTAGAACTGTAGGCTATATATTTTTTCTTGAGAAAGTATTAACAGTTTTTGTTTTCTAATAAGTACAATCATTTTATCTAAGTTGTTACATGTATTGGTATGTGTTCTACAAAGTTTCTATTTATCCTTTTAATATCTGTAGAATCTATAGTTATGCCACCTCTGGCTAGTTGTATATCAATTTATTGATCTCAAAGAACCAGTGTTTGGCTTTGATATATATTTTTTTCCTGGTTTCTTCTTCAGTGGTTCTCCTGCTTTTTTATTTCTATAAATTTAAGGGGTACAAGTGCAGCTTTCTTACATGGATATATTGCTTAGTGGTGAAGTCTGAGCATTTGCTTAACCATCACCCAAATAATGTGTATTGTACCCGTTAAGTAATTTCTCATTCCTCACCCCTATCTCACCCTCCCACTCTTCTGCGTCTCCAATGTGTATTATTCCACACTTTATATCTATGTATACACATTATTTAGTTCCCACTTATAAGTGAGAACATATGGTATTTGACTTTCTGTTTCTAAGTTATTCATCTAAGATAATGGCCTTCACTTCCATCTGTGTTGCTAGGAAAAACATGATTTTACTCTTTTTTTTTTGGCTGAATAGCATTTCATTGCATACATATGCCACATTTTCATTATCTAATCATTCATTGATGGAACTTAGGTTGACTTCTTATCTTTGCTGTTCTGGGTAGTGCTGCGATAAATATGCAAGTGCAGTTGTCTTTTTGACATAATGATTTCTCTCCCTTTGGGTGTATACCCAGTAGTGAGATAGGTGGATCAAGTGGTAGTTCTGTTCTTATTTCTTGTAGAAATCTCCATACTGTTATCCATAGAGGGCAAAGTAATTTACATTTCCACCAACGGTGTATAAGCCTTTCCTTTTCTCCACATGCTTACCAAGATCGATTATTTTTTGACTTTTTAATAATAGTCATGCTCACTCGTGTAAGATAATATCTTATTGTGGTTTTAATTTGAATTTCTCTGATTAGTGATGTTGAGCACTTTTTCATGTGCTTGATATCTGCTTGTACATCTTCTTTTGAAAAGTGTATATTCATGGGATTTGTCCAGTTTTTAACGGGGTTATTTGATTTTTTGTTGTTTTTGAGTTGTTTGTTCCTTACAAATTCTGGATATTATTTTCCTGTTGGATGCATAGTTTGCAAATATTTCATTTTTTCTTCCTTTATTCTACTCATTTGGGTTTAATTTGCTTTTTATTTTCTAATATCTTAAGGTGGAAGCTGAGCTCACAAATTTAAGACCTTTCTGTTTTTTTGTAATATAATTGTATAGTGCTATATATATAACTCCAAGTACTGTATTAATGGTAATCCCCAATTTTACATATGTTCTGTTTTCATTTCTATTTAATTCAAAATGTAGTCTATTTTTATTTTGATTTTTTAAAAGCATGGGTGATTTAGAAGTGTGTTTGTTGTTATCAAATATTTTGGATTTTTATTAAATCTGTTTATGATTTCTAATTTAATCCCATTGTGGTTAGAGAACATACTTTGTATTAGCCAAATCTTGAAAACTTTATTGATAATTGTTTTACAGTCCACACTATGGTCTGTCTTCATAAATCTTCCATGTGCCCATGAAAAATAACTATTCTATTGTTGTTAGACATAATGTTCTACAATGTTTCTTAGAAAAATTTGATTGACAGTGTTTTCCTAATCTGATTTTTTTATTGTTTATCTGTCCGCCTGTTGTATCAATTATTAACAGATGGGTATTGAAGTATCTGCAAATACATGTTGATTTCTCTCTCTGTCTTTGCAGATCTATCAGGTTTTGCTTCATGTATTTTGAAGCTATGATATTAAGTGCATACACATTTAGAATTATTAACTTCCCTTGATGAATTGACCAATTTATCATTATCAAATGACATTCTTTATCAATGGTGATATGCTTGGCTCTGAAATCTATTTTGCTTGAGGTTAAGATAGTTATTCTTTCTTTTGTTTAGTGTCAGCATGGCATATCTAACTTTCATCCTTATTTTTAACCTACTGGTGCCTTATGTTTAAAATATGTTTTGCTAGACAGCAAATAGTTTGGTTTTCCTTCAGGTTTAAATCCATTCTGACAACTCTTGCTTTTAATAAAATATAGGTATTTTATATTTTATATGATTATCGATATAACAATTATTGATTATTGATATATAATAGATATGGATAGGTGTATATCTATTATCTTTTTATTTGTTTTTTATTTGTCTCATATGTTCCTTCCCTTTTTTTCTCTAATTTTTTGGGGCGTTTTTTCTGGACCTTAGGTATTTCCTAACATCCATGTGCTGATTAGTTCTCTGTTGAATACTCGAGGTGGTTACTGCCAATATTTGGAGCTGTCCCCACATAGCCCTTTACTATTTTGTATTCTGTCCTATGAATTTTAATCTTTTTGTCCTCTGTAGACTCTTAGGTCAGTTTCTTCAAGTTACGAAACCCATCAGGCTGTACTTGGAGTCTCTCTGTCACTGTTTTCGCCTGGAATCTCTCTCAAGGTTGTAAGCTGATGTCTCGCTATCTTCCATTACCTACTATTTCATGTATTATAATTCCTTGTTTTATATATTTTGCATATTTTTGGTTGTTTCAAGTCAGAGGATAAATCTGATCCTTGTTACTTTATCTTTTTTAGAAGCAGATGTTTATTTTTTGACTTTTAATTACCATAAATAAGTTCAATATAAAGCTTGGTACTTAGAAAATCAACTTATCCAAAATGCATACCTCATGTGATTTCTCAGTTAAGTTAATCTTTAAATAATAAAATACTTAGTGATCTCCTCATCTATCTGCACAATATGTTCTAGGCTCTGGTTTCTGGACATGAAATTGAGAATGATTTACTAGAGCTTCTTGTGATGATGCCCTTTGATTATAACAATATCTTAATCCATAAAATCCTTGGTAATACAATTCCTTTTCTGTCCTGAAACAATTTAAAATTTCTGATTTGGTACTCTATTGTCTAGCCTAACAAACAGATATAAATCTCTTTGTTGAAGTCTTGTATTGTTCTATACTCTTTTTAACGGTGATAGGCAAATTCGATTAATGCCAAATCTGGCTATAGATGAAAATTATGTTGAGATTTTTTAAATTTATGCATCACATCCCAGATCTACTAAATTAGAATATCTAGAAGTGAAATTTAAGGATCATCATTTTGTAAAATCTCTCAAGATGACTCTTATGTACAATGAGTATCATTAGACCATATATCCCCAGAAGATGTATATAATTGTCCAATGTAGTCTCTTCTTATAAGATCACAATTTTCTCCCTCAAGCTACTTTCATTAAGAAATATAAACAATATTCTTTAGAAAAACACTTAGATTAAAATGTATACATGAATAATTTTGAAATTATTTACAAATATTTTATTTAGTTCTTGGGCTGCAGGCAGAGCTTAGGGACATAGGATATATATATATATATATATATATCTCCCTATTTTTAACATATAATTGTGCATTATTATAGAGCATCCTCAATCTCTTGGGAAAATGATAAAATGTAATTCCTAATTAAGTAAAGTGAAAACCTTGAATACATTTTCATTTGTCTTACCAGATATAATGATGACAGGATCTTTATAGTTTTTAGGTCATACATTTGTAAATTTTGTGTGTTTTTTGGGAGGGTAACGGGCAAACTTCTGTTTCATGGATTTAGAAAACTTGTTATAAAAATGAGAACAGTCACTTCAATTCTGTTTTAAGTTTCTGTATTTGTTGATAGTAATGGATATTTTCCCCAAGTCTGTTGTAGATACCAGGGATTTTTTTCAGTAGCTCATCAAACCATAATTCTGCTGTTATAACCCAAGTTTAAAGACACCTAAAACTCCATGAAGGCTCTGAGTTAAAGCTCAAGAAGAATTACTGCACAGTGAACATCATACATTTTGATGTTAATATATAATATCTTCAGCACACTTGCCTGTAAGATATTTTTGGCAACCAAATGTTACTTCTATTTTATTCAAAATGTAAGTCTTTTGTAAGACTGAAAGAATAACAGTTGCATGAATAACTGCAACAGACTGTTTCTTTTTATTAATTTATTTTATATTGTTAGCCTTTTTTTGCTAACTACTGATGACAGTTTGGCATAAAACAATATTTTTAAATATTGCCCTAATTCAAGTATTTTTTTTCACATTAAGTGGCTTTTAAAATCTCCCAAAAATATCCTAGGTTTAAATGTCTCTCTGAAAATTCTAAAAGGAAACATAACTTTAAGTAAATATTATTTATAGTATCATTTAAAAACCTTTTACTTTGTTATAGGTCAGCTTTTGCAAATATTGATTCCACTGTCTTCAGTGGCTTATATAATTTTAATACTAAAAAATATACAAGTCAGCTGCAGCTATTTGCTATAATTCAATCTAATATCTGACTCTAAAGGTGAAAAACAGTGCAAAATTCAGGCGTCACTTGTGCTGTCTCCTGATCCTTTATGGCAACATATTTCCAAGCACTGATGAACCAACTCTAATATTAAAAACAAAAAAAAAAAATAAAAAACACTTTATGAAGTCCGTAGTCACTGAAAGATGATCATCTTTTTATTCAGGGAAGAGTTGACGTGAAGGTTAGAATCTTGTTTTTAATAGTTGCATGTGTGAATCATCAACTGATTACACATGCTTTATGAGAAAGTAGTGAGGAAAGGTGTTTATTTTTAGATTCTACTTATGTAAGACTCAAATTTGGTATTTCCTATCAGATTAACATTATTAGTAGCACTAAATGCTTTCCCAACTGCAAAGGGAAGGATTTTATCTTATGAAGCACTTTCAGATTTTGAAGTTTAGAGAGTTATTTTGAAGAAAAGTAGTGCTGTACTGAAGCTCTGGAAATATTTAAAAATTAGTATTATTGGATGTAGGCTAATTCTCTGATGAAATATTGGTAGAGTAAATTGATCTGATGACCAGTTCGTTTCTATCTGTCTAATGGTGTGTCAGAGTTGATAGGTGAGCCCATTACAAAAGTGTAAAATATTTTATAATAATGTATAATATAAATAATTATTTATGTCGAATAATATATTTCTATATTTATATATAATAAATAATAATAAATATTTTATAATATATACAATATAATTTATACATAAATTTATTATAAATAAGTGCAAAATTAAAAATCTATTACTCTAATTTTGTGAATCATCTGTACGTATAATCTATGAGAATGAATTCTTCATACCTGCTATTTTTGATCATTCTGTTTTGAGTTTGATATGTTAATCATACTTAAATTCTTTCTAAAATATTTTAGGAGTATGACATTTGCTGTCTCTGAACCATATGCATTTTAAATATTAATGTTAATTACCTTTATTTTATATCTCTAAACCTGATATATGCCAGCAAAGTAAGGTATTTTATAAACTAAGATTAACATATTTATTTTTTTAAATGTATGCATAAATACTGAAACAAATGTATTGGCTTTTTCTATCTATATGCCAATGTTAGGGGTTTTGTCCATACTAAATTTTCATCATTCTTTGTCCAAGAAAGGCAACGAAGTATATAATTTACCCTAGTATCTCAAGTATTATCTATGTATGAGGTTTAAGGGAGTATCAGTGTTTCCTGGATTAGACTGTATATGAGAGTTGACTACTGAAAAACTAAACAAATGTATTTTATAAAAATCAGCAGATAGAAACAACAAGCAAAAGTCAGTAATCACTTATGTGCAAAAAAGAGTGTTACTTAAAAGTAGAGAGAGCTTCATTTCTGTGAAACTGATAATCTGGGTTAAAAAGAAAAGAACAGATCTGCTTTCATAAACATTTCCTTGGAATCCTTTCCCCACAAACACAATTATTAAAACCCTGAGCTGTTTCATTGCATCATTATAACACTCCAGTTTCCTTCAAAGCATTCCACTCCCGTGATAGCAAATGTGACTGGAAAACTGGCTCAGTTAAGCTATGCCTAATGCAGTCTGCTTTCGTATTCACATCACATTGCACCAGCTATACTGCGGAGAACAAGCAGTTATACAAACGTGTATCCTCCGAGCCAGGATAAACACTCCCTTTTTCTCCCTCTAAACTACTCTTCAGGGAGAGACAGAAAATAAATAGGGACAAAGAACGACAGACATAGAAGTTGGGAGGGTATTAAATAATTCTTGTTTTTTTTTTTTTTTTTTTTTTGAGACGGAGTCTCACTCTGTCGCCCAGGCTGGAGTGCAGTGGCGCGATCTCGGCTCACTGCAAGCTCCGCCTCCCGGGTTCACGCCGTCTTCCTGCCTCAGCCTCCAGAGTAGCTGGGACTGCAGGCCGCCCGCCACCACGCCCAGCTAATTTTTTGTATTTTTAGTAGAGACGGGGTTTCACCGTGGTCTGGATCTCCTGACCTTTTGATCCGCCCTCCTCGGCCTCCAAAAGTGCTGGGATTACAGACGTGAACCACCTCAATCGGCCCTAAATAATTCTTTTCTAAGAAGGCAACAACCAATAGGATTCCTTTTTTAATGTTTTCCCATTTCTTGTTAGAAAAAAAAAGTTATTTCAGCAATGAAGTCTAAAAGCCAACAACTAGGTTTTCAGGCTGTGAAAGGAAGCAGAACTTGTACCAGGTAGGAAGTCCCTTCTGCCGCCCCTTTAATTCTTCTAACTCATGATTTTCTGTGTTAAAATCCTAGTGCTGACTTCTAGATATCTAGCATCTATCATCCACCTTTCCCTGAATGAAAATGTTCCTGGTAAACATTGTTAATGACATTCAGGATATTTCTTCTTTGAAAGGAGAGGACACTTCATATAAAAAAAAGGAGACAGTCTCTACTTCTATCTTCTTGAGCAGAAGTGTGTGTGGAACATTAGGATGCAGCTGACAAAATTGCAGCTGTTTCATATCCATGAAGTCATGTCCGAAAGTAGTAAGGGTTATCTGTTTTGCAATTATAGAAACAGCTGCTCTATTTGTTTAGGAACACTATTGCATTAGCTTTAGTAAAATGTATTGCCGTAAGTTTTGTTCTGTACAATAGGTGAATGTAGTTTAGGGTATTCAAAGACACGTCATAAGTTAAGATATTGTTTTAATTTCCTGGACTCTTTGGGGGCATAGTTCATTCATATTTTTCAGCATTGTGTTTCTTTAGTGGCTGTTGTTTGTCTTACAAAAGATTGATCTTTACCCTTTTCTACTGAAAATATTTAATAATATATTAAGAAAGCATTATTGAATTTATTCACTGTATCATACTTAAGTTATTTAAAAAATTCTTAGATAACAAGGAATTTATTGGAACTTTTGTATGAATCCTTTTTAAATAGCCTAGTAAAATAATTAAATTTATATAAGTAAAAGTTTATACTTTAATTACAGACATAATTTTATTAGAATATTGACTAATCCTGGGTACCTTTTGAGAATATACAAATATAAAATTAAAAATATATGAATTGCAATCTACCATTAATTTTTTTCTAAATAAGACAGAGTTGTTCAGTTCAACAAAGTAATAGATATCGTAGTTCTTTGCTTTGTCCAGATATCTTAACATTAATTTTGGCATGTATATATATATATATATATATATATGTGTGTTTGTCTTATCAAATAATTAATTTACTAAGGCTACACCACTGACAGTCCAGTTTTATTCTTTGGCATGTGAATATCCAATTTTTCCTTCATTTATTAAAGAGGCTGTCCTTTCTCCATTGCATATTTTGGCATATTGGTAAAATGAGTTTATTTCTGGGCTTTCTATTATATTATATTGGTCTAGGTATCTATTTTTATGCTGGCATCACACAGTTTTGTTTACTAGCTTTGTAATATGTATTGAAATCAGGAAGTGTGACACTTCGAGCTTGGTTCTTCTTGCTCGAAATTGCTTTATTTGGAGTATATTGTGACCCTAAATGAACTTCAGGATTGTTTTTCCTATTACAGCACAAAATATCTTTGGGTTTTTAATGGGGATTGCAATGAATCTGTAGTCCAACAGGGATATGAAACATTTTTAGCATCACTAATTATCAGGTAAATACAAATAAAAACCACAGTGAAATATCACTTCATGCTTGTTGGGATGGTTATTATAAAAAAAAAAGACAAGTGGTGAGGTTGTGGAGAAATTGGAACTCTTGTACAATATTGGTGAAAATGGAATTGGTATAGCTATTATGGAAAACACTAGGGATGTGCCTTGAAAGATTAAAAATAAAAATACCATGAAATTCAACAATCCAACTTCTGACTATCCAGAAAAATTAAAATCTGTATGTTGAAGAGATATCTGCACTTCCATGTCAATTGCAGTATCATTCAAATGAGACAAGATATGAAAACTATGCAAGCGTCCATTAACAAAGGAATGGATAAAGAAAATTTTATCCATCTATCTATTTGTCTATGTATGTACACACACACACACACACACACACACACACACACACACAAAGGAATATTATTCAGCATTAAAAAGAGGGAAATCCTACCATTTGCAACAACATCGATGCTAAGACTGTTAAGTGAAATGTATGTCACAAAGGAACAAACACTACATGATTTTTCTTATATGAGGCATCTAAAATAAAGGTGTAGAAGTAAATAATAAAATGACGGTTACTAGAGAATGGGAGGAGGAGTATATGGAGAGTTGTTTTTCAACATGTACAAAATTACAGTTATACCAGATGAAGTAAGTTCCAGTGATCTGCTATATAACATAGTGCCTATAGTTAATAATAGGTATTGAGTACCTAAAAATTATTAGGAGGGTAGATCTCATACTAAATGCTCTTACCACAAAAACCAACAAAAAAACAAAGGGACATAAGGAAACTTTTAGAGATGATAGATATGTTTCTTTACTTGGATTGTGGTGAGAGTATCATGAGTGCATACATATGTTCAAACTCACCGAATTATATACTTTAATTACATGCAGCATTAAAATACCAATCAGACCTCAATATAGTTACAAAAACGATTTTGAAAGGAATAAAAATGTTATTAACATGTTGAGTGCTAAGTGGACAAAGAAAGAAAAAATTTTGTTTTATAAAATGATATATCTATTTCTAAAACATTAACCGAAGCACATTAGGGAAATATCAAGGTCATACTTTCGAACTAGAATAGTCAAAATTTATTCAAAATTTTGCTACAGTGTACAAATAGAATCACTCTGAATTTTTGATGCAAACAAATCAAGGCATTTATGTGTTTTGCAAAATATAACCACTATATAAATGTTATATGTACATTTGTATGTTCCATAGATAAAATCTATATTTTATTATGGTAAGAGCACTTAACGTGAGTTCTAATATCTTAACAAATTTTTTAAATGCATAATACGTAATGGTGACTATAAGCACAAAGTTTTATGTTTTATAGCACATCTCTAGAATTTACTCATCTTGCATAACTGCAACCTTATACCCATTGAACATCAATTTTACTTTTACAAGTGCTTGTATTTAAAAGTAAATAGTACTAAAATTATATACTTTTACTTTTGATTAAAATAATAAGAATCAGAAATATTATGAAACACAATATACAATAACATATTCACAATATCATTATTTCCTTTGTTATAACCTGCTTTAAAAAGTGTGAATGCATCTGGGTGTGGTGGCTCATGCCTGTAACCCCAGCACTTTGGGAGGCCAAGGCGGGCGGATCATGAGGTCAGGAGATCGAGACCATCCTGGATAACACAGTGAAACCCCATCTCTACTAAAAATATTAAAAAAAGAAAAATTAGCTGGGCGTGGTGGCGGACACCTGTATTCCCCGCCACTCGGGAGGCTGAGGCAGGTGTATGGCGTGAACCTGGGAGGCGGAGTTTGCAGTGAGCGGAGATTGTGCCACTGCACTCCAGCCTGGGCGACAGAGCGAGACTCTATCACCACCCTCACACCCCCCCAAAAAAAGTGACTGTTTTCAGCACCTAGTGAAGAATCTGTTATAACAATTGTTTCTCGAATAACTGTATTTATTTTTTAGAATTTCCAACTTATTTTATCTATAATAGCAAATTATTAAATGTTTACTTTTAATATCATTTTGAAAATTCTTAATTTTGAATGACAGTAACAGTATCTATACAAGTGAAAATATAACAGTTATCTGTACAAGTGAAAAAATTGAAGAATGTTAACATTTATGCTGTTTGTGAGTGAAATTTGTATCTCCTTTTTTTAAAAAAAAAATAAAATATACGTTTCCTAACTGCTTGTAGCATCTATGCAGGCAAATCTGAACTTTCTTATCTTTGTCGCTGTACAAAATAATGTATTTGTTAGCAAGACATAACTTCTGTTGAGAGTCAATGAGCTTTTACCATCCTTGTGGGCAAGGGTATGCCTTGCCTTGGGGGCAAGGCATGGCCCCAACCCCTGGGCCATGGACCAGTACAGGTTCATGGCCTGTTAGAACCAGGCCACACAGAAGGAGGTGAGTGGTGGGTGAACCAGCAAAGCTTCTTCTGTATTTACAGCCTCTCTCCATTGCGTGCATTACCGCCTGAGCGCTGCCTCCTGTGATATCAGCAGTGGCATTAGATTCTCATAAAAGCAGGAACCCTATTGTGAATAGCACTTATTGAGGGATCTAGGTTGCACACTCCTTATGAGAATCTAATGCCTGATAATCTGTCACCGTCTCCCATCACCCACAGATGGAATCAACTAGTTACAGGAAAACAAGCTCAGGGCTCCCACTGATTCTACATGATGGTGAGTTGTAAAATTATTTCATTATATATTACAATGTAATAATAATAGAAATAATGTGCACAATAAACATAATGCACTTGAATCATCTTGCAACCATCCCTCCACCCCCTGGTCTGTGGAAGAATTGTCTTCCACCAAACCAGTCCCTGTTACCAAAAAGGTTGGGGACCACTGCTTTAGAGTCGAAAGTCCCATTACTTTGGTACATGTCACAATGTTATAACTAGGATTTTGTTAATTTTGTTTTTTCTCTCACCATGAGTGGCTATCTTATGTTAATATGCCTTTTAATTGAACTTAATAAGGTAATTGCTTTCAAAAGTCAGATTTCAAACACAGTAACCTAAGTCCTAACAAAACTTATATTAATAAAATATTGTGTGATGATGATTATTATTATTTTTGAGGTGGAGTCTCATTCTGTCACACAGGCTGGAGTGCAGTGGTGTGATTTCGGCTCAATGCAACCTCTGCCTTCCAGGCTGAAGCGATTCTATTGTCTCAGGCCCCTGAGTGGCTGGAATTACAGGCCTGGCTAATTTTTGTATTTTCAGTAGAGACTGCGGTTTCACTATGTTGGCCAGGCTGGTCTCGAACTCCTGACCTCAAGTGATCTGCCCACCTTGGCCTCCCAAAATGCTGGGATTACAGGCATGAGCCACCACACCTGGCCAAAATATTGCATTATTATGAATGACCCATCTTAATCTAACATGTCTGTAGATGTGACCAACTATTTTGAATTATATGTCTGCATAGAGAGATTTATACTGCGTATAGAGAAAATCCACTTAGTATGTAAATAAACTAAAAATAGAATATTCTGTGTATTTTGTGACAGGACTATAAGACTTTTTCTTGTATTCCTTTTTTACAAATCAAAAGATAAGAACCAATGTTTATTTTGCTGTAAGTTTTATGCATACATAGAAGTTACTTGGAGACACATTACTTTTAAAATACATTTAAGACTATTGTCTCTAAGAAACCAATCATTATACGCAATTAACTGCTAGATTTCTAGTTCATTATGGCCTATTAATGCTTTTAACAAAGTGACTGCTAAGTAAAGCAGCAGTAGGGAGAACATAATGGTTGATATTGGAATTGGATTAACCATGTGATATCCTTTTTTTTCTAGTTAAAAATGCATACATATTTTGTAAAGTTTAAATGAAAAATTGTTTTTGCAAATGTCTCCTATTTTGTGTATTTAAATGTTATGCCATCTATCATATTTGTGTAATAAAAAGATATAATAGACCACATTAATCTATTTTATTGTTCTTGAACTCTTTTTCGCACTGTTCACTTATTCATTTTTGATTGTCTGGATTCACGAAAGGTAGTGATGGCTCAGATAACACAAAATTAGAGATGTCATCCAATCACATTATAATTAGCCCTGAGAGACTTTTATTCTAACACTTAAATATGGATTCTGGAAATACTCAACAATACAGTCCAAAAAATAAAGTCATGCAGGAAAAAAAAATCAATAAATAGTCTTCCCATCTTTTGTCCTGTCCCCAGTGCAGCGACCTAGTTTCATATCTAGAAGAAGAGAATCTCACAACTTGGAGAAATTACCACTTGTACAATGCTCTAATCTCCATTATATCGCTGTCAAGTGACCATCAAACCTCAGCTGTTACCTTTCACATAAGAGGGATCATAACCTCTCTTTGAACTCCTTTGAAGTCTTCTGACTATCTAGCAGTTCTTCTCCATTGAGCTAAAAATCACATTAAATAGCATCATTCTGAAGTGCTTTGATTTTGTAATCAGGAAAAAAAAGCAGTTTCAATTAATAATAATAATTGAATAAAAATAATAACGTTTTACCTTAGTGTTGTGATAATTCAGTAAACTAATGTACTCACAAATACTAAGCTCAGTAACTTATTTTTGCTCACTTTTTAATCCTGGTTCTTCTACCTTTCGAACATGGCAAAGTTAACAAAATTCTGAATGAAATAGTAAATAAAAATGTCAACAAAATTTTGAAATTAATGCTCACAATAAAGATAATCTAAGTTTTAGGCAGGAAATAAAAAAATTTATATGTGTATGCACATATACAAACATGTTTATGAAGAAACTCAAAATTCCACAGCCAGAAGGAATATAATTAAGTGAAAAAATGGAGAAAAGATAGTATGCCATACCTGAGAATTTTTTTCTCCTTAACTATTACCATAGGATGAAATAGCTAAATATCTGCAAATTTTCCCCACATCCACACTTTGTTCCCTCGCAATCTTGGTTCCATGAACTACTGAAGGATTCCGTGTTCTTCATTACTAATCTGATATATACACTCAAGTTGAAATTTAAGTGAATAATAAATCCTCCATGATATTTGCACTTAGAACTTTATTTTATAGTAAATTTATGTTTTCTGTGCTAAAACACAATTAACATGAGATGTACCTTCTCAACACAAATTTACAATACTATATTGATAACTCTAGGAACAATGCTGTATAACAGATCTCTAGAAGTTATTCATTTTGCATAATCAAAATTTTATTCCCATGGATTAGCAATTTCCTACTTCTCCATGCCCCCAGGCCCTGAAAACCACTATTCTACTTTCTGGTTTCATGAATTTGAATATTTTTAGATACCTCGTATAATTTGAATCATGCAGTATTTATCCTTCTGTGACTGGCTTATTTCAACTAGTATAATGAACTCAGCATAATGGATTCATTCATTTTGTTCTATATTGCAGGATTTCTTTCTTGCATAAGCCTGAATAATATGACACTGCATGTATATACCTCATTCCTTTTATCCATTCATCTGTCAATTGGCATTTAGGTTATTATTATGGACATATTGATTAGTGCTGCAATGAACATGGGGATGCTAATATCTCTTAGAGATACTGAATATAATTATTTTGCATAAGTACACAGAAATAGGAGTGTTAGATCATATGGTAGCTGTATTTTGAATTTTTTTAGGAGTCTTTGTACTGTTTTCCACACCGGCTTCACTATTTTGCATTCATTTTAACAATGTATGAGGTTTCCAATTTTGCCAAATCTTCATCAACATTCATCTTTTGTTTTTTAATAGTTTTGTTCATTTTGAATTTTAGTTTTTAGTACGCATCATATAAGGTGTACAACTTGATGCTTTGCTCTACATAATAAACATGGTAAACTGATTACTAAAATCATGTTAATTAACATAATAATCTCCTCACATAGTCACTTTTTGTGATGAGAACACTTAAAATCTGATCTTTTAGCAAATTCCAAGTATAAAATATGGTATTATTAATTGTCATCATCATGCTGTACATTAGATTTGTAAAAGTACCCATCCTATAAACCTAATCTTTGTACTTTTTGACCATTATCTCTTCGTTTTCCTTATCCCCAGACCCCTGTTAACCACCATTCTGCTGTCTGCTCTTATGAATTCAACTTTTTTCAATTCCACACATAAATGAGATCAGGTAGTATTTTTCTTTATGTGTCTGGCCTGTTTGAGCATAATACCACTAGAAGAAAATACAGATAAATAGCTACTTGACATTGGTCTTGGTAATGAGTTTTTACTATGACATCAAAAGAACAGTCAACAAGAACAAAACTAAACAGGTGGAACCACATGAAGCTGCAAAGTTTCTGCAGAGCAAAGAAACAATCAATAAAATAAAATGGCATCCTGTAGGTTGGAAGAAAATATTTGCAAACCATACATCAGATTAGGGATTAATATTCAAAATATATAGAAAACACAACAATATCAAAACCCACAAGTGACTTAATTAAAAATGGACAAAAGACATGAAAAGACATTTTTTGAAAAAAGACTTAAAGATTGTCAACAGGTACATAAAAAGGTGTTCGATATCACTAATCAGGGAAATAGAGATCAAAATCACATTGACATATTGTCTTATATCTGTTGGGATAGGCAGATAGGATCAACAGATAATCCTGTTACACTTTTTTTTAAAGAAAGGTTGGCTAGAATGTAGAGAAATTGGAATGCTTGTATACTGTTGGTGGGAATTTAAAATGGTACAGTCATTATGGGAAAGTGTATGGAAGTTTTTTTTTTTAATTAAAAATACGATATATGGTCCAGTAATCCCTCTTCGGAGTACATATACACATGAAATAAAATAGTATCTTGAAGATTTATCTGAGCTCTCATGTTAATTGCTGCATTATTCACAATAGCCAAGTTATAGAAAAAAAGTGCCTGTAGATGGATGGAGATATGCACACACACTCACACACACTGGAATATTATTCAGCCATAAAAGAAGGAAATTCTGCCATTTATAACAACATGAATGAACCTGGAGGATATTATGCTAAGTGAAATAAGTATTTTGTTTTTTAAAACATAAGCATAACAGTTTTGAGGTGATACATCATTTGAGCTTAGATTTGAACTTCCTCCATGATTAGTGACACTAATCATCTTTTCATAATAACTGTCGACCATTGTATGTCTTTTTAAGAGAAGTGTCTGTTCACATTGTTAGCCCATTTTTAATTGGGTTATTAATTTTGTTTATTTTTTGTTTTTGCTATTGAGTTGCAGTTCTAATATATATTTTGGAAACTAATGTCTCATTTGATATATGGTTTACAAATATATTTTCCCATTCTGTACATTGCCTTATCATTCTGTTCATTATTTTATTTGCTGTGCAAATGCTTTTTATTTTGCTGTAGCCTCACTTGTCTATTTTTGATGTTTTTCCCTGTGTTTTTGTTGTCATATACATGAAATCATTACCAAAACCAATGTCATAGAGATTTTTCCTGTTTTCTTTTAGGAGTTTTACAGAAAGTCTTTAATTAATTTTGAGTTGACTTTTGTCTATCATGTAAGATAAGGGTCCCATTACATTCTTTTACAATTGGATATCTGGTTTTTCATCACGATTTGTTAAAGAGATGATCCATTCTTGCATATAGCAGTCTTGTAAAAGATCAGTTGACAATATATTTGAGGACTGATGTCTCGGCTCTTTAGTCTGCTCCATTAGTCTACAAGTCTTGTTTTTATTCCACTACAATACTTTGTAACCATAGCTTTGTAACATGTTAATAATTTGAAATCAGAAAATGTGGTGCTTCCAGCTTTGTTCTTGCTCAGGTTGCTTTGGCTATTCAGGGTCTTTTGTAGTTCCATATGAATTTTAGGATTGTTTTATCTATTTCTTTAAAAAATGCCAATGAAATTTTGATAGGAATTGCATTGACTACTTAGATCGTTTTGGCTTATGTGGGCAATTTAACAGTAAACCTTTCCATCCAGGAACAGAAGATGTCTTTCAGTTTGTTTTTGCTTTCTTCAATTTATGCCACAAATGTTTTGTAGTTTTCAGTGTATAATTAATCACCATAATTAAGAATATTCCTCAGTGTTTTATTATTTTGGGTGCTATTGTAAATTATATGATTTCCTAATTTCTTTTTCATGTAGTACTTTAATAGTGTATAGAAACAACTTATTATGTATGATTTTTCCATCTTTTTGAGGTATAACTGACAAAATTGCATGTTTAAGGTGTATAAGTGATGCTTTGATGTGTGTATACATTGTGAAATGTTTACCACAATCAAGGTAATTAATATATCCACCACCATACATAGGTATCATTAAGGTGATAATATTTAAGGGCTACTTTCTTATCAAATTTCAAGTATGTAATGCAGTATTATTAACTGTAGTCAACATGTTGAACAGATCCCACAAGTAAGTGATATCATGAAGTATTTCTATTCTATGTCTGGCCTATTTCACTTAGCATAACATCTTCTAGTTTCATCCATGTTGCAAATGGCAGAATTTTCTTTTCATGGCTGAATATCTCATTGTATATACAAGTATACAATATTTCCTATATCCATTCATCCATTTATATATGCTTAGATAGTTTTCACATCTTTGCTATTGTGAATAACCAATTGCATTGGTCTATGTGTCTGTTTTTGTACCAGTACCATGTTCTTTTGGTTACTATAGTTCTGTATTGTAGTTTGAAGTTGGATAGTGTGATGCCTCCGGCTTTGTCCTGTTTGCTTAGGATTACCTTGGCTATTCAGGCTCCTCTTTGGTTCCAGATGAATTTTAAAATAGTTTTTTTCTAGTTATGTGAAGAAAGTAATTGGTAGTTATCTGGGGAACCAGCCCCAGTATTTCAGTGTAGTCTCTTTTCTATTTTCCCTAAGTGTCAGCCGGTCTGAGAAATAAAGAAAAAGAGTACAAAGAGAGAAATTTTATAGCTGGGCCTCCGAGGGTGACATCACATATCGGCAGGTTCTGTGATGCCCACCTGAGCCACAAAACCAGCAAGTTTTTATTAGGGATTTCAAAAGGGGAGGGGTGTACGAATAGGGAGTGGGTCACAGAGATCACATGCTTCACAGGGCAATAAAAGATCACAAGGCAAATGGCAAAGCAAGATTACAAGGCCAGGGCAAAATTAGAATTACTGATGACGTTCCATGTCCCGCTGGGCATGCATTGTCATCGGTAAACATCTTAACAGGAAACAGGGTTCGAGAGCAGACAACTGGTCTGACTAGAATTCGCCAGGCTGGAATTTTCTAATCCTAGCAAGCCTGAGGGCGCTGCAGGAGACCAGGGCGTATTTCATCCCTTATCTTCAACCACATAAGACACACACTCCCAGAGTGGTCATTTGAGAGACCTCCCCCTGGGAATGCATTCCTTTCCCAGGGTTATTCCTTGCTGGGAAAATAATTCAGCACTATTTCTCCTATTTGCTTTCTGCAAGAAGAGAAATATGACTCTGTTCTGCCCGGCCCCACAGGCAGTCAGACCTCATGGTTATCTCCCTTGTTCCCTGAAAATTGCTGCTATCCTTTTCTTTTTTCAGGATGCCCAGATTTCATATTGTTTGAACACACGTGTTTTACAAACAATTTATGCAGTTCACACAATCATCATAGGGTCCTGAGGCGACATACAACCTCAGCTTATGAAAATGATGGGATTAAGAGATAAAAGTAAAGACAGGCATAGGAAATTATGCCTGGGTGGAAACTGGTGCTGAGCCCTGACAAGCAAGGGTAGGTGGAACAGTCTTACTGCTCTCAGGCACATGAACTGTGGCCGCTATTGGGGCTATGGCACCAGTGCTGGTCAGCTGCAATCATTTACATAACATTCCAATTGCAATAGAATGTACATTCTTCTCATCCGCACATGGAATATTCTCCAAGATAAACCATATACTAGGACAAAAACAAAGTATAAACACATTTTTAAAAATCAAAATCATATCAGGTGAGTTTTAAACTTCATATGTTAAGAATGGTTCAATACACACAAATCAATAAATGTGATCAACCAAATAAAGAGAAAAAACATGATTTTCTCAATAGATAAAGAAAAAGCATTTGCTAAAATTCAGCATCCCTTCATGATAAATACTCTTAATAAACTAGGCACAAAAGGACATAATACAAAATACTGCTGTTTATTTTTGGTTTCCATTTACATGGAATATAATTTTTCATCTCTGTGCTTTCAGTCTATATGTGTATTTAGAAGTGAAATGAGATTTTTTTATGCAGCATATAGTTGGATCAAGTTGTGTTATTCATTCAATCATTCTATAACATTTAAGCAGACAGTTTATTTATATGCAAGGGTATTATAGATATGTGAGGGCTTATACTTGTCATTTTATTTATTTTATTAAATATATTTTGCTCCTTAATTTATGTTTTGTTTTCTTTATTTTGGTTTAGTGGTTTTCTGTAGTGGTAACACTGAAGTCCTTTCTCTTCCTCATTTGTGTGTTTGCTCTACCCGTGTGTTTAGTACTTTTGTGTATTTTCATGATCATAAATATCGTCCTTTTGCTTCCACATGTAGGATCCCTTAAGCATTTCTTGTGGACCCATCTTGTGGTGATGAATTCCATAACACAGTCAAAGTGCTGAAAGAAAAAAAAAGCTTCCAACCAAGATTACTTTCTTTGGGAAAGTCTTCATTTCTTCTTTATTTATAAATGATAACTTTGTTGTCCATAGTATTGTTTCCTAGCAGCTATTTTTTTTTCAGCACTTTGACTGTATTATTCTATTCTGTCCTGGCCTATAATGTTTCTGCTGATATGTCTAGTGTTGGTATGATGGAGATACACTTAAAAGTGACTAGTAATTTTTTTTTCATTACTGGTTTTATAATTATCTCTTTGATATTGACTTTTGATAGTTTAACTATAATGTGCTGTGAAGATCTTTTTGAATTGTATCTTATTGGAGATCTTTGAGCCTTCTACATTTGGATGTCTAAATGTTTTGTTAGATTGGGAAGTTTTCAGCTATTATTTTATTAAATAGATTTCCTATTTCTTTTGTTTTCTCTTCAACTTCTGGGACATCAAAAAATTGAATATTTTGTCACTTTATGCTGTCTCATATGTTAAGTAACCTTTGATTATTATTTTAAAATATTTTTATTTCCATAGTTTTTGGGGTGCAGGTGGTTTTTGGTTACATGGATAAGTTCTTTAGTAGTGATTTCTAAGATTTTAGTGCATCTGTCACACAAGAAATGTACACTGTACCTAATTTATAGTGTCTTATTGCTCACCCTTCCAAAACATCTCTCCTAAGTCCCCAAATTCCATTATATCATTCTTATGCCTTTGTGTGCTCATAGCTCAGCTCCCACTTCTAAGTGGGAACATAACAATATTTGGTTTTCCATTCTGAGTGACTTCACTTAGAATAAGGGGCTCCAGCTCCATCCATGTTGCTGCAAAATACATGATTTCATTCCTTTTATAGCTGAGTAGTATTCCATGATGTATATATACCACATTTTCTTTATTCATTCATTGGGTGATGGACACTTAGGTTGGTTCCATTATCTTTGCTATTGTGAATTGTGCTGCTATAAACATTTATGTTCATATTTCTTTTTCATATAATGACTTCTTTTCTTTCGGGTAGATACCCAGTAGTGGGATTGCTGGATCAAATGGTAGTTCTACTTTTAGTTCTTTAAGGAATATCCGTACTGTTTTCCATAGTGGTTGTACTAATTTTCATTCCCAACAGTAGTCTATAAGTGTTTCTTTTCCACCACAATCATGTCAACATCTATTATTTTTTAACTTTAACTATGGCCATTCTTGCAGGAGTGAGGTGCTATCTCATTGTGGTTTTAATTCACATTTCCCTGATGATTAGTGATATTAAGCATTTTTTCATATGTTTGTTGGCTGTTTGTATATCTTCTTTTGAGAAATGTCAATTCATTTCCGCTTGTTGATGGAATTATTTGTTTTTCTCTTGCTGATTTGCTTGAGTTTTTTGTAGATTGTTGACACTAGTCCTTTGTAGGATGTATAGTTTGTGAATATTTTCTCCCACTTTGCGGTTGTCTGTTTACTCTGCTGGTGCTGATAATGATGATGATGATGATGACGATGATTATTATTATTATTATTTTGCTGGGCAGAAGCTCTGTAGTTTAAATAGATTCCAGTTGTTATTATGTTTTTGTTGATTTGCTTTTGGGATCTTAGCCATGAATTGTTTACCTAAGCCAATGTCCAGAAGAGTGTTTCAAATGGTATCATCTAGAATTTTTGTGCTTTCAGGTCTTATATTTTAGTCTTTGATCCATCTTGAGTTGATTTTTCTATATAGTGCAATACGATGTTCCAGTTTCATTCTTCTGCATGTGGCTTGCCAGTTTTCTCAGCACCATTTATGGAATAGTGTGTCTTTTTGTCAATTTAAGTTTTTTTTTTAATTTTTTATTTATTATACTTTAAGTTTTAGGGTACATGTGCACATTGTGCAGGTTAGTTACATATGTATACATGTGCCATGCTGGTGCGCTGCACCCACTAACTCATCATCTAGCATTAGGTATATCTCCCAATGCTATCCCTCCCCCCTCCCCCCACCCCACCACAATTTAAGTTTTTACATGCTCTGTTGACGAACAGTTGGCTGTAAGTATTTGGTTTTACTTCTGGCTTCTCCATTCTGTTCCATTGATCTATGTGCCTACTATTATGTTAATACCATAATGTTTTGGTAAGTATAGTCTTGTAGTATTATTTGAAGTTGGGTAATGTGAGTCTCCATATTTTTTCTTTTTGCTTAGTATTTATTTGGTTATGTGGGCTCTTTTTTGATTCCAAATAAATTTTAGGATTGATTTTTTTGTTCTGTGAAGAATAATAATGGTAATTGATGGGAATTACGTTGAATCTATAGATTGTTTTGTGCAATAGTATCATTCTTACACGATTGATTCTTCCCATTCACGATCATGGAATGTGTTTCCATTTGTTTATGTCACCTACAATTTCTTTCATCAGTGTCTTGCAGTTTTCCTTGTAGAGATCTTTCTCTACTTGTGTAAGTACATTCCTAGTTATTTTACTTTTTCTTGCAACAGTTCTAAAATTTTTTTCTTTATTTTTGTCTGACTGGATTATTTCAAAAGACTTGTCTTCTAGTTCTGATTTCTTTCTTCTGCTTGATATACTGTATTCTTGAAGTTTTCAAATGTGTTTTGTGTTTCTTTCGATGAATTTTTTGGTTTCTGATATATTTTTTCTTTTTTAAAATATTTATCTCTTTGGTAAATTTCTCATTCATATCCTGAATTTTTTAAAAAAATTTCTTATTTCTTTTTATTGTTTTTCTGAGATTTCTTATCTCATTGACCTTTATTAATATCATTATTTTATATTCTTTTTTTTGAGATTTCATAAGTTTCTTCACTGGAGTGTTACTAGAGAACTATTGTGTTCTTTTGGAGGTGAAATTTTTATTGTTTATTTATATTTCTTGTGTCCTTCTGTGGTTATCTGTGCATTTGGTATAATAGTTGGATTCCTCAATTTTTAAAAAATATATTTTTGGGGAAGAACTTTTTCCTGAAGATATTTTTGTCATGTTGGTTGGGTAGGGCTATTTGGCTTTTATTCTATGTGCATGAAGTAGTTTAGTCACCATATAATCTTTTCAGTGTTAAACAGCATCAATAGTGTCTTTGATTTCTTTATTGGCTTAGTGTGTGGTTTTTAATGCAGGCTGTGATGATATTTTCCTGGGGATGGTGATATCAGGTGGACCACTCTTCAATGGTGGCAATTGTGGACCGACTGTGCCTATCCTTGTGTCGCAGGGCAGCATATACTGGCACCATTGTTAGCAGGTCCAGGTGGGCTGATTTTTGGGCCACCATGCAGCTTGATTGGGTGCCAGAAATTGCAATGGTGGGCACATTTTTTGTGCCCCTGGGCAGCAGTTTGTCCTGGGCAATGGCAGTAATAGTGATAGGACAATCCTCCGGCTTCCAAGCGTTCCACGGTGGTGATGCTCATGGCTGTGTGGGTCAGTCCTCGGGCCTACAGGGATGCATGTGGGTAAGTCCAGCTGTGGGCATAGTAGAAGTTTGTTTAGGCCCATCCTCAAGACCCTAAGAAGAGTACTCAGGTACAGTGATAGATGGGACAGAGTGGTCTTGAGGACATCAGACGGTGTGCCTGGGCACTGAGGAGATTGTGCTGTGCTGGGCAGAACTATCCTGAGCTTCTCTGTGGAGTTTGTTGGTACTGACTGTGGTAGTCATTGACAAAATTCTCAAACCTTTATAAGAATGCTTGGGTTGGGGCAGCAGTGGCTGTGCCGCATCCCTGCTGCTCCCTGGTGGGATGGCTTTCAGTGGCAACAGCCATAAACAGGCAGCTGGGGCTCCAGGCGGCAGCTCTAAGTGGAGTAGCCTTTTCTCAGGGCAATTTAAAATGCACAGTGGCCCTGCTACTTGGGGTAGTGAGATCACAGCCAATTGTTCATACTTCAGCCCTGACAGCTGCAGCCAGCAGCAGTTCCCAGATGTGGACAGAGCATATCATTGGGGTTCCAGGGATGTGGAGATTAAGGGATTGTTGACCGCCAGGGCAGGGTGCAGTGTGGTGATGGCTAGGCACTTAAAATGTCACCTTGCAGCAGCTGCTTAGAATTTGGGATGTGAGTGAAACCCAACATGTGCTCTCTCTCTGGAGCAATGCCATCAACTGGTCTCCAGGCAGCTCTTAATGTTAGTTTGGGGTTCTGATGGGTTGAGTAGCTCTCCCATGGCTGGACTATCTAGAGTCCATGGTGAGAATGTAGACTTTTGGGGGTGACTTACTTACCCTTTCCCTGCATTGGGAAGGCTCTACAGGATCCCAGCAAATCAGGCTGCCTTGCCTCACTTTCCTTCCTTGTGTTAGGAATTTCCTGTGACTTCTCTGTTGAATTCCAATATTTTATCTTAGGTAATTTATTTGAAGTGTAATTACCTTCTTGCTATTTCACTTCTTAGTTTTGGAGGAGGTGAGTACCAGATGCCTGTAGTCAGTCATCTTGAAGTCCTCCTGCATAAATACATTTCTTTGAAGGAATATCTGCAAAATTCTTTATAACATAAACCAGTTAGGCAACGTTTCTTTTAATTTGTCCAGGTTTTAGACTCAAAAACATAACTTTACATTTACTTCTGTTAAATTTTATCTTGTTAGATATCACCCCATTAGATCTTTATAGAGTTTCATCCTACTGGTTAACATGTCAATTTTTCTTTCTTGGTTCATGTTTTCCACAAACATTATTAGCAAGTAATTAATGTCTTTGTTTATATCACTAATACAAATATTTAATAGTGTACAGCTGACAGCAAAATTATTTAAAAATCCCTCCAGTTTGATAGTTATCCCTTAATCAGAAGTTTTTATTTATGGACATTCAACTACATATGATCCCTGACTTACAATTTTTTGATTTCATGATGTTGCAAACATGATGTGCATTCAGTAGAAATCATATTTGGTTACCCATACAACCATTCATATTTTCACTTTCAGTACAGAATTCAGATACAATTTAGAACTAAATGCTTTATTACAAGATAGGCTTTGTGTTAGAAGATTTTGCCCAACTTTAGGCCAAAGTGACTGTTCTGAGTACCTTTAAGGAAGGCTTGGCTAAGCTATGATGTTCAGTAGGTTGTGTATTAAATGCATTTTTGATTTACACTATTTTAAACTCATAATGGGCTTATTAGAGCATAACTCCCTCATAAAACAAAGAGCACTCGTCATTGTAATTCTAAACAGTTTCTACTTTTTCTCACTTTGCTAAATAATAAAATCATTTCCATGTGTTTATCATGAAATGTTTGAATGCAATCATTGCATAAATTCAGGTATGTGATTTTTGTACACATTGATATGGTTCAGCACGCTAGGCACTCTCATCAAAGCAAATTCAATTTGTTAGGGGTGTATTATTTTCTTTTTTATTAATAGTAAATTTATTAAATTTAAGGACACTTTGTATAAAAATTGTTCTAAAAGACATAGAATGTATCCAAATGGGAAGAGAGGAAGTCAAAATATCTCTGTTTGCATATGATATGATTCTATACCTAGAAAACCCATGTTCTCTGGCCGAAAGCTCTTAGACCTGATAAACAACTTTAGCAAAGTTGCAGGATGCAAAATCAATGTATAAACATCAGTAGCATTTCTATACATCAACAGTGTCCAAGCTGAAAGCCTAACCAAGAACACAATCCCATTCGCAATTGCCACAAAAAAAAGAATAAAATACCTAGGAATACAGCTAATCAGGGAGGTTAAAGGTCACTGCAATGATAATTACAAAACATTGCTCAAAAAATCAGAAATGACATAAACAAATGGAAAACCATTCCATGCTCATGGATAGGAAGAGTCAATATCATTAAAATGGCCATACAGCCCAAGGCAATTCACAGGTTTAATGCTATGCTTATCAAACTATCAGTGACATTTTTCATAGAACTAGGAAAAAAACTATTTTAAAATTCATATGGAACCAAAAAAAGTCAGAATAGCTAATGCAATTCTAAGAAAAAAGAAAGCTAGAGACATCACATTACAGTACTTCAAACTATACTACTAGACTACAGTGATGAAAGTAGCATCGTATTGATACAAAAACAGACACATAGACCAATAGAACAGAATAAAAACCCCAGAAATAAAGTCACATACCTACTACCATCTGATCTTCAACAAAGTTAACAAAAACAAGCAGTGGAGAAAAGATTTCCCTATTTAATAAATAATGGTGGGATAACTGTGTAGCAGTCATATGCAGAAGACTGAAACTGGACCCCTTCCTTACATCACGTAAAACAATCAATTTGAGATGGAATACTCAATTATAAAAACAAAAACAATAAAAACCTTGCAAGATAATCTAGAAATACCATTCTGGATGTAGATCTTAAAGTTTAAAAAAATGAAAAAAAAATAAAAACTCTAAAATTCTTAATAAAGAAGTGTTTTTTCCTCAAAAAAACTGATTTAACAATAAACTGAAATATTTCTTAAAAAATGAAATGTGTGTGTTGGTTCCCTGTGCCTCAGCATGTATCTATTTATTGAAATATATGTGTAAGTTAGCTGTGACTTGTCATCTATCTACTTAATAAAATATAATAGTTTTTTAAAAAAAATCTCTATGCTGTTTTACATTCCACTAATACACAACATTGCTGTATATTTGTAAATAATTTCAACATTTATTTTAGATTCTTGGTGCACATGTGCAGGTTTGTTACATGGGAATATTGTGTGATGCTGAGGTTTGGGTTATGATTGATTCCATCACCTAGATAGTGATCATACTATACAATAGTTAGTTTTTCAACTCCTCCCCCCATTCTTCCCTTCCCCCTCTTCTAGTTGCCAGCGTCTATTGTTCCCGTCTTTATGCCTATGCATACCTAATGTTTAGCTCCCACTTATAAGTGAGAACACATGGAATTTGCTTTTCTGTTCTTATGTTAATTTGCTTAAGATAATGGCATCCAGCTACATCCATGTTGCTGCAAAAATCTTATTTTGATTTTTTTAAATGGCTATGTAGTATTCAATGGTGTATATGTATCACATTTTCTTTATCCAATTCACAATTAACAGGGAACTATATTAATTCCATGTCTTCACTATTGTAAATAGTGCTGTGATGAACATATAGGTTGATGTGTCTTTTTGGTAGAATTATTTCTTTTGGGTATATATTCAGTAATGGGAATGCTAGATCAAATGGTAGTTCTGTTTCAAGTTTTTCTGAAAAATCTCCAAACTGCTTTCCATAGTGGCTGAAATAATTTACATTTTGACAAACTGTGTGTAAGCATTCCCTTTTCTCCATAGCCTTGCCAGCATCTGTTGTTTTCTGACTTGTTAATAATAGCCATTCTTACTGATGTGAGATGGTATCTCACTGTGGTTTTGGTTTGCATTTCTCTGATGATTAGTGATGTGGAGCATTTTTTATGTTTGTTGGCTGCTTGCATATCTTCTTTTGAAAAGTGTCTCTTCATCTCTTTCACTCACTTTTTGATGAGGTTATCTGGTTTTTTCTTGTTGAATTGTTTAAGCTCTTACATATTCTGTATATTAGACTTTCATCAGAAGAATAGTTTGCCAATATTTTCTCCCATTCTGTAGGTTATCTGTTTACTCTGTTGATAGTTTCTTTTGCTGTGCACAAACTGTTTAGTTTAATTCGGTCTCGCTTGTTAATTTTTGTTTTTATTGCAATTGCTTTTGCAGACTTAGTCATAAATTATTTCCCAAGGGTGATGTTCAGAAAGATATTTCCCAGATTTTCTTCTAGGATTCTTTTATTTTTTGTTTTTGCGGGTTTACAGTCAGTGTATATATTTGTGGGTTACATGAAATATTTTAATACAGGCTTGCAATGCATAATAATCACATCAGAGTAAATGGGGTATCCATTAACTCAAGCATTTATCCTTTGTGTTACAATCAGTTATACTCCTTTAGTTATTTTAAAATATGCAATTAAATTTGGTACAAAAATAGGGAAAATGAGATCTTTTAGGATTCTTTTAGTTTGATTTATTACATTTAAATCTTTAATCCATGGAATGTATTATTTTCTTAATAAATATCAATGTCAGACATTTTCTTCACAACTGTGTTCTTCTTCACCACACCCATGACAATATGTGATAATTTTGAGAAGTCAACAAAAGAGGGGTAGGTTCTGGAATTAACCTTTGTAGCATGAAATGTGGAGTGGCTTTTATGAACAAATCTCAACACTTAATTGCACTGGTATTTGTCTCTCCATGTTACTGGTGAATGTAGCTATTGCTGGTCCCTGTGCTTATGTCTTATTTGCTTCATTCTGTTTCACCACTGAGTCCCCACCTACTTGACTGTGTCTCTGAACATCTTAATTTATTTCAGGCTCTTTTTAGTGGGGAGCTGGACATTTGAGCATTGTTCCTATACTCCCAATCATCATCTAGGATCTTTTTCAACTGGTGTATTTATGTCAGGCACTTCACTGAGCTGGAGAGTGAACTGAGATGTCCAGTAACTGATTAAAGCAACAAGTCAAAAATGAAAACAATAATCAAATATTTAACTACTTACTGCAATAATAGGAACACCATGCTAAGATTGAAGTAAATGTCAACTCGTCATATTTCATTTTCCCTTATGTAACAATGTGCTGATAGAAGTTCATGTGGATTGATGTAGACATGTGGATCATCTCACTGTTCAGAGTGCCTGTAATTAGTTTAATTAGGCTGATGTTATGGACTAAATTGTGTACTCCCAAAATTCATGTGATGAAGCTCTAATCCCCAGTGCCTCTGAATGTGACTATATTAGCAAAATAGGATCTTTAAATGGGTGATTTATTCACATGAAGTCTTTAAAGTAGACTCTAATCCAATCTGTTAACTTTATATGAAAAGATTAGGACACACAAAAGACAGCAGGGATTTGCACACAAAGATAAAAGGTCCTGTAAGGACAAAGAGAAGGTGGCTATCTGCAAACCAAGAAGAGAGGCCTTAGGAGAAACCAAACTGGCTGGCACCTTGATTTTGGAATTCCAGCCTCTAGAACTCTGAAAAAAATTAGTTTCTCTCCTTTAAGTTACCCAGTCTGTGGTATTTTGTTATGGCAGCCCTATAAAACTAACAAAACTGTCATAAGAAAGTTCCACAGACTAGGTGGCTTAAACAAGAATTTTATTTTCTCATGGTCCTCAAAGCTAGAATTCTAGACATTGCTAGGGTTTATTTCTCTTAAGGCCTCTGTCCTTGGCTAGTGAATGGCTGTCTTCCTGAGATGGCTTCATGTGTTCTTCCCTCTGTAAGTATTGGTGTCCACATAATCTCTTCTTATAAGAAGAACAATAAGATTGAATTAGCACACCCCCCGTCTCATATAACCTAATTTTACCTTAATTACCTCTTTAAAGCCCTTGTCTCCAAATACAGTTACTTTCTTAGGTACTGAGGGTTAAAGCTTCAACATATGAATATTGAGGGGAAAAATTTAGCCTATAATACAATTTCAAACCAAGGGCACTGACACTTTTATGAGCCCTGGGGCTGGGGAGAAATAAGCAGGGAGGACTAGGATTAAAATTTACTTGGTACCATAATCAAGTTGGCTTCATCCACAGGATGCAAGGCTGGTTCAACATACACAAATCAATAAGTGTAATTCATCACATAAACAGATCTAAAGACAAAAACCACATGATTATCTTGATAGACACAGAAAAGGCCTTCCTTAAAATTCAACATCCCTTCATGTTAAAAACTCTCAATTAACTAGGTATTGAAGGAACATACCTCAATATAATAAGAGCCATTTATGACAAAGCACAGCCAATATCATACTGAGAGGGCAAAAGCTGGAAGCATTCCCTTTGAAAACCAGCAAAAGAAAACAATGCCCTCTCTCACCACTCCTATTCAACATACTATTGGAAGTTCTGGCCAGGGCAATCAGGCAAGAGAAAGAAATAAAGGCATTCAAATAGGAAGAGAGAAGTCAAATTGTCTTTGTTTGCAGAAGACATGATTCTATATCTAGAAAACCCCATCGTCTCAGCCCCAAAGTTTCTTAAGCTGATAAGCAACTTCAGCAGTCTTAAGATACAACGTCAGTGTGAAAAAGTCACAAGCATTCCTAAACACCAACAATAGGCAAGCAGGGAGCCAAATCGTGAATGAACTCCTATTCACAATTGCTACAAAAAGAATAAAATACCTAGGAATACAGCTAACAAGGGAACTGAAGAACTGCAAGAACTACAAACCACTGTTCAAGGAAATCAGAGAGGACACATACAAATGTAAAAACATTTCATGCTCATGAAAATGGCCATACTACCCAAAGTAATTTATAGATTCAATGCTATTGCCATTAAACTACCATTGACATTCTTCACAGAATTAGATGAAACTATTTTAAAATTCATATGGAACCAAAAAAGAGCTTGTATAGCCAAGATAATCCTATGCAAAAAGAACAAAGTTGAAGGAATCACACTACCGGACTTCAAACTGTACTACAAGCCTACAAGTACAAAAACAACATGGTATTGGTACAAAAACAGACACATAGACCAATAGAACATAATAGAGAACTCGGAAATAAGATCACATATCTACAACCATCTGATCTTCAACAAACCTGACAAAAAACAAACAATGGGGAAAGGATTCCTTATTAAATAAATGGTGCTGGGAGAAATGTCTAGTCATATGGAAAAAATTGAAACCAGACCCGTTCCTTACACCTATACAAAAATTAATTCAAGATGCATTAAAGACTTAAATGTAAAATCTACAACTATAAAAACCCTAGAAGAAAATCTAGGCAATACCATTCAGGACAAAGGCATGGGTAAATATTTCACGATGAAAACACCAAAAGCAATTGCAACAAAAGCAAAAATTGACAAATGGGATCTAATTAAACTAAAGAGCTTCTGCACAGCAAAAGAAAACTAATATCAGAGAGAACAGGCAAACTACAGAGTGGGAGAAAATGTTTGCAATCTATGCATCTGACAAAGGTCTAATATCAAGAATCTAAAAGGAACTTAAACAAATTTACAAGAAAAAAAAACAGCCCCATTTAAAAGCAGGCAAAAGAAATGGACAGACACTTCTCAAAAGAAGACATTTATGTGGCCAACAAACATATGAAAAAAAACTCATCATCACTGGTCATTAGAGAAATGCAAATAAAAACCACAATGAGATACCATCTCACACCAGTTAGTATGGCGATAATTAAAAAGTCAGGAAACAACAGATGGTGGAGAGGATGTGGAGAAATAGCAACGCTTTTACACTGTTGTTGGGAGTGTAAATTAATTCAACCATTGTTGAAAACAGTGTGGCGATTCCTCAAGGTTCTAGAACCAGAAATACTGTTTACTCGGGAATCCCATTACTAGGTATATACCTAAAGGAATATAAATCATTCTACTATAAAGACACATGCACACATATGTATTCACAATAGCAAAGACATGGAATCAACCCAAATGCCCATCAATGATAGATTGGATAAGAAAAATGTGGTACATATACACTATGGAATACTATGCAGCCATAGAAAGGAATGTGCTCATGTCCTTTTCAGGAATATGGATGGTGCTGGAAGCCATTATCCTCAGCAAACTAATGATGGAGCCAAAAACCAAACACTGCATGTTCTCACTAATAAGTGGGAACTGAACGATGAGTCCATATGGACACAGGGAGGGGAACAACACACACTAGGGACTGTTGAGGGTTGCAGTAGGGGGAAGGAGAGCATTAGGAAAAACAGCTAATGCATGCTGGGCTCAATACCTAGGTGATGGGTTGACAGGTACAGCAAATCACCGTGGCACATGTTTACCTGTGTAACAAACTTGTACATCCTGTGCATGTAACCCAGAACTTAAAATTAAAATGAAAAAGGCTACTTGGTACCAAGTCAGGGTAGGAAAAAGCATCTTTAATATTTTCCTCTCCACCCTCCATCTCATAATAAGGACTCAATAGAGGTGCCTGAGGAAAAGCTCTGAGTCCTTGTCTTAAGTTCTTTTAGAGATGCCCATGCACTGGCTGTTTAGCAAGTCTGGCGTAGGGAGGGCAGCTTTCCCCCGTGAGGCCTGCCAGGTAAAGCCTTTGAAATTGTCTGTGATCAAATCTGAAAAATCACACACAGGTTTTTATCGAGGGACTGGACTCCTTAATTTATTATCATTGTGAAAATTTCTGGTATTTATGCCAGTTCAGAATACACTTGAATTCTCCAGATTCTTTTCTGAACAGAATGTGCAACACCTCCCTTAGAGATCAGACCTAGAGAGTAAATCGGTCCACCTTACCTTCTCTCTGATGGTTTTCTACTGGTATCCAGATATATGTGGATGTTGTTTTAATGGCATAATTGACTTCTAATACAGAGTTTTTATTGTATTAAATACTTACAAACCATTATTTTATCTATATACGCTGCCATATTTTTTGTAGGTAACATCAAACTCAGTGACTCATTGCAGAATGCAATTTCTTCCACCTTTAAAAAAAATAGAGTTGCATTTGTCTACCTAAATTTGTTGTCACTTCTTCTGAATCCCATTATTTGTGCAGGATTGTAAACAGTGCTCTGGCAGTATCATCTGGGAACTTTTTTGGTAGACTGCGATCTTGGATTTATGTAAAGCAATTACGTGACCTCTTGAAATCAATACCAAATACTTTAGGATTTAGTTTATTCTTGCCAGTGTTTGTTCCACAGTTTTTAGCCTGAAGAATAGTATTCTAAATATAGTTGTGCATTATATTAAGATTGAGCAGTTTTGTGTTATTTCTGTCATTCATTTTAATAACTTCACCATCGCCAAAACGAAAATGTGTATTATTTGTTCTGCTAGTTGTTCTGGATATAAATAAAAAATAGCTTATCTTTTCTAGATAATTTTTGAGTAACATTTTACTTTGAGACTTTCAACAGACTATACCAGAAAAATCATAACATCCTTATCAGTTTGTCTCTGATCCGTTAATCAAGAACCTTTACACTTTTTAAAATGTATTTTTCTAGAAATGAATGCACTGAGTGGCTCTATATAAAATTGTATTCATGTTTTAGAGACTAACTTTTCTTCACATGTCATTTATAACTATATACTTAGAATTATGATTCTTAGTCTTCTTAAACTATATTTACTTTTAAGAGTCACAAGCTATAGATCATGAAATTTGCAATCTGCCTCTTCAAAGATTTAGATAAATATTTGACTATTTCACTTTACTCCATCCTTACCTATGCTCATTGTTTCCACCAAATTCTCATTTCATCAACTAATATTAATTTAATAGTCAGAATTAGGTCTATATTTTTTTATTTTTGTTATTTTTTTCTATTATCAGTAAATTAAAGAATTTATCACAATGCTGATTTTAGCTTAGTATGACTTCTAGCAGATGTCTCCATTTTTGAAATTGTCTCTTAAGTCTATATTTTGCCCTCGTGCCACCTTTCTGAGTCAGTATTGCATTATCTACTTTTTATCTCACTGTGTTATCAGGAATTGCATGCCTACAACTTTGTAAGTTGCTCTCTTCTCTACATTAATCTTCATGTAACTGCTTTTTAGATATATTTCATTTTTAGAATTTTAGATATCTATGCAAATAGACACATACAGTGATACCAGATACTTTAGTTCTCTCTAACAAGTCTGTATTTATTGAGCAATATTTCCCTTCCACAGACAAATTTCAGTCCTATATTGCATCTTACTAAATCTTTATAATCTCTGTGGGAATTATATGTATGTCTTCATGGTAAAGCCTGAAGTGAATTTTCCTGAATACTGTTTTCTCATGCATGAGTTTACAGATCGTTTTTCAGTTCTTCTCCATGGTATCTTTCTCATCTGAAGTCCAATAAATAACCTTCCTAGTTTGTTTATCATCTTGAAATCATACCTGATGACTTCCATTGTAATACTTCCAATTTTATCTCAGCATTCTTACACTTTCACCTCCCTTTTTAGCTTACTTTCTTTTTGGTAATACCAGCAAGTCACTCAACAGACATATGCATATCTGGTGTTAATTCCTGTCTAAGAATCCGTTACTCAAATGTCATAAAAACTGTGATCCATATTACTAAAAGAGATGGGGGTGGTATGCTTGATTTCTTTGTGTTTTGTACTTAATCCTATTTTATTTGGTATTGATACTTCGACCTGTATTCTGCTGGTGAGGTCACACTTATCATAAACAACAACTGAAGACATATCATTGCCGTTTCCTACCAATTTCTTCATTAACATGTATTTTTTTTCTGAACAAAATTTAATGTATGGTTATATAGCATATCTTGAAATTTAAATATTTCTGTTAGACTCAGAAAATCTCAGCAGTAATGACTTCATGAGACCACATTTTCTTCTTTTTAAACTAGAGTAAGATTTGAATTTTATAACAGATCATTCAATTGTAGTTTTTGAAATTGTCCTTAAAGGTATTTTTTAGGGTTCATCTGGAGGTAATGTTTAGCCTACCTGAATTCGCAAGACCGAGAAGCAGTTCGGATTTTTTTTTTTTTTTTTTTGAGACGGAGTCTTGCTCTGTGCCCAGGCTGGAGTGCAGTGGCGCAATCTTGGCTCTTTGCAGCCTCTGCCCCCTGGGTTCCAGTGATTCTGCTGCCTCAGCCTCCTGGGTAGCTGAGATTACAGGCACACGCCACCACGCCCAGCTAAATTTTTGTACTTTTTTTTTTTTAAGTAGAGATGGGGTTTCGCCATGTTGGCCAGGCTGGTCTTGAACTCCTGACCTCAGGTGATCCTCCTGCCTCGGCCTCCTACAGTGCTGAGATTACAGGCCGGGATATTTGACAAACTTCTGAGGTCTTCCATCACATCCCACAAATACATTACAGAAATGCAGCATACCTTTTTATAAAGCTATGTCACCTATCAAATATTTCTCCATATTTTTTGGCACAGAGACACCAATCACCTCTGTAGATTGCTTTTACACATGCTAAGACATCTGCTGCCTCCTTACTGTTCTGTGGAAAAGTAGAATGCCTACTTTGAGTATTTTTTTGTGCAAAAGCCTAAGGATTTTTTTTCATTTTGTCTTCAAAATGATTTGGAAATTCTGACAAGAAAGGAGGGAGTAACACTGAGTTATTCAAAAATTAAATATGTGACATTATGCAAGGAAGTAAAAAATAATTAGAAGAATTGGGGCTTGTGAAATTGTTTTATAGTTAATAAATACCAACATTGCTTGATATAATTTATCTGAATTATTTAATAAATCTGGGATAAATTTTAAATAGTCTGCAATGAGTAAATTTGATCTAATGTTGCATCAAGACTGTAGACTAGATGGTAATATGAATAATAAAAATGAGGTGTTTATATTTTCTTATGACAGCAAATTTCCTAATCATCCTTGGCAAACTATCAGAGTTATTCTGGGAAACATTCCAATATATTGAGTCTATTTTTTCAGCATTTTATGAATTCTAGAAATGATGTTTACAGATATTGGCTTTTTGGTTATTGACTAATATAAGACATATATTCAAAAACCTTGGATTATATAGTATAAAATTATGGCACTATAAGAAACCCTAAGATGTCACCTTGCCCTTCTCCTTAACTTTACATATCAAAGAGAAATACGATAATTTTTAGAAATAGAGGATTCAGGGGAAAGGGTTTAGTGACATTTTCAACATGCATTGTTTTTGACTTTTAATAGACTCATACATTATTAATAACTCTATTTTATTCATGAGCACTTATCCAATTACATAGAAAATTCTTCTCTCATTTACAGATACTCAAGAGTAAGGATAGTTAATTAATGGTGGCAAAATTCAGTTGTAGGGAAGCAGGAGGTAGTTTTCAATGTAGGTTTAATGGAATGTCTGAAAGAAGGTTTCTTTTCTTGACTGTTTGATAGAAAATTTAATAATACTTAATATGATTTTCTAATTATTCACAATTGACATTTTTATAATTTCTTTTGCTTTTGTGTGACCTGTGTGCCTTTAGACTCAATTAAATGTACTCATCAAACTACTCCCCAACCCAGAGCTTATGCTTTCAGTTTTATGTCTCTTTTGCTGGGGTTCTTACACAAGTCTAAGGGCTATCATTTACAATCGTTTGCATTTTCTTAATTATGCTGCTGATCTCTGTTATTTTCAGTAATTACTCCACCTACTCAAACATGCACTCTCTTCCTAACCATTTCTTTTCACTATTTTTGCCAGTAATTTACTAGAAATCTCACCTCTTTTTGTGAGACATCTATTAGCATAAGCATAATTGCTAGTTCATTTTATCTCATGATCACTCAATAGTATATAAAACAGCCATCACAATAATCAAATCTATATATGGTATATAATAAATACTACAATTTAAGTAAGCAGATGATAGTATCTAGGAGGAGGATCTAAGTCTTAGGTAATAGAATGAATTAAGTCACAAGTGTATAATTTGTATATAGCAGTAGGTTAAAAATTGGCCATAAAATATATGTGGGTAAAACTATTTAGATTTCTGGAGGCTTCGAAAATTGTGAGTTTTTAGTTGATAATTTTTGTTATTGTTTAAAAAATTGCTACTTCTAAACAATAACAAAAATTATCAACTAAAAACTCACCAATAACAGATAAGGCGTATTGATTTTTTTTAACCATAGCTGAGTCAGAAGTGTTCCAAATTAAACATACTGCACATATGATTGTGATATGTGTGAAAGGAAAATATCTTGGGGCCCCCAAATTACTAAGCTAAAGGAAAATATCAAGCTGAGACTGCTTAGGGCAAACCTGCCTCCCATTCTACTCAAAGTCACCCCTCTGCTCACTGAGATAAATGCATATCTGATTGCCTCCTTTGGAGAGGCTATTCAGAAACTCAAAAGAATGCAACCATTTGTCTCTTATCTACCTATGACCTGGAAGAAGCCCCCTCCCTTGTGAGCCCTCCAGCTTGTGCTTCACGTTGTCCTGCATTTCTGACTAAACCAATGTTCATCTTACATATGTTAATTGATGTTTCATATCTCCCTAAGATGTATAAAACCAAGCTGTGCTGTGATTACCTTGGGCACATGTAGTCAGGACCTCCTGAAGCTTGTCACAGGTGCATGTCCTCATCGTTGGCAAGATAAACTTTCTATATTAACTGACACCTGTCTCAAATTTTCAGGGTTCACGTATATTCAACATTTTGGAAGAGTTTGAGAAGGAGTGGCATTAATTATTCTTTAGATGTTTGGTAAAATTTACCAGTGAAGCCATTTAGTTCTGGATTATCATTTGTTGGGAGGTTTCTGATTACAGATTCAATCTCCTTGTTTGTTACTGATCTATTAAGATTTTCTATTCATAATTCAGTCATGGTAAGTTGCATCTCTAGAAATGTATCAGATTTTTAGGTTATCTAATTCATTTGCATATAATTGTTTAGTCTGTTATGATTCTTTTTGTTTCTGTGCCGTCAGTTGTAATGTGTCCTCTTTCATTTCTAATTTTATTTACTTGAGTCTTGTCTCTTCTTTTTTCGTAGTCTAGCTAGAAGTATGTTAGTTAATTTTATCTTTTCAAAAAAAAACCTCTTAATTTTGTTCATTTCTTTCTGTTGTGTTTCTACTTTCTATTTTGCTCATTTCTGCTCCAGTCTTTAATTTTTTTCCTTCTGCTATCTTTGGTCTTTTTTTTTTCCTAATTTGTTGAGGATTAAAGTTAGGTTGCATATTTGACATATTTCTTTTTAAATAAAGGTGTTTATTGCTATAAACTTCCAAATTATTACTGCTTTTGCTGCATCTCATAAGTTTGGTGTGTGATGCGTTGTCATTTTCATTTGTCCTGATATATTTTTTAATTTCTCTATTTTTTTATGACTTATTGGTTTCAAGAATGTGTTATTTATTTTTTACATATTTTTGAATTTTCCTATTCTCACCACTTGTATTCAACATAGTACTAGAAGACTTAGCCAGAGCAATTAGGAAAAAAAGTAAACAAAAGGCACCCACATCAGAAAGGAAGAAGCACAATTGTCTCGTTTTGTACATGACATGACCTTATATGTAGAAAACCTTAAAGGCACTTAAAAAATGAAAACTAGTGAATGAATTTAGGAAAGTGGCAGGATACCAAATCAACATATAAAAATCAGTTCTGTTTTTATACATTAATGATGAGGTCTTTGTTATTACTTTGATACTGTTGGTTTATCCTCCCTAAACTTACGTTTAAATTTGATCCCCAATGTGATGGTGTTGGGGCTAGTTAGGAGGTGTTTGGCTCATGGAGGTAGGTCCCTCATGAAAGTCTTGGTACTGTTCTCCCAGTAGTGAGATGTTCTCCAGGAAAGATGAAATTAGTTATCTTGGGAATAGATTAGTTCTGGTTTGTTATAAAGTGAGGTTTTTCCTCCTGTTTGGTCCCTCTTTGCACATGCCTGCTTCCCCTTTGACATTCTCTGCCATGTTTTGATGCAGCACAAAAATCCTCAACAGATGCCAGTGCTATGCTTCTTCCAGCCTACAGAACTTTGCGCCTAATAAACATATTTTCTTTATAAACTACTCATCCTCCAGTATTTCTTTACAGCAACACAAAATTGATCAAGACACTATTCAGAAAAGAAATTAAGAAAACAATACTGTTTGTAACACCAATAATAATAAAACACTGAGGAATAAAATTAACCAAAGAAGTGAAAAAGTTTTACACTGAAAATAAAAAAAAATTAAATAAATTAAAGGGGACACAAATAAATGGAGACATCCTTTGTTCATGAATGGAAGCCTTAATATTGTTAAAATGTCTACACTACCCAAATAAATCTACAGATTTAATGCAGTCTCCATAAAATGTCTCAATGTCATTTTTTAATAGAAATGCTAGAATAATTCTAAAATTCATATGGATAATTTTATGCTAAAGACCATGAATAACACAGCAGTCTTGAAAGAACAAAGCTGGAGGCATCGCACTTTCTGCTTTCAGAATATTACACATCTATAGTATTTAAAAATGATGATACCAGCATAAAAGCGTATATATGGACCAATGGAACAGAATAGACTGCCCAGAAATAAACTCTCATGTACACAGTCAATTTATCCTCAACAAGGGTTCTAAGAATACAAAAGGGAGAAAGGGTAGTCTCTTCAACAAATGATTCTAGGAAAACCGAAGATCCACATGCAAAAGAAGGAAATTGGACTTTTATCTTACACATACACAAACATTTACACAAAATGGATTACAGATTTAAACATATGATCTGAAATTGTAAAACAACTAGAAGAAAACATAGGGGAAAGACTACTTGACATTATTCTAGTTAATGATTTCTTAGATACGACACCAAAACCACAAATAACAAAATTAAAATTAGACATGTATATCTGTACCCCTATGCTCATTGTAGCATTATTGATAACAGCAAAGATATGGAAAGAAACTTAAATGTTTATTGATAAATGAATGGATAAAGAAAATATGACATATGCATATAATGAAATTTTATTCACACTTAGAAGAAAATTCAGACACGTGTGATGGATTAATAAGCCTGGAGCACATTATTCTAAGTGAAATAAGCCAGTCACAATAGTACAAATACTGCATGATTCCAGTTATATGCGATATCTTAAACAGTCACATGTAAAGAAATGAACAAAATGGTGTTTGCCGGGGATGGCGGCAGTGGGAGATTGAAAGTTGCTGTTAAACTAATATAAAGCTTAAGTTATACAAGACAGATTCTAAAGATCTGCAGTACAATATTGTTTGTATAGTTAACAGTATTGTATGTAAATATTTGTTAAGAGGGTAGATTTTATGTTGTGTTTTTAATATAATGAGAAAAAAAACCAGTAATATATGATAATACTCCTTTTAGAAAGACTGATAAGAAAAAAGATATTAGAAGAGGCCATTGTCAATAGATGCAATGAGTACTTTTAAATTCACGAGGAGGCCCTTAATATACCTGTGTAATTGGGAATATTAAATTTGTGTTTAAGCAAAAATATTTTATCTGTAATAGTTTTCTTCCTTACTTGTTTCTTTAATGTTAGAGAAGAATTGACACAGAAACATTTTTTTCTTTAGTTTAAATGATAGTGATTTTATTGTGAAACTTATCTCTCCTTAAGATACTGAAATCACTCAAGAAATTAAGTTTAATAGTAATTCTTAGGAGTATAACAGAAACTTGATATTTTTATAATTGTACCACTTCTTAAGTTCCTACAAGCATGCTCTTGTTATAAGCTTATTTATTTTCAGTGATAATAATTTACCTGGAGATTATCTATCTATCTATCTATCTATCTATCTATCTATCTATCTATCTATCTATCTATTATTACTTACCTATCTAGCAGTCTATCTTTCTATATGCCTTACTCTGTGAAACTACTAAGATTCAGCATAACCCCTGAAAGCTTATAGAATGATTTGGTACTTATGTGATTAAAAAAATGGACAATCTGGCGTATCAGAGAAAGAGAGATAGTTTGGACAGAAAAAGAGAGAAGGAGGGATAAGATTTGCTGCCAGACATCTAAGGAGACTTAACACATTTCCCTGTTAGTATCAGTGTTACTAATAATATTACAAATTAACTAATATATAGGTTTTATTCTTTTTAATCTATGATGCTTAATCTAACATGCAATTCATGTACATCATTCCTAAGGAAAGATTTTAAGGAGTGGCTAAAAGCAGAGATTCAATTAACGTTTACACTATAAGGCTCAATTCAACATGTTATATTTAAGTAACTATTCAGTAAGAGTTGTTTTAGGCACCATCAATGTTATATATGGACTAAAAGCAGATTATTCTACTTCTTAATTTGTGTATCCATTGGGGTTTTTGGGGTTTAAGCAGCAGAAACCACTTCTGATTAATAAGCAGAAACTATCTTTTGGGAATATTTGAAAGCTCAAAGGATTTCTAGGAAGACAGTACAACCAAGCCTTGTGTCTGTGGTGCCAGAAGATATGCCCCAAATAATGCCACAGTATTAGATTTATAAAGATAACGTTATTATTGCCAATGGTCACAGACACCACAACTTGCTTATTGTGAGCACAGCTTAATGATACTGCTACAAGTGATATCACTCCAGCTTCGAGACATTGGATGTATCAACTGCCATGACAATGCCATCATCGCAGGGGTTTCTGCATGGCCCTGCTTCTTCTAGCCAGTGGTATGTGGTCAATATCCGAGACAGTGAATACTATTTTTCAATAGTGAGTCATGTCCTTGCATCTTAGCTTCAAGGGAATCTAAGAACGTGAATATCTGGCATTTTAAGTCTTTGTAATAGGAGAATATTCTGCATCATTAATGTAGAACATTCTCACACATAGAGAGTCAGTGGGAAGTCAAAAAAGAACAACAAAGGATTACTACTCTTGGTAGTTCTGGGTCAACATCAAGGTCTTTTAGTTTATCTATTCTCAAAAAAAGCATCAAGCATAATAATTCACAGGCTACTCCTTCCATCCTTAGGAAAGAAACTTTAGCTAACTTATGTTGACTTAATTATCATTTTCTTTGTGATTTATTTATTCCACAATGTACATGTGCAGTGATATGCCACAAAAAACCATTTTGGTCAACAATAGACTGCATTATACAATGATGCTTCTTTAAGACTATAATATTGTGTTTTTACTGTATACAAATATTTCTCATTGTGTTACAATTTCCTACAGTATTCAGGTCAGTGTGAGGATGTACGGTTTTATGTCCTAGGAACAATAGGCTATACCGTACAGCCTAGGTATGTAGTAGGCTATACCATCTTGGTTTGTGTAAGTACAGTCTGTGATGTTTCTACAGTGATTAATCATTTAATAATGCATTTCTCAAAATGTATCAGTCATAAAGTGATGCATGACTATAAAGATTTGGCTCTTCCTGCGTTTTTTGGCTGCATAAATGTCGTCTTTTGAGAAGTGTCTTTTCATGTCCTTCGCCCACTTTTTGATGGGGTTGTTTGTTTTTTTCTTGTAAATTTGTTTGAGTTCATTGTAGATTCTGGATATTAGCCCTTTGTCAGATGAGTAGGTTGTGAAAATTTTCTCCCATTTTGTAGGTTGCCTGTCCACTCTGATGGTAGTTTCTTTTGCTGTGCAGAAGCTCTTTAGTTTAATTAGATCCCATTTGTCAATTTTGGCTTTTGTTGCCACTGCTTTTGGTGTTTTAGACATGAAGTCCTTGCACATGCCTATGTCCTGAATGGTAATACCTAGGTTTTCTTCTAGGGTTTTTATGGTGTTAGGTCTAATGTTTAAGTCTTTAATCCATCTTGAATTAATTTTTGTATAAGGTGTAAGGAAGGGATCCAGTTTCAGCTTTCTACATATGGCTAGCCAGTTTTCCCAGCACCATGTATTAAATAGGGAATCCTTTCCCCATTGCTTGTTTTTCTCAGGTTTGTCAAAGATGAGATAGTTGTAGATATGTGGCGTTATTTCTGAGGGCTCTGTTCTGTTCCATTGGTCTATATCTCTGTTTTGGTACCAGTACCATGCTGTTTTGGTTACTGTAGCCTTGTAGTATAGTTTGAAGTCAGGTAGCATGAATGCTCACCATCACTGGCCATCAGAGAAATGCAAATCAAAACCACAATGAGATACCATCTCACACCAGTTAGAATGGCAATCATTAAAAAGTCAGGAAACAACAGGTGCTGGAGAGGATGTGGAGAAATAGGAACACTTTTACACTGTTGGTGGGACTGTAAACTAGTTCAACCATTGTGGAAGTCAGCATGGTGATTCCTCAGGGATCTAGAACTAGAAATACCATTTGACCCAGCCATCCCGTTACTGGGTATATACCCAAAGGACTATAAATCATGCTGCTATAAAGACACATGCACACGTATGATTATTGTGGCACTATTCACAATAGCAAAGACTTGGAACCAACCCAAATGTCCAACAATGATAGACTGGATTAAGAAAACGTGGCACATAGACACCATGGAATACTATGCAGCCATAAAAAAGGATGAGTTCATGTCCTTTGTAGGGACATGGATGAAATTGGAAATCATCATTCTCAGTAAACTATCGCAAGAACAAAAAACCAAACACCGCATATTCTCACTCATAGGTGGGAATTGAACAATGAGAACACATGGACACAGGAAGGGGAACATCACACTCTGGGGACTGTTGTGTGGTGGGGGGAGGGGGGAGGGATAGCTTTAGGAGATATGCCTAATGCTAAATGACGAGTTAATGGGTGCAGCACACCAGCGTGGCACATGTATACATATGTAACTAACCTGCACATTGTGCACATGTACCCTAAAACTTAAAGTATAATAATAAAATAAAATTAAATTAAATTAAAAAAAGAAAATACGAAAAAAAAAAAGATTTAGCTCTTCCACCATAATATGATTGTCACAGTCTTAGGTTGACAGAGGCATAGAGACAAGAAAGCAAAGAACTTCAACAAATCTAAAGAGGAAACCTAGAAAATAACTAAGGGTATATTCATCAGCACATGAACCTGATTGGAATCAAGCATATAGAAAGCGTATTTCCGTCATTTAGTGACACGTGACTGTATAGCAAAACATCATGTCATATATCATGAATATAAACAATCTTTAATTTGTCAATTAAAAATAAAATTTAAAAAAGAATCATGGTTTCATATGAGCCTCAAAAATGGAAGTAGCCAGAGTTTCTTAAGATTATTGAAGCACTCTATCACCACCTGAAATTATAAGTAACAGACAACCTCATGGGAAGATTGCTTTTCGCAGCTGAAGCTTAGATGGAATTTGGTTTGACAAGATCCCTTTCTCCTGATGCAGTGACCTTTCAGCCTATATAACACTAATGTACAAAAATGTGTGGGCTTATTTAAAGTTCTTTGGTATTGATATAAGAAATATTAATACAAAATTATGATGGGATAAAGAGAAAAATTAAAATGCTAGGTAAATTGAGCTTCCCCATAAGTTCATAGGAAAGGCATTTAATGATTTGGACTTTCTCAAAAAGAGCTTTCCTCATGGATTCCCTCCACTCAAACTGTGGTTCTCCTACCTTCAATTTTATGCCTATGTGTTTAAAGCCTCCTTTCTATCACCTATACTATCTCCACCCTTGAGAATATTGTACCCCTTTTCACAAGTTAAAATAAAACTGAGTCTTCATCTCTGGAGTCTTACAGAGTCCTACAGTTGCTTGTTTGAATAGTAACCTCAGAAGACTTGGATGGCTTCAGCTGCGTGGCCATTAGTATTGCTTCATTCTGGGATTCTTTAATGTTAATTTAATTTTCAGTATCCAAGCAGTGGAAATTCTTAGCCTGAAAGGTGTCTTATTACTTGGTTTATTAAATATTCACATTTCTGAAAGTAAAACATTCTTTCTGTTCATCAGAAATAGCACAGTCAAAATCCATGTTGAAAAAAATAATAATCCTATAAAGCAAGATTTTGGTTCTGTCTTGAAGTAAATGTGGATCTCTTACAGACCTAGGAAATATCTTCTTTGCCTGAAGTAATCAGAAAAGGGTCATACAAACTTCCCCATTTCGTCAGGGAGTGCTACTAGCCTAAACTCAATGATTTTTATTTGAAGCCTCCTGAATATTGCAAAATAGAGGAATGGCAGGTAGAGTTGTTAAAATTGTTCTCACCACACATTATGCCTAAAAATCAAATATGTATCTATAACATTAAATAAAAAATGGCAAATCAATGAGTTATTCTTTATTTTACAGATAAACTCACAGATTTAAAATGAAGTCCTTAGAATAAGTCTAAGAATTGTTAGGGATAATGCTTCTGAAGAAATAACCAAGTTTCAAACTTTCATTTTGAAGATGACAATAGTGAATCCCTGAGGAAGAAGTTATTTGTCCAATTGTCACAGCCAGAAAGTGTGTTTAGAGTTCAAAATTACATGTTAATTTGTGAGTCCTAAATTCAATAGTGGGAACTGAAGTTTAGCCAAATTATATTTTAATCCTCATTAGTCAACCATAGAGGTTGCTGAAATAACATTTTTAACTTTTTTTCTAATTTTTATTTTTTTAATTTTTAATTTTTATGGAAAAATGATGTATACATTTAAGGGGTATATTAGATATTTTGATACAGGCATGCAATATTAATGATCACATCAGGGTAAATGAAGTATCCATCACCTCCAGAATTTATCCTTTGTGTTATGAACAATCGAATTATACCCTTTTAGTTATTTTTCAGTGAACAATTAAATTATTATTGACTCTAGTCACCCTGTTGTGCTATCATATACTAGATCTTATTCATTCTTTCTAACTGCTTTTTTTGTAACTACTATCCATCCCTACTTCCCCTCACCACTCCCTCCACCAACTGTCCTTCCTAGCCACTGGGAACCATTATTCTATTGTTTATCTCCATGATTTCAATTGTTTTAATATTTAGCTCCCATGAATAAGAACTTAGAAAGTTGTCATAAAAAATAAATGGCTTTTTAAACAAAATGAGAAGGATAGTCTTATAGCACTATCATAAAGAAGCTCACATTTTGATATTTTATAATTAAACATGTTTTCTATACTTCATGTATACTTAAAGATAAAAATATTGAATAAACTTCATAATGGAAACTAGATAATTAAAGATGGGTTGATGGGCAATGATCATATAAAAATCTATAACATGAAGAAATGACACAAGCATTAGCATTTATTATTTATTTTTACTTTCTAAAATTTCATTTTATTCTTTATTCTTTTAATTTAATTTTTTATTTCAATAGTGTTAGGAATACAAGTGTTTTTTTGGTTACATGGATGAATTTTATAATGGTGAACTCCAGTTATGAATAGTCCTGTGATAAGTATACATGTGCAGGTATCTTTTTGAAATAGGGACTTTTTTTTTTCCTTTGGGTAGTAGCATTTCTGGATTGAATGGTAGATCTACTTTTAGTTATTTGAGAAACCTCCATACTGTTTTCTATAGAAGTTGTGCTAATGTATATTCCCACCAGCAGTGTGTAAGTGTTCCCTTTTAATCACATCCATCCCAACATCTATTGCTTAATGACTTGTTAATAATGGCCATTCTTGTTGCATTAATGTGGTACCTCATTGCAGTTTTAATTTGCATTTCCTTGATGATTAGTGGTTGATATGGTTTGGCTGTGTCCCAAATCTCAACTTAAATTGTATCTCCCAAAATCCCCATGTGTTGTGGGAGGGACTCAGGGGTAAGTAATTGAATCATGGGGGCCCATCTTTCCCATGCTGTTCTCATGATAGTGAATAAGTCTCGTGAGATCTGATGGGTTTATCAGGGATTTCTGCTTTTGCTTTTTCCTCATTTTTCTCTTGCCGCTGCCATGTAAGAAGTACCTTTTGCTTCCTGCCATGATTCAGAGGCCTCACCAGCCACATGGAACTGTAAGTCCAATTAAACCTTTTTTTGTTCCCAGTTTCGGGTATATCTTTATCAGCAGCATGAAAACAAAGTAATATGGTAAATTGGTACCAGTAGAGTTGTTGAAAAGATACCCAAAAACCTGGAAGCGAATTTGGAATGGGGTAACAGGCAGAGGTTGGAACAGTTTGGAGGGCTCAGAAGAAGACAGGTAAATGTGGGAAAGTGTGGATCCTTCTAGAAATTTGTTGAATGGCTTTGACAAAAATGCTGATAGTGATATGAACAATAAGGTCCAGGCTGAGGTGGTCTCAGATGGAGATGAGAAACTTGTTGGGAACTGGAGCAAAGGTGACTCTTCTTATGTTTTAGCAAAGAGCCTGGCCACATTTTGCCCCCCTGCCCTAGAGATTTGTGGAACTTTGAACTTGAGAGAGATAATTTAGGATACCTGGTGGAAGAAATGTCTAAATAGCAAAGCATTCAAAAGGTGACTTGGGTGCTGTTAAAAGCATTCCATTTTAAAAGGGAAACAGAGCATAAAAGTTCAGAAAATTTGCAGCCTGACAATGCAGTAGAAAAGAAAAACCCATTTTTTGGAGGAGAAATTCAATCTGGCTGCAGAAATTTGCATAAGTAGCAAGGAGCCTGATGTTAATCCCCAAGACCATGGGGAAAATTTCTCCAGGCCATCTCGGAGACCTTCACGGCAGTCCCTCCTATCACAGGCCCCAACACCCAGGAGGAAAAAGTAGTTTTGGGGCCAGGCCCAGGGTCCCTGTGCTGTGTGGAGCCTAGGGACTTAGTGCCCTGTGTCCCAGCTGCTCCAGCTGTGGCTGAAAGGGCCAAATGTAGAGCTTGGGCTGTGGCTTCAGAGGGTGGAAGCCCCAAGATTTGGCAGCTTCCACTTGGTTTTGAGTCTGCAGGTGCACAGAAGACAAGAATTGAGGTTTGGGAACCTCTGCCTAAATTTCAGAATATGTATGGAAACGCCTGGTTGCCCAAGCAAAAGTTTGCTGCAGGGATAGGGCTCTCATGGACAACCTCTGCTAGGGTAGTGCAGAAGGAAAATGTGAGGTTGGCACCCCCACACGGAGTCCCTACTAGGGCACTGCCTACTGGAACAGTGAGAAGAGGGCCACCATCCTCCAGACCCCAGAATGGTAGATCCACCAACCTCTTGCACCGTGCACCTGGAAAAGCCGCAGACACTCAATGCCAGCCAGTGAAAGCAGCCAGGAGGGAAGCTGCACCCTGCAAAGCCACAGGGGTGGAGCTGCCCAAGACTATAGGAAACCACCTTTTGCATCAGCATGACTTGGATGTGAGACCTGGAGTTATAGGAGATCATTGGAGCTTTAAAATTTGACTCCCCCAGTGGATTTTGGACTTGCATGGGTCCTGTAACCCCTTTGTTTTGGTCAACTTGTCCCATTTGGAATGGCTATATTTACCCAATGCCTGTACCCCCATTGTATTTAGGAACTAACTAGCTTACTTTTGATTTTACAGGCTTATAGGAGAAAGGGACTTACTTTGTCTCAGATGAGACTGTGGACTGTGGGCTTTTGGGTTAATGCTGAAATGAGTCAAGACTTTGGGGAACTGTTGGAAAGGCATGATTGGTTTTGAAATGTGAGGACATGAGATTTGGAGGGGCAAGGAGCAGAATAGTATGATTTGGCTACGTCCCCACCCAAATCTCAACTTGAATTATATCTTCCAAAATTCCCTCATGTTGTGGGAGACACTCAGTGGGAGGTAATTGAATCATAGAGACAGGTCTTTCCCGTGCTGTTCTCATGATAGTGAATAAGTCTCAGGTGATCTGATGGGTTTATCAGGGGTTTCCACTTTTGCTTCTTCCTCATTTTTGTCTTGCTGCTGCTATGTAAGTAGTGTAAGTAGTGCCCTTTGCCTCCTGCCATAATTCTGAGGCTTCCCCAGCCATGTGGAACTGTAAGTTCAATTAAACCTCTTTTTGTTTCCAGTTTCAGATATGTCTTTATCAGCAGTGTGAAAATGAACTAATACAGTGATGTTGAGCATTTTTTCATATGTTTGTTGACCATTTGTATATCTTCTTTTGAGAAGTGTCAATTAATGCCATTTGCCCAATTTTAATGGGATTATTTGGCTGCTTCTTGCTGTTTTGTTTGAGTTCCTTGTAGATTCTGAATATTGTTCTTTGTCGAATGCATGATTTGCAAAAATTTCCTTAGTCTGTAGGTTTTCTTTTTACTCTGAAGATTATTTCTTTTGCTGTACCAAAGCTTTTTAGTTTAATTAGGTTCCATTTATTTATTTTTGCTTTTGTTGCATTTGCTTTTGGGGTCTTCGTCATCAATTATTTGCCTAGGCCAGTGTCCAAAAGAGTTTTTGCCATCTTCTCTTTTAGAATTTCTATGGTTTCAGGTCTTACATTTAAGTGTTTAGTCCATCTTGAGTTAATTTTTATATATACTGAGAGATAGGGATCCAGTTTTATTCTTCTACTTGGGGATGTCCAATTTTCCCAGCATCATTTATTGAATAGGATGTCTTTTCTACAGTTTATGTTTTTGTATTCTTTGTCAAAGATAAGTTGGTCTTAAGTATCTGGCTTTATTTCTGTCTTCTATATTCTGTTCCATTGGTCTATGTATCTACTTTTATACTAGTTTCATGCTGTTTGGGTTATTGTATTCTTGTAGTATAGTTTGAAGTCAGGTAATATGATGCCTCCAAATTTGTTCTTTCTGCTTAGGATTTCTTTGGTTATTCAGGCTCTTTTTTGGTTCCATATGAAGAATTTCCTATTTCAATGAATTACATATTTCTTCCTTCCATTTCATGTGGCTCAAAATTGGACTACATCAATTATGTGATTTAACTGTAGCCTGTCAGGAAACAAAAATAGAAATCAAGTCCACAATTTAATGTAATGCATAATTACTCAATGAATTATCACAATGACACCGATTAATATAAAAAATGCTAAGAAAACGTGTAGATCATTTACGTTTGGAATATGATACCATAATCTTGATTAATGACAAAGGATGAGTATAAAAGAGAACCATATGTTCATATGTTGGGAATGTAGCTTGCCAAAGAATTTTATCTTTCCTGAAAGAAACAACTTTGTAAGTTCTTTTTTTTCACAACCCAAATTAATGGAGTTTATATACAGGGGCTCACAATAAATTTTGTTGCGGAGGGGCAGTAATTCTATGCAGCAGTTTTCTTAATACTTTTGTTATGGTCAAATATTGTTCTAAATTATACACCAGCTTAATTGACTATAAAAATAGAAAGTATTCTTCTAAGGAGTAGGACATATCTATTGCAAATTTTAAAATAAGCATTAAAAATGTATACAATGCACACATTCATCAATTTCTAAAAAGACTAAACTTATGCAAAGGTAATATCTAGAAAAATAACTTCCATTTACTACTCGATGAGTAGACATTTCGGCTACAATCAGTGCTCCCTACTCCCCACCTTCCTTCTCTCTCTTTCCTTTTCTGTCTCCTCCTTTCTCTTTCTTTGAAAATTTAGTAGGTCAAACTGGGAGTTTTTAAGGAGATTTTCTATATCTTTTTTTCAGGCTTGAAGACATCAAGGAAATTTGGCACTTTCCTACAGTGTCTTTAAACATGAAATAACATCCCAAATCTACAAGTATATAAAGAGACAAAAAAAACACAAATATTTTTGATATGCAAAATTGGAAGAAAATTTGGAATTGGAGGGCGTGATAGAAATAGGACAACCAAAATAAAGACAACTATTGGGTTGATTAGGATTGCTTTTTGGAGATGAAATGATACATTAGAATTGCTTCTGACTTTTCTTTTGAGCATGGTAATATATGTCCAGAAAATCATCATAGTTTAATTTCCAAGAAGGATATATGGATATATAAAACATGTATAAAGCATTTTTATGCAAGATGAAAGCAGGAGCATTGGTACCACAGTAGAAATAAGAAAATGTCAGATAATCTAAAAAATAATTTACTTTCTTGAGCCCATCAAATAGTTAAGGTTACACGGCAAGCAGGGCAAATAGGTCAAAGCAGTCTGAATTCTAAAGTGATATAAGCTCTTCCAAAGAGACCTGAAACGCAGAAAAATGTGTCCCCTGAAGCAGAGAAGTTCTGGCCCAGAATTGAGGATAGAGGCTAGGAATGGTGGAGAGGACAAGTTACACAGTAGCAGACTTTTTTGTGGTTATGGAAGTATTCTGTATCTTGACTGTGGTAGAGATTACATTATTTTATATATTTGTCAAGAATCATTAAACTGTCCACCTAAAAAGAGTTTTACTTTACACTTTAGAATTATTAGTTTTTTAAAAGTAATTAAAAATTGTTATGACATTGGTAATAAAGACTTGCTATTCCAAAACTTTGGTGAGGTTTGATGCTTAATATGTTTAAAAAATTCTCAGAAGTCATTGTTTTTGCCTTATATATGTAAAGATATTATAATATACATTCTTGATTGGGGATTTAGTTCAATACTTTTTTTTGGCAACTGATACTTATCAGTTTATCATTTATTAAGTGCCTTTAGTTCTCAATTCATTATAAATACAAACCTGGGATGTGTTTAGAGCAGGAGATAAATATCATTTCTGACTTAGAGATAGAAAAACTGATGCTAAGAGAATTAAACCTCTTGCTTAAAAAACAGACAGAAAGGAAAAAGAAAAGCCAGTTTTAGGATACATGACTTCTGAGACCCATTCAAATTATTTTCAAGTTATCCCCTGCCCCAGAAAACACATATACAAATCTACACTGTCTATAAGGAATAAAAAAAGCCTTTTATTCAGAATTAATTCAACAAATACATATATACCAGGCACTTTTTGAGGTCCTGGAAATAAAACACTGAATAAAATAAAGTCCTTTTTCTTGTTTTATGAAACAACAAAATAAACAATGGATGATTTCAGTGCATGAGCATGCCATCTTCTTCTTACAAAGATTATGTTTTCCCCAACCAGTCTAAGAATCTGAGACCAAAATACAGTCACTAATTTTCGAACACTTAACCACTTCTAAATAATGTATGTTTCCTCTTTTTTTTCCCAAAAGAAGAGGAAACATCATTTGCTTCATTTATAATCACAAAAATTACTAGTAATTATGTAGTGCCTACAAAATGCCAACAAGGCGCATTTCTAAATACTTTAGATATATTGCCTCCCTTAATCCTTACAGTAACTCTACAAATTATCTACTATTATTTGACTTATTTTATAAATGTGGTACAAGAGGCATAAAATATTATTTAAATAGAGTTGAGACTTCAACCAGGTAGAACTGTATCAGTTTTTATTCTTAACTATTATATTAATTGACATTACTAATAATGGAGTTTCCTATTAACTCAGAAAATATCAACTTGGAATCATTGAGAATCAATGCAATGAAACTTGAAAAGTAGTATTCTAGAGCATCTTAAACCTATTGTTAGTTTCAGAGAAGGATAAGACCTCAAGTCCCACAGTCTCTTAACTACTTGATAGATTGAGAACTAAAAAAGAGTCTTCATGTTATGAGAGGTAATATGGCTTGGTGGAAAGAACACAGGGTTTTAGATACTATAAATTCTACTCCCTGTTCTTGTTTGTTAGGCCTATGGTTTTACAAGCTACCCTAACTCTTTAAGCTTTAGTTTCTTCATTGCTAAAAAGAGCCATATTTAGGAGTTAAGGGTTAAACCTATATATTTAGATAGTACAGTATCTGAAACATAGCAATTAATATCAATTTATTCTGTTGTTCCTTAAAGATATCTGTAATCAGTATTCATCTTTAAAATGCCAATTTGTTCTTACCACACCAGGATGTGGTGTTTTTCATGGAATATTATTCCATGGAATTTTATTAAAATAATCTTTTAAGGAGTTACTCACCGTTGATTAATAAACAAAGGAAATCGAAAGAAAAATGCCTATTTTTCTATATTTCTTAGAATATGTGGAATCTAAAAAAGTTTAACTCACAGAATGAAAGAACGATAGTTATTAGAGGCTAGGCAGGGAGGTGGGAAGGGGAAAAATGGGGAGTTGGCCAAAGAGTACAAAATGTCAGATAGAAGAAATAAGTTTGGGATCTATTATACAGGAGGGTGACTATAGTCAATAATAATGTATTGTATATTTCAACATAACTGAGAAGATATTTCAAATATCTCACCATAAAAATGATAGGTAAACAAAGTGACGGATAAGTTAATTTACTTGACTTAGTCACTTCACATTATATACATATATCAAAACATCATGGCTGGGCATGGTGGCTCACTCTTGTAATCCCAGCACTTTGGGAGGCCAAAGCACGCAGATTGCCTGAGCTCAGGAGTTTGAGACCAGCCTGGAAAACCTGGTGAAACTCTGTCTCTACAAAAAATACGATGATTAGCCAGGTGTGATGGTGCACGACTATTGTCCCAGCTACTTGGTGTCTGAAGCACCAGGATCGCTCAGGCCCAGGAGGTCGAAGCTGCAGTGAGCCGTGACCATGCCACTACACTCCAGCCTGGGTGACAGAGCAACTCCCTGTCTCTGAAAAAAAAAAAAAGTCAACTTGTACTCCTTAAATGTATACAATTAATATTTGTCAATTAAAACAGTATTAATTTTTTAAAACCTGTATTAGTTTGAGCTCCCATTACAAGATGCCATGGACTGGATGGCTTAAACAACAGAACTCTAGTTTTCTCAGCTCTGCATGCTGGAAATTCCAAGATCAAGATGAAAGCCAATGTAGTCCCTGGTGGGGGTACTCTCCTGGGCTTGCAAGTGATCAACTCCTTGCTGTATGCTTACATGGCCTTTCTATGGTGTATATTCAGAGAGAGAGAAAGGGTAAGCTCTTTAATGTCTATTCTTAAAATTATACTAATCCTGTCATGAAGACCCCACCCTCCTGACCTGATGTAATCCTAATTACCTCCCAAAGTGCATAACTCTTCAATTATCTCTCCAAATACCATCACATTAGGGGTGGTGAACAGCCAGATAATAAAAGTATGCAGTCCGTAACAAAAACTAAAGGCCACCTTTTGTATTATTATTTGTCTTGTAGATTTGGTTAAAACACACAACTTTTGACAAAATTGATGTGTGTTTAATGCTGATATGGATATTGACAACTGCTTATGAGAAAAGCAAACATTAGTCAAAATAATAAACCAATAACCTGGAAATAAAAATGTCAATAGAAGCACCACTGAGAATTTTTGTGGATTTTTACATAGGCCTTCGAATAATTTAAATATAAAGCCATTAATTGATTAATTAATTTTTTGAGACAAGGTCTCTGTCACCCACGCGGAAGTGCAGTGTTGCTATCTGGGCTCACTGCAATACCCACCTCCAAGGCTCAAGGGATCCTCCACCTGAGCCTCCTAAGTAGCTGGGACTGCAGGCACACACCACCACACTTGGCTAATATTTTATATATTTTGTAGAGATCGGGTTTCGCCATGTTGCCTAGGCTGGTCTCAAACTCATGGGCTCAAGAGATCTGCCTGCCTCAACCTCCCAAAGTGCTTGAATTACAGGCGTAAGCCATGGTGCCCGGCCCATTTAATTTTAAAAGTCTATTTTTATCCAGAAAACATGTAATTTTTCATTTGAATCACTTTTCAATATCTGAAAAGTATTTTATATATAGCATTCATATAATAGGATTCCTTGGCTTAGGAAGTAGTTAACTTGGTACTTCTAAATAGATAGAGTTGTTTATAGATGATGACCTTTCTCTTCCATTGTATTGAGAAAGAAGCCAAAGTGCAGACAAAAACTGCTCAAAGCCCTTTGATAGAAGCCATCAGAGGAGCAAAGCCAGAGGTAGTTGGCCTATGTCCAGCGTTGAAGCCAATTTTACTGCTGCATTAGGAAATATCTTTCGGAAGCCAGTGGTCATAGATGAAGATATGGTGATTGGGAACAATCCATGGCACAATTTGATCAGTAAGTTAAAATGGTTGTCAAAGTGCCTCCTCTTTCGAAAAGAGATTGTTTGGTATTAAAGACAAGGCTACAGATCATCCAGGAAACAACTCAAGGAATCCCCATTAAAAAGCTACTGATGGGAGAAGGTTCTGAATGACCTTTAGAATAGCATAATTGTGCCAGAGTGCTGATTTATGTCATTTAATCTTTTACAAGCCTTAAAAAGTTCATTGAGGAAAATCATATTCTCTGAATTTCAGCTCTGTAATTTATGATTATAATTGGAGAGATGGCTAGAGTTTCTAGCCGTATATCTAAAAATAAATATAAAAGTGGAGCAGAGGAAGAGGAAACACTTGTTGAGTAAGGGAGATCAGTCAGTGTTTATATGAATTCAGAACAGAATTTTATCCCATATCATTAATGTATATTCTAGGACCAGGGAAGATTTGTTAACCAAAAAATATAACTCCTGTTTCATAAAGATGCCATGAAATAAGTAATACAAAACTTTAGAAAGTAAGAAAATGTTCATGAATTTTGATAGGTGTCTACCAGTCACATATTACATGTATGGTAATTGACAGCCTCTTATAAAACATGCTTACTTTTGAGCTATGTATATATTTTTGTTTATTTTTTTTAATCAATATAGGCACATGAGATGGCTGTACCAGGTTAAGTAAGCCATCTGGAACCACAGAGCAAAGATTTTTCCTCTTTATTTCTCTTATGAGCAAAATCAACCAATAAGAATGAATGTAAAATCAAAGATGATGACTTTATTATAAACATACTTAGGTTTATAACTTGAGAAAATATGACTAGAAATTTTATATATATGTGTGTGTGTGTGTGTGTGTGTGTGTATGTGTGTATGCATATCATTTATACATATATATGTATAGTTCTCTTTCTGGGATGGAAAAAATTGTTAAATGCTTGTTTTAATAATCAAGAACAGTAATAAAAGGCTACATTCACTCCCAATAAGAAAGTTTCACAATATACACTTCATAGGTATATTATTCTTGTATAAGGAAGAAGGAAACTAGTGGGGAAGAGCTACAGAAGAAGGAAGATGGGGGAAGAAGCATATGTACTATTTTAATATTTTTCAATGTCTGAAGAGGTAAACATAAACTCATTTACTAATATCCATTTACTTATTCATCAAATATTTTTGGAGCACCATCCATATCCTCTAGTGATTTGGGCATGGGTGATACAATAATGAAGGAACAGAGAATGCGCTTGCTCTCGTGTAGTTTAAACTTTTGTGATGAAAAATAAACAATAAATATATTTATAAATTTGAGATAAGAAAAATAAGACTAGAAAAAGGAAACAAATTTCCAGTGGAAAGTGGGGAAATTGGAAGGATATTTTAATAAGGTGGACAGTTAAGTCCTTTCTTATGGGGTGACATTTTAACAAAGATCTGAATGAAGTAAGGCAGCAAGCTCTGCAGATTTCTAGGGAAAAGCATTACAGGCAGAGAATGCAGAGTGTACAATAGCCCTGAAGATCTTGATTAGCATTTTTAAGGGAATTCAAAAAGGCCATATCTGAGGTCATGTAAATAACAGAAAGACTGGTAAAAGCGCGAGTCAGGCTCTGTAGGGCATTGTAGAACACCATATGAAACTTATATTTTGTTCTGAGTTAAATTGTAGTGCATTAGTGGTTTCTGTATAAAATAGCAATATGATCTAATTTATGTATCATAAAAATCACTTTGGCTGCAGTGTGAAGAATAAAATGTAAATGGGGTACATACGTTTTGAGACAATTGAGAGTCTATTACAAATACGTGTGGTACAGTGACAATAAGAAAGCTAGAGTGTCCATATCAACATTACACAAAGTGAACTTAAGACATGTTGCCAGAGATAAATAGGAACATTTCAATTATAAATACATTGATTCCTTACAAAGTCATAAAAATTGTAAACACGTATGCACTTACTAAGAGAGACCTCAAAATATATGAAGCAAAAACTAACAGAATTAAAAGGAGAAAGTTGGCCGGCACGGTGGCTCATGCCTGTAATCCCAGCGTTTTGGGAGGCCGAGGTGGGTGGATCACCTGAGGTCAGGAGTTCGAGACCAGCCTGGCCAACATGGTGAAACCCCTTCTCTACCAAAAATACAAAAAAAAAAAAAAAATGAGCCGGGTGTGGTGGCAGGTGCCTGTAATCCCAGCTACTCGAGAGGCTGAGGCAGCAGAGTCACTTGAACCCAAGAGGCAGAGTTTGCAGTGAGCCGAGATCACACCATTGAACTCCAGCCTAGGCAACAAGAGTGAAAGGCCATCTCAAAAATCAATCAATCAATAAATAAAATAAAAGGAGAAAATAGATAATTGAAAAATAATAGCTGGATACTACAATACTCCACTTTCAATAGTGAATAGAAAAATTTGGAAGTATATCAAGAAGGAAATAGAAGGTTTGAAGGATACTATGAACCAACTTGACCTAACAGACATGTATAAACACTGCACACAACAACATTATTCTCAAGTACACATGGAGCATTCTCAAGAATAGAACATATGTCATGATATAAAAGAAATGTCAATAAATTTTAAGATATTGAAATTATGCAAATTATAGCTTGACTAGAGGATAACAAAATTAGAAATTAGTAACATAAAACATTTGTTAAATTTACAAATATGTGCAAATTAAACAAGACAATCCTGCCTGAATGAAAAGAATTAAAAATATCACAATGGAAATTAAAACATACTCTAAGATGAATGTAAATAAAAATACAATATATGAAAATGTGTAGGATGAAGCTAAAGCAGTACACAGAGAAAATTATACCTGCAAATTCATGTATTTACAAATCAAACTAATACTCCACTTAAATAACCTAGTAATGAAACCAAACCCACAAAAGGAATAGTAATAATTATCATGGAAATAAATGATACGCAGATGAGAAAAAAAAAGGGAGAAAATCAATAAAACTACAAGTTGGTCTTTTAAAGAGATCAATACAATTGACACATTTTTAAGAAGATTGAGAAAAAAAAAGATTCAAATTGCCAAAACAGGAAATGAAAATTCAAACAGTACAAGGGAACTTGAAGGAGGAGAAAGGGAGTGTAAGGCAATACGAGGAACACTTGTAAGTAAAAAAAAATTAGGTGATCTGGAGAAATGGACAAATTCCAAGAAGATATAAATCTTACTAAATCTTACTCAGATCTTACAAGAAAAAAAGTTGAAGATCTGAATAGACCTATAATAAGTAATGACACTGAATTTGTATTTGTAAGAAATGCCCAGGCCCAGAAGACTTTACTGATTTTATTGAGATATTTAAAAAATAATTAACACCAATACTATAAAAGCTCTTTCAAAAAGACAGTGTTCAAAGAAATTAAAGAATTAAAGAAGATTTTAAGAAATGGGTTGGAATCATATAGTTAAGATGACTAAGATGGAAATGCTCTTGAAATTGATTTAAAATCATATAAAGGAGTCTTAAAGAATGAATTAGAGAATTAACTTCCCAATTTCAAAATTTGCTATAGAGCTACAGTAATCAAGATTATGAGTTACTGACAAAGGACAGGCATATATATCAAATGAATACAATGGAGAGCTCATAAATCAATACTCCATAGTTATTCTATTTTAGACAAGTTTGCCAAGGCTATTCAAAAGGAAATAAACATTCATTTCAACAAATAGTACTGGGACAAATGAATATCCACATGCAAGAAAAATACTAAATTGTTTGTCCCTTGGCAGTGGCTCAGGCCTGTAATCCCAGCACTGTGGGAGGCCGAGGCAGGCGGAACACCTGAGGTCAGGAGTTGGAGACCAGCCTGGCCAACATGGTGAAACCTCGTGTCTACTAAAAATACAAAAATTAGCCCGGTGTGGTGGTGCACGCCTGTAGTCCCAACTACTCAGGAGGCTGAGGCAGGAGAATCGCTTGAACTTGGGAGGCAGAGGCTGCAGTGTGCCGAGACTGTACTACTGCACTCCAGCTTGGGCAACGGGGTGAGACTCCGTCTCAAAGAAAAAAAAATTGTACTCTATATAACACCATTTACAAAAATGACCTCAAAATGGAAAATAGACTAAAATGTGAGAGAGAAAATTATAAAACTCCAGCATCTGTTGTTTCCTGACTTCTTAATGATCCCCATACTAACTGGCATGAGATGTTATCTCATTGTGGTTTTTATTTGCATTTCTCTACTGACCAGTGATGATGAGCTTTTTTTCATATGTTTGTTGGCCACATAAATGTCTTCTTTTGAGAAGTGTCTGTTCATATCTTTTGCCCACTTTTTGATGGGGTTGTTTTTTTTCTTGTAAATTTGTTTAAGTTCCTTGTAGATTCTGGATATTAGCCGTTTGTCAGATGGATAGATTGCAAAAATGTTCTCCCATTCTGTAGGTTGCCTGTTCACTCTGATGATAGTTTCTTTTGCTGTGCACAAGCTCTTTAGCTTAATTAGATCCCATTTGTCAATTTTTGGCTTTTGTTGCCATTGCTTTTGGTGTTTTAGTCATGGAGTCTTTGCCCATGCCTATGTCCTGAATGGTATTGCCTAAGATTTCTTCTAGGGTTTTTATGGTTTTAGGTCTTACATTTAAGTCTTTTATCCATCTTGAGTTAATAATATTATACTGAAGGGGCAAAAGCTGGAAGCATTTCCTTTGAAAATTGGCACAAGACAAGGTTGCCCTCTCTCACCACTCCTATTCAACATAGTATTGGAAGTTCTCACCAGGGCAATTAGGCAAGAGAAAGAAATAAAGAGTATTTAAATATGAAGAGAGGAAGCCAAATTGTCTCTGTTTGCAGATTACATGTTTGTATATTTAAAAAACCCCATCCTCTTAGCTCAAAATCTCCTTAAGTTGATAAGCAACTTCAGCAAAATCTCAGGATACAAAATCAGGGTGCAAAAATCACAAGCATTCCTATATACCAATAACAGACAGAGTCAAATCATGAGTGAACTCCCATTCATAATTGCTACCAAGGAATAAAATACCTAGGAATACAACTTACACGGGATGTGAAGGACCTCTTTAAGGAGAACTACAAACCACTGCCCAAGGAAATAAGAGAGGACACAAATGGAAAAACATTCCATGCTCATGGATAGAAAGAATCAATATCGTGGAAATGGCCATGCTGCCCAAAGTGATTTATAGATTCCATGCCATCACCATCAAGCTACCATTGACTTTCTTCCCCGAATTAGAAAAAAACTACTTTAAATTTTGTATGGAACCAAAAAAGAGCCCATATAGCCAAGACAATCCTAAGCAAAAAGAGCAAAACACGCTACCTGACTTCAAACTCTACTACAAGCCTACAGTAACTAAAACAGCATGGTACTGGTACCAAAACAGATATATAGACCAATGGAACAGACTAGAGGCCTCAGAAATAATGCCACACATCTACAACCATCTGATCTTTGACAAACCTGACAACAAGCAATGGGGAAAGGATTCCCTATTTAATAAATGGTGTTGGGAAAACTGGCTAGCCATATGCAGAAAACTGAAACTGGACCCCTTCCTTACATCCTATACAAAAATTAAGTACTCCCTTTTTAAGTTAAATTATATTCTATTGTATACCACATTTTGTTTATCCGTTATTCAGCTTATGGAAAATTGGACTGTTTACACATTTTGGCTATTGTGAATACTGCTGCTATAGATATTCATATTCATGTCGTAATTTGGATGACTTTTTTATATTACTTTGTATCTCGACAAGCAAATTGCAGGGGTCATATGACAACTTTATGTTTAGCATTTTTAGAACTATTTAACTGTTTTTCATATAGAGTGAACCATTTTACATTCACACTGGGTGTGTATGATATTTCTAATTTTTTCACATTCTTGTCAATACATTTTTTTCTTTTGTAATATATCTAATCCAGTGAGTGTGAAGTGACACTTCACTATGGTTTTGATATGCATTGTCCTAATGACTAACAATGTTGAGCACCTTTCTATGTGCTTGCTGGTCATTTGTATATCCTCCTTGGAGAAATGTCTACTGAAACTCTCTGCCAATTTTTATAATTGGGTGTTTGTCTTTTTGTTGCTGAGCTGTGATACATTTTTATATATTCTGAATATGATATCCTTATCACATATTTGGTTAGCAAATATTTTATCGCACTCTGTTGGATATTTTTTCACTTTCTTAACAGTGTTTTTGATGTACTTTAAGTGTTTGATGAAATCTAATTTATCTAAGTTTTTTATTTTATTGATAGTAATTTTAGTGTCTTATTTGAAATTTATTGCCAAATTCAAAGACATAAAGACTTACCCCTATGTTTCCTCATAAGCATTTTATGGTTTACTTTAGCATGTGTATCCATTTTAAGATAATTTTGTTTATGGTGTGAGATAGCATACCACCTTTTTATGCATTTGGTTGTCCATTTGTCACAGAATGATTTGTTGAAGGGGTCAAGCTAATACTACATTACTTTGATTGTTCAAGCTTTTTCATAAGTTTTTAAATCAGGTATTGTAAGCCTTTCTGTTGTGTTCTTTTTCCAGGTTATTTTGGCTATTTGAGGCCCCTTGCAATCATATATCTCATATCACATATATGTTATATATATGTATATTACATATAATATTATAAACATATGTATATATATGTATAATTTAAGGATAGGGTTTTCCATTTTTTGAAAAGAAGCCCATTGGAATTCTTATAGAGGTCACATTTGTTGTGTATATCACTTGGGATAGTATTGACATCTTACGGACATTATGCCTTCCAATACATGAACACCAGATGTCCTTCTACTTATTTAGGTGTTATATAATTTTTTCAGCAATGTTTTGTAGTTTTCAGTGTGCAAATATTTTACCTCTGTATTAGTCTGTTCTTGCATTACTGAATATTACACCTAAGACTGGCTAATTTACGGGAAAAAAAAAGAGGTCTAATTGGCTCACGATTCTGCAGTCTGTACAGGAAACATGATGCTGGCATCTGCTTTGCTTATGGGGAGGCCTCAGGAAACTTACAATCACGGTGGAAGCCGAAGGGGGAGCAGACACTTCATATGGTCAGAGCAGGAGCAAGAGAGAAGAACAGGGGAAGGTGCCACACACTTTTACACAACCAGATCTCGAGAGAACTCACTATCATGAGAATACGGCCGAGGGGATGGCACTAAACCATTCATTAGAAACCACACATATGATTCAATCATCCACAGTATGAATCATCCACAGTATGAGCTGTACCTCCAATATTGGGGATTACAATTCAACATTAGATTTGGTGAGGACACAAATCCAAACCATATCAACCTCCTTGGATGATTTTTTCCTAATTAACTTTCTATTTTTGCATGCTATTTTCAGTGAAATTGCTTTGTTAATTTCCTTTGCAGACCATGCTTGGTAGAAACACCACTGAGTTTTGTGTGTTAATATCATTAGCCTGAAACCTTGCTGAATTTATTTTGTAGCTCTACTAGATTTTATATGGATTATTTGGGAGTTTCTATATATAAGATCGAGTAATCTGGGAATGGGGATAGTTTTATCATTACTTTTCAATTTGCATGTGTTTTATTAGTCTTCTTGCTTGATTTATCTAGGTAGAACTCCCAGCAAAATATTGAATGGCAGTTGTGAAAGCAGGCATACTTGTCTCATTCTTTATCATAGGTGGAAAGTTTTCAGTGTTTTACTCTTAGGCTTGATGTTAGCTGTGAGGTTTTTATGAATGCCCTTTATCATGTTGAAGATGATTCTATTTCTAGTTTTCTGAATGTTTTTATTAAAAAATGTTATATTTTGTCAAATATATTTTTCTGCATAGAGATGATTTTTTCTTTCATTCTATTAATGTTGTACATCATATTGACTACTTTTCTCATGTTGAACCACCCTTGCATTTCCAGTATAAATCCCAATTGGTCATGGTGTATAATCTTTCAATATGCTATTGGAATCATTTTATTATTTTGTGTAAGATTTTTTCATCTGTATTGATAATGGACATTTTCTGAAGTTTTCTTGTGAATTTTTTAAGTTTTGTTTTAGTATCAGGGTAATGCTGATATTATAGAATATGTTAGGAAGTGTTTCTTCCTCTTTTATTTTTGGAAACATTTGAGAAGAAATGATGTCTATTCTTCTTTAAATAATTTATAAAATTCACCTGAGTAGCAATCTGGTTTTAGACTGTTCAGGGATTTCTGATTACCAATTCAACTACTTTATTTCTTATAGTTCTGTTAAGATTCTCTCTTGCTTCCTGAGTCGGTTTTAGTAATTTATGTGTTCCTAGATATTTATTCATTTATATAGGGAAATGTTTTTTTTTTTAGATGGAGTCTTGCTCTGTCACCCAGGCTGGAGTGCAGTGGCACAATCTTGGCTCACTGCAAGCTCTGCCTCCCGGACTCACGCCATTCTCCTGCCTCAGCCTCCCGAGTAGCTGGGACTACAGGCACTCACCACCAAGCCTGGCTATAATTTTTTCTATTTTTTTTTTTTTTTTTTTTTGAGACGGAGTCTCGCTCTGTCGCCCAGGCTGGAGTGCAGTGGCGCGATCTCGGCTCACTGCAAGCTCCGCCTCCCGGGTTCACGCCATTCTCCTGCCTCAGCCTCCCGAGTAGCTGGGACTACAGGCGCCCGCTACCACGCCCGGCTAATTTTTTGTATTTTTAGTAGAGACGGGGTTTCACCGTGTTAGCCAGGATGGTCTCGATCTCCTGACCTCGTGATCCGTCCACCTCGGCCTCCCAAAGTACTGGGATTACAGGCGTGAGCCACCGCGCCCGGCCTATATAAGGAAATTTTAATGAAAAGTTAGTTAAGGACTAAACTGAAATATTTCTGAAAATGTTGTTCTATTGAATATTTTTCTCAGACAGTATTAATGTGTACCATAGAAATGTGTATGCAAGTCATATACCTTTGGAAAATGTGAGGTTATAAATAGTTCAACAAGATTGTTTTGTATAATTTATTTTTAATGTTTTTTATTTCAATAGGTTTTTGGGGAACACATTGTGTTTGGTTACATGAATAAGTTCTTTAGTGGTGATTTCTGAGATTTTGGTGCACCCATCACCCAAGCAGTGTACACTGTAAACAATATGTTGTCTTTTATCCCTCACCCTACTCCCTCCCTTTCCCCTGAGTCTACAAAGTGCATAGCTCCCACTTATGAGTGCGAACCTACAATGTTTGGTTTTCCGTTCCCAAATTAGTTCACTTAGAATAATGGTCTTGAATTCAATCCAGGTTGCCGCAAATCCCATTACTCTGTTCCTTTTTATGGCTGAAAAGTATTCCATGGTGTGTATTTGTGTGTGTGTGTGTGTGTGTGTGTGTGTGTGTGTGTGTGTGTGCCACATATTCTTTATCCACTCAATGATTGAAGGACATTTGGGCTGGCTCCATATTTTTGCAATTGCAAACTGTGCTGCTATAAACATGCATGTGCAAGTACCTTTTTTGTATAACGACTTCTTTTCCTCTGGGTAGATTCCCAGTAGTGGGATTGCTAGACAAAATGATAGTTGTGCTTTTCGTTCTTTAAGGAATCTCCAGACTCTTTTCCATAGTGGTTGTACTAGTTTACATTCCCTTCAGCAGTGTAAAAGTGTTCCCTTTTCACCTTATCGACACCAACATCTATTATTTTTTGATTATGGCCATTCTTTGATTTGCAGTTCCCTGATCATTAGTGATGCTGAACATTTTTTCATAAGTTTGTTGACCGTTTGTGTATCTTCTTTTGATAATTGTCTATTTATGTCCTTAGCACACTTTTTGATGGGATTGTTTTGTTCTTGATGATTTGTTTGAGTTCCTTGTAGTTTCTGGGTATTAGTCCTTTGTTGGATGTATAGATTGCAAAGACTTTGTCCCACTCTGTAGGTTGTCTGTTTACTCTAATGATTATTTCTTTGAATGTGCAGAAGCTTTTTAGCTTAATTAAGTTCCATCAATTTGTCTTCACTTTTGTTGCATTTGCTTTTGGGTTCTTGGTCATAAAATCTTTGCCTAAGCTGATGTCTAAAAGATTTATTCCAATGCTATCTTTTATAATTTTTATGGTTACACGTCTTATATTTAATTCTTTCATCCATATTGAATTGATTTTTATATACAGTGAGAGATAAGGATTCAGTTTCATTCTTCTACATGTGCCTTGCCAATTATCCCAGCACTGTTTGTTGAATAGAGTGTTCTTTCCCCACTTTATGTTTTTGTTTGCTTTGTCGAAGATCAGTTGACTGTAAGTACTTGGCTTTATTTCTGGGTTCTCTATTCTGTTCCATTGGTGTAGATGCATATTTTTATACCAGTACCATGCTGTTTTGGTGACTGTGGCCTTATATTATAGTTTGAAGTTGGATAATGTAATGCCTCCATATTTGTTCTTTTTGCTTAGTTTTGCTTTTGGTATGTGAAATTTTTTTGGTTCCATATGAATTTTAGGAATTTTTTCTCTAGTTCTGTAAAGAATGATGGTGGTATTTTGATGGGAATTGCATTGAATTTGTAGATTGCTTTTGTCAGTGTGGTCATTTTCACAATATTGATTCTACCCAATTATGAGCAGGGGATGTGTTTCCATTTGTTTGTGTCATCTATGATTTATTTCAGCAGTGTTTTGTAGTTTTCTTTGTAGAGGTCTTTCACCTCCTTGGTTAGGTATATTCCTAAGTATTTTATTTTATTGTAGCTATTGTAAAGGGGATAGATTTCTCAATTTGATTCTTAGCTTGGTCACTGTTTGTGTTAGCAGAGCTACTGATTTGTGTACATTAATTTTGTATCCTGAAACTTTGTTGAATTCAATCACCAGTTCTGGAAGCTTTTTGAATGTGTCTTCATGGTTTTCCAGGTATATGATTATGCCATAACAAACAGCGACCAACAGTTTGACTTCCTTATTACCAATTTGGATGCCCTTTATTTCTTTCTCTTGTCTGATTGCTCTGGCTATGACTTCCAGTACTATGTTAAATGTAAGTGGTAAAAGTGGGCACCCTTGTTTTGTTCCAGTTCTCAGGGGAATGCTTTCAGCATTTCCCCATTCAGTATATTGTTGGCTGTGGGTTTGTCATAGATGGCTTGCTTGCTTTATTTTTTTTCTTTTTCTTTCTTTTTTTTTTTTTTTGAGATGGAGCCTCACTCTGTTACTCTGTTGCCCAGGCTGGAGTGCAGCGGTGCAATCTTGGCTAACTACAAATTCCACCTCCTGGGTTCAGGGAATTCTCTTCCTCAGCCTCCTGAGTATCTGGGAGTATAGGCATGCAACACCACACCTGGTCATTTTTTGTATTTTTAGTACAGATGGGGTTTTGCCATGTTGGCCAGGCTGGACTCGAACTTCTCCTGACCTCAAGTTATCCACCTGCCTCAGCCTCCCAAAGTGCTGGGATTACAGGTGTGAGGCACTGGCACCCAGCCAGATGCTTTTATTACCTTAAAGTATGTCCCTTCTATGCCTAATTTGCTGAGGGTTTTAATGATAAAGATATGCTGGATTTTGTCAAATGCTTTTACTGCATCTATTTAGATGATCATGTGATTTTTTGTTTATATTTCTGTTTATGTGGTGTATCACATTTATTGACTTGCAGATGTTGAACCATTCCTGCATCCCTGGTATGAAACTCACTTCATCATGGTGTATTATCTTTTTGATACTGTTGGATTCTGTTAGCCAATATTTTGTTGAGGATTTTTGCATCTATGTTCATCAGGCACATTGGTCTGTAGTTTTCTTTTTCTGTTATGTCCTTTCCTGGTTTTGGTATTAGGGTGATACTGGCTTCATTATATGATTTAGGAAAGATTTCCTCTTTCTCTATCTTGGAATAGTATAAATAGGATTGGTACCAATTCTTTGAATATCTGATAGAATTCAGCTGTGAATCTGTCTGGTCTTGGACTTTTTTTTGTTGGTAAGTTTTGAATTACCATTTCAATCTTGCTATTTGTTTTTGATGCGTTCAGAGATTCCATTTATTCCTGGCTTAATCTAGGAGGGTTTTATATTTCCAGGAATTTATCCATCTCCTCTAGGTTTTCCAGTTTATGTGCATAAAGTTGTTCATAGTAGCCTTGAATGATCTTTTGTATTTCTGTGGTATTGGTTTTAATATCTACCATTTCATTTCTAATTGAACTTATTTGGCTCTTATCTCTTCTTTTCTTGGTTAATCTCACTAAAGGGCTATCATTTTATTTATCTTTTCGAAGAACCAGCTTTTTGTTTCATTTCTTTTGTATTTTTTGTTGTTGTTGTTGATTACGTTTTATTTAGTTCTGTTCTGATCTTGGTTATTTCTTTTCCTCTGCTGGATTTAGGTTTGATTTGTTTTTGTTTCTCTAGTTCCTTGAGGTGTAATCTTAGATTGTCTATTTGTGCTCTTTCATACTTTTTGATATAGGCATTTAATGTTATGAGCTTTCCTCTTAGCACCACTTTTGCTGTATCCCAGAGGGTTTCAACGGTTTTGTCCCTTTTTATTGTTCAGTTCAAAGAATGTTTTAATTTCCATCTTGATTTCATTGTTGATCCAACAATCATTCTGGAGCACATTATTTAATTTCCATATATTTGCATGATTTTGAGAGTTCCTTTTGGAGTTGATTCCCAATTTTCTTCCCCTGTGCTTTGAGAGGGTACTTTATATAATTTCTAATTTCTTAAATTTGTTGAGACTTGTTTTGTGGCTTATCATATGGTCTATCTTCTAGATTGCTCCATGTGGTTATGAATAGAATGTATATTCTGTAGTTGTTGGGTAGAATGTTCTATAAGTATCCATATATACATTTGTTCTAGGGTATAGTTTAAGTGCATTGTTTCTTTGTTGACTTTCTGTCTCGATTACCTGTCTAGTGCTGTAAGTGGAGTATTGAAGTCCCCCACTATTACTGTGTTGTCTATCTCATTTCTTAGGAATAGTAGTAATTTTTTAATAAATTTGGGAGCACCAGTGTTAGGTGCATATAAATTTAGAATTGTGATACCTTCCTCTTGGACTAATCCTCCTATAATTATATAATGTTCTTCTTTGTCTTTTTTTTACTGTTGTTGCTTTAAAGTCTGTTTTGTCTGATGTAAGATTAGCTACTCCTGCTCGCTTTTGGTGTCTATTTGCATGGAATGTCTTTTTCCACCCCTTTACCTTAAGTTTATGTGAGTCCTTATGTGTCAGGTGAGTCTCTTGAAGACAGCAGATATTTGGTTGGTGAGTTCTTATCCATTCTGCCATTCTGTATGTTTTAAGTGAAGTATTTAGGCCTTTGTATTCAATGTTATTATTGAGATGTGAGGTACTATTCTGTTCATCACGCTGTTTGTTGCCTGAATACCTTGTTTTTTTTAATTCACTGTGTTATTGTTTTATAGATCCTGTGAGAGTTAGCTTTAAGGAGATCCTACTTTGGTGTATTTTGAGGATTTGTTCCAAGATTTACAGCGCCTTTAAGCAGTTCTTGTAGTGCTGGATTTGTAGTAGCAAATTCTCTCAGCATTTGTTTATCTGAAAAAGACTGTATCTTTCCTTCATCTATGAAGCTTAGTTTCACTGTATACAAAATTCTTGGCTGATAATTGTTTTGCTTCAGGAAGCTAAAGATAGGACCCCAGTCCCTTCTAGCTTGTAGGGTTTCTGCTGAGAAATCTTCAATTAATCAGATACATTTTCCTTTATAGGTTACCTGATGTTTTTGCCTCACAGCTCTTAAGATTCTTTCTTTCATCTTAACTCTAGATAACCTGATGACTATTTGCCTAGGTGATGATTTCTTTGCAATGCCTATCCCAGGTGTTCTTTCAGCTTCTTGTATTTGAATGTCTAGCTCTCTAGCCTCCTGGGGAAGTTTTTCTTGATTATTCCCTCCAATATGTTATTCAAACTTTTAGATTTCTTTTATTCTTCAGGAACACCAAATATTCTTAGGTTTGGTCATTTAACATAATCCAGAACTTTTTGGAGGCTTTGTCCATTTTTTAAAATTTGTTTGTCTTTGTCAGATTGGGTTAATTGGAAAGCCTTGTCTTTGAGTTCTTAAGTTCTGTCTTCTGCTTGTTCACGTCTATTGCTGAGACTTTCCAGTGCATTTTGCGTCTCTATGAGTGTCCTCGATTTCCAGAAGTTGTGATTGATTTTATTCATTTTATCTATTTCACTGAATATTTTTACATTCATATACTGTGTCATTTAAAAAAATATTTTTTAAGTTGGACTTCACCTTTCTCTAGTGACTCCTTGATTGGCTTAATAATCAACCTCCTGGATGCTTTTTCTGGCAATTCACAGATTTTGTCTTGGTTTGGATACATTGCTGGTGACCCAGTGAGAGACAGGACTAGCTGGATTTCCTAGGCCAGCTAAGAATCCCTAAGCCTAGCTGGAAAGGTGACCACTTCCACCTTTAAACACGGAGCTTGCAACTTAGCTCACACCCAACCAATCAGATAGTAAAGAGAGCTCACTAAAATGCTAATTAGGCAAAAACAGGAGGTAAAGAAATAGCCAATCATCTATTGCCTGAGAGCACAGTGGGAGGGACAATGATCGGGATATAAACCCAGGCATTCGAGCTGGCAACGGCAACCCTCTTTGGGTCCCCTCCCTTTGTATGGGAGCTCTGTTTTCACTCTATTAAATCTTGCAACTGCACTCTCTTCTGGTCTGTGTTACGGCTTGAGCTGAGCTTTTGCTCGCCGTCCACTACTGCCATTTCCCGCCATTGTAGACCCACCGCTGACTTCCATCCCTCCGGATCCGGCAGGGTGTCTGCTGTGCTCCTGATCCAGTGATGCGCCCATTGCCGCTCCTGATCAGGCTAAAGTCTTGCCATTGTTCCTGCACGCTAAGTGCCCGGGTTCATCCTAATCAAGCTGAACACTAGTCACTGGGTTCCACGGTTCTCTTCCGTGACCCATGGCTTCTAATAGAGCCATAACACTCAGTGCATGGCCCAGGATTCCATTTCTTGGAATTCGTGAGGCCAAGAATCCCAGGTCAGAGAACAGGAGGCTTGCCACCATCTTGGAAGTGACCAACCGCCATTTTGGAAGTGGCCTGCCACCATCTTGGGAGCTCTGGGAGCAAGGACCACCCCTGGTAACACCAGCAGAGCTACTAAGCTCCACGCGGGTACTGGGGAGTGTGTGTAAAGTGTCCTGTGATGTGATTTGTCTTCATGTCTCTCAGCTGTGGATACTAGCACCTACTCTGGTGGAGGTAGCAGGAGAGTGAAGTGGACTCTGTGAGAGTCCTTGGTTGTATTTTTCTTAAGTGCACTGGCTTTGTGTTGGGTTGCTTCCAGTCAGGAGGTGGCACTTTCAAGAGTACATCAGTTGTATGGATAGGATACAAGCTTGTCCTAGACTCACATTTGGATAAGTATTCACATTTCTCAGGCCATGGGCAGGGCCATAGAACTCCCAAGAGATTATGACCTTTGTATTCAGTTACCAGGATTGGTAGAAAAAGACCATCGGGTGGGGGAAGGGTTAGGTGTGTTTGAGTTCAGACTCTCTTTGGGTGAGACTTGCTGTGGCTACTGTGGGGGATGGAGGTGGGGTTCCCAGGCCAATGGAATTACATTTCCCAGGGGGATTTTGGGTATCTCTGCTGTATCACACAGGTTACCAGGGAAGTGAGGGAAAGCTGGTAGCCACAGGCCTCACCCAGCCCCCATGCAGCCTGCAGTTCTAAAGGCTGGTCTCACTCCCACAGTGCCCCCACAACAGCACCAAGTTTATTTCTAGACAGCTGGTGAGCAGGACTGAAAACTTGTCCCAGGCTACAAGACTCTCAGCTGGGAAAGCAAGTTGACTCACAGTTCCTCCGCTGTCCCATGGAGCATGCAGCAGCAATCCACCTCCTTCACAGGGTCTGTGAATTCTCTCAGTTTTCCTGGTAAGTTCCTGTGATAGTTCTTAAAAGCAAAATTTCATTACGTGGGTCTCCACATGCTGTTCTGTATGTCCAAGTGGGAGCCGCAAGTTAGTCCTGCCTCCTATTTGACATTTTTCCCCTAGAAAGTTGTTTTGTACAGTTTCTTACCATCTCCAGCTGCTTTTTTTTCAAAGACCTACGTGGCAGAGAAAATGGAAAGAATGTTTCTCAAATATTTTACTGTTGCACTCATGTTCACATGGTTTCTTACCATTTAGAAAAAATATGCACTAACACTTTATAAAAGAAATATGGAAAAACACTTGGACAGCAGTAATCTAATGTGACAAATGCTTTTCCAAAACTAACTTCAACCTGGATTTTGTGATAAAGAGTGATCTTTTCTAATGTATTGTTGAATTTGATTTGCTAGTATTTTATTTAGGATTTCTGCATCAGTATGCATCAGAGATATTCGCCTGTAGTTTTCTTTTGTGATGTGTCTTTGTCTGGTTTTGGCATCAGGGTAATACTGGCTTCATACAATAAGTCTGGAAAAATTTCCTCCTCCATTTTTTGGAATGGTTTCAGTAGGACTGGTATTAGTTCTTCTTTAAATGTTCGGTAGAATCCAGCAGTGAAGGCATCAGGTCCTGGGGTTTCTTTACTGGGAGACTTTTTATTACAGCTTTGATCTCATCACCTTCTATTGGTGTACTCATGGTTTTTATTTTTTCATGGTTCAATCTTGGTACATTGTATGTGACCAGGATTTTTTCATTTCTTCCAGATTTTCCAATTGATTGGCATATACTAGCTCATGGTAGCCCTAATGATTCTAATGAATTTCTGCAGTATCAGTTGTAGTGTCTCTTTGTCCATTTCAGATTTTTTGTATGTGTCTTCTCTCTTCTTTTTTTCTTAGTCTGGCTAAATTTTGTCAGTCTTGTTTAACTTTTTGTTTCATTGATCTTTCGTACTGTTTTCTTCATTTTAATTTCATTTATTTCTCCTTTGATATTTATTATTTCTTTTCTTCTATTAAGTTTGGGTTTAATTTCCTATTGCTTTTCTTGTGCTTTAAAATTCATCTTTAGGTTATTTGTTTTTTTTTTCTTTTTTGATGTAGGCACTTAAAGCTATAAACTTCCCTCTTAGTACTGATTTGGCTATATCCCATAGGTTTTGGTATGTTGTGTTTTCTTTGTAACTTGTTTTGAGGAGTTTCTCAATTTTCTTATTAATTGCTTCGTTGACCCTCTGGTGCTTCAGGAGCTTGTCATTTAATTTCCATGTATTTCTATAGTTTTCTATATTTCTCTTATTATTGATTCCTAGTTTTATTTCATTGTGGTTAGAGGAGATGCTTGCTATTACTTCAACTTTTTGAATGTTTTAAGACTTGTTTTATGACCTAATACATCGTCTATCCTTGAGAATAATCTATGTGTGGAAGAAAATAATGTGTATTCTGCAGCTCTTGAATGAAATGTTCTGTAAATATCTATTAAGTCTATTTGGTCAGTAGTGCAGATTAAGTCTAATGTTACTCTGTTGATTTTCTGTCTAGAAGACAGACGTGGGGTGTTGAAGTCTTCAGTTATTATTGTATTGGAGTTTATCTCTCTCTTTAGCTCTAATAATATTTGTTTTCTATACCTGAGTGCTCCTGTGATGAGGGTATATATATTTAACATTGTTGTGTCATCTTGCTGATTTGACCCTCTAATAATTACATAGTGACTTTCTTTGTCTCTTATATTTTTATTTTGAAATCAGTTTTGACTAATATAAGTACAGCTACTCCTGCTCTTTTCTGTGTGTCCATTTGGCATGGAATTTGTTTTTCCATCTTTTATTATCAATCTAGGTGTGTCTTTGAATGTGAGGTATGTTTCTTGTAGACAAGAGATCAATGGGTCTTGTTTGTTCATCAGTCAATCCAGTCTGTATCTTTTGATTGGATACTTTAGTCCATTTACATTCAATGTTTTTATTAGTCTGTTCTCATGCTGCTAATAAAGACATACCAGAGACTGGGTAATTTACAAAGGAAAGAAGTTTAATGGACTCAAAAGTTCCATATGGCTGGGGAGGCCTTACAATCATGGCAGCAGACAAAGGAAGAGGAAAGGGACATTTTACATGGCAGCAGGCAAAAGAGAATGAGAGCCAACCAAAAGGGGAAACCCCTTATAAAACCATCAGAGCTTGTGAGACTTATTCATTACCACAAGAACAGAATGGGGTAAAGTACCCCATGATTCATTTATCTACCACTGGTTCCCTCCCACAACACATGTGAATTATGGGAGCTAAAATTCAAGATAAGATTTCAGTGGGGACAGAACCAAACTGTATCATTCCACCCCTGGCCCCTCCCACATCTCATGTCCTCACATTTCAAAACCAGTCATGTCTTTTCAACAGTTCCTCAAAGTCTTAATTCATTTCAGCATTAACCCAAAAGTCCACAGTCCAAAGTTTCATCTAAGATGAAGCAAGTCCCTTCCACCTATGAGCCTGTAAAATCAAAAGCAATTTAGTTACTTCCTAGATAAAATGGGAGTACAGGCATTGGGTAAATACACTCATTACAAATGGGAGAAATTTGGCAAGGCGAAGAGGCTACAGGCCCCATGCAATTCTGAAATCCAGTGGGGCAGTCAAATTTTAAAGCACCAAAATGATCTCCTTTGACTCTGTCTCTCACCCAGGTCACAGTAATGCAAGAGGTGGGTTCCCGTGGTCTTGAGCAACTCTGCCAGGCTGGTGTTGAGTGTCTTTGGCTTTTCCAGGCACACAGTGCATGCAAGCTGTTGATGGATCTATCATTCTGGGGCCTGGAGGACGGTGGCCCTCTTCTCACAGCTCAACTATGCAGTGCCCCAGTGGGGACTCTGTGTGGGGACTTAAACCCCACATTTCCCTTTTGCACTGCCCTAGCAAAGGTTCTTCATGAGGGCCCCACCTCTGCAGCAAACTTCTGCCTGGACATTTAGCCATGTTCATACATTTTCTGAAATCTAGATGGAGGTTCTCAAACCTCAGTTTTTGACTTCTGTCTACCTCCAGGCCCAACACCATGTGTAAGCCACTAAGGCTTTGGGTCTGCATTCTCTGAAGCAACAGCCTGAGCTCTATGTTGGCCCCTTTTTATCCATAGGTGGGACACAGGGCACCAAATCCTGAGACTCCAGAATGCAGCAAGGCCCTAGCCTGGCCTTGGAAGCCATTTTTCCCTCTTATGCCTCCAGGCTTGTGATGGGAGGGGCTGATGAAAGACCTTTGAAATGCCCTGGAGACATTTTCCCCATTGTCTTAGTGATAAACATTTGGCTCCTCATTATTTATGCAAATTTATGCAGCTGATTTGAATTTTTCCTCAGAAAATGGGTTTTTCTTTTCTAATCCATCATCAGGCTGCAAATTTTCCAAACTTTTATGCTCTGCTTCCGTTTTAAACATAAGTTCCAATTCCAAGCCATATCTTTGTCAATGTATAAAACTAAATGCTTTTAACAGTATCCAAGTCACATCTTGAATGCTTTGCAACTTAGAAATTTCTTTTGCCAGATGCCCTAAATCATCTCCTTCAAGTTCAAAGTTCCATAGATCTTTGGGGCAGAAGCAAAATGCTGCCAGTCTCTTTGCTAAAGCATAGCAAAAGCGACTTTTGCTCCATTTCCCAACAAGTTCCTCATACCCATCTGAGACCACCTCAGCCTCGACTTCATTGTCCATATCACTATCAGCATTTTGGTCAAAGCCACTGAACAGTCTCTAGAAAGTTCTAAACTTTCCCACACCTTCTTGTCTCTTTCTGAGTCCTCCTAACTGTTCCAACCTCTGCCTGTTACCCAGTTCCAAAGTTGCTTTGACATTTTCAGGTATCTTTACAGCAGCACCCAACTCTACCAGTACCAATTTACTGTATTAGTCAGTTATTACACTGCTAATAAAGACATTTGAGACTGGGTAATGTATAAAGGAAAGAGGTTTAATAGATTCACAGTTCCACGTGGCTGGGGAGGCCTCACAATCATGGTGGCAGATGAAAGAATAGCCAAGGGACATTTTACATGGCAGCAGGTGAGAGAGAATGAGAGTCAAGTGAAAGGGGAAACCTCTTATAAAACCATTAGACCTTGTACAACTTATTCACTGCCATGAGAACAGTATTGGGAAAACCACCCTTATGATTCAATTATCTCCCATCGGGTCCCTCCTGCAACACATGGGAATTATGGGAGCTACAAATCAAGGTGAGATTTGGGTGGGGACACAGCCAAACCATATCAATGTTATTGTTGATTAATAAGGACTTACTCTTCCCATTTTCTGATTTGTCTTCCTCTTTTGTGGTGTTCTCTTTCTTGTTTCTTTCCTTCTTGTCCTCCTTTTAATGAATTTGATTTTATTTGGTGGTGTGACTTAACTTATTGCTTTCTATTTTCTGTGTATTCGTTTGTGTTTTGATGTGACATTATTATGAGTCTTGGAAACACTATCTTATAACCCATTATTTTAAGCTGATAATGACTTAACACTGTTTTCATAAACAAGCAACAAACAGCAAAAATAAAACTAGTAAAAACCCTATGCCTTAATTGTATCCTGCCACTTTTTCACTTTTTGTTGTTACTATTTATACCTTATTTCATTGCCTATGTCCTGAAAAATTGTTATAGTTATTATTATTAATACTTTTATTTTTTTGAGATGGATTCTCACTCTGTCACCCAGGCCAGGGTGCAGTGGCATGATCCTAGCTCACTGCAACCTCCACCTTCCAAGTTTAAGCAATTCTCCTACCTCAGCCTCCTGAGTAGCTGGGATTATGGGCATCCACCACCACCCCTGGCTAATTTTTTGTGTTTTTAGTAGAGACAGAGTTTCACCGTGTTGGCTTGGCTGGTCTTGAACTCCTGACCTCAAGTGATCCACCCACCTCAGCCTCTCAAAGTGCTGGTATTACAGGCGTTTTGATTGGTTCATCATTTAGTCTTTTTGCATAAGAGTATTTTACTTACGAGAATTACAGTGTTATAATATTCTGTTTCTTACTTTGTGGTTACTATTACCAGGGACTTTTTTTTTAACCTTCAGATGTTTTCTTTTTGTTCATTACAATTCATTTTTTTTCTGATGAAAGTAATCTTTTTAGTGCTTATTGTAGGACGGGTCTGGTGTTGATGAAATTTCTTTTGTTTGCTTGGGAAAGTCTTTATTTCACCTTCATGTTTGAAAGATTAATTCTCTGGATATATGATTCTAGGGTAAAAGGCTTACTTTTTGCTCTTTTGCTCAAGCACTTTAAATATGTCATGCTACTCTCTCCTGTCCTGTAAGGCTTCCATTGAAACATCTGCTGCCAGAAGTTTTGGTACTCCATTGTATGCTATTTGTTTCTTTTCTGTTGCTGCTTTTAGGATCCTTTCTTTATTCTTGACTTTTGGGAGTTTGATTGTTAAATGCCTTGAGGTAGTTTTCTTTGAATTAAATTTGCTTGGTATTCTATAGCCTTATTTTACTTGGATTTTAACATATTTTCCACATTTGGGAAGTTTAAATTTGCTTGGTGTTCTATAGCCTTCTTTTACTTGGATTTTAACATATTTATCTATGTTTGGAAAGTTCTCCGCTGTTATCCCTTTGAATAAACTTATTACCCTTATGTCTTTCTCTACCTACACTTTGAGGTTATTAACTGTTAGACTTGTTCTTTTGAGGCTATTTCTAGTTTTCCGTGAGCATTCTTTATTTTATTTATTCTTTTTTCCTTCGTTTCCTCTGACTGTTTGTTTTCAAATAGCCTGTCTTCAAACTTACTAATTCATTCTTCTGCTTGATCAATTCTGCTTTTAAAGGACTCTGATGCATCTTTCAGTATGCCACTTGCATTTTTCCACTCCAGCATTTTTTGCTAAATTATTTTTAATTATTTTATTATCTTTGTTAAATTTATCTGATGAAATTTTGAATTCTTTCTCTGTGTTATTTTGAGTTTCTTTGAGTTTCATCAAACAGCTATTTGAAATTTTCTGTTTGAAAGATCTCATATCTCTGTTTCTCCAGGATTAGTCCCTGATGCCTTATTTAGATCTTTTAATGAGGTAATGCTTTCCTGGATTGCTTTGGTACTTGTTGATGTTTATTTGTGTCTGGGCATAGAAAAGTTAGGTGTTGATTGTAGTCTTCACATTCTGGACTGGTTTGTACTGTTCCATCTTGGGAAGACTTTCCAGATATTTGAAAACATTTTGGTCTTGTAATCGAAGCTGTATCTTCTTTAGAGGGCACCCCAAGTCCAGTAACACTTTTGTTCTTGCAGACTTGTAGAGGTTCCACATTGATGGTCTTGGACAAGGTCCAGAAGAATTCTTTGGATTACCCAGGCAGAGACTCATTATTTTCCGTTACTTTCTCACAAACATCCAGAGTCTCTTTCTGTCTGTTCTGTACCTCCTAAATCTGACAGTCAAGCCATACAAGCACCCTTGTGACTACAACCACTAGGACCATGCTTGGTGAGTCCTGATTCCACCACAGCACTGTGTCTCACACAAGTCCTCTTGTAGTCACACACTGGTCACCACTTATGTCCTCTCAAAGACCTGGGGCTCTATAATCAGCAGGTGTCAAAGCCAGCCAGACCTGTGTCCAGCCACACCAGGCCCCAGGTGTTTCCAAAGGTGCCATCCAGGATCCAGGGATTAGAGTCCAAAACCTTCGATTTCTATCTGTTGTACTGTACTGTGGCTGATCTGGCACTGAAATCACAAGTCAAAATCCTTCCCACTCTCCCCTACCCTTTCCAAAGGCAGACGAGGCTCACTTTGTTGTTACCGTCACCACAGGCACACAGGGAGTACTGCCAGAAAACCACCAATGTTCCCTTAAGATCCTAGGGCTCTTCATTCAGCTCATGGTTAATATTGCCTAGCTTGGGACTCACCCTTCAAAGCGGTGGGCTTCCCTCTGGCTATGGGCAGGTCCAGGAATGCCATCCAAGAGCCAACACCTGAAATCAGTGACCCCAAGAGTCCACTTGGTGCTTTACCCCTTTGATCAAGCTGGTACCTAAGGTGCAAAATTAAGTCCCCTTTACTATTCCATCCACTTTCAGAGCCCAAGGGCTCTTTATTACCAGGTGTTGAAGTCTACTGGGTTTGGTTATTTACCTTCAAGGCAATGGCTTCCTTTTGCTCCCTATGTGTGTCTAGAAATGTAATCCTTGAGCTAGGGCCTGGAACCATGGTCTCACAACTCTGTTCAGCCTTATTCCTGCTGTGGCTGAGCTGGGATCCAAGATGTAAGACAGACTCTTCCCCATTCTTTTCTCTCCTTTCCTCAAGTGGAAAGAAGGGGTCTATTTTATAGCTGTGAGCTGTGCTGCCTAATGTATGGGGAAGGGTGATAACTGCACCCACTTAGCTATCTGGTCTGGTGTCTCAGGTAGGTCATGTGCCCCTTGTCTGCTGGTGCTGTGTCCAGTTCAGCACTACGGCTAGCCGAGAAGATGCAGTCCTTGTGACCTAGACTGCCTTTCAAGTTTATTTTAGGCCCCAGATCACTTTAGCCCACAGTGGCCATGCTTGTGTGAACTCAAGTTCAGACTTTTGGAAATGCTGCTTCCTCAATGGCTAAGGCTGATTTAAATGCTTCCTCTCTGCATGAGTCTCAGATGAGTTTGTTCCAGTTTTTCTTTCTGGTATGATAGGGTAGCACTTAGTTCAATGCCTCACAATTGCTGGTCTCTTCCTCTCCTCTGTACACAGAAAGCCTCTCTGCACCAAGTTGCTGCTACCACAGGATAGGGAAGGGATAAAGTTGTGGATTCAAGACTGTTTTTCCTACCTCTTAAGTGCCTCTTTCAGCAATATAATGTTAAAGCCAGGTACTGTGAGCACTCACCTGATTTTTGGTCCTTATGAAGGTCCTTTATTTATTTATTTATTTATTTATTTTTATTTTTGTAGATAGTCATTAAATTGGTTTCCTTGCAGAGGGAAATAAATGGTAGAGTCTTCTATTCTATCATATTGCTCTTCGTACCGTTCATATTACTTTTCATTTTATTTTTAAATTATTTTTCAACCAACTCATTCCAAACAAGGAACCATCATCTTAGTACTTAGGAAAATGCCACAAATAATTGCTCATTGGCAGTGTGCTTCACACAACCATAACTAAGTATATAAGAAAAAAAAAGCACCTTGAAATAAAGCCAACAATGACAAAATATGTGTAGTGATTATTAATTAAAAAATTGTCTGAAATCTTAATCACAGTTTTTAGATGAAGAAGACTCTTCATAAAATAATACTTATATCCATGATCTTAAATTTTATAAGTGTTTATTGACTGTGAAATATTTTACATGAGAAACACATTTTCCTGAGCTGACTCAGTTAGAGAAGAAACAAGCTAAGAGAAAAAAAGGGATTGTTTAATTTCATTAAAATAACCACATTAATAATCATCGGCAGTACCTATTTCACATATGAAAAGAAAATGATTGGTAAGTTTGAATGAGATTTGAACATATAGGAGTGCCTCTGTATAAAATTTATTTTAATTAATAACAGTCAACATGATATTTTCAGTTTAGTATTCATTGAATATTACATAAGGTTATTAAAAAACTTCAAAAAAATGCTTTAGGCTTTTATAAATGCAATATAGAATCTCTATTATTTAGATATGATTTAGTTTATTTGAAGGATCTAAAACTAATATTTAGATTGAAAAAATAGTGCTTTTTAAAATGTATTTCCACTTCTCTACATGACTATTAAGATATCTTTGTTTATAACACTGTTAGATTTTCACTGTCTCCTCTTTGTAGAGTACAGCATGAACATGTCTGTAATAAAATATTTTGTTCCAGACTATGGTTTTATTGCCATATCCATGAAAAGGTACTTAACATCTGTTTTGCTTGGCCACATGTTTCTTGTTTGTCTGATTTTCTTATTTTTGTTTCTTTCTTCCTCTAACACTAATTACCTTTGATGATTCTATCTTTAACTGCAGCTGATGATATCTCAGAAATAAACACTTTGAAATATATACAACCAACTTCTATGATTACTCCAAGTTTTGTTTTCAAAAAGTTATCTCTATTTAGTCTTATGCCTAATCTCAATTTGAATAACTGACTGAATTGGATTAAGTTGGAGGGAATAGTTAGGCAGAATAATGAGGTAGGTATCAATGAATCTTTTAAATTTTTTTCTGTGTTAAAATGCACTGTGTTAATCCAGTGTGTCATCATTTTTAATTTTATTAAAACTAATAAAATAATGCATTATCATATTTATTATAAACTTTTTTCCTATAAAATATCAATGAATTGCAACAAATTTAGAGAAAACACAACACAAAACACAAGAAACTTCATGCTTCATCTCCTCACTTAGAAATAATTTCTTACAATGCTTTGTTTTTATATAAAATCTTTTTCTATATGTATTATTTTTACAATAAGATACCATGTATCTGTTTGACATCTTATTTTATTAGTGATTATATGGAAGACATTTAAATCTTACTAGACATTCCTCTGTAATTTTAATGGCTTAAATTTTTTTTTAATTCAAACATCTGTTTCCATAAAAAAAATTACTTACTGTTTTTTTTCTGGTTAAGTAATGTGTGCTTATTAGGAAACATTTAGAAAAATGCCAGAAAGTATAAAGAAAATTAACATTGCCCATGTTTATAGTACATAAACACAAGGGCTGTTAATATTTTCAGCATATGTATTTACATTATTATTTTATTTTTCAGATTATATTTGTATGCTAGTTTGAATCTTGCTTTCTCCACTTACCATATCATAATCATTGCTCTTGAAAAAATGGCATTTTTAAAGACTACGTGATCTAACATTGTATAAATGCTTCACATGTTATTTAATTGACTACCGCTTGACATTTATATTGACTCGAGTTTCTCATGCTCATAAACAACTCTGTGATAAACATGTTGGAGTGAACTTTTCACAGGTTTCTAAGATTATTGGCATATATTCCTATAAGGAGAATTACAAGGTAAAATTTATGCAGATATTAATTTTTAAATATATGCATTGACAAAATACCCTCAATATAACTCTACCAATTTACAAGCCTCCAAGTTATGTAAGAAAGTAACTGTTACTAATATTTTAACATGAGTATTATCATTTAAAAATTTTTGTCAATCTGATAAGTGAAAATGGGATTCTGTTGATTTAATTTGCATTTCTTCAGCATTAAGGCAATTTTTTTTCAAATATTGATTAGCTCACTATATTTTAATTGTCTCCTCATATGCTTTTTTTGTATTTACAGTAATGTGCTTATGTATTTTTTTCTGTTTATATAACTTTTTTCTCTCATGTGGCAAAGCATTTCTTCAGAGTGTTCTTTTAAGTGCATTTACCTTTTATGTAAAAGTGAATAAATATTTTAATAATAATTTCTGCCATTTCTCATGCTTTTGAACTCCTTTCTCAAACTTGCATTTTACATATGTTGACTCATATATACATATATTCTCTCTATATTTTCTATATAAATACAGATATATATATTATATATGAAAAAAATATGAGCCTATATATGTATATAGGTCATATATATTCATATATTCATATAAATGGTCCATTCATATATAGATTACACACACACATATATGGCCCATATATATGCATATATATGGATATATGTGGCTCATATATATCTATATAAGCCAACGTATATAAAATCCAAGTATGTGTATATGTGTGCGTGTGTATGCATGTGTATATATATATATTCCTATATATTCTTCCAGTGCTTTTTATAAATAATGCACTTAAATATATGCTCTATCTGGAATGTGTTTGTTAAATAATATATAGGAACTATCTACCTAATTTCTCTTCAATTTTTTGACAGTCATTAATTTATATCAATATCAATGGTAGAAGAACCTATTGTTTCAAAAACAGAATTAAAATGCCACTTTTATGACATATTATGCTCTCATACCTAGGTCAATATACTGTGCTTGTGAACATCAGCCTACAACCTTTCTTATAAAGTTTTATTGAAATATAGCCCCATGCCCATTTGTTTATGTCTTTTTCTGTGCTGCTTTTACAATACAACAGCAGAGTTGAGTTGTTGTACCAATGATTGACCATATATGGCTAGAAGAGCCAAAAATATTTACTTTGTGATTCCTTTATGGGAAACGTTTGCCAACTCCTGGTCTTATGTAAAATTGTACTACTATAAAGTTTTGATAGGCTCAAATGAATAACAAGAAAAGTCCCTATAATTTTTTTATGTTTTCAATAGCATATAAATCTATGTTCATTTAATCTAGTTAAGCTTAGGAACAAATCCGTTATATTATTAGTTAATTTCTTAATTTTTTTCATGGTATTGAATTAGACGTACAAATAAATTCAGTTAAGTTTGTTATCTATATAAAGTTAAATTAACACATATAAAAATTTGTCACAGTTTCTGGAAGATGATTAGACTTAAATAAATACGAGTTACTTATAGCTATAAAGGCGTTAACTTCAGTGGCTTGGTTCATGTCTGAATTTATCAATAACTCCTTTTTTTAAAATTTATTTATTATACTTTAAGTTTTAGGGTACATGTGCACATTGTGCAGGTTAGTTACATATGTATACATGTGCCATGCTGGTGCGCTGCACCCACTAACTCATCATCTAGCATTAGGTATATCTACTGATGCTATCCCTCCCCCCTCCCCCCACCCCACAACAGTCCCCAGAGTGTGATATTCCCCTTCCTGTGTCCATGTGAACTCATTGTTCAATTCCCACCTATGAGTGAGAATATGCGGTGTTTGGTTTTTTGTTCTCGCGATAGTTTACTGAGAATGATGATTTCCAATTTCATCCATATCCCTAAAAAGGACATGAACTCATCGTTTTTTATGGCTGCATAGTATTCCATGGTGTGTATGTGCCACATTTTCTTAATCCAGTCTATCATTGTTGGACATTTGGGTTGGTTCCAAGTCTTTGCTATTGTGAATAATGCCGCAATAATCATACGTGTGCATGTGTCTTTATAGCAGCATGATTTATAGTCCTTTGGGTATGTACCCAGTAATGGGATGGCTGGGTCAAATGGTATTTCCAGTTCTAGATCCCTGAGGAATTGCCACACTGACTTCCACAAGGGTTGAACTAGTTTACAGTCCCACCAACAGTGTAAAAGTGTTCCTATTTCTCCACATCCTCTCCAGCACCTGCTGTTTCCTGACTTTTTAATGATTGCCATTCTAACTGGTGTGAGATGGTATCTCATTGTGGTTTTGATTTGCATTTCTCTGATGGCCAGTGATGGTGAGCATTTTTTCATGTGGTTTTTGGCTGCATAAATGTCTTATTTTGAGAAGTGTCTGTTCATGTCCTTCGCCCACTTTTTGATGGGGTTGTTTGTTTTTTTCTTGTAAATTTGTTTGAGTTCATTGTAGATTCTGGATATTAGCCCTTTGTCAGATGAGTAGGTTGTGAAAATTTTCTCCCATTTTGTAGGTTGCCTGTTCACTCTGATGGTAGTTTCTTTTGCTGTGCAGAAGCTCTTTAGTTTAATTACATCCCATTTGTCAATTTTGTCTTTTATTGCCATTGCTTTTGGTGTTTTAGACATGAAGTCCTTGCCCATGCCTATGTCCTGAATGGTAATACCTAGGTTTTCTTCTAGGGTTTTTAGGGGTTTTAGGTCTAACGTTTAAGTCTTTAATCCATCTTGAATTGATTTTTGTATAAGGTGTAAGGAAGGGATCCAGTTTCAGCTTTCTACATATGGCTAGCCAGTTTTCCTAGCACCATTTATTAAATAGGGAATCCTTTCCCCATTTCTTGTTTTTCTCAGGTTTGTCAAAGATCAGATAGTTGTAGATATGTGGCGTTATTTCTGAGGGCTCTGTTCTGTTCCATTGATCTATATCTCTGTTTTGGTACCAGTACCATGCTGTTTTGGTTACTGTAGCCTTGTAGTATAGTTTGAAGTCAGGTAGTGTGATGCCTCCAGCTTTGTTCTTTAGGCTTAGGATTGACTTGGCAATGCGGGCTCTTTTTTGGTTCCATATGAACTTGAAAGTAGTTTTTTCCAATTCTGTGAAGAAAGTCATTGGTAGCTTGATGGGGATGGCATTGAATCTGTAAATTACCTTGGGCAGTATGGCCATTTTCACGATATTGATTCTGCCTACCCATGAGCATGGAATGTTCTTCCATTTGTTTGTGTCCTCTTTTATTTCATTGAGCAGTGGTTTGTAGTTCTCCTTGAAGAGGTCCTTCACATCCCTTGTAAGTTGGATTCCTAGGTATTTTATTCTCTTTGAAGCAATTGTGAATGGGAGTTCACTCATGATTTGGCTCTCTGTTTGTCTTTTGTTGCTGTATAAGAATGCTTGTGATTTTTGTACATTGATTTTGTATCCTGAGACTTTGCTGAAGTTGCTTATCAGCTTAAGGAGATTTTGGGCTGAGACAATGGGGTTTTCTAGATATACAATCATGTCGTCTGCAAACAGGGACAGTTTGACTTCCTCTTTTCCTAATTGAATACCCTTTATTTCCTTCTCCTGCCTGATTGCCCTGGCCAGAATTTCCAACACTATGTTGAATAGGAGTGGTGAGAGAGGGCATCTCTGTCTTGTGCCAGTTTTCAAAGGGAATGCTTCCAGTTTTTGCCCATTCAGTATGATATTGGCTGTGGGTTTGTCATAGATAGCTCTTATTATTTTGAAATACGTCCCATCAATACCTAATTTATTGAGAGTTTTTAGCATGAAGGGTTGTTGAATTTTGTCAAAGGTTTTTTCTGCATCTATTGAGATAATCATGTGGTTTTTGTCTTTGGTTCTGTTTATATGCTGGATTACATTTATTGATTTGCATATATTGAACCAGCCTTCCATCCCAGGGATGAAGCCCACTTGGTCATGGTGGATAAGCTTTTTGATGTGTTGCTGGATTCGTTTTGCCAGTATTTTATTGAGGATTTTTGCATCAATGTTCATCAAGGATATTGGTCTAAAATTCTCTTTTTTTGTTGTGTCTCTGCCTGGCTTTGGTATCAGAATGATGCTGGCCTCATAAAATGAGTTAGGGAGGATTGCCTCTTTTTCTATTGATTGGAATAGGTTCAGAAGGAATGGTACCAGTTCCTCCTTGTAACTCTGGTAGAATTCGGCTGTGAATCCATCTGGTCCTGGACTCTTTTTGCTTGGTAAGCTATTGATTATTGCCACAATTTCAGCTCCTGTTATTAGTCTATTCAGAGATTCAACTTCTTCCTGGTTTAGTCTTGGGAGGGTGTATGTGTCCAGGAATTTATCCATTTCTTCTAGATATTCTAGTCTATTTGCGTAGAGGTGTTTGTAGTATTCTCTGATGGTAGTTTGTATTTCTGTGGGATCGGTGGTGACATCCCCTTTATCATTTTTTATTGCATCTATTTGATTCTTCTCTCTTTTTTTCTTTATTAGTCTTGCTAGTGGTCTATCAATTTTGTTGATCCTTTCAAAAAACCAGCTCCTGGATTCATTAATATATATGCACCCAATACAGGAGCACCAAGATTCATAAAGCACGTCCTGAGTGACCTACAAAGAGACTTAGACTTCCACACATTAATAATGGGAGACTTTAACACCCCACTGTCAACATTAGACAGATCAACGAGACAGAACGTCAACAAGGATACCCAGGAATTGAACTCAGCTCTGCACCAAGCGGACCTAATAGACATCTACAGAACTCTCCACCCCAAATCAACAGAATATACATTTTTTTCAGCACCACACCACACCTATTCCAAAATTGACCACATACTGGGAAGTAAAGCTCTCCTCAGCAAATGTAAAAGAACAGAAATTATAACAAACTATCTCTCAGACCACAGTGCAATCAAACTAGAACTCAGGATTAAGAATCTCACTCAAAACCGCTCAACTACATGGAAACTGAACAACCTGCTCCTGAATGACTACTGGGTACATAACGAAATGAAGGCAGAAATAAAGATGTTCTTTGAAACCAACGAGAACAAAGACACCACGTACCAGAATCTCTGGGACGCATTCAAAGCAGTGTGTAGAGGGAAATTTATAGCGCTAAATGCCCACAAGAGAAAGCAGGAAAGATCCAAAATTGACACCCTAACATCACAATTAAAAGAACTAGAAAAGCAAGAGGAAACACATTCAAAAGCTAGCAGAAGGCAAGAAATAACTAAAATCAGAGCAGAACTGAAGGAGATAGAGACACAAAAAACCCTTCAAAAAAATCAATAACTCCTTTTGAATCCCTAAGTAAAGTTGTGTGGTTTTCTTTGAATGTGTCCAGTATATTTATTATTAAGCTGATTCTTTTGTATTTTTACAGTATTTAAAAAAAATTCAGTTACTATTGGGAATGATACCTCCTCCCATTATTTTCCAACTGATCACTGGTGATTTGTAAATATGCTATATGTTTTATAAATTTCTACAGTGACCAATAAATTATTGCACTAAATTATTATTCTAGTTTGTATTTTTAATGCCAAAGTAAAATATGCTCAATGTAGCTACATGATATTTTTGAAAAATACAAAGGCATAAAGGAAAATTAATTCTTCAATACTAGAAAAAATAGCTGTTAAAATTCTGACAAATATTCATTTCTAAACTCACTGTAATTTTTCTCATTCATTTTCACGTTTATGGCAAAACAAGCAAGCAACCAAACAAATAAAGCCCCTTTCTGTCTCTATATGACAGTCTCTGATTGTGACACAGGTACCCATGTGTCCAGATACACTTTTACAAAATTAACCCAAAAACCAGCTTGCATTTCAGAACTCAAGTCAGTGAGAAATATATTTTACTGTAAACAGAATAAAATCCTTATGGAGACATTATAATAAGTAATAAATAAGAAATAAACTATAATTTTATAACTTTTAATTTATTGTAAGACTACATATTCATGGAGGGTATACTTTTGGGATCATGAAACTGAGAAAAACTGGCTATAATTTGGCATACAAACTAGATTAAAAATAATCATTTGTCTTTCTAAATCCTTAAAAGTATTCTCTTTTGCAATACATTTGCTTTTCAGGGAGGATGAGAAGTTGTGTGGCTTTGATTGATACCATCCTCTTCAAGAAGTCAGTTTTCTCTTTTATACCTAATTATTCAAAAATGTTGTAAAGAGACTGTGGAGATTAGTAAAGTCAACCATTTTTTAGCTCTATTTGCTTGGAATGTTATTTCATACTTTCCTAATCCCAAAGCTATGGTAAAGTAGCATTAATCAATGATGCATAGACAGTAATTTGCCTAGTCATAAAATAAGCATTGTAGTTTGAAAAATATAGAAATATGACAAAAAGTAATTGTAGAATGTTTGGAAAATATCCTGATATCAAAGAAAAATTGGAAACAAATAATAAGGGATACATTTCAGAGCTTTTTTTTTTTTTTAAGATGGGACCTTACCCCATCACCTAGGCTGGAATAAGGGCATGATCATGGCTCACGTACTGCAGCCTCAACTTCCTGGGCTCAAGCCATCCTTCCACCTCAACCTTCTGAGTATCTAGGACTACAAGAACACACCACCACACTTAGCTAATTTTTGTATTTTTTGTAGAGAGAGACTCTATATATGTTGACCAAGCTGGTCTTAAACCCTGACCTCAAGCCATCTTCCTGCTTCAGCCTCCCAAAATGTTGGGATTACAGGCATCAGCCACTGCACCCAGCCTCCTTCCAGTATTTTTACACGTGTTTATTTGATTGAAGACAATATGTTTTACTATATCTTTCCTTTTTTACTGAAAATTACATTTGAAGTTTTTGAGTTTTGTTTTTGGGTTAGTTCAGTCTTACTTTCAAAACAATTCCTACACTTGTAAGTGGTCAACCCCCAATTCCCTGTCCACTCATAGCCCTAGGCAACCACTAATCTGCTTTCTGTCTCTATGCATTTGCTTATACTGGATATTTCTTGTAAATGCAATATGTGTCAACATACTTATAATTAATCAGTTTTAATTATAGAAATAATGCTGAACATTGAATAAAAAGAAAACAACAATGAAAGGCAAGCCAAAAAGAAGAAACGCAGGAAAGGAGGAAGAAAGGAAGGCAAGCAGGAAGGCCAAAAAGTATATACCAAATAGTATCAGAGGCTATACAGTGTAAAATAAAACTATCATCCTCTGCTCAAAATCACACTCTCAAGGGGTAAGCCCTATTATGAGGTTTTATTCTTGCTGTTATTTCTGTTGTTTGTTTTTAATTGTTCTTTTGGTGGTTACACTCAAGATTTCTAATAATATACTTACACTTCTATTGATATATTCATATAAATGAGTCCCTACTATAAAGTACAGAAAATTAGTTTATTTACACTATCTCTTACCAACATATTCTCATTCTCTTGTCATCACATGTAGCTCTACAAATCATTGCACTTCTGGCATTACATAATATTCCTAAAAGATTATTTCTTGAATTGTCTATTCTAGTCACTCCATATGGATAATCTTTATTCAACTCTCAGGAAATTAATACACTTACCCATGTCATACATGAAACCTATTCTTTCCCAATTTATATTGATGATATTAATTTCAGACTATAAAGGTTAACAGTACATTATCTTCTGTATTTCTACATGGGTCTTCATGAGTTGATATAAAAATGAACAACTTTTTATTAGCTCCTTTATGGTTTTACCTGTGACTGTTTCCTTCTTTTTTAAACAGCCTTATTGGAAAGTAACATATGACAGAATTCACTCATTTGAACTGCATAATTTGTTATAGTATGTTCATGGCATTGTGCAAGCATTATCACATTCAAATTTAGAATATTTTCATGATTCCAAAAAGAAACCTGGAATTCCTTAGATGTCAACCTATCATGATGCCTTGCATTGGAGGTCCTGGGAAACAGTCTTCTTTTTGTCTATAGGGATTTGCCTATTCTACATATTTTATATAAATGGAATTATACAATAAGTAGTATTTTGTGTCTGGCTTTTCACTTAGCATGGTTTCTTAAGCATGATCCACATTGTAGCATATAACATTATCTTTCATAGTGAAATAATATTTCATTGTATGAATATACCATAATTTGTTCATCCATTCCTCAGTTGATGGACACTTTTCTTTCCTCTTTTGGGCTATGATGAATGATGCTGCTGTGAATACACATGTTATGTTACTGTGTGAACATGCTTTTAATTCAGAGTTTATACCTAGGAGTGAAACTTCTAGATTGTATGGCAACTCTATTTTTACATTTTGGAGGTACTGCCAAACTCTTTTCCAGAGTGGCTGCACCATGTTACATTCACACAAGACAGGGACGATGGTTCCAATTTATTCACATACACAGCACTTTATTTTCCATTTACTTGATTATAAACACCCTAGAAGTTTTGAAGTGGTATCACATTGTGGTACTGAACTTTATTTTCCATTTACTTGATTATAAACACCCTAGAAGTTTTGAAGTGGTATCACATTGTGGTTCTGATTTATGTTGTCCTAAAGGTCAATGATGTTGAGCATCTTTTTTTTTTTTATTTATTGGCTATTAGTATGTCTTCTTTGGAGAAATGCTTATTCAAGTTCATTGCTCAATTTTTATTATTTTAAAGACAAAAAAACTTTATTGTAATAGGAACTTCTGCCATGTTGCCCATATGTACCCGCAAGCTGCATTTTGCTACTTTTGCTACTGCTTGAGAGAGTTCCACCTCTGTCATTATCAGCTCAGGATCTTCCTCTTTTTTTTTTTGAAACGGAGTCTCGTTCTGCTGCCCAGGCTGGAGTGCACTGGCATGATCTCTGCTCACTGCACGCTCCGCCTCCCGGGTTCACGCCATTCTCCTGCCTCAGCCTCCCGAGTAGCTGGGACTACAGGTGCCCGCCACCACACCCAGCTAATTTTTGTATTTTAGTAGAGACAGGTTTCACGTGTTAGCCAGGATGTCTGAATCTCCTGACTCGTGATCCATTATCATCAGCTTCCCAAAGTGCTGGGATTACAGGCGTGAGCCACTGCGCCTGTCCAGGATCTTCTTTCTTGACAGTGACTTTTTCAAGTTCTTTCTCCCACTCCTGTTTGGTTTCTGATCCTGCGGCCTGCTATTGAAGGTTCACTGGAACTCTGGATCTCCTTCTCTGCGTAGTTGGTGACTTATTCCAAGTGTGACACACCACTGTCATACTTCCATGGCTTCTTGAGCGTCCACCCTAGGCCACTGGTTTCAGTCTCCAACTCAAACTGCATCTCCTTCTTGGTTGCCATATCCTAATTTTTTAATTAGAATGATTGTCTTTGTTGCTTACTTGTAAGAATTCTTTATATATTCTGGACACTAGAGTCTTATCATATTTGGGATTTGCAAATATTTTCTCACATTCTTGGGGATGAAAAATTTATATTTTATTGTGGTAGAAAAACTTAATATGAAATCTACTGTTAACAGATTTTTAAGTGCAGGATAAATTACTGATGACTAAAAGTACAATGTTGTATAGCAGATGGCTAGAGTTGATTCATCTTGTTTAACTGAAACTTGTACCCACTGTGAGTAATAACTCCCTATTTTCTCCTAACCCCCCACTGACAACCACCATTTTACTCTCAGATTCTATAACTTTCAAAATTTCAGATACATCATATGAAGTTGAACCATACTGTGTTTTTCTTTCCATGACTGGCTTAATTCTATTAACATAATTATTTCAAAGTTCATCCATCGTCTTTGATACTGCAGAATTTAGTGTTTATTCCTCTAAGCTGTAAACAACTCCTCAGAAGATGTAAAATGCCCCTAAAATAAGAGCAAAAAGAAAACCTGACATTTGATGATATTCCATTACAGTTAATAATTTCGCTTGATGCCACTGTGTTATTTCTGTAAAGGACAGGCCATCCAAAATTTAAGAGGTATTACATAAAAAATACAAATAATGATGTAGAATTGATTGTTTTTATTTGAAACTGTATAAGATTTTGTAAGAAGAGAGAAAAAGTCTTTATTCTGTATTTTTTATTCCAAAGGGAATTGCTAATTCTATAGAGTATTGTTTCTTTATGGGGTATATATTTAAATTAAGAAACTATTTCTATTAATAATTTTAAGTGTTTCATATAAGAAATAAATAACATTTCATGCTACATCACTGCCCAGAAAGAAAAGATGAGAGAAGATGGAAGTAACACAGAATAACATACAGCCTTAAGAATAATTATATATAAAGATTCACTCTTTAGATAAATACATGAGTATCTTATGGTTTAAATTACTTCATATATATGACAGAAATGTTTTCAGTATTTTAAGTGTTAGAATACCATTTTGCCTAATAAGCAAATAAAATGTTGTAATTTCATTAACCACCGCAAAAATTCAAATCTAAAAAGATTAAATATATTTACCAATTAACATTAAAATTTTTTGTAAATTTTAAAAATATGAAACGTTTTTTTTTTCTTACTGGAGTTCTTTTTGTTATACTTTAAGGTTTAGGGTACATGTGCACAACGTGCAGGTTTGTTACATATATTTACATGTGCCATGTTGGTGTGCTACACCCATTAAATCGTCATTTAATATTAGGTATATCTCCTAATGCTATCCCTCCCCCCTCCCCCAAACCCAGAACAGGCCCTGGTGTGTGATGTTCCCCTTCCTGTGTCCATGTGTTCTCATTGTTCAATTCCAACCTATGAGTGAGAACATGCGGTGTTTGGTTTTTTGTCCTTGCGATAATTTGCTGAGAATGATGGTTTCCAGCTTCATCCATGTCCCTACAAAGGACATGAACTCATCAATTTTTATGGTTGCATAGTGTTCCATGGTGTATATGGCCACATTTTCTTAATCCACACTATCATTGTTGGACATATGGGTTGGTTCCAAGTGTTTGCTATTGTGAATAGTGCCACATGTGTCTTTATAGCAGCATGATTTATAATCCTTTGGGTATATACCCAGTAATGGGATGGCTGGGTCAAATGGTATTTCTAGTTCTAGATCCCTGAGGAATCGCCACACTGACTTCCGCAATGGTTGAACTAGTTTACAGTCCCACCAACAGTGTAAAAGTGTTCCTATTTCTCCACATCCTCTCCAGCACCTGCTGTTTCCTGACTTTTTAATGATTGCCATTCTAACTGGTGTGAGATGGTATCTCATTGTGGTTTTGATTTGCATTTCTCTGATGGCCAGTGATGATGAGCATTTTTTCATGTGTTTTTTGGCTGCATAAATGTCTTGTTTTAAGAAATGTCTGTTCATATCCTTTGCCCACTTGTTGATGGGGTTCTTTTTTTCTTGTAAATTTGTTTGAGTTCATTGTAGATTCTGGATATTAGCCCTTTGTCAGATGAGTAGATTGCAAAAATTTTCTCCCATTCTGTAGGTTGCCTGTTCACTCTGATGGTAGTTTCTTTTGCTGTGCAGAAGCTCTATAGTTTAATTAGACCCCATTTGTCAATTTTGGCTTTTGTTGCCATTGCTTTTGGTGTTTTAGACATGAAGTCCTTGCCCATGCCTATGTCCTGAATGGTATTGCCTAGGTTTTTTTCTAGGGTTTTTATGGTTTTAGGTCTAACATTTAAGTCTTTAATCCATCTTGTTAATTTTTGTATAAGGTGTAAGGAAGGGATCCAGTTTCAGCTTTCTACATATGGCTAGCCAGTTTTCCCAGCACCATTTATTAAATAGGGAATCCTTTCCCCATTGCTTGTTTTTGTCAGGTTTGTCAAAGATCAGATAGTTGTAGATATGCAGCATTATTTCTGAGGGCTCTGTTCTGTTCCATTGATCTATATCTCTGTTTTGGTACCAGTACCATGCTGTTTTGGTTACTGTGGCCTTGTAGTATAGTTTGAAGTCAGGTAGCATGATGCCTCCAGCTTTGTTCTTTTGGCTTAGGATTGACTTGGCGATGTGGGCTCTTTTTTGGTTCCATATGAACTTTAAGGTAGTTTTTTCCAATTCTGTGAAGAAAGTCATTGGTAGCTTGATGGGGATGGCATTGAATCTGTAAATTACCTTGGGCAGTATGGCCATTTTGTTGATATTGATTCTTCCTACCCATGAGCATGGAATGTTCTTCCATTTGTTTGTATCCTCTTTTATTTCCTTGAGCAGTGGTTTGTAGTTCTCCTTGAAGAGGTCCTTCACATCCCTTGTAAGTTGGATTCCTAGGTATTTTATTATCCTTGAAGCAATTGTGAATGGGAGTTCACTCATGATTTGGCTCTCTGTTTGTCTGTTATTGGTGTATAAGAATGCTTGTGATTTTTGCACATTGATTTTGTATCCTGCGACTTTGCTGAAGTTGCTTATCAGCTTAAGGAGATTTTGGGCTGAGACAATTGGGTTTTCTAGGTATACAATCATGTCATCTGCAAACAGGGACAATTTGACTTCCTGTTTTCCTAATTGATTACCCTTTATTTCCTTCTCCTGCCTGATTGCCCTGGCCAGAACTTCCAACACTATGTTGAATAGGAGTGGTGAGAGAGGGCATCCCTGTCTTGTGCCCGTTTTCAAAGGGAATGCTTCCAGTTTTTGCCCATTCAGTATGATATTGGCTGTAGGTTTGTCATAGACAGCTCTTATTATTTTGAGAAACGTCCCATCAATACCTAATTTATTGAGAGTTTTTAGCATGAAGCGGTGTTGAATTTTATCAAATGCCTTTTCTGCATCAATTGAGATAATCATGTGGTTTTTGTCTTTGGTTCTGTTTATATGCTAGATTACATTTATTGATTTTTGTATGTTGAACCAGCCTTGCATCCCAGGGATGAAGCCCACTTGATCATGATGGATAAGCTTTTTGATGTGTTGCTGGATTCCTTTTGCCAGTATTTTATTGAGGATTTTTGCATTGATGTTCATCAGGGATATTGTTCTAAAATTCTCTTTTTTTTTGTTGTGTCTCTGCCAGGCTTTGGTATCAGGATGATGCTGGCATCGTAAAATGAGTTAGGGAGGATTCCCTCTTTTTCTATTGATTGGAATAGTTTCAGAAGGAATGGTACCAGCTCCTTCTTGTACCTCTGGTAGAATTTGGCTGTGAATCCGTCTGGTCCTGGACTTTTTTTGGTTGGTAAGCTATTAATTATTGCCGCAACTTCAGAGCCTGTTATTGGTCTATTCAGAGATTCAACTTCTTCCTGGTTTAGTTTTGGGAGGGTGTATGTGTCGAGGTATTTATCCATTTCTTCCAGAGTTTCTAGTTTATTTGCATAGAGGTGTTTATAGTATTCTCTGATGGTAGTTTGTATTTCTGTGGGATTGGTGGTGATAACCCCTTTATTATTTTTTATTGTGTCTATTTGATTCTTCTCTCTCTTCTTCTTTATTAGTCTTGCTAGCAGTCTATCAATTTTGTTGATCTTTTCAACAAAACCAGCTCCCGGATTCATTGATTTTTTTGAAGGGTTTTTTGTGTCTCTATTTCCTTCAGTTCTGCTCTAATCTTAGTTATTTCTTGCCTTCTGCTAGCTTTTGAATGTGTTTGCTCTTGCTTCTCTAATTCTTTTAATTGTGATGTTAGGGTGTCAATTTTAGATCTTTCCTGCTTTCTTTTATGGGCATTTATTGCTATAAACTTCCCTCTACACACTGCTTTGAACGTGTCCCAGAGATTCTGGTATGTTGTGTCTTTGTTCTCTTTGGTTTCAAAGAACATCTTTATTTCTGCCTTCATTTCGTTATGTACCCAGTAGTCATTCAGGAGCAGGTTGTTCAGTTTCCATGTAGTTGAGCGGTTTTGAGTGACTTTCTTAATCCTGAGTTCTAGTTTGATTGCACTGTGGTCTGAGAGACAGTTTGTTATAATTTCTGTTATTTTACATTTGCTGAGGAGTGTTTTACTTCCAACTATGTGGTCAGTTTTGGAATAGGTGTGGTGTGGTGCTGAAAGAATGTATATTCTGTTGATTTGGGGTGGAGAGTTCTGTAGATGTCTATTAGGTCTGCTTGGTGCAGAGCTGAGTTCAATTCCTGGATATCCTTGTTAACTTTCTGTCTCATTGATCTGTCTAATATTGACAGTGGGGTGTGAAAGTCTCCCATAGTTATTGTGTGGGAGTCTAAGTCTCTTTATGACTCTCTAAGGACTTGCTTTATGAATCTGGGTGCTTCTGTATTGGGTGCATATATATTTAGGATAGTTAGCTCTTGTTGAATTGATCCCTTTACCATTATGTAATGGCCTTCTTCGTCTCTTTTGATCTTTGTTGTTTTAAAGTCTGTTTTATCAGAGACTAGGATTGCAACCCCTGCCTTTTTCTGTTTTCCATTTGCTTGGTAGATCTTCCTCCATCCCTTTATTTTGAGCCTATGTGTGTCTCTGCACGTGAGATGGGTTTCCTGAATACAGCACACTGATGGGTCTTGACTCTTTATCCTATTTGCCAGTCTGTGTCTTTTAATTGGAGCATTTAGTCCATTTACATTTAAGGTTAATATTGTTATGTGTGAATTTGATCCTGTCATTATGATGTTAGCTGGTTATTTTGCTCGTTAGTTGATGCAGTTTCTTCCTAGCCTCGATGTTCTTTACAATTTGGCATATTTTTTGCAGTGGCTGGTACCAGTTGTTCCTATGTTTAGTGCTTCCTTCAGGAGTTCTTTTAGGGCAGGCCTGGTGGTGAAAAAATCTCTCAGCATTTGCTTGTCTGTAAAGGATTTTATTTCTCCTTCACTTATGAAGCTTATTTTGGCTGGATATGAGATTCTGGGTTGAAAATTCTTTTCTTTAAGAATCTTGAATATCGGCCCCCAATCTCTTCTGGCTTGTAGAGTTTCTGCCAAGAGATCAGCTTTTAGTCTGATCGGCTTCCTTTATGGGTAACCCGACCTTTCTCTCTGGCTGCCCTTAACGTTTTTTCCTTCATTTCATCTTTGGTGAATCTGACAATTATGTGTCTTGGAGTTGCTCTTCTCGAGGAGTATCTTTGTGGTGTTCTCTGTATTTCCTGAATTTGAATGTTGGCCTGCCTTGCTAGGTTTGGGAAGTTCTCCTGGATAATATCCTGCAGAGTGTTTTCCAACTTGGTTCCATTCTCCCTGTCACTTTCGGGTACAGCAATCAGATGTAGGTTTTGTCTTTTCACATAGTCCCATATTTCTTGGAGGCTTTGTTCATTTCTTTGTATTCTTTTTTCTCTCAACTTCTCTTCTTGCTTCATTTCATTCATTTGATCTTCTGTCACTGACACCCTTTCTTCCAGTTGATCGAATCGGCTACTGAAGCTTGTGCATTCGTCACATAGTTCTCGTGCCATGGTTTTCAGCTCCATCAGGTCCTTTAAGGACTTCTCAGCATTGTTTATTCTAGTTAGCCATTTGTCTATTCTTTTTTCAAGGTTTTTAACTTCTTCATGGCTTCAAACATCTTCCTCTAGCTTGGAGTAGTTTGATCGTCTGAAGCCTTCTTCTCTCACCTCATCAAAGTCATTCTCTGTCCAACTATGTTCCATTCCTGATGAGGAGTTGCATTCCTTTGGAGGAGGACAGCCACTCTGATTTTAGAATTTTCAGTTTTTCTGCTCTGTTTTATCCCCATCTTTGTGGTTTTATCTACCTTTGGTCTTTGATGATGGTGACATACAGATGGGGTTTTGGTGTGGATGTCCTTTCTGTTTGTTAGTTTTCCTTCTAACAGTCAGGACCCTCAGCTGCAGGTCTGTTGGAGTTTGCCAGAGTTACACTCCAGACCCCGTTTGCCTGGGTATCAGCAGCGGAGGCTGCAGAACAGCAGATATTGGTGAACAGCAAATGTTGCTGCCTGATCGTTCCTCTGGAAGTTTTGTCTCAGAGGAATACCTGGCCGTGTGAGGTGTCAGTCTGCCCCTACTGGGGGGTGCCTCCCAGTTAGGCTACTTGGGGGTCAGGGACCCACTTGAGGAGGCAGTCTGTCCGTTCTCAGATCTAAAGCTGTGTGCTGGGAGAACCACTACTCTCTTCAAAGCTGTCAGACAGGGACATTTAAGTCTGCAGAGGTTTCTGCTGCCTTTTGTTTGGCTATGCCCTGCCCCCAGAGGTGGAGTCTACAGAGGCAGGCAGGCCTCCTTGAGCTGCAGTGGGCTCCACTCAATTTGAGCTTCCCGGCCGCTCTGTTTACCTACTCAGCCTGGGCAATGGCGGGCGCCCCTTCCCCAGCCTTGCTGCTGCCTTGCAGTTTGATCTCAGACTGCTGTGCTAGCAATGAGTGAGGTTCTGAGGGCGTAGGAACGTCCGAGCCAGGCACAGCATATAATCTTCTGTTGTGCCATTTGCTAAGACTGTTGGAAAAGTGCAGTATTAGGTTGGGAGTGACCTGATTTTCCAGGTACGTCTGTCACCCCTTTCCTTGGCTAGGAGGAAAGGGAATTCCCTGACCCCTTGCACTTCCCAGGTGAGGCGATGCCTTCCCCTGCTTCAGCTCAGGCTTGGTGTACTGCACCCACTGTCCAACAATCCCCAGTGAGTTGCCCCTGGTACCTCAGTTGGAAATGCAGAAATTATTCATTTTCTGTGTCGCTCCTGCTGGGAGCTGTAGACTGGAGCTGTTCCTATTTGGCCATCTTGGCTCCACCTAAAATTACAAATATTTTAAAACTGATGATACTTGTAGTTTGCCTCCCAGGTTCCCTGATCTGCTATATTCAGTATTTAACATAACTGACTCTGTAATGAGAGCTTTAAAACAAAGCACTCATATGTTACTGATGAGTGTATACATTGTTGGAAACTCTCGGGAAGATAATTGGAAAATAATTACTAAGAATAAAAGCAAACTAAAAATACTATAGAAATTCAATGACTATGATGTTTATCAGTTATGTATCTTATTTTAAAAATCTAGAGTATTAATCTAGAAAATTTTGAACCAAGAAAAAAGGGATTTCATGGGATTTAATAAACAGGCACAGGGAAGACTTCAGTGAAAATTATGAAATAAGGAACACCAAAAATTTATATTTTCACAAAAGCGAGAATAAAACCAGCAAAGACAGTCAGAATAAACTTTTGTGGAATTCTGGAAACTAACCAAAATCTTGCAGCAAGAAGATAAATGTTTACTGAAGAAGAACTCTCTGATGTTGATAAGAACGGCAAACTGTGCAGCATTATAACTTACCTGGTCTCATTCCCCACTCCCCAGCTCAATGGTAGCCATCAAAATAAAAGCACACATTTCTGATATCAGCACAATACTGTAGGAAGCAGAGTGGAACTCATTTGAGAGGATTTGTGATTTATTAACCTGTCTGGTCGCTCCATTGAAGAACAGATCAAAAGCCTTGGATTTCTCACTTTGTGTAGAACTTGCCCAGTGTTAAAGCTGCTGCATGGAAAACCTTTGGTGAAAAATGTAGACAAATATTTTAGTCACTGATGTCTGAGGTAATACATATAACACTTGGAGGTAACAATAGACTAACAAAAAAGCTTTTTATGTAAATATTAGGAATGAGATGCTTTAAGGAACCATAAAATATGACATTTGGTGATATTCTATTCCCGTTGATAATGTCATTTTATGAAATTATCTCAAGGTTTATCCTAAACCTTGAGAAAGATATCAGTATCCACATTGAAGAAGGTTACAGAACACCAAGCAGATTGAACCCAAAGAAGGCTACCTCAAAGGAATTAATGAACTCCCAAAGGTCAAAGATAAAGAAAGTATTCTAAAAGCAGCAAAAGAAAAGAAACAAATGACATACAATGGAGCTTCAATATATCTGAGAGCAGACTTTTCAGTGGAAATCTTACAGGCCAGGAGACAGTGGCATGACATATTTTACGTGCTGAAGGAAAATAACTGTTAACCTAGAATTGTATATCCAATGAAAATATCCTTCAAATGTGGAGAAGAAATAAAGACTTTCCGAGGCAAACAAAAGATGAGAGATTTTATCAATACCAAACTTGTTTTCTAAGAAATACTAAAGGGAGTATATCAATCAGAAGGAAAAAGGAAATTAACGAGCAATAAATAATCACCTGAAAGTGCAAAACCCACTGGCAATAGTAAGCACACAGATAAACACAGAATAGTATAACACTGTAACTGTGGTATGTAAACTCCTCTTAACCAAAGTATAAAGGATAAACTAATCAAATATAACAACCACGACAACTTTTCGGGACATAGTCAAGAAAATAAGATATAAATATAAACAATAAAATGTTAAAAAGCAGGGAGATACAGTTAAGGTGTAGAATCATTTTTAGTTTTCTTTTTGCTAATTACTTTTTTGTGCCAATAGTGTTGTTATTAGGTTAAAATAGTAGGTTATAAGATAGTATTTGCAAACCTCAGGGTAACCTCAAACCAAAAAACATACAATGGATACATAAAAAATAAAAATCAAGAAACTAAATTATATCCCAGAGAAAATCACCTTCACTAGAGGAATACTGGAAGGATAGAAAGAGACTGCAAAACAACCAGAAAACAATAATAAAATTGTAAGAGTAAGTCCTTACTTATCAATAATTACATAGAAAGTAAATGGACTAAAATCTCCAATTAAGAGATATAGACTGGCTGAATGTATAAAAAAAAAAAGACCTATTGGTCTGTTGCCTAGAAGAAACATGCTTCACCTACAAAGATACACATAGACTGAAAAGAAAAAAAGGGCTGGAAAAAGAAATCTCAAGCCATTGGGAGCCAAAAAAAGAGGGAGTCACTATTCTTATGTCAAACAAAGAGATTTCAGTGAAATAACTGTTAGAAGAGACAAAGAAGATCACTATATAATAATTAGAGAGTCAATTCAGCATGATGATGACATAATCTTAAATATATCTGCCTCCATCACTGGAGCACCCAGATATAGAACGCTAATATTGTTTGAGCCAAAGAGAAAGGTAGCCCCCTGTATTATAGCTGGAGACTTCAACACCCCACTTTTAGCATTGGACAGATGTTCCAGACACAAAATCAACAAAGAAACATCAGACTTAATCTTCATTACAGACCAAATGGATCTAATAGATATTGACAGAACATTTCATCTAAGCGCTGTAGAATAAACATTATTTTCCTCATCCCATGGATCATTCTCAAGGATAGATCATATGTTAGTTCAGAAAACAAGTCTTAAAATATTCAAAAACTGAAATAATATCAAGCATCTTCCATGACCACAATGGAATAAAACTATAAATTAATAAAAGGAATTTTAGAAACTATATAAATACATGGATATTAAATAATGTACTCCTGAATGACCAGTGGGTCAATGAAAAAACTAAGAAGGAAATTAAAAATTTCTTGAAACAAATGATTATGGAAACACAGCATACCAAAACCTATAGTATACAGTAAAAGCAGTATTTAGGGGGATGTTTATAGCTATAAGTGCCTACATCCAAATAGAGGAAAGACTTCATGTAAACAATCTAACAGTGCACCTTAAAGAACTAGAAAAGCAAGACCAAGACAAACCCCAAATTAGTAGAAGAAAAGAAATGTTAAAACTCAGGGCTGAAATAAATGAAATGCAAATGAAACAAAAATATAAGATATCAAGTAAAGAAAAAGTTGTATTGTTTTAAAAAATATAAAATTGACTGACCTTTAGCTAGACTAAGAAGAAAAGAAAGGAGATCTAAAGAAATAAGATCACAAATGAAAAAGGAGACATTACAACTGATATTGCAGAAATTCAAATGATCAATTGTGGCTAATATGAACAACTATATACCAATAAGTTGGAAAATCTAGAAGAAATGAACAAATTGCCCGATACATACAAACTACCAAGATTGAATCAAGAAGAAATACAAAACATGAACTGACCAATAAGTAACAAGTTCACAGCCATAATAAAAAGTCTCCCAGTAGAGAAAAGCCCAAGAACTGATGGATTCACTACTGAATTCTACCAAACATTTAAAGCGCTAATACCAATCTTACTCAAACTATTCTGAAAAATAGATGAAGGCATAATTTCAAACTGATTCTATGAGGCCAGTATTTCTCTGATACCAAACCTAGACAAAGACATATCAAAAATGAAAACTATAGGCCAATATATCTGCTGAATATTGATGCAAAAATCCAAAACAGAATACTAGCAAACAAAATTCCAGGATACATTAAAAAGATCATTTCTCATGACCAAACAGGATTTTTCCCTGGGATGCAAGGATGATGCAACATATACAAATGAATCAATGTGATACATTATATGAATAGAATGAAGCATCAAAGTCATATGATCATTTCAATCGATGCTGAGAAAGCATTCAGTAGAATTCAACATCCTTTTATTATGAAAATTCTCAAAACCTAGGTACAGATGGAGCACAACTCAACATAATAAAAGCCACATATGACAGACCCATAGCTAATATCATGCTGCGTGGGAAAAATTGAAAGCCTTTTCTCTAAGATCTTGAAGACAACGAGGATGCTCACTGTCACCACTGTTATTCAACAACATACTGGAAGTGCTAGGTACAGCAATTAGACAAGAGAAATCTATAAAGGCCATCAAAATTGGAAAGGAAATAGTCAAACTATCATTGTTTGCAGATGATATGATCTTATATTTGGAAAAACATAAAGACTCCACAAGAAAACCATGAGAACTGATAGAGGAATTCAGTAAATTTAGAGGATACAAAATCAACATACAAAAATCAGCAGCATTTCTTTATGCCCATAGTGAACAATGTTAAAAAATGAAAATTTACTCTGATTTACAATAGCCACAAATGAAATTAAATTCCTAGGAATTAACCAAAGAAGTGAAAGATGTCTATACTAAAAATTATAAAACACTGATGAAGAAAATTGAAAAAGACACCAAAAAATAGGAAAATATTCCATGTTCATGGATTGGAGGAATCAATATTGTCATAATGTCCGTACAAACCAAAGCAATCTACAGATTCAATGCAATACCTATTAAAATACCAAAGAAGTTCTTCACAGAATAGAAAAAACAATTCTAAAATTTATAGGGAAACAAAAAAGATGCAGAATAGCCAAAACTATCCTAAGCAAAAAGAACAATACTGGAGGAATCACGTTACCTCTATCAAATTATACTATAGTGCCATAATAACCAAAACAGCATGGCACTGGCATAAAAACAAATACATAGACCAATGCAACAGCATAGAGAACCAAGAAACAAATGTACACACCTACAGTAAACACATTTTTTACAAAGATGCCAAGAATATACTGGAGAAAAGATAGCCTCTTCAATAAATGACATTGGGAGAACTGGATATCTATATGCCAAAGAATGGAACTATACACCTATTTCTCACCATATAGAAAATGAAATCAAAATGGATTAAATGCTTACATCTATAACCTGAAACTATGAAAATCCTACAGGAAAATATTGGGGAAAACCTTCAGGACCTTTGGGCAAAGATTTCTTGAGCAATACCTTACAAGTACTGGAAACCAAAGCAAACATAGACAAATGGGATCACATAACGTTGAAAAGCTTTTGCACAGAATAGGATACAATAAGCAAAGTGAAGATACAACCCACAGAATGTGAGAAAAGATTTGCAAACTACCCCTCTGACAAGGGATTAGTAACTAGAATATATGAGGATCTCAAACAACTCTATAGGAAATATTCTACTAATCTGATCAATAAATAGACAAAAGATTTGAATAGACATGTATAAAAAGAAGACATACCAATGGCAAACAGGCATATGAGAAGTTGTTCAACATTATTGATCATCAGATAAATGCAAATCAAAACTAAAATGAGATGTCATTTCACTCCATTTAAAATGCCTTTTATCCAAAATACAGGTAATAGTAAATACTGGTGAGGAGGTGGAGAAAAGGGAACACTTGTACACTATTGGTGGGAATGTAAATTAATAACAGCATTATGGAGAACAGTTTGGAGGTTCCTCAAAAAAATAAAATATAGCTACCATAAAATCCAGCAATCTCACTGCTATGTATATCCCCAAAAGAAAGAAAATTAGTGCATCAAAAATATATCTGCCCTCCTATGTTTATTGCAGCACTGTTTACAACAGCTAAGATTTAGAACCAACCTAAGTGTCCATCAATAGATCAATGGATAAAGAAAATGTGGTACATATTAGGACTGCAGTACTATTCATCCATAAGGAATAATGAGATCCAGTCATTTGCAGCAATGTGGATGGAAGTGAAGATCATAATGTTAATTGAAAGAAGCCAGGCGCAGAAAGACAAACATCACATGTTCTCACATAACTGTGTGAGCTATTCTAAAAATAAAATCAATTGAACTCATGCAGATAGAGAGTAGAAGGATTGTTACCAGAGACTGGAAAGTGTAGGAGTGGGCAGGAGCCGGGGGAAGAGAGGTGGGTATGTTTAATCTATTTTGGGAGTACAGAAATCAGAAACAATGAATAAGACCTACTTTTTATAGCACAATAGGGTGACTTTAGTAAACAATAACTTAATTATAAATTTTGAAATAAATTTAGAAATATAATTAGATCATTTATAAATCAAAGGATAAATGCTTGAAGTGATGCATACCCCATTCTCCATGATGTGTTTACTTCATTTTGTATCTCTGTATCAAAACATTATGTGCACTATAAACACTTAAACTTACTATGTATCCACAAAATTAAAAAGAAATATTACAGAAATAAAAAACTTGAATAAGCACTACAGACCAATGGACCTAACAGGCCAGGCATTGTGGTTCACGCCTGTAATTCTAGCACTTTGTGAGGCCGAGGCGGGCAGATCACTTGAGGTCAGGAGTTCAAGACCAGCCTGGTAACATGGTGAAACGCTGTCTCTACAAAAAAATACAAAAATTAGCTTGGTGTGGTGGCGGGCACCTGTAATCCCAGCTACTCAGGAGGATGAGATCACTAATATTTTGAACCTGGGAAGTGGAGGTTGCAGTGAGCCAAGATCACGCTACCACACTCCAGCCTGGGTGACAGAGGGAGACTCTGACTCAAAAAAAAAAAAAAAAAAAAAAAAAAGAAGAAATCACAAAACTCAGAGCCAAGATAAACAATACAGGAAATTTTTAAAAAACTGATTAAATCAACCAAAGAGTTTATTTTTTGAAAATATTAAATGGACAATCCTTAGCTAGACTTATTAAGAACAAAAGAGAACATACAAATAAATTCAGAAATAAAAGAGAAGACATTATAACTTGTGCCAAAAAATAAAAAAGACAATAATAGAATACTATTAACAATTATACAAATTGGATAACCTAAAAAAAATGGATACCTCCTAAAAACATTCAACCTCACAACAGTGAATCATAATGAAACAGAAAATCTAAACAGACCTGTAACTGTTAAGGACATTATATTGGTAATTAAAGCACAACCTAACAACAACAAAAAAAGCTCTGGATTTGTGAATCCCTGGGTTCACTAGTGAATTCTACAAAATATTTGAGAAAGAATTAATACCAGTTATTCTCAAAATCTCCTAGCAGAATGAAGAAGAGAGGATACTTCCAAACTCAGTTTATAAGGCCAACATTACTCTTATAGCAAAGTTGGACAAAGGCACCGGCCAATATTTTGGTGAATATAGATACAAAAGTTCTCAAGAAAATATCAGCAAACCAAACTAAACAGTACATTAGAAGGATCACTAATCATGACAAAGTGGGATGTATGATTGAGATGCAAAGATAATTCAACATATCCGCATCAATTAATGTGCAATGCCATGATAACAGGATAAAGAATAAGTCACATGCAGAAAAATAAATTGACAAAATTCAACAGGCTTTCATGATAAAAACTCTCAACAATCTAGAAATAGGAAATTAACTCATTATAACAATGGCTATATAAGAGAAGCCAATAGCTAGCATCACACTCACCTGGAAAGACCGAAACCGTTTCCCCTAGGATCAGGAAAAAGCAAGTAATGCCACCTCCTTACTTTTATTCAACATAGTACAAAAAGTCCTAGCCAGAGTAATTAGGAAAGAAAAATAAATAAAAGGCATCCAAATAGGAAAGGAAGAAATAAAGTGATCTCTGTTTGCCGATGATATAATTTTTAAGGGACAAGGCCTTAAAGACTTAATAGAAAGAATTTTAGAATTAATAAATTTAGTAAGGTTAACAGAATAAAAAATCAACATATAATTTCTGTTATATATAAATTATGTTTTTGTACAACAGAAAACTATTTTTAAAAATCTGAAAAACAATCTCATTTACAATAACACCAATAAAATAGAAATAAACCAAGATGGTAAAAAAATTCTACATGGAAAACTGCATGTTATTGATGAAAGAAATTATGGAAGTCACAAACATATGAAAAGACTTTCTGTGTTTATAGATTGGAAGCTTTAATATTGTTTCAATGTACACACTACTAAAAGGGATATATAGATTCAATGCAAACTCAGCCAAAGTTCCTGTGGTGTTTACACACACACAGATACACACACACACACACACACACACACAGAGATTCTACAATTCATATGGAACTAAAAAAGAACAAATATCCAAATAAATCTTGTGGAAAACAAAAATTTGCAGGCATTACTCTCTCAATTTTAAAACATATTAAAGGCTACAGTTTTGGGAACAGTATGGTATAAACATAAAGATACACATTTAGACTAATGGAAGAGAATAGAGAGCCCAGAAATAAATGGTCAACTGATCTTCAATAAGATTGCCAAAAATACACAATAGAGAAAAAGGTATTCTGTTCAATAAATCATGCTGGGAAAAGCGGATATACACATGCAGAATAGGAAAATTAGACCCTTATCTTGAACCATATATAAAATTCAACTCAAAATTGATTAAATGCTTAATTGTAAAACCTGAAACTCTAAAACTTCTAAAAGAAAACATAGGGGAGAATTTAATGGCATTTTTCTTGGCTGTGATTTTATGACTGTGACACCAAAAGCACAGGCAAGAAAAACAAATGTAAACAAGGGGACTTCATTAAAATAAAAGGCTTCTTTAGAAAAAGGAAACAACTAACAGAGTCAAAAGCAGTCTTTAGAATAGGAGAAAATATTTTCACACCACATTTCTGATAAATAGTTCACATCCAAAATATATAAGGCACTTCTACAATTCAATACCAAAAAACAACCCAATTAAAATATGAGCTGAAAGCTTGAATAGACATTTCTCCAAATAAGACATCGAATGATCAGCAGGTATCATGAAGAAAATCAACATCAGTATTCATCGAGGAAATACAAATCAAAACTACAGTGAAATATCCCTGATTTGGCTCCCAGCTTGACTGTTGTTAGTGTATAGAAATGTTAGTGATATTTGTACATTGATTTTGTATCCCGAGAATTTGCTGAAGTTATTTAACAGCTTAGGAAACTTTTGGGCTGAGACTATAAGGTTTTCTAAATACAGGATTATGTCATCTGCAAACAGGGATGGTTTCACTTCCCCTCTTCCTATTGGACGCCTTTCATTTCTTTCTCTTATGTTATTGCCCTGGCCAGAACTTCCAATACTATGTTGAATAGGAGTAGTGAGAGAAAGCATAGTTGTCTTGTGCAAGTTTTCAAGAGGAATGCTTTCAGCTTTTGCCTATTCAGTATGATGTTGGCTGTGGGTTTTTCATATATGATTCATGCACATGTATGTTCATTACAGCACTACTCACAATAGCAATGACATGGAGTCAACCCAAATGTCCATCAGGGATAAACTGGATGAAGAAAATATGATACATATACTCCATGGAATACTACACAGCCATAAAAAATGAGATAATGTCCTTTGCAGGACCGTGGATGGAGCTGTAGACCATTATCTTTGTAAAACTAACAGGAAATAAAACCAAATACCACATGTTATCAATTATAAGTGGGAGCTAAATGATGGGAACACATGGGCATGTAGAGGGGAACAACACACATTGGTGCCTTTCAGAGCACAGAGGGTGGGAAGAGGGAGAGGATAAGTCAAAATAACTAATGGATATGAGGCTTAATACTCGAGTGGTGAGATAATCTATACAACAAACCCTCATGACCCAAGTTACCTATGTAACAAACCTGCACTTGTACCCCTGAACTTAAAATAAAAGTTTAAATAAATACATAATAAAAAATTATTTCACACCTGTCACGATGACTATCATCAAAAAATCAAAAGACAAGTATTGACAATGATGTGAGAAATTGGAACTCATGTGCATTGTTGGTTGTAATACAAAATGGTGCCCCTACCATGGAAAATAGTTTGGAGCTTCCTAAAATAAATTAAAGATGTAACTGCCATATAATATAACAGTCCCACTCTGGATATTTGTTTAAAAGAATTGAAATCAAGGTCTCAAAATAATATTAGCACTCACATGTTCACTGAAGCTCTAATCACTGTAGCCACAATGTGGATAACAACCTATATTTTTGTAGACAGATGAATGGATAAAGAAAATGTGGCATATGCGCACGATAAAATACGATTCAACCTTCAAATGAAGGAAATCCTGTCATTTGCATTAGCATGGATGAACTTGGAAGGCATTATGTTTAGTGAAATAAGCCAGAAACAGAAAGTCAAATATGACACGTTCTCACTTATATATGGAATCTACAAAAGATAATCTCATAGAAGCAAAGAGTAGAATGGTAGTTACCAGGGACTGCTGTTGAAGTAGTATTGGAGCAACATTACCATAGTTTCTCATAGCTTGAAGAGAGTGAATGTGGAAGATTAAAGGCCTATTTTTGTCCAGCACTTGGAGTTTGCTGTATTAGTTCTTTAATACTGTTGTAAACATTACCACAAACTTAGAGATTTTAAAATGCAAATGTATTATCTTGCAGCTCTGTAAGTAAGAAGTCTAACACAGGTCTCACTGAGCTAATAATCATGGTGCCAGTAAGGCTGTAGTCCTTCCTGGAGACTCTACAGGACAATATGTTTCCTCCAGTTTTTGAATCTCTCAAGGGTGTTCACATTCTTTGGCTGGTAGCTCCATTTCTCCACTTTAAACCCAGTAACACTGCATATATATATATATTTTTTTACCATTCTTTCATAGACACATCTCACTTTGACACTTCTCTTCTCCACCACTTTTCCACTTTTAAGGATTCTTATAATTACCTTCATACTTGTCCAGATAATTCATAATAATTTCCTCATTTAAAAGTCATCTAGCAACCTTAATTTTAATTCTCTTTTTCTATGTAACATAACATGTTCATTCATTTCATGTAAGCATCTTTGGAAGGAGAGTCTTATTCTGACTTGCCAATAATACATTTGTCATTTTTTTTGATGTTCACAAGTCGCAAGCCAGCCCATATTCAGAGTGGAAGAGATATAAACCCGTCCTATTGATGGTAGAATTAGAAAAATCACATTGCCAGTGGACACATGGAATAGGATATATTGTTGATGGGAAGGAGTATTGCAACAAGCTTTTGAAACAATCCTTCCATATTCACCAATCTTGAATTTCCTTGAAAGGAAGTGTTATTAACCACTGTGGGATTTGATCATGGAAAATGGTGTGAGAATTCTTAAAAAATTCAAAAAAGAAGAATTTATGGGGAGAGGTATAAGAAAGTGAAGATAAAGAGAATCCATCATATTTTTAACGTTCTAATGTAATTGCAATTAAGTAGTTTGATTTCATTTATGATTAGAAAGATAGAACACAACAAAAATTTCCAAAGTTAAGTATCAAGAGAATTATCTGAAGAATTATTGAATTATAAAGTAATTATTTCCATAAACTGTAATTATAATCACAGAAAACTAATTTAGAACTTCAAGCAATTTTGTGTAGGGCAGTTTAATGAGCCAACATAAATAGGACCTGTTTATTACAGAGCTAAGACTAAGGTTTTGTGAGAAAATTTGCAACTCAGGACAACTTGATTCCATTTCATTTCATTTCATTTTATATATTCCAAATGAGCCATTCATTTTTGATCTATATCTCTCACCTCTGATTTTTGTTTGTTATGAACCTGATACCAAAAGTGCATTGCTTGTTTTGTTCCTTCAAAAGAGGTACTTTTTTACAGAGGAAAGATGAAGAGAAATTAGAAAAGGAAGTTTTCTACAGGAGACCAAGTACTTCTGAAGTTTTCATAGAAATACAACTTTTACAGAGCCTTACATTCTAACCTCTGATACGTTAAAATATTATAACTTCTGCTTTAAATAAGAAATATTTATTCACATAGTGAAATAATTTTTCTGAGCTTACTATCTCAAATTTAATGCTTACATCAATTTCACTTATTTACTTTAATATACTGAAATATAAGCATATATTAACTGGAGGGAGACAATTTGAAAATTCATTAAATTCATATAAAAATAACTTGGAATTATATCTCTTTTACTGAGGATCTTATATATATATATATCTACACAAATATTGAGAATGGAACAGGATTTTAAGGTTTTTTTGGAATGTCTACCAAAACTTTCAGATATAACGTTTGATGATTATCGGGGGAACCCACCCCCAATATTTCAACATAGGTTCTATTTTCCCTAAGTGTCGGCCAGTCTGAGAAATAAAGAGAAAGAGTACAAAGACAAGAATTTTACAGCTGGGCCACCGGGGGTGACATCACATATCGGTAGGTCTGTAATGCCCCACCTGAGCTGCAAAACCAGGAAGTTTTTATAAGGATTTCAAAAGGGTAGGGGGTGTACGAACAGGGAGTAGGTAACAAATATCACATGCTTCTGAGGCCAATAAAGATCATAAGGCAAATGACAAAGCAAAGATCACAAGGCAAAGGGGAAAATTAGAATTACTGATGAGGGTCTACATTTAGCTGTGCATGTATTCTCTTGATATACATCTTAACAGAAAACAGGGTTCGAGAGCAGAGAAATGGTCTGACCAAAATTTACCAGGCTGGAATTTCCCAATCCTAGTAAGCCTGAGGGTACTGCAGGAGACCAGGGCATATTTCAGTCCTTATCTCAACTGAATAAGACAGACACTCCCAGAGGAGCCGTTTATAGACCTCCCCCCAGGAATGCATTCCTTCCCCAGGGTATTAATTATTAATATTCCTTGCTGGGAAAAGAATTCAGTAATATCTCTCCTACTTGCATGTCCATTTATAGGCTCTCTGCAAGAAGAAAAATATGACTCTATTCTACCCGACCCCACAGGCACTCAGACTTTATGGTTGTCTTCCCTTGTTCCCTGAAAATCGCTATTATTCTGTTCTTTTTCAAGGTGCACTGATTTCATATTGTTCAAACACACATGTTTTACAATCAGTTTGTACAATAGTGGTCCTGAGGTGACATACATTCTCAGCTTACAAAGATAACAGAATTAAGAGATTAAAAACAGGCATAAGAAATAATAAGAGTATTATTTGGTAACTGATAAATATCTATGAAATCTTCACAATTTATGTTCAGAGATTAAAGACAGGCATAAGAAATTATAAAAGTATTAATTTTGGGAACTGATAAATGTCAATGAAATCTTCACAATTTATGTTCCTCTGCCATGGCTCCAGCCGGTCACTCCATTCAGGGTCCCAGGCTTCCTGCAACAGATGATCAGCACTTTCTATGGAGTAAAATTTAGCTCTAGTTTTTTATTTTATTTTATTTTATTTATCTATTTAGTTTTGGAGACAGTCTTCCTCTGTCACCCAGGTGGGAGTGTGGTGGCACAACCATGGCTCACTGCAACCTCAACCTCCCAGACTCAAGCAATCCTCCCACATTGGCCTCCCAAAGTGCTGAGATTCCAGGCTTGAGACGCTGCAGCTGGCCTCATTTTTCAGTTTGGTTTAGAAGTTTTCATAAGCCGGAATTTAAGTTACTATTTTTTTTTGTTATTTAAAGAAATGCTTCTGTGATTTATACTACTAACAGTAAACTTTGCTATAGTTTTTTGGTAGTTAAGCTCTATAGATTTTTGGTAGTTAACATCTGTTAGGTTACAAAATTTTACTTGAAATTTTAGTTTTATAAAGTTTATCACAAAAATATTTAAAATTTTATTGTATAAATTTTAAATAATTAAATTTATTTAATTTCTCAATCCATTTAGTTAACGCCAGAGTACAAAAGAATATCACAGTGGTGTAGCAGCTCAGATCTGGTGAGGTGTCTGGATAGTGTCACCACCAGAGGCCAAGCTAACCTCAAGTGAAGCATCCTCTAACTAGTCCAATATTTTGTGGCTTCCTTATTTCCCAAAAATATGTGCAATAAACACATTAAAAGTTATAATGCCGTATTCTGTGTGTGTATGTGTGTGTATGTTGATAGTAGTCTTTTCCCACTTGAAATTCTGCAAATGGGAAAAAGAGTGCTTTAGTCTATTTCATTGTCTCTTTTCATTATAAAGAAAGTAAATCCACTAAAACTGATACAAATAGAGAGTTGTTATGAAAACAATTTATAAAAATCTAAGATAATAAGCCTTTTTAGTATTGGCCTTCCAGAATGGTTTCCAGAAAGGAGATAGGGTCTGGTTCCAAATTAATGTAGCTTTAGGAAATTTTGCAGCAAAAATTGGGGAGCTTTGCTGTGATGTTCCATTAGTAATCTTTTTCAACTATATTCTACCTACATGCCTCTTTATTTTACGCTACCAATTGGCCTTCTATGATAGTTAATAATTTGTATTTCCTTCTGTCTTTGAAGTCTACCTTGTACTTCTCCGTTTTCATCTTCCCTTATAACTATTTAGTTACAATTTTTAATATGAACTAGCAGATTCCTTCTATATCTCTTAGTGCAAATTTTGAAAATTTACTGTAATTTTTTCAGTTCCTCTTATTGAGCCAGACTTCAAAAGGAATTTTACAGCTCTTGGGTCAATAGCCCCTTCCAAATCCAATTAGTTCTGGCCAAAGTGGCATGAGTGTAGGGGGCACATACATTATGATTATCTACCATCATGGGTTTTGAATAGAATAGCTTCCACTAGAAAGGAGTATCATAGTGGCATATAGCATAGATGACATATACAATGCAGGCACATAATCCAATAACAAATTCAAAGGAGCAGCATGGACTTTTGAAAGTAAAATTCAGAATGAACTTAGCCATAGGAGAAATGCCAAAGGAAACATTACACGTAGCATTTCCATTTGCAAAAGTGAACCTATGGTCTTTCTGTCACAGATTAGTTTTCTTCTTATCTACAAGAAAATGTATATAAATAAGAACATTATGGTGTTTGAGCCAAAATTTTATTATGTGAATATTTAACTGGTGTTTCTCTTTATTACGCAAATGATTTGTTATGAATTCAGATAAAATTTCTGTTAAATAGGAAATTTTACAAAATAAAGCACTCATGAAAATCCTTACGTATAAATTTATTTTTAACCCTTAACTGAACATTGATTTGGTACAGTGTCATATCCTGAATTTGGAAATTACAGTATTCTTTCTGTTATCAAAATCTCCCATTATATTGATTTTTACATTAAATTATAGAATATAATGTTCATATTTAAAACATACATGCTTATTCAATAATCATTTATTTCACTTCTCCATGCCTCCTACTCTTTTCTAAGATTCTTCCCCTTCTTATTTATTTTTTAAGTTTCTTCTTGAAATATTCCTCTAATTAATACAAACTACAACTGAATTCTAATTTTACCAAAGTCATGGAGCCAGCATATAAGAAACTTTAAGGAAAAACATAATTTTTTCCATAGCACTGAAGCACATATTCTGTACCTTTTGAATGCATATCATTAGAAGTCAGGACATGATGTACCTTGTATTAGTCAATGCAATATTTCTCCCTCACCCTTGAAAAGAGAAACTCTGCTCCCATTCTAGGGAATCTGTCAACTTCCAAAAAATGATCTAATTCTTTCATCAAGCTGTTTGCTATTTGCATAATCACAGTGTTCATCAAAACTAGAGATAACTTTTGTCATAGCTTTTATCGAAGTGTCTAATTACAATAAATATCAATAAAAAGTGTCCATTTATTAACTTGGTTGCAGTTTTATGAAAAGATCTATTGTAAGAAACCTGCTAAACGTGATACAAATAGCTAGCTACTAGCTAGCTAACTAGCTATCAATCTGTTTTGTCCACTCATCCTTTTACCTATCCAGCCATCTATTTATCTACACCCTTTAATGGTATTATCTCCCCTTAGAAACTTGTAAAATTTAATGGATGATAATCAAGTTGTCAGGAGATGATTCTATTTCCATTAAATAAAATTAAACTGTTTCATATGGTTTTTTATCTTTAAAAATATATTTTATTTTCACATAAAATTAATTAAAATTTATTTAGAAAAATTGATAAGTTTAGCTCTAAATATACACATAGGTAAGCTTTACCTTAAAATTTTATTTTGCCACTAACAAAGCCTTTGGAAGTTTAAGAGCATTTAAAGGTAAGTGGAGAATGATATAATATACTTCTTGTGGTTTACAACTTAATCTTCTGCTGTTATTAACACTTAAAACTATACCCCTTAAAATATATATCAGTTGCCTCACCTATCATAAGAAGGAACCATTTGCTGGTGTGCAATATTTGCCATCAGTGTTTCCTTTAGGTTTTTATCAACCTTTGTTGCACTTTAAAAATGCCTGGAAGCTATTGAAAATTCTCATGTCCAAGCTGCCTCTCAGATAAATTCAATGAGAATCTATAGAGTGAGGTTCATGCATCAGTATTTCTTAACGAACCCCAGGTAAATCTAGTGTCTATTCTATAGACAGAGAAAATGAGTCTCTAGAATGTATTGTCCTTTTCTCATACCATCTGTGATATTTTAACTGTCACCAAAGAGGTGCAGTATTTAGATTAAATCAGGGATCGTAACCCTTTCTTGACAATGAGCCACTTTGGCCATCTGGTGAAGCCAATGGATTCTTTCTGAGAATAGTGATTTTAAATGCATATCATAAAGTATATAAAATTTCAAAGAAAAAAGTATTGATATAATTATCAAAATGCTAAAAATGTGATATGGTAATATATGTACTTATCAAGTAACTCACTTAAAAACATACAGCAGTGGGTCTGCTATCGTAATTTTGAAGAAGTTATTAGCACCAATAGCATTTATCTGCAATGGGTAAAATGGATTTGAACAATATCCATCTTTCTGTCACTCAGACAATCACAGATACTCCTAATATGTTAGACTGTTTTTGACCTATATAATAAGAGGAAAATCTGAATTTTATTTTCATGGTAGAGGAAAGAGGGTTTTACTTTTTCCCGCACAAGTTTATGGATACCCGAGGTCATACAGGAGGTCTGTTTACCCCAAACAACCCCTGGGAAAAGGTGTTTTCTTAGTTAAACTACAAATGTGTTTCAATAGATATCACCCCATAACATCCCAGCACAGAAGCCAACATATAATTTTTTTACTCAATTTTTAAGTGGAAGACCTTAAAGCAATGGCATATTGAAAATTATTTTTTAGTGGGATAAAAAGCTTGAACTATGAACTTTTATCCAGAGAAGATAGATAGAAGATTTTATCCAGAATGCTAGAGACTTATTGTTAAAAATCACATGGTAGAAGGACATCAAAAAATTAAGGATTGTGTGGGAAGTCAATTAGAAGTAGAAAGTTGGAAAGGCATTCAAAATAAGCTTTTCCTGGAACACAGTTTTTTTTTTTTTTCAGGATTGGGCTAACTCAGAGAAGTTCATTAAGGAAATTATGGCCTGAGGTAAGGATACAGAATGGAGGTAGCTAGAAAGGGGGGAAGATCAGGAAATAAACACATAAATATTTATTTATATTTTCATTTATTTCTCTACATTAGAGGTAAGGAGAAAAAAAGAGATAGGTGATAAGAGAAAATAGATAAGTGTGGTAATACTTAACATTAAGTAATCAACTTTATTTACCTTATGTACTTTTCATTCTGCTCTTTGGATTACTTTTCAAACAGTAAAACTGTGAAGTGATAGGTGTAGGTGTAAAACGTTTATTGCATGCTTCAAATAGCAGCAGTTCCTTCTTGAACATGGTTTAATGCCCTCTACAACTATTATCTATTTATCAATGACTTGGAGGCTGACGATAAAGATATGCATGTCTGGCCCTAATAATTCACAATAGAAGTTATAGGCTTATAGAATAGGGACAGTCATTGCTATTCCCTAAATCTACCTTTATTTGAGTCACTTAAAGAGAAATTAATAAATTAATGATGTGTTTCTATGCAAAAATTCACAAGTGACTTGGGTTTATGCAAAAATAATGTAGGCTAGAGTAATGTTGCTCATTTATCAGGGATTAATCAATGAGGAGTCTCATAAATGAAAACTCTGAGTAAACTGAGAGTTATATTGAGTATGTTTTGAATAGTCTGTGTGTCAACCGACCTTACAGCAAAATCATGTTCAAAAATAGATTATTAAAATGACTTGGTGTTTATTTTATCTAGAAATAGATTTCCTTCTTTATAAAGGCTGAATAGTATTCCATTGTATATATATATATAACATATACATTTATTATTCAATCATCTCATTATGGACACTTAGTTTTATTTCATAACTTGACTATTTTGAATAAGGCTGACATGAACATGGGAATGCAGATATCTTTTTGACATACTTATTTCATTTTCTTTGGAAATATTCCTGGTAGAGCAATTGCTGGATCATAGTTTTAATTTTTTTTTGAAAAACTTCCATACTACTTTTCATAATGACAGTACCAATTTACATTTCCACCAAGAATGTAATACGAGGGTTCCCTTTTCTTCATATCTTTGCCAACACTTGCTCTCTTTATCTTTTCTTTTTTCTTTTTTTTGTTGTATTTTTTTTTTGAGATGGAGTCTCTGTTGCTCAGGCTGGAATGCTGTGGTATGATCTCGGCTCACTGCAACCTTCACCTCCCAGGTTCAAGTGATTCTCCTGCCTCAGCCTCCTGAGTAGCTGAGATTATAGGCGCCCACCACCACGTGTGGCTGATTTTTGTATTTTTAGTAGAGACAGGGTTTCACCATGTTGGCCAGGTTGGTCTCGAACTTCTGACCTCAGGTGATCCTCCTGCCTCAGCCTCCCAAAGTGCTGGACTTACAGGCATGAGCCACCGCACCTGGCCACTATCCTTATCTTTTTGATAGTAGCCATTCTCACAGGTGTGACCTCATCTATATCTCACTGTGGTTTTAACTTGCATTTTTCCTGAAGATTAGTGATTTTGAGCATTTTTCATACTCCTATTGGGCATGCGTACGAGATCTTTTGAGAAATATCTATTCAAGTCCTTTGCCCATTTTTTTTTTTTTTGAGACAGAGTTTCACTCTTGTTGCCCAGGCCAGAGTGCAATGGTGCAATCTTGGCTCACTGCAACCTCCGCCTCCCAGGTTCAAGCAATTCTCCTGCCCCAGCCTCCTGAGTAGCTGGGATTACAAGCATACACCACCATGCCTGGCTAATTTTGTATTTTTAGTAGAGACGGAGTTTCTCCATGTTGGTCCAGTTGGTCTCGAACTCCTGACCTCCGGTGATCCATACGCTTCAGCCTCCCAAAGTGCCGGGATTACAGACGTAAGCCACCCCGCCTGGCCTCTTGGCCCATTTTTAATCATTGTATTTGCTTTCTTGCTGTTCAAATGAGTTCCTTATGTATTTTGGATGTTAACCTCTTATCAGATGTATGATTTGCAAATATTTTGACCTATTCTGTGTGTTGTGTTAATTATTTCCTTGGCTGCGAAGCTTTCTAATTTGATATAATCCTATTTCTCTATTTTTGCTTTTGTGGTCCATGTTTTCGTGGTCATATTAAAAAAAAAATATTGCCCTGGCTACTGTCAAGGAACTTTTCATGAATGTTATCTTCTAGTAGTTTTAGAGTTTTAAGTCTTATGTTGAAAGTCATTAATCCATTTCAAGTTGATTTTTGTATATGATGTGAGACAAGAGTTAAATTTTATTCTCCAAGTGGATATCCAGTTTTCCCGGAGACTTTTGAAGAGGCTGTCCTTTCACTATTTGGTGTTCTTGGAATCTTTGTAAAAAACAAATTAACCATAAATTCATGGATTTGTTTCTGGGCCCCCTATTCTGTTCCATTGGTGTGTGTGTTTCCTTTTATGGCAACACTATACTCTTTGGATTACTATAGCTTTGTATTGTGTTTGAAGTCAGGTAGTATGATGCATCCAGCTTTGTTCTTTTTGTTCAGTAATAATTTCGCTATTTGGGATCTTTGGTGGTTGTATACAAAATTTAGATATTTTTATTTTTTGAAATCTTGATGGTGATTGTATGAAATCTGTAGATCACTTTGGGTAATATAGGCATTTTACAATATTAATTACTCCAATCCATGAACAGAGAATCTCTTTCCATTTAGTTTTGTTTTCATTCATCCATGTTTTATGTTTTTTTAGTTTACAGATTTATCCACTTCCTTGGTTAAATATATTTTTACGTATTTCATTATTTTTTGGTAGCTATTGTAAATGGGTTTTTTAAAATTTCTTTTTTGAATAATTCATTGTTAGTATATAGAATTGCTACTGATTTTTGTATGTTGACTTTGTATTCTCCAACATTACAAAATTTGTTTATTAAGCTTAACAGTTTTATTGATGGAGCCTTTAGGGTTTTCCGTATAGACGATCATGTCATCTGCCCAGAGAGACAATTTAACTTATTCCTTTCCAATTCAGATGCCTTATTTCTTTATCTTGTTTAATTGCTCTGCTGAGGACTTTTGACACTATGTTTAATAGAAGTGGCAGGAGTTGACATCCATTTCTTATTCCTGATTTTAGAGGAAATGTGTTTCACTTTTACTGTGACGCGTGAAGTTATCTGTAGACATGTCATATACGGCCTTCATTGTATTGAGGTAAATCCCTTCTCAATCTAATTTGTTAAGAGTTTTTAATCATAAAAGAATGCTATATTTTGTCAGATGCTTTTTTTCTGCATCTATTGAGACGATCATATAGTTTTGTACTTCATTTCGTTAACGTGATGTATTATGTTTATAGATTTGCGTACGTTGAATCATTCTTCCATCTCAGGGATAAATTACACTTGGTCACAGTGAATGATGCTTTTAATAAAACTGTTGAATTTTGTTTACCAGTATTTCATTGAGGGGTTTTCTTTCATTTATGTTCATCAGAGATGTTGACGTGTTATTTTATTTTTCTGTAGTGTCTTTGTCTGGCTCTGGTATCACTATAATGCTGGCTTTGCAAGATGAGTTTGGAGGTATTCCCTCTTCTTCAATTATTTGGAAGTTTGATAACCAAATGTTCTGCTGTGAATGCTTGGTAGAATTCAGCAGTGACACCATTAGGTCCTAGGTTTTTCTTTCAGGAAAGGTTTTTATTACTGATTTAATCTCAATACTTGTTATTGGCCTGTTCATTTTTTCTAATCTTCTTACTCAGACTTGGTAGATTGTATGGGTCTAGGCATTTATCCATTTCTTCTAGGTTACCAATTTGTTGGTATATTATTGTTCAGAGTAGTGCCTTATGATCCTTTGTATTTTTGTGGAATCAGTTTTAATGTCTCCTCCTTTATTTCTGTTTTTATTTACTTGAGTCTTCTTTTTTCTGTCTAGCTAAAAGTTGGTTTTATCTTTTCAAAAAGCACATCTTAGGTTTGTTGATATTTTCCATTGCTTTTCTCATCTTGATTTCAATTATTTCTGCTCTAACCTTTATTATTTCCTTCCTTCTACTAGCTTTGGGCTTAGTTTGTTCTTTTTCTAGTTTCTTGAGGTGTAATATTAGGTTATTTACTCGAGATTAATATAAATCTATATAAATTTGCTTAATTTGAGATAAAGAACCTAATAAGAGGGTTTCTTTTTTTTTGATATCACATTCATTTTTAGAACTGCTTCTACTGCATTCCATAAGTTTTGGCATGTTCTGTTTCTATTTTTCTTCTTCTCAAGATAATTTTTAATTTGCTCTTAATCTCTTCTTTGATTCATTAGTGGTTCAGGAGCATGTTACTTAATTTCCATGTATCTAAGATTTTTCTTACATTCCTACTGCTATTAATTTGCAGTTTCATACCACTGTGACCAGAAAAGACACTTGATATGATTTCAATATTAAATCTTTTAAAAGTAGCTTTTGGCCCAACATATGATCAATCCTGGATAATGTTCCATGTAGACTTGAGAAGAGTGTTTATTTTGCTGTTATTGGATGTGATGTTTTGTATCTGCCTGTTAAATTCATTTATTCTAAAGCATAACAAGTCCAGTGTGTTCTTACTGATTTTCTTTTAAATGATCTGTCTATTGTTGAAACTGTAGTATTGAAGACACCTATTTTCATTGTATTGTAGTCTATTTCTTCCTGCAGAACTATTCATATTTGCTGTATATATCTAGGGGTACCGATTCTGGGTGTATATATTTTTGCAATTATTATATCCTCTTGATGTATTGACTCCTTTATTATTATACAGTGACCCCCTTTGTCTCCTTTTATAGTTTTAATTTAGAGTCTATTTTATATGATACAAGTATAGCTATCACTGCTTTCTTGTAGTTTCCATTTACCTGATATATATTTTCATCTCTTCACTTTCAATCTGTGTGTGTCCTTAAAGATGAAATGAATCTTTTGTATGCAGCATATTGTCAAGTGCTGTTTTCTTTTAATCTCTTCAGCCACTCTGTCTTTTGATTGAATAAGTTAGCCCATGTATATTCAAGGTAATTATTGATAAGTAAGGACGTACTGGTGTCATTTTAGCAATTGTTTTCTGTCTGCGTTGTACATCCTCTGTTTCTTTTTTTCTTCTTCTATTCCTTTGTGACTACATGATTTTTTTAGTGGAATTGTTTAATTCTTTATTTTTTAATCTTTTGTGTACCTACTATAGTTATTTGCCTCATTGTTACCATGAAGCTTACATAAAACATTTGCATTTATAACAAGCTATTTCAAACTTATAACTTCTTAATTTAGACCTCTCTACACTTTTATTCCACCCATATAAAGACCCATTTTAGATATTTGATTTACAATTTACAGCTTTTTATATTGTGTATGCCTTAAATTGTTATAGCTATTGTTTTAATATTTTTGTCTTTTAATCTTTATGCTAACTATATAAGTGATTTACATGCTGCCATTACAATATTAGAGTATTATGAAGTTGACTTTGTTCTTACTTTTACCACTGAGTTTTATACTATCATGTTTTCATGTTATTAATTGGCACTGTTGTGTTTCAGTTTGAAAAACTCCCCTTAGCTTCACTTGCAAGCCCAGTGCAGTGATAATGAACTTCCTTAGCTTTGGTTTGTCTTGGAATGTCTTTATGTCTTTTTCATTTCTGAAGGAAAGCTTTGCCAAGTAATATATTTTGTTTGGGAACTTTTCGTTTTCCTTCAGCAATTTGAATATATCAACCTACTCTCTGCTGGCCTGTAAGGTTTGTGCTGAAAAGTCGGTGGCAAGCCTTGTTGAAACTCCCTTATATGTGATTTGCTTCTTTTCTTCTGCTGCTTTCAGGATCTACTCCTTGTCTTTGGTTTTCGATGGTTTAAGTATAATATATCTTGGTGTAGTCATGTTTATATTGCATCAATTGGAGAATTTCGACTTTTCTGCAGCTGGATATTTATATCTTTCTCCATATTTGGAAATTTTTCAACTATTATTTCTTTGACTAAGCTTTCTGCCCCTTTTTCTCTATCTTTTTCAATTCCTATAGTCTGAATTTAGGTCTATTGATGCTGTCCCATCAATCTGTAAGATTTCTTCATTTCTTTTCATTGTTTTATTCTCTTTGTTCCCATGAATCTATATTTTTAGATAATCTGTCTTTAACTTAACAGATTATTTCTCCTGCTTGATTAGTCTCCTGTTGATATTTTTTATTAAATTTTTAATTTTGTGCATTGTTTTCAGTTCCAGAATTTGTTTTTTATTATTTCTATCTCTCTGTTAAATTTCTCCTTTTGTCCACTTAGTTTTTTCTTGAATTTATTGAATCATTTCTCTGTGTTGCTTAAAGTTAACTAAACTTCCTTAAAACAATTATTTTGAATAATTTGACAGGCATTTTATAGATCTCTTTGTGGCCAACTACTGGGAAATGATTATATTCTTTTGGTGGTGATATTTGTCCTTAGTTTTTCTTGCTTCTTGTTGCCTTACAGGATGTCTGTGCATTTGGTGTAATATCACCTCCTCTAGACTTTATAGGGTGGCTTCAGTAGGTAAAAAGCCTTCCTCTATGGAACTGTATGAGGGTGCTGGCTCAGTGGGGAAGTGGGTCTCTCACTTGTAAAGGTGCAGCCATGTATTCTCTGTGGAGCTCTTCCTGCTGAGTTCAATTTTGATTGCAGAAATCCTCAGTTCCCAATGCTGTGAATGTCCTCAGAAGCTGTGAGAGCTGTTGAAGTCTTTAGTGGTGATGTCTGCTATGATCCTCCTGAATTCTTTTTCTCCACATGGGAAGCTGTGGCTAAGGGTATCTCCCTTACTACCGCCTCTGGCTTATGAGCATGCTTACAGTGGCAGTGACACTTGTGTCTAATGATTTACGCCACTATCCTATGAGTCATACCCATGGAGCAGCCATAGAGCCAAAGCCTGAAGCACAGGCATACATGGAGGATTATAGCTCTTTGGTCCAGTGTGGTATTAGTGTCAGTACCTAGAGTGTGGGATCTTACCCCTGCCACATTGGTAACAGCGTGTGAGCTGCAGGTACCTTTGATGCAGCTGTAGGACTGAAGATGGGAGCACAGGCATTCACAGGGCTACAATGGCTCTAGAGTCTGGGGCTGGGCCTAGCCCTCTATAGTGGCTGAGCTCGAGAATGGAATGTGGACACACTCAGAGAAACCTTGACTCCACGGTCCAGGCTGTGAGCTAGCTTGTTAAGTCAGTGGCTCTAGTTTTTAAGGGGCAGGTGTGAGGGTATACAGCACAAACTTGGAGCCAGAATCTGGAGCATGGAAGTGCATGTTGCTTCAGAAGCTCTGGTGTTGGTACACACGTGATCTGTCTATAGTAGCTGAGCTGGTGACTGGAGTGCAGGTACCCAGAGAGAGACCTTGGCTTCAGGGCACAAGATGCAAACTAGCTTGTTACGACTATGGCTTTGGTTTCTGAGAAACGGGAAGGCACAGTATAGTCACAAAACTGAGGTCTGGAGTCTTGGTACTTGCGGAACAGCCATGGCCCATTGGGCAGGAGGTGGTGAGTTAAGGGCATGAATAGGACTGGAAGAGTGTATGGCTCCAGTCTCAGAGTAGCACCACTGTTGCTGCCTCTTAAGTTGGGGGTGTGTGAAGCTGCACTTCTCTCTCTGGGGCTTCTCATTGGGAATGACTCTTTTTTAACTCAGTGACAAAACATGCTAGGTCTTTTGCAGAGCAGGTTCCTGAGGACCATGGTGGTTCCTACCATGTTGCTGACACAAATAGTCTATGCCCCTTTCTTCTTTGTATCTAGCCATCTTCTGGCCTCTCAGGTGTGCTATCACCAGTGATACTTTCAGTGTGGATATTCTCCTTTTCATTTTTTGTTTGTTTGTTTGCTTGCTTTTGCACTACTCTGTGCCTTCAGATTCTTAAACTGGCCCTTGAGCACTCACGGGGTTATTTTGGCTTGTGGATAGCTGTGCATATTGTTTTATTTGTGTGTTTGTGAGAATGAAGACTGATATCTCCTTCTTTACCATCAGCATGATATCAATCTTCAAAGAAGGCTTAGAGACTTCAAGTAGTTTTTTTTTTTTAATAATTTTCAACAGCCTTACTATGAAGTGGGTATGCACAGCGCCTCATACTGTCATGCTGGAAGTAAAAACATACATTAACTTTCTATAATGGGTGGTGTTAAGTTCTCCAAAATTTTATTCTATTTTTTGACTGTTTAATCTATTCTAGGTCAATGACATTTTCATATAAGTTCTATAAATAAGCTTGTTAATTTCTTCCAAAAAAAGTTGTAAATGTTGCCTGAATCTATTAGTCAATTTCAGTGAAACTGCAATCTTAATACTATGACCTCCCTTGCAAGTATATAGTTTACCTCTGCATTGACTTTTAAAAATATCCCCATGCAATGTTTTCTTAGTTTTCAAATTAATTTAGATTTTATGCTTCTCTCGTTATACATTTTTTCTTTGTATTGTAAATACTGTTTCTATTTCTTCATTATTAGTATATAGAAATACAATTGAACTTTTATATCCATCTTGTATTCTGTGACATTGTTTAATTTAATTATTAGTTCTAATAGCTTCTGTAGATCCCTTGGCATTTTCTATGCACTGAATAATGTTATACACACACAAAAAAATTTTATTTCTTGTTTTCAGTTTTTATTTTTGTTAATTTTTGGCCTTATTTCACTGGCTAAGACAATGATGATAGTATTTAATGAAAGTGGTGGGAGCAGATATTCTGTCCTTATTCCTGCTGTGAGGTCTATATTCCTGGCTCAGTTATCAGAAACCTAGATGTGTTTCATAAATACCTGAACCTCTCTGGGTGACAGCTCTTTTCTGTATTAATGAGCATAGTGATACCTACATTGCCTGAAGTCATAGCTGGGAAAAAGGTTGACAGTTGTGAATTATTTAGGTGTCAAGTAGGAAAATCATAACAGAAGGCAAAGCCATATTATTAGTGAGCTATGCATTCAAACATTTTTTTTAATTTACTACCCAATATTTCCATGCTATGATACTGCAGAAGTGAACAGTTTCCAAGAAAAATGATGTGCAAGTATGTAAGTTTAGAAAAATGCAAAATGTATTCTCTCTATAACTGTTTTGTTGACCTGAGTTCCATGAACTATAGTTGTCAGAAATGTAAATTAACTATGTATTTGTATAGATACGTGTGCTTATATTACAAATTTGTGCTTGAGAAATATCTGTAATATTAAAGAATCCACCAGCATTAAAAATTGTGTTAAATAACACAACCTATTTCAAATATTTTGTTCAATTAAAATAGTTTTAGTTATAAGCATGTATGTTTTTTACAACAAAAAATAACAAATAGAAGTTGTCTTTCTTCAAATTAAATTTTTGTATATTCCAAGGTCCTAATCACTTAATCTTTTTTAGCAGCAGCTAAAATAGTTGGAGTGAAAATGGGTGACATGAATAACACTGGTTCTCACTTCATTCTCTACAGAGTAACCAAATTTCTTCGAAATTCTGTGTAAAGGAAAGAATGATTGGAAAAATGCTCCCCAGAGAAAAGTTACATAAAATAATATACTAACATAGTTATGTACCTAGCTCAAAGTATACCCTGAAGTGGTGAAACTGAACATTAAGTTATTTAAATAGCTTTTTTTAAACAATGGAGCAATCTGTGTAAAGTGTAACCATACATTTGTTCCTAGCAGAGAGCTGATTGATGAAGACAGAAATACATATGCCTAGAGAGCTACAGCAGCTGAGTGCCACTAATTTTATGATCTCAATCACTGTCGAATAGGAAAAGTTATTTGTGTAACTGTAGTCTCCATGGATATTTATATGTGTCCTAGATTAAAAGTTAACTGGCTTATATCTGCAGAAGTGAAAAGCAATGAACAAATATATTAATTCTCCTTCACAGTAAAGATGGTTGTTATTTTGTGGATGATATTTTCTTGTATTTCTTCTTAATATCAGAAACTTTCTTTGCTTGTTTTACAAAGGTTTTGCATTAAGTCTTAGATTTAGGTTCATACCACATTTTCAGGTAGTATTATCTATTAAGGCGCATAAATTCTATATAAGCTAAATTGTAAATATTTTTCACAATGGCATATAAACAGGTCTTTGTGTGTGTGTTTGTGTGTGTGTCTATATGTATACACACAACTTTTGTTCTCTCACTTCCTTAATGGTTTTATGCATCCTTATGGCTTCAATTATAACCTCTAAGTGCAAGACTTAAATATCTTTTTGGCAATAATTCCTGATATCCAAATCACTATTGCAGTGTTATGGTGAACAAGGCTATGTACATATTCTGCTAGCACTTCCAACTCAGCATGCCAAAACCAGAATACATCATCTTATATCCCGAAACCTACTCTCTCTCTAGCGGTTTTGAAATAATCTACTCTTTCTGTCTCAGTAGAGTTGTCAGATTCAATTAGGTCCTTCCTATTAATTATCTTAAATCCCTTTCTTCAAGTGTTACATAAATTCAAGTCCTTGTTATTTCAAGGTTTTTCTATTTCAAGGACTTCTAACCCACCTTCAAGGTTCTAATGTCTGATATTTCCATCTCCATGATATGCAGTAATAACTATGTGTGTAATTTCCTTACAGTTATTTCTCTCTCTTATTTCCTGGTAAATTCATGACTCACAGTCAAAGAAGTAATGTTCGAGCCCTCCATAATTTGACTACATCACCCATGCTATTGTTGTATCTGATGTACATTTTACATGAACATTGGGTTGAATATATTTTCTGAAACAGAAGTTATTTTGGTAGGCTGAATAATGACCCCACAGTGTTCTGCATTCTAATCTCTAGAACCTGTGAATATGTTGCCTTGCATGGTAACATGGTCTTTGCAGATGTGACTAAGTTAAAGATATTCAGTTAGGGAAATTATCTTGAATCATCCACGTAAGCCTAATATAATCACAAAGATCTTTATAGAAGAGAGGAAGTAGATAAGAGAAGAGATAAGATGCTGTGTTATTGTATTTGAAAAGTAAGGAAGAGGCCAAAAGCTAAAGAATATGGTTGGCCTTTAGAAGTTGGAAAAGGCAAGGAAATTGATTTTCCATGTAGGACTTCCAAAAGAACCAGCCCTGTAAACACCTTGATTTTAACCTTTGAAGACTCATTTTAGACTTCTGACCTCTAGACCTGTAAAATAAGGGATTCGTTTTGTTTTAAGCCACTAAATTTGTGGCAATTTCTTACAGGGATAATAGGAAACTAATATAATGAGGGTATAGTATTTTTTTCTGATTAGTGTATTTAATTGTATAAAATAAATAAAATGATATATATATAAATTTGATAAATATTTATTAATTTAAAAAGCACAAGAAAAATAAACTCACAAAAACATAAAATCAGGACTGTAAATAATTATTCACAACACTCATTCTTGTTTTATTCAAATGTTCTTGGGATTTCTATTGTGATTCTATCTCTTCTTCTAAGTCGCTATAGAAAGTTCAGCATTAAACATGGGAGTTATTCAAAACACAAAATAGGGTCTTTTTGTTCTGTTTTCTACTTATAGAAAATATAATTTCATTCATATGAATAGTTTCATTACTACTTATACACAGATGATTTTGAAAATTATATCTCCAGGTGACATGTCTTTTCTGAGTTCGAGACCTATATATCCTATTGCCTATTTTTATATTTATTAAACTGTCTCAACACATTAAAAACAGAACAAAAGTTTTATCCTTAAATTTTTGCCTTCTTCAAGGATATGAACAGACACTTCTTCAAAAAAGATATTTATGCAGCCAACAAACATATGAAAAAATGCTCATCGTCACTGGTCATTAGAGAAATGCAAATAATAACCACAATGAGATACCATCTCATACCAGTTAGAATGACGATCATTAAAAAGTCAGGAAACAACAGATACTGGAAAGGATGTGAAGAAATAGGAACGCTTTTACACTGCTGGTGGGAGTGTAAATTAGTTCAACCATTGTGGAAGACAGTGTGGCGATTCCTCAAGGATCTAGAATTAGAAATACCATTTCACCCAGCAATCCCACTACTGGGTATATACCCCAAGGATTATAAATCATTCTGCTATAAAGACACATGCACACGTATGTTTATTGTGGCACTATTCACAATAGCAAAGACTTGGAACCAACCCAAATGTCCATCAATGATAGACTGGATAAAGAAAATGTGCCACATATACACCATGGAATGCTAGGCAGCCATAAAAAAGAATGAGTTCATGTCCTTTGCAGGGACATGGATGAAGCTGGAAACCATCATTCTCAGCAAACTAACACTGGAACAGAAAACCAAACACTGCATGTTCTCACTCATAAGTGGGAGCTGGACAATGAGAACACATGGACACAGGGAGGGGAACATCACACACAGGGGCTTGTCGGGGGGTGGGGGGCTCGGGGAGGGATAGCATTAGGAGAAATACCTAATGTAGATGACGGGTTGATGGGTGCAGCAAATCACCATGGCACGTGTACACCTATGTAACAAAACTGCATGTTCTGCACATGAACCCCAGAACTTAAAGTATAATAAAAAAATCTTGCCTTCTTCCAATATACCCTTTCTCAGTAAATGATACAATTATTAATCCAGTTAAACAAAACCAAATGAAAACTGGAGTTATCTATTCATTCAATATATATTTATTGAGTACCCACCATAAGCCAAATGCTAACAAAGTGGCGATTCCTCAAGGATCTAGAACTAGAAATGACATTTGACACAGCAATCATTACTGGGTGTATACCTCAAGGTTTATAAATCATTCTACTGTAAAGACACATGCACACGTATGTTTACTGTGGCACTATTCACAATAGTGCAAACAATAAACATTTTTATTTTAATTAGTTTTTATTTTATTTAAGTATTTATTTTTAACATTGTGGACATTTCAGGAAGCACATAGTATATAAGAGCTTGGTTTGTTTCTTTCTATTAATCTACATGTGTACGATGAAGTGGGGAGTGGTTTGTTTCTTTCTATTAATCTACAGGTGTACAGTGAAGTGGAGAGAGGTAATAAAACTTTCTACCAACTCTACCTTTGGAATTAATTTAGATCTGTCATTTTCTAGTTGGAAAAGTAAATCACGGACTTTTAAAGTTTTGGAGTAGCTTATGACACTCATGTTAAAGAGATATAAACAAGAAAATTACAAAAATGTAAATTTAAATGGGAAATAAGATATATCTAATAAACAAGTGAATGAAAATTAAAACAACTCTCATTTATTCAAGCAATATAGTGACAAAAATTTAAGATCATGACAATAACCAGTAATGGTGAAGGTATGGAGAAACAGGCATTCTCATATGCTTCTAACCAAAGTATAAATTGGTGGGAACTTGTTGGAGAGCAAGTTTGCTAAAATACTAAATAGTTGCACTGTTTGACCAATATTTCAAATTTTGACCAAGAAATTTCATTTTTATTTCAGGATTTTATTTTATGGAAATGAAAACAATCAAAAATGGAGGAAATTTGTTTCTTGTAACAGTGTTCAAAATCATGAAAAACTATGCACAACTTAAGTATCATCTATACACATACAGATATGAAAAAGACCATTGGAGTGAAAAAGATCAGTATGTGTATTATACAATCAGTCTTTGTTGTTTGCTCATTCCCTACTTGCAGATTTTAGCAAATTAAAAGTTACATGCCATATAATGACGTTTTAGTTAATGACAGACTGCATATGCCACAGTGGTCCCATAAGATCCATTATATATGGATCTAAAAACTTCCTCTCATCTAGTGATGTCATAGCTATCATCATGTCATAGCAGAATGTATTGCACATGTGTTTGTGGTGATGCTAATGTAAACAAACCTACTGTGATGTCCGTTGTACAAAGATAGTGCACATACAATTATGTACACAACATCATACTTGATAACAATGATAAATGACCATGTTACTGATTTATGTATTAACTATACTATATTTTTATCATTATTTTAGAGTGTACTTTTTCTACTTATATACATTTAAAAAATTCACCATAAATTAGCTTCAGGCAGATCTTTCAGGAGGTATTCCAGAAGAAGGCATTGTTATCATAGGGAATGACAGCTTCATGCATGTTATTGCCCCTAAAGGCCTTCCAGTGGGCAATATGTGGAAGTGGACATGAAAGGCAGTGATATTGACAATCCTGGCCTGTGTAGGCGTAGGTTAATATGTTTGTTTGTGTCTTTACTTTTAAGAAAAAAGTTTAAAAAGTAAGAAAAACGAAAACAACAACATTAAATAGTAAAAAGCTCATAGAATAAGGACATAAGGAAAGAAAATACTTTTGTACAGCTGAACAATGTATTTGCGCTTTAAGCTAAGTGTAAATATGAAAGAGTCAAAAAGTTAGGAAAAAAATAAAAATGTGTAAACAAGTTACAATAAGCTAAGTTTAATTTATTATTGTGGAAGGAAAATATTTTAAATAAATTTAGCATAGCCTAAGTGTACCATGTTTATGAAGTCTACGAAAGTGCCCTAGGCCTTGACATTCACTCACCACCTACTCACTCACTCATTCACCCAGAGCAGTATTCAATCCTGCAAGATCCATTCATAATACTTTTCTGTATTCTGATTTTTATCTTTCATACCATATATTTTACTGCACCATTTAGAGATTTAGATAAGTTTAAACACACAAATACTTCCCCTGTGTTACAATTGCCTAGAGTATTCACTACAGTGTCATCCTGTACAGGCGTGTAGCCTAGGAGCAGTAGGCTATACCTTATAGCCTGGGTGTGTGGTAGGCTATACCATATAGGTTTGTGCAAGTATATGATGTTCACACAATGACAAAATCACCTAGTGATGCATTTCTCAGTGGGTACACCCATCATTAAGTGACGCATGACTGTATATGTAATATGTGTGTATTTTATATATATATATATGTCAAAAATAATTGGCTCACATGATTATGGAGGTTGAGAAAGAGCTGCAGGTAGCAAGCTGGTGACCCATGAGAGCCAATGGTTTAGTTCCAGTTTGAGTCTGAAAGCAGGAGTAGACCCATATCCCAGCTCAATGACAGAGAGGTAATTCTCCCTTGCTGAACCTTTGTGTTCTATTAAGGTCTTCAATACATTGGATGAGGCCCACCCACATTGGCACGTTGGGAAGGGCAATCAGCTTTACTCAGTCTACTGATTCAAATGCTTATCCCCAGAAACATTTTTTTTTTTTTTGAGATGGAGTTTCGCTCTTGTCACCCAGGCTGGAGTGCCATGGCGCAATCTCAGCTCACTGCAACCTCCGCCTCCTGGGTTCAAGCAGTTCACCTGTCTCAGCCTCCCAAGTAGCCAGGATTACAGGAGCCCACCACCACACCCGGTTAATTTTTGTATTTTTTTTAGTAGAGACGGGGTTTCACCATGTTGGCCAGGCTGGTCCTGAACTCCTGACCTCAGGTAATCCACCTGCCTCGGCCTCCCAAAGTGCTGGGATTACAGGCATGAGCCACTGTGCCCAGCTCCAGAAACATCTTAACAGACACATCCAGAATAATGTTTAACAACATATCTGGGTACCCCATTACATTACCTTGTCAAGTTGACATATAAAATTGACCATCACAAGGCCAATCCTTGTCACCTTGGCCCCCGTAATGCATGTCCTTAAACCATACTTAATCTCCAAATAAAAACAATAATTAAGCCATGATTTCATCTAACATGATGTAACTAAGCTGTGTACAACTAAAAAGGCACTAACCTCTTCCCCAGAAGATGATGTGAAATACTTGAGTGATGTTCACTCTCTTTTTTGATCCAATAATTTGAATCCTGTAATTTAACACTATGATGCAAATTTAACAATACTTATATAATAAAATATCAATATATTTTATGTCACATAATAAGGAAATAAGAGAAGAAAAAATATTTTTAAAAATATATTCAGTGTGTGTGTGTATAAACAAACATTCATAACAAAATAAAAAGGAAATACAGTATTCCTAACTCCTGAAAATTATAGTCCTTATTTCAATAACTGGTCATGTGGCTGTAGCTGCCATTTATAACTACTTTCATCCACTATCCAATCCTTATTTCCTTTGCGGTCAGTAGACACTTCCTCTGGTTGTGGATCTTTATCTGTTCAAATGATCAGGCTTTCATTACTAATGAATTTTGGCCATTAGAAACTATGCTTAGATTGTGTTGTTCTTGTTTTCCATTGACATTAATCACCAGGCATGTTAATAATGAGAGACACCCTAAAGGATCTCCTATATTCCAGACATACTCTTCCGTATCACTTGTACCAGTCCAGTTCCCCTTTATTGTCAGGATTAGTCACTCCAGCTGGTACAATAATACCCTTATTTGCCTGTTGATTCAGAGGCATGAGGAGTCTGAAGTGGCTGGATGGCAGTGTTAACTTCTAGTTCAGTGGAGTCATTATTGTGTCTCTCACTTTCTAATCATGTTCCTTATAAGTCCTGGCATTTATATCTAGTTTCAGATCACAGAGAAAAAGCTTATAACTTTTCACTGTTGAGTTTGAAGATGTATGTAGAATTGTCATATGTGTCCCTTATTGTATTGAGGTACATTCCTTCTATACCTAATTTGTTGAGAGTTTGTGTTATAAAAGGATGCTGTGTTTTGTCAAATGCTTTTTTGTGTTTGTTGAGATGGTCATATGATTTATTTTCTTCATTCTGTTAACGTGGTTTATCATATTTATTGATTAATGTATGTTGAACTATACTTACTGCAATGAGCATATGAATGCATGTGTCTTTTTGGTAGAATGATTTATTTTCCTTTGAGTACATACCCAGTAATGGGATTGACAGGATTTCTTTCTGATCTGAAACACCCCAAGCTTGTTCTATCTCAGGACCTTTCACTAACTATTTCCTCTTCCTAGAAGGCTTTTTTTCCCTAGACCTTTTATTCTTTATATCTCCAAGTAAAACACTCTCACTGCAACAGGGAGAACTTTCCCATTGATCACAGCTAATGTACCCCCCACCATCCATGCATTTAATCACTTTCTATAATGTACTCTCTTTTATTTTCATCATAGTTTTTATCATATATTTAATTGATTATTTGATTATATCTTGAGTTTCTGTTTCCCTCCCAATAAAGTATAAGTTGCATAAGTTCGGGCCCTTGGCTCTGTAATTAATGGTTTTATCCATATTGCTTAAAACTGTTTTATCCCTACTGCCTAAAACAGTCACAAACTAAATAAGTTGTTAATAATTAGTAAATGGATGAAAAGTGGAACATTATGAACAAAGGCTTAGATGTAGGTAAAGATTGTCTTGTTTGGGTGCTTATGAATTTATCCACGAAACTATTAAAATTTAAAAGAGATTAAATATATAGGAATACTGGCATTAGGCCGTAGTCATCAGGGTCTTTAATCAACCACAGTGATTTATGAATTAGCATATCCTTTAGTTTTTCTCTGAGTTAAAACAGACCTCCAGTGAAGACTGATTGCTAAGATATTTTGTTTTCTAATTGTTCTAATTTTCTGTTTATATGATTTAGCTCTCCAAATTGCTGACTATCAATTTTAGGGTGCCTTGAACAAAATGGAAATGCTTACAATTGTAGAGTGTAGATCCCAAAAATCTACCACAGAAATTGTGATTCAGTAAGATTCTATTGAGATATATGAATATGAAAGTTTGGTAATCTTTTCAGATAATTTGCCGCAAGTCATATATGGACTTTTAAAATGTCATACCAATAATCATTAAGTAAAATTAGCATCTAGAAAAAAAGCCCATATGATCTATCTTTAAGTAAAACCGGGATTAAAAAATGTAGAAGCAAGGATAATATTTAATGTATCTCAAATATTCCGACTGTAAACAAAGAATTGAAGCCCAAAACACTTTGCCAGCTAAATTTGTTTGATAATATTCTTTGTGTCTCCTTGCAGAAGTCTCATCTGTTTACCATTAAATTGGAAAGGATTGTGTATTAGTAAGCTGGGACTGCCATAATGAAATGGAAAGTGGGGAAGGTTAAATGGTACAAAAATATAGTTAGATAAAAATAATTCTAGTATTTGACCACATAATAGGGTGATTATAGTCAACAATATTTTATTGCACATTAAAAAATAACAGAGTATAATTGGATTGTTTGCAACACAAAGAAAGAATAATTGCTTGAGATGATAGATACCCTATTTACCCTGATGTAATTATTATGCATCATATGCCTGTATCAAGATATATCATGTACCCCATGAATATATATACCTACTATTTACCCACTAAAATTAGAAATTAAAAAAATACCATAAACTGGATGGTTTAAACAAGAGGAATTTATTTCTCACAGTTATAGAGTCTGGGATATCCACAATCAAGTTTTCTGCTGATTCTATTCCCTAGTGAGGGCCCTCTTCTTGGCTTACAGATGGACACCTTCTTACTACGTTCTCACATGATGAAGAGCAGGCAAGTGAGCATGAGAGAGAAAGAGAGAGAGGCAGAGAGAGAGAGAGAGAGAGAGAGAATGTGAGAATGTGAGAGTATGCTCTAGTGTTTCTTCATATAAGGTTATTGTATTAGTCTGTTCTCATGCTGCTAATAAAGACATACCCCAAACTGGGTAATTTATAAAGGAAAGAGGTTTAATTGACTCACAGTTCCACATGGCTGGGGAGGCCTCATAATCATGGTGGAAGGTGAATGAGGAACAAATCACATCGTACATGGTGGCAGGCAAGAGAACTTGTGTACGCGAACTCCCATTTATAAAGCCATCAGATCTTGTCAGACTTATTCACTACCATGGGAACAGTATGGGGGAAACCGCCCCCGTGATTCAATTATCTCCACCTGGCCCCACCCTTGACACCTGAGGATTGTTATGATTTTGGTTGGGGACATAGCAAAACTATATTAGTTATTAATCCTACCACAAAAGCTCCACCCTCATGACCTCATCTGAACCGAATTATCTCCAAAAAGCCCCATCTCCAAATACAATTACTTTGGGCCTTAGGGCTTCAGTATATTAATTTTGGTTGAAAACAAGTCAATCCTTAGCAGGTTGCAATCATTTGACAAACATTTCAATGCCTAAATGCACCTGAATTTTCTCCTTTCTAAAATGAAGATAGTAATTTTATTCCATAAAGTGAAGCACACACTCTCTGGAGGGTAAATTAAATGAGTGAAAATTACATTGGAAGGAAAGCGCTAGCTAATCACTAGTAATTTTGAAGAATTCATTATTTTCATCCTTATCAAAGTGGTGGGAAGAAAATCTGAACATGGTTAAAAGTTACTTTAAATAATTGTCCTAATGGTTTTTGAAGCAAAGTTTTTTTTTCCATGTGTCATTTATTTTGTCTTAAAGTAAAAGACACACATTATTCTAATAATTACAAATAATTTTAATGAAATGAATGTATTTTCAAATACAAATTTGAGAACAGGACGTACATGATTATTTATTCATTAGTGAGTTTATAAACAATGTTTTGGGGAAATAACATTGTCTATATAGGCCTTCTTTCTGAGAATAATCTTATAAATGGAATAAGCAAATGGAAATAATCAACTGTCCATATGAAAAAATTGCTGGTTAAACTAATATCAGGACAGGTAATACTAAGTTTAACATGTGTGCTACAGTTACTGTGTGGAAAAATGACTTTTTAAGAAAACAGTAGTTTCTTGAGTGTGGCAACAGACATTTTTCTCATATTAAAAATTACTTGGCATTGTGACTCTATAGTTTTATATTTTATCTGCAAGATAAATTTTAGGTTAAAATTAAATCCAAGAGTTGTGCCTGATATTTTATACTGCACAGATACTTTCATTTAAAATATTTTAAAAATATAAGTCTCATATATTTGAAAAACAACTTAACCACTCTCATATTCACAGGTTACCTATGGCTACCTGCTCATAAGGAGAGGGCGGTAATTTAGAACAAGTATTTACATATGTCAATGTATGAGTTATATTTCACAGTGTCCCAGTGACTGGCTGGAATCAAATAGGGAATGTAGATATTGTTCCAACAATTATAAATAACCCATTATATTTTTTACTTTTTAAATCGTCTGCCCTGGTAGAAAAATCATCTTTAGTTGCCATGGAAATGCTTGCTTAATCAGAAAACGAATAAGCTATAACTTAGTTTTATCATAAAGGGAGAAGGATATTTAAAGGAAGCAGAAGTCTTGTTAAATAAAAAGTAATTATGCTAGTGCTTTTCTCATCTTCTGAACATTTGATCATTCTGTCCATTGGGAAGTAGGCAAAGAATGATATTTCAACCACAGTTCAGCATAATTCTGTTTAATTTTATCTATCTGCACTTGCAAAGTAAAAGCTAAAAGCTTCCCTGTAGTTAGGTAACTACGCCTGGATGAATGAACTTGGACATGAAGGCTTAGGTTGTGATGAAAATGGTATTATTAAAGATTATTGGGTATTTTTCAGCCACCTGATTGAGAGATTAGATAGTGAGGTACTGGCTCAATCAAAAGATTCTTTCCTGATTCTTTCAGCATTCAACATCCATATTTCCTCATATGTATCACATATTTCTCATTTATTAAAATAACTAACATTTGAAAGTTTACTATGTGCCAAACATGATTCCTAGAGCTTTATGTGGGTCATCTCCCTTAACCTTCACAACAGCCCAACGAGTAAGGGTTATTATCGTCTACTTTTTTACAGATTATGAAACCAAGACCTAGAGTATTAAATAACTTACCCAAAGTTACACAGATAGTAAATGGTGAAACAGAATTATATATGTAAGCAATCTTGTTTCAGAGCCTTTATTCAACTGCTACCCTATGCCAGCTCTTCATTACCAAATGCTTTTGTTATTTTTCTCTTTTAAATAGCCTTCTAAGCTGCCCAAGTCTTATTACCTGCTGAGTAGTTCAATGTGTTGGTTCCCCAAAGAGTGCTTTTGTTAAACATTTTATCCCAATTATTATTCATGTTCATTGGAAAAAGGCTAGCAAAACCCATAAGTAAAGTAAAAGTGACGGTCTCTCCTTAATCTCACCAACGCTACTGAATTAAATTCTCTGTATTTCATGTTCTCTGTCTAAATCCTGGGATAATACCTGCTTATTTCTATTGCCACCTTCCTGTTATTCAAATCATGTGAATGCCAAGTCCATGCTTGTAGGCATCATAAATATTATTTAGTTATTTTACACAACACACACACGCAACTGTGAAGTATGTATTATCAGTTTTCAGATGAGGAAATTGAGGCCTACAGGTTATGAACTACACCAAGTAACACTACTAGAAAGTAGCAAAGTGGGGTTCCAACTGAAGTCTCCTGACCCTCAGAAATAAACAATTTCTACCACATTATACTGAGTACATATTGAGGTTGGCAATTATAAAATGTATGAATCTAAAACCAGTATTTGTTATTAAGAGATGGTTGGTGATGAAAGAATGGTGCTCAATAGCTCAATCTTGGTTACCGGAAACAAAAAGTTTGGGAGGTCTATATTAATTAGAGTGAGCTAGAATATGGTAACAGTTTAAAATATAAAATGACTCAATAAAATAGTCAAGTTTATTTCTTGTTCATCTAAATGTCCAGGGAAGTTTCAGGTTAGTAGTTCTGCCATCCTAAAACTTGATTTTAAATGTTTCTAGAGATTGCCATTCAGGTGATCAGAAAGGGAAAAGAACACGAAGAAAGCACACTGGCTCCTTAAAAGCCTCGGCCTTGAAGCGACACAGGTTACTTCTACTCACATGCCTTTGGGGAGAACTAGTCTTGTCATGAAAGTCGCTGATGAGGTAACTACTACCTAGATACAAATAATAGTAAAGATAAAACATTTGATTTAAATGGACAGATAACCATCTTTACCACAGAAGGTTATTAGTTGATATTAAGTTCAACAGTGGTATAAAATGGATTGCATATCACTTGGTATATTTTTATTATAGGAGTCACAATCGGACAATATACACTGAGGTCAGCACCCCTTGTATTTTTAGACATTTGATATTTTATATATATATGTATATATATGTATATATATGTGTATATATGTGTATATATGTATATATGTGTATATATGTATATATATGTGTATATATGTATATATACGTATATATGTGTATATATACGTATATATGTGTATATATACGTATATATATGTGTATATATATACGTATATATGTGTATATATATACGTATATATGTATACAAATAGCTGTATATATATATAATTATTATAGTGTAGAGATGTTTAAGTGAGATGTTAAGATAATTACAGAGAACAATAAACAAAATAAATTGTTTTAAGTCCCACTTTTTGTCACCTGTAAAAAGTTCTTTAATAGCCACTCATTTCTAATGATTCTTAAATAAAAAACAGAATTGTAAATATTGTTAGAATAATTTACTGTTCAACAGAAATCAGAAATGAATAAAGTAATATATTTTTCACAGTTATAATCAAAATTAAATGAGAAAATCTATTTAATTTTTCTCCTTATTGACGTCTTTAGCCTCCAGGCCATCAGAAGAGAAAGAAAACTTTAGCAAATAAGGACAACAGGCACTCATCTTAATCCACTGCCTTCATAAACTATTGTTTTCTTTGTTAGAAAGGCCTTCAGAAAAGAAGGTAGCTTAGAAAGCAATTTTAAACTTCCCTATTTTGATTCCAAAGACTGAGAAAATTCAGAAAAGAGACACAAATGTCAGATTTTGTTTGGCAGACTGTATAAAATAATGTAATGGTGATTTGCATGCTGCTAAAAAAGGTACTTTTAAAGAGATATGCAATGATTATTTTAACTGTTAAATAAATTTGAATATTGGATGTTTGGTATAGACCTAAATGTCATCTAGAATGATATGGAATAGAGAATAAACTTTCACTCTATGTTGCATTCTCTATGCTATTCAAATATTATTATTTTTACTTCCTCCTCAAGGTCAATGACTTGGCAAACATTTTCTTTATACACATGCTACTTAAATAAATACTGTGTCTGTTTATCCATATGCCACTTGTGACAGTTTTCTAAATTTATCATCTTTGCAGTCTCCGTACTGGAATCCTAGATGTGAAAAACACACACACAAAAAGAAACAGTACAATAACAGTAATCCCCCCTTATCCATAGAGGATAAATTTCAAGACCAAGAGTAGGTGACGAAAACTGCAGATAATAGAGAACCCTATATATACTCTGTTTTTCCTAATACATATATACCTATGATAAGGTTTGATTTACAAATTAGGCACAGTAAAATATAAACACACTAATAATAAATTAGAACAGTTATAAAAATACTGTGAAAAGTTATGTGAATGTGGTGTCTCTCACTCTCTCTCTCTCTCAAAATATCTTCTTATATTCTGCTTACTGTTTTCAGGCAATGGTTTACTGCAGGTAACTGAAAGCATGGTAAGCGAAACCATGGATAAGGTGGGACTTCTGTGTAGCTTGTTCTTTCTTTATATATTGCTCAATCACTAAAAACTTACAGGTAAGAGGAAGTCTAAATCACTGCTTTTGTTGTTTATATTACTGAGTAATTATGCTACATGAATTTTCTTTTCAAAAATATAAAGGTCCCATGAGTTGCTAAAATAATTCTATATTTTGTCATCCAAAGCAGTACATTTTTATGTTTTTAATTTTTTAACTTATTATTGATTTATTTATTTTTAAAGAGAGAGTCTCACCTTGTCACCCAGTCTGGAGTGCAGTGGCATGATTAGGGCTGGCTGTGACTTCAAACTCCTAGGCTCAAGTGATCCTCCTCCCTCAGCCTCCCAAGTGGCTGGGATTACAGGCACCTAACATTATCCCCTATTTATTTATTTAGTTATATTTTGTAGAGTAACATTTCCCTAATACCCCACTTTTATCTTTTATCCCCCGGTAACTGGACTAGCGAAAAAAAAAAAAAGGATAACTGTAACCCAACTAGACTTAACACACATATATATAGAACACTTACCCAACAACTGAACACACATTCTTCTCAAGTGCACATAGACATTCTCCAGGATAGATATTATTTTACTCTCTGTTTCTAGGATATGAGTTGGACATTTACAGAGTCCACCTTTAGGAGCTCTGGCAGGCTGGGCGCGGTGGCTCATCCCTGTAACCCCAGCATTTTGGAAGGCTGAGGCGGGTGGATCACCTGAGGTCAGGAGTTCGAGGCCAGCCTGGCCAACATGGTGAAACCCCGTCTCTACTAAAAATACAAAAATTAGCTGGGCGTGATGGTTGGCGCCTGTAATCCCAGCTACTTGGGAGGCTGAGGCAGGAGAATCACTTGAACCTAGGAGGTGGAAATTGCAGTGAGCCGAGATTGCACCACTGTACTCCAGTCTGGGCGACAGAGCTAGACTCCATCTCAAACGAAAAAAAGGAAGCTCTCAGGCAGTACTTGTCTTTCTGTGACAGGCTTATCTCACTTGGCATTATGTCTTCTGGGTTCATCCGTCTTGTTGCAAATGATAGAATTCCCTTTATTCTTAAGGCAAAATAGTATTCAATTGTGTATGTATGTCAAATATTTTATACATTCAACTAATTAAATCAGTATATTGAAGAGATAGATGCACTCCCATGTTCACTGCAGCACTATTCACAATAGCCAAGAGGTAGAATCAATCTAAGTTTTCATGGATGGACAAGTGGATAAAGAAAATGTGGCATATATACCCAATGGAATATTATTCAGTACAATTTAAATGCTTAAATACAGTAAACAGGTCTGATATGGACATAGATATTGGAGTTTTAAACTTGAAATGACCAAAAATATTTTAGTGGTCTTTGTCAAAGACATAAGTTGGTTTGGAGAGCTCCCTTCTTGCCAATATTCAAAATATATGTTGATTACTATTAGTTTATAAACGTTCCACGATTATTTAGTAATACTAAAGTATCTTTAGCTAAAAAGAATCTATTGTAATTGGCAAATGTATGTAGTTCCAAAAGATAAAAGGCCATTAAACAATTCAGCAATGTCATTAGATTCTCTCCCTTGGGCTTACTACATGTATAACGTTCACCACTATTTATCCATCACCTTAGCTACATAGAATCTACAAAGCATGCAAATTACCATCGAGAAGAGCAATTCTGACGTTTCTTTATTGTAATAGAGAGAACATAAGCAAATCACTTCAAAGAGTATTTCGAATTTTTTTATTGATAGTTGAATATTGACTTTTGAAAATAAAGAATACTAATAAGATGAACACATCTCTCCATTATTGTTTGCAAATAAACAATGAAACTAGTCTCTACATAAATAAATATACATAAGATTTTATTCATAGTTTGGGCTAAGAAATCAAAGAATGCCCCATTGAGTGCATTTTTAAGTAAATAAAATTTTTACTTTTTTTGTTGATATGGGTGCCTTACAGGCTATCAAAATTATTTGTGTCTATCATATAATATATATATATATATATATATATATATATATATATATTTAGATGGAGTCTTTCTCTGTTGCCCAGGCTGGAGTATAGTGTTGCAATCTCGACTCACTGCAACTTCTACCTCCCTGGTTCAAGTGATTCTCCTGCCTCAGCCTCCCAAGTAGCTGGAACTACAGCATGCGCCACCACTCCCAGCTAATTTTTGTATTTTTAGTAGAGATGGGTTTCACCATATTAGCCAGGCTGGTCTCAAACTCTTGACCTCGTAATCCACCCCCTTCAGCCTCCAAAAGAGCTGGGATTACAGGTGTGAGCCACCATGCCCGGCCTATCACCTATCTTTTAAACAAGCTACACTGTTTGTTTCTACAGCTACATTTTCTAAAACAAACTTTCTGCAAACTGAATTGTTCAAAGTAACAAATGAAAAATACAAAAATATAAAGTTATGGGAATATTGTTTTTTAGGGCAGTAAAACTACTTTTAACCTGAGTTATAGAAGAGGAATATGCTCCTGTCTTCATGTTAGAAAATAATTTTTAAATTTAATGAGGCTGGTTTTATGATCTTAGTATCTTATCTATCCTGGAGAATGTCTGTGTGCACTTGAGAAGAATGTGTGTTCAGTCGTTGGATAAGTGTTCTATATATGTGTGTGTTAAGTCTAGTTGGTTTATAGTTGTCTATTTTTTTGCTAGTCTGCGTAATTATTTTACACATTATTGAATTTGAAATATTGAAATTGAATTGTTAAATCATGTATTTTTCCCCACATTACTGTTAAATTTTGCTTCATATATTTTGGGGCTCTGCTGTTAAGTGTATATATGTTATAATTGTTTTAACTTCCTGATGTATTGATACATTTATCAGTATAAATTTTTTCTTTATCTCTAATAACTTTTCTTCTCACATCTATTGTGTCATATTCATTTAGGCAGTACAGCTTTCTATGTTTTCTGGCTGCAGGACATACATTTTTACATCTTTTTTTCTTTCTATTTTTAGATTTGAATCTAAGACATGTCTTCTATAGATATGCTATAGTTTAAACTTTTTAAAAATCTAGTTTGACAATCGCCATGTTTTATTTAATTGTTTAATTCATTTACATTTATTGTTATTACTGAGGAAGTTGAACTTATATCTGTCAGTTTGCTGTCTGAAGATGTTTATTTAATTTCTCAACTATTTGTTTACTGTTTTCTTTCACATTAAGTGGATATTTCCTACTATAAGGTTTTGATTTCTTTAGTAAACAATGCACTATAGTTTTGAATTATTTTCTTAGTGGTCATTTTAGGGCTTACTTACCATATACATCTTGAATTCTTGCAATCTACCTTAGATTTATACTAACTTGATTTCAGCCAGATATGTAAATGTCACTCCTATTTTGCTCTATTCCATTTCTTCATTTTTTGTGCTGTAATTTTTATATCAATATGTTACAAAGCTGACTATACGTTGTAACAATTATTATTTTGATAATTTTATATCAATGAATAGAAAGTAGAGCAAGTGCACATTTATAAAGTTTGTTATATTTACTAAGAGTCACCTTATTAGGATCAATTCAGGCATGTTTGCTTTTAGTGATGTTCATTTTTCCCACAGTATGAGGATCCTGCGTATAATCACACTGAAATGCACAATGGATTTAGTAGGGCTTTCTTTGTCTACCTCTCTTTCTAATACTCTGCTAAGTGATCTTTTTTAGTTGACAATTAGTTGGCAGCCTTTAGGCTCCACTAATTACAAGCTGATGATCAACAGTGGCCTGGGGTTTAACTTGCTCAACAACCTTTTTTCTCAGTTGAATTTGGACAAGATAGATCTTGATGCCAGTCTTCGAGTTTGTCATAACTGTAGGAGGGCTCTGTGGTCAACAAGTTGGGCTATTGTTTAGCTTGCTTCTCTTATTTAAGAGGAGCTGTTATTTTGAGGGCACTCTTAAAATAACTGTTAGGATACCTCAAAGTTAGGTTCAAACTTCCCAGTCCTCTGTTTCACATAAAATCAAGTTCTTTTAGGAAGTGATTTAGTTCACTTTTTTTTCTTGTGGAATGCCTTTGCACTTATGTATAATATCAGAGACACTGCTGTGGGAATCAGGTGTGGTGGTGGCCTGTGGCCTTTTCAGCTTGCCTCTCCCAGCATAAAACTTTTTTCCTATAAGCAAGCTGAAATGAGGGCAATCAGGTCCTAGTATTTTCAGCCTGCTGCATCTGGCATAGAGCCTCTGTCTTATAGATAGAGGCTCAATGGAGGAAAGAAGTCCCAAATATTTCAGCCACACTAATCAGCCACATTTTACCTCTTCAGTTTGGAGGCACAGGGGATGAGAAATGCTGGCTTTATTGCTAATTACGGAGAGATACAGTAACCCTTAATTGAAGGATGAAGAGTGAGAGAACTCTATTTTAGCCACACCCACCCAAAGCAGAACTTACTTTAAGCTGAGCTGTGGGAAGGGAAGGGAAGGAGTAGGATCTTTACATATTTCTTGTTAAGTTTATGACCATTAAAAAAAAATAACCTGCTATGGTCTTAATATCCTCCAAAATTCAGGGGTTAAAATAATCCCTATTGTGGTGGTATTCAAATAAGGGGCCTTTAGGGAAGTGATTAAGTCATGAGGGCTCCCCACTTATGAATGGATATTAATCCTTATAAAAGGGCTGCAGGGAAATAGCTTAGGCTTTCCCATTTGCTCTTTCATTCTTCTGGCATGTGAAGACACAGCATTCTCCCCTCTTGCCCTTCCATTATTCCTATCCTGTGGGAGTACAGCACTAGTCCCCTTTCACAGGATGCATCAACAAGGCATCAACTTGGAAGCAGAGAACAGCCCTCACAAGAGACGAAACCTACCACACCTTGATCTTAGACATCACAGCCTCCAAATCTGTAAGAAATATGGAGATTCTCAGAGAACTAAAAATAGAACTACCATTTGATCCATCAGTCCAACAACTGGGTATCTACTCAAAGGAAAAGAAATCATTTATCAACAAGATACCTACACCTGTGTGTTTTTCACTATTCACAGTAGTAAAGATATGGAATCAACCGAAGTGTCCATCAATGAAAGACTGGATAGAGAAAATGTGGTGTATATGCATAACAGAATATTACTTAGCCATAAAAAAGAATGCAGTCATGTCTCTTGCAGTAACATGGATGGAACTGAAAGCCATTAATTTAAGTGCACCAAGTCACACACAGAAAGACAAGTACTGTATATTTTCACTTATAAGTAGGAGAAAAACTATGTGTACATATAGACATAGAGTGTGAAATAATAGAAATTACAGACTAGGAAGGGTGGGAGTTGGGAGGGGATTTCTTAAATTTTCCTTCTGTTACATCATTCTGTTTATTAATAACAATCTAAAATATTTTAAGTATATTGCCTTTACAGGCTCTTTTAATATCAGGTATGGTTACTCCAGTTGTTCTTATAATTCATTTTTTCCCGATTTTGGTAAGTTTGTTCTTCCAAGTGTGTATATTATAAACTCTTCTAGTTCTACTAGAGGAACAAGAGCCAGATGATAATTTTGTTAGAATTACTAAAATTTATAAATTAACCTACAGGTGAAAAGAATATTTATGAAATTAAGTCTTCTTTTCTAAAACCTTATACTATTTTTTTCCTGCTTTTATGTTCACTTTGGCATGTTTGCAGAGTGTTTTATATCTCCCTCATATAAGCTTTATACATTTCTTGTTAAGCTCATGTCCAATATTTAAAAAACATTTTTTAGATTAGTTCTAGATTTACTGAAAAAAAATGTGAAGGTAGTACAAAAGTTACATATCCCCCACACCCAGTTTAACCTATCTCTTATGTTAGTTTTATATATTTGCTCTAATTAATAATTAAATATAACACATTATTATTAACTAAACTCCATCACTTATTTAAATTACATTAGTTTTTTCACCCTATTATCATTCTTCTGTTCTAGTATCCCATCCACAGTACCACATTATATTTAGTCATTGTGTCTTTTTAAACTTGTCTTCGCTGTTACAGTGTCTTAGATTTTCCTTGTTTTTTTTAATGACCTTGACAAATTTAGGCGTACTCTTCAAGTATATTTAAAATATCACCCAATTGAGATGTGTTTGATGTTTTTCTCATTATTAGACTGGGATTATGTGTGTTTATAGAGAAACCATAGAGGCAAAATGTGATTTTCATCACATCATATTATGCTGTCAATATGACTGACTTATCACTAGTGATAATAAGCTTGATCACATGGCTGTGGCAGTGTTCATCAGGTTTCTTTACTGTAAAGGTCTCTTTTTTAACTATCTGTAGTGTACTCTTTGAAAGAAAGCCAATACATGCATCCCACACTTAAGCAGTGGAGATTTATGCTTCACCTCCTTTGGGGGCTGTAATCTCCATAATTTATTTGAAATTCTGCATAGGAGATTTGTTCTTTCTTATGAATCTATTTAATTATATATTTATACCAGTACAGATGCAGGAATATTTATTCTATATTTTTATTATTATCCAATATTAAGATGTTCAATCTCTTCCAGCTTTTGGTCAATGGACGCTCTTTTCAGTTGGCTTGTGACACATTCAAATCATTGTAGGTTTCTTGTTTAGTTTGGCTTTTTGAGCATTACTTTTACTTTCTGGCACTATAAAATACCCTAAGATAATCTTGTATATTTATTTCCCCAGTTCTGGAATTACTCACTAAAGCCAAATTTTAAATTTATTTTGTAAATGAAATATTCTCCTCCTTATCTCCTCTTATCTCTTAAAATTGGTCTTGATTTTTATTCATAATGCTATTAATTTTATACATTAATTGCATTACCTGAGAATGTATTAAATTATCTTGTTTGATGTAGCACTTTTTCAGTGAATTCTTTTAGGTTGTTTAGATGTATAGCTGTGTTATTCACAAATTAAGCTAGACTAACTTTTACTTTCCAATTGGTATGCTTTTAATTGTCTTCCCTTGTCTAACTGTATTGACTAATTCCTTCAACATAATATCAAATAGTGGTAGAGAGAAAGGACATTTCTGTCTTGTTTCTAACAGTAACAGGGACACTGATATTATTTTCCTATTGAATCAGATGCTGTTTTATTTTCCCTGCATATTCTTCCAACACAATTTAATAGCTAAATCTATCACTTATTTCAAGTAAGTGTTAATATATTCCCTTTGTTGTTACTCTTCCCCAATCACCCTATTTAATACTGGACTCATTCCCACCTCACACCTGCCATCAGACCTTTTAATCTCCTGGACTGCTCTATTTATTTCCATAACACTTACCAACTTCTAACATTCTGTATACTGCATTTATTTATTAAATTTATTGTATGCTGTCTGTCACAGCTCATGAAAATATACTCTCTGTGGAGGACAGATATTTTTGTTTATGTTGTTTAATGATCATCCTTATTGCCTAGAAAAATGTGTGGCACACAATAATTCCTCAAGAAATACTTTTATTAAAAATGAATATGTAAGTTATTCCACTCAGTCCTTAGAGTATTCAATTTTTATCTTTTATGAGCTGTTATGTATTACTTTCTGTTTTAATTATATCTTCTATATCATACTAGATTTTTAGCTCCATTAGAGTAGGAACAGTGTCTTCTTCATGTTTTTAATTCATTCCTAGACCCAGAAAAGTGTTTTTTATATTTAGTAGGGACTCAAAATACAATGACAAAACCAAATAAAATGAACTTTCCAATTGCTATATTCGTGTTTGTAGACTCAGATCAATTATGAGTTTTGAGTCTACTTTGCAATACCAACTGGTATTATAAATGGCACTGTTTGACCCATGAATAGACTCCACATTCTTGAGTGGTAGCCTCATAGCCTTTCTTTATATTCCTTGAACATATTAAACCTGTACAAACTCAGGGAATATTTTTCTTGATGTTTTTTCTCTGCCTGAAATGCTTCCTTATTAATTTTTTAAATACATATTTTATTTTTAGGGCAGGATTATGTTGAGAGCAAAATAGAGCAGAAAGTATGGAGAGATCCCATATACCCCTGACACCACACGCCCACAGTCTTCTCCACTATCAACTTCCCATACCAGGGTAATACATTTGTTACATTCAATGAACTTTCACTGACATATTGCCATCCTAAATCCGTACTTTATATTAGGATTCACTCTTGGCATTTTATATTCTGTGGCTCTTGACAAATGTATAATGACACAGATCCACCACTATAGTATCTTACAGAACATTTAAAGTGACCTGGAAACCTTGTATTCCACTTATTTGTCTCTCCTTCCTCCCTAAACCCTGACAACCACTGATACTTTTACTGTTGCTATAATTTTTGCCTTTTTTGTAATTTAATACTTGGAACAATATAGTGTATAGCCTTTACCAGATTGGCTTCTTTTACTTGGTAATGTGTTTTTAAAGTTTCCTCCGTGTTTTTTCATGGCTTGATAGCTCATTTTTCACTAGCACTGAACAATATTCAATTGTCTGGATGTGCCACTGTTTATTTATATATTCATATACTGAAAAACACTTTGGTTGCTTCCAAGTTAGGGAAATTATGAAGCTGCTATAAATATCTGTGTGCAGGTTTTTGTGTGGACATAAGTTTTCATTTCCTTTGGGTAAATACCAAGGAGCATGATTGCTGGATCATGTAATGAGTGTGTTTAGTTTTTAAGAAACCACCAAACTGTCTTCTATCGTGGCTGTACTGCTTTGCAATCCCATCAGCAATGAATGAGGCTTTCCATTGTCCATATCCTCACCAGCATTTGGTACTGTCAGTGTTTGAGATTCTATTTTAATAGGTGTGTAGTGGTATCACATTGCTGTTAAAGTTTGTTTAATGATATGTGGTGTTGAGCATCTTTTCATATGCTTATTTGCTATCTATATATCTTCTTTTATGCAGGGTCTGCTCAGATCTTTTGTCCATTTTAAAATAGGGTTGCTCATTTTCTTATTGTTGAATTAAAGAATTTTGCATACATTTTAGCTAAGAGTCCTTTATCAGAAATGTTTTTTGCAAATTTTTTTTCTCAGTCTGTGGCTTGTCTTTTCATTCTCTTGTCAGTATCTTTTGGCAAAGAGAGGCTTTTAATTTTAATGAAGTACAGATTATCATATATTTATTTCTTGGACTGTGCCTTTGGTATATCTGAAGAATGATCACCAAACCAAGGTCACCTTTTATCTTTTAGGAGATTTATAATTTTACATTTTTACATTTAGGTATATGATAAATTTGGGATAATTTTTGTAAAGGGTGTATGTTCTGTGTTTAGATTTTTTTTTTGTATTAGATATTCAGTTAAAGCACCGTTTGTTTGAAATAGTTTTTTTCTATTGTATTATTTTTATTTTTTTCTGAAAATTTAGTTGACTATATTTGTATGGATCTCTTTCTTTATGCTTTATTTTTTCCCTCAATTTATTTGTTCATTCTTTCATCAAGACCACACTGTATTGATTACTATAGCTTTATAATAAGTCATGAAGTCAGGTAATGTCATTTTCCAAATTTGTTTTCTTTCAGTGTTTGTGTTGGTTTTCCTGGTCTTTTGACTGTCCATATAAATTTTGTATCAGTTTACCAATATCCTAAATATTAACTTGTAAGGAATTTGACTTGGATTTCATTGAATGTATAGATCAAGTTGGGTAGAACTAACATCTTGACGATATTGTCTCTTCCTACCCGTAAATATGTAACATCTCTGCACTTATTTAGTTATTTGGTTTCTTATTTCACTATTTTATAGTTTTTCTCATATACATCTTCTGTTTATTTTGTTAGATTTATATCTAAGTATTATTTCTAGTGCAAATATAAATGGTATTGTGTTTTAATTTCCAGTTCCACTTGTTCATTGCTTATGTGTAGGAAAGTGATTAAATTTTATATATGACTTGTATCCTAAAGCCTTTCTATATTTGCTTTTTAGTTACATGAGGTTATTGATACTTGTTTTTTTAATACACACATATAATCAACAAAGAAATGCAATTTTATTTTTTCTTTCCCAGTCTCTATACCTTTCATTTACTTCTCTTGTCTTAATGCGTTAACTAGGACTTCTGGTATGATGATGAAAAGGAGAGATGAGAGGGAACCTCCTTGCCTTTTATTGATCTTAGTGAGAAAACCTCACATTATTCACCAATAAGTATGATGCTAGCTATAGGGTTTTTGTACATGGTCTTTGTCCAGTTGAGGAAATTTCCTCTCTTCCAAGTTTGGTGACTGTTTTTACTATGAATGGGCACTGAATTTTGTCAATTTTTTCTTGAATCTATTGATCAGATCATGTGATTATTCTTTAGACTGTTGATGTGATGGATCATTTTCATTAGAATGCTTTTCATTATATTTTCATTATAATGAAAATACTCTAAACAGACATAAACAACAAACATTTATTTTTCACAGTTATAAAACGTGTGATGTCTTAGATCAAGGGCTTACAGATTCAGTGTCTGGTGAGGGTCCCCTTTCTGGTTTATAGATGGCTCACTTCTGTGTCCTCACATGATAGAAGGAGTAAAGGAGCTCTATGAAGGTTCTTTCATAAAGACACTAATGACTCATGAGTTCTCTACCCTCATGGCCTGATCATCTTCCCAAAAAACTCACCTTCATACACCATCACGTTGGGAGTTTAGATTTTAAAATACAGATTTTTTGGGAAAGACACAAACATTCAGACCATAACACATTGCATCAATTGATTTTTGAGAATTGAGACAGCTTTGCTGTCTGGAATAAATTTCACTTGGTCATGATGTATAATAATTTTTATAAATTGTTATATTCAATTTGCTAATATCCCACTTATGATTTTGCATATATGTACATAAGAGATATTGGTTTGCAGTTTTATTTTCTTGTACTGTCTTTGTCTCGTTTTGTTGTTAGGAAAATGCTGGCCTCATAAAATTAGTTGGAAAGGATTCTGTCTTTTTCTATCCTCTACAAGTGATTGTAGGTAATGGATAAAATTTTTTCCTTAAGTGTTTGGTAGAATTCAGGAGCAAACTCATCTGGGCCAGGTGCTTTCTGTTTTGGATGGTTGTTAATTATGTATTCAATTTCTTTTATAGATATAAGCCTATTCTAATTGTCTATTTCTTCTTTTGTGAGATTCCATGGATTGTGTCTTTCAGTGGTTCATTTTATCTAGTTTATCAAATTTGTCAGTATAGATTTGTTTGCAGTATTCCTTTATTTTCTCTATATTGCCCATGGGATCTCTAAGGATGTCCCCATTTTATTTCTGATATTCGTGTCTTCTCTCTTTTATTTGTTAGTTAGCTTGACTATAATTTTATCAGTTTTATTCTTTAAACAACCAGCTTTTGTTTTCATAGATTTTCTCTATTGACTGGTTGCTTTCAATTTCATTGATTTCTGCTCTAAACATTATCATTTTTTCTTCTTCTTACTTTGAATATTATTGGCTCTACTTTTTCTGGTTTTACGAAGTGGAACCTTAGATTGTAGGTTTTAGATATTTGTTTTATTCTAATATTCAGTAGTATAAATTCCCCTCCACTGCTTTTACTGCATCCTATAAATTTTAATAAGTTGTGTATATTTGTTTTTACTTACTTTGAAATATTTTAAAATTCCTCCTAATATTTCCTCTTTAACCCATTTGTTATTTAGAAGTATGTTCTTTAATCTCCATGTGATTTGGGGTTTTATAGCTATCTTCTTGGTATTGAATTCTAGTTTAAGTAATTGTGGTCAGAGAGAATACATTATGATATCTATCCTTTTAAATTTGGCAAGGTGTGTTTTATGACCCAGAATGTGTTCTATCTTGGCGAATTTTCCATGTGAGCTTCAGAAGAATATGTATTTTACTATTGTTGGATGAAATAGCCTATAGATGTCAATTATACCTAGTTGTTTGATAGTGTTATAGGGTTGAATTATGTAATTATTGATTTTCTGCCTGATGAATCTGTTTGTTTCTGATAGAGAGAAGGGTGTTAAAGTCTCCAATTATAATATTAATTGCATATTTTTCTCCTTGTAGTTCTATCTGTTTTTGCCCCATGTATTTTAACGCTCTGTTGTTAGGTTCATACACTTTAAGGATTGTTGTGATTTCCTGAGGAATCCACCCATTATTAAGTAATGCTTCACTTTATCCCTGATAAGTTTTCTTGCTCTGAAGTCTGCTGTATCCAAGTTACTATTTCTATCCCAATTTCTTTTGGGTTGGTGTTAGCATGGTATAGCCGTCTCCATCCCTCTACTTATAATCTAAATCTTTCTTTATATTTAAAGTGGGTTTCACGTAGCCTACATATAGTTGTGTCATGTTTTTTGTTCCCTTCAATGTATATTTTAATTGGTGCTTTTAAAACACTGACATATAAAGTGATTATTGATATATTTGGATTAATAGCTACACTATTTATTACTATTTTCTATTTGTTGCCCTTTTATCTCTATTTTTCCACTCTTTTTCTGTATTTTGTAGTTCTTATTAAGCAGTTTGTGTGTATGATTTTATTTGCTTTGCTTCATAGCACATCAATTATAATTCTTTTTCTTTTTAGTTTTTTTAGTTGTTGCCCAAGAGTTTGCTACATACATTTACAACTACTCAAGTCTACTTTAAAATAACATTATTTAAAATAGTGTAAGTACTTTATAGTAACATAACACAAATGGTCTCTGACTTACAATGGTTTGACTTACAATTTTTTGACTTTTTGATGGTGTGAATGTGATATACATTCAGTAGAACACATATATCAAGTTTTCATATAAGCATTCTGTTTTCATGTATTTAATAAATTATACGAAATACTCAACTTTTTAAATAAAATAGGCTTTATGCTAGGTGATTTTACAAAACTATAGGCTAATGGAACTGTTTTGAGTACACTTAAAGTAGGCTAGGCTAAGCTACCGTGTTCACTAGATTAAATGTATTAAATGCATTTTTTGACTTACAATATTTTCAATTTATGATGGGTTTATTGGGACATAACCCCATTATATGTCAAGAAGCATCTGTATTTTTAATTACTCTCTTCTATCCCTGTACCAATATTGTCATTTATTACACGAATACATAAGCAATATTCATCAACTACATAGTCATTATTGGTTTTAACAAACTGTAATCTATCATATTAATAATAAAAAACAAAGATTTATTTTATCTTCAGTCATTCTGTCTTTAGTGCTCTTCCCTTCTTTTTGTAGATCTACTCTTTGATCTCTATCATTTTTCTTCTCTCTGAAGAACTTATTTTAACATTTTTTGCAAGCTAGGTGTACCGGCAACAAATGTCTTCAATATCTGTCTATGTGAGAAAGTATACTCTTTCACTTTTAAAGGATAAGTTTGCAGGATACAGAATTCAAGGCTAGTTCTGTCTCCCACCCTCTCTCACTAATCAAGACTTAAAATATTCACACCACTCTATTGCTTGCATGATCTCTGATAAGTCAAAGGTAATTCTTATCTTTGCTTTTGTATAGGTAAGCTGTTTTTCACCCTCTGGCTTCTTTCAAGGTTTTTTTCTTTATATCTGACTTTGTACAGTTTTAATATAATATGCCTGGATGTAGGCTTTGGGTTTTGAATGTGTCTGTTTTAAGTGTATTCTGCTTGATGTTCTCTGGACTTCCTAGATCTGTGGTTTCATGTCAGACACTAAGTTGAAGACATACACAGTCATTATTACTTCCAATATTTCTCTGCCTATTTTTCTCTCCTTCTACTATTTCTATTTGTCTCATACCTCTTGGATTTTCTATTTTATTTTTTCAGTCTTTTTTCTTTTTGATATTGTAGTTGTGGAAGATTCTATTGACCTGTATTCAAGTTCAGACATTGTTTCCTCAGCTGTATATAGTCTACTAATGAGCTCATCCAAGGCATTCTTTTTATTTTGGTTACAGAGTTAACATTTATTTTTATTGTTTCTTAACATTTTCTTCTCTTTCCTTACATTACCCATCTATTTTTTCCATTTTGTCTAATTTTTCCATTACTGCCCTTGCTGTATTCATTATAGTTATTTAAAATTGCTTATCTGATAATCTCAACATTCCTTTCATATCTGTGTCTGATTCTGATGCCTTCTCTGTCTCTTGAAACTCTGTTTCCTTAGTATGTTTTGCAATTTTTAGTTGAAAGCTTGACACAATATACTGGATAAAATGATAAAATGAACTATAGTAAATGAGCCTTTAGCAATGTGGTGGTAAGATGTGGTCAAATAGTTTCTCTTAAGGGCAGGCCTTGTTAAGAAGAACACAAGACTTTGAGATATTTCAGAGGGTTACTTTTTCCTCCCCTCTTCCAGAGGCACAAAGAAGCTTTTCTAAGCTCTGTACTGCAAAAACCAGGTAAAGCAAAACTCACAAAATATGGACGTGCCCTCTAATACTGGATTCCCTGGAGTTTTTAACTCTCATACTTGTCCACAATGAGCCTCCTGCTATTTGTCAGTTACAGTTTAAGTTTTCTTACTCTGTTACTGGTTCTAACTTAAGGTTTCTGTCTGAGGGTCTCTGCTGTGGTCAGGTGTAGTTCTCTACAAAGAGTTTTTGGTTTGAAATTTGTTTAGATTTATACTTGTTGCTAAGGTGGAGTAATGACTTTCAAGCTCCTTACATGCCAGACTAGAAACTAGATGTCATAATCTTGTTTATTTTGCCTTCATATATTATTCTCACTTCCCAAATCACTCTGTATTATTTGTTTAATATATAACTATAAAGTATAAACTAGTTTACCTCTTTTGTCTGTCTCTCTAACTAGAAAATGATGAATATCTCATGAAAGCATGAACTTGTATGCTTCCTGACTGCTGTATCCTTATGACATATAATAGTGACTAGCACCCAGTGGGCTATCCTTGATTATTATTGAATGAATAGATGATTCCTGGAAACATATGATAAGTTTGTTACTTGGTGTTTTTGTGATTTTGTGATTTAGTTCAGATTTCTTCACTTATTTGTCCTAGAATTATAGCAGATTCATTCAGTGTAAATAACACTCTAAATATTCCTTTGAAACAGCATTTTATCATTATGTGGGCCAGCATCAATAATAAGAGTTGGAAATATCTCCACCTATAGCTGTGCTTTTAAGCACAATTATCTGTAACAGTCAGTGTTGGCTGCAATCTCAGTTGGATTTGGTTTCTTAAAAAATAAATAAATGCAAAGCCAACAATGGGAAGCAGTATGAGATAGATTTAAAGATGAATACCAAAATAAAGGTTATTGTTATGTGACACTGATGGGTTTCAGGTAACCCAATAGGCCTTCTACTGCTTGCTGAGAGTGTATTCATCTCTACCTTTAGAAGTCCTGAATGCTACACACTGATAGAGATTAGCATTGTGATTCTGGGCACAATTAGATGCCAAATCTTCAATCAAGCTTCTCTTTAGTAACCTTTCCAAATACTGACCTTTTTGTTATCATTGTAATTTGCTCATGTGATTGTTTGTTTCCCCTATGTTTGGGACTCTTTATGCTGTTTATTTACAATGACCTCTGGACATTCCACATGGCATGTATTAAAGACATAATAAATGAACTATTAGGTTGGTGTAAAAGTAATTGCGGTTTTTGCTATTATAAACTATAATAATCATTCTATTTTTTAAATAAAAATGCTCCTATCTTGGAATAATTGAATGCCTCATGGTAATTATAAACAATTTTACAAACTATGATTATTTGAGAAATCAATTTTGATAAATTCTGTCTCAAATTCTAGTGATGATCATCATCTCTTTCAGACTATAAGTATAAAATTATCCTTTATAAATGAAGTCGACTTGGTCTCTAACTGCTTAAGATGAATAAGTCTTCTATATTAATAACAATGTTCTAATCTACAACCTACAGTAAAGATCAAATAAAAGCTTTGTTATAGGATTTTATTTTTCTTATTTTTTATTAAAATTTTGTTTGTAATCAAGTTTGTTGATTACAAGTAAGGTCCAAACTGCTGTCATTATTGTATGTATTATTCTGCTCTCACTGATTCCCTAATTCTCTAGGGGTTCTGTAAGCATGGTCTAACAAAACTATGAGCACATGTATTATGGGTTTCCTTCTGTTTTGATGATTAGTAATGTAGCAATTGATTACACCAAAGAGTTAACCAATCTGACTCAATTGAACCTACAAACGCCAACAGTGGCTATTTTAATTCAAAGTTCTTCAAGTCAGTGTTAGATAAGTATAATGATCAGATTTCATAAGGTTTTGTGCTTTAACAGCCATGTATTCTCAGAGGCTTCAAAAAACAAACATTTATGTCTTACTTACTTTACTTTATGGTCTTGAGTACACTGTAGCTCTATTGGGCTCTCTTGGCTTTGCTGTTTTATGCTGGATTCACTAGACTCTGTGGGGCCTGTATATTCTAGGCTCAGCTAGATTTGGTTAAACATGGCTCCACAAGTCTTCTCATTTCAGAATCTACACTGAAGGAATGTATTCATTACCTAGGACATACTATTTTAATGATGAAGAGTCAGAGCAAGAGGGCACAGCACACAAAAATTACATTTAAAACATCTGTTTATATGCAGCAAAATAACATGGCCAAGAACAAAGCCAACAAGGCAGAGGAAAAATGGCAAGAAAAAGGATGGAAGAAATGCTAGTCAGTAAATAGTTCAAACTATCACAGAATAATGATTCACCAATATAAACCTCTTTATCTTCAATTTTCATCACTTAACATAGATCATAAATATTTTATAACAGAAAGGTCACCAGTTATACAGTATCATTAAAGGTAAAAAACAAATACCAAATATTTTTGTTTTTCTAGTTATTAAAAATATTACTAATTAATGTATCTAACAATTCTTAAATCTATTAGTTTCTGACTTGTACCTTTTGAAAAATATGTTTCACACATTTAATTTCAATCTAGTTTTCTAGGTTTTTGTTTTTAAGTTTTTACTGAGAAAAGACAAATGTGTGTATTTAGAAACAACTTTAGAACAACCAGCTGATGTGGCAGTTTTGGAAAGGTAGTTAAAAATTGAATGGATAAACATGAATATTAATATGTCTAAAGCAATAGGTTCATTGATACATCATGCCATACCTGCATTATAAAAATATATTTTTTTAAGTATTTAACTTGGTTGTATTTCTAAAATGTGCTCGAAACTTTGTAACCTTTCTCAACTGCCAATAGAATGTATTTTAACATAATATGTCATAACGTAGTGTACATAATTTAGATGAGGAATATATATATATGACTTTATATTCATCCTTTAAAATTCACTATGAGTGGCCAACATTGGCAAGATTCAGATTAGGATTTATGTGCAGATCTATTGGAGCAATAGGCAAATGCATCAAACAATGGTAAAATCTTCAAAAACAGATAAGGATGGTGTAACTGTTAAATGGATAGAAAATGGAGCTACAAAATACAAAGATATTGACCTGATCAGCATCTTTCCCTTAACCCTGACCTTGTAACTGACAGAAAAAAATTAACCCAGTATAGAAACACCCTCATCTCTAACATCTTCAGGCAAGTTAAACAAGATTGTAAAGAATTAATGGACTGTAGTGGCTTCTATTAACAATGACTCTCCACCAAGAGAGATAAAAAAATCATTGGTTCTACTCATGCACACCTGGTCAACTTCCTGAACAGTTTTTCTCTGCACAACAGAAGATACGTAGAAAATCTAATTGCAGGCAGGGCGTGGTGGCTCTCACCTGTAATAACAGCACTTTGGGAGGCTGAGTTGAGTGTATAGCTTGAGCCCAGGAATTCCAGACCAGCCTGGGCAACGTGGCGAAACTCCATCTCTACTAAGAATACAAAAAATTGGCCGAACGTGATGGTGCATGCCTGTAGTCCCAGCTACTTGGGAGGCTAAGGTGGGAGGACCACTTGAGCCTGGGAGGTAGAGGGTGCAGTGAGCCAAGATTGTGCCACTGCACACCAGGAGTAAGACCCTGTCAAAAAAAAAATCTAATTGTGTAAAAGAAGTAGAAAAATTAAAAAGAAAATAAGAAAAAAGTGACTTAAGCAGAAAGAATTTAAAGAAAAAAATAGCCCAGGATGTTGATGCTACAAACCCAAATTATAAAATTATGTATATAATCAGAGACTTTAGAGGAAGTTTGGATTATAGACACTAACAACAGAATATCCTATTAATGAACACGGTTATATGTATTTGTGTGTAAATTAGTTCAACATTTCGGAAGACAATGTGGTGATTCCTCAATGATCTGGAACCAGAAATACTATTTGACCCAGCAATCCCATCACGGAGTATATACCCAAAGGATTATAAATCATTCTACTATAAAGACACATGCACACATATGTTTATTGCAGCACTATTCACAATAGCAAAGACTTGGAACCAACCCAAATGCTCATCAATTGTAGAAGGGATAAAGAAAATGTGGCACATATACACCATGGAGTACTGCAATACTGTGCAGCCATAAAGAAAAGAATGAGTTCTTGTCCTTTGCCAGGACATGGATGAAGCTGGAAACCATTATTCTCAGCAAAGTAACACAGGAATAGAAAACCAAACACTACATGTTCTCACTCATAAGTGGGAGTTGAACAATGAGAACACATGGACACAGGGAGGGGAGCATCACACAGCAGGGCCTGTCGCGGGTAGGGGGCAAGGAGAGGGAGAGCATTAGGATGAATACCTAATGCATGCAGGGCTTAAAACCTAGATGATGGGTTGATGGGTGCAGCAAACCACGATGGTACATGTAGACCTATGTAACAAACCTGTACGTTCTGCACATGTATCCCAGAACTTTAATAAATTAAAAAAAAAAAAAAGAAACACCCACCCAATAAAAAAGGTTTACCACTAGACCACTAGGCTACATGTGTTGCTTATGGGCAGACTGGATATAGAAAAACTCACCACTATAGGTGGTGACTTTTTAGGAAAAATCAAGATTATTCTAAAGGAATTTATGCATTAGCAGCTCTATTTTTTTTAATGCTAAGGAAGCCAAACTCTAAGAAGCTAGAATGTCAAGTATATGATACCTTTTTTGAAATTTATAGTGGGAAGATGTTTGACTTGCTAAATAGGGAAACAAAATTAAGAGTGCTAGAAGATGCAAAACAGCAGGTTCAAGTGACAAGATTATAAGAATGGGAGGTCAAATGTGTTGACAGTGTACTTAAACTCATTGGCATAGGCAATAGTTGCAGAACTTCCAGTCAAACGTGCAAATGTACATTCATCTTAGAGCCATGTAGTATTTCAGATCATTGGTAGAAGGGGAAAAATGCTTGAAAATTTTATTTCATCAATTTGAAAACAAATGAAAAGAGGAGGTTATACTTCCAGTATGGGCAGGCAAACTAGGCTTGAAGGTGCTGAAGTTAATAAAAACATTTTAGTACTAATGAAATGTATCAAATCCTTAGGTAGAAATAAACCTCATACTCCTTTCTGAGCAAGTAAACTCACTCAGGTGTTAAAGATGTTATTTACAAATTAGATAGAATTTTTCATAATCTGAATTTAAAATCATAAAATGTGTGCTTATAATTTTTTATCATTTTCATTGTAAAGAACTAAATATGTAAACTAGTTGGTATATGATGAATACTAACAAAATTCTGAAAAAAAACTTTGCTCAAAGAGTGGATCAGTTTTTGACTTTTTCCTCTTTCACTATTTCCTTCTTATTTTTAAAATACAGCTACTAAACATGAAACCATATATTGCAGTACACAGGCAGAGAAAGAGATACTACATAAATTTCTACCCGATGAGATAATCTCATTATACTAAACCACTATCCATTTCTAGTTGCTCCCTCCTCTTACAAGTAGTCTTCCTATCAATTTTCTAGTTGCTTTGGTTTAGCATAAGGCATAACTGGAAAAACATACAAAAAGAAATATCTGTGCTTGAGTACACACAGAGGAAACTGGGACATCTGTAAAAGTGACTAATGCTAATAATCTGGACGTATTCAACTTTGTCAAGCGAAGGTGAGAAAATTTCCTTCCCTGATTGTCTGAGAAGCCATAAGAACCCATCTACATATGGTTCACACAGTCTGCCTTCTTTCTGAGAAATCCCAGAAATGATTTTCAGTAGAAAGCCCACCAGTCCCATTTACTCTGCATGAAAGAAGAGTGAATGCCACTAGACCTGCTGCGAGTGACTTTTTGCTCCTCATTTAATCACAGCAAGAATCATTTTCACACAGTAAGGGATGGGAGACTTTCAAACTAATAAAAGCATAGTTTCCAGAGAAATTTGCAAGAATGATGGTAATGACTAGTAGAAATTATCCAATAAAATAATAGTAAAGCTATAAGTGGAAACCACAAGACTAAGAACATTGTCTACAGAGTATGTGGGACTCTTCACTTGAGACATAAAAACAAATCCTAATACTACAGACATAATTTGGACTGGAAGTTGTCAATAATAAGTGAGCAGTATTTTAAGGAACTTAAAATACATTACCAAAGCAAACCACTAAATTATTTCAGTACTTGCTCTTTGTGTTGACCAATTTAAGATACTATATTTACATCATAAAACTGGTATCAGCTATTATTTTTCTTTTTCTCTTTCTTTTCCTTCTTGCATTTCCTCCTACACATCTCAATATTAAAAGTTTTGTTATTATTTTGTTATTCATTCCAGTGAATGAATAAATACACATTAAGAAAGATTATATATATACTGTAAGTTTCCCATTCGTGACACTTACAAAGAACTTCCACTGGATGTAATTATGTTGATATTTAGTTGTCTAAGTATTGGGCACATAGATACAAGCAATGCACTTATTTAACCATTCTCAAAAGAGATGGAATCTGATTTCCATAGAAAATTATTTTTTGTTCTATTGTATCTGTAACTCAGTCCCTTTTATTAGTTTCTTTTTCACTTAAACTTTTTGAAATATTACAATAATTGTATTTTCACACACAGTTGTGCAAAATAAAACAGAGACACCTGCACATACAATACAGAATAGTTTTATGACCACAAGAATTCCTGATGTTGACCTTTTATAACCACACAATATCCTTCTCCCCAACCTACCTTAAAACTGGGCAAGTTCTAATTAGTTTTCCATTTCTATGCATTGTATTTTAAGAATGTTATATGGAGATGTCAGAGAAAATAGCAAAGTAAGGAAATCTGAAATTCTACTTGTCCTTAAAAGCAATAAAGAAAACAGATTAAGCAATGTGAGAATCAACTTTTTGAAAAGTTATCCAAAAGCTTTCAGCCACACAAAAACTTGCAAGTACCTGTTTTTCAGAAAAATGGCTCTCTGTAAGAACAGTGAGCTTTGAAGAATTTTAACTTGCTCTAGCCCTTTCCTACACTCTCCAGCTCAGCAGTAGCATTGAAAATAATAGCGTATATTCTCAGTACTGGAGGGAGAAAAACAAATCTCATTCTCAAAAAAGGATCATTATTTCTTCTGTCTGGTAGCTCCCTGAAAGAACACCCAAAAATACTTGTCTTATTCGGTCTCACTCAGAACTCATGCAGTGCTAAATCATTATGTGGGGTTGTGTATTAAAACATTTAGAGGAAATATTTTGATCACTGATGCCTGAGGCAATGTGTAACAGTTGGGAGAAACAAGAAGCTACCCATAAAACATGGAAGAAAATGCTTAGAAATGAGATGTACATAAGGGATTTTAAAAGTTACTGGGAATCTAGAAGTGAAAGTGCATGCCCATGGCTGTGCACTTGCTCAGCACAGACCTGACATGTCTCTAAGCTTTAATTTCTGACTGGTGTTGAAGCTCTGAACAAGCAGGAAGTTACAGCTAAGGGAGAGTTGTAAACTTCCCTGCTGAGTGTTAAAGAAATGACCAAACTTGCACACAAAACCTCTCCACAAAGTTAGGGCATTTTTGCTTTCAGTCCTTTAAGAAAATCTTTCTCCATTCATTTCCTGAGTAAAATGTTAACTAATCAAACACTTCAATGGCTAAATAAGATTACAGACTTTATTGATTCAGTTCAGAAAAGTTACTTTAGTAACAAACAACAAATGAAAGCAAAAGCAAACTCTAGGAAGAAAGGAGAATCTGATTTGCAGGCTAGTCTTATTATAATATCCAAAATGACTAGTATTCAAGGTATTACAAGGTATATAAAGAAATAAGCATATGATCACACACAAGATAAAAATCAGTCAATGGAAACTGTGCCTGGAGAAGACTAGATGTTAAGCATACTGAGGAAAAAATTTAAACAATCTATTATAAATATGTTCAAAGAGTCAAAGGTAACCACATTTACAGAATTAAGAAAAAAATGTAAGACCAATCCATCACAAAATGGAGAAAAAGATTAATATATAAATTATTTTTAAAAAGCAAGATACAAGTTCTGGAGTAGAAAAATACAACTGAACTGAAAAGTTCACTAGAATAGACAGCAGATATGAACAGGCAAAATAAATATTCAATGTATTTCAATACAGCAATTCAGATTATACACTCTGTAACAGAAAAAAAAAGAAGAAAAATGAACAGAGCCTAAGGATCCTGTTGGACAGCATAAGTGTACCAACATATGCATAATGGGAAACCAGAAGAAATAAAATGGCAAAAAATATTTAAAGGTAATGGGGAAAATATTCACATTTTCTGAAAACCCTCTACTTGCACATTTAAGAAGATAAGAAACTCCTAGAAGGATAAACCAAAACAGATACACATTTAGATGCAACTTAATCCCACTGCCAACTATCAAAAACAAAGAATTTTGAAAACAAGAAGAGAGAATTGAATCATTATGTACAAAGTATCTTCAATAAAATAAATAGCTTATTTTTCACCAGAAACCATGAAGGAGTAATTAAGACACTGTATAAACATGATGTTAGGGCGTTTGTCAGTAGATGACAGGAGCTATGAGAAATGATAAAGTCCTTCAGGCTGAAATAAGAAGACAGTTGTTCAAATCTTCATAAAATATTTTTTTGAAAAAATACAGTAAATGTAAATATAAAAGTTATGAAAAATAGATAAACAAATGTAGTTTTTGTTTATACTTCATTTTCTTCTATTTTAAAGGACAACCATATGAAACATTCTTAAATATCTCTGTTGATAAAATACACGATGTATAAAGATGTATCTCGTTTCATAAAAAGCATAAATAGTCGTTGACAAAGCTATAAACAAAGGTTTTACATGTTATTGAAATTAAATTGGTATTAATCCAAACTAGGTTGATGTGAAATTATATGATTATTATAATTCCCAGGGAAGCCACTAAGAAAATAATTAAAAATATGTAATTGAAGAAATGACAAGGAAATTAAAATGACACACCAGAAAATATCCCTTTAATACAAAATAAGGCACTTAAAAAGGTATTAAGGAACAAAAAATATAAGACATATAGAAATCAAATAATAAATGGTAGAGATAAAGCCCATCTTGTCAGTGGTTATGTTAAATGTCAATGGATTAAATTCTCCAAGTAGGGAAGAATCAACATAATTCAACGTTGTTGTTTCTTTGAAAAGATCGAGTAAATTGACACACCTTTGGTTAAATTCACTAGGCAAAAATGAGAGAAATTTTAAATTGCTAAAATTAGGCATTAAAGTGGGGATATTGCTACCAACCTTACACAAATAAAGAATTATAACGAAATATTATGAACAACTGTATTCCAATTTATTAGGTACCATATTTGAAATGCACACATTTCTAGAGAGGCCAAAACTATCAAAACTAATTGAAAAAGGAATAAATCAGAATAAATTTATAAAAATATGGAGATTAAATTATTAATAATGTTTAAAAAATCTTCCAACAAAATCCACTCTCAGATGGCATGTATTAGTTCCTTCTCACACTGCTATAAAGAAATACCCAAGACTGGATAGTTTATAAAGGAAAGAGGTTTAATTGACTCACAGTTCCACATGGCTGGGGAGGCCTAAGGAAACTTACAATATGGTGGAAGGCACCTCTTCACAGGGCGACAGGAGAGAGAATGAGAGTCGAGCAAAGGGGGAAGCCCCTTATGAAACCATCAGATCTCCTAAGAACTTACTATCACAGAACAACATATGGGAAACTGCTCCCATGATTCCATTACCTCCCACCAGCCCCTCTAGTGATACGTGGGGATTATGGGAACTACAATACAAGATGAGATTTGGGTGGGTTACAGCCAAACCATGACATATCATTACCAGTTATTTCTACTAAACATTTATTAAATAGCAGACCAGGCACGGTGGCTCATGCCTGTAATCCCAGGACTTTGGGAGGCTGGGGCGGGTGGATCACCTAAGGTCAGGAGTTCGAGACCAGCCTGACAAACATGGTGAAACCCCATCTCTACTAAAAATGCAAAAATTAGCCAGGCATGGTGGTGCACTCCTGTCATCCCAGTTACAAGGGAGGCTGAGGCAGGAGAATCTCCTGAACCTGGGAGATGGAGGTTGCAGTGAGCCGAAATTATGCCATTGCACTCCAGGCTGGGCAACAAGAGCGAAAGTCTGCCTTGGGGGAAAAAAAATTTTTTTTCAAGTATAATATTTGGAGTATATCAGTTTATTAGCTGGGCACGGTGGCTCACATCTGTAATCTTAGCACTTTGGGGAGTCAAGGCAGGGAGACACGAGGTCAGGAGATCGAGACCATCATGGCTAACATGGTGAAACCCTGTCTCTAATAAAAATACACAAAATTAGCTGGGCATGGTGGTAGGTGCCTGTAGTCTCAGCTACTCAGGAGGCTGAGACAGGAGAATCGCTTGAGCCTGGGAGGGGGAGGTTGCAGTGAGCCGAGATTGTGCCACTGCACTCCAGCCTGGGCAACAGAAGGAGACTCCGTCTCAAAAAATAAAATAAAATAAATAAAAAACTAGTTAATATTAAAACTTTATAAATTCTTCACTTAAATTTTACTTTTCTAAGGTCGTGAATCAGAGGCAGAGTTAGCATGCCTCTCCCTCTTGGAAAGACAAAATAGTATTTAGAGATACATAGTGTGAACTTTTCTAAAAAGGCAATGCAGGGAATTAACAGGAAAACTGAAAGAATTCACAGAATCTTTCAAAGAAGTGGCAGATTGCAACCTACATTGTGAGCCAGGTGAAAACTAGGAGTATGAGAGAAGGAGAGACTGCCTAGAGGATATACACCCCCACTTGGGAGCCTGAAAATCCAGACATAAGGGAAGGCCTTAACTCTACTCAGCACTGAACTGATTTAGGGAGTGGTGTGTTAGTTCATTTTTACACTGCTATAAAGAACTACCTGGACTGGGTAATTTATAAAGAAAAGAATTTTAATTGATTCACAATTCCACATGGCTGGGGAGGCCTCAGGAAACTTACAATCATGGCAGAAGATGAAGGGGAAGCAAGGCATGTCTTACATGGCAGTGGGGGGAGGGACTGTCAAACACTTTTAAACCATGAGATCTCATAAGAACTATCATGAGAACAGGATGGGAAAACCAAATCCATGATCCAATCACTTCCCAGCAGGTCTCTCGACATGTTGGAATCACAATTCTAGATGTGATTTGGGTGGGGAAACATAGACAAAACATACCATTCTGTCCCTGACCTCTCACAAGTCTCATGTTCTTCTCACATTTCAAACACAATTATGCCTTCCCAACAGTTTCCCAGAGTCTAAACTCATCCCAGCATTAACCCAAAAGTCCAAGTTCAAAGTCTCATCTGAGACAAGGCAAGTCCCTTCTGCCTATGAGCCTGTAAAATTAAAAGCAATTGATAGACTCACCGCTGCTACTGAGTATGTCTCTCCATTAAATGTCTTCTAAGCTTTCCCTTGATGAGTTATTTGACCAAACAGAACAGGCTTTTTTGTTTGTTTGTTTTGAAATTCCAAGGTGAAAAATGAATTAGCCCATTTAGAAAGAGTTGTAGAGCTTTAGAATTTAAAATAAAATATGCCAAGATTTACATTCAAGTGTTAGAAGTTGTTAAGCATAGCCAATGTTGTTTTGTGTCGGGAGCTATTTACTATATACTCAGCACTGTGCCAGGCATTAGAGATATACTAAAGAAGTATACCTTTTTATACCTCTGTAATTGTGCTTTTTGTGTTAACTTACTTATTTTACTTATTTTTCAAATTTGTAACATAATGTGTTATTTGGTTTGTTTTTATTATATTCCATTTACCTATTAATCTGATTGTGTTTATGGGAAAAAGAATAAAATAGCAATACACCTATATATCTTTATGTATATCTATATGTGTATAGACATATGTATTCATATATGCATATCTATATCATACATTTGTGTTTATGGTATCATACATATATGATAAATGACTAGATATATAGCTATATAAATATATGAATTCCTGTATGTCTAATCATGTGTCTATTAAATCAGAGCCAGAAACAAGAAGAAAAGGAAAAATTTAAAAAAATAATTTCTTCTTCCATTAAATCGGAAATATCAGTTTAGGGAAATGTATCTATTACAGATAAATAGAGACTGTTTCATTCTAGTATATAAACACATACTAATGATGTGGTTACTTGTATTAGATACAGAGTGGTGTATATCTTAAGAGTCTAAACAAGCTTTGGTCAGAGTCATTTAGTACTTGTTTTAGGCTCTCACATCTTTCACTGTTCGTATTCTGCCTTTGAATAAGAATTAATTTATCCTACTTAAGTGAGCAGAGAACCTCATAATCACTGTCTGCTGGAGAAAGCCTGCATTTCTTTATTTTAACGATACAAGTGATACTTTGAAAATCTAAGATCCAAGTTAAATGCTTTTGACTCAGTGCTGGGACTCTATCTGAATGAACGTCAACATTGTTAAATCTTCTTGCTGTGTGTATTAGAAAGTGAAAGTTTAAAATTGTTACTTTTTATTTTTGAACTAAGGCCAAGAGAGTAATTTTGTGCTATTGATTTAAGGTGATAATTTTATTCAATTAGTAGTTTTACATTAATGCATTTCCATATAGACAAGAATTTGCCTTAATAAAATATGAAATGTTTTCAGCTTTTAAGAAAGAATACCAGCATTGATTTAGTATTCTTTAAAAATTAGCCATCATTTTTCAGAAAAAAATTAAAAATTATATTTTAATATATACTTTTTGGTTAATCTTAGAAATATGAGTTAATTGATGCATTTGATTATAGGCATCTTATAAGTAAGGAAAGCATAATAGTATATCTTCTATATGGGTAAATTTCCATATATATTGATGTTCTTTTTCATGGCTAGCATACCCATTCCAGAATATTTAAAAATAATCTTAAGAAGAAGAATCTATTCTCCTAAAACTGACTAAACTTTAAGAGAAGATGATATTCTCATATTAGAAAGAAAAATTGGACATTGCCTTAAATTCTAAGTTTAATTAGTAACTTACTAGAAATTTATAAGATTTTGTCAAAATATTTCCCAAAGTGATTGTACCATTTTATATTTCCATTTTGTATTTTCTAAAATTGTAACAATTTGCATTATATTACACCCATTATATCACATTTATAGTAAAGTCACCATGGCCTAGAATTTTCTTTGTGATAAGATTTTTCAGAACAAAATTAATTTATTGTATTAGATAAAAGTTTACTTAGATTTTCTGCTTTACATTGAGTCAATTTTGGTAGTTATATTTTCACAAAATTAATGAGAGTTCCATTTCTTTACATCCTAGAAAGCATTTTGCATTGTCAAGTTATTTATTTTAGCCATTCTAGTGGGTACTATATGTTTTTGTTTTTCAGTGTCTAAAGATGTTGAAAATTGTTCATATGAATATTGGACTTTTTTTATCTTTTTTTGTGAAGTATCTTTTCAAATATTTTGACATTTAGGAGCATTAATTTTTTGTGTATTGAAGTGTTGGACCTTTGTATAAGTTGTGTATACAATTAATTTTTCAGATATGAGTTTGGTGCATATTTTTACCTAGTTTCTGCCATCTTTTTAATTACTTAATGGTGTCTTTTATAAAGCAGTAATTTTTAATATTGATAAAGTCTAATTTGTCTTTGTTTTTATTTTATAATCATTGTCTCCTTTCTGAAAATCAGTGATGCACTAAAGATGAAAGTATTTTTCTCGTTTTATTTAATAAATATTATCATTTTACATTTTACTTTTAATTCTGTGATTCATTTTGAATTAATATTTGTATGTAGTGTGAGATAGGAATAAATGTAAGTCTTATTTTTTCTTATTTTTATTGCTCCATGACAGTTTGTTGAAAACACTGTATGCCCTTCATTAAATTACCAGGGCATTGTTATTAAAAATAAGTTAACTATATATGTATGGGTTTACTTCTGGACTCTCCATTCTGTATCATTTATATATAGATTTATCATTGCTTCAATACTGCACTCTCTTGATTGTTATAAGTTCACAGTAAATCTTCATATCCCATGCATCATATATTAATCTTTAATTTCAAGTATTCTTTCTATTCTAGTTTCTTTACTTTTTCATATAAAATTTAGAATTGCTGTATAAATTATGTATAGATTATTCTGCAGAAATTTTACTCAAAATTGCATAGAACAAATAAGTCAATTTGGGAAAAAATAATAATTTCTCTACATTGAATCTTTCAATTGATAATGATGGTTTAAATTTCCATTTTTTTTGTTTGAAAATTTATTTCACCAATGTTTTGTGGTTTTGATGTAGAAGTCTTGACATATCTTAAAATATAGAAGTCTTGACATATATTAAAAATATTCTCTTAAATATTCTATTATACCTTTAATGCAATTGTATATGACTTATTTTAAGTTTTCAATTTTGTTCTTAGCATATAGAAATGAAATTGATACTGGCCTTTTATTCTGTGTCCTGCTAAATTTACTAACTAGTACTTGTAGATTCTTGTAGAGTTATAACAATGTCTATAATCATGATCATGCCATTTCTGAATAAAGATAGTTTTAATTTTTCCTTTTCTATCAGTTTGTCTTTTCTTTGTTTTGTCTTACTGCACTAAAGAAACATTATGTAAAATGCTTAATGCAAATGGTGAGTGCTAGTATCAAAAACTTGTTCCCAGTCTTAGGAAAAAAACATTCGGTCTTTATCACTAAGTTTGAGATTTTCTTCAGGTTTATCATAGATACCCTTTATCAGGATGAGAAAGCCTCTTTTGTTCTTAGTGTGTAGTAAGTTTTTTGTTTGCTTGTTTTTATTATGATGAATGTTGAATTGTATCAAATGCTTTTTGAGCATTTTGAGTTAAACATATTAGTTTTCCCCATCATGTTGTTAATGTGGTAAATATATTTTTTAAATTTTAATGTTAAACCAACTTTAGATATTATTGGAATATATTTTTTAAAAACATATTTTGTATTCAAATAGCTAATAGTTTCGGGAGGAAGTCACATCTATCTTCATGAGGGGCATTTGTCTATCATTTCTCTTTCTGTGTTTATCTGAATTTTATATCAGGATAATTTGGTCTTCCTAAAAGTTGTTAGAAAGTGTTCACTCCATTATTTGCTAAAAGAATTTATATAATGTTAGTGTTATGGTGATTTTGGATGCTTTCTGGAACTTACCAGTAAAATCCCCTGAGCCTAAGGTTTTTTTTTTGTGTTGTTGTTGGAAAGCTTTTGAAAACAAATTACACTGAGCCTAAAGTTTTTTTGTGTGTGGGAAAGTTTTTGAAAACAAATTACATTTCTTATTTTCTTATATTTCTGCTCAAAGTTTCTCTTTCATATAAAATCCACTTTGATGAGTTGTATTTCTGTAAAGAATTTGTGTATTTGTTCTTTAATTTAATTTGTACTGTAATTGTTCTTAATTAACTTTCAATTTCAAATTTCTCTATTATTTGCCTATCTTCTATTTTACTAAATTTCACTGTAATGTTTATCTTTTTTCTGCCTACTTTGTATTCAATTTGCTATTCATTCTTAGCTTCATAAGTTTAATGCCTATATCATTGATTTTAAAGCATTTTCCATTTCTAATGTAAGCATTTAAGGCTATACTTTAAGTTCTGTTGTTGCTGTATCCCACAAATGTTGATATGTTGTGTTGTCCTTATCATTCATTTCTATAAATGATCCTTACTTCTTAACTCTGTTTTGATTTTTTCATTGACCCATGGTGATATGGTTTGGCTGTGTCCCTACCCAAATCTCATCTTGAATTGTAATCACTGTAATCCCCACATGACGAGGGAGAAATCTGGTGGCAGTGATTGGATCATGGAGGCAGTTTCCTCCATGCTGTCCCTGTAATAGTGAGTGAGTTCTCACGAGATCTGATTATTTTATAAGGGGCTCTTTCCCCTTCGCTCCTCACTTCTCTCTCCTGCCACCATGTGAAGGTCATTGCTTCCCCTTTGCCTTCCACCAAATTTTCTGAGGCCTCCCCAGCCATGTGGAACCATGAGTCAATTAAACGTCTTTCCTTTATACAATATCCAGTCTTGGGTATTTGTTTATAGCAGTATGAACTAATATACATGGGTTATTTACAATAATGTTGTCTAATGTCCAAATTTTTTTAATTGATTTCTAATTGAATTCCTTTATGGTTCAGAGAACACTTGGTCTATAATTTTAATCCTTTTATAGTAATTAAGACTGGATTTATGGTCTAATACATGGTTTACCTTGGTCAATGTTCCAAATGCACTTGAAAGAATAAATGTATCTGTTACATGGAATGTTCTATACAAGTAATTTAGGTTATATTGTGTGATAGTGTTGTTCAATTATTCTATGTTCTAATTGATTTTCTATGAAGTTTTCAATTATTTGAGGGCAATTCTAGTGTCTCTAAATACAAATGTGGACTTCTCTGTTTCTTTCAGTTCTATAAACTTATGCTATTAATTTTCAGACTTATTAAGTATAGTCTGTACTTAATAATAATTTCATTTGTAAGTGCCTTATTTATGATTTTTTTATTATGAAATATCTGTCTTTATACCTAGTAATATATTTTATTTTATAAAACACTATTTAAATGATCATACTTCACATAGTTATCATTTATTTGTAGTGAGAACACTTAATATCTACTCACTTAGCAATTTTCAAATATGCAATATATTGTTATTAACCGTAGTCACCATAAGGTATAATGGGTATCTTGAACTTATGAGTCTTTCCTAATTGAAGTTTATTGTCCTTTGATCACCATTTCCCCAATATTTTTACCTTGCAGCCTGTGGTAACCACCATTTTACTCTTTATTTTTATGAGTTCTACATTTTTAAATTTGACATATAAGTGAAATCATGTGGTTTTTGTCTTTATATGCCTGGATTATTTATTTAACATAATGTCGTTTAGGTTTATCCATGTTGTTGCAAATGACAAAATTTCCTTATTTTATAAGGTAAAATAGTATTTCATTGTGTATGTATACATTTTCTTTATTTATTCATCCATGGATGGGCACTTACATTGATTTCACATCTTGGCTATTTTAAGTACTGCTGTAATGGACATGGGAGTGCAGATATCTCTTTGACATACTCATTTCATACCCTTTGAATACATACCCAGTAGTTAGATTGCTTGATCATTTAGTACTTCTATCTTTAATTTTTGAGGAACCTCTATAATATTTTCTATAATGGCTGTACTAATTTGCATTCCCACCAATATTGTGCAAGGTTTCCCTTTTCTTATCATCTTCACCAGCACTAATCTTTTTTTTTTTTTATAATTGCCATTCTATCAGGTGTAAGGCGATATCTTATCATGTTTTTTTATTTGCATTTCTCTGATTAATAATGATGTTGAACATTTTTTAATATACCTATTGGCCATTTGAATGTCTTCGAATAAACGTATATTCAGGTGCCTTTGCCCTTTTTAAACCAGATTATTTGTTTTCTTACTATTAAGTTAGCTGAGTTCCTTACGTATTTTAGATATATTTTAGATATAAGACTTTATCAGATATATTGCTTGCAAATATATTATCTTATTACATAGATTATCTCTTCAGTCTGTTGATTGTTTCTTTGACCGTACAAAAGCTTTTTAGTTTGACATAATCTCATTTATCTATTTTTGTTGTGTTGCCTGAACTTTTGGGGCTATATCTAAGAAAATCCTTGCCAAGATCAATGTAATGAAGCTTTTCACTTATGTTTTCTTCTCATAGTTTTATAGTTTCAGGTTCTACCTGTAAGTATTTAATTCATTTTGGGTTGATTTTTGTAGATGACAGGAGAAAAGGGTGAAAATTTTATTCTTCTACCTGTGGACATATAGTTGTCCAAACAGCATGTATTGAAGAGAATGTCCTATCCCCATTGTGTCATCTGTGCACCTTTGCCTAAAATCAGTTGATTATAAAAGCATGAATTGATTTCAGGGCTGTGTGAGTGTTTTTAGCGTTTCATTTAATCTCTTCTTTTGGCATATTCTTTTTATATAATTGTTTATTTGTTTAAGGTTTTACAACAGTTATCTTTAGTTTAACTTGTAGCATACCAAAACTTTCATCATCCAACTTTTTTTATTTTAGTTCTCCATATGTTGTAAACAGTTATTATTATTAATTAATTGTATTTTGAGATTACAACTGCATGAATATTGTGATGATTGCTTTATATTGTCTCAAAATTTACTGAGGATTTGCTAATATATACTTTTTTCTCTTTGTGCTTCAGTGTGGATAGTTTCTATTGAATTATGTGAAATTTACTAATCTTTTCTTCTGCAATTTGTATACTACTTTTGTCTTTCAAGTAAAATAATCATTTCAGTTTGTATTTTTCAGCTCTAGTATACCTTTTGTATACATATGGCTCTAATTGCACAGTGTGTTGTGCTACTTGATTACATTTTTAGAAATTTTTAATGGTCACCTAATAATTTTGCATATTTGTGAGATACAGAGTGATGTTTAAATATATATATATATATATATATATATATATATATATATATCTCATATGTAATTATCAAACCAGACTAACATGTTCAGCACATCAAACATTTTTCATTTCCCTGTGTTGGGAACATTCAAAATCATTGTTTATCGCTCTTTGAAATATACCATGAATCATTACTAAGTATAGTCTCCCTATAGTGCTATAGCAAACTAGAACTTATTCTTCCTGTCTAGCTATAATTTTGTATCTTCTAATCAACCTCTTTCTAACCCCTCTACTTTCTACACTTCCCAGATTCTAGTAACAATTATGTTATTCTCTACTTCTGTGAGATACAGTTTTGCCTTCTACATATGAGTGAGAATATGTGGTATTTATGTTTGTTTCTTAAAGTTTTTGTTTTAATTGTTCTTATTTTATGGATATATAATAAGTGTATATGTTTATGGGGTACATGAGATATTTTAATTCAGTGATACAATGCATAATAATCACTTCAGAGTAAATGGAGTATCCATTACCTCAAGGATTTATAATTTATTTGTGTTACAATCATTTCCATTATACTATTTTAGTTATTTTATGTAGGATAAACTATTGTTGACTGTAGTCACCCTATTGCACAATAAAATGTTAGATCTTATTCATTCTATCTAATTACATTTTTGTAACTATTAATCATTCACAGTTTTCCTTCCCCCTCTCCACTAGTCTTCATAGCCTCTGGTAACCATCATTCAGCTCTCTATCTCCATTGCACCAACTGTATTAATTTTTGGCTTCTACAAATAAGTGAGAACATGCAAAGTTTTTCTTTTTGTGCCTAGCTTATTTAACCTAACATAATGTCCTCCAATTCCTATTTTGTGGCAAATGACAGGATCTCACTTATCACTGAATAGTTTTCCATTGTGTACATATACCACATTTTCTTTGCCCATTTGTCTTTTGATGGATGCTTAGGATGTTTCCCAATACAGGCTATTGTAAATAGTGCTGCAATAAACATGAGAGTGCAAGTATCTCTTTGATATCCTGATTTCCTTGCTTTGGGGGATACACAATACCATGTTGTTTTGGTTACTTTGGCTCTGTGGTATAATTTGAAGTCGGGTATTGTGATTCCTGCAGTTTTGTTCCTTTTGCTCAGAACTGCTTTGGCTATTCTGTGTTGTTTGTGTTTTCATATAAATTCCAGGATTGTTTTTATTTTCTATTTCTGTGAAGAATGTCATTGGTATTTTGATAGAGATTGTATTGAATCTATACATTGCTTTGAGCAGTATGGACATTTCAACAATACTGCTTCTCACAATCCATGAACATGGAATATTTTTCATATTTCAGCATCTTCTTCAACTTTCTTCATCAGTGTTTCTTAGTTTTCTTTGTAGAGCACTTTCACTTCTTTCATTCAGTTTACTTCTAGGTATTTTATTTTATTTTATTTCTATCCATTTTAAATGGGGTTACTATCTTGATTTCTTTTTCAGAGTGCTCACTGTTAGCATATAAAGATGCTACTAAATTTTGTATGTTGATTTTGTATCTTATGACATCACTGAATTTGTTTATCAGTTATAATAGTATTTTGGTGGGGTCTTCAGGTTTTTCCAAATATAAGATCATATCATAAGCAAAAAGGATAATTTAACTTCTTCAATTACAATTTGGTTGCCCTTTATCTCTTTGTCTTGTCTGACTGCTGTAGCTAAGACTTCTAGTACTATGTTGAATAACAGTAGTGAAAGTGAACATGTTTGCCTTGCTTTAGATCTTAGAGGAAAACGATTTTAGTTTTCCCCCCATTCAGAATAATTATAGCCTAGAGTATGTCATACATAGCTTTTTCTTAATGTTGAGGTATGTTTATTCTATACCCAGTTTTTTTAAGGTTTTTATCATGACGGGATGTTGAATTTCAACAAATGCTTTTTCACTATTAATTGACATAATCATATGATTTCTGTCTCTCATTATGTTGATATGATGTATCACATCAATTGATTTGTAGTTTTCTGTTATTCTGTTACAAATATACGCATCATGTTCTCACTCATAAGTGGGAGTTGAACAATGAGAACATATGGACAAAGGGAGGGGAACATCACACACCGGGGCCTGTCGGGGTGGGAGAGCATTAGGACAAAAACCTAATGCATGCGGGGCTTAAAACCTGGATGACAGGTTGACGGGTGCAGCAAACCACCATGGCACATATATACCTATGTAACAAACCTGCACTTTCTGCACATGTATCCCAGAACTTAAAGTAAAATTAAAAAAACTATATATGCATCATTGTTCACAGATATATTGGCCTATAGTTTTCTTTATTTGATGTGTCTTGGTCTCATTTTGGTATCAAGGTAATACTGACTGGCTTCATAGAATACATTTGTAAGTATTCCCTCCTCCTCTGTTTTTTTTTTTTTTTTTTGGAATGATTTGAGAAGTATTGGTATTATTTCTTTAAATGTTTGGTAGAATTCAGCAGTGAGTCCATTCGTTTCCATGCTTTTCTTTGCTGAGAAATTTTATGTTATGCCTTCAATCTCATTACTTGCCACTAGTCTATTCAGGTTTTGGATCTCTTCATGATTAAATCTTGGCAGATTGTGTGTGTCTAGGAGTTTATCTATTTCTTCTAGGATTTTCAATTTATTGGCATATAGTTGCTCCTATTAGTCTCTGCTGATCCTTTGAATTTCTGTGGTATCAGTTGTAATGTCTTCCTTTGATCACTGATTTTATTTTATTTCTGACTTCTCTCTTTTTTTCTAAGTTAGTCAGGCTAATAATGTGCGGATTATGTATATCTTGTCAAAACACAACTTTTAACTTTTTCACATTTTGTATTTTTTATTTAAATTTTATTTATTTCTACTGAGCTTCATTTCTCTTCTACTAATTTTGGTTTTCAGGTCTTGGTTTTTTAGTTCTTTAAGATACATCATTTGGTTATTTCTTTGATTTTTGTATGTTTTTTATATAGGCACTTGCAGCAGTAAACTTTCCTCTTAGTACTGCTTTTGTGGTATCCCATAGGTTTGGGTATCTTGTGTTTCTATTTTCATTTGTTCCAAGGAATTTTTCAATTTTCTTTTTAATTTCTTTATTGACACACTGGTCATTCAGGAGTATATATTTTTTAATTTTGATGTGTTTTATACTGTCCGAATTTCCTCTTGTTATTGATTTCTAGTTTTATTGCATTGTGATCTGATTAGATACTTGATATTATTTCAAAGTTTTTTGAATTTTTAAGGCTTCTTTTGTGTTTTAACATATGATCTATCCCTGAGAAAGTTCCACGTGCTGAGTAGAAGAATGTGTATTATGCAGCCATTGGGTAAAATGATCTACAAATATCTATTAGATTCACTTCATCTACAGTGAAGATTAAGTCCAATGTTTCTTTGTGATTTTCTGTCTGAAAAACTTGTCCAGTGCTGAAAATGTGGTGTTGAAAAATCTAGCTATTATTGTATTGGATTTTTTCTCTCTCTTTACCTCTAATTATATTTGCTTGACATATCTGGGTGCTCTCATGTTGGGTGCGTATATATTTATAATTGTTACATCCTTTTGCTGACTTGACCTATTTTTTAATAGATACTGACCTTTTTTATCTCTAAAGGTTTTCATCTCCAAATCTATTGTATCTAATGTAAGTCTAGGTATTCATTTTTGGTTTCCATTTGCATAGAATATCTTTTTTCATCCCTTTGTGTTCTATCTATGTATGTCTTTATAGATAAACTCTGTTTGTTGTAGGCAGCAGATATTTGGGGCTTGTTTTTTATGCATTCATCCAATATATGTCTTTTAATTGGATAGTGTAGCCCATTTATATTTTTTGTTATTATTGATAAGTAAAAACTTATTACTTTCATTTTGTTATTTGTTTTCTGGTTGTTTCGTGGTGTCCTCTTGCTTCCTTTCTTTCTTCCGGTGTTACTTGTGAAAGTGATTTTCTCTGGCGATGTTTTCATGTCTTGCTTATTATTTCTTGTGTGTCTACTGTAGGTTTATAAATTTGAGGTTGCCATAGGCTTGAAAATACTATCTTATAATCCATTATTTAAACTGATGACAACTTAACACTGATTGTATAAACAAACTAACAAATAAACAAAGAGGAATTTAGTTAAAAACTCAACAGTTTACTTTCATGCCTTCACTTTTAAACTTTCTGTTGTTTCTATTCATATCTTATTACACTCTCTATGTCTTAAAATGTTATTTTAGTTATTGTTTTAATGGATGCAATTTTTAGTTATCCTACTCAAAATATGATAGTTTACATTCCACAGTTACAATGTAACAATATTCTATATTTGTTTGTGTACTTACAAGCAGTGAGTTTTGCATTTTTGCATGGTTTCTTATTGTTTATTAACTTTCTTTTATTTCAGAATGAAGAACTCCCTTTACCACTGCTTGTAGGACAGACCTGATATTGATGAAATCCCACAGCTTTTGTTTTTCTGGGAAAGCCTTTATTTCTCCTTCATATTTGTAGTGTATTTTCACTGGATATTCTGTTTTAGAATAAAGATTTTTATCTTTATGCACTTTAAATATATCATGCCACTCTGTCGTGGTCTGTAAAGTTTCCACTGAGAATTCTACTCCCAGACATATTGGAGCTCCTTTGTAGTTCACTTGTTTCTTTTTTCATGCTACTTTTAGGATCCTTTCTTCATCCTTGACCTTTGGGAGTTAGATTATTTAATGTCTTAATGTAGTCTTATTGGGGTTAAATCTTCTTGGTGTTCTATAATTTTCTTTTACTTGAATGTTTATATCTTTCTCTAGGTTTGGGAAATTCTCTGATATTATCTCTCTGAATAAACTTTCCACCTCAGTCTCTCTCTCTCTTTCTGCCTCCTCTTTAAGGGTAATAAGTCTTGGATTTGCCCCTTTGAGGCTATTTTCTAGATCTTGTATGCATGCTTCAATATTTTCTATGTTTTTATTTTGTCTCTCTTCAGCGTATTTTTAAATATCCAGTGTTCTAGCACTGCAATTCTTTCTTCTCATTGATGAATTCTGCTGTTGAGAAACTCAGGCATTCTTCAATATGTCAATTGGATATATTTTATTTCTAGAATTTCTGCTTGAATTTTTAAAAATTATTTCAGTCTGTTTAATTCATCTGATAGGATTGTGCATTTCTTCTCTGTGTTATCTGGAATTTCATTGAGCTTCTTCAAAATAGCTATTTTGAATTATCTGTCAGAAAGGTCACATATCTCTGTCACTCCAGGACTGATCATTGGTACCTTGTTTAGTTTGTAGTGAGGTCATGTTTTTTCTGGAGGGTCGTGATGGTTATGGATGCTCCTCAATGTCTGGGCATTGGAGAGTTAGGTATTTATTGTAATCTTTGTAGCCAGGCTTCTTTGTACCTGTCTTTCTTGAAGAGGTTGTTCAAGTATTCAAAGGGAATTGAGTGTTGTGATCTAATTCTGTGGTCACTGCAGCCATATGTACATTAAGAGACAACCCTAGCCCAATAACACTTTGACTCTTGCAGACTCATAATGGTAGCACCTTGGTGGTGTTGGGTAAAATCTGGGAAAATTCCCTGGATTACCAGGCAGTCTCTTGTTCTCTTCCCTTACTATGCTGTGTTGGTCAGGGTTCTCTAGAGGGCCAGCAATAATAAGGACATATGTATATATGAAAGGGAGTTTATTAAGGACAATTGATTCGCATGATCACAAGGTGAAGTCCCACGATAGGCCGTCTGCAAGTTAAGGAGCAAAGAAGCCAGTAGTGGCTCAATCTGAGTCCCAAACCTCAAAAGCAGGGAAGCCAACAGTGGAGCCTTCAGTCTGTGGTTGAAAGGCCTGAAAGCCACTGGTGTAAGTCCAAGAGTCCAAAAGCCAAAGAACTTGGAGTCTGATGTTTGAGGACAGGAAGCATCTAGCATGGGTGAAAGATGAAGCCCAGAAGTGCCAGGAAGTCTGCCTCTCCCACCTTCTTCTGCCTGCTTTATTCTAGCTATGCTGGCAGTTGATTGGATGGTACCCACCCACACTGAGGGTGGGTCTGCCTCTCCCAGCCCACTGACTCAAATATTAATGTCCTTTGGCAACACCCTCACAGACACACCCAGGAACATATTTTGCATCCTTAAATCCAATCAGTTTGACACAATATTAACCATCACATATTCCCTGAACAAATGGAGTTTCTCTCTCCTTGCTGAGCTGCCTGGAGCTGGGAGAGAGGAGAAACACCCCTGTTGCCACCACCACTGAGACTGTTCGGGGTCAGACCTGAAGTGAGCACAGTACTGGGTCTTACCAAAGGCCTGGGTGACTATTGCTTAGCTACTGGTGATGTTTACTCAAGGCTCAAGGGCTGTTTAGTAAGCTGATGGGTGGTAAATCCAGTAAGGCTTATGTCTTTGCCTTTAGGACAGCAGGTTTCCTTCTGGCCCAGAGTGATTCTAGAAATGCTGTTCAGGAACTAGGACCTGGAATATGAAACTTTAGAAATCTAATAAGTGCTGAATTTTACTGCACTGGCTGAACTGGTACCCAAATTGTAAGACAAATTCTCTTTACCCATCCTCTCCTGTCCTTAAGCAGAAGGAATTTCTCTCTGTGGCCACCATTACCATAGACCTGTGGTGAGCACTGCCTGGCTATCACTGATGTTTATTCAAGATCCCATGGCTTCTTAGTCAGCTTTTGATGTATCCTGAAAGGCCTCATTCACTTCCTTCAGGATAATGAGTTCTCTTCAGGCCCAGAGCAAGTCTAAAAACTGCCATCCAGGAGCTAAGGTCTGAAATTAGTGAGTTCACGTGTTTGCCTCATGCTTTATTTTACTACTACGGTTGAGCTGGTACCGAGGTTGCAACACAACGTCCTTTTTAGCCTTCTCTTTCTTTTCCCCAGTCAGAAGGAGTCCTTCCCTATGGCCACCACAGCTGGAAATGTGCTGAGTCACACCTGAAGCCAGCACAGTACTAGGGCTCATTGAAAGGCCTATGATGAGTACTGCCTGGCTGCTGCTGCTGTTTATTCAAGCCTAAGGGCCCTTTAGTCAGCAGGTGATGAATCTTGCCAGGACTGGGTCTTTCATTTCAAGGCAGTGGGTTCCCTTCAGGCCCAATGTGTGTCTAGAATGTTGTCCAGGAGATGGGGTCTGGAATGGGGGCTTCAGGACTCTCCTTGTTGCTTTATTTTACTATGGGTAAGCTGGTATGCAAGTTGAAACATAGTTTTATCTCCTAATGGCAGCATTTCTCCCTCTGGAGCTAAAACCTCTAGGCCAGCGTAAAATAATATTGTGGGAAAAGGAATGAAAAATGTTGCTAGTGGCTCACTAGGGGTGATGGTAAATGATGCCTCTTCCACTTCCACTCTTTGATTCCTGGACTCATGAATCCTGGCTATGGGAGAAAGAGTGCCACATATTGGACACTGATTCAGAGCCTACACAGCCTTCTGGAGAACTTTGTCTCAGCCCTCAAAGTATTGTCACGAAGCTGGCATTGTAGTTGTGACTTCAAAAGGCCATTTCACCATTATATCAAGCCAGCTGCTTTAGGATGATGGGGAACATGGTAAGACCAGGGAATTCTATGAGCATCAGCCCACTGCCACAATTCTTTAGCTGTGAAGTGAGTAGCTTGGTCAGAGGCAATGCTGTGTGAAATACCATGATGGTGGATAAGGCATTCCATGAGTCCACGGATGGTAGTCTTGGCAGAAGCATTGTGAGCAGGATAGGCAAACCCATATCTGGATGTAATGTCTATTCCAGTGAGGACAAAACTCTGCACTTTCCATGATGGAAGAGGTCCAGTGTAATCAACCTGCCATGAAGTAGTTGGCTGATCATCCCGAGGAATGGTGCCATATCGAGGGCTCAGCGTTGGTCTCTGCTGCTGGCAGATTGGGCACTTGGTGGTGGCTATAGGCAGGTCAGCCTTGGTTAGTGGAAGTCTATGTTGCTGAGCCTATGCGTAGCTTCCATCTCTGTTACCATGGCCACTTTATTCATGAGCCCATTAGGCTATGACAGGGTGGCTGGGGAAAGAGCCTGAGTGGTGTTCACAGAACAGATCATTCTATCCACTTGATTATTAAAATCCCCCTCTGCTGAAAATATACTTTGGTAAGCATTCACATAGGACATAAATATCTTCATAGTTTTTGACCTTTCAGAAAGTTTCATCCACATACCTCTTCCCCAAATTATTTTTTTGTCACCAATTTTCCAGTCATGCCCTTCCAATTCCCTGACCATCCAGCCAAACCTGATTCAACTTTCTGTTCCTTCCACCATTATCCCACACCCTTGATATCCATTCCCATACCCGTTCTCTGGGTTTCTGCTTACATAAATTAGAAAACTCGAGTAGTTTTCTAATTTCTTTTGGAGTGTAGCACACCTTCTCATGGGTCACACTATGAACCTCACCTCTAGGGGCCTGCCAGGACTTGAATCTAGTTATAGATCTAGAAGCAAAGAGGGGTGGTGGGGGTGGGTCCCGAAAAGAATCAGCCTAGTTTTGCCTGGCAACTGCCTCAGTGGAGGCTATCACTGCTGCCTCTGGCAGTGCATGGTTAATCTCCTCAGACAAAGGTGGAAAGGCTGATGGCAGCCTGGGTGGGGGAGGAAATGTTGCCACCACTTGGGATGGGGAAGCCATTTCCCCTGGCAGAAAAAAAGGCTTATCAGAATTTAGGAGCTCAGTGCCCCCAGCTTCATTAGGGTTCTCACGCACGTCCCCATCCCAAGTTACAGGGTCCAATTCTTTTCCAATCAATGCCCTCACTTTAACAGTAGACACCTGGTGAGGTTGCGCATGCACTGTTCATTGCAGGTCAGCCACTCACATTATAAGTGCTTGTGTCTGATTTTCTGCAATTTTAGCCCTTTGTCTACAGAAGATAAGACTCTGACCCAGGGAAATCTTAGAAGATTTGAAGCTAACTATGTGCTTCTGGAGCCGGGAGATAGAATCCATGAGCTCATCTTTTTCCTTCATCACTTTGTCCAGTGAATTTAGGAGCAACCAACCAACTTCATTATATTTCTTGCTTCTCCACAAATGCTCAAAGGATCATATATTGAGTCATTAATCTCCTTGCCTCTCACAAGCAATGAATAAGGCATATCAAATGCATTTATTTTGTATAACTCTCTAAATATTTCATGCCAAGGACTATCAGTTCTTAGTATCAGAAGTAGGGTCCTTAGCATTTTGGGGTATAATCATATTAAACAGCCAATGCCAGAAACCCCTAAACCAACTAAAGAAATCTATCCTTAAAATTCTGTTTCTCTAGAACCACTCCTAGTAGCAAAATCTTTATTAGTCAGAATTCTCCAGAGGGACAAAACTAATAGTATATAAGTGTATATGAAAAGGAGTTTATATGAAAGAGGTGGGATTGCACACTCCTAATGAATATTTAAATTTTACAGTTTTTTTTGAGAAGTATCACGAAAATCTGCATCATGAGCCTTTAAATATTCATACTTTTTAAACCACTGGTCCTATTTTCATTGTTTTCAAAAACAGGAAAAGACTTTCTTTACAAACATGGTCATTATCATATTGTTTGCAATAGTTCAACAATAACTTGAAAAATATGTACAATATAACTGAAAACAAAATAATACTTTACTATCATTAGAGAACTGTAAAATATTTACAGTTTTAAAAGTGGATAAGTCAAAATTAGAATTTGCAAAAATCCAACCAATTAATTATATTCAACCAAAATAAAATGATAATTAAAATGCAAATGGAATGTAAATGCTTCATTTTCATTTTTACGAAATGAAAACTCAAAATATTAAGCAGTTTTAACATATAGACAGCAGGAATTGTCAAAAGGCTCTGAATTATTAAAAGGTCATGATTTACAGGCAAACATAAAGATGAAACATAATAAAATACATGCATGATTTCAACCAACAATTCCAACTTCTTCTGGACAGATTTATCTTTATTGTAGGATATTTCTAATATGAGTTTGAAGTTTAAGCAAAGCAGACATACAGTTTATCCTTGAACAACACAGGCTTGAACTGCACAGGTCCACCTATACGTGGATTTTCTCCTGACTCGGCTACCCCTGTGACAGCAAGACCAAACCCTCCTTTTCCTCCTCCTCCTCAGCCTACTCAATGCAAAAATGACAAGGATGAAGATTTTATGATGATCTACTTCCACTTAATGAATAGTAAGTATATTTTATCTTTCTTTTGAGGTTTTTGAAACATTTTGTTTTCTTTAGCTTTATTATAATATTGTAAGAATACAATGTATAATACAAATAACATAGAAAGCTTGTTAATTGACTATGTTTTCAGTAAGGCTTCTGGTCAACAGTGGTATATTAACAGTTAAGTTTTGGGGAAGTCAAAAGCTATACGTGAATTTTTAACTGTGTGAGGGGTCAGCATACCTAACTCCTGCATTGTTCATGGGTCAACTGTACCATTTAGTATTAAACTTTGTTTTCATGCTGTTAGTCAACTTCTCAAGGATTCACTTGTTTAAAAAGTCCTTAGAAAAAGCCAAAAACACATTTGAAACTTATGTTTTGTCCTATAATCCATACTAGGTGATTAAAAATGTATATTTCAACTTTTGTTGTTGCTTTATAAAACTAGAAGGTGAGATTACACATTCAATGTTACTTATTAAGTTAGCCTGAATTAATCTAAATCATAATAAGGTTTGAAAAGCACCTAAGATGCTGGTTCAGAGGCAGTATATTTGTATTCATGATGAATCATTACCTATCTTATGGTTTGTCACTTTGTCATAAACAGGATATTGTGGTTTAATTATCATTGGTATCAGATCAGTGTTTTTATAATAGAAAAAAAACTTATCAGAGGGTATATTAAGATTTTGTTTTAAATGAATTGCACTTTAAATTCCAAGAACGACCTTCTTTCCTTCTTCTTTCATTCATGCAACTTATATTTATTGAATGCTAACTATGATGTAGGCATTTTTCTAGGTGTTGAGGATAAAGCACTGAAGAAAAACTATCCATTGCACTCATATACCTTATAATTTAGCAGATAAACAGATAATATACAAATAGCTAAGATTTGGAAGCAACCTAAATGTCCATCAACAGATGCACAGATAAAGAAAATGTGGTACATATACACAATGGAGTACTATTCAGCCACAAAAAGAATGATATGCTGTCATTTGCAACAACATGAATGAAATTGGAGATCATTATGTTAAGTGAAATAAGCCAGGCACAGAAAGACAAACATTGCATGTTCTCACTTTGGATTTGGATTTTTGGATATGTGGGATCCAAAAATCAAAAGAATCAAAAATCAAAAGAATTGATCCAAAAGTCAAAAGATTTGAACTTATGAATGTAGAGAGTAGAAGAGTGGCTATCAGAGGATAGAAAGGTTAGTGGGGGGCTTGTGGGGGGGAGGTGGGGATGGTTACTTGGTACAAAAAATAGAAAGAATAAATAAGACCTACAATTTGATAGCACAACAGTGTGACTAATATCAATAAAAACTTAACTGTACTTTTTAAAATAACTAAAAAATTGTAATTGGATTGTTTGTAATACAAAGGATAAATGCTTGAGGGGATGCATACCCCATTCTCCATGATGTGCTTATTTCACATTGCATGCCTGTATCAAAATATCTCATGTACTCCATGAGCATATACATATAATATGTACTCATAAAAATTTAATAAAATTAGAAAATAAAAGCAAAACAATCCAAAAAACAAATTATGCACTATAAATATTTTAACTGCTAAGAAGAAAAATAAAGCAGGATAAAAAATGTAATATGATCATACTTACATTATAGAACATCTATATTAAAGTACAAATGTGGGTCATGTTTGCAATTCAATTTTCAACTAAAAATACATTTGCTTCAATTGATTTCTTCTTGTCTATTTAATGTACTTGTTGTTGCCTGTGAGTAGGATACGATGTGCTTGGATTTCATAAATATGTGTGGTTTGTTTATATGTTAAATTTTCTCACAAGTCTTTCTTAACCTGTCTTACAAAAATACTTTTTATCAGAATCATGAAAGCGTTTAGGCAGTGAATTATTTCTTGCCTACCATAAAATGCAAGTTGGAACCTAACTAATATATTTGCAAATCACTTGTACATTCTCATATACAAATTAATCTTTACATTGATTGAAATTCAGCCTGCTTTAAGGCAGATTTGTTCTCTCTCTGTTTATTACCCCTCCTCATTCTTGAGGGTTTTGAGTGAGAGTGAGAGAGAGAGAGAGAGAGAATTTTTTTTTTTTTTTGAGACGGAGTTTCGCTCTTGTTGCCCAAGCTGGAGTGCAATGGCACTATCACAGCTCACTGCAACCTCCGCCTTCCAGGTTCAAGCCATTCTCCCTCCTCAGCCTCCTGAGTAGCTGGGATTACATATGCCCACCACCATGCCTGGCTAATTGAGAGAGGACTTTTAAAGCATTTTTATACCCAGGATTCCACATACTAGAATGAATTAAAAAAAAAAAACCCTATGAAACAGAGAATCTGACCAATAGAATGGCTCTGCTCTGTTTTATATGAGACTGGGTAGAGATAGGATGACGTCAGCATCTTTCAGGGTTATAACACAATATGGAGGAATAAGCAGGTCCAATAAATATTTAGTTTTTGACCCGAGAAGCAGAATAGGGGTACACCAAAGCAGTTAGAAAAGGCTAGTTACAGCAGAACACAAGGAAGATCTGAAAAAGGAAGGAACACTTTATACTAGGGATAGAACTTAGTTTAGGAACTATAAAGCGGAGTCATATTTGCACAGGGATTTAGTCCCAGGTATCCTTGTTTCTTGGGGCTGTTTTTATTGCTACTTGGGTACTTAATGATAATTGACATCTAGATTTCAAAGTAACAAATTCCTGGTGTATCCTGAAATATTTCCAGCAACTTTATTGGAGAATGTACCATATACTTTTGTACTTAAAAAGGGTTAAGATTTGGAAAGATAGAGAAAAAGGCAAAAACATAGCAATAATCATTTTTCTACTAAAAGTGGGATTCTCAAAGTTTGGCGTACATGGGAATCCACATCCCCTGGAGGGTTTGTTAATTCACATACTTTTGGTTTTGTCAACAGAGGTTCTGATTCAGTAGGTTTGGGAGGGCCTGAGAATTTTTATTTCTGACACATTCCCAGGTAATGCTCATTGTTTATCTGTGGACAACACTGAGAATCACTGACTAGCCTCATGAGTCTTTGGAGGGAGTGTTAGTACCATATTTTAAGTAAAGGCAAGATATAAGTTAATATGTAACTAAACATAGTAAAATTTTCATATTAAGATTGAAAAATAAATGGATTGTAATTCACATCTTTTACCTCTGTATTTGATTTAACTGTTCTAATATTGTGAAACAATATGAAATAGCCAAGAGACCTACTAATTTCTACTCTAGATAACATAGACTTTGGGCAAGCCATTGAAAACTCTGGACATCCAGTTCATTATCAGCTAGAATACCAGCTTTACTTTTATTAAAGTGTTGTGGGATTCAAATGAGACAATGTTTATTTTTAATCCATAAAATGAAGGGAATGTATTAGATCTGTGACTTTTTCTTAAATTTTGCCCTTATAGCCTTTAGATTCTGTAGAGGGACTCTAGCGAATACTAAAAACATAGTTTTTTTCCAACTTTTTAACTGAACTATTCAATGACAACAACAACCACACAAACTCCTGGACAAGACATACATTATTCATTAATTCCTGTCATTCATATAATAAATTTTATTGAGTAAAATGTCTTAAACAGATTCCTAATACCTACTGAATACTCATCCTTTCACAATTACCCCTAATAAAATCCTTATATATTTTAGGATACGGACAAATACAATTTTTTAAAATATATATTTCAATCAGCATCACAAAGGAGGTTGTCTGGGCCATGTGGCACATTTCTAGCTAATATGGCATGAGTGGAAGTTGTTGCAATGGAGAATACTTAGTTAGCATCTGTTCTTTTCATTTTGGAGTTTCTTTTTCTTTCTGACCATAATATGAATATGATAATTTATGCACTGGCAACCATCTTGATGGAAGAGGGAGAGACCCTAAATTTGGTGGGCAAGTGTACTAGGAGGAGGAAGTGAAGAATGATATCTTTTCTTCACTCTCTACCTCTAATCTTGTTTTATGTGAGAGAAAAGTTAACCCCTAACATTTGTAGTCCATGTCTTAGTTTCTTGTGTATTTCCCTTTTATATAGATTTTTTTGAGCTGAATTGAGTCCCCTCAAAATTTGTATGTTGAAGTTCTAACCTCCAGTACCTCAGAATGTGATGATATTTGAAGACAGGCTCTTTAAAGATGTAAGTGAGTTAAAATGACGTTGTTAGGATGAGCCTTAATCAAATATGACTGGTGTGTTTATAAGAAGAGGACTGTAACATGTACAGAGAAAAGACCATGTGAGGACACAAGAAGGAAATGATTGTTAAGAAGCCAAAGAAAGAGGTCTCCAAAGAAGCTACCTTACCAACTCATCGATGTCAGACTTCTAAATTATGAAATTGTGAGAAAACAAATCTCTATTGTTTCAGCCACTCAGTCTTTGGTACTTTTCTTATGGCATCCATAGCAAACGAATACACAACCAACCAAACCTAACTCATATGGGCTGCCTGTATTAAAACAAACAAACAAACAAAAAAAACCCACTCACTGTTCTACTAGATCTTATAACCTAGTTGGAAGTACAATGAAATAAGCAATCACAATTACACAATAACAGAAACTGGCACTCAGTAAGTCCTTAATACCTATTTTTGAATCAACAAATAAATGACTAAATTTTTAAAATGTCACTAGAGCTGTTACAAGGAATTTTAAAAATGCAAAATAATATAGGAATGCATAGCAGGAACAATTAGGTTAAAAGGCTTACATAAAATAATAAGTAAAGAATTGGAGTGGAAGAAATGGAAAGGAGAATTCCAGAAAGTCTTTAAGGTTTCTTTCTGCTATAATAGTCAATGATTCTATATAATAATCTAAGAAAATTATACATGAAATCATTCAGAATGAAGTTATAGTTTTTCAATTTAAATTTATAATTTTATTGAGAAATAAAACTGCATACTGAGCGTCATTTCTGTCAGCTGAAGGCCGTCATGGTTGACTTACTGAATTTTTCACTTTTATCTAGGTATTTTAGTGTCATACTCACTTGAGCAGAAAATTAAACCCTCTCCCCATGCTTCCCACCCTGCCCCCACTTGCAAAATTTCAAAACATATCCCTAGTAAATCACCCAAAGAAATTATTGTTTTTCAGTCAGGTTGTGTAATTACCATATGGTTGAAAATGTAATCTTCATTTACAAGATTTTCTTTCTCTTCAAAACTGAAGTAAGACATATTAGGATAGCTCTCCTAGAGGTGAATATCAAAAGTAATCTTTAAGTGAGAACTTGTAAACCACTTTTGAGAGAAATTCACTAAGCAATTAATATTAAGCCCACACAGACTTTTTCCCAAATTAATGTCTGCTGCCTAGAAGCACTGTGCAGTACAAAGTGTTGACTTTACTGTACGCTTACATAGTATATAATATCTTAATCAGACCACGTACCATAATAGTGGAATGTCACATGACATCCTTCTTCACAGTGTAACTACTACCAAATCTTAGAAACAAAGTTTAAAATATGTTAAGCCACTGCCTTAAAATTCTTCAGAAAAAGGCTGATTAATATTTAGGTTAAAATTATTTCAGGAAGTATCTACATAATGCCATTTGGGTTTCTCTCAAATCTTTTTTAATACAAGCTCAAACTGAATTACGCATAACAAAAAAGTTGAATTTGTAGAGGAAATCAGATAAAAATATGTGTTTTAAAGGAATAATATTTTCTAAATCTATATTTTATGTTAGATTTTGGAAATAATTAATGGAACTAATGCCTACTATTGATAATTATATCAATTATCCAACACTTTTATCTCTAAGTTTAAAAAAATGTATTGAAAGCCTTATATGTACTAGCCATTCTGCTATTTTCAAAAGACAGACAAAGCAATGAGCCTCATTTAGCTCAAAGTCTGAGGACATGGTGTGTGAAATATAAGTAAACAAATACAATATACAAGGTACAAATGATAGAATGGCATACAAGCATACACCCATTAAAAAGAAAGCCTAGATTGGAGGTGGTCATGATTACCTACAGAAAGAAATGATATCTAACCTGGAAACTGAGAAGTGGTAAGATTCAACTCAAATACAAAGACAAACATAAAAAAAAAATATATATATATATACATATATTTGCGTTCGTATATAATCATAGCTATATAATTTTTATATAGTTGTTATATATTATATATAATTATATACATATTATATCATATATCTAACTATATATTTTTTATGTAAATATTATATATATATGATTCCTGTATTGTGCATCTCTCTCTCTTTGTCTCTGTCTCTCTCTCTGTCTCTCTCTCTCTCTCTCTACATATATATATATGATAGCAGTTTTAGTTATATATAAATCTCAACTTGACTAGTCAAAATATGTAAATGAGTTAGGGTTTGCTACATTAACAAATTGTATTAGTCCATTCTCATACTGCTATAAAGAACTACCTGAGACGGAATAATTTATAAAGAAAAGACGTTTAATTGGCTCACGGTTCTTCAGGCTGTACAGGAAGCATGGCTGGGAAGGTTCTCAGGAAACTTACAATCATGATGGAAGGCAAAGAGGAAGCAGGCACTTCTTAATATGGCCAGAGAAGGAAGACTAGAGAGGTGGGGGAAATACCACACACTTTTAAAGAACCAAATATCATGAGCTCTCATTCACTATCACAAGAGCAGAACTAAAGGGGAAGTCCACCACCATGGTCCAATCACCTCCCACCAGGCCCCATCTCCAATATTGGGCATTACAATTTGACATGAGATTTGGGCGGTGACACAGACCCAAATCATATCACAAGTGATCTCAAAGTCTCAGTTATTTAAACCCATAAAAAAATATTTCTTCATTCATAGTATATAACTGGTGTGAATTGCCAAGGCCTTTTGCTCATTGTAGTCACATAGGGCCTTATTCTAATGGAGGCACCCCCTCAACATATACTTCACAATTTCTGCAGTAGTGGAACAGCTGGGCTGAAGAGTTGAGCATCAGCCTGGAAGTGACATTTGTCATATTTGCTCATATTTTTAGCCACAGCAAGTGAAATCTTACCATGAGTCAGCTCTTGGAGAACTTGATATCATGACCAGTAGTATTGACTTTATTTAGCTCACTGACATCAAATATATTCTTCACAATCTAGTATAAGATGACCAAATAAAAATCAGAAAAAGAAAATTGTAGTTCTGTTGAATGTTTTAATATCTTCAGATTATATAGTTTTGTGCATTTAAGGAGTGATATATGTTATGCAGGAAAAGCTAGAGTGAAGACCATAAAACATGTTTTATTGCTGTTTTTCCCACACATCTTCTAGATATCTGCAAGAAACGCCATTATGATCTATGAATAGTACAACAGAACTTTCAGTAACTACTCTTCTCTATATTATACAGAAAATGGTACATGACAGATTCTTAGTTTCCTTCTGGTCACACTCACAGAAAAGTCAAAGGTCATCAGATTATTTATGACATAATAAAAATAAATCTGAAAAATGAAACCTACACATATGAGGAAACTTATACATATTCTCATACTTTCCTTTTATGAGGTAAATTTGAAGAATGAAAATGTAGTCCTATTTCACCAATGAGTAATTTTAGTCATTTGAAAATATAACAGCTCATTTTGGGTGATGACTGATTCAGCTGTTATCATCTCCATGTAAAGTAATTTTAGCTCTATTTTAAGATTTACCTGGCCATGTTATCTTCTTCATAAGTATACAAATATTAGCGTTCTATTTTCTCTAATAAAGAACACATTTTATATTATGATATGTGTGGAAATGTTTTATATTTTGATATGTGAGGATATGCTAGTTAGTTGGTTATATAAACTTATCTATAAATCAAAGCAGTTTGGAGTATATGAAAACAGCATGAATTAAATTATTTAATAAATCATTAATCTGAATTTTAAATTGAATATATAAATGTATGTAATTTGATCCACTTTTGGTGTGGTGGCTTGAGGAGCTCTGCTGATCCAAACACCATAGGATAAAAACATAATTGGTATAAATTGTAATACAGCAGCATTTACAGTTTCTAAAAATTGCCCATAGGGCATACAGCAAATAAATAAATATTTAAGAAAATTTACTCTATCCCAGTAAAAAGGCAAGAGTCAGTGACTCTTGAGCTATAATCCATTCACATTTCATATAAATTGAATCATAAAATATGTAGCCTTTTTTGTCTGGCTTTTTTTCTTACCATGTTGTTTTCAAACAACTTTCCACAGCATCCACAACGTTTCATATTCCCAAAAACAGTAGACTTGGATTCCAATTTATTCTCATACTTGTCACCAAGCCATTTTTATGTTATTATTATTATTTTTAATTTTAGTCATCTTCCCAGGTTTCAGTTTATAAGTCTTGAATATCCTGAGGTGTCCAGCTCCTGGCCAAAGGCTTTTGTGTGATTTTCAGGCCAAACAATAAGCAAATTATGAAGCCTTTAACTGGCAGACTTTATGAGAAAATGCTGCCCTCCCTACACCACATTTGGTGTATATGCAGTCATGTCTCTGAGGGGAGTTGCAGTCAAGGACTTAGACCCACCTGTCCAGTCATATACTTTTCATATTTGCATTTCTAAATGAGAGCATTCATTCTTAAGTTCCTTTATCTGAGGTCTTTGGCAGAGGTCTTCTTCAGGCACTTCTACAAAGACTTCCTTATCATGCGAAGGAGGGTAAAATCATTTAAATACTTCTCATTCTGACTCAGTACTCAGAAGTTTTTCATGCCTACCCCTCTCCCTACTCCTTCCCATAGCCCTAGCATTCATAAAACTACAGAAGCTTTCTGATTGAGGCTCTCTCAACAGTGAAACCACACCTACATCTATGCTGATCATATGACCCTTGACCAGAGTGCTGTTTAATTTGGGACATAGAACAGACGGGAGTCAGTGCCTTCGCAGATTTTTGTCTCTCGCTTATACCATCACAGAATATGATTAGAGGCTTCACTTTTACTTCCATTTTGGCTTGTTGCTATAGTCAGTTACTCTGACATCTGACATATCAGTTCTCTCCAGCTCAGCTGAACTTCTGAAACGTATTGGGTAAAAGTATTTCTAGTTATTTAATTACTTTCAACCTTCTCTACCTGCTTGCATAAAGCCTGAAGGTTAGCCATAAGTAGGAGTTGTAGGACCTTTGCAAATATTTGCTGAGCATGCATCCAGCCCTAGGCATGCACCATAGTCTTCCAGATTTCTAGGAATATTGAAACCTCTTCAATGTCCTTATTTCCCAAAGAATCTCATTTCCTTGCTTCTTCTCCCAAGATTTTGAGTAGCCTGTTGTCTTCCCAAACTGTTATAACTTGACCCAGGATGTATAGGCTAATTCATTTGCCTTTAAATGTTTTCCACAAATGTTTCCTCCCCCTTGGTATCCCTCTCAGCCTTTAGAGAGTTCCAAGTTAGGCAAAATAAAAGCAACTATTTGTATACAGTCCTTTAGAGAGCCACAAGACAAGTCAAAGCCAACAACCACATTTTTTTTAGAACAAGGTTCATTTTGCTCCTTTCAGCATAAAGTATCTGTGCCAGTAATGCTGGCTGTTGTCTTCCAGGCCACTGCCAAGTCGGAGAGCTGGGACTAGTACCAGGGCAAGTCAAAATGCCATGGAGCTCTCTTACAGAGATTCAGCTGGATTTTCTTGATTAGGTGTTACGTTGGTTGCTGTAAGGTTTTAATTAGTTTCTAAAGTTCCAGTACAGTTGATTCGGACAATTTGGGGAATTGATTCATTGGTTTTGTGACAGGACAAACTTTTGGATTTCCCTACTTTGCCATTTTCACTGATACCACTTTAAAAAAATTGACTGTTCATGTTGCTAGTGCAAAATTCCATTATACATGTATGAATGTATGTTTGTGTATATATGTACATATACATACATAGTATGTATGTAGATACTATATAGAGAGTCTTTGTCTCTCTATTTATATGGTGTGTTTATGTGTGTGTGTATGTAGTAATTCTTTGTGTATTAAATTATTGCTATTTTGTCTGGACTAAAAGTTGCATATGTTTTTGTCATTTTTGTCACTGAACCATGTTTTCTGTATTTTATATTATATATATCAATATTATAAATATTGTATATGTTTATAATATACAACATCATTCCTGGTCTTTTATGGTTATGTAACATTAAATTACTTTATTTGTTGTGAACTGTAAAATCCATAGTAATTAAAAGAACATGAACACTACAAGTAAATAGATAAATGGTTCTGCACCTATATAATTAGTATATGAAGATGTTTGCATTTAAAAATTAGGGATTAATTATGGCTTACTCATTGAAGAGGAAAAATATAACATTTTAAGAGAAAAAATAGATCAGGACTAGAAACCGCATATCCCAAGTAATTCCTTGTGGTTTAAAGATTTTCATATTTTTTAAGTGCAACTGGAAAACAACAGATACACATGAATAGATACTACATATTAGGATAAGTTAGGTTTTTTATAAAAAGAAGGGTAAGGGAAACTTTAAAAAAATTAAGAATTGATACCTTAAACTACATGATAATAAAAATATTAGTTATAATTGAGAAAATACCTAAGAAATTGAGAAAACACAAACAGAAAACAAGAAAGGAAAGAAGGAAGGAAGGAAGGAAAGAAAAGAAGGAAAGGAAGCATGTTGATTCATGTTACTAAAAGCACATGGGATATATAGGTTTAAATTATGGCTACATCTAAAAATTCAAATAATGTCATCAGAACCAGATTTTCCTCTCCATTTCCTGATTTACCTATCCTATGTTAATTGTATTCTGAAATAATATTCCATTTATGAATATCAACTTGCTGCACAATCTTTAACACTATTTAATTCCGGGTAAAAATTTGAACTATAGAGCAAGTAATCCTTCTCAATATCTTAACAAAATTTCAAGATCTGATTTGCATTTTTGTGTTGGCCTGACTTAGGCCATGTGCATATGCTCAAACCAGTCACATTGACCAAAATAGTATAATGTCCTAATTGACAATATTTACATTTGCCAGACTCCCACTTTCTCTAAAAGACACATGATCTGAGAAATCAGGTTTGTTGCCAAAAAGAAACGGAATGGATGCTGGAAAATAAAACAACATAAATCCATTACAATAACAAATTTGTTTAAGAATCAACAACTATATGTGTAAAATAAATGACTAAGATAAAAATTCCTTGGAGGAGGTATGAGGTAGGAATCTGCATTTTTAACAAGGCCTTCTGCAATACACATTAAGTTATAAACTTGCTGTTCTCGTGTCACAATTTTAGAGCATTATGTTTATACAAAGATAATGAGAAAAGTTTAGTGACAAGAAGACAGGTAATTTCTAGAAATTTCAGAAAGAAGATGGAAGACAATGGATGTTTAAAAATATTAGTGATTGTGATGTTCATACATGTTTCTGCTCATAATTCCTTCCTTTACATTGTTTGTATGAATATATCCCAAATTCTTTGACCTGTTGAAATATATTTGTGTTGATTTCAGCTTGGGGCTAAAATATAAAATCATAATGCCGCTATGACCATTTGTGTACATGTCTTTTGATAATTACAAGCACCCTCTTTTCTTGGGAATATATCTAGGAGTGAAATTGCAAGGTCATATAGTATATTTATTATATATTACTAGTTTTACAAAGTGATCACACAAACTTATAATATTACAATCGGTATATGAAAATTCCACTTTCTGTATACCCTTGCCAACACTGGGTGTTGCTGGTCTTTTCAGTTGTAGGCACTGTATTCTGGTGTAATTGTATCTCACTGTTGTAATTTGCAGTTTTCTGATGACTAATGATACTAAGCATCATTTCAAGAAGACACTGGGAGAATATCTTCATGATATTGCAATAGGCAATAATTTCTTAAAGAAGATACACAAGAACTAGCCATAAAAGAAAAGTTTAATAAATTGGATTTCACTAAAGTTGGGAACTTCTATTCAACTAGGGACACCATTGAGGGAAAATGCAAACCACAATGAGACTAATGATATATTTATTTACAAAAGACTTGTATCCAGAATATGTAAAAATTCTAAAAACTAGTCAATAAAAAAGAGGACAACATAATATAATTGTCCAACAGACTTGAACAGGTCCTTCACAAAATATAATATGGTAATGGGAAAATTCAAATCTGATTCAAAAAAATTAAAGAAAGCAATGAGAAAATTTAAGCATCCATACACCCTTTCTGATGAATATTATTGAAAAAATTTCTCCAGAAAAGTAACTAAATATAAAATACAAGGAAAGTGCAATAAAGAAAAAACAGAAAATTATGTAGGTTAAAAATAAGTGTAATAAATGTATAAATGAAGTTTCATGACAAAGTATTAAAAAGTAACAAAACAACTTGACATTATAATTTCAGACCTTTCAAAAAGATATATGGGAGTGTGAGTGGGTCAGAAGGACTACAAAATAGTCCATTTCTGGAATATTAGTCCTTATCTTCACTATTTCTCTTTAATTTTGGCAGTCATATTTTGATTTTCAAAAAAGTGTATTGGAAGGAGGCAGAGCAAGATGGCAGCATAGAAGGCTCTACCAATTGTACCCCCGACAAGGACATCAGGTTTATTATTCCATTCTCACCCTACTATAAAGAACTGCCCGAGACTGGGTAATTTATAAATAATAGAGGTTGAATTGACTCACAGTTCAGCATGGCTGTGGAGCCATAAGGAAACTTACAATCATGGTGAAAGAGGAAGAAAACATGTCCAACATGTCCTTATTCACATGGGGACAGGAGAAAGAAGCGCCTAGCAAAGGGGGAAAGGACCCATATAAAACCATCAGATTTTGTGAGAATTAACTTTCACAAGAACAGCATGGGGGTAGTTGCCTCCATGATTTAATGACCTCCCACTGGGTCCCTCCCAGAACATGTGGGGATAATGAGAACTGCAGTTCAAAATGAGATTTGGGTGGGTGGGGACATAGCCAAGCCATGTCATTCTCCCCTTGGACCCTCCCAAATCCCATGTCCTTACATTTCAAAACACGACCATGCCCTTCCAACAGTCCCCCAAAGTCTTAATGCATTTCAACATTAACCCAAAAGTCCAAGTCCAAATTCTCATCTGAGACAAGGCAAGTTCCTTTGCCTATAAGACTGTAAAATCAAAAGCAAGTTAGTTACTTCCTTGATACAATGGGGATACAGGCGTTGAGTAAATACACCCCTTCCCAATGGGAGAGATTGGCCAAAACAAAAGGGCAACAGGACCCATGCAAGTTCAAAATTCTGTGGGACAGTCAAACTTAAACTTCTGAAATGATCTCCTTTGACTCCATGTTTCATATCCAGTTCACACTGATGTAAGAGGTGGGCTCCCACAGCCTTGGGCAACCCCACCCCTGTGGGCTTTGCAGGGTACAGACCCCCTCCAAGCTGCTTTCATGGGCTGGAATTCAGTGTCTGCAGTGCCCCAGAGGGGACTCTGTGTGGGAGCTCCACCACCACATTTCCCTTCTGTACTGCCATGGCAGAGGTTCACCATGGGGGTTCCATCCCTGCAGCATGCTTCTGCCTGGATATCCAAGCATCTATATACATTCTCTGAAATCTAGCTGGAGGTTTCCAAACCTCAATTTTTGACTTCTGTGCACCCAGAGGCTCAACAACACATGGAAGCTGCCAAAGCTTTGGACTTGAACCCTCTGAAGAAATGACCCAAGCTTTACTTTGGCCCCTTTTAGCCATGAATGGAGCTGTAGCAGGTGGGACACAAGACACCATGTCCCAAGGCTGCATAGAGTAGGGAGGCCCTGAGCCCAGCCCATGAAACCATTCTTTCTTTCTAGGTCTCCAGGCCTGTAATGGGAGGAGCTGCCCAAAAGGTCTCTGATATGTCCTGGAGCTATTTTTCCCATTTTCTTGTTGATTAACATTTGGCTCCTTGTTACTTGTGCAAATTTCTGCATTAGGCTGGAATCTCTCTCCAGAAAATGAAAAATTTCTTCCACCAGATACACTAAATCATCTCTCTCAGGTTCAAAGTCCCACAGATCTCTAGGTCAGGGGCAAAATGTCACCAGTCTATTTGCTAAAGAATAGCAAAAGTCACCTTTGCTCCAGTTCCCCACAAGTTCCTCATCTCCATCTAAGACCACCTCAGTCTGGACTTAATTGTCCACGTCACTACCAGCATTTTGTTCAAAACCATTCAACAAGTCTCTAGGAAGTTCCAAACTTTCCCACATCTTCCTGTCTTCTTCTGAGCCTTCCAAACAGTTCCAACCTCTACTTGTTATCCAGTTCCAAAGTCACTTCCACATTTTCAGGTATCCTTATAGCAGTGCCCCTTCCCTCAGTACCAATTTACTATATTCATCTGTTCTCACACTGTTAAAAATAACTGCCTGAGACTGGGAAAAGAGATTTAACTGACTCACAGTTCCACATGGTTTGGAAGGCCTCAGGAAACTTACAATAATGGTGGAAGGGGAAGCAAACATGTCCTTCATCACCTGGCAGCAAGAGAGAAATGTTGAGCTCAAGCAGGGAAAGCCCCTTATAAAATCATCAGATCTTATGAGAACTCACTCACTAGATGAGAACAGCATGGGGATAACCGCCCCATGATTCAATTACCTCCCACTGGGTCCTTCCCACAACATGAGGTGATTATGGGAACTAAAATTCAAAATGAGATTTTTGTGGGGACACAGCCAAACCATATCACCAAGTTAACAAGTATCTACACAGGAAAAACACCTTCATAAGAACCAAAAAATTATGTGAGTACTCACAGTACCTGGTTTTAACTTGATATCATTGAAAGAGGCACGGAAGAGATAGAAAAATTAGTCCTGAATTGCTGATACCACCTCTCTTCCACCCCCAGCAGTGGCAGCATTGTGCAGAGAGCATCTCTGGGTGTTGAAGAAGGGAGAATACAGCAATTAGGAGACATTGAACTCAGTGCTGTTCTGTTTGAGCAGAAAGAAAAACTGGATCAAACTGAGCTGATGCCCATCCACAGAGGGTGAGTTTAAACCAGCCCTTGCCAGAGGGGAATCATAGATCCCAGTGGTACAAACTTGAGTGCTTGCTAACCTTGTCACCAAGGGCTACAACACTGTGTGTCTCTAAGTGAACTTGAAAGGAAGTCTGTGCCATAAGGACTGCAACTCTTAGGTGATTCTCAGTGCTAAAGTAGGCCCAGTGACAGTGGTCTAGCAGGGGCATGTAACATACTGAGAAACCAGCTGGAGCAGCTGAGGGAGTACTGGAATCATGATTTCCCTAACCCAAGACTGCACATCTCATTGCTCCAAAAAAGACTTCTTTCTTTCACTTGAGGAGAGGAGAGGGAAGAGTTGGGAGGAAGTTCTCTGGCATATAAGACATCACTTCATCCACAGCATGATAGGGCACTGGTCAGAGTTGTGAGGCCCATGTTCCAGGCCCTAGCTTCCAGACAACATTTCTAGACACCCTCTGGGCCAGAAGGGAACCTGCTGCTTTGAAAAAATGATCCAGTCCTTGTAGCATTAATCACCTGCAAACTTACCAGCCCTGGGTCAGTGAATAATCAGCAGCAATACCCAGGTACTACATCAAAGACCTTTGGTGAACCTCTGAGACATGCTGGCTTCTTGTGAGACTCAGCACATTACCATCTGTGGTGGTTACAGGGAAAATCTCATTCATCTTGAGAAAAGCACAGGGCAAAGTAAGGGGATTTTGTCTTGTACCTTAGGCATCAGCATGACCAGTGATGGTCAGAACACCAAGTGGACTGTTAGAGTGTTCAATTCCAGGACTTGACTCTTGGACAGCATTTCTGTGCCTACCCTGAGCCAGTGGATAGCCCACTGTGCAGAAGGGTGAGTCTTAGGTTAGGCAGCATTCATGACAAGGTGATTTGAGACCTTGGGATTTAAGGGAACATTGGTGGTAGTCTGGCAGTACTCCTCATGGCCTGTGGAAATGGTGGCTATAGGGTGAAGTTCTTTTGCCTTTGAAAAGTGGAGGGAAATTTAGGGAGGACTGTGTCTTGTGATTTGAGTGCCAGTTCAGCTGCAGTACAATAGAACACCAGGTAGACTTCTAAGGTTTTTGACTGTAGACCCTGATTCCCAGATGGTACTTCTGGATCCACCTGGGGTTTGGTGAACCTCATTTCCCTTAAGGGAAGGACACAGGCCTGACTGGCTTTGCAATCTGCTAATTGTAGAGTCCTAGGGCCTTGAGCAAACATAGGCACTAACCAGTTAGTAGTTACAGCAGACTTTTGGAGACATTCAGTGCTGTGCTGGCTTCAAGTCTGACCCAGCACAGTCAGTATTGGTGGCCACAGGGGTGCTTGTGTCATTTCAACCCCAGCTTTAGGTGGCTCAGAAGAGAGAAGAGACTCTGTATGTTTGGGAGAGAGTAAAGGAAGAGAAAAAGAGGCTCTACCTGCTAATCCAGAAAATTCTCCCAAAACTTGTTCAAGACCATCAAGGTGGTACCTGTATGAGTCTGCAAAAGTCACAGCATTACTGGGCTTGGGGTGCCCCCATAATGCAGATACAGCTTAGATCACAACACCAAAGCCCTTTCAAATATCTGCCACCCCAAGAAGGACAAGTACAAATAAGCCCAGGCAGTGAAGACTACAATAGATATTTAACTCTTCAATGCCCAGACAACAAAGAACATTAACAAGGATCAACACCACTCAAAAAAATATGACCTCACCATATGAACTAAATAAGGCACCATGAACTGGTCCTGGAGAAACAGAGATATATAACCTTTCAGGCAGGTAATTCAAAATAGCTGTTTTGAGAAAACTCAAAAAAATGTAAAATAACGCAGAAAAAGATTTAAGAATTTTGTCAGGTAAATTTAACAAGAGGTTTAAATTATTAAAAAGAATCAAGCAGAAATTCTGGAGCTTAAAAATGTAACAGGCACACTGAAGAATGCATCAGAGTTCTTTAATAGCAGAATTGACCAAGCAGAAGGAAGAATTAGTGAGTTTGAAGAAAGGCTATTTGAAAATATACAGTGGAATGAGATATAATAATAACAATAAAAAGCAATAATGCATACTTACTGGATATAGAAAATAGGGTCAAAAGTGCAAACCCAAGCATAATGGGCCTTAAAGAGGAGGCAGAGAAAGAGATAGGGGTGGAAAGTTTATTCAATGTGATAACAACAGATAACTTCTCAAGCCTAGATAAAAATGTTAATGTCCAAGTACAAGAAGGATATAGAACACTAAGCAGACTTAACACAAAGAAGACTACCTCAAGTCATTTAATAATTAAACCCCGAAAGGCCAAGGATAAATGAAATAATACTAAAAGCAGCAAAAAAAGAAATAAATAACATCCAATGGAGCTCTAATATGTCTGGCAGCAGACATTTCAGTGGAAGTCTTACAGGCCAGGAGAGAGAGGCATGACATATGTAAAGTGGTGAATAAAAAAAATAATTTTACCCTAAGAGTATAACCTGAGAATTTATTCTTCAAATATGAAAGAGAAATAAAGACAAACAGAAGCTGAGAGATTTCATCAACACCAGACTTGTCTTACAAAAAATGTTAAAGGGAGTGTGTCAATTAGAACAAAAGAACATTGATGAGCCATGAGTAATCCCCTGAAGTTACAAGATTCAATGGTAGTAGTAAGTACACTAAAAATCATAGAATATTATAACATTGTAATGGTGATGTGTAAATTACTCTTACTCTAAGGATAAAGACTAAATGATAACCTAATAAAAAATAATAACTATGACAAATTTTTGAGACATAGTCAGTACAATATGATATAAATAGATACAATATAAAGTTAAAAACCAGATGACAAAATTAAGGTATATAATCTCTATTAGTCTTTTTTGCATGCTTGTTTGTTTATGTAAATAGTGTTGCTATTAGGTTAAAATAATGGGTTATAAGATAGTATTTGCCAGCTTCGTGGTAACCTCAAACCAAGAAACCTACAACTGATACAAAAAATAAAAATAAAAAGCAACAAACAAAATCATATAACCAGAGAAAATCACTTTTACTAGAGGAAGACAGGAAGAAAAGAAGGAAGGGAGAGAAGATCATTAAAAAGAAACAGAAAAGAAATTTAAAAATGGCAGGATTAAGTCTTTACTTATCCATAATGACACAGAATGTAAATGAACTAAACTCTCCAATGAAAAGACATAGACTGGCTGAATGGATGAATAAACAAGACCCAGTGATCTGTTGCCTACAAGGTACACACTTCACTTATAAAAACACATAGACTGAAAATGAAGGAATGGAAAATTATATTTCATGCCAATGAGAACTAAAAAGGAGAGGAGTTATGATACTTATATCAGACAAAATAGATTTCAAGACGAAAACTACCACAGGAGACAAATAAAGTCACTATATAATTATAAAGGGGTCAATTCAGCAAGAGAATATAACAATTTAAAATATATATGCACCCAACATTGGAGAACCCAGATATACAAAGCAAATATTATTGGAGCTACAGAAAAAGAGAGAGACTCCAATAGAACAATAGCTGGAGAGAGCAACATTCTGCTTTCAGCACTGGACAAACCTTCCAGACTCAAAATCAAAAAAGAAACAACTGATTTAATCTGCAGTAGAGACCAAATGATTCTAGTAGACATTTAGAGAACACTTCTTCCAAGAGCTGCAGACTACACAATGTTTTCCTCAGCACATGTATTATTTTTAAGGATAGACCATATGATAGGTCACAAAACAAGTCTTAAAACATTCAAAAATTGAAATAATATCAAGCATCTTCTCTAACCACAGTGGAATAAAATTAGTAATCAATAACAAGAGGAATTTTGGAAACTATACAAATATGTGGAAATTAAATAATATCCTGAATGACCAATGGGTCAATAAAAAAATTTACATTAAATTGAGAATATCCTTGAAACAAGTGATAAAGGAAATACAACACACCACAACCTGTGGGATATAGCAAAAGCAGTACTAAAATAGTAGTTTATAACTATAAGTGCCTACATCAAAAAAGAGGAAAACTTCAAATAAGCAATCTAATGATGGATCTTAAATAACTAGAGGAACAAGAACAAACCATCCCCAAATCAATACAAGAAAATAAATAATAATTATCAGAGCAGAAACAAATGAAATTGAAATAAAAAATATGAGATCAATGACATAAATGTTAGATTTTTGAAAAGATAAACAAAATTAACAAACTTTTATCCAGATTAAGTAAAAAGAGAGAAGATCCAAACAAAAAAATTAAAAATGAAAATGGAGACACTATAACTGATACTGCGGAAAATCAAAGGCTCATTAGTGGCTACTATGAGCAACTATATGCCAATAAATTGGTAAATCTAGAAAAAAATGGATAAATTTTTACATACAAAACCTACCAAGATTGACCAGGAAGATATTCAAAATCTGAACAGACCAATAACAAGTAATGAGATTGAAGCCATAAAAAAGTCTCCCAGTAAATAAAAGCCCAGGACCTGATGGCTTTACTACTGAATTATACCAAACATTAAAAAAAGTATCAATACCAATCCTATTCAAACTATACTGAAAAACAGAGGAGGAGGACATACTTCCAAACTCATTCTATAAGGCCAGTATTACTCAGATACCAAAACCAAAGTCACATCAAAAATAAAACTATAGGTAAATATCTGTGTTTAATATTAATGCAAAATACTGGGAAACCAAATTCAACAATACATTAGAAAATTCATTCATCATGACCAAGTGAGACTTATCTCTGGAATTCAAGAATGGTACAACATATGCAAATCAATCAAGAGGATACCACATGTCAACAGAATGAAGGATAAAAACTGATAATTTCAATAGATACTGAAATAGTAATTGTAAAATTCAAAATCTCTTCATGATAAAAGCCCTCAAAAAACTGGGTGTAGAAGGAACATAACTTTAACATAATTAAAGCCATATACAACTGACCCACAGCTAGTATCATATTGAATGGGATAAAAATTAAAGCCTTTTATCTAAGATCTGGAAGACAACAAGAATGTCCATTGTCACCACTGTTACTCAACGTACTACTGGAAGTCCCAGCTAGAGCAATCAGTAAAGAGAAAGATATAAAGGGCATCCAAATTGAAAAAGAAGAAGTCAAATTATCCTTGTTTGCAGATAAAATCTTACATTTGGAAAAACCTAAAGACCCCACAAGAAAACTATGAGAACTGTTAATGAATTCAGTAAAGTTGCATGATGTAAAATCAACATACAAAAATTAGTAGCATTTCTATGTGCCAACAGTGAACAATGTTAAAAAGGAATAAAAAAGTAATCACACTTAAAAGAATTGAAAGATCTCTGTAGTAAAAATTATAAAACACTGATGCAAGAAATGGAAGAGGATACCAAAATTAAAAAAAAAATTCCATGTCCATGGATTGGAAGAATCAATATTATTAAAATGGCCATAGTACCAAAGCAATATACATATTCAATGCAATTCCTATCAAAATACCAATTATATTTTTCACAGAAATAGTAAAGAAATTCTAAAATTTATATGGAAGAACAAAAGACCCAGAATAGTCAGAGCTATTCTAAGCAGGACAGTGAGCATTATAGAAGCTGATGTGATGACAGAAGCAGAGAAAGATGTTAACAACAGAAACAAAGATTGAAGTGATGTGGCCAGACACAAAGGAACACAGATGGCTTCTAGAACCTGCAAAAAGCAAAGGACAGTTTCACCCTAGAGGCTCCAGAAAAAAGGCAACATTTGATATTAGTCCCATGCAACTCATTTTTAACTTGTGACCATCAGAAGCGTAAAATAATAAACTTGTCTTGTTTAAACCACTAATTTGGTGGTTTGTTGCATCAGCAATAAGAAATTAATGCATATGTAGATTGGGCTATTCTCTACTGCTGCCTCAGGAAATTTTAAATTCATTTCTTCTTTGCCCATTGGACCTATAGAGGAAGAGTTGCACACCATACTTTTATCTGTACATTTTTTTCTTATCTCTTATATCAAGGTCTTTCTTCCAGCTCCAGTGTGTCTATCCTATGGCCGATTTTCAGTATGTGTTGTAGAATATTGATTAGTCACTCTACCTCTAGTTTTACCTCACTCCACTGTCTCCAATCCATCCCAAATGGCTACTCATTTAATTATATTTAATACTACTTAAAATTATTCAATGGCTTCACACTGGCTACAGGATAAAGACTTCTTTATTGACACATAAACAGAATCCTATATGATATGGCCCTGGGACTTCAGCATTATGTCTGATAATTTTCCCACTGATTTATCCCCAATGTTCTAACCATCACAATCTCACATCTGATCTTCTCTATATAAATCATAATCTCCTTTGCCTCCATGCACTTGGGCATTAGGCTTTATTATCTTCAATGTATCTGGCAAATCAATACAAATTTTCAGCCTAGTGAGAAATTTGTTCTTATTCATTTCCTCATTTTAATATAACAATAAAGTTTTGTGTATATGTTGATCTCTTTTGGATAGTGGGCTTCACTATAGCATGCATAATTTTCCATTTTTTCTAGCATAATGCCTAAAATATAGTTTTTAATAAATGATTTTATGACAATTGAAAAGTTTAATAAAATATAATATTTTTCCCTTAGGTCCATCCTCTGGGAGAACATTTTTCTACAAGCAGAGTTATAATGTTTATATGATTATATTGAATGGAATTTTAAAAATAGGTTATTTTTTTCCTTTAAACTATTTACAACTAGCACATCTTAAATCTAACATGCCAACTATTTAGTAGTACCATGTGCAGAGATAATTTCTGTAGTGCAACTGGGTCATTTACTTTAAAAGATAATCATAACAATATTTTTTCTGTATCTACTAGATAACAATGATTTTACAAAAAACTCTCAGCACTCTAATAGTACTAATTTATATTCAATAATTATTATCATGGTGTCTGAGATACTCCAAAATTGTGAGCAAGGCCTGAGGAGAACAGGCAGTGTCCCATACTAATTACATTACAAAGCTTGGTAGAAAGTAACTCTTATGATTATTTGGCTTGAAAGTTCAGTAATAATGTAGATTGTCTTGCTGTGGCATTTTCTTTGTGACGACTTTCTCATTAAAATATAAAAATGATAATACAATGGACGATTTAAAGAGCAGCACTAACAATATTTCATTCATTACCCAAATTCTTTTCTATCTTCACATGTTAAAATTGTAGTTGGAAAAATTGTAGCCCAATAAAGAATTGATAAAAATCATTAAACCATGAAGCTCTTTTTTTACTTAAGAGTCTCTGTTAATTAACTGTGAGGACAAATTTTCTCTGATTTACCAAAAGATATCCTTATGACCTCCATGCTTTTCATGAATGACAAGGTATATGGATGACTTAAGAGCAAGGTGACCTTTTTTTCTTCTCTGTATTTTAATCAATACACACATATCTTACTTTGTGAAAAACTATCACATAGATGTCATTACTTTTTGGATCTCGGTGCTATTCTTCTTATTCTAGTTAACTAGGTTATCGGCACTCAAAAGAAGATTATAAATATTCTGTATTATGTATTTGTTTCTGAGGCAAAATGCCAGGTCACTCCTTGAACTCTCCATAGCAGATATTTAATAATAAATTATTATTAAGATGCATTTAATGATGTTCTACACCAGCAACTCTATTTCTAAAGACGGCAGAGTCATATTTGTACCTATTAATATAGTCTAACTTTTAAAAATGGTGGCAGATTCCTACGAGTCAGCTGTTGCTGAGGTAGCAGAATTTAGTTTGTTGAATTCAATCATAATCTGACTAAGCAGGGTGAGAAAAAAATTGTTAGAGTCTGCTTGTCCTTAGTTAGAATGCAGGTTGGAAATTCCAAGCAAGAAGATATTAATAAGCAGATCTAGCTTCAAATACCATGGCTTTCACGCAGGGATTGAGATACGGTCTTACATTTGGAGATATGCTTCCTGAAATCAGTAGCATCTGAGTTCACTGCTTTGGTGGTGCCATTTTCCCATCATATGAGTTTATGGATTGAGGCTCATTCTAAGAGAACTTGTTGAGTACTGTCTGAAATTGGTCCTTCCCCTCTTTTATTGCTAGATTTCAAAACACATTTTACTGAAAAAATATAGTTTCAAAATGATAAATGTTTACCTTATTTAAATATAAATACATGAAACATATTAATAAATAAAAATATTTTAATAAATTTTAATTTAATAATAAATAAATGCAATTTTGTTTAAATAAATAAATGAATTACTAAACTAGAAAGCAAATGAAAATATGACAATGACATGCAATATGTTTCATTTTCTAATTAACTTGGAATGAATACATTTTTGCATACTCTCTTTTATAGTCGACCATTTCAGAGTTGAATGTTCAAGTGGTGCATTTGCATTTCCAGAAACATACAGCACATTTATCTTGACCTATGTTTTTGTGAAAACATATATTGGTAGAAGTAGAATGTTAGTTTTTATTTGGTTCAGATTCATACAGCCAAAAAGGTTTCTTACAAGTATCTTATTTGGTTTAGGAAACCAATGACCTTTGCTAGTAAAGACTAAAATACTTTGCAAATCTTCTTTCCCAAATTTTATATTTTTAACCTATGCAGAGATTTCCTATGATTGCAACTGAGCCAAGCCTCTCCTTTGAGTATCTCATTTATTTATATATTAATTTGGTCACTAAATAAACATCTGAGTCCCTACCATAAGTTTTGGAGCAGGTACTATGCTAAATGCTGGGGAAATAGAGTCAATTAGGCAGGATCTTAATCCTAAAATAGCTCAGAGGAGAATAAAGAAGACTGGCACATAAACAGATCATTGTAACTCATTCCATCAATGCAAAAGTTAAAAAAAAGACCTGAAAATAATGAAGGATCTGTCAAAGGAACTTCAAAAATTTCTAATCATTGAGTAACTTTATAGCACATTATTTCTTTCATAAAATGAGAAAAAAAATAAAGATCAGTTGGATAGCAACCTTAGAGCCTTTACCAACTTTATAATTATGATAATTTTCCATAGGATCCTGTCTTTCTGCTGAATATTTCCATTAAGAGCTTCTATTGCCTATACAGACTCTATCTTTTTTTCATTAATAATTTTTGCAGTGGATCGAACATTCACTAAAACAGTTTCACAATTTGGTCATCTTGATGGCCTCATTCACGGAAAAGTTAAAAGCCTTTACAAAATCCATATTTCCTCTTTAATTGTTTAATTATTTAACTTCAATTTTATAACTACAGTTATCTTTTTATGTACATCAACTACTAGAATTTGGCATACTGAGTTGCATGTATTGTTACTTAGTTACTTTATTAGTGTTACTGCTAATGGGATAATAAGCAAAAAATCAAAGTCATAGCACTTCCCTAAGCTCAGAAACTGGTCAAATGACTGGTTCTCACCAGCAGCCACCCAGGAAAATTGAAAATTGAGGTTTATTTATAAATCTTCAAAACCTCAAAAGCTAAAGCCAAGAATGACACTAGTAGAATGTTCTTTATTCAACACAGATTCTAGAATCAGAGCACTCTGGAATTAAATCCTAAATTCACAGTTATTAGCTGTGTAAATTAGAGCACATGACTTTGTTTCTTTGATGCTCAATTTTCTCATTGGTAAAATAGAAAAAAAGAATATACACTGAATAGACTTGTTTCAAGGATTTAATCGAGATATTTTGTGAAGTGTCTAGCATGAAGCATAGTGACTAACATAAAGTGAGCCCTCCATAAATGATAATGATTCTGTCACTGCTGCTGCAATTTGGCAGTTCCTTGAAAATTTCTTGGGTATTTAACCAAGAGCAATAAAAACATATCTGCACAGGGGCCGGGCACGGTGGTTAATGCCTGTAATCCCAGCACTTTGGGAGGCCAAGGTGGGTGGATCACCTAAGGTCAGGAGTTTGAGATCAGCCTGGCCAACATGGCGAAACCCCGTCTCTACTAAAAATACAAAACATTAGCCAGGCGTGGTGGCGGGCGCCTGTAATTCCAGCTACTCAGAAAGCTGAGGCAGGAGAATCGCTTGAACCTGCGAGGCGGAGGTTTCAGTGAGCAGAGATCGTGCTATTGCACTCCCGTCTGGGCAACAAGAGCGAGACACCATCTCAAAACAAATAAACAGACAAACAAACAAAAAACATATCTGCACAAAAACATGTACAGGAATGCTGTCAAAGGAAAACAGCTAGACAGTAACTAAAGTATTAAAAATATACTTTATTCAGGACTATTGCAATAGGAGAAAAGAGATCTCAATATAAAACTAGGCTCAATTCCAAATAAAGCATGGGCAAGTGGAAATTTATAGCTAAGGAGAAAGGTGGGGATTTAGTGAATGGAAAATTACTAAGTGAAAGCATTGGAGACAAGGGGCAATTCTGACTAAACAGATGATCAGATATTGAGGGTGGGGATTGTCTCTAAATTGATACAGCAGGATTCCTGCTAAAACTGGACTCTTGACATGCCTACTGGGGACTGGGACTAGTAGATAAAGGAGACTCAGAGGAGCCAGACTAAAGTTTCATTAAAGGAGTGTCTCATCGTGTTTATAGAAGCTTTATTTGTAATATTCCTCATCCAAATGTGCATCAACCAATGTTTAAACCAATTGTGCTATAGCCATAGAATGAAATACTGCACCCTAATCAAAGAGAATAAACTACTGATGCATACACAACAAAATGAATGAATCTATAAAATATTATATATCATTCACTGCTTGCTTAAACCATATCAATTTCAAGTCTACAATATGAATAATTTATAATCTAATCTAACCATTTTCTTAATACTCAGGCCTAATAATGTATACATATGGTTCTCGTTTTATAATGCAACTTCTCCAAATTTAATAATTTCCATTTGTTAAAGGTGTAATTATTGTTCCTCAAGCTGTACTCTGAGTCTCATGATTTCCTTTCTTCCAGGAATATGACACTTTTGATTATCCTCTACATTTAATTTATCTTATACCACTCTCCTTCTACTTCCTCTACCATCAACTGATAAACATGCTTATATGTTTCCCACCTTGAGTATAAGCAAGCAAATAAAATAATTTATCTCAGTTTAATTTTGTTACTCTATTAAAATCTTCTGAAACAACATGCATCTTACTGAGCATAACTTAATACACTGGGATTTGATATTCTGGCCCACAACTCTCCAAGATCACAAGGGTTCTCTATGTGACTAAGTCCAAAGAATATTTTTCATATCTGATCTTCCTTCATGGCAGCATTTGAAGTTCTCAAGCACACTGTATTGGAGATAAATCACTTTGGTCCCTTGACTTTCATGACATCACAGTCTTGTGTCCGTTTACTTCTTTGGGCCATCTTGTGACTCTTTTGTTGGTTTCTCCTCTTCTAGCATCACTAAAATACTGGGTTTCTCTAAGAATCTGACCTAGGCTTATCATTATACAAAACAACCCTGAAAGATACAATCAATTCTAATGACTTAAATAAGACTATGATTTGCAAATGCATATTTGTAGCCAAAAGTTACCTGCTGAGCTGCAGACATATTTATTCTATTTGTTTTATGAAGCATGTGATTTCAGTTGGCTGCTTATACCACCTCAGCTACTAGCATTTCTCTGTATCCTGGCTCAACTACCTATAGCTAGTACCAGTACCATTTTGCCTGAAAGCTCTTCTGGTGACTAAAAATGCCTCTGCCTATATATAACATATGCCATAATATTAGAAAATTAACATTCCAAAGGAGCAACCCACACCAATGACTGAGATGAGAATTTGTGAATAAATTACAAAAAATCAGGTACTCTTACCTGTATATGGATATGGACTCTCATGATTATAGGCTCTGACAAGTCCCACAGTCTGTAATCAGCAAGCTAGACAGCAAAGAACGAAGATGGTGTAGTTTCAATCACAATCAGAAGACATAAGAAACAGGAAATGTGATGATGTAAATTCTAGTCCAAAGTCTGACAGGCTCAAGATTGAACAAATCTGATTTTTCAGTCAGTTTGAAGGCAGGGAAAGACTGATATCCTAGCCCAAGCAGTCAGGCAAGAGGAGCTTCCTCTTACTCAGCTTTTTTTTTGTTATATTCAGGTCTTTAATTTATTGGATGAGTCCTGATATGGTTTGCTCTGTGTCCCTACCCAAATATCATGTAAAATTGAAATCTACATGTGTCAGGGGAGGTACGTGGTGGGAGGTGATTGGATCATGGGGGTGGTTTCCCCATGCTGTTCTCATAATAGTGAGTGACTTCTCATGAGATCTGATGGTTTGAAAGTGTGACACTTTCCCCTTCACTCACTCTCTCCTGCCTCCACATAAAACATGACTTGCTTCTCCTTTAGCTCTTTGTTACTTATGCAGTGAGAAAACAGATTAATACAGTGGTCTTTCTATTATTTCTTGATTCAGTCTTTGTAGGTTGTGTGTTTCTAGAAATTTATTCATTTCTTATAAGTTGCCAATCTGTTGCCATATACTTGTTCATAGTAGTCCTTTATGATGTTTTATTTCTATGTTATTGGTTGTAATGTCCCCTTTTTCATTTTTGATTTTATTTATTTAAGGATGTGAGAGATGAAATCAAAGGAGATAAATATGGAACTTTAAGATTTAATGACTGTCCTGCTGGTTTTAAGACTGCATGGGGCCTGTAGCCCCTTTGTTTTGACCATTTTTTCCCCATGTGAAATGGGAGCATTTACGAAATGCCTGTATCCCCACTGTATTTTGGAAGTAACTAACTTGTTTTTGATGTTACTCCTAGGTGGAAGGGACTCGCTTTGTCTCAGATGAGACTTTGGAATCGAACTTTTGAATTAATTATGGAATGCTGGAATGAATTAAGACTTTGGGGAACTGTTGGGAAGGAATAATTGTATTTTGCAATGTGAGAAGGACATGAGATTTGGGAGGGGCCAGGGGCAGAATAATATGGTTTGACTCCGTGTCCCAACCCAAATCTCATGCAGAGTTGTAACCCCCACATATTAAGGGAGAGACCTGGTGGGAGGTGATTGGATCATGGGGGTGGTTTCCCCAATGCTGGTCTCATGATAGTGAGTTCTCATGAGATCTGATAGTTCAAATTTGTGGCACTTCTTCCCTTCACTCGCTGTCTCTCTCCTGCCACCATGTTAAGATGTGCCTTGCTTCCCCTTCTCCTTCTGCCATGATTGTAAGTTTCCTGAGGCCTCTGCAGCCGTGCAGAACTGTGAGTTAATTAAACCTCTTTTGTTTATAAATTACCCAGTCTCAGGCAGTTCTTCATAGCAGTGTTATAATGAACTAATACAAGGCCCAACACATTAGGCAGGGCAATCTGCCTTACTTAGTCTAGTGATTCAAAGATTAATCTCATCCAGAATCACCTTCACAGACAAACCCTCAATAATGTGACCACATGACAGGGCACTCTGTGGCTCAGTCAAGTTGACACATAAAATTAACTATCATAAGTTCATACCTTACCAACTGTACCACTCATATTTATCTCCTTAAACTATACTTACTCTCCAAATACAAATAATAACAAGGTCATCCTTCAATCTACCATAATACAACTATCCTGCATACAACCATAAATGTATAACCTCTTTACCAAAAGAGAAGTTAACATCTTTCAGTGAGGATTACTACTTTCCTTGATAGACCATATCTTAAATATTATGGAATAAAATTAACACTACTTAATGTTATAATAAAAAGTTAATGCAATTTATGTTACAGGATAAGGGAATAAGGAAGGGAGTAAAAAAGAAAACAGATATATACTAGACACACATACACATACACTCCAATATACATACAAACAAATATTCATAACAAAGTAATGATAATTACAGTCCTCATTTCTGTTAATAGGCATGTTGTCATGGTTGGTAATTATAACTACTTTCTATCAGTGTCCATACTGTTTTCCCTTTGCCTTCAATAAGCAAATCATCTGGTTGTGGTTCTTTACCTGGTAGAGTGACGCAAACCTTCATTCCTAAAGGGTCTGGACATTTTGTAGTCCTGCCTGGATTAGGTTGTTGTAGTTTTCCACTGACCTTAATTACAGGCATGGTAATATTTCGACACCCTAAGGGAACTCATGTGTTCCAGACATACTCTTCCTTAACTTTCTTTGTGACGAAGAAGTCCAGTTTTCCCCTATAGTCAGGATTAGAAACACCGTACCTCACTTCTTGGCCTGTTGATTCAGAGGCCACTTTTAATTTCTGGTTCAATAGAAATATTTTTGTGTCTCTTAAATGCAAAGCAAAACCACAATAAGATACCATCTCATGACAGTCAGAATGGTGATTATTAAAAAGTCAAGAAACAACAGATGCTGGTGAGGCTGTGGAGAAATAAGAGCACTTTTACACTGTTGGTGTGAATGTAAATTAGTTCAACCATTGTGAAAGATAGTGTGGTGAGTCCTCAAAGATCTGGAACTAGAAAGACCATTTGTCCCAGCAATCCCATTACTGTGTATATACCCAAAGGAATATAAATCATTCTGTTATAAAGATACATGCACGCATACATTCATTGCAGCACTGTTCACAATAGAAAAGACATGGAATCAACCCTAATGCTCATCAATGATAGAATGAATAAAAAAAAGTGGTACATATACATCATGGAATACTATGCAGCCATAAAAAGGAATGATATCATGTCCTTTGCAGGGACATGGATGGAGCTGGAAGCCATTATCCTCAGGAAACTGACATGGGAACAGAAAACCAAATACTACATGTTCTCACTTATAAGTGAGAGATGAACAATGAGAACACATGGACACAGGGAGGGGAACAATACACATTGGGGCCTGTCAATGGGGCTGGGAGAGGGAGAGCATCAGGATAAAAAGCTAATGCATGTGGGGCTTAATACCTAGGTGATGGGTTGATAGGTGCAGCAAACCACCATGGCACACATTTACCTCTGTAACAAACCTGCACGTCCTGCACATGTATCTTGGAACTTAAAATTAAATTAACTTAAACAAATAAATATTGTTGTGTTTCTAGATGAAAGCATTCCAACATTTGGACCTAAAACCTCTAGGCCAGCAAAGCACAGTTTTCAAAAAGAGGAAGCAACATTTTTTTCTAGTGGGTCACTAGGTGTAGTAGTGTGTGATGGCATTTGTATTTTCATTCCTTTATTCCTGAACCTACAAATCCTGGCTATAGAAGAAACAGAACTATGTATTGGATGCTGATTCAGAACATGCACAGCCTCTGAAGAACCTTGCTACAGCCCTGCAATGGATTCCCACCTATCTGGTGCTTTAACAGTCCTCAAAAGGTGCATCCACTTTTCAGTCAAACCAGGTACTTCAAAATAGTGGGAAACATGGTGAGACCAGTGAATATCATGAGCGTGAGCCCACTGCCACTCTTCCATTTGCTGTGAAGTGGTTTCCTTGATCAGAATCAGTGTTTTGTATAATACCACGATGGTGGATAAGGCATTCTGTAAGTTTGCAATGGTAATTTTGTCCAAAGCACTGTGTTCTGAAAAAGCAAATCCATATGTAGAGCTTATTCCAGTGAAGCCAAAACACTGCTTCTTCTATGATAGAAGTGGTCCAGTGTAATAACCCAACACCCACTAGCTGGCTGATCATCCACGGGAACGTTGTCGTATTCAGGATTCAGTATTGGTCTCTGTTGTTGGCCACTGGATACTCAGCTGTGGTCATAGCCAGGTCTGCTTTGATAAGTAGAAGTTCAAGTTTCTGAACTTATGGATAACCTTCATCCCTGCCACTGTAGCCGTTTTGTTCATGAGCTTATTGGTGATGACATGGGTAACTGGAGAAACAGCCTGACTGGTATGCACAGAATGAGCAACTATATCCGCATGATTATTAAAATACTCTTCTACTGAGATTATGCTATGGTAAAAATTAACATAGGACACAAATATCTTCATTTGTTTTGCCCATTCAGAGAGGTCTAACCACATATGTCTTCTTCAAATTTCCTTATTACCAATTTTCCAGCTATATTCCTTCTATGTCCCTGACCATACAGCCAACTCATTGGCCCCAGCTCATGAATATATAGGAGCAACTTTCAAATTTTTCATCACCAGAAGAAATTTCTTTCACCACTGTCTTTCAGGGAGATCTCAGAATGGGGCTAACATTGCTACAAGTGTCCATTTTTAGATGGAGTCTGTATATCATGCAGAAGCAACTGTGAACTGGCCTCAAGTCTTCTCTTCCTCTGTCAACTAATTGTAAGGAGCTCCCCCTGAGGCCATAGGTGCAGACTGGAACAGAGAATGTAGTGTAACTGGAGTAGGGACTGTGAGAGTTTGGGTCACTTTTTCATGTAACGTTTTGCCTTCAAGACTTCTCAGACCCAGTCACACACATAGTACATACATTTGACGATGAAGTGTTACAATGCAGAGCACATCAGATTTGTGGGTCAGACAAAACCCAGCCCATGATGGTCCACTCAAGTCACATGGTAACTTGGTGCTACATGGTTAAACATTTAGTTGTTATGAAGGCCCAGTAGCAGGCCAACAGCTCTTTCTCAAAAAGAGAGTAGCTAACCACAGAGAATGGCAGGGCTTTGATCCAAAATACTAAAAGCATAAGCTGTGATTCACCTGTAGGGGCCTCTCTGATACCTAAGAGCATCCCTATGTGTTACTGATTCTTCAAGGATCTGCTAGATCATATGACTCAAGTGCCAGAGCAGCTTGCATAGCAGTCTGGATCTGTTACAGAGGCTTGTTTTGTTCTAGGCCCTACTCAAAACTAGCAGCTTTTCAGATCACTCAGAAAATGATCCAGGGTAACACATCTAAATTAAGAATATGATGCCTTCAAAATTCAGAGAGGTTTACTAGGTGTTATATCCATTTTGTTTTTTTTTTTTTTTTTTTGGTTATAGGAGGGGCCAGATAATACAACTTATTCTTCACCTTAAAAAATATATCTCAACATGTCCCACATGACGAGACCCCTAGAAATTTTCCTGAGGTATAAAGCCCCTAAACTTTAATCAGATTTATTTTCTACCCTCTGACATGCAAATGTATTACTGATAAGTCAAGAATAGTTGATATTTCTTGCTCACTATATCCAGTCGCTACTATGTCATCAGTGTAATGGACCAATGTGATATCGTGTGAACAGGAAAGGCAGTCAAGGTCCCTGTGAACTAGATTGTGACATACTGCTGAAGATACACTCTGAAAGTAGGAAAGTGATAGTGTATTGCTAGCCTTGCTGGCTGAAGACAAATTGCCTGTGCTGGCTGTTATTGACATGTATGAAGAAAAAGAACTTGCAAGATCAATAGTTGCATACCAGGTACCAGGAGATGTGTTAGTTTTTTTCAAGCAATGAAACTGCATCTGGTGTAGCAGCTGTAATTGGAGTCACCACCTGGTTAAGTTTATAATAATTCACTGTCATTCTCTAAGATCCATCTGTCTTCTGCAAGGCCAGATAGGCAAGCTGAATGGGGATGTGGTGGGAATCACCACTGTTCATTTTTCAAGCCCTTGATGGTGGCACTAATGTCTGCAATCCCTACAGAGATGAAATATTGCATTTGCTTTACTATTTTCCTAAAACTGGCTTCCATTTGCCATTACCCACCATAATACACTTCACTTTACAGGTCAGGGAACCATTATGGAGATTGTGTCAGCATGAGTATATTTATTCAAAATATGCATTCCAGAACTGAGTAAATAACTGCAGGGTACATGAGGGACAATGTGGACCCACTGTGAGTTGGACCTGAGTTAAAACTCCATGGATCACCTGATTCCCATAAGCACTCTCTTTGTGGACCACCATGGCATGTTAGGTCTCCTGGAATTTGCATCAGTTCATAGCCAGGGTCCAGTAGTACCTGATTTGATTATTTTCTATTACCCAAATGAACAGTTTCACTGGTAAAAGGACATAAGTCTCTTTTGGGAAGATTAGGAGGAAGATTAAATGTACAGATTTTAGGCAGTGTACTAGGGCCCTTCCTCAAGGGCACCAAGCTTTTTCTTCATTTAAGGGGTTCTGGATTTGTAAACTGGCTAAAGTCTGGAAATTGATTGAGGAGCTATAACTCTGTTTTTATGATTCAGGTTATATTTTTGTTCACTGACCTAGAAATGTTCTGCTTATATGTATTAAGTAAGAATTCTGTAGGCTGTCTATTCCACTTCTAGGAATACCATGATCAACTAGACTATGTCATAAATCTGCACAAATTAGACTATTGTGATCACTGATTTGACTCTACTGCCAATTATGATAACCATCCCCATCTTACCTTTGGTAGTTGAGTGTTACTGCTTGGCTCCTGCCACCCTTGGATCAAATGCCAATTCAATGACTACAGTTTCCACTCTAAGTTTTGACCTATGGATAGAGAAATCACAAGCTCTTCAAGAATGCTGAAGCTCCCCTTAAATTTATTTCTCACAGTTGTGGTAAAAAATATGTCCTTTAAACTCTTTCATTGTGGATGAGTAGGTCTCAGAAAACAAATCCTCTGTAACATTTCAAGCATCCTAAGCCATTAAATCGATTCTTCTACATTAAACCAAAGCAGGTCTAGCTTTCCAATTTATTCACTGTTGTCCATCTTTCAGTTCATATTTTAGTCAATGATGCAAACAGACTGCTAGAGCCCTTTCCAACTCCCCAACCTGTAAGGTAAAATGTAGAATCTCTGTTTAGTGAGCCCATATTAATAACTTTGTCATGATCTGTCTTTATGTTTCTTCACCATTACTGCACACCCTTATTTTTTACTCCAATGCATGTTTTTATGATTTCTGCCATATAAATGATAAAACACAGGTAGTTCTTTTGGAGTGTAGTGTATCTCAAGGTTTGCTCTTTGTAACTCACTTTTAGGGGCTGGATGGGATTTCAGGCTAGTTATAGGTCTAAAAGCAAAGAGAGGTAGTAGCAATGGATTCTGAGGAGACTCAGTATTGTCTTTTGTAGACATTGCCTCTGAGAGGGCAGGGGTGGCATTACAATTTACTCAGAAAATGCAGAGTTAATCCCTTCAGATGGGGGTGGAAAGACCACTCCCACTGATGATGGAGAGACCACTCCTGAGATGGAGAGGCTTCTTCCATGGCAAAGAAGTTTCATCAGAATTGAGGGGCTTAATGTCCCCAGCTTCGTCAGGGACCTACCACACATTCCCATTCTAACTTCCAGGGTCTCTTCCTAGTCAATGCACTAAGTTTAACTGTAGACACAATATGAGGCTGAGAATTCAATTTTTATTGTATTTGAGACAATTGCAAAATGATATTCTGTACTTGATATTTAGCAATCTCAGCCTTGCAGCTACAGGATATAAAGGTCACCTTTAGAACACATAGAGAAGCTTTTAGATCGTTTGTGTAGTGCTTGCATTGGTTATCTGAATTACTGATATTATCCTTTTTTTTCTCTACTTTAAAGGTTCAGTGACATTAGGAGCAACAGCCAATCTCATTACACTCCTTAGATAATAATGTTTGAAAATATCATACAAACAGTCACCCAGTTCCTTGCTTGCTATAAGTGGGTTGTTTAGGAGAATCCACTAGTGATATTTTGCATATCTCCATTGCTACAGCTATCAAGTACTCACTTTACTACTAGAAATAGAGTCATTAGTGTCTTTATATCTAATCATATTAGAGACTCAGTTCCAGAAACCTCAGAGCCAATGCAGAAAATGTCACCCTTAAAATTATTTTCTTCTGTAACCACTATTAGAACCAAAATACGTATTAGGGTTTTCCAGAGACACAGAATAACAGATTGTATATAAATCTAGATGTAAATATTGATATCTAGATAGATATTCTATTTGGGACTATGTTCTTCACAACATTGAAAACAAGGCATCCTGAATATCCATATCAATGAAATAAATTATAATATGTTGGATATTTATTTTAGAATTATTAAGCGAACTGACTGTTAAGAATGTACAAAACCATTACAAGTCTGAAAATAGAATTTAAGAGAATGCTAAAGCCATCATTCACTCTTTTGTTTTTAAATTTCTGTTTGAAGATGAAAGGGCATTGGAGAATAAAAAATACTTGGTCATATTCAAGTTGGAAAATATAATTGGTATATTATGCATAAGGCTTAGACTCCCCCAAAGGCTTATATTAAAGACTAGCATAAATAAACCTTCCATATAGATGAGGACAGCAAAGAAAAAATTCTTACCTGTTTTGGTTGTACAGTGGTGAGGTAAAAATGTATATTACCTGAAAAACCAGAACCTTATTCCAGGCCTGGAGCAGACATTGTCTAAGACAGGTCCCATATAATTCCTTTATACTGATATCCATGGTCTTGTGCAACTTCTCACCAGTAGAATATGGCAATACTATTGAGAGTATGTTATTTCCAATAATAGATTAAATGGCTTGTCACTTACATCTTACTAGCAGACTCTTTCATTTGGTGTGTCTAACGAAGTAAGCCATCATTTTGGAGAGACACACTTGAAAAGCAACTGAAGAAAGCCTTCAACCAACAGCCAGGGAGGAACTGAGGTTCTCAGTTTAGCAACACTAGAAGAACTGAATCTTGTCGCCTATGTGAGTCAGCTTGGAAGTGAATCTTTCCTCAGTCAAGTCTTCAAATAAGACTTCAGTCACTGCTGATATCTTGATTGAAGCCTTGCGAAATACTCTGAAGCAGAGGACACAATTACACATGCCTGAATTCTTAACCCACCAAAATTGTGAGATAAAAAATACGCAATAAGTGACAGAAAGAATGGACTATGATTTCAAAGTTTTGAGAAAAAAGAACTGCAAAACTAGAATTTTATATGCAACTATACCATCAAACAATAACTAGAATCAAATGAAAACATTTTACAGGCGAATAATGAGATAATTATGATTAATAAAACCACTAAAAGATCTATTAAGGGATGTATTTCAAGTGGAAGAAAATCAAACAGAAATCGTAGGGTGTAAGAAGTGGTGTGCAAAAAGATTAATAAACCAATGAGTAGATTTGAATATGCATTGCCTATACAAATGGATTATAATAAGGGCTAAGTTTAGATGGTTAATGAAGTGGTGTAAATAAAATTCTAGGCCATAAATTCGTATTATTTTTTAACATAAGTGGACAAGTAGATAATAATAATTTCTGTGTGGCACATTCTAGTTTTTGGTTGAGGCTTGTAATGAGAAGGTAACTGGTTCTTGGACTCTTACTGCTTCTGGCTTCTCCTTACTTTGGGAATCTGTGCTGAAGGAAAAATAATTAATAAGATAAGGGTGAAGGGAGCCTGAATTTAAACTCTATTGTCTTTTGTTGTGTAAGACATGGTAGATACAATTAATAAATTTAGAAATAGCGAAGTATCATTGCCAAAAAAATTTAAAGTAATAATCAAAACTTGAAATAGAATAGAGAATATCCAACTAGATAAAGTAAAATTTAAAAAAGTAAAGTTGAATTACATGGTAGACAAAAGGAAAGGATAAAGTAAAATACTTGGGAATAGCCAGTATTCATAATGAATATTAGTAGATCAAACTCAACAACTAAAGGAAAGAAAATGTCAAACTTCTACTTTAAAACTAAAACTAAATATTTATTAAAACACACCCACATAAACTATGTCACAGAAATGTTGAAATAAATATTTAAAATATATAATCAGTAATTTTAATTATAAAGAATGATGCAGACCTGATATTAATATACATAAAATAAAGAAAAGAAGCAGCAATAAGTATGTGGTTGCTACTTATTGTTAAGAAGTGTACTTTCTACATAAGCTATAAAAGTTGTGGTTCTGTTTATACCCAATTTAATAGGCTTAAACATATAATGATAAAACTGATTTTGAAAGAAAATTGAAAAATTCACAATCACTAAGATAAATTAACACCATCTTTCCAATAATTGATTCATTAAACAGCCAAAAATAGCAAGATTTATAAAAAATATGATAACACAATAAATATATTTCATCTAATACGTGTGTGGAATCTGCAACCACCAAGTAAATAATTCAGATTATTTAAAATTTACAGAACATTTACGTAAGTGACCATAAAACTGGCCTCAAAGCAAATCAAACTGAAATAATTATTACCAGGTAGACAACACCAAATTCTTCTAAAACAATGCAATAAATTATAAACTGTTAATAAAATGTAGTCAAAATTTTCCAAATTCAAAAATTTAACTTGTTCCTCTCAATATATCACAGGATGAAAAAGGAATAATAAAGAAAAATTTACATTATTTAAAACTAAACCATAATGGAAATGCTACATATAAAATCTTATTAAAATATAATATTAAATGCATATGTTAGTATATTATGTCATTCTCGCATTACTATAAAAAATACCTGACACCGGGTAATCATAAGAAAAGTGATATAATTGGCTTATGGTTCTGCAGGCTATACAAGAAACATAGCACTAGCGTCTGCTTCTGAGGAGGCCTCAGGAAGCTGACAATCATGGCAGAAGGCAAAGGGGAAGCAGGTATCCAACATGGCAGCAGCAAGAGCAATGGCAGGGAGAAAGTTCCACATACTTTTAAATGACCAGATCTCGTGAGAACTCACTGTCACAAAGACAGCACCAAGCCATGTGGAAACTGCTCCCATGGTCCAAACACCTTCCACCAGGCACCACCTACAAATGAGGTATGAAAATTCAACTTGAGATGTGGACTGGGATAAATATCCAAACTATATCATTCCACCACTGGATCCTCCCAAATCTCATGTCCTTCTCACACTGCAATATACAATCATGTGGAGGTTCCCAAATCTCAATTCTTGACTTCTGTGCACCCGCAGGCTCAACATCACATGGAAGCTGCCAAGGCTTGGGGATTGTATCCTCTGAAGCCATGGCCCAACCTGTACTTTGGCTCCTTTAATCACGCCTGGAGCAGCTGGGACACAGGGCACCAAGACCATAGGCTGCACAGACCAGTATGGCTCTGGGCCTGGCTGATAAAACCGTTTTTTATATCCTAGCCCTCCAGGCGTGTGATAGCAGGGCCTGCTGCCACAGTCTCTGACATGCCCTGGAGATATTTTCCCCATTGTCTTAGCAATTAACATTTGGTTCCTCATAACTTCTGCAAACCTCTGCAAGCCACTTGAATTTCTCCTCAGAAAATGGGTTTTTCTTTTCTACCACATTGTCAGGCTGCAAATTTTCTAAACTTTTATGCTTTGCTTCCCTTTTAAATGTAAGTTCCAGTTCTAAACCATATCTCCGTGACTACATAAAGCTGAATGCTTTTAACAGCACCCAAATCACCTGATGAATGCCTTGCTGCTTAGAAATTTCTTCCACTAGATACCCTAAATCGTCTCTCTCCTGTTCAAAGTTTCAGAGATCTCTAGGGCAGGGGCAAAATGCCACCAGTCTCTTTGCCAAAACCTAGCAAGAGTCACCTTTATTCCAGTTCCCAACAAGTTCTTCATCTCCATCTGAGATGAGCAGCATTTGGTGAAAGCCACTCGACAAGTCTCTAGGACATTCCAAACTTTCCCACATTTTCCTGTCTTCTCCTGAGCCTTTCAAACTGTTCCATCCTCTGCCTATTACCCAGTTCCAAAGTCACTTCCACTTTTTCAGGTATCTTTACAGCAGCATCCCATTCTACTGGTATCCATTTACTGTATTAGTCTGTTCTCACGCTGCTAATAAAGACATATTGGAGACAGGGTAATTTATAAAGGAAAGAGGTTTAATTGACTCACAGCTCCACATGACTGGGGGGGCCTCACAATCATGGCAGAAAAGCAAGGGACATCTTACATGGTGGCCAACAAGAGAGAGCTTGTTCAGGGGGACTCCCCTTTATTAAACCATCTGATCTTATGAGACTTATTCGCTATCATGAGAACAGTATTGGAAAGACCCACCCCCATGATTCAATTACCTGCCACCAGGTCCCTCCCATGACATGGGAATTGTGGGAGCTAAAATTCAAGATGAGATTTGGGTGGGGACACAGCCATACCATATCAACTACATATGAAATTCTTTGTTGGAAGTAATTTTCTTTATGCATGCTGAATATAGGCCCCCAGTCTCTTCCGGCTTTCAGGGTTTCTGCTGAAAGTTCTACTGTTAGCCTGATGCAGTTCCCTTTGTAGGTAATCTGTCTCTTCTCTCTAGCTGCCTTTATTTTTTTGAGAAATGGAGACCAGAGATTAACTGGTAAATAGTTTTCTTTGGAATTTGAGTGAGTCTGAAAGACAAACATTAATAATAGATCTGTTCATATGTGGTTACACTCTTGGATTTTTTTCTTTTAACATTTATTTTAAGTTCAGAGGTACATGTGCAGGTTTGTTACATAGGTAAACTTATGTAATGGGGGTTTGTTTTACAGATAAATCCATCACGCAAGTATTAAGCCTAATACATATTAGTTGTTTTTCCCGATCCTCTCCCTTCTCCCACACTCTACCCTTTGAAAGTTCTCAGTGTGTGTTGTTCCCTTCTATGCGTCCATGTTTTTCTCATCATTTAGCTCCCACTTATATGTGAGAACATGCAGTATTTGGTTTTCTGCTCCCATGTTCATTTGCTAAGGATAATGTCCTCCAGCTCTATCAATGTCCCTGCAAAGGACACGATCTTGTTCTTCTTTTTGGCAGCGTAGTATTCCATAAGGTATATGTACCACATTTTCTTTATCCAGTCTATCATTGATAAACCCTTAGGTTGATTCCATGTCTTTGCTATTGTGAATAGTGCTGCAGTGAACATACTCGTGCATGTGTCTTTTATAATAGACAGATTTATAACCTTTGGGTTATATATTCAGCAATGTAATTGCTGGGTCAAATGGTATTTCTATCTATAGGTCCTTGAGAAATCCCCACACTGTCTTCCATAATGGCTGAACTAATTTACACTCGCACCAACAGTGTATAAACATTCCTTTTTTTGCCACAACCTTGCCAGCATCTTTTACTTTTTAACTTTTTAATAATAGCCATTCTGACTTATGTTAGATGCAATCTCATTGTAGTTTTGATTTACATTTCTCTAATTATCATTGATGTTGACTATTTTTATATGATTGTTGGCTGCATGTATGTCTTCTTTTAAAAAGGTGTTTGTTCATGTCCTTTACCCACTTTATTATGCAGTTGTTTGTTATTTTTTCTTGTAAATTTTCTTAATTTCCTTATAGATGCTGGATATTAGACCTTTGTTGGCTGCATGGTTGACCAAAATTTTCTCCCATTCTGTAGATTTTCTGTTTACTCTGTTAGTCATTTTTTCCTCAACAAAATGCTAGCAAACTGAATCCAGCAGCACATCAAAAACTTATTGACCATGATCAAGTAGGCTTCATCCCTGGGATATAAGGTTTTTTCAATATACACAAATCAATAAATGTGATTAATCACATAAACAGAATAAAAGACAAAAAGCACATGATTATCTCAATAGATACAGAAAAGGCCTTCGATGAAATTTAGCATCCATTCATATTAAAACTCTCAATAAACTAGGTATTGAAGGAAAAGAGCTCAAAATAATAAGAGCCAGCTATGAAAACCCACAGCCAACATCATACTGAATGGGCAAAAGCTGGAAGAATTCCCTTTGAAAACTGACGAAAGACAAGGATGACGTCCTTCATCACTTCTATTCAACATAGTATTGGAATTTCTGGCTGGGACAATCAGGCAAGATAAAAAAAAATAGAGGGCATTCATATAGGAATAGGATCTCAAAATATCCCTGTTTGCAGTTCACATAATCCTATGTCTAGAAAATTCCATAATCTCAGCCCAAAAACTTGTTAAGCTAATAAATAACTTCAGCAAACTCTCAGGATAAAAACTCAATGTGCAAATATCACTTGCATTCCTATACACCAACAACAGTCAAGCCAGGAGCCAAATTAGCAGTGGTGGTGCAGCAGCTTTGTGATGGATTCCTTGCACATGTACTCCAGTGGGGGTAGCACAGTAGGGTCCGCACACATGCCCTTGCACCAGTGGGAGTGGGGCAGCAGTGGTGAAATCTAACGAAATATTTTTTGGTATTGTAGTCTGAGCTGTGATCCAGTAGAAGGTACCTAAGAACAATGGTCTGTAAATAGGCTCCTACTCAGCCCAGCAACTCCTCTGTATCTCCTCTCATTTGCAGCAGTGCTCTTTGGTGTGTGTGTGTTGGGGGGGGGAACCCCTTCCACGCACTGGCACTGTGCCCTCATTTCTTTTGTGAGGTTTTTGAGGCTATGGGGCTCCCTAAGCCAAGTCTGTGGCAGGGATATTCGTCACACCTTTTCAGGCCAGCCCTGTAGAAGGAGACATGCCCCGCTCCCACTGCAGCCCACAAGCCCATGCATCTCACCCCTCTGAGTGTTCTGAGAATATGGGCTCCTCTCTTTCTTAAAGTGCTAGACACAGATCTTGACTTGGCATTCCTGAGTTGCACACTGAAGCCCTGGTGTGCCAGGATTGACAAACAGCTCCTTCTGAGAAGTGACAGCGTGCTGGCAGACCTCGCTCCCTCTGGGCGCCTCCTCGGCCTTGGCGCCCACTCTGGCCGCGCTTGAGGAGCCCTTCAGCCCACCGCTGCACTGTGGGAGCCCGTTTCTGGGCTGGCCAAGGCCGGAGCCGGCTCCCTCAGCTTGCAGGGAGGTGTGGAGGGAGAGGCGCGGGCGGGAACCAGGGCTGCGCGCGGCGCTTGCGGGCCAGCGCGAGTTCCGGGTGGGCGTGGGCTCAGCGGGCCCCACACTCAGAGCGGCCGGCCTGCCCACAAGCCCCGGGCAGTGAGGGGCTTAGCACCTGGGCCAGCAGCTGCTGTGCTCGACTTCTCGCCGGGTCTTAGCTGCCTCCCTGCGGGGCAGGGCTCGGGACCTGCAGCCAGCCATGCCTGAGCCTCCCCCGCCCGCCGTGGGCTCCTGTGCCGCCGGAGCCTCCCCGACGAGTGCCGCCTGCTGCTCCATGGCGCCCAGTCCCATCGATCACCCAAGGGCTGAGGAGTGCGGGAGCGTGGGGTGGGACTGGCAGGCATCTCCACCTGTGGCCCCTGTGCGGGATCCACTGGGTGAAGCCAGCTGGACTTCTGAGTCTGGTGGGGACTTGGAGAATCTTTGTGTCTAGCTAAGGGATTGTAAATACACCAATCAGCACTCTGTATCTAGCTCAAGGTTTGTAAACACACCAATGAGCACCCTCTGTCTAGCTCAGGGTTTGTGAATGCACCAGTCGACATTCTGTATCTAGTTACTCTGGTGGGGACTTGGAGAACCTTTGTGTGGACACTCTGCATCTAGCTAATCTAGTGGGGAAGTGGAGAACTTTGTGTCTAGCTCAGGGATTGTAAATGCACCAATCAGCACCCTGTCAAAACGGACCAATCAGCTCTCTGTAAAATGGACCAATCGGCTCTCTGTAAAATGGACCAATCAGCAGGATGTGGGTGGGGCCAGATAAGAGAATAAAAGCAGGCTGCCCAAGCGTGCAGTGGCAACGTGTTCCGGTCCTCTTCCACATCACGGAAGATTTGCTCTTTCCTCTTTGCGATGAATCTTGCTGCTGGTCACCCTTTGGGTCCACACAGCATTTATGAGCTGTAACTTTCAGTGCGAAGGTCTGCAGCTTCATTCCTGAAGCCAGCGAGACCACAAACCCACCGGGAGGAAAGAACAGCTCCAGGCGCGCCGCCTTAAGCGCTGTAGCACTCACCGCGAAGGTCTGCAGCTTCACTCCTGAGCCAGCGAGACGACGAACCCACCGGGAGGAACGAACAACTCCAGGCGCGCCGCCTTAAGAGCTGTAACACTCACTGCGAAGGTCCGCAGCTTCACTCCTGAGCCAGCGAGACCACGAACCCACCAGACGGAAGAAACTCTGAACACATCCAAACATCAGAAGGAACAAACTCCGGACACGCCTCCTTTAAGAACTGGAAAGACTCACCGCGAGGGTCCGTGGCTTCATTCTTGAAGTCAGTGAGACCAGGAACCCACCAATTCCGGACGCACTTCCTCCGGACTGTTGGTGCACTGAGTGATCTGAAGTGCTCCCTGGCCACCATGAATGTAAGCAGGTGAGGCAAAGTACCCAGGCTTGGCAGCAGAGGCTGGGCTATGCACACACTCTTAGCAGCCAGACAGTGGACCTGGGCGTAGCTACAGGTCAGGAGGGCCTGCAGAACAGATGTGCCCAGTGCTGCAGAGAACTCGGCCCCACTTTCTCCTGGCCTGGTAGTCAGATTAGGCTAGAGCTCCGTCAGAGAAAGATGGGGAGCCCAGGGAGATAGGTCCCTATGGCCGTATTCTGCTGGAGGTGTGTGGTGCACAAAGTCCCCCAGCTCTGTGCTGGCTTAAGCCTCTTCTTTGTCTACTGTCTGGGAAGATCTCCCTGTCAGCTTAAATGTATGTGGGGGACATGGGGACCCCTGTAGCCGGGATCCTGGAGGTCCACAGCAACAGTGGCCTGTCCCACAGTTTCTTCACTCATTCATTCCCCAGGAGCCTTTCCAGGCTGGCAACTAGCCCCAGCATTTGAGTATCCCATGCAGGGATCCCATGCAGCATCTGTGTCACATCTCCACCCACTTTTGGAATTTTCTCTCCTTAGATCTGTCCAAATTATGTCGGTTTACTCAAAACCTTGCTCGCTCTAGGGAGTGGCACTGAGGAACATTTGTTCCAAGCTGTGGTAGACTTGAACCCGGGTCTCCTACCAGAGATCAGTGCTGATTTCGATCTTCTTAAATTTGTTAAGACTTGTTTTGTGATTTAACATATCATCATGTGTTTGAGGAAAATGTTCTTCCTTTCCTGGGTGAGAAGTTCTATATACGTCTGTTAAGTCTATTTGGTCTATAGTTTTATTCAAATCAGCTGTTTCTTTATTGGTTTTCTATTTATATGTTCAATTCATTATTGAAAGCACAGCAAGTGAAGGCCGTATATCACAGGTACTTGTTTATTTTTTTATTTTATTTTTTTAAATTATACTTTAAGTTTTAGGGTACATGTGCACAACGTGCAGGTTAGTTACATGTGTTTATTTTTATCCATTCAGCTACTCTATGCATTTTGTCTGGGGAACTTAATTTATTTACTTTTAAAGTAATTATTGATAGGTGATGACTTACTATTGCTATTTTTTATTTTTTCTCTTTCACAGTTGTTTTGTTCCTCTCTCTTTTGCTGTCTTCCTTTATTTAATGATTTTACACAGTATATATAGACTTTTAAAATTTATTTGTCTTGTTTACCCATATGTTTAATATTTTGTGTTCTTACTTCCTTCATGCTGTTATTTATTTCTACTTGGTATTGTAAATTTTCAAAATGGTTGAATTTATTTTCGCAGGTCTTCTAGTGCAGGTCTGCTAGTAAAGAATTATTTCTATATTTGTCTAAAGCTATCCTTATTTCGCTTTCTTTTTTACAAAAGATATTTTTGTTGGATAAAAATTCTGTACGATATTTTAAATTCTCTTTTATCACTTTAATTAGTTATTTTCATTGTCTTCTGACCTCCGTTGTTTCTCGTGAAAATTAGGTTTTCATTCTCAGTTATACCCTGAGTATAATCTTTTTTTTCTTTGGATGCATTTAAGATGCTATCTTTTTCTAGGTTTTTATTAGCTTGAATAAAATGTGCGTAGAGGTTTTTCTCTTCATTTGTCGATTTTTGAAATTTTTTGATCAGTTATTGAGGAATTTCAGCAATTTTTAAAAATCTTGATAATTGTTGCTTTATATATTACTTTTGCTTCATTCTCTTTCTCATTACAGGACCTCAAAGATATGAGTGTTAGGCAGTTTGAAATAGTCTCACACAACTCAGATGCTTAATTTTTTTTCCCTATTTTGTACTTCTATTGGAGTAATTTTTGTTGGTCTCTCTTCAAATTCTGGCTTCAAGTTTCCTGATACTTTCTTTTTTTCCTGTCTGCTTTTAATCACATTGAATGAATACTTCATTTATAATGCTGTAGCATTACATTTAACATTTTCCATTTTATTCTAGTTTATTTTTTCCATTTCTTATGTGAAATGCTCCATCTGTGCATTCATGCTGTCCACTTTACCCAATAGGCCATTTAACATTTATCATAGCTATTTTAATGTTCTTGGATGCTAATTAAAATTTCTATAATCTTACTTTGATTAACATTTTCAGTCTTGATTTTGAGCTGCATTTGTCGGATTATTTGTATGGTTTTTAATTTTTTGTATTTTACAGCAGTCACATTTTGTTTACACTTTGTGTAACACAATGTTAGAGGATGAAGCGTATGATATTTACCTCAAGTAAATGCCACACTTCTTCTTTTGATGTTATGATAGAATAGAAGACTATAGGAATCTGCTCTGTGGTTGAGCTGTCCCTGGCCTTTGTGATAGCTTTCATTAGATTCAGTTGGCCAGTGGCTCCAAATATGTGAAGGTGATCAACATCATTTCTCATTAGGAGAACAGAAATAAAAATACAATGTGATATTGACATATTCATACAAATACAGGTAAGATTTATAAAGCTGAAGATTCCAGATTTTGTAAAGATGCAGAACAACTAGAACTCTCACATGTTCTTTGGGTTTTGAAAAATGATACATCCACTTCGGGGGTATTTTAAAAACCTATCTGGCAGTATCTAACAAAGCATATCTAATAGGAACAATAATATTCCTATCTATGCTGCAACCTAACAATCCCATTGCTAGAGAAATGAGTGAATATGTGCATATATCCTCTGAAGAGCATGTAATGGAATATTAATAGCAAATGTATCTATGATATCCTCAGACTGAAAACAAGCCCACCAAGTGTAGAATGAGGAAAATGTGATCTGTGTATACAATGTTATACTATCCAACAATAAATAGAACAAAATATTTGCTACATATAACACTGTCAATGTATTTCACAGGCATTAAGTTATTTTACAGAAACCACACAAAAACTATTTACAAATTAGTACATGCAGTGTGTGATTACTTTAATTTATGGTGATATAAATAAAAACATAGAAATAAAAACTTTAATTTATGGTGGTTGTCCCTGTGGGTGGGGAGATTGATTTAAAATGGGCATGAATGAACTCTATGGAATATTAAAAATGTTATTTATCTTAAACTCCATGGTGGTGATGAAGTATATGCATATGTAAAAATATATCTAACCTGCACAATTAAGATTAGAGCACTTTACTATATGCATTCGTATTTCAAAGACATTGCTTTTATTATTATCTGACTTGTTTGATTTACTTAATCTTTTTTAACTTAAAAACGGCTTTTAAGTCAAGTAAATCTGCATCTTGTATTTAAATTTACGCTGACATACAAAATAAAGTAGAAAAACATATTAAGAAAAATATATTTTTATTGTTATTGGATAAAGCAAAACCTTATTACAGCAGGGTCTTAAGAGACAAACAGTTTTATTTTCCTACAGTATTATTTTTCTTATCCTTGTCATAGTTGAGATTTGAAGATATTAAAAAAATATAAGGAGAATTGTTGATGGTCCAACAATCCTGAGGCCTAGAGAGGTGAAGATATATATGAAGGAGTTGAGTCTTAATATTATAAGGGGGCAGGGTGATGATAGGTAAGGTCTTTTCTTTAAGTTTATTTAACACTGATTAAAGTCAGTGATAACTAGAAATGAAGGCAAGTGATTAACATTGGGTACAAAAAACGTGTTATGTTTGTTTTGAGGAACTTCCATATTATTTTTGATAGTGGCTGTATCATTTTATAGTCCTACCAACACTGTTAAAGGATTCCAATTTCTCCACATCTTCAACAAGACTAGGTATCCTTTTTTGTTAATTTTGCTTTTTGTTTTTTGTTTTAATTAGTCGTCCTCACAGGTGTAAGTGATGTCTCATTGTAGTTTTGATTTCCATTCTGCAGATAAGTGATGTTTAGCATATTTTTATATGCATGTTTGCCATTTATATGTGTTTAGGGGAAAGTCTATTTTCCAAAAAGGTGTTTTCTTTGGAAGAAAGTCTATAGAAATGCTTTACACATTTTAATTGAGTTATTTGATTTTGTTATAGACTTGAAATCCTGCTTCTAGGTATATAGCCAAAAGAATTGAAATCTGGATCTAGAAAATATATCTATAATCCTGTATTCAGTGTAGTGTTATTCTCAAAGCCAGAACATGAAAATAAGTTAAATATCTATTGATTGATGAATGAATAAAAATAAGCAGTATATACATACAATGGAATATCATTCAGTCTTAAAAAGGCAGAAAATCCTGTCATATGCAACAACACAGATGATGCTGTAGTACATTGCCGTAAGTGAAATAAGCCAGTCACAGGAAAAATAACTGCATGATTCCACTTACAAGAGGCATCTAAAATATTCATACTTATATTAATAGAAAGAGCTAAGATGCTGGGTTCCAATGGCTGGGAGAAGGAGAAACAGTAAGTTGCTGTTCCATAGGTATAAAGTTTCAGTTATATAAAATGAATAAGCTTCAGAGATCTGATGTAGAAAATTGTGCCAATGATTAACAATAGTGTTTTGTGCACTTGAAATTTTTGTTAACAGGGTAAATTGCATGTTAAATGTTTTGCCACAATAAAAATGTAAAGTAACACCCCTGTAATGTAGAAGTTTATGGGTTTTAGAATATTGGCTTTAACCTAGAATTTTAAAGTAATTGTTAACAATATCTTAAATTTAACTATTAATCAATAATCCCTTTCTCTGGATGAAAGCATTAAACCTATGCCTATAATTTTAGATCTGTTTGAAAAGGGAAGATTATATCAATTTCTAGATCTACCTTGAAATTGTAGCTCAGATATCATGATATCTACTCAGTAACTATGGAAAAGGGGAGACTTAGAGAATAATCTGGTATTTTACACAATAGCATCTTTAAAATGTTTTGAAATATTTTCTTAGCTATTTCTTGATAGTACATACAGGGTGGTAATTTGTATAAAATAATTACAATTACTTGGTATTGGAGATACACCTGTGTAAGCAATGGTACAGTGTTTATAAAAAGTACTGGTAAATATTCGAGTTCTGAGTGGAAAGTAATGACAGATAAAAGGAGACCATTTTGCAAACAATAATAACAAACTGTTGAAAATTAAACTAGTTGAAAATGCGTGTGAAATATCCAGTGTAGTATGTCACTGGAACTTTTGAATCATCATCATCCACTCTTTTAGGGTACTCATTTGGGCCATGTTGCAATAACAGAGGTAATATCCTTTTACTAGAAAAAAAAAGTTAGTCATGGGGCTTGTTTTGTACATAACCTTCAATTTTTATCAGTCTTCTTTTTCTGCTCTGTTTACAAGCTAAACCAGCTGTGAAAGGTGCAAGCATTATAGTTTGTATTCAAAAAAGATCTGTCATTTTGTGCTTACCACAAAGCAAATGGCTCTGCCAGTTGGAGCTACAATTTATCAAGCTGCTAGACTGACAATTTTCATTGTTAACAGAAAATGTTATCATGGATATCTAATTCTGAACAGTTATTATGGAAGGGAGGTTTGAGCAGGTGACTTCAACTTCTTCTTATCAATATTGTAATCATTATTGATACAGACTTAGGAGAAGGAAATCATTTCGGCCTCTGGAACCTTGAGCACATCTTTTGACAGATTTATCTGCCTCAACTGCCACTAAGAGTCCCTGGGTTTTAGTAACAGATGTAGTATAACAAACTAACATCTCCCTATAGAACAATGAAAATTCTTTTTATCATAGCTGCTTCGGAATGAGCACAGGGCAAAGAAAATAGGGTGTTAAAACATTAATTCTCAAAATTACATTAATGGGTTAAACTTTTAGCTAATCTACCTCTTAAGCTGGAAGCAAAGACAGTGACCTGTTTTACAGCAGGACAGTGATATATCCATAAGTGCCTTCCAAACTACAATTCTTCAATATTCAATTTTTGCTGATGCAATATGCACATGCAGATAATCGTTCTACCAGTAATAGGATCCAGTGGGCTTACAGTGGTTCTGAGTCACTGGCTTACAGCTTCAGTGTGCCAACATTGGGAAAACTAGACAAATATTAGAAAAAATGTTTTTACAAAAAAGTAATTGGTGAACAAAATATAGATGAAGGAAGACTCGAAACATCATTCTGAAGTGCTAAGGTGTCAAATATCTAGATCTAATTTGCAAACAAATAAGTTTTAAATATATGAGCAGTCTTTAACTATGTTAGCACAAATATGAATAATATGTTGAGCTTATTTACCATTGGGGAGGATCAGATGAGAACGGGAGATCAGGTGTAGTTGGTTCAACTTTATTAATCCCAAACTTTATGTTTGAATCTAAATGACTAAATACTTGGCAGGAACTTAAATATTTGATCACAGAGAAGTTAAAGATGGTTCAGGTAATACATTTGGCCTTCCATCCTATTCACGCCCAAGTAAAAAGTGCACATGGTATTTACAGCATGTGTGAATGTGCGCACACAACAACAGTCCCAGAAATAATTTTAACAATAGACTTGGTAACCTACAAAATTATTTGTCTTTTATTATCCTTAGCCATTTTTGTAATGTTTTACAAAAATGGCTACCCTGTCACTGTTGTAAAGCCAATTGTGTGATAGTAAAAATATTAATAATAATGGCTTACCATGTGGCAGGAACTGTATTATGGTCATTCTTTTTTTTTTTTGAGATGGAGTTTCGCTCTTGTTGCCTTGGCTGGAGTGCAATGGCGCCATCTCGGCTCACTGCAACCTCCGCCTCCCAGATTCAAGCGATTCTCCTGCCTCAGCCTCCCGAGTAGCTGGGATTACAGGCATGCACCACCATGCCCGGCTAATTTTTGTATTTTTAGTAGAGGTGGGGTTTCTCTCTGTTGGTCAGGCTGGTCTCCAACTCCTGACCTCAGGTGATCCACCCGCCTCAGCTTCCCAAAGTGCTGGGATTACAGGCGTGAGTCACTGTGCCTGGCCTATGGTCTTTTTTTCTTCTAATTTCTCATTTTATTCGGATAATAGCCCTGTTATGTGGTTATAATTTAGCTCCAGTTTTACAGACAATGAAACTAAAATTAGAAAAGTTTACAGATTTTTAAATTCACACAAATATTAAATGGAGAGCCAGGATATAAAACCAGATCTTTCAGTTTCTACATCCTGGAATCTTAAATGTTAAATCATGTGTTATCAATTTCTTTATTTTTATTTTATTTTATTCAACTTTTATTTCATGTTCAAGGGTGTATGTGCAGGATGTGCAGGTTTGTTACAAAGGTAAATGTGTGCCATGATGGTTTGCTGCATAGATCATCCCATCACCAAATATTAAGCCCAGCATCCATTAGCTATTCTTCCTGATGCTGTCACTCCCACAACCTCTCTGACAGGCCACAGTGTGTGTTGTTCTCCCCATGTGTCCATGTGTTGTCATCATTCAGCTTCGACTTACAAGTTGGAACATACAGCATTTGGTTTTCTCTTCCTGCATTAATTTGCTAAGGATAATCGCTTCTAACTCCATCCATGTCCCTGCCAAAGAAATGATCTTGTTCCTTATTATGGCTACATAGTATTCCACTGTGTGTGTGTGTGTATGTGTATGTGTATATATATAATGTTTTCTTTGTCCAGTTTTTCATTGATGGACATTTAGGTTGATTCCATGTCTTTGCTATTATGAATAGTGCTGCAATGAACATATGCATGCCTGTATCTTTATAATAGAATGATTTATATTCCTTTGGAATATATGCCCAGTAGTGGGATTACGGGGTCAAATGGTATTTCTGCCTCTAGGTATTTGAGGAATTGCCACACTGTCTTCTGCAATGGTTGAACTAATTTACACTCCCACCAACAGTGTAAAAGCATTCCTTTTTCTCCACAGCCTCGCCAGCATCTGCTGTTTTTTTGACTTTTTAATAATTGTCATTTTGACAGGCGTGAGATGGTATCTCATTGTGGTTTTGATTTGCATTTCTCTAATGATCAATGATATTGAGCTTTTTTTCTTATGTTTGTTGAAAGCATGTATGTCTCTTTTGAGAAGTATCTGCTCATGTCCTTTGCCCACTTTTTAATGAGGTTGCTTGTTTTATTCTTGCAAATTTGCTTAAGTTCCTTGTAGACTCTGGATATTAGACTTTGGACAGATTGATAGATTGCAAAAATGTTCTCCCATTCTGTAGGTTGTCTGTTTACTCTGATGATAGTGTCTTTTGCTGTGCAGAAGCTCTTTAGTTTGATTAGATCCCATTTGTCTATTTTGGCTTTTGTTGCAATTGCTTTTGGCATGTTTGGCATGAAACCATTGCCCATGTCTATGCCATGAATTGTATTACTTAGATTTTCTTCTAGGATTTTTATAGTTCTGGTTTTTATATTAAGTTTTTAATCTATCTTTAATTGATTTTTGTATGTGGTGTAAGGAAGGGGTCCAGTTTCAATCTTCTGCATATGGCTAGCCAGCCCTCTCCTTACCATTTATTAAATAGGGAATCCCTTCCCCATTGCTTTTTTTGTCAGATTTGTCGAAGGTCAGATAGTTGTAGGTGTGTGGTCTTATTTCTGGGTTCCCTTCCCTGTTCTGTTCTTTTGGTCTAAGTGTTTGATCTTGTGTCAGTACCATGCTGTTTTGGTTACTGTAGTCTTGTAGTATAGTTTGAACTTGGGTATCGTGATGCCTCCAGCTTTGTTCTTTTTGCCTAGGATTGTCCTGGCTACTGGGGCTCTTTTTGGGTTTCATATGAATTTTAAAATAGTTTCTTTCTAATTCTGTGAAGAATGTCAATAGTAGTTTAATGGGAATAACATTGAATTTATAAATTACTTTGGGCAGTATGGCCATTTTCATGATACTGATTTTTTATCCATAAGCGTGGAATATTTCTCCATCTGTTTGTGTCCTCTGTAATTGCTTTGAGCAGTGTTTTGTAGTTCTTCTTGAAGAGGTCCTTCACTTTCCTTGTTAGCTGTATTCCTAGGTATTTTACTCTTTTTGAAGCAATTGTGAATGGAAGTTTATTCATGACTTTGCTCTCTGCTTGCCTGTTGTTGGTATATAGAAATGCTAGCGATTTTTGCACATTGATTTTGTATCTTGAGACTTTGTTGGAGTTATTTATCAGCTTAAGAATCTTTTGAGCTAGACGATGGGGTTTTCTAGATATAGGATTATGTCATCTGCAAGACAAGATAATTTCACTTCCTCTCTTCCTGTTTGAATACCCCTTATTTATTTCTCTTGCCTGATTAGCCTGACCAGAGCTTCCAATACTATGTTGAATAGGAGTCATGAGAGAGCGCAGGCAACCTTGCCTTTTGCCAGTTTTCAAGGAAAAGGCTTCTAGCTTTTGCCCATTCAGTATGATATTGGCTGTGGGTTTGTCATATATGACTTTTATTATTTTGAGTTATGTTAACAAATTTTAACCTTTTTGGTCTGTGACCTTAAACCGTCAATTATTTGTTTTCCCCACCACTCTCACTATCTATAATGTCTCCTTCCTTTCTACCTTCCCTACGATTATGCTTACATTTTCCCTTAAAAAAATAAAAAGAAGAAAATGAATGAGCAGGTGCAAGAAGAGGGGAAGCAGAAAGAGGAAGAGAATGTATTTCTTTCATATGGGTTTCTCTTTAACTTATTGATATATTTATTTTCTTTGACAAACTTTTTAAGGAAGTAGGCTTTTCTCATTGTCTCCACTTCTTTACCTGTTATTTATTCTTCAATCTACTCTAAATGTGTTTTGGTTTTAAGTTTTTTAAAACTGCTCAGCAGAAAGACAGTCAATGACTTCCTACTTGTGAATTCCAGCAAGCTTTTTATCAAACTTCATTTTACTTATCATTCACTTTTGACATTGTTGACATTTTCTTGACAATCTCTCCTATCTTGGCTTCCTACACAACCACTTCATTCTATTTCTAACCCTGCCTCTGTGGGCACTATGGCTTGATATTTTTCACCTCCTTCGATCATTTTCTCTCACTCTCCCTCCCTTCTTAAATATTGGTGCATTCTTCAAAGTCCTCTGCTTGTCTTCTCTGTTTGATTCCAGAGAGTTTCTCATTACTTCAGCTATTTCAATTTTCAATACTTATTTTTTCACCTGTATGTTACTTAGGCCTGATTTTTATTTTAAAATCTAGTACCACATATATTCCTAAATCACTATTTAATCTGTTTCCTTTACCACTATCTTAATTTTGTCTCGTGGTCTTTTACCTAGACTACTGTAAACATTTCCTAACCAGGGTCTCTACTTACAATCTCATCTTCATCAATCTACTTTTACACTGCAGTCTGAGGTAGCCTTCTAAAACACGAGTGAATAATATTGTTCACATGCAAAAAATCTTCATTGTTTTCTGCCACATACATACTAAAATCTAAGCCCTCTGTTACGGCACTTTATATTATTGGCAGCCTGGCCTCATTTATCTTTCTGGCCTAATCTATTAGAACTACCATACATACAAGCCATATTGCTGACACACTTCACCATTTACCAATCATGGAATGCACTGCATTCTTGCATACGTTTTTTTTAAATTTCCCATTTTGAATAACCAAAATGTTATCCTCAGTCATTCCGAATATATGTATGTTATACACTTCTTATCCTTCAAGAACCACCTAAAATCTCACTTCTATAAACCCTAACTGATTTTTTCAGGTAAATATAAAATTGCGCCTTTCTCTGAGTGTCCACAACACATACTTACACCTATTATAATGCACACCTTTTGTATTATACTTTTTTGACATGCCATTCTCATCCATTATTTTTGAGACCATTGAAGAAAAGGATTGTGTCACATTCATCTCTATAACCCTAAACCTCTGTAAATATTATGCATTTGCTATGGACTGGATGTGTTTTTTTCATATGTTGAAATCTTAATCTCCAATGTGATGGTATTAGGAAATGGGGGCCTTTGCGAGGCAATTAGATCACAAAGGTGAAACCTTCATGATGCGATTAGTGCCCTTATAAGAAGAGACTAAGAATTTGCTTCCTCTCTCTCTCCACAATGTGAGGATACAGCAAAAAAATATATCTATCTGCTAACCAGGAAGAAAGCCTTCACCAGGAACCATATTGCTGCCACCTTGATTTTAGACATCTCAGCATCCAGAACTGTGAGAAATAAATTTCTGTTTTTTGAGCCACCCAATCTGTGGAATTTTTGTTGTAGCAGCCCAACTGCTGACTAAGACAGTACTCAAGAAGTGTATTCTGAATTAAGTAAAGAATGAATGGGTGCCAATTGTTTAGTCGGTACCTATAAAGCAATGAGAGAGATGCTTCTATGAAGTCTTCAGACAAATAGGTCTCAACAATATTCACTTTCTTTGTTGTAATCCAATCTGAGTTACCTGTGGTTGTGAAGAAACTCAGAATAAGCGAGAAGTCAGTAACAAACACCTTCCCTATATTATAGTATTTGTTTAAATTCTTTTGAAAGGATGCAAGGGAGATTTTATAAAGGTCTCATCAATAATATTATTGCTGCTATCCATTAATCATTTTCTCATTGCTTGAAACATCCAGGAGATTTATTTACAGCCCATGGAGTGAAAAAGTGCTGGACAATAGAGATGAATAAACATGTTTCTTGCTTACAAATAGCTAAATATAATGGTTGAGGATTCAAGAAGATTTGAAATTATGTTTTTAGAAATGAAAAAATTAGGCATTTGTATTATCCATATTTTGATTAAATAATCTTTGCCATGTTAAAACCGTTCATTCCTCCTTTTTTAAGCTTTTATTTTAGATTCAGGGATACATGTACAAGTTTGAGGGTAAACTCATATCAGAACATGAACAGACACTTTTCAAAAGAAGAGATACATGCGGCCAACAAGCATGTGAAACAATGCTCAATACCACTAATTGTTCCTTCCCTTCTACTCTGTTTAAGAAAATTATTCTCTTGCCAATAGTGGAAATGAAATAATTACCCACACTCTCTTAGCTTTCCTGTAAAGTAAAAACAGATGGGAGACCAGGGTGCCTGGAATATACGCAATAACAAAATAGGTTCTGGGGTTAAGTATTATACCCCAAGTGCTATTAAAACTTTAATTCGGCTGGGCACGGTGGCTCAAGTTTTTAATACCAGCACTTTGGGAGGCCGAGGCGGGCAGATCACGAGGTCAGGAGTTCGAGACCAGCCTGGCCAAAATGCTGAAACCCTGTCTCTACTAAAAATACAAAAATTAGCTGGGCATGGCGGTGCATGCCTGTAATCCCAGCTACTGGGGAGGCTGAGGCAGGAGAATGGCTTGAACACAGGAGGCGGAGGTTGCAGTGAGCCGAGATCATGCCACTGCACTCCAGCCTGGGAGACAGAGCAAGACTCCATCTCAAAAAAAAAAAAAAAAAAAGCAAAACAAAAAACTTTACTCTAATTCTAAGGAGTATTTTGAATTGATGTCGATAAAAACGGAACTTCGAGTTATCTGCACACAATTTATATTTTGATTTGGGATAGTGTTCACACTTGTTTAATCATTTTTTTCTTTACAGAATGTTCAAATATTTAAAGAAATACTAAAATATTTTTAGCATATTTTTCTATGTAGTCTTTTAACGAGAAAAGCAAAGCAATTTTATATAATATCTGTGAAGTAATTATGTTTCAAAATACAGATTAACCTAACTTTAAAAGTTTACCCTTATGTCAGGCAAAACATTTCCTTTATCAAATCCCATTTACTTTTAGGGATCTTGCTTTGTATTTGTGTACATTTGCAGCCTAGACAACTGCAATCATCTACTAGCTGATATCTCCCTCTAGGCACTGAGAAACTTCTTTTCTTTCACACTACGACCTGAACAGCACTTCCCTAAATAAAACCCTCCTTTGACTCACCAGTGGCTCTAGGATGAATTCTTTAACCCTTTTCTGGTCATAATTATTCCCAGTCTATCTCTCCAGGACTGAATTATGATTTCTTCCTCCATATGTGCTCCTGCTACATGAAACTACTTACTTTTCCTGACATCCAACATGTTGCTTTACACTACTCAACCTTTGTACATGTTGAATTCTGTGAATGGAATTCTTTAGTTTCTAGTATTATCCTTAACTCAGCAATATCCCCCCCAGCTAAAATGTGGTTTATATTTGAAGCTTTTCTCAATTATCTCAGGAAAAATTAGTGAATAATACTCTAAGCTTCCAAAGCCAGTGTGAATTTTAAGTTACAACAGTTATCACAAAGTATTAAATTATTTACTAGTTGATAACTTTCCAAGAATGTAAATTTCTTGTGAGAAAAAACCATGACTTCTGTTAACTTTGTCACCATATTCCCAATGTAATACTTGCACATAGTAAATGCTCAATACATTTATATTGGTTGGGTGAATAAATTGTACTATATTCCCTTATAGATCAATTTATTCCACATATATTTAATCCTTATTATATGTCCCATACTCTATAGATAATGGTATAAGATGATAAGCAAGATAGACATAGCTCTTGTCTTTATGAAAATAAAGACAAATAAGTAATTACAATATAATGTTATTCTCAGAGTAAAGAGATACATTAAATTTGTCTACTTGTCTCTCTTCCGTTGTTGTCAGATGTTCTAGCAATTTATTACATGCATGGTCAGCCAGTTAGTTTCTCAACTGAGGAGTTAAGAGCAACCAAATATATAGAATGATTTTATCAAATAAAAAATTACAGCCTATAATAAAATTATACCATTTTGTAATTCAAATGCTGTAAAAAATAAAACCATGTGTTTCTTTTTTTGTTTAAAAGGTTCTTTTAAAGTCTTGAGTAAGATAAGTTCTTTACCCACAACTAAAAAAAGAAGACATTTTAAATAAAAAAGTCATTTTAAATAAAAAAGTTAACAGTAAGTACAATCTCTTCAGGTGGTATTTATATGTATATATATTTACTCTTTGCCTTCTGGTTTTGTTTGTTTTAATTTTTATTCAAGTAATACATAAGCATGCTTTAAATATCAAATGATATAGAAGAGTATTTAATACATTGCAACTGTTCCATTTCCCACTACTTCGTATTCCCAGTTCCACTTCCTAGAGGTAACCATTTTTACTTATTTTGTAATCAGTAATTCACAGTATAAAATATATTCACTGAATTCCTTTTTGTTTGTACAATTTGATGAGTTTTGACAAATGGATACAGTTGTGTAACCACAAGCACATTTGAGATATGAAGTACATCCATCAGACCCATAAGTTTCTTCCTTTCCCTTTGCAGTTGGTTTTCTTCCCTCAAACTATGGCACTTGAAAATCAACAATTTCCCTCCTATCACTATAGATTTGTGTTTTCTGGAGAGGAATTTTTAAAAATTAATTATTATTATTATAAATAATATTAATAATTTATTAATAATAATATTATTTTTTGAGACAGAGTCTCGCTCTGTCACCAGGCTGGAGTGCAGTGGCACCATCTTGGCTCACTGCAACCTCCACCCCCCTGGGCTCAAGCAATTTTCCTGCCTCAGCCTCCTGCGTAGCTGGGATTATGGGAGCGCACCACCACATGCAGCTAATTTTTGTATTTTTAGTAGAGACGGAGTTTCACCATGTTGGCCAGGATGGTCTTGATCTCTTGACCTTGTGATCCACCCGCTTTGGCCTCCCAAAGTGCTGATAATACAGACGTGAGCCACTGCACCCGGCCTGGAATTAATTTAATTGGAAACATACAGCATGCAGTACGTACTCTTCTGTGTTCAACTTTTTTACTTAATATAATGTTCTTGTGATTCACCAATGCAATTGTATATATGAGTACATCATTCATTCCTTTTTATTACCAAATAATTTTCTGAGGTAAACATTTTTAACCATGTCCTGTTTTTAGTTTTCTTTTTTGTTTTATAGATTTAATTTAGAAATGCTTATATTGCTTATATTGATTTCTTGATTTAATACATTGCCCATTAACTTTCTTCTTTGAAAGTCAAGATTTGAAGTCACTGCCATTATCACAAACACTCTGTTACTCTTACACCTTTAAATGCTACTTAAGCTTCTCTTTTTGTTTCAATAACTCTGCTTCGTCTTTTGACTTCCCCAAGACCTGCATATCTACCCCTCTCCCTCTCTCTTCTCTCTCTCCTAAAATGCTTCTTCAACTTTATCTTCCAAAGTTCTATATAATTCTTAATTTAGGAAATTATGCTTCATGATAATTTCTGTTTTTTACTGTGATTATTTCATTTTTCAATGAGTGAAATTCCTTTACAAATCCTTCTGAAAATGCAAATTAGAAGCCTCTAGAGTTAATTGTTTCTTTGCTTTGTTGTTTCTTGAATTATATATTTTTAGAATTGTTCCCTGTGGTCGATACTTGTGTTTGTTCTTTGTTTTTTGTCTTTCATGCTGTTAATTTTTTTTCATTTTCTGATTTTTATTTACATTTGAGAATAGGCAGTTTACTTTTTCTAGGTAACTTTGTTTCTGTGTGGATCATTTTCTAGTTAGGTTTCCCCATGTTTATGAAGTCTGACTTGGAATTCTATGTATGTGGGCTGGTATTATCCACTGATAGGTTTAATTTTAAAACAAGCAGGTAGCCTACCAACCTTTAGGCTAGGATGCTCACAAATGCCAGAATGGTAAAAATTGTGCTTATGAACATGCAAGTTCACCCTGAATTCTAATTCCCCTCAAGTTGTTTGCTTGCATTTTTTAGGAAAGAGCCTTTTTGCATTCATGTAGTGCTGAAATACTTAGCTGCCTGGGTTCTGAGCACATAGGAAGAGGACAGAAATGTGGGAATTTATTTTAAGTGGACTAGGAATTAAGTTCTCCTAATTGGGAGTTCTTCTTATTCCTGCCAATTTGGAACCTAGAGTTTATCTTCTTCTGCAGTCCCTTGTGTTTATTTAGACTGCTAGTCCTTCCTTTTTATTTTTTGTCAAATGGCTTTTACCTTCTTTAATCTTCCCCAAATCTTCCCCAAATCGCTGAATGTCTCCTTTTCCATTCTCTTCACTGCCACAAGAATTTCCCTTTACCATCATTGTTTTGCAGTTTGCAGATAAACAGGTGTAAAAATGTAGCTTTAGTTTGCCATCTAGAAATGCAAACCTCTCTCCTTTTTTTTTTTTTTTTTTTTTTTTTTTGATGGAGTCTCGCTCTGTCACCAGGCTGGAGAGCAGGGGCGCAATCTTGGCTTACGGCAACCTCCACCTCCTGGGTTCAAGTGATTCTCCTACCTCAGCCTCCCGAGTAGCTGGGACTATAGGCACGTGCCACCATGCCCAGCTAATTTTTGTATTTTTGGAAGAGACGGGGTTTCACCATGTTGGCCAGAGGGTCTCAATCTCTTGACCTCCTGATCTGCCCTCCTTGGCCTCCCAAAGTGCTGGGATTACAGGTGTGAGCCACCGTGCCCGGCCTCTCCCTTCTTTTAGATGCTATTATAATTAAAGTTCAGAGAAGATAACAAAATTGTACTGTCCTGATTAATTTAACATTATACACGGGATAAAAAATGTTAACACAAGGTTTTCAAAAATGCCTTGGATATCCATTTGAAGATATCAGTTTTTCAATTAGAAGGACAGTCTATGACATATCTCCTACAGACAATATCCTGAAACTAATGTCACACATAAGGCTCCTCATCTCCAACTAGCAATTTGATGACATATGCCTAGCTAAAGGAGCCAATAGTACTAAAATGTATTAGTGTCTTCCATCCACTTGCATTCTTACAGAGAGTTGTCTGTGCATATAATGTCAAGGTGTTAAAGGAGTAGGTCAAATGATATACTGGCAGATAATTATGAGAGTTTTTTTACATAAGGAGAACAACTCTATTACACGTTGTCCCCTAGGATTTGCCTATGTTGCTCCTACTGATAAGAGGATGTAATATTTTTAACATCTTTCTTTTATAACAACTTTTAGTCTGACTTTCAAAACCATTTTTGTTCATAACATGGATACTTCCATTTTACATCTGTATTGGTGTACAGATAAACAAAATATATATCTTGTTTCCCAGAAAATATGGGAAGTATAGCCTCTTATCATGATGGCAAATCACAGTGACCCAGCTTTATGTTTGCCCACCTCTTGGGAATACTGATTATAAAAGTGCTAAACAGGCAACTGTAGAAGGAAAACTAGCCATATTTTTTCAAGCTTTCAGAGACTGTACTGCTTACCTGTCAAGCTGTGAGGATATATATCTAAGTTGCTAAATATCCACAACATTAAAAGTATGTTTACTTGTTTTGAATCACAGATAAATGAAATAGATAACAATCTCAAGGCCTAATTTCAAATTAATGACATTTCATTCCTCCTCTCTCTCCTACTCCCCTCCCTGCCTCCCCTCTTTAAAAAGTACTGAGACTAGTTAAAGTTAGCAAAATTTGAGTATTAGAAAGAGTCTAGAACCTGGCAGCATTCCACGCCTAAGATGGTTCAAAATGCCCCTACCTCCAATGTCGTAAACTATTTTTATAACTAGAAAACAGGAAATGACATACAGGGATTATGCGATTGGTGCAGTTCTGAGTTTGTCTTATTTGGGCACAACTGGGCAGCTTTCAGTCTGGGATTGGCTGAGAATTCAGTGCTAAGATTGAGACTCAATTTCTTGGTTACAAGAGTATACATCTAGGTTAAGTTACACTTGCTTACACATCAAGTTTGGTTACAGTTCACCACATACAGAGTCTGTTTTCAACGAAACTGTATCATCCAAGTATGGAGACAGATTTAGGCCAGACTTAATTCAATTCCTCCTCCCTCCCCTTTATTCTTCCTGCCTTTCTTCCTTACTTTTCTCTCCACTGTGGCTGTTTTACCTAGATAACAGAGTAGTCTACCATGGGGAGAGAGATACAAAATCTAAAGTAACACTAACAAATAGTTTGACTTTTTCAACTGAAAGAACAAATTTTTATTATGTATACATCATTATTTTTATTTTTTATTCAATTTTTCTGCTTTGGATAATGGTTGAAGGATTGTAAACTGAAATATCACATAGCTTTGTTATTAAAATTACTTGAAAGTCAATTCGAAATAGGTTTAGTGAGCACCTACAAGGCATTCTGAAAAGAACTGACAAGGATACCAAGATGACAACACATGCTCTCTCTTCACCATAGAATTTCTGAAACTTGTAGGAATGATTCAAAAACACAGGCATTGTTATAGTACAAAATTGACTGTTGCAAGTGTTACAGGATATTTATTAAGAAGCACTTGAAAATTATTTAGGCCTGTCTTCCCTACAGGACCTCATCTAGTTAGGGTAAATTACTTTCTAAGGAGTGATATCAATGGCTCTTCTAATTTTTTAATTGATTGCCTTCCTCTTCCTAGTATATAGATTCCAAACTTCTACCTTGGAACTTCTGTCTCACTCTATAAAAAGTATCTGATCTCAACAAGGAATATTGTGTTCATTATGAACAGAGTGCCAATAACTTTCAAAGTGGTATCTTAATTTATATTTCTGTCTTAAGTGCAGGTTAAATTATTCAACTTTTTAACAGACATCTCTATGTAGCTATCTTATAGATACCTCAATATCTGCATGTCTCAAAACTCAACTCATAACATTCTAAAAACCAAAATTCATGTTTTCTCTTATTTTTCCTTTTCTTGTGATTAATAGAGGCTTCTCATCAGATCCCTCCAGTCTGTCTGTCTATTCTCTTCCCAAATGAGAATGTTTTTATTTCATATGCCCCAACCATGTATCCTGGGTATATTTTCAAATGTGAATACTCCAATTTTGACCATTGTTCTTCATTAACACTGGCAGCACTCTACCTCAAGGTAGCAGCATCTACTCTCTGCATCACTGTGATACATTAATGACACATATTCAGAATTCCATCTTTGCCCCACTGCACTTCATTCTCTGCAGTGTAGCCAGGGTGCTATTTTTAAATGTAAATATGATTGAAGCATTCATCGTATTCCATTACTCAAGTGAAAACTTAATAAAAATACCCATGGTCAATAAGGCTTTATATGACCTGGCTTCTGTTTCACTTTTCAATTTTATCTGTTTCATTCTCTCCTTAGGTCTCTGAAATTAAGTTACTGGTCTTCTTTTAATTTCTGGAATATGGCAAGCTTTCTTACATCAAGATCTTTTCAGTGATGCTCCATCTAGCTGGAATAGTCTTCCTTATTCTTTTCACCTTATTTGCATTCATGTTTTAAAGTTTCTCTTTAAATGCCTCCTTTTGTTAAAGACTTCCTTGACTCCTTCCCTTATCGAAAGTAGGTGAACAGAGGGTGTTCATGGACATAAAAATGGCAAATATAGACACTGGGGACTATAAGAGGTGGGAGGGAGGGCAAGGGGCAAGGGTTAAAAAACTATTGGTTACTATGCTTACTTTATGGGTGATGGGTTCAATCTGGGCTCTATCGTATCCCGATCTTCATCACGCAATATACCCGTGTAACAAACAGGCACATGTACCCCTTGGATTTAAAATAAATGTTGAAATTATTTTTTAAATAAAAATAAATAAATAAGATCCTTGTTAAACTCTCTAGTAACTCCAGGCACTAATATCTTCCCACATTTCCAGTGTCTTTTCTGACTTGCTAAGTGTTTATCTTAAAAATATAGTTTTGACTTGATGATATATGTCTTTTTAAATTTTTAGTTTGAATAGTTTGAGATTCAAATAGAAATTGCAAAAGTAGTATACCTATTTCCCCTGTACACTTCACCAAGCTTCCCCCAGTGAAAAATTCTTACAAAATCTTAATACAGTTATCAATACCTGGAGGAAATTTACATTGGTGCAATACTATTAAATAAACTATGTACCTCATAAATATCTCATAAGTTTTTGCATGTACTCGTTATACTGTTGGTGTTGTTATACTTCTGTGAAATTTTGTAGCCTGTATAGTTTCATGTAATCATTACAACCATCATGATACAGAACTGTTCCATCAACCCAAATAAATAACCTTCTGCTATATTAACATTTTCCTCAAACCCCTAACCCCTGAAAAATATTAATCTGTTTCCCATACCCAAAATTTTGTTATTTAGAGAAGGTTATGGGAAATTTATCACATAATAGGCAAGAAATATCAACTAGTAATTTGATTTTTTTAAGGTTAAGACTACTTTTAGGGTAGTATGATTTAAACAATATTGTGTTATTACAATTACAGTAATACAAGTAAAATAAATTGAATTACAAAGACAAAATCTTCCTTTAACAGGAATTTAACACCTGTCTCTTTGGAGCACAAGTCGGATGGATCACATAGTGAAGCTTACACCCTCCCATATGTTGCAAAAAGAAATAGTTATTTTTTTTTTTTTAAGTAAAGTCTTTCAATTACATCTGGCATTTCAGAGCATCTCGTGGTATCATGTCTCACATGAATACTTGTGTGAAAGTAGTTTTTAAATGTTGAAAATGTATTAACATTCTATAAACTTAATTGGTAAGAAAATTAAAATGTCCCGGCTAATGACTTACTTTTTATCTTAATGTTTTTTTTTTCATGTACATCATTTCTCCTCTTCAATAATGCATTGTGTTGTTATTATTTTATGTGACAGTTTATCTTCTCTCATTTTTACTTACTACATTTTCAATTGATTTCAAATTTACCAACTGGGTCTCTATATATTGGTCTGGCTCCTTATTCTGTGTTGTGCACTAAACTATAAGGAGTTATTCATTCTCTTGTTGATAAATTAATGTTTTCCTAAATAGTTACCAATTTACCAGTTTATCTGACAGATGCTACACTGAAAATAAGGCTTGATTTACATGCTTATCAACGTCAAAATATTTTAACATTGTGCTTATCCTATCGGTATTTACAAATACATACATGTTTCCTGCTTCAAAACATTATCATACCCAAAACTGTAAAATCTTAAATTTTTTAGTATATTTTCACTTTGTATTTGCTTTCACTTTGTTTTTCTCCTTTATTGCTTTTTAAAATTTTTCTTTCTTTGTTACTCTGTGTGATAGAATTCTAAGATAGTTTTTATGACTTTAGCACCCAAGGTGTTACTCTTATGATTATGTCATGCTATGTGACAAAGATCTTGCAGGTGTTATTAAGTGTACTTAGACCTAAATATAGGGAGATTATTTGGTTAGGCTTAACCTTTCACATTGCCCTTTAAAGACAGATAGTTTTATTTAGACAATAGTAGAACAGTAATTCAGAGTGGTTGGAAGTGTAAGAGGGATTCAACATGAAGTTCTCAATTGTTTAATAGAAAGGAATCATGAGGTAAAGACCCGAGATTGCCTTCTGCTAGACGAGAGTGGTCCCAGGTTGCCAGCCAGCAAGAAAATGGAGATTACATTAACTACAACTGCAAAGGCTTGAATTCTGTCAACAATTTGGGTGATACTGTAGGTGGATTCTTCCACAGAACGTACAGGTAAGAGCCCATCCAGCTAACAATTTGACTTTGGTCTTGTTGAGACCCTAAGTAGAGAAACCAGGTGAGCACACCTGGACTTATGACTCACAAAACTATGAGCGAATAAATGGGAATTGTTTTAAACTGCTCCATTTGTGATTTTTTGCACAGTAATAGAAAACTAACATATTCCAAAATCCTTTTGAGATTCATACTAACCTTAGCTATCAATTGGAACTTGGTTGTTATTTGGTCTCAGGAAAAAAATGTGATAGAATACTAGACCTAAATATTAAGTGAGAACATGGAATTCTTTTTTAATCTTCTCATTGGAGATCGACACTAGTCTTGGAAAAGTTGCTTTCTTTACCTCTGTCCCCATAGTACCCCACATGTATGAGTTACATAACCAATATTTTCTTCTTTTTTTGATGGGTAAAAGAAGGCAGTAGGCAGCTATCCAGTTACTCAGTGAATCTAGAATTTGAATCTTGTATCCAATGAATCTGGCCTATCTTTAAAAATAGTGGAAAATTCTGATAGCAGGTGTTTCAACCTCTAGAGATTGACTTGTCCATAATACATTAAAATCCATATCTAAAACACCAGAGAGAAATACGAGCCATAATTGTGATAGTGGTATTATAAGAAATGAAAGAAGCATACTTTAGGCTGAAAATATAATTTTTTAAGTGGGCAGCAAGTTACAAAGCATCTACGAAAACTGCTCTATAGTAGTTGCCTTTATAAACTGTCCTGGGACTTCCTTATGAATCCTGTTGACTTTATTGCAGATCACACTATGCCTTCCAATACTAATTTCTATTACCAGTTTTTCCAAGAGAGAAATACATGCCCTCTCAATGCAACACTACCAGAAGCCCAAATTGCTAGTATTACTACTTTCTGTCTTCTGATTTAGTTTTCATTGTTTAATTTTTGAATGAACAAGATTTTAATAATACAAAGAAACATAGCCAACACAAATATGTAACAGATAAAAGGAAAAGTGTGTGAACTATGACAGAGGAAATCTCCTCATTTATTTCTCCAGTTATATAAAAAGTTTTAGAAGACAGACAAAAAATAAAACACCCAGAGAGACTATGGTGGTAAGCAAAGCAAAATTGAAGAAAGGAAAGGGAAGACATGGTGTAGTAGTCTGCTTAAGCTACCAACAAAGTGCTATAGACTTCATGGGTTCAGTAACAAAATTTTATTTGCTCCCAGATCTGGAGATTGGAAATCCCAGATAAAGTTTAACAAGGGTTCAATTTTGGTTGAGAGCTTTCTTCCTGGCTTGCAGATGGCCACCTTCTCACTGTGTCTTCACAAGATCTTTTCCATGTATATGGAAAGAGAAGGAACACTCTCTGGTTTCTCTGCCTCCTCTTATAAGGACACATGTACCATTTGATTAGGGCCCACTTTATGACCTCATTGAACTGTAGTCACCTCCTAAAGCCATATCTTCAAATAAAGTCACATTGGGGTAAAGCCTTCAATATAAGAATTATTATATTTAGGCAGGGAAGGGGACCCAATGTAGTCTGTAACACATGGTAAATCTCATATACCCAACAGAACATTTCAATAAAATTAAAGAGTATACTTAAGTTTTCTCTCTTGCTAGATAACATAATAAAGCAATATATCAGAAACTTTTAAGGAAAATTGTATACAAAGATGGGGTTTTGGAAGAAATTAAAAAAGATATCAAATTAATAACAGCAGAGTAGAATTATATCAGAGTTAAAACTTCTATCTTTAAATTAGGATTATATAATAATTTAAAGAAACATTTAACATACATTTTAATAACTTTTTAAAGTTTTGTTTTTAATTGATATGTAATAATTGTACCTGTTCATGGGGTACAGTGTGATGTTTCAGCACACATACACATTGTATAATTATCAATTCAGGGTAATTCACTTACCCATAACCTCAAACACTTGAGATTTCTGTGTGATAAAAACATTCAAAATCCTCTTGTCTTGCTATTTTGAAATAGACAAATACATTTTTATTAACTGTAGTCACCCTACTGTGCAAGAGAATACTGGAACTTATCCCTCCTATTTAGGTGTAACTTTGTACTCATTGATCAAGCTCTATTCTATCTTCACTTATATAGATGAACTTTTTTTAGATTTCACATATGGGTGAAATCATGCAGTATTGGCACTTTGGTGCTTGAGTTGTTTAACTTAGAACAATGTACTCTAGGTTCATCCATGTTGTCACAAATGACAGGACTCATTCTTTTTTTATTGTTATTTGATTGATTAATTTATTTATTTTTGAAATGGAGTCGTGCTGTGTTGCCCAGGCTGGAGTGCAGTGGCACAATCTCGGCTCACTGCAACCTCCACCTCCCGGGTTCAAGTGATTCTCCTGCCTTAGCCTCCTGGGTAGCTGGGAAAACAGGTGCGTGCCACCACGCCCAGTTAATTTTTTTGTGTTTTTCAGTAGAGACGGGGTTTCACCGTGTTAGCCAGGATAGTCTCGATCTCCTGACCTCGTGATCTGCTCACCTCTGCCCCCCAAAGTGCTGGGATTACAGGTATAAAGTGCTCGGATTACAGGCATGAGCCTGGCTGGATTCATTCTTTTTTATAGCTCAGTAGTATTCCAGTGTGTAAATATTACCACATTAAAAAAAATTCTTCATCTGTTGATGGACACTTAGTTTGATTCCACATCTTGGCTATTGTGAATAGTGCTGCAATATATATGAGGGTCTAGATATCTCTTTGACATACTGATTTCCTTTCCTTTGGATACTGGATCCCAATCCAGTATTGGGACTGTTGAATCATACGTTAGATCTGTTTTTAGTATTTTGCTCATAATTGTTTCATTAATCTGAATTCCCATCAATAGTGTATGAGTTCCCCTTTCTCCAAATTCTTACCATCATTTCTTATGTTTTGTCTCTTTGATAATAACCATTTTAACTGGATGGAATGATATTGCATTGTGCTTTTGATTTGCATTTCCCTGATGATTAATGATGTTGGGCATTTTTTTCATATGTTCATTGCTCATTTCATGTGTTCATTATGTCTTCTTTTGAGAAATGTCTATTCAGATCTTTTACTCATTTTAAAATCAGATTATTTCTATTTTTTGTGCTACTGAATTGATCAAGATCCTCATATATTTTTTATATTAACCCCTTGTCAGATGATTAGTTTGTGAATACTTTCTCCCTTTCTTTGAATCGTGTCTTTGTTGATTGTTTCCTTTGTTGTGCAGAAGCTTTTTAGCTTAATCTAATAACATCTATCTTTTTTTCCGTTTTGTTTTCTGTGTTCTTGAAGTCTTATTGATATGGTTTGGCTGTGTCCCCACCGAAACCTCATGTTGAATTGTAGCGCCTATAATCCCCAGGTGTGTGGGAGGCACCTGGTGGGAGGTAATTGAATCATGGGGGCAGGTTTTTCCCATGCTGTTCTTGTGATTGTGAATAAATCTGATGAGGCCTGATGGCTTTATAAAGGGCAGTTCCTTGCACATGCTCTCTTGCCTGCCACCATGTAAGATGGACCTTTGCTCCTCCTTCACCTTCTGCCATGATTGTGAGGCTATTCCAGCCATGTGTAATTGTGAGTCCATTAAAACTTCTCTTTCTGTATAAATTACCCAGTCTTGGGTATTTCTTCACAACATTATGAAAATGGAGTAATACACTTATCCAAAAAATCCTTTCCTGGAAAAATGACTTGAAGAATTTTTACTACATTTTTTCTGGTAGTTTTATAGTTTCAGGTTTCAGAGTTAAGTCTTTAATCTATTTTGAGTTGATTTTTTGTAAGCGGGTGAGAGAGTTAGGTGGGAGTCAAGTTATGAAAGAAGGAAGGACTCACACCATTGAGAATAGCCTTGTTTAACACAAAGGAATAGAGAAAGAAGAACAGAATAACTTTTCAGGAAATATTAATAAGACGTGTATCTTAAGCAAATGATAAGGGAGAAGTACTGTGGAATCATTCCATGCCAAATATATGACTACTGTTCATAACAGTTATGGATAATTGTTCACTCAGACTCTATTTTCAGTACTTACAATTACATGGATTGTCTCTTGAAGGATCTGATTAAACTTTTCATTTCCCTAACTCTGCTTCCCAGTAACCTTTTCTCCTTAAATCTGGATTGTTTGACATACCACCAAGAAAAAATTAGTCTAAGTTGTTTTCCACATGGTAGGCCTTCATATTTGAATATTGTCATCATGCCATACCCCTACCCAAGGCTTTTATTTCTCTAATAGTTCATGTGATGATACCGTATCTCAGATACACATTCTCACTCTTCATTCCTGTTGCTACTGTCTTTACTTAAATGATTATTCTTTACCTAAATGATGACAATAGTAAACTAATTGGTCTTTCTGTTTATCTCATTGCCCTCTAAGCTATTCTCCATTTTAATGTTTCCTGAATGATTTCTTTCAAAAGGAAAATATGGTTGGTCATTTATATTTAAACCATTTCAATTGTAAAGATTTATTTTTTACGTCTGTGTCTCCCACTTGACTATGAGCTTGTCAAAGGCCAAGAACAAGGCTTTTTCATCATTGTAACCCTAGTTACTAATGCAGTGACTGGCATTTGGTGCATACTCTATAAAAGTCAATTTTTGTTGTGTTTTTTTTTCTCTGAATGAATTTCTATTCTGTATGTAGTACAGTGCTAAGAAAATGCATTATTATCAGTAGACATTATAATAAGGAAATGTGACTTGCTGAAGTATTTATTTACTATATTTTTGTCCTTTTATTTTGTATATGGCCATGATAAGACACTGAAGATTTTTCCTAATAATATCTAACAGTTATTAAGTTTTTATTCTTACTATGTGCTAGTGCCATTTTTATATTTTAAGCATTTTACAGATATTTTATTTAATTCTGAAAAAAACCCCACAAAATACATAAGGTATAGGCACTATTATTATTCTCATTTTCTATATAAGGAAACTGCACACTGAAATAAAATAATTTGACCAGAGCTACACATCTTTTAAGTTACAAAGTATCAAAGAAATTGCACCAGAGGGAATTAAGCAGACACAGTAGACTTTATTCAAGGCTATTGTAATAGGTGAGAGAAATTGAACTCAGTGCTAAATAGAAATAGGTAGATAGGGATTTATAGCCAATGAGCACAGTGAGGGAGTCAGTGGGTAAAAAACTATAAGAAAAACTTGCTTAGGTTATAAAGGGTGGACATATTCTTACTATACTGGTTTGGTGGGGTAAAGCTAATTCAGTTGGCAGGTCAAGAACAGCAGGCCAAGAAAGAGACCTAGTAGAGAAGAAGAGTTCAAAAAGGCTGACTAGAATTTTCTTCTTGTTAGTCTCCTGTCCTGTACAAGGAAAGAGTCCTTATTAGTTCTTCCTCCTGTGCAAGGAAATAAGATATTACTTTTCCTCTGTACAATGTAAGTCTGTTTTTCATTCAGTCGCCCTTCGTTAATTAAAGACCAGCTTACCTATCTGTTAATAATTGGCAGTAGAGGATATTTTCTGAATGGTGTTAGCCATCAGGTATTTAATAAAAATGACATTTCTATAAAATATAAAAATAACAACAAAGATTACTTGTTGAACCAGACTAGTAATGGAGTTTCTGTGTCAAAATCACAGTTGATCGAGGATCCTAGATACTCAAAGCATTTTTAGAGAGTGTAATGATCATGGTAATGGCAATCTAATTGATTTCCTGGTTTTCAGTTTAAATGTTTGGTGATGGCATATACATTAAGAGGTTAGTAGGTTTATCCACAACCATGGTTATTTCCTAGAACAAAGGCACGGACAGTGCAAATTTCTAGTAAAGTTCCTGAATGGCCCACTTAGCAGCAGTTTCAGGCACAGAGGTTGCTCATACATAACCTGGCATGGTGGTGAGTTCTTTGCAATTTATAAAAAGTTATCCTGTTTCATCTCACAGGACTTCTCTAGATCCAATGGGAAAAGTCAGCTAAAAGACAAACTAGGGTATCAGTTATGATCCAGGAAGTCAGATTTTAGTTCTGAGTTATACCAGTTCAGGAGGACAGGAAAAAAAATAGAAATTTAGGCTTGTATAGTTGTACCCAGCTACTGAAGAAAAAAAAAAAAACAAAGAAAATTTTGTAAGGACTGACAAAACGTTCAAGATGATAGAATCCAGTCCAATTGATAGCTAGATAACAAAACCGTATACTATAGTTTACAGAGGAGTGAAAAATAGTTCAAAGGTAATAAATGTGACGAGAATTTGATAACTCATAATGATGGGTTTTCTACTGAAATATAAAATTTCAATTTGCACCCCACTTCTTTTTGATAAAAGAAAATTAAAATAAGATATTCTTGTTTAAAATATAGGTTTGTTTTGATCAGATTTGGCCTGCTTATTTATATCTGTTGCAAGGATGGTAATTAATCACATAGGTATTTTTAAGTTTGATTTGCTGAAAGTTTTCATGGGGAATCTGATTGGACTTCGAGAAGTCTCTTGGGTTTGTAAGCCAAGGCAGGAACTCACCACCAGACTTCACGGAATTGTCAAAAAAAAAAAAAAAGTCTCTTTACTTTGCTGTAAGGCTAGGAAATATGCAGTCTAGGCATCATGTCCATTTACTCAAACAGGCTTTATATAAATGTTGGCTCCATCAAGTCAACCTCAGTTCTTTAAAATTCTTTAACCATATCTGAGTCTATGCTTTATTTTCAAATATGACACTCTAATCAAAGACTTGGTTATTTAATCATTTTTTTCCAATTATATTGTTTCAAGAAGGACTGATTCTTGCCAAAACTATATAAATAATTTTACTGCCATGAAAAAGATATTCATCAAGGGTTTCCAAATTCTTGAGAAATCAGGCTAGGATAAGAAGATAAATGTTAAATTTTTAATTACAGAATAAAATCCAATAGATTATTGTAAGTTAGCTTAAGAGAAAACAGAACATTACAGCATCATCAATATACCAAACAGAGCCCATAATAATCCTGCATCAGCTTATTCAGCCGTGGGTAATTAAATATTTCTTTGCTTGATCTTGGATTAGTAGTTTCATGAACACATTCATTTCTCCACTAGAGTTCTAGAAATCCTGACTTAGCCCAGTGGCGTGGTCTGAAGAGCATTTAAGCAATGTCACTGGAGGCTTGTGTCTCAAATTAGCTGGCCATAGTCACTTTCATAGATTTCTAAGACAGTCCCTTTCACTGAAGAAAAAAACACTTTAGTTGTAGTTGATTACAAGAGGTTTTAGAAGAAAAAAATATTAAGACCTACAATTTGGTAGCACAATACAGTGACTATAGTCAATAATAATTTAATTATATTTTAAAAAATAACTAAAAGAGTATAATTGGACTGTTTGTAACACAAAGGATAAATGCTTGAGGAGATTAATGCCTCATTCTCCATGATGCGATTATTATGCATTGCATGCCTGTATGAAAACAGCTCATGTACCCCATAAATATATACATCTACAATGTACTCACAAAAAATAACAATAAAAATTAGATTGAAAAAGAGAGCTTTCAGGGAAGCATCAAAATAAAATAAACTATTTTTGGATAGTTGAGGGATCAGAGTAGGAATGGAAAGTTCTGGCAAAGATGAGCAGAGGGATGGAGGAGGCAGAGGTGTTGAAGTTAGACATGTCATATACAATTTAAATAAACTGAAGAGAATATTTAAGGTGATAAAAGGAGAATGAGGAATGAAGGTAAAGGCAGTAGAGAAGTTTTAAGTGAGCCCATTTAGGGAGACCTCAAGTTTCCCAAAGAGGCCATTGAATTTCAAGTATACTATGCAGTATTATTAACTATAGTCACATGCTAATCGGGAGGCTGAGGCAGGAGAATCGCTTGAACTAGGGAGGCAGAGGTTGCAGTGAGCCGAAATTGTGCCATTGCACTCCTGCCTGGGTGACAGAACAAGACTCCGTCTCAAAAAAAAAAAAGAAAAAAGAAAAGAAAAAGGCAATTATGTAATATAATAGATATGTTAATTAGATTGATTATGGTTATTATTTTGCAGTGTATACATATGTCAGCACATTAAATTGTACACTTTAAACATGTACTTTTTTATTTTTGAACTATACATCAATAAAGTTGAAAAAGGACATTTAAGTTCCAAATTATTCTTCAAAATATCTCTATGAGATTGTGCCAAAAAAAGAATCAAAATGAAATCACCACTAAGAAATAGTACTCTAAATACTGAAGAACTGAAATTTGATCAAATGATCTCTCAATGAGAATTTCCAATATTCTTAACCAACAATACCTTTCCAAAAAGAAAAAAAAAGCCTAGGACTCTATCCAAGCCTCAAAAGTATACTCAGAATCCTGAGAATCAAAATCTGTCCTCACGGTGGTGCTTCAGTGGATGTCATTCAGAAAACTGGATCAGGAGAAGGACTCGTCAATGGATCTCTGATTAATCAGTCAGGAGTGAAGACAAAGGCTTCAAAGGTGCGCCTGAGGTCCTGGGTGAGAGATCAGGGTCCAGTGATAAATCTGATCATTAAAAGTGTCAAAGGTAAGTTGCTCCATATTTAGTTAAACAGGAAAGAAAAACTTTATTCAATGCTATTGCAATATGGAAGAGAGATTGAATGCAACTCTGAATAAAACAGGTGAAGTTGTTGTGATTTATCAAACTGTAATGTTAGTACTTTTAATCTTTCCCAGGCAAAAATCTTAAAAGAATTAAACTTCATTTACTCCTTCTAATACATATTCCATTTGATCATTATATATTTCATTATACATATATAAAAATATATATAATATATATTTTTAAAACTCACCACTGGATGCATTATTGCTGTTTTATTATATATGTTTTTGTTTCTATGTATCAATGCCTTTACTTTTTCTGTGTCTTTTATTACCTCCTGCATGTCTCACCTTCCTTCTGGCAGTGTTTTTATTTTATTTTATTTTTCAATCTGTATTTACTTTTTGCTTACTGAAGAACACACTTTACTATGAACTGTAGTCCACATCTGATGTCATATTTATTCAGCTTTTGTTTTTGTGAAAATTTCTTATTTCACATTATCTTGTATACTATTTTTCACTGGTATATAAATCTAAGTTGGAAATGATTAACTTAAAGCACATTAAAGACGTAAATTTCAGAGTGTTATAACTTCCATTGTTTCTGCTGAAAAGTCAGCCAACATTTAAATGATTGTTTCTTTGGAAGTCATCTATTTTTTTCACTGTTCTTTGTCTTAGTTATTCAGCAGTTTTACTATGGTAAGTTAGGTGTGAGTATCCTTTTTTAAAAAAATACAAAATTTCTGCTTGGGATTCATGAATATTGATCTTGATAGCTTTCATCAGTTTTTAGAAATCCTTAGGTATAATTTACTCTGTCTTTTGTCCTCTGCTGGGTAACTTCCATTTACCTCTTCAGATTCATTCCCCATATTTTTCTCTGCCTTTGGTGAGTGACATATATGAACTACGTCAACATGATTCCCTTAACCTGTGGCTTTGAGTTGGGTTTAGCAAACAGGACCTTATTGGAAGAGATCAGAGAGATGCAGGAATGTGAAATCACGATATGTTTCCCTGGCTTTCTTGCTATTAGGAGGTCTTGATTTTAATTATTATATTTCCCTACTCTATAATTTCCTGTTGGTTTCTCTTTTTAAAAAGAATTTCTCATTAACTGCTTAATTACTGACGTTTTTGTTTAATTTACTTTAACATAGTAAAAATAGTTATTTTTTGGTCTATGTCTGATTATTTTGTTATCTGAAGGCCCTTGGTGTCTGATTTCTATTTTCTGCTCTTTCTGCTAGTGTTTAGTCATGTTTTCTAACGTCCTCATTTGTTATATTCACCAGAAATGGCGTTTTGGAAATTGTATATAGAAATAATCTGAAGCTGATTATGTTGTCTTTTTGAAGAGATAACTAGAAGCACTAGTAATCTAGAAGTATCTGAAATAAATTTTGGAGATTGAGATTCAGTTGCTAGAGTGGTCTGAATTCCCTGCAAGTGTTTGTCTATATCTGGTTCTAATTTACTCCTAAGAGTCATTCCATTCTAAATATATTGTGAGGACTTTATCAGATGTCCTCTCTTGGTGTGCCGGATTCAAATTCCTGTGCTTTGGTACCACAAGGCTTTCAAAATTGTTAAAGGCTTTTTTTGTCTCTCCGTCACCCTGTCCTATATTGGTAAATTATCTGCAGGAAAAGTGGCCTTCAACTATCAGGCTTCTTTTCCTGGGACTCCATCCTCTCTTCTGGATCATGTATTGATAATTATTTATTATCTTGTTAGCTCTCCAATATCATCAAGAACATTTTAAAAGTATGTTTTGTTTGGCTATCATAGTTATCAGTGGTAGTTAAATTATGTAGTCTGGCATTACTAAAAAGCAAGTCCCAAATATATTTCAAATCCATTTAGCTCTGGACATTTTTAATAGATTTCTATCTGCTCTTTTTCTGTCTAGTCAGCTTCCTCCCAATTTATTATTCATAATGCAGGAAGAACTATCTTTAGAAATGCAAATCTGACTTTTGACGTTACTCCCCTCATTTTCCTATATTTAAAATGTTTCAAAGTTTTCCTATCTTTATCACAAGCAATGCAAAATTTAATAACTTGACTGCAAGTCTATGGTCTGCCCTCTCCCTATCTCTGCAGCCTCATCTTGTACCAATCAAAATTGGCTTTCTGTGTTTTAGCCACACAAATTTCTTTGCATCTTTCATTCTCATTATTTTTCCTCTTGCCATATACCCTTGAACATGCTTATACCAATATACAGAATGTTCTTCCTCTTTCTTGTCTAGATAATTCCCATTTATTCTAAATATTCTATTTCAACTATTACTTCCTCAAATATATGTACCCTCAACTTTTCTCTATAAAAAGTCTGCTTATTTTATGGTCTTCCCATACCACGTATAATAGTTATAATTTTGCTTATTTTTTGTTTTAAATTTTTTACAGTAAAATTAACTATTTTGATGCAGTTATATTAATTTTAACACATGCATATTTGCATAACCACCACCACCACCACAATTAGAATACAAAATTCCTTACTATCTCGAGATTACCAATCCATGAACACTGTATGTCTCTTCGTTTATTTAGGTCTTCTTTAATTTAGTTCATCAGTGTTTTGTACTTTTCATCATGAAGACCTTGTACTTATTCTGCTAAATTTTTACCTAAGCATTTCATTTTTTGGAGCATGTGTGTGGTGCGTGGGTGCGTGTGGGTGTGTGTGTGTGTGTGTGTGTGTATATATATATATAAAAATTATGTATTTACATATATATATTTACATACATACATAAATTTCAGTTTCCAATTGTTCTTTGCTACTATAGAGATACACAATTGATTTTGTGTGCTGCCTTGTGTCTTGAAAATTTTCTAAACTCCTTATATTTACAATATTTTTTCCTATAAAATACATGAGAGTCATAGACAATCATGGCAACTGTGGATAATCGTGTCATTTAACTGCCAAGTGTTTGGAAGATTCCCGGGCTATCAATTTGTAATCCAGTTTAGCTTAATTCTGTTATCATCTAATAACTTTATTTGTATGCTTTAAATTATTTTAAATATATTAAAGTATGTTTTGACATGGCCCATCCTGATAAAAGTTTCTTATTTATTAAAAATAATGTGTTTTCTGTTGCCTTGCATTGAAATAATTCATAAATGTCAATTATGTCCGGTTAGTTAATGGTGCTGTTCAAATGAGTGTTTTAAGTCTTCAACTATAATTTTGGATTTGTCTGTTTCTCCTTTCTATTCTGTCAGTTTCTGTGTAATATATTTTGTAGATTTATTGTTTTGTGCATAAACAGGACTGTTTTATATTTCTGGTAAATTGATCCTATCATTGTTTTGTTATGTCCCTCCATAACTCTGGCAGTTTTCTTTTCTCAAAATTATACTTAGTCTGATATTGATCTAGCTACCTCAAGTTTGTTTTGATTACTCTTTGGATGACGCATGTATTTCTACTCTTTTAGCTTTAACCTATTCATATTATTATATCTGAGATGAGTTTCTTATATATCACATATAATTGGTTCATTTATTTTATTCTGAAAATTTCTCTTAATTGGTTTAACATTTGCATCTAATGCAATTATTGATGTTTGGGTTTAGTTCTATCATTTTATTATTTGTTTTCTAATTGCTCTGTGCTTTTCCCTCAGTTTCCCTTTTTATTCCTTTTATATTATTTGAACTTGTTTAACCTTTAACATTCATTCTTTGACTATATCTTTTTTCAGTAGGTTTTTTAGGTATTATAATATAATATATATACTTAAATCTTCACAGTCTACTTCTGATTAATATTTTACCACTCCACGTGAAATATGATAACTTTACAAACACATAGGTCTCCTCACCTTCTTCACCATTATAATTGTCTTACCTATTGCATCTCTATACATTGGAAACCTCATTATACACTATTATAATTTTTGCCTTCAAGTATAATATATAGATTAATGAATTAAATAGGAAAGACATAGTATTTTTATATCTAGCTAAATAGTTACCATTTATTTGTTTTCTTCATGACTGGTATTTCATGTTTTTCTCTGGCATAGTTCCCCGTCTAGCTGAAGAACTGTCTATAGAAATTACTTAAGAGTAGGACTGTGGTTTTTTTCTTAATAATTCACATTATCTTATTTTATTTTCTTTTATTTTATTATTATTATACTTTAAGTTTTAGGGTACATGTGCACAACGTGCAGGTTTGTTACATATGTATACATGTGCCATGTTGGTGTGCTGCACCCATTAACTCGTCATTTAGCATTAGGTATATCTCCTAGTGCTGTCCCTACCCCCTCCCCCAACCCCACCACAGTCTCTGGTGTGTGATGTTCCCCTTCCTGTGTCCATGTGTTCTCTTTGTTCAATTCCCACCTATGAGTGAGAACATGCGGTGTTTGGTTTTCTGTCCTTGTGATAGTTTGCTGAGAATGACGGTTTCCAGCTTCATCCATGTCCCTAAAAAGGACATGAACTCATCCTTTTTTATGGCTGCATAGTATTCCATGGTGTCTATGTGCCACATTTTCTTAATCCAGTCTATCGTTATTGGACATTTGGGTTGGTTCCAAGTCTTTGCTATTGTGAATAGTGCCACAATAAACATACGTGTGCATGTGTCTTTATAGCAGCATGATTTATAATCCTTTGGGTATATACCCAGTAATGGGATGGCTGGGTCAAATGGTATTACTAGTTCTAGATCCCTGAGGAATCACCACACCGACTTCCACAATGGTTGAACTAGTTTACAGTTCCACCAACAGTGTAAAAGTGTTCCTATTTCTCCACATCCTCTCCAGCACCTGTTTTTTCCTGACTTTTTAATGATTGCCATTCTAACTGGTGTGAGATGGTATCTCATTGTGGTTTTGATTTGCATTTCTCTGATAGCCAGTGATGATGAGCATTTTTTCATGTGTTTGTTGGCTGCATAAATGTCTTCTTTTGAGAAGTGTCTGTTCATATCCTTCGCCCCCTTTCTGATGGGGTTGTTTGTTTTTTTCTTGAAAACTTGTTTGAGTTCATTGTAGATTCTGGATATTAGCCCTTTGTCAGATGAGTAGGTTGCAAAAATTTTCTCCCATTCTGTAGGTTGCCTGTTCACTCTGATGGTAGTTTCTTTTGCTGTGCAGAAGCTCTTTACTTTAGTTAGATCCCATTTGTCAATTTTGGCTTTTCTTGCCATTGCTTTTGGTGTTTTAGGCATGAAGTCCTTGCCCATGCCTATGTCCTGAATGGTAATGCCTAGGTTTTCTTCTAGGGTTTTTATGGTTTTAGGTCTAATGTTTAAGTCTTTAATCCATCTTGAATTAATTTTTGTGTAAGGTGTAAGGAAGGGATCCAGTTTCAGCTTTCTACATATGGCTAGCCAGTTTTCCCAGCACCATTTATTAAATAGGGAATCCTTTCTCCATTGCTTGTTTTTGTCAGGTTTGTCAAAGATCAGATAGTTGTAGATATGCAGCATTATTTCTGAGGGCTCTGTTCTGTTCCATTGATTTATATCTCTATTTTGGTACCAGTACCATGCTGTTTTGGTTACTGTAGCCTTGTAGTATAGTTTGAAGTCAGGTGGCATGATGCCTCCAGCTTTGTTCTTTTGGCTTAGGATTGACTTGGCGATGCGGGCTCTTTTTTGGTTCCATATGAACTTTAAAGTAGTTTTTTTTCCAATTCTGTGAAGAAAGACATTGGTAGCTTGATGGGGATGGCATTGAATCTTTAAATTACCTTGGGCAGTATGGCCATTTTCACGATATTGATTCTTCCTACCCATGAACATGGAATGTTCTTCCATTTGTTTTTATCCTCTTTTATTTCATTGAGCAGTGGTTTGTAGTTCTCCTTGAAGAGGTCCTTCACGTCCCTTGTGAGTTGGATTCCTAAGTATTTTATTCTCTTTGAAGCAATTGTGAATGGGAGTTCACTCATGATTTGGCTCTCTGTTTGTCTGTTATTGGTGTATAAGAATGCTTGTGATTTTTGTACATTGATTTTGTATCCTGAGACATTGCTGAAGTTGCTTATCAGCTTAAGGAGATTTTGGGCTGAGACAATGGGGTTTTCTAGATATACAATCATGTTTCATCACCTTTCTTTAGCTACCTCTCCTCCATTGAAGCCTACATTGTAATCCAAGTACACCTCAACCTTCTCATTCTCCACAGTGGCATTGCTCATCACAGGTCCCTTCCCCATACCGCGTTTCTAATATTTTTTCTACAGCAAAAGATAAGTGTGATGTTTGCTGTAAATATTTGTTCATAGTTTCTACTGATTTAGGAAGTCTCATATATCCGCAGTTTACTAAAAAATGTCTTATCATTTTTATATGTTAAATTTCATCACATGCCCTTACTGGGTTTGATGGGGTTGATCACATACTATTGTTGTATTCACATGCGTATTCCACATAACACCTTGGCATCACAATTCCTTAATTTTCTTTTCTCTGAGGATAATCACTTTTACCTCATTGCAGCCCTATTTTCTTGTGGCAACAATTATAACTTGTCCTGATCTGCAGCTCAAACTGAGATGCTTCTTCCTGTAGATTACAACCTCCTGGTGTCCTTGACTCTCACTGTACCCAATTCAGCAGGTTTCCACATTTTCCGTATTTTCTCAGCCTTTGACATCCCTCATGCTTTTACATCCTCCCTTCATTGACTGGCTCCCTAAGCTTGGTGAAATGGGGTATCCCTGTACTCAACAATAGGGAAGTTTGGAATACGAGGGAAGATTGGACATCAAAGAACGTTCAGAGAACAAATCCACGTCAGCTTTCCTCACCCAAGTCCTTGATGCTGCTATTCAATTGTTTTATTTAGATATTCTCTGATGTTTTGAAATTTTCTTCCTTTTTTTTTTCATTCTTCACTTTCTTCTTCACATACCTGACTTCATCTTCTTATGTGCTTATTACTTCCGAATCCTAATATCCAGGACTCCTTAAAATTACTTCAGTGCCACCATTTCAACGAAATCACTACTAATGGTAATTAAAATTAACAACTTCTCTTGACCCATACTTCACACACTTTATTTTGAACCTAGTAATCTTTTCTTGTATTCAGAGTAGTTATTTACATGTCTATATATCTCCCCTTCACCAAAATATAAGTGCTTTAAAGACAAGGACCATGGATTTGCCATCTCTGTGTGCTGATTTTGAGTACTGATTTTTCTCTTTTCCTATGGGAGACACTTTCTGAGACATATTTCATTTCTGTCAGTGTCAAATTTTAGCCCTATACTATCAGCATCATCTATATGCAGAGAGCATATAAGTCAGAGGCAATTTTTGCTTGTCTCATGGAGTTGCAGAACTGCTTTAATTCCTGTACCAAAGAATACTGTGGAAAACACATTCCCACTTTGCATTCTGCTGCATCAATTGTAAGCATTACGCTTTCCTAGGCACTGACTTTCCTAAAGGGTGGGTGTGTGTGTGTGTGTGTGTGTGTGTGTGTATTCTATCAAGTTGCAAATGTCATTTCAAATGGTTAGCTGGCAGAAGTATCAGCAGCATTTTCTGTAAAAGCTAACAGAACAAGAGTCCTGTTGGTTTGGGAAATCATTGTTTCACTTATTAGAACTTTGCCCAAGCAGTTGTATTACATCTCTGTATTTTTATATTTTAAGTTTCTATTTCTGAAAAAACTCAACTATACGTGCTGTAGAGTTCTGAAATAAAATGAAGATTGCAATATTGGTAGATACATTCTCAGCAGTTCCTGTTGGGGAAATGCTCTATCTCTTTTTATTATTTTTTATACCACTTTTTTTCACTTAAATTCAAATGGAGTCAGAAAGACAAATATGAGTGAATTTGTCAATTATATGATTTTAATGGAACTTGTATTATCTCATTTTATCTTCATGTGATGGCCCAAAAAGAATGCATAATTTAAAGTTGGGTCTTATTAAAGAATAAACAAATCTAATTATCACTCCCCTATTTTAATATGTACCTCTTCTTGATATACTTCTTTGCATTCTTTGGACTTAAAAAATAACAGCCTCAAAACTAGCATAAAAACACAGTTCTAAACATCATTCTGAATTAGCAGTAGTCAATGCCTTCTCACTCATGTCCTTTACTCAGCCCACACTAGTTTGAGCATAACTGGCAGGCAGTATAAAATGAAAACCTGCACTTGCTGTAAGCTTCCTATTGAGGATCTCCTCAACTTCTGAAATGGCTTGTAGGTTTTCATTATTTACATGTGCCCTCACCACAGACTAGTTTAAAAACAAAACATATTATATTTCAATATCACAGTTCTTTAAATAAACAAAGCTCAAAAGGTAATATTTTTTAAGGTCACCTGTGTCCTGGTTGAGGGTCTTCAGGGTTCTTTGCGGCCCGAGGATTCCTGAAATTATGGATCACCCACATACGCTTTGAGACATGCTCTACTTTTTTTTTCTGGAAGCCCTGCGATTTCCCTAAAAATTGAGCGAATTATAGAACAGACCTATGGTGCCAGTGGGTCATGTTTGGTTAAAATGTGATAATCTACAGAATGCTACAGATTCCAGATTTGGCCTCTGAGTGATTTTGAATTTTTACATGCCAGCGCTAATGGCCACAGATTTTCTGATGATTAGTAAGCATTTATTCTTTTGAGTTGATTATTGTCTCCTGTTCATGTGAATTTATTACTCCCATTGAAACCATGTACTTACCAATAAACTATTTGCTATTAAAAAAAAAAGAAATAATGTTTAGGGTTATTTCCATAGTTTCTTTATATTTGTTGGCCCACAAAATGTGAGTCATAACTTGCTACATGAAATTAAACAAGATATAAATAGTAGGTATTGTCATCCATTGATCGTTACCAACCTGCCGTTTAACTGGGAAATAATGAACAGGCAGTTTGTAAGATATCAGATGCTTATTAGTGGAGAACTATACAGAGTCCAGTGCCTGTCACGTTCTCCTTATACAGTTTCCTAGACTGCCCAGGTTCCCCTAAGGTGACTAACCTTTCACTGAGTACTATGAAACCAATCTTGGGTAAAATTGACTTTTAGGAACCAAATCACTTCATTACTAAAGTTGTCTTCTGTAGGGTGTATCTAAGATAAATATCATCCTCTGAATTAAGGTTTCCTGCCTTTTCATTTTTTCGTGCTAAAGTTTTTCCCCTTTCTTTGCTGATTTAGAATGAATGAAAAGGCTAAGACAAAAAATATCAATAGCGCACCGAATCCCCCAAGAGAGGAAAATAAGTCATTCAGGATATTTTAAATGAATTAAGCGGATATTTAAACTGAATAAACATTCAAAGTTTGTTTATTCACATCCATAACTCTATATTTAACCACTAAACACATATAGCTTTCTTTCGCATAACAGAAATGTGATACAGAAGTTGCGAGTTTGTTGATGCAACATATCATCATAGTTCTCAGGGAAAATGGGACATCTTTGCCTCAAAATAATCAATGACCAAGTGATTTTTTTTCAAATCAGTTAGGTGGTCTATATAAATAATCATGGTAGATAAATGGAATATTTAATATGTAGCTTTCAAGATAGAAGCTTTATACATAAGCCAAATGACATGTGTTTAAATAAACAGTAGCTTTAATAACAGTGTTGTTTTTCTGAAACATCTACAGTCCAATAAATTATTATATAATCCATATCATATTATTTCATCATATGATTATTACTTACTGTTTAAAATGATAAATCCAATGATTCTAAGATACCTCTTTCAAGATTCAAGGTATGGTATACTACTATTTTAAGACTCTGAACACATTCGACACACACCTCTTGGTTTAATAAATTATATATCTTCCGTAGTGTTCATTTTCCTAACTCACAAGTCCTAAGCCTGAGTACGTATGAATGTCTCTACAAACTTTTCATCATTTTAGCATCCCTTTATCAGTCCTTTTCCAGCTGAGTTTCTCTGTACCCTGTTCTAGTGTTCCATTTTCCAAGTAGGTACTGCCAAACAGTCAATCAAAAAACATTTATTTATTTATCTGCTACTCATGTTAGCTCCTGCCGGGGAATGACGGTGATTCATTATGTGTAACCATGATTACTGACTTGGCTTCTGTAGGTAAAGACGAAGTATAAGAAACAATTTAACCCATAGATAAGTATAATGTTACTTAGTGGATTTATGAGAAAATTATATTTAAGGGTAAATGTTAGCATTAGTGTTTAAAATACGAATGTCTTAGAACCATTTTCTTAAGCAGAAAGTATAAAACCCAAGCAGTGTTTTAAAATTTTGGCATTAACTGATCAACCTTGTGTAGATCAGAATTGGTAAAGCTACCTATAGTTATATATTTTAAATTTACAATATTTGAAATACTGACTTTCTATATCATTTAAAATTGAAGGCAAATAAAATGCAGACAGCATTTAGAAAATCAAATATAATACTAAGAGAAAAAGCAAGAGTTTAGTTGGAACTGAGGCTCTTTTACTACTTACTTCGTTGTTAATTTGCTCCATGACCTTCAGTCAGCAACCTCATTGTGTCTCAGAGGATATAATAATCCTGACCTGCTTCACAGGGGCGTGCTGTACCTTAATTGATGAGTGTTAAGCGCCTGGAGGTACTTTAATGAAAGCTATTATTGAAATGCAATTATTAACATTTGGGATAATGAAGTTAGCTTAGATGGTTTAGCCAAGCCTGGTGTGAAGATGCTTTCTAAATTCCAGAGCACAAAATTTTGCTGTTTTAAAACTTAAAAAAGGTATGAAAAAGCAAAAATAGAAAATTAAACCATAACTGGCTTATTTGCTGACTTTAGCATCATCGGTGCCTGCAGTTTATTGCTTTGTCTCTGATCAAGTGCATTGCAATCAATGCGAATTACTACAGAGATGGTAGGAGATAATTTTGCAAAAATGTCAAAAATGCAAAGTTTGTGAGAGCTGGATGAACTAGAAATGACTATATTGATTTTATAAAGGTTGGTAAATTACTACAATACCACCTTACTTTAAGGTAGATTGCAAATCTTGCATTTTAAGCAAGATCAACTCTAATTTTAAACTTCAAGAAAAGTTTAGTGAATCACATGCATTACTTTAATCCATGAGAAATTTAGAAGTCATGTGCTTACCTCATAGAATCTAGCTGTGAAATTCCCAATAGGACTAATCCTTCTGTTCAACAATTCCTACCTATCTATGCATTTTAGCAAAGCTTGTCTTTACACTCAGAAAGCAATCCGACCAGAATAGAAATTAGTGAAATAAACTTCTACTCTCAAAAAATGGCAGATGCAAATGAACAAAACACATTTTCGGAAAATGCTCTGAATAATGGTCATTCGATTGTAAGTAATGTCACACTGCCATTTATCTTTTCTTATGAATTATATTTTAATTGATGTCAATTACGTTTAAATAGCCTATAGCACAGGGCCATACTCACCGAAAATTTAAGACTTAGTGGCGATTTCTCCAATTATATCTTAGTTTTCAGTCACTGTGGAAAGTTGCAGTGCTCCTAAAACTACATAATAAAATCATTTTTTAGTGTTTATTTTATGTCTTTATATTCACTAAAAAATTCAGAAAAAACTATGTTGAAAGCTGCAAGAAACACCTATAATATCATGTCACAGGATTAATCAAATTATTTTCATATTAATGAAAGCATTTTACATTTTGTATCTTATGATTTATATGTATTTAACATAAGTAACTTTGAATAAACCTCATTGTTTAACTTCAGTCCAGTTCTCCTCCCATTATTATCAGACATTGCCACTCTTACGAATATTTTATACTTATGATTTAATATTTTATAATATACTATATATTTATGTATACTAGTGAACAGTATATACAACTGGGTTTTTGTATTTATATCTTTGAAATATACACTAATGGTATTAACCAGGTATTAACCATCGTACAACGTGTATTTTCACTTCATATTTTGTTCTTTATATGTATTCATCTTGGTAAATATAAACCTATTCCACTAATTTTAACATGTTCAATAGTATGTCATTGTATTCATATACCATAATATTTCTATATTTACCTCTACTCATGGGCATTTAGAGTGATTTTAATATTTTACACAGTGATCTTATAAATCTATCTATATATATATATGCCTCTTAAATATATATATATATATATATGCCTCTTAAATATATATATATATATATATATATATATATATATATATATATATATATATATTTATGCCACAACAAAATGCCACAGACTGCGTGACTTAAACAATACAAATCTATTTTCTCACAGTTCTGTAGGCTAGAACTCCGAGATCTAGGTGTCTGGTTTGGTTTCTTCCCAAACCTTTCTCCTTGGCTTTTAGATAGCCCCCTTTTAACTGTTTTCTCACATGGCTTTTTGTCTGTTTGAATGCATACCTGGTGTCTCTTTGTGTGTTTAAATTTCCTTCTCTTATAAGGATACCAATCAAAGTTTATTAAGTCTTACATACTTTATTTAACTAATTACCATGTTAAGGTTCTCCAAATACTGTCACATTCTGAGCTACTGAGGATTAGAAATTCTATGCCTGAATTTTTGAGGAACACAATTCAGCCCATAATATATTTATATGCAATTTAGATAAATTAGTTATTGAAATATTGATTTAGTAAATATTAGACAAAGAGAATTGTTATTCTTAATAATAGCATGCTTCAAACATTTCTTAACTAATTAATTAATGAGAGAGCCAGTGGGATATGCTGTAAGATCAAAAAAGAACTCAAGTTTCAAACATTTATTGTCAGAAAGGAATGCTAAAATAAATTTACAAATGAAAATTTGCTCAGTATCCACACAGCAATAATCAATTGCATTCCACTGACACATTTTGCATTTCTATGGTCAGGAATTATTTGTATTAATCTCTATTTTCTACAAGTTTCTACAAGTTAAAGCTTCTATCTCTAGAGTTGTAAAATAGCCTACTTAAAGAATAAAAAAATGGCAAAGATCTAATGTATCAGATTATATCAGTCAATTGTAAAGATATCCTATAATGTTTTTTTGAAAAGTAATTTAAATCTTTATGAAAAGACAATTTGAATTCTGGCTATTTATTATGTATATATATAGTCGACACATAATTGTATATATTTATGGGGTAGAGTGTGATATTTCAGTACATGAATACAATATGTAATGATCAAATCAGGGTCATTAGCATATATATCACCTCAAACCTTTATTATTTCTTTGTGATGGAAGTATTCAAAGTTCTCCTTTTCAGGTATTTGAAAATATACCATAAATTATTATTTACTGTAGTCACCATACAGTGTTATAGAACACTGGAACTTATTACTCCCATTTAGGTGTAATTTATAATTTTATCTTTGTTAACCAACCTCTCCCTATTCTTTCTCCCTCTACTCTTCCCAGCCTCTAGTAATCACTATTCTATTCTCTACTTCCATGATATAAACTCTTTTAGCTTCCACATGTGAATGACAGCATGAAGTATTAATTTTTCTGTACCTATTTTACCTAACATAATGCCCTGCAGGCTCTTTCATATCGTGGTGAATGAAAGGATTTTATTCTTTTTTATGGCTAAATAGTATTCCATTGTGTATATATACCACATTTTCTTTGTGCGTTCATCTATTGATGGACACTTAGGTTGATTCCATTTCTTGGCTATTATGAATAGTACTATATAAAACATGGGAATGTAAATATCTTTTCAGCATACTGATGTCCTTCCCTTCAATTCTAAATCCAGTAGTGGAATTGCTAGATGACATGGTAGTTCTATTTTTAGTTTATTGAGAAACTTCCATACTGTTTTTCTAATAACATACTAATTTGTATTTTTACCAACTGTATATAATTGTTTCCTGTTCTTGGCATTTTTGCCAGGATTTGCTATTTTTTTGTTTTTTTATGATAGCCATTCTAACTGGGGTGAGATGGTATCTCATTGGGGTTTTGATTTTCATTTTCCTTATGATGAGTGATGGTGAAGAAATTTTCATATACTTGTTGGTCATTCATATGTCTCCCTTTGAGAAATTTCTATTCAAGTCTTTTTTCATGTTAAAATTCTTATTATTATTTGTTATTTGTTGTTTGAATTCCTTGCATATTTTGGATATTAATCTTTTATCAGATGACTAGTTTAAAAATATGCTCTCCCATTTTTCAGGTTGTCTCTTCACTCTATTGATTATTTTCTTTGCTGTGCAGAAGTTTTATAGTTTTATATAAAAGCTTTATAGTATGAACCCATTTGTTCATTTTTGCCTTTGTTGCCAGTGTTTTTGAGGACTTAATCATAAAATATTTGCCCAGACAATTATACTTAAGCATTTCCTCTAAGTTTTCTTCTAGTAGTTCTACAGATTCTGGTTTTACATTTAATTTTTTAATCTATTCTGAGTTTATTTTTGTACATGGTGAGAAATTGGCATCTGGTATCATTCATTTGCATATGGATATCCAGTTTTTCCAGCACCACTTACTGAAGAGACTGTCCTTTTCCCACTCTAGTGTCTTGGAGCCATTGTTGAAAATGGTTTGGATATAAATAACGTGACTTATTTGTTGGCTCTCTATTCTGTCCCATTGGTCCATGTATCTGCATTTATGACAGTACCATGCTGTTTTGGTTTCCATAACTTTGTAGTATATTTTGAAGCCAGATATTATGATGCCTGCATCTTTTTTTCTTTTTGCTCATGGTTGCTTCAGATATTCTGGCTCTTTGTATTTCATACAAATTTTTGGAATTGTTTTCTATTTTTGTGAATAATGTCATTGGTATTTTGATAGTGCTTGCATTGAATCTGTAGATTGTTTGGATAGTATGAACATTTTAGGAATATTAATTCTTCCAATATATGTGCACGGGGTATCTGCAAGTGTCTCAGTGGCTTAAGCTGCAGAGGCTTTTTCTGTGGCTAGACTGCCTACTTGGGCTCTTCTCCCATGGACATGGGGCATTGGGCTGAACTCTTTCCCAGGGAAAGGAAGTTCGGGAAGCCTGGACATTTGGGTGCAGCACTACACCCCTAGGGCCCGGGCATCAGGCTGATCTGTGCTCTGGGGAAAGATCAAGGCTGATTTGGTGGAGGCTATGTTTGGGTGCTGCTCCCATTGTGGCTGGACACGGGGCTCATCTGCACTCTGGGGAGGCACAGGGCTGGTTGATCTGCAGCTCACTTCAAGTACTGCTCCCCTTGGGATAGAATGCCAGGCTGATTCATGTTCAAGAAAAGTGTGAAGCTGGTCAGCCAATGACTTGGCTTAGATGTCACTTCCCTGGAGGTAGTGTGCCAGATTGGTCCTTGCTCAGGGGAAGCTCCTCTATGGGCTGGGCACTGAGCTGGTTCATGCTTTGGGGAGAAGCAGAACTGGTGGGCAGGTGGCTTGGCTTGGGAAATCTATTTTTTACAAAATTTAAATTCTTACTTTAAAATTTAGATCACAGAAGAAATACCAGGAATTATTTTCCTGAGAATGTGCTTGTCTCTGCCTTTTAAATAAAATATTTTCTTTTTTTATTTGAGAAACACTAATTGCCTATATTTATGGGATACAATCTTATGTTTTCAGATATGTTTATACTATGGAATGATTAAATCAACTAATTAACATATTCATCACCTCAAATACTTTTCAGTTTTTTGTGTTGAGAACATTTATGAACCTTCTTTTGTGTTTTAACTCACCGATCACAATTCTTTCCAAAGAACTTATGAATCTGTTACATTTAAAACTGAAGGGCTACCCTGTTATCCCAGCTACTCGAGAGGCTCAGGCAGGAGAATTGCTTGAACCTGGGAGATGGAGGTTGCAGTGAACTGAGATGGTGCCAGTGCACTCCAACGTGGGTGACAGAGTGAGACTCATTCTCAAAAAACAAACAAACAAACAAAAACTGAAGGGCTCTTACCTGAATTTCAGAAAAATAATCCTTATGAAAAAAATAAAACAGCTTTATAAACCCAGTTCGATATCAGAGTTTTAAATCCTAGGTAAGAGGAATGATTAAATATCCCAAATGAGATAGTTGATATGAAATGCTTTGAAATGTATATAATGGATAACATACTACTGGGCAATAAGTTGACGCACTCCACATGCAAGTGACACAAATCTAGAGGGTAATATTGCTGAGTGGTAAACTTGGAGGTATTTTTCAAAAATTCACCTTTTGCTTGTTTCCCTGGGTATTCCATCTAATATCCATTGAAGATCTAGGAGTCACAGAACTATTAGAAAGGTTTTTCTATATAACAATCATGTCCCACTTTGCTTTAAATTTTTTTAATTAAAAAACTTAGTCACAGAGCTTGGGAGCCTCAGAAACAAAGCCTTTGCCTTATCAAGAAGGTATTGACTGTATTTTTGTTTAGTTCTTTGCCCCAATTCCAATTTTGTTTAAAGTTCAATAGTCAATGATATTATTCCTATGGAAATACAGTTTTATGTTTGAAACATTTCTTGTTTAAAAAACAAGTATAGTATAATCAACTTAATACTTCCAATGAGGGTATGATAAATATAAAACAAACTTCTTTCCGTGTTCTACATGTAAGGGATAATAATAAAACTAAAGTTACACTCAGTACAACAATGTTCTTCACTACGGAGTGATTTGTAGATCTGAATAATGCTTTTAGAAATGAAACATATATGATCAATAAAATGAGTTTATAAAAAGACCATTACTCAAGAACCTTGAACTTCTGTGTACATAAAAGCGTCCTACATATAGTCAACATGTTTCAAACCCAAGATATTTTGTTGCTAAAATACTCATCTCTTATTCTAAAAAATAAATACCTTTTTTTACTAGTTTTATTAAATTAGATAAGAATCAGTCTTATAGTTCGATTGGATGACAGGAATTACATTTGGTAAAATTGTTTGATTAGAGGGTAATTATCATTATTAGATTAGAAGAAATTAAATTACAATTACTAAAATTACAGATAATTATAGCTTATTTTCAAAGCTAAATTAATCCTTCAAAAAACCCATATTTTATCCATGTGCTTAGTATATGCCTGTATATCTGTTAATAGGATGCATAATAATGGCTTTGGTCATTTGAAAGCTAAAAGTATGTAATTGAACAATTATTACAGCCACATTGCCTGAAGGCACTATTTGTCATGAGAGTTATATGATGGCAAATTATATCCACTCAACCGTGAAGGATAATTCTATCTTCAGATGGGAACAGATTACCATTACACTTCTTTCCTCCCTCCTCCAAATTTAACTATTGGCTTTTACAATGTAAATTTTCTGAAATGAACACTTTTAAGTGCCAGATTGCTTTGATTTAAAAAAAAACTGTGTACAATGCACATTTTTCAGCATATTTCAGATGAATGTTCAAACAGAAGTAAAATAAAATCTCAGTCCTCGAGAACATAGACACAATTTAAGAAATAGGGGTAATATTTGAGTTACTAATGTAGCTGTCACAAAACCCTAGCCTGGAACTATGCATTTTTTCAACCACAGACATAGTGATATTACTTTAACATACAATCTGTTCATTTGATTTTCTAGCTCTGAAGTGATCATAAGTAACAAAATAGAGTGCAGAGGAAATTTTTAAAGGCAGGTTTATAATGACAAGAGAAGTAAAAACTCAAAATGTGATGCCAACAAAAGTAATAAAATAACTAAAAATAGTTTTGAATTCAATTCTTACAAAGACAGTATAATAGATGAGACTCAATGTTTATTCTAAGTTATAAAATAATTAAATTCTATTTGGTTTTCTTTTTGAACTATCAGGGAATAGAATAGATACTAGAAAGGCTTCTATCATAAAGGACTATTTTTAATTGTATTTTTGTTATCTTCAAATTTAGTACTACACCTTCAATAAAGCCAAGTAAACATTATTCTATACATTTATGTGATATAAAATAGGATTTAATACTCCAGAAAGAATCATGCCTTCTTGTGATATCATTGAGTTACAACTTTCTTGGCTAGGTATTTTATTTTTAAAATGAAGAAATTTAAAAATTCAAATATTTGAAGGAATTGTTTAATAATTTGTGATTTATAAATATTTTCTGTATGTTGGAACCTGTTCACTGGTTTCTTTGAAATTTTGGGGGAAATTTAGGACAGTATTTAGAAATAGAATTTATATCAAGAATTTTTGATTTGTATTATTTTGGTCCTATTGATGCCAGGAGTGAACATTAGAGACATATCTCGCTTCTTTGGTCTGTGAAGCAATGGCTGGGAAACACTGAACTAGTCCTTTTAAAAATATGTTCAGTGACTGATTAATTTAAAGCAAAAATAAAAACTAAAGCAAAATAAACAAAGATAAAGGAAATAAAATCCACACATCAGTTCACAGGATTTCTCATTAATAGAGGTAAGTTTTTAAACCTTAAATTTCTATGTCTTCTTTCCCATGAGATTACGACATTATGAAAAGATAAATAATATTGGACTGATAAAAATAAGTCAGAATATATATGAGCCTTTTTAAATTTAATTTAATTTAATTTAATTTTATTATTATTATACTTTAAGTTTTAGGGTACATGTGCACAATGTGCAGGTTAGTTACATATGTATACATGTGCCCATGCTGGTGTGCTGCACCCATTAACTTGTCATTTAGCATTAGGTATATCTCCTAATGCAATCCCTCCCCCCTCCCCCCACCCCACAACAGCCCCCAGAGTGTGATGTTCCCCTTCCTGTGTCCATGTGTTCTCATTGTTCAATTCCCACCTATGAGTGAGAATATGCGGTGTTTGTTTTTTTGTCCTTGCGATAGTTTACTGAGAATGATGATTTCCAATTTCATCCATGTCCCTACAAAGGACATGAACTCTTCATTTTTTATGGCTGCATAGTATTCCATGGTGTATATGTGCCACATTTTCTTAATCCAGTCTATCGTTGTTGGACATTTGGGTTGGTTCCAAGTCTTTGCTATTGTGAATAGAGCCGCAATAAACATACGTGTGCATGTGTCTTTATAGCAGCATGATTTATAGTCCTTTGGGTATATACCCAGCAATGGGATGGCTGGGTCAAATGGTATTTCTAGTTCTAGATCCCCGAGGAGTCGCCACACTGACTTCCACAATGGTTGAACTAGTTTACAGTCCCACCAACAGTGTAAAAGTGTTCCTATTTCTCCACATCCTCTCCAGCACCTGTTGTTTCTTGACTTTTTAATGATTGCCATTCTAACTGGTGTGAGATGGTATCTCATTGTGGTTTTGATTTGCATTTCTCTGATGGCCAGTGATGGTGAGCATTTTTTCATGTGTTTTTTGGCTGCATAAATGTCTTCTTTTGAGAAGTGTCTGTTCATGTCCTTTGCCCACTTTTTGATGGGGTTTTTTTTTCTTGTAAATTTGTTTGAGTTCATTGTAGATTCTGGATATTAGCCCTTTGTCAGATGAGTAGGTTGTGAAAATTTTCTCCCATTTTGTAGGTTGCCTGTTCACTCTGATGGTAGTTTCTTTTGCTGTGCAGAAGCTCTTTAGTTTAATTAGATCCCATTTGTCAATTTTGTCTTTTGTTGCCATTGCTTTTGGTGTTTTAGACAAGAAGTCCTTGCCCATGCCTATGTCCTGAATGGTAATGCCTAGGTTTTCTTGTAGGGTTTTTATGGTTTTAGGTCTAACGTTTAAGTCTTTGATCCATCTTGAATTACTTTTTGTATAAGGTGTAAGGAAGGGATCCAGTTTCAGCTTTCTACACATGACTAGCCAGTTTTCCCAGCACCATTTATTAAATAGGGAATCCTTTCCCCATTGCTTGTTTTTCTCAGGTTTGTCAAAAATCAGATGGTTGTAGATATGCGGCATTATTTCTGAGGGCTCTGTTCTGTTCCATTGATCTATATCTCTGTTTTGGTACCAGTACCATGCTGTTTTGGTTACTGTAGCCTTGTAGTATAGTTTGAATTCAGGTAGCATGATGCCTCCAGCTTTGTTCTTTTGGCTTAGGATTGACTTGGTGATGCGGGCTCTTTTTTGGTTCCATATGAACTTTAAAGTGGTTTTTTCCAATTCTGTGAAGAAAGTCATTGGTAGCTTGATGGGGATGGCATTGAATCTATAAATTACCTTGGGTAGTATGGCCATTTTCATGATATTGATTCTTCCTACCCATGAGCATGGAATGTTCTTCCATTTCTTTGTATCCTCTTTTATTTCACTGAGCAGTGGTTTGTAGTTCTCCTTGAAGAGGTCCTTCGCATCCCTTGTAAGTTGGATTCCTAGGTATTTTATTCTCTTTGAAGCAATTGTGAATGGGAGTTCACTCATGATTTGGCTCTCTGTTTGTCTGTTATTGGTGTATAAGAATGCTTGTGATTTTTGTACATTGATTTTGTATCCTGAGACTTTGCTGAAGTTGCTTATCAGCTTAAGGAGATTTTGGGCTGAGACACTGGGGTTTTCTAGATATACAATCATGTCATCTGCAAACAGGGACAATTTGACTTCCTCTTTTCCTCATTGAATACCCTTTATTTCCTTCTCCTGCCTAATTGCCCTGGCCAGAACTTCCAACACTATGTTGAGTAGGAGTGGTGAGAGAGGGCATCCCTGTGTTGTGCCAGTTTTCAAAGGGTATGCTTCCGGTTTTTGCCCATTCAGTATGATATTGGCTGTGGGTTTGTGATAGATAGCTCTTATTATTTTGAAATACATCCTATCAATACTAATTTATTGAGAGTTTTTAGCATGAAGGGTTGTTGAACTTTGTCAAAGGCTTTTTCTGCATCTATTGAGATAATCATGTGGTTTTTGTCTTTGGCTCTGTTTACATGCTGGATTACATTTATTGGTTTGCGTATATTGAACCAGCCTTGCATCCCAGGGATGAAGCCCACTTGATCATGGTGGATAAGCTTTTTGATGTGCTGCTGGATTCGTTTTGCCAGTATTTTATTGAGGATTTTTGCATCAATGTTCATCAAGGATATTGGTCTAAAATTCTCTTTTTTGGTTGTGTCTCTGCCCGGCTTTGGTATCAGGATGATGCTGCCCTCATAAAATGAGTTAGGGAGGATTCCTTCTTTTTCTATTGATTTGAATAGTTTCAGAAGGAATGGTACCAGTTCCTCCTTGTACCTCTGATAGAATTCCGCTGTGAATCCATCTGGTCCTGGACTCTTTTTGGTTGGTAATTGGGGTTGGATATGCTTAGTCTTTCTGCATGAGTATATGCTTTTTTCAGAAACCCTCAATCCATTTTCTGTCAGCCTAAGTCTTGTTTATTCAGCTTTAACAATCCTTTTGTGCCTGTCACCATAATTTCCATTTAGCCTCTTCTTTCTATTAATATTTCTGGTTCTACTTTCCTCAATCCTTCATTTTATCTGCTTCTTTTCTTCACTCAACTCTACTTTGGATTCCCATGGGAAGCTGCCAATGAAGGGTGAACTCCCGTTTGAGAAACCGTTTTTCCCCCCAGCATAGCAGGTTAACCAAAGATAATCTTCTGAAGGCTTGAAGGAGATTGTAATTGTAACATCTTTTTTTTTTTTTTTTTTGGTGAGACAGAGATTTACTCTTGTTGCCCAGGCTGGAGTGCAATGGCACGATCTCGGCTCACCGCATCCTCCGCCTCCCAGGTTCAAGCGATTCTCCTGCCTCAGCCTCCCGAGTAGCTGGGATTACAGGCATGTGCCACCATGCCCTGCTAATTTTGTATTTTTACTAGAGACAGGGTTTCATCGTGTTGCCCAGGTTGATCTTGAACTCCTGACCTCAGGTGATCCGCCCGCCTCGGCCTCCCAAAGAGCTGGGATTACAGGCGTGAGCCACTGCGCCCGGCCAATTTTGACATCTTTTGTGTAGCTAAATACAAAGAAAACAATCAGTACAGATGAATGGAAAAATCCTGGACTGTTAATCTGAATTCCTGACATATTATTTTAGGCAAATTTCTTAATGAACATAAGCTATTTTGAATGTATATTAGGGATTGAGGTGGATGCCTCGTTTTACATTCTCTAACACTGTGAATATGATGGCAAATTATAGATTTCTGTGTTTCCCTATGTTACTTATTCAGTTTTCATTAATCACTTGCTATCATTCAACATATATAATGGCTAAATACCAAATTAGTTCTTACTGTAAAAAAATCAGAGTAATAATCTAGCCACAGAAAATACATGCCTTTAGTTTTTCAGTCAAATATTTTTCTACCTCAAGAATTTATTAGTACATCTGAATGTTAACACCCATTCCGAATGAAGTCAGTCCTACTTACCATTTAACATTTTCTAATCCAGGTACATTGTGGAAGAGGGTTGAATTTGGGCTTAATAAATACCTGTAGCTACACTTGAGAAGAACCAGTCTGTGTTCTGAGATTAATTCGTAATCCCTTTTAAGGTTTAATTCTTACAATTATTATATAGGTAATAGCTCACAAACAATAAATTAGCAATTTAGAAGTAAGCAAAGTAACCATCCAGTTCTGCAGCCAGATTAACCAAGAAAATGTGCATAATTGAACCTTTGTGAAAATGAAAGTGACTTTACAGAATGCAGCATACTGAATAGAAAAATGTAAGATTAAACATATTCAGAAAAGTCTTAGACATTCTTATGTAATCTTTTTATGTGGTACATTTTTGCCACTTAAGTAAAATTATCACTTGGAAATGTCAACCATAATTTGTCACTTATGACGGGTTGATAAGTGCAGCAAACCACCATGGCATATGTATACCTATGTAACAAACCTGCACATTCTGCACACGTATACTGGAACTTAAAGAGAAATAAAATTTAAAAAATAGATAAATAATAGCTTTTTTTTTTAAAGAAAAAGGCAGGCTTCTTAGTTTTCTAGGGAAGTCAAAGAAATAGAGACTTCTTCTATATTTCTTACAGACTTCTTCTTTACCTGCCTTTTGATTAAATGCAATGTTTATTGAGCTCCTGTTATTGACTGTGCTAAGTGATTGGAGGATAGATACAAATATAATTCAGTCCTAGTTCATACCCTAGAAAATCCTACAGTCTAATTTGCTTTTGACTCTGCGAGAAATGGCTAAGAAATTTAGAAAATATTTTAGTTTACTGAATAAATAATTGTCAAAGTCTCTCTTTCTGTAATGATATTTTCATCAGCAACCAAAAAAGTGCCAAGATCAATAAATGTTTATGAAATAAATGAATGATTACGTGTTTCAAGTTTGGGGAAAAAAAGATGCTTAACTTCGTATTTTCAAAAGCAGGATAAAATCTTATACTTCACTTTAGCCTAGTGTCATAATACTGTAACTTCATTCACCTTGAAATCTGTGTACTAATATATTACTAGATCTAAGAAGAAATAAATGTGACTCATAAGCAAGGGATAACTCAGTAGAAACACACAGAAAGGGGAGAGATGCTGTGATCAACAGACAAGATCTTTTAAATAACGATTGCAAATATCACCAATATGCTCACATATGTTTAGGAAAACACAAACTTAATGAGGAAAAATGGAATAGATAAAATTAGAATGTCATTTCTAGAAAAAAGTATGATAAAGAACATACAAATTTCACTGGATTGGATTAACAATGCTTCTGACACTGCATAAAGAAAGATAAATGCATTTGATCACATAGCAATAAGACTTAATATACATGAGTAACACAGGAAAAAAAAGACTGAAAGAACAAACAGAACCTTGGTGACTTTTCAGACAACATCAAATTGTATAATATACATGTAGTTGGAATATCATTAGGAAAGGAGAGGGAATGAAAGGTACAAACAATATTCAAGAACATTTTCCAAGTTTGAAAGCATCTATGAAAGCATGGATTCAGAAAACTTAATAAAATAAAGCAAGATAAAAAAAGAAAACTGAACAAAGACATACGAAATTCAAATAGCTTAAAAATGAATAATAAAAAATAAATATTTAAAAGTAACCAGAGAAAAGACACCATTTTTTATAAAACTTAGCTCTTAGAAAGGGTGTTATACTTTCTCTCAGAAACCATGTAAGCCAGGCAAATAATGAAACAGCATCTACAAAGGGCTGTGAAAACAAACACACAAAAACCTGAAAAGTTATACTTGTAAAGCCAGTAAAAATTTATTTGAAAAATGAAGAAAACTAAAGACGATTTTGGAACAATAAACTCAGAGACAGCTGTGGCCAGCAGACCTGAACTATGGGAAATGTGGAAGAAAGTTTGTTAGGAAAAAGAAAAGTGCTACCACATGTAAACCTTTAAATATACAAATTAATAAAAACCACCCAAAGTGGTAAATGAGAGGTATTTATTTTCTCATCTTTAGATTCTTTAAATTATATAGAAAAAATGATGTGTTATTATTTAATCACACATACGGAAGTAGATTATTTATATCACAAAGAGCTGGAAGTAGGAATAAAAGTATAGCAACTAAGCCAATAGTGTAAATAAAATGGAATACTAAAATATGCAACTAATCCAAAATAAGACAGAAAAAAAGGGAAAAAATGATTAAAGAAAAGAGAGGGCAAATAGAAAGTAGGTTTATTTAAACCTGGTATATCACTAAATACATTACATGTGCATGTAAATCTCCAGTTAAAAGGCTGAGATCATCTGATGGGACAATGAAAAAACTCTATTCTACAAGAAACTCACTTTAAAGGAAATATAGTTCAAGAGCAAAAGGATTTTAAAAGATATTCCAAACAGTAATCATAAGAAAGTTGGAATCGCTATTTTAATACCAAATACCATAAAGTTTGGAACAAGAATTTTTTCTAGGAATAAAGAGAGGTGTTTCATAAAGATAGAGTCATTTTATCCGTGTGTCATAAAAATTCTAGGAGTGATGTCAGCAAATGGTAGAATAGGAGGCCCTTGACTATCTCTCATGGATAAATTGAGTAAATATCTACACACAGTTGGATTCTCTTCAAAAGAAAGCCAGAATCTATTTGGAAGACTCTTACACACTGAATGTCTAAGAAACTATACACATCAAAACATGCAGAAAAAGCGGAAATATACTCTAGCACCAAGTTTACCCTGAGCATAGCACTTCACAATCATAAAGGATTTACCAACTTTCAGCTTCTTCCTGAGGGGTGAGAGGCTTGCACCCCAACTTTTATGGCCCCTGCCAGAAGGCTTGGCTCTTAAATCATCTTGGTTGAGTAGTAGCAGGCACTAAGCACCAAAGTATCTTCCCAAAGCAAAATGAACAAAGTCGGGAGAAGAAGTATTCAACCATGTGAGCACTTCCAGAAGCTGTCACCCCTGGAATCAGTCCAACTCCCAAGTTCACCCTGGAAACAATTTGCCTGCATACTTTTCCAGTAGATCCCTGTGGTTCTGGCTTCTAAAAGGTTAGTATCTAGGAGCTTTCATAACAAATAAAGAATAAACCTTCTGAAGCCTAAATAGAGAAATTACATGCCCAAAATCTTCTTCCCCAGCATGCAGCAGCAATAAAACCAAGCATACAGGCTCTCCCTGGAAAGAGGTTAGAGACCACTGGGAGCAAGAACTGGAGGGACAGCACTCTTTGTGTCTCCTTCCTTGGCTTGTTCTACCCCATAAATCTCAGCAATCTATCACTGGAAGGAGGCTTAGAGATCTTGGTGTTCCTGAATAGGAGAGTGAGCACTCTGTCTGCCTTCTTCCCTGGCTAGTTACAGTGACAAACCCACACCACCTCTTGAAGGAAGGGATGAAACTTCTGCTTACCTAAAAAGGAGAGTGGGAACTCCCTATACAGTCTTTCGCAGCTTACTGTAGCAATAACACCAGACCAGAAGTCTTCCCCTGAAAGGAGGCTGGTAGACCTCTGCCGGCTTGAATGGGAGAGTGAACATTCCTAACACTTTCTTCCTTGGCTTGTTCCAATGGGAAATCTAAGTCTGAAGACTCACCCTGGAAATAATTTCTGCATATTGATTCTGAGGAGAATCAACATTATCTTGCCTGGCAACTGCCTGAGGGGAGTCCATCACTGTTGCCTCAGGCAGCACAGGGTTTATCTTCTCAAAGGTGGAAAGGCTGATGGCAGCATGGGTTGGGGAGCAGGTGTTGTCACTACTGGAGTTGGAGAAAATATTTATTTTGGAAAAAAATGTTCATCAGAGTTTACAAACTCAGTGTCCCCACCTTCATTAGGGTCCTCCCACATTTCCATTCCAAGTTGCATGGTCCCATTCTTTTCTAATCAGTGCCCTCACTAATAGACACCTGGCGAGGCTGTGCATGCACCTTTCGTTGCAGGTCAGCCACTCGCATGATAAGAGCTTGTGTCTGTTTTTTCACAATTTCAGTTCCTTCTCTACAGGAGATAAGACGCTCTCTCAGGGCAATCTTAGCAGTTTTGAGGCTCAGTATCTGCTTCTGAACTCTGGAGTTAGAATCCCTGAGCTCATCATTTCCTTTCATCACTTTGTCCACTGAACTTAAGAGCAACCAACCAGCTTCATTATGTTCCTTAGTTCTCCACATATGGTCACAGATATTAATTATATAGAGAGTCACTAAACTCCTTGCCTCTCATGAGTGGTGAATCAGGAGTGTCAAATGCATTCGCTTTGCATAACCCTCTAAACAGTTCACACCAAGGACTATCAGTGTTCTCCATACTAATGGAAGTCCTTAGCATTTTTGGGTCTAATCATATTAGGCAGCCAACTCCAGAAACCCCAAAACCAATGAAAGAACTCCATCCTTAATATTCTGTTCCTCTAGAACCACTCCTGGTACCAAAATCTGTGTTTGTCGGGGTTCTGTAGAGGGACAGAACAAATAGGATAGGTATTTTATATATGTATATATGTGTGTGTGTGTGTGTGTGTATGTGTATATGTATATATGTGTGTGTGTGTGTGTAAAGGGGAGTTTATTAAGTATTCACATGATCACAATAGGCCATCCGCAAGCTGAAGGGCAAGAAGAGTCAGTCTGAGTCTCAAAACTGAAGAACTTGAAGTCCATTGTTCAAGCACAGGAAGCATCCCTCATGGGAGAAAGTACTCTGGGAGGCTAGGCTAGTCTAGTCTTTTCACGTTTTTCTGCTTGTTTTATAGTCTAGCTATACTGGCAGCTGATTATTGGTGCCCACTCAGATTAAGGGTGGGTCTGTCTTTCCCAGCCCACTTACTCAAATGTAAATCTCCCTTGGCAATACCCTCACAGACACATCCAGGATCAGTACTTTGCCTCCTTCAATTCAATCAAGTTGATACTCAATATTAATCATCAAACACATGCAAAAAGTAAAATTGGGCCTTATTTTTTACACCACAAGCCAAAATCAATTAGAAATGGATTAAACACATTCACATAAATGTAAGCCATAAAAGTCCTAACAAAAAATATAAGGAAAAGTTGCTTCATTTTGGTCTTGGCAATGATGTTTTGCATATCACATTAAACACTTGGCCAAAAAAAAAAGAAAAAAATAAACATGTGGGATGACATGAAACTAACATGTTCCTGCACAACAAAGGAAACAACAAAATGAAAAGGCAACATAAAAACTATAAAAGAAAATGTTTGTAACCATATGTGTTGTGTGTGCCTGTTTGTGTATGTATTTCCAAAATATACCAAAGAGCTCATACAATAAAATAGCAACAAACCCCAAAACAAAAAATAAGCCAATTAAAAATTAGAAGGAATTGAATTAGAAGTGGAGCCTGACAATGTGATTAAATTGCTGCAATCGCATTATAAAACCTGATGTTCACTTTAGAAATTTTTCCATAAATGATACACAAATGACCAAAAGGTTTCTGAAAAGCTGCTCAACATCACTAGTCATTAGTGGAATGCAAATCAAAACCACATTAAGATACCACATCACATCTGTTAGGAGGGGTACTGTCAAAATGACAAGAGATAACAAGTGTGAGTGAGGGTGTGGTGAAAGGGGTACCTCACTCCTGTCATAGATGTCTATAATTAAAACATATACATACGTATACAGACATAAATCGGAGATATTGTGAGTTTGGTTCCAGACTACCTCAATAAAGTGAATATCACAATAAAGTGAACCACGGAATATTTTTTGGTTCTCTGGTGCATATGAAAGTTATGTTTACGCTACACTATAGTTTATTAAGTCTGCAATAGGATTACATTTAAAAATGCATAGATCAAACTTAAAAATACTTTATTGCTAAAAATTCTAACAATCATCTGAGTCACAATATTTTGCTGGTTGAAGGTCATGCCCTGATGTTGATGGTTGATCACTAATCAGGGTGATGGTTGCTGAAAGTTGGTGTGGCTATGGCAATTTCTTGAAATAGCACGGTAAGGAAATTTGTCACATCAATTGACCCTTCCCTTTATGAAAATTTTTCCTTTACCATGCAATGCCATTTGAAATCATGTTACCCACACTAAAACTTATTTCAAAATTGGAGTCAATCCTCTTAAACCCTGTCACTGCTTTATCAATTCAGTATATATAATATTCTAAATATTTTGTTGTCATTTCACAAAATGTGTACAGCATCTTCGCCAGGAGTATATTCCATCACAAGAAACCACTTTCAATGCTCATTCATAAAAATCAACTCCTTATCCATTCAGGATTTATCATGAGATTGCAGCAATTCAATCACATCTTCAAGTTCCACCTCTAATTCTATTACTCTTACAATTTCCACCTCATCTGAAGCTAATTCCTCCACTGAAGTCTTGAATCACTCAAAGTCATCCATGATATTTGAAACCATCTTTTTTCAAATTCCTGTTAAAGGTGATACTTTGACCCCCTGCATGTATCATAAATGTTTTTAATGGTATCTAGAATGGCAAATCTTTTCCCGAAGATTTTAAATTTACCTTGCTCACATTCATCAGATGAATCATGATCAATGGCAGCCTATACCCTTATAAAATGTATTTTTAAATAATTACACTCGAATGTCAGTTACCCTGGATTCATTAGCTTCAGAATGGATGTTGGGTTAGCGGACACGAAAACAACATTTAATTTCCTTTTACCTCTCCATCAGAAGTTTTGGGTGATTGTGTTGTCAATAAGTAATAATATTTTGAAAGGAATCTATTTCTGAGCAGTAGGTCTGAATAGTGGGCTTAAAATATTCAGTAAATCAGGCTATAAACTGATGTGCTACAATCCAGATTTTGTTGTTCAATTTATGGAGCACAGGCAATGCAGGCTGTGTATAATTCTTAAGGGCTCTAGGAGTTTTAGTATGATAAATGAACATTGGTTTCAACTTAAAGTCATCAGCTGCATTAGCTCCTAACAAGAGGGTCAGCCTGTTCTTTGAAGCGAGGCATTTAGTTCTCCACTCTACCTATGAAAGTCTTAGATGGCATCTTCTTCCAGTGTCAGGATGTTTTGTCTACGGTGAAAATGTTATTTAGTGTAGCTACCTTCATTAATTATCTTAGCTTGATCTTCTTAATAACTTGCTGCAGCTTCTACATCAGCACTTGCTACTTTATCTTGCAGTTTAATGTTATAGAGATAGCTTCTTTCCTTAAACCACATGACCAACCTCTGCTGGCTTCAAACTTTTCTTCTGCAGATTCCTCATCTTTTTCAGCCTTCATATAATTGAATAGAGATATGACTTTTCTCTGGGTTAGGCTTTGGCGTAAGGGAATGTTGTGGCGGGTTTGATATATCCAGACCACTACAACTTTCTCCATATCAGCAATGAAGCTGTTTCCCTTTTTTATCATTCTTGTGTTCACTGGAGTAGCATTTTTGCTTCGTTCAGTAATTTTTTTTTCTTTTGTATTCACTGCTTGGCTCTGTTTCACACAAAACCCCAACCTCTTGGCCTATCTTGGATTTTGACATGCATTCCTCACTAAGGTTAATCATTTCTAGCTTTTGATTTAAATGGAAACATGTGACTCTTCCTTTCACATGAGAACAACATAAATGCCACAGTAGGATTAGCAATTGACCTAATTTTAATATTTTTGTATCTCAGAAAATAGGAAGGCCTAAGGAAAAGGCGAGAGATTAGGGAAATGACCAGTTGGCAGAACAGTCAGAACACACAGAATATTTGTTAAGTTTCTCCTCTTATGTGGATCAGTTCATGGTGCCCCCAAATAATTACAAAAATAACATCAAAGGTCAGTGATCACAGATCACCACAGCATATATAATAATGAAATTAGGCCAAGCATGGTGGCTCACACCTGTAGTCCTAGCACTGTGGGAGGTCAGGTGTGAGGAACACTTGAGCCCAGGAGTTTGAGACCAGCCTTGTCAACAGGGCGAAACCAAGTCTCTACAAAAAATGCAAACAATTAACCAGGCATGGTGGAACTTGCCTGTAATCCCAGCTACTTGGGAGGCTGAGGTGGGAAGATCATCTGAGCCTGGGAGGTTGAGGCTGCAGGGAGCCAAGATCATGCCACTGCACTCTAGCTTGGGCAACAGAGTGAGATTCTGTCTCCACAAAAAAAAAAAAGAAAAAAAGAAAATAAAGTAAAAAAAGCTTGAAATATTATGAGAATTACCAAGTGTGAGACAGAGACACAAAATGAGTGCTTGGTGTTGGAAAAATGGTGCCTATAGATTTGTTCAGTTCAGGGTTGCCACAAACCTTCAATCTGTAAAACATACAATATCTGTGAAGTGTAATAAAGCATGATATTCCTTTATCAAATAAATGTTCAAAAGGATGTGGAGAAGTGGAAACCCTAGTACACTGTTGATGTGAATGTAAATAGTATAAATATTATGGAAAACAGTATGACAATTCCTTTAAAAATTTAAAAATAAAAATAACAAGTAATCCAGCAATCCTACTTCTGGATATATATCCAAAGGAAATAAAATAATTGCATTGAAGAGACATTTGCATTCTCATGTTCATTGCAGCATTATTTCACAATAGCCAAGATATGGAACTGATATGATTTGGCTCTGTGTTTGCACCCAAATCTCATCTCGAACTATAATCCCCACATTTCAAGGGAGGGACCTGGTTGGAAGTTATTGAATCGTGGAGGCAATTTCCACCATGCTGTTCATGTGATAGTAAATGAGTTCTCACTAGCTCTGACAGTTTTACAAGGGGCTCTTCCCCCTTTGCTTTCTCTCTCCTGATGCCTTGTGAAGAAAGTGCTTGCTTCCCCTTTGCCTTCTGCCATGATTGTAAGTTTCCTGAGGCTTCCCCAGCCCTGAGGAACTGTGATTCAATTAAACCACTTTGCTTTATGAATTACCCAGTGTCAGGAAGTTCTCTATAGCAGTGTGAAAACGGACTATTACAGGAACCAACTTAAATGTCAGTTGAAAGATGAATGAATAAAGAAAATATGATGTGTGTATATATATGCAATAAAATTTTATTCAACCTTAAAAAGAAGGAAATACCATCACTTGCAACAACATAGATGGACCTGGAACACATTATATTTAGTGAAGTGAGACAGTTACAGAAAAACAAATATTGCATGATCTCATTTATATAGGGAGTCCTCACACTCTGAATTCATTAAGTCACCAGGTATTGACAATTCTAATTACTTTCTTTTTTTTTTTTTTTGAGATGGAGTCATGCTCTGTTGCCCAGGCTGGAGTGCAGTGGCACATTCTCGGATCATTGCAACCTCCACTTCCTGGGTTCAAGCAGTTCTCCTGCCTCAGCCTCCTGAGTAGCTAGGATTACAGGCACATGCTACCACACCCGAGTAATTTTTATATTTTCAGTAGAGACGGGATTTCACTATGTTGATCAGGCTGGTCTCGAACTCCTGACCTCATGATCCGCCTGCCTCCGCCTCTCAAAGTGCTGGGATTATATGCGTGAGCCACCGTGTCTGGCGACAATTCTAACTTCTAAATATCTTATTTTGTTAAAGCATCCCCACTGCCAAGGGTCAGGCCTTCATCACCCTTTTTTGATTGTTTCCTTACTGGCTTCTCACATTTGAAGTTTTCCATCTTGTTCTATGCTATCTAGTTCTGGAAATTCTTCCACTCCCATTGTATTATAATTATTTGATTACAGTTTTGAATTCTCCAGTGGTTCCTAAGCTCCTAATACTATCATATTATTCTCTGCAGTCCCAGTTTTTAGAACAAAGCAAATGACCACACTGATCACTAAATAAATATTTGAGTATCTAGCATTCATATGTTAAAAACAAAACACACTATATTTGTTTACTAAGGCATCTGGCCTTATGTTATGGAAAAGACAAAAGTGAAGTCTGTTAAAGATGTTTTAAATGTCAGCAAGCAGGTTTAGATGAATCATCTTGACACCCCTAAAAAGTCCAACACACAAGCAACAATATGTAAATAATCTAAAACTTCCAAATAGCTTCATACCAAAATAGTTCCTTAAATACCAGATTAGTTATTTATTACATATGTTAGAATAATTGTAAAGCTACTTTAACAGAGATCTAATTACAGAGGCTTAAGAAAGATAAAAGGTGTGTCTCTTTTGTAAGTAGTTAGATGTCTGGGGCATAAAAGGGGTTTCTCCTCTAAGGTCAAAAAGGTTGTTGCTGCTTTATCAATATCCAAGATTTTGCCTCTGTCAAAATTGCTTTACCATCACCACTTCCAAAAGAAGGTAGGTTTGGAGGAGCGGAGAGCAACCGGCTTCCTTTTAGGGATAGGACCTGAAAGTTGCAAGTGTCATTTTAAGGAAGGCTAGGAGATGTAATACCTAGATAGTATTAAGACTTAAGCTGTCTTAAGTCAAGTTTCCCTAGAATTGGAGTTCAAATAAGATATCTGCCTGCAGGAATTTAATGGGATGGGTGTTCCCAAGAGCAATATCTGTAAAGAAATATTAGAATCAGGATTCATTAAAATAGAATTGAGCTATAATTTGTTTGCAACCTTTGGCCACAGTGAATCCCTCAGAAATCACTGAAATAGCGATGACCTTTCAGAAATGTTCTAGAGTTGAGGCAATCCTAGACTAACATGTTCAGAACAGAAAGTGTCCCAGAAAAGGAAGAGGCATGACTTTAGTTAAGCGACTTCCCATTGGTCAAGGGTAATTCCTAAGGAGGAAGCCATCAACAGACACCACCACTAGCATCTGGGAAATTAAGTGGCTTGTTCCAGAAGGGGAGACCTGTGAATTACAGCGTTTTTAGAGGTTCTTTTTCAAAAAGGAGAAATGGAGGGATGACTACATTCGTCATGCATACAATACAATACATTTCAGGGAGAATGCATTCATTTTCTATTGCTGTGTTACAAATGACCATGTAGTTAATTACTTAAAACAAGACTAGGTTATTATCTAACAGTTCTATAAATCAGAAGTTCTGGTGAGGTTGGTTGGTTTCTTTACTTAGGGTCTCACAAGGCTGGAATCAAAGTGTAGGCTTAGCTGGGCTCTTGTCTGAAGGATCTGGAAAATAATCTGCTTCCAGGTTCATTTAGATCATTGGCTGAATTCAGTTCCTTATAGCTGTAGGATTGAGGTCTCCATTTTCTTGCTTACTGTCCTCAGATTCTCATGGCCACCCACTCCTTCTTAGGTAGCTCACTCCATCCTCAAAGAAGCAATGGCTTCTCAAGTTCTCCTCTTGCTTCAAATCTGTCTGGATTCTCCTTTGGACACCAGCTAAAGAAAGCTCTATGCTTTTAGAGTTTCATGTGATTAGATTAGGTCTGTCTGGATAATCTCTTTTTCTTAATGTGAACTATTCTATATAACATAACATAATCACAGAAGTGATATCCATTATATGTGTAGATTCCAAGCGATATGAAGTGGAACGCTGAGGGAATTATTCTTAGCATTTTGTGTATCATGTAAAACATTAACAGTTATGACTACATTTACTAAAAGGGAAATTTTTAAAAAAGCAGTTATGAAAAAATTAAAATATTAAAAATATAATAAAACTAAAACTAATATTAGAGAATTCTAACCAATACTGCTGTACCGGAAAAATATTATTAAATAATTGGAATTTATTGATCATTTTCCTAAAATGTTTACAAGATTTTCTTACGAAGTTTCATCAGGTTTTTCTTATATATCTAGGTGCCACTGGTCTTCTCCAATTACAAAATTATAAAGTCGATGTAGAATACTCATGGAATTTTTAACACAAAGTCACCAATAATAGTGTTGCCTAAAGTTAAAAGGCTGTGATTTTACGGCATACATAGATAAATTAATTAATAGCAGTACTGTGCCTTTGTTCATTTTCTTTATTACTAAATGATATATTTTCACAGTCCATGAAACTACAAAATAGACTCTTCAACTCAAAAGTGCATGTTCTGTTAATCCAACTTTTAATTTTCTCTAAAATATTGTGTGTGAGTATCTGTGTGCATGAGTGTGTCTTAAAATTTCTATTATTGCTATACTTGCTTTGAAAAAAATACTTGAGACGTTTACTGTGATACAACATTAATAGTTTAAAGATAGCCTCCTGAGGTGAGTATTGTTTTGGTCCTAAATTAATAGTCTTACAATGATGCATAGATGGAAGCATATCCAATTATGATGTGGTCTATGTTTTCAAGGAGTCACTTAAGGACAAACTGAAACTTTTGAAAAGTCTTTGGTGATGGAAAGGCGAGTACCTAGCTACACAACCAACAATAAAATGAAATTTTATTTGTATTCTATATTTTCTGTATTCCAGACAAATCCAAAACCAGGAGAATCTAGTACACTTAAAACATCTTATAGCAGCCATTTCTAACTAAAAGCACTTCAGGATTATGTAAAATAGTTTATCAGGTTTCTCCTCAGTATGAAAGAAACAAAGACTAGAACCAGAACATTCTCTCCATAATGAGGCAATATTGGAAAGTATTATTTCTACCATTTTCAAAAAACTCTTGTGCCACTCCATCATTTCTCCACAGATGAAAATAGTCAAACATAAATGCAATGTCAAATTAAAAAAGGAAACAGCTCAAGTGCTGTACTGTACCTGCCAGAAATGATTACTAAAGACTCATTCCCATAAACCATGTCTGATTACAGTATTTACTTGGAAAGCATCTCTATCAAACTCAGTGCTAAGAGGAGAATACAAACCGTTTATTTATCACCAAAGCTGGTAGGGAGTGAAGCATTGCTTTCTTAAACACAAATTAAGCCAAACCTAACTGGACTCTTCCAATAGCACAACTTCAGAGCTTATGTGAGCATCAGTGCTCACTGCTTTGGCAATGCACAATCACAATGAAAGGGACAACTGTAAAAAGTACTATTCTTTGTGTTTGACTAGAAGTTAGATTGGATAGTTTTTAATAGCAATAAAAACACCTAATAACATAGGTGTTTGAAGGGATTTTCATTTAAAATATTATTTTCAAATTAATCATATATGAGAGTTTATTTATTGTTTTTCTTTTTTAGAGAACATGGCACTAATCTTCTAACTTGACAGATAAATTTGGAGAGAACATATTTAATACAAAATGAATGATCAAAGAATTGACTTTACTCATGTATTCATTGGTGAAGTCTAAATTACATGTTACTATGTGTAATTGGCATAATGAAGTCACCCAGTAATTTGAAATTTCTGACCACGTGGGTGTGCTTGGTTAAAGTTGGTCTTTCCTTTTTATTTAAAAAAAAAAAACTTTCTATTTTCACCAAAATCAAGTGTAGGTAAGGAAAGGGTTTCCCACATTTAAGAGTAAAGGCCAAGAACCTCCTATTTTAGAAATAACATTTACAGAAAAATTTTGTCTTTACTAATAAAAAAACCAAACTCCTAGTATAATAAGTGAATTTATATTTAAAAAAATATATAGGGATTTAATAAGGTCTTGAAGAATATATAGGATCACAGTAATTCCACTTTTGGACAGAGAATGAAATGGTTACTTCAGAATGATGAAACAGTATCGGGTAGGATTTAGATTGAAAAAGTCCCATATGATAATCCCATTCTGACTATTCTATTTCCTAACAGTGCTTTAGGAAACTACTACCAAGTAATAAGAGTTTGCACTTCTGATAAAAACTATTTTCCATACTTCAATTAGGGACAGAAATGCATATCACATATTCTTGGGAGGATAATTGCCCAGCTGAGCTACAGGCGCGGTTTCATGTAAGGGATATGTATGCTGAAATAGGTAAAAAACAAACTGTGGATAGCTTTGAAAGACAACTGTTGAAGAATCTGTACTCTTATCTTGTAGCACCTCAATTCTCAACCTTTTTTCTTTGCCAGTATATCTGATGGATGGCATTCAAATAAACAATGCATTCCCACGGGCATAACTGGAAATATATGCAACTCCCAGAGTAGGAGATGTATCCTCAGCTCTTTCTCTCTCAAATAAAAAAGTGTTTCTGAATATATGTGAGAATGTTATCGTAGGGATAATTATGAATCCACTCAAATTTATTATTTAAATCTTGTATTGATCGTACTTTACATTTAGTAAATAGTTATGTATGATATATCTCATGATTGATCATAGTGTAAAAAGTGCCAAGGTTGTTTTGATGTTTTGTAGGGAAGAAAGTCATATGCAAATCACTGTGTGTATGTATTTGCTTATCACAGTATCTAGGCAGCAAATCAATTAAGCACCAACTCTAGAATTGCAGAATTGAGGTGCTTTGGGATCATCTAGAATAAGATAATATGGTAAACATGGAAAGGATGGTACATTAAGATACGCATTATAAAGAAAAAATCAATAGGTTTTATTTCTGTTTCTTACATTGTCATTGCAAATAAAGAGTGAAGATGCATTGTGTTGAGAGTTTGTGTAAGTAATATTTTAAAGTTTAACAATCGAGTTTTAATTCAGATTCATTTTAGCATCAATCTGGTCCAAAAATGTAACCTATTCAACTATGATAAACCATATGAAATTGCTAATACTTGACCATTTTGACCTACAAAAATAGTAATTTCATATAGTTCAATCTAAAATAATCCCCATTTCTATGGCAGAGGCAGACTTATTTGTGGGCAGAAGCATGGGCTTTGATCAAGTAATATTCGAGCAACTAGATGGCACTTTTTGTTGAAGACCAAATGGAAAAATAGACCAAATAAAATATCTGAAATGTAAAAAAATAACTAGTATAGATATACAAGAGGTTTGGAATTATCAAGGAGAAAATTATTTAAAAGGCATAACAAAAAGTAGTATTAAGTATCAAACTATATTTATAGCTACATGACACCGAACAATAGGTAAAAATTGAACATCTAGTTATGCTGAATTTCCAAGTATCAAATAGATAAAATACATATGGCTAGCCAGTTTTCCCAGCACCATTTATTAAATAGGGAATCCTTTCCCCATTGCTTGTTTTTCTCAGGTTTGTAAAAGATCAGATAGTTGTAGATATGCAGCATTATTTCTGAGGGCTCTGTTCTGTTCCATTGATCTATATCTCTGTTTTGGTACCAGTACCATGCTGTTTTGGTTACTGTAGCCTTGCAGTATAGTTTGAAGTCAGGTAGCATGATGCCTCCAGCTTTGTTCTTTTGGCTTAGGATTGACTTGGTGATGTGGGCTCTTTTTTGGTTCCATATGAACTTTAAAGTAGTTTTTTCCAATTCTGTGAAGAAAGTCATTGGTAGCTTGATGGGGATGGCATTGAATCTATAAATTACCTTGGGCAGTATGGCCATTTTCACGATATTGATTCTTCCTACCCATGAGCATGAAATGTTCTTCCATTTGCTTGTATCCTCTTTTATTTCACTGAGCAGTGGTTTGTAGTTCTCCTTGAAGGGGTCTTTCACGTCCCTTGTAAGTTGGATTCCTAAGTATTTTATTCTCTTTGAAGCAATTGTGAATGGGAGTTCACTCATGATTTGGCTCTCTGTTTGTCTGTTATTGGTGTATAAGAATGCTTGTGATTTTTGTACATTGATTTTGTATCCTGAGACTTTGCTGAAGTTGCTTATCAGCTTAAGGAGATTTTGGGCTGAGACAATGGGGTTTTCTAGATATACAATCATGTCATCTGCAAACAGGGACAATTTGACTTCCTCTTTTCCTAATTGAATACCCTTTATTTCCTTCTCCTGCCTAATTGCCCTGGCCAGAACTTCCAACACTATGTTGAATAGGAGTGGTGAGAGAGGGCATCCCTGTGTTGTGCCAGTTTTCAAAGGGAATGCTTCCAGTTTTTGCCTATTCAGTATGATATTGGCTGTGGGTTTGTCATAGATAACTCTTATTATTTTGAGATACGTCCCATCAATACCTAATTTATTGAGAGTTTTTAGTGTGAAGGTTGTTGAATTTTGTCAAAGGCCTTTTCTGCATCTATTGAGATAATCATGTGGTTTTTGTCTTTGGTTCTGTTTATATGCTGGATTACATTTATTGATTTGTGTATATTGAACTGGATCCCTTCCTTACACCTTATACAAACATTAATTCAAGATAGATTAAAGACTTAAACATTAGACCTAAAACCATAAAAACCCTGCAAGAAAACCTAGGCATTACCATTCAGGACATAGGCATGGGCAAGGACTTCATGTCTAAAACACCAAAAGCAATGGCAACAAAAGCCAAAATTGACAAATGGGATCTAATTAAACTAAAGAGCTTCTGCACAGCAAAAGAAACTACCATCACTGAACAGGCAACCTACAAAATGGGAGAAAATTTTCGCAACCTACTCATCTGACAAAGGGCTAATATCCAGAATCTACAATGAACTCCAACAAATTTACAAGAAGAAAACAAACAACCCCATCGAAAAGTGGGCGAAGGACATGAACAGACATTTCTCAAAAGAAGTCATTTATGCAGCCAAAAAACACATGAAAAAATGCTCATCATCACTGGCCATCAGAGAAATGCAAATCAAAACCACAATGAGATACCATCTCACACCAGTTAGAATGGCAATCATTAAAAAGTCAGGAAACAACAGGTGCTGGAGAGGATGTGGAGAAATAGGAACACTTTTCACTGTTGGTGGGACTGTAAACTAGTTCAACCATTGTGGAAGTCAGTGTGGCGATTTCTCGGGGATCTAGAACTAGAAATACCATTTGACCCAGCCATCCCATTACTGGGTATATACCCAAAGGACTATAAATCATGCTGCTGTAAAGACACATGCACACGTATGTTTATTGCGGCTCTATTCACAATAGCAAAGACTTGGGACCAACCCAAATGTCCAACAACAATAGACTGGATTAAGAAAATGTGGCACATAGACACCATGGAATACTATGCAGCCATAAAAAATGATGAGTTCATGTCCTTTGTAGGGACATGGATGAAATTGGAAATCATCATTCTCAGTAAACTATCGCAAGGACAAAAAACCAAACACCACATGTTCTCACTCATAGGTGGGAATTGAACAATGAGAACACATGGATACAGGAAGGGGAACATCACATTCTGGGGACTGTTGTGGGGTGGGGGGAGGTGGGAGGGATAGCATTAGGAGACATACCTAATGCTAAATGACGAGTTAGTGGGTGCAGCACACCAGCATGGCACAGGTATACATATGTAACTAACCTGCACATTGTGCACATGTACCCTAAAACTTAAAGTATAATAATAATAAAATAAAAACAATATTATTAATTCACAAAAAACAAATAGATAAAATATTCAGATAAATAAATGTATCTTTATGTTTCCTCTAGATGTTTAGATATATTCAATTTAAGATGGGATTTCAGAAAGTAGAAACTAATGTAGGATTCAGCCAATAGATTTTTTAAAAAATTAGGGTGAATAGCCTTCCCTTATGCTTAAATGCTAAGCAGCGACAGCTGATCTATATATAGGCTAGGTAAAGAGGACAGAGCATAAGGTACAATATGTCAAGTACTGCAACAGGATGATAAGGCATGTACACAAAGCACAGTAATGTAGTGTAGTGTGTGGTATCGGAGATCAAAACATTTTATGGGAATTCAGAGGAGGGAGAGAGCGTTTATAACTTGGAGAGAACAAAGAAGTTTAGAGAGCAAGAGAAGGCCCTGGTCTGAATTATTTTTGATGAAGCTTAAACTGGTCATAGTGTAAAGTGGTTTGGAGAGTGAAGAACTTAGACATAGAGGAAACTAGGTAGTAGGCTATGTAATGTTATGATATTACTATAACATGTAATGTTATGACCATTATAACATATAATGGTTTATACGGCATATGTTTAAAATCAAATACAGGGTTGCAGCTGTTCGATCAGAACTAGATTACAAGATGAGAAAGGCATTACAAAGGTTAAAAAAAAACATGTTCTAGTAAAAATAGAGAAGAATCAAAGATAATTTAATGTATTTAGTAAGATATGCCAATATTTACCAAAAAAATCGGAAACGTAGGTATGGGAAACATGATGAATTTGATGAATGCTGAAACCTAGATTGGTAAAAACTGTTAAACATAGACTTCTGTCAAAAAGGTTCACCACAATCCCCATAGTTTTCTTAACATTAGACTAATGAGGCTCTCCCTCATTTTTACCCCAGAGGAGTTAAGCTGTGTAAAGATTCTCTCTGAAGAGCCCTAGGATAAATTTGCTGTTAAAGTGAATAGTGAGATGAATAACCCATGAAGGAAAGAAAATACAATTAAAAATATCATTCAAGTACAGAAGACAAAACCAATCTCTCCACATCTCTATTAGACTTTTGGGTTTCTAAGGCAAGAAATTTGGATTGAGAGTATTTATAGGCATATACCAGTGTTTGGTATGTAAGAAGAATATATCATTCTTGCTTATTTTCACTGTATACATAATACAAGCTGAGAGTTAGGGAATATTAGGAAAGTGAGGAAACCATTAAAGAGAATCTCCATAGCTATTTAGTCTGGTAGTTTTTCAATTATCTCCTCTGTCCAGACTCATGTGCATAAAATCTATTCTTTTTTTTAATTATACTTTAAGTTTTAGGGTACATGTGCACAACGTGCAGGTTTGTTACATATGTATACATGTGCCATGTTGGTGTGCTGCACCCATTAACTCGTCATTTAGCATTAGGTATGTCTCCTAATGCTAACCCTCCCCCCTCCCCCCACCCCACAACAGTCCCCGGTGTGTGATGTTCCCCTTCCTGTGTCCATGTGTTCTCTTTGTTCAATTCCCACCTATGAGTGAGAACATGCGGTGTTTGGTTTTTTGTCCTTGCGATAGTTTGCTGAGAATGATGGTTTCCAGCTTCATCCATGTCCCTACAAAGGACATGAACCTCATCATTTTTTATGGCTGCATAGTATTCCATGGTGTCTATGTGCCACATTTTCTTAATCCAGTCTATCATTGTTGGACATTTAGATTGGTTCCTAGTCTTTGCTATTGTGAATAGTGCCACAATAAACATACGTGTGTGTGTGTCTTTATGGCAGCATGATTTATAATCCTTTGGGTATATACCCAGTAATGGGATGGCTGGGTTTCTTTACAAAATTGAAAGAAATTAAGGTCATGTTCATCTACTCTTAGCTTGGAATTTTCTGATTATCTATGAGGATGGAACAGTTATCACAGCACAAACCAGATTTTGAAAATTAATTTTTAAAAAGATAAATGATAAAAATGAAAAAGTTAATTGATTAAACTTTTCTATGATAACAATAATAAGAATCATGAACATAATGCATCTGAAGCATCTAAATAAAATTAAATAGAAAACCTGTGTTGTGATACTGAGCAATACGTTTGTAAAGAAAGAATGGGAAAAAATTACCAATGAAATCCAAGATATGTTGGTTCAAAAAGTACTGGTTAAATAATACCATTTATAATTCATATGAGAAAAGTAGATCTAATTTGGATTATTTTTTCTATTTGACTGCCAGATATAACTGACCTTTAGATTAAATTTGCTGGTGTCAGTTTTCCATTAATATTGAATGTTCCAAACCAACTCGCAAGTAGATTTTCTCAACTTCTGGTTTTGGATGCCATTTGTTTTTGATTATATGCCATTTCTTATTTAACCCTCACATGAAGAACACATTCACATGAATATCATTACTAAATTTCAACGTAAAAATGTTTTGATTTAAATTAAGCTTCAGTTTGTCATATCTCTGAAAACAAGTTTTTTAAAACCTTAGTCATTTCTTGATATTAACTTCTGTAATTCTAATATTTTGTCTGTCAGTTATTGAATCCATGTGGTCTTTATATCCCTAAAAACTGTTTCACATATAATGAATAAAATTGTTTAGATAAAGAAAATTTCTACGAGTTGTTTGTTTTAAATTTGTCAGTTGAATCAGAAGTTATTTGCTTAAGTAAACTATCTGTTTTAAAATTACGGGGCGAAGTAACTGCTTTTGAATGCATTCCTTGCAAAATTTAGGCTGTTCTTCTGATGGATGGAGGTATATTTGAGAGTTAAGAAATTCTGGAAAGCCATAAAGTACAGAGATAGAACTTTAAGTTAGCAATCAGAAAGCATGTGTTGATGTCCAACTGTACCACTATCAAATTTCAGAATTTGGAAGGCCTGTCTTTACACTAGGATAAATTTTATGTGAAAAAAATATGACATGATTGCCCCAAATTCCAGTATGTTAATGTCTTTCTGACACACTTCAAAAGCCAATGGTATCCACCACAAGATAGATAATGATTAATGAATTATCTCTGTCTCCTATTTCTCTATTAATATACTGGTCTATACACACAATGACATACATAGAGCATTTGTGTATATTATTACATATTTTTGTTCATATATATATATATATACATACACAATGAATGTGGAATACACAACTTAATCTAGTTTTAGTTCAATTCAAATGTTCTAGGTTTAAATCTTGGGTCTAATTCTTATGTGCTATGTGAGGTTGAACAAAGTAATTAAACTCTCGCTAAATTCTGAAAAATGTATGTAATAATTCTTAAAAATATAAAAAATAATCAGCACAATCCTAGAGGACATTTATACTGAATAGTACACAAATATTTAATGCTAGCTATTACACACTCATATACACAAAAAATCCAAAACCATATAAAATGTGCATAACAGAAAGCCCATAATTATTTCAAAAATAAATATAATTAATTTTATATCATAGTAACTGAAGAACTTCATTGAGATAGGTATGAAATTTCTCTCAGAGTTCACTGTGAAGTCAAGCATCGATTAGAGGAGAATTTTGAAACATGATCTAACCTTGGACTATAAAGGATCAGCTGATTCCCAAGCTCTTAAAATTTATAATTTTGTTCAAAAATTGCAATTTGTCATCTCTCTCAGGTGGCATTGCTGCTTTTAGCAACTCAAAGCAAAATTGACAACCATTTTTTTTTCATACTGCTGGCTTTTAGTTGTAGGCCAAAATCAAACACCAAATATTAAAGGAAACAATCAACCATGAGTGTGAGACAGCAAAAACAACAAACAGTTTAATATGCAGTTCTCTCTTCTAGAACACAATTTTACTCCACTTCAACTGCACTCTTTCCTTTTGATATGGTTAATACTCATTCATCCTTTAGGGGTCTGCTTAATTGCCATTTACTTAGGGAAACCTGCCATGGTCCCTAAACTAGGTTGCTTGTACTGCTGATTTCCTAGAGCTAACTTATGGTAAGAACTCAGTAACTACGTGAAAGTTACTCATATTCTAGATCTTTAGTTTCTAAAACACTGTTCAGTTGAGCCCCAGGCTCCCTCAAAGTTGCTTCTGGGGATTGAGTGTGTGGGGCTCTTGGATGCAACTAAAGTGATTCAAGTTATATCATATTCGTATGTTGCAATTCAATCTAGGATTTTACTTAGAAAAGAGCTTCATTGTTTTAACAGTTTTAAAACCATCATTAGGGAAACAGTTTCCATATTCAACAAACACTGTACAGTTCTTTTTTCCCTTAGATAACATTCCAGGCATTGGGGATTAGTTTTGCAGGGAGCTTACATTATCGAGGGGATGCCTCGAATTATCTATTCTTTTCAATTATTACTGTAATGTTACGTTGGTGGCTCACTAAGGATTTTAGCTGTAAGAGATCACAGAATTACTTCCATTCTCATCATTTTACACATGAGGAAGTGGAGGTCAAAAAAGAGAAGGACTCATTTAAGATAACAGTCAGTAAGTTGGAATTAGAACACAGACAAGATTTTCAGTCTTACGTAGTCGAATACTCTACCTGTAATCAATATCTCTCTGTGGAATCATTTTGTCATTTATTACTACGAATTTGGAAGGATCTGACAGAGAATTAGTAAATTATCAGAGAGACTCAAGTCTCCTAAAAATTAAGGAGAATATAAACTCACTAGCCTTGTAACAGCAGCAGGAACACAACTATATGCTTGTTATAATGGGTAATTAATATAAAACTGAGATGCTCAATAAGCTGTTAGGTAAAGTGGAGCCAAAATGGGCTTTTAGGATTCACACTGTACCTTAGATTTTTTCTTCTTCTTTTATTTTTTAGAGATGGTGTCTCACTTTGTTGTGCAGGCTGGAATGCAGTGGCACAATCATAGCTCACTGCCGCCTCGAACCCTTGGACTCAAGCAATCCTCCTGCCTCAGCCTCCCAAAGTACTGGGATTACAGGTATGAGCCACTGCATTTGGCCCACCTTAGATTTTCTTTTTTTTTTTTTTTTACCTTCTCCTGTTACCCTCGCTATTTTTTTTTCTTTTATTATTATATACTTTAAGTTTTAGGGTACATGTGCACAATGTGCAGGTTAGTTACATATGTATACATGTGCCATGCTGGTGTGATGCACCCATTAACTTGTCATTTAGCATTAGTTATATCTCCCAAAGCTATCCCTCCCCCCTCCCCCCACCCCACAACAGTCCCCAGAATGTGATGTTCCCCTTCCTGTGTCCATGTGTTCTCATTGTTCAGTTCCCACCTATGAGTGAGAATATGCGGTGTTTGGTTTTCTGTCCTTGCGATAGTTTGCTCAGAATGATGATTTCCAGCTTCATCCATGTCCCTACAAAGAACATGAACTCATCCTTTTTTATGGCTGCATAGTATTCCATGGTGTCTATGTGCCACGTTTTCTTAATCCAGTCTATCATTGTTGGACATTTGGGTTGGTTCCAAGTCTTTGCTATTGTGAATAGTGCCGCAATAAACATACGTGTGCATGTGTCTTTATAGCAGCATGATTTATAGTCCTTTGGGTATATACCCAGTAATGAGATGGCTGGGTCAAATAGTATTTCTAGTTCTAGATCCCTGAGGAATCGCCACACTGCCTTCCACAATGGTTGAACTAGTTTACATTCCCACCAACAGTGTAAAAGTGTTCCTATTTCTCCACATCCTCTCCAGCACCTGTTGTTTCCTGACTTTTTAATGATTGCCATTCTAACTGGTGTGAGATGGTATCTCATTGTGGTTTTGATTTGCATTTCTCTGATGGCCAGTGATGGTGAGCATTTTTTCATGTGTTTTTTGGCTGCATAAAGGTCTTCTTTTGAGAAGTGTCTGTTCATGTCCTTCGCCCACTTTTTGATGGGGTTGTTTGTTATTTTCTTGTAAATTTGTTTGAGTTCATTGTAGATTCTGGATATTAGCCCTTTGTCAGATGAGTAGGTTGTGAAAATTTTCTCCCATTTTGTAGGTTGCCTGTTCACTCTGATGGTAGTTTCTTTTGCTGTACAGAAGCTCTTGAGTTTAATTAGATCCCATTTGTCAATTTTGGCTTTTGTTGCCGTTGCTTTTGGTGTTATAGACATGAAGTCCTTACCCATGCCTATGTCCTGAATGGTAATGCCTAGGTTTTCTTGTAGGGTTTTTATGGTTTTAGGTCTAATGTTTAAGTCTTTAATCCATCTTGAATTAATTTTTGTGTAAGGTGTAAGGAAGGGATCCAGTTTCAGCTTTCTACATATGGCTAGCCAGTTTTCCCAGCACCATTTATTAAATAAGGAATCCTTTCCCCATTGCTTGTTTTTCTCCAGTTTGTCAAAGATCAGATAGTTGTAGATATGCGGCGTTATTTCTGAGGGCTCTGTTCTGTTCCATTGATCTATATCTCTGTTTTGGTACCACTACCATGCTGTTTTGGTTACTGTAGCCTTGTAGTATAGTTTGAAGTCACCACCTTAGATTTTCTTGAATGAAAGTCTGTTTTGATATTAAATACACAGACAAGAACATGAATGTATTTAGAATAATATTCTCTGTCCACCATGAACACTCAAATAAATGTTTTGTTTTGCTGATTTACTTTTCTTGTAACACCATAACATTTGATTTGTCATCTGGGTTTGTGAAAGAATTACAGGAAAGATGGCTGGATTTCAACTAGCAGTTTTTATAAACTTCTCTAATCTGCAAGCATATTTATTTGCCTAGCCTCCAGAGCATAAATGTTTAATTAAAATAATTATATAATGTTTAATTAAAATAATTATATACATACATACATGCATACATACATACAGTGAGAGAGATAGAGAGATAGAGACAGTGATAAAGATACATATTTTTGCTGCTACTTAAATAACTTTATGGTTTGCTAAAGTCAAAAACAAAACAAAGTGAATTACCTAAGAGAAATGGAATTAGTTTCAATATAAATAATAGTAAGTAAACATTAAACTGTTGCATTAAAATTCTCAAGTCCATTTTATGGAACATTTTCTCAGCCTGCAAGTACATTTATCCAACAATATTGCACATCAATGAATGAGTTGAATGTTTTCTGAAGATATTTAAGGGTAGTGGTCAAAATCAAGGACTCTACAGACAGACTTCCTTGGTTTAAAAACAGGTTTTACTAAATATTCATGTGATTTCAGGCAAGTTACTTTACCTCTCATTGCCTCAATTCTAAAGTGAAGATGATAAAAATAATACCAACCTCATAGAGTTACTGGGATAAATTAGTTTATATATATATAATATGTGTATGTGTGTACGTGTATATATATACACACTTGAATATGTGTACTTGAAAATGTGCACTTGAAATATGTGCACTTGAAAATGTGACACATACAAAAAATCGACATTACTATTATTCTTATTTAATCACATGAAATGATTGTTTTATGGTAAAATATAAACAGTAGTTTCCTAGTTTTGCCAGAATGAAAAAATAGCAAATGATTTTAAAATAAGGCCAAAAGTGACTGTTTCAGTTGATGCATGAGGAAGAATTTCTTTCTATCAATGTACCCAAACTTTAGAAGTGTAAAGAATCTATTTTTTAAAGGTAACATATTTCACCTATCTTAAATGATTTAGATCTGTGCTATCCAATGCAGTGGCTATTAACCACATGTGTCTATTGATCACTTGAAATGTGGCCAGTCAGAATTGAGATATGCTCTAAGAGTAAAATAGGGACTGGATTTTGAATACTTAATATAAAAATAAAATAAAGGTAAAATGTCTTATTAATAATTCGTATAGATTACATGGTGAAATAATTTTTTAGATATATTTAGTCAAATAAAATATGTTATTAAGATTAATCATCCCTGTTTCTTTTTTTTTGTACTGTGTTTACTAAAAAATCTAAAATTACACATAAATTTGCATGGTTATATATTATTGAATTACTAATGTGTATCTTTTATAAGATGATCTAATTAGAAACAAAGGGGTCTGAATTTTGATTTTTAAAAAATATTTTCCTTTTGGTTTTAATTTGTGATTTCTCCATAATTTGGGGCAAAAGCTAGGCAATTGTTGAGGGCTTTGTTACTGAGCCAAGGGGACTTGGGTCAGCTGAAGCCTGACTCTTTCAAAAAAGCTGGCCTTCTGGAACTAAATTAACAGCACAAATAATTACAGCCATGTATTGTTATGAGAGAAAGTGGCTAAGGCCATTCAAGTTTCTGTAAGGTAGCCAATGACGCCTGAGAAAGCAAATTTTTCCTGTGGAAAATGACAGTGAAATATCTGATCACAGATTCTTCCATAGTAGGTGCACTAACAGCCTATATTGATTTGAAATAACTGATTAAAAAATGCTTAATCAGATAAGAATTTTACTTTGGAATTGAAAATTAAATAAACTCAATCAGGAGTGAGGTTGAAGCAAGATGGTAGAATAGAAGGCTCTAATGAGTGCCGCACCCTCCCCAATAAGGACAACAATTTAACAACTATTTACCCATAAAAAGTACCTTCATAAGGACCAAAAATCAGGTGAGTGAACACTAACGGTACCTGGTTTTAACCTCATCTTGCTGAAAGAGGCATTAAAGAGATATAAAAAAGTTTTAAATTTCTGATGCCACTCCCTCCCCCATCCACCAGTAGAAGCAGCTTTGGGTGGAGAGCATTTCTGTGCACTGGGAAGAGAGAGAGTGCAGCAACTGTGAGGCATTGAACGTAGGACTGCCCTGTTACAGCAGAAAACAAAACCAGAGCAAACTCAGGTGACAACCATCCACAGAGGGAGTATTTAAATGAGCCCCTAGCCAGAGGGTAGTCACTGATCCCAGTGGTCTGAACTTGAGTTCCCACAAGCCTCACTACCACTGGCTAAAGGGTTGCGCGGCTCCAAGTAAATTTGAAAGGCAGTCTAGTCCACAAGGACTGCAGCACCTCTGGAATAAGAGCCAGGAATGGGCCACAGTGGGGCGGGGTGGGGGGCATGCATTTACTGAGACACCAGCCAGTATGGCTAAGGGAATGCCGACATAACCCCTTCCTTAACTCCAGATTTCATAGCTCGTAGTGCCAAAAGAGATCTCTTCTTTCTGCTTGAGGAGAGGAGAGGAAAAAGTGGGGAGGAGTTTGTCTTGCATCTAGGATATCATGTCAGCTACAGCAGAATAGAGTACAAAACAGAGTCATGGGGCCCCCTTTCTAGCCCCTAGCTTCAGGACAACAATTCCAGACACACCTTGGGCCAGAAGGAAAACCAGTGCCTTGAAGAGAAGAATGCCTTAATCGCAGTATTCGTCACCTGCTCACTGAAGATACTTTAGGCCCTGAATAACCAGCAGCAATATCCAGGTACTGTGTCAAGGGTATTGGGTGAGACTCTGAGACTTGCTGGCTTCAGAAAAGACTCAGTACATTCCCAGTGGTAGTAGCTATGGGTCAAGACTCTTTCCACTTGTGAAAAGTGGAGGAAAAGGTAAAGGGGACTTTCTCTTTCAACTTAGGTACGAGATCAGCCACAGGAAGGTAGAGCAACATGTGGGCTCTTAGATACCTAGTTCCATGACTTGCCTCCTGGAGGGCATTTTTAGACCTGCCCTGGGCTAGGGGGAGCCCACTGCCCTGAAGGGTGAGTCCTAGGCCGGGTATCATTAACCCCAAGCTGCCTGAAGAGTCCATAGGCCTTAAGTGAACACCAGCAGTAGTCTTGCAATTCTTCCTGTGGGCGTATGGTGGGAGTCACCACAGTGTGAGTCTCCTCCGCCTTTGGAAAAGAGAGAGAAGAGGGGGAATAACAGTGTCTTGTGGTTTGTGTGCCAGCTCAGTCACAATACAGTAGAACGCTATGTGGAATTCTAAAGTTTTTGAATCTAGTCTCTGGTTCCCAGATGGCACAGTTGGAACCGTTGAGGACTGAGGGAAGTTGCCACCCTGAAGTGAAGAGCACAGACCTGGCAGGCTTTGCCACCTGCTGAGTATAGAGCCCCAGGGCTTTGAGTGAATATAGGCCACAACAAGGGAGTGGTTACAGCAGTCATTCAGTGAGACCCAGTGCTGTGCTGGCTTCAGGACTGACCCAATGCAATCCTAAAAGTGGTGGGAAATGGGGTGCTTGTGCCACTCCAAGCTCAGCTCCAGGTGGCTCACAACAGAGAGACAGACTCTGTTTGTTTGAGATAAAGTAAGGAAAGAGAACAAGAATCTCTGCTTGGTAATCCAGCAGATTCTCCCGGATCTGATCCAAGACCATCAAGGTGGTACCTCTAAGAGTCTGTAAGAAATACGATGTTAATTGGCTTGAAGTACTCCCTAAAGCAGATTTAGCTTATAACACAACACTTAAGTCAATTATAATATCTGCAAGCCTTTCACAAGAAAGATAGTTCCAAACAAGCTCAAGACTACAAGAAATAGTTAACTCTTCAATGCCCAGACACAGAAGAACATCTAAAAATACCAAGACCATCCAGGAAAACATGACCTCACCAAACAAACTAAATAAGGCACCAAGTATCAATCCTGGAGAAACAGAGATTGGCATAATGATGAATGTATCATACTCTTTTAATAGCAGAATTGATCAAGCAGTAGAAAGAATTAGTGAGCTTGAGAACAGGCTGTTTCAAAATACACAGATGAGACTAAAGAAAAAATAATAAAAAACAATAAAGCACAGCTATAAGATCTAGAAAATAGCCTCAAAAGAGCAAATTTAAGAGTTATTGAACCTTAAAGAGGAGGTAGAGACAGAGATAGAGGTAGAAAGTTTAATCAGAGGGATAATAACAAAGAACTTCTCAAACCTGAAGAACGATATCAATATTCAACTACAAGAAGATCATAGAACACCACACAGATTTAACCCAAAGATGACTACCTCAAGGCAATTGATAATCAAACTCCCAAAGGTCAAGTATAAAGAAAGTCTCCTAAAAGCAGCAAGAGAAAAGAAACAAATAACATACAATGGAGCTGCAATTCATTTGGCAGCAGACTTTTTAGTGGATACTTTAGAGGTCAGGAGAGAATGGTGTGACATATTTAAATTGCTGAAGGAAAAAATCTTAAGCATTAGAAAAGTATATCTGGTTAAGCATTGACAAGACAATCCTAAGCCAAAAAAACAAAGCTGGAGGCATCATGCTACCTGACTTCAAACTATACTACAAGGCTACAGTAGCCAAAACAGCATGGTGCTGGTACCAAAACAGAGAGATAGACCAATGGAACAGAACAAAGCCCTCAGAAATAATACCACACATCTACAACCATCTGATTTTTGACAAACCTGATGAAAAGAAGCAATGGGGAAAGGATTCCCTATTTAATAAACGGTGCTGGGAAAACTGGCTAGCCATATGTAGAAAGCTGAAACTGGATCCCTTCCTTACACTTTATACAAAAATTAACTCAAGATGGATTAAAGACTTAAATGTTAGACCTAAAACCATAAAAACCTTAGAAGAAAACCTAGGCAATACCATTCAGGACATAGGCATGGGCAAGGACTTCATGACTAAAACACCAAAAGCAATGGCAACAAAAGCCAAAATTGACAAATAGGATCTAATTAAACTCAAGAGCTTCTGCACAGCAAAAGAAACTACCATCAGAGTGAATACGCAACCTACAGAATGGGAGAAAAATTTTACAATCTGCCTATCTGACAAAGGGCTAATATCCAGAATCTACAAATAACTTAAACAAATTTACAAGAAAAAAACAAACAACACCATCAAAAAGTGGGTGAAGGATATGAACAGACACTTCTCAAAAGAAGACATTTATGCAGCCAACAGACACATGAAAAAATGCTCATAATCACTGGCCATCAGAGAAATGCAAATCAAAACCACAATGAGATACCATCTCACAGCAGTTAGAATGGTGATCATTAAAAAGTCAGGAAACAACAGGTGCTGGAGAGGATGTGGAGAAATAGGAACACTTTTACACTGTTGGTGGGACTGTAAACTAGTTCAACCATTGTGGAAGACAGTGTGGCGATTCCTCAAGGATCTAGAACTAGAAATACCATTTGACCCAGCCATCCCATTACTGAGTATATATCCAAAGGATTATAAATCATGCTGCTATAAAGACACATGCACACGTATGTTTATTGTGGCACTATTCACAATAGCAAAGACTTGGAAACAACCCAAATATCCACCAATGATAGACTGGATAAAGAAAATGTGGCACATATACAAGATGGAACACTATGCAGCCATAAAAAAGGATGAGTTCATGTTCTTTGTAGGGACATGGATGAAGCTGGAAATCATCATTCTGAGCAAACTATCGCAAGGACAGAAAACCAAACACCGCATATTCTCACTCATAGGTGGGAACTGAACAATGAGAACACATGGACACAGGAAGGGGAACATCACATTCTGGGGACTGTTGTGGGGTGGGGGGAGGGGGGAGGGATAGCTTTGGGAGATATAACTAATGCTAAATGACAAGTTAATGGGTGCAACACACCAACATGGCACATGTATACATATGTAACAAACCTGCACATTGTGCACATGTACCCTAGAACTTAAAGTAGAATAAAAAAAAAGAAAAGTATATCTGGTGAAAATATTGTCAAGAATAAAGGAGAGATAAAGACCTTCCCAGAGAAATAAATGCTGAGTGATTTCATCAACACCAGACCTATCCTACAAGAACTGCTAAAGGGAGTATTTCATTCAGAAAGAATAGGACATTAGTAATAAAAAGTAATAATAAATTCTCTGAAGACACAAAACTCACTGATTAAGTAAATAGAAAAAGACAGAATATTATAACAATGTGGCTGTGACAAGTAAATTAATCTTATCTCAAGTAGGAAGACTAAATAAGGAACCAATTAAAAATAATAATGGCAACAACTTTTTAAGACATAGAGCATACAAGAAGATATAAATAGAAACAACAAAAAGTTAAAAAGCAGAGGGAAAATGTAAGGCATAGAATATTATAGTTTTCTTTTTGGTTGTTTACACAAAAAGTCTTAGGTTATCAAATTAAAATAATGGTTTATATAATAGAATTTTCAAGCCTCACGGTAACTTCATAACACAAAATAAAACACAAAGCATACACAAAAAATAAAGAAGTAAAAAACTAAATTATATCACCATAGAAAATCACCTTCAATCAACAGAAGACAGCAAGAAAAGAAAAATAGTGAAGACCACAAAATAATCAGAAACAATAACAAAATAGGATAAGTAAGTCCTTAGTTATCAATAATAACACTGAATTTAAATGGACTACACTCTCCAATGAAAAGACATAGGATGACCAAATGGATAAAAAAGAAGGTCCAATTATCTGTTGCCTACAAGAAACACACTTCACCTATAAAGACACACACAGACTGAAATGAAAAGGATAGAAACAGATATTCCATGCCAATGGAAACCAAAAAAGAGGAGTTGCTATACTTATATTAGCTAAAATGCATTTCAGACAAAAACCATAAGAGAAAAAGAATGTTACTATATAATAATACAGGGGTCAATTCAGCAAGAGCATATAACAATTTTAAATATATATGCACCCAACACTGAAACAGTCAGATATATAAAGGAAATATTAGAGATAAAGAGAGAGATAGGTCTCAGTGTAATAATAGATGGAAACTTCAACAACCCACCTTCAGCACTGAATAGGTCTTTCAGACAGAAAATTCACAAAGAAACTGTCAAAGAATCCTTTGGCTACCACTTCACCAGCCAGAAGCCTCTGTGATTGACAATGCCTCTGTGTGAGTTTTGCTTGCACCTGCTGGGCTTTTTCTGCCCACTCAGCCTGGCAGGCTGCACTTGGCTCATGCTAGTGGCCTGGATCCCACACCTGCCAAGGGCAAGCCAGGCACAGAGTGATGAAGGGTGTGTGAGTAAGCAAGCACACAGGGTCCAACCACTGTGCACAGCCAGGCATGCTAGCTGCTGGGGAGGGGCAGACAGCTTCAGGCACCAGCACAGGAACCAACTCTGTGTAAGGCTGAAGCTGGACCAGACATACCGCAAGCAGATTCCACTGCAGGGATCAATGTCTGGGGAAGAGAAATGTGGTGGTGCCCAAAAGCTTGGAGATGTCAGGAACCACAGAGCCCCAAAAAGGTTGTTATGCATGTTACAGTCCTGTCTCAGGGAGCCCTGAGGTCTGGGCTCCCAGAAGGGTTGCAACTCTTCTGTCCCTCTTGTTGCCAAAGGGCAGTGAGTGGTGGTGGGAGAGGGGGTGTGAGGGGTATGATCCATCCCATTTGTATTACTGATCTTTCAATCCTGCCTCTCTACTCGATGGCTCCTGGTCTGGCCCTGCCATGATGCTACTTTCCAATGCGTAGGGCCACCACCTGGCACTGGCAGAGGAAGGAAATGCTAGAGTGTTACAGAAGCTCTGGCTCAGGGATTCCTGCGGTCTGGGCCCCCAGAAGTGTCGCCACTCTTCACTCTCACAGTCCAGGAGCATGTCACCACTGAAAGCTTGGTGAGTCAGCCAGGAATATCTTACAGCTCCTTTCACTCCTGCCGGTTGGTGGCTCCCAAGTTCTTATCCTGCGTCCAGGAAGAATGAGGTCACATGGATAACTGGAGGGTTAGCAAGGCAGAGAGGAGCTCTATTGAGTGACCGAACAGCTCTCAGCAGAGAGGAAGCCTGAGTGGGTAGTTCCTATCTGCTGGAAGGTCTTCTGAATGAGTGTAGAGGAGACCCGAACTGAGTAACTCCTATCCACCGGCAGGTCTCCCAGTGAATCTCTGAGTCTGGCTGAGTCTAGGGTTTTTATGGGCTCAGAAGGGAGAAAGTGTGTACTGATTGGTCCATGGGCAGCCATGAGCCAGCCTGAAAAAGCACCATCTGATTGGCTGAAAGGCATCAGGGAAATTCTCACTCTGGGTTGCAGACTGCATGTGGAACTGGGTCCCCAGGCTTCAGGCCATCCCTGGCTTGTAGGTGGGTGATGTGCTTTGGCTGTGTCCCTACCAAAATCTCATCTTGAATTGTAGCTCCCACAATTCCCACATGTTGTGGGAGGGACCAAGTGGGAAGTAATTGAATCATGGGGTTGGGTCCTTCCTATACTCTTCGCATGATGCAGAATAAATCTCAGTAAATCTGATGGTTTTATAAAGGGGAGTGCCCCTGCACAAGTTCTGTCTTGTCTGACACCATGTAAGATGTGCCTTCCACATTCCACCATGGTTGTGAAGCCTACCCAGCGATGTGGAGCAGTGAGTCCATTAAATCTTCTTTTATTTATAAATTACCCAGGCTTGGTCCTGTCTTTATCAGCAGCATGCAAATGGACTAATACAGAAAACTGGTACTGGTAGTGGGGTGTTGCTGTAAAGATGCCCGAAAATGTGGAAGTGACTTTGGTACTGGGTAACAGGCAGAGGTTGTAACCATTTGGAGGACTCAGAGGAATACAGGAAGATGTGGGAAAGTTTGGAACTTTAAGAGACTTGTTGAATGGTTTTGACAAAAATGCTGATAATGATATGAGCAATGAAATCCAGGCTGAGGTGGTCTCAGATGGAGATGAGGAACTTGTTGGGAACTGGAGTAAAGATGACTCTTGCTATGTTTTAGCAAAAAGACTGGTGGCATTTTGCCCCTGCCCTAGAGATTTGGGGAACTTTGATCATGATAGAGATAATTTAGGGTATCTGATGGAAGAAATTTCTAAGCAGCAAAGTATTCAAGATATGACTTGGGTGCTGTAAGAAGCATTCAGTTTTAAAAGAAATACAGCATAAAAGTTCGGAAAATTTGTAGCTTGATGATATAATAGAAAAGAAAAATCCATTTTCTGAGGAGAAATTCAAACTAGCTGCAGAAATTTGCATACGTAACAAGGAGACAAATGTTAATCGCAAAGACAGTGGGGAAAATGTCTCCAGGACATGTCAGAAAGTTTTGCAGCAGCCCATCCAATCACAGGCCTGGAGGACTAGAAGGGAAAAATGGTTTTGTGGGCTGGGCTCAGGACCACCCTGCTTTGTGCAGTCTAAGAACTTGGTTATCTTCATCCCAGCCACTCTAATCATGGCTAAAATAGGTCAAGGTACAATTTGGGACATGGCTTCAGAGGGTGCAAGCCCCAACCAAGCCTTGGGAGCTTCCATGTGGTGTTGAGCCTGTGGGTGCACAGAAGTCAAGAATTGAGGTTTGGGAACCTCTGCCTAAATTTCAGAGGATATATAGAAGTGTCTGGTTGTACAGGCAGAAGTTTGCAGCAGGGGCAGGGCCCTCATGAAGAACCCCTGCTAGGGCAGTTTGGAGGGACCCTCATGGAGAACCTCTACTAGGGCAGTTTGGAAGGGAAGTGTGGGGTTGAAGGCCACATACAGAGCTCCCACTGGGGCACTGCCTAGTGGATCTGTGAGAAGAGGGCCATGATCTTCCAGACCCCAGAATGGAAGATTCACTAATGGCATGCACTGTACACCTGGAAAAGCAACAGACACTCAATGCCAGCTCCTGCAAGCAGCATGAAGGGAAGCTGTACTCTGCAATGCCACAGGGTCAGAGCTGTCCAAGACCATGGGAACCCACCTCTTGCATCATCATGACCTGGATGTCAGACATAGAGTCAAAGGAGATCATTTTGAAGTTTTAAAAAATGACTGCCCTATTGGATTTTGGACTTTCATGGGGCCTGTAGTAGCCCCTTTGTTTTGGCCAATTTATCCCATTTGGTATGGCTCTATTTACTTAATGCCTGTACCCACATTGTATCTAGGGAGTAACTAACTTGCTTCTGATTTTACAGGCTCATAGACAGAAGGGACTTGTTTTGTCTCAGACGAGACTTTGGACTGTGGGCTTTTGAGTCAATGTTGAAATGAGTTAAGTCTTTCGGGGACTGTTGGGAAGGCATGATTGGTTTTGAAATGTGAGGACATGAGATTTGGGAGGGGTCAGGGGTGAAATGATGTGGTTTGGCTGTGTCCCTACCCAAATTTCTTGAATTACAGCTTCCACAATTCCCACCTGTCGTGGAAGTAACCCAGTGGGAGGTAATTGAATCATGGAGGCACGTCTTTCTCATGCTGTTCTCGTGAAAGTGAATACATCTCATGAGATCTGAGGGTTTTTTAAAGGGGAGTTTGCCTGCACAAGTTCTCTCTTGTCTCCCACCAGGTAAGATGTGCTTTCCACCTTCTGCCATGATTATGAGTCCTCCCCAGCCACGTGTAACTGTGAGTTAATCAAAGCTCTTTTTCTTTATAAATTCCCTGTCTTGGCTATGTCTTTATCAGCAGCATGAGAACACACTAATACATTGGGGTTTCACTGGGGACCTGCCCCTCCCACCTCGGAACTTCTCTGTCTCCCATTGTTATCAACTTGCTGTCCATGGCGGGCAGGCTATCTGCACCAAGGGGTGCCTGAAAACCCACTCTGAGCTGCTCTCAGTTCTCCAGCCTCCCTCCTGAGCTCGTGGGCACCCAACATCTGGGGGGCTGAGGTGGCGGGGGGTTTGGTGTCTCAGCACCGCTCCAAGTGTGCTCACACTCAGCCGGGTCATGACAGCACTTGGGCTTGGCCACAACATTCCTGCTCACCAGAGCATGCACTGGGAGAGGGGAGGGGCAGAGAGCAGGAGCAGGCACTTCTGAGTCTGCAGAGGCAGGGGGCTTCCCAGGCCCCCGAGAGCACAGGGATTCCTGGATCTGCAGCCATGGGCACTTGCTCTAATCACAATGGATTAAAACTAAAATTTAATAACAAGTGGAGTTTTGGAAATTGTACAACTACATGAAAATTAAACAATTTGCTATTGAATGATCAGTGATTCAATGAAGAAATTAAAATGTATGTTGAAAGTTTTCTTGACATAAATAGTGGAAACAGAACATTCAAAAATATATGGGACACAGCAAAAGCAGGAAGAAATCTAATCATTGGCTCAAAAAAACGTGCAAAGGATCTGAATAGACATTTCCCAAAAGAAGACATGCAAATGGCACTCATATGAAAAGTTGCTCAACAGTGTTGATCATCATAGAAATGTACATAAAAACTACAATGAGATATCATCTCACCCAAGTTAAAATGGCTATGTCCAAAAGTAGGCAATAATAAATGCCAGTGAGGATGTGCAGAAAACAGAACCCTTGTACACTGTTGATGGGAATGTAAATTAGGACGACCACTATGGAGAACAGTTTGGAGGTTCCTCAGAAAAGTAAAAGTAGAGCTACCATATGATCCAGCAATTTCACTCTTGGGTATTCAAAAGAAAGGAAATCAGCATATTGTAGAGATATCTGCACTCTCATGCTTGTTACAGCACTTTTCACAATAGCCAAGATTTGGAAGCAAGCTAAGTGTCCATCAACAGATGAACGGATAAAAAAATGCAGTACGTATTCACAATGGAGTACTATTCAGCCATGAATAGAATTGAGATCCTGTCATTTACCACAACATGGATGTAACTGTAAGTCACTATGCTAAGTAAAATAAGCCAGGCACGGCAAGACAAATATCACAAGTTCTCACTTGTTTGCGGGATCTAAAATAACGAAAGGGTGGAACTCATGGAGATAGAGTAGAAGGATGGTTACCAGAGGCTGGGAACAGTAGTTGAGTAGGAAAACTCCTAGTTTTGTAGGAAAACTGGAGTAAGCTAATGTGTACAGAAAGATAGTGTACAGAAAGAATGAACGAGACCTAATGTTTCAAAGCACAACATGGTGACTTTGTTCAATCATAATTTAATTGCACATTTTAAAATAACTAAAAATATAACTGCATTGTTCATAATCACAAATGATAAATGCTGGAGTGACTGGATTCCCCATTTTACATGATGTGATTATTATACATTGCATGCTTGTATCAAAACATCTCATATACCCCATAAATATATCTTTATACCTATTACTTTGATGCTTGCTGTATATCCTGGAGATTTTTGTTCAAATGAATGATAAATTAGAAAATGTGATGGCTGAAAAAAAAGTGGAAGAACATTGTTTGGTGAGTTATGTATTTAACAGTTTTATGGATGTGCTACTCCATTATGAGTGCCTGGGAAGACAGCTAGTGTGACTGAAGTTACAAGTATTTCAGTAAAATACTGGAGGTAATTAATAATGTCAAATTTAGCAAAGAGAACACATATTGATAAAAATTCCATACCATCCAGACTCTGTGATGTGATTAGAGGCTACCAGTTTCATTTTTTTCTGGCATAATATATTTGCTCTCAAAACTAAACTTTATTATAAAACTAATTTTTAATAAAAATAGCCATTAAGGTCATGAATACTCCATGATTAATGTACCATATGATTGTATGAACTGTATCATCACGAGAGTAAATGTATTATGTAATTGCATGAATAAATGTAAAATTTTATGATTAAATATGAATCTCTATCCATTGTAACTAATTTTCATGTGGGAAAAAAATGAGTCAGCACTTACCACTTCTCTTCAGTTGGGGTCATCCCACTCTGCAAATCAACTCTGCCTCTCCATATTTCTAATTAGTTAAATTTCCTCATTTACCTTATTCCATGGCTAGGATAGTCAGATTTGGCAAATAAAAATAGACGGCATCAAGGTAAATTTGAATTCTGCATAAACTATGGGTATTATTTTAGTATTAGCATGTCATGTGGAATAGTATTTGTTGTTTATATAAAATTTAAATTTTAATGAGTTTCTTCTATTTTATCTGACATCACTACTAGTAGTGCTTTCCTTTCAGTACACTTACTACCTGCCCTCTCTAAATCATAATTTCTTACACTTCCCTCATAATAGCCCAAACTTACAAAACCAAATTTACCTATTGGTTAATAATGAAAATTTTTCTGAAATTTTTGTTCCTATTTTCTGAAATAGGAACAAAATATGCCACTTTGCGTAAGATGGTGAAAGCTCTACCTTTTAAACCTCAGCCTTGGCACTTTTTATTAACTCAATCCAATCTCTCTTTTTTCCTCCTTTCTTTAATTTGTAATTTTGGTCTCTCTCTACAATTTACAATATTCTTCTGAAAATCCTACCACTAGGTCATAAACATTGCTTTTTTCTCTGAATGGTTTCTGTTGTAACTGAACTTTTTGTTTCTGTATTCTTTTTCCTCCTTGTGCCCTAACAAGGCATTTTGACTAGAGCCAGAGTATTCAATCTCTCTATCTCTTTCTCTTTCTCTCTCTCTCCCAGTCAGTGCTTTTAGTTTTTGTGCTCTACAGGGTTCTATTGTCAGGGGGACAGTTCTTTCATAGTTGCCTTTGACTTCATAAGGACTATTTTTGTTGCAAAAGAAAGGAAATTTTAGAACATTTTCTTTGCCATGGACTGACATATAGAAGGTTACTGTTACCTATCTAGGGACTTGTTAAAAATAAGGAATTGGGGAGTTGTTAACTTTTTGTTTCTTACATTGAATTTCTTGTATTAAAGGATCCTGTGGTTTATAAAACTCTTTGCCACTTCCTTTTTTTTCTTCCTATTTCTCACACTGTTGTGCTTTTTTTTGGTCGGGCTTTTAATATCCTTAGCATTAACCAATTTGAGCCTGGCAAAGAAACGGACAAAAATAAATCAGTAGCATTTTTTAAAGATTAAGTTGAACTCTGTCACTAAATGGGTTCTTTCTACTTTACGCTCTGGCCTTAGAGATTTCTTTGCAAAAGAACAAATGAGTGAAGTTATATACAGATATATGTACAGTTGAAAATTCAGTACCACATTAAAAAAATACCTAAACTGTTCACAGTAAGTTTCTAAGAAAACATACCTCATTACAAAAATGAACATTCTAAAAATGTGTCAGATGTTTTTATATTTTCTGTAAGTCTTGAAATACTGTATACCACACAATTATTATCCCACTCTCACCTACTGAAGGCTTGAGTAAATATTTCAATCTTGGAAGTTTTGACATCATGCTGTATAACCTTATTGTCTATGTGTTTGACCCTGATTTTGAGTTCTTTTCTTCCTTATCCAATGACTTTTGTTTCCTAATCACTGTTTTAACCAGTAAACACAATAAAATGAAAATGACAGATATCTCTTCTAGCTACTTCCACCTGCCAATGTCCAAATAGTAAATTATGTCTACAAGCCATTCACCCTTTATTGTGCCATTGTCTCTCTAAATCTTTGTTCTTCCTTATTCTTTACAAAAACTCTATTTATAAACTCTTACAGTGTGTCCTCTAACTTTTTTTTCTGTGTAATGGGCAACTACCCTTGTAGCCTCCACCGCTTCTGTGAGCCTTTACCTACCTTTTATTTTTTAACTGCAAACAGTTTCCTCTGAAGACATTATTGACTTCTATAATCCTCACAAATTGATATTATTCTGCTTATTCTCCCCCATTGTACACATCCCCAAGTTTAGCAGTGGGTTTCATCTCGTAGTCCCTCCCTTGTACTGCTTCCATACTACTAATTCCCCAACCTCTTAGAAAACAAACTTGATGCTGCAAAGTTCATGACTATTTCACTAGGCTTTCCTTCTCACAGTTATTGATATTATGATTATGATTATGATTTTTTTTGAGACGGAGTTTCACTCTTCTTGCCCAGACTGGAGTGCAATGGTGCAGTCTCGGCTCACTGCAACCTCCGCCTCCCGGGTTCAAGCGATTCTCCTGCCTCAACCTCCTGAGTAGCTGGGATTACAGGCATGTACCACCACGCCCGGCTAATTTTGTATTTTTAGTAGAGACAGGGTTTCTCCATGTTGGTCAGGCTGGTCTCGAACTCCCGACCTCAGGTGATCCGCCCGCCTCGGCCTCCCAAAGTGTTGGGATTACAGGCATGAGCCACCGCGCCCAGCCGATAATTTTTTACCCTTCTATATTAAACTTGTGTTTTTATTTTCTGTATTTTCAGTCTTTAACCTCTAGAGATTTACTAACACTGGAGGGACTGCTGCCTCCTAGGGTTAGCTAATTCCTAGAAATATTTAAAAAAAAAAAAAAAAGTCACCTGGGAACACACCTTTCAAATGTAAACCAGGTCCATGTGCCAGATAACTAAAGGCAGCCCCTACACCCCAGAGCCTGCTGAAATTACTCAAACTAGCCAGTTGAGCTGTTTACCTTTGCTTGCATGTTCCTTCCCATGGCAACCAAAATAAAGGCTCTTGCCCACAATTTCTACTGCTACCTCTTCCTTCTGGTTGAACCCAGTGTTTCTCTGTGTGGCCCCTCATGCATTTTTCTCTTTGGATCTGTTGGTATAACAAAGTCTTTTCAATGGCAGTCATCTCATGATTTGTTGGCCTCACCATATCTGAATAATAATACAACCTATACTTTAAAACAGTGAAGAGCTTGGGAAAATGCTCACAGCCTTCTTTTCAACAATCTTGGTTGATTCCAAGTTTACATGAAGACTCATTTCAACACTGTGGCCTGAGATTGACTATATCAGCTTTAAGAACTTCCTCTATCCTCCTTCAGCCACCCACTGTCATTATCATATATTGGACCTCACCAATATTATTAAGTGTGCCTCTTTTAATGTCACTAAAACATTCCAGTTTGTCCCAAACCTTTTTTTCCGGTTTGCTTTTTCTACTAGTCCATACAGAAGACTAATCCTTAAACTTACTGAAGTGTTTAGTCCCTTGATTTCTATAATTTATTTTTCCCAATCACATGCCCTAACATCTATTTATTTACCTTCCCATCAACCTTAGCTTTTATGAGCTGCCATTTCAAAATATTTCAGGCCAATGACCTACTTGCACTTCTCTTTCTACCTTTCAGAAGCTCCTCTTTTGCAAAATATCCACCATTAATAGATATAAGTATTCCCTTTCTCTATGCCTGTACACTACTACTCTCCCTGTGTTGCAGAAAAAATATATGGAACACACAATATTTTCACAATGAAGTTTATGAATGTCAGTTTTAAATTATATACCTCACTTCACACCATCTGACAGTCTTTTTATTTGCCTCTATGCAACATGCTTTCTCTTACAAACTGCAGTATTCATGTTAAACTTTCATTATTCTACTCAAACTTTTAGTCCTCAGTTTCAATCTCTGTTTCTCTCAGCACTTGGCTATGTCCCAGAATTCAAACAGAAAGTATAAAGCTTCAGATGGGAACTCCCCACCAAATAATTTACCTACATCTGTCTTTATCCCATTCTCCTTTTCTCATGTTAGAACAGAGGAGAAACTATCCCTCCTGTATGTAAATTCTATTCCTTTTTCTGTGTTTTAAAACTCATCCTCTCCTGCCTTTGCAGGAACTTTACACTAACCAGTATCCATCCCTTTTCTTGAATAATCCAACTCTCCCTCCCAACTAGATTATTCTAATTTGCATTAAAACATATTTTAACCACTTCCATTGAAACAAAAAACTAGGTCACTTATTCCAAGGAAAGGAAATCAGTATATCAAAGGGATAACTGTACCCCCATGTTTATTGCACCACTATTCACAATAACTAAGATATGGAATCAACCTGAATGTCCATCAACAGATAAACAGATAAAGAAAATGTGGTACATACACACAATGGAATGCCATTTGGCCACAAAGTAAGAGTGAAATAATGTCATTTGCAGCAACATGAATGAAACTGGGTGACCATATATCACGTGAAATAAGTCAGGCACAGGAAGAAAAATATTGCATGTTCTGACTCATATGTGGGAACTAAACCAATTTGAGCTCATAAAAGTAGAGATTAGAATTGTGAGTATTAGAGACTGGGAAGGGTAATGGAGGAGTATGGGAGGAGGTTGATTAATAGATACAAAATTATAGCTAGATAAGAGGAATAAATTCTGGTGGCCTGCAGCACTGTAAGTTGAATATAGTTAGCTAAAATGTATCTTATATATTCAAAAATCTAAAAGAGAGGATTTTGGATGTTCACAACGCAAAGAAATAATAGATGTTTGAGGTGATAGATATGCTAATTACCTTGATTTTACCATTATACATTGTATACATGTATCAGAATATCACTCATTCCATAAATATGTACAATTATTACTTACCAACTAAAAGTAAAAGGAAATAAAAAAGAAAAGGGGAGAAATAAAGCAGAAGAGAAAACAAAAATAATAAAACAAAATTCAAACCAATTAGACTTCACAGACCTCATATTTATTGTCTAGCTACAATCCTTTCTTCTTTCTTCTTCCAAATGTCAGTTTATACTCATTGCCCTCATTTTCTCCATTCTTTTTCAATCAACAAATGATTACACACGAATTTTCATCTGCATTCCTCCAGCCAAAAATTATTTCTAATGTGATCAATTACTTAAATATCATAGCGTCCAGTCTTCATCTTACTTGGTCTCTTACCAGCATTTGATAATGTTGACACCTCCTTCCTTTTAAAAATATAATTTAACTATGCTGACTACCTAAGTGATGTGACCAGTTTTCCCCCAAACCTCAGAATCACACAATATACCAATGAAACAAACATGTATATGTACCCCAGAATCTAAAAAAGTTGAAATTTTACAAAATAAAACATAGAGGAAAATACGTGTGTGATATATATACACATATATATGTGCATGTATGTATGTGTGTATATATATGTGTGTATATACATGTGTATATACACATATATGTGTATATATGTATGTGTGTGTGTGTGTGTGTATATATATATATATATATATATATATATATATATAATCTAGCACTACAGTAATACAATGCCAGAAGCAAAAGAGGATTAACAAGCTAAGTATATCAAAGGGATAACTGTACCCCATAATAGACATTTACTTCTAAGTTAAGTTCATGCTGATATAGTTGTTCCTACTTTTTGATTCCTTTATTTTTAAAGATGTATTTATTGATGAGATTACCACTGCTTGATGAATGATACCAGAATTTGTTGAATGTTTACATTGGACTAGCCATTGTGACAATATGTTTATATGTAAAATCCCATGAAATCCTCCGAGAAATGCTATGAGTGGGGTACAGTCATTATTCCTATTTGACAGATTTATATTGGTTCATTATCATTATATGACTCTATCAACTAAAATATAATTGTGTAAATTCTAAACCATATTTATCAGACTCCAGAGCCGATGGATTTCAATTAAAATAGGCTGCTTCTCCTCACCACTCTACCCAATTTGTTCACTACTGTTGCTTTCATTTAATCTCCTGAATAAACAGGAAGGGATTGGGAGAACTATAAAATGGCTATTTCTTAGTAATATCAAATAAGCAGGTAAAACATGAACTGTTGATAATTGGTATGCTGCTTTATAGGAGACAGTGTACATTCATTCATATACACGACTAAGATTCTCTTTTTTCTGAAATGGTTTAAGTTAGTTTTACTTACCTGCAATGGTTCTAAGTAGGGTTTGGAATATAGAGATAGTGACCAGATCATTCTGTTATATCAACACCAAACAAGTCTTTATTATCTCATAGTATTCTCAATTGTATTTTAAGCATAGTCCATACAGCTAATTAAAGATCTTGTGGAATTTGAGATATTTTATTGCTTGCTGAGGTTGACAGCATTTCATAAAATAGCCATTTGTACATTCACAGAGTCACAGCCTCCTAAGTGATATCAGCTAAAGAAAAAAAGTTAACTGGAAAACACTTAATCCAAGCATTTTCAAAAAATAGCTTGGCATCTCTTTGATAATACTTGATGGTCTTCAAAAATACTCACTTAGAATAAAACACATTCCCTAGTGCTAACTTCTACAGTCAAGTGCATGTGTCAAAAATAAAGGCTACTGTGATAATTTTGACTGAGAAGCCCAAATGAAAATAAATTCAATGAAATAAAGCTAGTGAAATGAGTTATTCAGTTTTATGGATGTAATCACATTTTCTTGCCTGTTTACTCATCTAGCAGTTGTTGGGACTGTGTGAGGCAGATTCACTGTGCTTTGGCTACCAAATTACGTGAGCCTAGTGATACAGAACATACTCATATGTGAAAAGATAGGTGAAGATAACTTATTACTTACAGGTAGGCACCATGGGCTAAAAGACTAGGATCCATTGTGAGCTGATTCCTCTAGGCTCGAGAAATCTGCCCTGGGTGGCTAGAGTCTTTACTATGCTTTCTTAACTTGCACTATAGCTGAGGGACCCCAAAAGGCATTCCACTCCAGATTATATGTTTCAGGGACAAAAGGAATCCTGGGTAAAGCTTTGAAAGATATCCTTCTTCCAACAGAATGAGGAAAAAAGCCCGGCCTGTCCCAGCAATTCCTCTCTAACTCAAGATATTAAATTACCAATGGTTACTAGTGGTTGAGAAAGGTAGTGAATGGGTGACAGGGAAATACGGATGGTTAATGGGTACAGAAAAGTAGTTAGAAGATGTTACATTCCATAGGAAGGACAAAAACTAGTCCAGGGCTATTTGGGGCATTTCTTTCCTATCTCAAGATATTGCATTCCCAGTGCATTCTATAGTTATTCTTGAAATCTACGAAGAAGAAAGGAAAAGAACTGGATTATTTCCAGGTCACTCAGAGAACTATTGTGCAGGGACAGAAGTAGAACACAGCTCAATCATGAAGTTCCACAATTGTTTGAGTTGTAGCACCTTATAGCCTTCATTTCATGACAACTCTTCCAAAAAGTACAGTATATTGCTCAGCTTACTGTCAAAACTATATTTGTTTCATGAGTCAGTTAAGGAGAGTATTCAAAAAACTTCAGAGAGCTAAGGGAACTGTGTGCACTTACAAATACAGAGTGGCACAATATTAGTATCTTTAATAATTTATTGTTCTTTGTAAAGCTGATTTTGGTAAATTTTGAGACAAACTTTAAGACATCTGAAAGACCTTGATTGTCACACGCAAATGCGAAGAGAAAACACAATGATTCACTCTTCCAGAATGGGAAATATTTACTATCTTTCAATCTTGTTTATAATATGTAGAAATCACCTAAATTGGGAATTATATTTTCCACCTTTTGTGTTAGTAGGACTTAGTACAATGATTAGTACATGGTATAGGAAATAAGGTAAATAATGATAATAATATATTAATTCACTCATTTGCCTAGTACCTACTGTGCATTAGGTAAAACTAGACAAGATTTCCACCCTCATGAAGCTGATAGAGTAGCAGGAAAGAATGATATGAAATATGATTATTTGAATTCAACTGTGATAAGGGCAGGATAACCATCATGTGGCTAGATCATTTGAAGAAATAATAATTACAATAAAAATACTAATGATACAGAGGATTCAGTGTCCCAGGATGTATATGCTTTCCAGCTTTGAAGTTCTTAAAGGTCTAGAGGTGGATAACTTCATGTGTCTGAGGACTCATTCCTAAGCAGACTTGCTTTTGACATGGATTAGGACTACTAGAGAATTCAGAAATGACTATGGGAGGGAGTAGGAAGTAGGAAAGCTTATATTTTTCAAGCCTGTGTAATAATTTCTACCTATATCTAGGAAATATTTAGGATAAATAAGTAAAAATTAACTGAGAAATACCTACAAAAACAAATGGAATATTAATATATACATGCAGATAAAAACTCCAGTGCATATGTTATATTTCAAATAGTAGTAACAGAAGACATGGCATTACTGGGAGGAAGTGAATAAAATGTTTACCTGCATGCAGTAAAGAGGAGTCCATTTTATGAATTGTATAAAGCTACATATATGTCTTCAGTTATAAAGCCAAAGTTTCACTATGGCTTTATAAGTTTATTTCAGTAAGTTTCCTCATGTTTCTAAGTGCAAAAAAATAGCACAACTGCCAGTGTTGTCTCACTGGTACCATATATAAGGCATGTTTTCTTGATTGATTGGTTGCAAGGTTACCAGCCACTGTGCCACTCCCCTTCTCCTAATTTCTTTTCCTTGTCTCTCATTAGGTAAATTATGGTATCATCAATTCATTAATCTTTGGATTTTGGCACCTGGTATAGACATGTACTTCAAGATAGCATTTATTGGTCTCCTTATCACTAAGATTTAGCAGTTTCTACCATTCGTGTCATAATAGCCAATTCACATGAAGTGAGGATACCCTAATGATGTGACTTCTTTTTCAGGTAATATATTTATACTACTTAGTAGATATCTTAATATAAAGAGAGATAAAGTTATGCAAAATGGAACTGACATTCATTTTTTCACAATACAAAATGCTAGATTATCCTTCTGAGTCCCTTGAAAATTAATTCTATCACAGTTGAACCTCGAATTATACTAAATTTTTGTTCCAGTGAAAATTAATATTTTATAAAATACAGTTGACCCTGGAACAAAACACCAGTTAGGGGTGCCAATGCCCCATCAAGTAAAAAAATTGTCTATAAGATTTAACTTGCCAAAAACTTAATAACTAATAGCCTACTGATGACTAGAAGCCTTAGTAACAATATACAGAGTCAATATTACATATTTTGCAAGTTATATATATTATATACTGTATTCTTACAATAAATTAAGCTAGAGCACATGTGTTTTTAAGAAAATCACAAGGAAGATAAAATAAATTTACAATTCATTAAGTGGAAATGCATCATCCTAAAAGTCTTCATCCTTGTCACCTTTATATAGCATGTTCTGCTTAAGAGTCAACTTGAACAACACAAATTTGAGTGGTTGGGGTACACTTACACACAGATTTTCTTCTGCCTCTGCTGCAAAGAACAACCCGTCATTTTTTTCCTCCTCCTCAGCCTACTGTACAAAGATAAAAATACTAATGTCATTCTTCACATAAATATAAATAATTATAAAGTTTATGTAGAATCATGAAAGACATAGAATAGCCAAAGCTATCCTGAGCAAAAAGAAAAAAAAACTGGATAAATCACATTACTTGACTTCAAATTTTACTACAGAGCTATAGTAAACAAAACAGCATGGTGTTGGCAAAAACAAACAAGCAAGCAAACAAACAAAAAAAACAGACCACTGGAAAAGATTAGAGAACCCAGAAACAAATCTAGGCACTTACAGCGTACTCATTTTTGACAAAGGTGCCAGGAACATATATTAGAAAAAAAGACGGTCTCTTCAATAAATTGTGCTGGGAAAACTGAATATCTACATGCAGCAAAATGAAACTATAACCATATCTCTCTCCATATATGAAAATCAAATCAAAAATGAAAGACTAATATGGTTTGAATTTGTGTCCCCACTGAAATTTCATGTTGAATTGGAGGTGGGGCCTTGTGGAAGGTGATTGAATCATGTGGATGGATTTCTCCCTTGCTGTTATAGTGATAGTGAGTGAATTCTCATGATATCTGGTTATTTAAAAATGTGTGGCACTGAAAATCAAGAATAAACTCCCATTTACAATTGCTACAAAATGAATAAAGTACCTAGAAATACAGCTAAGAAGAGAAGTGAAAGATCTCTTCAAGGAGAACTACAAACCGCTGCTTAAGGAAATCAGAGAGGACTTAAACAAATGGAGAAACATTCCATGCTCAGGGATAAGAAGAATCAACATCGTGAAAATAGCCCTACAGCCCAAAGTAATTTAAAGATTCAGTGCTATTCCCATTAAACTACCATCGACATTCTCTACAGAAATAGACAAAACTTACCAGAAAATTCATATGGAACCAAAAGAGAGCCTGTATAGACAAGACAATCCTAAGTAAAAAGAACAAAGCTGGAGGCATCATGCTACATGACTTCAAACTATACCACAAGGCTACAGTAAACAAAACAGGATGGCACTGGTACAAAAAAGAGACACATACCAAAGGAACAGAATAAAGATCTCAGAAGCAAGACTGCACATCTACAACCATCTGCTCTTCAGCAAACCTGACAAAAACAAGCAATGGGGAAAAGATTCCCTATTTAACAAATGGTGCTGGAGAAACTGGCTAGGTATATGCAGAAAACTGAAACTGGACCCCTTCCTTACACCTTGTACAAAGGTTAACTCAAGATGGATTAAAGACTTAACTGTAAAACCCCAAATTATAAAAAACTTAGAAAAAAATCTAGGCAATACCATTCAGGACATAGGCACAGAAAAAGATTTCATGATGAAAATGTCAAAAGCAACCGCAACTAAAGCAAAAATGAACAAATGGGATCTCATTAAACTAAAGAACTACTGCACAGCAAAAGAAACTATCATCAGAGTGAACAGACAATCTATAGAATGGAGGGAAATTTTTGCAATTTTTGTACCTGACAAAGGTCTAATATCCAGAGTCTATAAGGGCTTGCACAAATTTACAAGAGAAAAAAACATTGAAAAGTGGGCACAGGACATGAACAGACACACTTTTCAAAAGAAGCCATTTATGCTGCCAACAAACACATGAAAAGAAAGCTCAACATCACTGATCATTAGAGAAATGCAAATCAAAACCACAAAGATACCATCTTACACCAGACAGAATGGCAATTATTAAAAAGTCAAGAAACAGCAGATGCTGGTGAGGCTGTGAAGAAATACAAATGCTTTTACAATGTTGGTGGGAAAGTAAATTAGTTCAACCATTGTGGAAGACAGTTTGGCAAGTACTCAAAGACCTTGAACCAGAAATACAATTTCATCCAGCAATCCCATTACTGGGTATACACCAAAAGGAATATAAATTATTCTGTTATAAAGATACATGCACATGTATGTTCATTGCAGCACTATTCACAATAACAAAGACATAGAATCAACACAAATGTCCATCAGTAATAGACTGGATAAAGAAAATGTGGTACATATACATCATGGAATACTATGCAACCATAAAAAAGAATGAGATCATGTCCTTTGCAGGGACATGGATGGAACTGGAAGCCATTATACTCAGCAAAGTAACACAGGAACAGAAAACTAAACACCTCATGTTCTCACTTATAAGTGGGAGCATAAAAATGAGAACACATGGAAACAAGGAGGGGAACAACCCACACTGGGGCCTGTTAGGGGTGTTGGGGGAAAGAAAGCATCAGCATACCAGGGGCCTGGTAGGATAGGAGGTGATTGGATCATGGGGGTGGATTTCCCCCTTGCTGTTTTCACAAGATCTGGTTGTTTAAAAGTGTGTGACTCTCTCTCTCTCTCTCTCTCTCTCTCTCTCTCTCTCCTGCTCTGCCATTATAATATGTGCTTGCTTCCCCTTCACCTTTCATCATGATTGTAAGTTTCATGCGGCCTCCCAGTCATGCTTCCTGTTAAGCCTCCAGAACTCTGACTCAATTAAACTTCTTTTCTTCATAAATTACCCAGTCTCTGGTAGTTGTTTATAGCAGTGTGAGAATGGATTAATACAAAGACTTAAATCTAAAATCTCAAACTGTGAAACTGCTGCAAGACAACATTGGGGAAAATCTCTAGGACATTAGTTTGGGCAAAGATTTCTTGTGTAATACCCCACAAGCACAAGCAACCAAAGCAAAAATGGACAAATGGCATCACACCAAGTTAAGAAGCTTCTGCCCAGCAAAGGGTACCATCAAAAAAGTGAAGGAACGACTCACAGAATGGGAGAAAATATTTGCAAACTACCCATCTGACAAGGCAATAATAACCTGAATATAATAGGAGCTCAAACTATTTTGTAGGAAAAAATGTAATAATCTGATTTAGCAATGAGCAAAAGATCTTAATAGACATTCCTCAAATGAAGACATACAAATGGCACTTGAGTGTATAAAAAGGTGCTCAACATCATTATCAGATAAATGCAAATCAAAACTACAATGTGTTATCTCACCCAGTTCAAATGACTTTTATCCAAAAGACAGGCAATGACAAGCACTTCTGAGGATATGGAGAAAATGGAACACTTGTACTCTGTTGATGAGAATTTAAGTTAGTATGACAACTACGAAGAACAGTTTGAAGTTTCCTCAAAAAACTAAAAATGGAGATTCCATATGTTTCAGCAATCTCACTGCTGTGTATATTCCCCAAAGAAAGGAAATCAGTATACCGAAAAGATATCTGCACTCCCATGCTTGTTACAGCACTGTTCACAATACTCAAGATTTGGAAGCTACCTAAGTGTCCATCAATGGATGGACAAAGAAAATGTGGTAATTATACACAATGGAGTACTATTCAGCCATAAAAAGAATAAGATCCTGTCATTTGCAACTGCATGGATAGTACTGGAAGTCATTATGTTAAGTGAAATAAGGCAGGTACGGAAAGACAAACATCACATGTTCTCACTTATTTTGGGAATCTAAAAATCAAAATAATTGAACTCATGGAGATGGAGAGTTGAAAAATGGTTACCAAAATCTAATAAGTATAGTGGGGTGGTGATGCAGAGGTGGGGAAGGTTAATGTGTGCAAAAAGCAATTAAAAATAAGGAATAATATCTAGTGTTTTATACCACAACTTTATTCAATAATAATTGTACATTTTAACGTAACTAAAATAGTAGAATTGGGTTGTTTGTGATACAAAGAATGAACATTTGAATGCATGGATGCCCAATTTTCCATGATGTGATTATTACAAATTGGATGCCTGTACAAAAATATGTCATGTATTGCATAAATACATACACCTACTATGTACCCACAAAAATTAAACACAAAATATTTAAAAAATAAAATAATAAAGATGAATTATGTTTTTCTACATGATGTTTCTCAGGATTCCTCACAGCATTAATAACGGAAAGATTGAAGCAAGGGAGGAGCTGTTTGTACCTTACAAATTTAGGATGCTTGACTCTCAAAATTTGTTTTTTCTTTAATTATGAATGCTACTACATTGTGAAGCATTATATTAGAAGATATTCTAATGTTCATTTCAAAATAAATTAGGTATGGGTGGAAGTGTATAGATGTGTATATGAAATAAGATTGGTCATTAATAAGTAATTATTTTTCCTGGATGATGCACGTGGGGATTCTTTTAGGCTGTTCTTCACTTGTATTTATGTTTGAACTTTTCCTAATAAAAATGAAAAATAGAGACAAGTTCTGTAAGATAAATATATAAATTTAACTATCAGGCACTGAATCCAGGGAGTTAGCAGCTATATTAGAGTTATCCAGAGGGACTAATAGAAGATAGATGATAGATAGATAGATAGATAGATAGATAGATAGATAGATAGATAAGAGGTACTTATTAAGGGAATCGTCTCATGTGATTATGAAGGCTGATAAGTCCTATGATAGGCAGCCTACAAACTGGAGACCTGAGATTCCAGTAATGTGGCCCAGTCCACACCAAAAGTTTTTGGAACCAAGAAGTCAATGGTATAACTCTCATTATGGAGCCAAAGGCCTAAGAACACTGAGGGTAGGAGGGTGGAACTGGGGCAGTTCCTGGAATTCAAAAACCTGGAGAGCCTGAACTTCTGATGTCTAAGGACAGATGAAAAAGAGTATATTCCAGCTCTAGGAGACAAAAGAAATTATCTTTTTGTTCTATATGTTTCCCCAGCTGATTGCATGATGACTGCTACATTGAGGGCGAGTCTTCCCCACTTAATCACTGACTCACAGGACAGTCTTCTCTGGAAAAACCCTCTCAGACTCACTCAGAGCTAATTCTTTACCAGTTCTGTAGGTAATCCTTAATCCAGTCAAGTTGACAGTTAATATTAACCATCACAACAGCTAAAATGCATTCAACACAGTGAGACTGTGAGTAGAACACAACAGAGCCACATAAAGTCATAATTTCTTACATCTGAAAATCTGGAGGGGAGTACCTAGGAAACGTGGACCTAAACTTCAAGTTCTATTTATTTATTATATATATATTGTTACATATATATTTATATATAAAAATAAAAATATATTTTTAAATATATATATAGGCATATATATATGTTTAACTATATATATATGGTGTGTGTGTATGTGTGTGTGTGTGTGTGTGTGTGTGTGTGTCTATATATATATATATATATATATATATATATATATATACACACACCATAGTTGAAATACATACCAAGGCCAAACACCCACCACCATGTAAGCAAAACTGAAGTCATTCTGATTTCTTGGAAATGTTTTCTCTAATCACAAACACAAAAGTTAAGCTTTATTTATTTGTTAGTGAAATTAAACCAATCAGCTATGGACAAATCAGCTTAAATATCTCTGTGAGCTCTAAAACATTTTTAATGTATCACAGTGAAAACTAGAAAGCACTGCTAAAAGAAATCATAGACGACATGGACAAATGGAAACACATCCCATGCTCATGGATGGGTAGACTCAATATTGTGAAAATGGCCGTACTGCCAAAAGAAATCTAGAAATTCAATGCAATTCCCACCGAAATATTACTACCAGTCTTTATAGAATTAGAAAACACAATTTCAAAATTCATATGAAACCAAAAAAGAGCCCACATAGCCAAAGCAAGACTAAGCAAAACAACAAATCTGGAGGCATCACAGTACCTGATTTCAAACTATACTATAAGGCAATAGTCACCAAAACAGTGTGGTACTGATATAAAAGTAGACACATAGACCAAGGGAATAGAATAGAGAACCCAGAAATAAACCCAAATGCTTACAGCCAACTGATCTTCGACAAAACAAACAAAAACGTAAAGTGGGGAAAAGACAACCATTTCAACAAATGGTGCTGGGATAATTGGCTAGCCACACGTAGGAGAATGAAACTGGATCCTCATCTCTCACCTTATACAAAAATCAACTAAGATGGATTAAGGACTTAAATCTAAGACCTGAAACTATGAAAATTATAGAAGGTAACATTGGAAAAGCCCTTCTAGACATTGCCTCAGACAAGGATTTCATGTACAAGAACCCAAAAGCAAATGCAATAAAAACAAAAATAAATAGCTGGGACATAATTAAACTAAAGAGCTTTTGCACAGCAGAAGGAACAGTCAGCAGAGTAGACAGATAACCCACAGAGTGAGAGAAAATATTCACAATCCATACATCTGACAAATGACTAATATCCAGAACCTAAATGAACTCAAACGAATCAGTAAGAAAAAAACAAACAATCCCATCAAAAAGTGGGCCAAATAGATGAATAGACACTTCTCAAAAGAAGATATACAAGGAGCCAACAAACATATGAAGAAATATTCAACATCACTAATTATCACGGAAATGCAAATCAAAAGCACAATATGATACCACCTTATTCCTACAAGAATGGCCATAATAAAAAAAATTTAAAAAAAACTGTAGATATTGGCATGACTATGGTGAACAGGAAACACTTCTATACTGCTGGCGGGAATGCAAACTAGCACAGCCACTATGGAACACAGTGTGGAGATTTCTTAAAGTCCTAAAAGTATAACTACCATTTGATCCAGCAATCTCACTACTGGGTATCTACCCAGAGGAAAAGAAGTCATTATTCAAAAAAGATACTTGCACGTGCATGTTTATAGCAGCACAATTCACAATTGCAAAATATTGGAACCAACCCAAATGCCCATCAATCAACGAGTGGATAAACAAACTGTGATATATATATATGTATATATATATAATGGAATACTAGGCAGCCATTAAAAAGGAATGAATTAACAGTATTTGCAGTGACCTGGATAAGATGGGAGACTTATTCTAAGTGAAGTAACTCAGGAATGGAAAATAAAACATTGCATGTTCTCACTGATATGTGGGATCTAAGCTATGAGGGTGCAAAGGCATAAGAATGACACAATGAACTTTGGGGACTTGGGGGAAAGTGTAAGGGGGTGAGGGAGAAAAGACAACAAATAGGGTGCAGTGCATATTGCTCAGGTGATGGGTGTGCCATAATCTCAGAAATCACCACTAAAGAACTTACTCATGCAACCAAATACCACCTATACCCCAATAACTTATGAAAAATAAAAAATAAAAATCAAAGAAAACAGTGAATCACAATAAAGGTGAAAATAGTTCCTCCTTTACGGTATATAAATTGTGCTGTAACTGCTGTAAGACAAGCTTCTTACTACTTGGTTTAAAGTTTCCTGGACTGAGATCAATATGTTTTGTATGGCAATAAACTTTAATTTTTTTCTAGACTGATCTAATTTTTGACCTACGTCTAGCTACCTACCCATCTATCTATTTAGCATCTATCTATTATCTCTCTCTCTCTCTCTCTCTCTCTCTCTCTCTCTCTCTCTCTCTCTCTCTATCTATCTATCTATCTAATTGCCTCCTGTGCTCCAGGCTAGAGAAGTGGCCATAAACTTAAGAAACAAAGAACAAAGTCCTTCTTTTTAAGTTTTCAATTCTTCTGGAAGTCATAGACACAAGCAAAAAAAGAGAGAAAATAACGAAACCATACACTGTTAGTTTATCCATGAAGAAAATAAAAGCCAGTTTAAAAATAGAAAATAATGGGGAACTGGAAGTTTTGGGGAAGTGAGATTGGAAACTATTTAACACAAGATGGTAATAGAAATCCTCTCTGAAATTGGGAAGGAAGTTAACATGATACGGTATTTTGAAACTCGTCAGATAAAAGCTAGTAAGTGTCGACTGGTTGCGGTAGCTCACACCTGTAATCCCAGCACTTTGGGAGGCCGAGGTGGGTGGATCACAAGGTCAGGAGATCGAGACCATCCTGGCTAACATGGTGAAACCCCGTCTCTACTAAAAAATACAAAAAATTAGCCAGGCGTGGTGGCGGCCGCCTGTAGTCCCAGCTACTCGGGAGGCTGAGGCAGGAGAATGGCGTGAACCCGGGAGGCGGAGCTTGCAGTGAGCCGAGATCCTGCCACTGTACTCCAGCCTGGGCGACAGAGCGAGACTCCGTCTCAAAAAAAAAAAAAAAAAAGCTAGTAAATGTCAGTTTAATTTTGAACTCTCCCCTTTATCCTTCACCCCGCAATTCAAGTAAAAATTAAAGAAGAGAGCAGCATGCAAAATAAGAAAGAAACATAAGAAAACAAAATAAAACATATAATATCACTTTTCCAAAATTACAAAATAGAAAGATCTGAAAGCATGTGCTTAATTTAATTTGGACTACTTCACTGATGTGGGTATCCCATACAACATATGTTGCAAAAGCGTTTCCAAGGTTTTTATTCCACACTAACTTATTCCACTGAGCTTCGTTCTGCAGTGACAACCAATCTCAGCACAGCAGGATACACACATCAGCTACAATATTCTCTTGCCTTGTCACTGGTTTATACATGGAAACAAAATTAATTTTATAAATCTAGATTTCAAATATTACTATATTGTCTACTGATAGTGCTATGCAGTCCTCTTTGTTTAGTCTTCTCGTGAAAAGCTGAAAAATTGCATTTTCTAGAAAAGGGAAGCAGTGAAAATAAAAACAGTGTATCAAGAGTAAAAACTTTCAAATGTTAAGTATGTGTGTTTTCCTTATGTTTAGGAAGATTATTATTTATCTTGTAGAATTAGTTAGAAAAGTAAATATTTACATGTATACAACAAATAGCATTAAAAGCACATGCAATATATTGTGTCAATACCCTACACAGAAAAGAGAAAACTAAGTAGAAATATGTGATAATACCTGAATTATAATTTTATCATATAAGTAATGCCTCGCCATCATATCATTTTTACTGATTACCTAGCTCAGAGCAGAGTCATTACTTTCTTCCTGAAAGTATATAATATAAATAAATGACACATACATAGGAAGAAAACAGGAGATGAATGGATATTGGTAGATGAAATTTTCCATGTATAGCTCTCTGAATCTGTTAAGAAAAATATAAAAATTTTGTCTTTAATCCATTGGTACAGTGACCACTTTTTCTTATTCCATGAAAGAACTGTCATGATTTACCCAGATTCATCTTTAGCAATCATGAACTTACTTTTTCTGGTATTGACCTTCAGCTGCCTCAGCTGAAGGAAACTGCCTCACCCAATGTTCCCTTACTTGTGGCAGCCCACATGAAATTATTCATCAATGTGAAGGTGTAAAGGCTCAGCCCCAACACCCGACTCTATTTGAGATAATGCTGAAGGGATATCCCAGCTTTAGAGTTCCAACAGCAGTCTGCTAAAACCTTACTTGGGCTTGTATCACAGCTTAGTTTCTCCCTCTGTCCAATAGTCCTTTCTCCCTCTCCTTTCTACAGGAATTGATTATAAGAGCACTAACTAATAAACATGCCACATGCGAAATTCTGCCTCCCAGAGATCTCAGTTTGTGATAAAGTATGAAAAAAATCTTATATGAGATTAATGTTACGTAGTTCAAAGGTTTTATTTATGAGTACTAAAGCTTGCTATGAATAACCACAACACCATAATAACCAGAACATACTATTTCTCAGGGATTTTAATTAATTATACATATATTTTAATATAGGCTTGTTATTAAAATAAGAACAAATAAATGTGGCCATCTTATTATTATCTCTGCAATATTATCTCTATGCTTGATAGGACCATGATATACTTCAGAGCTAGAGAATATTTGAAAATCTTTATCAATTATAACAAATCCTTGTTTGTACTATATAGAAAATGAGTTTTACAAGATGCATTTATTTATCTATTTATTTATTTATTTTTTTGAGATGGAGTCTCGCTCTGTCACCCAGGCTGGATGGAGTCCAGTGGTGTGATCTCGGCTCACTGCAACCTCCGCCTCCTGGGTTCAAGTGTTTCTCCTGCCTCAGCCTCCCAAGTAGCTGGGATTACAGGCACGCACCACCATGCCCAGCTAATTTTTGTATTCTTAGTAGAGACGGGGCTTCACCATGCTGGCCAGGCTGGTCTTGAACTCCTGATGTCAAGTGATCCTCCCGCCTCGGCCTCCCAAAGTTCTGAGATTACAGGGATGAGCCACCTTCCCCGGCCAAGATGAATTTTAAAAGACAATAGTTGTTCAATATTCTTATTTGCATTGATTTGTGATGTACCGTTTCTAATACATGTAGTTTGAAATAAATTGTGGCTAATTTTTCTGCATATAATATGCATTCAATGCCTTATCTTTAGCAGTAAGACTAGTGACTGAAATATTCATACCTGAAAAAAAATCATCAGATAATTATATCTAATTAAAGTTTTATTGCATAATTTCTGGCTTACGTAGCTATAACTTTTTTTTCTTCCCGATGACAGTTCTTGGAGAAAATCACTTTGAAATGACTGTTTCACAATGCAGCTTACTTTCAGCACCTATGTTCTGTTAATCAGCCGATCACGTGTGTTTTGAAAGGTGCTTTAACATTTTTTTCATATGGTATTGTTACAAAAACTGGCAGAATAGCTTATTTTGTATAGGAAATCACTTAACAGTCTAACTAGCTTTTGTGCTACATTAACTGAAATTCAAAACCTTTTAGACTTTAAAATACTCAGCTACAGAATTAACCATTCTCAATGTGTTATATTTCTCAGTAAAATTCACTATGCTCAATCCTAGAAGAATTGAAATAAGATTATCTTATCACGCTGAAATGACAATCTAAGTACCTATATGATGAATTGATGAATACCATAGATGTTTTATGAAATATAGGCCAGCATTCTTAATCCATGTAAGTAACTAAAGATACAGTATAGTATTAATAAAATGATTAAAAGAATCTTGGCTTTATTCTTCCCTTCCCTGCCACAGCAGTTGGAAAAGTTAGATTTTTCTTTTCCATTGTTTCCATCATTTTATTAGTCTGTTTTCACACTGCTATAAAGAAATACTTGAGACCAGGTGATTTATAAAGAAAAGACGTGTAATTGGTTCACAGTTCTGCAGGCTGTGCAGGAAGCATAGTGGATTCTGCTTCTGGGGAGGCCTCAGGAAGCTGCCATTCAGGATGGAAGACAAAGCGGGAGTGAGACATCTCATGTGACAGGAGCAGGAGCAAGAGAGAGTGAGGGGGGAGGTGCTACACACTTAAACCACTAGATCTCATGCTCTTTTCTTTCTCTCTTGCTCTTTTCTTTCTTTTCTTTTTACTGTCATCTTTCTCAAGGGCACAAACGCATTCTCTATTTTCTCTCCTAGAACAAAGTTTGTCTAATACTACCACTTTCAGTGTCATTTATTATACTTTCAAGTCCCTTTCATATATTTGGTGCCAAACTTGTGTTTAGTAATTTGGCTCTTAGCATTTTCTGTTCTCCTTCTTAGGATAATTTTGTCTGTGCTTCATTAATTCTTTGAATTCTCTCACCTCTTTTCATAGACTGTTTCAAGCATTCTTACTCCTTCTATATACACCTACAGTCTTGTAGTCACAGCAGAAACTCTCTCAGAATTTGATGTTTCTCTATAAATGTAATTTGAAATATTAGTATTCTCTGTTTTCCAGTGGTCCTAAGATTGTGGATTATGTGTGGTTTTATATAATCTTTTTGTTGGTCTTATGATATATTGGTAGGATATATGGCTTTAAGGTGATTCAATGAAGATGACCATACTTGTTCAAGAGAAACTGAAGCCTTTCATTCCCTAGTTTGAAATATTTCTAAAATTTTTGTTCCACACCTTAGAAAGTGTGAAGTGAAACTCATAGTAGTTTTCAATATTCAATGAGACAGCCATCAGGCCTTGACCTCTAGGTCCTCATGGAGCAGGAGGCAACATAACTCACCTATTTTCATTCTGTTTACTTATTCCATATTCTATATCTTAAATATTCTCCATATCATTTTATTTTATCTTAATTTTATATTCTTTTTTAAAAAATAATACTATGTGGAATTAGTTTATTTTTAAATTTTCTAACATGTATTAGTTAACTTTCTCCAAGTTTTAATATATAGTGTGTTTATTAACTCAGTCCTTAATTTGTTTACTTACCATTATGAAAGATTTTATAGGTTGAATATTTTAAGTTTTTTTATTAAATTCCTGTTAAGCTTTGATTTGTAAATTTTTAGACTACATTATTTGATGTTTAAAATTAAATGGTGGTTCAATGAATGAAGACATAAAGAAAATGCATATATACACAAAGGAATAGTAATCAGCCATTAGAAAATGAAATTATATGACTTGCAGCAATATGGGCAGAACTGGAGGTCATTATGTATAATGAAATAAACCAGGCACAGAGAGACAGATACTGTATGTTTTTACTCACATGTGGGAGCCGAAAATGTTTATTTCATGGAGGTTGAGAATAGAATGATAAATACCAGAGGCTGGGCAGAGGGTGGGAGGAATAAATGAAGAGAGGTTGGTAATGGGTACAAACATACAGTTAGATAGAAAGAATAAGTTATAATGTTCAATAGAAGAGTAGGGTGACTATAATAAGCAAAAATGTATTGTATGTTTTAAAGCAGCTAGAAGAGACAACTTGAGATATTTCTAACACATGAAATGATACATATCGAAGGTGATCGATATCCACGCTGACTTGATCATATTCATGTAACTAATGCTTATACCCCCTAAATATGTAAAACGTTATGTATCAATTTGTAAACGTAAATGATTATTATTATTTCATAATGAACAACTACCTTCATCATCTGTGAGATTATGTGTGTGCGTGTGTGTGTGTGTGTGTGTGTGTATTTTCCTGTGCATAGTCTGATGTCTGCTATTATTAGAGTACATCACCATTGTTATGATAGTACACATGTGACACAACTTCCATTTTTCACATTCACTATTTATTTTTAAAACATGTAATTCTAAATTTTATTTTTTGTGGATATATAGTATGTGTATATATTTATGGGGTATATGTGATATTTTGATACAGTATAGTATATGTATATATTTGTGGAGTTCATAGGGCATATGGAATATTTTGATATTAAATGTGGTTCTTTAGGGCTGGTTACAGAATGAGCAGCTATATAGGTAATAGCTAAAGGGTATAGTGTCTGTTTTTAATGCAATAAAATTATTATAAAATTGTGTTTGAACATATATGAGAATATAATAAAAACCTTAGAAATATAAAATTTATGTGAGTGAAACGTATGGTATATATATTATAACTTGATAAAACCTAGGACATTGAATGAAGGGAATAATCTGCTCATGAAAGCCTCATAAATTGTCTCTAAAACTATTATTAGTTTTATTACTGTTATCCTTCAATAGAAGACCTAAGTCATCAACATTTGGGGTTAAGTTTTGCCTAAATTAGGAACAGTTTTTGCACATCTGTGTTTAAAGCAAAGCAAAACAAGTTCTTTTGAAAAAGGAGAGCAGATTATATTCTCTCCATTGATACATCAGCCCCTTTAATCAACACATTATAGTAAACTGAAAGTAGTGGTGGCTTTCTAAACACTAAAGATCAAATTATCTGTGAAATTATTCTACATTAATCAAAGGTAAATCATTTTACAAAAATCAGAAATCAGTAGTGTAACAGACTCTTACTACCTCTATGGCCAAGTATAGAGACCACAGAGTCCAGAATCTAGTACCTAATGAGACACTTCACAAGAAGGAAGCTTTGTAGCACTCTATCTAATAAGATTGAACTAGTCATAAACCTTATGTCCACAATTGTATCATGGAAAATTTTAGAACAATGACATCTGAGTTAGAAGTTTTCTAAAAATATAGACGTCAACAGGAGAGAAAGGTATGTAGTGCCGTAAGAGCATCATGGGAGATTTTCTGCAGTCCAGAAAGTCTTTCCTGAGAAAGTGCTGAGGGGAAGTCTAAAGGAGTCCTAGAAATCAATTCAATAGAGGTCTGATGGGAATGGGCAGTTCAGATAGCAGAGTTGAAAATTGCATGAAATGAGGCCAGAGAGATACGGCATACATCAAGAATTTGGGTCTTTCTCCCAAAATAAACAATCCAAGTTTTCAAAGAAAAAGATTCAGTGTGGACAAGCCCATTCAGAAGGCTTGAGAAAACTATAGGCAAGACAAAGTGAGAGCTTCAGCTCATATAGGTGGGGTAAGATGGAGACAAGTGCACAAATTTGGGCGCTGTCATGATGTTAAGCTAGCAGGACCTAGTGCTGGCTTAGATATGGAGGAAAGTACAGCAGCTGTAACAGACGCCTCCAAGACTGCTATAAACATCTATTGAACACCTCCTATATGTCAGCCACTGTGCCATGCTCCAATGTCACAGCAGAAAAGGAGTTAGAATCAGGTTTGACTAAGAGTGATAGAAAAGTGAAAAATATTTATTGCTTCAATAAGATAGAAGGCTTTCTTTTTTATCTTCTCTTATTAAAACTTCAGGAGTTTGAGGTCCAGGACCATCCTCCATAAAACTGGAAATCATTCAACAGTCTTACTTGTCCAGGCAGGGCCTCCATTCCCAAGGTTTCCCAGGCGGGCTACTCCACCTCTGGCCATTGTATGAATGTTCCAGCCATCAAGATGAAAATAATGAAAAGTAAGGGGCAAAGGATAAGGGAATTTTACATAAGGAACCACACAACACCTTTTTTTATGTCCACTGACCAGAATTCATTCACTTGAACCAGAGAACCTCCAAGGGATGCTAGGAAAAGTAGTCGTCATTCTGGGCAGCCATATGTCTAGGTAAAAATTATCTTATTATGAAGGAAGGGAAAAATGATACTGAAAGACAACCCACAGTTTGGACAAACACAAAAATGGACACAATTGTTGCAGTTTTGAGGGCGTAAAGCAGTTTAAGGTCAATGGTTTTATTCTTACTAATCTGAGTTTTCCTCACCGGTCAAACAATAGATTTTATACCAGGTGGCTACTATAATTTCTTCAATTTCTAGAATACTATGATTCTAACTATAATTCCATTACAACCAGAAACTTTATACTTGTTCATGCTTTAAAAGTATTGATAATACTTGATTTTTTTTACAGGTAATCACATTTTTTTTTCTCAGGACACATTTATTAGTCCTTTCTTGCACTACTATAAAGAAATACCTGAAACTGTGTAATTTATAAAGAAAAAAGGTTTAATTGGCTGATGATTCCACAGGCTGTGCAGGAAGGATGATGCTGTCATCTGTTCAGAAAGATCTCAGGAAACTTACAATCATGGCAGAAGGTGAACAGGAAGCAGGCATGACAGACATGGCTGGAGCAGGAGACGAGGATAAGGGAAAGGTGCTACACACTTTTAAACAATCAGATATGAGAACTCTATTATGAAAACAGGACCAAAGGGGTGTTGCTAAACAATTCATGAAGGATCCAACCCCATGATTCAATAACATCCCATCAGGCCCAACTCCAACACTGGGGATTATAATTCAACATGAGATTATAGTGGGGACACAGATCCAAACCATATGATTCTTCCCCTGGCCTTTCCCAAATCTCATATCCTTCTCATATTTCGAAATACAATCTTGCATTCCCAACAGTTCCCCCAAAGTTTTAATTCTGTCCTATATTAAGTCAAAAGTCCAAGGTCCAAATTCACAACTGAATCAAGGCAAGTTTCTTCTACCTATGAACCAGTAAAATAAAAAACAAGCATTTGGTAAACATTCTCATTTCAATCTCCTTTAACACCATGTCTCACTACTGCAATGGTGGGTTTGGCTACCAGGCCTCCACCCCTGTGGCTCTGCAGGGTTCAGTCCCCATGGCTGCTATCAAGGGCTGGCATTGAGTTCCTGCAGTGTTTTCAGGTGCAGGGTGCAATCTCCCAGTGGATCTACCATTCTGGGGTCTGGAGAATAGTAGCCCTCTTCTCACAGCTCCTCTAGGCAGTGTGCCATTGTGGACTCTGTGTGGGGTCTCCAACCCCACATTTCTTTTCCATACTGCCCTAGTAGAGGTTCTCTGTGCAGGCTCCACCCTACAGCAGGCTTCTGCCTGGACATTCAGGCTTTTCCATACATCCTTTGAAATCTAGGCAGAGGCTCCTAAGCTTCAATTCTCACACTCCGTGCACCTGCAGGCTTAACACCATGTGGAATCTGCCAAAGCTTATGGTTTACACACTCTGAAGCCACAACCTGGGTTGTACCGGGAGCCCTTTTAGCCACTGCTGGAGGTGGAGACATTGGGACACAAAAATCATTGCCCCAAGGTTGTGCAGGGCAGTGAGGCCTTGGCCCTGGCCCAGGAAATTATTCTTCCCTCTTAAGCCTCTGGGCCTGTGATGGAAGGGGCTGTCTCAAAAGTCTCTAAAATGCCTTCAAGGCCTTTTTCTCATTGTCTTGGCTATCATTACTTGGCTCCTCTTATGCAAAGTTCTGCATCCTTCTTAAATTCTTCCCCTGTAAATTGGTTTTTCTTTTCTACTGCCTGACCAGGCTGCAAATTTTCCAAACTTTTACAATCTGCTTCCCTTTTCAATAGAAGTTTCAGTTTTACATCATGTGTTTTTTTTTTTTTTTTTTTTTTTTCACAAATATGACCATATGCTTCTAGAAGAAGCCAGGCCACATCTTGAATTCCTTGCTGCTTAGAAACTTTTTTTCTGCCCTATAACCTAAATCATCCCTCTAAATTTCAAAATGTCACAGATCCCAAGGGCATGGGCACAATTCAACAGAGCTCTGTGCTAATGCATAACAAAAGTGACCTTTTTTCCAGTTCTAAATAAGTTTCTCATCTCCATCTGAGACCTCCTGAGCCTGGCCTTCACTTTCAATATTACTATGAGCATTTTGGTCACAACAATTCAATTAGTCTCTAGGAAGTCATAAACTTTTCTTCATCTTCCTGGCTTCTTCTGAGACCTCCACATTCTTCCAATGTCTATCCATTATCCAGTTCCAACATGGTTTCACATTTTCAGGAATCTTTATAGGAATGCCTCACTCCTCATTACCAATTTTCCATATTAGTTTGTTCTTGCATTGCTATAAGCAAATACCTGAGAGTAGGTAATTTACAAAGATAAGAGGTTTAATTGGCTCATGCTTTTGCAGGCTGTACAGGAAGCATGATGCTGGCATCTGCTTAGGGAAGCCTCTGGAAAATTACAATGTGGCAGAATGTAAAGGGGAAGAAGGCATACATTACATGTCCAGATAAGGAGGAAGAGGAGAGGAAGGAGGTGCCACACACTTTTAGACAACAAGATATGAGAATAACTCCAAAGGGATGGTGCTAAACCATTCATGAAAGATCTACCCCTATAATCCAATCATCTTCCACCAGGCCCCACCTCCACCATTGGGGATTACAATTCACATGCAATTTGGGTGGGGACACAGATTCAAACCATATCAACATATAATACTCTTTCCTATGTGAAAAGAGTAGGAATCAAAATTGAGTCACTCATGTTAAAAAACAATACGAAAACAATAAGATACTGAAAAAAAGCCAGGAAAAGCCATGAAGGGAGATTTCTCATGCAAATTCCTGATAATGAGCACTACTGCTCTGTAAAAAGACTCTGCAAAACCCTGAACCTTGTGCAAAGGCCACTGTAACCTTAGAGATAATACATTTGTGAGGACCTAGACCCAGCACCTGCCTGCCTATTCTTGGACCAGTGCCACCCTTGTAATTGAGCCTTGTAGCCAAGCGTATTATCTGAAAACAATTATGTGTTCCTCCTATTTGACCTTTAAAAACCTTTGTCTTCCTTTACCTTCCTGAAAGTGCCCACAGTTTAGTACAGCAGTTGTATTGTCAAACTAATGCCCTATTCCCAAATAAATATGATTATCTTTTAGAGATCTTTTTTTCTCTTTGTTATTTAGATTGACACCTATAATGGTTTTCTTTGTTAAGGGTGAACTAACTGGAATCAGTAAAAAGTGATGATTTCCCTGGCTTATTATGCATTTTATGCCTTTGTTTTGTGGAAAACCAAATATTAATACAGTATGAGAATGTAAAAGACATGCAGTTTAACAGTGCACCTCCTTTTTTCCAATTGAGTAATTGCTGAATGATAAAATGAGGGCAAACTTATAGATGCAAACTATCAGGCAATTTTTAGAAAATATCTCTGTCCTAGGATTTTTTGTTTTTTAATTCAGATCCCAGCGGTTGGAACTTGAGTTCCCATGTGTCTCGCCACAGTGGGCTAAAGGGCTCTGGGGCTGTAAATAAACTTGAAAGGCAGTGTAGGCTACAAGGACTGCAACACCTGTGGGAGTCCTCGTGCTTAACTGAGCCCAGAGACAGTGGACTAAGGCAGCACTCACAGACGCCAGTTGTGGAGGCTAAAGAAGTGGTAGCATCACCCCTTCCCTAACTCCAGATGCATCAAAGTACACCACTTCCTTCCACCTGAGGAGAAGAGAGGGAAGAGTGGGGAAGACTTTGTCTTGCGTCTTGGATATCAACTCAGCCACAGCAGGATAAGGCATGGGTCAGAGTAATGAGGCCCCCTTTCCAGACCCTAGTTCCTGGACATTTCTAGGCACAACCTGGGCCAGAAAAGAAATCACAGCCTTGAAAGGAAATACCCAGTCTGGATAGCCTACAACGCTTGCTAACTGAAGAGCCCTTGGGCCCTGAATAACCAGAAGCAATACCCAGGTACTACATCAAGGGCTTTTGGTGAGAGTTTGGAACTTGGTGGCTTCTGGTACCAGCTCAGCCATAGGGGCATAGAGCACCAAGTGGGCTCTTGAAGTTCTCAATTCCAGGATGAAGCTTTTGCACAACACTTCTGAACCTACCCTGGGCTAGAGGGGAGCCCACTGCCCTGAACGTGAGCCCCAGGCCAGACAGCATTCACCACAAGCTGACTGAAGAGCCCTCTGAGGTGAAGGGAGCACCAGCAGTCGTCTGGAAGTACTCCTGGTTGGCCTGTGGTGGCAGTGGCCATGGGACGACAGTCCTCTGCCATTGGAAAGAGGAGGGATAACTGGGAAGGACTGAATCTAATGGATTGAGGTCCACCTCAGCCACAGTACAATACAACACCAGATAGACTTCTAAAGATTTTTCTCTAGTCCCTGGCTCCTAAACAGCACCTCTGTGGATCTACCTGGGCCTGTGGTGGTAATGGTCATTGGGTGAGGCTCCTCTGCACCTGGAAAAGGATAGGAAGAAAGTGCAGGATTGTATCTTGTGGTTTGAGGGCCAGTTCAGCTTCAGTACAATAGAACATCAGGTAGAAGGATTTTTGCTCTACTTCTTGGCTCCCGGATAGCATCTCTGGAAACAACTGGGCCTAGGGGAACTCATCACCATGAAGCAAAGGACAGAGGCCTGGCTGACTTTGCTGTCTGCTGATTGTAGAGCTCCAGGACCTTGAGAAAAGATAGACTGTGGCCAGAGAGTAGCTACAGCAGGCCTTTGGTGAGACCCAGTGCTATTCTGGATCTATGTTAGAGTCTGATCCAGTGAAGTCATAATGGTGGTGGTCACAGGGGTTTGTGTCACTACACCCCCAGCTTTAGGTGGCTCAGAAGAGAGACACTCTGTTTGAGAGAAAGTAAAAATAAGACAATAATAGTCTCTGCCTGATATTTTAAACAATACTCCCAGATATAGTCCAAGACCATCAAGGCAGTAACTCTAAGAATCTGCAGGAAACACAGTGCTACTGGGCTTAGATTGTCCTCTAAGGCACATACAGTTTCGATCACAACAACTAATTCCTTTCAAATATCTGAGAAGCCTTTCCAAAGGATGGGTACAAACAAGCACATACTGCAAAGACTATAATAAATAGCTAACTCTTCAATGCCCAGACACTGAAGAACATCTATAAGTATCAAGACCATCCAGAAAAACAGGACCTCACCAAATGAATTACATATGGTATCAGAAACCAAACCTGGAGAAAGAGACAGAAGATAACCTCAAGGAATTTAGTAACCAAACTCCCAAACATTAAGGATAAAGAAAGGACCTAAAAGCAGCAAGAGGAAAGAAACAAGTAACATAAAGTGGAGCTCCAAAATGCCTGGCTTCAGAATTTTCAGTGGAAACTTTACATTCCAGGAGAGAGTGACCTGCTTATCTAAATTGCTGAAGAAAAGAAAAAAAAAACACTTTTACCCTATGCAAACAGTGTTAAGTTTTATCATATATATATATATATATATATATATATATATATATATGAAATGTTTAAATATATATTTAAACATAAAACCTACCCAGGCAAACAAAAGGTAGGTGATTTCATGAATACCAGAACTGTCCAACAAGAAATGCTGAAGTGAGTACTTCAATCAGAAAGAAAAGAACACTAATGAGCAATAATAAATCACTTGAAGTTACAAAGCTCACTGCTAATAGTAATTAGACATAAAACCACACAGAATCAAGACATTATCTGTAGCACTGTAACCGTGGTATATAAACTACTCTTATCCTAAGAAGAATAAATGATGAGCCAATAAAAATAATAACTATAACAACTTTTCAAGACATAGACCTTATATACAGTAATATACAAACGGAAACAACAAAAAATTAAAAAGCAGAGTAACAATGTTAAGACATAGAGTTTGTATTAGTTTTCTTTTTGCTTGTTTGTTTGTTTATGCAAACAGTGTTAAGTTTTATCAATTTAAAATAAGGTTTATAAGATAGTATTTGCAAGCCTCATGGCAACCTCAAATCAAAACACATACAAAGGATACACATAAATCAAAAGCAATAAATTAAGTCATATCGCCAGAGAAAATCACATTTAAAACATTTAAGTTTCCTAAATGGAAAACAAGAAGGAAAGAAAGAAGGAAGAGAAGACCACAAAACAGCCAGAAAAAAATAAGAAAATGGCATGAGTAAATTCTTACTTATCAATAATAACATTGAATGTAAATGAATTAAACCCTCCAATCTAAAGGCATAGACAGAATTAATAGATCTTTTTTAAAAAAGCAAAACCAATTGATTTGTTGCTTATAAGAAACAAACTTCAGCTCTATAAACACACATAGCCTGAAAATAAAGGGATGAAAAAAAATACTTCATGCTAATGGTAACCAAAAAACGCAGGAGTAGCTATGCTAATATCAGACAAAATAGCGTTTGAGACAAAAACTGTATGAAGAGACAAAGACAGTAACTATATAATGACAGAGGAATAAATTAAGTAAAAGGATATAACAATTTTAAATATATGTATCCCAACACTGGAGCACCTAGATATATAAATCAAATATTATTAGAGCTAATGAGATATACCCTAATACACCAATAGTTGGAGATGTCAACACCCCACTTAGAGCACTGGACAGATCTTCCAGATAGAAAATCAACAAAGAAAGTTCAGACTTAATCTATACTATAGACCAAATGAACCTAATAGATATTTCAGTTACATTTTATCCAATAGCTGAAGAATACACATTCTTTTCCTCAGCACATGGATCATTTTCAAGGATAGACCATATGTTAAGTCACAACGCAAGTCTTAAAACATTCAAATAATTGAAATAATATCAAGCATCTTCTCAGACTACAATGGAATGAAACTAGAAATGAATAAGTAGAGGAATTTTGGAAACTGTAGAAACATGTAGAAATTAAACAATATGTTCTGGAATGACCAGGGCATCAATGAAGATATTCAGAAGAAAATGGAATAATTTTATGAAAAAAATGATAATTAAACAAAACAGACAAAAACTTGTGAGATATGACGATAGCAGGACTAAGGGGGCATTTATAATTATAAACACCTACATCAAAAAAGAATAAAATATTGAAATAAAGAATCTAGCAATGCTTCTTAAGGAACAAGAAAAGCAAAATCAAGCCAAACCCCAAATTACTAAAAGAAAATACATAATAAAGATGAGATCAGAAGAAAAAATTGATTTGGAGAAAATAACTTGAAAGATAAATGAAACTAAAAGGTTTTTTAAAGGTTAAACAAAATTGACAAACTTTCAGCCAGAATAAGAAAAAAAAGCAGGCTACTATGAGCACCTACATGTCAATAAATTGGAAATATAGAAGAAATAGGCAAGTCCCTAGACACATACAACCTACCAAGATTGAACCAGGAAAAAAATGCATAACCTGAAAGCTCAATAGCAAGTAATGAGATTAAAGTCATAATAAAAAAAGAATCTCAGTAAAGAAAAGCTGGAGACATGATGGTTTCACTACTGGATTCTATCAAACATTTAGGAAAGAGCGGATGCCAATCTTAATCAAAATATTCTGAAAAATAGGGGAAAAAGCAATCCTTCCAAATTCATTATATGGGGCCGTTATAACCCTTATACCAAAAGCAAACACATCAAAAAAAGAAATCTACAGGCAAATATCTCTGAATAATATTGATGCAAAAGTACTCAAAATAATACTTGCAAACCGACTTCAACAACAAATTAAAAATACTCAAAAATAATACTTGCAAATCTAATTCAACAAAAATTAAAAAGATCATTAATTACGGCAAAGTGCGATTCTTCCCTGAGATTCAGGGATGGTTCAACATATGCAAATCAACCAATGTGATTCATTATATCAACAGAATGCAGGACATGAAACGTGATCATTTCAATTGCTGAAAAAGCATTTGATAAAATTTAACATCTCTTCATGATAAAAACCCTAAAAAACCTGGGTATAGAAGGAACATATCTCAATATAATAAAAGCCATATATGAGAGACATAGTATCATACTGAATGGGGAAAAACTGAAAGCCTTTTCTCTAAGATGTGGAACGCGACAAGGATGCCCTCTTTCACCACTGTTATTCAACATAGTACTGGAAGTCCTAGTAAGAGTAATCACACAACAGAAACTAATGAAGGACAACTAATTTGGAAAGAAATAAGTCAAATTATTCTTGTTTGCAGATGATAGGATCATATATTTGGACAAACCTAAAGGCTCTTCCAAAAAAAATTACAACTGGTCAATTTAGTAAAGTTGTAGGACACAAAATCAACATTAAAATTCAGTGGCATTTCTATATGCCAACAGTGAGCAACCTGAAAAGGAAATTTAAGAAGTAATCCCATTAAAAATAGCTACAAATACAATTTAATACATAGGATTTAAGCAAGAAATGAAAATACTCTGCAACTAAAACTGTAAAATACTGATGAAAGAAGTTTAAAAGTATACCAAAAAATGCAGAGATATTCCAGGTTCATGGATTGGAAGAATTAATATTATTAAAATGTCCATACTACACAAAGCAATATATTCAATGGAATCTCTATCAAAATACCAATGACATTCTTCACAGAAATAGAAAAAATTCCTGAAATGTATATGAAACCATGAAAGACCCAGAATCACCAAAGATATATTAAGCAAATAGAACAAAACTGAAGGAATCACATCACCTGACTTCAAATTATACTACAGAGCTCTGTTAACCAAAACAACATGGTACTGGTATAAAAACAGACACATAGACCAATGGAACAAAATAGAGAACCCCAAAAATCCACACACCTAAAGTGAACTCAGTTTTCACAAAGATGCGAAGAACGTGCCTGGGGAAAGACAGTTTGTTCGATAAATGGTTCTGGGAAAACTGGATATATATATGCAGAAGAATGAGACTAGAGCCCTATATCTTGCCATATACAAAAAAAAAAAAAAATCAAAGTGAATTGAAGACTTACGTAAGACCTGAAACTATGAAACTGCTATAAGAAAATATTGAGGAAACTTTCAAGGTCATTACTTTGGGCAAAAATTTCTTGATTCATACCCCACAATCACAAGCAAGCAAACAAAAGAGAACAAATGGGATCACATCAAGTCTGCACAGCAAAGGAAACAATGAACAAACTGAAGAGGCAACCCCCACAAAATGGGAGAAAATATTTGCAATGTACCCATCTGACAGGGCATTAATAATGAGAACATACAAGGGGCTCAAATAATTGTATAGAAAAAAATCTAATAATCTGATCAAAAACTGAGAAAAGAAATTTGAATAAATATTTCTCAAAAGACATACAAATATGAAACAACTATACTGATATGGTTTACAACTGTGTGTCCATCAAATCTCATGTCAAATTGTAATTCCCAGTGTTGTGTTGGAGTTGGGGCCTGGTGAGAAGTGACTCGATCATGGGGGTGGTTTCTTATGAGTGGTTTAGCACCATCCCCCTTGGTACTGACGTCATGATAGTGAGTTCTCACAAGATCTGGTTGTTTAAAAGTGTGTGGCACCTCCCCACCCCAACTTATTTCTCTTGCTCCTGCTCCCACTGTGTAAGACAACTGCTCCACCTTTGCCTTCTGTCATGATTAGAAGCTTCCTGAGGTCTTCCCAGAAGCAGATGTCACTAAGCTTCATGTAAAAGCCTGTGGAACCGTGAGCCAATTAAACCTCTCTCCTTTATAAATTATCTAGCCTTAGATATTTCTTTATAGCAGTGCAAGAACAGAATAATACGAATATGAAAAGGTGCTCAATATTATTGCTTATCAGAAAAATGCAAATCAGAGTTACAATAATATACCATCTCATCTCAGTTAAAATGGATTATATCCAAAAGACAAGCAATAACAAAGCTGGTGAAGATGTGGAGAAAGGGAACCCTCATACACTGTTGTTGGGAATGTAAGTTAGTACAATCACTACGGAGAATGGTTTAGAGGTTCCTCAGTAAACTAAAAATAGAGCTGCCATATGATCCAGCAATCCCACTGCTGGGTACGTACCCCACATAAAGGAAATCGGTATATCAAAGAGATATCTGCACTCACATGTTTGTTGCAGGATTGTTTACAATAGCTAAGATTTGGAAGCAACCTAAGTGTCTGTCAACAGATTAATGGTTAAAGTAAATGTAGTACATATGCACAGAGGAGTACTATTCAAGCATAAAAATATGACATCCTTGCCATTCGCAACAACATGGATGGAACTGGAGATCATTATGTTAAGTAAAATAAGCCCGGCACAAAAAGACACATATCACGTATTCTCAGTTACTTGTGGTGTCTAAAAATGTAATTTCATCATAATTGAACTCATGAAGATAGAGATAGGAAGGATTGTTAGTAGAGTCTGCAAAAGATAGTGAGGGGGTGGAAGGTGAGAATGGTTAGTGGGACCAAGTAATAGTTACAAAGAATGATTAATACCTACTATTTGAAAGTGTAATGGGATGACTATAGTCAATAATAATGTAATTGTACATTTAAAATAACTAAGAATATAATTGGATTGTTACTCGAAGGATAAATGCTTGAGGGGATGGATATCCCCTTTTCCATGAGGTGATTATTATGCATTGTGTGCCTATATCAAAATATCTCTTATGCCCCATAAATATATGCACTTTCTTTTACCCATAATAATTAAATATAAAAATTAAATAAGCTTTACTTATTCAACAAAACTTAAATGGAAATTTATATTAAGCCAGTTACCAAAATTGATACCAATTATGCTATAGGTAGTTGTCATTTTAATTATTTTCTTCCTGGTAAACTATGACTGAAAGATAGTGATTTAATGGAAGAAAGAATATTATTTAATAGTTATGTATGAATTAATCATAATAATATAGCTGTGATATATGTGAATACATTACACAGTACTTCCTTATACTGTGTTGACTTGAAGCAGTTTTTATATGTGTAGGTTTTTTGTGGGATTAAAATTCATAATACCATAAATTTTATAATTCCACAACACTCTATGTGCCCAATGAATGATTGATAACTTTAAATGTTTGTTCTGTCCATTCGGTATCTTTTGAGAATATATATATATCTTGCAGGTTATGCCTCATATAATAGGCAAATGCTTTACTGCTTTCTAAGCAAAGCAAACACCTTCATTTCACATAGGCGCACACACACACACACGCGCGCACAGTTTCTCTCATTCCTTTCTCTCTTTTATGCACTAGAAAGCTAATGATAACAAATATTTACTGTTTCTGTGTATGTTTCAGGTGACAGAAAGTATTATTTGCATATTTTATCACAGAATATATGTTAAATACTAATTTAATAAAGTTGAATTTAGTAGATAATGATGTACCAAGTGCTTCCTTGAGACAAATAGAATTTTCTAACTCCGTGTCTTATACTGAATTATGCCCTCCCCCAAATTAAAAGCCCTAACTCCTGATATTACTGTATTAGGAGACAGAGTCTTTAAGTAGGTAATAAAGGTTAAATGAGGTCATAAAGATTGGGCCCTTACCCAATAAGGGTTATGACATTATAAGGAAAGAAAGAGACATTAAGAGTACGCTAGCACAGAGGAAAGACCATGTGAAGAAACAATAAGAAGGTGGTCATGTACAAGTCATGAAAATAGTCTTATGGAGAAACCAAGTCTGCAGACAACTTGATCTGGGAATTTTAGCCTCCAAAACTGTCAGAATACAAATTTCAGTTGTTTAAACCACCCAGTCTGGGATATTATCTTATGGCAGCCTCAGTAGACTAATAAACTAGGCTAAAGATAAATAATTATACAGAAAAGCCAACTCTTTCTAACATTTTTATATAGACAACTTCTTATTTCTTGGGTTAAGATAGCTTAAGTTTTATTTAATATCATCATTCTTAAGGTTACAAGTTCAAGAAAGTACATTTGAAATAATCCACCCATCTCTGCAATATAGCTTATTGTTTTCAGTGTAGACAAAAAGAAAAATATCTGTTGATATTCAGTAGAAAAGCAAAGAACATACGAGCAGAAGAGTTGAGGCTTCTGTGTATATTTATATTCAAGCCCAGGAACATAAATAGTTTTTTTAACGATTTTCGTATTCAGTCTAAAATACCTGTTGAATGACATTAGGGCTGTAACACATAACAACAATATCAGCCATTTCTGCACTACCAGAGGGAATGCACTCTACCTGTCACTTTGGTGAACAATAAGCCTTTGGACTGGACTATCCACCTCAGCTCTTCCTTTTTGGGTTGTTAAGTGTTTTTGTCAAGTATCTATATTATTTATATTTATCATATGTTCATAATAAATATATTCAGGAAATTGTTCTATATATTAAAAAAGAAAAAAATCTGTAAATAATAAAGTAGATGACTCATAAAATGTCCGGACATTTGAGATATAAAAATTACTTACGTGTGTGTTATATAGAAACATATACACATACACGTAGCACTTGTGTCACATGACTAGATTAAGAGCCACATAAATTCCACCTAGATAGACTACTTTAATGAAATTGATCAAACACACAAGCACTCCTGTCAAATAACTATATAGATAGAGAGGGAAACAGGCAGGGATGGAGAGAGAAAGAAAGAGAGCACAATGAAAAAAATTAATTTCATTCATTACTAAATTTAGTTGAAAGGCTTGAACTGATTATATGTGTAGACACAACTTCTGTACAATAATTTGGAGCCTATTTTTATTGTGTAGAAGTATAATTTGGAGGCTATTGTTGTTGCCCCCGTAGTATGGATATAAAAATTATGCAGGTGTCATTCACCTTTCCATGAAGATAGCCATAACCTTGACACTTTTCTGCTGACTTTCTAAGTTGTAGAGGTTGTTTGGTGACAGTCACACTTCTTCTGTGGGGTGCTGCATTTGAAGATTGCACTGTCCTTCAGCGTGACTAAGAATATTGGACAGTGATTGAATGTCGTCTAGTGCTTATTAATATGCATGTTGTCATTTGTCATCTCAGTCATCAATGACACTTTGTCATTTATGTTACTGTAAGCATTATATCGACTCTGAGTTACTGGATTTCAGACCTTTCTCTTGCTTGCAAACTCATCAGAAATACAGGCAACCATCTTCAAGAAGCCTTGCTGAAAAAAAAAAAAAAGATGAGTTTAACATTGTTTAAATAATGCTTTATTTGAATACCTGTAAGAGAACTATCAAAGTCATTATAAAAAAAGAGAAAACATGACAAATTGTCATTTTTGTCTTGTTAATGGATTGTGTCTAATTATACTGTTTATCATTGTAAAAAATGTAAAAACGTTGAATTTTCTTTCTCAAAGTTAAATAAAAATATTTTTTTAAAATAAGATAATACTTCTATATAAAAGAGCTTTCATACCTATTACTCTATTTTGTTATCTAAATATCTATTTGAATAATAATAGGCAAGTAATAACATCTCTATGTAAGTAGGAAAACTGAGGCTTACATAGTTTTAATGATTGGCCTGAGGACATATTTTTTTTAAGTGAAAACTGACAATAGATCTCAGACTTTCAAATTTTCTACCTGATGTTTGTCTTCTATGTGTTACTCTGCGTCAACTAAATCTATTATTTTGAAACATTTTTCTTCTATATTCTTAACATTCGCATAAGATTATGCTTAATATGCCACGCCCTCATTCCTCTTCCTAAGAAAACATTGATTTTTTTTTCACTGTTCAGCCGCCAGCATATAATCACGTGTTTGTGTGAAAGCTGACCTGACCTCTACTTCCAGATAGTGGATAACATTTAGTTCAATTCATTCATGGCAATTTCAGCCTTCTTACCAGTGATTGGATTAAGAACAGCCATGAGACCAACAACATATGTGTGAAGTCCTCTAAAGAACATTTTGGAATGCTTTCCACTCTCCTAAGGAAAAAAAAATATTTCCATGTCTCGACTGATTATCAGAACCTATATAGCTATCTTGCTAAGTGGCTGAGCATGAAAACAACATCTGAAGGAATTCAAACTTAAAAATTATAGAGAAGTGAGAGTAGAATTCTCAGATATTACTCTTGAAATCTTATTATTTAATTTTGTTATATAACAATAGGTTTTGTTATTAAAACCAGTTTGGGGGAAATTTTTCGTTTATATTCAAAACATACTGATAAAGGAAAACTTGACTCAATGATATTTTTCCCAGTAAGAATAATAATTACTTAGTATTCCTAGCATTGTTTTGAAATACCACTAAGGAACAGTAATAAGAGCCATAAAATGTGAAACTACAAAGATCATTAGAAAGAACACACATCAACATTTCACACACTGTTTTCCATTGAAAATATTTTGACAAAAGGGAGGATGTGTCCAAGTTACCTACAATTTAGAAAACATGTGTTTAAAAACCTTAACAGGTTCCTTAACTAATTATGTCTTAGAGCCATGCTAAACTACATCACAGATTTCTAAATGAAGCTGTAGTTCGCATTTTTTTAAATTTATTCTATCACAGAATTGTGTGTGTGTGTGTGTGCACACCTGTGTGTGTCATGTTGTGGAACAGTATTCCCTGAAACATGTTTTAGAAAAAAAAAAAAAAAGATGGCAATACTAGAATTCAGAAAGAGGATCAAACGATGGGAATCTTCAACACTTTCAGGACACTTTGTGGAAGATTTGAGACTAGCACCTTGAACTGCTGACTTGCTGGCTAATAATATTTTACTAAACTATTCAGACTTTTCTTTAAGCAACCAGAAAATGCATGGCTTATTATAAAAATATAAATTATTAATTATACATATTTGATGGTAATGATGACATGCGAGAGAATATTCTTTCATAGTTTTTAACATAGATGTTAAATGCTAACATAAAGTTTTAAACAGATGCAGAAAAACATACTATAAAGGGTATAAATTTGAGGTCAGACAGAACTGGGCATTTATTTTATTGATGAATAATATTTTACATACTTTAGGGGTACATGTGATATTCTGTTACATGCGTAGAATGTGTAATTATCAAGTCAGAGTATAAGAGGTACCCATCACCTTGAGTATATATTATTTGTATGGATTGGGAACAATTTGAGTCTTCTCTTTTAGCTACTTTGAAATATGCAATACATTATTGCTAACTGTAGTCACCCTAGTCTTCCGTATAACATTATAACAAATTCCTTGTATCTAACTGTGTGTTTTATGCTTAACCAACCTCTGGTCGTATCTCCTCACCCCAGCCAAACATTCTTCCCAGCCTCTGATATCTATTCAGTCTACTCTTTACTTCCATGAGATCAACTTTTGTAGCTTCCACATATGAATGAGAACATGCAATGTTTGTCTTTCTGTGTCTGACTTATTTCACTTAACATAATGACCTCCAGTTCCACCCATGTTGTTACAAATGACATTATTTTTTTTTTATGACTGGATTCCATTGTGTATATATACCACATTTTCCTTATCCATTTGAACATTGATGGACATTTATGTTTATTCAATATATTTGCTATTGTGAATAGTGCTGCAATATACATGAGAGTGCAGGTACCCCTATGATATACTGATGTATTTTCCTTTGGATAAATATTCAGTAGTGGGATTGCTGGATCATGTGGTAATTATATTTCAGTTTTTTTTTTTTTTTTTTTTTTTAGAAATTTTCATGTTGTTCTCCATAGTGGCTAATTGACATTCCCAACAACAGTGTATAAGTGTTCCCTTTTCTCCACATCCTTGCCATCATATGTTATTTTTGGTCATTTTAGTAATAGCCATTATAAATGGGGTAAAATGATATGTCATTTCAGTTTTCATTTACATTTCCTGATGATTAGTGATATTGAGCATTTTTTCACATATCTGTTGGCTAATTGTTTTCTTTTGAGAAATGTCTGTCCATGACCTCTTCCTACTTGTTTTATATTGCTGAGTTGTTTACATTCTGTGTGTATTCTCAATTTTAGTCCCTTGTGATATGGTTTGCAGATATTTTCTCCCATTCAGCAGGTTGCCTCTTCACCCTGTTGATTGTTTTCTTTGCTGTGCAGAAGACTTTTAGTTTAATATAGTACCATTTGTCTATTTATGTTTTTGTTGTCTGTGCTTTAGAGGTCCTAGACATACAATTATTTACTAGACCAATGTCCTAAAGTGTTTTCTCTATGTTTTCTTCTAGAAGTTTTATAGTTTTGAGACTTACATCCAAATATTTAATTCATCTGGATTTGATTTTTGTATGTCTTGAGTGATAGAGGTACAGTTTCAAACTTCTGCATATGGATATCCAATTTTCCCAGCACTAGTTATTGAAGAAGATATCTTTTCTTCAAGGTTGTTCCTGTCACCTTTGTCAAAAATCAGTTTGTTGTAATTATGTAAATTTATTTGAGTTCTTTGTTCTGTTCCACTGGTCTGTGTGGTCTATATATCTGTTTTTATACAAATACCATGCTGTTTTGCTTACTATAGCATTGTAATGTATTTGGAAGTCACGTAATGTGATGCCTCCAGCTTTGTTCTTTTTGCTTAGGATTGCTTTCAATATTTAGGCTCTTTTTCTGTTCCATGCAAATTTTAAGATTTTTTTTTCTCTTTCTGTGAAAAATGATGTTGGTACTTTGACAGAGATTACATTGACTCTGTAGATTTCTTTTGGCAGTATGATCATTTTAATAATATTAAATCTTCTGATTTAAGAGCATGGGATATCTTTCCACTTCTTTGTGTCCTCTTTGATTTCCTTCATCAGCGTTTTGTAGTTTTCCTTGTGATTTGGGTATTTATTAATCCTAGTCCTCTCCTTTACCAGTAATGTGATCTTCTGAAAGTAATTTAACCTTTTAACCTCAAAACGTCAGTTTCTTAATCTATAAAATGAAATTAGAAGAACACCATTTTCACAGGAATATTATAGATGTTAATATACCCGAAATAAATACAGTTAACTATCATCTATCTATCTATCTATCGATCTATCTGTCTATCTATCTATCCATCCATCCATCCTACATACTGGCTTTGACTACCTTATTCATTAAGATAAAAAGATGTAGCTTCATTTATTATATGCTTAGGAAGTCTAATGTTCTCCTCAAGATTTCTGTGAATTCTTCAGGGACTAAAATATTTGTGGTCACTCCTAGCTGTGAATTCCTCTTATTTCTGATTTTGTATCATTAATCAGCTACTGCAGTGTTTCCCTACTGTATGTTTAATGAAAAACCCAAAGTGAATAGTCAAATATCTCCCCAGGATTCTGTACCCCCATTACCTGTCAGAAAAGTATGAATTGGGAAATTTGGGCTGTAGTGCATTTTATTAAAGTTTTGACACAATGCAATGTGGTTGTGCTCTATATGTTTTTGGTGATAGGGTCTGGACTCTCTCACCCAGGCTGGAGTGCAGTGGCATGATCATAGTTCAAATTATATGTGGAATATATAATACATATTTACATATATTATATATGGAATACATAATACATATTTACATATATTATATATGGAATATATAATACATATTTACATATATTATATATGGACTATATAATACATATTTACATACATTATACATGGAATATATAATAACATTTACATACATTATATAAGGAATATATAATACACATTTACATATATACGGAATATAACATACACATTTACATATATTATATACGGAATATATACACATTTACATAGATTATAAATAGAATATGTCATACACATTTACATATATAGACTATGTCATACATATTTACATATATAGAATATGCCATACACATTTACATATATTATATAGAATATGCCATACATATTTACATATATTATATACTATGTAATATATATTTTGCATATATTATAGATTATAATATATTTGCATATATTATAGATGATTATGATATATTTACATATATTATAGATTATATAATATATACTGACATATAATATATAATATATTGGCATATATATAATATGTATTTACATAGATATAATACATAATATATGTTTACATATATTATACATAATATATGATATATATCTACATATATTATACATAATATATGATATATATTATATATTATACATAATATATATTTACCTATATTATATATAACATGTAAATCTGTAATATGTATTTACATATATAATGTATGATATATATTTACATATATGATATATATTTACATATACTATATGATCTATAGTATATAATTATAGATTATGTAATATATATAATATATTATATATAATCATTAATAGATATTAATATGTATATTATATATAATCATTAAGATATATTTTATATAACATATATATTATATATAATCATTACTATATTATATATTATATATAATTAATATATATTATGTATAATGATTATATATAATATATAATATAGATAATATATACATTAATATATTACATATAATTATATAATATATAAAATAGGTAAATATAACATAATTATATAATATACAATATAATTATAATACAATATATAATATATAATAATATATGTAAATATGTTATAATTGTATAAATAATATATATTATATAAAATATTATATAATATATAATATACAATAATATATAATATCTATTATATAGGAAAGTGGCATATCTTTTATAATTATATATATAATTATAAAATATTCTTATATATTTAAATATATAATATATATACGTATATTAGAGACAGGGTCTTGAATTGTTGCCCAGGCTGTTTTCAACCCCTAGTTTCAAGTGATCTGCCCACCTCAGACTCCCACAATGTTGGGATTACAGGTGTGAGCCACCGTGCTCAGCCTGTATGTGCTTTTTAATGATCATTTTTCTGTGTCACCTCTCTACCTCAAGGCACTCCTAATATTACCACTCCTATTTTCCTGTTCCTATTTTCTATTTTCCTTATCATCTCCTCCAACTCACACACACAAAATACTTCCCTCAGTTTAACATGGAGAGCAACTTAACTCTCTAATTTCTGTTGTTTTGCATCCTCTGAAGAGTCAAAGGGTGTTGAGCCTTCTATTTTGGGTACCAATATTTAGCAGAAAAAAAAAGTTGAACTGATAAAAGCCTAGAAATTTATTTAATTTTCTCCTTACTGTCCCTCATCTCTGTCTGTATGGAGATGTACTCCCCCTCTTATGTGTTATATGCCACTTTCCTAAGATGGTGTAAACAGCAAGTTTTGTATTATAATTAACCACTTTTATTTTAACTGCCATTTCATATAGTACATTTTCAATAATATATTAGTTTTTCACTCTGGTTTGAAATTTAGTGGATACATGCCAATTAGTTTCATTTCTACTTTTAAGAAAACAAAATAATTTCAGGAGTTTAAATATCTATGGCATACATATTTGAAAATTTATTCAAAGGAATTCATCAATGTAGAGTGTCAGTATTTGTCACTCAGTAGTCTAATTGCCTAAATGAAAGAGAATTCCAAAAACAAACATAATCAAAACTAAAACCATCGTTCTAACTAGAATACTTATTTTAAGTGAACTTCATATATATATTTGCTTCAGTATTATTCTCTGCTAATATTTAATGTATACTTTACCAACTCTTTGAACAAATATTTACAAATATTCTTGTGAAAAATGAAGAGAACAATATAATTCTTCCAACTTAGACTTTAACTGTTTACCAACATGGAAAAACAGGAACCAGATTTATTCTTCTAAAACAACCATTAAACAGAAAAAAAATATATATGAAAATACAGATTGTAAGTAACCATATATGAGATAAAGAAGGACAGTGATCCCTTAGAGATGAAAAACAATTGTGTTGAGCCTTATAATTCACCCACCTTGTTGCCTAGAGTGATTCCAACTAACAGTGCAAATAAGGGGAATCCAGGCATATAGCAGAGCACCCTTTCTGATTTAAGGAAATAGAACTGAGAATAGGGGAAGACTAAAGCAATTATAATTCCAAAAACAGAGTACTGAAGAGGAGACAGCTTCAGAGAGAGAACTAAAGAGATCATCACAAGGTCATCCTAAGTGTTCACCTCACTTGGTAAGCATATGTATGTGAAAAATATACCTGAGACCAGGCAATGAACATTCTAAAAGGGTTAGCAGTAATAACGCCCAGCACTCACAGAAGTCTTGGAACAGTACATCTTCCCATGAGGATACGGGAAAAGAAAATAAAAGTAAAAAAACCTTAAGATTCATGGGACATGAAAAAGAATACACACAGAAGTATTTTAACCTCAGTAGTGAAGAATAATTAATCTCAGATTAAGCATTCTTCATTGCTCTGATACCAACACTGAAAGGATATAGAATTTCCAAGAAACTTAACTGAATCTCAGAACAATCTCAGGAAGACTTATAAAATGTGTAGTGCCCAACAGAACAGTAAGAGAGCAGAGGAGTTTTGTGTGGAGAGAGAGATGGTATATATGAATTCTCTGTACTTACTGCTGAATTTTGCTGTGAACCTAAAGCTGCCCTAAATTACAAAGTTTACTAATTTTTGTTTTTAAAAAGAAAAGAGAGATGTAATGGCTGTATCAATATCAGACAATAAGTTATTTAGTTTTCTTGTGATGTTATCATCTGGCTTTGCTATCAGGGTAATACTGGCCTCATAGAAAAAGTTAGAAAGTAATTCTTCCTCCTCAATATATTTTGGAAGAGTTTGAGAAGCATTTATTTTAATTGTGCCTTAAGTGTTTGATATAATTTATCAAAAAAATCTGGTTCTGTGATATTCTTTATTAGACATTTTTAATATGATTAACTCAGTGCTTTAATTGCTATAAGTTTATTGAAATAAAATTTTTCTTGATAAATTTTGATATCCTGCATGTTTCTAGGAATTTTTCTATTTCATCTAAGTTATTTAATTTGTTGGCATGCAATTGTTCCTGGTATTTTCTTGTAATCATTTTCACTTTTTTAACAGTAGTAATGTCCCCACCTTCTTTTTTTCCACGATCAGTCTAGTTAAAAGTTTGTCAATTTTGTTGATCTTTTCAATTAATCAACTTTGGTTTCATTGATCTTCTCTGATGTTTTCTATTTTCTATATTATTTATTTCTATTCTAATATTTATTTATTTATTTTAAGATCAAGGATTTTTTTTATTATTATACTTTAAGTTTTAGGGTACATGTGTACAAGGTGCAGGTTTGTTACATATGTATATATGTGCCATGTTGGTGTGCTGCACCCATTAACTCGTCATTTAGCATTAGGTATATCTCCTAATGCTATCCCTCCCCCTCCCCCCACTCCACAACAGTCCCTGGTGTGTGATGTTCCCCTTCCTGTGTCCATGTGTTCTCATTGTTCAATTCCCACCTATGAGTGAGAACATGCGGTGTTTGGTTTTTTGTTCTTGCGATAGTTTGCTGAGAATGATGGTTTCCAGCTTCATCCATGTCCCTACAAAGGACATGAACTCATCATTTTTTATGGCTGCATAGTATTCCATGGTGTACATGTGCCACATTTTCTTAATCCAGTCTATCATTGTTGGACATTTGGGTTGGTTCCAAGTCTTTGCTATTGTGAATAGTGCCACAATAAACATACGTGTGCATGTGTCTTTATAGCAGCATGATTTATAATCCTTTGGGTATATACCCAGTAATGGGATGGCTGGGTCAAATGGTATTACTAGTTCTAGATCCCTGAGGAATCACCACACCGACTTCCACAATGGTTGAACTAGTTTACAGTTCCACCAACAGTGTAAAAGTGTTCCTATTTCTCCACATCCTCTCCAGCACCTGTTGTTTCCTGACTTTAATGATTGCCATTCTAACTGGCATGAGATGGTATCTCATTGTGGTTTTGATTTGCATTTCTCTGATGGCCAGTGATGGTGAGCATTTTTTCATGTGTTTTTTGGCTGCATAAATGTCTTCTTTTGAGAAGTGTCTGTTCATATCCTTCACCCACTTGTTGATGGGGTTGTTTGTTTTTTTCTTGTAAATTTGTTGGAGTTCATTGTAGATTCTGGATATTAGCCCTTTGTCAGATGAGTAGGTTGCAAAAATTTTCTCCCATTCTGTAGGTTGCCTGTTCACTCTGATGGTGGTTTCTTTTGCTGGGCAGAAGCTCTTTAGTTGAATTAGATCCCATTTGTCAATTTTGTCTTTTGTTGCCATTGCTTTTGGTGTTTTAGACATGAAGTCCTTGCCCATGCCTATGTCCTGAATGGTATTAAATTACGTACTTCCTTGTGTTGTCTTCAGGTTTATATTGCTCTTCTTTTGCTAGTTTCTTAAGTTTGAAGGTGAGGTTATTGATATTATATATTTTTTCTCTTTTACTGTGTGCATTTACAGCTGTGATTTCCCTCTTATCACTGTTTTTGCGATACCTAATTAATTTTGCTATGTTGCATGTTTGTATTCATTCTTGCAAAGTATTTTCTAATTCACTCTTTAATTTTGTGTGCACATATTTTTTGATTGTTCAAATTTTCCTCTATAATCAGTTTCTAATATCCCATTGTCTTCACAGGACATACTTGATATGAACTGAATATTTTAAATTCATTGAGACTTGTTATGTGGTCTAACATATAATCTATTTTGAAAAAAAATTCCACATGTACTTAAGAAGAATATGTATTCTTCTTTTATTTATTGAAATGTTCTATAGATGTTTATTAGGTCTATCTGGTTTGTAGAAATGTTCAATGGTCCTATTTTCTTCCTGGTATGTTTAATTTTCCTACCAATATTAAAACTGTGGCATTAGAGTCTATGAGTATTATTTTTTAATTGTTTAGTTGTCTTCTTCAATTACATGAGTTTTGTTTCATGTATTTGGAGGCTCTAATGTTGGGCACACTTTTTTTTTTTTTTTTTGAGATGGAGTTTCACTCTTGCTGCCCAGGCTGGAGTGCAATGGAGCCATCTCGGCTCACCACAACCTCTGCCTCCTGGGCTCAAGCGATTCTCTGCCTCAGCCTCCCCAGTAGCTGGGATTACAGGCATGCATCACCATGCCCTGCTAATTTTGCATTTTTAGTAGAGACGGGGTTTCTCCATGTTGTTCAGGCTAGTCTCGAACTCCCAACCTCAGGTGATCCTCCTGCCTTGACCTCCCAAAGTGCTGGGACTACAGGCATGAGCCACCGCGCCCGGCCAAGGGCACACATATTTAAAATGTTTATAACTCCTTGGCACATTGTCACTTTATGATGTCCTTCTTTCATATGATGTTATTGTTTGTCTTTAATAAAACTATTGTCTTAAAGTCGATTTTGTTTGACAGAAGCATAGCCACTCCAGCTCTATTTTGAATACTGTTTACATAAAATGAATATCTTTTCACATTTTTTCACTTTCAACCTATCTGTGACTTTCAATCTAGATTTTCTTATAAAACATCTATATTCAGACCAAGTTGTGTTTGTTTTTAATACCTTTTGCCAATGTCTGGGTTTGATTTAAAAACTTACATTCAATGTAATTACTGATAAGAGAAGCCTTAAATCTGCTATTTTGTTAATTGTTTTCGGTTAGTTTGTTTTTCTTCAACTTTTATTTTAAGTTCAGAAGTACATGTTCAGGATGTGCAGGTTTGTTACATAGGTAAATGTGTGCCATGGTGGTTTGATGCACAGATCATTCCATCACACAGGTATTAAGCCCAGCATCTATTAGCTAATGTTTCTGATGCTCGCTCTCCTCTCACCCCTCCACCCGACAGGCCCCAGTGTGTGTTGTTCCCTGCCTTCTGTCCATGTGTTCTCATCCTTAGCTCCCACTTATAAGTGAGAACATGTGGTGGGTTTTTTTTTGTTCTTGTGTTAGTTTGCTGTGGATAATGGCTTCCAGCTCTATCCAGGTCCCTGCAAAAGACATGATCTCATTGCTTTTTATGGCTGCATAGTATTCCATGGTGTACATGTACCACATTTTCTTTATCCAGTCTATCATTGATAGGCATGTGGTTGATTCCATGTCTTGCTATTGTGAATAGTGCTGCAATAAATATACACATGCATGTGCATTTATAACGGAATGATTTATATTCCTTTGAGTACATACTAAGTAGTGGGATTGCTGGGTCAAATGGTATTTCTGCCTTTAGATCTTTGAGGAATCCCCACACTGTCTTCCACAATAGGTTAACTAATTTACACTCCCACCAACAATGTAAGAGTTTTCCTTCTTCTCCACCACCTCATCTGTTGTTTCTGGACTTTTTAACAATCGCCATTCTCACTGAAGTGTGGTGGTATTTCATTGTGGTTTTGATTTGCATTTCTCTAGTTATCAGTGATGTTGAGCTTTTTTTTTCACGTTTGTTGAAAGCATATATGTCTTCTTTTGAGAAGTGTCTGTTCGTGTCCTTTGCCCACTTTTTAATGTGGTTGTTTGTTTTTTTCTTATAAATTTAATTAAATTCCTTGTAGACTCTGGATATTAGACCTTTGTCCAATGAAAATATTACAAAAATTTTCTCTTATTCTATAGGTTGTCTCTTCACTCTGATGATAGTTTGTTTTGCTGTGCAGAAGCTCTTTAGTTTAATTCGATTCCATTTGTCAATCTTTGCTTTTGTTGCAATTGCTTTTGATGTTTTTTTCATGAAAACTTTGTCCCTGTCTATGCCTTGAATCGTATTGACTAGATTTTCTTCTAGGGTTTTTGTAGTTTGGGGTTTTACATTTAAGTCTGTAGTTCATCTTGAGTTAACTTTTGTATAAGGTGTAAGGAAGGGGTCTAGTTTCAATTTTCTGCATATGGCTAGCCAGTTCTCCCAGCACCATTTATTAAATAGGCAATCCTTTCCCCTTTCCTTGTTTTTGTCAGGTTTGTCAAAGATCAGATGGTTTCAGATGTACAGTCTTATTTCTGAGTTCTTGATTCTGTTTTATTGGTTTATGTGTTTGTTTTTGTACCAGTACCATGCTGTTTTGGTTACTGTAGCCTTGTAGTATAGTTTGAAGTCAGGTAGCGTGATGCTTCCAGCTTTGTTCTTTTTGCTTAGGATTGCCTTGGCTATTTGGGCTCTTTTTTGGTTCCATATGAATTTTTAAGTAGTTTTTTCTAATTCTGTGAAGAAAGTCAAGGGCAGTTTAATGGGAATAGCATTGAATCTATAAATTGCTTTGGGCAGTATGGCCATTTTCACAATATTGAGTCTTCCTATCCATGAGAATCTAATGTTTTTCCATTTGTTTGTGTTCTCTCAGATTTATTTGAGCTGTGGTGTGTGATTCTCCTTGAAGAGGTGATTCACTTCCTTGTTAGCTGTACTCCAAGGTATTTTATTGTTTTTGTAGCAATTGAGAATGCGAGCACATTTATGATTTGTCTCTCTGCTTGCCTTTTTTTGTTGTACCGAGATGCTAGTGATTTTTGCACATTTATTTTTTATCATGAGACTTTGCTGAAGTTGCTTATCTGCTTAAGAAGATTTGGAGGCTGATAAAGGTTTTGTGTTTTCTACATATAGAATCATGTCATCTGAAAACAAAGATAATTTGACTTCCTCTCTCCCTTTTGGAATGCCTATTGCTTCTTGCCCTTACCTGATTGCCCTGGTGAGAACTTCCAATACTATGTTGAATAGGAATGGTGAGGGAGGGCATCATTGTCTTGTGCCAGTTTTCAGGCATAATGCTTCCAGCTTTTGCCCATACAGTATGATATTGGCTGTGGCTTTGTCATATATGGCTCTTATTATTTTGAGATATGTTCCTTCATTACCTAGTTTATTGAGAGTTTTTAATGTGAACGCATGTTCAATTTTATCAAAGGCCTTTTCTGCATGTATTGATATAATCATGTGGTTTTTGTCTTTAATTCTGTTTATGTGATGAATTACATTTATTTATTTGCATATGTTGAACTGACCTTGCATCTGGGGAATGAAGCAAACTTGATTATGGCGAATAAGCTTTTTGATGTGCTGCTGGTTTTGGTTTGCCAGTATTTTATTAAAGATTCTTGCATCCATGTTCAACAGGGATATTGGCCTAAAGTTTTTGTTTTTGTTGCATCTTTGCCAGGTTTTGGTTTCAGGATGATGCTGGCCTCATAAAATGAGTTAGGATTCCCTCTTTTTCAAATTTATGAAATACTTTCCTTAGAAATAGTACAAGCTCTTCTTTGTGCCTCTGGTAGAATTCATCTGTGAATCCCTCTGGTCCTGGGTTTTTTTTTTTTTTTTTTGGTTGGTAGGCAATTTATTACTGCCTCCATTTCCAACTTGTTATTGGTCTATTCAGGAATTCCATTTTTACCTCTTTCAGTCTTGGGAGCGTGTATGTGTGCATGAACTTATCCCTTTCTCCTAGATTTTCTAGTTTATGTCCATAGAGGTGTTTATAGTATTTGATGGTTGTTTGTATTACTGTGGGGTCAGTGGTAATATCCCCCTTATAATTTCTGTTTGTGTCTATTTGATTCTTCTTTCTTTTCTTATTTATTAGTCTAGCTAGCTATCTATTTTATTATTTTTTTTCTAAAAATCTGGTCCTGGATTTGTTGATTTTTTGAAGTTATATATATATATATATCCTTCAGTTTTGCTCTGATCTTGGTTAAATTTTGTCTTCTGCTAGCTTTGGGGTTTGTTTGCTCTTGAGTCTTTAGTTCTTTTAGTTGTGACGTTAGTTTGTTTATTTCAGGTCTTTCTAGCTTTTTCATGTGGGCATTTAGTACTATAAATTTCCCTCTTAACACTGCTTTAGCTGCATTCCAGAGATTCTGATATGTTGTCTCCTTTTTCTCATTAGTTTCAAAGAACTTGATTTATGCCTTGATTTCATTATTTACCCAGGAGTCATTCAGAAGCAAGTTGTTCAATTTCCATGTAGTTGTGTGGTTTTGAGTGAATTTCTTAGTGCTGAGTTCTAATTTGATTGTGTTTTGTTCTGAGAAATTGTTATTATTTCAGTTCTTTTGCATTTGCTGAGGAGTGTTTTCCTTCTGATTATGTGATCAAATTTAGAATAAGTGCCACGTGGTGATGAGAAGAATGTATACTCTGTTGTTTTGGAGTGGAGAGTTCTGTAGATATCTATCAGGTCTGTTTGATTCAGGTCCTGAATATCTTTGTTAATTTTTTGTGTTGATGATCTAATATTGTCAGTGGGGTGTTAAAGTCTCCCACTATTATTTTGTGGGAGTCTAAGTCTCTATATAGGTCTCTAAGAGCTTGCTTTATTCATCTTGGTGCTCCTGTATTGAGTGCATAGATATTTGGACAGTTTGCTCTTCTTGTTGAATTGAATCCTTTACCTTTTTGTAATGTCCTTCTTTGTCTTATTTGATCTTTTTTGGTTTAAAGACTGTTTTGTCAGAAACTAGGATTGCAGCCCCTACTTTTTTCTCTTTTCCATTTTCTTGGTAATTTTTCCTCCACCCCTTTATTTTGAGTCTATGTGTGTCTTTACAAGTGAGATGGGTCTCTTGGACACAGCATACAGATGGGTCTTGACTCTTTGGCTTTCTATTCTGTATCTTTTAATTGGGGCATTTAGCCCATTTACATTTAAGATTAATATTGTCATGTGTCAATTTGATATTGCCATCATGATTCTAGCTGGTTATTTTGCACACTTGTTTATGTGGTTGCTTCCTAGTGTCACTAGTCTGTGAATTTCAGTCTGTTTTTGTGGTATTTGGTAAGAGTTTTTGCTTTCTGTGTATAGTGCTTCCTTCAGGAGCTCTTGTAAGGCAGGCCTGGTTTTGATAAATTCCCTCAGCATTTTCTTGTTTAAAGAGGATCTTATTTCTCCTTCACTTATAAAGCTTAGCTTGGACCGGTATGACATTATGGGTTGGAAATTATTTTCTTCAAGAATGTTGAATATTAGTCCCCAATCTCTTCTAGCTTATAGGGTTTCCACTAAGAGATTTGCTGTTAGTCTGACTGGTTTCCCTTTGTAGGTGACCTGACCTTTCTCTCTGGCTGGCCTTAACATTTTTCCTTTCATTTTGACCTTGGACAATCTGATGATTATGTGTCTTGGGGTGAGTCTTCTTGTGGAGCATCTTGCTGGGCCTCTCTGGATTTTCTCAATTTGAATGTTGGCCTGTCTTTTTAGGTTAGGGAAATTCTCCTTGATGATATCCTGAAGTATGTTTTCCAAGTTGGTTCCATCCTCTCTCTTTCTGGTACCCCAATCAGTTGCAGGTTCAGTCATTTTACATAGTCCCATATTTCTTGGAGGTCTCTTTTTCACTCATTTTTTTTCTGTTTTTTTCTATTTTTGTCTCTCTGTCTTATTTCAGAAAGATAGTCTTAAAACTCTGACATTGTTTCCTCCACTTGGTATATTCTGCTATTGATTCCTGTGATTGCATTGTGAAGGCCTCACGTTGTGTTTTTCAGCTCCATCAGGTCAGTTATGCTCCTGTCTTAACTGGCTATTCTGGTTATCAGTTCCTGTATTGTTTTATTACAATTCTTAGCTTCTTTGCATTGGGTTACATTGTGCTCAGAGAATTTCATTATTATAAACCTTCTGAAGCCTTCTTCTGTCAATTCAGCCATTTCATCCTCAACCTAGTTCTGTGCTCATGCTATATAGGTGTTGCAGTCATTTCGAGAAGAGCCACTCTGGTTTTTTGAGTTTCAGCATTTTTGCATTGATTCTTTCACATCTTTGTGGACTTACATACCTTCAATTTTGAGATTGCTGACCTGTGAATGGGGATTTCATGGGGTCTTTTTTGTTGCTGCTGTTATTTCTGTTGCTTTCTGTTTGTTTTTCTTTAACAGGCCACTTTCTGTAAGGGCCTGTTAAGGGTTTCTCCAGACCCTAGTTTCCTTGTTTTTTCCCTTCCTTGGAGGTACCTACCACCAGTGAAGGCTGTGAAGCAGCAAACATGGCAGTCTGCTCCTGCCTCTGGGAGACCCATTGCAGGTTGGGAACTGACCTGTTGCCAGCTGAGATGCTCCTGTAGGAGGTGTCTGGAGACCCCTGTTGGGAGGTCTCACCCAGTCAGGAGGGACAGGATAGGGGACCTGCTTAAAGAAGCAGTCGGACTGCTTTTTTTTTTTTTTTTTTTTTTTTGGATGGAGTTTTGCTCTTATTTCCGAGGCTGGAGTGCAATGGCATGATCTTGGCTCACCACAACCTCCGTCTCCCACGTTCAAGCAATTCTCCTGCCTCAACCTCCCAGGTAGCTGAGATTACAGGCATGCGCCACCATGGCCAGCTAATTTTGTATTTTTAGTAGAGATAGGTTTCCTCCATGTTGGTCAGGCTGGTCTGGAACTCCTGACCTCAGGTGATCTGCCTACCTCGGCCTCCCAAAGTGCTGGGATTACAGGTGGGAGCCACGGCGCCCGGCCCTGACTGCTTTTTAGTAGAGCAGGTGTGCTGCATTGGGGGTAACTCTTTCTCGGCCAGATTGCCTGGACTCTTTCAGAGCCAGCAGGCTACAAAGTCTAAGTCGACTGAACTGCAGAGATGTCAACCTCCCCTCCCCTCAGGGGCTCTGTCCCATGGAGAGATCAGAGTTCTGTCCCTATAACCCTGGCAGGAGTTGCTGAAATTCCTGCAGGGAGGCCCTGCCCAGTGAGAAGGGATGGATTATGATTCCACCTAAAGAAGCAGTCTGGCCACAATTCGGCACAGCAGCTGTGCTGCATTGTGGGGGACTCCTTCTCATCAGGACCACCTGGACTCACTGGAGCTGGCAGACTAGAACTGCTGAGTCGGCTGAACTGCAGAAATGCAGCTGCTCCTACCCCTGGGGGCTCTGGTCCCAGGGAGAGATCAGAATTCTGTTTGTATAACCCTAGTTGGATTTACTGAGACACAGGGAGGCCCATATCGGTGAGGATGGATGGATTCGGTTCTTGCTTTAAAAAGCAATCTGGCCACTATCTGGCACAGTAGCTGTGCTGCATTGTGGGGGATTCCTCCTTGTCCAGACAAACTGGACTCCCCAGCGCATGAGTGAATATGAAGGCACAACATGCTAAATCTTAAATAATGTTGCTAAAGCAATGCTAGAATGGCAATGTATGGTTGTAAATGTTTACATTTAAAAAGGAAGATCAATAGCCTGTCTACATTAAAAACTGGAAAAAGGGCAAAGAAAACCACGCCAAAAGCAAGCAGAAGAAAGAAAAATATTAAAGTGAAAATTAGTGAAATAGAGTATAAAAAATATAAGAGAAAACATTCTAAATTAAAAGATGGTTTTGGATCAATCAATGTAATAGACAACTATTTATGTAGATTGACCAATAAAGGAGATAAGAAAGACTGAGGTTACTATAATCAACTAAAAAAGTGAGACATTACAATTCAGTTTATAGAAATAAAAATGATTTTAGGAAAATACTATGAATGATTTTATGCCAAAAATTGGACTAGATAAAATGAACGAATTCTTATAAAATCATAAGTCATATATATACACACATATATATATATAATCTTAAGGAATCCCTTAATAAATTATTAAAAATAATAAACATGTTTAGCAAGCTTTCAGAACAGATTAGTATACTAAAATAAATTTCATTTCTATACACCTTAAATGAACACACTGAAAATAAAATTTTAAAAATTTATTTTTAATAGCTTCAAGGGAATAAAGCAGGAGTAAATTTAACAAAAGAAAGCAAAAACCTAGACCTAAATAGAGAACTATTCCACACTGATAAATAAGATTATTTAATACTATTAGCAAGGTGGTCCTCCCTCAAATTGGTCCACAGTTTCAATGTAATTTACATAAAAATTCCAGATGGATTTTTTCTTGCAGAAACTGACAAGTTGACTATAAAATTCATATGGAAATTCAAGGGTCCAAGAATAGCTAAAAATAAGAACAGTATTGGAAGACTCAGACTCCCAATTTTAAAACTTACTACAAACAGCAGTAACTAAGACTGATTTTCAAATTATTTAATAGCATACTAAGTAATATATAGTTACATGGAATGGAATTGAAAGTCCAAAAAACAAACCAATAAATTGTCAGTTGTTTTTAAACAAAGATACCTGCCATACAATTTAATATGATAAATATTTTTTGTAAAATTTGAAACAAATAGTGGTGAGATAACTATCTCTTATCCTGGTAAGAAAATGAAATCAAAACTCTGTTTCACATCACATACAATAAATAACTCAAAATTAATCAAATATCTATATATAAGAGTTGAAAATATAAAATTCTTAGAAGGAAACAGATGAAAATCTACATGACCCTGAGTTAAGCAACTCTTAATTTTAATATGACACCAAAAACACTAGCAAAAAAAACAAAAAATAATAATCATCAAATTACTGTTTTGCTCCAAAAGATACCATAGAGAATGTGAAAAAACAACATTCAAAATAAACAAAAATTTTGCAAATCATGCATGTGATAGGGGACTTATATTTAGATTGTATAACTGCCACTTAGAAGAGTACAAGAAAAAGGCAAGTAATTTGATTTAAAAGAAGCAAAGTACAGATATTGGCATTTCCCCAAGGGAGCTATCAAAATGTTCAGTAAGCATACAAAAAAATACTCAACATTATTAGTCATCAGGAAAATGAAAATTAAAACTACAATGTGATACCATTTCACACACATTAGGATAGCTATATTGAAAAGACAACTGTCAGGGAGAAATGCAGCTACCAATACACTCTTGGTGGGAATAAAGAGGTTTAGGGAATTTGTCAAACAGTCCAGTCTGGCTGCTCCTCCAAATGTTAAACATTCAAATTATATGACCCAGCAATTTCACTATGAGCTATATATTTAAGATAAATGAAAGCATGTATCCATACAAATCAACTGATAAATGGATAAAGAATTGTGATATATCCATATAATCAACAATAAAAAGAAATGAAGTACGGATACATACTACAACATAGGTTAAACTTGAAAAATTAATGTTAAGTGAAAGAAGCTAGTCAAAAATACCGCACAGTTTATATTTTTATTTTTATTAAATGTCCAGAACATGTAAATCTAGATAGAAAAAAGAAAATATTAGTTGTTTCCTGGGGCTGGCTTTGGGGGGGATTAGGGAGACCTGATGTGGGTAATTGCTAATGAGTAATGAATTATGAAAATGTTCTAAACTGATTGTAGTGATGGCTGCTCGACTCTATGAATATATTAAAATCCATGAAATTATATACTTTAAAAAAATAAACTATTTGCTATGTAAAATATGTAGCAGTAAAACTGTTATGCAAAATTTGAAAAAGTTAAGGAAAATGTGTCAACTACTCCTCAATGCTCAATTTAAGTATTAGCTTTCACTGACATTTCCTACAGCATTTAACTTTTATTCCTAAGGATATCAGAGTTTAAAGGAACTTTAGCAATAATCTATTCTAATCACTTTTTAAATAGAAGGGGACCTGAGATGAAGAGCTGGAAAGTACCTTGCTTCAAACAGCAGAGGTGGCCAAGGGAAAAGATCCAAGACAGTATATACCAAAAAAAAAAAGAAAGAAAGAAAAAAAAAAGGTTCACATAAAAAATAACAGGTTAGGGGTGTGAGGCTTTTCATACTCTACAACACATAGGACAGTTCAGCAGATATTTATTCAATACTTAATAGCTGCTGTATACTGTAATTGTTGGTGGGGTAGAGAAATACATACAGTATGTCCTTTATACTTATGAAGTGTTGTGTCAAATCAGAGATCTTAGGATGGTGCTTTGGCACATTTTAAGTTTAAGTGCTTGTGAGACAACCAAAGAGAGATGTCAACTAGATCTGACTCTGTAGTGATAGTTATCACAGGAAAAAGAGATTTGTCAGTCATCAGCATAGAAAATAGTATTAAAACGATGGGAAAATAAAGGATGCACTGAAGAAGAGCATGTAGAATGAGAATATGGCGAAGCACACAATTCTGGCAAAAGTAAATGTTTGTAGACCAAGCAGGAGATGAATGTACTCCAGTGATTATTTACACAGGAAGACAATTGAAAAAATAAAATGCAAGTACAAAAACCTTAATTGGAAAAAAATGAATAAATATGTGTAATGAAATACTTGTACAGAATGAGTCAGAAAGAAAAAGGCTACAGTAAAATTATCTATAAAAGGACTGATTGATAAAAGGTCTCTGGAGCTCATATTATATCCTTAATATCTAGTGAATAAGATCTAAACTTACATCCAAGGAGGCTGCAAAATGAAAACAAAACTTTAAGGCTTTTAAAATCTAATATTGGAGATATATCTAATGCTAAATGACGAGTTAGTGGGTGCAGCACACCAAATGGCACACGTATACATATGTAACAAACCTGCACATTGTGCACATGTACCCTAAAACTTAAAGTATAATAATAATAATAATAAACAGGTGGTGGGGCAAGAGATTGCTGATTGCTGGAGCAATAAAAACATTTTTTACTTAAAAAAAATCTAATATTGGGAAGATTCAGAAAAATAAGCAAAGAATGTCTTTGAGGAATCTTGTGAGTGTGAAACTTTGAGAAATGCAGTCATCTGAGAAACTAGCTTAAATTTCTGACAAGAAAGAAAACAATCTTAATAGATTACCCCATACCTAAACTTAGTTATTTTCTCTGAATCAACTTCTATTCCTAATCTTTCCAGTTATCAAGTTATGTGGCTATAAATCAGATTTTATCTACTTATTATTGGTTTAGATTTTTGGTAGCTTGATAATGTTTTAGGATGTTAGCCTTCTAAGTCCCGATGAACATATATTGATTATTAGTAAAGTTTCAAGTGCAATTAAATATTTTAGCATTTTTGAGTTGGATGATCAGATGAACAGAAGGATATTTGTTTCTGAATTTAGATTCATTTATTTAATAGGAATTAGCATTTAAAATTTTATTAGAATAAGCTTTTAATGCCCTTGAATATTTATCAAGGAGTAAGTTATATTCATGGCTCCAAACATTTGATATATTCTAATTTCATTTTGAAAATTGAGTATTTTATTATTTTTATTTTAAAAATTATTTGCCTAGATTTACACTCTTTCTACAGAAAATATCCTGGGAAATAATTCTGAAAACTGCAATTGAGTGCTTGAGAACTAATCATTCGGTTGTTTCAAAGATCTGTTTTAAATTTGTTACATATTTGAGGTCAATCCTCTCGAAACATTCATCTAGATAGAGGCTCTTAGATGTCAGGACTCATGCTTGTTGCAAGGGATCCTCATTTATGGAAAAAGGAAAGGTTGTAGCTATTATTTATCACTTCATGTCTCTTCATTTTTAAGGCATATTCAAAATCAACTATATATTTTACTTATTTGGATTTTCAGAGCTCTATTCCTAAATCTGTGATGCCCCAGACCCATATTACTGAGTCCTAGGTTGCACTCTTTAGATAATAAATTTCCATAATTTAATTAAAATCTGGGGAATTGCTTTATTGCTAAATCACCTTATTTTTATTACTCTAGTTCTCCAGTTTGTTACATTGTTTACCAAATAATGCAATAAAGCAATGGAAGTTCATTACTGTGTTCTATAAATAATATGGTGAAATGTGAAATAATGCAATAAAAATGATCGATAGAAAAATAATTTAATTATGAATGCCAGTATACTTTCAATATTTAGGTAACTTTCCTTTGTAAAGCAAGCAGTTTTTCTAAAAAATATGTGATTGTTAGAAATTAGGGAGAAGGTTATGTACTGAAATTTAAAGCATATCCATTTCTTTGGTTGAAAATATATATTAAATACATATGTATTTTTTATTTTAGTATTAGTAGATTTGTTCCATGAACACAAAATTACTGAACACATTCCATTCCTTACCTTAATAAATTTTGGCCCATTTCAGTAATGTGGGTATATGCTATGCATTTAAAATTTTATAATTATGAATGACTGGAGTAACTTGATGATGTGCAATGGATACTAAAACTGCACCTCCAGAAATAATTTGGATCATACTAATTTAGGAGATAAAAGAAGAACTTATAATTCTGCACAAAGCAGAGCTGGAATTAATCTGCCCACTGATATATGACATGTAAGTAGTCAATATATGCATATATACATAAATATAATATTATATAATATAATTATATATGTATATATTTATACATACATACACAAGCACATGCACGTGCGTGCACACACACACACATATATATAATCAGGAAAGTTTTTTTCTTTGAGACAGGGTCTCACTCTGTCATCCAGGCTGGAGTGCAATAGCGTGGTCTCAGCTAACTGCAACCTCCGATTCGTGGGCTCAAGTTATCCTCCCACCTCAGCCTTTCATGTAGCTGGGACTACAGGCATGTTCCACCATGCCTGGCTAATTTCTCTATTTTTTTCTTTTCTTGTAGAGATAGAGCTTTGCCATTTTGCCCAGGCAAGTCTTGAACTATTAGGCTCAAGTGATCCATCTACCTCAGCCTCCCAAAGAGCTGGGATTACAGGAGTGAGCCACCACGCTCAGCCTTAAATTTATTTTTCAGTCAACTTTCCACTATTTGTTCAACAACAATCATGTAATTCTAGATTTTCAGTTTCTATTGTGAGTTAGAAACAGTGGCCTGAAGTATCTAAGATTTATTTTCAATTGTCTGCAGAGGATAGACAATTGCATAGACTGAAGCACTACTATTTTTTTAGGCTCTTGAATAAGAAAAAGGAGTTTATTTTCATTTTATTTATGAACTTTCTCCTCCAAATCCCTGTCATATTTTCTTACAATAGAGACTAGTGTTTAAATACTGAATCTACAAGCTAAGAACCTTTAACAGTTGACAAAAGTTCTAGTTTTTCTCAAAAGGAAGTGCATTTTCAAGTAAAGAGTATACACATTTAAGAGTGTTTATATTTTGAAATATTTTAAAAGCATTTTATGTTCTATGAAGATGTCTTCCATTTGCTGCTGAGAAATCCTTAAGACTTTTGTCCATGGAACATTTTTAGTATCTTTTCTTTTTATACAGATAATTTCAACATTCACATGACTATTAGCCAGGGTTCTCCAGAGACAGAGCCAATAGGATATATAAATATAGATAGATAGATGGGAGGGGATTTATTAGGGGAATTTGCTCATGTGATTATGGATAATGAGAAATCCCACAATAGGCCATCTACAAACGGGAACTTGGGGAAGCCAATTGCATGGCTCAGTCTATATCTGAAGGTTTCAGAACCAGGGAAGTCAATGTAAAATTTTCGGTTTGAAGCCAAAGGCTCAAAAACCTGGGAGATTATTGGTGCAAGTCCCAGAGTCCAAAAGCTGGAAAAGGTTAAGGTCTAATGTCTATAGGCCAGGGGAGGAAGAGTGTCCCAGCTCCAGAAGAGACAGGATTCTTCTTTCCTTTGCCTTTTTGTTTTATCCACGCCTTCAGCCAATTGTATGGTACCTGCCCACATTGAGTGAGTGTGGATCTTCTTTACTCAGGTTACTGATTCAAATGTCAATCCCTTCTAAAAACATCCTCACAGACATACCTAGAAATATTGTTTTATCAGGCATCTGATTATCCCTTAATCCAGTCAAGTTTACGCTTAAAGTAAACCATCACAAGTCCACCCTTTGTCAACTTGGCACCCATACACATCTCCGTTAACCATATTTAATTTCCAAATAGAGATGATAATAAGGTCATAGCTCCACAAAAGATGATATAACTATCTTGTTTAGAACTTAAAACACATTCATTCTTTTCTCAGAAGAGATAAAGTCCTTCAGTGATGTTTTCTCTTCTTCTGAAATCCCATAAACTAAATACTATGATATAACATTAGTAATAATTAAATACTAATATAAACTCAATACATCTTGTTACATAATAAAAGAATGAGAGAAAACAAATATATTTGCCTAATATATGTATATATGCCCCCAAAAATGTAATCTTAACAAAATAGGAAATACTCATGGGAATTACAGTCCTCCTTTCTGTAACTGGTCATGTGGTCATATTTGCTATTTATAACTACCTTCTTCTACTACCCAGTCTGTATTCCCTTTGCTTACAGCAAGCACCGCATCTGGTTATAATTATGATTCTTTCCCTGGTATGGTGACCCAAGCCTTAATTCCTGAAGGGACTGGGTCATTCATAGTCTTGCCTGAATTAAAATGTTGTAATTTTCCATTGATCTTAATCATATGGCATGATAATATTAAAAGACACCCTCAAGAATCTTGTATTTCAGACACATTCTTCATTATCTCCATTGTGTCGTAGTAGTCCAATTTCTCCTTGGTTCTCTGAATCAATCACTCCAGCCAACACCATAACTCCCTTTTTAGCCTGTTGCCTTGGAGGAATGAGTAGCCCAAAGTGACCAGGTGGCAGTCTTAACTTCCAGTTCAGTGGAATCATTGCTGTATATTTTGGTAGACACATTCTTCTTATAAAACTAAAATCTCTAGGACATCAGAGCATAAAGTTGTGGTAATAGAAAACCAAAACTTTATAGGTCACTACGCATAATGGTGAGTAGTGCCACTCCCGCTTCCATCCCTTGACTCTTGGTTCTGTGAATCCTGGCTATGGGACAAACAGTACCTTATATTGAATGCTGATTCAGAACATATGCAGCCTTCTGGCGTACCTTATCCCAGCCTTGCAAGATATTGCCACCTAGCTGGTACTGTAACTGTATCTTCAGAAAGATGTTCCACAGTTCTATCAAGCCGACTGCTTCAGGATGGTGGGAACCATAGTGACACCAGTAAATTCCATGAGCATGGGCTAATTGCTGTGTGTCTTTGGCTACTAATTGAGTTCTTTTATCAGAAACAATATTGTGTAGAATACCATGATGGTGGATAAGGCATTTTGTGCATACACATATAGTAGTTTTGGCAGAAGCATTGAGTTTAGGTAAGACAAATCCATACCCAAAAATAAGTGTCTGTTCCAGTGAGGACAAAACATTGCCCTTTCCATGATGGAAGCAGTCCAGTGTAGTTAGCCTGCCACTAGCTAGCTGATTACTCCAGAGAATGGTTCCATATTGGGGGCTGGATGTTGGTCTCTACTAGTGGCAGACTGTGCACACGCAGCTGTGGAGAGTTGACCATTTTGTTAATGAGCTCATTTGACAATGATAGGGGTGGCTAGGGAAGGCAGTTGACTTACATTATTCACAGGATGAATTATTCTTTCACTTGATAAGTTTCTCCTCTGCTAAGGTCACCCTTTGGTGAACATTCACATGAGGCATAAATATACTCATATCCTTTGCCCATTCAGAGAGGTCTATTAACATATCTCTTCCCAAAATTTTTTTGTCACCAATTTTCCAGTCATGTCACTTCAATGTCTTTGATACTCAGTCAAATCTATGGTTACAACCCATGAATTGGTATATAATCACATGTATGACCATTTTTTCGAAGCAAAGTTTACAAACAGGTGCATTGTTCTAAGTTATTCCTAATGAAAAGATGTTCCTTTACCATTGTACTTCAGGGAGATCTTAGAAAACAGCTGTGGTGTTATAGCTGTCTACTTTCAGGTGGTGCCTGCATATAGTGCAGAACCATCTGAAAACCAGGCACTAGTCTCTCTTCCTGTGTCTAACGAACATAGGATGCTCTCCATGGGGCCATAGGTGCAGACTGGGAGACAGAAGGCAGAGTAGCAGGAGTAGGAACCATGAATACTTCAGCCACTTCTTTATGTAACTCACAGGTTCCTTCAGGACCTGCTTGGGCCTGGTCATGTGTATACCACTTTCATTTGATGATGGAATGCTTCTGTGCGTATTCAGCTTTATGGCTTGGTGGATCAACTATTGCCCAGTTTATGACGTACATCTCAGGTTGCCTGGTAATTTGGTGGCTCATGGTCAAGCATTAAGTTTCTTCTAAGGCCCAGTAGCATGCCATGAGCTGCCTCTCAAGAGTAGTTATCTGTAGATGGTGGCAGGGACTTGCTCCACAGTTCTAATAGCCTGTGCTGCAATTACCTATAAGGTCCTGTGTAAAGCTCCAAACAGTATCCCCATCCACCACTGACATTTCACATAGCATTGGATCTGCTGGATTATTAGGCTCAATTTGCAGAGCAGCATACACAACATCCTTGTCCTGTTGCAGAGCCTTCTCCTGTTCTAGTCCTCACTCAAGCAATATTTTGGGGTGACTCAGTAAATGGCTCAGAGAACCTGAAGATCTGTTTCCCAAGGGCAGAAGAAGAAGGTTGTTCCAGCTCTGAAAGAGAGAAGCACTTTGCCTTTCCCTGCCTTTTTATTCTATCCAGGCCCTCAACTGATTGGATGGTTTCCACACACATTGTGTGAGAACAGATCTTTCTTACTCGGTCCACTGAGTGAAAATGCCAGTCTTTTCCAGAAACACCCTCAAAGACTCCCCCACAAGTAACACTTTACCAGCTATCTGTCTGTCTCTTATTCCAGCCAAGGTAACACCTAAAATTAACTGTTACAATGTGTAATGAGTCAGTCACATCACTTCTGTCTGATTGTTTATACCTTAGCTCTATGTTTATAAACATGCTATCTGTTTATAGGATTAAAATATAATATATGACAGTAAAGTCAAATGACTTCTCTAAGGGATAATATGTCATTAGGATTGGAGCTAAAATCACATTTTTGATGTCCAAGAACCCTAATGTTGAGTGCTGTTACTTCTATATTATACTGTTTATTTCTCTTTTAATTAATGCACTCCTTTTAACAACTCTACAAAACCCATTTTTAAAATGGCATTTGAAACATGGAGCAACCTCTTTAATGTTAGATCAATTTTGTGTGCCATATGAGACATTCAATTCAACATATGTTTTATGTATTTTGTCTTCAATGTTTTCCACATCATATGAGTGATTGATAAGCACTTTCATGTGCAAAACTTTGCGCTAATCCTCTGTAGAAAGGATGTAAAAGATAAATGACAAGATGTGTGACCTTATGGAACTTGGAACCTAAAAAGAAACTTAACATGCATGCAAATGTTCCTATATAATATAGCATTAAAAGTAAAACCGTTAACATGTGCAAGCTATTATAAACATACCAAAATTTTATACAACTTTTTCATTTAACTAACACTTTTAGGTCTCTACCATGTTTTAGAAACTATGTTAGTGACTGGAGATTAAATAGTAAACAAGTTGAATATGGCACTTTTACCTAAAGAGCTTACAAACAAGGAAAGATCAAACAAAAAAATAATCTTTGGCCGGGCGCGGTGGCTCACGCCTGTAATCCCAGCACTTTGGGAGGCCGAGGCGGGCGGATCACGAGGTCAGGAGATCGAGACCATCCTGGCTAACACGGTGAAACCCCGTCTCTACTAAAAATACAAAAAATTAGCCGGGCGTGGTAGCGGGCGCCTGTAGTCCCAGCTACTCGGGAGGCTGAGGCAGGAGAATGGCGTGAACCCGGGAGGCGGAGCTTGCAGTGAGCCGAGATCGCGCCACTGCACTCCAGCCTGGGCGACAGAGCAAGACTCCGTCTCAAAAAAAAAAAAAAAAAAAAAAAAAAAAATAATCTTTACAAGACAATGTGATGAGAAGGAATGCACGTATTCTGTGAGAGCACTACCATGAACAGCCAACCTCTTCAGGACAGTCAGGGAAAGCTTCCCATAGGAAAAATAGTCTCAATACAATATCTGCCATGAATAGATATTTTTTCCTTAGAAGGGTTAGAAAAAAAGAACAGTACATACAAAGACATGAAGTCAAGAGAGAAGCAGACAGAATATGGCTGCAACATACAGTAGGTGGAAGGAATCTGGGGATACTTTAGAAAGAAAGGAAGTAATGTGAAGTACTTAAGTGCTTAAATATTGGTATCTCATGAACTTGGGATTGAATCCTGAATTCCAATCAAACTAGCAATGTATCAGTAACTAAATTTATTAGTCTTTTTCTAAGCCATGGTTTATTTAATCAGCAAAATCAAGACAATTATACTTACTATATAGGTTCATTGTGAGAATTAAATAATATATTTAAGATTCAAAGGAGCACGCACATAGTAAACAGTCAGTACAAGATAGATATTATTATTTAAGGATTTCTTGTCGTTATTATTGGGAATGTGGCTTACCACATTCCAAAAGAAATTGAGATAATTTTTCTTTTATCTTCATTGGTCACTACTGACAATAGTAAACAGTATCACTGCTGATAAATAGTAAACACTGCCAGTAATAGTAAACAATATCATGTTTAGAGTATACATTAGATTTGCATTTGTCATACTAAGGGTTATTTCCACTGATTTACTGAAAAAATATTAGGTCCTACAGATATTGATTACATTTGAATGCCTATTTCCGAACTGTACTTCTCACCCTTAAAGAGAGTTGATAGTGCATGTGCTGCATATTTCCATGACCTGCCAGTTTTCTAGAATGTTTATATATCCTTCTAAATGACTTTAGTAAGTGTTGGTAAGAAATAAATATTTTCTGGTATGAGTTTTCTTATAGTACTTAACAAGAAAAAAGGGAAATAATTTAACTTTTTGAAATATTTTGAAAAATTACCACTTCCCTTAAAGCTCTACTATCAATAAACTCTTCATCCTGATTGTTTTCTGCATCAATATTAAGAATAAAAATTCTCCTATTGGAGCTTTGTCAAGTGCTGCTTGTAGTCAGTCCTGAGCCTGAGACTTACCAGAAGGCCATGGCTATATAAAAAGAAAGAGAATCCATCCAGTATAGGTTACTAGCAAAATGTGGTCCATTTTCAGTGGGATCATGAGCATGATGATGATAGTGAAGATGATGATGATATAGATTGTAGCTATCAGATATTGAATGCATACTATTTTTAGGCACTATAGGTATCTTTTCTTATTTAGTTCTTTAAAACAAAATTTTAGAGATGAGATCTCACTCTTTTGCCAAGGCTGGAGTGTGCAGTGGCACAATCACAGCTCACTGCACTCAACCTCCTGGGCTTACACAACTCTCCTGCCTCAGCCTCCCGAGTAGCTGGGATTACAGGTGTGAGCCATCATGCCCAGCTTCTTTAATTTTTATTATAACCCTGAAATATAGTTATTATTATATTTATTTTACAGAAAAGTATACTAAGTCTAAAAATAAATAAACTTAATTGCCTAAGGATTTGCTGAAGGAATCCCTGGTCTTCATTATACCACTGAAATTCCTAGGAAACTTTATATCATTATGTCAAAGTCATAGTAGACAGGCTCTGTGTGGAATAGACAAAACACTGTCAAACTAGTAAGGAACATTGCTTTGATGGTAAACAGCAGTACATGTTTGTTTTTCTTTTCCATGTTGACAGTCTGGTGCTTTGAGACCTTCCTTTTACTGAGCTAGTCACAAATAGTTCAAATTCAATCACTGTGTACCAGAAGATTGGGGTGTTGTTTTGATTTTCCTAGAAATTTAGGATTCATAATTTATGAATTTTATGAACTATATTCCCACAGATATCTAAATAATAATACAATCTGCATAACTGCAGGACTGTCATATCTACCTCCTTTAATCCTCAGCACCTAGCATAATGCCCAATACATATAGGCATTGTATAACAAAAGAGATGCACAATGAACTGTAAGAAAATGCCCCACCAGACATTGAGAAAACTGTAAATAGTAGTAACTGACAGTTCTGGGTTCTAGAAAAATAATGTCATTGACATGGGACAAAACTTTCTCATAGAATAAAAACAGGAAAGAATGATATAAATTTTGTGCTTCTCAGAGGGAATGATATTAGGAAATTCTGACATGATGGGATATAGTTTGAGTGTAGGAGAGTAACATTCACTTCACTCAGATCTGTAGGGTAAAATATATCCTTTTTGGTCGTAGTTGAATCTCTAGAGCCTAGTATAGTGTCTATAGTTGTTCAATGGTTATAGGTTGAGTTTATAAAAAGGTATTAAGCCCATATTCAGGGAAGAAACAAAAGGAAAACAATCTGTTCCTCTTGGATCAGCTAAATCATCTATCTCTAAATAGTCTGTCTCTAAACAGAAGAATCAAGAAACTTGCAAGAATCCATGGGCTATGGACTGAATGCTTGTGTCCCCCCAAAATCCATATGTTGAAGGCTTACCTTTCACTATAATAGTATTTGAAGGAAGAGTCTCTAGGAGGTGAATAAGTTGAAATAATGCGATGAGGGTGAAGCCCTCATGATGTCATAAGTGCCCAGGTAAGAGAAAAAAGAGAGCAGTATTCTCCCTCTCCACCATGTGAAGATACAGCAAGACAGCAGCCATTATTAAACCAGAAAGAGAGCCCTCACTTAGAACCTGACCATGCTGGCACCCTGATCTCAGTCTTGCAGACTCCAGAACTGTGAGAAATAAATATAATTTAAGCTACCCAGTCTACGGTGTTCAATTACAGCAGCCAGAACTGACTAAGACATCAATGACAGTTATTATCCATGACTTTGGAAAGAAGGCAGAGGGCATTCATCAGGTTAAGAAACAATAATTCAATGGCAAAGAGAAACATTGCACAGTCTTATAAGACTAAAATCCGATGACCTCAGGAGCCACAGTTTTAAGAGAAAATTGCTACTGACCAGTCCTTATCTTTCCTTCCATCTAAGGAAGTAGCATTAACTTCTAAAAGGAAATGTCAGTGGCATTGGCAATCTCACAAGCTGACATTCTAACCACTATCCTAAGAAATAATATACTCCTCTTGGCACAAATATCAAAATCAAGTAAGAATGGTTTTTTTTTTGGGTATACATGGACATATAGATGGGAACAATAAACACTGGGGTCTACTAGAGTGGGGAGAGGGAGGGGACAAAAAGCTGGAAATCTACCTATGGGGTACTGTGTTCAATACCAGGGTGATGGGTTTAGTCATACTTTAAACCTCAGCAAAAGACAATATTCCTCTGTATCAATCCTGCACATGTACCCTATGATTCTAAAATGAAAGTGGAAAAAGAAAAAAATGGCTATGTTTAAATAATATATTTAAATATCTTTATGTTTAAATAATATATTTAAATATCTTTATGTTTAAATAATATATTTAAATATCTTTATGTTTAAATAATATATTTAAATATCTTTATGTTTAAATATATTTAAATATCTTTATGTTTAAATATATTTAAATATCTTTATGTTTAAATAAAGATAATAGACATGGTAGATAAGAAAATCGATTTTGGAATCAATCTTAGGTCAAATCTCAAATTCCCACTTACTAGCATTTTTCGGCTGTAAAATATAAATAATAAAAGTACTTCCCTCTTCATATAGCTGTGTAAATTAAATGAAATAATAAACACAAGACACTTAACAGAGTGTATGGCACACAAACAATAAATATTCTTTATTTTACTATAGAAAATGACTGTGCACTAACAGGTAGACAGACACGTGCTATTATTTAAGTTAGCTCTGAGCTGCCCCATCAATGTGATCTCCAGGCAGAATCTGTTTATGTGCCACAAGTTAGTAGTTTACAGAGAGCTGTTGTACAGGGAAAACATAATCTCTACCAATGTAAACTCTTAAATTTAAGTATCCTAAAGGGAACCATAGCCCCTACTAATGCTGGGGAGTCAGCTAGACTGCTTATGTTCTTACATTGTGTAGAGTGGGTAAGAATCCAAAGAAGAGGAATGCGGGTTTATAAACTGGCACACAGATTAATATCCTGATGCTCCAGCATACTTACCAATAATTAGAAAAGGAGCCAATAGTGAGCCATAGGCCTACTCTGTCCCACATTTTTATGAGTCACCTGTAAGAAAATTTAGATGATGAATTGTTCAAGTCAGCCAAACAGCCACACAAAAAATAGCACAGTGTTTAACAGCATGCATTTGGTGTTACTCAGGTGTGAGTTTAGCTGTCTTTAATCTTGAAAAACATTTCTTAATGGAGGATGAAAATTATGGCGCTGTCCATTATTAGCTGTGTGACACAGGCAGGCAACTTAACCTCATTTATAAAGTGGAGATAATCAGAGCAGTCACTTAATAGGTTTGTTGAGAAGATTACGTAAGACTCCATGTGAAGGCACTTGTTCTTATTCTTGGCATATATTTAATATTCAATAAAAGTTACACACACACACACACATGCACACACACAAATCTAGCTTCATGATTGGAATAAACGGATCAAAATAAATTAATGTCCACAGCCCTAATCATTTTTTCCTTGGGGAGGGGGAGGCATGAAATAGAACCAAGAAAGAAGAAACAAAGAAAAAGGGGTATACACTTGAAAATACTGTGAAAAAAAGAGTGGATGGCCCTCAGCTGCAGGGAGAGAATACAAAACTAATAAAAGTACCCAAATGTTATATCCTGTTCAATTCAGGAAGCCATCTCCGCCTTGCTTGATTCACCTGCTCCCTGCTCATCTCATCATACAGAACAGCTAGCAGATAGTCCATGATGACCTCCAAAAGTTATTAATTCATGAAGCCATGTGGGGAAATTGAAATGCAGCAAGGCTCTAAATATGATTCTTTAAAAAACTGGCTGTTGAAATGGTTTAATATTCATGCCTTTGTATCCTGCTAAGACTTGTGTTGAACTCTGAATAATGAAAATTTAGTAAGTCCAGATGTGTTTACAGATAATAATGAAAAAAGACTCAATTGGTTAACTTTATAAAGAAAGGAAAAATATCTAGAAATGACTATTATTTTCTATATCTACACAACATTTCAAATTCTCACTTCAATACTCTTTATATAACCACATGGCAATATAAGCAAAACCACCCAATCCAAAAGATGTCAGCACTTAACTCTACATTCAGTTTCTAGCAAAACACAAAGTCAACATTTCTATAACTGACTAAATCGATTTTATTTCGACTACAAGGCATAGTTATCAAATGAGACCATCAGTAACACTGTTTTAATTTTCTTTTTTTTTTATTCCTACAACAGCAGTCATAGAATGTGGGAAAAGACATTCATATGAAAGTTGGGGAAGGGTACAAGTAAGGACAAAAAATAAATGGCTTCCAATAATTTCCTTGAAGAATTTTGCTTCATCTCTCAATTTCCCTCAATGTTAAAGTAAGGTTCATGAAATATATAGTCAATTAAGTTTTGTGTATGTATTAAGCACATATTGCCATGTGCTTCAATGCGTCCAGTTCTGCTGAAGCTATCCATCTTTTGAGAGAAAAATATAAATACGAACAGATAGTTGATCAAGTGTGAAAATGTTTAGCACAGCTTTATGTATTCTATGAAAAATTAAAGATGAGGAGATAATTATGATATAAAAATGAAAGAAGTTTTAATGAAGAAGATGTTAAATTGGATTTGGGGGAAAAGGTATAGACTTTGAATTAAAAAGTAGAAATAGGGCTATTTCAGGTAATTAGGACAGCATGAGCAAAGATACAGATGAAAAACACATTACTGTTTAATTTAAAAGCTCTAAGATAAATTTCATACTAAAAGTAACTGAAGATAAACCTAGATAGTTAAGGTGACACTGCCTGTGCATTCACTCACAAATTTACACTTCTTCAAAATTCCTTTATTTAATAATGCAACAAATATTTATTGTTTAAAAGATATAATATGGTGTTTAGAGCTCCACAAACAATATTAGGGTGCTGAAGATTACTACCGTAACCATGTTGAATCATAGAAATCTGCCTCACCTGTTGCCACTGGAACCGATGTCTCAGAGATTGTTAACCAATTGTGAAGTCTGTTTTTTTTTTTTCAGGTTTTATTTGAACTCTGCAGCATTTGACAATATTGCCTTTGTTATTCTTTCGGTAACTCTCATCTTCCTTGCTTCTTGGTGAAATACACTTCATTTTTTTTCATCTATTGTTGGTGGTAGTCTCCCAATGATTCAGGTATCAACTATCTTCTCTTACTTCACTACGCACATTCCCTAAGTCATCCCATCTGTTCCCCACTATGCTGTAAGCTACTTAAAGGCAGAGATATCATTAGATTTGCTATATCCACAGAATCAGTGACAGGCAGAGATCAAGGATTGATTAAATATTTGTTGAATATTTTAATAAAAGAGCTTCAAGTAACGTCTGTACTCCTCCCTTCAAAATATGTACAGTTGACCCTCGAACAATGCAGAGGTTAAGGGCACGGACACATTTCAGAGTTGAAAATCCATGAAAAACTTATGACTTCCCAAAAATGTAACTGCTGATAGCCTACTATTGACTGGAGGACTTACCAATAACATAAACAATTAACACATATTTTGTATATGTATTATATATTGTATTATTATACTAAATTAATCTAGAGAAAAGAAAATGTTATTAAGAAAATCATAGGGAAGATAAAATATATTTACTATTCATTAAGTGGAAATGTATCATCATATAGGTCTTCATCCACGTGGTCTTCATGTTGAGGAGGCTGAGGAGGAAGAGAAAGAAAAGGGGTTGGTCTTACTGTCTCAATTGTCACAGAGGCAGAAGAAAATCTACATAGGAGTAGACACACATAATTCAAACTTGTGGTGTTCAAGGGTCAACTGCATTTCCAATCTTCTTTATTGAACTCAAGGCCTATGAGCTAAATTGTCTAATGTAATTCATTAAACTAATATTGAGTGTTTATAGAGGAAAAGCACGCTCTAGTCTATAGTGATACAATGGTGAATAAAGGAGATAAATGAGCTTCTTCATTAAATTTACATATTATGTATATGACGCTCCTTAAAAATAAAGGGATACAAATGCTAAGACTTAAATTTTGTTTCTGATTTGAAATTACTTGGAGAGATATGAACTACTGTGAAGACATGTGTCTTAAACTACCTCAGATTCCTCCTCAGTAAAATGGTGAACATAATGGTACCTGATTTGTTTGGTGTTTTAAGGAGTAAATGAAATAATATAAGCAATGTAATTAGACATAATAAGGACTCAATGATTATTAGTAATTGCTGCATTTGATGGTTAATTTTATGTTTCAAATTTATTTGGACACAAAGTGCCACTGTATTTGGTAAAATATTATTCTGAGAGTGTTTGTGAGGTGTTTCTAGATTAGATTAACATTTGAATTGGTAATCTGAGAAAAATTGTTTTTCCTTTCTAATTTGGGTGGGCCTCATCCAATTCATTGAAGGTCTGTATATAACAAAGGCTTGGTGAGAAGGGATTCTCTCTTTGTGAGTGATTTGACCTGAGACATCAGTCTTCTCCCACCTTCAGACTTAGACTCATTCTAGAACTTATGTAATTGGTTTTCCTTGTTCTCAGGACTTTGGACTTGGACTGGGACTATACCATCGGCTCTCTTGGCTCTCCAGCTTGCTGACGCAGATCCGGGGGCTTCTCAGCCTCCCCAGTTGGATGAACCAATTCTTTATAATAATTTCTTTATAATAATTTTTTATCTATCTATCTATCTATCATCTACCTACCAATCATCTATCTATATCTATCTGTCTGTCTGTCTATCTATCTATCTATCTATCTATCTGTCTCTCTCCATTTCTCTGGAGAAACCATACTAATACACTGGAAATTATTATTATTTTTTTACCTTTTCAATGGGTAAAATGAAACAATTGATCACAATACATTTTTATAATTTTTATTTATTCTATGTTGTATACCTTCCGGCTTCTATTTTCTCTCTGGCACAAATCTTTAATTAACTGAAAAAACATTCACTTACATTCCAGACACTGTCCTGTGTGCTTGGATATTTGTAAACCAGTAAGATATCTTTCCTGCTCTGAAGAAAAGTGGATTCCAGTAGAGGGTAGAAATAGATAAACTATAAATATATAATTTATTCAGATTTTCCTCAACACTATATTAGAAACATCTTTTAATCAATCATTTGATGTTGGTTGAGCATCTCAATGTGCCAGGCATTGTTCTTGATAGAATACAAACAGACAAAATCAGATTAACATCTGCTCTTATACAGCTTATGTTATAATTAAAAAGCTACTGAAATGTACCATATAGTGATGAAGAATAATAAATCCAGGAAATAATAGATCATATTTCTATTATTTAGCTTTGAAACCAAAGCACACTTTTGATCTGCATATTCCACACAGGTTGTTCCATTCTCATTCCCAAATAATATTTCACATTTTCAAGACTGCTGCTCCAAAAGCATGACATTTAGTCTCTCTCATAAGCCTGCAATGATTTCTTGGGATTAAACTTTATCACATGGATAAATGAACAGATTAGATAGACAGATGAATAAACAGATCATAGAGAGGTAGGTAAATATATAGATAGAATGCAAACATTAATTGCTATGACAATGGAATGGCTGTCTAATTATCTCATTAGTACTTACCCTGGGTTTCAGAGTCTCAGATATAAGTAATATTTAATGGAAGATTTTTTTTAAATGAGCTACTTGTCTTTTTTCAAGCTATGTCATATTTCATAGATAGTGAGATTGGCCACTAATTATTTGCTTGAACCTTCCTCCATTAGCCTTAAAAGTACTGGAAATTCTTCATTAATTATGGCAACTGGTTGTCAGACATTTTTTATGATTTTGTTATATATATATGTATATGTATATATTCTCAGATATTTCAGTGGAAAATTGAAAATGACTTTCACTTGTATACGAATTTTCTTCTGTCTCTTCACACCACGTAGTCTTCTTCATTATTGGAATATATCTTCTTACACAAATAAAGAAATGTACATTTCACCTAGCTAAGTTGTAGTATAATGTCTCTTCATTTGACAGTCTTTTGAGAATGTTACTTAAGAAGGGCAAAGTGAGTAAAGTTGTCATATATACATGGATTGTAAAAAGTCACTTTATTTTCATTTTATGTGTTTTAGAAATTTTCCTTTTGTGGGAATAAGTGAAAGAAAATAACCTGAATTGGATGCAGAAGGGCTTTTGAAGAAAGAAGTTATCTTAAAATGAAGAGTGAAGGATAAAACAATGAAGCTTTTGTAAGGAATAATACTTGCCTACTAATAGCTACCTCATGTAATGACTACTCTGGGGCATAATAAGAGCTAACTTCCTTGAACATTTTGGATTAATTGCAGCAGATAAGAACAAAGTGTGATGAATATGTACTACTTAAGCTTTGCATGAAAATGTCTTTTCTTTTTAATAAAAAAGAAACATAATTCTTGGTTATAATTAACAACTTACAGTTGTTAGGTGTGATTATTTCTATCCTTTTTCTTCTGTAGAGATATTCAGTCTTTTTTCAAATATAACAAGTAGGATTTAAGTTGCACCAGTGATATTGAGCATGTTTCCATATACCCGTTGGGCATGTTCATTTCCTTTTGAGAAATGTCAATTCATGACATTTTCCCCCTTTTAAATGGGATTCTTCATTTTCTAATTGTTGAGTTGTTTGAGTTCCTTGTATATGCTAGATATTAGTCTGTTGGTGGATGAATAGTTTGCAAATATTTTCTCCTATTCAACAGGTTGTCTCTTCACTGTGTTGATTGTTCCCTTTGTGGTGCAGAAGCTTTTCAGTTTAATATAGCTTTATTTGTTTGTTTTTATTTTTGTGTCTGTGCTTTTGAGGTCTTAGCCAAAAGGTAAAATCTTTACCTAAATCAATGACCTGAAGTGTTTTCCCTATGTTTTAATCTAGTAGTTTTACAGTGTGGGGTGTAATGTTTAAGTCTTTAATCCATCTTAAATTGACTTTTGTATGACATGAGAGGTAGTGATTCAGTTTTACTCTTCTTCATATGGATATCTAATTTACCCAGCACCATTTATTGAAGAGGGCACCCTTTTGCATATTCTTGATGCTTCTGTGAAAAATCAGTTTGCTATGAGTATATGCATTTATTTCAGGGTTTTCTATTATGTAACATTGTTATAGGTGTCTGTTTTTATACCAATACCATGCCTTGGTTGGATGGTTGGTGGTTTGGTATAGCCTTGTAATATATTTTGAAGTCAAGTAGTGTGATCACTGCAGCTTTTTAATTTTGGGGGATTTTTTTTTTTTTTTTTTGGTCAGAACTGCTTTGGCTATTTGAATTCTTTGTTGTTGTTGTTGTTCCATGCAAATTTTATAATTGTTGTTTCTGATTCTGTGAATAATGATGTTGGTATTTTGATAAGGATTGCATTGAATCTGTAGATGACTTTGGGAAGTATGGTCATTTTAACCATATTAATTCTTGCAATCCATAAGCATGAGATGTCTTTCCATTATTTTGTGTTCTCTTCAGTTACTTTTATCAGTGTTTTGTAGTTTTCCTTGTAGACATTTTTCACCACCTTGGTTCAATTTATTCCTCATTATTTTTTTTTGTTGCTATTGTAAATGAAATTGCCTTCTTGACTTCTCTCTCAGATAGTTCGTTGTTGGTATATAGAGAAGCTACTTTTTTATATTGATTTTGTGTTTTGCAAGTTTATTAATTCTGAGAGTTTTTTTGATGGAGATTTAGGTTGTTCTACATATAGGATCGTATCACCAACAAATGACAATTTGACTTTCTCTTTTCTAAATTTATATGTCTTTTATTTATTTCTCTTGCCTGATTGCTCTGACTAGGACTTCCAGTACCATGTTGAGTGGGAGTCGTTAAAGTGGGCATCCTAGTTTTGTTCCAGTTTTTAGAAAAAAAGCCTTTTAGTTTTTCTCCATTCAGTATGATATTAGTTGTGAGTTTGTCATATATGGCCATTATTATGTTGAGATATGTTCTTTGTATGCCTAGTTTGTTGAACAATTTTAGCATGAAGGGATATTGAATTTTATCAAATGCTTTTTTGGCACCAATTGAGATGACCATATGGATTTTGTTCTTTATTCTGTTGATGTAATCTATCACATTTATTAATTTGGGTATATTGAACCATACTTGCATTCCTCAGACAAATCTGACTTGATCATAGTTTATTATTTTCTTGATATGCTGCTGAAATTTTTTTGTTAGCATTCTGTTGAGAATTTTTGCATCTATGGTCATTGTTGATATTGGTCTGTAGTTTTCTTTTTTGTTGTTGTACCCTTGTCTCGTTTTGGTATCAGGATAATGCTGGCCTTGTAGAGTGAGTTAGGGAGAATTTCTCCTCAATGTTTTTTTATTTTTGTTTTTTTTCCTTTCTTTCTTTTTTTTCTGGAATAGTTTGAGGAGAATTGGTATTATCAATCTGGGCCTGGAATTTTTCTTTGTTGGGAGACTTATAACTGATTCAATCTTATTACTTATTATTGGCCTGTTCAGCTTTCTGTTTTATTTTTCTTGATTCAATCTTGGCAAGCTGTATGTTTCTAAGAATTTATTCCTTTCCTCTAGGTTTTCCAGTTTGGTAGTATATCTTTGCTCATAATACTCTCTGATGATATTTTGTATTTCTGTGTTAGCACTTGTAATTCCATTTTCATTTCTGATTTCGTTTATTTGGATCTTTTTTTTCTTGGTTAATGTAGCACGTGCTTTATCAAATTTATAAAACAACTGTTTTCTTTTTGCAATCCTTTTCTTCAGTTTTTATTTCTTTAGCTATATACTGGTCTTTATTTTTTATTTCCGCCTATTAATTTGGGGTCTGACTTGTTGTTTCTCTAGTTACTTGAGGTGCATTATTATATTGTTTATTTGAAATCTTTCCACTTTTTTATGTAGGTGTTTATTGTTATAAACTTCTCTCTTAACACTGCTTTCGCTCTATCCTGCATCCTGTATTTTGCAAAATGCTGCCATGTGGCATTTTGATTTTCATTTGTTTTAAGAAACTTTTTGATCTCCTCCTTAATATCTTCCTTGACTCAGTGGTCATTCAGGAGCATGTTTCCTAATGTCTATCTCATTGTACAGTTTCCAAACCTCCTCTTGGTATTGATTTCTAGTTTTATTTCATGGGATCTGAGCATATACTTGATATGATTTTGATTTTTAAAAAAATGTGTTTATACTTGTTTTGTTGCCTAATATGGTTTATTCTGGTGAATGTTCTGTGTGCTGATGAGAAGACTGTATCCTGTAGCTATTGGATGAAATGCTTTGCAAATGTCTGTTAGGTCTATTTGTTCTCATGTGAAATTTAAATTTAATGTTTGTTTGTTAATTTTCCATCTAGATGATCCAACACTAATATTGGGGTGTTGAAATTCCCAAGAATTATTGAATAGGAGTCTGTCTCTTCCTCTAAATCTAATAATATTTGCTTTATATATCTGGATACATAGTTGGTGGGTGTATAAAGGTTTGGAATTGTTATATCTTCTTGTTCAATTATGCCCTTCATCTTCATATAATAACTGTCTTTGTCTCTTTTTTTAACTGTTTTTGAGTTGAAATCTGTTTTATCTGATATAAATACAATTGCAGTGGTGGCAGTTTTGGGCTAAGCATACCTGTCTTTGGATCTCATGGAAGCATGTGTTGGCACTGGTGTCAGCAGGTCCTGGCTGGCCAATTCTCGGGTCTTTAGGTGGCTTGCTTAGATGCCAGTAGTGGCAGTGGCAGGCTGGGCAGTTGGGCAGATTCTCAGGGCCAGTGTGGTGGGGATGATGGGAATAGCATGGCAGGATGACCTTTTGTGTCCTGAGTAGCACGTGCTTGCTTGGCACTTTCTGTCGTGGGATGGGTGGGCCAGTCTCTAGGCCCACAGGTGGTGCATGCAGAGAAGTGCCAGCTGTGGTGGTAGCAGCTGGGTAGTAAACACAATCATGGACATCTTGGAGGGATGTGCAGGTACCAACAGCGGTAGACTGAGCTGGGAATTTCCAAGGCCCATAGACTGCACAGGTTTGGGGGAGACAAAGTCGGGCTGGACAAATTTATACATAGGCCCCCAATAGTGTGCAGATACCTGCCATGTAGGCAGAGGCAGAGCAATTCCCAGAGCTCCATTAGAACGCTTGAGTGAGATCTGCAGCAGCCATGCTGTAGCCCTTCAACTGGTGAGGGTGGGGCCACCTTCAGTGGTAGCAGCCTATACCAGTGGATGGAGAACACTTGCCCTGTTTGCCTCTCAAGTCAGGCAGTGGCACCCCTCACCACGCTCATGCCTCAGCCTCTGTAGCAGTTCATGTTTTGTTTACGTTTCAGCCCCAGCACTACCGCACCCTAGGACAACCTGCAGTTTCTCTAGAGCTGGGCTATAAAATGGCAGGATACTTTAGCTGCTTAGCACTTGTTCGGCGTCTGGTACCCAGCACAAGCTACCTCCCTGTTTAAATGCCATCAGGCTGTGTGACCAGGCAACTCCCTATGTTTAGTTTCAGGACCCAGAAGGGTCAAAGTGCTTTACTATGGCTAGGAATGTAGGAGTCCATGGTGGGAATGCTGACGACTGGAGATCTTTAACTTACTGTTTCCTCAAATTGGTGTTTCCTAGCTCCCAGCTGAACCTGAACAAGTAGGCTGCTTTGTTTTCCTTTTCTTTCTGTCTGTAGGTGTTTTCTGTGACATTTCTTTTAAATTCCAGTGTTCTCTCTTGGGTGATCTATTCAAAGTATGACTACTCACTATTTCAATTCTTCTTAATGGAGGAGGGGTAGGTAGCATGATGAGTTTTGACAATTGTATACAATCATACGGTCACTACAGTTGTGAAAATCTATCACTCCAAAAATAATTATGAGCTTCTGTTACAGTAAGTTCTCTGAAAAAAAAAAATTTGAACATCCCTCAAGCTTGGCAACCACTAAAATGCTTTCTCTACTTATGATTTTGTCTTTCCTGGAATATTATATAAATGAAATCATGCAGTATGCAGCCTTTTAAGTTGGCTTCTTTTATTTATCCTAATTCCTTTGAGATTCATCCATGTTATTGTGAGTATTAGTATTTCATCTTTTTTAGTTGCTGAATAGGATTTTTTTTTTTTGAGATGGAGTCTTTCTCTGTCCCCCAGGCTGGAGTGCAATGGTGAGATCTCAGCTCACTGCAACCTCCTCCTCCTGGGTTCAAGTGATTCTCCTGCCTCAGCCTCCTGAGGAGCTGGGATTATAGGCACGCACCACCATGTTTGGCTAATTTTTGTATTTTTATTAGAGACAGGGTTTCACCATGTTGGCCAGGCTGGTCTCAAACTCCTGACTTCAGGTGATCCACCTGCCTTGGCCTCCCAACGTGCTGGAATTACAGGCATGAGCCATGGTGCCTCGCCTCTGAAAAGCATTCTATTGTATGACTGTAGCATAATATATTGTTATATGTGCCAGTGAATGTGCTTTGGGGTTGTTCCAGTTTTTGACAATTATCAATAAGACTCCTAGAAACATTTTTGTACAATTTTCGCATAAAGATATACGTTTTCATTTTAATTAATGTATAACTAGGAGTAGGATTGCTGGGTCATATGGTATATGTATGATTTATTTTGAAAGAGATCACCAAAATATTTATAAAATTGTCCTTCACTTTTGTATTTCCATCAGAAATATATGAGATTTCCAGTGTTCTGTATCTTCACCTATACTTTACACTTCCAGTAATTTTTAACTTTATTTATTCTAGCCAATATTTAGTGATACTGTAGTTTTAATTTGCATTTTTCCCAGTGGCTAGTGATGTTAGACATCTTTATCTGTGCTTACTTAACATCTGAATATGTTCTTTGATGAACTGTCTGTTCAAATCTCTTGCTCATTTTTTTGTTGTGTTGTTTTCTATTTACTTGTAAGAACTCTTTGCATATCCTAGATACAAATCTTTTCTCAGATATGTGAATTGCAAATATTTTCCCTAGCCTGTGACCTCTTTTTTCATTTTTTAAATTTGTTTTGAAGAGATAGGGTCTCACTCTGTCACTCTGGCTAGAAGGCAGTGGCACAATCATAGGTTACCGCAGCCTCAAATTCCTGGGCTCAAGTGATCTTCCAGCCTCAGCCTCCTATGACTTTTTTATTTTCTAAACAGTATATTTCAAAGAGCAGAATTTTTTAATATTGGCGATATCCAATTTATCATTTATACTTTTGTGATTTAAATAATCTTTATTATATCTATGAAATTTTTGTGTAAACCTTGTGCACGAAGATATTCTCCTATGTCTTCTGCAGTTCTTCTTCAGTAAAATAGTCAATAAAGCCCAGTGTTTTCTGGCTGTCTGCCTGCAACACTATTACTATCAATGAGCCTATCAAACACTCAGAACTTTTTAATAACTAATGATGTATCTGAAGTTCTAGAATTTATTGGCTCGTTTTTCATTATTTTTTGTTTTCAGCCAATATAAAATCAGTATTAAATATTACATTTCATATTCATTAAATCATATTTAATAAATTTGTACACTGCATTAATTAGTTATATAACATTTAAGTAGAACTAATAGACACAAAAGTCTTATGAGAAGAGAGGCAATCATGCTGTCTCTTCTACTCTACAAGGTTCTGGCCAAATCTGAGACAGGAGGGCAGAGCAAGATGGCAGAATAGAAGCCTATGTCATGTGTGCCCTCTGCAGGAATACCACATTTTAACAACTATCTGCACACAGAAAAGCACCGTGATAAGAATCAAACATCAGGTGAATAATCACGGTACCTGGTTTTAAATTCATCACTGAAAGAGGTATTGGAGTGGGCCATAGAAGCAGTCTTGGATCACTGACACCACCTCTCTTCCATCCCCAGCCAAAGGCCCTATGATGTGGGAAGTGTTGCGAGAAGTCAGGGACCCTGAACGGAGGGACCTGCTGGAGCCGTGGCAGAGGAACATAAGTTGTGAAGATTTCATTTTAATATGGACATTTTCCAGTTCCTAAATAATACTTTTATAATTTCTTATGCCTGTCTTTAATCTCTTAATCCTGTTATCTTTGTAAGCTGAGGATGTACATCACCTCAGGACCACTGTGATAATTGTGTTAACTATACAAATTATTGTAAAACATATGTGTTTGGACAATATGAAATCAGTGCACCTTGAAAAAGGAAAGAATAACAGTGATTTTTAGGGAACAAGGGAAGGCAACCATAAGGTCTGACTGCCTGCGGGGTCCGGCAAAAAGAGCCATATTTTTCTTCTTGCAGAGAGCCTATAAACAGATGTGCAAGTAGGAGAGATATCGCTAAATTCTTTTCCTAGGAAGAAATATTAATATTAATACCCTGGGAAAGGAATGCATTCCTGGGGGGAGGTCTATAAATGGCCACTCTGGGAGCGTCTGTCTTATGTGGTTGAGATAAGGACTGAGATACGCCCTGGTCTCCTGCAGTACCCTCAGGTTTACTAGGGTAGAGAAAAACTCTGCCCTGGTAAATTTGTGATCAGACTGGTTCTCTGCTCTTGAACCCTGTTTTCTGTTGTTTAAGATGTTTATCAAGACAATATGCGCACCACTGAACATAGACCCTTATCAATAGTTCTGCTTTTGCCCTTTGCCTTGTGATCTTTGTTGGACCCTTATAGGTAGTTCTGCTTTTTGCCCTTTGAAGCATGTGATCTTTGTACCTACTCCCTGTTTTACACCCCCTCCCCTTTTGAAACCCTTAATAAAAAACTTGCTGGTTTGAGGCTCAGGTGGGCATCATGGTCCTACTGATATGTGATGTCACCCCCGGCAGCCTAACTGTAAAATTCCTCTTTTTGTACTCTTTCTTTTATTTCTCAGTCGGCCAACACTTATGGAAAATAGAAAGAACCTATGTTGAAATATTGGGGGTGGGTTCCCCTGATAGAGAAGTCTGTGTACTTCAGGAAGGGAGAGTGCAGCACTGGGAGACTTTATATTGAACACAGTGCTTCCCTGCCTTATCGGAGAGCAAAGCCATGCTGAGCTCAGCTAGCACCCATGCATGGAGGGAGCATTTGAACTAGTCCTGGCCAGAGAGTAATCACCCATCCCAGTTGTCAGAACATGAGTTTTTGAGCAAGCCTTGCCACCACAGACCAAAATGCTCTAGGGTCCTATGTAATCTTGAAAGGCAGTCTAGGACCTAGGGTTGCAATTCCTAGGCAACTCCTAGTGCTGGGCTAAGCTCAGAGCCAGAAGACTAGGTGGCATGTGACTCAGGAAGAAACTACCCACGGCAGCTTAGGGAGGGCTTGTGGTATCCATACCTCAACCTCAGACTGCACAGCTCACAGCAATGAAAGTGACTCTCTTTCTGTTTAAGGACAGGAGGGTGAGGAGGAAAGAGAACTTGGTATTGTACCTTGGATACCAGGTCAGCCACAGTAGGATAAGTGATATGGTTTGGATCTGTGTCCCCAGTAAATCTCACATTGAATTGTAATTCTCAGTGGTGGAGGTGGGGCCTCACCTAAGTGTTGGAGGTGGGAGGTGATTGAATCATGAGGTTCAGACAGCAGAGCTCTCATGAATGGGTTAGCACCATCCCCTAGTGCTGTTCTCCAGAGAGCTGGTTGTTTAAAAGTGTGTGGCACCTTCCCCCCACTTCCTCCTGCTCCTGCCATGTAAAGTGTTGGTTTCCTGTTTGCCTTCCGTCATTATTTTAAGTTTCCTGAGGCTTCCCCAGAAGCCAAGCAAATGCTGCTCTGCTTTCTGTGCAGCCTGCAGAGCTGTAAACCAATTACACCTCTTTTCCTTTTTTTTTTTTTTTTGAGACAGAGTCTCACTCTGTCACCCAGGTTGGAGTGCAATGGCGTGGTCTTGGTTCACTGTAACCTCTGCCTCCCAGGTTCAAGCAAGTCTCCTGCCTCAGTCTCTCGAGTAGGTAGGACTACAGATGTGTGCCACCACACCTGACTATGTTTTTATTTTTGTATTTTTAGTAGAGATGTAGTTTCACTATGTTGGCTAGACTGGTCTTGAACTCCTGACCTCGTGATCTGCCCACTTCGGCCTCCCAAAGTGCTGGGATTATGGGTGTTAGCCACTGCACCCAGCCACAACTCTTTTCTTTATAAATTACCTAGTCTCAGGTATTTCTTCATAGCAGTGTGAGAATGGACTAATACAATAGGGCACCAGGTAGAGTCATGAGGCACCCACTCCATGGTCCAGCTCATGGATGACATTTCTAGACACATCTTGAGCCAATGGGAAACCCACTACCTTGAATGGAAGGACCAGTCTTGGCAGGATTCATCACCTGGTGACCAAAGAGCCTGTGGTCCCTGAATAACCAGCAGCGATACTCAGGTAGTCTACAATGGGCTTTGGACTCTGAGACATGTTGACTTCAGGTGTGACTCAGCATATTCCCAGCTATGGTGGCTATTGTGAAAGACTCCTTCTGTTTGAGAAAAACAGAGGGAAAAGTAAAGGGGACTTTGTCTTTCACCTTAGGCATCAGCTCAGACACAGTAGGGTAGATCAACAACCTGCCTCCTGGGGTCCCTGAGTCCTGGCCTAGGCTTTTGGATAGCATTTCTGGACCTGTATTAGGCCATAGAGGAGCCCATCACCAAGAAGGGTGAATCATAGCCTTGGAAGCATTCACCATAAGCAGACAGAAGAGGCCTTGGATTTTAAGTTAACATTGGCAGTGGCCTAGCAGAACCCCCACCGCCCCATGGGCTGGTGGTGGTTGTGGCCACAAGCAGAGGCTCCTCTGTCTGTAAAAAGGGGAGGAAATAGTGGGAAGGACTTTATATTGTGATTTGAATGTTAGCCACAGTAGAATGAAACACTGGGCAAATTTTTAAGGTTTCAACTCTAATTCCTGGCTCCCAGACAGCATTTCTGGACCTGACAAGGCCTGGAGTAACTTGCTTCACTGAAGGGAAGGAAACCAACCTTGCTGGTTTCACCTCCTGCTGACTGTAGAGCCCTAGGGTCTTCAGTGAAAATAGGTAATAGACAGGTAGTGGTTAAAGTGGGCGTAGGTCTATACCCATTGCTCTGCTGCCTTCAGGTCTGACCAGTGCAGTTCCAGTGGTGGTGGCTACAGGGGTTCTTGCATCACCACACCCACAATTTGATGTGGCTCAGCACAGAGAGGTACCATACATCTTTTTGGAGAAAGTAAGGATAAAGAACAAGAGTCTCTGACTGGTAATTCTGAGAATTCTTCTGTATCTTATCCAAGACCACAGGCAGTACCTCTACTAGTCTACAAAAACCACAGTGTTAGTGGGCTTGGAGCCCAAGTTTCTTCAAATACCTGGAAAGCCTCCTTATGAAGGATGGGCATAAATAATCCCAGACTGCACAGACTAAAATAAATACCTAACTTTTCAATGCCAAGACACCGACAATCATTGACATGCATCAAGATCACCCAGGAAAAGATGATCTCATCAAATGAAATAAATAAAGCACCAGGAACCAATCCTGGAGAAACAGAGATATGTGAAGTTTCAGACAGAGAATTTAAAATAGCTGTTTTGAGGAAACTGAAAGAAATTCAAGATAACATGGAGAAAGAATTCAGAATTCTGTCACGTAAATTTAACAAAAAAGATTCAAATAATTAAACTAATCAAACAGAAATTCCAGAGTTAAAAATGCAATTGGCATACTGAAGAATGCATCAAGATCTCTTAATAGCAGAATTGATCAAGCAAAAGAAAGAATTTGACCATAAAAACAGGCTATTTGAAAATAAACAGAAAAGAAAAACAAAGAATAAAGCATGCCTACAAGATTTAGAAAAGAGCCTCAAAAGGGAAAATTTAAGAGGTATTGTCCTTAAAGAGGAGGTCAAGAAAGAAAGAGGGGTAGAAAGTTTATTCAAAGGGATAACAGAACTTTTCAAACCTAGAGAAAGTTATTAATATGCAAGTACAAGAATGTAATAGAACACCAAGCAGATTAAACACAAAGAAGACTACATCAAGTCATCAATAATCAAACTCCCAAAGGTCAAGAATAAAGAAAGGATCCTAAAAGTAGCAAGAGGAAAGACACAAATAACATACAATGGAACTCCAATATGTCTAGCAGCAGACCTATCAGTGGAAACCTTACAGGCCAGGAGAGATTTGAATGGTATATTTAATGTGCTAAAGGAAAAAAAAAATGTTTACTATAGAATAGTATAACTGGAGACCATATCCTTCAAGCCTGAAGCAGAAATAAAGACTTTTCTAGACAAACAAAAGCTGAGAGATTTCGTAAACACTAGACCTATCCTACACAAATGCTAAAGGGAGTTATTCAAACTGAAAGAGAATGATGCTAATGAGCAATAATAAATCATCTGAAAGTACAAAATTTACTGGTAAGAGTAAGCACGCAGAAAAACACAGAATAGTCAACACCGTAATTGTGGTGTGTAAACTAATCTTAAGAAGGAAGAATAAATGATGAACCAATTGAAAACAATGAATACAACTTTCAAAACATAGACAGTACAATAAGACAAATAGTAATGATGAAAAGTTAAAAAATGGGTTGGGAATTCAGTTAAAATGTAGAGTGTTTATTAGTTTGCTTTTTGTGTGTTTGTTTCTTTGTTTCTGCAAGCAATGTTAAGTTGTCATCATTTTAAAATAATGAGTTACAAGATAATATTTGCAAGCCTCATGGTAACCTCAAATAGAAAAACACACAATGAACACACACGCACACACAAAATAACCAAGAAAATAAATCATACCACCAGAGAAAATTACCTTCACAAAAGGAAGACAGAGAGGAAAGAAGGCAGATACGACCACAAAACAATAAGAAAACAACTGACAAAATGGCAAGAGTAAGTCCCTAATTATCAGTCATAACATTAAATGTAAATAGACTAAACTCTCCAATAGAAATATGGACAGTGCTGAATGGAAAAAACAAGAAACAATGATGTGTTCCCTACAAGAAATACACTTCACCTATAAAGACACACAGAAACTGCAAATAAAGTCACAGAAAAAGCTCTTCTGTGTCAATGGAAACCAACAAAGAGCAGGAGTAGCTATACTTATATTGTACAAAGTAGATTTAAAGACAAAAACTGTAAGAAACCACAAAGAATGTCATTATATGATGATAAAAGGGTCAATCCAGCAATTGCATAGGACAGGAAATATATATGCACCCAACACTGGAGCACTCAAATATATAAAGAATATATTATTGTAGCTAAAGGGATACATAGACCTCAGTAATAGTTGGAGACTTCCACACCCCACTTTCAGCATTGGACGGACTTTCCAGACAGAAAACTAACAAAGAAACCTTGGAGTTAATCTGCACTATGGAATATATGGGTCTAACATATGTTAACAGAATATTTCATCCAAAGGCTACAGAATACTCATTCTTCTCCTCAGCACATGGATCATTTTCAATGATAAAACATATGTTATGTCACAAAACAAGTCTTAAAACATTTGAAAAATTGAGATAATATCAAGCTTCTTCTCAGACCACTGTCGAATAAAATAAGAAAGAAGAGAAATTTTGAAAAATATACAAACACATTTAAATTAAACAATATGCTCCTGAATGACCAGGGGGTCAATGAAGGAATTAAGAAGGAAATTGAAAATTTTTTGAAACAAATGATAATGAAAACACAGTATACCAAAACCTGTGGGATACAGCAAAAGCAGTAGTGAGAGGGAAATTTATAGCTATAAGTGCCTACATCAGAAAAAGGGAAAAACCTCAAACAAACAACCTAATTATGCATCTTAAAGAAGTAGAAAAGCAAGAACAAACAAAACTCAACATTAGTAGGGGTAAAAATAACAAATATCAGTACAGAAATAAAAGCATTTGAAATGGAGCGATGAACATTATCTTCTGAGTCCTGAGGGCAAATGGCAGGTTTCTCCACCGTGAAGATGCTAATTTTCCTTTTCCGCGCCCCATTTGTTAGAAGCCAATCTGCAGTCAAGGGTAGGAGAGTCAAGCTCCACACCAGAGGGAGAAGTATCAAAGAGTGTATGGATCTATATTAAAAGTACTATAGTGAGGAGAAAATATTTTGGAAGCTGTGCAAATATCCTGTTTCTCTTTAAAGTTTCATGCTCAGCCTTTTGCTCCTCCTCAAGTATATCCACCATGTCCCTGCTCCCAGGTGCCTACCTGGGTGCTCTCCCCCAGAAGGGGAGCATGTGCTTGCCCCACTTCTTCCCGCCTGCACTCAGAGGCCTCCTTTATGGCTCTGTCTAAACAGCACCTGCCACCCCCCAATTTTTTGACCATCTTTCCTTTCTCTTGATAGCATTAACTGAGCTCACTTCACACAATTACCTACTGTTGGAAGCTCACCATCCCACCCTGCCTCACTAGAAGCATAAGCTCCAGGAGACAGGGATTTGCCTCTTTTCTTCTCTGCTCTATAGAGGTCCTACAATAGAGCCTGATAAATGTTTGCTAAATGAAAAATTGAAAATTAGGACTATTTGGAGTCAAATGATCCTAAGATTGTAATTTATACTCATGTTAACTAGTGTTTCTAGTCATTTTAAAGCCTTAGCTTATTAGTCAGCCAACACTGGAGTTCCTACTATATGCAGTCAGTGGGTGGAGGGAGAAGGGAAAAGATCATGATAAATAAAGCATAGCCTGGAAAAAATAAAGAAATGAAAATAATATAAAAGATCAACAAATGTTCTTCCATTTGTTTGTATCCTCTTTTATTTCATTGAGCAGTGGTTTGTAGTTCTCCTTGAAGAGGTCCTTCACATCCCTTGTAAGTTGGATTCCTAGGTATTTTATTCTCTTTGAAGCAATTGTGAATGGGAGTTCACTCATGATTTGGCTCTCTGTTTGTCTGATGTTGGTATATAAGAATGCTTGTGATTTTTGTACATTGATTTTGTATCCTGAGACTTTGCTGAAGTTGCTTATCAGCTTAAGGAGATTTTGGGCTGAGACAATGGGGTTTTCTAGATATGCAATCATGTCGTCTGCAAACAGGGACAATTTGACTTCCTCTTTTCCTAATTGAATACCCTTTATTTTCTTCTCCTGCCTAATTGCCCTGGCCAGAACTTCCAACACTATGTTGAATAGGAGTGGTGAGAGAGGGCATCCCTGTCTTGTGGCAGTTTTCAAAGGGAATGCTTCCAGTTTTTGCCCATTCAGTATGATATTGGCTGTGGGTTTGTCATAAATAGCTCTTATTATTTTGAAATATGTCCCATCAATACCTAATTTATTGAGAGTTTTTAGCATGAAGGGTTGTTGAATTTTGTCAAAGGCCTTTTCTGCATCTATTGAGATAATCATGTGGTTTTTGTCTTTGGCTCTGTTTATATGCTGGATCACGTTTATTGATTTGCGTATATTGAACCAGCCTTGCATCCCAGGGAAGAAGCCCACTTGATCATGGTGGATAAGCTTTTTGATGTGGTGCTGGATTCGGTTTGCCAGTATTTTATTGAGGATTTTGGGTAGGAAGAATCAATATCGTGAAAATGGCCATACTGCCCAAGGTAATTTACAGATTCAATGCCATCCCCATCAAGCTACCAATGACTTTCTTCACAGAATTGGAAAAAACTACTTTAAAGTTCATATGGGACAAAAAAGAGCCCACATCGCCAAGTCAATCCTAAGCCAAAAGAACAAAGCTGGAGGCATCACTCTACCTGACTTCAAACTATACTACAAGGCTACAGTAACCAAAACAGCATGGTACTGATACCAAAACAGAGATATAGATCAATGGAACAGAACAGAGCCCTCAGAAATAGCGCCGCATATCTACAACTATCTGATCTTTGACAAACCTGAGAAAAACAAGCAATGGGGAAAGGATTCCCTATTTAATACATGGTGCTGGGAAAACTGGCTAGCCATATGTAGAAAGCTGAAACTGGATCCCTTCCTTACACCTTATACAAAAATCAATTCAAGATGGATTAAAGACTTAAACGTTAGACCTAAAACCATAAAAACCCTAGAAGAAAACCTAGGCAATACCATTCAGGACATAGGCATGGGCAAGGACTTCATGTCTAAAACACCAAAAGCAATGGCAACAAAAGCCAAAATTGACAGATGGGATCTAATTAAACTAAAGAGCTTCTGTACAGCAAAAGAAACTACCATCAGAGTGAACAAGCAACCTACAAAATGGGAGAAAATTTTCACAACCTACTCATCTGACAAAGGGCTAATATCCAGAATCTACAATGAACTCAACAAATTTACAAGAAAAAAACAAACAACCCCATCAAAAAGTGGGCAAAGGACATGAACAGACAATTCTCAAAAGAAGACATTTATGCAGCCAAAAAACACATGAAAAAATGCTCATCATCACTGGCCATCAGAGAAATGCAAATCAAAACCACAATGAGATACCATCTCACACCAGTTAGAATGGCAATCATTAAAAAGTCAGGAAACAACAGGTGCTGGAGAGGATGTGGAGAAATAGGAACACTTTTACACTGTTGGTGGGACTGTAAACTAGTTCAACCATTGTGGAAGTCAGTGTGGCGATTCCTCAGGGATCTAGAACTAGAAATACCATTTGACCCAGCCATCCCATTACTGGGTATATACCCAAAGGACTATAAATCATGCTGCTATAAAGACACATGCACACGTATGTTTATTGCGGCACTATTCACAATAGCAAAGACTTGGAACCAACCCAAATGTCCAGCAATGATAGACTGGATTAAGAAAATGTGGCACATATACACCATGGAATACTATGCAGCCATAAAAAATGATGAGTTCATGTCCTTTGTAGGGACATGGATGAAATTGGAAATCATCATTCTCAGTAAACTATCGCAAGAACAAAAAACCAAACACCGCATATTCTCACTCATAGGTGGGAATTGAACAATGAGATCACATGGACACAGGAAAGGGAACATCACACTCTGGGGACTGTTGTGGGGTGGGGGGAGGGGGGAGGGATAGCATTGGGAGATATACCTAATGCTAGATGATGAGTTAGTGGGTGCAGCGCACCAGTGTGGCAGATGTATACATATGTAACTAACCTGCACAATGTGCACATGTACCCTAAAACTTAAAGCATAATAATAAAAAAAAAATAAAAAAAATAAAAGATCAACAAAATAAAAAGTTGGGGTTTTGAAAAGATAAACCAAATTGGCAAACCTTTAGAAAGACTAATGAAGAAAAAAAGAGAAAAGACTCAAATGAATAAATCAGAGATGAAAAGAAAATATTACAACTGATATCATGAAAATTCAAAGTATTCTTAATGACTACTGCGAGCAACTAAATACCAACAAATTGAAATATATAGCAAAACGGATAAACTCCTAGGCATATAGAAACTACCAAGATTAAACCATGAGGAAATCCACAACCTGAACAAAAAATAACCAAGTATCAAGATCAAAGCTATAATAAATTGTCTCCCAGCCAAGAAAACCCCAGGACCCAATGGTTTCACCACTGAATTATACAAAACATTTAGAGAGGAGCTAATACTAATCCTACTCAAACTATTACAAACAATAGAAGAGGAGAGAGTACTTCCAAACTCATTCCAGGCCAGTATTCTCTGAAAGCAAAACCAAAGACACATCAAAAAAAGAAAACTACAGGCCAATATTTCTGATAAATATTGACACAAAAATCCTCAATCAAATACTAGCAAGCAAAATTCAACAATGCATTAAAAAATTCATCCATTGTGACCAAATGGGATTCATCTCAGGGGTGCAAGTGTTGATTAACATTTGCAAATTGTTCAATGTGATAAGTTGTATCTACAGAATGAGGGACAAAAATTACATTATAATTTTAATTGATGCTAAAAAAGCATTTGATGAATTTCGACATCCCTTTATGATAAAAACCCTCAAAAAACTAGATATAGAAGGAACATACATTAACATAATAAAAGCTGTAGATGACATACACACCACTAGTATCATACTGAACAGGGAAAAACTGTTAAGTCTTTTCTTTAAGATCTGGAACATGACAAGGATGCCCAGTTTCACCACTATTGTTCAACATAGTACTGGACGTCTGATTTAGAGCAATTAGACGGGAGGGGGAAAAAGGCATTCAGCCTGGAAAGGAGGAAGTCAAATTATCCTTGTAGCATATGATGTATATTTGGAAATACATAACATCTGATGTTATGTATTATGTATACGTAACATATGATGTTATATTTGGAAAATACAAAAGACTCCATCAATAGATCCTTATAACTGATAAATAAATTTAGTACAGTTGCAGGATACAACACCAACATATGAAAGTCAGTAGCATTTCTGTATGCCAACAATGAGCACTCTGAGATGCAGATCAAAATCTAATCTCATTTACAATAGCCACAAATAAAATTAAATAACCAGGAATTAACCAAAGAATTCAAAAATCTCTACAATGGAAACTATAAAACACTGATGAAAGAAATTTAAGAGGACACCAAAAGATGGAAAGATAGTCCATGTTCGTTCATTGGAAGAATCCGTATTGTTAAAATGTCTACACTACCCAGACCAATCTACAGATTCAACATAACCCCTATGAAAATGCCGATGGCATTCTACACAGAAATAGAAAAAAAAACTACCTTAAAATTTATATAAAACCTAAAAAGACCCAGAATAGCCGAAGCTACCGAAGCTATTATGAGTAACAAGAAAAAAAAAAAAAAAAACAAGCTGGAAGAATCACATTTCCTGCCTTCAAATTATATTGAAGAGCTATAGTAACCAAAACAGCCTGATACTGGCATAAAAACAGACACATAGACTAATGGAACAGAATAGAGGACCCAGAAACAAATCCACACACTTATAGGAAACTTATTTTTGACAATGTACCAAGAATATACACTGGGGAAAAGACAGGCACAAATGGTGCTGTGAAAACAGGATATCCATAAGCAGAAGAATGAAACTAGAGCCCTATCTCTCATCATATAAAAAATCAAGTCAAAATGGATTATAGACTTAAATTTAAAATCATAAACTATAAAACTACGATAAGAAAACATTGGAGAAACACTCCAGGACATCGGTCAGGGAAAATATTTCTTGAGGAATACACAAAGCACAGGCAACCAAAGCAAAAAGTGTGATCATATTAAGTTAAAAGCTTGTGCACAGCAAAGGATACGATCAGCAAAGTGAAGAGACAACCCACCGAATGGGAGCAAATGTTTGCCACCTACCCATCTCACAAGACACTAATAACCAGAATATATAAGGCATTCAAACAACTCTATTAGAAAAAAAATCTAATAATCAAATTAAATAGGCAAAAGATCTGAATAGATATTTCTCAAAAGAAGGCATACAAATGGCAAACAGGCATATGAAAAGGTGTTCAACATCACTGATCATCAGAGAAATACAACTAAAAACTAAAATGGAATATAACCTCACCCCAATTAAAATGGCTTATATCCCAAAGACAGGCAACAACAAATGCTGGTGAGGATGTGGAGCAAAGGGAACCCTCGTACATTGTTTATGTGAATGTAAATTAGTGTAACCACTATGGAGAACAGTTTGGAGGTTCCTCAGAAAACAAAAAATAGAGCTACCATGTGATCCAGCAATCCCCACTTCTGGGTATTCACTCACAAGAAAGGAAATTGGTATGTTGAAGGGATATCTACATTCCTATGTTTGTCGCAGCATTGTGCAAAATAGCCAAGATTTGAAGGCAACCTTAGTGTCCAACAGATTAAAGGATAAAGAAAATATGATATTTATACACAATGGAGTAATAAAAAAGCCATAAAAAGCATGAGATACTATCCTTTGTAACAACATGTATGGAACTGGAGATCATTATGTTAAATGAAATAAGCCAGGCACAGAAAGGAAAATATTGCATGTTCTCACTTATTTGTGAGGTTCAAAAATGAAAACAATTGAACTCATGGAGAGAATAGAATGCTGATTACCAGAGGCTGGAAAGGGTATTGAGGTGGGAGGGTTGAAAGGGTTGTGGAGATGGTTAATTTGTAAAATAAAATTCGTTAGAATTAATGCATAAGACTTAGTATTTAATAGCACAACAAAGTGACTATAGTCAATTTAATTTAATTGTACGTTTAAAAATAACTAAAAGAGTATAATTGGATTGTTTCCAACACAAATAATAAATGCTTAGGTGGATGAATACCCCATTCTCCATGATGTGATTATTTCTCATTGCATGCCTCTTTGAAAATATCTCATGTGCCCCATAAATATATGAACCTACTATTTACCAATAAAAATTAAAAATTAAAAAAATTGAGCCTGTTTGTCAGTCAGGATATGCTAGATTATTCTGCAGTCACAAGCAATTCCTCGTGATTTTTTGAGCACTAAACTTTCTTAAAAGCTTCATAGCCTTTTTCCTTCTATGTAAGTTTTTATACTTATTGAGCAATCTCTGCACACTCCCTCAACTCCATTACCATCCCACCCTTCCCAGCATGTGGTAAACACTATTTTACACTCTAATTATATGAGATTAACATCTTCAGATATTAGATATGAGTGAAATACTGCAGTATTTATCCTTATGTGCCAGTCTTATTTCCCTTAACACAATGTCCTCCTGGGTCTTCTGTATTGCCACAAATGACAGAATGTTCTTGTATAGTAGAATGACTGTAGTTAACAATATATTGCCTATTTCAAAATAGAAAAAAGAAGAAATTGTAAATGTTTTAACCACAAAGAAACAATAAATATTTGAGGTGATGAGTATGCTAATTACCCTAGTTTGATCATTACACAATGTATATATGCATTGAAATATCACATTATACCCCATAAGTATGTACAATTACAAATCAAATGAAATTTTTGAAAACGTAATAGGCTTTTCATGTGTTTGATTCCAGTCAGTTTCATGTGCTGATGGCTACACCCATAATTATTTTCCAGGTATTCTCACTGGATTCATTGTACTTCATTGCTTTCTTGTCTCCCTGCTTCCATCTGTCAATCTAGTTGCAAAGACTTTGGGCCAATCATACTGTGGTGGAAAAGACAAATATTTAGTCATGTATCATTTAAAAATGGGAATACATTCTGTGGAATTATTTTTTAGTTGTATGAAGATCATAAAGTATACTTAAACAAACCTAGAAGGTGCCACCTACTACATACCTAGGCTATACCATATAACCTATTTTTCATAAGCTACAAGCCTATACAATGTATTACCATACTGAATACTGTAGGAAATTGTAGCACAATGGTAAGCATTTGTGTATATTTTTTTTTCTGGAGACAGAGTTTCGCTCTGTGGCCCAGGCTAGAGTGCAGTGGCATGATATCGGCTCACTGCAACCTCTGCCTCTTGGGTTCAAGCTAGTCTCATGCCTCAGCCTCCCGAGTAGCTGGGATTACAGGCATGTGCCACTATGCCCAGCTAATTTTATGTATTTTAGTAAAGACAGAGTTTCACCATGTTGCCCAGGCTGATCTCGAACTCTCGACCTCAGCCAATCTGCCCCCCTTGGCCTCGCAAAGTGTTAGTATTACAGGCGTGAGCCCCCGTGACTTCACACTTGGGTATCTTAACATCTAAACTTAGAAAAGTACAGTAAAAGTATGTTTTTATAATCTTATGGTAAAATCATCTTTTTTACGGTTAGCTGTTGACTGAAATGTCATTATACTGCACATGGCTGTAATTCCTTTTTTCTCCAGGCATTTTATTTTATTTTTCCATAAGTTATTGGGGTACAGGTGGTGTTTGTTTACATGAGTAAATTCTTTAGTGGTGATTTGTGAGATTTTGGTTCACCCATCACCCGAGCAGTATACACTACACCATATTTGTAGTCTTTTATCCCTCACCCCCCTCACACTCTTCCTCCCAAGTTTCCAAAGTCCATTGTATCATTCTTATGCCTTTGCATCCTCATAGCTTAGCTCCCACATATCAGTGAGCACATACAATGTTTGGTTTTCCATTCCTGAGTTACTTCACTTAGAATAATAGTCTCCAATCTCATCCAGGTCGCCGTGAATGCCATTAATGCATTCCTTTTTATGGCTGAGTAGTATTTCATTGTATATGAAATACTACTTTCTTTATCCACTTGTTTCTTTATCCACTTGTTGATTGATGGGAATTTGGGTTGATTCCACGATTTTGCAATTGTGAATTGTCCTGCTATAAACATGCATGTGCAAGTATCTTTTTCGTATAATGGCATCTTTTCTTCTGGGTAGATACCCGGTAGTGGGATTGCTGGATCAAATCGTAGATCTATTTTCAGTTCTTTAAGGAATCTCCACACTGTTTTCCATAGTGGCTGTACTAGTTTACATTCCCACCAGCAGTGTAGAAATGTTCCCTGATCACCGCATCCATGCCAATATTTACTGTTTCTTGTCTTTGGATTATGTCCATTCTTGCAGGAGTAAGGTGGTATAGCATTGTGGTTTTGATTTGCATTCCCCTGATCATTAGTGATGTTGTGCATTTTTTCATATGTTTGTTGGCCATTTGTATATCTTCTTTTGAGAATTGTTTATACCTGCCCTTAGCCCAGGTTTTGATAGGATTGTTTGTTTTTTTCTTACTGATCTGTTTGAGTTTGTTGTAGATTCTGGATATTAGTCCTTTGTCAGATGTATAGATTGTGAAGATTTTCTCCCACTCTGTGGGTTGTCTGTTTACTCTGATGTCTGTTCCTATTGCCATGAACTTCTAGTTTAATTAAGTCCCAGCTATTTATCTTCGTTTTTATTGCATTTGCTTTTGGTTTCTCGTTCTTGAAATCCTTGCCTAAACCAATGTCTAGAAGGGTTTTTCCAATGTTACCTTCTAGAATTTTTACAGTTTCAGGTCTTAGGTTTAAGTCCTTAATCCATCTTGAGTTGATTTTTGTATAAGGTGAGAGATAAGGATCCAATTTCATTCTCCTACACATGGCTAACCAATTATCTCAGCACCATTTGTTAAAAAGGGTGTCCTTTCCCCACTTTATGTTTTTGTTTGCTTTGTCAAAGATTGGTTGGCTGTATTTGGGTTTATTTCTGGGTTCTGTATTCTGTTTCACTGGTCTATGTGCCTATTTTTACACCAGTACCATGCTGTTTTGGTGACTATGGCCTTATAGTATAGTTTATAATCAGGTAGTGTGATGCCTCCAGATTTGTACTTTTTGCTTATTCTTGCTTTGGCTATGTTGGCTTTTTTATGGTTCCATATAAATTTTAGAATTATTTTTTCTAATTCTGTGAAGAATGATGGTGTACTTTGATAGGGATTGCATTGAATTTGTAGATTGCTTTTAACAGTATGGTCGTTTTCACAATATTTATTCTACCCAGCCATGAGCATGGTATGTGTTTCCATTTGTTTGTGTTGTCTATGATTTCTTTCAGCAGTGTTTTGTAGTTTTCCTTGTAGAGGTCTTTCACCTCCTTATTTAGGTATATTCCTAAGTATTTTTTTTTGCAGCTATCATAAAAGTGGTTGAGTCTTTATTTGATTCTCAGCTTGGTTGCTGTGGTGTATAGAAGAGCTACTGATTTGTGTACATTAATCTTGTATCCAGAAACTTTGCTGAATTATTTTATCAGTTCAAGGAGCTTTCTGGAGAAGTTGATAGGGTTTTCTAAGTAAACAATCATATTGTCTGCAAACAGTGACAGTTTGACTTCCTCTTTACCAATTTGGATGCCCTTTATTTCTTTCTCTTGTCTGATTGCTCTGAATAGGACTTCCAATACTATGTTGAAGAGGAGTGGTGAGACTGGGCATCTTTGTCTTGTTCCAGTTCTCAGAGGGAATGCTTTCAACTTTTCCCCATTCAGTATTATGTTGGCTGTGGGTTTGTCATAGATGGCTTTTATTACATTGAGGCATGTTCCTTGTGTGCCAATTTTGCTGAGAGTTTTAATCATAAAAGAATCCTGGATTTTGTTGAATGCTTTTTCTGTATCTATTGAGATGATCATGTGATTTTTATTTTTAATTCTGATTATGTGGTGTATCACATTTATTGACTTGCATATGTTAAAACATCCCTGCATCCCTGGCATGAAACCCACTTGATCATGGTGGATTATCTTTTTGGTATGTTGTTGGACTCGGTTAGCTAGCACTTTGTTAAAGATTTTAGCATCTATGTTCACCAGGGATATGGTCTGTTGTTTTCTTTTTGGTTATGTCCTTTTCTTGTTTTGGTATTAGGGTTATGCTCTCTTTATAAAATGAATTAGGAAGGGTTTCCTCTTTCTCCATCTTATCTTGGGGAATAATGTGAAAATGATTGGTACTAATTCTTCTTTGAATGTGTGGTAAAATTCTGTTGTGAATCTGTCTTGTCCTAGACTTCTTTTGGTGGTAATTTTTTAATTACCATCTCAATCTTGCTGCTTGTTACTGGTCTGTTCAGGGAATATAATTATTCCTGATTTAAGCTAGGAAAGTTGTATTTTTCCAGGAATTTATCCATCTCTTCTAGGTTTTCTAGTTTATGTGCATAAAGGTGTTCATAGCTGCCTTAAATGATCTTGTGTATTTCAGTGGTGTCGGTTGTAATATCTCCCATTTTGTTTCTTAATGAGGTTATTTGGATTTTCTTTCCTCTTTTCTTGGTTAATCTTGCTAATGGTCTATCAATTTTATTTATCTTTTCAAAGAATCAGCTTTTTTTCATTTATCTTTGTATTTTTTGTTGTTGTTTCAATTTCATTTAGTTCTTCCCTGATCTCGGTTATTTCCTTTCTTTTGCTGAGTTTGGGTTTGGTTTGTTCTTGTTTCTCTATTTCCTTGAGGTGTGACCTTAGAATGTCAGTTTGTGCTCTTTCAGAATTTTTGATAGGCATTTGGGGTTATGAACTTTCCTGTTAGCACCGCCTCTGTTGTATCCTAGAGGTTTTGATAGGTTGTGTCATTATTGTCTTTCAGTTTAAAGAATTTTTTAATTTCCATATTGATTTTGTTTTTGACCCAATGCTCATTCAGGAGCAGGTTATTTAATTTCTATGTAGTGGCATGGTTTTGAAGGTTCCTTTTGGAGTTGATTCCCAGTCTTATTCCACTGTTGTTTAAGAGAGTGCTTGATATAATTTCAGTTTTCTTAATTTTATTGAGGCTCATTTTGTGGCCTATTTTATGGTCTATCTTGGAGAAAGTTCCATGCGCTGTGGAATAGAATGTATATTCTGTGGTGGTTGTTGAATGAAATGTTCTATATGTATCTGTTAAGTCCATTGGTTTCAAGGTTTAGTTTAGATCCATTTTTTCTATGTTGACTTTCTGTCGTGAGGACCTGTCTAGTGCTGTCAGTGGAATATTGAAGTCCCCCACTATTATTGTGTTGCCGTCTATCTCATTTGTTAGGTCTATTAGTAATTGCTTTATAAATTTGGGAGCTCCAGTGTTAGGTGCATATATGTTTAGGATTGTGATATTTTCCTGTTGGACAAGGCCTTTTACCATTATATAATGTCCCTATTTGTCTCTTTTAACTGCTGTTAAAGTTTGTTTTGTTTGATATAAGAATGGCTATCCCTGCTCGCTATTGGTGTCCGTTTGCATGAAATGCCTTTTTCAACCCTTTTACTTTAAGGTTATGTGAGTCCTTATGTGTTAGGTGAGTCTACTGGAGGTAGCAGATGGTTGGTGAGTTTTTATCCATTCTGCAGTTCTATATCTTTTAAGTGGAGCATTTAGACCATTTATATTCAATGTTAGTATTGAGATGTGAAGTACCATTCCATTCATCATGCTATTTGTTGCCTTTGTGGCTTGGTACTTTTTTGTTTGTTTGTTTTTTGCTCTGTAACTTGTATTTTTGTTTTATAGGTCCTGTGTGATGGATGCTTTAAAGAGGTTCTGTTTTGATGTGTTTCCAAGACTTGTTTCAAGATTTAAAGCTCCTTTTAGCAGTTCTTGGAGTGGCGGCTTGGTAGTGGAGAATTCTCTCAGCATTTGTTTGTCTGAAAAAGACTGTGTCTTTCCTTAATATATAATGCTTATTTTCTCTGGATTCAAAATTATTGGCTGATAATTGTTTTGTTTGAGGAGGCTAAAGATAGGTCCCCAATCCCTTCTAGCTTGTGTGGTTTTGTGAGAAATCTGCTGCTAATCTGGTAGGTTTTCCTTTATAGGTTACTTGCTGCTTTTGTCTCACAGCTCTTAAGATTCTTTCCTTTGTCTTAACTTTAGATAACTTGATGACAGTGTACTTAGGTGATGATCTTTTTGGGATGAATTTCCCAGGTGTTCTTTGTGTTTCTTGTATTTGGATGTCTAAGTTTCTAGCAAGGCCAGGGAAGTTTTCCTTGATTATTCCTTCAAATATATTTCCAAATTTTTAGATTTCTCTTCTTCCTCAGGAACACTGATTATTCTTAGGTTTGGTCGTTTAACATAATTCCAGACTTCTTGGAGGCTTTGTTCATGTTTTTAAATTATTTTTCCTTTGTCTTTGTTGGATTGGGTTAATTTGTAGACCTTGTCTTTGAGCTCTGAATTTCTTTCTTCTACTTGTTCAATTCTATTGCTGAGACTTTCCAGAGCATTTTGCATTTCTATATGTGTGTCCAGTGTTTCCTGAAGTTTTGATTGTTTTTTCTTTATGATATATATTTCCTTGAATATTTCTCTCTTCACTTCTTGTATCTTTTTTTGGATTTCCTTGCATTGGGCTTTGCCTTTCTCTGGTGCCTCCCTGATTAGCTCAATAACTAAACTCCTGAATTCTTTTTCAGGCAAATCAGGATTTTCTTCCTGGTTTGGATCCATTGCTGGTGAGTTAGTGTGTTTTTTGGGTGGTGTTAAAGAGCCTTGTTTATTACCAGAGTTATTTTTTCTGGTTTCAGTCAATGAGACTGAAACCCAATGTTCCTTCTCATTTGGGTAGGCCCTTTTAGAGGAAAGGTCTAGGGCTGAAGGCTGTTGTTCAGATTCTTTTGTCCCACGGGGTGTTCTTTTGATGTAGTACTCTCCCCCTTTTCCTATGGATGTGGCTTCCTGAGAGCCAAGCTGCAGTGATGGTTATTTCTCTTATGGGCCTATCCACCCAGCAAGTCTACCAGGCTCCGGGCTGGTACTGGGGGTTGTCTGCTCAGAGTACTGTCATGTGAACCATCTATGGATCTCTTAGCCATGGATACCAGCACCTGTTCTGGTGGAGGTGACAGGGGAGTGAAATGGACTCCATGAAGGTTCTTAGCTTTGGTGGTTTAATGTTCTATTTTTGTGCTGGTTGGCCTTCTGCCAGGAGGTGGTGCTTTCCAGAGAGCATCACCTGTGGTAGTATGGAGAGGAACTGGCAGTGGGTGGGGCCCTAGAACTCCCAAGAGTATATACCCTTGGTCTTCAGCTACCAGAGTGGGTAGAAAAAGACCACACAGTGGGGTCAGGGCTAGTTGTGTCTGAGTTCAGACTCTCTTTGGGCAGGTCTTGTTGTGGCTGCTATGGGGGATGGGGGTAAGGTTTTTCAGGTCTATGGAGTTGTGTACCTGGGAGGATTATGGCTGCCTCTGCTGAATCATGCAGGTTATCAGGGAAGTGGGGTAAAGCCAACAGTCACAGGTCTCACCCAGCTCCCATGCAATTCAAAGGGCTGATCTCACTCCCACAATGCCCCCCATTAACAGCACCCAGTCTGCTTCCAGACAGTGGGCAAGCAGGGCTTGAGAACTTGCCCCAGGCTGCCTGCCTCCCAGCTGTGAAAGAAAAGGGCTTTGATTCTTCCCCTGCCTGTGCAGTCTGCATGCCAGATTCACACTCTCCCCTGAGTTCTGGCCAAGAGGCTTCTTGCACAGGTCAAACTGTTACAAAGTTCAGCTGGAGACTTCTTTCTCCCTGTGGTGTTTTCCCCATGTCTCTGGCTGCCCTCCAGAAGGATCCCTGTGGTGCCAGGCAGGAATGGCCTGCTTGGGGACCCAGTGAGCTCCCAGGGCCTTTCCTACTGCTTCCTCCACCCCTGTATTTTGCTCACCTCTCTAAGTTGACTCAGCTCCAGGTAAGGTCGGAAACTTCTGCAAACTACGCCTTCAGTTTCCCCAGTGAGGGTGTGTGTTTGGGAACAGAAGATCTCCCTTTCCCACTTCAGCAGTTTGGGCACTCATGGTATTTAGAGTGTCTCCCAGGTCCTGCAGGAGCAACCTGCTTCCTTCAGAGGGTCTGTGATCTGTGGGTCATCTTGGGATTTCTGGTTTGTTCTTGCACTCATTCTGGAGCTAAAATTCATGATGTGAGCCTCCACACACTGCTTTGTCCATCTGAGTTGGAGCCGCAATCTAGTCCTGCCTCCTGTCTGCCATGATAATCTCCAGACATTTTCTTAATTAAATAAATGTAGCAGATGCCAATGTAATCAATTGAATGCTTTTAACAATGGAAGTGAAAGTAGAACTTTTGTGTGTGTGTGTGTGTGTGTGTGTGTATGTGTGTGTTAGCAGGGCCACAATATCTAATAACTTCTAGTACTTTCTTCATCAATCAAGATAGACCAGATTATGTTTTAATAACTAACAATATCCTATTCTCAATGAGTTAAAGAATACATTTATATGTATTGCTCATTTTATATATCCATGATCGATTGTATTGCCCTTTCAACCTTGCTGTCCTCAGTCTGGGACCCAGACTGATGGAGCAGCTGCAGTCTAGAATAATGCCGGTCATTATGGCAGAAAACAAAGATCATGATGGATTGTATACTGTCTTTGTAGCTTTCATTTGGAGGTGTCACACCATTAACACTGATAATTTTTTCAAGGTAAGTTACATGGCTAGTCAAACTCCAAGGGGGTAGGAAAATAAAATACTACCATGTGCCCCAATAATAATAATAAATATTTTCTAAAGAGCACTAATGACTGCTCAAATATTGTCTCCAGAGATGGTTGTAAGATCTTAAGAGGAGCACTAAGAAACAGGAGTATGCCCAGAGGAATGTGACCTAGACAGGAAAAAGATCTAATATCAGTTGTATGATGAATTTCAGTAAGGTTTTGCCAGAAATGAAAATGCATAGTTATGATTCCCAAATACATGACATTATGTGGAATAAAATGTCCAGGTAAGCCAAAAGAGAGGTATGGGCTCTATGTCACCCAGAAAGTACGTGTCTTATCTGATAATATTAAATATATACTATTTTAAACTCTGTGATATCAAGAAAAATAGTTTTCTAGACTGAATTCATATAACTGACTGCCAGTTTGGAAGACATGCAAACTATCTCAGAAATAATTTCCCCTTTCAGTTGTTTTGATCTCTCTTCCCTGGACCTTCTCCATCACCATTTGTTAAAATTTTTATTTTGCTTTGTTTTACTTTGCTATTCATTCTAATATGTTTGAGACTTATGGTTATGTTGAGTAATTTGAAATCACATCAGCCTTTCAAATTATACCTAAGTAACTCCTGAAATGATTACAAAAACTGAAAAACTAAGATAAGTGTAAAAGAGGAAAAAAATTATCATTTGTACAATAGTTCAAAATTGTTGAGAAATATTGTGCCAGGAACTGTGTGCTAAATATTTTATTTTCACTTTTCAGTGAAATCGGGGTTTGAATATATTGCACATGAAGTAGTCAAAGATTAATGAAGAATAATAACAAATGCTGGACAATGTGTGTGCTATAAGAAAACCAACAAAGGCTTACCTGTCACTTTATGAAGTAAACACTGAACTGAGGGGAAGAAGGGGACAAAATGGAATTGAGAATACATTTCCGAGCACACAATTACTTTCTGGTCCTCTAAATCTGGTAAAAATAGGGACAAAGGCAAAAGTCGAGAGGGTAAAAGTAGTCTGATGCCAATTAACTAATGGCTGTCAAGCATCTATAAAATCCAAGCTATCCAAAAATGAAGCAAGGGGCTGTGTACAAGGCATTGGGACTATGACTTGTATTTATGAAAAAAAATGAGGTAATACTGATTTTGTAAAATGTATCACATATTGGACTGCTACTAGGTTTAATATTCCTTACTTTTAGAAATATAAAATGACAATTAAGATCAAAGTGGCAGGGAATTGTTCATGAATCGCTTCAGTTTGGAAAGTCATTCAATTCTATCAGTAAAAGACAATTACGTATTTTTTTATAATTTATGTATAATATTCTAAATGGCAGGACAGGAACTTGATTGGCACACCTTTTAAAGACTGAAAAAAAGGTAAGCATGTTGTAGGATAAAGTTGATAATGTTGATGGCTGTAATGTAAAGAATGAAACAATTCAGTTCAGATGAAGTTGAATTTTTTTCTCCTTCACATCTGCAGTCTTCTCAATCCTTCTTTAGTTTTCCATATGTTTAAAACTGGCAGCCCTCTTTGCTTATATTTACCCATCAGATTACTGGTATTGAAAAGTGAAGAGCATTTAGAGCCATTTTGAGAACATAAAGGAGAAGTGATAATAATGAATAGACTTCCACCCTCTGGTGTCTATAACAAATCCAAAAGGCAAGAATTTATAGAAAATAATAAGTAATGTGTCATAATGAGACATCTACCCTCTTGATTAGGGAATTTCTCTTACTATTTTGTTTTTGGAAGCAATGTGTAATGTTTTAATAAGTTCATTCATCTTTCATTTTCTGAGGTTATTTTTCTTGCTCTGGGTAGCATGAGTTAATATTTAACAAAACACCTGCCTTGCTCTTCCAAATTTAATGGACAGACACTAGGGAATGACAGAATTGGATGTAGGATATGCTGAGGCAGGACGAAGTGTAACTAAAACACAGTCTATGAAGCCACTTCTTTTTCACTATTATTCCTGTTTTCAAAGTGATTTGATTTAATTTGCAATCACTACCACCTTTTTTTTTTTCAAATTTACCAAAAAGATGCATGAATTCGTGATGTATGAAAGATTGTTTTGCCAATGAATGGAGAAAACATTGCCTTGGTTTCCTTTGGTTCTCTGTCCAAATATCTACTGTCTGCCTATTGATAAAATATTGATATTGAGAAGCAGATTCAATACCTACGTTACAATGTATCTGTCTCAAAACAACATTTACAGTTTTCATTTATGTTTTAGAGAAATAACAACCTTACCTATTATATATTCAAAGCATATAACATAAGGTAAGCCATATTAATGTAAAAAGAGCAAGTTAAGTTTTATTCTGAAATAACAAATTTACAAAATTGTAAGATGCCATCTATAAGACATGTTTTGGGAAATTTTACCAGAAACAGAGATAAATATAATCGCCATATGTAACATATACCTTTATTTTGAAGATCACATGAATAACATAATTTTAAAATAGAAAAAAGATCTTTTAAATCACCCAATTCACTACCATCTCCATTATGTTTATTAAACAAACAAGCAAACAAAAACTATGGTTGATTTTAAGTGATTTACCTAGGAAGCCCAGGTCTTATTTTGCTATTGGCATTTTTATTACTGACTAGTAATAAGCTATTCTGACTCATGTGGACATATACTTCAAAGGGACGGTGAAGCAGGATGAAAATACAGAAATACATTCATCAAGAAAATATAATTACAATGATGACTGATACTTAGGAGATATTTGTTCTTGAAGAATGGTCTGAAGACCTCTAGAGTTGTTTTGGCAAAAAGAAGAATGATGTATTGGCAACCTAAAAACACTTTTCCTTTTAGGTCAATCACTTTGAATTGGGAACAACCATTACTTCTTTTGAAAGATGATCTTAAACTCTGGTCCACAGCAACTGTCCAATGGCATTATGGTATGCTACCAATTTTTTATTCATGTGTAAAATAAGCCTTTCCTCCTATGAAGGAAGAATAATGTTATGGAAAATTTCATCAGATTTAAAGTCAAACCAAAGAATGATTGCGTATTTCTTTAAACACAAAGATGCTTTGCCTTGCTTGAATACAGGAGAATAAGGTCGAGGCATTAGGCAGCTTTAAACAAATCCTGACAACATGCCTAAGATCCACCAAGTGAATAGTGCAATTATTAGAGCTCCTCTGCCAAGTATTGTGAGACATTATATTGTTGTAATGGTGATATTATCATAATCTTACATTGTTTGTTCAATATTGTTTGGGGTATTTTTAATACCTTCATGAGAGCTACTGACTTTTTCAATATTGTACTGTAGACAATCAGCTGGGAATTACTATCTTATAATAACTCTAATTGGAAGTAAATCCTATGATCCATATGCATACAAAGTCACAATTATTTTCCATTGGCATTTTACACACTTTTGACTGACAGACCAGCAAGGAAGTTGTGTTTTCTGGTGAATAATGTGACTGGTGCACTGAGGGGAGCATAGTAGGCAGTGAGATTTCTGAGATTATCTTTTGTCTGCCTTTTATTCATTGTATTTTATTGGCTAATCTATGCAAGAAGATGGAAAACATCAGTATAATGTTCCATAATATTAAAGTCTATTCTCCAGCTTTGCATTATTTTTGACTTAAGATACAATGAGGAATTGTTTGGGATCTTGTGTGACTATTCCTTCAATTTAGAAGAAGTTATTAAGAAATTATTTATCTTTCATTTATGTGGTGGGAAACACAAAGGTGTTAACAAGACTGGAAGACCCTGTCAAGAAAAGAGCAAAGCCACAAAGCACTGCTTTGTTTCATAAAAACAAGCTTTTATTAGTTCAGTTGGAAAAATGTGAATCAGAATAAAATGCCTTGTGGCCCAGAGGATGTTAATAAAAGTAAGTTAGATAAATAATAGTCAGTGATGAAACTTATGACTCATATAACCATCAAATATAATAACTATCACACTTTTTGTCATTTGCTTTTTGAAATATTCTCATTGTTTTTTAGTTTATCCCTAATTTGTTTCATATTAGTTATTGTAAGGAAAACTATTAACTTAAATTTTATCTATTAGGGCTGGGAAATAGGATGAATTGCTGAAAGATGAGTAACATTTATAATTTATAAAAAAAGAGGAAAAATGATTGCAAGTGAGAAAATTAGTAAAAATTAGGTATGTTAAATAAACTATAAATTTATCAAAGTATCTCAAACAGTGTCCTCAAAGTAAATTAAACTAGACTTATTTATTTAAGGGGTTTACAAAAATGTTTATGTCTCGTAAATTGTTTAAAAAGCTATTTTTTTGGGTTACCACATTTTCATAATTGGGATAGAGAAATTAGAAAAATTTAAATAATAACTCCATTTTAGATCACTTTAACAGATTCTGTGCTAAACTGTAGGATAAATTAGGTTGAAATTTTTCAAAGGAAGTTTGTGCTGTGTATGTACAGGCATCAAATCAACAGTTTTGGTCGAGCTATATGCACCTCCTTAATAATGATTCTATACTTCACCACACTTGACACAATATTGGACTCAGATCACTTTTTTTGACTGATATTAATTCAACCCTTGTTAAAATTCAATTATAGGGTTTGAGCAAAAATCTCATTACTCTGCTGTGCCTCAAATTGTGTCTACATTCCACTGTCATGAACAGAAGAATAGTGACAAGGTTAACTGGTTCATTTGGCTTCAGCCAGTTAAGATTTGAGATCCAACTGATCCTTCAGAAGGGCCACGTGGTTAGTGTGGGGAAGTGTCTCCAGTTTCTTCTTTAGAATCTGCTGTATATCATTCCGTTAAGAAGTTTGAGTTGTTGCAGTATATTAGTATGCATGGCTATATGTGACCTTAATATATGGGGCAAAGAGCAGCTCAGAAAATTTTAATGGCAGTTCCCTGGATTACTTGAATTACCACATACCTAAATTTACCTAATAGTAGTAAATCTAGGTTTAGAAGATTATACTCTATTTGATATCTAGTCCATCACATTATCCAGTATAATGTGTCTAAACATGGTAGCCCAAAAAGAATTCATACCTTGGGAGTTAGAGAGAAAACACGTTTGTAAAAACCCAAGATCATTAGCTTTGTGCATTAATTATGTATCTAATATTGTATCCCCATAAAAGGCCTTAATTTGGACATTTAATTTTCTATTTATATTTTTTACAGTATCTGAAAGTTCCAGACTCTTCTTCTAAAGAACAAAAAAGCCTTACATGACTACAAACCAAATCTAATATTAGAAACTTTTGCAATGCATCTGTTTCTATGTAAACTTTGGAGTGTTTTACTGCAGTCTTGTACATATTAAAAGTATGAGATCAGAGAAAAGTGTCATTTGAAAATCATTTTTTCTAACCACATCTGATCAGATTTTCCTAGGCTGATGTGAAATATCATAAAGAATCATGTTCACTTGAATCTGTCATGTTGTATTATGTTATTGTCTTCTAATCCAAAATAAATGAATGCAATGAAATTGAGCATGACACAAGGGAAGAGAGTAGCCAGAAAATTTAAAAACATTGCAATAAGAAACAGTGAGACAGTAGAATTATAGTCCACTGGGTAAAATGCCTGTGTAGTTATGCTTAAGAAAACTTTACTTTCTTCAAACCATGAGGAAGAATAAAAATGTAACGCTAAAAGAAAATGCCAAGAGTCAGAACTGTAATTCTGTCTAGATATGATTATCAAGTCAAAAAATATTCACTGATCATCTACTGACTACTGTGTGTCAGTCATCATGGTCTTTATTCATTAAACCTTGAACTAGAATCCTTTCTTATTTGTACTACAGTTTTTATTAAAAAAATAATACAACAAATAAATAATCAGGAGAAACCTTTTCTGGGTATAAAGACAGACAAATTAAAACTTAAAAACATGAGGCCCCTCAGGCATCAAAAGCTCTAAGTAAGAATATATAATTTATTATTTTCAGAATATATTATTTTCCATGATTTTTCATAAGATTTGTATGAACAGTTTTGATGAGTATTGAATATACATCTATATGCATTTAATGTCAATATTATATGTTATGTGCATGAAATAAATTTGTCATTGCTAGGTAAGGCAACAAAAAAGAATGCCATGAAAGATCACTGCTTGCAGTTCTAACAAATAAGCTAATCACTTCTCTAATAGCCAACACTTCATTCTGTGGATTTTCATGACCATTAATACATTTCAGTTAATTTGACTCTTCTAAATATTTTTTTGAAATGCATAGTGGAGGGGAGATCTTTCAAAAGGTTTATATAGATCAACCTCTTTGCATGGCCAGATAATATGTGGAGTTTGATTTTATTATTTGTATTTTTAACTTTTGTGAGTACATGGTACATGTATATATTTATGGGGCACATGAAATGTTTTAATATAGGCATGCAATGTGTAATAATCACAACATGGAAAAGGTGGTATCCATCCCCCCAATGATTTATATTTAGTGTTATCAACAATCCAATTATACTCTTTTAGTTATTTTTCAATGTACAATTATTATTGAAAATAGAAACCCTCTTGTGCTATCAAATGTTAGGTGTTATTCATTCATTTTAACTATTTTTGGTACCCATTAATAATCCCCACCTCCCCCAAACCCTCATACTATACTTCTCAGCCTCTGGTAACCATCCTTCTACTCTCTATCTGCATGTATTCAGTTGTTTTGATTTTTTACATCCCACAGATACGTGAGAACACGTGATGTTTGTCTTTTTGTGCCTGGTTTATTTCACTTAACATAATGATCTCTAGTTCCATCCATGTTATTGCAAATAACTGAATATCATTTATTTATGGTTAAATAGTACTCCATTGTGTATAAGTACCATATTTTCTTTATCCATTCATCTGTTGATGGTCACTTAGGTTGCTTCACATCTTGGCTATTGTGAACAGTGCTGCAACAAACATGGGAGTGTAGATATCTCTTCGACATACTGATTTCCTTTCTTTTAGATATATAGCCAGCAGTGGATTTGCTGGATCATATAGTAGCTCTATTTTTAGTTTTTTGAGGAACCTCCAAATTGTTCCCCGTAGCAGTTACACTAATTTACACTTCCACCAACAGTGTACAAGTGTTCCCTTTTTTCCACATCTTCACCAGCATTTGCTGTTACCTGTCTTTGGATAGAAGCCATTTTAATTGGGGTGAGAAAACATCTTGTAGTATTGATTTGCATATCTCTGGTGATCAATGCTGTTGAGCACCTTTTCATATGCCTGTTTGACATTCGTATGTCTTCTTTTCTGAAATATCTATTCATATATTTGCCCATTTTTATATTGGATTATCAGATTTTTTCCTAGCTTTTTATATATTCTGATTATTAATCTCTTGTCAGATGGATACTTCACAAATATTTTCTCCTATTCTGTAGGTTGTCTCTTGACTTTGCTGATTGTATTATTTGCTATGCAGAAACCTTTAAACTTGACGTGATTCTTTTTGTCCATTTTGGCTTTGGTTGCCTGTGCTTCTGGGATATTGCTCAAAAAATTTTTACCCAGACCTATGTCCTGGAGATTTTCCCCAATGTTTTCTTTGTTTTCTTGTAGTAGTTTCATAGTTTCAAGTCCTTTATTTGTCTTTAATCTATTTTGATTTGATTTTTGTATATGGGGAGAGATAAGAGTCCAGTTTCATTCTGCATATGGATATCCCACTGTAAGCACACAAATTCATTTCTGGGTTCTCTATTCTGTTCCATTAGTCTATGTGCCCGTTTTAATGCCAGTACCATCCTGTTTTGGTTGCTATAGCTCTGTAGTATAACTTGAAGTCAGGTAATGTGATTCCTCCAGTTTTATTATTTTTGCTTAGGATGGATTTGACTATTCTGCATCTTTTGTGTCCCCATATAAATTTTAGGATAGTTTTTTTTCTATAACTGTGAAGAATGTCATTGGTATTTTGATAAGGATTGCTTTGAATCCGTGAATTGCTTTGGGTAGTATGAACATTTTAACAATGTTTATTTTTTCCAATCCATGAACATGGAATATGTTTTTGGTGTCCTCTTCACTTTCTTTCATCAGTGTTTCCTTCTTTTCATTATAGAAATTTTTCAATTCTTTAGTTAAGTTCATTCCTAGTTACCTAATTTTATGTGTGGTTATTGTAAATGAGATTAGTTTTTGATTTCTATTTCAGATTGTTCACTGTTGGCATATAGCAATGGTACTGATTTTTGTAACAAAATTTATAATTTGATACTGAAATACAAATGTGGTGATAATTCATGATTTTTGTAAATCATCAGCCCTAGATGTTCGTTTATGTCACACCATATTTTTTAGTAAAATCAAAGAAAAATAACAAATATAGTACTTTAGCACTTGCAAAACGCACTTTAACATTTGTATCTCAAACTTCACATCACATATTTATAAACTGTTTTAAGTTTTCATTTATTTTTCCTGGTGACAAAACAGGTTGAAAAGATTGGAACTGTAATAGAGCTTCCTTGACCAATGTTTTGCAAACTGCAAGTGGAAGTACACTAGTGAGTTTTGCAATAAATTAAATGGGCTGCAACCAGCAACTTAAAAAAAATAAAATGAAATAGAATAAAACTGTCATAAAGCATTTTGCACAATTAAAGGTATTTTTTTCTTTTTTATTTATCTTTTATTTTAAGTTTAGGGGTATATAGAGCAGGTTTGTTATATAGCTAAACCTGTTCATGGGGTTTGTTGTACAGATTATTTTGTCACCCAGGTATTAAGCCTAATACCCATTAGTTATTTTTCCTGATCCTCTCTCTCCTCCCATCCTCACCACTCTGAAAGGCACCAGCATGTGCTGCTCCCCTCTACGTGTTCACATGATCTCATCATTTAGCTCCAACTTATAAGTGAGAACATGTGGTATTTGGTTTTCTGTTTGTGTGTTAGTTTGCTCCATCTATCTTCCTGCAAAGGACATGATCTCATTCTTTCTTATGGCTTCATAGCATTCCATGGTGTATATGTACCATATTTTCCATATCCAGTCTACTGTTGATGGGCATGTAAGTTGATTACGTGCCTTTGCTATTGTGAGTAGTGCTTCACTGAACATATGTATGCCTGTGTCTTTATGGTTGAATAATTTCTATTCCTTTGGGTATATACCCAGATATGGGATTCCTGGGTTGAACGCTTGGTCTGTTTTCAGTTTTGTGAGGAATCGCCATACTGCTTTCCACAATGGCTGAATTAATTTACACTCCCACCAACAGCATATAAGAATTCCTTTTTCTCTACAACCTCCACAACATCTGTTATTTTTGGAGTTTTTTACAATAGCAGTTCTGACTGGTAGAGATGGTATCTCATTGTGGTTTTGATTTACATTTCTCTAATAATCAGTGATATTGAGCTTTTTTTGTACATGATTGTTGGCTAACTATATGTCTTCTTTTGAAAAGTATCTGTTCAGATACTTTTCCCACTTTTTAATTAGGTTGATTATTTTTTGCTTGTTGAATTGTTTCTTATAGATTGTGTATATTAGACCTTTGTTCGATGCACAGATTGCAAATATTTTCTCCCATCCTGTAGAGTGTCTGCTTACTCTGTTGATAGTTTCATTTCCTGTGCAGAAGCTCTGTCATTTAATTAGATCCCATTTGTCAATTTTTGCTTCTGTTGCAATTGCTTTAGATGTCTTTATCATGAAATCTTTGACCATTCCTATGTCTCAATTGGTATTGCTTAGGTTGTCTTCCAGGGTTTTTATAGTATGGGGCTTTACATTTAAGTCTTTAGTCCATCTTGAGTTAATTTTTGTAAGAAAGGGCTCCAGTTTCAATCTTCTGCATATGGCTAGCCAGTTATCCCAGTACCACTTATTCAATAGGGAGTCTTTTCCTGTTGCTTGTTTTCATCAGCTTTCTTGAAGATAAGATAGTTGTAGGTGTGCAGTCTTATATCTGGGTTGTCTAGTGTGTTCCACTGGTCTATGTGTCTGGTTTTGGACCTGTATCCCACTGTTTTGGTTACTGCAGACCTATAGTATGGCTTGAAGTTGGATAGTGTGATCCCTTCAGCTTTGTTCTTTTTGCTTAGAATTGCTTTGGATATTCAGGCTCTTTTGTGGTTCCATACAACAAACCATTCAAAAGATCAATGAAGTCAGGAACTGTGTTTTTTTGAAAAAAAATTAATATAATAGGTAAACCATTCACTAGAATATTAAAAAGGAAAGAAAGAAGATCCAAATAAACACAATTAGAAACAAGAAGGATGCTACCACTGACCCCACAGAAACACAAATAACCACCAGAGAATATTATGAATTCCTCTATGCACATGAACTAGAAAATGTAGAAGAAATCGACAAGTTCCTAGGCACATACACCCTCCTAAGACTGAACTGGAAAGAAATAAAATCCGTGAGCCAACCAATAATGAGCTCTGAAATTGAGGCAGTGATAAATAGTCTACCAACCAAAAGTAAGCCCAGAACTAGAGGGATTCACAGCTGAATTCTACCAGATGTACAAACAAGAGCTGGTACCATTCCTATTGAAACTATTCCAAAAAAATTGAGGAGGAGGGACTCCTCCCTAACTCATTATGAGGTCAGCATCATCCTCATACCAAAATCTGGCGGAGACAAAAAACAAAACAAAAACAAACAAACAAAAAAACCTTCAGGCCAATATCCTTGTTGAGCATCAATGCAAAAATCCTTAACAAAATACTGGCAAATCTAATCCAGCAGCAGATCAAAAAGCCACATCTTCATGTTAAAAACTGTTAGTAATCTAGGTATTCAAGGAACATACCTCAAAATAATACGAGCTACCTATGACTGACTCACAGCCAAGATCATACTGAGTGGGCAAAAACTGGAAGCAGTCCCCTTGAAAACCAGCACAAGACAAGGGTGCTTTCTCTCACCACTCCTATTGAACATAATATTGGAAGTCCTGGCCAGAACAATGAGGCAAGAGAAAAAAATAAAGAGCTGCCAAATAGGAAGCTAAACTATCCCTGTTTGCAGATGACATGATCCTGTATTTAGAAAACCACATAGTTTCAGCCTAACAGTTCCTTAAACTGATAAACAACTTCAGGAAAGTCTCAGGATAAATAATTAATGTATAAAAAAGCCACTAGCATTCCTATACACCAACAACAGTCAAGCCAAGAGCCAAATCAGGAACACAATCCCATTCACAATTGCCACAAAAAGATAAAATGCCTAGGAATACAGCTAGGCAGGGAGGTGAAAAATCTCTATAAGGAGGACTACAAAACACTGCTCAAATAAATCAGAGATGAAGCAAACTAATGGAAAAACAGTCTATGCTCATGGATAGGAAGAATCAATGTTGTTAAAATGGCCATACTGCCCGAAGCAATTTATAGATTCAATACTATTCTCATTAAATTATCATTGACATTCTTCACAGAACTAAAAAAAAACCATTTTAAAATTAATATAGAAGGGTATTTTCATTAAAATATGTTTTTCTTGTTATGTGTGTGTATATAGATTTTCTATGTAAAATCTATTTATTATTGTTTTTTATCATGGTCCAAAGTTAAAAAAGGAAAATGTTAAAGCTACTGTCCTAGGTTATGTAAAGCATGTTTCATTATCCATAGACCCATGGTCATTGGAATGTGACCTCAGCATGGGGCGAAGGTGTTTTATAATAAAGATCTTTCATGCTTGCTATTGCCTCTTTTGAGAACAGTGACAGACAATGAGAGTGAATCAGAGGCGGATGTGCCCCAGGGGTGTTAAGTCATTTCTAAATAGTCAACAGATAAACGTCACATTTTACATGTTTTTTCAGAGCTGCCTTCACTCACTGCGACCACTCATTCCTCTGGGGGCAGCTGGGTGGCAGTAGTGTCAACTCTGCCATTTACAATAGAAATACAACTGGGATCACTTGATGCTAAGAAGGTGCCCTGAGTCACCTTAACTTATATCTCTGCTAATTTTAAAAGCCTGTGTTGTCTAAAAAACTGGCAGATTTTGGGATCTAACTGCTTCTTGTGGATTGAACCAATTAGCAGGAGTGTTACTATGAGCATGTTACCTATTTAAACTGAAATAACCACCCCACACACTGGTGCCTTAATAAGCTATTTCATTTTTATTGAGGAGCTAAAGCTATTTTGTATTTCCTGTCGAACGAAAAGTTCCCCTAGATTTTTAATGTAATAATATCAATGAAATCATTGATGTCTTCTTCTCCTAGTCTAGAAAAAGTGTCTTGAGACAGCATCATGCGTTGTTTTGGAGAGACCAAGATAATTCAAATTTTCTAAATAAACCAGATGAGCTGATTTTCCTTTAAGTATAGTTATTTTCTAATTGTGGCTTGCTGTCATGAACACTTGACACTTTCCTGTTGCTTTACCAAGGCATATGACCATTTTTGGTTTCCATGTGCAACAAGTCAGTTGTGTTTGCTCTAAAACTCTTATCTGTATTTAAAGTATCTGTGAATTAAACAACTACGTTTTCACAGCATGAATTTTAGTATAGGGTTCAATTAATACTATATTTCAATTTAGTAGCACATGATTTGTTGTTCTCTAGCTGTTTCATGTATGTTTACCTTATAGTTCCATTATTCTTTCTTCACATGTAACCTACTCAAAAGAACCTCACACAATTTTTGGTCTACAGTTGATATTTTTGTTGCTTGCCGCATATACTCAGATAGTTATAGGATACATGACAGATTATAACTTTTTCTGTATAGGGAAGTATAACAGCAAAAACTATGTGAGTTAACCCATTAGTATAACAGTTAAATACATTTTCAAAGGGTCTTTGAGAAAACCTATAATGGAAATATTAGTATTTGTAAACTGTGTTAGAATACGTTTAATTTTTTTTGCTCAAAATCCTTGGATTCCATACTACTTACTTTGAAAAATCATTCCTTAATTGCCAAAATGAAATAAGGACTTGATTCTTATAGCTTCATTTAATTCACTTAGTTCCTTCCATTTTATAAAAACTGAAAGTCAAAGAATTATTGTGCTGATGCGTTTTAACAAAAATACATGTTTCAATGTAAAACTCAAATGTTGCCTTCTTAATGAAGGTGACTTAAAAATGGAATAGGAAAAATAGCTGTGAGATGCCTGGATTCTCTGCAAAAAAGGAATAAAATGATTTAGGAGAAACCAAGGTGTGTGTAGGGGTATGAGCCTTTCTTATTATTTCCTTGGCACCCAGAGTCAAGAAATTGCAAGTTTTACAAGTGGAGCCTTATTTCATAATCAAAAACAACACTATAAATTGTGAGGCAACGTCAATTGAGGCATGAATAGTGTTGTCCAATAGATGTAATTTTGCCAAACAAGAAGAACATTGTTGTCCAGAAAATCTCCCAAACTAACATACTACAAAGGAAAATAATCAAACAAAATAAGAGTGGATCCATTACCTTTCCTTCCTGCACAAGGAAGATTAAAATGCCCAGACATATTTCATCTTTGAAATATTTCTAAATCAAGTCTTCAGATCTAATAGGAGATGCAACCATAATAGTTTGGATGAAATTCAGAGTAAATATAAAATATTCATTAGTTTGTGAAACACATCGAAAAATACAGCTTAAAAATTACCCACTAATAACATAAACACATATGGCCTATGCCAAGTATTATCACTTTAAAAAGTATGAAATGTTCACTTTATTTGTAGAATAAACAAAAGGAAAATTTATTTTGAATGTCCCTGTGAATATTCAGTGACATCATTTTAATATTGGCCAAAAAAGTGGAGAGAAGGACCAAAGAACTCAAAACAAGAATGCTGTTTTTAATGATGTTTCTAAATACAGTCAACTGAAAAAAAACCTAGGTTTTGGTTTGGTTATGTAAGCATGTTCTGATCTCAGGTACAGTCAGTCATGCATCTCAGCATATCTGGCTTAAATAAAATAGTAGATACAAGTGATTTGTCTTCTTATCATAGAATACTAAACATGAAAGAAATAAGAGAGATCCATATATTCCAAATCCCTCACCATATAGAGAAGAAAATTAAAGTTCAGGGAGGAAAAGTGACCTCTCCAAGACTGCCCAGCTAGTTATTGACATAGCCAATATTAGAATCCAGGTTTCCTAATACTTAATCCATGCTTTTATTCTCCAATATCATAACACTCTCTCTTTACCAGTGTTCACCAGTATCAACTGGAAACATGGCGTTGCACTAGATGCTGTGGTAATAATTTCTGTGGCTTCTTCTCCTATTTCTCAAAGGTGGGGTAACAGAACTCTGATTTGTAGCTTAGCTCTGAGTTAGATTCTAGAAGCAAGTATGGAGATCATTTATTGCATAGCTTGATGACCAAACAACCAGACCTGCCACTCCAACCTTTTACCTTAGTTCTGTTACTCACATTTTCCTCCTTTCCTTTCCACTAACACTCTGCTTTCTAGGAACTGGGTCTTTGTCATATTTCCTATGCATGAGTCACAAACTTGTAGTCTAGACCAGGATGTGCCTTACTCTACTCTACTATCCTAAAGAATGGAATCCTACTTCAGGCCACAAGCTAAATCTCAACTAATCTAAGTCCTCCTGAGTTCCACTACTCTAAGATTCCTTCCTTGCATTTGCTGCTGATAGATCTGTTTTGACCTGTAGTCTAAATTCCAGTTAATTTGTCAACATTTTGATATTTTGTCAAGTCCTGCCACTGGCCATCCATAAACTCTATAATATTTGAAGAAAAATTTTCTCGGAGCTACTATTTTTCTTGAGCCATAAGAAACTGTAAACAAGAAGAGGAATGTTGATATTCAGACCAGAGATATTTGAGAGATATTTGAAGTTAAAATTGTGTATATTTCTTAATAATAGACTAAGAACATGTCATATTCATTTGTATTTTTTAATTGCCCTTCACAGTAGATATAATCAGGAAAATGAATCGTTGGATTCCTGTCAATGTCAGTGTTTTAGTGGGCCCAATAAAAGCATCTCATTTTCCTTCTGCACTTGGAATCAATTGAGAGATACAGTCAGGGGTGAGAAATACCAAGATGAAAATATTAGTATTTTTGCAATTAAATGTTAAATTGGAGGATGCAACTTACACTTATCACTGCTTGCTGCATTCCCTAAAATTGTTTGGACTTGTCTAGTCACAGACAACACTATAAATTTGCTATTCATCCCCTTCAAATAGACAGTCATTTTTTTATAGGTTTATTATGCAACCTAGAGCACACAACTATGTGCACCTTTCTGAGAGCAAGCCAAACGACAGAAAAGATAGAATTATATCTCAATAAAACTTAACAAAGTAAAGAAAGGTAGAAGAAGGAGCTGGCTAAAAGACCCACTCTTCCTTCCAAAGGAGTAAGGAATTAGTGTCCCCTAATAAAAGCTAGATATTGCCTTAAGGGTGATATTTGTTAATGTAGGGCACTTTCATTAAAAGGGATTTTGGCATGATGGTCACATAGAAAGGAATATATGTTTGTGGAGACAGGTTAACCTAGCTTTTCATTGTGGTTCTGCCACTTCCCAGAGTACTTAATCTCTCCAAGCTTTTATTTCTACATCTGAAATGTCTGCCTACTATATCTAGCGATTGTGTAAATAAAATTAACTAATTGGTTTGTTGACTCTAAAGTACCCACATATGAAATGGGATTATTATTTCTACAAAAAGTATGAATGAAAAATTCCACAAAAGAATAAATCTCTAAGAAGAAAAGACGGATATGCTCACATTTTCTAAATAACTGTCAAAATATTTGGATAACAAGATAATGTAGCCACATTTTGTTTGCATTAGGGCAGAAACACATTTTTAAGTGAAGTCACTGGCCTCTTTCAGATGCCATTCTTAGACTTCTTTTTTATAAACTTTTTGTCTTATCCTTCGAAAAGTCATTAATCAAGCCATTGATTGATGTTTGAAGTAATGCAAGTGCCGCTGTTACATATTCAATATTAATAAAATTATGTATACAACCTAGTAGATTCTACATACACCACACAAATTTCCAACATTCCCTTATGCTACCCCAAATCTGAAATTTTCACAGAAGTATTTATCAAACTTTTTTTAGGGTTATGGATTCCCTAGGGCATCCATTCTCTACCGTTTCTTCTTAAAGAACACTGGTTCTACTGTCTTATTTTTAGGTTATCCGTAACACTTTTTAAATAAAATTTTATCTAGTTTTCAAAATTAGGATAGGATTTTAATATGTGGAATCAGACTTTTAAAAATTATTTTCCTGGAGTTGTTCAGGGACAAAGTCTTCAGGACTATCTAGTATGATGTCCTCAGTTTCCAGAGAAGAAAACCAGAAACCTGGAGAGAAGTAACTTGCTCAAGATTGTAGTACAAAGAAGAATCTCTTCTGAGGATGCCTGTGTTTTGCTCACTGCATCCCAATGTTTGAAGCGCTATTGACTAAGTATGGTATTTGTGATGTAGAATTAGCAGGAATACCAATATGCTGACCTTGCCAAAGCAAAGCATTTCAAATTTTATCAGGTCAAATTCTCACTTATGAGCTCAGTTTTGTAAGGTGCATATTAATAAGCACATGCTAAAGTGCCATCTATAAAGTAAGTATTTAATAAAATTTTGGACAACATTTTTTATTCTCTTATGCTGTAGTTGAAATAGCTTTGTTTCCCTGGCACAGATGGGACTGTAAACTACCTAGGGATATTGTAAATTCATGTGCATGATCACCAAATTTTATCAGGCATAAATATAATATCACACTGTCTCTTGGGAAACATGTTAATGTTAATATTTTTCCACAAGTAGATCAGTAGCACTGTCTTCAGCAATGACAGAGGGCATACTCTGAGCTATTATATCATATTTGAAAATGAGAAAAAATTGAAATGAATTGACTTTTGAGATAGTAAATTTCTAAAAATAGCCAAGAATTTGCTTGCATAGAGCTTAAAATATGTCATCTGACTCTCCTTTGTATTTAACTAATATCTATTGAGACCATTTTGATTTAGAGGCTGTTTCTGAGTGTCATGTGGAGATAAAAATAAACAGACACACCCTATATGCTTACAAAATGTGCGCCTTTCTTGTAAACCTATATTGCATGTATGTGGGAGTAAAACTGCTCTATAGAACTTACGTGAGTTAAATCTGCTGTAATTTTCTATCATTTTCTTTGTATTCACTTCTACGCGTTAAAACTATATTCTTCAAAAGTAACACCAGGGACCTCCTGAGTACTCAGAACATTTGGTTTTGCTGTTATCATTATTAAATATTTAACCATATCAAAATTATGTAGTGTAATATAACAAATGCCCATGTATCCAGTACACAACGTTTTAAAATATCAACCTCATAGTACTTCTATAATATTAAATAACTTAATACAGATAAAGTGTTTTCAAAAATGCTAAACACTAAATGCTGAAGAAACATTAATAAATATGATGATATCATCTTCATTTGCTGTATTTTCTTGTGATATTTTAAGGAGAAATAAAACATTCTTACAAGTAAAGATCCCACTGTTAGCATCCCAAATCCATGTTCTTATAAATTACCACGTATGTATATGTTTTCTATAAATAATAAAGTACTTTTGACATTTTAAACTTCTATAAGTAATATAACAATGCAATATACTTCTGTGCTTTTAAAAATTGGCATCATGGTTTTGCTATCTAACCATATTCAAACGGATGGTAGATACATAATACAGAGAGAGAGAGATACAGAGATAAAGCTGATTTATTCTGTGCATCAGATTGCTATTGGTTAATACTAGTATTACTTTCGTAGTGTATCTTTTATTATATTTGTCTATCTTCATTACCTGTATCTGGACTGTATTTCTGCCTCTCTTTAAACAGATGCCAATAATTTTATTAGTTGTGATTAGTACATAGATTCATTTCTATTAATTTTCTGTTTTTCTTTACCATTTTTCTCTTTGTTCTTTTTTTCCCTTTCTTGTCATGTATTGAATTGACCAAATTTTCATCATTTATCTCTTACATTTTTTTCTTTCCTCTATTTGTCTGGAATTTATATTTTCTATTTTATTTTGATGATTTTCTTTACATTTCAACAGGTGCACTTAAGCTGAAATTGTTATAGTCAGTGTCTATATTTTCTTTCCTCAGAGACAAAGATCTTAGAATACTTTGATTCAAATATATCTCTTCCAATCTTTCATACTATTGTCTAGCTTTCTAGGTGCACATTGTTATTAAGCCTCACAGTAATTATTATTATAATTGATTGGTACTTTTATTTACAGTTTGATTGGAACTTTCGTGTAGCGTTAACCATTACTGATTCAAATTTACCAACTAGTTTTACCAATTTCTTTCTTCATCATTGCTCTTGCCTCCAAGCCCTTCATTTCTTTTTTCAAACTTAAGTACATTTTATAGTAGTAAACCCACACATTTTGTAGGTCCCAATGTTTCTTTCAGTTTCATTCTTAAATGGCACTTTAAATGAATTTATAGTTTTAGATTAAGTTATATCAACACATTGGCTGGCGCGATGGCTCACTTTTGTAATCTCAGCACTTTGGGAGGCTGAGGTGGGTGATCACTTGAGTTCAGGAGTTCGAGACCAGCCTGGCCTTGAACATGGCAAAACTCCATCTCTACTAAAAATAAAAAAAATTATCCCAGCATGGTGGCACACACCTGTAATTCCAGCTACTCGGGAGGCTGAGGCACCAGAATCGCTTGAACTTGGGAGGCAGAGGTTGCAGTGATCCGAGATTGCGCCACTACACTTCAGCCTGGGTGGAGATTCTGGAAAAAAAAAAAGAAAGAAAGAAAAAGTTATATCAGTACATTGAAGAAATTATTCCATTTAATTCTGACCTTTATTTTTGCTGATAAGAAGCCTTATGTAAGCCTACAGTTCCATTGTGGATAATTAGTCTTTTCTTTCTGGTAAACTGTATGTATTCTTTTGGTCTTTGATATTTCCATTTTAGTGACTTGATTAGCCTAGATATAAGTTTGATGATTTTGTTTTTCATCTTGTTCAGTACCTAGTGTATTCCTTAATGGTAAGCAGGTTTGTCTTTTCTCAATTCTGTGAAGTTCTTAGTCAATTATTTTTAGAAAATTGTCTCTTTCTCATCTTCTTTAATCTGTCCTTCTGGAGCTCCTACTAGATAATACTCTATTGGATCTTCTCCATGTTGTTTGGATTTCTTTCTTAAATTTTTCTTATCTTTAATGCTCTATGCTACAATTGGATCATTCTCTCAGATTTATATTCCATTCCACTAAGTATTTCTTCAACTATATATAGTCTACTTTTTTCTTTTCCTCAAGTTTCTTACAAAAAATACTTGTATTTTGATTAAGAATTTTTGATTTTTTTTTTATTTTTCTGTGGTTTCTTGCTCTTACTTGTATTATATCTATGCTTTATTTGACTCTTAATTATTCTTTTAAACATGCTGTAAATCTCTTTCACTTTGTTCTATTAAATATAGTTTACATTGTATTAAATTGTATGTTTGTTTTATTTGCTTACTCTCTCTTAGTGGTTCCTTTCCATGTGTGATATATCATTTTAACTATAATCTCATCTTCAAAGTAATTATTTCTGTACAGGATTCTTCCATCTACTGGATTGTGCAGATTTGCTTCAGCTTCATATTTGTCTCTGTCAGCCTCTAAGGGTATCAATGTTTCCAAGGCTACTTTTATATTAATTTCTTTGTTTGCAATTTTTATCATTTTTGCATAGTATAAATTAGACATTTTTCTGCCTGTGGTGCTTGTTTGAGGTTCTGATTCCTCACAGGTAATAATTTTTTTACAACACTGTCAAGATGGCCAACATTCTTACTAAGTCTCTAGGCCTCTAGGCCAGTGAGTAGAGCTATTTTAATGCCTGTTTTATAGAAATATGGATTCTACCATTTTGCAGAGAGCTCAGTTCCAGTTTTCAGCCATCCATGGATCCAAAGCCTTTCCACCTTTTTTATGTATTAAAATGCCAGTATCTACAAAATATTCCTGGATCTGTTATCCCATTAGTAATTTGGTTCCACTCTTATGGTCTATATACCTACTGTTATCAAAAAATTCCTAAATGTTTATTTCCAACTGGGGCTCTAGTGTTAATGTTTTAACTATTTACAAGATATTTCCACATTCATGTTCACCATCACCTCAAACTACATTTCTAAAACACTTTTCTTCATATGCCAAAAAACTGATTTACTCTTCTGAATTTCCTACAAGAAGTACTTTATTACAACGCATACTTGAGAAAACATGTACCATGCCAAATATGTCACACACCAACAACAAAAATTTTGTAGTATATAAGAACTTATTTTCTTAAAGAGAAAAATTAAACTCCTGATATACAACTCTTATTTAGATACACACTTAATGGATATATCTGTGGCATGTTGTACTTTTTGAACAATGTTTTCCTTTCAAAATTTACTACATGTTTAAATCCAACAAGTCTAAAGGGGGATTTTTTTTCTACTTGATTATTTTATCTTCATCATGCTTGAATTAATGTATTAGGTCTGTACTTCTTTAAGAAGCATTAGTTTTTTCTTAAGTTTCTTCTGTTATAAAATACAATTAAAATGTATTTAAATATGTAAACACTTGTACTGACAGGTATTGTTCTGCTGACATTGATGAATATGCCACCAAAACTGAATGACTGGCTGGCAGAGAGTACCAGCATGCAGTAACTCATAGTTATTATTTGTCAGCTGATATACAGAAGTCTAAATTAAGTAAAAAACATACATTTTAGGGTGTATATTAAACCATCTCAAATAACATTTTATAATATCAATTAAGGAGAAAAAATAAAGTCTAACTAGGCTTGAAGCACAGTATCAGCAGTCATTAAGCCAGCTTGCCCTTTGACCCACTTTTTTTGTAGCTGGTAACTACTTGCTATTCTGGGATAATGTAACTCTTTTTACAAGAGTTTTTATTCTTTTCCTGTTGTATGGATAAAATTCAAGGTATTGTGAAGAAATAGGCTTTCTGTTTAAGCTTCTTCTTTAGGTTATGCATGCCAACAAAACTATCAACACCAGCTGGTCTGGAGGGCCTAGTAAGAACCATCTCATGGAGAAATTCAGTTACCATATTACGATGATTTCATCCCCCTTATCCCAACCAATCAACAACCCAAATTTTCTAGCCCTTCACCCTTCAGAATCTCCTTGTCCAAAACTCCTCAACAAAATAGGTTTGAGGCTTGAGAATTCTTCCCATTTCCTAGTTTGTTGCCTTGTGATTATTAAACTCTTTGCTGCAAACCCCACTGTCAATGTATGTGTCTGTTGCTATGCAGCACACATATGAACCTGGCAGTCTTGTTACAGTGTCATTTAAAAATACTATGTGAAAGTGAGAACTACATGAAGACTGATTGTAACCGAGTTAATGAAATTTCTTATTTGGTACTTATCTTCCTATCACTCACGTATAAAGCAAACATTTTCTTTTATATTCATCCCTGATTTTTCATATCTAGTTAGCCATAAAGTCTTACAGATTTTTAATTGGATGTGTTTCTGAATTCTCATGTTGTACCACCTTCTCTGACACTGATTTAGTTCAGGATTTTATGACCTCCCATGTAGGCTTATAATTCATTTCTATGATTCCCAAACTGCTCACCTCACTGCACTCAGAACATGCCCCTCACATTCTCATATCTGTGTTTTTCTTATTCTGTTCTCCTCAAAGAAGATACTGCCATCATGTTAACCACTGTGACTATGATGCTTATCAGAATTACATGCTTGTTTCAAATTCTACCTCAAACTCTACTATATAAGGCTGTTCATTATTATGTTAACTTGAAACAATCACTCACCACACTTACATATTATGCTACCTGTCTGACACGTGTAATAAATTTCCTTGCATAGTGATGGATATAAGATCATAGAGGTAAAAAGTATATGGCAAATTTCATGGATCAATAGAATTTTGCCGATATAAGAATCTTTAAAAATACTTTGAACCTGATCTCTTCTACTGGACATATTCAAATTATTTCAAACATCTACTTAATTTTCTTGAATAGATGGTAGCTTGCAAATCGTCTTAGTGCCCCATATTAGTTCTTAATATGGGGTCCATGAGACCCTAGATGACCTGCGCTTGTCTCAACACTGGTCCTTTATAAATGTCATCACTTCTTCTTCGAACCCACTCTTTCCCAGCTTCTACTATTTACTTGCAGAAATCTTAGTTATCCTTCATATTTCATTTTTAAAACCCCTTTATCTGGAAAGCCTTCTCTGAACTCCCAGATTAGTTTTGGTATCTTTGTTGTACACTGCAGCACACTGTACTTTAATTCTATAGTATATTTTATAAACTGAATTTTTAGGCTACTGAAGAGTAATAAATATTATTCAAACAAGTGTTTTAGTTTTTGCTCTCCCAAAAATCTAATGATGGAGATGAATCCATATATTATGACTGAAAAAAATATATTGAATTTTGCTATCCTTCTATAATCCCTAGAACTTTTAAATTCCTATGATTGTCTTGGTTTTCTAAACCAGTATCATTTGCTTTATAATCATGCCATTCTTTCTTTGTTCCCTGATCCCCCTTTCCCATACTATGTGTAGCTCTGCACAGTTAGTGTTCTGCACACATGTAATATACAGGAATGGCATATAAAGCCTGATGAGTAAGGGAATGGTTGTTCTTCATCCCTTCTGGCTGTTTTTAACTTGATATTTTACTCAAAATACATTTGATGTTTTTGTTCCTTGCATATGGGTGGAGAGGGGGATTTTCTAAATACCTACATTTGATTATATGTCTATCATTATGTATTTTTAAATTAATACCTCTATTCTCAAATAAAGAATTAGCTCTATGAGGGTAAAGAACATTGACTAATTTTGTTAATCGTCATATCACCAGTAACTAGCACTGTATTTTGCACATAGATTTTGCTAAGTATTTGCTGAATAAATAAATAATAAGCAAAATTCAATAAAATCACCACAGTTAGGCAGCAATCCTGAGAGCTAAAGGCTTAAGTGGAGGTTTATAAAGTTAGGTATGAAAGTTTAGAAACAGATGCAGAGGAAAAGTAATTATGAACTAAAGCATGGCTTATAAGTTTTTATCTCTGTGTTGAAGAGGTAGCAGTTTTCCACACTTTACCATTACTGCCTGAATCCAGATACAAGGTTATGTTCTGTGTAAAATGAAAAGCAAAAACCAAACTGTGCTCTCTGTGTGTGTGTGTGTGTTTGTGTGTGTGTGTGTGTGTGTGTTTGTATCACCACTTGTACTCTTCTGGGAGATAATCCTTTGGATGAGACTTTCATTGTCTTCCAATGAGTGTAGTTCCTATTTTATTGTCTTCCAATGAGGGTAGTTCCCATTTTATTTTCTTACAATGAGTATAGTTCCTAATTCTATCATGATTTTAAGTTCAGTGAAACAGAGGATTCTTCAGAATAGAGAAAAACATTTCTTGGTTGTTTTGGCTACTTGTTATTTTCCAGATTAAGATGGATTCATTAAAGTCTTATCACATTTGTTTGCATTAACGAAAACATTAGTTAACAAAATCAAATCTATTCAATAATATCAAATTGACTCTATCTTGTTTTCTTGTTGTATTACATAAAATTATGAAGGTAATGCATAAGAATTTCTTGACGTAGTACCTTACATACACAGTAAGCACTTAAAAATTTACTCATTCATTTTTTTCTCTTGTATTTTATTGTTTTATTTTTATTATTCTATTATTTATTTATTTATTATATATATTTTTTAATTCTGAGACAGGGTCTCACTCTGTCACCCAGGCTGGGGTGCAGTGGCATGATCATGGCTCACTGCAGCCTGGAAATCCCGGGCTCAAGCTATCCTCCCACCTCAGCCTCCTGAGTAGCTGGGACTACAGGTGCACGTGATTACACTCAGCTAACTTTTGTATCTTTTGTAGAGACGGGGTTTTGGCATGGTGCCCAGGCTAGTCTCAAACTCATGGGCTCAAGCGATCCTCCTGTCTTGGACTCCCAAAGTGCTGGGTTTATAGGCATGAGCCACCTGGCCTGGCTATGTTCGTTTATTTTTAAATAGTTGCATTTATTTTTACCTCTGTCTTGGTATATTGGATTTTTTTTTACGATTTTCTTGAACACATTTCATAAACTACAGAGATTAATATAAATGTAAAGTTAACACTGGATTACTATCACTAAAATATAGGTGCATATTTGCCTGATATTCTCATGCTATCAAATAGATTTTTATCATAATACGTTGCTGTCTAACAGCAGTGGATTCAGAACAAGAGAAGTTTGTGCTCTTTTTCTTTGGCTATTTGCCAATTGGATCTTTCAAAATGTTTCTTTCCTTTGGACAATGAAGTTAGTTTAAATATTAATATTATATACACAAAAAGATTTTTAGTTAATTGTTCTGCATACATTCAGGGTTTATGTAGTATTCTGTATCCATATTAGATTGAAATGCATAGAGGGTTTTTGGTGTTGGCTATTACATTTAGTTTGTTAAAATCTTGCCGATTTCATTCTGTATTGTTGAGACAGAAGTCTTTTTATTGATTGCCTCACAATTTTCCTTGCTGATGGCCCCCGTCAGGCAGACTTTGAGCTAATTAACAGAGCTTTGATCTTGACTGCTCCTTTCCTCAAATTCTCCACAGGAAGGAAATGTAGGAATACTTTGTAAAATTTGACTACATAAGGAATGATGATATGATAATGATAAAGATGCTATAGCAGCGGTGTCCAATCTTTTAGCTTCCCTGGGCCACATTGGAAGAAGAATTTTCTTGGGCCACACATAAAATATGGTAATGATAGCTGATGAGCTAAAAAAATAATTCACAGAAAATCTAATCATGTTTTAAGGAAGTTTATGAATTTGTGTTGGGTTGCATTTATAGCTGTCCTGGGCCACATGCAGCCCACGGGCCACAGGTCAGACAAGCTTGTGCTACAGAGATTTGAATAGATTTGAGATATAACACACCAATCTGTAAATCCATAACCGGTAAAAAGACAACCATCATAAAGGTAGAGGGTATGATACCCATGATGCTAAACAACTGATTGGACTTACCAAAGGTTTTTTCATCCAACACAAATTTTGAAAATTATAGTGCTCCGTGAGCCATTGAGACAAAGCCTGTTTGAACTGGCCCTAGCTTATATTCTGCCTGTGTCTTTAAGAGCTGAATGTTTTAAGCCTAGAAATTTTCTCATCTGCAGATGAGAAATTAGGGAAATCATAATAATGCATCATCGGGATTTTAAAAGTGTGATATGATAATTATAGAACACAAAAAGGCATTTTAGCGTGTTACATAAAATTATGAAGTTAATGCAGACAAATTTCTTGGCATAGTTCTTTGAATACACAGTAAGTACTTAAGTAATATTAGCTGTTATTGTCGTTGCCATGTTGCTTCTGCTGCTGTGTGATTGTTGAAATTTTTATTTTTACTTTTAGTGAAATATTTCCATACGAGAAGTACAGGACATTTACGACGTAGTTACAGTGACTGTCTGTCCTCACCCAGTCTGACCGTTTTGATTGTACTTATGGAGGAAACCAAATAAAATATTGAAAAGTTTATGACAAACGTTAGATGTAGACCACAATGTTAAGCCATGTTGTAGCTACCTGCAGGCTCAGGATAAGATAGTCAGAGTTTGGTGAGCATAGAGATAGCTCATTGACTTGCAATTTACTGTCACCTGGAGAAAGCACCAATACTATGGTTATGATGTCAAAATTGCAGATTCATGCTTTGATGTATTTCTCCTGATTTTCTATTTGACATTAAGAGACAAGACAGTGACTGTTTGGATCCCATCTTATAACCATACCCAATTAACCAACTCACAGCTCAGATAGTACTGAAGGGAGGATCTTGCAAAACATTTTCTGCATAAGAATGGCACTGTATTATTCAATTAGCTGAGCAATATTTCCAGGATCAGAATTCCACCCAAACAACTTTTGCTTAGTACAGACCCCAGTTAGCACACTTGTTGAGTGTTTTTTCTTACTACTAACATGAAGACTCATGAATTTTTTTTTGAAACATTTTAATTAAAATCTCCAGAAGGGAATTGTATTTGTCATCTGATACGTTAGTAGGTCTTTAAAAATTGTTTCTTTCCAACATTCTTTCAATGCACCTTAATTTATATAGTACTATGTAAAATCTTTCCTCTTTTAAGAATTTTCCTCTAAGACATATGGCTCATTATATTTTCACCATCACATGCTATATGGAATAATATAAGTGACTAGATGCAATAAGAACCAATGATGAAATTCTCCTGAACCTAGATAATTTTCAGGGTCTTTTATGAGATACCTACACACAGTTTTAGATCTGTCCTTTAGCTCTGAGTGCCTTTTTGGATAAAGTGGTTATCAGAGAATCCCTAAATAGCCTTCTATCATTCCATATGAAGAAGTATTTTCTTAAAATGAAGTATTTTTATGAAGCTATGTAATAAGGTGAAAAGCCTCCATAAATTCAGTAACATTAATACAGTCAAAAATTACAATACTTCCGTTACTGTCAGGAGCCAATCGGAAAATATAAATTAATCTCTCTGACAATCCCGTTATAGGAAAAGACAGTTTTCATTTGAGGTATTTGCAGAAAAGCCTGCAACTTTATTAATACAACGCATGCCTTTTAACTTGAGGCCCCACATTTTGGCAGCTGCACTAAATGCAGAAGAGTTTATAGCTGTCTTTACCTACTGTATTGAGACAGTTCTCAAGTGCTTCTGAGTGCCCAGTAGGTGCACCAAATGCTGTGCTAGACTCTGTGAGAAGCTACCAAAGAATTCATAGGCATGACCCTTGGCCTTGTGAAGTTTGCAGTCTAGTTGGGAAAAGAGGATGCAGTCCTACAAAATAATTTGAAGAAAAATACCTAGCAACATTCCGAAAAGTGAAAAACAAATAGAAACCAAATACAAATTGTCTTTGTAGAGAAACATGTGAGTTGATTTTGCAATGATAAGGTTAGCTCTTTTTGTGAGCTTTTAGGTATGAAATTCTGTGTCTATTTTACTCTAGCCTTTCTGATTTATACAGGAGATCATACAGGAAGCTCCATAATGAACCAGAAAATGTGGGATATAATAAGTCATCTTGACATCAATTCATACCACTTCTGCTCTGCAGCATCTTTCATCTTAGAAGTCCTTTTTTCAAAGCCTAAGGCTAGGCCTGCCTCTCAACTAGTGCACATATTTCACCTGGTTTCTCTCTAAAAACAGGACAATGGTAAAATCTATAAATTTTGCTTCTGTTTTTCATATTCACTGTATTCCTCCTGAAGCCTTCTAGCCAAATTAGATTTAAAACTATGGGAAAAATGCTTTCTGAGCCTGGCTTTGCATGGTAGAAGCCAAATATTTATTTAATACAAGTGCTATTGAGAAATAACAATCTCTTTCTTCCGTGTTTCATAAAATAAGTCTCTCTCAAGACCAAGGCATTTTGTTTTGTTATTATTTTGTTTTTGCAATATGCTGTATGTATTAAACTGGTAGAATAGCCTTTTGTTAGGAAGTTGGAGTGTTCCTAATAAATAATCATTGGCACTCCAACCCTACACATTTTACTTTCAGTTCTATTTGGACTAAATACTATACATTTCCACTCTTCTATTTTGTAAACATTTTTCAGGATTCTGTGGTTTCCCCCTATTTCCTTCATATATATTCTCTCCCATCAGATGGAAAGACTCACTCATCACAAACCAGTTGTAGTTTTGTGATTATAGAATGTCTATATGAAGCCGAAAAGCGGCACCCTGTAGTTCAGATTTTGCTATAGAATCAATGAGTCTAAACACTGTTGCTCAAAGTGTTGTCTTTGAAGTCTTCAAACCAACTGCATTAGAATCAACTGGGGAACTCATTTAGAGATACAGATTTCTGGACTCTACCTCAGACCTAACGAATCAGAATCACTGTAGACTCTGCTTTTGTTTATATTACCCTTTTTCTAGAATGCTCTTTCTCTCTGCATAAATTCTGTCTATCTATTAAGGCTCAGCTCAACTATAGCCTATTCTATGAAGCCATTCTTTATCCACTTCATTTTAACACGTGACCTTCTCTGAAATTATGGCATTAGAACTGGGGTACAGAGGATGTTTGGGGGAAATGGGATAGGTCATCCAGGAGAAATGTGATAGGAAGCATCTAAGATTTGCACTTATATTTGTACTTGCATTTAGAAACCTGAGCTGAAAATGCTACAAATAACGAAGTAATCATCGACATGACATCTGTGTTTAAAGGGGGTCTGGTGACACAATTTTGCAATAAAAACCTATGTTAAAAGTGGGATAAAATGGCTAGTCTTCTAGGCAAAAACATGTTCAATATAAGAGAGTGAAGTCGTGGTATAGCCTTTGAAAGGAGACAGATAACATCCTAATTAAGCATGCAAAGTTATGAGAATATTTTACATTAGAGTCATGTTAGCACAATGGAGTAAGGTATAAAAACAGGAAACTGACAGAGATATTGAAAGTAAAGTCATAGATAAAATGATTATTAAATAACAGAGCCGGGGTATGGACCTAGGTGGGCCTGACTTCAAAGCCTATGCTCTGAACCTCTTAATTGCATCTTTGTCCAAACAGTGTTTTTACCCTAGAATGTTCTTCCCCTCTGTGTTTGCTGTAGAAACCCTGTCCCATATTCTGCATCGCAGTGCCCTTCCAGGCTGCTAGGGCCACCCTACTCTGACAGTAACACTGACTTCTAACTCTGTCCCATCACTTTCATTTGAAGAGCATGGAGGTGCACTTTTCTGGCCTCTTTTGCTGAAATAGTTGTCTTGAGGTTGAAAATACCAATGACTAGTTCACTTTTCTTAGGAGGCCGGGGCCACAGGAAGAGCTGTCCAGCAAAAAAGGAGGTCTGAAGACCACCTATATCAGCATTATTTGTTTGAAAGGCATATTTCCTGGCCTTACCCCATATATGTTGAATCAGAATCTTTAGCTTGGAACACGGGAATTTTCATTTTTAACAGCTACCCCAGGTAATTCTGATGTATAATGGAATTTGAGAATCAATAATTCTAGTTATTCCAGAAAGCTGACCAACATGCTAAGTCCTAGTTCATTTCAAATGTTTCCATTTCATTGAGACAGCACAGAAGACGAATTCTCAGTTTATTTTCTATAGCACTAAAAAGCAAAGGTGTGAACTGTAATTATTTCTTCTGGGGCAAACATCTGTAAACAACACCTGACATCTCGCCTCTGCTTAGCTGTCCCACTTGTGGATCGCTAGTTACAACAGTTTTAGAAAGAATTATTAGGAAAGATAACTGAAAAAAAATGCAGGAAATCAGCTAAAACATTAGCTGAATGGAGAATTTGAGCTTATTTCCTAATCATATTTCACAGGGAAAGAGCCAGCTGATGAATTTTAGAGTTGCAATAAGCTAGATTTTTGCTGTACTCGTAGAACATAAACTTAGTTGATTGCAGTGTGTAAATATTCTTCCAATTCCTTTGACAACATCTAAAGAAACAAATAACTCTTGTTTTAGAAATAAGGGAGAAAATTACTGATTTTAAAATGATAATGGATTAAATAACTGCTGCCAACAAAAGTCCCTTGATTCCTAGAACCATGATTCAGAAGTCTCCTGCTGTTTCTTTTTGGGGAAATGTGATTCATTTTTCACTGAGCTGCCAACTGTCCCCATGAAATTAATGCATTGATACTAGGACATTAACAAACATAAGAATAAAACCAATGTATATGTCATTTATGAACGAAATTATGTTATGGATTTTTTAAATTTAATTTTACCTCCTGAAAAAGTAGTGCCAGACTGCTCACAGAGACAAGGGTGTTGGGGAGAGGGATTAGTGATTGTGTACTGGAAACATATTTCTGCTTTTGAAACAGTGAAAATTCTTCTTAATATTATTATGGTTCACATGTTCCTACAATTTATCCTTTTTCCAAAGACATTGTTTCTGTTCTGAATTTACATTGCATTTCTCTTATCAGTATTCCTTTCTCAGAAATGCAGAATGAATATTTCTAGTCTCTACTCTGGCATTTGTTCTGAGCAAAGGATTGTATTTCCTATATCTGACATACCTTTTTCAAAGCTCCCTTGTAAATAACTCTTTGATAATAATAACTTTTATTCAATAATAACAATTATTGAATGTCTACTAGACATATGTGTTAATACATTATTGCTAATGCTTACAAACATTCTACTGATAGCACTATTACCTTTTGCAGTGTTTTGTTATATTGATGGCTCCCAATAAACCATGCCTCGTAGAATATGTTCCCATGTGTACTCCCTTCCTACGCTCAGGTTGGCCACGTGACTCACTTTGTCCAATGGGACATCAGCAAATGTGATGCAAGCATAGGTTTGACAAGCACCTGTAACTGAGTCCAAAGCTGATACTGCTGACGGCATGACAGCCGGTAAGTCAAGGAACAAGGTGTTGGAGCAAGGAATGTGACTTTATTTCACATATCCAGCAAACAGAGTAGATGGCAGACTAACGTCCTAAAGGCATGTTAAAAGGCATGAATCTCAAGCTTCCTTTTTACTGGAGAAGGGGAACAAGTAAGGTATTGAGGTTAGCAGGTGATTAGTGACCACAGACATCTGGGCATCAGCATGAGACCTAGGAGTTGGCAAAACTTCTTTGTCCTTGGTCAGGTTACAGTGCTCCTATAAATCTTTAACATAACATTGATATCTGTGTGTAAACCCTCTTTATCCTCTCAGGGGTTAGTTTGGGGAAGGGACTATTATTATCCTTGCTTTAAAGTTAAAATATAAACTAAATTCCTCCCATAGTTAGCTTGGCTTACATGCATGAATAAGCAAAAGCAGTTCGCTTGTGAGGTTAGAAACAAGACGGAGTCAGCTATGTTAGATTTCTCTCACTGTTACATATATTTAGTCTTGTACTTCTGAAACTCTTCCTCTTAAGACTAAGCTGTAATATTGTAAGGGAGAATAGGCCATTTTGCTTGAAAGAGGGAGACTACATAGAGAGATTCTAGAAGATGAAACAGTATGTAGAAGGAAAGGCCAGGTAAATTGGAGCCCCAGTCAACTCCCAGATCAATTCAGCCTCTTGGGTAATTTCAGCCGATAACATGTGGAGCAGAAGTACAACCTTGTCAACCAACAGAATTACGAGAAATAATAAATTGCTATTATTTTAGGACACTAATTTTGGGATGACTTTTTTCGCAGTGATAGATCATTGATATTTTATAGATGAGGAATTTTGTGCACCAAAGATATTAAGCGAATTGTTCAAGATCCTACAGTTACTACACGGCTTTGTGGTAGTCAGTCCGTAAGATTGTCCCTAATGATACTCACCTCATGTTATGCATATTCCTGTGAATTGTGCTATCACATGTAATATAACTGACCAGTGTAATCAATATTTCAGAAATTGCAATTTGTGATTTCTGAATTTGATTTATAAGACACATCACAACTTCTGCTTTCTCTCTTGGATAACTTGCTCCAGGGGAAACCAACTGTCATATTGTGAGGACTCTCAGTAGCCCCATGGGGATGCCCATAAGAGAAGGAATTGAGGCCACTTGCAAATAACCAGCATTAATAGTCCAGCAATTTGAGTGAATCCCAACCAATCCTTCAGACTGCATACCTAGCTGACAACTAGTTTGAAATCTTGTGAAAGAAACTAAGCCAAAAACTACTCAGCAAGGATACTCCTGAATTTATGAATAATGTGGAAACTTAAAATGAAAAGTATTCGTTGTTTAAATCTGTTAAAGTCTATGCTAATTTATTACATAGCAATAGATAACTAGATTACCCCACCACATTTTTTTCTACTGCACATTGCCATCTACAAGCAGCAACCTTGTACACTGATCTATTAACAGTAAATGTTTAACAGCTTTTCAAGTTCAGTCTTGAATTAATGATCAAACCAATGTAGAATAAAGATTTCTTAATTGTCTAAGTTCAAGAAAATCCATTATCACTTCAATAAAGTTGATTTATTGCTTTCTTTAGTAAAACGGGGCAATCAATATTCTGGCCAATTTAATAGTCCCCCAATATTATATTTTCTCAAATTTCTGCATGAATGAGTACTCAACAAAAAAACACAAATGCACATGTATGTTGTTACAACTAGTTAGCCCTTTATTATATCCATTATTGATACTTTGCGTAGATATATAAGTGCTCTGAATTTCAAATTAATTAATTTTGATATCAGAATTTTTCATATAGCATTTACAAGTTAGTCTTTTTTGAAGATATAGACATATCCTGAATGTCTAATTCAATTATTGAATTTGCAGAACAGAGATTTCTAATATTCAGACCAATATAATAATTCTTACACTTAAGGAAGATACCTTGATAAGTCTCCATTGACTTCGTTGAATGTGTAACTCTGAATTAGGGTCAAATATTTTGATACTACAAATGAAAATGAGATTCTTCCCATCTAGGTTACTAAAATGAACTCCTTTAAAGTAGCATGTGTATAGTAGTGAGTGGCTCAAATAAAAATCCCAGAGCTTGTGTAATTTCAATACATTCACTTTGAAGGACTTCCTAGTAGTTTATTATTATCATTATTATTATTATTTTATTATACTTTAAGTTTTAGGGTACATGTGCACAATGTGCAGGTTTGTTACATATGTATACATGTACCATGTTGGTGTGCTGCACCCATTAACTCCTCATTTAGCATTAGGTATATCTCCTAATGCTATCCCTCCCCCGTTCCGCCACCCCACAACAGGCCCCAGTGTGTGATGTTTCCCTTCCTGTGTCCATGTGATACTAAAACCACACCTATTAAGCTTCAGTGTACTTTTCAGGAACTAACTAGTCAATTATTTTAGTGCCCTTTAGATAAAGTAAGAATATATACAAATAAGATCCTGCCCTATCTCATGTAATAATACATTAGGGTTTGGTAGTTAAGTGCTGCAGCTCTGGAATTGAATAGCAATATGTTTTCAATCCCATTTACAGCACTTACTCTAGCCTTGTGACCTTTAATAAGTAAATCATTCTCTCCAAACATCAAAATTATATCATCTGTACAACAAATAGTAATAGCAACCTCATAAGGTAGTTTTGATAATTAAATGAATAAATGTAATGATTCATAGGATTAATGAATGGAAGGAAAATAGTATACTATGTCTGACACAGAATAAGCACTCAGTAAATGTTATGATTATTATCAATTATTATTTTGTGGCAATAATACTTTGCTTTTGCCAAAAGTTTCTGAAATTGTCTCAGCCCATATTCATTTTGATGAGACAAAATTGATTTTATTATATGAATATTTATCTTGTATCTTGCCTGAACTATGCATTGAATAAATGTTGAATTAGAAGTTAGTAAAATAATCTTGTGCATTAAAGAGAGAAGAGCCACAGAGCAATTAAGAACTTGCATTATTTTGCCTGTTTTATGCCATTGGTAAAATAATGTTAGTTTTTAATTGCATTGTGGCTCTTCTCTCTTTAATGTCATTTTCTTCCTTTTTGAATCACCTCAAAAATAGACTTATAATTAAAACTAAAAATAAGTTGTAAAAAACTACAACTGAAAAAATGGTTAAGATGGTAAAAACAAAAGACCTATTGTCTCTCTTAGAAAGATTAGTAGGTGCTTGCCTTTCTGAAAAAGGAAAATTACATTACTTTTCAATATTATTTTATTGTTGTATTTGCAAATCTAGAATTGATATTTGAAGATAATAGTCCAACTACTTACCTTTTTCAGGTACTTTATTTCAAATTAGAATTTACCAATTTTGTTTTGTGATTAAATTAATTATATTACAACGTAGGTTACTTTATCCATACTAATTGCTGCTAGAATGTATTATTTTGAAGTCAGATTGTTTTTATCACACCCTTTTATCATATAAATTGAAGAGACAATGCTGCTGAAATCTGTATATTAAAATACATTTCAATGAACCATTAACAAATCTTTACATAAGTAATTATGCATTTTAAACCCATGAGAGAAAAGTAATCCTGTTGCTCAAGAAAGTGATGTAATTAGAACATCCATGCAAATTAGAATGCAAGAATCTTATGATAACCATGAAATTAACTTTTAAATAATGGAAATTTATAGTCTGTCCTTTTTGTGGAAAAATAGAAAAACTGAAATCTAACAAAGAATGCAATCAGTATGAGACTAAGGACTAAACTGTAGAAGTATAATAAGAACTAACGATATACTTTACTGCACAGCTTGTAATTAAATAATTTCATAAATAGCCCATTTTCTTGAAATAATACAATAGATAGATGATATTGAAATTCATTTAAAAAATGACATTAAGTCTGATGAAATTTGTAGCATTGCTATTCTTAGTGGGAACTGATTATCCCAGGTTGTTGTGGAGGCCTTAATATTTAGGATAGGTACTAGTTGATTTCATAATAATTGAAATAATTTCCAAATACTTGAAATAAAGAGATTAAATTTACACAAAATTTATACTGAACTTATTAAACAATTTATTACTTAAGAAAAGCTAATTAATTATATAAATATAATATTTAGCATATATATATAGAATTATAATGCTGAATCTCTTAAATCAACAACTGAGATCAAAGAAGTGTCCATCTGTCTATGATTTGGTCACACAAACTCATCCTTTTCAACTTTTCTTAATAATAACATATTGTGGTTCTTTAATCTGTAACTTTTCTAAAGAGAATTACAATGTTATAAAATTATATAGCAGTTTTGTGAAGTAGACTAAGGTAAAGTAGGATCATAAATCTCATTTCTAATTATAACCTACTTTGCATAATTAAATGTCTGTTGATTAAGCAAATAGATACTAGATTTAATAGCGTACAGTATATAGTAAATACTGTTATTATCACAATTGTGAAAGTCAATTATCTGTCTAACATTCAAAATTCGCTATTAATCCAAAATGAAATGCTAATTTGCAATACTAAGTTTGAAGTGACTAGTTTTCATTTGAAGGAATAAGTAGATATTTGCTATATGTCTCCTGTTTTCACACAAAGACATTTTTATTTATAACTTCTTCAGCTAACTTATTTTTATTATGTTTTATTTAATTCTTATTATGGATAAGATTTATATCTTACTAGAAATTGTGGAGACTTTCCACCAAATTACATTTCTATTTACCAAATATTTTTATCATTTCAAGAGGAGTTTATTTCAGGCCATCTGAAATCCTCAAATTAGATACCTTCCTCTTTCTGTTTAACAGTGCTTTGTAAAAAGAAATACTCTTTTACACATGGAAAAGCCTCAACTAACTCCTGTTTTTACTGAAGCAAATGAAAGTAAAACTTTGTTGTCCATTGGAGAACTTAGAATAGAAAATCTGAAAGTGTTTAATTATTGCAAAAGTAATGGCTTATTTATTAGACAGAGATAATGAATCAAGATTCAGTGAAATACGTTTATATCAATAAATATGTTACAACACTCTGATCAACCATGATGCTGGCAATAAAAACCAATTACTTGTAAGTTTGGTACTATCTAATTCCAGAACCAGTAATAACCAAATATAGCAAGATATTAATAACTGTAGCCTATCAGTATTTGTTTTGATCCCACAGCTCTGTAACATATATCTAATGTCCTTGGACTGACCAGAGTCATGTATACAGATGAGAAGACTCAATCTTCAGTGCACTTACAAATTCTATTTACTTAGCTTTCTTAGAGTCTCATCTTTACTGTGATATTTTCTGCATTGTTTATCTCTAAATGCAGAGCATGGAAAAGAACCAATCCCATAAGAGCAAATCTGATATAACAGGTCATGTTTCTCCACATAAACTGGTAATACTGTTAGGAGAATACGTTCATAGACTGTGAACTTGAAATTTACATAAAACTATTGAGAAGAGTGGAGAAAAATAATTAATATGTTAATGAGTACTGATGTCCCTTCACAATTTGTTGCAGCAGTAATATGAAGCAGCATCTGAAAGATTTATATGACATCTCTAAAACGTTCTAATCCTGTGGTTCTCAAAAGTTTTCTTTCATAAGAATCACCCAAGGAACCTGTTTCACATCCAAGGGCAAAGATTTTGAGGTTGAGCCCTAAAAATTCCCTAATCTCATCTGAGGAATTTCAACTCAAACCATCAGATAAAATCTTCTCAGTTCTTATCTCATCCAGTGACAGAAACATAATTTGTGTCTGAATATTATAGAGATAGCATCAAACCTACAGTGCGAGACCTTGCTAAATTTTTATTCTGTGCTTATCAATTTCTCCTGGATTTTAAATTTTATCTAGAATAATTTCCTTGAATTTTAACATAATATAACGAATTGTTCATTTTAAAAAATAGTTTGGGAGGAGGGGCCAAGATGGCCAACTAGAAACAGCTGTGGTCAGAGGTTCCTACCAAGAAGAATGAAATGGTGAGTGAATTATGTGCCAGTTACTGAGGTACCCAGATTCTCTTATTGGGACTGACTAGATGGTTGGCATGATCCAAGGAGAGTGAGACAAAGCAGGGTGGAGCTACAACACACCCAGGAGATACATGGGGTAAGGAGAGCTCCCACCTCCAGCCAAGGACGGTAGTGAGTGATTGTGCTACCCCACAATAAATGGGTGGAGGGAAATTTACCAAGCAAATAGAAAGCAGAAAAAAGTAAAGGTTGCAATCCTAGTTTCTGACAGAAAGGACTTTAAACCAACAAATATCAAAACATACAAACAAAGGCATCACATAATGATAAAGGGCTCACTTCAACAAGAAGAGTTAACTATCCTAAATATATATGCACACAATACAGGAACACCCATATTCATAAAACAAATTCCTGGAGACCTACAAAGAGATTTACACTCCCACACAATAATAGTGGGAGACTTTAGCAGCCCACTGTCTATGTTAGACAGATCATAGAGACAGAAAGTTAACAAAGATATTCAGGACTTGAACTTAGCACTGGATCAAGTGGACCTGATAGATGTCTACAGAACTATCTACCTCAAAACAACAGAGTATGTATTTTTCTCGGAGCCACATGACACTTACTCTAAAATTGAATCACATGGTTGGAAGTAAAACATGCCTCAACAAATGCAAAAGAACTGAAATCATAACAGTCAATCAGACCACGGCACAATCAGAATGGATTGGAGCTCAAGATTCAGAAACTTACTCCACATATGTAGTTCCACATAACTACATGACAATTGAACAATGTGCTCCTTAACGACTCCTGGGTAAGTAATGAAATAAAGGCAGAAATCAAGAAGTTCTTTGAAACCAATGAGGAAAAGGAGTCTATGTACCAGAATCTCTGGGATGCAGCTAAAGCAGTGTTAAGGGGAAAATTATCGCTAAATGTCCCCATCAAAAAGCTGGAAAGATCTCAAATCGACATCCTATCATCACAACTAAAAGAACTAGAGAACTAAGAGCAAACAAGCCTCAAAACTAGCAGAAGACAAGAAGTAAACAAGATCAGAGCGAAACTGAAGAAGAAAGAGACATGAAAAATTTCTGGGAAAAAGTTAATAAAATAGACCACTAGCTACACTAATGAAGAGAAAAAAAGAGAAGAATCAAATAGACACAATAAAAAATCATAAAGGATCAACACTAACCCCACAGAAATACAAACAACTATCAGAAAATACCACAAGCACTTCTATGTAAATAAACAAGAAAATCTGGAACAAATGGATAAATTCATGGAAACATACACCCTTCAAAGACTGAACCAGGAAGAAGTTGAGTCCCTGAACAGAACAATAACATGTTCTGAGATTGAGGCAGTAATAAATAGCCTACCGACCAAAAAGAAGCCCAGGACCAGACAGAATTACAGCTGTATTCTATCAGAGGTACAAAGAGGAGCTGGTACCATTTCTTCTGAAACTATTTCAAACAATTGAAAAGGAGGGACTCCTCCGTACTCAGTTATGAGATCAGCGTCATCCTGATACCAAAACCTGGCAGAGATACAACAAAAAAAGAAAACTTTCTGGCCAATATTCCTGATGAACATTAATGCAAAAATCCTCAATAAAATACTGGTAAACTGAATCCTGCAGCATATCAAAAAGCTTATCCACCATGATCAAATTGGCTTCATCCTCAGGATACAAGGCTGGATCAACATATGGGAATTAATAAACATAATTTATCACATAAACAGAACTTAAGACAAAAACTACATGATTATCTCAATAGATGCAGAAAAGTCCTTAAATAAAATTCCACATCCCTTCATTTAAAAATTCTCAATAAACTAGGTATTGATGGATCATACCTCAAAATAATAAGAGACATTTATGACAAACCCACAGCCAATATCATACTGAAAGGGCAAAAGCTGGAAGCATTTTCCTTGAAAACTGGCACAAGATAAGGGTGTCCTCTCTTATCACTCCTATCCAACATAGTATTGGAAGTTCTGGTTAGGGTACTCAGGCAAGAGAAGGAAATAAAGGGTATTCAAATAGGAAGAGAAAAAGTCAAACTGTCTCTTTTTGCAAGATGACATGATCCTGTATCTAGAACATCCCAGCTGAAAAGCTTCTAAAGTTGATAAGCAACTTCAGCAAATTCTCAGGATACAAAATTAATGTGCAAAAATCGCGAGCATTCCTATACAGCAACAACAGGCAAGCAGAGAGCCAAATCATGAATGAACTTCCATTCACTATTGCTATAAAGAGAATAAAATACCTAGGAATACAGCTAACAAGGAAAGTGAAGGAACTCTTCAAGGAGAACTATGACCACTGCTCAAGGAAGTCAGAGAGGACAAAACCAAATGGAAAAACATTCCATGTTTATGGATAGGAAGAGTCAATATCATGAAAATGGCCATACTGCCCAAAGTAATTTATAGATCCAATGCTATTCTCATTAAACTAACATTGACATTCTTAACAGAATTAGAAAAAAAAACTAGTTTGAAATTCATATGGAACAAAAAAAAGCCTGTATAGATGAGACAATCCTAAGCAAAATGAACAAAGCTGGAGGCATCATGCTACCAAACTTCAAACTAGACTACAAGGCTATACTGTAATGAAAACAGCATGGTACTGGTATGAAAACAGACACATAAATCAATGGAACAGAATAGAGATCTCAAAAATTAGACTGCATGTCTACAACCATCTGATCTTCGACAAACCTGACAAAAACAATCAGTGGGGAAAGGATAGCCTATTTAATAAATTGTGCTGGGAGAACTGGCTAGTCATAGGCAGGAAATTGAAACTGGAGCTCTTCCTTGTACCTTATACAAAAATAACTCAAGATGGATTAAAAACTTAAAACCCCATAAAAACCCTAGAAGAAAATCTAGACAATACCATTCAGGACATAGGCATGGACAAAGATTTCATGACAAAAACGTCAAAAGCCATTGCAACGAAAGCAAAAATTGACAAATGCAATCTCATTAAACTAAAGAGCTTCTGCACAGCAAAAGAAACTATCATCAGAGTGAACAGACAACCTGCAGAATGGGAGAAAATTTTTGCAGTTTTTCCATGTGACAAAGGCCTAATATCCAGAGTCTACAAGGTACTTAAACAAATTTACAAGAAGAAAAACAACCCCATTAAAAAGTGGACAAAGGACATGAACAGATGCTTCTCAAAATAAGACATATATGCAGCCAAGAAATATATTTTTGAAACCTCAATTAGAGAAATGCAAATAAAAACCACAATGAGATATCATCTCATGTTCGTCAGAATGGCAATTATTAAAAAGTTCAGAAACAGATGCTGGCAAAGCTGTGGAGAAATAGGAACACTTTTACACTGTTGGTGGGAGTGTAAATTAGTTCAACAATTTGCAAGACAGTGTGGGGATTCCTAAAAGATCTAGTGCCAGAAATACAATTTGACCCAGCAATCCAATTACTGAGTGTATACCAAAAGGAACATAAATAATTCTATTTTAAAGATACTTGAATGTGTATGTTCATTGCAACACTATTCACAATAGCAAAAACGTGATATCAACCGAAATGCCCATCAATGACAGACTAGATTTAAAAAATGTGGTACATATACACCATGAGATACTAGGCAGCCATAAAAAGGAACAAGATCATGTCCTTTGCAGGGACATGGATGGAGCTAGAAGCCGTTATTCTCAACAAACAAATGCAGGAACAAAAAGGCAAACACTACATGTTCTCACTTATAAGTGGGATCTGAACGATGAGAGAACATGGACACAGTGAGGGGAGCAACACACGCTGGGGCCTGTTGGGAGGTGGTGGGGGGAGGGAGAGCATCATGAAAAATAGGTAATGCATGCTAGGCTTAATACCTAGGTGATGGGTTGATAGGTGCAGCAAGCCAACATGGCACACATTTACCTGTATAACAAACCTGTACATCATGCATATGTATTCCAGAACTTAAAATAAAATAAAGTAAAATTATATTTTAAAAAATCGTTTGAGGAGAATACTCTATTAACCACTATTTTATTGTATTTCTTCATCTTTCATTCTTTATTGGCCTTTAAAAGTAAGTAAGATGAATGTTGTAAAGTATCAAGAATTTGTTTTTTTAATAATTTTGGAGTTATCTTTAGTCGTCTTTATATCTGAACTAAATAAGTTTTTTAATTACTTTAACGACATAAGTTAAACATCCAAGTTTGTAATAACTGTTACTAGATAAAAATCTTATTTTGCCTATTATTAATCCAAGGTAATAGCAGTTGTAATTACAACACCCCAAAGTTTATAAAATGATCTGGCTTATTCTACTTCAAATTAAATTTACATGCAGTATTTCTTTGCCTTGGAGAAATTTTGTAAGTTTATTTTATGTTATTTTTGGCCAGAGATCACTGATTGCTTTGTAGGAGATGCTTGTTAAGAAACTGCAATGCAGTTTTCATGTACATTTACAGTTTTTTACCTGGAACACAGCTATAGGGAAAAAATGCCTCAACAAGCAAGCAAAATAAAATGTAGTCACAGCGTTTCCATTTTTTTTTTTATTATTCCACATTAGTTTACCAGCGGTGCTCTCACACATTGCCCTGTGACAGTCTTCAGTTGTATGGTTATTTCTTACTTAAAACCCAATTTTCTTCCTAGAGTAGTGAAAGCTGAACTTTTTAAAACAGGCAATTTAATTGTATAAACAAGTAGAAAAATTGGTTGGCAACACTCTTTCTTTTTGAGAATATTTACTACCAAAGCAGTGGCAAAAGCACTACAATATGCGTTTACTTTTGAAATCTTCCTCAGTTAATACTCCTTGGTTCTGGGAAAGGTAACAATAATCATTATCATTTACTGAGCTGATGTATAGTACAAGATATTTTACATGTATTATTTCTAAACCTCACAACAACTTTGCAAATCTGGTGTTAACATTCCAATTTTAAAGATGAGAAAGTAAGAACACAAATTAATTTGCTTAAGGTCATAGTTCTAAAAAATACTAACGCCAGGATTCAAACTCAGTTCTGTTGAATCCAAGTCCTCACTGCATTCCACTATCTACACTTTTTCTCTGTAATTAGCCTTCTGCTTATAACCACACCATTCCTCTACTGTTGCTAAAAGGTAATTCCTATTCTCCCACTTTTCTTAAATAAAGTGGCCAGGGAAATGTGGAGGGCATTAAGTTACAACGTTTGCTTGCTCAAAGGACAGGATACCATCAGAATGTTATCACTGTAGCCTATTCAATTTTCTACCATTGTTCAGTTCCTCTTATCAATTTTCCAGCTTTAAAATAAAAATAATCTGTCAGGCAGCTTTCTTCTTACGGTGTCAAATGTTATTTTCTCTCATCTCCTCAGGCTGCAACTAAGTGTATGGGGTAGAAATCCTCTAAACACAGTAACAATTGACTGAAAGAGTTTTCATTTTTAGCTACAGATTCTACTCGATATTTGTCACTTTTATTTTGTAAGTTTACTTTGCTTCATCACAAAGCCCACAGGAAAAATTTGGGTAGTAGAGAAGCTCTTCTGTTACCCAGCATCGCCATAGAGAAAAGTATTTTGCTTAAACAGATTGCTCTGACAGCACTTTAAAGGGTACCACATAAGAAGTACTCTTTGTAATGAAATTAAAATTTTAAAATAATTCAAGAAAAATTCTCCAAACACACTTTCTATGTAACCTGCTAGGTTTAAACAAATAGGTATTAAGCCCTGTGAGGCAGAGTTGCTTGTATTTACAGCTGTCAAGCTGAGAATTATATTGCTACATGATTGTCATTGTCCAAGGGACACTTAGAAGAATCCTTTTACCTATACTTGAAGTCAGTAATAAATCTATACTCTTCTCTCTGCCCTTCTTTATCTCTCACCGTTCTACCCTCTGCTCTCATCTCCTTCTTTATGCCCTTTCTTTACCCTTTTCTCTATTTGCAAAATGGAATGATCATAATAAGTCTGTTAAGCTTTGGATTGACTAGCTTGTTATACTTTAACTCTCTCAATTTGGAAAGTAAGATTTATCCATGGGTGAGGAATTTCACGCATTAGCAAGAAGACAAAAATATTATCTGTTGCTTGATAACATTTGGCTTGAAAGGAGGGAATGGTTAAAGGTAAGGAACATGTGGCTCAAATCATAACCAGCAAGCAAACAAGTTCTAGAAATCAACCTGAGATAATGATTTCTTGGTTATTTTGGAGTTGGAGTGGGGAATAATGTTAACTGTAGAGGGCCTCACATTTTTTCTGCACTCTCAGCCAACATCCAGTGAGCTCTAATAGGCAGAGGCTATATTCTGATATTAACCTATAGGAAAATATTCAGCAGTTTTGATAATGTTTTTTGACATGGAATTTTTGATACTAGTGGGAAAAATAAAAGTCTTGTACACTTTTCAGATAAAGGTAATATAACTAGTGGATTATGGAATACTATTTTTTTTTAATCCTGGGAGAAAACTTCAGAGAGAGAGGCTTCAGTATGTTTGGCATAAGCTCTCCCAAAGTATCCATACATGCTCACTTTGTTTCAAAATGTGTTATTCCAAGATTTATATGATGAATTTCCTGGATTCTCTGACTTTGATAAATGGACCATCTAATGATTGAGGGGAAACTGGAAAATAGCTACTTTGTATGATCTCTTGGGCTCTTTGTTCTTTAACATATGTCAAGCTCCCCAACTTCTTCATGGTGGACTATGGAAATCCTTTAATGAAAATCCTGGAAGTATTACACTGGAACTCCTGGAAGTATGCAGATTCACTATGCTAATTACATCATATCCCTAGATCTTAACCAGGAATGCAGTGTCAGAATCACCTGTTAAGCTTGATTAAAAATACCCATACCTGGACCCTACTCCAGACCTACTAAATCATAATGCCCAGAGGTTATATCTGAATATATGTACATTTTTTTCTGAAAAAAAGGCACTCAACGTGATAGTGACAGTCAATTTTTACTTAACAACAGAAACAGCTACTATATTAAGTAACTTATAGAAAAAGACAGCTCACTTATTTTTTGAACTGTGTGACAATTTTCTCCAACATAGAAGCACAGTAAGAAGACTATAGTTCTCGGGATCTACACATACTTAAATGTATTTTAAGTATGTTTTACAGAATGAATATCAGTTTGCATTTTCACTAGAAATACAAGATTTACCACAAATCATTGCCAACATTTAATATTATGCTAAATATATCTCAATAAAGCTGTTAAATATGTTTGAGAAACTTATAAAGTTATTGTTCTATTGTTTTGGAGCTACTTGTACAAGATGAGAGTCAGTGTTTTGTGATTATTGAATCTTTCATAGAATCCAAGTATAAAATGTTCTGGTTTGGGAATTATTGGCAATGATATGTGGAGTAGTGGGAGATTTTTTATTATTTTAATTTATGTAATTATTTTTGTATATTTCTACTTTGCTGTTTCACTGTGTATTTATTTGGCACTTGACATTTTTCCAGAAATATATTACCTTCATTTATTTTTTTTAAATATTTGCATAATGTTGGTTACAATATTATTTTACATTGATATCTCTACTTTGAGCCTAGTCACTACCCGTATTTAAATCTGTATTTGTTCTCTCTGCTTTTGTTCTTCCTCATTAATCTTGCTACCTATCCTTTTTACCATTGTGTTAAAATAATCAGTTTTTTTTGGTCAATCATTTTGAATATATCATTGTCCTCTATTATTATTTCTTATTTCTTTGAGTTTACTCTGTTGCTCTTTTTCTAGCTTCTTGAATTGAATACATAGCTCATTTATTTCCAATCTTTTTCATTTTTCTTGTATGTGTATTCAAAGCTCTAAATTCCCTCTGAAGTACTGTTTTAGCTGAATACCACAAATTTGAACATGCAATACTTGGTCAGTTAGCCATATTGAGTAATTTACATGAAAATTTCCTTATAAGCTATGGAGTTGTCTAATGGTATATATATTTTTATATTGAGATTTTTGTGGTCTGGGAGGCTATTTTTCTGTTATTGGTTTTTCCTTTACTTCATTTTGCTCAGATCACATAGACTGTGTTATATCTTCTTGTAAACATGTCACACAAAATACATAAGCTTCTGGGTGAAGAGAGATATGTAGTTAACATGAACGAAAGAAAGGAGCACTATTTTTACTTGATGTCTAATAGGCATTTCAAAATTACCATAACTACAGCTTCACCCTTGTTATTCTCCCAAACCTGCTCTTTGCAGGCTTCCCCATTTCAGTTTATGACAATCTCTGTTCCCTCAGTTATTAAGAAAAAAAATTCTTATACATTTTGATTTACCTCTTTGTATTTTGCTTCATATAAAATCTGTCAGCAAATCATGTTGCCTGTGCCTTTAAAATAATTTATAATGTAGTAAGTTACTACTGCCTATGCTGCTATTGTCCTGGGCCAGCAGTTCTGACTACTGAAGGTGATTTTTCGCCCCAGAGGACATTTGGCAATGTTGGGAGACATTTTCAGTTGCCACAACTAGGGGCAGGGTTGCTACTGGCCTCTGGTGGGTGGGGGGTCAGAAGTTCTGCTAAATATCCTACAATGCACAGAGCACTTGATCACCTCAAGACATATACAACACAGAATTACCTGCTTCAAATGTCAATAATTCCAAGGTTGAGAAGCTCTGTTCTGGGCCACAGAACTAGTATTGGTCACCTAAATTATTCCAATAGCTTCCTTACATTTTCCCAGCTTTCTACTTTATTTTCTTCAGTCTGTATTTTACATAGCAGCTAAAGTAACCCTGTTTAAAATTGTCTTGCAATTTTACTCTCTCATCACAGTCCTCCAGTGACGCCCAGTATCACTCAGAGTAAAGGCCAAAGTCTTCATAATGGCCTACAAGGCTATACGTAATCTGTCCCACCATCATTTTCTTTCTGATATCTTGTACTATTAGTCTTATGCTCCCTCACTCTATAGCAGTCACATAGGCCACCTTACTATATCTTGAATGCATGCTAGACTAACTGCCACCTTAATATATTTGTTTAGACTGGAATGCTCTTCTCTCAAAACTATTTATGGTACTTCCCTTCACCTCTTTGTCTGTATTCAAGTATCGCCTCCACCCTAAGTTCATCCCTGACCACTTTATTGAAATTTTCATGCATTCTCTGCAATTCCCTGTCCCCTTCCCTACTTTCTTTTTTCTATATTACTTATCATCAACTGACATAATTATATTTCACTTACTTAGAATATTGTTTGACTCCTTATACAAGAATATAAACTCCATTGGGGCAAGGATTCTTGTTTTGTTCATTGCTATGTCCTCAGTATTTAGAAGAGCACCTGACCCAAAATCATTGCACAAATTATACTTTTTAATAAATGTATGTATTGGGAAGTTCCTGTCAACCTGTCTTTACTGTGGCTCCTGTCCCTTTCCTGCTCCAGTTTATTATTCCTTGTAAACAGGGATTCTTACCCTTCTTTCTGGGACTTTCCAAGGATTCTTCAATATTTGTGCGTTTATTACTGGCTGGCATTCTGAGAACCATCAGTGCCCATATCTTTCATGTGCTGGGGGTTGGAAAAGGAAGAGAGAAGTCCAATTAGCTTTCTATTGTATCTAAAAATGGAATTGTATTACCTATTTTATATCCCTGAAACAATTATTATATTATGCTATAGATATCATAGGAACACAGTAAATTTTGAATAGATGAATAAATGAATGAAAGGACTAATAAAAGTAGAATTCATAAAATGTCTGTTGCTTGATGAAGCAACTGTCATTTTATTTTCTCAGGTAATTATGAAATTGATCCAGCAGCCTGGAAGAGAACATTATCCAATCTCTACGTATGTATAAAGTAATTTTGAATACAGAGGGATGATGTTCCCAAAGAATCCAGGCTATTACTCATGTTGTCATGCCATGTCACTCTGCACCGACTCACAGACATATTGTTTTTTAGACTACAAAAGATGGGAAGAATATTAAGAAACTATCTCACCAAATTTCATCACTTGAAGTTGACAAATGTAGATATCATACTGGACAACTGATTATCTCTTCTTTTCCTTAAGATTCTCAATGTCAGAGAACTGATGAAAAGCTTGGGTGACTCTTTTCCGGTATTATTTCCATATTTATTTATGCTTTAAAAATAATACTAATGCTTGACAAGTTTTTTTTCAAATAGAAACTTTTTGTGACTCCCCTTACTTCTGTTTGAAGAATTCTACACAGTTCAGACTTATTATCCATAAGATTGTTGAAAATATAAAATGTATTTTTGAGCAGATTTCTTACCAGTTTAGAAAGTGGACTCTTACATCATCCAAATTCACTATTGTGTACTATAAAGGTGAAGGAGCAGAAATGGGAGTTGAGAAAGTCAAGTAGCACGGTCTCAATTGCCACTGAGAAAAAGATAATGAAATGGGATTTCAGAAAGATGATTTGAGGTTGCAAAATTGTTAAAACACTGCACAATATTAATTCATATCTTCATACAGGCTTAGAAGATAGATAATCTATATCTACATGCAGGCTAATCTGATATCATAGATTATGAAATGGCACATTGAACATATAAAGCAAAGGAAATAAGAAATAAATGAACTTTTTCTATACTTGATTTCTATGTTATGCTTTTGTTAATAGAGAGAGCGAAAGGGAGAGAGAGAGAGAGAGAAAATTATTTTTTAACTCTGTTATTTCACATTATACTCTCACATTTTGGGAGTTATGAAGTGACTTTTCAATCTTGTTATATACAGCCAAGATTTTAAATATAATACCAAGTCATCGAATGCCAAGTTTGGATAAGAGCATTTTTTTTATGTCTACCTTTTAAACCTTTGGAAAAGCTTTAAATTGTTAGCAGAATCCAAACTGTGTCACTTCATATTAAAGCAGAACCAATTAAGCTAAATGCAAAGTTAATCCAAAAAAATGCAATTAACACTGTATCCACAAAGAGGTTACACTATAAGTGAGAGGTGTTAACAAATCACACACTAAAATTTTACAAGGAGAGGAGAGGTAGATTTTCAAGGAGGTAAACATAATAACATTGTAAATGTGTTATATAAATAGAGAGAGCTGTAGTTGATGGTTTATAGCAATGTTTTAATTTTAATATATTGTATTTGAATTATTATAGGGCAGTTATACATTCATTTAATTCTGGATACTTAGAAATATACTTAAAATATTTATGCAACGGTTTACTGAATTCAAGGCCAGTCAGTTACAAAACAAGTTATTCTTCTGAGGAGGAGGAGGACAGAGGGGAGGAAAATAAGAAGGCACTTATCTTGAGTCTTAAATTAATTGAAAGATTTTTAAAAGATATTTTAAAGTAAGACTCTTATTTCAATACTATTTTAAAATCCAATTGACATGGTGAGTTTTTGTGATAAAAAAATCACTGTCTAAGAAATTAATGTTCTAGTCCCAATTCTGTTGGAAAAATAGGTATGCAAACTTAAATAAGTCAGCTCACTCTCTTGGCTGCATACTTGACTGTAAAAAATAAAAGAATAAAAGTAATTAACTTTCAGAGTATTTTAATATAAAATGTTCTAAATGTCCATTAAGTACTTTAATTTTTTATTTTATAGACCTTATTGCTTTTAGGTTCTTAATTAGTTTTCCCAGCCAATTTGATTGTGGATTGATCAAGATACATGCAGGTTCTAACATATGTCTGGTCTGTATTTAATTCTCCTAACAAGGATGCTCACTTCTGTAATATAAGCTTTATTAACATGGATTATATACTCTGATATTTTCTTAAGAAAGTCAGTTATCAACACCAATTCTTTCTTCAGTATATAAAGAGTAAGTATCATATTATAATAGAGTAGGGGTAACATTTGCCTTTACTAGTCAATTTCCTTTGGAATAATAGAATTATGAGAAATATCTGCTGAGTGAAACCTCAGACCCTTTGAAGGAACTGGATCAACCCTACAGGCTCCCTGAGATGCAGAAAAAGAGCCGGCTTGCTTTCTCAATGGGAAGGCTTGTGGTCTGGGGCAAGTTCACACCCCTGGAAATACACTCAGTGCTATTTGGGATGGGGCGACATGGTGGGAGTAGACTGGCCTTTAGGACATGTAGGCTGCATGGGATCAGGGTGAGGCCTGGGACTGACAGCTTTCCCCCACTTCCTTGGCAACCTGTATGACTCAGCAGAGGCAGCCATAATCCCTTTGGGAATATAACTCCATGAACTTACAACCACACTCCATCCCCCACAGCAGCCACAGCAAGCCCCGCCAGAGGAGAGGCTGAGCTCAGACATGCCTATCCTTCCCCAATCTGGTGGTTTTTCTCTACCTGCCCTAGTAGCCAAAGACAAAGGTCATAATCTCTTGGGAGCTCTATGGCCCTGCCCACCATCTGAAAAACCTGAATACGTAACCATATGTGCCTAGAACAAGTTTGCATCTTCCCTGTAAGACCTCAGCTGATGCACTCTTGAAAGTACCAACTCCTGGCTGGAGGCCAACCAGTACAAAACCAACAAAAACACAACCAAAGACCCTCACAGAGTCCACCACACTCCCCTGCTACCTCCACGAGAGCAGTTGCTGCTATTCATGGCTGCAAGATCTGAAGATGCTTTACATCACAGGACTCTTTGCAGACAGTCCCCAGTACCAGCCCAGAGCTCGGTAGCTCCACTGGGTGGCTAGATCCAGAAGAGCAAAAACAATCACTGCAGTTCGACTCTCAGGAAGCTCCATTCCTAGGGGAAGGGGAAGAACACCACATCAAGGGAGCTTGATTTCATAAGTAATCTGAACAACAGCCGTTGAACCCCAGATCTTCCCTCTGACATAGTCTACCCAAATAAGAAGAAACCAAAGAAACAATTCTGGTAATTTGACAAAATGACGTTTTTAAAAACTCCCAAAAGATTATACAAGCTCACCTGCAATGGATCCAAACCAAGATGAAATGTATGAATTGTCAGAAAAATAATTCAGATGGTCAATTATTAAGCTAATCAAGAAGGCACCAGAGAAATGTGAGGTCCAACTTAAATAAATCAAAAACATGATACAGGCTATAAAAGGAAAATTCTTCAGTGAAATACAAAGGATAGATAAAAAACAATCGCAGCTTCTGGAAATCAGAGACACACTTAGAGAAATGCAAAATGCAGTGGAAAGTCTCAGTAATAGAATTGAACAAGCAGAGAAAGAAATTCAGAGCTTGAAGACAAGGCTTTTGAATTAACCCAATCTATCAAAGATGAAGACAAAATAATTTTGTAAAAATGAGCAAACCCTCCAAGAAGTTTGGGACTATGTTAAACCTCCAAACCTAAGAATAATTGATGTTCCCAAGAAATAAGAAAAATCTCAAAGTTTGGAAAACATATTTGAGGGAATAATTGGTGAAAACTTCCCCATCCTTGCTGGATATCTAGACATCCAAATACAAAAAACTCAAATAACACCTGAAAAATTCATTGCAGAAAAAAATTATCACTTAGGCACACAGTCATCAAGTTACTTAAAGTCAAGACAAAAAAAGAAATCTGAAGAGTTGTGAGGCAAAAGCATCAGGTCACCTATACAGGAAAATCTATCAGATTAACAGCAGATTTCTCAGCAGAAACCCTAGAAGCTAGAAAGAATTAGAGTCCTATTTTTAACCTCCTTAAACAAAACAATGATCAACAAAAAATTTTGTATCTTGAAACAAATCCTCAAAATACCCCAAATTAGAACCTCTTTAAAGAGTAAATCTCACAGGGCCTATATAAGAATAACACAATGGAAAAAAGGAGGTATTCAGGCAAAAAATAGCACAGTGAATAGAATAGTACCTCACATCTCAATACTAACATTAAATGTAAATGGCCTAAATGTGCCACTTAAAAGATAAAGAATGGAAGAATAGAAAAGAATTGACCAACCAAGTTCCTGATGTCCTCCAGAGACTCAACACATAAGGAGTCACATAAGCTTAAGGTAAAGGGGTGGAAAAAGATATTCCATGCAAATTGGACACCAAAATCAAGCAGGAGTAGCTATTCTTATAGTAGACACACAAAACTTTAAAGCAACAGCAATTAAAAAAACAAACAGGGACATTATATAATGATAAAAGGAATAGTCCAACAGGAAAATATCACAATCCTAAATATATATGCACCTAACTCTGGAGCTCCCAAATTTATAAAACAATTACTTCTAGACCTGAAAAAGGTGATAGATGAAACAGAACAGTAGTGAGGGACTTTAACACTCCACTGACAGGTCATTAAAACAGAAAGTCAGCAAATAAACATTTAAACCATACCCTAAAACTAGACAAGACATCAAAACAGACAGTCAACAAAGAAACACTTAAATTATACCCTAAAACAAATGGACTTAACAGATATTTACAGACTGCTCTATGAACAACTGCAGAATATACATTCTATTCATCAGCACATGGAACATTCTCTAAGACAGACTATAGATGGGCCACAAAACAAATCTCAGTAAATTTAAGAAAAGCAAAACTATTTGAAGTACTCCCTCAGACTACAGTGGAATAAAATTGGAAATCAACTTCAAAAGGAACCCTCAAAACCATGCAAATACATGGAAATTAAATAACCTGCTCCCGAACAATCATTAGGTCAAGAATAAAATCAAGATGGAAATTTAAAAAAATTATTTGAACTGAATGATAATAGTGACAAAACCTATCAAAACCTCTGGGGTACAGAAAAAGTGGTGCTAAGAGGAAAGCTCATAGCATTAAATGTCCTACATCAAAAAGTCTGAAAGACCACAAATAGACAATCTATGGTCACACCTCACGGAACTGGAGAAACAAGAACATTCCAAACCCAAACACAGCAGAAGTAAAAAAATAATGAAGATTAGAGTGGAACTACATGAAATTGAAACAACAGCAACAAAAATAATGCAAAAGATAACTGAAACAAAAAACTGATTCTTTGAAAAGATAAATAAAATTGATAGACCATTAACAAGATTAACCAAGAGAAGAGAGAAGATCCAAATAAGCTCAAATAGAAACGAAACGGGAGATATCACAACCGATACCACAGAAATACAAAGGATGGTTCGAGGCTAGTATGAACACCTTTATGCACATAAACTAGAAAACCTAAAGGAGATGAATAAATTCCTGAAAATATACAACCCTCCTGGATTAAACCAGGAAGATACAGAATCTCTGAACACACAAATAACAAGAAGCGAGATTGAAATGATAATTAAAAAACATGCCAACAAAAAAAATTAAGGACCAGATGGATTCACAGCTGAATTCTATCAGACATTCAAAGAATTGGTACCAATTCTATTAACACTACTCCAAAAGATAGAGAAAGAGGGAATCTTCCCCAAATTATTCTATGAAGTTAGTATCACCCTAATACTAAAACCGGGAAGGCCCATAACAAGTAAACTACAGACCAATATGCCTGATGAACATAGATGCAAAAATCCTCAATAAAATAGTAGTGAACCAAATCCAACATCAAAAAGATAATCCACCATGATCAAGTGAGTTTCATACCAGGGATGCGGGGATGGTTTAACATATGTAAGCCAATAAATGTAATATGCCACATAAACAGAATTAAAAACAAAAATCACATGATCATCTTAGTAGACAGAGAAAAAGAATTCGACAAAATTCAGCAACGCTTTATGATCAAAACCCTCAGCAAAATAGGCATAGAAGGGACACATGTTAAGGTAATAAAAGCCATCTGCGACAAACCCATAGCCAACATTATACTGAATGGGGAATAGCTGAAATAATTCCCCCTGAGAACGGAAACAAGAAAACTATGCCCACTTTCACCACTTCTATTCAATATAGTGCTGGAAGTCCTAGCCAGAGCAATCAGACAAGAGAAAGAGATAAAGGGCATCCAAATCGGTAATGAGCAAGTCAAACTGTCACTGTTTGCTGATGATATGATCATATATCAAGAAAGCCCTAAAGATTCATTCAAAACACTCCTAGAACCGGTAAATGAGTTCAGTAAAATTTTCAGATACAAAATTAATGTACACAAATCAGTAGCTCTGCTATACACTAACAGCTACCAAGCTGAGACTCAAATAAAAAACTCAACCCCTTTCACAATAGCTGCAAAAGAATAATAAAATATTTTAAAATATACGTGGCAAAGGGTGTGAAAGACCTCTACAAGGGAAACTACAGAACACTGCGGAAAGAAATCATAGATGACACTAACAAATGGAAACACATCCCATGCTCATGGATGGATAGAATCAATATCGTGAAAATGACCATGCTGCCGAAAGCAATCTACAAATTCAATGCAAACCTCATCAAACTACCACCATCACTTATCACAGAACTAGAAAAATCAGTCCTAAAATTCACATGGAATAAAAAAAGAGCCCACATAGCCAAAGCAAGGCTAATAAGGAAAAGGAACAAATCTGGAGGCATCACATTACCCATCTTCAAACTATACTATATGGCCATAGTCACAAAAACAGCATGGTATTGGTATCAAAATAGGCACATAGACCAATGGAATAGAATAGATAACCCAGAAATAAAACCAAGTACTTACAGCCAACTGATTTTCAACAAAGCAAACAAAAACATTAAGTGGAAAAAGGACACTCTATTCAACAAATGGTGCTGTTATAACTGCCAAGCTACATGTGGAAGAGTAAAGCTGGATCCTCATCTCTCACCCTATACAAAAATGAACTCAAGATGGATCAAAGACTTAAATCTAAGACTTGAAACCATAAAGACTCTGGAAGATATCATCAAAAAACTCCTTTAGACGTTGGCTTAGACAAAGATTTCGTGACCAAGAATCCAAAAGCAAATGCAACAAAAGAAAAAAAAACAATCCCATCAAAAAGTGGGCTAAGGACATGAATAGACAATTCTCAAAACGAGATATACAAATGGCCAACAAGTATGTGAAAAAGTGCTGAACATCTCTAATTATCAGGAAAATGCAAATCAAAATCACAATGAGATACCATCTCACTCCTTCAAGAATGGCCATAATAAAAACAAAATAAAAAAAAATAGATGTTGGTATAGATGCAGTGAAAGTGGAACACTTTTACACTGTTGGTGGGAATGTAAATGACTACAACTATTATGGAAAACAGTGTGGAGATTCCTGAAAGAACTAAAAGTAGGTCTACTGTTTGATCCAGCAATCCTACTACTAGGTATCTACCCAGAGGAAAATAAATCATTATACATAAAAGATACTTGCACACACATGTTTATAACAGTACAATTTGCAATTGCAAAGATGTTGAACCATCCCAAATGCCCGTCAATCAAGTGGATAAAGAAAATGTGAGATATATTACATATATGTATAATTTTTTTTCTTTTTCTCTTCTTTTTTTAAAAATTTTTACTTTAAGTTCTGGGATACATGTGCAGAATGTGCAGGTTTGTTACATAGGTAACCCAAAATATATAAACATCTTTATGTCCACCAATAAAAAAGGATAAATTAATTTCTGTGTATTTATACAATTACATACTATTCATCAATGAACATGAACTTTGTCACAGATGAGTTTTATTAAATACAACGACAATGTTAAAGAAGAAAAAAGAATACAGTAAATTTTCATTTATACATGTTTTATAAACAAGCAAAGGCAAACCATTTTATTTAGGGATGTAGAGATTTGAGGTAAAACTATAAAATACAGCAAATAAATTATTGTTATGAAGCTCATGGTAACAAGTTACCTCTAGGAATGTGATGTCTTGAGTGGGAATAACCAGATATTGGGAGACAAAGGAGTGGTTCTGGGGTACTGGTAACGTTCTAATTTTTTAACTGGATGGTAGTAACAGTTTTGCTTTATAAATATTTGTTAAATTATTTCTCTATATTTTATTCACTTTTTATATATATCATAATTCACATATGCATAATCTCTGTATATTCTGTATGCTGTGTTTATTATCTCCCACATATTTATAGGACAGAATGAGAAGCGAGGAAGTAAAGGGTACATGTGTAGATAATCTGTTCAAGGATGTTATCCTTAAAGGGGAGGAGAGAAAAGTGGTGGTAGCAGCTGGAGTAGAGTACAGAATCCAGAGAATTTATTAAGATAGGAAGGATTATGACATGTTTGTAGGCAGCTGGCAATGATGCAGTATAGTGCGAGCAATTGATGATAGAGGGAATAAAAACTTAGAGAAAGTCTTTGGATAAGTGAGTGTGAGAGGGGCGGAATCCAGTGCATAATAAAATAATTGTCCTTATGAAGATACAGGGATAGTTTATACAAAAATAATACGATAAAATTGTAATAGGGACAGGAAAAAGGTAATTTCATAGACTAAAGGATAGGATTATTGTGTGACTCTCTTCGGATTGCTTCAATTTTCTTGTTAAATAAGAATTAATGTCATCAGCTGAAAATGAGGAAAGTGGGAGGAAGTAATAGATATTTCAGGTGAGATATGTCATCCAGGAAAGTGAGAAAAAATTGATTAGGTAAACGCAGTAGGATTGTCAGGTCCATTTGATATGAATAGTTATGATGTTTAAGTAAAAGCAGTCACATTGTTTAATTTTTTTCCTTATCATGTCACCATTCTCTACGGTGTCCACCTTAGTAGAAAAGGCAGACATTAAACAAGCAGTTATGTATGTCATCTAACCAAAAGATTCATCACCTGAAGAATCTGTCTCACTAGAATACTTAGCACTTAATATTTCTAATACTGTTTTTGCTCGTTTTTTTTAAATTTAGAGTACTATGTTACTAAAAATGATAATTCTACTTTTCAAGTTTCATTCTTCTTCAACTTCTTTTATTAAACTCTCTAGAAGATCTCATCCACTCCTATGTCTTTACATCACAACCTACACACAGGCTACTTTTGAGATCACAAAGACTTATACTCCTTCTGTGTTCTCTATCTCAATGACTTAAAACATTATCCACCCAGTCATCTAAATAAAAACTTGGATACCATCTTTGATTCCTCTTTTTCCTATCTCTACATTCAATTGCTAAATCACACTGGTTCTAACTTCATAACATTTTAAGAATAAAAACAAAGTATAAGCAAGTGGTTTAGTTAGGATGCTACATAAACTAGGACTCTGAGAATGGTAGCTTGGAGGAGGAAGATGACAGATTTAAAAGGCTTAGGAGAAGTTAAATTTCCAAATCTTAATGTCCTTATTCTAGAGATGTAGAAGAGTAGAAATTCCCAAAACTTGACAATTTATGAGATTACTAGGACTTAAAGAGAGGGAAGTGTCAAGAAAAACTGTCAAAGCTCTGGATTGGCATTACCGAATGGATGGACATGCCATTCAACAGAAAAGGAATAATGAGAAAGGAACTGGAAATCTTCCAATGTTGGTCACCATGAATCTTGGGTTTTACTTTCTACATCATGAGTTTGGAATTACAAGAGGAGGTACTAACTAGTCAATTGAATATTCGTTAAAGATGAGGCCTGAAATTGAGATAATTTGCTTGTAATTACAAAAGCCTTCAAGCATAAATTACATTATTTTGGAAGAGAATGAAGTGTGAGAGAGAAGAGTGCCAAAAATCAAACCTTGATATACACCACCTATTAACCAACTAGCCGGGGATAAGTCAGAAAGGAATACCGAGATTTTTAGTATGTCTAGGAAAGGCAGGTCTGAGGCACTGTTTTAGTTCGTGTCTCTAGAGTCTACTAACTAATGCGGTATATTGATGAATGAGTTAGATATCCATCACTAGAAATTAGTTTAATTAATCTACCACTACTCATTCTCAGAGGTTATAAAGTGGCCAGAAAATGAAAGTGCACCACTAGCAAATTTGTGATAGATGGAGGGGTGGAAGTGATAGGATAATGGAAAGCCCTTTAACTGGAAAGTGGGAGACCCAGTTTCCTGCCTCTTCTCTATCACCTACCAGCTACCTGATTTTGACTGTCTTAGATAAGAGATAGTGGATCTAATTTCGTCCTCTATAAAATGTGGGGAAATTTACCAAATGGTTTCTAAGTTCAATTTCCATCTAACATGCTGAATATTTTTGCATAAGGTCAATTTTATCTGGAAAGTTAAAAGGAAAAAACAGTTTAGTGTTTGAAGAAAAGTTTATTACCAATTAAAATGAATATGAATTTCTGAAGGGTTAGATAAGTAACTTTAGTATAATTTAAATTTATTTAGATATAGTATGGAATGATGACCAGTTTTGCTGTGAGTTAACAGTTTTTTCTATGCTTCACTAAACTCAGTTTGAAATGAATCATTGTATCAGTTTGTCTTAACTCATTATGGCATATGATACCGACTGTGTCTGGGGTACTTGGACTACTGAGTTATTTGGTAGATTTTCTACTCTATCATGACTTCAGATGTTCTGCCATGAGGCTCCACTATAAAGAGTGAATTCATAGTAGACATAGCTCACAGCACCAGACCTCACTGAATATACATGCAGGTATTCAGATGGAAGTCTAGTAACATTTACATTAGACACATGTATAATGTATACAGAAGTTCTCATCTGGCTTTGAAGGTGGTAAGCTGCTGTTATTAAAATACCACCACATTATTTCAGCTTTTCTATTTGCATTTCTCCATAAAATAACTCTAGCCCACATATGTATATTATTTAGCAAAACCAGACTCAATTCCAGTGAGTACTATTCTCTATCCTTCCATTCAGAAATCCTAATATTATAAACCTAATTTAAAAAGATAGTCTAAAATATTGACAAGATTTGGAGAAAATGTTCTTTGAAATAATATTACAGAAATTATGTAAGATATTTAATTTGTCAATTATTTATAAGGGACTGAGTCAATTTCATTGCATTCACTGAATGGTATGTTGTATAGTATTTAAATTTATGTATATCCTTTTTTAGTTATATAGTCGTTTACACTTCACATCTTTCAAAAACAAACTTGAATATGTTTACACAAATTTGGCATAAGGCTATTTTAACAAGATTTATTTTTCCAATTAATAAACATGGAGTTTTTTTTAATTTTTTCTGTCCTATTTAATTACTTTCATCAGTGTTTTATAGTTTTTATTATAGAGATCTTTCAATTCTTTGGTTAATTCCTAGGTATCTAATTTTATGTTTGACTACCATAAATGAGATTACTATTTTTATATATTTTTCACATTATTCACTGTTGGCCTATAGAAATGCTATTGATTTCAGTATGTTTATTTCGTATCCCATTGCTTTACTGATTTCGTTTATCAGCTCTAACATTTCTCTTTAAAGTCTTTAGGTTTTTCCGAATATAAGATTATATTATCTGCAAACAAGCATAATTTGAAATATTCCTTTCCAATTTAGATACCCTTTATATCTTTCACTTGTGTCATTGCTCTAGTAAGAACTGCAGGTACTATGTTTTATAATAGTGTTGACAATGGGTATCCTTGTCATTTTCCAGATCTTAGATAAAAGGCTTTTAAATTTTACCTATTCAGTATGATAATAGCTGTGGGTCTGTCCTATATGTCTTTGTTATGTTGAGGTATGTTCCTTCTATCCCTAGATTTTTAAAGTCTTTATCATAAAAGAATGTTGAATTTTATCAGATGCTTTTTCAACATCAATTGAAATGATTATATGGTTTTTATCCTTCATTCTGTTGATATGATGTAGCTCATTGACTGAATTGTGTATATTGTACCATTCTTGCATCCCCAGGATAAATCCCACTTGATCATGATGAATGATCTTTCTAATGTATTTTTGAATTTGGTTTGCTAGTATTTTGTTGGGGGGTTTTGTATTAATATTCATCGGATGTATTGGCCTGTAGTTTTCTTTTTCTGATGTGTCTTTGTGTGGTTTTGGTATCAGAGTATAATACTGGCATCACAAAATAAGATTGGATGTATTCCTTCCCCCTTTATTTTTCAGGATAGTTTGAGTAAGACTGGTACTATTTCTTCTTTACATTTTTGGTAAAATTCAGCAGTGAAGCCATCAGGTCCCTGACTTTTCTTTGCTGGGAGACTTTTATTATGACTTTGATCTCATTACTTGATGTTGGTCTGATCAAGTTTTGAATTCCTTCCTGATTTAACCTTGGTAGATTTCATGTGTCTAGAAATTTGTCCATTTCTTCTAGATTTTCTAGTGTATTGGCATATAGTTTTTCATAGTAGCTACTAATAATCCTTTGAATTTCTGCAGTATCAGTTGTAATGTTTCCTATGTCATTTCAGATATTGTTTATCTGGATCTTCTCTCTTCATATTTTACTCTGGCTAAAGGTATGTCAATTTTGTATAAATTTTCAAAAAGATAGCTTTGTTTCACTGATTTTTGGTATTTTTATATTTCAATTTCATTTGTTCCTACTCTGATATTTATTATTCCCTTTCTCCTACTAATTTTGGTTTTGGTTTGCTCTTGATTTTCTAGTTCTGTAAGATAAATCATCAGGTTGTTAATTTGAAGTTTTTCCTCTGTTTTGATGTAGGCACTTATAGCTACAAACTTCCCTCTTAATGCTGCTCTTCCTGTATCCCATAGGGTTTGGTATGTTGTATTTCAATTACCATTTGTTTCAAGAATTTTTTCTATCTTCTTAATTTCTTCATCCACCCACTAGTCATTCTGAAGCATATTGTTTAATTTCCATATATTTGTATAGTTTTCAAAATCTCTCTTGTTATTTTTGATTTCCTTACGGTCAGAGAAGATGTTTTATATTATTTTAGTTTTTAAAATGTTTTCAGACGTCTTTTGTGACTTAACATATGAGCTATCTTTGAGAATAATCCATGTGCTGAGAAAAAGAATGTGTATTCTGTAGCTATTAAATGAAATGTTCTCTAAACATATATTGGGTTCATTTGGTTTATGGTGCAGATTAAGTCTAATGTTTCTTTGTTGATTTTCTGTCTGAAAGGTCTGTCCAATGCTGAAAGTAGGATGTTGAGTCTCCAGCTATTATTATACTGAGGGCTGTATTTCTCTTTATCTCTAATAACATTTCCTTTATAGATCTGGGTTCCCTGGAGTTGGAGACATATATATATATATATATATATATATATATATATATATATATATATATATATATATATTTAAAATTGTTATTTCCTCTTGCTTGACCCCTTTATCATTATATTGTAATCTTCTTTGTCTCTTCTTATATTTTTTCGTCTGAAATATACTTTGTCTTATATATATATAGAAACCCCCACTTGTTTTTGGTTTCCATTGGCATGGAATTCTTTTTCCATACCTTTCTTTTCAGTCTATGTGTATTTTTATAGGTAAAATGTGTTTCTTGTATGCAACAGATCAATAGGCCTTGTGTTTTTATTAATTCAGTCTGTCTATGTCTTTTGCTTGGAGAGTTTAGTCCATTTACATTCAATGTTATTATTGATAAGCAAGGACATACTCCTGCCATTTTGTTGTTTTCTGGTTGTTTTGTGATCTTCTCTTTCATCTTGATTTTTTTCTGTCTTTCTGTGTTGAAGGTAATTTTTTCTGATGATAAAGTTTAATTTCTTGCTTTTTATTTTCTGTGTGTCCATTGTATGGTTTTTCAATTGAGGTCATTATGAGGCTTGTGAATACTGTCTTATAACCCATTATTAGTAATTATGTAATTTTAAGCAGAAAATAATATTAAGTTACATATGCAACATGACCATATGTCTAACTAGTAAAACGAGAAGAAGGAGCAAGATGGCCAAATAGAAGCCTCCACCTGGTGTCCTCCCTGTAAGAACACTAAATTGACAAACTATACACACAAAAAAGCAACATCATAAGAACCATAAATCAGGTGAGCTATCACAGTACCTGGTTACAAATTTATATTACTAAACAAGGCACTGAAGAGGGTAGGAAAGACAGTCTTAAACTGCTGACACCATGACTCCACACAAGGGTCATGTAACATGAGGACATTCTGTTTGCTTGTGGGAGAGACAGCACAGTGATTGTGGGACTTTGCGTTAGAATTCAATGCTGCCCTGTCACAGAAAAAAGCAACATTGGACAGAACTCACCTGGTGCCCTTGGAGGGAGCATTTAGACCAGCCCTAGCCAGAGGGAATCCGCCCATCCCAGAGGTCCAAACCTTAGGTCCTGCAAGCTTTGCCCCCATGGGCTAAAGTGCTCTGGGATTCTAAATAAACTTGAAAGGCAGTCTAGCCCCACAAAACCTGCAATTCCTGGCTGAGTCCTGGTGGGGGGCATGCAATCTAGACAGAATTTCTGGGTCTGCCCTTGGCCAGAGTTGAGCCCACCGCCCTGAATGAAGAGTCCCAGGCCTAGCAGCATTCACCACAAGCTGAGTAAAGCCCCTTGGGTTTTGAGTGAACATTGGGCATAGCCAGTCAGTACTCACTGTGGGCCTGGGCCAGTGGTGGTCGTGGAGAGAGACTCATGTGCTTATAAAAATGGGTGGGAATAGTGAGAAGAATTTTGTCTTGTTTTTTGGGTTCCACCTCAGCCACAGTGGAATAGAGCACCAAGTGGATTCTGAAGGCTTCCATTTCCAGGCCATGGATCCTGGATGGCATTTCTGAACATATCTTTGGCCAGAGGGAACCTGCTGACTTGAAGAAAATGACAAAAGCCTGGCTGCCTTTTCCATCTGCTGATTGTAGAGCCACAGAGCCTTGAGCTATCATAGACAATAGCCAGGCAGTGGTTATCACAGGCCTTGGGTAAGACCCAGTCCTGTGCTGGCTTCAAGTTTGATCCAGCACAGTCCCATTGTTGGTGGCTACAGGGGTGTTTGTTTGATCACTCCCCCAGCTCCAGGCAGCTCAGTACAGAGAGAAAGAGACTATTTGAGAGAAAGTAAGGGAAGAGAACAAGAGTCTCAGCCTGGTAATCCAGAAAATGCTTTAGGATCTTATTAAAGACCACAAAGAAGGTTTCTCAATGAGACTGAAAGCCACAGCATTACTGGATTTGCAGTACCTCCTAAAGTACTTTATGGATGCAGTAAAGAATGTCTTAAATTTAAATTACAACACACAGTAACTGATTACATGGAAAACGTTTCCAAGAAGGATGGGTACAAACAAACCCAGATGGTACAATAAGTACCTAACACTTTAAATCTCAGACACTTTAAATCTCAGACGCACTAATTAACATCCAAAAGTGTCAAGACCATCAGGAAAACATAACTTCACCAAATGAACTAAATGTGGCACCAAGGACCAATGTCTGGAGAGACAGAGATATGTGGCCTTTCAAACAGAAAATTCAAAATAGTTGTCGTGAGGAAACTTAGTGAAATTAGAAATAACAAAGAGAAGTAATTCAGAATCTTATCAGAGAAAATTAACAAAGAGATTGAATTAATAAAAAAGAATCCTGCAGAACACTGGAGCTGAAAAATGCAACTGACATATTGAAGAATGCATCAGAGTCACAGAACAGCACAATTGATCAAGCAGAAGAATTAGTGAGCTTGAGGCAGGCTACTTGGAAATACACAACAAGTGGAGACAAAAGAAAAAAATAATAAAAAGAATAACGCATGAATACAAGATCTAGAAAATAATCTCAAAAGGAAAAAATCTAAGAGTTACTGGCCTTAAACAGGATGTAGAGTTAGAGATGGAGCAGAAAATTTGTTGAAAGAGTTAATTCTAGAGAATTTCCCAAACTTAGAGAAAGATATCAATATTCAAGTACAAAAAGATTATAGGACACCAAGGAGATTTAACTCAAAGATGATTACCTCTAGACATTTATAATCACACTCCCAAAGATAAAGGATCATAAAAGCAGCAAGATAAAAGAAACAAATATCATACAATGGAGCTCCAATACTTCCATCAGCAGAATTTTCAGTGTAAATCTTACAGGCCAGGAGAGAGTGGCATCACATATTTGAAGTGTTGAAGAAAAAAACCTTTTACCATAGATTATTATATCTGGCAAAATTATTCTTCAAACATGAAGGAGAAATAAAGACCTTCCTAGACAAACAAAAACTGAGTGGTTTTATCAACACCTGACCTGTCCTAAAAGACATGCTAAAGTTACTATTTCAATCAGAAAGAAAAGAACGTTAATGTGCAAGAAGAAATCATCTTAAAGTGCAAAGCTCACTGGTAATAGTAAGCACAAAGAAAAACACATAATATTATAACACTGTATTAGTGGTTTTTCAAATCAAAAAACATGCAACAGATACACAAAAAGTAAAAAGCAAGAAATTAAAACATACCACCAGAGAAAATCACCTTCATCAAAGAGAAGACATGCAGAAAGGAAAGAAGAAAGATAAGACCACAAAACAACCAGAAAACAAATAACCAAATAACTGAAGTAAATCATTATTGATCAATAATAACATTCAACATAAATGGACTAAATTACTCAATCAAAAAAGAAGACCCAATGATCTGTTGCCTAAAAGAAACATATTTAACCTCCAAAGACACACAGACTGAAAATGAAGGGATGGAAAATGATATTCCATGAAAATGAAAACCAGAAAAGAGCAGGAGTAGTTATTCTTACATTAGACAAAACAGATTTCAAGAGAAAACCACAAAAATAAGGTCATTATATAGTGATAAATTGGTCAACTCAGCAAGAGACTATAACAATTTTAATATGTATACACCCAACAGTGGAGCACTCAGATATACAAAGCAAAGATTTCTACAACTAAAGAGAGAGATAGACTCCAAGACAATAATATCTGGAGACTTCAAGTTCTCACTCTTAGCATTGGAGAGAACATTAATACAAAAATTAACAAGAAAGCATCAGACAGAATCTGCACTATAATGCAAATGGACCTAACGTATGTTTACAGAACATTTCAATCAACAGAGACAGAATGTATTATTCTCCTCAGCATGTGGATTATTCTCAAGGATAAACCATATGTTAGACTACAAAAGCAGTCTTGGAAAAAATTTTAAAAAAATGAAATGATGTCAAGTATATTCTCTGACCACCATGAAATAAAACAAAAAATCAATAATAAGAGGATTTTTGGAAACTATACAAACACACAAATATAAACAATATATTGCTAATTGACCAGTTAGTTGGTCAATGAAAAAATTCAGAAATAAATTGAAAAATTTCTTGAAACAAATGATAATAGAAAGACAACATACCAAAATGTATGTAAGTATGGCTCTTCAGGGTTTTTTGGTGGTTCTATGCAAATTTTAGGATTTTTTTTCTATTTTAATGATGAATGCCATTGGAATTTTCACAGAGATTGTGTTCAGTCTATATTGTTCTGGGTGGTAGGGATATTTTAACAATATTATTTTTCCCACCTATGAACACAGGATATCTTTCCTTTCATTTGTATTTTGTTCAATTTCTTTCATTAATGTTTTATCATTTTCAGTGTACAAGTCTGTCAACTCTTCAGTGAAATTTATTACTAGATTTTTTTATCTTACCATAAAGGGAATTTTTTAATTATCTTACCATAAAGGGATTTTTTAAATTTTTTTAGATAAATGATTATCTGTATATACAAATGCTACTAATTTTCATATATTGTTTTTAGGCCTACAACTTTACTAAATGTATTTGTTATTTCTAATAGCTTTTTTTGTTTAATCTTTGGGGTTTCTACAATTAAGATGATGTCATCTACCATCTGACCCAGAAATTCCTCTTCTCGGTATATACCCAACTGAAAAAATAGCACCATCTTGTAAACAAACTTGCATCCCCATAGTAATTGGTGCATTATTAACAATAACTGAGATATTGAAACAACCTAGGTGGTCATGAATGCATGAACAAATAAACTTTGAGACTGATTTATCCATCTATCTATCTACACACACACACACACACACACACACACACACACACATACACACATACGTATATTCAGATGTAATAAGGGAAATCCTGCCATTTGCCACAACATGGATGGACCTATAGTACATTGTTCTAGGTAAAATAATCCAGATGCAGGAAGAAAAATATTACATAATCTCATTTATACAGTATGTGAAATATTTTTTAAAAGCTCAAATACACAAAAATAGAGAATGAAACAGTGGTTACGATGGACTCTAGGGGAGAGGAAATGGAAAGATGTAGGTCAAATAATTCAAAGTGGTAGATATGTATAATGAACAAGTCTAGAAATTTAATGTGCAACATAAGGACTAAAGTTAAAACCATTGTATTAGAGATTTTTGTTAAACAAGTAGATATTATCTGTTCTTGTCACAAAAAATTGCTATGTGAGATAATAGATATGTTCATCTGATTCACTATAGTCACCATTGTACTATCTATATGTATCTATGTATCATTATGCATCCCATAACATCCTTGTGAACCTTAAATATACACAATAAAATGTATTGTTTAATGGGTAACTATGTGAGATAATGTTAATTTGCTGGATGATAGTAACTGTTTCACTATGTATAAGAAAACAACATGTTTTACAATTTAAATATGTAAAATAAAAATATTATTAACTTATTCAGGTTTTTTATCCTCCTCTACCTGCTTTGTTTCGTGTTTCCATGGAATGTAAGCTATATGAGACCAGGGGCCCTGTTAACTAATGGTGAAGTGGAAGAGGTTTGCACACAATAGGAGATCGATAGTTTGTTTTTTTTTTAAATTCTCACTGACTTTTCATTTTCAGTAATAAACTTACAAAATCTTTTTTGTTTCAACATTTGTTCTACACTGAAAAGGAAACAAATAGACATTGCCTGCAGATTCACAATATTATCTAAAATGTACATCCATATATTTCTCTTTATGGAGTAAAGAACAAAACAAAACTGTTTTATTATCAAAAAAAAATCCAAAGCAAAAATCTATAATAGAAAGGAAAGTGGTTACTATTCTTTTCCTAATGTGTCTCTTTTCTTTTGTCCCATTACTTTTGAAGAAAATGCCATATGCTGTAAAGTTTAATGAAATGGCAAAATGACTTGAATACAAATTGTTCTGCATTACTTAGAAAATACATCATTTGGTGATGCAGCTTTCCTGAAAGATGTTTTGGAAAGTGTTTTTGTATATTTACTAGAAATACTAATTTAAATTGGACTATATTTCTCCACAGGGTGCAAATATGATTTTCAGCTAGAACGGTTATCAGAGTATATTGTTTCAGGCTATGTTTCAAGAAGAGAGAATAGAGGACAATTCTCCGATGGGAGTGAAAAAGTTGCATAATTATGTCATAAAACATTAACTTAACAGTAGGAAGTAGCACTTATGAACCACTATAAGTTCTGTTCTCTTGGGTTTAATTTTTTACAACTATAATAAATCTAATAGATACATAATTTCTTTATTGAGACAGAAATTGTATTTGTTTTCAAAACCTAGCAATCTTCTATGAGCACAGACAAGCATTCACACAGGCCACACATGCACAACATGTGTGAAATATCTGGTATATTTTTAAAATTAAAATGCCCTACTGGCATTTTCTTCTTAGGAATTGATTTAGGAATTAAATCATTAAATTAATGACTCCTTTGAGTTTTAGAATGTCAGGATGTATTATAAATTGTGAGAAAAATATTAAAGGTGAAAACACTATCATCATAGTCAATCCTGCCATCTTATTGCATAGGTTTATAAAATGACAAATGGTGGTAAATTCTCCTGTATCAATGAGATAATTGTCTGCTTATGTGAGTACCTTCAAAGTGGAATAAATCACAATTGTGTTTTCTCTATGTATTTTCATTTTACATAGCAGCTCTGGATAATAGTTCATACTCCCTTGTTCTCAGAAATCTCAGTATTAAAATTCCTTAAATCTTCAAGGTAAATTTCTCTACATGTCTGAATACCATGGATTTCAAATGTCAGCTTATCACCGGAAGAGACACTTGTATTCTTAAATGGCTTTATACTTTAGTAAAGTCCTTCTATCTGTGACAGTTATCATATTGTATTTTTAAATATTTAATTTTTTACTTTATTTTTCACAGTGCTTCATGCCTCCTTTAAAAAAATTGACTTCACATCACTAACACTTCCAGTGTCTCAGAGATTGATTATTTTAGGAAATTCATAATTTTATACTTTTAGCCCTTTTCTTTCTTCTAAATTTTCAGACTTCATGCACTTGAAATCCATTATCATGTTTTTCTTTAGTCTTCTCTATTTCAGAAAAAAATAAGCTTAGTTTTCCTCTCCGTTCTCCTGAGTCTTATTTTCCAAAATTTGAAATATTTTCAGAATCAATTTCATAATATCTTCAGGTTATCTAAACCTATAACATCCTTTAAAAAATGTTGAAAGAATATAAACTGTTTTTATTATGGAATATTTTTAGCAGTATAACTACTGATCTTACTAAATGGATACAAATCTATAGTTATTTAATGATGGAAATATATTCCGTCATTGAAAAAGGAGTTTTTCATTATCCATTCCATATTTTAAATTAAACTTTATTATGCCAGTTATCTATTTTAGAAATTATTTAAGCAGCCCCAATGATATCAGTAGACATCTACTGGACTCTATGCTTTATTTGCAAATCTTAAGAAATTTGAACTTGCCTCACATGCATTCTACATTTTATCTAGCTTGTCATCATTAAAGAGGTTACTAGAGGACATGCAGCACAATCATACTCTGGATCAGTGTTGGACTAGTAAAGTATTTTTATTATGAACATAAATGCATGATCATGAGTTTTATAAATAAACATAGTTATTTCCAGGTATTTGAGAGATGGGATTCACATATTACCAAAAGAGTTGCTTAAACACACATTGGTTAATTATATCCCAGAAAAAAAAAATTTCAACAAGATGTATTAATCAACAAAGTCATTGTCTTAGTCCTGGAAATGCTGCCATTATGGGTCTCTAGGGTTAGCTGTCAAGTTTTATTAGGTCATAGAGTTGGCAGCATCACAGTTCTGGGTCCATCTCCTAGTCAGCTAATTGGTTATATAAGCAGTATTCGCTGGCTTGCATGTAGTAATGGTTGCCTTTATTAGAATAAATAAAAGACAAAATCACAGTAAGTCCTGTTCAAGATGTGTTCCCCAGAGATTAGCCAGCCATCTCAAAATGCCTCCCTGATGTCACAAAAAAGTCTATAAGAGAGCACAGATAATTCCCTTATCTAGTGGTTCAAAACCTAAAAAATGAACAGCACTAACAGAGTTTCATTAATAGGGAAAGGTAACTTTATTAATATGAAAAGATGGCATAGCAAAGCTGTGAAGCAACCTTAGAGTTCAAATCCCAGCTCTGTTTACTGCCGCTTTGGAAAATTTTTTAACCTCTCTTTCTTCACTTTTTCTCTTCTGTAAAATTGGCATGAAAACAGTGGCTGTTTCACAGTGTTACTATGAAGATTAGAGTTAATACTTATTGCAAATCTCTTAAAGCACCATTTTCTCAATAGGATAAACTATAATGAATTGTTGAATGAAAATTTTTGCAAGGCTTGTAATTGTACTTTTGGGCAGGATTATCTTGATAACAGAAGCTCCAGAATTAAAAGTCAGAATAGTCACATAGAAATCAAAGATGAAAGGAATTTTAAAATTCTTTGGTAGAGCAGCTTGCAAACTAAATTTTTATGGGCAATGATATCCAATTGCTCCTTTTTTAGCAGTCAAATCTTGTTTTCAAATAAAAGATTTTGCAGAACACCAATTTATAAAATAGCTAAGAGCAGAGTTCACCATGCTGTGCAACAGATTGCCGGAATGAATAACTTCTTTTTTTTTTTTTATTATACTTTAAGTTTTAGGGTACGTGTGCACAACGTGCAGGTTAGTTACATATGTATACATGTGCCATGTTGGTGTGCTGCACCCATTAACTCGTCATTTAACATTAGGTATATCTCCTAATGCTATCCCTTCCCCCTCCCCCCACCCCACAACAGGCCCCAGAGTGTGATGTTCTCCTTCCTGTGTCCATGTGTTCTCATTGTTCAATTCCCACCTATGAGTGAGAACATGCAGTGTTTGGTTTTTTGTCCTTGTGATAGTTTGCTGAGAATGATGATTTCCAGCTTCATCCATGTCCCTACAAAGGACATGAACTCATCATTTTTTATGGCTGCATAGTATACCATGGTGTATATGTGCCACATTTTCTTAATCCAGTCTGTCATTGTTGGACATTTCGCTTGGTTCCAAGTCTTTGCTATTGTGAATAGTGCTGCAATAAACATACGTGTGCATGTGTCTTTATAGCAGCATGATTTATAATCCTTTGGGTATATACCCACTAATGGGATTGCTGGGTTTCTAGTTCTAGATCCCTGAGGAATCGCCACACTGACTTCCACAATGGTTGAACTAGTTTACATTCCCACCAACAATGTAAAAGTGTTCCTATTTCTCCACATCCTCTCCAGCACCTGTTGTTTCCTGACTTTTTAATAATCGCCATTCTAACTGGTGTGAGTTGGTATCTCATTGTGGTTTTGATTTGCATTTCTCTGATAGCCAGTGATGATGAGCATTTTTTCATGTGTCTGCTGGCTCTGGTGAGTGGCTGGAAAGGGGTGTTGGGAGCAAACAGAGTGGCTCCCTGTGTTCTATTTTCTCATTGGAGAAAAAACCGTTTTGTATCTACTAGGAACCATTCGAGAGAGTGATTGAAAGAGGGGATGAGAAGGCATTCATCAGTGATGGGGTCGCTACTGCAGGGAGTCCAGGGGTGAATGGTCATGCAGGGAGTATGTTTGCCATTACAAAACCTGGAATGTTTGTTAAGTAGGAAGGAGGTGATGATTTTGGGGGACCCTGAGAAGCAGACAAGCAGTCTGAATGGAGCTGTTTGGGTGACTTGGAAGTTACTATGATCAGTTGGGGCTTGAAGTTGTAGGGTGTAATTACACTGATGGGGTAGCAGGTGCCCCAGGGGCAGGCCTGATAACAGTTTGCGTTGGATGCATAAAGGGGCTTGGAAAGTTAAGATAGTATTCATAGTTACAGGGCCGTGTATGGGCTTTTCATTGCTTATGTAATAGGTGAGGTTGGAAATGTAAGAATGTAAAAGTTGGATTGCATGTCCTGTTAGGGTATTCTTGGTCCTATTAGAGATGGGGAAGTTGGCTAATTATTGCATATTTAGAAGTTGGAAACGGTCTTTTCCTTCATAATGAGGGTGGTAGGTTAAGTTGGTAAAGACCCAGTTTTTTGTAGTAATGAGAGTGGCAACATAAGCAGAGTTGATAGATACAAAGCCAACAGTCATTTGCCAGGGAATGATTGGACTGGCTTAACAGAGAGTGGATTAAGTTAAAGGTAGGAGTAAATTGCTGTCAGAAGGAAGGAAGATAGAAAGAAGGTTGATGTGATTAGGATTTTCATCCCAGCAGGAGCTACAGTATATAGCCCTATCACAAAGAGTATGGTTAGTATGCTGCTTAATAATATGATGAAATAGTAAAAGGATTCCATTAAAGGGGCAAGGAGAGGTGTTAAATATAAAGATTGTGTAGGTTTTCACTTATCTTTTTTAAGGAGGAAAGGGTTTTTCCTCAGGATCAGCAGTAGGAGCCTTTTTAGTCTGGGATGTTTCCTTTCAAAGTAGGAGATGCAAGTCCTCCAACAGTTTGCAGGTGTATCGAGGCTGGTCTGGCTGATCTTGTGACTCCTGAGCTGGCGGTCCTGCAGGTTCCTCAGCGGGTGTCCAAAATTTAACTTGGGTGTGGTGAATCTAAGATTCCACTCCTGCCACCTTAACTGCAGTCTGGGTAGAGAGGATTATCGAGTATGGTCCTTCCCACAAAGAGTCCATAGATAGGGAGGTAGAAGGGAGAGATTTGACCTACGCTAGATCTCCTGGTTGAAACAACTCTGTTTCCTTTTCTCTGTGACATCCTTCAGGTAGGTTTTTAAGGTTTTGTTGATATTTTGCCAAAGAAGTTATATCTTTGAATAAGTTGGTCGTTTCCTGATCAAGTAGGAGGTCATTTGTGAAAAAAGGTCGTCCATACAGCATCAAAATGAGCCCCATTTTGTGAGGAGAATTTCGGATTCTCAACAAGGCCACAGGCAAAAGAGTAGGCCGTGGGAGATGAGTTTCTTGTGTTAGTTTCCTTAAGTGCCTCTTGAGTGTTTCATTTGCCTTCTCAACCTTCCCTGAGGATTGTGGCCTCCAGGAACAGTGAAGGTGATAATTGTATCCCTAGCACCCTGGAAATTCCCTGAGTTATTGTGGCTTTAAGAGCCGGACCATTGTCACTCTGTAAGCTTTGGGGAAGCCCAAATCTAGGAATTATTTTATGAATTAGGACTTTAATCACTTCCTGAACCTTCTATGTCTTGCAGGGGAAAGCTTGCATCCAATTTGTGAAGGTATCAACACAGACCAACAAGTATTGAAATCCTTTTGACTTAGGCATATGGGTGAAGTCTAACTGCCAGTCCTCTCTGGGATAGTGACCTATTCTTTGTTCCCCCAAAGGGGCCTTATGATGGACTAAGGGATTATTCCTTTGGCACACCTGACAGGCTTTGACTACCTGTCAGATGGTCCGGAAGAGATTTGGCCCTGTAAATAGGGATTTGGCCATTTGATGAGTGTTTTCCATACCCATATGGAAGGTTTGGTGGAGAGTTTTAAGTATTTTCCACTGGCTGGCTTCGGGTATAAGTACCTTTCCTTCTTCTGTCGTTAACCACCCCAAGGGGAGAAAACTATGCCCCTGTGAAAGTCCCCATTCTGTTTCAGTTGGGGAATACTGGGGCTTAATCTCTTGGAGGGAGTTGTTCCATACCAAGGGTCCTTCCATAGGTACTTCTAATGGGAGGTTCCGCCTGGCAGAAATTTTGACCTCAGCATCTGCCTGACGGTTTCCTTCTGCTTTTTCTCATTCACCTTGTTGATGGCTTTGGCAGTGTAAGACTGCCACTTCCTTGGGTTTTTGCACTGTGTGCAATAACTCCATAATTTCCTTGTGGTATTTAATGGGGGTTCCCCCAGAGGTTAAGAACGCCCTTTCTTTCCATATTGCAGCATGATCATGCAGGATTAGATAAGCATACTTGCTATCTGTATACACATTTATTCTTTTTCCATTTCCCAGTTCTAAGGCTAGGGTAAGTGCCAGTAGTTCTGCTAACTGGGCACTGGTCCCTGGGGGAAGAGGCTTACTTTCAAGTACAGTTACATCACTAACTATAGCATAACCTGCCCTTTGTATCCCATTCTCCACAAATGAACTTCCATCGGTATATAGGTTAAGGTCAGGATTAGCTAAGGGGACTTCTAAGACATCATCTTACACGGCATAAGTCTGGACTATAATTTGTTGGCAGTCATGCTCGATTAGTTCCCCATCCTCTGGGAGAAAAGTGGCAGGGTTGAGGGTCACACACATACATATTTGAAGCACTGGTCCCTCAAGGAGTAGTGCTTGGTATCTAAGTAGGCAGTTGTCTGATAGCCATAAACTTCCTTTGGCATCTAGTATGCCATTTACATCATGAGTAGTCCAGACAGTGAGATACTTTCCTTGTATTATTTTGATAGCCTCTGACACTAAAACAGCCACTGCCACAACTACCCTTAAACAGTGAGGCCAGTCTTTTGCTACTACATCAATTTCCTTACTTAGGTATGCCACTGGTTGTGGGGTTGTCCCACGAGTCTGAGTAAGTACCCCAAGAGCTATTCCTGCTCTCTCTGTGATGTATAAAGACAAATTTTGTCCTGTGGGAAGGCTTAAAGCTGGAGCTTGTACTAGGGCATGCTTTAAGGTTTTGAAGGCTGTTTCTGCCCCTGGTTCCCTTTCTACTAGATGAGTATTTGCCCTCTGGGTCTCCTTGATTAGAGTATAGAGTGGTCTGGCCATCTCACTGCATCTGGAGATCCATAGTCGTCAAAAGTCAGTGATTCCAAGGAACCCCCACAACTGTTTTAATGCCTTAGGGAGAGGATAAGCCAGTATAGGCTGTATACATTCTTTGCTGAGGGCCCTGGTACCTCTGGCTAAGATTAGGCCTAGATATTTGACCTGCTGTAGGCAAAGCTGGGCCTTCGACCTAGACACCTTGTACCCTTGATTAGCTAGAAAGTTCAAGAGATCTAGAGTAGCCTGCTGGCATGAGGCTTCCAAACTGGTAGCCAAAAGTAAATCATCCACATATTGAAGGACAAGAGTGCCTGGACTTGAGAAGTGGCCTAGATCTTGGGCCAGTGCCTGACCAAACAGTTGAGGGCTATCCCTAAACCCTTGGGGCAAGACCATCCAAGTAAGTTGGGACATGTGGTCTGTGGGATCCTCAAAGGCAAAGAGAAACTGGGAGTCAGAGTGCAGGGTAATACAGAAGAAGGCATCCTTGAAGTCCAGAACAGTGAACCATTCTGCTTCCTCTGGTATTTGAGAGGGCATGATATAGGGGTTGGGTACAACTGGATATAGAGGATTTACTGCCTCATTGGTGAGTCTAAGATCTTGCACTAGTCGCTATTGACCATTCAGTTTTTGTACTCCTAGAATTGGGGTGTTGCAGGGACTGCTGCATTTCCTTTCTAAGCCTTGAGCTTTTAAATGTTTAACAATATCCTGTAATCCTTTATGAGCTTCAGGTCTTAAGGGTTATTGCCTTTGATAAGGAAAAGTGGGTGGGGTCTTTTAGCCTGATTTGGACTGGGTGGGCATTTTTTGCCCTTCCAAATTGTCCTTCCAATGCCCAGACTTCAGGGTTGATTCCCTCCTCAAGTAGAGGACAACAAATGGGTAACTTGTTCCCCATATTCATGTAGATAATAGCTCCAGCTTTGGCTAATATATCCCTCCCTAATAAGGGTGTGGGACTTCTAGGCATAACAAGAAAGGCATGTGAAAAGAGCAAAGTCTCCAATTACAGCTGAGGAGGTGGGAGAAATACTTGGTTACAGGCTGTCCCAGGATTCCTTGGATGGTAACGGACCTTGAGGACAGCTGTCTGGGACAGGAGATTAACACTGAGAAAGCCGTGCTGGTGTCCAGAAGGAAGTCAATTTCCTGGCCGTCATTGGTTAAACATACCCGGGGCTCAGTAAGGGTGATGACATGAGCTGGCACTTGTTCCGGGCACCCTCAGTCCTGTTGTTGGATCATCTGGTTGGGGGCTTCTGGACTAGAGAATCTTTATCCTCCGGGGCAGTGCACCTTCCAGTGATTGTCTCAGCATAGTGGACATGGGCAAGTGGGCAGCTTATTTCCCGTTAGACAATCTTTTTTAAAGTGTCCTTGCAAACCACACTGATAACAAGCCCTACCGGCTGATTGACCTGCTCCATTTTCTGTCCTCTCTGAACCACCAAGGTTTATTTGTCTGAGGGCCATGACTAAGGCTACGGTCTTTCTCTGATCTTGCTTTTCCTTTTTGGACTGTTCCCCTTGGTCCCTATTATAGAACACCGAGGGTGCCAGGTTTAATAATGCCTCCATATTTTGTTCAGGGCCCAGGGCTCACTTTTGGAGCTTTCTCCTGATATCCGTGGCTGATTGGATAATAAACTTATCTTTTAGGATCAATTGACCCTTGAGGGAGTCAGGTGACAGGGGAGTATATTTCCTTAAGGCCTCCCATAGCCACTCGAAGAAGGCAGAAGGATTTTCTTCCTTTCCCTGAGATATGTTGGACATCATTGAATAATTCATGGACTTTTTCCTAATTCTCCTTAGTCCTTCTATAACACAGGTCAACATATGCTTACGACTCCAGTCCCCATGATCTGAGTCGAGGTCCCAGTGGGGATCCATACTGGGGATGGCTTGCTGACCGGTAGGGAATTTGTCCCTTTCTTTGGCTGTCATTCTATCCTTTACTTAACTATGATACCAGATATCTCCAAACTCTCGGGCTGCAGCTAAAGCTGCGTTCTTTTCATTAAAGGCCAGGGTTTGATCTAACAATAGCATGACATCTCTCCAAGTGAGATAGAAAGTTTGCCCTAGACCCTGTAGGACATCTATGTACCTATCAGGATCATCTGAAAACTTCCCCAAGTCTGCCTTGATCTGCTTTAAATCATAGAGGGAGAAGGGGACATGTACCCGGGTTAGGCCAAATTCCCCTCCCCCTACTGCTTGAAGGGGACATAACCGATAGCCCAGGGGTTTTTGTGGTCCTTTGGAGATTTCTTTGCTTGTTTCCTTCTGGGCAGGGGAGATTAGAGGAGGCTTATCATTAATAGGAAGGGGAGCTGTAGGAAGGCTAGGATATGGAGGTAAGCTGAGAGGTCCTCCTGTGGGATGTAAATTGCGAGCTTTGCATAGTTGTGTATTCTCCTTCAATGAAAAGAAAGCTTGGACATAAGGTATTTGCCTTCCCTCTTACAGAAAAAGTCAAGCTGCAGGATAGTATTGTAATTTATACTTCTCTCAGGTGGCCATTTTTCCCCATCAGAGAGAGAATATTGGGGCCAAGCCATAGTGCAGAAAAAAATGAACTGCTTCTTTTTCAGGGTTTGCAGGTCAAATTGGTCCCAATGGCTTAAGATGCATTTCAAGGGTGAGCCTGTTGGTGCCTCAGTGTTTCCCATTTGAAAGACAAAACCACCCACGGTTTTGGTTTGTTTGCTTCCCCCCGCCCAAGAACCCACAATGGTCCCTGGACCCTGCTGATCAGAATAGATGCGCTCACCGAAGCAGCAGCAGAAACACCTCTTGCCCAAGAACCCGCAATGGTCCCTGGACCCTGCAGATTGGAATAGTTGCACTCACCAACGCAGCAGCAGAAGCACTAGTTTCCCTCCTAGACCACAAGGAGGACTGAGGAAGGTCGGATTTAGTGGCCCTTACTGACGCATTCTCGAAAACCTGCAACCTTGCCTGTCATTGTAGACCACAAAGAGGACTGAGAAAAATCGGATTTAGTGGCCCTTACTGATGCATTCTCAAAAACCTGTTAGAATCCTAAGCATTCTCCTGTTAGTATTGGGACTTTACCCATGTCCTATAAAGATGTTATGCCCCAAAAATGAAGTGGAGGGCCATACCCTAAGGGAGGGGAGGGATCTCCAGAGTTGGAAGAGTGATGCCTTTTGTCCTCACTTGAATAGGAAGGATATCATTTCTGAGGCTTCCCATATCCTAGCTTCAGGAATAGCTTTTGTTAAGCCTGCTAGTCTGAGGAGGGATCCTAAAATTCCAGATAGTCCCCCCGCCCCAGTGGGGCTTTGGGCAAAAATTATGTCTTTCTGATTGGTGAGCCCAGGTGCCAAAAGAAGGGAACAGAGTCCTGAGGTTTATACTAGAAATCATTCTTATAGGAGAAACTAGAAAAGCACCAGAGACAGGGAGTGGTTTTTAGAAGTGGGACTAGCCTTGGAGAAGAGGTGAGAGGAAGTTTGTCTGAAAGGCATTAGGACCCAGGAGGCAAGGGTCACGATAGATAGGATAGATGGGTGAGTCTCACTTTGGTGACATGGCTTTGAGAGCTCCGCTCATGGCCACAGGGTCAACCAACTTGTTCGGATCCTGGAGCTGAATGGCTTTCCTCTCTGTTGACCCTCAGCTCAGCCCAGAAGTACAGGAAAAGCGTAAGCTGGTTCCAGGCAAACCAACACTCCCAACTCTGAAGAGTTGGGGGTTGTTAGAGAGCCCTTCCCCAGAAAGCCTGACACCCATGTCTTTAGTCCGGTGGCCACACTAGTTGCTTTTAACTGGCCGACAGGTGCCCGGTATTTAGCACCCGAATTCTAAAGAAAAATAGGACAGAATAGCAAGCAAAAGGGGTCCGATGGAACTCACCGCTTGGCAATAGGTGATAGTCCCATCTGGGATGTCAAAATATGTCCGGAATTGGTTCCTTCCGGTGAGTTCTTGGTCTCGCTGACTTCAAGAATGAAGCCGCAGACTCTAGCAGTGAGTGTTACAGTTCTTAAAGATGGTGTGTCCGGAGTTTGTTCCTTCAGATGTTCAGATGTGTCTGGAGCTTCTTCCTTCCAGTGGGTTCGTGGTCTTGCTGACTTCAGGAGTAAAGCTGCAGACATTCGCAGTGTGTGTTACAGCTCTTAAAGGTGGCGCGTCCACAGTTGTTTTTTCCTCCCGGTGGGTTTGTGGTCTCACTGACTTCAGGAGTGAAGCTGCAGACCTTCACAGTGAGTGTTACAGCTCTTAAAGGTGGTGAGGACCCAAAGAGTGAGCAGCAGCAAGATTTATTGTGAAGAGCGAAAGGACAAAGCTTCCACAGCATGGAAGGGGACACAAATGAGTTACCACTGCTGGCTCGGGTGGCCAGCTTTTATTCCCTTATTTGGCCCCACCCATGTCCTGCTGATTGGTTAATTTTACAAGTGCTGATTAGTCCATTTTACAGAGTGCTGATTGGTCCATTTTACAGAATGCTGATTGGTCCATTTTACAGAGTGCTGACTGGTGTGTTTACAATCCTTTAGCTAGACACAGAGTGCTGATTGGTGCGTTTTTACAGAGTGCTAATTGGTGTGTTTACAATCCGTTAGCTAGACACAGAGCACTGATTGGTGCGTTTTTAAAGAGTGCTGATTGATGTGTTTACAATCCTTTAGCTAGACACAGAGTGCTGATTGGTGTGTTTTTACAGAGTGCTGATGGGTGCACTTACAATCCTTTAGCTAGACAGAAAAGTTCTCCAAGACCCCACCCAACCCAGAAGCCCAGCTGGCTTTATCTCTCATAATGACAGACTTCTCTACTTTGTAGAAGCCATCATTCAAATAAATATATCTAAGGAAATGTGAATAGTCAATGTAGATAATCCAGTCTCTCTGGGTGGCCTTAGAGCATTGGATAATGAGTAAAAGTATCTGTCCCCCACAAATCTGGAAGCCATAAGTTTTTCAATGATCTGATCAAAGATTAAGCCCCAGAGAAAATACTTTTGATTTCCTGGCTCTTCTTTTAAAATCACACCATAATGTTGGATGGGAATCCATTATACATCAATAATAATGACACTCAATGCTTAATATGCCTTAATATAATTTCTTCTATATAAAAATGCTACCTAAAAATATTTTGCATGTTAGGAGTTGATAACTAATAACCCTTCAGAGTATGCTTCCATTCTAATGGGCCCTTTGTTGCTGAAAATCTACTTTATTAGAGAAATAATGTTTACATAACATAAAATTAACCATTTTAACCATCTTAAAGGGTACAATTCAGTGGCTTTTAGTATATTCCCAATGTTTTATTACCATTACCACTGATTCTAGAACATTTTCATCATCCTAAAAAGAAACTTTGTACACATTAAGTGGTTATTCCCCATTTTCCCTCACTCAGCCCCTGGAAACCACTACTCTGCTTTCTTTCCATATAAAATTGCCTATTCTGGGCACTTCACAAAAATAGAATCATACAATATTGGCCTTTTGTATCTGGCTTCTTTCACTTAGTATAATGTTTTTGAGGTTAATCCCTTATGTAATTTGTTCATTCATTTTCACAGATTTACAATATTCCATTGTATGGCTATGCCACATTTTATTTAGTAGGTGATGGACATTTAGTTTGTTTCCATTTTTCAACTACAGTAAAAAATGATGCTATGAACATCTGGACAAAAGTTATTTTAAAAAACATATGTTTTCAGTTATCTCAGGTATACAATTAAGAAGTACTCATACTGACTTGTAAGGAAATTTTATGTTTACATTTTAACAAAGAGCCAATGTGTTTTCTGTGGTAGCACCACCATTTTACATTCTCACCAGCAATGTACAGGGGTTCCAATACCTCCACATTCTTATCAACAATTCCTATTTCCTGTTTTTTTTTTTTTATTTTGACAAATGTGGTTGGTGTGAAGTGGCATATGACTTTGATTTGCACTTCCATAATGACTAAATATGTTGAACCTCTATCCTTTTTTATTTCAATAATTTATTTTTGTTAATGATGGGAATATTTTCTCAGTAAGTTTAAGCAATCAACTTTATAACAGGGAAGGATAAGCTAGGGTTAGACATAGAAAAGTTAATGTACGTTATCTTGAAATTTTAAGGAGAAAAGTGTTTGAATGAAACTTTATCTATCTTTGTTAGCCAAACAGTATTAAAATAAGAAAATTTTGAATAGAAAACTGTACTTGGTTCTCATATTTCAAGCATAAAAGTATTTTAATAAAAAATTCTACTTTCTGCATATATTTACGTAATTTTAAAATAAAAGGTGTTATGTGGATTGTAGAGTGTAGCTAATGAAAACATTAAATAACATAATTTTAAGAAGCAATTAGCTATTCCACATGAAATAAAATCAATGATTACATAAATTCAACATGATTATGATGACAAAAGCAAAAATACAAAGTGTAATAGTTTTCAGTTCCTTGTTTGACACATATATTAATACATTTCCCAAAATCAAACAAAATAACACCAGCATCTACTAATACCGTGATACCATGATCACAATGAGACTCCTAAAACTTACTTAGTTATTAACATCTTAAAAACCTAATTCTCATATGAATTATGCAACCAAGCATATTATCTATGCTGTGCAAACTGGTGGAAGCACAGTCTTCTTCAGGATTCTCTAGAATTCATAATTATTTCAAATGTAACTGATGTTGAACCCCACATTTCCTATTGACTTTGGTGAATCTTCTGAGCAGGACTTCATTTATCAGAACATAAGCATATACTCATTGCAACTTTAAAAAGAATAGCAGGCCTTCATACATGTTTGTTTTCAATTATATCTCATCATTAATTCTGTTCAGAGTTATATTTTCTAGACTTAATATTTTTGCAACTTTTTAAATTTTTTCATTTTTTTCTATGTATTTCAACCCTTCTAACTTCAGCTGATCCAGCTTTTCATTTTGACTTTCATCTAGGGTTGTTTTCACACATTTCAGGATTGAATATAAAATAGGTGTCAGGAGGTAACAGAACATCAAGCATTATACAGACTGCTTCTATATCTGTAGCACTGTTGATAACATTAGAAAGTTTGGTTTTCAAGCTTGTGTGTATCACAGTGTTTTTCATGTCACTCTCCGAATGTCCAGTGCCCAGGCATACTGTGCACTCTAATGGGATATCCGGCCAATGACATTTATACTCATGCATTGCTAATGCCAAATAGTTATTCAGAAGCAAACCTCCGCCTTGATGAAGATCATTTCCCAATGTGTATTCTGCAAAGTAGCCTGGAGCAGCAGATGAGGCTCTAATGGCCTGCCACATTTTATACTGAGAACCTCTGAAATGACAGTTGATTCCAGCAAAATGGTCATAGTTTCTATGTTTAGAAACAACAAATTATAGTTTCTAAAGCACCATAGTTTCTAAAACATCAAATTATTTTGGTGTTATCCCTCTGTTTACTATGGTACTTATGGCAGTTACCTTAAGGCATGTGGGGTTTCTTGCTGTTGCCATCAATAGCGTAAATCCCATTCTATTTTTCAGAATTTTTTCCCACCTTTGACTTCTATAAAATGCATGGCTCCAACTCATTTTAACTTTTCCAACAATGAAATTTTGTGAAAATACGTCTGAACCTAATGTTTTATAGTTTCTCGCATTCATCCAAGGACATATGAAAAAATCCCGACATGAAAGCTAATATGGCACCTGTGCTCACACCACAAATGTAATCAAAGGGCTGATCAACTGGTTTCTGAGTTAGTTCAACTAATTTGCATAGTATCTGCAGAGCAACCACATAACTTGTTCCTCCATCTTCAATTATGAAAATTGGGATTCCTCTCCCTTTCACTGGATGCACGTAGGCAATTAAAGCCGAAAATTATCTAAGTGCAGCCTAAAGTGTTTCACCTTTAATTTATCTCAGCCAGAATAAATATGGAATAATTCTTTCTTTAACAGACACTCATTTCCTTCAATATATTCTAGATGATGAAAATTCAGTTCTTCAACCCCAGTAATACAGAACTTCAGGTCAGTTGTTTTTCTTAATACCTGAACTAACACCCAGGTTCTGTTATCAATATAATTGCAATAATAATTTCTCCCTGAAGAGATAAACGGTTGTTCTTCTCTGCATTTTTGTCTTTGCTGATAGCCTGCTCAGTTTTAGTAGGCTTTTCCTCTTTTTCTAAGTGTCTCTTTAAATCATAATTTAACTTGGGGACAAGTCCACCAATATTCCACCTACAAAAGATTATACAGTTTCACTGGGATGAAAAAGAAAGTTAGTAATACTTTAGTTGAAACTAGAAGAACTTCAAGTATTGCAATAGGATTTGAAGGATTTTCCACAGTATCTAAAGAAGATTCTGAGCCTGACTTATCAGTCAGCATGCCAAGATCTGGAGAACTTAATTTCCCTTCTTCAACCTGCTTACCTTCAAGTTCTGATATGTCCTGGAATTGTTTTTTTTTTTTTTTCCCTGTTTTTTTGAGACACATTTTCCCCACATTTGAAATAAGAGTTAACATAATTTGATGAAAAGTAGAATGGCTTTTTAAGTTTTGTGGCTATAATAGTCATATAATAAAGAAGACTACTTATATCTTCTTTTTACGTCTAATCTGGCATTTCTCTTTTGGAAGAGGATACTTTTTTATTTATTTGTCAGATTTTTTTTCAGAGATTTTATGCCTTGTTTCACTTTTCTTTTTGGTTTGTTTTAACCAGTCATGATTTGATACTTTCCTTAAAAGTATCAATTGGTGAGAATTTCTCTTGATTTGAGCTAAACGTGAAATAATTTCATTCTGATTGCCAAAAACATCCTTTGAAATAGTTTAGAAGTACTTTTAATATGGGACATACAAATGCTCATTTTAGTAAGTCCTTTGGGAGTGGGAGTGCTAGGTTTCAAAATTCTAATATGTAAACAATGGTTGTCTGGAGAGTAACAGTGCTTTCTGCCAGTATGTGTTTCATTTTTGTCTATTTACATATTACTTCGTTTGTATGAAAATCTCTTTGTAGACGAATGTGGCTAATCCTGTAGTAATGCTTAGGCGACAACAGGAAATGCAGTTGCTTGCTTGAGTAGGCCTAAAGCCTAGGGCCACTTAATCCTCCCTGGCAGTGGGTCAGTTCTGGAACCCAGGACCTCTGTGGTCACCCTGCCACTGAGGGCTGAGGGAGCCTGAGGTTGCTAAAGTCTGTCTGGTGGTGGTGCAAACCAGAGATCAATTCTGGTGTGCATGCCTGAACTCTGGGGCTGTGGGGTATGGCCTGGCACTGGAGAATATTCGTGACTCAGTACTGTAGATACCAGCCTGGAGTCTGGGTTTATGGTGACTTACTTGGTGCTAGGTTTTACTGTGGTTAACCTAGTGTTACAGGCTAAGGCAATGTCTAGTGCTGGCTTCTTTCTCCTTACCCCAAGTGGAAGGTATCTCTCTCAACACTGTGCTCCTTAAGGTTGGGGGAGGGGTGATGTGAGTAATGTCAAACTGCCCTTTTTATCCTCCCCCTCAGTGCATCTTTTTATTTTTCTGTACTGCATCTGGACACTGTAAAGTGTCATCCTGTTCCGGCCGGGCGCGGTGGCTCACGCCTGCAATCCCAGCACTTTGGGAGGCCGAGGTGGGCGGATCACAAGGTCAGGAGATCGAGACCATCCTAGCTAACACGGTGAAACCCCGTCTCTACTAAAAATACAAAAAATTAGCCAGGCATGGTGGCGTGTGCCTGTAGTCCCAGCTGCTGGGGAGGCTGAGGCAGGAGAATGGCGTGAACCCAGGAGGCGGAGCTTGCAGAGTGAGGCGAGATCGCGCCACTGCACTACAGCCTGGGTGACAGAGCGAGACTCCGTCTCAAAGCTCTTGTGAAAAGTTTTCAGTAACGGGTAGTTGTTCAAACTGATGTTTCTGCAGGTGAGAATTTCTGGAGAGTCCTCTATGGTCTTGCTCTGCTCCTCTCCTCTGAAGTTATTAATATAAATCTTCTCTCTTTTAATCATGGTCAGTCTACATACATTTTAATAACTTAATTATTAATCTTTTTAAAAAACAACTTTTGGGTTTGTTGATCCCCTCTATTGCTTTTATATTCTCTATTTCATTCATCCTATTATAGTCTTTATTATTTTATTCCTTGTGGCTGTTTTTCAATTTGTTTTCTCTTCTTTTTCTAGTTACTTAAGGTGGTGTAAAGGTATTGATTTGAGATTCTTCTCTTTTTTTAAAATAGCATTTATGGCTGTATATTTTACTTTAAGTACTGTTTTTACTTCATCTCATACTTTTTTTATTTATCTAAATTACTTTGCTAATTTTCTTGTAATTTTTTAAAATAATCTTTTAAGAGAGGTTTTTTCTTTAATTTGTGAACTTTCCAGATTTCCTTCAGTTACTGATTTTCAATTTCATTCTTTTTTTGGGGTAAGGTAAAGTTCTTTTTAAGATTTCAGTTATGTAAAATCTATTGAGACATGTTTTATCACATATAAAATATTGTCTATCCATGAGAATTTTTTGCACATTTGGGAATAAAACCTACTTTGTAATATGGGCTAGGTTGTTCTCTGTGTATCTTTTAGGTCTGATATGTTTATAGTTTTTTTCAAGTCTTCTATTTCCTTGTTTACATTTTCTATATTTTTTCCATTATTAAATGTAGATTTTGAAATATTCTGCTATTATTTTAGAACAATGTACTTTTCCTCTCAATCTAATGATTATACTTCATATATTTTGACTCTGTTGTTGTGTATATATTTATAATTAAAATACTTTGTGATTAATGGAATTCTTTATCATTATGTAATGCATTTATTGTCTTGTAAGAATTTTTGCTTTAAAGTTTTTTATATTTGCTATTAGTGTAGCCACTTCAGCTCTCATTGGCTTAAGTTTGTATGGAATATATTTTTCCATTCTTTTACATGTAATCGATTTATGGTTTGGGTTCTTAAGTGTGTCTCTTACTGACCTCTGATAGTTGATTAATTCTTTTTATCCTTTATGCAAATATGTGCCTTCTAATTGAAGAGTTTAATTCATTTACTTTTTTAAAAATTATAAAAAAATATTGATATGCAAGTTTGCTATTATTTATCTATACATCTTATGTCATTTTTGTTTATTTTCTTCATTACTATTTTTTTATGTTTTATTCATTTGTGTATGCATGCACCTGTTAGATTTCTTTCTTAACTTTTATTCTGCATATTTTTTGCATAATTTTTCCAGGGGCTTTCTTTGAGGATTGCTATGTATATCTTAAACTGCTAACAATGTAGTTTTAATTACTACAAACTTAGCTTTAATAGTATACAAAATCCATGTTCCTATATAGCTCTGCTTCTCTACTGTTCTTGTCACAACTTACATATTTATATATTTTGTGGTCATCAAGATAAAGCAATCCCATTATTTTTTCCTGTATGAAAGGTTTATGAGTGATAAATTACACTAGCCTGCTTAGGCTACTGTAACAGACTAACATAGACTAGGTACAACAATAGAAATTCATTTTTTTTTTTCACAACACCAGAGGCTGAAAAATACAATATCAATTTTTGCACAGGAATTTGTTTCTGGTAAGGGCTCTCTGCTTTGCTTGCAGACGACCACTTTACTATCACATGAAGTTTATTTTGTGCATTTATGGAGATGGGGGAAAGAGAGGGAGAGACAGAGAGAGAGAGAGAAACTGCTCTCTGGTGTCTCTTCTCACAAACCCATTTATCCTATAAGATCAGGGCTCTGCTTTTATGACCTCATTTAATTTTAATTACCTCTTTAGTTAACCTACCTTCAAATATAGGCACAATGAGAATTTACATATAATTTAATTTAGGGAGGACACAAACATTCAGTCCATAACATTCTCTCAGATTTAGTTCATGTAAAAGTGATTTAAATTCTCTTTAATTTTTGAAGGATAATTTTAACAAATATAAAATTGTTGATTGACAGATTTTTTTCTTTGAACACTTGACATATGTTGCCACTGTCTTCTGAGCTCCATGGTTTCTGATGAGAAATCAGCTATTAATTTTATTGAGATTCTCTTGTAAGTGGCAAGCTGCTTCTGTCTTGCTGCTTTAAAAATTATCTTCTTGTTTTTGTTTTTTGAGAGTTTTATATGTTTCTCAAAGTATATCTCTTTGAGAATATTCTACTTAGGGTTTATTGAGTTTCTTGATATTTAGAATTATGTCTATAACTTAATTTGGGACTATTTTGAGAGCTGTTTCTTCAAATTATATTTATGTCTTTTCTATCTCTGTATTACTTCTGGAACTACATCATGCACACATTCATAAATGTGTTGTATCCTGTGTATTTTAAATTTTTTAAAAAATCTTTGTTTCTCAGCCTAAATAATCTCAATTAATTGTTTTCAAGATCCTTCATCCTTTATTTGGCGTGCTTAAAACTGCTGTTGAGGCCGGGCACGTGGCTCAAGCCTGTAATCCCAGCACTTTGGGAGGCCGAGGCAGGCGGTTCACGAGGTCAGGAGATCGAGACCATCCTGGCTAACACGGTGAAACCCCGTCTCTACTAAAAATACAAAAAAAATTAGCCGGGCGTGGTGGTGGGCGCCTGTAGTCCCAGCTGCTGGGAAGACTGAGGCAGGAGAATGGCGTGAACCCGGGAGACGGAGCTTGCAGTGAGCCAAGATCGCGCCACTGCCTTCCAGTCTGGGCAACAGAGAGAGACTCCATCTCAAAAAAAAAAAAAAAAAACCTGCTCTTGAACTACTCTAGTAATTATTTCATTTCAATTATTGCACTTTTTAACTCAGAATTTTTTATTTGGTTCATTTTGGTTATATCTGTCTCCTTACTAATCTTCTCAATTTGGTTAGAGATTCTCATACATTCCTTTATTTCTTTGTATATAGTTTCTGTTTATTCATTGATCATATTCTAAATGGTTGATTTAAAATTTTGTTTAGAAATCCAGTGTCAGGGCTTTTGCAGGCACAGATTTTAGTAGTTTTTATGTTTTGTTTTGTTTTGTTTTGTTTTTTGCTGTGTAAGAGCAATATTTTCTATTTTTTGCCTGGTTTATATTTTTTTCTGGTAAACTGGACATTTGGTACATTATAATATGGCAACTCTGGAAATTAGATTGTTCTAGCTCCAAAGTTTGTTGTTATTGCTTATTGCAATTGTTTTTTCTTTATTGACTTGTCTGAACTAATTTTGTAAAGTACATATTCTTTGTTGTGCGTGACCACAAAAACCTGTTTAACATTAGCTTAGCAATGAGCTAGTGACTCAACAGATATTTCCTTAAATATCTGAAAAAACGATAACAAAAACCTCCCAGTTGTGTCAGATTGACTCTGCATTTGTGTTGGTTTATGCCTTCAACACTTGGCCTGGCAGTTTAAAACTCTACTTTTCCTTCATTTCTTGCCTGTGAGTCTCCCAAAGCTAACTTTGCCTTCATTTTTTTGCCTGTGAGTCTCCCAAAGGTCAGCCAAGGCGAAAGTTTAGGGACTTCTCACGTAACTTCTGAATACATGCCAGTCCTGGGCACGCACATGACATCTTAGATTCCCAGAAATATGTGGCAGCTTTTTAAAGCCTTTACTCCCAATATGTCTCAGTAACCAGCTTTTATTCTCAGTCATTTTAGTTTGTCTATCATTTACCCCACTACTATCCATTGCCCTATGTGGCAACAAATAATGCACCTACTTTTAAATGTTTTCCACAATATTCCCCAAGGGTAACCACTTCAGCCCTGCTAGAGTACTGAGCTAGGTGAAATAAAGGGAAGCCCTGGCCGGGTGTGGTGGCTCATGCCTGAAATCCCAGCACTTTGGAAGGCCAAGGCGGTTGGATCACCTGAGATCAGGAGTTCAAGACCAGCATAACATGGTGAAACCCTGTCTCTACAAAAAATACAAAATATTAGCCGGCCATGGTGGCACACGCCTGTAATCCCAGCTACTCTGGAGGCTGAGACAGGAGATCGCTTGAACCCGGGAGGCAGACGTTGCAGTGAACCGAAATCGTGCTAATTGCACTCTAGCCTGGGCAACAAGAGCAAAACTCTGTCAAAAAGAAAAAAAAAAAAAAAAAAGGAAGCCCTTTGAGCTGATACTTCAGGGTGTCACCAAATAGGTAAAAAATAAATAAAAAAAAATTTAAAAACTATAATTCTTGGAGTATATGATTTATTGTCTTTCTCCATCACTAGGAATTTATAACCAGATGTGGGCAATATTCTTTAAGGCCACTGTCAACCTGAGAAGTATGGGGTGGGTTTAGGGTCGGTAAAACACTTACAAAATTTCTTAATGAGATACATATTTTTAAAAATATTTACTTTGTTGCTGTGAATTTCTGATTAGTTCCCAGAGCTCTTCTAAATGTGATTGTGTCAATTTATGCCATATAAATATCTGCTTTTGTGGAACAATGGGCTTTGGTAGTTTTATACTCTCCCATTTTTACTGACATCACTGGAAATTTACTTTTAAATAAGTCATGCATTACCTTAAGAGAGCCTAGAGACCTATGCATAATAATGACAACAGGCAGAAATTGAAGTTTGGAAATAATCAGTGTCGTTTGTAACTTTATCTGTGCTTCCTTGTGGCATTGAAAATTTGTTAATTCAATTAGCACCCCAAAGTTTAACTGATTCTACATTCCTTTGTGAAGAAAATTGCTAAAATTGTCTTTATAATAATTAGCTGTAAAAAAGACACCAAGTTTTATTTTCACATATAAAAAATTATCACACTGAAACTTGAAATTATTTCAAGGTGGCCAATTTAGATTAATTAATAGGCATTATTGCGAAAGCTTCAATTTGCAATGAAAATGTAAGAATATTGCATTGTCTACACATTGAAGTTAACATAGATAATTATAACAAGTGTTGAATAATTTAAAAAGCAGTGTTTTTATATTGAGCACCTCTATTCAAACCAAAGTTTACTTTGTGGGAAAGGGAAAACTTAAAACATGTCAACCAAATTTAAAAATCTATGCAATACTATCACAAGTGGTATATTTTAAAGCCAACATCTAAATTAATCCTAATTTTTCAAGAGAACTTTATTTTCCCCAAATGTGTAGAAATAGTGACTCCCTGTAAAAATTTAACATTAACAATTAGGTGAGTTTGACCCTTCAACACCCTATTGAACTTAAGATAATACTAGCTATGTGAATTATATCATCTGCAGAACTCATTTACAATAAAATATTTGAATGCACCAAAAAATAGTGCATGCATCTCTTTTTTTGAGTTCACATTCCAGTACTCCTTTGACTGAAAAAAAAATTCATGCTTACATTTGCACAAGTCATTTTGTACATCTCCACTAGTTTCTCTGCGGTAAAGTGTATGCAAAGAAACCTTGTGATTAGTTTTCAAATCAGAGTAACATCATTTGTTCTTTAATAGTTACGCTTAACTAATAATTAGATGTTGATTATTTAAAATATGTTTGAACACACTCTTGGATCACAGCACTATAAAAATAGAAATAAACACCAAAAAATTACTCAAACCCATACAATGACATGGAAATTAAACAACCTGCTCCTGCATGACTTTTGGGTAAACAATGAAATTAAGGTAGAAATCAATAAATTATTTGAAAACAATGAGAACAAAGATAAAACATATCATAATCTCCAAGACATAGCTAAAACAGTGTTGAGTAAAGTTTATAGCACTAAACACCTACATCAAAAAGTTAGAAAGATCGCAAATTTACAACCTCGCATTCCACCTAGAGAAACAAGAGCAAACCAATCCCAAAGCTAGCAGACAACAAGAAATTACCAAAATGAGAGCTGAACTGAAGAAAACAGAGACACAAAAAAGTATACAAAACATCAAGGAATTGAAGAATTGGTTTATTGAATGCAAGAATAAGATTCATAGACTACTATATGAACTAATAAAGAATAAAAAATAAAGAAGATCCAAAGAAACACAATCACAAATGACAATGGAGACATTATCATTGGCCCCATAGCAACACAAAAAAGTCTCAGAGACTGCTATGAACACCTCTATGTGCACAAATTAAAAAACCCAGAAGAAATGGATGAATTCCCAGAAACAAACCATCTCCCAAGAGTGAAGGAGAAAGAAACTAAATCCCTGAGCAGATCAATATTGAGTTCCAAAATTGAATCAGTAATAAAAAGCCTGCCAACAAGAAAAAAAGCCAGGACCAGATGGATTCACAGCCAAATTTCATCAGATTTATAATGAAGCACTGGTACCATTGCTACTCAAACTATCCAAAAAATCAACAAGGAGGGATCCCTGACTAACTCATTCTATGAAGCCAGTGTTATCCTGATAACAAAAGCTGGCATGAAGACAACAAAAAAAGAAAACATCAGGCCAATAACCTTGATGAGCATAGATGCCAGAAGCCAAAATCCTCAACAAAATATTAGCAAACCGAATCCAGCAGTACACCAGAAAGTTAATCCACCAAGATCAAGTAGGCTTTATCCCTGGGATGCAAGATTGATTTAGAATACACAAATTAATAAATGTGATTCACCACAAAAATAGAACTATAAACAAAACCATATAATCATCTCAATAAATTCAGAAAAGGCTTTTGATAAAATTCAGTATCACTTCATGTTAACCCTCAGCAAACTAGGCATGGAGAAATAGACTTAAAAATGATAAGAGCCATCTATGATAAGCTTACAGCCAACATCATACTGAATGGGCATAAGCTGCATGCCTTCCCCAGGAGAACCAGAACAAGAAAAGGATGCCCACCTGCACCTTTTTTATAAAACATAGTGCTGGAAGTCCTAGCCAGAACAATTAGAAAAGCAAAATAAATAACATACATCTAAATAGGAAGAGAGGAAGTTAAACTATCTCTGCTTGTAGACAATGTGATTCTATACCTAGAAAACTTCATAGTCCGTGCCCAAAAGCTCCTGTATCTGATAAACAGTCTTAACACAGTTCAGGATACAAGATTGATGAACAAAAATTAGTAGCATTTCTATACACTAACAACATCCAAGCTGAAAGCAAAATCAAGAATGCAATCCAATATACAACTGCCACAAAAATAATAAAATACATAGGAATACAGCTAACAAGGCAGCTGAAAGATCTGTACAATCAGAATTACAAAACATTGCTCAAAGAATTCAGAGATGACACAAAGAACTGGAAAAATATTCCAGGCTCATGTATAGAATGAATCAGTATTGACAAAATGGCCATATTCTCCAAAGCCATTTATAGATTCAATGCTATTCCCATCAAACTATAAATAACATTCTTCACAGATTTTTTTTTTAAAAAACACTATTTTAAAATTCATATGTGGTGGGGCACAGTGGCTCATGCCTGTAATCCCAGCACTTTGGGATGCCAAGGCAGGCAGATCACTTGGAGCCAGGAGTTCAACACCAGCCTGGCCAACATGGCGAAACCTCATCTCTACTAAAAATACAAAAATATATATAAATAAGTGAACAACTGGGTGTGTTATAACCCCAGCTACTTGGGCGGCTGAGGAATGAGAATTACTTGAGCCTGGGAGGTAGAAGTTACAGTGAGCCAACCAAAATGAGCTCGAATATCCAGGGCAATTTTAAACAAAAGGAATGAAACAGGAGGCCTCACATTACCCAACTTCAAACTATACTACAAGGCTTCAGTAACTAAGACAGCATGGTACTGGGACAAAAACAGACACACTGACCAATGGAACAGAATAGAAAGCCAAAATATAGCCACACACCTACACCCACCTGATGTTCAACAAAGTTTACAAAACAAGCAATGTGGTAAGGACTCTGTTCAATAAATAGTGCTGGGATAAATGACAGGCATATGCAGAATATTGAAGTTGAATCCTTTTCTTATATACAAAAATCAACTCGAGGGATTAAAGATTAAAATGTAAAAGCCTACCCTATTTAAAACTCTTGAAATAGGCTGGGCGTGGTGGCTCACGCCTGTAATCCCAGCACTTTGGGAGTCCGAGACGGGTGGATCACGAGGTCAGGAGATCGAGACCATCCTGGCTAACACGGTGAAACCCCACCTCTACTAAAAATACAAAAAGTAGCTGGGCATGGTGGTAGGTGCCTGTAGTCCCAGCTACTTGGGAGGCTGAGGCAGGAGAATGGCGTGAACCCAGGAGACGGAGCTTGCAGTGAGCCAAGATTGCACCACTGCACTCCAGCCTGAGCTACTGAGCGAGACTCCATCTCAAAAATAAAACAATAAATAAAACCCTTGAAATAAACCTAGGAAACATAATTCTAGACATAGGCCCTGCAAAGATTTTATGAAGAAGATGCCAACAACAAAAATTGACAAATGGCAATTAAACAAAAGAACTTCTACACAGCACAAAGAAACTATCAATAAACAAACCACCTATAAAATGGGAGGAAATATTTGCAAACTGTACATTTCATAAAGGTCTAATACCCAGGATCTGTAAGGAACTTAGACAAATGAACAAGCAAAAACCAAAGAACCCCATTAAAAAGTGTTGCAAAGAACATGAACAGAGATTTTTCAATGGAAGACATACACACAGCCAACAAGAATATAAAAAGCAGCCAACAAGAATATAAAATCATGCTCAACATTACTAATCATTAGAGAAAAGCAAATCAAAACCACAATCATATACCATCTCACACCAGTCAGAATGGCTATTATTTAAAAAGCAAAAAATAGATTCTGGTGAGGTTGCAGAGAAAGGGGAACACATACGATGTTGGTGGGAGTATGAATTACTTCAGCCATTGTGGAAAGCAGTGTGGCGATTTCTCAAAGAACTTAAAACAGAAATACCATTAAAGCCAGGTGAAGTGGCTCATGCCTGTGATTCCAGCACTTCAGGAGGCTGAGGCAGGCAGATGACTTGAGATCAGGAGTTTGAGACCAGCTTGGACAACATGGTAAAACCATGTCTCTACTAAACATACAAAAAATCAGCTGGGCGTGGTGGTGCATACTGGTAATTCCAAGCTACTTGGGAGACCAAGGCGGGAGGACCACTTGAACCCAGGAGGCGGAGGTTGCAGTGAGCCAAGATCACACCACTACATTTCAGCCTGGGTGACAGAGGCAGACTCCGTCTCAAAAAAAAAAAAAAAAAAAGAAATACCATTCAACCTAGCAACCTCATTATTTGGTATATACCCAAAGGAATATAAATCTTTCTATCATAAAAACACTTGCATGTATATGTTCATTGCAGCACTATTTACAATAGCAAATAAATGGAATCAACGTAAATATCTGTCAATGGTAGACTGGATAAAGAAAAAGTGGTACATAAACATCATGGAATACTATGCAGCCATAAACAAGAACATGATCATATCTTTTGCAGCAACATAGATGAAGCTGGAGGCCATAATCCTAAGTAAACTGTCACAGGAACAGAAAACCAAATACCACATATTCTGGATTATGACTGGAGATAAACATTGAGTACCCATGGACACAAAAAAGGAAACAACACATACCAGGTCCTGCTTGAGGGTGAAGAACAGGAGGAGTGAGAGGGTTGAGAAACTACCTATAATTTACTATGCTTATTAACTGGATGATGAAATTATCTGTATTCCAAACCCCTGTGACACACAATTTACCTATATAATAAACCTGCCATGTACCCCTGAATCTAAAATAAAAGAGAAAAAAATAAAATATGTTTGGAGGTTTATAAGACATGCAAAGAAATGAGCTTGCAAACACTTGCCCCATATTAGTTAAAATGAAGAACTTTGAAATTAAATCAATCAGAGTTGGAATCTAAGTTCTGCAAGTAACACACTCTGTGAACTTAGGCATTTTTATTTCAATAGCTGTAGGCGTACAAGTGGTTTTTGGTTACATGGATAAATTTTATAGTGGCAAAGACTGAGCGGTTAGTATACCAATTATCCAAATAGTATAAATTTTGCCCAAAAGGTGATTTTCTAATTCCTCACACCCCTCCTAACTTCCCCTTTTCTGAGTTTCCTATGTCCATTATACCACTCTGTATGCCTTTACCTACCCATAGCTTACCTCTCACTTATAAATGAAAATGCGTGTTATTCAGTTTTCCGTTCCTTAGTTACTTCCCCTAGGATAATAGATAGTAGCCTCCAGTTCCATCCAAGTCACTTCAAAAGGCATGAATTCATTCTTTTTTATGGCTGAATAGTATTTAACAATGTGTGTATGTGTAATATATACAAACACACATAAATGTGTACATAAATATAAATGTATATGTGTGTATATACATAAATGTGGTATACACACACATATTCCATGATGTGTGTATGAGTATATATACATAACAATAAATGTACATGTAATGTGTGTATATATATACATAAATGTGATATATACACACACACACATATGCATATATATATACACAAACCACATTTTTTAATCCACTCATTGGTTTATGGGTACTTAGGTTAATTCTATTGCTTTGCAATCATCAATTGTGCTGTGATAAACATAGAAGTGCAGGGTTTGTTTTTTTTTTTTTTTGATATAATGACTTATTTTCTTTTGAGTAGATACTCAGTACTAGGATTGTGGATCAAATAATGTAACCACTTTTAGTTCCTTTGGAAAAATCCATATTTTTTAGTAGAGGTGGTACTAAGTTACATTCCCTACAGCAGTGTATAAGCATTCCCTTTACACTGCATCTGCACCAACATTTATGATATATATATTTTTTACTTTTAATAATGGCCATTTTGACTAGGCTAAGGTGATATCTCCTGATGGTTTTTATTTGCATTTCCCTGATAATTCTTGATGTTGAGCATTTTTTTCATATGTTTGACCCTTTGTATGTCTTCTTTTGAGAAATATCTACCCATATCATTTGCCCACTTTTTAATGTTATTATTCATTTTGTTCTTGCTGATGTGTTACTTGTAGAAATATTAGTTCTTTGTTGGATGTATAGTTTGTGAATATTTTCTTTGATTCTATAGATTGTCTATTTATTCTGTTGATTAGTTCTTTAGCTATGCAGAAATACTTCAGTTTAATTAAGTCCCATTTGTTTATTTTTTGTTGAATTTTTATTTGAGGACTTATTCACAAATTATTTGATAGTGCCAGCATCCAGAAGAGGTTTTTCTAGATTTACTTCTAGAATTCTTATGGTTTCTGGTCCTATATTTAAGCTTTTAAACCATCTTGAGATAAATTTTTATATGACAAGATATACAGGTCTAATTTCATTCTTCTGTATATACCTATACAATTTTCCCAGCACCATTTATTGAATAGGGTGTCCTGTCTCAAGTGTATGTTTTGGATGACTTTTACAAGATCAGTTGGTTGTAAGTATTTGGCTTTATTTCTGGGTTCTCTATTCTGTTCCACTGATGTATGTGTCTATTTTAATACCAGTACCATACTGTTTTGGTTATTATAGCCTTGTAGTATAATTTGAAGTCATGTAACGTAATGCCTCCAGATTTGTTCTTTTTGCTTAGGGTTGTTTTGGCTCTTTGGGCTCTTTTTTTCGTTCCTTACAAATTTCAGAATAGTTTTTCCTAAGTTTGTGAAAACTGGCATTGGTATTTGTATAGGAATTGCATTTATTGTGTAGGTTGCTATTGCTTTGGGCAACATGGTCTTTTTTATATTATTGATTCTTCTAATCCATGAGCGGAGTGTATTTTTTCATTTGTGTCATTTATTATTTCTTTAATCAATATTTTGTAGTTATTCTTGTAGATATCTTTTAAGTATATTTGTAAGTATTTTATATATTTTGCTACTGTTTTAAATGGGATTGAGCTCTTTATTTAATTTGCAGCTTGGACATTGTTGTATAGTAGTGCTAGTGATTCCTGTTCATTGACTTTGTAACCTGAAACTTTACTGAATTCATTTATCAAATCTAGGAGTCCCTTTGGGGAATCTTTTGGGTTTTCAAGATATGGGATCATATTATTGGAAAACACAGGTAGTTTGACTTCTTTTTCTCTTTTTCAATCTGGTTACCCTTTATTTCTTTTTTTTTTTTTTTTTTGCCTGATTGCTGTAGCTAGGACTTCCAGTAGTATGTTGAATAGAATTGGTGAAAGTAGACATTCTTATCATGTTCAGTTCTTAGGGGGAATGCTTTCATCTTTTCCCCATTCAGTATGACATTGGCTTTGAGTTTCTCATATATGGCTTTTATTATTTTGAGATTTGTTTCCTCTATGCCTAGTTGTTGCAGGTTTTTATCATGAAAACACACTGAATTATATCTAATGCTTTTTCTGTATCTATTGAGCTGGTAATACAATTTTTGTTTTTAATTCTGATTATGTGATAAATTACATTTATTAACTTGTGTGTATTGAACCATCACTTTATCCTTGAGAGGAAATCCACTTGGTTGTGATAAATTATCTTTTTGATATGCTGTTGGATTCTGTCTGCAAGTATTTTGTTGAGGATTTTTGCATCTATGTTCATCAGAGATATTGGTTTGTACTTTATTTTTGGTTGTGTTTTTTTTTTCCTGGTTTTGGTATTAGGGTGATATTGGCTTCATAAAATCAGTTAGGGAGAATTATCCCTTTCTTGATCTTTTGGAATAGTTTCAGTAGGATTGGCCCCAGTTCTTCTTTAAATGTCTAATAGAATTTGATTGATAATCTGTGTGTGGTCCTGGGCTTTTTCTTGTTGGAAACTTTATTACTGAATGAATTTCACTAATTTTTATTTCTATGTTCAGGATTTTTATTTCTTTCTGATTTAAGCTTAGGTGGCTGTATGTTGCCAAGAATTTAATCATTCCTTCTGTATTTTCTAGTTTGTGTTCATAAAGATGTTTATAGTTGTTTCGGAAAATCTTTTTACTTCTTTGGTATCAGTTCTAATGTCTACATTGTCATTTCTGTTTGAGCTTACTTGAATCTTCTCTCTTCTTTTCTTGGGTGATTTAGCTAGTTGTCCATCAATTTGATTCATCGTTTCAATGAATCAATTTTTTATTTCATTGATCCCTTGTATTATTTATTTGTTTCATTTTTTTAGTTCTGCTCTGATCTTTGTTATTTATTTTATTCTGCTTCCATTAGGTTTATTTTTATTTTAATTTTTCTAGTTCCTTGAGGGGTAATGTTAGGTTGTCCAGTTGAGATATTTCTGTCATTTGGATTTAGGCATTTCGTGTTATAAATGTTCCTGTTAGTACTGCTTTTGCTCTATCCAGAGATTTTGAAGATATGCCAGTCTTGTTATTCGTTTACAAAATAATAATTTCCATCTTGATTTCTTCATTTACCTAAAGATCACTCAAGAGCTGATTGTTTAATTTGCATAGTTTTGGTGGTTACTCTTGAAATTAATTTCTAGTTTTATTCCACTGTCATATCATAAGATACTTAATTTTAGTTAAATATTTTTAAATGTGTTAAGACTATCTTGTGGCTCATCCTATGGTCTATCTTGGAAAAGGTTCCATGGGCTGATGAATGAAAATGTATATTCTGCAGTTTTTGGTAGAATGTTCTGCAAATGTCTGTTAAGTTCATTTATTCTAGTGTCCAGTTTAAGTCCAGTTTTCTTTGTTGACTTCCTGCCTCAGTGATTTGTCTAATGCTGTATCACTAGAAAGATTTCAACCTATAATTGTGTTACTGTTTTTCTCTTTTTGTAGGTCTAATAGTACTTGTTTAATTAATCTGAGAGCTCCAGTGTTAGGTGAGTATATATTTAAGATCGTTATATTTTCTTGTTGAATTTATTCCTTTATCATAATATAATGGCATTCTTTGTCTTTTTTCACTGTCGTTGGTTTACAGTCTGTTTTATCTGGTATAAAAATAGCCACTCCTGCTTGTTTTGGCCTTCCGTTTGTGGAAATTTTTTTTCTTTTTCTTTACCTTAAGGGTCTAAGAATTTTTACAAGTTAAGTGACTTTCTTGAAGACAGCAGATATTTACTTTGTGACATTTAATCCATTCAGCCAATATTTATCTCTAAGTGGGAGCATTTAGACTACTTACAAATTTTTTACTGATATGTGATGTACTGTTCCAATCGTCATGTTGTTATCTAGTTGTTTCGTTTTTCTATTGTGTTATTGTTTTATAAGCCATGTGAGTTTTATACTTTCAAGTATTTTTTATGCTGGTGAATATTGACCTATCATTTAATGTTTAGAACTCCTTTGAGCATTACTTATATGGCTGGTCTAGTGGTAAAAAGTTCCCTCAGAATTTGCTTAACTGGAAAATACTTTTTATCTTCTTCATTTATGAAACTTAGTTTTGTGTGACAAAAAATTATTGGGTGACAGTTATTCTGTTTGAGGAGACTAAAGATAGTATGCCAATCCCTTCTAGCTTCTAAGAGTCTACTAAGTCTGCTGCTAGTCTGATAGGTTTTCCTTTATAAGTGACTTAATGCTTTTGTCTCATTACCCTTAGAATTATCTTATCACATTGACATTAGATTGCTTGATTAATATAGGCCTTGGTGACATCTTTTGGCCATGAGTCTCCCAGAAATTCCTTGAGTTTTTTGTACCCAGATGTTTAAATTTCTAGCAAGACCAGGGAAGTTTTTAACAATTGTTTCCTCAAACAGGGTTTTCAAACTGTTTTCTTTTTTTCTTCCTCAGGAACACCTGTGATTCTTAGGGTTGGATATTTTACATAATCCCATCTTTGTCTAATACTTTATTTCATAATTCTTTATTCTTTATCTTATTTGATTGTATTACTTTGAAAGCCTTGTCCTCAAGCTCTATAATTGTTTTCTTCTGCTTTGTCTATTCTGTTTTTAAAACCTTACTCTGCATGTTTTAATTCCCTATATGAATCTTTTATTTCTAGAAGTTTTGTCTGTTTGTTTTTTAAAATCTATCTTTTAAGGACATTTGTTATTCATATCCTGAATTATTTTTTATATTTCTGTATGTTGGTGTTCAACTTTCTTTGGAATCTCATTGAATAACTTTCTAATTAACCTTTTGAATTCTTTATCTGGTATTTCAAAGATTTCATTCTTTGTTTGGATCTATTGCTGGACAGTTAGTGTAATCTTTTTGGGGTGTTGTAAAACTGTTTTTTCATATGGTCAGAATTAGTTTTCTGGTTCCTTCTCATCTGGGTAGAGCATTTCTTATTATTTTTGAATTTATTTATTTTTTACCTCCTTGAAGATCTGACTTTAATATATACAGTTTATAGTCATCTAGCTTTGACTCTGGATGCTTTCAGTGGCAAAAACTCTGTATGAGTTCCTTGGTTGTAATTTTTGTATGATGGCTTTGTCAAATGTTGCTAGTAGTAGTGATATAGCCGGTGTGTAAGAAGGTTCACTATCTCCTGTAGGGACAGGATGTCAGAGGTCTCATGAAGCTTATCTTGTTTCCTAGTGATGTGAATATTTTCCAGTATTGTTTTTCTCACTAGGTTGGTCAGTTCAGCCTTCAGATCAGTAGGAAATATTCATTGGTAAGAAATGATTGTGGCTGAAACAGTTATGTATGTGCAATACTACAGTGGTGGATGAAATTCTTAGACTTGACAGGTGTAGCTGAGGGAAATCCCAGTGAAATGCACTGAGGTCTTCACAGGGGAAATAAAGGGAACCATCTCAACCTTCACTACCAGGCCTGCAGGAAAATGATTCTTATCCCCATCATACACCTGTCCTGCTGTTTTTGAATATTCAGATCGGACAGGCATCTCTGTTTATCTGCAGGAACACTGACATTTTGTGTGTAAAGAATGGAGATTTAATACCCATGTAAGTCTGAGCCCAGAGGGAACACTTATCATGGGGATGCACTCATTCCAAAGTTCTCCAGAAATGCAGCTTATAGGTGTACCCATGCTGATCTACAAAAATAGTCCCAGATGTGTCTACAATGGGTGGGTAATAGGGAGAAGTTATCTTATCCAAGTCCCTTCACAAGCATCAGAGCTGCTTGACTGCTGGGGTAGAACTGCAGTCTTCCACTGAGCCCAGCACTGTGCGCATGCATTTGCTCAAGGAAAATTCAAACAAGTGGGAAGTTCTGGGACAGAGAAAAGCCTACACTCTGGTTCCTTTTATCCCACTATATGCCTTCTTGGTATGTTTCACTCTTCCTTCCCCTAGAAGTGGCAAACTCTGAAGGCTAGACCACTGTGAATTCTGCTGTTCCTATGGGTCTAGTCACCATGAGGGGCTGCCAGTCTACCCTAGTGCTGAGGAATATCTGTAAGGAATCTGGTGATGTGAAGACCAAAGAGTTGAAGGTCTCTGAGAAGAATATAATCCTCACAATGAGTGTGCACCCAGTATGGTGCTTACTACTATGGTTGGTGTCCAGGGGAAAACTGCACAAGCTTGTAGGCCAGTGTAATTAACTTGAGAAGTCCCCAAATCTCAGCTCACTTCAATGCAAAGAAGCTCTCCTTGAGTTCAAATACTGGCAGTATTCTACAGGGGCTAGAGAAGCCAGAAGCTCTCCTACTTATCCTTTTCATGGAATACTAAGAATCTTAGTGTTTGATCTCTGCCATCTTTTTTTTTTCTTTTTATGTGTGTGTCATAGATTCTTCCAGTGAACTCTGATAGGCTCCAGCATTCTCTCCTTAACACTCCATTTGCTATGATTATTCACTTGTAATTTGGGTTCTTCCTTCTGAGAAGAATTGGTCACCAACATCTCTAGTCAGCCCTCTGAAGAAGCTCTCTGATGCCTCAAGTTTTGAAGTTGTCTGCGAAATGTTCAGTGGCTTGGGCTCCACTCTTAGCTCTAGAAGGGACAATTTCAGATGTAGCTGGCCCAGACTGACCAGCCCTGTGGTCTCCCAACAGCTGGTGCAAGTACCAGTTCTGACGGTGGTGGCAAGGGATTGACAAAGGCTCTAAGATTTTCTTGGTTGTAAATGGCCTTAGTGTGGTGGCTTTCTCAATTGACAGCTGTAATAGCAATGTATTTGGCATATGAACAGGCTCAATACCTCCTAAGTAACCATTGTGGTGTGGGCAATGGTGTTACTTGAGATAGCACAAGTTTTTTTGTTTGTTTGATTGTTTGTTTTTCCTGAGTGCTGTATTATTGCGCCAGCATATATTATAATAGGCTGTGCCATCTGACCTCTGGGAAGAAAGTGGTGCTTGCAAGAGAGAGCCAGCTATGGTGATGGCTGTGGGATTTATCTTTGTCTTATATTACCCAGGGGAAGTGGTCATGTCCCAGGCGATGGGTGGGGCTATGGAACTCCCAAAGTCCCTTCCTGTGTTCTGCTACTAAGGCAGGTGGAGGGGCAGAGCCGGATGGGACCCAGCAAGTCTACATTCTGGCTCCCTATATGCGGATGCAAGTGGCAGCTCCAATGGGGGTCAGATGGCAGCTCCCTGGTCACTGGGCTAATGTCGCAGGGACACTTTTGTGCAACAGAAGCAGCTCCGTTCCTCCCAGTCTTTCCTGTGCTATTCTCATGATAGTGAATATGTCTCACAAAAACTGACAGGTACATCAGGGATTTCCGTTTTTGCCTTTTTCTCATTTTTCTCTTGCTGCTGCCATGTAAGAAGTGCCTTTCACCTCCCACCATGATTCTGAGGCCTCCCCAGCCATGTGGAACTGCAAGCCCAATTAGACCTCTTTTTCTTCCCAGTCTCAGGTATATCTTTACCAGCAGCATGAAAATGGACTAATACAGTAAATTGATACCAGTAGAATGGGGCATTGCTGAAAAGATACCCGTAAATGTGGAAGAGACTTTGTAACTTGGTAATAGGCAGAGGTTGGAACAATTTGGAGGGCTCAGAAGAAGACAGGAAAATGTGGGAAAGTTTGGAACCTCCCAGAGACTTGTTGAATGGCTTGAACAAAAATTTTGATAGTGATATGAACAATATTGTCTAGGCTGAGGTGTTCTCAGATGGAGACGAGGAATTTATTGAGGGCTGGAGCAAAGGTGACACTTGTTGTATTTTAGCAAAGAGACTGGTGGCATTTTTCCCCTGCCCTAGAGATTTGTGGAACTTTGAACTTGAGAGAGATGATTTAGGGTATCTGGTGGAAGAAATTTCTAAGCAGCAGAGGATTCAAAAGGTGCCCTGGGTGCTATTAAAAGCATTCCATTTTAAAAGGGAAACAGAGCATAAAAGTTCAGAAAATTTGCAGCCTGACAATGCAGTAGAAAAACAAAAACAAAAACAAAAACCATGTTTTGAGGAGAAATCCAAGCTGGCTGCAGAAATTTGTATAAGTAGCAAGGAGCCTAATGGTAATCCCCAAGACCATGGGGAAAGTGTTTCCAGGCCATGTCAGAGACCTTCATGGAAACCCCTCCCATCACAGGCCCAGAGGCCCAGGAGGGAAAAGTGGTTTGGTGGGCTGGGCCCAAGGTCTCTGTACTGTGTGCAGCCTAGGGACTTGGTGCCCAGTGTCCCAGACACTCCAGATGTGGCTGAAAGGGGCCAATATAGAGCTCTAGCTATGGCTTCAGAGGGTAGAAGTCCCAAGCCTTGGCAGCTTCCATGTGGTGTTGAGCCTATGGGTACACAGAAATAAAGAATTGAGGTTTCAGAACCTCTGCCTAGATTTCAGAAGATGTATGGAAATGCCTGGATTCCCAAGCAAAATAAATGAGGCCATAAGGAGAGCCCAATATGTAGTTAATGTTTAATACAAGTTTTGATAATGATGATGATGATGATATTAAACATTCATAAAATTTTCAAACAAATAAGTTTTGTAATATATGATATAGGAAAAAACTGTTATATTTCTGCTGCAAAAAATAAGGCAAATATTCAGAGATAAAATGTAATGGCTTATAAGATTTGGAGACTGACAGAATAATTCAAAATGAAGCTACACTACATGTTTCACAGTAAATGGTTTCAACAATTTTTTCTTCTCTTATACACAAGAAAGAGGTCATGTACATAATTTTACACTCCCGTAGGGCTTACTCCAACATATACTCAATTCCATCTCTAGTCTCCAAACTCTACCTTTTTTTTTACTTCAGTCAAAATGTTAAATTGTGAGTATGAATGGCATAATTTTATAATAATCTTGAGCTGACTCTATTTTGTTCGAGTGAAGCACTGTGGTCTGCCTCTTGGAATGGTAAGCTGAATGTTGTGGGCCAACACTCTTATTGAGAACTAAAATGGATAAAAAATAATTTAAAAATCCATGTGAAATAACTAGTGCATGACATTTCAGTGAGTTACTGTTCAACCATGATACATGTTTTAGTGAGTTATTGTTTATGATACAGATGAAAGAGAAGGAAAGCCCACAGATATGAACTTAGAATTTGGGGTAACATTTTCCCAGAGGCATTTGCAGATTCTGAAAGTTAAGCTTAATGGTTAAGTTGAGCATTGGTTTCAATAAACCCACTGACATGCCAGGTCATCAATGTTAAAGACCAGGGCTTTCCAAGGAGGAATCACCTTAGTCAAACCATCCTCATCTGACTGAAGACTCTGAGGGAGTATAATTTAAGGGAAAAGAGAAGTAGAACTAGACCAGATTTCACAGAGACTAAACTTTATCTTTGAATGACAACAACCCTGATGGGGTTATTGGTAAGGGATTACTACTTTCTGTAGCTAGTCTCCTGTCAAAATATACTTCTAAATCTAATGTGTAATATTCCTAGGGACAGAGATAATATCATTCAACATCTTCAAATAACTCTATAATTTTTGAAACATAATTTATGATACACAATGAAAATTACCAGGCATATAAGTAGTTACAGCAAGTCACCAAAAGCTAAAGAATATTACAGACATATGAAAAAACCCCATAAGTTATTTAAATAATAGAGGATTTTTTTCGCTTGGAATTTTTTAAATTATGAATAATGGAACAAACAATTAGAAGACAAGATTGCTTTTTTGACATAAAACTGAAAACTGTAAATATAAACTAAATAAAATTTTATAATTTAAAAACAAAATACATTAAATAAATGATGCAATAAGTAGATTGAGTAGCATATTAGACTCTCAGAAGGAGTGAATTAATAAAATAAAAAACAGATCCAAAAAAATTAGCTAGACTTATATAGGGAAAACCAAAAAGCAGAAAATAGAGAAAAGATCTACTTTTTGTACGTTGATTGAAGTCCTAGAAGGAAGGAAAGGGAAGCATGAGGCAGAAACATTCTGTCACAGACAAAAGAAGCCTGTAATTGTTTGGGTCTCTCTCTCCACCCAAATCTCACATCAAATTGTAATTCCCAATTTTAAATGTGAGGACTGGTGAGAGGTGATTGACTCATGGAGGAAGATTTCCCCTTTATTGCTGTTCTCATGATAGTCAATGAGTTATTTCAAGATCTGGTTGTTTAAAAGTGTGTAGCACCTCCCACCTTGTTCTCTTCCTCCTACTCCAGCCATGAAAGATGTGTATGCATCCCCTTTGCTTTCACCATGATTGTGAGTTTCCTAATGGCTCCATAGCCATGCTTCCTGTTCCTGTACAGCCTGCAGAACAATGAGCCAATTAAATCCCTTCTTTATAAATTACCCAGTCTCAGGTATTTCTTTATAGCAATGTGAGAATAGACTAATACAGAAAACTGGAACCTAAGAGTGGGGTATTGCTATAAAGATATCTGAAAATGTGGAAGCAACTTTAGAACTCAGTAATGAGCAGAGGTTGGAAGAGTTTTGAAGGCTCAGAAAAAAAACAGGAAGATAAAGGAACATTTGGAACTTCCTAGAGACCTGTTAAATTGTGTCCAAAATGCTGGTAGTGATGTGTGCAATGACGTCTAGGCTGAGGAGATCTCAGATGGAGATAAGGAAGTTACTAGGGACTGGAGCAAAGGTCGTTTTTGTTATATATTAGCAAATAGCTTGGTTATATTGGTTCCCTGCCCGAGGGATCTCTGAAACTTGAGAGTGATGATTTAGGGTATGCGGTAGAAGTCATTTCTATGCAGCAATGAGTTCAAGATTTGGCCTGGCTGCTTTTAGCAGCCTAATCTCATATTCATGAGCAAAGAAATGATGTAAAACTGGAACTTACATTTAAAAAGGAAGCAGATCTTAAGAGTTTGAAAAATTTGCAGCCGGGCCATGCAGTAGAAAAGAAAAACCCATTTTCAAGGGAAGAATTCCAGCCTGCTGCAGAAATTTGCATAAGTAAAGATGAGTCAACTGTTTTTCTTTTTCTTTTTTTTTTTTTTTATTTAAGTTTTAGGGTACATGTGCACATTGTGCAGGTTAGTTACATATGTATACATGTGCCATGCTGGTGCGCTGCACCCACTAACGTGTCATCTAGCATTAGGTATATCTCCCAATGCTATCCCTCCCCCCTCCCCCGACCCCACCACAGTCCCCAGAGTGTGATATTCCCCTTCCTGTGTCCATGTGATCTCATTGTTCAATTCCCACCTATGAGTGAGAATATGCGGTGTTTGGTTTTTTGTTCTTGCAATAGTTTACTGACAATGATGGTTTCCAATTTCATCCATGTCCCTACAAAGGACATGAACTCATCATTTTTTATGGCTGCATAGTATTCCATGGTGTATATGTGCCACATTTTCTTAATCCAGTCTATCATTGTTGGACATTTGGGTTGGTTCCAAGTCTTTGCTATTGTGAATAGTGCCGCAATAAACATACGTGTGCATGTGTCTTTATAGCACCATGATTTATAGTCCTTTGGGTATATACCCAGTAATGGGATGGCTGGGTCAAATGGTATTTCTAGTTCTAGATCCCTGAGGAATCGCCACACTGACTTCCACAATGGTTAAACTAGTTTACAGTCCCACCAACAGTGTAAAAGTGTTCCTATTTCTCCACATCCTCTCCAGCACCTGTTGTTTCCTGACTTTTTAATGATTGCCATTCTAACTGGTGTGAGATGATATCTCATAGTGGTTTTGATTTGCATTTCTCTGATGGCCAGTGATGATGAGCATTTCTTCATGTGTTTTTTGGCTGCATAAATGTCTTCTTTTGAGAAGTGTCTGTTCATGTCCTTCGCCCACGTTTTGATGGGGTTATTTGTTTTTTTCTTGTAAATTTGTTTGAGTTCATTGTAGATTCTGGATATTAGCCCTTTGTCAGATGAGTAGGTTGCGAAAATTTTCTCCCATGTTGTAGGTTGCCTGTTCACTCTGATGGTAGTTTCTTTTGCTGTGCAGAAGCTCTTTAGTTTAATTAGATCCCATTTGTCAATTTTGGCTTTTGTTGCCATTGCTTTTGGTGTTTTGGACATGAAGTCCTTGCCCACGCCTATGTCCTGAATGGTAATGCCTAGGTTTTCTTCTAGGGTTTTTATGGTTTTAGGTCTAACGTTTAAATCTTTAATCCATCTTGAATTGATTTTGGTATAAGGTGTAAGGAAGGGATCCAGTTTCAGCTTTCTACATATGGCTAGCCAGTTTTCCCAGCACCATTTGTTAAATAGGGAATCCTTTCCCCATTGCTTGTTTTTCTCAGGTTTGTCAAAGATCAGACAGTTGTAGATATGCGGCATTATTTCTGAGGGCTCTGTTCTGTTCCATTGATCTATATCTCTGTTTTGGTACCAGTACCATGCTGTTTTGGTTACTGTAGCCTTGTAGTATAGTTTGAAGTCAGGTAGTGTGATGCCTCCAGCTTTGTTCTTTTGGCTTAGGATTGACTTGGCGATGCGGGCTCTATTTTGGTTCCATATGAACTTTAAAGTAGTTTTTTCCAATTCTGTGAAGAAAGTCATTGGTAGCTTGATGGGGATGGCATTGAATCTGTAAATTACCTTGGGCAGTATGGCCATTTTCACGATATTGATTCTTCCTACCCGTGAGCATGGAATGTTCTTCCATTTGTTTGTGTCCTCTTTTATTTCCTTGAGCAGTGGTTTGTAGTTCTCCTTGAAGAGGTCCTTCACATCCCTTGTAAATTGGATTCCTAGGTATTTTATTCTCTTTGAAGCAATTGTGAATGGGAGTTCACTCATGATTTGGCTCTCTGTTTGTCTGTTGTTGGTGTATAAGAATGCTTGTGATTTTTGTACATTGATTTTGTATCCTGAGACTTTGCTGAAGTTGCTTATCAGCTTAAGGAGATTTTGGGCTGAGACGATGGGGTTTTCTAGATAAACAATCATGTCGTCTGCAAACAGGGACAATTTGACTTCCTCTTTTCCTAATTGAATACCCTTTATTTCCTTCTCCTGCCTGATTGCCCTGGCCAGAACTTCCAACACTATGTTGAATAGGAGTGGTGAGAGAGGGCATCCCTGTCTTGTGCCAGTTTTGAAAGGGAATGCTTCCAGTTTTTGCCCATTCAGTATGATATTGGCTGTGGGTTTGTCATAGATAGCTCTTATTATTTTGAAATACGTCCCATCAATACCTAATTTATTGAGAGTTTTTAGCATGAAGCGTTGTTGAATTTTGTCAAAGGCTTTTTCTGCATCTATTGAGATAATCATGTGGTTTTTGTCTTTGGCTCTGTTTATATGCTGGATTACATTTATTGATTTGCGTATATTGAACCAGCCTTGCATCCCAGGGATGAAGCCCACTTGATCATGGTGGATAAGCTTTTGGATGTGCTGCTGGATTCGGTTTGCCAGTATTTTATTGAGGATTTTTGCATCAATGTTTATCAAGGATATTGGTCTAAAATTCTCTTTTTTGGTTGTGTCTCTGCCCGGCTTTGGTATCAGAATGATGCTGGCTTCATAAAATGAGTTAGGGAGGATTCCCTCTTTTTCTATTGATTGGAATAGTTTCAGAAGGAATGGTACCAATTCCTCCTTGTACCTCTGGTAGAATTCGGCTGTGAATCCTTCTGGTCCTGGACTCTTTTTGGTTGGTAAGCTATTGGTTATTGCCACAATTTCAGAGCCTGTTATTGGTCTATTCAGAGATTCAACTTCTTCCTGGTTTAGTCTTGGGAGAGTGTATGTGTCGAGGAATGTATCCATTTCTTCTAGATTTTCTAGTTTATTTGTGTAGAGGTGTTTGTAGTATTCTCTGATGGTAGTTTGTATTTCTGTGGGATCGGTGGTGATATCCCCTTTATCATTTTTTATTGTGTCTATTTGATTCTTCTCTCTTTTTTTCTTTATTAGTCTGGCTAGCGGTCTATCAATTTTGTTGATCCTTTCAAAAAACCAGCTACTGGATTCATTGATTTTTTGAAGGGTTTTTTGTGTCTCTATTTCCTTCAGTTCTGCTCTCATTTTAGTTATTTCTTGCCTTCTGCTAGGTTTTGAATGTCTTTGCTCTTGCTTTTCTAGTTCTTTTAATTGTGATGTTAGGGTGTCAATTTTGGATCTTTCCTCCTTTCTCTTGTAGGCATTTAGTGCTATAAATTTCCCTCTACACACTGCTTTGAATGCGTCCCAGAGATTCTGGTATGTGGTGTCTTTGTTCTCGTTGGTTTCAAAGAACATCTTTATTTCTGTCTTCATTTCGTTATGTACCCAGTAGTCATTCAGGAGCAGGTTGTTCAGTTTCCATGTAGTTGAGCGGCTTTGAGTGAGATTCTTAATCCTGAGTTCTAGTTTGATTGCACTGTGGTCTGAGAGATAGTTTGTTATAATTTCTATTCTTTTACATTTGCTGAGGAGAGCTTTACTTCCAAGTATGTGGTCAATTTTGGAATAGGTGTGGTGTGGTGCTGAAAAAAATGTATATTCTGTTGATTTGGGGTGGAGAGTTCTGTAGATGTCTATTAGGTCTGCTTGGTGCAGAGCTGAGTTCAATTCCTGGGTATCCTTGTTGACTTTCTGTCTCGTTGATCTGTCTAATGTTGACAGTGGGGTGTTAAAGTCTCCCATTATTAATGTGTGGGAGTCTAAGTCTCTTTGTAGGTCACTCAGGACTTGCTTTATGAATCTGGGTGCTCCTGTATTGGGTGCATAAATATTTAGGATAGTTAGCTCCTCTTGTTGAATTGATCCCTTTACCATTATGTAATGGCCTTCTTTGTCTCTTTTGATCTTTGTTGGTTTAAAGTCTGTCTTATCAGAGACTAGGATTGCAACCCCTGCCTTTTTTTGTTTTCCATTGGCTTGGTAGATCTTCCTCCATCCTTTTATTTTGAGCCTATGTGTGTCTCTGCACGTGAGATGGGTTTCCTGAATACAGCACACTGATGGGTCTTGACTCTTTATCCAACTTGCCAGTCTGTGTCTTTTAATTGCAGAATTTAGTCCATTTATATTTAAAGTTAATATTGTTATGTGTGAATTTGATCCTGTCATTATGATGTTAGCTGGTGATTTTGCTCATTAGTTGATGCAGTTTCTTCCTAGTCTCAATGGTCTTTACATTTTGGCATGATTTTGCAGTAGCTGGTACCGGTTGTTCCTTTCCATGTTTAGCGCTTCCTTCAGGAGCTCTTTTAGGGCAGGCCTGGTGGTGGCAAAATCTCTCAGCATTTGCTTGTCTATAAAGTATTTTATTTCTCCTTCACTTATGAAGCTTAGTTTGGCTGGATATGAAATTCTGGGTTGAAAATTCTTTTCTTTAAGAATGTTGAATATTGGCCCCCACTCTCTTCTGGCTTGTAGGGTTTCTGCCGAGAGATCCGCTGTTAGTCTGATGGGCTTTCCTTTGAGGGTAACCCGACCTTTCTCTCTGGCTGCCCTTAACATTTTTTCCTTCATTTCAACTTTGGTGAATCTGACAATTATGTGTCTTGGAGTTGCTCTTCACGAGGAGTATCTTTGTGGCGTTCTCTGTATTTCCTGAATCTGAACGTTGGCCTGCCTTGCTAGATTGGGGAAGTTCTCCTGGATAATATCCTGCAGAGTGTTTTCCAACTTGGTTCCATTCTCCCCATCACTTTCAGGTACACCAATCAGATGTAGATTTGGTCTTTTCACATAGTCCCATATTTCTTGGAGGCTTTGCTCATTTCTTTTTATTCTTTTTTCTCTAAACTTCCCTTCTCGCTTCATTTCATTCATTTCATCTTCCATTGCTGATACCCTTTCTTCCAGTTGATCGCATTGGCTCCTGAGGCTTCTGCATTCTTCACGTAGTTCTCGAGCCTTGGTTTTCAGCTCCATCAGCTCCTTTAAGCACTTCTCTGTATTGGTTATTCTAGTTATACATTCTTCTAAATTTTTTTCAAAGTTTTCAACTTCTTTGCCTTTGGTTTGAATGTCCTCCCGTAGCTCAGAGTAATTTGATCGTCTGAAGCCTTCTTCTCTCAGCTCGTCAAAATCATTCTCCATCCAGCTTTGTTCTGTTGCTGGTGAGGAACTGCGTTCCTTTGGAGGAGGAGAGGCGCTCTGCGTTTTAGAGTTTCCAGTTTTTCTGTTCTGTTTTTTCCCCATCTTTGTGGTTTTATCTACTTTTGGTCTTTGATGATGGTGATGGACAGATGGGTTTTCGGTGTAGATGTCCTTTCTGTTTGTTAGTTTTCCTTCTAACAGACAGGACCCTCAGCTGCAGGTCTGTTGGAATACCCTGCCGTGTGAGGTGTCAGTGTGCCCCTGCTGGGGGGTGCCTCCCAGTTAGGCTGCTCGGGGGTCAGGGGTCAGGGACCCACTTGAGGAGGCAGTCTGCCCGTTCTCAGATCTCCAGCTGCGTGCTGGGAGAACCACTGCTCTCTTCAAAGCTGTCAGACAGGGACACTTAAGTCTGCAGAGGTTACTGCTGTCTTTTTGTTTGTCTGTGCCCTGCCCCCAGAGGTGGAGCCTACAGAGGCAGGCAGGCCTCCTTGAGCTGTGGTGGGCTCCACCCAGTTTAAGCTTCCCGGCTGCTTTGTTTACCTAAGCAAGCCTGGGCAATGGCGGGCGCCCCTCCCCCAGCCTCGGTGCCGCCTTGCAGTTTGATCTCAGACTGCTGTGCTAGCAATCAGCGAGATTCCGTGGGCGTAGGACCCTCTGAGCCAGGTGTGGGATATAGTCTCGTGGTGCGCCGTTTCTTAAGCCGGTCTGAAAAGCGCAATATTCGGGTGGGAGTGACCCGATTTTCCAGGTGCGTCTGTCACCCCTTTCTTTGACTCGGAAAGGGAACTCCCTGACCCCTTGCGCTTCCCAGGTGAGGCAATGCCTCGCCCTGCTTCGGCTCGCGCATGGTGCGCACACACACTGGCCTGCGCCCACTGTCTGGCACTCCCTAGTGTGATGAACCCGGTACCTCAGATGGAAATGCAGAAATCACCTGTCTTCTGCGTCGCTCACGCTGGGAGCTGTAGACCGGAGCTGTTCCTATTCGGCCATCTTGGCTCCTCCCCTATGTGCCCCATTTTCTTAATCCAGTCTATCATTGTTGGACATTTGGGTTGGTTCCAAGTCTTTGCTATTGTGAATAGAAGACATTTATGCAGCCAAAAAACACATGAAAAAATGCTCATCATCACTGGCCATCAGAGAAATGCAAATCAAAACCACTATGAGATATCATCTCACACCAGTTAGAGTCAACTGTTAATAGCTAAGACAATGGGAACAAGGCCTCAAAGGCACTTCAGAGACCTATGCAGCAGCCCGTCACATCACAGGCCAAGAGGGTTAGGAGAGAAGAATTATTTCATGAGCCTAGCCCATGGTTCTCACTGATCTGTCTAGCCTAGGGACATGATGTCCTGCATCCCAGCCATTTCAGCTCTAGCAGTGGCTAAAAGGGGCCAAGGTACAGCTTAGGCCATGGCTTCAGAGGGTGCAAGACCCAAGCTTCCATGGGGTGTTGAGCCTGTGAGTGCACAGACATCAAGAATTGAGGTTTGGGAGTCTCTCTCTAGATTTCAGAGGATATATGGAAAACCCTAGATGCCCAGGCAGAAGCTTGCTGCAGTGGTGGATCCCTTATGGAGAATCTCTACTAGGGCAGCACAGAGGAAAAATGTGGGGTTGGAGCCCCCACACAGAGTTCCTACTGGGGCACTGCCAAAAGGAGCTGTGAGAAAAAAGCCACTGTCATTCAGTCCCCAGAATGGTAGCTACACTGGCAGCTTGCACAGTGCACCTGAAAAAGCCACAGGCACTCAATGCCAACCCATGAGAGCAGCTGTGGGGCCAGAGCCCTGCAGAGCCACAGGGGCAGAGCTGCTCAAGGCCTTGGGAGCCTACCTGTTGCATCATGTACCTTGGATATGAGGCATGAAGTCAAAAGTGATTATTCTGGAGCTTTAAGATTTAATAACTGCCTTGCCACAACAGGAAAGTCACTGGAAAAAGAATACTTACTCAATGCCTATACTCCCATTGTATCTTGGAAGTAGCTCACTTGTTTTTGGTTTTGTAGGCTTACAGATTGAAGGGACTGTGCTTGTCTCAGATGAAACTTTGGACTTTGAACTTTTGAGTTAATGCTAAAATGAGTTAAGACTTTGGGAGACTGTTGGAAAGTCATGGTTGTATTTTGCAATTTGAGAAGAACATGAGATTTTGGAGGGGCCAAGAGCAGAATTATATGGTTTATGTCTGCATCTCCACTTGTACCTCATGTCAAATTGTAATCCCCAATGTTGGAAGTGGGGCCTGATGCGTGGTGGGGTGGATTTCTTCTTAGGTCCTGTTCTCATGATATCGAGTGTTTTATCACAAGATCTGGTTGTTTAAAAGTGTACAGCACCTCCACTCTCTCTCTTTTCCTCTTGCTTTAGCAATGTAAAATGTTCCTGCTTCCCCTTTGCCTTCCATTATGATTATAAGTCTTCTGAGGCCTCCCCAGCCATGCTTCCTGTACAGCCTGCAGAACCATGAGCCAATGAAATCTGTTTTCTTTATAAATTACCCAGTCTCAGATATTTCTTTAAAGCAATGTGAGAATGGAATAATACAGAGTCCAAGAGACATGTTGAATATATGTAATGTGGTACCCCGGACAAAATTCTACAACAAAAAAAATATGATAAAAATAGAGCAATTCTGAATAAACTGTAGACTTTAGTTAGACATATCAATACTGATTTACTAATTATAGCAAATATATCATACTAATTTAAGATATGCTCAATAGAGGAAAGTGGATACAAAATATATGGGGACTCTGATATCTTCATAATTTGGGGGAAATTTAAAACTTATAGAATAAAAAGTTAACTTCTTAAAAATTAATGAAGGTAATATTTAAACATCACAAATAACAGTATTGACTACATATATATATTTATTTCTGTAAATAACATTAATATAGAACTCACATATCAATAAAGGTATTACCCACTACATAAATTCTCATACATCAATAAGAAAAAGACCAAGACAACTTAGAGTGACATAACCAAGATTATGAAGTAGGAGATACAAGTTTTTATCCTGACACAAAATAACAGCTATAGACAGCTACTTGCAAATGAAAATAATCCCAGAAGTACTCAAACGATTATTTAAGAATCTGCAGTAGCACAGTGTAGTAAAACAATGAAGACTATCTGCACAAAAAATGTCACTGATGAGACTACTGTACCTGAGCCCACTGGAGATGACTATGAACAGAGAAGAAAGTTAGATCTTGCCAATCACTTGGCAAGAACATTTGTGGTCCCCAGCAGCCTGCTCAGCAGAGGACATGAAAATCTTTTGTCACTGTAGTAACCAAGAGGCATTCCTTTTGGGGAACTTTTCAGAGAGAAAAGTGACTCATATTCTTCTCAACAAGCAGACACTGCTGTGACACCCAGGGACTTTAGTAGCCACCTCTCCCAACCCTATGTGGGTGTCCCTGACCCATGAGTTGCAGCCACACAGTGAGTGTCCAAACCCCAAATTTTGGCCCTGTGATGAGTGGCACTCTCTCATGTCTCAGACACTGGAGCCACTGCCATAGATGGCACCCTTGGCCCAAGAGCCACAATCTCTCTTTGTGAAACCAAGCTGCAGGCACAAGATTACTCATAGAGACCTCACTCATGCTCCAGAAGCTGGAGTTCTTCTCTATCTAAGAGCACACTCAAGTTCTGGACCTTGTCTCTGTAGTTGTGCTGTATGCACCTATGCCTTAGGTGCCAGAGTCATGCTCATAGTGAGGGAGTGCATACTGCTGGAACCTAAGCCAAGTTGCCTCTGCATACACCTGTGTTCCAGAAACCAATTCAGTCACCATGGAGAGCCAGACCATGCCATGGACACTGGAGCCATTATAGCTCTCTGTGTATCTGTCCTCAAGGCTCTATGGCTGCACTGAGAGTTCCCATGCCTCAGTCACTATACCCACTGGCAAAGCAAGCCAGAATCCAAGTTACATTGTTAATCACTTAAAATATCTTGTTATAACTATAAGATGTTTTATGTAAGCCACAAGGTAACCACAAAGCAAAAAAACCATAGTAGATACACAAAAAATTGAAAAGTGAAGAATCAATGAATACCACTACAGAAAATAATCTAATCACAAGGACAGCAAGAGAGGAAGAAAGAAACAAAGAATCTACAAATTTACCAGAAAGTGATTCTTGAGATAGCAGGAGTAAGTTCTTATCTATCAATAATGATTAGAATTTAAGTGGATTAAATTCTTTAATCAAAATAAATAGAGTGGCTGAATGGGAAGAAAGAGAGAGAAAGAAAGAGAAAGAAAAAAGAAAGAAAGGAAGGAAGGAAGGAAGGAAGGAAAGAAGGAAGGAAGGAAAATAAAAGAAAGAGAAGAGAGAAAGAAAGACAGAAAGAAAGAAAAAGAAAGAAAGAAAGAAAAAGAAAGGAGGGAAGAATACAGCTGTATGTTGCCTACAAGAGACCCAATTCGCAATTAAGGACACATGTAGATTGAAAGTGAAGGAATGAAAACAGATATTTTATGCAAATAGAAACCAAAAGAGAGCAGGGTTATCTATAGTTATAACAGATAAAATAGACTTTAAGTAAAAAACTGGAAAAAGAGCCGAAGACTATCATTACATTATGATAAAGGTGTCAATTCATCAAAAGGATATAACACTTGTAAATATATTTGCACCAAACACCAGAGTCTCTGAATATATATAGCAAGTATAAATAGATCTGAAAACAGAGAGAGACTGCAATAAAATAACAGTAGGGGAATTTAAAACCCCACTTTCAACAATGGAAAGATCATTCAGACAGAAAATCAATAAGGAAACATTGGACTTGAACAATACTTTAGACCAAATTAACCTAACAGACACACAGAACATTCCACCCAACAGGGGAAGAATACGCATTATTTTCAGACATACACAGACTATTCTTCAGGATAGGTCATATCTTAGTTCAGAAAACAAGTCTCACAAATGTTTGTCAACTTAAAAATATTGGCTGGGAACAGTGGCTCATGCCTGTAATCCCAGCACTTTGGGAAGCCGAGGCAAGTGGATCATCTGAGGTCAGGAGTTCGAGACAAGCCTGGCCAACATGGTGAAACCCCATCTCTACTAAAAATATAAAAATTTGCCAGGCGTGGTGGCAGGTGCTTGTAATCCCAGTTACTCTGGAAGCTGAGGTAGGAGAATCACTTGAACCCAGGAGTCAGAGGTTGCAGTGGGCCAAGATTGTGCCACTGCACTCCAGCCTGGGCGACAAGAGTGAAACTCCATCTCAAAAAAAAAAAAATTGAATAAGTCATAAAAACAGAAAAAGACAATCCAATAAAAATATTATCAAAGATACATGAAAAGACATTTTACAAAATATGATGCTCCAAAGGAAACAAATATTTGAATATAAATTTATTAGTAATAAAATGAATTATAATTGAAAATACAATATACCACTACATACACACCAAAATGGTGCAAATAAAATTTAATTAGACCAATAATGCCAAGTTTCAGAGAGGACATAGGAAATAAATGCTCTTATACACTGATGACATGCATTTAAATTTTTACAATTACTTTGGAAGTCTTTAGTATTAACTGCTAAAACAGTAGATATGCATACCTGAGATTAAATAATTCTACTTTTGCATAAGTACCTGACAAAAATGAGCACACGTTTTTGCCAAAAATGGGTCAAGAATGTTAAAATAAGCATAAAGTAAACCATTCACAAAATGGAAAAAAACAAATGTGTGCTAACAGTACAGTAAGTATTGGTATATTCATTGCATAAAATGTCAGTTAGTAAAATTATATGAACTACTGCTACACATGATGACAACATAAATGAGTTTCAGTATTATACTGAGTGAAAAATTCCAGAAACAAAATTACATGTTTGCATTAAATTCAAACTCAGCAAAATTCTCACCTTTTAGGGTTCAGGATAATGATTCCCATTGGAATATAAGGTGAAAAGAACATTTAGAAAGGAACATGAATATATCTTCCAGAATACTAAAAATATTAATTTTTAAACTGGATAATAGTTATGTAGTTTCATATCAAGATTACATAGAACTGTGCCCTTGAGATTTTTGTAGTTTTTGAATACATGCTTTACTTAAATAAAACCTTTTGTTGAAGCCAAAACACTGATTTTTTTTTTACAAAATGTACATTACTTGCAACAAAGCATGTAGACAAATTATCTCCAAACTAACATTCTTCTGACTCACAGACCACTTGAAAGATCATTCCTTATTCTAAGTCTTTCAAGTTTGAGTGAGTGGATATATATATAGATGAACTAAGTTTGAATTTCTGTATTTACTGGTGAGAATTCACTTTCAAATCAACCATGAGATAATATTGCTATTCAAATAGCTGTGTTGATGCTTTTGACAGCATTTGTATGTCAAGTAAATTACCCACAATAAGAAACTTTACTGGATTTGATGTAGGATTTTTTGCTCCTTATCTCAGCTAGATCTGGGTTCTTGTCTCATGACCAGGAAGAAATAGGCAGATGGACATTGAAGAGTGAGTGGAGTAAAATATATTAAGCAAAAAGAAAAGTTATCAGCAAAAAAGAGGTCCTGAAAGGAGGTTGCTGGTTGCCCTGTTCACATTTGAATACAAGAGCTCCTATATAGCCAAGCTGATGGGGCTGGGTTCCCTATTTGTATAAGATGCAAATTCCCGGTGTCTCCACCCCATCCTTCCAGTGCACAAGCAGGCCCTGAGTCTGAGCTACTCCATGTTGATTTATTTTTCTTACTGAGCATGCGTTAAAGAATAAAATTTTTCACTAGGGGAATGTTTAGGCAAGCCCCCTGTGCAAGTTCCCTTATCTGCACAAAACATCTGGGGTAAACACTTGTGGGCCAAGTCAGAGGTTCTCTGGGAAAACTTTCCCTTACTGTCTGCCTAAAGCAAGCTAGCTAACTCTTTTTATTACCCCCTTCAGGAGTGGAGACCCCGACTGCTGTTGGGGAAAGTGGATGATGACCACTCTTAACTGCTTCCTGCATACAGGGGTCGCTGTTTTGGGAAAGTGGCAGTTAGGGCTTCTCCTGAGATAGGTTTAAGGTTCCCCAGAAGAATGGCATGTCCATGCATGATTTCATTTGCATCACCATTTGAAGTTTATTGGCCTCTAAGTGAGAAGAAACAATTCAGGTTATTAGAAGACATATATCAAAATGAAACAAGGGGGTAAAGATAGATAAAAAATCCCAAGGCTGCTGACATGCCCAGATAACTGGTGGCTATAGTTATGCCTGCTAAGATTTGGGTGCATGGGGCTTGGTTTTGTTTAGCTCCCTTGGTCTTATTTTCCCAAATAAAGAAACCTCTGGGTAATGGGAACCTTATTTACTCCTATCATCTGACAAAATTTGCAAGGTAATTGTTCAGAATTAAAACATTGATCCAGATTTTTTATGTTACCTATCCGTTTTGTTTCTTCTGAGCTGCAGCCAGAGATCGCTGGTTGGTTCACAGGAATAAGCAGAGTTAGTCTAATGTAGACAAAAACTTAAAAAACAATCAATAAGATTAGAATTTAGTGACAAATGTATGATGAGCTTTGAAACATAATTTTTGTCTTTCTGGTCCTCATTTTATGAAAAACAAATCATAGCAGGACTGAATTGTTTGCAAAATAAAATTTAGTCTTATACTTGGCCAGATTATTTGCATAAAGTGCAGCAAGAATAATTATTTTTACATAGGCTTTTTAAAATGGCTTTGATGGAACTCTATTCCACAAGGAATCTCAGATAAGACATTTTAAAGCCTAGCCAAACCATGGGTTTGTACCCTCAAATACCTATGAGTTGGGTAAATTCCTCTCTTCTTGAGGTACCAAGGACATGGGGCTCGTTGGCCTGTTAGAAAGTGACACTCTTTACTCACCACATGTTGGGAACCCTGTATAGGGACCGTGTTGACAAGGTATGAGGTCAGTTTTCCCAAGGGGCTTTTATTGGCTCTACGTATCAACCTTGATTCCATAAAGGAAAACATTATCTGGCTGGGCGTGGTGGCTCACACTTGTAATCCCAGCACTTTGTGAAGCCAAGTCAGGCAGATCACCTGCAGTCAGATCGAGACCAGCCTGGCCAACATGGCAAAACCCCATCTCTACTAAAAATACAAAAAACAACAACAACAAAAAAACAAAAAAAACAATTAGCGGGATGTGGTGGTAGGCACCTGTAATCCCAGCTACTCAGGAGGCTGAGGCAGGAGAATCACTTGAACCTTGGAGGTGGAGGTTGCAGTGAGCCAATGAAGGGGTGGCCTGCCCCTCCACACCTGTGGGTATTTCTAGTCGGGTGGGTCGAGAGACTGAGAAAAGAAATAAGACACAGAGACAGAGTATAGAGAAACAACAGTGGGCCCAGGGGACTGGCGCTCAGCATACCGAGGACCTGCACCGGCCTCTGAGTTCCCTTAGTTTTTATTGATTATTATTTTCATTATTTTAGCAAAAAGGAATGTAGTAGGAGAGCAGGGTGATAATAAGTAGAAAGTCAGCAAAAAACATGTGAGCAAAAAAATCTGTGTCATAATTAAGTTCAAGGGAAGGTACTATGACTGGACGTGCATGTAAGCCAGATTTATGTTTCTCTCCACCCAAACATCTCAGTGGAGTAAAGAATAACAAAGCAGCATTGCTGTAAACATGTCTCGCCTCCCACCATAGGGTGGTTTTTCTCTGATCTCAGAATTGAACAAATGTACAATCGGGTTTTATACCGAGACATTCAGTTTCCAGGGGCAGGCAGCAGACAGCGGCCTTCCTCTATCTCAACTGCAAGAAGCTTTCCTCTTTTACTAATCCACCTCAGCACAGACCCTTTACGGGTGTCAGGCTGGGGGATGGTCAGATGTTTCTCATCCCACGAGGCCATATTTCAGACTATCACATGGGGAGAAACCTTGGACAATACCCAGCTTTCAAGGGCAGAGGTCCCTGCAGCTTTCTGCAGTGCATTGTGCCCCTGGTTTATTGAGACTAGAGAATGGCAATGACTTTTACCAAGTATACTGCTTGTAAACATTTTGTTAACAAGGCATGTCCTGCACAGCCCTAGATCCCTTAAACCTTGATTTTATACAACACATGTTTTTGTGAGCTCCAGGTTGGGTCAAAGTGGCTGGGGCAAAGCTACAAATTAACAACATCTCAGCGAAGCAATTGTTTAAAGTACAGGTCTTTTTCAAAATGGAATCTCTTATGTCTTTCCTTTCTACATAGACACAGTAAATCTGATCTCTCTTTCTTTTCCCTGCAAGCCAATATCACACCACTGCACTCCAGCCTTGGTGACAGAGTGAGACTCTGTCTCAGAAAAAAAAAAAAAAGGAAAACATATCCTCCCAGTCAAAGCCTTGGTAAAACAACCATTTACTCAAATTGTGCCCCATTGCAAAAGAAAATGAATTTTTATTGCACCAATACAAATAACTGTATTGCCATAAGTTAAGAATACTCACAAATAGTTTCCAAATTTTGGAGAAGCCAGGCAGTGAGAAACAAATATGTTACAAATTTTGTTCATAGGAGTAAAACTTAACTATTAAAGACCATAAATGGCTCAAAACATATTTTCCTTTACTCTGAAAACCAAAACAAGGATAAGCAACATTTTACTCAAAAAGGTTTAAAAGATTACTTCAGTTTTCTGTTAGTTCAGTCCACTCTGTTAACTCTTTTTCTGCTTGATAATCATGAACATTTCATCTCTTCATGAATCCCATATGTTTTTCCTTTATTCCAATGACATAATATCCAAAGTTATCAGGAACCTCCATTTTGAGAGCACCTGTCAGAGCCCTGTAGCTGATTATAAACCATCTTTTGAAAAGGATGAAGGCAAGACATCAATCGTAATTCACAGACGTGTGAATGACAAAATATCCAGGGTGGTTACAGTCAAGAACATGATTGGCAAGAAAATTTTTATTATTTCTGTGGTTTACAATAACTTAACATAATCATCTTAATTATGATTGATACCATTTAGGCAGACATTAGAATTTTAGAAATCCCATAAAATTTTGAAATATATATTAATATTATTCACTAAAATATAACCTAAAGAAGATTGAACATCATTTTGGCTGTAGCATGTAACTAAGCATGTCAAATAATCCTGTTTACCTCTCTTTTGGATGCTCCAGGCACCTTCTGTATCATCCAAAAGCTAAGGGTCAGGAATGACAATTTTTGAAGCTGAAGTTTGATTTTTGGAACCCTGTTAAATATGTTAGAGGTTCAAAGCACTTGGTATTATGAAATAGAATTCCAGATTACCATAATTCATTTATTTTAGCCAAAATGATAACTCAAAAATTTTAAAACAAGCCAAAATCTTTTACTCATTAAGAGGGAAGACTTAGTTTTCCAAAAAAAAAAATCTCTTTAATATTAACGTAGTAATCCAGTATAAGAGAGATGAAGCCAAATTTCACCCTTGCATTAGTCTACTATAAATGTCAACTCCATTTTTTAAAATAAAACCTTTTAGATAATTCTATCTAATCTTAACAAGCTTGACCATGAGGTGAGATTCTTGTAAACCTTTTATAACCCTTTACAAATTTTTATTAAAGAGCAGATCACTACCTTAAGAAAACCTTGCTGTGCATTTATTTCAATTCTCAATGTACCTAAAAACCATATACCTTTTTGAAGTCAGTCAATATGTTAACACACAGAATTTCTTTTGCAAGATTAATTTTTATATGCCTTCCACCACATGTTTAAACCTTCAGCTTTATCTTATCCAATTGAAAACAATCATTTAACCCTAGGCAAAAATTTACATTTCCATACCTTCTTATAATTATTTATTAAATACACATTTTACTTTCCTTACACAGCTTACATGTAAATCTATTTTCAATAGTTTCAATTACATGTTATAATTGTAACTCTTAGCAATTTTTAACTTTAATGTAATACTTGGTAAGTTATTTTGATTATGTACTAGGCACAGATAAAATCTGACATTTTTCCAGCTTAGTTAAGGGCACAGTTAATTCCATATGTAACCAGGCCTTACCAATTGTGAAGCAGGCAGGTCAAAGAGTTTTTAAAAGTCAAAGAAGTTTATAAACTTGAAACATTTAGCAAACCTAATATCTGACCTACATGATTCAGCCCACATATTTACATTTTGAAGACATTTCTATTTTACCAATTATCTTTAAAACTGCCTTTATTTCTTAAAAATTAAATAACATAAACTAAAAGTCACTACTGCTTTTATTTTCTTTAAAAATATCTGATATATGATCTAATAACTTACTTTTCTTTAAGCCAATTAATTATAACTCTCTTTTTTATATAAACATTACACCCATACACATATATAATTACACAGACAGACATGAGAAGATCCAGTAATTATAAGATTTCTCATTTGCCAGTCTCCTAATTGGATTATTGGCTTCAGGGTGGAGCCTTTCAAGAAACAGGGCTAAGAAAGCATGTGGTTTAACAGAGCCTAATAAGAAGATATAGCTGGAAGACAAAAATAGATTTTAAGAGGTATCTATCAGCTTTTAACTCCTGGGGCCCTATGATAAAAACAGATTTTTTTTTTCCCCAAAATGAGGTTTGTGGTGCCTTCTCTGTATTTCCCCAGGAGTCCCAGGCTATCAGAATTTTTCTTAGGACCTCTCATGCATGCATAAATATTGGTGAGATAAAATGGAAAAAAGTAATTCAGTTGACTGAGAGAAAAACCTTTTCCAGAAAAACAAGAGCCAAGAAAAGAAAAACATAAAGGCCTTTCAAATATACCTATAGCTTGGATATCCACTTTAAATTAAGTTCAGTGCTCTTTAAGAAAAGCCTTTTAAATACCTTGTTACTTGACTTTAGCCATGCCAAGTGCCCATTATTTCTGGCTTTTGAGCTTTAGCAAAAGTAACCTCACAAGTGAAACCAACAAGCCTCAACTAATGTTATTACTGAACCATGAGTGCATGAGATATTTTTAAAGATATGGTAAGGAGTTTCTACAAAATCTAGAATCTTCAAAGGTAGCTCAAAGAGGGAAATATTCAAGTAAGAAAGCTAGAAGTTGTTCATGGAGTGGAAGAGAATCAGCAAATGGTAAAAGTCATGCAGATATTAACCCAAAAAGTACTCATTCTTTAAGCTGTGATTGAACTTGGGCCACCATTGTAAAATGGCAAAGGTCAAAATAAAGTACTTCCACACGGTTACAAGGTCAAGCTCCTAAGGATGTAAAACAAGATGGAAGCCTGTAGCAAAGTTTGTTACTAACCTGTTTGCTGGGCTGGCTTGAACAGCAGGCTTTTGGCATCCTAAGCCTGTGTTCTATCCTAAGGTATTCCTCCTTATGACACAACCATGCAGAAAGACACACAAAGCACTCCAGATTGGCTACAGCTTAAGACTAGCCTCATAAATCCTCTTTTCCATTTATCAAATCTTTGCAGAGCATATAAACAGTGATTTTATCATTCATTCAACCAGTTTGCACAGGGAGAGGGAGGCCAGAAGTCCAACTGGTAAGAACTTCTACCCATTTGCTGGCATGTCAGGCTTCTGGGTTCCCTTTCCCCAGCTCCATTTTAATCCAAGAAGTTTAAGGTTTGAGGAAATAAACTTTTCCCAGTTTGGAGAATGCACCTTGAGGGAAGAGTCCTGTGGTACAGAAATACAATTTTCTATCCACAGAAAAAGGACAGAGAACAAAGGAGGAAAAGAGAGAAATAGGGCATTTTTTTCCAAAGGAGACCCAGTGATTCAGAAGGCATTCAAGAGAAGTGCAGGCTGCAGATTGGTTACTCACCTAGAAAGAGGGGGACAAGGCATCCCCCATTCCTTCTTCCTAGTGGATAGCCAGCCTACATGAGAGAGAGAACAATAAAGCATGCTCTTTCTTTCTTCTGTCCTTATATCCTCGAGTCCCAGTGACTTTAGTGGAGTGCCAATGTGTCTTTCACCCCTGTAAACAGGGAGCCTTGGGGGTTGGAATTATTTACCCTTACCCACACACTTCTTGTCCTCCTGTTGTCAGGGGGTTCCCTATTTGTATAAGGTGCAAATTCCTGGTGGTGCCACCCCGCCCTTCCAGTGAACTTGTAGGCCCTTAATCTTAGCTGCTCCATATTGATTTATTTTTGCTTACTGAGCATGTGTTAAGGAACAAAATTTTTCACTGTGGGAATGTTTAGGCAAGCCCCCTGTGCAAGTTCCATTATCTGCACAAAACATCTGGTATAATCACTTGTGGGGTGGCTTGGAGGTTCTCTGGGGGACGCTTTCATTACTGTCTGCCTAAAGCAAGCTGGCTAACTCCTTTCAGCTTTATGTTTCACTTGGGAAGAAAAAAAGTAAAACAAAACGTTGATTCAGTAAAATCAATTCATTACAACACACACACACACATATTTCATGTTTTAGTTCTCCAAAGTAAATGGCTAGTAATAAAATTTTTTAAAAATTGGAAATTTAGTATAAATTGAATTTCTTTATTATTTTCATTGCCTTTAGTTTCACAGTGTTTACAGTTAGCCAGAGATGTTTCTGGATCAAAACTGAAGATAGTATTTTATATTTTAAATTATTAATTTTCATAAGTAAAATGGAGATATAGACAATTTTAGCCACTACACATTTTTTTTGCATGTGAAAATAAGAACTGGTTTCAATAAATTAACTGCATTAATTTGCAACTTCTTTAACAATTAGTCTTGGAAATATGCTCAACAATTAATTTCTTATTAAGCCATAGGGGCACAATAGGTTGTAGATACTAGTGCAATTATTTGCACCTACTGCACTGTGAAGCAAGAAGCCCAGGCCAAATGCAATGTAGTCACTGTGGAGATTTACGTCATAATTTATATCCTGTTATTTCTTTTATAGTTAATAAACGTTCAATAAACTAAATACTATATGTTTTAATAATAGTCCTTATCTTTATTCAAGCCAAAATAAAAGAATACAGTTCACTAGAAATCCCAGATTCGTACCTATTTCTGACCTTTTTGGTCCTTACCAAATGGATATTTGTAAAAAATGGAAGGTATATTTTAGTAGTAAGTTAGGAAAAAATCCTCAGAGACCCCATTATTTTGAATTCAACTAATTCAAATGCATGATCATTGTCTTGAGAATGTGCTTTATTTATGAAAAGGTATTTAAACTGTAAATGATCTCAACACATCAATCTCTTCACAATTAGTCATCCGTCTACCAACCATTCATCTTTTTCATTCATTACTTTAACAAATACTTCTCCAGAGCCTCTTATATGTTATAAACTCTACAACTACTTGAGTTATAGAGATTAATAAGATTTAGCCCACTAGTCTCAGCTATTCACAGTAAAAAGAAATACATGAGTATAATCAATCAGAATACTGTGAATAGAGAATAAATAAGCACAGAATGCTTTATGAGAAGTAATGGTGTCTACTTTTCCTTGAGGTGGGGGTAAAGTTCATGAAAGCCTTCCAAGATAATGTATGGCTGAGTCTTAAAAAAAAAAAGTAGTTTTTTTTTTCCTATGGAAAAAGAGGCTAAAGACATTTTAATTTAAAGCACTGACTTGCATGATAGCATGGTATGTTATTGAAATGGTGAGGCTTGGAGAAGAATGTGTATCTGAGCAGGTGGTAGATGATGAAATTGTGAAGCTAGATAGTGGTCAGATTATGAAGGGTTTATTTTTCACATTAACATTTTGAATTTTATAGGTGTTGAGGTAACATTGAAGGATTTTAAGCAGAAAAGTGTTATTTTCCGCAATGAAGAGTAGACTAGAGATAAAAGAAATTAGAAATATCACATAGAGACCACTTAAAAGGCTGTTGCAATAGTCTAGACAAAAAAAGGATCAAGGTCTAAACTCAGGACATAAGTGAACAATACATGTGTGCAAAAAATATCCCTGATATAGGGATATTCTTATGCAACATATTCTTATGTTTTTTATAAACAAATTTTCCCTGAACTAAAGAATGTACAGAAGATGCACTTTATCAATCCCGACTCTATCATCTAGTAGCTGTATAACCTGGAACAGCTTAAATTCTGTGTCTTTTCCAAAGATGCAATATGGGAGGTGTATAAATAAATAAACATATTTGATTATATATTTGTATAGCTATATATATGTTTATATATTTGTGTGGTATTACATATTTAGAAATTATGAGATGATTGTGAAAATTAAATGACATAATACATGCAACTGTGCATTAAGTGTGCATTAAAAATTAACTATTATTCATTAATACTTAATATTACAAAAGTGTGATCCCTGAGAGAGAGGTATGCCCTTGATATCTAAACAAAAACTATAGTGTTAGCATAATCAGTATTAACCTCATTATTAAAACCCAAAGATAATACAGCAGTATTGCTTCAAATATTAATATTTTTGATTAAACAAAATAGTTATGTTCTACTGCTAATCACAAATATTTTTACTTACCTATGTTTTCGTTCAATCTGCCAACACAAAACATAAAGTTCAAAAGTGTTTACTGAAAAATTCTATGTATATTTTTTACTCCAGATATTAGTTCTAATCTTATTAGGAAAAAAAGTTTATATCATTTCTAGCTATTCTACTCCCTCACGGAAATATTTCGTATTAAATATTTTCAAATTAGGAATTCAAGCTATGATTGCAATTTGTCTTTTGCATTTATATATCAGTCTACTTTCTATTTTCTTCCATTGCATTATATTCAGTTATTACCCTTACCTATGGCTCCATCATTCATTATTTGTGTGGCCTTTGATAAATTAATTAATCCATGTAAAGTTTAGTTTTTTATTTTCTAAAGGTAGGAGAGATTAATAGTACCCAACTCACAATTAAGTGATGAGGGAGCAAGATGGCAGAAAGGAAGGCTCCACTGATAGTGCCACCCATGAGGACACCAAGTTAACAACCATCTGCACAAAAAACCACCTTCGTAAGACCCCAAAATTAGGTGAGCCCTCATAATACCTCAATCTTACTTAGTATCACTGAAAGAGGCACTTTAAACGTAGAACAAACAGTCTTGAATCACAGACACCACCCTTCCCTCACCCCCAGTAGTGGCAGCATGGTGCAGAGGACCACTCTAAGTGCTAGGGGAGGAAGAGCACAGAAATCATGAAGCATTGAACACTCAGTGCTGTCCTGTTAGACAAAAAAAAAAAAAAAAAAAAAAAAAAAAAAAAAAAAAAAAACAGAAAAAAAACTGGACCAGATGCCCGCCCATGGAGGGGAGAATTTAAACAATCCCCAGTCAGAGTCGTACTGCTGATTCCAGACGTCAGAACTCCAGTTCCCACTAACCACCCCATGGTGGTCTAGAGTATTCTAAGTCTCTAATTATCTCAACAGGCAGTCTAGGCCATAAGGACTTCAACTCTTAGGCAAGTCCCAGTGCTGAACTAGGCCCAGAGACAGTGGACTAGGGCAGTACATAACCTAGCGAGACATCAGCTGGGATGCCAAAAGGAGTGCTGGCATCAATCACCCCCCAACCCCAAGCTGCACAGCTCATGACTCTAAAAGAGACCCCTTCCTTCCACTTGAGGAAAGGAGAGGAAAGAGTAGGAAGGGCTTTCTCTAGCACCTTGCATACCAGTTCAGACACAGCAGGGTAGGACACTAGTCAGAGTTATGAGGTCCGCATTCCAGGCCCTAGCTTCTGGGTGAGATTTGTAGACATGGCCTGAGACAGAAGGGAACTCACTGCCTTTAAGAAAACAGGCCAGTTCTGGCAGCATTTGTAACTTGCTGACTGAAGAGCCTATGAGTACTGAATAAGCAGTACCGATACCCAGGTACTATGTTGAGGGCGTTAGGTGAATCTGTAAGACTTTGCTGGCTTCAGGTGAGACCCAGCAATTTACTAGACAAAAAACTAACAAAGAAACATTGGACTTAATCTGCATTGTATACCAAATGGACCTAATGCATATTTACAAAACATTTCATCCAAGAGCTGCAGAATACACATTATTTTCATCAGCACATGAATTATTCTCAAGGATAGACCATATTTTAGGTTACAAAACAAGTCTGAAGACATTCAAATAAATGAATTAATATCAAGTATCTGCACTGACCACATGGAATAAAACTAGAAATCAATAACATGAAGAATTTTGGAAACTATGAAAATACACCTAAATTAAACAATATGTTCCTGAATAACCAGTATGCCAATGACGAAATTAAGAAATAAACTAAAAAGTTTCTTGAAACAACTAATAATATACACAAAACATACAAAACCTATGGGATACAGCAAAAGCAGCACTAAGAGGGAAGTTTATAGCTACCTAGCTACATGTGCCTGCATCAAAAAAGAAAAAAAAAACACCTCAACTGAACACTCTAATGATGTATCTTAAAGAATTAGAGAAGCAAGAGAAAGCCAAACTCAAAAATAGTAGGAGACAAGTAATTAGTATGATCAGACCATAAATACATAAATCTGAAATGAAGAAAACAATAAAAAATATCACTGAAATAAAATTTTTTTAATTTAAACAAAATTGACAAAACCTTAGACTAAGAATAAAAGAAGATACAAGTAAATAAAATCAGAAATGAAAAAAGATACATTACAGCTGATAATGCAGAAATTCACAGAATCTTTAGTGGCTACTATCAGCAACTTGTATGCCAATAAATTGGAAAATCTAGAAGAAATAGACAAATGTTTAGACACATTCAACCTGCTTAGGTTGAACCAGGAATAAATCTAAAATCTGAAGAGACCAGTAACAAGTAACAAGATTGAAACTGTAATAAAAATTCTCCCAGTGAAAACTAAAACAAAAACAAACAGAAAACAACCCAGGACTGGATGGCTTCACTGCTGAATTCTTCCAAACATTTAAAGAAGAACTAATACCAATGCTACTCAAACTATTCAGAGGAGAGGGGAAAACTTCCAAACTCATTCTCAAGGCCAGCATTATTCTGATTCCAAGATCAGAAAAAGACACATAAAACAAGAAAACTACAGGCCAATATATATAATGAATATTATTTTTTATTGTTTATTTTTCTGGGTACATAGTAGGTGTATATGTTTATGGGGTACATGAGATGTTTTAATACAAGCATGCAATGTGAGACAAGGACATCAAGGAAAATGATGTATCCATTGCCTCAAGAATTTATCCTTTGTGTTGCAAACAATCTAATTACACTCTTTGAGTTAATTTAAAATGTAAAATTAAGTTGTTACTGACTACAGTCACCCTGCTGTGCTATCCAATAGTAGAACTTATTCTTTCTCTTATTTTTTACACATTAATCATCCCCACCTACTCTGCCAAACCCTCGCCACCCTTCCCTGAGGTTACCAGCCTCTGGTAACCATCCTTGTACTCTCTTTGTCCATGAGCTTCAATGTTTTGATTTTTAGATCTCACAGATAAGTGAGAACACGCAATGTATGTCTTCCTGTGCCTGGCTTATTTCACTGAACGTAATGATCTTCAGGGCCATCCATGTTTTTGCATTATTTTTTATGGCTGAATAGTACTCCATTGTGTATATGTACCAAATTTTCTTTATTTATTCATCTGTTGATGGACACTTAGGTTTCTTCCAAATCTTAGCTACTGTGAACAGTGTTGCAACAAACATAGGTGTGCAGATATCTCTTCCATGTACCAATTTCCTTTCTTTAGAATACATACCCAGCAGTGGGACTGCTGAATCATATGGTAGTTCTATTTACAGTTTTTTGAGGAACTTCCAAACTGTTCTCCATAGTGGTTGTACTAATTTAATTCCAACCAATTGTGTACAAAGGGTCCCTTTTCTCCACATCCCTGCCAGCATTTTTTATTGCCTGTCTTTTGTATAATAAGCCATTTTGACTTGGATGAGATGCTATGTCACTGTAGTTTTGATTTGCATTTCTGTGATGTTAAGCAAATTTTATATGTCAGTTTGCCATTTGGGTGTCTTCTTTTGAGTAATGTCTATTCAAATCGTTTTCCTATTTTTTTTTGGATCAGACTATTAGATTTTTTCCTATAGAGTTGTTTGAGCTCCTTTTATATTCTGGTTATCAATCCCTTGCCAGATGCGTAGTTTGCAAATATTTTCTCCTATTTGGTGGGTTGTCTCTTCAATTTTTTTTATTGTATCCTTTGCTGTGTAGAAAATTTTTAACTGGATGTGAACCCATTTTTCCATTTTTGCTTGGTTGCCTGTGCTTGGGGGTATTGCTCAAGAAATTCTTGTCCAGAACTATTCCCTGGAGATTTCCCCCAATGTTTTCTTGTAGTAGTTTTATAGTTTGAGGTCTTAAATTTCAGTCATTAATACATTTTGTATATGGCAAAAGATAGGGATCTAGTTTCATTCTTCCGCATATGGATATTTAATATTCTCAGCACCATTTATTGAAAAGACTGCTTTGTTTCCAGTGAATGTTCTTGGCATCTTGTTAAAAGTGAGTTCACTCTAGGTGTATGGATTTGTTTCTGGGTTCTGTATTCTGTTCCATTGTTCTATGTGTCTGATTTTATGCCAGTACCATGATCTTTTGTTCATTATAGTTCTATAGTGTAACTTGAAGTCAAGTAATGTAATTCCTCTAGTTTTGTTCATTTTGCTAAGTATAGGATTCTTTCTTCTATTTCTGTGAAGAATGCCATTGGTATTTTGAAAGAGATTGCATTAAACCTGTAAATTGCCTTGGGTAGTGTGGACACTTTAGCAATATCAATCCTTCCAATCCATAAACATGGGATTATTTTTTCCATCTTTTGATGTTCTCGTTGATTTATAGTTTATATTATAGAGAACTTTCTTTAGTTAATTCCTAGATATTTAATTTTGTGTGTCTATTATAAATGGAATTAATTTTTTACTTATTTTTCAATTTGTTCACTGTCGGCATATAGAAATTATACTGTTTTTTGTATGTTAAATTTGTATCCTGCAATTTTACTCAATTTATCAGTTCAAATAGTTTTTTGGTAGAGTCTTTAAGGTTTTCCAAATAGAAGATCACATCATCTGCAAACAAGGAAAGTTTGACATTTCCTTCCCAATTTGGATGCCCTTTATATCCTTCTCTTTTCTGATTATTCCAGCTAGGTCATCTATGACTATGTTGAATAGCAGTAGTAAAGGAGGACATGGTTGTCATGTTCCAGACCTTAGACTAAAGGCTTTCTGTTTTGCTGCATTCAGTATGATACTAGCTGTGGGTGTGTTCTATGTGGCTTTTATTGTATTGAGGTATGTTCCTTCTATCCCCAGTTTTTGAGGGTTTTTATCATGATGGGAAGTTGAATTTTATCAAATGTTTTTTCAGCATCAGTTGAAGTGATCATATGGCTTTTATTCTTCATTCTGTTGATATAATGTTTTATATGATTGATTTGCATATATTGAACCATCCTTACAACCCAGTGATAAATTCCACTTGGTCATGATGAATGGTCATTCTAACTGCATGGTTGAATTTGGTTTGCTAGTATTTTGTTGAAAATTTTTGCATAAGTATTCATCAGAAATATTGGCCTGTAGGGGTGTGTGTGTGTGTGTGTCATTGTCTGGTTTTGGTATTAGGGTAATAATGGCCTCATAGAATGAGTTTGAAGGTATTTTCTCCTTCTCTATTTTTTGAAATAGTTTAGGTAGGATTGGTATTAGTTTCCATTTAAATGTTTGGTAGAATTCAGCAGTAAAGCCATCAGGTCTCTGGCTTTTTTTTTTTCTTTATTATGGGTTTTGTCGAATTACTTGTTATTGGATTGCTTAGATTTTGAATTTTACCTGTTTCAATCTTGGTAGCTTTTATGTAGGTAGGAATTTGTCTATTTCTTCAAGATTTACCAAGTTATTAGCATGTAGTTACTCATAGTAGCTACTAATAATCTTTTGAATTTCTGCAGTATCCATTGTAATGTCTCCTTTTTCATTTCTGATTTTATTTACTTGGATTTTCTCTCTTATTTTCTTAGGCTGGTTAATGTTTGTCAATTTTGTATAACTTCAAGAAAATCAACTTTTTATTTCATTGATCTATTGTATATATTTTTCCATTTTAATTTTATTTATTTCTGCTTTATTTTTATTACTCTTCTAAGAATTTTGGATTTGGTTTGCTCCTGCTTTTCTTGTTTTTTAAGATGCATTGTTAGATTGTTTATTTGAAATTTCTTCCTGTTTTGTGAGGTAGAAAATTAAAACTATAAACCTCGCTCTTATTACAACTTTTGCTGTATTCATTGGTTTTGTTACATTGTATTTCCACTTCCAAAATTTCCAGATAGTTTTAGATTTCCTTTTCAATTTTTTTATTGACCCACTGGTCATTTAGGAGCATATTGTTTAATTTGTACATATTTGTTTAGTTTCCACAATTTCTGGTTTTATTCTATCATGATCAGAGAAGATGCTTGATAATATTTCAAATTTTTAAATGCTTTAAGACTTGTTATAATAGACAGACTACTAGCTAGAGTAATAAAAAATAAAGATAAAAGATTCAAATAAACACAATTAGAAATTACAATGGGGATATCACCACTGACCCCACAGAAATACATTCAACCATCAGAAAATATTATGAACACCTCTATGCACATAAACTAGAAAATGTAGAAGAAATGGATAAATTTATGGACACATACACCTGCCCAAAACTGAATCAGGAAGAAATTGAATCTTTGAACAGGCTAATACAAATTTCTGAAATGTAAGCAGTAATAAATAGTCTACCAACCAGACATATTTACAGCTGAATTGTAAATATGTACAAAAAATGTACAAAGAAAAGTTGGAAGCATTCCAACTAAAACTATTCCAAAAAAATTGAGGAGGAGGGACTCCTCCGTAAGTCATTCTATGAGGCCCATATCATTCTCATACCAAAACCTGGCAGAGATACAAAAAACAACAACAAAAAACCTTCAGGCTAACATCCTTAATAAACAATGATGCAAAAACCCTCAACATAATACTGGCAAACCACATTCAGTAGCACATCACAAAGCTTATCCATCACAATCAAGTAGGCTTTATCCCTGGGATGCGAGGTTGGTTCAACATACACAAATCAGTAAACGTGATTCATCACATAAACAGAAATAAAGACAGAAAAACACATAATTATCTCAATAGTGAGATAATATCTCAATAATTCTTCAATCTGAAGGAAAAGAACATTAGCAATAGAGCAATAAGAAATCATCTGAAAGTCCAAAACTCACTGGTAACAGTGGGTACACAGAAAAACACAGAATATTATAACACTGTAATTAAGTTCTGTAAATTACTCATATTGTGAGTAGAAAGGCTAAAAAATGAACCAATAAAAAATGATAACTATGACAACTTTTCAAGACATAGGCAATACAATAAAATACAAATAGAAACAACAACATGTTAAAAAGCAGGGAGATGAAGTTAAGGGTAGAGCCTTGATTAGTTTTATCTTTGCTTGTTTGTTAGACTGGTTGTTCCTATGCAATCAGTGTTAGGTGGCCATCAGTTTAAAATAATGGGTTATAAGATGTTCTTTGCAAACCTCATTCTAACATCAATTTAAAAAAAGTTCAACATACACACACAAAATTAAAAGCAAGAAATTCAAACATAAGACCTGAGAAAACCACCTTCACTAAAACGTAGACACGAGGGAAGGAAAGAAGGAAGAGAAGACAACAAAACAACCAGAAAACAAATAAAAAATAAAAGTAAGTTCTTACTTATTGATAATAACATTGAACATAAATGGACTAAACTCTCCAATCAAAAGACATAGAGTGATGAATGGATTTTTTAAAATCCCAGCAATCTATTGCCCACATGAAAAACATTTCACCTATGAATACACAAAGAGACTGAAAACAAAGGGATAGAGAAATATATTCCATCTCAATGAAAACCAGAAAAAAAAAAAGCAGGAGTAGCTATACTTACATCAGACAAAATGGATCTCAAGACAAAAAGTATAAAAAATAGCAAAAAAGGTCATTATATAGCAATAAAGGGAAGAATTCAGCAAAAAAAATAACAATTGTCAATATATAGGCACTCAACACTGGAGCACCCAGATATATGAAGCATATATTATTAGAACTAAACGAAGAGATATACCCCAATACAGTAATACCTGGAGACTTCCACACCCTATTTTCAGCATTGGACAGATCATCCAGACAGAAAATTTAAAAAGAAACATCAAATTTAATCTGCACAATAGAACAAATTGACCTAGTAGTTATTTATAGAACATTTAATCCAACGGCTGTGAAGTCCACATTCTTCTCTTCAACACATGGATTATCCTCAAGTATATCTCATGTATTAGGGCATAAAAAAGGTCTTAAAAAATTCAAAAAAGTAAAGCAATATTATCTGACCACAGTGAAATAAAACTAGATATCATTAACAAGATGAATTTAGCAAACTATACACACACATGAAAATTAAACAATATGCTAATGAATTACCAGTGGTAAAATGAATAAATTTAGAAGAATTTTGTTTAATTATGGAAACAATTTAAAATGGAAACACAATCTAACAAAACCCATGGGATACAGTGAAATCGTTATTAAGAGAAAAGACTATAGCAATAAGGGCCTATATCTAATAAGAAGAAAAACTTTAAATAACCAACCTAATGATGCATCTTAAAGAACTAGAAAAGCAAGAGCAAGTGAAACCCAAAATTAGTAGAAGAAAAAAAGTAATAAAGATCGGAACAGAAATAGATGAAATTAAAAATATACAAAAGATCAATGAAATAAAAAGTTGATATATTTGAAAAGATAAACAAAACAGACAAACCCTTAATCAAACTAAGAACAAAAGAGAGAAGACTCAAATAAATAGAATCAGAGATGAAAAAGGCGACATCACGATCAATACCACAGAAATTAAAGGATCATTGGAGGCTACTATAAACAACTATGATGTGCCAATAAATTGGAAAACCTAACAGAAATGGATAAATTCCTAGACATACACAACCTAAGAAGGTTGAACCATAAAAAACCCAAAACCTGAACACACCAATATAAAGTAATGAGATTGAAGCCCTAATAAATATCTCCCAGCAAAGAAAAGCCCAAGATTTGATGGTTTCACTGCTGAATTTTACCAAACATTTAAAGAACTCATACTAATCTGGCTGAAACTATTCCAAAAAATAGAGGAGTAGGGAGTTCTTTCACACTTATTCTGTGCATTTTGTATTACCATAATATCAAAACTAGACAAAGACACATCAAAAAAGAAAACTACAGACCACTATTCCTGATGAACACTGAGCAAAAATTCTCAAGAAAATACTAGCAAATCAAATTCTACAACAGTTGAAAATGATCATTCATCATGACTAAGTGGGATATATTCCAGAGATGAAAGGATGTTTCAGTAGATGCAAATCAATCAATATGATACATTATATCAACAGAATGAAGGACAGAAACCATATGATCATTGCAATTGATGCTGAAAAACCATTTGATAAAATTAAAATCTCTTCATGATAGAAGCCCTCAAAAAACTTGGTATAAAAGGAACACAACTCAACACAGGTAGACCCACAGCTGGTCACATACTGAATGGTGAAAACGTGAAAGCCTTTACACTGAGAAGTCAAAGAAGAAAAGGATGCCCACTTTCACTACTGTCATTCAACATAGTAATGGAAGTCCTATCTACAGAAATCAACACACAGAAGAAAGAAAAAGAAGAAAAGAAAGAAAGAAGGAAAGAGAAAGAAAGAAAGAAAGAAAGAAAGAAAGAAAGAAAGAAAGAAAGAAAGAAAGAAAGAAAGAAAGAAAGATCCAAAGAAGGGCAAAGAGGAAGTCAAATGATCTTGTTTGTATGTGATATGATCATATATTTGGAAAACCTAAAGATTCCACCAAAAAATGATTAGAACTCATGGGATTACTGTAAACAAATTTAGTAATATTGCAGGTTACAAAATCAATGTAGAAAAATCAGTAACATGTCTGTATGCAAATAGCAAACAATCTGAAAAAGAAATTGAAAAAGCAAGGTCATTAAAATAGCTACAAATATATAAAATACTTGAGAATAAAAACAAAGAAGTGAAGGAACTTTGCAATTAAAACTATAATACACTGATGTAATAAATTGAAAATGACACAAAAAAATTGGAAAGATTCTATGCTCATGGATTAGAAAAATCAAAATTGTTAAAATATCCTTACCACCCAAATCAATCTACAGGTTCAATGCAATCCCTATCAAAATACCAATAATATTCTTCACAGAAATAGAAAAAAATAGTCCTAAAATTATATAGAAACACACACACCAAAAAACAGAATAACCAAAGCTATCCTCTACAAAAAAAAATTAAAATGGGGAAATCATCTTACCAGACTTCAAATTGTATTACAGAGATATAGTAACCAAAACAGCATGGTATTGGCATGGAGACAGGCATATAGAGCAATGGAACAGAAGAGAGAATGCATAAACAAATCCACACATCTACAGTGAACTCATTTTTGACTAAGGTGCCAAGAATATCGGGGAAAGCATAGTTGTTTCAACAAATGGTGCTGGAAAAACTTATCAATATGCAGTCAAAGGGAACTGAAGTCCTATCTTCCAATTATAAAAAATCAAGTCAAAATGGATTAAAGACTTAAATATCAGACCTCCCTGTATGAAACTGCTAAAAGAAAACATTGGGAAAACTATTCAGGACATTAAACTGGGCAAAGATTTCTTGAGTAATACCCCATAAGCATAGGCAACCAAAACAAAAATGGACAACTTGGATCCAACCAAGTTAAAAGGCTTCTGCACAGCAATGGAAACAACAAAGTGGAGAGACAACTCACAGAATGGGAGAAAATATTTGCAAACTACTCATTTGACAAGAGATTAATAACCAGAATATATAAATAGCTCAAACAACTCAATAGGAAAAAAAAATTAAACATCTGTTTAAAAACGGCAATAAATCTGAATAGATATTTCTCAAAAGAAGACATACAAATGGTGAACAGGTACATGACCAGGTGCTCAACATCACATCTATCATCAGAGAAATGCACATCAAAACTACAATGGGATATCATCTCGCCCCAGTTAAAATAACTTTTATCCAAAAGAGAGGCAATAACAAATGCTGGCAAGTTTGTGGAGAAAAGGAAACCTTCATACAATGTTGGTGGGAATGTAAATTGCTACAACCACTATGGGAGAACAATTTGGAGGTTCCTTAAATTTTAAAAGTAGAACTACCACTGCTCAGTATATACCCAATAGAAAGGAAATCAGTATATCAAAGATGTACCTGCACTCCTATGTTTATTGTAACACTATTCACAATAGTTAAGATTTGGAAACAACCTAATTGTCCATCAACAGATGAATTAATAAAGAAAATTTGGTACATATACACAATGGAATACTATTCAGCCATAAAAAGGAATGAGATCCTATCATTTGCAACAACATGGATGGAGTTGAAGGTCATAATGTTAAGTAAAATAAGTCAAGCACAGAAAGACAAACTTCATACATTCTAACTCATTTGTGGGAGCTAAACATTAAAGCAATAGAATTCATGACATTGAAAGTAAAATGATAGTTATCAGAGGCTGGAAAGTGTAGTAGGGCTTTGGGAAAGAAGTCGGGGTGGTTAATGTGTACAAAAAAATGGAAGGAATGAATAAGATCCAGTGTTTGATAGCACAGTAGGGTGACTGTAGTCAGTAACAATTTAATCATACATTTTAAAATAACTAAAAGAGTATAATTGGATTGTTTCTCACACAAAGGATAAATGCTTCAGGTGATGAATACCCCATTTCTTCTGATCCTGATGTGATTATTATACATTGTATGCCTGATTTTAAAAATTAAAACAAAATTAGTATATAAAAAGGAAAATAGAAGATACATTATTGAGGCGGTAGATATTCTATTTATCCTGATGTGATTATGACACATTGTGTGCCTGTATCAAAATATCTCATGTAACCAATACATATACACAGCTTCTCTGTACCCACAAAAAACTAAAAATTAAAAAAAATATACAAACTAAAATTAGGAAAAAAATACATGCGGTGAATTATAGGTCCTATTTCACTTTTTTAATCATATAGTCAACCAATTGTCCTAACAACACATTGAAAAGTCTTTCTAATCTTGCCAACTCATTAGGTATCAAATTTCCATTTATATATCATTTCTGGTTTGGGATCCCTTGTTCTGTTCAATGTATATGTTTGTCTATTCATCTGTCCTGACTTAATATAGTTTTATAATAATGTTTACACCTTGTTAGGCAAATCATACTACCATAGTTTTCTTCTTCACATGTCTTTGCTATTTTTGGACATTTTCACTTGAATATATACGTTAAAATTAGGTAAAATTGCACCAAAAAACCCTGGAATTTTTTTTTTGCTGGCAATGTATTCAACTTAAAATTTTTCAAATTCTAGATTCTATATTCTTAAGTAATTGACTCTAAACTTCAGAAACCAGTATATAAGCTTATCAGGGCAGTGATTATTATTTTTTTGCTCACACTTATACCCCATAGGCCTAATATAATGCTTAGTGTATAATAGGGACCCAATAAATAATTGTTGAATATTGAAGAAAAGAATAATTATATAGATTATTTTAAGGAGATAAGATTTTTTTAATGATTTGCAGTCTTCTGATCCATAAACCTAATATATTTCACTTGTATTTGTTGCTAGGGCTGCCATAGCAAAACACAACAGAGTGAGTGGCTTAAATAGCAGAAATTTATTTTGTCAGTTTTCATGGCCACAATTCCAAGATCAAGGTATCATTAGGGTTGCTTTCTGGTGAGGTCTCCTTCCTGGTTTACCTTGTCACTGTGTCCTCAGATGGCCTTTCCTCTGTGTACATGCAGAGAGTTCTCCGGGGTCTCTTCTTCTTATAAGATCATCAGTTCTATGGGATTAGGGCCCCATCCTTATGATCTCATTAATTTGAATGATTTCCCTAAAGGCTCTATCTCCAAATACAGGCACATTGAAGATTTGGTTCTTAATATGAGTTTTTGGGTGACATAATTCAGTCCATAGGATTACCATTTATTTCATAATTATTTAATATCTTTCATAAAGTTTTTAAATGTCTCAAGAAAACTTTTGTAATAAGTATAATTATATTTTGGTGTTATTGTAAGTATGTTTTTTAAATTACGTTTTCTTCCTGTTAGTTTTTGGTATCTACAAATGCAATTTGATTTTCCATAGTGATTTTTGTAAACAACCACCTTGCTGAAATTTTACCTTAATTCCATGATTTATTCATAAATTATCTTGAGTTGTCTGTCTACAGAATCATAAAATCCTTTCCAATCCCTGCAGATTTGTTCTTTTCACTTACATTACTGAGTAGGATGGCCAGTGCAGTGTTGAAAAGAAATGGTAATAACAAGCACCCTTGTCTAGGTACTGAAGTCAGTAAACTGTGAAATATTTTCAGTGTTCAACAACTATTAACACAGATCTAGACAAGTAAATGATTTTTACCATTTTAACATTATTATGTTTGCTCTTAATTTTGTAGGTGTTTTCCTGATTAAAAATATCCCTTGTTTGCTAAGTTTTTTTTTCTTCCTATGAATGAGGGGGACAAAAATTTTGTTGAATTTTAACAAATTCTTTTTGTTTATTTAGAGAGGTCATTGATTTTTCTCACAAATGTGCTGGTGTGGTGAATTATATTAATTGATTTTTCAAAGTTATTACAACCTCTCTATATTACCACTGTTCTAGTTTACCATTATGGTGTCTTTGCCTTTACTATCAACAGCACTATAGACTTATTTACCCTTGACAGCTCATAATTTAAATATCCCATTTATTCTTTTAGAACTAAGACATGCCATGGCCCAGGCTATACCATAATCAGCCTGAGTTTTAGCTTCCCTTCATTTTGTGGTCAACTTGTTTCTGACCAACATCTGTCTACCTTTTACCTCATGAGCAAATAAGGTTTTTTAATTCACTCTCTACATGCACATTTTTTCAATACACAAAAATTTTACTTTTCCCTCAGGAGAGAAAAATCTAGATATGGCCAACAAAATTTTTCCCTCACATCAAAAGTTTACAGAAAACAGTTCTGTTCTCAAAATGACTCTCTAGGTCAAAAGCCCCAAGGGGAGGGTACAAGTAAAAGTGAGAAAAAATTGACTGGAATCAGGGAATATATTGAAGTATCATTGTGGAGAATTCTCTTTCTTTTCAGTTGTTAGCTAAGTGCATTAGAACAAAAAAAAAAAAATGATGACCTTCATAGATAAGGTTGAAATGAAGAAAAAAGCTTTCACTTCCTTTTTCACCCTGAAGGTTGATTTTTATCAGTGCACTTAAATGCATTTGGAAAGAATGTTTATGGGTAGGGGTGAACTTTTAATTCACTTTTTTCACTTCCCATTCTTATTGATCAATTACATTTCTTAGGATTGTCACCCAGCCATTTGTTTATTAGTTTTAGTATTAAATTAAGTAATTTCATGTAACTAGAAGACTAATGTTTTATTTTTAATATGACATAGATATTTTGGTGTTTATGCAGTGTATATGGCTGTAAAATGTGTACACGCTATTAGAGTATGTTAATGCTTTTAATTTATGTATTGTACTTCTTGTTCAATTAATTTTAAGTATTCAAAGACTTTTTAGTTTTAAATATACTTTTGTCACAGATACAACTGATGCATAGTTGAACATCATAGTTATTTTTCTACCAGCATAATTTAGTTGCGTAGAACTTTGGAAATATGGGACCAGTTTTTTGTATGCTTGCTACGACCAGACACTGTACGAGGCACTTTCCTTGCAGTATGTCATTTAATCTGAACACAAGTCCTATAAAGAAGATAATATTTTTTCTCATTTTATATATGAGAAAAATTGAAACTCAGAAAAGTTAGGTAGCTTACCCATGGTCATATAGCCAGCCAGTAAGTGCTAGAATGAGATTAAAACCGAGTCAATGCAATTGGTTGTCAACATCTGGTTGGAAATAACGTTGGAGGAAGAGAATAGCTAACTGCTTAATACACATTTATTGATCCATCAAATATTTATTGAGCACTTAACTCCAGGGTAGCCCTGTGTGTGCAATAGTTATGTAAGTAAAACCATGATTACACAGGGATTCATAGCTCAGGCTTCATAAGCTCTAGGTAGATAACAAAACTCTTTATTTTCTTAATGCTTCTTCTGAGACAAGCCCCGTACTGGATGTTTATTTTTATTTTTTTATTATTTTTTTTTCCATTTTTTTAAAATTTTAATTAGGAATCAAACAAGTTAAATATAAACTTACACTTAATTTATTTTTTAAACATTTCAAGAATGGATATTCTAATTTTATATCAGTACATTTTGAGAATCAATAAAATTTTTTTTTATTTTATTATTATTATTATACTTAAGTTTTAGGGTACATGTGCACAATGTGCAGGTTAGTTACATGTGTATACATATGCCATGCTGGTGTGCTGCACCCATTAACTCGTCATTTAGCATTAGGCATATCTCCTACTGCTATCCCTCCACCCTCCCCCCACCCCACAACAGTCCCCACAGTGTGATGTTCCCCTTCCTGTGTCCATGTGTTCTCATTCTTCAATTCCCACCTATGAGTGAGAACATGCGGTGTTTGGTTTTTTGTCCTTGCAATAGTTTACTGAGAATGATGATTTCCAATTTCATCCATGTCCCTACAAAGGACATGAACGCATCATTTTTATGGCTGCATAGTATTCCATGGTGTATATGTGCTACATTTTCTTAATCCAGTCTATCGTTGTTGGACATTTGGGTTGGTTCCAAGTCTTTGCTATTGTGAATAGTGCCGCAATAAACATACGTGTGCACGTGTCTTTAAAGCAGCATGATTTATAGTCCTTTGGGTATATACTCAGTAATGGGATGGCTGGGTCAAATGGTATTTCTAGTTCTAGATCCCTGAGGAATCGCCACACTGACTTCCACAATGGTTGAACTAGTTTACAGTCCCACCAACAGTGTAAAAGTGTTCCTATTTCTCCACATCCTCTCCAGCACCTGTTGTTTCCTGACTTTTTAATGATTGCCATTCTAACTGGTGTGAGATGGTATCTCATTGTGGTTTTGATTTGCATTTCTCTGATGTCCAGTGATGGTGAGCATTTTTTCATGTGTTTTTTGGCTGCATAAATGTCTTCTTTTGAGAAGTGTCTGTTCATGTCCTTTGCCCACTTTTTGATGGGGTTGTTTGTTTTTTTCTTGTAAATTTGTTTGAGTTCATTGTAGATTCTGGATATTAGCCCTTTGTCAGATGAGGAGGTTGCAAAAATTTTCTCCCATTCTGTAGGTTGCCTATTCACTCTGATGGTAGTTTCTTTTGCTGTGCAGAAGCTCTTGAGTTTAATTAGATCCCATTTGTCAATTTTGTCTTTTGTTGCCATTGCTTTTGGTGTTTTAGACATGAAGTCCTTGCCCATGCCTATGTCCTGAATGGTAATGCCTAGCATTCTTATACACCAATAACAGACAAACAGAGAGCCAAATCATGAGTGAACTCCCATTCACAATTGCTTCAAAGAGAATAAAATACCTAGGAATCCAACTTACAAGGGATGTGAAGGACCTCTTCAAGGAGAACTACAAACCACTGCTCAAGGAAATAAAAGAGGATACAAAGAAATGGAAGAACATTCCATGCTCATGGGTAGGAAGAATCAATATCGTGAAAATGGCCATACTGCCCAAGGTAATTTATAGATTCAGTGCCATCCCCATCAAGCTACCAATGACTTTCTTCACAGAATTGGAAAAAACTACTTTAAAGTTCATATGGAACCAAAAAAGAGCCCGCATCACCAAGTCAATCCTAAGCCAAAAGAACAAAGCTGGAGGCATCCTGCTACCTGACTTCAAACTATACTACAAGACTACAGTAACCAAAACAGCATGGTACTGTTATCAAAACAGAGATATAGATCAATGGAACAGAACAGAGCCCTCAGAAATAACGCCGCATATCTACAACTATCTGATCTTTGACAAACCTGAGAAAAACAAGCAATGGGGAAAGGATTCCCTATTTAATAAATGGTGCTGGGAAAACTGGCTAGCCATATGTAGAAAGCTGAAACTGGACCCCTTCCTTACACCTTATACAAAAATCAATTCACGATGGATTAAAGACTTAAACGTTAGACCTAAAACCATAAAAACCCTATAAGAAAACCGTACTGGATGTTTAACATGCACGCTGTAACTGGAAGCTCACAAAACCCTTTGAGGGAGCTGTTTTTATTCCCCTTTTATAACCAACGAAACTTTAAATCAAAGGAATTAAGAAACTTATTTAAGGCTATGTAGTGCACACAAGTTGAGCATCCCAAATCACAAAAATTTGAGATCCAAAGTGCTCCAAATTCTGAAACTTTTTGATCTCCAACGTGATACCACATGAGAAAATTTCCACATCTGACCTCATGTGATTGGTCATAGTCAAAACTTTGTTTCATGCACAAAATTATTATAAAAATTATTGTATGAAATTACCTTTAAGGAATGTGCAAAAGGTTAATATGAAGGTTAAATTTCTTGTTTAAACGTTGTCCTGTGCCCAGGATATTTTATTATGTATATGCAAATATTCTAAATCCAAAAAATGTCCCAAATCTAAAACACTGCTGGCCCCAACCTGTATATGCAACTTGACTTTTTCCTAACCAATTATTATAAACCATGCAGAATTTTTAAGTGTATTTAATGCCATTGATACTTTATGATATAATTACCACAGAATCATGTATCTTGAAAGCATCTTAATAATGATGAAGTACAACTTCTTCATATCAAAGCCAGGACTCAAGTCTTGTAAAGGTCGTGTCAGTGATAGGTACTTGGGACACTACTTTTTCTCTAGACCAGGTCCTTATGGACCTTATCTATTCCTATAAAAAATTGTTGAATGAAGTTTTTTCTAGCAACTTTGTATGTTTATAATCCACTTTTTATCTTCTTATCTCCATCAAATAAATATATAGACATGTCATGTTACATGTCAGGGATATGTTTTATTGAAAGATTTTATGGAAATCCAGTTTAGCCAGGAGTGGTATTTAATTACACTGATGTGGTCAGAGTAGTATTTACAACATTTTGTTATAATCACTGTCACTTGATTTTTGTGTTCTAGATCACAAGGTCCTTGAAAGTAGGCCTAGTGTAGTATTTGGGTTTGGTCTGACTCCAGCAGCTAAACTGAAAGATCTTAAACAACTCATTTAATATTTGTGCTAGAGCTTCATTGTTTATAAAATGAAAATAATTATTGTTTGTAGAAATCATTTAGCACAGTGCTATTCACATAATACAAACTCAGTACATATTAATTTTATTTCTTTATTTGTCTTACATATAAAAGGTGATGGGCGAATATTTAGTGAATGAGTGGTTGAATGTTTGAATGATAGAAAGCAATGTAACCTGGATTTGTAGTTTGCTCCAGAAGAACCTAGCAAAATTGAATACAAAAAAACCACAAAATTATCCAATAGCTCTTATCTTACATATTTGTTAATTAAACCATCTCTTCACAGATAGTGGCAATGTGATCAGCATTTAAAAAACATAAGAGGACATTCACCATTTAATGCACCATCTTAGTTACCATTTGCATTATATTAGATCATTGTTCTAAATTATTGATTCCCTCCCCATCCCGTCTCCATAAACAGAATATAGCTTTCCACCTCTTGAGCTTAGGCTTAGCCAGTTACTTTCTTTGACACGTGATGCATTTGTTACATTTATAACTATCAATGTTCCCCAAAGGTAAAATAACGGTCAGGTGGTATCTCCCCTCTATAAAGAGAATAGACTAAAAATGAGTATTAAAAATACCAATGCGACAAAACCATTAATCAAAAATTTACTTCAATAGGCTAATGGAAAGAAGCAATATACTAGATTCTGTGCCTAAGGTCTCTACATCTGTGTGCTATTTTAAATACTTCAAAAAGTTTAAAGGAAATACAGCACATATCAAATGTAATGATGCACAGGCTAAGCAAGATGATAAATGTGTTTGGTTTTGGCTGAGAGTTTATCAACTCGGTTGTAAAAATCTTGTAGAGAAACCACATATGTTGCATATAAATGATAAACTTTCCATGTGGCTTTTAGTCGATGGCTCCAAAACGTCATGCAGTTTCAAATTGAGGGAACCGCCCCAGAGATCTCTTTGACAGCTGAAGCAATGTTACTGCAAAATGATCACAATGATAGATTTCCTTAGCTTAGTAGCACAGGAAAGCCTGGCCTTTAAGAATTGTACTAATCTTTAGGTTCCTGTAGGTTTCTTAAGGTTAGCATGCCCTTTGAAGAATAAAAATATACTTTAGAGATGCTTTTCCTGGAGTCAGTTAACCAAATTGCAGTTTTCATTAGGCTTGGTTCCACAGAGCTTATGTGTGGAGGCATATTTACAAACGTTGGTGACCCTATTTTTACATAGTGGTACATCACTAGCCAGCAGACTAAGGATGAAAGAGAGCTGAAAATGCTTCTCTATAAAATGGATATAAATTTGGACATTAGAACAAGCTGTACAGAGTGATATAATCTATATACAGACTCTGATTGGACAAAATGTAGATTTCTACACATTTTTGATGGCTGGAGCAACTCTATTTTGTAACTCTGTCTGGCTCTCCTACATTATAAAGGAATATGGAAGAAACTCAATTTTCTGAAGTTAGTCATTACACTTTAACTTACTGCCTCTTCTTTTCCACTTCAGAAACCTACATTGGATTTTACAGATCAGCTAACCAAGTGCTGTGATATGTCATGCCCAGTTACTTCAGTCACATTGTGTTCATTACAGACACAACCTAATCCTATGTGACTGATGTAATCAGACAATGTAGTGTACAATGAGGTGTCACCCTGAGATATTCAAAGAGACAGCTTTTTTTTTTAAAAAAAAAGGCATTTTAAAGTTATGATACTAGAAAACAAACAAGTAACTAAATTTGGGAGTGATATGTTATGAAAATTATGATATAGAAAACAGAAAAAAAGTAAAACCATTTTTCTTTTCACAGATCGGAAAGATTTGTAAAATGTGCATATATGTGTGTTTGTGTGTATATATTAATATGTTAAAAGTAGTGAGCTGGAGTGAGTCACAGTAATGTGGCTTTAACTTTTCAAACTATCTTTAAAAGAGAAAAAAACTGAACAAATTTAAAATAATAAAGGTGGTATCATTATAAAAATCTCTTTGCACAGTTTTAATATAGGACACATAAATTTGATGCTTAAAACTGTTTTATGCGGCTAAGAAATTAAAAAATACTATGTAGAGTATTTATTGATGATATTTCCAGTATTACCATTATATCATAGAATTATGCCAAGCCATGTATAACTGGTTAAAAAAGGACTTGGGATTAATGTCTGAAAGACAGGGAGCAGCTACTAGCTCACTGATATGGTTTGGCTATGTCCCCTCTCAAATCTCATCTTGAATTGTAGCTTCCATAATTCCCATGTGTCATGGTAGGGACCCAGTGGGAGGTAATTAAATCATGAAGGCAGAATTTTCCCATGCTGTTCTCATGATAGTGAATAAGTCTCATGAGATCTAATGGTTTCATAAAGGGCACGTCCCCTGCACACACTCCCCCTTGCCTTCCACCATGAAAGACGTGCCTTTGCTCCTCCTTCACCTCCCACCGTGATTGTGGGGCCTCTCCAGCCATGTGGAACTTGTGAGTCCATTAAACCTCTTTTTCTTTATAAATTACCCAGTCTCTGGTATGTCTTTATTAGCAGCATGAGAATGGATTAATACACACATCTATTATTTAATGTTCCGTTTTAAGTTCTATTATGAACGAAAAATCATTAGTTAGCTTAACTAACTCTCTGTACCTAGTTGAAACCTGTCATTCTGGGAATATATTACATGAAATGGGCCTGTGTGCATAAAATCTAATTAAAACATTGTTGTCTGCACAATTACTATTTTATGTTTACATATGTTTTTAAAAAGAAGACTTTAATTTCACAGAATGTAAATGCAAAAATATCATGCAGAAGCTGATTTTGATTATGTAGGGGCAACAGATAATGAAGGCCTAAAATAAGACCAGGGAAATGAGATAGTGGAACTAAGGGAGGTTTTCAATTGATTAAAGAAATACAAATATTCTTACTAATGAATTAGATAACATACACTATATTTTTATTGACCAAGTTCACTGTGGGAAACTAGCAAGACATTTATTTTGTTAATGAAATGACTACTGCTTTAAAAAATGAAACAAAAACAAAAGCAAAAGCCACACAAAGTGGCAGCAAAATAAGTGGTTTACAATCACTCAGAAAATGAATAGCCAGAGTAGCTTTTAGAAAAATTGTGCAATTTGTAGTTTTGCTGTACATTTAATTTTATTTTAATCAAAATTATATATGCACAGAGTTTAAAAACTGAAATTATTCCACATGTTAATAAAGGAAAATAAATTGTTCGGTCATCTGCCCTGTTCCTCTTAATGACTTATTCTTCTTCTCTAAAACAGGTTCTCAACTCTTATAGATTATTTCCACAGTCCTAAATAGTGTGATTATACTAGTAGTATTCATTTTTTTCTACTTTCATATTACCTGTTAACTTCCTACTATAGAATATGAGGCTTTAGCTTTATGCTCTCAACCTCCAATAAAGAAAAAAAATTCTTTCTTCTCTGCTTCCATTATACTTGTATCACAGTTTTTTTAATTAAGGAAGCATTAATTATTCATATATTTATGATGTTTTCCTTTCCTTGGAATTAAAAATAACCTTTTAGATTTTTTTATTACCCTGATTTTCACTGAACTTATAAGTAGTCCATAACTACACTCTCTTTAAGCCATGTAAATCTCATTTCAATACATTCCACCATAGCAAGTAGTCTGGGTTTTTTTTTTCCTTTTTTTTTCTTTTTAAATCTGCAAAAAACTCCTCCTGAAACTCTCTGTTCTCTGTTACAATGTGGACCACAACATAGCTTTTATGGAGTTTCTTTTGCTGTCATCCTGAAAATTCACTTCATTACTGTTTTGAATCCACGTCCTTGAATTTCTATATTTTTGTTTACATCCTCACTTTCTTGAGCATATTCTCAAGTTGTTTCCTGGAAAAGATGAGTGAGAAGTTGCTTTTTAAATTGTTTTCCTGTCACAAAATGTCTTTTTTTAAATCACTTCCAAATTATAATCTGGTTTACATTATAAATGTAAGTTTACATTATAAATCATCTTCCCTCATAATCTTGAAAACTATGCTCTTTTGTCTTCTAGTTTTCAATACTGCCATTGAGAAGCCTGATACCCTACTGATTTGTGATGTTTTGAATGTTATTAGATTGTGTTTCTCTTCCTGGAAGCTTAAAAGGCAATCTCTTTATGTTTAGGGTTAAAATTTAATAACATAATATTTATGCAGCTATGTTTTCATTCATTGTGATGAGTACTTTTTGAGCCACTTCATCCTAGAATCTCATATTCTTAAGATCTGCTAAATGTCCTTAAATTAGTTCTTTGACTATTTTCTCTTCTATTTTCTTTGTCATTGTTCTAATCTTTCCTTCTTTTTTCCTTTCTTCTTTTTTTTCCTTCCTCCCTCCTTTCCTTCCTCTATCCTTCCTTCTCTCTCTTCTTTCTACCTTGTGAAGGAGTACTTCAACTTTATCCTTTCTTTCCTTTTTTTCCTCTCTCTCTCTCTCTATATATATATATAGATATACACATATGTTATATACACACACATATAAGCAGGTTATATCTATCTATATATATAGATATATAGATGTTATATACACACATACACACACATATAAACAGGTTATATCTATCTGTCTATATATGTATAGTTTATATGTATATATAACCTGTTTATGTGTGTATGTGTGTGTGTTTGTGTGTAGAGAGAGAGATAGAGGGAGGTCCTTTTTGTATCGCATATTAAATAACTTATCTTTTCTTTATGTCATTGACAATGTTCATGGTTGCTTGTTTCTTTTGTTTTTTGCTCAGGTTACACCCTTTCTGCAACAATTTGTTAGTCCTTGCCTGTATTCCATAGCTAAGAAAATGTCCTATGAAGTTATTTGGAAGTGCTATGTACATTGTTGGAGCTTGTTGATTTTTGTTCTTCACTGTACAGTGATTCTGCTGGAAAGGTTTCACTGAGGAACTCACCACCTTCTCTGTATTATTCTCCTAAACTTTTTTATTTTGAGATACTTATAGTTTCACAGGAATTTGCAATAATAGTACAGAGAAGTTTCATGTACCCTTGACCTGGTTTTCAATGGCTACATATTTCCTTGTAGGAGTGAGTATTTTATATACAGACCCATAACTAATAATTGATCTCTTAACAATATAATGCTGCTGGTATGCAACAGTGGTTGCAAGTCAGCAGTTTAATAGTGAGGAAATGTAAATCTGCATATATTAGCATAAATCAGAGAAATTATAGGAACCACTGTGGAGCAGAATTCACTCTTATAGACTATGGTGACAGAAAGCATGTCTGGGTTTCAGTGGTCTTCTGGAAGAGTTGATATATTGGTTTCAACGAAATCCTATGCTGTCTTTCAAATGTTCTATTAAAATGAATATTATTAAAACCATGGAACATTGTAATATAGACAATTATAATTTGGTTTTCAAGTTTTGATAGAGATTGAGAACAATATGGAATTTAAAGAAAGGAATAGATTTCATCCCTGAATAACCAATTAGGCAGTATTAAAATAGTTACTTACATATGTGTTTCTGTGTTCCTATTGATATGACGTCATCTGTAATATTGCGATAAGCCCATTTACAACTAGAAGGGACATCAGAAAGAATGTAATCCTTTCATTGTACGTAGAATTAAACCAAGGCCGAGAGTGATGCAATGACTTTCTCAAGTCACATCCAGATTATATGGGTTCTAGTTCAGTGCTTAAGCAGGCATAATTAATTAATTTACTCACTATATATTATCACAAGATCGAGTACACAAAACAAATAGGAAAATATAAAATATGAGTAAGGCTACTTTACATAAGTCACAATCTCAAACTAAAAATTTACCTTCCATTTTAGTTTACTCATTCAGCAGCATTTGATCAGAAACAGACAAGCACACTCATCTGAAAATACGGAAATAGAAATGAGAATCTTCTTGATCTCTGAGAAATTTTTTTCTAGACCACATAATGTTAGCTTAGGACAGAGATGAATGGGGCTGGGATGAGTTCTAAAAAGATAAGTCTACGCCTCACACTTTAGTAAGATAAATTAGCTTAACTAGGATCTAAAGGGATTGTATTTTTATTTTATTTCTGTTTGTTTTCTTATTACAGCCTCAATTCCCCCTGTTAATGATCCGTCCCTAAAAAATAGATACCAATTTTAAAAAGTTGGCGGAAATCTGTGTCAGCTTACATCCATATAGACATGTAGGCCACAAGATTAACTTGTTTTTACTATATAGGTTTTTCTGCTCTTTTTTTTTTTTTTTCTAAATACACAGCTTGACGTGAGACAGTGATCCCAATTTAGTAGCTCTTGGATGGGGCCATGGCCGCTATGATACAGCAGATCATGTTTTAGTTACAGATTGCATATGTAAAATACCCAGCATGCTATCCAGAATATACAGGATTTTAATAAAAACTGGCTTTCTTTCCTTCATCCGTATATTTATCTGTTTCTTCTATTAGACTGTGGGCTGCTCAACACTGGGATATATGCCAATTGTTATCACTTTAGTACACATTTCCTTTGGTACAGAGGCTGGCACTTTGCAGGCACAGTCTTCAATGAAAACTTATCATATTACTGGACTATTCTACAACAAGTTATTACTGTGTGAGATTATATTTATGGGGATAGAGTTGGATCTGTGGTCAACGTAAAATCATAGAATAATGAATGTACCTATCTGAAATTTTTTCAAAATTTGTGAGATTTACATGAGAAAAGCCACATATAAAAGTCTACATATAATTGCATTACTGAAGTAAATGTTAAAAGATAGCTTACAATTGATTGGCTTTGAGCTTATGAAGGGGACCATGCCTTCCACCTTTCGGATAACAACTTAGTACCCCAAACAGTATCATGTTTCTAGAATAAGCTTAATAAATATTGAATTAGTGTATTGTAATTAGCTTTGCCCTTTCAAAAACTATTAAAATTTTTACTTCTCAAGTTATTTTTATTTCCTCTAGCCCACGCTAATACACACTCAGTAGAAACCCAACATTTTATACAATATGTTATTTGGATTTGAAAAAGAAATGTCAAGAACACAGTGAGCAATAGTTGGGATGTGACACTTCGTGAATCTAGTTAATAAAGTCCCTTCAATAGAGTAAAGCCAAGTAGATATTTCTGACTATATTCAATGTCAGCTTTTCCTATTCTTCTCTTAGCACTCTGCATTATCCATGTACTTCTCAGGTTTATTTATTTAAAAACAACTTCTGAATTCCTATTACTTTCAGTGATGCTTGATTGACTGATTTTACTGACTTTTCAGTGGCAAATAATCTAGGTTTACAAGAGGTAAATGTCAAAAAAAAAAGCTTCAATTATGAGGATAATTGGGCAAATGACTGGGCATGACTGTTTTATATCATACATGTTTTAATAGAAGCTTAGTCTTGACATTCCATATAGAAATAAAGTCATAAGGGTCAGTGAGCAAATTCATTTTATAAGTATGTATTGTAGAACATCTGATATGAACAAGAATATGAAATGGTTATTGCACTCAAGTGGTTCATATTCTAGAAGAGGAGACAAAAATATAAGCAACGTTTGACCCATAATTACTTGAAAACACTACGTAAACAGTAACATCATAGACATCCAGACAAAGTATAGTGTGAGAAAAGAAAATAATGCAGTTGAAAGTAGGATTTAATTTTGGCATTGGTATTTTTAAAATAAGTATGACCTTAACAGTCAGAGATAGAGCTGATGTCATTCCAAGGAGAGAAAACATCATGAACAAATGCAAAGAACCACACAAGTGCAGCCCGAAGTACTTATAGCAGAGTAAAGAATGATCAGAATCCAGGCTAAAGAGGTAGGTTAAGAGAGATGATGGTACTTTTGAATACCATGAGGAATTTAGATATTATTCAAAAGACAAAGGACAGTTTTAGAGAAAGTAAATGGCATAATCAATTTTGAAATTTAGTAAGATCAATGTGGTAGGAGTGTAGTAGTTTAAAATCAGTACAAATCAGAGGGAAAAGGGCATATTGCAATAGACCCTAAGCATGAAAAAAGGGACTGAATTAGGGAAGAGGTGATGAATGGATAAGGGATATGTGACAAATATCATGCAGTGTAAATCAATACACAGTGTAATCAGAGAGCAACACCAACCCTTCTACCATAGAGTATGGTAATACACAGAATACGTGACAAGGAATATGACCTGATGTGAAACTATTGTGGATGAATTGAATGTCATAGAATTAAACTGATTATGGGAAGGCTCAGTTGGGAGCAGCTGATCTTTAAATATCAATCCATGTGATTCTAAGAGAAACTCCAACTCAAGGATAGGTGAATCAGTGGTATTCCCTCACAGATAAGATGGTCAATAACATTAGTCCAACATTACTTGGACTCATATCTTTACATTTTTGGAACATTTTTATTCGAAAACAACCTTTAAAAAGATCAGCACTATTCACAATAGCAAAGTCATGGACTCAATCTTACAGTCCATCAATGGTGGATTGAATGAAGCAAATGTGGTACATATACACCATGGAATAATATGCAGTCATAAAGATAAGGGAATCATGTGCTTTGCAGCAATATGGATGAAACTTCAGGTCATTATCCTAAGTACATTAACACAGAAACAGAAAACCAAATACCACATGTTCTCACATAGGAGAGCTAAATAATGGGAACACATGGACACAAAGATGCAAAAAAAAAAAAAAAATAGACACTAGGGACTTAAAAGAGGGGCAGGGGCAGGTCGTGGTGTCTCCAATCTGTAAATCCAGAACTTTGGGAGGCCAAAGTGGGCAGATCACTTGAGGCCAGAAGTTTGAGACCAGCCTGGTCAACATGGAGAAACCCTGTCTCTAACAAACATATAAAAGTTAGCCGGGCATGGTGGCACACACATGTAGTCCCAGTTACATAGGAGGCTGAGGCATGAGAATGGTTTGAAACCAGAAGGCAGAGGTTGCAGTGTGCTGATATTGTGCTACTGCACTCCAGCCTGAGAGACAGATGGAGACTCTGTCTTACAAAAAAGAGGCATAGGTAGGGAGGGGAGAAAGGGTTAAAAACCTCCCTGTTGGGTACTATGTTCACTATTTGGGTGATGGGTTCACTAGAAGCCCAAACCCCAGCATTAAGCAATATACACATGTAACAAATATGCACCCCCGGAATCTAAAATTTAAAGAAGAGAGATCAGTGAATTATAAAGTATATGGAAAATACTTTCATATAAAGTTAAGCACTTGGAGTTTACTTAAATAATTGAAGTGCAAATCATCCTTGGCTCTGTAGGTGCAAAATCTTGGTGGGCATGGCTGGGAAACTTTACAGAAAATCAGAAATGGTTTTGTTGTTTTATTTCATTTTTCTTTTCAGGTGTGAGTCATCTCGTGTAAAATCAAAATGCAAGGGTTTTTTAGAAGTCAAAAACATTATTTCTACACACCAAGTAATGGAAAATTTTTAGGGTAAATGTGCATATTTCCAGGCATGGCTACTATTCAAAGAAAATACTGCAAATCATGTGGGAGACTTCTCAACAGACTTAAGGATTAGGGCCCTTTAGATACTGGTTATAGCATGTGCAAATGCAGTGGGTTTTTATAATTACATTACAATCACACTGTTAGCTGCTGGGGCACTTCTGTGGCTAATTCCATGGTTATTAAAATCCTGTAATTAGAATTTACTTTTGCAGACTTTAGTGTCAAGACAAGAGTAACTGTAGCAGCAGCACCTACACCTGCACAGATTTATATTTCTAACTGGAATGAAAACATGTTTTTTGATAAAACACTGTCGGTATTATTTGAAGGCAACAAGTAAAGGACAATGTGCGTAATTTAATATTCACACTACTATAGTCACTATCTGATCACAATTGGCATTGGAAAGGATGACATTTCTCTTGTAGACAAGAGTACTTTCCAGTAGGCAGTGACTACTGATTGTATGTCTCTATTGCATGTGTCCTCAATCATAGAGACTGGAACAAAAAATGCCTGCATTATATAGGTAATTAATGCTTGCTGTAGAAATAATATATGCCGTAATGTTAGTTGCTCATAAAAAACCAGATGTTCCTGCATGGACATTTATTTTGCGCAGCTTTATCCCAAGCAGTGATTCAGAGTTCCAGGCTCCTTCTATTTAGTGGCCAATGTCAAGGGCTTCCTTAGAATACTGCACTATATAATACACATTTAGCCATCTGTTGAAAAGAGTGAGATTTACACAACACAAACAAACACACGCACACACACACACAGAGAGAGAGAGAGAGAGAAAGAGAGATAAATGATCAAGCAGATTTTTAGCAGCCCAGTATGGATTTGACATTCATCACTGTCTACATTCTACATTCTACAATTAGTCACTTGCCAATACCCAGACGCAAAAGGACCGATACATATTGTCTTTTTGTATGTATAGGTGGATAGGAAAATGGTGTGGAAACTGAATTTTCAGCACATTACGTTAAGACATGGTTTACGTGAAATTTAATTATGTCCATGGGGGAAGGCACAAAACATTCCTGATTAAAGAGGAAGATTCCGATAAAACAACTGAGGATCTAGGATTGCACTATTTTTGCATAAAAAGAGTCATGAATTGATTCCTGTCATATATTTCAGCCTGTGTGATTGTGGCATGGTCCAGTAAAAACACTAGGAGTTTAAATACTTACTGTCTTGACCTCATTACTTGTTATGTGACCTTTGATACAGTCCATAACTATTTCAGTCTTATCATTGGTGGTCAGAAACCGATAACCCAGATTATGGCATTTTGCTGAACTGAAGGAGAAGCCACAAGGTCTCTCTGACCTTCCCTCCACGACCCTCCCACCACTGCCTCCTATCTCTCAATCCAATGTGTCTCCTAAAACACGGAATAAAGTTGTTCTCTGAAGTTCCTTATCTCCCTAAAGTCCAGACTTGTCAACAGAAAAACAACAAAAACTGAGTGTTCATTAACTAAACTCACACTATAAGAAGAAAGAGTGAAATCTGTTAATCTGTCAATAAACCTGCACAGTCTTTTGTCATGAACCTTGTTAGCTCTGGGGGTCCAATAGACTTTGTCCCAGGCCCATTGTATTCTTCAAGTCCATTGAATTCCTCTAAAAATAATTTACTTCCCTTTGCGTGCTAATAAATTTGTATACCATTTTGTCAGTTGATTTTTCAGAGAAACTTCAGAGGGCAAAGGGGACGTTTTCCCTAGACCCCTATATCATCTGTCTGTAAAATGAAACTACTAATTCTAGCCTTTATATTTCACAATTTATACAAGATAGCTATGATAGAACTAAAGTGAAAGTAGCACAATGCACATCATATAGTAACCTGACCTGCCAACTGGGAATAACTCCTATGCTTTTCTTTTATTCCTGCCAACTCTAATTTCTCCTGGTTTCCTTCTTATCACACAAAAATTGTTGTTAAATAGAATATTATGGGCTGACAGATAAGACTTTAATTATAATCTTCATCTCTGTGCTTTTCTTTGGTTATTCCAGCATGGAAAAGTGAGTACTCTACAGAAGGCTATGTATTTCACGGGACAGGTCTACTGAGAAGTGCTGAGCATAATACATAAAATAACTAAAATAACACGCAGAAATAACAAATTTTATTTTAACAATTTCTAGCTGAATTTTTAGTTCTTTTTAAATAAAAATAGCCAGATGAAGTGGCTCATGCCTGTAATCCCAGCACTTTGGGAGGACAAAGTGGGTGGGTCACTTGAGCTCAGGAGTTTGAGACCAGCCTGGGCAACATAGTGAAATCCCATCCCTTCAAAAAATACAAACATTAGCGGGATATGATGTTGTGCACCTGTGGTCCCCAAATACTCCTGATACAGAGTTGGGAAGATCGCTTGAGCTGGGGCGGTGGAGTCTGCAGTGAGCCAAAATCGCACCACTGCCCTCCATCCTGAGTGGCAGAGCAAGATCCTGTCTCAAATAAACTAAAAAAATAAATTAAAATAAACCTTTTAATACTGTAAACAAAGACAATTGGATCTCAATGTAGAACAAAGATGGACCTTTTCCTCTCACTTTCATCCTTCTTCCAGTTTATTTTTAGTACCACTTTTATGCAAATATTTGTATGAAGCAAGGTAGCACAGTTTGGTATTAGCTTATTCCAAATGCAAAATAGCTAAAGAGTTACTAAATAAGGAAAATTGAGGTCGCATATTAATAGATATTGGTAAGAGAAGTCAAATTAATAATTGGCCTTTTAAGGTGAGGTATTTTTTTTCCCCGATACCGGAAATGCATTTTATATCATGAGTTTTTCATTTGATTCTAAGACTCTGAAACAGAAGAGGTTTGTATAAGGCAAACATAATTTTTGAAACCATAGAGAGACCAGTCTATTGAATATGTTAAAATAATTAAATGGGAGAGGCCGTTAAACAGGTGGTTCTAATACCCTGCATTCCTATATAAGCAAACAAAACCTAACTCTGATTCATTTCCTTTAAGCACCTAATGTAAAAGAAAACGAAACTTGAGCTCAGCCAATCACAGGTGGCCAACTGGGTATTAGTTATATTTTCAGGACCTTCCCACCAGGATAGTACAAATAAGGCAATTGGTCAAACTTTAAGCAATAATTTATTTGCTCTCCTTCACATTCACCCTATAAAAGTTTTCCTTTCAACCACCTCCAGAGTTCCTTTCAACCACCTCCAGAGGAGCAAAAGAGCTCCTCTGGAGGTGGTTGAAAGGAAAACTTTTATTTTAAAATGTTGAAGTGCCAAGATTTATCTTTCAACAAATACTAATGATCTCCTCATGGATAACAATAAAAAGTAAACATGTTAAAATTAATAAAATCTTCAGTATTACAACCGATTCAATTCAATTTGAATATACAGTTTTAAATACTAATTAGCAATTTACATTAACATTATTACCAATCAATATGAAATCCAGCAATTGTTGCTGTGTCAATGGTTTGGAAAGGGGGCTATATTTTGCTGAGGATGAACATAGAGCCTCTCAATATAACCTGGTTATTCAGTCTAACAATATTTAATTATTGAATACCTGCTGACTGCATACCATTAGACAAAAATGCTAGAGAAAAACACAAAAAATATGCAAGAGATGTCAAAGTTAACATGATTAAAGAGACAATGTGCCTTTAGAGAACAATATTTAAATAAAATTATAAAATAATAAGTAAATTTATTTTTCCTGCTCCAATAGCACTTTCAACGGAAAGTAATCATTGCACCCTAAAGAGATAGTGTGGTTTCAGGGACATTGTCAGTTAGTTTGGATTTTGCTTGAGGACAACATCCCAGGCAGAGAGAGAATGGCATGAGAACAGGTATAGAAGCTGTAATGAGTGGGAAAGTGGAGGGTGCTGACTAGAAAGGTGAATTTTTACATGTTAAACAAAACAACAGGTAGACAAGGCAAGAAAACTAGAATATAATCAACTTGGAAAGCTAGACTGAGGTTGGTTTGTGGATATATTTCTATAGGAAATTGTAAAATTTTTGCACAGAAGAATGCCATCATGAAAGCAATATTTGGGATCAAACATTGCTTTATAAACCTTTAGCTAATGAAGCACACTGAACAATCTGGTATTCCAGAAAGCACACTCTCATCACTACTTTATTCTTTTTTACACATTGTAATTCTTGAATCATTTTATTGAAGCAGCCTAGGTGCCTAAGCAAAAGTGATAAAGCGTTGTGGTTAAGAAACCCTACCTCCTTACACTAAAATTTTTACATTGTCTTTTCATCCTGGCCCTACTACATTTTTAGTTAAGTGACTTTGGCCAAATTACTTAATTTCATTGTACTTCATTCAGTTCTCTTGTTTTCACCGTGAAGAAAATAATAGGGTTATTATAGGATTTTATAGATTGGGAATCCAAACTATTCAGAAAGTTCTTAGGGATTTACAATGCTTGGTACATCGTAAGCACTCAGTAAAAGTTAGTTATTATTTTTATTATTCCAGTCTCGTATGCCAAGATGCATATGGTTGTTGGTGTTTGCAAAATGGTTGGAGCCATATAAACATTCACATTTTCAGATAAAACTCAATAAATTGTGAGAAGAGACCTTAAGTCTCACACCAAAGATGATAATATATATTGTAAATAAGTCAACGTGAAAATAAACAGCAGATGTTTCACTAAACTAAGATAAACTCAGAGAATACAGTCAATTCCCATTTTAACTCAGCTGTTTTATATACATTCATGTATATTCATTTCAATTCAACAAGTTTTAAAAAGAATTTCTATGGTGAATCCAGCAGTACTTATGAATCACTGAGCTATTCATAAGAAATACAAAGTGCAGGCCCAGTACTCAAGGAGCCACTTCCATTTTAAGCATGTGTAAACAATACTCAGGTCAAAATTAATTTTCTCCCATGAGGATTCCCATAAATCAAAGCTTAAAAAACACATTGCTCTTCTAACACAAATGTTATTATTTTTCCTAAATCAGTAATATAAAACAATCAACTGTGTTCTTTTTTCTTATATATAAAGATATGTTAATTCAGCAAAGTAGTACTGTTAGTTCCTTTGTTCAGAATCATAGTCTGGGGATCATTAGGGCCCAAAAACCTCCTAACGTAAGCTTATCACATTTGTTTTCACAAAGCCTTGACAGAAATTTCATCAGTACATGAGAAAAATGACATTAGCACAAAAAATTTATGTTTAATTATTATGGAATTTAATGTTACCCTTGTAAAAGTGGTGAGAACACCTGCAAATAACAATAATTACATTAAGTGGCATTTTCTCTAGTAATTCTGTATTAAAAATCATAATAACTGTAAGAAAGTCCTTTCTATAATCCCCAATTTAGGTAGTAGGGAACAAGTCTTACATCAAATAAAAACTCACTTTCATTAGCTACAGATGATGCTATAAGTCCTGCTATCTGCATCTGAAAAATATATAAATTCAATTACTTTCCCCTCACGAGGATGAGATTCAATAATCACATTCTATTTTGTTTTGTTACTGGATCATGGTAACGTCTTAGTCCATTTAGGCTGCTATAACAAAAATTCCATAGACTGGGTGGCTTAAAAACAAATACTTGTTTTTTATAGTTGTGGAGAACAAAAATCCAATATCCAGGCACCAGCACATGTGGTATCTGGTGAGGGCCTTCTTCTGGGTTACAGACTGATGACTTCTTGTTGTATTTTCACATAGAGAGAAGAGCTCACTGTGGTCTATTTTTTAAGGGCACCAATCCCATTCATAAGGGTTCCACACTCGACCTAATCACCTGCCAAAAGACCCACATCTTAATACATTGGAATTAGGGCTTCAACAAATGAATTTTAGGAAATACAAGCAATCAGTCCACTGTTGTGCCATATTTTTGGTGCTGGTGAAATTAAAATGTATACAAACAACACCTACAGTGGCACATAATCACATACATCAATTTTATGAGGTTATTTGGGTTTTCTGAAGTTTGAATGCAATGACTTTTACTTCATTTACTAATAGATTCACCTTATTTATTCTCCAGTTAGAAATAAAAGTATTATCCTTATGTGTGATTTTTCAGCTTTGATGTTAATTTAAAAGTCAGTGTTTAAAAGAAGCTTTTGACACATGTATACATATGCAACAAACCTGCACGTTATGCACATGTACCCTAGAACTTAAAGTATAATAAAATATATAGATATATATAAATAAAAATAAAAATAAAAGAAGCCTTTGAAAATTTGGAGCTATCATCAAAGTATCCTGACTTATATTTATAGAAGTATATTATTATTCCCTAACTTCCACCTTAGACTTTGTCTTCTAAAAAGCACCTTTAACTGTTTTAGACATAAAACTCTTTTTCTAATCTTGTCACATTAAAAGGTAAAGTTTTGTTCACTGGTTATTAAATAAATTAAAAATAGCAAATTTAAGGCTTTCAGTAATTTAAACTATTGTATTTCAAAAAAAGTTTCATTTATATTCACTGCAAAATCACTTTTCCATTTTGTCTCAAATATGCTGACGTGGCATTCCATCCAACTTATTTCTCAATTGAAACCTTGTGATATAGTTTGGCTCTGTATCCCCACTCAAATCTCTTCTCCAATTGTAATCTCCATAATCCCCATGTGTGGAGGGTGGAAACTGGTGAGAGATGATTGGAACACAAGGACATTTTCCCCCATGCTGTTCTCATGATAGTGAGTGAGTTCTTCATGAGATCTGATGGTTTTATAAGTGTTTGACAGTTCCTCCTATACATGCTTTCTTCTCTCTCCTACAGCCATGTGAAGAAGGTCCTTGCTTCCCCTTTCCCTTCCAGCATGATTGTAAGTTTCTTGAGATCTCCCCAGCCATGTGGAATTGTGAGTCAATTAATCCTCTTTCCTTTATAAATTATCCAGTCTTGGGTATTCTTTATAGCAGTGTGAAAATGGACTAATACACCTTAGCACTGTAGCACAGTCAGATTAAATCCATGTAAAAAATTAGCCAAATTTTAATGTATGTATATATTTTGTATGCATAAAACAGGAAACATCTTGATAAATTACTAAACTTAGTTTTGTATAATAGAAGTAGTCTAATTTATGTCAGATATATGAATTCTAGGGTTCTGTTCCTGACAGAAAGTTCCCATGTGACTTTGAGTATACCATTAAACCTATCTGTATCTCAATTTCTTCTTCTAAAGACTGGAAAAGATAATATATCTTCCCAACTTTTCTCTCAAAATTGTTGTGAATGTCAAATGATGCAATTATTGTGGAAATACTTTGGAATGTATGAAGCAATATATACCTTCAAGATGTAGTTATCCAGTTAGCCATTGTGATTGATTCAACGTACCTCTTTGTCATTTCTATTTTAATTCAGGGCAGAGACTATGTATCTAATAGTCTTAAAAATTCTCTACATCTATTGCAAGCACCACAACTTGTGCCAAAGAAGTGGTTCATCAAGTTTAAGAATCTGGATTTGGCCAGGCATTGCTTCGTCATTTAAAAAAAAAAAAAAAAAAAAAGAACAAAGTTGACATCCCTAGGAAAAGTTGAAGTGATAAAATAAAATAGTTCAATTGGCAAGAAAGTACCTGGAGCAGAGAAGATAAGAGATGGATGAGAAGTCACTGCTAAGTTGAAAAATATGGTCTCTGGAATCCTTGTACTTTATAAAGTACTTTTTTTTTGCCCATATATATACTTCTCCAGGGATACACACTCCCTGACGCAAAACCGCCATTTTTAGGAAATAATTGTACCAAGCATCATAGGATAATAGCTATGACTACATACCTATATTTAGTGATGAGATAAACAACAAAAACTGTCCTAGTAAATTAAGACAGTGAAGATATGCAACCATTTAACCCTGAAGCTGTCAGTCAATTTCATCTCAGCTCCATTCAACATTCATAAATTACTTAATTACTTACTTTATGGTACATACCATGAAGCCATTGAGAATAAACGTAGTGAAAATGTGGCTTCTACCCTTTAGAAACTTGACAGAGATTATCAGGTTAAATATTGAATATATAGATATTTCAGAAAAACTGTGATGCCAATAAGAATCAAGTATGAAAGGAACCACATTAAAGACCAAAGGCTGGGAGGGCATTAAAAAGGATACATTTTATAAATGCTGGCCTCATTTACTATTGAATAATTATCTTATGGGAATTCAATAGTAATAGAGAGAAAAGACATCTATACATCTGAGACATGAGGACTTACAAATGATTAAACAAGACAGGAAAGAATGAATACACTGAAGAAAAATTGAGTAAACCTAGGAAGAAATTCCACAGAGATTTTGTCACCAAGTCTTTGAGAAATAAGGTTATTAGGACAGGCAAAACAACAAAATCAGTTATTCTGTTACACTTACTAAACTGTAGTCATACTGACGCTGCAGAAAATAAGAATTAATCTTAATATTGCCACTTTTTTATTTTAATAATATTTATTCATTTTTTATTACAGTTTAAATTCTGGGATACATGTGCAGAACATGCAGGTTTGTTACATAGGTGTACATATGCCATGGTGGTTTGCTGCACCCATCAACCCGTCATCTACTTTAGGTATTTCTCCTAATGCTATCCCTCTTCTTGCCCCCCAACCCCCAGCAGGCCCCAGTGTGTGATGTTCCCCTCCCTGTGTCCATGTGCTCTCATTATTCAACTCCCACTTATGAGTGAGAACATGCGGTGTTTGGTTTTATGTTCTGTGTTGGTTTCTGAGAATGACTTCCAGCTTCATCCATATCCCTGCAAAGGACATGAACTCATTTTTTATGGCTGCATAGTATTCCATGGTTGGTTGGTTCCAGGTCTTTGCTATTGTAAATAGTGCTGCAATAAACATATGTGTGCATGTGTATTTATAGTAGAATAATTTATAATCCTTTGGGTATATACTCAGTAGTGAGATTGCTGGGTCAAATGGTATTTCTTGTTCTAGATCCTTGAGGAATCACCAGATTGTCTTCCACAATGGTTGAACTAAGCTACACTCACATCAACGGTGTAAAAGTGTTCCTATTTCTCCACAGCCTCGCCAGCATCTGTTTTTTTCCTGTCTTTTGGATATCGCCATTCTAACTGGTGTGAGATGGTATCTTATTGTGGTTTTGATTTGCATTTCTCTAATGAGCAGTGTTGATGAGCTATTTTTCATATGTTTATTGGCCACATAAATGTCTTCTTTTGAGAAGTGTCTGTTTATGTCTTTTGCCCATTTTTTGATGGAGTTGTTTTTTTTTTCTTGTAAATTTGTTTAAGTTCCTTGTGGATTCTGGATATTAGACCTTTGTCAGATGGGTAGTTTGCAAAAACTTTCTCCCATTCTGTAAGTTGTCTGTTCACTCTGATGATAGTTTCTTTTGCTGTGCAGAAGCTCTCTAGTTTGATTAGAGCCCATTAGTCAATTTTGGTTTTGTTGCAATTGCTTTTGGTGTTTTAATACTGAAGTATTTGCCCATGCTTATTTCCTGAATGGTATTGCCTAGGTTTTCTTCTAGGGTTTTTATGGTTTGGGGTTTTACATTTAAGTCTTTAATCCATCTTGAGTTAGTTTTTGTATAAGGTGTAAGGAAGGGGTCCGGTTTCTGTTTTCTGCATAAGGCCAGCCAGTTTTCCCAACACCATTTATTAAATAGGGAATCCTTTCCCCGTTGCTTGCTTTTGTCAGGTTTGTCAAAGACCAGATGGTTGTACATGTGTGCTGTTATTTCTAATGTCTCTGTTCTTTTCCTGTGGTCTATATATCTGTTTAGGTACCAGTACCATGTTGTTTTGGTTACTGTAGCCTTGTAGTATAGTATGAAGTCAGGTAGCATGATGTCTCCAGCTTTGTTCTTTTTGCTTAGGATTGTCTTGGCTATATGCACTCTTTTTGGTTCCATATGAAATTTAAAGTAGTTTTTTTCTAATTGTGTGAAGAAAGTCACTGGTAGCTTGATGGGAATAACATTGAATCTATGAATTACTTTAGGCAGTATGGCCATTTTCACAATATTGATTCTTCCTATCCATGAGCATGGACTGTTTTCCCATTTGTTTGTGTCCTCTCTTATTTCCTTGAGCAGTGGTTTGTAGTTCTCCTTGAAGAGGTCCTCCACATCCCTTGTAAGTTGTATTACTTGGTATTTTATTCTCTTTGTAGCAATTGTGAATGGGAGTTCACTCATGATTTGGCTCTCTGCTTGTCTATTGTTGGTGTATAGGAATGCTTGTGATTTTTGCACGTTGATTTTGTATCCCGAGACTTTGCTGAAGTTGCTTAACAGCTTAAGGAGTTTTTTGGGCTGAGATGATGGGGTTTTCTAAATATACAATCATGTCATCTTCAAACCGAGACAATTTGACTTCCCCTCTTATTTGAATATGCTTTATTTCTTTCTCTTGCCTGATTGCTCTGGCCAGAACTTCCAATACTATGTTGAATAGGAGTGCTGAGAGAGGACATCCTTGTCTTGTGCCAGTTTTCAAAGGGAATGCTTCCAGCTTTTGCCCATTCAGCATGATATTGGCTCTGGGTTTGTCATAAATAGCTCTTATTATTTTGAGATTAGTTCCATCAATACCTAGTTTATTGAGAGTTTTTAGCATGAAAGGATGCTGGATTTTATCAAAGGCCTTTTCTGCATCTATTGAGATAATCTTGTGGTTTTTGTCATTGGTTGTGTTTATGTGATGGATTACGTTTATTGATTTGCATATGTTAAACCAGTCTTGCATCCCAGGGATGAAGCTGACTTGATTGTGGTAAATAAGATTTTGTTGTGCTGCTGGATTCGGTTTGCCAGTATTTTATTGAGGATTTTTGCATCAATGTTCACCAGGGATATTGGCCTGAAATTTTCTTTTTCGTTGTTGTGTCTCTGCCAGGTTTTGGTATCAGGATGATGCTGGCCTCATAAAATGAGTCAAGAAGGAGTCCCTTTTTCAATTGTTTGCATTAATTTCAGAAGGAATGATACCAGCTCCTCCTTGTACCTCTGGTACAATTTGGCTGTGAATCTGTCCAGTCCTGGGCTTTTTTGTTTGGTAGTCTATTAATTACTGCCTCAGTTTCACAACTTGTTATTCGTCTGTTCAGGAATTCGACTTCTTCCTGGTTTAGGCTTGGGAGGGTGTATGTGTCCAGGAGTTTATCCATTTCTTCTAGATTTTCTAATTTTTTTTTGGTAGAGGTGTTTGTAGTATTCTCTGATAGTAGTTTGTATTTCTGTGGGATCAGTGGTGATATCCCGTTATCATATTTTATTGTGTCTATTGTGTGTATTTCACTCTTCTTTCTTTCCTTTATTTGTCTAGCTAGTGGCCCATCTATTTTGTTAATTAAAAAAACAGCTCCTGGATTCATGGATTTTTTGAAAGGTTTTTGTGACTCTATCTCCTTCAGTTCTGCTCTGATCTTAGTTATTTCTTGTCTTCTGCTAGCATTTGAATTTGTTTGCTCTTGCTGCTCTAGTTCTTAGAATTGTCATGTTAGGGTGTTGATTTTAGATCTTTCCAGCTTTCTGTTGTGGGCATTTAGTGCTGTAAACTTCCCTCTTAACACTGCTTTAGTTGTGTCGCAGTGATTCTGGTAAGTTGTCTCTTTTTTCTCATTGGTTTCAATGAACTTCTTTATTTCTGCCTTAATTTTATTATTACCCGGTAATCATTCAGGTTGTTCAATTTCCATGTAATGTTGTGGTTTTGAGTGAGTTTTAACCCTGAGTTCTAATTTGATTGCACTGTGGTCTGAGAGACTGTTTGTTATGATTTCTGTTCTTTTGCATTTGCTGAGGAGTGTTTCACTTCCAATTTTGTGGTCAATTTTAGAATATGTGCTATGTGGCGCTGAGAAACATGTATATTATTTTCATATGGGGTGAAGAGTTCTGTAGATGTCAATTAGGTCCACTTGGTCCAGAGCTGAATTCAAGCCCTGAATATCCTTGTTAATTTTCTGTCTCATTGATCAATCTAATATTGACAGTGGGGTGTTAAAGTCTCCCATTATTATTGTGTGGGAGTCTAAGTCTCTTCATAGGTCTCTAAGAACTTGTTTTATGAATCTTGGTGCTCCTATTTTGGATGCATATATATTTAGGATAGTTAGCTCTTCCTGTTGCATTGATCCCTTGACCATTATGTAATGCCCGTCTTTGTCTTTTTTGATCTTTGTCGGTTTAAAGTCTGTTTTATCAGAGACTAGCATTGAAACCCCCGCTTTTTTTTTTTTTTTTTTTTTTTTTGCTTTCCATTTGCTTGGTAAATATTCCTCCATCCCTTTATTTTGAGCCTATGTGTGTCTTTGCACACGAGATGGGTCTCCTGAATACAGCACACAGATGGGTCTTGACTCTATCCAATTTGCCAGTCTTTGCATTTTAATTGGAGCATTTAGCCCATTTACATTTAAGGTTAATATTGTTATGCGTGAATTGGATCCTGTCATTATGATGCTAGCTGGTTATTTTAAACATTATTTGATGCAGTTTCTTCATAGTGTCATTGGCCTTTATATTTTGTGTTTATGCAGAGGCTGGTAACTCTTTTTCCTTTTTGTATTTAGTGGTTCCTTCAGGAGCTCTCTTAAGGCAGGCCTGGTGGTGACAAAATCCCTCAGCATTTGCTTGTCTGGAAATGATTTTATTTCTTCTTCACTTATAAAGCTTAGTTTGGCTGGATATGAAATTCTACTTTGAAAATTATTTTCTTTAATAATGTTAATATTACACCCCCCCCCCTTTCTGGCTTGTAGGTTTTCTGCAAGAAATCTGATGGACTTTCCTTTGTAGGTGACCTGACCTTACTCTCTGGCTACACTTAACATTTTTTTCTTCAATTTAACCTTGGACAATCTGACGATTATGTGTCTTGGTGTTGCTCTACTCGAGGGGTATCTTAGTGTTGGTCTCTTTATTTCCTCAAGTTGAATGTTGTCCTGTCTTGCTAGGTTTGGGAAGTTCTCCTGGATCATATCCTGAAGTGTGTTTTCCCACTTGATTCCATTCTCCCCATTACTTTCAGGTACACCAATCAATCGTTGGTTTGGTCTTTTCACATAGTCCCATATTTCTTGGAGGCTTTGTTCATTCCTTTTCATTATTGTTTCTCTAATCTTTTCCTCATGCCTTTTTTCAGTAAGTTGATCTTCAATCTCTGATATCTTTTCTTCTACTAGATCGATTTGGTTATTGATACTTGTGTATGCTTCACGAAGTTCTTGTGCTGTGTTTTTCAGCTCCATCTGGTCATTTATGTTCCTCTCTAAACTGGTTATTCTAGTTAGCAGTTCCTGTAACCTTTTATCAAGGTTCTCAGCTTCCTTTCATTGGGTTAGAACATTCTCCTTTAGTTCAGAGGAGTTCGCTATTACCAACCTTCTGAAGCCTGCTTCTGTCAATTCATCAATCTTATTATCCGTTCAGTTTTGTGCCCTTGCTGGAGAGGAGTTGCAATCATTTGGAGAAGGGGCATTCTTGATTTTGGAATTTTCAGTGTTTTTGCACTGGTTTTTCCTCATCTTCATGAATTTATCTACCTTTGATCTTTGAGGCTGAAGACCTTTGGATAGGGTTTTTATGGAGGGGTCCTTTATGTTGATGTTGATGTTGTTGCTTTCTGCTTGTTAGTTTTTCTTCTAACAGGCGTCTCTTCTGCAGGTCTGCTGCAGTATGCTGGAGGTCCACTCCAGATCCTGTTTGCCTGGGTATCACCAGTGGAAGTTGTAGAAGGGTGAAGATTGCTGCCTGCTCCTTTCTCTGGAAGCTTGGTCCCAGAGGGGCACCAGCCTGATGCCAGCTGGAGCTCTCCTGTATGAGGTGTCTGTCGACCCCTGTTGGGAGGTTTCTCCCAACCAAGAGGCCTGGGGGTCAGGGACCCACTTGAATAAGCAGTCTGTCCCTTAGTAGAGCTGGTGCGCTATGCTGGAAGAATCCTCGTCAGGATCAGCTGTTGTCTTCAGAGCTGTCGGGCAAAAACGATTAAATTCGCTGAAGCTGCGCCCACAGCTGCACTTTCCCCCAGGAGCTCTGTCCCAGGGAAATGGGGGTTTTGTTTGTAAGCCCCTGACTGGGCCTGTTACCTTTCCTTCAGAGATACCCTGCCCAATGAGGAGGAATCTAGAGAAGCAGTCTGGCCACAGCCGCTTTGCTGCGCCCAACCCAGATCTCCCAGCCTCCTTAGCACTGTTAGGGGAAAACTGCCTACTAAGGCCTCATTAATGGCGGATGCCTCTGCCCCCACCAAGCTTGATCATCCCAGGTCAACTTCAGATTGCTGTGATGGCAAAAAGAATTTCATGACAGTGGTTCTTAGCTTGCTGGGCTCTGCGGGAGTGGGAGCCGCTGAGCGAGACCACTTGACTCCCTGGCTTCAGCCCCCTTTCCAGGGGAGTGAACGGTTCTATCTCCCTGGGGTTCCAGGCTCCACTGTGGTATGAACAAAATCTCCCATGGCTAGCTCGGTGTCTGCCCAAACGGCCGCCCAGTTTTGTGCTTGAAACCCAGGACCCTGGTGGTATAGGCACATGAGGGAATCTCCTGATCTGCAGATTGCAAAAAAACGTGGGAAAAGCATAGTAACCTGGCAGGGTAACACAATTCCTCATGGCTTCCCTTGGCTGGGGGGAGGGAGGTCCCTGGTCCCTTGCACTTCTCGGGTGAAGCAATGCCCCACCCTGCTTCTGTTCGCCCTCCGTGGGCTGCACCCACTGCCTGACCTGTCCCAGTGAGATGAACTGGGTACCTCAGTTGGAAATGCAGAAATCACCCGCCTTCTGCCTTGGTCTCACTGGGAGTTGCAGACCGGAGCTGTTCCTATTTGGCCAATTTCCACTATATATTTTAATTCTCAGAAATCATTTTCATTTCCTTTCTATTTTTGGCGTATGCTAATAAGTTGTCTGAGAAGTAAGGCTTTATTATACTCGATTTTAAGTGATGACAAATAAAAATACTTGTGTCCTCTGAAGAAACACTGGATATAGCATGCAAGGCTTTATTAGCCATCTTCTATATTTTATGTGGTTTATGTGTCAACAACGTTCAGTGAGCTGAGAATTAAAAATTTGACTGAGAATAAACTTTACTGATTGAAGAGCTGTCATCCACAAATTTTATCATTTTAGAAACTGCTTAATAATTTGCTGACTCAGTTCACTCATCTTTAAAAAGAGAATAAATGATATTTCTGTATCTGAAAGATTTTCTCTGGAAAAATGACTAATAAAATTAATCATTGCAGGCAGTATGTGATATTATAAATGCTTTGTGGACTAAAGCAAAATGGGTTTGTGATTTTAATCATTCTGCAAATGGACATAAATAAAAAGAAATACATTCTTTTTTTTTAATAAATGGACTGATTTTGAGCAGCTCAGCCTTTTCTTTTCTCTTTGAAGATTTCTCTTCACATTTCTGTTCCTACAAAGCTAGATTTTCTACTTTGTGAATGAAGAATTTCTCTATGTATCATAGCTTAGGAGTAGTTTTTCCTTGTCTGATCTTCTAATGGCTCAGCTTTGATGAAAGCATCTTGAAGCACCATGTGTTCACTTTTCTACCATCAAAGATTCTTTCTCTCTAATGTCCTTTTTTTGAGAGGTATGGCAAGAAGAACTTTCTTTTATTCAGTTTGGCAATGAATAAAATACTAAAACAACAAGTATTTTATTGTTAATAAAAATAGCTTAAAACTATTTTATTGTTATTAATAGAATTATAATTCTTATTCTTATTATCATTCCTATTATTTGTATTCTCATTATTAATTAGCAAATTTATTACTCTACAAATTTTCTGTACAATTACAGTGTTTTCAGCACCATATACACATTAATTAAATTAGAGCTCAATAATAATCTGTAAAATGAACATCTAGAAAGGTGTATCTCCATTTTACAGGCAAGGAAACCAAGGCTTAGTGAGATTGTATAATTTGCTGATGATCACTGAGACATGAAGTAAAAGTATTGAGATTCAAATACAGATTTGTCTGATGATGAAGTCTACTGTCCTTCTAAACAATCTTCTCAAGATATTTCAAGATCTAAGCTATAAATCTAAACATTAATTTATAAATTATAAAAATAAAGTGTATCTCATTAATTATCATATAAAACACAATAAGTGCATTCAGAAAATTCAAAAGTTACCTGTTTACATTCACTTGCAGCTTCTATGCTAAAAGTTTTCAAAGTGTGATACCATAAAACACTGGTGTCCTGAAAATAGAACCAATGTGTTTCGTTGCCAATCTACTAACAACCAGGTGATCCTAATCCACAGAAAGATCAAGCTGATTAATAAAATTGTATTCATCTAAAAATGTTTTCATGTAGCTTTCTTGAGCTGATAGCATTTAAATTTCAGTGGATAATCATTTTATTTTGGTCTTTTCATACGTGCTCTTGACTTTCTTCATTTTCTACTCTGCAGTAATTTTCTTAAAATAATAGATTCAATTATACTATTCCCATTCAAAATCTTACAGTAACTTTCTGTTGTTCTTACAATAAGTTTCCAAATTTTGCTCCATTCCTGTTTCTCCAAACTTAATTTTGTATTACTCTTCTTGCTCTATTCTCTAGCCTCACTGGCCTCATTCCTTCTTCAATTACTTAACACATATCTATTCTTCAGGTTTCAATTTTGATTCTCCTTCTCTCACTGCATAAATGCTCCTACAGGTTTTTTAAATTCATACTACTCACCATGATTATAGTTTATCAATTTATATTTAATTATCTGTTTTCTGTCTCCCTGTTATAGCATAAGCTCCATGAGGTCAGGGACTGTTCCTGTATGCTTATCCTTTTATTTTCACTGCCTATCAGAGTGCCTGCTACATAGTAAGTACATTGTAAATACTTATGTGAATGAATACTTAAATACTTAAATAAATGCTTACATGAACGAATAAGATATAGAAAATAGCACTGAAAAAAATGTTCCATTTAATGTATACTATTTGAAGGGCCTTTATTATATGTGTATACTTCAGGTTAAAAAGCACCCCGTTTCTGAAAGCTGCAAAGAGAAATAGCAAGTTAATGCAGTGATTAACAATGTTTTTTATGTTCTACTCAATTAACATAAGTTGTCCACATGGGTAGTAAAAATGTATTTGGAAATCCTAAAGTATAAACATTCATTTACGTATATGGTGTTTTTTTAATATAGACACAGACACAGCAGAAAAGATTTAAGGTGTATAATATTAATGAATAGAGCAAAATTAAAATCAATTGAAGCTTGCCAAACTTGAAGATTGCATCACAAAGTGGATTTTATGACTAAATATTTTTTATGTGCTTACTTGGCACTTTTCTGGGTACCAGAATGTAATATTCACAGCGCTGTCATGTATTACATGCTTGTTACAGTTGAGGAATCTAAGACTCTGATAGACTGATTGACTAGAGTAAGTTCAAGAGTCAAAATCAAATTAAATTCAAAGCCTATGTATGTTCTTTTCATAGTTATGTCCTACTGTTTCTATTGACTCATGAATTTGTTGATTGTCATTTTAGACAATGGCCGTTAGCTTATATTTACCCGAGTCACACTTTTTGAGTACAGAATATAATGATTTGAAAAATAATGTTCTCTTTCAAGACTTAGCTGAAATACTGAAAATAAATATTATACTACTATATAGGAAGATTTTATATCACAACAATGTAAATTATCCTAAAATTAATATATGCATTTAATGAAATTCCAAATATAATCTTATAGTTATATTAGTAAGTCTGTTTATTTTAGAAACACAAATTATTTAAAGTTTATTTGAAAGAATGATCAGAATATCTAAGAAAATTATAAAAGGTAATAATTAAGCATTACTTGCCCTACTAGATATCAAAATATTCTATAAAGCTATTATAATCAAGTCAATATTGTATAGACATAGGAATAAAGAAATATTTTACTGGAACAAAGGAAAGAATTCAGAAACAGATCCTATGACAAATGAGAATTTAATATAGTAAAAAAATGGTTTTTCAATTCAGTGGTAAAAGAATAGTTTATTTCATATAAGGGATAATCACGACTCTAGACATCCCTAAGAAAATAAATAATAATACTATTCATCAATGTATCAAAATAAGAACATGAATTAAAAGCAATGTATGATGAACTAAAAATCTTAAAACATGTACAAGACTAAATAAGCAATGTAGGATTGGAAAATAAGTTCATCACCAAGACAGGAAACCTAATATCTGTAAAAGAAAATGAAATAAGCACTTTCATTTACAAAAGTTAATAATTTTTCTAAGGCAAAAGGTGCTTTAAACAAAATCAATACCTAAACAACAAATTTGGAAATAACAAAGTAGATAACCGAAAAAGCTGTAATATCTACACCAATGCTGCTATAGTTTTAATGGGTCTTCCCCTCAATTTATGTGTTAGAAACTTGAACTTCAATGCCATAGTGTTGGGAGGTGGAGACTTAGTGAGGTTTTTAGGTCATAAGGGCTCCATCCTCATGAATGAATTAATGCCTGTATAAAAAAGGCTTGCAAGGGTGGGTTTTCTTTGTTTTGCTCTTGTGACATGAGATGACATAGTGTTTCTCCTCTCCGAAAGATGTGGTATTCAAAGTATCATCCTGGAAGCCGAGAGACCATGCCTTAACCTGCTGTGCCTTGCTCTTGGACTTCCCAGTTTCCAAGACCGTGAAAAATAAATTTCTGTTCTTTATAAATTACCAAGTCTCAGATACGAACTAGGCAGCTGTTGTCAGTTATCTCAGGGAGAAAGTTAATAGGAAAAGGGATAGGGGGATTATTGGAAATTAAACTTTTAAAATACATTCATATATTGTTTTAATTGTTGCAATAAATATATATACTTGTAATTTTAAGAATTATGTTGATATGTTTTATTTTATTTTATAACAGTTACACTCTTTCATTTCATTATTAAGACTGTTTCTGTCTTGTTTTAAAAATTATACCTGATTTCTTCTCTATTGATTAGTTTTATACTCTTGAGTCTGATGATGTGCACATATTCAGATTATTTAATTATTACCTTTTTAGAGCATCGCTTCTCCTAATCTATTTACTATATAGCCCAGTTCTGTTGGAGGGATTTTTAATTTTTTTTTCTGATTCAAATATTCCTATTGTTTTGATGCCATTCATTAGCAGCTATTTTCTCCTCAAAAGAACATGTAATAGATGTTTCCTTTTGAAGGTATTTATAAGCCATATATTTATGATGTATATTATGTTATTTTTTATGAGAAAATAGACTATTTAAATACATTATATACTAATGATGTAGACAGATAATTATTCCCTAATTTATCTTCCTTTATGAGTTTCAATATTTCTGCATAGCTCTGTATCAAATGATACATGTCTGGAGAATGATGATGTCCCAATAAAATCTCCTAATTCTAATTTTAAAAATCATGTTAATTCTTTTGTAAATGGATGGTATTTGCTGATTGTACCTTCCTAAATATGATTTTATAGAACATTTTTACCAAAGGCATATCACATAGTAGAAAAAGGTAATAAAATAGAAGTCAAAAGACCTGGATTCTAGTCCTGTCTTTGCTGCTCTGTAACCTTTCAAATCCCATTTAAAAGAAAAATAAAGGTAGGCTAGAAATCACTGAGATCAGCAAAAACATAACAATAAGCAAACATGTATAATTCATCATGCTATTATGCTTTGCTGACCCTAGATATGATCAAATAAACTTTCACAGCCCTAGAAACCAAAACCAATTGACTTGTGTGCAAAGAAAATAACACTTTTTTAACTTTTATTTTACATTCCAGAGTACAAGAGCACATTTTTCATACAGGCAAACTTGTGTCATGGGGATTCGTTGTACAGATTATTTCATCAACCAGGCATTAAGCCTATTACCCATTAGTTATTTTTCCTGATACTCTCCCTCTTCCCACCCTCCACCCTCCAAAAGGTCTCGGTGTCTGTTGTTCTCTTCCTGTCCATGTGTTCTGATCATTTAGCTCCCACTTATAAGTTATACCATGTGATATTTTGTATTCTGTCCCTATATTAGTTTGCTAAAGATAATGGCCTCCAGTTCCATCCATGTTCCTGCAAAGGACATGATCCCATTCTTTTTATGGCCACATAGAATTCCATGGTGTATATGTACCATATTTTTCTTATCAAATCTATCGTTGATGGGCATTTAGGTTGATTCTATGTCTTTGCTATTGTGAACAGTGCTGCAATGAACAAACTTGTGCATGCATCTTTACAATAAAACCATTTATATTCCTGTGGGCATGTATGCAGTAACGGGATTGCTGGGTCAAATGGTATTTCTGTTTTTAGGTCTTTGAGGAATCGCCACAATGTGTTCCAAAATGGCTGAACTAATTCACACTCCCAACGACAGTGTATAAGCATTCCTTTTTGTCCACAGCCTTGTCAGCATCTGGGTTTTTTTTTTTTTTTTTGACTCTTTAATAATAGCCATTCTAATTGGTGTGAGATGGTATCTCATTATGGTTGTCATTGCATTTCTCCAATGATCAGTGATGTTGAGCTCTTTTTCATATGCTTGTTGGCCGCATGTATGTCTTCTTTTGAAAAGTGTCTGTTTATGTCCATTGCCCACTTTTTAATTGGGTTGTTTGATTTTCTCTTGTAAATTTGTTTAAGTTCCTTCTAGATTCTGGATATTAGACCTTTGACAGATGCATAGTTTGCAAAAATTTTCTCCTATTCTGCAGGTTGTCTGTTTACTCTGTTGATAGTTATCTTTGCTGGGCAGAAACTCTTCAGTTTAATTAGATCTCATTTGTCAATTTTCGCTTTTGTTGCAATCACTTTTGACAACTTCATCATGAAATGTTTGCCCCTTTCTATGTCCTCAATTTTATTTGCCTAGGGTGCCTTCCAGGGTTTTTATGATATTGGGTTTTATATTTAGGTCTTGAATTCATCTTATTTTTTGTACATGGTGGAAGGAAGGGGTCCAGTTTCAATCATCTGCATGTGGCTAGCCATTTCTCCAAGCACCATTTATTGAATAGGGAATCCTTTTCTTATTAATTGTGCTTGTCAGGTTAGTCAAAGATCATATAGTTGTGGGTATGCACCTTATTTCTGGCTTTTCTATTCTGTTCTATTGATCTATATGTCTCTCTCTCTTTTTTTTTTTTTTTTTTTTTTTTTTTTTTTGCACCAGTAGCATGCTGTTTTGGTTACTTTAGCCCTCTAGTGTAGTTTGAAGTTGGGTAGCATGATGCCTCCTGCTTTTTTTTTTTTTTCTTTTTTTCTTTTGCTTAGGATTGCCTTGGATATTCAGGCTCCTTTTTTTAGGTTTTTATGAATTTTAAAATAGTTTTTTTTTTCTAGTTCTGTAAAGAATCTCAATGGTAATTTAGTAGGAATCATATTGAATCTATAAATTGCTTTGGACAATATGGCCATTTTTACAATATTGATTCTTCCTATCCATGAGCATCAAATGCTTTTCCATTTATTTGTGTCATCTCTTATTTCTTTGAGCAGTGTTTTATAGTTCTCTTTGTAGAGATCTTTCACTTCCCTAGTTAGTTGTATTCCTAGTTATTTTATTCTGAAAATAAAACTTTTTTGTCATTCCAGATGACTACTAATTCTTTTCTATCTCTGGCTTTCAAGAACTATTGTTTATTGTCATTCTACCTGATGCATCATTCCTCCACACTTTTTCTCTCTTTTCTAACATCATTGACTAATATTCTAAATATTACTGCAATGTTTAAAAGAATTCAAACTGGCCTCACCAAGAAAAAATAATCCACATCTTTCAATTTTCCACTCACCCTTCACCCTGAGCCCCATCCACTCATTTGGGAAACTTAAAGCAATGAGAAATTGACCATAGAAGTCTTTTTATGGAGGTTATTAAGAATTTGATGTGCATAATTACTTGACTCACCTTTTTTTTTTTGTTTTAGCTCAAAATTACTAAATTTTATGTGTACAGTAGATCAGGCAAGAGGCTATACAACTATCTCTCCAAAATTGTGTTTTGATATAACTTGGTCCAATAAAAGGACAATAGCAGGTTGTTGGGTGCATATACATTTCAATGTCTTGTTTTAAATTTTGCATTTTAGTGTGTCTGTGAATTTCTATGTGCGTGGCTACTGCTAATACTTTCTACATAGTAAATACGTGAGATGCCCTACAACTGGAGAGCTGACCCATACATGAATAGGAAGGGAAAAATAATATTTAGAACAATGTATTAACTGTAGACTCCTTTTAGTTTCAAGTATAAGAGACTGCAAGTGAAATTAAAATGCTTTTCCTTCTTTAGAAAATCAGTATAGGCCACAAAAATCAGTATAAATTGTATCTCTTATAGTGTTTCCTAGACAGTGCTTCATCAGTGTCACTTTTTGAAGTGAATAATGCAATTGCCCAGGCCCATTTTAATGCTGAGACATGGATTCACTTGTCAACATCTTAAATCAATCAGAAATTTGTTCTTGTATACAGGAGAAAAAAAAATGCTAACTAAAAACACAAACAAAAACTTTTTTTAAAGCAAATAAACCTCTGGGGACTAGAAGATCCTGTTCCTAATTCTGAAGATTCAGCCTTGTTATCAAATATTATTTTTGGCGGTTTTGTGTGATCCATTAAAAGTGTATTTCCAACTAAGATTAAAAACACAAAGGAATAAATTATTAAATAACTGATCAAATAAATAACAAACATTAGTTCCAATATAACAGCACAAACAATAAGTTGTCCTTAATTGTCTTCATTATTTGGTAGATCAAATTTGCAACAATATTTATCCGTTTTGAAATTACTGGCAAATTTTTCCTAAAATATTTTTGAATTATTACTAGCACATTACCATTGCCTCTACATTTTCATGTATAAGAAATTGCTGCTTTGTAAAAAATCTTTACTGTATTGATCTCATATTAGGAGATGTGAACTAATTATATGGTGTTCCAATGTCAAGTTTTAACAATCATATCATTTTGCACTACATCATGTATCACAGATCACAGATGTACTCAAAACAAATCAAATTTTCCTATGTCACTATAATGTACACACACAAACACAACTTAGAAATCACTTAGGAAACCTGACCAAATTTGTTGAAAGGAAAGCCTAACTAGACCTTGGAAGCCATATTCTATGACATCTAGAAGTTATATAGCTTTTATCTGTCACTTCTGCAATATTTAGGTACTCTATATCTATATCTCTATATCATCTATTAATATATTATCTCTACCATCTATATGTATATCTATAGCTTTCCATCATCTGTGAGGACTAGTTTGACATCAAAGTCACTAGGAAGAATTACTTCTCTTTTGAGAGTTCAATATTTACAATGTTATTGGTTTTCTGTTTGGTAACATTTTAGTTAATCACCCATTTTTGACAAGACTCAATCTAACTTTTCCTGAATAGTCCATGTAATAATTCTTTGCCTTTATATAACACTTTACCCTTTCAAAATATTTTCAAATACATTACTCCAGTTGATTATCTCGACAACCTTTTAATATACGGTGGCTAGTAACATAATTATTGATATAAGAAAAAAAACTGAGATCCCTGTTGGTCAGACAACTGGAACCAGATCCAAGGCTCATGATACTTGGTTTAGTGCTTTATCATGAAACACTGCCTCCCTTGATTGCTTTTTAAAACACCTTTTGGTCTTACATGCTTAGGACATTTTTTGTAAATTTACACAACTGGATTTATTTTTACATACAAGATTTGTGTAACTTGATTGTATTATACAGGCATGCCTTGTTTTATTGCATTTCACTTTATTCTGCTTCACAAATAGTACATTATTTATAAATTAGGTTTGTGGCATCCTTGCATTGTGCAACTCTATTGGCACAATTTTTTCACCAGCAAGTGCTCAATTTGTGTCTCTATATCACATTGGGGAAATTCTTGTAATATGTTAAACTTTCCATTATTATTATTTCTGTTATGGTGATCTGTCATCAGCGACCTTTGATGTTACTATCGTTATTGCTTTGGTGTGCCATGAACCACACCCATACCTTACCTGATAAATGTTGTTTGTTCTGACTGCTACACTGACCAGTCATTCACCCGTCTGTCACTCTTCTCTGGCCTTCCTATTCCCTGAAACAGAACAATATTTAAATTAGGCCAATTAATAATCCTACAATGGCCTCTAAGAGTTCAGTGAATGGAAGAGTTGCACATCTCTCACTTTAAAGCTAGAAATAATTAAGAAGAGTGAGGAAGACACATCAAGAGCCGAGATCAGCTGAAAAATAGGTGTTTTGTGTCAAACGATCAGGCAGGTTGTGAATGCAAAGGAAATATCTTGAAGCAAATTAAAAATGCTACTCCAATTTTCCCTGGAATATTGGCTAACTATATGCAGAAGAAAGAAAGTGGACCCTTATATCTCTCACCATATACAAAAATTAACTCAAGATGGACAAAAGACCTAATTGTAAGACCTGAAACTATAAAAAATCCTAGAAAGAAACCCTAAAAAAATGCTCTTCTTGACAACACTCATGGATGACTTTGAGGAATTTGAGACTTCATTGGAGGATGTAACTGCAGATGTGATGGAAATAGCAAGACAATTAGAATTAGAAGTGGAGCCTGAAGATGTGAATGAATTGCTTCAATCTCATGATAAACTTGAACAGATAAGGTGTTGTTTCCTATGGATGAGCAAAGACAGTAGTTTCTTGAGATGAAGTTTACTGGTAAAGATGTTTTGAACATAGTTGAAATGACAAGAAAGGACTTAGAATATTACACAAACAGCTGAAAAAGCAGTGGTAGAGTTTGAGAGGATTGGCTTCAATTTTGAAATAAATTTTACTGTAGGTAAAAATCTGTAAATCAACATTGCATGCTCCAGAGAAATCTTTTGTGAAAGACAGAGTCAACTGATGTGGCAAACTTCAATGTTGTATTTTACAAAATATTGCTCCAGGAATCCCAGCCTTCAGCAACCATCATCTTGATCAGTCAGCATCCATCCACATTAAGGCAAGACCCTTCACTAGCAAAAAGATTATGACTCACTAAAGGCTCAGATGATCAGTAGTAGTTTTTAGCAATAAAATATTTTTAAATAAATGTATGTACATTTTTAGACATAATGCTACAGTACACTTAGTAGACTTCAGTATGGTGTAAACATAACATTTATATGCACTAGGAAACCAAAATACTCTTGTGACTAATTTTATTGCAACATTTACTTTTTGCAGTGGTCTGGAACAAAACCCACATTGTTGCCAAGGTATGCTTGTATCCCCCAACCGTATGCACAGTGTTTGATGCCTTCCTATCTGCTGAACACCACTGCAAAAAATTCTCATCACTTTGGAAATCTCTATTTTTATACTAATAATGATTAACTTGGAATAAAGGTACTAAAATTCTTAATGTCAGCCTTAACCTTAGTGTCAAATTTCACAGTTTTAATTTATCCTATTTCAGGTTTTTTAAACCAGTGTTCACAATGTACCCTGACTTATCTGTAGAAATTAGTGAACTGTCATATCTCTAAGAAATAAGTTATTTTCCATACTTACAGATCTTAACAATAAGGGCCTATTTGCTACCTACAACTCCCTTAGTATCTTATTATTTAGACATGTAGCAGACAACTAATAAGATCACTAGGGAAAGAGCTGGCATATTATCATTGCAGATATGAAATCCAGATGCCATTTGCAACACATGGGCAGGTAGGATATTGATCTATATTTACTATTCAAATGGCTAGACATCATGGTAATATAAATATGATTTGTCACTTCATTATGTTCTCTTTCTTAACATTGCTAAGTGCCTTAATGTAAAGGTACTGTTTAAAAGTAACAGGTAACAATGCAATTTACAGCATTAGGTTGTTTTTCAAGTTTGTGTGAATATGACTGAGTGGACATATCTGGCAGTGACATTTTCTTGAGTCATGAGAAAATAATTATCTAGTATGTATGGGGAAACCTTTACATTTGTTAATAACTTCAAAGAAAATATATTTGTGGATGTATGAATAGCAAGTGTTTAACTATTAGAGACTATTGTTCACCAACAAGGATGCCAGAACATAACCTTCACCTCAAAAGTTTGAGGGTCCCCAAAACATCTCAATATTTTTAAACTAACCATGGTAGATTGCCAGTGGATCTATTGAGACACTTCTGGAAATGTTTTTTTTTTTTTTCCCCTCTAGGTTTCCTCCACAACTTCTCTACAGAGGAGTGGTTAGTGAGCTTGAACAGCTGAGCAATAATCCTCATGAGAGGTAAAGAGAGAGTTATTTTCAAATGTTCTCCTAGGAAGCCAGTATAAAAGCTGAGATCTCAACACATGATATATTTGCAATTATGTCAGTAGAAACTCAAATGCCAGATGTGCCCAAATAATCCACAACATGGAGTTGATAATATATCAGGGAAGCTGGTAAGCCCAAAGCTGTTGTATTACCTATTTGCAATGACAACAGTCCCCAAGCAATTTTAAATACAATGTGATTTGAACATCTAAAATTCAACAAATGTGGAAACCTCTGAACTTGTGGAGTTGCCTTTTCTTAGAGGACTGAAGTGATAGCATGGATAAGAAAACTATGGCTGGCAGAATAAGAGATTCAGGTAACCATGAAAATAACTTGCTAGACTCATGGGGGAAATACAGATACACCTGCGCTTCTGCAAAGTATTTGCTTTTTAAGAGCCAAGAATTACCTGTTGTGACAGGAAGCCTCACGTTGCTTGCTTGACTTCAGTGTTGAGCCTTCTGCTTTGGCATAGGAGGAGTGGAATGCTGAGCCTAATGAGTTTGAGAATTCAGCACACGCCAAAAGAACCAAACTGTTTCAATTGGTTCAGGTAGCTTTTACTACTCAGGATCTTGAAAATATTGATTCTGTAATAAGACCCAAAAAACAATGCCATCCCTGGAATATTCTTTTTCCTCTCCTACTTTTACAAGGGACCATTCTGATGAGAGGATACCATAAAATATATAGGTATAATTGTTATACATTGCGTGTGTGAGATTTTATATATCATGGATGAAATAATCTTAACCTTGAAAATAATTCATGCATGTGTAACTAATAACCACATTAACTATAAAAATAATATCAATAAAATAGACATTAAAAAGTATTAAGGGGATGCAATCCCATGCCATCAGGCATGTTTGAATTAGATGTCTTGCGACCACACTTCTTATAAATAATTCACTTCAATATTATATGCTCAACACTGTTTTCAGCATCGTAGGGGACACAAAATGAAGAGCAATGACTTTGTCTTCTAGCAAGAGGAAACTCACTTGATAACAACATATGTCCATGTTCTAGAAATTCTTAATGTCTATTTTATTGTAATCCCTTATTGGTTAAAGAGGGTATTGGTTACACATGCCTTAAAAATTTTCTAGGTGAACATAATCCATGCTATGTACAATATATTGTGGATACTTCAGTTCTATTATGTTAGATAGGTTTTGAAATTATTTTCCTATGAGATTGAAGGTCTTGTTCCTAGGGCATCTTACCACAGATCTTGAATGGTCTTCTTATACATCTCAAGGATTAAAAACAATATCAAGTTTTTGCATGCCCCCCAAGGAATGAGATAGGGAATGTACAAGATGATCTTAGATGTCTTCTTATACTAGAAAGTAAAAAAGTGTTCAAAAAATCATGGGGACATGTCAAAAGGACACAAAGTCATCTTGAAAAACCCTATACTGGGCCAATTGTGAAAACATTTAAACATCAAAATAAATACTAATAGTAATGGATTATAACTTATTGAATAGCGTAAGAATCCATACTTCCATAGTGATAAAAATAAGTAAATAGGTAAATGGGGGAGAAAAAATAGAATGCCAACTAGTAAATGTAGAAGGAATGATGGAATTAGAAAATTATCACTGAAATTTTAAGCTTGTGAGTGATAGTCTAATAAAGAACAGGATATCTATATCATCTCAAAGTATCTTCTCAAAAACTACCTATTAATTAAAAAGAGGGGAAAAGTGTCTTGAAAGTGGAGAAATCTGGAGGACAGCACCTTATATAAGTAATCAAAGTTAAAATCACCAATAATAAAATAAACTCATATCACTTGTTTTCTATTATGATGCCTTGGAATGGTTATATCACTTTCCTGTTATCCCTGCTAGAATGTATAAACTAAACATAATAATGAGAATGTATAAACTAAACATAATCATGAGAAAATATCTAATATTTAGGGATATACTTCAAAATAACAGGCCTGTATACTTCAAAAAATATTAAGGATTATAAAAAGAAGATAAGGAACTGATTCAAATTAAAAGAGACTGAGGAGATATGAAAACTAAATGTAATGCATGCTCCTGTATTCGATGATGAATAGGGAAATTGTATAGCTTTAACATACATTGTTTCAACAATGGTAAAAATGTATTTAGGGACTGTGGATTAGATAATAGTATTATAGCAGATATCAAATGTGCAGATTGTAATAATTATACTCTGGCTATGTAAGAGAATATTTTTACTTTTATTTTTAGAAGACAGGTACTGAAGTAATCAGGCATGTAAAGAACTGTTCAAGACAGCTGAGGCTGCCATAACAAGGCATCACAAACTGGGTGGTTTAAACAAACAAACAAATCCTTTCTCACAGTTCTAGAAGTTAGAAATACAAAATCAAGGTGTCAGTGAGGTTTGTTCCTTCTGAAGCTGTGAAAGAAAGATCTATTTCAGGTATCCCTCTTGAATTACAGATGATTGTCTTCTCCCTGTGTCTCATCACATGGTGTTCTACCTGTACCCCTGTGCCTACATTTTCCCCTTTCATAAGGACATCAATAATTTTGTATTGCAGTCAACTGTAATCATCCCTCATTAGCTTGGTTATCTCTGTAAAGACCTTATCTCCAAATAAGGTCACATTTTGAGGCCCTGGGGATTAGGACTTCAACATGTGTATTTTGGGTGACCACGTGTCAACCCATAACATTCAATATCTCCAATCCTCTGTTATTCTCAAATGAGTCAGAACAATATATTCATTTACAAAGATAAGTTCTAAAGTTATATTAGATAGAATGCATTTTAGATCGATATCTAATCTTTAAAAAATTAAATAGATTTTTTAACAAAAATAGTAATATTTCAGGTAGATGCTACGTGTGATTATTAGCTTTTTGTGTTAAATTAGCTAGAAGATAGTCCCCAATTATTTATAATAATCAAACAATAATCTGTGTATTACTGTGAACATATTCTTTGTATGTAGTTAACATCTACAATAAGTTGACTTTAAATCTAAAAAATTACACTGGATAATGTGAGTAGGACCTCACCCAGTTAGTTCAAAGGTTTTGAGAATGAAAATGGATGCTAACTGAAAAAAAGAGCAATTCTGCCTCAATACTGCAGCATCAACTCCTACTTGACTTTCCAGACTGCTGGCCTGCCCTACCAATTTCAGACTTGCCAGCCCCCACAACTGCGTGAGATAATTTCTCACAATAAATGTATTTCTACAGATAGGTAGAAAAATAAATAGACGGATAGACGCTTCTAGAGATAAATAGACTGAGATAATCTATAGACTTCTTTATCTACCAATCTATTTAAGATATATATGTTTATCTTTATTTGTATTAATTATCTATCAGTTCTCTCTCTCTCTCTGTCTGTCTCTCCTGGTTCTGTTTCTCTGGAAACCCCAAATGATATAGATTTTGGTACCAAGAGATTGTCACAGCAACATAATCTTAAAAATTAGTTTCTTAATTATTTGTTTTTTTTGGACATTCTTCTCTAACCTTATTAGATTTCAAGGCACTAATTACTCTATTTTTATTGGTAAAGAGGACACTGATAGTCAATGGCATAATGTGGCAATACAGATATGTGAAATATCACCTTTAAATACCCCTAATCTAATAGTTATTTTAAAAATAGAAAACTAAAACCCCTTACAAAAAGGCAAAGTTCTGAGTAACCAGGCATTCGATACCTTAGAACATTTTGTCAAACTAATGAGAATAATGTAACTGGCTGGTTTCTTCTAACTATGCTGTTGGAAGTGGATGGGCAGGAAGTGAAGCATGAGCTTAAGGCTTATAATTCCCAGCTAAAGGTCCAGATAAATTATCTGAAAGTTTTTATGTCTTCCCTGAGAAAACTCTATCTTCCATAGTCACAGGGTTGAGAGTGTTGAAAACCAAATCCAGAGACTCATCCTGTGAGTGAATAAATTACAAAGTGACTTGAATTCTCAACCTTGTAAAATATCTTCTGTTAAGACAAGAGTATTAGATGAGAAGGACTGAGAATCTTAAAATTGGACTGGGCACATATGGACAGATCCTGATGAAGCTGGGAATATTGAACCCCTAAATGTTGATGATTCTTCTTAGTAGGAGCAGCTTTTCTACCCCTGTTTGAGGAGGTTACCCTGTCTTTGCCTGAGGAATTTTAATGACCTTCCCAGAGGTAGTTCCCTTATAAGGCACTTCTGTGTCTCTTTAGGACCTACCCCTAATGTCTTTCTTTGCTTTTAGACCTATAACTAGGCACAAGTCCCAGCAGGCCCTAAAGGGTAAGGTACAAAGTGTTACCCATGAGGAAGTGCACTATACTCCAAAAGAACTGTATGATGTTTTCCAATTTATGAATAAACAAAAATGTGGAGAATATATACGGGAATGAATATTCGGGATGTGGAATAATGGTGAATGGAACATACCATTATATCAAGTTGAATTTTTTATATGGGCCCACAAAGCAGAGCGTATTCAATGTTGCAGCTTAAGTTAGAGCTTTCTAATAACTTGTTTGGATGGCTGGCTGAAATATGGACCAAAATGTGCCCATGCTAAATAAAAATAAAGTACCAGAACTTCCTTGGTATACTGTAGAAGAAGGTATCTAAAGGCTTAGGGAGATTGAAAACTTACAATGAATTTATTATGTAAAACTTGCTTACCCATTCCAGAAGGGTCTACAGAAGACTTCTGTCATTACAACTATGACATATAAAGTTGCAAGTGGAGCCCTGGCATTACTGAAAAACTCTGGCGTTTCTCCTTCCCTTAGGTTAGAAATTACAGTGGGAACTACTGCCAATGAATAAGGATGTCTAAATCAATGGGGTGACCACTAAACAGGAATCTTTAAATGGATTCTGGGGTTGCAGAGGCCAAGTGGCAACACTTAATTGCCAAAGTCAAGGTAGGTATGGTCACAGTAATTGGCAAGGGAAATAGATAGGCACACATCAAGAAAGCATTTCGTCAACTGCCTGTTTATCGTCAATGAAAATCCTGATCAAGTAGCCAATATGATTGGTCTTTGCAAACCAGACTGTAATTATTTCTTTATTGTCAATTATGTAATTGACTTCAAACACTTCTGTAATATGAATCACCAAAACAGAAAATTATAATCGCTCAATCAATCTTGAAACTTGAGTCACTTTACAGACCTACGACTTCTTGAATGAATGGGAGTCCAGGCTCCTGTGGAGAAGAACCCTACTATACTGCCAAAAATGTATACCATTAATCTTTCTCCCAGACTTCCCCAAATGAACCTAAAGTCTTCTATTAGGGTTACTGTGCATTGGGAAAAAGCAAATAATCAGACTTTTTGGGCATTAATTATTAGCCATAATTACACTGGTTCTGAACTCACACTAATTCCAGGTGGCCAAAAATACTACTAAGTGTAACCAGTCGAATTTTTGGTTTGTAGAGTTAGTGTGGTCAATGATGCTTTAGCTCAGATCCATCAAACAATGAGCTCAGAGGGTTTCCAAACCCATCTTTTGGTAAATCCCTCAGTTTCAGAATACATAATTGAAATAGAAATATCCAGCAACTGGCAGAATGAGGGCTACTATGGTAGGAAAGGCCAAGTTAAAGCCACTAGAACTGCCTCTACCTCGAAAAATTGTAAACAAAAGCAGTACCACATTTCTGGAGGAACTCCAGAGGTTAGTGTCACAACCATGGACTTGAAAGATACTCCCCCCCACATCTCATTAAACTCACCTATTTGTTCTGTGCAGAAAACACATAGATCTTAGAGAATGACAGTGGATTATTGTAAGCTTAACCAGGTCATAACTCCAATTACAGCCACTGTATCTGATGTGACTTAATTTCTTTAGCAAATTAACACATCCCCTGGCACCTAGTATGTGGGTATTGATCTAGCAAGTGCTTTTTTATTTACGTCTGTTAATAAAGACCACCAGAAGCAGTTGACTTTCCGCCGACAAGACCGGCAATACCCCTTTACTGTTATACTCCATGGGTATATCAATGCTCCAGCCCTATGCCATCATAGATGTAAGGAAAATTTGATTGCTTTTCTCTTCCATAAGACATTATGCTGGTCCATTACATTGATAGTATTTTGCTGATTGGATATAGTATGTAGAAAGTAGCAATTACTCTAGGATTATTGGTAAAAAATTTCCTTGTGTTAGAAGGTAACAAAATAAATTTCACAGAAATTTGGCGGCCTTCGATGTCAGTGAAATTTCTAGAGGTCCAGTGGTGTGGAGCATGTCACGATATACTTCCTGAGATGAAGAATACATGAGTGCATCTGAATCCTTGTGCAACCGAAAAAGAAAAATACACATCTAATGGGCCTCTTTAGCCATTGGAGGCAGTCATATCTCATTGAGGTATACCACTCCAGTACATTTTTCAACTGAAATAAAAAGCTACTAGTTTTAAGTGGTGTCCAGCACAAGAGAAGGCTTTCTAGAAGGCCCAGGTTGCTGTGCAAGCTGTTCTGTCACTTGGGCCACATGAGCCAACAGATCCAATGGTGCTTCAAGTGTCTATGGCAGATAGAGATGCTTTTTGAAGGTTTTGTCATTTTGATAAGTGGCTTTTTGCTTGGTACTGGGCCTTAGTAAATTATGAATGCTTGATTATGAACCACCAAGTTAACATATGACCTGAGTTTCTCATCATAAACTGGATATTGTCTAAGCCATGAATCTATAAAGTTGAGCTTGCACAACAGCATTGCATTATTAAATGGAAGTGACAAACAATATCATGATTGAGTAAACCCAAAGGCACAAGGAAGTTATGTAACAAAGTAGCCCCAATGCTTATAGTTTCGACGCTTGTTATATTACCTTTACTCACTCATCCCACTCTTACAGCCTCATGTGGAGTTCCTTGTGATTGTTTCACTGAATAAGAGAAAACTCAGGTCTGGTTTACAGATTGTTCTATATGATATGCAGTACCACCTGAAGGTGGACAGCTGCAGCACAGCAGCCCCTTTCTGAGACGTCTCTGAATGACAACGGTGAAGGAAAATTCTCTCAGTAGGCAGAAGCTCAAGCTGGTTTTAAATTTTAGGAAGAGGAGAAAATTCCCAGATGGATGGAGAAAAAAATTAAATGGATAGAATGACCAATTCTGATGATAGCAATCAGACTTTTTTTCCAAGACACTCCTGTATTAACCAGTGGGCTCATAACAATGGCCATGATGGCAGAGAGGGAGATTATGCATTGCTCAGCAACAGAAACTTCCACGCATCAAGGTTGATTTTGTTACCACCACTGCTGAGTGTCTAATTTGCTAGCAGCAGAAACCAACACTGAGTCTCTGATATGGACTATTCACCAGATGAACAGACAGCTATTTGGTAACTGATTAATTACATTTAACCATTTCTATTATGAAAGAAGCAGCACTCTGTTATGTGACTGGAATGGACATTTACTTTAGAAAAATATTTGCCTTCCCTGAACACAATGATTCTGAAAAAACTATCATCTGCAGACTTACAGAATACCTTACACACTACCATGGTATATAATACACCATTATTTATGATTAAATAATTCACTTCACAGCAATTATAGGCAATATGCTTATGTTCATGGAATTCAATAATTTTACTGTGTTTCTCACCATGCTGCAGCAGCTGGCCTGATAACTCAGTGTAATAATCTTTTGATGAGTCAGTGATGGTGGCAGCTAAGTAGCAGTAACTTGCAGGGCTGGGGCAAGGTTCTCCAGGAAGATGTATATGCTCTGAATCAGTGTCCAACATATAATGCTGGTTCTACTATACACGCAATATGTGTGTCAAAAAATCAAGGGTAGAAATGGGAGTGACACCACTCACTACTGCCTCTGTTGACCCATGAACAAAATTGTTTCTTCTTGTTCAGATGAATTTATGCTGTATTGGCCAAGAGATTATAGTTCCAGAGGGAAGACTGCTTCTACCAGAAGACCCAAGAATGATTTCATTGAAATAGAAGTTAAGACTGCTACCCATCTACTTTGGGCTTCTCATGCCTCTAAGTAAATTTTGCTTATTTTTAGTTACTGTGCTAATTGGAACAATTGATCCTGACTGCCAAGAATAAATCGGACTGTTGCTATACAATAGAGGTAAGGGAAGACTATGTCTGGGAGGCAGGAGATATTTTTGGATATCTGTTAGTGCTACCATGCCCTGTGGTTAAAGTCAATGGAAAACTATGACAACCAAATCCAGGCAGGACTACCAGTAGCCAAGACCCTACAAGAATGAAGGTTTGTGTTACCCACCAGACAAAGAACCATGGCCAACTGACATTCTTGCTGAGAACAAAGAATGCAAGCAATGGAAAGTGGGAAAAGGTAAGTATAAATAGAAGCTACAACCATGCAATCAGTTTTTAGTTATGAGTACTGTAATAATTTTCAATATGTATGCTGAATTTTGTTTTGAGTGTATATAAAATTTTTGTTTTCTTCTTTATTATCCCCTTATCCTATAACATAAGATGTTTTAATAATGGTTAACTTTACATCACAGTAATTAAGTTACTGGATGTATTAGTTTGATAGGACCACAATAACAAACCACCACAAACTGAGCAGATAAAACAAGATAAATTTATGTTCTCACAGTTCTGGAGTCTATAATTTTGAAATCAGGTTGTCAGGAGGGTTGGTTCTTTCTGAGGGCTGTAAGGGAAAATCCTGTTCCAGGCCTTACTCCTCCACTTTCCTGGATAAACAAAAGCCAAAGAAGCCTATTACCACTAGACCTACTCTATAAGAAATGCTAGTGGGAGTCCTTCAATTTGAAACAAAAAAGGCAGTAGGCAGTAACACAAAGCCATCCAAAAATATAAAGCTCTCTAGTAATGGTAAATACATGGGCTAATATATCCTGTACTGTTGTGATTTTGGTCCATATAATTTTAATGATAAAAACATTAAAAGTCAATGTTAATGTATATACAACATAGAAAGATATACTTTGTGACATTGATAACATAAAGTGTGGAAGATGGAGCAGTAAAGTAGTTGAATTTTATATGTTATCAGTTTAAATTGTTATCAGTTTAAAATGGAATTCTGTAACCACGATGTTTTATGTAATCACAGTAATAACTACAAAATATACATGAAAGGAGATAATAAGGCATTAAAAGCACATCAATACAAAAAGTCAACAGAACACAAAGGAAGTCAGTAAGAGGGGAAATGCACAAAACAGCTACCAGACATATGGAAAACAATGAACTAAATGGCAACAGTAAGTCCTTCCCTATCAGTAATTACTTTAAATGTAAATGGATGAATCTCTTCAATCGAAAGATACAGACAGGCTGAATGAATTTAAAAAACAGGATCCAACTATATGCTCTCTCCAGGACATTCACTTTATTTTTATTTACTTATTTTTTATTTTTTTTTATTTCCATAGGTTTTCAGGGAACAGGTGGTATTTGGTTACATGAGTAAGTTCTTTAGTGGTGATTTGTGAAATATTGGTGCACCCATCACCTGAGCAGTATACACTGAACCCGATTTGTAGTCTTTTATCCCTCAACCCCCTCCCACTGTTTCCCCCTGAGTCCCCAAAGTCCATTGTGTCATTCTTATGACTTTGCATCCTCATAGTTTAGCTCCCACTTATGAGTGAGAATATACGATGCTTGTTTTTTTATTCCAGAGTAACTTCACTTAGAATAATAGTCTCCAATCCCATCCAGGTTACTGTGAATGCCATTAATTCATTTATTTTTATGGCTGAGTAGTATTCCATCATATATATACCACAGTTTCTGTATCCACTCTTTGATTGATGAGCATTTGAGTTGGTTTCACATTTTTGCAATTGAAAATTATGCTGCTATAATCATGCGTGTGCAAGTACCTTTTTTATATAATGACTTCTTTTCCTCTGGGTAGACACTCAATAGCAAGATTGCTGAATCAAATGGTAGTTCTATTTTTAGTTCTTTAAAAAGTCTCCACACTGTTTTCCATAGTCGTTGCACTACTTTACTTTCCCACCAGCACCATAGAAGTGTTCCTTTTTCACTGCATCAATGCCAACATCTATTTTTTTTATTTTTGAATTATGACCATCATTACCAGAGTAAGGTGGTATCCCATTGTGTTTTGATTTGCATTTCCCTGATCATTACTGATGTTGAGCATTTTTTCATGTTTGCTGGCCATTTGTATATCTTCTTTTGAGAATTGTTTATTGATGTCCTTAGCCCACTTTTTGATGGAATTTTTTTCTTACTAATTTGTTTGAATTCATTGTAGATTCTGGATATCAGTCCTTTGTTGGATGTATAGATTGTGACGATGTTCTCCCACTCTGTGTGTTGCCTGTTAAATCCGCTGACTGTTCCTATTGCCATGTGAAAGCCCTTTAATTCAGTTAATTCTCACGTATTTACCTTTGTTTTTATTGCATTTCCTTTGGGGTTCTTGTTCATGAAGTCCTTGCATAAGCCAATGTCTAAAAAGGTTTTTCCAATGTTATCTTCTAGAATTTTTATAGTTTCAGGTCTTCGATATAAGTCTGATCCATCTTGAGTTGATTTTTGTATAAGGTGAGAGATGAGGACCCAGTTTAATTCTCCTATATGTGGCTTGCCAATTATCCCAGCACCATTTGTTGAATAGGTTGTCCTTCCCCCACTTTATGTTTTTGTTTGCTTTATCAAAGATCAGTTGGCTGTAAGTATTTGGGTTTATTTCTGGGTTCTCTTTTCTGCTCCATTGGTCTGTGTGCCTATTTTTATACCCGTACCATGCTGTGTTGGTGATTATGACCTTATAGTATAGTTAGAAATCAGGTAATGTGATGCCTCAGGATATGTTCTCTTTGCTTAGCCTTGGTTTGGCTGTGAGCGCTCTCTTTTTGTTCCATATGAATTTTAGGATTTTTTTTCTAGTTCTGTGAAAAATGACGCTGATATTTTGATGGGAATTACATTGAATTTGTAGATTGCTTTTGGCAGTATGGTCATTTTCACAATATTGACTCTACCCATCCAAGAGCATGGAATGTGTTTGCATTTGTTTGTGTCATCTATGATTTCTTTGAACAGTGTTTTGTAGTTTTCCTTATAAAGGTCCTTCACCTCCTTGGTTAAGTATATTCCTAAGTAGGGTTGAGTTCTTGATTTGATTCTCAGCTTGATTGCTGTCGGTATATGGCAGAGCTACTAATTTGTGTACATCAATTTTGTATCCTAAAACTTTGCTGAATTCTTTTTTTGTTTGTTTTGTTTGTCTGTTTGTTTGTTTTTTGAGACCGAGTCTCACTCTGTCACCCAGGCTGGAGTGCAATGGCGCCAGTCTTGGCTCACTGCAACTTCTGCCTCCTGGGTTCAAGAAATTCTCCTGTCTCAGCCTCCGAAGTGGCTGGTATTACAGGTACCCATCACCATACCCGGTCAATTTTTAGTATTTTTAGTAGAGACAGGTTTTCGCCATGTTGGCCAGGCTGGTCTTGAACTCCTGACCTCAGGTGATCCACCTGCCTCGGCCTCCCAAAGTGCTGGGATTACAGATGTGAGCCACCACGCCCAGCCATTGCTGAATTATTTTATCAGTTATAGATGCTTTATGGCGCAGTCTTTAGGGTTTTTTAGGTATGCAGTTATATCATCAGAAACAGTGACAGTTTGATTCTCTACCGATTTGGATGCCCTTTATTTCTTTCTCTTGTCTGATTACTCTGGCTAGGATTTCCAGTACTGTGTTGAATGGAAGTTGTGAATGTGGGCATCCTTGTCTTTTTCCAGTTCTCAGAGGGAATGCTGTCAACTTTTTCCCATTCAGTATTATGCTGGCTGTGAGTTTGTCATAGGTGGATTTTATTTCATTAAGGTATGTCCCTTGTATGCCAGTTTTGCTGAGGGCTTTAATCATAAATGGATGCTGGATTTTGTCAAATGCTTTTTCTGCATCTATTGAGATGATCATGTCATTTTTGTTTTTAATTCTGTTTATGTCGTGTATCACATTTATTGACTTGTGTATGTTAAACCATCCCTGCATCCCTGGTGTGAAACCCACTTGATCATGGTGGATTATCTTTTTGATATGTTGTTGGATTTGGTTAGCTAGTATTTTGTTAAGGATTTCAACATCTATGTTCATCAGGGATATTGGTCTGTAGTTTTCTTTTTTTGTTATGTCCTTTCCTGGTTTTGGTATTAGGGTGATACTGGCTTTATAGAATGATTTAGGGAGGATTCCTTTTTTATCTATCCTGTAGAGTAGTGTCAATAGAATTGGTACCAATTATTATTTGAATGTCTGGTAGAATTCAGCTGTGAATCCCCCTGGTCATGGACTTTTTTTGTTGTTGGTAATTTATTATTATTATTATTATACTTTAAGTTGTGGGATACATGTGCAGAATGTGCACGTTTGTTACATAGGTATACACAGGCCATAGTGGTTTGCTGCACCCATCAACCCATCATCTACATTAGGTATTTCTCCTAATGCTATCATTCCCCTAGTCCTGCACCCCTCAACAGACCCAAGTATGTGAAGTTCCCCTCCCATTTTTCCATGTGTTCTCATTGTTCAACTCCCACTTATGAGTGAGAATATGCGGTGTTTGGTTGTCTGTTCCTGTGTTAGTTTGCTGAGAATGATGGTTTCCAGCTTCATCCATGTCCCCTAGGAGGGACTTATATTTTCAGGAATTTATTCATCTCCTGTAGATTTTCTAGTTTATGATGCAAAGGTGTCCATAGTATCCTTGAATGATCTTTTGTCTTTGTGGTGTCACCTGTAATAGCTCCCATTTCATTTCTCACTGAGCCTATTTGGATTTTCTCTCTTCTTTTCTTGGTTAATCTTGCTAATGGCCTATCAATTTCATTTATCTTTTCAAAGAAACAGGCTTTATTTCATTTATCTTTTGTATTGTTTTTCTTCTTTTAATTTCATTTGATTTCTGCTCTGATCTTTGTTATTTCCTTTCTTCTGCTGGGTTTGGATTTGGTTTGTTCTCATTTCTCTATTTTCTTGAGGTGTGACCTCAGATTTTTTATTTGCACTCTTTCAGGCTTTTTGATTTGGCATTTATGGCTATGAACTTTTCTCTTAGCACTTCCTTTGCTATATCCCAAAGGTTTTGATAGATTGTGTCACTATTATCATTCAGTTCAAAGAATTTTTTAATTTCCGTCTTGACTTTATTGTTGACCCAATAATCTCTCAGGAGCAGGTTACTTAATTTCCACGTATTTGTATGGTTTTGAACATTCCTTTTGGAGTTGATTACTAGTTTTATTCCACTGTGGTCTGAAAGAGTACTAGATATAATCTCAATTTTGTGAAATTTATTAAGACTTGTTTTGTGGCCTATTATATGGTCTATCTTGGAGAAAATTCCATGTGCTGATGAATAGAATGTATATTCTATGGTTGTTGGGTAGAATGATCTGTAAATAGCTGTTAAGTCCATTTGTTCCAGGGTATAACTTAAATCTATTGTTTCTTTGTTTATTTTCTGTCCTGATGACCTGCCTAGTGCTGTCAGTGGAGTATTGAACTCTCCCAATATTTTTGTGTTGCTGTCTATCTCATTTCTTAGGTCGAGTAGTAATTGTTTTATAAATTTGGTAGCTCCAGTATTAGGTGGATATATATTTAGGATTGTGATATTTTCCTGTTGGACAAGGCCTTTTATCATTATATAATGTCCCTCTTTGTCTTTTTTACTGCTATTGCTTTAAGGTTTGTTATGTCTGACATAAAAATAGCTACTACTGCTCACTTTTGGTGTCCATTTGCATGGAATGTCTTTTTCCACCCCTTTACCTTAAGTTTATGTGAGTCCTTATGTGTTAGGTGAGTCTCTTGAAGGCAGCAGATAGTTGGTTAGTGAATTTTTTTTTCCATTCTGCAATTCTGTCTTTTAAGTGAAGCATTTAGGCCATTTACATTGAACGTTAATATTGAGATGTGAGGTACTATTCTATTCATCATGCTATTTGTTGCCTGTATACCTTAGGGCTTTGGTTGTTTGTTTTTTACTGTATCTTTGTTTTATAGGCCCTGTGACATTTATGCTTTATAGAGATTCTGTTTTGATGTGTTTTCAGGATTTGTTTTAAGACTTAGAGCTCTTTTTTAGCAATTCTTGTAGTGCTGGCTTGGTAGTGGTGGATTCTCTCAGCACTTGTTTGTTGGAAAAAGACTGTCTTTCCTTCACTTATGAAGCTTACTTTTGCTGAATACAAAATTATTGGCTGATAATTGTTTTGTTTGAGGAGGCTGAAGATAGGGCTCCAATCCCTTCTAGTTTGTAGGGTTTCATCTGAGAAATCTGCTGTTAATCTGACAGGTTTTTCTGTATAGGTTACCTGGTGCTTTTGTCTCACAACTCTTAAGATTCTTCCTTTGTCTTGACTTTAGATAACCTGATAACGAAGTGCCTAGGTGATGGTCTTTTTATGATGAGTTTCCCAGGTGTTCGTTGAGATTCTTATATTTGGATGTCTAGGTCTCTAGAAAGGCTGGGGAAGTTTTTCTCAATTATTCCCCCAAATATGTTTTCCAAACTTTTAGTTTTCTCCTCTTCCTCAGGAATGCCTATTATTCTTACGTTTGGTCATCTATCATAATACCAAACTTCTTGGATGCTCTCATTATTTTTTTATTCTCTTTGTGAGTTTTTGTTGGATTGGGTTAATTTGAAAACTTTCTCTTGGAGCGCTGACGTTCTATATTTTTTTTTTTTTTTGAGACAGAGTCTTGCCAGGCTGTCACCCAGGCTGGAGTGCAGTGGTGCAATCTCAGCTCACTGCAAATGTCTGCCTCCCAGGTTCAAGCAATTCTCCTGCCTTAGCCTTCTGAGTAGCTGGGATTACAGGCACATGCCACTATACCTGGCTAATTTTTGTATCTTTAGTAGAGACAGGTTTCACCATGTTGGCCAGGCTGCTCTTGAACTCCTGACCTCAGGTGATCCACCCTTCTCAGCCTCCCAAAGGGCTGGGATTACAGGCATGAGCCACCATGCCCAGCCTGAAGTTCTTTCTTTCTTTTTTTTTTTTTTTTTGAGATGAAGTCTCACTCTCTTGCCCAAGGTGGAATGCGGTGGTGCCATTTCAGCTCACTGCAACCTCCACCTCCTGGGTTCAAATGATTCTCCTGCCTCAGCCTCCCAAGTAGCTGGGATTAAAGGCACATGCCATCATGTCTGGCTAATTTTTGTATTTTTATTAGAGACAGGATTTCACCATATTGGATAGGCTGATCTTGAACTCCTGACCTCCAGTGATCCTCCTACCTTGGCCTCCCAATGAGCTCTAAAGTTCTTCCTTTTTCTTCTTCGATTCTACTGTTGAGACTTTCCAGAACATTTTGCATTTCTCTAAGTGTGTCCTTTGTTTCCTGATGCTGTGATTATTTTTTATTTATGTTATCTATTTCACTGGAGATTTCACTGGAGATTAATGACATTTACATTAGGTATTTCTCCTAATGCTATCCTTCCCCCAGCTCCCCACCTGCCGACAGTCTCCCGTGTGTGATGTTCCCTACCCTGTGTCCATGTGTTCTCACTGTTCAACTTCCACCTATGAGTGACAACATGAGGTACTCTAGTTTTAAAAGTCCAGTCACCTAGTTGTTTGACCTCCCACTGAATTCCTCTTTTCAGTCATTCATAGTTCCTCTAATTCAGTCTTTCCTCAATTTTTCCTAAGATAAAAGCACAGATTTGTGCTACTTAAAGTAAAAATTGCCAAGTTACTCCCTCTGATTCAGTAAGTCTAGGGATGAGCCCAAGATTCTGTATTTTAAAAGAGATGCTTTAAGTGTTTCTTTTCCGTCAGACAAATTTTTGAAGCGTAAAGCAAATTTTACTTTATTTGCAGAGTAAAATAATTGCCTACTCTAAACAGTGAATACTTAAGCTGCATGAAAACAATTACTGACTTCTTCCTTTCCCTCTATAGCAGAGGTTATTAAACTTGTCATGGTACTCATCTCCTTGACACTTTGGTGAAATCTACAGACCCCTTCACAATAATATTTTTAAATGCATAAAATAAAATACAAGGATGACAAACCAATTATACTGAAATGAAGATATAAAAATATTGTATAACATAAATTGTATCATGATAATATATGCAGTGAATTATTAATACATTAAGTAAAAATATCCAGGATTTCAAAGTAATGCTTTTAGTGATATTGGCAAAAGCTGTAATGTTATGTAAAATAATATCTATGATTTCTATTGGTGACCAAGTTAAGGTTCTGATAATAACACTGTGGACTGTTAGCAGCATTCATTAATTGGAAGAAGTGCTTAATTTCTATGAAAGGTTAATTAAAATAAAAATGTGTTTTTTAATTCAATTTCAAGGACTTTCTGAATGCCCTAACTTTAAGGAATTTTGCTCTAGAGGCTCTTCCTGAAATCTTTCAAGCAGATCCCCTTAGACAGATAGAGCTAGAGGGAGTTGATGAGATGTAGAGAAGAGATTGGGGAGGTTAACGCATTTCTATTTACGGAGGGGTAAACAGACCTGTACCCAACACTGAAAATGTCAAATGACTGATTCGTTGCCAGCTGGTGGTGTTCTTACTGGGTCTTCTTGGTGTGTATGTGGAGTCCAATTAGCTGGAGAAAGAATCAGGAGCCACTAGCCTCACTGTTTTATTTGATCAGTTGGTCTTGCCTGATTTTCTCTTTAGAACTTTTGCGATCTTCACCCCACATTTCACCTTCCTTATCTGAGACCATCTACCTTTTCCATAGCCTAGACTAGAAAGCCATTTATGTAATAATGTAGCTTACATTGGGAGCTGTCCCTTCAGCTTATGTTTTTCTTTGCCTTTGAGAGCAAATAAGTTTTATATGGCTAGTAAGTTTTTGAAATACACATACATGTATCACTAAACATAACTCAGATGATCTTCTGACATACTGCAGTCTGCCAAAAGAAAATTTCCAGAGCAGCTGCAGTCAACTTAGATGTTTTGTTTTGTTTTTTTGTCTTTCTCTTCATCCATGGGACAATGTGTTTAATTTTGGTTAGAAATAATTTAGGTCACAACAAATGAAGTAAGTTTCCAAACATCTCCTATGTTGTAATCATTTTAAAAATATTTCTGAGAGAAAGGAATCATCATTATGGTAACTGCCCTTTTAGCCCTTCTTACCCATAACATTACTCCTACACAATGTGCTTACTTAGATAAAATAATTCAAAAGTAACTTTTTGAAGCTTCTCACCATAAATAAGGCTTTGCACATCATATTGCATCAGAGAAATCACCCCATATAAGACAAGCACAATTATTTTTTAAATACCCCCCTGCATAAAGATAAGTGGACTTCTATGGCAACGACATTTTGGATAGGGAATATGTTTGACTTAAACTAAGGAGAACATTTTTGGTAATACGCACTGTCTTTTTTTCTCTAAGAGCCTGGTTGGCCAGTAATCTGACTAGAAACTGTCAACAAATATTGCTCTGTTACATTCTACATAACTCAGTTACCATGGCAACTGTATCCCTACTGACAAGAAAGAAAGATAAACATATGGTTGGGTAGCAGTCTTACTTCAAGAAGCATAAAATCTATTTACAGGATCATCATTCTTTCTGAGAGAAGTAAGGTCTTCAAAACCAAAAGCAGCTTTAATCAAATATTCTTATGGACTGTTAAAAATGTTTCTTTTTTTGCTAATAAGAAAAAAAATAATGTTGTTTTGCAATATTTTCAGAATGTTTTATTTATTTTCAAAAATCAATATAAGCCAATGAAAGTCCATTTATAATCAAACGTGCATTGCACCTTGCATAGCTTATTCTTACTACTAAAAAATATTCAGGCAGCATTTCCGAAGTACCTACCATGTACATAACAGAATACTAAGCTCTGTGGTCTAATATAATATCTTGTCCATCAGTTTCATATACGTTATTAAAGAAGATAAATTCATACACAAATTACTGAAGAGTGAAGAATATAAAAATGTAAGTGACATAACAAAGCAATAAATGGCATTTATAGAAACATAGAGAAATATTAATTAGGTGATCTTTTCTCTGGGTTTCCACGGAAACTTGTCCATTCCTCCAATATTGCAATTACCACATGGTGTACCTTATACATAGTATTTAATTAATAAATGTATGTTTCTTACTGACAATTTTATTGATGATCTCTTTGCATATCTATTTATCCATAAGACTATAATCAAATTTTACTCTAGGTATGTGTAGCTAGAATCTAGCATTGTGCCTAATGAATGATAAACCTTAAAAATATATTAAATGTGTTAATGATTTGGAAGGTTGAATTTTTACCTGAGTCTTGAAAAATCAATACCTTTTCTACATTTAGAAATAGGTTATAGATATATTTCTACTTTTTCTAACTTAATAATTCTAAATTTTCCCAAAACATGGGTAAATTTGCAAATTGCTATTAAATTTCATTAGGTCTCTTCAAAATGTTCTGCCTATTTGGATATCCAGAGAGTAATATTAGGTTGGTGCAAAAATCACTGCGGTTTTTGCCATGGAAAGTAATGCCAAACCCCAATTAGTTTTGCACCAACCTAATAAAAATAATGTATTTGATAAAAAGCCTATAGACTTCATCATCAGCATGCTAGAGGTAATATCTTTACATGCATCTAATAATAAAATGTGTCTGGTTTTATATGGGGAAAACATAAGAATAAGGATATTAGTAATTGATAGCAAATTGGGAGAAACCTCAAGTATTACCATTTCTTGTCTTACTAGTAAAATTACAACGGACTTTGTCACTTAAAGTCTACATTTTGTTGGCAAGACCTTCATTTTGAGCCTTAGTCTCTTCTCTTGGAGAATAGGGGTTTTAAACTAGTGATCATTAATATTCTGTGAAACTCTGATGGACTGTGACTCAGCTTCAGTATAAGTTTAAAAATTACAAAGGAATGAAAAATGTGAATCGTATCATCAGTTTATGTGGTGCTATTAAAGCCTACTACTAGGCCGGGTGCGGTGGCTCACGCCTGTAATCCCAGCACTTTGGGAGGCCGAGGCGGGTGGATCACAAGGTCAGGAGATCGAGAGCATCCTGGCTAACACAGTGAAACCCCGCCTCTACTAAAAAAAAACCAAAAAATTAGCTGGGTGTGGTGGCGGGCACCTGTAGTCCCAGCTACTCGGGAGGCTGAGGCAGGAGAATGGCGTGAACCCAGGAGGCGGAGCTTGCAGTGAGCCCAGATCGTGCCACTGCACTCCAGCCTAGTCGACAGAGCGAGACTCTGCCTCAAAAAAAAAAAAAAAAAAAAAAAAAAAAAAGCCTACTACTTAATACACCATTTTCTCTAAAGCATGATAAATAGAATACATCTGGGTTAGGTTTTAACTTTGTAATACCGGTTTATAAAAGATATGTGATATTTATAAATGAAAGTTTTGCTAAAGTAAAAAAACAAGGTTTGGGGGGGTACTAAGACTATTTAGACTAAAGCTGTTCAATGGAACACCCTCCTCCAAACACACACACACACACACACACACACACATACACACACCACAGCCTTATGCTGACCTATGTGCATGTGTTTCTTTGACAGGTAAACTGTCATTCATTTTTCAAGCTCCAACTCAAACGACAACTTCCCTCTATCTAGTAGTCCTGTCCAATAGAACTTTGTGACAATGGGAAAGGTCTACATATCAGTAGTGTGAAATGTAGTAGGCACAAGCCACATGTGGATATTGACCACTAGAAATGTGGCTAGCACACTGAGGAACTGAATTTTAATTTTAATTAATTTTAATATTAATATAAATAACCACATGTGGCAAGTAGATACTGTGTTGGACAGCTCAAATTGAGATTTAAAAGAAAAAAATATTTCAATGGCCTGAAACATTTCCCAAGTGAGATGTGAATTTTAACTTATTCTTAAGTATTTATTGAATCAGTCAGTAAGGCACGAACCTAGTGGGAATTACTTCCCACCTTTGAAGATAATCAAACTGTATTGCCTTAAAATTATTTAGAATTTACAACTCTCACTATTTTGTGAGACTCAAATTAGAGAAATACTAATATTTCTCTAATTTCCTTACTCAAGTATTTTACTTGACAGTTTGAAATTCATTTTTATATCCTGAATTTTATATAAGATTCAGAACAACCTAGAAATATGGGCAAGTTTTTTTTAAATTCTACAGATAAAATCTGGAGCATGAAGAACTGTGAAAGACAATATGACTTGTAATTTGCAGAGCCAAAATCCTAATTTGGGCCTCCTAATTTTTAAAAATTAGCCTCCATTCTATTATAAGCTGAGTGTAATGTATTAAGTGTTTTGGTAAAACTTCACTTGAAATTGATGAGGACTTCTTTTTCTCATTAAATTCCCATCAAAGATATTTATTAGGCTGCTTGGTGCACTAATCAGTGATTAGAATATTGAACCTATCAAAAAGAGGAAGGAACAAGAACGAGAGCAACAGGGAGAGAGCAAGAGAAAAAGGAAGAGAGAGAGAGAGAGAAAGCAAAAGAGAGAGAAATTTTAAACCATGTTAGCAGAAGTTTTCCTAAGCTTGAATGAGGTTGTTTAGACAGAGAAAAACAGTACATAATATCTCTGTGTTATTAGGTAGAACTTTTTTTTCAAATATATTTTCATATTGACAGTAAGAATACTACAGGAAGTAACTTACATTTTGCACTCAAGATTTTACAAGCTTATAGACAAGATTTAACACTGAATAGTGTTATTTGCAATGTCTTTCTTTTTTTGGCGGGAGCATAGTATGGAGGGCAAAAAAGTAATACAATATTGAAAGGACCAACAATATGTGTTTAATCATTTGAATTCCATGTGGATGTCATACTACAGTAGAATTTTCTTTTATTCAAACAAATGCTACTTTCACGGACAATAATACAAAGATTCACATTATTATTCACATATGGAATATTCCCCAAGGAAGCTGTTTTCCCAAGATGTGGTGCCATGAATTCCTTTGATAGACCAAAGTGTTAGATACATCTTCATACCTATCTTCTGCTCCTGCAAGAATTTTTGAAGGTGATGTCAGTCCCTCGTTTTTAATGCAGAAATAGTATATGAATGCAATGAAGATCTCAGAAAAAATAGAGTTCTCTAAAATTACAGACAGGAAATTCTAGAAGGACAAATGGACACAATTTTAGAAAACTGTGGAGGTACAATTTCTAAAGTAGTTTATTTGACAAAGATCCTCAAATGCATTTTTAGAAGCACATTGATTTAAAAAAAGTTTGCTAAAGTGATTGAATAAGACAAAAGTGATTAAATAAGACATGATTACACACAAGGTGTGAAAAACAATCCTAGCCCAAGTCACTGACATTTGTAAGCTCCTTTTTCTGCCTTTGTCTGAAATCTTTGGAAACTGTCAGAAACATACAGTCTGCCAGTTAAATGTCTTCTTGGGCTAACAAGAATTTTATGACAATTATAGTCTTGCAAAGTAACGATTCTAATGCATTCTTTCATGCCTGTTATAAGGACTAAAGACTAAACATACTGTGGGTTCTCATTAGTGGCCATTATTAAGTGTAGCTGTATAGGAGTAGGTCTCGTTAAAAGAAATTAAATTGTAAAAATATGCTGCTATATAACATAAAAGCAGTAAAGTTCAGATATCTTTTGTCATATACATCACTGAAATCATTCCCAAAGATTTCATTTACTACCATTAGTGGGCCAACAGATTTACTCTTAATTTTTGTAAATGCTGGTGGAATCACTGTTTGGGTTAGACTTCTACACTTCTTTCAGTCTTCAACCAAAATCTTTGTATTCGTTTCTAAAATCCAGAAACAGTGAAAAATGTTGAGTAATAAGTCCCAAGAAATCATATGGAAAATTTCATTTTTCTATTGTCCCATTTAGATTTTGGTACAAGCCAGGGTAATTTTCAGTCTAGATCTCATTATTGTTTTTTTAATTATTTTTTAATTAGGAGGAAGTACAGTATAATATCTAAGAAAATCCCAAGATTTGAAATCAGCCAGGCCCACATTCTAGTCTCTGCTTCATACATCTTACTAGCTATATAATCATGGCAAGTTGCAAATTTTTGCTTGACCCTCAATTCCCTCACCTATAAAATGAGGATAGTAATAACTCCTATCTCATTATGTTGTTGTGAAGATAAAGTAAAATATGGATGTGGTGAATTTCTTAGCACAGTACTCAACACTAAGTAAATGACAGCAGGTATTACTTAATGGAAAATAAACCATAAGGTTCATATGTGTGGTTCATTTTTGTACATGTCAAGAAGTGACTCCTTTCACTTGATCAACTTTCCGTTGATATTCTGTGGGTTCTTGCAATATGTGAAATATTTTTAAGTGTCATAGCAATATTGAAAGATGAGTTAGACATGGTTTCTTTGCTCAGAGTGTGTAATAGTGTCTAATCTGGCAAATAGCTAAAGGAAAATTACAGAGGTCTTGCATTATTCTTTGTATAAAATATACATCTGAATATTCTAGAAGAGGGAAATGTGCTATGAGTTTAAAAGGCGAAGGAGGAAGAACTTTATAGTCTTGTTTGCTTTGTATTTACTTATTATTAATTTTTCACATGAAGAGAAAGTCTGAAGACAGAAGTTAAAGTGCCAGATATGTCATCCAATTGATGTACTGACTTTCAGCAAGTTATTGCTCCTCCCTAGACCTCATTTCATTATCTGTAAAACAGGGAGTTTTGATTAAATAGTCTTTAATATCTAAACACTCTTTGAGACAAATTTCAAGTAAATTCAACCTCAAAAGACATAATGGACTGGACTGGAAGAGGGGGGTTCTTTAATAACTAGTAAAATTTCCATTAAAAATGTTGCTTTATGGCCAACCAAAAGAAAGAACACATTATGGATATGCCTGTGGACTGCATTTCTGCAAATGGGAGCACTAACTGAATTAGTCAGAGCCTTTTCAGCAAAGCCTCTACGGAGAAGTGTCCAGAAATATTACATTGACATCTACTTTTCTGTTCTCTTTAAATCCTCTGAAATCATGAAATGTCTCTGGCCATAGTTTCCTTCATATTATTTTGATCAGTCTTCCCAAGTTGAAGTAGTTTGTGATACATTTCATAATATCAAAGGGCTTTCCCAGTCTTTGTTTACTTGCAATTTTTTACCCTGTTTTTTTCCACCATTTGCGTAAAGGTAACTCTAGTCACCATAAAACTTATATTTTAATATTCACCTTGGCAATATTTTTCTCAGGACAGACCTGATACTATTGCTTTAAACTTATAATCAAATCTGTTAGCCAGAATCTAAAATGAAGGGGAGAAAGGCCACAGTGGTGTAAATAACGCACACGGCAAAACACTCAACTCAGGATAGTTAGAGCAATATTGGCAGTATGCTATTTTTGACACTTAATGTCTGGGAGAATGCCAACAGTATATAGTTGGCTCTACTAGTTCTCATTCCTGAGTGTATATAAGAGCACACAGATAATTAAGTGGAGAAAGAACAAGGAGGGAGGAGAAAGAAAGGGAGCACGTGTGCTGGAATTGATCTCTCAGCCTTTTAAATTTTGGTGTTCTTCAAGCATCATTCCTGGAGCCTCTTATTTACACTTAATCCCTAAGTGATTACATCAACTTTTCATGGTTTTGATAGACCACCTTATCTCATACTGTTGTTGACAACCTTCTGCTTCCTGTGCCTATAATGTTTTCCCTCCAGATAGCTGTCTCTCTAGCTCTCTCAAATTTCAAGTCATTTTTCAACTTCAAAATCATTGAGGCTTGTTTTGACTATTGTATTTAAAATATCAGCACTCTCTACTCATTTCCTGCTTTAGTCTTCTTTATAGAACTTATCACCATTTCACCTGCCATGTGTTTCACTTGTACATTTGTGTATTGTATGCTTTTTTTCACAATGATGTCAAGGCTTTTTGTCTGGTTTCTTCACAGCTGTATTCCTCAGACCCATATGAATCACTTCTCATGAGTGAACTCATATGTAACACACACACAAATGAAAAAAAATCAAAACAAAAATGGCATTGTAATAAATCAACACTACATAATATTGTACTTAAGAGGTGCTTGTATGTTGAACTGAGGATTTATGGCTGAATCAGTAAGAAAATCAAGAAATATTTGAGCTCCTACTACACATAAGGCACAGTTTTAATTGCTATTCTTCATGAAATATTCTCAAATTGGATGTTAGGGAACAAAAATAAACAAATTTCCTGAATATATCCCCTTTAATAGTCTAGTCAGGGAAAATAGTGTATCCAGATTACTGTATAACAAAGCTTTTTGGTATTACTTTATCATTCTATTACAGCTCTAATAACACAACATTGCCCCGTGACTATTTCTGATTCTCTGATGTCTCTGTCTTTCTCACTGAGCTCTCTTCTCCCTTCCTTATGTACATAAAATTTTGGCTGAGTGTGGTCCACTGAGTTTCATCACCCTCAACGTCCTGGCTTGAGAAAGTAGGCCTGGGTTAATTAATCATTGGTACAATAGGATAAAAATAGTAACAACACCAAAATGCTGGCAATATCGCGTGTTAGGGCTCCATCGTTGCATTAAAGCCCTACATATAAAATATTAATCTTCTTGCTCCAGTATTTTCATAAAGAAACACGGGTTTTGCCTGAGAATGATATTGGATTTTCTTGCCATGATAGTGCCTAATTATAATTATGCAAGTGCAAATTTGTATTCATTATCATTATTACATAGTATAAAAGTTTTCCAATTTCTAAGGGAGAAAAATGGTACATTTCTTAGTGTTGACTACTTCGTATTTTTAAATTGTATATATTTAATCTTTCAGCTATCATATTTTGTTGTTGCTGTTATTGTTGTTTTAAACACCATAGACCAGAAACACATTTGTAGTTCTGATACACTGTTTATCATTCAACTGTTCCTTACAGGCTGGTAAGACTCCTGCCAAGAAAACTATCTCCCACTCTTCAGTAACGTTCATCCTCCAATTTAAAAATGTTTTCTTTCTGTCTCTTCTTGCCAGCAATCAATGATGTGTATGCTTAAAAGCTAGGTGGCTATCATGTATGTTTGTACTATCTTGAAAGTATCCAACATGGTCTTTGGCAGAAAGTAAGAATAAATGAAGAATCACTAAATCTCCAAAATAGCATGGATTATTTTCAGTGAGGTATTTTATATTGATACCTTAACAGCTGATATTAGTAATTTTAGTAATTATTGATGCATATTTAAATATGAACTTGAAATTTAAAAACATTTAAGATAATACAATGATGATTCAATGGTTATCATTATTAATCCTTAGATGGATATTTGGTTTTGTAGCACATATAAAGAAGTGATAGTGAACTTTGAATTCTTTACATGGGTTCGTGGGAAATTATTGTTGTGATAAACAATATTCCTATTTTGAGACCATTTCATTATTTTTCTGTCAAGAAATGAATGACATACTCACATGTGTAGATCTTTTTTCTTTAGCATGACATCCTGTTTCGTCGGAATGATTTGTCTGCTGTTATTGACAATTGCATCAAAATCACGTTAAAATCTGGCCTGCAAGGGCAATTGCATTTTCCAGGCACTAATATGTCCTCACCTGATAGATGTTCTGATCATATAATTTTACTGTGCATGTAAACTTCTGCAAGCATATTCAAGTGAGGCTGCAGAGTTGGAACAGGTTCTGATTTCTCTTTAAAAAACTCCTTTTCTGATTCTACCTATTCAGAATTCTTCTGTAATATATGACTTAGGCTAACACGTTATGTTATTTTTTTGTCAACAGTGTTGAAAATGGGTTTTAGAGTGAAAGTGCTGCAGGTGGAATATTTACATTTGTTTTTTACACTCATGGTTATATGGATATTTAAATGGAGAAATAAATTTTTTCTGAATATGCGTAATCCAAGTTAGATTTCAAATGATCATTCTTAGGAGTACTGTTGCTGGTGTCTTGAAAATATTCTAGTTTTCAGTAGCTTTCAAATAGTTCTCAAAAAAAAGGCAGAATAAAGAAATCTTTCTATCCACTTTCCTTGATGTGTATGACAAAACAAGTTGTTTCCTTAATAAATGTAGCACAATCCATTTGTGTCTAAATCTTTACTATTACTAGTTCACCTTGTGTATTTTGCCTTTTAGACAAAAATAGAGATAAATGCTTCAATTAATTTCCTTCCAAATATCATTAATCTACACAAGAAAAGGGATAATGTGGACGGCTATCAACTTTATATCAGTATCATTATACTTATTTATTTACTCACAAAGCTACATAGGGACAATCATCTACTTTGATTTTAAATATGAAACAATAAGTAGCTCCAAACATACAAATCTCTGGAAGTGACATATAGGTTGGAAGCTTTTAGGCAACACGATCAGAAGAGATAATTACTTCTCTTTAACAACAACAAGAAACGCTAAATTCAGCATCCTTCATGTATGATCATATTTTCAAGAGCAGAAAATTGTAAATATAAGCTTACATGTACACAGTTAATCAAGTCCTGTGTTTTATATAATTCGCCTAGCCTGAAAAAAACCCTGCAAATTAGTCCCAGTGGCTGCTGTCTTTCCCCATACCACATGAATCTTTGTTATCAGTTGTCTTTGTACATTTTCCTTTTGTTCAGTCTTTTTCACTGTGCTTCAAAAGTGTTCACTGTGTACCTCTTCTACTATAATCTCTAGGGTTAGTGAACTCAATAGGAGACCTCTAACATGATAGTTCAATGTCCTATCACTTTAAGGAGGCATAGTAACTAATTAAATGTATTTAAATTTCCTCAATAATCTGTGTTAGGGCTTTATGCACAATTTACAGCAAAGTTTTTGAGTTGAAGAAAATACTGTAGTCTGAAGACTTAAGGTTATGAATCTCCTTAATGTCAGACAATTTGCATAAAGCCCAGGAAAATGGGTGAAGTCTTTGTTTTTACAGTAACTTTTAACTAAAGTGATGCTTTGAACTTTATATGTGAAGTTGAAGGCAAATTTGCTTAGACTCATTAGATGATGTTTTGCTAGTGAATTTTAACACAAGTTAATTGTGCCTAAAATAAGGGCTTAGTAATACATAAACACATAGTTTGAAGTTTCTGGTTTATATTTATTATATTTGTATTTGAATAGGTTCGGTAATTAATTAATTTTATTTATTTATTTTTTTGAGACAGTCTCACTCTGTCGCCAGGCTGGAGTGCCATGGCGTGATCTCAGCTCACCGCAACCTCTGCCTCCCGGTTGCAAGCGATTCTCCTTCCTCAGCCTCACTGGTATCTGGGACTACAGGCACACACCACCACACCCAGCTAATTTTTGTATTGTTTTTTTAGTAGAGACGGGGTTTCACCATGTTGGCCAGGATGTTCTCCATTTCTTGACCTTGTGATCCTCCCCCCTTGGCCTCCCAAAGTGCTGGGATTACAGGCATGAACCACCGCGCCCGACCTGAATATTTCCTTGAATATGTAGATTGCTTTGAATAGAATGGATACTTTAACAATATTGATTCTTCCAATCCATGATCATGAATATTTTCCCATTTTTTGGAGTCCTTTACAATTTCTTTCATCAGTGTTGTATAATTTTTGTTGTAGAGATTGTTCACTTCTTTGGTTAAGTTAATTCCTTGGTATTTAATTCTATTTCTAGCTTTTGTGAATAAAGTTAGTTTTCTTTTTTATACTTTTAAGTTTTAGGGTACATGTGCACAACGTGCAGGTTTGTTACATAAGTACACATGTGCCATGTTGGTGTGCTGCACCCATTAACTCTCCATTTAACATTAGGTATATCTCCTAATGCTATCCCTCCCCACTCCCCCCACCCCACAACAAACCCCGGTGTGTGATGTTCCCCGCCCTGTGTCCATGTGTTCTCATTGTTCAGTTCCCACCTATGAGTGAGAACATGCAGTGTTTGGTTTTTTTGTCCTTACGATAGTTTGATGAGAATGATGGATTCCATCTTCATCCATGTCCTTACAAATGACACAAACTCATCATTTTTTATGGCTGCATAGTATTCCATGGTATATATGTGCCACATTTTCTTAATCCAGTCTATCATTGTTGGACACTTGGGTTGGTTCCAAGTCTTTGCTATTGTGAATAGTGCTGCAATAAACTTACATTTGCATGTGTCTTTATAGCAGCATGATTTATAATCGTTTGGGCATATACCCAGTAATGGGATGGCTGGGTCAAATGGTATTTCTAGTTCTAGATCCCTGAGGAATCACCACACTGACTTCCACAGTGGTTGAACTAGTTTACAGTCCCACCAACAGTGTAAAAGCGTTCCTATTTCTCCACATCCTCTCCAGCACCTGTTGTTTCCTGACTTTTTAATGATCGTCGTTCTAACTGGTGTGAGATGGTATCTCATTGTGGTTTTGATTTGCATTTCTCTGATGGCCAGTGATGATGAACATTTTTTCATGTGTCTTTTGGCTGCATAAATGTCTTCTTTTGAGAAGTGTCTGTTCATATCCTTTGCCCACTTGTTGATGGGGTTGCTTGTTTTTTTCTTGTAACTTTGTTTGAGTTCATTGTAGATTCTGAATATTAGTCCTTTGTCAGATGAGTAGATTGAAAAAATTTTCTCCCATTCTGTAGGTTGCCTGTTCACTCTGATGGTAGTTTCTTTTGCTGTGCAGAAGCTCTTTAGTTTAATTAGATCCCATTTGTCAACTTTGGCTTTTGTTGCCATTGCTTTTGGTGTTTTAGACATGAAGTCCTTGCCCATGCCTATGTCCTGAATGGTATTGCCTCGGTTTTCTTCTAGAGTTTTTATGGTTTTAGGTCTAACATTTAAGTCTTTAATCCATCTTGAATTAATTTTTGTATAAGGTGTAAGGAAGGGATCCAGTTTCAGCTTTCTACATATGGCTAGCCAGTTTTCCCAGCACCATTTATTAAATAGGGAATCCTTTCCCGATTTCTTATTTTTGTCAGGTTTGTCAAAGATCAGATGGTTGTAGATATGTGGCATTATTTCTGAGGGCTCTGTTCTGTTCCATTGGTCTATATCTCTGTTTTGGTACCAGTACCATGCTGTTTTGGTTACTGTAGCCTTGTAGTATAGTTTGAAGTCAGGTAGCATGATAAGGATTCACAGCTGAATTCTACCAGAGGTACAAGGAGGAGCTGGTACCATTCCTTCTGAAACTATTCCAATCAATAGAAAAAGAGGGAATCCTCCCTAACTCATTTTATGAGGCCAGCATCATGCTGATACCAAAGCCTGGCAGAGACACAACAAAAAAAGAGAATCCCTAATGAACCTTGATGCAAAAATCCTCAATAAAATACTGGTAAACTGAATCCAGCAGCACATCAAAAAACTTATCCACCATGATCAAGTGGGCTTCATCCCGGGGATGCAAGGCTGGTTCAACATACGCAAATCAATAAATGTAATCCAGCATATAAACAGAACCAATGACAAAAACCACATGATTATCTCAATAGATGCAGAAAAGGACTTCAACAAAATTCAACAGCCCTTCATGCTAAAAACTCTCAGTAAATTAGGTATTGATGGGTCATATCTCAAAATAATAGGAGCTATCTATGACAAACCCATTGCCAATATCATACTGAATGGGCAAGAACTGGAAGCATTCCCTTTGAAAACTGGCACAAGACAGGGGTGCCCTCTCTCACCACTCCTATTCAACATAGTGTTGGAAGTTCTGGCCAGGGCAATCAGGCAGGAGAAGGAAATAAAGGGTATTCAATTAGGAAAAGAGGAAGTCAAATTGTCCCTGTTCGCAGACGACATGATTGTATATCTAGAAAACCCCATCATCTCAGCCCAAAATCTCCTTAAGCTGATAAGCAACTTCAGCAAAGTCTCAGGATACAAAATCAATGTGCAAAAATCACAAGCATTCTTATACACCAATAACATGCAAACAGAGAGCCAAATCATGAGTGAACTCCCATTTACAATTGCTTCAAAGAGAATAAAATACCTAGCATGATTTAAAATCCTTTGGGTATATACCCAGTAATGGGATGGCTGGATCAAATGGTATTTCTAGTTCTAGATCCCTGAGGAATTGCCACACTGACTTCCACAATGGTTGAACTAGTTTATAGTCCCACCAACAGTGTAAAAGTGTCGCTATTTCTCCACATCCTCTCCAGCACCTATTGTTTCCTGACTTTTTAATGATCGTCATTCTAACTGGTGTGAGATGGTATCTCATTGTGGTTTTGATATGCATTTCTCTGTTGGCCAGTGATGATGAGCATTTTTTCATGTGTCTTTTGGCAAATTTTTGTTTAATTATTCTATTGTATTTTTTTCATTATTTCAATTTCAATTTTTTTATCTGCTCTCTATTATTTTTTTCTTCTAGTAATGTTGGGTTTGGTTTGTTCCTGTTTTTCTAGTTTTTTATGATGGACCATTCATTAGATTGTTAAAGTTTGTTTCTATTTTTTGATGTAGCCATTTATAGCTATAAATTTCCCTAATAATACTACTTTTGTTGTATCCCATAGGTTTTGGTATACTGTGCTTCCACTATCTCATTATCATTTGTTTCAAGAAATGTTTCAATTTCTTTTTAATTTCTTCATTGACCACTGGTCATTTAGAAGCCCATTGTTTTTCATTTATTTATAACATTTCAAATATTCTTCTTGTTATTTATTTCTAGTTTTATTCCATTGTGGTCAGAGAAGGTTCTTGATAGTTTTTTGAATGTTATAAGACTTGTTTTATGGCCTAACATATGGTCTATCCTTGAGAATAATTGATGTGCTGAGGAAAAGAATGTGTATTCTACAGCCACTGGATAAAATGTCCTGTAAATATCTATTAGATCTATTTGGTCTATAGTGCAGATTAAGTCCAATGTTTCTTTGTTGATTTTCTGCCTGGAAGATCTGTCAGATGCTGAAAATAAGGTGTTGAAATCCTCACCTGTTATTGTGTTTGATCTATCTCTCTGTTTAGCTCTAATAATATTTGATTTATATATTGGACACTCCAATGTTGGGTGCTTATATGTTTAAAATTGTTATATCTTCTTGCCAAATTGATGCCTTAATCATTATACAGTGACCTATTTTGTCTCTACTTACAGTTGTCATCTTGAAATATATTTTGTCTAAGTATAGTGAATTCTGCTCTTTTTGGTTGCCATTGGTATAGAATATTTTTTTCCATTCCATTATTTTCAGTCTATGTGTGTTTTTATAGGTGAAGCATGTTTCTTGTAGGCAACAGATCAATGAGTCTTGTTTTTCATCCATTCAGTCTGTGTCTTTTGACTGGAGAGTTTAGTCTATTCACAGTCGATTTTATTATTAACAATGAAGGACTTATTCCTGCCATCTTGTTAGTTGTTTCCTGGTTGTTTTGTGCACTGTTTGCATAAACAAACACACAAGCAAAAGAAAACTAATAAAAATTTCATGCCTTAAATTTGTCCCCCCACTTTTAAACATTTGGTTGTTTCTATTTACTTCATATGTACTGCCTGTGTCTTGAAACCTTGTTGTAGTTATTATTTGTGAATTGGCTTATTGTTTAGTCTTTCTAATTAGGATAAGCGTAGTTTACACATTGCAGTTCCAGTGTTATATCTATTTTTTGTGTACTTACAATTGCCAGTGAGTTTTGCACCTTCATGTGATTAATTATTGCTCATTAATGTCTTTTTCTTTTTGATTGAAGTACTTCCTTTAGCATTTCTTGTAGGACAGGTCTGGTGTTGATGAAATCCCTCAACTTTTGCTTTTCTGGGAAAGTCTGTGTTTCTTCTTTATGTTGGAAAGATATTTTTACCAGATTACCATTCTAAGGTATTTTTTCCTTCAGCACTTTAAATATATCATACCACTCTGTCCTAGCCTGTAAGGTTTCCACTGAAAAGTCTGCTGCCAGATGTATTGAAGCTCCATTGTTTGTTATTTGTTTCTTTTCTCTTGTTGCTTATAGCATCCTTTCTTTATCCTTCACCTTTGGGAGTTTCATTACTAAATACCTTGAGATAGTCTTCTTTGGGTTAAATCTCCTTGGTGTTCTATAACCTTCTTGTACTTGGATATTGATTTTTTTTCTAGGTTTAAGAACTTCGCTGTTATTATCTTTTTGAATAAACTTCCTATCCCTTTATCTTTCTCTACCTCATCTTTAAGACCAAAGACTCTAACATTTTCACTTTTGAAGTTATTTTCTATATCCTGTAGGCATGTTTCATTGCTTTTATTCTTTTTTTTCTGTTGTGTCTCCTCTCACTATTGTACTTTCAAATCACCTGTCTTCAAGCTCACAAATTCTTTCTTCTGCTTGATTTATTCTGTTATTAAGGAACTCTGATACATTCTTCAGTATGCCAATTGTATTTTTCAGCTCCAGAATTTCTGCTTCTTTTTAATTATTTAAATATTTTTTGTTGACTGTATCTGATATAATTCTGAATTATTTCTCTGCTATAGAATTATCTGTCTGAAAAGTCGCATATCTCTGTTTCTCCGGGATTGATCCCTAGTTTCTTATTTAGTTCATTTGGTGAAGTCATGCTTTCCTGGATGGTGTTGATGCAGATAGACGTTATTTGATTTCTAGGCATTGAAGTGTGAGATTTTTATTGTAGTCTTCACTGTCTGGGCTTATTTGTAGCCATCTTTCTTGGGAAAGCTTTCCAGCTATTTGAAAGAACTTGGGTGTTATTATCTCAGCTGTATCTGCTTTAGGGGCCACCTCAAGCCCAGTAACACTATGGTTCTTTCAGACTCATAGAAGTACCACCTTGATGGTCGTGGACAAGATCTGGGAGAGTTCTCTGAATTATCAAGCAGAGACTTTTGTTCCCTTACCTTACTTTCTCCCAAAGAAAAAAAGTCTGTCTCTCCCTCTGTTCTGAGCCAGGTGAGGCTTGGAATGGAGTGACACAAGTACCCCTGTGGCCACCACCACTATTACTGTGCTGTGGTGAGATCCAATGCCAGCACAACACTGGGTTTTACCCAAGGCTGGCTTTAACTATTCCCATGCTACTGCCTATGTTCACTCAAGGCCTGGGTGCTCTACAATAAGCTGGTGGCTAAGCCAGCCAGACCTGTGTCCTCCACTTCAGGGCAGGAAGGTTCCTTAGGCCCCAGGTGGATCCAGAAGTGTCGTCCGTGTGTCAGGGACTAAAGTCAAAAACCTTACAAGTCTACCTGGTGCTCTATTGTACTGTAGCTGAGCTGGCACTCAAACCACAAGATGCAGACTTTCCTACTCTTCCCTCTCCTTCCCAAAAGCAGAAGAGCCTTACCCAGTAGCTATCATCACCCAAGGCCATTAAGTGCACTGTCATAATACCACAAATGTCCTTTTAAAACCCAAGGGCCCTTACGTCAGCTTGTGAATGCTGCCTGGCCTAGGACTCACCCTTTCAGGGTGGTGAGCCCCCTCTCACCAGGGCAGGTCCAGAAATGCTGTTCAAGAATCAAGTCCTAGAATTGGGAATCCCATAAGCCTGCTTAGTGGTCTACCTTCCCTGTGGCTGTGCTAGTATGTAAAGCCAGAAAGTCTCAGAGGTTCACCCAAGGCCCTGGACATAGTATCTGGGAATTTCTGCTGACTATTCAGGCCCCAAGGGCTCTTGAATTAGCAGCTAATAAATCCTGCCAGGACTGGGTCCTTTCCTTCAAGACAGTGGGTTTCCTTCTAGCCCAAGTTGTGTCTAGAAATGTTGTCTGGGAGTTAAGGCCTAGAACAGAGGCTTCACAACTCTGGCCAGTGCCCTATTCTGCAGTGACTGAGGTGGTATCCAAGATGCAAGACAAAATCCTCCCCACTCTTACATCTCCTTTCTTCAAGCTACAAGAAGGGATCTCTTTTAGAGCTGTGAGCTTTGCAGATTGGGGTTAGGGAAGGGGTAATGCCAGCACTCCCTTAGCTTTCTCGGCTGGTATTTTAGTGTGTTGTGTGCCCCACCTCCAGTCCACTGTCTCCGGGCCTCCTTCAGCACTAGGGCTTACCTACAAGTTGCAGTCCTTATGATGTATACTGCCTTTCAAGTTTATATAGAAACCCATAGCACTCCAGCCCTTGGTGGCGATGTTTGTGGGAACTCAAGTTCTGACTGCTGGTATTAGCAATTCCCCTCTGGCTAGGGCTGGATTAAATGCTCCTTCCATGAGCTGGCATCAGCTGAGTTTGGTCTGGTTTTCCTTTCTGCTCTAACAGGATAGCACTGAGTTCAGTGCCTGCCTCACATTTGCTGTGCTCTCCCTCCCCCAGTACCCTTAGACACTCTCAGCACCAGGCCACCCTGACTGGGGTGTGGGAAAGGGGTAGCATTCAATATTGGAGATTTTTTTTTCTATCTCTTCAGTATTGCTTTAAGTGATAGAAAGTTAAAACCAGGTACTATAGGTGACCATCTGATTTTTTATTTTCATGAAGGTATTTTTTTTTCTGTGTAGATACATGTTAAATTGGTGTCATTGCAGAGACATGATTGGCGGAGGCTTCTGTTCCATCACCTTGTTCCACCTCTGGAAACTCATTTTAAATAGAGAATATCAGGTATCACCTCAGAGGTACCTAATGAATGCAAACCTGCTTTTTAACAAGATCTCGAAGTGATTCCTATACACATTAAAATTTGAAAAGCATTGATCTAGCTGACTGGTCTCATGAAATACTCGTATTTTTATATAGTAATAACTATATTTCTATTACATGGGCAAAATTTGTTTAAATATAGCAGTCACTGATATTGCTTGAAAAGTAATGTCTTTTTTTGTTATTATTAAATAATCATTAAATAATTGCCTGGGAAGAGTATGTCATTGTGAGTTGTGAGTGGTTCTGAGTAGTCCTGTTTCTATTGGAAAAAAAGATTGAAAAAATTGCTCTATGGCAATGGGTGCATTTAAGTCTTGGGCTGTTTGAAGGTCATACTGGTGCATGGATTATAAATGGTAAATATAACCTTAGTCTATTAAATATAAATAATATCTGAGTTGCATTGTTCATAACTCTTCAAAAAGACTGTGTCTATAATTATTTCTAAATGGAGAATCTCACTAAAATTTTGGAAAAATAGTTTTTATATACTAGAGTAAGTAAGGAGTTAGTTTACCAAAAATACCGTGTAAATTATTTTTACTCAGATTCCAGTGAAAATAGAGTAAATAATTATAATTTTGGGACTGGAAGTAAAAATAGATACATTATAGCTCAGCACCCTCATTTCATAAATGAGCAAGTTAAAGTGAAATTATAATTTTATCCAAGTTCAAGTCATAAGTAGGAGTTAGGACTTGAGCTTAGATCTTGGTATTCTTATTTTAATCCTTTCTGTTATACTGACATATTTCCTGATATGACTTTAAGCCTCTATTTTATTTATATGTAGTAAAAACAAACTGTAATAGAATCTATTTTATGGGGTTATTGTGAAAATCAAATGTGATTTTACAAAAGCAATGCACTTAGCACGGTCTCCGTAATATAAAAAGGGAAAAACATAGCATTAATGGACTTCAGCGAGGTCACAAAGTAAATTATCTGTATAATCACATTGCTGAAACTTGTTCTACTTAAGCCTTAGAATTTTAGAATTTGGTTTCCAGCCAAGTGAAATGCCATCCTACAGGTCTGTAAGATCTCCCAAGTCACAATTGAAAATTCATCCAAGGCATGAGAATTTTCTTTTTGTTTGTCCTTTCCTTTCCTTTCCAATCCCACTCTGAAAGATCAACATCAAGGAGAAAATGACAGGGACTGCACTGAAGAAAGGTGGATTTACCTTTAGGTCTTAGAGGCAGCAGCAAGAGACTGGGAGAGAGTAAGAGAGAGAGACAGAGAGACAGAGAAAGAGAAAGTAAAAGAGAGGACATTCTCCCCACGAGATCTTAGCTTAACCTCCTAATTAAGATTATATGTTTGACACATGAATTTGATATTCTGGAAGGCTCATTTCCAGATTCTGTTTTTTTCAGAGATATTAGTAGTAATCTGTAAGCATTTAGCCTCAAGAACCTTGTTTTGCTGTTTTATAATTACCAATACCTAGTACAGGGTTTACACAGGGTAGAGCCTTAATGAATGGTGAGTTAATGAATGATAATAATAAGATTAGCAATGTTAACTCATGTCATATTCTTAAACCAACTACTACCACTACAGAGGTTGGAATAGTAGGACACTTTTTATGTGAATAGGCCATGTCCAACAAATTAGTCCATCATCATTTTTCAATGAGCTATTAATGCATGTCAAATACTATGCTAGGTTCTTTGCATACATTCTTTCTAATCATCATAAGGCATTATGCTGCCTGGTACATGAGAAAACAATATACTGATTAGGTAAGTAATCTTCTCAAGGTCTCAGAGCTAATAAGTGACTGCCACATTTGAATCCAATTCTACCTCATATCTAAGCCCATGTTACTTAACATTTCATCTGCCTTTTCTCACTTTCCCCTTTACTCCCATTTTTCCTTTCTCCCAACACATATTAAACACCTAATATATATCAGACATTGTGTTAGGCATAGTGTCTATATTCAGCATTATTAATTTCATTTGTCATTATATAATAATTTACAGTTCTACATTTTGCATTCAGAATCACATTTGATTCAACATCCTGCTCCATTTTTTAAAAGAAACAGCTGAATCTGAAAGAAGTTAAATAATAAGCCCAAGTTTATGCATGTCTTAAGTGGAATATTAGGACACAAACCAAGATATTGGTCTTCTCATCCATTGCTTCATTTTTAGTGTATCACATGATTGTAAAGTAGTGAAAAAAGCCCACCCTTAGGGTTCAGATATGGGCTCTATTCTCCACTTTTCTAGGTAGTAGCTGTTTGTTGTTTAACAAGTTTTAATTCCTCTGAGACTCAGTTCCCCCATAACAGTAATTTTAGTGGGAATTGCAATAATAAACATTTCAGAATATTGATAAGAGTATAAGATTCATGTAAAACACTTATATTTATTCAATGAATCCTTCCACAGTATTATAATCATCATTGTGAGAATTAAAAATATCAAATACAGAGTGCCTAAAGCAGTGTTCGGAAACTAAGTGGATGGAAAAGAAGTGTTTATCAGTTATTAATGTAACTGAAACAAGTTTATTGATGCTTAAAAATCTGCACTGGAAACAACTCAAATGGAGTACTTATTTCTTAACATATACTAGAAAATGTATAGTGCTCATTACCCTTAGTGGTAGGTATAGTTAGAAAGATCAATTCATTTTATTTAGATTTAGATAAATTCTGGGATGGTGGTTATTCAGGAAAGCTAGAAATTATTATGGGAAAATTTGTAGCCCTTCACATCATGAAGGATAATTGTCACTTTCTTTAATATATATTTGTGTACTGAAAAGAAGAAGAGTACTGCACTAGGCAGCCTTAAATTCTTAATAAGAAAGAAGAGTGGGGCAGTTTGAGGATTATTCAACTGGATCCTAAATGAGCTTCCTGTATTACCATTTAAGACTGCCAAAACCGAGGGAGGAGCCAAGAGGGCCGAATAGGAACAGCTCCGTCTACAGCAACCAGCGTGAGCGACGCAGAAGACAGGTGATTTCTGCATTTCCATCTGAGGTACCGGGTTCATCTCACTAGGGAGTGCCAGACAGTGGGCGCAAGTCAGTGGGTGCGCGCACAATGCGCGAGCCGAAGCAGGGCGAGGCATTGCCTCACTTGGGAAGCGCAAGGGGTCAGGGAGTTCCCTTTCCTTGTCAAAGAAAGGGGTGACAGACGGCACCTGGAAAATCGGGTCACTCCCACCCGATTACTGCACTTTTCCGACGGGCTTAAAAAACGGCGCATCACGAGATTATATCCCGCACCTGGCTTGGAGGGTCCTACGCCCACGGAGTCTCGCTGATTGCTAGCACAGCAGTCTGAGATCAAACTGCAAGGCGGCCGCGAGGCTGGGGGAGGGGCGACTGCCATTGCCCAGGCTTGCTTAGGTAAACAAAGCAGCCGGGAAGCTCGAACTGGGTGGAGCCCACCACAGCTCAAGGAGGCCTGCCTGCCTCTGTAGGCTCCACCTCTGGGGGCAGGGCACAGACAAACAAAAAGACAGCAGTAACCTCTGCAGACTTAAATGTCCCTGTCTGACAGCTTTGAAGAGAGCAGTGGTTCTCCCAGCACGCAGCTGGAGATCTGAGAACAGGCAGACTGCCTCCTCAAGTGGGTCCCTGACCCCTGACCCCCGAGCAGCCTAAGTGGGAGGCACCCCCCAGCAGGGGCACACTGACACCTCACATGGCAGGGTATTCCAACAGACCTGCAGCTGAGGGTCCTGTCTGTTAGAAGGAAAACTAACAAACAGAAAGGACATGCACACCAAAAACCCATCTGTACATCACCATCATCAAAGACCAAAAGTAGATAAAACCACAAAGATGGGGAAAACACAGAACAGAAAAACTGGAAACTCTAAAAAGCAGAGTGCCTCTCCTCCTCCAAAGGAATGCAGTTCCTCACCAGCAACGGAACAAAGCTGGATGGAGAATGACTTTGACGAGCTGAGAGAAGAAGGCTTCAGACGATCAAATTACTCTGAGCTACGGGAGGACATTCAAACCAAAGGCAAAGAAGTTGAAAACTTTCAAAAAAATTTAGAAGAATGTTTAACTAGAATAACCAATACAGAGAAGTGCTTAAAGGAGCTGATGGAGCTGAAAACCAAGGCTCGAGAACTATGTGAAGAATGCAGAAGCCTCAGGAGCCAATGCGATCAACTGGAAGAAAGGGTATCAGCAATGGAAGATGAAATGAATGAAATGAAGTGAGAAGGGAAGTTTAGAGAAAAAAGAATAAAAAGAAATGAGCAAAGCCTCCAAGAAATATGGGACTATGTGAGAAGACCAAATCTACGTCTGATTGGTGTACCTGAAAGTGATGGGGAGAATGGAACCAAGTTGGAAAACACTCTGCAGGATATTATCCAGGAGAACTTCCCCAATCTAGCAAGGCAGGCCAACGTTCAGATTCAGGAAATACAGAGAACGCCACAAAGATACTCCTCGAGAAGAGCAACTCCAAGACACATAATTGTCAGATTCACCAAAGTTGAAATGAAGGAAAAAATGTTAAGGGCAGCCAGAGAGAAAGGTCGGGTTACCCTCAAAGGGAAGCCCATCAGACTAACAGCGGATCTCTCGGCAGAAACCCTACAAGCCAGAAGAGAGTGGGGGCCAATATTCAACATTCTTAAAGAAAAGAATTTTAAACCCAGAATTTCATATCCAGCCAAACTAAGCTTCATAAGCGAAGGAGAAATAAAATCCTTTACAGACAAGCAAATGCTGAGAGATTTTCTCACCACCAGGCCTGCCCTAAAAGAGCTCCTGAAGGAAGCGCTAAACATGGAAAGGAACAACCGGTACCAGCCGCTGCAAAATCATGCCAAAATGTAAAGACCATTGAGACTAGGAAGAAACTGCATCAACTAACGAGCAAAATAACCAGCTAACATCATAATGACAGGATCACATTCACACATAACAATATTAACTTTAAATGTAAATGGACTAAATGCTCCAATTAAAAGACACAGGCTGGCAAATTGGATAAAGAGTCAAGACCCATCAGTGTGCTGTATTCAGGAAACCCATCTCACGTGCAGAGACACACATAGGCTGAAAATAAAAGGATGGAGGAAGATCTACGAAGCAAATGGAAAACAAAAAAAGGCAGGGGTTGCAATCCTAGTCTCTGATAAAACAGACTTTAAACCAACAAAGATCAAAAGAGACAAAGAAGGCCATTACATAATGGTAAAGGGATCAATTCAACAAGAAGAGCTAACTATCCTAAATATATACGCACCCAATATAGGAGCACCCAGATTCATAAAGCAAGTCCTGAGTGACCTACAAAGAGACTTAGACTCCCACACAATAATAATGGGAGACTTTAACACCCCACTGTCAACATTAGACAGATCAACGAGACAGAACGTTAACAAGGATACCCAGGAATTGAACTCAGCTCTGCACCAAGCAGACCTAATAGACATCTACAGAACTCTCCACCCCAAATCAACAGATTATACACTCTTTTCAGCACCACACCTACTCCAAAATTGACCACATAGTTGGAAGTAAAGCACTCCTCAGCAAATGTAAAAGAATAGAAATTATAACAAACAGTCTCTCAGACCACAGTGAAATCAAACTAGAACTCAGGATTAAGAAACTCACTCAAAACCGCTCAACTACATGGAAACTGAACAACCTGCTCCTGAATGACTACTGGGTAAATAATGAAATGAAGGCAGAAATAAAGATGTTCTTTGAAACCAATGAGAACAAAGACACAATATACCAGAATCTCTGGGACACATTCAAAGCAGTGTGTAGAGGGAAATTTGTAGCACTAAATGCCCACAAGAGAAAGCAGGAAAGATCTAAAATTGACACCCTAATATCACAATTAAAAGAACTAGAAAAGAAAGAGCAAATACATTCAAAAGCTAGCAGAACACAAGATATAAATAACTAAGATCAGAGCAGAACTGAAGGAAATAGAGACACAAAAAACCCTTCAAAAAATTAATGAATCCAGGAGCTGGTTTTTTTAAAAGATCAACAAAATTGATAGACCACTAGCAAGACTAATAAAGAAGAAAAGAGAGAAGAATCAAATAGACACAATACAAAATGATAAAGGGGATATCGCCACCGATCCCACAGAAATACAAACTACCATCAGAGAATACTAAAAACACCTCTACGCAAATAAACTAGAAAATCTAGAAGAAATGGATAAATTCCTTGACACATACATCCTCCCAAGACTAAACCAGGAAGAAGTTGACTCTCTGAATAGACCAATAACAGGCTCTGAAATTGAGGCAATAATCAATAGCTTACCAACCAAAAAAAGTCCAGGACCAGATGGATTCACAGCCAAATTCTACCGGAGGTACAAAGAGGAGCTGGTACCATTCCATCTGAAACTATTCCAATCAATAGAAAAAGAAGGAATCCTCCCTAACTCATTTTATGAGGCCAGGATCATCCTGATACCACAGCCTGGCAGAGACACAACCAAAATAGAGAATTTTAGACCAATATCCTTGATGAACATTGATGCAAATATCCTCAATAAAATAGTGGCAAACCGATTCCAGCAGCACATCAAAAAGCTTATCCACCATGATCAAGTGGGCTTCATCCCTGGGATGCAAGGCTGGTTCAACATACCAAAATCAATCAATGTAGTCCAACATATAAACAGAACCAAAGACAAAAATCACATGATTATCTCAATAGATATAGAAAAGGCCTTTGACAAAATTCAACAACCCTTCATGCTAAAAACCCTCAATAAATTAGTTATTGATCGGACGTATCTCAAAATAATAAGGGCTATCTATGACAAACCCACAGCCAATATCATACTGAATGAGCAAATACTGGAAGCATTCCCTTTGAAAACTGGCACAAGACAGGGATGCCCTCTCTCACCACTCCTATTCAACATAGTATTGGAAGTTCTGGCCAGGGCAATCAGGCAGGAGAAGGAAATAAAGAGTATTCGATTAGGAAAAGAGGAAGTCAAATTGTCCCTGTTTGCAGATGACATGATTGTATATCTAGAAAACCCCATCATCTCAGCCCAAAATCTCCTCAAGCTGATAAGCAACTTCAGCAAAGTCTCAGGATACAAAATCAATGTCCAAAAATCACAAGCATTCTTATACACCAACAACAGACAGAGAGCCAAATCATGAGTGAACTCCCATTCACAACTGCTTCAAAGAGAATAAAATACCTAGGAATCCACCTTACAAGGGACGTGAAGGACCTCTTCAAGGAGAACTACAATTTCACTGTTCAATGAAATAAAAGAGGATACAAACAAATGGAAGAACATTCCATGCTCATGGGTAGGAAGAATCAATATCGTGAAAATGGCCACAGTGCCCAAGGTAATTTACAGATTCAATGCCATCCCCATCAAGCTACCAATGAGTTTCTTCACAGAATTGGAAAAAAAACTACTTTAAAGTTCATAGGGAACCAAAAAAGAGCCCGCATCACCAAGTCAATCCTAAGCCAAAAGAACAAAGCTGGAGGCATCATGCTACCTGACTTCAAACTATACTATGATGCTACAGTCACCAAAACAGCATGGTACTGGTACCAAAACAGAGATACAGACCAATGGAACAGAACAGAGCCCTCAGAAATAATGCCGCATATCTACAACTATCTGATCTTTGACAAACCTGAGAAAAACAAGCAATGGGGAAAGGATTTCCTATTTAATAAATGGTGCTGGGAAAACTGGCTAGCCATACGTAGAAAGCTGAAACTGGATCCCTTCCTTACACCTTATACAAAAATTAACTCAAGATGGATTAAAGACTTAAATGTTAGAACTAAAACCATCAAAAACCTAGAAGAATACCTAGGCAATACCATTCAGGACATAGGCATGGACAAGGACTTCATGTCTAAGACATCAAAAGCAATGGCAACAAAAGCCAAAATTGACAAATGGGATCTAATGAAACTCAAGAGCTTCTGCACAGCAAAAGAAACTACCATCAGAGTGAACAGGCAACCTACAAAATGGGAGAAAATTTTTGCAACCTACTCATCTGACAAAGGGCTAATATCCAGACTCTACAATGAACTGAAACAAATTTACAAGAAAAAAACAAACAGCCCTATCAACAAGTGAGCGAAGGATATTAACAGACACTTCTCAAAAGAGAACATTTATGCAGCCAACAAACACATGAAAAAATGCTCATCATCACTGGCCATCAGAGAAATGCAAATCAAAACCACAATGACATACCATCTCACACCAGTTAGAATGGCAATCATTAAAAAGTCAGGAAACAACAGGTGCTGGAGAGGATGTGGAGAAATAGGAACACTTTCACACTGTTGGTGGGACTGTAAACTAGTTCAACCATTGTGGAAGTCAGTGTGGTGATTCCTCAGGGATCTAGAACTAGAAATACCATTTGACTGAGCCATCCCATTACTGGGTACATACCCAAAGATTATCAATCATGCTGCTATAAAGACACATGCACACGTATGTTTATAGCGGCACTATTCACAATAGCAAAGACTTGGAACCAACCTAAATGTCTAACAACGATAGACTGGATTAAGAAAATGTGGCACATGTACACCATGGAATACTATGCAGCCATAAAAAATGATGAGTTCATGTCCTTTGTTGGGACATGGATGAAACTGGAAACCATCATTGTCAGCGAACTATCGCAAGGACAAAAAACCAAACACTGCATGTTCTCACTCATAGGTGGGAATTGAACAGTGAGAACACATGGACACAAGAAGGGGAACATCACACACCGGGGACTGTTGTGGGGTGGGGGGAGGGGGGAGGGATAACATTAGGGGATATACCTAATGCTAAATGACAAGTTAATGGGTGCAGCACACCAACATGGCACATGTATACATATGTAACAAACGTGCACGTTGTGCACATGTACCCTAAAACTTAAAGAAGTATAATAATAATAAAATTTAAAAAAAAACAAAAAAAATCAAATTTTTAAAAATAAATTTTATTGTTGAAATACAAAACACAATCAGAAAAAAATGCAAAATATTAAGTGTACAGTTCAGTGAATTATACTATAATCACATATAGGTATCCACTAATCAAGTCAAAATAACGGACATTACTGATACCTAACAAGTTTCCTTCCCTCTCCTCTCTAAACAAAACAAAGCAAAATAAGACAATACAAAAAATACCCTGAGTTATAATATTATAATTATATATATACTATATATTTTATATAATTTTTATAATATATATAAATTATATTATATAAATTATATAAATTATATTATAATTCTATAATAAATTATAATTTTTATATAATAATATAATTATATATTATATATTATAATAACCCTGAGTTATACCCTGAGTTATAATATTATAATTTTGTATAAGTTTATATAAATGAAATCCTTATGTATGCATTTTATGTCTAGCTTGTCTGTTCAGCATTATGGCTATAGTATTTATCCATGTGGTTGCATATAGCAGTTCATGTATTTTCACTGTTGTATTTTACTGTATGAATATGGCATAATTTATTTTTCAGTTAAAGAACAATTGGATTGTTACCCACATGAACACACACACACACACAATTTTAGATATTTAGTTTGGAATGGAATTTTGGGTCCCTGGTTCTGTGTATGTTAAATTTTAGTTAATATTACCAGACAATTTTATATAGTGGTTTTAAGAATTTACTTTTCCTCCTCTCACAAGCAGTATATGACAGAGGAAGCAACCCCAACTTTAGAGTATTATTGCCTGTTTTAAATTTTAGCCATTTTGATGTACATGGAGTCTGATGTATGTGTAGTTGTGATTTTAATTTTCATATTCCTGATGAGTTGTAATGTCAATCACATTTTCATATGCTGATTGATTGGTCATTTGAATATTTCCTTTTCTGAAATGACTGTTGAAGTATCTTGTCCGTTTTATTTTATTACCTATCTTTTCTTATTAACTTATAGAAGTTTTTTTCCAATATACATGCTAGATTGACTCCTGCTTTTGAACACACATAAAAATTAATTCCAGGTGGATTGTCATTCTAAATGTAATAGATGAAACATTACATAAGGTAGCATATAAAAATATTTTCATGAACTGGGAATAAGCAACATTCTCTTTCGTGAACTGGGAGCAGGCATGATTCTCTTTCTTTATTATCACCATAATGGAAAAAAAATGACAATTAGATTATATTAAATCAGAACTTTTCATGTAAAAACACCACCAAGGAAAATTCAAGGCACAGAGTGGAATAAAATATTTGCAACACATGAAATCAAGAATCAAATTTGTAAATGCATGTTTTGGTTTGAGTCCCATGCCTTATGGGTCCTGTGACATCAGACCCCACAACCAAGCACATGTGGGGTTTTGATTTCTGGAAGGAAGATAACTATTTTGCCACCTGAAGCCTAGCTCCAGCTCTTTGTAGAAATGGGGCTGGTAGCCTAAGTATCATCTGTCAAGAGAGTGACAGATCCTCAGGACCGCAAGCATTATGGTGTACACCTGATTCAGATCTGAAATTTAGCTTTGGATTTTGTTACTTTTCTCATTTATTTCCTTTGTCATCTCTGGCATCACAATATTTCACTTTCTTTATGTCAAATTCAGTTATATATCCCAAAATTATTTTGTTTTCTTTTATCAAACATTTCTAAGTGTTTTGAGTGGGAGGTGGGCAGGATGAGAGTGTGTCCTGCTGTGTCAGCTCAGTCTACCCTATTGACTAGGAGCAAATCAATGAGTTTTTACAAATTAAATTCTCCTTTCTAATGCAGTGGCACAGGTAGCACTTGGCTTTATTGACACACTGCTGAAGAGGACACAACTTCCTGAAGAAAAAGAGAGGCTAAAGAGGTGATTTTGTGAGTTGAATAAATCACGATGGCTTTTCTGTACCAATTGACGGAGTGGGTGAGCAGGAGGCAAATTGTCAAATACCTGTGTGTATAGTGTACAACAGCTCTAGGACATTGTTTTTCTTAAGTGAATTTTCCCCAAAACTTGAATGAACTTATTTAAATACTTTTAAATATTTCTTTTTGTGAATGTATGACTTTTTTTTAACCATTTAAAACACAATTTCCTAGGCATGATATAATCTTCATTGCAAACAGCCAAGATTGTGCTTGTAATATAAATCATGACCTCAGAAGCTGTGACAGTGGGCAAAACCATTTTCCCCTAAACTAAATAGCTCATGATAGCTGAGTGTCTTGAATTAGTACATTATGGACAACTCAAATAGTGTTGATACCACTTATTTTGCTGTCAGACAACTCTTCGTATTTTTTCCAATGTGTCTGCCTCTAGCTTCAGCTTATTCATTCTAAATGTGGTGCTAAGAAAGAAGATACATAGATATTTGAGATTTGGGTGTAAACCAAGATGGTAAATTTGTTGCAAGACACTTTACTGTGAATTCATTGTCTGATGTTTATTATATAAACTTTGGAATATTTTCTTTTCTATTTAAAAGTTAAATTTGCCTTTCAAACTCAAATCTCATCTTTTTGTCACATAACCTCTCAATGCTCTGCATACATGTTTATATGCATACACATATGAGCCAGCTACTCAACCTTAAATTACAAATGATGTTATAACTCCACTAAACCTATACTATGTTTTTTACAATTATACAGTATGAAGGATTTTTTTTTTTACTTACATGCATATTAGAGTTTTTCAAGTTCATACTCCTTTCCTTCTTTTTTTTTCATGAGATCATAAAGGCTGTCCAAAATGTTTATTTATGTACATGTTTTTTGTTCCATCTTCTACCCTGCTATGTAAGTCCATGGCCTCATTATCCTACTATTTCTTTTACCTTTAATTTTAAACTTACAAAAATTAATGACCTAAGGGGACATTGAATTACAGCAAAATACACTTACGTACGTCTATGGAAATCTCACTAAGACTTCTGTTGGGACTTCTACATGCTTCAAAGCTATTTTCAAACTGCAAAACTCCACTTTAAAATTTTTTTCCAAGCCCAAGGACTTTCTTCTAAGAGGGTTTCAATACCAAAATAAGAATAAATAAATCTAGTGCATATAAAATTTAATTAATATATTTTTTTTTTCTTTAGAGTTTGTAGATAAATACTGCTTTTCAATCTGAATAAAATTGCATGAAGACTTGGAACATACATACTTAAAGGAAGGCAAGTTTGAAAATCTGGTTTGGGGATTTATGGTGGATATTTTTGCTTAACACTATGTCATACAACAGTAATAAAAAATAAAAAGGTGTTGTTTCAATAAAATTAAACTACATTTCTCTGATTATTATTGAATGAAGGTTACAAAAAATGGAAATTTGTAGGGGAAGCATTTGTTGATCTTTTTTGTTTTTGTTTCTGTTTTTTTTTGAAATAGTGTCTCTCTCCATCACCCAGGCTGGAATGCAGTGGCACAGTCATAGCCTCAAACTCCTGAGCTTCAGAAATCATCCCCACTCAGCCTCATGAATAGCTGGAACTGCAGGTGAGCATCACCATGCCCAACTAAATTTTAACTTTACTTTTTTAGAGACAGGGTCTCCCTATATTGCTCATACCGGCCTTGAACCCTTCACCTCAAGCAATCTTCATGCCTTGGCTCTCAAAGTGCTGGGATGACAAACATGAGCAACTGCAACTGGCCTAGTTTACCTTTCACTATAGTAAAGGTTCTATTACCCAGAGCTAGTAACGAAAGGCTGTCAAAATGTACTTGTTACAAAGTTTGACTTATAATCACTTAGCTCAGAGTTATTTATCTAATAGTACAACAGCTAATTAATTCAAAGTGTTTGTTTCTGCATCTTGTTCCTTTTTAAAATGTTAGGTCTGATGGAAATATCACTTAAGCTTTGGTTTCTTTTGATTTTGGCATTGAATTATGGGGGTGGGGGTTAGTGAGAGAACCATTTGGTTGAATATTTTATTTCTCTTTTGTTCTTTTCTATTCTAATTTCAGTAACAGAACATGTAGAGGAATAACTTCTGATACAAAGTGATAACATAGATTTGACAATTTAATGTAGAAATTGGTGATCCTTGAGCTTTGCAGAAAAATGTCTTCTTTTTAGTGGATTATTTTGGACTTACATTAGAGATCAGATTTAGATAAGAGGCAATTGGTCATGTTAGAATTGACAGCAGGCCATTAAATTCTTTTGAAAAGTTTAATCTACAAATATATACAGATCTCCTTTGATGAAGACAAAGAAATGAGAAATAAGATAAAGATTAATAATTATGGTGACTATTATTTACTGAGCACTTGAAATGTGCCCAATGTGTCATATTCATTTTTATATGCCATTTTTACACATGTGAGAACTGTGACACAGAACACTAAGGTAGCTTGTCAAAGATCACACAGATAAAAGTAGAAAAAATAAATTCAAACTAATTAAGTGTATTAGTCCATTCTCACATTGCTATTAAGAACTACCTGAGACTGGGTGATTTACAAAGAAAAGATGATTAATTGACTCACAGTTCCACTGGCTGTACAGTGAGCATGGTTTGGGAGGCCTCGGGAAACTTACAATCATGGCAGAAGGTGAAGAGGAAGGAGGCACATCCTACATGGCAAAAGCAATAGGAAGAGAGAGCAGTAGGAGGTTCTCTACACCTTTAAACAACCAGATCTCATGAGAATTCACTTGCTGTCATGGGAATAGCAAGGGGGAAATCCACCCCCATGATCCAGTCACCTCCCAGCAGGACCCTCCTCCAACATGGGGGCTCACAATTCAACATGAGATTTGGGCAAGGACACAAATCCAAAGGATATCATTAAGCATAACTCCAAAGGCTTTTCTCTTAAATACTTCTCTATAGTGCATTGCAATGAATGACCAGTGATTGAAATGTATATTGATAAATCATATTTTAAGGAATATTTTGAAAGATATTTCAGAATATTATTCTTACAAAGAAGAAAAATATGAATTCTTTATATAATACAAGTTGTACTTCAGGTAACAGTGTATGTGGTGGCAATTTTTGAATTCCTGTAACTGAAAGACTGAAAATTTGGAATTCCTGGCACTAAAAGACTTGAAAATGGTGTATCCATCTAGCTAGAAATCATGAAATTATCTATATTACCTCTGCCATAGGTAGTCATAGCATAGCCATCTGTATTAGTGAGAGTTCTCCAGAGAAATGGAAACAATACTCAGAGATTCAGTTTGAGGATTTCACTTATAGAGGCTGAGAAATCCCACAATCTGCTGTCTGCAATCTGAAAGCAACAGGATACATAGAATCAATGGTATACATATACCTACACACACACACACACACACACACACACACACATACACACACACACACACACACACGAGGGGAAGTGGCTCAGATAATTATGAAGGTTGAGAAGTCCCATGCTCTGATGCAGTCTGTAAGCTTGAAAAACAGGAAAGCCAAAGGTATATTTACAGTTCAAGTCAGAAAGTCTGAAAACCAGGATAGCAAATGGTGTAGTTCCAGCCTGAAGGCTGGTAGACTTGAGACCAAGGAAGAGCCAGTGTTTCAGTTCAAGTCCCAAATTAGGAAATAGATTGATGTCTCATCTCAAAGGCATTAAGGCAAGAGAAATCTGCTCTTACTCAAGAGAAGGCCAGGTTTCTTGTTCTATTCAGGCTTTCAACTGTTTGGATGTGGTCACTCACATTAAGAAAGGCAATATACTTTACTAATAATGGCAGTGGGGGGCCATCTAGAGTGTCCACTGCCATTACATTGGCTGCAGCATGGAGGCACAGCCAGGGCTGCACAATCCATGGAGCTGCTGGGAGCCAGGGACAAGTGGGAGCACCACCCCTTCCAAGTTGGGGTGGGAGCTCCCCAGGTGCCACTGCAGCTGCCCAAGCTGCGGCTGAGGACCTGGGTATCTCTGTGCTCTGGAGGCAAAGGAAGGCCCCCTCTGCCCTCACAGCTTGGAAATGCCTACTCCCACTGCCTGGCTTCTCCTTCCTGTCAGCGACTGCTCCAACAGTGAGGAGCTACCCACTCCAGGGCCTCCTCTCTGCTGAGAGCTGCAGTGATGTCAGGATGATGAGCTGCAGAAAGGAGCTACCGACTGCAGGTTTTTTCTGAGCTGTTCTGTCACTCAGTGGAGCTCCTCTTCATCTTGATCACCCTCCACTTGTCTGTGTACCTCATTCTTCCTTGTTGCAGGACAAGAACTCAGGACCTGTAGAATGGCAGGGCTAAAAGAGCTGTAACATAAGCAGGGCTGGAACATGCAACATGCTTGCCGTGTTGCGGGTAAAGAGAAGAGCTGCGGCCCTTCTGGGACCCCAGACATGGGAGCTCCCAGAGCCAGGGCTATGACTCCCTCTTTGGGGCCCTGTGGTTCCTGGCATCTCCAAGCTTTGGGCGCCAGTGCATTCCCCAGTGCCAGACATGGAAGCTGCTTGCAGTGTGCCTGATCTAGCCACAGCCTCACAGAGACCTGGTGCCCATGCCGGCACCTGGAGCTGCCCACCCAGTGGCAGCAGCTAGCATGTCTGACTGCACAGTGACTGGAACCCACACTTGCTCTCACATCCCTCCCTACTCCATGCCTCAGTTGCCCTTGGCAGGCATGAGATCCAAGCTGGTAGCGTGAGCCAAGTGCAGCCTGCCAGGTCAGGTGGGTGGAATGACACCAGTGGACCCTAAGCAAAACTCAGGCAAAGGCACCACTGGCCACAGAGATTTTTGGCCAGAAAAGCAACACCCCAAAGATCCCATAACACTAAGTCTACCAATTCAAATGTTAATCTCATTCAGAAACACCCTCAAAGACCCAGAATAATGTTTGACCAAATATCTGACTACCTCAGGGCCCATTCAGGTTGACACATAAACTTAACTATCCCAAGTTGACCACCCCTTGTCGACTACAGACCCCTAAGCATATCCTTAAGCTATACTTAATTTCCAAATAAAAACAATGACAAAGTGATAGTTTCTCCACACATAATTCAACAGAAAAATGCACTAACATCTTCCCCAGAAGAGAAGGTAAAGTTCTTGAGTGATGTTTACTCTTCTACTTGATATCCCATAAGTTAAATACTATGATGTAATATGTACTATATTTTAATACTATGATATAAAGTCAGTATATCTCGGGTTACATGATAAGGGAATAGGAGAGGGAAGAAATCAAACAATATTTGGCACCCAACACATACGAACAGATTCATAACAAGGAGAAAATAGGATAATTACAGTCTTTTTTCTGTAACTGGCCATATAGTCATGTTTGATGTTTATAATTACCTTTTTCTACTATACATTCTGTATTTTCTTTGCCTTTCTTAAGCACTTCAGCTGGTCATGGTTCTTAACCTGATGGTATGATTTGAACCATTTCCAAAGACTCTGGGCCATTAGTAGTACTGACTGGATTGGGTTGTTGCAGTTTTTATTTACTTTAATCACAGGTCATGATAAAATTAAGAGACAACCCAAGGATCTCCTGTATTACAGACATACTGTTTCTTACCTACGTTATGGAATAGTGGTCCGATTTCCCCTTTGGTTGTCAGGCCCAATAACCCTAGCTAGTATAGTAACTCCTTTGCCTTTTGAATCAGAGGCATGAGGAGCCCACGTTGTCCAGGTGACAATTTATACTTCCAGTTCAATGAAATTATTGCTGTATCTCCTGGTAAAATCATTCCTCCTTTTGGAGCTAAGACCTCTGGGCCAACAGAGTATAAGGTCATGGGAATAAGAAACAAAAACTTTCCTAGTGGGTCACTGAGTGTAATAATGTGTGGTGCTTCCTGATTTTTACTCCTTGGTTTCCTTTTTGATTCATGGACCCCTGAATTCTGGCTATGAGAGAAGGGGTGCCATACATTAGATACTGATTCAGAACATACACAGCCTCCTGGACAACCTGCTCCAGTCCTGCAAGATGTTGCAGCCTAGCTGGTTCTGTAAATGCATATTCAAAAGGTATTCTACCATTCTATCAAACCAGCCCCTTCATGATGGTGAGGAACAATGTAAGACCAGTGAATTCCATGAGCCCACAGCCCACAGCCACACTTCTTTTGCTCAGAAGCAATGTTGTGTGGAATACCATGATAAAAGATATCTTATATAAGTCCATGGATGGTAATTTTGGCAGAAGCATTCCTTTCAGGGAAGGCAAATCCATACCCAGAGTAAGTGTCTCTTCTACCAAGAACAAAACACTGCCACTTCCATGATGGAAGTAGTCTAATGTCATCAACATGCCACCAGGTAGCTGGCTGATATCCCTGGAGTATGGTGTCATAATGAGAACAAATGTTGGTTTCTTCTAATGGCAAATTAGACACTGAGTAGTAGCAGTAGCCAGGTCAGCCTTGTTGAATGGGAGTCCATGTTGCTGAACTAATATACAGCCTCCATCTCTGACACCATGGCCACTTTGTTCATGAGCCCATTCGGTGATGACAAGTAAAATTAAATAGTATTACATGGAACAATTCCATTCCTACTTAACCTAGAAAAATGAAAACATCTCTATACAAAGAAATGTACATGAATGTCAATAGCAACACTATTCACAAGAGTCCCAAAGTTGAGACAATCCAGATGTCCATAAACTGGTGAATGGATAAACAAAATGTGGTATATTTACACAATGAACTATTATTTAGCCAAAAAAGAAATGAAGTATTAATGCATGCCATTACATGAATAAGTCTCAAAAACATGATAAGAAGCCAGATACAAATGTTCATATACTGTATAATTTCTTTTGTTTAAAATGTCCAGAAATTCTATAGAGACAGAAAGTAAATTAGTGTTGCCTGGGGCTGGAGGTGGAATCAGAGATTAATTGCAGTTGGACATGAGGGGTTTTATCAGTGTGATGGAAATGGTCTAATATTGAATTGAAGTGATAAATGTAAAACTCTGTAAATTTACCAAAACATACCTAGCTTTACTTTTACAACTTGTAAATTTTATGGTGTACAAATTATTTAAATAAATTTATTTAAAGCAATTTTTATTTGTTTCTGGGCCTTTGACACTGATTCTCATTGGACACACTTGATGACAGGGACAGTAAATGTCTTGTCCTTATTGTTATTCCCAGTATCTAGAACAGCATGTGGCACAAAGTACACATACAAAATGTATGCATATATGCATGTGTATATATGCATATTTGTGTGTATATATCCATATATGATTTTCCTAATTAAACTATTATTTTTTATATTTTTATTATTATGGCAATGTTTAAGCAGAAAATAGTACAATGAGCACAAACATTATTTAAATTGACCAATCGTAAATATTTTGCTACAGTTGCTTTCTTTCCATCTGTGTTTATGTACCTTACTGAACCATTTGAATATGAGCTACCTACATCTTAATAGTTCTCCCCTAATTACTTTACATTCATGTCCTTAAAAGCTTGAGTTTTATTATTTCTTCTAAGAAAATTAACACTAATTCTCTAATATTATATATTATCCAGTCTATATCTAAATACTCCCCAGTTGGCCTTAAAATTGGTCTTATTTTTTTTTAATTAAACAACAAAGAGACCAAGTGTGGTGGCTTACCCCTGTAATCCCAATGTTTTAGGAGGGCAAGGATGGAGGATCACTTGAGATCAGGGGTTTTGAGACCAGCCTGGAATACACAGTGGGACACTGTCTCTACAAAGAAAACAACTAGCTGGGCATGGCGATGTGTGCCTGTAGCTCAAAGTACTCTGGGGACTGAGGCAGGAGCATGGCTTGAGCTCAGGAGTTTGAGGCTGCAATGAGCCACGAGCATGCCACTCCACTCCAGCCTGGGTGATTCAGAGGGACTCTGGCTCTAAAAACAAACAAACAAACAAACAAACGAATCCAACCACTATTCACAGATTGTATTTGGTTGTTATATCTTCTTAATATCATAATCTAAAATAGATTCCCCAGTTTTTTCATGATATTGGACTTCTTTCATGATTGGTTTTATGATACACAACCAGAAATCTTGTTCTATAGATAGTCTCACATTCTGGATTTGACGTTTTCTATGTGGTACATTTTACTTACTCCTCTATTCTATTTCCTGTTAACTAAAAGTTAGATCTAAAGGTTTGATTAAATTTAAGTTAAACATTTTTTATCATCGATACTTTATAAGTGATGCTAAAAAGCTCAATTATTTTTAATGAATAAATGAATACATTTTATCCAAATTTTGAGTGAGAAAATGGAATAAACAAGACAAAAGTATCTCAAGAAAGATGTTTCTTGCACTATAATATATTTTGTCTTTCACAATTTTGGACAGATAAGACAATACCTGAAACTTTTCAGAAGTTATTGTTTGAAAGGCCTTTTTCCTGAATATGAGCTATGAGCTGGTTTTCTTAAAAAAATTCTATAACAGAGAATTGAAATAATTTTATTATTATTTTAAATTCTGGCCTTGATTTTTAAACAGAAATTCAAGCTTTTCTTTTGCATTTTTTGTCTGCAATAAAACCCGTAGTCATTTGCATTGACAAGAATCAATAACTAGTATAAAAGAGATAATTTATGAACTGTGGTATTTAAGTCATTTCTGCAATGCAGATTTTCTTCCCCCTACCGCAAGCATTTTAGTATATATTTTTGTCCATTTTAATGAAAATACCCCTGAACAGCACTTTCTAATGTCATCGGCTATGCTTAATAGTCATGTAGTGAATCAGCCCAGTTCCCATTAGGTTGGTGCTTTGAGGGCATACATAGCTAGGATTCTGTCTCCATGGCAAACTACTTGGACAGTGGATTTTGTAGTGACGGATGGAGGCACAGACAGTTTCTGATTTTCTTGACCCCTCAGTAGAATGTAAAATTGAAAATTCTGTTAAAACTTTATTTTAAAGCTTCTTAATTTAGTATAATTGAATAATTTAACAAATGTTTATTGAGCACCTTCTATATGCAAAACATTGGGTGGGAAGTATTTCTCTGGCGCTCTACTTTGTTTTATCAGTGTGTCTCCTATGTGTCTCTATGTCTCTTTCTCTGTTTCTATTCCACACCTGCTTCAAGGAGGTTGTTAGAACACACGTAAACAATGTTCTCTGAGTTGTGTGGAGAGTACTATTTGTGTAATCTTCATTACCAAGTTTAACTGCAAGATTATATCTAATTGACAGAGCCATAGGTAAATGATATCAACTTGTTTCAAAGAACAGCTGAACCAGTAGCTGACAGGTTTGGCCTTAAACTCACCTTTAAGCTCTATTTGTTAGTGTCTCATTACAGCAAAAGGGATTAATAGTGGTTTGATTTTTGCTATAACTCAAAGAAATCAACCCCAGTGTCTGAAAGAAATAATATGCCAAGATTTTTAGTGTGAGAAAAGAGAAATAATCCTGTTAACAATAGATTTGGCATTGTTTAATTTATATTTCTAATCTGCCAAGGCTCTTCATCCTCCTTCTTAGACGGTTGATGAAGTAGGTAGTATTTATATCAATAGGAGTTGAGTTGATGAAATAAGGCAAAATGATAGTCTGATATTATCTAACACTTAAAATGCAATTTGTGCATCAATGAGCTTTGGACTTCTTAATACAGTTTCATTTGCTTCAACTGGACCTTATCTTTCTATTTCTATGATTCATATCAGCATGAGTCTTTCTCTGTATCTTAGCACACATATATGAAGTTTCAATGGATTTAAGAGAGTTTGACCAGCTAAATGTTGCCTGAACTGTTATTAGCATTTTAACTTGTTGTATTATGGGAGTGGGTTGTTCTATTGCATTTCTCCTCATTTTCATCCTTATATAGCTTCCTAATGGCTTAGTGGTCCATCTGGATCATTTCCTCTGTAAGAGTTTAATTCTAATTTCTAGTTTTGTCATCTGTAGATTTCCAATTTAAATATTTAGAAACATGACTTGATGCCATATTGCTTAAGTGGTTTAATGTAATTGTTTCGAACACATGAAAAAAATACCTCATGCCTTATTTTTATAAATTTTAAATGAAAGTTAATTTATACAGCATAATAATCAAACCCCTGCAGATATGTGTATCATTCAGATATCCTGCTCTGCATGGGACATCAAACATGAACAACTGAAAAATACGCTTTCCTTTCACCCTGCTGGTGTTAGGTTTTGGAATTGTGCATAAGATGGTTTATCTTACACAATTATTTCTTAATTATCTACTCTAGGATGATAGCAAAGAAACGAATGAATACCAAATGTCACAAATTTCCAGGATTTTTCTGAAAGGAGGGTGAACCACTGGATTTAAAAGTAGTAATGAATATGCTCATGCAAATTTATTGCTGCACTGTGTAGGTAAATAAGTATTCCTCACTTTGACTCCTGAGCCTAAAAAAATCCAGCAAAAAAAATCCAACTGATTAGTTTTAACAGATTGTAGTCGGGTGTATGTGATTAAATATAGTAAGTGTATTAGTCAGGGTTCTCCAGAAGACAGAACCAGAGACAGACAGGTAGACAGATAGATAGCTACATAGATAGACAGACAGACAGACAGACAGACAGACAGACAGATAGATAGATAGATAGATAGAAATTTATTAGGAAAATTGGCTCATGCAATTATAGAGGCTAAGAAGTCCCATGATAGGCTTTTTGCAAGCTGGCGAATGACGGAAGCCAGTAGCTTGTCTCAGTCCAAATCCAAAGGCCTGAGAACCCTGGAAGCCAATGGTATAACTATCAGTCTGAGGTTGAAGGCTTGAGAAACTGGGAGGCTGCTGGTGTGAGTCTTAAAGTCTAAAGACCTGGGAATTTAGAGTCCTGATGTACAAACGCAGGTGAAAAGGGGTGTCTCCACTCCAGAAGAAAAAGAATGAACTGCCCATTTGTTCTATCCAGGCACTCAGCAGATTGATGGTGCCCACCCACATTGGGTTAGGGCAGATATTGCTTACTCAGTCCACTGATTCAAATGTCAATCTCTTCTGGAAATACTATAACAGCCATATCCCAAGGTAATGCTACACCAGCTATTTGGATATCTCTTAATCCAGTCAAGTTAACACTTAAAATTAACCATCACAGTAGGGTACTAATGAAGGAGATACATGATTGTTGCCTTCAAGTATTTAAGGATTGTTATGTAGGACAGAATTAAACTCTTTTTTTTTTCTCTACGTGGCAGATTTAGAAGTAGTAGGTCACAGACAAGGCAGAAAAAACATTGATTCAGTAAAAGAAATATTTTCAGTGATATGAATTGCCAAACAATAGATTGACTTTCCACAGAAGACATTTACTGTACATTGCTGAATCTGTTTAATCAGAGGCCTAATTTCCTCATGGTAGACAAATATACAAGAAAGTAATATATTGACAGAAGATTGGTCCAGATGATTTCCAATGCTCCTTTCACCTAGAGAATCTATACTTCTTTACTCTTAAAAACAACCAGAAAAAATAAGCAAACAAAAACAGGAACCTTTAGAGAGTTGGCCCTATGCAATAAATAATGGGGCTAATTGCTGTGTACTGTTCATACTAATACTGGAAGATCAAAAATCTTGCCTCAAATACCTACTAATCTTGCTTGCTTCAGTGCATGGGGTTCTCATTATATAGTTTACATCTTTGGAATCTTCTGGACACATGTATGTTTGGCCTTGATGTAAGGAATGAGGGTTTCTATATGAGTTATGAGAGCATTCCATAGGAGTCAGTTTATTTTATGAAAACTCTACCTAATCTCCTTACCACAAATTGAGCAGGTCACCTTACATAGTGCCATAAAATGATCTCTCATTGTCTACAGATAAGTACAAACTTCTTTGGTGAAATTCCACAGACATTTATGAGCTGATTTGAATCTACCTCTCAAACCTCAACTTCTTTTTTTCAATCCATATGCTCTCGATTGAGCTACTTCTTATTCCTCCCAAATTGCGGGGTTTTCCATAAATCTGTTGCTATATAAACACTATGCCCTTCCCAGGGATGCCAGTTTATCTCTTTTATTACTTATTGAATGCCTGAATGCCTACTTATTCCTCGAGACTTCCCTCAAATACGAAATTTCCTCAGAGAGCTTTCCCAATCTTCTGAGTAAGTCATTCTCTCTTCCATTATCCCATGGCATTTTGTAAAAGATCAATTATAACACGTTATTGTATTATAACTTCCTGTTTTTCAGTCATCTCAAACTCTCATTATACTGAGTTTCTTGGGGCCAATGAACAGTGTTACATTCTATATCCCCAGTGTTTAGTTCACATCTTCACAGAGTCTTAATATTCTGTGACTTTTTTGTTGGATAATGTGTGTGTGAAACAAATATTCTAATTGATAAGTATATTGATTTAATTTGTGAGTGGAAAATGTAGGGACATGTTCAATGCATGTGTCTCACTGAAACTCTGCGTGTATCCAAAAATAGAGTGAGTATACTAGGAGAATAACTTGAGAATGGAAGAAAGCAGAGAGTGGACAGCAATAGAAAGCCTTAGGAAAGGACGGAAAAACACTGGAATTAAGGATTTATGTCAAGAATGCCGTAGGAAAAAAAATCCTTTACTTCTGCTCGGTTTCAAAGGATTAGTTTTGAGATGCTTTCAACTAGAAGGCTTTTGCATTTTTCCAGTTATAGAGAAATGTTAATACTGTCTTATGCCTTTTTGGGAAATTGACACCCTTTATTTTCATGTGCCTAGATTCAAAAGATTTGTAAGAACTATGATCAATTGCTGAAGTCAAGTTGAAATCATAATTTTGTTTTTGTCTGTCTCATAGGCATACTTTTACACTTCTAGACTCATAGTGTCTTAGCAAAATTATATTACAAACAATTATGTGCCAGAGGTTAACACTGTTACAGCACAATACTTTCAGAGTTTCTTTTCTACTTAACTCTAAGCTAATACATTTTAGTGCCTGTTCCTCTAGACATAGGGTGTCATTCACATTGACTGACATAACAAAGATAAAAAAGCATCACTTCTTTGGTTAAAAAATACAAATAAACAGTAAATGGTTTGCAAAACATCAAGGGGAATATAGGGCCATTTCATTGTATGTTTAATTAATCAACAGATATTATTCAAACATGCTGCCCCTGCACTCTAGAGACTAAAGCATTGTTAGAAGCACAGAAAAACAACTCTTGTCATTATAGCAGCAGGGTTTCTTTTTTCATCATTTCCAATTACTGGAGATAAAAGATACACCTGGCATGTTACTTCATGTCTGAATTTTTTCATTTTTAAATATATTTGGTCTATTTCTTGAAAAACTGCATAATTTTCATTAATGCTATAAACTGTCATTATTTATTTACCATTACATTTCAAATGAGAAGGAAGAGTTGTGAAGGTCATGATAATTTTGTTTTCCTAGAGACTGTAACTCCCAGGAGAAGGGGTTGGAGGTGAGACATGCACTCACTTGAGAAGTGAAAGACCACAGAATGTAATTGAAGCATCATCAATTGATTTCTTGTAAAAGTGATCATATTATTTCTCATGTTTAAGTACAATGAAACTTTTACATGCTTATTATGTGAAAGTAACCATGCTCAGCTTAGTATTTTAGGAGACAGAGGAATTTAAAAAATCACAATTCCTGTCCTCAAAAGGAATACTATCTAACATGTAAAAAATGCTGTGTTTACAAACAAGTATTTTTGCTTATTTGATTGCTTTAAGCAAAACAGTCATAGTATTTTAAATTTTATGTATGTGATCTACCAAATATTATGCTACTTTTACAAAGAATTCTTTCTCTGTTTCTCATGTCATTACCAGGTAAGCAAGCTTTTCAACAAAATATTAGGGAATTCCTATATCAATATATTTTCCTAGCTTAAAACAGTGTAGCAAAGAACAAATAAATTACAAATATAATAGATAATAATATTGAATAAGGCCTCCTTATTAATTTTTGATACATAGTCAAATTTTCTAACTTACCTTGCCTATGACTAGAACACAAGACTACAACTTTTCTTGCAAGAGCAGAGTAGGATGTTTTTATTCACTAAACATCTAATAAAGAAGCTATGGGTCAAGTCATTGTCTTAAGTGAGACTCTACTTTTTATTTTATTTTTACTGCCATTACTCCATATTTCAGGCTCAGTATCTCAAAACCAAATAAAATAGAATCAAGTTGGCTGTGTTTCAGAGAGAGTCTAAGGCATCTACCCAGAACAATATTCCATTTGCATCAGAATTCCAGATGGTAGCAGATAAGTTTCCTATGTGATAAAGTATGTGTCACTAACAGCAATGACACATCCAATTGAAATCCAACTTTTGTCACCCATAACTTAAGTGTCTTTGGAAAAGTCATTTATCTTCTTTAAGTCTCAGTTTCAATGTCTATAAAACTGAAATAATAATTTCTACATGATAGTGTTATTTTAGTTTTGTTTGTTTTTTGAGACAGGGTGTCACTCTGTCACCCAGGCTGGAGTGCAGTGATGTGATCACGGCTCACTTCAGCCTCAACTTCCTGGGCTCAGGTGATTCTTCCATCTCAGCCTCCTGAGTATCTGGGACCATAGGCAGGTGCCACCATCCCCAGCTAATTTTTTTATTTTTTGTAGAGACATGGTTTCATCATGTTACCAGGGTTGGTCTCAAACTCCTAGGCTCAAATGATCCTCCTGTTTCTGCCTCTCAAAGCACCAGAATAACAGGAGTGAGCCACCACATCTGGCCTTATTTTAGTTTTTAAACACTAAAGCATCAATTACACTGTCTGGCATATATTTGATATTCAAAAAATAGTTTACTTTTACTTTTATTATTTTATTTTACATTCAGGGAGTACATGGTGCAGGTTTGTTACATAGGTATATTGTGTGATGATGGGGGTTGGGCTTCTAATGTACCTATCACCCAAATAGTGAACAGTGCACCTAATAGGTAATTTTTCAATCCTCACCCCCCTCTCATCTTCCCCATTTTTACAGTCCCCAGTGTCTACTATTTTCATCTTTATGTCCATGTGTAGACAGTGTTTAGCTCCCACTTATAAGTGAGAACATATGGTATTTGATTTTCTGTTTCTGAGTGAATTCACTTAGAATAATGGCCTCCAGATCCATCCATGTTGCTGCAAAGGACGTGACTTCATGCTTTTTATGGATGGGTAGTATTCCATAGTGTACATATACCACATTTTCTTTATCTGATCAAACATTGATGGACACTTAGGTTGATTCCATGACTTTGCTACTGTGAATAGTACCACAATGAACATATGAGTGCAGATGTCTTTTTTTATATAGTGAGCTCTTTTACTTTAGGTAGATAGTAGTGGGATTGCTGGGTCAAATGGCATTTCTATTTTTAGTTCTTTGAGAAATCATCATACTGTTTTTAATAGAGGTTAAACTAATTTACATTCCCATCAACAGCATGAGTGTTCCCTTTTCTCTGTTTCACTTGCTTCCAGGCTTTGTGTGAGCAATAAAGCTTTTTAATCACCTGGGGGCAGGCGGGCTGAGTCCGAAAAGAGAGTCATTTAAGGGAGATGGGGTGGGGCCGTTTTATAGGATTGGGGTAGGTAAAGGAAAATTACAGTCAAAGGGGGTTTTTCTCAGTGGGCAGGGGTGGGGGTCACAAGGTGCTCAGTGGGGGAGCTTTTGAGCCAGGATGAGCCAGGAAAAGGAATTTCACAAGGTAATATCATCACTTGAGGCAGGAACAGGCCATTTTCACTTCTTTTGTCATTCTTCAGTTACTTCAGGCCATCTGGATGTATACGTGCAGGTCACAGGGGATATGATGGCTTAGCTTGGGCTCAGAGGCCTGACATTCCTGTCTTCTTATATTAATAAGAAAAATAAAACAAAATAGTGGTAAAGTGTTGGGGCGGCGAAAACTTTGGGGGTTGGTATGGAGAGATAATGGCCAATGTTTCTCAGGGCTGCTTTGAGTGGGATTAGGGGCGGCATGGGAGCCGAGTGGGAGAGATTAAGCTGAAGGAAGATTTTGTGGTAAGGGGTGATATTGTGGGGTTGTTAGAAGAAACATTTGTATAGAATGATTGGTGATGGCCTGGATATGGTTTTGTATGAATTGAAAAACTAAACGGAATAAGACAAGGAGAAAAACAGGTATTAAAGGACTAAGAATTGGGAGGACCTAGGATATCTAATTAGAGTGCCTAAGGAGATTCAGCATAGCCCTGCCAGCAAAGATTATTTATTTACTTTAAGAGGGAGTTAAGAGTGGCAGTTTGGGGATAGCACCAGGAGATATCAGCTGTGATGGCTTGGAGAAACAGTGAAAACTGGCAGTGCAAACAAGAGCAGGGCATTTATGAGTAGTTGAGAACAGTGAATAGGAGTATGACTAGACAGAAGATAGTAGGAATGACAAGTTTTTTGGGGTGCAGTCCAAATTGGTCTGGTGTCTGGAATGAGGCTGGGGCCTAATAAAAAGGAGCATCTATACAGGAGCTTAAATGGGCTGTACCTTGTAGCATTCCAAGGACAGGCCTGAATTATGAGAAGGGAAAGAGGTAAAAGTACTGTCCAGTCCTTTTTAAGTTGGCTGAGCGTGGTGAGGTGTCTTTAAAAGACCATTAGTCCATTCTGCCTTTCCTGAAGATTGAGGATGGTAAGGGATATGAAGGTTCCACTGAATACCAAGAGCCTGAGAAACTGCTTGGGTGATTTGACTAGTAAAGGCCGGTCTGTTATAGGACTGTATAGAGCTGGGAAGGCCAAACCGAGGAATTATGCCTGACAGAAGGGAAGAAATGACCATGGTGGCCTTCTTAGACCCTGTGGGAAAGGCCTCTACCTATCCAGTGAAAATGTCTACCTAGACCAAGAGGTATTTTAGTTTCCTGACTCGGGGCATGTTGAATAAAGCCAATTTGCCAGTCCTGGGCAGGGGCAAATCCCCGAGCTTGATGTGTAGGGAAGGGAGGGGGCCTGAATAATCCCTGAGGAGTAGTAGAATAGCAGATGGAACACTGAGAATTGATTTCCTTGAGGATAGATTTCCATGGTGGAAAGGAAATGAGAGGTTCTAAGAGACGGGCTAGTGGCTTGTAACCTACATGGAAGAGGTTATGAAATGAGGACAGAATAGAATGGGCCTTTGAGGCTGGAAGGAGATATATTCCTTGGTCTAAGAACCATTTGCCTTGTGTGGGAAGAGATTGATAGGTGGAAGTTTCAGCCGGGGAGTAGGTGGGAGTGGCCAGATGAGAAGGAGAAAAACTGAAAGTGAGGGATATAAGTTGGAACGCTAGCTGCTTTTTTAGCTATCTTATCAGCATAAGCATTGTCCTGAGTGATGGGATCTGATGCCTTTTGATGGCCTTTGCAGTGAATGACTCTAGTTTCCTTTGGAAGTAAAGCAGCTTTGAGAAGTGTTTTTATTAAAGAGGCATTAATGATAGAGGACCCTTGTGTAGTGAGGAAACCTCTTGCATGGTGGTGCAGGATATGGAAGGCATATTTAGAGTCAGTATAAATATTGATGTGTAGTCCTTTTACAAGAGTGAGGGCTTGACTTAAGGCAATGAGTTTGGCTTGCTGAGAGGTAGTGGAGGGGGGCAGAGCAGTAGTCTCAATGATAGATGTGGAAGATATTATAGCATAGCCTGCCTTTGCTGGCGAATGGCGATTAGGCCTGGTGGAACTGCCATCAATAAACCAAGTGTGTTCAGGGTGAGGAACACGGAAGAATATGGGGAAATGGAGTGACTGTCAGGTGGCTCAGAGAGATGCAGTCATGGGGGTCAGGTGTGATATCAGGAATAATGTGGGAGGCCGGATTGAAGTCCAGGCCAGGATCAATGGTAATTGTGGGAGACTCAACAAAGAGTGAGTACAGCTGAAGGAGCCAGGGAGCAGAAAGTGTATGTGTCAGGTGTGAGGAAGAAAATAGATTTTGGAAGTTATGAGAACTGTAGAGAGTGAGTTGAGGATAGTTTGTGATTTTAAGGGCCTCTAAAAGTATTAGGGCGGTGGAGGCTACCACACGCAGACTTGAGGGCTAGGCAAAACAGTAAGGTCAAGTTGTTTGGATAAAAGGGCGACAGGGCACGGTCCCGGTCCTTGTGTAAGAATTCCGACTGCACAGCCCTGCACTTCAGCTGTGGATAATGAAAAGGGTTGGAATGAGTCAGGGAGAGCTAGGGTGAGGGCAGTCTCTAAAGCTGTCTTCAAGGAACAGAAAGAGGAGTGGGGAAAGGATTTAGGATCTATGGGGTCAGCTAGGTTTCCTTTTGTGAATTTATATAATGGTTTTGTTAGGATGGCAAAACCAGGTATCTAAAGTCAAAAGTATCCAACTATGCCTAGGAAGGAAAGGAGTTGTTGTTTTATAGAAGGTGTTGGAGTTTGAGAGATCAGTCAGACATTATCGGCAGGGAGAGCACGGGCATTTTTATGAGAATTATGCCCAGATAGGTAACAGATGAGGAAGAAATTTGAGCTTGACTGAAGTAATGGGAGCTGTCTGTGAAGCCTTGCGGCAGTACAGCCTAGGTAATTTGCTGAGCCTAATGGGTGTCAGGGTCAATCCAAGTGAAAGCAAAGAGAGGCTGGGATGAAGGGTGCAAAGGAATAGTAAAGAAGGCATGTTTGAGATCCAGAACAGAATAATGGGTTGTGAAGGAAGGTATTGAGGATAGGAGAGTATATGGGTTTGGCATCACGGGGTAGATAGGCAAAACAATTTGATTGATAAGGCACAGATCCTGAACTAACCTGTAAGGCTTGTCTGGTTTTAGGACAGGTAAAATGGGGGAATTGTAAGGAGAGTTTATAGGCTTTAAAAGGCCATGCTGTAGCAGGCGAGTGATAACAGGTTTTAATCCTTTTAAAGCAAGCTGTGGGATGGGATATTGGCATTGAGAGGGGTAAGAGTGATTAGGTTTTAATGGGATGGTAAGGGGTGCATGATCAGTCACCAAGGAGGGAGTAGAGGTATTCTATACTTGTGGGCTAAGGTGGGGAGATACAAGGGGAGGATGTGAAGGAGGCTTTGAACTGGGGGAAAAGGCGGCAATGAGGCATGGCTGTAGCCCAGGAATAGTCAGGGAAGCAGATAATTTAGTTAAAATATCTCGGCCTAATAAGGGAACTGGGCAGGTGGGGATAACTAAAAGGAGTGCTTAAAAGAATATTGTCTAAGTTGTCACCAGAGTTGGGGAGTTTTAAGAGGTTTAAGCCTGGTCATCAATACCAACAACAGTTATGGAGGAAAGGGAACAGGCCCTTGAAAAGAAGGTAATGTAGAGTGGGTAGCCTGCATATTGATTAAGAAGGGGATGGACTTACCTTCCACTGTGAGAGTTACGTAAAGCGTCTGTGATGGTCCAGGAAGCTTCCAAGGTGATTGGGCAGCATCAGTCTTCAGCTGCTAAGCCAAGAAGATCTGGGAAGGAGTCAGAGAGCCTTGGGCCAGAGTTCCAGGGTCTCTGAGAGTGGCTACCAGGTGAGTTGGACAGTCCGATTTCCAGAGGGGTCCCACACAGATGGGACACGGCTTAGGAGCAGTCCCGGGCTGCAGGCATTCCTTGGCCTGGTGGCCAGATTTCTGGCACTTGTAGCAAGCTTCTGGGAGAGGCGGGCCTGGAGGAATGCCTGGCCGCTGCGGTTTAGGCGTTTGGAGTTCTTGTGTGCTGGAGATGTGACTGGGGTTTGTCTCACAGTGGAGGTAAGGAATTGCAACTCAGAAATATGTTGCTACTTGGCTGCCTGTACTCTATTATTGTACACATTGAAGGCGAGGTTAATTAAGTCCTGTTGTGGGGTTTGAGGGCTGGAATTTAATTTTTTGGAGCTTTATTTAATGTCGGGAGCAGATTAGGTAATAAAATAAAATGCATGTTGAGAATAAGACGGCCTTCTGACCTTTCAGGGTCTAGGGCTGTAAAGCGTCTCAGGGTTGCTGCCAAACAAGCCATGAACTGGGCTGGGTTTTTAGATTCGATGAAAAAGAGCCTAAACGCTAACTGATTTTGGGAGAGGTCAGGTAAAGAAAAAAGAGCATTAACTTTGACTATGCCTTTAGCTCCAGCCACCTTTTTAAGAGGAAATTGCTGGGAAGGTGGGGGAGGGCTAGTCGCAGAATGAAACTGTAAGCCGGAACAGGTGTGAGGAGGGGAGGTGATAAAAGGATTATAGGGTGGGGGAGTGGAGACTGAGGAAGAATTGGGACCTGGCTTGGCCTGGTAAGGAGCAGCATGGGGAGGAGGGGAGAGGTCAGATGGGTCTGTAGAAAAGGAAGATTAGAAAGACTCAGCTACGCTTGGGGTTGGGACTGAGAGGACAGGCAGGAGGGAAAGAAGGAGGATTTGGGATGAGTTGCACTGGGAACAAAGACTAGAGAGGGAACAATGTGTAATAATGAAATTATATTACACATTTTTCAAGATGAACATATAATGGATTTCTTGCAACAAAAGGTTTTATATTTCCAGAAGAATTTTGCCAGTGAAGGTAGTAAAAGCATTATTGTGGTCAAGCAAAACATATTTGTTACAGCCTACAACAATCACTTTTTAATAAGAAAATTATATTGAACTTTGCAAAAATAGTTTTTAAATGAACAATCACAAAAATTACTTTTTATGCTGTAAGTATTCAATTAACAAGTTTTCTATTATGAAACTTGTTAATGTTTTCTATATTTGTTAATATTTACTATGTTGTCTATATAATCTTCAAAATATGGGGAGAAGGTATTCAGAGAATATGTCATACAAGTTCCGTATTCTTAAGAAGTTTGAAATCTGATTAGGGAGACAATGGTTGAAACAATAGCTTACAAAGTGAGATAGAATATAACTCAGGACTAAGCTGCATAGTATGAATTCTAAGTGTTGCACATATTCTGAGAAGAAAGAGATATTTTGTCTCCAGAGTGACTGAAGATGCCTTCAAGCAGGGAATGGAATGTAATCTGGACTTCAATGGAAATGTGGAATTTGCATAGGCAGAATAGGGTTGCACTTATATACCATGTCACAAACAATACAGAAGCAAAGTCCTTGAGTGGTGAATTCGCATAGCACATCAATGCAAAAAGAACTAGGAGCACATTGTAGTGAAAATGAAGGCTGTAGAATTATAATAGAGCACATTTTAAACCGTGAAACACAGCCAGAGAAATGCAAACTTAATGTAATAGGAAACAATATAGAACGGAATAACTTGCTAGCAATTTCCTGGCTGTGGTATATGGAGATTCAATGCAAGGACATCAAGTATCTTGTAAGCGTTGTGAAAGAGGACCCCAAAATCACGAAGTCAAAGGGAAAAGTCAAACCAGGAACTGCACAGGGCAAACCTGCCTCCATTCTATTCCTAAATAAGATAACTACTCCATCTTGAATTGATTTTTGTATAAGGTGTAAGGAAGGGATCCAGTTTCAGCTTTCTACATATGGCTAGCCAGTTTTCCCAGCACCATTTATTAAATAGGGAATCCTTTCCCCATTGTTTGTTTTTGTCAGGTTTGTCAAAGATCAGATAGTTGTAGATATGTGGCGTAATTTCTGAGGGCTCTGTTCTGTTCCATTGATCTATATCTCTGTTTTGGTACCAGGACCATGCTGTTTTGGTTACTGTAGCCTTGTAGTATAGTTTGAAGTCAGGTAGTGTGATGCCTCCAGCTTTCTTCTTTTTGCTTAGGATTGACTTGGTGATGCGGGCTCTTTTTTTGGTTCCATATGAACTTTAAAGTAGTTTTTTCCAATTCTGTGAAGAAAGTCATTGGTAGCTTGATGGGGATGGCATTGAATCTGTAAATTACCTTGGGCAGTATGGCCATTTTCACAATATTGATTCTTCCTACCCATGAGCATGGAATGTTCTTCCATTTGTTTGTATCCCCTTTTATTTCCTTGAGCAGTGGTTTGTATTTCTCCTTGAAGAGGTCCTTCACATCCCTTGTAAGTTGGATTCCTAGGTATTTTATTCTCTTTGAAGCAATTGTGAATGGGAGTTCACTCATGATTTGGCTCTCTGTCTGTTGGTGTATAAGAATGCTTGTGATTTTTGTACATTGATTTTGTATCCTGAGACTTTGCTGAAGTTGTTTATCAGCTTAAGGAGATTTTGGGCTGAGACAATGGGGTTTTCTAGATATACAATCATGTCGTCTGCAAACAGGGACAATTTGACTTCCTCTTTTCCTAATTGAATACCCTTTATTTCCTTCTCCTGCCTGATTGCACTGGCCAGAACTTTCAACACTATGTTGAATAGGAGTGGTGAGAGAGGGCATCCCTGTCTTGTGCCAGTTTTCAAAGGGAATGCTTCCAGTTTTTGCCCATTCAGTATGATATTGGCTGTGGGTTTGTCATAAATAGCTCTTATTATTTTGAGATACATCCCATCAATACCTAATTTATTGAGAGTTTTTAGCATGAAGAGTTGTTGAATTTTGTCAAAGGCCTTTTCTGCATCTATTGAGATAATCATGTGGTTTTTGTCTTTGGTTCTGTTTATATGACATGGATGAAATTGGAAATCATCATTCTCAGTAAACTATCGCAAGAACAAAAAACCAAACACCGCATGTTCTCACTCATAGGTGGGAATTGAACAATGAGAACTCATGGACACAGGAAGGGGAACATCACACTCTGGGGACTGTTGTGGGGTGGGGGGAGGGGGGAGGGATAGCATTGGGAGATATACCTAATGCTAGATGACGAGTTAGTGGGTGCAGCGCACCAGCATGGCACGTGTATACATATGTAACTAACCTGCACATTGTGCACATATACCCTAAAACTTAAAGTATAATAATAATAATAAAGAAAAAAAATAAGATAACTACTAAGATTAAAAAAATAAAATAAAAAGCTACACACCTCCCTCACAATTTGCCCACAAGGAAATTCCTTATGGACAAAGGACATACAGAGTTTAAAATCATTTTTTGGCTCACTTGAGACAAATACATATCTGATGGCTTCCTTTGCCCTATTGTTTTACTAAGTCAGCCTAAGGCATAAGTGACTATTCCTCTAAATTGTGTGTTCAGTGAAAGGCTAATCAGAAACTCAAAGGAATGCAATCCTTTTCTCTTTTCTACCTATGATATGGAAGCCCCCTAACTGTTGAGTTGTCCCACATTTCTGGACAGAATCAATATACATCTTACATATTATATATTAATGGATGTCTCATGTATCCCTAAAATGTGTAAAACCAAGCTGTGCCTCAACCACCTTGGGCACCTGTCGTCAGGACCTCCTGAGGCTGTGTCATTGGCATGCCCTTAAACTTGTTAGAATAAACTTTTTAAATTGAGACTTGTCTCAGATAGGTTTTGGTTTACAAATTGGTGACCAATGAAAGGGACTCTGAGCAGAGGTGGCCCTGACTTTTGACAAATCTCCTATCATACTCAAAATTTGAAGGAAGAATTGAGACGACTTAATAACTAAGTACAAATCTAAGATGTTTGCTGTTGATAGTTTATATATTTCAGTATTTAGAATAAACTTTCAAGATGTCTATGTACTCTTAAAATAAATGAACCTTTGATCACAGTATTACCCCAGCAGATTACAGAGGTGCCTCAGTCACTGTAAGGTAAGCTGAAGAGTAGGCTAAAGATACTGCTGTCTGGCATAAGATTGAAATAAGTTAGTTTTCCCATATTTGTGAAAAAATATTGAATATGCTATTAAAACATTAGAAATTGAACAATAATCAGTAGATACATTTCTATAAAGCATTATGGAAATTTCTACTATTTTATAAATTTTTGCTGATGTTTCTATTATTAAATGTATCTTGATCTAGATCCTAGTCTTTCATTTTTCTAGATTTTATTTAGAACTCTTCATTCAAACTCACTGTAAATAACTAGCTTGGCGTGTGTCTCAGCTATGTCAGCTTACAACATCAAACCATCTTGACATCAAAGTCCTTTCTAAGTTCTTGTAGTTGTCAGAGGCTTAATTCTGTTTTAGCCAAGGGCTGTTTATCTACCCAATTTGAGTAATCAAAAGGATGGTTATAGTTCTCTCTGGCTTCCAGTAATGTTGGAGGGTCTTTCATTTTTGATTTTTTAGTTGAAATACTTCAGATGGTATTTTCTTTTTAGCTAGAAGAGAAGGCTATTAAAGATAGGTATGTTTCTATTTCAGTTTGAAACCCAAATATCTTGATTTTTATACCAGAAAGTTGACTACATTCTTGAAAATGAACAAAGTATTTCCTACTAAAATACATTCTTGCTACTACATAAAGTAGGCATAATTTCAAGTAAAATATGATTTTCTTAGGAATACCATAGCAACCTGTTTTAGAACAGCTTGATTTAATATCGTAAACTATTTGTTATATCATAAAACTTCCAAGTTATTACAAAATTCCATTGGCACTCTGATTTGAGGAGATAGCTAATTCCCTAACCAATGTAATATAATTTTATATAACAGATTTTTTATTTCAGTAAACATTTATTGAGTGTACACCAGGTACTCTGCTAGATTCTGTGGAGACAATGGTAGAAAAGCCAGGCCAGGCAGTGGCCTTTACAGAAATGGAATACAGCTAACCAAAGAGGTGAAAGAGCTCTACAATGAGAATTACATGACACTGTGAAAAGAAAGCAGAGATGACACAAACATTCCATTCTCATCAATAGGTTGAATCGATATTGTTAAAATGGCCATACTGTCCAAAGCAATTTATAGATTCAATGCTATTTCTATTAAACTATCAATAACATTCTTCACAGAATTAGAAAAAAACTATTCTAAAATTCATATGTAGCCAAAAAAGAGCCCAAACAGCCTAAGCTATCCTAGGGAAAAAGAATAAAGCTGGGGACAGTACATTACCTGACTTCAAACTATACAGCAAGGCTACAGTAACCCAAACAGTACAGGAGTAGTACAAAAAATAGACACATAGACAAATGGAAAAAGAAAAAGAGCCCTGGAATAAAGCCACACACCCACAACTATCTGGTCTTCAACAAAATTAACAAAAGCAAACAATGGGAAAAGGACTCATTATTCAATTAATGGTGCTGGGATAACTGGCTAGCCATATGCAGAAGATTTAAACTGGACCCCTTCATTACACCATATACAAAAATCAACTCAAGATGGATTAAAGACTTAAATGTGAAACCTATAAAAACTCTTGAAGAAAATCTAGTATATTAGTGTATTCTGACATTGCTAATAAAGATATACCCAAGACTGGGTGATTTATAAATGAAAGAGGTTTAATTGACTCACAGTTCCATATGGCTGGGGAGACCTCACAATCATGGTGGAAGGTGAATGAGTAGCAAATTTATGTCTTGCATAACAGCAGGCAAGAGCTTGTGTACAGGAATTCCCATGTATAAAATTATCAGATCTCATGAGACTTATTCACTACCATGAGAATAATATAGGTGAAACTGCCCCCATAATTCAATTGTCTCCACCTGGCCACACCCTTGAAACATGGAGATTATTACAATTCAAGGTAAGATTTGGATGAGAACAGAGGCAAACCATGTCATTCCACCTTTGGCCCCTCCCAAATCTCATGCAGTCACATTTCAAAATCAATTATTCTTTCCCAACAGTCCTGCAAGGTCTTAAGTCATTTCAGCATTAATTCAAAAGTCCACATCTAAAGTCTTATTTGAGACAAGGCAAGTGCCTTCCAATTACGAGCCTGTAAAATCAAAAGCAAGCTAGTTACTTCCTAGATACAATGGCGGGGGGGGGGGAGATGCAGAACCATTGGGTAAATACCCCCATTACAAAGGGAGAAATTGGCCAAAACAAAGCAGCAAAAGGCCCCATTTGAGTCCAAAATTCAGCAGGGCAGTTATTAAATCTTTACACTCCAAAATGATTTTCCTTGACTCCATATCTCACATTCAGGTCACATTGATGCAAGAGGTGGGCTCCCACTGCCTTGGGAAGCTCTGCCCCTGTGGCTTTGCAAGGTACAGCCCCTGCTCCCAGCTGCTTTCATGGGCTGGTGTTGAGTGTGTTTGGCTTTTTCAGGTGCATGGTACAAGCTGTCGATGGATCTACTATTCTGGGATCTGGAGGATGGTGACCCTCTTCTCACTGCTCCACTAGGCAGTGCTGCAGTGTGGCCTCTGTGTGGGGTCGCCAACCCCACATTTTCCTTCTGCACTGCCATAGAAGAAGTTCTCCATGATGGCCCCACCCCTGCAGCACACTTCTGCCTAGACATCAAGGCATTTCCGTACATTCTCTGGAATCTAGAGGGAAGTTCCCAAACCTCAATTCTTGACTTTTGTGCACCTGCAGGCTCAACACCATGTGGAAGCTGCCAAGGTTTGGGGCTGAGCTGTACCTTGGCCACCTTTAGCCATGGCTGGAGCAGCTGCAATGCAGGGCAGCAAGTTCCTAGGCTGCACACAGCACGGGTGCTCTGGACCCAGCCTAGGAAACCATTTTTTCCTCCTAGGCCTCTGGGCCTGTGATGGGAGGGGCTGCCATGAAGGTCTCTGACATGCCCTGGAGACACATTTCCCATTGTCTTGGTAATTAGCATTCAGCTCCTCATTACTTATGCAAATTTCTGCAGCAGGCTTGAATCTCTCTCTCCAGAACATGGGTTTTTCTTTTCTACTACATTGTCAGCCTGCACATTTTCCACATTTTTATGCTCTGTAACTTCTCGAAGTCTTTGTGCTTAGAATTTTTTTCCACCACATACCCCATATCATCTCTCTCAAGTTCAAAGTTCCACAGATCTCTAGGGCAGGAGAAAAAATGCCACCAGTCCCTTTGCATAGTGAGAGTGACCTTTACTCCAGTTCCCAATAAGTTCCTCATCTCTATCTGAGACCATCTCAGCCTGGGTTTTATTGTCCATGTTACTATCAGCATTTTGGTCAAAGCCATTCAACAAGTCTCTGGGAAGTTCCAAACTTATCCAAATTTTCCTGTCTCTGAGCCTTCCAAACTGTTCCACCCTCTGCCTTTTACCCAGTTTCAAATTTGCTTACACATTTTCAGTTATCTTTACAGCAGCACCCCACTCCAAGTACCAATTTAATGTATTAGTCTGTTCTTACACTGCTAATAAAGACTTACCTAAGACTGGGTAATTTATTAAGAAAAAAAAAAGACTGTTACTTTACTCATAGTTCCATATGGCTGGGGAGGCCTCACAATCATGGCGGAAGGTGAATGAGGAGCAAATTCATGTCTTACATGGCAGCAGGCAAGAACTTGTGCACAAGAACTCCCATTTGTAAAATTATCAGATCTTGTGTGACTTATTCACTACCAAGAGAACAGTATGGAGGAAACTGCCCCCATTATTCAATTATCTCCACCTGGTGCCACCCTTGACAGGTGGAGATTATTACAATTCAAGGTGAGATTTGAGGGGGAACACAGCCAAACCAAATCACCTAGAAAATACCACACTAGACATAGGCCCTGGCAAAGATTTTTGAGAAGGATGCCAAAAGCAATTGCAACAAAAACAAAAATTGACAAATGGGAGCTAATGAAACTAAAGAGCTTCCACACAGCATAGGAAACTATCAACAGAGTAAATGTAAACAGACAACCCAAAGAATGGGAGAAAATATTTGCAAACTATGCATATGACAAAGTCCTAATATCCAAAATCTATAAAGAACTTAAATTAATAAGCAAAAAACAATCTAATTGAAAAGTGGACAAAGATATTAACAGATACTTTTCAGAAGAGGACATACGTATGGCCAACAAGCATATGAAAAAATGCTCAACATAGCTAATTATTAGAGAAATGCAAATCAAAACACAATGTGATAGCTCTTCACACCAGTCAGAATGGCCATTATTAAAAAGTCAAAAAATAACAGAAACTGGTGATGCTGTAGAGAAAATGGAAGGCTTGTACACTGCTAGTGGGAATTTAAATTAGTTCAGCCACTGTGGAAAGCAATTTGACAACTTCTCAAAGAACTTCAAACAGAACTGCTATCCAACCAAGCAATTCTGTTACTGGGTATATACACAAAGGAATATAAATAATTTTACCAGAAAGACACATGCACATGTATGTTCGTCAAAGCACTATTCAAAATAGCAAAGACATGGAATCAAACTAAAGGCCCATTAATGGTAGATTTGATATCAAAAATGTGGTAAATATACACCATGGAATGCTTCACAGACATAAAAAAGAACAAATCATGTCCATTGCAGGAATGTGGATAGATGTAGAGGCCAGTATCCTAAGGGAACTAATGCAAGAAGACAAAATCAAACACTATGTGTTCTCACTTATATGTGGGAGCTTATCATTGAGGACACATGGACACAAAGAAGGGAACAATAGGTACCAGGCCCTACTTGAGGGTGGAAAGTTGGAGGAAGGTAAGGATCAAAAAACTGCCTATCACATACATGCTTATCACTTGAGTGATGAAATAATATGTACACTGAACCCCTGCAACATACAATTTATCTACAGAACCAACCAGCATATGTACCCCTGTACCTAAAAAGGTTTAAAAAAGGAAACATGTAGTCCAATGGATGGCACATACTTCTCTTTTCTTCTCTGTTTTAAAGGATTATACTTTAAGTTTTAGGGTACATGAGCACAATGTGCAGGTTAGTTACATATGTATACACGTGCCATGCTGGTGCGCTGCACCCACTAACTCGTCATCTAGCATTAGGTATATCTCCCAATGCTATCCCTCCCCCCTCCCCCCACCCCACAACAGTCCCCAGAGTGTGATGTTCCCTTTCCTGTGTCCATGTGTTCTCATTGTTCAATTCCCACCTATGAGTGAGAACATGCGGTGTTTGGATTTTTGTTCTTGCGATAGTTTACTGAGAATGATGATTTCCAATTTCATCCATGTCCCTACAAAGGACATGAACTCATCATTTTTTATGGCTGCAGAGTATTCCATGTTATATATGTGCCACATTTTCTTAATCCAGTCTATCATTGTTGGACATTTGGGTTGGTTCCAAGTCTTTGCTATTGTGAATAATGCCGCAATAAACATACGTGTGCATGTGTTTTTATAGCAGCATGATTTATAGTCCTTTGGGTATATACCCAGTAATGGGATGGCTGGGTCAAATGGTATTTCTAGTTCTAGATCCCTGAGGAATCGCCACACTGACTTCCACAATGGTTGAACTAGTTTACAGTCCCACCAACAGTGTAAAAGTGTTCCTATTTCTCCACATCCTCTCCAGCACCTGTTGTTTCCTGACTTTTTAATGATTGCCATTCTAACTGGTGTGAGATGGTATGTCATTGTAGTTTTGATTTGCATTTCTCTAATGGCCAGTGATGATGAGCATTTTTTCATGTGTTTCCTGGCTGCATAAATGTCTTCTTTTGAGAAGTGTCTGTTCATATCCTTCACCCACTTTTTGATGGGGTTGTTTGTTTTTTTCTTGTAAATTTGTTTGAGTTCATTGTAGATTCTGGATATTAGCCCTTTGTCAGATGAGTATGTTGCAAAAATTTTCTCCCATTTTGTAGGTTGCCTGTTCACTCTGATGGTAGTTTCTTTTGCTGTGCAGAAGCTCTTGAGTTTAATTAGATCCCATTTGTCAATTTTGGCTTTTGTTGCCATTGCTTTTGGTGTTTTAGACATGAAGTCCTTGCCCATACCTATGTCCTGAATGGTATTGCCTAGGTTTTCTTCTAGAGTTTTTATGGTTTTAGGTCTAACATTTAAGTCTTTAATCCATCTTGAATTGATTTTTGTATAAGGTGTAAGGAAGGGATCCAGTTTCAGCTTTCTACATATGGCTAGCCAGTTTTCCCAGCACCATTTATTAAATAGGGAATCTTTCCCCAATGCTTGTTTTTGTCAGGTTTGTCAAAGATCAGATAGTTGTAGATATGTGGCGTTATTTCTGAGGGCTCTGTTCTGTTCCATTGATCTATATCTCTGTTTTGGTGCCAATACCATGCTGTTTTGGTTACTGTAGCCTTGTAGTATAGTTTTGAAGTCAGGTAGTGTGATGCCTCCAGCTTTGTTCTTTTGGCTTAGGATTGACTTGGCGATGTGGGCTCTTTTTTGGTTCCATATGAACTTTAAAGTAGTTTTTTCCAATTCTCTGAAGAAAATCATTGGTAGCTTGATGGGGATGGCATTGAATCTGTAAATTACCTTGGGCAGTATGGCCATTTTCACGATATTGATTCTTCCTATCCATGAGCATGGAATGTTCTTCCATTTGTTTGTATTCTCTTTTATTTCCTTGAGCAGTGGTTTGTAGTTCTCCTTGAAGAGGTCCTTCACATCCCTTGTAGGTTGGATTCCTAGGTATGTTGTTCTCTTTGAAGCAATTGTGAATGGGAGTTCACTCATGGTTTGGCTCTCTGTTTGTCTGTTGTTGGTGTATAAGAATGCTTGTGAGTTTTGCACATTGATTTTGTATCCTGAGAATTTGCTGAAGTTGCTTATCAGCTTAAGGAGATTTTGGGCTGAGACAATGGGGTTTTCTGGATATACAATCATGTCGTCTGCAAACAGGGACAATTTGACTTCATCTTTTCCTAATTGAATACCCTTTATTTCCTTCTCCTGCCTGATTCCCCTGGCCAGAACTTCCAACACTATGTTGAATAGGAGTGGTGAGAGAGGGCATCCCTGTCTTGTGCCAGTTTTCAAAGGGAATGCTTCCAGTTTTTGCCCATTCAGTATGATATTGGCTGTGGGTTTGTCATAGATAGCTCTTATTATTTTGAGATACATCCTATCAATACCTAATTTATTGAGAGTTTTTAGCATGAAGCGTTGTTGAATTTTGTCAAAGGCCTTTTCTGCATCTATTGAGATAATCATGTGGTTTTTGTCTTTGGCTCTGTTTATATGCTGGATTACATTTATTGATTTGCGTATGTTGAACCAGCCTTGCATCCTAGGGATGAAGCCCACTTGATCATGGTGGATAATCTTTTTGATGTGCTGCTGGAGTCAGTTTGCCAGTATTTTATTGAGGAGTTTTGCATCAATGTTCATCAAGGATATTGGTCTAAAATTCTCTTTTTTGGTTGTGTCTCTGCCCGGCTTTGTTATCAGAATGATGCTGGCCTCATAAAATGAGTTAGGGAGGATTCCCTCTTTTTCTATTGATTGGAATAGTTTCAGAAGGAATGGTACCAGTTCCTCCTTGTACCTCTGGTAGAATTTGGCTGTGAATCCATCTGGTCCTGGACTCTTTTTGGTTGGTAAGCTGTTGATTATTGCCACAATTTCAGATCCTGTTATTGGTCTATTCAGAGATTCAACCTCTTCCTGGTTTAGTCTTGGGAGAGTGTATGTGTCGAGGAATTTATCCATTTCTTCTAGATTTTGTAGTTTATTTGCGTAGAGGTGTTTGTAATATTCTCTGATGGTAGTTTGTATTTCTGTGGGATCAGTGGTGATATCCCCTTTATCATTTTTTATTGCATCTATTTGATTCTTCTCTGTTTTCTTCTTTATTAGTCTTGGTAGCGGTCTATCTGTTTTGTTTATCCTTTCAAAAAACCAGCTCCTGGATTCATTAATTTTTTGAAGGGTTTTTTGTGTCTGTTTCCTTCAGTTCTGCTCTGATTTTAGTTATTTCTTGCCTTCTGCTAGCTTTTGAATGTGTTTCCTCTTGCTTTTCTAGTTCTTTTAATTGTATGTTAGGGTGTCAATTTTGGATATTTCCTGCTTTCTCTTGTGGGCATTTAGTGCTATAAATTTCCCTCTACACACTGCTTTGAATGCATCCCAGAGATTCTGGTATGTTGTGTCTTTGTTCTCATTGGTTTCAAAGAACATCTTTATTTCTGCCTTCATTTCGTTATGTACCCAGTAGTCATTCAGGAGCAGGTTGTTCAGTTTCCATGTAGTTGAGAGGTTTTGAGTGAGATCCTTAATTCTGAGTTCTAGTTTGATTGCACTGTGGTCTGAGAGATAGTTTGTTATAATTTCTGTTCTTTTACATTTGCTGAGGAGAGCTTTACTTCCAACTATGTGGTCAATTTTGGAATAGGTGTGGTGTGGTGCTGAAAAAAATGTATATTCTGTTGATATGGGGTGGAGAGTTCTGTAGATGTCTATTAGGTCTGCTTGGTGCAGAGCTGAGTTCAATTCCTGGGTATCCTTGTTGACTTTCTGTCTCGTTGATCTGTCTAATGTTGACAGTGGGGTGTTAAAGTCTCCCATTATTAATGTGCGGGAGTCTAAATTTCTTTGTAGGTCACTCAGGACTTGCTTTATGAATCTGGGTGCTCCTGTATTGGGTGCATATATATTTAGGATAGTTAGCTCTTCTTGTTGAATTGATCCCTTTACCATTATGTAATGGCCTTCTTTGTCTCTTTTGATCTTTGTTGGTTTAAAGTCTGTTTTATCAGAGACTAGGATTGCAACCCCTGCCTTTTTTTGTTTTTCATTTGCTTCATAGATCTTCCTCCATCCTTTTATTTTGAGTCTATGTGTGTCTCTGCACGTGAGATGGGTTTCCTGAGTACAGCACACTGATGGGTCTTGACTCTTTATCCAATTTGCCAGTCTGGGTCTTTTAATTGGAGCATTTAGTCCATTTACATTTAAAGTTAATATTGTTATGTGTGAATGTGATCCTGTCATTATGATGTTAGCTGGTTATTTTGCTCGTTAGTTGATGCAGTTTCTTCCTAGTCCCCATGGTCTTTACATTTTGGCATGGTTTTGCAGCGGCTGGTACTGGTTGTTCCTTTCCATGTTTAGCGCTTCCTTCAGGAGCTCTTTTAGGGCAGGCCTGGTGGTGACAAAATCTCTCAGTATTTGCTTGTCTGTAAAGTATTTTATTTCTCCTTCATTTATGAAGCTTAGTTTGGCTGGATATGAAATTCTGTGTTGAAAACTCTTTTCTTTAAGAATGTTGAATATTGGCCCCCACTCTCTTCTGGCTTGTAGGGTTTCTGCGAAGAGATCCACTGTTAGTCTGATGGGCTTCCCTTTGAGGGTAACCCGCCCTTTCTCTCTGGCTGCCCTTAACATTTTTTCGTTCATTTCCACTTTGGTGAATCTGACAATTACGTGTCTTGGAGTTGCTCTTCTCAAAGAGTATCTTTATGGCGTTCTCTGTATTTCCTGAATCTGAATGTTGGCCTGCCTTGCTAGATTGGGGAAGTTCTCCTGGATAATATCCTGCAGAGTGTTTTCCAACTTGGTTCCATTCTCCCCATCATTTTGAGGTACACCAATCAGACGTAGATTTGGTCTTTTCACATAGTCCCATATTTCTTGGAGGCTTTGCTCATTTCTTTTTATTCTTTTTTCTCTAAACTTCCCTTCTCGCTTCATTTCATTCATTTCATCTTCCATTGCTGATACCCTTTCTTCCAGTTGATCGCATCGGCTCCTGAGGCTTCTGCTTTCTTCACGTAGTTCTCGAGCCTTGGTTTTCAGCTCCATCAGCTCCTTTAAGCACTTCTCTGTATTGGTTATTCTAGTTATACATTCTTCTAAATTTTTTTCAAAGTTCTCAACTTCTTTGCCTTTGGTTTGAATGTCCTCCCGTAGCTCAGAGTAATTTGATCATCTGAAGCCTTCTTCTCTCACCTCGTCAAAGTCATTCTCCATCCAGCTTTGTTCCGTTGCTGGTGAGGAACTGCGTTCCTTTGGAGGTGGAGAGGCACTCTGCTTTTTAGAGTTTCCAGTTTTTCTGTTCTGTGTTTTCCCCATCTTTGTGGTTTTATCTACTTTTGGTCTTTGATGATGGTGATATACAGATGGGAAGGACAAAATCTTGAGTACAACTCTTATCAGAGAGAATAAAAGATGTACAAGCATTCAGAGTACAGTGGATTAAACTTTATTGTTGCTAAAGTCTAATTTAATTACTAAACTCTTTTCTGAAAGGCCTGATAGACCTATAAAATGTTTATGTTTCCAACACATTTTAAACAGGAAACAATTTTTGCACAAAATATAAAGTGGGGTAATCTCCCAAAGATAAAGTAGCCTCAAGAAAGCCAAAGAAAAGAATATGAATTACCTCAAACTATCAACTGCTGATTAGATATTGAGAGCAGAAAAAGGTCTGTTGAATCTGATGATATTAGAGATAATGGTTTGCAGTAGACTTGTGGGATGCTAAACCAGATTCAAAGAATACAGCAGAGTTTCGGTGGTGAGAAAATGGAGGACAGATGATAAAGATTAAACATGAGAGAAGATTGATAGAGAAAAGAAGAGACATTTCTAGAATGGATGATTAGGTTAAATAAAGTTAAATTTTGGGCATTTTTCTCCTAGTATGGATGGACCCAGACATGTTTAAAAGTAATGATCAGTTTTTAAACAGAAAGCATAATAAAAGTTTTGGTTGAAAAAAATCAATGTTTAGCACATTCTACATTTTCATGAAGGAATATGTAATAGAAACAACAGCCCCAAACTCTTAATATTAAATTTCACATTCCTCAGAAAAAGTTCTTCTCAGTGGTCATTAATTCTTTGATCTAAATGGTACATCATGGCAAAAGCTATTTAGCCATGTGATAATAAAATGAAAACTCCTTAGTTCTAGAAATGAGACTTTGGGAAGGATTTATATCCTGACTAGAACTGTCAGAAGAACAAAAAGCAAGTATAATTTGAATATCATCAGAACATTTGACCTATTAGTTGGGATTCATTTGTTTAAAAGTCATCATTTCTTGTGAACAAGTTTATTTTAGGAAAACAAGGATGGTAATAAAAATTACTATTCTTTCTAGTTTATTAGAAGCTTCATTTAATACTGATATTTTTTTTTTATTTTGTGGCAAAACTTACAATCTGCATAATTTACCTTTCTTCCTACTTTTGCTTCCATAATTCATCATAGGAATTTGGTTCACTGGAATGTTTTCCATTCATTATGTGTAATACATTTAAAACATTTTAGAATGCTGATCGTTTTTGAGTTTCTGAATTAGAAGGAGAGCTATGTGAAATTTTAGGGTGTTTGCCTATTTTTTTTAAGTTTGAATTTATTTTCAATTTTGAGTCAGCTATACATTTGAAACTGGAGTCTTTATATACTAGATATGCACAACATTGAATTTAAAATGTACCAATATTCCAAAATGCAATAAAATTGAAAAAAGTATAAAGAATACCCTTGAAATTAAAGGACTTCGTTTTACTGGTTTTGCTTATTTCCAAAGAGCTCACATTTTTGCTATGAAAGAGCATACCTATAACCTATTAAATAACTTTCAATAATCCAGAAGTCTCTTGAAAGCGAGGTATAGAAAGATAAATTCATTTGTAGAAAGAATTCCGGATCCTATTCAATCAGAACCTTTGCAGTCATAGAATTTTAAAAGCTCACAATTCCACAAAAAGAATATCTACCAAACTATATCAGTGGGAAAATAAGAAGGATCTTCTGTCATTTCAGTTATGTCCTTTTTTTTGCAAACAGGGATCATAATATGGTATATACCATTTTTCCACGTATAGAAATTCTTTAGTTTTATTAAGGCATTACTAAAAGAATTAGTAGAATGTTAAATCAGTTATATAACTCCAAACCATGTTAAAATAGTATTTTTTTGTGAATGTTTTTGAGAAGACACTCCAGTCATATTAAGTTGAATATTCAGGTTTAGATGTGAGGTACTGTTTCTTTAACACTTTATCATTTTATGACATTTTAATTTCTCAGTGAGTATGATTAATACTACTTGGAAATAATTTATCACTAACACTAATTCAAATGGTGGGTCATCTCTAAAAATCAGTTGGCAATAAAACTGATATCCTGCTGATATCCTGCTAGTTTAATGTATTAACATACACTCTCATTAATACTATGTTTATCCTTGTTGACAGGTATCACATTTGCTGGTTTTAAAAAGGGTGTCCCCTTCAGTTCAAAGACATCTTGGTCTTTAGAAAACTAAATTATGCTAAAGCCAGAGACTGATGCATACAAGCTTATTCTTGGCTGTATATTTAAAGCAATCAAATAGTTGAAGTTTCATCTCTCCGTTTTTTATTCTGCTATAAAAGGACTATTGTAATGAATCATGCGGTTACTGCAAAGGAGCAAGTTTTCTTTTTGTCTTAATTTCCTATTAAATTTGGCTAGCAATTGCAGTGACAGTAAAGGTAGGTTATGCATATGAGCTAAAATCAGGAATCACTTGCCAAGAAATCTATACTGTGTACATTATTTAAATATATCAAGTTGTTTGTCTTTAGAAAATAAACTTTTCTACTGGCTTCCACCCATAAAACTGGTCTTTTAAAAAATATCAATATAGAGTATAAAGTGACTTATTTCATGAGAAAAAAATTGTCCAAAAAATGCCATGATGTTTTCAAAATTCATTTGCTACTGAAGCATCCTGTACAGTAAGAACAGAAATAGATAGGCAATAATGCTATGCTACCACCACATAAAAGGCAAGATGAACCAAATTGTGAGATTGACTCAATTTCTCTCATAGTGGCATTTATTTGCAATACTTTTTTTCTGTCCAAACGCAGGCTGAGCAATTCATAGAGATGTGCCAGCTGTAATGAATTCACCAAAGATGTTGTAGAAAAGTTGTGACCCTGTTCCCACACCCAGTATTTCTAGATATTGGTATTAATTGGTATGGTCAACCTGAATAGTATAACTATGGGGGATCAGCCTTCCTCTCTCGCAATAATGACAACAATGTTCTTGTAATTGTAATCTTTTCAACTTTCAACAAACATGTATTAAGTAATTTCCATGTTGCCGGCTCTGTGTTAATTGCCAACAACACAAAGAAAATTAAAATGTGGTCTCCGACTTCAAGGGACTATTCCTAAAGGGACCTAATGATTGAGTGGAAGTAAAAATGATCAAGCAATGTTGGCAAATGTCTTACTATAGGATTTAAAACCGTTTAATTGTTGTCGATGAAAAGAGTAAAACTTTGCAAAATATTTTAAGAGATTTATTCTGAGCCAAATATTAGTGATCATGGCCCATGACACAGCCCTCATAAGGTCCTGAGAATATGTATCCAATGTAGTCGGGGAGCAGCTTGGTTTTACACATTTTAGGGAGGCATGAGACATCAATCAAATACATTTAAGAAATACATTGGTCCAGAAAGGTGGGACAACTCAAAGCGTGGGCGGGGAGGTGGGTGTCTTCCAGGCTATAGGTAAATTTAAACATTTTCTGGTTGACAATTGGTTGAGATTATCTAAAGACCTGGAACTGATAGAAAGGGAATGTTCAGGTTAAGATGAAAGATTGTGGAGACCAAGGTTCCTTCAAAGTCTTATAGTGGCTGCCCTTGGAGGCAATATATGACAAATGTTTCCTATCTAGATCTTTAAAAGGTTCTAGACCCTTAAGTAATGTCTTTAGGATTGGGAGGGCCTGGAAGAAAAAGATCTAGCTATGTTAATAGAGATTCTTTACAGATCCAAATTTTCCCCCACAAAGGACAGCTTTGCAGGGCCATTTCGAGATATGGCAAATAAACATGTTTTGGGGTGAAATATTTTAATTTTCTTCCTTGTCTCATAATGTTATGCCAGAATCAGGTTGGAAAATAAGTCACAATATATTGTTAAACAAACCCATCTGATGAGAATTTATTGTTTGTAGGCCATGACTCCCCAGACTTCTTAGATAGGAATTTGGACAAGATAAAAAAAAAAAAATCAGAGCTTAGTCATCATGGTCTTTTTCAGGTCAAGCTCCAAAGTCCCCATGGATACAGATATTTACCAAATGTAATTTATTTTGCTATAGTACATCACAATATGAAGATGCCTAGGAAGGGAAATTCTGTTATTGTCATGTCTCATGCTATTTTCTTCTAAACCTCACGTAGCCTAAGATTATTTCATACCACCTGAGAAGGACAGAAATCCTAGAGCGTTATCTTGAATATAATACTTGAGCTGATTAATATGAAAAAGTGATATGACTCAAAGTTAAGTACCACTGAGTCACAGAAAAATCTAGGTAGCAGCACAAATGAATCTAGCCTGCAGAGGTCAGAAGAGAACATTCCATGGTTGAGGCCCAATAAGAATTAGTCACTGAGGGGTTCCACTTTATAAAATACTATGTTGTAAAAGTTTTTGAAAACTTACTGGAAACACTAATCTTTGCTGGCAACAACAGTTACTTGTTCTCCATTTATAATCCCTGAGATAAAAGGTGTGTCATATAGGAGAGAATGTTTATTTTTCATTTATTCAGGACTTATTCTCTGTTAAACACTTAACATATATTAAATCTAATCTTCATATATACCCCCATTTTACAAATGAGAAAACCAAGACCAGAGAGGCAAGGCCCATGCTCTAGTATTAATTAGTAATTGATGGGCCTGGGATTCCAGCCAAGGTAGGTCTGACTACAAATTACCATACTGTTTTTAGTTTGCCATGATACATTGAAATAAATGGTGGAATGGTAGAGAATGGTCCAGACCTACAATTACTGCAGAAATGTGAATGACTGATCTTTGCTGAATATTTCAATGCCTTTATCTCCCCTTTCTTGGCAGATTTATTTACAATAATAGGAATTGTCTAGTTTTAAGCATAATCCATTGACATCTGAAAAGAGAACATGAGGATTTAGCTTGTGGTAAGCAGAATAATGACCCTCCAAAGATATCCACACCACAACTCCTGGGTCCTGAATGTTATCTTACATGTCAAAAGTGATTTTGTATATGTGATTAAAGCTAAGGATCTTGAGATGGGAAGACTTTCCTGGATTATCCTCGTGGTCCCAATATAGTCATATAATTATATGAGTCCTTAAAAGTGGAAGATGAAGGGAGAAGAGCATGTTAGAGAGATATATGGCTTGAGAGATAGTAAACACGCCATTGCTGTCTTTGAAGATGAAGGAAGGAGGTCATGAGCCAAGGAATAGAAACGATCCTCAAGTTAAAGCCAGCAAGGAAAAGGGATATCATTCATAACAATTAGTCACAAGGAACTTGAATAATCATGGAAATACGTTCTCCCTTAGAACTTCTAGAAATAAATGTAGCTCTGTGAGCATCAATTTGTTTTGTTTGTTTTGGGTTTGTTTGTTTTGTTTTGTTTTCTTTTCTTTTGTTTTTGAGACGGAGTCTTGCTCTGTCGCCAGGCTGGAGTGCAGTGGCCCAATCTTGGCTTACTGCAACCTCTGACTCTGGGGTTCAAGCGATTCTCGTGCTTCAGCCTCCCGTGTAGCTGGGACTACAGGCACGTGTCACCACTCCCAGCTAATTTTTGTATTCTTAGTAGAGATGGGGTTTCACCATGCTGGCCAGGCTGGTCTCAATCTGCTGACTGCATGATCTGCCTGCCTTGGTCTCCCAAAATGCTGGGATTACAGGCGTGAGCCACCGCGCCCAGCCCAGCATCTAGTTTTTAGCCCAATGAGATCCATGTCATACTTTTGACATACAAAACTGTGAGGTAATAATGTACTGTAAGTTTCCAAATTTGTGATAATTTTTTAGGTCAGCAATAGAAAACTAATGCATAATTACTTTTCACACATACACGACACACACACACACACACACACACACACACACACACACTTCCCTTCCCATTCTCCTAATATAGTTATATTGCCATTTTGGTTGGTTCAATAGTTAATGTCTACATTATCATGACTTTATAAATGTTATGAGTGGCTGAGCCATGTACTATAATGTATTTTTTCTTTCCTATGTGTGATGGTTAATATTGAGTGTCAACTTGATTGGATTGAAGGATGCAAAGTATTATTCCTGGGTGTGTTTGTGAGGGTGTTGCCAAAAGATATTAACATTTGAGTCAGTGGACTGGGAGAGGCAGACTCACCTTCAATCTGGGTGGGCACCATCTAATCAGCTGCCAGCATGGTTAGGATAAAAGCAGGCTGAGTCTTCCAGCTTTCATGTTTCTCCCATGCTGGATGCTTCTGGCCCTGGTACATCAGACGTCAAGTTCTTCAGCTTTTGAACTCTTGGATCTACACCAGTGGTTTGCCAGGGCCTCTCAGGCCTCAGGCCACAGACTGAAGGCTGCACTGTTGGCTTTCTTACTTTTGAGATTTTGGGGCTTGGACTGGCTTCCTTGCTCCTCAGCTTGCAGATAGCCTATTGAGGAACTTCACCTTGTGATCCTGTGAATCAATACTTCTTAATAAACTTGCCTTCATATATACATCTTTCCTATTCTTTCCCTCTAGAGAACCCTGACTAATACAGATTTTGGTCCAGGAGTGGTTCTAGAGGAACAAAATTTTAAGGATGGATTTCTTCAGTTGGTTTTGGGGTTTCTAGGTTGGCTGCTTAACATGATTAGACTCCAAAATGCTAAGGACTCTATTTCTAATAGTATGGAGAACACTGATAGTCATTGGTGTAAGCTGTTTAGAGAAATATGCAGAATAAATGCATTTGATACTTCTGATTCACCGCTTTTGAGAGGCAAGAAGTTTAGTGACTCTATACACAATATCTTTGACCGTATGTGGAAAATCAAGGGATATAATGAAGTTGTTTGGTTGCTTCTAAGTTCACTGGACAAAGTGATGAACGAAAACCGTGAGCTCAGTGATTCTAACTCCTGGCTCCGGAAGCACATACTGAGCATCAAATCTTCTAAAATTGTCCTTAGTAAGAGTCTTATCTCCTGTAGACATGTGGCTAAAATTGTAGAAAATCAGACACAAGCTTTTATCATGCAAGTGGTTGACTTGCAACAAAAGGCACACACACAGCCTCACCAGTTGTCTGCTTTTATAGTGAGGGTATTGATTGGAAATGAATGGGACCCTGCAACTTAAATTGGGACATATGGGAGAAACCCGATGAGGCTGGGAGCATTAAACTCCTAAATTCTGATGAGTCTTTTCTGCCAGAGAAAACAGCCTCCCCACCCCCAGTGGTGGCAAGATCCCCTCCCCCACCCAGGCTGCCATCAGCCTTTCCACCTTTGTCTGAGAAGATTAACCCTGCACTGCTTGAGGCAACAGTGATGGCCTCCCCTGAAGAAGTTGACAGGCAATACAATGCTGATTCTCCTCAGAACCCACCCCCGCAAACCCCTGTTGGCTTCCAGACCTATAACTAGACTCAAGTCCTGGCAAGCCTCTAAAGGTGAGGTTCAGAGTGTGACCAACGAGGAGATGTGTTACACCCCAAAATAACTGCTTGAGTTTTCTAATTTATATAAGCAGAAATCTGGAGAACAGGCCTGGGAATGGATATTGTGGATGTGGGATAATGGCGAAAGAAACATAAAGTTGGATCAGGGTGAATTTATTGATATGGGCCCACTAAGCAGGGATTCTGCATTTAATGTTGCAGCTTGGGGAGTTAAAAAAAGTTCTAATAGTTTACTATAAATTATTTTCACAATCCTATCTCCACCTGAGGCAATCTCTGATCTAATATTTGTGACCATAACTTAGATTATTTTTATATAAATGTAAATATACTGTGTGTAGTGTTTTGGATTGGCTGCTTTCCCTCAAAATAATATCTGGGAGATTAATTCATGTTACTGTGCATTGCAGCAGCTCATTTTTATTGCTGAGTCTTTTTTTGTGGCATAAATATACCATAATTTATTTATCTACTTACCAGTGGATAGATTGTGGGGCTATTTTCATTTTGGGGCTATTATAAATGAAGCTGGTATAGACATATGTGTATAAGCCTTGTTGTGGGTATATATTTTTATTTCTTTTTGAGGAAATAATCAAGATTGGAATTACTGTGTCACAGAACAGGTGCATGTTTAATTTTATAAGAAATTGTCAAACTCTTTGTCAAGTATGAGGTATAATTTTATACTCCTACCAGAAAAACATGAGACTTTCAATAGCTCTACATTCACACCAACATTCGTCCTTGTCCGATCTTGTCTTTTAAGCCATTCTAGTGGATGGGAAGTAATATTGTTGTTTTCATTTGAATTTTCTTGAAGACTAAAATTGCTGCTTATTGTTTCACGTATTGTCATTTCTACATCTTCTTTTGTGAATGTTTAAGTATTCTGCATAATTGTAATTTCTTTCTTTTCTTATTTGTTATTGTGTTAAAAGTTGTTTATATATTTTCCAGGCAAGATTTTTGTCAGATATATGTAGTGCACACATGTTTTTAGTTAATGGCTTGACTTTTCATTCTGTTAAACTGGTAACTTCTAAAAAGCACAGGTCTCTGCTGCCAATGAAGTCAAATTTATCCATGTTTTCATTCATGAAAAGATGGCCAATGCAATATTTCTTATAGAAATTGTCTAAATTTAATTTTATTTTTAGGTCTATAACCCATTTTGAATTTGTATGTGTATGTATTGTGATCAATAATAGTTTATCTTTCTTTTCTCCGTAGAGATATATAGTTGTCCTAGCATCATTGTTCAAGTTTTCCTTTTTACCCTGGTGGTTTTGTCAATATAATTTGCACATAGATAGGTAGGTTTACTGCTAGACTCTTAATTTTTTTCCACTGAACTATGTGTCTGTTCTTATGCCAACATCACACTGTCTTGATTACCATAGCTTTATAGTAAGCCTTGAATAAGGTAGCATGTGTCCTCTAACTTATTGCTTCTATTTCACACTTAATTTGGCTATTCTAGATAATTTAAATTCCAATTTCAACATATGTTTTAGAATAATACTGTCAATTGATATATTACATGTATTGGAGTTTTGATTGAAATTGCATGGAATCTGTAGAAATACTTTGGGGAGAATGCAAATTGTAGCAATCTTGTGTATTCCAACATATGAATAAAGTACACTTCTCCATTTATGTGGGTCTTGTTTCACTTCTCTAAGCAATATGCTGTGGATTTAAGTGACAAGGTGATATATGCCTTTTGTAAAATATATTTTAAAATATTTAATGCATTTTTATACCTTCAGATAATTTTAAATTTTTCTTGATAATTATTTGCTACTAGTAAAGAGAAATACAACTATTTTTGTATTTTATCAACATAACATGTAACTTTGCTTAATTCATTTTTCCTATTAGTGTTTTTTCTTAAGATTCTTTAGTTTTCTTTAATGTACATAAGCAAGTCATCTCTGAATGACTTTCAAGTGACAAATTTACTTTCACCTTTACAATCTGTATGTGTCCTAAATATTTTTATGCCTTCTCGCACTTTTTCAGAGCTTGAGTACAATATTAAACAGAAATGGTGAGAACAAACATTCTTGCCTTCTTTCCAGTCTTAGGGATGAAGTGTGTAATATATCACCATTTAGCATAATGTCAGATACAAGTGGGTTTTTTTGTTGTTGTTGTGGCTTTTTGTCTGATTTCCAGGAAATCCCCCGCTATTCATAGTTTATTGTTGAGAGTTGTTATCTAGAATGGATATTGATTTTGTCAATTGTTCTTTGTGTATCTACTGCTACAAAAATATGACTTTCTTCTTTATTTTAATATTATTAATTGCATTGGTTGCTTTTTAAATATTGAACAAATTTGCATTCCTGGAATATTATCTACTTGATCATGTTATGTTATCCTTTAAATATATCTGATATACTTAATTTGCTAATATTTTGGCACTCATTTTTTTTTTTGCCATCCAGCCTCATAAAACATACAGAACTATAATATGCTTTTCTTGTGATGTCCTTGTCTGGTTGTGGCATCATGGTTACATTGGCCTCATAAAATGTTTAGCAAAGTGTATCTATTGCATTTTCTGAAAGAGTATGTGTAAAGTTATTATTATTTCTTCCATAAGTGATTGATAAAATTTATCAGCATAATCATTTAGGTCTGTAGTTTTCCTTATATGTCTATATGTTTTACTATAAATTTTATTTCTTTAAAAAAATACATTAATGTTTTCTATTTTCGTCATATCAGCTTTTTTTCATTGTTCATTAAAAGATGATGTCTTGCTGAGTTGCCCAGGCAGAAATAAAATTCTTTGGCTCAAGTGATCGTCTTTCTTGTGTCCCCAAGTAGCTGGTACTACAGACACATGCAAATGGATTGGGCTCATTATGTTGGTTTTTAAAGTTGTGTTTTTCAAATAATTTGTTCATGTCATTTAATTTTTCAAATATCTTGACATAAAGTTTTTCTTAATCACCTTTATTCTTTTGATTTATGCCTTTCTCTTTTCTATTTTTTCTTCTATTATTTTAAATGTATTTTGTTCTGCTTTTTCTAGCTTGCTAAGGTAGAAATTGATTTTAAACCTTTCCTCTGCACTATTAAAAATACTTAAAACTATTGTGAATAGTGCCACAATAAACATACGTGTCCATGTGTCTTTATAGCAGCATGATTTATAATCCTTTCGGTATATACCCAGTAATGGGATGGCTGGGTCAAATGGTATTTCTAGTTCTAGATCCCTGAGGAATTGCCACACTGTCTTCCACAATGGTTGAACTAGTTTACAGTCCCACCAACAGTTTAAAAATGTTCCTATTTCTCCACATCCTCTCCAGCACCTGTTGTTTCCTGACTTTTTAATGATTGCCATTCTAACTGGTGTGAGATGGTATCTCATTGTGGTTTTGATTTGCATTTATCTGATGGCCAGTCATGATGAGCATTTTTTCATGTGTCTTTTGGCTGCATAAATGTCTTCTTTTGAGAGGTGTCTGTTCATATCCTTTGCCCACTTGTTGATGGGGTTGTTTTTTTCTTGTAAATTTGTTTGAGTTCATTGTAGATTCTGGATATTAGCCCTTTGTCAGATGAGTAGATTGCAAAAATTTTCTCCCATTCTGTACGTCACCTGTTTGCTCTGATGGTAGTTTCTTTTGTTGTGCAGAAGCTCTATAGTTTATGGATCCCATTTGTCAATTTTGGCTTTTCTTGCCATTGCTTTTGGTGTTTTAGGCATGAAGTCCTTGCCCATGCCTATGTCCTGAATGGTATTGCCTCGGTTTTCTTCTACGGTTTTTATGGTTTTAGGTCTAACATTTAAGTCTTTAATCCATCTTGAATTAATTTTTGTATAAGGTGTAAGGAAGGGATCCAGTTTCAGCTTTCTACATATGGCTAGCCAGTTTTCCCAGCACCATTTATTAAATAGGGAATCCTTTCCCCATTTCTTGTTTTTGTCAGGTTTGTCAAAGATCAGATGGTTGTAGATGTGTGGTATTATTTCTGAGGGCTCCGTTCTGTTCCATTGGTCTATATCTCTGTTTTGGTACCAGGACCATGCTGTTTTGGTTACTACAGCCTTGTAGTATACTTTGAAGTCAGGTAGCGTGATGCCTCCAGCTTTGTTCTTTTGGCTTAGGATTGACTTGGCAATGCAGGCTCTTTTTTGGTTCCATATGAACTTTAAAGTAGTTTTTCCAATTCTGTGAAGAAAGTCATTGGTAGCTTGATGAGGATGGCATTGAATCTATAAACTACCTTGGGCAGTATGGCCATTTTCACGATATTGATTCTTCCTATCCATGAGCATGGAATGTTCTTCCATTTGTTTTTATCCTCTTTTATTTCATTGATTAGTGGTTTGTAGTTCTCCTTCAAGAGGTCCTTCACATCCCTTGTAAGTTGGATTCCTAGGTAGTTTATTCTCTTTGAAGCAATTGTGAATGGGAGTTCACTCATGATTTGGCTCTCTGTTTGTCTGTTATTTGTGTATAATAATGCGTGTGATTTTTGCACATTGATTTTGTATCCTAAGACTTTGCTGAAGTTGCTTATCAGCTTAAGGAGATTTTGGGCTGAGATGATGGGGTTTTCTAAATATACAGTCATGTCACCTGCAAACAGGGACAATTTGACTTCCTCTTTTCCTAATTGAATACCCTTTATTTCTTTCGTTTGCCTGATTGATCTGGCCAGAACTTCCAACGCTATGTTAAACAGGAGTGGTGAGAGAAGGCATCCCTGTCTTGTGCCAGTTTCAAAGGGAATGCTTCCAGTTTTTGCCCATTCAGTATGATATTGGCTGTGGGTTTGTCATAGATAGCTCTTATTATTTTGAGATACATCCCATTAATACCTAATTTATTGAGAGTTTTTAGCATGAAGGGCTGCTGAATTTTGTCAAAGGCCTTTTCTGCATCTATTGAGATAATCATGTGGTTTTTGTCTTTGGTTCTGTTTATATGCTGGATTACATTTATTGACTTGCATTATGTTGAACCAGCCTTGCATCCCAGGGATGAAGCCCACTTGATCATGGTGGATAAGCTTTTTGATGTGCTGCTGGATTCAGTTTGCCAGTATTTTATTGAGGAGTTTTGCATCAATGTTCATCAAGGATATTGGTCTAAAATTCTCTTTTTTGGTTGTGTCTCTGCCAGGCTTTGGTATCAGGATGATGCTGGCCTCATAAAATGAGTTAGGGAGGATTCCCTCTTTTTCTATTGATTGGAATAGTTTCAGAAGGAATGGTAGCAGCTCCTTCTTGTACCTCTGGTAGAATTTGGCTGTGAATCCATCTGGTCCTGGACTTTTTTTGGTTGGTAAGCTATTAATTGTTGCCTCAATTTCAGAGCCTGTTATTGGTCTATTCAGGGATTCACCTTCTTCCTGGTTTAGTCTTGGGAGGGTGTATGTGTCCAGGAATTTATCCATTTCTTCTAGATTTTCTAGTTTATTTGCGTAGAGCTGTTTATAGTATTCTCTGATGGTAGTTTGTATTTCTGTCACAATAGGAAAGACTTGGAACCAACCCAAATTTCCATCAATGATAGACTGGATTAAGAAAATGTGGCACATATATACCATGGAATACTATGCAGCCATAAAAAAGGATGAGTTCATTTCCTTTGTAGGGACATGGATGAAGCTGGAAACCACCATTCTCAGTAAACTATCACAAGAACAAAAAACCAAACACCGCATGTTCTCACTCATAGGTGGGAATTGAACTGTGAGAACACTTGGACACAGAAAGGGGAACATCACACACTGGGGCCTGTTGTGGGGTGGGGGGAGGGGGGAGAGATAGCATTGGGAGATATGCCCAATGTAAATGACGAGTTAATGGGTGCAGCACACCAACATGGCACATGTATACATATGTAACAAACCTGCACGTTGTGCACATGTACGCTAGAACTTAAAGTATAATAATAATAATAATAATAAAGAATAGCCACTTTTTGCTTCACCCCTTCTAAAACTCAGTATTAACTTTCAAAATTATATTTTTGCTTAAGTTTTAATAAGTACATTTCTTGTCTTTTTTTTCTTTGTCTGGAAGTGAAATGTTTATTTATTCTCAATAATCATAGCTTAATGTTTTACTCCAAATAAAATGTAATACACTTGTTCCTCACTGATTTCCCACTAGGCCTTTTATAAACTTTTATATTATGTATTTTGTTAATATGTGATGAATTTATATTTGCTATCTTTCAGATGCTAATTATTATCAAAAAGTCTTATGTGGAGAAGAATAACATCTGATTAATTTAAAAAAAATACTTAAAACTGCACATTCCCTGAAAGCAATGCTAAAAGTACTTAAAACTACAAATTCCCTAAAAGCAATTCCCTAAAAGCACATACAAATATTGAAACATTGTGTTTTAATTATAATTTATTTAAACATTTTTCTAATTTCCCTTTTACATATACGTATGTGTTTTGACCAGTAAGTTAGTGAGAATGCTGTTGCTTGCCGTCCAAATACTCAAAGATTTTCTAGATATTTTACTGTTACTTATTTCTAATCAGCTCTTTACCAAGAGAATATTTTTTCAGTTCTATTTTTACTACAAATATTTCATAATGTTATTATATTTTAACCTTTATTTCAGTTTCAGGGATACATGTGCAGGTACACCAACAATGTCCAAGCTGAGAGCCAAATCATGCATTCAATATCATTCACAATAGCCACAACAATAAAATATCTAGGAATACAACTAACCAGGGAGGTGAAAGATCTCTACCACAAGAATTACAAAACACTGCTGAAAGAAATCAGAGATGACACAAACAAAGGGAAAAACATTCCATACTCATGAATTGGAAAATCAATATTGTCAAAATGGCCATACTGCCCAAGCAAATTACAGATTCAATGCTATTCCTATCAAACTATCAATGACATTCTTCACAGAGCTAGAAAAAACTATTTTAAAATTCATATGGAACCAAAAAAGAGCCCAAATAGCCAAGGTAATCCTATGCAAAAAGAACAAAGGTGGAGGCATCATGTTATCCGACCTTAAACTATATTACAAGCCTACAATAACTAAAACAGCATAGTACTGGTACAAAAACAGACATAAACCAATGCAAAAGAATAGAGAGCCCAGAAATAAAGCTGCACACCTATAACCATCTGATCTTTGACAAAGTTGACACAGGCAATGGGGAAAGGACTCCCTATTCAATAAATGGTGCTGAGACAACTAGCTAGCTATATGCAGAAGATTGAAACCAGATCCCTTCCTTACAGCATATACAAAAATCAAAATTTGAGTCTTTCAAAATTTATCAAGACTTATTTTATAGCCCAGCATATGGTCTTTCTTGGTGAATGCTCTGTGTGCTTTTACTTCTTTTATTTATTGATGCATAACACATGTACATAGTAATAGGGTACATGTGATAATTTAATATTCACATAATTTGTAAAGATCAAAACAGTGTACTTGGGATATCTGTTGTCTGGAATATTTGCCTTTTCTTTATGCTAGAACCATTTGAGTTCTTCTCTTTTAGCTATTTTGAAATATACATTAGACTTTTGTAAACTCTATTCACCCTGCTGTTCTTTTAACACTAAATCTTTCTTCAAACTGCATATTTGTACCCATTAATCAACTTGTCTTCATCCCCTCACCCACTACCCTCCCTGGCTTCTGGTAACTGCCAATCAACTCTCTATTTTCATGACCACTTTTATACCCACATATGTATAAAAATGTGTGATATTTGTCTTTCTGTGCTTGACTTATTTCATTTAACATAATGACCTTCAGTTCCATCCATTTTGCTGCAAATACTAGGATTTCATTCCTTTAATGGCCGAATACAATTTGTGTATATGTACAATGCTTTCTTTATCCTTTCTTCCTTTGATAGGTATTTACGTCATTTCTATATTTTGGCTATTGCAAATAGTGCTTTACATGAGAGCGAAGATGTCTTTTCAATATATTGATTTTCTTTTCATGAATATATGCCCAGTAGTGAAATTGCTGTATTGTACGTTATTTCTATTTTTAGATTTTTGAGAACTCTCCATACTCTTCTGCATACTAACAATACTATTTACATTCCTACCAATAGTGTATTAGCTTTCCCTTATCTCCACATCCTCACCAACATTCATTTTTACCTGTCTTTTGGATAAAAGCCAATTTAATTGGGGTGAGATGATATCTCCTTGTAGTTTTGATTTGCATTTCTCTGATGATTAGCAATGTTTAGCATTTTTTATAGACCTGTTGGCCATTTGTATGTCTTTTTTTTTTTTTGAGAAATGTCAAGAGATCATTTATTTTGCTCATTTTAAGTGGATTTTTTTGCTATTGAGTTTTTTAAGCTTCTTATACATTCTGATTATTAATCCCTCGTTAGGTAAGTAGTTTGCAAATATTTTCTTCCATTCTGTAGGTTGTCTGTTCACTTTGCTGATTGTTTTCTTTAATGTGCAGAACCTTTTTAGCTTCATGTAGTCCCATTTGTCCATGTCTGCTTTGATTGTCTGTGCTTTTGAGGGAGGTCTTACAAAAAGTTTTGCCTAGACCAATGTCCCAAAGCATTTCCCCAATGTTTTTTTCTAGTAGTATCATAGGTTCAAGCCTTAGATTTAAGTCTTTAGTATATTTTGACTTGATTTTTGTTATGCAGTTTTCCTAGCACTATTTACTGAAGACAACATCCCTTTCCTACTGTATGTTCCTGGTGCATTTGTTGAAAATTAGTTCACTGTGGATTTATATGTAGGTTCTCCATTTTGTTCCATTGGTCAATGTGCCTGTTTTTATGCCAGTACTAGTTGGTTACTATAGCTTTGTAGTAAATCTTGAATTCAGGTAGTGTGCTGCCTCCAGCTTTGTCCTTTTTGCTCAAGATTGCTTTGGCTATTTTGGGTATTTTGTGTTTTCATACAAATTTTAGGATTTGTTTTCTTTTTCTATAAGGAATGTCATTGGTATTTTGATAGGGATTGCATTGAATCTGCAAATTGTTAAATTGCCGTTTTAACAATATTAATTTTTTTCATTCATGACCATGAAATATCTTTTCTTTTTTGTATCCTCTTGGATTTCTTTCATCCGTGTTTTATAGTTTTCCTTGTATCGATTTTTCAGTTATTTGGTTAAATTTATTACTAGGTATTTTATATTCTTTGTAACTACTGTAACTGGGATTGCTTTCTTCATTTTTTTTTCAGATTGTTTGCTGTTGGCATAAATATATCCTACTGATTTTTGTATGTTGATTTTGTATCCTGAAACTTTACTGAATTTGTTTATCATTTCAAACAGTTTTTCTGATGGAATCTTTAGGTTTTTATAATTATAAGATTATGTAATCTGTAAACACTGCTCATTTGACTGCTTCCTTTCCAATTTGGATAGGCAGCCTTTATTTACTTCTCTTGCATAATTGCTTTAGCCAGGACTTGTAGTACCATACTGAATAAAAGTGGTGAAAGTGGGTATCCTTGTCTTGTTTCAGATCTTCAATGACAGGACTTTAATTTTTCTCTGTCCCATATGATATTAGCTGTGGGTTTGTCATATATAGCTCTTATTATTTCAGGTATGCTTTTTTCTTAGCCAGTCTGATTAGCATTTTTATCAAAAGAGGATGTTGAATTTTGTTTGATACTTTTTCAGCATCTATTGAAGTGATAATATAGTTTATGTTCTTGGTTCTGTTAATCTGATGTTTCATACTTGTCAATTTGTGTATGTTCAACCATCCTTGTGTCCCCAAGATGAATTCCACTGATTATGGTGAATGATCTTTTTAGTGTGTTGTTGAGTTAGGCTGGCTAGTAATTTTTTTGAGAATTTTTGCATCTATTTTTATTGATTATATTAACCTGTAGTTTTCTTTCTTGTTAGGTCCTTGTCTGGTTTTGATATCAGGGCAATTCTTGCCTTGTATAGTGAATTTGCAAGTAGTCTCTCCTCTTGAATTTTTAAAAAAATTTGAGTAGAATTGGTATTAGTTCTTCTTTAAATGATTGGTAGAATTCAGCAGTAAATGAATTGCTTTTCTGTGTTATCTTGAAGATCACTAAATTTCTGTAAAATTACTATTTTGAATTATTGTTGAGGGAGCTCACATATCACTGTCTTGTTAGGATTAGTTACTGGTTCTTTGCTTTGCCAATTTGGAAAAATATTTCTCTGTTTTCTGTTGTTTCTTGTGGGTGTACTTCTGTATCTTAGCCATGAAAGATAAGTTGTTTATTCTAATTTTCCTGTCTGGTTTATTTTCTATTTTACTGTATACATTTTCTTAGAGGTTCTTTATCACTAGATCACTGAGATCACTGCCTACTTTGCAGCTGTAGGTGGTGACTTAAGCCCAGGTTCACCTAACCTGTAGTAAATGAATGGAGCACTGCCCTTCCCAAATGAGAGAGAGCCCAAAGGGAATATGCCAGCAGTGTGAGAAGGCTGGGTAGGAGTTCATGCCCAGGGGCCCTGAGGGATAAAATTTCTACAGCATGGTGCTGTTGAGCAGCCACTCTGTTTGGCATCTCCTTTGGCTGAGTTACAGATAATACTTTCCAGGACTGAGGATGGTAGTTCTTTGTCTCTGCCAGTCCTCAGGGATATTTATCTTTTTGTGTACTTGCAAGGCTTCCTTTGGGTTAAGGTAGAGACATGTCTCCTGAGAGGGAACCCATGATTGTGAGGAAGCTCATTGTCCATGTCAATCTCACTTTTTCTACTGTAGAAATAGTGAGTTGGGGGAAAAATTTTCATGTGCTTGGTGTTGAGCAGAATGTGGGGATGAATATTGCAGAGTGTAAGTTCAATTTTCTTCCCCTCCATTTGAAGCTTTTTCGCTTTTCTCTGGCCCCGGGAACTATTTCATCTTCATATTTGAGTTCTGGGTTGCATTTGGTCATAATCCCTACACTGCATATTTGTTTTTTCTTTTCTGGGGGAAGGTAAGCAGTAAATTCAAATTGCTTCTATTTCATCATTTTGTTTTGTTTTTCTTTATTTTAATTTTGATAGTTTTAGGGGTACAGGTAACCACCTGTACCTTTTATTACATGGATATGTTGTTTAGTGGTAATTTCTGAGATTTTGGTGCACCCATCACCTGAGCAGTATACAATTGTACCCAATGTTTAGTCTTTTATCTCACCCCCCTCCAAAGTCCATTATATTATTCTTATGCTTTTGTGTGCTCATAGCTTAGCTCCAACTTATAAGTGGGAACATACAATATTTGGTTTTCCATTCCTGAGTTACTTTACTTAGAATAATGGCCAGCAACTCCATCCAAGTTGTTGCAAAGGCAATTACTTGTTCCATTTTATGGATGAGTAGTATTCCAAGTTGTATATACACCACATTTGCTTTGTCCACTCATTTGTTGATGGGCATTTAGGTTGGTTTAATAGTTTTGCAATGGTTAATTCTGCTTCTATAAACGTGTGTATATATGACTTTTTCATATAATGACTTATTTTTCTTTGGGTAAATAGCCAGTAGTGGAATTGCTGTATCAAATAGTAGTTCTACATTTAGTTTTTTAAGAAATCTCCAGGCCGGGCGCGGTGGCTCATGCCTGTAATCCCAGCACTTTGGGAGGCCGAGGCGGGCAAATCACCTGAGGTCGGGAGTTCGAGACCAGCCTGGCCAACATGGTGAAACCCCATCTCTACTAAAAAACATAAAAATTAGCCGGGTACAGTGGTGGGAGCCTATAATCCCAGCTACTTGGGAGGCTGAGGCAGGAGAACAGCTTGAAACTGGGAGGTGGAGGTTGCAGTGAACTGGGACATGCCACTGCACTCCAGCCTGGGAGACAGAGCAAGACTCCATCTCAAATTAAAAAACAAAACAAAACAAAACAAACAAAACAAACGTTTATAGTTTTAATGCATACATATATCCTTGTAATCACAACCACAAACAGGATACCAGAAATTCTAATACTCAAAAGTATTCCCTTATACTGCCTCTTTGTAGCAAAGCCTTCCCCCAACTCTATGCCGTGGAAACCGCTGATACATTATCCATCTTTATAGTTTGGCTTTTCATATAAATGAAATGACATATGAGTGGAATGTCATACAAATAAAACCACAGAGTATATAATATTTGTGACTGCCTTCTTTAACTCAGCATAATTATTTTGAGATCCACCTGTGTTGTTTTGTGAATCAATAATTTGTTCTTTTTAATTGCCGTGTAGCATTCCATTATCTGGGTACACAATGGTGTTTTATTTTCATCCATTCACACTCTAAGGAAAACATAATATTAATGAATGAGTTATAATATTTTATTTAATTTTTCACTTTGTAAAACATTTGGTGCATGTTGTCCGTTTATTTGCACAAAGACTTAATCAATCAAATTCCCCAAACCTGTAGATGAGAATGTATTTCTCAACCCCTTGCCAACATTGTGTAATTTTTCTATATCATTTTAATTGCATTTATTTAATTAATAACAGTTAATAGAATGTTTAATTGTTTACATGTGCACCACACACTTTAATAAACACTTTGCATAGTTTCACTCATTCATTTCTGACATTAACTTCATGAAAATATTATTGTTAACACTTAGAGGTGAAGAAATTGAAGCAAAGAAAGGTTAGGTAAGCTGTGATAGATTGCATACATTCTGATTCTAGATCCAAACATCTAAATCAATGTTATATATTCTATTGTCATTACTTTTTAAAGTAAAACTTGATTTCATGTTTATTATTTTATTTTCTTTTTTAATTGTCAATTCATGTTCCTTGCATGTGTTTCTCTAGAGAGTAAAGAGTTCGTTTTGATGTATTATAAACCTTTATATATAAAATATATTGCCCTCACTTCTCACATTTGTTTCTAGTAGTTTTTCTACCTTGCTATTTTCTTTGTGACTTAGTTCAAAGAAATTTTATTACTAAAATATTTAATAAGGTCAAAACTGATTTAATACTTACAAATGTCTTACCTATTTCAAGATCAATTAGTCATTAATCTCATTTTCTCTATTTTAATATTTAGCATTAGAATGTATTTACTTCAATTTTTATAATATTAAAAATGTTAATTCATCTTCAGTTTACTGGTTACATATATAAAGGGGGGACTTAAATTTCCTTTATTCCCCCCAATACATGCTATGTTAGATTCCTATTCCTGCTGTAAAAAATTGCTACAGACTTATTGGCTTAAAACAATGTAAATGTATTCTGCTACAGCTCTGGGAGTCAGAGGATCAAAATGAGTTTTACTGGGATAAAATTAAGGTTTACTCTGGCTGTCTATTTTGAAGGTTCTAGAGGACAATCTGTTTCCTTGCCTTGTTCAGTTTCTAGAGGCTGCCCAAATTTCTCAGCTACTCATCTCCTTCCATCTTCAGAGATATTAATGAATAGATGGAGTCTTTCTCCCATTGCATCACTATTAAAACAGGTCAGTGGTCACTGGTCTGATTGTCTAAGGTGTTATAAAAGCTCGTTGTCTCATGACCAAGAGAATTAAGGAGCATGGACACAAAGGGTCATATTGGAACAAAAGTGCAATAAGCTAAGGAAGAAAGCTCTCCACAGTAGAGAGGGGAGCCCAAGTGGGTTGCCGTTTACACAGTTGAATCCAAAAACTTTATGAGAAACTCTTCTCATCTCTGTAGCTGTTTGAGTAACTTATCGGTGAAGCTGTCTGCACAACTCCTCTTACGCAGCTGTGGGTTTATCTCTAGGAAAGCACAAAGCGCCACTTGTTTGTGTAACTGTGGGTTTGTTTTAGGTGAGACCTCCTCCTCCTTATGCAAGTTTCCACAGAACCCACCATGAACATGTCTGAAAAGGAGAGAAAATTTTGTCCTGGGAGCCCGTTAATAACACAAAAAACAAAAGGCTTCTGTGCTGGAACCTGCCTGCTTATCTGTGCAGGTGCAGTCTGAGTTTTCCCAGGCTGCTAAATTTTTGCCTGTAGCTGAGATTTTTCAGGCAGGCTGCTTTTCTGAGGACTAGCCTTAGCTATCTACCTAACTGATTTTTCCTTTGCTTCTGCCTCAGTATGACATTGACTTCTCTTCTGCCTCCCACTTCCACATTTCAAGACCATTTTGTTTACATTGAGCCTAACAAGATAATACAGGATAATCTCCTATTTTAAGGTCAATTGATTCACAATCTTAATTTTCCTTTGCCATAAAATCTAACATATATTCATGTTTCAGGAACTGAAATGCACATTTTTTAGAAACTCCTGTGAATCACCCTGATAATATTTTTTTATTCTTCTGTATTCATTTTCATAGATCCGTCTGTGATGAGGAATGTTTTTATTAGTTTTATTTTTGGTTTTTGTTTGATAACTCCTTTGTTTTTCTATCAACTTATCAATCTTCTGATAGAAAAAGTTCTATAAGGGTATTTTTATCCACCTTTCTATAGAAGGTGCAAGAATTTCCCTTGGGTCAATTCACTTTTTACTGAGAGTCTTATTGAGTGCCCTTATCAGATCTTTGGCTCAAGATCCAACTGATATGCTCACTTCTTAGGTCAATTTTTGTTATTTAGCCAGAATTTATCCAGTGAAGCTCTACAGTACCCTAATGAAATATTATTTTACCTTTAATATCTTCTTTAATGATAGCCTCAACTTATGAATGTACAAAAAATATAATAACTAGAATAAAGAGATACCAAAATTTTTCTTTGTTTTATTCCATCTGAATTGTTTCATTTACTATTACTACATCTTCTAAAATACGATGCACAATGAATTATCACCATCCGTATATTTCCCTTCACCTTCATTCCCATACTTCTACCTGTTTCCCTTTTTTTGTCAGTTTTCCTTGACATTCAATTTCTTAAATGAATACAGAGAGATATGGGGAAAGAGCAAAATAATTGGTTTCTTCAAAATAGTATATTTACAATTTAAAAATCACAATTCAAGTTTCTGGTTGATACAGATGCAAGATAGTTAGTACAACTGTCTCTTTTTATGGATCATGTCATGTCCCTTCCAACAAATTGGTAGCACTTCTCTATTTCATGTAGTAATACATAAAGAGTTTATTGATATTGTTGTTTTCACTCCTGCTTTTTCAGCCATATAGTTAGTGGAAACTCTTTGTAGGTTATAAAAATTGAGGTCATATGTTTTGTTTTTATTATTTTAGTTTGTTTACCTGTTTGTTTTTTTTTTTGCCGGGAATTTTTTTAGGTGGCAAAGGTAATTTAATTTTAGGTTTAGGTGGTATTATGGGTTCTCTTTTTTATATTTTGTTTTATTTTTTATTAGTGTAAGCATAAAAGAAAAGACTTTTTTCATAATCATGAACCATAAGGGACCTAAATTTATGCTACAATCAAGCATACCATAGACAATTTTTTTTATGTATATTGTAATATGTATATTTGTTCTGTTTTTACAAATGTTTAAAGACCTGTGCTTGGTTATTGGCTTGTAACTTTAGAGGGATGACAGTTACATAGATCTTCAAATAACAATAAAGAAAGAAACTAGTCAAATGGAAAATTGCAGTCACAAATTTGAATAGAAAGCCTTACAAAATTAAGTAGGTGCTAAGTTCAGGTAGCTGGTTACCATTAATTCTTGAGCCTTGTAAAAATTTTAACAATTAAAAAAGCTGTTACTGTCCAAAACAGAATACTGAGCTCTACGGATCACTGCAGTAACCTAGGTAGGCTATTATAAAACTTTTATGGAGAATATGTAGCCTACATAGAATAGGTTAAATTATTAAATATCAAAACTCCAGAAACTCAGGTAACAGACTTTTAACCCTAGCTGTTTTGCTTGAAAAATGTCTGAAAAGTGTACATAAGAAGCAGTAATAGAATATTGACCTTTTGAGTGAGTTGAAGACTCATAAACAACATTTAAACAGGAAATTAAAATATTTTTCCTACCTTAAATAGGTATATCTTTAATACTCCTTCACACTACAGCTTGAAATAATTTTTTAGCAATATTGTATAAAAATCACTTTGGTAGAAGGCATTAATAAAGGGTATGTGCTTTGGTCCAAAGCTGAGTTGACTGTAGTTCATAGATATGTAAATTTTTTAAAAAGGAATAGAAGTGATTGAAACAATACTTAAATATAAAAAATGCATATGTAAATATGAATATGCATAAATATGGGAGGTATATATGCATACACACATAAATATGCAAGCTCATATATAGATCCATTGTTCATTTCAAGGTATCAATTTTTTTGTTGTTTTAAAAGTATTCGAATTCACACAATACTGACTTAACTGGCCTTTTAGGCATTTTAATGGAAAATTGTCAACATCTGCAATGAGCCCCTCCCTTGGCACTCTATTTGAGTAAATCTTCCCGAAGGATTTCAGAAGAAATCTTCTTCTTGAACAGTAAGATTTCTGGTTAGATCTCCTACCAATTACATTGCCATTTACCCATGTTCAAGCTTACATAAATATAGATCAAAGTAAAATAACTGTGTTTAATATTTTGAGCTATACAGATTTTTGCCTTTCCATCCTCAGAGCTGTAGATTCTAAGATGTGTGACTGGTCATTTACCAAGACCACTGTATTAAGCATTCTCCTGAGAAAGGAGATAAAAATGTTAATTTTTGTAGGGATGTAGAAGCTGTGGAAACAGTTTCTGGTCTGTATTGGGCAATCTTTGTAATATTTGCCCTTTTAGAATCCTATATCTATTGCCTCTAACCCCCTAAGTAAGCTTTGGAATTCCTGTAAGTCCCGGGGTTACTTGAAGTCACATAATATGGTTAGAAGGGTGGAATTTCATTTATTTATGTTTTTCATTGTAGTTGCCATGAAACATTCTTCCCAAAACAAAGCTTGGCATAAAATACTGTCTTACGGCTTGTGTATAGAGTCCCACCCTGCTGTGTAAAACATGCAAAAATAAATGAGACTGAATATAGAGAAATTATAACCAATAATAAGCTATACGTTTTCAGAGCCTAAAGATGTAAATCTAAGTGTTAGATTACATGCCATAGAGTTTATTATTTTCAAATAATTAAAAATGTATATATTTTAATTATACTTTTAAGTTCTGGGATACATGTGCAGAAAGTGCAGGTTTGTTACGTAGGTTTACACGTGCCATGGTGGTTTGCTGCACCCATCAACCCGTCATCTACATTAGGTATTTCTCATAAGTTATCCCTCCACTAGCCCCCCACCTCTCGACAGGCCCCGGTGTGTGATGTTCCCCTTCCTGTGTCCATGTGTTCTCATTGTTCAACTCCCACTTATGAGTGAGAACATGTGGTATTTGGTTTTCTGTTCCTGTGTTAGTTTTTCTGAGAATAATGCTTTCCTTCTTCATCCATGTCTCTGCAAAGGACACGAGCTCATCGTTTTTTATGGCTGCATAGTATTCCATGGTATATATGTGCCACATTTTCTTTATCCAGTCAATCATTGATAGGCATTTGGGTTGGTTCCAAGTCCTTTCTATTGTGAACAGTGCTGCAATAAACATACATGTGCATGTGTCTTTATAGTAGAATGATTTATAATCCTTTGGGTATATACCCAGTAATGGGATTGCTGTGTCAAATAGTATTTCTGCTTCTAGATCATTGAGGAATCGCCACAATATTTTATCTATTCTTTTAAGTGGTGAAATTAGTTTGTATTCCTTTATGTTTCTTTCTTATAAACAAAAGACTATCATTTTTCAAGTGCAGCCACAATGTTTTATTTAAGATGTATAAACTTACATTTTACTTAAAGGTATCTTGGTGTTTATTTTCATCATATGATGGAGAAAGATGAGAAGTTAGTGATATTATTTTTATAATCTCTGAGAGACAGCTTACCATTTGCTCAGTTAAGCTTATATTGTCAGTTTGATTTTATCAGAACTAGAAAGCATTGTTTTGGCTTCAAAATTGTATTTAAATGATTTACTATTTAGCACAAAGCAAGCACTACTATAAGACTATTTGATCACATTATTGCTATATTTTGTTTCGCAACAGAGAAAATATCCTCATTCTAAAAAACTAAGCAGAAAAGATTGACTTAAAAGAAGTTACACCATTTAGTCACTGGCATGTTTTATTCACATATTTACATCTCTTCAATTCTATCCTATGTTGGGAAAAGTGTTTAAAAATTGAAAGTCATCAAATAGCAATGATTTACAAATCTGCTCATTTATGGGCTGCATAAGAAATTGAACTAAAATCTGAAAGTCTTGCATAGAAGAAGTGTAGATTATGAATAAATAATTCAAGTTTAATGAATGTTCATTATGAAGCCAAAACTCATACAGTATTCATGGCTAAAGTGTTTACACTGTTGATATCACATTTGAGTTCACCCTCTAAGTATTTTACTGTTGATGGAAGTAGACTGTTACTACTTAAGATATAATAATATTTTCATTTTACAGGAGATACAAAGGCTTACAATGGATTAACAAGATTATACAAATGCATCTAGGATATACAGCTCATCCAAGGTGAAGTCCTATTTCTAGTGTGTAAACTAGAAATAGAATGTTAATAAATTGGAATTTTGTCCTGTGGCCATGTGTTCTAAGGTAGAATAACTATCAGTTTTAAAATAACAACTATGACTTTCATAATTCTTTTCAATTTACAAAATATTTTAGTGTATATTTCATCTTATTTTGTTCTCACAATAACTCTGATGTATGGTATTAATATTCTGATCTTATAGACAATGACTTTGTTGTCCTTAGTGAGGCTGAAAATGGAATATTAACACCTCAATAGTTTTTTTTTTAAGTTGCATAGCTATTATGTAGTAGAACCAAGACTTGAACGCAGGTTACCTGACTCTAAATTCATAAACCAATCACAAATACAAGTAAGGGGCCAGACAGATAATATAAATAAGAAGAATGATCAATATTAACTTGATTGAAAAACTGCAAATGCATTTTGCATATACAAAACACACAAGAACATACTGCATTTCCAAAAAGCAATATGTCTCTCCAATTTTTCTTGAAATACATGACTCCATTTTTCCCCCTATTTTGATAGAATAGTGCAAGAATTATTGCACTTTTCCCTTCACTATAATGCAACCTACAAGACAACATGGGACTGTGTGTAGAAAAGAGAGTAACAAACAAGTTTAACAAACTCAGTGCATGTAAGACTGGTATACAAAATTCAACTATGTTTTGATATCCTAACAATGAACAATCTAAAATAAAATTAATGAAACAATTCTAATCAAAATAACATTGGAAAATAAAATAGTTAAAGCAGTGCGGGAGTTGCATAATGATCATTATAAAATATTGCTGATAGAAATTAAAGATGTATAAGTGGAGAGATATTCCATGTTCATTATTATCAAGATGACATTGTTGCCCATAGTGAGTTGTAGATTCAATACAATTTCTAACGAAATATTAAGATAATTTTAAACATAAATTGACAAGCTAATTTTTCAACTTACATCAAAATGCAAAAACCCAAGAACAGCCAAAACCATCTTGAAAAAGAAGAACAAAGTTGGAGGATTCACCTTTCCCTATTTATTGTATTATAAAGCTACAGAAATCAAAAGAGTGTGGCACTGGTGTAAAGATAGAGTTACACATCAGTAGAACAGAATTGAGAGCATATTTTAAAAAAATCCTTTGCATGTATAACTAATTTTGACCCAGATGAGAAAATGAGGAAATAATAGTGTTTTCAACCAATAGTGTCTGAACAATTAGACAGCCACATGTAAAAGAATGAAGTTAAACCTTTATTTCCTCGCATATAAAAAAAAGCTCAAAATGGATCAAAGACTTAAATATAATAGATAAAATTATAATACTCTTAGAAGAAAACCTGCAAGGAAATTTGTATGACTTTGGATTAAGCAATGGTTTCTTAAACATAAAACTGTTAAATGAAAAACTTTTGACAAATTGAGCAGAGTTTATTTGAGGAAAGAATGATTCGTGACTAGGGCTGCACTCAGAAACCAGAGAGGTTCAGAGAGCTCTGCTCTGTAATGTGGACAGTGAATATTTATAGACAGAACACAAAAATGAGGTATAGATTTAGCTCGATTAGTTACGGATAGGCTGTTTCCTTATTTGGATATGGTCTGATCAGTTGGCTGCCTGTGATTGGCTGAGCTTGACTGCTGGTGGTTTGCTCAGGAACTGTTAGCTATTACAAAACTTGGACTCATAAATTAAGTTTCTGTTTGGTTACATGGTAAGTTAGGTTGCACTTTGTTGCATAAAAATTCAAATTGTGAAGACAGACTCAGTCTAGTGACATACTGCTTAGATAATACACCGAAAGCACAAAGAGCAACATCAAAATAATTTGGGCCTTTTCAACATTTTAAAAAGAAATTTTTCCTAAATGGGCACTATCATGGAAGTGAAAAGGCAATCACAGAATGAAAAAAGTATATTTTCAAATTATAAAAGGTATATTGTCCAGGATATATAAACAGCCTTTACAATTCAGTAGTAAAGAATGTATAACTCTATTAAAAATGGGCAAAGGATTTAAATAGACATTTCTATGAAGAGGATATGCAAGGAATTAATAAGCACATAAAATGCTCAATATCATCAGACATTACAGAAATGTAAATCAAAACTACAATTAGATATCACTTCACACCTATTAGAATAGCTATGGAAAAACTAAAACAAAAGTTTCAAATAGAGTTTGGAAATATTGGAACTGTCATGGATTGACATTGAAAAAGTAAAGTAATGTAACTACTGTGGAGTACTGTTTCTCAGTTCCTCAAAATTTAGTCTTGGAGTTACCATATAATCCAGCAGTTCTACTCCTAGATATACAGACAAGAAAAGTTATAATATAATGACCGCATAAAAAGGTGCATATGAATGTTTATAGTGACATTATTCACAATAACCAAAAAGTAGAAACAATCCAAGTATCATTCAAGAGATGGACAAGACAAATGAAGTATATACATACAATGAACTATTATTTATCAATATAGATAAATGACATTCTGATACATCCTACAACATGGATGAACCTTGAAAATATTATACTAAATGATACAAGCCAAACATAAAGGGGTACATATGGTATGAATCCATTAATATGAATTGTCTAGAATAGAAAAATTTATAAAGACAGAAGGCCGGGCACGGTGGCTCACGTTTGTAATCCTAGCACTTTGGGAGGCCGAGGTGGGTGGATCACGAGGTCAGGAGATCAAGACCATCCTGGCTAACACAGTGAAACCCCATCTCTACTAAAAATACAAAAAAAATTAGCTGGGCGTGGTGGTAGGCGCCTGTAGCCCCAGCTGCTCAGGAGGCTGAGGCAGGAGCATGTCATGAACCTGGGAGGCGGAGGTTGCAGTGAGCCGAGATAGCGCCACTGCACTCCAGAGAGCGAGACTCCATCTCAATAAATAAATAAATAAATAAATAAATAAATAAATAAAAATAAAGACAGAAAATATGTTAGTGGTTGCCAGGGGCTGCCAAGAGGAAGAAATAGGGAATGACTGCTAAAGCACGTGAGGTTTATTTTGGGGTGACAGAAATATTTTGAAGTTAGATTGTGATTATTAATGCACAACTTCATGAATATACTAAAACCACTGAATTGCATAATTTAAAAGGGTGAGTTCTATGGTATGTGCAGTTTACTTCAATAATGCTGTTAAAAAGAAACTATAAGCACGTATAATAATAATGGCAATTAGTACTTGGCCTTTATAACAAGGACAGAAATACTTGTTCCCTTTTTATTATTAACTCAGTGGTTCTTGAAGCACATTGGTGTTTTCATTACAGCTCACAAAAGAGAATGAATCCACTACAGTTTTTGCTTGTTTGTGCATCCTGAAATGTTATCTTATTAAAATAGCAGAAGATGACAGTTGGCAGTGAAATTCTTTCACTTCAATTGATATTCCAGTGCTTTATAGTTACAAGCATGTTTAGACTCTGAAAATGAAACAGCTGATACTATTAATGTGTAACCTATGCAGATGTCTAGAAGATAACTTTTTTTGTTGTTCCTTTATGGTATACTCCTACAAAGTCTTGATGGGGAGCTCCAGGACTCAGAGTCATCTACAAAAGTGTGACTTGGTTTCAATCACTGTTTCCCAACCCAGCCTCTCTGTAACACTGAAGGAAAAAAGGAGAGTCATCTTGTTGATAAAAGAAGCAAGTAGGCTATCAGTCGATAGTGTGTCCATGAGAATAAAGTGTGGGATCTGAAGAGTTCTTACTTTGGGAATGGAGCAGAACCTATGTCACCTCCCACAACTCAGTTATTGAGACTCACAGGACTTCACGTAGTTTGCTTCATTTGGGGAATAGAGAAAGGGAAAGAAGAGTCACTAAAGCTATTACAGTAAGAAGGAAATGGGCACAGAAATAAAGACAATTATAGACCCTAATCACATATTTAAGAATGGTAAAAATATCAGACTGTATCAAATGAGGAAGACAAACCTACATTCTCCCACTATGATTTATATTGACGTTAATATTTTTCAACAGGCTTTGAGGTTTGTACTAATTACTACAGCTCTCTCTGTGGTCAGCGTATCACTATTTCTGCTGATCCATGCCTTCTAAAAAACTAACATGGTTCAGTTTTGTCCATCAAGGCAATTTTTTTTTTTTTTTTAGATGGAGTTTCTCTCTTGTTGCCCAGGCTGGAGTGCAATGGCGCAATTTCGGCTCACTGCAACCTCCACCTCCCAGGTTCAAGAGATTCTCCTTTCTCAGCCTTCCAGGTAGCTGGGATTACAAGCACATGCCACCACACCTGGCTAATTTTTGTATTTTTAGTAGAGACAGGTTTTCATCATATTGGTCAGGCTGGTGTCTGACTCCTGACCTCAGGTGATCCGCCCACCTCGGCCTCCCAAAGTGCTGGGATTACAGGCGTGAGCCAAGTAATTTTTTTAGTAGAGTTTCTCAATAATTTACTTACATTTCTGAGCTTATGATTTTGTGCATAGGACACTCACATGTAGTGTGATTATTATAATTAGCAATAATTTGGGTAGCACTTTGTATTTTTCCAAATGGTTTGCAGTAATTTTTCACAATAATTCCAAGTACCAATTCACTATTATCATTCCCATTTCAGAGATGGGAAAATGGCAGAACAGACAGGCTAATTGTCCTGGCTGGGGTCATAGGTTGGGGTATGGACTGAGATATTTTTTTTCTTTAAATCTTAGCAAGTAATTTGAGCATTTCAGGAATATCAACTAATATAAGGGCTGGGTCAGTCCTTGTTTCAAGGAGATCTTCAAAAACAAAAGAGAGGTTTTAGTGTTGTAGAGTGTAAATATTTTGGGTTAAAGTCTTTCCGGTATTTTAAATTTTATACTTTTTTTTTCTATTTTTAAATGTGTTCCTTCAGTTTTACTTTTTTAGTGTGGGGAAGTAACTAAATCAGAAATACATTGTTCAAAAGCACTGTTCTAATATCAAACTTGATTTGAAGGTAGTGAAAATTAAGAATATATAAAAAACATCTGTAATTTATGAATAAGATAAAGTGTTTAAATACATGTATTAAGTAGAAGAAAAACAGCAGGGCTTAAATGGCCATATATATGCATACTCCTTCTAAGAGGAATAGAAAATTGCTTTTAGTCTCTGTCTAGTTAGTTCAGTTTTTCCACTTCATACTATTGAGAGCACTGTTAACCCATCAGTCCCCAGGTGGATCAATTGGATTTGCCCTTTTCATGACAGAATCTGCACACAGAACCCTTAACAACTGTCTAGTCAAATAGCTATTATTGGTCACATGGAGCTGTGAGCAGGAAAGATAATGTGTCCTACTTAGAGCTACCTAGTTCCCTTGAATGAAGACAGTTCGTTCTCACTGATTGTTATTTCAGAAATATCAACTGGTTATGGCAAAGAATACTTACGCATAAGCCCATCTTAACAATTTTATTTTAAAGTGTGATAAATGCTGGTATTAAAGTCATAAAGAGTAATGTGTAAGCCTTGTTTTCTACACAGTTTGATCTCTATCTAAGGAATCAAATGAATTTTGAAAAGCAATTAAAAAATAAAGCAATTTGATCTTTAATAGACATGCTCAGGCTACTCACTTACTTATTAATAATTGATTTCCATTAACCAGCCCATCAATAATTTTTTATTACTATTGGCATATAAAATTTTATGATAGTATTTTCAAATGCATTAACACTAGGAAAGAATTTAGTAAGAATAGCACAATAAAACAAAAGAAATTGTGGAGTAAAAAAATAGTAATTAGTAGTGAAGAAGCAGAAACTCTGGAGACAAAACCATATTAGTGAAATGCCACTGAACATCAACAGTTCATTGTGTTTGCCACAGTGCTAGTAGAAAATTAACTTTTAGTCTTTCCTATGGGCCAAAGAAATACTTTATTCAAAATATGTTTTTATTTTATCTGATTTTGAAATTGCTAATAGGAAATTGTAGAATGAATCTGGGGGAAAATCATAGCTCTAGTAAAAGCAGTAAAAGAGGATTAAAACTTTTCATAAAATTTGATGAAGTTATTGTTAGTATAATACAAGGTAAGTTATAATTTCAGATGGCTTAGCATGACAGTGATTCTGTGTTGAAAGACCCAAGCCAAACTAATATTTGGTTGGGGAAGCATAGTTTCTGAAAATGGACAGACAATCTTGAGACATTCACTTTCTAACTGTCATACATCAGACAAGTTACTTAATTATATAGACTTTCATTTTTCTTATTTATAAATATAATAATATATTCTTTATAACATTGTCGTGAGGATTTAATAGAAATTCATGCAAAACTCAATGTCATGCATGATGGTTGCTTGCTTAATATTAATATTAATTAGAATTGATAGTGGATTTAATATAAATATTTGCATTGGTGTTAGTATTGACCTTTCATTGGTATTAATATTAGTTTTAGTGTCACTATCAGTATTAGTCTTATGGTTATCATTTCTTTTCTTGCTTATAATTATAATCACAGTGTTTCCAACTTAGATGACGCTTTAGGGTCATTTAGTCCAATTACCTCATACTGTAGGAATCCTGTCCATAACATTCACAGCTGGTATTTTCTAACAAAATATTGCATTTTGTAACTATTGCTGTCGCTTTTTTTTGTTGATTTTTTTTTTTAAGTTTGGGGATTTTTTTCCCACAAGTCCAGAAATGAATAAATGTCGAGTTTAACTTAAGTAAAAGAAAATGAAAACATAATTGACATGTAGAAATTAAAATCAGTTTTGAAGTAAATCTATTACATAGAGTGACAAATGTTCCATTTTAAAATTTAGTTTATTCAGTTTTTTTTGTCTGCAAACTAATGATTAAATTTAAGCTTCTCACTTCACATTATCGTAAAAATCATGATTTATCTCTCTTTTCTAATTTCTTTTCCTCTGGTACACTTTTGTGTCTACCCCATGTCACTTTTATATGTCAAGCATGCCATTTTCACAGCATGCCCATTTTTGTCTCCTCTCATCCGCACTTTAACAAATATTTATATGTAATGAATGCAATTGGATTCTCATAAACTGTTGCTGAAACTATCTTATTAAGATGACCTATTATTTAATGATTTACTTGGTGACAAGTCCTGTGTTACTAAGGTATTGGCTTATTTACAAAGTTTCTGTTTTAGTATTTCAAAAAATGATCTCCAATGAAGTATAGGCTAACCACAGGAAATTTGGAAAATAAAAAAGCTCACAAACTTTTAAAAAAGTCATTCCTAATGTCTCTTAAAATATTGCTTTATAATTTTCAATTTTTTTCCTAAATATATTTATGTATATAATTCTGTATGTGTATTCACCTAATTACTATACATATTTGGAATCACGCTGTACATGGAGTGTTATTTTGAATTGTCCTTTTACATGCCTTAAAATATGAGTAAAGACTCTGGAACTAGACTACTAGGCTCTTCCACTCAATAGTTTTATCAACTTGGTTATGTGATATAAGAACCTCTCGGTGCCTCAGTTTCTTCATCTGTAAAATAGGAAGAATAATGATCATACCTATCGCATAAAGCTTTCACAAACATTAAATTCATTATCATATAGGAGGTACTTCTAACAGTGCCTGGTATGTGAAAAAGCTCTGGAAAAATATGAGTTGTCAGTACTAATATGGCAGCATTACTATGTCAAAATTGTATTCTATGGCATAATATTTTAAAAGATATATAATGCTTATATCAGTGTAACCCAAGGTATCTAACCAACCTCTTATCATTGAACATTTCTGATAGCTCTAATTTTTCACTACATGATTACTATAATGAGCATCCTTTTACCTAAATGGCTCCTCACATATCATATATCAGGCACAAATATCTATGGATATTTCTCAAAAATGGCTGAGTTCCTACATGATTATTCTACAGCACGTTGTATTGATTCCACATATCACCTATGAAGAAGATATTACTATCATTTTTAAGCTTTATTTGTAAATATGGACTACCAAATTGGTTAAATTTTATTATTAATTTAGGGATAGATAGTTTGAAACTATTGACTCTTCCCAGCCAAGTATAAGTTTAGTTTCCCTATATAAACAAATCTTTATGCATATCTGGAAGTTGTATCTTATATAGGTCATCTCATTTTTTATTAAGTACATCCCTATTATTTTCAGAAGATCTATGTTTGTTGTGCTGAATTCTTCCTTTTTTGCCTTCTGTGGGAAGTACATTCAAGCTTAGTACTAATTTTTTTTGTTTCTCATCTTGTCTTTCCCTGAACTTAATGAGTTCAAGTAGAATTATAATGTTGCAGATAATTTGAATATCCTTATTGGATGATAACTATGAAAAATTGTGAAATGCTTTAAACATATTGATGCATCCACAAGTACGCAAAAGTATATATATTGCTCTATGCATGTACTATCACATAGTCAAATCAATAATGAAAAAATTGAAGCTATTGTAAATTGTTAGATTTAATACATCATAATTTATCATGTCATAAATTGCATACGCTTCTGTTTTCTCTAGTTTTGGCCTTAATTTTGTAGTATCAAATAAAAACAAAAGTGTCTTAGCCTTTCTATTTAGGATCTCTTTTAACAAGGAATTTTGATGCAAATTTGGAGAGATATATATATATATATATATATATACTTTCAGAAAAGCATGAGTACATTTGTTAGAGTTCTGTAAGCATAATTTAATGTAAGACAAATAACATCTGAAACAAATTGATGCATTCATACAGACTTTATATTCACATTACATGATCTTATCTTCACATCAACCAATTTAACAGGTAAGAAGTTTTAATATTGGTTAAAAAACTTTCCCAAGGTTACAAATACATTTGCTGTCAGGGCTCATGTGCTTCTTGATTCTATGACCAGTGCTCTTTTCACCGTGTCTCTTGAGAAACATACAGTTTATATGTTTTCATGTTTTATTACATTAATCTGAAAGCTACCCAGTTATTTTCATAAAATGTCATATTATTCAAATCTTTATCAAACCCCTAAGCAAGACATTGGAAAACATTATGGATGAATAACTTGAGAAGGAACTTTTTAAAGAAATTGGGAATTATTTGACATTAAGAAGAAAAAACTGTTGTTATAGAGGCCTATACACAATTTTTGGAAAAAAAAATCTGAATTACCTTTATGTTCTATGATGCTCATGGGGGAAAAGAAAGTCTATAAAGAAAATATAATGTATGAATTACCTTGAGCTCTATGTAGAAGGTGTTCATTAATGAAAAATTACAAAACATTTCTGAGAAATTATAGGCTACAATTACATAACAATGTTTCTAAATAGTTCAACATAATCAGTGATTGTGCCGTGAACACACAGCAGTAACAATTGAAAATGATAGGTCATTTTAAGGAGATTCTAAATTGCAACTCTAAATGTGTTTTCTCAAAAGTAATCACAAATATTTTTTGATTTTTAATTTTTGTGGTACATAGTACGTGTATATATTTATGAGGTCCATGAGATATTTTGATACAGGCATGTAATGTGAAATAAACATGTCATGGAGAATGAGATATCCATCCCCTCAATGATTTATCCTTTAAGTTACCAACAGGCCAGTTACACTTTCAAGTTATTTTAAAATGTACAATTAAATTATTTTTTACTATAGCCACCCTATCATATATATATATATATATATATATTTTTTTTTTTTTTTTTTTTTTTTTTTTGAGACGGAGTCTCGCTCTGTCGCCCAGGCTGGAGTGCAGTGGCGCGATCTCGGCTCACTGCAAGCTCCGCCTCCCGGGTTCATGCCATTCTCCTGTCTCAGCCTCCCGAGTAGCTGGGACTGCAGGCGTCCGCTACCACGCCCGGCTAATATTTTGTATTTTTTAGTAGAGACGGGGTTTCACCGTGTTAGCCAGGATGGTCTCGATCTCCTGACCTCGTGATCCACCCGCCTCGGCCTCTCAAAGTGCTGGGATTACAGGCGTGAGCCACCGCGCCCGGCTATCATATATACTTAAAATTCAAATAAGTAGAATATTTTTCAGTTGTTACTCTAAAGAAAGCAAAATATACTTCTACAACAAGTAGATATTGGCTGAATTTTAAAAAGAAACAAAATGGGCAGCCCAGGAAAATCTACATCAGAATTTGATATTTATGTCAACTGATACTTCAGAAAAAAGTCAGTTGAAATTTATTGATTTGTGTCCAATAACTGCTATGTGCAAGTGCATTAAATTAACATTCATCTTCTGTTAAATATGTTCCACACAGTGCTAGAAGCTATGTTATTAGTATTAGTACTTACTAATGTTTACAGCTCTTGGAGGTATGTAATATTATCTTGATTATACATCTATCTGAGAAAACTGGGACTCGAAGAAGTGAGGAAGTAGTTTATTAACCTTCATGGCTCTCAGACAATAGGTATTTAAAATATCCAGTTTACAAATGGTGAACCTGAAACCCGGAGAGGTTTTGAAATCTGCAAAAGGTCACATACACAGATGGTAAATTGTTGGAATACAACTCAAAATTAAAGCTGGATTTCATTTTCCTACCAGTGGTTCTTCCACTTTAGCATGCATAAGAATTATCGAATTAAAACAGATATTCCTAAAACAGAGGTGGATAAGCTCTGTCCCCCAGAGTTATTGAACAAGTAAGTCTGGGGTGAGGCCCAAGAGTTTGTATTACTAAATAGTTCTTAAGTGATGCTGCTGTTTTCATTCCAGGAACTACGCTTTAAGAACTGCTCTGGGAATAGTGGCTAAGGGTAACAATGGAGTCAAGTAGAGTTTAAATTGAACAAATGGATTGAAAAGAGAAAAGGTATATTGTCAGAAACATAATGGTCAATTAAAAGCTTCACGGGAAAGACAAAAGAGAGTCATACATAGGATTCTTAGATTTTATCATAGGCATGACTGCAGTTGAGAGAATGAAGCCTCCCTATTTTAACTTTTCCTTCACTTTATCAGAAACGGTATAATGCATTCAGAGTGAAGCTATTTTATATGGCTTTTTAATTATTCTTTTTATTTTGTAATCTGCATATCTTATCTTTAGCAATAGAGAGTAATGCCACTGAATTCCTTAAGGAATTGTTTTTTTTCATTTTTTTGTTCTTTTCATTTCCTTTTGGTTGTCATTTTAAGCCCATTTCATTTTAACTGACAGACAGCATCATTTTCTCCCTTGATGGTAGAAGGATCGGGTAAATTGGATTTGAGATGTTTAATTTAGTCAATTTACAGACAAATGGACTTGACGACTCGCAGGTTACTGTGGTGCAGTTCAAGAGCAACAAGAGCAACTGGAATAAACTTGTGGACATAAGATTAAGATTTTGTTCAAGGTCATGCCACAGAATTCATTTGGAAAAAAATTAACAGTATGCAGACAAAAAATAAGTATTAAATCCCTGTACTGGACAGACTAACAATACAAGAATGCCTATGAACTCTAGCCAATACCTATTACCAATTGATGCTGGTGAAAATTGTGACTTGAAAATATTTAATATCTAAGTATACATCTGTATTTCATTATTTTCTGTAAATGCATTGAAGTATGGATGGAAAAAATTGTAGTCAATATAGGGAGTGATCTACATTTTTGCTCAGTGTTCAGAATATTGGTAAGCGGGTTTTGTATTAAATCAAGTGAATATATAACCTATCAATTGGAGGCCAGAAAACCATATACATATATATATATATACACACACACACACGCACACACACACAAACACACACATATACATATATATACACGTATATATACATATATATGTGTATATACGTATATATATACATATATATGTGTATATACATATATTTATATATATATGTACACACACACACACACATATAAAATGGTGGAGAGGAGATGGGCATTCTTAACCATTTCTGAGCCATAACAATCTGTTAAAGCATGCGTGTCCAATGTTTTGGCTTCCCTGGGCCATATGTCAAGAAGAATTGTGTTGGACGACACATAAAATACACTAACACTAACAATAACTGGTGAGCTAAAAAATAAAGGTCCGCGTATAATTTTTGTGATATCCACCACCACAGATAAGCAAAAAAGTCCTTGCATTCAAAGGTTTGGATACAGCTGTCAAGTAAAGCATATGAATTCTCAGATTAGTGTTTGTAATAGATTAAAAAATAGATAAGATTTCAAAGAAAAATTATATTGAATTACTTACAAAATATTAAAAACTATAGTTATATAGTAATATACACATTAATGCATCAATAACAAAATAATATATATTAAATACAAGTGAGTTAAGATTATTTTTTAACATTTTCCTGTGATAGTAGATGCTGCTTAGCTTGAATAAGACCATTAACATGTGGAGTCACATACTTTATGATGAACATCTAATTGATTTTAATTTTAATTTTTATTTTGATGGTTACAAGAGCAGAAAATATCTATCTGCAAAGATATATTATTGAACATGAAATTAAAGCTTTCATATATATATATATATATATATATATCCCTTTAGAATGCAAGGACTGGTTTGTCACAATGAACATTAGGATTGTCCAGGGCTTCTTGAGTAAAATTCTAATTGTAAAAAGTTCTTTCTAACATCAATGGGTTCCTCTTTGGCTAGTTCAACATCTTTCACACAGTTTATATCAGAAGAAAGGATTGCGAATCTATGATTCATCTATAGTGCTATCAATGCAGAAATACCTTTTGAAAACGTTCTGATGTGTTTCTAGTCTTTGTAAACTTCTCTTTTCAAATAAATTGATGGAACATTATATAAAACCTTTCAATTATGTTAAAATATTTCCCTCAGAATGTGAAGTTCACAAGTACTTCTGACTCTACATTTCGTTTTTGGCAGCTTAGTCAAGAAAGCTTGAAAATTTTCAGAAGCGTCCATATGGTGACTTCAGAATTTTTAATGATTTATCTCATTCATTTGGTTAAAAATACCTGTCAGGTAAATCAACCAATAGATAAAATGCATTCTTCCAAAGTGATCCAAGAGTAATTTTTTTTCCAAAAAGGTAAAATTTCTGCATGTAATTTGAGCCAGAACAGCAAGGCTTGTCTTGAAAGCCATTGAATTTCCATATGGTAGAGATGAATATATTATTACTTTTTAAAAATTTAAATAAGGTGACTCAGAGATCTACATCTGATTTTATTGATAACATTTATGGCTCTTGACAAAACTCCTTTCAGGTTTGTTGCAAAAGCTTTTGTTGCCAGTGCATGTCTCTGTAAAAAGCAGCATGTGACAATGACATAAGATGATTTTTTTTCACTGAAGTAGCAAAAGCAGATGTATTGCCAGTCATTGTAGAAGCTCCATCTGTGCAAAGAGTATGACGATTTTTTTTCTTAGTCAAATATTTATTCGGCAAAATAACTTTTTACCGTTTCTAAACATCATCAGCCCTTGCAATATCCAAAAGGGACCACTCAAAAAATGCAATTTCTCTTTTTAAAGGTGTCAGTATGCCCATTGTGAACAAAAACAAGCTGTTGGTTACATTGAGAGGTGTCTATTGTTTTATCTAGTTACATAGTGAAAGTGAATGTTGAGGATGCCCATTCCTTGATGAACTCCTTCAAAAACATATCACAGCATTTGAGTAAAAAACTACTTCTAAGTTTTTTTCACTGTTCACAAACCATGTTGATCTCTTCCAGTGCAGATAGCTGTGCTATAACCTTTGTAATACTGTGCAAGGAGAAATAGTGAGCAATCTCATGACAGGTCTAAAAACTACCACAATTTTAAAATAATAATGAGTGTAAATGATATTTTAAAACTGAAATGTTGGTAGAGACATGAGGCAGCCAAATGCCTAGGCAGCTAGAGATGAGTCCCTGGTGACACCCCACCTTCAAGACAAAATCAGCCTGAAAGCTGAAAGACCAGACTGCTGGCCCCAGATGAAACCCAAGACCCAGAGTAAGACCTTCTGTTCCTTTTTAGCCCACCCTTTCCTGACTATTTCTGAATGATGCCTTTTAACCAATCGAATGTTGCCTTTTCCAATACTACCTATGGCCTGCCCCTTCCCTGTTCTGAGCCCATAAAATCCCAGGCTCACCCAAATTGGGGGGATATTCCTGCCTTCGAGTAGGGTGACAGCCCCCGCATCTCCTCTCAGCAGAAAGCCATATCATCACTCAATAAAACTCCCCACCTTGCTCCCTCTTTGATTGTCAGTATATGCTCGTTCTTCTTGGATGCTGCACAAGAGCTTGGGACCCACTGAGTGCAGGTACCCAGAAAGGCTGTCACACTGGCCTTTGGCCCCCACCAGCGGAGGGCAGGTGCCTCATGCAGCAGAGCCGGGGGCGACTGAACTGTTAACATACCACCATCTATCAGGATGTGGATGGTGGAATTAAAAGAGCTAATTAGCACACTAACATCCTCTCTAGGGCTTCAGGGTCGCGAGCATCCTTGCCTGGGCACCACCGCATTCCCTTCTAGGTGACATGCCTGGTCTGGCTGCGGGCCCCACCAGATCCTGCACTGGCTGGCTCACGTGCTCCAGCCTTGCAAGGGGCTGATGGCGGCAGGCTAAGTAGACAGGGCGACCCTGCTATGAGTCCGGAAAAGGGGCCGAGAGAAAAATTATGCATCATTTTGGGGACTTATCTGGGATACCTGAATTGTGAGTAAATGTGGACCTAGAGTCTTCACTTTTTTCCGAGGCTGCTTCTCCTCAGACTTTCTTCTGAATGCAGACGAAGCACTGAACCATTGACTAGTCTGTTGAAAGTGAATGGCGCAGCTACAGAGGACAGGATGCAACCCTGCCACCTCTCTCTCTCTCTTTGTGGGGAAAGAAACGTTGGCTTTGTTTCCTATCACGAAGGTCTAGCCATGGTGTAGGACTAGAATAAAGTCTTGGGGCAACTGAAGGCATCCGGCTGAGGCCATGTCTTCGTGTTGCTGAAAAGCAAGCCCCTAGACTGATTCCGTCCCCAACCACCAGTTAGGGCATCAGCCAAGACCCCCAAAATTTTCTGGCATTTTTCCTTTCTTCTTTCATGGTATGAAATGGCTAGTATCTCTTTTATAATGGTAAGGGTGTTGCTGCAAACTGCAGAGATATTACTAGGTAGAATGAGCATTCAGCCCAGCCATCGGATATGCAATTCAAAACAATAGGCCAGGCGCCGTGGCTCACGCCTGTAATCCTAGCACTTTGGGCGTCCGAGAAGGGCAGATAACCTGAGGTTGGGAGTTCAAGACCAGCCTGACTAACATGGAGAAACCCTGTCTCTACTAAAAATACAAAATTAGCGGGGCGTGGTGACGCATGCCTATAATCCTAGCTACTCTGGAGGCTGAGGCAGGAGAATCGATTGAACCCGGGAGGCAGAGGTTGCGGTGAGCCGAGATGGTGCCATTGCACTTCAGCCTGGGCAACAAGAGCAGAACTCTCCGTCTCAAAAAAATAAATAAATAAAATAAAAAATAAAAAATACGGTTTCTAGCTGGCAAGGAAGCTACAGTGATTAAGGGTTTTTCTCCTGTTGAAGGAACCCATTTACATAAAGCAAGAGGCTTTTTCCCCCAGGCAAATTTCATTGCAGGTCAACCACTTGCGTGATAAAAGCTTGTGTCTGATTTTCCACAATTTGAGCTCTTTCTTTACAGGAGATAAGACTATCACTCAGGGCAATCTTAGAAGATTTGAGGCTCAGTATGTGCTTTTGGATCTGGGAGTTAGAATCCCTGTGTTCATCGTTTTCATTCATCACTTTGTCCAGCAAACATAGGAGCAACCGACTGACTCCATTATATTCCTTGCTTCTCTACGTTTGGTCAAAAGTATTATGTATAGAGTCCTTAAACTCCTTGCCTCTCACAAGCAGTGAATTAGGAGTATCAAATGCATTTATTTTGCATAAATCTCTAAACAGTTCATGCCAAGGACTACCACTGTTCTCTCTACTATTAGAAGTAGAGTCCTTAATATTTCTGGGTCTAATCATATTAAGCAGCCAACTCCAGAAACCCCAAAACCAACTAAAGAAATTCATCTTTAAAATCCCGTTCCTCTAGAACCACTCCTGGTACCAAAATCTGTATTAGACAGGGTTCCCTAAAGGGAAAGAACTAATAGGATAGATAAATACATGAAGGGGAGTTTATTAGGAGAATTGACTCACATGTTCATAAGGTGAAGTCTCACAATAGGCCATCTGCAAGCTGAGGAACCAGGAAGCCGTCCGAGTCTCAAAACCTCAAAGTAGGGAAGCTGACAGTACAGCCTTTAGTCTGTAGCTGAAGGCCTGAGAGCCCCTGGCAAATCACTAGTAGAAGTCTAAGAGTCCAGAAGCTGAAGAAATTAGAGTCTGATGTTTGAGGGCAGGAAGCATCCAGCTTGGGAGAAATATGGAGGCCAGAAGACTCAACCAGTCTGCTCTTTCCATGCCTGCTTTTATGCTAGCAGCTGATTAGATGGTGCCCATCCAGATTGAGAGTGGGTCTGCCTCTCCCAGTCTAGTGACTCAAATGTTAATCTCTTTTGGCAACACCCTCACAGACACACACACCCAGGAATAATACTTTGCATCCTTCAATTCAAGAAAGCTGACACTCAATATTAACCATCACACCCCCACCCCCACATTTATCATCTGTGCTTTTTTTTTTCTTTTCTCCATCATGTCAGGAGTTAACACACACATGTGAATACAAGGAGATTTTCTATGAGAGAAGTTGTTTTTTTTTTTTTTTTTTTTCCTTTTGGAAAGCATCTTACTAGGTCAGCTCTCCAATTCTCCCTTTTCTCTCTCTTGTTTGAGGAGGACCCAGATCCACAGCTTCACTTTGGCATTTGGCTTATGACAAGGAGGAAGCAAAGGAGCAGCCCTGCTGGCTGCTGGCTGCAAATTTAGCCAGGGCCACCTGCGACTTAATTTAAATCAATCCCTGCACTCCCTGAGGCACCTTTTTGTTCTAAACTCAATTCTAAGCTTCAGGTTGAAGCCCTAGAAAGAAAATCTGTGTTGGCTCTCAGAGTGGCGGGCCAGATCCCACACTCATTCACTCATGTATTCCCTCCTGCAAGTGGCTGAGCGCAGCAGGTCGATAGATGGGGTGCCCCTGCTGCAAGTCCGGCAAAGATGCCAAGAGAAAATTTCTATATCAATGGTATTAAAAAAATAGAATATTTTTATTGGTGACAAAAATCACAGGATCTACCAACAATACTGTGGCTTGTTGCCTACATTTACAAGAAAGATAATAATATGGAACACCTAAAATCTACCCCTGGGCCTGTTGCGATGGTCTGTGGATTTCAGCTCAAGGAGCCTCCATTAAGAGGGTTATCCATAGATGGAACTATTGCTTATAATTACACCTGTTTACACACAGCCTCTTCAATTTTCTACAGGTGAATTATTAACGTTGCTATTATTCATGTGATTTTTTTCCTACTTAGGGAGTTTAAGCATGAAGCAAATTGGCTTTCTGTTCTCTTATTTTATTTTATCTTGTTTCACTATTTCTCTCCAAACATATTTTAAGATAGAAGGAGAAATGGGAAATTTAAGATCTCCTTCCATATCCAGACTTAGCATCTAGTCAAAATACATGAAAAACCTCTTAAGACCACTATGAAATGAATGAATTAAACAAACCATGAGCATGAGGTTGGAGGTAGTGAGGAAGAGTCAGGTGATAAAAAAAAAAAAAGTAATATATCAAGTGTAAGTAATAATGCAAAGTAGAAATGGTGGAAAAAAATTAACTTCTTTGAAATTTTCTTACAATATAATTGTTTTTTTTTTTTTGAGGCAGAGTCTCACTCTGTCTCCCAGGCTGGAGTGCAGTGGCACTATCTTGGCTCACTGCAACCTCCGCCTCCCAGGTTCATGCCATTCTCCTGCCTCAGCCTCCTGAGTAGCTGGGACTACAGGCACCTGCCACCATGCCCGGCTAATTTTTTTTATATTTTTAGTAGAGACAGGGTTTCACCTTGTTAGCCAGGATGGTCTCGATCTCCTGACCTTGTGATCTGCCTGCCTCAGCCTCCCAAAGTGCTGGGATTGCAGGCGTGAGCCACTGTGCCCTGCCCCTATATTCTGTTGTTTTAACTGGGCTGAATTTTGAGAACATAAAAGTTATCCTAATTCAAATATAAATATAATATTTTCTAAATTAAAAAAACTCTTGTGCAAGCTCTTTGATAAATCATTTTTCTCACATGTAAAATAGAAATAATATCTACATGAGGGGACTTAAAAGTTCATGAAAAATGTTATTATAAAATATAAATTAAAAATGACTTTTATTTCTCACCTTAAGATCTATCAATTTCAAGACATTTTTCTGGGTATTTTTTGCTAAAGCATTGGTTAGCTTTCTCAAAACACTCTCATAATGAGCACATATTATTATTCTTTGGCCTTGAGCATTTCAAGAAAATTGTTGCCATTGCTTTTGCTTCTGACTCATCTGCTTTTTCTTTGACTGGACCACTTCCACCTCTTGGTAGCCATTGATTTGATGTACTTTGTCTTCAGGATCCTACTGGTAAATCTTTATTTTATCTCCTGTTACAGTTTTTCAAAGAACTCCTTCAGGCTTTTATTCTCATTTGTTTAAAATTTCTATTGAAAGCTCTGCTCTTGTCTGTAGATGACCAAGTTCCAATGGCTTAGATACATACCCATGAGGTGGAAAGTCTGCTCAATTTTAATTTATTAGAATTGCGTATGCTGAACCAACTGAGAGGTCTGTGGTATTGTCTATTGTTTCTGCTGTTAGTTGTCAGTCCTCTTAAATTAGGGCATGAAGATTATTTTTGTCCTCAAAAATTGGTATGGATGGTCAGCTGCTGTGGGCTTCATCTTAAACATTGTCTCTTCCCTTCTTAAAATGAGTTATTCATTTGTAAATTGCTGATTTCTTTACGAAGTTGTTCCCATAAACTTTGCATAAAGCGTCATTGATTTCACGATTATTCCTTCCAAGCTTCACCATAAATTTCATGTTTTTTCTTGCTTCTATATTAGCAGAATCCATGTTGCTCTGATAGGAACTCTTTTTAAACGGATATCTTTTCCTTCTTAGTGCCTCAAACTAGATCCTGTTTAGACATGTTATAACAAGTTAGTAAAAATTTATTTTGCTGCAAAAATTTGAAATATGTTCATAGTTTTTCATATTTCACATATTCCATGAACTTTTCTGAAAGCTTAATGGCAGTGGACTTAAGGGAGAATGAGAGAAGAGTAATTTGGGGCGCTATGGATAGCCTACAGTTTCAAGAAATGTTGCTGCAGGTGGGAAGCAAAAAACAAGGCAATAACTAAAAAATGAGCCAAGAATAGCTTTTTGTTTGTTGTTAAGATTGTAGGACTAAGGGTATGCTTATATGTTAATGTGAATGCAGTAGGAAGCAAACCATGTATAATGAAGGAACAAGGGCAGAATTGTTGTAGCATTATTCTTCAGTAGGCATGAAAGAAAATCTAGTGCATACAGGGAGGTTTTGGATATAAACAGGCACATGGATAGTTCATCTATATAATTAGGGAATATAAGGGTATAGAGGCTAATTTGGTGGATAGATCTGGTAATGGGAGCCTGTGGAAGTTTGTTTTTTAAAACATTTTGTTATAGAAACTTTCAAATATATAAAAAAAGAGAAAAAGATTACATCATCTTGCCAATCTTGTTACATAAAAAAAACACACTTTTTTGCTAGACTACCGTAATTTAAAAACCAGACATCATATAATTTTACTCATAAATTCTTCAGTAGTTATTCTAATATATAATTACTAATGGGACTTTTTCTTTGAACATAACTATCATCTCAATTTCGTAAGAAATTTTAAAATAATTCCATAATATCATCCAAATCTCATTCCATGTTCAAATTTCACCAATTGTCTCAAAACTGTCTATTTACATTTAACTGTATAAATAGTGATCAAACAAGGTCCACAGGTTGCATTTAGTTAATATATTTCTTTAATCTATTTTAATGTATAGCATCTTTTTTTAATACCTCTTCTTTGTTGAAGAATCCAGGCCATTCATGCTCTAAAATTTTCTGTATTCTGTATTCATTTCCATTCTTGTGATACCGTTCAATATGTTCCTCTTGCTTATATGTTTTCTTTACACTAATAGTTGAATCTGGATGATAGATTGATTCACATTCTATTCTGTTCGTTTGGCAAGAATTCTTAATAGGTTTTGTTGTGTACTTTTCACCGAATTAAACCATCATGACTTACTGTTCCATTTCGATCTATTCTAAAATTGTTAATGAGATTAAGTGGTGTCAATCTTCTCCTCTCATTATAAATACTAACCTTTCACCCAATAGATTAACACTCAATAATATTCATTGCTTGCATTCATTATTTCATTTAAGATAGCAAAATTGATATTTTCCAATTCTAATATTCTCTCTGTATTTATTAGCTGGAATCGTTCCATATGAAATAACTTTCTATCATTAATTATTTAATTACCTTGCACATAGTAAAGGCAGGATAAATGCTTAATTATTTTTCTTTATCAAATTTTTAAAGTAATGATTTGGTGCTTAGCAGCTACTAATGATTATCAGATTTCTCTTTGAAGAATCATTATAAACTCTCAGAATTTAAAGTAAAGTTCATGTGCTTTAACACATTTTAGACATTATTTTTTCATGTTCCAATTGTCTGATATTTAGGCAAAGACAGAGTCCTTTTAAATTGGCTTCTGTGTTCTTTTGGATTAATCTCATTACTATTTTTAAGTTTTGTTCTCTTTTAAATAACAAATAATTGTATATATTTATGGAATAAAATGTGATATTTTGATACATGTATACCTTGTGAAATAATCTATTTGATAGTTTCCTTGCCTCCTGGCACAATGATATCACCCATATTCATGATGTGATTTTCCTGCTTCAGACATAGAAAAGACCATGGAAAGGACTTCTTGGTCCCTTTAGCGAGAAATGGTATGTAGAAATCACATTCTGGGCAAAAAGAATGCTAATTATTATTGGGTTTTCATTGCTTGTAGGATATCTCAGTCAACACTGGTAGAATGTTTCATAAGTTTACAAAAATAAAATATAAATTGTGGATTCTTCCATCTCCTCTTAATAGTACGGAACTTTGCTTCTCTTCTTTGATTTTATATTTTTATCTTTTTGCTCTTACACTAAAAATATTTACCTAACATAACTAATTTTGTGACTTGTTATACAATATATTAATGATAGATCCAAAGTAACAACACTGATATTTATATTAACAACAGGATTACAAAATGTACCTTAAGATTTCCTTGCCATTCTTAGGCTATATGCCACCGTAATATACAGAAAAAAAAAATAGCCTGTTTTAAATTACTTTAAACAATTATTCTATTGATGGTTATAAGTATCTTAATATACAGTTGTAATAATTTGTTTCACTTTGTTTTCAATTCTTAACGTTTGGATTTTCCTCTCTCTAATTTTTTATTACAATTATGTAAAACATTTAGAGGGTCCCAAAGGCAAAATTATAAAGAAGGTATATTCACTTTATGTTTTCTCTCTACCATAAAAATCATGTGTTAGTTATGGTCTAATCGCGCCATTATTTTCATTTTAAAAAACAATGTTTTGCCACTCGCATTTTTCACATATTACAACCTAAGTATCATTCTATAACATAATGTGGAGGCCTTCCTCATTTGCCTTTTTACAGATTTAGGATATTTCATTGTGTGAATTTATTATAATTTACTCGACCTTACCCTTATTTGGGAACATACGGATTATTTCCATGCCTTTGCCATTAAAAATAATGTTGTAATCAACGTGCTTGTTCATATGTCATTTAGTGTTTTCTGCTTGAGTAACTTTGGGAAGGGTTTCTAGAAGTGGATTTGTTGGCTCAAATGATGAATGCAGATACGTTTTGCTAGCTACTGCCAAATTTTCCCCATAAGGGTTTCTACCATTTTGCATTCCTAATAGCAATATACAAGAGTGTATGTCTCTAATAAAATATGTTGTCAAACATTAGTATTTTTGGTATTCTGATAGATGCTAATAAATTGTAATCAATGTAATTTTTATTTGCCTTTCTCATAGTAGAAATGCTGCTTAAGAATTTTTTTCACAAGTTTTAGGGCCATTTTATTTTTTCTATTATCTGTCTATTCACTTCTTTTGCCAATTTTTCTGTCAGGATGTTGATAATATCAATTTGGAGGAGATCTTTATATATACAAATTTTAGCTTTTTGTCTCTAAGGCCAAAATTATCAGTAAGCCTTTTGTTTGTATTTTATAATTGTGTATAGTATTTTTACCATGCAAGCTTTTAAAAAACTGTATATAGAACAATGTTTCATTATCTTCATTTATTATTTCTGGATTTGGGGTCATCATTTGAAAGATTACTCTACACCTTCCTATGATAAAGAATTTGACACATGTTTTCTTCTAATACTTATATATTTTTATTTTTACTTATGGATCTCTGATACATTTGGAATTTATATTAGTGCATCATATGAATACTATATTCAGTTTTATATTATTCCATATAACTATCTGGCTTTTTAAAATATCACTTATTAAAATGTCCCTCTTTTCTCTAAAGAGTGAAGATTTTGTCTTCATCATTTATTGAATTTCCATGTGAGCTTGAGCCAATTGGGGAAGTTGAAAAATTCTATTTCATTAATTCGTCTATTGAAGCACCAAAGTCACTTGATTTTAAAAGAAATTTTCAGTCTGTTTAAAGGTTTATTAGGGTTGGCCCGCTCTCATTATTCTTTATTACAGATTTTTATGTCATTCTTTCTCGTTCACTCTTTCAAATAAACTCCATAATCACTTGTCAAGCTAATGTTATTTTTAATTGTTTTACATTAAAATATATTTCTCTTCTGATCATTTCAATTTTCTTGGTAAAACAGAATGAAAGATCAACTAAAAGTAAAGATGGAAGAGATATTGGAATTTGAGGAGGAAAAATGTATAAAGTAGCTATCTAGAAGAAAGGAGAGCTGTCATTATATGACATCATTAAGAGCTCATTTTAGGTTTGTGTTCTTGAATTTAAAGGGAGATCAGTCTATAGATTGTGTATTTTCCTCTAGTCACATTCAGCTGCACTGTACTGATGGGCAATAAACAGGTAATTGCATTTGGTTTGGCCAATTTTGTTTAGGAAAGGCAAAGAGTAGAAGCTGAAGTATAAATAAAAAGAATGATTAAAATAATTAACTATGGAGTTTAATTTTATAAGAAAAGAGACAAGGATATCAAAGGAATAAAGGGCGTATCAATAAATTTTATTGCTAGTTTTGGTGTATTAGAGGAAATGAGCTCATGTTATTAGTGTGAGTTATAATAATTAAACATTTGTACCATTTATTTAGCTCTTAATGTTTTCCAGACACTCTGAGAGTTGCTATATATGTAGTATGTATTTCTTAGTTATTTGAGGTAAGTACTGTTATAATACTCATTTTTAAATGAGTAGATCAGTCTATTATGAAATAAGAAGCCAAGAGACACCTATAAAAAATCTATACCTAACATCATGTTTAATGGTGAAAGGTTGAATGCATTTCTTCTAAATTTGAGAACAAGAAAAGGATATCTGCTTTTGCCACTTCAGTGTTTTATTGGAGGTTCTATCAAAGGCAAGTAGGCAAATCAAAGAAATAAAATCATGTAGATTAGAAAGTAAGAAAAAAATATATTTGCAGTTGAAATGATCTTATATATTAAAAATCCCAAGGAATACCTGAAAAAGCTATTGATATGAATAAATGAGCTCAGTGAGATTCCTGGATATGAGGTCAATATACCAAATTAATTGTATTTCTAAACAGTAGGAATGAAAAATCTAAAAATGCAATTGACAGGCCCACCCTTTCTAGTAACTGACCCCTTGCCTAAAACCTTAGTTTTTTACTCTGTATCTGTTTCTTTTCTTTGTATACTTGATTTTCTTTGTGTACTTGATAAGTAAGTAACCCACTTACTTATTTGGGTTGTCTGCTCACACACACGCACACACAACACACAAAAAATAGTAAAGATAGTAGTTGATGGTTCTTCTTGTCTTGATGGTGAAAATATTTTCTGTTCAATACTAGAGCATTAAACTGAGAGTTCTTATGGAATCCAAATTGTATTATTTTGTTTATTTGACTTCTTTACTTAATTTTCTTAATAATTGCCACTTTTTAATTGCCAACTGAGAATAAATTGGCATGGCTGGAAGATCCCCTGAACAGCTGCACAGCTGGATGGGCATATGTTTGAGATTTTAAAATAGTCTCCTATTTCTTCCTTTTAATCAAAAGCACTTGTGCTCAGAGAAGCACTTATTAGCAAGGGATATTGAGTATATAAGAAAATGCCTTCTGTTAAAATAATCTTTTTAGCTTTATCCTTTACCTTTCATGCTCGACTTCTATCAAGAATTTTAACTTGAAATTTGTTTCTGAAAATTCCCACTTTTTAATGATTTATTTTGTTTATAATTGACATAATTGGACATGTTCATGGGGTACAGTATGATATTTTTATACCTGTATACATTGTGTAATGACTAAATAAGGGTAATTAGCATATACATCACCTCAAATATTTATCATGTTTTTGTGGTGAGAAGATTAAAAATTCTCCTGTAGCTATTTTGAAATATGTATTGTTGTTAACTATAGTCACCTTACTGCACAAGAGAACACTACAACCTATTTCTCCTATCTAACTGTAACTTTGTCCCTGTTGACTTACCTCTCCCCATTTCCCCCTCCCCCTACCATCTGTAGCCTCTGGAAACCACAATTTTATTCTCTACTTCTTTAAAATCAACATTTTTAGATTCCACATATGAGTGGACTCATGTGGTATTTGTCCTTCTATACTTGGTTTATTTCAGTTAACGTAATGTCCTGTAGATTAATCCATGTTGTCACAAATGAAAGAATTCCATTCTTTTCATGATTGAAGAGTATTCCATTGTTTATATATTCCACATTTAAAATCTATTCATCTGGCTGGGTGCAGTGGCTCACGCCTGTAATCCCAGCATTTTGGGAGGCCGAGGTGGGTGGATCACAAGGTCAGGAGATCGAGACCATCCTGGCTAACACAGTGAAACCCTGTCTCTACTAAAAATGCAAAAAAAAAAAAAAAATTGGCCGGGCGTGGTGGCATGCACCTGTAGTCCCAGCCACTCAGGTGGCTGAAGCAGGAGAATCACTTGAACCCAGGAGGCAGAGGTTGCAGTGAGCCAAGATCACACCACTGCACTCCAGCCTGGGCAACAGAGTGAGACTTCGTGTCAAAAATAAATAAACAAAAATCTATTAATCTGTTGATAAACACTTAGGTTGACTCCATACCTTTACTATTGCAAATATTACTGCAATAAAAATGGGAATGCAGATATCTCTTTGACATACTGATTTTATTTACTTTGGATAAAACATTGATGAAAAAAATTGAAGCAGACACAAGTAAATGGAAAGATATCCTGTGTTTTTGAATTTCAAAAATTAATTTAATATAAATGTCTATATTACCCCAAATGGTCTATAGATTCAATGTAATCACTATCAAAATAATAATGACATTTTTCACAGAAATAGAAACACCAATTCTATAATTTTTATGGAACCAGAAAGAACCCAAACAGCCAAAGCAATGCTGAGCAAAAGCTTAATGCATCATATTACCTGACTTCAAAATATACTACAAAGCTATAGTAACCAAAACAGCACGGTACTCACTTAAAACTATCCATATCAATCAATGGAACAAAATAGAGAATGCAGAAATCCACACATGTACAGCCAATTGAATTTTTGACAAAGGCATCAAGAACATATGTTGGAGAAAGAACAATCTCTTCAATAGATGGTGCTGGAAAAACTGGATATCCATGTGCAGAGCAAAACTAGACTCTTATCTCTCACCACACACAAAAATCAACTCAAAATAGATTAAGGACTTAAATTTAAGGTCTGAGACTTTGAAAGTAGTAGAAGAAAACATGGAAACATTTCAGGACATTGGTGTAGGCAAGAATTTTTTGGATAAGGCTTCAAAACACAGGCAACAAAAGCAAAAATAGACAAATGGGATTACATCAAATGAAGAAGCTTCTGTATGGCAAAGGAAACAACAAATTGTAAAGAAAACTTACAAAAAAAGAGAAAATATTCACAAACTGTGTCTCTGAGAAGATGTTAATATCCAGAATATATAAGCAACTCAAACAACTCAATAGCAAATAAGCACATATAATCTAACTAAAAATAAGGAACAACTCTGGATCTAAATAAACATATCCTGAAGGAAAACATACAAATAGCCAACAGGTATATGATAAAATGCCCATCATCACTAATCATCAGAGAAATGCAAATAAAAAATCACAATGAATTAGCACCTCACCACAGTTAGAATGGCTATTATCAAAAAGACACACATGCAAAAAAATAACAGATACTGGTGAAAATGTGAATAAAAAGCAACTCTTATACACTGTTGGTAAAAATGTTAGTACAGCTATTAAGGACAAAAGTATGAAAGTTCTTCAAAAATCAAAAGTATAACTACCGTATAATACAAAATTTCCTTATTTCTGCTCCTTGTTTCATATTTCCTCCATATAGTGGACACATTGTTCTCCCCTATAACTTTCCCTATCCTCTACGATTATATCAAACAGGTTTTTCGTGGGAGATAACCTCCTTTGTCTGTCTGGCTTTGCACATTTCTGTGTGAAATTAGCATTGTAATAATAAATGGCATGTTTTCAAGGCTACTTTCCAATCTTAGAGTTAACTTTAGAGTCACAGAAAACAGACAATTTTTGTAGAGGCTTATTCAGGTTGATTTGTATCCTAGAAACATTTTTCCCCACCCACCCCATTTCCTCCCCCAATTCCCCAGTTATTTCAGATTGAAATAAGTCAAATTTTCTCTACTTCAAAAAAAAATCTGATCCAAAATATAAGTAAGCTAATGCTCTCTTGCCTTTCACTACTACCAAGTAAATATACCTGGGTTATAAATGGATTGTACCACTTGTTAGAAAATAATAAGTTCCAGGAGGCCTTGGTACTGTGAATAGTCTATGACTTTGAGCTAGTCATTTTCTTCCTCTAATTTTCCTTTTATTAATCTACAAAATAATAGAAGATTCTAGAATCTATAAAATTTACAAGATGCTTCTAGGATCTAAGAATTTGTGTTCCATTTTCTTTCTTTTTTTTATTATGCTTTAAGTTTTAGGGTACATGTGCACAACGTGCAGGTTAGTTACATGTGTATACATGTGCCATGTTGGTTTGCTGCATCCATTAACTTGTCATTTAACATTAGGTATATCTCCTAATGCTATCCCTCCCCCCTCCCCCTACCCCACAACAGGCCCTGGTGTGTGATGTTCCCCTTCCTGTGTCCATGTGTTCTCATTGTTCAATTCCCACCTATGAGTGAGAACATGCGGTGTTTGGTTTTTTGTCCTTGCGATAGTTTGCTGAGAATGATGGTTTCCAGCTTCATCCATGTCCCTACAAAGGACATGAACTCATCATTTTTTATGGCTGCATAGTATTCCATGGTGTACATGTGCCACATTTTCTTAATCCAGTCTATCATTGTTGGACATTTGGCTTGGTTCCAAGTCTTTGCTATTGTGAATAGTGCCACAATAAACATACGTGTGCATGTGTCTTTATAGCAGCATGATTTATAATCCTTTGGGTATATACCCAGTAATGGGATGGCTGGGTCAAATGGTATTTCTAGTTCTAGATCCCTGAGGAATCGCCACACTGACTTCCACAATGGTTGAACTAGTTTACAGTCCCACCAACAGTGTAAAAGTGTTCCTATTTCTCCACATCCTCTCCAGCACCTGTTGTTTCCTGACTTTTTAATGATTGCCATTCTAACTGGTGTGACATGGTATCTCACTGTGGTTTTGATTTGCATTTCTCTGATGGCCAGTGATGATGAGCATTTTTTCATGTGTCTTTTGGCTGCAAAAATGTCTTCTTTTGAGAAGTGTCTTTTCATATCCTTCGCCCACTTGTTGATGGGGTTGTTTGTTTTTTTCTTCTAAATTTGTTTGAATTCATTGTAGATTCTGGATATTAGCCCTTTGTCAGATGACTAGATTGCAAAAATTTTCTCCCATTCTGTAGGTTGCCTGTTCACTCTGATGGTAGTTTCTTTTGCTGTGCAGAAGCTCTTGAGTTTAATTAGATCCCATTTGTCAATTTTGTCTTTTGTTGACATTGCTTTTGGTGTTTTAGACCTGAAGCTACCTGACTTCAAACTATACTACAAGACTACAGTAACCAAAGCAGCATGGTACTGGTACCAAAACAGAGATACAGACCAATGGAACAGAACAGAGCCCTCAAAAATAATGCCGCATATCTACAACCACCTGATCTTTGACAAACCTGACAAAAGCAAGAAATGGGGAAATGATTCCCTATTTAATAAATGGTGCTGGGAAAACTGGCTAGCCATATGTAGAAAGCTCAAACTGGATCCCTTCCTTACACCTTATACAAAAATTAATTCAAGATGGATTAAAGACTTAAATGTTAGACCTAAAACCATAAAAACCCCAGGAGAAAACCTAGGCAATACCATTCAGGACATAGGCATGGGTGAAGATTTCATGTCTTTCTTTTTGTTTTAAGATCCTGAACAACACCCTGAATGTGCTTTATTTTTCCATGAGTTTTAACTTTTTTTTTTTTGCAGTGTCCATAACAGAGATTTACCTCTATTGTTGATAATGTGAAAATTGTTATCGTACCTAACCCAGTAATAGTCACTGGGTTTTAACCAAGTCAACCAAGTCTGACTAGATCAAACATTTACTTTTGTTTCCTAAGGAAGCCATTACCATGAGTTCAATATGTATGGGAATTCACTGCGTTCTATATTATCAGTACCCAATGTTTTCCTCTAATTTCCAGCAGTCTTTTCGAAATTATTTACTCAGTACTCAATAAACAACTATCACACTAGGCAATTTTCTAGGTGATAGGAACACAAAGATCAATAATAATCATTTTATGCCAATGGTTTTCAATTGGAGATAATTTTGCAGTCTCCCCAGGGAGATTTGACAATGTCTACAGACATTTGTGGTTGTCACAACTCAGCAGGTGGATCCTACAGGCATATAGTGTGTGAAGGCAAGGAGATACTGCAAATATCCAACAATGCATAGAAAAGTGCTCCACAAAAGAAAGTTATTCAGCATAAAATCCCAATAGAGCTGAGTTTGAGAAGCATTGATTTGTCCCATTAAGAACACATTTGTGCGGGGCTGGGCGCGGTGGCTCATGCCTGTCATCCCAGCACTTTGGGAAGCCGAGGCAGGTGGATCATGAGGTCAGGAGATTGAGACCAGCCTGATCAACATGGTGAAACCCTGTCTCTACTAAAAATACAAAAATTACCCAGATGTGGTGGTGCATGCCTGTATTCCCAGCTACTCGGAAAGCTGAGGCAGGAGAATCACTTGAACGTGGGAGGCAGAGGTTGCAGTGAGCCGAAATCGCACCACTGCACTCTAGCCTGACAACAGAGCGAGACTCCGTAAAAAAAAAAAATCTATACAATTCACCCATTACGTTGTAAATGTTTGAGGAAAATACACTGTAATGCATATTAAAAGAGAGTATGCACCTGTTTCTAAAGGTTGTACTGTAGGAAAGAAGGTAGATGGCTAAGAGTAAACTTTAAATATAGGGAAAAATACAAGTTCAGGGTAGGTGTAGTAAATAACATGCAAGCCCAACATAAAATCAAAGAGCAACTATGTGAAAATTAAAATAAAAGTACTATGATGCAATAAATGATTCTCATAGCTATGTGCAGCTGTGCAGCGGCATGGAGAGTATGTTTGTACACATTCCCAGTTCAAAGTTTAGACCTTCTAAAATGGAAAGCCTGTAGTTTCATCTTTATATATAAACCATAGAAATTTGGAACATCTGTATTCTTTGACCTTCTGAGCAATAGCCACTATATTTCAACAACTGTTTTGAGGTTTAATTGACATATAATAAATATAAACAGTACAATCTAAGTTTTGACATAAGGTACACTGTCATGAAGTAACAAATACAATAAAGATAATAAACATATGTACCCCCCAAATTATATACACTTTTATAATTTTTTTTTGTCCCATCTTTTCTCCCTCTCCCCAGGTCAGCAATGTTTTGAGTTTGACCATGCAGATTATGTTGCATTTTTTTAGAGTTTTATATAAGTGGAATCATTTCTGTCCAGAATAATTATTTTGAGATTTATTTATGTGCCTGCATTTAACACTAGTTTTATTATTTTTACTGCTTTGAAGTACTCCATTATAGGGATAAACCTCAGTTTATACATTTACATATTGATGTGTGTATTTAGGTTACTTTCACTTTTTGCTAGTGCAAATAAAGCTGCTATGAACATTCATGTAGAAATGCTTGTAAGGATATATGCTTCCTTTTGTCATGGATAAATACCTAGAAGTGAAATGGCTGGGTCAAATGATATATTAATCTGTAAATATTTAAGACACTGTCAAACTGTATTCAAATGTGATTGTACCCTTTTGCAATGTATGAGAGCTCCAATTTTTCCACATCTTCACCAAAACTTAATATGATTAGTCTTTACATTTTATTTATTCTAATTCATTTGTAGTGGTATCACATTGTGGATTCAATTTACACTTCCCTGACAGTTAAGCATGTTTATCAGTATTATGTGTGCTTAAGCTATATCTCCTTTGATTCATTTCTATATTGGAGATACTTGTTTTTCTTATTACAGTTTGGGTGTCCTAATCCAAAAATCAAAAAAAAAAAAAGCCTGAAATGCTACAAAATCTGAAACCTTTTGAGCAACGACATGACAATCAAAGGAAGTGTTCATTGGAGCATTTTGGATTTCAGATTTTTGGATTATGGATGCTGAACCAGTATAATGCAAATATTTCAAGTCTGAAAAAATCCCAAATTTGAAACACTTCTGGTCTAAAGCATTTCTGATAAGGGATACTCAACCTGTATTGACATTTGAGATTTTTTTAAAAATATGTTCTTTATATAAGACCATTGTAAGAAATATTAATTGCAAATATTTTCTCTGAGTTGGTGGGTTTTCTTAACATTATGTAAACAGTGTCTCTTAGAAAACAAATGGTTTCAATTTTGATAATGTTTTCTTTTTATACCTTGGGTTTTGGGTATCATATCCAAGAAATAGTTGCCTAACCCAAGGTCACAAAGATTTGCTTCAAAGTTTTCTTTTAGTAGTTTTACATGTCAAGGTTTTACATTTGAATCTCAGATCGATTTTGAGTTAATTAACAAACATGTTGGAGGCATGGATACAAATTTATTCTTTTGCATTTGGATATCCAATTTTCCTGGCATGTTTTATCGAAAAGACTATTTATCCTTTCTCCACTAAATTGCCTTTGTATGCTTGTCAAAAATCGGTTGTTAATAAAGGAAAAGATTCTGGAATAATTGCAGAGTTTGAAGCACGAGAAATCCATCTCTTCACCTAGACAACAATTGCATTGGCAGAATCTATCTGATGTAACAATTTTGGAGCTCTGGAGTCCATTCAAAGGCATGCAACTTACAGATGAAGGTTTAGACTGTAAATTAGGGTTAATTTCAGTCGATTTCAGCTATTACATTGGTAGCACGTAGACATCCACCACCACCAGCCCTGTAGCAGACAGCTATGCGTGTGTTCCTGGAGCAGCTTGCATTCAGCTTCCAGAGGCAGAATGGGAAATATGGATGCTCCACTCCCGATGAATGAGATCTATGTTCTGATTGCTGATTGCTGCTTCTGATTGCAGAGGTGCAGACACAGAGATGAGCAGCCATTATTGTAACCCTCACCAACTTTGTTGCCACTTCTTCCTCTCTGGCTGAAGTAATTCTCCTCCCTCCCTGAATTCATTCTCGCTTTTTTTCCTGTAAGTAACCAGACATTTAAGAACTGAGACATTCAAAAGCACCCACATGTGTGAAAAATTTAGAAAGTCACCACACATGCCCAAGCAAAGGCACAAGATCACTAAATACCTGAAAAGGCCTGAAGTTTACACCTCAGAATTATATAGCCTACAAGAATTGTAAAAATAAATAAATAAATAAATAAAACCTGAGGAAGAGGGAAAACCTGAATTCCAAAGTTCCCACACTATAAGATACAAATGGTCCTCTTTTACAAAAAATCACAAAGCATACAGAGAAACAGAAAAATGTGGCCCATTCAAAGAAGAAAAATTAAAAGTCCAGAAACTATTGTGGACAAAAACCTGATACAGACTTACTAAATAAGCACTTTTAATACCTGTATTGAAAATAATCAATGAACTAAAGATGACATAGAGAAAGTAAATTAAATAATGTATTAACAGAATAGAAATACCAACAAAGAGAGAAAACAGTAAAAGAAACAAAAAAATTATGGAATTAAAAAGTACAAAAACTGGAATAAAAATTTCACTAGCAGGACTAATAAACAGATTTGAGCAGGCAAAAGAAAGAATCAGTGAAATTAAAGATAGAATAATTGAAATTATCAAGTCTGAAAAAAAGAAATAAAAATTGAATAAATGTGAACAGAGCCTAAGGGACCTGTGTGACACCATGAAGCAGACAAAAATATACATTGTTGCAGTTTCAAAGGAAAATAGAAAAAGGAGGAGAGATATTGTTTGAAGAAATAATGGCCCAAAATGGATAAAATTTGATGAAATATTTGACTATAAACATCAAATAAGCTCACAAAATCCCAAGTAAAATGAATTCAAAGATATTCTCATTGGAACACAATTATAATCAAATTATCAAAAGACAAAGGAAAACAGAGAGTCTTGATAGCAAGAAGGAAGAGAGATATGACCCATCACAGAGAAGGGATTCTCAATTAATTTAGCAGCAGATTTCTCATCAGAAATTTTGAAGACCAGAAGGAAGTGGGCAGATATATTCAAAGCACTAAAAAAAAAAATCGTCCTCTGAGAATCCTGTATCTGGCAAAACTCTCCTTTAAAAAGAGACACAAACTAAAACTTTCCAGATTAAAAAAAAAAAACAAAAAACGCTGAGGGACATTGTTACCACCAGACCTATCCTGCAAGAAATACTAGAGTGTTCCCTTTAATGAAAAACAGTAGTACTCAAAAACTAAAAGATTTCTAATGAAATAGAGATCATGGTAAAGAAAATGTATGGGCAGGTGACATTATCAAGATGGCTGGCTAGAAGCTGCTAGTCCTAATCCCCCTTCACATAGGCAGCCAGAACAATTAATAAACGATTACATTTAAATGAAAATAGCTGAGAGAGAGTGCTGGACTGTATGAGAGGAGTGACAAAAATCCTGGTGAACACAGAAACTCAGGATGGCCACATAGAGAATAGACGGAAAGGTTTCTACTACTCCAAACCCCAACTGGAATCAGCTTGGAACCAAGTAAAAGTAGTTCCCTGCATCACAGGAAATGGTGACTAATTATAAAATCTAAAAATATAGTAATTGTGGTTTATAATTACACTTTTTGTTTTTACATGATTTAAGAAACTAATGCATTAAAATTATTAGTCTATGTTTTTAGATACATGATGTATAGGGGTATAGTTTCATGACATAAACTAAAGGGGGTAGGGCATAGCTTCATAGAAGCATACTCTTTATATGTTATTGAAATTAAGCTTATGCCTTGGACTGATGCAGTCTAAAAGAATTTAAAAATAAATAAATAAATAAATAAATAAAACCCTGGAGAAGAGGGAAACCCTGATTTGCGAAGGTACTACATTATAAAAATTCACATTAGAGTGTTTTAATTTTAGTATGTAAAATGTAATTCCCATGGCAACCATAAAGGAAATACCTATACAATATACATAAAAGGAAATGAGAAAAAAAATGAAATGTTTTACTACAAAAAATAAACTAAACCCAAAAGAAAATAATATTTTTTCAAGATCATGGCGAGGAGGCAGTGTTAGTGTGCCCTTCCCATGTGGAAGGACAGAATAACAGGTAGAGATTCACATTGTGATTTTATTTTTCCAAGAACCACCATAGGAACTTAAAAAACTGAAAGAATCCACATGCCCTTTGAATGAATCACTAGGCTTCAGCCTACTCCATAAGACAAGTGAAAAATTTTAAGTTTCCAGAGTGTGAAAGGCCTGCTGTTCAAATTATTTTGATAACAAAATAATTTTTTGTTTTCAAAAAATTGTTTGGGGAGCACACATCCCCACCAGGGAATCTGAAAATCCAGGCCACAGGAGATGGCCTTGACCCTATCCAGAGCTGGAACAAATTTAGGGAGTTGCATGAAATATAAAAGTAGAAGCAGCAACGGGCAGTGCCTTGTAGGCATTACCAGTCTCCAGCATACACTGAGGGAAGGCATTCCTGACTATATCTCACAGGGCCCCTCAGAGAAGTCAGCCAACAAGCTCAGGGGGTGTTTGCAGGGTGAAAGAAGATGCCAACTGAATTTTGTGATATAATCTCAAGTGGGGACAAACTCCCTTGAGCAGAGCCTGGGTTGGGGTCGTGAGCAGAATGTGCACTGCAGAAATGAGTACAGGAGATGGGTGCCCAGCCTTACTAGCTGATGGGGAGGGACGTGGCCTAAAAGCCATGGTTGCTATCTCTGTGGGGAAGCTTATGGCCGGGGACAAGTGTAAGTCCTGTGCTCAGGCTGCCTAATCTAAACTGGGCAATGTTAGTGGGGCACTGCAGGAGTGAGACTGGCCTTGTAAACTGCATGGAAGCTGAGTGAAGCTTACTGCTGCCCGCTACTCCCCATTCAATTTGTGAACTCTTCTGCACAGCAGAGACAGTTATACTCCCTTCTGAAACATTACCCCAGGGGCCTGAGAACCACCTCCCATCTCCACAGGGGCTGCAACCTGACCCACCCAAGGAGAATATGAGCTCAGACCCACATAAACCTTCCTCCATCTGGTGGCATTTATCCACCCCTGGTAGCTAAACACAAAAGACATAAACTTTTGGGAGCTTTATGGCCCTGCCCATTGCCTGAGAAACCATAATGCTTCCCCTGGGCAACTTAGGGAAAGCTCAAATTCCACTGCTACTAACACAGCTGGTGCTCTCTTGCAAGCACCACCTTCAGGCTGAAGGTCAACCAACACACGTCATTTAAACACCTCTCAGTTGAATAACACTGTGCATAGGAAGGAGAAAATGGCTGTGTGGTCTCAACACCACTGTCTGCAACACCCTGGCTAAACAGAGATCCTGAGTCTGTCTACATGACAAGTTCACTACCAGTATAACCAGCATTCAAGAAAGCCATCACACCAAGCCTATCTACAACCAAGGAATGTTACAGAGCCTAGGTCATTCTCCGTCTACGTCCATCAGAGCAGGTGTTAGTACACACTGCTGGGAGATTCGAAGAAAGGTCACATCACTGAATCCTTTGCAGACATTCTCCAGAACCATCCAAGAATCTGGAAGCCCTACAGGCTGGATAGTCCCAGAAGAGCAATAGCAATCACTGAAGTCTGAATCTCAGGAGTCCTATTTCTAGGGGAAGGAGGAGAACACCATATCAAGGGAACACCCCATGGGACAAAATAATTTGAACAGCAGGTCTTGAGTCCCAGATCCTTCTGCTGGTGGAAAGTTACTCATAGCAGAAACACAATTGCACTGATGGGTGCAGTAGGGAAAGTCTGCACCTTTACCCCAACAGGCAGGCAGCCTGTATGATGATGAAGCGTCTTGGAGAAGGCATCCTTATTCCCCACTGGTGTATCCCCTGGTAGACCACTGCAGACACAGCTGGGGCTTCTCCCACAGGAACACAGCATGGCTGCATGTATAGACAGCATTCCTGGAACAATTCAGGGTGATTGCAGCCCCACAGGAGGAGCACTCTCCAGACTCAGGCCTTCATGAGAGGCAAAGTCACAATTTCTCCCTACTTGGAACATCAATATTGCTCTAGATGAAAAGAGGTGCCTGTCTGATGTAAATAGCCAGAACACTGGGACAGTGGTCAGACTGTGAGGTGGACATATTTCCTGCCCATGTGGCATGTGAGCTGAGATAGCTCCCACCCTTCACCCTGAGAAAATCTCAGCACATCTAATTGAGAGCTAATCTAGCCACCTTCATCAAGGCTGGGACCTTTGCACACTATTGGATATTAAATCTATACACTTGCTTTAGCTACAGCTGGTGCCTACCCAGGGATACCCCCCTTATTGCCCTGAAGTCTGAATCGTCAACTAAGCAAATAAAATACTGAGAGGGGGGGATTAAATAAATAAGTAAAGTACACACTATGAGAGAATTAGATAAGTTTCAAGAGATCCTGGCCATACCACATACCAAACCAATAGGGGACACTAAACTTGCCCACACACAAACTACATCACCACTGCAACCAGAATCTGGGAAATCCAGTGCACAAAGACTCTGTATAACTAAGAAACTCATATAGAATTTTCACCCCTAAAAGCACCCAGAATTAAATTAGACTACAATAAACTATAAGCCTTAAAGTCAGATAATTAAAAGGAAAAAAAATTAAAAAGCACCGTCCTAGCAAAAAATAAATTTAAGAGCAATTTTCAGAAATACTATACTCAATTGAGAAGGAACAAAAAAAGTAATACTGGTAATAGGACAAAACAGGATTTGATAACACCCCCAAATGATCACACTAGCTCCCAAGCGATGGATCCAAGCAAAGATGAAATCTGTGAAATGACAGATAAAGAATTCAGATGGTTGCTTATTAAGGTTGCTACTCAAGGAGATACTGGAGAAACGTAAAAGTGAATTTATAAAAAAATTTTAAAAATTAGAATATGAATAAAATTTCCAGAAATATAGATATCATAAAGAAAAAACAATCAGAGCTTCTGGAAATGAAAGACACACGTAGGAACATACAAAATTCAGTGGAAAGTTTCAACAATAGTCAAGAACAAGTAGAAGAAAGAATCTGAGATCTCAAAAGTAAGGCTTTCAAATTGACAAAATCAGATAAAGACAAAGAAAAAAGATTTTAAAATGAATAAAGTCTCCAAGAAATATGGGATTATATAAAATGTCCAAACCTAAAAATAATTGTTGCTCCTGAGGAAGAAAATCTATGTAAAAGTTTGGAAAATTTTTTTGAGAGAATAATTGAGGAAAACTGTGGCCTTGCTAAAGATCTATACAATGAAATATAAGAAGGTTAAAGTACTCCTGGGAAATTCATCACAAAAAGATCATCACAAAGGCATACAGTCTTCAGGCTATCTAAAATCAAGATGAAGGAAATAATTTTAAGTGTTGTGAGACAAAATCATCAGGTAACTTACACAGTAAAACCTATCAGACTAACAGCAGATTTCTCAGCAGAAACCTTAAAAGCCAGGAGGGATTATATTTCTATGCACTAATAATGGGCAATCCAAAAAGTAAATTAGGAAAACAATCTCATTTACAATAGCATCATAAATAATAAAATGCTTAGGAAGCAATTTAACCAAGGAAGTAAAACAAAGTCATATAATAAAAACTATAAAACATTGCTGAAAAAAGTTGAAGAAGACATACAAAAATAAAAGACATCTTATGTTTATGGATTGGAAGACTTAAAATCATTAAGATGTAAGATGTCGATACTACCCAAAGTGATCTAGATTCAATGCAATCTCTATCAAAACCCAACAACTTTTTTTTTGCTGAAAAATCATACCCTCACCCCAAAGTTTACATGGAATCCCAAAGTACCCTGAATAGCCAAAACAATCTTGAAAAAAAGACACAAGTTAGAGAATTCACACTTCCTGATTTCAAAACTTAGTATAAAACTACAGTAATCAAAACGACATGGTACTAGACTAAAAGCAGACATATAGAATAAAGCAGAAAGCCCAGAAATAAACTATACCATATATAGTCAAATAATTTTCAACAAGGGTGTTCAGACCATTCAATGAAGGAAAGAACTGTCTTTTCAACAAATGGTTTTTGGAAACCTAGACACCCACATGCAAAATAATGATGTTGGAAACTTACCCTACACCACATACAAAAATTAAGTCAAAACGATGAAAGAACTAAACTTAAGAGCTAAAATTTTAAAACTCTTAAAAGAAAACATAGGGACAATGCTTCATGATATTGTATTTGGCAGCAAAGTTTGGATATGACACCAAAGGCACAAGCAAAAAAAGGAAAAACAGATAAATTAGACTACCTTAAGATAAAATGAAAAAACTTCCATGCATCAAAGGATACAATCAACACAGTGAAAAGGCAACCCAGAGAGTCAGTGAAAATATTTGAAAATCACATATCTGATAAGGAACTGATATTTAAAATGTATGGAGAACACTTAAAACTGAACAACAACAACAAAACAAATAACCTGATTCAAAAATAGGCAAACAGCTTGAATAGACATTTCTCCAAAATTATACAAGTGGCCAATAAGCTTATGAATAGATGCTAACATCACTAATCATTAGGGCAGTGCAAATCAAAGCTATAAGGTAATATTACCTTACACCATGCTATTAGGATAGCTAGTATCACACACACACACACAAAACCCAGAAAATTGTAAGTGTTGATGAAGATGTGGAGAAAATGGAACCCTTGTGCACTGTTGGTGTGAATATAAAATGGTGCAACCACTGTGGAAAACAGTATGGTGATTCCTCAAAAAATTAAAATATAATTACCCCAGGAGCCGCAAATTCCACTACTAGGTATGTACTACAAATAATTGAAAGCTGTGTCTTGAAGATATATTTGTACAACCATGTTCATAGCAGCATAATTCACAAAAGCCAAGAGGTGAAACAACTCAAGTGTCCATCAACTGAGCATTGGATAAGGAAAATGTGGTCTCTACATACAATGGAATATTAATCAGTCTTTAAAGGGTATGATATTCTGAAATGGGCTACAGTATGGAAGACCCTTGAGGACATTAGGCTAAGTGAAATAAATAAGTCAGTCACAAAAAGACAAATATTTTAATACCAGTTATTTGAGGTAACTAGAGTAGTCACATTTCTAGAGAGAAAATAGAATTGTGGTTACCAAAAAGTAGTGGTGGGAGGAGAAAATAGAAGTTTTAATTGGCTTGTTGCTTAATGGATATAGAGTTTCAACATTGCAAGATGAATAGAGTCCTGAAGATAGATGGTGGTGATGGTTGCACAACAGTGTGAATGTACTTAATAGTGTACATTAAAGTATATATAAAAGTGTATTTAAAATACACATTGAACTGTACAGTTAAAATGGTTAAGGATGTGCATTTTATGATACATGTACTTTAATGTATTTTATGAAAAATTTAAGAATCATTTATTTATGTGTGTCTATTTCTGAATTATGTTTTCTCTTCCATTGATGTATTTGTTTATCCTGTCTTGATTGCTGAAGCTCATAATAATTCCTGTAATCAGATATGTTAGCCCTTCAAATTTTTTCTTCTTTTTCAAAATGATTTTGGCTATTCTAGGTCCTTTGGATTTACATATAAATTTTAGAACCAGTTTGTCAATTTATTTTAAAAGCCAACTTGTATTTTGATACAGATTATGTGGAATTATAAATCAGTGTGAGGATAATTGACATGTGAACAATATTGAGTCATTTGGCCAATAAAGAAGGCATATCTCTTCAATAACTTAAGGCTTTTAAAATTTCTCTCAGCAATGTTTTAAAGTTGCTAGTGTACAATCTTTGCAAATTTTATGTGGCATTTATTCCTGAGTATTGAATACTTTGTGAGTTTATTATAAATAATATATTTTTTCAAAGTTTGATTGCTCATTGCTAGTATAGATTAATGGAATTAATTTTTGCATTTTATCTTGTATCCTAAAAACTATTTGTAGCTTTTTTGTAGATTTCACGACATTTTCTGCAAATAAACACAATTCATTTCTTTAATTCTAATCTGAGTTCCCTTTATTTCTTTTTATTCCCTTGTTGCACTGGATGAAACCTCCATTACAATGTTGACTAGAAGTGAGAGTGCTCATCATCATCCTTGTACCCCTTTATGCTGTATCTTTTTTCCTCTGGGAATCGAATTAAACACGTTCTAGGACACTTTAAGTGATCCAGTAACTCATATGTGCTCTTTTCACTTATTTTGCACATCTTGTTTTCTCTTTTTTTATTCTAGATAGTGTCTTATTGTGGGTTTAAGTTTACTAATATTTTATTTTTCAATGTCTATTAGCCCAGTAATTCCATCCTTTATATTATGTTTAAATCTCAGTTGTAATTTTTAACTCTAGAAATTTGATTTGAGCTTTTTAAAAATATTTTCCATGTCTCAACCAACTTCCTGAACATCTGGATTACTGTTACAATAAATGTTCTGAAGTACTTGTCTGCTAATTCCAACATCAGTGTCAGTTGTGGTTTGGTTTAGAAACTATTTGATTTTTCTCCTCATTTATGGGGTTTATTTTCCTGCTTCTTTTCATGCCTTGTAATTTTTGAATAGATCCAAGCATTGCAAATTTTACTTTGGTCCTGCATATTTTTGTATTCCTATAAATAACCTTGTACTTTGTTATGAGATGCATTTAAACTATTTGGAAATAGTTTTATCCCTTTGGGTCTTGCTTTCGAGATTAGTTAGCCAGATCCAAATAGTCCAAGTCTAGTTACTCTCAATACTGAAACATAACCTTTCTCAGTTTCCCACCCACTATCTCATGAATTATGAGGCTTGGTATCTAAAGAAGATATTTGGTCTCTGTTTCTAGTTCCTGGCACAGAGCTCTTAAAACTCTTGGACTTTCCTTAGAGATAAGAGTGATGGGAGCCTCTTTTGTACTAATGAGTTGACTCTTAGTGGACCCCTGGATAGCTTCAAGTTTGAGGTTAGCATAAATTTAGAATGAAGGCCAGTTGCCAGAAAGATTAAGCCTTGATTAAAAATTTGGAGCTTTAGTTCCACCCCCAAACCTCCAGGAAGGGTGAGGGGCTGGAGATTGAGTCAATCACCAATAACTGATGATTTAATCAATCATGCTTATGTAATGAAACCTCTATAAAACGCTTAAATGATGGGGATCATTGAGGTTACAGGTTGGTAAATACACAAGGTCCTGGGAGAATGGTACACCCTTAGAAGGAATGGAAGCTCCACACTATTCCTTTCAACCCTTACCTTGCCTTATGTATCTCTTCCATTTACTGTTCCTGAGTTATATTCTTTATAATAAACGGGTAATGGTAAACAAAGTACTTTCCTGATTCCTGTGGGTTATAGTAGTGAATGGTCAAATGTAAGGGGATTTTAAACCCCAAATTTGTAGTCAGCCAGACAGAAATGTGGATAGCCTAGGCACCCCATTTGTAGTTGCTATTTGAAGTGGGAGGAGTCTTGTGGACTGAACCCTTAACCTGTGGGTTCTGAGTGACCTTCAAATAGTGTCAGAATTGAATTGAACTGTAAGACACCCAGTTGGTGTCAGAGAATTGGGGAATTGGTTGCACTGAGGAAAAAACAAAACAAAACAAAAAAAACTCTCATAGGCGTTTCCATTCTGGCTTGTTACAACAGGCACTATTTCCTGCCCTTTGTGATTGCCAAACAGTGTTCCCTCTAATACTTTCTGTTGGCTCTTTTCCTGTCTTCCTTACATGCATGTACTAATCAGTACTCTGCTAAATGCTCAGTGGTAATTATCTATGGATTTCTGACATTCTCTCTCTCTCTGATCTGTTACTTTGTCATGAAAATTCTAGTCATTTTGGTGTCCCCAGACTCTCAGCTCCATCACTTGAACTGAGGCAGTTTGTCAGATTCAGCCTGTGTTCCTCCTATCTGCAACGTAACCTGAAAACTCTAAGGCAGTAGGGTGAAGCATTCATAAGACTCACTATTTTTGTTGTTTCGGTTTGTTTTTTTTTCTCATCTTTTCTGAATCACTGTCCTCACTTGTTTGATATTAATTGTCTTATAAACCATCATTTTGTGTGTTTGGAAGGGTTTTTGTTTGATTTCTTCTTGTTGTTTTGGGCAGATGGAGTAGTGGTAAATTCGGTCTCTTAAGTTTATCCTATCCTGAAGTGGAAGTCCTGATGTCTGAATCCTATTAATTTTCAGTGAAGTTATACAACTAAATCCTCATGCAAATCTTTGAAGAAATTGGAGTATTTATTGAAAGTACTATCCAGACTTCTGTAGAAAATGGAACCTTCATTTTAATGATTTCTGTTAATTGAAATGACTTGTGCATTAATCCTATAAAAATAGCTATTTGTTTCTGTATTGCAGAGACAATGTAAGCAATGCTTAATATATGTGAACTTAATATACCTCAGTGCACAGCCTTCTTTGTTTGCTTTAAAGGATGTTAGCTAGAAAAAGATTCTTCCTTGAAATTAAAGCTCTGAGTGAGATGTCATGCCAAGGCAAAGCAGATAGAACTGAAGAACACGCTGCCCCTTGTATAGAAGGCCTGTATTATCTGGAAATTTACCTACATTTATGGTATTATGTATTTTTTCAGAGAGAATGACATCTTTTAATTTTTCTCTAATAGCAAGTATAATACTTGATATGACAATCTGCTTTCAAAAAGGTCCCTTTACTAAACTCAGAAGAATCAAATTTTGTTTGTTCATTGAGAGTAAACTCTATTTCCTGTCCTGTATCACATTAGATTCCTTTCTACATTTCACTACTGAAATACCAATAGTAAGCGCATTTATTATTTATGAGAGTAAAGCCCAAAAATGGACTGTAGCATTTTCTGATTAATTTATGAGATAAAATTTCTTAAGTATAAATTTAGTATAGTATATCCAGTATCTTAAAATTATTTGGTACTCTATTATCTGAATAAGATGAATTGTATAGCACTTTATCAAACAGAATAGTAGGTTAACCAGAACATTCCATGCTCCAACTGTGATGGATTACCAAAGAAATTGGTGATGTCGAGCCCTTTCAGAATATAAAAATGGGGTAATTTATCTCCTTCCCTTCCCCAAATAATTAATTAGTAATGAAAAGAACAACAATGCTAATGTAATAGCTGACACTTATTCCATACTTATAACTACCGCACATATATCAACTAATTTATTACCCAGAATGACCCTGAGGTAGGTCCTATTATTATCCCTGTTTTAAAGATGAAAACAAAATGAAGCACAAAGATGTTACCTGCTTTTTCCATGGTCACACAGTTCAGTCGCAGAGACAAGGTAAGAACCTGGATTATCTGACGCCAAATTAATGAGAAAGAGTTTGAATAATCCAGGTTTTGGAGTTAGATTTATTCCTTGCTAACTGTGTGACATTGGGCAAGTCATTGAGTCTTTTGCTCTTTGTTTTTATCTTTAAAATGATAATAATAGTTAACTTACTGTGTTTTGTTTTAAATGCAATAATATGTGTAAAGCTTTTAACACAATAGCAGACCACATATTAAATTAACATTATCAATTTTCTCGAATTAATACTTGACCACAACAGTGTTTCTAATTTTCTTATTTTATTTTCTTTTTGGTCATATATATTTTAATATGAATTTGCATTCTTAATGCATAGAAGCAGGAATGATGAAAGAAAAAAAATAAATGAGCAAGTAAAATTGACACTGTGACCTTATATTTCTCTTAGTACTGTGGTACCCAGGCTGTGTATCCATTAAGCAAATAGTTTAGCTGATCCATTTTGCAGTAGCTCATATATTTAACTTTTATAGAGCTATTAATGAACTGTAAGGATAAAATTTGCATTCAGACACCTGAGATTTTCAAATAGTTTCCAGAAATTAGATCAAAGACACCAGGGAACAATATATAAAAATGCTTCCAAGCTCTTAAAGGTCTTGAGCACAGACTAAGTTTAACTTGGAAATTTCATCAGGAAAGAAAAGTCTTTGCAATTGTATTTATTGGTACTGTGGAGTAAAAGACTGTGTGTGTGTGTGTGTGTGTGTGTGTGTGAGAGAGAGAGAGAGAGAGAAAGAAATTAGTAAAAAGGATGAGAGAAGAGGAAAAGTATACATGTTGATAGGAATAAAGTAGAAATGTTACAAAATGAAGGTTAACAGATAACCTTTTCTTGTTGAGTAGCTTCTTCTAAGCTTGTCCAGGGTATTCACTTCTGAGCTATGTATCGTAACATGTTCTGTGGAATTTATAACCTTGCATTGATCGCTTGCTCTGAACGTTGCTTGCTAAATATTTTGTTTTAGTTTAAATAAAGGATTTTGTTCTTTTCCCAACTCCACAGTGTAAGCTTCTCAAGAGTATAACCTGTATATTATCTCACAGACTACTACTTTGTTCAGTATTCATATTTTTTCTTCAAAGGGCTACCTAATCAATTTTGTAGAATAAATTGATAAATTCAAACACCTATAAGATTTTTTCTTTTAATTAAATGCTGGTTTTGGCGGTGGGTAACAATGCCAAGTACTGGGTAATTTTATATCTACTATACTAAATTTAATTAAACAAGCCTGATAAGCTCAAATGACAAATGAAAGATTGTCCCTAAGTAGGAAACTCCTCTAATACATATAAAGTGTAATTTAATTTTTAAAAATTTAGGATATGCACAATTCTTCAGGGAAATGCTTATTGCAAATATGAGTCCCACTATACTTATTAATTAAGCTCTTCTAACTAGCAATTGTTTGCAGTAAATTCTGATATGCTACCTTAGAATAGGAACTTTGGATAATTTTCAGAAATTTAAAAATTCAAAAACATACACAAAGTATGAAAAGCAGTTCTTTTAACTTTCATTACATATAAAAATTCTACTTTTTTACATGTCTGTAAACATATAATGTCATACCCATTTTGAAAATCAAATTTCCGGTTGCTACACAAAAGTCATGTGCTCCTCCTAACTTGCATGATAAATGTAGACTTGTATTTATTTTAATTTTTTGACTCCTCTCAGCTCATACCTAAGAAATCTAGATTTTTAAAAGACATGCTTTTGGTAGTGAGCTGAAGACAGAATAGACACGAATTTAGTTACACCTGCAGTCACTGGATGACATAGCAAAATCAAATGTCTATTCAGTTCACTATTCAATCCTTAGCTGCATTTCAAGAATAACAGGTGCAACGATTACGTAGTTTGAACCTAGACTGCAGAAGATTAAGACATGAATTGGAGTCAAACCGTTAAAAAATTCCTCATAATAACTTTAGCAAACTATTGTATCCTTCTTGTTAAGGTACCAGTTTTCTTCTCCAGAGGCAACTACTTTCACTGAATTTTTTTTTGGTAAAATAATTTTACACAAAGAAATAGATAGATAGCTCACCTTTAAGAATTAGATACTGTTTTGCATATTGCTTTTAGTTTTCATATATCATACATGTGATTTTATATTGGTAGATTTAGAACTACCTCATTCTTCTTTTTTTTTTTTTTTTTGGTTACCTGTCTATTTATTAATAGACCTTATTTTTTAGAACAGTTTAAGTACATAGCAAAACTGAGAGGAAGGTACAGAGATTTCCCACACACCTGAGGCCCCACACATGTATGGCTTCCCCAACTAGCAACATCCCTCACTAGAATGGTGCGTTTATTCCAATTGATGAACCTTCACTGCTACATCACCATCACCCAGAGCCCATGGTTTATTTTAGGGGTCACCCTCCGCATTGTACATTTCGTGGGTTTGGACAAATGTATAAAGACACGGATCCACCATTACAGTCTCATGCAGCGTAGTTTCACTGCCCTAACCATCCACCGATCAATTTTTTTTTTTATTTTTTTTTAATTATACTTTAAGTTCTGGGATACATGTGCAGAACGTGCAGGTTTGTTGCACAAGTATACACTTGCCATGGTGGTTTGCTGCACCCATCAACCCATCATCTACATTACGTATTTCTCCTAATGTTATCACTCCCCTAGCCTCCCACCCCCCAACAGGCCCTGGTGTGTGATGTTCCCCTCCTTGTGTCCATGTGTTCTCATTGTTCAACTCCCACTTATGAGTAAGAACATGCAGTGTTTGGTTTTCTGTTCTTGTCTTAGTTTGCTGAGAATGATGGTTTCCAGCTTCATCCATGTCCCTGCAAAGGACATGAACTCATCCTTTTTTATGGTTGCATAGTATTCCATGGTGTATGTGTGCCACATTTTCTTAATCCCGTCTATCATTGATGGGCATTTGGGTTGGTTCCAAGTCTTTGCTATTGTGAATAGTCCTGCAATAAACATACGTGTGCATGTGCCTTTATAGGAGATTGATTTATAATCCTTTGGGTATATACCCAGTAATGGGATTGCTGGGTCAAATGGTATTTCTAGTTCTAGATCCTTGAGGAATCACCACACTGTCTTCCAAAACAGTTGAACTAATTTACACTCCCACCAACAGTGTAAAAGCATTCCAATTTCTCCACATCCTCTCCAGCATCCATTGTTTCCTGACTTTTTAATGATCACCATTCTGACTGACATGAGATGATATCTCACTGTGGTTTTGATTTGCATTTTTACAACTATTTAGTTAACATTGCACAGAAGTACCACATTTTATCTGACCAGTTCTAATTGATAAACATTTTTTAGTCTTTTGCTGCTATAAATATGCTGTAATGAATGCCCTTGGATATTTTATACATCTGTGAGCATATGTATAAGATATAGCCCAATAATTGTATGTATGTGCTGAGGTGTAGGGGATTATGTGTCTTAAATGTGTCTCTTGATGGGAGCATACATTTTGATATTTATACAATATTTATTCTGTCCCATTTCTATTCTCCTTCCACATTTTATGCATCTGCTCACCAGTATAAATTTATACTCCCACCATTTGAGAGTTCATCTAGATTTTCCCAACAGTTGAAATTGTCAATCATTTTAATTTTGGCCATTCTGATGGATATGAGTAGTGTCTAATTGTAATTTTATTTTGCTGATTACTAGTAAGGTTGAGTGCCTTTTCTTAGACTATGAGTGATTTTTTGTTCTTTTGTATTAGTAAGTTTTGGATATGAGTTCTTGATCAGTATTTTGAGTGTGTACTTTCATTCTGGTATATATTTACATTATCTTACTGGTAATTGACAAGAGTTACTAATTTTAATATAGCTACAATTTATCAATCATTTTGTTATGTCTATTTCTTCTCTCAATCATAAAGATATGTGTTATGCTATCTGCCAAAAACTTTATTATTTGCCTTTATCACTGAGATAAATAATTTATATGGCATGTATGTGTCTGTGGTGTGCTGTAAGGTAAAGACCAAGTATCTTTTCATTCATAAAAATTTTCATTCTGTTTGAACCAGCATCATTTTCTTGGAAAAACAGCATCCTCTCTCCATTGTATGGTGGTATTAACTTGGTTACTAATCAATTGTCCATAAATGTATGAGACTGTTTCTGAACTTTCCATTATGTTTGATCCATCCATTATTGTATTGTTGCAGGAATGCACACTCTTTATAAAATAATTCATAATGTTGCCTTTTATTCTGATATTGTGGGGAACTATAGTCATTTTCAAAAGCAAAATCAAGCTTGTATTTCCAGAATAAACCCATTTGCTGTTGGGTGGATGCTCAGATCATTGATATTGAGACAATTTTCTTTTCTAATGTATGCAATTATGTCTGTGAATATCCCTATAAACAAAGTTTAGCTGTATCCCATATGTTTTGATATGTTATATTTTTATTTTTATTAGTTCAAAATGTTCCTTAACTTTCCTTAACTGTTATTTTCTCTGGTCAGTGTGTTATTTGGAAGTGTATTCATTAATTTTCAAACATATAAAAATGTTTTGTTTGTTTTCATACTTGCTGGATTTCTACCACGATTTCATTGTGGTTAGAGATCATATTTGTATGATTTTAAAACTTTGAATGTTTTTGAGATCTGCTTCATAGATAAGAACAATTTTTCTATGTATTTTACTTATTCTTTTTTTTTTTTTTTTTTTCTGAGACAGAGTCTCGCTCTGTCGCCCAGACTGGAATGCAGTGGCCCGATCTTGGCTCACTGCAAGCTCCGCCTTCTGTGTTCACGCCATTCTCCTGCCTCAGTCTCCCCAGTAGCTGGGACTACAGGTGCCTGCCACCATGCCCGGCTAATTTTTTGTATTTTTAGTAGAGACGGGGTTTCACCGTGTTAGCCAGGATGGTCTCGATCTCCTTACCTCGTGATCTGCCTGCCTCGGCCACCCAAAGTGCTGGGATTACAGGCGTGAGCCACTGCGTCTGGCCCATTTTGTCTCTTAACGCACATGCTGGAGTGTGCTCACCCAATTCCTAAGCTGCCAATTACCAATTTCAAATGTTTTTATCTGTAGAGAAACTGCCTCTCGCTGGAACCTGCGATCTATTATTTTATTGTCATAACTGTGCACCTTCAGAAAATGGCATCTCCCTGGTGCTGGCTGCCAATTATCATTTTTAGAGAGGAAGTGTGATAGATGCCAAACCATCACCTGATGATCACCTGACATTCCTGGTGGGTAGTGGGAGGGGGGTCCCTCTCCTGCCCTGCTCATGCCTGACTACCTGTAACAATAAGACCAATTTGTTTGCAAAATAAATTTTGTTCTCATTGTACTTGCCATGGTTATTTGCATAAAGTGTAGCAAGCATAGTGATCAGCCATATAGACTCCTTTTAACCTGGCTTTGCTGGAACTTTTATAAGGAATTTTAGACTCAACGTTTTAAAATCCTCAAGGCCAGAAGCCAACCCAAGGATTTACCCTTAGACTTTGCTTATAATATCTGTACGAATTCCTCTCTTCTTGAGGTCCCCAAATGTTTTGGGGTTCCTGGGCCTATTTTTAATAGAAAGTGACATTCTTTACAAAGAATCCTTGTAAAGGAACCATTTAGAAAAGGTACTAACTAGGTCAGTCTTTCCAAGGGAATTTTTATTGGCTCCATAAACTTGACCTCAATTCCTCAATCTGGTCATATTTGAATATATGCCATTCCAGTCAAAGCCTTGATAAAATAATCAGTGTCTCCAATTGTGTCACAACTTTTCTAAGCTGTAAATAGCTAGAAAGAAAATAGGTTCTCTTGATTCTTCTTCAGAGTAACAGCCTTCCCAACAAGATGTTGTCCAGTCTCCCTTGAAACGCCTTCCACAAACCAAGTAGCTCTTTGTCAGTCTGATGAGAGCTGTTTCTTGGGCACTATAGAATCCAGCAGCTTCTTAAACACTTCCATATTAGTCCTGAGGGAAAAAAGGGACTGTGAGTATTTCCTCCTTACATTCTTTGAGAAGCAAGATCCTATATAAACCATTTCAATTTTTTCATGGAACTCTTCTGGGCACTGCTATTTTCATTAGCATAAGGGTAGCTTCAGTTAACATCCCATAGCAAGGTGTTAAATACCCCTCAAGTGGAAATTCTCTAGAGCAAAGTCCCAAAAGTTGTTATTGCAAGGTGCTCACAGGCATTTGCCATAAGCCCCTGTAAATGCTTCACAAAGCCTGTTAGATGGACAATTCATCCCAACTCGTACTCCAGTTTCTGCACTACAGTCTGTGGGCTTGGGCAATCTTACTTGTTCTCATTTAGCATGTCCAATTAATATTGCTCAAGGGCAGATTTTCAAGCCTTCTGTTTTATAGTGGTAGGTAGAGAGAACATCCTTTAGTTATATATAATATTCATTTTCAGAAAGCATTTAGGTAATGGAGACACAACTATTTTATATTAGTCTGTTTAAACATTTCAAATTTCATAAGTATATCAACCCTTACATTTTTATGTTCTGGTCCCAGTAACTTCCATTTCCACTCGCAGACCATTTTACCCTTTCTTGTGTAAAAGAATTTGAGTTCCCAGGAGGGGGTTGGGTCAAAGGATTTGGATCCTTTTGTCAATCTTATCTTGAGGCAATTGTTAGTGTTCTCATTATAACCTTTTTCTTCTAATTTTATTTTTTCTCCAATCTGCAGTAAATAAAAAAAAAAATTGGTTTGGTTGAGATCCTTTAATGTTAGCAGACCAGCAAGGGACCTTTTTGATCTACCCAACTTTGGCTTTTGGCTTTGAGGATTTAAGACCTTCATTTTAACCACATCAATTTACATTTTATTCATCCCATTTCTTAATAACCATCTAAAATTTTCTACCCTGCCGGGATGAGTCCCATGACCTCTTCCTTTCCTTTTTCTCTTAATATCACCCCATCAATGTTTTTAAAACTTACTTTTTTAAAAAAATAACTATTTAAAATGTTTTACCTTCCTGGGATGAGTCCTTTGATTCTCATGTTCTTGTTACCTTTTGTTTTCCCCAAGTTCTTCTTGTTAATTAACCTAATGTTTCCATTAACATCTGTAAAGACCCACAAGGGGAAGTTGAGACAGCGAATTTGAGAAGCCTTTCTGAACTGTTATTCAGTTTTGCAGTAGTGATGAAACCAAAGGGGACACCCTTTTCAATAGCATGTACCATGACCTGGGTAACAGGCCTATTCCTTGGGTGCATATCCTGTTTATCCTAAAACTAATCTCCCATGGCTTGCATATAAAGCATATCAGCTGCATTATCTGGGGTGCTGTTCTTGGCAATTTTAGGGGGAGTTGGATAGCCCCTCTTCTCAGAGTAAACAGAACTTACAGTGGTTTTATCCAGTCCGCCACGATAGCTGTTCCCTTGGAAATAACCTCCTGTGTGTCCGGATCATATGTATCTATTTGGAATTGTTCAGTATTGAGCTGTGGGTCCTGCATCAATGGAAACATACTCTTTTACTATAGCATTTAAAATCTAAGACATTGTTCCCAAATTAGTTATGTTCACAATCCATTTTAGTAAAAGTTTATCAGTGAGCTGATGATACCCATCTACAAAATGGAACAATTCCTTCATATCATATCCTCTAGTCTCAATAGTTACTTGGTTTTGCCCCTTCCCCACTTTGACTGCCTTCTTGGTAAGCACAGGTCTCAGAGGTACTTTCTTTTGTCCCTGGCATAATTTTCCCCTTTGTGAGTAGCTTTGAATCTAGTGATCTGAACTCGGACAGATCCACATCTGAGGTTGGTCCAGCCTCAAGGCATAACCCAGCACTCTCTTTTACTTTTATTTTAGCTGTTATAGATAATAACCAAAGGATCGAATATTTTGCTTTTTGCTTATTAGTTTCTTTCTCCTTATACATCCATTGAACCAATCCCCCAGGAGTTTGAGCCATCTCTAAATTCTACTGGTAACAGTTACCTTTAATAACTGAATGCAGCACAGCTACAGCTCCATACTATGGGTGACTACATGGCCACACAGGAATCAAATGTTTCTCATTCCACACCTTTTTATCTTTTCTCTTTCTATCTATTTAGTTTTATCTATACCATTTTTTCTTTCATTTTGAAGCAACTTTTAAATAGCCTCCAAATTAGACAAAATTGCTTATTCTTTAAGCCAAAAACATATCCTCATGTTTTTATAACTTTTACCAAAATAATCCTACTTTCTTTTAGTATTCCATATGTAGAATGGTTTTAATTACATATATTAACTACTATTCTGCTCTTAGTCTCTAATTTCCAATGATAAACCTGGGTTTAAATTTAACATAACATGTCTTTATCATTTTAAATTACTGAAAAGAATTTTGAAACTAGTTTTATTTACCAAAGATTATTAAAGTCATGTGAACTAAAAGGCGTTTGACCTAGCTTCTATTTTTCTAATGCAATATTTTATTTGAGCACTTATTTTTTCTTTAAGCCAATTGATTAGAGCTCTTTCACATGTTTTGTGGTGAAATATCACATACACATGACACATATACACTGATAGATGCAACAGTGAATCTATCAGTGATGGAACAGATAGAAGTGGATTTCATAAATTTATAGATTTTTTTATTTGTCAGTTTTCAAAGTTTCTTTCCCCATATTTTGTTAGGATATCCAAAGGATTTTGCTTTATTTTTGAAGCTTAGAAACTTTACTAGCTTGTGCTTTGGTGTTGATGGCTGTGTTAATTTTTTTTTCCTTGTTACTCAGTGTCCTAAAGTGTATATACATAACATTTTCTTATTTTCAGAAAGGATTTATAAATAATCATTTTAAACATTGATTTTATATTCCATTTATCTGATTCTCTTCTTCAGTGACAGCAAATATGCACAAGTTGGCTCTCTTGCTTGTTTTCTATTAAATTTAAATTAAATTAAAAACTTTCTGACACTGTTAATATTCATGTTTTTCTTACAAACTTTTATCAATTCTCTTTTTTATATTCCTTGTTGTGTTTTCAACTGTTTACTTTTCTTTATGGTATTTCAAATATAAGGTGACTATTTTTTCTGACTTTTGTTTTTAGTTTTTCTGGCTCATGTTTTATCTCATATCATTTTGCTATATCTTCTCTGACACCTTGTATCTTCGTTTTGAGATCCTATTTTAAAGATATAGTTCTTTAATGCATTAATTTACAATAAAATATTTATGTTATTTTTTACTTCACAGGATTTGTATTAGCATTATTTGCCTACCATTTGTATTTTATTTTAATATTTTTAAAAATTTTAGTGGGTACATAGTAGATGTATGTATTTATGGAGTCCATGAGATGCTTTGATACAGACATGCGATGTGAAATAAGCACATCATGGAGAATGGGGTATCCATCCCCTCAAGTATTTATCCTTTGAGTTACAAACAATCCAATTACATTCTTTGAATTATTTTAGAATAGACAATTACGTTATTATTGACTATAGTCACCCTATTGCAGTATTAAATAGTAGGTCTTATCCATTCTTTCTATTTTTTGTACCCATTAACCATCCCCACCTCTATCCCTTCACCCCACTATCCTTCCCAGCCTCTGATAACCATCCTTCTATGTCCATGAGTTCTATTGTTTTGATTTTTAGATTCCACAAATAAGTGGGAATATGCAATGTTTGTCTTTCTGTGCCTGGCTTATTTCACTTAACATAATAACCTCCAGTTCCATCAATGTTGTTGCAAAAGACAGAATTTCATTCTTTTTTATGACTGCATATTACTCCATTGTGTATATGTACCTCATTCTTTATCCATTCATCTGTCAATGGGCACTTAGGTTGCTTCCAAATCTTAGCTACTGTAAACAGTGCTCCAACAAATATAGAAGTGCAGATATCTCTTCAATATACTGATTTCTCGTCTTTTTAGTACATACCCATTAGTGGGATTGCTGGATGATATGTTAGCTTAATTTTTAGTCCTGTGTGGAAACTCCGAACTATTATTCATAGTGGTTTTACCAATTACATTCCCATCAACAGTGTACAAACTTTCATTTTTCTCCAAATCCTTGCCAACATTTGTTATTGCCTGTGTTTTGGATATAAACCATTTGACCTGGTGTGCAATGATATCTCATTGTAGTTTTGATTTGCATTTCTCTGATGATCCATGCTGTGGAGCACCTTTTCATATGTCTGTTTGCCATTTGTATGTTTTATTTTGAGAAATGTCTATTTAAATTATTTGCCCATTTTTTGGTTGGATTATTAGGTGTTTTTTCTATAAAGTTGTTTGAGCTCCTGATACATTCTGGTTATTATTCCCTTGTCAAATGGGTAGTTTGCAAATGTTTCCTTCCGTGCTGTGGGCTGTCTCTACTTTTTTATTTTATTTTATTTTATTTTATTTTATTTTATTTTATTTCAATATATTTTGGGGAACAGGTGGCTTTTGGTTACATGGATAAGTTCTTTAGTGGTAATTTCTGAAATTTTGGTGCACCTGTCACCTGAGCAGTGTACACTGTATCCAATGTGCGGTCTTTTATCACTCACCCCCTCCCGCCCTTCCTCATGAGTCCCCAAAGTTCACTATATCATTTTGATGCCCTTGAGTTCTCATAGCTTAGCTCCCACTTGTAACTGAGAACATGCAATGTTTGGTTTTTCATTTTTTAGTTACTTCACTTAGAATAATGGTGTCCATCTCTATCCAGGTTGATGCAAATGCCATTATTTTATTCCTTTCTGTGGCTGAGTATTATTTTATGGTGTGTATATACAATTTTTTTTATTCACTCATTGTTTGATGGGCATTTATGTTGGATCCATATTTTTGCAGTTTTGAATTGTGCTGCTATCAACCCGCATGTGCAAGTGTCTTATTTATTCATAAAACAACAGAGAGTGGAAGAAAATATTACCAAGCTAAATATCTGACAAAAGACGAATATTCAGAATCTACAAGGAACTCAAACAAATCAGCAAGGATAAATCAAATAATCCCATCAAAAAGTGAGCAAAGAACAAGAATAAACAATTCTCAAAATATATTAGCAAACTTTGCATTTAACAGGGGACTAATATTCAGAATCTACAGGGAACTCAGACAATTCAGTAAAAAAAAACAAAACAAATAATCCCATCAAAAAGTGGGCAAAAACATGAATAGGCCATTCTCAAAAGAAGATATATGAATGGCCAGCAAATATCAAAAAATAGTCAACCTCACTAATTATCAGTGAATTGCAAATTAAAACCACAATGAGATAAAACCTTATTCCTGCATTAATGGCCATAATTTAAAAATGAAAAAAAAAATAGATGTTGGAATACATGTAGTGAAAAGGGAACGTGTTTACACTGCTGATAGGAATGTAAACTGGTACAACTACTATGGAAAACAGTAGAGAAATTCCTTGAAGAACTAAATGTAGAACTACCATTTGATCCAGCAATTTCACTTTGTTGATTATATCTTTTGCTGTGCAGAAGGTTTTTAAATTGATTTGATCTCATTTGTCCATGTTTGCTTTGGTTGCCTGTGCTTATGGGGTATTACTCAAGAAATCTTTAGCAAGACCAATGTCCTAGAGATTTCCTCCAAGATTTTCTTGTTGTAGTTTTATAGTTTTAGGTGTTAAAAGTCTTTAATCTATTTTGATTTTATTTTTGTACGTGGCATGAGATAGTTGTCTAGTTTATTTCTTTTCCATATGAATATACAGTTTTCCCAGGTCTGTTTACTGAATACTGCCTTATTCCCAGTGTATGTACCTGGCACTTTTGTCAAAAATGAGTTCACTATAGGTGTGTGGATTTGTTTCTGCTTTCCCTAGTCAATTCCACTGGACAATGTGTCTGTTTTTATGCCAGTACCATGCTGTTTTAGTGACTATAGCTCTGTAGTAAAATTTCAAGTCAGGTAATATGATTACTACAGTTTTGTTCTTTTTGCATAACATAGCATTGGCTATTCTGTGTCTTTTGTGTTTCTATATATGTTGTAGGGTAGTTTTTTTTCTATTTCTGTTAAGAATGTCATTGGTATTTTGATAGGGATTGCATTGAATCTGTAGATTGCTTTGGTTATCATGGACATTTTAACAGTATTGATTCTTCCAATTCATGAACATGCAATATTTTCAATTTTTTGATATCTGCTTCAATTTCTTTATCAGTGTTTTATAATTTTTTTATTATAAAGATCTCATTTCTATGGTTAAGTCAATTCCTGGGTACTTAATTTTATGTGCGGCTATTATAAATGGGATTATATTTTTATTTCTTTTTCACATCGTTCCATGTTGGCATATAGAAATGCTACTGATTTTTGTATGTTGATTTTGTATTCTGAAGCTTTACTGAATTTGTTTATCAGTTCTAATTGCTTTCTTGTGGCGCCTTTAGGTTTTTCCAATTTAAGATCATATCATCAGCAAAGAAGAATCATTTTGACTATTCCTTTCCAAATTGGATGCCCTTTATATCCTTCTCTTGTCTGATTTCTATAGCTCGGGCTTCCAGTTCTACGTTGAATAACAGTGGTGACAGTGGGCATTCTTGCCATGTTCCAGATCTCAGAGGAAAGGCTTTCACAATTTCTCCATTCTATATGATACTAGCTGTGGGTCCGTCATACATGGCTTTTATTATGGTGAGGTAGGTTCCTTCTATATCCAGTTTTTTTAGGCTTTTTATCATGAAGGGATGTTGAATTTTATCAAGTGCTTTTTCAGCATCAATTTAAATAATCATATGGTTTTTATTCTTCATTCTGTTTATATGATGTATTACATTGAATGTTTTGCATATGTCGAGGTGTCTCAAGGATAAATAACACTTGCTCATAGTGAATGATCTTTCTAATGTATTGTCTAAATTGGTTTGCTGGTATTTTGTTGAGGATTTTTGCATCAATATTCATCAAAGACATGGGCTTGTGGTTTTCTTTTGTTGATGTGTCTTTGTCTGCATTTAGTATCAGGCTAATACTGGCCTCATAGAATGAGTTTGAAAGTATTCCTTCCTCTTCTATTTTTAAATAGTGTAAGTAGGATCGGTATTAGTTCCTCTTTCAATGTTTGGTAGAATTCAGCAGTGAAGCCATCAGGTAGTGGGCTTTTCTTTACTGGAAGATATTTTTATTACAGCATCAATCTCATTACTTTATTGGTCTGGTCAGATTTTGGATTTCTTCTGGGTTCAATCTTGTTAGGTTTTATGCATTTAGAATTTTAACCTCATCTTCTAGATTGTCCAATGTATTGACATATAGCTGCTCATAGTAGCCATTAATAATCCTTTGAATTTCTGCAGTATTAGCTGCAATGTCTCCTTTTTCATTTCTGCTTTTATCTATATCTTCTCTATTTTTTCCCTTAGTTTGGCTAAAGATTGGTCCATTTTGTTTAACTTTTCAAAAAAACAACTTTTTGTTTCATTGATTTTGTATTGGTTTTTTATTTCAATTTTTAAAAATTTGTGCTCCAATATTTATTACCTCTTTTGTTCTACTAATGTTGGGTAAGGGTTGCTCTTGCTTTTACAGTTCTTTAAGATGCATCATTAGATTGTTTATTTGAATTTTTTCTCTTTTTTGATGTAGGCACTTATAGCTATAAACTTCCCTCTTGGTACTGCTTTTGCTGTATTCCACAGATTTTTGGTGTGTTGTGTGTCCATTATCATTTGTTTTAAGAAATTCTTGTTTTCTTCTTAAATTTTTTATAAACCCACTGGTCATTCAGAAGCATACTGTTTATTCTTTATGTAATTGTTTAGCTTCCTAAGTTTCTCACGTTACTAGTTTCTAGTTTTATTTCATTGTGGTCAGAGAAGATGCTTGATATTATTTCAATTTTTTAAATGTTTTAAGAATTGTTTTTTGACCTAAGATATGGTTCATCATTGAGAATGTTCCATGTGCTGAGAAGAATGTGTATTCTGTAGCCTTTGGATGAAATGTTCTGTTAATATATATATTAGATTTATTTGTTCTATAGTGCAGATTAACTCTGAGATTTCCCTTTTGGTTTTCTGTCTAGAAGATCTGTCAAATGCTTAAAGTGGGGTATTGAAGTCTCCAGCTATTATCGTATTGTGGCCTATTTCTCTTTTTAATATTTCTCTCTCTCTAACAATTTTCTTTATATATCTGTGTTGTCCAGTGTTGGGTGCATATATATTTAAAATTAGATCCTCTTGCTGAATTGACCCATTTATCATTATATAGTGACCTTTGTCTCTTCTAGTATTTTGTCTCTTAAAATCTCTTTTGTCTGATATAAGTATAGTGACTCCTGCTCTTTTTTGATTTCCATTAGCATGGAATATCTTTCTTCTTCCCTTTATTTTGAGTCTATATGTATCTTCATAGGTGAGGGTGTTTCTTGTAGGCCACAGGTATATGGGTCTTATTTTTTCATCCATTCAGCCAGTCTATGTCTTTTGATTGGAGAGTTTATATTTCCAGATGATTTCTTATTGTTCATTAATGTTCTTTTCTTTTTGACTGAAGTACTCCCTTTAGCATTTCTGGGAGAATGGGTCTGGTATTGATGAAATCCCTCAACTTTTGTTTGTGTGGAAAAGTCTGTATTTCTCTTTCGTGCTTGGAGGATATTTTCACTGGGTATACTATTCTAGGGTGAAAGGTTGTTTTGTTGTTGTTGTTTGTTTGTTTTTACTTCAGCACTTTAAATATGCCATGCCACTCTCTTCTGGCCTATAAGGTTTCCATTGAAAAGTCTGCTGCCCAATGTATTGGAGCTGCATTGTATGTTATTTGTTTCTTTTCTCTTGTTGCTTTTAGGATTCTTTCTTTATCCTTGACCTTTGGAAGTTAGATTATTAAATACCTTGAGGTACTCTTCTTTGGGAAAAATCTGTTTGGTATTCTATAGCCTTCTTGTACGTGAACATTGATAGCTTTCTCTAGCTTTAGGAAGTTTTCTGTCATCCTTTTGAATAAACCTTCTAGCCTTTCTCTTTCTCTATCTCCTCTTTCATACCAATTATGCTTGGATTTTCCCTTTTGAGGCTGTTTTCTAAATCCTGTAGATGTGCTTCATTATTTTTTATTCTTTTTACTTTTGTCTACTCTGACTGTGTATTCTCAAATAGCCTGTCTTCAAGCTCACTAATTCTTCTTCTGCTTGATCCATTCTGCTATTAAAGTTCTGTGATGCATTCTTCAGCACACCAATTGCATTTTTCAGTTCCAGAATTTCTGCTTGATTCTTTTTAATTATTTGAATCCCTTTGTTAAATTTGTATGATAGAATTCTGAATTCCTTCTGTTTGTTATCTTGAATTTCTTTGAGTTTCTGCAACACAGTTCTTTTGAATTCTCTGGCTTTTTGGTCATATATCTCTGTTTCTCCAGGATTGGTCAATGGTGTGTTATTTAGTTCCTTTGGTGAGGCCATGTTTTCCTGGATGGTGTTGATGCTAATGGATGCTCTTCAGTTTCTGGACACTGAAGAGTCAGGCATTTATTGTAGTCTTCACTGTCTGGCCTTATTGTAGCCATTATTCTTGGGAAGACTTTCCAGATATTTGAAAGGACTTGGTTGTTGTAATCTACACTGTTTCTGCTTTAGGGAGCACACTGAGCCCAGCAACACTGTGGTTCTTACAGACTCATAGAGGTAACTTCTTGATGGTGTTTGACAATATCTAGAAGAATTCTCTGGATTACCAGGCAGAGACTTTTGTTCTCTTCTTACTTTCTCCAAAACAAACAGAGTCTCTCTCTCTGTTCTGAGTCACCGAAAGCTGGGGGTGGAGTGACACAAGTACTCCTGTGGCCACTTCACTTATGACTGTGCTGGGTTAGACTGAACTCAGCACAGCACTGGGTCTTGTCCGAGGCCTGCTGTGACCACCCCCTGGCTACTGCCTGTATTTGTTCAAGGCTCTGGGCCTCTACAGTCAACAGATGGCAAAGCCAGCCAGGCCTGTTGTCCTTCCATTCAGGGCAATGAGGTCCCCCATTCCCCTGGTAGGTCCAGAAATGCTGTTCTAGGAGTCAGGGAATAGTCAAAAACCTGAGAAGTCTACCTGGTGTTCTATTGTACTGTGGCTGAGCTGGCACTCAATTACAAGAAGCAGTCCTTCCCTCTATTTCTCTGCTTTCCAGAGGGAGAGGAGGCTTACCCTACAGCTACCACCACCCTTGGCCAAGAGGAGTACTGCCAGAATACCACTGAAGTTGCCTTAAGGCCTAAGGTCTCTTAAGTTGGCTAGTGGTGAATGCTGCCTAGCCTGGGCAGTGGGCTCCCCTCTGACCCAGGGCAGGTCCAGAAATGCCATCTAAGAGTCAAATCCTGGACAGGGACCCCAAGATCCCACTTGATGCTCTACCTGCCTGTGGCAGTGTTGGTACCTGAGGTGTAAGGCCTTTACTTTTTTCTCTGCTTTTCTCAAGCAGAAGGAGTTTTTCCCCATAGCCACCACATCTGATAATGTGCTGAGTCTCGCCTGAAGCCAACTAGTCTCAGAGGCTCACCAAGGCCCTCAGTGTAGTACTGGGGTATCACCGCTGGTTATACAGGACACAAAGGCACTGCATTTAGCAGGTGATGAATGCTGCAAGGACTGAGTCCTTTCCTTCAAGGCAGTTGGTTCCTTTCTGGCCCAGTGTCTATCTAGAAATGTCATCTGAAAGCTAGGGCCTGGAACAGGGGCCTCATGATTCTGACTAGTGCCTTATCCTGCTGTGACTGGGCTGTTATCCTAGGTGCAAGACAAAATTCTCACCACTTTTCCCTCTACTCTCCTCAGGTGGAAGAAAGGGGTGTCTTTTGGAACTGTGAGCTGTGCAGCTTGGGTTTAGGGGAGGGGTGATATCACCACTCCCTTTGCTGCCTCTGCTGTCATCTCAGTAGATTGCTGCTGTCTTAGTCCACTGGCTCTGTACCTATTTCAGTGCTAGCATCTGTATAAGAGCTGCAGTTCTTGTGGCCTAGACTGCCTTTCACATTTACCTAGAGATCCCGAACACTTTAGCCTGCACTGGGAAGGCTTCCGGGTCCCAAGTTCTAGCAGTTGCAGTGATTTCCCTCTGGCTAGGGCTGGTTTAAGTGCTCCCTCTGTGGGTGGGTGCCAGCTGAGGTGGGTCCAGGTTCCTTTCTGCTCTAACAGAACTGTACAGTTTAATGTCTCACAATTGCTGTGTTCTCTCTTCGCCAGTGCCTAGAGAGGCTTTCCACAGCTCACAGCTGCTGCGAGCAGTGGTGGAGGCGTGGTTTTGGATATTCAGAACTGTTTTTCATATCTCTTCAGTGCCTCTTTTAGCGATATGAAGTTAAAACTAGGTACTGTGAGTACTCACCTGACTTTTGGGTCTTATGAAGGTGACCTTTTCCGTGTAGATGCTTGTGAAATTGGTGTCTTTGAAGGGAGGACAATTGGTGGAGCTTTCTATTCTGCCATCTTGCTCCACCTATTCCTGCCTATCATTTGCTTTTTTCTGTTCCTGTTTTTATAGCTGCCTTATGGTGTATTTATATATATCTGCTGCTGGTTCCTGATTGGTGATTACTTATCTTTGAATAAACTAAGTCTTCATAGACCAGAAATTGATAGGCATTTATATGGAGGAGGGGCTAGAGAAGTGATCATTTGTTTATGAAACAGTGTCGTATGTGAGGTATTTAACATTAACATTTTACTTCTCTGAAACTAACCGTAGACTGCTTGTTGTTTAATGTTTCAATCTGTTTGGCTTCTGTTTATGCGTAATTGAATACAGGGAGTACAGAAAAGTACTCTTTGAATGACTATGTTTGCCTTTCTAAACAACAGAATTTGCTTTTGCCCTTCAGGAAATGTCACACGTGTTGGCAATTTTAACTCTGTCTCTTTGATATTCATAACCACTGACTTTCTTTCTAGTTGTATTTCTAGGAGTCTTCTGAGTTTCTCTGCGTTGGCAGCCCTTCCTGACATACTGTGGCATGAAGTTATGGAACTCTTGTAATTTTACTACAATTAACAAGAAATTTTGTTGGAATCTTTTTATGGGATGATTTTTGAATACCGTGAGAATGACTTTCTTTATTCCTTTTTAAAATTTGAAGTCTAGAAGACTCCACACAATTTACATTTTGAAACTTTTATACCTTAGTGAGTCCATTTACCCTCTCCAGTTTAAAGTAATTAGTTTCTCTTCCTATATCTATAATAATAAATATTAAATAACTCATTCAAATTAAGAGAGTCTTGATACATTTCTAATGTTTATATTTTTAAGATGCTATAAACCGTTTTTCAAATATTTTTCCTTCTGGTAAGAGTTTTGGCTATATTATTAAACTTCTAGTTTACCTATGTATTCTTGGTTCATTAAGAGATATGTAGTTTTACAACGTATATTTGACCCTTTCATTATTGTAGATGATTTTGCAATATCAACTACAAACACTGCTTTATTTTCCTGCTTAGTACTGTCACATAGAATTTTAAAATATCTGTCATCTACAGGTTTATAATGAACTGTGTGCTAAACACTGTGTCAAATCAGTTCATTAGTAGCTTGACCAATTGCTTTCTCTTTTCATTGTTTCTTTCCATCACTGCTGCCAGCTGTGGCCCAGTTCCAAAATTACATCTAACAACATAAAATAGCTGTGAATAGTGAGATAGATTTTAAAATATTAAAGATTTTTCTTTGATATTTTAGACATAATCCATCTGCCAGTAACTATGAAGTGACCTTCCTATAAGACTGAAGATGCGTGTGTGAATAGAGATATAGACAGATAAATAGATACTTATTGATATAGATAAATAGAATGATATGCATGTATGTGCAAACATGAAGACAAAACTCATACCTATATGCAATCACCACTTTATAAAGTAATTAGTTTCCAAAGGCATTGTTTACTTTAGTAATTGAAATGTAGAATTACTTTTCCTATATAAAAATAATATAGTTTCCAAGGTCAGATAACAAAAATCCATATAATCTATATAACTCAGCAATGAATTAAAGCAATTGAGACCGCCACTAGATGGAATGGGTTATGGATTATTTTAAAAATAAAAAAAAACTTTAAATGTTTTATGTCCAAAGAGGTTCATCAAGGTGTTGTTTATAAAAGATACAAGCAAGAATGCTAAAGCAAATTAAATACATCTGTATGCAGCCCTCAAATGGTTCATACAAAGTTCCTGATAAACTGGGGAAATGTTTGTTATAATAACTTTAAAGTAAATAATTGCAGAACACAAAAGCACGTAGTAGTGGTGGTGGTGGTACTGGTGATGGTATTATTAGTAGTACCAGTGGTAATAGCAGCTAAGTATTCATTGAGTTCTTACTCAAAGCCAGGCATGGATCATTTCATTTAATCTTCACGATTATATGGAGAAGTAGATGATATTTTTCTAACCTTACGGATGAGAAGAATAAAGCACAGAGAGCTTAAATGACTTGTCAAAAAGTCACACAGCTAGGGAATGAAAAGCAAAAAGAAATGTGAATCCAATCTATTTCATCAAAATGCAAAAAATATTATATACAGAAAATATGTGTATATAAATGTATATAGCAGTAATTAAAAAGCTAAATAGCTGTCCTTGTTTAATGGCACTACCTATGATTTTGCATTTTTTTCTTTTTCTATGTTTTACATACTTTTATATTCAATATAAATTTATTTATATTTGGAAAAGGAGGTTTAAGAATAATGGTTGTCGAGCAGCTATATGAAAAGAAAAACACAATTATCAAGGGGTTAATTTGTACTACAGGTAGTATAACTAGTTTATAAAATTATGAAATATGCTATGTTCGTACCAATTGGAAAAGAATTCTGAATTTAATGAGGTTGAAGCAGCTTAGCAATCATTAACATGCATACTTTTGTAAGTGTGTATAACAAATTTATAAACGGAAGCTTTTAAATAGCATAACAGGATTATATTTAAACATTTACCAAATATGACAGTTTCACAAAGGTTTCATGAGTTAAAATGTCTTTCACACACACTCTATTTACAGTGACCACATTGTGTGTATAATTATGTTGTCACTTATGTGAGTTAATCTCATGAAAAAAATAAAACATGAGCTTGAGAATTTAGTTTATAACTTTTATATAAGATTTCAATAGAGTGGACAGTTTGGACTCAACATTGGTACAAGATATGATAGATATTTATGTTTGTAAAGTATTATTTTCCTATGATACCAAACAAACACAAAAGGTTGCTGCTCTGGAGTTGAAGACTGCAATGCTGGGAGATCTATGTACCAGGCTATGATTTTAAAAACTGTATTCCTTTTCCACAGAATTCTCATAGAAGTGTTGTTCCAGAGGACATACAGTATTTTTGACTTGCCTTCTTGTTTAAAATGTGGAGAGGTAGGAAGAATCCAGACATCCCTCACAAACGTGACTTATGTGCTACTAGAAGGCTGGAGAAAAAAAGGAGTATGTTCTGAATATTACATTTATGAGTTGGCTTGGATGTCATCCAAAATCATTGAAAAGAGCTAACAGACCTACATGCCAAATCCCAGAACCATGTTCAAGTTGTTTAGCAAAGACTTCAGACTAAGAATCAATGTTACCAACAGTTACAACTGCCAGCGGCTTTGAGAATAACTTGAAAACATGACATTTTGGATTTTTGAAATATTTTTATGGCAATAGAGATGGGTAAAACACATATTTAAGTAGTACACCACTTTATCTTATGTCAGTAATTACTGGCTTGGGCTTCTGAGATGTCTCTATCAATCCTTTGAAAATACAGTTAGAAGTGAAGCATGCTATGGGTGAGCAAAACTTTTGTCTCATTTAAAAAAAATTTTTAAAAAGAACCAGTAGCTATTTTTGCAACTTTTATTTTAGATTCAGGGGGTACATGTTTAAGTTTGTTAAATGATAATATTGCTTGATGCTGAGGTTTGGAGAACAAATGATCCCATCACCCAGGTAGTGAGCATAGTACCCAATAGGTAGTTTTTCAGCTCTTTTCTCCCTTCTTTCCTCTCCCCTCTAATAGTTCACAGTGTCTATTATTCCCGTCTTTATATCCATGAAAACCCAATGGTTAGCTCCCACTTATAAGTGAGAACATACAGTATTTGGTTTTCTGTTCTTGTGTTAATTTGCTTAGGATAATGACCTCTAGTTGCATCCATGTTGCTGCAAAGGGCATGATTTCATTCTTGCTGAGGCTGTATAATATTCCCTGGTGTATATGTACAGCATTTTCTTTATCCAATCCCCCATCTATGGTCACTGAAATTTAGTCCATGTCTTTGCTATTGAGATGAAAATATATGAGTGTGTGTGTCTTTTTGGTAGAATAATTTATTTTCCCTCTGGTGTACACCCAGTAATGGGATTGCTGGGTCGAATGGTCGTTCTGTTTTAAAGTTCTTTGAGAAATCACCAAAATGTTTCCCACAATGGCTGAACTAATGCACATTCCTAACAGTGTATAAGCATTTCTTTTTTTCTGCAGGCTGGCTAGCAACTGTTATTTTTTGACTTTTTATTAATAGCCATTCTGGCTGGTGTGAAATGTTATCTTGTTGTTCTGATTTATATTTCTCTGATGATTAATGATGTTGAGCATTTTTAAATTTTCATTAGCCACTTGCATGTCTTCTTCTGAGAAGTGTCTGTTCATGTGTTTGCCCGCTTTTGATAGGGTTTTTTATTCTTTGCCTGTGGAGTTATTTAAGTTTCTTATAGAGTCTGGATATTAGACCTTTGTCAAATGCATAGTTTGCAAATATTGTCTCCCATTCTGTAGGTGGTCTGTTTACTCTGTTGATCGTTTATTTTGCTTTGCAGAAGCTCTTTAGCTTAGTAAGCTAAACATCTCTTAGTTAGCTAAAGAGCTTGTGAACAGCCAATTTGTCAATTTTTGTTTTTGTTGTGATTGCTTTTGAGGATTTAGCCGTAAACACTTTGCCAAGGTTGATGCTGAGAAGAGTATTTCCTAGGGTTTCTTCTAGGATTTGTTATAGTTTGAGGTCTTACATTTACATCTTTAATTTATCTTCAGTTAATTTTTATAGTGAAAGGTAGGGTCCCAGTTTCATTCTTCTGCATATGGTTAGACAGCTATCTCAGCACCATTTATTGAATAGGGAGTCCTTCCCCATTGCTAATTTTGGTCAAGTTTTTCAAAGATGATTGTAGGTGTGCAGCTTTATTTCTGAGTACTCTATTCTGTTCCACTAGTATATGCATCTGTTTTTATAGCAGTACCATACTTTTTTTTTTTTTTTACTGTAGACTAATAATATCATTTGAAGTCAGATAATGTGATGCCTCTGGCTATGTTCTTTTTGCTTAGGATTGTTTTGGCTATTTGGGCTATTTTTTTGGTTCCATATGAATTTAGAATTGTTTTTCTAAATCTGTAAAAAAATGATGTTGGTAGTTTGATAGGAGTAGCACTTTATCTATAGATTTCTTTGGGCAATATGGCTATTTTAATGATATTGATTCTTCCAATCTTTGATCATGGAGTGTTTTTCCATTTGTTTGTGTCATTTCTAATTTTAACCAATGTTTTGTAGTTCTCCTTGTACAGGTCTTTTACCACCTTGGTTAAATGCATTCCTAGGTATATTATTTGTTTTGTGGCTATTGTAAATGGGGTTGTCTTCTTGATTTGACTATCAGCTTGAACACTTGTTGGTATATAGAAATGCTACTGATTTTTGTACATTGAAAAAACTAAATTTTTTCTTGTGAATTGCTTCTAACTGGTTTTCAGTGACTTCTAACTAAATAATTACTTTTGAGATAATTGTAGACTCACTTGCAGTGATATGAAATAATACAGGAAGGGGGGGAGGAGCCAAGATGGCCGAATAGGAACAGCTCCGGTCTACAGCTCCCAGCATGAGCGACGCAGAAGACGGGTGATTTCTGCATTTCCATCTGAGGTACCGGGTTCATCTCACTAGGGAGTGCCAGACAGTGGGCGCAGGCCAGTGGGTGTGCGCACCGTGCACGAGCCGAAGCAGGGCGAGGCATTACCTCACCTGGGAAGCGCAAGGGGTCAGGGAGTTCCCTTTCCGAGTCAAAGAAAGGGGTGACGGACGCACCTGGAAAATCGGGTCACTCCCACCCGAATACTGCGCTTTTCAGACCGGCTTAAAAAACGGCGCACCACGAGACTATATCCCACACCTGGCTCGGAGGGTCCTACGCCCACGGAATCTCGCTGATTGCTAGCACAGCAGTCTGAGATCAAACTGCAAGGCGGCAGCGAGGCTGGGGGAGGGGAGCCCGCCATTGCCCAGGCTTGCTTAGGTAAACAAAGCAGCCGGGAAGCTCGAACTGGGTGGAGCCCACCACAGCTCAAGGAGGCCTGCCTGCCTCTGTAGGCTCCACCTCTGGGGGCAGGGCACAGACAAACAAAAAGACAGCAGTAACCTCTGCAGACTTAAATGTCCCTGTCTGACAGCTTTGAAGAGAGCAGTGGTTCTCCCAGCACGCAGCTGGAGATCTGAGAACGGGCAGACTACCTCCTCAAGTGGGTCCCTGACCCCTGACCCCCGAGCAGCCTAACTGGGAGGCACCCCCCAGCAGGGGCACACTGACACCTCACATGGCAGGGTATTCCAACAGACCTGCAGCTGAGGGTCCTGTCTGTTAGAAGGAAAACTAACAAACAGAAAGGACATCCACACCAAAAACCCATCTGTACATCACCATCATCAAAGACCAAAAGTAGATAAAACCACAAAGATGGGGAAAAAACAGAACAGAAAAACTGGAAACTCTAAAACGCAGAGCGCCTCTCCTCCTCCAAAGGAACGCAGTTCCTCACCAGCAACGGAACAAAGGTGGATGGAGAATGACTTTGACGAGCTGAGAGAAGAAGGTTTCAGACAATCAAATTACTCTGAGCTACGGGAGGACATTCAAACCAAAGGCAAAGAAGTTGAAAACTTTGAAAAAAATTTAGAAGAATGTATAACTAGAATAACCAATACAGAGAAGTGCTTAAAGGAGCTGATGGAGCTGAAAACCAAGGCTCGAGAACTATGTGAAGAATGCAGAAGCCTCAGGAGCCGATGCGATCAACTGGAAGAAAGGGTATCAGCAATGGAAGATGAAATGAATGAAATGAAGTGAGAAGGGAAGTTTAGAGAAAAAAGAATAAAAAGAAATGAGCAAAGCCTCCAAGAAATATGGGACTATGTGAGAAGACCAAATCTACGTCTGATTGGTGTACCTGAAAGTGATGCAGAGAATGGAACCAAGTTGGAAAACACTCTGCAGGATATTATCCAGCAGAACTTCCCCAATCTAGCAAGGCAGGCCAATGTTCAGATTCAGGAAATACAGAGAACGCCACAAAGATACTCCTCGAGAAGAGCAACTCCAAGACACATAATTGTCAGATTCACCAAAGTTGAAATGAAGGAAAAAATGTTAAGGGCAGCCAGAGAGAAAGGTCGGGTTACCCTCAAAGGGAAGCCCATCAGACTAACAGCGGATCTCTCGGCAGAAACCCTACAAGCCAGAAGAGAGTGGGGGCCAATATTCAACATTCTTAAAGAAAAGAATTTTAAACCCAGAATTTCATATCCAGCCAAACTAAGCTTCATAAGTGAAGGAGAAATAAAATACTTTACAGACAAGCAAATGCTGAGAGATTTTCTCACCACCAGACCTGCCCTAAAAGAGCTCCTGAAGGAAGCGCTAAACATGGAAAGGAACAACCGGTACCAGCCACTGCAAAATCATGCCAAAATGTAAAGACCATCGAGACTAGGAAGAAACTGCATCAACTAAAGAGCAAAATCACCAGCGAACATCATAATGACAGGATCAAATTCACACATAACAATATTAACTTTAAATGTAAATGGACTAAATGCTCCAATTAAAAGACACAGACTGGCAAGTTGGATAAAGAGTCAAGACCCATCAGTGTGCTGTATTCAGGAAACCCATCTCACGTGCAGAGACACACATAGGCTGAAAATAAAAGGATGGAGGAAGATCTACCAAGCAAATGGAAAACAAAAAAAGGCAGGGGTTGCAATCCTAGTCTCTGATAAAACAGACTTTAAACCAACAAAGATCAAAAGAGACAAAGAAGGCCATTACATAATGGTAAAGGGATCAATTCAACAAGAGGAGCTAACTATCCTACATATATATGCACCCAATACAGGAGCACCCAGATTCATAAAGCAAGTCCTGAGTGACATACAAAGAGACTTAGACTCCCACACATTAATAATGGGAGACTTTAACACCCCACTGTCAACATTAGACAGATCAACGAGACAGAAAGTCAACAAGGATACCCAGGAATTGAACTCATCTCTGCACCAAGCGGACCTAATAGACATCTACAGAACTCTCCACCCCAAATCAACAGAATATACATTTTTTTCAGCACCACACCACACCTATTCCAAAATTGACCACATAGTTGGAAGTAAAGCTCTCCTCAGCAAATGTAAAAGAACAGAAATTATAACAAACTATCTCTCAGACCACGGTGCAATCAAACTAGAACTCAGGATTAAGAATCTCACTCAAAGCTGCTCAACTACATGGAAACTGAACAACCTGCTCCTGAATGACTACTGGGTACATAACGAAATGAAGGCAGAAATAAAGATGTTCTTTGAAACCAACGAGAACAAAGACACAACATACCAGAATCTCTGGGATGCATTCAAAGCAGTGTGTAGAGGGAAATTTATAGCACTAAATGCCCACAAGAGAAAGCAGAAAAGATCCAAAATTGACACCCTAACATCACAATTAAAAGAACTAGAAAAGCAAGAGCAAACACATTCAAAAGCTAGCAGAAGGCAAGAAATAAGTAAAATCAGAGCAGAACTGAAGGAAATAGAGACACAAAAAACCCTTCAAAAAATCAATGAATCCAGGAGCTGGTTTTTTGAAAGGATCAACAAAATTGATAGACCACTAGCAAGACTAATAAAGAAAAAAAGAGAGGAGAATCAAATAGACACAATAAAAAATGATAAAGGGGATATCACCACCGATCCCACAGAAATACAAACTACCATCAGAGAATACTACAAACACCTCTACGCAAATAAACTAGAAAATCTAGAAGAAATGGATACATTCCTTGACACATACACTCCCCCAAGACTAAACCAGGAAGAAGTTGAATATCTGAATAGACCAATAACAGGAGCTGAAATTGTGGCAATAATCAATAGTTTACCAACCAAAAAGAGTCCAGGACCAGATGGATTCACAGCCGAATTCTACCAGAGGTACAAGGAGGAACTGGTACCATTCCTTCTGAAACTATTCCAATCAATAGAAAAAGAGGGAATCCTCTCTAACTCATTTTATGAGGCCAGCATCATTCTGATACCAAAGCCGGGCAGAGACACAACCAAAAAAGAGAATTTTAGACCAATATCCTTGATGAACATTGATGCAAAAATCCTCAATAAAATACTGGCAAACCGAATCCAGCAGCACATCAAAAAGCTTATCCACCATGATCAAGTGGGCTTCATCCCTGGGATGCAAGGCTGGTTCAATATATGCAAATCAATAAATGTAATCCAGCATATAAACAGAGCCAAAGACAAAAACCACATGATTATCGCAATAGATGCAGAAAAAGCCTTTGACAAAATTCAACAACGCTTCATGCTAAAAACTCTCAATAAATTAGGTATTGATGGGACGTATTTCAAAATAATAAGAGCTATTTATGACAAACCCACAGCCAATATCATACTGAATGGGCAAAAACTGGAAGCATTCCCTTTGAAAACTGCCACAAGACAGGGATGCCCTCTCTCACCACTCCTATTCAACATAGTGTTGGAAGTTCTGGCGAGGGCAATCAGGCAGGAGAAGGAAATAAAGGGTATTCAATTAGGGAAAGAGGAAGTCAAATTGTCCCTGTTTGCAGACGACATGATTGTATATCTAGAAAACCCCATCGTCTCAGCCCAAAATCTCCTTAAGCTGATAAGCAACTTCAGCAAAGTCTCAGGATACAAAATCAATGTCCAAAAATCACAAGCATTCTTATACACCAACAACAGACAAACAGAGAGCCAAATCATGAGTGAACTCCCATTCACAATTGCTTCAAAGAGAATAAAATACCTAGGAATCCAACTTACAAGGGATGTGAAGGACCTCTTCAAGGAGAACTACAAACCACTGCTCAAGGAAATAAAAGAGGATACAAACAAATGGAAGAACATTCCATGCTCATGGGTAGGAAGAATCAATATCGTGAAAATGGCCATACTGCCCAAGGTAATTTACAGATTCAATGCCATCCCCATCAAGCTACCAATGACTTTCTTCACAGAATTGGAAAAAACTACTTTAAAGTTCATATGGAACCAAAAAAGAGCCCGCATCGCCAAGTCAATCCTAAGCCAAAAGAACAAAGCTGGAGGCATCACACTACCTGACTTCAAACTATACTACAAGGCTACAGTAACCAAAACAGCATGGTCCTGGTACCAAAACAGAGATATAGATCAATGGAACAGAACAGAGCCCTCAGAAATAACACCGCATACCTACAACTATCTGATCTTTGACAAATCTGAGAAAAACAAGCAATGGGGAAAGGATTACCTATTTAATAAATGGTGCTGGGAAAACTGGCTAGCCATATGTAGAAAGCTGAAACTGGATCCCTTCCTTACATCTTATACAAAAATCAATTCAAGATGGATTAAAGATTTAAACGTTAGACCTAAAACCATAAAAACCCTAGAAGAAAACCTAGGCATTACCATTCAGGACATAGGCGTGGGCAAGGACTTCATGTACAAAACACCAAAAGCAATGGCAACAAAAGCAAAAATTGACAAATGGGATCTAATTAAACTAAAGAGCTTCTGCACAGCAAAAGAAACTACCATCAGAGTGAACAGGCAACCTACAACATGGGAGAAAATTTTCGCAACCTACTCATCTGACAAAGGGCTAATATCCAGAATCTACAATGAACTCAAACAAATTTACAAGAAAAAAACAAACAACCCCATCAAAAAGTGGGCGAAGGACATGAACAGACACTTCTCAAAAGAAGACATTTATGCAGCCAAAAAATACATGAAAAAATGCTCATCATCACTGGCCATCAGAGAAATGCAAATCAAAACCACTAAGAGATACCATCTCACACCAGTTAGAATGGCAATCATTAAAAAGTCAGGAAACAACAGGTGCTGGAGAGGATGTGGAGAAATAGGAACACTTTTACACTGTTGGTGGGACTGTAAACTAGTTCAACCATTGTGGAAGTCAGTGTGGAGATTCCTCAGGGATCTAGAACTAGAAATACCATTTGACCCAGCCATCCCATTACTGGGTATATACCCAAGTGACTATAAATCATCCTGCTATAAAGACACATGCACACGTATGTTTATTGCGGCATTATTCACAATAGCAAAGACTTGGAACCAACCCAAATGTCCAACAATGATAGACTGGATTAAGAAAAAGTGGCACATATACACCATGGTATACTATGCAGCCATAAAAAATGATGAGTTCATGTCCTTTGTAGGGACATGGATGAAATTGGAAACCATCATTCTCAGTAAACTATCGCAAGAACAAAAAACCAAATACTGCATATTCTCACTCATAGGTGGGAATTGAACAATGAGATCACATGGTCACAGGAAGGGGAATATCACACTCTGGGGACTGTTGTGGGGTGGGGGGAGGGGGGAGGGGTAGCATTGGGAGATATACCTAATGCTAGATGACGAGTTAGTGGGTGCAGCGCACCAGCATGGCACATGTATACATATGTAACTAACCTGCACAATGTGCACATGTACCCTAAAACTTAAAGTATAATAAAAAAAAAAAAAAAGAAATAATACAGGAAGGTCTCGTGTTTGTTTAATCAGTTTCTCCCAATGGCAACACCTTCATTACTATATCACAACTAGGATATTGACATTGAAATAGTCAAGATCCAGAACAATTCCATTGTCACAAGGGTCCCGTGAGTGTCATTATTATAGCTACACCCACTTTTCTGCAACTCATCTTGCCCCAACACCCAGAAACCTCTAATCTGTTCTCCATTTCTATAATCTTATCATTTCCAATCACTTTAAACAATTATCTATATTGAATTCTCCCTCCTATCTTTCAACACTTTTTTGTGCTTAATTTTTACTCAGAAAATTTTTGACTCTGGCTTTAATATATCTTCATCTCTTTCGTAAGTTAATAAATGTCCAGGAAATGACCTAAACCCAGTTTAGGTAGAATTACCAGAAGTTTAGAAGTCATTCATCCAACTACTATTTATTGAGTATCATATGCAGGATACTGTTCTATGCATAAGGAAACTTGATGAATAAGATGGACAAGGTCCCAGTCCACATATAACTTGTATTCTAATGGGGAGAAACACACAATGAACAAATTTTTTAAAAAGATAAAATACACAAGTTTTAAACCCATTCCTGTACATTTTTCTCATTTATCTACATATACTCAAGAGGAAACCATTATGCTAGATTGTACACTCCATGAAAGCAGACACTTTGTTTCTCTTGTTTACTTTTTTATCCCCAGCACTCAGTACGATGCTGAGCACATAGTAGATGGTTATTTATTCAAGCAATATTTATGGAGCTTATAATGTGGCCCCAGGCACAGTTGTAGGCATTGAGATTATAGCAAGAACCAGACAAAACTCTGTGTTCTCACACAGTTTATGTAAATACTAAAGCTAGCTGGCAGAAAATAAGTTTTTAATAACCTGACACTATCACCATTGCTATTATCATTGCTTTCACTATTATTAAAATTACTGCAACTGATTCATAAATATAAATGTTGTATAACTTTCTGAAAACATAAGAACAAATATGCAAGAAAATCCAGTGTAAAATTACACAAAGGTTAATGTTAATATTATATACCCTTTCCTCCTAAACCACAAAAGATGTTTCAACTTTCCTCTCGGTGAGCAGTGTTCTAGATATCCTTTCCACAACTGATACATCTAGCTAACTTTCACCTGGATATTTATTCTGAATGCATCATAGAAGTTCAGGTAGTCATTCAAAAGCAGGAAAATGCTATTACTAATAATATCAAATAGCTAGTTTTGTGGAAAACAAAACAAAAACAACTTTGGCTTATGGTGCATCATTGTTTCCAGTAAATTATACATTCTATTTGTTTTTGGTAGATAATTTTTTTTTTGTATATCAAAATATCTCCTTAGTTGACATGTGGACAAGACTGTTCAGGATTGGGCTGAGTACAAAGAGCACTTGCCAAGAATATCTGATTGAATACAGAGAATAGCAAGTTGTCACCCATTATCAACATGCATAAAGGGAACTCCATAGGTGATTTGGGGTTGCTTGCTCCTGTTTTGATGAAATGAAAATGCTTTCATCTAATATACCTCCAGCTCCAGGAATGATGTGTAATATTATTTTGTACATATGACTACTCTTATTTGAGGCTTTTCTCTCTTGACCTTGCTTATCTTCTCCTGTCTGTTTGGGCATTGGTGGTTTGCAGAAAGCATTCGTTGATAATTTTCCTCCCTTTTTAACTTATTTTTCTTTGGTGGGAAGAGTAAGATTTGAGGATCAAATCTCAGAGGAAGTTTAGGATTTCTTTTTTTCTTTTTTGACTAAACGGCTCTTCAAAGCAGAACCCAGGCTGATGGGATGACATTTCTTACTTCAAATTTCTTGTGGTTTATTCAATATAGATGTAAATTTAACATTATCTGGCCTTTAAAGGAAGAACACACCAGAGAAGATAAAACCAAACCAAAAATAGCTGTGAGAAACAAACATGTGGAAACATCTGATACTAGTAGCATGCTTTTCTTTTCCGTCACCATTACCACTATTCTAATCTTGGCACATGCAATCTAATACCTAAGACCATCTCTTAGAAAACCCCTTAGTGGAATTGCCACTGCCTCTCAAGAGCCTCCTCCCTCCCCACTCTATCTTCACTTCAATTCATCTTATACAATTGGCCTAAAATTAGTTTCCTAAAACACTTTCACCACTTCCATCATGTTACTGTAAATCTAAATCAAAATCAAATCTAAATCATGTTACTATAAAAATCTAAAAGCAAAAAAATCGCCACCTCGGCTATTCAGAATTATGAGTCTGGGTTAGAGTACTGGATTATTTATTTTTGAAGCTCCTAGGTCATTCTGAAGTGCAGGCAAGACTGAGGAATTGCTGGACTTCAACTCAAAGCCCGAAGCCATTAACTTTACATCCAAGCTCAATTTAATCTAGCCTTAAAGCTATTACATTTACCTGAAAATATATATTTAAACTAAATAAACTTCATTAATTTTTGTATTTTCTAATTGATTCAAGTGTGAACTAGATTTTTCTATCACTTATTCAAAACAAATGAATTTTAAATGCAGATCTAACTTTCACACAGAGAGAATATGAAATGCTCAACTTTCAGTTTTCCAGCTACATAATTTTAAAAGGCAGCTGCTTTTCTCATTTCTTTGAGTGCTAGAAGGCCTCTGGCTATAGCCCTATATATAACATAAAAGAATAGAAGCAATGCAATAAATGCTATTGTTGCAAGTAAAACCTTCATTATTGGGCTACTTTAAGACATAATATCTGCTAAAATCTGCATCTACTTTGAGTATGTGTAATTGTTTATTCCAAATACAGGAAAATAAGGCTTATTATGAAAGCTTAATTGCATTAAACACAAATATAGGTAACTCGTTTTGTTGCATGAGTAGTCTTAAGGAAGACACAAGCTGTTGAGTGGAGTAAGTTATTCAAAATATTGATGACTTGGAGAGAGCAAACTATCTTATTTTATTCAAAGTTGTGCTAATTAATAAACTTCCTGAGTAGTAAAGGCTGATGATATCAGAAGGTTTTGATGTTTAACAAACCAGTACTGTTTGTTTGTTCTCTTTGAAATCCCAGGCCTTTACTGAGGACTGAATTATCAGTGGTTTATATTTTTAAAATTTCGTATCACTTTAACAGACATGATTTCCTAGTAGCTCATCCACACTCACATAAAGTGTCATGCATGTTTATACTAAATATTGAAGCTAAGCAACTGTATAATTGGGAATTTTTCTGAATATGTAATGTGTACCTCTGATCCTCAACAGTAAAATGGACACAGGATTGGTTATTTGTTGCTATGTAAAAGTTACCCCAAAGCATAATAGTATAAAACAATCAGCATTTATCATATCACACATTTTATGGGTTAGGAATTTGGGAGCAGCTTAGCTGTGTGATTTTGGCTCAAGATTCCTCATGAAAAGCTGACCAACTCTCCTGGTGTTCCTGGGACTGAAGGAGTTACAGCAATGTGGGCTTTCAATTTTAAAATTGGGATATTCCTTGCTAAACTGGAAAAAGTTGGTCATGCACACTGGATGCCTGGAATGCAGGAGTTTCAGTGCTAAAACACAAGAAAGTCCTGAGCAAATTGAGGCAAGCTGTTCACTTTACTCTTGAGATAGAAGTCAAGATAAAGGTTGAGGCTACAGTCGTCTGCAGGCTTGACTGGGCCTGCAGGATCCGTTTTCATACACAATCACATAGTAATTGGCAAGAGTCCTCAGTACTTTATCACCTGGGCTTCTCCTAAGGGAAACTTGACTGTCCTCATGCCATGACAGTTAACTTATCTCAGAATGAATGTTCAAAGAGAGAAATAACAAAGGAGAAGTCAAATTTTTTTTTTTAACCTAACCTCAGATGTGTCATTTCTGTCTTACTTTATTCATTATTAGTGAATCACTAAATCTAGATTACGCACCAGGGGAGAAGAATTGAATTCCATCTCTTATAGAAAAAAATATCAAAGAATTTGTGGACATATTTTAAAACTGCCACAGTAATGATGGTGCCTAATTATAGTTTGTTGTCAGTAGTAAATGAATTAATAAATGTAAAGACTTTAGAACTGTATTAGGTACAAGTACAAAACAGTTTACTAGTGTGATAATTTTCTGCCTTCCCTCAAATAAAAAAATAAGCTTTGTCTAACTCATGAAAACCGTCCTGATTTTTTTAAATAAATCAATTACTCAGAAATTTGGCTTTAAAAATTTATTAGAAGCTAGAGTTAATGAACAAGAGTTAAAATGCAAATTCAAATTATATATAAAGCTAACTGAAAAAAATGTTATTTATAAGAAATTTTGATGGCCATTTATATTTCTTTTTTTGTTTGGTTTTTAGTTTGGTTTTTTTCTTCAACTTTTTGAAATTCTGGGGTACACGTGCAGGATGTGCAGGTTTGTTATATAAGTAATGGTGTGCCATGGTGGTTTGCTGCACAGATCAACCTATCACTCAGGCATTAAGCCCAGCATCCATTAGCTATTCTTCCTGATGGTCTTCCTTCCCCAGCCCCAGTGAACAGGCTCCAGTGTGTGCTGTTCCCTGCCATGTGTCCATATGTTCTTATTGTTGAGCTCCAACTTATAAGTGAGAACATGTGGTGTTTGACTTTCTGTTCCTGCATTAGTTTGCTGAGGATAATGGCTTCCAGCTCTATACATGTCCCTGCAAAGGACATGATCTTGTTCCTTTTTATGCCTGCATAATATTCCATGGTGTATATGTACCATATTTTCTTTATCCACTCTATCTTTGATGGGCATCTGGATTGATTTCATGTCTTTGCTATTGTGAATACTGTTGGAATGAACACACGCATGCATGTATCTTTATAACAATAATTTATATTCTTTGGGTATATACCAAGTAATGGGATTGCTGGGTCAAATGGTATTTCTGCCTCTAGGTCTTTGAGGAATCACCACACTGTCTTTCACAATGGTTGAACTGATTTACACTCCCACCAACAGTGTAAAAGTGTTCCTTTTTCTCTGCAATCTCACCAGCATCTGCTGTTTCTTGACTTTTTAATAATTGCCATTCTGACTGGCATAACATGGTATCTCATTGTGGTTTTGATTTGCTTTTCTCTGATGATCAGTTATGTTGAGCTTTTTTCATGTTTGTTGGCCTTATGAATGTCTTCTTTTAAGAAGTGACTGTTCATGCTCTTGGTCCAATTTTTAATGGTTTTATTTTTTTTTCCTTGTAAATTTCCTTAAGTTTCTTGTAGACTCTGGATATTAGACCTTTGTCAGATGGATAGAAAGAAAAAAAATTCTCCCATTCTGTAGGTGGTCTGTTCACTCTGATGAGAGTTTATTTTGCTCTGCACAAGCTCTTTAGTTCAATGAGATGCCATTTATCAATTTTTGCTTCTGTTGCTATTGCTTTTGGCATGTTTGTCATAAAATCTTTGCCATTGCCTATGTCCTGAATGGTATTGTCTACATTTTCTGCTAGGATTTTTATAGTTTTGGGTTTAAATCTTTCATTCATATTAAGTTAATTTTTGTATAAGGGGTAAGGAACAGGTCCAGTTTTAATTTTCTGCACATGGCTAGCCAGTTCTCCCAGCACCATTTATTAAATAGGGAACCCTTACCCCATTGCTTGTTTTTGTCAGGTTTGTTGAAGATCAGATGGTTGTAGGTGTGTGGTCTTATTTCTGAGTTCTCTATTCTGTTTCATTGGCCTATATGCATGTTTTTGTACTAGTACCATGTTGTTTTTGTTACTATAGCCTTGTAGTGTAGTTTGAAGTCAGGTATTATGATGCCTCCAGCATTGTTATTTTTGCTTAGGATTGTCTTAGCTATGCAGGCTCTTTTTTAATTCCACATGAATTTTAAAATAGTTTCTCCTAATTCTGTGAAGAATGTCAATGGTAGTTTAATAGTTAATTTAAATAGCATTAAATCTATAAATTACTTTAGGCATTATGGCCATTTTCACAATATTGATTCTTCCTACCCATGAGCATGGAATATTTTTCCATTTGTTTGTGTCTTCTGATTTCTTTGAGCAGTAGTTTGTAGTTCTCCTTGAAGAGTTCCTTCACTTCCTTTGTTAGCTGTATTCCGAGGTATTTTTTTCTCTCTGTAGAAATTGTGGATGGCAGTTCATTCATAATTTGGCTCTCTGCTTGCCTCTTGTTGGTGTATAGAAAGGCTAGTAATTTTTGCACACTAATTTTGTATCCTGAGACTTTCCTGAATTTGCGTATCAGCTTAAGATACTTTGGGGCTGAGATGATGGGGTTATCTAGATACAGGATTATGTCATCTGTAAAAGTTGACTTCCTCTCTTCCTATTTGAATACCCTTTCTCTCTTTCTCTTGCCCAACTGCCCTGGCCAGATCTTCCAATACTATGTTGAATAGGAGTGGAGAGAGAGGGCCTCCTTGTCTGCGTCAATTTTCAGAAGGAATGCTTCCAACTTTTGCCCATTCAGTATACTATTGACTGTGGGTTTGTCATATATGGCTCTTATTATTTTAAGGTATATTGCTTCAATACCTAGTTTATTGAGAGTTTTTAACATAAAGAGATGTTGAATTTTATTGAAGGTCTTTTCTGCATCTATTGGGATAATCAGGTGTTTTTTCTTTAGTTCTGTTTACGTGATGAATTACATTTATTGATTTGCATGTGTTGAACCAACCTTGCATCCTGTGGATGAAGCCACCTTGATCATGGCAGATAAGCTTTTTGATGTGCTGCTGGAATTGGTTTGTCAGTATTGTATTGAGGGTTTTTGCATTTATGTTCATCAAGGATGTTGGCCTGAGGTTTTCGTTTTTTGTTATATTCCTGCCAACTTCTGACATCAGGATACTGCTGGTCTCATAAAAATAATTTAGGGAGGAGTCCATCCTTTTCAATTGTTTGGAATAGTTTCAGTAAAAATTGTACCAGCTCTTCTTTGTACCTCTTGTAGAATTCAGCTGTGAATCCATCTGATCCTGAGCTTTTTTGGGTTGTTGGTAGGATATTTATTACTGCCTTCATTTCAGAATTTGTTATTGATCTATTCAGCGGTTCAATTTATTTCTCATTCAGTTTTGAGAGGGTGCATGTTCCAAGAAGTTTATCCAACTCTTCTAGATTTTCTAGTTTATCTGCATATAAGTGTTTATAGTATACTCTGATGGTTGTTTGTATTTCTGCCGGGTCATTGCTGATACCCCCTTCTCATTTTTGATTTTGTCTATTTGGTTATTCTTTATTTTCTTTTTTATTAGTCTAGATAGCAGTCTATTATATTATTTTTTGCAAGAAATCAGCTCCTGGATTCGTTGATTTTTGAAGGGCTTTCATGACTCTATCTCCTCTACTTCTGCTCTGATCTTCGTTATTTCTTGTCTTCTGCTAGTTTTGGGGTTTGTTTGCTCTTGGTTCTCTAGTTCTTTTAGTTGGGATGTTAGGTTGCTGATTTGAGATCTTTCTAGATTTTTGATGTGGGAATTTAGTGCTATAAATTTCCCTCTTGACACTGCTTTAGCTGCATCCCAGAGATACTGGTATGTTGTCCTATTGTTCTTATTAGTTTCAAAGAACTTGTTGATTACTGCCTTAATTTCATTATTTACCCAGGAGTAATTCAGGAGCAGGTTGTTCAATTTTGATGTAGTTGGGTGGTTTTGAGTGAGTTTCATAATCTTGAGTTCTAATTTGATTGTGTTGTGGCCTGAGAGACTGTTATAATTTCAGTTATTTTGCATTTGCTGAGGAGTGTTTTACTTCTGATTATGTGGTCAATTTTAGAGTAAGTGCTACATGGAGATGAGAAGAATGTATATTCTGTTGTTTTGGCATGGAGAGTTCTGTAGATATCTATCGGATCCACTTGATCCAGAGCTATGTTTAGTTTTTGAATAGATTTGTTAATTTTCTGTCTTGATGATCTGTCTAGTATAGTCAGTGGGGTGTTAAAGTCTCCAAATATTATTGTGTGTGAGTCTGTTTCTGTAAAGGTGTCTAAGAACTTGCTTTATGAATCTGGGTACTCCTGCATTAGGTAAATATATATTTAAGATCGTTAGCTCTTCTTGTTGTATTAAACACTTTACTGTTGTGTAATGCTCTTGTCTTTTTTGATCTTTGCTGGTTTAAATCTGTTTTGTCAGAAACTAGGATTGCAATCTCTGCTTTTTCCTATTTTCCATTTGCTTGGTAAATTTTACTCCATTCCTTTATTTTGAGCCTATGTATGTCTTTGCATGTGAGATGGATCTCTTGAAGACAGCATACTGATGGATCTTGACTCTTTATCCAGCTTGCCATGCTGTGTCTTTTAATTGGGGCATTTATCCCTTTACATTTAAGGTTAATATTGTTGTGTGTGAATTTCATGCTGTCATGATGTTCGCTGGTTATTTTGCAGACTTGTTGATGTGTGTGCTTCATAGTGTCACTGGTCTGTTTACTTCAGTGTGGTTTTGTAGTGGCTGGTAACAGTCTTTCCTTTCCATATTTAGTGCTTCCTTCAGGAGCTCTTGCAAGGCAGGCCTGGTGGTGATAAATTCCCTCAGCGTTTGCTTGTCTGAAAAGAATCTTATTTCTCTTTCGCTTATAAAGCTTAGTTTGGCAGCATATGAAATTCTAGGTTGAAATTTCTTTTCTTTTTTTTATTATACTTTAAGTTTTAGGGTACATATGAGGTTTTATTACATAGGTATACGTGTGCCATGTTGGTTTGCTGCACCCATCAACTTGTCATTTACATTAGGTATTTCTCCTAATGCTATCCCTCCCCCAGCCTCCCACACCATGACAGGCCCCGGTGTGTGATGTTCCCCGCCCTGTGTCCAAGTGTTCTCATTGTTCAATTTCCACCTAAGAGTGAGAATATGCAGTGTTTGGTTTTCTGTCCTTGTGATAGTTTGCTGAGAATGATGGTTTCCAGCTTCATCCATGTCCCTGCAAAGGACATGAACTCATCCTTTTTTATGGCCACATAGTATTCCATGGTGTATATGTGTCACATTTTCTTAATCCACTCTTTCATTGATGGACATTTGGGTTGCTTCCAAGTCTTTGCTATTGTGAATAGTGCTGCAATAAACATACATGTGCATGTGTCTTTATAGTAGCATGATTTATAATCCTTTGGGTATATATTCAGTGATAGGATCACTGGGTCAAATGGTATATCTAGATCTAGATCCTTGAGGTATCACCACATTGTCTTCCACAATGGTTGAACAAATTTACACTCCCACCAACAGTGTAATAGCATTCCTGTTTCTCTACATCTTCTCTGGTATCTGTTGTTTCCTGACTTTTTAATGATCACCATTCTAACTGCTGTGAGGTGGTATCTCTTTGTGGTTTTGATTTGCATTTCTCTGATGGCCAGTGATGATGAGCATTTTTTCATGTGTCTGTTGGCTGCATAAATGTCTTCTTTTGAGAAGTGTCTGTTCATATCCTTTGCCCACTTCCAATAGGGTTGTTTTTTTCTTGTAAATTTGTTTAAATTCTTTGTAGATTCTGGATATTAGCCCTTTGTCAGATGGGTAGGTTGCACATATTTTCTCCCATTCTGTAGGTTGCCTGTTCACTCTGATGGTAGTTTCTTTTATTGTGCAGAAGCTCTTTAGTTTAATTAGATCTCATTTGTCAATTTTGGCTTTTATTGCCATTGCTTTTGGTGTTTTGGTCATGATGCCCTTGCTCATGCCTATGTCCTGAATGGTATTGCCTAGGTTTTCTTCTAGGGTTTTTATGGTTCTAGGTCTAACATTTAAGTCTTTAATCCATCTTGAATTACTTTTTGTATAAGGTGTAAGGAAGGGATCCAGTTTCAGCTTTCTACATATGGCTAGCCAGTTTTCCCAGCACCATTCGTTAAATAGGGAGTCCTTTCCCCATTTCTTGTTTTTGTCAGGTTTGTCAAAGATCAGATGGTTGTAGATGTGTGGTGTTATTTCTGAGGACTCTGTTCTGTTCCATTGGTCTATATCTCTGTTTTGGTACCAGTACCGTGCTTTTTTGGTTACTGTAGCCATGTGGTATAGTTTAAAGTCATATAGCGTGATGCCTCCAGCTTTGTTATTTTGGCTTAGGATCGTCTTGGCTATGTGGGCTCTTTTTTGTTTCCATATGAACTTTAAAGTAGTTTTTTTCCAATTCTGTGAAGAAAGTCATTGGTAGCTTGATGGGGACGGCATTGAATCTATAAATTACCTTGGGCAGTATGGCCATTTTCATGATATTGATTCTTTCTATCCATGAGCATGGAATGTTCTTCCATTTGTTTGTATCCTCTTTTATTTCATTGAGCAGTGGTTTGTAGTTCTCCTTGAAGAGGTCCTTCACATCCCTTTAAGTTGGATTCTTATGTATTTTATTCTCTTTATAGCAACTGTGTGTGGGAGTTCACTCATGATTTGTTTCTCTGTTTGTCTGTTATTGGTGTATGGGAATGGTTGTGATTTTTGCACATTGATTTTTGTATCCTGAGACTTTGCTGAAGTTGCTTATCAGCTTAAGGAGATTTTGGGCTGAGATGATGGGGTTTTCTAAATATACAATCATGTCATCTGCAAACAGGGACAATTTGACTTCCTCTTTTCCTAATTGAATACCCTTTATTTCTTTCTCTTGCCCGATTGCCCTGGCAGGAACTTCCAACACTATATTGAATAGGAGTGGTGAGAGAGGGCATCCTTGTCTTGTGCTGGTTTTCAAAGGGAATGCTTCCAGCTTTTGCCCATTCAGTATGATATTGGCTGTGGGTTTGTCATAAATAGCTCTTAGTATTTTGAGGTACGTTTCATCAATACCTAGCTTATTGAGAGTTTTTAGCATGAAGGGCTGTTGAATTTTGTTGAAGCCATTTTCTGCATCTATTGAGATAATCATGTGGTTTTTGTCATTGGTTCTGTTTATGTGACGGATTACATTTATTGATTCGCATATGTCAAACCAGCCTTGCATCCCAGGGATGAAGCTGACTTGATTGTGGTGAATAAACTTTTTGATATGCTGCTAGATTCGGTTTGCCAGTATTTTATTGAGGATTTTCGCGTTGATGTTCATCAGCGATATTGGTCTAAAATTCACTTTTTTTGTTGTTGTGTCTCTGCCAGGCTTTGGTATCAGGATGATGCTGGCCTCATAAAATGAGTTGGGGAGGGTTCCCTCTTTTTCTATTGATTGGAATAGTTTCAGAAGGAATGGTACCTGCTCCTCTTTGTACCTCTGGTAGAATTCGGCTGTGAATCCATCTGGTTCTGGACTTTTTTTGGTTGGTAGGCTATTAATTATTGCCTCAATTTCATAGCCTGTTATTGGTCTATTCAGGGGTTCAACTTCTTCCTGGTTTAGTCTTGGGAGGGGTATTTGTCCAGAATTTTATCCATTTCTCCTGGATTTTCTAGTTTATTTGCGTAGAGGTGTTTATAGTATTCCCTGATGGTAGTTTGTATTTCTGTGGGATCAGTGGTGATATCCCCTTTATCATTTTTTATTGCGTCTGTTTGTCTCTTCTCTCTTTCCTTCTTTATTAGTCTTGCTAGCAATCTATCAATTTTGTCAATCATTTCAAAAAACCAGCTCCTGGATTCATTGATTTTTTTGAAGGCCTTTTGTGTCTCTATCTCCTTCAGTTCTGCTCTGATCGTAGTTATTTCTTGCCTTCTCCTAGCTTTTGAATTTGTTTGCTCTTGCTTCTGTAGTTCTTTTCATTGTGATGTTAGAGTGTTGATTTTAGATCTTTCCTGCTTTCTCTTGTGTGCATTTCGTACTATAAATTTCCCTCTACACACTGTTTTAAATGTGTCCCAGAGATTCTGGTATGTTGTATCTTTGTTCTCATTGGTTTCAAAGAACATCTTTATTTCAGCTTTCATTTTGTTATTTACCCAGTAGTCATTCAGGAGCAGGTTGTTCAGTTTCCTTGTAGTTGAGCAGTTTTGAGTGAGTTTCTTAATTCTGAGTTCTAATTTGATTGCACTGTGGTTTCAGAGACAGTTTGTTGTGATTTCTGTTTATTTTCATTTGCTGAGGAGTGCTTTACTTTCAATTATATGGTCAATTTTAGAATAAGTGTGATGTGGTGCTGAGAAGAATGTATATTCTGTTGATTTGGGGTGGAGAGTTCTGTAGATGTCTATTACGTCTGCTTGGTGCAGAGCTGAATTCAAGTCCTCGATATCCTTGTTAACCTTCTGTCTTGTTGATCTGTCTAATATTGACAGTGGGGTGTTAAAGTCTCCCATTATTATTGTGTGGGAGTCTAAGTCTCTTTGTAGGTCTCTAAGGACTTGCTTTATGAATCCAGGTGCTCCTGTATTGGGTACATATATATTTAGGATAGTTAGCTCTTCTTGTTGAATGTGTAATGGCCTTCTTTGTCTCTTTTGATCTTTGTTGGTTTAAAGTCTGTTTTATCAGAGACTAGGATTGCAACCCCTCCTTTTTTTGCTTTCCATTTCCTTGGTAGACTTCCTCCATCCCTTTATTTTGAGCCTATGTGTGTCTCTGCATGTGAGTTCGGTCTCCTGAATACAGCACACTGATGGGTCTTGACTCTTTATCTAATTTGCCAGTCTGTGTCCTTTAATTGGGACATTTAACCCACTTACTTTTAAGGTTAATATTGTTATGTGTGAATTTGGTCCTGTCATTATGATGTTAGCTGGTTATTTTGCCCATTAATTGATGCAGTTTCTTCATAGCATTGATGATCTTTACAACTTGGCATGTTTTTGCAGTGGCTGGTACCAGTTATTCCTTTCCATGTTCAGTGCTTCCTTCAGGAGCTCTTGTAAGACAGGCCTGGTGGTGACAAAATCCCTCAGCATTTGCTTGTCTATAAAGGATTTTGTTTCTCCTTCTCTTATGAAGCTTAGTTTGGCTGGATATGAAATTCTGGGTTGAAAATTCTTTTCTTTAACAATGTTGAATATTTGCCCCACCCCCACTCTCCTCTGGCTTGTAGGTTTTCTGTGAGATATCTGCTGTTAGTCTGATGGTTTTCCCTTTGTAGGTAACCTGACCTTATTCTCTGGCTACCCTTAACATTTTTTTCTTCATTTCAGCCTTGGTCACTCTGATGATTATGTGACTTGGGGTTGTGCTACTTGAGGAGTATCTTAGTGGTGTTCTCTGTATATCCTGATTTTAAATGTTGGCCTGTCTTGCTAGGTTGGGGACATTTTTTGGGATAATATCCTGTAGAGTGTTTTCCAACCTGGTTGCATTCTCCCTGTCACTTTCAGGTACACAAATCAAATGTAGATTTGGTCTTTTCACATAGTCCCGTATTTCTTGGAGGCTTTGTTTGTTTCTTTTTACTCTTTTTTCTCTAAACTTCTTGTCTCGCTTTATTTCATTAATTTCATCTTCAATCACTGATACCCTTTCTCTGGTTTCTCCCCATCTTTGTGGTTTTATCTAACTTTGGTCTTTGATGTTGGTGACCTACAGATGGGGTTTTGGTGTGGATGTCCTTTTTGTTGATGTTGATGCTATTCCTTTCTGTTTGTTAGTTTTCCTTCTAACAGTCAGGTCCCTCAGCAGCACATCTGTTGGAGTTCGCCAGAGGTCCACTCCAGACCCTGTTTGCCTGGGTATCACCAGCTGAGGCTACAGAACAGCAAATATTGCAGAACAGCAAACATTGCTCCCTGATCCTTCCTCTGGAAGCTTCATTCCCAGAGGGGCACCTGCCTGTTTGAGGTGTCTGTTGGTCCATACTGGGAGGTGTCTCCCAGTTAGGCTACATGGGGGTCAGGGACTCACTTGAGGAGGCAGTCTGTCCATTCTCAGTGCTCAAACACCATGCTGGGAGAACCACTGCTCTCTTCAGAGCTGTCAGACAGGGACTTTTAAGTCTGCAGAAGTTTCTGCTGCTTCTTGTTCAGCTATGCCCTGCTCACAGAAGTGGAGTCTATAGAGACAGTAGGCCTTGTTTAGTTGCGTTGGGCTCTGCCCAGTTCGAGCTTCCTGGCCACTTTGTTTACCTACTAAAGACTCAGCAATGGTGGACGCCCTTCCCCCCTCCAGGCTGCTGCCCCACAAGTTGATCTCAGAGTGCTGCACTAGCAGTGTGAAAGGCTCTGTGGGCATGGGACCCACACAGGAGAGAATCTCCTGGTCTACTGGTTGCTAAGACTGTGGAAAAAGCGCAGTATTTGGGCAGGAGTGTCCCATTTTTCCAGGTGCAGTCTGTCACGGCTTCCTTTAGCTAGGAAAGGCAAATCCCCTGGCCCCTTGTGCTTCCCAGGTGAGGCGATGACCCACCCTGCTTTGGCTCATCCTTCATGTGCTGCACCCCCTGTCCAACCAGTCCCAATGAGATGAACCAGCTACCTCAGTTGGAAATGCAGAAATCACCCATCATCTGCGTCAATCACGCTTGGAGCTGCAAACCAGAGCTGTTCCCATTCGGTCATCTTGGAATGGAAGCCAGAAATTCTTTTCTTTAAGAATGTTGAATATTGGCCCCCAATTTCTTCTGGCTTCTTATGTTTCCATTGAAAAGGTTCACTTTTAGCCTGATGGGCTTCCCTTTATAGGTAACTTGGTCTTTCTTTCTGGCTGAACTTAACATTTTTTTTTTCACTTTGACATTGAGGAATCTGATGATTATGTGTCTTGGGGTTGATCCTCTCCTGGAGTAGCTTAATGGGGTTCTCTGGATTTCCTGAATATGAATGTTGGCCTGTCTCACTAGGTTTGGGAAGTTCTCCTGGATGATATCCTAAAGTATGTTTTCCAACTTGGTAGCTTTCTCCCCATCTCTTTCAGGTACCCCAATGAGTCATAGATTCAGTCTTTTTACATAGTCCCATATTTCTTGGAGATTTTGTTCACTGCTTTTTGTTCTTTTTTCTCTATTGTTGTCTGCCTGTCTTATTTCAGAAAGATAGTCTTTAAGCTCTGATATTAATTCTTCCCCTTAGTCTGTTCTTCTGTTGATACTTGTGATTGCATTGTGAAGTTCTTGTGTTGTGTTTTTCAGCTTCATCAGGTCAGTTATGCTTCTCTCTAAATTGACTGTAATAGTTATCAGCCCCCTTTTATTAATCGTAATTCTTACCTTCTTTGTATTGGCTTACAACATGCTCCTTAAACTCAGTGAAGTTTATTATTGCCCACTTTCTGAAGCCTATTCAATTCATCCATGTCAGCCTCTGCCCAGCTCTGTACCCTTGCTTGAGGTGATGCAGTCAGTTGGAGGAGTAGAGGCACACTGGCTTTTTGAGTTTTCAGTATTTTTGCCTTGATTGTTTCTCATCTTTGTGGCCTTATCTACCTTTAATTTTTGAGGTTACTGCCCTTTGATTAGGGTTTTTGTGGGGTCTTTTTTTGTTGATGTTGTTGCTTTCTGTTTTGTTTCTTTCTTTCTTTGTTTCTCCTTTAGCAATCAGGTTACTTTTTCGTAGAGCCGCTGCTGTTTGCTGGGGGTACATTTCAGACCCTAGTCCTCTCAGTCCCTCTCTCACCTGGAGGTAGCACCAGTGAAGGCTGTGAAATAGAAAAGATGACAGCCTGTTCTTTTCTCTGGGAGCTCCATCTCAGGAACTAATGCCAGCTAGGACACTCCTGTAGGAGGTGTCTGGAGAGCCCTGTTGGGTGGTCTTACCCAATCAGTAGGAACAGGTTCAGGGACCTGGAAAGACGAAGTTGGCTGAACCACAGGGTCAGCAGCTGCCCCTCTCCCTAGGGACTCCATCCCAGGGAGAGATTAGAGTTCTGCCTGTATAACCATGACTGTAGTTGCTGAAATTTCCGCAGGGAGGTCCCACCCAGTGAGGAGGGATGGATCAGGGTCCCACTTAAAGAAACAGACTGGCCATGATCAGGAACAATAGCTGTGCTGTGTTGTGGGAAATTACTCCAAGTCCCTGGTGTTGGCAGACTAGAGGGCCTGAGGAATGGCAGATGTGGTAGCTGCTCCTCCCCCTGAGAACTTGGTCTGTCTCATGTCTCATGCCATCTCCAGCTTGCTGCCACTGGCTGGCTGGCATTCCAACTCAGTGTGTCTTAACTTGTGAGGTGCTGTGGGAGTGTGGCCCACAGAATGATGCCACTTAGCTCCCTGGATGCAGCCCCCTTCTAGGGGGAATGCACAGGATCTCCCACCTTGCTGGAATTCCTGGGCCAGAGTATGCAAAACTCCTGGGTTTCCCAAGCAACCAAGTGAGTGGCTGCCCCACTGAGACACCACACAGCTCTGTGCTTCAGACCCAAGGATGGTGACATGGGCTCACATGGGAATCTCCTGATCGCGGATTGCAAAGATATGTAGGAAAAACATGTTTTCCTGGGCAGGGCCGCAGAATCCCTCACTGACTCCCTTGGCTGGGGTGGGGGCTACCCTGTCTCTGTGCCACTCCCAGGTGGGCCATAACCCCAACCTAGTTTTCCTTGCTCTTGGTGTGTTGAGCCCTCTGCCTAGTCAGTCCCAATGTGAGAACCTGGATACCTCAGTTGAAGGTGCAGAATTCACTTGTCGTTTTGTGAAAGCCTCGAACCCAGCTGCTTCTAAGTGGCCATCTTGGCCCCTCCGCCAACCTTCTATATTTCTAAACAGATGGTCATCTATCTAAATGGATGCTAGATTGTATAGTAATTTGGTCATTTCCAGGAACTCTCAGGAACTTTATTTAGAACTCAAGGACAGCAGAACCACTGTATTATTTCACTCTGTCTTCACTAATCTGGAATTTTGCTCCATCAGTTATCTCTTTTCTTCCTAATTTCTTTAGAGCTAAAGAAAATAAACCAAAAATCATTAATCTTTCCTTAAATACATTATTTCTTTGAACTGCATGGGTTTCAAGTAATAACTATGAAACCTCAAAATACTTGCCAAATATCATAAATCCTTCTGAAGAAAGTTACCTGAATCAGCTCTTTGCCAAAAAATATAGCCAAAGAATGCAAAGTAGGATCCCAGCAATTGCCAAACTACAAACTTAGATCCTGATACAAGACTCTCATGGCTTCTTCCTCCTTTAGAGCTTCAAAATCTTCCTGAGAAATAATCTGGAAATACTATATGACAACTACATGCAGAATAAGAAATGCCAGAGGTATTCTTGGGTAAAATTAAACAAAAAACACTATATTATGCAGGATAAATTAGATGAGTGAAGCAATCCACTGTGATATTGTCTATATTCCCATGTCTGTGTTTCTTCACAATTATGTAGTTCGGTTTTGTAATACACTAGCAAATCAGGAATTGAGGAGAGTTTGACTATTACATTAAAACTGACAAAAGGAAATATTACACCTTAAATTACTGTGCTTTCCAAAATTGTACTTTAAGAACAAATGCATGCTAATGTGTACACTGAGAACAAATTGTTTCATAGAAAGAAATAAAAGAAAAGATGACAAATAAAGTGAAGGAATCCCTTTTCTTTTGAAAATTTACAGTACATATTAAAAGTTCTGACAAGTTCAATGGAAAGGAGACCTACTGAAGTTGTTCAATGTTTAAAATAAGCAAAGTTTTTATACAAAACTTTTTATTAATATATCTGTTAAATAACCAGTTTCAAAATTCTTGGAAATAAAGTGGAAAACAGAGGCAAATTAAAATATGTTCATCTGAATGAAAATACTGTAGAGGACATTTAATACTATTTTTATATAACTTCACTTGCTAATGATTTATGTTTTAGTGTCCTCTCTCATGCATTGACTACAGTGACATAGTATTGACACTAGCTCAAGCTGAAATGATTCCAACTTCCCTAAACTTAGGAATATACTAGAACCCCCAGTGCTTGTTTGAAGGCAACAGTATATGGCCTTGTTTTGAAGAAGGCTAGCTGTATATGAGTTATTCCATATAGGATAGCAATCAATCAACTCAGTTGCATTCTTCATTTAGGCAATTGTGTTAGAGTTACAAAGAGAAAATAGGTTATTTAAGCTCTGGCTTCCAGAAAAAGAAACACTAAGAAAATTTTCCAGTTTTCATAAATTGTGCTGTGCATCTCTGACTAGATGGTTGATAGAGTGACCTTTAACACATTATCATTCTTGCATATTTTTATAATAAATCTCCAAAAGTAAAGTTAACCTATTTTTCCTCTTCCTTGCAACTTCAATGAACTTGCCTAGTATATTCTTCCACTGGATCCTGCGAGTCTCTCTCATATTTTTTTTTGCACCAGTTTCTCGTATTTTTTGCACCATTAACTGTCTTAAGAGATTAGTTAGACATAGTCAATTAATCTCCAAAAATGGTACCAAAAATATGCAATGTAGAAAGAATAGTCTCTTCAAAAAATGTTACTGAATATCCACATGTAAAAGAATGAAATTAGACCTTTATCTTAGACATTTCACAAAAATCAAGTGAAATAGTTTAAAAAATACTTAAATCTAAGACCTGAAACCTTAAAAATATTAAAAGCATACACAGGGAAAATGTCCTTGGTATTGGACTTTACAATTATTTTTTGGATATGATACCAAAAGCACAGGTAACAAAAGTAAAATTTTTAAAAAATGAGAATACGGGAAATTTCAAAAAATATGCACAGTGAAGGAAACAATCAATGAACAGAAAAGGAAACCTATGGAGTGAAAGAAAATATTTGCACACCGTCTATCTGATAGAGGCCTAATATCCAAAATTAAGGGAAAATATATACAAGTCAATACCAAAAAAAAACATTTAAAAATGGCCAAAAGGCCTGAATAGACATTTTCTTTTTCAAATAAGACATGCAAATGGCCAAGAGGTATATAAAAAAGCATTCAACGGCACTAATTCTAATCATCAAGAAATTGCACATCAAAACCTCCATATCACCTCACACCTGTTAGCATGGTTATTACCATAAAGTCAAAAGATAGGGAGAAAGTTAAAAAAAAAAAAAGGAAACCCTTAAGTGTTCTAACTATGCACATGCACACACATACACAAAAAAGAGTAAGTAGAAGAAGCGATGGATGTGCTAATTAGCTTGAAGGTGGTCATCATTTCATAGTGTATATGTATATCAAAACATCACATCGTACACCTCAAATACAGACAATTTATATTTGCCAAGTATACTGCAATAAAGCAGAGGGGAAAAAGGATAAATATCAAAAGTATTATGTAACAGGAAACAAGCCATGCCAAATTACACATTATGGAATTGGGACATAATAGTAAAATAAAATAATTTATAAGAAAATTAGAAAAGAGAAATAAATTAACACATTTTAAATACTACCATGAATATGATCTTAATGTAGCTTCTATTACTTTAACAATCAGCAAAATAAATGCCCTTAAAACATTCCAAAACATTTTTACCTTTCAACATATTGATTTGAGCTTCTCTTAAAAGGAATCCCCAGTCTACCATAGGTTCTTATATTACTGCTATGGTGTGAGTGTGTTCCCTAAAATTCATGTATTGGAAATTTGGCCCCCAGTATATGGAGGTAGGACTTAATAGAGGTGTTTAGGTCATGGGGCACCGACCTCAAAAATGAAATTATGACATTATTGTGAATGTAGGTTCATTATTATGAGAGTGGTTTTTTATGAAAGGACAAGTTTGTCCCCACCTCGGTCTCTCGTACCCTCTCTTTACCCTTTCTTCATGGCATGGCACAGCAAGCATCCCTTTATTAGGTGCCAGTCTCTCAATCTCAGACTTTCCAGCCTCCAGAACTGTGCATCAATAAATTTCTGTTTATTATAAATTACCCAATGTCAGGTATTCTGATATAGCAGCACAAAGTGGACTAATGCAATTACCTTTTGTATATCTGAGTTAGGATAGTTTTCTATTTGACTGTTTCAAAGAAGAGATGCTTAACCAGTTAGAGACTGCCTTGTTGGAAAAGATGCCCCAAAGATCTCAGCACAGCACATAACACACTGTAAATGATGAACATTCATTTCAATAGAAATATGATAGACAAATGAGTTGGCAAGAAACTCCCACTCAAAAGGGAGGCTTTCAAGTGAAAATGTTATTGCTGAAAATAAATATTAACATTGTCATATTTTATATTCACTTGTCTCCTTTTAATTGTCTAAAGAATGAGCAAAACAAGCCCTAATGTGGCACACAGTATCTACTCTCTTCTCCAAATTATCTCTACAAAGATATAAAGAATGAAAGATGTTAACATTCTCATACATTAGTCATAGCGTGATTGAGGAAGATGAATATGTCATCCCACCAAAAACGGAAAGATTGCTGAGGTTGTCAGAGAGAACTTGATTAGCTTGCATCTGAAACTTGCTCAATTTGGATGTTCATGAGCTATACTGTCAGATTAAAGACAGATTCCCCATTTGAGTACACAGGCAAAGATAATATACACACAAATGTACCATCAATCCAGATCGATGAATATTTTTTCAGTATATAATCAAATTCAAAAGTACATGAACTGCCTTCTTCCTGCTGTGTGGGTTGCTTATTACTAGAAAACAGATGCAACGCTTCTCTTGAGTACTGAACCAAAGAAGCAATGCCCTCCCAAATAACATATTGACAAGATAAACATATTTCTGGATATGTCAAAAAAAAGGTAGAGGTTCTATTTGTTATCAAAGATTTGGGGTTGAGAAAAGTTAAAAGTTAGATTATTTTGTATTCTTTCTCTGGCTGATTGTACCTTTACTACACCTAAGAGTAATCACAGTATTATAGATAATAAAATGGGCCAAGGGACATTATAGGTTAGGCTCAGACACATGATTTCAATTTTTAAGGCTCATGAGATTCACTCTTATTTAACTGAAAAATATTTACTTTTATAATGTATAAGAGTCAATCAGAGCAGAGAGTCTTTTGAACAAATACAACTCTCTGAAAAAATTATGTCATACATTAGGAGAGAATCAGAAAACTTTTAAAAACAAATTTGGATCTTGGATCGGTAGGGTTGAGGGAGTTTACTATTTTTGACAAAAGCTTTATTTTAACTTTCGAAGTTTCTATTTCGTTTTAAAATTTGAGATGTCTAAGATTACAATCAAGGAGCAAATATCATAATAAAAATAATAGGCATTCTTAATCAGATTTATTTTATGTATATGTGTAAAGATACTGCCTCAGCCACATGGGCTAATTTTGGGTGATTTTTAAAAGTAAATCTGTGTATTGCTTACTTATCTACAATTGCCTATTGAAAGGAAAATTGCTCCTATTCATTTTCTTGCACCTCAAGGTGAAAAGGGGCTATGCAATCACTCATGAGATATGATTTTAATCTTTTCAAGAAGGAGAATATTCTTAAATTGCATGGGGTAATACACACATTAGTTATGGAAAATTAGTTTGGTGATATGGATTTCTCTTTTCCAAGTAGGAATTTTATGCAACAATGTAATGCATAAAGTATATTCTCTAGTATGATGTATTTTTAGAGACAGAGATAATAGGCAGATAGCATTAGGCTGCATGATTTGTGGGTAATGTTATGTTTATAGTGAGTCCAAAGGCACCTGTGTCTCTTTTAGTTTCTTTATTTGGCACCCATCAGCAGATGGGATTGTCAAGCACCTCATGAGATATTAGAACACCCATACTCAATAAACTTGTTAATAACATCTGTTAATGTAATTATAAAGAATATGCACCTCTATTAAATGAGTTACTAAATAAGTCAATTTTCAGCTCTACTATGAAAGATTTTGTTTTGGAAGTTTGACAAATACATTTTTCACAGTGACTTTGGGAAACCTGGTGGTGTTTAGAAATGTTTGCATGGTATATTTGAACAGCTACTATCCTCTTGCTAGAATAAAATTTCCCTAGCCTATAGTGAAGGTTGAGATAATTTATTTTTGTTTATTTGTACTTTTTAAAAACCAAGTTGACTAGATAATACATATATGTCAATCTCGGAATGTTTTAAGTGAAGATATTTTAAATAAGCCCAACTACAGGTTGAGTAACTAAGAAAGAGAAATTTACTTTTTGCAAGAGGGCTGATTTATGTAAAAATTATGGAATAAAGACTTGTTATGGACTGAATTATGTTCCTCCCCTGCCCAGAATTCATATGTTGAAGTCCTAACTTCCAATGTGATATTTGGAGATGAGGCCTTTGAGAAGAAATTAGAGTCAGATGAGGTCATGAGGGTGGGGCCCTCGTGATGAGATTAGTGACCTTATCAGAAGAATGAGAGAGAGAGACACAGAGAGATTATTCTCTCCTCACTATGTGAGGACACAGCAGGAAAGCAGTCTAGAATGACTACATCATATCTTACCAAGTATGTCTCTTACAAAAAGTTTATATGCATCGAAAGGGTTTATGATAGTATCATTACCTGCAATAATAAACTCCATGATCATTATCCACTCTGTACAATAGCTGTCACAAAGTTGCTATGTTGTGACAGTTTTGTTTTGTATTGTTAAAACAAGAGTTATGAATTTCTAGCCCCTCCATGATTTATGTTATTTGTAATAAATTCATATAAAACTAAATAACAAAGTAGTAAATTTATTGAAGTTATAATAGTTTCTTCCAATCCTTCACACACACACACACACACACACACACACACACACACACATGCCTTTAAATTTGTTTCTTCTAAAATTAAAGCATTCTTAGATATCCCTTTATCCATTTGGAAAATGAACTTCAAGTTATGCTCTGTGTGGATCTGTGGGTGTCCTAGACACATAGTGAGCTTCATTGTGTTGGAAAGCACTGACACTGGAGCTGGAGTACTTGCCTTGCAGTGGGTCTGTTGCTTTATAACTAGATTACTTGGACAGCTTACTAATGTCATAAGACTCAGTTTCCTCATTTGCAAAATGAAGATAATTACAGTGCAGGCTACCGACATTTATTGTGATGATTAAATAAATCAATGCTTATCAGAGATTTAGAGCACTATGTAGCAAGTGGTAGGCAATCATTAAATATCAGCTATTATTACTATCACAATTAGCAAAAGAACCAGTCTAAATATGACTTTCAGTTGAAAATCTTTAGGTTTTTCCAGTAACTGTTATTTATTTCTAGTTCTATGCTAACTTTTGTAGGTTATGTGAGTATTTTATTGATTATTATAACCAAAGATAATGATTAGACTAGTTAAGATTGCTATACTGTAAGCTCCAGGAGGATAGCAACTATGTCTGTTTATTTCACCTTTTCAACCACAGCACCTACCGCCAAACCTGGTACATATTAAGACATAGTAAATATTTGTTAATGGAGAGTTGTGGATCACTTGTAGTGAGACGGAATTCTACTATACTCATCTACCAAGGTTGAGCTTTAACTCAAACATCAAATCATTTTTGAGAAACACTAAAATGTTTAGGTTTTATTTTTGGGTCTTGTCCAAATGGTTAGGCCTGTGCTCTAAGCTAAGAATAATTTTTAAAAAAATCTTTCATCAGAATAATTGTATCTTTATGAATGCATAAACAGTTAGGAATGGATCTTCCATTTAAATAGCCTTGAGAAATAAACTTCATTGGTTTAAAACTATTTTAACTTTGGATTTATTTCACATATGTTCTTATTTCTCCTTTCAGTTTTAGCCACATTAAATTATCTTTATTCTTACTGCATATGTACAGTCCACAAGAGAAGCCATTTGACTATAGCTTAAAATGAGAACAGAGGTAGAGAGGGGAGAAGAAAGTAGCAAATAAGACAGTGATAGAGGTTAAAGTGGTTTCACATATTTTTATTGCATTATTCAAGCAAATTCAACAATAAAGATGATCCTTTCTGGTTTATATTTCTCTGGAAGCATATTTTCTATTTTTAGTAAAAAATTATTTATGAAATATTTATTTAATGGACTTTATATGTAAGTCATTATGCAAATACTATGTAGAGAGTAAGGATATCAATCCAGTATGGTCCACTCCCTCAAGAAGCTTAACATGGAAAAAGGAGTGAAATAACAAAAGATGTATGCTATCAGGTACAATACAAGCTGTAGAATACTACTTTCCTTCTAAGTTCATACTTTGAGAATCAGCTTATTTTTAGGTATGTCTTCTTTATTGAAGCCATAGTTGAAGGTTTAGGTCAAATAAAATGATAAATTTAATAGACTGTGTGTGTGTGTGTGTGTGTGTGTGTGTGTGTGTGTATACATCTATGTATGTATATTTTGGCTTCCAAATACTATATTTTCTGTAAGCTATCCCTCACATAACTTTAACTCAAATGAGTACTATCAGTTTGTAAACAACCAGAAGGCACAAGCCATGAATGTGAGGTCTATTTTGCCATATGCTAGGGTTGTAGCATATAATCTGCATATTATTGTGAAATGACTTAAACGTTGTATTGCTCAGTTATAAAAAATTTAACATAATCCATAAATAAGACCAATAATTGTCTCTCTGTTCTCTAACTCAGAACCAACTTGATAAAGTCTTATCTTCCTTCAAAAATCAGCTAAGATTACACCTGCTCTGTGAATATATATCTTCATTTTCTTTTCTAAAATGAGCATGGATTACTTTTGAATGAGAAATCTAGTTACTTTAAATAGAAAAAAAATGAAGACTTAAGATCTTTTTCTACTCCCATTGTGTAATTTATAGTTTATATATTTGCACATTTTGTTCATTATAAAAAATCTCTGAATTTGTATAAGCATTTCTGGTAGATTTTAAGTTCCTTAAGAGTGGTAATTTTTGTTTTAACTATATATGTACAGTGATATTTAGTAGCACTCACCATAATTTTTGAAGGAATGAATGAATACAAATAAGCTTTTTATAATTTTACATTCATAAAATAAATAATTACCAGTTTTCCACATCTCCTACTAACTATTGTCAATATGTGTGCCTGAAGATATAATTTTGTATTCTTCTCTAATCACCTAATATTATAAAGTACACATTTTATGTTAATGCACAGCCTTCATAATCATCTTATTTATGCACAATATTGCACTGATATGATTTGTCCTAAGTTACTTTACTATTAAAATTTTACTAATATAAAATGCTACAATGAGGTTGTTTATACACAAAGTTTTTTCTGGAAAATTATTTCTTAGAAATAATTTTCATAATGAAAATGGGTTGAAGAGGTAGTGTGCAGATAGTCGTGATAAAATCTGGACAAACAGTAAGAAGCCACATTTAAAAGGTACTGGAGAGCAAACAAAAGCAGAACAAAGTAAGAGGAGAGTTTTCTCTTAAGAAAAAAAAAAAACTGTACCTGCAAAGGACAAGAACTGCAAGTCTGAACTTCTCTTATCGGAGGGAGCTCCAAAACCACATAGCCATAGTGTAGATAAAACAGTAACTTTACCAGATTGAGGTAGAATGGAACAGAATTTAGAACTGGAAGAGCAGCCAGAAATTTATGGGAAAAATCTTGGAAGCAAGAAACATAAGAAAAAATGAGACCCCAAATCTGAGTGTAACTCTACCCTTGTCCACAAAACTACATGTATATAGGGAGAGACCTGGTGACAGAGCAAAAGCAAACAAACCGCCTCAAAAACAAACAAACAAACAAAATATTAGAAAGACTAGAGAGGAATTTTTCACCAGGAGACAGAACTGCACTGGATGAATTTTTTGAGGTTGCTCCTTTTTCAACTGCATTAATTCCCCAACAATGGCCATCTTGGAAAGTAAAAAAGTGAAGACTTACTGGCTTAAGTATTAGTTGATAGAGTCTAAAGCTAGCCAATCAGATGCAGATGTGAAAGAAAATCCACAGAAGCAAAGAAACCACAATCCAGTCCAAAATTTTGGCTAAGCACAAACTACATTTGCAGGGGAAAACCCAGGGAGCTAGTTTAAAAAAAAAAAAAGTAGCAGTTGAAAGATGTAAGGAAGGAGCAGAGATATCAACTGCTGCACTCTGTAGGATGGACAGAGTATGATGTTTGGGTCCAAGCAAGGTAACTGCATATAAGAGCAAGAACAATAAAAATCTCCAAAAGAACAAAGCAGAACCCAGAATATCTAAAACATATCATCTAAACTAAACTATCTAGTTTCCAAAACTTACTGGATATTCAAAGATACAGGAAAGTGTAATCTGCTTTCAAGGATAGAAAACTCAATAGAAGGAACTAACTCTAACTACATCCAAACTTAAGAGAAGGCAAAGCAAGATGTCCAAACAGAAGACTCCACTAATTGCCCTCCCTACAGGAACAGCAAATTGAACAACTATGCATACAAAAAAGCACCTTCATAAGAACGCAAAATCAGCATAGTTACTGGCTCAGCCACAGTGAGATAGAGCACCAAGTAGGTTGGTTTCCAGGCTTTGGCTCTTGGATGGCATTTTCAGACCTGCTCTGGGCCAGACAGCAGCCCACTACCCTGAAGGAAGAGTACCAGGCCTGGCAGCATACACCTCTAGCTGATTGAATAGCCCTTGGGCCTTGAATGAGCATCAGTGGTACGCAGACAGTACTTGCTATGGGCCTGGGGTGGTTGGGGCCACGGGGAGAGACACCTCTGCTTGTGGAAAATGGGAGGGAAAAGTGGGAAGCACTTTGTCTTGTGTCTTGGGTGCCAGGTCAGCAGCAGAATGGAGCACTAGATAGATTCCTAAGGCTTCCAACTCTAGGCCCTGGCTCTCATATGGCATCTCTGGACCTGCCCAGGACTGGGGCAAATTTGCTTCCCTGAAGGGAAGTACACAAGCCTGGCTGTCGTCGCCTCCTGCTGATTCTAGAGTCCTAGGGCCTTGAACATCATAAGTGGTAACCAGGCCTAGGCTGAAGGATAATGGCATGTCAGTAGATGTCAACTCAAGTCTACATGAATGAGCATCATTGAACATGACAAACATCTGTATTAATATACAATACTATACACACACATTTTTCTTTTTTCTTAAAGTTCATTAAAAGTATTTGACTATTTAAAACAAAAATTTTAATTGTATTGAAAGATTTATAACTTATTTAATACGTATAATACATTCTTAGTGACAATAGTAATAATAATTGGAACTCAGTGGAAATATACTTGTCCAAGATTCTTGTATGTTCTTTAAATTTTTGGAAGTCATTTAATATTGAAACTGTATAGATTGTGCCAAGTAAAATATTTATGTTAAAATCTTTGAACAACCATTAAGTAACAAAACAAAAAGATACTGCTGGAGAGCCAATGGAAAAATTTAAATAGAATATTATAACTAGGTAATTAATACTAATAAAAGTAGAATAGGAGGGTCAGAGGCAAAGGAAGATAGAGTTAATTGGAAGCAAATAGCAGGATGTCAAAACTAAATACAACAACCAAAATCAGATAATTTTAGGCATGATTAAAAACAGCAAGCAATTACACTTTACCCTACAAGAGACTTACTTTAAGCACAAAGACTCAAGTATGTTGAAAGTTAAAAAGATGGGAAAGGTGCATCATGCAATAGTGAGCATAAGAAAACTGGAGTGACTATATTAATGTTAATTAAAATATATCTCAAGACATGGAGTGTTACTAGAGACAAAGAGAGACACTTTGACATTCTAAGAGAGTCAATACATCGACTAGGAATGATAACTCAAACTACATGGGACAAATGGTCAAATTATGTAGTAGGAGCTCTGAAAATCACCTGTTCCATTACACCAGTATGAACACTAGCAAAAGCTGTCAAAATCAAATATTTTATAATGTTGAAAATAAAAAATTGCCACAATAAGAATGCTCATATTTCTTTTTCTTATACATAGTTATTTAAAAAACAAACCCAAAGAAAACACCTCAGCCAAACCTTAGTGATCTTTGTGGAATTTTAACTTGTCCTATTCTCATCCCTTTCTCCCATCACCACAGTAACCTTAGAAATGATTAACTATGCAAACTTAATAGCTATGAAGGTCAGAATTATAGTAGCCACTCAAAGGGGAAGAATAGTTTTGGATCTTCTTTAAAAAGACCTATCTAAAGAGAATTTTTCTTATTTAACTTGTCTTGATGCTCCCTGGAAAAGAATAATTTACAGCGCTTGTTGTTTTTTAATATGACTCAGAGTTATTTCAGTGTGAAAATCCCATTCCCCAGGGCATTTTGTTGAAAGCAATTAGAGCTTGTTGTTTAATGTCACAGCTGCCTGTGTTGGTGACACCAGTTGGGATAAATAAGAGGCTGTCTACACAATTTAAAAGGAAGATCTGAGGAATGAGATATCCCATAGTGGGTTTTGTAAACTCCAATAGAGTAGGGAAGGGAAAGAAAAACAACAACAACAAAAACAAAAATAAGAAAAAACACAAACAAAACTTCAAAAGTTGCTTTCCTGATTATCTAGAAGGCAACTTGCCTGCATAGGGTCATGCAAACTCCCAAGAAAGTCCTGAAAAGGCCCAAATCTCCCACCACTGGCTGACTACATACTTGTACAAGCAGAAATTAAAAGCTAAGGTAGAATTGTGAGTTGCCTACCAATCATTGAAAACATGCCTAAACATGCATGCAGAGCTCCTTGGCAAAAAAAAGGGACTTATTGATTCAAGACATTTAACGTCCCTTTCCAATCACTAGCTTACCATTAAATGAATTGATCAGAGACCTTAGTCCTTAGTGTGTACACATGAGAGAGAATACAGACTTTACAGAATAACTCCAAGAAAGTAAGTAAAAAATCAAATAGTAGCAACAACAAAACAACAAAAGCAACAACAATAATAATAAAAAACCCACCAGGTCGAGTAAGATCTTATTTCCAGAATTGCCACATTTAATTATTTTAATGGTACAATTTTCAACCAAAAATTAAAAGGCTTGAAATGAAACAGGACAATGTGGCCCATACACAGGGGAAAAAAGCAGTCAATAGAAACTATTCCTAAGGAAACCCAGATGTTCAAATCACTAGATACAAATAATACATATCTATGTATGTATATAAATTGTATCATGTCAAATAAATTAAAGGGATTATAAGATGATTTATCATCTCAGAAAATATCTATATAAAGATAAAAATTATTAAATCAAACCAAATAGAAATTCTGTAGTTGAAATGTACAATATGAGATAAAAAATTCACTATTGGTGCTTAAGATCAGAATTAAGTTGTCAGGAGAATGTATCAGTAAACTTGAAGATAGAACAATTGGGATTATCCAGTCTGAGGGAAAGAAATAAAAAAGAATGAAGAAAACTGGACGGGGCCTCCAAAACTTGTAGGACACAATCAAGCATACAAACATATGCAAGAGAGAGGAAAGGGGCAGAACAAATATTTTTAAAATAATGGTCTAGATTTAAACAAATTTCATTTAAAAAAATTAATACCCACATCTGAGATGCTTAGCAAACTTCAAGTAGGATACAAAGAGATTCATGCCTCAAACTACTAAAAGAAAAGAAAAAGAAAGAATATTGAAAGCAGCAAAAGAAAATCACTTGTCATGTACAAGAGATCCTCAATTTGATCATCAGTCAACCAGAATATGTCCAAACTCATGAAGATGTATATATCATATGTGTATAATTTTAGCATATAAATGATACCTTGATAACACTAAAATAAAATAAATAAGAAAGAAAACAAAGAAAATTATCAGTCACCTTCTCATTAGAAATCATGGAAACTAGAAGGCAGTGGAATGATATGTGCAAAATGTTGAAAGAAAAAGAATCTCAATCAAGAATTCTGCAAGAATTCTATATCCCGCAAAACTGTCCTTCACAAATGAAGGAAACATTAAGACAGTTCCAGATGATCAAAAACTGAGAGAACAAATCATTAGCAGACTTACCCTGAAAAAAATACTAAAGGAAGCTCTTCAGGCTTAAATGAAAGGACATAAGACAGTAACATAAATCTTCACAATAAAATAAAGGACACCAATCAAGGTAACTACGTAGGTAAAAATAAAAGGCAACATTAATCTATTTACTGTTTTTAGCTCCAACAGTCTAAATTATTTAGAAAACAACTACATAAAATAATAAATATGTGTCTGTGCTGATCAAAATACTGTGTGTGTGTGTGTGTGTGTGTGTGTGTGTGCGTGTGTATCATTTTAATGAAAATAATACCAAAAAAAGAGGAGGAAGAAATGGAGCTTTATTTGGGCAAAGATTTTCTATACTATTTAAAGTTGGTATTCATAGAAACTACAATGTTTATTAGAATGTTAATTGTAAACTGGGAAAATACACTAACACCATAACTAAAAAATATAGTTAAATGACTATATTTAACTATATTTTTAAAATATATTCAATAGGGAATGGAAATAATACCCTATAAAATATCTATTTAATGCAGAAGAAGGCAATAATGGAGGACTAGAGAAACAGAAAGGACACAAGGCATAGGGAAACAAACAGAAAAACAGCAGATGTTAATCCTTCTTTATCAATAATTTTATTAAATATAAATGGATTAAACACTCCAAAATTAGCAATCGGCAAAAAAAATCATGATCCAAACACATGCTGTCTATAAGACACACTTTATATCTAAAGGCAAAAATAGGTTGAAAGTAAAAAGATAGGAAACAATATACCACATAGAGAGTTTCCTCTGTCTAGTGATAGAAGCCAGAGAGATATGAAATATGAATAAGACTCAAAACACCCTTGCTGGCTTGAAGTGGGGAGAGTCCTGTGCCAAGAAATACAGGTGGCCTCTAGAAAATGAAAGTAGGCCCCCACCCCCACTGACAGCCAGCCAAAAAAGTAGAACCTCAATCTCAAAACTGCAAACATGTGAATTATTCAACAACTTTTATTTAAAGTATATTCTCCCCAGAGCCTCCTTGTGAGTCCAGTCGGGCCAACATCTTGATTTTGGCCTGTTGATGCCATAAGCAGAAAAGCCAGTTGAGCCTGCTTGAACTTTTAACCTACAGAAATTAAGTTAATAAATGAGTGTTGTTTTAAGTGACTAAATCTGTGATAATTTGTTACACAGCAGTAAAAAATTAGCACACTGTCTTGTTTTGTAATTGTTTCATGTGCCTTATCTTCCTTAAGTAATTGCAAGCCACTGGAAGGATAGAATCAAGTCTTTAGCACAGCACTTATACTTCTGCTTGCTCCACCTTATATTTCTGAATTTATTTCCCCCAGTAAGGTTCAAGATTATTTAAAGCTAATATAATGGGCTTAGAATAATGTAACTACGATAAAAAAAAATTCTATTTAAGGGAGGTCACAAGTATTTTCACGATGCCACTCAGGATGCAAAACATATTTCCTCTCTTTTTTTTGAGTGATTACTTATGCTTGTACCCTATATGTAAAGACAATAATCCCATATCCATTTTTAGCTATTGTGTAGTTACTCGCTTTCCTTAGAGAGCTTCCTATTGTAAATAACATAAAATGTTATTTTGCCTTCTCTTTCAGATCTCAATATCTCACAATTTACAAATATTCACTAAATTCTATAATATTTATGTTCACTAAGCAATAATTTTTTGTAGCCTCAGTTTACATATGAATACTCTGGAAACAATTTTCAGAATGGTGTGTGTGTGTGTGTGTGTGTGTGTGTGTGTGTAGGTGTGTATGTGTCTGTGACCTTCATGAAGACAATGTATTTATCATTAATCGTTTTTCGTATTAAAAGCCATGTTAGAAATATGAAAATAATAAGATTGTGATCTGGTTAATATAATATCCATCAGTTTTTAGAACAAAGTAAAACTAACTCTCTTCTTACAAAGATCATGAACTCTCTTCTTACAAAGATCATGAACAATTAACAAGTAAAACTATAATTTCACAGACAGTTGACCATCTAAATTATTTCAGACTTAGAGAAGAAGTGAGGCTACATTAAATTTTAATCAAATTTCACAGCTACTGAAATATATTCATGAAATACTTGATTGGCATTCCTAACAAAACAGAATTATCTATAAAAAGGATGGTTGCATTTTAAGGTCAGGCATGTCATTTTCATCTTCCTATGGTCAAATGTGTCATATTGAACAAATGTACCTGTTCATTCTCCTATTTCATTTCTTATGACTTTATTTTCAGAAACAATGCATGTAAATACCTCAAATTAGACTGGAAAGATATAATGGTTCTAAGATAAGTAAATGAGTTTACCAGGAGTAAATTATCATCCTGCTTTTATCAACTGGACTTGTTGATCCTATATGAAAGTTTTGTGGGCTTAGTTTTATAATGAAAACATATTAAATATTTTAATTATTATTTTTCTTACTCCATATAGTGTTCTTACATAATCTCTATAATTATTTCTATCGTAGACACTTCCTGCCAGTATTTATAGAGTTCTAGGTATGAAAGGAGGCAAACATAAAATGTATGTAGGTGAAACATTCTCCAGACAAAATAATATACAAAATTTTGACTTACTCACATTATATTTTGAAGAAAATATTTTACTTAATTATTTCTGTTTGAAATATTGTTTATTGTTGTAATTTTTAACAGTTTCAACATTTGTCTTAGATTCAGAGAGTACATGTACAGAGAGATTCAGAGAGTACATTGTTACATGGGTATATTGCTTGACGCTGAGGTTTGGAGTATGAATAATCCCATTACTTAGGTAGTGAGCATAGTACCTAATATATTTTGGATGTTTGCCCCTGCCTAAATCTCACGCTGAATTATAATCTCTAATGCTGGAAGTGGGGCCTGGGGAGGTAGTTGGATCATGGGGTTGGATCACTCACTCATGAATGGCTTGGGCCATTCCTTTGGTGATAAATGAGCTTATGCTCTGAGTTCTTGCAAGATAATGTAATTTAAAAGTGTGTGGCACCTTCCTTTTCACTCTCTCTCTTACTCCTGTTTTTGCCATGTGACCTTCAAGCTCTCACTTTGCCTTCTGCCATGAGTAAAAGCTGCCTAAAGCCTCACCAGAAGCCATGTTTCCTGTATAGCCTGCAGAACTGTGAGCCAACTAAACCTCTTTTTATAAATTGCCTAGTCTCAGGTACCTCTTTATAGCAATGTGTTAGCAAGAATGACCTAATACAGTACCAAATAGGTAGTTTTTCAGCCCTTGTCCACTCTTATCTCTCTCCCCTCTAGTAATCCCTCCTGTCTTTTGTTTCCATCTTTATGTCAATGTGTAGTCAATGTTTATCTCCCACTTAGAAGTGAGAATATGCAGTATTTGATTATCTGCTCCTGCATTAATTTGCTTACAATAATGTCCTCCAGGTGTATCCATGTTGCTGCAAGGTAGATGATTCCATTCTTTTTTATGGAAATGAAGTATTCCATAGTATATATGTGCCATATTTTCTTTATCAAATTCACCATTTGTTGGGCACCGAGATTGATTCCATGTCTTTGCTATTGTGAATAGTGCTGCAATGAACATGCAATTAAGTACATGTGCCTTTTTGGTAGAAAGATTTATTTTCCCTTTGTTATATACCCACTAATGGGATGGCTGGGTCGAGTAGCTCTAAGTTCATTGAGAAATATCAGAACTACTTTCCACAATGGCTGAACTAATTTACATTCTCACCCAACAGTGTATGAATATTCCCTTTTTTCTGCAGCCTCATCAATATCTGTTATTTTTTTACTTTTTAATAGCAGCCATTCTGACTGGTATGAGATAGTATCTCACTGTGGTTTTGATTTGCATTTCTCTGATGATTAGTGATGATGAGTATTTTTCTATAGGTTTGTTGGCTGCTTTTATGTCTTCTTTTGAGAAGTGCCTGTTCATATCCTTTGTCCACTTTTTAATGGGGTTGTTTTTTGCTTGTCCAATTGCTTAAGTTACTTACAGATTCAGGATATTAGACTTTCTCAAATGCATAATTTGTGAATATTTTCTCCCATTCTGTAAGCTGTCTCTTTACTCTGTTAATAGTTTCTTTTGCTTTGCAGAAGCTTTTAGTTTAATTAGGTGCCACTTGTCAATTTTTATTTTTGTTGCAATTGCTTTTGAGGACCTAATCATAAATTATTTGCCATGTATAATGTCCAGAATGGTATTTCCTAGGATTTCTTATAGGATTTTTATAGCTTGAAGTCTTACATTTGGGTCGTTAATCCATCTTGAGTTTATTTTTGTATGTGGTGATAGGTAGGGGTCCAGTTTTCTTCTTCTGCATATGGATAACAAGTTATTCCATTTATTCAATAAGGAGTTCTTTCCCCATTGCTAATTTTTGTCAACTTTGTTGAAAAGCAGATAGTTGTTGGTGTGCAGCTTGCTTGCTTTCTCTCTCTCTTTCTTTCTTTCTTTCTTTTTTTAATTTTCTATTCTATTCCATTGGTCTATGTGTCTGTTTACATACCAGTATCATGCTGTTTTGGTTACTGTTAACTTATAGTATAGTTTGATGTTGAATAGTGTGATACCTCCAGCTTTGTTTTTTTTGCTTAGTATTGCTCTGGCTTTTGAGCCTCTTTATTGGTTATATGTGAATTCTAGAATCATTTTTCTAATTCTGTGCAAAATAGCCTTGGTAGTTTGATAGAAATGGCATGGAATCTATAGATTTCTCTGGGCTGTTTGGCCATTTTAACAAAATTGATTCTTCCAATCTGTGAGCATAAAATGTTTTTCCATTTGTTTGCATCATCTCTGCTTTCTTTCAGCAGTATTTTGTAGTTCTCTTTGTAGAAATATTTTACTTCCTTGGTTAGGTGCATTTCTAGGTATTTGTGTGTGTGTGTATGTGTGTGTGTGTGTATTGTAAATGGGGTTATGTTTTTGATTTGACTAATGTAACACTTAAATAATACTTGATTCAACTTCTGTATAAGGCAAATACACTTTCTGGCTTAAACATAATTCCTAAACTCTTGCTATGTGTCAGGTGCTTTACTAGGCATTGGGGATACAATTCTTAGGTAGGGGATCAAAAAAGAGATAGACCTTGCTCTCAGTAAGTTCAATGTCTAGTATGGGAGATATAAATTACATTTGTAAACAGTCAAATATATGATTAAAATTATGATAAATGTCTATGAAGACAAGGCTATCATATAGAGATCTGACATATAAGATAAGGTGATGCTTTACTGAATATCTGAAAGAAGGGGAGCCATGTGAAGATCCAAATGTGAATTCTACCCCAAGGCAGAGAGTGAGCATAAATACCAGGAAAAAGCAACTAGCCAAAGTACTTTTAGGCATAAAAGAACAAGAAATATTAAAAGAACTAAAGGAATCTCAATGTGGCTGAAGAAGGGAGTTCATGAAAAAAAAAGCTAGGGATATGGTAAAGACAAGACCATCCTGAGTACAATAATAAACCATTAAAGTATTTTAAGTTTATTCTTGGAGGGGTGCAGTAAGGAACGCTACAACTGAATTGGTAGTTCAAGAAACTCTTGGAATATAGGGTGGAGAATGGATTGGAGAGAAACAAGACCAGATACCGGTTTAGGGCAGGGGAGAGTTAGTAGACTATTGTAATAGTTGATGCTAGAAATGAGGGTAGTTTGCATTAAAATGGTTGTGGTGATAAAGATGGAGAAAATTGGATAAATCAAAAATGTTTAGAATATAAAATTTATAGGACTTGGCAATCAATTAGATGGGTGTAGTGTTTAAGGAGAGGTAGGTTAATGTCAAAAATGACTCCAAGACTTGAAAAACTGGGGATATAATGGTCCTGTTGACTTAAATAGGAGAAATTTAATAGCATTTTATTTGGATTTGGTTTGAATATGTTGTTTTATGTGCTTTTGAGATATCCAGGTGGAAATATTAAACAGACAATTGATCAATGTGCCACTAAATTTGGTGTCTTTAAGGGCTCAGTCCCTGCTTCCAATATGGCACCTGGAAGCTGCATCCTCCAGAGGGAGGAGCATTGTTCCTCACATGACAGAAGAGCAAAAGGGGGTGGATCTACTTTCAAAAGCCCTTTTTATTGTAACATTAATTCATCCATGAAGGTAGAGCCCTCATTAACTGAACACTTCCCATTGGGTGGTACCTCCAAACACTGCTGCTTTGAGACCGAAGTTTCAAACACATGAGTTTTGAAGGGGACAAACATTCAAACCACAGCAGAGATATACATTTTATTTATTCATTGTTATTTCACTCAAAAAATTATTTCTGGGCCACCAATCAGGTTAATGGAACACAGCAGTATATATGAGAGATGAGGTTCTCATCACATGGAGTTCACATTCTAGTGGGGCAAGAGAGACATAAATAAAGAGATAAGCTGAGAGAAGGAAGCATCAAATATAGAAAACTGTGAGGCAATCATTCCTTTTGAAAAGGCAACACATACAGTAAAATATGAATGATGAGTAGGACACAGCTATGTGAAGATCCAAATGTAAATTCCAAGAAGAGTGAATCTGAAGAACAAAAATAAGTCCAATAAGGCTGGAGTATAAGTAATGAGTGAAGAAATGGTACATAATATTAGAGAGGCAGACTGGTATAATTCAGTGTAAGGCCACCACTTGGTGCTTTATTGTTTACAACTGCCATTCTGGTGGGCATATGGTGATATTGCATTGTGCATTTAATTTATTTACTCCTTCTAGATAGTGAAATGGGGTTTTTTTGTGTGTTTTGGGGCCATTTGGTTATCCTCCTTTGAAAAGTGTTTAAGTCTTTTGTCTGTTTTCCTAATTAGTTGTATCCTTTTTGTATTTATGGGAGTTCTTTATGTATTCTGAGTACTTTTTTTTTTTTTGCTCAGAGGTATGCATATCTTTTTTCACTCTGTGAGTTGTTATTTAATTTTCTTATTGGTATCTTTATATTGATTTACATTCTTCATGTAATTAAATATATATTATATTCTTTTATGGTTATTTTTTCTGCCTTGTTTAAGAAATATTTGTCTTCCAGAAGTTCATAAATACATTCTACAAGTTTTCTATAGAAGTTTCATTTTTTGCTTTTAACATTAAAATATGCAATCATTCTGAAATTGATTTTTATATATGGTATCATTAAAATTCAATTTTTCCAGATGGATATTCTATTGACCCAATGCAATTTTTTAAAAAGACAAGTCATTCATCTACCCTGTTCTTTAATGTTGTCTTTATAGAAATTCAGGTTGCTGTAAATCCATAGGTCTGTTTCTGAACTCTGTTTTGTTCTATTATTCAGTTTGTTTATCTATGCATCACTAACACACTGTTCTAATTATTATAATCTTATAATAGTTTTTAAAATCCAGTACTGTATGTTTTCTAGCTTTGAGCTTCCTTATGTTCACCTTGGCTATTACTGGTCATTTTCCAGGATTTTCATTAGAATTATGTTCAATATTTAGATTCATTTGGGAACAATTAACATTTGTTCAATACTGAGTCTTTTACTCTATCAACAAAATATATCCCTTTATTGTATCATCCTTTTTAAAATTTTGCTCAATATTGATTTATAGCTTTTAGCATAGCTGTAATCCACGTATTTTGTTCAACATATTCTTAGGTATTTTATTTTTAATGCTATTTCAAATGGTATAATTTCTAAAATTTTGTTTTTTAGTTATTTGTTGATTTTTATTCTAAATGCTTATTGAGAAATCTTGTTAAATTAGCTGATAAATACTAAAAGTTTAAAAATTATTTTGGATTTTCTACATCTACAACCATATCATCTACAAATGAAAATATATATATATATAATTTTAAAATATTTATGCTTTTATTTCCTTTTCTTACCTTATACATTAGTTAGGATTCTCTTTATAAGCTATAGAGTAGTTACTGTTTTTCCATTCTTTGGAAGAGTTTATGTACAATTGGGTTTATTTCTTCTTTGGAAGAGTGCACAGTGAAGCCATCTGAGCTTGGGGATTTCTATGAGGGAAAGTTTCAAATAATAAATTTAATTTATTTAATGGATATGACTATTATATATTTTCTATAATTGGATTTATTTGTTTTTGGTATCTATTAACTTCTTTTTATTGAACATAAGAAAACGTAGTTTACTCTGGTCGTGTTTTTTCCTTTTTTTCTTTCTTTCTGAAGCTAGTAACTCTTTATGCATCAAAATAACTGATTGCAAAATCGAACAAGGACATTATGTTTCTGCAAATTGCAGACCACACTTTCACAAACTTGATGGAAAATCCTTAGTGAAATAATAGAAAATTGGGTTCAGTGATATATGAAAAGGGTATTACATCACATCTCCAAAACAATGCAGTTCACCTTGACAAAATAAGAAGAAAATAAAATAACCATAAGATTATATGTTAAAAAATGGGCATAAATATAACACAAATTCATTAAAAACAAACTTTTAGAAAATGAGGAATAAAGAGAAACTTCTTTATATAATAAAGAATTTCCAGAAAAAAAGTCTTTTCAGCAACCATTAAACTCAATGGTGAAACATTGAAAATGGTTTACTTGAGATAAGGAAAAAGAAAAGGAAACATGCTATTACAGTTTCTTTGCAATGTCATATAGGGAATCTTACTAATGCAAACTTGTTTTTGTTAGAGTGTAATGACAATTTTTGAGGTGTGTTTTCTTTTTTTAAAATCTCTATGCAGCATATGCTGTAGGTGCCCTATCGACATTGCCTTCATGGAAATCTTTCCCAGAAAGTTGTACCCTTTTTCAAGCAGCCAACCAGTTTTTACTGATTGACTGACATGAAAAATAACAAAAAGCCGTTGACCTTTTTCCAAGGTGAGACCAAATCTATGGTACATTTAAGCTTCATTGCTACTCCTGGGACTAAGCTTTATAGTCTCAGGGCTTTAAGTCCAAAGGCTTGGTATGCTTTTTCCACCAGTCTAAAGCCTCAATGTTCTTCCTTTGCAGGCACCACTACACTAATCACTTTTACAAAAATCTCATTTCAACCTCTGTTTCTGGAGAATGCTAACTATGACACTCTTTATCCTTAAGTTTTCCTGTTTTTTTTTTTAATGACTAATTTTTACAGAGGCTTTTTTCAGATAACTGCTAATTTCTCAATGTCAGTTATTTAGTTATTTCCTCTTGAACTGATTATATTCCTCAGAGAAGGCTCTCCCTGTCTGTACTGAAGGGTAAAGTCCTGGCTTCCAGTGTTCTAGAAGTGTAATGAAGGGAGATATCCAGGGATCTCATCATTGAGCATACGTGTGTTTTGACCTGACATTTCCTTTCAACTAGATTCTTTTTGTAAATTTTAAATTTTGTGTATGTGCCTCTATCAATTATTGGAAAATATTAAATAAAATATTTGTGATATATCAATAAGACTTTCCGCCACTAAAGGATAAAACATAAATTTTATTATATGTCAGAGAAAGCAGTGACATAAAATCAAGCAACCAACTTCTAGTCCTGACATTGCTTCTACATATATGTGGGGTCTTGAGCAGGTCAATAACATCTTTGGATCTTAGTTTCCTTTTCTGGAAAGTATGATTTTGGATGTGAAACTAGGGGAGAGAGAGTAAAGAGGAAAGTTATATCATACAGAAAAAATAAGCATATTATTTTAATATCTGCTACAAAGGTATATCCATGCTTTATTTTATTTCTACAATAGCTTCTATGAATGACTTGAAAACGATACCATCATGTGATTTCACTGAGAAATTCAAATTTGAACTTAAAGGACAGATATAGTATGACATTTGAATACATAGTTTCCAGAAGTTATAACCACCTCACACTCAAGAGAGTTGGGAAAAGAAAGACTCTCTAGTTATGGAAAATTTTATACTCAAGACAAAATTTTCTTTAATCATAGCTGAAGAAGAAACGTTAGATTTTGAGACTTTGGACAGTTTTTGAGGATAACTGGCACATCTAATGCTACTAGTGTCTCAATCATTGAATTTTTTGCATTGGAAATCTATTGGAGTATCTGGCCATTTACTAATTTTCTGGAAACATTATTTTAGAGTGGCAAGACTTTTGGCAGACTTTATTGTGTGATCCCACAACAAACACAGTTGAACAAATGATGAATGGGTATCTGATGCAAGCTGGATTAATCCGAGACTCTTTTCCAGAAATTTTAATTGCAAATGAAAGAAATGATATCAATTTATCTCCTGGTTGTTGTATACTAAACAAACACAGTCATATGAACTACAGAAGCAAAGAAAGTCACTCTGCAAAGAAAAAGAAAAATGAAGAAAACACACAGAACAGAGTACAAACAAATTAGAAAGAAAACACTGATAGCATTCTTGCTTCTAGTTACTTTCTGGTTTCCTTCTGTACTTGGGTTCCTTGATAAATCCTGTTTATTTACAATAAATCACTTTCATCTTGCTTAAGGTAATTTAAGTTGGTTAACTGCAACCAAGAGAATGCTAACCTATATCATATTCTAATGATTTCAGATTATTCTATTTGTTCATTAATTCCTAGAATTAGACTAGTTGGGTATCACAGAAAATGTCAAGTCAAATCTGCTGCATCTTTTATCGAGTTTTAAAAAGATGAAATTCCATGCTGGTGGTGTGAGATCATAGAGAATTTCTCAATGACTGCTTGTGGGATGACATTCTAGTAATTCAGAATATATATATATATATATATATATATATATATATATAAAAATTATTGGAGATATATATATATATATAGTAATTTATATCCAATAATGATGCTTCTGGGAATCTATCATAAGAAAACTAATCCAAAATATGAAAAAATCTTAAATGTACTGTCATGAACCACAGAATGATATTTAGGTAAACAAGAGACCATGTATAGCACTGTGGTCACATGAGATTATAATGCCATATTTTTACTGTACCTTTTCTATCTTTAGACATGTTTATATACAAAAATACTCACCACTATATAACAAACAGTTACCTACAGTATTCAGTACAGTTACATGCTGTACAGATTTGTAGCCTGTAGCAATAGGCTATACCATACAGTCTAGGTGTGTAGTAGGCCATAAACTCTAGGTTTGTGTAAGTAAAATCTATGATGTTCACACAAGAATGAAAATTTCCCAAAGACACATTTCTTAGAATGTATTCTGTCTTTAAGTTATGCATGAATATATTAGTAGAAGCATTTTTTGTAGTGATAAAATTTGAAATGATCTATATCAGCAAAAACTATTTGAATTAAGACAGGAGGAGAATAGAAACCTCCACCAATCATTGTCCCCCACGGGAACACTGAATTGAACAACTATCCACATAAGAAAGCACCTTCATAAGAACCAAAAGTCAGGCAAGTGTTCACAGTACCTGGTTTTAACATCCTATTAAGACTAACTGAAGACAGTAGGAAAGACAGTCTTGAATTGCCAACGTCAACCCTCCCACATTCTCCCCACCCTGGCAGTGGCCATGTGGCACAGAGAAAGAATCTGTGTGCTTGGGGGAGGGAGGGTAAAGTGATGACGGAACATTTCATTGGAACTCAGTGCTGCCCTGTCACAATGGAAAACATCCCAGGGTAGAATACAGTCCAGCACCCAATGGAGGGAACACTTATACCAGTCATAGCCAAAGAGGACTTACCATCCCAGAGGTCAGAACCTGAGTTCTGCTTAGCCCCACCACAGTGGGCTAAAGTGCTATGGGGTTCAAAATAAACTTAAAAGATAGTCTAGGACTCAAGGACTGCAATCCTGGGCAACTCCTCCTGCTGTACTGGGCTGAGAGCCAGTGGACTTGAGGGGCACACAGTCTAGTGAGATACCAACACAGTCGGCCAAAGGAGTGCTTATGTCACCCTTCCCCCAGTCCCAGGCAGTGCAGCTCACAGCTCCAGGAGAGATTTCTTCCCTCTTCTTGAGGACAGGAGAAGGAAGAGTAAAGAGGACTTTGTCTTGCAGCTTGTGTACCAGCTCAGCCTCAGTCAGGTAGAGTACCAAGTGGTTTCTTGGGGTCCCCAATTTCAAGCCTTGGTTATTGGGTGGAATTTTTGGACCTTATCTGGGCCAGAAGGGATTCCACTGCCCTGAAGGCAGAGTCCCAGGCCTGGCAGCATTCACCAAAAGCTGACTTAAGAGCCCTTGGGACTTGACTGAAAATCAGTGGTAGCCAGGCAGTACTCGTCATGGATCCTGGGTGAGACCCAGGGCCATGCTGGCTTCAGAAGTGACCCAGGCCATTCCCAGCTATGGTGGCCATGGGGAGAGACTCTTTCTGCTTGAGGAAAGGAGAGAGAAGAGTAAAAAGAATCTAATTTTACAACATGGACACCAGCTAAGCCACAGTAAGATAAAGTATCAAGCAGTCTCTTAACATTTCCAATTCTTGGCCTTAGTTCCTGGCGTGCATTTCTAGATCTACTCTGGACCAGAATGGAACCCACTCTCCTAAAGGGAGAGGTCCAGGTCAGGCAGGACTTAACAACCTGCTGACTAAAGGGTTCTTGAGCCTTAAATAAGAAACAGTACCTGGCAGTACTTGCCATGGGCCTAGGACGGTGGTGGCCAGGGGAGAGACTTCTTCTGCTTAAGGAAAAGAGAAGACTAATTAAAGAGGACTTTGGGCTGGGTGTGGTGGCTCATGCCTGTAATCCCAGCACTTTGGGACACCAAGGCAGGCAGATCACGAGGTCAGGAGTTCAAGACCAGTCTGGCCAATATGGTGAAACCCCGTCTCTACTAAAAATACAAAAATTAGCCTGGTGTGGTGGCACACGCCTGTAGTCTCAGCTACTCAGGAGGCTGAGGAAGGAGAATTGCTTGAACCTGGGAGGTGGAGGTTGCAGTGAGCCAAGACCATGCCATTGCACTCTAGCCTGGGCAACAGAGTGAGACTCCTTCTCAAAAAAAAAAAAAAAAGGACTTTGTCTTGCAATCTGGGTGCCAACTCAGCCCGAGTGAAATAAAGCATGAAGCAGATTCCTAAAGCCCTCGATGTCAGGCCTTATTTCCTGGATGGCATTCATAGACCTACTCTGGGGAAAAAGGGAACGTACTCATCTGAAGTGAAAGACTCAGTCCTGGCAGGATTCATCATCTGCAGGCCGAAGAGCAACGCTTGAGTCTTGAACAAACATTAGCAATAGCCAGGAAATTATTGACAGAGGCCTCGGTGAGCCCCAGTACAGTGCTGGCTTCAAGCACAATCTCAGTAGTGGAGGCCACAAGAGTGCCTGCATCACCTTTCCCCCAAATTCAGGCAGCTCAGCACAGAAAGAAGAATCCATTTGTTTGGGGAAAATAGAGGAAGAGAACAAAAGAATCTCTCTAATAATCCAGGAAATTCTCCCAGATCTACCACAAGACCATCAAGGTGGTTTCTCCATGCATCTGCAAGAGTCACAGTATCACTGGGCTTAGGATGACCTCTAATGCACATAAGACTGCAGTGACCAAAGATTACAACACTCAATTCCCTTTGAATACCTGGAAAGCCTTCTCAAGAATGATGATTACAAACAAGCCATGATTGCAAAGATTAAAATAAATATCTAACTCTTCAATGCCAAGACATCAGCAATAATCAAGATTATGCAGGAAAACATGACCTCACTAAATGAACTAAATAAGTCACCAGTGAACAACTCCAGAGTGACAGAGATGGGTGATCTTTCAGACAGAGAATTCAAAATAGCTGTTATTGAGGAAGCTCAATGAAATGCAAGATAACACAGAGAATGAAAGCAGAATCCTATCAAATAAATTTAACAAAGAGATTGAAATAATTTAGAAAAATCATTTAGAAATTCTGTAGATAAAAAATTCAATTGAAAAATTGAAGAATGTGTGACAGTCTCTCAATAACTAAGCTGATCAAGAAGAAAAAAGAATTAGCTTGAATACAGACTATTTCAAAATACACACTCAGATGAGATAAAACATAATAAAACAATGAAGCATGCCTACAAGATCTATAATATAGCCGTAAAAGGGCAAGTCTAAGAGTTATTGGCCTTAAAGAAGAGGTAGACAGATCAAGATAGAAAGTGTATTCAAAGGGATAATAAAAGAGAACTTTTCAAACCTCAATTCTGCTATTAATATTCAAGAACAAGAAGGTTATAGAACATCAATGAGATTTAACTGAAATACAAATACCTCAAGACATTTAATAATCAAACTCACGAGGGTCATTTATAAAGAATATTCCTAAAAGTAGAAAGAGAAGAGAAGCAAATAACTTACAATGAAGCACCAATACACCTCACAGCAAATTTCTCTGTGGAAACTATACAGGCCAGGGGAGTGGCATGACATATTTAAAGCACTGAAGGAAAAAAAAATCCTAGAATAGTAGATCCAGCAAAAATATCCTGCAAACTTGAAAGAGATATAAAGACACTCCCAGACAAACAAAAGCTAAGAGATTTTCTGAACACCAAACCTGTCCTACAAGAAATGCTAAAGGGAGTACTTCAATCAGAAAGAAAAAGATGCTTATTCTTCACAGAACTAGAAAAAAACAATTCTAAAATTTATACAGAACCAAATAAATAAGAGCTCACATAGCCAGAAAGAAAAATTAACAATACTAAGAAATTCAATACTAAGAAAAATTAACAAATTTGGGAGCATCACATTATTAGACTTCAAATTATACTACAAATTTATAGTTACCTAAACAGCATGGTACTGGTATAAAAATAGGAATATAGACCAATGGAACAGAATAGAGAACCCAGAAATAAAGACAAATACTTACAGCTGACTGATCTTCTAAAAAGCATACAAAAACATAAATTGGGGAAAGGACACCCTATTCAATAAATGGTGCCGGGAAAACTGGCAAGCCACATGTAGAAGAATGAAACTGGATTCCCATCTCTCACCTTATACAAAAATCAATTCAAGATGGATCAAATACTTAAATCTAACACTTGAAACCATAAAAGTTCTAGAAGATAACATTGGAAAAATTCATCTAGACATTGGCTTAGGCAAAGAATTCATGACTAAAATCCCAAAAGCAAATGCAACTATAACAAAAATAAATAAATGGGACCTAATTAAACTAAAAAGCTTTTGCACAGCCAAAGAAATGATCAACAAACAGACAACCCACAGAGTGGGAGAAAATATTTGCAAACTACATATCCAACAAAGTACTAATATCCAGAATCTACAAGGAACTCAAACAAATCAGCAAGAAAAAGAAATTAAATCAAAAAGTGGGCAAAGGAATGAATGGACAGTTCTCAAAAGAAGATTGACAAACAGCCAACAAACATATGAAAAAATGCCAAACATCACTAATCATCAGTAAAATGCAAATTAAAACCACAATGAGGTACCACCTTATTCTCTCAAGAATTGTCATAATTAAAAATTTAAAAAACAATAGTTGTTGGCATGAATTTGACGAAAAGGGAACACTTTTACACTGCTGGTGAGAATGTAAATTAGTACAGTCTCTATGGAAAACAGTATAGAGATTCCCAAGTGAACTAAATGTAGAACTCCCATTTGATCCAGCAATCTGACTACTGGTTTTGTACCCAAAGGAAAAAAAAGTCATATGAAAAAGACCCATGCACACTCATGTTTATAGTAGCACAATTCACAATAGCAAAGATATGGAATCAACCTAAGTGCCCATCAACCAATAAGTGGACAAAAAAATATGGTATATATACAACATGAAATACTACTCAGACATAAAAAGGAACAAAAAATGTCTTAGCAGCAGCTTGGATGCAGCTGGAGGCCATTATTCAAAATGAATTAAGTCAGGAACAGAACAGCCAATACTGTATGGTCTCACAAGTAGGAACTAAGCTATAAGGATGCAGAGGCATAAAAATTATGTAACAGACTTTGGATACTTGGGGGTAAGGCTGGGAGAGGGTTTGAGGGTTAAAAGACTACATATTGGGTACAGTGTACAATGCTCAGGTGATGAGTACACTAAAATATCAGAAATCACCACTAAATAACTTATCCACACAACCAGAAATCATCTATTCTTCATCTATTTAATCAAACAATTAAAAATTAAAATTAAAAAAGAAAGACAAAGATCTTAACGAGCAAGAGGAAATCATCCTAAGGTACAAAACAAACTGGTAATAGTAAGTAGACAGACAAATACAGATTATTGTAACACTCTAATTGTGGTATGTAAACTACTTATATCTTAAGTAGGTAGACTCATAGATGAATATACCAAAAATAATAACTACAGCTTTTTAAGACATAGATAGTACAATGATATATAAATAGAAAAAATAAAAAGTTAAAAAGTCAGACAGATAAAGTTAAAATGCAGAGTTTTGGTTAGTTTTCTCTTTATTTGTTTGTTAATTTAACTGTCTTTGCCATCAAAGATAAGTTATCATCAGTTTAAAATAATGGGTTATATGATTTGGAAACCTCATGGTAACCTCTAATTGCAAAACCAGAAACAGATACAAAAATTATATAAATTAAGAAATGTAAACATACCAACAGAAAAAATCAATTTCAAAAATAGAAGATGGGAAGGAAGGAAAAAAGAAGACAACAAAACAAACAAAACAGATACCAAAATAGCAGTGCAAAGTACCTACTTACCAGTAGCAACATTGAAGGTAAACAAAATTGAAAGTCCAATAGAAAGACAAAGAGTGCATGAATAAATGAAAAAAAAAACGAGACCAAATGATCTATTGGCTGTAGGAAACTCACTTCACCTACAAAAACAGATGTAGAATGAAAATAATGGGGTAAAAAGAGATATTCCATGCTAACAGACAGCATAAAAGAGGAGGAATAGCTCTATTTATTGAATAAAATAGATTTCCAGACAAAAACTATAGAAAGAGTCAAATAAGGTCATTATATAATGAGAAATTCAGAAATATCAATTCAATAAGAGGATACAACAATTCTAAGTATATACGTACCCAACAGTAGAGCACCCAGATATGTAAACAAATGTTATTAGAGCTAAAAAGAGAGACAGATCCCAACACAATAATTGTTGGAGATTTCAACACTCCACTTTCAGCATTGTACAGATCATCCATACAGAAAATCAACAAAGAAACATCGGACTTAATATGCATTATGGATGAAATGGACCTATTGGGTATTTACAGAACATTTCATGCAATAGCTGCGGAATATGCATTCTTCCTCTCAGCACATGGATTATACTCAAGGATAGACCATATGTTAGGCCACAGGTCTTCAAAGATTCAAAAATAATGAAATTATAATATATCTAGTATCTTTTCCGACCACAATAATAATAAATAGAACTAGAAATCAGCATCAAGAGGAATTTTGGAAACCATAAAAACACATGGAAATTAAACAATATGCTCCTGAATAACCAGTGGGTCGTTCTTATACCTACTTATACCACTGTTATTCAAGATATTACTGAAAGTCCTAGCTAGAACAATCAGACAAGAGAAAGAAATATAGGGCATCCAAATTGGAAAGGGAGAAATAGCGTTATCCTTGTTTGCAGATGATATGATCTTATATGTGGAAAAATCTAATGACTCCAATGAAACACTATAAGAGCTAATAAAAAAATTAAGTTGTAGGATACAAATAAACATAAGAAATCAGTAGTATTTCTTTATGCCAACAGTGAACTATCTGATAATCAAATTGGAAATAATCCCATTTACCATAACTACAAAAAATAACAGAATCTAATTGTTTCATATGGCTGAGTAGTACTCCATTGTGTATATGTACCACATGTTCTTTATCCCTTTGTAAGTTGATGGACACTTAGGTTGCTTCCAAATCTTGGCTATTGTGAATAGTACTGCAATAAACCTGGGAGTGCAGATAACTCTTTGATATACTGATTTCCTTTCTTTTTCATATCTACCTAGTAGTGGGATTGCTGGATTATGTGATAGCTCTATTTTTAGTATTTTGAGGAAGCTATGAACTGTTCTTCATAATAGTTGCTCAAATTTACATTCCCACCAACAGTGTATGAGGGATCCCTTTTCTCCACATCCTTGCTAGCATTTATTTTTTCCTGTCTTTTGGATAAAAGACATTTTAACTGGAGTAACATATCTCATTGTAGTTTTGATTTGCATTTCTCTGATAATCAGGAGGTCATTATTTTAAGTGAAATAAGCCATGCATAGAAAGAGAAACACCACAAATTCTCCCTAATCTGTGGGAGTTAAAGATTGAAACAATTTAACTCATGGAGATAGAGAGTAGAAGGATAGTTACCAGAGGCAGGAAGGGTAGTCAGGGGTTGGGGGGAAAAAGGGATGATTCATGGGTACAAAATATAGTTAGAAAGAATAAATAACACTTAGTATTTTCTAGCAAAACAGGGTACCTGTAGTAAAAAGTTAATTTAATTGTACATTTAAAAATAATTAAAAGACTACAGCTGGATTGCTTGAAACACAAATGATAAATGCTTGCCGTGATAGATACCCTACCAAAACAGAAACAAAAACAAAAACTAGTATTTGGGACAGAAGGATATCTTCTTGTCAACCTAACTCTCAAGGGGTATATAAAAAATGTTCTTCGCCCACTTTTTGATGGGGTTGTTTGTTTTTTTCTTGTAAATTTGTTTGAGTTCATTGTAGATTCTGGATATTAGCCCTTTGTCAGATGAGTAGGTTGCGAAAATGTTCTCCCATTTTGTAGGTTGCCTGTTCACTCTGATGGTAGTTTCTTTTGCTGTGCAGAAGCTCTTTAGTTTAATTAGATCCCATTTGTCAGTTTTGGCTTTTGTTGCCATTGCTTTTGGTGTTTTAGACATGAAGTCCTTGCAGAGCTTCCAGCAGTTCAAATAGTTAATATCAATTCTGAGACGTCTCAGTGAAATAATTCAAATTATTCACTTTCTCACTGATTTTTTACCACTATGCACGTATGTTCTCTGTTGAGGATATTTAAAACTCAGAGTGGGGGAACTTGGGGCAAGACCAGGATCAGGCACCTACGTGGATGAACTGAAATAATTTCACTCTAAATTCATCTTTAAATACATCCAGTTGGTAAATATTGTTCTAACTTGTACAAGGTGGTAAGAACTTACAATTAGGTGCTAACTATATATTGTATGTATTGTAACGTCACCATGTGCCCTGTGCCCCATGAATATGTGTAATAATTACTTGCCAATAAAAATAAAGAAAAAAAAAGAAAAAATGTTCTTTATCCTCACTTGTAGCCTCTCTATAAGTGTGTTTATTTAAATTATGTTTTTAAGATTATCAAAAATGTTTTTTATCTTTATAAAATAAAACTGAATTTTTTAAAAAAAGATACCTAGGAATTAACTTATCCTAGGAAATGAAAGATCTCTATATTGAAAACGATAAAGCATTGGAGCAATAAGTTGGAGAGGACACAAAAGAAAGGAAAGCTATTCCATGTTTATAGATTGGAAGAGTCAATATTGTTAAAATGTCAATACTACTCAAAGCAATCTACAGGTTCAATGCAATCCCTCTCAAAATACCGATGATATTCTTCACAGAAACATAAAAAATAATTCTAATATTTTTATCAAGCCATTTAAAGACCCAGAATAGCCAAAGCCACTCTGAGCAAAAAGAACAAAACTGGAGGAATCACATTACCTGACCTTGAATTGTGCTACAGAGGTATCGTGAAAATAACAGCATGGTACTGGCATAATAACAGACGCATGAACAAATAGAACAGAAAAGAGAACCCAGCAAAAAATCCATACATCTACGGTTAACTTATTTTCAGCAAAGGAGCCAAGAAGGTACATTGGGAAAGGACAGTCTCTTCCCAAATGGTGCTGGTGAAACTGTATCTAGATATGTAGAAGAAGGAAACTAGACCCCTATTTCTCATCATATATAAAAATCAACTCAAAATGTATTAAAGGCTTAAATCTGAGACCACGGACTGTGAAACTATTACAATAAAATATTGAGGAAATTGTAGGATGGTCCTCTGGGGAAAAATTATTCATTAATACCGCACAAGCACAGGCAACCAAAGCAAAAATAGAAAAATGGAATTAAATAAAGTCAAAAAGCTTCTGCACAGCGAAAGAAGCTATCAACAAAGTGAAGAGAAAACCTACAGAATGGGGGAAAATATTTGCAAACTACCAATCTGACAAGGCATTAATAACCAAAATAAATAAGAAGCTCAAACAACTCTATAAAAAAACTAATAATCTGATAAAAAAATAGAGAAAAGATTTGAATAGGCATTTCTCAAAAGAAGACATACAAATGGCAAACAAGCATATGAAAAGGTGATTAACGTTGATCATCAAAGAAATGCAAATCAAAACTACAATGAGAGACCATCTCACCCCAGTTAAAATGGCTTATATCCAAAACACAGGCACTAACAAATGCTATCCAGTATGTGGAGAAAAGGGAACACTTGTACACTGTTAGTGGGAATATAAATTAGTACAATCACTATGGAGAACACTATGGAGTTTCCTCAACTACCATATGATCCAGCAATCTCACTCCTAGGTATATACCAAATTAAAAAAATCAGCATATTGAAGAGCTATCTGCACTCCCATGTTTCTTGCAGCACTATTCACAACAGCCAAGATTTGGAAACAACCTAAGTGTCCATCAATAGAGAAATAGATAAAGAATATGTGGTACATATACACAATGGAGTGCTATTCAACTGTAAAAAGAAATGAGATCCTGTCTTTTGCAACAACATCGATGGAACTGATTATTCATTATGTTAAGTTAAATAAACCAGGCACAGAAAGACAAACTTCACATGTTCTCACTTATTTATAGGAGCTAAAAATTTAAACAGTTGAACTCATGGAGATCGCGAGTAGAATGATGGTTACTAGAGGCTGAGAAGGGTAGTTGGGAGGGGGAAGGAAATGGGAATGGTTCATGGATACAAAAATATAGCTACATGCAATGAATTAGATCTACTATTGGATAGTACAACAGGGTGAGTACAGTAAGCAATAAATTTTTTACATTTTAGAATAACTGAGGAAGTACAATTGGGATGTTTGTAACAGTAGGGTATGGTGAATGCTTGAGGTGATGTATATCCAGTTTACTCTGATATAATTATTACACATCGTATACCTGTATCAAATTATCTCATGTACCTAATGAATATATATATATGTACTACATACCTATAAAAATTACAAATGCCAAATTTAAAAAATAAATTATTATAGAGTAACATAATGCAGTTTTTAAAGTAATTAAATTGTTTTCAAAAATGATTTTCAATTATATGAGTAAATGCTACTTCCATTTGGAAGAGAGAATATCCAACATTTTGCATCAAATTTCTTCCATATTTTAAGGATAATTTCTTAAAATGTTATTTAAAATCATCTTTTCATTTAAAAGTGTTTTGTGTTGGTTAATGCATCCATTTTCTAATTCTTTCTACATTATCAGAATACTTTCTAAATCTTTGCATGTTTTCAGATTATGTTCACCAACATCCCATTTATGAAAGAAAATGGAAGACTTTGGCTGTCTCTAAATATACATCCTTGCATCTATTTCCAAAGGAGCTATTTGTTATTTTACCAAAAGTATTCCAGTAAATAAGAAAATTCAAAAATACTGTGAGCTTCTAAAAACACCATATTCACTGTGGATATACTGTGTCTTCATCATTGTTCATAAAGATTTTGACTAAAGCTCTGGAAAGTCATGTTGGGGAGAGCATATGTTTCTTTCACACAATTCTAGTTTTTTAACGGATGTTATTTTGTCTTTACAATCTATAAATTTACTAAACAATTCAGAGTAAATATATATTCCTATTCTGTGAGTTCTCTTTGGATAGTAAGTTTCATCGATTTAATATTTGCTGTATAAAATAGGTCAACTATTGCCAGGGCATGGTGGCTCACACCTGTAATCTCAGCACTTTGGGAGGCCAAGGTGGGTAGGTTGCCTGAGGTCAGGAGTTTGAGACCAGCCTGGCAAACACGGCAAAACCCCATCTCTAGCAAAAATACAAAAAATTAGCCTGACATGGTGGTGTGTACCTGTGGTCCCAGCTACTCGGGAGGCTGAGGTGGGAGGATTGTTTGAACCCTGGGAGGTGGAAGTTGCATTGAGCCGAGATCATACTACTGCACTGCAGCCTGAATGACAGTGTGACTCCTGTCTCATACAGAAAAAAAAAAAAAAAAGAACCACTACTGAGTTTTCCAAAATGAACCCTTTAATTTTGAAGTTCAGGGATATTATGAACCAGTTTATTTTTGCCTAATCCATAGGTAGCATTTGCAACTTTTATAGATTTCAGGCATATTCAGTATCAGCTTCTGTCATATGTCTTTGAAGAAAAGTCACAAAGGGTGTTAAAAATATTTTATTTAACACTATTCATTACCTCCAGTGAAATCAAAATTATAATAGCATTATTTTTAATATAGAAAAAAGGTAAAGTATCAAATGTAATCAACCTTGACTAATACATCTATTTAACCATATAAAGTTTTAAGGTAGAACTAAAAATATGTGAAGATGAAAGCATTGTTTAATTTTGAAATGTATTTCTCATTTCATGTGTCTTCTTTCTTTGCTATACTGATACTTCACAAGGTTCTAGTAGGAGAGGATAACAGTGATACCATCTGTTACTCAGCTCTCTACACATCAGGTATTAAACAAAGAGTGTTGCATATATCATCCATTTAATCCTCAAAATAATCTTCACAATAAAGGTGTAAGTGCTAATATATGATAATTTTATAGGTAAAGAAACCAAAGCAAAAAAAATGTGATTAATTTGTCTATGAACATATAATTAATAAGTGTTGGAGCCAGAATTCAGACCCTGGCAATCTCTAGTTTTTAAACTCTCAACAACTGTTATTCTGAGGTATCAGAAAGGAGACTCTCCCAAAAGATACTGGCTTGACTTTTGACTAAGAAAATTACTTGATTCTCTTCTCCCTTCCGCAAACTGACTGCTTATTTCACTCAATGTATGGACTCAAGAGATATCAAGTTAATATACCTTGCATTAGTATTGATTATACATAGAAAAATACAATAATGAAATATAAGAAGACAATTAAAGGTATACAGACCAGCAGATATATATGCTATTCAGGTCATTTAATAACAGATAGTGAGAAGGACCTTTGTGAGGAGAAATAAATTGTACCCAACAAAAATTTCAAATACTCTATTTCCTCTTCTTGTTTTCAAAGATTTACACATTAACATTTACTATTGTTCTAAATTTCACAATTAAAGCATATATTATATTTTAAAATAAACATAGAAAAGAGTCAAACAAAAATATGAAAGACTGCAATAAAGTTTAGTTCTCCCAAATTTGCTGAGTTTCTGTATACCTTTTCTTGATATGGCATCATATAAAGACATGCAGGAACTAAATTCCAGAGCAGCTCTATTCTACTCTGCATTCCCTGAGTGCAGTTGACAGAGAGTTTTAAATTCCATATATCATTTATAAATAGCTGTGTTGATTTTATAGTCATTACCAAGCTCAGCCTGAGCACCAAAAAGGAACACTCACCCTGTAGACAGACACATTTGATGTTGTCAGAGTTAGTGCAAAATAATCCAAGTCCATTGCACTAATTTTGCCATTACCTGGAGAAGTCACACACCCAGAATATAAAGTGCCTGATAACAAATTAATATTTGTACTGGTTTGCCAAGGCAAGTTGAATACGAATGTCAATTCAAAATAAGTCCCAGCGATTGTGGAAGACATAATAAGTAGTTAAGACAACCCAAGGCAGGTGTTTCCTTACTTCTGCGAGGTCAGGTACAGGTGTTCCTGACACTCACCAAATTTAGCTCTCTCAATTACTAGATCACCTGTCAATCATCTAAATTGAATGTTAAGCTTTGTTGAGATCATAAATGATGATTAGAAAAAAGTATTTACATTGGAGTTTGAGATTATTTTTATTTTATTTACTTATTTATTTATTTATTTATTTTCAGACGGAGTCTCGCTCTGTCGCCCAGGCTGGAGTGCAGTGGCGCGATCTCGGCTCACTGCAAGCTCCACCTCCCAGGTTCACGCCATTCTCCTGCCTCATCCCCCCGAGTAGCTGGGACTACAGGCGCCCGCCATCACGCCCGGCTAATTTTTTGTATTTTTAGTGGAGACGGGGTTTCACCGTGTCACAGACAGCATGGTCTAAGGCAACGTCAGCATAACCCATGTATCAGCCAGGGTTTCTGGAGAAACAGAATCAATAAGATAAATGCATACCTATGTTAATGTACCTGTATCTATTTATTATCGATTATCTTTCTATTGTAACTGATTTATTTTAAGGAATTGGCTCACATGATCACGTGATTATGGAGGCCAGCAAACCTAAAATCTGTAGGGCAGGCCAGCAGACTAGAAATTCAAGTAAAAGGTGATGTTGCATTATTGAGTCCAAAATTCATAGCGCAGGCAGCAGGGTGAAAACTTAGACAATATTTACAATCTGTAGACTTGAGTCAGAATTTCTTATTTGGAAAACCAAATCCTTTGTTCCTAAGGCCTTCAACTGATTGAGTAAAGCTTACCCACATTATGGATGGTAATCTGTTTTAAAGTCAACTGATTGTAAATTGTAATCACATATAAAAATAGCTTCACAGCAATATATAGACAAGTGTTTGAACAACTGGGCCTCATAGCTTAACCAGATTGACACACTAAATTTACCCATAAGCTCCCCCTCCGCCCGACACACACATACATAAGTAAACAACCCTGGCAACACTGGCCTCATTATTGCTGTGTTCTAAACGACTGAGATAATATCGTTTGATATTTAAATACAATTTTAAATAACTCATTTTAGCAATGAAAATCATGAATTATTAGAAAATATAGAACTTTCCCCAGTGTCTTTCCTATAGGTCTGCTCTTCCTTTCACTGAAAATAATTATATGACAGTTAATTTGTTTATCTACTGAGAATGAAATCATATTCCTATGAGTAGATTGTTTTCATTTTCTATTATTCACAGAAGTTTAGCTTTCCAAAATGTCTAAAGTGCTTAGGCAGTTTTGCTTAGCCAATAGCCCTGAAGATGAACTTATTCATTACAGCATTCATTTTATTGGCAACTGACCAAACTACCTAAACCAAACTGCAAGCCTCTTAATTTTTTTTTTAATTTTACCCAATTCCATTTTGAAAAAGTAACACTCATGTCCCACCAAAATGTTTGATTGGCTAGTTTGATAATTGAAGGCTACAAGAAAGGGATTTAAAAGTGTTTTTAAATTATACGGCTTGCCATTCATGACACAGATATTCTGAGCCTTGTATGATTTACCTATATAGTCACGAAGAATGTGATGGCAGATGGGTTTTTGTATTCAACACCTGCTATATTTGGATCAGCATCTGCATTTGAAAATTGATCATATAATATTTGGTGTTGGGCCAGTTTTCGTAGTTTATTTTAGAAGTTCATATTAATGAATACATTTCCTAGGCAAAACAATGCACTTTTACATAGGTAAACAGCTTTATCAATTTTTTTTAGAGAAGTATTTTGTCCCTCTTGATCAAAATCTCATTTCTATCAATAGCCAACTAAGGCTACAATTTAACGTAATCTCAAGGCAATTAAAACACATACTCTATTAAACCTTGGTCATGCCCATTAAAATTAATTGAGACCTTAGCCCTTTGCTGGACTCTTTCTTAATGAGCTTGGAGCAAAAGATAATAAATCCAGCAAACAAGATCCTTCTTTAATGACTATGGTCCATATCTCTTTTGGTTTGTATAACTGAAATTAATTTTATATTTCTACTATTAACGTTGTTGTCTATCTTCCAAGAAATGCATATGAGATTTTCAATGAAGAAGGGTCATTGTGTGCCAAGAAAAAAAAAAAAAACAGTGTTACAAAAATACAAGATAAAGCAATTTAAAAGGATAGTACCCACTTAAAGGTCAGATTTTGCTAGTTAAAAGAATAGCTCAGCCAGTGGACTATTATAGCTTCTTTAATAGTCAGTGAATTGCTGGCCATGATCATACTTTTACTCAACTACTGAAACAGGGACAAAATGTGTTCACTTAATTTAAGAATTATGCTCACATTTCTGAAGTCATTTCTTTAGAAAGGTAAACTGAATAGTATGTAATAGAGTTTTATTCTTGGAATATACTATATTCTACATACATTGATTATACTAAGGGCTCAAAGTAACTTGTACCTTTAGTGTGATTGCTGAATAACTAGATTTTAATTACTGAGAGAGATAGAAAGTTGAGACATATCGTAGGCAGTCTCCTAATCTTCTCTGTATATACCTAAATACTGTAATATTGCATTCAGCTAACACTCTTTACTTTCAGTTACAAAATTTCTAATTATATTTCTATCTCAATGACACCAAAGAATATATAACCACGTTACTAAATCCTGGACGTGCTAACACTTTCATCATGTGTCTAAGAGTATTTACACATTTAACCAGAAAATTTTTATGAATATATGCAAGTAACTAATTTTTTTTTTTTTTGAGACAGAGTCTTGCTCTGTCACCCAGGCTGGAGTGCAGTGGCACGATCTCGGCTCACTGCAAGCTCCGCCTCCTGGGTTTCCGCCATTCTCCTGCCTCAGCCTCCCGAGTAGCTGGGAATACAGGCGCCTGCCACTACGCCCTGCTATTTTTTTTTTTTTTTTTTTTTTGTATTTTTAGTTGAGATGGGGTTTCATAGTGTTAGCCAGGATGGTCTCGGTCTCCTGACCTTGTGATCCGCCCGCCTGCCTCTCGAAGTGCTGGGACTACAGGCATGAGCCACCACGCACTGCCAACTAATTAATTTTAGTTAATAGACACTTAAACCTTTATCTGACTCTGACCTTCTATGTCTTCTGAATAGTGAAAAATATTATTAATTTATTTTTCCTCTCCCAATTAAACGGGCAGGGATAGAAAAACTGGAAAGTAGCTTTGCACTTTTCTTCGTGTGTATTCAAGCTAATGGGAGTAACTTATGTGCTGTGGACATATGTCAAACTTTCTGTACCGATATCAATGATTAGAGGAATATTTCTCTGTTAAATAATCTTACTAATCTTGGGCCATGAAAATATATTCTAACTTTTTCACAATCAGCCTTACTATCCCACCAAAAGTGTAGCTAGGTATGATTCGACTGATAGCTCCCTAATAATACGGTCTGGAAAGAATATAAAGAAAGCTTTTGCTGTCTCTCCAGTAATTTTTATTAAATATCTCCAGGATGCTCTGGGAGTCAGGGTATTATGAGCATTACACATTCCACAAATGAAAAATGCAATGTTTTACCCTCTGTCCCTTACAATGAAAAACTAAATAACAAGGAATAACCATTTTTTCTGGATGACTAAAAAAACACCTTTCCTAGTTTTACTGGCCTGATACACTCTTGTTCACTACATCACGCAGTAAAAAACCATAGTGTTGCACATTAAATATGTAGTGGATGCTTGGACAATATTAATATTCACTGAATTATCAAACTAAGCCTTGGTTTAATTTAGATGTCAAACTAGAGTAAGTCATGGTAATATATCTTAGATTACTGTTTCTCAACATTGTTATTGAATAGCATCAACACTGTATACAGTGAATAATCAAAATATTGTAGCTATCATCTTGAGTAACAAGCAAGTGTCTGGTTATCTATAGTGTCAGATATTTGAAGATTTTTTTCTATACAACAAATAAGATCAGAGCATATGAAAGAAACATTATTCTTGGAAGATATAATATATGCTGATGGATATGAAGAATAAATACTGCACAAAGTTAAAATTTCTTTCCAAACTGATCTACAGATTGAATGCCACTTTGATAAAAATCCCAGCAACTTACTTAGTGGATATCAACAAATTGATTATAAAGTTTATATATAAAGGCAAAAGACCTAGAATTATCAACGTTATTATCAAAGAAGAAAAATCAAGTTGGAGCACAGATGCTATCCAATTTTATAACTTATTATAAATCCACAGTAATCAAGGTGATGTAGTATTGGTGAAAGAAAATATATTAATGAAACATAATAGAACTCTCAAAAGAGACCCACATTAATATAGTCAAATGGTCTTCAGTTAAAGGCAATTCAATGGAGAAAGGAGAGCCTTTTCAACTAATAGTACTGGGATAAGTGGATATTCACATGCAAAAGAAAAAAATGAATCCAGACACCAAATTTAAACCTTTTAACAAAAAATTCTAAATAGTTCATAGACCTAAACCTATGACACCAAACTATAAAACTTCTAGAGATAACAGGAGAAAATCTAGGTAACCTTAGGTTTGACAATGAGAGTTTAGACACAACACAAAAATCATGATCCATTAAACAAAATATTTAAAAAATTAAATTAAAAAAATAAATTGTGAAATCACAGTCAAAACCAGCAGCCTAGGGATACTGTAGGAATCAGAATATGTTGAAGCTCTTTCAAGAGCCTGGTTTCAAATAATTGCCATCATTTGACCTTTCTGGCAGGTCCCTGGAAACTCTCACTCACAAGTCTTATTTTTATTTGGCCTGACTCAGAGCTCAACCAGCATGACCAACTTTCTAAAGCTGTTTGTCAAGATATTCAGCAGTGTACTGGTCACGGTTCTCCAGAGAAACAGAACCAATAGTATATATAATGGCATACATGTGCGTGTGCACATACACACACACAGATTGTCTCTAACTCATGATGGTTCAACTTATGATTTTTAAACTTTATGATGTTGCATAAGCAATATAAGTTCAGTAGAAACTGTACTTTGAATTTTGATTTTTTATTTTTTTCATGGGCTAGCAATATGTGACACAATATTCTCTTGCAATGCTGGGTAGTGGCAGCAAGCCATAGCTCCGAGTCAGCCACATGATCAGGAAGGTAAACAACTGATAATCTACAGTGTACTGTGCTGGCAGATGATTTTGTCCAACTGTAGGCTAATATAAGTGCTCTGTACATGTTCATAGCAGGCTAGGCTAAGCTGTGATATTTGGTATGTTTGGTGTGTTAAATGTATTTCAACTTACAATATTTTCAGTGTACAATGGGTTTATCAGAATACTACCCCACTGTAAATTTTGAAGCATCTATTTATCTATATATGTGTGTGTATGGAGATGTATGGAGAGAGAGAGAGTGAGAGAGAGTAAAGAAATTGGTTCATGTGATTATGAAGGCCCAGAAGTCCCACAGTCTTCCCTCTGCAAGCTGGAGAACTAGAAAACTAGAAAAGACAGTGGTGTAATTCAGTCTGAGTCCAAATGGTTGAGAATGTGGGGGGAACTCTGGAGGATGAGGGGACAATGGTATAATTCCTAGTCTTAAGTTTGAAGGCCTGAGAACCAGGAACACAGTTTATCTGAGAGCAGAAAATAGATGTCTTACCTCAAACAGACAAAAGGAGTTTACCATTCCTCTACCTTTTTGTTCTATTTGGGTCCTGAATGAATTGGATGATGCCCATTAACTTTCCCAACATTGGTGATGGCAATCTTCTTTACTCTTTCTGTTGATTAAAATGCTAATCTTTTCCTGAAACACACTCATAGACACAGTAGACAATGTTTTACCAGCTATTTGGGCATCTTTTAACCCAAATTGACACATAAAAATAAACATTGGAAGAAATTACTTAATATCATAGCTTCTTCAAGTGGAGATAACAGTGGGAGCAAACAGCAATCACATAAAACAGCTAAAAAGAAAAACTTAGAAAATGAGATGCCTACAGGGGCCTTCCAAATTCTCTAACATATCCTTCAGAAACTAAAAGGCCATGTGTATGTATGGGGCTATATGCACACCCAGAAATATCCAGGATATCCACAAGACATCCAGCATATCCAGGGTAGATCTGAGAATGACCTAAAGTCTTACCCCTGACTGAGCTTAAGGCTCTGTATAAACAGAAAGTAAGAGCTATGGCCAAATTTTTCAACTATCATTAAAAATTACCAAAGGGTTGCAACAATCTGGAGAACATTTAAGAAAAAACAGAAAATCAAAAGGCAGCCAAGATGGCCAAATAGGAAGAGCTCCAGTCTACAGCTCCCAGCATGAGTGATGCAGAAGACGGGTGATTTCTGCATTTCCAACTGAGATACAGGGTTCATCTCATTGGGACTGGTTAGAGAGTGGGTTCAGCCCACAGAGTGTGAGCCGAAGCAGGGCAGGGAATTGCCTCATCTGGGAAGCACAAGGGGTTGGGGAATTCCCTTTCCTAGCCAAGGGAAGCTGCAACAGATGAAAAATTGGGACACTCCCACCCTAATACTGTGCTATTCCAATGGTCTCAGCCAACAGCAAACCAGGAGATTATATCCCGTGCGTGGCTCAGCAGGTCCAATGCCCATGGAGCCTTGCTCACTGCTAGCACAGTAGTCCGAGATCAAACTGTGAGGCAGCAGCAAGGCTGGGGTAGGGACATCCACCATTGCTGAGGCTTGACTAGGTAAACAAAGTGGCCTGGAAGCTCGAACTGGGTGGAGCCCACTGCAGCTCAATGAGGCCTGCCTGCCTCTGTAGACTCCACCTCTGGGGGCAGGGCATAGCTGAACAAAAGGCAGCAGAAACTTCTGCAGACTTAAACATCCCTGTCTGACAGCTTTGAAGAGAGCCATGGTTCTCCCAGAATGGGAGATGTGAGAATGGACAGACTGCCTCCTCAAGTGGGTCCCTGACCCCTGAGTAGCCTAACTGGGAGATGCCTCCCAGTAGGGGCTAACTGACACTTCATACAGCTGGGAGCCCTTCTGAGGTGAAGCTTCCAGAGGACGGATCAGGCAGCAACATTTGCTGTTCTGCAATATTTGCTGTTCTACAGCCTCCACTGGTGATACCCAGGCAAACAGGGTCTGGAGTTGAACTCCAGCAAAGTCCAACAGATCTGCAGCTGAGGATCCTGACTGTTAGAAGGAAAACTAACAAACAGAAAGGAATAGCATCAACATCAACAAAAAGGACATCCACACCAAAACCCCATCTGTAAGTCACCAATGTCAAAAACCAAAGGTAGATGAAACCACAAAGATGGAGAGAAACCAGAGCAGAAAAGCTGAAAATTCTAAAAACCAGAGCACCTCTTCTCCTCCAAAGGATCACAGCTCCTCACCAGCAATGGAACAAGGCTGGACAGAGAGTGACCTTGACGAGTTGACAGAAGTAGGCTTCAGAAGATCGGTAATAACGAACTTGTCTGAGCTAAAGGAGGATGTTTGAACTCATCGCAAGGAAGCTAAAAACCTTGAAAAAAGACTAGACGAATGGCTAACTAGCATAAACAGTGTAAAGAAGACCTTAAATGGCCTGATGGAGCTCAAAATCATGGGACGAGAACTACCTGATGCATTCACAAGCTTCAGTAGCTGATTCGATCAAGTGGAAGAAAGGGTATCAGTGATTGAAGATCAAATAAATGAAATGAAGCAAGAAGAGAAGTTTAGAGAAAAAAGAGTAAAAAGAAATGAAAAAAGCCTCCAGGAAATATGGGACCGTGTGAAAAGACCAAATCTACGTTTGATTGGTGTACCTGAAAGTGACGGGGAGAATGGAACCCATTTGGAAAACACTCTTCAGGGTATCATCCAGGAGAACTTCCCCAACCTGGCAAGGCAGGCCAACATTCAAATTCAGGAAATACAGAGAATGCCACAAAGATACTCCTTGAAAAGAGCAACTCCAAGAAACATAATTGTCAGATTCACCAAGCTTGAAATGAAGGAAAAAATGTTAAGGGCAGCCAAAGAGAAAGGCTGGGTTACACCCAAAGGGAAGCCCATCAGACTAACAGCGATCTCGCAGCAGAAACTCTACAAGTCAGAATAGAGTGGGGGCCAATATTCAACCTTTTTAAAGAAAAGAATTTTCAACCCAGAATTTCATATCCAGCCAAACTAAGCTTCATAAGTGAAGGAGAAATAAAATCCTTTACAGACAAGCAAATGCTGAGAGATTTTGTTACCACCAGGCCTGCCTTACAAGAGCTCCTGAAGGAAGCAATAAACATAGAAAGGACCAACCGGTACTAGCCACCGCAAAAACATGCCAAATTGGAAAGACCATCGATGCTAGGAAGAAACCGCAACTAACGAGGAAAATAACCAGCTGATATCATAATGACAGGGTCAAATTCCCACATAACAATATTAACCTTAAATATAAATGGGTTAAATGCCCCAATTAAAAGCACAGACTGGCAAATTGGATAAAGAGTCAAGACCCATCAGTGTGCTCTATTCAGGAGACCCATCTCACGTGCAGAGACATAGATTCAAAATAAAGGGATGGAGGAAGATCTACCAAGCAAATGGAAAACAAAAAAAAGCAGGGTTTGCAATCCTAGTCTCTGATAAAACACATTTAAACCAATAAAGATCAAAAGAGACAAAAAGGCCATTACATAATGGTAAAGGGATCAATTCAACAAGAAGATCTAACTATGCTAAATATATATGCACCCAATACAGGAGCACCCAGATTCATAAAGCAAGTCCTTAGAGACCTACAAAGAGACTTAGACTCCCACACAATAATAATGGGAGACTTTAATACCCCACTCTCCACATTAGACAAATCAATGAGACAGAAAGTTAACAAGGATATCCAGGACTTGAACTCAGCTCTGCACCAATTGGACCTAATAGACATCTACAGAATTCTCCACCCCAAATCAACAGAATATACATTCTTCTAGCACCACATCTCACTTCTTCCATAATCGACCACATAGTTGGAAGCAAACACTACTCAGCAAATGTAAAAGAACACGAATCATTACAAACTGTCTCTCAGACCACAGTGCAATCAAATTAGAATTCAGGATTAAGAAACTCACTCAAAACCGCACAACTACGTGGAAACTGAACAATCTGCTCCTAAATGACTACTGAGTACATAACGAAATGAAGGCAGAAATAAAGATATTCTTGAAACCAATGAGAACAAAGATACAACATACCAGAATCTCTGGGACACATTTAAAGCAGTGTGTAGAGGGAAATTTATAGCACTAAATGCCCACAAGAGAAAGCAGGAGCGATCTAAAATCAACACCCTAACATCACAATTAAAAGAACTAGAGAAGCAAGAGCAAACACATTAAAAGCTAGCAGAAGGCACGAAATTAGATCAAAGCAGAACTGAAGGAGATAGAGACACCAAAAAAGCCTTCAAAAAATCAATGAATCCAGGAGCTGGTTTTTTGAAAAGATCAACAAAATACACAGACCACTAGCAAGACTAATGAAGAAGAAAAGAGAGAAGAATCAAATAGAAGCAATAAAAAATGATAAAGGGGATATCACCACCAATCCCACAGAAATACAAACTACCATCAGAGAATACTATAAACACCTCTACACAAATAAACTAGAAAATCTAGGAAAAATGGATAAATTTCTGGACACATACACCCTCCCAAGACTAAACCAGGAAGAAGTTGAATACCTGAATAGACAGATAACAGGCTCTGAAATTGAGGCAATAATTAATGGCTTACCAACCAAAAATGTCCAGTACCAGATGGATTCACAGCCGAATTCTACCAGAGGTACAAAGCGGAGCTGGTACCATTCCTTCTGAAACTATTCCAATCAATAGAAAAAGAGGAAATCCTCCCTAACTCATTCTATGATGCTAGCATTATCCTAATACCAAAGCCTGGCAGAGACACAAGAAAAAATGAGAATTTTCCACCAATATCCATGATGAACATCGATGCAAAAATCCTCAATAAAGTACTGGCAAACCGAATCCAGCAGCACATCAAAAAGCTTATCCACCATGATCAAGTTGGCTTCATCCCTGGGATGCAAGGCTGGTTCAACATATGCAAATCAGTAAATGTAATCCATCATATAAACAGAGCCAAAGACAAAAACCACATGATTATTTCAATAGCTGCAGAAAAGGCCTTTGACAAAATTCAACAGCCCTTCATGCTAAAAACTCTCAATAAACTAGTTGTTGATGGGACGTATCTCAAAATAATAAGAGCTATTTATGACAAACCCACAGCCAATATCATACTGAATGGGCAAAAACTGGAAGCATTCTGTTTGAAACCTGGTGCAAGACAGGGATGCCCTCTCTCACCACTCCTATTCAACATAGTGTTGGAAGTTCTGGCCAGGGCAATCAAGCAGGAGAAAATAATAAAGGGTATTCAATTAGGAAAAGAGGAAGTCAAATTGTTCCTGTTTTCAGGTGACAAGATTGTATATTTAGAAAATCCCATCATCTCAGCCCAAAATCTCCTTAAGCTGATAAGCAACTTCAGCAAAGTCTCCGAATGCAAAGTCAATGTGGAAAAATCACAAGTATTCCTATACACCAATAACAGACAAACAGAGAGCCAAATCATGAGTGAACTCCCATTCACAATTGCTTCAAAGAGAATAACATACCAGGAATCCAACTTACAAGGGATGTGAAGGACCTCTTCAAGGAGAGCTACAAACCACTTGTCAACAAAATAAAAGAGGACACAAACAAATGGAAGAACATTTCATGCTCATGGATAGGAAGAATCAATATCGTGAAAATGGCCATACTGCCCAATGTAATTTATAGATTCAATGCCATCCCCATCAAGCTACCAATGACTTTCTTCACAGAATTGGAAAAAACTACTTTAAAGTTCATATGGAACCAAAAAAGAGCCCACATTGCAAAGAGAATCCTAAGCCAAAAGGACAAAGCTGGAGGCATCATGCTACCTGACTTCAAACTATACTACAAGGCTACAGTAACCAAAACAGCATGGTACTGGTACCAAAACAGAGATATAGACCAATGGAACAGAACAGAGCCCTCAGAAATAATACCACACATCTACAGCCATCTGACCTTTAACAATCCTGACAAAAACAAGAAATGGGGTAAGGATTCCCTATTTAATAAATGGTGCTGGGAAAACTGGCTAGCCATATGTAGAAAGCTGAAACTAGAACCCTTCCTTACACCTTATACAAAAATTAATTCAAGATGGTTTAAAGACTTACATGTTAGACCTAAAACCATAAAAACCCTAGAAGAAAACCTAGGCAATACCCTTCAGGACATAGGCATGGGCAAGGACTTCATGATTAAAACACCAAAAACAATGGCAACAAAAGCCAAAATTGACAAAGGGAATCTAATTAAACTAAAGAGCTTCTGCACAGCAAAAGAAACTATCATCAGAGCGAACAGGCAACCTACAGAATGGGAGAAAATTTTTGCAATCTACTCATCTGACAAAGGGCTAATATCTAGAATCTACAAAGAACATAAACAAATTTCCAAGAAAAAATCAACCCCATCAAAAATTGGGCAAAGCATATGAACAGACACTTCTCAAAAGAAGACATTTATGCAGCCAACAGACACACGAAAAAATGGTCATCATCACTGGTCATCAGAGAAATGCAAATCAAAACCACAATGAGATACCAGCTCACACCAGTTAGAATGGCAATCATTAAAAAGTCAGGAAACAACAGGTGCTGCAGAGGATGTGGAGAAATAGGAACACTTTTACACTGTTGATGTTAGTGTAAACTAGTCCAACCATTGTGGAAGACAGTGTGGCGATTCCTCAAGGATCTAGAACTAGAAATACCATTTAACCCAGCGATCTCATTACTGGGTATATACCAAAATGATTATAAATCATGCTACTATAAAGACACATGCACATGTATGTTTATTGCGGCACTATTCACAATAGCAAAGTCTTGGAACCAACCCAAATGTCCATCAATGATAGGCTGGATTAAGAAAATGTGGCACAAATACACCATGGAATACTATGCTGCCATAAAAAAGGATGAGTTCATGTCCTTTGTAGGGACATGGATGAAGCTGGAAACCATCATTCTGAGCAAACTATCACAAGGACAGAAAACCAAACACTGCATGTTCTCACTTATAGGCGGGAATTGAACAATGAGATCACATGGACACAGGGTGGGGAACATCACACACCAGGGCCTGTTGTGGGGTGGGGGGAAGCGGGGAGGGATAGCATTAGGAGAAATACCTAATGTAAATGATGATTTAATGGGTGCAGCATACCAACGTGGCACATGTATACATATGTAACAAATCTGCACATTGTTCACATGTACCCTAGAACTTTAAGTATAATAATAATTATAAATAAATAAATAACAGCCAAATCTCCAGAAGAACAGTGAAAGCACCCAATTTGGCTGAGTACTAAAGATATGTTCCAGTATGCATATGGAGCCCATCAGCAAAGACAGAGACTTACTGGTTCCATGCAGTTAAGAAACTATCTGTTCAATCATTAGCTGACCACGAAGCTATCTGAATAGAGATTGTAGTGGCCAGACAATACAAAGAATACAGAATTTAAAAATTAGTTCAGCCAGGTCACTTAAACAGATGAATAGCAAAATCAGTAAACAGAAGCAACAATAAAACCTTAAGAAGTAGAGAATCTGATTTCTAGTGTTGCTACTTTATATAAAATATCTAGTTATCAAAAAAATTACACAAAATGCAAAGAAACAAGAATGCATGATCTATGCATGGGAAATAAAATGGTGAATAGAAACTTTCTCTGAGGAAGACCAGATATGAATGTAGAGACAAGATTTTAAAACGATTACTTTAAATATGTGCAGGGAACAAAAGAAAACTATGTCTAAAGAAATAAAAACAAAGTCTGAGAAGAATGTCTTCTCAAATAGATAATATCAAAAATATAGAAATTTCATTCAATAAAAAGCCATAGAGAAATTTTGAATTTGAAAAGATAGTACAATAACATATTCAAAGTGCTAAAAAAACAAGAATTCTATATCTAGCAAAAGTATCCTTTTAAAAAAATAAAGAGAAATGAAAACATTTCCAGATAAACAAAAACTGAGAAAATGTGTTGTTAAAACATGTGCTTGATGAATAATTGTAAAAGGAGTATTTCAGAATCAAATGAAAGTGTACAAGAAAGTAAAATGAATCTATGTAAGGAAATACAGAATATTGCTATAGGTAACTGCATAAGTAAATACAGATAACAGTATGAATATATTTTTAGTTTGCAAAACTCTTTTTCTCCTATCTGATATAAAGGACTTAGAGCAAAGATTATAAAGAGACATATTTTAGATTCAAAGTCACAAATATATTAAAAGTAAAAGAATAGCAAAATATACAATGCAAACAGTAACAAAAGGGGCTATAATGACCACCTTAATATAAAAAAATAGTGTTTAGGTCAAAACTTGGTAGCAGATAGTCGATCCATACAAAAGTTACAAACATATGTGCAGCCAGCGACAGAACCTCAAAATACTGAAAACAAAAACTAGCAGACATAGAAGAAGAAATAAGCAACTAAATAATAATAGTTAGGCCAGGCGCGGTGGCTCACGCCTGTAATCCCAGCACTTTGGGAGGCCGAGGTGGGTGGATCACCTGAGGTCAGGAGTGCAAGACCAGCCTGGCCAACATGGTGAAACCCCGTCTCTACTAAAAATACAAAAAATTTAGCCAGGTGTGGTGGTGGGCATCTGTAATCCCAGCTACTCGGGAGGCTGAGGCAGGAGAATCGCTTGAACCCAGGAGCCAGGGGTTGCAGTGAGTGGAGATCGCACCATTGCACTCCAGCCTGGGCAACAACAGGGAAACTCCATCTCAAAATAATAATAATAATAATTGTTAGACACTTCAATACCTTAATTTTAATAATAAAAACCCCAACTAGATGGAAGATAAAGAACTAAATAGGAGACTTTAGTACAAAAAAACTAGACCTAATAGACATTTTTAGATTATTCTACTCAAAGACAGACTACACATTCTTCTCAAGTTCTCATGGAACATTCCCAGTGTTTGACCATATGTTATGCTCTAAAGAAAGTTTAAATAAATTTAAAAGATTAAAATAATACAAAATAATTTTCTGACTAAAATGAATAAAATTAGAATCAGTAACTGGAGAAAATTTGTGAAATTGACAAGTTATGGACAATTATTTTAAAATCAAGTTTAAATAACTTGAGAAAGAAATCACAAGAAAAATTAGAAAATACTAGAAATGAATGAACATGAAACACAGTATACCCCAGTCGATGGGTTGCAGCTAAAGCAATGCTAAGAGAAAAAAATTAAACCTTTAAATGCCTGTGTTATAAAATAAAGCTTTAAATCAGTAATGTAAATGCCCACCATAATTAGAGAAAGGAGAGCAAGCTATACAGAAAGCAAGCAGAAAAAGAAAAATAATAAATGCTAGAGCAGAAATAAATGGCATAGATAATTAAAAAAAAAAACAGGAAATCAGCAAAATCTAAAGTTGTTCTTTGAAAAGATCAACAAAACTGACAAGTCTTTAGCCTGATTAACAAGAAAGAAAGAGTAAGGGCTCAAATTCATAAAATCAGCAGTGAAGGCAATGACATTCCTACAGCTCTTATATACATAACAGTATTATGTAGAATACTATGAAGAATTGTATGCCAATAAGTTAGCCTTAATGAAATGTAAAAATTCCTACACAAACACAAACTACTAAAACTGACTCAAGAAGAACAAGAACATCTGAATAGAATAACAAGCAATTAAATTAAAATAGTAGTCAAAACACTTCCCACAAAGAAAAGCCCAGGACCAGATGCCTTTACTAGTAAATTCTACTAAACGGTAAGCAAAAAATTAACTCCAGCTCTTTTCAAACTTGTTTCAGAAAATAGAACAGGTAGGACCACATCTCAAGTCATTCTATAAAGTCAGTATTACTCAGATATCAAAATCAGACAAAAACATTACAAGATAACACATTTATAGACCAATGTCCTTCATAAATATAAATATAACAATTCTAAGAAAACACTAACAAAACAAATCCAGCAACATATAAAAAGAAATATATACCATGAAGAAACACATGGTATTTATTCCAAGAATGTAAAGTTGGTTCAACATATAAAAGTAAATCAATATACAGTATGGTATTAATAAAAAACATGATCATCTCAATAGCCACACAAAACATTGGGAAGAAAATCAACATCCTTTTATGATAACTCTCAATACTAGGTATGAATGGGAACTTCCTTATTTCAACCTGATTTTTTAAAACATTTGAAAAACATACAGCTAACAGCTATTTAATAATTACAAAGGGTTTCCCCCTAACTTCAGCAACAAGGCAAGAATGTCTGCTTTTACCACTTCCATTCTATATTGTAGTGGAAGTTTCAGCTAGAAACTTTTAGTTTTAATGAAATGTAAAGACTGGGAAAAATGTTAAGCTCTCTACTGGAAGGTAATATAATCTTGTATATAGAAAATCCAAATGAATTCACCAAAGAAATATTAGAGCCAATGAACAAGGTGAGCAAGGTTGCAGGGTACAAGATCAGTACCCAAAATTACTAGCAGTGAACAATCAGAAAATGAAATTAAGAAAACAATACCATTTTTGATAGCACAAGAACAATGAAATACTTAGGCATAAATTTAATCAAAAAGTAAAAGACTTGTACAAGTTAAACAGTAAGATATCATTGAAATAAATTGAAGGAAATGTGAATAAACAAAAAAAAGTTCTGTGTTATTGGATAGGGAGACTTAATAGTGTTAACATGGCAATGCATTCCAAATTTATCTATAGATTCATTGCAAAGCCTATTATAATCCACACTAGATTTTTTACAGAAATTCACATGGTAATGCTGAAATTCATATAGAACCCAGAATAAACTCTCCAAATAGGGACTGAAAATATCAAAAATAATGCTGAGAAAGAGGAGCAAATTTCAAGGGCTCCTACTTTCCAATTTCAAGAGTTGCCACAAAGTTACAGTAAAAAAAATATGTGTTGTGCAGGCAAAAGAGTAGACATAAAGATCAATGAAATAGAATTGAGGATAGAGAAAGAAACCTATGCATTTATGTTTAATTGATTTTCAACAAGGTTGCCAAGACTCTTCAATGAGAGAATAAATAGTCTTTTCAACAAATGATGCAGGGACAAATGAATATCCACATGCAAAACTTTGAGTTTGAACCCTTAACTCAAATCATATACAAATATTAACTGAAAGTAGATCAAAGACATAAATGTAAGAGCTAAAACTTAGAAGATAACATGGAGGTAAGTTTTCATTATTTTAGATTAGGCAATGGTTTCTTATATATCATACATAAAGCACAAGCAACAAGAGAAAATATAGATAATTTAGAACTCTTCAAAATTACAAACTTTTGTGCATCAAAGGATATTATCAAGAAAGTAAAAAGACAATGCATAGAATCAGAAAATGTATAAAAGTCTAGTATCCAAAACATATAAACAACACAAATCAATCAAAAGTGATGAATAACAAAATTTTTAAAGAGGAAAAGACATCCAAAGTACACAAAGAACACCTAACACTCAACAATAAAAAAGAACAAGCAAATTAATAAATAGATGAAATATCTCAACGGACACCTCCCCAAAGAAGATATATACATAACAAGTAAACATATTAAAAGATGTCCAATATTTTTAATATGTACTTGTTTTAAATATGCCATTAAAGAATTGCAAAAAAAAAAAAAATCCCCAACAATGAGATACCACTACACAATCTATTAGAATGACGAAAATCCAAAACACTGACAACAACAAATTCTGGAAAGAATTAGGAGGAACAGGAATTCTCATTCATTGCTGGTGGGAATGCAAAATGGTATAGCCACCTTGGAAGACAGTATGGCAGTTTCTTACATAACTAAGCATACTCTTAATAAAGGATGCAGCAATTATAATTTTTGATATATGTTTAAAGGAGTTAAAAATATATATCCACACAAAAACCTGTACACAGATATATACGGCAGCTTTATTCATAATTGCCAAACTGTGGAAGCAACCAAGATGTGCTTCAGTAGACAAATGAATAAGTACGCTATGGTACATACAGACAAGGGAATATATATTTTTTTAGACTCAGTCTAGCTCTGTTGTTCAGGCTGGAGTGCAGTGGTGCAATCTTGGCTCACTGCAACCTCCACCTCCTCCTCCACCTTCAAGGGATTCTCTTGCCTCAGCCTCCTGAGTAGCTGGAACTACAGGCCTGTGTCACCATGCCTGGTTAATTTTTGTATTTTTAGTAGAGACGGGGTTTCACCATTTTGGCCAGGCTGGTCTTGAACTACTGGCCTCAAGTGATCCTCCCGCCTAGGCCTCCCAAAGTGCTGGGATTACGGGAGTGACTCATCTTGCCCAGCCGGAATATTATTAAGCACTAAAAATAAATGAGCTATCAAGTCATGAAAAGACATTGAGGAATCTTCAATGTATATTACTAGGTGAAAGAAGCCAATCTGAAAAGTTTACATATTGTAGTGTTCCAACTATATAACATTCCATAATAGGCAAAACTATGGAGACAGTAGAAAGTTCAGTGTTGGCCAGGGGTGAGGAGGAGGGAGGGGTGAGTAGGGAGAACACAGAGGAATATTAAGGCAGTGATACCACTCTGTGTTGCTGTAATGGTGTGAACATATTATTATCCATGTATCAAAATCATAGAATGTACAACATTAAGAGTGACCCTAATATAAAATGTGGACTTTGGGTGGTGATGATGTGTCAGTGTAGATTTACTGATTGTAATAAACCTTCTACTCTGGGGTAGGATGTTGATAATGAGACAGATTATGCATATGTAGAGGTGCTAAGTATATGGGAACACTCTGTACTTTCCACTCAATTTTGCTGTGAATCTGAACTATTCAAAAAATAAATTCTGTTTTTAAAAAGGTGACATCTTTTGTAAATAAATAATAATTAATTTTAAAAGAAATGGGTAAAGATTTTAATAGTCATTTCTCCGAAGAAGACACACAAAAGGTCAATAGTCCCATAAAAGGTTTTCAACATCATGAGCCATCAGGGAAATGCAAATCAAAACTATAATGTAATAAGGTACCACTTCGTATCTACAGGCAAGTCTATTCTTAAAACGTCAATCAGCAGCAGGTGCTGGTGAGAATGTGGAAAATTAGAATTCATATATATTTTTGGTGGTAAATGAATAATGCTATTGCCATTTTGGAAAACAGCTTTATAGTTCCTCAAAAAGTTACACAAGTTAAACATAGAGGTGCCTTATGTCCCACTTTTAGGTATATACTCTAGAGAACTGAAAATATATATCCATACAAAAATTGGTTCATGAATGTTCATAGATAGCATCATTCATAATTGCCATAAAGTGGAAATAACTAAAATGCTCAACTGATGAATGGATAAATAAAATGTGATATATCCATGCAAATGCAATATTATTCAGCCATAAAAGGAATGAGGTACTGATACATTTTGCACCACATATGCAAAACATTATGAAAACATTATGCTAAGTGAAATAAATCAGCTCCAAAAGACCACATATAGTATGATTCAATTTTTTGAAATGCCTACAATAGGCAAATCTATAGTGACAGAAAATAGATTAGTGGTTGCTAGTGACTGGGGAGAGGGAGAATGAGAAAAAACTGCTAATATAGGATATGTGGGGGAGGGTAAGGAAATGATCAGAGATAGATACTAGTGAGAGTTGAACAAATTTGTGAATATACTAATAACTGTGTATTGTACATTTTAAAATAATACATATTATGTCTTATGAATTATATCTCAATAAGAGAAAAAAGAATGGGATAGACGTGGCAGCATAGTTTTATGTGTTAAATTCAAATAAATATATACACACCAGATAAATTTTAAAATGTAGACTAGTATTTTCTACTTGTTTTTGTGCTTAGCTCCTACCCCCCTTTCTTCTCTCGTAAGCATTCACAAATCATCTTTGACTTCCTGAATTATTCCTTCTTTGACCTCCCAATGGCGTTTATTGCCCATTACGCTCTTTTACTCACAGCATCCAGTTTCTTGCATTGTAATTAATATCTTTATGTATGTGCAATGTTTGTTCAACCAGATTTTCAGTTCCGTCACAGAAGATACCCCATTTTACATTGCCTTATTTTCCAAAACTAGCACAGAGAAGATACTTAGTGAATATTTAACCAAATAATGATGCTTGTGATAATTTTCGAGCATCTTCTGAAAAATGCCATTGGAGTTTTGATAGAAATACATGAATCTGTAGATCTGTTTGGACATTATGAATATTTTAACAATATTAATTCTAGGATTCATAAACATCAGATATATTTCCATTTATTTATATCTTCTTCAATGGATTTTGCAAATATTTTATAGTTTCCAGTGTACAGATCTTCTACCTCCTTCGTTAAATTTATTCCTAAGAATTTTTTGATTCTGTTGCATTAAATAGGACTAAATAGATGTAATGAGAGATTGTTTCCTTGATTTCTTTTTTGGATTGTTCATTGTTAGTGTGTAGAAACACTACTAATTTCCATACGTCGATTTTGTATCCTACAATTTTACTGAATTTGTTTGTTAGTTCTAATGGATTATTTTTGGTAGATTCTTTAGGGTTTTCTATTTATAAGATCATGTCATTAGCAAACAGATACAATTTTACTTCCTCCTCTCTGATTTGGATATCTTTTAATTTTTTATTGACTATATTCTCTGGCTAAGAACTCTTGTACTATATTGAATAAAAGTGGTAAGAGTGAGCATCCTTGTCTTATTCTTGATCTTGGAGATAAAACTTATTTTTTTACATTTTCTAAGTTAGCTGTGGGTTTGTCATATATGGCCTTTATTATTTTGAGATACATTTTTCTATGCCTAATTTGCTGAGAGTTTTTATCTTAAAAGGATATTGAATTTTCTCAAATGCTTTTTCTGCATCTATTTAGATGATTGTAGAGTTTTTATCCTTCATTCTGTTGATGTGGTGTGTCACATTGATTGGTTTGGGCAAGTTGAAGCATCAGGGATAAATCCTACTTAATCATGTGTAATCCTCCTCATCTGCTGTTGAATTCACTTTACCAGTACTTCATTGAGAATTTTTGCTTCTATGCTTATCAGAAAAACTGGCGTGTAAACTTACTTTCCTTCCTTCCTTCCTTCCTTCCTTCCTTCCTTCCTTCCTTCCTTCCTTCCTTCCTTCCTTCCTCCCTCCCTCCCTCCCTCTCTTTCTCTCTCTCTCTTTCTTTCTTTCTTTTCACATAGTCTTGCTCTGTCACCCAGGCTAGAGTGCAGTGGCATGATTTGAGCTCACTGCAACCTCTGTCTCCTAGGTTCAAGTGATTCTCATGCCTCAGCCTCCCAAGTACCTGGGACTACAGGCATGCGCCACCACACACAGCTAATTTTTGTATTTTTATTAGAGACGGGGTTTCACCCTGTTGGCCAGGCTGGTCTCGAATTCCTGGGCTCAAGTGATCCACCCACCTCAGCCTCCCAAATTGCCTAGATTACAGACATGAGCCACCATGCCCAGCCAAACTTTCTTTTCTTGTAGTGCCCTTTTCTGGTTTTGGTGTTAGGGTAATGCCAGCCTCATAAAATAAGTCTGAAAATGTTCCCTCCTCCTCAATTTGAGAAGGATTAGTGTTTTGTTGTTGTTGTTGTTGTTGTTAAAAATTTGGTAGAATTCACCAGTGAAGCTGTTGAGTCCTGTGCTTTTCTTTGTTGGAAGATTTTTGATTACTGAATCAATCTTTTTATTTATTATTGGTCTGTTCAGATTTTCTGTTTCTTCATGATTCAGTCTTGGAAGCTTATATCTTTCTAGAAATGTATCCATTTCTTCTATGTTATCCAGTTTTTGCTGTATAATTGTTCCTATTAGACTCTTATGATCATTTTATTTCTGTGGTATAAGTTGTAATGTCTCTTCTTCATTTTACAATTTTATTTATTTCTCTTTTTTTCTTAGTCTAGCTAAAGTTTACTGATTTTATCTTTTAAAAACCACCTCTTACTTTCATTGATCTTTTATATTGATTTCTTTGGAGTCTCTATTTCATTTATTTCTACTCTGATTATTTTTATTTTGTTTTTCTGCTGAATTTGGACTTTATTTTTTTCTAGTTCTTTTAGGTGTAAATTTAGATTGTTTATTTGAGATATTTGTTTTTACCTCATGTAGAAGTTTATCACATCTTAGAACTACTTTTGCTGCATTCCATAAATTTAGGCATCTTATGCTTCCATTTTCATTTGTCTCTCTGTATTTTTTTACTTCCCTTTTAATTTCCTCTTTGACTGACTTATTCTTTAGGAATGTGTTGTTTAGTTTGCACACATGTATGAATTTTCCACTTTTCCTCCTGTTATTGATTTTTAGTTTCACACCACTGTGATCAGAAAAGTTTGACTTTACCAAACTAATAATGCAACTTTTATCTTTTCTATCTTCTTTTTTCTTGCTATTTGTTTTTATTTGTCCTTCATTCCACCTAAGTCCCACTCCATTTCACACATTTAAAATGTCTCAAGGGAAATGCTCATATTTTGCTGGTTAGTCACAATTTAATGTGTATCCCCTCAGTTAGGCTGAGTTCTCAAGCAAGGTGAACTTAGAGTCTTCTGATCTTTATGATGAATGGCCTACTATGTTGATAATTAATTCATATCTTAGCAATATGAGACCTAAGCAAACTATATATGGCCTAAAATTTACCAGGTTCAGAATGTTGTCATAGATAATTACCCTTAGCCACGGAGACTGCTCGTAGCTTAGTTTGAAAAGATAAAATATATGACATACTTTTACAAAAACATATTGTTAAGTATAGGGACAGACATTTAGTTGCATGAGATTTTCTCCAGAGTGAAGAGCAATAAGGATTATGGTTTCTTTTGTGATATGTCATTTGGCTCTTTCTCTATAGGTGACTTAGATAACAACAGAAGTGAAAGCTTATCAAATTTGCCAATAATATGCAAACAAAACACACATTATTATACAATTTTGACTCAAACTGTCCTTAATAGACTAAGATGATTAATGTAAAGGTCTCCATTTCTGTTTATACATGCACACAGTAACACACACAAAAAGCTTGAAAATGTGGTGATGCGCAAAATAACCCAAAGGATTTTACATTTGGATGCAATATAAAGGACAGTTTTCTAAGATTCAAAATATTTTTACAAATGAATTGTCTCGTCTTTTAGATAGGAAGTTGCTTTACCTCAATTGTTCAAGCAAATAACTAATGACCATATGTTATGAAAATTATAGAAAGGATTTCTATATGAAAATAGAGATTATAGAGGATGACCAATCAGGGCCTTTGAAATTCCATTTCCTTGAATATGTTTAAAATTAATTTCTTCATTCCTTCTGGTCATCTCTCCTAAAAGTAGCTTAAATTCTTTGCTTGAGATTTTGCCAAAAGTTACTAGTTTACCAGTTCATAACCAGGTTGAGAACACACAAGATGCTCGCTCACCTGAGTGCCAGACCAGTGTTCTTTCCACGACCACATCACTGTTTCCCTTAGCAGTTACACAGACACTTACCACTGGAACACTTATTTGTTTTCCTGCTTGTTGTTTCACCTATTTGTCTCTACTACTCTATTTTTTAATATATTCTTTATAGTGACTAGTATATTTCAGGCAGACAGTAGAAACTTGATGAATATGTGCAAAAATAATCTTTGCACCTACCTGCTTTTATGTGAATTTTCCCATTTCTGTGTATGTGGTTTTTTTATGAAAATGAAAAGCTATTAAGAATGGGATTCATATGTTAGCCTTCGTCCTCTATATATTTCCATTTTAAAATATCCTTTTTCCCCAAACTGTGGAAATTGCTTCCATAAGTCTTTACACACACACACACACACACACACACACACACACACACATATATGTATATATGGCATATATACATATATATCTGACATAACCTGGAATTTGTTGAATTATAATATTTATGTAACTATTTGGAGATACTTGAATACATCTTATTTTAAAAAGGATAAATTAATCAGAATCTTTTGAATTGCAAAATATCATGTGCAAATATCAAAGAACAACTATTTCTTGCTATTTATTGCTAAATGACATTAAAGTGGTTTATCCCATATTTACTTTTTTTTTGCAGTTTAGCCATGTTATTTTGGAGCTATGTGCTCTTAAAGCAATGAAGAATTCAGAAGCTTTGGCATGATGGCCACTGTATAAATGCTTTTGCACTTTTATATGTAACTTTTAAAAGTGATATTTGGCAGTTCATTTTTAGTACAGGTGAATTATTGTAGCAATCAATAATGTTTTGTTTTAAGAGACACCCCTATGACACTTCTGTACAAATATTTTTGGAGCTTAAGTGACCACCATTTCATCTCTTCTTCTTAGACTATCCATAAAAAGAAAAAAAAACCCATTGATTTAACTTTGATGCTATCTTTCTAATCTTCATCCCACATTATGAATATCAGGTTCTGCACCAGAAAGAACAACAGCCTAGGGTGTGGGGTAAGGAAGGTGAATTAAAGCTGTTTCTCAGTGTAGCTCTTATTCTTCCTTCTGAACCTCTCCCTAATTCTCCATTGTGTTTACATGTTATTGAGTCTTCTTTTCATGTCTATGATGAGTATGCTTCCAAAAAAAAAGATTGGCCCTGTCAGATTCCCATAAGAAATGCATAAATAAGCATGTGGTATTAAACACTATCATCACCCCAACAAGAAAATCTGAAAAGATAATGTTAGTTTTCCTCCCTCTCTTTCTAATATTTTTTTACAGATGGGGATAAGAACAACCCCTTTTCAAATGCATTTCAGCTGATTGACTTTACAGTATTGCCATGAAAGCCAAACCTGTTCTCTAAGGATTCTTTGGTTCCGAACATTTAAGTTCTGTCCATCATATTTATCACAATCAATCAATATTCTGTCAAAAGAGCAAACAAAGATGCTACCTTCACAGTTTCCTGGATCATAGACCAAATGTCAAGGAGCTGAAATTTGTTCAGCCCCCTCTTTCCAACTGTTTCAGTTTATAGTGTCCAATCCCTCTGAGAGCTTTCTTTCTCTTACTTGGGTCATTTCTAGATGAATGGCTCAGATTGACCTAATCTTGCAAATATGAGAAAGAATAAGCTTGGCTTTGAATGTCATGACTCACAGGAGAGATGGACGTTTCTCATGCCCTTTGCAAATAGATGAGGGAGCTCTATTTTTAATATAGTCCCTTCAAAGCAAGCACACCAAGATATGGCCCCTCGTCTTTTGCTCAGGCATAGGACTATTCATTTTCCTGTTCTCATAAAGACCCCACAATTTCTTTCCACAAATCAAAGATAAAGCAAATTATTAGGCTACTAAATGTGTCCAAAAAATATGTAGAATTTGTTTTTTGTTTGCCAACAGGTTTAAAGTGTTTATATTTAACAAAAATATGGCTGTCATCAACTAATCTTTTTTAATCAATGTTATGTCTCCTACCCCTTGGGTGACCCTTGATCTTTTTTTTTTTCATTCTGCATTGATGTGAGTACATCAGAGCACCAAGAAAAAAATCAATAATTTTGAATATTCAAAAAATATGTTTGGGTCTTAATTTTTAAGAGCATCATATCAATATTTCTTCAGAAAAAATAAGGTTTGTTATAGAAACCCTGATTCATATTAACATACAAAACAGGAACATTTACAGTGATGTTTGATATTGAAAAATGATAGATTCAGGGTAAGTTCTCATTATATAGCAAGTTTAGCTAGTTTATTGCAAATGTGCTATAATTTAGTTATACTCAACTTTACCACAGTGAGGCAGTGTTATGCAATGCTAAAAGGTACAAGTCTTTGAGTCAAATGTAACGAAATTAAAATTCTGGCTTTACCTCTAAAGAGGTGCAATATCAACATGTTATTTACCTCTTCCAGCCTAAGTCTACTCCTTTGTAAAATGGGAAGAATAATAATTAACTCAAAGAGTTGATGTTAAGATTAAAGTACTGAGTACAGAGTCTTACACTCAGTAAGTGTTCAATAAATGACAATAACAAAACAAACTAGAGAAGTACTTATAAGTAAATAACGCAGAAACAAACACATACTTTTCGAATTGAACATGCATACACAAAAACAGTAATAACAAACTTCTTTTTGCTAATACATATACTCCACAAATAACTAAATCAATGGGTCTCTTGGATAGAAGCAGAGATCATATCCTCCTCTCCCTCTAAACCCTGTCATCCATGGCTTTGATTGTTTTTAAGATTGTTTTGTGATTTGAGTCGCCACTTGATAAACTGCCAGTTCCATGCAGGGACATGGATGAAGCTGGAAACCATCATTCTCAGCAAACTAACACTGGAACAGAAAACCAAACACCGCATCTTCTCACTCATAAGTAGGAGTTGAACAATGAGAACACATGGACACAGGGAGGGGAACATCACACAGTGGGGCCTGTCGGGGACGGGGGGCTAGAGGAGGGATAGCATTAGGAGAAATACCTAATGTAGATGATGGGTTGATGGGTGCAGCAAACCACCATGGCACGTGTGTACCTATGTAACAAACCTGCATGTTCTGCACTTGTATCCCAGAACTTAAAGTATAATAATAAAAAAGAAAGGCAAAAATGAAATGTCAAAAGAAATATCAGCTGTGGTTGTGTGATCCTACAAAGGTGACAGAATAGGAACTGTGCCATAGGCCTGTGCTCCATCAAGGCCTCAGAGAAAGGAGTTGCTCCAACTGTTTATAGTCTCACCACTATCTTGGGAGATGGCCAGAGTTGAAGACGAATTAGGGCAAGAAAAGGCTGATGCTGTGAGTCAGTCAGGTTTCCTGACTAATCTCTGAGATCTAGGATGCTTAATAAGTGTCATAGCAAGAGTGACAAAAAGCTTTGGGAAGTTCAGTGAAAGAGTTCATCTTAATTTTCCTGAAAATCTGGGTCATGATATTCATGGCATTTTAGTTTTTTGGCAGGGTCACAGAGGTAGAATAAGTATATATATTTTCCTTATTGTTATTACTTAAGATGCAGGGGTACATGTGCAGGTTTGTGACAGTAATATATTGTGTAATGGTGAGCTTTTGGCGTCTACTGTACCCATCATCCAAAAAGTGAACATTGTATCCAATAGGTAATGTTTCAATCCTCACCCTCCAACATTTTCCCCTTTTGAAGTCTCCAGTGTCTATTATTTTCATCTTTATGTCCACATGTACCCATTGCTTAGCCCCTACTTATAAGTGAGAACATGCAGTACTTGATTTTCTGTTTGTGAGTTATTTCACTTAGAATAATGGCCTCCAGCTCCATCCATTTTGTTCAAAGGCCATTACTTCATTATTTTTATGGCTGTATTGTATTCTGTCATGTACATATATCACATTTTCTTTATGAAATCATTCAGCGATACGGTTTGGATTTGTGTCCCCCTCCCAAATCTCACCTCGAATTGTAGTAATCCCCACATGTCAAGGGTGGGACCCGGTGGAAATAAGGGAATCATGGAAGTGGTTTTTCCCGTCCTGTTCTCATAATAGTGAGTTCTTACAAGATCTGATGGTTTTATAAAGGGCTTCCCCCTTCACTCGGCACTTATTCTCTCTCTTGCCGCCCTGTGGAGTGGTGCCTTCCGCCATGATTGTAAGTTTCCTGAGGTCTTCCCAGCCATGTGGAGCTGTGAGTCAACTAAACCTCTGTTCTTTATAAATACCCATTCTTGGGTATTTCTTCATGGCAGCATGAGAAAGAACTAATACAGTAATGGACACTTTGATTGAATCCATGACTTTGCTATTATGAATAGTGTTGCAATAAACACATGAGTGCAGGTATTTTTCTATGAAATGATTTTTTTGGATAGATACTCAGTAGTGGGATTGCTGGGTTGAATGGTAGATCTATTTTTAATTCTTTGAGAAATCTACATACCGTTTTCCATGGAGGATGTAATAATTTACGTTTCCATCCACAGTGTATAGCTGTTCCATTTTCTCTGAAGTGCATGCCAATATCTCTGTTTTTTTTGACATTTTAATAATAGCCATTCTGACTTGGGTATAATAGTATCTCATTGTGGATTTAATTTGCATTTTTCTAATTAGTAATGTTGAGCATTTTTTTTTCATATGTTTGTTGACCACTTGTATGTATTCTTTTGAGAAATGTCTGTTCAAATCCTTTGCCCACTTTTTAATGGGTTGTTCCTTCACTTGTTGAGTTGTTTGAGTTCCTTGCAAATTCTTGATATTAGTTCTTTGTTGGATGTATAATTTGTAAATATTTTCTCTCATTCTGTAGGTTGTCTGTTTACTCTGTTGATTATTTCTTTTGCTGTGCAGAAGCTTTATAGTTTAGTTGAATTCCACTTGTCTATTTTTGTTTTTGTTGCATTTGCTTTTGAGAACTTAGTCATACATCAACCACCTAGGCCAATATCCAGAAGAGGTTTTCCTATACATTTTTATAGTTTCGGATCTTATATTTAATCCATCGTGAGTTAATTTTTGTATATAGTTTCACTGTTTTGTATATGGCTATCCAATTTTCCCAGAACCATTTATTGAATAGAGTGTCCTTTCCTCATTGTTTATTAGTGTTGGCTTTGTCATAATCAGTTGGTTGTAGGTTTGTGGCTTTATTTCTGGGATCTCTAGTCTGTCATATTGATCTACGTGACTATTTTGGTACCAGTACTACACTGTTTGGTGTACTATAGCCTGGCAGTATAATTTGAAGTTAGGTAATGTGATGCCTCTGGCTTTTCTCTTCTGGCATAGGATTCCTTTGACTACACAGGCCCTTTTTGATTCCATATGAATTTAAAATTTTTTTCTAATTATTTGAAAAATTACATTTGTAATAAGAATTGCGCTGAATCTACAGATTGCTTTGGACAGTATAGTCATTTTGATGATATTGATTCTGCCAATCCTTGAGCATGGATGTTTGTTTTTTCATTTATTTGTATTACCTATGATTTCTTCATCAGTGTTTTGTAGTTCTTTTTGTAGACATCTTTCATTGCTTTGTTTAAAGGTATTTTTATATATTTCATTTTTTTGTGGCTATTTTAAATGGAATTGAGTTCCTTATTTGGTTCTCAGTTGAACATGGTTGGTTTATAGAAATCCTACTGATGTTTGTACATTGATTTGGTATTCTGAAACCTTACTGGACTCATTTATCAAGTCTAAGAGTCTTTTGGAGAAATTTTTAGGGTTTTCTAGTTATAACATTATGTCATCAGTGAACATAGGCAATGCAACTTCGTCTTTTTTTATTTGGATGCCTTATATTTTTTCTCTTTCCTTATTGCTCTGTCTAGGACTTCCAGTACCATGTTGAATACAAGTGGAGAGAAAGAATCTTTGCCCTTTTCCAGTTCTTAGGGAGACTGCTTTCAACATTTCCCCATTCAGTATGATGTCGGTTGCGGGTTTGTCATACATGGCTCTTATTATTTTGAGTCATGTTCCTTTGATGCCTAGTTTGTTGAGGGTTTCTATCAGGAAAGGATGTTGGATTTTACCAAAATATCTTTCTGCTTCTATTGAGATGATCATATGTTTTTTGTTCTTAATTCTTCTTATGTGGTGAATCACATTGATTTGCATATGTTGAACCAATCTTGCATCCCTGGAATAAAACCCACTTATTGTGATGTATTTTTTTTTCAGTTATGTGCTGTTAGATTCTCTTTGCTAGCATTTTGTTGAGGAATTTTGCATCTATGTTCATCACGGATATTGGCCTGTAGTTTTCTTTCTTTATTGTGTCTTTGGCTGATTTTTGATATCAGGGTGATACTAATTTCAAAGAATGAGTTAGGAAAGAGTTTCTTCATCTGGATTTTTTGAAATAATTTCAGTGATTGGTTCCTTCTCCCCCTCTCCCTCTCCCTCTCCTTCTCCCTCTCCTTCTTCTTCTTCTTCTTCCTTCCCAATGGGGTCTCACTCTGTCACTCAGGCTAGAGTGCAGTTGTGCGATTATAGCTCCCTGCAGCCTCAACCTTTTGGGCTGGGCTCAGGTGATCCTCCCACCTCAGCCTCCCCAGTAGCTTGGACTACAGGCATGTGCCACCACGCCCAGCTAATTTTTGTATTTTTTTTTTTCTGTGGAGATAGACTCTTGCCGTATTGCCCAGGCTGATCTCAAACTCCTAGGCTCAAGCAACATGCATGTCTCAGCCTCCCAAAGTGCTAGGATTACAGGCATGAGCCACTGCACCCTGCCCAGCCCTTTTTAAATTATACATATTTTTCCATGTATGCTGCACTTATCAAGGAGCATAAGAACTCAGAAGAAATGAGTGACAGAATGTAGTAAGCATTTTTAGACCACCTAAAAGCGAGGTGAGGCTATTTGGAGAATGGCTGATTAATCTGATTTTGAAAAGGGTCTATGTTCTAGAATGCAAAAAAAAAAAAAAAAAGCAAAGAGAAAAATTAGTAAAAATGAAATTTTCTCTACTGTGAGGGAATGAGGTTGACAAAGTAAGTGAGTAGATCAGTATTGATTGTGTTCCTTCTATGGTAGATATGGTTGGAGTATGTCACAATTGCCACATAGTAGATGAGCAATAAATATTTGATGAATGAGCAGAAGCCTCAATAATTTCTATTCTCTAATTTTGGAAGGCTTATCAAAAAACAGTTCAATAAATGTCTATTGAGAACTTAATATATGCAATCAGGAGAGAGACAAAATCGCAAGTCACAAGACCGAATCACCAAGGATCTATTATAAAATCTCTCATATCATCTCATTTTACTGATGTATGACTTTTTTGTTGTAAACCTGTAGGATTTCTTGAAATAGGGTAAAATATTACTGTATGCTAATAAGCACTTTTAAGAATATCTGAACTAGAAATATCTGATAGACTGTCACTGTGCTACAGAATCCCAACACAACTACCAATCTTGAGAGAATCACATGTTCTCACTGAATTAAGGCAGTATGTTATTTTGGAAGGGTACAAATTACCAGGAGTGAGTTTACCAGATGAATATATTACTGTTCAGTTATAAATACTCTCATAAAGTAAAAACAGTATAGGTACATTTTTACTTGCAAGAAGTTGAGAATCACAGAATTTTAAGGCTGGAAAAGCTTATGCATATGTGTAATCCAATGGTCTCATTTTATAGAAAGGGAAACTAAGATCCTAGAAGACGCAGAGTCATAAAATGAGTTAGAAATAGAAAAAAAATTAAACTCGTTCCATATGAATCTCAGTTCAATACTCTTTCTTCTATTCCTGCCAACCTCCAGGAGATACTGAGTTCCACGTTGTGTTTGGATTCAAGGGAAGAACAAGTATTGCCAAAGATCAACTTGATGTACCTAACTAGTTTGTCTAGAAGTGACATTGAAAATGATTACCTTATGGGCTAAATATTGCCACAGATATGTTTGTTTGACCTACACATTTAAAAAATGTTTTTATGTCATTTGTTGGCAGTTTAAAATGGAGAGATTTCACATAAAATCCAGTTTAAAGAGGTTCTCCTGAAAAATAAAAAGATCTGGCAGTAGTGGGTTTCCTTCCTCACATAATGAAAATTGACTGGAGCTAGATAGAATATTCTACTTTAAAAAGGACATGGGACTTCAGTTTATCATAGTTCCCACTAATCTCTATTTTTCCTACACATAGCCTGTTTATTCATTTGTATTTATATACTATATGTCCCTGCAGCTCTAGGATTTTAAGTCTGTGACTTCTGAAATCAACCTTATATAGAAATTTTCATGTTTGAATGACCCATATCTTTAAACTTCTTAAATAATTAGGAAAACTAGAAACCTGAGATACTTAACATTATAAAAAGATGGTTTACAAACACCACATGTTCTCACTCATAGGTGGGAATTGAACAATGAGAACACATGGACACAGGAAGGGGAACATCACACACCGGGGCCTGTTGTGGGGTGGGGGGAGGGGGGAGGGATAGCATTAGGAGATATACCTAATGTTAAATGATGAGTTAATGGGTGCAGCACACCAACATGGCACATGTATGCATATGTAACAAACCTGCACGTTGTGCACATGTACCCTAAAACTTAAAGTATAAATAAATAAATAAATAAAAAGATGGTTTAAAGGACATTGTGATATTACTGTAAATATTCCTGAAGTGTGATTAAATTAAATTAAAAAATTAAAAGTTTGTGCATCATAAGACTTTACAAAAAATATAAATACAGCCTACAGTAGTTAATTCAATAAGCTTGTTTTCTGCTATTCATTCATAGCATTTTTCATCTCATCCATTTAATGGTTGTTTAATTTTGCCTTTTATGGTGCTTGCATTCCTTATTCTTTTTGTTTTCCTCTTTACAATCCCCAACACAGTGGCTTCTATATGCAGGTGACTAATAAAATTTTCTTCAATTCACTATCAAGTGAATGCTAACTTATCTTACATTCCCCTGATAATTATAATCATTTAAGAACACTTAAAAAACAATGGCTTAGCAATAAAGAAATATTTCATAGGAAATGTAGAACAAAGAAGTGATCAAATTCACTTTTATATAATGAGTAATATATCCTAGATGAGTAAATTTAAGTCACATTTTTAAGGAAGTAAAGAAGTGCTTTATAAGCAGTTGGCAGAAATGAATCTATAGCAGTGCAGGTGGGAAAATAATGGAATCAATAATGGAATCAATAATGGATTAATAGAATCAGTGAAGACATAGCAGTAACATTGGTGTGAAATGAGGTTATAAATAAGTGAGATTGCATGCAGTACATGGGCCATGATTGGAAGTAATACAAAATACACATTTGTGAGCAACCAGTAACAGGAGTTTTGTTCATTCTTTACCTTATGTATCTAATGCTTATATAAATGTAACACATTTGGCTCTTAGGCAAGCCAGAAAAATTAGACAGAGGTTTCTCTGACATTTTATCTATCAAATCAGGGGGATTAGAGATAGTGCTGTATCTCTTTACCTATTATTTAAATAGGAATAAATATATATACATGATACATTTCATTGATCCTACAAAACAAGGCAATTAATGCCACATGGCAATATCTTGCAATATAATTGAACATAATAGATATGGAAGTGAAGATTGCTTTAGGATTCTATCCACTCACTGGGAAAACTATCATAAAACCTTAAGTCTAGTTTTTGAAAAGGCAGTATTTACATCACAATAGAAATAAATCACCCATATACATCACTAATTCTATGGTTATATAGAGCCAGCAAAATAGCCTGTAGCAAGGCAAATTTAGTCATTATAATTTGATGGACGTGTGTGTATGTGTGTGTGTGTGTGTGTGTGTCTGTATGTGTGTGAGAGAGATCAATATACATTGCTACAAGCATGCTTATGTAAGTATATTGATTATGAAACTTGTTTTAGCACTCTATACCAATTGATGTTTTTCATAATGCTGTCTGGTGTTTGACGACTCTTGACTTTGTTGTTTTGTTTTGTCTTCTTTTTGTACAAGCAGAGTCTTGCTCAATCTCAGTGGCTCTAACTGGAGACAGCAGTACTGGCCATGACACCCTCCCTACCCTGATAAAAATAGTTATAAAGACAGAGTGGAGCTAGAGTACTGATTGTTCCTTCTAAACTGCCCAGATAACAAAGTAAAATTCACAGCACAATCTTCTTAATAAAGAATAACCTACAAGTATATTAAATGTTTATCCACTTAAGTATTTATCCACTGAAGTACTTTTAAAGCTTTTTTAACTCTGACAAGCATAATGAAAAAAAATTTGATGATGATCACGAGTAGAAAAACATGCATGTAATTTGGTCGCTTGCCAAATAATTGAAGGACACACTAAATAACTCCTCCGTATCAGAAGAGATGATGACACAGGCTGAAAAGAAGCCCAAAGCTGTCTGTGTTTAAACAGATTTACTTAATAGGAAGGCTTGTTGTATCTTTAGGCCTTAAAAGGAACAGAAAACAAAGAAAGATTTTTTTGAGGGGGATTAAGGGGAGGCCGTGGGATTCCTGCCATTAGTATTGGATGTTGAACTTATCTTTCTCATAGAGCAGGAGTCATGCTTCCTTTCTCCTCCAATCCCTCAAAAAAACTTGCAACCTTAAAAAGAACAACAAAAATCTTCTTTTTATGGTTAAGGTATTTCTCTCAAATTCCACTAAAGGAAAACATTAAAACAAAAGTTCAAAAAACAAAACAAAACAAAAACCAAAAACCCACATCTAAAATCAACACAATGTGTTTTAATATATATGAAGAGGACAGCATTTTCCAAGATTTATTTGCATTTAGATAGCATAGTGCACTTTGCAATGCACTTTTAAATAAAATAACTTAATTTGTTCTTACACAGAGGCCCTTTGAAGTTGGCTATGGCATGGATAAATGTTATATTCTGATTTTGTAAAAGAGAAGACTTAGAGAGGTGAAGTCACTCACCAAAGGTAACACAGCTAGGAAAGGGCAGAACTAGAACCATAACTGAGGTGCTCTGATCCCAAATAATTTTTCCCCATTTTGGATCATCAAATGTTTCAGTAATAATTTCTTATAGTTGGATAGAATTTTTAGAGTTATAAAGTGATTGCCTATGTATTAGGTGGAAAGACAAGAAATTGTCCATATCCATTCATTTTAATGAATTAAAATGGCAATTTTGTATGGTTCAAACATTAACTCTTAAATTTTCATAAGTTTTTTTGCTCTCTTCCTACCTTCCTGTAAGCACTGCCTCTCACATCACCCTCATCTCCAAACATGTGCACTAATATAACCAGAGACTAATGTTGCCAGGGGCTCTCAGTTGAGAAATAGACACATGCCATGAATTTTTACTTACTCCCTCCTTGATCATTAACTCACCTTTTGCCCCATTCTATCTAGATTCTCAAAGTGACTGTTAAATGACTACACAAAAGTTTTAATACTAAAATGAGCAACATATTCCCTCTCCTACAGGCATTTGCCCTGGTCCTTGCAGGTCATTAATTCAATATAATAAATTTCTAATCAATCTCAAAACTAGTATTTGAGTACAATGATGGTGCTTCTTGCAACGATGTCACACATTTCCCATAAAGTGCTGTAATGTTTGTTCTGCTATATTGAAGAGTTCATATAGATCACTCCTTTTCTCTCTAGATCCATTCTCTCATGATCTCCATGCTTCCCCATTTTCTTTCACTCTCTTTTCTGTCTCTTTCTCATTATCTCTTTTTAATTTTAATTTTTGTGGGTACATAGTAGGCATATATAGTTATGGGCTACATAGGATATTTTGGTACCAGCATGCAATGTGTAATACTACCATCATGGAAAATTGGGCCTCCATCCACTCAAGCATTATCCATGTTACAAACAATCCAATTATACTATTTTAGTTATTTTAAAATGCACAATTAAGTTATTATTGACTATAGTCACCCTGTAATCAAATACTAGGTCTTATTTATTCTTTCTATTTTTTGTACCCATTAACTGTCCCCACCTCTTCCTCAACCTCCGACTACATTTCCCATGCTCTGGTAACCATCTTTCTACTCTCGACTTCCATGAGTCCAATTGTTTTTGTTTTTAGTTCCCACAAATAAGTGAGAACATGCAATGTTTGTCTTTTTGTGCCTGGCTAACTTCACTTAGCATGATGACCTCCAGTTTCATTTATTTATTTATTGCAAATGACAGGATCTCATTCATTTTTTATAGCTGAATAGTACTCCATTGTGTATATGTACCACATTTTCTTTATCCATTTATCTATTGATGGACACTTAGGTTGCTTTCAAATCTTGGCTGTTGTTAACAGTAGTTCAACAAATATGGAAGTGCAGATATCTATTCAATATACTGATTTCCTTTCCTTAGGGTACATACTCAGCACTGGGATTGCTGAATCATATAATATCTCTATTTTCACTTTTTTTTAAGAAGCTCCAAAGTGTTTTCCATAGTGGTTGTACTAATTTACATTCCCACTAACAGTGTATGGGGGTTCCTTTTTCTCCACATCCTTGCCAGCATTTGTTATTTATTGCCTGTCTTTTGGATATATGCCATTTTAACTGAGGGGAGATAATGTCTTACTGTAATTTTGACTTATATTTTTCTGATGACCAGTGATGTTGAGAACCTTTTTTTATGCCTGTTTGCCATTTGTTTGTAGTTTGTATACTTTTCAGAAATGTCAGTTTAAGTCTTTTGCTCATTTCTTAATCAGATTTTTTTATTTTTTCCTATAGAGTTGTTTGAGTTCCTTATATATTCTGGTTACTAATCCCTTGTCAGATGGGTAATTTGCCAATATTTTTCCCTCTGGGTTATCTAGTCATTTTGTTGATTGTTTTATTTGTTTTGCAGAAGCTTTCAAACTTGATGTGATCATATTTTCTGATTTTTTACTTTTGTTGCCTGTGCTTCTGCGGTATTGCTCAAGATATTTTTGCCTAGACCAGACCAGTGTCCTGTAGATTTTCCCCAAAATTTTCTTGCAGTAGTTTCATAGTTTGAGGTCTTAGATTTATGTCTTCATCATTTCAATTTGAATTTTGTATATGGTGAGACATAGGGTTTCTAGTTTCTTTCCTCTGCATATGGATGTCTGGTTTTCCCAGCACCATTTCTTTCGAAGAGCCTATCTTTTTCCCAGTGTATATTCTTGGCATCTTGTTCTAAAATGAGTTTATTTTAGAGACATGGATTTGTTTCTGGGTTCTCTATTCTTTTCCACTAGTCTATGTGTCTGTTTTTCTGCCAGTACCTTGTTGTTTTGGTTACTATACCTCTTTGTATACTTTGACATTAGGTAATGTTATACCTCGAGTTTTATTATTTTTGCTCAAGAGAGCTCAGGCTATTCTGGGTCTTTTTAGTTCAATACAAATTTTAGGAGAGTTTGTTTTCTATTTCTGTTAAGAATGTCATTGGTATTTTGACAAGGATTGAATTGAATCTGTAGGTTGCTTTGGTACTATGGATATTTTACCAATATTGATTTTTTTAAATCAAATTTCCTGGAAGCAAAATTTGTCCAATAATGTTATTTTAACTTCAAAACAATCTCAGAGGTTGACACCATTATTCTCATTTTAGAGTTAAGAAAGTTCAGTTTCATGAAATTTAAATAAACTGTCTAAGGTCACCAACTAACAAGTAACAAAATCGTAATTCTAATTCAGCTGTGTATTATTCCAAAACTCATGTAATTAACCAGTATGATATATTGAAAGATGAAAATTCTTGTCCCTGTCCACCAGGAGTTTGTAGTCTACTGTACTGTAAAATGTGTAACTACTAGCAATGTGTGGTTAATTAAATTTATATTACTTAAAATTAATAATATTAAAAATTCAGTTTATCAGTCACATCATATGGATTCCACGTGTGCGATGGCCAATATATTAGCTTTTTTGCTGCTCAGTATAGTAACTATAGTGACTACTCTATTGGACAGTGCAATTTAAATTATTTCTGTCATCAGAGCAAGTTCTATTGGACAGTATTTGTCTATAGGATATGCACACAATTAAATATAAACTATTGTACTGCTAAAATGGATGAGCAAAGTGCTATGCAGAGATTTAATAATGAGACTGATTCTAACTCATATAATTTTTAAATGTTCACGAAAGATGTTCTGAGGTTTATAAACATATTTAGGGAAATTTCACAAGAGAAGTTTTGTTTGTTTTGTTTCCTGAGGTATTTCCAACAACTAGAATAAGACCTGGCATATCATAGGTGCTCCACAAATATTTCTAATGCATGCCTGAATTAATTCTTAAATTAGAGGACCCTGCTAGTAAGCAAAGCTACTACATTTTTAGCAAAAACATAGAGAAGTGAAACAGCAGTGTTTTTTTGTTTGTTTTTGTTTTTGGAAAAAATGAGTATGGCCAGCACAGAATTTGGGAAAAAAATATAATAAGAATAAGGCTGTAAGGTAGAATGGGAGCCAGACCATGGAGAGACTTTTAATCATCAGTAAATGGTCATCTCCAAACTCCACATGTTCAAACTCCAACCAGCACTCTTCCCTCAAGGCATTCCCTCTTCTCTATTCTCTATGTTTGTTACCCAGTTAGAGTTCTCCAAATCAGAAATTTGAAGGTCATCTTAAACACTTTACCTCTAACTCAACTCACATCCTGCCTCCAATCAGTCCCCAAGCCATTTCATTTTTATTTTTCAAATCTCTGATAGATCTACCTCTTCTCCTTTCACACCACTGCTTCCAAAATTTAGGGCTTTATTGCTTCTTAACTGAATCACTGAAGCAGCCTCCTAGTTGGTTTCTCCACCTTCAGTCTTTTCTAGTCCATTTTTCACATTCTAAGATCTATCATTTTGAAATACCAGTCTATGCATGTAAGTATTCTGCTTAAACCCATGGTGTTGTACTTAAGTCTCATCTTGGACAATTCCTTGCCCACTTTCCCAGATTGATCACCAGTCACTCTTTATTGTATTCTGTCTCCTTTGAGACAACAGAACCAGTAACATTTCCTATGTGCCTCAAGCCTTTTAATATAAATATACTTTGTTTTGTCCCAAAGTGGTTCTGTTGACAGCTGATGTAATACCTTAGTTCTTCTTAGTTTAAAATAATTTTAAAAAGAGACACACAGCAAAAGAAGTGCAGCATCGAGTAATTTATTGCAAAGGAAAAATATTTTGTAAGTTAGGTGCAGAATAGACAGTACACCTTGAGAGAGAGAATTCAAGGCAGGCTGTGCACAAGGACAAGACAGCAAAGAGTGGCATCAGGGAGACTCCCTTTGTGGGAGTCTTACATGATTATTCATAAGGAGGTGGGAAAGGGGTGTTACTAGTAAGCATGTTCTGGGTGTTCCGCTGGGTACACATGCATAGTAGCTGTACATATTTGTTCATACATTGGATGTCTCATTAGCATCTTAAATCTCAACCCAGGAGGTTTTTTTGTTTCTATTACAAGGAGCAAAGGGTCACAAAATGTGCATGCTCTCTAGAGGGGAAAGTCACTTCTAAAGATAGCTTTGCTTGAATGCACTCAATTACAATGCGAATACTGAGGCTTATTATATTGACTGTAAGGTCACCACAGTTACTGCATTCTGAGAACGTGGATATTTCCTTGACTACCTATTCTGCCTCAGTTCCATCACCCGTAATGAATGAACCCTCTCATCTTTTGTGAGACTACTTAATAAGTTATTCCAACTTAGCTAAACTATTGTCAACTCTGTAAAGATCTACCTAATCCCCTCCCCTTATTCCTCTGCCTCCCATTCTTTACCCCCAGATTCTAGTAACACTCTCTCCTCTGTGGTCACACAGTATCCTAAGTATATTTACATTGTGGCACCTAAAGTACTACTTTTTCATCAATATCTTCTTTCCCCATTCATTGTGACTTCCTTGAAGGCAGTAATTTTGACATTTTTTTCTTTTGTATCTCCTTGATTTCTAGCTCAGAGAAAGCTCTCAATAACTGACTTTAAGATGAATTAATTTGACCTTGCATGCGATTGGAAGCCATAAAATATTTTGAACGATAGAATAACATCATAACTGTGATTCAGGAAGATTATTCTGGTATCCTTGAGAAGAATGGGTTAAATGCCTAAGACAAAGTGAGTTGGGCCAGGCACAGTGGCTCTCACCTGTATTCCCAGCACTTTGGGTGGTCAAGGCGGCCGGATCACAAGGTCAGGAGTTCGAGACCAGCCTGGTCAACATAGTGAAACCCCGTCTCTACTAAAAATACAAAAATTAGCTGGGTGTGGTGGCTGCGCCTGTAGTCCCAGCTACTCGGGAGGATGAGGCAGGAGAATCGCTTGAACCCAGGAGGCAGAGGTTGCAGTGAGCTGAGACCGCACCATTGCACTCCAGCCTGGGTGACAGGGCAAGACTCTGTCTCAAAATAAAGAAATAAATAAATAAAAATAAAAAAGACAAAGTGAGTTTACTAACACGCCTGAAAATTAGCATTAAGATAAATTTGCTTCAAAATGAGCTTTTCTATTATCAATAACAGTTTAGGGATTTTTTTTTAAAGCGTTTAATGATTGTATGTGGTCACCCTGTTAAATGTCAAGGGAGGTTAAAATCATGCTTTTAAGAATACTTTGCAGATACGGCACCTGGTAAACACAAAACTATGATGAAAAATTACAGTTTCCTTTTAAGAAACAGCTAGTTGTAAAGGCAGAAGGTCTCTTGGTGGGGAGGTCAGAGTAGGAATGCCACCTCCTTAAGCTTCTGAAGCAATAGCTTACTAATTAAAACTTCCCAAACACACACCAGATATACAGACATACCCACATAGGCATAAAGGAGTTAATAGTGTCATCAAGAAGATAAGCTGTGGTTCTCAAGGGAATAGTCAGTTGGTAGGATTTATGACACACCTGCATTCTGTAAAGAAGTCCTGACATTTGTCTGGTTAAGAAAGGTGTGGGAATTACAAAGATCTCAGCAGTTCCATATGAATACTGTGCTTGGAAAACGTGGGTCTAGTGTTAATGATCATTCAGGGGAGAGAAGAAGAAAGACACTGTTGATCTTGTTATTTTTGCTGGTATATGAATGAAATTTGCTTTTTCTTTTGATGAGTTAGGTTGGTGAACAAACTGATTAGGTACGCAAAACAAGGGACACAAACTGGGTGTAGGTCCCAACATGTAATATGCTAACCCTGCATTCAGTATGAAGAATGTTTTCTTTTTAAAATTTTATATGTAAGGATGTACTTTTGTATGTTTCCTGTGTGCCATACTGATGTATGTAGGATTTTAGTTTTACACAAATTTAAGTTATTTCCTCTAAGAACTTTTCTTGTATTACTTTTAATGCACATGAAAAGTACAAGATGTTAAAAAGCTACAGACGACACTGATTGTGATTCCTTCCCCCCGTATCTTAGTTCTGAAGACGTTACTTCATACACACACACACATACACACATACACACACACACACACACACACATACATTAAATGCCTTCAGCTCAAATATAATTTTTATGCCAAAGATATATTTTGGGGTGAAATATTTTGGTTTTCCTCACTAGAGTGGAAAAAACACAATATATTAAAAGAGAATACTAAACATGATTTTATGCCAATGAATTAGATAAAATAGACTATTTTCTTAAAAAAAACTTTTCATAACTGATACCATAAAATAGAAAAGTGAATAGAATGATAAACAATAAAGAACTGAATCAGTAGTTCACAATCACACACATACACACACACAAACGTGCACATGCACATATGCACACACCAGGCCCAGATTATTCTATAGGTAAGATCTGGAAAACCCATGGCCTACATGTTTTCCTGTTTCATTGTAACATAATTGATAAACCATAAAATTCACCTTTTAAAGTATGAAAGTCAATATTTTTATACTTGCAAGGTTTTGCAACCATCACTTCTATTTAATTTCAGATTATTTTTATCACTCTAAAATAACTTCATATTTGTTAGCACTCACTCTCCATTCTCCTCAACCCTCAATCCCTAACAACCACTAATCTGTTTTCTGTCTCTGTGGATTTTCCTATCCTGGATATTTCATAAGAATGGAACCATGTAATATGTGAGTTTTGTGACTTACTTCTTTCACTTAATGTTTTTAAAGTTTATTCACATGGTAGACTGCATCAGTACTCCATTTCTTTTAATGGCTGAATAATATTCCATTTTATGTATAGACCACATCATATTCAGAAGTTCATCAGCTAATGGACATTTGAGTTGTTTTCATTTAATGGTTAATGTTTTCATTTAATGGCTGTTATGAAGTACAAATTTTCATGAAGACATATATTTTTTATTGTCTTGTATATCTATGTAGGAATGAGATTGCTGGGTTCCTATAAAAATTGCCAGTTTGTTTACCAAAGTGGTCATCCCATTTTACCAGCTCACCAGCAATGTGTGAGAATTTCAATTTCTCCAAATCCTCACCAACACTTTTTATTATCTGTCTGCTTGTTTATAGCTATTCTAGTGGATGTGAACCAGTATCTCATTGAAGTTTTGATTTGCATTTTTCTGATGTCTAATGATATTGAGCATCTTTTCATGGACATGTTGGCCATTTGTATATCTTCTTTGGAGAAAGGTCTCTTCAATTCATTTGTGCATTTTAAAATTGGGTCATTTGTCTTTTTATTGTTGAGCTGTAACAATTATTTTTATATTCTTGATATTAGATGCTTATCATATATATGCTTTATAGTATACATTTTGCATACATTTTTCCATTTTGTGAGTTTTTTCACATACTAGATAGTGTCCTTTGAAGCACAAAAGTTTTTTATTTTGAAGGTCCAATGTTTCTATTTTTATTTTCTTTTGCCTTCACTTTTGCCTCCATATTTAAGAAACCAATGCCAAATTCAAGGCCATAAACAGTTAACCATTTCCATCTATTAATTATATTTTTAGCTCTGAAATTTATGTTTTAACCAATTTTGAGTTAAATTTTACATATGAAATGAGGGAAAAGAATAATTTATTGTTTGCAGGTGGCTACTTAGTTGCCCTATTGTCATTTGTTGTAGAGACTATTTTTTTCTCCATTGAATGGTCTTGGCACTTTTATTAAAACACAATTGGCCATAGACATATGAGATTTTCTGGATTCTTAATTCTGTTCTATTGATCTATATGTCTATACTAATGCCAGTACCATAGTGTTTTTATCTTTGTAATTTTGTAGAAAGTTTTGAAATCAGGAAGTGTGAGTCCTCCAATTTAGTACTTTTTCAAAATTGTTTTGGCTGTTTTTGTTCCCTTGCATTTCCATGCAGATTTTAGGCTCAGCTTTTCCATATTGTGATGGATTTATAGATCAATTTGGCTAACATTGTCAACAATAACAAATCTTCCAATCCCAGAACATGGATGACTTCCTCATTTAGGAAGATAGGTCTTCAACTATCTTTAGTGGTGATTTGTAGTTTTCGGTGTACAAGTCTTGCAATTATTTTGTTACGTTTCATTCTAATTACTTTATCCCTTTGATATTATTATAAAAAGAATTGTATTGTTAATGTCATTTTCACTTTTTTCATTTGCCTTGTATAAAAATAGTACTGAGTTTTACACATTGATCTTATATCCTGCAACATTGATAAATTTATTTACTAGCTCTAATAGCTTTTTGTTGCTGTTGTTGATTCCTTAAGATTTTCTAAATATAAGACAATGTCATCTGCAAATAGAGATAATTTTAATTCCTCCTTGGCAATATGGATGGCTTTTAGTCCTCTTTCTTGCTTGATTGCCCTAGATAAATTATCCATTACAATGATGAGTAGATGTGCTAAAAATGATATTTTGCTTTATTCTTTGTCATAGGAATAAAGCTTTCAGTTTTTAACTATTAAATATGATGTTTGCTGTTTTGTTTAAAATAGATGGCCCTTATTAGGTTCATAAAATTTTTCTCTATTATTAATTTGTTCAATTTTTTATCATGAATGAGTATTGAATTTTGTCATGTGTCTTTTCTGTGTATATTGAGATAATCATGTGTATTTGTCCTTTATTCTATTAATGTAGTGTATTATATTAATTTTTTTTTGTTTTTTGGTTGTTTAAACAACCTTACATTCCTTGGATATATCTCCTTTGGTCAAAATGTATACTCTTTTTTAAATGTTGTTAGGTATAAGTTGCTAGTTAAGTGGTTCAGAACATGCCATCCCAAAATATACCACTTGGGCATATTGATTATTTTGAGCTGGAGGCACTTGAGAAACAGCAAGGGCAGGAAGGGCTCTCCGACCTCTCATTTCTTTTCTTTTCTTTTGTTTTGTTTTTTTTTTTGGAGGTGGAGTCTCTCTCTATTGCCCAGGCTAGAGTACAGTGGCACTATCCGGCTCACTGCAACCTCCGCCTCCCGGATTCAAGCGATTCTCCTGCCTCAGCCTCCCTAGTAGCTGAGACTACAGGTGCACGCCGCCATGCCCCGCTAATTTTTCGTATTTTAGTAGAGACGGGGCTTTCCCGTTTTGCTCAGGCTGGTCTCGAACTCCTGAGCTCAGGCAATCTCCCCGCCTTGGCCTCCCAAAGTGCTAGGATTACAGGCATGAGCCACTGCGCCTGGCCTCTGACCTCCCAATTCTACTTAAAAGCAGTTCATACTATTTTTCTTGAGAAAGGCGCCCTCCCTGTACCAGGAAGAGAGCATTCTTATCACCAGATACTTGGAGTCAACACCAGAATAGACCTGTACAAACAAACTTAATAAAACAACCTTTATATTCATTAGTTTCGGCCATATTTTTGGCCATTTTATACTTACAGTCTAACAATTACTGCCCCTAGCCCAAGACCCCTTGTCTTGTCACATCGCCAAAATGTATCATTCTCTGTGTAAAAAGATAGATAAGCTTTTGTGCCTAATGGTTTCTTCTACTCTTCTTTTCTGAGGACTCCCATGTAACTGTAAAAAAGTATTAAATAAATTCGTATGCTTTTCTCCTGTTAATCTGTCTTACGTTCATTTAATTCTTATGCCAGCCACAGAACCTAAGAGTGTAAAATGAAGTTTTCCACCCCTAAACTATTATTATGTAAACAATTTTGTGTCTTTATGAGAGGTATTGTTGTCTAGTTTTTCTCTTTTAGTGATGTCTTTGTCTAGTTTTGCCATCAGATAATAAGGGTCTCAGAATAATTTGGAAAGAGTTCCCTCCTCTTCTATTTTTTTTTTTGAAGAGTCACAAATTTGTTTTGGAGATTCATAAAGAAGCAAAGGTTTATTTTAAATATCAAGGACAGTTCCCAGTACATAATTGAACAGCCTTGCCCTAAACACAATAATTAACCCAACATAATTTATGAAGTCAATGAAACAATATTTACATTTTCTTTATAATGTAAATCTGTAATGATAACGTGTCTGGCTCTTGCACTGAACATTAAAGTTTTCAGTGTACGCTTACATCTAGTGTCTTATTTTTATCTTCATATATTCTTCTAGGAAAAGTAGAGCAGTTTCTAATTTTGTTGTATTCTTTTTTACTTTTTTACTATGACTTTCTAGAGTAAAGGGCCCTTGCCCTAAATCCAAGACTGGCTCTTCAATTTTGCCTTACCCTGTGTCTTATATTTGGGCCCAAATTATATTAAGTAATGGAAGGAGATGTACAAACCATAATATTGGAGAATCAGACAGCAAGTGTTCAGCAACAAAGAGATATGTTGTGATGTAGTGTTAGTGGCTAAAAAGCAAGGAAACAAAAGAAAGGAGGGAAAAAAGAAGTAAAGCTTTATAACTTATTTTGTTAGACCAGCATTATGTCAATGCCAAAACAAACAAGTAAAACTCGTGAAGGAAAAATAATAGGTCACTTCATTTTGGAATATAAATAAGTTTAAAATCCTTAGTAAAATAATAACAAAATTAATCAAGCAATTAAGATATATGAACAAATTGGATTCTTCTGAAACAGCAAGGATGTTTTCACATTAATGACCTACTTACATAATTAACCACATTTACAGGCCAAAGGAGTAAGAGAAATTGCCAAAAAATTTAAAACTCATTTGTAATTTTAAAACACAGGCATAGCAAATAAAGAAAAGAATGAGAATATCCTTAAGCTGATAGAGTATATCTTCTAGGGGATTTTGAATGAATTTCTCTTTAAAGCAGAACAAGAAAATCATCTTGTCTATCATTTTTCTATATAATATTGAACGAAAAAATCTTTGTTGGTGAAGCAAGATGATTTTTTTTAAAGAGAAGGAAGGGATACGTTTAAGGATTGGAGAAAAAACTACCATTCCTTGCCAGATTAAACAGTCATCTATATTAAGAAAAAGTTCAAGAGACTTAAAGGCTATTTGAAATGTTCAGAGAGCATAAGAAATGGATGAATACAATTATTAAAATATAAAACTCATCTGAGTTTCTATGCACCAAAAATAAACAATAATTTAAAGTTTCCATTTATAATAGAAACCAAAAATACATGGTACCAGGGAATAAAGCTTACAAAATTGAGCAAACTATTTTGGGATAAATTATAAACATATAGTAAAAAATATAATGTAAAACTTAATGGAGTGATACACTATTTCCTTGGAAGGAAAGACAACATGACATATATGACAATAATACGTTGTAAATTCAATGCAGTTCCCCTCACAATTCTAAAAAAAAATTTTGAAAACTGACAAACATAAAAATTTTCTATAGATCCAAAAATATATGTAGATATATAAAAATCAAGAATAGACAGTATAATTTTGAAAAAAGGGAGGTATATCTTATAATACTCAAAACTATTATAAATATTTTATAAGGAATACGTTATTCTCACAGGGATGTACATTTTCCAGTGGACACAATATGAGCCTGTACATATACAGAAACCTGATATATAAAAGTAAAGGATATTAAAAATAAGTACAGAACAATACAAACCTTTCAATAAATGATACAGGGACAGTGAATTACATTTATAAAGATATTTCTATTCATTTTATATCTTCCACTAGGAAAAATAGAAATCTCAGATTTAGTAAATATTTAAATATAAAAAGCAAAATTGCAAAACTTTTAAAGAATGTTGAGATAGTATCTTTCACCTCAAGATGGAAATAGATTTTTATATATAACACACACAAAAGACTTAAATCTATTAAAAATGAGTAACACATTGAGCTATTTTAAGCCTTTTTATACAACAAAATTAAGCCCTTCTGTACAGCAAATGAACTACAAAGAATATTAGAAAAACATCTTTCATATCAGAAGAATTATTTGCAATATATCTATCTGACAAAGGGTTAGTATCTAGAATAATTTTAAACATCACAAGGAAATAAGAATCATAAAAATTCAAAAAGGAAGACAAAAGGGTGTGTAATTTACCAAAATGAAGACTTTGGTTGGCTAATGTATACGTAAAAACATGCTGAAACACATGAAACATCAGAAAAATGTGTATTAAAAAATGAGACATACGTATCAGATAAGAAAAAATAAAAAACCCACAATATCAGGTTTTGCAATGTTATGCAGATAATGAGATGCTTACACACCTTTGGTAGGTGTGTAAATATGCACAAGTCCTTTGGAGAATAAGGCAATAATAGTTAGTAATGAAAAAAATGAGCATGCCTAGCTATTTCAATGCGAGTTATGCATTAGAGAAGCTCCCGTACATGTCCACATGGAGACATTTTCAGAGTAAAATTGTAGCACTTAAAAGTTTTTAAAAAGAAAACAACATAATTTTAATCAAGAAAGTGGATCATGGTACACTTGTAAAATTGAGTACTATAAAACAAAAACCCACACATAATTTTAAAAAGCGTGTGGATAAATGTCATAAGGTTGGATAAAAATGTTAAATTGTTGAATTACAAGTACAGAATGATTCTAATTACATAAAGTTTAAATAATGTTTTGGGATACATCAATATGTTATGAAAATATAAAAACATGCTTGAAAATCATGACTATCAAATTGAAATAGTGGTCACTTCTAGAAAGGGAGGAAGGAGAGTCTGATTTTAGGGGTGTATGCTTACATACTCCAAAGATTTGTTTATGAAAACAAGGATCAGAAACAAAGATGGTAAAAAAAAGTCATGACAAAACTGTTCTAAGATATCTAAGTAGTTTTTATATTATACTTTAAGCTTTTCTGTACATTCATAACAGTTGTTTTTGTGGATGGTGACTCAAAGATAGACTCTATCTGGGATGAATGAGTGGTGTACTTGTGACATTAGAAAAGATACAGAATAAGTGAAGTAGAACAGGTTTTGGAAGCAAGATGATGAATTTAATCTTAGCCATGTTTGGTTTGAGGGCCTTGTAGAATGTAGGATGAGAACACCAAGCACTTAAGTTAGAATTAAGTCCTGAATATGGTGTCAGTGCAGCAACTGGGGCTAGAGATAGATCTTTGATATTCATAGCCTATATGTCTCTGATGAAATCACATCCTTTTATTCAAAAGGAAGGATCAAAGGATGGGGAGACTGTGTAGAATGAGGCAGTCAGTTTTCTGAGAGCAGAGCTATAGGAAAATTAATTTTTAAGGAATGAATAGGGAAAGTAGGTCCACAAAAAGCAAGGAGGAATAACTTTCAAAATTATTAGGAGGACTCAGAGACAGTTGTTTTGCAGGAGTCAGTGGAGCAGAGAGTGTTAAGAACAAGTGGTCAGCTCTTAACTAGCGGAGATGGCCAGGCCAATTAAGACTAAGAAGTACTTTCTTTGATTGTGTGAGAGGCAAACTGGCATCACTTAGTGTTTGTGTAAATATCATCTGTTGCAAATCAAAGTAATTTGGGAAAGCTATGTGTTACGCTGTACTGGTTAGTTACAAACTTTTCAGAGTTACAACGATCTGATGTTTTAAAACGCTGCTAAAATATATGAGCCATTATCATTAAATAAGTTTATATAATTTATTTTCAACTATCTTTAAGACTTTTTGGTCACGTTATTTCACATCCTGAGTAGCATTTGAGTCCATTTAATTACCATTCCATTGGTAATCACATAAGAAAAAGCTACTGTTATTACTTGCCTAGACAGCAATTAATGGGCACCCAATGCATCTTCCTGCATTAACCATTGACTCTTCTCTAATTCGTCTCCCGCACTGGAGAAGAATGATGCTGATGCCTGGAATGTGTGCCCCTCTCCCTCTTCCAGTTATCTTTTATATGTTATTTCCATTTCAGCTTGAATGTCACCTTTTCAAGGAAGCCCTCTTTAATCACTAGATATATTCCATGTTTTCATAGCATCCTACACCTTTCTTTTTCATTTTGAGATAAATGTAGATCCATATTCAGTTGTAAGAAATAATACAGAGTGTACCTGTACTGGATTTCTCCCAGTCCTAGCAACTATAGCACAACAGCACAATTAGGATGTTCACATTGACACAGTCAAGATGGATCATGTATTAGTCTGTTCTCACACTGCAAATAAAGACATACCTGAGACGGTAATTTACAAAGAAAAGAGATTTAATTGACTCACAGTTCCACATGGCTGGGGTGGACTCACAATCATGGTGGAATCTGAATGAGAGAAAAGTCATGCCTTACATGGTGGCAAGCAAGAGAGCTTCTGTAAGGGAGCTCCCCTTTATAAAACCATGAGATCTCATGAGACTTATTCACCATCATGAGAACAGCATGGGGAAGACCTGCCCCGATGATTCAATTACCCCCCACCAGTCACTTCCATGACAGGTGGGAATTATCGGAGCTACAATTCAAGATGACATTTGGGTGGGGACACAGCCAAACCATATCAGATAGCATTTCCATCACTACAGGGATATTTATTTTTCCCTTTTGCCCACACCCACTACCTTTTGACCCTCCTCACCTCCCCAACCCCTGGCAGACTAACCAGTCTACATTTCCATAATTTCATTATTTCTAAAAATGTTGCATAAATGGAACCCTAAAATATGTAAATTTTAGAGATTTTTTTTCACTGAGCATAATTCCCTGGAGGTTCATCTTATCATTTATGCATATCAATAATTTTTCCTTCTTATTTCTGAGTAGCATTTGAAACCTTATAGCATTTTACAAAGTTTGTAATCATTCATTAGTGTGATTGTTTGTTTAATGGTTGTCTCTCTAACTAGACTGAATACTCCATTAAGGCAGGTATAATTTCTCTTAGATGTATCCTTGTGTCTCCATCACTTAGTACGCTATAGTAATTTGTTAAATATTCAATGATGAAAGGATTTATTGAGATTACTAGTAGATACCTCAGAGTATGTGAAACCAGAATTAGGTGTTACTGCTATATAATGATTTCTACATTGTGTATATTTTGCTAATGTATAAATGTATTTATTGAATAATTATTTATTATTTACTATATGTCAGGTACTGTTCTAAGTACTGGAAATCCAACAGCAACAAACAAAAACAACGAAAAAACTCCCTGCCCTCTGGAATTCACATTCTAGTCTAGGGAGCTAAATAATCTTAAAAATAAATTATATTATATATTTAAATATTGATTATCTACCCCCCTTCCATGTAGACAAAGCATGGAAAGGAGATAGAAAGTGCAGGAACGATTGTTATGGGTAGTCAGGGATGACCTCATTGAAAAGGTAACATTTAACCAAAGATTATAGAAAGTGAGGAGATAAATCATTTGGGTATCTAGGAGAAAAGCATGTAACCAGAAGGAACAGCAAGTGAGGAGTCTTCCTAGAGTGACTGAATAAGAAAGTACTAGAATATCACTGAGCTGAATGACTGAGGGGTAAGTAGCAGGAGATGAAGTTAAAGAAATAATAAAGAGTTTAGACCTGGGCTGCCCAATATGGTAGTCACTGGCCACATGTGATTGCTGAGCATTTGAAATGTGATTAGTTCAAATATGTTTTTAAAATGGCCAAAAAATCAAAAGAGACATTTCCCAAAAGAAGACATATGAATGTTAAACAGACATATGAAAAGATGCTTAACATCATTGATCATCAGAGAAATGCAAATAAAAACTACAGTAAGATATCATCTCACCCCAGTTAAAATGGCTTATCTCCAAAAGACAGGCAATAAAAAATGCTGGCAAGGAGGTAGAGAAAAGGGAACTCTTGTACACTGTTGGTGGGAATGTAAATTAGTACAACCACTATGGAGAACAATGTAATTTTTTATATTGTTCAATATAAAAATATAACAATTTTTGTGAAGTTTCCTCAAAAAACTAAAAATAGAGCTGCCATACATCTAGCAATCCCACTATTGAGTATATACCCAAATAAAGGAAATACAGTGACCAGTATAACAAAGTAACATCTACACTGTCATGTTTGTTGCAGCTTTGTTCACAAGGGTCAAGATTTGGAAGCAAACTAAGTGTTCATCAACAGATGAATGAGTGAAGAAAATGTGGTACATATACACAATAGAATATTATTCAGCCATAAAAGGACTGAGATACTGTGATCTGCAACAACATGATACAACTGTAGCATAATATGTTCAGTGAAATAAACCGGACCCAGAAAGACACATTTCACATATTCTCACTCATTTATGGGAGACAAAAATGGAAACAATAGAATTTATGGAGATAGAGATTAGAATGATAGTTACCAGAGGCTGGGATATGTAGTGAGGGGGTAAGGGGAAAGAGAAGAGGGTTAATAGGTACAGAAAACAGTTAGAAAGAATGAATGATATCTAGTATTTGATAGCACAACAGGGTGACTATAGTCAGAATAATAATTTAATTGTACATTTTTAAATAACTTAAAAGTACAATTTGATTCTTTGTGACACAGAGAATAAATGCTTGAGGTCATGGACACCTCATTTACCCTGATTTGATTATTACACATTGCACACTTGGATCAAAATTTCCCATATATCCCATAAATATATACACCTGCTATGTCCACACAAAAATTTAAAATACAAAAATGTGTTTAGTTCAAATTGAAATATACTGTTAATGTTAAATACACATCAGAATTTGAAGAGTTAGTATGAAAAGGAGAATGTAAAATATTTCATTATTAATATTTTTATATTGGTTACATGATGAGGTGATGTTTTGTGTATATTGTGTTAAATTTATTCAAAAATTATATTGCCCATTTTTTTAACTTTTTTTTTTTTTTTTGAGACAGGGTCTCACTCTGTTGCTCAGGCTGGAGTGCAGTGGCAGGATCTTGACTCAACTTCAACCTTTGCCTCTGGGAATCAAACAATCCTCCCACTTCAGCCTACCAAGTAGCCGGGACTACAGGCATGCACCAACATGTCCAGGTAATTTTTGTATTTTCTGTAGAGACAGGTTTTGCCATGTTGCCCAGGCTAGTCTCAAACTCCTGCACTCAAGCGATCTGCATTGGCCTTTCAAAGTGTCGGGGTTACAGGCATGAGCCACTGCACCAAGCCTTTTTTCTTTCTTTAATGTGGCTATTTGAACATCTGAAATTACATAATTTCTCACATTAGATTTATTTGGGAGAATATATGACTATATCTTATAGCTCCTCATATTTGACTTTAAAAGATTTGCATTTTACTCTGAAGTTTGAGGCTGTTGAAAATTATTGAATAGAGGAATAGATTGTCTAATTTGAACTTTTGAAGAATTATCTGGGCTTATCTGTTGACAATAGACTATAAGGGTAAAGAAGAAGCTATAAGGGATACTAGTTATGAGGGTGTTGCACCATTTCACACAAGAGATGATGGCAGCTTGGGTTGGTTTGGTAGTGGTGAATTTAATGGGAAGTGGTTAGTTTCTAAATGTATTTTGAAAACGAAACCAAAATATTTCATGACATATTGGATGATGCCGAGTATGAGAAAAAGTCAAAGACAAAGTTTTTGGCCTGAGCAACCAGAAGAATTGAATTACATCTGTGAAAACAAGACCAGCTACAAGTGGAACAGATTTGGAGAAGAATACCAAGGGTCTGGATTTGAATGTATCAAGTTTGAGATGATTATTAGATATTAAAATTGACATCTTACATAGGTAATTGGATACAGAAGTCTGGATTTGAAGAAAAAGACCTAGGAGGGAAATAAACATTTTGTAGTAATTAGCATATAGATGGTATGTAAAGTCTTTTGAAATTGGATGTGTCCAACAAAAGAGTTAATGTAAATAGAGCAAAGAAAGATCTAAGAAATGAGCCTTAGAGCTTTCCAAATTTACGAAGTTATGGAGGAAGGAAAACCTTCAAAGAAAGTCTTCTTCAAATGTATTTTACTGTTAAAAAGTTTGCTTTTGTTATTGAACTTCCTTTTGTGAAATCATTAGACATTCCCATTGCAGTTATTAAAGCATAAATACCGCTTTCCTTTAATCCCTCTAGATTTCCTATTTTTTAACTTTAATTTTAAGTTGAGGGGTACATGTGCAGGTTTGTTATATTGGCAAACTCGTTTCATGGGGGTTTGTTATACAGATTATTTCATTACTCAGATATTAAGCCTAGTACCCATTAGTTATTTTTCCTGATCTGCTCCCTCCTCCGACCCTCCACCCTCCGGTAGGCCCCAGTGTCTGTTATTCTCCTGTATGTTTCCATGTGATCTCATCATTTAGCTCCCTCTTATAAGTGAGTACATGCAGTATTTGGATTTCTATTCCTGCGATAGTTTGCTAAGGATCATGGCCCCCAACTCCATCCATGTTCCTGCAAATGACATGATCTCATTATATTTTATGGCTGCATAGGATTTCATGGTGTATATATACCATATTTTTTTTATTCAGTCTACCACTGATGGGCGGGCATCTGTGTTGATTCCATGTCTTTGCTATTGGGAATAGTGCTACCATGAACATGTGTGTGCATGTGTCTTTAAGATAGAACAATTTATATTCCTTGGGTATATACCCAGTAATGGGATTGCTGGGGTGAATGGTAGTTTTGTCTTTCTGTCTGTTGTTTGTATTTTTTTTGTAAATTTAAGGTCTTTATAGATGCTGGATATTAGATCTTTGTCAGATGCACAGTTTAAAAAAAAAAAGTCTCCCATTCTCTAGGTTGTCTGTTAACTTTATTGACAGTTTCTTTTGCCATGCAGAAGCTCTTCAATTATATTCCATTTGTCGATTTTTGCTTTTGTTGTAATTGCTTTTGGCATCTTCGTTATGAAATCTTTGCCCATTCCTATGTCTGGAATTATATTGCCTAGGTCGTCTTCCAGGGTTTTTATACTTTGGGGTTTTACATGTAAGTCTTTAATCCATCTTGAGTTAATTTTTGTATATGGTGTAAGAAAGGGGTCCAGTTTCAATCTTCCATCTATGGCTAGCCAGCTATCCCAGCACCATTTATTGAATAGGGAGTCCTTTCTCCATTACTTGTTTTTGTCAAGTTTGTTGAAGATCATATGGTTGTAGGTGTCCAGTCTTATTTCTGGGTTCTCTATTCTGTTCCATTGGTCTATGTGTCTGTTTTTGTGCCAATACCATACTGTTTTGGTTACTGTAGCCCTGTAATATATGTTGAAATTGGGTAATGTGATGCTTCTAACTTTTTTTTTTTCCTTTGGATTGCCATGGCTATTTAGGCTCTTCTTTAGTTCCATATGAGTTTTAAAATAGTATTATTTTCTTTTAGTTCTCTAAAGAATGTTATTAGTATTTTGACAGGCATAGCATATAATCTATAAATTGCTTTGGGTAGTATGGCCATTTTTACAATATTGATTCTTCCTATTCATGAGCATGGAATGTTTCCATGTGTTTATGTCATTTCTGATTTCTTTGAGCAGTATTTTGTAGTTCTCCTTGTAGAGATGTTTCATCATCCTGGTTAGATGTATTTGTAGATATTTTATTCTTTCTGTGGCAATTGTGAATGGAACTGCATTCCTGATTTGCTCTCAGCTTGACTGTTGTTTGTGTATAGGAAAGCCAGTCATTTTTGTACATTGACTGGGTATCCTGAGACTTTGTGAAAATTATTAATATTTATGAGCTGAAGAAGCTGTTGGGCCAAGACTATGGGGTTTTCTAAATATAGAACATGTCATCTGCAAAGAGGGATAATTTGACTTCTTCTTTTCCTCTTTGGATGCCCTTTATTTTTTTCTTTCTCTCACCTGATTACTCTGGCCAGGACTTCCAATACTCTGCTGAATAGGAGTGGTGAGAGAGGACATCCTTTGTTTGCACCAGTTTTCAATATGATGCTTCCAGCTTTTGCCCATTCAGTATGATGTTGGCTGTGGTTTTGTCATAGATGGCTCTTATTTTGAGGTATGTTCCTTCAATACATAATTTATTGAGAGTTTTTAACAAAAAGAAGTGTTGGAATTTTATCAAAAGTCTTTTCTGCATCTGTTGAGATAATCATTTGGTTTTTGTATTTAGTTCTGTTTATGTGCTGAATTACGTTTATTGATTGGCGTATGTTGAACCAAACTTGCATTCCAAGGATAACTTGCCTACTTGATCATGGTAGATAAGCTTTCTTGCTGTACTGCTGGATTTCATTTGTCAGTATTTTGTTGAAGATTTTAGCATTAATGTTTATCAATGATATTGCCCTGAAGTGTTTTTTGTTTGTTTTGTTTTGTTTTTGGGTTTTTGTTTGTTTGTTTGTTTGTTTGTTTTTATCTCTGCCACGTTTCGGTATCAGGATGATGCTGGTCTCATAGAATGAATTAAGAAGGAGTTCCTTCTTCTCAATTGATTAAAATAGTTTCATTAGAAATGGTATATCTGGTAGACTTTGGCTGTGAATCCACCTTGTCCTGAATTTTTGTTGTTGTTGTTGTTAGTAGGCTATTTATTATAGATTAAATTTTGGAGCTCATCATTGGTGTGTTTAGGGATTCAATTTCATCCTGGTTTGGTCTTGGGAGAGTGTATGTGTCCCGGAATGTATTTGTTTTTTTTCTACATTTTTCAGTATATGTGCATAGAGGTGTTCATAATGTTCTCTGATGATTATTTGTATTTATGTGTGGCAGTGGTAACATCCCGTTTGTCATTTCTAATTGTGCTTATTTAGACCTTCTCTCTGTTTTTCTTTATTTGTCTAGCTAGCAGTCTATCTATTTTATTAATGTTTTACAAAAAAACAACTCCTGGATTCATTGATCTTTTGAATAGATTTTCATGTCTCAACTTCCTTCAGTTCAGCTCTGATTTTGGTTATTTCTTGTCTTCTGTTAGCTTTGAGGGTGGTTTTATCTTACTTCTCTAGTTCTTTTAGTTGTGATGATAGGTTGTTAAATTTTGGTCTTTCTAAGTTTTTGATATGGACATTGTGATGGTTAATATTGAGCGTCAACTTGACTGGATTGAAGGATGCAAAGTATCATTCCTGGGTGTGTCTATGAGGGTGTTTCCAAAGGAGATTGACATTTGAGTCAGTGGATTGGGAGAGGCAGACCCACCCACAATCTGAGTGGGCACTATCTATTCAGCTGCCAGTAAAGCTAGAATAATGCAGGTAGAAGAAGGTGGAAGAAGCTGACTTGCTCAGTCTTCTGACCTTCATCTTTCTCCAGGGCTGGATGCTTCCTGTTGTCGAACATCAAACTCCTATTTCTTCAGGTTTTGGACTCTTTGACTTACACCAGTGATCTGATAGGGGCTGTATTAGCCAGTTTTTACACTGCTAGTAAAGACATACCTGAGACTGGGCAATTTACAAAGGAAAGAAGTTTGATGGAGAACCAACAGTTCCATGTGGCTGGGGAAGCCTCACAATTATGGTGGAAGGCAAGCATGAGCAAGTCATGTTTTACATGGATGGCAGTAGGCAAAGAGAGAGCTTGTGAAGGGAAACTCCCTTTTTAAAAACTATCAGATCTCATGAGACTCATTCAGTATCATGAGAACAGTACAGGAAAGACCCAACCACCCATAATTCAATCACCTCTTACCAGGTTCCTCCCAAGACATATGGGAATTGTGGGAGCTACAATTCAAGATAAGATTTGGGTGGGGAAATAGCCAAACCGTATCAGGGAGTCTTGGGCCTTCAGCCACAGACTGAAAACTGCACTGTCACCTCCCCTACTTTTGAGGGTTTGGGACTCAGACTGGCTTCCTTGCTCCTTAGCTTACCAAAAGCCTACCGTGGGACTTCATCTTGTGATCTTGTGAATCAATGCTCCTTAATATATACCCCTTCATATATACGTCATCCTATTACTTCTGTCCTTCTAGAGAACCTTGACTAATATAGACATTTAGTGCTATAATTTTCCCTCTTAACACTGCCTTAGCTGTGTCCCAAAGATTCTGGTATATTGTATATTGTATCTTTTTTTTTTTTTTTCATTAGTTTCAAAGAACTTCTAGATTTTTGCCTTAATTTTATTATTTACCCAAAAGTCATTTAGGGGCAGGTTATTCAATTTCCATGTAATTGTTTATGGTTTTGAGATAATTTCTTAGTCTTGATTTCAAATTTGATTGTACTGTTTTCCAAGAGAGTGGTTGTTATTACTTCAGTCCTTTTGCATTTGCTGAGGAGTGTTTTTGTCTGATTATTTGATCGATTTTACAGCATGTGCCAAGTGGCAGAGAGAAGAATCTATATTCTGTTGTTTTTGGATGGAGAGTTCTGAAGATGTCTATCAGGTCCATTTGACCCAGTGCTGAGGTCAGGTCCTGGATATCTTTGTTAGTTTTCTGTCTTGATGATATGTCTAATACTGTCAGTGGGGTGTTGAAGTCTCAAGCTGTTATTGTGTGGGAGTCTAAGTCTCTTTGAAGATTTCTAAGAACTTGCTTTATGAATCTGGGTGCTCCTGTGTTGCATGCACATATATTTGGGATAATTAGTTCTTAATGAATTGAACCACTTGCCATTATGTAATGCCCTTTTTTTCTTTTTTGATCTTTATTTGTTTAAAGTCTTTTTATTCTGAAATTAGGATTGCAATCCCTCCTTTTTTACTGTTTTCCATTAGCTTGGTAGATTTTTCTTCATTCATTTATTTAGCTCCTGTGGGTGTCATTGAATGTGAAATGGGTCTCTTGAAGAAAGCATACCAATGGGTTTTGGGTTTTTATTCAGCTTGCCACACTGTGCCTTTTAATTCGGGTGTTTAGCCCATTTACATTCAAGGTTCATATTGATTTGTGTGGATTTGATCCTGGCATCATGATATTAACTGGTTATTATGCAGACTTGTTTGTGTGGATGCTTTATAGTGTCACTGGTCTGTGCACTTAAGTGTGTGTTTTGTAGTGGCTGGAAATAGTCTTTCCTTTTCATATTAATGCTTCTTTCAGAAGTTCTTGTAAGTCATGTATTGTGGTAACATATTCCCTCAGCATTTGCTTGTGTGGAAACAATCTTATTTCTCCATCACTTATGAAGCTTAGTTTGGCCAGAAATGAAATTATTGGTTTCAATTCATGTTCTTTAAGCATGTTGAATATTAGTCCTCAATCTCTTTTTGTTTGTAGAGTGTCTGTAAGAGGCCTGCTGTTAGTCTGATGGGCTTCCCTTTGATCTGCCCTTTCTCTCTAGCTGCCTTTGACATTTTTTCTTTCATTTTGACCTTGGAGAATCTGATGGTTATGTGTCTTGGGGATGTTCTTCTTGTGAATTATCTTACTGGGGTTTTCTGCATTTACTGAATTTGAATGTTGGCCTCTTTAGATAGACTGGGGAAGTTCTCATTGATGATGTCATGAAATATTATTTCCAAGTTGTTTACACTCTCCCCATCTCTTTCAGGGACTCCAGTGAGTCATAGATTTGGTCTCTTTACATAATTCCATATTTCTTGAAGGTTTTATTTGTTCCTTTTTATTCTTTTTTTTCCCTTTTTTTGTCTGTCTTATTTTACAAAATCAGCCATCAAGCTCTGAGATTCTTTATTTCAGTTCGTCTATTCTGCTATTAATACTTGTGACTGCATTATTAAATTCTTGTAGTGTGTTTTTCAGCTCTGTCACGTCAGTTACATTCTTTTCTATACTGGCTGTTTTGTCTGTCACCTCCTGTATTATTCTATTTTGATTCTTACCTTTCTTGGATTGAATTTCCACATACTCCTGCATTCAGTGATTTTTGTTCCTATCCATATTCTGAATTCTATTTATGTTATTTTATCCATCTAAACCCAGTTCAGACCCCTTGCTAGAGAGATGGTGTGGTTGTTTGGAGGAAAAAAAAGGCACTTTGGCTTTTTCAGTTGTCAGAGTTACTGTGTTGGTTCTTTCTCATCTTTGTGGACTGATGTTTCTTTAGTCTTTGAAGTTGCTGACCTTTGGGTAGTTTTTTTATCCTGTTTGATGACCTTGAGGGTTTGATTGTGGTACAAGGTGGATTCAGAAGACTGGAATCATATCAGAAAGATTTTAGGGGGCCAGCACTCAGCTCTTAACTTCTGTAATATGTGTTCTAACTCCTCAAGTTTTGGAATGCACTGCGCTGGCTGGGGTGTTGGGAAGGCAGTGAGGTGCACTCCTGACACAGCAATGGCAAAGCAAGGTGCATGCACACAGACCTGCTGGCAGGGCAAAGAAGGCAAAACCTGCCTACACACATACATGCTGGCAAGCAGTTAAGGGTGTTGACATGTGCCTGAGGGAAGCTGCAGTGTTGGGAGGGAGTGCTTGGGATGGTGTGTGGCCATAGGAGCCACCCTGCTAGAGTTCTCTGCCGGTCAGGCATAGTCAGCTAGTTTAGAAGCTATAATGTGGGCCCCCACGGGTACCTGAGGCTACCCTACAAGCAAGTGCTGCCAGGCTGGGGACCCAGGAGAAGGCAGCAAATAAAGGGGTTCTCAAGTCAGACCAGCCCTGTCTGATAGGCAAGACCGACCTGCAGATTCAAGTGCAACAGTTTCCCTGGGCTAAAGTCTCCTATGGGAGCAGGTTGAGCCTAGGGAAATGGGATTCTCTGGCCATGCTCCCCTACAAATGATATTGCACCAAACTCTCTGGGGTCCCCTTCAGCTGATGTGCTGCCCCTACGACTTCCATAGGCAACTCTCCCTACCAACTCGAGTGTCCCTGGTGATTGAGAGGTCTCCTCCTGCTAGGATTCCAGAGGCCCACGGCAAGATCAGAATACTCCTTGCCAATTCAACTTATCCATTTCCCTGGAGTCATTTAGGAACAGAAACACATGGTAGCCGCATGCAATGTTCCCAGCTTCTCCCCACTTTAGCCAAGCTTCTGTGTCTTCCCTCTGTCCACACACAGTGCCTTCCCTCTAAAGATTTATTAGGAGGGTGTCAGTTATCTCCGTCCCTCAGTGGCAGCTGTTGCACCTAGCTGTGTCTAGTCACCCATTGTCAATTCCTGTGGATTTCAAATTTCTCCTGTCCTTGATCATATACTTTCAGGCCCTAAAATGACCAGTTACTAATCTGAAAATTGGACAAATTGTTGTTAAGTAGATGAGAATGATGTATTGGTTATCACATCCTGATAGCACAGTGACCTTTTTAATGAGAACTTCAAATGGCCTATTTAAAGGACTTGGTTATAGAACACTATTGTAGGTTTCTGAGGGAGATCACTTTGTGCCCTTGGTCAACAACATAAAGGTGGTGTATATTAACAGCATGATATAATAAAAAGAGCACTGCACTGGGAGATCAGGAACCCTGAGTTCAAGTTCCAGCTCTATTATTCTTCAGTTGTCTCTGTGGCTCCCGGAAGCTGGTCCGACTTAACTACCAGCCTATGTTAAATATTTACACTGATTACAGGTAAAGAAAAAGTAGAGGGCTTTTCAGGTAGCTAAAATATCTCATTTTAATTGCTATACTTCTGACTGAGAATATTTTCTAATTGTTGAATTAAAATGGGTGAAAGTAGATGACAACAGCTATAGTGTGTGTGATGGTGAATATTATTTTAAAAGCCTTTACTTGACACATGCACACATACCAGTTAGCAGCATCTATTTATCATTTACCTATTTATCCATTTAGTTTTCAATTTTTATTCTTTATGATGTCAAAAATCCTGAGAACCATTAATACTAAGTAGATCACTTCAGCATTCTGGGCCTTGTTTGTTTCTGTATGCACAATTACAAGAGTATTGCTATGGTTTGAATGAGTCCCCTAGAAGTTCATGTGTTGGAAACTTAATTACCATGTAACAGTACTAAGAGTGGGGTCTTTAAGAGCTGATTAGGCCATGAGGGCTCTGTCCTTATGTAGCGATTAATGCCATTGTCATGGGAGTGGATTAGTTATCACAGCAGTGGCTCCCTAATATGAAATATGAGATTCACCCAATTTCTTCTCTTGGTCTCATGCATTCATTTCTATCTTCTACCCTTCCAACATTGTATGAGCCACACCAGATGTCAGTGCCATGCTCTTGAACTTCCCATTCTCCAGAACTTTAAGCCAAATAAATCTCATTTCTGTATAAGTTACTCAGTCTGTGATATTCTGTTACAGCATCAGAAAATAAACTAAGATAAGTATAGATAAATGCAAGAAAATAAAATGTGCTAACCTCAACATGAAGCAATATTTAAGGTAAAGAAAGGGAAGTGTAATTGTGAGGGATTGGGCTTCAGCTGTATTCATAATTTTAAAACAAAAGTTATAAAATAAATATAGCACTTTTAATATTTGTAAAAATCATGTTAAGTACATGGTTATAATTGCCTCTTCTATTTTAACTATTTCATAATAAAAATAGAATAATAATAACAACAAGTAAAAGGAAGTCAGACTATGTGAATATAGGCTACGTTTTGGAATCAGAGCTAGGGTCAAATCCTCTCTCTGTTATGTACTAGCTGCTTTTCCTTAAAAAGCCAGTTAACTATTTTACCATTTCCTCAGTTAGGTTTTAGTGATAATAATTCCTGTCTTGCAGAGTTGTTGTAAATTACACCCTTGAGGAAAATAAATAAAATCTCACTCAGTTTTTTACAATTAGTAATGGTATAATTGTGTAGGGATCTTAGGCAAATGATCAGGTCTCACAGGAATATTCATGCAGTTAAATGCCATTGGTCCTAGAACAGAGCTGAACAATTAGAAGACTCCAATACAACTCTAATGATTCAGTTATTTTATTATCTTCTAAGCAAGATTAAATTAATTTTCTTTCCTACATGTTGTTAGCTCTTAGCTGGGCATGGTGGTGCATGCTTGTAACCTCAGGTACATGGCATGTTATCTCAGTTGGAGGCAGGAGGATCACTTTAGTCCAGGAGTTCAAGATTAGCCTGGGCAACATGAGTGAGATTCCATCTCAAAACAAAACAAAAAAAAAATGGAGTTGCTTCACTCTCCTATTATCTTCCCCACTTCTAAGACTTCTACCATTATCCTGCCAACCTTGTTATTGCCCAATCCTCAATCCTTTTTTTACCCCCAGCTTCTGACACTTCATATTATTTGCATAGTACCTTCATTTTGAGTTCATTGTGATTTGTCACTTGCCACCAACCAATAAACTCTCTTTCAATATCATAATCAACTTGATTTTACTAATCTACATGCTGTTGGAAAAGAGTTTCCAACCAGGCTATCGTGAAGCTTCCTTGCCAACTATAGATTTGTTGCCTTTGTATAAGGTGTCCTTCCAGTTAGTAAGTCAAAAATGGCAAATCATTTAGTACAGTGTATCAGCATATTATTTATGAAGAACAGAAGCCTGCATGAGTGTCAAACAAAGGTAATAAATGCTGCTCCCACACTTCCTTAATGGGCCCACCTAGAGCATACATATAAAGGACCTAGCAGAATATCTAATACAAACACCGAAGAGGATTTTCTTATGCAGATCTGTGTGCCCCAGAAATCATCTAAGAGATGGTGATGTCTAAACTGAACCCTAAAGGATGAGTAGGAGTCAGATTCACCAAGGAATAGGGGGATGAGAAGAGAAGGGTGAAATATTCGAGTACAAGGGAGGAGTATGTCCAAAGATCCTGAAGCCAGAGAGTAAAGTAAGCTTGTAGTATCAGAGCTTGTGAAGTGTTAAATTTGATAAAAGAGAAGCAAGCATTGTGAAATTTGACAGATTAAAAGACGCAAAGAGTTAAGTAATATATTTCTATTCAAAGAGTCATAAAACAGGACAGGCTCGGTGGCTCACACCTGTAATCCCAGCACTTTGGGATGCGGATGACCTGAGGTCAGGAGTTCAAGACCAGCCTGGCCAACCATGGCCAACATGATGAAATCTCATCTCTACTAAAAATACAAAAATTAGCCAGGCACAGTGGCGGGTGCCTGTAATCCTAGCTACTCGGGTGGCTGAGGCATGAGAATTGCTTGAATCTGCGAGGCAGAGGTTGCAGTGAGCCAAGATTGCACCACTGCACTCCAGCCTGGGCAAGAGAGCAAGACTCCATCTAAAAAAAAATACAGCAACAAAAAACAAAGAGTCATAAAACAAAGTTTTTATTTATTTATTTTTATTTTTTGTTTTTTGGGTTTTTTTAAAAAGAATCAAGAATACACTCCACAAAATATGCAAGATTTTTACCTGATTGTGTAACTTTCAAATATGGTAACAGCAAGAAAATGATCACTTTCACATGTAGTAAATCTTTATTCTTTTGTAGCAGTTGGGAGAAAAAACCATCTGAGTTGCTGAAATAACATTTATGGGATACTTTAAAAGGAATTGTCTTTAAAGTTTACTTTCCTATATACTAATAGTAGCCAAAATTTTCAAAGTGCTTTCATATAAAAGTCATTATTTAATTATTTTTTACTCTGCTATACATTAGGTAACATAATATTTATATCTATTTTTTTCTATAAATTATGCAAATCTCAGAGAGACTAATAATTACCTGGAGATCTCGAAGCCAAATCATAGAAGAACTAAATCTGAAGTCATTTCTCTTACCCCACGTTACTTGCCCTCTTCACTGCATGAACTGTCTCTGTAAATAATGCCCTTATGGTCTTTGACAGTGGAACATCTGAGGAGTTAAGAGTTATTTGTGGGAATTCTTGTTTGTTTTCTTTAGTAATAAAGGTGAGTGATCACACAGAACAACTGACTACTGCTTTGCTAATTGTACATCCACAAGTACCACTCATATAGTGTGTGATACAAACAACATCTCTTCCACCCAGAGTTGTGCAGTGAAGACATGGATCAGTCAACACTCCTATAATCAACAGCTCACATTTTCAAGACTACTAAAATTATAGCAGGGTGCTATGTGTCCCCCCACATTTTTGTTTTGGAAAATTAATCCCCAGTGCAACAGCACTGAAAGGCAGGGCATTTTGAAAGGTGTTGAAGCATTCATGACTGGATTCGTGTTGTTCTAAAAGGACTCGATGGAAGGTGTTCATCTCTTGCCCTTTTACCTTCTGCCATGTGCGGACATAGAATTCTTCCCCTCCAATGGATGTAGCATCTAGGTGCCATCTTGGAAGCAGCACTCAATGGATAGCTGAACCTGCCAGTGATCTGATCTTGCATTTCCCAGCCTCAAAATAAATTTCTGCTTTTTCTAAATAACCCAGTCTCAGAAATTCTGTTCTAGCAGCAGGAATGAACTTAGACAAAGGGATAAATTTGAGTTTAGAGACTATCTAATTAAAATATGTTATTTTACATATGAAGGAACTGAGACTTGCAGATTTTAGTTTATACTTATGAGACCAAAAGCCAGTTATTTTTTTCCCCATACATTGATTCTTACATAATACACAAGTTTTAGGTATAATTTTAGATGATGGAGGGAACTAATCTACTAAAGGATGAACTACTAATCTAAGTATTGGCTGAATGGTTAATATAAGAGAGTGATAGAGCATATTAATATGATATACATAGATATTTTTATTTATGATGGCTTTTATTGTTTAGATCATTGGTTCTCAAATTTTAGAATGTCTCAGTATCACCTGGAGAGCTTGATGAAAACACATGGATGTGTCTGACCTCCAGAGTTTCTTATCTGGCAGATCTGAAGTAGGACCTGAACACTGGCATCAGCAGCTAATGCTGCTTGACCATAGACCAAATTTCAAAAACTATTGGTTTAGATCAATGGCTATAAAGACAAATGATATTCTACTTAAAGCTGTGTGACCTTTGGCACATTAATATTTCAGCCTTAGTTTTTTCATCTGTAAAATAATGAGATATATCTTATATGGATTTAGCATAACATGAAGAAATACATAAAGAGTGCTCTGTGCATGATATCTAAGGATTTTGATACATATATTCCATTTTTATCATTATCATTATTACTTTGATTTTCTTTTTTTTCTTTTAGATTTTTATAAGTACAAAGTAGAAGTATATATTTATAGGGTGTATGAGATGTTTTGATACAGGTATGTATCCCGCTAGCTGATGATTAGTGATTGTTTCAATGTGTTGTTTAATTCACTTTGTTAATATTTTGCTGATTTTTGCATCAATGTTCATTAGTGATATTGATCTATAGTTTTCTTTTATTGATATTTTTGGTCTGGTTTTAGTATCAAGGTAATACTGGTTTTGTAGTTTGAGTTTGGATATAGTTTTTTCTTTCTTTTTGGAATAGTTTGAGTAGGAATGGTATTAGTTCTTCTTTTGGTAAAATTCAGCAGTAAAGCCATCAGCTCCCAGGCTTTTCTTTGCTGGGAGACTTCTTATTACAGCTTTGATGTCATTACTTGTTATTGGTCTATTCAGGTTTTGAATTTCTTCATGATTCAATCATGAAAGTTTGTACATGCCTAAGAATGTAACTGTTTCTGCTAGGTTTTTAAATTTCTTGGCATATATTTGCTCATCATCTCAAATGATCTTTTGAATTTCTTCAGTATTGGTTGTAATGTCTCTTTTTTCATCTCTGACTTTACTTGGGCCTTCTCTATTTTTTCATAGTTGGGCTAAAAGTTTTTATTTTTATTATCATTTCAAAAATAACTATTTATTGATCTTTTGTATTTTTAATGTCAGTTTATTTATTCTTTGAATTTTGATTATTTTCTTCTAATTTAAGCTTGTTTTGCTCTTGTTTTTCTATCTCTTTAAGATGCATTGTTATGTTGATAATTTGAAGTTTTTCTACGTTGTTGATGTAGGCATTACTATTATAAACATTTCTCTTAACACTGCTGTGGCCATATCACTTAGGTTTTGGTATGATGTATTTGTATTTTATTTTGTTGCAAGAAATTCATAAATTTCTGTATTGATTTATTGATTGACCCACTGGCCATTTAAGAACATATTGTTTAATTTCCATGTCTCTGTATGGTTCACAATGTTTCTCTGTTTATTGATTTATATTGTTATTCCATTGTGGTGTGAGAGGATACTATATACTTTAAAACTTGTTTTGTGGCCTAATATATGGTCTATCCTTGAGAAATATCCACGTGCTGAGAAGAAGAATGTGTATTCTGCAGCTGTTGGATTCAATGTTCTGTAAATATCTATTAGGTCAATTTGGTCTGTAGTGCAGATTAAGTTTTATGTGTCTTTGTTGGTTTTCTGTAGGGTTGATCTGTCCAATGCTGAAGGTGGGTCGTTGCAGGCTCCAACTATTATTGTATTGGGGTCTCTCTGTCTTTTTAGCTCTAACAGTATTTGCTTTATATATCATGGTGCTATGGTGTTGGATGTATGTATATTTAATACTTTTTATATCTTCTTGCTGAATTGACCCCTTCTTCATTATATAGTGACCTTCTTTGTCTCTTTTTACAGGTTTTATCTTGAAATCTATTTTGTCTAATATAAGTATAACTGTACCTGCTCTTTTTTGGCTTCCATTGACATGGAATATATATTTTTTCATCCCTTTATTTTCACTCTATGTGTCTTTATAGGTGAAGCGTGTTTCTCATAGTCAGAAAATCATTGGGTCTTATTTTTTATCCATTTAGCCACCATGTGTCTTCTGATTTGAGAGTTCTGTTCATTTACTTTCATTATTTTTATTGATAAATAATGACTTACTATTGTCATTTTGTTATTGGTTTTCTGGTCTTCCCTTCCTTCCTACTGTCTTTCTTTTTTGTTTTCCTTTTCAAAAGTGATTTTCTATTGTGATATGTTTTTAAATTCCTTTCTTTTTGTTTATCTGTTGTGGGTTTTTGATTTGAGATTACCATGTGTCTTTCAAATAACACCTTGGAACCCATTAGTTTAAACTGATGACAATTTAACAATATTCCAAAAAGAAACAAACTAACAAACAAGCAAAGAGAAAACTAATAAAGACTCTAAATTTTAGCTTTACCTCCCACATATTCACATTTTTGTTGTTTCTATTTTTATTTTATTATACTATGCAAGTCTAGAAAAGTTTCTGTAGTTATTTTTATGGGATCATCTTTCAGTGTTTCTTCTCAATATGAGTAGTTTACATACAACAATCACGGTGTTGTAATATTCTGTGTCTAACTGTGTACTAACTATTAACAATGTTTTGGGACTTCAGATGATTTCTTATCATTTGTTAGCATCCCTTTCTTTCAAATTGAAGAACTCCCTTTAGCATTTCTTGTAGGACAGGTCTGGTGTTGATAAAATACCTCAGCATTTTTTTGTCTTTATTTCTTTTTCATGCTTTCAGAATATTTTTGCTGGATTACTATTCAGGGATAAAATGTGTTTTTTTTCCATTCATCATTTTGACTATGTCAGCCCACTCTCTTCTGGCCTATAAGGTTTCCATCAAGAAGTCTGCTTCCAGATGTAGTGGATCTCCTTTGTATAGTATGTCTTTCTTTTCTCTTAGGATCTTTTCTTTATCCTTGACCTTTGAAAATTTGACAGTTTTGTGCCTTAAGGTAGTTTTTGGGGGGTTAAATCTGCCTCATGTTTATAATCTTTTTGTACTTGAGATATCTCTCTCTGGGTTTGGGAAGTTCTCTGTTATTGTCTTTTTACAAAAAGTTTCCACCCCAATCTCTCTCCCTCTGTCTCCTTTTTAGGACCAATAACTCTTAGATTTGCCCTGTGGAAAGCATTTTCCATATATTGCAGCCAAGCTTTATTCTTTTCTACTCTTTTAGTTTTTCTCTCCTCTGACAGTGTATTTTCAAGTAGCCTGTCTTCAAGTTCCTTTTTTTATGCTTGGTCATTTCTACTTTTCGGAGACTATGATGTATTCTTCAGTGTGTCATTTGAATTTATCATTTCCAAAATTTCTGCTTCATTCTCTTAATTATTTCAAAGTCTTTGTTAAACTTATCTGATAGAAATCTGAATTTCTTCTCTGTGTTATCTTGAATTTATTTGAGTTTCCTCAAAATAGTTATTTTGAATTATCTGTCTAAAATGTTACATATTCTTTTTCTCCAGGATTGGTCCCTTGTGCCTTATGTAGTTTGTTTGGTGAGGTCATATTTTCTTGGATGGTCTTGATGCTTGATGATATTCCTTGGTGTCCAGCCATTGAAGAGTTAGGTATTTCTTCTAGTCTTCACTGTCTGGGATTTTTATACCTTTTTTTTTAATGGCTTTCCAAGTATTCAATAGGAATTGATTGTTGGGATGTATACCTTTGGTCACTGTAACCCACAATGATCACTGTCTGGTTACCACTGATGTTCACAAAACGACCAAAGGCTCTTTAATCTGCAGGTAGTCAATTCAGCCAGGCTTGTGTCTTTCCCTTCAGGGTAATGAGCTTCCCCTGGCTCAGGGCTTGTCCAGAAATTTGGTCCAGGGGTCATGGGTTGTATTCAGGAATCTCAGAAATCTGCTTGGTGCTTTATTTTACTGGGGCTGAGCTGGCACCCAAGCCACAGGTCAAAGTTCTTCCCACTCTACTCTCTTCTTCCCTCATGCAGAAGGAATCTCTCCTCATGGCTACCATCATCTCAGGCCAGCAGAAAATATTGTGTGACTACCACTGATGTTAACTCCAGGCCCAAGTCACGTCAGTCAACTTGTGGTGGCCACTGCCAGGCCTAGGTCTCTCCCTTCAGGACAGAGCAATCCCCTCTGGCCCTGGGAAGGTCCAGAAATATTTTCTAGGCATGAAGGCCTGGATGCAGGGAACCCAAGAGCCCACGTTGTGCTCTAATGCACAGTGGCCAAGCTGATGCCCAAGCTGTAAGACAAAGTCCCCTTTACCCTTCCCTCTCCTTTCCTCAAGGTGAGTTTGTCTCTATGACTGTCAAATCTGGGAATGCTCTGGGTCACACCTGAAGTCAGCATAGTCTTTAGTCTCCCCGAAAGCCCACAGCGAGTACTGTCTGGGTACCACTGATGTTTATTCAAGACCCAAGTCTCTTTAGTCAGCAAGTGGGAATCCTGCCTGAATTGCATTCTTCCCTTCAAAGCGGTAAGTTCCCTTCTGACCTAGGGTATGTCTAAAAATGTTCTCCAGGAGCTGAGTTCTGGAACGGGGACTCCAGGACTCTACTCATTGCCCTATATCCTTCTGTGATCGAGGTGATATCCAAGTTTCAAAACAACATCCTCTTTACTCTTTCTTCTCCTCTCTTCAAGCAGAAGGAAGGAGTCTTTTCTGGAGGTGCAATCTGTGCTGCTGGGATAGGGGGAGGAGTGATGTGAAAACTCCCTTGACTGTCCCAGCTGGTGTCTCGCTAGTTCACGAGTGTATTAGTCAGGGTTCTCTAGAGAGAGAGACAGAACTAATAGGATAGATGTATATATGAAGAGGAGTTTATTAAGGAGTATTGACTCACATGATCACAAGGTGAAGTTTCACAATAGGCTGTTTGCAAGGTGAGAAGTAAGGAAGCCAGTCCAAGTCTCAAAACCTCAAAAGTAGGGAAGCTGACAATGCAGCCTTTAGTCTGTGGCTGAAGGCCTGAAAGCCCCTGGCAAACCACTGGTTTAAGTCCAAGAGTCCAAAAACTGAAGAACTTGGAGTCTGATGTTTGAGGGCATGAAACATCTAGCATGGGATACAGAAATACAGATGAAGGTCGGAGGACTCAGCAAGTCTGCTCTTTCCACTTTCTTCTGCCGGCTTTATTGTAGCTGCGCTGGCAGCTGATTAAATGGTGCCCACCCAGACTGAGTGTGGATCTGCCTCTCCCAGTCTACTGACTCAAATGTTACTCTCCTTTGGCAACACCCTCACAGACACACCCAGGAACAATACTTTGCATCCTTCAATCGAATCAAGTTGACACTCAATATTAACCATCACAATGTGCATGCCACATCCACTGGCTGTGAGCCCAGTACAGCAACAGGACTTGCCCATGAATTATAGTCCTAGTAGCTCTGCTTTTCCAGTTGATTTAGCACCCCAGAGCACTATATCCTGCCATGGTAAGGCTAAGCAGAGCTCAGGTTTTGACTTCTGGGTGGGATGATTCCCCTCTTGCTAGGGCTGATTTACGTGCTTCCTCTGTGGGCACTGGGTAAATTCTACCCTGTTTTGCATTTTCCTGTCACAGAGCAGCACTGAGTTTCAACACAAAGTCTTACAATCACTTTGCTCTCCCTCCCCAAAGCACACAGATTCTCTCTCTGTGCCGCTGGGGCCCTGCCAGAGAATGGGGGAGGAGTGGTGTCAGCAATTCAAGACAGCCTTTCTCTCTTCACTGCCTCTTTTTCTGATATGATATAAAAACCAGGTACTATGATCACTCGCTTAACTTTTTGTTCTTATGAAGATGCTTTCTTGTGTGGAGAGTTGTTCAATTTGGTGTTCCTTCAGCGGGGAAAATCGCTGGAGGGTTCTATTCAGCCTTCTTGCTCTGCTCCCTCCTTAGTTTAATTTTCTAAGTGTTCAGACTTACTAGGCCAAGATAACTGTTAATCAAGTACAATGGTCTCTCAGGATCCATGAAAAATTGGTTTTAAGACCTTCTGAGGTTACCAAAATCCAAGAATGCTCAATTCCCTGGTATAAAATAGTATAGTATTTACATATAACCTACACACATTATTCTGTGTACTTTAAATAATATCTAGATTACCTATAATAGTTAATACAACATAAATTGTATGTAAATAGTTGTTATAGAGTATTGTTTAGGGAATAATGACAAGAAAAATGTCAGTACATGTTCAATAAAGATGTAATGTTTCTCAAATATTTTCAATTTGCAGTTGATTTAATCCACAGATGCAAAACCGACGGATGCAGAGGGCCAAATGTATGTATAGTCTGCTAGGGCCCCTTTGGGACTTTATTCAATAAATGGAAAGAATGACATTTTTGCATTGAAAAACTTATATTTTAGTGATACTGAAAGCAATTGGAGCTGTTTTTTAGGTAAAGTAAAAAGTTTGGCTACTCTACTTTTCTCCATTTAGTTTAATAAACTTTTGATTTGTTAAGTAGAACTGTTCTTTATCGTCAGAAAGTAACTGGTTTGGACTGTCATCAATTTGAGTTATTGGGGTCTGCATTAATGATGTGTTACTGCATGTAATATGTTTAAGAGTAGGTATCTTCATTTAGGAAATAGACTTTTTATAGGGGTTAAATAACTTTATTGATTTTTTGACACAAACCTTTTCAAATGCAAATGCTCCCTGTCTGGTGGTAAATAATTTTCAAGGCATTTGAGCAACACACAAAAAGAAAGTAAAATCTTAAACCCTAAATGTCAGCCAAGTGGTAAAAAGAATTCTGTTGAATGTATTCAGGGAGGAAAATTTTGTGTGTGTGTGCGTGTGTGTGTGTGTGTGTGTGTGTGTTTTTCCTGACCTCTCCTTGCTATTGTGCCACTCTATATTCTGGGACTTGCCTCCTGGCAGATTGTTTCATTATCCAGCAGTATCATTAGTCTTTTTTATTAGCACCTTAAAAAATAAACAAACAACGATTCTGTTATGTTTGACACAAGTAGTGCATTTTAATTTTGTAGGCTTGTATTATTGCTCTGAAAAAAATCTGCAACAATTCAGATTGAAATATTGCACTCAATTCTTACAATATGAAAACACTATTCAGATGTTTAGAAATATAATGGCATCTGTTATGCATATTAAATGAAGAAGCTATTTTTGTGTCTTCCACATGGAGCTTTGGATTAACTAGGGAAGTTGATATTAATTACTTCTGAAAAAGTAGAACTTGTCATTCAGTTTTGTACTGTTCATGAAATTGAGTCAACACTCCATGAAATGTCCTCAGAATAATTTGATGAAGACTACACAAAAAGAATGCATATGGATCATTTTAATAATACATTTCAAAATGGTAAGTAAAAATCAAAGTTATCTGATAAAAGCACACAATATATTTGCCAGTTTTTAAGCCTAAATTTTCTTAATATTTACATTCAGGAGCACCACATTCATTAATTACAACCAAAAAGAAAAAAATAAATATAGCAGAAACTAACATTAGTTGCATGGTAATATTTGCTTTTATTCAACATACTCATATCTTTCATCTTATGGATTTCAAAGTTGCATATTTATTTACTTACCGTGATGCAGGGCTTCCTAAATCTTTGCACATATAGGAATCTTCTTAGAGCTTTTTTTTAATGAGTGAATTTTGAGGCCACATTCTAAACTCAATACATCTTAATCTTCAGAGCTAAAGCCCAAAAATCTGTATATAATTTCTTTCTCCACTGGTAGATCTATTGCAATTATAAAGAAACTCAACTTTTTATAATGTATATTTTTAAAGTCTGTTTATTCTAAAGCCTTTATACGTTGTCTTAGATGTGAATTTCAGCCTCTGAAAAAATAGAACGGAAATGCCAAAGAAGCCCTCTTGATCCCGGATCAAAGTGAGGGTCGGGCTGCTATTTCACATGGCCCAATAACAAGATGCAGATGAACTGGGGAGAAAGAGAGTTTCTATTTCTGCAACCAGTTACAGGGAGAAGGCCTGGAAATTATCACCAGACCAACTCCAAAATTACAGTTTCCAGAGCTTATATACCTTCTTAGCTATATGGCTACATGTAAGTGGGCATTCATCTAAAGACATAAGTGATTAACTTCTTTTAATCTATGGCTAAGGTTTGAGTTTTGAAGACCTTCCTGTGGAGTCTCAGTATATTTACTTAATCTAAATGGGTCCAGGTACAGGGCTGATTACCCTTATCTTGCCTCCTGCTAAATCATGGAAGTTTGGGGAGTTACTTCAGACCCAAAATAAACTTGTTTGTGGAGGCCTGGGGAGTTTCTTCTGACCCCCAATAAAACTTGTTTAATCATGCTTTAAGGTTCAGGAAAGGCCTAGGCAAAACTTGGTGGGCCTTTTTTTTTTTTTTTTTTTTACATTCCAGCCCCTGCATAAGGGCACTGATGCTTATGGCTTTTAATATTTAACTTAACCACTAAGTCAGTACTGAATGGTTAACTTGAAACATTTGTTATGGAGGCCTGCATTAGTGAGACCTGGCCTGCCACAATCCCCACTGTAAATCTGTGCATGATTTCTATAATATTTGTATATGTATTTATCACAAGATTGTAGGGAGATGGGGCATCATAATCTTTGTGGCTACTTCCTGCTGAGAAAGGGTCATCATTTTGGGGCACCCAAACACAACGCTGGAGTACAAGAGGTCGATTTCTTTCTGGTAGCACTTTCTGTTTTATGGGCTTAGAGGCAGCTCCTGCTGAAACATAAAAGTATGCAACAGCAACACATATACATAGGTTGCTGCTGTTTTCTTCTGAAGTTGAAGTTGTCTAGTCTTTAGTTTGCAGGGCTCTAAGAAAGCATAGCTTAGGTTTCAATGATTATCAATTAGGAAAAATGGGAGAAAAGGAAAAGAAAAAGGAAAAAATTGAAAACATTATTTTGGAGAATTGTAGTCAGAAAAATTAGAAATTAATCCAAACTGTAGAAAATAATAAAGGCTGGAAAATATCAGGTAAGACTAGAATTTAACAACAGGTGTACTATAGTTTTCAAAACATATTTTCTCTCTCTCCAGTTTCCCATTTTTATTAAAAGACAAATGATGGTAAGATTGGTTGGCCTACTTATTTGTATACAGTGCAGCAAGAATAATTATTTTTCACATAGTCCTTTCAAATTGGTTTTGATGGAACTCTGTTTCATAGAAGGATTCTGAGATAAGACCTTTTTAAAGCCAAGCCCAGCGATGGATTTGTAACACCAAATACCTGTGAGTTGGGTGAATTCTTGTCCTCTTGAGACTCCAAGATAACTTGGGATTCTGGGCCTTTCAGAAAGTGACATTCTTTACTTACCATAAATCAGAAACCCTGTACAGCAACTGTGTACACAAAATATGAGGCCAGTTTTCCAAGAGCTTTATTGGCTTCATAAGTCAAGTTTAATTCCTTAAAGGAAAGCACATCATTACAGGCAAACCCTTGGTAAAAGAAAAAAAAAACAGTTTTTCCAATTGTGTTCTGTTTCAAAAGGAAACAGATTCTTATTACACTTATGCAAATAAATATATTGCCATAAATTAAGAATACTCACAATTAGTTTCCAAATTTCAGAAAAATCAGGAAGAGAGAAAAATATGCTCCAAATTTTGTTCATAGGAGTATATTTTAGTTAATTATTAAAAGCTGTTAATAGCTCAAAAGAAAAGTTTCCTTGTCTGTGAACAGCAGACAAAGGATTAGCAATATTGTAAGCAAAAAGTCAAAAAGATCACTTCGATCTCCTATTAGTTCAGTTCATGCAGTTATTTCCCATACTGTTTGATATTAATGAACATTTCAGCTCCTCAAGAGCCCTGAACTTTTTTTCCTCTATTCTGATGTCACAAATCTCTAAAGTTATCAGAAACCTGCCTTCAAAAGCACCTGTTAGAGTTTTTTGTTTGTTTGTTTGTTTGTTTTTGAGATGGAGTCTCACTCTGCCACCCAGGCTGGAGTGCAGTGGTGCAATCTTGGCTCACTGCAAGCTCCGCCTCCCGGGTTCACGCCATTCTCCTGCCTCAGCCTCCCGAGAAGCTGGGACTACAGGCGCCTGCCACCACGCCCGGCTAATTTTTTGTATTTTTAATAGAGACGGTGTTTCACCGTGTTAGCCAGGATGATCTCGATCTCCTGACCTCGTGATCCACCCGCCTCAGCCTCCCAGAGCGCTGGGATTACAGGTGTAAGCCACCGCACCTGGCCATGTTACAGTTTTATAGCTGATTATAAAACCATCTTCTAAAGAGGATCAAAACAAGACAACAATTGTTTATGGATGACAAAAAGTTTTAGGGAAGCCATAGCTGAAGACACAATTGACAAGGAAATATGTTACCTCTGTGGCACACAATAATTTAACAGAACAATTATAATTATTACTGATAATATATGCTAAGATATATCAGAATTATAGGAGTTTCCCATGATTTTGGGACACATACCAATAACATATTTACACAAATATAGCCCAAAGAAAGCCTAACACCATTTTATATTTGGCAATGCTTCCTGTATGGTTTTTGATACCAAATAAGTCAAATTTCACCTGTACATTAGTGTACAATCAATGTTAAGCCCAATTCTTAATAAAACCTTATAGACATATTTACCCAATTTTAATATTTAACTATAAGGTAAGATTTTTATAGACCTTTTACAACCCTTTACAATTTTTATTAAAGAGCAGGTTAGTGCTCTAAGAGAAACACATTTTGCTTTTATTTTAATGATCAATTTCCATAAAAACTGAATGTTACCATTTTAACTTTAGCCAATAGGTTTACACACAGAACTTCCTTCACAATCAACCTTCCACAACTTGCTTAAACCTTCAGCTTTATTTTATCCAACTTAAAACAATCCTTCAACCTTTCAATCTATGCAAAAATCCACATTCCTGTGCCTCCTTATAATCTTTTTACCAAAAGTATATTTTACTTTCTTTATACACCTTGCATGTAAAACTGTTTCTTCAATAGTCTTAAATACATGCTACATTTTTAACTCTTAGCAACCTTTACTTTTGGTGAAAACCTTGATAAGTTTGGGATTTTAATTATGTACTAGGTGCGGTGTCTAGGACCCAGACAGAAGTGCAGATAAGGTCTGACTTATTCCAGCGTCTAACTGCATGTGTCCCAGGCTTTACCTAGTTGTAAAGCAGGCAAGTTGTACAGCCGGGAGTTATGGTGACACTTTATAAAGCATTTAAGAGGCCTAATCGCCTTTAAATTATACAACATTTCTTGGATAAATTTCCCTTCATACATTCTTTTACAACTTACAAAGACAGGCTATGACATCCCTTAACTTTCTGACTTGTCCTAAACATCCCTCTTTTTAAGCAACCCATTATTTTACTTTAGGACAAGAATTTACCATACAAGATTCTTTCTTATATAAAATCTGTTTTCTTAAATACCTATTTGCATAGCTAGGGGCCTTATTTCGAATTTAACACTCCAAAATAAATTGAACAATTTTTAAGTCAAAAAAGCAGTGTATGACCTAAGGCATTTAGCAAACCTAATATTTGACCCGCATAATTTAGACGAAATGTTTACACTTTTGAAGATATTTTTACTTCACCAATAATCTTTTTATAACTTTCTTTGTATGTCTCTTATTTCCTGGTTTCTTTTACCTTGTCTTATATATAACCTTTAAATAAGCTTTGAATTAGACAAAAATCTGTTGCCCTTTAAAAAGGAATCAATATTTAGAAAGAATGTTTTCCTACAATATGTTTTTATTGGAAAACACCCAAATAATGAAATATCTGTTGTTTAATTTAATAATATAACTAAGTTCTAAATTATGACAAGTTTATGAGTATTTATCCTATTACATTTATCTAATTATTTTTTATCATTTACCTAGATTATTTATAAAAACTTCAATAGTCATCATTTAAACTTATGAAACCACCATTGCAAAATTATAACTGAGAGAGTGAAAATGATCTGACTTAACTGACTCCATCTTGCTTCTAACCTCCAAGCTATTCCTGGTCATTAACTTAGTTTATAGTTTATCTTTGAAACAAAGATAATAACAGTCCTTTCCCAGAACAAACTTCCTTCATGTCTGTGGACTAGACTGCCTAAGGCCACAACATTAGAAATTAGAGTATTTTACTAAATAATTCAAGATGTAGCTATCTTCATTAAGCCAATATTAATGTTTTATTCAATAAATATTACACAAGCAAAGATCATTCTGTTTTGGGCTGAGTCATAGTTGTGTAACCTCTATGCCAAAATTTTACACCTTATTTGGCATAGGTAAGTATGAAATTGCTTGATCAATAAATGCAAACAAAAATGTATGCTGGAAACTCTTAAAACACTTCTAATATTACTTAACCAATAATTTTAAAGTTAGCTTATTTATTAAAGATTTTACTTAAGTCACATAAACTTGAAAAAGCATTTGACTAGTCTTTCCTTTTTCTGTTAAAGTATTTAAATGCTTTTATTTTTCTTTGAGCCAATTAATTAGAACTGCTTTATATATTTCCAGTGGTGAAACATGGTCTACACAAGACATAAATGCATAGATTTATTAGGCATGCCAATAGAAGTACATTTTATAGATTCATAAGTCCTTCTTTTTCCTATCTTAGACTTGCAAACTCTTAATAACCTGGTTTAAGACTCTGGCAGTTGTCAACTAAATAGCCCTAAATTTGTATATTGAAGGAAACAACTCTTAGGTGAAAAATCAGATGGCAAGATTTACATCTCAATGTACACAGAGAAAAAGTCTGGTGGTGCTAAAGGGAGATTAAAGTTGGATGCCAGGTCACACATAAAATTATAGAAATTTATCACAAGACTATAAAGAGACTAACTTTATTTAGATGTTGACTACCTATTTTTTAATTTGATCTTTGAGCTCTGGACACAGCCCATGCTGAATTCTGGGTTTTCAAAAACGAAGAATTATTATGAGACTAGACCATGTGATGCTTTTACAGTGCACTTAAACTTTTTTTCCAAAAAGAAAGACATTTCTAAGTGTCTAAATTATACTTTTTCATAAAAACCCTAGAGTAGCTTCTGTTGCAATAGCTATTAATGAAGAGAACAGAATTCAGTCAACTGAGAAGAAAAAAAAACTTGCTCAAAAAGACAAGGTCTTAGTAGAGAAATAAATAAAAATGAAGGCCTTTTAGATACAAACATGCACACATACATACACACATCTTGGATGTTAGCTTTTAATTAAATTCACTTTTAACCATTGAGCTCCTAAAAAAAATGTTTTCCCTTCCCAGTGGCCTCTCAGCAGGAATGGACTCAGTACCTTTCATTTTCAAGTTTACATGGCATCAAAAGAACGAGACAGGTAGATACACAGACAAGTGGAGACAAATTTTGAATGACACGAGGGGAAGTGCACTCAGGCAAAACAGACTCAAAACCAACTCAAAACCTGATCTCAACCAAAATACAAAGCGGGTGTATGAGCAAGCCCTATTGCTTCTCTTGGCAGTATGGGACAAATAGCTTAATAAGCTCAGATAGGAAAACAATAGGCTCCTGGCATACCGTACAATTAACTCACCCTTTGAGAGCATCTGCTCCTGATCTCCGTTCTTCCTCAGTAGTGAAAAGGATGTGCAATTTTGAACAAGAGACAGCCCTCGGGAGGGTTCCGGGAAAATCCCACCCAGCAGCTGCCGGGATCCTCCCGAAGACTGTCTCATCGGAAGCCACTGGCCATTGAACACACACCGTCCCGGTCTCTCCTGGCTGTCTTGTCAAATTTTGTTCTCAGACCAAACTAAGGGTTGGGCTATTTCACATGGCCCAATAACCAGATCCAGATGAACTGGGGAGAAAGAGAGTTTTTATTTCTGAAACCGGTTAGAGGGAGAAGGCCTGGAAATTAACACCAGACCAACTCTAAAATTAGGAAGTTTTCCAGAGCTTGTAAGCTATATGTCTGTGTGTAAGTGGGCATTCATCTAAAGACATAAGTGATTAACTTCTTTTAAACTATAGCTAAGGTCTGAGTTTTGAAGACCTTCCTCTGGAGCCTCAGTTCATTTACTTAATCTAAATGTGTCCAGGTGCTGGGGTGATTACCCTTATCTTGTCTCCTGCTAAACCATGGAGGTTTGGGGAGTTACTTCAGACCCACAATAAACTTGTTTGTGGAGGGCTGGGGAGTTTCTTCTGAACCCCAGTAAAACTTGTTTAATCATGCTTTAAGGTTCAGGAAAGGCCTAGGCAAAACTGTTGGTGGGCTTTTTTTTTTTTTTTTTTTAAACGTTCCAGCCCCTGCATAAGGGCACTGGCTCTTACAGCTTTTAATATTTAACTTAACCACTCAGTCAGTACTGAAACATTTGTTATGGAGGCCTGTGTTGGTGAGACCTGGCCTGCCACAATCTTGCATCTCAGAAATTATCTGTTAAAAAAATCAGAAATTGTAGCCAAAATAAATGACCAAACTAAAATAAAATATACTATACATTCTTATAGAACTGTCTTACATACTTCACCACTAGCTGAGGTGCCATCAAAACCTGATTGCAAAAGAACTCTTACTTAGGAGCCAAGTTCCTGGAATTAAAAATAGAAATAACTCTTAGCCTCTCCAACTTTGGACCAAGCCATGCTTTAATAAAAAGCACTACATGTAATCTAAACACTGAATGAAAGTAAGGGTACATCTTCAAGTAGCTCTCATTCTGGAACAATATTTCATTGACAACAAATGTACCTAGTTTAGCTCTAGGGCTCCTCCCAAAATGAAAGCAAGTCACCATAAAATTTTTGAAACTAGCTTAAAATTCAGATAAAAAAACTAGGAGGCAAAGTAGTCTCTTGTGAGTTCTGGCCTCTGAAGATTAGAAGTTAATTACAAGTACACAGGAAAAAACTATTGTATTTTAAACATTATGCACAAACAAAAGTTCAAAAAAGGCATTTGATGGGGTACTAAAAATCTGTAATAAATACACATTGTTTTATAAATAGTTTTAGAAAAACAGGATTTCTATATGGAGAGAAAGAAAGCTATTTATATATTCTCAAATATGAACCCAAGTAGATTGAAGACCTAAATGTAAAAGGTACAAGTATAAAAGAAAAGATAAAAAAGAAAAAAATCTGTGTTTTTGGAGTGGGAAAATACTTCTCCAACAACGGGAAAAAGAAAACATCATTAGGCAAAACAAAACAAAACAAAATACATAGATATGATGGTACAAAAATTATTATTAGAAGTTATATATAGATTTCAACTTCATTTTAGTTTTAGTGAAGTTGCTCTCAGGCGTACCCTTAATTAGATTTGAAGATAGCTCAACTGGTTTGCATGAAAACTGAAATTGAGTTTTGGAATCGGAGGCGAATGAGCTAACGATTAGATGGAAGGAGAAAATGGGTGTATGAAGAGACGGGGTGGGGGAGGGAGAGAGAGAGAAAATTTTACAAACGGTGATATAAAGTATTCAGTTTCAGATTTTCTTCTGCTGATTGCTGATATGCACAGACTCCTTCACTCCCCTCCCCTGTTCCCTTTCAATCTTCTATTCTATAACAATACCACGATATACAATGATTATGTGTGAATATGCGACAAGAATGGCCAGGAGTATTCTAAGTGCACCACAACCAGGTTATTTGAAAGGATGCAGCGTTCTTCACTATATGTGGGATACAATTTCAAGCTTATATAAGTAAATGTTAAATATACAGCACCACTTCCATCTGACAAACTCATAAATGTAACACAAATAAGGCCAATCAGATTCTTTCCCCCTGGGTTTTGAATCTTGAGAGTGCAGTAACATAGAGGTGAAAAATGTTCACTGCTTATTTATCTCAACAATGATTTCTCAACGAGACTTCCCATTACATCTTTTTCCCTAAATCTCCAGTCTTGCCTCAGTTCTGGGCTTTCCAAGTTTATATCGCTGTCAAGAGTTTTAATTAATATACACTTTGAAACTGCTTGGTCCTTATACCACAAGATTGTAAGTTAGGAATCACATATTTTTTTATTACCAATATTCCATTCAACCTGTAGCTTCTTTATGCTCATGTTAAAGTACTATCATGATGTCTGGGGCATCCAGTTATATACCTCTTTTATTCCTCCTTATCAGTGACATGAAAATCTCGAAGTCACTCCTTAATAATCGTCAATGTTATTGGCAAGTCCTCACAATTTTGCCTCTCCACCCTACTCCCTGCTACCATACCTGGTGACTTCTATGTTCAGGTGTACAATAAGTAGTTTTCAGTTTTCTTTTTCACGCCACTTCAGCCAGTCCCTTTCACATCTTGAATCTTGCCTTCACACATAATTGTGCTTTTTCTGAAATACTGACTTTGAATAGTGTACTTTCTAACAAATTATTTTATTCCTTTCTTCTCTCTCCCACTACATATGCTTTATAACCTCATTGAATATGTCAGTCCCTTTGACATCATTTTCTCCAACTTTATTAGACGTCATGGATGTATTTCCTTACTATCTAATATGATTCTCCATTACCCATCATTTCCTTTTCTTACCATCACCCTTAATTCTCTTGATCACTTTTCTTGCTTTTTCATCTCTTCTTTATATCACCAGCCTTGAATCAACTCAACCTTCTTCTATGGCTACTGTACTTGAATAGCTGCTACAACAGCGTAAATGAAAACTGCAATCAGTCACTGTGGATTAGTACCATAATGAGTTGATGGCATTTAATCTCACCTTTATCATTATTTTTAATCATTATATTTGTCTCTGAACTGTTTTCAATTGTATTTCCCTTTTCTCTACAACCCTAGCCTTCTCCAAAACCTTACTCTGATAACAAAAGTATTCCCATCTTTTAAGCCTCTTACTTTACCTCATGTTTAGCCTATAGACATGGTTGTCTCTTCCATTATAAGGAGACTCTCTCTGTGCCTAGTTTTCATCCACTTCTAGCTAAAAACACATCTCTCCTCCTCTGTTTCACACACTCATCTTACGCTTATCTTTCTTGAAAATGAAAAGGCAATCACATACTCTTGCTCAATAAGCCAAAAAAAATGTATCCAACTTTCATTAGTCTCTGGAGATCATACTTTAGTTTATTTGCTTGCTGTTTTCCTCTCAGAAACCAGTTAAAACTATTTCATCATTCCAGGTTTTTTGCTTTATTTAGATTAGTATGGTACTGCTTTCTTATAGGACAGTGGTTCTCAACCAAGAATATGAAATCAGAATTTCTAGTGGTGATTCCTGAATATGTGTGTACTTAAAATGTACCCAGGAAATACTGATATGCATCTCTGGTTTTAAAAAAAAAAAGGGTCGAAAGCTTTAAAAGTTACCTAACTGTTTCATAAGAAAAGATTCAATTATATATTTATTTTAAATTATATTTTGAATTGAGAGATCACCAGAGGGAAGTGGTAAAGAATTTCATGGTCACCTGTAGTTTCCTCAACCTTATATGTTGTTATCACTCATTCACTTGAAAGCGAGAGAGGGTGCTGTGGGTTTCAGATTCAGACAGACTTGCGAACACATCCTACTCTAGCTATTTGCCACTGAAAACATTACTCAGCCATCCTGAGTCTCTGTTTTTTTTTTTCATGTTTGAAATGTGAAAGTAGTAATATCTAACCCATTGAGATGTTGTAAAGATTAAATGAAACAATGTGTATAAAGAATTTAGCTGTCCTTATCCCATTATAATTGCTCAAAAAAATTAACTACCTATTCTCTTGATCATACTACACATACTAGACCCTTGAAAAGTCCTCGTGTTCCTCATGTTTGTATTTGGAAAAATAATTATTACCATTTATTTAGCACGTCACAGTTTACTAATTTTTAAACTTATGTTATTAGAATCACTTTTACAAAAATTTCATGAGTTGGGCATAGCCACAAATGGACAATGCAGCTCACATAGGAAACCTGAAGTTATGATAATGTAGCTTTTATATGAATTTTCCTGATGATCAGTGATGTTGAACAGTTTTTTTATGTACCTGTTGGCCATATGTATGTCTTTTGAGAAATATCTATTCATGTCTTTTGCCTGTTTTTTAATCAGGTTTTTGTTTTCTTGCTATTGAGTTGTTTGAGTTTCAAAAATGATGACTATGTGAAGTAATGCATATGTTAATTAGCTAGATTTAGTGATTTCACAAGTATACATACTGCAAAACCTCATGTTGTACTTGATAAATACATACAATTTTGTATGTCAAGATTTTAAACATTTAATTAAAAATTAAATTAGAACTGGGCGCAGTGGCTCACTCCTGTAATCCCAGCACTTTGGGAGGCCGAGGTGGGTGGATCACGAGGTCAGGAGATCGAGACCATCCTGGCTAACATGGTGAAACCCCGTCTCTACTAAAAATGCAAAAAAAAAAAAAAAATTAGCCAGGCATCGTGGCGGGCGTCTGTAGTCCTAGCTACTAGGGAGGCTGAGGCAGGAGAATGGCATGAACTCGGGAGGCGGAGGTTGCAGTGAGCCGAGATCGTGCCACTGCACTCCAGCCTGGGCGACTGAGCAAGACTCTGTCTCAAAAGAAAAAAATAAAATTAGAGAATGTTCAGGGCACTCTGATAAAGTGGAGTTGAAAAGTGAAAAAGAGGTTTGAAAAATAATCTACTTGTAATTTGAAATCATATTTCAGTTTACAACCCTGGTTAGTGCTGATGTTTATGTGTGTAGTCATTTTGTTTGAGTTAACTCCAGAGTCATAACCAGACTAGACAAAATTACATAAAATTGTTATCAAACTTATCTAAATCCCTAAGTTTTATTTTGAAATGTATATGTGTTTATGGGGACTTTTCTCTAAGTTTTTTTGTCTATTGACACAATAGTAGCATATCTATTAATGGAATAAATGTTATGATATATGATGCAGGTTGACAAATGGGCATCTCACTTACATCTTCCTAGTTATTTACACTATTTGTTTCATATTTTAGCTGATCTTCTTCTTTCAAAAATAAATCCTCATACTGGTAGTTCATTTAATCAGTATGGCTTTTGTTGCTGTTTTTTTTTTTTTTCTACCCAATAGGTGTTTATTTGTTTTTACTCAGCTGAGGTATGATTACAATGGAAGAGCTGCTGGACACAGTGCTCCTACAGGCTTCATATTTTCTTCCCCTCCTTTGTATTTCATCCAAAGCCAATTTTGTATAATCTGGCTGCTGCTGCTCTAGAAGTGACATCTGTTCAAATTTACACTCTTTATCATGGCTGACGTGTTGTTTGTGTTTCTGTTTACCTCAAGCCTAGTTCCAACTGTTTCTTGCTGATAATTTGTGATTTCTTCTTTCAGTCTATCACAGATTTCTAGGCATTGTGCTTGTTTAATGCAACCCGACTCATACCCTTTGTCACTTGTGCTACCTGTGTTTATACTTTGAAGAAAACTGGATGGAACTTATATGTAAGGAAAATATAGACTGGGAAATTGGATAGAAACCAGAATAATTTTCCTGCTTGCTCACCTTCAGATCCCACAAACATATTCTCCAGTAATCAGGCACCCTGATCTCCATGAAATCCAGCAAACATATATCAAGGCACTTACTACATAATGCCTTTGCAATGTTTATGGGGAGAAATATATAGGGAAAAATGCTCAAGTTCAGTTTTTTTTTAAAGACTTGTGGCAAAGGTTGAAAGTGAGAGGTATAAAATGAACTCATAGAAGCAGAGAGTAGAATGATGGTTACAGAGGTTGGGGGTTGGGGATATGGGAAGATAATAGTCAAAGGGCACAAATTAACAGACAGGAGGAATATGCTTTTTTGCTGTGTTGAGTTCTGTTTCTCAGTGTGGTGAACACAGTTTTTTATTTTTTTTTATTTAGAGGGTACAGGTGCATTTTTGTTACATGGATATATTGTGTAGTGGTGAAGTCTGGGCTTTAAGTGTAATCGTCATGCAAATAGTATACATTCTACCCAACACGTAATTTCTCGTTCCTCACCTCCCTCCTCTCCTCTCTCCCATTGGAGTCTCCAATGTCTATTATTCTACCCTATATGTTCATGTGTACGCATTTTTTAGCTCTCATTTATTAGTGAGAACATGTAGTTCTTCACTTTCTTTTTCTGATTCATTTCATTTAGGAAAATGGCCTCCCAATCAAACCATGTTGCTGCAAAAGATATGATTTCATTCATTTTTATGGCTGCATAGATTACATGGTGGTTGTTCATGTATGTGTGTGTGTAGATAGACAGATAGATAGATAGATAGATAGATAGATAGATAGATAGATACTGCATTTTCTTTAACCAATCCAACATTGACGGACACTTAGATTGATTCCATGACTTTGCTATTGTGAATAGTGCTGCAATAAACATGCATCTGCAAGTCTTTTTGATATAATAATTTATTTTCCTTTTGGTAGATACCCAGTAGTGGGATTGCTGGATTGAATGGTAATTCTATTTTTAGATATTTGAGAAATTTCCATACTGTTTTCTATAGAGGTTGCACCAATTTTAATTCCCATCAACAGTGTATAAGCCTACCATTTTCTCTGCATCCTTGCCAACATCTGTCACTTTTTCTTTTTAATAGTTGCCATTTTTAATGGTGTAAGATGGCATCTCGTTGTGGTTTTAATTTGCATTTATCTGATAATTATGATGGTGAATATTTTTGCATGTTTGTTGGCTACTTGCATGTCTTCCTTTGATTAAAGTCTGTTCATGTCCTTTGCTCATTTTTAATGGGATTATTTGTTTTATTCTTGTTGAGATGTTTGAATTTCTTGTAGACTCTTGATACTAGCACTTTGTCAGATGTATAGTTTGCAGATATTTGCATATAGGGAAAAAGAGAGTATTATGCATTTCAAAATTGCTAAGAGATTAAATTTCATATGTTTCCAGCATAAAAATGTTAAGTATTTGAGGGGATGGGTATGATATCTATCTTGATTTAATTATTCCACACTGTATTCATAAACTATAACAACACTTTGTACCTCATAAATTAGTGTAATTATGAATTTTCAATATAAATAATGTGTCTCCATGGTGAAAATGTGAAGTTGTCATTTTAACACACATATTTTCTACAATTTGATCTAAGCTAATTAATTTCAAGAAAATTCTCTGAAACCAAATCTAAAAATAGTGGTAAAAAAAAGTAAACATTCTAATTCCTCATATATTGCAATAATGAAAAGAAATTAAACTAATATAGAAGGAAGCAGAGGAGCAAATTAGTTAAACCCTACAAAGTGAATTTATCTTGAATACTGAGATAAACATAATTGTTTAGGAATAGGAAAAATGCACTATGGATTAATACGATCACACATAAGATCAATTAATCACTGTTAGACTATTAACACATGAAAAAATATTAAATAGAAGTAGGAATAAAGGGTAAATGCACATAAAAGAAGGGATAGGTCTGAGCAGTAAAGAATAGCAGAGTGAAGCAGGTCAGTGAATAGTATGGAAGACAAATGAACAGGGTCAAAGATGCTGGTTTATTTCTCAAAAGTCCTGAATGATTATTGAGTACCTCTTATAAGGAATTTTTAATATAGAAAATATTATAAGATCTATGTTTATTCACTGGCATAACTTTTCCCCAGGAACAAAACCTACCAACAAAAAAGTATCGAGTAATATTTATTTACAGTAATTAGCTCCAATTGTCAGGGAACATTTACATTCTCCATGCATTTTTTTTACCAAGTTTCCACAAGTAGGTATCTATTTCATTGGTTGTTTATGTAAAATTTAAGAACAGACACCTTTCTATACTATGTCATAATTGTAAATGCATCATTCTTTTTTATTGTGGGGACTACAAAAAGTAGATGAGAAAGAAGAAAGTGTCTTTAATTTCCCAAAGCTGTATTATTTCCTTCTTTTTGCAATCCTTCTATGTGAAAGCCTATCTAATTTACTTTCCCACTTATACAGTCAGGGTGAGGTACTGATAGTATGACAACCCTTTCAGCAATGGCAAGGAACAATCATGACACTCAGAATAATTTCACTAGTGCTGGGAACACCTTTGCTGAATTTTTTCAGGTACCACATTAGTCAAATATTCCCTTATTGAAGAACTTTGCATATAAAGGATTTCAAAACCTGGTCCTCTCTAATTACTTGAGAAGTATGAAGACTAGTAACAGAGAATTTTAAATTATATCACCCTGAAGACAGGTAGGTTAATGAAAAGAGAAACCAGGTTTCAGTGGTCAAATGTTTAACTCAAGTACAGGTTAAGTGAAAATTAGTGCCTAAGGTAGATACATGTTTTGAGCAGAAACGTTACGATGAGTATGATTGATTTTTATAAATCTTCAGCATATGTCTTTATATTTCTGTTAAAAACATAAATTCTGAATACCTGCTGCAGTAAATCAGCCACTGTTGGGGACAGTGGGAGGTGGAAGAGAAGTAACTACTCTTGAAGTGCTTTGTGAAGGCATTTTAAACAATGTTTTGACCTAACGAATTGCTTAATCATTAGAGATTTTAGCAAGTAAAACCCTTGCTAAATGTCTGAGACTTTTCCTCCATTGGATGATTAAGTAATATGTACAAAATTTTATTATTCACCTTTCATATGTTAGAGGGTTAGGATATATACTCAAATGTTTGTATGATCAAAGAAGGCCATTCTATTTTTAAGTTCTTATTAAATAAGTTTACATTTTTAAAGAATGTGGCATCTTGGACAATGATCTTCCCAGTTTAGTGTTCTCCAAGAGGGACTTATAGTCTTTGTTAGTTTTTCTTTACAGAGCATAATTACTGTGCACAACGTGAACTTCAAAAGGTGTTTTTGTAAAGTCCTGTTCTTCTCTTTAAAAAACTATGGTGTATTTTCATTCAAATACTTTCACTTGCAATTGCTTGTTTTAATTTTTGCATTTAAATATTTTAGAGCAACGATTTAATAGAAACCAGTCATTGTATTATACAAATAAATTGTTTTAATAAGTTACACCAAACTTTCTGGATCACTTTGTTAATGGCCATGGTGAATTGAGAAATTGTTCACATAATACATACCAAATGAAAATTTCTATGTAGGTATCACTTTAAATTTACCAAAAAAAAAATGGTTTGAGTTGTTCATTTACACCAAATACTCACAAAGACTACTTCACATATTAATGAGAATATAGAGTTAATATAGGTTCATCTAGATTCTAGAAAACTTTATTTTTTCCACGTGTTCAACTAGGCTTTTATTTTGTCTTGCTCAGTTTTGTTGGTGACTAGTGTTCTGTTTATATGCAGCTTCAGTTCTTTCTCATGAAGAAAAAAATTGCATTCAGTGCTTGAAACTTGATTTCTTTGGCACAGGCTATTTTGCAGGTTAAACAACTTTTTGATGTAAAAATGCAATTTCTTCAATTCCATTCAAGAGTAATAATTGTAGACATATTTATGTCACTTTGCTTGTTGAAGCATTACTTCTTTCTTCACTTGAAATAATGAGGCATTTTTTGCATACTACCAGCCATGACATTGAAAGGCAGGTTTATAATGCCATTGTGTCTTCTTCGAGAAGATCAGTAAAATAAATTGAACAAAATGGCAATGTTACCTTTTGAAGAAATTTCCATCTACTGTAGACTAATGTATGCTTCTGGAGTAACTATATATTATAAACCTAACCCCTTTAAAAATGTGTTGAAAGTATAGCAAATATGGGTCATTAAGGTATATTATTCAGTGCACAAAATATATTCTATTTAAATTTTAATGCTTGTACAAATAAGCAATGTGGACTAAGGAAATGCTTGCCCAAAATAAAACTATTTGGGTCAGGTGCAGTATCTCATGCCTGTAATCCCACCATTTTGGGAGGCCAAGGCAGGAGGACTGATTGAGGTTAAGAGTTCAAGACTAGCCTGGGTAACATGGCAAAACCCCATCTCTACAAAAAAAATTTAAAAAATTAGTTAGATATTGTGGTGTGTGCCTGTCAGTCCTAGATACTCAGGAAGATGAGTTAGTAGAATCCCCTGAGGCCAGGAGAAAAAGGTTACAGCGAGCTATGACTGCACCACTGCACTCAAGCCTGGGTAACCAAGCAAGACCCTGTCTCAAAAAACCCTATTTACATTTTTTAGCATTTATTTTATAGAATTTGCCAAAATTGAATACATTCATTGGTATCTTTTATTAAAGTTCAAAATCTTAGTCAATGAAGAAGGTATGATTGTATCAGTAATATTTTTAAAATAATTCATGTATTTTGTTCTTTTAATAAGCAAATATTAGGAGAATTGGGAATTTAATGTTGCTTAAATATTACATTTGTATTTAGAAATTCTTAATTTCTTATTTTTCTCTAACATTGGTCTTAGTCCACACATAGAATATAGTCACATTTTGTGTTATTTGTAGTTTTTGAAAGCACAACTACACTACAGTGTAGCATTACCTTAGACTTAAAGGGCATTTGACAAACTGCCTAAATGTGAAATTGCTTTTTAATATGTTTATCGCATTTTAATATTAAAATAAGTGTATTTCTTAATATGTTGATAAAACTTTAGTAAGAAGTGTGAAATTTGACCACTCTCAATAATTACAGAACAATTAAATTGCCCCAAAGTATAGGAAATATAAGTTTACTCATGCTTCCCAACAGTCCAAAGAACTGGTGCTATGTACTGGGCAGATACTAGCTCTATTGTTTCTGTTTTCCCTTATCTGACACCGTCATGGCACACTGTGGATTTATGACATTTTCTTGTTTTTTTAATGAATTATTTATAGTAAAGTATAGAAATGTCATCTACAAAATTTAACTATGTTAACACAGTGCATGTTGTTAAATAATTTGTCAAATATGGAGGGCTACTGATATGGTTTGGCTTTTTATCCCTGCCCAAATCTCATGTCAAATTGTAATCCACAGTGTTGGAGGAGGGGCCTTGTAGAAGGTGATTTGATCATGGGGGCAGTTTCTCATGGTTTAACACCATGACCCTTGGTGCTGTCATCATGATGGTGAGTGATCCTGAGATGTGGTTGTTTAAAAGTGTGTAGCACCTTCCTCCTCTCTCTCTTGCTCCTGCTCCGGCCATGTAATATGTGCCTGCTTCTCCACCTTCTGCCATGATTGTAAGTTTCCTGAGGCCTCCCCTGAAGCAGAAACTTGAACAGCCTGCAGAACCATGAGCCCATTAAACCTCTCTACTTTAAAAATTACCCGTCTCAAATAGTTATTATAGCAATGTGAGAATGAACTAACACAGAAAATTGGTGCCAAGAGTGGGGTATTGCTATAAAAGATAACTGAAAATGTGAAAGTGACTTTGGAACTGGGTAACGGGCAGAAGTTGGAACAGTTTGGATGGCTCAGAAGACAAGAGGAAGATGACAAAAAATGTGGAATGTCCTAGAGACTTGTTGAATGGTTGTGACCAAAATGCTGATAGTGATATGAACAGTAAAGTTCAGACTGAGGAGGTCTCAGATGGAGATGAGAAACTTATTGGGAACTGGAGCAAAGTTCAGTCTTGCTATGCTTTAGCACATTGACTGGCAGCATTGTGCCCCTGCCCTAGGAATCTGTGGAACTTTGAACTTAAGACAGACGATGTAGAGTATCTGGCAGAAAAAAAATTTATAAGCAGCAAAGCTTTCAAGATATGACCTGGCTGCTTCTAACAATTTATTATCATATGCATGATCAAAGAGTGTTTGAAACTGGAACTTATATTTAAAAGGGAAGCAGAACATAAAAGTTTAGAAAATGTGCAGCTTGGCCATACCATAGAGAATAAAAACCCATTTTCCCAGGAGAAATTCAAGCTGGCTGCAGAAACTTGCGTAAGTAAAAAGGAGCTGAATGTTAATAGCCAAGACAATGAGGAAAATGCATAGAAGTCTAACTTAAAATCTATTTTCTCTGATATAACTACAGGTACCCCTGCTCTTTTTTGATTGCCATTTACATAAAATCTCTTTCTCTCCTCTCTTTACTTTAGGCCAACTTGTGCCCTTAAAGCTAAAGTGAGTTTCTTGTGGCTTGCATGTAAACTAGTGTTTCTTAAAACCCATTCAGCCATTCTATATCTTTTTATTGGGGCATTTAATCAAATTGTATTTAAGGTAATCATCTACGGAGAATAATTAACTGTTGACTTTTTTATGTTAGCCTTATAATTCTCTATTATTATTATTATTATACTTTAAGTTTTAGGGTACATGTGCACAACGTGCAGGTTTGTTACATATGTATACATGTGCCATGTTGGTGTGCTGCACCCATTAACTCGTCATTTAGCATTAGGTATATTTCCTAATGCTATCCCTCCCCACTCCCCCCACCCCACAACAGTCCCCGGTGTGTGATGTTCCCCTTCCTGTGTCCATGTGTTCTCATTGTTCAATTCCCGCCTATGAGTGAGAACATGTGATGTTTGGTTTTTGTCCTTGCGATAGTTTGCTGAGAATGATGGTTTCCAGCTTCATCCATGTCCCTACAAAGGACATAAACTCATCATTTTTTATGGCTGCATAGTATTACAAGGTGTATATGTGCCACATTTTCTTAATCCAGTCTATCATTGTTGGACATTTGGGTTGGTTCCAAGTCTTTGCTACTGTGAATAGTGCCGCAATAAACATATGTGTGCATGTGTCTTTATAGCAGCATGATTTATAGTCCTTTGGGTATATACCCAGTAATGGGATGGCTGGGTCAAACGGTGTTTCTAGTTCTAGATCCCTGAGGAATCGCCACACGGACTTCCACAATGGTTGAACTAGTTTACAGTCCCACCAACAGTGTAAAAGTGTTCCTATTTCTTCACATCCTATGTTAGCCTTATAATTCTTTTGTCAGTCCTTTCCCCTCGTGCTGTCTTTCTTTGTGTTTTGTCAAATTTTTGGATTGATATGTTTGAATTCTTTTCTTTTTTTTCCTTTATGTAACTTCAATAGTTTTTGTGTCTGTGTGTGGTTACCAAGGAGCTTATATAACATATCTTACACAGTAAGCACTCACTTAACATCATAGATAGTTCTTTGGAAATTGAAACTTTAAGTGAAATGACAGATAATAAAATCATTTTTTCTTCGTCAACATTATAATGAAATGAGTGAACAATATAATGTTGTTTCAGAACCTGCTCTATGTCAATGTGCTTAAAGTTGCAGTTTTCAGAAACATATCTAAAATGTTAAGTGAGGACTCACTATAGTTATAACATTCTATTTTAAGCTAATAACAATTTAACTTTAATCACATACAAAAGCGTTATGCTTTTAATTCTCCCTCCAACACACTTTATGCTATTGCTGTTATAATTTATATGCATTTACAGTGTGTCTTTAGTATAGTTCTATTTATATTTTCATACTTTTATAACTTTTTTGTTAGAATTAAAAATGATTTAACCCCAATAGAGAAATGCAATATTCTGTATTTTTCTGTATATTTATCTTCAGCAATGTGTTCTATCTTTTTCTCTGCAGTTGTGTTGGCATTTCAATTCCTTACATTGCAACCTGAAGAACTTCCTTTGGCATTTCTTGTGAAGTAAGTCTACTGGCGATGAATTACCTGAGTTTCTTTTTGGGAAAGTTTTTATATCTTCTTCATTCTTGAAGTATAGTATAGTATTCTTAATTGATAGTTTTTTTTTCTTCCTGCACTTGAATATATTAATATAATCCAACTCTACTCTAGCCTGCAAGGTATTTGCTGAAAAATCTCCTTCATTTTGAGAAGTTTTACCAGTTATTGAATTCTTAATTAATATATAGTTTTTTGTTCCCACACTTTCAAAATGTTACCTCATTGTCATCCCAGGCATTCTGCCTTGAAGGTTTCTAATGAAAAATTACTGATCATACTGAAGTTGCTCTGTATGTAATAAGTTGCTTCTCTTTTGCTGTCTTCAAGATTCTCTCTGTCTTCAGCTTTCAAGAGTTTGATTTTAGTGTGTCTTGGTGTGAAACTCTGCATTTATGCTACTTGGAATTCTTTGATTTCTTAAATTTGTGGATTCATATCTTTCATCCAATTTGGGAAGTTTTCATCTATTGTTTCTTCAAATATTTGTTATGACTATTTTATCTTTGTTAATATTCTGTGAGTTACATAATGCGTATGTTATTCTGCTTGGTAGCCTCTCTTCACCTTTATTCATTCTTTTCTTCTTTGCTCCTCAGACTTGATGCTTTTAATTATATTATTTTCAGGTTGACCGATTCTTTCTTCTGTCTGTTTAAATTTACTGGTGAATGTTTTTAGTGAATTCTCTATGTCAATTATTATACTTTCAATTCCTGGAGTTTGTTTATATTCTCTATATCTTTATTAATATTATTATTTTGTTCATGCATCATTCTCCTGATTTTTTAAGTTATTGGTCCTATTTTCTTTAACTCTTTAAACATATTTAAAACAGTTGTTTTTAAAGTGTTTTTCTAATAGAACTAATGTCTCCACTTCTTCAGGGATTGTTTCTGTCCATTTTGTTTCTTTGAATGCATCATACTTTCCTGTTTCATTTATGCCTTGTGATTTCTTTTCTCTTGGAAGCTGGACATTTGAATATCTTAACATAGTAACTATGAAAATCTGATTTTCTCACTTCACATTGCTTTTCTGGTTTTGTTGCTGTTGATTAATTGTTAAAAAAAACTGCAGTAGTCCATTTTCAGTGACTCAAATTATTTTTATGAAGATTCCATTCTTTTTTTGTGTGGTCACTGAAGGCTCTGCTCCTTATCTTATATTCAGCTTCTATATTATTTTTGACAGAGACTTATTTGAATGCCACACACATTGTGAAGTTTCTTTTTAGTTAATTCAATATCTGCTTGGTTGCTATAAACACTTACATGTGTTTTCCGTGTCTGACAAAGTTGGTTCTGGCAGCTTGTCCTTATTTCAATGTTTCTGTGGGGTGACAAGAAACATTATTGCTAGTGATTCCATCTTGTTGACATTATATACCTCTTTATTTCTTTGATTAGTCTTTATGAAGATTTATTAATTGTGTTGGCTTTTCCTAATAATCACATTTGGTTTCATTTTGTTTTTTTTTTTTTTTAATTTTTTTCTGGGTACATATTAGGTATGTATATTGTTGGAGTACATGAGATATTTTGATACAGGCATGCAATGTGAAATAAGCACATCATGGAGAATGAGATATCCATCACCACAAGCATTTATGCTTTGAGTTATAAAAAATTCAATTATATTAAGTTATTTTAAAATATAGAATTAACTTATTATTTTTTCCAACATTTATTTTAAGTTCAGAGGCACATGTGCAGGATGTGCAGGTTTGTTACACAGGAAAACATGCGCCATGGTGGTTTGCTGCATAGATTATCCCATCACCTAGGTAGTGAGCCCAGCATCCACTAGCTACTCTTCATGATGCTCTTCCTTTCCCCATCCCACCAACAGGCCCCAGGATGTGTTGTTTCCCACTTTTTGTCCAACTGTTCTCATCATTCAGCTCCCACTAATAAGTGAGAACATGTGGTGTCTGGTTTTCTGTTCCTCTGTTAGTTTGCTGAAGATAATGGCTTCCAGTTCCATCCATGTCTCTGAATAGAACATGATTTTTTATGGCTGCATAATATTCCATGGTGTATATGTACCACCACATTTTCTTTATCCAGTCTATCATTGATGGACATTTGGGTTGATTCCATGTCTTTGCTATTGTGAATAGTACTGTACTGAACATACATGTGCATGTATCTTTATACTAGAATGATTTATATTTTTTGTGTATATACTCAGTAATGGGATTGCTGGATCAAATGCTATTTCTGCCTCTAGGTCTTTGAGGAATCACCACACTTTCTTTCACAATGGTTGAACTAATTTACACTCCCACCAACAGTGTAAAGCATTCCTTTTTCTCTACAACCTGGCTAGCATCTGTTGTTTCTGAACTTTTTAACAATAGCCATTCTGACTGGTGTGAGATGGTATCTTACTGTGGTTTTGATTTGCATTTCTCTAATGATCAGGGATGTTGAGCTTTTTTTCATGTTTGTTGGCAGCATAGATGTCTTCTTTTGAGAAGTGTCTGCTCATTTCTTTTGCCCACTTTTTAATAGGGGGTTGTTTGTTTTTCTCTTGTAAATTTGATTAAGTTCCTCGTAGACTCTGGATATTATACCTTTGTCAGATGGATATATTGCAAACATTTTATCCCATTCTGTAGGTTGTCTGTTCACTCTGATAGTTTATTTTCTGTGCAGAATCTCTTTAGTTTAATCAGATCATATTTGTCAATTTTTGCTTTTTTTGCAATTGCTTTTGGTGTTTTCCTCATGAAATCTTTGTCTGTGCGTATGTCCTGAATGGTACTGTCTAAATTTTCTTCTAGGGTTTTTACAGTTTTGAGTTTTACATTTAAGTGTTTAATCCATCTTGAGTTAATTTTTGTATAAGCTGTAGGGAAGGGGTCTAGATTCAGTTTTCTGCATGTGGCTAAGCAGTTATCCAATCATAATTTATTAAATAGGGAATCCTTTTCCCATTGCTCGTTTTTGTCAGGTTTGTTGAAGATCATATGGTTGTAGGTGTGCGGTCTTATTTCTGGGTTCCCTATTCTGTTCCATTGGTCTATATGTCTGTTCTTGTACAAGTACCATGCTGTTTTGGTTACTATAGCCTTGTAGTATTGTTTGAAGTTGGGTAGGGTGATGCCTCCACCTTTGTTCTCTCCTCTTAAGGTACCAAGATAAACTTGGAGATCTTGGGTCTGTCAGAAAGTGATGTTCTTTACTTACCACAGGTCAGGAATCTTGTACAGGGACTGCATAGACAAAGGTATAATGCAAGTCTTCCCAAGGGGATTTTATCAGCTCTGCAAGTCAAGCTCGTCTCCTTAGAGGGATACATATCCTTCCAGTCAAAGCCTTGATAAAAAAACAAGTTTCTCCAATTGTGTCTTGTTGCAAAAGAAAATGGAGTTTTCTTGCACTGATGTAAACAACTATATTGCCATAAGTTAATAATACTTACAACTAGTTTTCAAATTCTGGAGAATCCAGGAAGAGAGAGAGAAAATAGAGAGAAATATGCTCCAAATTTTGTTCACAGGAGTATACCTTACTCAATTATTAAAGGCCATAAATAATTCAAAATAAGTTTCCTTGACTCTGAAAATCAAAACAAGGATCAGCAATATTCCAACCAAAAGTAAAACAGATTGCTTCAGTTTTCTATGAGTTCAGCCCATTTAGTTAACTCTTCTTTTGTTTGATATTCTTGGACATTTTAGCTCTTCATGAGTCCTGTACATTTTTCTTTTATTCCAATGTTACAATCTCCAAAGTTATCAGAAACCTGCATTTGGGAGCACTTGTCAAAGTTCTATAGCTTATTATAAATAATCTTATGAAAAGGATTAAAACAAAACAACAATTGCCTGTGAATAACAAAATGTCTAGGGTACTTGTAATTAGAAACACAATTGACAAAGAAGTTTGGTTATCTCCATGGTTTACAATAACTTAACAACCTTAATTATGATTGATAGCATATACTAAGACATTAGAATTTTAGAAATACCATACAATTTTCGAACATATATTAGTATTATTCACCAAAATATAACCTAAAGAAGATTGAACACCATTTTGGCAATCTCGCATACCTAAATATGTCAAATAATCCTGTTTACCTCTCTTTTTGATACTTCAGGGGCCCTCTGAAGCATCTAAAAGCCAGGCATCAGGAAAGACAATTTTGAAGCTGAAGTTTGATTTTGGGAAGCCTGTTAAGTGTTAGAGATTTAAAACACTTGATGTTATGAAATAGAATTCCAGACTATAATAAATTATTTATTTTGCCAAAATGATGAGTCAGAAATTTTTAAATAGCAAAAACCTTTTATAGTCCTTTACAAATTTTGCCAAAGAGCAGATTAGTGACTTAAAAGTACCTTGTTTTGCGCTCGATTTACTGAAAAACCATATAATACCCTTTTGAATTTAGTCTATATGTTCACACATGGAATTTTTGCAAGACTAATTTTTACAATCCTTCCACTACTTGTTTGAACTTTTAACTTTATCCTATCTAATTTAAAACAATTTTTAACCCCATGCAAGAATTTACATTTTTATAATCTTTTACAAAAAAAAATTACTTTTCTTATACATCTTGGATGTAAATCTCCTTCCAATAGTTTCAGTTACCTATTAAAATGGTAACTCCTAGCAATTTTTAATTTTAATGTAAAACTTGGTAAGTTGTTTTAATTATGTGCTAGGTGCAGCCGAGGTTTGACTTCTTCCAGCATTAATTAAGGGGATGGCTAATTACATATTTCCCCAGGCCTCACAAATTGTGAGGCCGGCAAGTTGAAAAGTTCTCAAAAACCAGAAAGGCACTTTATTACCTTAAAACATTTAGCAAACCTAGTACCTGACATGCATAATAATTTAGTCCACGTATTTATATTTTGATGACATCTGCATTTTAACAATAATTTTAAGGCTGTTTTTATTTACCAATATTTTACCAATAATTTTTACTGATAATTTTTAAGGCTGTTTTAAGATTAAAGTCACATGAATTAAAAGTTACCAGAGCTTTTATCTTCCCTTTAAAAAACATTTGATCCAAGTGCTTGTCTTCCTTTAGGCCAATTAATTAGAGCTCTTTTAATAGCTATCACGCACAACATATATGTAACTACACAGGCAGAAGAAAACCCAGTCCTCATAATATCTTTCATTTGCTAATATCCTATTTGAATTATTGGCCTCTGGGTGGATCCCACTGTGAAACAGAGCTAGGAAAACATGCAGCTTATAAGGCCTAATAAATAGGCATGACTGGGAGGCAAAAACAGATTTTGAGAGGGATCTATCCACTTTTATTTCCTGGGGTTCCATGAAGAAAACAGAGGATTCTCCCCTCTCATGAGTGCATTGAGAGTGGCAAGGCAAAATGGAGAAAAATGATTCAGTCAATTGAGAAAAATCCTCTTTCCAGCAAAACAAGATCCAAGAAAAGAAAAACATAAAGGTCTTTTAAATATACTATAACTTGGATATCCACTTTTAATTAAGCTGAGCACTCTTTATGAAAGTTCTTTTAACTCCCTTATTTCCCATCTTTAGCCGTGCCAAGTGGCCAATATTTCTGGCTTTCAAACTTTACCAAAGGGCCAGAGAAAGGAAAATTCAAGGCGGTTCATGGAGGGGAAGAGAATCAACAGATAGCAAAGGTTGCACAGATATCAAAATGGAAAGCACTCATTTCCTAAGCCAGGATTGAACCCCAGACCACCATTGTAAAATGGCAGAGGCTAGAACAAAACATTGCCACTTGGTTACAAGTCAGTCTTGCTCCCAAGGACATGAAACAAGATGGAGGCCTGCAGCAAAGTTTGCTACTGGCCATACAGAAAGTCATGCAAAGCATTCCAGATTGGCTACAGCTTAAGATGAACCTCACAAATCTTTTTTTACAATTAAAACTCTACAGAGAATATAAACACTGATCCCCATAATTTCTGGCCCAGCAATACATCTTCCAAAAGGAAAGTAATCCTCACTTAAAAGTCAACTGCTGACCTGGTGGAGAAAAGGAAAAATAACTTAAATGCAGGGCTGTGTTAACCGCTGATGGGGTGGAGAAAAGAAAGATGCATTGGGAAGAACCTCTCATTTTTATGTAAATGGGTTCCTCCACCAGGGAGAGAAATTTAATTGCTGTCTCATGGAGTGGGACTCCTTGACTTGGAGAGGGGAAGGCTCAATGAAAATGTGGTGGGGAGTGCTGGCCAGCCTGCCCTTGCGCACCCTTGGAGCATGCATCCCAGCCCTGGCTGGGAGGGGAGCAGGGAAGCCTCCATTCACCCGTCCATCCTGCATTCCTTCATTTGTTGGGCTGGGGTGGTGCACAGTTTCCTCTACCCTCAGAAGAAGTCCAAGGAGAAAAAGGCTCAGAAGTGAAAGGAAAAAAGATTTTTGTATTTGTATGGTACTGACCCTTCCTCAAGCCCCACATCTGGTCATCACTGAGACCCTCATCAAAAGCAGTTGATGACACCATACTTCTTGTACAGTTTGCAGAACCATGATCCAAACAAACCTCTTTTCTTTATAAATTACCCAACCTTAAGTATTTTTATAGCAACACAAAGAAAGTAGGTAAGAGTTTATCACCAAGTATTTTGTATGTTATTCTAAAAATATATACATTTTGTCTTTTATGTTATAGGCAACCATTAATAATTTTATGCCACTCTTCATTTGCAAGCTGCAGTTTGCTTACCCTTGCCATAGGATAAAACTATCTAATCTGTTATAGAAAGAGCAATCTGCCAACTATTATAAATAATATTATAACAAAATAGCTATATTTATTAATAGCTGAAAGAAAAGGATGGAAATCCAACAAGACCAGTAAAGATAATTTTTGATAATTTAGGTGGAAATAATAAGAGCCAACACTTGAACAGTGGAAAAGAAAAAAGTTAGAGGAGTAATTTTTGACAGGACTTTCTAACTGACTAGATGTTGGGAGAAGAGATTTTAGTTTCCAAGCTGATTCTAGGTTTCTTGTTTTGGTAAATAGGCAGAGTTTGGTTCAGATAGAAATGAGGAAGAAATTAATGAAAGACTGGACTTCTGAGAGAATACAATTGCATAATGAAAGCCTCAACATAAGGCAAGAACTTATGATCTAAGACCCATGTGACTTCAAATGCTTCCAGCTCTAGAAATCTCAGAAGTTGAAAAACCCAGTACATAGATATAAATCCTAAAAAGTGTTAAAGCAACTAAATACAAATCCTTGAAAATCCATACCTCTATTTGGATGTCAAGCAATTAGAAAGATCGTTATTCCGTTAGACCTTTGAACCCATTTTTATTTTCAACCTTTATATTAGAAAAAATAATACTACCAATTTCTCTTTTGGTTTTGAGAAAGACTTTAAGAGTACTTTTTGAAAAAGGTATTGCTGAATCTAATTGACACTGAAGCCTTAATATGTTTTTTTTTCTCCTTAGGCAGTTTACGGAACAAATGTCCTCACCCTCCCCCATCCCCATGTAAAGCAAATCATTGTATTGCAAGTGGAATTTCAATTATTTAGCTTACCAAAAAAAAAAAAAAAAAAAAAAGGCATCAACTATCTAGAGAGGAAATTGAGCCTCAGGACTATTAGGTTGTCACATACTTCCAGCTTAGTGTTTTTTTAGTGACCACTCAGTGATCATAAACCACCTTTAGAAAAGTACTCTTATTGTCTTTATGTATTTTCCTGTTTCATTTCTGCATTGAGTTTAGCTTTTGAGATTAAAAGTAGTCTCTTTCATCTTTTTGTCATCCCTTCCTAAGTAGAGAAGAAATTGGAACAGACAGCTTTAATAACTTTACATACAGTTAGGAAACTAGGCACAGGCAGAATATAAAAAAGTAATCTAAAATTCAGCACTTTAAGTGCCTAGAGCTTGAAAATGACTAAGGCGTTATAGCTTAATAACATCTTTTTTGGAATCACATTTTGCACTCAAAAAAAAAGGAGGAAATGCAACTTGTGATTTGTGGTACAGTATATTGCCCTTCTGAGTATAATCTGCTGCTTGTTCATTATTACATGCAGGCTGCTCAGAAGCAAGTCCAGGTTTAAATTAGCATTTGCAGATTATTGCCATCCTAATTTAAAGTAAGTGAGGTTAGTAATTAAAACCAGTTGTGTCTGGTACCAAAGTGTTGTTGGAACCTTCTTGGGAGGCTTAAACCTAAATATTAATAAAGTTTTCACAAAAGATAAGAAATCATTTTAGTTTCACTGAAAAATCTTTATAAACAACTCGAAAGCAAGCAAAGTGTTTGAATTTTGTGTTAGTTTCTTGTGTTTTGCTGAGAGAAGTCATTTGAAGACAGGTGAACTCATTTGAAAACAGGTGCTAAAGTTCAAATTAAAATTAAATCATATTTTTTTTCCTGGACACAGGAAACAGTTGACATAAAATATGAAAAGAACATCATTACAACCATCTCTCTCCCCCTACCCTGAGCCATCGTAGTTTAACTTTGTCTTTCCAATGTTATCATGACCTATGGAGGCAGGAGGGAATGGATGAGAAAAAAAAAAAGGCAAAAACCATTAGAATCTTCATAAAAGAAGAGAACAAAGCTGCCATAAACTGCATAACAATTGCATTTAAATGACTCCTACCTCATTTACTGGGTATGTCTATGTTTTTGATAACAGTTTAAATAGGGTATTGTTTGTATACTTAGAGCCTTCAATGCTTTGCCATTTAAAAATGTGGAGTGTTGATGAAAAGAGTCAAACTCTGTAACATATTTGAAGAGATTTATTCTGAGCCAAATATGAGTGACCAGGCCCATGACACAGCCCTCAGGAGGTCCTGAGAATATGTACCCAAGGTGGTTGGGGTACAGCTTGGTTTTATATATTTTAGGGAGGCATGAGACATCAATGAAATACATTTAAGAAATACATTGGTTTGGTTCAGAAAGGTGGGACAACTCAAAGCTGGGGCTGGCCAGGTGCAGTGGCTCACGGTTGTAATCCCAGCACTTTGGGAGGCTGAGGCAGGTGGATCACGAGGTCAGGAGATCGAGGCCATCCTGGCTAACATGGTGAAACCCCATCTCTACTAAAAAATACAAAAAATTAGCTGGATGTGGTGGTGGGCGCCTGTAGTCCCACCTACTCGGGCGGCTGAGGCAGGAGAATGGCGTGAACCCAGGAGGCAGAGCTTGCAGTGAGCTGAGATCAGGCCACTGCACTCCAGCCTGGGTGACAAAGCGAGACTCCGTCTCAAAAAAAAAAAAAAAAAAAGCTGGGGCTTCCAGGCTATTGGTAAATTTAAACATTTTCTGGTTGACAATTGGTTGAGTTTATTTGAAGACCTGATATCAATGGAAAGTGCTGAGACCAGCTCAGTCGGGGAGACCCTAACCCAGTGGTGCTAGAGGAATTAAAGACACACACACAGAAATATAGAGGTGTAAAGTGGGAAATCAGGGGTCTCACAGCCTTCAGAGCTGAAAGCCCCGAACAGAGATTTACCCACATATTTATTAACAGCAAGCCAGTCACTAGCATTGTTTCTATAGATAATAAATTAACTAAAAGTATCCCTTATGGGAAACGAAGGGATGGGCCAAATTAAAGGAATAGGTTGGGCTAGTTAACTGCAGCAGGAGCATGTCCTTAAGGCACAGATCACTCATGCTATTGTTTGTGGCTTAAGAATGCCTTTAAGTGGTTTTCCACCCTGGGCGGGCCAGGTGTTCCTTGCCCTCATTCTGGTAGAACTACAACCTTCCAGCGTGGGCTTTATGGCCATCATGAACATGTCACAGTGCTGCAGAGATTTTGTTTATGGCCAGTTTTGGGGCCAGTTTATGGCCAGATTTTGGGGGGCTTATTCCCAACAGGAAAGGAATGTTGAGGTTAAGGTAAAGGATTGTGAAGACTAAGTTTTATTGTGCAGAGGAAGCTCTCAGATAGCAGACTTCAGAGACAGCAGGTTGTAAATTCTTTCTTATTGGACTTAAAAGGGTACCTGGCTCTTAGTTGATTATTTCCTGAATCTGGAAAGAAAGGAAGGAAAATGAAAGGGGAAGGGATTCTCTATAGAATGCAGATTATTCCCACAAGAGACTTTGCAGGGCAATTTCAAGGTATGGCAAGGAAGTATATTTTGGGGTAAAACATTTTTCCTTGTCTGTAATGTTATGCCAGAGTCAGATTGAAAAGTAAGTCACAATATATAGAGTCAAATAAAACCCATCTGATGAGAATTTATGGTTTGTAGGGCATGACTCCCTATACCCCTTAGGTAGGAATTTGGGTAAGATAAAAAATCAGAGCTTAGTCGTCAAGAGATAAGGTAAATACAGTTCCCTTGGAGAGTTAAACTGCAAAATCAGCAACTAATGGATCAGAACAAAGATAAGCAAAGTCACCTAAAAGAGAAATTGCCTGTCAGACCTTTAAGACCAGGCTGTACTAATCTAAATATAAATTAAATTAACAATTTGTTTTTTTTGTCTATTCTTATGTTCAGTTTAGTTGCTATGAACTAGTCATTCACTGTGAATTAACAATTGATGGTCTCTCCTAGTTAGATGGACACTTTCAGCACAGCCCTTCTTGGAATAAAATTGAAATAAACAGACTTGTCTTTTTGCATCAATAAAGATATTACATTTAAAATGAATCTTTTTTTTAGAATTAGAACACACCTGGATTGAGAAATGTGAAAGAGTCTTAAACTTGGTGAGTCTGTTGCTTTCAGGTCAGAATTGAGTTTTGAGAATGAGGAATACAACAAACCCAGCTGATAATATAATTATTAATATATGTATTGACTTATTTAATCCTTATAATGATCTGATGAGACAGTCAACATTAGTAGCTCCATTTAATAAATGCAAAAACCAAAGCAGAGAGGAGTAACTTGCTCAATGTAACACAACTGTTAGGAAATAGAAATGGGTTAGAACTTAGGCATTCTGGCTATAGAAACCGCACTGTTGACTGGCATAATGCTCTACCTCCCTGGCCTACTAACTTGTACATAATAGGTATTCACAAAATATAAGTTAATAAATTATTCAAATATGATGTTTTATTTATGTGAAACGCACTATAGTTTTCAAAGATACTTTCTATCACTTATGTAGTTTGTTTTCAGTAATCTGTGGCTATACAGTAGGGATACATATAGTTTGCATTTAATAGATGAGAAAACTAAAGACTTGGTTGTTGGATTACAAAAAGAATTAAGATATGGTCACTGCCTTCAAGAGCTGGGGGTAAGGTGAGGTGGAAAGTTTTCTCAACAAATAATTACATGAAAATTTGGTAGCTTTGATAATGAAAGGCACAATAAGCTATTGTGGTAATTTGTAACTTTTTAATGTGCTTTTTAAAAAAATTTACTTTAAGTTCTGGGATACATGTCCAGAATGTGCAGGTTTGTTACATAGGTATACATGTGCAATGGTGGTTTGCTGCACCTATCAACCCATCATCTAGGTTTTAAGCCCCACACGCATTAGGTTTTTGTCCTAATGCTCTCCCTCCCCTTGCCCCCCACCCCACGACAGGCCCCAGCGTGTGATGTTCCCCTCCTTGCGTCCATGAGTTCTCATAATTTTTAACTTTTTTAATGATGTGGCCTATTTATGTTTTTCTTCATGCTTTTATTATCTTCCTTCTTCCAGGTACCTTCCAGAGAAAGGTTTGTTGGGTTACTAATAGTGAACCACAATTCCTAGAAGAATGGAGAAGCCATTAATTGAGAAATGCATGTCAGGAGTAAGACACAAAACAGGGGTTCAATAGCTTACCTTGGGTTGACGTGGGTTAAGTTTGAGGTTTTCTGAAACATCCACATAAAAGTTTAAGGAGGCAGTTTGAAATAAAGATCTAGAGTACATTTATCATTTATAAGTGTGACAATGTTGGAACTGAGTGAGCTCATTAAAAAATAAGAGAAAGAGAGCTGAATCTTGGAGATCACAATATTTTAAGTAGGAGAAAGTATGGAGGAATCCATGACTGAGACAAAGAAGGAACCAAATAGGGGCAAAGAAAACCAAATGGATGTACTAAAGGATAAAAATAGCGAAAGGAGACTGGTGCGGTCACTCACGCCTGTAATCCTAGCACTTCTGGAGGCTGAGGTTGGCAGATCATGAGGTCAGGAGTTCGATACCAGCCTGGCCAACATTGTGAAACGCTGTCTCTACTAAAAATACAAAAATAAGCCGGGTGTGGTGGTGTGCACATGTAATACCAGCTACTTAAGAGGCTGAGGCAGGAGAATCACTTGAATCTGGGAGGCGGAAGTTGCAATCAGCCTAGATTGTGCCACTGTACTCCAGCCTGGGTGACAGAGTGAGACTCTGTCTCAAAAAAAAAAAAAAATAGCCAAAGGGGAGAGAAGTTAATAATACTAAGTACTGCAAAGAGATCAAAAGAATATGTGCCAGGATGCAGCCATTGAATTCCACTATATCTCTCATTTCAGGAAGGACTTTCAGGAGTATAGGAGGGCAAGAATTATCTTTTAAGAGACTGAAGTGTCCAGAACTTTGGTCTGGAGGTAGCAGGGGAAAGAAAGAGAATGCCAGTTTCTCCTGTTTGTTCTAGTATATGCAGTAATCAGTCTTTTTTGCATTTGTAGCCAAAGTAGCAATGTCAATAGAGAGCAAAAATTTAATGAAGTCAGAGAGGTTTAAAAAGGTTTAATAGGCCGGGTGCTATGGCTCATGCCTGTAATCCCAGCATTTTGGGAGGCCGAGTTGGGCAGATCACGAGGTCAAGAGATCGAGACCATCCTGGCCAGCATGATGAAACTCCGTCTCTACTGAAAATACAAAAATTAGCTGGGCGTGGTGGTGTGTGCCTGTAGTCCCAGCTACTCGGGAGGCTGAGGCGGGAGAATCGGTCAAACTTGGGAGACAGATATTGCAGTGATCCAAGATTGCTCCGTTGCACTCCAGCCTGAGCAACAAGAGCAAGAATAAAGGGAATAAAAAGGTTTAATAAAGATGTTAAATATTTAATGAGGTTTTCAGCGTCGAAATGGAGGACCGTAGGGAACACAGAACAAGTGCCAAAGGAATGTGTCAGTGGGGTAAATAAGAGTAGAAAGAAGTAATATTGAAGTGAATTAATATGATTACTAGTTGCCTACAGTTAAACCATTCAATAAACCATTCAATAGTATTTCAATCATTTAATCTGATGCATAGAATCTGAGGTGTTTCTACATCACACTGAATTCCTTCTCTAGGAATATCTACTAAGAAGAAAGTTGAAATATGTTTTATAATTTTTAAGAGACAGGGTCTTGCTCTGTTGCTCAGGCTGGAGTAGAGTGGCACAATCATGGTTCACCACAGCCTCAACCTCACAGGTTCAAGCAATCTTCTGACCTCGGCCTCCAGAATAGCTGGAACTACAGGTATTTTCTACCATGCTCAGCTATGTATGTATGTATGTGTATATATATATGTATGTATGTATAGATGGGGTTTTGCCATTTTGCCTAGTGCTAGTCTTGAACTTTTAGGCTCAAGTGATCCTCCCGCCTTGGTCTCCCAAAGTGTTGGTATTATAGGTGTAAGCCACCATGCCTGGTCTGAAACATGTTTAGAACCAGGATGTAGTACCTTTCTAAATTAGTATATGGTAGTCTAGAAAGATTTCTTTCTGCCTAATGTTGTCATATATATACTTATGGAGCAGCCATGAGAATGTGACTATATTTTTTAACTTTAAGAAGTCCTTTATTTTTAAGTTGGATCAAACTAAATTAAATAGTCAAAAAGGAAGCATAAAGTTAAATTTATGGTTGCTGGCCTTCAAAATTTGCTTTAACAATTCATTCACATATACTAAAAGTTTTAGACTTTCAAGATATGGATTTGCTTTATACCCTTTTGAATGTAGTACCAGTCAACCCACAGAACTGTTTGAATCTCTAGCATCTTAACATAGGATAAAATAAATATAATTTATATGTTTATGTTCATTAGTCTGTTACATCATTTAAACTTGAGAATTCAATTAAGAACACTCTCAGAATGATTTAATTGCAGGTAGGTTTTTCAGCTTACATTTTCTTGAAAAATCAGATTATTTCTGAATATATATCAAATAACATAATTTTATATGATATTTTCAAGTACATATTTCAAGTAAACACCCCGCTGTGGCAATATAAAATGCCATAAATCATGTTCCTGAAAGTTACATGCACAATACATTATTAAATATGGGCACACAAATAAGTGAAATGCATGGTTTATTTATGTAATTATTCAGGAAATTCAACATTGGTTTCTACTGCAATAAAAAAGGATGTTGCCAGAGGATATCAAGCACACTGCTCCATCAGTAGTGTTGCTTTAATCTGGAAGCAGCTATAATTTAAGAACTAGAGGTTGAATCTCTTCATACATCTGCTAGTTATGATTATTTCCCTACTGATATTTGTTTACAGACTGTTTTGATTTGGAAAATTGCAATGCCCATAACAGAGCTTCTTTATCCTTTTGTTAAATTTTTATTTTTGTCTAAACCGTACCATCAATGAGTTTTGGCATTTTAACGTGTAATTATACCTGACATTAGAAAGTAAAAAACAACCAAAAGAATCAGCAGTTAGATGTCTTCTGTCTAATTGATTCAAATACAAGCTATATCAGATAAAATTTTTAAAAAATGCAGCCTGTAAGGTTTTTTATGATGAATTAATAATTGAAAACTTCTAACTCATAGATAATCTTTTCAAAAAGAGTGCAGTTACTCCTCTTACGTTCTAGTAAAAATGTAAAGCATTGACTAGAAATAGACTCGTCAATCCCTGGACAACTATGTAACCAGAGCTTAGAAACCACATCAAAAGCTACCATTAATACTATATTTAATTGCTATAATTTGCTATTGTTGATGAGGCAGGTTTTAGTTGATTACAGGTCTCAATTTTTATCTATTTTATATAGGGACTCTTCCCAAGGCAAATACCTGTTCAGAGCTTGGAAAAGAAGTTGTTTTGGTGTTTCTCCAGATAAAAATATTTTATTTATTCTATCTTATTTAATCACATATTCACCCTTACTATCTTAGTTTGGATAATAATCTGGCATAGATCTAGGTTTGATGATGACTCAAAAGAGTTCCAAAGATCATTGCACATATCTCTGAATAGTATGGCTTATCATATGCAAGTGTGTTTTGATGTGTATTCATACTGAAATAGCGATACAGGCCGGGCGCGGTGGCTCACGCCTGTAATCCCAGCACTTTGGGAGGCTGAGGCGGGCGGATCACGAGGTCAGGAGATCCAGACCATCCTGGCTAACACGGTGAAACCCCATCTCTACTAAAAATACAAAAAATTAGCCGGGCGTAGTGGCGGGCGCCTGTAGTCCCAGCTACTCAGGAGGCTGAGGCAGGAGAATGGCGTGAACCTGGGAGGAGGAGCTTGCAGTGAGCCGAGATTGCACCACTGCACTCCAGCCTGGGCAACAGAACGAGACTCCATCTCAAAAAAAAAAAAAAAAAAAAAAAAAAAAAAGAAAAGAAATAGCGACACAATTGTCAATTAATGAAGGCCAATTAAATTGACCATTATAAGGTTGATTTAGTATAGTCTTGAGTTAGTCAAAGTTCAACAAGCAGAAATTCTACCTGGTCATCACTTGTTCAAAATTTCAGATTAGTCATGCTGATCTTGAGGTTATTTTTATAATTTTATATTGAGCTTATTTTATGGTTTTATAACAGAGGTTAAATATATTTACATATGCTTACGTTTTCTCAGAAATACAAAATTGAAATGTATTTGATATATCAATAGGAATTTTGACGTGCAGCTTAGAAAAGTGAAATAGTGGAAACTTACATTTCAGATGGGTGTAAATTATCTGAATTTAAATATAACTTATCTGAAATGCATTTTTTAGATAAAATTTTTTTTTAGATAGTTTGGCATACATGCTTAATAATATCTATATTTAATAAGAGTAGAAGCTTCTAAAAAGCAAAAGTTGAGTCAAAGTTCTTTGCAGCCACTAGAGTTCCTAAGATTTCACAAATGTATTTTAGATGAGGATCTTATGCAAGTAAGATTAAAGGTTTACTGAGCATAATATAAGTTCCGATATTTCACCCAGTCATATCAAAGCATATGTGTCATGCTGTATCAAAGTGAGGAAAAATGCTTTGAGGATTTACGGTATTCTCTTACTACTCAACAGAAGAAGGCTATTTATCAAGCATGGTTCAAGATGAAATTATATCATCAAGGTCAGTTCTTTGTTCTTAGTAATATTTTCCCCCTGTATTTATAAATCATATTCAACAATGGAATGGGAGCCCAATGTATTGTTTGTGGACTGTTTGAAAGGCAGATTTCTTATATTACCACATTCATTAATATTTTATTAATGTACATATGTAATTGAGAAGTGGATAGAGAGATTTGGAATGAACTGTGTGTGTGTGCGAGAGAGAGACTGTGTGTGTGCGTGTGTGTGTGTCTGTGTGTGTATGTATGTGTGTAGAGATGGAGACAGAGGGGAAATGTGTGTTAGAAAGACAATTTACTAAAATTTTGTCCTTTGTCCTAATAAAATGTATCTCTCTTACACATTACAATGTTTCTTGTTCTATTTTTAAAACTTTTAAGTAGGCAGAAAAAATAATAAATTGAAGAGAAATATTACAATATAACTTTAAAGATTTGACATATATGGAAGTGTGTGTTGCAAAACCTCTTTATGTAAACAAATTCTACTAGACGGAAGTATTAGAATGCGATATATTGAAGCTACAGGGGAGACAAATCTAATAGTCTTGGGAAAAAATCTTTTATATCTTTTTTTTTTTCTTTTTTCTTTTCTTTTTTTTTTTTATTATACTTTAAGTTGTAGGGTACATGTGCACATTGTGCAGGTTAGTTACATATGTATACATGTGCCATGCTGGTGCGCTGCACCCACTAACTCGTCATCTAGCATTAGGTATATCTCCCAATGTGATAAACACACATACTTGGATATACACTGTCACCATAATATCTGGAAACAGATAAAATATATAAGTATTTTATTGATATTACATTGTAAGTTAAATGACACAAAAATAAATTGTATGTTCAATGTGTGTACTTTATTAGCAATGTCCAGGTCACTGTTTTGGGTAAAGTTGCAATGGACACTGTGCATCCATGTATTTCTATCAATCTCAGCACATATATTCAAAATATATTGCCTTGTATAAGTTGTCTCTTTTCTTTTCACTAAAGAATTGTGATATTGACATACACCAGAAGAGGTAATCAAGCAGATTCTATTGGTTAAACAAATAAAGGAAAATAATATCAATCTGTATTTTCAGACTTTATGGCTACCTTGAACCTTGCAGATCATTCAGAAAAGTCCCTAGGTCTATTTCATGTGTATATATTTTTTTAATTCTACTTTTGCCTACATAAAATGTCTGTTCTTTATGACTCCTTGCTATTAACGTATGCATTTTGAGATTTCTTGAGATTTTATATATTTGACCTCCATTTCTATTGAAAGATGGAAGACCTCATGGACAACATTTACGTAAATTATTCAAAGTGTGTAGAATGCTAAATCAATCAGGAGAAAAAAGTTGATAATCTAATGTTCTTGATCCCACTGGGAAGTCTGATAAATTGAGACATTGAACACACCTGACTCAATACCCATAAAAAACGTACAACAGAAAGATAACAGCTATTTCAGTGCACTCTTCTTCAGTGCCATGGGTGATTAGATTTACAGGATGTTATTTTATATTGGCTCTTTCTTCTGTCTACACTCGACCACAGGTTTTGAATTGCCTTAAACAAGCAGGGCTGTGACAATTTTTGTCCTCTGTTTAATAATAATAAAAATATAAAAGTATAAAGAGGTACTTTCAGTGAATAGAATTTATACGTGGATACATACATAAATTATTAAATGTATAAGATGTTCATGGAAGCTGTCAATCCATGGGGCAGTTCATTCTCTAAATTATTGTTTCTTCTCTCACAGCCATTAACAACCAAATAGGTTGTTTTATTTTTCTGGGTCTTTGCCAGAGGACTTTGCTCTAAGTTGTTCTTCCAGGTCTATGTCTTTGCCTTAAAACTTTCAAATGTGCCCAGAATTTTATCAAATATGTTGCTTCCTGGTTGTTCTGAGGTACATGTCCTTGTCTGGGTGTGTTGTGCATTTGTTTCTCTAAGGTTGTCCTTGGTATACTGTAAGCAGTCTTAGCAGAAAATGGAGGAAAAAAAGAAACACTCAGATATGGTCTGTTTGAACTGCTATGCATTATTGCTCCTGCTACTAACTCCTAGATTTCTCTTTTCAATATTAATTGAAGAAGAGAAATAAGGTCTTAATGACCAACCAAACATTTTTACTTCTGGAGAAGTGCCAGCAAAAGTGTCAGAACCTGGCTAGCAAATTCCCTAGGCCTCGTGAGATTCACCACATTTTGTTCTTCTAAATTACATGAATTTATTGCATTTAACTCAATTTTAGATAGAAGCCTGTGGAGGCAAATGAATCACAAAGAACCTTCAGAAAAGGGCTTTGCTTTTAATGAGATATTTCAATGGATTTCTGCTTATCACTGCATATGCAAAATTAATTGTTGAACACATTTGGGAATTATGGCGTATAACAGATGTTATGAGGGGCAAATTTTGGTACACAAAAAAACAAAATTTACAGGTGAATCCATACACACCACTTAGAAATAAGAGAGGAGGGTAAATAAAAATAATTCTACAAGTGATTTTTCACTGCCAACCAAACTTCAGAGATATGTCAAAAATATCAGTGATATGAAATATTTGTAGGTTCATCAAGCATTTGTTGAAAATCTACTGAATGTGGGGCACTCAGTTAAATATTAGAGATGCAGAGATAAATAATACACTGTCATCACTTATTTGTGGTAGATCATGTCAAGTGACAGAGAAACAACTCTGCAAACAGATCACCACAGTACAGTGTGGGCAATTATCATAACAAAGTGCCACAGAAACGGTTGCTGAAAAAACTTGAGAATGTTGGAATTTAAAAATACTGGAAGAAAAAAGAGTTAATAAATTAACATTGAAAAAGAATTATTATTAGAATTTTTTCTTAAATTATATAAGAGGTTTCTAGGTAATGAAGCGGAAAATGGATGTTTCACACAAAAGAAATCACATATTCAAATCGTGCTTGAGTTCACGCAATAACAAGAAGTCCAGTGTGGAATAACCTGCACATGGCCTGGGGACCTGTGGTAGATGATGTAACTCCAAAGATACTTTAAAACCTAATGTGAATGGCCATAGAAGACAAGCTATGCAATTTCAAAGTTCTATTATAGGAAATAAAGATGCAAAAGAGGTTCTTCTTAAGTAAGACACTTCTATAATCCAATTTGCTTTTTTTTATTATTATTATACTTTAAGTTATAGGGTACACGTGAACAACGTGCAAGTTTGTTACATATGTATACATGTGCCATGTTGGTGTGCTGCACTCATTAACTTGTCATTTACATTAGGTACTTCTCCTAAGGCTATCCCTCCCCCCTCCCCCGCTCCATGAAAGGCCCCGGTATGTGATGTTCCCCACCCTGTGTCCAAGTGTTCTCATTGTTCACTTCCCACCTATGAGTGAGAACATGCGGTGTTTGGTTTTCTGTCCTTGCGATAGTTTGCTCAGAATGATGGTTTCCAGCTTCATCCATGTCCCTACAAAGGACATGAACTCATCATTTTTTATGGCTGCCTAGTATTCCATGGTGTATATGTGCCACATTCTCTCAATCCAGTCTATCACTGATGGACATTTGGGTTGGTTCCAAGTTTTTGCTATTGTGAATAGTGCCGCAATAAACATATGTGTACATGTGTCTTTATAGTAGCATGATTTATAATCCTTTGGGTATATACCCAGTAATGGGGTTGCTGGGTTAAATGGTATTTCTAGTTCTAGATCCTTGAGGAATCACCACGCTGTCTTCCACAATGGTTGAACTAGTTTACAGTCCCACCAACAGTGTAAAAGTGTTCCTATTTCTCCACATCTTCTCCAGCACCTGTTGTTTCCTGGCTTTTTAATAATTGTCATTCTAACTGGTGTGAGATGGTATCTCACTGTGGTTTTGATTTGCATTTCTCTGATGGCCAGTGATGATGAGCATTTTTTCTTGTGTCTGTTGGCTGCATAAATGTCTTCTTTTGAGAAGTGTCTGTTCATATCCTTCACCCACTTTTTGATGGGGTTGTTTGATTTTTTCTGGTAAATTTGTTTAAATTCTTTGTAGATTCTGGATATTAGCCCTTTGTCAGATGAGTAGATTGCAAAAATTTTCTCCCATTCTGTAGGTTGCCTGTTCACTCTGATGGTAGTTTCTTTTGTTGTGCAGAAGCTCTTTAGTTTAATTAGATCCCATTTGTCAATTTTGGCTTTTGTTGCCATTGCTTTTGGTGTTTTAGACATGAAGTCCTTGCCCATGCCTATGTCCTGAATGGTAATGCCTAGGTTTTCTTGAAGGGTTTTTATGGTTTTAGATCTAACAATTACATCTTTAATCCATCTTGAATTAATTTTTGTATAAGGTGTAAGGAAGGGATCCAGTTTCAGCTTTCTACATATGGCTAGCCAGTTTTCCCAGCACCATTTATTAAATAGGGAATCTTTTCCCCACTTCTTGTTTTTGTCAGGTTTGTCAAAGAACAGATGGTTGTAGATATGTGGTATAATTTCTGATGGCTCTGTTATGTTCCATTTGTCTATATCTCTGTTTTGGTTCCAGTATCAGGCTGTTTTGGTTACTGTAGCCTTGTAGTATAGTTTGAAGTCAGGTAGTGTGATGCCTCCAGCTTTCTTCTTTTTGCTTAGGATTGACTTGGCGATGCAGGTTCTTTTTTGTTCCATAGGAACTTTAAAGTAGTTTTTTCCAATTCTGTGAAGAAAGTCCTTGGTAGCTTGATGGGGATGGCATTGAATCTATAAATTACCTTGGGCAGTATGGCCATTTTTATGATATTGATTCTTCCTACCCATGAGCATGGAATGTTCTTCCATTTGTTTGTGTCCTCTTTTATTTCGTTGACCAGTGGTTTGTAGCTCTCCTTGAAGAGGTCCTTCACATCCCTTGTAAGTTGGATTCCTAGGTATTTTATTCTCTTTGAAGCAATTGTGAATGGGAGTTCACTCATGATTTGGCTCTCTGTTTTTCTGTTATTGGTGTATAGGAATGTTTGTGATTTTTGCACATTGATTTTGTATCCTGAGACTTTGCTGAAGTTGCTTATCAGCTTAAGGAGATTTTGGGCTGAGACAACGGGGTTTTCTAGATATACAATCATGTCATCTGCAAACAGGGACAATTTGACTTCCTCTTTTCCTAATTGAATACCCTTTATTTCTTTCTCCTGCCTGATTGCCCTGGCCAGAACTTCCAACTCGATGTTGAATAGGAATGGTGAGAGAGTGCATCCCTGCCTTGTGCCAGTTTTCAAAGGGAATGCTTCCAGGTTTTGCCCATTCAGTACAATATTGGCTGTGGGTTTGTCATAAATAGATCTTAGTATTTTGAGATACGTCCCATCAATGCCTAGTTTATTGAGAGTTTTTAGCATGAATGGCTGTTGAATTTTTTCAAAGGCCTTTTCTGCATCTACTGAGATAATCATGTGGTTTTTGTCTTTGGTTCTGTTTGTATGCTGGATTACGTTTATTGATTTGCATATGTTGAACCAGCCTTGCATCACAGGTGTGAAGCCAACTTGATCATGTTGGATAAGCTTTTTGATGTGCTGCTGGATTCCATTTGCCAGTATTTTATTGAGGATTTTTGCATTGATGTTCATCAGGGATATTGGTCTAAAATTCTCTTTTTTTGTTGTGTCTCTCCCAGGCTTTGGTATCAGGATGATGCTGGCCTCATAAAATGAGTTAGGGAGGATTCCCTCTTTTTCTATTGATTGGAATAATTTCAGAAGGATTGGTACCAGCTCCGCTTTGTATCTCTCGTAGAATTTGGCTGTGAGTCCGTCTGGTCCTGGACTTTTCTGGTTGGTAGGCTCTTAACTATTACCTCAATTTCAGAGCCTGTTTTTGATCTTTTCAGGGATTCAACTTCTTCCTGATTTAGTCTTGGGAGGGTTTATGTGTCCAGGAATTTATCCGTTTTTTCTAGGTTTTCTAGTTTATTTGCATAGAGGTGTTTATAGTATTCTCTGATGGTAGTTTGTATTTCTGTGGGATCAGTGGTGATATCCCCTTTATCATTTTTTATTGCTTCTATTTGATTCTTCTTCCTTTTCTTCTTCATTAGTCTTGCTAGCATTCTTTGTATTTTGCTGATCGTTTCAAAAAACTAGCTCGTGGATTCATTGATTTTTTTAAGGGTTTTTGTGTCTCTATCTCCTTCAGTTCTTCTCTGAACTTAGTTATTTCTCACCTTCTGCTAGATTTTGAATGTGTTTGCTCTTGCTTCTCTAGTTCTTTTAATTGTGCTGTTAGGGTGTTGATTTTAGATCGTTCCTGCTTTCTCTCGTGGACATTTAGTGGTGTAAATTTCCCTCTACACACTGCTTTAAATATGTCCCAGAGATTCTGGTATGTTGTGTCTTTGTTCTCATTGGTTTCAAAGAACATCTTTATTTCTGCTTTCATTTTGTTATTTACCCAGTAGTCATTCAGGAGCAGGTTTTTCAGTTTCCATGTAGTTGTATGGTTTTGAGTGAGTTTCTTAATCCTGAATTCTAATTTGATTGCACTGTGGTCTGAGAGACAGTTTGTAATGATTTCTTTTCTTTTACATTTGCTGAGAAGAGCTTTACTTCCAACTATGTGGTCAATTTTGGAATAAGTGCGATGTGGTGCTGAAAAGAATGTATATTCTGTTGATTTGGGGTGGAGAGTTCTGTAGATGTCTATTAGGTCTGCTTGGTTCAGAGATGAGTTCAAGATTTGGATATCCTTGTTAACTTTCTGTCTCGTTGATCTGTCTAATGTTGACAGTGGGGTGTTAAAGTCTCCCATTATTATTGTGTGGGAGTCTAAGTCTCTTTGTAGGTCACTTAGGACTTGCTTTATGAATCTGGGTGCTCCTGTATTGGTTGCATTTTCTGTTTTATCAGAGACTAGGATTGCAAACCCTAGTCTCTGATAGGGTTTTTTTTTGTTTTCCTTTTTTTTTTTTTTTTCCATTTGCTTGGTAGATCTTCCTCCATCCCTTTATTTTGAATCTATGTGTGTCTCTGTGCCTGAGATGGGTCTCCTGAATACATCACACTGGTGGGTCTTGACTCTTTATCCAATTTGCCAGTCTGTGTCTTTTAATTGGGGCATTTAGCCCATTTACATTTAAGGTTAATATTGTTATGTGTGAATTTGATCCTGTCATTATGATGTTAGCTGGTTATTTTCCTCGCTAGTTGATGCTATTTCTTCCTAGCATCGATGTTCTTTACAATTTGGCATGTTTTTGCAGTGGCTGGTACTGGTTTTTCCTTTCTATGTTTAGTGCTTCCTTCAGGAGCTCTTTTAGGGCAGGCCTGGTGGTGACAAAGTCTCTCAGCATTTGCTTGTCTGTAAAGGATTTTATTTCTCCTTCACTTATGAAGCTTAGTTTGGCTGAATTTGAAAATGTGAGTTGAAAATTCTTTTCTTTACGAATGTTGAATATTGGCCCCCACTCTCTTCTGGCTTATAGAGTTTCTGCTGCAAGATCGCTGTTCGTCTGATGGGCTTCCCTTTTTGGGCAATCAGCCCTTCATCTCTGGCTGCCCTTAACATTTTTTCCTTCATTTCAACCTTGGTGAATCTGACAATTATGTGTCTTGGAGTTGCTCTTCTCGAGGAGTATCTTTGTGGTGTTCTCTGTATTTCCTGAATTTGAATGTCGGCCTGCCTTTCTACGTTGGAGAAGTTCTCCTGGATAATATCCTAAAGAGTGTTTTCCAAGTTGGTTCCATTCTCCCCGTCACTTTCAGGTACACCAATCAAACGTAGATTTTGTCTCTTCACATGTTCCCATATTTCTTGGAGGCTTTGTTCGTTTCTTTTTACTCTTTTTTTCTCTAAACCTTCTTCTTGCTTCATTTCATTCATTTGATCTTCAATCACTGATGCCCTTTCTTCCACTTGATCAAATCAACTACTGAAGCTTGTGCATGCATCAGGTAGTTCTCGTCCCATGGTTTTCAGCTCCATCGGGTCCTTTAAGGTCTTCTTTACACTGTTTATTCTAGTTAGCCATTCTTCTCATCTTTTTTCAAGGATTTTAGCTTCCTTGTGATGGGTTCGAACATCCTCCTTTAGCTCGGAGGAGTTTGTTATTACTGATCTTCTGAAGCCTTCTTCTGTCAACTCCTCAAAGTCATTCTCTGTTGAGTTTTGTTCCATTGCTGGTGAGGAGCCGCAATCATTTGGAGGAGAAGGGGCACTCTGGTTTTTAGAATTTTCAGCTTTTCTGCTCTGGTTTCTCTCCATCTTTGTGGTTTTATGTACCTTTGGTCTTTGATGATGGTGACCTACAGATGGAGTTTTGGTGTGGATGTCCTTTTTGTTGATGTTGATGCTATTCCTTTCTGTTTGTTAGTTTTCCTTCTAACAGTCAGGACCCTTAGCTGCAGGTCTGTTGGTGTTTGCTGGAGGTCCACTCCAGACCCTGTTTGCCTGGGTATCACCAGTGGAGGCTGCAGGACAGCAAATATTGCAGAACAGCAAATGTTGCTGCCTGATCCTTCCTCTGGAAGCTTCGTCTCAGAGGGTCACCCAGCTTTATGAGGTGTCAGTCGGCCCCTACTGGGAGGCGTCTTGTAGTTAGGCTACTCGGGGGTCAGGGACCCACTTGAGGAGGCAGTGTGTCTGTTCTCAGATCTCAGACTCCATGCTGGGAGAACCACTGCTCTCTTTAAAGCTGTCAGATGGGGACATTTAAGTCTGCAGAAGTTTCTGCTCCCTTTTGTTCAGCTATGCCCTGCCCCCAGAGATAAAGTCTACAGAGGCTGGCTAGCCTCTTGACCTGCAGTGGGCTCCACCCAGTTCGAGCTTCTGGGCCACTTTGTTTACCTAGACAAGCCTCAGCAATGGCGGACGTCTCTCCCCCAGCCTCGCTGCCTCCTCGCAGTTTGATCTCGGACTACTGTGCTAGCAGTGAGCGAGGCTCCGTGGGCTCGGGACCCGCTGAGCTAGGTGTGCAAAATAATCTCCTGGTGTGCCATTTGCTAAGACCATTGGAAAAGTGCAGTATTAGGGTGGGAGTGTCCTGACTTTCCAGGTACCGTCTGTCACGGCTTCCCTTGGCTAGGAAAGGGAATTCCCTGACCCCTTGCACTTCCCAGGTGAGGCGATGCCCTGCACTGTTTCAGCTCACACTCTGTGGGCTGCACCCACTGTCCAACCAGTCCCAATGAGATGAACCTGGTACCTCAGTTAGAAATGCAGAAATCATTCATCTTCTGTGTCACTCATGCTGGGAGCTGTAGACTGGAGCTGTTCCTATTCAGCCATCTTGAAAACTCCTACCCCAATTTACTTTTTAAGAAGTAAATAATGGGGCTCAGTGTTAAAGAGGAACTAGAGAGGATACTCCCTAGAGAAAAGAATCTTTTGCACTTAGTCAAGGGTTGCCAAATGGAGCAAATGAAAATACAGTATGCCCAGTTAAATTGAATCTCAGTTAAACAATGATTTCTTTATTGTAAATATGTTCCCTGTAATACTTAATATATGCTCAAATGTCTCATTGTTTATTTGAAATTAAATTTAATTCAGCATCCTGAATTTTGTATGCCCATTCTAATATAGTCCATGACAGAAAGAAATAATGAGAACCTTAAGAAAGGTGCTGGAACAAACAGATTCAAGAGGTACAATGAAATAGAACTAGCTGGACTGAATGTCCAGTTAAACATTGAAGGTGAAGATGAAGAAGGTATCCTGGATGACTACTCAAAATAGTCCTTGCGTTTCTAGCCAAAGGGTCGCATTTAGGGATGAAATAAGATTTTTTTTAAGATAGAAGCAGAGTTCATATTTGAACACATTGGTTTCAAACTGCAGGAAATATGTCCTAAGACCGTATCTTTCCTGTATTAGTTATTACAAAATACTGTTTCTGTTATTAAGAGATAGGATAGAATATGGTTAGTTATGTTTCCAAAAATGTTACCTATGAGGAGTTTGGGACAATGAATGGTTGTAAATGAGCCATTTGCCTTGCAAAAACATACTTATACTTATTTTGGATAGTTTTTAGAGGGACATTGAAAAGCATTGACCCAGCCAATACAAAGTGTTTTTGGTGTGTGTGTGTGTGTGTGTGTGTGTGTGTGTGTGTGTGTGTGTGTGTGTTGTTTTAATGGCCTTACTTCGAAAATACCACCACCAACAAACACCTTAGGAATATGTTCATTCCTAATCATTTTTTAAAGTTAGCATTGGTTCATTAAATACAAAAGTCTATGAAGCACCGTCTTAAAACCTCTGCATCTAATGACCTTACCTAATTCAGTCTCTGTAGCCTTTCCAAGGGGACTCACAATCTCCTGTTCTTATTCATCTTTCTCGTGATTTACCCTTGAAAGTTTTATGGACCTTTCCTACAAGAGATAGAATTGAGGGAATGCAATAGAATAGGGGTATTAATTGCAAGTCTTAAAGGCAAAACTGCAGTTATCAAGACAAATTTTTAAAGAATTTAACCAATTTTATAATATGATAAACATAAATTTTAAGCAGATAACTGATCTTAAGTTATGATCTCCCTGGACACTAGTTACTCTGCAAGCAATACCCTTGTGATGGTTAATACTGAGTGTCAACTTGATTCAATTGAAGGATACAAAGTATTGATCCTGGGTGTGTCTGTGGGTGTGTTGCTAAAAGAGATTATCATTTGAGTCAGTGGGCTGGGGAAGGCAGATCCACCCTTAATCTGGTGGTCACAATATAATCAGCTACCAACGGATATAAAACAGGCAGAAAAACGTGAAAAAGAGAGGGGCCTAGCCTCCCAGCCTACATCTTTCTCCCATGCTGAATGCTTCCTGCCCTTGAACATCGGACTCCAAATTCTTCAGTTTTGGGACTCAGACTGGCTCTTCTTGCTCCTCACCTAGCAGACAACCTATTGTGGGACCTTGTGATCATGTAAGTTAATACTTAATGAACTCCCATATATGATATATATATGATATATATATGATATATATATGATATATATGATATATATATGATATATATATGATATATATATGATATATATGATATATATATGATATATATGATATATATATGATATATATGATATATATATGATATATATGATATATATATGATATATATGATATATATGATATATATGATATATATGATATATATATGATATATATGATATATATATGATATATATGATATATATGATATACATATCATATATATGATATGTATATATGATATATATATGATATATATGATATTAAGGGTATGCAATAATGAGGGAAGGAACATAGAGTTGGATAAGGCTGAATGTATTGATCTGGGCCCACTAAGTAGGGACTCTGCTTTTAATAGTATATATATGATATTATATATATATATATTACTTCTGTCCTAATTAGTTCTGTCCTATTAGTTCTGTCCCTCTAAGAGAACCTTGATTAATACAGATTTTGGTATAAGGAGTGGTTCTAGGGGAACAGAATATTAAGGATGGAGTTCTTTTGTTGGTTTTTGGGTCTCTGGAGTTGGCTGCCTAATATGATTAGACCTAAAAAGGCTAAGGACTCTACTTCTAATAATGTGGAAAACACTGATAGTCCTTGCCATGAACCGTTTAGAGAGTTATGCAAAATAAATAAAATAAATGCATTTGACACTCCTGATTCACCACTTATGAGAGGCAAGGAGCTTAGTGTCACTGTACATAATACCTTTGACCATATGTGGAGAACCAAGGAACATAATGAAGCTGGTTGGTTGCTCCTAAGTTCACTGGACAAAATGATGAAAGAAAATGATGAACTCAGAGATTGTGTCTCCCAGCGTCAGAGGCAGATACTGAGCCTCAAATCTGTTAAGATTGCCCTGAGGGAGAGTCTTATCTGCTGTAGAGAAAAGCTGTAATTTTGGAAAAACAGACCCAAGCTCTTATCATGCCAGTGGCTGACCTGCAACAAAAGGTGCATGCACAGCCTCACCAGATGTCTATTGTTAAAATGATAGCATTGATTGGAAAAGAATGGGACCATGAAACTTGGAATGGGGACGTGTGGGAGGACCCTGATGAAGCTGGGAGTACTCAGTTTGTAAACTCTGATGAACCTTTTTTGCCAGAAGGAACAGCTTCCTCATCCCAAGTAGTGGCAACATCCCCTCCCTGACCCATGCTACTATCAGCCTTTCCACCTTTGTCTGAGGAGATAAACCCTGCCATGCCTGAGGCAATAGTGATGGCCTCCCCTGAGGCGGTTGCCAGGCAAAATAATGTTGATTCTCCTCAGGAGCCACCCCCAACACCCCTGTTTGCTTTTAGACCCATAACTAGACTAAAGTCCTGGCAGGTCTCTGGAGGTTAGGTTAAGAGTGTGACCCATGAGGAGGTGAACTACACTAGTAAAGAACTGTTTGAGTTATCTAATTTATATAAAGAGAAATCTGGAGAACAGACATGGCAATTGATATTAAGGGTATGCAATAATGAGAGATGGAATATAGAGTTGGATAAGGCTGAATGTATTGATTTGGGCCCACTAAGTAGGGACTCTGCTTTTAATATTGCAGCTCAGGGAGTTAAAAAGGTTCTAATACTTTATTTGCTTGGTTAGCTGAAATATGGATGAAAAGATAGTCCACTGTGAGCAAACCGGAAATGCCTGATCTCTCTTGGTTTAATGTAGGGGAAAGGATCCAAAGGCTTAGGGAGATTGGTATGGTGGATTGGATAAGTCACTTTAGGCCTACTCATCACTGCTAGGTCAGCCCAGGAGATATAACCTGGACCAATGCCTTGCGAAATAGATTTGTGAGGGTGGCACGTGCATCTGCAAAAAGCCCTGTAATTTCTCTTCTCTGTATGTCAGATCTAATCGTGGGAACCACAGCCACTCAAGTACAAAATTTAAATACAATGGGAATAATTGGATCCCTAGGTGGCAGGGGCCAAGTGGCAGCACTCAACCATCAAAGGCAAGGTGGGCATAGCTACCACAATGGACAGCAGAGGGAAAGAGGCAATCAGAATTTTCTGACTCGTGTAGAGCTCTGGCATTGGGTAATTAATCACAGTGCTCCTAGAAGAGAAATTAATAGGAAGCCTACTGCATTCCTACTTAAATTATACAAACAGAAAACTTCTAGGTCGAATGGACACAAAGCTAATTTGAATTATAAAAAGAGAGAATCATAGCCCCTCAACTCATTTCCAGACTTGAGCCAGTTTATGGACACAGAACCCCTTGAATGAAGGGAAGGCTGGGTCCTCTTGAGGAAGGACACCACTACATAACCTACAATTTATGCAGTGAATCTTTCTCCCATCTTTCCCCAAGGAGACCTCCAGCCTTTTACCAGGTTAACTGTGCATTGGGAAAAGAGAAATGATCAGACATTTCAGAGATTACTGGACACTGGCTTTGAGCTGTCATTGATACCCAAAATGTCACTGTGGTCCTCCAGTTAAAGTAGTGGCTTATAGAGGTCAGTTAGTTAATGGAGTTTTAGCTCAGACCCGACTTACAGTGGGTCCAGTGGGTCCCTGAACTCATCCTGTCATCATTTCCCTAGTGCCAGAATGCATAATTGGCATAGACATACTTAGCAGCTGGCAGAACCCCCACATTGGCTCCCTGACTGGTAGGGTGAGGGCGATTATGGTGGGAAAAACCAAATGGAGGCCATTAGAGCTGCTTCTACCTAGAAAAATAGTAAATCAAAAACAATATCACATCCCTGGAGGGATTGTGGAGATTAGTGCCACCATTATGGACTTGAAAGACACAGGGGTGGTGATTCCCCCCACATCCCCATTCAACTCTCCCATTTGGCCTGTGCAGAAGACAGATGGATCTTGGAGAATGACAGTTGATTATCATAATCTTAACCAAGTGGTGATTCCAACTGCAGCTGCTGTACCAGATGTGGTTTCATTGCTTGAGCAAATTAACACATCTCTTGGTACCTGGTATGGAGTCATTGACTTGGCAAATGCCCTTTTCTCCATTCCTGTCCATAAGGCCCACCAGAAGAAATTTGCCTTCAGCTGGAAAGGCCAGCAATATACTTTTACTGTCTTACCTCAGGAGCATATCAACTCTGGCTTTGTGTCATAATCTTATTCGAAGACACCTTGATTGCTTTTCGCTTCTTCAAGATATCACGCTGGTCCATTACATTGATGACATTATGCTGATTGGATCCAGTGAGCAAGAAGTAGCAAACACACTAAAGGTATTGGCAAGACATTTGCATGCCAGAGTATGGGAAATAAATCCCACTAAAATTCAGAGACCTTCTACCTCAGTAAAATTTCTAGGGGTACTGTGGTGTGGGGCCTGTCAAGATATCCCTTCTAAGGTAAAGGTTAAGTTGCTGCATTTAGCCTCTCCTACAATCAAGAAAGAGGCACAATGCCTAGTGGGCCTATTTGGATTTTGGAGGCAATACATTCCTTATTTGGGTGTGTTACTCCAGCCCATTTATCGAGTGACCTGAAAGGCTGCCTGTTTTGGGTGGGGTCCAGAACAGGAGAAGGCTCTGCAACAGGTCCAGGCTGATGGGCAAGCTACACTGCCACTTGGGCCATATAATCCTGCAAATCCAATGGTGCTTGAGGTGTTAGTGGCAGATAGGGATGCTGTTTGGAGCCTTTGGCAGGCTCCCATAGGTGAATCACAGCAGAGGTCTCTAGAATTTGGGGGCAAGGCCCTGTCATCTTATGCAGATAACTACTCTCCTTTTGAGAGACAGCTCTTGGCCTGTTACTGGGCTTTGGTGGATGCTGAACGTTTGACTATGGGCCATCAAGTCGCCATGTGACCTGGCCTGCCTATCATGAACTGGGTGCTTTCTGACCCATCTAGCCATAAAGTGGATCATGCACAGCAGCATTCCATCATCAAGTGGAAGTGGTATATATGTGATCAGCCTCAAGCATGTCCTGAAGACACAAGTAAGTTACATGGGGAAGTGGCTCAAATGCCCATGGTCTTCACTCTTGCCACACTGCCTTCTCTCCCCCAGCCTGCACTGATGGCCTCATGGGGAGTTCCCTATGATCAGTTGACAGAGGAAGAGAAGACTAGGGCCTGGTTCACAGATGGTTCTACACGATATGCAGGCATCACCCGAAAGGGGACAGCTGCAGCACTACAGCCCTTTTCTAGGATGATTATATACTGATTCATGGGCTGTAGCCAATGGTTTGTCTGGATGGTCAGGGACTTGGAAGAAGCATGATTGGAAAATTGGTGACACAGAAATTTGAGGAAGAGGTCTGTGGATGGACCTCTCTGAATGGTCAAAAACTGTGAAGATATTTGTATCCCATGAGAGTGCTCACCAATGGGTGACCTCAACAGAGGAAGATTTTAACAATCAAGTGGATGGGATGAACCATTCTGAGGACACCCCTCAGCCTCTTTCCCCAGCCATCCTTTTCATCACCCAATGGGCCCATGAACAAAGTGGCCATGGTGGCAGGGATGGAGGTTACCTATGGGCTCAGCAACATGGATTTCCACTCACCAAAGCTGACCTGGCTATAGCCACTGATGAGGGTCCAATTTGCCAGTTGCAGAGACCAACACTGTGCCTGCCCATCGTGCAAGCAATGTTTCTGCCAAAACTACTATCCGTGGACTCACAGGATGCCTTATCCACCGTCATGGTATTCCACAGAACATTGCCTCTGACCAAGGCACTCACTTTATGGTTAAAGAAGTGTGGCAGTGAGCTCATGCTGATGGAATTCATTGGTCTTACCATGTGCCCCATCTTCCTGAATCAGCTGAATTGATACAACAGTGGTACTGCCTTTTGGAGTCATAAGTACAATGCCAACTAGGTGACAATACTATGCAGGACTGGGGCAAAATTCTCCAGAAGGCCATGTATGCTCTGAATCAGCATCCAATATATGGTACTGTTTCTCCCATAACCAAGATTCATGAGTCCAGGAATCAAGGTGTGGAAGTGGAAGTGGCACCACTCACCATCACCCCTAGTGATCCACTAGCCAAATTTTTGCTTCCTATTCCCATGACATTACATTTTGCTGGCCTAGAGGTCTTAGTTCCAGAAGGATGAACACTGCCACCATGAGACACAACCATAATTCCATAAACTGGAAGCAAAGATTGACACCTGGACACTTTGGGCTCCTCCTACCTTTAAGTCAACAGGCTAAGAAGGGAGTTACAGTGTTGGCTGAGGTGATTGACCTGGACTATCAAGATGAAATCAGTCAACCACACCACAATGGAGGTAAGGAAGTGTATGCATGGAATACAGGAGATCCATTAAGGCGTCTCTTAGTATTACCATGCCCTGTGATTAAGGTCAATGGGAAACCACAACAGCCCAATCCAGACAGGACTACAAATGGTCCAGATCCCTCAGGAATGAAGGTTCAGGTCACTTCACTGGGGAAAAACCATAACCTGCTGAGGTGCTCGCTGAAGGCAAAGGGAATACAGAATGGGTGTAGAAGAAGGTAGTCATCAATACTAGCTACGACCACGTGACCAGCTGCAGAAACAAGTATTGTAACTGTCATGAGTATTTCCCCCTTCTTTTGTTTAAAACATGTTTGTGCATGTATACACTTGTACAAAGAAATCTTCATTTTATTTCCTTTTCCTTTGTGTGACATAAGATTTATTGACTTCATATCAGCATTTAAGCATTGTTAACTTTATGTATTAGTATTTGGGTTGGGGATTGGTGCATTTCCATTTGTACGAAGGATAGTTTTATTATGTTAGGCAAAATTATGACCTTATTATTGTCTTTATTTGAAGATCATGTATGATCTCAGCATACATGTATGGGTTCAAGTTGACAAGGGTGGACTGATGATGGTTATTACCGAGTGTCAACTTGACTGATCTGAAAAGTACAAAGTATTGATCCTGGTTGCGTCTGTGAGGGTATTGAAAAAAGAGATTAACATTTGAGTCAGGGGGCTGGGGAAGGCAGATCCTTTAATCTGGTGGGCACAATCTATTCAGCTGCTGGTGAATATAAAGGAGGCAGAAAAACGTGAAAAGGAGAGACGGGCCTAGCCTCCCAGCCTACATCGTTCTCCCATGCTGGATGTTTCCTGCCGTCGAAATTCAGACTCCAAGTTCTTCAGTTTTGGGACTCAGACAGGCTCTCCCTGCTCCTCAGCTACCAGACAGCCTATTGTGGGGCCTTGTGATCATGTAAGTTAATACTTAATAAACTCCCCTTTATACATATATATATATATATATACACACACACACATATATAACTAATATATATTAGAGGACTAATAAGATATATACACATATATTATATATATATACATATATATGACATATGCAAACCTTATTAGTTCTCTAATATATATTAGTTATATATATATACATATATATATATGTATATATATATATATATACACACACACATATATATATATATATATATATGGGGAGTTTATTAAGAATTAACTTACATGATCACAAGGTTCCACAATAGGCTGTCTGGAAGCTGAAGAGCAAGGAGAGCCTGTCTGAGTCACAAAACTGAAGAACTTGGAGTCTGATATGTATATATATATATATATACACACACACACACACACACACACACACATATCAGTTCTGTCCCTCTAAGAGAACTCTGACTAATACAACCCTCTTGGATTATTATGATTATGATTATTATTTAATTAGTGGTCCAATAGAAAAAAAAATGTTCAGAACAAGTTACTGGCAGCAACTTGATGAGACTTCTCATCCCTTGCATAAGTAAACATAAAGTTCTACATTGGGCATCACTTATACTGCAGATAAGCATGTCTAGCCACTTGTTATGTAGATAATTCTTACCACATTTGATCATTAGCATTTTCAACAGGGATATGTTGGTTCATAAACCCCAGGATTAACAGAAATGCTTGTATCATATAAATGGAAAGAAGCTTCCATTAAGAACATACCCTTGTTACATTAGTACTTCTTATAATGAGCTTCGGTCTTCATAAATATCTGTGCCCTCATTTAAACAATTAGCACAGACTTAAAGTTCATCACTTGAACTTCAACATTTCAACAAAAAACAAATTTATACACCACATTACACAGTTTTATTTCTGAATGTACAATATGGGGAAAGCAATTGCTGCTTATTTTCATTTAATTAACAATGAAGGATAAATGACATCAGCAAAGAAATATCAGCCAAAGGGGACCAAGTGTGTTTGTTGCAGATCGCCTCATTAGCTTGTTTCCAAAATATGTTCACCAGAGTGAAAAGCAATTGTGACTATCTGGGTGACAAAACATCTGCTCTATTAGCTCCAATAAGGCTACTGGGAGTGGATAAGGACAAACTGTGTTTTTATTTAATCAGGTTAAGTGGAAACTGAGAGATAATCTGTCATTTATGGTCTTGTCCCAGGCTGCTGTTTCTTCTAAAATAATAATAGTAATAACTTAGAAAGTAAGAGTTGCCATTTAAAGTTTTATGCTTTTTGTAAGTAAAGGATATCCATCTGTTTTGTAATAAGTATAAATGCTGTAGCAGCAAGTTATCAAAAAAGTAACTGCCTTAGCTCTTTAATAAACACATCAGGGACTGAGGGTACTTGCTACTCTAAACGTGATAGTACAATAATTTTGTATTATAAATCATTTTTACAAAATATTGGCCTAATTGTTTAAGCTATTAGTAAGTTATGAAGATGAATCAAGCCCACAGTTTTTATATTGTTGGTTAAATTCACATCCAAAGAAGCTATATTTAGTTACTGAGTAGCATTTCAAATAGTTACCTATGGAAATGATAAATTATTTTTGTTATTATATGGTACCAAGATACAGTACATTTTTAACACAGAAAAATTAATTCCTTGTTAAGCTACCTAAATAATCTAACAAACAAGGCAGATAATCACATACATACAATATATGGGTGAAATGGATATAATTGTAGTTAGGCAAGATGTACTATTATTTTAAAAAGAGGAAACCTTTCTGTTTGCTATGACTTGTTAGTAAACCATCCACTTAATCATTCTTAATTATTGCTCTAAGGAATCTATTGTACACAGCAAGAATTCCTTTGAGAGAATAGGATTTGTGTTGCCAAATGATCAGAAAGCATCATTTACTAGAGGTTCTCTTTTCTAAATTTACTTTTAAAATATTTATAATTGACACACAGTAATTGTACATATTTATGGGGTATTAATGTGATGTTTCAATTCAGATATACATTGTATAATGATCAAATCAGAGTAATTAGCATATCCATCACTTTAAACACTTATGATTTATTTGAAGTGATAACATTCAAAAACTTCTCTTCTAGCTATCTTGAAATATGCACTTTATTATTATTAGTCACCCTACTATTTAATAGAACACTTTGTATGGTTTGGCTGTGTCCTTTGGATGTGTACCTAAATCTCATCTTGAATTCCAACATGCTATGGGAGGGACCTGGTGGGTGTGGGAAGTAATTGAATCATAAAGGCAAGTCTTTCCCATGCTGTTCATCTTGATAGTCAATAAGTCTCACGAGATCTGATGGTTTTGAAAAAGAAGTTCTCCTGCACAAATTCTCTCTCTTTGCCTGCTGCCATCCATATTAAGATGTGACTTGCTCCTCCTTGACTTCCACCATGATTGTGCAGCCTCCCCAGCCACGTGGAACTATAAGTCCATTAAACTTCTCTTTCTTTTATAAATTGCCCAGTCTTGGGGTTTATCAGCAGCATGAAAATGGACTCATAAAACACTGGAACTTATTCTTCTTGTCTAAACATAACTTTGCACCCCCTCACCAATATCTCTCCACCCTCTCTTCCCCACACCTTCCCTAATTCCTGGTAACTACTATTCTACTCTCTACTTCTAGGAGATCGGCTCTTTTAGATTCCACATGTGAGTGAGATCGTGTGGTGTTTCTCTTTCTGTGCCTGGCTTATTTAATTTAAAATAATATTCTCCTGGTTAGTCCATGTTGCCACAAATCACAGGATTTCGTTTATTTTGTGGCTGAATGGTATTCCAATGTTTGTATTGCTCTGCTAGGATGTGGGAAATTTGTCTGCAGTAGTAGAAAATAGTAAAAATATACAAGAAATTATCAGACAACAAAACATATTAAATTAAATGTTAATAAAATTGAGGAGAATATAAGCAATTTCAGGATCATAATGCCTATCTAGCTTCAACCCTGTCACATTAGATAGATGAGTTTGCCTTATCCTACTTATAGCTTCCACTTTAATCAGAATACATATAATTTAGGTAGGATAAAAGGCAAAGATAAATTATTGATTGTGCTGATTTTCACTGTGAAGGCCCAAGTCCTTTCTTCTTGAGGGTTAAAATCATCTAACTTTGGAGTTCTCCTATCACCTGTTTGGAAATAGATGCATAGTCAGTGAACAAGAAAGCAATGACTCTGATGCAAACTTTTCTTCATGAAAGACATATGTATATGGCACTGCCAAAGTTAACTCTTCATTGTATGATCTGCTTTACTTTGATTTATACACTTGTAGAAGAACAAAGAATGAGAGTTTAAGGACTAAGAAATCTAGGAACAATCAGTTAACCCCAAATTTTGGTTCTTTTTTCTTGTGCTGCAGGTGTATAAATCTGAAGAAATATCTTTGGGCACTTAAGATACTAAGTGGGTGAGTTAGGGACAAAATCCCAAAAGCAACAAGTGATCACTGAACTTCTCAAGTAAGGTTGACTAATTATATTACAGCTATTAATTCAATATCTAATCTTATGTAAGATATTTTTGGAAAAAAATACCCAATCTTAAATGCCCAATTTACCTGTTTCATGATTATTCCTACAAAGTGTGGGTCATAACACAAACAAAAATCTAGGACTTTATTCTGTGCTGCCTCTTTTATCTTGTTATTTTCCTTTACCATGTGACAGTTTGAGGTTCTTTCTGATTGTTAAGGTCATGTTTATTTCTATTTACTATAATTCATTGTTAAATAACCTCTGTCCTCTTTTCTAGATTTTATATTTTTGAAGAAAATAAATATCACGCACAAACATACATACAACATTCATTTGAGAATTTTTATAGCATTTTTTATCCGTATGAAATGCACAATTTTTACATTTTTAATTGACCAATAATAGTTGTGTATATTTACAGGGCATAATTTGATGTTTTGATCTATGTATACATTATGGAGGGAGTCAATAAAGTTGATTAACATATTAATCACCTCACCCATTTATTATAATTTTGTAGAGAGAAAATTAAAAATCTATTTTAGCTGTTTTGAAATACACATTATTATTAACTGTGGTCAACATGCACTACAATAGATCACTAAAACTTATGCCTCCAGTCTAACTGAAATTTTGTACCTTTTCATCAACATCCAGCAATCCCATTTCTGGGTATACACAAAGTAATTAAAATTGATATATTAAAGAGATATCTGCATTGTTTTGTTCATTTCAGCATAATTCACAATAACCAAGAAATGGAAACTGGAAACAACCTCAGTGTCCATCAAAGGATGAATAGATTAAAAAAGGGATAGAATAGATAAATAAAAGTTGTACACATACACAATAGAATAATATACAGTCTTTAAAAAGAAAGAAATTCTGTCATTTGTAAAAACATGGATGGAACTGGAAGACAATATGCTCAGCAAAGTAAGTCAGGCACTGAAAGACAAATATTGCATAATCTCACTTATATGTGGAATCTAAAATTTCTATCTCAGGAAAACAGAGAGTAGAAAGGTAGCAAATAGAGGCTAGGGTGAGGGAGAGGTATGGGGATGGGAAAAAGATGTACAAATATTTTGAACATCTTTACTGAATGTACTTGTATATTCAATCACAATAACATCATTTCAGAAAAATATACAAAGTTTAGAAAATTAATCTTCTGATAATTTAATTAAACTGGGAAAGGTGCTTGGCCTTTTACTTAAGTTTAAATTATTGAGCCAGGCTGATTCTGGGAAGCAAGGTGGCAGAATAGAAAGCTCCACTGATTGTCCCCCACTTAAGAACACCAAGTTAACAACTCTCTATACAGAAAAAAAAAAAAAAACCTTCATAAGAACCAAAAGTCAGGTGAGTACACATAGTTCCTGGTTTTAACTTCTTATCACTGAGGGAGACCATGAGGAGATGGAAAATACAGTCCTATCTGTTGTGATGCTGCCATTCTCCCTTCTCCAGCAGCCGTAGAGTGGGTGGCAGAGAACATATCTGGGTGTTGGGAGGAGGGAGAACACAGCAATTGGAAGGAATTGAACTCAGTTCTGTCCTGTTAGAGCACAAAGAAAAACCTGGTGAAACTCAGCTAATGCCCCCCGACAGAGGGAGCATTTAAACCAGCCCTAGCCAGAGGGGAATCTCTGATAGGTCCCAGCAGTTTGAACTTGAGTGCCCAAAAATCTCATCCTTGAGGGCCAAAGTGCTCTCAATCTCTAAGTAAACTTTAAAGCCCATCTAGGCCATAAGGACTGCAATTCCTAGGCAAGTCCAAGTACTGAACTAGGCCCAGAGACAGTGGATTTGGGGCAGGGCAAACAGCATACTAAGACCCCAGCTGGGGAAGCCAAGGGAGTGCTGGCATCACCCCTCCCCTAACCCCAGGCTGCACAGCTCATGGCTCCAAAAAAATCTCATTTCTTCAGCTTAAGGAGAGGAGAAAGAAGAGTGGGGAGGACTTTGTCTTGCATCTTGGATACCAGCTCAGCTACAGCAGGATAGGGCACTGGTCAGAATTCTGAGTTCCCCATTCCTAAAGCATACAGCGCAAGCAGTACTAAGAGGGATGTTTATAGCTATAAGTGCCCATATCAAAGAGAGAAAAAATTTCAAATAAACAATCTAATGATGCATCTTAAAGACTTGGAAAAGCAAGAGCAAACCAAATTCAAAGTTAGTAGAATAAAATTAATAAAGATCAGAGCAGAAAGAAATGAAATTGAAATGAGGAAAATAATACAAAAGATCAATGCAACAAAAACTTAACTTTTTGAAAAGTTAAAGTTGACAAACTTTTAGTCAGACTAAGTAAGAAAAAAGTGAGATAAGTTTCAAATGAAAAAATCAGAAATAAAAAGGAGACATCACAACTGATATTGCATAAATTAAATGGATCACTAGAGGATACCAGGAGCAACTACATGCCAATAAATTGGAAAATCTAGAAGAAATGGACAAATTCCTAGATACTTACAACCTTCCAAAATTGAAACAGAAAGAAATTGAAAAACCTCAACAGACCAATAACAAGTAATAAGATAAAAGCTGTAATAAAAAGTCTTCCAGTAAAAAAAAGCTCAGGACCTGATGGCTTCACTGCTGAATTCTACCAAACATTAAAAAGAAAAATTAATATAAATCTTACTCAAACTATTCTGACAAATAGAGGAGGAAGGAATACTTTCCAACTCATTCTACAAAGACAGTATTTCACTGATAACAAGACGAGACAAAGACACATCATAAAAATAATCTACAGGCCAACATAGCTGATAAATATTGATGCAAAAATCACCAACAAAATACTAGAAACTGAATTTAACAATACACTAGAATGACTGTTCCTCATGACCAAGTAGGATGTAACCCTGGAATGCAGGGATGGTTCAACATCCACAAAATCTATTAATGTGATACATCATATCAACAGAATGAAGGATAAAAAACATATGATCATTTTAATTGATCCTAAAAAAGCATTTGAAAAAGTTTAATGTCCCTTCATGATTAAAAAAACCCAAAATGTTGGATATAGAAGGAACATACCTCAAAATAATAAAAGTGATATATAACAGACTCACAGCTAGTATCATACTGAATGAGGAAAAACTGAAAGCCTTTTCTCTAAGATTTGGAACATGACTAGAAGGTCCCCTGTCACCACTGTTATTCAACATAGTACTGGAAAGCCTAGCTAGAGCAATAAGACCAGAGAAAGATATAAAGGGCATCCAAATTAAAAAAGAAAAAATCAAATTATCCTTATGTGCTGATCATATGATCATATAATTAGAGAAACTTGAAGAGTCCAAAAGAAAACTATTAGAACTGATAAACTAATTCAGTAAATTTGTAGAATAAAAATCAACATAAAAAATTCAGTAGCATTTCTACATACTTGTAGTGAACAATGTGAAATAAAAATAAAAAGCAATAATATAGCCACACATAAAATTAAATACCTAGGAATTTACTTAACCAAAGAATTGAAAGACCTCTATAATGAAAACTACAAAACACTGATGAAGGAAATTGAAAACACCAAAAATGGAAAAATATTTCACTTTCATAGATTGGAAGAATCAATATTGTTAAAGTGTCCATAATACCCAAAGCAATCTACAGATTCAATGCAATCCCTATAAAATACCAATGACATTCTTACAAAAATAGAGAAAACAATCATACAATTCATATGGAACCACAAAAGACCCAGAATAGCTAAAGCTATTATAAGTAAGAACAAAAATTTAGAAATGATATAACCTGTTGACAAGTTATACTGTAGAGCTATAGTGACCAAAGTGGCATGGTACTGTCATAAAAATAGGCATATAGATTAACAGAACAGAATAGAAACCCCAGGATCAAATCTGCACACCTACAGTGAATCTATTTTTGACAAACGTGCCAAGAACATACACTGGGGAAAAGACAGTCTCTTCAATAAATGATGGTGCTGGGAAAACTGGATATCCATATGCAGAAGAACAAGACTGGAGCCCCATCTCTCCCCATATACAAAAAATCAAATTAAAATGGATTAAAACTTAAATCTAAGACCTCAAACTGTTAAAATACTCCAATAAAACATAGGGGAAACCCCCCAGGACATTGTTCTGGACAAAGATTTCTTGAGCAATACCCTATAAGCACAGGCGACCAAAGCAAACATGGACAAATGTGATCACATCAAGTGAAAACCTTCTGCACAGCAAAAGATGCAGTCAATGAAATGTAGAGACAACCCTCAGAATGGGAGAAAATATTTGCCAACTACTTATTTGATAAGGAGTTAATAACCAAAATATATAGGGAGTTCAAACAACTTTATAGAAAAAAATCTAATAATCCAATCAAAACTGGGCAAAAGACTTGAATAGGCATTTCTCAAAAGAAGATATAAAATGTCAAACAGGCATATGAAAATGTGCTCAACATCATTGATCATCAGAGAAGTGCAAATCAAAACTACAATGAGATATCATCTCACCAAAGTTAAAATGGCTTGTATCCAGAGACAGGCAATAACAAATGCTTGCAAAGATATGGAGAAAATGGAATGGAACCCTTGCACACTATTGTTGAGAATGTAAATGAATAAAACCACTATTTAGAACAGCTTGGAAGTTTCTTTAAGAAAAACTAAAAATTGAGTCCACAGCTGCAGTGCGCCGGGAAGCACTATCAGCAGACTCACGTGGAGCATGCACAAGCAGCCCCAAAGTGGTTCCTGGCCATACAGCCAGGGAAGCAAAGGCCAAGAGGACTGCAAACACCACAGGTTTCAGGAAACAATCTCTTAAAGCAGAAAGACACATGCTTAAAGAGGCCAATTACTAAATGTAGTCTTCCAGACAATGGGGGATTATGACAGACTGGAGGAAGGACTAGATTGCAGCTCTGACTTGGACAGACAGAGCAGTTTATGGAGGCTTGCATCATAAATTTTAGTTCCAAAATGACTGCAGGAATAAACCAGGAAACCCGAGAGGACCCACAGCCCCTCAGAAGGAAGCAGATTGCTCCTGCAGGACCCAGGAGACACTCCAAATACTGTGAGTGCCCAAACTGCGTAAATGGAAAAGGGAGATCATCCACCTCCAAAGATAACACTCCCACTGGGGAAACTGAAGGTCTAGATTATGGGAGAAGATTCTTACCTTACGTGGAGCTGAGTCAATTTACAGAGCCGAGCAAAATACAAAGGTAGAGGAAGCAGCGGGAAAGGCCCTGTGAGCTCGCTGGGTCCCCAAGCAGGCCATTCCTGCCTGGCCTCTCAGGGATCCTTTGGGAGGGCAGCCAGAGGTGCTGGGAAAAGGCCACAGGGAGAATGAAATCTCCAGCTGAACTTTGTAATGATTTGAACTGATTGAGAAGCCTTCTGGCCAGAACTTGGGAGAAGGCATGAATCCAGTGTGCAGACTCTACAGGTGGGGAAAGGAAATCCATACTTGCTTTCACAACTGGGAGGTGGGTAGCCTGGGGCAAGTTCTCAGCCCTGCTTACCCACTGCCTGGAAACAGACTCAGTGCTATTGGGAGGGACATGGTGGGAGTGAGACCGGCCCTTGAGATTGTGTGAAAACTGGGTGAGGCCTGTGACTACCGGCTTTCCCCCACTTCCCTGACAACCTGCATGACACAGTAGAAACAGCCACAATCTTCCTAGGATCATAACTCTATTGACCTGAGAAGCTCACCCCCATCCTCCACAGCAGCCACTGCAAGACTCCCGCAAGGAAAGTCTGAGTTCAGACATACGTAGCCCTGCCCCACCCAATGGTCTTTCCCTACCCACCCTGGTAACTGAGGACAAAGGGCATATACTCTGGGGAGTTCTAGGGCCCCACCCACCACCTATTCTTTTCCATACTAACACAGCTGATAATTTCTGAAAAGCACCACCTCCCAGCAGGAGGCCGACCAGCACAAAAATAGTGCATTAAACCAACAAAGCTAAGAACCCTCACAGAATCCATTTCACCTCCCTGCCACCTTCACTGGAATAGGTTCTGGTATCCATGGCTGAGAGATTAACAGATGATTCACATCACAGGACTCTGTGCAGATAACCCACAGTAAAGGCCTGGAGCCTGGTAGACTTGCTGGGTGGCTAGATCTAGAAAGGAGATAACAAAGACTCTAGCTTGGCTCTCAGAAAACCACATCCATAGGAAAAGGGGGAGAGTACTACATCAAGGGAACAACCCATGGGACAAAAGAATCTGAACAACAGGCTTCAGCCCTAGACCCTCTCTCTGACAGCCTACTCAAATGAGAAGGAAACAGAAAACCAACTCTGGTAATATGACAAATCAAGGTTCTTTAACACCTCCAAAAAATCACACTAGCTCACTAGCAATGGATCCAAACCAAGAAGAAATCCCTGATTTACCTGAAAAAGAATTCAGGAGGTCAGTTGTTAAGCTAATCGGGGAGGCACCAGAGAAAGGTGAAGTCCAATGTAAAGAATTCAAGAAAATGACACAAGAAGTAAAGGGAGAAATATTCAGTGTAATAGACAGCCTAAATAGAAAACAATCAGAACTTCAGGAAACAATGGACACACTTACAGAAATGCAAAATGCTCTGGAAAGTCTCTGCAATAGAACTGAACAAGTAGAACAAAGAAATTCAGAGCTCAAAGACAAGGTCTTTGAGTGGACCCAATTCAACACAGACAAAGAGAAAAGAATAAGAAAATATGAACAAAGCCTCCAAGAAGTCTGGGATTATGTTAAATGACTAAACCTAAGAATAATCAGCTTTCCTGAGGAAGAAGAAAAATCTAAAAGTTTGGAAAACATATTTCGGGGAATAATCGAGAAAAAGTTTCCTGGCATTGCTAGAGACTTAAATATCCAAAGACAAGAAGCACAAAGAACTCCTGAGAAATTCATCACAAAAGGATCATCACCTAGGCACGTTGTCATCAGGTTATCTTAAGTTCAGTTGAAGGATAGAATCTTAAGAGCTGTAAGGCAAAAGCACCAGGTAACCTATAAAGGGAAACCTATCAGCTTAACAGAAGACTTCTCAGCAGAAACCCTACAAGCTAGAAGGGATTGGGGGCCCTACCTTCAGCCTCCTGAAATAAAACAATTGTCAGACAAGAATATTAGATCCAGCAAAAGTAAGCTTCATATGTTAAGGAAAGATAGTCTTTTTCAGACAAACAAATGCTGAGAGAATTTGTCACTACCAAGCCACCACTATAAGAACCGTTAAAAGGAACTCAAAAATCTTAAAACAAATCCTGGAAACACATCAAAACATAACCTCTTTAAGGCATAAATCTCACAGGACCTATAAAACAAGGACACAATTTAAACAACAACAAAAAAAAAACCAAGGTACACAGTCAACAAATAGCACGATGAATGGAATGGTACCTCACATCTCAATACTAACGTTGAGTTTAAATGGCCTAAATGCTCCACTTAAAAGATACAGAACTGCAGAATGGATAAGAATTCACCAAACAACCATCTGCTGCCTTTAAGAGACTCACCTAATACATAAGGACTCACATTAACTTAAGGTAAATGTGTGGAAAAAAACACTATGCAAATGGACACCAAAAGCAAGCAGGAGTAGCTATTCTTCTATCAAACAAAGCAAACTTTACAGCAAGAGCATTTTAAAAAGACAAAGAGGGATATTATATAATGGTAAAAGGCCTTGTTCAACAGGAAAATATCACAATCCTAAACATACATGCCCCTAACACTGGAGCTCCCAAATTTATAAAACAATTACTAATAGACCCAAGAAATGAGATAGACAGCAGCACAATAAGAGTGGGGAACTTCAATACTCCACTGACAGCACTAGACAGGTTATCAGGTCAGAAAATCAACAAATTGACTTAACAGATATATACAGAACATTCCATCCAACAACTGCAGAATATACATTCTATTAAATATCACATGGAACTTTCTCCAAGATAGACCATATGATAGGCCACAAAACAAGACTCAATAAATTTAAGAAAAGTATCAAGTACTGTCTCAGATCACAGTGGAATAAAACTGGAAATCAACTCCAAAAGGAACCTTCAAAACCATGTAAATACATGGAAATTAAATAACCTGCTCCTAAATGATCATTGGGTCAAAGATGAAATCAAGATGGATATTAAAAAATTATTTGATCTGAACAACAATGGTGACACAACCTATCAAATCCTCTGGGATACAGCAAAGATGGTGCTAAAAGGAAAGTTTATAGCCCCAAATGCCTGCAGCGACTGAAAGAGAACAAATAGACAATCTAAGGTCACACCTCAAGGAACTAGAGAAAGAAGAACAAAATAAACCCTAACCCAGACGAAGAAAGGAAATAACCAAGATCAGAGCAGAGCTAAATGAAATTGAAACAAACAAACAAATAAATAAACATTACAAAAGATAAAACAGCTGGTTCTTTGAAAAGATAAATAAAATTGATGGACCACTAGCAAGATTAACAAAGAAAATAAGAGGAAAAATCCAAATAAGCTCAATAAGAAATGAAATGAGAGATATTACAACTGACACCACAGAAATACAAAAGATCATTCAAAGCTACTATGAACACCTTTATTTGCATAAACTAGAAAACCTAGAAATGATGGATACATTACTGGAAAGATACTACCCTCCTAGCTTAAATCAGGAAGAATTATATACCCTGAACAATTCAAAATAAGCAGTGAGATTGAAATGGCAATTAAAAAACTACCAACAATAACAAAAAAAGTCCAGGACCAGATGGATTCACAGCAGAATTCTACCAGACATTCAAAAAAATTAGAACCAATCCTTTTGACACTATTCCACAAGATAAAGAGGGAAACCTCCTTAAATCATTCTATGAAACCAGGATTACCCTAATACCAAAACCAGGAAAGGAATAACCAAAAAATAAAATTAGAGACCAATATCCTTGATAAACATAGATGCTAAAATCCTTAACAAAATACTAGCTAACCAAATCCAACAGCATATCAAAAATATAATCCACCATGATCAAGTGTGTTTCATGCCAGGGATGCAGGGATGATTTAACATTCGTGAGTCAATAAATGTGATACACCACATAAACATAATTAAAGACAAAAATTACATGATCATCTCAGTAGATGCAGAAAAAAGCATTCAACAAAATCCAGCATCCCTTTATGATTAAAAGTCTCAGCAAACTCGACATACAAGGGACATACCTAAATGTAATAAAAGCCATCTATGACAAACCCACAGCCAATATAATACTGAATGGGAGAAAGTTGAAAACATTTCCTCTGAGAACTGGAACAAGACAAAGATGCTAACTCTCACCACTCCTCTTCAATATAGTACTGGAAGCCTTAACCAGAGCAATCAGACAAGAGAAAGAAATAAAGGGCATCCAAATTGGTAAAGAGGAGGTCAAACTGTCACTGTTCTCTGTTGATATGATCGTCTACCTCGAAAACCCTAAAGACTCCTCCAGAAAGCTCCTAGAACTGATACATGAATTCAGCAAAGTTTCCAGATACAAAATTAATGTACACAAATCAGTAGCTCTTCTATATGCCAATAGCCACAAAGCTGAGAATCAAATAAAGAACTCAACCCCTTTTACAATAGCTGCAAAAAATAAAAATAAAATACTTAAGAATATACCTAACCAAGGAGGTGAAAGACCTCTACGAGGAAAACTACAAAATACTGATGAAATAAATCGTAGATGACACTAACAAATGGAAACATATCCCATGCCCATGAATGGGTAGAATCAGTATTCTGAAAATGACCATATTGCCAAAAGCAACCTAAAATTCAATGCAATTCTCATCAAATACCACCATCATTCTTCACAGAATCAGAAAAAAACAATTGTAAATCTCATGTGGAACCAAAAAAGAGTCCACATAGCCAAAGCAAGACTAAGCAAAAAGGACAAATCTGGAGGCATCACATTATATGATTTCAAACTATAAGGCCACAGTCACCAAAACAACATGGTACTGGTATAAAAATAGGCACATAGACCAATGGAAAAAGAATAGAGAAACCAGAAATAAGTATTTACAGCCTTTGAGATCTTTGACAAAGCAAACAAAAACATAAAGTCGGGAAAGGACACCCTTTTCAACAAATGGTGCCGGGATAATTGGCTAGCCAAATGTAGGAGAATGAAACTGGATCTTCGTCTTTCACCTTATACAAAAATCAACTAAATCTAAAATCTGAAACTATAAAAATTCTAGAAGATAACATTGGAAAAACCTTTCTAGACATTGACTTAGGCAAAGATTTCTTGACCAAGAACCCAAAAATAAATGCAACAAAAACAAAGATAAATAGCTGGGACTTAAATAAGCTAAAGAGCTTTTGCATGGCTTAAGGAACAGTCAGCAGAGGAAACAGACAATCCACAGAATGGGAGAAAATCTTCACAATCAGACAAACAACCGATATCCAGAATCTATAAGGAACTCAAACAAATCAGCAAGAAAAAAAAAAACAATCCCATCAAAAAGTGGGCTAAGGACATGAATATACAATTCTCAAAAGAAGATATACAAATGGCCAACAAATATATGAAAAAATGCTCAACATCACTAATGATCAGGGAAATGCAAATCAAAACCACAATGCAATATCACCTTACTCCTGCAAGAATAGCCATAATCAAAAAATCAAAAAAACAGTAGATGTTGGTGTGGATGCAGTGAACAGGCAGAACTTCTGCACTGCTGGTGGGAATGTAAACTAGTACAACTGTGAAAAAAAAGTGTGGAGATTCCTTAAAGAACTAAAAGTAGAACTTATATTTGATCCAGCAATCCCACTACTGAGTGTCTACCCAGAGGAAAATAGGTCATTTTATGGAAAAGATACTTGCAAACGTGTGTTTATAGCAGCACAATTCACAATTGCAAAAACATGGAACCAACCCAAATGCACATCAATAAACAAGTGGATAAAGAAACTGTGGTATATATATATATACGTATATATATATGTGTGTGTGTGTGTATATATATATGTATGTATATATATGTGTGTGTGTATATATATATACGTGTGTATATATACACGTATATATACACACACGTATATATATACGTGTATATATACACACGTATATATATACACGTATATATATACGTGTATATATATACACGTATATATATATACGTGTATATATATATACATGTGTGTATATATACGTGTATATATATATATATATATATATATATATATATATATATATGATGGAATACTACTCAGTCATGAAAAGAAATAAATTAATGGCATTTGCAGTGGCACGATCTCGGCTCACTGCATCACTGCAACCTCCCCCTCCCGGGTTCAAGTGATTCACCTGCCTCAGCCTCCCGAGTATCTAGGACTACAGGCATGTGCCACCACGCCCAGCTAATTTTTGTATCAAAAAATCAAAAAAAACCAGTAGATGTTGGTGTGGATGCAGTGAACAGGCAACACTTCTACACTGCTGGTGGGAATGTAAACTAGTACAACTATGAAAAAAAAGTGTGGAGATTCTTTAAAGAACTAAAAGTAGAACTTATATTTGATCCAGCAATCCCACTACTGAGTGTCTACCCAGAGGAAAATAGGTCATTTTATGGAAAAGATACTTGCAAACGTGTGTTTATAGCAGCACAATTCACAATTGCAAAAACATGGAACCAACCCAAATGCACATCAATAAACAAGTGGATAAAGAAACTGTGGTGTATATATATATATATGTATATATATATGTATATATATATATATATACACATATATATATACACATATATATATATACACATATATATATGTATATATATATGATGGCATACTACTCAGTCATGAAGAGAAATAAATTAATGGCATTTGCAGTGGCACGATCTCAGCTCACTGCATCACTGCAACTTCCCCCTCCCGGGTTCAAGCGATTCACCTGCCTCAGCCTCCCGAGTATCTAGGACTACAGGCACGTGCCACCACGCCCAGCTAATTTTTGTATATTTAGTAGAGACAGGGTTTCACCATGTTGGCCAGGATGGTCTCGATCTCTTGACCTCGTGATCTGCCCGCCTTGGCCTTCTGAAGTGCTGGGATTACAGGTGTGAGCCACCATGCCCAGCCTGGAGATTATTATTTTAAGTGAAGTAACTCAGGAATGCAAACCCAAACATTGTATGTTCTAACTGATATGTGGGAACTAAGCTATGAGGACACAAAGGCATAAGAATGATACAATGGACTTTGAGGACTCATGGGGAAAGAGTGGAAAGGGGGTGAGGGATAAAAGACTACAAATAGGGTACAGTGTATACTGCTTAGGAGATGGTTGCACCAAAATCTCACAAATCACCGCCAAAGAACTTACTCATGTAACCAAACACTACTTGTTTCCCAATAAACTATGGGAATATAAAATATTCAATAACGAAACTAGAAATTGAGCTACCATATGATCCAGCTATCCCACTGCTGGGTTTATACCCAAAAGAAAGGAAATCTGTATATGGAACAGATATCTAGACTCATTTGTTGCAGCACTGTCTACAATAGCTATAATTTGGAAGCAACCTAGGTGTCCATTAACAGATGAATAAAGAAAATGTAGTACATATACACACTGGAGTACTATTCAGCCACAAAAAGGAATGAGATCCAGTCATTTGAAACAACATGGATGGAACTGGAGACATTATCTTACGTGAGATAAGCCAGGCACAGAAAGACAAACATCACATGTTCTCCCTTATTTGTGGGATCCAAAAATCAAGTCAATTGATCTCATGGACATAGAGAGTATACAGATGGTTACCAGAGACTGGTTACCATAGTTAGGGGTTGGGAGAGAGCTGCTTAATGGGTAAAAAAATATAGAAACAATAAATAAGACCTATTGTTGGATAGCACAATGGGGTAAGTATAGTCAATAATTTAATTATAGTTTTAAATAACTTAAAGAATGTAATTTGATTGTTTATATTTCAAAGGAAAAATGTTTGAGGGGATGGATATCCTATTTTCCATGATGTGCTTATTTCATATTGCATGCCTGTATCAAAATATCTTATACACCACATAAGCATATACACCTATTGTGTACCCCCTAAATTTTAAAAAATAAAAATTTATAAAACTTAAAAAAATTATTGAGTCATTTGTGCATGAAGATACAGTTTCATCTATTTTTATAAGAAAATAGAACAAAATGGTGCTTCTGCTCTTAACACTATCTAAAGAGGTTTTTCCTCACTTTTTTGTTACTTTGAAATATAACAAGCATGCCAATCACGTACATATTTGAAATAGGAATGGGATATTAGTGATAGAAATCTGGATAAATGATAAGTATAATATATTATTATCCTGTTTTTAATTCTCTCATACAGGTTAATTTATCTTCCTTAAGAACAAAAGCAATTATTCATTTTAAATTTGATAAGCGAATGCATTTTTAATACTTGATTCTCTAAAAATCTGAGCCCTTTTGTTTTAAATGATTAATGTAATTCATATAAAGAAGAGATATCGAAGCACATGGATTAATGTATATTTTATCTAACTGTAGCATTTTTTGAATCTTTGCCTTTAAGAATCTTGTTAATTTTATGCATATGAAAGAAGACAATATTCTGTCTATTTGTTGCATATATCATGTTTATCCAATATATATTCATGGTTATGAATAGCTTATTTTAAGGCATCTAGTTTCTGCTTAAAGTGGGTAGTCTCTATTTGTAGTTTGTTCCGTTTTAAAATATCAGAGATGTTAAGTTTTGAATGATATTGTTTTCTTTGTAAGGTATTTCTCTAGAATGACAGAAGAAGTGGAAACAGGAAAATATATGCTTTATAACATCCAGATTTTATTCAAACCAAACAGATGTGATTGAAATTATTCTCTGATACTACCTATTATGTATATAATTTCAGTAACCAGCCTTTAAATTTAAAATAAATTTTTCTTTTTTTTTAAACAAAGAATTCTAGTCTTTATTTCTGGAAGTGTTGAAGTATGCAATGCCTTCCATTTGGTATATGTACAAATTCAGTGTGAGATAACGTACATATTTTTAAGCAGCAAAATTAATAAATGGACTTTTAATGACTTTTAAATAAAATTTAGAAAAGTAAAACATGCCTGCTGTAACAAATCAAATAACACAAATTATATCCCTCTCCCCATGAACTCTATTTCTTAGAATTAACTAACATTGACAGTCTGGTGTCTTCTTCCATTCTTTTTCTCCATTTTCCTTAGAAACATTCAAATACATAAACATAAATAACGATATTTTTCACTGTGTCCATCATATTTTGCCCTTTCATAATTGTTTCTTAAATGGTCTGTCTGGCTCTACTCTGGCTCTATTCCAGTCACTTTAAGTACAAAGAATAAATTCCTCAGTTTGACATCAAAACCCTTAGTGGTCTGGTCCTTACACCTCTCTCTACCTTCAACTCCTTCATATTATAATTTTTGCCCTATCCACTCATAGTTACTTGCACTTCCTCAAAAGTGTTATTGTGCTGGCTTATGACTACATATTTTTACATATCATATCCCCCTTACTTGAAATGTGTTTTTCTTCTTTTTTGTCTAGCTTAAAGATACCGTTTACTCAAAACTTATCTAAATATCCAGGAATTGTTTCTTGACCCCTTGTTCCTTGCTCTCTTGCCACACTCTAGAAGACATCTAAGGAACTGCAGACTTATTGCTGCCCCCAATCACAACCCTGGTCAAAAGAGTGTATGTTTAAAAACTGATAGTTATATAGTCACATTGCCTCACCTGTTCTACCAACCAGTTGATATAACTCCAGAAATGAAGCCAAGGACTGAGAAAAGGCAGATGCTCAATCTCCTCTTGCCTTTTTATAGGGTCATTTAAGCCTGTGGTTTAGGTGAGTTTGTTACTCATTTAATCATTTCCTAGAGTCTGGCCTGCCCAGATAGGAGAAAAGAACAATAAATCAACAGTAAGTTTTATTATTACAGCATTTCAAAGTTGAGGAAATTAAACACAAAAGGTTAAATTGCTTGTTCAAGTTACAGAGCTAGTAAGAGACAGAATCAAACTTTTATATCTGCTATGTTGACCACAGAGCCCATGCTCTTAACCATTATAATTATTTTACAAAAAAAAATGGGCAATGTACAAGCTTTACCATGGAGATGATTACTAAATTTTAGAGTTTCTAAAGTGGGCATGACTACTAAATGCATGCTTGCGTATAATAGTTGCATAATTTAATAAATTCATTTCATTTTAGCAAATATTTATTTTTGATCATCACTTATGTGTCAACAACTGTCATAGGTGAATGCTAATTTGGACCCTCAAAAGTTAAAGTTTGGGATTTTCTAGATGTTAAAAAATAAAGTCTGACAACAGGTGAAAAAGAAAACTTCCAAACATCTGTGAAAACAGCACAGACTCTGACATCAAATAGAACCTAAAACTGGGCTCTTTCACTTAATGATTATGTGGCATTTAGTGTGTACCATGGCCATTCAAAGCCACACTAAAATGTTATTAATAGAGCCTACTCTTTTCAGCATTACTTATGTGAGAAAGTATCTAGTACTACAATTATGGATCATTGTTAGTTTCCTCCTTTAAACACTTAATCATACAATTAATCCTTTAGTAAGCAAACTTTACCTCCTTAGGTGGCTTCAGCATTTTGTCACTACCTACTTTCATGCAAAAAATTAATATGTCGATTACAAATGATCCTTATCTGATCAATTTGACAATCCCTCAGGGACCCCATCCATATTATTTAGCTCATCTAACTTTTATGTGTGTCAAAATAAATTCCATGGTGTTAAAACAATGTGTTGAAAAATGAAATAGTCACTTAAATACATATTTACATAATATCAAAAATAAAGAAAAGAAATCATGTTCATTTTATTTTTATTCAGTTCACTAATTAATATCCAGTGGACACAACTCCAATAAATAGCTTGAAAAATATAAATTCTGCTGATCATATATTACTTGTTCTGAAGACTGAACAAAGAGAGGAAGATGGAATAAAATTAGAGCACAAGAAACTTAGGAAAAGGAAGATATTGTCCATAGATATCATGAGTTATGAAGATAAATTGTGATATGTCCTTCTTTTTATTCTTGCTAGCTTAGATTCTTCAGGGAAGTGTATAATTGTTTTTCACCACTCTTTGACACATGTTTAATTGGCCAGACACTGGGTCTCATTTCTTCAAACTGCATGTTTATACCTAATAATATTTTTAATGGAAATCTTCAACCCTATGTTGCTAAGTGAAATTATGTACTATTGGACCTGCTGTTTCAATATGGTTTATACTATAGATACAGCTGCTATATTCTCACATTAGATGACTTTTGGATGAAATATAAGAGAGGTACTGTGTTAGAGAGAATATTGTCTTCATACAATGTAGAATTTATTATTTATTTATTTAGTTAGTTTTTTAACTTTTAAGTTTATGGGTACATATGCAGGGTTCTTACATAGGTAAACTTGTGTCATGGGAGGATGTTATACAGAGTATTTCATCACCCAGGTATTAAACCCATTACTCATTAGTTATTTTTTCCTGAACCTCTCTCTCCTCTCACCCTCCACCCTCTGATAGGCACCAGTGTGTGTTTTCCACCTGTATGTGTCCATGTGATCTCATCATTCAGCTCCCACTTATAAGTTAAAACATGCAGTATTTGGTTTCCTGTTCCTGTGTTAGTTTGCTAAGAATAATGGCCTTTAACTCCGTTCATGTCCCTGAAAAGTACATAATCTCATTCTTTTTATGGCTGTATAGTATTCCATGGTGTGTATGTATCACATTTTCTTTATCCAATTTATGATTGATGAACATTTAGATTGATTCCATGTCTTTTCTATTGTAAATAGTCTGCCATGAACATAGGCATGCGTGTGTCTTTATAATAGAATGATTTACATTACCTTGGGTATATGGAATACATACCCAAGTAATGGAATTTCTGGGTTGAATGGTACATCTGTTTTTAGGTCTTTGAGGAATTTCCACACTGTCTTCCACAATATATTTTTGTTCTTGCATTTAAACTAAGTTTTAAAAGACTCATAGTATGAAATGCTTTAAATAAGGTATTTGCTTTACAAATAGATGAAGCATCATGGTGTTGACTTAGTAACTTCCCTAGAAATGTTGCAATGTTAGTGTTACTTCAATTATAATTGCAAAATCAGATGCTACTTCTAAGACAAATTATTGAAGTTTCAATAAATTTTTATTAAAAGTATAGACAATATATGAAAATAGATCTTACATCAGAATACGACATTGTTCAAAAAATACATAACCCATCATTAAAGTTCCTTATGCTTATAAATCTGGCTATTATTTAGAATTCCCTGATATGATTTTCAAAACAAACTTCATGGTTCTACCTGACTCTGGCTGAATTAAAATCTCTTGGGGCGGCATCAACATATTTGTATCGTCAGCAAGTCCCCAGATAAGTTCTATGCATTGCTTTTCAGACTAATGTTTAATAATATAACAAGAGCACACCCTAATATTGTACACCTTTTAAACATATCATTTCTATTATTTTAATGTGGTAAACTACAAGTAAGAATAAGTCACAATTACTAATAAAGGTATAAGTAATCTTCATCAATAAAGTTGATTAAATATAAAGCAACTAATTTTATTCTATGTTTGGTAATTTGATGTTTAAGGGTTTCAAAGTATATGATCTTATACACACTTATAATACTTAAAAGGAAAATATTTTAAAAAGAAAATTGTACTTTCAGAAATTAAAATTCTAGAAAGCTTTGATTTCCCATTCATTGAAATTCAATTGAGCCACTTATCTGAGAAGAAATTTCAGTTCAAGATCCTTGCAAATTTCAAGTTCTCCTTGAGATTCAGTGCTACACAGCTACTTTTCTTCATCAGAAAGCTGAGCTTGGTGATGGGTTAATTAATCATACTAGTTGAACTGGAAGGCAATCATTTCAAATGACTCAGTGCAGTGTTGTCAATGCCAATGATTTCTTATTCTGTACCTTGATGTAGGAGAGTTTATCATTAATGAACAAGTGGCCTTCAAAAGTTGGTTAAGAGCACTCTTAAAGGTCAAAAGGATTAAATTTCTAAATTCCCCTTAATAAGATGGAATGAAACTCAGAAATATGTCAGCAATGAGGAAATATATAGAACCATTGAAGCAATAGTATGCATGTGAAATTCTCCAAGTTGAAATAATAATAATGATAATTTCATCATAAAATCTAAACAGTGAATTGTTTTTCAGTACTTTTTCTCTACAAATACTAACTTTTGTCTTCTATCAATAATTTTCTACTTTACATAAACACATTTGTTACTTTCCCTATTATTCTACTAATACAATATATAAGGTCTCTAAGATTTAAATAGAGAGCAGTTTACCTTATACTTTGTGTTACCGTTATAATGTGTCTTTGTTTTAATTTTCAATAAGTGTGCAAATAAACCCTCAGAACTTAATAAACTGGCATACTGATTATACTAGCCTTTGTCTTTACACTTTTCTAAGTGTAAAGGAAAGCTACAGAGTATCAAAATACCTTGTAATTTCAAATTATAAAATGAGATTAATATTGGCAATACTGATAATACTTTTTTAAACTTTCCAAGCTGGGTAGTAGACTAACATAATTGTTACTTTCTACCAGATTTTAGGTCCCATGCAGTCTATGAAATATTTCAGGTTTTATTTTAATATTTTACTCTGTAGGTCTCTTTAGTAATTTATAGATGAGTAGTAAAAATCAGAAATCAATATTGTACCAAGGCATATTGTGCAGAAATCTATATGTACATTATTTATTGTTATAAAGGCATAACAATGTTATAATATTTATATGATAAAACAACAATAGTAATAATAATAAACATGATAAAAATGTTAAGACTTAGAGAACATTCTTCATGTGCTAGGCACTATACTCAGTCAAATTAAACATGGATTCATACTGATCGAGTTTTAGGCTATTTGTTACCTTGACAATTTTATTGATTTCTCTAAGTTTCAGCATCCTCATCTGTAAAACAGACTTAATAAATATAACTACCTTATAAGATTGTGAAGATGAAACATGAAAATGAATGAAAAGCACACGATTACGGAGATATTGACAATAATGTATTAATTCTGCCTCCTCTTACTTTTTAACATACTAATTTGCCTTTTTGTTTCTGTTATCTAGCACAGAATCTGCAGAACAGTGAATATTCAAAAATACTTGTTAAATTGAACAGACAATATATGAATGTATGGTCCGAGAGGATCTAAATGGAATTTTTTTTTAAATAAGAAACCAGGAGGAGGAGCCTGTTGGAAGTTCTAGCCAGGGCAATTAGGCAGGAGAAGGAAATAAAGGGTATTCAATTAGGAAAAGAGGAAGTCAAATTGTCCCTGTTTGCAGACGACACGATTGTATATCTAGAAAACCCCATTGTCTCAGCCCAAAATCTCCTTAAGCTGATAAGCAACTTCAGCAAAGTCTCAGGATACAAAATCAATGTACAAAAATCACAAGCATTCTTATACACCAATAACAGATAAACAGAGAGCCAAATCTTGAGTGAACTCCCATTCACAATTGCTTCAAAGAGAATAAAATACCTAGGAATCCAACTTACAAGGGATGTGAAGGACCTCTTCAAGGAGAACTACAAACCACTGCTCAAGGAAATAAAAGATGATACAAACAAATGGAAGAACATTCCATGCTCATGGGTAGGAAGAATCAATATCGTGAAAATGGCCATACTGCCCAAGGTAATTTACAGATTCAATGCCATCCCCATCAAGCTACCAATGACTTTCTTCACAGAATTGGAAAAAACTACTTTAAAGTTCATATGGAACCAAAAAAGAGCCCTCATCGCCAAGTCAATCCTAAGCCAAAAGAACAAAGCTGGAGGCATCACACTACCTGACTTCAAACTATACTACAAGGCTACAGTAACCAAAACAACATGGTACTGGTACCAAAACAGAGATATAGATCAATGGAACAGAACAGAGCCCTCAGAAATAACGCCGCATACCTACAACTGTCTGATCTTTGACAAACCTGAGAAAAACAAGAAATGGGGAAAGGATTCCCTATTTAATAAATGGTGCTGGGAAAACTGGCTAGCCATATGTAGAAAGCTGAAACTGGATCCCTTCCTTACACCTTATACAAAAATCAATTCAAGATGGATTAAAGATTTAAACGTTAGACCTAAAACCATAAAAACCCTAGAAGAAAACCTAGGCAATACCATTCAGGACATAGGCATGGGCAAGGACTTCATGTCCAAAACACCAAAAGCAATGGCAACAAAAGCCAACATTGACAAATGGGATCTAATTAAACTCAAGAGCTTCTGCACAGCAAAAGAAACTACCATCAGAGTGAACAGGCAACTTACAAAATGGGAGAAAATTTTCACAACCTACTCATCTGACAAAGGGCTAATATCCAGAATCTACAATGAACTCCAACAAATTTACAAGAAAAAAAGAAACAACCCCATCAAAAAGTGGGCAAAGGACATGAACAGACACTTCTCAAAAGAAGACATTTATGCAGCCAAAAAACACATGAAAAAATGCTCATCATCACTGGCCATCAGAGAAATGCAAATCAAAACCACTATGAGATACCATCTCACACCAGTTAGAATGGCAATCATTAAAAAGTCAGGAAACAACAGGTGCTGGAGAGGATGTGGAGAAATAGGAACACTTTTACACTGTTGGTGGGACTGTAAACTAGTTCAACCATTGTGGAAGTCAGTGTGGCGATTCCTCAGGGATCTAGAACTAGAAATACCATTTGACCCAGCCATCCCATTACTGGGTATATACCCAAATGACTATAAATCATGTTGCTATAAAGACACATGCACACGTATGTTTATTGCAGCATTATTCACAATAGCAAAGACTTGGAACCAACCCAAATGTCCAACAATGATAGACTGGATTAAGAAAATGTGGCACATATACACCATGGAATACTATGCAGCCATAAAAAATGATGAGTTCATGTCCTTTGTAGGGACATGGATGAAATTGGAAATCATCATTCTCAGCAAACTGTCGCAAGAACAAAAAACCAAACACTACATATTCTCACTCATAGGTGGGAATTGAACAATGAGATCACATGGACACAGGAAGGGGAATATCACACTCTGGGGACTGTGGTGGGGTGGGGGGAGGGGGAGGGATAGCATTGGGAGATATACCTAATGCTAGATGATGAGTTAGTGGGTGCAGCGCACCAGCATGGCACATGTATACATATGTAACTAACCTGCACAATGTGCACATGTACCCTAAAACTTAAAGTATAATAAAAAATAAAATAATAAAAAAAAATAAATAAATTTTAAAAAAAAGAAACCAACTAAGTCTGGAGCCACAGGGCTAGTTAAGATACCCAACATTACTTACTATATTTCTGTGTCTAGTCATTATTTCAGCTTCCAATTTATTTATTTTTCAATTAAGTGCTACCTATTTTTAAATTTTTGCTTTATTGTGATGAGCTCTCTATACCATATTTTTTACATTTTTATATTTATTTTATCTATGAAATGTGTCAATTCCCTTGGGATTTTTGTATGTTTTAACTTATTTTCCCCCTAATAAGTGAATTTATTGAAAAAAGAATTGTAAATATATGGAAATGAAGTATATATCTTATTAATGAATAGAGGAAACACAACACAAAACAAAAATTATTGTGTGTGTATGTGTATTTATCTTTTGCTACTGTTGTTAATGTTATCTTTAGGAAAGGTTGGAAAATAATCCATGTCTTTGAATAAAGGGAAATCAGTATTGGATTATAATCAGTTTAAAAGGAAATTTTTTGCTTGAAGTCTAAAACCATATAAAATTCCAGCCATCCTTTTAAAATATAAATTTTGTATGTGGCATTCTTTTTCTTTAAAAAACTGACAAATCTGGATGGAAAAACTGTATGAAGAACAGACTGGTTTCAGTTCTAGAAGAGAAATCAGAGTTAGATGCAATGTATACTTATCATCTGGCATTACATTACTGAGACAACATGTGATTTTTCTGTCTTGAAAGAATTAGTGCTAAATAAAGAGTAATGTATAAACTAAGTATAATCAAAGAAACAAAACACACTTCTTTAGCAATTCTAGATAGCTAGTAGGAATTGCAATTTATAATAAGTTCTTGTGGATATAACTATGTCATGGCATTATACAAAGGTTAAAACCATATGATAACAGATTATAAATACAATCAATGTGATTCTAAGTAGACAGACAAAAGTTCCTGTCATTTCTGCCATAGGTTAGAAGCATAATATGAGATTCATATCAAATTTTTATAAAGAATTGACACTAAAAACTATTTGTAATCTTATGAGGTTAGATTTCTTTTTTAGAATGTTGTATTCTTTTTCCTATTCATTTTGTTTTCTGTCTCCTGGCTTAAATAACCAAATAATTAATTTAAAAAGATGTTTAGGGAGCTCTGACATGCTCAAGCAACTTTCAGAAATTAATTTAAATCTAATTGAGCTTCTGAGACATCGAAGTCTTCCTTTAAAGAAGTTTCAGATGGAAGGAGTTCTATCCCATGGGCTACACATACAAACTCAATAAAGGAAATAAGAAAGTGTCTGGAGGAAAAGAAATAAATGAAAGGAAAGTAGACCTGTCGAAACAAATTTTTATTTTTTAAATTGACACAACAATGTTGTTTCTTCCTCTGCTCTAACCCACAAAAACCACAAATTCAGATCAATATCTGTTGTATTGGAACAATATGGATTTGGGATTCTGAGCTGTTTTGATAGCCTTTATGGTCGAACCCTTGCCTTCAGGTGAGACTCTCTCTAAACTAGTTTAGGCAGATGAGCATCATAAATATTCATCCAGTATAGGCTTTATAGCATCAACACATCAAGACTTCTAGTGAGTGGAGTTCTTAACTACAATAAATTTACAAGGCTTGAATGCGAAAGGACACTAAAACTCTCAAAGAATTTTCATTATCCAAGAAGTTCAAATGTATATTTGTTTTATAATTTTTTCTCTTAGTTGAATTTAAATAATTTCGAAGCAAGAATAGCTTCTCAAACTTTACTTATTGTCCAGAATATTAGAGAAAAGGGAATATTGACCAACTTAACTATATTCCATGATCTATATAAATAAGAATATTTGTGTAAAAATGTATCAGGCCAAGTGTTACATAATTTGGGATATCTATAAATTATTGAACTTAAAAGGAAAAATTATAAGTTTGATTTTTATGACTTTTTGTAAACTTCCTCATTACGGGTTAGTGAATGGGGTAAAATAAGGAGTTAGTAATGAATAAAAATGATTTGAGATCTACTTGTTAATGACTCAGATTATTTTTTCTATTTGTTGTGTGCTATATTGACTAATCTTTATTTGTTTCAACTATTTAACCTTCGACTACTCACACTACTGAAATCCAGAGTCCTCTTTTAAAAAAGAAATAATAGACTTGCTTTCTGTTTTGGGATTTTAAGTTTACAGAAAAATTGAGCAAAAAGTGCAGTTATCATGTACCACCTAACCCCTCCATCTCACCCTTTACCACCTTCTGCCAATTTCCCCCTTATTAATATCTTGCATTCGTGTAGTACATTTGTTATAACTGATTCAATACTGATACATTATTTTTAAAGATGCTTCATAACTCACACTAGGGTTCACTCTTTGTGTTGTGTATTCTATGAGTTTTGACAAATGTATAAATGATGTGTATCCACCATTACGGTATCATAGGAAGTAGCTATTATTTTCTCCTTCCCACAGAACCCCTGGTTACCTCTGATCTTTTAACTATCTCCATAGGTTTACCTTTTCCAGAATGTCATATAATTAATATCATACATATATTTAATATCATGTAGCTTTTTCAAAGTACCTTCTCTCACTTAGCAAGATGCATTTAAATTTCCATGTCTTTTTGTGGCTTGATATTCCACATTACATTCCATTGAATGAAAGTACCATAATTTAATTTTCTATTCACCTATTAAAAGACATCTTGGTTGCTTCCAAGTTTAAGCAATTATTAATAAAGCTACTAGAAAAATGCATGTGCAGACTTTTGTGTGAACCATTTTGCATTCCCACAAACAATGATTGAGTGTCCCTATTGCTCTACAGTAGGATAAAATAGGATATATCCTCACCAGCATTTGCTGTTGAAAGTGTTCTACATTTTCACCATTCTAATAGGTTTGTACTAATATCTCATTGTTGTTTTATTTTATGATTCTTTCATGCCATATGATTTTTGACATCTTTTCATATGATTATTTTATTCATATATCATCTTTGAGGAGGTATCTCTTCAGGCCTTTTGGCCATTTTCAAATTGGGTGTTTGATTTCCTATTACTGGGTTTTAAGAGTTCTTTAAATATTTTCTATGTAAGTCCTTTATCAGATATATATTTTTCAAAGATTTTTATCAGTCTGCAGCTTGTATTTTCATTCTCTTAACAGTGTCTTTGCAGAGCAGAAGATTCAATTTTTATGAAGATCGATTTCTCAATATTTTTTTAATTACGGTTTTGGTGTTATATCCAAGAAGTCATTGCCAAACCCAAAGTTACCTAGATTTTCTCCTGTATTAACTTCTAGGTGTATTATAGTTTTTCATTTTATATTTAAGTCTACGGTCTGTTTTGAGTTACTTTTAAAAAAAAAAAAATTTAACTTCTGGGATACATGTGCCGAATGTGAAAGTTTGTTACATAGGTAAATGTGTGCCATGATTGTTTGCTGCACCTAACAACCCATCACCTAGGTATTAGGTATTAAGCCCCCCATGCATTAGCTATTTGTCCTGATGCTCTCTCCCTCCTAGGTCCCCAACCAACAGGCCCCAGTGTGTGTTGTTCCCCTCCCTGTGTCCATGTGTTCTCATGGTTCAGCTCCCACTTATGAGCGAGAACATGCAGTATTTGGTTTTTTTGTTCCTGTGTTAGTTTGCTGAGGATGATGGCTTCCAGCTTCATCCATGTCCCTGCAAACGACATGATCTCATTCCTTTTTATGGTTGCATAGTATTCCATGGTGTATATGTACCACATTTTGTTTATCCAACAGGTTAAAAGCATTCTGATTTTTCTGGAGCCTCACCAGCATCTGTTTTTTTTTTCTTTTTGATAGTCACCATTCTGACTGGAGTGAGATGGTATCTCATTGTAGTTTTGATTTGAATTTCTCTAATAATCAGTGATGTTGAGCTTTTTATTCATTTTTCTTGGCTGCATAAGTGTCTTCTTTTGACAAATGTCTGTTCTGTTCATGTCCTTTAACCACTTTTTGATGGGGTTGTTTGTTTTTTCTTGTAAATTTGTTTAAGTTTCTTGTAAATTCTGGATATTATACCTTTGCCTCATGGGTAGATTGCAAAAATTTTCTCACTTTCTGTAGGTGGCCTATTCACTCTGAAGATAGTTTCTTTTGCTGTGCAGAAGCTCTTTAGTTTAATTAGATCCCATTTGTCAATTTTAGGTTTTATTGCAATTGCTTTTGGTGATTTCATCATAAAATCTTTGCCCATGCCTATGTCCTGAATGGTATTGCCTACATTTTCTTCTAGAGTTTTTATGGTTTGGGGTTTTACATTTAAGTCTTTAATCCATCTTGACTTAATTTTTGTATAAATTGTAAAGAAGGGGTCCAGCTTCACTTTTCTGCATATGGTTAGCCAGTTTTCCCAACACCATTTATTAAATAGGGAATCCTTTCTCCATTGCTTGTTTTTGTCAGGTTTGTCGAAGATCAGATAGTTGTAGATGTGTGGTCTTATTTCTGAGGTATCTATTCTGTTCCATTGGTCTAGATGTCTGTTTTGGTACCAGTACCGTGCTGTTTTGGTTACTGTAGCCTTGTAGTGTAGTTTGAAGTCAGATAGCATGATGTCTCCAGCTTTATTTTCTTTTGCTTATGATAGTCTTGGCTGTTTGGGGTCTTTTTTGGTTTCATATAAATTTTAAAATAGTTTTTTATAATTCTGTGAAGAACCTCAATGGTAATTTAATGGGAATAACATTGAATTTATAAATTGCTTTGGGCAGTATGGCCATTTTTACAATACTGATTCTTCCTATTCATGAACATGGAATGTGTTTTCATTTCCATTCCTTCTCAATCTTTATACATTTTTAAGTCCTTTTCTTCACTTATTGCATGAGCTAAGACTTCCAGTGCATGTTGAATGGAGAGGAGAGAGTGAACATCTTTGATTTGTTCCTGATATGGCAGGAAAGCATCTAATTTTTTACTATTAATTATGATGTTGGTGCTAGTTTTATTTTCTGTAGATATTCTTCATCATGTTGAATAAATTTTCCTATATTTCTAGTTTGCCAAATTTTTTTTATCATAAATGGTGTTGGATTCTGTCAAATGCTTTTTCTGCATCTATTGATATTATTGTATAATTTTCCTTTTTAGGGTAACTGATATGATGGATTACATTAGTTGAATTTTGAAGGTTGAACTAGCCATTCATACCTGGAGTAAATCACATTGACTGTGGCATGTAATTTTTTTATATATTGTTATATTTTATTTGCCAATATTTTGTTAAGGATTTTTGCATTTATAATTATGAGATATATTGGTATTTGGTTTTCCTTTTTTAATGTCTTCAGCTGGCTTTGGTATTAGGGTAATATTTGACTTTGGTATTAGGATAATCATGGCCTCATAGAATTAGGAAGTAGTCTCTCTGCTTCTATTTTCTGAAAAAGATGGTAAAGAATCAGTATAATTTTTACCTTAAATATTTGGTAGAATTTAACACGTTTGCATTTGCTGCTTTCTGTTTTTGCGTTTTATCAATTTTTGCTTCAATATATTTAATAAATTTGGGGCTGCTCATATTGCTTTTCTCCTGTGAGTTTTGGTAGAGTGTGTCTATTAAGAAATTTATCTATTTCACCTAGGCTATGAAATTTGTGGCCATAGAGTTTTTCATAGTATTCCTTCATTATCCTTCTAATAATGTTCATAGGATCAGTAGTGATAGCTCCTGTTTCATTTCTGATATTATTAATTTGTGTCTTCTCCTTTCTTCTTAGGCTAGCTGGAGTCTTGTTAATTCTATTGAACTTTTCAAAAAAACAGATTTTACTTCTCTTGTTTTTCTCTATTGATTTCCTATTTCGAATCTTATTGATTATTTTATTTTTAATAATTATTTTATTTTGTTTACTTTGGGTATAATTTGTTCTTTCTAAGTTTCTATAGTAGAATCTTAAATTATTGAGTTTAGACTTTTCCCTTTTATAAAACATTGTTTCAGTGCTATATATTTCCATCTAGGCACTGCTTTTGCTTCATCCCACAAATTTTGATAGGTTTTATTTTCATATTCATTTAGTTTAAACTATTTATGAAATTTCTCTTGAGATTTCTTCTTGACCTTTGTGTTATTTAGAAGTGTGTGTTTAATCTGCCAGTATTTTCTGGTTTTCTAGTTATCTTTTGGCTTTTGATTTCTTGCTTAATTCCATTGTGGTCTAACACCATTTTTTAATGATTCCTACACTTTCAAATGCGTTAAAGTATGTTTTATGTTCTGAATTTGTCTTGTCTTGGTGACTGTTCCACATGAGCTTGGGTAGAATATTTATTCTGCTGATTCAGGATATAGTGTCCTATAGTTTTCTAGTATAACCAGTTATTTGATGCTACTGTTCAGTTCAACCCTATCCTTACTGATTTTCTGCTTGCTGGATCTGCCAAGTACTGATTGAGGAGTATGAAATCTGCAGCTGTAATAGGGAATGTATTTATTTAACTTCTACCAGTTTTTGCATTATAAATTTTGATTCTCTGTTGTTAGGTACACAGACATTAATGGTTGTTATGTCTTTTTGAAGAATTTACCCTGTCATTATTTTTGTAATGTCCCCTTTATCCCTAATAATTTTTCTTGTTCTAAAGTTGGCATTGTCTAAAATTAATATAGCTACTCCAGATTTCTTTTGATTAGTCTCAGCAGGATACTTCTTTCTAAATCAATTACTGTTTCCCTTGTGTCTTTATATTTAAAGTGAGTTTCTTGTAGATAACATATAATTGAGATGTCTTTGGTTGATCCATAATGACAGTTTCTGGTTGTTAATTGGTATATTTATCAATATATATGATATACATTTTAATGATATAATTGTCAATAATGTGTGTATATATATATATATATATATACACATACATCATTGACATTTGAAGTGATTGTTGACATATTTGTATTAATATCTATCATATTTCTTCCAATTTTCTATTTGTTTTCTTGTGATTTGTTGTTTTTTGTCTTTTACTTTTTAAAGAAACTTTTATTTTAAGTTCAGGGATACAAGTGCAGGTTTGTAATATAGGTAAACTCATGTTACAGGGTTTTGCTGTGCAGATTATTTTGTGAACAAAGTACTAATCATAGTACTCAATAGACACTTTTTCTGCTCCTCTACTTCCTCCCACCCTCCACCCTCAGGTAGGCTCCAGTGTCTGTTGTTCCCCTCTTTGTGTCCATGTATTCTCATCATTTAGCTCCACATATAAGTGAGAACATGCGATATTTGGCTTTCTATTACTTTGGTAGTTTGCTAAAAGTAATGCCTTCCAACTCCATCCATGTTCCTGCAAAGGTCATGATCTCATTATTTTGTATTGCTGCATAGTATGTCATGGTTTTTATGTACCATATTTTTTTTTATCCAGTCTACCTTTGATGGGTATTTAGGTTGATTCCGTTTCTTTGCTATTATGAATATTGCTGCAATGAACATATGTGTACATGTGTCTTTATGATAGAATGATTTATATTCCTTTGGGTGTATACCCAGAAATGAGATTGCTGGGTCGAACAGTAGTTCTGTTTTCAAGTCTTTGAGGAATGGCCACATTGCTTTCCACAATAGTTGCACCAGTTTACACTCCTACCAAAAGTGTGTAAATGTTCCCTTTTCTCTACAACCTTTTCAGCATCTGTTATTTATTTATTTAAGATGGAGTCTCGCTCTGTTGCCCAGGCTGGAGTGCAGTGGTGCAATCTCGGCTCACTGCAAGCTCCGCCTCCCAGGTTCAGGCCATTCTCCTGCCTCAGCCTCCGGAGCAGCTGGGACCACAGGTGCACGCCACAATGCCTGGCTAATTTTTTGTATTTTTAGTAGAGACGGGGTTTCATTGTGCTAGCCAGGATGGTCTCCATCTCCTGACCTCATGATCCGCCCTCCTTGGCCTCCCAAAGTGTTGGGATTACAGGCGTGAGCCACGGCACCCAGCCTATTTTTTTACTTATCAATTTTAGCCACTCTGACTGGTGTGAGATGGTATCTCATTGTGGTTTTGATTTGCATTTCTCTAATGATCAGTGATGTTGAGTTTCTCACCGTATGCCTTTTGGCTACATGTATGTCTTCTTTTAAAAAAGTGTCGATGTCCTTTGTCCAGTTTTTAATAGGTTGCTTGTTTTTCTTCTTGTACATTTGTTTAAGTGCCTTATAGATGCTAGATATTAGACCGTTGTCAGATGCATAGTTTGCAAACATTTTCTCTCATTCTGTATGTTGTGTGCTTACTCTGTTGATAGTTTGTTTTTCTGTGCAGAAGCTCTTCAGTATAATTAGATCCCATTTGTCAATTTTTTACTTTTTTTGCAATTGCTTTTGGTATCTTCGTCATGAAATCTTTGTCTGTTCCTATGTCCAGAATAATATTGCCTAGGTAATCTTCCATGGTTTTTATAGTTCCGAGTTTTACATTTAAGTCTTTAATCCATTTCAGGCAGATTTTGTATATGATATAAAAAAGGGGTCTAGTTTTCAATCTTCTGCAAGTGACTATCCAGTTATCCCAGCACTATTTATTGAACAGGGAATTATTTTCCCATTGCTTGCTTTTGTAAACTTTATCAAAGATCAGACAGTTGTAGGTGTGCAGTCTTGTTTATAAGTTCTTTATTCTGTTCCTTCGGTCTACGTGTTTGTTTTCGTACCAGTACCATGCTGTTTTGGTTGCTATATTCATTTATTATAGTTTGAAGTTGGGTAGCCTAATGTCTTCAGTGTTGTTCTTTTTGCATGGGATTTCCCTGGCTCTTCTGGCTTTTTGGTTCCGTATGAATTTTAAAATAGTTTTTTTTTCCAGTTCTGTGAAGATATCATTGATACGTTGATAGAAATAGCATTGAACCTATACATTGCTTTGAGCAGGAAGGCCATTTTAATAATATTGTTTCTTCCTATACACGAGTATGGAACATTTTTCCATTTATTTGTGTTATCTCTGATTATTTCTTTTAGCAATTTTTTTGTAATTCTCATTGTAGGGATCGTTCACCTCCCCGCTTAGCTGTATTCTTAGGTTTTTATTCTTTTTGTGGCAATTGTGAATGGGATTGTGTTCTTAATTTGGCTCTCTGCTTGGTTGTAAGTGTATAGGAATGCTACTGATTTTTGCACATTGATTCTGTAATTCAAAACTTTACTGAAGTTGCTTATCAGCTCTAGGAGCTTTTGGGCAGAGATTATGGGGTTTGGGGAATATAGAACCATATTATCTGTAAACAGGGATAGCTTGACTTCCTCTCTTCCTATTTGGATGCCATTTGTTTATTTCTCTTTCCTGATTACTCTGGACAGGACTTCCAATATTATGTTAAATAGGAGTAATGAGAGAGATTATCTTTGTTTTGTGCCAGTTTTTAAGGGGAATGATTCCATCTTTTGCCCATTCAGTGTGAAGTTAGCTCTGTGTCTGTAACAGATGGGTCTTATTTTTTTGAGGTATGTTTCTTTAATACCTAGTTTATTGAGAGTTTTTAACATGAATCAATGTTGAATTTTATTGAAAGTCTTTGCTGCATATATTGAGATGATCATGTGTTTCTGTTTTCTTTTGTTCTGTTTATGTGATGAATCACAATTATTGATTTGCTTATATTGAACCAGCCTTGCATCCCAGGGATAAACCCTACTTGATTATGGTGAATTAGTTTTTGATGTGTTGCTGCATTTTGTTTGCCAGTATTTTGTTGAGGATTTTTGAATCAATGTTTATCAAGGTTATTGGCCCGAAGTTTTCTTTTTTGCTGTGGCTCTGCCAGGTTTTGGTATCAAGATTATGCTGGCTTCACAAAATAAGTAGGAGAGGAGTCCCTCCTCAATTTTATGAAATAGTTTCAGTAGGAATGGTACCAGCTCTTCTTTGTACATCTGATAGAATTTGGCTGTGAATCCACCTGGTCCTGGGCTTTTGGGGGTTGGTAGGCAATTTATTACTGATTTAGTTTTGGAGCTCATTAATGGCCTTTTCAAGGATTCAGTTTCTTCCTGGCTTAGACTTAGGAGAGTGTATGTGTCCAGGAACTTGTTCATTTCTTCTAGATTTTCTAGTTTGTGTGCATAGAGGTATTCATAATAATCACTGATGGTTATTTTTATTTCTGTTGGGTTAGTGGTAATATACCTTTTGTCATTTCTGATTGTGTTTATTTGGAGTCTCTCTCTTTTCTTCTTAATCTAGCTAGCATTAATTTTTTTTAATCTATCCTATTATTTTTTTCAAAAAAGAAGCTACTAGATGTATCGATCATTTAAATGGTCTCAGTCTCGTTCATTTTAGCTCTGAGTTTGGCAAGCTTTGGTGTTAGTGTGCTCTTGCTTCTCTAGTTCTTTTAGTTGTGATGTTAGGTTGTTAATTTGAAATCTTTCTAATTTTTTATTGTGGGCATTTAGTGTTATAAATTTCTTTTTTAACACTGCCTTTGCTGTGCCCCAAAGATTCTAGTATGTTGTATCTTTGTTCTCATTGTTTTCAAAGAATTTCTTGATTTTGGCCTTAATTTCGTTATTTACATAAAAGTCATTCAGAAACAGGGGATTTAATTTCCATGTAATTGTATGGTTTAAAACAATTTTGATAATCTTGATTACTAATATTATTGCACTGTGGTCCAAGAGAATAGTTGGTATAATTTTGATCTTTTTGAATTTGCAGAGGATTGTTTTATGTCTGATTGTGTGGTCTATTTTAGAGTATGTGCCATGTGGTGATGAAAATAATGTATATGCTCTTATATCTGGGTGGAGATTTCTGTATATGTCTATCAGGTTCATTTGACCCAATGCTAAGTTTAGGACCTGAATATTTTTGTTAATTTTCTGCCTTAGCGATCTGTCTAATACTGTCAGTGGGGTGTTGAGGTCTCCCACTGTCATCGTGTGAGTCTAAGTCTCTTAGAAGGTCTCTAAGAACTTGCTTAATGAATCTGGGTGCTCCTGTGTTGGTGCACATATATATTTGGGATAATTAACTCTTCTTGTTGAATCAAACCATTTACCATTATATAATGCCTTTTTTTTTCTTTTTTGATCTTTGTTGGTTATAAGTCTGTTTTGTTTTTTTTTCCTGAAATTAAGACAGCAACCCCTCATTTTTTCTGTTTTCCATTTACCTGGTAGATTTTTCTCCATCCCCTCATTTTGAGCCTTTGGGTGTCATTGCATGTGATACGGGTATGTTAAAGACAGCATAGCAATGAGTCTTTGTTTTTTTATTCAGTTTGCCACTCTGTGTCTTTCAACTGGGGCATTTAGCCTATTTATATTCAAGGTTAGTATTGATATATGTGAATATGACCCCATCATCATGATGTCAGCTGGTTATTATGCAAACTGTTTGTGCATATGCTTTATAGTGTCACTGGCATGTGTACTCAGGTGTGCTTTTGTAGAGGCTGGTAACAGTCTCTCTTGTCCATATTTAGTGCTTTGTTCAGGACCTCTTGTAAGGGAGGTCTGGTGGTAACACATTTCCTCAGCATTTGCTTGTTTGGAAAGGCTCTTATTTCTCTTTTGCTTATAAAGCTTAATTTTGCCAGATATTGCATTCTTTCTTGGAATTTCTTTCTTTAAGAATGTTGAACATTGGCCCCTAATCTCTTTTGACTTGTAGGGGTTTTTGTGAGACGTCCACTGTTAGACTGATGGGGATCCATTTGTAGGTGAACTTGTCCTTTCTCTCTAGTTGCTTTCAACATTTTTAAATTCATCTTGACCTAGAAATATCTGACGATTATGTGTCTTGGGGATGATTTTTTTGTGTGTGAAGTACTTTACTGGGGTACTCTGCATTTCCTGAATTTGAAGTTGTCCTCTATAGCTATGTTTGGGATTTTCTCATGGATTATATTCTGTAATATGTTTTCAAGTTACTTCCATCCTCCTCATCTCTTTCAGGGATGCTTATGAGTCATAGATTTGGTTCCTTTACATAATCACATATTTCACAGAGGTTCTGTTCGTTCCATTTTGTTCTTTTTTCTTTATTCTTTTCTTGATGTTGTATTTCAGAAAGCCCGTCTCCAAGCTTTGAGATTCTTTCCTCAGCTTGGTCTGTTCTGCTGTTAATCATTGTGATTGCATTATGAAATTCTTGTAGTGTGTATTTCAACTCTATCAGTTCAGTTACATTTTTTTTTTAGACTGGTGATTTCATCTATCAGCTCCTGTATCTTTTTATTTTGACTCTTAGCTTCCTTAGATTGGGTTTCAGTGTTGTCCTGGATCTTGATGATCTTTGTTCCTATCCATATTTTTAATTTTATTTCTGTTATTTTAGCCATCTCAGCTAAGAACTCTTGCTGGAGAACCAGTGCTGTCATTTGGAGGAAAGAAGACACTCTGGCTTTTTTACTTGTCAGGGTTCTTGCACTGGCTCTTTCTAATCTTTGTGGGCTGATGTTCCTTCAATCTTTGAATTTTCTGTCCTTTGGATGTGTTTTTTTTTTTTGTTTTATCCTATTTGATGACCTTGGGGTTTGATTGTGGTATAAGATGGGTTCAATTGACTTGCTTCATTTCTGGAAGATTTTAGGGGGCAACGTTTAACTCAGGACTTTTGAACTGCATGCTCTAACTCTGGGAAACTGGTATTACGCCCCTGCTTTGTTCTGGCCCCTTGAGGTTATAAACCTGCTGCTCTCTTGGATTGCTGTTCACAATGCTCTGGAAGTGGGACCTGTCCTTGTTCCTGCATGCTAGTAGCAACTGCAGCTGCAGCATGGTGTGGTAATGCTTGTTGGCTGAGGCAGGGTGCTAGTAGCTGCCAGGGTGCCAGCCTCTATGTGCCAGCTAGTGGTGACAGGGTGCCAGCTTCCTTCACAGCAGTGGCTGGCCTTTTCACAGTGGTAGCTGTAGTTGACATCATGGCTCAGGGAGATGGGGCTCCCCGATAATTACTTTGCATGTTTTCATGCCATTGGCAGTATTTGCACCCTCTGTACATGTTTGTGAGTGGTGGTCGATGTTCAGGTTGAGGGTGGGTCTACTTTTCAGTCTTCCACTTTGTTTCTGTGGTTTTGTTTGTTTTTTGCTTGTTTTTGGTTGTAATTGAGTACAGTCAGTCCTCCACTTCAATAAGTTTCACGTCCATGTATTCAACGAACTGTGGATCAAAAACATTCAAAAAGTCATCGGGACTTGTTTGTTTTTTTTTTTTTTTGATGGAAGACTTTTGATTATTAGCTCAATTTCCTCACTCATTATTAGTCTGTGCAGGTTTTCTATTACTTCACAATTTAATCACAGTAATTTGTATGTATCCAGGAATTTATCCATTTCTTCTATATTCTCAAATTTGTTGGCATAGTTATTCATAATAGTCTCCTTTGATCCTCTGTATTTGTGTGGTATCAGTGGTAGTGTCTCTTTTTTCATCTCTGATTGTATTTATTTGGGTCTTTTCTCTTTTTTGTTTTAGTCTAGTGAGTAGTTTTTCAATTTTGTTTATTTTTCAAAAAAGTCAACTTTACATTTTATTGATTCTTTAATTGTTTCCAGTTTCTATTTTTTTTCTGCTCAGAGATTTATTATTTACTTTCTTCTATCAATTCTAGGTTTAGCTTGTCCTTGTTTTTCTAGTTCTTTAAGCTACATGACTAGTTTGTTTTCCCTCTGTTTTCTTTCAAATTTTTTCCTCATCTTTGATTTTCTGCAGTTTTTATTTAACCTGCTTAGGCATCATTGTTTTGTTTTGTGTACTTATCTTGCTTGATGCTCTCTGAAATTTCTTGGACCTCTAGTTTAGAGTCCATTATTAATTTTGGCACATTTTCAGTTATTGTTGCTTCAAATATTTTGTTTCTCTCTTTCTTCTGATATTCTCTGTACGTATATGTTATACTTTGTATCACCATCTGGCAGTCCTTGAATACTCTTTTCCATTTATTTTTCTCCTCACATTTCAGTTTTGGGAGTTTCTATTGATAGTTTTTAAAGCTCACTTATGGTTTTCTCCACTGCATCCGGTCCATTGACGAGTGTACCTAAAACATTCTTCATTTCTGTTATGGTGTTTATTATTCCTAGCATTTCCTTTGGGTCCTTTCTTCGAGTTTGCATCTCTTCGTTTATGTTACTCATCCTCTATGCCTGTTGTCCACTTTTACACTAGCACCCTTAGCATATTAATTATAGGTCTGATATTTCATCTGATATTTTCTTTTCTTAATTTTTCAGTCTGACATTTCCAAAATATCTGCCATATCTGAGTCTGATTCTGATGTTTGCTTTGTCTCTTTTAACTGTGTGTGCTTTTTTAAATCGCTTAACTTGCCCTGTAATTGTTGTTACAAGCTGGACACGATGTACTAAGGAAAATAAATAGGTCTCCAGTGCAACATTTTATGTTTATTAAGTTAATGTTTACTGTTTACTCTAGCTGTAGGTCTCAGAGGCTAAAATTTCCTCTGATCTCCTTGTTTTGCCTTTCTTATTATCTGTTGGTTTCTCTAGAGTCTTCTTAAATATTGTCAGCAAGGCACAGTTTTTTTTTCCTATTGTATTCCACAACTATTAATCAGGAGCCTATGTGTGTAGTGCTAAAGTGTTGGAAGAAGTAAAATTTTTTATAGTCATACAATTAGTCAGACTTTTTTGCTATTATCTAATGCTCAGTTTATTAGGTGACATTTATTTTAGCATATAAATTTAAGGTACACACATGATGTTTTCATACACCTATATGTAGTGAAATGGTTACTACAGTCAAGCAAATTAATATACCCATTATCTCACATATTTTGTCATCTTTTTGGTGGTTCAAGCACTGAAATTTTAGTATCTTAGCAAACCTCCACCATACAATACCATATTTTTAACTATAGTTCTCATGCTGCACATTAAATCTCTAGATTATCTGTCTCCATAAATAAAACTTCATGGTCTTTGACTTACATTTCCCTGTTTCCTCCTCCTCCCTTCCCCCAGTAACCACTGTTTCACTATCGTTTTCTGTGTATTTTCTTTTATTAGATTTCACATATAAATGAGATTGTGCAGTATTTGCAGTATTTGTCCTTCCAGGTTTTTCTATTTCACTTAGAATAATGTCCTTTGGCTTTATCTATGTTGTTGCAAAAGGCAGAAACTCCTTTATTAAGGTTGAATAATATTCCATTATATAAATAGGAATACCTTGGAGATATTTCAGGCTTTATTCCAGACCACCACAATGAAGTAAATATTATGATAAAGAACAAAAACATTTTGTTTTCCCAGTGCATATAAAAGTTATGTTTACGTATACTGTAGTCTATTAAGTGCACAATACCATTATGTTTAAACATACAAGGTATATACCTTACATAAAAATTATTTTGCTGCTAAATAATTTTAATAATCACTTGAGCTTTTAATGAATCAAAATCTTTTTACTGGTGGAGAGTATTGCTTTGATGTTGCTGGTTGCTTACTGATCAGGATGGTGGTTGCTGAAGGCTAGGATGTCTGTGGCAAAATAAGAAAACAATAAGTTTGCCACATTGATTGACTTTTCCTTTCACTGCAGTTTCTCTGTAGCATGAGATGCTGTTTTATAACATTTTACCCATAGTAGAACTTCTATCAAAATTGGAGTTAATCCTCTCAAAACCTGTCAATGCTTTACCCATTAAATTCAAAGAAAATACTAAATCCTATGATGCCATTTAAACAGTGTTCACAGTACCTTCACCAGGAGTAGATGACATCTCAAGTCACCACTTTATTTGCAGCAATATCATGATAAAACTTGAACAGATGATCAGATACCTAAGCATGATATTGATATCATGATATTGCAGCAATGCAATCATATTTTCAGGCTACACTTCTAATTCTAGCTCTTATTTTATTTCCACACTATCTAGAGTTACCTTCTCCACTGACATCTTGAACCCCTCAAAGTCATCCATGAGAGTTGGAATCAACTTTTTTTTCAAACTACTCTTAACATTAATATTTTGACCTTCTCCCATGAGTTCTGAATGTTCCTAATGGCATCCAGAGTAGTGAATGCTTCCCAAAAGTTTTCTTTTGGTCTAATTTTTTTATTTTTAATTTTTATGGGTATGTAGTAGGTGTATATATTAATGAGTACATGAGATATTTTGATACATGTTGCAGGAAATCAGGGACCCCAAACGGAGGGACTGGCTGAAGCCATGGCAGAAAAACATAAATTGTGACGATTTCATGGACATTTATTAGTTCCCCAAATTAATACTTTTATAATTTCTTATGCCTGTCTTTACTGCAATCTCTGAACATAAATTGTGAAGATTTCATGGACAGTTATCACTTCCCCAATCACTACCCTTGTGATTTCCTATGCCTGTCTTTACTTTAATCTCTTAATCCCGTCATCTTCGTAAGCTGAGGATGAATGTCGCCTCAGGACCCTGTGCTAATTGCGTTAACTGCACAAATTGTTTAAATAATATGAAATCTGGGCAACTTGAAAAAAGAACAGGATAACAGCAATGTTCAAGGAACAAGGGAGATAACCTTAAACTCTGGCTGCCTGTGGGCCGGGCAGAACAGAGCCATATTTCTCTTCTTTCAAAAGCAAATAGGAGAAATATTGCTGAATTCTTTTTCTCAGCAAGGAACATCCCTGAGAAAGAGAATGCATCCCTAAGGGGAGGCCTCTGAAATGGCCGCTTTGGGAACGGCTGTCTTTTATGGTTGCAGCGGTGGGATGAAATAAGCCCCAGTCTCCCGTAGCGCTCTCAGGCTTATTAGGACAAGGAAATTCCTGCCTAATAAATTTTGGTCAGACCGGTTGTCTGCTCTCAAACACTGTCTCCTGATAAGATGTTATCAATGACAATGTGTGCCCAAAACTTCACTAGCAATTTTAATTTTGCCCCAGTCCTGTGGTCCTGTGATCTCGCCCTGACTCCATTTGCCTTGTGATATTTTATTACCTTGTGAAGCATGTGATCTCTGTGACCCACACCCTATTCGTACACTCCCTCCCCTTTTGAAAATCACTAATAAAAACTTGCTGGTTTTGCGGCTTGGGGGGCACCACGGAACCTGCCGACATGTGATGTCTCCCCCGGACACCCAGCTTTAAAATTTCTCTCTTTTGTATTCTTTCCTTTTATTTCTCAGACCTGCTGACACTTAGGGAAAATAGAAAAGAACCTACGTGAAATATCAGGGGTGAATTTCCCCCAATAGATACAGGAATACAATTCATAATAATCACATTAGGGTAAATGGGGTCTCCATCACCTCAAGCATTTATCCTTTGTGTTTAAAACAATCCAATTACACTCTTAATTATTTGTAAATGTACAATCAAATTATTATTGCTTATAGTCAGACTGTTCTGCTATCAAACACTAGATTTTATTTACTCTTTCTATTTGTTTTTGTACTTATTAACAATCCACACTTTCACTACCCCTTTATTACCCTTCCCAGTCTTTCGTTAACATCATTCTACTCATGGTCTCCATCAGTTCAATTGTTTTAATTTTTGGCTCCCACAAATGAGTGAGAACATGGAAAGTTTGCCTTTCTATGCCTGGTTAATTTCGCTTAACATAATAATTTCCAGTTCCATACATGTTATTGCAGATGACTGGATCTCATTATTTTTTATGGCTGGATAGTACTTCATTGTGTGTATGTACCATATTTTTTTTTATCTGTTCATCTGTTAAGGGACACTAAGGTTCTTCCAAATCTTGGCTATTGTGAATAGTGCTGAAATAAATATGGGAGTGCAGATATCTCTTCGATATACTGATTTCTTTTCCTTTGTGTGTATACATAGCAGTGGGACTGCTGGATCATATGGTAGGTCTATTTTTAGTTTTTTTTAGAACCTCCAAATTGTCGTTAATGTGGTTGTACTAATTTACATTCCCACCAACAGTGTATGAGGATTCCCTTTTCTTCACATCCTAGCCAGCATTTGTTACTGCCTGTCTTTTGGACAAAAGCCATTTTAACTGAGGTGAAATGATATCTCATTGTAGTTTTGATTTGCATTTCTCTGATGGTTTTCCATTTACTTTGCCCAAATCCATCATAGGAATCACTATTCATGGTAGCTATAGAGTTATAAAATATATTTATTAAATAATAAGACTTGAAAGTTGGAATAATTCTTTGATCCATAGGTTGTAGAATAGATGTTGTGCTAACAGGCTTGAAACAACATTAGTCTCATTGTATATCACCATCAGAGCTATTGAGTGGTCAGGTGCATTGCCAGTAAGCAATCATATTTTCAAAGGAATGTTTTTTTCTGAGCAATAGGTTTCAACAGTGGGCTTAAAATGTTCATTAAACCATGCTTTAAACAAATGTGCTGTCATTCAGGCTTTCCTGTTCCACTTATAGAGCACAGGCAGAGTAGATTTAGCATAATTCTTATGGTCTTTAGGATTTTCAGAATGATAAATGAGCATTGGCTTCAACTGAAAATCACCAGGTGCATTGGCCTCTAAACACAGAATCAGCCTGGTTGTTGAAGCTTTGAAGCCAGGCACTGTCTTCTCCTCTTTAGCTATAACAATCCTAGGTGGTATCTTCTTCCAGTGGAAAGGTATTTTGTCTACACTGAAAATATATTGTTTAGTGTAGCCACATGCATCAATGATCTTACCTAGGTCTTCTGGATAACTTGCTACGGCTTCTACATCAGCATTTGCTGCTTTGCCTTGCCCTTTTATGTTATGAAGGGGGATTCTTTACTTAAACCTCATGTGCCAACCTATGCTGGCTTCAAACTCTTCGGCTACAGCTTTCTCATGTCTCTCTGCCTTCACAGAATTGAAGAGAGTTACGGCCTTCCTTTGAATTAGGCTTTGAGTTAAGGAAATTGTTGTGGCTACTATGATATTTTATCTAGATAAGGGGTCCCCAACTCCCTGGCCACAGAACGGTACTGGTCTGCGACCTGTTAGGAATTGGGCTGCACAGCAAGAAGTGTGCTGTGGGCCAGCAAGCATTACTGCCTGAGCTCTGCCTCATGTCAGATCAGCATTGGCATTAGATTCTCACAGGAGTGTGAACCCAATCGTGAAGTGTACATGTGAGGGATCTAGGTTGTGTGCTCCTTATGAGAATCTAATGCCTGATGATCTGATGTGGAACAGTTTCATCCTGAAACCATTGCCTCACCCCCATCCATGGAAAAATTGTCTTCCACAAAACCAGTCCCTGATGCCAAAAAGGTTGGGGACCACTGATCGAGACCATTAAAACTTTCTCAATATCAGCAATAATCCTGTTTTGCTTTCCTGCCATTAATATGTCCACTGGAATAACACACTTTATTTCTTTCGATAACTTTTCTTTTGCATTCACAACTGGGATGTCTGACATAAGAGGCCTAACTTTCAGCCTATTGTGGCTTTTGACATCCTTTCCTTACTAAGCTTAATTATTTTAAGCTTTTGATTGAAAATGAGAGATGTACAACTCTTCCTTTCACTTTAACACTTAGGGGTCATTGCAGGGTTATTGACTGGCATAATTTCAACATTGTTGTGTTTTAGGGGACAGGGAGGCCTGTCTGCAGAGAGAGAGAGATGGAAAAATGGCCAGTGAGTGGAGCAGTCAGGACACACACAATATTTATCAATCTAATTTGCAGTCTTATATGGGTGTGGTTTGTGGAACCCCAAATAATTACAAAAGTAAAATCAAAGTTCATCAATCAGAGATCACCGTTAAAGACATAAAAATAAAAATTTTGAAATATTGTGAGAATTTTCAAAATGTGACACAGACACATTAAGTGACAACATGCTGTTGGAGAAATAATGCCAATAATCTTGTTTGATGCAGTGTTGCCAAAAAACTTCAATTTGTGAAAAACAAAATAACTGTGAAGTGCAATAAAACAGCACAATATAACACGGTATTACTGTATACCACAATGGCTTTATCCATCCATCCATTGATGGACACTTAGGTTGTTTCTGTATCTTGGCTACTGTGAATAATGCTGTAATAAAAATGGGAATGTAAATATCTGTGTGAGGTGCTGAATTTCATTTTCTGGCATTCATCACAGGAATAAATTTAAAAATTCTAAAATTCAATCATAAAAGACTCTGAATAACCAAAGCCATCTTGAGGAAAAAACAAACAAACATGGAGGCACTACACTTTCTGATGTCAAATTGTATAACAAAGCTATAGTAATCAAAGTAATATGGTACTGACATAAAAACAGACACATAGGCCAGTGAAACACAATACAGAACTCAGGAGTATATCCAAGCATATATACGCAATTAATTTTTGACAAGAGTACCAAGAAGACAAAATGAGGAAAGGATATTCTCTTTAATAAATGGCCTGTGGAAATTGGATATTCACATGTAAAAGAATAACTCTTACACCATATGCAAAAATCAACTAAAAGTAGAATAAAGAACTATACATAAAACCTGAGACCATAATTCTGCTAGAGAAAGACATTGAAGAAATACTCCTGGGTATCACACTAAAAGTACAGGCAACAAAAGCAAAAATAAACAAGTGGGACTACATGAAAGTAAAAAGCTTCTGCACAGCAAAGGAATAAAAAGAAATGGCAGGCAATAGATTTGGAGAGATTATTTGTAAATCATATATCTGAAACTGTTTAGCATCCAAAATAATTGAGATTAGTCAATGCTTCAGTTAGCCTCTGTTCCAAGGCTATGGCCTTCACAAGGGCCTGTCAGTTTCATTTTGGTTTATCCCTTAGGGTAAAATTGCAAAGCTCGAGTGATCTAAAATTGGGCATTTTCACTCCTCTAGATTGGTTAGGCTCTGTTAAAATCATACTAAGATGGGCTCTTCTAAAATAGTTTCCCTTGGGTACAAGCCTTGTTAAGAAGAAAAGAATACAGAATACTCTGGTGATTATTAAAGGTGGCTATATTCCCCCCTACTCCTTGCCAGAAGTAAGAGGGATTTTTCATCCATCTTCACTGTGAGAACCTGGTAGGACTTATGAAGCTCAAACTTACTGAAGTACAAGGTCCTCCCTAAGACATGCTTACCTGGAGTGTTTAACTCTCAAATTTGTTCACTTCGAGACTTCAGCAATTTGTCAATTACAGTTTAGGTTTATTTTCCTCTGGTACTGGTTCCCATGGGGTTTCTATTCTTGTTTACTGTTTAGGTAAGTTGTGACTATTTGCCTGCCTGATTCTTAAATTTGGTCGTTAGTAGTTGTTTCTATAACTTTATTTCTATGATAAGTCCAAGAAGAGTTGATTTTTAGTCTGTTCACCTTTTTTCTTATGATGTAAATGGGAGAACTGGATTCAAAGTTTTTTACCTGCCACACAAAAAATTGGAAAGTCTAAGTGTCTTTATTCAAATTTCAGAACCTCCAGACTCTACCTCTCATGTTAACCTAAACTCTTCTATTCTTTCATTGCAATTGTCACCACTTGTAATTTTCACATATCATGTTTGTAATTGTACAGGGTTTCACTGAGATAGAGAATGGAGTTTGTGAAATCAAGTGAAATCAATTCACTCTTTTTTTTCTGTTTTTGATAGAATTGATGAAATTCCCAACCCAGATCCTACCATATCTTAATTACTTCGGAGTCAATGTAAACTTTATAACATAAACATATACCTTCTTAACTTGGGAGGGAAAATATTTTCACATTAAATTATGAAACAAAGTCCCTTCTTTTTATTTCAAGCTATAGATTATATATTTCCCCCTAATATGGTCTGAATCTTTGTCCCTGTTAAATTTTGATCCCCAATGTTGAAGGTGGGGCCTGGTAGGAGATGATTGGATCATGGAAGTGGATTTTTATGAATGGTTTAACATCATTCCTTTGGTGCTTTTCTTGTGATAGTGAGTTCTCAGGAGATCTGGTTGTTTGAAAGTGTTTGGTACCTTACCCCTTCTCTCATTTGCTCCTGCTCCCACCATTTGTGAAGACTTTCTCCTTTTCCTTATGCCATGATTGTAAGCTTCCTGAGGTCTCCCGAGAAGCAGAAGTTTCTATGCTTCCTGAAGAACCATGAGCCAATTAAGCTTCTTTTCTTTATAAATTACCCAGTCCCAGGTATTTCTTTATAGTGATGTAAGAATGAACAAATACAAGAAAATAGCACCAATGGGTGGGCATTGCTATAAATATACCTGAAAATGTGGAAGCAATTATGGAACTGGGTAATGGATAGAGGATGGAAGAGTTTGGAGGGCTCAGAAGAAGACAGGAAAATGAGGGCAAGTTTGCAACTTCCTAGAGACTGGTTGAATGGCTGTGATCAAAATGCTGATAGAGATATAGACAGTGAAGCCCAGGCTGATGAGGTTTCAGATGGAAATGAGGAACTTACTTGGAACCGGAGCAAAGGTCAGTTTTATTTTGCCTTAGCAAAGAACTTGGCTGCAGTGTGCCCCTTACCTAGGGATCTGTGAAACTTTAAACTTGAGAAAGATGATTTAGGTTATCTGTCAGAAGAAATTCCTAAGCACCAAAGCATTTAATATGTGATCTGGCTGCTTCTACCAACCTATGTTCTCATATGTGTGAGCAAATAAATGACCTAAAGCTGGAATTTATATTTAAAAGGGAGGCAGAGCATAAAGTTTGAACAATTTGCAGCCTGGCTTTGTGGTAGATAAGAAAAAACAATTTTCTGGGGTGGGATTCAAGAAGGCCACAGAAATTTGAATAGCTGAAAAGGAGGCAAGTGCAGATAGCCAAGACAGTGGGGAAAAAGCCCAGAAGACATTTCCATGGCATCCTGTCCCATCACAGGCACAGAGGTCTATGATGACTGAATGGTTTCCTGGGTCAAGACCAGAGCCCCTATGCACTGTGCAGCCTCAAGACACTGCTCCCTGCTTCCCAGCTGCTCCAGCTTTAGGTATGGCTCCAAGGGGCCCAGGTACAGCTTGGACCACTGCTTCAGAGAGTGCAATCCGTATGTCTTGGTGCCTCAACATGGTGTTAAGCCTATAGGTGCACAGAGCACAAGAGTTGAAGCTTGGGCATCTCTGCCTAGATTTCAGATGTGTGAAAAAGGCTGAGTGCTCACGCAGAAGAAGCCTGCTGCAGGGGCAGAGTCCTCAAGGATAACTTCTACTAGGGTACTGCAGATGGGAAATGTGGGGTTGGAGGCCAACACATAGTCCCCACTGGGGTACTGTATAGTGGAGCTGTGAGGAGGGCACTGTCTTCCAAACCCCAGAATTACAGATCCATTAACAACTTGCACTCTCACCTGGAAGAGCTGCAGGCACACAATATCAGACCTTGAGATCAACTGTGTGTGTGATTCCTGAAAAGCCACAGGTGTGGAGCTGCCCAAGGCCTTGGCAGCCCACCCCTTGCATCAGTGGGCCCTGAATTTGGGACATGAAATTAAAGGAGATTATTTTTGACCTTTAAGACTTAACTACTTCCCTGCTGGGTTTTAGACTTATATGGGGCTTGCAGCCCCTTTCTTTTGGCCTACTTTTCCCTTTTAGAATGAAAGTATTTATTCAATAACTATTCCCCCATTGTATCTTGGGAGTAACTAACTTGTTTATGATTTTACAGGTTCATAGGTGCGAGAGAGTTGCCTTGTATCAGATTAGAATTTGGATTTTTGAGTTAATGCTGGAATAAGTTCAGACTTTGGGTATTATTAGAAAGACATGATTGTATTTTGCAATGTGAGAAGATCATGAGATTTGGGAAGGGCAGGGGAGGAATGATGTGATTTGGATCTTTGTCCCTGCCCAAATATCATGTCAAACTGTAATAACCAATGTTGGAGGTGGCACTTAGTGGTAGGTTATTGGATTATGAGGCTGAATTTCACATAAATGGTTTAGCACCATCCTCTTGGTGCTGTTCTTGTAATAGTAAGTTCTCACAAGATCTGGTTGATTGAAAGTGTGTGCCACCTCCCCCCCGCACTTTCTCTTGCTCCTGCTCCTGCCATGTGAGATGCTTCACTCCCATTTTGCCTTCCACCATGATTGGAATCTTCCTTAGGCCTCCCCAGAAGCACAAGCAACTATGCCTCCTGTACAGCCTGCACAACTGTGAGCCAATTAAACCTCTTTTCTTTATAAATTACCCAGTCTCAGGTATTTCTTTATAGCAATGTAAGAATGAACTAATACAAATCCTCTAATCAATGTTGTAGGCTTTATATAAATATACACAATGTAAAATAAATTTAAAAGACCTTCATAGACAGACATCTTACTGAGACATCATAGTGAACATTACAAAGTAAAAAGAGCTGATTGCCTGAACTGAGAATGTCCTGAATTTTCATTAATTTTTGCATATTTACTTTGATTTAGACCATATATGAAATAATAATATATTGGAAAGTTCTGTATGAACAATGGGCACTTTGAAACAAGAAATAAGCCTTTGAGAGCTGTTATTAAAGAAGGGACAGACAGGTTTCTGCAATGAGGATACATTTCATTGGAACCATTTAACCCCAAGAAAGATTATGGTCAAAAGTTTGTCTATGAAGATCAAGCAAAGAAGCAGATGCCATTGGAAAAGAGAATAAACCATTATATACAGGTAATAAATGGATTATAGATTAACAAAGAAAATATATAAAACTCAGCCATCAACATTTATTGAGTATATATTATGGGTTAGGCATTATGCTAAATGCTGGAGATAAAGACATGAATAAGATACTGTTTCAAATCTCAGGTTTCTTACAATCTGACAGAGATGCCTGAAACTAGAGTAAGAATAGATTAAAATTAATTATTTAGTTATTTCAGAAGAACCTAAACTACTAAGTTCAAGGAAAAGAACTTTCTGTTACACAATAGTAATTGTTGGTGGTGATAGAGCCAGTAGTTAATGTTCATTTCTATAGTTTTTTTCAATCATTTTATAATATTTCAATATGTGAGTATACCACAATGTATTTATTTTTTAGTTTTTTTAATATAATTTTAATTTTTATTTCAGATTAGGTGGGATACGTGTGCAGTTGTATTACATGAGTATATTACATAATGCTGAGGTTTGGGTTATGAATGATCCTGTCACCCAGGTAGTTAGGAAGCATAGTCTCCACTAGTTACTTTTCAACCCTTGCTCCCTTAGCTCCCTTTTCTCTCTAGTTGTCCCCAGTGTCTATTGTTGTAATCTTTATGTCCTTGTGTACACAATATTTAGCTCCCACTTATAAGTGAGAACATGTGGTATTTGGTTTTCTCTTCCAGCATTAATTCATGTAGCATAATGGCCTCCCGTTACATCTATAAATCCTAAATAGTATATGATTTTATACTTTTTTATGGCTGCTTAGTATTCCATACGTATATGTAGTGCATTTTCTTTATCAAATCAACCATTGATGGGCACCGAGGTTGAGTTCATGTCTTTGCTAGTGTGAGTAAGTGCTGCAGTGACCATACGAGTTATACATGCCTTTTTGGTAGAACAATTTATTTTTTCTTGTGTATATCCCCAGCAATGAGATTGCTGGGTTGAATGGTAGTTCTGTTTTATGTTCTTTGAGAAATCTCCAAACTTCTTTCCACAATGGCTGAACTAATTTGCATTCCTACAAACAGTAAACAAGCAATTGCTTTTCCCCACAGCCTCATCAGCGTCCGTTGTTTTTTTTTGTTTAATAATAGCCATTTTGACTAGTGTGATATGTTATCTCCTTTTGGTTTGAGCTTGAATTTCTCTGATGATTAGTAATAGCATTTTTTTCATATGTTTGTTGGCTACTTATATGTCTCCTTTTGAGAACTGTCTGTACATGTCTTTTACCCACTTTTAAATTGATTTAGCCATAAACTCTTTCCAAGGTTGATGTTGAGAAGGGTATTTCCTAGGTTTTCTTCTAAGATTCTTATAGTTTGAGGTCTTACAATAAAATCTTTAATTCATCTCAGAATAATTTTTGTAATTAGTGAAAGGTGGGGGTTCAGTTTCAATCTTCTGCATATGGCTAGCCAGCTATCCAAGCAGCATTTAATAAATAAGGAGTCCTTTCCTTGTTGCTTATTTTTGTCATCTTTGTCGAACATCAGATGGCTGTAGGTATGTGGTTTTATTTCTGAGTTCTCAATTCTATTCCATTAGTCTATGTGTCTTTTATCAGGTTAGTACTGTGTGTTTTGGTTACCATAGCCTTCTAATATAGTTTGAAGTCAGGTAACATGATGCTTATGACTGTGTTCTTTTCGCATAGGATTGCTTTGGCTATTTGGGTTCTTTTGTGGGGTTATGTGAATTTTAGAACAGTTTTCTTCTAATTCTGTGAAAAATGGTGTTTGTAGTTTTATAAGAATAACATTGAATATGTGTTTTACTTTGAGCAGTATGACCTTGTCAACAGTATTGATTATTCACATTTATAAACATGAAATGTTTTTTCACTTGTTTATGTCATCTATCATTTTTTTTGTGTTGTTTTAGAGCTCCCCTTGTAGATCTTTCATCTCCATGGTTAGATGTACTCTTAGGTATTTTATCGTTTATCTTTTGTGGCTATCTTAAATGAGATTGCACTTTTGATTTTGCTCTTAGCTTGAACATTATTGTTATGTAGAAATGCTAGTGATTTTGTACTCTGTAGTGATTGATTTTGTATTCTGAAACTTATTGAAGTAGTTATCAGTTCCAGCAGCATTTGGGCCATGTTTTTAGGGTTTTCTCAGTATAGAATTATATCATCAGTGAAAAGAGATAGATAATTTGACTGCTTCTTTTCCTAATTGGATGCTTTTTATTTATTTATTTATTTATTTATTTATTTATTTATTTATTTATTTTTTCTGATTGCTCCGCTAGGACTTTCAGTACTGTGTTGAATAGAAGTGGTTAAAGTGGGCATCCTTGTCTTGTTCTAATTCTGAAGGGGAATGCTTCCACATCTTTTTCCCATTCAGTATAATGTTGGCTGTGGATTTGTCATAGATGGGTCTTAATATTTTGAGGTATGTTCTTTCTATGCCTAGTCTGTTAAGTATTTTTATTATGGATACATGTTGGATTTCATTGAAAGCTTTATCTACATCTATTGAGATGATCATATAATTTTTGTTTCTAATTCTGCTCATGTATTATATCACATTTATTCATTTGTGTATATTAAACCAAACTTGCATCCCAGGAATGAAGACTACTTGGTTGTGGTGAATGAACTTTTTTTATGTACTAATGGATTCAGTTTGCTAGTATTTTGTTCAAGATTTTTGCACCTATGTTCATCAGGGATATTGACATGCAACTTTCCTTTTTCTTTGTTCTTTATCAGGTTTTGTTATCAGGGTGACAATGGCTTTGTAGAATGAGTTAGGAATGAGTCTCTCCTCCACTGTTTTTTTGGGCTAGTTTTATTAGAATTGGTACCAGCTTTTCCTTATATGTCTGGTAGAACTTAGCTGTTAGTCAAGGACTCTTGGTTGTTCGGTATTTCATTGCTAATTCAATTTCAGAATTCAATATTTGTTTTGTCAGAGTTTCAAAGTCTTCCTGATTTAAATTTGGGAGGTTGTGTATTTCCAGGAATTTATCCATTTTCTTTAAATTTTCTACTTTTTGTGCATACAGGGTATTCATAATAGACCAAAGATATTTCATATTTCTGTGAGATTGGTTGTAATGTCACCTTTGGCATTTCTGATTGTACTTATTTGAATCTTTCCACGTTTTTGTTTGTTAATCATCCTGGTGGTTTATTGTTCTTGTTTATCTTTTCAAAAATGAACCACGTTTTTGTTTCATTGATGGTTTGTGTGTATTTTGGGCCCTTATTTTTTCAGTTCTGCTCTGATTTTAGTTACTTCTTTTCTTCTGCTAGTTTTGATGTTAGTTTGGTCTTATTTTTCTAGTTCCTCTAGATGTGATGTTAAGTTGTTAATTTGAGATCTTTTCAATGTCTTAGGGTAGGCATTAATTGCTATAAAATTTCCTCTTAGGGAATGCTTCCAGCTTTTGCCCATTCAGTATTATATTATATGTGGGTCTGTCATAAATAGCTTTTCTTATTTTTAGATATGTTCCATCAATACCTAGTTTTTGAGAGTTTTCAGCATGAAGGGGTGTTGATTTTATTGACATAAAATGGTGGTGACAAAATCTCTCAGCATTTGCTTGTCTGTAAAGAATTTTATTTCTCCTTCGCTTATGAAGCTTAGTTTGGCTGCATATGAAATTCTCGGTTGAAACTTCTTTTCTTTATATACCATCTCACACCAGTTAGAATGGCGATCATTACAAAGTCAGTATCTGATATAAGAATAGCATCTCCTGTTGTTGTTTTCCTTTTTCATGATAGATTTTTCTCCATCCCTTTACTCTTATGTTGTTATATGTGAGATGGGTTTTTTTAAAACAGCAGAAAGATAAGTCTTTTCTTATGTGTGTTTTACACGGTCATTTTTACCAGTTACTTTCAAGGCTGGCAATGATATCTGAGGTTTTAATTCATTGTGAAGTTGTTAGCTGGTTGCTTTGTAGTTTATAGTGTGTGTTTCCTTCATATGGTCTATGGGCAATGTATATAATTGTATTTTGTAGTAGCAGGTATCATTCTTCTATCTCCATGTTTAGAATTCCCTTAAGAATCTAAGACTGGTCCAGATGTAGAAAATTCTCCTAGCACTTGCTCGTCTAGAAAATATTTTTTTCTCCTTCACTCATGAAGCTTAGTTTGCAGAATATGAAATTAGTTGGAATTTTACTTCTGTAAGAATTCTGAAAATAGAGCCTCAGACTCTCTTGCATTGTAAGGTTTCTGCTGAGAAGTCTGCTGTTAGCCAGGTGGTGTTCCCTTTGTACATTATCTGACCCTTTCCTCTAGCTGGCCTTAAGATCTTTTCTTCAGTGTTGACTTGGACAGTCTAGTGACCAGATGCCTTGGTAATGTTCATTTTCTAAAGTATCTCATAGGTGTTATGGATTTCTTGTATCTGGATATGTACCTCTCTAGCAAAATTAAGGAATTTTTCTTAAATTATTTCTTTAAATATGTTATCCAGGTTGTTTACTTATTCTTTCAGGATGCCAAAAACTTGTAGGTTTGGTCACCTAACATAATCTCATATTTCTCAAATACTTGGTTCATTTTATAAATTGTTTTTTCTTTATTTTTGTCTGACTGGGTTAGTTCAAAAAATGGGTCTTTTAACTCTGAAATTCTATCTTCTTCTTGGTGTAGTCTAGTGATAAAGCTTTCATTTGTATTTTGACATTCCCTAAGTGAGTTGTTCAATTCCAGAAGCTCTGAATAATTTCTCTTCCTTTATTTTCTGGATTACTTTAGAGGTTTCTTCATATTGATTTTCAATCTTTTATTTTGTTGAACTTCTTTTTAATCCATGCTTTGAATTTTTTATATGTAATTTCTAAGTTTCCATTTTTGGTAAGAAATTATTGCTGGGGAGCTACTGCAATTCTTTGATGGTGTCACTACATTCAGATTTTTCATGTCATCAGAATCCTTGCTCTGGGTCCTTCTCATCTGAGGACACAAGTACTTATATTTTTGTACCTTTTGTGCAGGTAGAATTTTTCTATTTATTTTCTGATAATATTGATGTATTTATTATTTTCCTTTTCTTTCCCCTTAACCATAAGGGGTGTTACTGTAGAGAATGTGGGGTAGGGTATTTTGGCTTTACTTTACAGCTCTGTGCACTTCTGTCAGCAGATTTTCTATTGGGTTGTACAGTTTGACTGACAACCCAGTAGATGGCACTTATGCGTAAGCGCAAAGTGGCTGGGTATATATTTGATCCTTATTTACTGGAAGAGGTTATTTGTTGCCTCAGGCAGTGGGCTGATCCATGGAGTGCACACTGGTTTGAGATCCTTGCTCAGCCCTGGGGGACAGGGGTCCAGATGAATGGAGCTGTACCAGGCATTTCTATCTACAGGTCTCCTAATGGCAAGCACAAGTACCAGCACAAATGGGGAATCCAGTGGGCAGCCAGCAAGCACCCAGAGGTGTGCCTAGGCTTGGAGCTGGAAAAAACTCTTTAGCTCCAATTTCTCTTCAAAAGGAGGGGGAGTGGCCTAAACTCCTAATTAAAGAGAGTGTGTGCACCAGAGACATGGAGATCTGCCTGGGTTTGGAGTGTAGAATGTTCCCCTCCACCACAATCTCTGCACATGAGGGGTAGGGCAACTCAGGCTGCTGAATCAGGCAACTGGGTGCTCTGAATGCCTGGAGATCTGCCTGTGGATGAAGCATAGAGGGCCCTGCTGTACCAGGATCTTTGTACAAGAAAAAGGGGGCGGGGGTGGGGCTCAAGATGCAGGGCCAGGATAACAATCCAGATGAGGGGTTGTTCCAAATGCCTGAAGATATGCCTGAGCATACAATCATGGCAGAAAGTGACAGGGAACCAGCATGTCACATGCTGAAGAGGAAAGCAAAGAAAGAAAGAAAGGAGAGGTCTCAGACTCTTTTAAACAACTAGATGTCACATGGACTGAGTGAGAACTCACTTATCACCAAGGGGATGATACTAAGCCATTCATGAGGGATCTGCCACTGGGATCCAATCACCTCCCACCAGGTGCCACCTCCAACATTGGGAATCACATTTCTACATGAGATTTAGAGGGGACAAATACCAAACACTATTATTCTGCTCTTGTTCCCCAAAATCTCATGTCCTTGTCACACTTCACAAAACAATCATGCCTTCACAATTGACTCCAAAAGCCTTAACTTCTTCCAGCATTAACTCAAAAGTTCTAAGTCCCTAGTCCAAAGCCTCGTCTGGAGATGAGATTCTTCCACCCATAAGCTTATGAGATAAAAAACAAATTGTTTATTTCAAGACACAATGGTGGTACAGACCTTGGGTACACCCTGCCATTACAAAAGGAATAAATCAGTGAAAATAAAGGGGCAATAGTCCCCAGACAAGTTTGAAACCCAACAAGGCAGTCATTAAATCTTAAAGCTCCAAAACAATCTTCTTTGACACCATGCTCCACATCCTGGGCACACTGGTGTGAGAGGTAGGCTCCCAAGACCTTGGGCAGTTCTTCCCTTGAAGCTCCTTGTGGCTGCTCTCATGGGTTAGAGATGAGTGCCTGCAGCTTTTATATACTGAGGTTGCAAGTTGCCAGTGGATTTACCATTCTGGGGTCTGAAGGTGGTGGCCCCCTTCCCACAACTCCCTAGGCAGTGCCCTAGTGGGAACAGTTTGTGTGGGGGCTCCAACTCCACATTTCCCCTAGGCACTGCCCTGGTAGAGTGGTTCTATAGGGGTTCCACCACTGTGGCAGATTTTTGCCTGAACAACCAAGCTTTCCCATGCATCCTCTGGAATCTGGGTAGGAGTTGCCAAGCCTCCTTTACTCTTGCATTCTGTGTACCTGTAGGCTTACCATCACTTGGGAGCTGCCAAGACTTACAGAGACTTGAGCTCTCTGAAGCAGCAGCCAAGGGACCAGTCAAGGGACCTGGGGTCTCTTGAGTTATGGCTGAAGCTGTAGCAACTGGGATGTAGGAAGCAGTGTCCTGAGGCTGCACAGAGAAACACTGCCTTGAGCCTGGCCCTGAAAGAATTCTTTCCTCATAGACCATGGACCTGTAATGGAAAGCACCGCCTCAGAGATATCTGAAATGTCTTTGAGGCCTTTTTCCCATTTTCTTAGATATTAACCTTTGGCTCCCGTTTAGTCATCCTAATCTCTTTAGGGGTAATTGCTTCATAACTAACTTGTACTACTCTCATGAAAATGCTTTTTCTTTCTCTATCACATGGACAGGCTGCAAACTTTCCAAACTTTTATGCTATGCTAACCTTTTAAATATAAGTTTCAATGTTAAGTCATTAATTTGATTTGTATCTGAATATAGGATGTTAGAAGCAGCCAGGCCACATCTTGGAAACTTTGCTGCTGAGAAATTTCTTCCACTAGATATACCCTAAGTCATCACTCTTAATTTCAACATTCCACAAAACCCTAGAATGTGGACACAATGCATCCAAGTTCTTTGTTACAACGTAACATGGATGGACTTTGCTCATAGTCCCAATAAATTATTTTTTTTTCCCACCTGAGACCTCATCAGCCTGGTCTTAACTGTCAATATGTGTACCAACATTTTGGTCACGACCATTTAATCAGTCTCTGAGGAGTTCCAAACTTTTCCTCATCTTCCTTATTCTGAGCCCTCCAGACTTTTCCAACCTCTGCTCATTACACAGCTCCAAAGCTGCATTCAACATTTTCCAATACCTGTACAGAATGCCCCAGTCCCCAATACCAATTTTCTGTTAGTCCATTCTTACATTGCTACAAATACCTGAAACTGGGTAATTATAAACAAATATGGTTAAATTGACTTATGGTTCTGCACGCTTTACAGGAAGAATGGTGCTTGCTTTGTTTCTGGTGAAGACCCAGGAAGCATATAATCACGGCAGAAAGCAAAAGGGAACCATCATGAGACATGCCGAGATCAGGAGCAAAGGGATACAGGAGGGGGAGGTCTCAGATTATTTTGAACAACCAGATTTCACATGGACTAACTGAACAAAAACTCACTTACCACTAAAAAGATGGTTCTAAATCATTCATGAGAGATCTGCCTTCATGATCCAATCACCTCCCAGCAGGCTCCAATTTTAAAAATCACATTTCAAAATGAGATTTGGAGGAGACAAATATTTAAATCATATCACCCAGCTTAAAAATGGCATCCTACTCTTGGTTCCATGTATGGGAAAATGCTTGCAGCTTTTGTCAGTGTCTTTCCCATATAGTGTCTCAAAGCCTTGCTCCAAGTTAGCTCCAGGACTTAAGAGAAACAAAGTACTATTCTTTGGCTTGGATTGCTTGACTCCCCAATGGAAAGATGAGTTATGGAGGGAAGCTCTCTGTCTTTCTCACATACTGGGGCTCACTCACTTTTATCAGCTGGACACCATCATGGAGGCTGTTTTCTCATGTTCTCCTCTCTGGGATCAGAGGTGTCCTTCATGATTCGTGTGTGTTCCCATTTATTTTCTTGAACTAAAGCTCACAGAGTTTATGCTTATGCACTATTTTGCTGTTTTCAAGTGGCGAATGTATCCTAAAAGTCTCTAATCCTCTGTCTTGAATAGAAAATTTTTAAATAGTATTTCCTATTACCTTTGCCTGAAATGGTGTGATAAGTCCTATTAAAATATGACATCTATTGATACTATTCAAAAGATTTTATACAAAGTGTTATATTTTTTACCAAAAAGAATTTGTTTTTAAATTAAATGTATAATAGTTTTAATTACATTACCTTGGTGTGCCTTTTTTTCCAATAATAATATGGAATCTATTAACCATTAAGAGTGGGGATTTAATTAAAGAGTTTACCAATTAGCATCATAGTTAAATTTAGAAATGCTAACATTGCTATGTGTTTCAATATTGGTATAAGCTAACCCCACAGGCACATTTCCATGCCTTCAAGCCAACCGCATTCCAGTTTTCTGCCCACAGAATCTCACTGATTTATTATTCCAAAAGAAACCGACAGTTTCCAACAACTGAAATGATTCAATTGCCATTAATTGAAATGGAAATTCTGCAGGAAGACTATGTCTGAGAGCATGAGATCAAGAGCTTAGTTTTAATTTTGTTAAATTTGGTATGCTCATCAGACATCCAAATAGAGCTGCTAGTAGCCATTTTACTATCATAGTATAGTTTAGAAGAGAGTGAATATCCTAGAGAAATGAAGGATGGTTGCCAACAATCAAGCAAGGCCCAATTAAAGTTAAAAATAATAAATGTAAGAAAGGAACAGTTGTGGGTTTTCCTCTAACTGTATTCGGCCACGAGTACTGTCACAAATTAGGTGGAAATTTTTAATTTTGCAGGTTTTTATTTTGCCAATTGAGTACAGTGAAGTGAGAAATGGAAAAGAACAGAGTCAATACAAGAATGTGATTATTATGGCTTATCATGAAATTTAAGCTGTGTGAAAGAAAACTGGAAATACGAGGGATAAAGACACATTTGAAAGTTAATGATTTGAGGTCCTGATGCTATCAAAGGATTGCTGCAGATACAGTACAAGGAATAGTAGGCTGAAAATTTAGGAAAGACTGCTAAGAGAGTAATTTGTATTAAACTGAAATGACGGAAGGGTAGCAGTTCCTGGTAATTATACAGAATATGATAGGACCAAGAGAATAAGTTGTTGGTGAGGTAGGGTCAATATTAAGTTCATTGGACAGAAATTTTAGGAATGTAGAGGCTATGATTTTGGAATAGTCATATACTGATATATTGCAATTGCCAAGAACAATTACAGGAGTGATATTAGAAAGCATTTCAGTGAGCCAGGAACTAAAATCTTCAAAATAATTTATTGGAAGACAGACTGTGGCAAGTAATCCAGTCATCTAAAACTAATGACAACATGAAATTTAAAACTGGAATATTTTTTAAATGGGGAGGGGAGAGAATATTCTGAAAGTAGCAATGAGGAAAAACTATGACATTTAACTCACTCTGCAGGTCGAATAATGTGCATGGTTTTTGAGAAAATAAAAAAACACCACTTAGGAGAGTTGAAGGGAAGACTATGTCCTCAGAGAGTGGGAATCAAATAGAAGCACAAAGGTAAAGATAGATCCAGGTTTCTCAGGTCAGCAGTATTGACATTTTGGGCTGAATACTTATTTTTCTTGGAATAGGCTATTTTATGTGTTGTAGGTTGTTTAAAAATATCCCTGGTGTCTACCCATTAGATGCCTGTAGCAATATGTCTTCCCCGATTGTGACAATATATGTCTTTCTGACATTATCAAATATCTCTTGGGGGAAAAAATTACCCCTGAGTGACAACCACTTGGCTGGATAACAGAAAAGCTGAGGAGATAGGGAATTTTTCTCAGGAATTTGTCTACTTTGGTCCTTATAGTAAAATTATTTCCATCTTATACTATTTCTCTTATTGAAAATAACTCAAAAAAATCAAGTAAAATATGGGCCAAGAGCAGTGGCTCATGCCTGTAATCCCAGCACTTTGGGAGACTGAGGCAGATGGATCACTTGAGGTCAGAAGTTCAAAACCAGCATGGCCAACATGGTGAAACCCCATCTCTACTAAAAATACAAAAAATTAGCCAGACGTGGTGGTGCACAGCTGTAGTCCCAGCTACTTGGGAGATTAAGGCAGGAGAATCACTTGAACCCAGGAGGTGGAGGTTGCAGTGAGCCAAGGTTGCACCACTGCACTCTAGCCTGGGTGACAGAAAGAGACTCTGTAAAAAAAAAAAAAAAAAAAAAAAAAAAAAAAAAAAAAAAAAAACAAACAAACAGAAATTTGCGATATGTAGCAGACTGCATAACTTCCATTGTGAAATAATAAATTTTCCTTATGGATGAAAACATGGTTATCAAAAACAGAGAAATATACTTAATTAAGAGATTAGAGGATAATATGGTAGAGAGGACACAGGGTTAATGTGCAGCTCTTACTTGGATGAACAAAACAGCATGTAGAAACTCACACCGTTACTTTCTGCTCCTAGAACCACCAGAAGAATAAGCCAAAAAAAAAAATTACTGAAAGAATTCACAGATCCTTTGAAAGCAGTGGCATGCCACTGCAAATTCCAAAAAATTGGCAAAAAAAAACCCTCTGAGTTCCCAAAATATGAGAGGGAGAAAACCTGCTTCTGAACACATATCCCCACTAGAGAATCTGAAAATCAAGATCACAGGAGAAGGATTTAACCTTACCTAGAGCTGAAATGGATTCAGGGAGTCAAAATATTAAAGTGGAAGCAGCAGTGGGAAGTGTCTTGTAGGCACTCCCAGCCTCCACCTTGAGCTCAAGGACAACATCTTTGACTATATCTCACAGGGGCCCTTGAGAAAGGCAGCCAGCAGAATTTGGAAGGGGTTGCACGGTGAAAAAAGCTTAAAACTGAAACTGGTAGTGGTTTCAACCGGACACAAATTTTCATGAGTGGAGTCCAGGGGATGAGAGGGAGCTGCTGCAGGAGCTCCTGTCAAAGGAATGAGCAGACAGGGAAGAGCAAGGTCCAAAAGCCATGCTTGCTTTCTCAGAGGGGAAGCTCACAGCCTGGGGCAAGGTTTGAGTGGAGCACTATGATAGTGAGACCAACCTCACCAAGTGTGTGGGAGCTGGGTGAGGTCTCTTGCTACCAACTATCCAACACTTCTCTGGCAAATTTTATGAAACAGAGGAGGCAGCCAAGATCCCCCTCAGGAACATAATCTCATTTGTCTGAGAACCAGACCCCCATTCTCCAACCAGCAAGCTCTGCCCCAGGAGTGTCTCAGCCCAGACCTGCCTAACACTGCTCCTACCTGATAGTATTTCTCTACCGACACTGGTAGCCAACCACAACAGACAGAAACTCTTAGGAGTTTTATGGCCCTACCTACCACCTGAGAAACCAAAATACTTACTCTGGCCAACTTAGGGCAAGCTTAGAGCCCCCTACTACTAATGCAGCTGGTGCTCTCTTGAAAGCACCACCTCCTGGCTGGAGGCCAACCAATTCAGCCCATTACAGCAACTCATGGCAGAATAACCCTGATTCCAGTAAGAAGAAGACAACGAATTATTCCACTGCCTGCAACATCCTGGCTAACCAGAGGTCCTGAGTGTGTCCACGTGACAATTTTACTGCTAGCATAACCAGCATTTAAGAAAGCCAGCACATGGGAGGCTGAGGCAGGAGAATGGCATGAACCCGGGAGGCGGAGCTTGCAGTGAGCCGAGATCCCGCCACTGCACTCCAGCCTGGGCGACAGAGCGAGACTCCGTCTCAAAAAAAAAAAAAAAAAAAAAAGAAAGCCAGCACACTAAACATATCTAAAACCAAAGACTCTCACAGAGTCTGCTTCACTCCCTTGACACCTCCACCAGAGCAGGTGCTAGTATCAATGTCTTGGAGACCTAAAGATGGATCACATCACAGGGACTCTTTGCAGACATTCCCTAGCACCCGCTTGGCAGCTCCACAAGGTGGTTAGGCCAAGAAGAACAATAACAATCACTGCAGTCCAGCTCTCAGAAAGTCCTATCCCTTGGGGAAGGGGGAGAGCATCACATCAAGGGACCATCCCCTGGGTCAAAAGAATCTGAACGGCAGGCCTTGAGTTCCAGACATCTCCACTGAAATAGTCTACCCAAGTGAGAAGGAACCAGAAAAGTAATTCTGCTACAATGAAAACACAGGGCTCTATAACACCCCCAAAATATCACATCAACTCCCCAGCAATGGATCCGAACCAACAAGAAATCTACAAAATGCCAAATAAAAATTCAGAAGGTTGATTATTAAGCTACTTGAGATATCAGAGAAAGATGAAAAACAACTTAAAGAAATTTTAAAAAGTACACGATATGGATGAAAAGTTTTCCAGAGAAACAGATATCATAAAGAAAAAACAATCACAACTTCTGGAAATAAAAGATAAACTTACAGAAATACAAAATGCAATGGAAAGCTTCAACAATAGACCAGAACAAGTACAAGAAAGAACTTCAGAGCTCAAAGACAAGGCTTTTGAATTAACCCAATTAACAAAGACAAAGAAAAAAGGGTTTTAAAGATGCACAAACCCTCCGAGAAATTTGGAATTATGTTAATGCCAAAAACTAGGAATACTTGTTATTCCTGAGGAAGAAGAGAAATCTGAGTTTGAAAAATTTATTTGGGGGAATAATTGAGGAAAACTTTCCTGGCCTTGCTAGAGATCTAGAAATCCAAATTCAAGAAGTGCAAAGAACACCTGGGATGTGAAATTCATCACCAAAAAGATCATCACATAAGCGCATTGTCATCAGGTTATCTAAAATCAAGACAAAGGAAAGAATCTTAAGAGCTGTGAGGCAAAAGCAAAGGGAAAAGGGAAAACTATCAATTAACAGCAGATTTCTCAGCAGTAACTTTACAAGTCAGAAAAGATTGGGGTCTCATCGTTAGCCTCCTGAAACAATATAATTGTCAGCCAATATTTTTGTATCCAGGAAAACTAAGCTTCATAAATGAAGAAGAGAGAAAGTCTTTTTCAGACAAACAAATGTTGAGAGAATTTGCCACTACTAAGCCAGCACTACAAGAAATGCTAAAATGCTTTCTAAATCTTGAAACAAAATCTTGAAGTACACTAAAATAGAACCTCTTTAAAACATAAAATCTCACAGTGCCTATAAAACAATAAAAGAATGAAAAAAAAAGAAACCCAAGGTATTAAGGCAACAACTAGCATTATAAATAGAAAAATACCTCATATCTGAATACTAATATTGAATGCAAATAACTTAAATGCTCCATTTAAATGATATGGAATAACAAAATAGACAAAAATCCACCAACCAAGTATCTGCTGTCATCAAGAGACTTACCTACCACATAAGAATTTACATAAACTTAAGGTAAAGGGATGGAATAAGATATTCCATGCAAATGGAAACCAAAAGCAAGCGGGAGTAGCTACTCTTATATCAGACAAAACAGACTTTAAAGAAACAACAGTAAAAACAAAATAAAGAGAGACATTGTATAATGATAAAAGCATTAGTCCAATGGGAAAATATCACAATATTAAATACATATGCACCTAACACTGGAGCTCCCAAATTTATAAAACAATTATTACCAGACCTAAGCAATGAGATAGGTGGCAGTACAGTAATAGTGGGGGACTTCAACACTCCACTGACAGCACTAGACTAATAATAAAAACAGAGAGTCAATAAAGAAATGATGGACTTAAACTATGCACAAGAACAAATGGAGTTAAAAGATATTTACAGAACATTCTTATCAACAACTGCAGAGTATACACTGTTTTTATCAGCACATGGAACATTCTCCAAGATAGACCACATGATAGGTCACAAAAAAAGTCTGAATAAATTTAAGAAAATAGAAATTATATCAATAATCCTCTCAGACTATAGTAGAATAAAACTGAAAGTTAACTCAAAAAGGAACTCTCAAAACTATAGAAAAACATGGACATTAAATAATTTGCCCATGAATGATCTTTGGGTCAACAATGAAATCAAGATGGAAATTAAAAATTTACTTAACCTGAATGGTAATAGTGACAAAACTTATCAAAACCTCTGGGATAAAGCAAAAGCGATGCTAGGAGGAAAGTTCATAACATTAGATGCCTACATCAAAAAGTCTGAAAGAGCACAGATAGACAATCTAATGTTACACCTCAAGGAACGAGAGAAACAATAACAAACCAAAGTCAAACACTGCAGAAGAAAAGAAATAACAAAGATCAGAGCAGAACTAAGTAAAACTGAAACAAATAAACAAAAAATACCTAAGATAAATGAAGTAAAAACTCGTTCCTTGAAAAGATAAACAAAATTGATAGACCATTAGATTGATTAACCAATAAAAGAAGAGAGAAGATCCAAATAAGCTCAATTAGAATGAAATGAGAGATATTACAACTGATGCCACAGAAATAGAAAATATCATTCAAGGCTACTGTAAACACCTTTACTTTTACCAACTGGAAAATGTAGAGAAGATGGATAAATTCCTAGAAATATACAACTCTCCTAGACTACATCATAAAGAAATAGAAACTCTGAACAGACCAATAACAGTAGTGATATTGAAACAGTAATTTTTTAAAATCGCCAACCAAAAAATTTCAGGACCAGATGAATTTGCAGGTAAATTCTATCAGACATTCAAAGAATTGGCACCAATCTTACTGAAACTATTCTAAAAAATACAGAAAGAGGGAATCCTCCCTAAATCGTTTTGTGAAGCCAGTATCACCTTAATACCAAAACCAGAAAAGGACATGACAAAAAAAGAAAACTACAGACCAATACCCCTAATGAACATAAATGCAAAAATCCTTAAGAAAATACTAGCTAAGTGAATCCAACACCATATCAGAAAGATAATACGTCATGATCAAGTGGGTTTCATACCAGGGATGCAGAGATGGTTTAATAAACGCAAGTTTATGTGATACATCACATAAACTATATTAAAAACAAAAATCATAAGATCATCTCAATAGATGCAGAAAAAGCATTTGAAAAAATATAGCATCCTTATGATTAAAAACCTTGTCAAAATTGGCATAAAAGGGACATACTTTAAAGTAATAAAAGGCATCTATGACAAATCAACAGCCAACATTTATATTGAATGTACAAAAGTTGAAAGCATTCCCCCTGAGAACTGGAAAAAGACAGGAATGTCCGTTTTCACCACTGCTGTTTAACATAGTACTGAAAGTTAAAGGGCATCCAAATCTCTAAAGAGAAATTCAAACTGTCACTGTTCACCAATGATATAACGTCATACCTAGAAAACCCTAAAGATTCATCCAAAAAGCTCCTAGATCTGATAAATCAATGTATTGTAGTTTCAGGATACAAAATCAATGTACACAAATTAGTAGCACTGCTAAACACCAACAATTACCAAGCTGAGAATCAAATCAAGAACTCAATCTCTTTTACAGCAGATGCAAAATAAATGAATGAATGAATGAATGAATAAATAAATAAAATACTTAGAAATATACCTAACCAAGGAGGTGAAAGATCTCTACAAGTAAAAGTACACAACACTGCTGAAAGAAATCATCAATGACAAAAACAAATGGAAACACATCCCATGCTCATGGTTGGATAGAATCGATATTGCAAAAATGACCATTCTGCCAAAAGGACCCTACAGATTTGATGCAATTCCCATCGAAGTATTATCATCTTTCTTCACAGAACTAGAAAAAACAATCTTAAAACTTATATGTGATATGGTTTGGATCTGTCCTCACTAAAATATCATCTTTAATTGTAGTTCTCATAATTCCCACATGTCATGGAGGGACCTGAAGGGAGGTAATTGAATCCTGGGTGCAATTTCATCCATGCTATTCTCATAATAGTGAGTAAGTTCTCACAAGATCTGATGACTTAATAGGGAACTTTTCCCTTCACTCAGTTCTCATTCTTCTTCTGCCTGCCTCCATGTGAAGAAGGAAGTGTTTGCTTCCTCTTCCACCCCAAATGTAAGTTTCCCAAGACCTCCACAGCCATGCTGAACTGTGAGTCAATTAAACCTCTTTCTTTTATAAACTACCAAGTCTGGGGTATGTCCTTTTTAGCAGCATGAGAATGGACTAATACAATATGGAACCAAAAAATAGCTCAGATAGCCAAAGCAAGACTTAGTAAGAAGAATAAATCTGGAGGCATCACATTACCTGACGTCAAGCTATACTACAAGGCTGTATTTACCAAAACGGCATAGTACTGATATAAAAATAGGTGCATAGACCAATGTAACAGAATAGAGAACCCAAAAATAAAATGAAATAGTTATAGCCAACTGATCTTTGACAAAGCATACAAAACATAAAGTGGGAAAATGACACCCTATTCAATAAATGTTGCTGGTATAATTGGCATGCCACATGTAGAAGAATGAAACTGGATCCTCATCACTCACTTTATGAAAAAATCAACTGAAGATGGATCAAATACTTAAATCTAAGACCTGAAATTCTAAAAATTATAGAAGATAACATTAGAAAAACTCTTCTAGATGTTGACTTAGGCAAATATTTTGTGACCAAAAACCCAAAAGCAAATGCAACGAAAACAAAAATAAACAGATGGGACCTAATTAAACTAAACAATAACAACAAAACTTAAAACAAGAGCTTCTGCACAGCAAAAGAAATAATCAGCAGAGTAAACAGACATCCCACAGAATGGAGAAAATATTCACAAACTGTGCATTCAACAGAGGACTCATATCCAGAATTTAAAAGGAACTCAAACAAATCAGCAAGAAAGAAACAGATAATCTCATCAAAAAGGAGGCAAACGACATGCATAGACAATTCTCAGAAGATATACAAATGGTCAACAAACATACAGTAAAATACTCAACATCACTAATCATCATGGAAATGCAAATTAAAATTACAAGGAGATACTACCTTACTCCTGCAAGAATGGCCATAATTTATAGAATCAAAAAATAATAGATGTGGGCATACTCAACATCACTAATCATCATGGAAATGCAAATTAAAACTACAAGGAGATATCACCTTACTCCTGCAAGAATGGCCATAATTTAAAAAATCAAAAAATAATAGATATTGGCATATATGTGGTAAAAAGAGAACACTTTTACACTGCTGGTGGGAATGTAAACTAGTACAACCACTATGGAAAACAGTGTGGAGCTTCCTAAAAAACTAAAGTAGAACTACCATTCAATAAAGCAATCCCACTACTGACTATCTACCCAAAGGAAGGGAAGTCATTATATGAAAAAGACACTTGTACATGCATGTTGATAGATGCACAATTTGCAATTGCAAAAATATCGAGCCAGCCTAAATGTCCATCAGGCAACAAATGGATAAAGAAAATGTGGTATATATACACCATGGAATACTATTCAGCTATAAAAAGAATGAGATAACGTTATTTACAGCAACCTGGATGGAATTGGAGACCATTATTCTAAGCGAAGTAACTCAGGAATAAAAAAACAAATATCATATTTCTCACTTATAACTGGGAGCTAAAGCTATAAGTATGCAAAGGCATATGAATGATATAATGGACTTTTGGGCCTCAGGGATCAGGGCAGGAGTGGGGTGAGGGAATAAAAGTGTACACACTGGGTACAGTGTACACTGCTTGGGTGATGCACACAGCACAATCTCAGAAGTCACCACTAAAGAATTTATCCATCTTACTCATGTAACCAAAAACCATCTTTTCCATGAAAATTTTTGAAATTATATATATATATACACATATATAATATATATATAATACAGTACATTGTACATGTTATAGCATAAGATAGAATCTACATTAGCATCATTCACTGCAAGTACTTTAGTTTTAAGATATTGCTATCCTTTCTTGGGTTTTCTACAGTGCTCTCATAACCTTTCAATCTTCATTTGGTCAGGCTCTCCTCACCCTTTCACATTTTCTACACAATACTAAGGGTAAGAATACTCTGGTCATGTTGGTCCCTTGACTAGCCTCAAATCATCTTGGTTTCCCATCGCATGGAGAATAAAATGGAACTGCTTACAATGGTCTTCAGGTACTACAAGATTAAGCCCTACCTACCTTTCCAACACATCTGAGATTACTCTTTTTCTTGGGCCATAAATTCCAACCATAATGTGTGTTTTCTTCAAATATTTAAGGACAAAATCATTGCCACCTCAGTATTAATGCATTGTATGTTTTCTCTGTCAGGAATTCTCTTTGTCTCACACTGTCTCCTCATTATTGAGATGATAATGACTCAAGTATTACAACCTCATCTCCTTGCATCACCACTCAATGTAAATTAGATGCCACAATAATCTGAGAAAGTAACTGCCAGTCACGATTATATCATCCTGTTTTAGGTATTTTTGTGATAGTTTGGATATGGTTTGTTTGTTCCCACCAAAGCTTATGCTGAAATTTGATCTCCAGTTTGGTAGTGTTCAGAGTTGGGACCTAGCAGGATATGTTTGGGTTGTGGGGGCAAATCCCTCCTCAATGATTTGGTGTCATTTTCGCTATAGTGAGTGGAGTTTTACTTTTGCAACTGGATTATTTATCACAGGACTAAATTGGTTCCCAAGAGCGTAGGTTTTTATAAACCAGAAAAACCCTCAGAATTTCTTCCCTGTTCACAAGTGTCTGCTTCCCCTTTAACCTTCTCCACCATGTTGTGACATACATACAACCCCTCACTAGAAGCCAAGGCCATTCCCTTCAATTTCCTAGCCTGCAGAATGATCAGCAAAATATGCTTCGTTTCTTTGTAAATTACTCAGTCTCCAGTATCCTTTTATAGCAATACAAAATGGACTAAAACAGAAATTGGTATCAAGAAGTGGGGTTATGCTGATAACAAATAACTAAAAATGTGGAAGTGGCTTTAGAAATGGGTAATGGGAGAGGTTGAAAGAGTTTGGAGAAGTCAGAAGAAGACAAAAAGAAAAGGGAAAGTTTGGAATCTCTTGAGACTGGTTAAATGGTTGTGACTAAAATGCTGATACAAATGTAGACAGTAAAGATTATTCTGATGAGGTCTCATACGTAAATGAGGAGGAATTCATTGGGAAGTGGAGCAGAGGTCACCTATATTACACCGTAGCAAAGACATTGATGGCATTGTTTCCATAACCTAAAAATTTCTGGAAGGCTGAACTTAGGAGTGATGGCCTCAGGTATCTGGTTAAAAAAAAGATTCTAAGCAGCAAAGTACTCAAGAAGTTAAGTGATTGCTAATGGCAGTGTATGCTCAGTTACAGCAGCAAAGAAATTATTTAGGGCAGCATTATAATTTGAAGGGAAACAGAGTGTAAAAATATATAAAATTTGCAGCCTGGCCATGTGTTGGAGAATGAAAGAGCATTTTCAGGAGAATTCAAGGGAGCTGCACAGCAGTTGCTTGCTAAAAAGTAATTAGTACAGATAAAAGAAAACAGAGCCATATGTTAATAGTCAAGACCATGGGGAAAAGACCTCAAAGGCATTTCGGAGATCTATGAGGTTGCCCCTCCCATCACAAGCCCAGAGACCTAAGAGAGCTGAATAGTTTTGAGGATGGGCTCTGGGAAGCTGCTGCCTTGAGATGTTACTCCTTACATCCCAGCTGTTCAGCCTCCAAATACAACTCAAATGGCCCCAGATACTGCTCAGGCTGCTGCTCTGGAAAGCACAGGTGGTAAGCCTTGGCAGATTACATATGGAATTAGGTCTGCAGGCATGCAGAAGGCAAAAGCCTTGGAGGCTTAGCAATTTCCACTCGGATTTCAGATGACATAGAGAAGAGCCTAGAAACACAGGCAGAAAATTGCCAAAGGGATAGAGGCACCATTCAAAGTACCCATGAAGGCAATGCCTAGTGGAGCCACAGGAGTAGGTCTGCCTCAGAGATCCCAGGATTATAGAGGCGCCAGGAGTGTGTTTCATGCATGTCCATGTGAAGAGACCACCAAACAGGCTTTGTGTGAGCAATAAGGCTGTTTATTTCACCTGGGTGCAGGCAGGCTGAGTCCGAAAAGAAAGTCAGCGAAGGGAGATAGGGGTGGGGCCGTTTTATAAGATTTGGGTAGGTAAAGGAAAATTACAGTCAAAGGGGGGTTGTTCTCTGGTGGGCAGGAATGGGGGTCACAAGGTGCTCAGTAGTGGAGCTTTTGAGCCAGGATGAGCCAGGAGAAGGAATTTCACAAGATAATGTCATCAGTTAAGGCAGGAACAGACCATTTTCATTTCTTTTGTGGTGGAATGTCATCAGTTAAGGCAGGAACCGGCCATCTGCATGTGTACGTGCAGGTCACAGGGGATATGATGGCTTAGCTTGGGCTCAGAGGCCTGACATTCCTGTCTTCTTATATTAATAAGAAAAATAAAATGAAATAGTGGTAAAGTGTTGGGATGGCGAAAATTTTGGGGGATGGTATGGAGAGATAATGGGCAATGTTTCTCAGGGCTGCTTCGAGCGGGATTGGGGCAGCGTGGGAACCTAGAGTGGGAAAGATTAAGCTGAAGGAAGATTTTGTGGTAAGGGGTAATATTGTGGGGTTGTTAGAAGAAACATTTGTCATGTAGAATTATTGGTGATGGCCTGGATACGGTTTTGTATGAATTGAAAAACTAAATGGAATAAGAAAAGGAGAAAAACAGGTATTAAAGGTCTAAGAATTGGGAGGACCTAGGACATCTAATTAGAGAGTGCCTAAGGAGATTCAGCATAGCTCTGCCAGCAAAGATTATTTATTTACTTTAAGAGTTAAGAGTGGCAGTTTGGCGATAGCACCAGGAGATATCAGCTGTGATGGCTTGGAAAAGCAGTGTAAACTGGCAGTGTAATCAAGAGCAGGGCATGTGTGAGTAGTTGAGAACGGTGAATAGGAGTATGACTAGAGAGAAGATAGTAGGGATGAGAAGTTTTTTGGGGCACAGTCTAAGTTAGTCTGGTGTCTGGAATGAGACTGGGGCCTAATAAAAAGGAGCGTCTATACAGGAGCTTAAATGGGCTGTACCCTGTAGCATTCCGAGGACAGGCCTGAATTCTGAGAAGGGAAAGAGGTAAAAGTATTGTCCAGTCCCTTTTAAGTTGGTGGCTGAGCTTGGTGAGGTGTGTTTTTAAAAGACCTTTAGTCAGTTCTACTTTTCCTGAAGACTGAGGACCATAAGGGATATAAAGGTTTCACTGGATACTAAGAGCCTGAAAAACTGCTTGGCTGATTTGACTAATAAAGGCCTGTCTGCTATCGGACTGTATAGAGGTGAGAAGGACAAACCGAGGAATTATGTCTGACAGAAGGGAAGAAATGACCGTGGTGACCTTCTCAGACCCTGAGGGAAAGGCCTCTACCTATCCAGTGAGTTACTACCGAGACTAAGAGGTATTTTAGTTTTCTGACTTGGGGCATGTTGAGTAAAGCCAATTTGCCAGTCCTGGGTGGGGGTAAATCTCTGAGCTTGATGTGTAGGGAAGGGAGGGGGCCTGAATAATCCCTGAGGAGTAGTAGAATAGCAGATGGAACACTGAGAAGTTATTTCCTTGAGGATAGATTTCTACGATGGAAAGGAAATGAGAGGTTCTAAGAGGCGGGCTAGTGGCTTGTACTATAGCATAGCCTGCCTTTGCTGGTGTGTGGCGATTAGGCCTGGTAGAACTGCCATCAATAAATCAAGCGTGATCAGGGTGAGGAACAGGGAAGAAGGAAATATGGGGAAATGGGGTGAATGTCAGTTGGATCAGAGAGATACAGTCATGGGGGTCAGGTGTGGTATCAGGAATAATGTGGGAGGCCGGATTGAAGTCCGGGTCAGGAACAATGGTAATTGTGGGACTCATCAAAGAGTGAGTACAGCTGAAGGAGCTGGGGAGCAGAGCGTATATGTGTCAGGTGTGAGGAAGAAAATAGATTTTGGAAGTTATGAGACCTGTAGAGAGTGAGTTGAGCATAGTTTGTGATTTTAAGGGCTTCTAAAAGTATTAGGGCAGCGGTAGCCGCTGCACACAGACTTGAGGGCTAGGCTAAAACAGTAAGGTCAAGTTGTTTGGATAAAAAGGCTACAGGGTGCAGTCCCGGTTCTTGTGTAAGAATTCCAAATGCACAGCCCTGCACTTCGGCTGTGGGTAATTAAAAGGGCTGGGATGACTCAGGGAGAGCTAGGGCGGGGGCAGTCTCTAAAGCTGTCTTCAAGGAACTGAAAAAGGAGTGGGGAAAGGATTTAGGATCTATGGGGTCAGCTAAGTTTCTTTTTGTGAGTTTATATAATGGTTTTGTTAAGATGTCAAAACCAGGTATCTAAAGTCGAAAATACCTAACCATGCCTAGGACATAGATGGTGTTGGGGTTTGAGAGATCAGCCAGACACAATCAGCAGGGAGGGCACGGGCGTTTTTATGAGAATTGTGCCCAGATAGGTAACAGATGAGGAAGAAATTTGGGCTTGACTGAAGTAATGGGAGCTGTCTGTGAAGCCTTGCGGCAGTACAGCCTAGGTAATTTGCTGAGCCTAATGGGTGTCAGGGTCAGTCCAAGTCCAGCAAAGAGAGGCTGGGATGAAGGGTGCAAAGGAATAGTAAAGAAGGCATGTTTGAGATCCAGAACAGAATAATGGGTTGTGAAGGAAGGTATTGAGGATAGGAGAGTATATGGGTTTGGCATCACGGGGTGGATAGGCAAAACAATTTGGTTGATAAGGCACAGATGCTGAACTAACCTGTAAGGCTTGTCTGGCTTTAGGAAAGGTAAAATGGGGGAATTGTAAGGAGAGTTTATAGGCTTTAAAAGGCCATGCTGTAGCAGGTGAGTGATAACAGGCTTTAATCCTTTTAAAGCAAGCTGCGGGATGGGATATTGGCATTGAGCAGGGTAAGGATGATTAGGTTTTAATGAGATGGTAAGGGGTGCATGATCAGTCACCAAGGAGGGAGTAGAGGTATTCTATGCTTGTGGGCTAAGGTGGGGAGATACAAGGGGAGGATGTGAAGGAGGCTTTGAACTGGGGGAAAAGGCGGCAATGAGGCGTGGCTGTAGCCCAGGAATAGTCAGGGAAGCAGATAATTTAGTTAAAATATCTCGGCCTAATAAGGGAACTGGGCACGGGGGGATAAGTAAAAGGAGTGCTTAAAGGAGTATTGTCTAAGTTGGCACCAGAGTTGCGGAGTTTTAAGGGCTTTAGAACCTGGCTGTCAATACCTACAACAGTTATGGAGGCAAGGGAAACAGGCCCTTGGAAAGAAGGTAATGTGGAGTGGGTAACCTCCCTATTGATTAAGAAGGGGACGGACTTACCCTCCACTGTGGGAGTTACCCAGAGCATCTGTGATGGTCTTGTAGGCTTCCGAGGCAATTGGGCAGTGTCAGTCTTCAGCTGCTAAGCCAAGAGGATCTGGGAAGGAGTCAGACACCCTTGGGCCAGAGTTCCAGGGGCTCTGGAAGTGGCTGCCAGGTGAGTTGAGCAGTCCGATTTTCAGTGGGGTCCTGCACAGATGGGACATGGCTTAGGAGGCATCCTGGGCTGTGGGAATTCCTTGGCCCAGTGGCCAGATTGCTGGCACTTGTAGCAAGCTCCTGGGGAGGCAGGCCTGGAGGAATGCCTGGCCACTGTGGTTTAGGCGTTTGGAGTTCTTGTGTGCTGGAGATGTGGCTGGGGTTTGTCTCACAGTGGAGGCAAGGAATTGCAACTCAGAAATATGTTGCTACTTGGCTGCCTCTACTCTATTATTGTACACCTTGAAGGCGAGGTTAATTAAGTCCTGTGGTGGGGTTTGAGGGCCGGAATTTAATTTTTGGAGTTTTATTTAATGTCAGGAGCGGATTGGGTAATAAAATGTATATTGAGAATAAGACGGCCTTTTGACCTTTTAGGGTCCAGAGCTGTAAAGAGTCTCAGGGTTGCTGCCAAACGAGCCATGAACTGGGCTGGGTTTTTATATTTGATTAAAAAGAGCCTAAACACTCTCCGATTTGGGACAAAGAAAAAGGAGCATTAACCTTGACTGTGCCTTTAGCTGCAACCACCTTTTTAAGAGGAAATTGCTGGGCAGGTGGGAGAGGGCTACTCACAGAATGAAACTGTAAGCCAGACCGGGTGTGAGGAGGGGAGGTGATAAAAGGATTATAGGGTGGAGGAGCAGAGGCTGAGGAAGAATTGGAACCTAACTCAGCCTGGCGAGGAGGGGAGAGGTCAGATGGGTCTGTAGAAAAGGAAGATTAGAAAGACTCAGCAATGCTTGGGCTTGGGACTGAGGGGACAGGCGGGAGGGAAAGAAGGAAGATTTGGGATGAGTTGCATTGGGAATAGAGACTAGGGAGGGGCTGATGTGTAAAAGAATGCCTGGACATCAGGCACCTCAGACCATTTGCCCATTTTACGACAAGAATTATTTAGATCTTGTAGGATGGAAAAAATGAAAGTGCTGTTTTCTGGCTATTTGGAACCACTGTCGAGTTTGTATTGGGGTCAAGCAACATTGTAGAAGAAAATAAGGCATTTAGGTTTTAGGTCAGGTGTGAGTTGAAGAGGTTTTTAGGTTTTTAAGAACACAGGCTAAGGGAGAAGAAGGGGGAATGGAGGGTGGAAGGTTGCCCATAGTGAAGGAGGCAAGCCCAGAGAAAAGAGAGAGTAGAGACACGGAGAGAAGGGGTTCGGGGGTTCTTACCTTCCATAAAAGTGGGAAAGGGGTTGGGGCATGGAAATAAGGGGTTGAAGTGCAGAGATAAGAGGTCGGGGCATGGAAATAAGGGATCAGGGCACAGAGATAAGAGGTCAGGGCGTGGAAATAAGGGATCGGGGCACAGAGATAAGAGATCGGGGCACAGAAATAAGGGATCGGGGTGCAGAGATAAGAGGTCGGGGCACAGAAATAAGGGATTGGGGGGTTCTTGCCTCCCAGAAAAGCAGAGAAGGGGTAGAGACAGGGAGAGAAGGGGTTACGGTTCTTGCCCCTCCCCCAGAAAAGTGGGACTTGCAGCTAAGGGTGAAGGACCAAGGCAGGCATCCCTGTGTGGTCAGACACCTCTGAAACGTGGGTGAATAATCAGAGAGGCGTCCCTGCAATGATTAAACACCAAGGGAAGGCTGTCTTCCCAAGTCCGTGACCGGTGCCGGAGTTTTGGGTCCACAGATAAAACGTGTCTCCTTTGTCTCTACCAGAAAATGAAAGGAATTGAAATTAAAAGAAGGGAGAGATTGAAGGGTGGCACCAAGATTGAAAGGAGAAAGTGGTTGAGGGATAGTGAGAGAGGTTGGAGAAGAGGGTAAGAAGAGGCCACTTACCTGATTTAAAATTGGTGAGATGTTCCTTGGGCTGGTGGGTCTGAGGTCCCCAGGTTGTAGGTGGATCTTTTTCCTGGAGCAAAGAGCAGGAGGACAGGGGATTGATCTCCCAAGGGAGGTCCCCTGATCCAAGTCACGGCACCAAATTTCATGCGCATCCGTGTGAAGAGACCACCAAACAGGCTTTGTGTGAGCAGTAAGGCTGTTTATTTCACCTGGGTGCAGGTGGGCTGAGTCTGAAAAGAAAGTCAGCGAAGGGAGATAGGCGTGGGGCCGTTTTATAAGATTTGGGTAGGTAAAGGAAAATTACAGTCAAAGGGTGGTTGTTTTCTGGTGGGCAGGAGTGGGGGTCACAAGATGCTCAGTAGTGGAGCTTTTGAGCCAGGATGAGCCAAGAGAAGGAATTTCACAAGATAATGTCATCAGTTAAGGCAGGAACAGACCATTTTCATTTCTTTTGTGGTGGAATGTCATCAGTTAAGGCAGGAACAGACCATTTTCATTTCTTTTGTGGTGGAATGTCATCAGTTAAGGCAGGAACCGGCCATCTGCATGTGTACGTGCAGGTCACAGGGGATATGATGGCTTAGCTTGGGCTCAGAGGCCTGACAGTGTGCATCTTAGCTTTGAAAAAAACAAAAGCATTGTGCTACAACCCACGAGCACAGCCACATGGGCTAGACTAAACAAAACTATGGAAGTTGGGCTTCCCATGGCCTTTGGAACCCAATCTTTAATCCAGTGTGCCAGTGTGCTCAGAAGGTGACACACTGAGTAAAAGGTTAGCTTAGAGATTTTTTAAAAAAAATTTTGTGGGTCCATAGTAGATGCATATATTTATGTGGTACATGAGACCCTACACTTACAAAGGCATTTCAGAACAAGAAATCCAATTATCATGTTAAGTTATTTTCAAATGTACAATTAATTTATTATTGACTATAGTTACCCTGTTTTGCTATCAAATAGGTCTTATTTATTCTATTTTTATAGTACCATTAACCATCTCAACCACCCCTCCAACCCCTCATTATACTTCCCAGTCACTTGTAACTATCCTTCTACTCTCTATGTCCATGAGTTCAATTATTTAGATTTTTAGATCCCACAAATAAGTGAGAACATGTAATGTTTGTTTTTCTGTGCCTGGCTTATTTCACTTAACATAATGATCTCCAATTCCATTCATGTTGTTGCAAATGACAGAATCTCATTCTTTTTTATGGCTGACTAGTACTCCATTGTGTATGTACCACAATTTCTTTTTTTCTTTCTTTTTTTTTTTTTTTTTTTTTGAGACAGAGTCTTGCTCTGTCGCCTGGGCTGGAGTGCATTGGTGTAATCTCAGCTCACTGCAACTTCTACCTCTCGGGTTCAAGTGATTCTCCTGCCTCAGCCTCCTGAGTAGCTGGGACTACAGGTGCGCACCACCACGCCTGGCTAATTTTTGTATTTTTGGTAGAGATGGCGTTTCACCATATTGGTCAGGCTGGTCTTCAAATCCTGACCTCGTGATCCACCCACCTCAGCCTCACAAAGTGCTGGGATTACAGGCATGAGCCACTGTGCCTGGCCCACAATTTCTTTATCAATTCGTTACCAGTGGCAGGTACCCAAGTTTCCCTGAGTTACCAGTGCCATATATGTTCAGTTCTGCAGTAATTTCAATTCTTGCCTCCTCAGAAAAAAAAAATTGACTGAGGGGCATAAAGTAGAAAAAGGACTGAGGCAAGTTTCAGAGCAGAAGTAGATGTTTATTTCAAAAGGCTTTAGAACAGGAAAGAAAGGAAAGTTCACTTGGAAGGGACCCAAGAAGATGCCTGAAGGTCAAAAGGAGCATTTAACCTTGATCCTAGGGCTTTATAGGCTCTCCTCTTTCCCATGGTTCTTCCCTTAGGGTGGGCTTCCTGAATGCACAGTGCCCTCCTTACCCTTGGGTACTGAGTGCAGTGTGTTTAGGAAGTTGTATGCATGCCCATGTGAGACTTTTTTAATTTTTCTGAAGGTGAGTTCCTGGAAGGTCATACTTCACCATTTTGTCTCTTAGTGTGCATGCTCAGGAAGTTGCTTCTCCCTGGAATCTGCATTCAATTAACACCTTGATGTTAATAGCTGTGAATCATCAGGAGATTGTCTCTCTCTGGCACCCTGGGACCAGCTGCTGAATTATCATTTTTAGAGAGGAAGTGTGATAATTGCTGAACCATCACCTGACATTCCTAGAGGGTGGGGGGTGAGCCCTCTCCTGCCCTGCTCAAGTCTATCTAACTACACACGTTCATCTGTTGATGAACACTTTGGTTGCTTCTAAATCTTAGATATTGTAAACAGTGCTGTAACAAACTTAGGAGTGCAGGAATCTCTTTGATATACTGATTTCCTTTGGGGTATATGCCCAGCAGTGGGATTACTGGATGATATGGCAGCTCAATTTTTAGTGTTTTCAGGAACTTCCAAATTGTTGTTCATACTGGATGTACTAATTTACATTCCCAAAAACAGTGTACAAGCGTTCCCTTTTCTCCACATCCTTGTCAGCAATTGTTATTGCCTGTCTTTTGGTGAGATGCGACTTCATTGTTATTTTCATTTCCATTACTCTGGTGATCCATAATGTTGAGCACCTTTTTATATGCCTGACTGCCATTTGTGTATCTTTTTTTGAGAAATGTGTATTCAAATTTTGTGCCAATTTTTGATCATATTATTTGATTATTTCCTATTGAATTTTTTTAGCTTATTCTACATTCCAGTTATTAATGCCTTGCCAGGTGGATAGTTTGAAAATATTTTTTCCCATTCTGTGGGTTGTCTCTTTGCTTTGTTGATTGTACCCTTTGCTGTGCAGAAGCTTTCTAACTCAACGTGATCTCATTTTTCTAATTTTGCTTTGGTTGCCTGTGCTTCCTGGGTAGTTCTCAAGAGATTTTTGCACAGTTCAATGTCCTGGAAATTTCCCCCAATGTTTTCTTATAGAAGATTCATAGTTTGAGGTCTTAGATTTAAGTCTTAATCCATTTTTTTGATATGGCAAAAGACAGGTGTCTAGTTTAATACTTCTGCATATGGATGTTCAGTTTTCCCAGGACCATTTATTGAAGAGACTGTCTTTTTCCTAATGTAAATTTTTGGCATCTTTGTCGAAAATGAGTTTGCTATAAGTACGTGGAATTGTTACTGGGTTCTCTACTCTGTTCCATTGGTCTATGAATCTTTTTTTATGCCAGTACCATGCTGTTTTGGTTACTAAAGCTCTGAAGTATGATTTAAAGTTAGGTAATGTGAATCCTAAAGTTTCGTTCTTTTTACTAAAGGTAGCTCTGGCTATTCTGGGTCTTTTGTGATTCCATACAAATTTTAGGATAGTTTTTTTCTAGTTTTGTGAATAATATAATTAGTATGTTGATAGGGATTGCATTGAATCTGTAGATTGCTTTGACTAGTATGGGCCTTTTACAATATTGATTCTTCCACTACATGAACATGATTTTTAAAATTTGTTTGATATCCATTTCAATTTCCTTCATCAATGTTTTATAGTTTTTATTAGAGAGATCTTCCATTTCTTTGGTTAAGGTAATACTTATGTATTTATTTTTGGCTATGATAAATGGGATTACTTTTTTATTTTTCACATTGTTCACTGTACACATATAGAAATGTTAGTGATTTTTATTTGTTAATTTTTGTATCCTGCAACTTTACTGAGTTTGTGTATCAGTTCTCATAGTTCTTTTCTGGTGTCTCTAGGTTTTCCCAAATATAAGATTCTATCATCTGCAAAAAATGATAATCTGATTTCTTTCCTTCCAATTTGCTTACTCTTTATTTCTTTCTCTTGTCTGATTTCTCTACCTGGGACTTACCATACTATGTTGAATAGCAGTGGTGACATTGGGCATTCTTGTCATGTTCCAGATCACAGAGAAAAGTCTTTCAGTTTTCCCCCATTCATTATGATACTAGCTGTAGGTTTGTTGTATATGACTTTTATTATGTTGAAGTATGTTTCTTCTATTCCCAGTTTTTTGAGAGGATTTTTTTTATGGAGAAATGTTACATTTTAGCAAATGATTTTTAAGCATTAATTAAAATTATCATATGCTTTTTATCCTTCATTCTGTTGATATAATGTAGCACATTAATTGATTTGCATATGTTGAACCACTCTTGTAGTCCAAGGATAAACTTCACTTGGTCGTGATGAATGATCTTTCTAATGTATTGTTGTATTTTATTTTTTGTTTTTGCTGAGGATGTTTTTTACCAATATTCATCAGAGATATTGGCCTGCAGTTTGTCTTTTTTTTTTAATCTGTCTTTGTTTGGTTTTCATATCAGGATAATACTGGCCTTGTAGAACAAGTTTGGAAGTATTCCTTCCTCCTCTCTTTTTCAGAATAATTTGAGCAGGAAGGTATTAATTCTTCCTTAAATGTTTGGCAGATTTCAGCACTAAAGCCATCAGGTCTCAGGCCTTACTTTACTGGAAGGCTGTTTTTTATGACTTTGAACCCATTGATTGTGATTGGTCTGTTCAGGTTTTTTATTTCTTTCTGGCTCAGTCTTGGAAGGTTGTTTAGTTTCTGGGAATTTGTTAATTTCTTCTAGATTTTCTATTTTATTGGCATATAGTTGCTCATAGTAGCCACTAATGATCCTTTGAATTTCTGCAGTATCAGTTTTAATGTCTTCTTTTTCAATTTTGATTCCATTTATGTTTCTTCTTTCTTAGTTTTTTTTTTTCTGGTTAAAGGTTTACTAGTTTTGTTTAAGTTTTCAGAAAATCAACTTTTTCTGTTATCAATCTTTTGTATTGTTTTCTTTCATTTCTATTTTATTTATTTCTGCTCTAGTCTTTATTATTTCTTTTCTTCTACTATTAATTGTTTTGAGTTTGGTTTGCTGTTGCTTTTCTAGTTTCTTAAGTTTCATAATTAGATTGTTTGATTGATATTATTCCTCTTTCTGATGTAGGCATTTTTAGCTATAAACTTGCTGCTTAATACTGCTTTTCCTGTATCCCATAGGTTTAGTTATGTTGTGTTTATATCACCATTTGTTTCAATAAATTTTTCAATTTTTGTTTTCATTTCTTCCTTGACCCACTAGTCATTCAGGAGCATGTTGTTTAATTTATATGTATTTGTATAGTTTCAAAATTCCTCTTGTTATTAATTTCTAGTTTTATTCTATTGTGGTCAGACAGGCTGCTTGGCATTATTTCAGTACTTTCTAATGGATTAAGACTTGGTTTGTGAGCTAACATGGTCTATTTCTGAGAATAATTCATATGCTGAGAAAAAGAATGTACTCTGCAGTCATTGGGTGAAATATTCTGTGAATATCTATTAGATCCACTTTGTCTATAATACAGATTAAGTCTGATATTTCTGTGTTGATTTTCTGTCTGGAAGATCCATCCAATGCTAAAAGTAAGGTGTTGAAGTCTCCAGATATTTTTGTATTTGCAACCTGTCTCTTTAGCTTTTATATTTGTTTTATATATCTGAGTTCTTCAGTGTTGTTTGCATATATATTTAAAATTGTTATATTATCTTGCTGAATTGACCCCTTCGACATTTTATAGTGACCTTATTTATCTCTTTATAGTTTTGGTTTTGAAAATTATTTTCTCTGATGTATGTATAGTGATTGCTGCTCATTTTTGTTTTCCATTGGCAAGGAGTGTATTTTTCTATTTCTTTATTTTCAGTCCATATATGTATCTTTATAGGTGGAGTGTGTTTCTTGTGGGCAACAAATCAATCAATCTTCTTTTTTCATCCACTTAGCCACTCTATGTTTTTTGATTGGAGGGTTAATCCATTTACATTCAACGTTATTATCGAAAAGCAAGGACTTACTCCTGTCATTTTGTTATTTGCTTTCTTGTTGTTTTATTGTCTTTCCTTTTTTTTTTTCCTCTCTATCTTTCTCTAGTGAAGTTGATTTTCTCTGGCAATGTAATTTAGTTTTTTGCTTTTTATTGTCTGTGTATCCATTTCATGTTTTTTGGACTGAGGTTACCAGGAGGCTTGCAAATACCATTTCGCAACTCATTATTTTAACCTGTTAACAACTTAATAGTATATACCAACAAACAACAAGATAACATCTTAAATTTGTCCCCCTGCTTTTATTATTCTAGTGTAAAAGTTTTTTTTTTCTTCAGCACTTTAAAAATGTCATGGCACTCTCTTTTGTCCTATAAGGTTTCCACTGAAAAGTCTGCTGCCAAGTGTATTGGTGTATTGGAGCTCCATTGTATGTTATTTGTTTTTTTTTTTTCTATATTGCTACTTTTAGGATCCTTTCTTTATCCTTGACTTCAGGGAGTTAGATTATTAAAGACTTCGAGGTAGTCTTCTTTGGGTTAAATCTGCTTGGTGTTCTATATCTTTCTTGTACTTGGATATTGGTATCTTTCTCTAGGTTTGGAAATTCCTTTGTTATTATTTTTCTGAATAAAATTTCTACTCCATCTTTTTCTCTACTTCCTCTTTAAGGCAAATAACTCCTATTTTTGCCCTTTTGAAGTTATTTTCTAGTACCTGTAGGCATGGTTTAATGTTTTTTATCCTTTTTTCTTTTGTGTCCTCTGACTGTGTATTTTCAAATAGCCTGTCTTCAAGTACACTATGTATTCTGATTGATCAGTTCTGCTATTAAAGGACTCTGATGCATTCTTCTATATGAAATTTGCATCTTTCAGCTCCAAAATTTCTGCTTGATTCTTTATAATTATTTTAATCTTCTCATTAAATTTATCAAATAGAATTCTGAATTTCTTCTCTGTGTTATCTGAATGTCTTTGTTTCCTCAACACAGCTATTTTGAACTCTCTGTCTGAAATGTCACATATCTCTGCTTCTCCAAGATTGGTCCCTGGCACCTTATTTAGTTCATTTGGTGAGGTAATGTTTACTTGGATAGTGTTGATGTTAGTAGATATTCTTAGTGTCTGGGCATTGAAGAATTAGGTATTTATTGTAGTCTTCACTCTCTGGGCTTATTCATAACTGTCCTTGGGAAGACTTTCCAGATAATTGAAAAGATTTGGGTGTTGTGGTCTAAGTTGTATCTACCTTAGGGGGTACCCCAAGCCCAGTAATACTGTGGTTCTGTAGATTCTTAGATGTACCACATTGATGGTCTCAGACAAGATCCAGAAGAATTTTCTGGTTTACCAGGCAGAGACTCTTGTTCTCTTCCGTTACATTCTTCTAAACATGCAGAGTTTCTCACTCTGTACTAATCACATAAAGCTTGGAGTGGAGCGACGTAAGCATCACCGTGGCTACCAGCACTATGACTCTGCTATGTCAGACCTCAAGCCAGCACAATACCTCAAGCGTACCCAATGCCTTCTCTAACCACTCCCTGTTATTGCATAAGCCCCTAGGGCTCTAGAATCAGCCAGTTTCAAAGCCATCCAGGCCTGTGTTCTTCCCTTCAGGGTGGCAAGGTTCCCCAGACCCTGTGTGGGTGCAGAGGTGCTCTCTAGGTGACAGAGGCTAGAGTCAAAAAACTTAAAAGTCTACCTGGTGTTCTATTGTACTGTGGCTGAACTGGAACTGAAACCACAAGATGCAGTCCTTCTCACTCTTTCTTCTTCTTTCTAAAAGCAGAGGATTCTCACCCCATAGCCACCACCAACCCAAGCCATGAGGAGTGCTACCAACCTAGCTCTGATGTTTCCTTATGACCCAAGGTCTTTTCAGTCATCTTTCAGTGAATGTTGCCTGGCCTGGGACTAACCCTTCAGGGAAGTGGGATCCCCTCTGACCCAGACAAGTCCAGTAATGCCATTCAAAAGTCGAGTCATGGATTCGGGGACCTCAAGAGCCTGCATGGTGCTCTACTCCCCTGTGGCCTTGCTGGACCTAAGGTGCAAGACAAAGTCCCCTTTGCTCTTCCCTCTGGTTTTCCAAAGCAGAAAGATTTTTTTCCCCATAGCCACCACAGCTTATAATGTTGATTCTCATCTGAAGCCACAGAGTCTCAAAGGCTGACCCAAAGTTCTCTATGTAGTACCTGTGTATCACTGCTGGTTATTCAGCACCCAAAGATTCTTCAGTTAGCAAATAATAAATGTTGAAAAACTGGGTCCTTTCCTTCAAAACAATGAGTTCCCTTTTGACCCAGGGTATGTCTAAAAATGTCATCTGGGTGGTAGGGCCTGGAACAAGGCCTCAAGACTCTGACTCATGCCCTATTCTTCTGTGATGGAGCTAGTATACAAAATAAAAGGAAAAAGTTCCACACTCTTTAAGGAATGGGTCTTGTGGTTTGAGTGCCAGCTGAGCCAATACAATGGAACACCAGGTAGACCTCTAAGGTTTTTGACTCTAGTCCCTGACTTCAGGATTGTACTTTTGAACCCACGCAGGGCCTGGGAAACCTTACCGCCCTGAAGGGAAGGACACAGGACATGCTAACTTAGCCAATGGCTGATCATAGAAAACCAGGGTCTTGAACATAGGCGGTAGCTAGGCAGTGGTTACAGCAGGCTTTGGTGAAGACCCAGTGCTGTGCTGGCTTCAGGTCTGACCCAGATATGAATAATAAAGGGGTCAATTCAGCAAGAGGATACAACAATTTTAAATATATATGCACCCAACATTGGAGTACCCAGACATATAAAGGAAATATTATTAGAGGTAAAGAGAGAGAGGCCCCAGTACAATAATAACTGGAGGCTTCAACACCCCACCTTCAGCATTGGATAACTCTTCCTGGCAGAAAATCAACAAAGAAACATCAGACCTAATCTGCATTCTAGACAAAGAGAATCTAATAGATAATTATAGAATATTTCATCCAACAGCTATAGAATACATGACACATTTTTTCTCAACATATCAATCATCCTCAATAATAAAACATCTGTTAGGTCAAAAAACAAGTCTTAAAACAATTCAAAAAAATGAAATAATATCAGGCATCTTCTCTGACCACAATGCAATAAAACTAGAAATTAATAACAAGAGGAATTTTGGAAACTATACAAATGCATAGAAATTAAACACATGCTCCTGAATGACTAGCGGGTCAATGAAGAAATTAGAAGAAAATTGAAAAGTGTCTTGAAACCAATGATAATAAAAAACACAACATATCAAAACCTATGGGATACAGCAAAAAGCAGTATTAAGAAGTTTGTAGCTATAAGTGCCTACATCAAAAAGGAGGAAAAATGTCAAATGAACAATTTAATGATGCAATCTAAAGAACTAGAAAAGCAAGATCAAACCCAAAAAATAGTTGAAGAAAAGAAGTAATAAAGATCAGCGCAGAAATAAGTGAAATTGAAATGAAAAAAAATACAAAAGGTCAACGAAACAAATTTTTTTTGACAAGTTAAGTAAAATTGACTAAACTTCAGCCAGAGTAAGTAAGAAAAAAGAGAGAAGATCCAAGTAAACAAAATGAAAAGTGAAAAAGGAGACATTACACCTAATACTGCGGAAATTCAAAAGATCATTAGTGGCTAATATGAGCAGCCATTTCAATCACTTGGAAAACCTAGAAGAAATAGACAGATTTCGAGACATAGATCACCTAGCAAGGTTGAACCAGGAAGAAATCCAAATCCTGGACAGACCAATAACAAGTAACGAGACTGAAGCCGTAATAAAAAGTCTCCCATAAAGAAAAGACTAACACTTAATGGCTTCACTGCTGAATTTTACCAAACACTTGAAGAATTAATATTAATCCTACTCAAACTACTCAGCAAAATAGAGGAGAAGAGAGTGCTTCCAAACTGATTCTGAAAGGTCAGTATTATGCTGATACCAAAACTAGACAAAAACACACCAAAAAAAAAGTAAATAAAAAACTGCAGGCCAATATCTCTTATTGATGCAACAATCCTCAACAAAATAACAGCTGATTGGGGAAAAACTGCATGCTTTTTCTCTAAGATCTGGAACATGACAAATATGCCCACGGTTACCACTGTTATTCAACATAGTACTGAAATTCTAGCTAGAGCAATCAGAGAAAAGAAAGATATAAAGACATCCTAATTGAAAATGAAGCAGTCAAACTATCCTTGTTTGCAGATGATATGATCTCATATTTGGAAAAAGCTTAAAGACTCCACAGGAAAATTATTAGAACTGATAAATTCAGTAAAGTTGCAGGATACAAAATCAACATACAAAAATCACTAGCATTTCTATATGCTTAGAGTTAACAGTGTGGAAAAAAAAAGTTATCCCATTTACAATGGCCACACATAAAATTAAAAATTAAATACCTAGAAATTAACCTAAGAAGTGAAAGATCTCTATAATGAAAACTGTAAAACACCAATGAAAGAAATTGAAGAGGAGCCCGGTTGCGGTGGCTCAGGCCTGTAATTCCAGCACTCTGGGAGGCTGAGGTGGGCAGATTGCTTGAGCCCAGGAGTTCAAGAACAGCCTGGGCAACATGGTGAAACCTCGTCTCTACGAAAAATACAAAAATTAGCCAGGCCTGGTGGCACACATCTGTGGTCCCAGCTACATGGGGGACTGAAGTGGGAGGATCACTTGAGCCTGGAAGGTCAAGGCTGCAGTGAGCCATGTTCCCACCACTGCACTCACAGTGAGCCATGTTCCCACCCCTGCACTCCAGCCTAGGTAACAAAGTGAGACCCTGTCTCCCAAAAAATAGAAAGGAAAAATAATATTTCCATGCATTGGAAGAAGTTATATTGTTAATATGTCCGTACTACCCAAAGCAATCTAGAGACTCAATGTACTGCTTATCAAAATATCAATGACATTATTCACAGAAATAGAAAAAACAAATTAATATGAAACCAAAAAAAGACCCAGAATAGTCAAAGTTATCCTAAGCAAAATGAACAAAACTGGATGAATCACATTACCTGACTTGAAATTATACTAAGAGGTATAGTTACCACAACAGCATGGTACTGGCATGAAAACAGACACATAAACCAATGGAACAGAAGAGAGTACCCAGAAACAAATCCACACACTTGCAGTGAACTCACTTTCCACAAAGGTGCCAAGAACACACACTGAGGAAAATAGTGTCTCTTCAATAAATGGTGCTGGAAAAACTAAATATCCATATACAGAAGAATGAAACTAGGCCCCTATCTATCACTATATATAAAATTAAATCAAAATGGATTAAAGACTTCAATCTAAGACCTCAAACTATGAATCTACTACAAGAAAACATTAGGGAAAATATCCAGGAAATTGGCCTGGGCAATGATATCTTAAGCAGTACCCCACAAGGGCAGGCAACCAAAACAAAAATGGACAAATCAATCACATCAATTTAGAAAGCTTCTGTACAGCAAATGCTATGATCAATAAAGTGAAGAGACAACCCACAACATGAGATAAAATATTTGCAAACTATACCTTTGACAAGCAATTAATAACCAGAATATATAAGGAGCTCAAACAACTCCATAGAAAAGTATCTAATAATTCAGTCAAAAAATGGTCAACGATTTGAATAGACATTGCTCAAAAGAAGACAGCACACAGGCATATGAAAATGTGCTCAACATTATTGATTATCAAAGAATTGCAAATCAAAACTACAATGAGATATCATCTTACCCCAGTTAAAATGGCTTATATTTAAAAGACAGCCAATAACAAATGCTGGAGAGGATGTGGATAAAAGGGAACCATTGTACACTGTTGGTGGGAATGTAAATTAGTACAATCATTATTAAAAACTGTTGGAGGCTGAGAAGGGTCGTTGGGGTCTCTAGGGGGAGGTGGGCATGGTTAACGGGTACAAAAATTAGTTAGCCTGAATAATACCTATTATTTTATAGACCTACTATTTGATACCATAATAGGGTGCTTATAGTTAATAATAACTTAATTGCACATTTTAAAATAACTTAAAGAGCATAATTGGAATGTTTGTAACTCAAAGGATAAATGCTTGAGGGGATGAATACCCCATTACCCATGATTTACTTACTTCACATTTCATGCCTGCATAAAAACGTGTCATGTTTCCCATACATATTTACACCTACTATGTACACAAAAATTTAAATAATTTATTTTTGTTTTGTTTTTTGTTTTTATTTCTTTTCTTTATATATATACTTTTTTAATTATACTTTAAGTTCTAGGGTACATGTCCACAACGTGCAGGTTTGTTACTTATGTATACATGTGCCATGTTGGTGTGCTGCACCCAATAACTCGTCATTTACATTAGGTATATCTCCTAATGCTATCCCTCCCCCCTCCCCCCATCTCACAATAGGCCCCAGTGTGTGATGTTCCCCGCCCCATGTTCAAGGGGTCTCATTGTTCAATTCCCACCTATGAGTGAGAACATGCGGTGTTTGGTTTTTTGTCCTTGCAATAGTTTGCTGAGAATTATGGTTTCCAGCTTCATCCATGTCCCTACAAAAGACATGAACTCATCCTTTTTTATGGCTGCATAGTATTCCATGGTGTATATGTGCCACATTTTCTTAATCCAGTCTATCATTGTTGGACATTTGGGTTGGTTCCAAGTCTTCACTATTGTGAGTAGTGCCGCAATAAACACACATGCGCATGTGTCTTTATAGCAGTGTAATTTATATTCCTCTGGGTATATACCCAGTAATGGGATGGCTGGGTCAAATGGTATTTCTAGTTCTAGATCCCTGAGGAATCACCACACTGTCTTCCACAATGGTTGAACTAGTTTACAGTCCCACCAACAGTGTAAAAGTGTTCCTATTTCTCCACATCCTCTCCAGCACTTGTTGTTTCCTGACTTTTTAATGATCGCCATTCTAACTGCTGTGAGCTGGTATCTCATTGTGGTTTTGATTTGCATTTCTTTGATGGCCAGTGATGATGAGCATTTTTTCATGTGTTTGTTGGCTGAATAAATGTCTTGAGAAGTGTCTGTTCATATCCTTCACCCACTTTTTGATGGGGTTGTTTGTTTTTTTCTTGTAACTTTGTTTGAGTTCTTTGTAGATTCTGGATATTAGCCCTTTGTCAGATGAGTAGGTTGCGAAAATTTTCTCCCATTCTGTAGGTTGCCTGCTCACTCTGATGGTAGTTTCTTTTATTGTGCAGAAGCTCTTTAGTTTAATTAGATCCCATTTGTCAATTTTGGCTTTTGTTGCCATTGCTTTTGGTGTTTTAGACGTGAAGTCCTTGCCCATGCCTATGTCCTGAATGGTATTGCCTAGGTTTTCTTCTAGGGTTTTTATGGTTTTAGGTCTAACATTTAAGTCTTTAATCTATCTTGAATTTATTTTTGTATAAAGTGTAAGGAAGGGATCCAGTTTCAGCTTTCTACATATGGCTAGCCAGTTTTCCCAGCACCATTTGTTAAATAGGGAATCCTTTCCCCATTTCTTATTTTCATCAGGTTTGTCAAAGATCAGATGGTTGTAGATGTGTGGTATTGTTTCTGAGGGCTCTGTTCTGTTCCATTGGTCCATATCTCTGTTTTGGTACCAGTACCATGCTGTTTTGGTTACTGTAGCCTTGTAGTATAGTTTGAAGTCAGGTAGCATGATGCCTCCAGCTTTGTTCTTTTGCCTTAGGATTCACTTAGCAATGCAGGCTCTTTTTTGGTTCCATATGAACTTTAAAGTAGTTTTTTCCAATTCTGTGAAGAAAGTCATTGGTAGCTTGATGGGGATGGCATTGAATCTATAAATTACCTTGGGTAGTATGGCCATTTTCACGATATTTATTCTTCCTATCCATGAGCATGGAATGTTCTTCCATTTGTTTGTGTCCTCTTTTATTTCCTTGAGTAGTGGTTTGTAGCTCTCCTTGAAGAGGTCCTTCACATCCCTTGTAAGTTGGATTCCTAGGTATTTTATTCTCTTTGAAGCAATTGTGAATGGGAGTTCACTCATGATTTGGGTCTCTGTTTATCTGTTATTGGTGTATAAGAATGCTTGAGATTTTTGCACATTGATTTTGTATCCTGAGACTTTGCTGAAGTTGCTTATCAGCTTAAGGAGATTTTGGGCTGAGACAATGGGGTTTTCTAAATATACAATCATGTCATCTGCAAACAGGGACAATTTGACTTCCTCTTTTCCTAACTGAATACCCTTTACTCCTTTGTCCTGCCTGATTGCCCTGGCCAGAACTTCCAACACTATGTTGAATAGGAGTGGTGAGAGAGGGCATCCCTGTCTTGTGCCAGTTTTCAAAGGGAATGCTTCCAATTTTTGTCCATTCAGTATGATTTTGGCTGTGGGTTTGTCATAAATAGCTCTTATTATTTTTAGATACATCCCATCAGTACCTAATTTATTGAGAGTTTTTAGCATGAACGACTGTTGAATTTTGTCGAAGGCCTTTTCTGCATCTATTGAGATAATACCAACCAAAAAAAGTCCAGGACCAGACAGATTCACAGCCGAGTTCTACCAGAGGTACAAGGAGGAGCTGGTACCATTCCTTCTGAAACTATTCCAATCAATAGAAAAAGAGGGAATCCTCCCTAACTCATTTTTTGAGGCCAGCATCATCCTCATACCAAAGCCTGGCAGAGACACAATAAAAAAAGAGAATTTTAGATCAATATCCCTGATGAATATCGATGCAAAAATCCTCAGTAAAATACCGGCAAATGGAATCCAGCAGCACATCAAAAAGCTTATCCGCCATGATCAAGTGGGCTTCATCCCTGGGATGCAAGGCTGGTTCAACATATGCAAATCAATAAACGTAATCCAGCATATAAACAGAACCAAAAATTTAAATAATTTTAAAAACGCCCTTCTCACTCTTTTCTCTCCTCTTTGCAACCTAAAGGGATGGGTTTCTTTTCAAGCCATGAGCTGTGCAGCGTAGGGTTAGGAGAGGAGTGATGCCAGCACTCCCTTCGCTGCCCTGACTGGTGTCTCAATGTGTCACATGCTGTCCCTGTCTATTGTCTCTGGGCCTAGTTCAGCACTAGGACTCACCTAAGTGTTGAAGTCCTTATGGCCTAGACTACCTTTCAAGTTCATTTAGAGACAAGAAGCACCATAGCCCAGGGTGGCAAGTTTTGCAGGAACATAAGTTCTGACCACTGGGGTCAGCGATTCTATGCTGGCTAGCATTGGTTTAAATGCTCCCTTAGTGGATGGACATCAGCTGAGTTTGGCTGGGTTTCCCTTTCTGCTCTAACAGGACAGCGCTGAGTTCAGTGCCTCACAATTGCTGTGTTTTTCCTCTCCCAGCACCCAGAGAAGCCCTGTGTACCATTCAGCTGTTGCCTGTACTGGGGGAGGAGTGGCATCAGCAATTCAGGCCTTTTTTTTTTTTTTCTATCTCTTCCACGCCCCTTTCAATCATATGAAGATTAAGCCAGGTGCTATGATGGCTCACCTAATTTTTGCTTCTTATAAAGGTGTTTTTATCCATGTAGATAGTTGTTAAACTGGTGTGTTCTTGTAGCGGGGGAACCATCAGTGTAGCCTTTTATGTTGCCATATTGCTCAGCCTCTCACTTTGGAGCTTTAAGCTTTAATGTCTGCCTTGTTGGGTCTTGGAAATATATAGGTCCTGTTACCCTTTTGTTTTGGCCAATTTCTCCCTTTTGGAATAGAAATGTATACCCAATCCCTGTACAACCATTATATCTTAAAAGTGAGTAACTTGTTTCGATTTTACAGCCTCATAGCTGGAAGAAACTTGCCTTGACTCTCAGATGAGGCTTTGGAATTTTAAGTTGATGCTAGAACAATTTAATACTTTTGTGACTATTAGGATGGAATGGTTGTATGTTGAATGTAAGAAGGACATGAGATTTGGGGGGCAAAGGACATAATGCTATGATTTGGGTATGGCTTGTCTCCATCAAAGCTCATGTTGGAATTTGATCCCCAGCATGGGACTGTTGGAAGGTGGAACCTAAGGGGAGGTGTTTGGGTTATGGCGGCAGACCCCCCATGAATGGTTGATGTTGTTATCCCAGTAATAATTCTTTCTCTTGCAAGTCTGAACTAGTCTTCATGGGAATGAATTAGTTCTTTTTTTTTATAGACTTCTCCACAAACTTTATTAAATCATTTGCATATGTGTGTACCTTCAGCCCCCATCAATTTCATAAAAATGGAAACTGTCAAAGTATTTTCTTTTTTTTTAATTATACTTTACGTTTTAGGGTACATGTGCATAACGTGCAGGTTAGTTACATATGTATACATGTACCATGTTGGTGTGTTGCACCCATTAACTCGTCATTTATTCTTGATTGAGTGGGTTATTACAAAGCCTGGAATTACAAAGCCTCTTAGATTTTCCTCTCTTCACAAGTGCTCACTTCCCCTTTGACTTTTTCTACTATGTTGTGACATACATGAGAGCCCTCACCAGAAACCAGAGTCAAGTCATGCCCTTGACCTTCTCAGCCTGAAGAAACATAATCTAAATAAGCCTTATTTTCTCTATAAAGTACCTAGTCTCATATATTCTTTTATAGAAACACAAAACAGAATAAGACTGTTCATTACACTTGACACTACCTGAAGTTATATTATTGGTTAAATATATATTTACTTATATTAAATATGCAATCTCTGTGGAGGCAGCAACTTTATCAGAAGTGTTTACCATTATGTCTAACATCTAGCTTATAGTAGTACTTTGTAAATACTTGATGAATGAATGAATAAATGAATGTATTTTTAAAGTAATACTTGTAATATTTTCCCTCTTTCAATTCATCGTACTTAAGTTTGGCTAAAATTTTCAGTTTGATTCCTGCTATTAATTTACACACAGAAATCCATCTACCTTGGGGGGATAATTCTAAATGTAATTTAGTAAAATACTTTGCTAAATCAAGAGAGAAAAGGATTCTAATTCTAATCCACTTTCAAATCAGTCTGTTTACCTGTTGCCTAAGGAGGATCAAAGAGATTAAATTGGCTCTGAACAACTACAAAACTAATTAGAGGTGATAGTAAAAATGTAATCTATCCTTTCATAATGACAGTGTTAAGACTTCTTCTATTATACACAAATTTGGCTAACATGGCAATGTCTGGCTTGGCACTGTGAGGATAACATGAAATTTGGGCATTACTTAAGTACTTTTTAAATTTATTACTTAATCTGAAGGGATTGGAGTGGCTTTTTTTATGATGTTGAATTTTATTTCCTTATTTACACAGCACAGTTGTGGCATACACAGCAATTAAATTTACTCTATTCTGTGTTCTCATCTCATTAAGTGATATTCTCTAGCCCCAAATCAAATAAATTATTGTTACAAGAGATAAGGTAGATTGAGTTTCAGTATCGGCAGATCAGGCAAGCTCCCCTTCTTGCTTTCCACCCCCTCTAACTCCAGAAAAAAAGCCAGTAGTTTTATTGATTTCACAATAGATTTTCAAACATAACCATTTTCTCTGGCTATTTTTAGTACAAATGCTATGCTAATATATGTTAGTAGGGCTACTTATAACTATTATTTTTATAGTCCAAAACCTTGCTGAGTAAATAAGCTCTCTATTCAGCATTTCTGCCATGCATACAAAAATTAGGATTGTCTATGGCTGTTACAACTATTTGTGTTTTCTAGCAGCACATATCATAGTCATAATCATTATGCTTATTTTAATTTTTCTTTATTCCTATTTTTGTTTAATCCAGTTCTGTTAACCATTGACATAAAGAAGATTTATTTACGAAAAATAACCTAAATTTGACAAATCCCAATCTATAGCTAGTAAGTCGCCAGTTAACATTAATCAAAGCACATTATAAAAAGAAATAAAACCATTAAGTAAAATCTTATTGTATAGAATGAGTACCTATTTTAACATTACATTGTCCATAGATCTCACTATTGATATTACAGTCTGCTTCAGTACCTTTAGTACTGTAAGCAGGTGTCAAAAATAACACACACTTTTTTATACTTTACATATAATCAGAAGGATCAGATAGAACCAATAAGTGGTTTTTTCAATCAATAAAAACATATTTATCTCTTTATTATGTACAAAAAAACTGTACTTAGTACTATACTATGATGTATAAGCTCGACATGATTCATGCATATGAAGTTTCCTCATTCACAGCTACTTACATAACAGACCATCTAGTTAAGGAACAAAAAATTGCCACATGTGATAAGTTACATGTAGTAGCAAAAATGTAAAATTACTTAACATAAAGTTTCTGTTGCGTATTTGATGTTGTACCCTCTAGTCTTTCTATAAAGGCTAATACCTAGAGAAGTAGTGATTATGTCTGCTAGTTGATTTGAGAAAATCTCTGATAATATCTACTAATACCCACACATAGAATTTCTCAAAATATGTTTAGGTTTTTAAAAACTATCTGTTCATGAATTATTCTGTCTCAAGTATGAGATTCATCTACTTTCAACATTTTTCTCATCATAGAGCTTTTTAAAATGTGACTCCATGTGAAACTCTTCTGTATACAGACATTTTGAACTATAAAATACAATATAATATACTGATAGCAAACCTGAAAATTATACATATTTTAAAAGTATCACTGGTCATTATAGGACGCAAAATATAATTTGCTGGGTAAAGTACAAAATATGTAGAAAATGAATGAGTAGATACACAGTTGTTGCAATGAAAATTGAAAAGGATGCCCTCTGTATTCAGAACATTCCTGTTCCAGCTGAAATACCATCTTAACGAAATAAATAAAAATTTGTGTTTGGAATCACAAACCTAAAAAATAAATATTCCAATGCAGAAACAGCTAAAATAATTGGAAACCCACATAACCAGATCCCTCAATAAAACATCCCCCTAGTGATTCTTCAATTTTTGCAGAAACGGACACATTTTAAAATATGCTAATTATAGGGGTTTATCCACAAAATGCTTCCAGAAGAATGGTGTGGAATCAAAAAGAATTCAGTCTATCTTTTTTCCCCTTCTATAGCCTTATCAATAGTTTTAGAATAAGACAATTTAAATTTAGCATAATGACCCAGTGATATTCCATCATATCATATATTGCTCCTCCCCACTAAATTAAATGTACTAATTTTTAGGATTACTTTTATGTAGATGTATATTGCATGACCAGTGCAACTTATCACACGCAACAACTAGCTTTTTATTGAAATTTGTAGTCATAACTTTCCTCTTTTACCCTCATCTAGACTTAAAATACAATTAAGGGTCATGGCAGTTTATTTAAAATATATTTTTGGTATAAATCAATTTCCTAAAGAATATTTAGAAAAATTTTTGAATATTTTTATAATATAATGAATTGACAAATTATAATTGTATGTATTTATGGGGTAAAATGAGGTTACGATATATGTATATAATGTGGAATGATGGAATAAAGCTAATTAACATATTTGTCACCTCAAATGCTCATCATTTATTTCCTCTGTCTAACTGAAACTTTTTACTGTCTAACTAATATCTCCTCATTTCACTAATGCCCTAGCCTCTGGTAACAGTCCTACTCTCTGCTTCTATGAGTTTAATTGTATTAGATTCCACATATAAGTGAGAAAATGTGGTATTTGTCTTTCTGTGCCCGGCTTATTTCACTTAGCGTAATGTCCTCTAGGGTCATCCATGCTTTTTCAAATGACAGAATTTTCTTCTTTTTTCAGGCTGAGTAGTACTCCATTGTGTACTCCATATCACATCGTTTTTATCCATTCATTTATCAATGGACAATTAGGTTGATTCTATAACTTAGCTATTGTGAATAATGCTGCAATGAATATGAAAATGTAGATATCTCTTTGGCAAACTGATTTCAAAAGATTTCAATGTATGCCTGGAATTGGGATTGTGAGATTGTATAACTCTATTTTTAGGCTTTTGGGGAAGCTCTGTATGCTTTTCTATAATGGCTGTATTAATTTACATTCCCATTAGCTAGCAGTGTTTAAGTGTTCCCTCTTCTCTACATACTCACCAACACTTATCATTCATCTTTTTCGTAGCCATTCTGACATGTGTGAGGTAATATCTCATTGTGGTTTTAATTTGCATTTTCCTAACGGTTAGTGATGTTATTTTTTATATTTCTGGTGGACATTTGTATGTCTACTTTCATGAAAAAATATCTTTTAATATTCGATGATAAAGTTGAGGAAGTATGAAAAATTTAGGCATAGGAAAAAATATGTTCCAAAAAACAATCTAAGATTGCGAATTTAAAAACACTATATTGGGATTTGAAGCCTCAATTTCACCTAAATATTCTGTCATGTAACATAAGAATAATATAACCATCCAATAATGGACATGTTGCATCTAAACAACATTAAGAAGTAATGATGTTTATGAAAGTCAATGATTAAGACTCTTTTTAGTTGTCTTTGTAGTTTAAATAATGCTTTTTATCATAAAAGAATCACTTATTATTAAAATATTAGCATAAACAGAAAGAAGAAAGCAGTCAGACACTATCCCATTATCCAAATGCAGTTACTACTAATATTTTTTGTACATTCTCTTTAAATATTTTTATATGTGTATATTTTTCCTAGTTACCCAATGAACAGAGAAAATTTCACAATTATCTTATCACATCTGGTATTAGCCAGGATAGACCGGCCTCATCTTTAAAAACAACAAAAACTTTGAATATAGGCAGGAAGCAGTTTTCATTTTAAAGCAGTCTATGTAAATTATATCAACATACACACTGAGGCTAGTGTGTGCATGTGTGTGTGTATATATATGTGTATATATATATATATACAGATTCAGGTAAGTTGAACTGCATTGTAAGTGGCCTCAAGAGACTTGAGAGAAAACTGAGACTTCAAAATACCTGATCTTGTTGTATTAGCATTTTATTTCTACATAAGAAATTATGACAAACATAGTGGCTTAAAACGCATTTCCTTATTATCACATAGTTCTGGAGTTCAGAATTTGGGGCATGGCTTAGATGGCTCCCTTTTCTCAGGTTCTCACAAAGGCCGAAATCAAAGTGTCAGTTTTTTTATTTTTAATTTTTGTAGGTACATAGTAGGTTTAAATATTTACAGAGTACCTGCAAAGTTTTGATGCAGGCATGTACTGTGAAATAATCACATCATGAAGAATAGGGTATTCATCCCCTCAAGCACTTAACTATTGAATTGAAAACAATCCAATTACACTCTATTATTTTAAAATGTACAATTATTGACTATAGTTATCTTTTTGTGCTTTCAAATAGTAGGTCTTATTCATTCTTTCTATTTCATACACGTTAACTATCCCCACCTCCCACCCAGCCGCTGCTGCCCTTCCCAACTTCTGATAACCACCCTTCTACTCTCCATATCCATCAGTTCAATTGTTTTGATTTTTAGATCCTACAAATAAGTGAGAACATGCAATGCTTTACTTTTTGTTTGTGGCTTACATCACTTAATATAATAATCTCCAGTTCCATTCATGTTGTTGCAAATGACTGGATCTCATTATTAGGTATGGCTGATAATAATACTCCATTGGATGTATGTACCACATATTCTTTATGCATTCAGCTGTTGATGGACATTTAGGCTGCCTCCAAACCTTAGCTATTGTAAATGGTGCTTCCAGAAACATAGAAGTGCAGATATCCCTTTGATATACTGTTTTTTCTTTTTCTTTGGGGGATATACATAGCAGTGAGATTGCTGGATAATATGGTACCTCTATTTTAAGTTTTTTGATAAACCTCCAAACTCTTCTCCATAATGATGGCAGTAATTTACATTCCCACCAACAATGTACAAGGGTTTCCTTTTCTCCACTTCCTCACCAGCATTTGTTATTACTTGTCTCTTGGGTATAAGCCACTTTAACTGGGATGAGATGATGTCACATTTTAGTTTTCATTTGTATTTCTCTGATGATCATTGATGTTGATCACCTTTTCTTATGTCTGTTTGTTTTTTGTATGTCTTCTTTTTAGAAATGACTATTCAAATCTTTGGGCCATCTTTAGATCAGATTATTAGATTTTTTCCTATAGGGTTGTTTGTGCTCCTTATATATTCTGGTTATTAATCCTTTGTCAGATGGGTAGTTTGCAAACATTTTCTCCCATTCTGTAGGTTATCCTTTATTTTGATTGTATCCTTTTCTGTTCAGAAACTCTTTAACTTGATGCAATCCCATTTCTTCATTTTTGTTTTCATTGTCTGCACTTGTGGGGTATTGCTCAATAAGTTTTTGCCCAGACCAATGTCCTGAAGATTTTTCTTAATGTTTTCTTGTAGTAATTTCATGGTTTGAGGGCCTATATTTAAGCCTTTAATCCATTTTAGTTTAGTTTTTCCATATGGCAAAGTTCATCCTTCTGCATATGAATATCCAGTTTTCCCAGCACCATTTATTGAAGAGATTGCCCTTCCCCCCAGTGTGCGTCCTTGGCACCTTTATCAAAAATGAGTTCACTTTAGGGAAGTGGATTTCTTTCTGGGTTATATATTTTGTTCCATTTACCTATGTGTCTGTTTTATGCCAGCACCATGCTCTTGTGGTGACTATGGCTCTGTAGTACAATTTGAAGTCAGGTAATATAATTCCTCCCATTTTGTTCTTTTTGCTTAGGATTGCTTTGGTTATTCTAGGTCTTTTGTGTCTCCATATAAATTTTAGAATTGCTTTCTCTGTTTTTATGAAGAATGTAATTTGTATTTTGATAGGGATTTTATTGAATCTGTAGACTGCTTTGGATAGTATGTATGTTGAACAACATTGATCTTTCCAATTCATAAAAATGATTTTTTTTATTTTTTGGTGTCCTCTTCAATTTCTTTCATTAGTGCTTTATGGATTTTATCATAGTGATCTTTTACTTCTGTAGTTATTTCCTAGTTAGTTAATTTTCTGTGTGGCTATTGTAAATGGGATTACTTTTTATCTCTTTTTCACATTGTTCACTGTTGGCATATAGACATGCTACTGATTTTTGTATGTTGACTTTGTATCCTGCAATATGAATTAATCTGTTTATCAGTTCTCACATTTTTCTTGTGTAGTCTTTAGTTTTTTTCCAAATGTAAGATCATATTATCCGCAAACAAGGACAAGTTGGTTTCTTCCTTTTTAATTTGGGTGTACTTTATTGCTTTCTCTCATCTGATTGCTCTAGCTAGGACTTCCAGTACTATGTTGAATAACAGTGGTGAAAGTGTGCATCCTTGTCTTGTTCCAGATCTTTGAGGAAGGGCTTTCAGTTATTCCTTATTCAATGGGATACTAACTGTGGGTCTGTTGCCTATGACTTTTATTATGTTGAGTCATGTTCCCTCTATACCCATTTTTTGAAGGTTTTTTTTTAATCACAAAGGGCCACTGAATTTTTTCAATTGCTTTATCAGCATCAATTGAAATGATCATATGGTTTTTGCCCACCATTCTGTTGATATGATATATCACATTGATTGATTTGCATATATCTAACCATCCTTGCATCTCTGGGATAAATACAACTTAGTCATGATAAATGGTCTTTCTAATGTATTGCCCTGTAGTTTTCTTTTTTTGATGGGTCTTTGGTTTTGTTATCAAGTTAATACTGGCCTCACATAATGTATTTGGCAGTATTCCTTCCTGCTGTAGCTTTCAGAATAGATTGTATATAATTTGTATTAGTCCTTCTTTAAATGTTTGTTATAATTCAGCAGTGAAGCCATCAGGATTTGAGCTTTCCTTTGCTGGGGAGCTTTTTATTACAGCTTCAATCTTGTTACTTGTTATTGGTATATTCAAGTTTTTTATTTCATCATGATTCAATATTGGTAGGTTGTCTGTTCCTAGGAATTTATTGATTTCCTGTAGCTTTTCCAATTTATTAGCATATAGTTATTCATAGTAGCCACTAATGATCCTTTGACTTTCTGTGGTATCAATTACAATGTCTCCTTCTTCATCTCTGATTTTATTTATTTGGTTCTTCTCTCTTTATTTATTTATTTATTTTGAGACAAGCATCTTGCTCTGTCATCCTGGCTAGTGTGCAGTGGCGTAATCTCAGCTCACTGCAACCTCCACCTCATGGGTTCAAGCGATTCTCCTACCTCAGCCTCCCAAGTAGCTGGGATTACAGGCGCCTGCCACCGCGCCCAGCTAATTTTTGTATTTTTAGTGGAGACGAGGTTTCACCATCTTGGCCAGGCTGGTCTCGAACTCCTGACCTCGTGATCCACCCACCTTGGCCTCCCAAAGTCTCTCTTTTATTCTTAGTCTGGCTAAAGATTTGTCAATCTTGTTTGTCTTTTCAAAAAACAACTTTTTCTTTGGTTGATTGTTTGTATTGTTTTCTTCATTTCAATTTTCTTTCTTTGTGCTCTGATCTTTATTATTTCTTTTCTTCTACTAGTTTTTGGTTTGGTTTGCTTCTGCTTATCTAGTTCTTGAAGATCCATTGTCAGGTTATTTATTAGAATTTTTCTAGTGTTTGATGTAGGCACTTATAGCTATAAATTTCCCTTTTAGTACTGTCTTTGCTGTATCCCATAGGTTTTGATATGTTCTGTTTTCATTACTATTTGCTTAAATAAATTTTTCAATTTCCTTCTTAACTTCTTCACTGACCCACTGGTAATTCAGGAGCATATTTACAAATATCTATGTGTTTGTATAGTTTCCTAAGTTCTTCCTTTTATTGATTTCTAGTTTTATCACATTGCCATCAGAGAAGATGCTTGATATTATTTCAATGTTTTAAATGTTTTGGACTTGTTTTGTGACCTAACATATGGCTTGTCCTTGAGAATGATCCATGTGTTTGGGAAAATAATTTGTATTCTGCTACTGTTGGATGAAATTTTCTGTAAATATCTATTAGTTCCACCTATTCTATAGTACAGATTATGTCTAATGTTTGTTGCTCTTCTGTCTGGAAGATCTGCCCAATGCTGAAAGTGAGTTTTTGAAGTCTCTATTATTCTATTAACATCTATCTTTCACTTTTCTCTAATAATAATTGGTTTATATATTATAAGTGCTCTAATGTTAGGGTTATGTGTATTTACAGTTATCATACCCTCTTGCTAAATTTACCCTTTTTTCATTATATGATGACCATCTTCATATTTTCTTACATCCTTGTCATTTTATCTTGAAATCTATTTTGGTTAATATAAGTAAAAGTACTCCTGATCTTTTTTGTTTTTCATTTGTATGCAATATGTTCTTCTATCCTTTTATTTTTAGTCTCTGTGTATGTTTATAAGTGAAATGCATTTCTTGAAGGCACCGGATAATTGAGTGTTTTTTGTTTTTTGGGGGGGGTCCATTCAGCCACTCTATGTCTTTTCATTGTATGGTTTAGTCTATTTTCATTCAATGTTACTATTGATAAGTAAAGATTTACTCCTGTCATTTTGTTATTTTGTTGTTGTTTTGTTACCTTCTCTTTATTTTTTCTTCTCTTCCTTTTAGTGAAGGTGACTTTCTCTGGTGATAGAATTTAATTTATTGCTTTTTTGTGCATGTCTTTTTTATGTTTTATTTATTTGAGATTACCATGAGTTTTGCAAATATTATCTTATAATTCTCTATTTTAAACTGATAACAACTTAAAACGTTGCATAAACAAGCAAACTAACAAACAAGCCAGGCCACAACCTATGTTCACTTAAGGCCTAAGGGCTATTCTGCCAGCTTGTTGTGAATGCTGCCAGGGTTGGAACTCACCTTTCAGGGAAGTTGGCTCCCCTCTGACCCAGGTCAGGTCCAAAAATGCCGTTCAAGAGTCTAGGCCTGGACTTAGAAACCCGAGGAGTGGAGCTTGCATGGTACTCTACCCTTCTGTGGCTAAACTGGTATCTGAAGCCAGCATGTCTCGGGGTCTCACCCAAGGCCCATGGCACGCTATCTGGGTATTACTGCTTGTTATTCAGGTCCCAAGGGATTTTTAGTCAGCAGGTGATGTATTGTGCCAGGACGGGGGTCCTTCCTTTCAAGGCATCAGATTCCCTTCTGGCCCAGGGTATGTCTAGAAATATCATACAGGAGCCGGGACCTCGGATGGGTGCCTCACAACTCTGCCTGGTGCTCTATCCTATTGTGGCTGAGCTGGTATTCAAATTGCAAGACAAAGTCCTCTTTACCCTTCTCTTTTCTCTCCCTGAGCAGAAGGCAAGTCACTTTAGTTGCTGTGAGTTGCACTGCCTGGGATTGGGGGACGGTTCACACAAGCATTCCCCAAGGTCCCCAGTTGGTGCCTCACTAGGTCACATGCTGCCTCAGTCCACTAGGTCTAAGTCTAGCACAGAATCAGGACTTGCCTATGAATTGCAGTCTTTGTGGCTTAGACTGCCCTTCAAGTTTACCTAGGATCTTAGAGCACTTTAGCCCATGGTGGTGAGTCTTTGAGAAACTCAAGTTCAAGCCACTGGCATGGGCAATTCCTCTGTGGCTAGGGCTGGTACAAATGCTCTCTCTGTGGGCAGGCACCAGCTGAGTTGAGCAGTGTTTTGCCTTCACTGTGACACAGAAGTACTGAGTTCAATGCAAAGTACCCCAATCACTGTGCTTTCCTTTCCCCAAATACAGACTCTCTCTTGGTGCCACATGCCTGCTGCCAGGGGAGGGAGGAGAGGTCGCATTGATGATTCAAAACTCTTTCCTATTAACTTCAGTGCCTCTTTCAGCAATATGAAGTTAAAACCAGGTACTGTGAGTGCTCACTTAGTATTTGGCTTTTGTGAAGGTGTTTTTCTGTGTTCCTGTGGGGTGAGGGTGATGCTTGGTGGAGCCTTCTATCCCACTATCTTCCTCTGCCCTCTCTGTTCCTAGTTTTAATGCCTTTTAAAAAATTCTGTCTTTGTAAGTTGTTGTAACCCTGATAGACAAAGTTGTCAAAATGGTCTTATTCTCCTGTAGTATTTTAGATATATACAAAACTAGAATAAAATCAGTATCTGACAGCCTAAACCTTCATATACTTTGAGGGAGAAAGACAAAGGATGGATAAGCTGCATATTAAAAACTCACAATAAATTATTCAGTACGAATTGCATATACAAAAACGTGTGTTTCTGTGTGTGTACTTCAAAAACAAAGAGAAAATGAGATAGACAAAAATGTATAAAAGGGGAAGACAAAATCAAAAGCGGAGGAAATCCCTACTATTGAGATTTTCGCAGAGCAAAAAAGCATAGAGATTATAGTGAAATTATTTTATTTACATTTTAATGTGTGATTTGTTTTAATATGACACAATGTTATCCAGTGTGAAATAGATAAAAAATGGTGCAGCTGGCCCTTTAAAAAAAAAACAAAAAACTGGCATGTAGCCTAGGCTTAAGAGTATTTCCGTTAGTATTCCAGTCATGGAACTAGCTGTACTCAAGTCCTCAGAACCACAGTCATGAAAGCAGTCCAGTCTCCCAGCTTCTAGAGCAAAAAATTACTGAAAACAGAAAGGAGTACATTCAATAGGAACCAAATGAATGGCTCAATATTGATTGAAAATGCTTTCTATCCCAAAAATAACCTTATCTCAACATAGATCAGTGATGATTTTCATCATGGAAACCGTACGAACATGAATTGAAATACACTAAAGTGAAATCTAATAATAGAGAGCAGGGAAAAAAAGAGAAGAAAATAATGTAAAAATAAATATTTCACTGAAATGTTATTTTAACTGAGTAGCTCACATTTGTGCTTTTTTTTCACATATTTCACAAACTGATATGATACATGAGATGTTAAATAATAGTGTATGGGAAAGAGGTGTGAACAAAAAATTACTGAGGGTTTTAACGCCAGCTCTGCCCCTAACTGCTGTGAAAGCTTTGGCTAATCACTTCTTCTCTCCAAGTGTCCATCCCCTTATTTGATTTAGATCAGTGATTCTTCAAATTGTTTTTGACTGAGACCCACAGTAAGAAGTGTATTTACATTGTATATTGTATAAGACTCATCATAGTTTGAAACCACTATATTAGATGATCTTGTGACCCACGCAGGGATGACACTCTGTGACTCAGATTCAAGCTTATTTTTACACTGTAGGTATTCTTAATTAGCTGAAACTGAACTCTTCTGCAAGTACAGTGGAGAGTAAATTTTTTAAAAGTTGAATGCTGTATTTCATTATTTGTAATAAGACAAATAATAATGTGTTCCCAACTCATCTAGTAACATAATATTTCTAAAATATCACTAAGTCAGTTTTAAATACAGATACAATAATTCACTGAGAATTTTATCGTAATATAAAACATTTAAAAGACCAGTTAAAAAAATAATTTTTTTGAGACAGGGTCTCACTTTGTTGCCCAAGCTGGAGTGCCTTGGCATGATCATGGCTCATGGCAGCCTCAACCTCCCATGCTCAAGCGATCTTCCCACCTCAGCTTCCCAATTAGCTGGGACTACAGGTACATGCTACCATGCCCAGCTAAGTTTTTTTTAACTTTATTTTTTGTAGAGACAGGGTCTTTCTTTGTTATCCAGGCTGGTCTTGAACTCCTGGGCTCCAGCAATCCTCCTGCCTTGGCCTTCCAAAATGTTGAGATTACAGGCATGAGCCACCATACCTGGCTCAATTTTTCAATTAGTCCACAATGAAGGTACTAGTCTCTTTTGCACTGCAAGTAGTGTATTGGAGCAGTTCACATTGGCTTGGCTCATAAGAACTGACTTTTTAAATTACAAAAAATATATAAGCCAGTTGTTAAACAGTTGTTTAAAGTAGGCTATAATGGGACTATGATTTGTAACACAAGAATTGCCAAATGCTACATATCAAGGTTACTCCCTCTACCAATCCTCAAACCCCAATCTGGTTATTAAAATTTGCCAGACTGTAATGTACAAGGATAGAGAGAGGAATCCATGACTCAGAGGGCTAGATGGTGGTGTTTTCATACTATTTTGATATATACCAGTTTTGATCATGCTTTTTCTTTCAGTAAAAATATAAACAATTGAGATTAAGAACATTATGTAAAGTCGCACAACTAGCAAATGATCAAGCATAAACTCTGAACTGTCTGATGGTAAATTCCATGTATTCTTTACTTTAGCAAATCCTTATCTCCATCTGGTGAAATTCTACTGATATTTCAATGTCCTATTTAAACATAAGTCATTTCCACAAATTCTTTTCTGACTACCTATACTAGAATTGGTAAGTACATTAAAATTGGTTTGGCATACATTTAACTCTCATAACTGTCTGATCATCTTACATAATTTACTATATACTTCCTTATATTCTAAGTATTTCTGCTACCTCACCTGTATTGCACTCAAGAACTTTTCATAAACAAATGCAAAAATCAATGAAGGTGTGGGGTACTAATGGGTATGGGTTGCATTTGGGGACAATTAAAATGTTATAAAATTAGACGGTAGTGATGACCACGCAATCTTGTGAATGTATTAAAAATTACTGAGTAATATGAGTTACAAGGGGGCATTTTTATGGTATATGAATCGTATCTCAATTTAAAAAGTAAAACGTGACACTTTTTAAAAACTTATTGTGTTCAGCCATGTGAAATTGCCATTTTTATCTGTCAAAATGACTGAATCAACAATTTCATATGGTTGGTTCTAATATTAGTAGGAAGTGTCTCCCAATAATAATGTGTTTCTGAAGGTAGCATTAATAATTCTAGTTGTAATGATTTCTCAATTCTAAAGTCTCATCCAGGAAAAGGAAAGCAAATAGTCTCCTTTGCATTGTTGATTTCTCGCTCATAAATCCTCTGTTTCTTATACTAGTGGATCTTTGCTTGATAGTTATTGAAGATAGTGAAACCTGAATTCTAATAATTTCAAGACTCAGGTGCTTGAAGTTTCCAAACTTTCCAGTATACAAGATTCTCAGAAATTCTGGGATAAGTGTATCAGCTACTGGCAAAATATTGGAAACTCACAATCCCTGAGTAGCAATGGTCACATGCTCTGATACATCTCTTCAGAAAATGTGGAGGATAGTAGCACTTCTCAGAAATTACAACAGAACTTATGTATATTTAGGAAAGCAGCTGTCCTACGTGAACATAAATAATGTATGTGCTGCTCAGAGAAAGGTTAGAAATGTTTAAATTGCAGGAAGTGATAAAAAAAAGGCAGAGGAAAGAAAATACCATAAGATGGATTGGTTCAGTGGACAGGATCATTCATTGAAGGAATATTTAGTTTGTGAAGATTTCTGTTTCCCTAGAGAAAGTTAATTTGGAGAAATATTTGGTCCATTTGTTATTAAAGATGTCTGTAAGTTAAGGTATAAAGATATCATTTCAACTTTTCATTACATCTCTTGAGCAGGTGGTCACATTGTCCATCACCTTTATTGACAGAATGGGAAATATGAATATTTAAGGGCACACTGGCAGAGGAGAGGGAACAATTTTTGCATTATACTTTAAATTGTCTAATAAAAGCTATAGAAGAAAATAAAGACATGTAAAAGACCCCGAGGTCAAAGAGTGTGTACTTCATCTATACCCTGGTACTCTTTCACTCTCTCTTACTCTGTATGATTAGAATATTCTACTCTAAATTCTGAAGGGCATAGCCTTGTGAATCCAGTTTGTTAAGACAATATGTAGTTGAGTACACTTAAATATAAGTTGACTTATTGCTATGCAGATTGTGGTGTATGACTTTAAAACCTGCACTTTTCTCAACAGAAAAATGTACTTTGAAAAAAATAATGACATCAGTGTTAGTACTATTATAGACACAGCATTGTCACTGTTTTCTATTGTGTTGCAATAGCATGGTGTAAACCAGAAATAAAATTCTAAGCCCTCCAACTGACTGTATTAATCCTTCGTCTCACCCAGGGATTCCAATAAAACCTGAAAAACTAGTTCAGGCCATGATGGGAAGTGGAGGTTGAACATGCCTCATTATATTCTCCTCCCTTTAGAATTCAGGCACAACTGACCAGCATTAACATTAAAACAGAGATCTTAAGACTGATAGAATAGACTCTTTGTAGCAATAAGATACCAAATACCAATTTGACTCTAGTATAGCATCACATGACATATAGCAGGCCGTGAGGGAAATTGAAGTATTTTACCATAAAATATATTTTTGACATACTTTGAAATAACCCGGCAGAGGTGTTTCTTTTGGGGGAAGAATTTACATTATATAGAGAATCTTCTTCCATTTCCAGGTCTTTCTGAGCCTGAAGAGACTAGCTGAGAGTCACACTTTTTAAAGGTCTCAATGGGAAACATTTGCCATCTATTGTCTCTAAGGGTGGCCGCGTATGACACTTCATCTACATAATAAGAACCTTGGTCTGTACAACCCATATGGTATCTTAACCCAGACTCTTCTTTCTATTGATTGCAGATCTTTAGATAATAATTTATCTCTTTCAACCAATTGCCAATCAGGGAATCTTTGAATCCACCTATGACCTTTGATCCCCTGCTTTGAGTTGTCTCACCTCTTGGGATCAAACCAATGTATATCTCACATGTACTGATTGATGCTTTATGTCTTCCTAAGATGTATGAAACTAAGCTGTAACCCAGTCACCTTGGGAACATGTTCTTAGGACCTCCTGGGGATGTGTCACTGGTCATGGTCCTCACATTTGGCTCAGAATAAATCTCTTGAAACGTTTTACAGAGTTTGTCTTTTTTTGTCAACAGCTGTATTGTAAACTTTTTTGAGGCAAGTATTCTTTCTTATAATGTTCTATCTTCTTTAGCATCTAGTTCAGCAGTGGGCAGGTGATAGTGTCTGCATTGATACCCTAGGATATCTTACCTTTTCTCTTCTCTGAAATCATCCTGAGGTGAAAGGACTCTGGAATGTGAGTTAGAAAGCCTGAAAGCCTGAGTTCCTGACCTGTGTAAACATTACTTTCCTCAAATACAACACAAGTTATTTGGACTAGTTTATTTCTTAGTGCCTAACATTTTATATTCATGCTTACTTTCTGCTCACATAAGACCTTGTCAATTAATATTGCAATTTTAATGTATGCACTTTCCTCTTCTGTAATACACAGGCATGTACGTAGCCTAAGGAGATAATTATAGAAATATGAAGGCTTTTCCTTCTCCTCTGCAAGACATTAATCATTATTCTGAGTGAAAATTTAAATACAATTTTTTAAAGAGGAAATGCCATATTCATAGGATGAATAATAAATGTATTTGAGCAAGATATTTCATGACCCATTTATGGGAAAATAACTATTGTGCAATTGAGTGCATTCATAGCCAATTAAATGGCCAGATACTGATAATACTGATTAATTGAAGAATTTCTCTAGGAGAATGTGTTAGGGCTCTGCATTAAACCAATTCCACATTTCCTGTTATCAGTGATTTTCAAAAAATATTTAAACTTCATGCCTTAACTTGATATAAGGATAAAAGTATGTTACTTCCTTGGAGTGAACATTTTTCAAGTAGCATTGACTGTAATAATGGGCTAAAATCAACAAAAGAGTATTTAATGAGAGAAATATTAGGCCACCTGCATGTATAATTTTGAAGAATAAAATACATAGAGCAAGGGAAAATTTTGCTTTCTAGCATCTCGAAATTAAATAAGGCCTACATGCTTCATTTTACAATGATCTCAACCTAAGATGTGATTTTATGTTGGTAGCCGAACAATCTGGTGACGGATGGGTGGATAGTCTATACAGATACTGGAGATGCTTGATTATGAATCCAGAGAGTCTCTCTGAGTTTCAGTATATATATATTTTTTATGTTTTTAGTGTCCTATTTCAGAGAGAAACAATTGTAATGATCAAATAAATGTTTGTTTTTAGTATTTGTAAGGGTACAATGAACAATATTAGTATATTCAATTTTTAGAATTTATATATTTGTTGTAACATTTCAAATAAAATGTATTGGGTAGTTTCCATTTAGTGGTCAAATAATATATAAGACTAGAAAGCCACACTGTACCGTGTTTATAATGTGGGCTGTACGTGGAGACTTAGAAGAGAATTCACATGGCTTTACTATTCACACATAGGGACATCACTCAGGCTTGGTTCTAAATAATAAGGTAAGTAAAGGCTGTTCCTACAACTATACCTTTGGAATTGCACTTAGAATGAAATCCCGTTTGTATGCCCACAAGTCTTTCAACAGTCTGAACTAGCCTATCTTTCCTACCTTACTATATGTTGTTCTTTTTTTCCCCCAATCCCTTAGCCAGTGTTTTTCTTCTGTTCTTTGAATGCATCTGTGTGTATACTAAGATTCATCTAATAGACCCAAAACAGTTTAAAAATACATGTACTATGTAGCAAGGGTGTGTAGAAAATGCAACTTAAGTAGCATGCGGGTAGTTTTGTCTAGGAAATATTTTTAAAAATGTAAATACAATATATCCGTGTTGTTTAAGTTAGCTATTTCCATAGTTGTTATCATCATCTTTTACCATAGCTTCCTCGAAGCCAGTATTTTGGAACTAACCAATTTTAACTTTAAAAGGTCTTATTTATAACATTCTTTCATTATGTTAGAAAAAATAAGAAATCATGAATATTTATTTTCCATGAGAATCAGTGACAAGACAAAATATTGATTAAATTTTGTTCCATTTTATTAGTGAGCAGGGTAGGCCAAATCAAATTGCCAGTTTCGTTCATTTAAAATAAAATTTGCCAAAATCTATGTTGTCGAGGGTGTGGGTAGACTCAAAGGGAATGTGAGGAGAAAATAAATTGAAGACACAGTACTGTAGCATGGTTTTGATTTAAGTGAACATTTTCTGAGCTTTATAGTTACCAAATCTTGCATATGGAAATTACAGTTGCTCTTAATCTGCTTTAGAAGACTGACGCAAATATTAAAAAGTAATGAACTAACAAGATTGTTTGTTAATTCCACATAAAAGCACTAATTATACATCATTTCCTGCCTACAGCTAAACCCAAGAGACATCTTCTAAGAAATTGTTAAATAAGCTTCCTCACTAGAAATGTGAATACAGCTGAGTTGCATGATAAATTTCCATTTAAGGACTCCAGTTCTATCTCACCCTTAAAGAATAAAGAGAAATAAATACAGGAAAAAAAAGGGCATATTAATGTATTCAGGGAACAAAATTATTTTGCTCATGGGACGTGCCTCATTAATACAATTACATCTGATTTCAACATATGTTTTAAAGGGTAGATTTTATAGGAATTATACTTACTCTATATTTGCAGGCTTATTATATTGAAAGCGTACTGTAAATTTCATTGTTATCACTTTTAATATTTTAATAGTATAAGTTATAGCAGTAATTTTCCAAAGTATATTTAAAATGCTACCGTGGTGCTTGGGTTTCAGGGTTCTGGCTATACTTTTATATTATTTCTATTAAAGTGTTTGTTATACAGGTGCAGGAGAGATGCTTTTATGGGTTTTTTCCTTTGTAGAAATACCATAAAAGCAACTGCCTCTTATCAATTTTATTTTTAATTTACTTTTTCATATGAATCCATTTTCCATGTCTAATGGTCGCTTTTAGCAGGTAATTTACAGGTGAGAGCCTGCTAGTCTTTGATCATTTGCTGGGCCTGTTGAATGGCAATTATGCTTTAATTCTATAAACATTGAAAAATGTTTTTTTTTTAAACTAGCATTATAATTTTTAACAATTTTACAGTCTTATTGGATATAAAGGTGTTTGGAGTCATTGGTTATTAACCTGAGAGAAAACTAGTATCTACTGCCTCTGTGGACAAATTAGAAAAAGGCACACTCTCTGGGCAGATAAATTAGAAAAAGTTGCCCTCCCTCGGGTATCCTGCTTAGCAAGCAGAGTATAAGCTTAATTTCAACCCCCACTTGTACCTCTAGGCAACACTGTGCAGAGTACAAACTATGCAACCGCTGTGGTACAGCCCAGATTCTATTTTTTTGCTCAGATTCCTGGTTCCTAGCCCATCCTGGCCAGCCGTAATCTACTGATGCTCAATGCCTGTGAAAACAAGTCTAAAACTAAATATCAAGTCGTTGGCCTCATTTTGCCAAGCATAAAGAAATAAAACTTTGCAATAGCATGATGCTCCTCAGTTTGTCTTACATAAACTTTTTGACATAGACTGCTGTAGCTACTCTCATCACACTTGATTTATTTTCACTTTCTCTGGGTGCTCATTTATTTATAATTATGGATATAAAATATCTATAACATTTTTTTCTATTGTAATATAATTGTTTCTATTTGAAATATTGAAATCATTAAAATGTAAAGCTGAAAGATACATTAGAAACTATACATTATTATCTCCTTTTTATCACAACTCTAAAATTTAATTGAAATAGTAAAAATTATTATTATAAAAATTTAAAAATATAGACAATAAAAAGAAGAAAACTGGATATTTCCAAACTCTTTTAAAACTATTTTTTTTACTTAAAATGTATGTAGAAGTTTTCATTTTTAAAATTGTAGTTATCTGTTATTGTTCTGATAGTGACATTAGGTATTCTATCATCTGATTTTACCATAATTTTAATTAGACAATTATCTGTTTTGGAATATTTAGTTTACTCCTGATCTTTTTGCTGTCATAATAGGCATATTGTAAGCTAAGATTAACATATTGTATCTAAACCTCTATTGATATCTATGATTATTTCCTCAGACTAAACTCCAACAAGTGGAACTTTTAGATCAGAAAACATTCCAATTTTAAGGTATTTGTTTACTATTTCAATTTGCTCTCAATAAAAGTTCTATTTTTTCTCTCACAGATAGTATATAAGAGCACTCATTTGCCTAAATCTTTTCTAACAATAAACATAATTACATGAAATAAACTTTTCCATTTTGATAGATAATAAATTGTATTTATTAATTTAATTTTCATTTATCAACTTATATGTTTATTGGTTATTTCTTTTGTAAATTATCTTTTTGTGTTATGTATTCATTTTTCTATAGATATATGCAACTTTTCTTATTGACTCATGTAAATAATTTATATATTAAGAATATTTAAACCTTTTTCTAAATACATTGCAACTTTTCCCTCAGTTTGCCATTTGCTCTTCAATCTGCTTATGGCAATTTTGGCACAATTTTAGAAAATACTTTAGTATGTTCTTACATGATTTATTTTTGTAAAAAGAAAGGTCAAGACTACATCAATATTTATCTAGTTCTTACATTGTCTTCTTGTGTTTATGGAGAGTTTCCTCTTACCATGTACATATATATTTAATATATTTAAAATACATTTTAAAATGTAGTTTAACAAGAAGATTCTGACTCCACCACATAGTAACATCTTGTTTTTAGTCAAATCACTAAATCTTTGAAGTCTCAGTTTTTCTATTTGTAAATTGAGGAGCCATCAGACCAACAGAAGAGGTAGAAATTCTAAATAAAGACTCATGAGCATATGAGAACCCACTGAACCATAAAGAGCATACCTTCTGTTACTGGTAAAAAATTAATTTTCTGTTAGTAATCAGTTACACCCGTAGTTGTCTATTTCATTTTAATTTTCTATTGCGCCCTAGGGAGAGTATTTATTGAATATATTTTACATTTAATAAAGGCAGATTAATAATTTTAAAGCCCATGGATTCCTTGCTTTATACTTTGTTATGTTTGCTTGTTTGTTTTGGCTAGAAAAGCCTAAGACCCAAAACTGAATGACTTTTTACCAGCTTTCAGTCAAGGGTTGATTTTCCTTTGCAGCCTCCATTGCTGGCCATGTTAAAAGAATAACATCAAGTAAAGTACAGAGAACAACATTTAGGCATTGTAATTACCACTTTCCTTATATAACTTCACTTCATATACAATGAATAAAGGAGAAATGAGCTTTTACACTGTTTTGAAATGACATGTTCATGGTTTCATTCTACTCGTAAGGTTAGCAATATTAACTAATTATAAACTTGGACACTTTGGGATGAATATAGATTGCAATTGATTTGTGAAAATATCTAGTACTGAAGCTGTAACAGCTCATATAAACTCTGAGGAGATTATTTTTTAACTCATGTTTTCTAGACGTGGAATTATCCATGGTTTTACTGATGATCTTTATGGACTATCTCATAGGTAGTTTTAAACTATGAAACATTATGTTTGACTATTTTTCTCCAGATGTGACTAATTACTAATATGTTTTTTAAATTGCTCTATTTATAGATAATCAACCTTTTATTTGTGGCATTAAACACTGTCCTTCACCTATTTATTATAGAATGCATTGCTAATTAGCTGTCAAGTATCAATGAGGATTAACACAATGCACACAATTTTTTTACCTAAAGTAGGTATAAATATTCCCCTGGTGAACATAATAGACTACTTGGTTTCTGGATGTAGTGTGCTTAAATAATGTCAGTAATTCCACCTAAGAAATTATAATTTTGCGGGGAGGAATAAAAGACAAAATTAGAAAATCATCAGTGTACCTCACTAGGGAAAAATTATTAAAGTTTAAATTTAAAAAATGAAGATCTGGTATATTTGAGAACTTTAAGGAAAAAATGTTCTTGTTTGAATCCAATTCATTGCATACCCACATCACTAATGAAGTTCACCTTGATGATGATGTGTTTGTTTGTCTAGGCCAGTTTGGTGGATTAATGAAACCTAAACCAGAAAGTGTTTCCAGTTTGGCATAGGGAATGTGAGATTGGCTGCTGTCTAAGGAGAGATATTTATAGGAAGGAATGGAGCAGTGGAGATGGATTCACTTTTAGGCAGACTAGATAGTATTTCTCTAATCACCTCATCCCCACCCCCTCAAATGTGTGGCTTCTGCACATAGATTTTTCTGTCATGAAACCCTTAATTCATAACACTATTTTTTTCAGACCACCTCACCCTGTTTTCTCTGGATTATGTCCTCCCACATCCAAATTTATTATTATTCCCATAGTATTTCCAATTTGCAGCTGCTTCCTGTTCTAAAGAATTTCATCTCTTCTCAACTGACTGTGTCCCTACCCCTCTCTATTTTTAATCCTCAGTCTTTCTCCATCTGTTCTTCTCTTTGTCACATGTGCAAACACCATCCATCAATTCCCCCATACTCCCTGTGTTGCTTTGCCTCTGAGTCACAGCTTTTATAATCGTGATGTTTGATAAATCAGTTATAATCTTCCCAGCAAATTTTATGATCAAACATGATTAGATGGATAAAGTCCTTTGTTGCAGGATTGATGAATTTATGGGCTTTATTTATATTGTTTTATTTTACATGAGGAACTTTCAGAATTGAGGAAAAATATAGCTTACCTATATAAAATAATACAGCATACCCTTTCATTCCCAAAAAGAAATAGGCAAGTCACTTTCATAAAAATAAGCTTAACTGAGAGTTTTTTTATTTTTTGAGAAATGCAAACACTGGAAAGTTTTTCAGAATGACAGTAAAGTCCTCAAAGGTGGGTGAGAAAGTGCATTTATTTAATCATTGTTTAGCAAGAGTAGCACCTTCTCAAGCACTTAAGAAAAAGATTGCATGATGAAGCACAATTTCTCTAACTTCTCAAATCGTGACTTGATTTGATAAATGCTATACATTATTATTATAAAAAACAAGTAATATCACCAAAGAGAAATAGATGAGTTATTTTACTTAATTCAGTCTTATCACTTTATCTTTCTATGGGAATATCACTCAATCCACCTCATTATAAAGAAGACATTCAAGGTTTTGTGGTAGCTATGAAATTAGCCTATGACCTGCCATTATGTTTTTTACCTCTATAAAATGTATTTTGGCTCTGGCTTTGGCCCATTTGTCTTGAAATAGGGTCATTTTACATAGCCCTTTATTTAGGGACTTTAAAAATTATCTCTCAGTAACAATGAATAATGCAAAGCCATTGTTATAGTACTATGTAATAGTTATGGAATGATTTTCTTCTCTCCCGTTATATATGTGCTACCCAGTTATTTAGTGACGACCTCACAATGAGCCTCTTGTTTCATGGTGGAGAAAGATAGCACTGTGATTTCAACCTTAAGACTCCAGTGAAAATAAATCATTTGTTCCTGTTTAGTGTTTTTGTTGTAATAATTCTCAGAAGAATGAGGCATAATGTTAATGGCATTCTAGTTTATGAAAGACTATAAACTTTAAATATTTCATAACTTTGAACTTCAACCTTTTCAGTATTCTGCACTTTCATTGGCTGTATGTGTACCTTTTGCACTCATGCTACAGAAGTTGTAAACAGTAAAAAATAGAAATGGCTAATGAATCATACTGTAGACATGTAAAAGGTCAGTGTTACAGAGTTTATTATTATCTTCTAGAGAATATATAGGACATTAAAATTCTGATGCTACAGTCTTGTGACAAGGAATATAATGAGAACTATAAATAATAAACAGTATAAAATGAATCTTCTTGTGACAATGATTATAGCTTCAAATAGGAAATACTTAACCCATTGTCATTATTACCAGAAGAAAGGACTGCTATGCTGATGTTCATCTTTCCCTTTTGTGGCTAGAATCTATTTAAGCCACAGAGAATAAAAATAAATAATATATATTCAAGAGTGTTGAATACATTGCTTTATGAGCGCTTTCCAAAATGAATATCATGTTATGGTTTAGGATTAATATGGATCACATTCTACCATAATAATTTTAAAATAACAACTTTAATGTGACTTGTTTGTTTAAAAACAGATGTTTTGCTGTCATTCAGGACACTGTCATGTGTGATAACAAAGTAATACCGTATTTCCATGCAGAAGCCATGTATAAACAAAAATATTTGCATTTAACAGCAGGATTCCAGGCTTATTTGATACTTGCATTCATTGAAATTGGTTATATAGGCCCAGAACTCTTCATAAACTAAAGAAAACATATTTACCCTGCACCTCAGAGGTATAAATACAACTTTAGTGTCTCAATTTGCTAATAGGTATTCATTATTGCTTACTATTGGTGTTCAGTGTCTAGACATGACATAGAAAAAAAACACACACACAGGGTGAGGAAAGAGAAAAGAGAGCTGAAAAGGAGCCAATTGTATTGATGTCACTTGCTTGTTCTAGTCAATTTGTCATGGATTTCTTTAATTAATTGTAAGTTAAGTTTTTCTGAGCATAGATCTGACCTACTTACTTCCTGTGAGAAGGAAAACGAATCCTGTCCTGCCGTCACTTACCACACCTTTTGGCAACTCTCTAGAGACGTAGCACTACCATTGACATGATGGCTTGATTTCTTCTCAAAATATCTTTCAACATCTGGCTCAAAAGATATTTTTGATGACTATAAGCATGCCCAATTTCTCTGTTCATAAGGATTAAAATTCAACAGATATTTAGTACACTAGGACTAAGCTACCTTATCACGAGCAGCTGTACAAAGATGTGCTGAATACTTGTGTTCAATCCACCAGAGTGAATTGATGGAATCATGCCAGTTTCAGGACATACATGGGGTGAGAGGAATTCTATCAGTCACTATCCAGATATTCCTGCTAAACCTTAGAATACCACCTGTACATTTAGAATGACTTGTTATGAAACAAATAAAAGAAACTTAATCAATCTATGTGTCCTCACCAGAGTAGCAAATGACTCTTTCTTGGTGCTAAAAATTCTTTATTGTTTTTTGTCTCTGGCAGGCTTTTTCAGCCTCTGTCTAACTGGTTATATCACCTACACTATCAGCACTGAATATTAAAAATTCTTATTTGAAGAAACATCCTCTTTAGACGTTTCTAGTTGATTGGTTGTTCATGTACAATGGCACTATATTTTAGGTCATTTTACTATATAGTGAATTGTTATACAGCTGTCAAAATGTACATCCTTTCACACTGCATGCTGCATCCTTATTTTTGTTACTTGAAATTTTAAAAGCTCCCATCTGAACATTTTGATAATCTCTCAGAACCATCATTATAATGGGGTGCTGTAGCAAATTATGAGGAATACAAACACAGCAGTATCTGAGAAAAACATTTCCATGTGAGTAAAGTATTTTCATTTGCACTTCAATGTTCTGAGCATATAGTGATATGGTTTGGCTGTGTTCTCACCCAAATCTCATCTTGAACAGCAGTTCCCATAATCCCCCTGTGTCTGTCTTGGGAGAGATCCACGGGGAGGTAATTGAATCATGGGGGCAGTTATCTTTATGCTGTTCTCGTGATAATGAGTGAGTTCTCACAGGATCTGTCAGTTTTATAAGTGCCTCCCCGACCTTCACTCTGCACTTTTCTCTCTGGTTGCCATGTAAAGAAGTACGTGTTTGCTTCCCTTTCTGCCCTAATTGTAATTTTCCTGAGGCCTCCCCAGCCATGTGGAATTGTAAGTCAATTAGACCTCTTTCCTTTATAAATTGCCCAGTCTTGAGTATGTCTTTATTAGCAGTGTGGGAATGGATCTAATACATATAGTAAGCTCTTTGTTGAGACAAAGGGTGAAAGGATCAGTCCTGTTCCACCTTGATTTTGGACTCTTATTGAGCCAGAGCTATATATACTATGTAATTAGCAACAAGGAAAAGTTGAAACACAAACACCAGTTCGTGTTGAAGCAGTGGTCTAAGAATACTCTTCCATCTTCCCTCCTCCTTCTTTCCTGACTTTTCAACTTGGTTCTGCCTATGACTGCTAAATGTTAGCTCTATTACTCTCACCTCAATCTCATCTGGCTTCTTTTACTGTTTGTTCATTTTTCTCTATTATCTGAACTTTAGGCTGCCTTTATGGAACTTTTCTTAATTCAGCCATCCAGCTCTAAGCACCCCTTATAGCCTTGGGTAGATAGAGATTCCCCAATCTAGCCTTGGCCTAGGAAGAACCTAACCACCCTTCCCCAGTCACACTGCAAGACAACTCAATAGAAAATAGTAACAGTCATTTAACTAAGCCATTTAGAAAACACTGACAGGTTTGTTTCTGCTTTAATTACCTTAAAGATAGAACACAAAATCCAAGGCTTTGGTTCCTGGGGTGTCATTTTGAAAAATAATTTACAGCATTTCAGACTTCACAATCTTTATTTAATCTCCAGTATGTAGGGCACATTTGTGCTAAACAGAGTGTGGTAGGGTACAAGGTTTCAAATAGGGCACATTAGTGCTAAACAGAGTGTGGGAGGGTACGTGGTTTCAAGTAGGGCACATTAGTGCTAAACAGAGTGTGGGAGGGTACAAGGTTTCAAATATAAAAGCATAAATGAATAACTTTCACCTCTTTCCACAACCCTTTTTTCATCCTTCCTTTTTGCCATCAGCTGTGCTCTCTGTTGGGTGATGCAGGAGCTGGCATTCCCCCAGAATGGAAATGGGCAAAATAAGAAGGCAGTGGAGGACCAAATATCGGAGGAGGAGCAAAAGGAAGAGGCATAGTGAGAAAGGGATTGAAAATCGGAGGTCGAGGAGGGATGAAACAATGAACAGTAGAGCAAGAAGGTAAACCTGGAGTACTGGAAGACAACGGGATAGGCCTTGGCCAATTATGCATGGGGTGGCATGGGCCCCTGAGTGGGAAAGAAACATGAGCCAGCTTTCCTCTGCAGGCTATTCGTGTATTTCCGGGCGGCACCTCCATTACTATCCCTGATCTAAGGGTGGGAATATGTGAAGGGCCTCTCACTTGTGGGCCCCTGGGTGGAAAGAACCCTTTACCTTGTGGCAAAGCTACATGCAACCTTGCGTTATTACTGCCTCTCTCAGTGCCCCCATTGTTGACCTTTGTGCCCCCTACTATCAGTGCAGGAGGGCCGCCAGAGACTTCCCAGGACACATTAATAGCATCCTGTCCCTCCTGCCTCCAGCCTGCCAGTGCATCAGAGCTGTTTACTTCTGCTGTTGCTAGGGACTCTTCTGCAACAGCAGGTGGTGGCCCGTAGGGGTGTCTATGAGCTCTCAAGCTATGAAGAGGAATGCAGGATCCTGTTCTTTCAGAGGGCCACTCCAGTTGCTTGCTATCCAGATCAGTCAGCACATTGACGGAAGGTCTCAGCGGTACTTGAGGTTGACCCCAGGGCTCTGCGTCATCCTCTGGCTTGGAACTCAGACATTGCAGGGGCATGTCGTGGTGCAGCTCCTGGTTCCCATTTTTGTCCACAGATACTACCAAGGGTGAAGGGGCGTGCCCTCCAAGGCTTGCAAAAACAGAAATCAAACAGCTAATAAAAATGGAAATGCACTGACCAGAAAATAGCTACAATATGTAATTGACTGAGCTCACTGAAATATACCAGGGAAAAAAGGAGTGCCCTCTCCCCTATATGTAGCCAAATACTTGCTCAGCGCTCTGGCCCCTTCCCAGGTGGCTTCTTTAGTACTAGGCTACATGATTACCCTTCATGACTACTCAGTGGCCTATTTCATTCCTCATTTCCCCACCTCCACAAGGCAGCAAGGAAGCTTAGAAGATGCACATAACTTAATAGTAAGCATATAATAGAAAATACCAGCTTTTTCAATTCTCTCTAGGATCTATGATTCACTAATCCTGGCATTCAGATTCTGGCAAGATTGTTCTGGTATGTCTTCCGAAGTAAAATATCTTTTTCTTCACAGAAGTCAAAGAAAAGTTAGTTATGTTAACAAACACACAAGTTTCTCTTCTTGAGGTATCATTCAACACTCACACCAAATTTTGTTAAAAATTCTTTCATTCAACCACCACCACACCCTAGAGTAAGAATTTCCTCATGTTTAAACCCCACTGTTTAGACTAGGGATTTGTAAATTTTCTTTCAAAATTACACTTCAAAGTTGCCACTCTTAAATCCGGTATTCTTAGTAACTAAATTTATGTCCTTCAAGTTTTTGTCTGTAATTTCCTCCCACATCTCCTCCAACCCATTCATCCCTGTCCCAGTTACACAATAAAGCAATTCAAACTGACTTTGCCTTCAAAATTAAACAGTTGTACTCGGTTTTGTACTTACACGTTTTCAATACAAGCCATGAAGAAATTTGATCAGAATAGCTTTCCTGAGGTGGTGGAGATAACCCACTGAACAGGCCAGCTAGGTCTGGAGAAATGACTCCTGCTTCTGCTTTAGAGGCTTGGCAACTAGAATGAAGCCAGGGACCAACTGCTTCTTTCTAGATTTGGAGTTCTCTTTCTGGGGTTACCAGTTGCTAAGGAAGGGAGGGAGAAAAGGAGTGGGGAGGGGGGTGGGTGGGGATGAATCTGTGACACTCCTTTGAACTTAAATGTGGGACTGGTGTTTGCACAGTAGTAGATGGATGGTAAAGGCATTCACTACATTAATTCTGATGCAGGGCAGTTGGAAAGACAAATCATTTCAAGAAGGATTTAGAAGAATCATGGAAGCATGATATTTTTTAAAGAGTTATTTATGAAGTTTTAGTTTCTACAAGGTAGTTGTCAAGTCTCCTCAAATTTGGAAACACATTGAGCAGAGTATTGTGCCTAATATTGTAACTTAAACTTCCAGTTTGGGGATGCATATTATTAACTTGGTGGAGAACAGAGGTTTGGGGGCTAAATTGCTTTTCTATCTGTGAAGATGAAACAAGAACTCCTCTAAGAATCATTGTGACATTATTTTTTAGCCCCTCACGTTGCAGTTATATCCTTCATCTTGTCTGTTAGTTTATAAGCTCTCTCTCTCTCTCTCTGTCTCTGTCTATGTCTGTGTGCACGCGCGTGTGTGTGTGTGTGTGTGTACGTGTGTGTATTTCCTGTAATAGAGCTCTGGAAGTTTCTCTCAAGTTGGGAGGGTCAGAATAAATGGCATAACAGGTATCATAAATTTATAAATATTAGCTTAGGTTTGGCCATGCAACATTTTTGCATAGGGAACTTTCTGTTTGTCCAGCCTAAATTTCATTTTAAGCAAGTTTACTTTCCCAGCTTTCTTTTCTGCCATTGATCTACAGATTAATTGCTCCGAAATTACAACAACCATTCCATCATCCAAGACAATTACTGTTGCTCTAGGACAAAGCCATAAACTTGGCAAACCTGCCTAAATTTACATAAAATTTGTGCTGTGCAGGCTAGACCTGGGAGATTGTGTCTTCCTTATTTTCAATATTAGTATATGTTGCTACAGTTCAACAGTAATGTATATTTCTTTTCTCTTAAGGAAAGATAACAGACTCAAATACCATGTGCTTCAATTTTTAGATATATGGTGTCTGTGTATCTGTGTGTGTGTGAGAGAGACAGAATAATGCATAAGTACAAAGTACTAATGTAAAGGAATGGTCACTACTGCAAATCAACACAACTCATATAGAAGTAACCTTTGGGGTCTGCAAGTCCACATCTTCCTGCCAGAGTGTGTTGTCTCCATCTATACAAGAAAGTGGCATGTTTCCAACATATTTTCCAGAAGAATCTGTTCACTTGCCTAGCATGGTTCACTATTAAGTAATCTCTTGATTCCCCAGATTCTGTTTCTATTCTTGCTTCAGTTTATTACGCACCTTGTCCTTATGTAAAAATAATAGTATTATTAGCAGTATTATTGTTGTGGGGTGTTAAAGCTCTTTTACTTCTTGTCGTATCAGAGAGGAAATTGCAACTTGGGTTAATGCCTGCTAATAGTTGGTGAATCACATTTAGATAAATAGTTTCAGTATAATAGGTTGCATATTTTTTTCCTGATAATAGCAACAAAGCCTGAGGAATGCCTTTTGTTCTTATCAAATTACTATAATAATAAACAATTTTACCTAGAAATACCTGTTTGGTAAGATATCATCTTAGTTGGATTACATAACAGTATGGTGTAATATAGGAACCAAATTGCTGGGAACAATGACAATGACCATGGCACCAAGAATTTTCCAAAGCCATGAAGTGTATAATTTATGGATATTACCTCATATTTTGTTTGTAACTTGTTTTCCTTTGTGCAAATAGTCCATATTTATTGAATGTCTACTGCGTGCATTCACTATTGTGTTAAGTGTTGATTTTACCAAAAAAGTTAAATATGCAATCCATATTGACTTCAGGGAATGTTCTAATTTTCTTGGGAGGCAAAATAACATCTATAAAATTATTGAAGAATGGCATAAAAAATAGCCACAGACCATTAGCTGCATGGTATAAGCTAAGACTGCAATGGAAATTCAGAAGAAGGAACTATAATTGTGGGTTAAAGTAGTTGTGACACAGTTTATGTGGGATTAAAACTTCTGCTGTGTTTTGAAAAATTGATATACATGGGCAGAAAAGGAGATGTCATGCTATGGGAAGAACAGTTATAGAAGTAGAAATAAAGAAAAAAATGGCATTTTGTAGTTCATATTTTAAATCAAAACTAGGGCTCATATTTGGCAGAAATAGAAATATAAAGTACCAATTAGACCCCTTAGAGATAGCGATCAACCAGATAATTCATGAAGTTTTACCCATAAATTTTACCCATAAATAAATATTTGAATACATTCAAATTTCAAAGTTAAATACAGCTATCTCAAAACCTACCTTTTCGCAAAAAGCTATCAGGGTAACTCAATCATCCACTGAGCATTGAAAATTCAGTAATAAAGTATATGCCTTTTTCTTTACTTCACTTAAATAACAGTTTTGGGGAGAGAAACATGGGTAATGAAGGTTGAAGTTTCACCAAAAAGTAGCCTAGTTAGCAAGGCAGCTGTTTGAGTCCATTTTCTGCTGCTATAACATAATACTTGAGACTGGGTAATCTATAAACAAAAGAAATGTATTTATCACAGTTTTGGAGGATGGAAAGTCCAATATCAAGGAACTGACTTCTGGCAAGAGCCTTCTTGCTGTGGCATCCCATGACAAAAGGTGGAAGCACAAGGGAGTGAGAGACAGCAAGGAAGAGAGGGCCAAACTCACTTTCATACCAACCCACTCTAGCAATACCAAACTCACTACTGCCTTATCAACATTAGTCTATTCATGAGAGTGGAGACCTCATGGTCTAATTAATCTTAATGGTCTCACCTCTTAATCTGTCACAATGGCAATTAAATTTCAACATGAGTTTTGAAGGGGGCCTAAGAAGTAGCTAAGGTATAAATGCCTTTCATTACCCATAGCCTCTTTATTCATGACACAGTTCCAGATATCATTTATTTACCTCTCAAAAAATTTTGATGACAGTATTGAAATGCTAAGTAAGGTCTGTAGAAAGATATATTTACTTTTGCACAGCAATTATGACTTTAATATAAATATGATTTCTGGGAATGGTGGCATGCACATGTAATCCCAGCTACTCAGGAGGCTGAGGCAGGAGGATGGATTGAGCCCAGTGGTTGGAGACCAGCCTGGGAAATATAATGAAACCCCATCTGAAACTTTTAAAAAAGTGTGGTTGATCTACCAAAATTGTGTTGCTGTGGGGTTTTTTTTAAAGAAATTTTGCAGATGTGTAAATGAAGGCAAAGTATCATTTAAAATACACCCTTTCTCTTTTGCTTCAAATAAGAATTCAGGATATAAAGACATAAAGATGATTTTTCTCTGTTTCCATCTAGCTTATAAGGAAATTGTCATGTTGACCTCTGGGGAGACAGTCATCAGAAAATCCTACCCATTTGCTCACTTTCCAAATGTAATTTGGCTATGCATGTGAAAAACTCTCTAAGTTTATGATGTCCAAAAAGTGCTTCTGGAAGATATACCAGGTTTTTGAGGAGTCTGTAGTCATTTATTCCATGTATTAAAGCATGAGAATCGTGAAAGCATGATACTTTCCCAAAATGGGCCAGGCAGCATTATTCTATTACACAGCTATAGGCAGTAGTCCTGTCTTCTCTGCCACCAGCTGTCCTGCAAACTCTGTGTGGTAATTGATGAGAACAAACAGGTGAGAGTGTGGCTATATCACCACCAGTATTGGCAAAAGCAACTAACAACATGTGCCTCACTGCTGGATCTAGCTGTATGAAATTCAATAGACTATTATTGCTTTTATAGAGTTTTTTGTTTCAGATTTAAATATTTACATATTTGTTTTAAGATGGGTAACATGGCAATTACTTCCAAACAGGTTATCTCTTTGTACAAATCAGAAGCTATCAGAAGTTTCCTCAACATATATCACTCATTTTTCTTGCTCTCATGGGGGTCGGAACCAGAAATTAAGTAGCACCAGGGCAAGTGAGATGAGAATAAAAAAAGGAAGAAGTAAAAGAAAATCTATTTTTTTTTACCACTTACTGTACACCAGACATTTGATATACATTGTCTCATTTAATGGTCACAGCAAACTTTTAAGGCAGCTATTATTATTATACTCATTTTATAAATGAGGAAAAAGAGAGTCAGAGAAAATAAGTAGAAGTTTCCCATGGTCCCAAAGCTAGTAAATGGCAAACAATATTCAGATACAGCCAATTTGACACCAAAGCCAATATTTCATTCATTTAATCACGTGGCCTCTAAATTATAGTTCTAGGTCAATCACAAAAGTGGATCAGATAAAAACGTGTGTACCAAATCTGAGTTTAGGTTTTTTGTAATGCATGGACCCATTGACCCTCATCCAGAGGTAGTTCTGCAATGAAGAAATCATCCAGGCTATAATGCTCACATCCCAGAAAGTCTGCCTCTGCAGGGATGCAGCAAGTGATTGAAGTGTTAGTTAATAATGTAGCAAGGTGGTGATGACTGAAAACACTGTCTTGGAGCAATTGGGGTGGGTGACAGATAATAGGAATTGGTTATAGGACAGCATCAAGTGACCATTACTGAGGAGCTAATGGCAATATGAGCCCAGCATTATCAATATTAAGATTTAATTAATGTTGAGCTCTTGAGCTGCACATATAGAAGATATAGGGTTCCTCATATTATTTCCATGGTAGTGTGTGTGTGTGTGTGTGTGTGTGTGTGTGTGTGTGTGTGTGGTGAAATGGGGGCCGAGCTTGAGTCATCCAAGTGAGGTATTAATGATAACCCTAGAGAATACCCTTCTGAATTAGATAAATATATAAATTAAAACATAAAAGCAATATGTTTATGTTCATATAGGGCATATAATATAAATTAAGATGCAAACATGGACTAATAAAATTAGAACAGTTAATGAAAACAGGTTAAAGTTTACAGAAAGCATCAGGCCATAAGTTTATAATGGTGTAATACATGTATTTGCCATGTCAGATTTAATTGCTGGGCCCAGGAGTTGAGGGCATGCTTAATTTCTTGAGTACTTGGTTTGAAAAACAAAATATATTTTAGATTAATTTCATCTTGCTTATAAACAAGACACTGGAAATTCATGTTGGAAACCTTTTATCAGTTTATTAAAAATGAATCTGTTTTTCAAAATTGTTATGAGCTTTGACTCTGGAATCATAAGGGCACAAATCTGGGTTTAATCTCAGCTTTACCACTTATCAACTGTGTTATCTTGGATAGGTTTCTTAACTTCTCTAAACCTCATTCTCCTTACCTGTAAAATGGGGTTAGAGAGAGAGTTATGTTAAGTAGTGTATGAATAATGACTGTCACATACTAGGTGGCTTAAATATAATAATTTCCTTGTACATATTAGACTCAGTGTTTTTATGTAAAATAGAGATGATAATGCCTTTCCTATTTCAGAACTGTTGAGAAAATTAAATATAGTTATTTGAAATTGTTCTGCAAACTGTAAGTCACTTCACACGTTAGGTTCATATAACCATAGGTGATATTTCTAGAGCAAGAAGACTTCTTGGCACAATTTAATTAGCATTGTGTAGGTGGCCACCTATCCCTCTTACATATAAGGCCTTTTTTCTTTTCCTAAATCATTAAGGTGGTGAGGATTAACCACACTATTAAAAAAACCCCATGGTGTATAATGCTTTAAACTTTTCAATTGGCACTACATAAAATCACCCATTGTTATATTTAATGTAGTAGCTGTGTTCGAATAAAGAGGGCATTTTTGTATTTGACCACATATTTAATTGGGCTTTAGAAACTTGTGTTTCACAACAGGAATCACTGAAAGCGTGTGATGATTAAAGAGGAAGGCCTGGGGAAAAAAGAATGTTGCATGGTTTCCTGATAGTGAAGATTTGATTGATTGATTCTCCAAATGATTTGTTACTTTAGAGGGAAAAAAAATTTTCCCACCCAGAAGCCTTCCCTACATCCCTCTCAAGTGGTCAAATAAATAGCTTGTTGGAGGAAGTGTAACACTTTTATAGACTGACTATAATTCAATGTGCAGGAAAATTTGCTGATGAAACTCAAAATTAAAATAATAATAAAGCCTATCCAGAGAGACCATTCTTAATTCTTGCCTGAATTATGCCGTATGCCCATGCTGCTGACATAAGTGTTTGTTTAAAGGTCCTGGATAGTTTGCCTTTATTTTTGAACTATTTAAGATCTTCTATCTCTAGTTCTTAGAGTGATGAATTGATATGTGTGTTTACTTAGTGTGGGAGTTCAACAGAATAAAAGATCAGATTGATGAGGGCAAGGCAATAAGAGAGGGACTCTTAGAAAATTTCTACAGGAAATTTCTAAAGGAATATCATTCAGGTAGTGAAGTTTCAACAGCCCTATAATAAGATCTGAGCCAAACTGATGAACCTTTATAGAGGTACTGGGTCTTTTGGCACATGGTCAAATGAGAGCAAATAAAGGTATGGAGCATTGCACCACTTCAGGGTGAACTGAACACTTGGTTATTTCTGTGGTTTCTAGGTATTATTGAGCAACAGACTGACCTGGGTATCTTATTAAAATAGCAGATTCCTTGGCTCCATCCCTTAGATTCTGATTCAATTGATCTGTACTGGGGCCCAGTTATCTTTAGTTTATTTACTGATTCTAATGAGGTGATCTTCTGACCACATTAGAGAAATACTGACAAGGTGATGTAGCCTTGTAGTCTAGGCTTGAGGGGTTAGGCCCGGAATTCTAGTGGGCACTATTTTTTCATTAGCTCTAAACCACTGACTAGATAGAGGGACAATAGAACATAAAATCTTTTTGACTGCATGCCACACTCCAGTTCCATTTTGTTCCACAGACCTCCAAACATCATGTTTAGTTTTTTAAAAGATAGGTAACATTTAGTTCATTAAGAGTAGTAGTTCTAAAATTTGGTTTAGGGAAAAATGCCACCCTCCCCATACCCTTTCAAAGGGCCCACAGAGTCAAAATATTTTCATTATTATATGATTATATTATTTCACTTATTCAGTCTAATTCTCTCCTGAGGGTGCAGTGGGAGTTTTTCTCAGGCTACATGATATGTGGTGTCATTGCTCTAATGATTAATGGAATACGTGCTTATATATTCCTGTGTTTTAAAATTTTCCCAGATTTAATTTCTAATATGGTGTTGGGCTCAGAAAACAATAACCCCAAATTAAGTCCTCAGAAGTAGCTTCAGAAGAAAAAGATTTTCTCTGATCTTCCCCTGTTCTCCTGTCTCTCAGTCCTAGTCTTCTCCAAGGCTAGCCATACAAACTAGGGTCCCTCTTCAAAGCAGGAAGAAGAATTAGTGAGATTCAAGACAGGCTATTTGAAAATACAAAGTTAGAAGAGAAAAAGAAAAAGAATCATGACTGCAAGATCTAGTAAATTTAAAACCTAGTAACTTAAAACCGCATATTTAAGTTACTGGCCATAAAGAGTTAGAGAGAGAGAGGGATGGAAAGTTTATTCAAAGGAATAATAACAGAACTTTGCAAACCTAGAGAAAGAGATAAATAATCAAATACAAAAAGGATATAGAACACCAAGCAGATTTAGCCCAAAGAAGACTACCTGAAGGAATTTAAAAATCAAATGCCAAAAGGTTAAAGATAAAGAAAGGATTCTAAAAGCAGCAAGAGAAAAGAACAAATATCATATGATGGGGCTGCAATATATTTGGCAGCAGACATTGCAGTAGAAACCTTACAAGTCAGGAGAAAGTGGCATGACATATTTAAGGAATTAAAAAAGATATTCTATGAAAATGAAAAATAAGAAAGAGCAGGAGGAGCTATACTTAAATTAGGCAAAATATATTTTGTCTGAAAAACTATAGAGACAAAGAAGGTCATTATATAGTGATATAGGGTCAATTCTGCAAGAGAATGTAACACCTGTAAATATAATGCACCCATCACTGGAGTACCCTGGTATGTAAAGTGAATATATAGGACCAAATGGACCTAATAGATATTTGACAGAACATTTCCTTCAACGAGTGTGGAATATACATTCTCCTAAGCACATGGATGATTCTCAAAAGTAGACCATATGTTAGGCCACAATACATTTTAAGAAATAAAATAATACGAAGCATCTTCTCTTAACAACATTAACTAAAATCAGAAATCCATAGCAACAGGAATTTTGGAAACTATAGTAACACATGGAAATTAAAAAATATGCTCTTGAATGATCAGTGGTCAATGAAAAGATTAAGAGGTAAATTTAAAAATTTCTTGAAACAAATTATGATACAAACACAACATTCTGAAAGCTATGAGATACAGTGAAGGCAGTACTAATATGGTAGTTTATAGCCAAAAGTGTCTACATCAAAAAAGAAGAAAAGCTGAAATACATAACCTAATCATGCATCTTAAATAAGTAGGAAAAGAAGAACAAATTGAACCCAAAATTAGTAGAAGACAATAAATACTAAAGTAAGTGTGAAAATAAATAAAATTGAAATGAAGAAAATAATACAAAAGACCAATAAAACAAAAAGCTGGTATTTTGAAAAGGTAAACAAAATATACAAAACTTTAGCCAGACTAAGAAGACAAAATGCCCAAATAACTAAAATAGAGATGAAAAGGGAGACATTACAACCAGTACTGCAGAAATCCAAAGGATCATTAGTACCTGCTATGAGCAACTATATGCCAATGAATTGGAAAATATAGAATAAATGAATACATTCCTAGGGACATATAGCTTACCAAGATTGAACCATGAATAAATTGAAAACATAAACATAAATAACAAGTAATGAGATCAAAGCCATAATAAAAAGTATTTCAGAAAAAAAAAAAAAGGACTGGTCCTGATGGCTTTACTACTGAAGTCTACCAAGCATATAGAGAAAAAGTAATGTGCATCCCACTTAAACTATTGTAAAAAATACAGGCAGAGGGAATACTTCCAAACTAGTTCTAAGAGTTCAGTATTACACTGATACAAAAACCACAAAAATACAAATAAAGAAAGAAAGAAATTACAGGCCAATATATCTGATGAATATTGATGTAAAAATCCTCAACAAAATATTACTAAACAGAATGTAAATTTACATGTAAAAGATCATTCATCATCACCAAATGTGTTTAATTCCAGCAATGCAAGGATGGCTCAATATATGCAAATTAATGTGATGCATCATGTCAAGAAAGATAAAAATCATGATCATTTCAATTGATGCTGAAATAGCATTTGATAAAATTCAACAACACTTCATGATGGAAACTCTAAAAAACTGGGATAGAAGGGACATTCCTCAACATAATAGAAGCCATATATGACAGACCCACAGCTAGTATTATACTAAATGGGGACAAATTAAAGCCTTTTCTCTAAGATCTGGAGCATGACAAGGATGCCCACTATCACAACTGTTATTCAACATAGTACTGGAAGTCCTAGCTAGAGCAATCAGATGAGAGAAAGCAATATAGTACACCCAAATTTAAAAGGAAGTAAACAACTTGTCCTTGTTTACAGATAATATGATCTTATATTTGGAAAAAACTTAAAGATTCCACCAAAAAAAAACAATTAGAACTGATCAACAAATCCAGTAAAATGGAAGAACACAAAAGCAACATACAAAAATCACTAGCTTTTCTATATGTCAACAGTGAACAATCTGAAATAGAAATAAAAAGTAATCTTATTTTAATAGCTGTAAATAAAATTACATACCTAGAAATTAACCAAAGAAGTGAAAAATCTCTAAAATGAAAACCATAAAACAAAGTAGTAAGATATTGAAGAGAAAAAATATGAAAAAATATTCTATGTTCATAAATTGGAAGAATAAATATTGTTAAAATATTCATACGTCTCAAAGGAATCTACAGAGTCAATGTAATTTTTATTAAAATATTAATGACATTCTTCACAGAAATAAAGCAATCCTAAAATTTAGATGCAACCACAAAAGACACAGATAACCAAAGCTATACTGAGCAGAAAGTACAAAACTGGAAGAATTATGGTACCTGATCTCAAATTGACCTACAGAGTTATAGTAACCAAAACAACATGGTACTCAATAAAAATAGACACATAGACTAATGGAAAAGGATAGATAACTCAGAAACATATCCAGACATCTGCAGTGAGCTCATTTTTGACAAAGATGTCAAAAACATACGTTGGGAAAAGGACAGTCTTTTAATAAATGCTAAGAAAATTGGATGTCTTTAGGTGGAAGAATGAAAGTAGATTCTTATCTTTCACCAGATACAAAAATCAAATCAAAATGAATTAAAGACTTAAATATTAGCACTCCAACTATGAAAGTTCTAAGGGTAACACTGGGGTAACTGTCCAAGACATCGGACTTGGAAAAGATTTCTTGAGTAATACATCAAAAGCACAGTCAACAAAAAAAGAAATAAACAAATGGGACTACTTCAGGATAAAAATCTTTTGGACAGCAAAGGATATAACCAACAAAGTAAAGAGGCAACCCACAGAATGGGAGAAAATATTTACAAACTATCCATCTGACAAAGGATTAATAAGCAGAATATATAAGGAGCTCAAACAACTCCATAGGAAGAAATCTAATAGTACAATTAAAAATGAGGAAAAGATCTGAATAGATATGTCTCAGAAGAAGAAATACAAATGGCAAACAGATGTAAGAAAAGATGCTCAACATCATTGATCATCCAAGAAATGCGTATAAAAACTACAATGAAATATCATCTCACCACAGTTAAAATGGCTTATCTCCAAAAGACAGATAATAACAAATGCTGTTGAGGATGTGAAAAAAACAGAAGCCTTATACACTGTTGGTGGGAATCTAAATTAGTACAACCACTATGGAGAAAAATTTGGAGGGTCCTCATAAAACTAAAAATAGAGCTACCACATGATCCAGCAATCCCACATTATCTATTTATCTGTTGATGAACACTTAGGTTGCTTCCAAATCTTGGCTATTGTGAACAGTGCTGAAACAAAGATAGGAGCATAGCATAGATACCTCTTCAATATACTGATTTCCTTTCCTATGGTTGTATATACCAAGTTGTGGGATTGCCGGGTAATATTGTAGCTCTATTTTTAGTTTCTTGAGGAACCTTCAAACTGCTCTCAGTAGTGGTTGTACAATCTACATTCCCACAGTGTGCGAGGGTTCCAATTTCTTCACATCCTCGCCAGTATTTATTACTGCCTATCTTTTGGATAAAAGTCATTTTTACTGGGTGAGATGATATCTCACTGTAGTTTTGATTTGTATTTCTCTGAAGATCAAGGAAGTTGAGCTTCTTTTCATATGCATGTTTGTCACATGTATGTCTTCTTTTGAGAAATGCCTATTCAAATATTTTGCCCATTTTTCAATCAAATTATTAGGGTTTTTTTCCCTATACAATTGTGTATTAGTCTTTTTATGCTGCTAATAAATGCACACCTGAGGCTGGGTTATTTACAAAGGAAAAGAGGTTTAATGGGCTCACAGTTCCAAATGGCTGAGGAGGCCTCACAATTATGGTGGAATAAGGAGAAAGTCATGTCTAACATTAATGTTGGCAGGCAAAGGGAGAGAACTTGTGCAGGGGAACTCCTCTTTATGAAACCATCAGATCTCATGACACTTATTCACTATCATGAGAGCAACATGGGAAAGACCCATCCCCATGATTCAATTACCTCTCACTGGGTCCCTCCCATGACACATGGGAATTGTGGGAGCTACAATTCAAGATGAGATTTGGATGGAGACACAGCCAAACCATAATATTTGACCCCTGACCCCTCCCAAATCTCATGTCCTCACATTTCAAAATCAATCATGCCTTCCCAACAGCTCCTCAAAGTCTTAACTAATTTCAGCATTAACTCAAAAGTCAAAGTCCAAAGTCTCCTCTGAGACAAGGCAAGTCCCTTCTGCCTCTGAGCCTGTAAAATCAAAAGCAAGTTACTTACTTCCTAAATATGATGAGGATATAGGCATTGGATAAATACAGAAATTCCAAATGGGAGAAATTGGCTGAAACGAAGGGGCTAAAGGCCTTATGCAAGTCTGAAATCCATTGGGGCAGTAAAATCATAAAGTTCCAAAATGATCTCCTTTGACTCTATGTCTCACACCTAGGTCATGCTGATGCAAGAGATAGGCTCCCACAGCCTTGGGAAGCTCCACCTCTGTGGCTTTGCAGGGTATCTCCCCCATCCTAGCTGCTTTTATGGACTGGCATTGAGTGTTTGCTGCTTTTCCAGGTGAATGGTGCAAGCCATCGGTGGATCTGCCATTCTAGGGTCTAGAGGATGGTGGCCCTCTTCTCACAGCTCTACAAGGCAGTGCCCCAGTAGGATTTCTGGGTGGGGGCTCTGACCCCACATTTTCCATCTGTTCCGCCCTATCAGAGGTTCTTTATTAGGACCCCATCCCTGCAGCAAACTTCTGCCTGGTCATCTAGGAATTTCTGTACATCCTCTGAAATCTAGGCAGAGGTTCTCCAACCTCAACTCTTAGCTTCTGGACACCCACAGGCTCAACACCATGTGGAAGCTGCCAAGGCTTGGGGCTTCCACCCTCTGAAGCAGCAGCTTGAGCTGTATCTTGGCCCCTTTGAGGCATGGCTGGCGCATCTGGGACAGAGGGCACCAAGTCCCTAGGCTGCAGAGAGCAAGGATGCCGTGGGCCCAGCCCAAGATACCATTGTTTCCTCCTGGGTCTCCAGGCCTGTGATGGAAGGGGCTGCCATGAAGACCTCTGACATGCCTTGGAGACATTTTCTCCATTGTCTTGGCAATTAACATTTGGCTTCTTGTTACTTATGCAAATTTCTATAGCCTGGTTGAATTTCTCCTCAGAAAATGGGTTTTTCTTTTCTAGCGCATTGTCAGGTTGCAAATTTTCCAAACTTTTATGCTGTTTCCCTTTTAAAACTGAATGCTTTTAACAGCACCCAAGTCATCTCTTGAATTCTCTGCTGATTAGAAATTTCTTCTGCCAGAGACCCTAAATCATCTCGCTCAAGTTCAAAGTTCCACAAATCTCTAGGGCAGGGGCAAAATGCCACCAGTTTTTTTTTTTGCTAAAGCATAGCAAGAGTCACCTTTACTCCAGTTACCAACAAGTTCCTCATCTCCATCTGAGAACACCTCAGCCTGAATTTCATTGTCCATATCATTATCAGCATTTTGGTCAAAGCCTTTCAACAAGTCTCTAGGAAGTTCCCAACTTTCCCACATTTCCCTGTCTTCTTTTGAGCCCTCCAAATGGTTCCAACCTCTGCCTGTTACCCAGTTCCAAAGTCACTTCCACATTTTGGAGTAACTTTGGAGCAGCACCCCACTCTACTTGTACCAATTTACTGTTTTAGTCTGTTTTCACACTGCTGATAAAAATATATGTGAGACTGGGTAATTTAAAAAGAAAAAGAGGTTTAATCAACTCACAGTTCCACATGACTGGGGAGGCCTTACAATCATGGCAGAAGGAGGAGAAAGTCACATCTTACACGGATGGTGACAGGCAAAGAGAGAGAACTTGTGCAGGGGAACTCCTCTTTATAAAACCATCAGATCTTGTGAGACTTATTCACTATTATGAGAACAGCATGGGAAAGACCAGCCCCCATGATTCAATTGCCACCCACTGAATCCCTCCCATTACATGTGGGAATTGTGGGAGATACAATTCAAGATGAGATTTGGGGGGGACACAGCCACACCATATCATAGTATTTAAGCTCCTTTTACATTCTGATTACTAATCTCTTATCATATAGATATTTTGCAAATATTTTATCACATTTTTAAGTTGTCTATTCACTTTGTTGATTGTATACTTTTGTGTGCAGAATCTTTTTAACTTGTCGTGATCTCATTTGTCCATATTTGCTTCAGTGGCTTTGCTTGTGGGGGTATTGCTCAAGAAATTTTTCCCCAGTTCAACGTCCTGTAGATTTCCCCAATGTTTTCTTGCAGAAGAATCAGACTTGGAGGTTTTAGATTGAAGTCTTTAATCCATTATGTTTTGATTTTTGTATACAGTGAGAGATAGGGGTCTAATTTCATTCTTTTGCATATGGATATTCAATTTTACCAGCACCATTTGTTGAAGAGATTGTGATTCTCCAGTGTAGGTTCTTGGTAATCTTTGTCAAAAACGAGTTTACTGTAGGTGTGTGGATTTGTTTCTGGATTCTCTATTCTGTTTCATTGGTCTATATGTCTGTTTTTATGCCAGTACCATGTTGTTTTAGTTACTATAACTCTGTATAATTTGAAGTCAGGTAATGTGATTCCTCCAGTTATACTTTATGCTTTTTTTTTTTCATTATACTTCAAGTTCTAGGGTACATGTGCACAACATGCAGGTTTGTTGCATATGTATACATGTGCCATGTTGGTGTGCTGCACCCATTAACTCATCATTTACATTAGGTATATCTCCTAATGCTATCCCTCCCCACTCCCCACACCCCATGACAGGGCCCGGTGTGTGATATTCCCCATCCTGTGTCCAAGTGTTCTCTTTGTTAAATTCCCACCTATGAGTGAGAACATGCGGTGTTTGGTTTTCTGTCCTTGTGATATTTTGCAGAGAATGATGGTTTGCAGCTTCATCCATGTCCCTACAAAGGACATGAACTCACCCTTTTTATGGCTGCATGGTATCCCATGGTGTATATGTGCCACATTTTCTTAATCCAGTCTATCATTGATGGACATTTGGGTTGGTTCCAAGTCTTTGCTGTTGTGAATAGTGCCAAAAGAAACATACATGTGCATGTGTCTTTATAGCAGCATGATTTATAGTCCTTTGGGTATATACCCAATAATGGGATGGCTGGGTCAAATGGTATTTCTAGTTCTAGATCCTTGAGGAATTGCCACACTGTCTTCCACAATAGATGAACTAGTTTACACTCCCACCAACAGGGTAAAAGTGTTCCTATTCCTCCACATCCTCTCCAGCACCTGTTGTTTCCTGACTTTTTAATGATTGCCATTCTAACTGGTGTGAGATGGTATCTCATTGTGGTTTTGATTTGCATTTCTCTGATGGCCAGTGATGATGAACATTTTTTCATGTGTCTGTTGGCTGCATAAATGTCTTCTTTTGAGAAATGTCTGTTCATACCTTTGCCCAATTTTTGATGGGGTTGTTTGATTTTTTTCTTGTAAATTTGTTTAACTTCTTTGTAGATTTTGGATGTTAGCCCTTTGTCAGATGGGTAGATTGCAAAAATTTTCTCCCATTCTGTAGGTTGCCTGTTCACTCTGATGGTAGTTTCTTTTGCTGTGCAGAAGCTCCTTAGTTTAATTGGATCCCATTTGTCAATTTTGGCTTTTGTTGCCATTGCTTTTGGTGTTTTAGTCATGAAGTCCTTGCCCATGCCTATGTCCTGAATGGTAATGCCTAGGTTTTCTTGAAGGGTTTTTATGGTTTTAGGTCTAACATTTAAGTCTTTAATCCCTCTTGAATGAATTTTTGTATAAGGTGTAAGGAAGGGATCCAGTTTCAGCTTTTTTTTCTTTTTTTTTTTTTTTTTTTTTTTTGAGACGGAGTCTCGCTCTGTCACCCAGACTGGAGTGCAGTGGTGCGATCTCAGCTCACTGCAGGCTCTGCCTCCCAGGCTCATGCCATTTCTCCTGACTCAGTCTCCTGAGTAGCTGGGACTACAGGCACCCGCCACCGTGCCTGGCTAATTTTTTTGTATTTTTTCGTGGAGACGGGGTTTCACCGTGTTAGCCAGAATGGTCTCGATCTCCTGAACTCGTGATCCACCCACCTTGGCCTCCCAAAGTGCTGGGATTACAGGCGTGAGCCACTGCACATGGCCCAGTTTCAGCTTTCTACATACGGCTAGCCAGATTTCCCAGCACCATTTATTAAATAGGGAATCCTTTCCTCATTTCTTGTTTTTGTCAGGTTTGTCAAAGATCAGATGGTTGTAGATGTGTGGTATTATTTCTGAGGGCTCTGTTCTGTTCCATTGGTCTATATCTCTGTTTTGGTACCAGTACCTTGCACACAAAGGGAAGCCCATCAGAATAAGAGCGGATCTCTCAGCAGAAATTCTACAAGCCAGAAGAGAGTGGGTGCCAATATTCAGCATTCTTAAAAGAATTTCAACCCAGAATTTCATATCCAGCCAAACTAAGCTTCATAAGTGAAGGAGAAATAAAATCCTTTACAGACAAGCAAATGCTGAGAGATTTTGTTACCACCAGGCCTGCCTTACAAGAGCTCTTGAAGGAAGCACTAAACATGGAAAAGAACAACCGGTACCAGCCACTGCAAAAACATGCCAAATTGCAATCAAACTAGAACTCAGGATTAAGAAACTCACTCAAAACCGCTCAACTACATGGAAACTGAAAAACCTGCTCTTGAATGGCTACTGGGTACATAACGAAATGAAGGCAGAAATAATGATGGTCTTTGAAACCAATGAGAACAAAGATACAACATACCAGAACCTCTGAGACACATGTAAAGCAGTGTGTAGAGGGAAATTTATAGCACTAAATGCCCACAAGAAAAATCAGGAAAGATCTAAAATTGACACCCTAACATCACAATTAAAAGAACTAGAGAAGCAAGAGCAAACACATTCAAAAGCTAGCAGAAGGCAAGAAATAACTAAGATCAGAGCAGAACTGAAGGAGATACAGACACAAAAAAACCCTTCAAAATATCAATGAATCCAGGAGCTGGTTTTTTGAAAAGATCTGCAAAGTTGATAGACCACTACCAAGACTAATAAAGAAGAAAAGAGAGAATAATCAAATAGAAGCAATAAAAAATGATAAAGGGGATATCACCATCAATCCCACAGAAATACAGACTACCATCAGAGAATACTATAAACACCTCTACGCAAATAAACTAGAAAATCTAGAAGAAATGGATAAATTCCTGGACACATACACCCTCCCAAGACTAAACCTGGAAGAAGTTGAATACCTGATTAGGCCAATAACAGGCTCTGAAGTTGAGGCAATAATTAATAGCCTACCAACCAAAAAAAGTCCAGGACCAGATGGAATCACAGCTGAATTCTACCAGAGGTTCAAAGAGGAGCTAGTACCATTCCTTCTGAAACTATTCCAATCAATACAAAAAGAGGAAATCCTCCCTAACTCATTTTATGAGGCCAGCATCATCCTGATACCAAAGCCTGGCAGAGACACAGTAAAAAAAAAAGAGTATTTTAGACCAATATCCCTGAGGAACATCGATGCAAAAATCCTCAATAAAATACTGGCAAACTGAATCCAGCAGCACATCAAAAAGCCTATCCACCACGATCAAGTTGACTTCATCCCTAGGATGCAAGGCTTGTTCAACATATGCAAATCAATAAACAAAATCCATCACATAAACAGAACCAAAGACAAAAACCACATGATTATCTCAATAGATGCAGAAAAGGCCTTTGACAAAATTCAACAGCCCTTCATGCTAAAAACTCTCAATAAACTAGGTATTAATGGGACGCATCTCAAGATAATAAGAGCTATTTATGACAAACCCACAGCCAATATCATACTAAATGGGCAAACACTGGAAGCATTCCCTTTGAAAACTGGCACAAGACAAGGATGTCCTCTCTCACCACTCGTATTCAACATAGTGTTGGAAGTTCTGGCCAGGGCAATCAGGCAGGAGAAAGAAATAAAGGGTATTCAATTAGGAAAAGAGGAAGTCAAATTGTCCCTGTTTGCAGATGACATGATTTTATATCTAGAAAACCCCATCGTCTCAGCCCTAAATCTCCTTAAGCTGATAAGCAACTTCAGCAAAGTCTCAAGATACAAAATCAATGTGCAAAAATCACAAGCATTCCTATACAGCAGTAACAGACAAACAGAGAGCCAAATCATGAGTGAACTCCCATTCACAATTGCTTCAAAGAGAATAACATACCTAGGAATCCAACTTACAAGGGATGTGAAGGACCTCTTCAAGGAGAGCTACAAACCACTTGTCAACGAAATAAAAGAGGACACAAACAAATGGAAGAACATTCCATGCTCATGGATAGGAAGAATCACTATGAAAATGGCCATACTGCCCAAGGTAATTTATAGATTCAGTGCCATCCCCATCCAGCTACCAAGGACTTTCTTCACAGAATTGGAAAAGACTACTTTAAAGCTCATATGGAACCACAAAACAGCCCGCATTGCCAAGACAATCCTAAGCCAAAAGAATAAAGCTGGAGGCATCATGCTACCTGACTTCAAACTATACTGCAGGGCTACAGTATTCTTTATGCTTAAAATAGCTTTGGCTATTCTGGGTCCTTTATGCTTCTATATAGACTTTAGGGTTGTTTTTTTTCTGTTTATGTGAAGAATGTCATTAGTATTTTGATAGAGTGTGCATTGAATCTGTATATAGCTTTAAGTAGTGTGGATATTTTAACAATACTGATTCTTTCAATCCCTGAACATAAAATAGTTTTTCATTTTTTTGTTGTCCTCTTTACTTACGTTCATTAGTATTTTAGAGTTTTTGTGATACAAGTCCTTTCACTTTTTTGGTTAAGTTAATGCCTAGGTATTTAGTTTTATGTGTGGCATTTATAAATGGGATTCCTTTTTGTTTCTTTTTCACACGATTTCCTTTTGGCATATAGAAATGCTAGTGATTTTTGTATGTAGTTTTTGTATCTTGCAATTTTACTCAATTTTTTTATCAGTTCTTATAGGTTTTTGTGGATTCATTAGTTTTTTTCAAATATAAAATCACATCATCTGCAAACAAAGATAATTTGATGTCTTTCTTTCTAATTTGGTTGACATTTTTATCTTTCTCTTGTCTGAATAATCCAGCTATGATTTCCAGTACTATGTTGAATGAGTGGTGACAGTGAACATTCTTGTCATGTTCCCTATCTTAGAGGAAAATATTTCAGTTTTTCCCCAATTAGCATGACACTACTAGCTGTAGGTGTATTGTATATGGTTTGTATCGTGTTTAGGTATGTTCTTTCTATATGCCATTTTTTAAGGGTTTTTATCAGGCATGAATGCTTAATTTTATCAAATGAATTTTCAGCATCAATTAAAATTATCATATTGTTTTTGTCCTTCATTTTGTTGATATGATGTTTTTCACTGATTGATTTGTGTATGTCGAACCATCCTTGCATCACAGGGATAAACTCCACTTGGTCATGATGAATGATCGTTCTAATGTATTGTTAAATTTGGTTCACTGAAATTTTGTTGAAGATTTTTGCCTCAATATTTATCAGATATATTGGGCTGTAGACTCTTTTTTTTTAAATGTGTGTTTGTCTGGCTTTGTTTTCAGGATAATACTGGCCTCATAGAGTGAGTTGGAAAGTATTCCCTCCTCCTCTATTTCTAGGAATAGTTTAAGTAGGATTGGTATTAGTTCTTCTTTATATGTTTGGTAGAATTCAGTAGTGAAGCCATAGGGTCCCAGACTTTTCTTAAGTGGGAGACTGTTTATTATGACTTCCATTTAATTACTTGTCATTGGTCAGTTCAGATTTTGGATTTCTTTACAGTTAAATTCTGATAGGTTGTATGTATCTAGGAATTAATTTTTTTCAAGATTTTTCAATTTATTGGTATATAGTTGCTCATAGTAGTCTCTAATGATCCTTTGAATTTCTACAGTATCAGTTGTAATTATTATGTCTCTTTTTGCATTTCTGATTTAGTTATTTGAATTTTTTTCTATTTTTTTCTTAGTCAGGCTAAACTACTTCCTGTCTACTGCCTATGTTTGGTCAAGGTCCTGGGGCTCTACAATAATCAGGTGGCAAAGCCAGCTAGGCCTATGCCCTTCCCTTCAGGGCAGCAAGGTCTCTCAGGCTTTGGGTGGGTCCAGAAGTGCTAATCAGGAGTCAGGGGCTAGAACAAAAACCTTATAACTCTACCTGGTTTTCTATTGTATTGTGGCTGAGCTGGCACTCAAACCCCAAGATGCACTTCTTCTCTTGCCAGACTACCACCAATGTTCCCTTAAGGCCCAAAGTCTCTTGTGTCACCTTGTTGTGAATGCTGCTTGGCCCAGGATTCACTCTTCAGGGCAGTGGGCTCCCCTCTGGCCCAGGGCAGGTCCAGACATCTCATCCAAGTGTGAAGTCCTGGAAACAGGAACCCCCAAAGCCCTCTTGGCGCTTTACCCCTCTGTGGCTTTGCTGGTACCTGATGTGCAAGACAATGTCGTATTTACTTTTCCCCCTGCTTCTCTCAAACAGAAGTTTTGTCCTGTAGCCACCACAACTGATAATTTTCTGAGTCTCACCTGAAGCCAGCAAGTCTCAGAGTCTCACCCAGGGTTCTCAATGTAGATCTGAGTATTGCACAGATTACTCAGGGCCCAAGGGCTCTTCAGTTAGCAGATGATGAATGCTATCAGGATTGAGTAATTTTCTTCAAGGCAGTGAGTCACCTTCTGGCCCAGGTTGTGTTTAGGAATGTCATCTAGGCACTGTGGCCTAGAACCAGGGCCTCACAACTCTGACTGGTGCCCTGTTCTGCTGTGACTGAACTGGTATTCAAGATGTGAGACAAAATCCTCCCCACTCTTTCTTCTCCTTTCCTCAAGCAGATGGAGGGGATATCTTTTGGAGCCATGAGCTATGCCACCTGGTGTTAGGGGAGGGTTGATGTTAGCACTTCCCTGGCTGCCCCAGCTGGTGTCTCAGTATGTTTCATAACCCCTGTCCACTGTCTCTGGGCCTATTTCAGCACTAGAACTTATATAAATGTTGCAGTCATTATAGCCTAGACTGCCTTTCAAGTTCATTTAGAGATCTGGAGCACTATAGCCCTTGGTGGTGAAATTTGCAGGAACTTAAGTTCCTGGAATTGGTGATTCTCTTCTGGCTAGGGATCCTTTAAAAGCTCCCTCAGTGTGAGGGTGTCAGCTCCATTCGGTTGGGTTTTCCTTTCTGCTCTTACAGGACAAAACTGAGTTCAGTGCCTCACAATTGCTGTGTTCTTCTTCACCCAGCACCCAGAGATTTTCTACATACTAGGGCTCTGCTGCCAGGGGAGGGGGATGGGTGGCCTCTGTGATTCAGGCCTGTTTTCTTTCTCTTCAGTGCCTCTTTCAGCAATATGAAGTTAAAACCAGGAACTGTAAGTGCTCACCTGATATTTTTTCTTATGAAGCTGTTTTTGTTTTGTTTTTGTTGTTGTTGTTTTCTGTGTAGATATTTTTAAACTTAGTGTCCTTCCTACAGGGCAGGATTGGTAGAACTTTCTGTTCCGTCATCTTGCTCTGCCTCTGCTACACACAAACTTTTAAATTAAAATAAAAACAGTATTCAATATAGAATTTCAGGGAATTTTTATTTTTGTTCTTGTATCTTTCTATATGGATTGATTTATTTTTACGGTGAGCATATATTATTTTAGAAAAATAGCATAATTTTAAAATAAAAATATGTTATATTAGTGACTGATATGGTCTGACTCTGTGTCCCCACCCAAATCTCATTCTGAATTGTAATCCAAATTGTAATCCCCACATATTGCAGGAAGGACCTGGTGGGAGGTGATTGGATCATGAAGGCAGTTCCCCCATGCTGTTCTTATGATAGTGAGTTCTCACAAGATCTGATGGTTTTATAAGGGGCTTTTCCCTTCTTTGCTCTGCACTTCTCTTTCTTGCTGCCATGTGAATAAGGATGTGTTTGCTTCCCCTTCTGCCATGACTGCAAGTTTCCTGAGGCCTCCCCAACCATGCAGAAATGTGAGTCCATTAAACCTCTTTCCTTTATAAATTACCCAGTCTTGGGTATGTCTTTATTAGCAGTGTGAGAACAGATTAATACAGTGACCTAAAGTAATAACCAGATAATTTGTGGCTAAAACAAGCTCAAAATTTGACTCAGGTTCTTACAATTTAAGGAGAGATAGATTTTCCAATATAATTAATTCAGATAATAGTCATGGGCTTTTGTTTTCACCTGTAGCCTTTGACTAGCATTGTATAGAGAATTTTCAAGAAAGCATGGCTTTGAAGTTAGCCTTTGCCTCTGTTTTTAACTTTGTGTGGCCACCTCATTTTCATACCCTATGGGTATTTTTATTGTTGTTTGGATTTTTTCTCTCTTTTATATATTTTTATCTAGCCAGATTATTTTGCACTGATGGTCATCTGCTAAGATTCAAGCACTGTCTAGAGAGCTTCAGATAGCCTTACTTATGCCCAGTTGTTGGATTGCTGGAGCTGAGCTCTTTCCTGAGCTATTGGATGCTTTGCCAATTGCTCCAGAAAAGGAATGAATGTCTTTTCTCTATTTAATGATGATACTTATTTGCAATTTGCTTTAAATTTTCCTCACAACGATCCTTAATATTAGAGTAAATGAAAGCTGTAATTCCTGTTTTTGCAAAATTTATCACACTTTATTTTTGTAATGGGGAAAAAAATCACCCTTATTACTATATCTGGATTCCTTCAGCTTTGTTAAGAAAGGTCCTGAAAGAGGACTTTCTTAAGGCTCTCTGGCTATCCAGTTAGAAATATACTGCTTCGCTGTGTTTACTGTGCATGGCATTGCACAACCATGAAGTTTCCATAAGATTATAACAACAACAATTTTTATTTTCTGTCCCATAACCCTTGTATTTATGGGAAATTTCCACCTTGATTTCACTGGACTTAAGGAAACAATAGGAAAATAAATTTTTAGTTATGCAAATATAAAATTTATCAAAGGAGGGTCCATACCAGCTGGATTTGATGAAAGCTCAGACTGGTTTTCAATATTTACTGCTTGCCACCAAATTAAATTTCAACTTATATTTAGTAAGAGGATTACAACATTTAAACAAATAATAACTTTACACAGCAAAATCTAATTATGTTTGTTGAGCCTTGTGCTTTGGATCACTCACAGGAAAGGGGTTTGGAAGAGCCAATATAAAGTGCTCAATATTCATTATCTCACACAGTGTATTATTTGATCAAAGGCTACATTTTAGATTCTACTACCTTCTAAACCCAAACTAAGAAGCAATAGATCTGCTTACTCATTTTTCTTCCAATGGCTTAGGTGAATTCACAGGAGATGCTATTTCCCTTTTTGTTTTAACAATATTTCAGTACAAATTAACTTCAAGATTCATGATAGTGTAATGTAGTTTAACTAAAAATGTATTTCAAGGCCATTACTTGACAACATATTGGAATACACCGCTACAATACTCAAGAAATTACAATAAAAAGAAAATTGATGCTATAGAGTCTTTGAAACTTAAAGGGACACAGATAACTTATTAAGCAAATGTGCCATCATATTTCACTCCTGTAAGCTTAATATTTGCATGAATACAGGCATAAACATAGTCCATATATCTTTCAAATATCAAAATATTATCTTGAGTACTATCTCATTGTTTGAATTTTTGGTAGATGTCCAAAAACACTTTATATACATGTTATATCTAAACTTTAGAACCTGGAAGCAGTGATATGAAAAAAATATACAAACACCTGGTGTGTAGAAAGCTAAACATATTAAAAGAGATCTTTCCAAGATTATTATAGAACTAAACAATAAGCATCCTAAGATTTTTTCCTTTGGAGAATGTAAAATAATGTATGTTATACCGTGACTAGTAATATAACGGAAGTCTTGAGAGTTGCAAGGTGTGCGGATAAATAACTTACATGCTTCCAAATCAAGGAATAAACTGTTATTGTCATTTCTGATGAAAATTTATTTTTAACCTAAGTCTTGGAAATTGCTGGCCCCCTCCCACCCTCACCACCAACACCACACACAAACAAACTATTGGAAGTTATTTTAAAAACCGGGCTACTGACCTTTTAAATATCACACATTACTTTAAGAACAAGTGAGAGAGAAGGAAATGAGCTGCTGATGTTGAAAGTGGTAGTCAGTGTAAAAGCTCCTGCTTTGTACCAATCCTGTTCTAAATATGTACCTACTGTTTTCTCTTTGGTATGTGTGAATCAGGTAGGACCTAGAAGACAGGAAGTGAATATGGTAAGAAAAAGTGCAGAGAAAAACAGAGCCTGCTCAGAAGAGAAAAAATGGCAGATACTTAATTTGTCTAAAAATTTTGAGGAAGACAAAAAACTAATAGTGGTTACAGGGCAAATTCAAAAAATGTTTATTCTGTTGTTTATATGAATATGAATAATAGAATGTAGGGCATTCTCACAGTTGGCATAGAAATAGTAATATTGTCAAAGGGAGCGTATTTCTTAGTAATTCATAAATGTTTCCACAGTTATGAGAATTAAAGTGCTATGCTCAAGATGATTTCTTGATTGGAGGCATACTAACATGGGTGTTTTTCCACATTTGTTTATTCATCAAATGTTTATTGAAGACAGGGTATGAACCTGTCATTTTTCCTGAGACTGGATGGTGGAGAAGTCTGACAAACTCCCTACCCTCATGAAGCTGCCAATTCATGAAAATGGATGATTATTTACAGGAAGCAGAACCAATGTAGTTGGTGCTATTTCAGTTATTCATTCCTTTTTATTGCTGAATAGTACTCCATTTTATGAAAGTAGCACTGTTTGTTTATCCAGTCTCTTGCTGTTAGACTTTTAAATTGCTTTTAGTTTGGGTTATTATTTACAAATGTGTATGAAAGACTGTTGTACCAAGCTTGTGTATGTACATATGTGTATGCATTTGTTTTAGAAGTCCTGAAACTGCTGCCGGATGAGGAGGAAGTATGACCGATACCACGTGTAACACTAACAATAATACAAAGAAAGTAGGTCTACTTATATTCATTTTGGACAAAGAAGACATTAGAAAGAAGAAAATTACCAGAGATAAAGAAAAAAATACATAATAATAAAATGTCAATTTGCTGAAACATAACAATCTTTAACATGTCTGCACCTAACAAGAGAGCATGAAAATATGTGAAGAAAAATCTAGTAGAACTGTAAGAAAAAAAAAATAGACAAATCCATTATTATACTTAGGGACTTCAACAACATTAATTCAGTTACTGATAAATCAAGCAGGCAGAACATAAGTAAACACGTTTGACTAGAACACCACTATCAGTGAACTTGATCTTAGCGATATTTATAGAATACTCCATCCAACAATGGCAAAATACATATTCTTTTCCAGCTCACACTGAACATTCACCATGACAGATCACATATTTGGCCATAATGTTCACATTATGAAATTTAAAAAAATAGAAATCATACAAAGTTCTCAAAACACAATTGAATTAAACTATTAATCAATTACAGAAAGACAAAAGGAATATTGCCAAATACTTGGAAATTATGTAACACATTAATTATTTCAAGAAAAGTAATTAATTAAATAACACATGGGTCAAATATTTCTCAAAAGAAATTAAAACTATCTGAATTAAATCAAAATAAAATTTATCAAAACATGTGGAATATAGTAATAACAATGTTTAGAGATAAATTTATAGCATTGAATACATGTATTAGAAAATAAGAAAGATCTGAGATCAATAACCTTAGCTTCCACCTTAGGAAACAAGAGAAATAAGAGCAACTTAGGACTAAAGTAACCAGAAGAAAAAATTTAATAAAAATTAGAGTAGAAATCAATGAAATTGAAAGCAGGAAAATGATGTAAGAAATCAAGAAAACCAAATGCTAGTCTTTTGGAAATATCAATACAGTTGATAAGCCAGTAGCCTGCCTAACCAGGAGAAATGAGAGAGAGAAAGAGAGTGAGAGAGAGAAAGAGAGAGAAAAAGAGAAGTTACAAATACTAGTATCAAAAAGCAGAGTCATTACTACTGATGAAAGGACCTTAAAATTATAACAAAAAGTTCTATGAACAACTCTGTGCCCACAAATTTTATGATATGATGAAATTAACCTATTCCTTGAAATAAATAAACTGGCAACACGCACAAGGAAAAAACAAATAATTTAAACAGGTACATATCTATTTTTAAAAGTTCAATCAATTATTTATAAATTTCAAAGAGGAAAGTCTTAGTTCAGATGGTTTCACTGAGAAATTCTACCAAGTATCACGAAAGAGATACATAAATTCTCCACGACTTCTTCAAGTAAATAGAAGCAGAGGAGATATTTTCTAACTCATTCTATGAGGCCAGCATTACCACATTTGGAAAACATGTCTGGTAAAGAGCTTGCATCAAAAACACACAATTGAAGGAGTTAAAACTATACCATTGGGCCTATTGACTATTTAAGTTAAAGGCACTTGAAAAACAGTAGATGCAAAAAGATCACTCTTACCTTAATGCTGTTCCTAAAAACAGATGAAATTATCTTGTGAAAAACACCCTTCCTATACCAAAAGAAATAACATCATTATCTTCAAGAAGTTGAGACCAAAAGAATTCTATATAGACCCTGTTAAAATAACTCTTAACTTTCCATCATCATGTTTAACACACCAAGTAATTTATTTTTATTGTACATTTTGTTCTTAGGTTGAACTTATAATTTTATAAACTTAAACATACATAAGGTTTTTGATTAGTAAACCCAGGTAGAACAAGTTGTATGTCCACAGTATAGATAATAATTACAACTCTGAAGATATGCCTACTTTAACTAAACCAACAAACTTAAACTTGCTTTTTATTTACCAATGATTTTCCTAGATCATTTGAATAACTTGAGTAACATTTAAATTAGTTTTGATTTTTCTGAAATAACACTTAATTTTTATAAGTGCTTATTTTCTTTTTTTAAGGTTAAATATTCTCATACGACCAATAAGACAGTTGCTTAGGATGAAAGCTCTTTAAAAAATACTTTTAGATACAAAAGTCCAAATTTTCAGAGGTTTACCTACTTCAGTTGTGACTCAAAACCAATACGTCATTTTTATGGCTTAAAACTAATAAGTCTTTTGTGGCTTAACCATGGATGCACGAAGCGTGCCTAAAGAGGGTCCTAAAGACACAGTCTCCCTGAAGATCTATAGATTCTTCCAAAGTTAGCCTAAGAAAGTAAAAATCCTAATTGCTAACAAGGCAATGAAGATTGGGGCAATTAAGATAAACTTCCTTGAAAGTTGGAACAATCAGAACAAGAGACATTTTGTGTTTTGGATTTCTATCCAGCCGGCTAGTCAGCTGATGCAAATCTTACAACTTGAAGTCCCTTGCCGATGGACACCAGAAACAATCTCCTCACTGGTCACAAAACACAGCTCCTAAGACATAAAATAAAATGAAAGAGGAATCTTATTATAATTTTCTTCCTTATGCCAAACCACATGAAAAATAGAGATAAGGAAGACAGGAATATTTATGGGACACTGTGGATCAGTAACCAAATTCATAAGAGTCATAATTCAAATAACTAAATCTGATAAATGTTTTACTCCTGCCAATCTAAATTTGGAAGCAAATGTCAAGAAAAATTATTTACCTTCTTTTCTCAATGAGACACTGCATACAGACCTGCAGGAGAGTGGACTTCCACAAGAATTTCTACTTTCTGCTGGCTTTCGTCGGGTCTTGTAGGATCCCATTTGCAGGGTTCAGAGGGAGTAGGGCATCACAGCCTTTAAGAATCCCATCTTCATTGGCAGAAACTGTAGGGGCAGTAAAACTCCACTGCCATCCTCTTAGGTTCCAGGTTGAGTCTGAGAATTAAGTTGACGTAACATAGAGTAACAGAAGAAAAAACATACAAGTTTATTTAACACAAACTGTAGGTGGCAGAGGAGCCCTCATAAGGACATCTGTAGATCTTCCAAATTGACCTAAAGAAGCAGTTAGAGTTAGTTACTTATATCCTGATTTGGAAAAAGAATAGAAAGTTGTGAAGAAGAAACTAAATTATGTAAGTATGGTTAAAAGATAAGAGTTATTTTAAAGAGGCCTGCGTAAAATTATTTTGGTCTAAATTCCTTGTCCTCAAAGATAATGATATTATTACTTTTGGTATGGAGGGGATGTCTTTCACATAAGAATTTCATCTTCTGTTTTTAGGAAACAACACAAAGGAGAAAGTAATCTTTTTTACACCTGCTGTTTTTCAAGTGCCTTTAACTTAAATAATAGTCAATGTTCCAGAATGGCATATTTTTAACTCCACACAAAAATCCTTACAACTCAAACATAAGAAAATAAACAGTCCAGTTAGTAAATAGACACGAGATCTCAACAGACCCCTCACCAGAGAAGATATACAGATGGCAAATAAATATAGAAGATGCTGAGTATAACTTCTCATTAGATAACTTCAAAATCTAACAACAATATAATACCACTACACTTCTATTAAAATGGCTAAACACCTAAACAACAACAAAAACTCCAAAAGCTGGCAAGGATGTGAAACAACAGAAATTTTCATTCATGACTGGTGGGAATACAAAATGGTATAGTCACTCTGGAAGACAGTTTGAAGTTTCTTATAAAGCTGAACATAGTCCTAGCATATGATCCAGCAATTACGTTCCTAGTTATTTACACAAATGACTTGAAAATTGATGTCCACATAAAAATTTGCAAGTGCATGTTTATAGCAGCTTTATTCATAACCATCCAAACTAGAAGCAGCCAAAATGTCATGCAATAGGTGAATGGACAAACTATGGTATATACATACATTGAAATATTATACAGCAAAAAAAGAGAAATTAGCTATTATGCCATAAAAAGACATGGATGAACCCTAAATGCATATTTGTAAATTAAAGAAACTAGTCTGAGAAGGCTATAAATATATGATATTGTATAAAAGGCAAAACTATAGAGACAGTAAACAAATAAGTAGTTACCAGAGGATTGCAAGGCGATGAAGAGAGTGGAATAAAGCACAGGGAATTGTTTAGCACCCAAAATCTAATAGACATGATACTGTAATTGTGGATACATGACACTATTCTTTTTTTTCAAAATCCAGTGAATGTTATAGCACAAGAAATTCGTCTCAAATAATGCAAATTTGAAGACATCATTTATGAGGTCAGGGGAATCACAGGATGGACTGCAGAATGTAACAAGACCATCTAACTATATTAAAAAATGTATGAAACAATCTCACTGAAGAAGGTGGGGGAATAAGTAGCAGACCTAAGTAACTTTGGCAGTGAATGGAGTTTGTAAGACTAAAGACAAAAGGAACTGCACAGAAGCATTATGCTTTAGTTGATAAAGTTCTTTACCATGGTCATATGGGTTAACAATTGTAATATTTTCACACATGTATATCAGAATTGGACAATTCAGTAAATAGATGACATATGATGAGAGTCAGGTTTGTCACTGTTGGAGGGGGAGTTTACAGTTAAGCAAGGGGAGGAGACTAGAATAATGAGTTAGATGGGCAACACTATGAACTTATTTTTAGCTTAATAGAAATACTGATTGTTACATATAGAAATATTTAGATATCTGCAAGGGTTATTATGCACACATCTATCCTTCCTTTGTCAGCCAAGCTGGGGAAGAAGAAACAACACCCCACAGCAATGAGCAAACGTAGTGTCCAGCTCTTGCTTTCTAGTATCATTCTCCAGTGAAGCAACCAGGGTTCCTTGGAGTTATTCTCTTGCTGAGTCAAGACAGACAGGAAAACACAAGATGAGACTGTAGCACCTGCCAGAAAAAAAAAAGTGCCAGAAAGAAGAAAAAAACAAAAAAAGGAAAGCACATTATAATATAGTCATGCCAAAGGGACACAATACTCAAGAAAAACAGTTGCCAATGCCAAAGTTGGAACAATTTGTACAAATTAATAAAAATAGTATTGAATTATAATCCAAAGTGTAAATTAAATATCAATGAGTTTATAATGATATAAATAAAAGGTTATATAAACAAATAAGATAGGACTAAAGACAAATCTTCCTTGCACACAAATTCCACATAATTTACACAGCTATTCTACCCTGAGGTGGGTAGCAAAACTTCTCATTTTTTGTGTGTGAGTTGAGCATAGTAACTTCCTTCTGAAGACTAAAGTGTAGAAAGGAGGGGAAAGTGTACTTTACAGTGGAGAAATCTTCACTTCAGCCCAGAGATCAAGGTAAAAATCAATAGGAAACAGTCATATTGATAGTATATGCCCTCACATATGATATAATATGATGAATATGTTGCTTTACCTCTACACTATTCCTACAAAAGAAGTGTACACTCTTCTTTGGCTGCCTTGCACTATTTTTAAAATCATCACATATAAATAATATAACTCCAATATTATTTTGTTATATAAAAATATGACATAATGCCATCATGACAGCTTGCATTTTTTATCGTGATAATAGTAAGATCACAGTTTCAGTCACACTTTGCAACAATTAGTTTTATTATTTTCCTGAGCAATTCTCTATTGCATAAAGAGAGCATTAAGAAAGAAGCATGTTATAACCTTCTTTCCATCTGTGCTTAGAAAAATGAATTTTGTGCATTAATATTTTGTGAATTAATATTGAGGGTTTAATAACATGCTAATTATTATTGCATTATTATCTTCACTTTAGCATTTGTGAATAAATATTATTAAATGTTTTAGTTTTGGATATGTAACATAATGAGTGGCTGGGAGCAGTGGCTCAAGCCTGTAATCCCAGCAATTTGGGAGTCCAAGGCGGGGGGATCACTTGATGCCAGGAGTTTGAGACCAGCCTGGCCAACATGGTGAGACCCCGTCTCTAGTAAAAATACCAAAAAAAAAAAAAATTAGTCGAGTGTAGTGGTGCACACCTACAATCCCAGCTACTCAGGAGGCTGAGGCAGGAGAATTGCTTGAACCCGGGAAGAAGAAGTTGCAATGAGCTGAGATTGCACCACTGCACTACAGCCCTGGTGACAGGGCAAGACTTCGTCAAAAAAGAAAGAAAGAAAGGAAGAAAGAAAGGAAGGAAGGAAGGAAGGAAGGAAGGAAGGAAGGAAGGAAGGAAGGAAAGAAAGAAAGGAAGAAAGGAAGAAAGAAAGAGAAAGAGAGAGAGAGAGAGGGAGGGCGGGAGGGAGGGAGGGAAAGATAATGACTATGAAGAGAAAATCTGAGAAAAGATAAAATGCTCAAAATATATCCAAATACAATGTCTGAAGAATGCAAAGACTCTCTTCCAGCTTACTCTTGGTCCCAGAAGAGCAGCAAGAATACATAAAGGATAACATGGCTTAAAGCACGAGTCGCACAACCAAGTGGTAATCAGGAAAATGTCATACATCAAGAAGCTAAAAGCAGATGGCAAAGGTGAGCAGTTATTAAGCAATGACTGTTACACCTGCTGGAGAATACTATAGCTTATTCAAGAATAGTTATTTGATGCATTCTGCTTAAAGTGTTAAAAGGACGTCTATTTCCTTCCTGCAAAACAGTGTCATTTTAAACACACAAGTGCTGTTGGAGACATGTCACCACTTTTAAAGACAAAGCCTAGACTAGGGTGAGGCAAGTGAGGCAACTTGCATACAAAAGTGAAGAAAGTGCTTGCTCTCAGAATCAGGGTCTTCTTAAATTTGCACCTTACACACCTCCTTTTCCTCTCTCTATGCCTGGTCGGATTTAAAGAGTCTTCCTCTTTGTGCTAGATATTATCTGACAACTTAAGAGAAAAAATATTACATGGTTCAATATTTCTAAGCCAGTTTGTGGTCATTCTTGTGAATGTTTTGTACAATATTCTACTAAATGCTTCTGAAGTGCTATAAAAGGAAGAAAATATATGTTCCTTCACAGAGTGTACTTTTAGAGGAACAAAGCATACATATGAAACATAAAGCATCTAGGAAGAAACATCTAAATATTGTATAAAACATGCAGAACAATAGCAAATTTACATCTGTATACAGGAAAACTAAAACTTCAAACAACAGAGCTTGAGAACAGAGACTCAGTGAGTAAATGGGGATTTGAAATTTGTCTATCAGCTTATAATTGTGTGTATTTTATTTATAAATCAGCTTATGAATGAGTATGGAACTTCAAGTGAATTTCTTGTTTTAGGAAAGCTTCAGGTTCATTTGCTTTTTAAAAATTAATGTATGTACAGCTTTGATTTGCTATAGGTAGAGTTGAATTGTTTAAGTATGATTCCATGAGAAACTGCTATACTACACAAAGAGTGAAGAAATAGTCTATTAGCTTCACTTGAGACTGATATTCCTTTATTTCCTATGCAGGACCTTGAATACAAGACATTTTTGGACATTGCATACACCTACTAAGAATTTCAGTTACAACCATTTTACAGTTCTTAGGCTGTGATTTTTTAAAAAATAAATTACTGTTAAAATTCCAACAGAATATTAAGAACATTAATTGACATATTTTCAGCAGAATGGTTGTAGAAAATCAAGTAAAATATTAAACAATGTGCAAGTAAACACTAGAAAGAACAGAAATATGTGTGTGTGTGTATATATATATATACATTGAGAGAGAGAGAGAGAGATAAGACAGAAAGAGAGAGAATGACAATCAGAGAGACAGACAGAGACAGAGACTGCATTTAATTTAAATACAAGTTTCCTTTCCATTCACATCAGAAACCTCTTGTGTTGTCGCCTCTTTGGGGGCCCAGGTTTCCAAATGTTCCTTCCTTTTGATCCTGCCCTTTATTCATAGATAACTGCAAGCAGTATTTATTCTTTAGAGATTTGGAATTGAGCATACTTCTGGGTTTGTTATCTCTGCTGAAATCTCCCTCATTAGTATCTTCCTGTTCTTTCAATGCCAAATTTTCAATTAAGTATTAATCCTAATTTGGAACTGTATTATGCTTCTTATTGCAAGGCTTTGCTAGACTACTTTACTTACCAAAGTAACCCTTTGAAGTAAGGTTGCCAGATAAAATACAGAACAGCCAGTTATATTTGATTTCCAGATAAATTTGCCCTCCTTCTGCCCCAAATATTATAGGGGACAAACTTGTACTAAAAATTAAATAATTTACCTGAAACTCAAATTAAACCAAGTATTTTGTTTTGCTTTTCCATGGATTTTTAATTATTTTAAATTTTTGACTAAATCAGACAACTTCACTTCAAGGTAAAGTAAAGGAGCATTTACGCAGCACTTATATACTAGTCCCACTTTCACAAATCTTCTATTTAATCCTTAGAGCAGCCCTATGATGTACAAATACCCATCCCCATTTAACAAATGAAAAAATAATCTCAGAGATTCCTAAGAGGCCATAAAGCTAATGGCTGGCCCATTTAAAATCCAGCTTCTGCTCTGGTATGAAACACAATCCATCTTTCCCTACACAATGCTGTCTCTCAGCCTTTTCTGTTTCTTATTGCAGAATAGAAAACAGGTGAGAAGAAAGGTTAGAGCTGCTTATACCACGTATTTTAAAGTATTTTTTTTTTGCTTAAAACTTTAAATTATGAAAATTTTCAAGCATTCATGACAGAAGTGTTTGAACAAGAGCAACTTCATCTTGAATAGGGGCTGGGTAAAATGAGGCTGAGACCTACTGGGCTTCATCCCCAGGAGGTTAGGCTTTCTAAGTCTGGATGAGATAAGAGGTTGGCATAAGATATAGGTCATAAAGACCTTGCTGATTAAATAGACCATGGTAAAGAAGTCATCCAAAACCCAGGAATACCAAGATGGTGACAAAAGTGACCTTTGGTCATCCTCACTGCTCATTATACACTAATTATAATGCATTAGCATCCTAAAACACACTTCCACCAGTGCCACGACAGTTAAGAAATTCCATGGCAACATCAGGAAGTTATCATATATGGTCTAAAAAGGGGTGGAACCCTCACTTCCAGGAATTGCCCACCCCTATCCCAGAAAACTCATGAATAGTCCACCCTTTGTTTGGCATATAATCAAAAAGTAACAAGTATAAGCAGCTGAGTGGCCCATGCTGCTGCTCTGCCTATTAAATAGCCATTTTTTATTCCTTTACTTCTATAATAAACTTGCTTTCACTTTTACTCTATGGACTTGCCTCAAAGTCTTTCTTGCGCAAGATCCAATTACTCTCTCTTGGTATGTGGATCGGGACCCTTTACCAGTAACATTCACATAGGTAAAGAGAATAGTGTAGAGCATTCCCATGTATTCATCACCTGGTCTCAACAATTATCAACATGTTTTGTCAATTTTGTTTTATGTGTCCACCATCCTTCTATTTTTTTTTTCTAGAGTACTTTAAAGCAAGTCCAATACATCATGTTATTTAAACTCTTACCCTATCATTTTCCCAAACTTGGTTCATAATGAAATAGTTGACTAAACTACCATCCATATTCACCTTATACTAACAACTTCTTTACTCCCTGTTACGTCATTTTCCCTTCTGTCAGCCTAATGACTTCATTAATTTGGAATTTGTTGTTTTCTGAAACCAGTACACCGTAGCAGTTTCAACTATCTAAACTACTACAAAGACTTTACTATAGGTTGCTTTACTTTTTAAAATTATAATAAAATTAAACATATAAAACCACACTGTACTAATTCGTTGTCTCATTATTATAAAGGACTGCCTGAGACTGGGTAATGTATAAAGGAAAGAGGTTTAATTGACTCACATTTCCACAGGGCTGATGAGGCCTTGGGAAATTTACAATCATAGTGAAAGGGGAAGCAAACACATCTTTCTTCACATGTTGGCCGAGAAAAAGGGGGAAAAGCCCCTTATAAAACCATCAGACCTCATGAGAGCTCACTCACTGTCATGAGAAGAGCAGCATAAGGGTAACCACCCCCATGATTCAAGTACCTCCCCACCAGGACCCTCCCATGACACGTGGGGATTATGAGAACTACAATTCAAGATGAGATTTGTGTGTGGACATAGCCAAACCATATCATTCAGACCTTGCCCCTCCCCCAATCTCATGTACTCACATTTCAAAACACAACCATGCCTTTTCAACAGTCTCCCAAAGTCTTCACTCATTCCAGCATTAACCCAAAAGTCCTAGTCCAAAGTGTCATCTGAGACAGGGCAAATCCCTTCCACCTGTGAGCCTGTAAAATCAAAAGCAAGTTAATTATTTCCTAGATACAGTTGGGGGTACAGGCATAGAGTAAATACACCTATTTCAAATGAGAGAAATTGGCTAAAACAAAGAGGTTAAAGGCCCCATGCAAGTCCGAAATCCAATAGGGCCGTCATTAAACCTTAAAGTTCCATAATGATCTCCTTTGACTCCATGTCTTACATTCAAGTCATGCTGATGCAAGAGGTGGGCTCCCATGGCCTTGGGCAGCTCTGCCCCTGTGGCTTTGCAGGGTACAACGCCCCCCCCCCCTCACCCGCCAGCTTCCTTCATGGGCTGGCATTGAGTGTGTGCACCGGGTGCACGGTGCAAGCTGTTGGTGGATATACCATTCTGGGGTCTGGAGGATGGTGGCTCTCTTCTCACAGCTCCACTAGGCAGTGCCCCAGTGGGGACTCTGAGTGGGGGATCGAACCCACATTTCCCTTCTGCACTGCCATAGCAGAGGCTCTCCACAAGGGCATCAACCCTGAAGCAGACTTTTGCCTGGATATCCAGGCATTTCCATACATCCTCTGAAATCTAGGAAGAGGTTCCCAAACCTCAATTCTTGGCTTCTGTGCACCCACAGGCCCAACACCATGTGGATGCTGCCAAGACTTGGGTCTTGCACCCTCTAAAGCCATGGCCTGAGCTGCACCTTGGCCCCTTTTAGCCATAGCTGGAATGCAGGGCACCAAGTCCCAAGACTGCACAAAGCAGCAAGGCCCTGGCCCAGCTTATGAAACCATTTTTTTCCTCCTAGGCCTCTGACCCTGTGATGGGAGGGGCTGCCATGAAGACCTCTGACATGCCCTAGAGACATTTTTCTCATTTTCTTGGGGGTCAACATTTGGCTGCTCATTACTTATGCAAATTTCTGCAGCCAGCTTGAGTTTCTTCTCAGAAAATGGGTTTTTCTTTTCTATCACATTGTCAGGCTGCCTTTTAAACATGAGTTCCAATTCCAGACAATATCTTTGTGAATAAATAAAACTGAATGCTTTTAGTAGCACACAAATCACATTTTGTATGCTTTGCTGCTTAGAAATTCCTTCCTCCAGATACCCTAAATCATTCCTATTAAGTTCAAAGTTTCACAAATCTCTAGGGCAGTGGCAAATTGCCACCAGTGTATTTCCTATAAGAGTCATCTTTATTCCAGTTCCCAACAAGTTCCTCATCTCCATCTGAGACCACCTCAGCCTGGACTTAATTGTCCATATCACCGTCAGCATTTTGGTCAAACTATTCAATAAGTCTTTAGGAAGTTCCAAACTTTCCCACATCTCCCTGTCTTCTTCTGAGTCCTCCAAACTGTTCCAACCTCTGCCTGTTACCCAGTTCCAAAGTCACTTTCGCATTTTTTGGAATCTTTACTGCAGCGCCTCACTACCTGGTACCAATTTACTGTGTTAGTCCATTGTCATGCTGCTATAAAGGACTGCCTGAGATTGAGTAATTTATAAAGGAAAGAGGTCTAATTGACTCACTGTTGGCCATGTCTGGGGAGGCTTCAGGAAACTTACAATCATGGCAAAAGGGGAAGTAAACACATCCTTTCTCACATGATGGCAGGAAGGAGAAATGCCAAGAAAAAGGGAGAAAAGCCCCTTATAAAACAATTGGATCTCATGAGAACTCACTCACTATCATGAGAACAACAGCATGGGGGCAGGATTCAATTACCTCCCCATTGGGTCCCTCCCACGACACGTGGGGATTATGGGAACTACAACTCAAGATGAGGTTTGTGTGGGGACACAACCAAACCATATCACGCACAAACTATAACATAGTTACTGAATAATTGTTTTTCCCAAATTATGACAAGACAACTTATATAGAAGTTGGTTTTGGGCTACCTCTGTTCTTGCAAAAGTTATTGAACAATCTAAGTTTGAAAACAGGTTTCCACCTTTCAAAAAGTGATGAAGTGGATTCCTTACCTTTTCTCTTTACAGAAATAAACTCATCAGAAAAATAAATGGTATATAAAATTTTGGCCTTAAATATAATGTGGGAGAATTTTACCAGCAACAGAAAGTAGAAGTGTGGCCTGGAAAAATTGTCTCCACCGTTAGTTTAGTGATACTAGAGAATCATTAGACTGATGGTAAAGAGGAATGACGTTAAGCATTGTATAACACTTATAGTATATAACCTGCCACTGCAATTAATCAGATAAAAAAGATGAGGGAGGAGTAAAATGTATATTTTGCAAAATGCTTAGACATTCTTTAATAAATAAAGTTAATGCTATCATTAGTGGCAGCTCTAAGCAAAACTTTTATCTTTTTTTCCTATGAATAAGCACTCTTTGGGGAGATGAATATTGCTGCAGTCATATTGTGCTTTCAGTTAATGAGATATGGGTTCTATTTGTTAGAGTTTTATGGTAATGAAGCTTATAATTTACTGACAAACTGGCTTGCTTTCAAAAATTCTCTTATTGCACTGAATTTTTTTTTCATCGGAAACATTGATGTGCTAATTTGTGTGTTTATGGCAGCAGATGTGCACCTTCACTAAAAGGCTGCCAGAGTGAGGGAAAGGACAGGACAGCAAAGAAAGAAGGGGAAAGGTGTTCAGAGTTTTCAATGGGTAATAAACTATAGACATAAATGAAAAAATGGCACAGTTTGAACATTCATGAACTCATCAAGTATGTTATGTGAAGTATCAAATATTTATCACTAAAATTTGGTTGAGTTACAGATATGCTGAGTGTCAAATCCCTTTATCCAGTGCGAAAACTGAAGGACAAAATTTTTCATTTAAAATTTAATAGCTGTGACAGAAAGTCGTTAAATTAAAAGTAGGTGAAAACCACTTTTCTCCCCTCAAAGAGAAGATTCTTTTTTCTAAATAAGAAACATTGTAATTATTAACAATGACTTTCCTGCACAGACCTTCTGAGTTCTGTTTTTCTCCAGCTCTAAAATTTTATGGCTCATAGGAGGAAAAACATTGTGCCCACGTTTCAATACTAACGTTGTTAATGCCGGCTAAGTAAGGTGTGTAACAAAAATCATGGTATCTTGATATTTCCTTTCATAGGAAATTGAAATATTCTAATCACAGGTCTATAATCTATAATGGAGGACATAAAACCTTGATGATTTTGCAGACACTCTCCTTAAACACAGAACAAAACAGATCTCTATGCAACACATGTAATGAGAAAAAAAGGGAGGGTAAGCTGTTTATAGTGCTTTTCATCTTACCAGGGTTTAAGAAACAAGTAGGAGACAGACGGAAAACATGGATTCACTCATGGCTAGACACTGTAGATTGAGAGGCAGTTGTTGATAATACCAGTTAGTTGAAAAGTAGTTTCCAGAAGGTGCATCATAGTCACTTGAGGAAATAAGACACAGACATCTCAGAAAAGAGCACTCTGTTCGACCTTTATGCTTTGGGGTAAATGTGCAACCATATACTAACCTCTTAATTTCAGCAAATTCCTAGACCTTTTAAATCAATAGAAAACAGTTACTAAACAGTTCCATAACATTTATGGTAGGCATTATCTCTACCCTCAAACACCTTGCAATCTAACTGGAAAGAATATATATTTGTATAATAAGCGCACATAAGGAGGGCAATAAATAAGAATATAATTAAGGCAAAGTAGGGCATAAATAAGAATATGCAATAAATAAGAATATAATTTAGGCAAACTAGGGCATGTGAAAACACAGTTTTTATTTTTCTTGTTCTTCAGTATCAGTTTCTTCTTATTAAGACTCCATTCAGGCCCGGTGCTGTGGCTCACACCTGTAATCCCAACACTATGGGAGGCCGAGGTGGGTGGATCAATTGCGATCAGGAGTTCAAGACAAGACTGGCCAACATGGCAAAACCCCGTCCCTACAAAAATGCAAAAAAAAAGTTTAGCTGGGTGGGGTGGCAGGCTCCTGTAACCCCAGCTACTTGGGAGGATGAGGCAGGAGAATTGCTTGAAACTGGGGGGTGGAGGTTGCAGTGAGCTGAAATCATGCCACTGCACTCCACTCCAGCCTGTGTGACAGAGTGAGACTCTGTGTCAAATAAAAAAGAAAAAAAAGAAAAAAAGACTGCATTCAAACACCTATTAATTGCATAACCTTTTTTGAGATTCTATTTCATACGGTGTCTGGCAGAGAATAGGCACTCGACATATGTTTATTAAGTGAATAGCATTATCTAGATGCTGGAGATATTCAAAAGAGAAGACACCAATCCAACACTTACAGCACATTGGTTCTGTGTAAAAATAAATAAACAAATGAATAAATAAATAAATAAATGGGAGAAAATGTTTCTGCCCTCACAAACTCTAGACAGATAAAACTTTTTGAATGTCATGTCTCTTTGCTGCTAGGTTGTGAAAGTGTTTTCTTCCTCCTCCTTTCACTTCTTCTTTTCTCCCTTTTCTTCCTAAAATGTTTATCTTACCAACTTGAGCAGGAGTAGAGACTTTCTCTATCCCCATTTCTCCCTTTAAAGATTATTGATTGCAAGAGAAAAACAAATCGTTACATGGACTCATTAATTTAATGTTGTGTTCACTTTCTTAACTACATATTATGGACTTAACATATGGAGTTCTAAAGTAAAAAATAGAAATCTGCACTTAGATGTAATGGGTAAAATAAAAATCTCGATTTTTTGTTATATATCATGCTGATTTAGGGATTAATGGCAAATAATAATTATGTTACTAACAATATTATACTAATAACAGTTAACATTTATGGAAACCCTATTACATGAAAGGTGTTCTTCAATGTGATTTTTTTTAATTTCCATATGTTTTTGGAGAAAAGGTGGTGTTTGGTTACAAGAGCAAGTTCTTTAGTGGTGATTTGTGAGATTTTGGTGCACCCATAACCCAAGCAGTATACGCTGCACCTAATTTGTAGTCTTTAATCCCTCACACCCGTCCGATAGTTTTCCCCAAGTCCGCAAACTCCATGGTATCATTCTTATGCCTTTGCATTCTCATAGCTTAGCTCCCACATTTGAGTAAGAACATACCATACTTGGTTTTCCTTTCTCGAGTTACTTCACTTAGAATAATGGTATCCAATTCCGTCTAGGTTGCTGCAAATGTCATTATTTTGTTCCTTATTGTGGCTGAATAGTATTTAAATATATATGTATATATTTAATTATATATAATATATGTATATATTATATTATATATAATATAAGTATATATTATATATAAGTATATATTATATGATATATAATATAAGTGTATATAAAATATAATCTATACATATAATCTATACATATATGTATACAGGTATTTATAAAATATAATATATACATATATGTATATATGTATTTATATTATATGTATAATATATAATAGTATTTAATGGTATATATACATACATATGAATAGTTTTTAATGGTATATATACATATATAATATATAATATATTCTATATACATATATAATATATAATATATTCTATATACATATATAATATTTAATATATTCTATATACATATATAATATATAATATATTCTATATACATATATAATATTTAATATATTCTATATACATATATAATATTTAATATATTCTATATACATATATAATATTTAATATATTCTATATACATATATAATATTTAATATATTCTATATACATATATAATATTTACTGTATTCTATATACATATATAATATATATCATATATTCTGTAGACATATATATCATATATTCTGTAAACATATATATCATATATTCTGTAGACATATATAATATATCATATATTCTGTAGACATATATAATATATCATATATATATAATATATACATATATAATATATGAATATATTATATATAGTATATATAATATATAATATATTCATATATTATATATGGTATATATACATATATAATATATTCATATATTATATATGTATATATACATATATAATATATTCATATATTATATATAGTATATATACATATATAATATATTCATATATTATATATAATATATATACATATACAACATATTCTATATAGTATATAAATATATTATATATACATATATAATATATTCTATATAATTATATATAATATAGATAATATATACATATATAAGATATATAATATATATAATATATATAATATATACATATGTTATATATATAATATATATACATGTATTACATATAATGTATGTAATATATATAATATATATAATATATAATATATACCTATATAATATATAACATATTATATAGTATAATATTACAAATATTATATAGACATATATAATATATGTAATATATTATATAGACATATATAATATATGTAATATATTATATAGACATATATAATATATGTAATATATTATGTAGACATATATAATATGTGTAATATATTATGTAGACATATATAATATGTGTAATATATTATGTAGACATATATAATATGTGTAATATATTGTGTAGACATATATAATATATGTAATATATTTGTAGACATATATAATATATGTAATATATTTGTAGACATATATAATATATGTAATATATTATATAGACATATCTAATATATGTAATATATTATATAGACATATATAATATATGTAATATATTATATAGACATATATATGTAATATATTATATAGACATATATATGTAATATATTATATAGACATATATATGTAATATATAGACATATATATGTAATATATTATATAGACATATATATGTAATATATTATATAGACATATATAATATATGTAATATATTACTATATATTATATAGACACATATAATATGTAGTAATATATTACTATATATTATATTACATATATAATATATAGGAATATATTACTACATATTATATTACATATAATATGTAGTAATATATTACATATATAATATATGTAATACAATATATATTATATTATATATATGTAATATAGTATGTATTATAATATAATACATATTGTATGTACATATATAATATAAAATTCTAATATATAATATATTATAATTATATTATATAATATATTATAATTATGTAATTATAATTAATTATATAATATATTATATAATTATATAATATATATAATATATTACATAATTATATAATATATATAATATTTATAATATCTATAATATTATATAATATATATAATATATTATATATATTATATATATTATATAATATATATTATATATAACATAATTTAATATATAATATATATAATATATTATATGTAATATATATTACATAATTATATTATAATATATAATATATAATTATAATATATAATATATTATATATTTATATATATATAAATATAATTATATAATATATTATGTATTATAATATAATATGTATTATAATACATAATATATATTCTATATACATATAGAATATATATAATATATTAGAATATATAATATATAATATAGAATACATATATTATATATTGTAATATAATATATAATGTAAAATATATGTATTCTATATTATATATAATATATTTGATATATATACACATAGGTGTATGTGTATATATACCATTAAATACTATTCAGCCACAATGAGGAACAAAATAATGACATTTGCAGCAACCTAGATGGAATTGGATACCATTATTCTAAGTGAAGTAACTCAAGAATGGAAAACCAAGTATGGTATATTCTTACTCAAATGTGGAAGCTAAGGTATGAGGATGCAAAGGCATAAGAATGATACAATGGAGTTTGCGGACTTGGGGAACAGGATCGGAGAGGTGTGAGGGATTAAAGACTACAAATTTGGTGCAGTGTATACTGCTTGGGTTATGGGTGCACCAAAATCTCACAAATCACCACTAAAGAACTTGCTCATGTAACGAAACACCACCTGTTCTCCAAAAACATATGAAAATTAAAAAATCACATTGAACAACACCTTTCATGTAATAGGTTTTCCATAAATGTCAACTGTTATTAGTATAATATTATCATTAGTAACATAATTATTATTTATATGATATATAATATGTATATCACAATTTCTTTATCCACTCAATGATTGATGAGCATTTGGGCTGGTTCCATATTTTCACAATTGCAAATTGTGCTGCTGTAAGCATGAGTGTACAAGTATCTTTTTTTGTAAATTGACTTCTTTTCCTCTGGGTAGATATCCAGTAATGGGATTGCTGGATCAAATGGTAGTTGTACTTTTAGTTCTTTAAGGAATCTCCACATTGTTCTCTATAGTGGTTTTACTAGTTTACATTCCCACCAGCAGTGTAAAAGTGTTTCCTTTTCACCTCATCCCCGCCAACATCTATTATTTTTTGATTTTTTTATTATGTCCATTCTTGCAGGAGTAAGGTCGAATCACATTGTGGTTTTGCTTTGCATATCCTTGATCATTAGTGATGTTGAGCATTCTTTCATATATTTGTTGGCAATTTGTATATCTTCTTTTGAGAATTGTCTGTTCCTGTCCTTAGCCCAGTTTTTGATGAGCTTGTTTCCTTTTCTTGCTAATTTGTTTGAGTTCCTTGTAGATTCTGGATTTTAGTCCATTATTGGATGTATAGATTGTGAACATTTTCTCTCACTCTGTGGGTTTTCTGTTTACTCCACTGATTGTTTCTTTTGATGTACAGAAACTTTTAGTTTAATTAAGTCACACCTATTTATTATTTTTTTTGTTGCATTTGTTTTTGGGTACTTGGATATGAATTCTTTGCCTAAACCTTTGTCTAGAAGGGTTTTTTCAATGTTATCTTCTAGAATTTTTATGGTTTCAGGTCTTAGATTTAAGTCTTTGATCCATCTTGTGTTGATTTTTGTATAAGGTGAGAAACGAGGATCCAGTTTTATTCTTCTACATGTGGCTTGCCAATTATCCCATCACCATTTGTTGAATACAGTATTCTTTCTCTACTTTATGTTTTTGTTTGCTTTGACAAAGATCAGTTGGCCCTAAGTATTTTGCTTTATTTCTGGGTTCTCTATTCTGTTCCATTGGTCTATGTGCCTATTGTTATACCAGTACCATGCTGTTTTGGTGACTATGGCCTTATAGTATAGTTTGAAGTCAGGTAATGTGATGCCTCCACATTTGTTCTTTTTGCTTAGCCGTAGTTTGGCTATACAGGCTTGTTTTTGGTTCCACAAGAATTTTAGGATTGTCTTTTTTAGTTCTGTGAAGAACGATGACAGTATTTTGATGGAAATTGCATTGAATTTGTAGATTCCTTTTGGCATATGGTCATTTTTACAATATTGATTCTACCTACCCATGAGCATGAGAAGTGTTTCCATTTGTTTATGTTGTCTATGATTTCTTTCAGCAGTGTTTTGTAGTTTTCCTTGTAGAGGTCTTTCACCTCCTTAGGTATATTCGGGGTTTTTTTTGTTTTGTTTTTTCGTTTTTTTGAGTTTTTTTTTTTTTTTTGCAGCTATTGTAAAAGGGATTGAGTTCCTGATTTGATTCTCAACTTGGTCACTGTTGCTGTATAGAAGAGCTACTGATTTGTGTACATTGATTTTGTATGCTGAAACTTTGATGAACTCATTTATCAGTTCTAAGAGCTTTTCAGAAGGGTCTTTAGGATTTTCTAGGTTTGCAATCATATCATCAGCAAACAGCAACATTTTGACTTCCTCTTTACTGATTTGGATGCCTTTTATTTTTTTCTCTTGTCTGATTGCTCTGGATAGGACTTTCAGTACTATTTTTAATAGAACTGGTGAGAGTGGGCATCCTTGTCTTGTTCCAGTTCTAAGAGGGAATACTTTCCACTTTTCCCCCTTTAGTATTATGTTGGCTGTTGGTTTATCATTGATGGTTTTTATTACATTGAGGTGTGTCCCTTGTATGCCAATTTTGCTGAGGGTTTTCATCATAAAGGGATGCTGGATTTTGTCAAATGCTTTTTCTGCATCTATTGAAATAATAAATTTCTAAAAATTCTGTTTATGTAGTATATCAGATTTATTGACTTTCATGTTAAGCAATCCTTGCATCCCTGTATGAAACTCACTTGATCATGGTGGATTATCTTTTTGATATGCTGTTGGATTCGGTTAGCTAGTGTTTTGTTAGGGATTTTTGCAATGATATTCATCACTGATATTAGCCTGTAGTTTTCTTTTTGTGTTATGTCCTTTCCTGGTTTTGGTCTTATGGTGATGCTGGCTTCACAGAATGATTTAGGAAGGATTTCCTCTTTCTCTATCATGTGGAATAGTGTCAATAGGAATTGAACCAATTCTTTGAATGTCTAATATAATTTAGCTGTGAATCCATCTGGTACTGGACTTTTCTTTGTTGACAATTTTTTTTATTACCACTTCTCTTTTGTATTTACTTATTTGTTTGTTTCAATTTTATTTAATTATGTTCTGATCTTCATTATTTCTTTTCTTCTGCTGGGTTTGTGTTTAGTTTGTTCTTGTTTCTCTAGTTCTTTGAGGTGTGACCTTAGATTGTCTCTTTGTGCTTTTAGACTTTTTGATGTTGGCATTTAAGGCTATAAACTTTCTTCTTCACACTACCTTGTCTGTATCCCAGAGATTTTGATAGGTTGTGTCACTATTAATTGATTTCAGTTTAAATAATTTTTTATTTGCATCGTGATTTCGTTGTTGACACAACGATCATTCAGGAGCAGGTTATTTAATTTCCATGTAGTTACATAGTTTTGAGGGTCCCTTTTGAAGTTTATTTCCAATTTTGTTCCACTGTGGTCAGAGAGAGTACTTGATATAACTTCAGTTTTCTTAAATTTATTGAGACATGTTTTGTGGCCTATCATATGGTCTATCTTGGAGAATATTCCATGTGCTGATGAGTAGAATATATATTTTGAAGTTGTTGGGTAGATAGTTCTGTAAATATCTGTTAATTCCATTTGTTCTAGTATATAGTCTAAATCCATTGTTTCTTTGTTGAATTTCTGTCTTGATGACCTGTCTAGTGACGTTGGTGGAGTACTGAAGTCCCTCAGTATTATTGTGTTGCTGTCTATCTCATTTCTTAGGTCTACCAGTAACTGTTTTATAAATTTTGGAGCTCCAGATGTGTATATATTTAGGATTGTGATTTTTCCTGTTAGACAAGATCTTTTATCATTATATTATGTCCCTCTTCATATTTTTTAATTGCTGTTGCTTTGAAGTTTGTTTTGTCTGACATAAGGATAGCTACTCCTGCTTGCTCTTGGTGTCCATTTGCAGGGAATTTTATTTTCCACCCCATTACCTTAAGTTTATGTGAGTTCTTATGTGTTAGGTAAGTCTCTTGAAGGCAGCAGATACTTGGTTGGTAAACTCTTAACCATTCTGCCATTATGTGTCTTTTAAGTGGAGCATTTGGGCCATTTACATTAAACGTTAGTATTGAGATGTGAGGTACTATTCTATTAATCATGCTGTTTGTTGGCTGAATACCTTGTTTTTTTAAAAAATATATTGTGTTGTTGTTTTATAGGTCCTGTGAGGTTTATGCTTTAAGGAGGTTCTGTTTTAATGTATTTTAAGGATTTGTTTCAAGATTTAGAGTTCCTTTTAGCAGTTCTTTTAGTGCTGGCTTGGTAGTGGCATATTCTCTTAGCATTTGTTTGTTGAAAAAAGACTGTATCTTTCCTTTATTTATGAAGCTTAGTTTCTCTGGATATAAAATTCTTGGTTGATAATTGTTTTGTTTAAGGAGGCTGAAGATAGGGCCCTAATCCCTTCCAGCATGTAGGATTTCTGCTGAGAAATCTGCTGTTAATCTGATAGGTTTTCCTTTATAGGTTACCTGGTGCTTTTGCCTCACAGGTTGTGATATTCTTTTCTTCATCTTGACTTGGGATAACCTGATGACTATGTGCCTAGGTGATGATGTTTCTGGGATGCATTTCCCAGGTGTTCTTTGAGCTTCTTATATTTCAGTGTCTAGATCTCTAGCAAGGCCTGGAAAGTTTTCCTTGATGATTCCCCCAAATATGTTTTCCACAATTTTAGATTTTTCTTCTTCCCCAGGAATGCCAATTATTCTTTGGTTTGGTCATTTAATATAATCCCAAACTTGTTGGAGGATTTGTTCACTTTTTAAAAATTCTTTTGTCTTTGTCTTGTTGGATTGGGTTACTTAGAAAACCTGTCTTCGAGCTCTGAAGTTCTTTCTTCTGTTTGTTCAATTATATTGCTGCGATTTTCCAGTGCATTTTGAATTTCTATAAGTGTGTCATTGATTTCCAGAAGTTCTGATGGATTTTATTTATGCTATCTATTTCACCGAAGATTTCTCATCTCATATCTTGTATCTTTTTTTATTTCGTTGAATTCAACTTTACCTACCTCTGGTGCCTCCTTGATTAGCTTAATAATTTGCCTTCTGAATTTTTTTTTTCTGGCAAATCAGGGATTTCTTCATGGTTTGGTTCCATTGCTAGTGAGCTAGTTTGATTTTTTGAGGTTGTTAAAGAACCTTGTTTTGTCATATTACCAGAATTGTTTTTCTGGTTCCTTCTCATTTGGGTGGGCTATGTCAGAGAGAAGATTTGGTGCTCAAAGGCCGCTGTTCAGATTCTTTTGTCCCATGGGGTCTTCCTTTGATGTATTACTCTTGCCTTTTTCCTAGGGATGTGGCTTCCTGAGGGCCAAACTGTAGTGATTGTTATTTCTCTTCTGGGTTTAGCCACCCAGTGGGACTACTGGGTTCTGGGCTGATACTGGGAAAAGTTTGCACAGAGTTCTGTGATGTGAACAATCTTCCAGTCTCTCAGTCATAGATAGCAGCACCTGCTCTGGTAGAGGTGACAGGGGAGTGAAATGGACTCTCTGAGGGTCCTTCATTGTATTCTTGTTGTTTATTGCACTAAGTTTTGTGCTGGTTGGCCACCTGCCAGGAGGTGGCACTTTCAAGAGAGCATCAGCTGTGGTAGTATGGGGAGAATGAGGCAGTGGGCAGAGCCCTGGAACTTCCAAGAAAATATGACCTTTGTCTTCAGCTACTAGGCTGTGTAGAGAAAGACCATCAGGAGGGGACAGGATTAGGCATGTCTGAGCTCAGATTCTCCTAGGGTGGGGCTTGCTGTGGCTGCTGTGAAGGATGAGGTTGTGGTTCCCAGTTCAATTGAGTTACTTTCCTAGGAGGATTAGGGTTGCCTCTGCTGTGTCATGCAGGTCGCCAGGGAAGTGGGGGAAAGCTGGCAGTTACAGGCCTCACCCAGCTCCCATGCAACCCAAAAGGCCAGTCTCACTCCCACCATGCTCCCCTACCAACAACCTCAAGTTTATTTCCAGGCAGTGGGCGAGCAGGGCTGAGAACTTGTCCCACACTACCAGCCTCCTGGCTGAAAAAGCAAGCAGGGATTTTAGGATTTGCGCCTCCACATCTGCCTGCGTCTGCACTCTGGATTCACTCCCTCCCCTGAGTTCTGTCCAAGAAACTTCATGTTCAGTTGGAATTGTTACAAAGTTCAGGTAGAAGTTTCCTTTCCCTGTGATCTTTTCCCAGTTCCTCTGGCAGCTCTCCCTAAGGATTCCTGTAAGGCAAAGTCAGAAATGGCTTCCCTCGGGACCCAGAGAGCCCACAGGGCTCTTGCTGCTGCTCCCTCTACACCTGTATTTCGCTTAGCTCTTTAAATTATCTCCTCTCCAGGTAAAGTCTAATCCTCCTTCCGTGATCTGGACCTTCAGGTCCCCCAGTGAGGGTGTGTCTTTGGAGGTGGACAACCTCCCTTTCCCACTTTCACACTTGGGGCACTCACAGTATTTGGGATGTCTCCCAGGTCCTGCAGAAGCAATCTGCTTCCTTCAGGGGGTCTGTGGATTCTCTCTGCTTTCCTGGTATGTTCCTGTAGTAGTTCTCAGAGCAAAAGTTCACTATGTGAGTCTCCACACATTGCTCTGTCCGTCCAAGTGGAAGCTGCAATTTAGTCCTGCCTCCTATCCACCATTTTTCCTACCCCAATGTGATTTATACTTAATCCTAATGTCAACTGTATGGAATAGGTATCGTTATGGTCATACTCATTTTACAGATGAGAAAACTGAGGTACAGAGAGTTTAAGTAGCATATTTATAATTGTTGAGGAAGATAAATATTTTAGGGTGAGTGTAGTATATATAAGAAGGAAGAGTAAAGTGAGATCATTGAAGTCTAAGGTGAATACTATAGATGTTTACTTCAACAGAGAAATTCACAGTGCTGTCACTCAGCGTCTTGTGTTGTATTAGAAATAGTAAAAACTAAAGGTATTCCTTGAATGTTCTTAACGGTTTCTGTTAGCTACCTGAGATAGCCTGAGGTCCTCGTGTCACTTCAGGGTTAGCCAAGATAGCTTCATTTGCGGGTAAGGATACCCTCTCCTGGACAGTAATGGAAATGCACTAGACTTTATGGTGCTCAAGCAAGAGAAAAGCCAGAGGACAGAGAGGGGCAAATTGTAGAGGCATTTGAATTTAGATACGGAGGAAAAATTAAAAGTAGTATCCCAAGAACTGGGTTTTAGGAAGATGAATCTGACAGCTGAATTCAGAAATAAAAAGAAATTAGAGGCAGTGAGATTGGTTATAAAACTATTGCAATTACAGTGAAAAAATGTGAGAACAGGAGCAAGAACCTTGGGAAAATTTTTAATATTATCTAGCTATTATACCTCATGTTAAACGTCTGAAGCATGGATGTTTCTGGTTATGAACAGATGCAAAGTATGTGACAATTCGTTTTAGTTATTTTTACTTGGTTGTATTCCATAACATAAAACGATTTTAGATAATGCAAAGTAAGTTAAATCATCTTGATTGCTCTAAGAATAGATGAACGTAATCTACCCAATCAGAAATTGGGGTCTTTATTTAGAGTTGAACGTTTCATCTTAAAAGGGTAAGAGTTTTAAATATTAAATTTATAGGTCATATGTACACAAGGTTGCTATTCATATAATTATTGAGAAATAGTTCATACTGACATGTTCTGATAATCACAAATGCATCAAATGAATCCCTAATGCTTTGACATTAAGAGCATCAACTTGATAGTGACAGAATTAGAAAACATAAGAATGTAATTTACAATAAAAATAATGTGTTTTTTTTTATACTAGTGAAAAGGACTCTGAATTCATTTAATCACTCTATTTGGGTACTGACATTTTTCAGCCATCATTAATCTAATATTTAATATTAATACATATTTTTTGTTCAAACCTACATGTTGCAATAGCATGAGGAAAGATTTGGATGATCTGATGGAAAGAGACTTGATTGGCATATAAAATAGCAGAATTGTATTTCCAGCTATACTACTAACTGTGTGAACTTGGGCAAGTCACAGCACCTATGTACCTCATCTTCTTTATTTCTAGACACTGATTAAATCCTCTTCCAACCCTAATGTTAAATACGCACCTTGAAACTCTGCCTAGTGTTAAAAACAACAACAACAACAACAACAACAACAGGCTGATATGTCTTGGCAAAGAGATAAAATTAAATGGGAAATTCTGTATAATCTGTATGGACCAGTCACTCATTTGGGCTTCATTACATGCATCATTAGCACTGTGAAATTTGTCAAAGGGATAAGGCTAGTAATATATCCTTGACTGGCCTGTAAAAGAGAATTGGCATCAATTTCAAGGTTTTAAGCCCTCTCACTCTTATTCTTCAGCTTGTTAAATTATTATTTCTTAACAGTATATAGGAAAGAATCAGTAGTCTTGGAGTCAGAAGACCTGAATTCAAATTTTCTTTCTGCCACCTACTCACTAGGCTCAAATTTTCTCATCTGTAAAGTGGAAACAGAGAAGACAAAATGAGCTTTGCCTACTTCACAACATTGTGGTAAGGAAGAAAGTGTTTCATAAGCTGTAAAGAAATATAATGCAATATATTAGTAATCCACGTATTATGAGTAAAGGGACTATGCCCTAACTGTATGACGGAACACAAAATCTCTCAACAAAATGCTTTGATTTTCTTGTAAGAAACAAATTGTTGAGCTATCACCGTTTGATATAAATAACCTCTGAAAAATTCTATATCTCTCTGTGAATTTTCTAGCATCCTAATATTTAGACATTTACCTGGGGATTATTTAGTGTATAAAACATAATCCTGAAACAAGGCAGGTTTAAAATTTTGGAATAGAGTGTTCAAAGATTTTTTTCCCAACAACCACCCTGGAGTCATATATTCAATAAAGGCTTCCTCTTTCTTGTTAAGGAGCTACTTTTGAATGATCATGTAATAGCATGCACATTAGACAAGAAATATGAGTAGTCTTCATAGCTTACATTCTTCCATTAGTTTTCCAACCTCAGGACAAGTTGCAGATGAACAGAACATTATTGGTTTGGAAAAATATATTGATGTAGTCAAGTAAAGACAGAATGTGTGTATTTACAAAGGATAATATTAGCATATAAAATATTTTTTCCTTCTAATTTTGAACTTAGCACTTTCTAGGACAAACATCTTCCAATTATCTCATTTTATGCTTCATCCATTAAACAATTCTGTCAAAAGAGCTCTCTGTTCCTCCAAGGCAATTGATTGACATTGACCAGTTTTTCCTCTCTTTCAGTTCAAAGTAATGTAATAAGATTAACAACACAATTATTTGCAGTGGGTTGAGTCTGTTATTTAATTAAAATAAAAGTTATCCAAGAGGAGCAACTTGTTTGCACAAACACAGCAGACTAGAACTTATTCTTGAATTACAATTTATGGATAAGCAATTTTATGCGTTTTATTTTTATTTTTTGTAGTTTTAAATATTTTTATTGTTTTTTTTTCTCATGGAATCAGGGGAAGATAGGGTAATTTTGCTTCATGACCTTTTTTGTAAGAGAGAATTTGCTAACTGACATGGTAGTAAAAGCATAACATTTCCCTAAATAATCATGATGTGAGCCTGCAGAAACTATTTCTTTAATCATTATGCTACAAATTGCATTCTGCATTCGTTGAGGAAAAAATGGGGCAAGGGGAGGATAAAATAAAAAAGAAATCACTAAACAGAAATATCTTTGACTACAATTTCAATTGCCATTCTGTTACTAAAATCAAATTAGCATTTCCGGAAACAGTGTTTTTACCCCTCCTCTAAAGCCACCCTAAAAAATCTGAATGTTAATTATGTTTGCACATGTTTCTCTTTAAATGTGAATAGAAATAATATGTACAGCTTCCCAGAAAGTGGACAGATTCCAGAAGGTTTTAGTGATGCTTTGATAAGGTTTCCTTCCCAGAAGTTACATTTGCACTTTAATTATATTTCTTTTATAGAAATGCAATCACACATGAGCAATGAGAGTCTAACTGAGGGGAAATAGTGCCTTACAATAACTGCCTTTAGTTGACAAGTTAAGCAGTTGATACATTTTTAATTGTAATACCTTGGAGCTTTTAAAGAGGTATCGTAGCTTTAAGCAATGAGAACCTCTGAAGCAAGACCTTCTATTGCTTTTTGTCAGGTTGATATAAATTTGCCTTAGGCAGTGCTAGTGGCCAAAAAATACTTTGAGTAGATTAAAAAGCAAGGCAGATGGGCGTCTATAAATTGAGAGTGATCAATTCATAGATAGTTTGCATTGTAACTAGTTTTGACCATAATTTAAAGTGTAATGTATTATTTAACTAAGCTCTTTTTATTAATGGCTCATTTTTATGAATTCCTTATTAATGGTTCAGGAAGAGCTGGATGATACTATGGAGGAGTTACTACTAACAAGTGAAAATAAATCCTAAGGTTTATTTGCTAACTCACTCACTCTCTCTCTCTCTCTCTGTCTATGTGTGTGAGATATGTGTGTATGTGTATATATAAATATACACATATGTGTTTATTTAACTATATTTACAAGGTATGCATACAGCAAGTGTCTATTTTTCCACCAGTCAAATGCCACTTTATGGCACAACCCTGATTGAATCCATAAACTTTCTTAAAAGCCTTGGGGACTGTAAAAACAATGTGGAGAAAATGAAAAAAAATATCCAGTATAGTAATAAGGAGGCAGTCATGCTCCAGTGATTTCCTTAAAATATAGATACTCCCTGGATATACCAGAAGGAATAGCTCATATCTTAAGAAACGTTAAGAGAAAGAGAGCTGTGTTGCAAGGAATGTAATTATAACTGGAACATCATTTATTAGGGGAGTAAATCATAATGTATACCTCTGTCCTAATTTGGTGTCCTACCACTAAGAAAAATTATGAAGTAAGCAAAGATTGTCTTTAGAGCCTGCGGCATCCTTTTCTAGTATCACTTCCAGATACTTCAGAATAGCCCCTTTCCCATATTCTCAAAGTATAGCCAACATCCTTAAGCATTTAAACTTAAGCCCAATCCTTATCAAAACTTGCTATTAAGTAAAAATCTAACAAATATTTTTATCCTAAGGTATTTAAGGTGTTTATTCATTTTTAAATTATTTCATTAAAAAATATTTATTGAGGGCTCATAAGGTACCAGGCACTAGATGCTAAGCTGGGGTTTAGTGAAGTCTAAAGCTTATACAAAGTCGATAGACCCACTTAGAAAAGTAAACTGCAAATTATAAATACAATATTGCACGCAAGGCCTTGAAAGGGGACTATACAAGTGAGAGTCCCTGGAATGTAAGTTTCATTAGCTTCATGGCAGTAATTCCAAATCTGATGTTAGTGATACAAGTTGACACAACAGACAGAAAGTTCTGTCTTCATGGAGCTGCTGTTCTAGTAAGATAAATATATTCAATAATGCCTTATACAAAGAAAAAAAGTGATAAGGTGCTGTAGAATGAAGGGGGTGCTGTCTTTGATAGGGTTTCAGAGAGGTTATCTCTGAGAAGGTGACGTTTGAACAGAGAGTTTAATACTTTAATGAATTAAAGGAATGAGCCATAATTGCAGGCAAAGAGGAAAGTATGAAGGCCCGGAGATGACACTGACCTTAACATATCCCAGGGAAAATGCAAAAGGCAGTTTAAGGATGAGGTTAGTTATAGTAAACCTTGTAAGCCATGATAAGGAGTTTAGATTTCATTCTAGGTATGAAGGAATATAACTGGAAGTGTTCAGTAGGGGAGTGAAATGCCTTGATTTCCATTTACAATGCTCACTCTGGCTGATTTTTGACATAAGGCATACATTCTGATGAGTTTTCAAGTATTACTTTAGAAATAATAATCCTCATGTTACCTGGACCGGAAGCCATTTAATCTTTGCCATTAGAGTCCTCTCTGACCTGACTAAAGGCATAGTCCCTCTTCAGATGTGAGACTGCCCCCTGCTGCTCTATCACCCTCCAGTTGCCACTATGCATTAATCATGGACTTTGTGACACCTCAGATCTGAGATGCTAAGTGGGGCCTTAGAGCTCCACTTCTGTATACCATATCTTATTGAATTTCATTGTCTACTCATATGCCAAGACCTTTCAACACTAACTATCCACCTTAATGAACCTTGCTCTGACTCCTGATGCTTGCATCTACCAATGTTAACTGTCTAAGTATGTGATCTATCTTAATAAGAATCCCTGCCGCTGCCTCTTACTGTCATTAATATTCACAGTCTGTGAAATTCAAATGCTGATATAATTGGCTGAAAAATGGGAGACCTAAAAATGGGAGACAAGAAGAACGTATGTGCTTGTGTGTGTGAGAGAGACAGAGAGCAGGATATGTCCTTGTAAATATTAATAGTAATCAATTAGCACTATGTATGCTAACTACTTACATTTTTGCCTAATTATCCTGCAAACAATTCATGACTGCTATTATATACATCAGATTAACTGGGTTATAAGTGTTATTTGATTACAACAGTAAGTAGCATATATGCATGGTCAGATTTCTTAGTTTCTTATTCCGGCACTAAAGTTGTTTGTCAACAAGTTAAAAAATAAAGGAAATAATGATATTAAATAGTATCAACATAACTGAAGGACAGCACATTTTTTTAGGAGCCAAGACTGGAATATGTTGTTTCTTGCAGTGAATAGAGTGAGTTCCATATTTGATTGGTGATATTCTTTCTTTAGTCCTTGCAAAATCTTTAAAAAAGGAAAAAGATCACATAAAAAGTATACTATTTTCTTTTTCTCAGGGGTGGCTTTCTGGAACCAGCTTTATGACTTTGTTTCAAGCTGTTTTACATCTTATGCAGAGATTCTTTTCCTTATAAGTGCAGTAATTACAGAAATAGCTCTCGGGATCTTGTTATGTTAATTGCATTATTGATTTGTAATAAAAAAGAAATAGAAATGCAATTATTATCTGAAGTGAAATAATAAAGTACCAGTATCTACTGCCATCACTGAAGCAAAATCTAAATTGCCAAAGAAGGTGAATATTATGTTGAGTCAAATAATGTGAAAGGAATATGACAACTTTATGCTTTGGTGCACGAGATATCTATAAAATATAGGATGAAACCCATTTTAAATAACAAACATTTGGCGATTCTAGCCAAAATAATCAGATAGATACTTTTATTTTACTTTTTCTGAATTTATTGAACAGTTTCAATCATCCAGTATATTGGTTTCCTGTAGACATAGCCATCAATTTGGTATAAACCAGGAAGCATGCACTTGGACATATCAGTCTTCTCTGAGTCTGACAGGGGAATAATAGATTGCTTTTCAGATCTGGGCTGTCTTAAAATGTAATTAAGGATAGAATCAGTTATATAAATGTAAGAGCTATATGTGCTGTTCTTTGAGCTATTTAAAATTAGAGTATTTTAAATTGGATTAGGCAAAGCAGGTAAAAACATTTTCTCAGGAAAACACAGTACTGTAGTCTTAGAATAGGTCTGGTTTCTAAGTTGGCATTACTTATTCTATTGATTAGCATGCAGATTAAAAAGGTAGTGGGAATGCAAAACTGAGAATCCCTTAACATATCAATACTTATACCTTAGAACCAGTAATTATAATCTAATTATTAATAATGCTAGAGAAAGAATAAATTATAACACATAACATGTTGAACCACTGTAATGCTAATAAATGTTTAATGCTATATTATCTTAGCATTCAGACCATCTACATAGATGATTTTAATATATTGAAATTACTAGTGACCTCAATTTATTACATTTCTCCAAAAATTAGATTTCAATTATAACATCTGTCAAAACAATTGAAAAATATTTCTATCCACGATCAAAATTATCATAAGTTTCTATGAGCTTCTTTTGTGTTTGGCCTTTTACTTTATTGTCTTATAACCATTGGGCAACAAATTGATCATTTGCTAGTATAGGATTTGATTTTCCAAGATAAATATGATATTTGATTTTTTGAGGTAGATTTTAAAAATAATGATTAAATGATATGTTGCAGAGCTTGACTCATTCTTCTGTATGTTTGAATCCCAACTAAGCTCTGTTTTGTTGAAATTCCTGTTAAGATAGTGCCATATTTGTCACTGTGTGGTGTTGCTTCTTGTAAGGTCCAGGACAAATAAGTGTTATAGAAAATGAAGAGGAAATGGTAGTGCACCCAGTATGAGCCAAGGCAGTACTATGCGTGAGGAAGCTTGGCAATGAAACTAGGTGCCTAATTATTATTAAGCTTGAAGTTTTACTCCCAATACTTTTCCTGCTCAACTTTTGTTCTGTTTTACATTCAGCAAATTGTTTTATCTCCTGTATCATATGCAGTACTGGAAAACAAGGCAGCAAGTATTTCATTCTGAGGTGCAGGGCTAAGAAAAACGAGTGTCTTTCAAACCTTTTATGCCAAACAAAGCAGACTGAAATCCCTGCTATGTTGTTATTAATTATAATAAGTAATCATTTTCAGTAATCACCAGCCCTAACCCATGATCATAAAATGTGCCTGTGTAGTCAACATGCAAAGGGTTGACATTCAGCTAAAATATACGGAGGTTTCAAATCTGGCAATAGGAAGCACATGTATAATAGCTCTTCTATAGAAAATGAACTGTTTGTTCAGAATCTGGTCTAATGAAGACCAATCAGTCTGCTCTTAATGAAGAGAGAGCTTTAGGGTCATAGAAAACCATTATTACTGTTGGCTCTGATTTCAAATGAACAAGGAAAACAAACCCCTGTCCAAGTGGAAATTAGTTTTTCTCTCTTCCTTTGCCTTTTAAATAATCAAAACCGAGTCCCCAAAGACTGACTGTTTCACAAGTACTTTCTAATGGATTTCAGTACTTTGTTTGTTGTGTTTATTAGAAGTATAGCTTCACATTTGTTAGACAAAGCATGTTGTCAATTCATATATATATATATTTGAGATGGAGTCTCGCTCTTGTCGCCCCAGGCTGAAGTACAGTGGCATGATCTCTGCTCACTGCAACCTCCACCTCCCGGGTTCAAGGGATTCTTCTGCCTCAGCCTCCTGAGTAGCTGGGATTACAGGCGCCTGCCACCAGGCCCGGCAATTTTTTTTTTTTTTTTTTTTTTTTTTTGGTATTTTTGGTAGACACAGGTTTTCACCATGTTCTCCAGGCTGGTCTCAAACTCCTGACCTCAGGTGATCTGCCCACCTTGGCTGCCCAAAGTGTTGGGAATACAGGCATGAGACACCGCACCTGGTCCATATGGTTTTTAAATGAATATTTGCTTATGAGGTGCCCCCACATCATTCACATTGCTCACCTGGCTGTATGCATACTAGCTTCAATACAGTCATCTTAAAATGAACACTATCAGTCTCAGAGACTAACTTTTCAATATGCAAATTGTTCACAAGACTGCTAGCAAAATGTGTGGATTTTGCAAATGCATTATCATACCAATATGTTTAAATTAGCAATGATAAAATGTCCTTACCTTACAAATGCGGACTTTATTTTTTTATTTTTTTCAGATGGAGTTTTGCTCTTGTTGCCTAGGCTGGAGTGCAATGGCGCAATCTCAGCTCACTGCAACCTCCGCCTCCCGGATTCAAGCTATTCTCCTGCCTCAGCCCCCCGAGTAGCTGGGATTACAGGCATGTGCTGACACGATCGGATAATTTTGTATTTTTAGTAGAGATGGGGTTTCTCCATGTTGATCAGGCTGGTCTTGAACTCCTGACCTCAACTGATCTGCCCACCTCGGCCTCCCAAAGTGCTGGGATTACAGGCGTGAGCCACCGTGTCTGGACTCTTTAGCCCTACTTCCACTCTTCTTTCTGACCTCCCCATCTCCCATAAATATTCTACAAGGGAAGAGATAAAATTAAGGGACAGATGTGGAAATGTGGGAATATCCATGAAAGATATTTGAAAAGCTTGTACCACTGGAGTGGCTGACACGATGTGAAAGCCCTGCTCCATCTTACAGCAAGCTCTGAATCACTATATTATTACTACAAGAACTTATATACTTGTTATTGCTTGAATGTCCTAAAAAAGCATTTCACTGTGTGACTTTTCACTGAAAGTTAAACTTAGCATACCGTTATTGGTAGTTTTATTAATTTAGGGTCCAAGATGATACATTTTACAAAGGACAAGGGACAAAGATAGCATTGCAAAGAAGTCAAACTTTCTCAATCAAAAATTGTCTAATGAACTTAAATAATAGCAAACAGGAAATAGAGTATGAACTCACTAATCAACGGGGTCTTACAGTTACCTCATGGAATTTTTTTTTTTTCTAGACAGAGTCTCTCTCTGTTGCCCAGGCTGGAGTGCAGTGGCGCAATCTCCACTCACTGCAAGCTCCACCTCCTGGGTTCACGCCATTCTCCTGCCTCAGCTTCCCGAGTGGCTGGGACTACAGGCGCCCGCCACCACACCCGGTTAATTTTTTGTATTTTTAGTAGAGACGAGGTTTCACCGTGTTAGTCAGGATGGTCTCGATCTCCTGACCTCGTGATCGGCCTGCCTCGGCCTCCCAAAGTGCTGGGATTACAGGCGTGAGCCACCACGCCCGGCAGCCTCATGGAATTTTTCTAAAGAAAGAAATATTTACTACATGTTCAGAAATCCTGAGTAGGTGTTTGGGTTTGGCAAAGGGAGATTTGTTCTAATCTAGTGGCTTCTCAGGTCCTTTAAAATTTTTGGACTTCTAAGAGCATTACTTACAAATTGTTGTTCAAACCTTTTATAATCAATTATTAAACACATTTTAACTAAAGCTTTTAACTATCCATACTGTTTTTAGTTCACTTACATGAATCCTTAAGAAATTAATTTATATTTATTTTGCCATAGGAGGATTTCCATACAGATAGTGATATTTGACTTTTGAAATCCTCATAGTAACCATTTTTGTTTGCGTCAGTATTATCTCATCATCACTACCTTCTCTTAGCATGGATGTTTTGGTATCAAATATGTGTAGAGTCTCACTAGCTCTACACCTCTGAGTTATTAATAACCCACACATAGGTTAGAGAGAAGATTACCTTTTTAACTACCTGTGTAGAAAAATATTTCCTAAGTAAATTATATAAACTGGATTATTCGAGTTTGTTTAAAATAGTCAAGAAGATTTCCAAAGGTTCTTAGGTATGTCAGTATGCTTTTGAACATCTAACATGTTAATTACAAACAGTTCTTATGTATTCACTAAAATCTCACACAGTATGTAATAGCCAAATTTTTACTAGCTTTTATTCCTGACAATGCAAGTACTTCTTTATTGATTAACATGACAACTTTAATGCCTGCAGTTCATGAGACCAAGCTAGGTACTCTGTAAGAGGCTGTGGATGATACAAAGGCAAAGAAGACATAGCCCCTAGACTCAAGGAGCTTGTGGCCCAAAAGTGAGAACCAACAAACAAAGCTTCTCTAAACACAAAGTTCATTGTAATCTCCCTCTGGCCACAGATGCTGTGTTACTTGGTTGTTTAACAGCTTAAGACTGAAACTAATTAATAGTTGCAATAATACAAGAACAAAGAACAAGTCCATGGTTTTTTCCTAGATTTCTGTTTTCAAATCTAACTTGATTTAAAAAGATCATCTACCCTGATTGAGGCCACTAGTACATGCAATGAGTGCGTGTTTTTTAAAAAAAGTTGGCCTTAAAAGTTTTTTCTGTTCAGAGCCCTAGTGCCAAGATCAGCAAACACACAGTCCTAATAAGGCAGAAATTCTTACATAGCCAAATATTTCTTCTATTTCAGTGCATCCTCTTCTGTTTGTATGTATGACCTTCCAATCTTCATCTTGCTTCACTGAATTATTGAAACTCTTTCCATTAATTATGATTACCCAGTTATCAACTGACTACAATAGAGCAATCTGCAGTGCTTTTTATTGCAGGGAAGAGCAGAGAGTTATTTTTTGTAAAATATTAATAGTACAGAATTACTATTCTATTTCCTATGATGAGCTAATTGCTTCTTCAAAAATTCCATTTTATTCTAGTTTCTTACCAATGTTTTGTTGTTTGTTTTGCTTCTAATAGGAGTTGTTCCTTCTCCAGGCTATTTCTTTAACTATAGCATGGCCTTTGCTATTATTTTTAACAGGGTCAAAAGATCATAGAACTTTGTATCTAGAAAGACCATATAGATCATCTAATTGATTCACTTTATTTCACAAAAGGTGAATCTGAGACCAAGAGGGGAAACTGTGACTGAGAGAGAGAGAGAAGGGAGGGAGAGAGGGAGGAAGGAGAAAGAGAAAGAGAAAGAGAGAGAGAGAGTGAGTGAGTGAGAGAATTGCTGAAGGTCACACATGTAGTTAATGGCAGAGGAAGGACCAAAACATAAAGTCCTGATTTATAGTTCAGTGCAATTTTCTCCAATGCATGGCTGGCTTTTGTTTTGCTGTGTAATTCATTAATACTAGGTAAAACTTAGCTTCACAAACATTTTTAATATAACTACTGAGGTCTGAGTTACAGTTATTTTTTGGGTAAACGAAATGATGGGATAATGGATTGAATGGGGATTTTAGAAAGGCACTAAAAAGTAAAAAAAAAAAAAAATCACAAGAATCTAGCCTTAAGGTAGATGTTATGTAGATTTGCTTAGTTGTTACTTTTATTGGCACACCATAGAAAGTAGGATGCGATTAGTTCTGTAAATTTTTTTTTTTGAGATGGAGTTTTCACTCTTGTCGTCTAGGTTGGAGTGCAATGGCGTGGTCTCAGCTCACTGCAACTTCCGCCTCCTGGGTTCAAGCTATTCTCCTGCCTCCGCCTCCCTAGTAGCTCAGATTACAGGTGCCTGCCACCATGCCAGACTAATTTTTGTATTTTTAGTAGAGACAGAGTTTCACCATGTTGGCCAGGCCGTTCTCTAATTCCTGACCTCAGGTCATTCGCCCGTCTCAGCCTCCCAAAGTGCCGGGATTACAGGCGTAGTTCTGTAATTCTAAAATACAAAGATCAGCTTCACCTCTCGCTGTTTATTTCTATTCTAGATGCTACAAATTCTTTGTGACCCATTCCATTTTCCCATAAATTGCTACTGATATTATTACATAGCTCTAGCCATGTAACAGGTTTCTTCAGAATCTGTTCACTGAACTATTTTCAAATGCAAGTCCAGGGACTTGCGTCCCCTACCTACAGAATTTCTAATAAGCTAAAGCTAATTTTTGAACCATTTAAATTAAAATAGGTGCTACAATGCAAAGACAATTTTTACATGAAGTATTTGAAGGTCCCATTATGATCATGAAAGCTTTCTTAGATATGCTTTGTTAAAATAAAACCTACCAGTTAACCATCAGGACAGTACAAATGCTTTTATCCAATTACCACACATTCCACCTTTCCCTTCTCTACTACTAGCACTTTCAAATTGCATTCTACCTGCTAAAAGAACCTCATTCCACCAGGAAACTCTTCTGTAGATAATTTGGGGCTGTACTAATATGCACTGTCCAAGAGGCTTACACCTTGCTTTCTTTACTAATATTCTGCTTCCAGGGAAAATCTACTATGAAGTGTTTCGTTTTGGAAATTTTCAGACTTAGCTGTTTTTAAACCTTATAAAAGGAAATATGTCTCAATGGTTTACATAAGGCCAACCAAGGGAATTACTGACCAATATCTATGCATCTCCACAGAAGAAGTAGCTGGACAATGTTCCTCTGTGTTGTGCAGATGTAAAGAGTGAGAGTATGAACATTAATGTCAATTATAACAGTACCCCAGAGAGAACTAGATGCAAGCTGAGGACAGAAGTCTTCTGACTTTTCCCAAGACTGAAACTAGTCTGATGTGAGTCTTACCTAAATTAAATATTTATTGGAATGGTCTTTTTACTTTGCTCTATCATTTTATTTTATTTTATTTTATTTATTTTTTGAGATAGAGTCTCACTCTGTTGCCCAGGCTGGAGTGCAGTGGTGTGATCTTGGCTCACTGCAAGCTCCGCCTCCTGGGTTCATGCCATTCTCCTGCCTCAGCCTCCCGAGTAGCTGGGACTACAGGCGCCCGCCACCACACCTGGATAATTTTTTGTATTTTTAGTAGAGACGGGGTTTCACCATGTTAGTCAGGATGGCCTTGATCTCCTGACCTCGTGATCCACCCACCTCGGCCTCCCAAATGCTGGGATTACAGGTGTGAGTGACCACGCCCAGCCAGTTTGCTGTATTCTTAATTGAAAAATCAACCTAAGGCTTTTCTATCACTCTTTCGCAGTCTGAAATTTTAAAAATGGAGTGTAAAGATTCAGCCCTTGAGATCTAGTCATTTTCCCTCCCTGAACAAATGAGGTGGACTTGAAAAATTAAAGAAAAAATGGAATGGGGCAGGGGGTCGAGGGAAAAGTGCCATCTTACTCAGAAGGAAATGATAGATTACAAAAGAAAAAACTCTTCTGAGTTACCAAGGAGATGGGCTCAATTTACCAATCTAGTTGCCCTAGTATTTACACTGCCATGAACATCAAGACGTATATAATAGGGTGGGGGCAGGTGAGTTGTCTTTATGTATGAATTTCTAACATGCTAGTGCTTAAGGTTCTGGCCCATGTTTAACATTCCTAACACAAACCATGGATGTGGAATCCTGAGCTAGCTGGAAATTTTACTGAGAAACAGAGACTTCAGTCTTATATTAAATATTTAGTAGTATAGCCCTCATATGAAGCTATTATCGCTACGGTTTTTTATTTCGGAGGGAAACTTAGAAAATAGACCACCTCTTTTTTTGAATAACATACGTTTCTTAAAATTTACACTATACTAAGAGCAAGAATCCTGTTTTGGGGTTGGAGCTTTAATCCCAGTTTCAACACTTACTAGCTGAATGTCTTTGGTCAAACCATTTGAATTTTGAAACTTAGTTTCTTATTTGTAAAAGGGGATTCTACTTTGCAGTAACCAGTTGAGAAAATCAGCATGATATTTCTATATGAACTAAAGTGTGCCAGGAAAATAAGAGGAATAGTATATGAGAGGGGTAAACACCTTTCTAAGACTCTCAAATGTTTAACATTTGTGTAACATTTGTCACTTACTGTGCTACTTCTGTAAGAGCCAGTCTCAGATTAATTTTTTTTTAAAAAAACTCACATTTAAAAAAAACTAACAAAGTGACTAACATATATCGTCACTTAATATGGTAGCTCACTAAGAGCAACACTCAGATAAAAAAAAAAAACCTAAAAAATTGACTGAGGAATTGGAAATGCATGAAGTAAACCAGGATATTATTACATCATGAGCAGAAAGATACTTAAGAATACCTTTACAATCACGCACAGCAGCACAGTTTAAGAACTTACTATGGGAAGATCACTTTATGTAGTGTTCTGTAGAGTTTCATTGGAATGAGTTCCTTTGGGGGATGTGTGCTTAACAAACTTAAAGGGTGATGAAAACAAACAGCAAACCAAATAAGAAAAATAAACTAAATATTGATAATAGTAAAGAGAACAGAGAATGTGGAATTAATTACAATGGGAAGGAACAACAGGTAAATTTTATTGAGCACATACTAAGCTAGGCACTAGGATGTATGTTTTCTCACTGGTCTATCTTACAGGAAAATCTTTTTCGAATTCTACAAATAACAGTTTATTTTTTGTGTGTAGGTCCTTTAAAATCAACCATTTTTTCTTTCATCTAATATGGTTCCAGATTTCAGGTATATGACAATAAATAAATGTCAAATTGGATCAACAGAGATCTTAGTGATAGGGACAGGAGGCAGAGAAATTCTAGGCGGAAAAAGGTGGGGTCCCTGGCAAAGCCCCACCATCAAGCCTAGAAAAACTGCCCAAAGTGAGAACATCCCCATTTTCCCACTTGAATGTTGCCTTTTCCAAAACCACCCTGGCCCACTCCGCCCCCCATCCTGTACCCATAAAAACCCCAGACTACGCTGACAGAGGAGCAGCAGAGAAGGAGAGAAGGTAAGAAGCAGCTGGACGTCAGAGGGAAGCAGCTTGACTTCAGAGGGATGGCTTGACGGTGGGTCTTCGGAGAAGAGCCTGGCTGGGGATGGCCAGATTCCAGGGGAAGACCACTTTCCAACTCCATCCCCTTTCTAGCTCCCCTTCCCACTGAAAGCCACTTTAATTGGCACCAAAAATCTCCATATTCATCACCCTCCAATTCCTTAGTGTGACCTGATTCTTCCTGGACGAGGAACAAGAGCTTGGGAGCCATGGGTGTAGATGCTTGAGCTGTTTAACACTTAAGCTAATCACAGATGGCAAAGCTAAAAGAGTAACACATGCCATCTGGGGCTCCAGGGACCGTGGGTACCCTGCCATAGACACTACTGTGGGGCTGCATGGAGTTCTGCTCCTACCAGCACCCAGAAGTACTCGTATCGGCTCCTGCACCTGCTCACCTGCGTGCTCCCCCTCCCACGAGGGGTTAAGATCTATGGGCTGAGTAAGCAAGGCACCCTTGTCATGAGGACCATGAAGGGGTCAGGAAAAATTGCCTATTTCATCAGCAAATGCAAATTTCATATACAAAAGAGGGGAGGAGAGAGATTAAATGCATCAGAGAGGGGATTATAAGGTAGAAACAAGAAAACATAGAAGAGTCCCTGTCTACATAGAAAAATATCTAATGTTATATGTGGATGAAAGCAAGGTTTTGTGAATGCATGGCTTTTATATTATATCTACATTATTCTCCAGAATTCTTATAAAAGGCCTAACAACTCTAGACATAATGATTTTTTAAATGTTTCACAGTTCTATGGTAAGATTGGAGACACTTGATGAAAGGACTCTCACCTGGAGGATTTCAGGTACTATGACTCACTTTGAAATCTAGGCCAAATTTAGGGAAAAAGCAGCAGCCTAAGATTACAGTCCCTAAAAGTCATTTTTTAGGTTCCTAAAAATAATGGATACATGTCATGATATGCTGCACATGCAATGCTATATATTTATTCTCTGATATACTCTTTGGTAATGTTAAACACTTGAGGATTTCAATCACTATGATGGAAGCTATTTAAATACACTATAGTAAGTATCAACAGCATTTCCCTAAACTGTTAAAGGAGAGAAATAAGATTTAGAAAATACCATTCCTGTAGTAACTAGAGGCTGAAACAACATAGTGAATAATTCATTCATAAGAATAAAATTCAAATTGGAGTGATTTTAAGAAGTAACTATGATATAACATTGGGTGGTCTCTAATGTGTAGTATATTGAGCACCTTGCATATGTTATCTCATTTAATACTCACATTAACTCTAATGTAGGTATTATTCCCTCCCACAGGCTTTTATCCCACATTATATGGATGACACTGAAGCTTAGGTTAAATGATTTACCCAAGATCGTAGTTTTTTTCATGACCAAGTTGGATTGAATCCAAGGTCTAGTATGATACCAAAGCTTGTGCTTTGTCTACTACACTTACTGCTGAAACACTGCAAAAGGAATCTTGCTAAAATGAATATGGAGCACTACAATGGCCCCCAAAGGATGCCAGAGTTTCCTCACTCTAGGCTGTTTTTTATACCATCCTCTCCCACAGGATATACACATGAAGTACCCAAATTATCACACATGAAATCCCAACTCTTCTCTCTGTGTAATAGTTTAATGAAAGCTGGTTTATAGTTAGTATTTTTTATTAGACTAGTGTTCTTCATAGGAAGAGTGGTAAGAATTTTAGATAATAGAGGTGTCACCCATCTACTTGGGCCAACAAAGAGCAGTGAGTTTTATGGGTGCCACAATAGAAAAATTCCTCAAAAGGACATTGCTGAAGCTAAAAGTCCAGTGTTTACTTTGGCAATTCAAAATTATTTAACAGCCTTCTCTATCACTGGTATTTTACTAGCTTAAAGTCTCACTTTAGTGAGCAAAATATTTTAAAACCTTGCTAGATTATTCTGCAACAGTTTATATTATCTTAGTAAAAGGTGACTAGCTTCTTCATACCAATGGTATAGTTACCTTAAAACTGGGATAAGTTGGTGTTGAGATTCAAAAGTAAATCCCTTTGAAGTCATCATATTTCTTTTTATGTAGTTTTTATTTTTATGAATAACACATGACCACTGCTTTAAAAGTCAAAGAAAGAAAAGCAGTAGTCTACTTCTGTACCCTATCTCAATGCTCAGTACAATTCCCCAGGCTAATTGCTTTCAACTCTTTTAGTTATTTCTTTTGATATTTATTTTGTTACTTTGAAATAACATACTTATATTTTTATTTCTTAGTTTTTAGTTTTACATATTATGTCCTGACTTTTTAGTTTGAGACATAAGAAATTTTCTTAAGCATCATTTTTAGGCTTGTGTTTGCCTCATTCCTCTATTTCCTGGATCTGCATTCTCTCTCGATTCCATGGAATACATATTCAAGTAGCTCCTTGAGAGAACCTGCATTTTTTTTTTAGATTTTTCATGTCTGAAAAGGCATTTACTTTCATTTTTTTATTCTTTAGCTAGATATAAATTTTTAGGTTGCAAACAATTATTCAATTATTTCTTTGAATTTTGAAGGTAGTTTTCAAATACCGTCTACCTTCCAGTGTTCCTGTTGATAAATCAAATGTCATTGTTGTTTTTGATCCTTTGTATGACACTTGGTTTGTTTGTTTTATTTTCTCTAGGGAAGCTTTTAGAATCTTCTTTTTGCCCCAGTTCTCTGAAATTTCACAATAATGTGACATTGTGTAGGTTTTCTTCATTTGGGAAGCTCAAGTCCTTCATTTATGAGACATTCGATTTTATGATTTTATTGATAATTTCCTCCTCTGTGATTTATTGTCATGCTTTTCCAGAAAATATATTCTGATGGAGTAGGACCTTCTGAACTGATTTGCTTTGTTAACTCTTCTATTGTTTCCAGGTTAGATATTTTATCTATTTTCTGTGTAGTTTTATCAACTTATTCTTCGAAACATTCTATTGATCTATTTTATTATGATGTGATCATGATGACCATGATGAAGATGATGATGATGATGATGATGACATTCTCTCTTGCTCCTTGTACTGTCTCTGTTTCCTCTAAATTTCCCTTTTTGTCTATTTTGGTCTATTTTTCGTTTTAGAAGTTTTTCACAAACTTATTCTTGGTTGTTTCTTCATATTCAGGGGTGAGGTTGAATTGCTGATTACCATCTCTGCATGTGCATTATCTTTTCTAGGTTAGCCAATCTTCCCAGGTAGAAATGTATCCACCAATCACTTTCCTGGGATTTTTAATCTTGATTGCCAGTGCTCTAGAAATTGAAAGACAGAAAGAGCTGAGAGTATTTTATCACTCAGCATGTAGATTCTCAGATCATATCTTAGTTTTAGTTGTGAAATCCTCATTCTAAATTGTGCAGTAATCCCCAGGTCCAGAATCCCCTCATTTTAATCTTTGCCATTTTTTCTTTTTTGAGACAGAGTCTTGCTCTGTTGCCAGGCTGGAGTGCAGTGGTGTGATCTCAGCTCACTGCAACCTCTGCCTCCCAGGTTCAAGCAATCCTCCTGCCTCAGCCTCCCGAGTAGCTGGGACTATAGGTGCATGCCACCACACTCAACTAATTTTTGTATTTTTAGTAGAGACGGGGTTTCACCATGTTGGCCAGCATGGTCTCGATCTCTTGCACTCGTGATCTGTCTGCCTTGGCCTCCCAAAGTGCTGGGATTACAGGCGTGAGCCACCACGCCTGGCCTAATCTCTGCCATTTTATAGTGCATCTGGAGGTCTAACTACTCCTACACAGACTGTTAAACAATCTTCTTGTTTGTGTGTTTGTTTTCTTCAACCATGCCCACATCCAGACTTTTAGAGCTACTTGGTAGTTGTTATTTCTGACAATTCTCTAGGTCCTAGAAACAAACATGTGCTTGCTTCATTGTTATCCTCCATCTCATTCTCATATTCCTCTATGTGGCAGGCCAGGTCTCACTAACAGCTGAACAGGCAGGCCTCTATGAAAACTGGTTCAGCACTGATTGGATGGTTAAGTTAAATATTAAAAGCTGATACAGACAGTGCCTTTATATCAAGGCTGGAATGTAAGAAAAGCCCACCACGAGTTTTGCCTAGGACTTTCCTGGGCCTTGAAGCATGAAAAGATAACGAAGGAATTCTTAACAGGACCCGTTAAGGATTAAGCAAGTTTTATTGGGGGTCTGAAAAAACTCTCCAGCCTTCCACAAGCAAGTTTTATTGGGGGTCTAAAGGAACTCCCCAAGCCTCCATGATTTAGCAGGAGACAAGATAAATGTAATCACCCCAGCACCTGGACCCATTTAGATTTAGTAAATTTACTGAGGCTCCAGAGGAAGGTCTTCAAGACTCTGACATTAGTTATAGATTAGAAGAAGTTAATCACCTATGTCCTTAGATGAATGCACACTTACACATAGTCGTATGGCTTAGAAGGTATATAAGCTCTGACAAACTTTTTAATTTTGAGTTGATCTGGTGATATTTTCCTGGCCTTCTCCCTGTACCCAGTTACAGAAATAAATTATCTTATTTCCCAGTTCATCTGCATCTCGTTATTGGGCCCTGCGAATAAGCAGCCCGACTCTTGGTTTGATCCAGGAACACTCTCAGGCGTTTAGCTTTCAACTTTCTAAGTTCTACTGTCACTACCCTCCCATCTTATTTGCATGCCTCATCTGTTTTTTTTCTTCCATTTTTTTCAATCACATGATTTTTATCTAATTTTCATGATTTTTCAAAGAATTATTGAAGGGACCAAAGGTACACCTTCAGTGCACACCTTCAATCTTCCATGCTTAATGAGAAGTCATCATCATATTTATTTTTCCTTTTTTAAGCACAAGTATTGCCCCTTAGCTGTTTTAAGAAAAAAATATAAATCTTTGAAAACTTAAAAAATAAAGTTATTTCACTTTCGCCATAATTTCAGTATTCTTTATGTTTTCTTTAAACAAAAAGCATCATATCCCTCTAATGTATGCAATGGGTGCATCTTCTCTTCATTATTTTCCAAAAACAAGACTACCAGAGAAGGTACTGCTGACTTAAATGATTTCATTTTAGAACCTATAAGAAACAGGTGCCATGTAGACCAGGCTATGATCTGTTTTTAAAATGTTTGACATTTCTAAAGTAGAATTGCAGATGCTTGATGAAGGGAGCCTCACCTGAAGGGTTTCAGATACTAAGATTTACTTTAGCATTTCACTATGGTAATGTATACCTTAACTAGCCAGAGGAACTTAAGAATCAACATTTATTGGTATTTATTCTAAACACTGCTCTGTATGAGGGGTTTGGTTTCAAAGCTTTCACCTAGAAATGATGGAATACATAGTTTACCATGAAGGTTCCTGGCTATATCAAACTGTAAATCCTTTCCCTAGAAGATATTCACTCTTCACCCCAGCAAAAACAATCTGGACACAATCCTGTTAGGGCTCTGTATACATAATCGGAGAGGAAGCCATAGATACATTTGGCATTCCAGCTGGGAAGATGGCACATTCGGAACCCAGTTCTTGTGACAGAAAATATTTGCTTCTCACCAATAGGAGAGATATTTTACTATGGAGCTTTTCAAAGGATAATGAAATCACAAAGACGTTAATAAGACACAGGCAGTTTAGTAGCCCACAGGTAGGGAAACAATGAAGAAGCATTCTTCCAAACAGGATACTTCAAGCTTTAGGGCATTCTTATAAGTGCAGAAAGAAGACTACTTCCAGAGGATGTCAAAAAAAGGTGTGAGTGGCAGTTACCAACATTAAGTATAATAATATAATATATAATATCCATCTTTTTTTTTTTGAGACAGAGTCTCACTCTGTCACCCAGGCTGGAGTGGAGTGGTATGATCTTGGCTCACTGCAACTTTCACCTCCTGGGTTCAAGTGATTCTCCTGCCTCAGCCTCCCGAGTAGCCAGGATTACATGTGGGCACCACCACATCAGGCTATTTTTAAAAAATATTTTTGGTAGAGACGGGGTTTGGGCAGGCTGGTCTCGAACTCCTGACCTCAAGTGATCTGCATGCCTCAGCCTCTCAAAGTGCTGGGATTATAGGTATGAAACACCGCGCCCAGCCTATAATATCCATCTTTTAATGTATGTATGTTTTAATTATGTATGTATGTATCTATTCATATGTCTATCATCTATCTATAGCACAAGTTCATCAACTATGAAAAAAGTTTTTTAAAAAATTGGGTGTAAGAATACTTCTGTTTGTTAACAAACAAATACAATGTTTAGTAATATCAAATTTGTCCTTTCCTTGGCTCCGCCTCTGCCTGAGAACACATTTGGCCTAAAATAAGGGGACAGATGAACAGCTGAATGTCTTTATGACAATCAACTGTAGGCCAGAGAAAGCTTTGATTAGAATAAATACTGACATCTGCAGATGAAATGAACTGCAGGACAATGCTTAATATAGCTCAGTTTTTCTTGGTTAGCATTAATTGAAATTGGACAATGTGCTGGCAGCTTGTGGAAAGTGAGCAAAACATGGTTAAAAGCTATCCTCTGGTTAAAGAGAGGTTGATGCGTACATCACTTGTATGCCTTTGCCTGCTGAATTCAAGAAGCCCACCTTTATAAGATAAAATGAAGTTAACAAGTAAGTGAGCACCCCCTGTGTTCATAGTATAATGATAAGATTTAAAAAAAAATACTTGGTCTTATTAAGAAAACAAGAATAGTTTATATGAAATAATAAGAGACCAATGTGTCAAGTAAAATAGAAACTGGTATGTCAGTCAAATGCTAAATTGTAGAGGGATTTAATAATAAGACCAATGTTAAAGGATGTCAAAGAAGCAAGAGGTAACCGTGAGCTGGAGTATTCAAGAGAGATTTATAGTGGAAATTAAAATAGATTGGCCTTCTAATGTGCAATGTATCACAAATAGTCTTAAATTATATAATTTAGAACATAAAAAGATGTCTAAGATGTATTATATAAGAAAAGTTTTCAAAGAGTGTATTCGCTATGCTATATTTCTAGAGAAATAAATACACAAATAATATTTGGGAAGAATATATTGCATATTATTAACAGTGGTTAAACCTAGGGCAAAGATAGTAAGAAATTAGAACATTTAAAATTATGTATCTTTACATCACTTATTTAAACAAAAATAATTTATTTTTGGAATCAGAAGAGAGTGAGGTTGCACCAGACTTTCTAATAATTCACTTCTTCCTCAATTTCCAACATAACTGCAGTCTAGGACAGAGCTTTACCTAGATGTACACTGGAAACAAGTATTCCTGGATCAGAGATATATTATTAGAAAATAAGAAGAGACATAAATATGAATCCAGCAGATATTAAAAGATAAACGAAAAATATCATGAATTATATTATCCTAATAATTTTGAAAACATTTGAAATGGAAGAAAGAAATCAAATGAAACTGATGCAAGAAAATACATCTTATTTGTCTTCTAAAATTATTAATGGAATTAAATTGGTATTTAAAATTTCTACACAGAAAAACTATTAAACCCAGGCAGTTTTAAGAATGTGTTATATCAAATATCAAAAAATAGGATAGTCTAACCTTTAAAGGAATAGAAAAAGAAGAAATATTTCAAACTAATTTTTGAAGCTAGTATAACTTTATTACCAACACAAGAAAAAAATGAAATGAGAAGGTATAGGATACCTTATTCATTAACATTAATGTAAAAATTCCAACTAAGATATTTACAAACTGAATTTTGGACATGCATAAATATGTCAAACCATAATAGTCTAGTTGTATTTATCCCAGGAATGATGGCTTGATTCAGTATAAGAAATCTGCTGATGAAATTTACCACATTAAAAAATTGAGGAGAAAAAAACACATATGATTATGCCATAAACACGGAAAAGTGGTAAAATCCAACATGCATTCGTAATTTTAATATTAATGAGCAAAACTAGAAGTGGAAAGAAACTTATTTAACTTAGTAAAAGCTACTTACAAAACTACAGTGCAGCTGCTTTGGAAAACAGTTTGGCAGTTCCTCAAAATGTTAAATATCGAGTTGTCATGTGACCTAGATATACAACTGAAAAAATTGAAAACACAAAATTTCTATGAGAATATTTAAAGCAGTATTTTTCAAAATAGCCAAAAAGTAGAAACAACCAAATTGGCCATCAACTGTTGAATTTATTTTTTAAAGTGGTATATTCATACAACCAAGTATTATTCAGCAATAAAAACTAATGAAGTACTGATAGTTCCTACAACATGGATGAATCTTGAAAACCTTATGCTACGTGAAAGAAGCCAGACACAAAAGGCCTCTGGCTATTGTGTGATTCAATTTGTATGGGATGTCCAGAATAGACAAATCTATACAGACAGAAAGTAGATTACTGGTTGCCAGGGGATAAGAATGGGGAAAATGAGTAGTGAGTGCTAATGGGTAAATAGTTTATTTTGGGGGTGACAAAAATATTCTTGAATTAGATTGTGATGATGGTTGCACAACTTTATGAATATGCTAGAAATTGTTGAATTGTACACTTTAAAATGGTGAGTTTTATGGCATATGAATTGTATAGCTATATTGTATTTTTAAACCTAATTTAAATATATTCAATGGTGAAATGTTAAAAGTATTCAGGAATAACATAGGATGCATCCTCTCACATCAATCCAACAAAATACTGGAGGTCCTAGCCAGTGTATGTAGAAAACATATAGAAAGAACATATAAAGTTAAAAGAGGAGAAACAAACTCTTGTTATTGCTTGACAACATGACTGTCCGTATAGAAAACTCAAAATATTCAAAAGAATAAGCTGAAAAATTGTTAATATATGCAGAAAGGTTTTCACCAAATGGTGCTGGGACAACTGGCTATCCACATGCAAAAGAAAGATCTAAAGACAAAACTTACAGCTTTATAAAAATTAACTCAAGATGAATTATAGACAAGTATGAAAAGCAAAACTATAAAACTCTAGAAAGTAATGTAGGAGAAAATCTAGGTGTTCTTGGGTTTATTGATGACTTTTTAGATACAAAGTCAAAAGCACAATTTGTGAAAGAAAAAATTAAAAAATTAGATTCATTAAAATTCACAATTCTGCTCTGCAAAAAATAATTTTTATGTTAAAAAAGTTATAAAAAAGATGAGCCATAGACTAGGAGCAAAAGACACATTAGATAAAGAAATAGTATTCAAAATGTACAATTTTTTTTTTGAAATAGCCATGCTCTGTTGCCCAGGCTGGAGTGCAGTGGTGTGATGTTAGCTCACTGCAACCTCCACCTCCTGGGCTAAAGCGATTCTCCTGCGTCAGCCTCCTGCATAGCTGGGATTACAGGCACATGCCACCACATCCAGCTAATTTTTATATTTTTAGTAGAGACGGGGTTTCACCATGATGGCCAGGCTGGTCTGGAACTCCTGACCTCAGGTGATCCGCCGGCCTCAGCCTCTCAAAGTGCTGGGATTACAGACATGAGCCACTACGCCTGGCCGATAATTCTTAAAATTTAACAATAAAAACAAAATGACGAAATGAAAAACAATTTAAAATTGATCACAAGATTTGAACAGAAATCTTCCCACCCCAAAGATATACAAATGTCAAACAAGCATATAAAACAATGTTCTCAACCTCATATAACATTAAGGAATTGCAAATTAAAACAATAAGATACGATTACCTACCTATTAGAATAGCTAAAATTCCAAACACATCACCAATGTTATTAAGGATGTGGAATAACAGGAGCTCACATTCGTTTCAGGTGGGGACGCAAAATGGTACCGTCAGTTTCAGATGACAGACTGGCAATTTCTTACAAAGCTTAATGTAGTCTTATATAACCCGACAGTCGTGCTCCTTGGTATTTACTGTAATGAATTGAAAGTTTATGTCCACACGAAAACCTGCCCATTAATCCATTAATGTTTATGTCAAGTTTATTCATAATTACCAAAACTTGGAAGAAACAAAGATGTTCTCTAATTGGTGAATGGACGGACAAATGTGATATTTCCATTAAATGGGATATATCATTCACCAATAAAAATAGATGAGCTCTCAAGCCATAAAAAAATGGGGAAATCTGAAATACATATTGCTAAGTAAAAGAAGTGAATCTGGAAAGGCTACCTACTGTATGATTCTGATTATATGACATTCTGGAAAAGACAGAACCAACGGGAGAGTAAAAAAGTCAGTGATCACCAGAGCTTGAGGGCTGGGGTGGGGGACAGCAAAGAGGGAAGTATAGGTGAAGCCTAGGGGATTTTAAGGCAATGAAACTGTTCTGCAATGGTGGATACATGCCATTATATATATATGTCAAAACTCATAGAATGTACAACACAAATACTGAATCCTGATGTAAACTATAGATTTTAGTTTATGATAATATATTAATATTCACTCATCAATTGTAAAAAATTCATCAATTAGTGCAAGATGTTAACAGTAGAGGAAACTTTGTGTATATGTGTCTGTGTGTGGGTAACCTGAAAACTCTAACTTCTGCTCAATTTTCCTGAAAATCAGTAAATACTCTACAAAATAAAGTCTATGAATTTCAAAAATGCTATGGCAAAAGAAAAATGTATAGAAATTTCTAGCAAGAAACCAGATATAAGATCGCTGTAAAAAATTCTATTGCATTTATATACATTATCAACAAATAGAAAATGCCATTTTGAAAGATACTATTTTCATTTTCAATAACATTACTAAAGCCTAGGAACAAAGATAACAAATATATACATGTCCTTAGTGTGTAAAATGATAAAAATTTTATTTAAAGGCATTAAAGGTAGAGAACTCAGAGTCTTAAATTTAACAATTTTCTTTGAATACATCTAGCCGTGTTTCTCAACTCGGAGTGCATAAAAAAATTCCCTGAACGTGTTAATGTAAATGACAAGTTAATGGGTGCAGCACACCAACATGGCACATGTATACATATGTAACAAACCTGCACGTTGTGCACATGTACCCTAGAACTTAAAGTATAGTAAAAAATATATGTATATAAAATAAAAATAAAAAGTAAAAAAAAAGGATCAAAAAAAAATCTCTATGTTTGACCACCTCCCAACCTCTCAAGATTAAGTAAATACAATAATCTCGTAGATAAAATTTTATTGAAGCACAGTCATCCCAGCAGACTACAATCAGAAGTCAAAATATATAAAGAACTATGATTCAAAAAGAACCGACAAAAATCTCAAGTTTTAAAATAAATATTTGAAGGACAAAATAAGCATTTCACAGAACAGAAAGCACAGCGTCCATAATCCTGAAAATGTTTAACTGAGAAATTCAGAATAAAACCACAATAAAATACAGTTTTTTTATGATACCATATATCTCTTTATTATAAATCTATATATTTAATGCTTCTTATTACCTTCAATGTTTACAGAAAAATTAATGTAAATGTATCCTAAACTCTTTGGATTACCACTTTTTAAAAAATATTCCAATAGTTTTTGGGGTACAGGTGGTTTTTGGTTGCATGGATGAGTTCTTTCGCAGTGCTTTCTGACATTTCAGTGAACCCATCACCTGAGCAGTGTACACTGTACCCAGTGTGTAGTGTTTTATCCCTCACCCCCAACCTTTCCCCCGAGTCCCTAAAGATTATTATATCGTTCTTATACTTTTGCATCTTCATAGTTTAGCACCCACTTATAAGTGAGAACATATGATATTTGCTTTTCCATTCCTGAGTTGCTTCACTTAGAATCATAGCCTCCAGCTCCAAGTTGTTGCAAAATACATTATTTGGTTCCTTAATAAAATATTTTTTCTATATCAACCAAATGGAAATAAAGTTTAAAATCCAGCAAAAATAGTGATGATGTTGAGAAACTGGAATTCCTTTCCACTGTGGGAATGTATATTGTTATACCAACGCTGGGAAATAATTTGACATTACCAAGATGGACATATCCTGCAACCTAATGATTCCACCCCTTGATATATTCCTTCCCTGGAGAAACTCTCCTACATTTTAACTAGGAATCATGTAGCAGAATGCCAAGAGAAACACTCTATGACAAACACACAAACACACACACACAGACACACACACAAACACAAATACAAATGGTGGTCTCTTCGTACAATAAAACAGTGTGTTGAGAGAAGGATGACAAGTTTCCTCTTAATGTGGAGCATGGTAATTAAAAGGTATAAGCATGAGGTGAGATTGGAAAGGCATGTTGGAGCCAGATAATGACTGACTTTGTTAAGAAGTTTAACATTTTTCCTATAGGTGAAGGGAAGCTTTGGATATTTTTAAGCAGGAGGCAAGATCCAGTTGTATTTGAAAGGTTGCTCAGACAACAATGTTTAAAATGGCTGGGAAAAGGGGACAAGAGTACTAGTTAGAAAGCTGTTACAATTAATCAGTAAGGAAATATTTTTGCCAATCGGGACTTATTCACAACTGTTACCCTAATTTAAAAAACCCTACTCTATCTTGGGATCCTAGAAGGCTACACTCTAGAATAGTGAGTGGATACTATTCCAGCACCTTCATGCATTGGTCTTGGACCATTGGTGACCACAGGTGTTAGGCAAGATGAAAAAATTACCTGAACCTAGTACATCCATGTGCATTTTCTCCACCTGGTAAACTCATTCCTTAATACCCTACTGAAATTCCGGTCCTTTGAAAAATCTGCCCTATTATTCCAAGCAGAATTAATGTCTCCCACTTCCAGGCTTTCACCATAGTACAATAAAATTAAAACAAACTGTTTTTAAAAGACATTTGGGAAATATTTTTCAAACTGTTAAATTGGCATAACCTGTGATACAAAACTTCCACCACTAGGAAGCTATGTGCACAATGATGAATACACAGTTTTTTAAAAATTAGAATATTCTTTGTTTGCTTTGCAATAGCAATTTCCTGGAAACCACCAAAATGCGCATGAGGAGGCTGGTTAAGTAAGTGTGGCTACATCCATACAATAAAATGTCACTTAGTTTTTAAAGACAATGAAGAGTGAATACTGATATGGAAAAAAATATCCAAAATATAGCCAGTGACAAAAGCAAGATGTAGATAAAAGGGTGCAATGTGTGACCATTTACATATCTGTGAAGAAAATTTCTGGAAAGAAATATAAGAAACTGTAAATAGCATTTGCCTTTAAGGAGGGCAACTGAGCATTTGGAGTGGTAGTCTCATTTTCTTTTTCATAATGCTTTTTGTACTACCTGGATTTATTTAATTGCATGCACTATTTTATTTTTAATAATAAGCTTTTTAAAATGGAAATTATTGTACTCTTTAAAAATGAAAATCCTATTTATGTACCACATCTATTACACTGTAGTTTATTTGTTAATGTGCTAGGTTTTCCAACTTCACTATGAGCAACTTAAGGACAGAACCTGTCTGATTGGTCTTCATATCCACAGTGCCTAAGCACAGTGCCTGATAGTAATGGACACTCAAGCACCTGAATAAAAAGATGAATAGATATTGATTGAATGAATGAATGGATACAGGAATCAATGCATGAATAAATAAATAAATGCATTAGTGAATAAATGGCAGATAGTAAAGTCAAGTTCACTAAAGGACAACAATTGCAGTCCTTCACAAACTTATCTGTGGCCCTTCATCTATGTTTTGAGGATTTATTATGAGAAGAAATTCAGGAAAAACACAATTGCTTTACATTCACAGGTGACCTATCTGATGAAGACTACAGAATCATATTAATTATGCACGAGATCAATGAAGTACATTTTATCCTAGGCTGCATCAAAAGCAAGTCACTGTGAAATGAACTGAATGATTTAACAACATCCAATGCTTAAAACGTCCTCCTCACCTTAAAGGTCTTCAGGACAGCCTCTTAATTTGATTTCTGTTTTGTTGTGCTATCTTCATTTTATGGTCTTTAGTTCTCCTTATTACAAATGTAATTTTTAAGGGTCAAATTAATTTAATTTCACTTTGGCTTTGGGATGGTTGAATGCAAGGTTGTGAAAACCACTAGCTTAAAACAGGTGCTCTGCAAAACTTTCTGCCAAGCCTCCCTAAGTCAGCAAGACACCAACAGAAAAAAGTATAAACTGGAGAGTTCACAGCTATTCTGTAATAGTAAGGAGAAATGATGGATGCTCCAAACATTGTATCAACGCCAGAGGGTGGCATTGTTGTTACTTACACCCCGTCCCCCATCCCTGCAGCCTGAAAGGCTTGCCTTACACTTTTCTACCTCTCAAAATTATGCCCATTCTTCAATACCCAACTAAAATCCGCTCTCTTCTGTGATGCCTTTTCTTACTGCTTCAGCCAGAAGTACCCCGCTCTAAATCACTTGTTTAGAATCAACTATGTCTTGTGTCTCATACCATACTTACTACTTTGACCATCTTAGATCCTCATGTGAATTGTGAACTTCTGGAGTGCAGAAAGCATGTGCTACACTACTTTATATTCCATCCTCCTCCCCATCTCATTCTCATAAGTATTCTTTTAATTTTTTTGAGTCTTGGACAGCTTTGAGAATTTAACAAAAGCAAACTGAATGGATAAATGTGCAAGTCCACAAAGTGAAACTTTCCAGGGGACTTCAAGGATGCATGATATTAGATCTAGCTCGGGTTCAATTAATATTGACTAAAATTAGGGAGGTAACATCTACACAGACGAGCTTGGAGTTAAATCCCTTAGTTTTGTATCTCAGCTCTGCTGCTTACTAACTAGGTGAATTTTGACAGTTTACTAAATCTGTCTGTCTCTTGGTATACTCTTCTGTGATGTGGGAATAATAATAGCACCTTCCTCTCAAAATTATTAAGAAGACTGAATAATAATAGGAATTTAGCATAGCACTTGGCTTTTAGTATGTACTTTATTAATGACTTTATGTTTTTCGTACATTCATAAGACTAAATACATAGTGGAGCCAAGATTTGAAGCAGGGTTTGTCTGACCAGAGCAAACTGGAGCCAGGCAGATAAGGTACAAATACAGGCTTCATCAGTTACTAACCATTTTACTTTGGTCAAATCTATAGGATGGTCTTTCATATAATGCATATTTTGGCCAGGCTCAGTGACTCACGCTTGTAATCCCAAAACTTTAGGAGGCTGAGGCGGGAGAATTGCTTGAGGACAGGAGTTCAAGATCAGCCTGGGTAACATAGCAAAACCAGATCTCTACTAAAACATATAGCCAGGCATGGTGACACTCACCAGTAATCCCAGCTTCTCAGGAGGCTGAGGTAGGAGGATTGCTTGAGCCTGAGAGGATATATATATACATATATATATATATATATATATATATATATGTATATATATATGTGTGTATATATATATATGTTTATATATATGTGTATATATATATATGTTTATATATATGTGTATATATATATATATGTTTATATATATGTGTATATATATATATATGTTTATATATATATATTACACATTCCTTCACCTAGCACATCTAACATTTAGTATCTTGTTGAATATAGATAAAAGTAAGGAAAATGTCTGAGAAAACAAGGAGAAAAGAAGGAAGGCATAGGTTTTATCCTCAATGATTTTACAATCTTATAGGGGAAAGATGACATTGAAGTGATAAAAAATAAGTAAGGTTTAATAAGTGAAGTGTAAATGACTGGTGAAGGCTGTGGCTTGGGAATCAAAGGAAACAAGAGGAGGCCATCTAAAAAGCTTAGCTGGGCTGATAAGGGGCAGGCAAGTCTCTCTCACACTGGTCTTTTCACTACATCATTATGCATCCAGAGACTTATTTTCTCACTTTACCCACTTATTTTCAGATTTTTGGTGTGGCTTTCATTGTTAGACTCTTATCGTTTTTCCATTTGATTTTACTGATTTTTTTGAGACTGCTGCATAGGCTCAAAGCTGAGTAAACTGCTACTTCAGCATGTCACCACAAAACATAAAGATATATATTGACTCTGTGTCAAACATCAAACTGATCTTTTAAATTGCTTTGATGCCTTATAGGGCTATGCTTAGCATGGGTCTAGTTTTATTGTACGATGACTAGCTCAGATTGCCAAGATGAATTATACAGATTTTCCAGAATAAGGTGAGATATTTCACTAGTTGTAAAGAAACTAACTCCCTATTTGACTTCTGTCTTGATTAGAGAACAAAAAATGCTTTACATCTGTCAGTCATCAAAAACAATATCCAGAGGCCAAAGAGATTGGGGTAGCATGGATAAACCCCAATGTATAAATGGGGATATTTTCTATTCTCATTTGTGTCATTGTCTTTGGACAATGAAATAAATTATTAAAATGAGGAATTGGAATCACAGCTTTTCAGAAAAATAGAGGTTGTTATAGGGTAAACATTGTCCAAAAGAAGATTGGGATTATCAACATAAACTCTAATCTTTACTCAAATAAAGATTAATTTTTCCTGGGTGACTTTGCTATCTTAACCCAGCCTAAGTGATGTTAATTCAATCTGCAAATGTGTCCTCTTTTATTGTCTTCATACAGACTGCTCCTTGTGCCTGGAATTCTGTACCCTAAACTCTTTGCCTATTTAACTCCTTCTCACTCTACATCCCTTGGTTCAATAAATAGAGAAACCTTCTTTGATTCACATGACTATATCAAATACATCTATTATAAACTCGACACATAATTTTTTTCCATAGCACATGGAAGTGTTGCAACTTATAAATTGCCATTTATGTTTATGCAATTATTTTATTAGTACCTTCCTTCTTTCACTTTAACTATAAGCGTATAACAGCAGGGACCTGAGCACATGGCATAGTTCCTGGCTCATAGTTGGTGCATAATAATAATTTGGTGGAAAAATCAATAAATTTCAGTTTTACCTAACTAGATTATGTTATATCTAAAGACAAATGCTTTAAGAAAACTCAATATACATATATTTAAAAGTTTCACTTGTGAAATTAAGAGCTAGCTAAGAATGGAAGTTTCTTTACTTGTTGGGGGCAGAATTAATCAGATTCCCATGTTTAATTTATACTTCAAGGTAAGTTTCTTATCCTGTGACTTACTATTCTGGTCTGTGCTATATGAGAAGCATCAAATCAGTATTTGATTTTGTAAATCCAAGAACCGAGTAATTCCAGAAATATAGCCCTTATATTATTCAGGGGTCTTCAGAGAGACATAACCAATAGGATACATATAGATAGATAGATATAGATATATACATAGATATATGAAAGGGTAATTGTTAGGAGAATTGGCTCACACAATTATGGAGGCTGAGGAGTCCCACGACAGAACATGTGCAAGTTGGGGACTCTGGAATGTCTATAGCATAGCTCAGTTCAAGTAAGAAGGCATCAGAATCAGGGAAGTTGCTGGTGTCTCTCTCAGTCTGAGGCTGTGGGTCTGAAAACTTAGGGAGCTGCTGGTGTATGTCTTGGAGTCTAAAGTCAAGAGAGCTTGGAGTTCTAACGTCCAAGGTCAGGAAGAGAAAAGTGTTTCAGCTCCAGGAGAGGGAGGGAGGGAAGGAAGGAGGCAGAAAAAGAGAGAGAGAGAGAGAGTTTGCTTTTTCCTTTATCTTTTGATTCTATCTAGGCCTTCAGCTGATTAGATGATGCCATTCACATTGGGTGAGGGTGAATCTTCCCCACTCAGCCCACTGACTCACATGCCAATTTCCTACAGAAACACTCTCACAGACACACCCAGAAATAATGCTTTACCAACTCTCTAGGTATTCTTCAATCCAGTCAGTTTAAACCCTAAAATTAACAGCCACAGTCCTCTACTTTTAAGAATTTTATGTCAGTGTTTGGAATCTCAATTTCTTAGTAAAAACACTATTAGAAATTAGAGACAGATAGTGAAATATTTTTTAGTGACTCTAAAAATGAGCTGGCATCACAACAAAAAGAAACGCCTAAATTCAAATTTAAAAATCAGACTGTCTTTTCCCATACTTCTTTGAGGACAGAGAATGATTTATTCATAAAGATAGCTAAAGCAAATTTCAAAGTTCCTGGCCTATAATAACTGACCCCCTTCATGTGTATTTCTGCATCTTCATCTGTCTCTATCTCTCTGTACATATGGAATTAGATACATTGATATGATTTGGATGTTTATCCCCTCCAAATCTCATGTCAAAATGTGTTTCTCAATATTGAAGGTGGGTCTGGTAACAGGTGACTGGATTATGAGGGTGGATTCCTCATAAATGGCTTAGAACCATCCCTTTGGTGATAAGTGAGTTCTTGCTCCAAGTTCACATGAGATCTGGTTGTTTAAAAGAGCATGGCATCTCCCCACTCTCTCTCTCTTGCTCTAGCTCTCACCATGTGATGTGCTGACTCCCCCTTCACCTTTCACCATGATTTTATAGTTCCGGAGACCTTCCCCAGAAGCAGATGCTGACACTCTGCTTCATATAAAGCTAGCAGAACCCTGAGCCAGTTAAAAAACTCTTTTATGTATAAGTTATGCAGCCCCAGATATTTCTTTATAGCAATGCGAAAATGGCCTAACATGGAAAATTGGTTCCAAGGAGCGGAGCATGCATGGCTATAAAGATTCCTGAAGATGTGGACGTGGCTTTGGAGCTTGGTAATGGGCAGAGGTCGGAAGAGTTTAGAGGGCTCAGGAGAATACAGGAAAACAAGGAAAAGTGGAATATCTTAGAGACTTGTTAAGTGGTTGTGACCAAAATCCTTGCAGAAATATACACAATGAAGTTGTGGCTGATGAGATCTCATATGGAAATGAGGAAGAGATTGAAAACTGGATCAAAGGTCACCTGTGTTACACCTTAGTAAAGAGCTTGGCTGCAAAATGCCCAAGTCCTAGGGATCTGTGAAAGTTTAAACTTAAGAGTGATTACCTAGGGTATCTGGGAGAAGAAATTTCTAAGCAGAAATTTGTTTAAAAATCTGTGTGGTTGCTTCTAACAGCCTACAATAAGACATAGGAGCAATAAGATATAGGAGCAAAAGAATGATGTAAATTTGGAACTTATGTTTAATAGGGAAGCAGAGCATAAAAGTTTGGAAAATCTGTGTCCTGTCCATTTGGCAGAGAAAGAGTAAACTTTATTTGGGAGAACAATACAACCAAGCTGTGGAGCAGCCACTTACTAGACAGAATAGCATGACTAAAAGGCAGCCAAGTGCTAATAGCCAAGAGAATAGGAAAAAGGTCTCAGAGGCATTTCAGAGATCTTGGAGACAGTCCCCCCCTTCACAGGCCCAGAGTCCTACGAGGAAATAATGCTTTTGAGGACCAAGCCCAGGGCACCAATGCCCTGGGCCACCTCAGGACACTGTTCCCTGCATCCTAGCAGCTCCAGCTCCAGCCTCAGCTCAAGGGGCCCCAGGTAGAGCTCATGCCACTGCACTGGAGGGTACAAGCCATAAGCCTTGGAGGCATCCATGTGGTGTTAAGTCTACAGGCACACAGAATACAAGCATGAAGAAGTCATGGCAGCTTCCTCCTAGATTTTAGAGGACGTATCAGAAAGCCTGGGTGCCCAGGTAAAAGCCTGTTGCAAGGGTGGAGTCCTCACAGGGAACTTCTACTAGGGCAGTGTAGAGGGGGAAATGTGGGGTTAGAGCCTCCACAGAAAGTCTCCAACAGAACACTGCCTAGTGGAGCTTTGGGAAGGGGGCCACTGCTCTCCAGACTCCAGAATGGTAGAGTCACAGGCAGCTTCCATCCTCAGCCTGGAAAATCCACCGGCACTCAGCTCGAACTTGTGAAAGCAGCCATGGAGGCTGCAATCTGCAAAGTCACAAGAATGTAGCTCCCCAAGGCCTTGGAAGCCCACCACTTGAACCAGTGTACCCTAGATTTGGGACATGGAATCAAGATTATTCTGGAACTTTAAGATGTAATGATTGCATTGCTGGGTTTCAGACTTGTATGGGGCCTATTGCCCCTTTCTTTTGGCTGATTTAATCCTTTTGTAATGGGAATGTCTACCCAATGCCCGTCCCACCATTGTGTCTTGGAAATTAATAACTTATTTTTGATCTCATTGGCTTATAGATGGAAGGAACTCATCTCTACATGAGACTTTGGACTTCAGACTTGAGACTTAAGACTTTTCAGTTAATGCTGAAACCAGTTAAGATTTTGAGGGACTATTGCCAAGGCATGACTGTATTTTGAAATGTGAGAAGGACGTGAGATTTGGGGGCTGGGATGGAATGATACGGTTTAGTGTTTATTCCCTCCAAATCTCATATTGAAATGTGATTTCCAGTGTTGGAGGTGGGGCCTGGTGGGAGGTGATTGGATCATGGGGGTGGATTCCTCATGAATGGTTTAGCATCATTCCCTTGGTGATAAGTGACTTCTCACTCTGAGTTTACGCAAGATGTGGTAGTTTGAAAGAGTGTGACACCTCCCCTTGTTTCTGCTCTTGCCCTGTGAATATACCTGCCCCCTTTTGCCTACTGCTATGATTTTAAGCTTCTTGAGGCCCTCATCAGAAGCAGATGCTGGTACTATGCTTCATGTAAAACCTGCTGACCCGTGAACCAATTAAACTCCTTTTCTTTATAAATTACCCAGCTTCAGATATTTCCATTTTTTTATTAATTTTTTATTGACATCTTCTGAATAAGTGTTTTCTGTTGGTTGGTTTCAAAAGGAGTCTATTCCTGAATATAATTAGAGGCAGTTCACATACTGTGGGCTTATTAAGACCCAAGGGATTTTTTAATTTTAGCCTGTCTGATATTCCTTTTTGATTTTACTTAAATTTGAATTACTCTAAATATAATCTGGGCATATTGACTAGGTATTTCTTTGTAACAATGCAAAAAGAGCCTATCACACATGTAGACAATATGTGCATTGAAAATTTCATAGAATGGAAGTCAAGAAACCTTGATATTCTTCTAGCCTCAACTCTATCAATAATTAACTATAGGATTTTAGATAAGTTACTTAATCTCTCTTTGCCTTATGTTGTTTATCTTCAAATTTGGCTAATCATACATGTCCGGCATACCTAATCATTGTATGGAGAAGAATAAATGAAATGGCAAATGGGAAAAAATTTTTAAAAGTATTATTCAAATACAAGTGTGATGGAGGGTGTGTGTTATGTGTAGCAGAGCATATAACTGGGGTACTGAAAGTGTTAATCTCAAACAAAGTGAAGAGACTGAGATTCATTCTCTGGAAGCTCAACACACATAGGCTAACTTGCATAATCAACCTTTTATTCATCAGCATGGCTCTATCCAGTACTGAAGGAACCCTATAAATCTCTCACTTCCCCTCTTACTTCACATGCTGAATCAGGCTTTGTGAACATATCCCCTCCAGTGTGTAATATTTTGAAGAAACTTTCAAGAAAACTCTGTGCTCAGAGAGTGCTGATTCAGCACAGTGAATGAGGTGACAAAGATGTATTTTGGAACGTTTCATTGGCATTTTCAACACCAACTCTACGCAAATAAGGAGGTGCCTGTTTGGTCAAAGGAAACACATTGCTTACAAATCACTATATATGTTCCTGAATTTGAAGGCACATGGCATATGGAAAAAAAAATGTATCACCATGTTTTAAAGGCACCTTCCTGTGCATTCAAATAGTCCATATTTAATTTACGGTATGTAGTAATCTCCTTTCCTTCTTCTTATGCCTCCATACATAATACAACAGCTTCTAGAAAATATACCCTACAGTGTGATATGACACTATCCCACAGGAAATGAAGTAAGAAAGTATCCTTTTCTATAATATATAAAGAATAAATTAAAATTATGCATAAGCGTGATTGAAGACAAATAATTCTATCTGGCTTAAAAGAATCAGTTGCTGTAACTGCTTTACTCACACACCTGGAGTTTTGACTGGCAGAACCTTACATTTTGGTGGTTCTAATCTTCGGTAACACAGAGCTTTCCTGACTTTTGTTCACACTTATTAGCTGCTGGAAGCAAGACACAGAAGACATTTTAAACTATTATTTCGAAAGATTTCACAACATGACAGAAAAACACGTGTGCCAGTAATAGGTGGTAGACTGTGGATGATAGTGTTGGGATTTAATTGAAATGATACTTCCTCAAAAAACTTACAAAAGAAAACCACTCAAACTAATTAGACTATATACATGAATTACTTGCGCTCTTCCTGGATACGACAGGTACTTATCTTTTATATAGCAGGCAAGCAAAATACAATCCAGTTAATCATTTAAGTGAAATAACACATCAGTTTTTTATTAGCATCAAATCTGAACTTTTCCACTGGTTGCTCGTTGAAAAGAAATTACATAATTTTTACTTTAAAAAAATATTTCCATGTCTTTCCTTTTCAAATCATTCATTTTTACATGGCATAGAGATAACAGACTTACTAAAAGTAATCTAAGGAAAATAAGGGGAAGCTCAAGGAGAACAAAGGTAAATTCTTTTGCTAATTATACATAAATATACATTGAATATGTGTAGTGTTTCTATTGAGTTGTTTTTCACATGGGCTTCAAAAGTCAGCCAATATTTAAAACCTGCCAGAGCTAATAGCACATTTGATTGTCCATCATTCCATCTCTGTTCCCATCTGTCTGTGAAGTCTAATGATTGTTGTGAATGAGATCTCAGCTGTTTTTCATCTTTATTTTGAGTAATATATTTTTATTCAGACTTATTAATATGTATTTTCACTTCCTGAAGTTATAGAAGCAACTTAGATGGAGTCATTTGCAGCTGGAAAGGCAGCACTTCTTTCTTCTGAGGCACAGCTAAACGATGTGAAGTTTGTTTACAAGGTCATACTTCAACAACTGGCATATAGCTGGCCTATTTTAATTTAATTTATTCCTATATTAATTTTCAGTGTTCCTCTTCTCAACCATCCCACTCCTCAATCCTTATCAATTAAATGTCTTTCCCAGATTTGCCATTTCTTGGCTGTACCCATGTTACTCTTAGGTTGATACAAAAGTAATTGTGGTTTTTGCCATTGGCAGGAATGGCAAAAACCGCAATTACTTTTGCACCAACCTAATATAATCCCTCTTCTGCTACACTCTCCAATCATAATTTACTATTCCTACAACTCCCTGCTCTCCCCACTCATTGCCACAGATTATGTGAATTAGTCCATTAGAAATCAATACTATAAATTGTGCACAGATTGCTAGTATAAGTGATAGGTTACTGCATTCCTTCTCCCAGGAACATTGCATTTAAACATTTCCTAATGTAGTTACCTCCAAATCACAAAATCTTAGGACTCACTGTCAAATATGAAGGATTATACCACTAAAAAAGTAAATGCTCCTAAGAGACAATTTGGGTGAACATCCTAATAAGAAAAATAGTTTCTCATAAATGGTTACTGTGTTCTACAGATTTATGACTTTAAAATCAGAATGCAGAATATAATTTAGAACAAGTAGCCATATTTAGCAAATTAACAGATTTTCTGATGGAGAAGATATCAACCGCCTCATTATTTTTCTGAATTAAATTCTGTCATAATTAGTTCTAATAGAACAAGTATGTAAGTATCTTAAAGACTATCTACCCTTTTTCTTGATCTGTGCCCTCATTCCACCACAAAACATGTAGTTTTTAAACTAACATCATCTCTACGTGCTTGCATGTGTAATCTTACTAAGAGCTAATAGAAAGGCCAGGACCAAGCCTATTTGTTTATGATGTTGTGCAGACCCGTCTAGACACTTTCAGTGTCTTGCTTTGAAATAATTAAGCTACATTAACTGTATAAATATTTAAATGTAGAATTAAAATATGACAAAGAAAGAAAGAAATAAGTAAATATAAATAGTCTTTTACAGTTCTGGGAATTCAGGGTTTTAAAGCTGAATTGGCAGAGGTTGGGTTGAGAGAATTACTTCTAATTAGAGTATAATTTATTTAGGATATAATATATGGGGTAGTGCTTTCAGAGGGATATGCTCAACATGTTATATTAGTATTAGGGTGGAAGTTTAGTTATTGTATTTACTATATAAAATGGAGGTTTAATTTAGTAGAAGGGTCTTAAGATTTTTTGAAAAATTACATCAATCGAGGGGTAGCTGTTGGGGCATTCATGTTTAAAATATGATTTCTGGGCTCTGGGTTGCATTTTAGTCTCTTGTTTTTGGGGTTTGGCAAGAGTACATTTACCTAGGTTGATGGTAAAGTCAGAGATGGGGGTGGGGAGGTTGCGGATTTAATCGGAAATAGTTCTTGAAAGTGAGCGTACGTGCGTGAGCGTACGTGCGTGAGGGTACGTGCGTGAGCGTACGTGCCTATTGATTAATTGTTATGTCCTTCAAGCATGGCTTAATTAACACATTATGCTTATTATACTAGCCTAAAATATTCAATATAAGCTCAGCTTCTACAATTGATTTGGCAGGAATCAAATCCGAGTTCGTCTACAGCAGATTCGGAAGGGACCAGGCCTTCCGCGATGGTAAGTGATAGCATCCCCCAAAGTTAAAAATACCAAATGCATGACAGTACTCTCGTGACTGATTAATAGGGTGGTAGTCATTAGTCCATCGAGATGTCTTATTTAAGGGGAACGTGTGGGCTGTCTTAGTTTTATGGCCCTGAAGTAAGAACTAGATGCCCGGTATAGTTTCAGGATAGTCATCCCCAAGTTTTATGGGCCCACAGCGAGGAGGGTAGCACTCCCAAGCGGGATGATGATTTCCCGGAAGTTGGTAGATTAAGAGACCAAAATTTGGTAGGGGGTATCCATGTTGACAAGGGATTTTTGAACTAAAATGTGCTATGTCCAGTGAACGAATATATGTACTATGCGATATTAAGGATTTATAGTATGGATCAATATTTGTATGGATTAAGTCTGTGTTGTACGGTCAATAATAGTAGATGTGCAATAGTTGATTAAAGAATTGTTAATATGTGCTTATATGTATGTGGACTAGATTTGTAATGTATTTTCATGTATGAATGTACTACGTACGAATAAACACTTATAGTACTATATATTATTCATGGGGACTAGCGGTAATGCACGAAGTACATAAGAGCACTAATGTATTAGTGCTAATTGATTAATACTGACATAGTTGTTAAAGTATGTGCTGAGAAAAATTCAGGGAGTAGATTAATTAGAATTTCAGCTTTGGGTGTTGACGGTGAAGTGGGCATGCTTTTTTCCCTGAGTTGTCCTGGGGAGGGGATTCTCCATTTCTGGTTTACAAGGCCAGAGTATTGAATTATACTACAAGGACATTTTCATTTAAGTAATTTATTTTCAATTAGGGTAGTGCATGGTATAAGGGTGAGGATGGTAGAAAAGTACATAATAGATGCTGTCTGTCTGATGGCAATAAAAGGGTATTCGACTGGCTGCCCTCTGATTCATGTGAGTGTAAGCAGGTCAGCCGCTAGGACTCAGAATAGGCATTGGCTTAATGGCCGGAATATTATGCTTTGTTGTTTAGACACGTGAAGTACAAGAATAACTTGTAGAATGAGAATGGAAGATATGAGGGCTAGCACGCCTCCTAATTTGTTAGGGATAGATGGTAAAATTGTGTATGCAAACAGAAAGTACCATTCTGGCTTAATGTGGGGTGGGGTATTGAGGAGGTTGGCTAAAGTGTCGCTCAGGAGGTCAGGTGAAAATAGTACTAGAGTTATTAGAAGGATGAGGAGAAAAATTAAACCTAGAATATCTTTGGTTGTATAGTAGGGGTGGAAAGTGATTTTGTCGGAGTCTGATGAAACGACGGTTGTTAGATCCTGTTTCATGTAAGAATAAAAGGTGAACAGTTGCTAGAGCTGTAATGATGAAGGGTAAGATGAAATGGAAGGCATAAAATCGTATGAGGGTGGCTTTGTCAACTGAGAATCTTCATAGGATTCATTGTACAAGGTCGGCTCCAATATATGGGATGGCTAATAGTAGATTTGTAATTACTGTAGCACCTCAGAATGATATTTGGCCTCATGGGAGCACGTAGCCTATGAATGCTGTTGCTATAGTTGTTAAGTAGGAGGATAATGCCAATATTTCAGGTTTCTAGAAATAGGAATGACCCATAGTATAAGCCTTGGCCAATGTGTAAGAAGAGGCAGATGAAAAATATTGAGGCACCATTAGCATAAAAATAGTGGACCATTCAGTCGTAGTTTACATCTCAGCTCATATGAGTGACTAAAGAGAAGGCAGGTAAGGTGTCTGATGTATAGTGTATGGCCAAAAATAATCCTGTGATGATCTGAGGAATTAGGTAGGCACCAAGAAGTGAGCTGAAGTTTCATCATATAGAAATGTTAGATGGTGTGGGAAGATCAATGAATGAGTAGTTAATAATTTTTATTAGTGGGTGTGTTTTGCGGGTATTGGTCATTGGTGTTCTTGAAGTACAACGATGGTTTTTCATATCATTAGTCATGGTTGTAGTCCATGTGATAGATTAAAATTTTAATACTAACAAAGACTTTCTTGGCATACACTTTTTTTCCACTTTTAAACATTAGTCCTCTGTTTTTTGGTTGTCCCTTTTTTAAAGATGGGATGAAGGTTATAAGGTAAGAAGTTACTTTGCTTTCTAAACTAAGATTATGTAATGGGCAAACTGAGGCAATTTTGCTTCTTCCTTTCATATTAGGATGCTTTTTAAATTTCTTTCTCATGCCTAATTGCTCTGGCTACAACTTCCATTACTATGCTAAAAAAAAAAAAAAACAGTGATGAGAGGGCATGCTTGTCTTGTTTCTTATCTTAGACAAAAAGTTTTCAATTTTTCTCCATTGAGTATGATGTTAGCTATGGGTTTGTCATATATGACAATTTTAGATGTTGAGATACATTCCCTCTATACCTAATCCGTTGAAAATTTTTAATCATGAAAAGATACTGAATTTTGTCAAATGATTTTTCTCTATATATTGAGATGATTTTATGGCTTTTGTCTTTATTTCTGTTTAATGTGATGTGTCACATTTAATGATTTGCATTTGCTGAAACATCCTTGCATCCCAGGGATAAATTCCACTTGTATGATTCTTTTAATGGGTGCTTGAATTCAGCTTGCTAATATTTTGTAAAATATTTTTGCACTTAGATTCATCAGGGATTTTGGTCTGTGATTTTCATTTCTTGTAGTGTACCTGTATTGCTTTGGTAGCAGAGTAATACTGGCCTCATAAAATGAGTTTTGAAGAATTATTTCTACTTCAGTTTTTTGTGAAAGAGTTTGAGAAGAATTGTTATTAGTTCTTTTTTAAATTTTTTTTTTTAGAATTCAGTAGTGAAGTTTTCTGGTCCTGGGCTTTTCTTTGATGGGAGAGTTTTATTATGGATTGAATCTCCTTACTCATTATTAGCCTGTTCAGATTTTCTGTTTCTTCATGATCCAGTACTGGTAGGTTGTATATTTCTAGGAATTTATTCATTTCTTCTAATTTATCCAAATTGTTGACATATAATTGTTTATAGCAGTTTTTAATGATCTTTTGTATTTTTGTGGTATCATTTTCGAAGTCTCTTCTTTCATTTCTGATTTTATTTATTTGAGTCTTCTCTTTTTATTCCTAATTACTCTAGCTAATGGTTGGTTGGCTTTGAAATATTGCAATTTTGTGACAGTTAATGTATATTAGAAATACTTATATTAAAACTTTTCTATCTAGGACAGATAGTAACCATAGATGCAGGGCCAAACTATTTTTCACATTTGATGTAAATATGTTTTTGGTGGGTTTTTTGGCCTTAAAAAGTACGCTTATTAGCATCTAAATTAGTATACATTTAAAGTTAGTTTTTTTTTGTATAGCTATGTGTATTTCAAAAACATTAAATACAAAAAGCATGTGTGATTATTTGATTTTGATGTGCTAGTGCTTTACATTTTCAAGGCATCAGAGAAGCTATTTACAGAAAGATATTGTGACAAGCTAGGGGTTAAATGGAAAGTCTTCTGGGTTTGAGCTTAGACTTTTGTTCAAATCTCAGATGATATATTTTCTAACTGTTTGACTTTGGACAATAATTTCCATTTCTAAGCATATTTTCTCTTCCTTAAAATGGGAAGGGTGATGACAACCAAATGATAACCTTTTATGTACATTAAATGGAAAAATATATTAAATATATGCAATAGGGTGATTGATGGTTAATAAACTCTAACAATATAATTACTTTATAACTTCACCATTATTTCTATGAGCTTATCAGAACAGAATAGGATTCTCATATCATTATCTGAGAGCTTTAGGCTCAGATTTTCTTGCTATATTCATCTTATCCCATTTTCTGCTCCCATAACATATTACCACTGACTGGGTAATTTCTAAACAACGGAAGTTTATTTAGCTCATGGTTCTAGAGGCTGGGAAGTCCAAGAGCTAAGTGACAGCATCTGGTGAGTATCTTCCCATGGTGGAAAGCATCACAAGGCAAAGAAGCACAAGGGGAAAAAAGAAAGAAGAAACTGCGCCAAATTCATTCTTCTATCAGGAGTGCACTCTCAAGATAACAAATTCACTGCTGTGATAACAGCATTAAGCCATTCAGAAGAGTAGCCCTTATGATCTAGTCATCTCTTAAAGTTTCCACCTCTCAACAGTACTGCATTGGAGATTAAGTTTCCAACATCTAAATGTAGTAGGACATAGCAATATGCAAGAAATAATTAGAGTATTTTAACTCCAACAATAGCAAAAACACAAAGAGACAAAATAATCCACAACAGGATTTTGGGTAAACATAGTAAATCTCAAGTCAGCTTGAGGGTGGGGACTGGGGAGGTATATGTCATTGGAAACCTCTCTCAAGTGTTTCCTTGATGTGGTATCTTTTGTTATTATCTGCTAAGTGTATTAGCTCTTTATTGAGCTGACATTGCACTGACCTTGAAGAGACAAATCACATGCTGGATGAATAGAAGGAAAAGTGTAACAAAAATGTGGCCTAGTGGTAACTTGGCTCAAGTCAGGTGCAGAACACTTAGAAAAACCACATTGACAGAGCAGTCAAATGGAAGCATAATCTAACACTTATAAAGTAGTTCAGGGTGGTAAATTTTAGTTTATTTTTTATTAATATGCTCTTTTATGGGCCCCAACTATTTGAATAAATTAATTCCTAAAATGAGGTTTTAAGTTCAGCCTCCCTGACTTACAAAATGTGGCATTTTACAAAGAGATTTTTTTAAAAAATGATATACAGCTGCTTTTCTGTGTTGTTGGATCAAACTTTGATTTTTGTGGATGCTACTTCCTTCAAGGGCTCTTTCACCACAGGAAGGTAACACAGTCCAGGAGCAGGTTTCTGAAAGATTATAACCAACTGTTACACATTTAGGAAGCAAGCTCCAAAACAAGTCCTTATTCTGTTTTTCCCATCTGGTGAAACTGGTTTGTCTAGTTACATAGATTTCCCCCCATTCAATAAGATTATTGTAAATATTGCATGTGTCTACGTAAATGTATACAATATATTATGATATGCAATGCAGGCAACTATTGGTAATATTGGAATGTGATAAAAAAAAAAAAACTATCCCTTCCACCTAGGTAACAGAGCTGACGTTATCCTTTCACCATGCTCACAATATCTGATAACACTCATTTATAATGAGCATTATACTGAGATATAGGCTATAGGAAGTTAGTTTCTTGCCTTGAGTTTAAAAAAAATTCTTCATCTAATATCCATGGCATTGAGATCACTAGTTCACCTAATACTTAGGGATTAATAATAATGAAGCTGATATCTCTTTAGCTTAACTAGCTTCTAAGATACTTTAGGATATAAATATACTTATTTCAATGCTGGAAATATAAAAATATTAACTTATATATTAATTTTAAAGGTAGTTTACTATGTGGCTGGTGAATGGATTGGCTATTTGAATTTTGTCATAATTCTAGCAGTATGAGAGTAACAATAAAGCCCTAGGCCTTACTAGGAGTTAATTTAAAAGTTTATGTATTTCATTTCCTACTCAGGGTCCCATTGCACCTTCAACCTCTGCCATTAGAATGATTTATGGGCACTGTTAGACCTCAGAGTGATTCCCAAAAGTTAAAGCTGAGCATAGTACTTCAATAAACCACTATAATAAGATATTTCATTATTACAGTTCTAAATGTCCTGCAGTGTACGTTAATTTAGATATAAAATAATTAAAGGCAATTAAAGCCAATTATACTAAGGATGACTTTGTGCTAATGATACAGAGATTACTTGCTTCAAGGAAGAATTCCCTCTGAAATCATACAGAAAAGAAGCTGAAGTAGGCGGTGCTAGAAGAAAGGGATTTGTGTGTATATATTTATACATATATATATACACATATGTACACACACATACATATATACACACACACATTTAGGAATAGGAAATGCTTTCTATATCACTTCTGTGCGTGTGATAGAGACACACACACATACATAAGTGATATAGAAAACATTGACAATTCTGAGAATACAATGACTTTATAAATTATTTTCATTAACAGTATCTCAAATTGCTTTTCATCGATGGTCTGAGTAAAGTGCATACTGTGGTCTAGAGTGGAACAAATGAGATTAACAAAAACATTTTCCATGAGAGCCCTCAGGTCTCAAGGAGACCTAGAGATGTTGAAGACCAACGTTTTCCCTCTCTCATGGGTCTGGAGTAAGCCACACTTACACTAACACAACCCTGAGCAGTGAAACCACTCATTTATCAACATATTTTTTATGTTAAAAAACTTACTTATTCCAAATCTCATGTTAAAAGCCTTGTAGCGTATTGTTTGAGAGGGTGAGCTTTCAAGATAGATAGTCTAGCTTTGAATACTGGTCTACTAGTTGGGGGGACAAAACTGAATAGAAATAATAATAATAGGAAATCAATTTTGAACATGTTATTCTACGTCTTTTTGCCTCTACTTCCTAGTCTTTAAAACAGAGTTATAGTAATACTGAAACGGGAAAAGCTCCCTTATCAACCTCACAGGGCGGTTCCCGCTGCTCAAAACCCCTAGGGGTAGTATGGCCGTCATGCAGACGGGCAGGTTGTGGGGCTCTGACCCCCACAGCAGTGTCTAGGGGTGAATGTTTACAGTTGAAGCCCCAATGGGCGTCTGTTACAGGGTGCTTTTTTCAGTTTAGCCGTCCATTAAGCGGCTTCTGTTAAACTTGTCAGCTCAATTACACTCCCTGCCTTATTGTAAGGATAGAGGGCTTTCTGTACCCTGGGGGTTCTTGGCTTGGTGTACTGGAAGAATCGGATCACACCTGGGCTTGGAGAATGAGTGCAAGGTTTTATTGAGTGGAAGAAGCACTCAGCAGATGGCGGACCCAGAAGGGAAATGGTTTTACCCTGGAGTCAGGTCGCTTGGCGGCCCGGGCTCTTCTGCAACCTTCCTGGCCAAACTCTGCATTGTTCCGCCAGTCGATGGCCTGCAGGCATGCAGGCGTCTGTTGATGTGCTCTTCCTGGGCGTGCTCCCTTCCACGTCCTCCGGACGTCTGGCTGCTTGTGTCTTATTCCGAGAACTTGTTCCTGTTGACATCCAGCTGCTTGTGTCTCTTCCCGCTTGGGTCTCGGGTTTCTTTTTTTTCTTTTTTCTTTTCTTTTCTTTTCTTTTTTTTTTTGAGACGGAGTCTCGCTCGCTCTGTCACCCAGGCTGCAGTGGAATGGTGAGCTCTCGGCTCACTGCACGCTCCGCTTCCCGGGTTCACGCCGTTCTCCTGCCTCAGCCTCCGGAGTAGCTGGGAGTACAGGCTTTCGCCATCACGCCCAGCTAATTTTTTTTTTTTTTTAGTAGAGACGGGGTTTCACCGTGTTAGCTAACAGGATGGTCTCGATTTCCTGACCTCATGATCTGCCCGCCTCGGACTCCCAAAGTGCTGGGATTACGGCGCCAGGCCGTGGGCACAGGCCCAGAGGTGGAGCCCTCGCCAGGGACCCATCGTTCTCCTCGCAGCACTTTCCTGCTTCTCTTCCATATCAAAACCTCCCTCATAGAGTTATTGTGGCATTAAGTAAATATATGTAAAACATTTACAACAGTGTCTTCTATAATTATGTTCTCCATAAATTTGAACTGTTCTTTTTACAGTATCCAAATGCCTACTCCCTTACCAGAACCTTAATTACAGGGACAAATCTATTTGAGAGACTGAATCAGAATATCCATCTTTTCTTGCTGCAAGTTTTTCATCACAATGCATTCATTTAACCACCAGTTATCTATTGAACTCTAACTTTGTGCCAAGCACTCATTTAGGTTTAAGAACTGAATGTTTAATGGTGAACAAAACGGACAAGGCCCTTGTTCTCATGGATTTTACATTTCAGTTGAGGGAAGTTACAAAATTAAAAAAAAAAAAAAAAAGAAAACCAACAAGTGAATGTGATAATTATGGTCAATGATAAATGCTGTAAAGTGATAAGTGTTATGAAGAAAAATAAAAGAAGTTGACAGGATAGGGAATGATCTGAGCAAGGATAATATTAAGTCAGATGGTAAATGTATATGTTATTATATTTCATTCAATCATTGGATGTTTATTACATCGTGCAAAGTACTGGTCTAGTTACGGAGATACAGCAGTGAATTTGGCAAACAACATTCTTGCTCTCATGGAGATTACATTCTCATCTTGAGGCAAACATTAAAACGAATAAAGGAATAAGCATTTTTTGGAAGGATAGTAATACATGTTATAAAGAGTGGGAATGAGATGAAAAATGACTGGGGACTATTTAAATTAGGTGGCCAGGAAATTACTCTCTAATTAGAGGTTGGTTACCTGAGATCTTACAGACAAGGAGCTGTCCTTGAAAATACCTAAATATTACAGGAAGAGAGATGGCCGAGTGCATAGGCCCTTAATTGGAAATGAGATTTACATATTTAATGAAATAAAGAAAAGCAGGGTAGATTAAACAAAGGCTTTGCCAGGCATGATTTACAGTTTAGAATTTATCCTTGTAATAGTCATTGGAAGACTTGACAGCCTAGGAGCAAAGGAACTATTTTACTTTTAAAAAATTACTCTGGATACTGGGTGGAAAATGTAAAAGATTTTCCAATGGGAGCAGGGGAATACATTAGGAGACTATTGCAGTTCTATGGGTAAAATATGACCATGGCTTGGATGAGGTTGGTAAGAGTGGGAGTACAAATAGTAGATACATTTGTGATATACTTTAGAAGAACCAACAGCATTTGATGATGGACTAGAAAGTTTGGACATTAGTGAAATACAATAATCAAGAATATTTCCTGGATTATTTAGTCTGAATAAGTGGGAAGATAGTGGAGATATTAAATTTTAGATCCAACTAGAGTTGTCAAATAAGGAAAAGACAATTGTGTATATAAATCTGGGGCTCAGGAGCAATTTCAAATCTAAAGACAGAGACTTGGAAGGTCATTGATGTATAGACTCTATTTTATAACTTGGGGTTGGATATGATCATCTAGGTTTAGATAATATAAACCTATTCCTATTTTATACTTCATTCATACAGGGCATTGATTGTTGACTGACCAGTGAATGACATAAAACATACTAAAGTACAGATGTCCATAAAACTCTTCATACTAAGTGATTAATGATTAATTATAGACCAGTCCTTTCTCCTTTCAAATTTCTGTTGTAGCAAGAAGTACACCAAAGAAGCTACTTAGATGCTGAGATTTTCCAGCCCAGCATCACACAGATGGGTTTTAGTTCATGGCTGGGATGTGCAAGGCAGTAGTGGTGGATTTGGCACCTCTGTAATCCAGCTGCCTGTGTTATTCTGCTGATCCACAAAGGTCCAATGTCACAGAAAACTGCTGGATAATTTGTTTCTGGCTTTCTGTTTAATTTGGGGCATTTAAAAATTCTCTCTGTTGCTATTTTATTTTCATATTCCTGCCTTGATCTTGCTGTCTCTCTTTGCTCCTAAACTGAAGCCAATTGTCAGGCAACCTCTGGATGGGTCACCAAGATTGTATGGTTCTGTGAGGTCCTTCTTGCTTTTTAATATTGTGCCTTAGGCATTAGTGTCTTGTGATAGTTACATTTGAAACCTTCCTGATTGCCTCCTTTGAAATTCATCAGTATGTCACTTGTTAATTTATTTATTTTCTGATACTTGAACTGCTGAGGTTATGTTTAGAATGACTTGAAAGTAGACACGTAGCTATTCATTTCTTCTCACGCTGTGAAAATTTCCAAATTGAGACACCCAGTTCTCTCTTGGATGGGATTTTTGTATTTATTTTTTTAATTTGGAAAGTGAGAGTATGAAGTATCTAGCCTCCCACCAGTATGGATGCTCCCGGAGTTTTTCTTTACAATGTGATATATAATTATTCAAGTAGAGAAGGTCAGTGGTCCTATTAAAGAGAGAGAGAGAGAGAGAGAGAGATCTAAATGCAGAGTTCTCTTAATGAGACTATATCAGAAGAAGATGTTTCAGCTTATTTTATTTTAAAAAGTGTCTGCAGTTTTCATTTTAACTATATACATCTTGCTTTTGGCAGTTTGACATCCTTGATATTGTTTAAAGATAGGTTTTTATATTTAATGTGAGTCTTTTCCAGTCAGAGACATCAGCTAGAATATGAAAAATAGCTTCTCTCATTTTTCTTTTTTTCTTCTCCCAAAATAAATTTCATTACAAAGTGTGTCTGTAATTGAATTCTTTTAGTGAGTGATGATATAAAACTTATTTTTCTTCATTGAAAATTTGATCTAATAGGTCCACAGGGCTTTGTGTCTTCTTGGTGGCAAACATCTCTCCGATTAACGCTGAATTCTGATATAATTATAGAGAAACTGGGATGGCAGTGGCTAATGATGTTTGCAATAGGAGTAGCTGACAGTGTAAGAAATGTCGTTCTGTGAAGTTACTACACGCTAATACCAGAGAACTGGGTTGTGTCTCTTCTTCATCCTTCCCAAAGCTTCATCTGTGTTACAAAAATATCCTCCTCTGCTCTGACTTTTCACAGTGATTCTTAAATGATGAACACCCCTAATCTCTGTATCTCTTATCTGACGCTGACAATCACCCCACTGAAACCAAAAGGAAGATACAAATTGAAAATGCAATGAGACATACACTCAGAAGGTGGGCTTTTCAGGAAAAGCCAATGTTGCAATTCCTTAGCCTTGGTAGCAAACTTCTCTCTGACCAATGCTGAATTCCTAAATAGTTAAAGGGAAATGGGGATGCAGGCGGCTAATTAGGTTTGTAATAGGAGTAGCTGCCAGTGTGACAAATGTGATTCTAGAAATTACTATACACTAACCCCAGAGAAATGACATTAAAGGGAAATAATTTTTGTTTTATTTTTGGCCCCATATTTGGAGAAATAATAGAGCTACCAGGCCTAAAAGGCAAAGATTATTCTACTGATGGCTCAGTAGGTAATGTACGGATTCCTAAACCTGTCTTTGCAATATCTGTAGACGTCTTCAGTGTCATCAGGGAGTGTTACGATGTTCTTAAAACATTCCCAAATCAGTATTCATGTTACTAATATGTGGGGAGGACTTTCACAGAATCCAGCAATAACTGGGCACTCTAACTTCAAGAAGATTAGAGTTCAGTGAATTTTTTAAAAATGATATATTTATCTTTCCTTTTGTTACCCATTTTCTCCACAGTAAGCCCCTTAAAAATGGTCATATCTGAGCTTTACTGTTCTCATGAAAGAATTCAATTATATATTAGATTGGTGCAAAAGTAATTGCGGTTTTTGCCATTACCTTTAATGACAAAATAACTCTGCAAGCTTTCTCTTAGGGTTTAGTATTAAAGGTCTTTACTTTAGAGAAATTAAATAATCATTGGCCAGAAGATCTCATGAGGATTACCTGTAATGGCAAAAAAACACAATTACTTTTGCATCAACCTATATAATAAGCCTTACTTCCATCTAATGTGAAGGATTTTACAAATTCAGTATCAAAATACACAAACTATATATCATTATTACCTAGGAGATAACATGCATTCTTGTATAAAGGTGTCTAATTTTGTAATAATCTCTCTACCTCCAAACCCAGTCTGGCACTAATACAGTTGACTCTTGCACAATACAGGGCTTAGGGGCATTGACCCACACACAGTTGAAAATCCACATATAACTTTTGACTTTCCAAAAACTTAACTACTAATAGCCTACTGTTGACCACAAGTCTTACTGATACCATAAACCATCGATTAGCATATATTTTTGTGTTATAGATATTATATACTGTATTCTTAAAGTAAGCTAAATAAAATGTAATTAAGAAAATCATAAGAATGAGAAAATATATTCATTATTCCTTAAGTAGAAGTAGGTCATCATAAATGTCTTCATCTTTGTCTTCAAGTTGAGTAGACTGAGTAAGAACAAGAGGAGGGGTTGGTCTTGCCATCTCAGGGATGGCGGAGGTGGAAAAATATTCACATATAAATTGACCTACACAGTTCAAGTTTGTGTTGTCCAAGGGTCAACTGTACTTAGTCATATATTTTTTAAATATGTATGTGTCCTGTTTGGGTTTTCATTCTCCTACAAATCAAGACACTTGTGAGTTTTATCTCTTTTTGGGATGATCTAATTGTCTGCCTTAATAAAACTGTTTCTACAGTTGAGAAAGATTTTGTGTTAAGGTCTCTTCATGCATGGTTTTCATCTATAAAGTGGTAGTCTTGGCTAATGTTAGCCTCTCTATTTTATCTTAGATAAGTGTAATCTGCAATTCGTTTATGTGTTTAGGAATAAGGTGACAAAATAGTTGTATGCTCTTTCTAAATCTCACATACAGTATGGCAGCCTATGAGTCATTGTTATAAGTGGTTTAGACTTTATTGTCTTACATGACTTATGTTTATAGCCATACATAAATCACACAGAACCACCAGAGGAATTTTAGTGTTTAGTCATCATAAAAGAAGGGATTTCACAGATTGTCTCTATCAAGTCTGAATGAGGTCTAAGAAGAAAAGGATCACCAATAAATAATTGGTTTCAACTTGATGTCAGCTAATAATGACTATTTCTATAGAAAATAGTAACAAGAAAACTTCATTTTGCTTTATATTTCCTTCAAGTCTGTGAAATGCAGCCTCTGAAGAACTCTGCAAGGTTTCTTTTAGGGTTTAGTATTAAAGGTCTTTAAGAGAAGTAAAATAATCATTGGCCAGAAGACCTCATGAGGATTTAGTTTAGTATTAGTTCAGCTTAATCAAGAATTCATCATTTGTTTAACAAACATTTACAGATAAATACTGACAAATTTTGCATGTCAACATATAAACAAAGTCAAATACACTAAAATAACAAATTTAGAAAATAGTAGAAACTTGTTCATTCATCCATTCATTTTTTAAAGCACTTAACAGAAAAAAACCCATAATGTTTATAACATGATAAGATTTTCTACAAATGTCTAAGTAATAGATAAATGAGGTTTATTAATTGCCAATGAATATTATCATACAGCTCACAGAAGCTTAATATTAATAAATGAGAAAAATATAGAACTTCACAAATAATTTAAAAAATTGAATATTAAAACAAAACCACACATTTTTACCTATCAGATTGACAAATGTGAGAAAGTCTAAAAATATAAAATGCTCAAAATGGAGTTGGAGAGCTATTTGGCAATATCTGTGTTTATACCCCTACTATTTGATTCAGCTAAGTTTGCTCTAGGAATATATCCTACCAATGTATTTGCACAAGCTTGAAAAGATAGACATTTAAAAATATATGTCTTTGTATTTTTTAATTTTTTAATTTTTGTGAGTACATAGTAGGTGTATATATTTATAAAATACATGAGATGTTTTGATACAGGCATGCAATGTGAAATTAAGCACATCATGAATAATGAGGTATCCATCACCTCAAGTATTTATCCTTTGAGATACAAACAATCCAATTACACTCTTCAAATTATCTTAAAATGTACAATTAAGTTATTATTGACTGTAGTCCCTCTATTGTGCTATCAAATTAATGGGTACCAAAAAAATAGAAAGAGTGAATAAGTCTTTGTTTCTAAATGAAAACAAACAACATGCCCCTTAATAAGTGAATGAGAACCTAAATGCTTATGGTACATCCACACAATGGATACTGTAACATTGTTTTAAAAATGTGTTATATCTACATTTGCTTTCAAAAGAATGTTAAATCTATCTGTGCTGATATGAAAGGTCAAAATATATTAATTTAAAAATCCAAAGTGCACTAGTGAAATTGAATTATCTTGTTTGTTTTAAATGGATGCAAATGCATTCTTATAGGATATATATTCATATGCTATATTGGAGACTTAAAAGTGAGATTAGGGGAGAGAAAGAGGTATTTTTGCTTTCAATTTGAAGAATTCAGATTGCTTGAAATGTTCACCTTGCACAAAGTAAGTATGACATTTTGAGAAATTAGAGAAAATAGAGAAATTGAAGTAAGATTTATTGAACAATCATGAAATTTTAGGTATTATGTTTCTTGCCATATACATGTCTCTACTTTCATTCTTTCAACAACCTTTCATGGTGAATATTAATTTAACCACTTCACAAATGAGTAAACTGACATTGAAAAAGTAAAAAGGGAAACCTGGTGAAATAAATTAATGTTAATATATGTTATTTAACTATTTAATCCAAAATCTTATTTTTTTAACTTTTCATCAATATAGAAAATTAGTAATGAGCTGTTTTATATATCTTTCGTAATAAATGTTCAAAATCTGGTATGTATTTTCATACTTATAGAACATCTAAATTTGGATTAGTCACATTTCAGTTGCTAAATAGCCACAACTGGCTAATGGCTACAACACTGAACAGCACAGCGCTAGAATGTAAGCTCCTTAGGTATCCTCAAAAGCTACCATGTAGGTACTCACTTCTGGATCACCAAACACTAGCTCAAAGCCTAGCACATAGCGGTTGCTAAAAAAAAGTTGATGAATAAGAAACATATTTTGTGATAGTATGGAATAGACTTTTTACATGTAAGAAGGTCGGTTTTAGATATTATGGAAAGGAATAACAATGAGGAAGGAAGACAGGAAGCAGTATTTCATTTATATATGTGTGTATACTATAAGGTGTGTGTGGGGGTGTGCAGCAAGGTGTTTTCCTTTGTCTTGTTGCTATTGCTTTGGCATTTAAAACATCGGATTGAAAATGTCCTTTAGAATATTCCCCTTTTATTATGCACGATATGTTCATGCAGCTTTTTCATCACTTCTACTGGATAATAGGAGCATTTGAATGCAGTATCTTTTTCTCATTCATCTTGTTACCCACCACAGTGCAAGTAACAGAGCACTCACTCCGTAAAGAAGTATGCCAATCTTTAGAGTAGATTTCCTCAGATCTGCCTTCCTCCCTACAGCTTATTCACCATAACCTATGAGGAATCAGCCTGCTGCTGGCGTAGTTTTCAATGATGGCGTGTAGAGGTAACCTCAAAGAAGATGGCATAGTACAAAAACGATAATTTTCATGCATAATCAAAGTGTATGTAAACGGAAGTTATGAGAGAAGGTTTTGGGTAAACTGAATTGTATACTTTGTACCCAATAGGTAATTTTTCATCCCTCACCTGCCTTCCATCCTACCACTATTTGAAGTCTCCAGTGTGTATGATTCCATCCTCTATGTTCAGGTATACACATTGTTTAGCCCCCATTTATAAGTGAGAACATACGATATTTTACTTTCTGTTTCTGAGTTTTCACTTGGAATAATGGACTCCAGGTTCATCTATGTTTTTGCAAAGGACATAATTTCATTCTTCTTTATGGCTGAGTAGTATTCCACAGTGTATGTGTACCACATTTTCTTTACCCAGTTGTCCACTGATGGATATTCAGGTTGATTACATAACTTTGTTATTGTGAATAGTACTGCAATAAACATATGAGTGCAGGTATCTTTTTGATATAATGATATATTTTATTTTGGGTAGAAACCCATTAGTGGGATTCTTGGGTTGAATGGTAGTTCTATATTTAGTTATTTGAGAAATCTCCATAATGTTTTCCACAGAGGTTGTAACAATTTACATCTCCACCAACAGTGTTTGAGAGTTCCCTTTGCTCTACATCCAAGAAAGTTCTTTTAAATGACAATGTCACTTTATTCATTCACAAATTAAAATCTAAGTATAGTAATTAGAACTCAGTTGAAATTATAAAGTAACTTACATTATGGGGCTCAGGGTATACCAGTAATGTGGGCTTATGAATAGAAGGACCTATGTAATAGCTTAATCTTATTAAACATATTATTGCCATCATACCTTTGGTTTGAAAAGTAAACCTAGTGCTTATGACTTAGATGCAACCATTTGAAGATTAAAAATAATTTTTTTTTCCTCAGGTGCAGTTTGAAAACAAAGTTAATTGCCAAACTCCAGAAAGTGCAAAATACTCTAGTTTTTAAGTTTTTTCTTGCCACCAACATAGAATGTTGAATTCGAGTGACAAGCAGGTAATAGAAAATAAAATTAACATGGAATTTTATTCTTGAAATTTAGAGAAACTTCTTTTAGTAATCCATGCATACATTTTTTATCTTGCTGTTCAGGTTGTCTGTTTTGGATGAGTGGTATGCTATGAGTACCTGTCATATACTGCTAATACAATACCTCAGAGGCTGTTGTTTTCTCTACAATTTCTAACTTATGGTTGTGAGGCTGTGTAGAACTTTCATTTAAAGATGGCTCACTAATTTGCAATTCTTTTGGCAAGCCTCCAAAGTAAAAAGTATGTTAAACAGAGTCACAATTGGATCTTTAAGAAATTGTTGTTTTGGCAATGAGGTCACTCTCAGGATGCAAAACTAAAAAAGGCATTTTACATTTTACCAAAATAATTGGTATAATCTTTACCAACGTAAGGGCATAAGAAATGTGAAGGAATACTATTAATCAAAAATATCTCGGCTTTTGTCTTCCATTAAAGAACTTCTAAAGCAACACAATTATCTCAGAAGATCCATTTTAGTTTAATGCAAAAAATAATATTGGTTAAGATAGAATAGTATAAAAGAAATTGAAGGAAATAACATGTGAGCTAACAAGATACTAAACCATTAAAAAAATTAACTGTACTGTATCTTCATAGGTGTTTCCAGACAATAATGCCTTATAATTTCCTTGTGTTTACAAACAAATACATCAATCATTTGCCAGTGCAGCATGCAGCTATCTCTAGGATAAAATTTGGGAGAACTGAAGCTGCATAAAGTAACTCTATACAATAATTAGTCAGAGGCAATAAAAGAATACCATAGGCAATTAGAGCACACTAATTTTCAATTGTCGCACACAACCAAATTCATCATCATTTTGTTTCGTCTCTAAAAATATTGCCATTGAAATACTTACAATTCAACTGCAGATTTATTCATCCTAACAACTCATTAATTTTAAAGATTCTATCATGGAAAATATATATAAAATCAGAAATATCTGTCTTCAAACCAATAATTTTAAATTGAGTGTCATTTTGTTTTAACTTGCTAGAGCTTTCTTTTTTTGTTTTTGTTTTTGTTTTTGTTTTTGTTTTTGTTTTTGAGATGGAGTCTCACTCTGTTGCCCAGGCTGGAGTGCACTGGCATGATCTTGGCTCACTACAACCTCCGTGTCCTTGGTTCAAGCGATTCTCCTGCCTCAGCCTCCTGAGTAGCTGGGACTACAGGCATGCACCACCACGCCCGGCTAATTTTTGTATTTTTAGTAAGGACGAGGTTTCACTATGTTAGCCAGGATGGTCTTGATCTCCTTACCTCGTGATCTGCCCACCTTGGCCTCCCAAAGTGCTGGGATTACAGGCGTGAGCCACCACGCCTGGCCGCTAGAGCTGTCTTATCTTCAAAATGTGTTCAGGTTAGGCTTGATACAGTGCGGGTGGGGAAACATAAAAGGTTCCTTTAAGTTCAAGAATACTTTTTAAGTTTGTAAAAGGGTAAGTTTTTTTCTTTTAATATTATATATGTGAATGTCTGTGTGGACAATTTTGTTTTTAACTGAGTTAGGTTAGTTATAGCAGTTTAAGAATACATAACATTCTTGCATACATCAAATTTCTTTATTGCATTATATCTGAAAATGAATAGACTTTAAAATACTTCTTAAATTGATAATGGCAGAATCGCTAGTCAAGCTCCAACTTCTACTGCCTTATACTTGATTTGCTTTAATATGGGTTATGGGAAAAGAAAAACTATTGGGACTCCATTTAGAGCTGCCTCGCAACAGATAGGTAGAAAGGACTTCAAATTTCTATTTTTCATTACCGGAGGGCCCCTTAGGACTACATTGGAAAGAATTCTGTCTACTCCAGAGAAGAGTCTCCTAGCAGTTTAATGTGCTGATCAGTTGTGCTCAGCAGCCCAGAATCATCAAATTGCAGCTATTGAATAGTTCCAGATGAGACGATATGTTTCAAAGGATGGAGAATGCAATATGTGACACATTTCTAAAGAATGGTGATGAACAGCATTAATATGCTGATGAAGGAAAAGTGGAAATGAAAGGGACTGAGTTGTATGGGATCAACAATGACTTGGGATAGAAAAATATATATGTATAAGAAGCAGGCACCTCATGAAGTCTTTAATTATATGTCTGGTCCAGCCATATTGTTCATTCAACACTAAATTGCACAGTTCCTCTTCCTTTCATCTTTAAACAGCAGCCTTTAGAATAGTAGGACACACAAATACACTAAAGAAAGACAGATGATAGAGACTAGTAGCTTCTCTTATAGTTCAGATTCAGTACATTTTATGTCCTATGGAGTCACCTTTAAATCTAGAATAAGATTAACTACAGTCTGATTAGTATCTGTGGTTACCACCAATTTAAAAACATAAAACAAGGTCCTGAATATGATACTTTAAAACAAGGAAGTGAGGGGGAAAATGTATTTGAGGGTCCTTGTCTTGTAAGATAATGAAATCAGCAATATTCATTTTAAATGGCTAAATAAAATGCATGTTGTATACCTCTATGCACTTAACATGGAACATGCTTTTTAAAAGAATGATGACAGTTTTAGGGCAGGAGTAACACCTTTAGAGATCTAAATCAATAAAAACACAATAGTTCCCACTTCCATTCCTAGGTGCAGCAAACCACCGCGGCACACATTTGCCCATGTAACAAACCTGCACATATATCCTGGAACTTAAAATAAAATAAAAATTAAATCAAATAAAATAAGTTTAAGAAAGTCTCATGGTGACTACTTTGATGACATCAAATTACTTTTTAAAAATGTTTTGGTGACCCTATTTTGCTGGTGCCCATACATTTTTATATGTATATATATATATATATATGTGTGTGTGTGTGTGTGTGTGTGTGTGTGTGTGTGTGTGTATTTTTACTATACACATAGTATGTATGTATATAGTATGTACTATGTATATAGTATGTACTATGTATATAGTATGTACTATGTATATAGTACGTATATGTATGTATATAGTACATAGTTTTTTACTATACACATACATACATATGTGTATAGTATGTATGTGTATTTTATATATATATATATATGTATGATAATTCAGCATATAATTCCCAATGTTACAGCTCTGGTTAAGGGATAGAGTTGAAACAGTAGGGTAGAAATAGTTTCCATAGGATATATATGTACACCTCTGTGGTGACATGAGAGTTAAAAGAAGTGAGGAAGTTTGCCATGTGGGTAGCTGGGGAAATTTCCTGAGCATCAGGAACAGCAAATGCAAATGTCCTGAGCTTGGAGCATATTTGATTTGTTTAAGGAACAGCAAGTGGCAAGAGCAGAGTGAGCAAAATGAGTGAAGGAAGGGAATTAAGGTTAGAGAAACAATACGCAAAATACTCAAGGGTAACAGATGGCTCTCCATCACCAGTATTATTTCACTTCTGGAGTGAGACAGCCATCGTTAAATGCCACACAGAATCCGAGTATGTAGCTAAATCCATGTCAAGTATTAACTGCATAACTATGGCTTCTTGGCCTCTCTGAAGGTCGCTGAGTAGATTGGGAACACCAGGGAACCCAGATGGCTAACATAAATGGCATAAGATTTACAAGAAGGAGATAAATGGACAAAAGTTTGAATTCTGAAAACAAGACAAACTTTTTTTAAAAGAATTTTTTTCTGCTTTTTAAGTACATGACAACAAATGCTGTGTTATTAATTCAGAAATCTCACAATATGGTCATAATTATCTAGAAGATATATGGAAATTGATAGTTCTATTAAAGTACAAAAACATGGAATAGCCCACAAAGGAGACTTAATGAATAGTAAAACCACATTGACAAAACTGGCAGCTGACACATCTTTATTATCTCACAATGTTATGTGAGTGCAATGGCATATGGACATGGTCAGAAGCTGTAAAGCCAGAAGACAGCACAAAATGTCAGCTGAATATATGGTATAGCCATAGAGGGATACTGAATTTACCATTTTAAAACATAATCAAATAATTAACTTTGTACAATTTTTGTCTTAAGTGGAGACTGAATAGACTATATTAACTAATAGTTTGGATTTCAGGTACATGACAGAGCATTATAGCACTATTAATCAAGCCAGGTTCAAACAATTGGTGAAAATTGGTCAAGAAAATGATTTTTAAAAGTCTAATTGATAGTGTGAAGTTATAACCAAAATATTGTCTTCTATAATAGCTAATATATTTTAATGAAAATACTTATCCACCAGTGTAGATATTAGCATATGGCTTTAATTTATCTTCTTAGATCAGGAGTCTAGAACTGTACTATAGCATCATCTTAGGTTCATATATTATTCTCATGTTTTTACAATACTTTTATATATATTCACCTTGTTTATGAGATCTTTATAATCCCCTATTTAAATTAAAACTCTTCTCACCTTTTCCTTTCCCTATTCTATGCCTTGAGTCCCCTAATTCTTATGTTTTCACTGACCATCTTTTAACATACTGTATCAATTACATTTCTAATTTTTATTGCCTTTGTCTCCTCTTTAGTATGTAAGCTCCATGGCAACATGAATCTTTTTTATTTGCTGATGTATCTCAAGTATCTGGAATAGTGCCTTACACATAGCAAGGAAACAGTATTTATTAGTTGAATGAATAATAAATAACTGTTTCCCAGTTTGAACTCAGGTGTGGTAAACCTCAGGTATATGTAAATGGGGTAAATTTTGAAATTTACATACAAAAGAGATAAGAAAACCAGAGTGGCTGGATGGCTTGCAGATGTCACAGGAAAAACTAATAGAGAACTAAAGTAAGGTCTCCCAGACCAATATATTTCCACTTGGAGAATCTCATTTCCCTTTTTAGTCATTCTCAATTCTGGCTACACCCTGGAATCACTTTTGGCACTTTAAAAAATTCTAATGCCTGAATTCATTCCTCAAAAAATCCTGATGCAAGTTTGGCATGATATTTTTATTACTATCTCCTGTTTCAATAAATTAAGTCAGTTTTTCCAAAAGCACTTAAGCAGCATAGTAAATGGGATCAGACACACCTGGGTTCAAATCCTAGTCTCTGTTTTATTATGGCAAGTTCAAATCCTAGTCTCTGTTTTATTATGGCAAGTTTCCTCAGCTCTCAAATAGGGATAATAACACCAAACTTGCAAGGAAATGCAAGGATCAAATAAGATAATGTATTTGCAATAGTCTAGCACATAGTAGATATTCAATAAGTGTTGCATTTTGCCTCTTTCCACTTTTGTTTCTTTCTTCCTGACTGCAAAGTTTTGACTATTTCTACTGCACATCCAAGTAAACTGTAGAGGTAAGATTCGTTAATTGTTGATGTTGTCAATGTGATTTTAGTATTCTTTAGTCTCTGTTACAACAATGTTTGAGATTTTATTTTAATAAGAACTACAAATTCTCTCATGCCTTGAGTATAACTATGATCGGGGGTTCCAAACTCCTGGGCCAGGGACAGCTTAGGAATCCAGCTGTACAACAGGATGTGAGCAGTCAGTAAGCAATGGAAGCTTCATCTATGTTTACAGCCACTCCCCATCACTCACATTACCACCTGAGCTCCGCCTCCTGTTAGATCAGCAGGGGCGTTAGGTTCTCAAAGGAATGCAAACTCTATTGTGAACTGAGCATGGGAGGGATCTAGGTTGTGCACTCCTTATGAAAATCTAATGCCTGATGATCTGTCACTGCCTCCCATCACCCCCAGATGGGACCATCTAGGTTCAGGAAAACAACCTCAGGGCTCCCACTTGATTCTACATTATGGTGAGTTATATAATTATTTCAACATATATTGCAATGTAATAATAATAGAAATGAAGTGCACCGTAAATGTAATATGCTTGAATCATCCCAAAACTATTCACCCCCATGCCACAGTTTGTCTTGCATTAAACCAGTCCCTGGTGTCAAAAAGATTGGGGATTGCTGATTGTGATCATATACTGAATTTCCCGAATCAATAGCACAGCATTTATTTTCACAAGTTAACAAATAGTAAAATGTTTGTTGTATATGCTTGATTTTATTTCCCTACTTGCATCTTCTTTCATAAATTATTTCCAGTATTAGTAGCTATTTTGAGATTACATTAAGGTGTTTCAAGCTTTTAATATGAATTAAAAAAATCTCTAGGACTAATATTGAGGAATAACATTTGATGCTGTTACAGGATTGGCATATGTTTATGTATGTCTTTCTAAAAAATATGTGACTGCAGGAGATAGTTAAAATTATGCCTCTTAGATTGATTGGAAAGGTTCATTAGGGGAATACCTACAAAGTGATAGTGGCTAGAAAATGGAATACATGAGTCTTGTTATTTCTTTTTATCTGAAACATCATTATTTAGGAATAATTATATGCCAAAAATTCACCTTTTAAGTGTACAATTCAATAAGGTATAGCAACTTTACAAACATATGAAAACAATTCAGTTTTTAAAATACATCTTTCACCACAATAAAAATCAGTCATACCCGTTGCAGTCAATCCCTGTGCTCACTTCTAGGTAACCACTGATATGCTTCCCGTCTCCATAGATTTTCTGTTTCTGGATATTTCATATAAGTAGATTCTAAAACATGTAGTCTTAGATACAACTTTTAAAACTTAGCATACTCTTTATGAGGCTCTCCCATGTTGTAGCATGTATCAATATTTTATTCCTCTTTATTTCTGAAAAAGGTATAATAATTATATGGATATGTAACTGAATTAGTTGCTCAGAAAGGCAGTAAAAAAATTACCATATACGTGGTGTCTTAAAACAACAGAAATGTGTTCTCTTACATTCTGGAGGCTAGAAGTTCAAAATTAAGGTGACAGTAAAGCCATGCTCCATCTAAAGTTTCCAGAGAAGAAACCTTCATTGTTTCCTGTATTGTCAAATAGCCTGTCTTCAAGCTCACTAATTCTTTCTTCTGCTTGTTCAATGCTGCTATTAAAGAACTCTGATGCATTCTTCAGTATGCCAATTTCATTTTAGAATTTCTGCTTTATTCTTAATTATTTCAATGTTTTAGATTTATTTGATAGAATTCTGAATTATTTCTTTGTGTTACCTTGAATTTCTTTGAGTTTCCTCAACACAGCTATTTTGAGTTTTCTATCTGAAAGATCACATATCTCTGTTTCTCCAGGATCAGTCCCTGATGCCTTATTTAGTTCATTTGATGAGGGTCTTTTTTGCTGGATGGTGTTGATGCTCATAGATGTTCTCCAATGTCTGAGCATTGAAGAATTAGGTGTTTAATATAGTCTTTGCTGTCTTTATAGACATTTATAGCCATCTTTTTTTGGGTAAGGGTTTCCAGACATTTGAAAAGACTTAGATGTTGTGATTTAAGCTAGTTCTGCTTTCAACTCCTCTCCACCCCCACCCACAAGCCTAGTAATGCTGTGATTTATGTAGACTTGTAGAGGGAACATCTTGATTATTTTGGACAAGATCAGGGAGAATTCTCTGGATTACCAGGCAGAGACTCTTGTTCTCTTCCCTTACTTTCTCCTAAACATACAGAGTATCTCTCTGTGTTCTTAGCTGCCTAAAGCTAGAGATGGAGTGACAAAAGCACCCCTGTAACCACCACCACTATGACTGTGCTGAGTCAGACTTGAAGCCAGCACTGCACTGGGTCTTGCCCAAGGCCTGCTGTAACTATTCCCTGACTACTGCCTATGTTTACTCAAGGCCTTGGGGTTCTACAATCAGCAGGTGGCAAAGCCAGCCAGACATGTGTCCATCCCTTCAGGTCAGCAAGGCTCCCTATATCTCGTGTGGGTCCAGAAGTGCCATTCAGGAGTCAGGGACTAGAGTCAAAATCCTTAGAAGTCTACCTGGTATTCTACTGCATTGCCACTCACCTGGCACAAATCACAAGATGCAGCTTTTCCTACTCTTCCCTCCCCTTTCCAAAGGCAGAGAAGCCTCACCTCATGGCCACCATGACCTCTGGCCATGACAAGTGAAAAATGTCATTAGTATTTTGATAGGGATTAAATATGTAGATTGCTTTTGGTAATATGGACATTTTAACAATATTGATACTTCCAATACATGAACATGGAGTAGATACTCCATGTTTTTGATGGCCTCCTCAATTTCTTTCATCAGTGTTTTATAGATTTTATTTTAGAGATCTTTTACTTATTTGGTTAATTCCTTGGTATTTAATTTAATTTTATTTACAGCTATTATAAAAGGAATTAATTGTTTGATTTGTATTTCAGATTGTTCACAGTTGGCATATAGAAATGTTGCTGATTTTCAAATGTTGATTTTGTATCCTGAAGCTTTACTGAATTTATCGGTTCTAATAGTTTTTTGGTGGAGTCTATAGGTTTTCCCAAATATAAGATCATATCATCTACAAACAAGAATATTTTAATGGCTGGGCACAGTGGCTCACGCCTGTAATCCCAGCACTTTGGGACGCCAAGGCGGGCAGATCACGAGGTCAGGAGTTCAAGACCAGCCTGACCAACATGGTGAAACCCCATCTCTACTAAAAATACAAAAATTAGCCAGGCGTGATGGTGCACTCCTGTAATCCTAGCTGCTCGGGAGGCTGAGGCAGGAAAATCACTTGAATCCGGGAGGCAAAGGTTGCAGTAAGCCAAGATCACACCACTGGTCTCCAGCCTGGGCGACAGAGCAAGACTCCATCTCCAAAATAATAATAATAATTTAATTTATTCCTTTTTAATTTGAAGGCCCATTATTTCTTTCTATTTTCTGATTTCTCTAGGTAAAACTTACAGTATTATGTTGAATAACAGTTGTGTAAGAGGGCACCCTTGTTGTGTTCCAGATCTAAAGGGGAGGGATTTCTGTTTTTTCTCCTTCAGTATGATACTAGCTGTGAGTCTGGCATATATGTCTTTTACTATGCTATGGTATGTTCCTTCTATACCCAATTTTGTGAGGGTTTTTTATTGTGAAGCAATATTGAACTTTATCAAATGCTGTTTCAGCATCAATTGAGATGATCATATGGTTTCTCTTCTTCATTCTGTTGATACGATGTGTCACATTGATTGATTTGCATATGTTGAACCATCCTTGCATCCCTTGGATAAATCCCACTTGGTAATGATGAATAATCTTTTAAATGTATTATTGATTTCTGTTTGCTATCAACAGTATTTTATTGAAAATTTTCCATCAGTATCCATCAGAGGTATTGGCCTGTAGCTTTCTTCCATTTTTTTTTTTATGTTTCTTTGTCTGGTTTTGGTGTCAGTGTAATACTGACTTCATATAGTTAGTTTGGAAGTACTACCTCTTCCTCTATTTTTCAAAACAGTTTGAGTAGAATTAGTATATGTTCTTTAAATTTTGGTGGAACTCAGCAGTGAAGCCAGCACAATCTGGGCTTTTCTTTACAGGGAGACTTTTTATGACATATTCTATTTCATTATTTGTTATTGGTCTATTTAGGTTTTAGATTTCTTCATGGTTCAGTCTTGGTAGGTTGTATATGTCTAGGAATTTATATATTTATTTTTGCTTTTCCTAATAATGGGCATATAGTTGCTCATACTAGCCAGTAATGATACATTGAATCTCTGTGACATCAGTTATAATGTATCTTTTGACTTCTGATTTTATTTATTTGGGTCTTCTCTTTTTTTTTTCTTTTTTTCCCTGAACTAGTCTGGTTAAAAGTCTGTCGATTTTCTTTATCGTTTCAAGAAAGAATTTTTTTCATTCATCTTTTGTATTGTTTTCTTAATTTCAAATTCATTTATTTGTACTGTGATCTTTATTATTTCTTCTACTAATTTTTGGTTCAATTTACTCTTTCTTTCTAGTCCTTTAAGATACATTATTAGATTATTTATTTAGATTTTTTCTTTTTTGATGTAGGTACTAATAGCTATAAATTTCTCTCTTTGAACTGCTTTCCCTCTATTCCACAGGCTTTAGTAAGTTGTGTTTCTATTGTCATTTGTTTCAATAATTTTTTCAATTATATTTTTAATTTGTTTATTGACCCACTGGTCTTTTAGGAGCATTTTAATTCCTATATGTTTGTTTAGTTTCCAAAACTTCTCTTGTTATTAATTTGTAATTTTCTTCCATTTTAGTCAGAGATAGTGCTTGATATTATTTTAATTGTTTTTAATGTTTAAGACTTGTTTTGTTACCTAATCTATGGTCTATCCTTGAGTACGATCCATGTGCTGGTGAGAAGAATGTGTATTCTGCCACCATTAGATGAAATGTTCTGTAAATATCTATTAGGTCCAATTGTTATATAGTGCAGATTATGTCTGATTTTTCTCTGCTGATTATCCGTCTGTGAGATCTGTCCAATGCTGAAAATTGAGTGTTGAAGTCTCCAGCTACTGTTGTATTGGGTCATATCTCTCTCTTTAGCTCTAATAATATTTGTTTTATTTATCTGGGTGTTTCAATGTTTGGTGCATATATATGTGTGTATGTATGTATGTGTGTGTGTGTGTGTGTGTGTATATATATATATATATATATATATATAAAATCATTATATCCTCTTGCTGAATTGACTCCTTCATTTTTATATGGTAACCTTCTTAGTCTCTTATAGTTTTTGTCTTTAAATCTATTTTGTCTAACATAAGTAAAGATTCTCCTGCTCTATTTTGATTTCCTTTGGTATCTAATATCTTTTTCTGTATATTGATTTTCAGCATATATGTATCTTTATAGGTGAAGCATGTTTCTTGTAGGCATCAGATCTTTGAGTCTTGTTTTTCATACATTCATCCACTCTATGTTTCTTGGAGAGTTTAGTCCATTTACATTCAATGTTATTACTGATTAGTAAGGACTTACTTATCAAGAAAACTTATCTTCTGGTTGTTTTTCAGTCTTCTTTCTTTCTTTCCTATCTGTCTTATTTTAGTAAAGGTGAGTTTCTCTGGTGGTTTGCTTTAATTTCTTGCTTTTCATTTTTTTGTGTATCCATTCTAAGTTTTTCTATTTAAGATTACCACAAGGCTTACAGATATTATCTTATTTTTTATTGTATGTGTATTTATTTATTTTATTTGTATATATATTTTTTATTATACTTTAAGTTCTAGGATACATATGCACAACATGCAGGTTTGTTGCAGCACACCAACATGGCAGATACTATCTTATAAACCGTTGTATTGAACTAATGATAATTTAACACTGTTTGCATAAAAAACTAACAAACACATGTAAAGAAAGCTAATAAAAACTCTATACTTTAACTTCATCTTCCCACCTTTTAACTTTTTGTTGTTTCTCTTTCTGTCTTATTGTACCACCTGTTTTAAAATGTTGTCATTTTTTTTATTCCTTCCTCATTCTTTCTACTTAAGCTTTGAATTGAAGCTTACACGCCACAGTTACAGTGTAATAATACCCTGTGCTTTTCTGTGTGCTTGCTATAACCATTGAGTTTTGTACATTCATATGATTTCTTCTTGCTCATAACATCCTTTTCTTTTAGATTGAAGAGCTCCCTTTAACGTTTCTTACAGGACAGGGCTGCTGTTGGTGAATTTCCTCAGATTTGATTTGTCTGGGAGGGTCCTTATTGTTCCTTCATGCTTGAACAATATTTTCACAAGATACACTATTCAAGGGCAAAAGTTTTTTTCCTTCAGCACTTTAATATGTCATGCCACTCTCTCCTGGCTATAAGGTTTCCACTGAAAAGTCTGCTGCCAGACATATTGGAGCTCCATTACATAATGTCATTCATTTCTTATCTCTTGCCATTTTTATGATTCTCTTTATAACCTTGATCTTTGGGAGTTTGATTATTAAATGTCTTCAGGTAGTCTGCTTTGGGTTAAATCCGCTTGGTGTTCTACAACTTCTTGAACTTGAATGATGTTATCTTTCGCTATGTTTGGGAAGTTCCCTGTTATCCATTTGAATAACCTTTCTACTCCTATCTCTTTCTCTAACTCCTCTTTAAGGATAATAACTCTTAGATTTGCTCTTTGAGGGTATTTTCTAGGTCTTATAGGCATACTTCATTGTTTTTTATTATTTTTTTCTTTCATCTCCTGTAACTGTGTATTTTCAAATAGCCTGTCTTCAAGGTCACTAATTTTTTCTTCTGATTCATCAGTTTTGCTGTTGAGCAACTCTGATGCATTCTTCAGCATGTCAGTTACACTTTTCGACTCTAGAATTTCAGCTTTTTAAAAACTATTTCAATCTCTTTATTAAATTTACTGATAGAATTCTGAATTCCTTCTCTGTGTTGTCTTAAATTTCTTTGAGTTTCCTCATAACAGCTATTTTGAATTATCTGTCTGAATATTCATATATCTCTGTTTTCCAGTATTTGTCAATGGTGCCTTATTTAGTTCATTTGATGAGATCATATTTTCCTGGATGGGGTTGATGCTTGCAGATGTCCATTAGTATCTGGGCATTGAAGAGTTTGGTATTCACTGTAGTTTTCATAGTCTGGGCTTGTTTGTGCCTATCCTTCTTAGGAAGACTTTCCAGGTATTAAAAGGGACTTGGGCCCTAAGCCCAAAAGCACTGTGGTTTTTGCAGCCTCATAGTGGTTCCACCTTGGTGGTCTTGGATAAGATCCAGAAGAAATATTTGAATTAGCAGGAAGAGAATCTTGTTCTTTTCCCTTGCATTCTCCCAATCAAATGGAGTCTCTGTCTCTGTGCTGAGCTACCTGGAACTGGGGGTGTGGTAATGCAAGCACGCCTGTGACCACCACCAGTGGGACTCTGCTGGGTCAGACCTCAAGCAAGCACAGCACTGGGCCTTGTTCAAGGCCCTCCCGTTCAGTATGTTGAGGTTCCCTAGGCCCCAGGTGGGTCTCGAGATGCTCTCTGGGAGCCACGGATTGGAGTAACAATTTACCTAATGTGCTCAATTTACCTAATGTGCTATTCTACTGTGGCTGTGGTTGCACTCAAATCATAATACAAAGTTCTTCTCACTCTTTCCTCCCCTTTCAACAGGCAGAGGAGCCTCTTGCTGTGGCTACCATCACCACTGGTTCATGGGGAGTTCTACCAGACCACCACCAATGTTCACTTAAAGCCCAAGGGCTCTTCATTCAGCTTGTAGTGAATAATGCCAGGCCTGAAACTCACCCTTTAGGACAGTAGGCTTCTGTCTGTCCCAGGCCAGGCCCAAAAATATAATCCAAGAGCCTATCCCTATATTCAAGGACCCCAAGAGTCTGTTTGTGTCTCTACCCCCCTGTGGCTAAGCTGGTACTTAGAGTTCAAGATAAACTCCCCTTTACTTTTCCCTCTCCTTTTCTCAAACAGAAGGAGTCTTTGACCGTAGCCACCACAGCTGGGAATATGCTGAGTCACCCCTGAAGGCAGCACATCTCAGAGCCAAAGGACCATGGCATACATCCTGGATACTGCTGGTGGTTATTCAAGGCTCAAAGGTTCTTTAGTCAGCAGGTGATTAATCCTGCCAGGACTAGTTCCTTCCTTTCAAAGTACTGGTGTCCCTTTTGGACCAAGTGCGTCTATAAATGTTGTCTGGAAGGTAGGGCCTCACAACTCTGCCCAGTGCCTTGTCATACTGTGGCTGAGTTGTTATCCATGATTCAAGACAAGGTCATTTTAGTCTTTGCTCTCCTCTGATTAAGTAGAAGGAAAGAGTCACTTTTGTTGCTATGAGCTGCACTGTTTGAGGTTGGAGGCAGGTATCAATCTAGCACTCCTTTAGCCACACCAGCTGTTGTTTCCATAGGTCACATGCCACCTTAGTTCACTGGCTCTAAGCCCAGACTAGCAGTAAGAGTTTCCTAGAAATCATAGTCCTTGTACCTAGACTGCTTTTCAAATTTACCTAGGACCTCAGATCACTTCAGTCTGCAGTGGCTGAAACTCATGTTCTGACTGCTGGGATGGATGACTTCCCTATGGCTAGGGCTGGTCCAATTATTCCCTTTGTGATCCCAGAATGTCTTTATTCTCAGTTGTGACATGGCAACACTGCATTCAATGTAAAGTCCCCCAGTCACTGTGCTCTCCCTTCCCAAAGTGCAGAGATTCTCTCTCGGGACCTCATGGCCACTGCCAGGGGATGGAAAAGGATTGCTGTTGCTGATTCAAAACCTTCTCTCCTACTTTCCTCAATGCGTCTTTTCATGATATAAAGTTAAAATCAAGTACTATAATCACTCACCTGATTTTTGGTTCTTGTAATGTTGCTTTTCTATATGAAGATAGACTTTTATTTTCTCTTACACGTTGAATATGACATTGTAGAATAATAATAGGCCCTCTGGTGTCTGTTGTTCCTGATTAGAAGTCAACTGTAATCCTCCTTTATTTCCATTTTATGTAATGAGTTGTTTTTCTCTTGGTGCCTTAAGATTTTCTCTGTGTCTTTGTCTTTCAACTACTTGTTTATGATGTGTCTCGACATGGGTCTTTTTATGTTTATCCTACTTTGATTTCATTGAGCTTCTCAGATATTCAGATTAACATTTTTCTTCAAGTTTGGTAATGCTTTCTTCGGCCATGATTTCTTCGAATATTCTTTCTGCCCCTCTCTGTCACTGTTCACATTTTAGGAATTCCAAAATGCATGATACTGATGCTGTGGTTCATGTTGTCCCCAGGTCACTGAAACTCTGTTTATTTCTCTTTTGTTTTACTTATTCTTCTGATTTTGTAATCTTTATTGTTTTATCTTCAACTTCATTGATGTTTTCCTCTGTCAGATAAAATCTGCATGAGTCTAGTGAATTTCTTATTTCATTTATTGTTTCTTTCAACTACAAAATTTCTATTTAGTGTTGTTTATTAAATAAATTAAGTCTCTATATTGATACTCTCTATTAAGTGAGTCATTTTCAACACATGCACCTTTAATTCTTTATGCACTGTTTTCATTATTTCTTTGAGCACATTTAAAATGAATACTTTGAAGTCTTTTTCTACTAAGTCCAACACCTGGACACCATTAGAGACAGTTCCTCTTGACTTCCTTTTTCTTTTACTTATGTATGGGTCACATATTCCTGTTTCTTGAATATCATTTTTTTAATGATCATCTTAAATAATTTAGTTTAGTGTCTATGGATCTGGATTTCCTTCTATGGATTGTTTCGTTACTATTGTGTTTTTGTTTGGCTTATTTGTTTGGTCTTACCTATACTAATTCTGTAGAGTCTGTCTCCCATGCAGTGTATGGCCATTGATGTCTCTGCATTTTTATCTTTTTTAAAAGATAATTTTATTGTTTATATTGTTAAGACTGGCTTCATAGGGTTTACTTCAGGGTCAGTATAACTTAGTAGTAAACCAGTCATTGATCAAAGTTTGCACATAAACTCTTAAAGTGAATAAGGTTTCCACTCTTTGTTAATGGATCTGTGTGTGGATTGGGGTACATATTCAAATCACTCAGTGGAAGTTTTTCATGGATATTTCTTTCTGGATGCACAAAGTCCTCATATTCAGCAAAAGATGAGAGGCCTTTCCTGAATGTTTGTCAGCAAGACTACTCGGGCCGGGTGTGGTGGCTCACGCCTGTAATCCCAGCACTTTGGGAGGCCGAGGCGGGTGGATCACGAGGTCAGGACTTGAAGACCAGCCTGGCCAACATAGTGAAACCCCATCTCTACAAAAAATACCAAAAATTAGCCGGGTGTGGTGGCGGGCACCTGTAATCCCAGCTACTCGGGAGTCTGAAGCAGGAGAATCGCTTGAACCCAGGAGGAGGAGGTTGGAGTGAGCCAAGATCGCACCATTGCACTCCAGCCTGGAAGACAGAGCAAGACTCTGTCTCAAAAAAAAAAACAAAAAACAAAAAAACCCAAAAAACCAAAACTACTATTTGTTTTCACAGTGTCTCTGACCATGAGTTTTTGTTTTCCTTGTTCTAAATCCAGACAGACCCCTTCCAGCCGTGTGACTACCAAGTGTTAGTTCACTCTGCCTTATACTGGTAGAGCTACCACAACATGGAGGTTGGACTTGAGAATGAGAGTTACCTCATGTTAAACTGCCACACATTCCCATTGTCCTTGCTAAGGTTTTTTTCTTGAATACTTTTTGTCAATTTGTTGTAGGCCTTTGGCTGATTTCCAATCTTGAAATATTTCTTTTTGATAAATTGAACCAGTTGTATCTTTTTTTTTTTTTTTTTTTTTTTTTTTGAGACGGAGTCTCGCTCTGTCACCCAGGCTGGAGTGCAGTGTCGTGATCTCGGCTCACTGCAAGCTCCGCCTCCTGGGACTACAGGCGCCCTCCACCACGCCAAGCTAATTTTTTGTATTTTTAGTAGAGACGGGGTTTCACCACCTTAGCCAGGATCGTCTCAATCTCCAGACCTCGTGATTCGCCCTCCTCGGCCTGCCAAAGTGCTGGGATTACAGGCGTGAGCCACCGTGCCCGGCCCGTATCATTTCTTTTTGCTGAGTTCCTTACTTTGCCATTCCAAAAGTTAAGTAGCATCATGTCCTCCTGCTCTTTTGAAGGACAAAATGATGAGTTATTATCAAATGTATATTTCAAATGAGTGGACATAGTTTAATGGAATCATTTGTCATAGGAATTAAGGGTTAGTTTAACAACTGATTTTTATATTCCCCATTTCTATACAGGAATTTCTAAAATCATCTTACCATTTCACACATTTTAGACCCTTAATATCTTATATTCAAAGGAGATTTTTTTTTCAACAAATATGACATTTAGGACTTTATAAAAGTATGCCTCATTTCCCAGGATTTCTAAGATTTTGTTTGTTTGTTTTGATTTCTGCTGTATTGCTGCAGGCTTGAGGAAATATCTGATGTTCTAAGAATATACAAATATTTAGTCAGGTCTAAAAAATGCAAGGTTTTTAAGTTTTGCTAAATTTTACCACTTTTATCTATAAATGACTTAAAATGCCAACTAAATAATAATACTTATATAAAGCTAAAAAGGATCCTACTGTATTTAAAGCTTAACAAGTTACTTCTGTTAGTTAAGACTTTCTAACTTGCTAAACATGAACTACAAGGTCTTATTGTAGATAACTTTCCACACAAAGATGGTAATGGCTAGAAGCAAAGATTAAAAGACTAGAATTATTTAAACTCTTCAGATACTGCTTCAGGTTATTTCCACATAGAAATAGCCTAGTTATATACAGTTGGATTCTTTAACCTTGAAAGTCTACACTTATTACTTCTGTTGTGCAGTGAAGAACTGCTCTAGAATTATTGAAATATTGTTTGCAGTGGAAAATGCCTCACAGAAAATAATTTTTAAAATAATAGTTGTAAAAAGAAAAACACAGTCAACCTCAGTTTGTATTGCCTGACAAAACTGGTGAAGCCAATCAAGAAAGATCATGTGGATTTTAATTTGGACTAATTAATAGCAGTCCATTTCTGTGCCCCTTAGTTCTTTTTATATTCCATATTATTAATGTGACTATAATTTTTACTTGTGGGTGCTACTTTTCTAATTGTGAATAAATGAATCATTGAACTTTAGAATTACAGCGGAACCCCTCTGTCCATCTAGTTAGGAAAGCTACCATATGGAAAACTTTATGTCTTACACAACTGATAATTGTAAAATAATATTTTGTTAGGAGAATGGTACAAATGAGATTTCTATTTTCATTCCAAGTGACTGCCTTTTAATCGTATATAGCACCTTGAATAATATATCAGGCAATTATGACTATAGATATTTCTGGCACTTTATAAGCTTCATAATTCAAAATTATCAAGCTAGAACATAGAAATTTTCCTCCTCCCCCTCCCCCTTCCCCTACCCCCTCCTCTTCCTTCTCCTCCTCTTCCTCCTCCTCCTTCTTCTTCTTCTTGCTTATCTCTCTGTCTCTCTCTCTCTCTCTCTGTAGGATAACATAGGGACTAACAATTTAGCCACTGCCTACATTGTAATCCCGACTTTCCTTCTCACCAGCTGTGGGAACTTCTGTCTCAGTTTTTCTTATCTGTAAAATGAGGATAATAGAACCTAACTGATAGAGTCATTGCTAATATATGTAATGCACTTAAGAGAGTTTCTGGCACATGCTAAGTGCCTATAGGATGCATTGTCTTTGTCAAACAGTTCCTTCAATATGATGCTATTTGCACTAGAGGTGAAAGCATGTTTTGCAAATATGACTCTTAGTTAAAATATGTAAATACTATGTCGACATTAAACTCAGATATAGGAAGCATTTTTTAAACTAAACAGGCAATTTGGATTTTCAGTAAATTTGACCAAGCCACATAATCAAAAGTCTACTTTAAGGCATAGGCAACACAGATGAGCTCTCTGTGTTGAATATATGAATTAAAATTTACCAAATATTGGCCGGGCGCGGTGGCTCACGCCTGTAATCCCAGCACTTTGGGAGGCCGAAGCGAGCGGATCATGAGGTCAGGAGATCGAGACCATCCTGGCTCACATGGTGAAACCCCGTCTCTACTAAAAATACAAAAAAATTAGCCAGGCATGGCGGGGGGCGCCTGTAGTCCCAGCTACTCAGGAGGCTGAGGCAGGAGAATGGCGTGAACCCGGGAGGCAGAGCTTGCAGTGAGCTGAGATCATGCCACTGCACTCCAGCCTGGGTGACAGAGTGAGACTCCTTCTCAAAAAAAAAAAAAAAAAAAAAAGATTTACCAAATATCCATCCAACATTGTGCTTTGTTATTTAGACACAGTTCTGTCCATTTATCCATTACATAGAACTTAAAACATCAACTTAGCTGTTTTTCCAATTGTAAAAGCTGTTACCCTGGTACCTAGAGGAGTTATTAACAGATAGCATGCGCTCAACAGTTATTGAATAGATGGATGGAAAGATGAATAGGATTAGAAATCATGGAGAAACATTCAAATTTTACTTAAGTCAACATGCTATTGTAAATTTAAAATTGTCTTTAAAGTACATATTAAACCAGTGCTAATTCATCCTCCTAAAAGTTAGGTATATGACAAATATGTAAAACATCTGGTAGATTTTTATGAGTTCAATCCAGGTTTTTGGCACAGATGACATCAAGGGGATAAGAAACAAGACTGTGATTTGACAGAATATTTCACTTTCTGAAACGTTATATTGCCATATTTTAGATGTAGTTCATCAAACATACTACAGCTGTTCTTACCCTGCATTTTCTGTCTTCCTTAAATCTGAATGTCACTTAAAGATTCCTATTTTAGCAGTACTCTAAAGGGAGAGTTGTCATGGGGAATCTGAGTCAATATACTGTATCAAGAATGTCATCAGATATTTGACCACAATTCGGTGTGTCTATAGTGATGTGAATGTGACATCTCTTAACGTACTTGCAATTATCTATTACTCTGGAACACATAGCTTCATAAAGCCCTGAATTAATCTTCAGGGAGAAGAATGCCTAATAAAGGACACAATAATGTGCAGCAACTCTGGCAATAAATTTGATGAAAGGTTTCCTGAAAGCCACAGCAAAGGGTAATATGAGTCCACTTATTAGCTCTCTGTTAGTGTTATTTATGTTCTGTGACCCACAGGGAGATGAGAGATTTTATTTTGCTGCCTGGCCCTCCTCCCCAGTATTTCAGCATTTGGTGCTTTGGGACCAGTGTTTGTATACTGACTGGGACATATTTGTCATCTTGGGAGATATGCTTTTTTCTTCACAATAGAATCTTACAGGATTTTTGTTGTTGTTATTATTGTTTGTTTTTTATTTTAGTTTTGGTATCTTGAAGTTTTGGAACTGTTATGCATTTCTCTGGCTTGAGGGTTTTGTACAGAGTTATAAGGGAAAATGAGCTTATGATGCATGGACCTTGCAATAACTCTGAGAAGCATATTTTGGGAGCGCAAAATCAAAGTGAATAAAGTGCCTTTTTGTTAAATATCTCTATGAATAATTTGTTTTGGTTTTATGTAAATTCAATGTCTGATAAGTATATAAAATATTTAGTATCTTTTTTACTAATGGCTTTCGGAGACTGTGGTATGTATTCAAAATTTGGCATTTATATTTTACAGTGTATTTTCTAAATGGATTATTTTCAGAGTCGAGGGGATAACTATGTTTCATTATGCTTTATACTTATAATTGACTTCAGTTCATGGCACAGGTGAAACAAGGGAACAGTGACTCAGGAAAACCTTGTCCTTAGATCCCTTATACCTCTAGAAATATTGCATTGATCCTTTTTCTTCACTACCAAACTCTTAGATACCTGAGGTCATTAATACATTTCCCTGAATATTGTGTTCTTTATTCTCATTACTGTCAGCACTGCCTTTAACCCATTGTTTGTGGCTTGTTGATGTTATTGTTTTTGATGTTCATTCTTTTGAGAAAATAAGAAAGATAATGTGTAGTAGGACTTTACTTGAGTATTTGAATTTATATTGTTATCTTCTGATACTACATTTTAATCATGCAGAATTATGAGCTGAGGAAAAAGAAGGGGAGAGAGACATTAAGAGGATGTGATTTCTATTGTTGATCATTATGGGTCAAGGTTTTAATTTTTGCATTAATCTCTTATTTATCCTACCTATTTCATGCCAGTATTCATTTAATATGATAGTGCAAGCACAGAAACTATCCATAAAACACAGACAAGAAGAATCTGGTGCTATTTAATTCAAAATATAATTCAATTAAAGGATCATTGAGGGAATATTTGGAAAGAAAATGCATTATCTTTTTCTAGAATAACAACTCAGGGTTGTGAAGATATACAGCTTAAATAAAGAAAGGGTATGCAACCTAAAGACAGAGCAATACAGGTTGAAATAAATTTAGGATTTTGTTACTCCAAAAATTTAGAAATTAAGTGTGTGTCTTTCTCCATGGGAGTAAATAGATCTCACTTCAAATTTAAATTTATTGACATTTGCTCAATCCATCAACAAATGAATATTTAATATCCAGTTTGTAGAAGGAACTGCTCTACACAGTATAGAGAGTAATTCATGTTCTCCTATTCTCAAGAGGTTTATGGTCTATAAACACAGGAAAAACAATCTTAATAAAAGTTAAAGTTAAACATGGGTTTAAGCGGAACTATTATAGATGTATAAGCAATATTCTATGAAAATGCAAATAAGTGAGGGATGCATTAAAAAAATAGAAATTAGGAAATACATTCAAGAGGAGATGTTATATATGAAGCAATCTGAAAAATAAGTGTTATGTTAATTCAAAAGGTGAAAAATGAGGAGAAGATGAGTTCTTTCTAGAAGGAACAGAAGAAATGGAGGCACAGATGTGTGAAAATTTGTAAGGAGATATAAGTAAACTATCTAAAATAGGCTTGATGGGATTATCAGCCAGTTGACACTTTGGCAGTGAAATGAAAATGAGAGATAGAACCTTGTCTTGAGAGTGTAAACAGGGACAAACAAAGGGATTTCAGAATAAATGAGAAACTGTATTATTAAATTGGCAAGCTGGGGTGATGGAGGCAGTTGTTGCCTGTTTTAGTATCCCTTTATGTTTTCTTGCATCAACATGAAAGTATTACGTTTTGAGGGGAAATAGCATTTTTTATAACATCACTTTTCTAAAGAAAAAGTTCATGAATAATACATTGGTTTGGAGATAGGGAAAAAACTCAGTTTTTAAAATGAACATTGGCCTCCTATTTTGGTTTAGGAAAAAAATAACTGTTTCCATCAACATTTTTCCTAATGAGTTCTTCAGGACTAATAAATAAAAGTCACATGGTGGGGGTGAGAGGAATTTTATGTTAGACAAACACATTTGATGATCTCTGGGATCAGTGAGGTTAGATGTTTTATTATTGCTGTTCTTGGGTTTGTCATTAATACACTAGTATCAATGCGAATCTTCTAGAGAAGAATGTCCAACTCAGGATCCCTTGCAAATAGAATTCGACAAGTGGACTTTTTTTTTTTTTTCCTACATAGCATCTCACAGAACAAGTGATCCACAGGAAAATATTTTGGGAAACATGGCCTTGTAAAAATGATAGAAAAAAGCAACCTGCCTAAAATATTCACTAGCTATATGATAGTCTTTAATCTGAAACATTTCATTAAGAAACACAATGTGCAAAATACTTTAATTCCCACCTGAAAGTTAATATATTGTCTTTTGCTTTGCTCATTTTATGGCTAGCAGGTATAACATTCTTACTGTATTCAGGCTATTTAAAAGCTCCTGAAGAAGAATTGGAAGTAAAATGATTAAAGTTCTCAGATCTACAAAATATGATGGCTCCCTGGTGGGATTTATTTCCAAAGATTCTGGATGTCTAGTATCATCTGACTAGCAATTTAGAAATATCCAGATTAAAAGCCCATAAAAATGAAAAACTGTAGGAGGAGGAAGATAGACAATATTTATGTAGAGATTGTATTTTTAAATCTGTTTTTTGTAACAAAGGGAACTGTGCTTAAACATCTATATTTTTCTTGTCCTTGAGTGTTGGTTAATGCTTTATTTTCTTTGGATACCTATAGTTGTATCCTACTATGGTTTCAAGTAGGCTTAACACAGAGTAGTGTGCTACTGAAAGAAAGTAATGTTAAGTTACATTATTGTTCTTGATTTATGGTAAGAAGTATAGGATTTTATTAACAAGAATGTAGGATAGGCTGGGAGCAATGGCACATGCCTGTAATCCCAGCACGTTGGGAGGCCGAGGCAGGTGGATCATTTGAGGTCAGGAGTTCGAGACCAGCCTGACCAAAATGACAAAACCCCATCTCTACTAAATACAAAAAAAAATTAGCCGGCCGTGGTGGCGCGTGCCTGTAATCCCAGCTACTTGGGAGGCTGAGGCAGGAGAATTGCTCAAACCTGGGAGGCGGAGCTTGCAGTGAGCGGGGATTGCACCACTGCACTCCAGCCTGGGCAACAAAATGGAATTCCATCTCAAAAAAAAAAAAAAAAAAAAGAAAGAAAGTAGGAGTACAAAAGACAATGTATGTCTATTCTCAATACTCCCAACAAAAAGTTGAATATGGAGCCCTTCATGAAACTGAGCTCACAGAGTATTTAAAATTACTTGTTCTTGGCACAGTGAAGATTTTGATGTCAGGCAATCTGCCTAGCAGGACTAATACACTATGTGGCTTTAATTTTATCTTGGAACCAAAAAATACAGCCATAACTACTTCCTGGGTGCTAATAAATTAAAATAATTGATGAAAGTGTTGAGTTTTTTTTTTTCCTACATATCATCAGCCGTTTTTCAGAGATGTTAACTAACACAAAGGAAGGTGCTTCTCTTAATGGTTTGGGACTATGCTGTTTTCCTCAACACTTAATATTAGGAATAATTTATAGGATGATACTTCATATGTAGCAGATTTCCACACCTGAATATATAAAGGAAGAAAAGCACAACTGTTGGAATCATATTGTAATAAATTCATTTAAAAATACACGATTACAGGTTTCCAAGGTAATTTTTGAAAATGGAGAACTTATAGGGCAGAATTAGCATCATTCCACCTGAATTTATCCATTCACTTGTAAACAAAAGATATAACTTTTTCTTCAAAAGAGAAAAAAAAATTGGAAGTGCTTGAAGAAACCAAATAAGACCTTACATGAAAGCTTACTGATTATGCAATATTTGATGGAAAAATGTCAGTGCCCTGTTAACAAAATGAGAAATTATGATACAAATGAATCCAAACATCCCTCACAGTAGGACGGGCCTATTTGCTGTTGTCTGTCACTTCCAGATTTATTCTCAATAGTTTTCCACAGCTTAATGAAAATAGTTCTTTTAGAATTCTATGCATGGTATCCTGATCACTGCATCAACAAAGTATAAATTTATAGGAAGACTTAGGAAGTTCCTCATTCTCTTTCTCCAACCTCCTCCTATTTTACTTTTTCCCTCTTTTCTTCTCCTCTTCGTCTTCCCTTCTCCTTCTTCATGTTCTTAATTTAATAAAACTTATAGCTACAATTTATTGAGCATAATCATTATTCTAAGTGCTTGTATCTATTATTTATTCATTCCATAAATATGTATAGAGCACTCCTAAAACACAAAACTTTTCTAGGACTCTTGTGATATTGCAATAAATAAAAGAAACAACATCCTTGCTTACACACAGCTTACATTAGCTTATATTTTACTCAAGGAAACAGATAGCAAACACATAAATGAATGACAACTACATTACATTAGCTACTCTAAAGGACATCAACAGGATAATGAGATAGTATAACTAGAGAGGAAGAGTTAAGAAAGGCATCTGAGGAGATGACATTTGGACTGAGATGAAAAGGAGCCAGCCATGAAAGGATCTGGGGTCAAACCATTCCAATAATACGTTAGAAAGGAGTTTCAGATGTTGGAGCAGAAAAGGGGGCCTGTTTGGCTAAAGTTCAGTGAGAAAGGAGGAAAATGACATGAGATGAGGATAGAGAGGTAGCCAGGAACTAGATCATTCAGAAACCCTAAAGTCCAAGGTGAGGAACATGGATTTTATCCTAAGAACAACAAGACTCCCTTGAAGTGTTCTAAGCAGGGACAATAAATGACCTGATTTGCATTATAAAAATTTTCTTGTATCTACTGCAGGGAGAATGGATAGTGAGAGTAAACAATGGCATTAACGGAGCCTATTAGGAGGCGTTTGAATCAGTCCCAGGTGACAATAGATGTAGGATTGGATAATGACGATAGTATTGGAGATAGAAGTAAACTGGGAACTTGTTTTGGAGATAAATCCACAGGATTTGGTGATGCATGGGCTTGGGAAATGGAGGAAAGCAAGTAATCAATTATAAACTGTAGGCTTTCAGTTTGAAAAACTGGGTTTACAGTGGCACAGTTAGTAAACTGAGGACAATTTAGTAAGCAACAAGTTTTTTGTTGTTGTTAGTTGAAAATCAAGGGCTCTTTTTCTTTTGCATATTAACTTTAGGATGCCTGTGAAATGTGATATCAAAGAAACTGTAACATACAAATCTAGACTCAGACTATAGGTCTGGGGTTTCAGTAAATATTTTAGAATTATCAAAATATAAATGGCATTTAAGGTTATGATGCTAGAATTGAATTACCTAGAAAGTGATTATAGATGACAAAAGAAGAAGAGAGGGGAGAAGGAAAAACTAGGATCTCAAGATTGTGCCTTCAGTCAATCTTGAATACAAGGATTCAATACTGCACAGAGAAGGGTGAGCTCTCAGATGTGGCTGAGAAGTATCATGAAATGGTATACAGGCAAATTTAGTGTCTCAAAAGTAAAGAGAGGAGAATGCTTCAGGAAGACACTGTTAGTTGGGTTGAATGTTGCTGAGAAGGCAATATGGAGATCATTAATAACCTTGACAATATTTATTTATTTATTTTTACTTTTTTATCTTTTTTGGGCACATAGTAGGTGTATATATTTATGAGTTACATGAGATATTTTGATACAGGCATGCAATATGTAAAAATCACAATAGAGTAAATGGAGTATCCACCACCCCAAGCACTTATTATTTGTGTTACAAACAATCGAATTATACTCTTGGTGATGATTAATGTTGAATGTCAACTTGATTGGATTGAAGGATGCAAAGTATTGTTCCTGGCTGTGTCTGTGAGGGTGTTGCCAAAGAAGATTAACATTTGAGTCAGTGAACTGGGAAAGGCAGACCCACCCTCAGTCTGGGTGGGCACAATGTAATCAGCTGAAAAGACTAGACTGGCTTAGTCTCCTGGCCTACATCTTTCTCCCATGCTGGATGGTTTCTGCCCTCAAACATTGGACTCCAAGTTCTTCAGCACTGTGACTCTTGGACCTTCGACCACAGACTGAAGGCAGCAACTGTCAGCTTCCCTGCTTTTGAGGTTTTGGGACTCAGACTGGCTTCCTTGCTCCTCGGCTTGCAGACGGTCTATTGCGGGACCTCACCTCATGATTGTGTGAGTTAATACTCCTTAATAAACTCCCCTTTATATATACATCTATGCTATTAGTTCTGTCCCTCTAGAAAACCTTGACTAATGCACTCTTTTAGTTATTTTAAATACAAATAAATTATTTATTTACTGTAGTCATTCTGTTGTGCTAGCAAATACTAGATTTTATTCATTCTTTCTACTTGTTTTGTACCTATTAACCATTTCCACTTCCTCCGAAGCCCCCCCACTACTCTTCTCAGCCTCTGGTAACCACTTTTCCACTCTTTTTTTTCTATAACTTCGATTATTTTAATTTTTAGCTCCCACAAATAAGTGAAAACATACAAAGTTAGTCTTTCTGTGCCTGATTCATTTCACTTAATATGATGAAGTACAATTCTATATATGTTGTTAGAAATGACAGGATCTCATTCTTTTTATGGCTGAATGGTACTTCATTGTGTAAATGTATCACATTTTCCTTATACACTTATCTATTGATAGACACCTAGTTTGCTTACAAATCTTAGCTGTTGTAAATAGTGATAAACATGGGAATGCAGATATCTTTTTGAGATACTGATTTCCCTTCTTTTGAGTGTATACCTAGGAGTTGGGTTGCTAGATCAATGTCAGCTCTATTTTTCATTTTTTGAGGAACCTATAAACAGTTCTCTATAGTGTCTGTACTAATTTACATTCCCACCAACAGTGTGCAAGGATTCCCTTTTCTCTACATCCCCGCCAGCATTTGTTATTGCCTGAATTTTGGATAAAAGCCATTCTAACCGGAGTGAGATGATACCTCATTGTACTATTTATTTCCATTTATCTTATGATCAATGATATTGAACAACTTTTCCTATAGATGTTTTCCATTTATATGTCTTCTTTTGTGAAATTTATATTCTGATATTTTGCCCATTTTTAATCATATTGATAGATTTTTTTTCCTATAGAGTTATTTGAGCTCCTTATATATTCTGGTTATGAATCCCTTGTCAGATACATAGTTTGCAAATATTTTCTCCCATTCTGTGAGTTGTCTCTTCACTTTGTTGATTTTTTCATTTGCTGTGAAAAAGCTCTTTAACTTGATATGATTCCATTTGTCCACTTTTGCTTTGGTTGCCTGTGCGTGTAGGGTGTTAAGAAATCTTTGCCCACAAATGTCCTGGAGAGTTTCTCCAATGTTTTATTTTGGGAGTTTTACAGCTTGAGGTTTTAGATTTAGGTCTTTAATCCATTTTGATTTGATTTTTACATAGAGAGAGATGGGGTGCCGTTTCATTCTTTTGTATATGGATATCCAGTTTTCCCAACACCATTTTTTGGAGAGACTGTCCTTTCCCCAATGTATGTTCTTGACACCTGGACAATAGCTGTTTTATAGGAGTTATGGATTCAGAATATTGGAATATATAAACCAGTGAATTGTAGAAGGTAATGTGAACTCAAACCTTAAAATAAACCTGAGGATTATTACTATTTATTAATAACATGAAAAAATTGAGGCTCAGAGAGATTATTTGCTAAATGTCACAATAAATTGGTGGAAGGACAATTCAAACAAAGATCTCTCTGACATCAAAAATTCCTATCTTTAATCACCACATATCAGTAATTTAGGTTTTGGGGGGAAATACTGATAATTTGAATTACTTTAGTCTATTGAATCAGTGCTACTCACGTTCACGTAACAAAATTTATAATGTATCTATTCCAAAATAAATGGATCTTTAAGCTGTCTTTAAAAATAGATGGGCTTCAAGAGAGTGCTATCACTATTCAATATATCAATTTTATTTTATTAAAGTCAGCTTCTGTTGAGCTACAGACTACTTGGGTTATAGGAGTGGTGTTGCCTGATATTCTATGGTATTGAATTTCCAGTGTTAGGTTTTTCTGGGGACTAGTCAACAGTTATTGACTTTTGAACTTGTGCTAGTATACTATAGAGAACATAAATCTCTGGTTTTTGCAATTGATATTCCACTTTATGCTTTTGGAGATGTGTCTATCAACAAAATACAAGATGACGTTGAAGTATGTATTTCTAGCTACTCAAGGTTAATGTCATGCACAAAATAGAAATAAATAGAAATTGATAAAATAAGTCATTTCTATCATTGTAAATCTCGAGACATTCTGTAATTTCATCAATGGCTGTGTGTTCACATTTTATAATAATCATAAGGCTCTTTGGATATTCTTTATAGAGTAAATATGCAATGTCAATTATGCCACCATAATGGCAATACCCGAGTGTTTTAGGCAAAAGAGTCTACCACTGCATACTTCAGATGATTATATGTCACTTCTATAGAAGTGTTGATGTTGAAAGATCTTCCTGACTTACACCTTTAGACTGATCAAATTGCACAGATAATGGAATTTCATATTAGGCATGGTTTTAATTTAATTAAGGAGTAGGTGTCCCTTAGAGGAACTTCCTGACATTAAAGTTGTATCTTATAGTTGGTCACATGGCTATTGCAAAAAAAAAAAATAGTTGACACAGTTGTGTTTTGGCCACATAAACTTAGTATGTCTGTAAATTGTCTATATGAAAACAATAGCAAAAAGATGAATCCAGCAGTCTGTATTGTATTCCTATATTTAAAAACAATTGTACTGGCATGTAGTACACACCAGAATACCTGGTCTAAACTGCTAAATGTGGGTGGGATGTCTTAGTAACTAATATTGATGGAGTTCCTGTTTGTGTCAACCTTGTGCAGGAGTCTTTCTTATTTGTCTAACCTGTTCACCACCACCACCATACAAGCATGGTATTATTATCCTCATTTTGTACAGGCAGTTAAATAACTTGTACGAAGTCTCACAGTTAGTCACTGTCAGAAATAGAATGCAAAAGTTGTGGATACTAAAATGTAGATTGTATTCACATTCTTTGCCAGAATGCAGATTGGTTTCACTGGATTACTATTAAATGGCTAATAACATGTTCTTGTCTCAAACCTTATCCAAACCCAAATTACAAAATCCACAAAATGAAAGAATGTATATATCAAAGATGTCAGTAAAGTTATAAAGTTATATCTTTGTAATATAATATTCTTCTGATAGTAAAGGAACATATGCTTATTGTAAGAAATTGAAAAATTTTTGAAGAAAATAATAGCTAACAGTGACTGGGCACTTACAATGGCTTAAATATTCTACTATTTGTCATCCATGCATCATTTTGTTCAATACTCATGGAAACCAGAGGTATACAATGTTATTGTTATTTTATTTTTACAAATGAAGAAATGGAGACATAGTGAACTTAAGTATTTTTCCTAGTATTTCACACCAGTAAGTGTGAAAGTCAAGATTCAAAACAAGCAGACTAGCTTGAGAGCCTACACTTCTAACCACTATGCTGCCACTCATGATCCCAATGTCTACAGACATTGTCGATATTTTGATCCCTTTCCTTATCTGTGCTCATTTTCTGAAGATTGGTACTAGAATTGGCTTCCATTTTCTTACTCCCAAAGCTGACATAAAATAATAAATATCTCAAGAAGCCTACATTTTCTAAGCTCCAATGTATATACCAATGTATATATGGAGAGCACAGAAACAGACTGTAATATTCAAGGTTTAAAAACTCAAAAGAAAACTTTTCTTTTTTTCAAAAAGTGTATATACTACATTACTGTATTACAATAAGAGTGTCTAACATTTGTAAAAGGCAAAAAGTTCATGGCTGCGAATTCCCAGTTTCCAATTCTCTGCTCTTCTCTCTGTATTTTTGTCATCCTATAGAAATCCCAAGGCTTTCATTAGCCCTGTGCTATCCCTCTGCTGATGCTTCACTAGCTTTTGCCTTTCGAGGGTCATTCACCATGATATACATTCTTCCGGAAACTGCAGTTTCACCAACAAGAAGCACTAGTCAAAAATGTTTTCATAGTGCAGGAGCCTTGATCCCCATATGGGACTTTGTCTACAAAAATGCAACTTCACTAATAGTTTGAAGTCACAAATGAGTTTGCCGTGGACTATCTTTATTAATATCAGATCTTTTGGCTCTGTGTGAGAAGTTACCAATAGCACCTTTAAAATGTGATTTCAGTTTAAAATAGTGACTCTAAAATAAATTATTCCCCAGTATAGAAACACACACATTTTTTTCCAGGCAAAACATTGCACCCTAAATCTCAGAGTCTTGTGCTTATATTCCCTCTATTGCATTCATTGAATGTTAATTGTGGTTTAAATCTGAATTTTTATGTATCACAATTTCAAAGGAACTGGTAGTACTAACCATTCTACATGCATTCCATCCTCTATGTGTTAGTCTGTTAGGGCTGCTCTAACAAAACACCACAGCCTGGGTAGCTTAAATAGAAATGCAGTTGCTAATCTAAGATCAAGGTGCCAGACAATTCAGTTTCTGGTGAGGGCTCTTTTCCTGGCGTATAGATTGCCACCTTCTTGCTGTGTCCTCACGTGGCAGAGAGAAAGACAAAGAAAGACAGACAGAGTGAGAGAATGAGAGAGTAAGAGAGAGAGAGTACGTTCTGGTGTCCTTTCTTAAAAAGACATCAGAATTCTACTATATGAACTTATTTAACCTTAATTACCTCCTTATAGGCCCTTTTTCCAAATACAGTAACATTGGAGGTTAGGGCTTGAATATATGGATTTTTGTGAGTCACTGCTCAGTCATTAGCACTCCCAACCCCACCGCCCCAAACCACTTACTGATAAGAGTTTACACCCATGTACTCCAGAATATGTTGCTCAGGTCTTTCTGCCCTGGCCCTCTCATCCTCCCCTTTCCTTATGCTTCTACTGGTCTGAGTGCCAAAGATCTATATTTTACAGGACACAGATATCTTTACAAGTGACGGCTACTAATGCCCACATCAGCTTCATGGAAGGGACATATTTAACTTCATGTTTGGTGTAAGCTCTGTTATCTATTACAGCTTGCCAGTATGGTCAGAATTCAGATATAGATTCTTGAAGCTAGAATTCTTCATAACTGCTGCCAACATATTGCCTATTGGCTGCTCTCCAAACTGTCCACTTTCTTACACTTTTGTTTCTGCCACTAGTTCTGTTACTTCCACTGAAACTCATATCAAAACATGTGTGTCCAGGGATGACATTTATATCTTCTGTGATTGCATGTAGTTGAGGAAGCTCATATGTGTACACTGGAGTCTAGATTCTGAGATGGAGTTAGGTCCCTACAATCAGTTGAAAAGGCCTATTTTATTTTATTATCTAGGATTAGTCAGTCCTCTTTAGAAGAAAAGTTTTCCAGTCACCTGGTTGTGGTACTGCTCCCGTGACCAACTACACAAACACAAAATATCACATTGGTATGTGTCCAAGATTGGAATTTTCCTGTTTTGTTCAAGGTCACAGTATTGTACATGAAATTTTTACTAGCTGTCCACAATGTCTGCAGCCAATATAGAGAAACAGACCCAAGGCTCAGGAAGGGAGAAATGATAATAATTAGTATAGCTTAATGATTAAATTTGCTCTGGTTCTGTGGCTCTTTTTCCCTACATATCTCCCAGGGATGTAGTGAGTTGCAACAAATGATACCTGTTGACGGCTCCTTTTCCTAGACAGAGAGGTACCAAGTGTCTTAGAAAATGCCTCCTATCCCCTGGAACTCATCCTGGTTTCAGTTTGGCCTTTCCAGGGAAGGTGCAGTAGCACCACACACAGGAGCCTTGGGCCTGATTCACTGTGGTAGCGCATAGAGCATGACTTGAAAATAGGAACCTAGTAGTATAGTTTGAAGTCAGGTAGCGTGATGCCTCCAGCTTTGTTCTTTTTGCTTAGGATTGTCTTGGCTATATGGGGTCTTCTTTGATTCCATATGAAATTTAAAATAGTTTTTTCTAATTCTGTGAACAATGTCAATGGTAGTTTGGTGGGAATAGCATTGAATCTATAAATTACTTTGGGCAGTGTGGCCATTTTCACGATATTGATTATTCCTATCCATGAGGATGAAATGTTTTTCCATTTGTTTGTTTCCTCTCTTATTTCCTTGAGCAGTGGCCTGTAGTTCTCCTTGAAGAGGTCCTTCACATCCCTTGTTAGCTGTGTTCCTAGGTATTTTGTTCTCTTTGTAGTGATTGTAAATGGGAGTTCATTCATGATTTGGGTCTCTGCTTGCCTATTGTTGGTGTAAAGGAATGCTTGTGATTTTTGCGAACTAACGCAGGAACAGAAAACCAAACACCACATGTTCTCACTTATAAGTGGGAGTTGAACATTGAGAACACATGGACCCAGAAAGGGGAACAGCACACACCAGGGCCTGTTGGGAGGTGCGGGGTGAAGGGAAGGAACTTGGAGGATAGGTCAATAGGTGCAGCAAACCACCATGGCACACGTATGCCTATGTAACAAACATGCACGTTCTGCACATGTATCCCCTTTTTCTATTTTTTAGAAGAAATAAAGAAAAACAAGAAAATAGGAATCTAAATAAAAAATAATGTAATATAAAACATGCTATACAGAAGCTTGAGCTTGTAATCTGTTTATTCATTTTACCTAAAGCTCCAATTTCCAGCATTTTTCTCTAATAAAGTCCATGCACCTGATCAACTATTAAGAAAGTATTTCTCTACAGAAGTTATGGGGAAAGTGCTATTAAAATTATTCTTTAATATTTTATACATGTTTTTATGTTTGCCTTTTATATACTTCCACACATTTCATAGTAGGGTTTTAAAACTGAATTTAATATTTTTGTTATTAGTAATGGTACTTTTTCTCCATTATGGCTTCTAATTGCTTATTGTTGGCATGCATTAATTATAATAATTTTTATAAATTTATCAGTTCTTTCTGGCCCCATGTTAGAGCAACCACAATTCCATATTTATTAATTATCATGTTGGTTTTCAATTCCTACAATTATTTCATCTGTAAAAAATTACGTACTTGTTACCTAATATCCAAAAGTTGTCTTTCAATTTTTAGCTAGAACTTCCTAAAATCATGTCAAATAATAGTAGTGATAGAGGACATCTCTATTGCTAGTATATAGGAAAGCTGGTTTTAATGGGAATTTGTTTCTTGTTTCATTATTAAGTATAGTTTTGGCATTTAGTTTATCACAGATGTATCATTTAGAAAGCAAGTGATAAAAAAAATTCAGCTCCAACTGGTTTAAATAATTAGTTTACTTTTTATCTTACATACATGAAAAATGACAACTAGGGCAGGCAGGATCCAGCCATGGTGCAACAATAACTCAAAGACCAATCTTTCTGGTATAGCCATTGAACTTGGCTTCATAACTACTGTGTGACTACAGCAGTTCAGACGGTCACATCCAGACACTGAAATAGCTAGAAGAGAAAACGATTGTAATATCTCAAGTCTCTTTCTTAGGAGGGAGCACACTTTTTATGCAAGTGTCCCAACATAATTTCCCTTATATTTTACTGGATACAGTTGAGTTGCATGTCCATTTTTAAATCAAACATTCGTGAGGAAAATGGGATTACCCCAACTAACATAGAGCAATCTTTTAGAATTAGAATGGATACTTGAAAATCCCAACCACACTCACCAGGAAAATTTTATGTTTTCATTATATATTATTTCCTCTGTGCAACACCCTGCTACTTTTTTGGTAAAATAATGATAGCCACTGGGAAGAGCACTGGATTTGGAGATATAAATAAAAACTATCAAAGTAAGACTATATCCTTCTATTCATACTTTACTAAGAACATAATTAAATCAAAAACACATGCTAAATTGTATTGAATTGTCTTCTCAGCATATATTGAGGTCACCATATGGCTTGGTATTAGACCTCTAGGTAGTATATTAATGCCTTGCTTACTCTTAAGTCATCCTGACATTTACTTAGATAAATTTTGTCATTTTGCTATTGCGTATTTGTAGGGTTTTTCTATTTCTTTGTTATACAGGTATACCTCCTTTTACTGTGCTTCACTTTATTGCATTCTGTAGATAATTGCATTTTTTTTTTACAAATTGAGGGTTTGTGGCAATCCTGTGTCCAGGAAGGCTATCAGTGCCATTTTTTAAATAGCATATGCTCATTTTGTCTCTGTGTGTCACATTTTGGTAATTCTTGCAATATGTCAAACTTTTTCATTATTGTTATATCTGTTATGGTGATCACTGATCAGTGATCTTTGATATTACTATTGTAAATTTTTTGGGAAACCATGAATTCTAACCATTTGGCACAGTAAACTCAATTGATGAATTTTGTGTCTTCTCATTGTTCCCACTGGCCATTCTCTCATCTCATCTCCTGTCTCTCTCTCTTTGGGCTTCCTTATTTCTTGAGACACAATACTATTGAAATTAGGTCATTTAATAAACCTACAATGGCCTCTAATGGTTCAAGTAGGAGAAAGTTATGAATCTCTCATTTTGAATCAAAAGCTGGAAATGATTAAGCTTAGTGAGGAAGGCATGTCAATGGCTGAGAGAGGCTGAAAGCCATTCCTCCAATGTGAAATACATAACGAAGCTGTGAATGCAAGGAAAACATTCTTGATGGAAACTAAATGTGGTATTCCAGTTAACAGATTAATGACAAGAAAACAAAACAGCCTTATTGTTGATGTGGAGAGAGTTTTTGTGGTCTGGATAGAAGATCAAACCAGCCACAACATTCCCAAATCCAGAGCAAGGCCCTAACTCTTTTTAATTCTATGAAGGCCGAGAGAGGTGGGGAAGCTGCAGAAGGAAAGTTTGAAGCTAGCAGAGGTTGGTTCATGAGGTTTAAGTAAAAAAAAGCCATCCCGTAACAAGAACAACAAAAAAGTGCAAGATGAAGCAGCAAGTAGTTATGTAGAAGATGCAGCAATTTAGACAGAAGATCTAGCTACGATCATTGATGAAGGTTGCTACCCTAAACAACAGATTTTCTATGTGAACTAAACAACCTTCTATTGTAAGAAGATGCCATCTATAAGTTTCATAACTAGAGAGAAGTTAATGCCTGACTTCAAAACTTCAAAGAACAAGCTTACTCCCTTATTTGCTCTTGCAGCTGATGACTTCCAGTTGAAGCCAATGCTCATTTACCATTTTGAAAATTCTATGGCCCTTAAGAATATGCTAAATCTATTATGCCTGTGCTCTGTAAATGGAATAGCAAAGCCTGGATACAGCATATCTATTTACAGCATGGTTTACTGGATATTTTTAAGCCCACTGTTGAGACCTAATGCTAAGAAAAAAAAAAAAAGATTTCTTTCAAAATATTACTGCTCATTGGCAAGGCACCTAGTCTCTTAAGAACCCTTATGGAGGTGTAATAGGAGATGAATATTCTTTTCATGCCTGCTAACAACATCCATTTTGCAGCCCATGGATCAAGCAGTAATCTCTACTTTCAAGTCTTTTGATTTAAAAAATTCATATTGTAAGGCTATAGCTGCCATAGTGATTCCTCTGATAGATCTGAGACAGGTAAATTGAAAACCATTTGGAAATAATTTGTTATTTCAGATGCCATTAAGGATACCTGTGATTCATGGAAGGAGGTCAAAATATCACCATTTTAATAAGCATTTGGAGGAAGTTGATTCCAACCCTCATGAATGACTTTGAGGGGTTCAAGACTTCAGTGGAGGTTACTGCAGATGGGGTGGAAACAGAAAAAGAAATAGGATTAGAAGTGGGGCCTGAAGATGTGACCACATTGCTGCAATCTCATGATAAAACTTAAACAGATGAGGAATTGCTTCTTACAGATGAGCAAAGAAAGTGGTTACTTGAGATAGCATCTACTCCTGTTGATGATGTTCTGAACATTGTTGAAATAACAACACAAGGTTTAGAATATTCCATAAACCTAGTTGATGAAGCAATGACAGAGTTTGAGGAAATTGATTCCAGTTTTGAAAGAATTTCTACTGTGGGTAAAATGCCATCAAACCGCATCTCATGCTACAGGAAAATCTTTGGTGGAAGGAAGAGTCAGTCAATGTGGCATTCTTCATTGTTGTCTTATTTTAAGAAATTGCCACAGACACTGTAAACTTCAACAACCAACTGACTGCCCAGTTAGGAGCCAGCAGCATGGAAGCAAGACATTTTATCTGTGAAAGGTTGATGACTAGCTAAAATCTCAAATGGTTGTTACCATTATTTAGCAATAAATTATTTTTAATTAAAGTAGGTACGTTGCTATATTAGACATAATGCCATTTCACACTTAATAAACTATAGTATAGTGTAACAATAACTTTTATATTCACTGGGAAACCAAAAAATTCAAGTGACTTGCTTTATTGTCTGGAACCAAGCCTACAATATCTCTGAGGTATGCCTGTGTTTAGAGAAGATGTTTTATTTTCTTTTTTTTTTCAAAAAATAACTTATATTTAGCAGTGCAATTGATCCTCACATTGGTTTCTACTTTTGTCTTAATTGTTCCTTTCACTTGCTTTTCCTTTTGTATTTGGATTTTTTGTTCACTTTGCTAATTTAGTTGAATGCTTAGCTTATTAATTTTCATTTTCCTTAGTAAGTAATTAAAGTATTTGCAGGTTACTTCCAAGAACATTTTTCCCAAGAACATTTTTTAACCACATCTTATAACTTTTGATATGCACTGTTCCTCTTGTCTTAATTTTCTAATTCATTGATTACAAACATGTTTTCTCCTAATCTTCAACACACTAAAGGATATGGCTTAGGCCCGCCAGTAATACTGGCATAGCACACTAGAGTAGTAATTTTCAAAGGGATTAGGAATGAGGGGGATAGAAGGAGGCTATATTTCAATTGAAATGGATTTCCAGATGTCTTTGATAAGCTCACTCTCTCTACAACCAACAAAACTGGCAATCTGCAAATGAAAATTATTTTTATAAATACTCTGTAATCATGCATTTTTTAATCCTCAACTTTTATTTTAAGTTCAGGGGTACATGTACAGGATGTGCAGGTTTGTTACATAGGTAAATGTGTGCCATGGTGGTTTGCTGCACAGACCATCCTATCACCTAGGTATTAAGCCCAGCGTCCATTACCTATTCTTCCTGATGCCCTCCCTCCCACTACTCCCACCCCTGACAGGCTCCAGTGTATGTTGTTCCCCACGAATGTGTCCATGTGTTCTCATTGTTCAGCTTGATTTATAAGAGAAAACATGTGGTGTTTTGATTTCTGTTCCTTTTAGTTTGCTAATGATAATGGCTTCTGACTCCATCAATGTCCCTGCAAAGGACATGATCTTGTTCTTTTTTATGGCTGCATAGTATTCCATTATATATATGTACCACATTTTCTTTATCCAGTCTATTATTTATGGGCATTTGGCTTGATACAATATCTTTGCTATTGTGAATAGTGCTGCAATGAACATATGCAAGCATGTATCTTTATAATAGAATGATTTATATTCTTTCAGTATATACCCAGTAATGAGATTGCCAAGTCAAATGGTATTTCTGCCTTTGAGAAATTGCCACACTGTCTTCCACAACGGTTGAACTAATTTACACTCCCAACAGTGTAAAAGCCTTCCTTTTTCTACACAATCTCACCAGCATCTGTTAATTTTGACTTTGACTTTTTAATAATCGCCATTCTGACTGGCATGAGATGGTATCTAATTGTGGTTTTGATTTGCATTTTTCTAATGATCAGTGATGTTGAGCTTTTTTTCATGTTTGTTGGCCACATGTATGTATTTTTTTGAGAGGTGTCTATTCATGTTCTTTACCCAACTTTTAATGGGGTTGTTTGCTTTTTTCTTGTAAATTTAAGTTTCTGGTAGACTGGATATTAGACCTTTTACAGATGGATAGGTTTACAAAAACTTTCTCCCATTATTCAGGTTGTCTGCTCACTCTGATGATAGCTTCCTTTGCTGTGCAGAAGCTCTTTAGTTTAATGAGACCCCATTTGTCAAGTTTGGCTTTTATTGCAATTGTTTTTGGCATTTTCCTCATGAAATCTTTGCCTGTGCCTATGTCCTCAATTGTATTGCCTAGATTTTTCATCTAGGGTTTTTATAGTTTTGGGTTTTACATTAAAGTCTTTAATCCATCTTGAGTTAATTTTTGTAGGAGGTGTAAGGAAGCAGTCCAACTTCAATTTTCTGCATATGGCTAGCCAGCACTCCAACCACCACTTATTAAATAGGAAATCCTTTCCTCATTGCTTGTTTTTGTCAGGTTTATTGAAGATCAGATGGTTGTAGACATGCAATCTTATTTCTGACTTCTCTATTCGGTTCCATTTGTCTATGTGTCTGTTTTGGTACCAGTATCATGCTGTTTTGGTTACTGTAGCCTTGTAGTATAGTTAGAAATTGGATAGCATGATGTCTCCAGCTTTGTTCTTTCTGCTTAGGATTGTCTTGGCTATTCATGCTCCTTTTTGGTTCTACATGAATTCCACATTGGCTTTTTTTCTAATTCTGTGAAGAATGTTAATGGTAGTTTAATGGGAATAGCATTGAATGTATAAATTACTTTGGGCAATATGGTTATTTTTGCAATATCAGTTTTTCCTATCCATGAACATGGAATGTTTTTCCATTTGTTTGTGTCCTCTCTGATTTCTTTGAGCAGTGGTTTATAGCTCTCCTTGAAGAAGTCCTTCATGTCCTTTGTTAGCTGTATTCCTAGGTATCTAATTATTTTTGTAGCAATCTTGAATGGGAGTTCATTCTTGACTTGGCTCTCTGCTTGTCTGTTGTTGGTCTATAGGAATGCCAGCGATTTTTGCACATTGATTTTGTATCCTGAGACTTTTCTCAAGTTGCTTATTAGCTTAAAAAGCTTTTGGGCTGAGGCAATGGGATTTTCTAAATATAGGATCATGTCATTTGCAAACAAAGATAATTTTACATCCAATTTTCTTATTTGAATACCCTTTATTTCTTTCTCTTGACTGTTGGCCCTGGCCAGAATTTCCAATACTATGTTTAATAGGAGTGATGGGAGAGGGCATCTTTGTCTCTTGCCAGTTTTCAAGGGGAATGCTTCCCACTTTTGCCCATTCAGTATATTGGCTGTGGGTTTGTCATAGATGACCCTTATTATTTTGAGTTGTGTTGCTTCAATACCTAATTTATTGAGAGCTTTTAACATGAAGGGATGTTGAATTTATTTAAGGCTTTTTCTGCATTGATTGAGTTAATCATATGGTTTTTGTTTTTACTTCTGTTTATGTGATGAATCCCATTAATTGATTTGCATATGTTGAGCCAACCTTGCATCCCAGTGATGAAGCCAGCTTAATTGTGCTGGATAAGCTTTTTGATTTGCTGCTAGATTTGGTTTGCCAGTATTTTTTAGGATTTTTACATCAATGTGCATCGGGGATATTGGCCTGAAGTTTTCTTTTTTCTTTTATTGTATCTCTGTCAGGTTTGGGTATCAGGATGATGTTTGCCTCATAAAATGAGTTAGGGAGGAGGCCCTCCTTTTCAATTGTTTGGAATAGTTTCAGTAGAAATACCAGTAGCTCTTCTTTGCACCTCTGGTAGAATTCAGCTATACATCCATCTGGCCCTGGGCTTTTTTGGGTTGGTAGGCTATTTATTACTGCTTCAATTTCAGAATTCATTATTGGTCTATTCAGGGATTCAACTTCTTCCTGGTTCAGTCATGGGAGGGTGTATGTGTCCATGAATTTATCAATTTTTTCCTAGACTTTCTAGTTTATGTGCATAGAAGTGTTTATAGTATTCTCTAATGGTTGTTTGTATTTCTGTGGGGTCAGTGGTGATATCCCCCTTATCATTTATGATTGTGTTTATTTGATTCTTCTCTCTTTTCTTCTTTATTAGTCTAGCTAGTGATCTTTTTTATTAATTTTTTCCAAAATCCAGCTCCTGGATTGATTGATTTTTTGAAGGGCTTTTTGTGTCTCTATATCCTTCAGTTCTGCTCTGATCTTGGTTATTTCTTGTCTTCTGCTAGCTTTGGGGTTTGTTTGCTCTTTGTTCTCTAGTTCTTTTAGTTGTGATGTTAGGTTGCTAACTTGAGATCTTTCTAGCTTCTTGATGTGGGCATTTACTGCTATAAATTTCCCTCTTAACACTGCTTTAGCTGCATCCCAGACATTCTTGGACATTGTCTCTTTGTTATCATTAGTTTCAAATAACTTCTTGACTTCTGCTTTAATTTCATTATTTACCCAGGAGTCATTCAGGTGCAGGTTGTTCAATTTCCATGTAGCTGTGTGGTTTTGAGTGAGTTTCTTTTTCTTTTTTTTTTTTATTGCTCATTCTTGGGTGTTTCTGGCAGAGGGGGATTTGGCAGGGTCATAGGACAATAGTGGAGGGAAGGTCAGCAGATAAACAAGTGAACAAAGGTCTCTGGTTTTCCTAGGCAGAGGACCCTGGGGCCTTCCGCAGTGTTTGTGTCCCTGGGTACTTGAGATTAGTGAGTGGTGATGACTCTTAAGGAGCATGCTGCCTTCAAGCATCTGTTTAACAAAGCACATCTTGCACCGCCCTTAATCCATTTAACCCTGAGTGGACACAGCACATGTTTCAGAGAGCACTGGGTTGGGGGTAAGGTCATAGATCAACAGCATCCCAAGGCAGAAGAATTTTTCTTAGTACAGAACAAAATGGAGTCTCCTATGTCTACTTCTTTCTACACAGACACAGCAACAATTTGATTTCTCTATCTTTTCCCCACATTTCCCCCTTTTCTATTCGACAAAACCGCCATCGTCATCATGACCCATTCTCAATGAGCTGTTGGGTACACCTCCCAGACGGGGTGGCGGCTGGGCAGAGGGGCTCCTCACTTTCCAGAAGGGGCGGCCAGGCAGAGGCGCCCCCCACCTCCCAGACGGGGCGGCGGCCGGGCGGAGGCACCCCCCACCTCCTGGATGGGGCGGCTGGCCAGGCGGGGGCTGACCCCCCACCTCCCTCCTGGACGGGGCGGCTGGCCGGGCGGGGGCTGACCCCCCACCTCCCTCCCGGACGGGGCGGCTGGCCGGCTGGGGGCTGACCCCCCACCTCCCTCCCAGACGGGGTGGCTGGCCGGGCGGGGGCTGCCCCCCCACCTCCCGGACGGGGCGGCTGCCGGGCGGAGATGCTCCTCACTTCCCAGACGGGGCGGCTGCCGGGCGGAGGGGCTCCTCACTTCCCAGACGGGGCGGCTGCCGGCCGGAGGGGCTCCGCACTTCTGAGATGGGGCGGCTGCCGGGTGGAGACGCTCCTCACTTCCCAGACGGGGCGGCTGTCGGGCGGAGGGGCTCCTCACTTCTCAGATGGGGCGGCCGGGCAGGGACGCTCCTCACCTCCCAGACGGGGTCGCAGCCGGGCAGAGGCGCTCCTCACATCCCAGACGGGGCGGCGGGGCAGAGGTGCTCCCCACATCTCAGATGATGGGCGGCCGGGCAGAGACGCTCCTCACTTCCTAGATGGGATGGCAGCCGGGAAGAGGTGCTCCTCACTTCCCAGACTGGGCAGCCGGGCAGAGGGGCTCCTCACATCCCAGACGATGGGCAGCCAGGCAGAGACGCTCCTCACTTCCCAGACGGGGTGGCGGCCGGGCATTGGCTGCAATCTCGGCACTTTGGGAGTCCAAGGCAGGCGGCTGGGAGGTGGAGGTTGTAGCCAGCCGAGATCACGCCACTGCACTCCAGCCTGGGCAACATTGAGCACTGAGTGAACGAGACTCCATCTGCAATCCCGGCACCTCGGGACGCCGAGGCTGGCAGATCACTCCCGGTTAGGAGCTGGAGACCAGCCCGGCCAACACAGCGAAACCCCGTCTCCACCAAAAAAATATGAAAACCAGTCAGGCGTGGTGGCGCGTGCCTGCAATTGCAGGCACTCGGCAGGTTCAGGCAGGAGAATCAGGCAGGGAGGTTGCAGTGAGCAGAGATGGCGGCAGTACAGTCCAGCATCGGCTCGGCATCAGAGGGAGACCGTGGAAAGAGAGGGAGAGAGAGACCGTGGGGAGAGGGAGACGAGGGAGAGGGAAAGGGAGAGGGAGAGGGAGAGGGAGAGCTTGAGTGAGTTTCTTGATGCTCAGTTCTAATTTGATTGCACTGTGGTCTGAGAGACTGTTTATTATAACTTCACTTCTTTCGCATTTGCTGAGGAGTGTTTCATTTCCAATTATGTGATCAATTTTAGAGTACACTCCATGTGGCAATGAGAAGAATGGATATTGTGTTGTTTGGGGGTAGAGAGTTCGGTAGACATCTATCAGTTTCACTTGATTCAGAGCTGAGTACAGACCCTGAATATCTTTGTTAATGTTCTGTCTTGATGATCTGTCTAACATTGACAGTGTGGTGTTAAAGTCTCCCACTATTATTGTGTGGGATTCTAAGTCTCCTCATAGATCTCTAAGAACTTGCTTTATGAATCTGGGTTTTCCTGTATTGGGTGCATATATATTCAGGATAGTTAGCTCTTCTTGTTGAATTGAACCCTTTACCATTATGTAATGCTCTTCTTTGTCTTTTTTGATCTGTGTTGGTTTAAAGTCTGTTTTGTCAGAAACTAGGATTGCAATTCCCTCTTTTTTTTTTCTGTTTTCCATTTGCTTGGTAAATTTTCCTCCATCCCTTTATTTTGAGCCTATGTGTGTCTTTGCATGTGAGATGGGTCTCTTGAAGACAGTATATGGATGGGTCTTGGCTCTTTATCCAGCTTGCCAGTCTGTGTCTTTTAATGGGGTATTTAGACCATTTACATTTAAGGTTAGTATTGTTATGTGTGAATTTGATCCTGTCATTATGATGCTAGCTGGTTATTTTGCATATTGTTTACGTGGTTGCTTGATAGTGTCACTGGTCTATGTACTTAATTTCGTTTTTGCAGTGGCTGGTAACAGTTTTTCCTTTCCATATTTAGTACTTCCTTCATGAAGTCTTAAAAGGCAGGCCAGCTGGTGATGTATTCCCTTAGCATTTGCTTGTTTGACAAGGATCTTAGTTCTCCTTCACCTATGAAGCTTAGTTTGGCTGGATATGAAATTCTGGGTTGGAAATTCTTTTCTTTATGAATGTTGAATGTTGGTCCCCAGTCTCTTCTTTTAGGGTTTTTGCTAAGAGGTCCACTGTTAGTCTGTTGGGCTTCCCTTTGTAGGTGACTTGGCCTTTCTCTCTGGCTGCCCTTAGAAGTTTTTTCTTTCATTTCGACCTTGGAGAATCTGATAACTTTGTGTCTTGGGGTTTATCTTCTTGTATAAGACTGTCTTCCTGGGGTTCTCTGTATTTCCTGAATTTGAGTGTTGGTCTTTTTTGCTAGGTTGGGAAAGTTCTCCTGGATGATATCCTGAAGTATATTTTCCAACTTGGTTCCATTCTCCCTGCCTTTTTCAGGTACCCCACTCAGTCATAAGTTCGATCTTTTTACATAATCCCATATTTCTTGGAGGTTTGTTTTTTTCATTTGTTTTTATTCTTTTTTCTCTATTCTTGTCTGCCGGTCTTATTTCAGAAAGATAGTCTTTAAGCTCTGAGATTCTCCCTCCATTTGGTCTATTCTGCTATTGATACTTGTGATTACACTGTGAAGTTCTTGTGTTGTGATTTTCAGCTCCATAAGTTGGTTATGTTCCTCTCTAAACTGGCTATTCTGGATATCTGCTCCTGTGTTTTTTTTTTTTTTTATCATGATTCTTAGCTTCTTTGCACTGGGTTACAACATGCTCCTTTAGTTCAGTGAAGTTCTTTATTACCCACCTTCTGGAGCCTACATCTGTGAATTCAGCCATCTCAGCCTCAGCCCAGTTCTGTGCCTTAGCTGGAGAGCTTTAGCAGTCATTTGGAGGAGAAGAGGCATTCTGGCTTTTGGAGTCTTCAGTGTTTTTGCATTTTTTTTTCTCATCTTTGTGGGCTTATTTACCTTTTATCTTTGAGGTTGCTCACATTTGAATGGGGCTTTTATGGTGTCTTTTTGTTGTTGTTTTCTGTTTGTTTTTCTTTTACAGTCAGGCCACTGATGGTTAGCAACCATAAGGCTACTGCAGTTTTCTTGGGATACACTACAGACCTTAGTTGCCTCAGTTTTTCCCATACCTGAAGGTATCACCAGTGAGGGCTGCAAAACAGCAATGATGGCAGCCAACTCTTTCCTCTGGACATTCCATCCCAGGGGATTACTGACCTGTTGCTGACCTGAATGCTCCTGTTTGAGGTGTCCAGAGACCCCTGTTGGGAGGTCTCACCCAGTCAGGAGGAACGGGATTAGGGACCCACTTACAGAAGCAGTCTGGCTGCTTTTGGCAGAGAAGGTGTGCTGCACTGGGGGGGACCCTTCCTTGTCCAGGGCTCCCATACTCTCCAGAGCCAGCAGGCTGGAAGAGCTGAGTCCACTAACCACAGTGACGGCAGCTGCTCCTCCCCCTGGGTGTTCTATCCCTGGAAGAGGTCAGAGTTCTGTCCATATAGGCATGGCTGGAGTCACTAAAGGCCTTCTGTCCAAAGAGGAGGAATGGAAAGAGGTCCTGCTTAAAGAAGTGGGGAGAAGAAATAAAGAAAGAAAGATGAAGAAATAAAATAATAAAAAATAAAATAAAATTTCCTTTAAGAGTAAATACATTTTGGGCATGATCTGGCAAAGCAGGTGTGCTCCATTGCTTGGAACCTCTCCTCATGGGGCCGCCTGGACTCTCTGGAGCCAGCCTGGCTGGAAGGCTGAGTTGACTGAACTGCAAAAATGGCAGCGGCTGCCCCTCCCTCCCCACCTACCCACCCACGTCGCCCTGCTCCCCCAGCTCTCTCCTGTCTCTAGCAGGCTCAGTCTGTTGCTGTTGGCTGGCTGGAATTTCAAGCCAGTAGGTCTTGTGAGGTGCTGTGGAAGTGGGACGCACAGAATGATGCTTTTTGGCCCTCCCTGAATTCAGCCCCCTTCTTCGGGGAATCTATGGATGGATCTGCCACCTTGCTGGGAATCCTGGGGCCAGAGTATGTAAAACTTCTGGGTCTCTGTGTGTGCCTGAGCAGCTGCTCTTCTGAGACTCCACACAGCTCTGTGCTTCAGACCCAAGGCCCTGGTTGCCTGGGCTCAGGAGGGGATCTCCGGATCCCAAGTTGCAAAGAACCCTGGGTGAAGAATGGTTTCCTGGGCAGGGTTGCACAATAACTCACTGCTTCCCTTAGCTAGAGGTGGGGAGTCCTTTGGCTCCATGCTGCTCCTTGGTCAGCTGTCGCCCCATCCTGCTTTTCTTTGTTTTCTGTGGGTCCAGTTGATAGCCTAGTTGTTCCCAATACAAGAACCTAGATATTTCAGTTGAAGGTGCTGAATTCACTTGCCCCTTTTCATTCCTCTCTGTGAGTGCTGTGGACTGCAGCTGCTTCTAATTGGCTATCTTCAGTGCTGCTCCATAATCATACATTTTTAAAAATCTTTTTGCAGTTGATCTAAAGACCATGCAAAATGAACAAACAAACTAAAAACACAGCCCACCAAATCAACAAACATATATAGATATATAAACATATTTTAAAGAAAATATTGTAACTTGTTCTTTTCATTTAAGACTACTAAATAAACATGTTTTTTCATCAAATATTTTTCTATATATTTTATATGACTATTTATTATTATAGTGCTTCAGGAAACCACAATTCTTTTAAGTAGTTTACTATTGCTTTAACATTAAGGGAATTTTTTCACTTTTACTATTATAAATAATACTGTTATTTATTACTCTGTTGATACATAAATCTTTTTGCCCAGTTCATTATTTACTTAGAATAAATTTCTAGAATTGAAAATACTGAGCCACAATTATGAAAACTTTTAAGGCCCTTGATGTATATTTTCAAATTTTTCTCCAGGAAGGTAATGCTAATTTATATTCTTATAAGCATTGTATTGGCTTTTCCCTTTACTACTTCCAGATCTGAGTATTATTATCATTATTATTATTATTGGTGGTGTTTTTAATCCTTGACTAGTTGACAGTCAAAAACTGATATTGTACTTTTGTTTTAATTTTACTGTAAAATTCCCTTTAAGGTCGGGCGTGATGCCTCATGCCTGTAACCCCAGCATTTTGGGAGGCAGAGGTGGGTGGATCACTTGAGGCCAGGATTTTGAAACCAGCTGGGCCAAAATGGTGAAACACATCTCTACTAAAAATACAAAAATTAGCTGGGCATGGTAGCAGGCACCTGTAATCCCAGCTACTTAAGAGGCTGAGGCATGAGTATCACTTGAATCCCTGGAGGCAGAGGTTGCAGTGAGTTGAGATTGCACAAATACACTCCAGCATGGGAAACAGAGCAAGACTCTGTCTCAAAAATGAGAATAATAATAATAATAAATTAAATTAAAATCCCTTTAAGAGTAAATACATTTTTATATGCATTATCTGTTTGCATTTTTTGAATATCAGTTTTATATAGAGTTTTTCCATTTTTATATTAATATATAGGCATTTTAGACATAGTGGATATTAAAGTATATTGAAAGTTTTGATCCAATTTAATGGTTTACATTTTTTTCCTTTCTATTGTGTATTTTCACATGCAGAAGTTTTATTTTTAACATGTAAGTGTATTCAAAACTATTGCTTCATTCTTATCTTTGAGCAATTACCTATCCCTTTGCTACCATACCTGGAACAACTTCCTCCACACCAAGATCAAATCTTTCACTTATATTTCTTTCTCTTTGTGTAGTTTAATTTTTTCATTTTCTTAAGTGAGGAATTTATTTTGGCATATGATGTGAGAAAATGAGCTAATTTTTCTTCCAATAGTTAACCAATTGCATTTGTTGAATAATATATCTTTTACTCTCTGGTTGGAAATGGTACCTTTATCAGATGTCAGTATTTGACTATACTGTATCTGCTTCTAATCTATTTCCATTGTCTGCATATTCATTCTTTAACCAGTAGAATATTTTAGGTGCTACAGCATACAGTGGAAGCCTGTTATTCTCTGCTATGTAGTTTTTAATTCTGCTATTGCAACTGTAATTTTCTAAAACACTTCTTTATTTTGTCCAGCATTTTTTACATCTATATACTTGTCTCTGCAGCCCTTTAAAAAATTACATTCTTATGCTCCCTTGTGATTCTTTATAGCTCATTCTTATGTACCATATTAACCTGTTGATGACACCAAACAATTTTCTAACATTTTTTCTGGTTTCTTTTTCAGAGGTATGCTTTTCTGCAACTCGAATGATGTAACATTTTATACGACCTAAATTATTTTTTAATAATTTCCAAATTGACTTTTTACTATTTTTTCAGTGTTAGTGTCAGGAAAGATTACCCAAACACAGTGTTTGACTCCAGGCAGCACGTATGGGTTGCCCTTTCCATCTCAGGACAGGTGGAATCACTTCTCAGATGTCTTACTGGAAGTAGAATGGTGTAGAGCCTAATCTAACTTTTAGTGACTAACATGCTTTCATTTTGTGGATTTTTGCTTTTCTCAATTAAGATTATTTCCAATTTCATGACACTTTGGCATTATAAACTAATGATATTCAAAGTGTGGCTCTGAACATATAGTATCAGCATCACTTGTAGACTTGTTAGAAATGCCAATTATCAGTCTCCACCTCAGACCTACTAAATTAGAAATCGTATGGCCATCTGTGGCTTAACAAGCCCCCCAGGTGATTCTGATATACAATAAAGTTTAAGAATCACTGTCCCAAACCAGTGAATTTTGCATATGCACATGTGCCAGTGCACACACACACACAATTACAATCCAGCTTAATATGCTATTTGTGGTCTTTCCAACTCTGCCCTGAGCTGCAGGCTTTTATTATGGAAATACACTTCCTTCCTTAATTATCCTGACTCCTACACATAAAAAAAGCTCACCAGAGACAACTTCACCATATTTCTTACCTAGTCATTTTTGGGGAGTCAAAGTCTCCAAACAGCTATAGTTGGGGTATATATTGATGGTGGGTATGGGGAGTACAGTAATTGTGGCTCTTCTAAAAATCAGTATCTCTATTATATCGGTAGTAGAAAAAATGTTGCCCAGTTTTCTGTTTGTATGGACTCTGAGAGAAGTCGTAACATATTTTCTACCTTCTTTCCACCTGATAGATTTGTTCCCTTTCAAATGTCAAAGTATATATGGGCTATCAATTACATTCTTAATTCAGCTCCGTAGACTTCATTGTTTGTGAAATGGACTTCCAAATTCTAAAATTGGGCTAAGTTTCAGCCTACTTTTGGTGTTATTTTAATTTATATTCCCCTCAAGCCCACATGTAGTTTTATAGATATTTTTGTGTCAGAGTTGATATTTTTGTATTCAGTGTTACTGCAGATTTCTGGGCCTTATCTAAGACCTATGGAATCTGGATCTGTGTTGAATGAAATTTGGAAAATCTGCATTTTACCAGAACCTGCAAATGTGTATTATGTACACTAAAGTTGGATAACCCCATGGTCTGAAAGAATTTTATGTCAAAAACTTTGAAAGTTTAGCATTTCTTGGCTGAAAGAACACATTGAACAGTGGAGGCTACTGTTTATTTTTCCATTCACAGTCAAATTACTTACTAATAGAGATTTTTTCTTTTAAATTTCTTTAGATATATACATTTTGTGTTTTGATACCCTCAGTAGCTTCACACCACAGTGATTTACTGAAAATTTAGTTCTGCATTTGTATATGTGGTATTTCCTAGCTATTTTAAGTAGAAAGAGCAATGAGCTTGGACCCAGGAGAATGGATTTTACTTGTGATCATGCCTTGATTTTTCTCATTTGTGGTCTTGGAACAGATTATTTGCTATTTCTTATGACATAGATTGAAATGGGATGAGCTGAAAATTTCAGAAGAAAAATGACAGGACCTAAAAATTGATCTGCACACAGAATACAAAATAATTGGTATAAGCATTTGTTCTGATGGATAATCTGGAGCATAAGCAAAAGGTGCGTGACAACATAGCTGGTTCCTAGAAATGAGGTATACGGTGATGACTGTATCTTAAAGATATTCTAAAGGCAAAAGCCAAGTTATGAAAAAAATATGCTTGATTTAGGATAGGATCACATGATGATTCATGCTTAAATAGAGTTCCCTAAATCTCCCTTACTTAAATTAAAGATTGGTTCCATATTGATTAGCTTTCAGTGGGGTACAAGTAGCTTTACCTGAAAAGATATTATTATGATGGTTATTGATACAAGTAATCTGGCAGAGCCTGACATATTTAAGCTTTCTATGTTAAGGTATTATTTTGGCCTGTATTCAACAGAAAGTAAACCCCCTGCAGAGGGCATCTGTGCTATTGTTTTGTTAGGGAGTCCTATCGCAAGGAGCAAGGATGAGGGACAAGAAGAGAAAATCAGGAATAGAGAAAGAGTTAATATGAAGATGTGTTATTGAGCTGGCCACTGCTAAATGTGACTGAATGCCTGATGCTTGGAACTGATTACTTACACTCCCATCCTCCATGTTATACATACTATTTATAATCGGTCCCAAGAAAGGAAAGATGTGGGAGAAAACAGAAGAAATAATTTCTTCCCTGACTCCTATCTTCCGTTGCTCAAAGGTTGACTCATTTGGCTTTATTTCTTCTATATTTCTAGGTTGCTCCCATATGGGCAAGGGCACTGATCTCATTTATGGCCGTGTCAACAGAAAACCCTTGGGCCGGAGGCAAGAGACATGTTCTGAGGGAAGAATACTAGGGACTCTGAGGTTGTACTTGTGAAAAGTTGGTCAGAACTAGAGTGATCATATAACCTATAGCCCAAATGGAACACTTGTGACAGTGACAGGGGACAATGTTAATTATTAAAATGAGACAACATGTTTATAAACTCTTCCAGGCAAATCAGGATGTGTGGTCATTTAATCAGATCTTAGAGGTCTCAGAAAAAAAAAGGAGAGGACCATAAGTGATTTATAAGAAATGTTTATTTAGTTTATCTTGCTTATAAATATACAAAATTTGAAGCAATTAATATTAAGGCTTTATTTTCTTAGCAATCTTGTTTTATCAAATTCTTGAGCAGAAGTCAATTATATGGAACAAATTAAATCAGAGCTGCCCTGGTTGAAACATGAGAGCACAACTCAAACACTTGCCTTTTGGTCTTCTCTTAACAACTTATCCCCTACTTTGAAGGAACCTTTAGAGCAACACTCATTCTCCCATGAAAATGTAATGTGAGGTTGGGCATGGTGGCTCATGCCTATAATCCCACCACTTTGGGAGGCCAAGGCAGGAGGATGGTTTGAGCCTAGGAGTTGGAGACCAGCCTGGGCAACATAGGGAGACCTTATCTCTGCAAAAAAAAAAAAAAAAAAAAAAAAAAAAATTAGCTGGGCGTGATGGCACCCACACCCACTCCCATTAGCCTGTGGTCCCAGCTACTCGGGAGGCCGAGACAGGAGGATGGCTTGAGCCCAGACGTTTGAGGCTGCAGTGAGCCAAGATCATGCACTGCACTCCAGCCTGGGCTACAGAGAGAGACCCTGTCTCCAAAAAAAAAAAAAAAAAGAAAAGAAAAAAAAGTAATGTGAGCCAAAAGTGTTAGTTGTGCATGTGATTGTAAATTTTCTAGTAGCCACATTAAAAATTAAGAAAAAATAAGTGCAGTTAATATTAGTGATTTAATTAACCTGATTATCTAAAATATTGTCATTTTAATATTTAATCACTATAAAATTTAGTCATTATATGCTTACATTTTGGTGCTAAATCTTCAAAATATAATGTATATTTTGAATTATAGCATGTGTCAGTTTGGACAAGCCATATTTCAATTGCTCAATATCCATGTGTGACCATTAATGACCTTGTTAAGACAGTAGCACAAGAGCTCCAGAGAACACCATTTAATACCTTTTGCAATAATAAGATGCTTTACCAAAGACTGCTCATTTCTTTCTGATGTATTACTATCCGTGGAAAAAATAAACACTTTCAAGTATTATATATTAACTCCAATAGATATCAAGAAAATATATTAGAAAAGTTTACTTTTTTTTCTTTAAGTTGATTTTCATCTTTGAGAAAAATTTGCTGTTTTGATCTTCTTACTCATTGAGATTCTCAATGTAACAGAAAAACATATTTGTTTGGTGGAATCAAATAGTCTTTAATTTTAATATCATTTACATAATATGATAGAGCACTAATTATGACCTCAATCTTATTGATCCAAATGTTTTTGGCATGATAGTTCTAGCTCCTAAAGTTTCAATACTTTAATAGGATGTACTTTTTAGGACTGTTTTAAAAATCCGTAAGAAATCCACATTTTTACTTTCCATATTCGTCTGGTGAAAGTGAAATGAATTTTTTACCATAGTGAAAGGACCAAAAAAATCAAAGAGAAGTCCCCTTTTGAGTTTCTATGCACTTACCCTTAAATGGCAAACTCTAGTTTATTCTGTTATTCTTGGGAGGGCTTCAATTCCTGTTGTTTATTCAATAATAAGGATAGGTTGCTCTAGACAAGTGGTTTTCAATTTTTTAAATCCCAGGAGCACTTTATAGACATGAAAACTTAGAAGTATAATATGTTTAGCTATAAAAAGCCAATCATTTCAGAAGGGGTCAAGAAATCCCACTTTCCACTTTTATTTTTCTCCTTGAGGACACTCTGTGTAACCCCAGGTTTTTCCAAGTGCAGATTGACAAACACTACTTTAAATTATGAACATTTTTCTGGTACATTCATTTTAAGATCAATAGCACACATTTACGAGGGTTGACATAAATTAGGTTTAGAGAAACAGCCTATGAATATACTATGTGTGAATTCAAACTGCATGGTCTTAGTCACATTAGTCCCTTTCTCTACTCACTTAGTTCTATTCAGTTAAATTAAAAATTGTTTTATTGATGCATTCTTGTTCACTGAACTATGTGAGGAGATAAGAAAAATATAGAGATGAATTAGACAAGGCCTCTGTCTTCAAAGACAGTATAATTTTCTAAATAGCTCTATTACTGATAACATAGCTATATTATTGGAAAAGTTGTGGATAATCTGGATTGTCATTTATTCAGAAAATATTAATTGGTGCCTAGTATATTAGAGAAAATGCACTGCATAAGGTTGGGGATGAAAGGATGGAAAATTGAACATGATAGCATTTACATCATCAAAAAACCCATAATCAAGGAAGAGAGAGTAAAAACTTACATATTGATGCTGATTCATGACTTAGGTTATTACTATTATTGTGCAATATACAAACATACTGTTTTATGTATGGGTTATACCTTCAGCATTGTTTACCGTTATACTCTGAAAACAATAGTAGCCTATTATTATATTTGGCTTTGTACTGTCAGTGGTGGAAGCGGTGATGGAATATATATTTTTATATCTGTGGAAAATCAAAATGGCATAAAATCTCCAATATTAAGATTGTGTGGTTGACTTATTATCCTGATAGCCCAAACATAATTAGTATAGTTAATACTTCCATTCATCAGTTTTCACATTTCAGCTATGAGTTTCACAGAATCAAAATAAACAAAACATTCCACTGAGCAGTGAAAATGCTCAGAAGCTTCATCCAAAGTACCTCTCTCAAGTCATAATGAGGCAACCAACTGACTTAGCTTTATTTTTAAAAGTACATTTGCTGATTTAGTGATTTTTGTTAACTGCTTTATAACAGCTCATACTATAGCATATTTGAAGATACAGCTAAGGTAAGGTATATTAGCAAAAGTTGATAGATTCAGCAGTGAAAAGGGAGCAGCTAGAGATAGCCAAATATAGAATTCTACGTTGTAAGTTCTCATGTGATAGCAAACATTCCTTAGCAGCTCAGTAACAACAGATAAGCATAAAGGAATGAAAAAGAAAAAGCATAAAAATTAAACCTCATAAGTTTGTCTGCCTTTTATAACAATAGATCGTTTAACATAAATGGAGCACTAATTGATGGCATTTTTAGTTTGGGAAAAGTCCGGAGGGGAAACTGGAGTCCCTTACCTACTGAATTGGCATCCTTTCCCTCTTCTCTGCACCCATCTTGCAGAAATAACGAGGCTCATCAGGGCTTGTCAAGGCACTTCAAGATTCCTCAACTTCTCTGCTACACCTTTCAGAATGAACATCTGACAGCTGCAACTAATAACGAGCCTTAATTTAAAAAAAACAAGTAAAAGAATGTCTAAAGATGTAGTATGACAAATTGTTATCCAACAATGTAAAGAAATGAAGTATTTTGAGGAATTTAATAGCCTATTTAGTGGATATTTATTATAAACAATATATATAATATTACTCATAGAATTAGAATACAAATAAAATAGATTGAATACAAACTATGTGCTAGGCATAATTTAATCTTTCCTTGTTGGTCACAGAAACACTTCAGTATGGTACGTATCTTTCAGCCTATAATTATGAATATAAGTTCTCCCATAACTAGAGCATTCCAGTTGGATTTTCTCAGTTTGGACAATTGCATTTGTTTTATGATATGTAACCAAATAAATAGGAACAAAATTAAATAACAAATAGGAACAAAATGGATTATCAAGAATAATCTGTCATAACTTTTCATCTGAATACTGGGTATCTGTCTTTGGTATAAATATGAAACAATGAAAATATAATTTCTATGCAAATGGTTAGGTATACAGTATTCCTTACTAAATTAAAATTTGGCTAAACTTTTTATCGCTTATACTTAATTGTAAAATATAATAATAACATTCTACTATTGACCTCATACACAGGAGAAAGTTTTCCAGTATCATGATTCACTATGCATAAAACTCAGGAGACTGTTGTAAAATCTTTAAATCACAAATCCTCATGGATAAAAATGAATAGTAGAACCAAAATTCGAGGTTATAAAAACTACTATCAACAAGTAAATGTCATGAAAATATAAATTATTTTTCACTGAGCAGGATAACAACACGAATAAGAGAACATGTAATAAATAACTTGTTATGATAAATTCAGTACAATAAAACAATTCATTCAAAGCTTGTGATAAAATATTCCGTGTAAAACATACATAAATATACCTTAGCACTGTTTAAAAGGCCCCTTTACTTTAATAACAAGTCACGTAAATTGCCGATACTGATTAAAATAAATATAGAGAGAACTGAGTTTAAATACTTATACTTTTATCCTGATCTATTTTTTAATTCAAAAGGCCGGAAAAGCTTGCATTTTAAAAATATGAAAAGTTTTCAAGTCTCCAATGTATTCCTGAATCTGATACTTAAATTAATTGGGCTGCGGTGGCTCTTCTCACAAACAGCCGTCCTTTAAAATTCAGAGCTTCCATAACATTTTATCCTATTTTGGAGGAACCTAAAAGGAGAAATAATGCCTTGGACTTTACTATGTGACTTATTTACTTTGTTAACTTGTTTAGAATATTATTAAAACCAAAGTTTTCAATTATTTACTAAATCAACACTTGGATGATATATGCCAGTGTTTCCCAGCCTGACCCTAGCATAAAAATCACCTGGGGCTTTGAAAAAGGCAGATTTCCTGGCCACATACCAAACCTACTGAATGCAAATATCTAGGTAAAGAGACTGGAGCAAATTTGAGAAACTCTGTTAAAACAATTGCCAAAACAGACCTTTTCTTTAAATACCTGTTTTTCCTCCTAAAACAGGAAGTACTTCCTATGATGTTCCACAAACAATTTAATATACATTCAGTGAGTGTTTATTCAATGGACCATATAGCATAGTGGTTCTTAGTGTTGAACAGACTCTGGAACCAGACCACCTGGATTCAAAATCTGACACTGCTATTTACTAGCTGTTTGACTTTGTCTGTGATACTTAAACCTGTTTCCTCCTCTATAAAATAGGACTAGCAGTCCACCTACTTCATAATGTGCAAATTAAGTGTATTCTTACATGTGATAATATCTGACACAAAAATGCTCAATAAACACTAGTCAGTAATTTATTGACTACTACTACTGACAATTATGAATATAGGCTGTATGCGGTGGTTCGGTTGGGGTGGGTTGGTTAAAATGAATAGCAGCTCTTTAGCAACCCATAATTTAGTTCAGGCCACAGACAAGTAAATTGATGAATTATTTATTTATTGCTGCCATAACAAATTGCCACATATTTGGCAACTTAAAACAACATGCATCAGTTTTCTCATAGTTTCCATGAGTTAGAAGTCCATGCACAATAGGGCTCAGCTGAGTTTTTTGCTTAGGGTCTCACAAGGACAAAGTCAAGGTGGCAGGCCTGGCGAAGCTTTTAGCTGGAAGCTGTGAGAAAGATCTGCCTTCAAGCTGCTTCAAGTTGTTGGCAGAATTCATTTCCTTGAGGCTGTAGAAATGAGGTATCTGTTTCTTTGCTGGCTGGCTGCCTGGGAGCTACTCGCTGCTACTAGAACATGCCTGTATTCCTACTCATGTGGCCCTTTCTATCTTTAAACCAACAATGATGTGTTGAGCCCTTCTCATGCTTGGGATCTCTATGACCTCCATGTCTGCCTTTCTCTTTTGTTTTTAAGAGCTAATGTCAATATAGTGGACCCACCCTGATAATCCAGGATAATCTGCCTATTCTAAGGTCAGCTAGTTAGTAAAAATAATTCTATCTGCAAAATCTCTTTTGCCATGTAACTTAACACATCCAGGAGAGTAACACCAGGGAGTAGAGGTCATGGTGGCCAAAATTCTGCCTACCACTGTGAGAATTACAATAAATAATATTTAGTGAATTGGCATAGAATTTTCATAAAAAGGGTTGTATTCAAATCTCAGCTTCATCATGCTTACCAGTGAGCTAAGTGTTAGTTTCTCTCATCTGTATCCAGGAGTTGGGAATATAAGCCTTAGCTGAGATAATGTATAAAGTCTTTATAAACTTAAATAGTTGTATTAGTCCATTTTCATGCTGCAGATAGAGAAATACCCAAGACTGGGAAGAAAAAGAGGTTTAATTGGACTTACAGTTCGACATGGCTGGGGAGGCCTCAGAGTCAAGGCAGGAGGCAAAAGGCGTTTCTTACATGGCAGCAGCAAGAGAAAATGAGGAAGATGCAAAAGCGGAAACCCCTGATAAAACCATCAGATCTCATGAGACTTAATCACTACCACGAGAACAGTATGGGGGAAACCACCCCCGTGATTCAAATTATCTCCCACCACGTTTCTCCCACAACATGTAGGAATGATGGGAGTACAAATCAAGATGAGATTTGGGTGAGGACACAAAGCCAAACCATATCAACAGTCCTCAAGTGTTAGTCCATTTTAGTGTTTTTGATAGAGTTATGTATAAGTTCAGTGAGAAAAGAAAAGTGATTAATTTGGTCTAGAAGAGGACATGTACACTTTACAGAGAAAATGCAGTTTAAATCAGATGATAAAAAAGTATAGGCATGTAAAGCTGCCTGTTTTATAGAAGCTACTAACTTATATTTAAAACATATTATATGCCAGAAGTTGTGCTAAATACCTTATATGCTAAATGATCATTGAACTCTACTAGCCCCAGAAGTGCATAGGTTTTAACTCTACTGTATAATATGAAGTTGGTTTTGATCAATCGTGTTGAAAGCAGGAGTGGTGAGTGCATGGTGAATCACTTGGAATACTTCCAAACTATGTGCGAAAAAACCATAAAATATCTGGAAGTCTACAAAAGAAATAGTATACTGTGCTTATACACGAGAGAGAGGAACTGTGGTGAGGGCTGGAGACACTTTTCATTTTGTGGAAAACATTAGCTGAACAGATGGCTGTTCAGAAAAAAAGACTTATATTCTTAGCTTTATTGAAGCTAGATTTGCCCATGGAATTGAGTATTATCTAGCTTGTGTGATGTAAGAAGAAAAGTTTTTGTATGATATATTAATATTTTAGGGCTGCCTTAACAAAGTACCACAAACTGTATGGTTTTAACAGTAGAAATTTATTGTTTTACAATTCTGGAGGCGAGAGATCCATAGTCAAGGTTTCAGAAGGGTTGGTTCATTCTGAAAGCTGCAAGAGAACGATCTGTACCAAGCCTTTCTCCTTGGCTTATAGATGGCTGTGTTCTCCCTGTGTGCACATCTGCTTGTGTCCACATTTCCCATTTTTATGTAAACACCAGCAATATTGGTTTAGGGCCCACCCTAACAATCTCGTATTGACTAATTACATTTGCAATGATCCTGTTTCCAAGTGAGGTCACATTCTGAGGTACTGGAATTTTGAGGACACATAATTGAATCCGTAACAGGTGACTTCTGAGAGATGTCTTTAAACAAGGAGGGGAGATAAATGCTTTTCTTCAGCGTTCCCTCCTTTCTGTGGGAGAGAATGTAAATGTAATGGCTACAGATCTAGATGACTTGGGGGTGGAAGTCACAGATGACAGAAAAATCAGATAGAAAGAGCCTAGGTCCTTGAAAATGTAGAAGTATCCTAACTAAGTCTGAATTACTAACCTTCAGACTTAGTTTACAAAATAAGGAAATAGTCTTCTATCTTATTTCGGTGACTGTTACTTTGAATTTTACTAAAAATACAAATGAAGAAATAGTGTGTATTTTAAAGTTGTTATTATGTTTTGAATTATTTTTTCACGCGCATTATTTTTAACTAAAATATTTTTATTTTCCTTTAATGAGCTCTTCTGGTGTGTTAAAGACATGAGTTTTAAAAATGCAACTGACATTCATTATTTTTGGTGGAATATGACATTGTTCCGTATCACAATTGTTTTTATGTAATGGATTTAAAAAAAATAAGATCACTGAGATAAATTTCATTTTGTCTTCCTCTGTAATTTATGTATGTAAATATTTTCCCTTTTTTCTTTTGGTGATATGCATATATTTATCTGGTGAAAGTCAGCATTTGTCCAAGTTACTGATCCTTCATTAGAGAAACATTTATTTTACATTATGAAACCTTTTGTAGAATGGAAAAGAAGCTCTTTCTTAGCTCCCTTTTCGTTCTGTCTTTGTTTTCAACTAATGGCGTAAGTAGAAAATGGCAGCCAGTAACAGGTTAAGATACTGGCTTGCGCTAGATAAGCAATGGGCTCTCTGTAACATGGGTAGCTTCACTGATAGGCAAAGTGCTACTTGTGCTGTTGCAGGCTTTAGCTGCTTATATAAGAAACATTTTCATTCTATGTGCCAGTGGTTCTTATGATTTTTTTGGTCATGAACCTATTTGATAATCGGTTGAAAGCTATAGATTATCTCCCCCGCCCCCAGCAAAATGCACCTAACTGCAAAACATTTGCATACAATTTCAGGAGTTTTAGTGATACTAAAAATTCATCCATGGAAAGTAGTTAACCACTCTGGGTTTGTGCAATTTTGAAACATACTTCCACTACTCATTTCTATTTTTCATAACTAACCTAACCTTAAAAAGTAAATTTTGAAATGCAGTGGAATTGTGCCAAACATAGAAAAAACTTAAAATTAGTGCAGTTTTCCTGGAAACCATGGCTTCTCTTTTCTGACTTTTTTTTTTTTTTTGACAGACTCTCATGCTCTGTCACACAAGCTGTAGTGCAGTGGCAAAATTTCAGCTCACTGCAACCTCTGCCTCCTGGGTTCAAGTAATTCTCCTCAGCCTCCTGAGTAACTGAGATTACAGGCACCCGTCTCTACACCTGTCTAATTTGTTTGTATTTTTAGTAGAGATGGGAGTTTCACCATTTTGGTCAGGCTGGTTTTGAACTCCTGACCTCAAGTGATCCACCCACCTCAGCCTCCCAAAGTGCTAGGATTACAGGCATGAGCCACTGCGCCCAGCAGTTTCCTTCTGATGCTTCTCTCAACCCATCTCTACAACATCTTGGCACTTTCCTTCAGGAATCGAGAATCTCTACTTATTTTCCTATCAAAATAATGTTTTCTTGAAAGGGCATGATAGAGCATCTATACTCAAAATATAAATGTATAATGAAAATTAAAATGATATCACTCCTAGAGATAGTTGCTAAATAGCAAAGGACAAGGAATATGTATCTAAGTAAATTCATCTCTAATAGTAGATATGGGCATCTGGGACAGGTGAGCGAGGTGCATCATTGGAGTGAGAAGACTTCTGGGAGACTATTAATCTTATCATGAAGCAGTGCACCATTCTCCAATGAGTAAGCCTAGCCATGTAGTGGAATAATACTTCATAGTGCAGATTTTACCTCTTACATAGTGCTGTGATACAGTTTCCACTATTTTGACCAATTTGTCCCCTAACTTATATAAATTTTTATAATAATTAAGCTATACTGTAATGATATTCTAGTGTACTTTATTTGTAGAAATTATAAATTCAGTAAATTTTTCATCTCAATATTTCATGTTGTTGGTGCTTCAGAGTCATTGGTCACTGAATGAAAGATTATGTGTTTACGTATTAGAAAAGAACTTTATTACAGAATTTATATGGCATAAAATTAAGATCAAGCCCGGGAGTCAAAATGCAATAGTACTAGCCCTGCTAACTTAAAGAGAAAACCCAATGATACCATTTTGTTTCAATGTGTAAATGCAAAAATACTCAATATACTTTTAGTACTTTAAGAATGGTCTTCTGCTTTACTGATGAAAAATCATTCCACTCAGCATATTCCTTATAGATTATTTTTGTGATTGTTCCATTGTTACAGTGCAGTAAAATGCAAAGCAAATAATTAGGATGGAAATACACATAGTCTTTATAATTCAGCAGTGTACCTTCATTTACAAATGTAGGGCTAGCCATTAAGAAAGGGTCTTTTTTTATTCCCTTCTTATGAGATGGCTCATAAAAGTATGTGCTTAGGATGCTACATCAGTCAGCGTAGGCTAGGCTATGCAAAACAAGTAACACAAGGATCTAACTGGCTTATATATTAGTTTTCTATTGCTGCATAACAAAAATTCTTGGCAACTTAAACGATTCCTATTTATTATCTGACAGTTTCTATGAGTAAGTTCATATGAGTCATAGGTCCTGACACAGTGTACCTAGTTTCTTTACTCAGGGTATCACCAGGTTGAAATCCAACTGTCAGCTGGGTCTGTGATCTCATCTTAGGCTTGAGGTTCCTTTCCAAGCTCTTTCAAATTATTGAAAGAATTCAGTTCCTAGAAGTTGTGGACTGAGGTCTCAGTTTTCTTGCTGGCTGCCAGTTAGTCACTCTGAATTCCTACATGTTGTCCTCAGGTCATACCATGTGGCTGTCTTACAATATGGCAGCTTATTTCTTCAATGCCAGCAGGAAAGTCTCACTTAGTCTGCTACAGAGGAGTCTGTCTAATGTAAAAAATGTAACTATCCCATCACCTTTGCCATATAAAGTAACTAACCATGGAAGTGACTATGCCATCATAGTCATGGGTCCTTTCACACTCCAAGAGATATGATTAGACAGACGATGTACACTAGAGAGCAAGGCTACTAGGAGCCAGTTTAGAATTCTGCTAAATGAAGCTTATTGTGACAAATATTGATTTCCAGCTTAATCAAAATCTACTGCAGGTATGTGTGACTCTTCAGGGCAGCTATCCTTCCTACTTAGTAATTCTGGCTACTTTAATCTTTTCTACTGTTATATCTACATGAGACTTCTTCCTCAACTGCCTTGGTAGGGAAAGAAGCACTAAAGAGATCATAACCAGGAATTAAATATTTCCAGACTGAAGTGATATGCCAGTTCCAATCATATTTCATTAGCCAAGGACAGTCAAATATCTATGCCTTCCTTTAAGGGAGCAGGAAAATAAAATCTTCTCACTGATAAAGAGTGTATCTTTGACCAAATTCTAGTCAGGTTCTTCTGAATTATCTTCCAGACTAGACCTCGACATTCAGATATTCATGCTCATCTTTGCATCACCAGATTTTAGCAAGAATATGGTGAAATTGGTTTACTCTGAATTCCTCAACGTTAATATCTTATAGACTTTGATATCTGATTGGCTTTCTTATCCTGCACCAGCCCCAGGTGATATCTGATCACTGTGGCCTGCCTTCAGCAAGAATCTTGTTAGGTCAGTTTAACAAAGATTTACCCTACACTCTTAGTATGTAATTTTCCATCCACCACCACCCAAACTCCTGTGCTCCTTGACCATAAATCCCTAACTTTTCTTTGTTGTATTTGGAGTTGAGTCCAATCTCTCTCTCCTATTCTAAAGCCCCATTGTAGTAATTCCCCTGAATGAACTCGACCTAACCATTTTAACAAGTATGTCTAATATCATTTTTCTTTAACATCACATACCTAGAAGTAGACGAGAACTAGAGAACTAAATATTGGTAAATAATATAAATGTCTACCCCCAAAATTTATTAATCTCAAGATCTTTTCTCATTGCTGGATCATATAGTAGTGTAGAATGAGTTCTTTTTATTTTTAAAGAGATTTGAGGTATAATTTGCACACCATAAATTTCACCCATTTGAAGTACACATTCAATGGTTTTGAATATATGTACCAGATGAGTTCTGGAATGCATAACATTAATAAGCATTTCTTAAGTGTCTATTGTGTGTGTAATACAATATTAGATTCAATGTAGAGAAAAACGAAATAAATGTTTTTTAACCTTGAGATTACAATCAAGTTGGGAGGGAGAAAGTGAGTATATAGGAAGTCACTAAACAACAATCTCAAGTATTTTAATATATAACAAAATACTCCAAACAGAATTTCAAAATGGGAAGGTAAATTATATTTATTGAATATCTACTGTGTGACAACCAGTTTGCTAAATGTCTTTTGCATACAATCTTACATAAGTTTAATAATAATCTTGTTTCCCCAAATTTTACAAATGTGAAAGCTAAGGCTCATAGAAGTTAAATGTCTTGTCCAATTTCACACAGCTAGAAAATATGAGTTAGAATCTAATTCTAATTAATTCTTAATCTGAAATCCAAGTTTGTTATACTAAACTGCTACAATAAAGATGATATAAGATGATTATAAAGTGCTACTGAAGCTTAGTAGATAAAGATGATTGGTAATTGTGCTGATCAGGGAAGTCTTCATGAAAAAATAGTTTGAAAGGCGGAACTTGAAGAGTAGGTAAGATTTTTGGACAGAGAAGGAAATACAAAGAATAGCAGACAGCATGGCATGAGCAAAGTAGGAAAAACAAAAAGGCAAAGGTAACATTTGAGATAATAAAAGCTATCAAGTTTTTTGGAATGCAAGGAATATAAACAGGAGTGGTGGAACACCATGGAAGGCTTTGCTGGGTTAAAAAGAATCATACTTGACAAGGAGTTTGCAGCTTTCTGTTAATACTAGGACACATTCATAATCTCCAGTGGGGAAAAAACATCCAGAAATTAGGGAAGATCAGATGGGCTCAGTGTCTTTCAAGACCAAGATAATGGAAGATGGCTTTGTAATGCAACCCCGTCATGAAAGAGAAAAATGTGTCTCTGACATTATAAGATTGAAGTTAAGCTAATCAGAGATTATGCCTCTTATGCAGATCTATTGAAGGATTTTGGCAGAAAACTAATCTTCACAATGTGAAATGTGTCTAAGTTTTTAGATATTTAAGGAAATGCAAATTGCAATTTGAAATGTGAGGCCTGACATTTCTACCAAGGTTCACCCTCTTCTTTTAGCTGGTGGCAGGAAATGTGTTGAGGAGACAACAATGTAGTACCTGAATATGTGCCTTTTATAAAGCATGTGAGGATACTTTGAATTTGTTTCTTGAAGACGAAGTAGCATATTTTAATGGGAAAAGGTAGGAGAAAGGACTTCTTCAGGAAAGACATTTATCAAAGCAGGAACTGCAGGAAGAAAGAAGAAAGGATAACATAAGGAAGGAGGGAGTGGCCATGAGTGATACACTGAATATACAGGCAATAAGATCGCAAGCATTTTTGCATGGTAAAATGGGAAGTGTAAGCTAGACCAAATATATGATTCTCACATTTTCACCACCCTTTCTCTGTATGTTTGAATATAACCTTACTTTTTTCTTAAATCAAGTTTGTGTGTATTTAGAAAAATGAGCAAAATAGCCTACTGTTCCAACCTATACCTTGATCCCTCTCTGGCATCGTCATCCGACAGTATCAGAAACAGCATCATGGTAAACTGGAGGGTGATGAGTGTATCTGCCCCTAAACAATATCCTGATTAGAGAACAGGCACCCTCCCAACTTTAGAGGATAGATGGAGACACCTTAGGTGATAAAAGAGAAGTGCCTATCACATTGTTTTAAATTCGTGGTAGCTCTTGTGCTTTCTGTGATCTCTGGCACATTATCTGGATAAATCTGCTTCAAACTATATTCTAAAACAGAGCTAGCAGTGTCCCCCACCCTAGCCACTAAACAGTTTTCAGAAAGATGACAGAAGACAAAATGGGCCCAGCCAAAACAATATAGTGCTTATATTAATCTCTCATAGCAAGAGGAATGTGGTAAAGGGAATCCTCACATTGGCAGTTCAACTGGGGCACTGAGTTGTGCCATCTGGGAATAAATATTGTATGTAGAAGTCTGGGATTTTACAGTATCACATACTTTTCCCTTATTGTTTTCTGGTGGGGATGGACCATAGACATTTGTAATTTTTCGTATTCTGACAAGGAGTTTGGGTTGCTTGTTTTAGTTTTTATCTTTAATTGGCAAGTAATAATTGTATATAGTTGTGGGGTACAGTGAGATGTTTTGATATATGTATACATCATGGGATGACTGTATTGAGCTAATTGACATATCTATCACCTCACGTACTTATCTTTTTTGTAATAATAACATTTAAAATCTACTCTTTTAGCAACCATTTTTCATTTTTGTTTTAATACATTCAAATAGCCAGAAGAGAAGATATAAAATGTTTCAAACACAGAAAACTATAAATATTTGAGGTGATGTGTAGCCTAAATACCCTGATGTGATCATTACACACTGTACACTTGTATACCATAAATATGTACAAATATTATTTATCGATTAAGAAACTAAAAAAAAATTTACACAATCTGAGCAAGCACTAAGAAGCTGGTGGCTGCCTCTGGATCTTGGACTGATGTTGTTGGATGTACAGCAGGAAAAGACAATAAAACAAAACCGCTAGATATAGAAGGTGGAAACTATTTCCACAGGAATTTCAACTATGGTTTGATTATATTAAAGAAGTATGCCAGGAATGGAATTCTTCACAACTTGAGAAATGAAAAAGGGTCACACAGTGCTTGAAATATTATACCTTCTATAATGTATTCATGTAAAAGATTTAAAAGTTCTAAACTTACACAGTAGTTTCTCTTTACCCACAAGAAATATATTCCAAGGCTACCAGTGGGTACCTGAAACCTTGGATTTCTTAGTATATATCGTACTGAACCATATGCATACTAAGTTTTCTTTTTTCCTACACATACATATCTATGATAAAATTTAATTTATAAATTAGGCACAGTAAGAGATAAACAATGACTAATAAATTAGAACAATTATAGAAATATACTGTAATAAAAGTTAGGTGGTCTCTCCCTTTCCCTCTCTCAATATCTTATGTGTTGTACTCACCTTTCTTGTGATGATGTAACATGATAAAATGCCTAGGTGATGAGAAGAAGTGAGGTGAATGATGAAGGTATTGTGACGTAGCATTAGGCTACTGTTGAACTGACAATACGTCAGGAGAATTATCTGCTTCAGGTAATCCTGGATCATCAAGCCATGACTATTTTGATGACCAGTAAAGCAGTTAGCATAGACAGTGGTGGGTACTCTGGACAAAGAAATAATTCATATCCTGTGCAGGACAGAATGAAACAGCCAGGGATTTCATTACCCTACTCAGAAAAAAAGCACAATTTAAAATTTATACATTATTTATTTCTGGAGTTTTCTATTTAATATTTTTTTACTTCTGCTGACAGTAGCTAACTGAAACCATGGAAAGCAAAGCCATTGATGAGAGAGGACGACTGTACTTTTGGTGACTTGTTTTGTTGCTTTAGAATAAGTCTTTGGCAGTGCAGATAACTTCAAGGAAATGTTTATTACTTTTTTGACGACCCAGCAGAAATGATGGAAAAAGATCTGTTAATATGCAACAATATGGTGGATGTTATTATGGAATACTGCAGAAAACTGCACTGTAGAATACAGCTTCAGGTTTCATGAACATTTGAGAATCCTCTTAAGAATTTTACTACTATTTTTTGTAGATTAAACTGATTCAGGTGGAGAAAGAAAAAGAAGAGGAGGAAGTTAAGTCTATAGATATTTACAGAAAGTCAAATAAATTGGTTGATACTGCATTTTAGACTGAGCTCAATTTTGGTGGCTGAAGCAAAAGAGCCATAGCAAGACAGATTGGGGTGTTTGTGGAAGATCAGAAAGTGAGTAATCACAACCCTCAATTCCAGAGAACACTTTGGTGAGTTTCTTTTTTGGCTTTTGTTTTTCCTATTAGCAAAATGGGTATCTAATGGTAAACTGTGAACTCATGAAAGATTACTCCCCAATCATAATTGTATTTTGATATATTGATAACTGAACACCGTGCAGGTTTTGAGGATATGATGTTGCTCTCTAATGTGACTAATATCTTCATTTGCCTGATAACTACTCAAGTAGTATGTCCTTGTTATGTTTTTGTTTGTTTTATAACATGAGTAGTCATGGTTAAGTACCCTGGAAATCCAATATCCTGTGAATTTGACTGGCCACCTTAATTCCAGGTGGTGTATTTAACCCTTAACTGATTGCATTGGGTGAAAGAGTGAGTAAGAGAGCAAAGATTTAGACAATAGGCACTCCATTCTCTTTCTTTTCTGAACCAAATGATGAGTTCCAAATCAAATCAATTTAGCTGTTACATTTTCTGTGGCATATCGGCTCGGGTGTGATAAATATACGGCTGCTTATATCCTAAGGCAGTATGTTATGTTTAAGAAATGTTTAATTCAAAGTTATTTAATTGCCTTGAAAAGATAGGTTATTTATATCCTTTTTGGCTTTTTTATTTGAAAACTCTGAAATTTTCATGCTACGCTTCACTGTTCTTCTCTTTGTTTCCTAACTATAATTCTCCCTGTTTTACAAATGGAAACAATTGACTTACACAGAGATTGAAAAGGTACTGGCAGCTAGCACAGCAGGTTGGTGGCCAAAAGAGAAAGTGAGATGATTCCCTGAGCTCAATTCCATTTATTAGCCAGTTTCAAAGTGAAAAAGTGACTCTATTTTTAAAGAGAATCAAAAAATTAAACATATCTTTGTGTCAAACATGAAGAGAAATTCTATGTCTCCCAATGCTAAAACCATGAAAGTTAAGCCTTTTGATTTTTCAAACACATGGCACAGATCTGTATTTACACATATAATAAAGGTCAAAACAGTAACTTATTATCAGATGCCATTTTATTTAAACAGCTATAGAAGAGACTATTTATCTTATTGAGCTTTTCAAATAATTTGCTTTCTTGAATGTGGAACTTGTGTTGTGCTGTGTTATTTCATTTGAGCAGTGCAGTGGAAAAACAAACAAACAAACAAACAAACAAACAAACAAATTTGGGATATATATTGGCAGATGAGTAAGCAACCTGCTTGGAGGGACATTAAAATTTTCCAGGAAGAGGAGTAGTTGAGTTAACTTTCAGTAATCTATGAGAGGCAGTTCACTTCTTGGAAAGACCTTGGGCTTTGGAGTTAGATATGGGTTAAAATCTTGACTCTGATAACATAGTATAAATAACCTTGAGAAAGGTAATTAAATCAGTGATTCTAAGACTTTTAGGTTTCAAGAACCAGTAAAATTAGAAAAAAAATAGTGTCATAGGCTAATGTGTGCTTCCAACTTCTTATTTCACCAGGTAAAGTTATAATAAAACTCCACAAATAAATGCATAAAAATGTAACAATTAACATCATTATCTAAGGTAGATAACTGCTGTTGGCCTAACCAATATTGATATTCCTTCTTATTAACTTATAGAACCTCAATTTTGTTCATGAAAGCAACATGCCCAACTAAAATATTACATTTACTACATTTTCTAGTCTCCCTTGTACCTAGAAATAACCATAAGATGTAGTTTTGGGCGATGAGACATGAGGGGAATTCTGCTAGGACATCTGGAAGGGTTTTGCATTCTTGATATAAATGCCACTACTTCTTCCTTGTTGATTCCTCCTTTTTTCCATACCTGGACATGAAGCTGGAAGTAAAGCAGCCATCTTATGACCTTGCAATGACTATAAGGATAGAGGTTATATGCTAAGGAAGTCAGAGGAGAATAGGAAAAGGAGCCTGGGGTCCTAATGGCTTTGTGGAGCCACCTTATCACCTTTGGATTACCCAATGCAGGAATTCTCATGTGAGAAAATTACTCATTTGTTAAACCATTATTTTCTAGGTTTTTGTTACTAATGGTGATATGTAATCCAAAGAAGTATATCATCATTTTGTGAAATAAGGGATATGGCAATATTCTAAAGAGTCTTGCCTTGCTTTCCCCGTTTAAAAAAAAAAAAACTCTCTTCTTTTCTCTATATTTTTCCATCTTCATTAGCCTGTCAGGGCATTTTTAGTCCCGTGTCACATTAGCTAGTGCTTCTACTTTCTGTTATGAGATTGCTTAGGTTTATTTATTCTATATTCTAGACGAGTCTTTCTCCACTTCCAGATATTTCTCTCAGTGGAAAATCTCCTGCAGGACTTTTCAGATAAATGCTCCTGTTGATGCTTCCAAACCTGTATTCTCATGGGCTGAGAAATGATGAATATGTCCTCTGTCATCTATTCCTTGAAACCTTGTTTTTCCTTAGCTTTAGAGTTTTCTAGGTTTTGTGTAACTTGTGAAAAAGAATGGAAGAACACATCCTTTTTACCAGTTCTTTCCCTGAAGCATTGGGATATGCCTAAAGATTTGAATGCTGCTTTCTTACTTCACTACCCCTTTGAAGCAGTCTCAGCTAAGTTGTATTTCAAAGAACATTTTATTTTTATATTTTATAGAATGTTATTTAAAGAATGAACACTTATGGTTATGATGACAATTATAGCTGCATTGTGTGTTGTATTATTTGTCCAAAAGTTAAAAAGTTGTCCCAATTCATCCTTTTACCACGAATTTATTTTATAAAATATTAATAGTCTGAATCTCCTTTCTTGTGAACATATCTGGCTGATATATCTGTTCCTAATATGTAATTTTAATCTTCGTATTTCATTAACTTTAGAAATATATCTTGTAATATCCTATAGATAAATTTATCTCTAAATCCAATCACAGAGCCTTTTTTTTTTAAGAGAGAGCAACTAACTTTAAAATTATTTTTGGAAATAGTAAGTTTGTTCTTATTTTATCATCATGTTTTATGATTTCTTTCATACCTATTTTCTTTTTTAGTAGAAAATATTTATTTATATTTGATTCCTTTGTTTTCTGGAAAATATGCATTTTGTTTTTATTTGTATTCATGGTAAATATTAATCATGATTAAATATACCTGAATCTATCATTACTTAATAATTAATGCCATAAATGATATATGATTTATTGATGTTATTTATATGCTAAGTGTTTTATATGTAACTTTTCTGTTGCCTTCAGAAATATCTTAAAGCTTTCTTCACCATTTTTCTGATTGTTTATTTCACCCAGCATTTAAAAGTTACTTCTTCCTCTTAAACAGCTCCATTTTCACTTCAAACTAACTCAGTTTTATTTATTCTTATATATGGTCCATGCTTTATAGAATTTCAGAAAACAGAAGCAACAAGCCCGAAGTACAAAACAGGAGTAAATTTAGTGAGGAAGAATCTCCCAAATTTGTTGCTTGGTGTTCTTATTATGAGATGTGGAATAATCCATTTCATTGTCCCAACTTATGGAGGGTGATTTCAAGCTGTGTCTGCTAAGCTTTTCAAAGTCATTGGATGGGAGGCTGGCTGATGTTGAATTAGGAAAGGAACACCTCTGGATGACCATAACGGAACCTTTGAACCAAATGTGTTAAGGTCACAGTGGTCAAGCAATCATAGTAAACTTGTTATTCATTCTTCCAGAAAACTGGTTCCCCAGATAATTGCATGTTCACTCCCTCACTTCATTCATATCTCCACTTAAATATCACTTCCTCAGGGAGATCTTCTCTAACACATCTATTTAGAGTTATAACTATCATTCTCCATCTCCTTACCTCATTTTATTATTTTTCCATAGCACTTATTGCCTGAATTTCTATTATCTATTAATGTATTTATTCTTCTTTCCCAATTTTTCTTCTTTTTAATAGCTATATTTCCAGGACCTAGAACACTGCATGATACACACACACATTTATTTATTGAATAATTTAATTATCTCTTGTTCCCTGAAGCAGTGAAACCATAAATATAGGCCTGAATTGGGTGGGGGGAGGTAATGAAAGGAAAAGGGATAAAATACTAGAAAAAAAAACTGTTATAACTTCAAAAATAGTGTTTGGTCACATATAAATACTCTGGATCAGTCTATAGGTGTCAACTTGTTAGAAACAACTTAATAACTATAACATTCAAGATAGAGTATTCCCATAGCTCTTTTATGCTTAGTATTCACCTATGCTTATTTAACATTCTAAGTTACAGAGCTCCACTTCCTATCTCCTTTACTAAGATCACATAGCATATCTGAGAATTAGAGTTCAACGCAAATAATAATGGAGAATGGTTGTTGTTTGATAAAATATCCCTGACCTCCCTAGAAAGACTGAGAGGTAGAAGGTGGTTTATTTTCTTAAGATCAGTTAAATTTCCATCATTATTTCAGGGCATTGTTTTAACTTTCTGTAATAGAAACTACTCCTATTGTCTGCTAGAACTTTGGCCACTATTTCATAGTTGTTAATATTTTGCACCACTTAATATGCTTTTACTACTTATTCAGTGAGAAGTTTGAGGAATTAAGTCCACTAAAACTTTTAAAAGGAGTAAATGGATTTGTTGAATTTTCTTTATTTAAAATTTCAACTTTTATTTTAGACTCAGGGAGTACATGTGCAGGTTCGTTACATGGATATATCATGTGATGCTGAGTTTGGGGTATGAATGATCCCATTACCCAGGTAGTGAGCATAATACTCAATAGTTTTTCAGCCCTTGCCTCCCTTTCCATTTCTCCTCCCTAGTAGTCCCCAGTGTCTATTTTTCCCATCTTTATGTCCACGTGTGCCCAGTGTTTAGCTCCCACTTACAAGTGAGAACATACGGTATTTGGTTTTTTTGTTCCTGAATTAATTTGCTCAGGATAATGTCCTCCAGCTGCAATCATACCGCTGCCTGCTGCAAAGGACATAATTTTGTTCTTTTTATATGCCTGCATAGTATTCCACTGTGTAATATGTACCACATTTTCTTTATCCAGTTCATTGTTGGTGGTCACCTAGGTTGATTCCATGTCTTTGATATTGTGAATAGTGCTGAAGTGAACATACAAGTTCATGTGTCTTTTTGGTAGAATGATTTATTGTCCTTTGGGTATGCATCCAGTAATGTGATTGCTGGTCTAAATGGTAGTTCTGTTTTAAGTTTTTTGAGAAATTTCCAAATTGTTTCCCACAGTGGCTGAACTAATTTACATTCCCACCAACAGTGTATAAGCATTCCCCTTTCTCCACAGCCTTGTCAGCATCTGTTGCTTTTGACTTTTTAACAATAGATACTCTGATTGGTGTGAGATGGTATCTTAATGTGGCTTTGATTTGCATTTTGCTGATGAGTATTGATGTTGAGCATTTGTTAGTATTTTTATTGGTTGCATGACTTCTTTTGAGAAGTGTCTTTTCATGTTCTTTGCCTACTTTTTAATGGGGTCATTTCATTTTTCCTTATTGAATTGGTTAAGTTCCTCATAGGATCTGGATATTAGATATTTGTCAGATGCATAGTTTGTGAATATTGTCTCCCATTATGTAGGTTGTCTGTTCACTTTGTTGATGTTTTGTTTTCCTGTGCAGAAGCTCTTTAGTTTATTTAGATCCCACTTGTCAATTTTTATTCCTTTGCAACTGCTTTTGAGGACTTAGCCATAAATTCTTTCCCAATGCCCATGTTCAGAATCATATTTCCTAGGTTTGCGTCTAGGATTTTTATAGTTTGAGGGCTTACCTTTAAATCTTTAATCCATCTTGTGTTGATTTTTGTCTATGGTGAATGATATCTGTCCAGTTTCATTCTTCTGCATATGGCTAGCCACTTATCCTAGCATCACTTATTGAATAGGGAGATCTTTTCCCATTGCTAGTTTTTGTTGACTTTGTCAAAGATCAGATGGTTGTACGTGTGTAGCTTTATTTCTGGGTTCTCCATTCTGTTCCATTGGTTTATGTATCTGTTTTTGTACCAGTATCATGCTATTTTGGTTACTCTAGCCTTATAGTATAAAGCTGGGTAAGTTCATATAGTATAGTTTTAGATTGGGTAAATGCCTCCAGCTTTATTCTTTTTGTGTAGGATTACACTGGATATTCAGGCTCTCTTTTGGATCCATATGAATTTTAGAATAGTTTTTTCTAATTTCATTTTAGAAATAAAACATTTTCCAAACAAGCAATCACTAAGGGAATTTGTTATTAGTAGACTAGCCTTACAAGGTATCCTTAAGGGAGTTCTAAGCATGGAAACAAAAAAACAATACCTGCTACCACAAAAACACCCTGAAGTACATAGCCCACTGACCATATAAAGCAAATACACAATAGAAGCTACAAAACAATCAGCTAACAACCTCATAATAAGATCAAAACCTCACATATCAATAGTAATTTTGAATGTTAACTGGTCTAAGTGCTCCACTTAAAAGGCACAGAGTGGCAAGTTGAATAAAAAAAGACACATCTTTCAGCTGTCTTGAAGAGACCCATGTCACATGTGACAACACTGTTTGGCTCAAAGTAAAGGGTTAGATAAACCCAAATGGAAAAAAAAAAAGAGCAAGGGTGGCTATTCTTAGATAAATAGACTTTAAACAAACAAACAAACAAAACCAGTGAACAGGGACAAAGAAAGAATTACATAAAAATAAAGAGTTTAATTCAACAAGAAGACTTAATTATTATAAATAAATATGCACCCAACATTGGAGCACCCAGGTTCACAAAACAAGTATTTCTAGACCTACAGATTTTGAATGTCTAAAGAATGCTCTGGCCATAATGTGGAGGAGAAATTGCAAAGAGTTGAAATTAGATGGAAGAAGATTGATTAGGAGAATTTTTACAGTATGAAAGAAATGATTAAATTGTGAATTAATTGTATTATAGTGAGAATGAGAAGGAGAGGAGAGATTTGAGAAATATCTAGCGGGAAATTAACAAAAAGTTTTAATTTATTAGATGCATTGAGGAGTAAAAGCTAGATTTGTTCTAAGGATTACTTTGATTCTTTCTCCTGAATGATAGGGGTAATTGGTGGGGCCAGTGACTGAGGAATGATATACATAAGGAAAGATAGGCTTGAGAAAATAATAAGTTCCACTTCAGATAATTGACTTTAAAGTGCATATGAATATTCAAGTGAATGTAGGAAATAGACCATCGACTTTAAGAGTTTGGAGGTCACTGGAGAAGTTAGATGCAGAGATATAAGACTTGGGTGTCATATTATCAGCGACAGTTAAAACCATGGAAGTGGGAATGATTACATAGTGAGAGGTTAAAAAATGATAAGTGGCTTAGGAAAATTCCAACTCACGTTAGTTATTTATTTTTTATTTAAAGAGATAGGGATGATAAGAAATAATTGAAGTATTTTATAAAGTAACCCATGGCATTTGGAAAAGAAGAGGAGTGAAAGTCAAGAGATAAGAAAGAGGTAGGAAAGGTCAAGAAATTTAAGAATTAAAAAGTGTCTATGAAATTTAGCAAATAAGAAATCATTAGTGATATTTTTTTATTTTATTATTATTATACTTTAAGTTTTAGGGTACATGTGCACAATGTGCAGGTTAGTTACATATGTATACATGTGCCATGCTGGTGTACTGCACCCATTAACTCGTCATTTAGCATTAGGTATATCTCCTAAAGCTATCCCTCCCCCCTCCCCCCACCCCACAACAGTCCCCAGAGTGTGATGTTCCCCTTCCTGCGTCCATGTGTTCTCATTGTTCAATTCCCACCTATGAGTGAGAATATGCGGTGTTTGGTTTTTTGTTCTTGCAATAGTTTACTGAGAATGATGATTTCCAATTTCATCCATGTCCCTACAAAGGACATGAACTCATCATTTTTTATGGCTGCATAGTATTCCATGGTGTATATGTGCCACATTTTCTTTTTTTTTTTTTTTTAAAGTCTCCCATGTCAACTTCTTTCTACACAGACACGGCAACCATCCGATTTCTCAATCTTTTCCCCACCTTTCCCCCCTTTCTATTCCACAAAACCGCCATTGTCATCATGGCCCATTCTCAATGAGCTGTTGGGTACACCTCCCAGACGGGGTGGTGGCCGGGCAGAGGGGCTCCTCACTTCCCAGTAGGGGCGGCCGGGCAGAGGCACCGCTCACCTCCCGGATGGGGCGGCTGGCCGGGCGGGGGGCTGACCCCCCTACCTCCCTCCCGGACGGGGCGGCTGGCCGGGCAGAGGGGCTCCTCACTTCCCAGTAGGGGCGGCCAGGCAGAGGCGCCCCTCACCTCCCGGACGGGGTGGCTGGCCTGGCGGGGGCTGACCCCCACCTCCCTCTCGGACGGGGTGGCTGCCGGGCGGAGACGCTCCTCACTTCCCAGACGGGGTGGCTGCCGGGCGGAGGGGCTCCTCACTTCTCAGACGGGGCGGCTGCCGGGCGGAGGGGCTCCTCACTTCTCAGACGGGGCGGTTGCCAGGCAGAGGGTCTCCTCACTTCTCAGACGGGGCGGCCGGGCAGAGATGCTCCTCACCTCCCAGACGGGGTTGCCGCCGGGCAGAGGCGCTCCTCACATCCCAGACGGGGCGGCGGGGCAGAGGCGCTCCCCACATCTCAGACGATGGGTGGCCGGGCAGAGACTCTCCTCACTTCCTAGATGGGATGGCGGCCGGGAAGAGGTGCTCCTCACTTCCTCGATGGGATGGTGGCCGGGCAGAGATGCTCCTCACTTCCCAGACGGGGTGGCGGCCGGGCAGAGGCTGCAATCTCGGCACTTTGGGAGGCCAAGGCAGGCGGCTGGGAGGTGGAGGTTGTAGCGAGCCGAGATCACACCACTGCACTCCAGCCTGGGCACCATTGAGCACTGAGTGAACGAGACTCCGTCTGCAATCCCGGCACCTCGGGAGGCCGAGGCTGGCGGATCACTCGCGGTTAGGAGCTGGAGACCAGCCCGGCCAACACAGCGAAACCCCGTCTCCACCAAAAAAATACGAAAACCAGTCAGGCGTGGCAGCGCGCGCCTGCAATCGCAGGCAGTCGGCAGGCTGAGGCAGGAGAATCAGGCAGGGAGGTTGCAGTGAGCCGAGATGGCAGCAGTACAGTCCAGCTTCCGCTCGGCATCAGAGGGAGACCTGGAAAGAGAGGGAGAGGGAGAGGGAGAGGGAGGGGGAGGGGGAGGGGGAGCCACATTTTCTTAATCCAGTCTATCATTGTTGGACATTTGGGTTGGTTCCAAGTCTTTGCTATTGTGAATAGTGCCGCAATAAACATACATGTGCATGTGTCTTTATAGCAGCATGATTTATAGTCCTTTGGGTATATACCCAGTAATGGGATGGCTGGGTCAAATGGTATTTCTAGTTCTAGTGATATTGTTGAGAGTGGTTTCAATGGGACAGTGGGCATAGCACCCAGAATTTAGTGGGAGAGAATTAATGGAAAGTGAATATTTTACTAAAAATTTACAGGGCATTAAAATATCCTTGGACTTAAGTAGCAAGTAACCAAACCAAAAGTGTCATAAATGTATTCTAATACGTAACAAGAAGATCTAAAATAGAACATTTCCAGAAAAATAAAGACATTATCATGCACCCATCTTCTTTCCATAATTATGTTCTAACATCCTCACTCTGTTGACTTTTGCCCTTAGGTTCTGTTCCCTCATAGCTACAATATATTTGTGATAGAACTAAACATCATATTCTCCCACACTGGGACAATATCCAAAAGCCAGGAGGAAGAGGACACATGTCTTCTTGTGTACTGTTTTTAAGAGTGAAGAAAACATGTCCAAAATTCCCTACCAGATTTCACCCATATCTCATTGGCCATCATTGTGACACAGTATTATTTCTATATTAATAATTGGCATAGGTCTTGGAGTAATTTAGACAAATCAAGATTCAGGCTCCCTCTGAACATATGGGTTGGCTGGAAGAGGGCAAGAGTGGGTTTCCTAGCTTCTGGAAAAAATTATTTCTTGGTTGAAATGGTACTTATAAAAATGTGTTAACTTTGTGAAAAATCTAAAGAACTATACATTTATGATTTGCACTCTGCTGCATATACATTACACTTCAATAAAAATTTACATTAATATATTCATCATCCCCCATGGGTCTTGCTGAGAGCAAGACAGTCAGCTTCACTGAAGGCAATAGTCATTAGAACTCAAATTTGGGTTCCGGTTAGCAAAAAGGAAAGTAAAAAATGGCTGTAGGTTAGGTAATCAATGGTCTCTGTCTTTCATCCATGTAAATAATACAATTTGGTCAAAACAATCTGTTAGCCATAAGAAAAAAAATAGACAAGTATTAAATACAACAAGATTTATTCTTTAATAGCAGTTCCTTTAAGAAAGCAGTTGATTTATTCATCCAATATTTTTACTGCCTCAAAAGAAGTTAGGATAATTAAGCTACAAAAAGAAATGTGCCGTTGAATTCACCATGTCAGTGATTCTCAGTCCTATCAGAGCCAACAAATCCTATAACTAACATTTTTTTATAGCAACCCTTTTACTATCCTTAAAAGGAATTCATAACATAACATTTTTGAAAATATAATAGGCATGTAAATGCCCAGGCTTGACTACATAGAAGGTTTAATGGAGGAGTAAGATACTTGTATTAAAAGGAAAACTTTAGTTGAGTTAAATTTAAAAGAGTTTAATTGAGCAAAGAATGATTTGCGAATTGTGCAGCCTCCTAAGCTAGAGTAGGTTCAGAGACTCCAGTGCAGCCATGTAATGGAAGAAAATTTATGGACAGAAAAAGGAAAGTGATGTACAGAAAATGGAAGAGGCTTATTTAAAAATGGTTTGAAAAGTTGGCCACCTTTGATTGGCCAAAACTTGGTGATTGGCACAAGAGGAGGCTACAGTCTGTATACAACTCCATTTAGGTTATAATTCATGATGTACAGAGAAACCTTTAGGCCAAACTTAAAATATATAAGGAGACAACTTTAGGCTAAACTTGATTTAACACTTGCATGAACATATAAGGAATACATTTGATTTTAAGTGTGGTCAGAGGAAGTCAGTCTATATAAAAATTACAGAAACTGACAGATTTGTATAGATGCTAAATTACAAACCAGTGTTAACTTTATGATAACAGAGCAATAACAGGGCACAATTACAGAAAGGGAAAAATCTTCCATGAAACTGATCCCTGGTGCCCAAAAGTTTGGGGACCGCTGAACTAAATGACTGAGACCTAATCATACAACTATAGCATGCTTCCTCTCATGAAAATCTAACCAACATATTAATAGGGCTCCTATTAATTATAGGGAAATGCAATAGAAAGAATTGCATATCTCAGATCCTATTTAAGATGTCTCTAAAGAGACTAAAACACAGCAGGGAAGAAGAAAACCGAAACACCAGAAGAAATTTTAGTCTCTGGCTCTTATAGCTACACCAAATAGTAAATTCAGCCTAACCCTTAGCCAGATAAACATAAAATCTCACACTAAAGGCCTATTTATTCCAATTTCTTTTACCTAGTACACCATATCCATCTTTCAACAAAATATTATAATTACGAGGAATACTAAAAGACAAAAAAACACACACACACAGATTGAAGGGAGAAAGCAATAATGCATGAATGAGTGTCCTTGAAAAAAGGTCGATAGAAACATACAAAACGGAAAATCAAAGAGAAAAATTAATAAAAAAAACCAGAAAGGAATATCTAAGAACTGTGGAACAATTTCAAAGGTGTATGTGAAACTTGCCGATTGCACAGAAGGCACCTTTTTTTTTTTTTTTTTTTTTTTTTTTTTGTGCTGGAGCTGATCTCCTTATCTGTGCTTGCAGCTTGATCTCTCAGGCTGCTAACTGTTAGAAGAAAAGTTCTGTCAAGGAGAAGAAAAGTTCTGTCAATGACTTTGCCCTATGTGCCTAGTTCACTTTTGTCTTCCTTCTCTCTCACTGGGGTGGAGGAAGGGGTTGAGGGAAATACCTTATGTGCTAGTTGAGGTTTACTAGAGAAACAGAACCAATAGAATACATACACATGGAGATATTTGTTTTAAATAATTGTCTCATGTGATTGTGGAGATTTGGTGAGTCCAAAATCTTATTTGGGAAACCATTAGGCCGGCAACTCCAGAAAGAGTTGCAGTTCCAGTCCAAAGGCAGTCAAGGTGAAGGCCAGAAGAGAAAATGTTGCAGTTGAAATCTGAAGGTCTGTTACTGACAGAATTGCCCCTTGCTCAAAGGAGGTCAGTGTTTTGTTCTATTTAGGCCTTCAAGTGATGGGATGAGACCTGCACACAATATGGAAGGCAATCTTCTTTAATCAAAGTCCACCAATTTATTTTATTTGTACCTCTTATTCAGAAACACCCTTACAGAAACATCCAGAATAATGTTTGACAGAATATCTGGGCACCAGGAACCAGCCAAATTGACAAATAAAGTTAACCAGCATAACTTACCTGTAGGGGAGCAAGTGTACAAGTTATATCATACATCTTTTCAAAAGCCACACTAGCATGGAGAGTGGAGTGAAATATTTTAAGTGCTGAAAGAAAAAAAAATGCCAATCAAGAACTCTGTATCCAATTAAATTATCTTTCAAAATTTAAAGAGAAACACATTCTTAGTCAAACAAAAATTGAGGTAATTTGTAACCAGTACACTTTCCTTGTAAGAAAAGTTAAAAGAAATTCTTCAGAAAGAAAATAAGTCAGAAACTTGGATCTACATAAAGATAGAGAAGTAATAAATGAAGACAAAATAAAATATTTTATTTTCCTCATTCTTAATTGATCTAACATATAACACTTGTTCAAAATAATGAGAGTAAAATGTATTTGAAGATTATGGTTTCTGGATAAGTAAAATGAAAGTGAATAATGTAATACATGATGGGAGACAATATTTTGGAATAACCTGTTATGAGGTATATTCAATACCCATGAAGTAGTATAGTATTATTTGATAGAGCATTGGTTGTCAATATGTTAGTAGCAGTGAATTCATACCAGTCTGTGGCAACTTGATTCTTGCCTCCTTGGGAGAAAGAATTCGATCGAGGGGCATAAGTGAGAGGGAGAGACTGAGGCAAGTTTTAGAGCAGGAATGAAAGTGTATTAAAAAGTTTTAAAGTAGGAACAAAAGGAAGTAAAGTATAATTGGAAGAGGGCCAAGCAGGCAACTTGAAATGTCCAAGTGCACTATCTAACCCTTGGCTTGGGGTTTTATACATTGCCATCATTATGGGATTTGCAGTTATTCTTCCCTGACTCTTCCTTTAGGATGGGCTGTCCACATGCACTGTGGCCTGTCAGTGCTTAGGAAGGGCCACGTTCGCAGTGTGTTTACTGAAGTTTTGTGCATGCTCATTTGAGGTGTTTTTCTCTTACCAGTCAAGTGTTCCTGGAGGATGGTTATATACCAGTTAAACTCTGCAATTTTGCCTGTTAGTGTGCATGTGTGAGCCCACTTGCCCAAACCCTTAGATCTGATCGGGAAGCTGCTTATCACCAGCTTTAGGTGCTTTCTATCTCTTGGGAGACTGTCTTTCCCTGGATCTGGCTGCAACCAATTATTATTTTAGAAAGTCACTTTAAAACCACATGACCATCACCTGATGGTAGCCTGACATTCCTGGTGGTGGTACTTCCAACATGAAGAAGAAATGAAGAATTTCCAAGAAAAATACAAATGTTGAGGGATTTTGTCAATACCACAACTATCCTACAAGAAATGTTAAGAAAGTACTTTATTTAGGAAAAAAAAGGACATTAATAAGCAATAATCACCTGAAGGTACAAAACTCACTTGTAATGGTAGCTACACAGAGAAACCCAGATTATTATAATGCTGTAACTGTGGTGTGTCAATTACTGTTATCTTTACTAGAAAGAATAAACAATGAACTACTACTAATAATAAGTTAAACATCTTTTCAAGACATAGTACAATAAGATATAAATATAAACAACAAAAATATAAAAAAGCAGGGGGATAAAGTTCAGGCATAGAGCTTTTCTTAGTTCAATTTTTGCTTGTTTGTTTATGCAAACAGTGTTAATTTGTTATTATATCAAAATAATGGGTTATATGATAGTATTTGCAAGGTTCATGGTAACCTTAAACCAAAAAAAAAAAAAAAAATACAATGGATACACAAAAGATAAAAAACCAAAAACTAAATCATATCACCAGAGAAAACTACCTTCACTAACGGAAGACAGAAAGGAAAGAAAGAAGGAATAGAAGACAATAAAACAACCAGAAAACAAACAGGAAAATGACAGGAGTAAGTCCTTACTTATCAATAATACCATTGAATATAAATGGACTGAACTCTCCAATCCAAATACATAGGGTGGCTGAATGTATGAAAAAACAACACCCACTGATCTGTTACCTACAAGAAACACACTTCACCTATAAAGACACATGTAAGCTGAAAATAAAGGAATGAAAACGTATATCCCATGCCAACGGAAACCCCCCAAAAGTAGGAGTAGCTGTACTAATATCAGACAAAATAGGTTTCAAGACAAAAAGTATAAGAAGAGTCAAAGAAAGTCACCATAAAATGATAAAAGGGTCAATTTAGCAAGAGGATATAAAAATTGTAAATATATATGCACCCAACACTGAAGCACTCAGATATATAAAGAAAATATTATTAGAATTAAAGAGAAAGATAAGTTCCAATATAGTAATAGCTGGAGACTTCAACACCCCACTTTCAACATTGAACAGATCTTCCAGACAGAAAATCAACAAAGAAACCTAAGACTTAATCTGCACTGTAGAACAAATGGATAGGATAGATGTTTACAGAACACTTCATCCAACGGCTGCAGAATACACATTCTATTCCTCAGCACATGGATCATTCTCAAGGATAGACATATGTTAGGTCACAAAACAAGTCTTAAAATATGCAAAAAATTGAAATAATATCAGGCATTTTTTTCTGATCACTATGGAAAAACACCAGAAATTAATAACAAGAGGAATTTTGGAAACTATACAAATACATGGAAATTAAACACTATGCTTCTGAATGACCAGTGAGTCAGCGAAGAAGTTAAGAAGGAAATTTAAAAATTTCTCGAAAAAAAAACGAGGATGAAATAATAACATACCAAAACCTATTGGATACAGCAAAAGCAGTACTAAGAGGAAAGTTCTTAGCTGTGTCTACATCAAAAAAAGCGGACAAACTTTAAACAATCTAACAATGCATCTTGAAGAATGAGAAAAGCAACAGCAAACTAAACATAAAATTTGTAGAAGAAAAGAAACATTAAAGATCAGAATAGGAATAAATAAAATTGAAATTAGAAAAACAAAACAGAAGATTAATTAAACAAAAGATGGTTTTTTGAAAAGTTAAACAAAACAGACAAACCTATAGCCAGACTAACTGAGAATAAAAGACAAGATACAAATAATAAAATCAGAAGTGAAAAAGGAGTCATTACAGCATATACTGCAGAAATTCAAAGGATCGTTAGCAACTACTGTGAGCAACTATATGCCAATAAATTGGATAATACAGAATAAATTGACAAATTCCTAGTCACATATAACTTACCAAGATTGAGCCATGAAGAAACCCAAAATCTGAGCAGACCAATAACAAGTAATGAAATGGAAGCTGTAATTTAAAAAACCTTCCAGTAAAGAAAAGCCCTTGACCTGATGGTTTCACTGCTTATTTCTTCAAAACATATAACGCATAACTCATACTAATCCTACTCAAAGTATTCCAAAAAGTAGAGGAGGAGGGAATAGTTCTAAACTCTTTCTACAATGCCAGTATTACCCTGATATTAAAAGCAGTCAAGGAAACATCAAAAAAAGAAAACTGCAAGCCAATATCTCTAATGATTTTTTTTTTTTTTTTTTCTGAGACAGAGTTTTGCTCTATTGCCGAGGCTGTAGTGCAGTGGCACAATTTCAGCTCGCTACAACCTCTACCTACCGGGTTCAAATGATTCTCATGTCTTAGCCTCCTGAGTAGCTGGGACTACAGGTGCACACCACCATGCCCAGCTAATTTTTGTATTTTTTGTAGAGATGGGTTTTCGCCATGTTGGCAGGCTTGTCTCAAACTCTTGGCCTCAAGTGATCCACCTGTCTCGACCTCCCAAAGAGCTGGGATTATAGGTATGAGCCACCAAGCCCAGCCTCTGATGATTATTGATGCAAAAATCCTCAAGAAATACTAGCACACAGAATTCAACAATACATTGGAACGATCATTCATCATGATCAAGAAGCATTCATTCCTGGGATGCAAGGATTGTTCAACATATGCAAATCAATGTGATGCATCATATTAATAAAATAAAGATAAAAAAACCTATGATCATTTTAATAGATGCTGAAAAAGCATTTGATAATATTCAACATCCTTTCATTATACAAACCCTAAAAAAACTGGGTACAGAAGAAACATACTTCAACACAATAAAAGCACATATGACAGTCCTACAGGTAGTATCACACTAAATTGGGAAAAACTAAAAGCCTTTCCTTTGAGATCTGGAAAATGACAAGAATGTGCATTGTCACCACTGTTATTCATGTCACCACTGATATCACTGGAGATATCATCTCACCGCAGTTAAAATGGCTTATATCCAAAAGACAGGTAATTACAAATGCTGGTGAGGATGTGGAGAAAAGGGAACCCTTGTATATTGTTGGTGGGAATGTAAATTAGTACAACCGCTATGGAGAACAGTTTAGAAACTCCCCCAAAACTAAAAACTGAACTACCATATGATCCAGCAATCCCACTGCTGAGTATATACCCCAAAGAAAGGAAATCAGTACATAGAAGAGATATCTGCACTCCTATGTTTGTTGTAGCACTTTTCACAATAGCTAAGATGCGGAAGCAACCTAAATGTCCATCAACAGGTGAATAGATAAAGAAAATGTGGTACATGTACACAATGGAATACTATTCAGCCATAAAAATCAATGAGATGCAGTCATTTGCAACAACATTAATGGAACTGGAGATCATTATGTTAACCAAAATAAGCCAGGTACAGAAAGACAAACATCACATGTTCTCACTTACTTGTGGAATCTAAGTATCATAACAATTGAATTCATGGAGATGGAGAGAAGAAGGATGGTTATCACAGCCTGGGAAGCATAGTGGGCTGCTGAGGGTATTTGCAGATGGTTAAGGGATGCAAAAAAAAAAAAAAAAAGGAACAAATGAACAATGACTAATTCTTGATAGCACAATAAGGTGATTATGGTCAATAATAACTTAATTGCGCATTTTAAAATAACTAAAAGATTATAATTGGATTGTTTGTAACTCAAAGGATAAATGCTTGAGGGGATGGAATCCCCATTCTCCATGATGTACTTATTTCATATTGCATGCCTGTATCAAAACGTCTTATATTTAATATATATATATAGACACACACACATATATATACTTATATATATACATATATATATATATATACACACACACATGCACACCTACTGTGTACCCCCAAAGTTTTAAATTAAAAACCATGCATGAATAAAAGCAGTGGGAACACTTTGTACATTATTCTGTGAAGTCAAAATTACTTTAAAACCAAAAGTAAAGATACTACAGGAAGAGAAAGTTATGGGTCAATGTCTTTCATGGGCATAGATGCAAAAATCCTGAACAAAATACTCATAGTAGAAACCAAAATCCAACAATGTATAAAAATAATTAAATACCACAACGTGGGATTTATTTCAGGTATGCCAGTGTGGTTCATCATTCAAATAATGTAATATATCACATCAGCAGTCTAAAGAAGAAACATTATACAATAATATCAATCGATTTTAAAAAGTATTTTACAAAATCCAACATCCATTTACGATAACTTTAATCAAACTAGTAATTAGGGAAACTTCCTCAACTTGATAAACAATTAAAAAATTGGCAACTAACATCATAATGACGAGAAATAGTGTCATCCCACCAAGAACATGAAAAAAGAAAGGTTGTTTGCTCTCACTACTTTTATTCAACATTTTAGTTAAGTCCTGGCTAAGACAGTAAGACAAGAAAAGTAAATCAAATTTATATAGATCAAGAAGGAATAAATAAATCTGTCCTTGTTCAGAGCTGACAGTATTATCTATGTAGAAAATTCCAGATAATCAGCAAAAGCATCCTGGAACTACTTAGTGATTATAGCAAGGTTACAGTATGCAAGGTTAATATAAAGTCAATTGTATTTTTTTGCTTATTTTTAAAGCATAAAATAACTTATTGAGATATAATTATTACCTTTGAGGAGCTTGCACTGTACATGGGGAAACATGAAAAAAGAACGGTGTAAAATAGTATGAATATTTTCTGTTTTCCCCCAGGTTTATTGAAGTATAAATGAGAAATAAAATTGCATATATTTGAGGTATACAACATAATGTTTTTATATATGTATACAGTGAAGTGAGTACCACAATTAAGGTAATTAATACAACAATTACCTCATATACTTACCATTTTTTGTGGTGAGAACATTTAAAATCTACACACTAAGCAAATTTCAAGTATACAATACATTATTATTAACTCTAGGTTTCCATGTTGCACATTAGGTCTTCAGAAGTTATTTATTTTATAACTGAGGTGCTTTACCCATTGACAAAAATCTTTCCATTTCCCCACCACATAACACCTAGCAATCACATTTCTGCTTTCTTTTCCTATGAGTTTGACTTCTGTAGATTCCACACATAAGTGAGATTATTCAGTATTTGTCTTTCTGTGTCTGGCTTATTTCACTTTGTATGATATCCTCCAGGTTCATCCATGTTGTCCCAAAAGGGAGGTTTTCCTTCTTATTTAGAGCTGACTGAGATATGTATATATACACACACACACACATTGCATATATACATATGTATATATATTGCATAAATGTGTATGTATATATATGTGTGTATATATGTGTGTATATATACACACATATGCATATATACACATATATAAGCAAAGATTTGATGAATATGACTGCAAAAGCAGAGACAACAAAAGCAAAAATAAAGAAGTGGTGCCATATTCAACCAAAATTTTTCTGCACAGCGAAGAAAAAACTCAAAAAAATAAAAAGGCAACTTACAAATGGAAGAAAATATTTGCAAACTATATATAAGATAAGGTGTTAATATCCAAAATATATAAGAAACTCATCCAAATCAATAGTAAGACAACAGCAACAACAGCAAATAACCTAATTTGAATAACGGACAAAGGAACTGAATAGACATTTTTCTAAAGAAGTTATACAAATGGCCAGCCAGTACATGAAAAGGTACTCAACATCACTAACTATCAGAGAAATACAAGTAAAAAGCACAATGAGATATCACTTTATTCCTGTTAGGATGGTGATATGGTTTGCCTGTGTTCCAACCGACATCTCTTCTTGAATTGTAGTTCCCATAACCCCCACGTGTCATGGGAGAGACCAGGTGGGTGTTAATTGAATCAGGGGGGCAGTTACCTTTATGCGTTTCTCCTGTTAATGAGTGAGTTCTCACAAGATCTGATGATTTTAAAAGGGGCTTTTCCCCTTTGCTTGGAACTTCTCACCCCTGCCACCTTGTGAAGAAGGATGTGTTTGCTTCCCCTTCTGCCATGATTGTAAGTTTCCTGAGGCCCTCCCAGCTATGCAGAACTGTGAGTCAATTAAACCTCTTCCCTTTATAAATTACCTAGTCTCAGGTATTTCTCCATAGCAGTGTGAGAAGGAACTAATAAGTAAATTGGTACCACAGAGAGTGGGGTGCTGCTGTAAAGATACCTGAAAATGTGAAAGTGATTTTGGAACTGGGAAACAGGCAGAGATTGGAACAGATGGAGGTCTCAGAAGAGAGGAAAATGTGGGAAGGTTTGGAACTTCTAGAGACTTGGAAGGCTCAGATGACAGAAAGATGTGGGAATCTTTGGAACTTCCTAGAAACTTGTTGAATGGCTTTGACCAGAATGCTAATAGTGACATGCACAATGGAGTCCAGGTTGAAGTGGTCTCAGATGGAGATGAGGAACTTCTTGGAAACTGGAGTAAAGGTCGCTCTTGCTATGCAGAGTGACTGGTGGCATTTTGCCCCTGCCCTAGAGATCTATGCAACTTTGAACTTGAGAGAGATGATTTAGTGTATCTGGCAGAAGAAATTTCTAAGCAGCAAAGCTTTCAAGAGGAAGCAGAGCATAAAAGTATGAAAATGTGCGGTCTGACAATGCAATAGAAAATAAAACCCCATTTTCTGCGAAGAAATTCAAGCTGGCTGCAGAAATTTTCATAAGTAATGAGGACACAAATATTAATCACCAAGCAAATGGGGAAAATGTCTCCAGGGCTTGTCAGAGACTTTCACAGCAGTCTCTTTCATCATAGGCCCAGAGGCCTAGAAGGGAAAAACGGTTTTCTGGGCTGGGCCCAGGAACCCTCTTCTCTATGCAGCCCCAGGACATGGTACCCTGCATCCCAGCTGCTTCAGCTCCAGCCATGGCTAAAACGGGCCATGTATAGCTCAGTCCATTGCTTCAGTGAGTGCAAGCCCTAAGCCTTGCCGGCTTACACGTGGTGTTGGGCCTGTAGGTGCACAGAAGTTAAGAACTGAGGTTTGAGAACCTTGGCCTAGATTTCAAAGGATTTATGGAAACACCTGGATGTCCAGGCAGAAGTTTGCTGCAGGGACAGAATCCTCATGGAGAAATTCTGTTAGAGCAGTGTGGAAGGGAAATGTGAGGTTGGAACCCCCACATAGAGTCCCCCCCACTGGAACACTACCTAGTGGAGCTGTGAGAAGAGGGCCACCGTCCTCCAGACCCCAGAATGGTAGATCTACCAACTGCTTGCACTATGTGCCTGGAAAAACCACAGACACTCAATGCCAGCCTGTGAAAGCAGCCAGGAGTGGAGCTGTACCCTGCAAAGCCACAGGAGCAGAGCTGCCCAAGGCCATGGGAGCCCACCATTTTTATCAGCATGCCCTGGATGTGAGATATGGAGTCAAAGGAGATCATTTTGGAACTTTAAGGTTTAATGACTGCCATATTGGATTTCGGACTTGCATGGGGCCTGTAGCCCCTTTGTTTTGGCCAATTTATCCCATTTGAAATGGCTGTATTTACTCAATTCCTATACCTCCATTGTATCTAGGAAGTAACTAACTTGCTTTTGATTTTACAGGCTTATAGGCAGTGGGTACTTGGCTTGTCCCAGATGCATCTTTGGACTTGGAATTTTGAGTTAATGCTGCAATGAGTTAAGACTTTGAGGGACTGGTGGAAGGACATGATTTTGTTTTGATATGTGAGGACATGAGATTTGGGAGGGACCACGGGCAGAATTATATGGTTTGGCTGTGTCCCCAGCTAAATATCATCTTGAATTGTGGTTCCCATAATCTCCACGTGTGCTGGGAGGGACTTTGTGGGAGGTAATTGAATCATGGGGCTGGTTACCTTCATGCTGTTCTCATGATAGTGAGTGAGTTATCATGAGATCTGACAGTTTTATAAGGGGCTTCCCCCCCTTTGCTGAGCATTTCTCTCTCCTGCCCCATTGTGAAGAAGGATGTATTTGCTTCCTTTTCCACTAAGATTGTAAGTTTCCTGAGACCTTCCCAGCCATGTGGAAATGTGAGTCAATTAAACCTCTTTCCTTTAAAAATTACCTAGTCTTGGGTACTTCTTCATAGCAGTGCAAGAAGGGACTAATACTGGTGGCTATTATCAAAAAGTTAAATGATCGTAAGCATTGGTGAGGATATGGAGAAAAGGGAACATATCCATTTTCTCCATATAGAGAACAGAGTTGGTGGGTTTGTAAGTTGATACAGCCATTATGGAAAACAGTATGAAGGATTCTGAAAAAAATAAATAAATAAAACTACCCTATGATATAGCAGTTCCCCTTTCGGTTTTATATCCAAAGGAATTTAAATTAGTATTTTGAAGATATATCTGCATTTACAGGTCCATTACAGCATTATTCACAATAGCCAAGACATAGAAAAAATTGTATTCTTATATACCAACAATGGACAAATAAAATATAAACTTAAAAATACAGTGCCATTTACAATGGTGCCAAAAGATGAAATAATTAGGTATGAACCTACCAAAATAGATAAAAGATGTATTTGAGGAAAACTATGATCACTGATGAAAGGAGTCAAAGAATATCTAAATGAATGGAGAGATATTTCACTTACATGCATGGGAAGGTTCAACGTTTTCAAGATGTCAGCTCTTTTCAAATTGGTCTAATTTCAATGGAGTCTTAATAAAAACCCTGGTATGATTTTTAGTGGATATCAACAATCTGATTTTAAAGTTTATATGGACAATAAAAGACCCAGAATAACCACTACAATATTGAAAGAGAACAAATTCAGAGGACTGACACTACCTGACTTCATGCCTTACTATAAAGCTAGTTTCAAGACTGTGATTTTGGTGAAAGAATAGACAAATAGACCAACAGAACAGAATTGAAAGTCCATAAATAGACCCAAATATAATCAAGTGATCTTTGACAATGGAGGAAAAATGATTCAATAAGAAAAACGTAGTCTTTTCAACAATGGTGCTAAAAAGACTGGACATCCACATACAAAAAATATTAGTTCTAGACACAGATATTACACCTTTACGTAATTAACTGAAGTGCCCACAAAAAATAAAAATGGGCCACGAGACCTAAACGCAAAACACAAAGCTGTAAAACTCCTAGAAGATAACAGGTGAAAATCTCAGTAACCTTGGGCTTGTCAATGATGTTTTAGATATAGCACAAAAAATGTGTTCCATGAAATAAATAAATAGATAAATAGTTGGACTTTATTAAAATTAAAACCTGCACTTCAAAAGGAATTAAGGTAATGAAAAGACAATCCACAGACTGTGAGAAAACTTTTGCAAAATATGTATCTGATAAAGAATTGGTATAGAAAAGACCTCTTATAACTCAACAATAAGTAAACACAAAAAAGCCGACTAAAAGAGGGGCAAAAGATCTGAAAAGACATTTTACTAAAGAAGATAAACAGATGACCAATGACCTTATGAAAAGATGCTCATGTGCCATTAGGGAATTGCAAATTGAAACAGTGAGATAGCACTATACAACTATTAGAACAGCTAAAATCCAAAATACTGACACCACCAAATGCTAGTAAAGATGAAGAGCAACTGGAACTTTCATTCATTGCTGATGGGAATACAAAATGTTATAGCTACTCTGGGAGACAGTTTCACAATTTCTTATAATACTAAACATACTTTTACCATAGGATCCAACTTTCATGCTTCTTGGTATTTACTCAGAGGAATTAAAACTTACATCCCCACAAGAACCTGATCATGAATGTTTATAACAGATTTATTCATAATTGTAAAAACTTGTAAGCAGTCATGATGCTCTTCAATCCATGAATGGATAAATAAACTGTGATATATCCATACAATGGAATATTATTCAGTAAGGTAAAGAAATGAGGCATCAGGCCAGGAAATGGCATATTGAAACTTTAAATGCATACTTACATGTAAATTTAGTCAATCTGAAAAGGCTACATCCTGTATGATTTCACCTATATTACATTCTGGAAAAGGCAAAACTATGGAGACAGTAAAAAAAAAATTCCATAATTGATAGGGATTCCGAGTAAGGGAGAGAGGAATGCATAGGTGGATCACTGGGATTTTTAGGGCTGCGAAACTAATGGCAAATAGGTATCATACATTTCTCAAACTGCATGGAATGTACAACAGAAAGAGTCAATCCTAATGTAAACTATGGACTTACTTAATAAAAATGTATAAATACATGCTCATCAACCATAACAAATGTACCATACTAATCAAGGTGTTAATAATATGAGAAACTGCTTGTGGGGTCGGGGGTGAGGGAATATATGGTTACTTTCTGGATTTTTTTTCTTTTCTTTTCTTTATTATTATTATTATTATTTTTTTTTTTGAGACGGAATTTCACTCTTGTTACCCAGGCTGGAGTGCAATGGCACAATCTCAGCTCACAGCAACCCCCACCTCCCAGATTCAAGCAATTCTCCTGCTTCAGCCTCCCGAGTAGCTGGGATTACAGGCACCTGCCACCATGCCCGGCTAATTTTGTATTTTTAGTAGAGACGGGGTTTCTCCATGTTGGTTAGGCTGGTCTCAAACTCCCAGCCTCAGGTGATCTAACTGCCTCGGCCTCCCAGAGTGCTGGGATTACAGGCATGAGCCACTGCGCCTGGCCCTACTTTCTGGATTTCTTACACAATTTTTCTATAAAGCTAAAACTGCTCAACAATAAAGTCTACTGATTACAAAAACAGACAGCTATAAAAAGAATAAAATAGAAATCTCATCAGTACAAAATATTTTCAAAAATAAATTTAGAGAGATGTCAATAACGTGAATTTTAAAACAAATTTCAGTTAGTGAAATTTAAGGATATAGCTGGGTATCTGTTCTTTTAAACATATTTGGTCTTAAGTTTACTTTTTTAAAAATCTCCCTTACAGAGTTGCAACTCACTTAACTTCTTTTTCAGTTGCTATACCACTTCCCAGAATTTTTTTCAACTAAATATGAGGTTGAAAATGATATAGTACATAATTTCTTTCAACAATGGCTATGAAATTTTAAGAGCATAAAAAGTTCTTTGTAAATATACAGATTAAACTTTTTCCTCAACTCATTTTTTAAAGAGCAGTTAACTCTGCAAATAAATACTCATATGTTGTATATGAATTTAAAAGGGATGATCACTTAAACTGGCATCTTAATTTCACATAGATATTTAAGTCTACTCATCATATATTTTAATAGCATGGAAATGACAACAATGTATTACCAAATCAATATTTTAAACCCATTCTTATTTAATTGAAGCAAAGATGAAATCTGAAATCCTTAGCACACAATATTATTTTTAAATAATGTAAATTTTTCTATAATCTTATATTTTCCTTCCAATAATAAAATGTAATTTCTTTGACATTTAAGAAGACTTCATTTTCTTTTACAAATATTAATATGAATCACATGTAATTTTGGATTGAGCAGATGAGAAATTGGATATACGCAATTTCTCATGGTTTAACTTAATATAATTCAAAGATACATCACATCATCTTTGAACATTTTAATTTCAATGTTTAATTTCATGATAACTAAATTTTATAAATTCCAAAGTACTGTATCTAATAGTAAACACAGTCTTTGCAAACAATTTTCTTTGGAAAATTATCTTGCTTGTAAATTAAGCTACAGCATTCCAATTTTTCTTCACTGCTATTGTGCAATTTATGAAGTAATAATATACGGGTTTTCTCTTAGTTTAATTAACAGCACTGATAGCATTTTTTGATTTGTACCACTTTCACCAATATGCTTATGCCTAATTGTAGACAGTGAATAATAGGCTGTGTAACTGAAACACCTTGTACTATTATTTTGGTTTACTATATACCTATGTGGCCTACCAGCCATGTTTGGTGCACCAGCTGTTGTATGAGCAATGAAAATTGAAAAGCATTTTTTTTCCACAGAATTTGTTAAGAATTTAAAATGTTGGCAATCCCTTGGCATCCATTGTCTCTAATTTAAAATAAATTCTTCTTTAATCATTTTATCCCTTACGAATCTCTGTGGTGAACAGTACAGCTTAATTATTTGTGCAGGAAGCTTTCACTTATTTGTAATAAAATTTGTTTACTATAGTTTATTACATAGCCCATTTTCAGTATTTTAATCAACTAATCAATTCTTCTCAAAGCAGTAAAAAATTCTCAGTAGACTATAAGAAATATTTTAGCAAGATTTCACACAGATGATCATTCTACTAGTAACCTCTCATAGACTTGGTAAGATACATTTTTTTCACCAATATTGTGTGTCTTCCCACACTTTACAGTTATCTGCGTATTCTATAAAAACAATGAGAACTTTACTCTTTTGATTAGAAAATTTTAAAATTCCAGTTAAAGTAGTACACCTTTCAAACTTTTCCTTTTTTTTCTAAGAATTTTGACATGTCTTTGCCAACATTATCAGCACGCTTTCTAAAATAAAATATTCACTTAATCTTGTTGACTTTATAACTCACTTAGGGAACAAAGGTAGACTAGACATTATTAGAAATATTTTGTTGAAGCTATACAACCAAATATCAAATATTTAGGCATTTTTGTTTTATTTTTGTTCCTTACATTTGATCATTTAAAATCAGGGTTAAAATACAGAAATATATAAGTCACTGTAAGAATGACAGCTACAAGTACAGGTTGGTACAGGTATCCTCTGGTAGCCACTCATATATCACAAATTAAGGTTAACATCGGTGAAATAGTTTTTCAAAATTATAAATAAACATAAAATTACATACAAAACCAGATACTTGACCTACTTCATAATTGCTTTTGTTGAAATTTATGGCCAAACGTGATGGCTCATACCTGTAATTCCAGCACTTTGGAAGGCTGTGGCGGGAGGATAACTTGAGCCCAGGAGTTAGAGGTTGCAGTGAGCTATGATCATGCCACTTTACTCCAGCTTGGGCAACAGAGCAAGACCATGTCTCTAAAAAAACAAACAAACAAACAAACAAAAACAACAACAAAGAAAAGAAAAGAAATTCAGGGTATTAAAATTTTGCTGAATTACATTAAGTTTTAGTGTAACAGGGAGTCAGGTTCTAGACTGACATAACTTATAGACAGAGTTTTCACCTACATGAATATGTGATGGGACATTCAAAAGGCATTCAAAGTCAATATTCAGCATTTTCCCTAGGCTTGCATGTAATCTATCACTCCTTACCTCTAACCAAATTCCAAAAGCTCTCTCATTATTATGACAATCAAAGGTTCTCATAATGCTTTCCAAAATTCCCACTAAAGGTGTCACTGATTTTATTGAGAAGCACACTGGGCTAACTGCAAGTCATAGATTTTATGGACTATGTTATCAAAAGTATCCATTGTTTTAATATATTATCACCTCTTTTTTTCTTAGTTGATAAGTGTCTCTGTTGGAAAATCAATTCAGAATTTCCTTTGGAATGCACGTCATACTACTCATTCCATATAAATTATTTGGGTTTCTGTTTCATGTAATACATTGAACTGGGTGCAGGGAAAGACATCTGACACAGAAGGCCAAAACGTGCTGAATAAAATATTTAAAATGTCTTTAAAATGAGGAGTTATTGCTCAATGGATATAAAGCCTCATCAGTTTTGCTGGAGGAATAATTTCTAGAAATCTGGTGTAAAACATAGTGCCTACAGTTAACAATATAATATTGTGAATATCAAAGTTCGTTAAGAGGGTGGATCTTATTTTATGTGTTCTTGCCATGCACACACATGGACACACATACAACAAAAAAGGGGGGGGGCACAAGAAAACTTTAGGATATGTTAAATATGTCTATCAGTTTAAATATGATGATGGTATCACGGTGCTGCCTATGTTCAAACTCCTGAAATTGCACACATTAAATATGTGCAGTTCTTTGTGTATCAATTATACTTCAGTGAAGCTGCTTAAAAAATAAAATAAAATGTGTAACTGTGACTGAGCTCGTGGGAAGACAAGAGACAGATTTGAGACCAGAAACTATGAGATAGTGTTAATGCTGAGAGGTAAGCAGGTGTTTTCCCTTAAAATTAAGCTTTAAATTTTAATGAGCTCTTCCAAGAGGAAAGCAGACAAACACTGAGATGTGTAAAAGATGGAAGAAGTTTTAAATTGAAGACTCTCTTTAAAAGGCCAAAATATCCCTCAAAGAAAACATCCTCAGGTGTTGAGCTACAAAATAAAATCCAATTTGAAGAGAGATATTATGGGGGTATTGAACTAGCAGCCTTAGTTATGTAGAAATGCAAAAAAGAAAAGAAAAGAAAAATATTCTCCTCAGAATTCCTAAGCTCAAGCCCAACCTAATGTGAGTCTGGAAGCAAAATCCACATTATCTGCATGGCACAAAAATCCCCCAAGCTGAAAATTTTGTTTAAAATGGTCATGATGGGTAGTGCTCCAAACAGTATGGTGGATACCTGCCTCTAGAGAAATGGTTCTCTACTTTGCCTGTACAACAAATTTATGTGGAGCTTTTCAATGTGAAAATAAGCAAAACAAAATTTAAAAACCACAACTGGCTATGTTAAACAATATATTGTTTGGGTGATACATGCATTGGTAGTGAAATTATTAAAAAAAGAAAGATGATCAATACAAAATTTCCACAGAGGAGAGGAAAATAGATATAGTTAGTCATAGATTATAAAAGGGCTTCAAAGGTACTGAAGTAGAAGGCAGGACATGTCTCCAGAGGTGGAGTTTGAACACCAGACGAAATTGAGGACTAGCTAAAAGAAGGACAGAGTGGAAGCAGCTTTTCATAAGATATGCCCCAGTATGCCATGTCAGTTTACCCTTGCCGTGGCAATACCCAGGCATTACTGCCCCTTTCCATTTCAGTGACCTGATAACCCTAAAGTTAGTACTCATGCCCTGAGCTGCTACTCTTTTTTTTTTTTTTTTTTTTTTTTTTTTTTTTTTAGACAATCTTGCTCTGTTGCCCAGGCTGGAGTGCAGGGGCACGATCTCAGCTCACTGCAACCTCCGCCTCCCAGGTTCAAGTGATTCTCCTGCCTCAGCCTCTTGAGTAGCTGGGACTACAGGCACGTGCCACCACGCCCGGCTAATTTTTTGTATTTTTAGTAGAGACGGGTTTTCACCGTGTTAGCCAGGATAGTCTTCATCTCCTGACCTCGTGATCTGCCCGCATCGGCCTCCCAAAGTGCTGAGATTACAGGCGTGAGCCACTGCCTCTGGCCCCTGAGCTGCTACTCTTAGCACACTGCCTATGGGGTAGCCCTGCTCTGCAGGAGCAGTCCCAGAGCTGTACCACCACCAGAGCGGTAACACTGCTGCTTCAATAAAGCTGTTTTCTTCTACCCTACTACCAATTTGCCCTTCAATTACTTCCTGGGCAAAACTAAGAACCCTCATGGGTTAAGCCCCACTTTTGAGCTCACCTGGCTGGCACCAGTACTAGAAATGTTCTATTTCTTAAATTGGGTTATGTGTATATGAGTGTTGGTTTCTTCACTATTCTTTTATTATACACCAAAGTAATTCAGACAATTTTGAGTGGATAATATATTTTCATTATTTAAAATATACTTGGTATTCTGAGAATAAAACATCTACTTTAAAAACTAGTAACATATTATTAACATATGCAGGAAATCTGAAAATAGGGCAAGAGTTCTTAAATAGCAATAAAACTGATTTTATCACAAAATAAATGAAGCTTTTTTTTCTCTCACCACTAATTGCACTTTGTAAAAAAGATGGGACTTGTACTTACTCCTAGCAAAAGACTGGCAAATCCTCTTCTCCAGAACCAACTATAGAGCTGGAAAAATTGATAGAAATAACCATTTCAATGCTTTGTAAATCTTTGTAAAATGGTTTTCAACAATCTCAGAAGCACTTGTGTTGGAAAAACTGATGAAATTTGAGTAAGAACAGTAAGAATCTGTGCTGTTCTGGTCCACTCTTGAGTCCAGTTGAAATAAGAATTCTGCCAAGACGGGGCAGTTTCTAAGGAACAGCATGTTCTTTTCTGAGATAGACAAGGTGGAAACAAGGTTTCCCAAGGCAAGGGAGGAGGGAAGGCCCAATGGCGCTAGTATTGAGGTTACTATAGTATGTGGGATACAACATATTCCTGGCTGAAGCCATGTGCATGTGAAGTGAAGGCCAGAGGGGGCCACCACATAATCCTGGACAAACCTGAGGCTGCACATCAGATATCAAGAAAGGCTCCATGGAAAATAAAAGATGAAGCAGGCTTGCAAATCATCTGAGCTTTGAATGTGCTCCCCTACCCTTGTACAGATTGATTTGCAGAAGACCAAAGGGTTACTGTCTCAAGATTGTCACATACGAGCTCTGTAGAATTATTGTCTGATCATTAAATGATTCAGACACAGAGGAAACCCCTAGAAAGTCGGGTTTAAAATTATAAATGAGAGTATAAGTAAGTAAATAAACAAAGAAATTAATTCATTTAAAACTGAGCTGAGACAACAGCAGCTATGTGTGGCAAGGAAGACAGATTTCACAGAATTAGCTCAGGTGGGTCACTAAACAAATAAAGAGCAACAACAGAAACCTCTAGGAACAAAATTAATAACAAATTTGCTATATTACCTAAAATATTATTTTTCCACAAAGAATTGAAAGGCATGCAGGAAAACAGATATTGTGCCCCATAGACGGGAAGAAATGTCAATAGAAAACTATCTCTCAGCATACTAGAATATTGTATTTACCAGACAAAGACTTCAAGGCAGCAATTATCAATATGTTACAACATTTTTAAACAGCATACTTAAATAATTAAAGGAAACTATGACAACAATGATTCAACAAATATAAATTCTTATATTTAAGAATATAAGAATTATATCTATCATAAGTAAATTATATAAAAAGAGTAAAATAATATCGTAAAATCAAAAAGTATAAAAATTGAAATGCAAAATTAATTAGAAGACGTCAACATTAGAATAGAGGTAACAGAAAATTCAATGAGCCTGAGGATAGATCAATAGAAATTATCCAATCTTAAAAACAGAGAAAAATTATTCCAAAACATAGAGCCTCTGATACCTGTGGTACACGTCAACTGTACCAAATATGAGTCCCCAGAGGATAGAAGAATTATGAAAACTTTCATTCCCGTAAATTATACTAATAGATGAAATGAACAAATTCCTAGAAAGACACATGATAATAACTGACTCAAGAATAAGTAGAAAATACGAACAAACTTATAACACATAAAGAAATTGAATTAGTGATTACAAATCTTTCCCAAAGTTAAAGTCCAAGTCGAGATGGCTTCACTGGTGAATTCTTTCAATTAAAGTTAAAATAATATCAATTTTCCGTAAACTTAGGAAATAGAAGAGGAGGAAGCACTCCATAACTCATTTCCTAGATACAAAAGTCTTTAAGAAAATTTTAGCAATCCAAAGTCAGTAGTGGATTTTTTAAAAAGTATACACACTATGATCAAGTAGAATTACTAGAAAGGCAAAGTTAATTTAACATATGAAAATGAATGCATGTAATACACTATACTAGTAGAAAAAAGAGTGAAAAATCACATTACCATCTCAATAGGTACAGAAAAATTATGTAACACAATTCAGCACACTTTCTTAATGAAAACATTTAAACAGCTAAGAATAGAAGAATACTTCCTCAACTTGATAATGAATAACTATTGAAACTCACAGCTAGCATTTTAGCTTATTGTGAAAGATGGAATGATTTCCCCTACAACTGAAACAAGAAAAGATATCTTCTTTTGACAGATCTAGTCTAAATTATACTGGAGATCCTTCCAGTAAAATAAGGCTGGAAAAATAAAGGCACCCACATAAGAAAATAAGTAGCCAGTAGTTCAAGACCATCCTGAGCAACATGGCAAAACCTGTCTCTACAAAAAAATCCAGAAAAAAAAATTAACCAGGCGTGATGGCACACACCTGTATTCCCAGCTGCTTGGAAGGCTGAGATAGGCTGAGCCCGGGTAGGCCAAGGCTGCAGTGAGCCATGATCATGCCACTGTACTCGACAGAGAAAAGAAAAGATATTAAAAGAAAAGAAGTACTAAAACAGTCGAAAACAGTCTTTATTCTGTATATGGAAAATCCCAAAGTATCCCACAAAAAGTACTATGACTAATAGACAAGTTCAGTGAGGTCACAAGATAAAATAAAAATATATACATTCAATTGTATTTCTATATATTAGCAGCAGTCTTCAAATCAAATTAATAAAACCTTTCAATTTACAATAGCATCAAAAGAATAAAATACTCAGGCATAAATTCAGCATGAACATTTCAGGTTCCTGGACTGGAAGACTCAACATTGTCAGAAGGCAATTTTGCACAAGTTGATCTATAAATTAAGCAAAATAGCCAATTCACAGCAGCAGGCATTTTTGTAGAAACTGACAAGCTGAAACTAATGCATAGAACCTACAGCACTAGGTAACCTAGCATACAGCAAACACTATAGTTAGCTGGCATTGTTATCCTTGGAGAATTAGTCTACTTTAGCCAATCACCAGAAGCATGTTTTGGGACCTATAGGTCTCATTATAAAGAGCCAACTTTTAGCTAGATAATGGTAGGCCTTTTCCTCTAATCAACTTTTCCTCAGAATTGGACTAGCTCCAGAAGTAATTTTCAAGTACCTATGACCTAATGCTAGCTTACCGAATAATCATTTGAAGTTAACTTATGTGTCAACAAACAGGGTGTGCAGAAAATAATCACATTCTATAGACATTAATTTTTATGTGACTGCACATTCAACACGTGCAATAAAACTGATATTTAAAATAGACAAGAAGGAATGAACCATCAAAGACCTGTGATATATGTCATCCCTATAAAGCCCTTTTGGTGTCTTAAGAATGCTTATTAATAGCTGAATTGATTCATACACTTTATTCATTTTCTCTTTCTTTTTGCATTTAGTAGTGGTGGTAAAGGAGGTGGTATTTTCACACTTAAATTCAATTATTTCTGTAGCTTAAGAAGGTGTAAGATGAATAGTAACTTTGATGATTAATGTGGTATTTGGCAAAATCTATTGTGATATTTAAAGATTACCCTGATTAGAGGAAGACCGAGAAGCTAATTGTGTTCTATGTTGTCAAGTTCCTGTGCTTTTGATATTTTGTAGCTTCTGGTTTGCAAATGTTGTGGAAGATAATAAAGCCCTAAGTAAATGATTATCAAAAAGTTCTGTTACATTCTTTTTCAAACAATCTGTTAACTGTCCCAACATTTTGTACTGACTAAATTTTTTTACTGCTGTTTTGTGATGTTGCTTTTATTATACACTGAAATCTGTTTCTAAGATATATATATATATATATAAATTAGAAACAGATATCTATCTATATATATATATATATATATCTTTTTCCATCTGTTTTTAGAAAACATTGTATTTAAAGATTTATAGCATTTGAAAAAATTACCTGATAGGGTGAACAGCCTCCATTCATACTATTCATTTAAAAATGGTTAGTCTTATATACGTATTCTTTCAGTTGAAGTTGAGGGTCATTTATTTGAGTTTCAAAAAAAACTTTAACCTAAGAGTGTGGATGTTGATTAAATTTTTATTGGAAGGAACTGTCATCTTTACAATAGCCAGTCTTACCATACATTATGTGGAAGATGTTTTTACTTACCTTTGTCTTCATGTAGTTTTCTTTACATAGGTCTTTTTAATTTCTTATTAAGCATACATTTCATAATTTTTGCTTCTAAATTATTATTTTTCATTTCAGTTTTCATTTGGTAATTGCTAATTGTTAATTTTAATTGGTTATTTCTCAGTACAGGGAAAGTATTGATATATTTTATTACATGAGGCCTCATTACTGTATTCTCTTATTATGCTAATAAATGCTATAGTATAGGGGTTCAGAAGATAGATTCTAGGGCCATATTTCCTGGATTTAAATCCTAGTTCCATTATCAACTAGCTGTGTGACATTAAACTAGTCACTACCATCATTAGTGCCCCTGTTTCCTTATTTGTAATATAGGGATGATAATAATTGTATTTCCTTCATAGTTTTGTTGGGAGGTTAAATTATTTTATGTGAAGTTTTTAGAATGCATATTTTTTTAACTTTTTTATTTTTATTTTTTATTATTATACTTTAAGTTCTAGGGTACACGTGCACAACGTGCAGGTTTGTTACATATGTATACATGTGCCATGTTGGTGTGCTTCACCCATTAACTCGTCATTTGCATTAGGAATATCTCCTAATCCTATCCGTCCCCCCTCCCCCAACTCCACAACAGGGCCCGGTGTATGATGTTCCCCACCCTGTGTCCAAGTGTTCTCATCGTCTTTTTAAAGATTTGCTCAACAATGTATTCTACATAAGGCAGCTGCTTTATAATATGATTGTGTATGAAAGTAAGAAAATAGAAACTCTTGCCTAGTTTTCATACTCATAATTTGTATGCATTGATAAGACATTTTTTCCCCAATTTCAAGAGTCTTCATGTAGTCAGATCTAAAAGTTTTGCTGCTCTGCCAACTTTGGTGACATATATGGTGGGTGAAAAAATATTATATCTTATTGTACTCAAATGGAAACTTAATTAGGTATTTCTTTCTGTATGAATGGATATAAAAATTCTGGCTTTACAAAGAAAGGCAATTTGTCGCTCAGTGAGCTTGGAGTTTTTATAAATTTGTATGAGCTCAAAATTTTTAAATGTTATCCTGGGTCCTACTGAATTAACAAACTAGAATTTCTGACTACAACAGCTGTCTCTAGTTAAACCCCTACGTCATTACTAAGATTTAGATATGAGCCACTTCCAGTTTCTTTTGAATTAATACATCTAATCATTATTTTATTTTCTAAAGAAATGAGAGTTTCCCTTTTAAATATGAACTTATTCTCTGATTTTTTAAAATTTCACACTGAAGAAGTGTGTGTTCTCTTCAGGATGAGAAAGATAATCATGACTGTGTTAGTAAAACACAGAAAAAAGGAAGGAAAAGATTTCTAATTGATATGGAAAGGTTATTTATATTACATTACTATTCCATCATATTCAACCTATCCTGCCATTTGGGTAAGTTACTAGTATAGGAAGCAGGTTAGACAATCCATGATGTACATTAACTCTTAAGCACATGGAATTATAGAGTGGCATTTTGCTATGACAGGATATCATTTTATATGTTTGTTTTGCAGGTGGCTTTTCGGGGATATATTCCTCATTTTTTTCTAAAAATTAAGTTGAGGAAAAGGTCAAATTTTCCAGTTCTTATTTTTCAATACTATCTATTTAAATTAAATATAGCAAATCTATAATTGCCTGGTAAATAAGCCTCATGGAATTTCTCTCTCCTTCCTTCTTTCCACCTGTCTGTCCTGGATTCCTTCTTCTACTTCTTTTGTTCTTTCTTACTCTTTTTATACAAAAGTACTATTTGTTTTTTCTTTTGTTTCTATATAACATGCAAGATTTTGATATTCAGTGCATGAAATTTTATGACTGTCCACATTTTTCAACATGAACAAATGAAATATTTGAGAAAAAAAAACACAGAGAAATTGACATCCAAATAATCAAATTGTTTTTTCTAATACATCATTATCTTTCTTCTTCAAAAGACTGCTTATGTATTAAAAGATATCTGCATATATATATTTATCTACATATAATTATATATACATACTTACATATTATATGGGTATACGCACATATATATATATATACACATGTATACATATATAATTCATTATGATAAAAATCACTCTCCTTTTATTTTGGTTTATAACTTATAAAGTAATTGCACATATGTACTTTAGTCCTACTTTACAATAGTAAGACTGCAGAGTAGTCTTTTACTAAGGCAGGTATCATTAACCCTTGCTTTCATGCTAAGAAACTAATTCTCAAAGAGGTCATGTGGCATGTCAAAGTCCATAGAGCTAGAACATATATTATCTATCCTCAAATCCAGTGTCCTTTCTCCAGCACTAGTATTTCCCCTTATAGTCTACTGAACATCAGTAGGTATGAAAAAGCTGGGTGAAATATTTAAATGTTTCCTTTTCTGTAGAACTACTCAAGGACTTTAATATGTTAACAGGTTTTGTAAATCTTCAATAAGGGGAATGTAGTACAGCATTTTCCATATTTTACCTACTACAGAAATGTTTTTTTCCTGTGCCACTTCTGATAACATTTCCAACAAGAGTGTTTTCACCATAGTTTAGTAAACATTGCATGAGGCAACACTGTCACTACAATAATATCTTTCAAGTGTATGATACTTCATATTTTGAAAATAACTTTTATACTATATTCTGTCTTTTAAAATGTTCTGTGGTCATTTCAACCCTATTATGAAGAGAGAGATGATTTAGATTTGGGGCATGTTAAAAACAATTTATTTTTTTCTAAGATTAGCTGGATATTTTTCTTGATGATTTATGTTTGGAATAACTTTTCCATCAACTTCACTGTGGAATGCAGGAAACAATGAACAATATGCATTCCCATTAGCATTCTTCATTTCTGATTGTAATTATTATTAGTTGTGTAATTATTAGTTATTTTATATAATAAAAATGAAATTGCATTACATAACTGTATTGCATAAAATTGTACCTTTTTTTTCCATGTAGTACACTAAATCTTTGAGCTTCAGATAACTCCATTAGGTAACATGATCTCATTTTTTCAAAGATCTTGTGATACATGTCCTATTATCATATATGTTCTGTTTTGACATTTTTGGTATCATTCTTCATGTATAATTGGGAAAAGATAAACTGTACATAGTTACAGTATAACATTTTGATAGATTTTGACATAGGAATACACCCACGGAACCATCATCACAATCAAGACAATGAACGTGTCTACCATCCACAAAAGCTTCCACTTAACTATTTGTAATTTCTACCTCCAGCCAAACCTCCAACTCCTGTCACCAGGAAACTGCTAATTTACTTCCTGTCAATATACATAATTTGCCTTTCTAGAATTTTATATAAATGGAAAAAATTTTTGGTCTAGTTATTTTCAAACAGCATAATTTTGAAATTCATTTGTACTTTTTTTTGTATATATAGCTCATCGCTTTTTATTGCTCAGTAGCATTCTATTGTATGTACGTACCACAATTTATCAATTCATTGTTCATAGACATTTGGATTACGTGTAGTTTTGGGCCATTACAATTGAAGCCACAAAAAAATCTACAATTTGTTATCTGGACGTATGTTTTAATTTCTCTGGTATAAATACCTAGGAGTGGAAGTATGCTTAAAATTATAAGAAACTGTGAAACTGTTTTCCAGAGGCTGTGCTATTTTAAACCCCTGCTAGGAGTCTTCCCATTCTTCTACATCCTCAGCAATACTTGATATAGTGAGTGTTTCTAAATTTAGCCATTCGAATAAGTCTGTAGAGTTAATTGTGGTTTTATTTTGCATTTCCCTGATGACTAGTTTATGTACTTATTTGCCATCTGTACATGCATTTCAGTTAATTTTCTGTTCAAAATATTTGCTGCCCCCTTTTAAATGAGGTGTTTGTTTTCTTTTTGAGTCATCGTAGTTCTTTATATATTCTAGATGCAAGACCTTTGTTTATATATATAACCTTTATATATTTATTATATATGTATTATATATACATATATAATATGTTTTCTCATTCTGTGGCTTGTTTTTCTATTTTTAATAGAGTCCTCTAAGGAGTAATCATTGTTAATTGTGAAATCAAAATTTTTGAGTTTTTTCTTTTATACTTAATTTGTGTTATAACTAAGAAACTCGAGATTACTAAGATATTCTCCTATGTTTATATATAGCAATCTTACAGTTTTAACTCTTAATTTTACGTTTATAATCAATTTGTGGATTTTGGTTACTTCGTTTACCCTCTGTTCCTTTAATTTTTTCACTTCCCTTGTAATATTAGTCTTTTTGTTACTGATTTCTAAAAACATTAAGGATGTTAACATTTTTGTCATACATTACAAATGAAATACCATATTTTCCCATTTATTTTACTGTAATATTTTGTTTTTTGGTTGTACAGAATTTATGTATTGAAATATAATCATATTTTTAAAACAAATGTCCTGGAATTTTGGGATGGTGTTAAATCTATAGATCAAATTGGGGGGATTAATATTTTAAACAATAATTGAGTCTTCCAATCCATGAAGATTATATTTTTAGCTTATTAAGGTCTTCTAAATATTTCTCTTTATACTGTTATATAGTTTTCTATGTACAGTTCCTGCAAATATATTGTCAAATTTATCACTGTCATATTTTTATTCTATTGTAATTAGTATTTTTTCAATTTCTGATTGTTCGTTGCTAATGTATAGAAATAATTTTTTGTAGATCTTTTATCATGCAATTTGCTTAACTCTCTTGTTATTTTTTGCATTTTTGTAGATTCTTTAGGATTTTATATGTAGTTAAACATGTGTGACAAATAGACTGTTTTACTTCTTTCTTCTCAATATGCATGCATTTATTTCTTTTTTATGCCTTGTTTCACTGACTAGAACTTCCAGTGCAATATGAACTGAGGTGGTGAGAGTGCACATTCTTTGTTAGGTGATCTTAGGAGAAAAGCATTCAATATTTTATAATTAAGTGTGCTGTTAGCTGTAGGGTTTTCCGTCGAAGTACTGTGTAAGATCAAAGAAGTTCCCGTCTACTCCTATTTCACTGAGAATTTTTGTCATGAGTAGGTGACGATTTTTGTCAAGTATTTTTTTCTGCATCTATTGAGATGACCATTTTTTCTTCTTTTTAAATCTTTTTTAAATTTGTTACATTGATTTACAAATGTTAGATTAATCTTGCAATTCTGTGATAAGCCCAACTTCATCATGATATATTCATCCTTTTATGTGTTTATGGATATAACTTGCTAAAAATTTGTTGGTAAATTTTGTGTTGACATTCATGAGAAATATTGTTTTGTGCTATTTCTCACATAATGTGTACAATTTGGGTATCAAAGTAATACTGACTTCATAAAATACGTTGGGAAATGTTTCTTCTTATTCAATCTTCAGAAAAATTATATGTAAAATTGGTACAATTTCTTCTTTAAATGTTTGGCAGATGTGCTAATGGAGCAAGTTTTTCCCACGATTTTTCAGTTGTCTGTAAATTAAATTACACACTTCTAAATAACCCACGGATCAGAGAGGAAATAGTAAAATAATTACAAATCATTTTTAACTGAATAAAAATGAAAATGCGAAATATTTAAATTTACAGGATGCAGCTAAAGGAAGATAGAGGGAAATTTGTAGCAGAAAGGTCTCAAATTGATGACTCCAGTTTCCACTTTAAATAACTCAAAAAGAACAACAAATTTATTAAATAGGAAAAAGGATTATAACATTCACCCAAATTTTCCAAGTGTGAATGTTTTACCATACTTAGTTACTGAATCTCTCTCCTCTCCTTCTTTCTAGACATTTCAGGGTAAATTGAATACATGATGTCTCTTTAACACTAAATGCTTCAGTAGTAACTCCTTCCAACCTCCATAACAAAGACATTGTCTTACAAAACCAGGGTGCAATGATAACATTCTGAAAATTAACACTAACCTTATTCAGTTCTTGTCCTCCTACTATCCAGGACCCTATACAAGATTATGAATAACATTTAGTTGTATTACATGCTTCTTTAGTATCCTTTAATATGGAATAATCATTTGGGATAGTTTTCTCATTTTTTGTAAAGGCAGAAACTTAAGCTCAGCAGAGAGGTGACATGACTTGCCCAAGATCACAATCGAGTAGTGCTAGGGCCAAAGTTAAATTATTATTTGACCCATCTTCAAATGCTATTTTTCTAAGAAAATATATCCCTTTGTTCTATTGTTGTGTCTGTGTGTATCTGTGTATGTATGTGTGCCTGTTTGCATGTGGTTGTTCCATAAGTTTCTCACCTACATGACCAATAGAAGCTGTTGTATCTTATCACATCACCTAATTATATGTAGTAAAGATCATCACCCAACAGTCCACATTTGACTATAAGTTAACAAAGTGACCTGCATGCTTGCAATTGCAATATGAACAAAATTTACTTCGAATTCTTTTCATACGTTGGCTGATGAACATTGAATTGGCTAGCTTCCAATTCTTTGATTATAATGAATTTTTAGGGGAAAATATCTACGATAAAATAACTTTATGTTTGTCCAAACAAATGGAATGATACGACTCTGCATCTATTGTCTTCCCACCTGATTTAAACAAAATTATCCATTGTCAAAGAAAACCACTATTTGTTTTAAACTTGCATGAATGCGAAATTGTTCTTGTGAGTTTTAAGCAATGTGATTTAATTGACATTTCAGGTGTTATTTTTTTCAGATGAACTTCACTGTTCTATTGTTGAAATGAGGATTTTTTTTTCCACATCCGAGTAATGACATGGGCAAAATCTATTTGAAATCAAGTAGTCATAAGGAATTTATTATTGACAATTGAAAAAAGTTCTTAAAAAGCTTCAATTCATTCTCCCACACAAACATATAAACCCACCAAAATAAACTTTCTTGCAGCTCAAGTAAGTTCTACAATGGAGAAGTAAGCCTCTTAACAAGATTGAATTTGCTACTGTGCATGTTACAAGCTGAACAAACAGAGATTGGGAAAGGCTCTGTTCATTCATGTGCCTCCTTTAAAAAACAAATACCAGTTTAATATAAATGGAAATGAGGGCAACATTAGTATGAACACAAATCTTGATCTTTTGTAACCTAATAATGAAAACCATACTTTTTCAAAGCTGGATAAATGGATAACGTCATATATTTTAGAATTTGAATCATCACTGTTTCTGTTAAGATTTTCTCCATTTCTGAGTTTTGCTTTACATGTTGGGATGACTATACACTTTAGCACTGAATGTCTTGAATGCTGGGGTGCACAGCTGAAGTAGAATGATTAGAAATAATAATGTAAGAATGTACAAAGATTACAAAAGAAACCTGAAGACCAGGGTTGTAAAATTCTGTCTTTATAACCTTTGTATTATCAGAACGCCATAGCTAATAGTCAGACTCAAACATTTGTCCTGATTCAAAGGTGTGATCATAGCAGCATTATTATAGAAGTTTTATTTTGCAAACATGCAGGACTGAAATGCTTCCTTTAATTTGGGAGATGATAATTTCTGAAGAGTACAGGAACATGGTTTGTTTCTAATTCCCAAAGGAAGGACTTCATGTCATTCTGTGTCTTGCTAACAGTTTTAAAAATATAAATCAAAAGTAACTAACTTATCTGATTTGAAAAATGTGAAACTTCCATTCCTTAAACACACTTTCTATGTTTTTATAAGCCGTAAATAACTTACATTAAGATGCTATTTAATGGTCATTATCAAAAAGATGAAATATATTAAGTGTTGTGGAAGATGTGGAGAAAAGGCAACCCTTGTACACTGTTGGTGGGAATGTAAATTGGTACAGTCATTATGGAAAACAGTATGGTAGTTCCTTAGAATCTGAAATAGAACTACCATATGGTCCAACAATCCAAATTCTGGGCATATATCCAAAGGAAATGAAATCAGTATCTTGAAGACATATCAGTATCTTGAAGCGATATCTGCACTGTCATGTTCATTGCAGCATTATTCACAATAGCCAAGGTATAGAATTAACCTCAGTGTCCATCAATGGATAAACTGATATGTGCACCAATGCATTGAAACTCAATTCAGAATGTAGACTGCCTACCAAAAAACCTTAAAAGTAAAACTCAAGCCAAACCAAACACAAGATAACAAGGAATCACAATAAAGTATAAACTCTAGCCACCAGAAGTTTATTAGACATTTTCACTCAGACCCTCACATTTTAAAGGGTTAATTCATACACATCTAGATCTATGATAAGCAAATATAACTAACCTCATGACTTTTATTTTCCTAAGTTGATGTTTTAGGACCAATAAGCACAAGTTATATTCTTCATAGTTTTTCCACTCATTCAGAATTATTTTCTGAAAACAAGCAAAGGACAATTTAAAAATTATGCAAGAGTCAATTGTAGAGAAACCTTAAAATGTACTTTAATAGAGAACCCCTAAAATTGACTTAGGGGTTCTCTATCATGTTGACAGTTTTGTTCTTCCTTTAACTTTCTTTCAGAAATTCTTTGCCCCAAATCTCAATTTTCCTCAGTCCACCATACCCCTTCCCCTAATGAAAAACCAGACTCCTATTATCAGATTCTAGGTGATTCTGAGATTCCTTGTCCTTCCTATACCCTTAGTTGTGCACCCTAAACCTATAACCGCAAGTTTACTATCTTACCTGAATTGGGAATAATTGAAAGAGCATAAAGATTCAGCTCCACCAAAATTAGCTTTCAAGACAAATTAAAAAAAAACAAAGAACACACAATCCTAACACTCTAAGACAGCAACTGTTTTCGTTAAGGCTGATTGTCTTTCACAGAGCACATTTTCACATCATTGCTCTCAGAGTTTATATATCAGTTTATGTTCTATTATTTTCCCTTACAATTATGTCATGATTATTTGCATACTTTTACAGTCTTGATGATTAGTATTTTAATGTACTATCTTTTTTGATATGCTGACATACCAAAATTTATTAAATCCTTTTATGAAAGGTACACAATTAAATTATTTCCAGTATTTTCCTCTATGGATAATATTTCAATGCATGTTTTACTGCACATTTTTTATTTTCTACTGTTAAATTATTTTCTTAAGAGAAATACCTAGCAGTGGAGTTACTGGGTCAAAACGTGTATATACTTTTTGGTGTATGGTTCATATTGCCATATTGCTTTTTAAAAGGGTTCTTGCAATTTGTATTACCACTTTATTTGAAATATATTAACACTTTACCATTACTGGCTATTATTATTATAAATATGTTTGTGCTTTCATAAAAATATCAAAGTGAGTCCAGTCTGACTACATTTTGTGAGAATTCACATTTTCCAACATGTTTGATTACTAATTTTCCATTATGATACATATCTCTTCAAATTCTTTTCCATTTTTCTATTGAGATCTTGATATTTTTTCTATAAATTTGAATAGATTCTTTATATATTATGGATACAAATCTTGTGTTATAAGAAGTGCAAATACTTTTCACAATTTCTAGTTTAGTTTTCTATTAAGTCTTATTAAAAAATTTAATTTTTATATTCAAATATGACAATTTTATGCTTTTAAATTTCTATTGCTTCAAAGATAAAATGTGTCTGCACAAATAGGATACATTTTCTAATTCGTTTTCTTTGATTTTCTATAATTTGATGAACTGTTTCTATTCCATGTGTGTTATTGCAACTACAAAGAATATATAGGTTATATGGCTGCCTACTAGTAATTCTAATAGTTCTTATAGTTCACAGCTTTTACAATTGCATAAACTTGGTTTCAGATCCGTGTTCTGTTACAACAAACTGTGCCGTGTTGGCTAGGTTATTTAATTTCACTCACTTACTTGTCTATAAATTTTGGACATATAATATTTGATTTGCAAGATCATTGAGAGGACTGAGAATTATGTAAATAAAATTTCTGACAAAAAAGATACTCAGGAAATGGTTGTTTTTATTATGAGATGCATCATGCTATTTGAAAACTGTTATATTTATGGGCTTTATGTTTTGCATATCTGTATTTCTGTGTCTATACTGGAAAAAAATTATTTTGTTTTAAATTTTCCACACTCTCCCCATTGTACTATTATTTTAAAAATTTTATTTTACAATAATTTTAGATTTTCAGAAAAATCGCAAAGATGGTACAGAGAGTTCCCATACAGCACATCTAATTACCTTTATTAGCATCATCTAACATTTGTAGGCTCATTTGTCACAATTAATGAACCAATATTGATACGTTATTATTAACCAATGTCCATATTTTCTTCAGATGTCCTTAGTTTTTACCTAATGTCCTTTAGTCCTCCATAACTCTAATTAATTTTTATTACTGTATATATATATGGTCACTATATATATATACGTAGAAATTTATATATATGTTTTTTATTACAGAAAATATTTATATATGCTATTTTAGTCATTTTTAGTGGCACTAATCACATTCACAATGCTGTATTACCATCACCACTATCTATTTCCAAAACATTTTCATCCCAAACAGAAACTCTGTAACCACTAAGCAATAACTTCCCATTCCTTTCTTCACTCAGCTTCTGGTAAACCACTAATCTACTTCCTATCTCTATGAATTTGCCTATTCTAGATATTTCATATAACTGAAATCATAAAATATTTGTCTCTTTATATCTGGCTTCTTTCCTTAGCACATATTTTCAAGGTCCATCCATGTTGTCACATGTATCAGAATGCCATTCCTTTTGGTGACTGAATAATATAACATTGTATGTATATACCAGCTTATGTTTCTTCATTGATGTGTTGATGTACTCTTGGGTTCTTTACAATGTGTGGCTATTGTGAATAATACTGCAATAAACATTGGTATACAAATATCTCTTTGAGTCATTATGATTTTAATGGGTATATACCAATGAATGAAAATGCTGGATCATGTAGTCATTCTATCTTTAGTTTTTTAAAAAAATGCCAAACTGTTCTCTACAGCAGCAGCACCATTCTACCTTCCCACCAGCAATATATGAGAATTTTAATTTATCTGCATCCCCACCAACACCTGGTTTTTTTCATTATAATCATGCTAGTGCCTATGAATGGATATATCCTCATGGATTTGGTTTGCATTTTCCTAATGACTAATGATGGTGAGTATCTTTTCATGTGCTTAGTGATTATTTGTATATATTATTTAGAAAGAGTTCAATTTAAGTCCTTTGCCCATTTTTAAGTTCAGTTCCTGCTTTTTGTTGTTGTTGAGTTGTAGTTCTTTCTACATTGTGGATATTGAACACTTATAAGATATATGGTTTGTAAATATTTTCTCCCATTCTCTCTCTCTCTCTCTCTTTTTTTTTTTTTTTTTTTGTTTTTTTTGAGACAGCGTCTCACTCTGTCGCCCAGGCTGGAGTGCAGTGGTGTGATCTCGGCTCTCTGTAACCTCCAACTCCCGGGTTCAAGTGATCCTCCTGCCTCAGCCTCCTGAGTAGCTGGGACTACAGGTGCGCACTACCATGCCCAGCTAATTTTTGTATTTTTAGTAGAGACGAGGTTTCACCATATTGGCCAGGCTGGTCTCGAACTCCTGACCTCGTGATCCGCCCACCTCAGCCTCCCAAAGTACTGGGATTAAAGGCATGAGCCACTGGGCCCGGCCCATTCTCTCATTCTTTAAGTCTTTTTACTTCCTTGATAAAGTCCTTTAAGACAAAAATGTTTTTAATTTTGCTGGATTCTAATCTATTTATTTTTTATTTCTCATGCTTTTGGTGTCATATCTAAGAATATATTGCCAAATCCAAAATCATGAAAATCTAAGAGTATTATGATTTTAGTTCCTATATTTAAGATGTTGATGCACTTTCATTTAAGGATTGTATATGTTGCGAGGTAGTAGTCCAACTTAAATCTGTTGCATGTGGATATTCAGTTGTCTCAGAAATATTTATTAAAGAAACCATATCTCCACATTGAATGTGCTTGACATGCTTGTAAAAAGTCAACTGGCCATGAACTTATGGATTTATTTCTGGAATCTCAATTCTATTACATTGGTCTATATGTACATCCTTATGCAAGTATTGTCTTTATTATGATAGTTTTATAGAATGTTTTGAAATTGTGAAGTGTTGATCCTCCAACTTTTCTTTTTTAAAAGTTAGTTTTTCAAGTTAGGGCCCCTTGCAATTCCATATGAATTTCAGAATTTTCAGCTTTTCCAATTCTGTAGAAAAAAGGCTTCTGGAATTTTGGTGGACATGTACTGAATCTCTAGAATACTTTGTATAGTACTGACAGCTTAGCAATATCAAGTCTTATACATGAACACAGGATGTCTTAATTTATTCAATTCTTCAATTTCTTTCAGCCAAGTTTTGTAGTTTACAGTGTATAACTCGTTTCTCCAAGTTTTGTAGTTTACAGTGTATAACTCATTTCACACCATGGTTTTATTTATTCCTTGGTATTTTATTCTTCTAGATGCTATTGAAAGTGGAATTGCTTTCTGAGTTTCCTTTCCAGATGGCTCATTGCTGGTGTATTAAAAAAAATGATCTTAAAGTGTTTATCCTGTTTCCTGTAACATTCATGAATTCATTTATTAGCCTTCATATCTTTCTTGTGGATTTTGGGGGATTTTCTGTATATATGACCATAAATAGGACCGTATCATCTGTGAGATTATATAGTTATAATTCCTCTTTTATAACTTGGATGCCTTTTATTTCTTTTTATGGTCCTGGCTACAACTTACAGTATAATGTTGAATAGCAGTGGTGAAACAAGCATCCTTGTCTTATTTCTGATCTTAAAGGGAATGTTTTCATTCTTTTACTACTGAGTATGTTCTTAGCAGTGGATTTTTCATAAATGCACTTTATCAATTTGAGGAAGTTCCCTTCTATTCTTATTTTTTTCTGAGTGTTTTTACCATGAAAAGGTGTTTGCTATGTCAAATGTCTTTTCTGCATCAGTTGAGATAATGATTTTTGTTGTTGTTATTATTCTATCAAAGTAATATACTAATACTATGTTGATTGATTTCTTATGTTGAACCACCCTCACATTCCTGGAATAAGTATCACTTTGTCATGGTAAATAAGGTTTTTAATGTGAGGTTGGATTGGGTCTGCTAGTATAATGTTGAGGGTTTTTGCATTAATATTAATAATAAATTTTTATAATTTTATTTTCTTGTGATGTCTTTAGCTCTTGTATCAGAATAATGCTGGTCTTATAGAATGAGTTAAAAAGTGTTCCATCTTATTCAATTTTTTGTAATAGCTTAAGATGGACTGATATTACCTCTTATTTAAGTATTTGGAATAATTCACCAGAAAAGCCACCTGGCCTAGGATCTTATTCATTAGGAAGTATTTGATTACTGATTCAGTCTCATATTTGTTATAGGTTTGTTGAGATTTTTCTATTTGAAATTGAGTCAATTTTAGTAATTAGTGTGTTTCTAGGACTTTAATTTCACATAGAGTATGTAATTTGTTGGTATACAATTGTTCATAGTATTCTGGGATATATTTTCTCTTTCTGTAAGGATGGTAGTAATGTCCCCACTTTTTTGTGATTTTAGTTATTTGAGTCTTCTCTTTTTTCCTTTGTCATTCTATTTATCTATTTTTATTTATAATACTGTTAATATTATACTGATTATATTTTAAAATATTAATTATGAAATTTTTAATTATTTTTCCTTCTGCTAGCTTTGGATTTAGTTTTGTCTTCTTTTTCTAGTTTCTCAAAATATAAATATAAGTTATTGATTTGAGATCTGTAATTTTTAAAGTAAGCATTGCAGGTATAAATTTCTTCCTGAATATTATCTTCATTGCATTCGTAAATTGTGGTATGTTGCATGTTTGTTGTCATTCATCTCTAAGTAATTTCTAACTTGATGATCTCTTGTTTGACTCATTGGATCTTTAAGAGTCTATGGTTTTATTTAAATATATTTGTGAATTTTTCAGTTTTCATTCTTTTATTGGTGTCCAACTTTATTTCATTTTAGTCAGAAAAGATACTTTATATGATTTCAATATTTTAAAATTCATTGAGACCTGTTTTGTGGCATAATCTGTGATCTATCACAGAGAATATGACATGTGTACTGGAGCCAAATGTGTATTCTCTTGTTGTTCAGTGGAGTATTCTATACATACATTTTTACCCTGCTATTTTGCTGATGTAACTCACTATACTATTCATTTTCTTAATGTCTTTACACCCTTTTCCATTTTCCAGATTTAGATTAGAATTACTTTTTTGAGTTCCAAAAGAAAAACATGCTTTCTTTTCTTCCTTTCTTCTCATTGTATCCTCCCATGACAAAAGGGAGAGGAAACTCTCCTGTCTTTTCTTATAAGGTCACTGATCCCATTCATGAGGGCTCTACCCTCATGACCTAATCACCTCCCAAAGGTCTCCTAATACTTTTTAATACCATGAAATTAAGGGTTATTATTTTTAGCATATGAATTTGGGGAAAACATAAACATTTAATTCATATTGAATAAATTTGAACCATTCAAGTCTATTACCTGGACAACTACACAGGGGTAAGGATAGTAGTCAGTCAAAATATGTTTTCTTTTTGAGAATATACCCCATAATCTGGCATTTAAAAGATAAACAGTATTTAACTAGTTGAGGAGGAGTGGAGGATTCCCCAGAGAGGTAATGTCATGAACCAAGGCCCTGAGATGGGAGAATAGACAGATTTGTGTTATGAAAAGCCTCTAGTTACAGTGACCACACCAAATTAAAAGTTCCAGATTGTATATACAGAAGACCAGTTTAGGTTTGGTCCTTTGTTGTGTGAAAATATAAAACCAAGAACCAAGTTTTTCTTCATTATACTTCTCTTATTTTGCAACTTTACATTTGTTTGGTTGACTATTTAATTAATGTCTGCCTTTCCTGCTAAATCATAAGGTTAATGCAGGGAAAGCCTGGGCGTATATTTGCTCTCTACTATGTCTTCGGTATCTATAATGGTTTCTATCACCTAAGATCTGGTAAAACAATATATGCCAAATGATTTAAATGAATGAGAATAAATAACGAAAAAAATATTTTAAACACTAAATAGCTAGGTGATATTAATTTGAGATTGGATACTCTTGTCTCTGAAAGGTCTCTCTTAAGTATTGAAAATAGGGGATAATTCCTCTTCCATTCAATCTGCTCCTCAGTAGTTATTGTCTTGATAAATTTAATTCCTCTTCTTATTAATATTTTCTTCTCTCTAAAAGAATAATGCTTTCCCCAGATATCATTTTCTTAGTTCATATTTCCCTCACTTCTTCCATATCCCTCTGTTATATCAAATCAATCTATTTCTGTACAACATTTTCAAATAGTAGCGACCTTTTACATTTTTAAAATTTTAATAAACAATTTTATGTCAGAAAAGTTTTTAAAGTCAAATGATGCTAAAGATTTATAACAAAAAGCACCATTTCCTTTAACTTTCTTCCCCTTACCACATTCCACTCCCCAAATATTACCGCTTTCAGTTATTTTAGCTGTTTCTTTAGGCATTTATCTCTGTATTATTATTATTTTTTTTTCAAGATGGAGTCTTGCTCTGTCACTCAGGTTGGAATGTGATCTCAGCTCCCTGCAACCTCCGCCTCCCAGGTACAAGCGATTCTCCTGCCTCAGCCTCCCGAGTAGCTGGGACTACAGGCGCGCGCCATCACACCCGGCTAATTTTTGTATTTTTTGTAGAGACGGGGTTTCACCACGTTGGCCAGGATGGTCTCGATCTCCTGACCTCGTGATTCTCCCGCCTCGGGCTCCCAAAGTACTGGGATTACAGGCATGAGCCACCACGCCCTGCCTATCTCTGTATTTCTAATTAATGGGTATATACTTTTCTCTCTTTAGTCTTCAATTCTGGAAAGTATCCATCAACTTCCTGTTATGGCAAATGAATATTTTATTAACAGTTTCCTTACTCTGTCCAATGACTGTAATTATTCCTTAATTTCAGTTAAATACTTATATTTTCCTTCTTATGACCGTGCAAGGATTGTTCACTTCTGAGCCAAATAGTGTACTAAGCAGTATTTCTTTTCTTAGACAACATTTTTGTTATAATTTCTGAATTTTTCTGAATTTTTATCAGAAAGTCTTTCCATGTAATAAGATAGCTCTGTAAGATGCCATTCGACATATTTTTTCATACAGTTTGATATGCAAAAAAAAATGTCAGTTCTATTTTTCTTCATGGATACATTCCTCCTAGAGACACCAGCCTTACTGATCTACTTGTTATTGGGTGCCCTCTAGTACTGCTGCACACTTGACATCATAGGACTTCCTTTCACCCTCATCTTGGGAACTATTTATCTTCTGTGCTACATTCCCTGTTAACATAATATCAGGTCTTATTCTTTTTGTGTTATTTTATTCTACTTGTTGACACACATAATCCAATAGCTTCCTGATAAGGAATACATGGAGAATAAATATTTTTTGAATAATTGTGTATTTAAAAATGTCTATTCTGCAATCATCCTTTTTTTTTAGTTGTTCTTGAGTTTTTATTATTTTCTACAGTTTGAACTAAATCATGAATTTTTTGTGGGCTACAAGTCCCAAAACTAATGCTTTCAGATTTTCCCTCCACTTTTCTGTCTTGCACTCAATGAAATTGCTACTACCTGTTAACTGAGGCCCAGCAAGCTTAAGTTTATTCCTTATAATATAGGTGGCAAAAATGTGTCAGATTGCCACCACCTTCCTCCTCTATAACTAAAGAGACATAGCCTATCTGCATGCCACCTCCTGTTACAGAAAACAGCTGTTTAACTGAACTGATCTAGTTTCAGAACCAGGAAACTAACTGAAAAGATATGGGATGGTATATTTAAATGTACTCTTTCATGTATATCCCAATCTGTCTGTCTAACAAATCTCTCTCTGCTAGTAACCACACTACAATAATCTTTGATTGGTAGTGTGGCTGAATCTAGAATTCCTTGTTAAAATTATTTTTATCCAGACATATGAAGGCATTGCCCCATTGTTTCCTAAATGCAATGTTGCTCTTGGAAAGTCTGTTAAAATCTTTAATCTTGGCTCCTTTTAAATGACCTACACCTTCTTTCAACCTTTTAGAGTCTTTTCCAAAAATCCTTAGGGTACTGAATTTCACAATAATGTGATTTTGTTCTGAGGGCTATTTCTATCTGGATATTAATATCTTCCACTTCTGATAAATGTTCTTGATTATTTCTTTAATAATTGTCTCCCTACATGATTTTAATTTTCTGGGATGCCAATTATTTGTAAGCTGGTCCTCAAATAAATAATTTTATTATCTGTTCACTTCAGTTGCTCTAACCATAATTTTCTTACTATCTTTAGAATATTCCATCATTTTAATATTCAGATTATTCTGTTGGATGTTTTATTTCAACTATCATAGCATTAATTTCCAAAAACCCATGCTTGTTCTTACATGATTCCTTTTGAAACTATCCTGTTCTTGTCTTTTGCATGCAGTATTTGTAATGCCACTAAACATATTAATGCTACTAAACATATTGTCTCAATAATTTTTTTCTCCTCCTTAAATTGCCTATATTTCCTCTGGGCTTTTTTTTTCTCTTCCTTTTTTTGTTTCTTTCTTTCATGTTGGATTCTTTCTGGAAATGTCTAGTGTTTTGTTGTGAATTCATGTCTAAAAGTGAATTCTATTAAGCTTTTGTGTTTTATTGCATCATGGGGTTTGCTATGACCATCATCTGGTAAGCTGACTTTTTTGTACTTTGGTACCTGTAAGTGGCACTGCCTGTATATTATCTTGGCAGTAGGTGTGTAGCTTCAGAGAACAATCTTCCAGTATCTGGCTGTGCTTATTAACCTGGCTTGTGGCATTTTGCAGCTGGATGTGGTAGGAACTAAGAGTGCCATCTTTCCATATGCAGACTTTTACTTCATTCCCTGTTTTCCATATAGTATCTCACACATACCAGAGAATAAATTTTATCTGTCATGGGGTTAAGGATAGAGAGGTTTTATTATTGGCAGTGAGAGAGGACATCTGGATATGGTGAAAATCTAAATTATCCTTTTTTTCTGACATTCAAATAGTGTTTTTATATTTTGCCTTCACGGAATCACTCACACATTCTGAAGTATTTGGGATTCTAATGCCTGAGTCTTCCTGAGGTTCTGTGGAAAATCACTTCATATTAGTTTCCCCCCATTTCCCATCCAATTATGAAACTTAGCTTTGTCCGCCTTCCTCATTGCTACCTTTAATACTTTCTCAATTTTATTTTTAATGTGGTTCATGCTTAGTTCTTCTAGATTTATTGAATATTGTGTTTCTGGTCATTTTTGTTGCTGTTATTTTCCTTTTAGTTTTGGTATGGTTTCTAGAAAAGAGGCAAAAAATTCTTTATTGTACAATAAGTTTCAAATTCTCATTTAAAAGAGTTACTTGATAATTAACTACATTTACATTAAACACCAACACGGAATTTTGTCTATAGCTGCTTGTTATAGTATACGAAGTAGAGTCTATTTATGTGATTTAACAGCTGCATGAGTCTCTTAGTCATTTGTATGTTAACATATTGACTTTTTAAACATACTAACTTTTAAAAAGTCATTTTGCCATAATAAACTTGGTGATACTAGGAAAAAATTTCCATAATTTTTTACTCGAAAATGATTCCTAATTAAATTAGGTTATTGAATAAGCATTAATTTGACTATCTCTATGAATTTTCCAAACACAGAGAATAGTCACGGGCACATAGTAGACATTAATTAAATATTTGCTTGAAACCTCATATATGCCAGCAAATTAGATCAGTGCTGAGAGACTATCAATATAGGATGATCTGTTTGAATCTTAGCAGGGCTGGTTGGAAAGGAGGGAATAACAAGAGAGGAAACTGGATAAGTTAGACAGGTGTCAGTTATTGAAGTATCCTCTAAGCCATGCTCAAGAGTTTGGATTTCATTTTAAATGCTATGGGATATTATTAAGAAGCGTATTAATTTGATCATATTTGGATATTAGAAATATCACTCTAGTTACCACACCATGGGTAGTTTTAAATGGGACAAGACTGGAAAGCCACCATTGGATTTGGCATCTGGAAGGTCATTGGCTACTTTAACAAATAAAGAGTTGTTTCCGTGTAATGGTAGGATGGGAAGCTCATTTGAAGTCGTTTGAGGAAAGAGGAGGAAAAAAGAGAGTAATATTTCAAGAAGGCTGGCTGTTAAAAATAGGAATAATAAGAAATATGTAGAGCTAGGGAAATTTTAGTTGGTTGCATGTTTATTTAAGATTAGAGAGCCTCAAATGTGCTTAATTATTATGGAGAAAAAACTTCCTAAGAAGAAGTTGAATTCAGCTTCAAATTCGATTCAGCAAGGTTACTAAAGAATCAGGGAGGGATTAAATCTAGGTGCTTTCAGATGATAGTAGATAGTCATTATTAAGTGAATGATCCATAATTTTATTGAAAATGTTCTTAATTTTATAAATAACTTCAGACTTACGAAAAATAGCAAAGGAATTATAAATATTCTTTTCCTTAATCAATTGAGAGTACATTGATACCACGTTACACAGGAATCCATTGATACTTATTTACTATAAACAAAGACACTCTATTATATAGCCATAATAATAGAAACATCAAAATCACTGCAAAGACATTAATAGATTAAAGCTCACCCATGTACCACATTAAAATGCCATCAATTGTTTCAATAATATCCTTCATAGATAAAGGATCCAAATTGGGATAGCTCATTGCATTAAAGATGTGATTTTCTTTATATTCCAGTCTCTTTCTGAGACTGGGATAATTCCTCAGTCTTTTCTTGACTTTGACAGTTTTGAAAATTACAGACTATTTATTTGATAGACTATACCTCAGTTTGGGTTTGTCTCATGCCTCCTTGTGGTTAGATTCATGTTTCACCTTTTTGCCATTAATAAAATAGAAAAGAAGCTGTGTTTTTCTCAGTATATCTTATCATATTTTATAAGATAGTGTAAGATTTTAATTTATGCCTTTACTGGTGATGTTAATTAGATAACTTCATTAAAGTAGAGTCTGCCAGAGTTCTCCATTGTAAAATTACTTGCTCTTACTGTATTTAATGTATATTTTTGAAGCAATACTTTAATATTATGTACATATTTCTCTTCTCATCAAATATTCACCTAATCGTTTTAGCATTCACTGATGTTTCTTGTCTGAATTATTACTCTAAAGATTGCCGTATGGACTTTCTAATCACATCCTTGCTTCTATATTTATTAGTTGGCATTATTTTCTGTGATAGTGCTTTTTACTATCCTTCCTTCTTCCTTTCCTTCCATTTTAATCTTCTTTCTTCCTTATTTACTTCCTTCTTTCCCCCCTTACTCTTCTTCTTGCTTTCCTGTTTTCTTATTTTGTTTCTTCTTTTCTATGTCAATATGTATCACGGATTGAATATTTCATCTATTTTATTTTATCTATATATTTATTAATTATTGCAAATTTTGAAACTCAGGTTGTCACATCTCTGTCCAGTGACGGTCCCTTCAAGATGGCTCCTGTGTCTTTTTGAGATGACATTATCAATCTTTGAGCATTTTCTTATTTTCTGGCACAGCAAGATGTCCCAGGTTCATCTTATACTTTTTCTGCCCTATCCACTCTTCCATTTCTCCAAGGAGCTCTATCTCCTTGGTTCCTTTTATTGGAGAGTATTGAGTGGCATTACAAGCCAAGATATGGGCTATGGATAAGGTCATTGCTCTCAGGATTACTCTTTGGATAAAATTATATATATATATATATATATATATATTATTATATTATATTTAAAACTATGAGTATCACCAATACTTCTCATTCTAAAACCTAACTACAGTGTTTATTCCTAGTCTCACTCTTGTCATATTTTCATATATTATAACTCCCTTCTCTGACACTGAGAAATCTGAGTACTGTTATCTTCTATATAGGTACATATTGTTCTAGTCCACCTATATGAAACCAATCTTTTGGCTCTGCAAAGTCACAATCCCATTTCCTTGAGTGGTCCAAAACAGTGCTAACCTCACTGGACATGCCTTCGTCATGTAAAAGTTTTGGATTTTTTTTTCAGATAGAAATAAAGGAAGAAAATCAGGGTATAGGTATTTTTAAGTAGGAGATAATAGACTCATAAACCAAAGATATTGCTTTAAGATTTTAAGTAATATGAGACAAACAATCACAAAGCTAGTCAAATGGATGTGATCTTAGGTACGCACAATCCATTACCCAAAATTATCGAAATAGAGCAGTTAAGAGAGAGAGGCAGAGCAAAATGGTAGAGGAGATGGCTCCACTAATCATTCCCTCTGCCAGGACACCAATTTAACAGCTATCTACACAATAAAAAACACCTTTATAAGAACCAAAAATCAGGTGAGCCCTCATAGTCCTTGTTTTAATTTTGTATCACTGAAAGGCACTGAAGACATAGCAAAAACAGTATTGAATGGCAGATGTCACTCCTCTCGAAAGCCCCAACCCCAGCAACAGCAGCATGGTGCCAAGAGCATTTCTGGGTGCTGGGGGAAGGAGAGAGAGCACAGCAATTGTGAGGCATTGAACTCCATACTGTTCTGTTATAGTAGAAAAGAAAACCAGTCCAAACTCAGCTGACACCTGCTCATGGAGGGAGCATTTAAACCAGCCCTAGTCAGAGGGGAATCTTCAATCCCAGTGCTCAGAACTTGAGTTCCTGCGAACCACAACACCTAGGGATAAACTGCTCCAGATCTCTCAGAGAACTTGACAGCCTAGGCCACAAATTTCTAGACACATCCTGAGCCAGAAGGGAACGTGCTGCTTTGAAAGGAAGGACCCAGTTCTGTCATCATTCACCACCTGCTAACTGAAGAGCCCTTGGGTTCTGAATAACCATGAGTAATATCAACCAAGGTTTGCTTGAAGGCCTTGGGTGAGCCTCTGAGACTTGTGAGACTTGCTGGCTTCAGGTGCCAGCACAGCCACAGTGGGGTAGAATAGCAAACAGGCTCTTGGGGCCCCCAATTCCAGTACTTGACTCTTGCAAGGCATTTCGCAACCTGTCCTGAGTCAGAGGGGAGCCCACTACCTCAAAGAGTGACCCCCAGGCCAGGCAGCATTCAGCACAAGCTGACTTAGTGGTCCTTGGGATTTAAGGGAACATCAGTGGTAGTCTGGAAGTACTCTCCATGGCCTGGAGTGTCAGGGATAACAAGTGAGGCTCCTCTGCCTTTGGGAAGGGGAGGGAAGATTGAGAAGGACTGCATCTTGTGGTTTGGGTGACAACTGAGTTACTATACAATAGAATACTATGTAGAATTCTAAGGTTTTTGACTCTTGTCCCTGACTCCCAGATGGCAACCCTGGACCCACCCAGGGCATAGGGGAACTCACTGCTCATAAGAGAAGGATACAGACATGGCTGGCTTTGTTATCTGCTGATTGTAGAGACCCATATACTTCAGCAAACATAGGCAGTAGTTATGAAGTGGTTACAGTAGGCCTTGGAGGAGACTCACGGATGGGCTGGTTTCTGGTCTGATCCAGCATATTCATAGTGGTGATGGCCACAGGGGTGCTTGTGTCACTCCAATCCAATCTTTAAATGGTTCAGAACAGAGAGAGAGACTGTTTTTTTTTTTTTTTTTTTTTGAGAGAAAGTGAGTTAAGAGAACAACAGTCTTGTCTTCACTTGGTAATCCACAGAATTCTCCTGGATCTTATGCAAGACCATCAAGGCAGTATCTCCATGAGTCTGCAAGAACCACAGTGTTACTGGGTTTGGGGTACCCCCTAAAGTAAAAGTAGATACAGCTTAGATCACAACATCAAAGTACTTTCAAATATCGGGAAAGGCTTCCCAAGAAGGATGGGTACAAACAATCCCAGACAGTGAAGACTACATTAAATACATAACTCTTCAATGCCCAGACACCAAAGAACATCTATTAGCATCAACACTCTCCAGGAATATCTCACCAAATGAACACACACCAGGGACCAATCCTAGAGAAACAGAGATATATGAATTTCAGCCGAGAATTCAAATTCCTATTTTGAGGAAACTCAAAGAAATTCAAGATAACACACAAGGAAATCAGAATTATATCAGATAAATATAACACAGAGATTGAATAATTTAAAAATATCAAGCAGAAATTCTGACGATGAAAAACACATTTGGCATACTGAAGAATGCATCAGAGCTTTTTAATAGTGGAATCAATCAAGCAGTATAAAAATCAGTGAACTTGAAGACAGACTATTTGAAAATCTACAATCAAAGAAGACAAAAGTAAAGAGAATAAAAAAAAATGAAGCATGCCTACGGAATCCAGAAAATAGCTTCAAAAGGGAAAACCTAGGCGTTATTGACCTTAAACAGGAAGTAGAGAAATATATAGGAGTAGAAAGTTCATTCAAAGGGGTAATAACAGAGACCCTCCCAGACAATGACAAGGACACAATACCTAAATACAAGAAAGTGATAGAAAACCAAGCAGATTTAACTAAAAGAAGACTACCTAAAGCCATTTAATAATCAGACTCCCAAAGATCAAGGATAAAGAAAGTATCCTAAAAGCAGCAATAGAGAAGAGACAACATACAATACAGCTCCAATACATCTGGCAGAAAACTTTTCAATAGAAATCTAGAACTAGAAATACCATATGACCCAGCAATCCCATTACTGGGTATATATGCAAAGGATTATAAATCATTCTACTATAAAGACACATGCACACGTATGTTTATTGCAGCACTATTCACAATAGCAAAGACTTGGAACCAACCCAAATGCCCATCAATGATAGACTGGATAGAGAAAATGTGGCACACATACACCATGGAATACTATGCAGCCATAACAAAGGATGAGTTCATGTCCTTTGCAGGGACTTGGATGAAGCTGGAAACCATAACTCTCAGCAAATTATCACAAGAACAGAAAACCAAACACCGCATGTTCTCACTCATAAATGGGAGTTGAACAATGAGAACACATGGACCCAGGGAGGGGAACATCACACACCAGGGCCTGTCAGGGGTGGGGGGAAAGGGGAGGGATAGCATCAGCAGAAATACCTAATGTAGATGACAGGTTGATGGGTGCAGCAAACCACCATGGCACATGTATACCTATGTAACAAAACTGCACATTCTGCATATGTACCCCAGAACTTAAAGTATAATAAAAACAAAACAAAACAAACAAACAAGAAAGAAACCTTACAGGTCAGCAGAGAGTGGCATGATAAATTTAAAGTGCTGAAGGGAAAAATAAAAACAAAACAATTTTTATTCAAGAACAACATAACCAGCAAAATGTCCTTCAAACATGAAGGAGAAATAAAGGCTATCACAGTCAAACAAAGGCTGAGGGAATTTTTATCAACACCAGACCTGTCCTACAAGAAATGCTAAAGAGAGTACTTCAATCAGAATGAAAAGGACATTAATGAGCAACAAAAAATCATCTGATGGTACAAACCTCACTGGCAATCGTGAGTACACAGATAAATAAAGAATATTATGATACTGTAATGTGATGTTTAAACTACTCTTATCCTAAGTAGAAAGACTAAACAATGAACCAATTGAAAATAATAACTACAACAACTTTTCAAGAAATAAACAGTACAGTAAGACATAAACAGAAAAAGCAAAAAGTTAAAAAGCAGGTGAACAAAGTTAAGGTGTAGAGTTTTTATCAGTTATCATTTTACTTGTTTTATTTTTGTGCAAACTGTGTAAAGTTGTTATCAGAATAAAATAACGGGTCATAAGAAAATATTTGAAAGTTTTATGGTAAACGCAAACCAAAGAGCATGCAACGTTTACACAAAAAATTAAAAGCAGGAAACAAAATCATACTGAATGGAGAAAAACTGAAAGCTTTTCCTCTAGAATCTGGCACGTGGCAAGAATGCCCACTTTGACCACTGTCATTCAACACAGTACTAGAATTCCTAGCTAGAGCAATCAGACAAGAGAAAGAATTAAATGGCATCCAAAATGGAATTAAATAACTCAATTATCCTCATTTGCAGATGATACAATCTTATATTTGGAAAAACCTAAAGACTACACACACACACACACACACACACACACACAATTAGAAGTGATAAATGAACTCTGTAAAGTTTCAGGATACAAAATGAAAATACAAAAGTCAGTAGCATTTCTATATGCCAACAGTAAACAATGTGAAAAAGAAATTAAAAACTATTCTTATCTATAATAATTACACATAAAATTAAATACCTAGGAATTAACAAAATAAATGAAAGATCTCTATAATAAAAAGTATAAAACACTGATAAAAGAAATTGAAGAAAACACAAAAAATTGGATAAATATTCCAATATTGTTAAAATGTCCATACTCCCCAAAGCAATCTACAAATTTAATGCAATCCCTATCAAAATACCAATGACATTCTTCACAGAAATAGGAAACAAAAAGTTCTAAATTTTATATGGAACCACAAAAGACCCAGAATAGCTAAAGCTATTCCAAGCAAAAAGAATATAGGAGTCACCTTACCTTTTATACCATACTATCACATTACCTGTTATATAAATTATACTACAGAGCTATAGTATCCAAAATAACATGTTACTGGCATAAAAACAGACACACAGACAAATGAAACAGAATAGATAACTCAGAAAGAAATCCACACACTTACAGAGAACTCATTTCTGACAAAGGTGTCAAGAATGTACACTGGGGAAAAGACAATCTCTTCAATAAATGGTGCTGGAATAACTACATCCATATGTAGAATAATGAAACTAGGCCCCTGTATCTCACTATACACAAAAAATCAAATAAAAATATATTAAAGACTTAAATCTAAGGCCTCCAACAATGAAACTACTACAAGTAATCATTGGGGAAAATGTCTAGGACATTGGTCTGGGCAAAATTTCTTGAGCAATACCCCACAAGCACAGATAACCAAAGCAAAAGTAGACAAATGTGATCACATCAAGTTAAAAACTTCTGCACATCTAAGGAAAGCATCGGTAAAGTGAAGAGACAACCCAAAGAATGAGAGAAAATATTTACAAACTTACCATCTCACAAGGGATTAATAACCAGAATAAGGAGTTCAAACAACTGTGTAGGGAAAAAAAATATAATAATTCAATATAAAAAGGCAAAAGATTTTAAGAGATACTTTTCAAAAGAAGACATGCAAATAGCAAATAGGCATATGAAAAGGTTCTCAACATCATTGATCATCAGAGTGATGCAAATCAAGACGACACTGAGATATCATCGCACCCCAGTTAAAATGGTTTATATTTAAAATACAGGGAGTAAGAAATGCTGATGAGGATATGGAGAAAAGGGAATTCTCATACAGTGCTGGGGGGAATGTATATTAGTACAACCACTATGGAGAACAGTTTGGAGATTCCTCAAAAAACTAAAAACAGAGCTACTGTATGATCCAGCAATCCCTCTGGCGATTGAATATACTCTCCTGGGTATATATCAAAACAAAGAAGACCTGCATATCAAAGAGATATCTGCACTCCCATGTTTACTGCATCACTTTTCACAATAGCTAACATATGAAAGCAACCTAAGTGTTCATCAACAGATGAATGGATAAAGAAAATTTGGTGCATATACACAATGAAGTACTATTCAACCATAAAAGAAAATGAGATCTTGTGATTTGCAACAGCATTAACAGAAGTGAAGATCATTATGTTACGTGAAATAAGCCAGGCACATAATGACAAACATCTAATGTTCTCATTTGTTCGTGGGATCTAAAAATCAAAACGATTGAATTCATGGTCGCAGAGAGTAGAAGGATGGTTTCCAGAGGTTGGGAAGGATAGTGGGTAGTTGGGTGGAAGTGGGGATGGTTAGTGGGTATGAAAATTAGTTAGAAAGAATGAATAAGACCTAATATTTGATAACACAGCAGGGTGACTATAGTCAATAATAACTTAGTTGTACATTTTAAAATAGCTAAAATATTATATTTGGATTGTTTGTCACAGAAAAGATAAATGCTTGAGGGGATAGATTCCCATTCTCCATGATATGATTATTATGCATTGCATGACTGTGTCAAAACATCGCATATACCTCATAAACATATACACCTACATATTCAGAAAAATTAAAAATTAAAAAAAATTAAAAATAGAGCAGTCAAATCATAGAATATTTTTGAACCTATTCACTATTGGGGGCACTTTAGTTTGGAGGTAGTGATAAACAGAGGGATCTCAGATTAAGGCACAAGCTCTAGTTTTGAGAAATGTATAACCATATCAGAGACAAAGACATTTATTCATTTATTCATTCACCAAATATTTACTAATAGGCTACTATTTGTCAGGAAATTTTCCAGATCCTGAGGAAACAGTGATAGATGAGACAAGCATAGTTTCCCTGTTGTTTGAGGGTTATGCTTTAATGGAGTGAGGCAAACAATAGCCTAATTAGTTATCCCTTGTGTTGAGTGTTATGAAGAAAATGAAAGAGATGTGGTAATGACTGGGTAAGTATTTAAACTGGAGTTATTAAAAGAGGACTCTTTCAGAAGGTGACATTTAATTGTAAGCCTTAATGACAAGAAGGAGTGGGCAATGTAAAGAACAGAAAAAATATCATTCCTGGCACAGGGAAGAGCTAAAGTGATAAGCTCCCAATGCATGAATAGCCTTGCTGGATACACAAGTAAATAATATAAAGAAGGCAAGCATTAGTAGACTATGATAGATTCTGAAGAAGTATGCAAAGGTCAGATTGTGTAAAGCTTTGTAAACCAATGTAAAAAGATTGGATTTTATTCTAAGGTAATTGTAAGTCACTGAAAGTCTTTGAGTATAACATAGTAAATGAACTAACAGAGGTATCTGGGGTTTGATTTGAGAATATAACCTAGAATAGGAGTTGGGGAACCTGGAAGAGAAAACCGAGCCTGGAAAGATGATGAGGGGTTAAACAGGTCACTCATTGAGCCAAGGTGTAGGGAATGGAGTTGGGGTAGGTATTTTGTAAAGGACTGGCAGAAGACACTGGCATGCTAGGCACAGAAATAACATTTCTGGGAAAGGGAATATAATAAAGCACACTCATTAAATCATAAAATCTGTGATGTATGTTGGAAAAAAACAGGTCTGTCTGGAAGGCCTAAGGCAAGGAAGAGTGAAATTATAGTCAAGGAGCAGGGGAATCAGTTAAACTGCAAATATTATAAATGAAGAAAAGATGATGAGAGCCTGAATTAGGACCATGGGGATGGGAATAAAATTGGAAGAAGCAATGGACTTAATTAAAGGTTAGTGTATAAAGCTGTCAAGAGGTGCTAGCTGATTGGATGGGGAGTGAGGGAGAGGGAAAGTGTGCATTCAAGAATGATTTGTGGGTTTGTAGGCCTCAGTGATACACAAAGACCAAACAAAATTTTACTTTGTTATGTATGGTTTATGGAGATAAGAGATATTTTTCCTTTTTGCTTTGCACCTTCTAGTGTTGTATGTATTTTTTTTACTAGTTGTAGTGGATCCTAGCTGAAACACCCACTTGTGTGTGGGGCATTCACTCGTCCAACTACTAGAAATGTTGGTAGATGAGGACACAGCTTATTCCCTTCTCAAGAATTGTAGTCATCTTAAAGCGTTCCTTTACTAAAGGTTACACTCATTCCCTGGAGTCATCTTGCATCCAGTGACTGGTTGATGAAGGAGTGACAAAGACTGGACAACCTTGCTTCCGTTTGGGAAACATGTTAAGACCATTCCAACTCCAGGGTTCTCTGTGAGATCAGTTGAGCCCTCTGGTGTAAATTCACAAGAGTTCAAGTTTTCCCTCTGTCCAATCTTCTTTCTTCACTCACTCATAGATGGTATTTCTGAGAGCACTTCCCAATAAGTCACCTGCGTCTCAGAGTTTATCTCTTAGGGACTCAAAATATGACTTTTATAATCTGAAAATAATTTATCAACAAAAATCCATTTTATTTTGGAAAATTAAGATGCTTAATACTAGGTGAAAGATGCTTAGATTTTCTCAGCCACTGTAAGAAATAGCTATTTCTAGCCATGTGCCATGGTATGTGCATATAGTCCCAGCCACTCAGGAGGCTGAAGTAGGAGGGCTGATTGAGCACAGGCCTTCAAGGCTGTAGAGTTATATGATCATGCCTGTGAATAGTCACTACTCTCCAACCTGAGCAGCAAAGTGAGACTCCCATCATATATATATATATCATATATGTATATATATGAAATAAATTTAAAAATTAAAAACCCATTTTGTTAACAAAAGGGAAATAGCTACTCCTTATAAGTACCTGATAAAAAATGGTTGAACATTGTGAAGAGATGTTCTACATAACATGCCTAACACTATTTGTAAATGAAGTGATTTTTTTGTGTTGTTGTACATGCCCAAGTACCTATTGAAACCTGTGGATGCATTTGCATGTATATAAGAGTAAGCTTAGATTTCTCCAAATAGGCTAAAAACATTCATTTTCAATTATTATATATTTCCTACAGTAATTAAACATGATTTATCAAGAAGTAATTTTCTATGATATTACATAGTATCTCTACCTCTATTCATAATTTATAATTCCCATTATTCATTACCCTTAAACACATAGGAATAAAAGGGTTTAGAATAAATGTTCTTATATTTTAAAAAAAGGCTCTTGATGATGGGCATTTCACATTTCCAATAAGGATTTAATCAATCTTTAAATATCTTTTCCTGCTTATTATAACATCAAGCAACTTATGAATATGCCAAAAAGAATTGAAAATGTTAGTTGAATTTTCATCAGCTAGCCTGCCAGTTGGAGAGTTAATAGCTTACCTCAAGTGACATCTGTAAAGTAAAAGCAAAATTAATTAGAAGTCTTTACTCTTGAAAGGTTAGACAAACATGTCTCGTCTTATCTTGTCTCTTTGACAACCATCTGCCTTGCGTATATGAGCAATAAATGTAAGAAAATAATATTTAAAATTAAAATTGTATACACATGTACACACAAACTGTGAAAAGACAAGAATTAGAATACACTTATTTTCTTTGTATGTTTTGAGAATTGTCTGTTAACCTTAGAAATGGAAAACACAATCTTGTTACTGATGGAAAATAAATGATAGAAAATACATAAATAGTAGTCAATCTATTTTTCTACATATTTAATTATCTTTAGTGTTGTTTAATTACTTGGTATAAGAAATTAGGTATTATTTCTTCACATTAATTTAAAAAAATTGGTTTTGAAAATAGCATATTCTATTTTCCAAAATGAAAGAGCTTTATATTTTCTGTTTATATAAATCATATATTTATATTATAAAAATTGTTGTAGAAAGCGTATGAATAGAAAAGTAAAATTTACTTTGAATTCTAACTCCTAAAACAAAGTGTTAATTATGTTGTACCTATCTTTTTATCAATATGCTCTATTTATGTATCTATCTACTACTTACCTCTACATAAATAATATTCATATATAATGAGTCATGTTACATTTGCTATTTTTGTTATTATTATTATTTTTTTCTGAGATGGAGTCTCGCTCTGTTGCCCAGGCTGGAGTGCAGTGGTGCGATCTCGGCTCACTGCAACCTCCAACTCCCAGGTTCAAGTAATTCTCCTGCCTTAGCCTCCTGAGTACCTGGGATTACAGGCACCCACCACTACACTCGGTTATTTTTGTATTTTTAGTAGAGACGGGATTTCACCATGTTGGATCAGGCTGGTCTCGAACTCCTCAGGTGATCCACCTGCCTCGGCCTCCCAAAGTGCTGGGATTACAGGCATGAGCCACCACACCTGACCTACATTTGCTATTTTCATATATATATTTATTTTCAGTGAAAATGTCATGGACATTTTTTCATGTTAATAAACGTAGATCTACAATCTAGTTTTAAATGGCTTTATACTTTTTCTTTGTATTGCCATATCACATTTTATTCAAATGTTTCCCAAATGAAAAATTTTCAAATTGTTCCTCCTTTTAGAATGTATTAAAAAACACCTTAAAACGTTAAATATAATGAAAGAAAGAAAGAAAAAGAAATTGATTCAAGTCTGAAAAACCATTCACATATCTCCTTAGAACACTTTGTTATAAATAGAATTTTGGGGTCAAAGGGAACATCATTTTTAAGAAACTAAAAGAATCTTGCATTCACTGATCTCATTATTAATTAATTCTGTTTACAGATTTATTATCTTAGGTAAAATTTAGTTGCAGATAAACGCAAACATTCTAAGTGTACAATGCACAGAAAAACAAATACTGCATGATCTCACTCATATGTGGAATCTAAAAGGTTTGATCTCAAAGGAATAGGGTAGAATGTGGTTACCGTGGACTGGAGTGGTTGCAGGGAAGGATCAGGGAGGTGTTGGTCAAAGGATACACTGAGTGTTGACAAATGCTTACACCCAAGAAACTCACATTATGACAACAATGTGGGAACATTTCCCTCATGAAAGTTCCCTCATGCCCCTTCCTAGTCAATCCCACCCCACAAAAGATAGAAAGCAGCTTTTCTTTTTTCACCGTAGATTATTCTTGTTCTTTTACAACTTTATGCAAACAAATCATACAATATGCTCTTTATGTGTTCAGCTTCCTTTCTTCAGCATAACGTCAGTGACATTCTTTTCTGTATGCTATTGCATGAATAAATAAGTTTTTACCCATTCTCTGCTGATGGATACTTGGGATGTTTCCCTGAGATATTTATTTTTTCCAGATTTATTGAGATATAGTTGAAAACAAAAAATATATATATTTAGCATGTACAATAAGAAAATTTGATAAATATATAGTAAAGTGATTACCGCGATCAAGTTAATTAACACATCCATCACTTCACATAGTTACCAATTGTGTGTGTGTGTGTGTGTGTGTGTGTGTGTTTGTGGGTGTGGTGAGAATATTTAAGATTACTCTCAGCAAATTTTAATTATAAAATACAGTATTAATAACTATAGTCACCATACTGTATATTAGATCCTCAGAACTTATTTCTCTTATAACTGAAAGGTTATACCCTTTGACCAAAATCTCTTTATTCCTCCCAATCCCCAGGTCTTAGTAACCACCATTCTGTTCTCTGCTTCTGTGAATTTGACTTGATTTGTCTCCTGCTTTTATTCTTTTTTATTGCTATAAAAGAATACTGACATTGAGTAATTCATAAAGAAAATAGTTGTATTTAGCTCATGGTTGTATAGACTGAGAAGTTAAAGGACATGGCTCTGGCTTCTGGTGAGGGCTTTTGTTCTGCATCACGACATGGAAAAGATCAAAGGGGAAGTGGACATATGTGAAGAGAGAAAAACATTAGGGACATTCTGGCTTTATAACAACCCACTCTTTGTGGAACTAATTAATTCCCATGACAGCTATTAGTCTCAAAAGAGTGAGGACTCACTACCATGAGAACAACATCAAGCCACTCATGAGGGATCCGCCTTCACAACCCAAACACCTCCTACTACGGCCCTTCACTTCCCAGGATCTCCACATTGGGGATTAAATTTCAACATGAGTTTTGGTGGGGACAAACAAAAGGTATCAAAATCATAGCATTCTTCTTTAATTTATAGTTTTATTCACTTGAGTTCTCTCTCTAGTTTCTTTGTCTATCTAAAGGTTTGTAGACATTTTTTTCCCTTTCAAAAAATCAACTCTTAGTTTTGTTGATCTTTTGTGTTGTCTCCCTAGTCTTTACTTCATTTATTTCTGCTCTAATCTTTATAATTGTTTTCCTTCTGCTACATCTCAGCTTAATTTTTTCTTCTTTCTTAAGTCCTTTGAGGTGTAAAGTTAGGTTGTTCAGTTGGGATAATTTTTTTTTCTTAATCTAGGCATTTATTATTATATACTTCCTCTCAGAACTGCTTTAGCATGTTTCTATGTTCATTTATCACAATATAATTTTCCATTTCCCTTTTGATTTTTTCTTTGGCCCATTAGTTGTTCAGGAGTGTGTTGTTTAATTTTCACATAATTGTGAATTTTCCAATTTTCCTCCTGTTATTAATTTCTAGTTTCATATTATTGTGGTCAAAAAAAGATACTTCATATAATTTCAATCTTCTTAAGTTTGTTAAGACTTGTTATGCAGCCCAACATAAGATCTATCTTAGAGAATGTTCTATGTGTGTTTGAGAAGAATGTATATTCTTCTTTTGGGTTGAATGTTCTCTGTATATGTCTATTGGGTCCATTTGTTCTAAAGTGTAGTTCACATCCAATGATCCCTTATTGAATTTTCATCTGGATATTGGAAGTGGAGTGTTGAAGTTCCCTACCATTATTGTATTACAATCTATTTCTCCCCTCAGATTTATTAATATTTGCTTTATATAATTTGGTGATCCAATATTAGGTGCATAAATACTAATAATTATTATATCCTCTTAATGAATTGACTCTTTTATCATTATATAGTGATCTTTGTCTCTTGTGAGAGATTTTGACTTAAAGTCTATTTTGTCTCATGTAAACATCTCCACTCCTGCTCTTTTGGTTACCACTAGCATGGAATAACATTTTTCATCCCTTTACATTCAGCCTATATGTGTCCTTAAAACAAAAGTGAGTCTCTTGATGGCAATATCTAGTTGGATCTTGTTTTTCATCCATTCAGCCACTCTGTGTCTTTCTTATTAGAATATTTAATTCATTTAAATTTAAGTAATTGTTAATAGGGAAGCATTTGCTGTGGTCGTTTAGTTAATTGAATTTTGACTAGGTTTTTTAGTTCCTTTGTTTCTTACTTCCTCTCTTGCTATCTTCCTTTGTAATTTGATGTTTTCTGTATTAGTGGCTATAATTTTTTTCTTTCTTCTTTCTTGTAATCTACTGCAGGTGTTTTCTTTGTGGTTACTATAAGGCTTTCATAAAACATCTTATAACAATCTATTTAAAGTTAATAACAACTTCAATTCCATAAAAAAACTGTAAAATTCTGTTTCTCCTCTCTACATTTTATTATGTGACTCATAATTTTCTTTGGATTGATCCAGCTTGGGATCCTTCAAGTATCATGTAGTTAGATGTTCTTATCCTTCCCACGATTTGGAAAGTTTTAAACCATTATTTCTTTAAATAGGTCTTTTCCCCCTTTTTCTTCTCTACTATTCCTAAGAATACCATATTGTGTATATTTTTTCACTTGATGGTGTTCCATAGGTCCTATTTAGTGTCCTCATGCTTTTTATTCCTTTTCCTCTTTTTTGTTCCTCTAACTGGTTAATTTCAAATGACCTGCTGTCATTTTTGCTGATTTTTTTTTTCCTGTATGATCAATTCTGCTGTTACAGGTTATATAAATATTCAGCCAATTCTAATAGATACTCAACATAGATAATATGTTGAGAAAAATCCCTGTCTGTTCTTTTCTTAAAAAAGACTGCCACCATCATTCTCATAAAGAAAATACAGTACACTTTATTTTATCTGGCATGTTAATAGAAGCCCATCTCTGCAATAATTAGATTAATCAAATATTTTGGTTAAAAGACAATTGCCATGTATTTAATAACGTTTTTAATAATGTAAATATGTCAATAATATAAATAGAACATCAAATATTCTTTATTTTTATTTTTCATTGTGGTAAACCCACATAACATGAGATTGCAAATTTTAACCATTTTTAAATATGCACTTCAGTGGCATTAAATACCTTAACATTGTGCAACAATTATCACCATTTATTTCCAGATCTTTTGTTATCTCTTTAAATGAAAACTCTGTACCAAATAAACAATAACTCCTCACAGCCCTCTCCCCCAGCATCTGACAGTCACCATTCTACTTTCAGTCTCTATCAACTTGACTGCTCTGAGTACCTCATATAAGTGCAATCATACAATATTTGTCTTCCTGTGTCTGCTTATTTCACTTAGAATAATGTCTTCAGGGCTTATCCATGTTGTAACATGTCAGAATTTCATTTCTTTATAAGGCTGAAAAATATTCCATTGTGTGTATATACCACGTTTTATCCAGTTATCCGTTGATGGACATATGAGTTGGTTTCCATCTTTCATTTATTGCTGCTGTGAAAATGGGCATACAAATATCTGTTCAAATTATTGATTTCAATTCATTTGGATATATACCCACAAGAGGAATTGTGTTATATGGTAAATCTATGTATTTTCCGGGGTTGGGGGGGCGGGGGGGCGCATCCCTGCTCGGCGCGCCCCGCTTCTTGGGTTCCCGCCTCCTCCCCGTTCACCGCCGGGGGGGGGACTCGCCCCTCCAGGCTGGGACGGGGTCCGGGGAGCGTGGGTGGGAACCGCGGAGGCGGGTGCGCTGAGCGGGGTCCGTGCCCCGCCGGCCCCTATCCCAGGGGTGGCCCCGCGGGCCCGGGGGCGGCCACCCGGCGTTCCGGCCCTCGCGCATCCTTCCTCCTCTTTCCTCCGCACGGGTCGACCAGCAGACCGCTGGTGGGGCGTGGGGAAGGGGTGTGAAAGGGGGTGGCAAGGCCCAGGGCATCCCCACACCCCGCCAACCTCCGCTCGCCACCGCTTCTCGGTCTGGCCTCCCAGGTCGACCAGCTGCCGCCGGAGGGCGTGAGACTTAGCTGGCGGCTCACCCTGTCCCAGGTAGACCAGCAAGTTGAATCTCTGAATAGACCAATAACAGGCTCTGAAATTGAGGCAATAATTAATAGCTTACCAACCAAAAAAAGTCCAGGACCAGATGGATTCACAGCCGAATTCTACCAGAGGTACAAGGAGGAGCTGGTACCATTCCTTCTGAAACTATTCCAATCAATAGAAAAAGAGGGAATCCTCCCTAACTCATTTGATGAGGCCAGCATCATCCTGATACCAAAGCCTGGCAGAGACACAACAAAAAAGGAGAATTTTAGACCAATATCCTTGATGAACATTGATGCAAAAATCCTCAATAAAATACTGGCAAACCGAATTCAGCAACACATCAAAAAGCTTATCCACCATGATCAAGTGGACTTCATCCCTGGGATGCAAGGCTGGTTCAACATATGCAAATCAATAAACGTAATCCAGCATATAAACAGAACCAAAGACAAAAACCACATGATTATCTCAATAGATGCAGAAAAGGCCTCTGACAAAATTCAACAACCCTTCATGCTAAAAACTCTCAAGAAATTAGGTATTGATGGGACGTATCTCAAAATAATAAGAGTTATCTATGACAAACCCACAGCCAATATCATGCTGAATGGACAAAAACTGGAAGCATTCCCTTTGAAAACTGGCACAAGACAGGGATGCCCTCTCTCACCATTCCTATTCAACATAGTGTTGGAAGTTCTGGCCAGGACAATCAGGCAGGAGAAGGAAATAAAGGGCATTCAATTAGGAAAAGAGGAAGTCAAATTGTCCCTGTTTGCAGATGACATGATTGTATATCTAGAAAACCCCATTGTCTCAGCCCAAAATCTCCTTAAGCTGATAAGCAACTTCAGCAAAGTCTCAGGATACAAACTCAGTGTGCAAAAATCACAAGCATACTTATACACCAATAACAGACAGAGACCCAAATCATGAGTGAACTCCCATTCACAATTGCTTCAAAAAGAATAAAATACCTAGGAATCCAACTTACAAGGGATGTGAAGGACCTCTTCAAGGAGAACTGAGTAACTTCCATACTATTTTCCATAGCAGTTGTGCTTTTACACTTTTTTTTTTTTTTTTGACGGAGTCTCGCTCTGTTGCCCAGGCTGGAATGCAGTGGCCTGATCTCGGCTCACTGCAAGCTCCGCCTCCCGGGTTCATGCCATTCTCCTGCTTCAGCCTCCCCAGTAGCTGGAACTACAGGCGCCCGCCACCAGGCCCGGCTAATTTTTTTGTATTTTTAGTAGAGATGGAGTTTCACCGTGTTAGCCAAGATGGTTTCTATCAACTGACCTCATGATGGGCCCGTCTCGGCCTCCCAAAGTGCTGGGATTACAGGCGTGAGCCACCGCACCCGGCCAGTAGTTGCACCATTTTAAGTTCCTCCAACAATGTACATGTGTTCCAATTTGTCTTCATCCATACCAAGACATGCTGACATTCTGTTTTGTTTTGTTGCAATTAGCTATCCTCACAGGTGTGTGGTGTGAGAAACTCCAGGCTTCTACAGGTCTGTAGTCCCCCTTCAATTTTTATGAGCAGTACTTGCTGCTCTCTTTCACTTTTCCAGGCTGAGATTTGAGTTACACATAACAGAGACTAGTCCTTTAGGAATCTCCCAGATATATTAGAATCTTGCAAATAAGGTCTGCTCTGCTCCCTCCAGTTTAAAGGAGAGAACTGAGAAATGGACTGCTGCCTTAGAAGGTCAATTGAATATCTTCACCTTAAATTTCTGGCCTCAGGTATCTGTGGGTGACAGTTTTCCAGCAGCTTTACCAAAGACCATCAAAGTACTTTTCCCTGACCGAACTCCAAGTCAGATGAAACAGATACTAGTCGCTCAGGCAGCCCACAGACAAGTTAAAACATTGTTATGCTCTCTCTGCTTTGAGGGAGGGAACTGGAAACAGGGAAGCTGCCTCCTCTAAACCAAGACTGTGCAATACTGGGTATATGAAGGTGACAGTTAATAAAAAAAAAAATGAGGAAATTTCCTGCTATTTGAATTCTGCTTTTTCTTGATTGGGCATTTGCGTGGTTGCTGTACACTTTTGGCTGTTTTCCAGAACTCCTATAAGTACGTTTGGCCAGTCTCTACTTTTTTGTTTGCTTGTTTTAATGTTTCCATGGGGGAAACAGATACCTAAAGCTTCCTAGTTCACTGTTTGGCTGATGTCACTTCAAAATCATTAATTTTTTAAGTTTTATTTTTTAATGGAGCCACAATAATTGTACATGTTTATGGGATACAGTGTGATGTTTCAATACATATATACGTTGTGTAATAATCAAATCAGGGTAATTAGCATGTCCATTACTTCAAACGCTTGTCATTTCTTTGTAGTGAGAAGATTCAAACCCCTCTCTTCTAGCTATTTTGAATTATATATTATCGTTAACTATAGTTGCCCGGCTGTGCAATAGAACACCAGAACTTATTCCTTCTGTGTAACTTTGTACCCATTGATCAACCCCTCCCCATACTCCCATCCCCTCTACTCTCCCTAACATCTGGTAAACCCTGTTCTACTTTCTAATTCCATAAGATTAACTTTGTTTTAGATTCCTACGAATGAGATCATGTGGTATTTGTTCTTCTGTGCTTGGTTTATTTCACTTGACATAATATCCTTTAAGTGTGTCCATGTTGATGCAAATGATAGGATATCATTATTTTTTATGATTGAATAATAATATCCAAAATATATAAGGAACTCAAATAACTCAGTAGCAAACCAAAAAAAAAAAAAAAAAAAAAAACAAACAAAAACCAACAACAAATAACCTAATTTAAAAATGGGCAAAATATATGGATAGACATTTCTCAAAAAAGACATACAAATGGTTAACAGATATATGAAAAAGATCTTCAACATAACTAGTAATCATGGTAAAAAATCAAAACCACAGTAAGCTATCATCTCACCCATTAGGATGCCTATTAGACAAAAAATTAAAAAATGCTAGCAGTAATGTGGAGAAAAGGGAACACTTGTATGTAACTGGTGGGAATGAAAATTGGTACAGCCATTATGGAAAACAGTATGAAGGTTGATCAAAAAATTAAAATCTGAACTACCATATGATACAAGAATCTCACTATTGGGTATATAACCAAATGAAATGACATTAGTATGCTGAACAAATAGCTGCATTCCCATGTTCACTGCAGTACTCTTCACAATAGCCAAGATATGAAATCAACCTAAATATCCATCAATGGATTAATAGACAAAATGTATGGTATAATTATACAATAAATTGCTAATTTTTAAACAGACTCAATACAATTAAAAGCTTTACTGTATTGGTTATGATTTGATTATTCTTTATTTATTCAAAAGATGCTAATGGATCTTGCTTAACCTGAGAGGCATTGGTATCAACATCATCCACTATCAACATCAGTAGGCTCATTGATAGGTCAGACTCATTTTATGCTATTGTGTCCCTTCTACCATTTTCATATTTTTTCCCAATCACCCCAATAAAATATTCAAGAATGAGTCTAATATCAGCCATTTATATCTCTTTGTTAATTTAAGATTATTCTCTAGTTGTTGAAAAAAGGTTTTTTCCTCATTAAAAGAACAGCAAATATTGGTGAGTTTGTGAAAGAGACAGATTAATTCACACCATATAAGTTGTTATTCAAGGCTTACATACTAAAACCCACAACCTCATCAGCCCATGAGCTGGCTCATCAATTGTATGCTTTTCTAATATACAAAAGAAAAGAAAATTATTGATCAAATTATGGTTTTATGAAAGTTAATATTTCTCACTCAATCACACTCAGGGGAATTACAGCTATTGTCCAAATCATTCTACCACATTTCTCCATATCTTCCAGGGTTTATCATATAATCAGATACACTAAATCAATTTACTATCTGAACTCTACCAATTATCAACATATCTGTAGCATTATTTCAACAATCCAGGCTCATATGCAAGAATGAGTATTGCTTCTCTTCATATTTTCACCTATTTTCTATAAATGACTTTTTCCATACTCAATTTTTCCTCCTTTGGAATGTCTCCAAGGACCTCAGGATCTTATACTACCTCCTAAATTTTATATAGAATTTTATATGTCCAGCTCTCAAGTTCTATCTGTAGATTTCATCAGGGGCAATTTAGTCTAGAGATTGGACACTATAAAAAATAACATAAAATAAAATTTGGGCATATAAATTAAGTCATTTAAAATTAATTTGAGCTCTATCTTAAATATAGGTACCAACTTAATAGTGTTTCTTTCCTGATCTATGGAATGTGGCTAGCCAACCTTTGTATAATCATACTAATAAGCTAATGCTATGAATATTTGGATATTGGAATACTTCACATGCTTTGAAACATTCTGTTTTTCTTAATTATTAATCTCAAATGTAAGAATAAAGATTTTTCTGCAAGTTTCCTCACCAATAGCATCATATTGTCTAATTGAGATCCTGTACTCAGCTTGTCAAATCTAAATATTTCAAGTCAGCTAGAGTGAATTTTAGTTGGGCTAAATTACACTATTGATTTAGTAATTTGGTTTTAATTAGTTATATTCACTTAATTGTTTTGAGGTCTATCATGACATTTATAAATGGAGTTGTGGAAATTTATTTCAGACTTTGAAGGCTTAAGTGTGTGTGTTTTTTTAATTTACTCATTTCTACTCTGAAACTTTGTGTAGAAGCTTTAGTCATATGACTCTCTTGCAGTTGCTTTTCACATGTAGGTTTGTTTTAAAGAGTGAGTGCCTTCAACAAAGTTCTTTAGCAACAGACATAATGACTGTCATGTGCTGCAGTGATACAATAATGTTCATTGTGTACAGTAGTCAGTTTTCTAGATATTTAAAAGCCCCCTATGATGAGGGACTTGTATTTCAATTAACTTGCCTTTGTGCTTCATATTATAATAATAATAAATAATGGCTATAATAACCATCACGACTATTATTTATCTTGCAAGATGTTGAACATTAAGTATATAACATTTAAACATAATACGACATTTCAATACTACCACTGACTCCTGCCTTAGCTGTTTCATCCACTGACCAGAATCAAAAATGAAATGCAATTAGGATTTTTCTTTATGTTCATTTCTGTTGGCCTAGTAACATGTTATATGTTACCTAGATTTCCAAAACCTAGAGTCATAATCCCATTCAGGAAGCATTTAGAGAGAAAAGAGCATGACTGACAGAAATGTAACATTTCTCAGAGCGTGTTCAGTGGAAAGTTGTTTAATATTACCACAAGTTTGGAAAACACTAACTGAAATAAAACAGTTTTTTTTTTCTGCAAACGTCTCAGATAAGTTGCATTTCAAATTTCTCTGAAGAGAACATGCATACCCTTTTTGTAAAGCACTACACAAATAATTCTTCATAACATATTTTAGAAACTATTGCAAAGATAAATTGTAATGTTCTTTCAAGTGCATGTTATGGACTGAAAGTTTGTGTCTCCCACAAATTTAAATCCTGAATCCCTAACTCCCAATGTGATGGTACTAGGTGGGGCCTTTGTGAGGTAATTAGTTTTGGATGAGGTCATGAGTGTGGAGCTCCCATGATAGGATTAGCGCTCTTATAATAAGAAGAAGATAAACCAAAACTTCCTCGCTCTACCACGAGAAGACATAGAGAAGGGGCACCCTGCAAGCTAAGAGGAGGCCACTCTTGAGAACATGACTATACTGGCACCCTATTCTTGAACTTCCAGCTTCCGATATTGTCAGAAATACATTTTTGTTGGTTAAGACATCCAAATATTTTGTTATGAGAGCCCAACTAAGATAATATTGTTGAGGAATTTGGGCCCAAACTGAATTTACTCTTCATCTTTGAAACTTACTAGAAGTCTAACACTACCTCTAAGTCCATCACTCATCAGTAGAGTAGGGATACTAATAACTTGCAGGATTATTGTGATGATTGTATGTACATGGCTTATAGTAAGCTACAAGTAAATGACAGCTGTTATTATGTTTATTATTATTCCCTATTACTCTAGGTTTCTTCCACTCAGGCTCAAATTTTAAAGTGAATTGAAAATTTGGAAAATTATAAATTTGGCTGCTCAAACTGCAAAATTCTGGTCAAAATATAATATTCCTGTGAATCTTTTTAGAGAGGGCAATTATCCATAAATTGTGGCTGTTAAAACTAGGTCCAGGATAGTTAATCTTGGAGTTTACAGGGTAGTATTAATAATAAATCAGCTGTTTGAGTAAGATCAATACCTACTGATAAGCCTAGGTGAAAGTTTGCTCTTCTGAGCTTACTGATTTTCTACTAACTTTTGCAGCTCAGCAGGCTTAACTGGGTCAAGTAATATGTTAGATGCATTAGGTAGGCACTCCATCGAGCTCCAACACACCAAGAAATTTTCATGCACTGAACTCCCATATTCTGGATTGTAAGTATAATTTTTATACCCATAGCATCTCAAGGTAGCTCTCACAATAACTTACTTCTTGTCTAGTTAAAAATAATTCTCAGAACCCAATTTACCATTTTTGCTGGAGAAATGTATTCATGTCTGGTCAATCATTTTGTTTCATAAGAAAGTGTCTTCAGATATGGATAACTAAATCATTTTGCATATTTGCTTTGGAATGTCTACGTGAGGATTTATCCTAGGATCTTAACTCTAAGAAATAAATACATATATTCTGAATTGTTTTGACATGAGATAGAGTGATAAAATCATGATTTAATATTTATACTACAACATACCATCCTTTTAAAAATGATTTTTTAAAAAAAATCTAGTCTTACTAACTTGTAAGCATTTTTAACTTACTAACTTAAAATCATTTGTGCTAGCTATGGTATAATTTTTTTTAATTATTAAATTGGATAAGGCTTCTTGCCCCCAGAGACCTTATAACTTACCACACAGCACATTTTATGTTTTCATTTGTAGGCAATATATGTATTGAAAGGCACTGAGTATGTTGTGCTTTTTTCCTTATTATATTTTCCACATTTGCATGTGCTCTCTCTCAATGCCTTTTTGAATTATCACTATTTACGTATATATGAAATAATGCATATATAAAAAAATTATATATATCTATATATATATATACACACACACACACACACACACACAGAGAGAGGGAGAGAAATCTGCTTCCTATTTTCATTTGATTTCTCCATAGGAGTGCATTCTGCTATAAAGGTGATTAAGTTCTCTTAAAATAAGAAGTTAATGTGGGAAAATACTTCTGATCAGTTCTGCTTTAATTTTATAGTGGAGTAATAATGCTAATAATGCTTATTTCGTTAAGTGATAATGGAAGAATGTACATGTATTCACATGAAATTTTAATGGACTAAATTGCAACACACACTAAATGCCAGCATATTCCTCTAAAATACACCAATGGAGATTACAGAACTTGTAAATAAATGTCAAGCTTTTAGAAAAAAATATAGTAACCAAGAATAGCATCGTTCATTCACCAACCAGTCATATTCTGAGTTCATTTTGGTACTATTATTGCAGTACTCTGCAGTGTTGCTTAATTCAACTCCATCGCTACTTTTTTTTTTCCAAAACTAGGGTTTTCAGAATTCCATCCTAGTGTACATGCAGCAAACTCATGATAAGTTCATGGCAATTGGTATTCATTACATAGAATTACTGATACTGAAAATCTTGTCTCAGCTCAGTTTTTGACCTATTATACAGTCACCTGTATATGTATATGTTGATTTATAGGCATCCTATGCCTACATCTGGTCCAATCATCTGGGACTAGGAGCACAGAGCCATGTGATATAAAGCAAGACCAACAAAAGGCTTCTTGTAGAACAATAGTTATGAGTGAAGCAGGTGGCCATCAAAGGTGATGTGGGAAGGCAGGTGCCATGTACATTCTCTACACCTTTGTTCAGAATAACTTAGTGGTCATCAACAAGGAATGAAGGGAATAGATTCCTTGTTGATGTGTATTGGTCTTATAATTCTATGAGTTAAGAATTAGGGAAGGTATAAGAAAACTGATACTGAAGATATTACATATTTTATCTTGCTTCTTACATATTTGAAACTGCATTATACTATATTTCAAATGTTTGAAATAATCAAGACTGATTTGATGGGTCCAAGAAAATTCTCAGCAAGTACAACTGGACACTTGGATAAGATTTCAATATATTTTAATTTTATCCTAATAGTTTTCAGCACTTTGTTCAAGTTTTTTAGCTGAGTTGTACATTTAGCATTGTATTCTTATGTTCTAACTTAAAAATGAAAGCAGTTCTTCAAAAAATAAAAATAAAACAATACCTCACTATATCACTTGTTTTATAAGCAAAAATTCAACACAAAATACAAAGTATAGGTTGTGCAGTCTTAGGAAGCAAGACAAGGTACATTTAAATCCCAGCTCTCTCACCTAGGAGCTGTGCAAATTTGCTGAGTTGTCTTCAACTTACTATACTTCCTTTTCCTAATACATTTAATGGGAATAAAAATACATGTCTCCAGTTGTTGTGTAGGTATTAAATGAAATACTTTATGTAAAAGACTTGGCACAATACATGGCTTATTAATAAGCACTCAATAAATAATAGTCCATTAGACCAGCGGTCTCCAACCTTTTTGACACCAGGGACCGGTTTCACAGAAGACAATTTTTTCCATGGACCATGGAAGGGAATGGTTTCTTCATGAAACTGTTCCACCTTAGATCAGGCAGTGGATTCTCATAAGGAGTGTGCACCCTAGATCCCTTGCATGCACAGTTCACAATAGGGTTCTTGCTCCTATGAGCATTCAATGCTGACCGAGCATGGTGGCTCACACTTGTAATCCCAGCACATTGGGAGGCCGAGGTAGGCGGATCACCTGAGGTCAGGAGTTCAAGATCAGCCTGGCCAACATGGTGAAACTCCATCTCTACTAAAAATGCAAAAATTTGCTGGGCGTGGTGGTGGGTGCCTGTAATCCCAGCTACTTGGGAGGCTGAGGCAGGAGGAGAATCACTTGAACATGGGACGTGGAGGTTGCAGTGAGCCAAGATCGTGCCATTGCACTCCAGCTTGGGCGACAAAAGAGAAACTCCGTCTTAAAAAAAAAAAAAAAAAAAAAAAAAAAGAGAATCCAATGCCTCCGCTGCTCTGGCAGGGGCTGGAGGTCAAGCCGTAGTGCTGGCTTGCCCACTGACTCGCTCACCTCCTGCTGTGTGGCCTGGTTCCTAATAGGCCATTAACCGGTACTAGTCAGCAGTCCAGGAGTTGGGGAACCCTGCATTAGACCACATCTCCAAAGCAGTGTTGCAAGACAATCCACTGAGGTACCAAATAAAACACTAAGCATTTAATTTGTAATATTACTTTCTTTTAGTTTAAAACTACATTAACACTATATATATATATACATATATATACTATATATACTACATGTATATATGTATATATGTATATATGTATATGTGTGTATATATGTATATATGTGTATATATGTATATATGTATATATGTGTATATATGTATATATGTATATATGTGTGTATATATGTATATATGTATATGTGTATATATGTATATATGTGTATATATGTATATATGTATATATGTGTATATAGTATATGTGTATATATGTGTATATATGTATATATGTATATATGTGTATATATGTATATATGTATATATGTGTGTATATATGTATATATGTATATGTGTATATATGTATATATGTGTATATATGTATATATGTATATATGTGTATATAGTATATGTGTATATATGTGTATATATGTATATATGTATATATGTGTATATATGTATATATGTGTATATATGTGTATATATGTGTATATATGTATATATATGTGTATATATGTATATATATATGTATAGCATCTTGCTTTTCTCACTCAACAATGTGTACTGAAAATTTATCTGGGTCAACTGCCATAGCTCAAATACATATTTTTATTGGCTGTATAATATTCCATGTTGTGACTATAGTGTCATACATTCAATCACTTCTCCCCTGAGGGAAATTCACTTTGCTTCCAGAAGTTTTTTGTTTGTTTGTTTTTTGTTTTACCACTTTTGAAAAGTTCTGCAGTCATCATTTTGGCTGATACAGTTTTCTATGTAATGGAGGTTTTATTTTATTGGGTAAATTCCTAGAAGTGAGATTACTGGGTAGAAGACGATATGTATTTTTAATTTCAGTAGATGGACTAGATTATGTCCCCTAAAAAGATTATAATATCTTATATTTCCACCAGCAATATATCAGAGAAATTTTTTTGCATCCTTGGTAGCAACAGATGTTATTATTCTTTATAAATTTGTATATGTCTTATAGATGAAGTGGTACTTTACTTTGAATTTACTTTGAATATTGCTATTTGTGAATGTGAACATCTTTTCATGTATTTGTTGGCTGACTATTTATATCCTTTGTCCTTTTTTACTCTTTGGTTGTTTGGTCTTTTTCTTGTCAGTGTGTTAAGACACACTTACGTATTATAGACTTTAACTTTTCGTTTGATGTATTTAGTACAATGTTTTCCAAAACTATCATTTGTCTAGTGGTTTTATTATATGAAATTTATTTTTCAGCTTTTGTATTGTTGAATGTATATAGTGAAGGTTACTCTCGACCCCTTAGATTGAATGTGATTCCATATCTACTCTATTAGACTTTCAAGATTTTGTTTTATTTTTATATCTGTGTCAGCTGACATTATATGTTGCTGTAAAAACAATAAGAAAAAACAGTGGCTTATGAAGATACCAGTTCTCTCTGGTGAGACTCTCAAAGAGTATAGCTGCCTATAGACTCCAGTAGACATCTGACTCAGACATACTTTGGAGGTCAGGTGAAGGGAACCATATTCAGGTTGCCATGTTTCCAGAGTCCTCTTCTAATAGATACTCTTAGTGCCCTGCCAAGTTCCCCTTTAGGAAGCTGGTTCACTCATCCCCCAGTTATCTGGCTGTTACTATGTCAATTGCTCACAACTGCAACTTTCTCTTGAGAATTTCCCTGGGCTTAGCGGGGCCACCTCACTGAAAATGACTGGATTGTCATGTCCTCAACAAGACAACTTTGGTGGTACCATTCATTCTAAATCTCCCTATGGAATCGAAGACAGGGTGAATGAACTCACATTTGTGCAGAGCTTCTTCCTCTGCCCTATCCTGTTTCCCTTATGCCTTTATATGTCTTACCTAAGAGCACTTTCTTAATAAATCACATATAGTGTTGTCATAGTTAGCAAATAAAAATACTACACACTCATTAAAATTTTAGTTTCTAGCAAAGAAGGAATGGTTTTTAGTATAAGTATGTCACATGAAATATTTGGGATGTATACGTACTGTAAAATTAATCACTGTTTATTTGAAATTCAAATTTAACTGGGCACCTTGTATTTTAGCTAGCAACCTTATTTCACTTGCACAAAAATTCTCATCTCAGGCCCTGCTTCTCCAGAACTCAACTTAAGTTACTGCTCACTGGTGACTATATTCAACTTTTTATACATTAGAAAATGAAATTAAGCTTCACTATTTAATATACAGATAGGTAATCTCACTAGATCCATCTGTTAGTCTGTTATATAAAGGGCTAGTGAAGCAGCCCTGAGTCAGAAGATTAGATGGTAGCACTTTAAGCCCATTTTGATATATGCAGTTTATGTAAGAGAGTAGACCCCCCTTATCCACATTTTCATTTTCCATGGTTTCGGTTACCCATGGTCAAGTGTGGCCCAAAAATATTAAATGGAAAATTCCAGAAGTAAGTGATGCAAAAGTTTTAAATTACATTCCATTCTGAGTAGTGTGATGAAATCTTGCCCCTTCCCACTACATCTTGCCCTGAAAGTGAATCATCCCTTGGTTTGATGTATCCACACTTTCTATGCTACTCACCTGTTAGTCATTTAGTAGCCTTCTCAGTTATCAGATTTTTAAAAATTGTAAATACAGTCAGCCCTCCATATCTATGGGTTCCACATCCAGGGATTCAGCCAACCTTGGATTGAAAATATTCACAAAAAAATTCTATCTGTACTGAACATGTACAGATTTTTTTTCTTGTCATTATTCCTTAAATAATTCAGTAAAACAACTTTTTTTACATAGCATTTACATTACATTAGATATTATAAGTAATCTATGCAGGACTCAAAGTATATGAGAGGATGTGTACATGTCAAATGCAAATACTACACTATTTTATGTAACGTACTTGAACATGCTCACATTTTGGTATCCCCACCGGGTTCTGTAACCAATCCCCCTGAGAAACTGAGGGACAATATGGTTTGGTCCTATGCACAGTTTCAGGCATCCGCTCACTGTGTGTCTTAGAACAGATCTCCCTCTGATAAGTTGGGGCTACTGTACTGAATATCACTGATGAAGATTTTTCCATGATAATAGATTTACAGTAACTTAAAGATGTATTATATATTTGTATTTTATTAAAAAACCAATTGTATCAAATTTGTTGACTTTTTCTTTAATGACAACTGGTTTTCAATATCACGTTAATAGATTTTTTGAAAACAAAACCAAATAAAAAGAAACCACTTAATCTGACCCTTCTAGACATGGATAATTTACCAAAGAGTAAATTCTGATTTTGAACAAAACGTTTTGTTATAAAGAGGGAATTTTGAAAATAAATATTTAAAATGTTTTTATCTTTATATGATTTTTCTCCTGAGTACAACTGAAGTGTATAACTTAAAAAAAAAAACCTATCATTATGAGCATGTTAAAAAACAACTTTGGAAACAGTGTTTCTTTTTTTTTTTTTTTTTTTCCAGTAGTTGAGTGTTTTGAAGAGATCACACAGCAAACAGGTGGTGATGCGTAACATTAAACCCAGGGTGACTGCAGCAGGCATAGATGAAGGAGTTGGGTAAGAGGACATAAGTATTGGTTTTCCAGTGTTACTGAGAGCAATTTCAGAGGGATGGAGCTAAATAAGACACATTTTTTTTTGTTTTTTAACTTTTTATTATGAAGTAACATTAGGAAAAGAACATAAGATATCATGCAACCCCAGATCTTGGTTTCTTTTTCTTTGAGACAGAATCTTATTCTGTTGCCCAGGCTGGAATGCAGTGGCACAATGCCAGCTCACTGCAACCTCAGCCTCCCAGGTTCAAGCAATTCTTCTTCTTATTATTATTATACTTTAAGTTCTGAGATACATGTGCAGAACATGCAGTCTTCTTACATAGGTGTACACGTGCCATGGTGTTTTGCTGCACCCATCAACCAGTCATCTACATTAGGTATGTCTCCTAATGCTATCCTTCCCCTAGCCCCCACCCCCTGACAGGCCCGGGCATGTGATGTTCCCCTCCCTGTGTCCATGTGTTCTCATTGTTCAACTCCCACTTATGAGTGAGAACATGTGGTGTTTGGTTTTCTGTTCTTGTGTTAGTTTGCTGAGAAAGATGGTTTCCAGCTTCATCCATGTCCCTGCAAAGGACATGAACTCATCCTTTAGAAACAGTGTTTCTAAACAGTTTATAAAATATTCCAAATGAAGAGCTGTAGTAGATATCAATTTTTTTTTTTTTTTTTTTTGGAGACAGAGTTTCACTCTGTCACCCAGTCTGGAGTGCAGTGGCACAATCTCCGCTCACCGCAACCTCTGTCTCCTGGACTCAAGTGATCCTCCCACCTCAGACTCTGGAGTAGCTGGGACTACAGTCGTGCACCACGAAGGCCTGCTAATTTTTGTATTTTTAGTAGAGGCAGGGTTTCACCATATTTCCCAGGCTGGTCTCAAACTCCTGGCCTCAAGCGATCCGCCTGCCTCCACCTCCCAAAGTGCTGGGATTACAGGAGTGAGCCACTATGCCCAGCAAATGTCAAATCTTTTATAAAAGTACAAATTGCAATGCTGACCCATAAATTGGCAGGAACAACTATTGGGCTTCAAAGAAGTTGAAACTTTATTACCAGTGTTTCTTTTCAAAGTGTATGCATAACTGGTAGGTGGGATTAAAATGTGAATAATGATTTACTAAACTCAGTCAATAATACCCTTCTTCTAATTAAACCTATGTAACTTCATGAAGTGTCTTTTTCAGCTATGAAAGCCACTTAATCCAGACATGGGAAAAGTAATAAACATTGTAAAAACTGAACATAAAACCAAATATTTGAATGGCTGCATCACCAATAATAACCAAATTTTAAAATAATAATGAAGTATATTGAAACAAAAAAATGTTTATTTAGCTCAAAGACATTTCTTAAACCATACATTTTAAGAGTGTAATTTTCAATGATATTTATTAAATTTGATTACTCCTGGTCTAAAGAATCATGATTCCAGCACCTCACTGAAGTTATTAGCTTGCAACCTCCTTAGGTGTACTTATGAGGTGTCTGTAATGCTAAACAGGCTGCTTCTGCTAATTTATATTCAGTACCTGGCAGTTGTATATGGTGGAGTGAAGAATGCAAAGGAAGTAGGATGGCACTGCACTATATTTTTCCGTTTCTAGCACTCAAATGTGCTAATGGCCTCTGCCAAGTCAAAAAATGAGGCCTCACAATTGAAGGCACAGAGTCTTATATGTTAACGTTATGCCTACTGACAGAAGGGTGCTTATAGTTTGCGTTTTTTAATTTTCTGTCTTGATAACATATATAACTGGATATGTATGTATATTACATGGTTTCTTCCTTTTTTTATACTTTAAGTTCTAGGGTACATGTGCACAACGTGCAGGTTTGTTACATATGTATACATGTGCCATGTTGGTGTGCTGCACCCATTAACTCATCATTTACATTAGGAATATCTCCTAATGCTATCCCGTCCCCCTCCCCTCACCCCATGACAGGGCCCAGTGTATGCTGTTCCCCACCCTGTGTCCAAGTGTTCTCATTGTTCAGTTCCCACCTATGAGTGAGAACATGCGGTGTTTGGTTTTCTGTCTTTGCGATACTTTGCTGAGAATGATGGTTTCCAGCTTCATCCATGTCCTTACAATGGACATGAACTCATCCTTTTTATAGCTGCATAGTATTCCATGGTGTATATGTGCCACATTTTCTTAATCCAGTCTATCATTGATGGACATTTGTGTTGGTTCCAAGTCTTTGCTATTGTGAATAGTGCCACAATAAACATACGTGTGCATGTGTCTTTATAGCAACATGATTTATAATTCTTTGGGTTTATACCCAGTAATGGGATGGCTGGGTCAAATGGTATTTCTAGTTCTAGATCCTTGAGGAATCACCAAACTGTCTTCCGCAATGGTTGAACTAGTTTACAGTCCCACAAACAGTGTAAAAGTGTTCTTATTTCTCCACATCCTCTCCAGCACCTGTTGTTTCCTGAATTTTAATGATCACCATTCTAACTGGTGTGAGATGGTATCTCATTGTGGTTTTGATTTGCATTTCTCTGATGGCCAGTGATGATGAGCATTTTTTCACGTGTCTTTTGGCTGCATAAATGTCTTCTTTTGAGAAGTGTCTGTTCATATCCTTTACCCACTTTTTGATGGAGTTGTTTGATTTTTTTTTGTAAATTTGATGAAGTTCCTTGTAGACTCTGGATATTAGCCCTTTATCAGATGGGTAGATTGTAAAAATTTTTTCCCATTCTGTAGGTTGCCTGTTCACTCTGATGGTAGTTTCTTTTGCTGTGCAGAAGCTCTTGAGTTTAATTAGATCCCATTTGTCAATTTTGGCTTTTGTTGCCATTGCTTTTGGTGTTTTATTCATGAAGTCCTTGTCCGTGCCTATGTCCTGAATGGTATTGCCTAGTTGAAAGTAAAGCACTCCTCAGCAAATGTAAAAGAACAGAAATTATAACAAACTGTCTCTCAGACCACAGTGCAATCAAACTAGAACTCAGGATTAAGAAACTCACTCAAAACCGCTCAACTACATGGAAACTGAACAACCTCCTCCTGAATGACTACTGGGTATATAAGGAAATGAAGGCAGAAATAAAGATGTTCTTTGAAACCAATGAGAACAAAGACACAACATACCAGAATCTCTGGGACACATTTAAAGCAGTGTGTAGAGGGAAATTTATAGCACTAAATGCCCACAAGAGAGAGCAGGAAAGATCTAAAATTGACACCCTAACATCACAATTAAAAGAACTAGAGAAGCAAGAGCAAACACATTCAAAAGCTAGCAGAAGGCAAGAAATAACTAAGATCAGAGCAGAACTGAAGGAGACAGAGACACAAAAAACCCTTCAAAGTATCAATGAATCCAGGAGCTGGTTTTTTGAAAAGACCAACAAAATTGACAGACCACTAGCAAGACTAATAAAGAAGAAAAGAGAGAAGATTCAAATAGATGCAATAAAAAATAATAAAGGGGATATTACCACCAGTCCCACAGAAATACAAACTACCGTCAGAGAATACTGTAAACACCTCTACGCAAATAAACTAGAAAGTCTAGAAGAAATGGATAAATACCTGGACACATACACCCTCCCAAGACTAAACCAGGAAGAAGTTGAATCTCTGAAACAGACTCTGAAATTGAGGCAATAATTAATAGCCTACCAACCAAAAAAAGCCCAGGACCAGACGGATTCACAGCCGAATTCTACCAGAGGTACAAAGAGGAGCTGGTATCATTCCTTCTGCAACTATTTCAATCAATAGAAAAAGAGGGAATCCCCACTAACTCATTTTATGAGGCCAGCATCATCCTAATACTAAAGCCTGGCAGAGACACAACAACAAAAAAGAGAATTTTAGAACAGTATCCCCGATGAACATCAATGCAAAAATTCTCAATAAAATACTGGCAAATCGAATCCAGCAGCCCATCAAAAAGCTTATCCACCATGATCAAGTGGGCTTCATCCCTAGGAAGCAAGGCTGGTTCAACATACACAAATCAATAAACGTAATCCAGCATATAAACAGAACCAAAGACAAAAACCACATGATTATCTCAATAGATGCAGAAAAGGCCTTTGACAAAATTCAACAACCCTTCATGCTAAAAACTCTCAATAAACTAGGTACTGATGGGACGTATCTCAAAATAATAAGAGCTATTTATGGCAAACCCACAGCCAATATCATACTGAATGGGAAAAAGCTGGAAGCATTCCCTTTGAAAACTGGGCACAAGACAGGGATGCCCTCTCTCACCATTCCTATTCAACATAGTGTTGGAAGTTCTGGCCAGGGCAATCAGGCAGGAGAAAGAAATAAAGGGTATTCAATTAGGAAAAGAGGAAGTCAAATTGTCCCTGTTTGCAGATGACATGATTGTATATTTAGAAAACCCCATCATGTAAGCCCCAAATCTCCTTAAGCTGATAAGCAACTTCCCCAGCAAAGTCTCAGGATACAAAATCAATGTGCAAAAATCACAAACATTCCTATACACCAATAACAGACAAACAGAGAGCCAAATCATGAGTGAACTCCCATTCACAATTGCTTTAAAGAGAATGAAATACCTAGGAATCCAACTTACAAGGGATGTGAAGGACCTCTTCAAGGAGAACTACAAACCACTGCTCAACGAAATGAAAGAGGACACAAACAAATGGAAGAACATTCCATGCTCATGAATAGGAAGAATCAATATTGTGAAAATGGCCACACTGCCCAAGTTAATTTATAGATTCAATGCCACCCCCATCAAGCTACCAATGACTTTCTTCACAGAATTGGAAAAAACTACTTTAAAGTTCATATGGAACCAAAAAAGAGCCCGCATTGCCAAGACAATCCTAAGCCAAGAGAACAAAACTGGAGGCATCATGCTACCTGACTTCAAACTATACTACAAGGCTACAGTAACCAAAACAGCATGGTAGTGGTACCAAAACAGAGATATAGACCAATGGAGCAGAACAGAGCCCTCAGAAATAATACCACACATCTGCAACCATCCAATCTTTGACAAACCTGACAAAAACAAGAAATGGGGAAAGGATTGCCTGTTTAATAAATGGTGCTGGGAAAACTGGCTAGCCATATGTAGAAAGCTGAAACTGGATCCCTTCCTTACACCTTATACAAAAATTAATTCAAGATGGATTAAAGACATAAATGTTAGACCTAAAACCATAAAAAGCCTAGAAGAAAACATGGTTTCTTTCTTAATGGTTTTCAAACAATTTTTTAAATTTTGAAAAAAATGTATTCATATACAATGTTTAGAAATAATATAGAGATCCAGTATACACTTTACCCAGTTTTCCACAATTAAAAAATAGCTATATATTTGGGAGCTCGAGGCGGGTGGATCACGAGGTCAGGAGATTGAGACTATCCTGGCTAACACGGTGAAACCCCGTCTCTACTAAAAACACAAAAAATTAGCCGGGCATGGTGGCGGGCGCCTGTAGTCCCAGCTACTTGGGAGGCTGAGGCAGGAGAATGGTGTGAACCCAGGAGGTGGAGCTTGCAGTGAGCCAAGATCGCGCCACCGCACTCCAGCCTGGGTAACAGAGCGAGATTCCATCTGAAAAAACAAAACAAAACAAAACAAAAAGAAGCTATATTAAAATATCACCATCAGAATACTGGCATTGATAAAGTTAAGATGTAGAACATTTCCATCACTACAGTGATACTATGGCCTTTTATAGATAAACCCACTTCCCTCTCACTCCCACTCCCCTCCTTAACCCCTGTAACCAATAATTTGTTCTCTAGTTCTATAAATTTGTCATTTCCAGAATGTTATATTAATGGAATCATACTGTGTGTAACCTTCTGATATTGGCATTTTTTAAATCAACATAGTTCCGTTGAGATTCATCTTAGTGGTAGCATGCATTGACCATGTGCTCCTTTTTGACTGCTGAGCAGTAGACAATATATGGATAAAGCAAAATTTATTTAATTATTCATCCATTGAAGGATACCAAGGTTGTTTCTAGATTTTGGCTATTACAAATAGAGCTGCTATAAACATCCATGTGTGGGATTTTGTATGAAGATGTTATAATTTATTTAAGACAGATCAAGCTATAGACTGGGAGGAAATGTATGAAAACTGTATCCTCAACAACATAGTAGAGTCTGACTATATAAGAACTCTTGAAACTCCTCTTTAATTAAATGTCTGTTTTTGTCATTTACCCATTTTCTAATTGATTTTTTTTTTGAGGGTGTCTTGCTTTGTTGCCTGGGCTGGAGTGCAGTGGCTCGACCTTGGCTCACTGCAACCTCTGCCTCCCGGGCTCAAGCAATTTTTCTGCCTCAGCCTCCCGAGTAACTGGGATTACAGGCGCCCGCCACTACGCCTGGCTAATGTTGTATTTTTAGTAGAGATGGGGTTTCACCATGTTGGCCAGGCTGGTCTCGAACTCCTGACCTCAGGCGATCTGCTCGCTTCAGCCTCCCAAAGTGCTGGGATTACAGGCTTGATGTTTTGAGAGTTTTAAGAGTACTTATATATTCAAGACATGAGTCCCTTGTTCAGTATGCAGTTTTCATACATTTTCTCCCAGGCCATAGCTTGTGCTTTAGTGTCCTTAACAGGGTTTTTCACAGAGAGAAAACTTATAATTTTGATGAAGTTCAATCTATCAGTTTTTCCTTTTAAGGATGACTCTTTTGTTTGTAAGTCTACGGACTCTTTGCCTAGCACAAAGATTGCCTATATCCCAAAGATTTTAATCTGTGCTTTTTTAAAAAGAGATTTATGATTTTATGTTTTAAATCTGTGTGCAATCTATTCCTAGCTAGAGGAATCAGACAAGAGAAAGAAATAAAGGGCATCCAAATCGGAAAGGAGGAAGTCAAATTTGTTTGCAGATTATATGATCTTATATTTGGCCTCCAACAAAAATCTATTAGAACTGATATATAAAAATTACCCTGAATTGTCCACTGTTGGCATATAGAAATGCTCCTGATTTTTGTATGTCGATCTTGTATCCTGCAACTTTACTGAATTTGTTTAAGAAGTGAGGTTTGGGTCAAGGTTCATTTTTTTTTTTTTTTTGCCGATAGATGTTCAGTTTCTCCAGCTGTTTATTGAAATTGCCTTTGTACCTTTGTCAAAAGTCAGCTAGGTGCATTACTGTGTGTCTACTTCTGGGTTATTTATTCAATTTTTGGATGTATCTATCTGCTAATATCACACTGTCTTGATTATTGTGGCTATGTAGTAGGACTTAATGTGGCATAGAGTGATTTCACCTTATTCAAGATTGCTTTAGCTATTCTAGGGCCTGTGCCTTTCGATATCAATTTTAGAACAAGCTCCAAAAATACCCTGCTGAGATTTTGGTAGGAATTGCTCCAAAACTATAAATCAGTCAGGAATGTTGACATATTTAATATGTTGTGTCTTCCAATGCATAAACATGGCATGTATTTAGGTCTTAATTGATTTCATTATTATTTTGTACTTTTTGCCATACAGATCCTGTACATATTTTGGTAAATTTACATGTAATTATTTCATTTTATTTATGTGATTTAAATGGTATTTTGTTTTTAATGTCATTCTCTATTTGTTCATTGTCGGTATATAGAAATGAAGCTGATTTCTGCGCATTCAGTTTGCATCCTATGAACTTATCGAACTCACTTATTAGTTCTAAAAATTTTGTTTTTCTTTTTCAGATTTCTTGGGATTTTCTACATAGGCAATCATTACATCTGCAAGTAGAGACAGTTTCATGTCTTTCTTTCCTATCCGTACAGCTTTTATTTCTTTTTCTTGCCATATTATACTGGGTAAAAATTCCAGTTACAGTTGGGTAAAAGTGGTGAAAGCAAAAAAACCTTGTCTCGTTTCTGATCTTAGACATAAGGAATATAATTCCTCACCTTTAAATATGATATTTGATGTAAATTTTTGTACATGTTCTTTACAAAGTTGATGACGTTCTCCTTTGTTCCCAGTTTGCTGAAAGTTCTAAATTACAAATGGGGGTTGGATTTTGTCAAATGCTATTCCTGTGTCAGTTGATATGATCATATTATTTACAAAACATTGTTGAGATGGTAGTTTACACTGTTTGATTTTCTAATGTTGAACCAGACTTGCATACATGGAATAAATCCAAATTGGTCATGCTGTATAATTCCTTTTATAGCTTGCTGGATTCAGTTTGCTAATATTTTGTTGAGAATTACTAGCTACATAAAATTCATTGGAAAATATTCCCTCCGTATGGACTGAATTGTGTCTCTCTACGATTCATTATGTTAAAGCCCTAATACCCAATGTGACTGTATTTGGAGAAGGAACCCTTAAGAAAGTAAATAAAGTTAAATGAGGTCATTAGGATGAACTCCTAATATGACAGTATTGGTGGCTGTATAAGAAGACGAAGAGATGCCTCTCTCTCTCTCTCAGCCCTCAAACAAAAAAGAGGTCATGTGAGCATGCTGTGAGAAGGCAGCTATATACAAGCCAAGAAAAGGGACCTCAGAATTAAACCTACCTTTCTGGCACCTTCTAGCCTCCAGAAATATGAAACAATTATGTTGTTTAGGCCACCCAGTCTATGTTCTTTTGTTACGGCAGCCTGAACAGACTAAGACGTCTCCTTTTATATTTTTCTGGGAGAGGTTGTGTAAATTTGGTGTTAAGTCTCCTCTAAAAGTTTGGTAGATTTCTCCAAAGTATTTGTGTATGGAGGTGACTTTTTATGGGGAGACTTTAAAGTATTAATTCAATTTCTTTAATAGTAATAGTGCTATCTACATTTTCTACTTAAAATTCAATAAGTTGTAGTAGTTTGTACTTTTTGAGGAATTTGGTCCATTTTTTTTCTAACTTACATTAATGTAGGTAAAAGTTGCTCCTAATATTACCTTATTATCCCTTCATGTCTGCAGGGCCTATAGTGATGCCTTCTATTTCATTCCTGATGCCAGTAATTTGTGTTTTCTTTCTTCCATTCTGTCAGTCTTACTAGGTGGCTATTAATATTATTTTTTTGAAGAATCAACTCTTAGGTTCATTGATTATCCCCATTGTTTTTTGTTTTCAATTAAATTCATTTCTGCTTATATCTTTATTAATTCCCTCCTCCTGCTTGTCTTGGATCTGCTTTAGTTTCTTGAAATGAGAACTTATATTTCGTGAGACCTTTGTTTCTACTGTAAGCATTTAATGTTACAAATTTCCCTTTCAGCACTGTGTGGTATATATTTTCATATATTGTACTTTTACTTTCACTGAATTCTATACATTATTTCATTTCCATCGAGACTTTCCTCTTTGACCCATGGATTATTTAGAAGCATCTTGTTTAGTCCTTAGAGATTTATTGTTTTTCTATTTGATTACATTATGAGCAAAGAACTTACACTGTGGTTTCAATACTTAAAATTTGTTAAGGTTGTTTTAAGGCTTAGAATATGGTCTATCTTTGTGAATGTTCCATGCGTGCTTAAAAAAATAATGCGTGTTCTGCTATTGTTGAGTAGAGTGTATTATATATGTCAACTAGATCCAGTTGATTGGATTATTAAGTTCTTCTGTATGCATGCTTATTTTCTGGTTAGTAGTTCTATCAGTTACTGAGAGTAGGATCTTGATTTGTCTATTTCTCCTTTTAATTCTACTCATTTTTATTTCATTTATTCAGAAGTCTCTTCAGTTTGGAACATAAACATTTAGGATTGTTATGTCTTCCTTAAGGATTGATTCTTCTAAAATTACGTAATGAACCTCTTTGACTCTAGTAATTTTCTTCACTTTGAAGTCCATTTTATCTGATATTTCTATAGCCTTTCCTGCTTTCTGTGATTAATGCATGCATCACATGTTTTTCTATCCTTTTACTTTTAGCCTATCAATGTCATATTTTTGGAGGTTACTTATTGACAGCATATTTTTGGATTATGTTTGCTTTTTAATCTACTCTGCCAATTTCTGTCTTTTGATTAGCATACTTAGACAATTTATACTTATGGTAAGTTTTGATATGTTTGGGCTTAAGTCTGCCACTAATTTGTTTTCTGTTTTCTCTTTCTTTTTTCTCTATCTCTTCTTTCTCACCTTCCTGTGGGTTATTTGAAATCCCCCTTTTTCTTGGGTTCTATCTTCATTTTTACAGCATTTTTGAGTATATCAGTTTGTATTTTTGTTATTGCTCTAGGTAACAATATAGACACATGTAATTTATCATAGTATACTGTTATCAGTGTTTTAGCACTTTGAATGAGGTGTATAGACCTTACTTTCTATAAAGTCCTTTTATTTCCCATACTTTAAAATATCATTTTCTTAAATATTCCTTCTACATACATTGAGTGCTATATCAGATAGTGTCATAAGTTTTCCTTCAATCATCAAATATGATTTAAGAAACTCATGAGAAGTAGAAAAGCCTATTATGTTTAATTATGTTTTTACCCATTTGATATTCTTCTTTTCCTTTTAAAATTCCAAGTTTTCTTTTATGAATACCTTTCTGCTTAGACAACTTCCTTTAGCCATTTTTCAAGGGTTGTGTATTTTTTTTTAGCAACAAATTCTTTGTTTTCCTTCATCTGAGAATGTCTTTATTTCACCCCATTCCTGAATAATTTTGCTACATGTGGAATGTGTGGTTGGCATGTTTTATTTCAGCACTTCCTTCTGGCCTTGTGGTTTCAGATAAGAAATCTGGCGTCATTTGATCTGGTTTTGCCCTGTAGTTAATGTGCCATTTGTCTGTTTTATTTTATGATTTTTTTTCAGAGATTTAATTATACTGTGTCTTGGTGTGGATTTATTTGGGCTTATACTATATGTGTTCACTTAGTTTCTTGAATCTGTAGGTGTATGTATTTCATTATTTCTTCGGAGCAAGACTTAGCCCTACTTCCCACCTCCTTATTCAGTCCTTTTTCCTGCTGAGTGTGTGTAGAGGTTCAGTTACCGCTGACACCAGGAGTCAAGGATGGTGGAGAACTGACTAGCTCTGAATCTCACTGCTTTATTCAGACTCATTGATACTAAATGTGAATGGAAGCTCAGCTTGTCACTGAGCCTTACTGAAATTGGCGAAGAGGAGGGGTGTGAAGCATAGTGGTGATGAGCCACTTCTCAAACCTTCTCCTTGCTGACCAGATGTGAGTGGAGGCTGAGTTTACTACTGGACCACACTGACACTACCCCTGCAAGGAGTATAACACCTACTTCTGCCATGGAGAGAATGGAAGACCAGCTCCCTACTTGGCCACACACTGAAACAGTCTGTGGTAGAGTGAGGTAGGGTAGTTTTTCTGTTGATGTTTAGCTGCAGTAGGATGGGTATTGCCAAAAAAAAAAAAATGCTTTTCTGCAATTAGGCCTCTGTTTTCCAGATCCTTTGCCTATGGACAACAGGCTATTGTTGGAGCTTTTATTATCTTTGCCTATTCATGGTTCTGGGTTAGAGCCTCCTGCAACTTTCTGGCCAATATATAAGGGACACAATAAAGACACCCAGGGAACTCACTACCCCGAATTTCCTCAAATTCTGTGGTCCTTTGTTCATCCAGCTTACTTTCAACTTTCAGAGACTTCTTAAAGTTGTGCTATGTCCAGAATTTTTTCAGTTTGAAGAGGGAGGACCTTGAAAGAATGGGTTTACTCTGTCTTGGCCAGAACTGGAAATCTCTTTTCTTCTATCTCCATGATTTAGACATTTATAATATCCACCCTCCACCACTACAAACAGAAGAGCACTGCATTATGACTTGGGGACAGTGTTAAGTTTCTAAGGGGTTTCCACTCTACTATCTGTGGTACCTCATCCCCCAGAGCATAGAAATCCCTCTCCTTTTGTAAGCCTTGGGTAATGGATATTATCGTGTTTCATGAAAAATAAGAGGAATATATAGCACATTTCTTTACTTTCCTAAGTCGAATGGCATTTGAGTTCAAGCTACACACACTTGGCTGGTAGAAAGGCCAATATCAGTAAAATTTCAAAAGTTCCTTCCTTTTTCTATGGGATCCTATTAGACTTGTGATGCTTACTTGGTCCCAGGAAAAATAAGTTGATTGTGGTCCTTAGTTCTTCTTGTTTGTTATGGATACCCTTACTGTTCATCTGCTGCAAGATGACATCAAGATGACCTACACTGGTCCTTCCTGCTCCTGTGGAGCAGTTCTTTTCAGCAGGACTTGACACTAATCACAAAATGAATCTCCAAACCCCTGACAGCTGGCTTAGTGTTTTTACTCCTAGTACCCAACTTCAACAGATGTTCCATAGTCATATCCCATCATCTGTGCTGCAAGGAAGTGAGGCGTATCAATCACTAGCAGAGTCTTTTACTCAATCCCTGGAATTTCTCCAGTCTCTGGGAAGTGAATAAGAACATGGAATATGGAATCAAGCTACTTGGGATGACTTAATAATTCATTTACTTTGGACAAAATCATAACCTCTCCAAGCCTCAATGTCCTCATATGGGGCTAATAATATTAGTGGTTACCACTATTATAAGGTTGGATTAAATGAGACAATATTTGTTCTTGTGTTACCAGTAGAGGGTCTTGACTGCAACTTGCCCAGGCTCTTGGCATTCTGAACAAATAATTGGACAAAACACATAGCAAAGCAAGGAAAGAATGAAGCAATGAAAGAACGAAAGCAGGGATTTATTGAAGATGAAAGTACATTCTACAGTGTGGGAGCGGGCCCCAGCAGCGACTCAAGGGCCCCGGATACAGAATCTCCTCGTGTCCAAATATGCTCTGGAGGTTTCCCAATGGCTACTTGGCACTCACCTCATGTAAATGAAGGGATGACCCACAATCAGTCTGATTAGTTGCAGAAAGTAACCAATCAGAGGCTGAAGTGAAGTTACATCGATACACTCCTATGCAAACATCTGACTGGTTGCAAAAAGCAACCAATCAGAGGTACTTTTAATTTCCCATCTGAGGACGCAGAAAAAGTGGGGGTATGTAAAGGGAGTAGCCTCTGGTCCTTTTGTTATTTAGGCGTGGAAAGTTAGGGTTTCTTTTCAGTTTAATTCCAGGAAGTCAGCGTGAAAGGGCCTTAGGTTCCCTGCCTCCAGACCCTATTCTCCTGCCTCACTTGCAGCAATGCCTGTTAATATAACAATATAGTAAAGGTGTAAGGCAATAGTAAAGAATAGTTAAGTTCTACATGCATAATAGGTACAATTTTCCTCCCTGGGCCACTCTTTGCTCTGACATCTACATCATCATAATCTTTTTAATTCCCAATTCTTGCACAATATTCACCTGGATAAGGCCCATTTTCAGGGTAACCCTGAAGTACATGAAGATATTTATCTCCTCCTACCTGCAACACATCCTGTTCCCACCTGAGTGAGAGGAGTGTAGACCAGTGTTTCTCAAATAATTGTCCACTGATCATTTGCATCAAATCTTTAGGGATAGAATCAAAGGATATGCACATCTATTAAGCTGCTCCTGAGATGTTAATGTACACTAAAATTCACGAAACAATCCTTTGCACTATCTGTGCCTTTTCACATATGGTTGCCTCTTTCTAAAATGTCCATTCATCCCATTTGTGTCCACGTGTGGAAACAAAATGCAGCTTCCTCTATGTACCTGTCCCTGATTTCATGTTCACTATTACCACCAGCAGATGCAGCCTTTCTATTGCTATAGGATGAATGATATGGGGAGGAATCAAAAGTGAGGTGCAAGGGAGTGTTGGGGTACACTGGAAGGCAGCTGCTGGATTGGAGTGGTGAGAAGGACCTATGGCTTTTACTTGGAATTTGTGCACTTGAGGCGAAGTTGCAAAAAGGGATGGGGGAAGGGGACAGAAAACCAGAAAAATAAAGAGGGGGTTGGGGAGAAGCAGCAACAAAATAACTCTTATGGTTTTCCCTGATCAGGAAGTAAATTAATCACCGCAGGTGTCAGCACCCCACACCCTCAGGCCGGCCTGCCCACTCGCCTGCTCTTCCCACTGCCTCAGCCCCTCCCGCTTGGCTTTCCTCGTGGATCTGTCCACACACTGACTTTGTTCTCACTGCCCTCTCTCCCCAATGTATCACTGTGTAACTGAAATCACTGGGTAACTGAGTATGCCCCGTTTGCGCCTGCCACCTGACTGGCTGCTCTGAAGCAGCAGAACTGGATAAGAACTTTATGAACTCTGAGAAGTTATTCATGCACAGAACCTCTAAACTTGCATCATTGTATCCACGTTGTTGCCTTCTTCTGGAACGTTATGTTCTCTGCACGTGAAAATCCTCTGCCTCTAGACCCTGTCCCAAGGTCCCAGGGACTCTGCTTGGGCGCCTCTGGGACTGACAACAGGGATATTAACTTTGCTTCTCAGGAGTGGGGAAGAGGTCCCCCTCTCAGGATCCTTCCACTCCCTCTCCTTAGGGCTCTGAGGCTCAAAGGAAGCAAACACCTCCAAAAAGCCCCTCAGGATTCCTCCCCCATTAGTACAGCCTACCATTTTCTCAAGGCTGCACCAAACCAAGTGTTCGCTGATATCACCATGGGCCAAATGTGGGTCCCAGGGATTTGCATTTGGATTGTACTCCTCAAGGGACTGTGGCAGTAGCTCAGAGACCTCAATTTGAGGAGGGAAAAAATATTTGTTTGAAACTGTTTAAGACATCAACTGAGGGGCTGAAACTTGAGGGGTTGCAGGTCTGACATATGGGTAAAGGTCTCCCTGCGCTGCCGAATCCCCCATCCCTTGCCAAGTTTAATGTCTAATCTTAGCGAAGGGTGTCCCAGGATTACACCAAGTGCACACTGGTTTCTCCAGACAGATCGTGGCCTGGGCTCCTTCTAGCCCCGTGCTTGACTATATCGTAGGTTTCAGATTTTATTGAAGTAGGGATTTTAAGAAGGGTAGTTAGCTGTTGTCCTGAGGGTAGCGAAATGCCGCGTGTCTGATACTTGGGATCCTGGCTTGCGGGCCCTCCTAGACTCTGCCCTTGCAGCTCCGCTACCCCCTCCCCTCCCTGTCCCTCCCAGCCTTCACCCCGCCCGGCCTCAGCTACTCCTCAGGCACCCCACGCGCTCACAACCGCCTGCCCGACCGCCTGCTCCTCCCACTGCCTCCGCCCCTCCCACTCGGCCCCCCGCGTCGATCTCGCCGCACGCTGACTTTGCTCTCACTGCCCGGCCAGACGCACTTCCCGCCTTCGCCTAGGTCTGCACCGCCACCGCCGCCCTCTCCCGCGCGTCCCTCACCCGGTCCGCCACTGCCGCGCCTCAGAATCCGAAGGCTCGGTTCCAGCGCAGCCATCCACGCCGCCGCCACGACCGACTCCGGAGCCACGCGCTGCAACCGCCACCAACGCCTTGCCGCCGCCGCTCGCCCGCCGCCCACCATGGCCCAGCAGCAAACAGGTAGCAGGAAACGGAAAGCGCCCGCGGTCGAGGCGGACGCCGAGAGCTCGCCGTCGCAGGGCTTGGCGGCAGCGGACGGTGAGGGGCCGCTGCTACTCAAGAGGCAGAGGCGGCCGGCGACGTATCGCTCGATGGCGCACTATCTGAAGGTTCGGGAGGTAGGCGGGTGGGGCCCCGCCAGGCTCCAGGGCTTCGATGGCGAGCTGCGGGGCTACGCGGTACAGAGGCTGCCCGAGCTGCTGACGGAGCGCCAACTGGAGCTGGGCACGGTCAACAAGGTGTTCGCGTCACAGTGGCTGAACTCCAGGCAGGTGGTGTGCGGCACCAAGTGTAACACGCTTTTCGTGGTGGACGTGGAGTCAGGCCACATCGCGCGCATTCCCCTCTTGCGGGACAGTGAGGCCAGGCTGGCCCAGGACCAACAGGGCTGCGGCATCCATGCCATCGAGCTGAATCCCTCCAAGACGCTTCTGGCCACCGGCGGCGAAAACCCCAACAGCCTGGCCATCTACCAGCTGCCCTCCCTGGATCCCCTGTGCCTGGGCGACCGCCATGGCCACAAGGACTGGATCTTCGCCGTCGCCTGGCTGAGTGACACCGTAGCCGTGAGCGGCTCCCGCGACGGCACTGTGGCGCTGTGGCGGATGGACCCGGACAAGTTCGATGACACTGTTGCCTGGCATAGCGAGGTGGGTCTCCCCGTATATGCCCACATCCGTCCGAGGGATGTGGAGGCCATCCCCAGGGCCATCATCAACCCCAGTAACCGCAAGGTGCGGGCCCTGGCCTGCGGCGGCAAGAACCAGGAACTGGGAGCGGTGTCCTTGGACGGCTACTTCCACCTGTGGAAAGCCGGGAGCGCACTATCCAGGCTGCTGTCCATCAGGCTGCCCTACTTCCGGGATAATGTGTGCCTGACCTACTGTGATGATATGTCTGTGTACGCCGTGGGCTCCCATTCCCACGTCTCTTTCCTGGATCTGCGCCAGGACCAGCAGAACATCCGGCCCCTGTGTTCTCGAGAGGGTGGCACAGGCGTGCGGTCGCTGAGCTTCTACCGCCACATCATCACTGTGGGCACCGGTCAGGGCTCCCTGCTCTTCTATGACGTCCGGGCCCAGAAATTCCTGGAGGAAAGAGCCTCCGCCACCCTGGAGTCCTCTTCGGGACCTGCAAGGAGGAAGCTCAGGCTTGCCTGTGGCAGAGGCTGGCTCAACCACAATGATTTCTGGGTGAATTACTTTGGTGGCATGGAAGTGTTTCCCAATGCGCTCTACACCCACTGCTACAACTGGCCTGAGATGAAGCTCTTTGTGGCTGGGGGGCCTCTCCCTGCAGGCCTCCATGGGAACTATGCAGGCCTCTGGAGCTAAGGATGACCGCCTTGTACTCCAGGTACACAGATTTACCTTTCAGTTCCGCCCGACTGCCCTTCATGCTGCATTTTTTTGCTTTTAACTCTGTGCGTCTTTTGTTTTCCAGGTGGAACCAGCCCAGCTTAATTTGTACTCCTCCAAGCAGAGAGAGTGAGTGGTCCTTTGGTCAATGAAAACTTGGCTTTAAGACTTTTTGACTCCTTTCCAACACCATCTTTTGGAATTTTCATACAAAGAAATTTGGTTAATCGTTAATCTTTAGTTGCATTCTCTCTTTGAGTGATTCATACATTCTGTTTCTTTAAGAAGATGCAGTCATGGTCTTTCAGTTATGTATATTTGTTTTCCTTGTTTTTCCTCGTTACCAATATTACAACAGCATTGTTTTCAGTTATTTTTCATTGCAGATACGAAGAGAAAATTTTCTAGTAAGCAAGGTGTTCCTACATCTTTTCTGGAGAGCTTACCATAGTTTTATAGCATTGTTCAATTGGAAAAGTACATTCCAAGTTCTAGATTACCTACGTTTGGAAACACTTAATTTACAAATTGTGATCTTAGTGTATATAGTTTTTACGTTGTTGGTGCTAAAGTGCTTTTTTGAAGTTTATTCTCTTTCAAAATAAGTTATCATAGAATCTTGTGCTTGTATCAAACTCCTAATTGGTCGGAACACTTTAGGAGTGCAGGGGTTCTGCTTCATTGCATTTTCAGAATTAACCTGAAAGTTGAAACAACCATTTTTTTTTATTTCAAAACTTATTTAAGTTGTTATCACCTGTCCTTAAATAGATAAAAGAATGTGTATTTTTTCACTTGTTGCCTTAGTACTATCAAGACTTGTGAATATATTTGAATGTATGTTGTTTGAAAAACTTGCACAGGGCATTGGAGCCATCATGAAAAGCAGGAAATGTAAACGTGGAATGTATGGCAGGCTGGGCAGAATGTATACTGATCCAGGGTATAGACTAGATATTTTTGCTGTTGCTGTTTTTATTATAAAATGTTATATTTGAGGATATTTAACATTTTCCAATTCTGCTTAAGAGGTAATTCACAATAAAAAAAACAAAGACCAAAAATAGCACATTCTGAAAAAAAGATTCTTAATAAGATTTTATTTTGTGAAGTTCAAAGATTCTTTCCTAAAGTATAACGTGTTGTTAAAAAGTAGTGGTGTTATAACTCTCAATGTAATAGTATGCAATATCAAGAACACAGGAAGTTCGTTTCAAGATAGGTGAGATTTAAAATAAATAGGATGAGGTTGAAGAAAAGTATATTGGAGCGCAGATAAATATAAATTGTGGACTGCTATGAAAACAGGTTGTACTTCTCCATATGTGAGACTACTGGAAGTGAGAAGCAATATTTGTCATTTCTAAAACTGGCCAGGCTGTGCTGACCCAGGATTAGTAATTTGTTATGTCTGTTTTCCCTTAGATGTTTGGGCACTCAGATGCTATCTTGGTGCACACACACAACATTGCTGTTCAGTCACAAATCCGAACAACTTAATATAATAAATTGTACTAAAAGTCATTTAAGAAATACCAAAAAGTAAGCTTTTGTTTCTAACCATTGTTATAAAGGCTAATATAATTGTTGTTATATAGCAGTAAGATATATTTGTGTGCATGCGTCTCCAAGTCAGTTGTAAATGTCTTGAGAACAGAGAATACAATTGTCATCTTTATATTGCCTCATTTCTCCACTAATACTTAGCAAATAAAAGGCAATAAGTAAATATGTACTGGTTGAATGCCTCTGGAGACCTAGAGTTTAAAGTTTTAAGTCAATAAATAAATAAATATTTACTCTTAAATAATATAGAATCCTGTTGTGTTTTCCCCCCTTTTTTGGTAAACTTTGCCCTGATTTATTTCCAGGTCAGGCTATTGTGCTTATCCATTCATAAACTTACCCATATGTGATACTAGCAGAGGAAAGAACATGTATAAATCTTAGTTGACACTGGAAATTAATCTTTTCACCTGCAACCATTTAGGTTTGAAGATTTATTTAAAATATTTTTGTTTTTTTTTCAGAAATTAGTTTTGGAATATCCTTTGTAGTTTGTCTTTTAACTTTAAAAACATATTTGCTAAAAATTTCCTTAAGTGTTACCCAATAACTTCAAAGTATTCGCTGCCTATCTTCTTGTAGGCAATGGGGAATTTTTATGGTATTCTTGCAATTATTTTGGAAATAATGTGGAAAACATTTTTAGAGGAAATAACACTTTCTACCTGGGGTGGGATTTTAGAGAAGAAATAGAAGGCATGTCTGATTTCTTCTCTGTCTTGGTCCTTAATTTCATCACCGACTCACTCTTAACTTTTTCGTATTTTAGGCTATATCTTTTTAATGCCAAATCACATGGCTTAACTTTTTAAAAACTAAATATCCTATGTGTATATTTCTATTTTGTAACCATCTAGTTATTTTGAAATATTTTCTAATTCTGACACAGTGATCTATAGAACTATGATTAATTATGTAACCTGTGACTGTGAAATAATTGAAAAAAAAAACGCCAGCCCTCCAGAAAGTCCATGAATACAACTCGCTTAAAGTACATAAGGAAGTGCAAATATTTATGTATAAATTACCTATCACTGATGCCTGAAAGGCCTCAGTTACTTATAGCTATGCATAAAAAGGTGAATTATTTTTTTTTTATTTTCTTTTTTTATTATTATCATACTTTGAGTTTTAGGGTACATGTGCACAATGTGCAGGTTAGTTACATATGTATACATGTGCCATGTTGGTGTGCTGCACCCATTAACTCGTCATTTAGCATTAGGTATATCTCCTAATACTATCCCTCCCCCCTCCCCCCACCCCACAACAGTCCCCGGAGTGTGATGTTACCCTTCCTGTGTCCAGGTGTTCTCATTGTTCAATTCCCACCTATGAGTGAGAACATGCGGTGTTTGGTTTTTTTCCTTGCGATAGTTTGCTGAGAATGATGGTTTCCAGTTTCATCCATGTCCCTACAAAGGACATGAACTTATCATTTTTTATGGCTGCATAGTATTCCATGGTGTATATGTGCCACATTTTCTTAATCCAGTCTATCGTTGTTGGACATTTGGGTTGGTTCCAAGTCTTTGCTATTGTGAATAGTGCCACAATAAACATACGTGTGCATGTGTCTTTATAGCAGCATGATTTATAATCCTTTGGGTATATACCCAGTAATGGGATGGCTGGGTCAGATGGTATTTCTAGTTCTAGATCCCTGAGGAATCGCCACAGTGCCTTCCACAAGGGTCGAACTAGTTTACAGTCCCACCAACAGTGTAAAAGTGTTCCTATTTCTCCACATCCTCTCCAGCACCTGTTGTTTCCTGACTTTTTAATGATCGCCATAAAATGTGAATTATCTTTATCTCTAACTACCTATTCACATATTTCTCGCCAAGCATACTTCTGATCCAAAAGTTTATGTTCCTCTCCTTTACTCTTTGGAATGAGTTAATTTCTATTTTCTTTTAAAAAGGGGTGAAATAATTTACTTATCAAGGATATCTACTGGAATAAATTGAGGTGACTACTCTGGAAAAAATTCATTTGTTAAATACACTCTAGCATTAATGATAAACAAAATTGAATTTTCCAGAGTTTGATTTTTATCCACTTGTACTCAGTGTTGAACAATTTGTCAAAATTTTTTCATTAATTGCTAATTTAGATTGATTTTAGAAAGCAATTCACAAAGCCCTCTTGGATGTTTTACTGACAGCTTCCTAATTTCTCCAAGTATTATTAGGTAACCCAGCTACATTCAACATGTCACTATGTGAGCTGCTCAGGGATGCAGTTCAGTGAGAATGTCATGTACTAATATGAAAGAGAGGCTGCATAAGCCACAGGTGTTTGCTTTAAGATATGTTATTGTGAGATCTGCTCAAGAAAGGGTTGCCTAAAAGTATTTCACACCACCAGTCTGCTGCAGACGCAGAGACACCTAGCATTGGAATTTGGCATCAATGTAAGGGCAATGTGTTTGCAGGAGGTTGCCATAAAATGGTCAGACTGATCCTTAGGAAGGAGGGTTCTTTCGCTGATACATATTTAGTTTGCACAGGTATTGGTCTTTGCTCCATATGCCCTTTGCCTACTTTTCTATTAAACTCTCTGTGACTTCCAATACAGAATTAAGCACTTAACTTCTCCATGCTCACAGTGACAGTTTTGTTGTTTTCTTTATTATAGCATTTAGCAGATTGTGATGCAGTCAGCTATGTGAGTGTTTAGCTTCCCTGCCCCTCCACTTGAATATGAGCTCTGTCACCCCAAACCTAGCATAATAGGCTGCACATACATGGCACTTAGGTGTTCAGTACAATGACTAATACATCAATACTTTTTCATAAATTACTTTATCAGATTAGTTGACCAAAACATTAGGGAAGATGATAAAGATTAAGTTGATGAATGAAGAGTATCCTGAAACAGGCCCCATGGTAATGACCATGGTGATTCATGGCATGAAATAATGTGGGTAGAGCAGCAGAAACTTAAATTACGTTTTGCCCAGGAATGATATTGGACCTGGAGTACCAAGATGAAATGGAATAAGTATTATTTCAGAATCATAAATACCTGGATTTGAATCCCAATTCTATTATTTGTTTATAATAAGCCATGGATATGCTGTTTAACTTCTCTAAACCTGTCCTTACATTACTAATTGTTCTATCCCCAGCATCTAGCATACTGCCTGATGCATAAGGCATTCAATTGATATTATTTTCCCCTCTAGAGTCCTATCAATTCTGATAGAAGGCATATGTATTTTTTTATTTGATTATTATAAAAACAGTTTATGTGCCTTGCAGAAAGTCAGACACATAAAGTAAAATATTTTTAAAAACCACCACATTTCCAGCAGCTGAAGATTACTACTGTCAGCAAGTTAGTGTACATCTTTCATGACTTTTTTGTACATATATGTACCATCCATGCAGTTGCTTCTAAAATATGAACATTTTGTTAAGGTTGTTTTGCAACCTACTTTTTTTCAGTTAATGTCTCCATGTTTTCGTCACAATATTTATCTTACCTAACATTCAGGGTGTTTTAAATGTGTACAGGCTGGGTCGGGCATGGTGGCTCACGCCTGTAATCCCAGCACTTTGGGAGGCCGAGGCGGGTGAATTACCTGAGGTCAGGAGTTCGAGACTAGCCTGGCCAACATGATGAAACCCCGTCTCTACTAAAAATACAAAAAATTAGCTGGGCATGCTGGCGCACACCTGTAATCCCAGCTACTCAAGAGGCTGAGGCAGGAGGATCGCTTGAACTCGGGAGGCGAGGGTTGCAGCGAGCCAAGATGGCGCCATTGCACTCCAGCCTGGGCAACAAGGGCGAAACTCCGTCAAAACAAAACCGAACAACAAAAAAAGAGGGGGCTGGGCGCGGTGGCTCACGCCTTTAATCCCAGCACTTTGGGAGGCCGAGGCGGGCGGATCACGAGGTCAGGAGATCGAGACCACCCTGGCTATCACGGTGAAACCCCGTCTCTACTAAAAATACAAAAAAAAAAAAAAAAAATTAGCCGGGCGTGGTGGCGGGCGCCTGTAGTCCCGACTACTCGGGAGGCTGGGGCAGGAGAATGGCGTGAACCGGTGAGGTGGAGCTTGCAGTGAGCGGAGATCCTGCCACTGCACTCCAGCCGGGGCGACAGCGAGACTCCGTCTCAAAAAAAAAAAAAAAAAAAAAAAAAGCTGTGTACAGGCTCACTACTTAGAAAATTGTTGCCATCACCAGAAATCATTAGTGACACATCAGATATTTAACCAAATATAAGAGGGTATACATACTTACACCTTAAGAGTTATTTTAAACATTTATAGCAGTACTCTCTGTCTAGCTATTTGCGTAATTCAGTGATTTTCAGACTTTAGAACACATTAGAGTCACTTGAACATATGTTGAAAGTAAGAGATGTTTCAACTCATACCTACTGTAACAGAATTTTCTTGTAAAAACATCATTTCATTTGAGTGTTTTCAGATTAATCCATTCAAAACCAAAACAAGACAGTAATAAAAACGTCGTCTGCCTTAGAGGTTTATGGGGTAGTAGAAGAGAAAGATAGTTACTTCACTAATCATGACAAAAAAGTAAGTATAGTATTAAGGATATATACTAAAAATAATGAGAATATGGAGAAAATAGCAATCAATTCTGCCTGGGAAGGTTACGGAGGGCTCCCAAAAAAGGCAGTAGTTGATCTGGGTCTGGAAAGTAAAATAAGAATGAAGAAGAAGAGCCAATATTGACTTCAAAGGACCTTGTGAATGTCTGAATCGTATGGGCACATGCATATGTACAGGGCTGTTGCAATTTGGCCTTGTGGACTTTGAAGTGCCTGTGGGATTTCCTGATGGAAATGTCTGTTTTGCAGTTAGACATATGGATTTGGTCCTCATAAGAGAGGTTAGGGCTGGAAACACAAGTGTGAAGATTATCACTATAGAAATAGTATTTGGGAGAGGCAAGGAGGGGTGTAGTGTGTAGTGTCGCAGAATCTAAGTCTTCTGGCTCTCATTTGAAAATTCATATATCTTTAAATAGTTCTACACATATATATATAGTGCACATATATATGTGTGGACGTATATAGGTCTACACATATAATAATGCATACCTACAGGGCTGTTGCATTTTGGCCTTGTGGACTTTGAAGTGCCTGTAGGATTTCCTGATGGAAACTTCTGTTTGGCAGTTAGAAATACGGATTTGGCACTCCTAAGAGAGGTTATATATGTATATATTTATGCATTATTATATGTCTGGGACATAGTAGGTAACTAATGACTTGTAGATTGATAGCCAAATAAATGTTTGTTTTATTGATACTAAACAGTACTTATTGCCCCCAGGAAGCAATATTTCGTATTTTTATCATTTAATGATCAACTTTTTAATTTCCCTAATGCAATCACATTAATCCAAAGATGATAAAGGAAATCTGCCAAATGTTGCTGTGTTTTATGAATAAAGAAATCTATGTTTTGGTTAGATGTATTTTTTCATCTTTTATAGAATATAGGTCATTCTAGAGTCGGGCAAGAAGAAAGCTAAATATTGATGATAACTTCCTTACAAATAACCCTCTTGTTTTTCCATTTTGGAGGTACAGTTCACTGAAGCAAACACGTTGATGATGTCAATGAGAGTAATGGTGCTATTTTCACCCTTTCTAATGCCATCATTGTGCCATTCTCTGTTTCAACCTAAGGCATTAATGTTTCATGTTGATTAAATTTTAACATCTAAATTGCCCTTTTATGTTACACACAAATGATAAACTTGAATGTTGTAGTCAGAGGGCAGCAACTTCAGTTTTCTCTAGGCTCTTAGTAAATTTATCAAATAACATCCCCCAGCACCTCAGAAATGGCTCATTTCTGTTTCTCTTTCTTTACTCACCTAGGATATACTGAGTTGAGTGTGGTTTTTTTTGAATCATGCCTTATATGACTAAAACTAGACCTTATTTTACAAATAGTTGCATTCCTTGACATTTGTACGTGAAGCACATTTTTGAAAATGGAATCTATATTTCCCTATTGACTTACATTATAATTTTAGAAGTGCCACCTTTATTACAGATTGATTTCCAATGGACAGTGATTTCTAACATGTTACCACTGCCTCCACTTCTGAGACATGTGCTTTAGTCTTCAAGCAAAAGATAAGTGATATAATGGAATCTCTAATTTCAAAGGATACTAAAGGATACTTTCAGAATATGATAAATTAAACTAATTCATTTGTATAAAAAATGAAATTTCTTAAAATAGGGCATCACGCAATTGGACTTGCTCTCTATATATTTATCACAAGCCAGAACAAATCCTAAATGTCCTGCTTAAGGAATTCGATTTTTTCTTTTCCTCAGGTCTTTCTTTAAGAAGATTCCCCTAAGCAAAGGCTTTTGGCTTATGGATATTTCCTGGGAATGATAATAATTATTTGTTTTTCCTCACTATTTTAATCTGTAAAACTTTGGATATTTACATCAGTTTTAAAAAGGCTGTTTAGGCATCATCATGCTAGATGGAAGTGTGGCGCCAGAAATAACAAGAATGCAAACTTTTCCTTAACCCATATATGCCTGAGATTGCAGTTTTTTGAATTTTTGCAATCAGACCTTGGCGATGACCTTGAGCAGTAGGGTATAAATAACTCCCACATACTTAGTGTTCCAGTACTGGAACACTAGGCATAGATGGGTTTAATTGCTTTCTTAAAAATCAGGGGCTTTTTAAAAAATTTTTAAATCTGGTAAAATACATTTACATAAAAATTTCAACCACCATTTTGTTTTCTGTTTCTATGGCTTTGACTACTGGAGGTATCTCATATCAATAGAATAATACAGTATTTGTCTTTTTGTGTGGTTTGATGACTAGATTAATTCACTTAACATAACGCCCTCAAGGTTCATCCCTGTTGTAGCCTGTGTCAAAATTTCCTTCCTTTCTAAGGCTGAACAATGTTCCATTGCATGTATACACCACATTTTGTTTATCCACTGATCTGTAGATAGACGCTTAGGGTGCATCTATCTCTTAGCTACTGTAAATAATGCTGCTATGATCACAAATATGCAAATATCTCTTTCATTCCCTGATTTCACTTATTTTGCATATATACACAGAAATGGAATTGCTGGATCATATGGCAATTTAATTTTCAATGTTTGAAGAACTGCCATTCTGTTTTTCATAGTGGCTGCACCATTTTACATCCCTACCAACAGTGAACAAGAGTTCAAATTTTTCCACATCCTCACCAACACTTGTTATTTTCTGTAATGTTTTCTATTTTGATAGTAGCCATCCTAATGGGTATGAGGTATCCAGGGCTATTTTTAAACTTGTTTTAATTTATTACTTAATTAATACTATTTTAATTAGCAAATGATATTTGGATACATTTGTGGTTTTCAATGTGATGTTTTCATATATGCATATAATGCGGAATGATTAAATCAAGCTAATTAACACACTTCATCTCACTTAGTTTGTGATGAGATGTTGGCAAATTTACACTCAGTTATTTTGGAACATACATTGTTTTTGATTATCGTCATCCTGCTGTGCAATAGATCTCAAAATCCGATTCCTCTTGTGTAACTGAAACTTTATACCCTTTGATGAACATGTCTCTATTTCCTCCCTTTCCCCTGGCTCCGGCCTCTGGTAACCACCATTCTCCTCTACTATGAGTTGACATTTTTACATTCCACATATAAGATATGCCATACTTGTCTTTCTGTGCCTGGCTTATGTTATGTAACATAATGTCCTCCAAGTTCATCAGGTTGCTGCAAATGACAGAATTTCCTTCTTTTTAAGACTGAATAGCATTTCATTGTTTACACACCACATTTTCTTCATCCATTCATCCATTGATAGACACTTAGGTTGATTCCATATCTTTGCTATTGTGAATAGTGCTGCAATAAACAGTGGAGTGCATATATCTCTTTGACTTATTGATTTCAAATTTTTAGATATATACCCCATAGTGAAATTGCCAAATCATGTGATAGTTCTATTTTTCGTCTTTTATGGAACCTCCAGACCATTATTCATAATGGCTGTACTAATTTATATTTCCACCAGCAATAAACAAGAGTTCCCTTTTCTCTACATTCTGAAACACATATATTTCCTTTTTGATTGTAGCTATTCTCACAGGTGTGAAGTTATATCTCATGGTGGGTTTAATTTGCATTCCTCTAATGTTTACTTATATCGAGAATTTTTCATGAACCTGTGGATCATTTGCATGTCTTATTATGATACATGTCTCTTCAGGTTTTTTGTTCGTTTTCTGATCTGGTTATTTGTTTTCTTGTTATTAAGTCGTTTGAGTTCCTTATATATTTTGGATATTAACCTCTTATCAGATGTATGGCTTGCAAATATTTTCTTCTACTATGTGGGTTGTGTTTTCACTCTGTTTTTTCTTTTGCTGTGAAGAAGCTTTTTCATCTGATAAAATTTCATTGTCTATTTTTGCTTTTTATTGCTTGTGCTTTCAGGGTCATATCCAAAAAAAATCTTTGCCCAAACCAACGTCAAGATAATTTTCCTGTATGTTTTCCTCTAGCAGTTTTAGAGTTTCAGGTCTTATGTTTAAGTCATATGTTATGAAAGAAAGATTCAAATTCATCCTTCTGCATATGGATATACAGTTTTCCTGACACCAGTTTTTGGAGACTGTCCTTTCTCCATTCTGTGTTTTTGGCCTCTTTCTCAAAAATCAATTGGCTATAAATTTATGGGTTTTCTTCTGAGCTCTTTATCTTGTTCTATTGTTCCATGTGTATGTTTTTCCAGTGCAATGCTATTTTGATTACTGTAGCTTTGTAGTAAATTTTAACATCAGATAGTACGATGCTTCTAGCTTTGTTATTTTTGCTGAGGATCACTTTGGCTATTTGTGGATTTTTGTGGTTCCATATTAGTTTTAGGATTGTTTTTTCTATTTCTGTAAGAAATGGCATTGGAACTTTGATAGAGATTGCATTGAATCTGTAAATCACTTTGGTTAATATGGACTTTTCAATCCATGAACATGGGATATCTTCCTATATGTTTGTGTCTTCTTCAATATATTTCGTTGATGTTTATAGTTTTTAGTGTATATGTCTTTCACGTCCTTGGTTAAATTTACACTTACCCTTTTTTCTTAACTATTGTAAATGGAATTATTTTCTTGATTTCTGGATAGTTCACTGTTAGTGCATACAAACACTACTGATTTTTGAATGTTGATTTTGTATTCTACAGGGTATACATTTCTTACAATTGAACTTTGCTTGAAATTTCTTAGGAATACATTAATAAAAAAGATTTGTTGTAAGTAGAGTCTATGTCACTTTCAGTGGCAATTGATAGATCAAAGCATCATAGAAACTTTGAACACATGAAACTAATTTTAAGCTTAATATTAGAGTATACTGTGACAAAATCTGTTTTTTTATTATACTTTAGACAAAATCTGTTTTAAATAGTGGATGAGACAAACTACTTCTTGCTATCTACTCTATTTTATAGATCAAATTACATAACAACAAGTAACTATTTAACTTCTAAACAATTTCAGAAAGGAAAATATTCTAAAATAGCCATCTTAATATTATTTGTAACAATATTATTTGTAACTAGAAATATCTAGTCTCATTTCAGACCCTTAAAAATTTTTGGAGTATTGATAATCAGCATAGATATATAGGAATATAAAAGTAGGATGCCAAATCATTTTTAAACTTTTTTATATACCATCTATAATTACAAATGTTGCAACATTTTATAATGACTAGCATTTTTATTTTTGTCTTTTGTAAAGATCTCTTTATATCCAATTGTGAATAAAGTATGAACTTCCGAACTCATATTTCCGTGACACTTTACTGTCATTAGTGATTTATTAATATATTCTTGTATTAGAAGCACCTTTCAATATTTTTTTACTTTGCACCCCTCAATAAAATGCATAGCACAATACATGCCTAAAAAACTCATATTTTGAACAAATTGATTTTCTTACTTTGTAAATAAAAATAAAATTTCTTTGATTTGACTTTCTTGTTGCTTAGGAGCATATCGCTTCATTATAAATGAGAATTACGACATCTCTATATATTCAATGATATCAGATAATTTTACTATACATACTTCTATTAATAGATAGTCATATTAACATTCTTTTCACCTTCCACAGTTTGTATATTGGGACTCTATTTAGTATTCTCCAATTTATATGGGCTACTAAGATGGTATCTGCTCCAAAAATTCTTGTAATATTACACACATTTCCATTCACTTCTAGTAATATTAGTACAGTACTATTAGTTACTCATCATCTTCACTTCCAGATAGTTTTTCAGCATCTTATTATGTGTAGTACTGAGAAGAGCAATGATATCCATTTATTAAAAGGATGCTTTATCTTTCCCACCATTTTTGGCTCAGTTTTGAGAAAAGTTTTTTTAGAAATTAATTCAGAGAATTAAAATACCATTGGCTTAAGTCTTTTTATTTTGCACAAGTTAGTTGCTATGTTTTTTTGTTTTGTTTTGTTTTTTGTTCAAATATGAGGCAACCATTAAATGACTGAATCCTTTAAATGACTGAATCCTTAGGAGAAAAATCTATATTAAACCCAAACTATTATGGCATTTGAAAAGTGGCATTTTCTGTGGTACATATACAAAATGTATTATGACACAGCCATAAGAGAAAACAAAATCATGTCTTTTGCAGCAACATGGATGAAACTGAAGCCCATTATCTTAAGTGAATAAAGAAACACAGGAACAGAAAGCCAAATACCACATGTTCTCACTTATAAGTGGGAGCTAAACATTGAGTATGGATGGACATAAAGATGGGAACAATAGACACTGGGGACTACTTGAGAGGGGAAAGCAAGAGGGGGGCAAGGGTTGAAAAACTAACTATGGAGTACTATGGCCACTATCTGGGTGATGGGATCATTCGCACCTCAAACCTCAGCATCACAAAATACACCCATGTAACAAACCTGCATATGTACACCTTGAATCAAAAGTAAAAGTTGAAATTATAAAAAAAGAAAAGTAGTATTTTCATTAGCGTCACTTGCCTTTTTTAATTTCTATAAATTGAAAATCATTATGAATAATTGCACCAGCTCTGATCAAGGATTAGTTTATTCTTTCAGTATTAATTGTGATTGCTTTGAAATACAGATGATCCTGTATCTTTCAGCTTCCTGAAATCATATTTTCTAAAAAGTAATTATAATTTTTAAAAATTATATATAGTTTTTAAAATGACATATACAGTTATTACAATGAGAAAAAATCACTCTTGTGAATGGGAGCCAGAAGTTAATGTAGAATGTGAATGCTTAAGTATACAGCTGTACTTAGACGCGATGATTACCTAAAATGTTTTCATTGGTTTTTATATTGATCTTTAATTATAATGCACAAAGTAGACACATTTTATAAACTCTTAAAATTATAAGAGTTAGAATCTATATAGAAAATAGTTATGTACTAAAGCAGGGCAAGAAAAAAATACGTACCAACATACTCGATTAATCTATTTCTCTTCTCAACAACCACAAAATTCAAAAGATGAGAACTACAGCAAGAAAATAATAGTTTCAAAAGGAATGATCATTCATTGAGCAAATATTATGATCAGATTTCAGCATAGAATTATTAAAATACTTCATGGAAGTATGTTTTCTAAGCATAAAATATCAGTCATGGTTCCATGAATTCAGAGATATAGAAAACTTGTTAAAATATGGTGGTAATTTTAAATGTTTATCATTTTCCAACAGGTAATTGCTAGTCATGACTTTTTTCCCAGACATGCCTTCTCTGTATCTGTGTTTAGCTTCTCTTAAGGTGGTGAATGAAGATTATTTTTTAAGTATCATAATAAAAACCATGCCCCAGGCAAATAGACAAACTACATTTTATTTATCTTCACTTTATTTTATGAGAATATCTTAATAATATTGCCTATGATTCTATCACATGAGAAAGTTATTTGTTCCTTTTGAGTTTTCAAGTGCAAATAGAGACAAAAGCTACAAAAGTTCAAATCACTTATATTTTTGTATAAATTAGGACTTAAGAGGATAAAGGAGAAAACTGAACTTAACTTTTGGTCAGTGTTTGGATACCTGATTCCTTTGGATAGGTATTTCCTAATGTATGGTCCTAGAACTAGCTATACCACAGTCACCTGAAATCTCACCAAACCACATCAAGTCAAACAAAATGCAGATTCCTGGCTAGCCCAGAAAAACTAATTTGAACAGTGGCCCTGGTAATTTTGATGCCCTTTTAAATTTGGAAACAGCTCATTTAGTGGTTGAGTCTCCAATTATCTGCTCTCTCTTAGAGTTCAGTGAATTGCATGGACTAGAGCCAGGTATGATTTAGATGCATGACATCATTTTAGACTCAAATTTTGGCTGTGATGCTTTTATTCTTGGTAGTGTGAGAGTTGGAACTTCATCCCTGTTAAATTTGTCTATGCATCCTCAGCCACTTGAAAAGCATACACAGCATATTGTATGTTCAATGAATTTTAACTGAAATAAGAAAACTCATAACGTAAACAATGAATTGCATTCTCCTAAAATGTAAATAATCGAATATGGCTCATCACACTGTATATTAGACTTCACTGACAAATGTTATTTTATGAGGCTGGGCATGGTGGCTCACGCCTGTAATCTCAGCACTTTGAGAGGCCAAGATGTGAGGACTGCTAAAGGCTAGGAGTTCAAGTCCAGCCTGGTCAACATAGCAGGACCCCCATCACTATAAAAAAAGGTTACTTTATTTGATGAGTATTACTTTTTCCTCAATAATGTAAAATCTTAGTATCTCACATTTTTTCCTCTTTGTGTGTATCGGAATTGATTTATAAAGTAATATGACATGCATTTACACATAAGTTTTTAATGTTGCTTTGTTTTACTTTCATTTGAATTTATTAAAACAATTGTGTTTCCTTTTAAAGCCAACTTTGTATTTTAGAAACTGTAAAACATTTTATACAGTTATTTATATCGTCCGGTGATATGCACTTTAAATGTATATTCCCAGAAACATCATAGGCACCTTGAAAACAGAAAAGCATCCTAACGTCTGTGAAAGATGTATTAGAAAAATTCCCCAATCGCTTTATACTACCAGTGGAGTAAGAGTATGTTTCCATAACTAGTACTTTATGATTGACAAATTGGTATGCACCTTTTATCTTCCTAATATGCTTCAAAGGCTACAGCTAGGATATACAACAATATGAGAATTATTTTCAATATAGGATACCTACACTATCCTGCTTTTAATCTAGAACCATCTCAAAACGTTATGTTTTCCTTTAGCTTTATGAGCTACTTAAAATGTTTTTATTGAAATACACACAAATAGAAAAGTTCACAAATCACAAGATCAAGGATTTCTTACAAATGTATTATACCCATATAACCAATGACCAGATGTAAAAGTAGGACAGTATTGGCATGTCAGCACTGCCTCTGCCATGCCTTCTCTTTATGAGAGAAAGGTAACTGTCATGATGACTTCTAACACCATAAATTAGTTTTATATGTTTTGGAATTTGATTTAAAAAATGGGGCAATGTGAGCTTCTTTGTCTTCAATTTCTTTAAGTTAGTGTTGTGTTCTTTTGGTGTCAGATTTTATTAAATGCTATTGTTTGTATCTATATTGAAATAATCAAGTAATTTCTATCTTTATTCTGTTAATATGGTCTGTTACATGAAATTATTTATTGTTAATATTAAAGGAATTTTGCTTTCCTGAAATAATATGCACTCGGTCTTTCTGGATTATCTTTTCACATATTACTTGGTTGGATTTATTACTATTTAATTTAGGATTTTTACATCTATATTATCAAGAGATACAGGTCTGTGTTATTTATATTATTATTATTATTAATTTCCAGTTTGAGTATCAGTCTACACTGGCCTCTTAAAAAGTGAGAAAGTACTCCCTTCTTATTATTCTATGAGATTGTTTCAGAAAATTTGGATATGTATATGTGATTTTTTTTCTGCCTTAAGTACTTGGAAGCATTTATCAGCAAAGCTCTCTGGCACAGAGTATTTTCTAGAAAGGTTTATCACAACAAATTAAATTTATTTAATTAATCTAAGATGATGAAGATTTTCTAGTTCTTCTCATATCAATTTTACTTAATGGCATTTTCTAAGTAGTTTGTCTATTCAAAATGTGATTATCTACCCACTATGTGATTCTTCTTAGTGGAGAAGGAGAGTAGGAGATGGCTCTAATTAGCCATACTGAACCCCTCCCCCAACTTTTTATTTTATAGATAAGCTTATTAGATTAGTATTTTGTGAAACATTGGAAATGATGTCTAATAATTGTCTCCTATGTGGAAGAATTCAGTACACCTTGCAATGCTGAGAGTGGCCCATGGGGCATCAGTGAATGTAATAGTCATCTAATTTTAGAGGAAGTGTCTCCAGATGAGAGCTTTACATAAGTTAATGGTAATTGGCCACGTATTAAATAAACTGATATGAGGTCTTTCATCATGTGACTAGAAATAATTTGAAACTATTTACCATGTTTCCAAAGGGTTGCTCTCTAAACTTGTCTTGCATGAATAACAAATCATTTGCACAGAATGGTATCCCTATGTGATGTTCCCCAAATTTCTACCCAGTGTATAATTTATATTTCACGTGATCTCAGAACCCAGGGATTCTGCAGTCCCTGTGGTCTGCAGGGACTGGGTGAGGTCCAGACCACCCAGAAAAAGAAAATCAATACTGAGTAGAAAATCACTACTGAGAAAGAAAATCAATACTGAGTTGCTGTCTGCTATCACTTATCTAAGATTATTTTCAGTGAAGTTCATAGGAATAGAGTGATGATTTTACTCTTGGTAAATCATGTATTATTTATTAACTGCAGGGAAATTGTAAGAATAGGAAGTTGTATAATTATAGGAAAAGTGTTCAAAATAATGTCTGCAGTTCTTTTTGATACTCCAAGCTTCTAAGTACATTAAGATTGGGCCTTGTTGTAATGGAAAATCTTAAGATAAATTAATCTGAAACAAAATAGTTATTTTTCAAACACATTAAATAGTATATTACAAAATATTAGCTCATTCAAACAAACGCTCACTTACCTGCAATAATATTTAATATTATGCCATTTTCATTGCAATGAAACAAGTTGTCTGATCCTTTAATGGTAGGCAATCTGAAAATCAGGAGTAGCTTACTACGGTTTTTAAAATTTGTTAGTATATTTTCTTTCTCCTAAGTGAACTGCCTTTATTTTCCTGTTGATCTATTTATGCTAAATATAATATGTTTGGTTTTGTCAAAATAAGTATACTGTAAGAATATTTATGACATGTATAATTGTGTGCATAACTCAAAATTACAAGTCTATAGAAGGAACATGAGACATTGATAGGGAAGAACTAGTTATGACTCATTTGTTAGTATCCTGTTTACAGTTCCATCAAAATTATTTCTTACTTCTTAAGTAAGTGTTTATACCTTGGTAAGTATATTAATTCGATGAAAAACATTACTAATGGAGGGTTCAAGCTAGAAAAATAAGCCTGCATACTTACTATAAGCGTATATATACATTACCACACCAGTAGATAATGTCTATAATAAAATAAGAGAACTTCAGTTTAAACAAACTTTTGTTATGTTCCATGATACACTCAGATATGCCACTAATTAATTTACCCATAGTCGAATAGCTTTTCATTGTACATTTATATCAGTTCAAATTTGGAATAAAATGCTGCCAAATTCAGAATAATTTACCTGAAAATCTCTGAACACTTTTTGCTCAGAGCCACTCCAATACAGGAAAAAGTACCCATTTAATCAGGGCACAGAGGAAATAAATACTACTATCCTAAAATCGGACACTAAGCCTCGTTCCGTAAACACTTGTTAATTTCTACTGTGTTTTATTTTCTGATCTGTCACAGTGTTTATATTTCTTTGTGTTAAATTACTTCCATAAGACACTACCCCAACCCTGATTCTATCTCCTTGCCTGCTTAGATCTTTATTTGCCATCAGATCTTATAGTTCATTTAGTAGGCTTTGTAGTCAGATATTTGCTTGCCCTATGTATATCCATGCCTCTGATTGCTTCTCTTCTTGTAGTGTGTTTGTGTGTATATTAAAGAGAGAGAGAGAGAGAGAGAGAGAATCTCAACCCAGGTCTCATAGGGTAACTCATTATCTGGATAAACATAGGTCAGGGACTTTAGAACATGGATCCTGGTGGAGCTCATTGATTTTCCTGTGTCCATATTGTACTGTTTAAAAAACAGAGTCAACATTAACTCTTTAAAAAATGTTCAAGTAGAATTAATGTATTTGAAGCATACTTAAAATAATTTTAAAGATTTATATGATGCTTGCTTGCATGTGCATAAAGACAAACTGGAAATTATTTTCTTTTTCAAATAAAATTTGCTCCTGAAAAGGTACATAATATAATATGCCTTACTCTTTAACCCTTTTCCCATTTGCCCTGAGAATACTCGCCAGCGGTGCTTCCGACTGCAGCTTTTACCTCAAGGTAACTTTGCCGTGGAATATATTGCTTTTATTATTTTCACATCATTCTAGTATATCGACTTTGGAAACAAGAGTAAAAATCCTGGAAAAGGTAGCATTCCTACACGTGATGTAAACATCATTCTCGAACAGTTGTTTGCTGAAGATGCATTTGATGAATGTGACTTTTCTGAAATAGATGATTCTGATGTTAGTTCTCTTTAGAAATAACTCCAAAAAGTAGTTTTAATATTTTATTTTCACATTAAATATCAGATTTGCTTCAGCCTCAAACAGCATGTTTATGTAAAAATAAATGAGCACTGGCAACGAGCTGCACTTTTTTTGTAAATGGGAAAAGGGTTAAATAGCTGTAGTATCAGAAAGTCTTTCAGCAACAGGGGAAAGAAAAGGAACAAAGGGGAACAAAAAACGTTTTCTTAAGAATCCTTACTAAGTGTCTGTGTTCTGTCATATCCCAGTTATCATTTTCATTCAATTTTAGATAATAAAGATAGCATTGTTCAATAATTGCCAATATAAGAACATATCAGTTTGACCAAAATTTTAAGGAAAAGCTCAATGAAAACAAAAAAACTACCATTTAAAAGAGCAATGAATTATAGTGGCAAGGAACACAATTAATTATACACTGAAATTAACAGAAAGCATTTTTTTGGAAGTTGCAATATAAGTAGTAATTTATATTTGCTTACTGTCACAGTAGTGCTTAATAAATCTAAAAAATATGGTTTTATTTACATCCAGGGTAGGTAGAAGTTCTTCAATAAACTGGCCTCTTATTTATTTTTAGTTTTAAATTTTTAGTATTTTTAAATTTTGAAATACTTATTTGACAAACATATATTAAATAGATTTAAGATATAAAATGTGTTTATTTGATATACATGTACATTGTATAAAGATGACCCCAAGAAAATATATTAACACATATATCACCATCCAGGCCATACATTAGATCCCCAGAACTTGTTCATCTTATAACTAAAAGTTTGTATCTTTCATCAACATCTCATTTTCCCTATTCCCTATCCCCTAGTAACCATTATTCTACTTTCTGCTTCTGTAACTTCAACTTTTTAGATCCCACATATAAGTGAGATCATACAGTATTTGTCTTTATGTTCCTGGCTTATTTCACTTAACATAATGTCTGCCACATTCACACATGTTGTGAATGTGGTAGAATTTCCTCCTTTTTTGGCTGAATAATATTTTATTATATATATTCACATAGGAAAATATATCACAATTTCTTAATCTATTTATCAGTTGAGGGACACTCAGTTTGGCTTGTGTCTTGGCTATTGTGAATAATGCTGCAATAAGAATAGAGGTGCAGTTATCTCTTTGAGATATTGATTCAATGTCATTTGGATACACAGATAGATGTGGTATTACTGGATTATAGTGAAATTCTATTTTTGATTTTTTGGGTAATCTCCATATTGTTTTCCGTAATGGAGATACCAATTTACATTTTCACTGGGTGCAAGGGTTCTCTTTACTCTACATCCTCTCTAAACAATTATCATCTCTTGTCCTTTTCATAATAGCCATCCTAAAACTTGTGAGATGATATTTCACTGTCATTTTGATTTACATATTCCTAATGATTAGTCATATCAAAAAGCTTTTCATATACAGTTATGAACTGTGTAATGTTTCAGGCCACAACAGACCCATAAGGTTATAATAGAGCTGAAAAACTCCTGTTGCCTAATGACAGTATGGCCATCATAGTGCAACTCATTGCTCATCTTTGTGATGATGCTAGTGTAAACAAACTGCACCTGGAGTCGTATAATAGTCTAAAATATACAGTTATGTACAGTACATAACACTTGATAATGATAATGCATGACTATGTTACTGGTTTATTTATTTACTATACTATACATATTATCATTATTTTACAGTGTGCTTCTCCTACTTATGGAAAAAAAAAACTTTTAGGTGTAAAATATCCTCAGGCAGGTCCTTCAAGAGGTATTCCAGAAGAAGGCATTGTTATCATAGGAGATGACAGCTCCATGTGTGTGAGTGCCCCTGAAGACCTACCAGTGGGACAAAATGTGGAGGTGGAAGACAGTGATATGAATGACCCTGACCCTGTGTAGGTCTACACTAATGTGTGTGATTATGTCTTATTTTATAACACAAAAGTTTAAAAACTTAAAAAAAGGTAAAACTTTAAAAGTAGAAAAAAGCATATAGAATATGAATATAAAGAAATAAAATACTTTATAGCTGTATAATGTGCTTGTGTTTTAAACTATTACAAGAGCCAAAAGCTTACAAAACTTGTAAAGTAAAAAAGTTACAGGAAGCAAAGGTTAAGTTTTTATGGAAGAAACAAAAATATGTATTATAAATTTAGTGTAGCCTAAGTACAATGTTGTAAAGTCTACAGTCATATATCATAATGTCCTGGGCCTTCACATTCACTTACCACTCACTCATTGATCCACCCAGAGAAACTTCTAGTCTTGCAAACTCCATTCATAGTAAGTGCCCTTGCAGGTGTACATATTTTTTATCTTTTATACTGTGTTTTACTGTATATTTTCTATGGTGAGATATATTTTGATACACAAATGCTTAGCATTGTGTTATCATTGCCTATAGTATTTGGTACTGTGTCATGCTGTATAGCTTTGTAGCATAGGAGCAATAGGTCATACCATGTAACTTAGGTGTGTAGTAGACTATATCATTTAGGTTTGTGTAAGTACACTCTATGATGTTTGCACAATGACAAAAATGCCTAAAGACATATTTCTCAGAGGTATCTCCTTTGTTAAACAGCATATGACTGTACCTGTTGTATGTTTTTTATGGAAAAATGTCCATTCAGATCCTTTGCCCATTTTTATATGGATTATTCAATGTTATATATATATATATATATATATATATATATATATATTACTATTGAGTTGTATGAGTTCCTTATATATTTTGAATATTCATCTCCTAACAGATGTCTGGTTCCATACATGCTTTCACATTTCATAGCTTTCTTTCTCATTTTGATGATGTTTTCCCAGTGTTATACTCAAACTTTTTAGTTTGATATAGTCTTACTTGCTTATTTTGCCTTCTGTTGCTTGTGTTTTGGTGTTATGTAAAAAAAATCATGGAATACAGGGTGAGCAAGCATTCTTCAATATATCGCCTTCCTTTACACGAATGCAGTGTATTTGTATTGAAAAATAATTATTAACATTAATCTTTTCAGCAAAGAGGATTGATAACTACTTGAAATGATATTAATTTTTGGTAATGATTTCCCTAATAAGTAGATTTTTTATAACATATATTTCCTGATTTTATTATGATTACATTCAGGAGCTATTGTTATAACTTTGCCAAGATTATTAACCATTATTCATAACCTTAGTGTTGTCATTGTTACTCATTTATTGACTGCTGAAAGAACATGAAACGCTACAAACTCTGTAGTCCAAACCCATATAAGCATATTTACCATTTTATTCCACATAATCCAGTTTAAATGAATAATGTAAAGTGAAATTAAACTTTTAACTTTAACTGCATTCAAAAGGCATCATCCATAGATGAAAGTAGATTTACCACTGAAAATACATTTTTTATTACCTGAGGCTAATTCAATCTATCTATAAACACTTCTACTTCTGACATAATTAAAATATGAAAGAGCCATTTACTATAAATACCTACAGGGAATGTGAAAATGAAATTGTAAAAGAACACACACAGCCCCTAACTTACTTGTTTTTGATAACACTGATTTTTGTTGAAAAAATATGTTTAGTGTCTAGATTGCTAAATAAGAATGAAATCTCAATTTTTCTACTTTTTTTTTTTTGGCAGGGTCTCACTCTGTTGCACAGGCTGGAGTGCAGTGGCATGATCGTGGCTCACTACAACCTCCACCTTCTGGGTTCAAGCTATCCTCCCACCTCAGCCTCCTGAGTAGCTGGGACTACAGGTGCACGCCACCATGCCTGGGTAATTTTTATATTTTTTGGTAGAGGTGGGGTTTCACCATGTTGCCCAGGCTGGTCTCGAACTCCTGAGCTCAAGCAATCCACCCATTTCAACCTCCCAAATTGCTGGGATTACAGGCATGAGTCACCGTGCCCGGCCTGAATCTAAGTTTGTTGATAAAAATGAATAATATGTGCCATGTAAAGATGTCCTGTGATATTGTGATATAAAATAGTCATTGCAGAAGTTTATTTTTATTCAGTATGTGTATACTTCATGTCTGTAAGATGATGACTCATTATTTATATGTATTTTGGTAATGCTTTTTGAAATTATCTTGTTAGCTGATATAACAGAAAGGAGAAACTGCTTTCCAAATAAGTAGATGTTAAATTCAAAAGAAATGCATTCTTTAAAACAATCTCACCTGGCTTTACATGATTGCTATGGTGGTATCAGGTTGATATATAAACTTAGAAAAAAAAATCTACACAAGTAATTCCATTCCTTTGACAACAAAAATCCATTATTAACAATCATTTTACTTTAGTACATTTTTGAATACAGGCATACCTTGTTTTATTGTGCTTTGTCTTTGTGTTTTGCAGATATTGCAGTGTTTTTTTGGGGGGGTTGTTTATTGTTTTGTTTTGTTTTTAAATTGAAGGTTTGTGGCAGCTCTGCATCCAGCAAGTCTATCAGCACCATTTTTTTTCATCAGTATGTGTTCATTTCGTGTTTCTGTGTCACATTTTGGTAATTCTCACAGTATTTCAAAATTTTTATTACTATTATGTCTGTAATAGTGATCTGTAAACAGTAATCTTTGATGTTACTCTTGTAATTGTTTTAGGGCACCACGAACCACACCCATATAAGATGGTGAACTTAATGAATGTTATGTATGTCCTCACTGCCTCACCAATTGGCCCTTTCCCTGTCTCTCTGTTTTCTTGGGGCTCCCTATTCCATCAGAGGCAACAATATTGAAGTTAGGCCAATTAATAAATATACAATGGGCTCTAAGTGTTCAAGTGAAAGAAATAATCTGTACAACACTCACTTTAAATCAAAACCTAGAAATAATTAAGTTTAGTCACAAAGGCCCATCAAAAGCCAAGATAGGCCAAAAGCTAAGGCACTTATGGCAGTTAGCCAAGTTGTGCATGCAAAGGAAAAGTTCTCAAAGGAAATTAAACGTGCTACACCACTGAACACAAGAATGATAAAAAAGCAAAGCAGCTTTATTGCTGATATGGAGAAAGTTTTAATGGTCTAGATAAAAGATCAAACCAGCTACATTACTCTCTTAAGCCAAAGCCTAATCCAGAGCAACGTCTTAACTCTCTTCAATTCTATGAAGGCTGAGAGAGGTGAGGGGGCTGCAGAAGAAAAGCTTGAAGGTAGCAGAGGTTGATTCACAAGGTTTAAGGAAAGAAACCGTCTCCAAAATTAAAAGTTCAAGGTTAAGTGGCAAGTGCTGATGTGAAAATTCAGCAAGTTATCCTTATTAACTAGTTAGATAACTGATGAAGGTGGCTACACTAAATAACATATTTTCCGTGTGGATGAAATAGCTTGATACTGGAAAAAGATGCCATCTAGGACTTTCATATCTAGAAAGGAGAAGTCCATACCTGGCTTCAAAGCTTGAAAGGGCAGGCTGACTCTCTTGTCAGGGGCTAATGCTGTTGGTGACTTTAAGTTGAAGCCAATGTTCATTTACCATTCTGAAAATCCTACGGCCTTAAGAATTATGCTAAATCTACTCTGCCTATGCTCTATAAAAGAAACAACAAAGCCTGGATGGCAGCACATTTATTTACTTCATGGTTTACTGAATATTTTAAGCCCACAGTTGAAATCTACTGCTCAGGGAAAAACAAAAACAAAAACAGTTCCTTTCAAATATCACTGTTCATTTACAATACACCTGGTCACCCAATAGCTCTAATGGTGACAAATAAGAAGATTAATGTTGTTTTCATGATTGCTGATATAACATTTATTACACAGTCCATGGATCCAGAAGTCATTTTGATTTTCAAGTGTTATTGTTTAAGAAATACATTTAATAAGACCGTAGCTGAAATGGTGATTCCTGTGAGATATGTAGGAAAAGTAAACTGAAAACCTTGCAGAAAGGATTTGCCATTCAAGATGCCATTAAGAACATTTGTAATTCATGGAAGGAGGTCAAAATATCAACATTTTGATAGGAGTTTGGAAGAAGTTGATTCCAACTCTCATGGATGACTTGAAGGTTTCAAGACTTCATTGGAGTAAGAAACCTGCAGATGTGGTGAAAATAGCAAGATAACTGGAATTAGAAGTGAACCCTGAATATGTGAATGAATCCCTGCAATCTCGTGATAAAACTTGAACATATGAGGAAATGCTTTTTATAGATGATCAAAGAAAGTGGTTTCTTGAGATGGAATTTGCTCCTGATGAAGATGCTGTGAAAATTGTTGAAATGTAAACAAACAATTTGGAATATTACATAATCTCAGTTTATAAAGAAGCAAAAGCATTTGAGAGGATTGATTCCAATTATAAAAGAAGTTCTACTGTCTTTAAAATGCTATCAAACGTATCATATGCTGTAGAGAAATATTTTGTGAAAGAATCAATCAATGCAACAAACTTCATTGTTGTCTTATTTTAAGAAATTGCCACAGCCACCCCAACCTTCAGCAACCACCACTCTGATCAGTCAGCAGCCACCAGCATTGAGGCAAAACCCTCCACTAGAAAAAAGCATATGAATCGCTGAAGGCTCGGTTTATTTTTAGGATTTTTAACAATAAAGGATTTTAACTGAGGTATGTGCATTGTTGTTTTAGACATAATGCTATCATACACTTAATAAACTACAGTATAGTGTATACATAACTTTTTTTTGGAGACCTGGTCTCTCTCTGTCACCCAGGCTGGAGTGCAGTGTCGCAATCATGTCTCACTGCGGCATTGACCTCCTGGGCCCAAGCCATCTTCCTACCTCAGCCTCCTGAGTAGCTGGGAATACAGGCATGCAGTATGGTGCCTGGCTATTGTTTTTCAGATGTTTTTGTAGAGATATGGTCTCCCTGTGTTGCCCAGGCTGGCCTTAAACTCCTGGGCTCAAACAACCCATTCATCTTGGCCTCCCAAAGTGCTGGGGTTAAAGGCAAGAGCCACTGCTCTTCACAGCAACATAACCTTTATGTGCACTGGAAAACCAAAAAAAAAAAAAAAGTGTTACTTGCTTTATTGTGATATTTATTTTATGGCAGTGGTCTGGAACTGAACCCACATTATCTCCAGGATATTCTTCTAATAGCAGCTATATTAAAGGTATAACATTTCTACATTTTAAAAACTAGAATGCAGATTTCTTTATGAATTTAAACTGTCTAATACATTTGTTTGGAATTTAAGTGTTTGGTATACTGTAGAAATTGAGGCACACTTAATTTGTTGTTAATGTATATACAAAAGCCCCTCAATATTGTCATCTAGCTCTGAAGGAGTGACAATATAAATCATAATTCATGGTCATACTGCCAAAAGAACTTTGCAGAGTTTATCTATTTGTAAACAATTTTTTCCATATTTAGTGAAAAAAATTAAGGGTGTTTCACAAGTTGAAGCAAAAAATATAAAAGGTGAAGCCATCATTGTTTAAATTTGAGATGAATCTTATTATTGAATGTTCATTTTCTTTTTTTATTATACTTTAAGTTTTAGGGTACATGTGCACAATGTGCAGGTTTGTTACACATGTATACATGCGCCATGTTGGTGTGCTGTACCCATTAACTCGTCATTTACATTAGGTATATCTCCTAAAGCTATCCCTCCCCCCTCCCCCCACCCCACAACAGTCCCCAGTGTGTGATGTTCCCCTTCCTGTGTCCAAGTGTTCTCATTGTTCAATTCCCACCTATGAGTGAGAACGTGGTGTTTGGTTTTCTGTCCTTGCAATAGTTTACTGAGAATGATGATTTCCAGCTTCATCCATGTCCCTAGAAAGGACATGAACTCATCATTTTTTATGGCTGCATAGTATTCCATGGTGTATATGTGCCACATTTTCTTAATCCAGTCTATCATTGTTGGACATTTGGGTTGGTTCCAAGCCTTTGCTATTGTGAATAGTGCCGCAATAAACATACATGTGCATGTGTCTTTATAGCAGCATGACTTATAATCCGTTGGGTATATACCCAGTAATGGGATGGCTGGGTCAAATGGTATTTCTAGTTCTAGATCCCTGAGGAATCGCCACACTGACTTCCACAATGGTTGAACTAGTTTACAGTCCCATCAACAGTGTAAAAGTGTTCCTGTTTCTCCACATCCTCTCCAGCACCTGTTGTTTCCTGACTTTTTAATGATCACCATTCTAACTGGTGTGAGATGGTATCTTATTGTGGTTTTGATTTGCATTTCTCTGATGACCAGTGATGATGAACATTTTTTCATGTGTCTTTTGGCTGCATAAATGTCTTCTTTTGAGAAGTGTCTGTTCATATCCTTCGCCCACTTGTTGATGGGGTTGTTTGTTTTTTTTCTTGTAAATTTGTTTGAGTTCTTTGTAGATTCTGGATATTAGCCCTTTGTCAGATGAGTAGATTGCAAAAATTTTCTCCCAGTCTGTAGGTTGGCTGTTCATTCTGATGATAGTTTCTTTTGCTGTGCAGAAGCTCTTTAGTTTAATTAGATCCCATTTGTCAATTTTGGCTTTTGTTGCCATTGCTTTTGGTGTTTTAGGCATGAAGTCCTTGCCCATGCCTATGTCCTGAATGGTATTGCCTAGGTTTTCTTCTAGGGTTTTTATGGTTTTTGGTCTAACATGTAAGTCTTTAATCCATCTTGAATTAATTTTTGTATAAGGTGTAAGGAAGGGATCCAGTTTCAGCGTTCTACATATGGCTAGCCAGTTTTCCCAGCACCACTTATTAAATAGGAAATCCTTTCCCCATTTATTGTTTTTGTCAGGTTTGTCAAAGATCAGACGGTTGTAGATGTGTGGCATTATTTCTGAGGGCTCTGTTCTGTTCCATTGATCTACATCTCTGTTTTGGTACCAGTATCAGGCTGTTTTGGTTACTGTAGCCTTGTAGTATGGTTTGAAGTCAGGCAGCATGATGCCTCCAGCTTTGTTCTTTTGGCTTAGGATTGACTTGGCAATGTGTGCTCTTTTTTGGTTCCATATGAACTTTAAAGTAGTTTTTTTCCAATTCTGTGAAGAAAGTCATTGGTAGCTTGATGGGGATGGCATTGAATCTGTAAATTACCTTGGGCAGTGTGGCCATTTTCACGATATTGATTCTTCCTATCCACGAGCATGGAATGTTCATTTTCATGCAGAAAATTGTACTCAGTATGTATGTAGCTATGTGTCAGATACACTTTCTGCCTTTATGCCTCACAGAAATCCATAATATTGCAGAGCAACCTACCTGTAGACACATATTTGGATTGTGGCTTGAATGGTGGTGATGCAAAGCATAGAATATTCATTTATTTTTGGAGTATGTGATGAGAAGGAATAACTGCTTTTGCCGAAGCTTAGGGGAACACAGATATTAAATAAGACTTTCATGAAGAGGGGTAATTGAGATGGTTCTAGCAAGAATATCTCAGACAATATAGGAAGGGAATTCTAGGCATAATGAACACAACATAGAAGTGCATAGAAATGAGAAAAAGTAGCAATTGGCATTCAGGTCAGGCTCTAATGAGGAGACAGAGAGAAATAGGAATGAGGAAGTTTATGGCACACTACTACAGAGGAATTATATGCCATTCAAATGAGTTTAATACTAGAGTAATAAAGAGCTAATGAGGGATAATTTAGCTTCCAGCCATATTCCCTAAAGAATGTTAATATTCTTAGTCAACAGGTACTTTGTGTATAGACTTTTGAAATTTTAGGGGAAACCAAATAGCAAGCCCTTCTACATGTTTAATTGTAGATTGAATTTAACATTACTTTTCAAGGATTGATCTGAAAAGAGCAAGTTTTTAATCATCGTGGCTGGCATGGAAGGAGTGACATCAGAACTCATATTTCTAGGGTAAGGTTTGCTAAACAAATATGTGAACAACAACATCTTTTCCACCTCAGCAAAAATGGGTAGTCAATTCTAACTTGATATTTTCTGTGAGTCTTCACATCCTTGATGATTATTGTACAATATCCTTGATATCGACTTCTTGCAGTCACAAAGTGAGTTAAATATTGAAAGGGAAAAAAGATTGAAATATTCTGTCAACTTCAAAAGTTGGGAACTCGAGAATGAAGATGCATAATTAGGATACCATAGTGTCTTTCCTTCAGACTCAAAAAGAATTCTTCTAATTTTCCTAGGTTTCAAGTCTAGAGTGCTGTCAAGCTACATTCCAATATTCTATGTTATATGACATTATTCATGTGCTCTTATAAAGTCATTCCCCAGTTAATAATCTAAATATTGAAGCAATATTGCATATCACAGGATTTAAAAACTAAAGAGCCTTAGTCTAAGGGTGTTGTTTTGATCAGTGATGGAAATAAAGGGTGATTTGTGGCAGTGAAGTTCTGGGGCTGCCCAACTTGCATGTCAGTAATTTAAGAGGCAGAACACAATGACACTTCCCAAATAAATATTCATCAGTAGACATTTATTAGCTACCTGTCATTGCTTAGCTCTATATACTTGGCTCGGTGAAAAGCTTAAAGCAGGAGAAAACACAACATACGCCTGCCTAAACTGGAGGAGCTTATGCGCTAGCTGGGAAGACAATATGTATATTCACAAAAAAGGCCAGGCAACAAGGTGTGATATGTATATGAGGTAATATAGTACAGATGATCCTATGGAAGTTTACAAAGCTTTATGATTTCCTCTATTAACCATCACTTTTCCCCACTGTTCTTCCTTTCATAGAAATGGTGATGATAACCTAGTGTCTTCCTGTAAGGGGACATTGTAAAGATATACTAAGTAACTTTTGGAAAGGAATTTGAGCTCAGAGAGAAGACATCAGAAGAGTATAATGAAAAGAACCTTATCGTAAACTATGGTAGAATTGGTTATAACAGAAAGACTAATAAATCATTCCTTTGTTTACTTTCTTCTTCTTCCGTATTTGACAATTAAGCCTTTTAAAATTCCTGGTGTTTAAACTGACAAAAAATAACTGTGAATTGCCATGAAACAACCTAATGCACAAGATTTTAAGCATACACACTGCCTATTTTTGGCCAGGTCTTTATTTTTAACAGGGGCCTTTAAAAAACGGCTTTAGCAACAGTCTGTAATAATAGAGAAAATCACTAAATGTATCTATTTGTCAGTAATCCTAAGGCATTATTTTGCGAGGAGAGGAGAAGAAGAAAATGGTTTGTTTTTAAATTTTTAAAGTTCTAAAATATGTTTTTTTATTAGAAACAAATATGAGTGTTTATTGCTTCCTTGTTAAAGTAATTATACACTGACTTTTTTCCTTTCCAGGGTGTTATTGAAGGACCTTAGCCTAATATCTCCAACAGTTCTTTTAATTACTCAGGAAGGATGATTTATATAAACAGATATGAAGGTACTGAACCTGATTTTCTTTGTCAGCTTAAGTCGTGCGTTCCACAGACTTCAGAACTCTAAATGACATCTTTGAGCTGCATATTTTTAAACCTGAGGGCTTCGGTTTATGTAGACTGGAACTGAAAAACTTCTCTTCCTTTCTCCAATCCTTTCTTCCTTTCTTTCTTCTTGACTTTTTTCCTTTCTTTTCCTTTTGTAACTCAGATAAAGAATATCCATTTAATCATAGTCCTCAGTTCATAGCACATTATTAATCACCAACTGATGTAAAGCCCCTCTTCTGTTTGTAATTCCATCCATCCATCCATTTCTTTTTATCTTTTCTACTTCCATTCCCCTTTATTCATAGGCAATCATTACATTATGTATACATAGTGTATTTTTTTAATTTGAGGGCATGCTTTGAACATGTATGTTGTTATTTTGGGTTATGTCTTTGTAATTTATATAAATGGCATAAATAGTAATTGTAGGTATTACTGACATAGTACTTTCTATAAGCCAGACACTGTTCTAAACACCTTTTTATGTACTGACTTATTTAATCTTTGCAATAACCTAATGATATGGGTACGTTTTTTTCTTTTTTAAAGGCATTTTTACTATTTTCACATTACATAAAGTAATGTAGACAACCTTAGGAGAATCTTTCAAGATAATGGTTGTGTTTAGGACCAAATAAATCTACATCTGATTAGCAGGATTAATTTGTTTTCAAACAATAACTATGTCTTTAAGAGTTCTTCCCTTAAGTAAATTCACTATTTTTTATTATTATTTGTTTTTCTAGCTTTATTAGGGTATGATATCATATAAATATATGATTTTAAGGTGTATAATGTGATATTTTTATATACTTTTACCTTGTGAAATGATTCCCTCAATCACGTTAATCAAACTATCCATCACCTCACAGTTATTTTACAGAGGTGAGGTTGAGGACATTTAAGATATACTCTCTTAGCAAATTTTAAGTATATATTATTAATAACTATAGTTATCATGGTGTTCATTAGATTTTCAGGACTAACTCATTTGATAACTGAAACTTTAGAAGAGGAAACTAAAGCACAAATTGGCCTGTGCCGCACAGCTAGAATGTGAAAAAGCTGAGATAAAAACCCGTACATCTGGCTTTGGAATCCACACTTTTAATCACTAGTCAAACTGTCTCTTGCTATGCAATATCACTGTATTTTTTTAATTTTTTACTAAACACTGTCTTGAAAATTCTTGTGTCTTGCTATGTACACAGCTAATTCATTCTTTTTAATTTCTGGGAGGCCTCTTTTGTAGGTTTTAGCAACTTTTTGCCTTAACTCTCACCAATGTTTCCAAGTCTATTGTGAGTACACGAGCATCTGTGAGTCTGGACAGAGAAGGAGATCAGGATGAGTGTAGCAAAAAGGGTGGTAAAAAATAATCTACAGGTATGTGTCAGTTCCTGTTCGGTCATATTTCTTAATTTTACCTAAATATGATTATCCCTTATAACAAAATATTTGAAAATAGGGAATTTCTGGTAATTTATGCACAGCTGAAAAAAATCTGAATCAGTTTGCCATGGCTGCTATAACAAAGTACCTCAGTCTGAGTGGCTTATAGAACAGATATTTATTTTTTCACCTTACTAGAGGCAAATTGTCCAAGATAAAGGCGGCCACAGTGTTGGTTTCCTCTGAGGTCTGTCTTCTCGGCTGGTTGATGGCCATCTTCTTCCTATGACTTTAAATATCCTTCCCTCTCTAAGTGTCTGTGTCATAATATCTTTCCTATAAGGACACCTGTCATATTGGATTACATCCCATCCTAATGACCACACTTTGACCTGATTTCCATTTTATAGTCCGTATCTGCAAATATGGTCACAATCTGTGGTACTGAGGGTCAGGACATCAATCTTTGATTTTTGTGTGTGTGTGTGTGTGGCGTAAGGAGACACAGTTGAGCCCATAACAGTGGCCAAGGGACATAGTGAGACCATGGATTGACTATGTGTTAAAGCTAATGTTTCTTTTAGGAAAACATAAGAAGATTATTTTGATAATTATATACTGAGCATCTGTTATGTGTCAAGAACTAAGATAAGATACCACAGAGTGAGAGTTTGGTGAACAAGTACTTTTCAGATGATAAAGGTGGCTAAATGGTGCTGTTATTACCTAGGAAGGTTTTAGAGTCATATTCGATAGCGTTTTCAAAGAATATATTTTCACTTGGTGAAACAAGCTTATTGCACACATGCTAGAAGGCAGATCGTCATTTCTCTCTGATGCCATATTTATTTAAAATCAGGCTTTCTTTCTCCTTCTACCACTTCTAGATCTTTTTAAACTTTTCCTTATGTGCCATGTTTACTGCAATAATACTGATTTCCAGTCCAATGTCACACCTTTTTATATCACTTACCATGGCACTGTTCTTTTACCAATTACCCTGGTGATAGTTGATTAATTCATACGTGTCCAGATTATACTTGAGCTCTGTATGAACAGAAGCACACCGTGTCCAGCATCTGTAAGGTAAAGATGCAAACATACACCATAGATCTAAAAGAGCAAAGAGTGAGAGCAAAAGGCTGAACTTAATATTCCAAGACAATAAATTTTCATAGCATTTAATCTGTTTCATGATTTGGTATTTCTGAAGTTAACAGGAGCCATAAACAAGAAAGAAGGAGTTTTTGTGTGCTGAGGGATGAATTAGAAATAATGTGAACAAAGCAGAATAACTCATAGTTGTATATTCCATGTGGAATAGTCAATCTGCTATTGGCTTAGTTCTTCAGCTGAGTGGACTGGTATGTTGAGACAAATTCCTACATTTCTCACAGAATGGTGTTCCCATGTGTTTTACTGGACTCATGATTGTTGAAATGTCCATGGAATCCTGACTTTCATAATTGAAAAAAAATATATGCACATACATAAAAATACCAATGCCAAGTTGAATTATTGATATTAAACCTATAAAACAGGTTATTCTCAACAGTGTAATGTATTTTTTTGGTTTTATTATTTCCTGCCAATTTATAAAGAATAGATATTCTGCTTCTAACTTCTCTCAAAGAGGATATACTGCATTGAGCTACTTTTGTTAACACTTAGTGTAGCTGTATTCCATTTAAAGAAAAGGTGGGTAATGTTTTCCAGCTATGCAATATTTATAATATGACATGATTTCAAATACAAGCATGACATTATCTGTGTTTTTTTTTAAAAAAGAAACTCTTTAAATAAACCTAATAATGTGTTATACATCTCAGAACTGGCTTGTTTTTAAACCCAACCATTTGCTTACACCTTTCATACTACAAAAATGCTTGTTCTGTAATAGATATTATTTTTTGTGTAACCTTGATTTAAAGGAAATGTAAACATTAAAAATATTTAAGAATCAAAAATATTTGAGTTATTGAAGAGTATTTTTAAACTTTAATATGAAAATTATATTGGAATTGAGCAGGAGGAAGTTGTAATTAAAGGAGCATTTAAATCAAAATGAAATGTCTTAGTTAGACTTGTCATGCTTTATATTGCAATCCTTATCAGAAATACCTTATAGGTATGAGATAAGATAACAATGATTTCCACCAGGGATACTAAACACATTATCAATAATTATTTTAAATGTCTGAATTCAGTAAAAATAAAATAAATAAACTACCTGAAACATGTTCAAGCAAGGAAGATGTTTGTAACTATTCTCATTCTAGCCTTTAACACTTATTTTAATATCTAACATTACCCACTCTCTAGGGTTGGTAATACCCCTAGAATGGATTAACTGTTATGATTGTTTAAATTGATTTTGCTGTTTATCGGCTCTTATTCAGCAAATGGCAAGTTTGCTGACATAGCAGTGTACCATAGATTCATTCTCCCAGATTCTATCAGTCCTGTAATTCAGTGCAGGTGTATCACTGGCGGTTCAATATAAAGTACTTAATGCAGGACTTTAACAGTTCTAGAAATTACATTAAGGACTTTCTTTGATTTTGAGGATTTCGAAGGAAACAACCAGATAAGGATAAAACACAATTAGCCTCATTTATTATTTGAAGACGTTTTTACATGATTTTTACCTATGAAAACAGGAATGTATTAGAAGTTGGAATACTACTGCACACATGTAACTTTAACACTTCTGAATGGCTTTTCAAAAAGGTTGACTTCTGCATATGGTTTGTTTCTTATTCTAAGTTTCTTAATTCAAAACAATCAATTCTCTTTCATTTCTTTTAAAAGTCTGCTTTGATTAATAAAGGTTACAATTTTTTCCACCCTATGGATTATCTTTACCACCATTCTTGTATGCCCATCTTCTCAACCTGTTGTTGACCATGAGGAAGACAGATGTTTATATTAAAATTTGGATTCCCCTTACTTTTCTCTTTTCTGTAACAGATAATTGAAAATTGTCAGTAATAACATGATATAATGGACTAAGTGTAATAAATTCTTTAAATGTCTTTATTTTCATCTGGAGTGAGAAAGAAATGCTGTCTTTTCACAGTTATTCCTAACATGTTTTTTCTGATTCCCTCTAGCCTACTCCAGAACTTTTGCTAAACTGTCGTGCCTTCTTACTTTCAATTTCCTCCTTTCAACTGATTTCCTCTCTTTGGCATATAGAAAAACACAGGACTGCCCATTTAGAAAAGGCTTCTCTCAAATTACTAATTCCCTTAAACTAGCAATTTCTTTAATATACTGCCCTAGGATCCTCTTTTCTCTCATCACTAATTTTTTTCAAAAGTATTCATTCAGTTCTAGCTAACAACCCTATTTTATTCCCCAATCCACTACAGTACTTTTTGTTCCAATTACTTTACAGAGACTGTTAAAGTCATCCTTAACTTCCTTTTTTTGTTGTTTGGTTTTAAACCAATGACCTCTCAATTGCTAAATCAATTGGCTCCTCAAGTAACTTCCCTACTTCTATCTTGAGCAGTTGATTAAAAAACTATTTCTATCAGAAAGTCCCATCTCTCATACATTTTTTTTCAGGTTGCCACTTTCAACTTCACTCTCCTACTATTCCACCTTCCCAATCTTCTTTGCTGACCTCTTTTTCTCCAACCGTTACATGCTAATGTTTCCCAAAATTCTTATGTTTGGCCATCTCTTTTTGTTCTCTGTGTTTTTCCAAGTAAATTAAACCATGCAAATGATTTTATATACAATCTATGCAGAGATAACTTCGCAATCTGTGTCTTTCAGCTTGATCTGTATTTTATACATATACTTACACAAATTTACTAGAAGTATTCATGAGGTACTTCAAGCATAGCATACCTTAAATTAAGCACATTATATTTACTCTTAAATCAAAATCCATTTTTACTCCTGCATTCTGCATCTTGTTGAATTACATCTATTTCTTCCCCTCTCGAGCTCCTAGAGTTAACATTGACTCTTCACTACCCTTCAATATCCACATCTAGTACCTCATCTAGATAAATTATGCCTCCAAAATATCTTTTAAATATTTTTATCCTGTCCATTCCTACTTTTAGTATCTTACCATTTCTCCACTGAACTATTTATGAAAATACCCTCATTATTGGTTCTCTTACAAATATATGGTATTTTCTTTAACTTTTTCCCAATTATTGCCACAGTTATATTTTTAAATACAATTGGGGTTATGGGACTTGCCTACTTAGGGTACACGTATGTAAAGCACTGAGACAACACTTCAAATCTGGGGTCCAATCCTTCAACATGTCTAATTACACTTGCCATATAATAAATAAATATATATGTATGTTATGTATATATCATACATATTATGATATATAATAAATATACGTAGATAATAAATAGGTTATATTATATAGAGATATATATATACATATTTAGTCATTTTCACTAGTTCTTACCACAGAATTCCTCAAAATATTGGAATATCCTGAGTGATACAAATGTCTTTTGTTATTTACCACAAACACCTTTTTACCATACCTGAGTTTATGCAAAAGAAGTGACTCCTAGTGGTCCTAAGATAGCTTCAAGATAGTAGCTGGTTGCCAGAGGAACCAAACACATGATTAGAAATGGAAACTTTCAGCCTCACCATCCATACCCTGTCCAGGGAAGAAAAAAAGGCTGGAGATTTTGTTCAATCACCAGTGGCCAATGATTTAATCAATCATGCCTACATAATAAAACCTTCTTAAATACTCTTGAACAGCAAAATTTGGCAAGCTTTTGGGTTGGTGAACATAATGATGTGCTGAGATGGTGGCACGTCTAAGAGAGGGCATGGAAACTCTTCACACCTCTACTCCTCCATACTAGCTCAATGCATTTCTTCTATTTGGTGATTCTTGAGTTGCAGCCATAATAATAATACTTTAATCATAAGTATAGCACTTTTCATTGTTTTGTGAGTCATTCTAGCAGATTATCAAATATGAAGGGGTGAAAGGAACCCCTACATTTATAGTCTGTTTGGTCTGAAGTAAGGTGGCCCCTGGGACTTGCAATTGGCATTTGAAATAAGGCCAGTCTTGAAGCACTGAAGCCTTGAGTTGTAGGGTCTATGGTAACTCTAGGTAGTTAGTGTCAGAATTCAACTGAATTCTGGGAAAGCCAGGTGGTGTCAGAGAATTGAAAATTTTGTTTGAATAACAACATATTTGGTGTCAGGAAAAAAAAAACCATTCATTGCTAGAAAACCTCAGATTGCTAAAAGGGGCCTGACCCATGGAAACATGGTTTGAGACAAGAAAGGATGAGGAACCTTTGATCTTGGAATGAATTAAGACTTTTTGGCTATTGAGATGAGGGGAGAGGGTGCAAATGTATTTTGCATGTGAGAAAGACATGAATTTGGAGGGCCCAAAGGGCAGAGTGCTATAGGCTGAATTGTTTTCACACAAAACTAAAATGTTGAAGCCCTAACCCCCCAATACTTCAGAATGTGACTGTATTTGGAGGTGGAGCCATTAAAGAGATAATTGAGGTTAAATGAGATCATACGCATGGGCCTCAATCCAAAATGAGTGGCATAAGAAGAGAAAATTTAGGCAAAGAAAGACATCAAATGTACCAAGGAAGAGAAAAGACCATGTGAGGACACAATGAGGAGGCAACCATATACAAGCCAAGGAGAGAGGCCTCAGAAGAAATCAAACTTGGCTAGTACCTTGATCTTGAAATTACAGTCTCTAGATCAGTGCAATAATAAATTTCTGCGTATAAATCACCTTTTCTGTGTTATTTTGTTATGGCAACACTAGCAAACTAATACAGCAGGTTATTCTTGAGGGAGCAGTAAGTCTTATGGACTGTATAAAAGCCACTGTAAATCCTGTTTACCCTGAGAAAGGGGCTGTCTGATTCCCACTATAAATTCCAAGTGGAACATTCCAGATAAAGCAGCTGATATGAAAGCCATGTAAGACTGGCTTTATGATAATAGGGATATTCGTCCACTGGATATTCTTGTTACCCAGATCATGAAAAATGCTGTGATTATGAGGGTCCCTTTTGTCTGAAAACCCCATGTAATCTTACTGCTGCAAAACTGAGCAACATTCTGGGAAGCCTTGTTGCATTTTCCATTTCAAGTTTTGCTTATGGGTCTGACAGATACTAATAAAAATATATTAATTAAGGACAGAATGGAGGTAAGCAGAGGAAAGAGTCAAGGGACTCATTCCAGCGGGATGGAAATTTTTAGATGATTATTAATAAATGGGATGAATAAGAAGGACATTGATAGGATTGAAACAAAAATCTTAACACAGCACTGTAGAAGACTGAGTGGACTAATGGGAGCCCAACATTAAAGGACCCCAAACAATTCTGCTTTATTTACCTCAGTTTGGAGGAATTAAAAAATCTGGAAGGCAAAGATTATAAGGAAAAACCCATCCTGAAATTGCCAGAGGCAACAGTCAGGCAGATTAAAGGTAAAGATTGACTAAAGGGCCAGAGTCCCTTGGCTTGACCTCTCGGTGAGGTCCCCAAAGCCTTATGTACATGAGTAAGTAAAATGGTAAGAAAGTGGAAAAGAGAAAATTTTGTTATTCTGGGACATGGGAACCTCATATACCCTGGTACCAAAATCCATTGGTTAAGTTGAACAATGGTTAACATGACTTTATGTGAAGGAGTCGTATTTCCTTTACTTGAATGTTTTATGGGAATAGCTATTATGTGTGACTGAGAAACACTTCCTCTACCTTATACTATGAAACTGAAACCTGTTTGATAAAGCCTTAATGGAGACTCAAGTTAGGGATGTATGTGTTGATGGAATTAAAGTGAAAGTTTAGTTGAAAATTGATATGTGATATGGTTTGGTTTTGTCCCCAGCCAAATCTCATCTTGAGTTGTATCTCTCATAATTCCCACAAGTTGTGGGAGGGACCCAGTTGATGAATATGACCTGGTGGGAGATAATTGAATTATGGGGGCAGTTCCCCCCATACTGTTCTCGTGATAGTGAATAAGTCTCATGAGACCTGATGGTTTTATAGGGGGTTTCCCCTTTCACTTGGCTCTCAATCTCTCTTTTCTGCCGCCATGTAAGATGTGCCTTTGACTTATACCATGATTGTGAGGTCTCCCCAGCCACATGGAAGTGTGAGTCCATTAGACCTTTTTTTTCTTTATAAATTGCCCAGTCTTAAGTATGTCTTTATCAGCAGCATGAAAACAGACTAATACAGTAAATTGGTACTGGTAGAGTGGGGTGCTGCCATAAAGATACCCGAAAATGTGGAAGTGACTTTGGCACTAGGTAAGAGACAGAGGTTGGAACAGTTTGGAGGGTTCAGAAGAAGACAAGAAAATGTGGGAAAGTTTGGAACTTCCTAGAGACTTGTTGAATAGTTTTGACCAAAATGCTGATAGTGATATGAACAACAAAATCCAAGCTGAGGTGGTCTCAGATGGAGATAAGAAACTTGTTGGAAAATGGAGTGAAGGTGACCCTTGCTATGTTTTAGCAAAGAGACTGGCAGCATTTTGCCCCTGCCCTAGAGATTTGTGGAACTTTAAACTTGAGGGAGATGATTTAGGGTATCTGGTGGAAGAAATTTCTAAGCAGCAAAGCATTCAAGAGGTGACTTGGATGCTGTTAAAATCATTCAGTTTTAAAAGGGAAACAGAGCATAAAAGTTTGGAAAATTTGCAGCCTGACAATGTGAGGAAAAGAAAAACCCATTTTCTGAGGAGAAATTCAAGCCAGCTGCAGAAATTTGCATAAGTAACAAGGAGCCAAATGTTAATCCCCAAGACAAGGGGGGAAATGTCTCCAAGGTATGTCAAGGGGCTCCTTGCAGCAGCCCCTCCCATCACAGGTCTGGAGGCCTAGGAGAAAAAAATGGCTTCCTGGACTGGGCCCAGGGTTCCCCTGCTATGTGCAGCCTAGAGACTTGGTGCCCTATGTCTGAGCCACTCTAACCATGGCTAAAAGGGGCCAAAGTACAGCTTGGGCCATGGCTTCAGAGGTTGCAAGCCCCAAGTTTTGCCAGCTTACACATGGTGTTGAGCCTGGGGGTGCACAGAAGTCAAGAATTGAGGTTAGGCAACCTCCACCTCGATTTCAGAGGATGTATGGAAATGGCTGGGCATCCAGGCCAAAGTTTGCTGCAGGGGAAGGGCCCTCATGAAGAACCTCTGCTATGGCAGTGTGGAAGGAAAATGTGAAATACAAGTCCCCACATAGAGTCCCCACTCGTGCACTGCCTAGTGGAGCTGTGAGAAAAGGGCCACAGACAACACCAGCCTGTGAAAACAGCTGGGAGGGCTGGCCGTACCCTGCAAAGCCATGGGACAGAGCTGCCCAAGACCTTGGGAACCCACTTATTGCATCAGTGTGATGTGAATGTAAGACATGGAGTCAAAGGAGATCATTTTGGAGCTTTAAGATTTGACTGCCCTACTAGATTTTGGACTTTCATGGGACCTTTAGCCCCTTGGATTTGACCAATTTCTCCCATTTGGAATGGGTGTATTTACCCAATACCTGGACCCCCAAAGTATCTAGGAAGTAACTAGCATGCTTTTGATTTTATGGGCTCATAGGCAAAAGGGACTTGCTTTCTCTCAGATGAGACTTTGGACTATGGACTTTTGAATTAATGCTGAAATGAGTTAAAACTTTGGGAGACTGCTGGGAAGGCATGATTGGTTTTGAAATGTGAGGATATGAGATTTTGGAGGGGCCAAGGATGAAATGATATGGTTTGGCTGTGTCCCTACCCAAATCTCATCTTGAATAAGACTGCTCATATTTCCCACATGCTGTGGGAAGGACCCAGTGGGAGATAATAGAATCATGGGGCCAGTTTCCCCCATACTCTTCTTGTGGTAGTCAATAGGTATCATGAGATCTGATGGTTTTATAAGGGCTTTCCCCTTTTGCTTGGCTCTCACTGTCTCTTGTCTGCCACCATGTAAGACATGCCTTTCACCTTCTGTCATGATTGTGAGGCCTCTCCAGCCACGTGGAACTGTGAGTCCATTAAACATCTTTTTCTTTATAAATTACCCAGTTTTGGGTATGTCTTTTTCAGCAGTGTGAAAACAGACTAATACAATATGTTTGAACAGGATTTATATAAAGTGGTTATTGTTTCTGTTTTACCTATTTATTTTTAAACAATTTATGTCAGAATTCCTAAGGGCCTTATGGGGCAGCTTATGCTTTGACCCCTTCTGGCAAAATTGGGATTTATAGTGCAGCAGTCCCCAACCTTTTGGCACCAGGGACCAGTTTTGTGGAATAAAATTTTTCCATGGACTGAGGTGGGGGACATGGTTTTAAGATGAAGCTGTTCTACCTCAGACAATCAGCCATTAGTTAGATTCTCACAGGAGCACACAATCTAGATCCCTCATGTGTGCAGTTCATAATAGGGTTCATGCTCCTGTGAGAATCTAATGTTACCACTGATCTGACAGGAGGTGGAGCTCAGGCAGAAATGCTGGCCCTCCACTCACCTTCTGCTGCATGGCCTGGTTCCTAACAGGCTGGACCTCTACTGGGTCCATGGTCAAGGGGTTGGGGACACCTGTTACAGTGAGTGCAGGTATATTGCCTAGTGATAAAAATAGCCTACGAGTGGGACAGTATAGGAGTGGGATTTGGCTCCTTTTTCAAATTTCTTTTTCTTTTGTCCCACTGATCACAAAACCCATGTCATTACCTCTCTGATACTATACCCGCTATCCTGGAGGCTTTAGTCATACAAATAAAATAAACATTCTTTTGTGCTCTCATAGTATTTAGCCATGCCTTTTACTGAAAAAGTTTCAGAAACTGGCCTTAGGGGATCCAAATATCCAACTAAGATTGCAGAGTGCCCCACCTCTGGTAGGAATGCTGAACAATTGATTTACAACCTTGTTGCCACTAGCCACACCATTAGGTGGCCCGTTACTCAAGATAACCATCACAACAGGATATGCTGACCCACATACCCTTTCTCTTATGTGCTTTGCCCAGCCTAGCCTGCATACCCTATCCTTGATATAAATTCCTTTCTTTTCCTAATAAAAAAAAATCCCTATAGGCTCGTTTCAGAGAACCAACTGGGGAATCTTTGCACCCCCTCTGTTTCCCTTGCCCTCAAGCACAAAACCCAGAAGCCTTGTCTGGGAAAACTGCTTGGCCCTGTGTTAATTTCCATTATATGGGGAGCCTAGAATCCTGTGGTTTTTAATACTAGCTCTATCCCAATATAAATGTAACCTATTGAAGTGGGAGTGGATTGATGGGAAGGTACTTGCTTAGAATAGTATTGCTGCTGGCAATCAAGACCAGCACAGTGATCAAACGTAGTATCCCTTCCAAAGGTAGAAAATTCTGGGTACAAATGGAGAAAAGGAAGAACAGTAGCTGAGGGTAAGTGAATAAATAAATGGGATGTGTGATAAAATAAATTCAATATTAGATTAACACTTTGAAAAAGGCACAAAGCAAAAGATGATACTGTCTCTTAGCTCATTTATACCAGATGCCTGAAAGGGTGAAGCCATATATCACTGAGACTACTTCTGCTTTTTGAATCTCTCAATATCAAATGAAAGCCCGCAAACTTGAATTCCCTGCCCTAGTAGGCAATTTTATACAATATTAAGATGGATTGGTCTAATTATTAATGATGGAATAGACTCCTAATGTGCCAGTAATTTTTGATGTTTATAAATCTTTTCTCATAAGGCATCTGTGGTCACAGGCCAGGGTGTTGCCTGTGCTATAATAAAAAATGCACACTTGGTCTTTGATCCTGGTTCCTGAGCTCTTCAAACCCTTGGAATTTCCTGAGTGATAGGAAGGACTTCCGTTAAACCTGAGTTTACGCAAATAAGGTCACTCTCAGTGGCTTCTAGGTAGCTTCAGAATAGGGCTGCTTGCCATTGGAACCAAGCACATGATTGGAGAGTTGGAACTTTTAGACTCATTGTACCCCCAACATCTGGGGTGGAGGGGACCTGATGATTGAGTTCAGTCACCAATCGCCAATGATTTAATCAATCATGCCTACATACTTCATTAAATATTCTTGAACAGTAAAGTTTGGAGAGCTTCTGGGTTGGTGAGCACATCAATGTCCTGGGAAGGTGGTATGCCTGGAGACAGCATGGAAGCTCTGTACCCTTTTAGCCCTACCCCTCCATACTTTGCCCTATGCATCTTTTCCATTTGGCTGTTTCTGAGTTTTATCCTTGATGATATTACTATAATCATAAGTATAGTAGTATTATACTATTATTCTGAGTTCCTGAATTATTCTAGTAAATTATCAAAGTGGAGGAGTGGGTTCCAGGAATTCTTAAATTTCAAGTTGATTGATCTAGAAGTCTAGGTGGCCCCGAAGACTTGTGACGGGCATCAGAAGTAAGGGCAATCCTCTGGGACTGAACCCTTTCCTTGTGGGTTCTGCGTTTAAGTAGTTGCTATCAGAATCAAAAGACTTTGTCCGTAACTTGTGGGGTCTGTATAAACTCTGAGTGCTTAGTGTCATAATTCATTTGAATTTTGGGACACCCAATTAATTAGGGTCAAAGAATTGATAATTTTTAGAATGACAATGTATGCGGTGTCTGCTATGGACTGAGTCTTTGTGTCCTCTCAAAATTTATATGCTGAAACCGTAATCCCCAAAGTAATGGTCTTTGGAGGCAGGACCTTTGATAGTAATTAGGGTTTGACTATGTCGTGAGGGTGGATGTCCCCTGAGTAGATTAGTGCTCTTTTAAAGAAATGAAGGGACCAGAGGTTTCTCTCTTCGACATGTAAGGATACAGTGAGAAGGCAACTGTCTGTTATAAAAGGGAGAACCCTCACCAAGAACCTGACAATGGTGGCACCTTGATCTCAGACTTCTAGCTTCAGGACTCTGAAAAATAAATATTTGTTGTTTAAGCCACTCAATCTATGGTATTCTGTCATGGCAGCCTGAACTGACTAAGATGGTGTCAGAAAAACAAACAACCAAAAACAAAACAAAACAAAATGCTAAACAGGAGACTTGTTTGTGGCACTGTGTCCTCAGTAGAAAGAATACATGGGTTCAGCCTTTTTCTAAAGTCCAATACTCTTTGTCCAGATTTTAGATTCTCAGAATAAATGTTTTTCACACACAAAAAGAAAATGGCCCAGTTAATGACCTCAAATGTGACCAGTTACAGTAGCATCTCTTTTGGGGACTGTGTATTTATATAAAGGAGACTATGAGAAAGGATGAATGGATTTTAAGTTAATACCCAACAACATCAGAGGCCTAAAATGAAGGATATTACAGCTTAGCTAAGGAAGCAAGTTTGCAAGCCAGTTCATAGGGCCAGCTGTGGTTAAAGACCAAGACTACATCTTATTTGAGAATTTCCAGTGGGGTTCATTAGTGTGGATATTATAATAAAAAAAGACAGACAGTGTATTTATCTGGGTTTTTATTTTTGCCAGAGACTTAGAATAAAGTGGCTGGAAAGTTGAAAGTATTGGTAAGGGTATGATTGCAGTTACGCTTTAAGTAGTCTATACTGGATAGAAAGGAGGCAAGTACAAGAAGGCAATGACAGACAAGAGATAATGACCTATAGCTTAAAACAAAGGTTGAAAAGCCAAGTTGTATTCTATAACCATATGAGTGGTAAATGAAAATCACTGAAGTTGAGGAGGTCCAAGAACCAAGATTGTGAGGTATTAAAATAACTTTCCACATAAATAATGAAGTCGCCATTGATGTTGGCTGGGCAATAGGACTGAGCTAGCTACCACAGTCTTCAGTGACTGAAGAAAAGGGACCAAGTTGTTGCTAAATATGAACAATTAAGCAAGAGTACAGCTTACCAAATGATAGAAACTTCAAAGAAAGAGGAGTTTTTAAACACGGAGATGGACTTATATTCAAATGAAGCACTGAGAAAAAAAATGTGACCAAAAACACCTTGTGATCATGGTGTTTGTGGAATTAGGAGAAGGAACAACCACCACCAGAAAGAGTTCTGGGACAGCTGTATCTACAAGGGACTGCCAAGCTGTATTTAAGAGAACAGTTGGAGACCATGTCCAGTGATTAGTTAATGATTATTTGCATTTTTAACCAAGAAATGAGGCACCACAAGACAGTGTGAAATATTTCGGAATGGAGAGAATCAGTGGGCATTAGGGTGAGGGGAGAAGAAACAGCAAAAAGTGTAGGTGGTTGAAGGGGCTTACATTTTGGTGAGAGCAAAAGATGACAAGGAATCAAGGCATATCTGTTTGATTGAATTATAATCAGTGCAAAATAATTAGTCATATTATTTTCCTAATGGATACAGGAGACTTCAGTACACTCTAAAAAGTAATTTTAAAAGTTTGAGTGGACTTGTTTTAATTTCAGTTTTTAGTTTAGATACAGGGCATACATGTACAAAATATGTTACATGGGAGTATTGCAGGATGCTGAGGTTCAGAGTGCGGATCCCATCACCAAGGTAGTCAGCACAGTACCCAATAGGTAGCTTTTAACTTTCCCATCCCTCCATCCTCCATTTTCAACAAAATGAAAAGTTTTTTTGAAAAAGTAAACAAAATTTATAAACACTTAGCTAGGTGTACTAAAAAAAAAGAATCAAATAAATGAAATCAGATGAAAAATGATTACAAGAGACTACTATAAACTCTATGCCAACAAACTGCATAAGCTAGACAAAATCAACGATTTCCTATAAACATACATGTTACCAAAACTTAATCATGAAGAAATGAAAAACATGAACAAATCAATAACAGATAACATTTTGAGTTATCAATCAGAAAACCCCCGACAACAAAAAGAGCCCAGGACTAGATGGCTTCACTGGTGAATTCTACCAAACATTTAAAGAGGAATTAACACTAATTTATCTTAAACTCTTCCAAAACCAAATGAAGCAAAAAGAGCACTTCCAACCTCATTTTATAAGGCCAGGATTACTCTGAGACCAAAGCCAAACACATAAATATGAGAAAAAAAATTACAGGGCCGATATTCTTGATGTAGATAGATGCAAAAATTCTTGACACAATGCTAGTACTCCAAATTGAATAGCCCATTGAAAAGATCATGGATCAGACAAAGTGTGATTTAATTCTGAGATAAAATGATGTTTCAAAAAATATCTAAGCAATTAATGTGATACAACCCATTAACAAAAGTAAAGATAAAAATACCACAGGATCATCTCCATAGATACAGAAAAAGCATGTGATAAAATTCAATAACCTTTTCATTACAAAAATCTCTCAACAAACTATTTATAGAAAAAAAAATTGCCACAACCTATAATCTTACATCTAACAACACACATAGTATTCAAAAACTAAAAGTTTTTTTTTTTTTTTTGGTCTAAGATCAGGAACAAAGACACAAATTCACACCACTTCTATTGAATATCATACTGGAAGTTGTAGCCAGAATAAATGGGCAAGAAAATAAAATAAAAGGCATGCGAAATGGAAAGGGAGAAGTTAAGTTGTCCCTTTTCACAGAGTATATGGTCTTAAACGCATAAAACCCTAAATACTCCACAAAAAACTATTAGATCTAATAAACAAATTCAGCAAATTGCAGGATAATACATCAACATACAAAAATCAGTTGTATTTCTACATGCTAACAGTGAACTATCTGAAAAGTAAATTAACAGTCACATTTACAATAGCATGAAACATAATTAAGAATAAATTTGTAAAATGTAAAACAGAAATTTGTAAAATGTAAACACTTGTAAAATGAAATTACAAAACATTGCTCAAAGAAATTAAAGAATGAACAAGTAAATGTAAAGATATTCATGTACATGGGTGGGAAGAGTTAGTATTATTAAAATGTCCATACACCCCAAGTGATCTCTAGATTCAATGTAATCCCTACCAGATCCTAGTAGATTTTATTTTACAGAAATAGAAAATGAAGCCCAAAATTCATATGGAACTACAAACACTCCAAACAGCCAAAGAAATTAGGAGATGAGGAACAAAGCCAGAGGCAGCATGCTTTGATGTCAAAATATATTACAAAGCTATGATAATTATAGCAATATTTCACTGACACAAAAACACATATGGAATAATGGAACAGAATATAAATCCCAGAAATAAACCTACTCACATAGGATTAACTGACCTTTGACAATGGTGACAAGAACACAAAATAGAGAAAGTATAGTCTTTTCAAATATTGCTGGGATAGCTGGGTATCCACATAGAAAAGAATGAAATTGAACCATTATCTTACTCCATACATAAAAATCAACCCAGAATGTATTAAAGAATTAAATGTAAGTCCTGAAACTGTAAAATTCCTAGTAGAAAACATAAGAGAAGATCTTTGTGACATTGGTCTTGGCAATGATTTCTTGACCATGACACCAAAAATACAAGCAACAAAAAAAAAATAGACAAGTGGGACTATATCAATTTAAAAAGCTTCTATGCAGCAAAGAATAAAATCAACAGAGTGAAATAGCAACCTATGAAAAGTGATAAAATATTTGTAAATTATATATATATATTAAGGTTTTAATTTTTAAAATATTTTTTGAAACCCCTACAACTAAGTAGCTAAAAAACTGACATGATTAAAACATGAATAAATAACTTAAATATACATTTCTCCAATGAAGACATACAAATGGCCAATATATATATGAAAAGATGTTTAACATTAATAACTATCACGGAAATACAAACCAAAACCACAACGAGGTACCACCTCTCACTTGTTAGAATGGCCATAATTTAAAAACAATAAAATCAAAACGAAACCAGAAAATAATGTGTTAATAAACTGGAACACTTATGCACTGTTGGTGGGAATGGAAAATGAAGAAACTGCTAGGAAAACATTGTGGAGGTAACTCAAAACACTAAAATAAAACAACTCTATGTTTCAGTCATTTCAATACTGGTAAAAATAATTAAAAATTAGGATGTTGAAAAGAGCTCAACTTCCATCTTCATTGCAGCATTATTCATAGTAGTTAAAATATCTAAACTATATATCAATCAATAGATGAATGAATAAAGAAAATATGGTACATACATACTGCTATGGTCTGAATGTGTCCCCAAATTTCATGTGTTATAAGCTCAATCCCCAAATTAACATGTTGAGTAGAGGTGGGGCCTTTGAGAGTTAATTATGATGAGATAGGGTCATTGGTGTGAGGCCCCCATGATGGGGCTGTTGGCTTTATAAGAAGTGGGAGAGAGACCTGAACTGGCATACTCTTGCCTTCTCACAATGTCATGTCTTTCACCATGTTATGATGCTGCAGAAGGCCATCATCAGATGCTAGTGCCATGCTTTTGGTCATGCCAGCCTCTAATTGTAATAAATACCTTTTTAAAATAAGTTATCCACTCACAGGTATTCTGTTGTAGCAACAGGCAACAGACTAAAACAACTACAATGGAATGTTATTCCACATTAAATAAAGGAAACATTGTCATATGCAACAGGGGGAATAAACCTTGAGAAAATTATACCAAAGAAATAAGCTAGTCACAAATGGACAAATATTACATGATTTCCACTTATATGAGGTATTTAAAAGGGTCAAATTTATGGAAGCAGAGAGAAAAAGTTAGTTGCCAGTGCTGTTGAGAAAGGAAAATGGGAAGTTGTTCAATGGGTATAAAGTTTCAATTATGCAAAACAAATAAGTTCTAGGGATCTCCTGTGCCACATACTGCCTATACTTAACTATACTGTATTGTGCAATGAATAATTTGTTAAGAGCATAAATCTTATGTTTAGTGTTGTTACCACAATAAGAAATACTTGCCTGCATAGTTGGATAGAAGTTTGCATTTATTATTTCTCCAAACCATCACTTCATGATAATGGTCACATTCATTTTAGTTAACATTTAAAAACATTCTTCAGGAAACTTATCCAGTGCTCTTATCATTTTGTTCATTTTCATCCCTGTTGTTTCTCTATTTTTCACTCCATGCGTAGTTCTCTATGTTTGGCCTACTTTGCCACCATCACTTGATAAAAATATGTTCATTGTTGACTTTGTTGTCAACCCTGTCTTGAAGCCTGCCACCTACATATTACAGAACAAAGACATAAAGGTAGCACTTTGAAATTTGCATGAAAAGAGAACTTATTCCAGCTTTTCTTAATCACATCTTTTTCTGGAGCTTTAAAGCTGTAACTCCTACTGCGCATTGGCCTATCTCCCCTTGGGCACTTCAAATTTAACATATCCAGAACAGATGCATAATCTACCATCCTCAACCTGCTACTGCTTCATCTGTAGAGTATAAGGCCATTTCTGTTACCATCATGGGAAATGTAAATCTGTCATACTAAGAATTGATATTCTTACAGAGAACAGTATAATCTGCCTAATCATATTTTACTCTTGAAATTTTGGTTATTTTTTAAATAAAATGCTATAATAACATCAAAAATTGGAGGACATACTACTGTATACCAAGACTTAATATAAAAACACAGTAATCAAGACAGTTTTTTATTAATAAAAGAATAGTCACATAAATTAATAGAACAGAATAGAGAACCCAGATATAGGAGTACACATACATAGCCACCTTATTTTGACAAAAGAGCAAGAGCAATTCAATGGAGAACTGATAGTTTTTCAAAAAAATAAGCAAAAAAAAAAAAAAACCCCACACACAAAACAAACAAAAATTGAACCTAGACTGAGGCCTTATACCTTTCATGAAATTAACTCAAAATATAATTCTAAATTCAAATACAAAATCATAAAACTTCTAGGAGAAAGCATAGGTGAGAATCTATTGACCTTTGATTAGACATGGTGTTTTTAGATACAATGCCAGAAGCATGATCCATGAGTTTAAAAAATGTTAATCTTTGGCCGGGCGCGGTGGCTCATGCCTGTAATCCCAGCACTTCGGAAGGCCAAGGCGGGCGGATCACAAGGTCAGGAGATCAAGACCATCCTGGCTAACACGGTGAAACCCCGTCTCTACTAAAAATACAAAAAATTAGCCGGGCATGGTAGCGGGTGCCTGTAGTCCCAGCTACTCAGGAGGCTGAGGCAGGAGAATGGCATGAACCTGGAAGGCGGAGCTTGCAGTGAGCCGAGATTGTGCCACATGAAAACAAAAAGCAGCTTACATAGCCAAAGCAATACTAAACAAAAAGAACAAATGTGGAGTCATCACATTACCTGACTTTGAACTATAATACAAGGCTATAGTTACCAAAGCAGCATGGTACTGGTATAAAGGTAGGGACATAGACCAATGGAACAGAATAGAGAATCCAAAAATGAAGCCAAATAGTTATGGCCAACTTATCTTAGACAAAGTACACAAAAGTGTAAATTGGGGAAACAACACCCTATTCAACAAATAGGGTGCTGGAATAATTGGTAAGCCACACTTAGAAGAATGAAACCGGATCCTCTTCTCCCACCTTGTACAAAAATCAACTCGAGAGAGATCAAAGACTTAAATCTAAGACCTGAAACCATAAAAAATGTAAAAGATAACATCAGAAAAACTCTTCTAGACATTGGCTTAGGCAAATAATTCATGACCAAGAACACAAAAGCAAATGCAACAAAAGCAAACATAAGTAAATGGTACATAAATAAACTAAGAAACTTCTGAACAACAAAATAAATAACTAGCAGAGTAGACAGACAACCCACAGAGTGGGAGAAAATATTTGCAAACTATGCATCCAACAAAGGACTAATATCCAGAATCTGCAAGGAACTCAAACAAATTATTTTAAAAAAACCCTCTTAATAATCCCATCAAAAAGTGGACAAGGGACATAAATAGACAATTCTCAAAAGAAGATACACAAATGGCAAATGTACATATGAGAAAATGCTCAACATCAATAATTATCAGGGAATGAAAATTAAAACCACAATGTAGGACCACCTTACTCCCACAAGAATGACCACAATTAAAAAATCAAAAAAGAATAGATGCTGGTGTGGATGTGGTGAAAAGGTAACACTTTTGCACTGCTGATAGGAATGTAAACTAGTACAACTACTATGGAAAACAGTATGGAGATTCCTTAAAGAACTAAAAGTCGAACTGCCACTCATTCCAGCTATCGCACTACTGGGTATCTACCCAAAGGAAAAGAAGTCATTATATAAAAAAGACACTTACACACACATATTTTTAGCAGGACATTTTGTAATTGAAAAAATATGGGACGAACCTAAATGACCATCAATCAATGAGTGGATAAAGAAAATATGATATATATACACCATGGAAAACTACTGAGCCATAAAAAGGGATGAAATAATGGCATTTGCAGCAACCTGGATAGAGTTGGAGACCATTATTATAAGTGAAGTAACTCAGGAATGGAAAACCAAATATAGTATGCTCTCACTTATAAGTAGGAGCTAAGCTATGAGGATGCGAAGGCATAAGAAAGATATAATGGACTTTAGGGACTCGTGGGGAAGGATGGGAGGGGGGTGAGGGATAAAAGGCTACACATCAGGTAGCATGTACACTGCTTGCTATGGGTGTATATGTGATTACGGGTGCACCAAAATTTCACAAATCACCACTAAAGAACTTATCCATGCAACCGAAAAACACCTGTTTCCCAAAAACTATTGAAATAAAATAAATCTCTTAAAAAAACTCAAGATTTTTTTTCATTAGGGAGCTATAAATTAAAGCAAAAAGGAGGTAGAACTACATACCTATTAGAATGGATATCTTCTATATAACTGAAAATACCAATTCCATCAAGAGGACTCAGAGCAATGAGAACTCTCACTTATTGCTGGTGTGAAGGGAAAATGGTACTGCCCGACTAGAAGATAGTTTGTTAGTTTCTCAAAAAACTAAATATAATCTTATATGATCTACTAATCACACTGTGAGTTATTTATCTACCTGATCTGAAAGCTTATGCACACACAGACATCAACTTAACTATTATATATAATTTGTGTTTTTATACATATTTTGTATGTATACACTTTTTGTATACAATGTGTACAATATTTTGTTTGTGTACATATATATGTATAATTGAAGTAATCAAGATGCTCTTATATGCATATATATTTATAATTGACAAATCAAGATGCTTTTCCTCAGGCAAATGGATAAACAAACATTAGTACATCCATACAATGAAATATTATTCAGCAATAAAAGTAAATGAGTGAGGAAGGCATGAAAGGACATGGATGGATTTTAATTGCATATTTCTAAATAAAAGAAGCCAGTTGGAAAACACCATGCTGTCTGACTTCAATTACATGACATTTAGGAAAAGGCAAAGTTATAGAGACATTAAAAAATCAGCAATTGCCATGGTTGGGGTGGCAGGATTTTAATGAATGAAGCCCAACACAATTTTGGGGTGGCAAAACTATTCCGTAAAATATAGTAATGGCGAATACATGACACTATTGCATTTTTCAAAGCTCATAGAGCATTACCACAAAAAGTGTGAACCTTTACATACGTAAATTTTTAAAAAATTAGCAGTTAGGAGATTCCAGGACTAAATGTAAAATGTGACAAAATAAGTTTATAACAAATGTATGAAACTTAATTCACTGAAGTGAGTGGGGAGAAAAAGTGCTGACCTAAATAATTTTGGAAATAATTGAAGTCAGTAAGACTAAAGGTAAAAGGAAATGTTCAAGTATTGTACTTCAGCTAGTAATATTTTTTCCCACAGGGGTATGGGTTAAAAGTTCTTATACCACTAAATATGTATACTTAAATTTAACAATTAAGCAAATGGATGTTGGATGGTGGGAGCCAGGTTTCTTACAGTTGGAATGAGAGAGTACAGATAAGCAAGGGAGTAGGCTAGAATGATATGTATGATATGCACTAGAGTCAGGGACATCTGTATAACCCATGTTTAGCTTACTATGGTTACAGATGGTTACACTAAGGAATATAAAACTTCCAGTGCTCTTTGAGGAAATTTCTGACACTAGGACCCAGGCAGGAAATATGTAACATGAGCCGGAGCATCTTGTAGTGATGGAAAGGAGGGAAGAAAGTACTTAAAAAAAGGGAAAATTTTAAAATGATGAGGGTATATCAAACAGATAGAGTAACCATCTGAAAGGGCTCCCAATGGCCAAAGCTGGATCAATTTGAGCAACAGAATAGATTAGTGTTGAATTATGACCCAAAATATAAAACAGCAACAAGCTCAAGCTGATAAAATTAAAGGATTAGAGAAATAAATGGTAGAGAAAAGACAAATCTTTCCTGTAGAAGAATTCCACATAATTTACATAGATACTATCCCCTAAGGAAGATAGAACAGTTGCTAACTCAAATGTAAGTTGTAGATAGTGACTTCCTTCCAAAGAATTCACTACGGAAAGAGGGTTAAAAGAGTACCTTTACAGTGGAGAACCATGACAAAAACTACCTCTGCCAGGTGATCAAGATTAACACCAATAATAATAAGTCATATTGATGGCATAGTTCCTTGATATTCTGTGATAAAAGTGGCACTTTATCTCTAAAGTCTTCCTACCAAGAGTATATAACTACAGTCTAATCATATTGATTCTCCTTTTGTACTGTAACAAATTAGCACACATAGTGGCTAAAAACAAGAGACATATTCTTTTGCAGTTCTAGTAGTCAAGTGTCTCTTCCTGTTGTCACAATGCCTTCCCTTCTGTAGTCAAATAATTCTCTGCTTCCCTCTTATAGGGGCACTTGTGATTACATTTAGGGCCCACCTGAATAAGCCAGGAAAATGTCCCCATCTCAAAATTATTAATCGCTACTGCAAATTTACTTTTGCCATATGAGGGTATCTTTGAAGGTTCCAAGAGTTAGGACGTGAATATTTTAGGGCTATTATCCTGTCCCCATACTAACCATGAGAGAAAATATCAAACAAACTTCAAGTGATGAGCATTATAAAAAAATTCTTGGCCAGTATTCCTAAAAACTGTCAATGTCATAAACAGTAAGCAGTCTGAAAACTGTCATAGTCGAGAGAAGCCTAAAACATTAAGTGATGACTAAATATAGTATGGTATCTTGGATGGGATGTAAAATAGAAAAAGCCAATAGGTAAAAGCCAAAGAAACTTGAATAAAATATGGAATTCAGTTAATAAAAATGTACCATTATTTACTTATTAATTGTGATAAACATGTCATATCAATGTGAAATATTAATAATAGTAGAAACTGGTTGCACTCTGTGATAGTACAGGGAACTCTGTACTATCTTTGTCAATTTTCTATAAGACTAAGTATTTTCTAGAGTAAAAAGTTATGTTAAAACTTAAAAATACATTGTTTATTTTATGATGTCGGTTATATCAAAAGCACTGTAAGTCTAAACAAAGTCCAGCAGGAAGCACATATGTTGAGTGTCAATTTTAAGTGATGGCTATTGGTTTAAGACTTGATTTGTACATGAAATCAAAAATATTATTAATACAAATAAAAATTTCTTTTTAATGTATTTTTATAGATAAATATATAAGGTTCCAATATTGATGGTTATTGCAGATCTGTTTTTGATCATAAATATTACTGCAATTGGCCACCTTGTGCTTAAATCTTTGCTATACTTCAATCTGTTGCTTTAGGATAGATTCCTACAAGTGGGTGAAATTATTAGCAAATATGATACTTTTCAAAAAGGTTGTAAATATTCTCTCATCAGCTATTACTTTATAATTTTATGTACTATTTCTCTGCCTAGAAAGTCTTTCCCAATCCAGAGATTAGTTAAATATCTATCTTTACTAATAGTTAAGACTTGTATACTAATGTTTTCCATGTTGTTACTCATAGTGAGGAATTTTAAATTTTTTTGTTTATTAGAAAGGATGAAGTTAATGGGAGTAAAATTATCTTATAAAGTTTTGATTATTGAATTTTTATTTATTTCCAGAAAAACTCTGAAATGATGAGTATCTTATTTTTCTTGATCTTTAAACTGAGAGAGATTCCCAAAAGAGCACGTGCAAAGATTAAAGTTTACCTCTGTTTTAGTTAAGTTTCTCTAGCTTCAGATACAAGTGTCCATTGGCAGGAACTAAATAAAATATGCCCTTGTGCATTCGGAGTTTAGGTTCTTATGATAACTCCAGAGATATTTTGATTATACTCACAATGGGTATACGTTACACCCAAGACACAGGAAATTACTTGTTTCAAAGAACAATATGTATTCCTACACAGTTGACACTTAATGCAAAAGTTAGTGGCACCAACTCTCCACACAGTCAAAAATCCATGCATACTTTTGGCTCCCCAAAAGCTTAACAAATAAGAGCCCGCTGATGACCTGTTGACTGGAAGCTTTACAGCTAAAATAAAGAGTTTATTAACATATATTTTGTATGTTGTATGTATTGTGTACTGTATTCTTACAATAAACTAAGCCAGAGAAAATAAAATGTTATTATGAAAATTATAAGGCAGAGAAAATATATTTACTATTTATTTATTGGAAGCGGATCATCATAAAGGTCTTCATCCTCATCATCTTCACGTTGAGAAAGCTGAGGAAGAAAAGAAGAGGGTTGGTTTTGCTGTCTCGAGGAAGGGAGAAGCAGAAGAGGCGAAGGAGGTGGAAGGAGAAGGAGGAGAGGCAGGCACATTCGTGGTAACCTTTATTGAAAAAAATTCACATATAAGTGGAACCGCACAATTCAAACTCATGTTGTTCAAGGGTCAACTGTATACACATAATTTAGTGGTCTTTTAAATTATATTTATTTTTAAAATCTAGATTTTAAAAATATTCAACAATGTAAATTTATTTATTGAGAAAACCATAATTAATATAAAATTGTTGCAATCATGTGACCTTTTATTTATAATAGCATGAAAGCAAACTCAAAACAATGGTTTTTAAAGTATTAAATTTATTGCAAGTCCAAGCTGCATCTCCCTAAGACACTGTTCCCATCACAGTGGCCATTTTAAGCCAATATTCTTTTTACACATGGATAGTTTCTGTAAAGAACGTTTCTCTCAGGACAAAAATGCATGAATGATGCATAAGAAAAAAAATACATATATACACGCAAATAAATTTAAGAGTTTCTGTAAGGGCATCACTGAAGTTAATAAAAACCTGGGATATGCTTCTTAAAAGCACCAATTTTAAAAATCCCTGAAGAGATTGTAATGTGGCAAGAAAAATAAAGTTACAGCCAGACGTGATGGCTCACGCCTGTAATCCCAGCACTTTGGGAGGCCGAGGAGGGTGGGTCACTTGAGGTCAGGAGTTCGAGACCATACTGGCCAACATGGTGAAACCCTGTCTCTACTAAAAAAAAAATAGAAAAATTAGCCAGGTGTAGTGGTGCATGCCTGTAATCCCAGCTACTTGGGAGGCTGAGGCAGGAGAATTGCTTAAACCCAGGTGGCTTAGGTTTCAGTGAGCCAAGATCGCACCACTGCACTGCAGGCTGGGCAACAGAGTGAGACTCTGTCTCAATAAAAACATAAAAAAATCAAGATACTCATTAGTGTAAAAAAATGTTTAGTTTAGATGGAAACTGAAATGGCATTTTATTTAGCACTTGTATTAGTTCTCATGCTAATAAAGACATACCTGAGACTGGGTAATTTATAAAGGAAAGAGACTTAATGGACTCACAGGTCCACATGGCTGGGGACACCTCACAATCATTGTGGAAGACAAAGGAAGAGCAAAGGGGCCTCTTACACAGTGGCTGGCGAGAGAGCTTGTGCAGGGGACCTTCCATTTATAAAACCATCAGATCTTGTGAGATTTATTCACTAACATGAGAACAGTATGGGGGAAACCACCCCTGTGATTCAATTATCTCTACCTGGCCCCACCCTTGACACATGGGGATTATTGCAATTCAAGGTGAAATTTGGGTGGGGACACAGCCAAACTATATCATTCTCCCCTGGCCCCTCCTAAATTTCATGTCCTCACATTTCAAAATCAATCATGCCTTCCCAACAGTCCCCCAAAGTCTTAACTCATTTCAGCATTAACTCAAAATTCCACAATTCAAAGTCTCATCTGAGACAAGGCAAGTCCCTTCTGCCTATGAACCTGTAAAATCGAAAGCAAGTTAGTTACTTCCTAGATACAATGAGGATACAGGTATTGGGTAAATACACCTGTTCCAAATGGGAGAAATTGGACAAAACGAAGGGATACATGCCTCATGCAAGTCCAAAATCCAGTGGGGCAGTCAAATCTTAAAGCTCCAAAATGTTCTCCTTTGACTCCATACCTCATGTCCAGGGCATGCTGATGCAAGAGATGGGTTCCCACAGCCTTGGTTAACTCTACCTCTGTGGCTTTGCAGGGTACATCCCTCCTTCTGGCTGCTTTCACGGGCTGACATTGAGTGTCTGTGGCTGTTCCAGATGCATGGTGCAAGCTGTCAGTGGATCTACCATTCTGTGGTCTGGAGGATGGTGGCCCTCTTCTCACAGCTCCACTAGGCAGTGGAAAATCTGTGTGGGGGCTCCAACTCCACATTTTCCTTCCACACTGCCCTAGCAGAGGTTCTGCCTGAGGGCTCTGCCCCTGCAGCAAACTTCTGCCTGGACATCCAGGCATTTCCATACATCCTCTGAAATCTAGGCGAATGTTTCCAAACCTCAATTCTTGACTTCTCTGCACCCACAAGTGCAAAACCATGTGTAAGCTGTCAAGGCTTGGGGCACGCACCCTCTGAAGCAATGGCTTGAGCTGTATGGTGACCCCTTTTAGCCACGGCTGTAGCTGAAGTAGCTGGGACACAGGGCACCATGTCCTGAGGCTGAATAGAGCAGAGGGCCCTGGGCCTTGCTCAGGAAACCATTTTTTCCTCCTAGGGCTCCAGGCCTGTGAAAGGAGGGACTGCTGTGAAGGTCTCTGACATGCCCTGTAAAGGTTTTCCCCATTGTTTTGATGATTAGCATTTGGCTCCTTATTACTTCTGTGAATTTCTGCAGCTGGCTTGAATTTCTTCCCAGAAAATGGGTTTTCTTTTCTACTGCATCATCAGGGTGTAAATTTTCCAAACTTTTATGCTCTGTCACCTCTTGAATATTTGCTGCTTAGAAATTTCTTGCACTAGGTACCCTAAATCATCTCTCTTAAGTTCAAAATTCCACAGATCTCTAGGGCATGGGCTAAAGTCCACAAGTCTGTTTGCATAGCAAGAGTCACATTTACTCCAGTTCCCAACAAGTTCTTCATCTCCATCTGAGACCATCTCAGCCTGGACTTCATTGTCCATATCACTATCAGCGTTTTGGTCAAAGCCATTCAACAAGTTTCTAGGAAGTTCCAAACTTTCCCACATTTTCCTGTCTTCTTCTGAGCCCTCCCAACATTTCCAACCTCTGGCTGTTACCCTGTTCCAAAGTTGCTTCCACATTTCAGGTATCTTTAGAGCAGTGCCCCACTACCTGGCACCAATTTGCTGTATTAGTCTCTTCTCATGCTGCTAATAAGGTCATAGCTGAGACTTGATAATTTATAAAGGAAAGAGGGTTAATCTACTCACAATTCCACATGGCTGGGGAAACCTCACAATCATGACAGAAGAATAAGGTAGAGCAAAGGGATGTCTTACATGGCAGCAGGCAAGAGAGCTTGTGCAGGGAACTCCCACTTATAAAACCATCAGATCTTGTGAGACTTATTTACTGCCAAGAGAACAGTATGGGGGAAAACACTCCCAATGATTCAATTATCTCCAACTGGCCCTGCCCTTGACACATGGGGATTATTACAATTTATGGTGAGATTTGGGTAGGGACACACCCAAACAATATCAGCACTTAAACAAAAATTTGACAACGTGATTTTTTTTAAAGATATCTTAGTGAGGCGATACTAAGAAATCTATGGTTTGATTTTTTTTTTTAGAAATAAGAAATGCAGTTTTATTTTTTAATTATTGAAAATGGTTTTAATACTAAAAGTTATAATTTGATACTAGTCATTTGTAAACATTATAAAATATCTCTTTACACAAATATATTTGTAGTTAATTCATAAGGATGGGTTTGGATAGGGCTAGCAGAGCACCTTCAGAGTGAAATGGGAATACTTCAAAAGTTAGGTGATAACATTTCATTTGTTTGAATACTCTGCCAGTAGAACCAGTTCTGCATAGAAATGTATATGTTGTGTAGAATAATGATGTAGAGTTTACTCATCAATGAAGATGTCTTATTTTTATCTTCTGCAAATTCTACATCATTTTAAAATGCATTTTAACAATACATAATAAAAGATAATTTTGACTCTGAAAATTTAAATGATTGACTAGCTCATTCTTGGCTGTATTAATAATTCTTGATCTCATGGAATAATTATTTGGGTAAGTGGCCTTGCATGGCAAGCACCTGGCCATGGATGATCACTCATGCTACTGAAAAGGATTGATCTGTATACCTGCAAACAGACTCTAACTCACAGTTTGTTGTTTTTATTTCTCACTTCCCTGGTGAGAGGTGAAGGTCTCAATAAATAAGTAAGTTGTTTTGACATACAGAGTATAAGTATGGTTACCAGAGGCTGGGAAGGGTAGTGGGGGTGAAGTTGGGGGAGGTGGGGATGGCTAATGGTAGAAAAAAAATAGAAAGAATAAATAGTACCTACTATTTAATAGAACAACAAGTTGACTATAGTCAATAGTAATTTAATTGTACATTTTAAAATAATTAAAAGAGTAAAATTGGATTGTTTGTGACACAATATATACACCTACTATGTGCCCATAAAAATTAAAAATTTAAGGAAGAAGCTTCTAAAGATATTAGATTTTTTAAAGACAAATGAAATAATTTATCAATACACAAATAAGCAGATTACAGAGTTGAGAAGTGGTAATGAAAATCTTCTTTGCAATGTTAATTATTTTTGTTTTAAACTGTCTTTATGAAAAAAATTGAAAAATAATGATTTTATTTTGGAGAATATATATACTCTTGAGTGATAAGAACAAAGATTATTTGCATGTAAAATAAATAATAGCTTAGTGGTCTATTATATAATAGTGTCCAAATATTATTTCATTGTCACATTGCTTTTATTCTTTTAATTCAAGTCATAAAATACTAAGTTCTATTTTCTCTGACTAGATTATGGGGAGGATATGATTTAATAATAAGAACTCAGTATCTTCTTTTTGAGTTACAATTAATTTTCAAGTATACTGGCTCTCTTCAATGTGAATAGAACCAACCGCACTAATTCTGAACTAACTGTTGCTGATATTTCAGGTAAGGTAGCAAAAGTACTGAATTACACAGTAATGACTTCCATTGAAAATTTGATTTATTTTTCTATATATAATATATATGAAAAAGGGAAAAAGGACTATTCCCTTTCACTTGCTTACAGTCTAGATTACTGAATGTATTAAATATGTTTAATAGGTAACATTTTTTCTGTACATTCATAAAGTCCACATGCTAAAATATGATTGTACTGAAATTATGTGTTCACTCACTTAGGAATTGTTGTGATTTGTAAAGAGAATATAAAAAGAGAATACAATTGTTAAAACATCCACGGTATGTGGACTTTAGTCTTAAATCAGCCATTCACTTTCTGGGTTGATTTTGGGAGGTCTCTGAATCATCTGGGCATTTGTCTCCTCTTTTAGTTAAATATTTATAAATACAAGATTTATTTTATAAGTTTTGTTCTACCTTAGATACTATATTAACAAATGTGTAAATTATTGTCCGGACCAATACATTCTCATTTCTCATCTAGACTACAACAGTAATCTTCTAGTTGGTCTGTGCTTAACATGCTGGTCCCCTTTATCTGATTTATATTTGAAATGTCATTTCATTACAGTATCTGAGGAAAAAAGGAATAAATGTCACTCCTCTGCATTCCATTGCATTTAGAATAAAACCTTAATTCTTTATCATAGCCTATAAATTCCTAGAGGAACTGTCCCCCAGTCTTCTACTTCTATCATTCTCCCTGTTTCTGATACATATGCCTCTTTCAGTTCCTTAAACATAATAGGCTAAGTGCTTATAGTCTTAGCAAATGCTCTTTCCTCAGCCTGAAACAATTTTCTTATAGCTTTACATGATTGAACTTCTATTCACTTCTCAGTTCAAATACCACCTACCCACAGATGCCTGCTTTAACAATCCTCTCCAGAAAACACCATCACCTGACCCTAAATCTCTTTATCATAGAACTCTGTTCATATCCTTTGGAGTACATTATCACACTGTAATTAATGTATTCATTTAATTACTTGCATAATGTTGGTCTTTTCCACTAGAATGTAAGTTTCTGGAAAGCCAATCTGGCTTGCTCACTGCTGTACCAACAGTGCCTATAAGAGTGCTTGGCACAGAGTAAGTGCTCAATAAATGCTTGTTGAATTAATGAATTTGAGCTTTATTGGATGTGCAGTCTTGAGTAGCAAAGAATATGTCAGTTTTATTCCTAAGGAAAAATAAGTATAATTCTTATTATTAAAAAATAAACACTTTTAAATTGATAATCATAGTATTAACATTCATTACTGATGTCTTTAGCCACAAGTCCTAGCCCTTGAATACTTTGAATACTGCTCATTTCAAAGTACCATTCAGAAAACATGAACCCTTTGCATTCTAAACTAGTAGAGAATTAAAGCATATGCTAAAATACTATAAACTTTAGTACAGCAAAATCTGTCATTTATTTATGCTAAGACACTGCTTATATGCCACAAGGTTTTTCCTAACTATACATATAATGCATTCTTTCTAAAATACATTTTGCTAATCTCTAAATAATATTTCATTTTAGCTAATAAGAAGAAAAGTCATTGAAATGGAATATCTTGCCATATTCAATGTGTTCTTAGAAACTTAACAGAATATTTTAATATTGCTCTTTAATTCCTTTAAAAATAAGCTCTAGATATAATTTAATTGCTAAGCATTTCCTATAACTGTATCATATATGACTTACAACTCTATTATATACATAAAACTATATTATAATACATATAACATAAAAATAAATATTATAAACTATACAATTCTAAAATGATGCATTTTACTAAAAAGTCTAAATTTTATAATATTAAGACAAGAAAATTGGAGTCATCATTATTGTTATCTTTTAGTTTTTGATTTCTAATTTGTTAAGATGTGGTCAGATAATGTAATCTGTGTAATTTTTTTTTTGGAAACTTTCGAAAATTGCATTTAAAAATGGTGTATGTATATGTACTTGTAAATAACGGCTATTCTTTTCTGGAATGTATAAATATTAGATTAAGCTGATTATGCTTGTTTACTGAATTTTGAATTTTATATCTTTACTGATTTTTCATGCTTGCTTTATTTATCTTTTATTATCAGGCTTACACTTAAATTTATGTGTTTTTAGGCCAATTTCTTCTTAAAGAGGCCAAGCATTTTACTTTTTAATGCTAAAAGAGTGGTTATGAGATGTTAGTGTGTACCAGAAGCACCAGGAGCACTCGGTAAACCACATGTCAGTGACCCAACACCCAGAGTTACTGATTCAGCAGTTCTGGAGTGAGGCCCAATAATTTGCATTTCAAACAGGTTCCCAGATTATTCTGATGCTGCTGGTCTGGGAACTACAGTTCAAAAACCACTGCCATTAAAAGAGTGGATTTTCATCCTGGCAGCTTATTATAATCACGTAGTGGATCTAGAAAAGAAAAATAGTGCTTGAGGTTTATACATGACCAGAAAATCAAAGGGTAAAACCCAGGCTCCAGTATGTTTTAAGCTCTCCAGGTTACTTCCTTGTATAGCAAGAGTTGGAAACCACTCATCTAAAACATGTATGAATCAATCTGACTTCACAATGTGTGATTAATATTCATTGAAGAGTAGTTTCTCCACACCTGATTACCTCTAATTTACCTAAAAATTTTCCCTAACCAGGCAGCTCACAGGCTTATACTCCAATCTCCTAGTATTCTTTAGCTTCACAGACTTTACTGAATGACCATTATATATAAGACACTACAAAAGCTTGCTTTATTTCTGTTTGTGTGTCGCACTTTCATACACTGTAGTTCTTTATCCTTATTTCCATAAATGTATTATCATTTGAATAATAATAATCATCAAAACAATTATAACAATGTTAGCGTTAACTATGTAATGGGGATTCTTATAATGTTTTATATATACTCATTTACTCATTATAACAACCCTATGAGATAGAAATTATTATTATTCTGATTTTGCAGATGAGGAAACTGAAGAAAGAGAATTTGAGTAAATTACCAAGGTAACCACACTATTATAGTAAGTTGATGAAATATTAATTGAGACAATCTTGCTTGAGTTACTAACAGTCAGAAATTAAAGCATCTGCAGATTAGAATCAATGAAAAAATATTTAGTTTATCCAAAAATTGATTATAATATCTCCTTTTTATTTTTTGTTTTAGTGTAAATGCTTAGTGGAATATTATTTCATTTTTATTACCAAATTCATTCTGAAGGAAGAGTGATTTTTCTTCATCAAAAGCTATGTAAATCATATTCTTTGGTTCTGTACATTTGAACTGGTAACATAAGATTTATTTATATTATGCTGCATAAACCCATGTAGTATAATCATATAATCTTGTACAGAAATTTACAAAATTTGTTGTGTAATAAGTAACTTGTATACATAGAACACATGCTGTGCAGGAAACATTTTAAATGTCTGGTTTGTACAAAATTCCCAGGATATTGATAATCAATACTTGTAATAGCTTGGACTGGGGTAACAGGATATCACAGATTAGATGGCTTAACCTACAGAAATTTATTCTCTCACAGTTCTGGGGACTTTATGTCCAAGAGCCATGTGTCAGTACATTTTATTGGGGTTAGCATTCTCTTCCTAGCGTTCAGGATGCCTTCCAGGTGTGTGCTTGGAGAGATTGTTTTATTGTCTCTTTCTCCAGTGCTGTTGGATTTAGGGCCCACGCCTATAATCTTGTGTAATTTTAATGACCTTCTTAAAAATTCTGTCTCCAGTTATGGTCACATTGTGGGTCAGGGCTTCAACATAGGCATTTCAGGGGGTGGTATACAGTCAGGAGATAATAGTACCTAAAATTAATTAATTAATTAATTAATTATATTTTTTGAGATGGAGTCTTGCTCTGTCGCCCAAGCTGGAGTGCAATGGCACGATCTTGGCTCACTGCAAACTCTGCCTCCTGGGCTCAAGCGATTTTCCTGCCTCAGCCTCCCGAGTAGCTGCGATTGCAGGCATCCACCACCCCACCTGGCTAATTTTTGTATTTTTAGTAGAGACGAGGTTTCACTATGTTGGCCAGGCTGCTCTTGAACTCCTGACCTCAGGTAATCCACCTGCCTCGATCTCCCAAAGCACTGGGATTACAGGCATGAGCCATCACACCCAGCCCTAAAATTATTTTGTTACAAAAATCAATATAAAATTACATCAATGAACAGTGTGCATTCCAAAGATTTCAGAATAAAAGGAAACAAGTGACCATTTTGAAATATTGAATACCTTCTGATATGATTAAGTTTATTTTGAAATACAGGTCCTAACTTTTAAAAATATGGCTTATGAAAGAAAACTAAAATGAGCATGTAGTAATAGGTATAGAGCACAGTGAAATACAAGTTCTTTTTTAAGTTATGCTAAGTTGCTCTACACCTTTGTATGGTATATTAAGACAGAATATTTAGGAAGAGTCAAAGTGAAAATGCAGATAAACATAATAAATCAAAATCTTCTCTAGTTCTTTGTTGTCAGATTATATAATTTCTTTTTAGTTCAGTATTGGATATGCTGTTAATTTTAAGGACATTTAGTATATTGAATAATTAAGTAATAAAATAAAGGTTAATCTTTAAAATGATGTTATCAATCATAGATGTATAGGAAGATTGAACTACACATACATTTAAATACACTTGAAGAGACAGAAATGTTGGGTTTGTAGGTTTCTTAATTCTGTCTTAATAAAATATAAATAATAAATTGAAGTCATTAAAAACTGACATATTTTGATATCACTAGAAATGATAGTTTTAGATGTTTCATGCATAATTTGACAACATGCAATCAATCAATCAATCAATCAAAATTATTCCAAACTCAACAATTAATTCAACGAATGAACTTTTGTCAGAGTACACATTGGAAAGGTAAAGATGGAGAGATACATACTGGTCATAATATATTACTGTTCTAAAATTCAAATGAAAACTTCCAGTTAAGCATTGAAATTTGAGTAGTGACATTTTAATTCCTCTAATCCTACTATAGACTGAATATTTGTGTTCCCCTCAAAATTCATATGTTGAAACCTAATGTCCAATGTGATGGTATTTGGAGGTGCTGCTTTTGGAAGGCGATTAGCACATGCAGGAAGAGCTCTCATGAATGGGATTAATGTTCATATACTAATGCCTCGATCTTGGACATCCCAATCTCCATAACTATGAGAAATAAATTTATGTTTTTTTATAAGTCACCTAGTCTAGTATTTTTGTTATAGCTGTCCAAATAGACTAAGACAGAAAATTGGTAATGAGAATGCTGTTATAGCAATTACCTACAAATGTGAGAGCAGCTTTAGAATTGAGCAATGAATAGATCCTGGCAGAGTTTTGAGGTACATGCTAGAAAGAGACTACATTACTATGAATGAAACAGTAAGATAAATTCTGGTGAAAGTTCAGATGGAAATGAGGAACATGTTATTGTGAAATGGAGGAAATACAATCGTTTTTATAAAGAACTTGCCTAGACTGTGTATGTATCTTAGTGGTTTGTGGAAAGTTGAACTTGTGAGTAATGCAATTGGATATTTAGCTAAAACAATTTTTAAGCAAAGTGTAGAAGAAGGAGCCTCGTTTCTCTCCATACTGCTTGTAGTAAAATGTGAGATAGAAATAATTTAAAGACAGAACTGTTAATCAGAAAAGAAATAGAAATTAAAGATTTTGGGGAAAATTAGCTTATGCATATTTTAAAGAATAGGAAATCCTGTTTAGGAGAAAACGCTCAGAGTGTGGCAAACACCCGTTTGATTTTATTTTTTTACTTCATTGAGATTTGCTTATTGAGATTTTAGTATTTATTATCATTTATCATTTAGACTTTATTCAGATTTATTATTATTGAGATTTTATTATTTGAGATTTTATTAATATTATTTTTTATTTGTTTGAGATTAGTCACTTATCTCAACAGAATCCAAGAGCTATTCATCAAGGTAATGGATGAATGCAAAGGAGGGGCTGCTGGTGCCTGTGGGACCTTGGTGTGCATGTGCTGCCCAGCTGCCCAGTGCTGCCTCTCATCATAGGCTCTGCTTCACATCCTCTGGTGCCACACTCTTTGGCTGCCCCTGCTGTTGTTACAGGGGCCTGCTGTGCATTGTGGGCTGCAGTGGCCTCCCCTGATGGGGACACAGGCAGCCAGCTTTGGCTGTGTCCACATGATGCTATCTCCATCAGCATGCAGAATCCATGAGTCATGAGGCAAGCCGCCTCCAACTAGATTTCAAAGTATAGAACCAAATTCCTGCAGAGCTGTTGGAACAGAGCTGAGACAGACAGCTTCTGTGGGGCCATTTAGACAAGCTGTGGGATGGAGCTACCCAAAGCCTTGGAGACAGGGTAGCTCAGAACCTTGGAGGCCCAGCAAAGCTGTGGCAAAAGAACCACTACCCCAGTAGATATGGAAGTTATTATTTCAGGTCTGTCCCTTCAGGGTGTCTGAAAATTGGGACCTATGTCCCAGTGGGCCCGAAGGGCAGAACATCAAGTCAAAGATAATTATTTTCAAATCTTAAGGTCCAGTGGAATTTGCCCTATTGGGTTTTGGACTTGCTCAGGATTTGTCACTCCTTCCTTATTTCCTGTTTCGCCTGTTTGGAATGAAAATGGCTATCCTATGCCTGCACCACCATGTATTTTTGGAAGCACATGTCTCATTTTATTTCACAGGTTCACAACTGGAGCAGAATTTTGCCTCAGGAGGAATATTACCTTGAGTTTTATCTAGATTTAAATGAAACTTTGACATTAGACCTTAAAGCTGGTGCTGGAGCAAGTTAAGAACTTTGGGGCTATTGAAATGAAATGAATATATTTTGCGTTCAAGAAGTACATAAATTTTTGGAAGTCAGGTGTGGAATGTTATAGACTGAATATTTGTTTCTCCCCAAAAGTAATATGTTGAAACTTCATCCCCACTGTGATTGTATTTGGAGATGGGGCCTTTGGGATGTGACTAGGTCTAGTCTTTTAACACCTGTGATCTTTTTCAGTATTAGTGTTTCTTTGAGACCAAAAAATAAAAAAAGGGGGAAAGTACATAATATATACAGAAGGAAGAGTAGTTCTATCACTATTTTTCTACAAAAATAGTAAAAGTTTACCTTGAAATATACTTCATTGAACATTTTACATAATTTTAAAATGTAAAATACCTATTAAAGTAGGTTGTAGATAGGAAAGAAAAAATTAGACACATATCTATGTGAAATTTTATTCTGATCACTCATTTGCCTTTGTGTTCTTGTGTGATTTAGCTGTGGTGTGGTGGCTTTCTTTTACATTTCAGATTAAAGTAAATTTTATATTGGTTTAAATTTAGTATATTTTCAATTTCCTATTTACTTTCTCTGGTAATTTTCAATTTTTTAATCTTTTTAAAATGGAACTTGACTTTTGTCTGGGGCATGAGAAGACTTAATTAAATATTATTAAGTCATTAATATAAATAGCATATTTTAGACAGTCTGGATGATAAATTTTCTGCTCACTGACCATTTTACTGAATTAATGTGTGACCTGACATGGAACTAACAATAAGAAATGGAAATTACATTTACCTCAAATCATTCTGATTTTAACTAAATTTATTAAGCTTTAGAAATGTAAATTATGCATATTTATTGAGTACTTAAATCAATATACCAAGATGATGGAGAAAGTGCATATTTGTATTATAGTGTAGCTTTCAACTAATGTTTGGATGAATTCATGGAAATTTACTCAAACTTCGATGTCAGATTTTACTTTAAATAAACACAAGTTTAATATTAGAATAAAAGAGTGCCTTGGTCAAATGGGAGTTGAATTCTGCCAGAGTGAAAACTCCTGATTACTACATAGAAGACTGTGTTATTTGCTAAACATCCCTAACATCTCATCTCAAGCATCAAAGAAGAAAATTCAACCATAATGTCATGTATTTACCTATCTTTTCTCTTGTCACAGTGTGGTTCACATAAAAGTCAAATAGAATGATTTCCCTGGGAAATGATTCCTTCTGTAAAATGAGACTAACGATCATTCCTGCCAGAGTCAACTTATGGAACAACTATGAAGCAAAAATGACTTGTGTATGAAAGCTCCTTCAACACTGCTGCATAAACAGTATTATTAAAGATCAGTTGGTTTGAAAAACATAAATTATATTTTGAAATAGAAATAGCTTTATTTCTGATGAAAGTAATATGTTATCATTGTTTTAAAAAGTCAGTCAATGAAAGAGATAAACATTGTTAACATCTTGTCACATTCTCTTATTACGTATGTGTGTATATATAGCTATCTCTAGTGTGAAAATGAAGAGTTACATAAATATTTTGAATATCTGGATTTTTTAATTTTATATCCATGCTACAATTTACAAAACTTACTGCCATTGAAAGAGTTTATTTTCTATATTTTATAAATTGCAATAAAATAAATATCCTACTGTGTTAACATGTACAACTATTAATTTAAGATGATATAATAAATGTAGATTAAGATAATCGCTCTCCCTAAAACTCTTACCAATTTGCTCTCCCACCAACAATGAATTTCTGCTTCTTTCCACACTTGACAATATATATTATTTGATCAATTTTTAAATGCTTTGAAAGTGCAATAGATTTTTAAAAGGCATCTTATATTTTTAATTTATAGTGAAGTGAAACTTTTTTCATATGTTTAGTGACCATTTGCATTTTTGTCTGAAATGTTTCTCTTCCCATTTTTTTCTTTCCCATTTTTTTCTTTCCCATTTCCCTGTTTCTTTCTCATTTTTCTCATTGTTTTGTAGGCTTTCTGCATGCATTAAAATAATTTATCTTTAAACTGTCATAGGTTATATACATTAGCCTAGTTGTTGTTTTTCTTTAAACTTTGTTCTTGGTTTTTTTAGGTATATAGGAATTTTGTAATTTGTTTTTATTTAATCTTATTTATGTAATTTGTTTTTATTTAATATATGCCTACAAGGTAGGGATATATGCTTATGAGGTAGATGAGATATTTTGATACAGGCATATAATGTGTAATAATCACATTAGGGTAAATGGAGTATCCATCCCCTCCAGTATCCTTTGTCTTACAAATATTCCAATAACACTTTTTTAGTTATTTTTAAAATGTACAATAAAATTATCATTGACTGTAGTCACCCTGTTGTCCTATCAAATACTCGGTCTTATTAATTCTTTATAAATAGTATTTATACCCATTAAGCATCCCCCTTTCCCTCCAACCAACTCACTACACTTCCCAGCCTCTGGTAATGAGCCTTCTACTCTCTGTCTCCATGAGTTAATTGTTTTGATTTTTAGGTCCCAGAAATAAGTGAGATCATGCAATGTTTATCTTTCTGTGCCTGGCATATTTCCCTTAACATCATGACATTCAGTTCCATCCATGTTCGTGGAAATGACAGGATCTCATTCTTTTTGATGGCTGAATTGTACTGCATTGCGTAAAAGTACCACATTTACATCATCCATTTGTCTGTTGATGGACACTTAGGTTGTTTCTTAATCTTGGCTAGGTTGCTCCTTAATCTTGGCTTTTGAGAACTGTGCTGCAACAAACATGGGAGTGCAGATAGCTTTTTGCTATACTGATTTTCTTTCTTTTGGGCACATACCCAGCAGTGGGTTTGATGGACCATATGGTACCTCCATTTTTAGTTTTTTGAGGAACCTCCAAACTATTCTCCAGATTGGTTGTACTAACTTTCATTCCCACCAACAGTGTATGAGGGTTCCCTTTTCTCCACATCCTTGCCAGCATTTGTCATTGCCTGTCTTTTGGATATAAGCCATTTTGACTGGGGTGAGATGATATATCATTGTAGTTGATTTGCATTTCTCTGATGATCACAGATGTTGAGCACATTTTCACATGCCTGTTTGCCAATTTGTATGTCTTCTTTTGAGAAATATCTATTCATTGTTTTGCCTATTTTTAATTTCGCCTACTTTTAATTTTTCATTGGCTCATTAGATTTTTTTTCCCTATAGAGTAGTTTGAGATCCTTGTATATTCTGGTTTCATAGTTTGAGGTCTTAGATTTTAGTCTTTAATCCATTTTGATTTGATTTTTGTGTATGGCAAGAGATGGGGGTCTGGTTTCATTCTTCTGTATATGGATATCCAGTTTTCCCAGCACCATTTATTGAAGAGACTATATTTCCCCCACTGTATGTTCTTGGCATCTTTGTCAAAACTTGAGTTCACTGTAGGTGTTTGCATTTGTTTCTGGGTTCTCTATTCTGTTTCATCGGTCTATGTGTCTCGTTTTATGCTAGTACCATGCTATTTTGTTTACCATAGTAGTACAACTTGAGGTAAGGTAATGTGAATTTTTCCAGTTTTGTTCTTTTTGCTTAGCATAGCTTTGGCTATTCTGGGTCTTTTTGGGGATCCATATAGGTTTTGAATTTTTTTCCATTTATGAGAATAATGTAATTCGTATTTTAATAGGGACTGCATTGAATGTATAGAATGCTTTTGGTAATATTGACATCTAAACAACACTTTTTTCTTCCAGTCCATAAAATGGAATATATATTTGTTTATTGGGGTCCTCTTCAACTTTTTTCATCAGTGTTTTGCAGTGTTTCTTATAGAAATCCTTCACATCTTGGTTAATTTAATTTTTAGGTATTTAATTTACTGTGTGGCTACTGTTTCATGGGATTATTAGTTTTTATTTATTTTTCAGATTGTTCACTGTTGGCATATAGAAATGCTACTTATTTTTGTATGTTGATCTAATATCCAGAAACGTTACTAAATTTGTTTATCAGTTCTAATAGTCTCCTGATGACGTTTTCAGGTTTTTCCAAATCTAAGATCATATCATCTGCAATCAAGGATAATTTGATTTCTTCCTTTTCAATTTGGATGCCCCTTATTTATTTTACTTGTCACATTGCTCTAGCTAGGACTTCCAATACTATGCTAAATAACAGTGTTAAAAGTGGGGCTCCTTATTGTGTTCCAGAGCTTAGCGGAAAGGGTTTCAGTTTTGCCTCATTCAATATGATGCTAGCTGTGGTTCTGACATACGTGACTTTTAGTATGTTGAGGTATGCTCTTTCCACACCCAGTTTTTTGACAATTTTTATCACGAAGGGATGTTGAATTTTATCGGATGCTTTCTCAGAATCAACTGAAATGATCATACCATTTTTATTCTTCGCCTACTGATATGATGTATGACACTGATTGATTTGCATATGTTAAACCATCCTTGCATCCCAGGAATAAATCCTATGTGGTCACGATTAATGATATTTTTCATGTGTTCTTGAATTCAGTTTATTGTATTTTGTTGAGGATTTTTACATCAATCTTGATTGATACTGATATTAGCCTGTAGTGTTTTTTTAATGTGTCTTTGTCTGGTTTTGAACTCAGTGCTGTTAATACTGTTCTTGGTGATTTGTTTGGAAGTATTCCCTCCTCCTATATTTTTCAGAATAATTTGGATAGGATTGCTATTGTTTTTTCTTAAAATGTTTGGTAAAATTCAGCAGTGAAGCAATCAGGTTATGGGCTTTTCTTTGCTGGGAAACATTTTATAATGGCTTTGATGTCATTGCTTGTTATTGGTCTGCTCAGATGTTGGATTTCTTCCTGGTTCAATCACGGTGGGTTGCATGTGTCTAAGAATTTATCCATTTTGTTTATGTTTTCAAATTTATTGCCATGTAGTTGCTCATAGTAGCCTTTAAATCATCTTTTAATTCCTGTAGTATCATTTGTAATGTATCCTGTTTCATCTCTGATTTTATTTATTTGAGTCTTGTCCTGTTTGTTGTTGCTAGTCTGACTAAAGTTTGTGAATTGTGTTTATCTTTTCAAAAAAACAGATTTTCATTTCATTGTTTGTATTATTTTCTTTATTTCAATAAATTTGATTCTGCTCTGATCTTTATTATTTCTTTCCTGCTAATTTTGGTTTGGTTTATTCTTGCTTTTGTAGTTTTTTTAAGATGCATCATTAAGTTGTTTATTTGAAGGTTTTTTTAATACTTTTTTGATATAGGTGATTGTAGCCATAAATTTCCCTCTTAGTACTGCTTTTGCTGTATCCCATACCTTTTTGTATATTGTTTTTCCATCATCATTTGCTTCACAAATTTTAAAAACTTTCTTCTTAATTTCTTAATTGATGCATTTGACATTCGGGAACATATTCTTTAAATTCCATGTGTTTCTATAGTTTTCAAAATTCTTCTCATTGTTGATTTATATTTTTATTCTATTGAGTTCAGAGAAAATACTTGATATTATTTTAATGTTTTGATTTTTTAAAGTCTTGTTTTGTATCCTAAAATATAGTCTACCTTTGACAATGATCCATGTGCTGAGGAGAAGAATGCGTATTTTGCAGCCATTGGATTAAATATAACATAAATATTTATTAGGTTCATTTGGTTTATCTTGCAGATTAAGTCAACTGTCTTTTTGTTGATTTTCTGTCTAGTTTATCTGTCCAATGCTGAAACTGAAGCGTTGAAGTCTTCAGCTATATTGTCTGGGAGTCTATCTCTCTTTAGCTCCAATAATGTTTGCTTTATATGTCTATGTGCTCCAGTGCTGGGTGCATTTGTATTTAAAATTGCTATATCCTCTTGATAAAATTATGACCCCTTTATCATCATAAAATGATGTCATTTGTCTTTTTTACAGTTTTTGTCTTGAAATCTATTGTGTCTAAGTATTGCTGCTTTTGATCTTTTCTGGTTCCCATTTGCATGGAATTTTTTATGCCTTTCTTTTTATTCTGTTTGTGTCTTTTTTTGAGAAAGTGTGTTTCCTGAAGGCAGATCATTGGTTCTTGTTTTCCTAAACCATTCTGTTACTCTATGTCTTTTGCTTAGAGAGTTTAGCCCACTTGTATTCAATGTTATTGTTGATAAGTACAAAATTACTCTTGCAATTTTGTTATTTGTTTTCTGATTATTTTGTGGTCTCCTCTTCCTACTGTCCTTCCTTCCTGTCTTCTTTTGAGTAAAGGTGACTTTGTAAGGTGATATGATTTTCTTTACTTTTATTTTTTGTGTGACCCTTGTATTTTGTTTGACTTGAGGTTACCAAGAGGTTTGCAAACAATAACCTTTAACCAATTATTTTAAACTGCTGACAAGGTAACATTATTTGCATAAACAAACTAATCAACTGGAAAAAAGAAAATTAATAAAATTTGCATTTTAACATTATCCCCCATTTTTTACATTTTGTTTTTTCTATTTATATCCTTTTGTACTGTCTGTTTCTTGCAAAGTTGTTGTGGTTTTTATTTTTGTTCAGCTTATCTTTTAGTATTTCTATTCAAGATATGAGTAATTTAAAAACCTCAATTACAATGTTATATATATATATATATATATATAACTATATATAAAAAACTATATATATAGTTTTTCTGAGTCCTTGCTAGTTCCAGTGAGTTTTATGCCTGCAGATAATTTCTTATTGCCCATTAACATGTTTTTTTCTTTCACACTGAAGAACTTCTGTTAGCATTTCTTGTAGTACTGGTCTGGTGTTGATAAAATTCCTCAGCCTCTAATTGTCTGCAATAGTTTTGGTTTATCCTTCATGTTTGAATGATAATTTCATGGGATATACTATTCTAGAGTTAAAATTTTATCCTTTTAGCACTTTAAATATGTCATCCACTCTCTCTTGCCCTGTAAGGTTTCCACTGAAAAGTCTGCTGCCAGATGTATTTGAGCTCCATTGTGTATTATTTGTTCCTTTTCTCATGTTTTTTTAGAAATTCTTTATCCTTGACTTTTGGGAGTTTAATTTTTAAATGTCGCAAGGTACTCTTTCTTGATTTTAATATACTTGGTGTTCTATAACTTTGTTGTACTTGAATATTGATATATTTCCCTAAGATGGGGAATTTCTCTGCTATTATCCATTCAAATAAACTTTTTAACTGCATCTCTCCCTCTCTCTCCTCTTAAAGGCCAATAACTCTTAGATTTTCTCTATTGAGGCTATTTTCTAGATTCTGTAGGTATGCTTTATTGTTTTTTATTCTTTTTTCTTTTGTCTACTCTTACTGTGTATTTTCTCTTTTTTTTTTTTTTTTTTTGTGAGATGGAGTCTTGCTCTGTCCCCCAGGCTGGAGTGCAGTGGCGTGATCTCAGCTCACTGCAAGCTCTGCCTCACGGGTTCATGCCATTCTCCTGCCTCAGGCTCCCGAGTAGCTGGGACTACAGGCACCCACCACCACACCCTGCTAATTTTTTGTATTTTTAGTAGAGATGGGTTTCACCATGTTAGCCAGGATGGTCTTGATCTCCTGACCTCGTGATCCGCCTGCCTTGGCCTCCCAAAGTGCTGGCACTACAGGCGTGAACCACCGCGCCCAGCCACTGTGTATTTTCAAATAGGCTGTTGATATGGTTTAACTTTGTGTCCCCACCCAAATCTCATGGCAAATTGTAACTCCTTATGTTGGGGGAGATACCCAGTTGGAGGCGATTGGATGATAGGGACAGATTTTCCACTTGCTGTTTTCATGATGGTGAGTGACTTATGATAAGATCTTATGGTTTAGAAGTTTGTGACACTTTCCCCTTCACCTTCTCTTTCTCCAGCTGCCATATGAAAATGTACTTGCTTCTCCTTTACCCTTCTGCTGTGATTGTAAGTTTCCTGAGGCTTCCTCAGCCATGCCTCCTGTGCAGCCTGTGGAACTGTGAGTAATTTAAGCCTCTTTTATTTATAAATTACCCAGTCTTGCATATGTTTTTATCAGCAGCATGAAAACCGACTAATACAGTAAATTGGTACCAGTAGAGTAGGGCGCTGCTATAAAGATACCTGAAAATTTGGAAGAGACTTTGGAACTAGGTGACAGGCACAGGTTGGAACAGTTTGCAGAGCTCAGAAGAATACAGAAATATAAGGGAAATTTTGGAACCTCCTAAAGACTTTTTGAATGGTTGTGACGAAAGTGCTGATAGTGATATGGACAGTGAAGTCCAGCCTGAGGTGGTCTCAGATGGAGATGAGGAACTTATCTGGACCTGGAGTAAAGGTCACTCTTGCTATGATTTAGCAAAGAGACTGGTGTCATTGTGTCTCTGCTCTAGGGATCTGTGGAACTTTGAACTTGAGAGAGATGATTTAGGGTATCTGGTGGAAGAAACTTATCAGCAGCAAAGCATTCAAGAGGTTACCTGGCTGCTTCTAAAAACCTACACTCATTTGTATATAAAAGAAATGTCCTGAAACTAGAACTTGTATTTAAAAGGGAAGCAGGGCATAAAAGTTTAGAAAATTTGCAGTCTGACCATGCAGTAGAAAAGGACACCCCGTTTTCTAGGGAGAAATTCAAGGCTGCAGAAGTTTGCATAAATAATGAAGAGCTGAATGCCAGTAGCCAAGATAATGGGGATAGTGCCTCCAAGCCATTTCAGAGACATTTGTGGCAGCCCCTCCCATAACAGGCCTGGAGTCCTAGGAGGGAAATATGGTTTTGTGGGCCAGGCCCAGGGTCCTGCTTCTCTGTGCAGCCTTGGGACTTAGTGCCCTCTGTCCCATTTACTCCAGCTCCAGTCATGGCTAAAGGGGCCAAGGTACAGCTCAGGCCATTGCTTCTGAGAATGCAAACCCCAAGCCTTGGTGGTTTCCATGTGGTGTTGTGACTGTGGGTGTGCAGAAGGCAACAGTTGAGGTTTGGGAGGCTCTGCCTAGATTTTAGAGGATGTATAGAAATGCCTGGTTTTCCAGGCAGAAGTCTGCTGCAGGGGCAGAGCCCTCATGGAGAATCTCTACTAGGGAAGTGCAAAGGGAAAATGTGGGGTTGGAGCCCCCACTAGGGCACTGCCTAGTGGAGCTGTGAGAAGGGGGCCACTGTCATCCAGACCCCAGAATGATAGTTCCACCAATAGTTTGTACTGTGTGTCTGGAAAAGATGCAGGCACACAACAACAGCCTGTGAAAGTAGCTGCTGGGGCTATATCCTGCAAAGCCATAGGGGAAGAACTGCCTAAGACCTTGGGATCCCACCCCTTGCATCAGTATGCCCTGGAGGTGAGACACGGAGTAAAAGGAAATTACTTTGGAGCTTTAAGATTTAATGACTGCCTTGCTGGGTTTTGGACGTGCATGCTGTCTGTAGCTCTTTTGTTTTGGACAATTTCTCCCATTTGGAATGGGATTAGTTACCCAATGCCTGTACTCCCTTTGTATATTGGAGGTAACTAAATTTTTTTACATTTTACAAACTCATAGACAGAAGGGAGTTGCCTTGGCTCAGATGAGACTTTAAACTTGGCCTTTTGAGTTAATGCTGGAATAAGTAAAGACTTTGGGTGTCTGTTGGGAAGGCATGATTGTGTTTTGAAATTTGAGAGGGACATGAGATTTGGGAGAGACCATGGGTGGAAGATGTGTGTATGAGTCCATTTTTTTTTTTTTTTGAGATGGAGTCTCACTCTGTCACCCAGGCTGGAGTGCAGTGGCGCGATCTCGGCTTACTGCAACCTCTGCCTCCCGGGTTCAAGCGATTCTCCTGTCTCAGCCTCCCGAGTAGCTGGGACTACAGGCACCCGCCATCACGCCCAGCTAATTTTTGTATTTTTAGTAGAAATGGGGTTTCACCATGTTGTTCTGGCTGGTCTCGAACTCCTGACCTCATGATCCTCCTGCCTCGGCCTCCCAAAGTGCTGGGATTACAGGCGTGAGCCACCGCACCTGGCCAATGCTTAGTCCATTTTCATACTGCTATAAAGAGCTTCCTGAAACTGGATGATTTATAAAGGAAAGAGTTTTAATTGACTCACAGTTCAGCAAGGCTGAGCAGGCCTCAGGAAACTTACAATCATGGCAGAAGGTGAAGGGGAAGCAAGGCATCTTCTTCACAAAGTGGCAAGAAGAAGTGCCAAGCAAAGGGAGGCAAACCCCTTATGAAACCATCGGATTTCACGAGAACTCATTCACTATTATGAGAACAGCATGAGGGAACCACCCCCATGATTCAATTAACTCCACCTGGTCTCTCCCTTGACACCTGAGGATTATGGGGATTACAATTCACAATGAAATTTTGGGTGGGGAAACAACCAAACTTTATCAATGTGGTTTGGCTCTGTGTCCCCACCCATATTATATGTTGAATTGTAATTCCCAGTGTTGGGGGAGGGACCTGTTGGGAGGTGATTGGATAATGGAGGAGGATTTCCCCTTTGCATTTCTGGTGATGGCAAGTGAGATCTCATGCCATCTGATGATCTGATGGTTTAGAAGTGTGTGGCACTTCCCCCTTCACTCTCTCTCTTTCTCCTGCCACATGCGAAGATGTGCTTGCTTCTCCTCACCCTTATTCCATGATTGTAAGTTTCCTGAGGCCTCCCAAGCCATGCCTCCTGTACAGCATTTTAGACTGTGAGTGAATTAAACCGCTTTTCTTTATAAATTACCCAGTCTTAGGTAGTTTTCTAATAGTGATGTGAGAATAGACCAATATAGCTCTCTTTAAGCTCTCTAATTCTTTTTACTGCTTGATCATTCCTGCTGTTAAAAAACTGTGATGCATTATTCTGTAGTTCTTTTACATATTTCAGCTCCAGAATTTCTGCTTGATTCTTTTTCACTATTTCAATTTATTTGTTAAATTTATCTGATAGGATGTTGAATTCCTTCTGTGTTATTTTGAGTTTCTTTGAGATTCCTCAAAACTGTTATTTTGAATTCTGTTTCAGAAAGATCACATATCTGTTTCTCCAGTATTAGTCCTTGGTGCCTTCTTTAGTTCGTTTAGTGAGGTTCAGTTTTCCTGGTTGATCTTGATGTTTTTCAATGTCTGTCAGTGTATGGACATTTAGGTATTTATTGTAGTCTACATAGACTGGACTTCTTTGTACCCATCCCTCTTGGGAAGGGTTTCCCAGTATTCAAAGGGACTTGGGTGTTGTCATCTAAGTTTTTGTTCAGTCTGGGTGCAGTGGTGCTCACACCTGTAATCTCAGCAATTTGGGAGGCTCGCTCAAGTGGATTGTTTAAGGACAAGAGTTTGAGACCAGCCTGGGCAACATAGTGAGACCTCATCTCTACAAAAATTTTTTTTAAAAAAATATCCCAGCATGGTGACATCTTTCTATAGTCCCGTCTTCTTTTGAGTGAAGGTAATTTCCAGCTACTCAGGAAGCTGAGGCAGGAGTATCGCTTGAGCCTGAGGGGTTGAGGCTGCAGTGCACTGTGATTGCACCACTGCACTCCAGCCTGGGCAATAGAGCAAGACCTTGTCTCAAGGGAAAAAAAAGGTTTTGGTCACTATGGCCTTGTCTGCATTAGGTAGCACCCAAAGCTCAGTAACACTGTGGCTCTTGCAGACACATACAGGTCCTGGCTTGGTGGTCTTGGGTAAGACCTGGAACAATTATCTGGATTACAAGGCAGAGATTCTTGTTCTCTTCCCTTACTTTTTCCTAACAAATGATGATAGCTAGGGTGGGGATAAGTGTGGTTTCGAAGAAGATATAAAATATGATTAGCTCCGTGGCTGTGAATGTTATAATTAAGGAGATTTGGAGGGAGATTAGCATAGAGAGGTAGAGTTTTTTTCGTGATAGTGGTTCGTTGGATAGGTGGCGCTGGCTTGCCATGATTGTGAGGGGTAGAAGTCAGGTAGTTAGTATTAGGAGGGGGGTCGTTAGGGGGTCGGAGGAGAAGGATAGGGAGCAGCTAAATAGGTTGTTGTTGATTTGGTTAAAAAATAGTAGGGGGATGGTGCTAATAATTAGGCTGTGAGTGGTTGTGTTGATTCAAATTATATGTTTTTTGGAGAATCATGTTAGTGGTAGTAATATGATTGTTGGGATGATTAGTTTTAGCATTGGAGTAGGCTTAGGTTATGTACGTAGTCTAGGCCATATGTGTTAGAGATTGAGACTAGTAGGGCTAGGCCTACTGCTGCCTTGCAGGCAGCAAAGACTAGTATGGTGATAGGTACAATATTGGCTAAGAGGGAGTGGGTGTTGAGGGTTATGATTACACATGCAAGCATCCCCGTCCCGGTGAGTCACCCTCTAAATCACCACGATCAAAAGGAACAAGTATCAAGCACGCAGCAATGCAGCTCAAAACGCTTAGCCTAGCCACACCCCCATGGGAGACAGCAGTGATAAACCTTTAGCAATAAACGAAAGTTTAACTAAGCTATACTAACTCCAGGGTTGGTCAATTTCGTGCCAGCCACCGCGGTCACACGATTAACCCAAGTCAATAGAAACCGGCGTAAAGAGTGTTTTAGATTAATTCCCCTCAATATATTACTGCTGTTAGGGAAATGAATGAGCCTACAGATGATAGGATATTTCATGTGGTGTATGCATCGGGGTAGTCCGAGTAACGTCGGGGTATTCCAGATAGGCCAAGAAAGTGTTGTGGGAAGAAGGTTAGGTTTACGCCAATGAATATGATAGCAAAATGGATTTGGCGTAGGTTTGGTCTAGGGTATAGCCTGAGAACAGGGGAAATCAGTGAATGAAACCTCCTGTGATGGCGAATACAGCTCCTATTGATAGGACGTAATGGAAGTGAGCTACGACGTAGTATGTGTCGTGTAGTACGATGTCTAATGATGAGTTTGCTAGTACAATGCCGGTTAGGCCACCTACAGTGAAGAGAAAAATGAACCCTAGGGCTCAGAGTACTGCAGCAGATCACTTCATATTGCTTCCGTAGAGTGTAGCGAGTCAGCTAAATACTTTGACGCTGGTGGGAATAGCGATGATTATGGTAGCGGAGGTGAAATAGGCTCGTGTGTCTACGTCCATTCCTACTGTAAATATATGGTGTGCTCACACAATAAACCCTAAGAAACCAATTGATATTATAGCTCAGACCATACCTATATATCCGAATGGTTCTTTTTTTCCGGAGTAGTAAGTTACAATATGGGAAATTATTCCGAAGCCTGGCAGGATAAGAATATAAACTTCGGGGTGGCCAAAAAATCAGAATAGGTGTTGGTATAGAATAGGGTCCCCTCCCCCGGCTGGGTCGAAGAAGGTGGAAGTCTCTCCCTCTCTCTGCTGAGCTTCCTGGAGCTGGGGTAGGGGTGACACAAACACCCCGGTCGCCACCACAACTGTGCCTTCACTGAGTCAGACTTGAAGCCGCATGGCACTGGGACTCGTCAAAACCCTCCTGTAACCACTTCCTGGCTACCACCTATGTTCACTGAAGGCACTAGGTCTATACAATCAGTAGATGGTGAAGTCAGCCAGGCTTGTGTCATTCCTTTCAGGGCCATGAGTTCCCCTACCCCTGAACACATCCTGAGATGCTGCCTGGAAGCCAGGGCCTGGAGTTGGATACCTCAGGAATCTACCTGGCGTTCTTTTCTACTGTGGGTGAGTTAGCCACATTCCCTCCCCACTCTCATGGCCACCACCACAGGTCCAAAGGACTAGTGCCAGGTTATCACTGAAGTTTACTCAAGGCCCACGGGCTTTTCAGTGAGGTTGTAGTGAATGCTGCCAGGCCTGGGACTCACCCTTCAGGACAGTGGTCTTCCCTGTGGCCCATGGCAGGTCCAGAAATGTTGTCTGAGAGTCAATACCTGGAATTAGGGAACCCAAGCACCTTCTTGAGACTCTACCCCACTGTAGTTGAACTACAGTTGGTACCTAAGCTGCAAGACAAAGTTCCCTTTCCTCTTCTCTCTGATTTTCTCAAACAGAAGTTGTCTCTCCCTATAGCCACCACAAGTGGGAATATGCTGAGTTACACCTGAAGCCAGCATAGCTCTGAGTCTCACCCAAGGCCCATGGTGTATACTACCAAACTACTGTTGCTGATTATTCAGAGCCCAAAAACTCTTTAGGCAGCAGATTATGAATCCTGCCAGGACTGCGTCCTTCCTTTCAAGGAAGTGGGTTCGTTTCTGGTCCAGGAATGTCTAGAAATGTCATCCAGAGCTAGTGCCTGGAACGGGGTCCTCAGGACTTGGCCCAATGCTCTGTCCTATTGTGGGTGAGCTGCTGCCCAAGATGCAAGACAAAGTCCTCTTTACTCTTCCCTTTCTTCCCCTCAAGTGGAAGGAAGGAGTCTCTTTCACAGCTGTGAGCTGTGCTGCCTGGGTTTGGGGGAGGGGTAATGCAAGCACTTTCTTGGCAGATCCAGCTGGTGTCTCACTAGGTCGTGTGCCCCCCAGTCCACTGGCTCAGACTCTACAAAGCACTGGAAATTGCCATCTTTGTGGCCTAGACTGACTTTCAATTTTGTTTAGGACCTCAGATCACTGTAGCCTATGGTGGTGAGGTTTGCTAGAACTCAAGCTCTGACCCCTGGGATGGATGATTCCCCTCTGGTTAGAGCTGGTCTAAATGCTCCTTCTGTGGGTGCCAGCTGAGTTCTGCCTGGTGTTGCTTTCCACAGTAAACAGGGCAGCACTGATTTCCAATATAAAGACCCACAATCACTATGCTTTCCCTCTTCCAAGTACACAGATTCTCCATGCCATGGCTGATGCTGCAGGATGTGGGGTGGGGGGGGTGGCATCGACAATTAAAGAGGGTAGGAAACTACCCTCTTCAGTGCCTCTTTCAGTTATATGAAGTTAAATCCAGTTATTGTGATCACTCACTTGAGTTTTGTTTCTTATGAAGGGGCTTACTTGTGTAGATAGTTTGTAAATTTGGTGTTCCTGCAGGTACAGCAATAGGTAGAAGTCTCTATTTAGCCATCTTACTCTGCCTCAGAAGTTTTTTTTTTTGTTTGTTTGTTTGTTATATGATCACTTCTGTTCATCTATACTCTTATCATTTTTAGTTTTGTTGTCAGGCTTAGGAAGGCTTTCTTCGTTCAAATATTATAAAATACTCAATTTTAATCTTCTGGTGTTTCCGTGGGTTAGAATCAACAGGAATTTATTTTTGTATGAGACAAATGTATGTTTATTTTTGTCCAAATCATTAGGTAGCTGCAACAGCATTAATAATCTTTCTTTCCTAACTGATTTTAAGTGCCAGCTGAAACTAAATATTTATATATACTGGGGTTTGTCTCAAGGTTTTTTATTCCATTCTATGAATATATATGTTCTGGCAACAGTACTGTACTGCTGTCATTACACTAGTTTTGTAAAAATAAAGACAACGTTTCTCGCATTACTTTTTTATGGGCAGATTTTTTTTTTTTTTAACTGGAAGAACCTCATACATTTTTTGTTATGGATGAACTCTGAAATGGCACTTCCATATTCCAAGTTTTCCCATTTTTGCTCATTTATCTTTTCCTTAAAAAAGTATCCACATTTTCAGTTTAATTAGCATAATTGTATTCTTAATTTACATTTCCTCTGTGTATGTAATTATATGTTAATCTATTACTTCTCCTTTGCAGGCTGATGAACATTTATCTTATAATATAAACAATGACCTGGGTATGATGAGTGCAGGGGATAGATTTTTAATATTGGCACTTTCATTTATATAATATTTTAGCTATCATTCCTTCCTCCTCTCCTTTCTTCCCTCCCATTCCCACTCATTTTATGTGTTGTATTGGGGCCATATTTTCACATCTGATGAGAGAGTCTACCTGATCTGTATTCCAGGTATAGAAGCTGACTCTGCTTTATCTTTTCTCCCACTTTTCATCTTGTGAATTGGAGGAGTGTCTTCTTGTCTCCTGATCTGTCTCATTGTGAAGGAAGCCCTCTGAGTAACAAGATTGCATCCTCAGTTGGTGATGACTTTAAAATGTTGGTAAAATTGAACAAACATATAACAAACTAAAACACAACTCTCATTCTTTTTCATTGGTGATGAAATTGCCCATCCTTATCCTCCAACACCACCATTTTTTCATCTAAGTGGTAATTTTGGTCAGTTCCTGGGAGGTGGGTGGAAGCAAGCTCTTACAACTTCATATTTCCCAGAAGTCTCATTTATGTTTGAAAACTTTCAAATTGACATAATGATATTTCCTAATGTTTTCTACTGTTCTCAATTGTATTTAATATTAATTTCTGGTGTCATTTCCTACCTGTACTAACTTTTTGGTCTGAATTTGGACTGTTTTATTTTTATTTCCCTGCTTTCTCTGCCTATAAAAGTCACATATATCATTTAAGACACAGCTCAGACATCACCTATGCTATTTTCCCATAGTCAATTGATTCATTAATATTATAATAAATTCAGATTTCAATGGGAGCATAGTAATGTTTAAAGAATGTGTGCAGACCAAGTGTGATGGCTCACACCTGTAAATCCAGCACTTTGGGAGGCCGAGGTAGGTGGATCACTTGAGGTCAGGAGTTCAAGACTATCCTGGCCAACAAGGTGAAACCCTGTCTCTACTAAAAATACAGAAATTAGCTGGGTGTGGTGGTGTGGCCCGTAGTCCCAACTACTTGGGAGACTGAGGCAGAAGGATCACTTGAGCCCGGGAGGCAGAGGTTGTGGTGAGCTGAGAGTGCGCCACTGCACACCAGCCTGAGCATTGGAGTGAAACCCTGTCTGAAAAAAAAAAATGTGTGCAAAGCTAACAGTGAGGTAGGAAATTACACCAGAACTTCACATAATATACAAATAGGAGCAGTAGAAAATATTAGGGAATGAAATGATATAAATTTAAAAGTTTTCAAACTTGAGTGAGACTTCTGGAAAAGATGAAGGTCTAGGAGCTGACTTCCTTCTACCTCCCAGAGTCTGACCAAAATGACCACTTAGAGGAAAAAACGGTGGTGATGCTGGAAAGAGGGGATGGGCAATTTCATCAAAATGTCATCAACTGTGAACCATTAAAATAAATTATTTCTGTCTTTGACACTGTAACTAATACATTGAATCCTATGTGTTTTAATATCTATACTCTGCAGAAAAGCAAAGCTAATCAGAAATAGTTATATCTTTTTTATAATCCTACTTGTGTTTCAGCCAGCATTTACCTTCTTCAAATTTACACTAGTTATGCAATTGGAAGAACATCCAGGCATCCCTTCCTCTATATTTGTCTAAAAAACATAGCCACAAATAACAGAATAAAAAAATACAGGGCATTGAAAAGTAAGAGGCAGCAAATTATTATAATCTCCATATCCTAAAGCATCAGCTGTTAGGTTTTTGTGTTCTATCCATACATATATTCATGTCATGGTAAAATAACATCTTATTAAACATTTGTTATATTTTCAGCATGTTAATTGTTATCATGAACATTTTTATTATTGCATAATCATAATATTCAAGTAAAGATACTATAATTTACTAAACTTTCTCCTTAATGTTGCACCATTCTAAGGCTAATTTCACATATTCACTTTTATAAAAATGCAATAGTGTCCATCTTTGTAGATCTATTTCTATCTTTTGAATTATTTCCTTAACTTAAATTCCATTATTTTATTTCAAAATAACAGTAGTGTGTTTAATATTGATTGAATAAGTATAAAATAGTATTGTGGGGAAAATATTTTTATAATTTCTCTCTACTAGTACCACCGAGTTATTGTCTCACATCATTTAATAATGGTGGGTCTTGTGTCAAAATGCAGAATGTTACAATTTTCATGTTGTCAAATATATCAACCTTTCCTGCATTGATATCCTTTTACTTTAACACTATTTCATTGTAATGATTGTATCTGAATTTTATTAATTAATGGCAAAAGTCTAATCATAACTTTACCTTTTTTACTAAACATTCTTGTGCTTTTTTGCTTATTGATTCCTTTAGGTAAATGATGGCATCACTTTACTATTTTTTTAAGAGGGAAGGAAGAAAGGATAGGATTTTGAGTGGACTTTTATTAAATGTAGAATTTTGAGGAGAATTTGTGTTTCTACAACATCCACTTACTACTTTTCTCTCAATTTATTTACATGATTTTTTGTCTATTCTATAGTAAAACTATTTGTAAGTTTCTACAAATATGTTATAGGTACATTTAGTTAAAATTGTTCCTAGATATTTTATATTTATATTATTGTTGCTATTGTCAATAGAATATGTGTTTTAACTTTTCAATTTGTATATCTTGTTAAAATTTTAGTATTACACATCAACTTCTATAGCATTATGCTGAGAAAAGGTGGTGATGGCTGCCATCCACATCTTGTTCTTAATTTTATAGGAAGTATTTCTAACATTTCACTGTTATATGCTATATGACGTTTGTCATAGTGTTTTAAGCTGTTATTTCAGATACAATTGAAATCATGTTCAATTACTTTAATTGTACAATTCAACGCTACTTAATAAATGTGTAGAGTTGTGCAACTGTCAACACAATCCAATTTTAAAATGTTTTCATCACCCCCAAAAGAACCCTAATGTTTATTTTCAGTCACTCACCATTCCTATCCCATCCCCATATTTCAATTATTCATTTACTTTTATTATCATATAGAACAATAGTATTCCATTTTATAGATATTGTACATTTTGGTTTTGGTAGATACTTAATTATCAATTTAACCTACTTCTTTTCTACTGCAAGTTTGATTGTAATTTTTCTTTTAGTGAATGGATATTGATAGCATTGTAAATTTTTGACAAGAATTGCACATTTTTCTTTGTGTCAGAAATATTTACTTTTTAAATTTTATTATTTTTAATTTTTTGTGGGTACATAGTGGGTGTACATATTTATGGGGTACATGAGATGTTTTGATGCAAGGCATGCAATATGAAATAAGCACATAATGGAGAATGGGGGGTATCCATCCCCTTAAGCATTTATCTTTTGTGTTACAAGAAATCCAATTACACTTTTTTAGTTATTTTAAAGTGTAGAGTTCTTATTGACTATAGTTACCCTGTTATGCTATCAAATGGTAGGTTCTTTTTCATTCTATCTAACTGTTTTTTTGTACCCAGTAATGATCCTCCCCCCAACCCCCCACTATACTTCCCAACCTCTGGGAACCATCTTTCTATTCTCTATCCACATGAGTTCAACTGTTTTGACTTTTAGGCCCCAGAAATGAGTAAGAACATTCAATGTTTGTCTTTCTGTGCCTGGCTTACTTCACTTGCATAATGATCTCCATTCCTATGTTGTTGCAAATGACAGGATCTCTCTCTCTCTCTCTTTTTTTTTTGGCTGAGTAGTACTCCATATGGTGTATATACACTATATTTTCTTTATCCATTCATCTGTTGATGAACACTTAGGTTGCTTTTAAATCTTAGCTATTGTAAACAATGCTGCAACAAACATTGGAGCGCAGAGTGCAGATATCTCTTTAAATATACTTATTTCCTTTCTGTTGGGTATATATTCAGCAGTGGGATTGATGTATCATACAGTAGCTCTATTTTTAGCTTTTTGAGGACCTTCCAAACTGTTCTCTGTTAGTGGTTTTACTAATTTACATTCCCACAAACAGTGTAAAAAGGTTCTCTTTTCTCCACATCTTTGCTAGCATTTGTTATTATCTATCTTTTGGATGTAAGCCATTTTTTTTTCTTTTTTTTTTTTACTTTATTATTATACTTTAAGTTTTAGGGTACATGTGCACAATGTGCAGGTTTGTTACATATGTATACATGTGCCATGCTGGTGTGCTGCACCCATTAACTCTTCATTTAACATTAGGTATATCTCCTAATGCTATCCCTCCCCCCTCCCCTCAACCCACAACAGTCCCCGGAGTGTGATGTACCCCTTCCTGTGTCCACGTGTTCTCATTGTTCAATTCCCACCTATGAGTGAGAACGTGCAGTGTTTGGTTTTTTGTCCTTGTGATAGTTTGCTGAGAATGATGGTTTCCAGTTTCATCCATGTCCCTACAAAGGAAATGAACTGTTCATTTTTTATGGCTGCATAGTATTCCATGGTGTATATGTGCCACATTTTCTTAATCCAGTCTATCGTTGTTGGACATTTGGGTTGGTTCCAAGTCTTTGCTATTGTGAATAGTGCCACAATAAACATACGTGTGCATGTGTCTTTATAGCAGCATGATTTATAATCCTTTGGGTATATACCCAGTAATGGGATGGCTGGGTCAAATGGTATTTCTAGTTCTAGATCCCTGAGGAATCGCCACACTGACTTCCACAATGGTTGAACTAGTTTACAGTCCCACCAACAGTGTAAAAGTGTTCCTGTTTCTCCACATCCTCTCCAGCACCTGTTGTTTCCTGACTTTTTAATGATCGCCATTCTAACTGGTGTGAGATGGTATCTCATTGTGGTTGATTTGCATTTCTCTGATGGCCAGTGATGGTGAGCAATTTTTCATGTGTTTTTTTGGCTGCATAAATGTCTTCTTTTGAGAAGTGTCTGTTCATATCCTTTGCCCACTTTTTGATGGGGTTGTTTGTTTTTTTCTTGTAAATTTGTTGGAGTTCATTGTAGATTCTGGATATTAGCCCTTTGTCAGATGAGTAGGTTGCGAAAATTTTCTCCCATTTTGTAGGTTGCCTGTTCACTCTGATGGTAGTTTCTTTTGCTGTGCAGAAGCTCTTTAGTTTAATTAGATCCCATTTGTCAATTTTGGCTTTTGTTGCCATTGCTTTTGATGTTTTAGACATGAAGTCCTTGCCCATGCCTATGTCCTGAATGGTATTGCCTAGGTTTTCTTCTAGGGTTTTTATGGTTTTAGGTCTATCATGTAAGTGTTTAATCCATCTTGAATTAATTTTTGTATAAGGTGTAAGGAAGGGATCCAGTTTCAGCGTTCTACATATGGCTAGCCAGTTTTCCCAGCACCACTTATTAAATAGGAAATCCTTTCCCCATTTATTGTTTTTGTCAGGTTTGTCAAAGATCAGACAGTTGTAGATGTGTGGCATTATTTCTGAGGGCTCTGTTCTGTTCCATTGATCTATATCTCTGTTTTGGTACCAGTACCATGCTGTTTTGGTTACTGTAGCCTTGTAGTATAGTTTGAAGTCAGGTAGTGTGATGCCTTTGGCTTTGTTCTTTTGGCTTAGGATTGACTTGGCGATGCGGGCTCTTTGTTGGTTCCATATGAACTTTAAAGTAGTTTTTTCCAATTCTGTGAAGAAAGTTATTGGTAGCTTGATGGGGATGGCATTGAATCTATAAATTACCTTGGGCAGTATGGCCATTTCCACGATATTGATTCTTCCTACCCATGAGCATGGAATGTTCTTCCATTTGTTTGTATCCTCTTTTATTTCATTGAGCAGTGGTTTGTAGTTCTCCTTGAAGAGGTCCTTCACGTCCCTTGTAAGTTGGATTCCTAGGTATTTTATTATCTTTGAAGGAATTGTGAATGGGAGTTCACTCATAATTTGGCTCTCTGTTTGTCTGTTATTGGTGTATAAGAATGCTTGTGATTTTTGTACGTTGATTTTGTATCCTGAGACTTTGCTGAAGTTGCTTATCAGCTTAAGGAGATTTTGGGCTGAGACAATGGGGTTTTCTAGATATACAATCATGTCATCTGCAAACAGGGACAATTTGACTTCCTCTTTTCCTAATTGAATACCCTTTATTTCCTTCTTCTGCCTAATTGCCCTGGCCAGAACTTCCAACACTATGTGCAATAGGAGTGGTGAGAGAGGGCATCCCTGTCTTGTGCCAGTTTTCAAAGGGAATGCTTCCAGTTTTTGTCCATTCAGTATGATATTGGCTGTGGGTTTGTCATAGATAGCTCTTATGATTTTGAGATACATCCCATCAATACCTAATTTCTTGAGAGTCTTTAGCATGAAGCATTGTTGAATTTTGTCAGAGGCCTTTTCTGCATCTATTGAGATAATCATGTGGTTTTTGTCTTTGGTTCTGTTTATATGCTGGATTACATTTATTGATTTGCATATGTTGAACCAGCCTTGCTTCCCAGAGATGAAGCCCACTTGATCATGGTGGATAAACTTTTTGATGTGCTGCTGGATTCAGTTTGCCAGTATTTTACTGAGGATTTTTGCATCAATGTTCATCAAGGATATTGGTCTAAAATTCTCTTTTTTTGTTGTGTCTCTGCCAGGCTTTGGTATCAGGATGATGCTGGCCTCATAAAATGAATTAGGGAGGATTCCCTCTTTTTCTATTGATTGGAATAGTTTCAGAAGGAATGGTACCAGCTCCTCCTTGTACCTCTGGTAGAATTCAGCCGTGAATCCATCTGGTCCTCGACTTTTTTTGGTTGGTAAGCTATTGATTATTGCCACAATTTCAGAGCCTGTTATTGGTCTATTCAGAGATTCAACTTCTTCCTGGTTTAGTCTCGGGAGGGTGTATGTGTCCAGGAATTTATCCATTTCTTCTAGATTTTCTAGTTTATTTGCGTAGATGTGTTTGTAGTATTCTCTGATGGTAGTTTGTATTTCTGTGGGATCGGTGGTGATATCCCCTTTATCATTTTTTATTGCATCTATGTGATTCTTCTCTCTTTTCTTCTTTATTAGTCTTGCTAGCGGTCTATCGATTTTGTTGATCTTTTCAAAAAACCAGCTCCTGGATTCATTAATTTTTTGAAGGGTTTTTTGTGTCTCTATTTCCTTCAGTTCTGCTCTGATTTTACTTATTTCTTGCCTTCTGCTAGCTTTTGAATATGTTTGCTCTTGCTTTTCTAGTTCTTTTAATTGTGATGTTAGGGTGTCAGTTTTGGATCTTTCCTGCTTTCTCTTGTGGGCATTTAGTGTTATAAATTTCCCTCTACACATTGCTTTGAATGTGTCCTAAAGATTCTGGTATGTTGTGTCTTTGTTCTCATTGGTTTCAAAGAACATCTTTATTTCTGCCTTCATTTCGTTATGTACCCAGTAGTCATTCAGGAGCAGGTTGTTCAGTTTCCATGTAGTTGAGTGGTTTTGAGTGAGTTTCTTAATCCTGAGTTCTAGTTTGATTGCACTGTGGTCTGAGAGACAGTTTGTTATAATTTCTGTTCTTTTACATTTGCTGAGGAGTGCTTTACTTCCAACTATGTGGTCAATTTTGGAATAGGTGTGATGTGGTGCTGAAAAAAATATATATTCTGTTGATTTGGGCTGGAGAGTTCTGTAGATGTCTATTAGGTCTGCTTGGTGCAGAGCTGAGTTCAATTCCTGGGTATCCTTGTTAACTTTGTGTCTCATTGATCTGTCCAATGTTGACAGTGGGGTGTTCAAGTCTCCCATTATTATTGTGTGGGAGTCTAAGTCTCTTCATAGGTCACTAAGGACTTGCTTTATGAATCTGGGTGCTCCTGTATTGGGTGCATATATATTTAGGATAGTTAGCACTTCTTGTTGAATTGATCCTTTTACCATTATGTAATGGCCTTCTTTGTCTCTTTTGATCTTTGTTGGTTTAAAGTCTGTTTTATCAGAGACTAGGATTGCAACTCCTGCCTTTTTTTGTTTTCCATTTGCTTGGTAGGTCTTCCTCCATCCCCTTATTTTGAGCCTATGTGTGTCTCTGCACGTGAGATGGGTTTCCTGAATACAGCACACTGATGGGTCTTGACTCTTTATCCAATTTGCCAGTCTGTGTCTTTTAATTGGAGCATTTAGCCCATTTACATTTAAAGTTAATATTGTTATGTGTGTATTTTGTCCTGTCATTATGATGTTAGCTGGTTATTTTGCTCATTATTTGATGCAGTTTTTTCCTAGCCTCGATGGTCTTTACAATTTGGCATGTTTTTGCAGTGGCTGCTACCGGTTGTTCCTTTCCATGTTTAGTGCTTCCTTCAGGAGTTCTTTTAGGGCAGGCCTGGTGGTGACAAAATCTCCCAGCATTTGCTTGTCTGTAAAGTATTTTATTTCTCCTTCACTTATGAAGCTTAGTTTGGCTGGATATGAAATTCTGGGTTGAAAATTCTTTTCTTTAAGAATATTGAATATTGGCCCCCACTCTCTTCTGGCTTGTAGAGTTTCTGCCGAGAGATCCGCTGTTAGTCTGATCGGCTTCCGTTTGTGGGCAGCCCAACCTTTCTCTCTGGCTGCCCTTAACATTTTTTCCTTCCTTTCCACTTTGGTGAATCTGACAATTATGTGTATTGGAGTTGCTCTTCTCGAGGAGTATCTTTGTGGCATTCTCTGTATTTCCTGAATCTGAATGTTGGCCCTCCTTGCTAGATTGGGGAAGTTCTCCTGGATAATATCCTGCAGAGTGTTTTCCAACTTGGTTCCATTCTCCCAGTTAGGCTACTCGAGTGTCAAGGACCTGCTTGAGGAGGCAGTCTGCCTGTTCTCAGATCTCCAGCTGCGTGCTAGAAGAACCACCACTCTCTTCAAAGCTGTCAGACAGGGACATTTAAGTCTGCAGAGGTTACTGCTGTCTTTTTGTTTGTCTGTGCCCTGCCCCCAGAGGTGGAGCCTACAGAGGCAGGTAGGCCTCCTTGAGCTGTGGTGGGCTCCACCCAGTTCGAGCTTCCCGGCTGCTTTGTTTACCTAATCAAGCCTGGGCAATGGCAGGCGCCCCTCCCCCAGCCTGGCTGCCGCCTTGCTGTTTGATCTCAGACTGTTGTGCTAGCAATCAGCGAGACTCCGTGGGCCTAGGACCTTCCGAGCCAGGTGCGGGATATATTCTCCCGGTGCGCCGTTTTTCAAGCCTATCGGAAAAGCGCAGTGTTAGGGTGGGAGAGACCCGATTTTCCAGGTGCTGTCTGTCACCCCTTTCTTTGACTAGGAAAGGGAACTCCCTGACCCCTTGCGCTTACCGAGGGAGGCAATGCCTCACCCTGCTTCGGCTCGCGCACGGTGTGCTGCACCCACTGTCCTGCACGCACTTTCTGGCACTCCCTAGTGAGATGAACCCGGTACCTCAGATGGAAATGCAGAAATCACCTGTCTTCTGCGTGGCTCACGCTGGGAGCTGTAGACCGGAGCTGTTCCTATTCGGCCATCTTGTCTCCACCTTGCAGGTAAGCCATTTTAACTGGGATGTGGTAATATCTCATTATAGTGTTGATTAGCATTTCTCTGATAATTATGTTAAGCACCTTTTCATATATCTGTGCCATTTGTATGTTTTCTTTTGAGAAATACCAATTCAAATATTTTGCCCATCTTTTGATTGGATCAGAATTTTTCCTATAGGGTTGTTTGAGCTCCTTATATATTGTGGTTATTAATCTGGGGTCAGACGTGTAGTTTGCAGTGATTTTCTCCCAGTCTGTGGAATGTTGCTTCTCTTTTTTGGTTCTTTCCTTTGCTGCGCATAAGGTTTTTAACTTTGTGTGATCCCATTTGACCATTTTGCTTTTGCTTGCCTGTGTTTGTGATCCCTTGAATTTTTGCAGTCTCAGTTGTAATGTCTCCTTTTCCAACTCTGATTTTTTTATTTGCATCGTCTCTATTTTGTTCTTAGTCTGGCCAAAATTTTGTTAATTTTGGTTGCCTTTTCAAAAAACTAACTTTTTTATTTCATTGATCCTTTGTATTGTTTTTTCATTTCAATTTCACTTATTTCTCCTTTGATTTTATTATTTATTTTCTTCTAATAATTTTGGATTTGGTATGCTCTTCTATCATTTTTTTAAGATGCATTATTAGGTTGTTTATTTGAAGTTTTTTCTCTTTTTCAATGTAGGCACTTATAGCTATAAATTTTCCTCTTAATACTGCTTTTGCTATATCCCATAGGTTTTGGTATGTTGTATTTGCATTATTATTTGTCTCCATAAATTTTTAAATTTCATTCTGAATTTCTTCATTGACCTGATGATCATTAAGAAACATAGTCTTTAATTTTCATGTATTAGTATAACTTTCAAAATTCCTCATTATTAATTTTTGGTTTTATTCCATTGTGTTCAGAGAAGCTGCTTGATATTATTTCAATTTTTTTGAACATTTTAAGACTTGTTTTGTGACCTAACATATGGTCTATCCTTGAGAATAATCCAGGTGCCAAGGAAAGGAATGTGTATTCTGCAGCCATTGGGTGAAATATTCTGTAAACATCTATTATATGCATTTGGCCTGTAGTGCAGATTAAGTCCAATAACTTTTTTGATTTTCTGTCTGTAAGATCTATCCACTTCTTAAAGTGGGGGTATTGAAGTCTCCCACTATTATTGTATTGTGGCCTCTCTCTTTACCTCCAGTAATATTTGCTATATATATTTGACTGTTCCAGTGTTGGGTGTGTATATATTTATAATTGTTATATCTTCTTGCTGAATTGTCCCATTTATCACTATATAGTGACATTGTTTGTCTCTTACAATTTCTGTCTTGAAATCTATTTTAGCTGATATAAGTGTAGCTACTCCTGTTGTTTTACGGTTTCCATTGGCATGGAATATATTTTTCTATCCTTTTAGTTTTAGTCTATGTGTGTCTTTATACATGAAGTGTGTTTCTTTTTGGCAACATGTCAATGGGGATCTTGTTTTCTCATTCATTCAGCCACTCTGTCTTTTGATTGAAGAGTTTAGGCTATTTACATCCAATGTAATTATTCATAGGTCAGGACTCACACCTGCCATTGTGCTGTTTTCTAGTCTTCTTTCTTTCCTGTCTGTCTTCCTTCAGTGAAGGTTTTTTTTTTCTGGTGATATTATTTAATTTCTTGCTTTCTATTTTTTGCGTATGCATTGTATGTTTATTGGTTTCAGGCTACCATGAGGTTTGCAAATGCCTTAACTTCGTCCCTCTGCTTTTTATGTTTTTGTTGTTTCTATTTATATCTTATTGTATTGCCTATATCTTGAAAACTTGTTTTAGTTATTATTTTTGATTGGTTCATCATTTAGTTATTCTACTTAGGATAAGAGTAGTTACCACACCACAATAATACTGTTATAATATTCTGTGTACTTACTGTAATCAGTGAGTTTTGTATCTTTAGGTAATTAGTGCTCATTAACACTCATTTCCTTCTGATTGAAAGAAAATCCCTTTAGCATTTCTGGTAGGACAGGTCTGGTGTTGATGAAATACCTCATGTTTTCTTTGTTTGTGAAAGTGTTTATTCCTCTTTCATGATTGAATAATATTTTCACTGGTTATACTATTCTAAGGTGGATATATTTTTTCCTTCAGCACTTTAAATATGTCATGCCACTCTCTCCTGGCCTGTAAGGTTTCCACTAAAAACTCGGCCGCCAGTCATATTAGAGGTGTTTGTTTTTTGTTTTTTGTTTTTTTTTGTTTGTTTGTTTGTTTTTTTGATGGCGTCTTGCTGTCTCAGCCAGGCTGGAGTGCAGTGCTGCGATCTTGGCTCACTGCAACCTCCTCCTCCCGGGTTCAAGCGATTCTCCTGCCTCAGCCTCCTGAGGAGCTGGGACTACAGGTGTATGCCACCACACCCAGCTAATTTTTGTATTTTTTAGTAGAGAAGGGATTTCACCATGTTGGCCAGGATGGTCTTGATCTCTTGACCCCATGATCCACCCACCTCAGCCTCCCAAAGAGCTGGGATTACAGGTGTGAGCTGCTGCACCCAGCCTAAAGTTCTATTGTATGTTATTTGTTACTTTTGCTTGATGCTTTTAGCATCATTTTTTATCCTTGGTTTTTGGGAGTTTGATTATTAAATGCCTTGAGGTAGTCTTTGAGTTAAATCTGCTTGGTGATCTATATCCTTCTTAAACTTGATTATTTATATCTTCCTCTAGGTTTGGAAACTTCCCTGTTATTGTCTTTTTGAATATTCTTTCTATCTCTCTCTCTACCTCCTCTATAAGAGCACTAACGCTTTGTTTGCACTTTTGAGGCTATTTTCTAGATCCTGTAGGTGTGCTTCATTGTTTCTTTCTTCTTTTTTGTTTTGTTGCTTCTGATTGTATATTTTCAAACAACATTGTTTTCAATCTCACTAATTCTTTCACCTTCTTGATCAATTCTTCTGTTTAAAGGCCTCTGATTTGTTCTTCAGTATGCCAGTTACATTTCTCACTCTGGAATTTCTGGTTGACTATTTTTAATTATTTCAATTTCTTTGTCAAATTTATCCAAAATAATTCTGAATACCTTCTCTGTGCTAACATGAATTTCTTTGAGTTTACTAAAAACAACTATGTTGAATTCTATCTCTGAAAGGTAACTTGTCTCTTTTTCTCCAGGATTAGTCCCTGGTGCTCCTTCCCTCTTCTCTTACTTTCTCCCAAAGAAGGGAAGTGTCTCTCTCAGTTTCTCAGTCACCTGAAACTGGGGGTGGAGTGACAGAAGTATCCCTGTGGCCAGCACCACTATGATTGTGCCCAGTTAGACCTGAGGCCAGCATAGCACTGAGTCTCACCCAAGGTCTGCTGTAACCACTACCTGGCTACTGCCAACGTTTGTTCAAGGACCTGGGTCTCCAAACTCAGCAATTGGCAAAGCCAGCCTGGCCTATGTTTTTCCCTTTCAGATGGCGAATGTCCCCAGGTCATTCTGGGAGTCAGGGAATAGAGTGAAAAACCTTAGAAGTCTACCTGGTGTTCTATTGTACTGCAGTTGAGCTGGCACTCAAACCACAAGACAGAGTCCTTCCCACTCTTCCCTCCTCTTTCCAAATGCAGAGGAGGCTCACCTCATAGCCACTACCACCAGAGGCCATGAGGAGTACTGCTAGACTACCATAGATTTTCATTCAAGGCTCAAGGCTATTATGTCAGCTTGTGGTAAAGGCTTGGGACTCACCCTTCAGGGTAGTGGGTTGTCTTCTGGCCCAGAGCAAGTCCAGAAATGACATCCAAGAGTAAAGTCCTAGAATTAGGGACCCCAAGAGCCTACATGATGCTCGACCCATATGTGGCTGTGCTGGTATGTAAGGTGCAAGACAAAGTCCCATTTACTATTCCTTCTGCTTTTCTGAAGCAGAAAGATTTTTGCCTTGTATTCAGCATAGCTGGTAGTGTACTGTATCTCACCTGAAGCTGGCAAGTCTCAGAGGCTGACCCAAGTTCTTTGACATAGTACCTCATATCACTGCTGATTTTTCAGGGTCCAAGGGCACTTCAGTTTACAGACGATGACTGCGGTCAGGACTGGGTCCTTCGTTCAAGGCAGTAGGTTCCTTTCTGGCCCAGGGTGTGTCTAGAAATGTCCTCTGGGAGATAGGACCTGGAACAGGGGCCTCATGAATCTGAGGCATGCTCTATCCTGCTGTGGCTGAGTAGGTATCCAAGATGCAAGACTCTTTCCTCTCCTCTCTTCAAGCAGAAGGAAAATGCCTTTTTTGGAGCTATGAGCTATACAGCTTGGGGTTAGGGGAGGTGTGATGCCCACGCCCCTTACCCAACCCATTTGATGTTTCAGTAGGTCATGTGCCCCACCCCCTGCTCCGAATCCACTGTCTCTGGGCCCAGTCCAGCACCAGGACTCACTAAGAGTTGCAGTCCTTATAGCCTAGACTGCCTTTCAAGTTCTCCGAGAGACCCAGAGCAATTTAGCCCTCAGCAGCCAGGTTTTCAGGCACTCCAGTTCTGAGTGTGGGGATCAGTGATTTATATCCCTCTGGTTAGGTTTGTTTTAAATGCTCCCTCCATGGGTGGGCATCAGCTGTGTTTAGTTTGGTTTTCCTTTCTGTTCTAGCAGGACAGCACTGTGCTCAGTGCCTCACAACTGATGTTCTCTCCTCCTAGCAAACAGAGATGGTCTCAGCACCATGCAGCCAGTGCTGGGTTGGGAGAGGGCTGGCTTCAGAGATTCAAGAATGTCTTCAGTGCCTCTTTCAGGGATACAGAAATAAAGCCAGATATTATGAGTGATCACCTGAGTTTTGGTTCTTATGAAAGTGTTTTTATTTTAATGTAGATAGTTGTTAAATTGATATCCTTGTTGGGGGAGACAATATGTAGAGCTTTCTATTCTGCTGTTTTGATTCATCCCTCCTCAGTATTTGAATAACTGTGAGTTTATCTGTTCTTTGAAGATATTTAGATCACAAAATTGTTGGACTCAGCTCTTTTATTAGAGGTTTGCATCTTTTTATAATTATTGACTTATTCACCCTGGTTACTGATCTAATATATATGAATTTTTCAAAGAAAATTACTCATTTTATGTATAATTTTGCCACAGAGTTGTACTAGTAATATTATTCTCATGATTGAAATCTTCCTATAAGTATTTAAATGTTTATTGTACAACAAATACAAAATTATAGAAAGAGAATAACAATCAACTTATCTTTCAACACCCAGATATAATAAACATTAAACATGCTTATTAATATCTAGTTATAATGGTGCATAAACTCTTACATTTCATCACACACACACACACACACACACACACACACACACACATCAAATGAATGGGTTTGTAAGCATGCTGTTTCTTTTTCTAATCTATTTTTAACATGTAACAATATGACCTTAATATTTTTGTAAGCCCATACATATCTTCAGTATGTTTTCTTTAACATTTTTGAGGGAGTCTATGATTTGCATGATATATGCATATAACATAATTTTCTTTACCAACAGTCCTCATACAGATATTTTTATTGATATTTAATCTTTTTTTAAAAAAATTCTATAGCCTTATGTATGCATATTTCCTTATCCTTCAATGGCTAAAATTTAATAATATGAACATTTCACATTTTGATATATGATTGCCATACTCCATTCTAGATTTATTTTGACAATTTACATTCCTGTTTACAGTATAACAATCAGTTAATTTTTCATTATTGATATCACTGTGTCTTTTCAATATTTCTTATTTTAAGTGCTATTTTAGGGAAATTATATTTAATTGTCTGTACTATTATTTATTTTATTATTAATGAGGTCATATGTTTAATACTACTAGTTTATGTTCCTTTTTGTGTATTTTAAATCTGTATCTCTTGTTTACCCTTATTGGAGTGCTTTTTGTTAATTTTACGTAAAGCATTTTCCTGTTATTTATTTTAAGTATTGTTCTCAGGATCTCATTTATTACTCAAAAATTGTACGGTGTTGAACAGACAGATTATTTTTTACGTTGTCAAATGTATCAGTCTTTTTGATCTGTAATATTTATGTTCTGCTTAAAAGCTTTCTACAATCCAAGATTATAAATATATGAACATATCCAGCCATATTTCCGTATCTTTTTATCATCCATATTTAAATATTTTATCACTTGTGAAAAATTTTGGTTTAAGTGTGAGATGATATTTAAGCAAATAGTTAATGCCTGCACAATTCTCTCTGTTCTTTTCATCTATTTCTGTGCCAGACCACAATATTTTGATACCACTTATTTTACTGTTTTATTTAATACATTAGTATTTGTTATTGCTAATTTGATATGTCAACTTAACTAGGCAATTATTAATGCCCAGTTATTTAGTCAAACACCAGTTTAGATTTTATTATAGAAGGATTTTTTTAGAAGAGATTACATTTAAATCAGTATACTCCATAAACTCAGCCTCAAGCTTCCAACATAGTAACCCAGCTTGAGTTTCAAGGCTGATGGCCTGCCCTGTGGATTTTGGACTCAATACTGCACCATGAACTGTTCCCTGAATGTTCAGCCTGCCAGATGCCTGTACAGATTTGACTTGCCAGCCCTCTCAATTGTGGGCCAATTCTTTAAAATTTCTCTCTCTCTCTCTCTCTCTCTCTCTCTCTGTATGTAATATTCATATATATACATTATACGCACACACACACACACACACACACACACACACACATGATAGATACCTAGATGGTGGCCCAGTGGAGACTCTGTATGGGGGTTTTGACCCCACATTTCCCTTCTACACTGTACTAGCAGAGGTTCTCCATGAGGGCCCTGCCCCTGAAGCACACTTCTGCTTAGACATCCAAGTGTTTCCATATATCCTCTGAAATCTTGGCAGAGGTTGCCAAACCTCAATTCTTGACTTCTGTGCACTCACAAGCTCAACACCACCTGGAAGCTGCCAAGGCTTGAGGTTTAACCCTGTGAAGCAAAGGCCCCAGCTCTACATTGGCCCCTTTCAGTCATGGCTGGAGCAGCTAGGACACAGGGCATAAAGTCTCTAGGCTGCACACAGCATGGGCACCCTGGGCCCAGCCCATGAAACTATTTTTCCCCACCTAGGCCTCCAGGCCTGTGATGTGAGGGGCTGCTGTGAAGACCTCAGACATGCCCTGGAGACATTTTCTCCATTGTCTTGGGGATTAACATTCTGCTCCTCATTACTTATGCAAATTTCTGCAGCTGGCTTGAACTTCTCCTCAGAAAATGGGATTTTCTTTTCTATTGCATTGTCAGGCTGCAAATTTTCTGAACTTTTATGCTCTGCTTCCCTTATATAACTGAATGCTTTTAACAGCACCCAAGTCACACCTCGAATGCTTTGCTGCTTAGAAATTTCTTCTGTCAGACACCCTAAATCATCTCTCTCAAGTTCAGAGTTTCACAAATCTCTAGGGCAGGGGCAAAATGCTGCGAGTCTCTTTGCTAAAACACAACAAGAGTCACCTTTGCTCCAGTTCCCAACAAGTTCCTTATTTCTATCTGAGACTACCTGAGCCTGGACTTTATTGTCCATATCACTATTCGTATTTTGGGCAAATCCATTCAACATGTCTCTAGGAAGTTTCAAACTTTTCCACATTTTCCTGTCTTCTTCTGAGTCCTCCACACTGTTCCAACCTCTGCCTACTTCCCAGTTCCAAAGTCACTTCCACATTTTCAGGTATCTTTTCAGCAGCACCCCAATCTACTGCTACCAGTTTACTGTATTAGTCTTTTTTAGGCTGCTGATAAAAGCATACCTGAGACTGGGCAATTTACAAAAGAAAGAGTTTATTGGACTTTCAGTTCCACATGGCTGGGGAGGCCTCACAATCATGGAGAAAGGCCAGGAGGAGCAAGTCACATCTTACATGGATGGTAGCAGGCAAAGAGATACTTGTGCAGGGAAACTTCCATTTTTAAAACCATCAGATCTTGTGAGACCCGTTTGCTATCACAAGAACAGTGCAGGAAAGACCCGCCCCATAATTAAATGACCCTCCCACTGAGTTTCTCCTGTGACACATGGGAATTGTGGGAGTTACAATTCAAGGTGAGATTTGAGTGGGGACACAGCCAAACCATATCAGTAAGATCTGCTGTCCGTGTACTAGGTCCATTTGTTCACATAAAAAAGGAGCATTGATACACGGCAAATAGCCAAGGTTTTGGCTTACAGAAGTAGTAGTATTTAATTCACTCTCCTTGGCACTCATATAGCTGTGCAAGGGTTGCAAACATACACACATAATAACACTGAAATTAATATTTTTATATCCTTATTTATCCAGATATTAAATCCAGCTTTGTTAAACATTGATAGGAATCTAAATATTTCTAAATAGGGAGTTAAATAAATGCAATATAGTATACAGGACACTAAAAATCTAAAAGAATAATGCAACTACACACTTGGGAATAATGCAAATATACACTGATATGAAAACATGTTCACAATGAACTAAATATATTTTATAAGAATATATATATATACATTCATATATTTATGGAAGAATTTATAAAAAGCTGCTGTAAGTAGTCATCTTGACATTTTAGAACTTCCAGATTTACTTAGTAGATTTTGCATAAGTGCCTTCATAACATATACAAATTAATTACTAAGGAAACAAGTAAATATATAAAATAAAATGAGTACATTGAAAAAGAGCTATTGTGATATATTTTCACCTGCATAAACTACATATATATATATATATATGTTTATAAATGAACAAAATACTAGAAAAATACATACTTAAGTTTTTAAAATGATTCTTTAGAGGGGGTGGGGTTATGGTTGCAATTTCACATTATGCTGTCTGACATACTGATTTAGTCAATTTTACTGTATATTTGAATTCTCTAGGCATTAGAAACTCTTTCCCTATTTCAATGTATGCTGTTTTGCGGAATAAGATGATCTAATATTCTAGACTTGAATACCCTTCCAAAATAATACAATTAGTTAATTGAATGAGCATTTCTGAAGTAATGGTAAAAGTTTCAGATTTGCTTTAGAGTATATAATTTGTCTTTTAATATTTAATAAACTCAAATTTTAAAAATTATTTTGTTCATGAAAGTAATTCAAAGGGAATGATTAAAATAATATGCTTCAATTAATAATTAAGAAGACTTTGTATAATATATTTTAATCACAGTCATTTCCAGTAGCTAAAACATTGATTCTTACATTTAAAATATACTGAATAAAACAGTACCTTAAGAATTTTTGATATCTAAATTCTATTTACTTTTTTATCAATCCTTAAATTTAAATATTTTGACTTACAATGGGGAATTCTTAAAGGAATGATCAAAAAAGTAAAATAAATATTTCACTTTAACCAATTTTTTGAAACAACTATGCCATATTAATCTTTTATATACAGGTGAAACAAAACAAGTGCACCTCTCTTAAAGGCAAGTAAAGATAATCAAATAATTTTCTTTTTAATTCTGGTGTTTTTATGGACGTTTCTGATAATACTGAAGAATATGTGGTTCACTAAACCTACCTAGGACTATCTCTCATTGGAAAAAATATGACAATGGAAAAATACAATATAATGTAAACAGAAAGAATTAAAAGATTTTTTATTTACAAAAATAAAAATGCATTCACTATCTTTCCTTAAACAGTCTCACACATATACTCATATCACTGCAGTAATAAGTAATCAAACCAGGTTAAAGTTTAGATGATTAACTGAAAAAGTTATATCACATTATTCCTTGTTGTGTAATTAAATGGGCATTTTAATATAAATAACATGAAAAGTGCCCTTTAAGTAAAGTTTAATTATCTGAAAGACAATTGTAATTACTCTTATTAGACTTTTTACGTTTAAAGGAAATTGGAAATCATATGACATCATGTAATGGGATCAAACTATCAGAAAGTGTTTTAAAAATCGTATCTCAGGAATAATCACTTAAATCCAAGCATACTTGGCATATATAGATTATGCCATTTGTGATAAATGGGTATTTGGGGTTTTTCATGTGTTTCTCTGTATTTTGTAAAGCATGTATAGGAAAATAATTTTAGTTTGCAGTCTTTGATGACAAATATAATAGTTTAACGAAACTATTGTTTTTCATAGAAACTCACATGATCAAAGTACTAATATCTTATTTTTATTAATTAACTCATTTAAATTATAAGACAGACACATCATTTTAATAGGCTAAATCAAGTAACTTTCATAATAAATAGACATTTACTATTATCCTTATAAGTTGATTGTTATTTTGCCAGATATTAGGTTCATATCTTCTATTGATTTTTCTCAGTACTATATTCATTATGTGTTAACATTGTCTCTAAAACCAAGACTTGACACATTGCTTATAAAAGTTTCTTCTCAAGCACAGGTAACATCAGAGAAGTAGGTTCACATCCCTTAGTTGTCTGTCTGGAGAAGCCTAGTCAAAATAGTTTGCTGCAATGTAATTGTTTTTTGAATCTTTGCTGTCCTTTTAAAAATGCACATAGGGAGCTAAGAAAGTTGAGAAAGATGGTAAAATAAAACTCTGTAGGGATTGTCCTCTCCTTGATAGAAACATCAATTTGAACAAGTATAAACATTTAAAAATACCTTCAAAAGAGCTAAGAAAACCAGGTGACAGATTACAGTACCTGATATAAGATAATAATAAGTAAAGATGCATTAAAGAGCTTACAATGTACAGTTTTCTATTACCTGCATCAAACCTTCCGCAATCCCAGGCAGCATGGCATGAAGAGATATCATCTACTTAGGGGAAAAAGAGGGAAAAGAGGGAAGTAAGCACAGGACTTATCCTTGGTCCCTAACACTAGGCTCACGACAGTTAAACCCAGTGCCAGGCAGACCCTTGTGGTCCATCCATCCTGGCCAGCATCGAAGGGTTGAGCCTCCTGACCTGCCACAATACCAGGCAGAAACCTGCAGCCCCTGAGAGATGGATTTAATATCTGGTCAATATCACTGCCAGCTAACTATAGTGGCCTAGTGTTCTGGATATAGGCAAGCTTCAGCAGCTGTTGGTGTCAATCAGGCCCCACTGTTGTGCTAGTGTCAGTGGCTCTGAGGTTTAGATATGCCTGAGTGCTTTGCCAGCATGGGCAGGCAAATAATTTCAACTTAGCAATTAGCTGTCCGTGGCAGTCTTGGACTTAGAGCATCCTCTAGCACTGCAGCAGCTGCAGTAATCGTGGAATTAGAAACCATGCAAGATGACTTGCCCAGACTCTCTAGACAGGCTTACAGTTGAAGGGCATTCCAAGATGAAGCCAGACTATGAAGACTGAAATAAGCACTTACTTTTTTACTGAGTAGAAACTGATACAAAACCATAAGGATCAAAAACAATCAGGGAAAGATGGCATCATACAATGAACAAAATAAAAACAGTGCCAATGACCAACCCAAAAATATGGAGATGTATGGAATGCCAGGCAATGAATTCAAAATAACAGTTTTGAGGAAGCTCAGAAAACTTCTAGTAACTACAAAGAGACAATATAACAAAATGAGGATAACAATAAGTCAAGAGAATGGGAAACTTAACATAAAGATTAAAATTACTTAAAAAATCAAACAGAAGCCTACAGCTAGAAAATAGAATGAACAAAATAAAAAGTGCAATAGAGAGGATCAACAGCAGAATTGGTCATGTGAAAGAATCTGTGAACTCAAAGACAGATTATTTGAAAATATACAGTCAAAGGAGAGAAAATAATGAAAAGGAATAAAGAAAGCCTATGGAATGGATACATTCACATCAAAAGAAGAAATGTTCAAGTTATTGGAGTTCAAGAAGGAATAGCAAAAAAACAAAGGGGTAGAAAGTTTATTTTAAAAATATGAGCAGAAAATTATCCAAACCTGGAGAAAGGCATAAATATCCAGAAACAGCAAGGTCAGAGGTCAACAGTCAGATTCAGTCCAAATAAGGCTACTCTAAGAAGTATTACAAACTCTGAAAGATCCCAGACAAAGAGGAGATCCTGATTGTGTTAAGGGAAAATAAGCAAATAACATAAGGGAGTTTTAATATGCTCAGCTGCAGACTCCTCAGCAGAAACCTTACAGACCAGGAAGAAGTGAGGTGATATATTTAGAATCCTAAAGGAAGAAATTAAAAAAACTACCAACTAAAAATACCATAGACAGCAAAGAAGTCATTCCTCCAAAATGGAGGAGAGATAAAGAATTTTTCTTTACACATATGTTCATTGCACCACTGTTCACAATAGCAGAGACATGGAATCAACCAAAATGCCCATAAATGGTAAACTGGATAAAGAAAATATAGTACATATACACCATGGAATACTATATAAAGGAATGAGTTGTATAAAAGAATGAGATCATGTCCTTTGCAGGAACATGGATGAAGCTGGAAGCCATTATCCTTAGGAAACTAACACAAGAACAGAAAACCAAATACTGCGTGTTCACTTTTATAAGTGGGAGCTAAATGATGGGAACAAATGGACACAAAGAGGGGAACAATAGACACTGGGGTCTACCTGAGGGTTGAGGGTGGGAGGCAAAAGAGGATCAGAGAAAGTAACTATTAGGTATTAGGCTTCGTACCTGGATGATGAAATAATCTGTTAAACAAACCCTTGTAACACAAGTTTACTTATATAACAAACCTGCACATTTTTGTATATGGTGTAAGGAAGGGTTCCAGCTTCAATTTCCTGCATATGGCTAGCCAGTTATCCCAGCACAATTCTTATTCTTAAATACAATTTTTTTTCCCCATAGCTTGTTTATGTCAGTTTTGTCAAAGATCAGATGGTCGTAGATATGTAGTCTTATTTCTGGGCTCTGTATTCTGTTTCACTGATCTACATGACTTCTTTTGTACAAGTACCATGCTGTTTTGGTTACTGTATTCCCGTAGCATAGTTTGAAGTCAAGCAGCATGATGCTTCCAGCTTTGTCCTTTTTGCTTAGGATTGCCTTGGCTATTCAGGCTCTTTTTTGGTTTCATAAGAATTTTAAGATAGTTTATTCTCATTCTGTGGAGAATGTAACTGGTAGTTTGATAGGAATAGCATTGAATCTGTAAAGTGCTTTGGGCAGTATAGCCATGTTAATGATATTGATTCTTACTATCCATGAGCATGGGAGTTTTTTTTTTTCATTTGTTTGTGTCTTCCCTGATTTCTTTGAGGAGTGTTTAATAATTCTCATTTTAGAGATCTTTTACCTCCCAGGTTAGCTTTATTCCTAGGTATTTTATTTTATTGTATTTTGTTTTATTTTATTTTTTGTGTGGCAATTTTGAATCAGATTGCCTTTCTGATTTGGCTTTCTGTTTTGCTGTTGGTGTATAAGAATGCTGTTGGTGTATAAGAATGATTTTTTACATTGATTTTGTATCCTGCAAATTTGCTGACATTGTTTATCAGCTGGACTGAGCTTTGGGGCTGAGACTATGGAGTTTTCTGGATATAAAATCATGTCTTCAGAAAACAGAGATGGTTTGAATTTCTCTCTTCCTATTTGGATGTGCTTTATTTCTTTCTCTTGCTTGATTGCTCTGCCTAGAACTTCCAATATTATGTAGAATAGAAGTGGTGAGAGAGGGCATCCTTGTAACACTATAATAAAAAATCAACTCAAGGTGAATTAAAGACTTAAATGTAAAACCCAAAACTATAAAAAACCCTAGAAGACAACCTAGTGAATACCATCTTGGAGATAGGAAAGGGCAAAAATTTAGTGATAAAAACATCAAAAGCAATTGCAACAAAAGCAAAAATCGACAAGTGGGATCTACTTAAAGTTAACAGCTTCTGCACAGCAAAAGAAACTATCAATAGGGTAAAAGACAACCTATGGAATAGGAAAAAAATTTTGCAAACTATGTACCTAACAAAGGTCTAATATTCAGCATCTATAAAAAACTTAAACAAGTTTACAAGAGAAAAACAAACAACCCCATTAAAAAGTGGGCAAAGGACATGGACAGACACTTCTCAAAAGAAGACATGCATGTGGCCAACAAGCATATAAAAAAACTCAATATCATTGATTAGAGAAATGCAAATTAAAACACAGTAAGATACCATCTTACACAAGTCAGGATGGCTATTATTAAAACGTCAAAAAATAACAGATGCTGGCAAAGTTGTGGAGGAAAGGAAACACCTATACACTGCTGGTGGGTGCGTAAGTCCATTCAACCATTGTGGAAGACAGTGTGGTGATTTCCCAAAGACCTAAAGACAGAAATTCCATTCGACCTAGCAATCCCATTGCTTGTTATATACCCAGACGAGTATAAATCATTCTACCGTAAAGACTCATGCACGCAAATGTTCATTGCAGCACTGTTCACAATAGCAAAGACATGGAGTCAACCCAAATGCCCATCAGTGACAGACTGGATAAAGGAAATGAGACACATAGTATTCTAGGTGCACCATGGAATACTATGCAGACATAAAAAAGAATGAGATCATGTCTTTTGCAGGAACATAGATGGTGCTGGATGCCACTATCCTTAGCAAACAAATACAGGAACTGAAAACCATATACCACATGTTCTCACTTATAAGGGGGAGCTAAATGATAAGAACTTACTAACACAAAGAAGGAGACAACAGACACTGGAGTCTACTTGAGAGGGAAGGTTAGGAGGAGGGAGGGGAACAGAAAAGATAACTTTTGAGTACTGGGCTTAATACCTGGGTGATGAAATAATATGTACAACAAACCCCCATGACACGTGTTTACCTATGTAACAAACTGTCGCATGTACCCCCAAACATGAAATAAAGGTTAAAAGTACATAAACAAATAAAATTATCCAGACATACCAAAACTGAGGAAGTCATCACTAGAACTGTTGTACAAGAAATTCTAAAGGGAGTTCTTCTAGATGAATGAAAATTATGCTAATGAGTAACATAAAGAGACCTGAATGCATGAAAGTCACTGGTAATAGTAAGCACTTTGTCACATTTAGAATACTTTTGTACTATAATGATGATGTGTAAATCGCTTGTATCTTTGGTGTGAAGGTCAAAATATTAAAGTTTTAAAAATTATAATAACTTAAAAATGTGTTAAGAGATATGCAATATAAGAAGATATAATTTATGGCATCAAAAATTTTAAATGTGGAGGAGAAAATGAAGTAATCTGTGGAGTTTTATTTTTATGTGAGTGACCAATTAAGTTTTTATCAGCTTAAAATACCCTGTTATAATGATACAGTATTCTTGAAACCTCAGTGTAACCACAAGGAAACATCTATAATACAAAAATATTAAAAGCAAGGAATCAAAGCATGCTATTACAGAAAAATCAATTAACCACAATGGAAGATAATAAGAGAGTAATAGTAGACTTACAAAGCAACTAAAAAGAACAAAATGCCAGTAGCAAGTCTTTATGCATTGATAATTACCTTGTATGTAAATTGATCAAATCCTTTAGTCAAAAGTTATAGAGTGGCTGAATGGCTGAAATTATAAGATCTAGTTATATGATGTCTTCAAGAAACTCCTTTCCCCTGTAAGGACACACATAGACTAAAAATGAAGAGATTGAGGAAGATATTTTATATAATAATACATTTACATAACATGGGAGCACATAAATATATAAAGCAAATATTGATAGTTGTAAAGGGAGATATAAACTTCAACACAATAATAGTATTGAAATTCAACACTCTACTTCCAGCAATGGATATATCATCCAGACAGAAAATCAAGAAGGAAATATCATAATTAATCTGCACTCTGGACCAAATGGATGTATAGACATACACAGAACATTCCATCTGACAATATGAGAATGTACATTCTTCTCAACTGCACATGGAACATTCTCCAAGCTCAAACATATGTTAGGCTACAAAACGGATTTTAGCAAATTTAAGAAGATTGAAAACGTATCAGGTATTTACTTTAACCACAATGGTAAAAACAAAGCAAAACAAAACTCAGTAACAGGAGGAACTTTGGAAATTTCATACATATGTGAAAATTTAAAAATATACTTCTGGACAACCAATAGGTCTATGAAGAAATGAAAATGGAAATGGAAAAATTTTCTTGAGACAAATAAAAATGGAAGCATCGTATACAAAAACTTATGTTATACAGCAACAGAAGTTCTAAGAGGGAATTTCATAGCAATAAATGCCTATATCGAAAAAAAGAAAAGATGAAAGAGTTCAAATAAAAATCTCATCTTGCACCTCAAGAAACTACAAAAAAAAGAACAAACTATGCTCAAAATTATTAGAAAAAAATGATAAAGAGCAGAGCAGAAATAAATAAAAAAGAGACTAAAATAATAGAAAATATGAAAGAAATTATGCGTTTTTTCGGAAAAGATGAATAAAATCAACAAATCTTTAGCTAGACTAAGAAAAAAGAGAGAAGGCTGAAATAAATAAAACAACAATTAAAAAGACATTACAACTGATATAACAGAAATAAAAAAGGATAATTAAAGAAAATTATGGAAAGTTATACAACAACAAATTGGATAACCTAGAAGAAACACATAAATTCCTGGACACATAAATCCTACCAAGACTGAATTATGAAGAAATAGAAATCCGAACAGACCAATAATGTGTAAGGAGATACAATTCGTAATAAAAACTTTCGTATCAAAGAAAAGCACAGGACCTCATGGCTTCACTGCTGAATTCTACTAAACATTAAAAAAAAACTAATACCGCTCCTTCTCAAACTCGTAAAAAATTAAAGAGGAAATAATATTTCCAAACTCAATTTATAAGGCCAGAATTACCCAGATATCAATCCCAGATATAGACACAACAGCAATAAAAAGGAAAACTCCATGCCAATGTTCCTGATGAACACGTATGTAAAATTTCTCAAAAAAATATTAGCAAAGAGAATTCAATAGCACACTAAAAAAAATAATTCAACTTGCTCAAGTGGTATTCATCCCAAGGATGCAAGGATGGATTAACATAAACAAAACAGTAAAAGTGACAAGTTGCATGAATAGAGTGAAAGACAAAGTTTATGTAATTCTTTTAATAGATGAAGGAAAAGCATTTGACAGAATTCAACATTCCTTCATAATGAAAACTCCCAACAAATCAGGCATGCAAGGGATGAACCTCAACACCATAAAGGCCATATATGACAAGTTCCAGCTAATATCACACTGAATGGGAAAGTGGTGAAAGCATTTCCTCTGAGATCTGCAACAAGATAAGAATTCCCACTCTTGCTAGTTCAACGTAATACTGGATGTCCTAGCCAGAGTAATTAGGCAAGAGAAAGAAATAAAAAGCATCCATATTGGAAAGATAGAAGGTAAGTTGTCCCTTTTCAAAGGTGACATGATCTTAAATATAGAAAACCCCAAGACTCCAACAAAAACCTGCTAGATCTAATAAACAAATTCATTAAAATGGCACAATATACAATAATCATGCAAAAATTAGTAGTGTGTCTATACACTAAGAGTGAACTATCTGAAAAGGAAATCAAGAAAACAATTCCATTTACAAAAGCCATGACAAATAAAATAATCAAATAAATTTAACCAATGAGGTGAAATATTTCTACAATAGAAACTATAAGATATTGATGAAATACATTAAAGAAGACACAAATAAATGGAAAGATATGCAGTGTTCATGGACTGGAACAATTATTACTGTCAAAATATCTAAACCACTTAAAATAATCTACATATTCAATGCAATCGCTATCAAAATACCAATGACATTTTCCAGAGAGAGAAAAAATATAATCGTAAAATTCATATGGAGCTACAAAAGACCCTAAATAGCCAAATCAATCCTGAGCAAAAAGAAGAAAACTGGAGACATTACACAATCTGACATCAAAATATTCTACAAACCTATAGCAAGCAAAACAGTATGATACTGGCATAAAAACAGGCATCTAGACTAATGGAACAGAATAGAGATCCCAGAAATAACTGTGGCATTTACAGCGAACAGATTTTTTTATAAAGGTTCCAAGAACATATATTGTGGAAAGGACAGTCGCTTCAGTAGGTGGTGGGAATACTGAATATGCATATGCGAAAGAATAACAAAATTAGACTCATCTCTCATGATATTCAAAAATTATCAGAAAGTGGATTAAATCTTTAAATGTAAGATCTGAAACACTGAAACTACTGGAAGTAAATATAGGACAAAAGCGTCTGGAGAATTGTTTTCTGGATATATCCTCCAGAGCGCAAGAAAGAAAAGGAAAAATACGCAAATGAGAATTCGTTAAACTGAGAGGCTTCTGCACAACAAAGGAAGCAATCAACAAAGTGAAGAAACAGCCTACCATATGAGAGAAAATATTAGAAACCATACATCTGACACGGGTTTAATATATAAAATATATTTTAAAACCTCAAACAACTTAATAGCAAGAAGACAAACAACCCAATTGCTAAATGGCATAAATACTTGGATAGACGTTTCTAAAAAGAAGACATACAAATTGTCAACAGGTGTATGAAAAAAATACTCAGAATTACAAATTGTCAAGGCAATACAAATCAAAACCACAGTATCACCTCACTTCTGTTAGAATGGCTATTCTAAAAAAGACAAGTTGATTGTTAGCAAGGATGTGGAGAAAAATGAACCCTTGCACATTGTTGGTGAGAGGTTAATTGGTACAGCCATTATGAAAAACAGTATGGAGGCTCCTCAAAAAACTAAAAATAGAACTACCATGTGATGCACCAATCTGACTTCGGGGTATATATCCACAGAAATTAAAATCAGTATATCAAAAGGAAATCTTCACTCCCATGAGTATTGAAGCACTATTCACAATAGCCAAGATATAGAATAAAACAATAAATCCGTGTACATTGTGTGTGTGTGTGTGTGTGTGTGTGTGTGTGTGTGTGAAAGAAAGAGAGAGAATATTACCTGGATGCACTTTTACTTTTGAGGTGAATTGAATGCATGCATGACCAAGCCTAAAATATCTAAAATATCTTCTATGGTGATGACATAAGGCATCCAATGTCAAAATAAACACTATTATATTGTTTTAAATAAACAAAATAGCCTATCTAGGGATATATATTTGCAGCTAATTTCTCTCGATGGACTTAATCCAACATTTTTTAGGAACTGTAAAGATTCTCTGTCATTATCAAAACTGGTAGCTGGCATTCTCTTCCCTTATACATTTCCTAGTCAAAGTTAGCTCTTTTTGAATAACTTATATAGCTCATGTAAAACAATCATAAGAAATATCCCAAAACAACAACAGTAATAACAACAAATAAAAATACCATGTATTTAGTAACTAATATCTGTCAGATACTCTGCTAGCAACATTATATAAATTATCTTATTTAATCATCACGATGATTTCAATGCTATTTGTCTCCCCACAAAACAGATGAAAAATTGAAATGCAGAGATTAAAAAACTTACCTAAAGTGACGTAGCAACATAATACTTAGTGAAACTAGCTTTGAAAACAAAGTCAGCTTCTAAAATTCTTTATTACTATAATAACACCCTTAAATATTGATAGTGGTTCCTTTGAGTGAAGAGGTTCAATCCACTTCTTAAAATCTCCCTTCTGCCTTTTTGTACTTTCCCAAGCTTTCTTCATTCAATCTGTATTACATTTGTAACTCAAAATATTTTAAAATATTTTCTTCTTTATTGTATATAACACAGGAGTCTTTTAGTAGTTGTGTATTGTTTTTGTGTCCTCAGTAATATTTTTTGAAATAAATTCTTTCCCATTTTATTTGTATCTTATAGATCTATCATTTATGATATCAAGGTTTTTTGTTTGTGTGTTTCAGGTATCAACCTTTCATTAAATCCTAGCTTATCAATATATGAAATCTCACAAATAACAGCAATTGGTTCATAAGTTGGTTACATTACCCAGAGTCCTTTTCTCGAATTTATAACATGACTTCACAATAAAGAAACTCCTTTCCACTGGGGTTACAAAGTTGGCAAAATATGAATATAAAGCTATTGGTGGCTATGTTCCCTGCTATATGCAGAGAGCCTGTCTATAAAATGAAGCCAAACAGTGAAGCCAAACAGAGGGAGGGAAGTAGAGATGAAAGATAGATAATTATTTTGATAGTAGTAAGTCTTAGTTTCAGACCTTAAAGACATTGTACTTGCAGTTTTTCCCTCACTTTATTCTGGGGTTGAGTCCTGGAATATCTTATTATTATTTTTAAAGATCCTCAATTAATCATGAAGACTGGCTGTGTGTGGCAATCATAGCACATGTTAATAATCTGTCCCAAGGAAAAGGCGAAAGCATGTGTTAGTTGATCTATGTCAGTTTTGCACTGAAAACATTCTCTGAAACACTCGTCTCTCAAAGATCTCCATGGGGAAAATAGTTTTTTGCTGTTTATTAAAGAGTCTTAGAAGTCCTGCAGTAACAAAAAATTGATTATTTGTTAAGCTCACCATTCTCAATTATAACTTCCTTCATTAGACACTTATTGACATCCTACAAGGCACATTTTTAAAAATTCCAACTGACATGTTATACATATATATAGGAATTGGCCAATATTACATTTCTGAAGCTTTACTGTAACTAAAATTGTATCTCTTTCACAGGAATTCTCCCCAATTGTTTAATTGTGTAACTAATTCAATTTAAATTTATATCACTGGATTCACCAGCAAGTTTCAGTTAGCCAAGATAATGTTTAATTTCAACTGGAATCCAGCATGTTTGATTTCTCTCCTAGCTTTGAATTATCGGAATATTTGATAAGGGGAAATTCTAAAGCTCCATTTAAGATATTGGTCACTATGTATAGGATCAGATAGGATTAAGGATAGAGTTTTAACTCACTCTGCTATCTGGTACCATCCAAGTTAACACTGGTTCATTATTTTATATCTTTGATATGAAGTTATTCAACTGCTAATTGACCTAACACTTTTCTAATTCAGGCCATATATTTTTTCAAATATAGGTATGTCACAAAAGGTTTTGTCATTTGGTTTACGTAAATCAAACTTTATCTTCACAGATAGTTTGTTGTGATCTTTTAGTTAAATACCAGTAATATTTCCCCAAATATCTGAATTAGAATTTTTTGATAGAAGTACAGCCGAAAGGATTCTTAATTTTAACTTGCCAAGACTCAACCAGATAGAAACAATATATAGCAGTTGATAGAAAAACAGAACAACTCTAAATAAAATAATTGATAGACAAAACTTTCAGTTATTTTGTTTTTCAAATGAGTGGCCCTGTTACTCAAAGTACTCTCCTGCATAGATATTAAATTTTGTACAATTTAAAATATAATTTTTTGCTTACCTGCAAATGTTCTTGGAAAATTTTGAAAATATTGTTCAAAACGTTAATATTATATATATGTGTGTGTGCATGTGTGTAAAATGGCACATAACTGTACAGCTTGAATTATTTTCACAAACTGAACATACTTATATTATTAGTACTCAGACAAAGAAACAGAACCCCAGTATTCAGAAGCCTTCTTGCAGGCTCCTTTCCACTGGCTATTCCTCCAAAAATAACCGCTATCCCAGCTTTTAACTTTATAGACTAATTTTGTCTCTTAGAACAAAGCACATGTTCAGGTTCATCGGATACATTGTAGTTCATAGAATTACTCCAAATGTTCAAGTTGAAGAAATTCAATATTTTTCCTCAATATCAAATAATAAAGTTTAAGGCAACATTGCAGAGTGAAATTATGTTTCTTAAACTTATGTTTCTTAAACTTTCTAGTTCTATCACCTTAGGCAAATTGGTTAATTGATCCTTTTTTTTTTTTTTTTTGAGACAGAGACTTGCTCCATCACCCAGGTTGGAGTGCAGTGGTGCAATCTTGGCTCAATGCAACCTCTGCCTCTGGGGTCCAAGCGATTCTCCTGTCTCAGCCTCCTGAATATCTGGGACTACAGGTCTGAGCCACAACGCCCGTCTAATTCTTGTATTTTTAGTAAAGATGGGGTTTTGCCATTTTGGCCAGGCTGGTCTTGAACTCCTGGCCTCAAGTGACTATCCCGTCTTGGCCTCCCAAAGTGCTGGGATTACAGGCGTGAGCCACTGTGCCTGGCCTGATCCATTTTTTTTTAATTTTTTTTATTTTTATTTATTTATTTTTATTATACTTTAAGTTTTAGGGTACATGTGCACATTGTGCAGGTTAGTTACATATGTATACATGTGCCATGCTGGTGCGCTGCACCCACTAACTCGTCATCTAGCATTAGGTATATCTCCCAGTGCTATCCCTCCCCCCTCCCCCCACCCCACCACAGTCCCCAGAGTGTGATATTCCCCTTCCTGTGTCCATGTGATCTCATTGTTCACCTCCCACCTATGAGTGAGAATATGCGGTGTTTGGTTTTTTGTTCTTGCGATAGTTTACTGAGAATGATGATTTCCAATTTCATCCATGTCCCTACAAAGGACATGAACTCATCATTTTTTTATGGCTGCATAGTATTCCATGGTGTATATGTGCCACATTTTCTTAATCCAGTCTATCATTGTTGGACATTTGGGTTGATTCCAAGTCTTTGCTATTGTGAATAATGCCGCAATAAACGTACGTGTGCATGTGTCTTTATAGCAGCATGATTTATAGTCATTTGGGTATATACCCAGTAATGGGATGGCTGGGTCAAATGGTATTTCTAGTTCTAGATCTCTGAGGAATCGCCACACTGACTTCCACAATGGTTGAACTAGTTTACAGTCCCACCAACAGTGTAAAAGTGTTCCTATTTCTCCACATCCTCTCCAGCACCTGTTGTTTCCTGATCCATTTTTAAAAACCTCATTGATGTATAATTTACATACCATGCAATACACTTGTTTAAGTACATAACACAGTGATTTTTAGTACTTTAAAGAGTTGTGCAAATATCACAGCAATCCAGATTTTTCAACATTTCCGTCATCTTAAAGATGTCCAATCATCACTATTTGCAGACAATTCCTGCTTTCCTCCCCTGTAGCCAGGTAACCACTAACTTACTTTCTGTTTCTATAGACTTGCCCTTCCTGGACATTTCATAAACTGGTATGATACAGTATGTGGGATATTTTTCATCTGGCTTCTTTGTGTTAGCATAAGGTTTGTGAGGTTTATCCACGTTGTGGCGTGTATCAGGATTTTTTCCTTTTTATTGTCAAACAGATTCCATTGCATGTATTTAACACATTCAGTTTAACCATTCTTGCACTGATGGACATTTGAAATGTTTCCATTTTTTGACTGTTATGAATAATGCTGCTGTGAACATTCTTGTATGATTCTTTGTGTGGAAACAGAGCAGGTACTACTTGCTCTTTGGTAGAAACCTAAGCATACAATTACTGTGTTTTATGTACATTTATGTTTAACTTCTTTAAAAATTGCCAAAATGTTTTCAAAAGTTGCTGCACAATTTTACATTATCACCAGCAGTGCATTAGGGTTACAGTTTCTCCACATCATCACCAACACCTGTTTTGGTCAATATTTTGAATATTGCTTCTCTGGTTGATAGGTAATGGTATCTAATTGTGGTTTTGATTTGCATTTACCTAATGAGTAATTATGTTGAGCACCTTTTCATGTACTTATTCACCATACAGATATACTTATTTAATGAAATTTCCACTGAAATCTTTGGTCCGTTACTTATTTGGGGATTTTTCCCCTTATTATTGAATTGTAAGCATTCTTTATGTATTCTATACTTTTAAGTCATTTCTCAGACATATGAGGTATAAATATTTTCTTCAAATCTATCGTTTGTATTTTCACTTTCTTCATGGAGTATTTTGAAGCAATTTTTAAAATTTTTTATGAAGGCTACTTTATAAAAGTTTTCTTCTATTTCTTGTGCCCTTGGTTTCAGATCTGAGAAATCTTCAGCTGACTTAAGATAAAAAAAATTTACTCATATTCTTCTTCTAAAAATTCTTCAGTTTTTATGAATAACTTTATGTTTATTATTCGTTTTGAATTATTTTTGTGTATGATGAGGTATTCGTCTAAATTTATTCTTTGCATATAGATATCCAGTTGTGTCAGCAATATTTGTTGAGGTTACTATGCATTGCTAGTTGTGTTGATTGGAATCTTTGTCAAAATCAGTTGACCAAAAATGTAAGCGTTTCATTTTGGACTCTAAAAAGTATTCCATTGATTGATGTCAACATTTATGCCAGCGCTATATCATATTCACTACTGTAGCCTTGCAGTATATTTTGAAAAGAAGTACATGCCCTCCAACATTCTCATTCTTTGTCAAGATTGTTTTGCTTATTCTGGGTCCCTTGAATTTCTATGTAAACATTAGAGTTAGCTATTATGTTTCTAAAAGAAGGGAGCTAGGATTTTGATAGGGTTGTTGTTGAATACATCTATTTGGGAATATTGCTATTGATATCATAGAGTCTCCCAGTTAATGAACATGGCATATCTTTCCATTTATTTATATATTCTTTAAATTTTTGGTAATGGTTTGTATTGTTCAATGTCAAAATGTATGCATCTTTATTAATTTTAAAGTATTTTGTTATTTTTGATATTATTGTGAATGAGGTAGTTTTCTTAATTTCATTTGTGATAGTTCATTGTTAGGCTGTAAAAATACAATAGACTTTTCTATATTTATCTTTTACCCTGTGAATTTCCTGAAGACATTCGTTCTTGTGGAGAGGGAGAGGACAAAGAGAGACACATAAAAGGAGAATGAGAGAAGAAGATAACGTCTTAATACTTCCTACATAAATGTTCATGCTCTTAAGCAGGAATTAAGACATTTTACTTTATCAGATTTCCATTTTAAATATTTTTTTAAATTTTCTTGTCTGACTCTACTGGCCAGAGCCCCCACTGTAATGTTAAATAGAAGCTAATGATAGTAGACATCTTAGTCTCATTAGCATTGATTCAATCTTTCACCATTAAGTCTGATTTTAGCTGTGTATTTCCCACAGATGCCCTTTATCAGATTGAGGAAGTTCTTTTTTATTTCATTTGTTGAGAGTTTCCTTCCTTCCTTCCTTCTTTCCTTCTTTCTTTCCTTCCTTCCTCCTTCCCCCTCCTCTATCTCCTCCTCCTCCTTTTCTTTTTTCTTTTCTTCTTTCTTTTTCTTTCTTTCTTTTTCTTTCTTTCTTCTTTCTTTTTCTTTCTTTCTTTCTTTCCTTCCTTCTTTCTTTCTTCCTTTGTTTCTTTCTCCTTCCTTCCTTTTTTCTTTCTCTTTATTTCTTTCTTTTTCTTTCTCTTTCTTTCTCTTTTTCTTTTTCTTTTTTTCTTTAAATTATGAGGAGTGCCAGATTTTGTCAAATTACTTCGTTTATCTCTTGAAATTATTATGTGCTTTTTGTTCTTTTGTAAATATGGTATATTACAGTAATTGATTTTTGCATGTTATCTGAGTCCATTTGGTCTGCTATAAACAAAGTACCATGAACTGAGTGACTTATGAATGACAGATTTATTTCTCACTGTTCTAGAAGCTAGAAAGGGAAAGATCAAGACACCAACAGATTAAGTGTTTGGTGAGGCCCCATTTTCTGGTTCATAGATGACACCTTCTTATTGTGTCCACACATGGTGAAAGGGGCAAGTCTCTCTCTTGGGCCTGTTTTATAAAGACACGAATCTCATTCATGAAGGTTTTGCCTTTATGACTCAATCATCTCTCAAAGGCTCCACCATCTATACATTCACCTTGGGGGCTGGCATTCCAACACATGATTTTGGAGGCATCCAAGCATATGTTAAACCAACTTTGCTTTCCTAGAAGAAATCCCACTCAGTCATTACAAAAATTTGTATATGTCACTGGATTTAAGTTTGTAATATTTTGCTAAGAATTTTTTTTCTATAATCATAGAAGGTATTGAACTTTACTTTTAATTTCTTGTGATATCTTTTCTTAGGTCTGGTTAAAGAGTAATATTTGCCTTATAGAATAAGTTAGGCAGTGTTATCTCCTCAGTTTTCTAAAAATGTTTCACAAAAATTATAATTATTTATTATTTAAATGTTTGGTTAAATTTATTTGTTAAGGTATATGGGACTAATATTTGATTTGTAGGAAATTTTAAAGTAACTAATTGAATCCCTTTACTTGTCATCAATCTTGTAAATTTTCTATCTCGAGTTAATTTTGGTAACTTGTATTTTCTTGGAAAATTGTCCATTTCATGTAAATTATCTAGTTTATTGGCACACAGTTGTTCATGGTATTCTCAGACATTTTTTTCTGTTAGGTCAATAATAATTATTCCTCCTTTATTGTGAATTTTAGTAATTTTAGTAATCTTTTTAAACTGTTGATCAGTCTAGCTAAAGGTTTGTCAGTATTATTGATTCTTAGGTGAACTAATTTTTATTTTTATTTTATTTTTTATTTTATTTATTTATTTATTTATTTATTTAGTTATTTATTTATTTATTTATTTTTGAGACGGAGTCTCGCTCTGTCACCCAGGCTGGAGTGCAGTGGCGCAATCTTGGCTCACTGCAAGCTGGGACTCCCAGGTTCACGCCATTCTGCTGCCTCAACCTCCTGAGTAGCTGGGACTACAGGCGCCCGCCACCATGCCCGGCTAATTTTTTTTTTTTTTTGTATTTTTAGTAGAGAAGGGGTTTCACCGTGTTAGCCAGGATGGTCTCGATTTCCTGACCTCGTGATCCGCCCACCTTGGCCTCCCAAAGTGCTGGGATTACAGGCATGAGCCACCGTGCCCAGCCTAAATGAACTAATTCTTAATTTCACTAATTTTTGTATCAATTTTCCATTTTCTATTTCATTTATTCAGACTTGATCTTTATTGCTCCTTCCCTTCCGCTTTTTTGGGTATATATTTTGTTTTTATTTTAGTTGCTTATGGTAAACTCTTAGGTTATTTGAGAGCATGCTTCTATGTTAAAACTGATGTTTAAAACTATAAATTTCTGTTAAGCACTACTTAAGTGTATCTCATTAATTTTGATATGATGTGGTTTAATTTTCATTCAGTTCAAAATAATTGCTAATGTTTCCCATGATTTGTTCATTGGCCCACTGGTTATTTAGAAGTACTTAATTTCCAATTATTTGTGAATTTCTCCAATTTATTTCTGTTATTGAGTTCTAATATAGTTTAACTTATTTGGTCAAAAAGTGTGCTTTATGTGACTTCAATTCTTTTGAATTTGTGGAGACTTTTCTTTATAAATTGGCATATAGGTTTTCCTGAACATTGTTCAATGTGTTATTGTGAATAATGTATAGTCTGCTGTTCTTGATGGTTTTAATATTAGGTCAAGTTATTTCACATTGTTGTTTAAGTCTCCTATAACCTTACTGATATTCTGTCTAGTTGTTCTATCCATTAATGAGAGTGAAGCATTGAGGTTTCCAAGTATTGTTGTTGAATTTTTTATTTCTGTCTTGGTTTCTTTCACTTCCTGCTGTATATGTTTTGGGGCTGTTCTTTGAGTATGGACATAGGCTTTCAAATTATGTTTTATGCAACAATCATTTCCATGGTGCTAATGATCTCCAAAAAATTCAGCAAAAACACTATAAAAGTCATTTTTCTTCCTGAACTTTGGAAATTAACCAAAATATTTGTATAATCTGATAATTTATTTTTTAAATGCCTGAATTTCAGTAACAACGAGCATTTTTGCATTTTAACTTGCCCTATTTCTATACCCCTCTCTCTAGCTGTATGATATACTTGAAAAGCAACACCATTAGAATGAGTGTAGCTTTGGAAACTGGGAGATTAGCCCATAATGAATGAAGGGCCCATAAACATTGGACATGTCCCCAAATCCCATCCACAAGGAATTGTTGCTATTGAACCTCTTTGGCAGCTTCCTAAGAAGCTCCATTCTCAGTGCTTGCTTTTATTTCACCTGGCTCAGAGCTCACTCTGCATGAACCCTATCTATAGGATGTTGAAAACAACCAGAAACAACAGTGTAGCATACAATTTGTGGCTAACTAGAGGCTAACCAAAAACCTTTTAAAAAACGTAATTTTATAGTATGAATTAGTTATTATAAATATGTTCAAAAACTAAAGATAATTGCCTAGATAAATAAAAGACATTATGAGAAAAATATATTTCTTAGTCCATTTATGCTGCTATAACAGAATACCTGAGACTGGGTAATTTATAATTAACAAAAAATATATTTTTTAACATTTCTGGGGCCTGGGAAGTCCAAAATTGAGAGGCCAGCATCTTGCAAATGTCTTCTTGCTACATCATCGCATGGCAGAAGGCAAAAGGACAAAATAAGGACAAGACAAAAAGAAAAGCTGAAGGGGGTCAAATTCATCCTATTATGAGAAACCCACTCCATGATAATAAAAATCCTCTCATGATAACAGCATTAATTCATTCACATTGTCTTCATGGCCTCATCACCTCTTATTAGGCCCTACCTCCCCACAATGTTGCAGTAGGGATTAAGATTCTAACACACACTTTTTGAGGAACACATTTAAACCATAGCATTGTATGCCTGCCCACCCCAAATTAATGGCCTTCTCAAACTACATTAATGCAAAGTACATTAATTCTGTTTCAATAGCCCCAAAGTCTTAAGTCCTTTCAGCAACAACTCAAAAGTCTAAAGTTCAACATTTCATCTAAATTAGATATGGATGAGACTCATGACACAATTCATCCTGGGGCAAAATATTCTCCAGGCATGAGCCTGTGATATTAAACAAGGTATTTACTTCTAAAATGTAATGATAGAGCAAGCATAGCCATTTCCATACCAAAAGGGAGAAATGGGTAAAAGAAAGGGGCAACTTGTCCCAAATAAGTCCAAAACCAACAGGATAGCAACTTTAAATCTTAAAGCTCAGGAATAATCTACCTTGACATTGTTTCCCACCTCTTGAGCACGCTGGGGTTGGTGTTGGGCTCCCAATGCCTTGGGCAGCCCTGCCTCCATGGCTTTGCTGGGCTCAGCTCATGCAGCTGCTCTCATGGGTTGAAATCTCATGCCTGCAGGTCTCATGCCTGCAGTATGGGGCTGCAATCACAGGTGGTTCTATAGGTCCGGGGATTTGGAGGAGGTTCTACACCTATGGTTCCACTAGACATTGTCCTAGTGGGAATTCTCTGCAGTGGATATACCCCTGCAGCAGCAGGTTTCCATCTGGACTCCCAGGCAGTCAAATACATTCTTTGAAATTTAGGTGGAGGAATCCATGCCCCCACAGCTCTTCCATACTTCAAATCTGCAGAATTAGCACCAGATAGACACTTCTGGGGTTCATGGCTTGTACCTTTTGGAACAGTGGGTTTGGCTGCACTTAGATCTACCTGAGCCACAATTTGCGTGACCAAGGAACACTGTGCTGGAAATTAGGAAGCAGAATCTGAAGGCATCCTTGAGGAGCACCACAGGCCTTTCCCCCAAACCATTTGGCCCTCCTGGAGCTCAGGGCCTATGATGTAAGGGGCAGTCTTGAAGATCTCCCAAGTGCCTTCAGGGTCATTTTCCCATTGTATTGTTGAATAGCACCTGGCTTTCTTTTACTCATACTAATATTTTTGTCAAAGAGTCACTTGGCACATCCTTGTTATTCTCTCCCAAACAAGCTTCATCATGCTTTACATGGCCAGGCTGTGGGATGTTTCAAAGTTTTAAGTTCTCCTTTCCTTTACATTATAAATTGCCTCATTATATTATTTCTCTCTTTTGCATTTTACTATATATAGTTAAAATAAACCAAATAGCTTGTTTAATGTTTCTTCTTCCAGATATCCTAGTTCATCTCTCTTAAATTCCACCTTTCACAAAGCTCCCAGGCATGGACACAATTCAATCAAGTTTTCTTTTTGGCCCTTAATCAATCACAAGGATGACCATTACTCCAGTTTCCAATCAGATATTCCTCATTTGTGTCTGAGACCTCATTAAAGTGGTCTTTACTGTCCATATTTCTAATAGCATTCCGGTAATTACCACATAATCTCTAAGAAGTTTCAGACATTTCCTACAGCTCTTCTCTTCTTCTGAGCCCTCACCAGAGTTGTCCTTAACATGTTGGTCATGGCAATACAGGCTTTTCGTACTCTGATCCTTCCAATTCTTTTAGCCTCCGCTCATTACCTAGTTCCAAAACTGATTCCACATTTCAGGTTGTTATAGAAACACTCACTCTACAGTACCAGTTTTATTTCCTAGTCCATTTGTTATTCTATAAGATAATACCTGAGACTGGGTAATGTGTAATAAATAACATTTTATTTTCTCGGTCTTTGTGAGTTGGAGAAGTTAAAAATCAAAAACCCAGTATCTGGCAAGGGCCTTCTTGCTGCATTATTACATGGTACAAGTTGCAAGGACAAAGAGAGGGTAAGAGAAAAAGAGACAAAAAGGAGCGAAACTCACTGTATTCTGAGTAACCCTCTTCCACGATAACAAACTAACTCCTGTGATAGCAGCTTTAATCCATCCTCTCTGCCCTCATGGACTAATCACCTCTCTTAAGTCCCCATTAAGAGATTAATTTTCCAAGACATGATTTTTAGACATTCAAACCATGGCAATGTCTTACCAACTAGAAAATGTCAATAAAGTCATAGGAAATATATATAAATAAATAAAATTATTGAACGAAAAATTACAACTGAAATGAAAAAAACACTAGAGGGGCTTAACTGCAGACAAGAGCAGCCAGAAGAACAAACAAGTGAAATTGAGATAGGTCAAATAAAATTTTTTAGTCTGAGGAACAGAAGGATAGCAGAAAGAAGAAAAATGTACAGAGTCTAAGAGACCTGTAGGACGCCATCAAGCATACCAACATAGACATAAAAGGAGTTCCAGAAGGATTAGCACAAACAACATTTAAATAAATAATGGTTGAAAACTTGCCAAATTTGATTTAAAAATCTACTTATCCATTAAGACCAATAAATTCCAACTAGGATAACTCTAAAGATGCACAACTGAGCACATCATAGGCAAACTGTCAAAAGACAAAGACAGAGAGAGAATCTCTAGAACAGCAAGAGAAAAGCAACTCATCATGTAAAAGAAATTTTCAATAACATTAACAGCAGGCTTCTCTTCAGAAATCATGGAGACCAGAAGGAAGTGAGATGACATAATGAAAATGCTGAAAGAAATACTATCCCTCATGGATTCTATATCCAGAAAATTAGCCATCAAAAATAAAAGAAATATTAATTCATTCCCCAACAAACCCAAACTGGAAGAAATCTGTTGCCCACAAACCTGCCCTACCAGAAATACTAAAGGGAATCTTTTAGGGTGTAATGAAAGACTATAGATAGGAAAGTACTCAAACTCACACAAGGAAATAAACAACAGCAATAAAGGTAGCTACAATATTACTTCAGGAGACATATAAAATATATTATCAATTTATTTTTCTTTATAAGCTTTCTAAAATATGCTGTAAAAGCCAAATGCAAAAAAATTGTGAAGCTGTGCTGATGGATTTAAAATGTATAATGATATAATTTGAATGCCAATAATACCAAAAAGAAGGGATGAAATAGAGCTATATATTATGAAAGGTTTTTATAATATTTAAATTAAATTGCTATTAATTCAAACTAGATTTGTTTAATTTAAGATAATAGTTGTAATCCCAGGGTAACCAGAAAGAAAGCAATTCCACAAAATATGTTAAAATAAAGACTACAAGAGTTGAAATGGTATGCTATGTCATATATGTTTAACACAAAAGAAGTCAGTAATAGAGAGATACAAGAGCAAAAACGTAAGATATATTAGGAGACAAATCGTTTGAAAGTAAAAGAATATAAATAGGAACACGTTTACACTGTTGGTGGGACGGTAAACTAGTTCAACCGTTGTGGAAGTCAGTGTGGCGATTCCTCAGGGATCTAGAACTAGAAATACCATTTGACCCAGCCATCCCATTACTGGGTATATACCCAAATGACTATAAATCATGCTGCTATAAAGACACATGCACACATATGTTTATTGCAGCACCATTCACAATAGCAAAGACTTGGAACCAACCCAAATGTCCAACAACGATAGACTGGATTAAGAAAATGTGGCACATATACACCATGGAATACTATGCAGCCATAAAAAATGATGAGTTCATGTCCTTTGTAGGGACATGGATGAAGTCGGAAATCATCATTCTCAGTAAACTGTCGCAAGAACAAAAAACTAAACACCGCATATTCTCACTCATAGGTGGGAATTGAACAATGAGATCACATGGACACGGGAAGGGGAACATCACACTCTGGGGACTGTGGTGGGGTGGGGGGAGGGGGGAGGGATAGCATTGGGAGATATACCTAATGCTAGATGACGAGTTAGTGGGTGCAGCACACCAGCATGGCACATGTATACATATGTAACTAACCTGCACAATGTGCACATGTACCCTAAAACTTAAAGTATAATAATAATAATAATAATAATAATAAAAAGACAGTAAAAGAATATAAAAAGAGAAGAATTAGCACACAAACGCTAATCCATAAAAACTAGTGTGGATCTACTAATAAAAGGCAAAATAGACAACAAAGTTAGAATTATCACTAGATATTAAGTAAATTGTATGATGATAAAAGGGTAAATCCATCAAGAATCTATAATAGCAATAGGCTTATATTCACTTAAAAAATCTTCAAAATATGTGAAACGAATCTGACAGAATTAAATAGAGAAATACACCATTTAACCATAATAGTTGGAAAATTTAGTACTCCATTTTCAATAACAAAACAACTAGGCAGAATAACAACAAGGGAAATAGAAGCCTTGAACAATATTACAGACCAACTAACCCTAACAAACATCTATAGGATATGTCACTCAACAAAAGAAGAACACTTCCTTCTTAAGTGCATATGGTACATTTTCCTGGATTAACCATATTTTAGGTTATAAAATAAGCCTTGATAAATTTTAAAGGATAAGAACATAATAGCTATATTCTCTGTGCTATGAACTGAAGCCTTATTTCTCTCAAAATTCATATGTTGAAATCTAGCCTCTAAGGTGATGGTATTAGGAGGTAGGACCTTTGGGAGGTGATTAAATTATGAGGGAAAAGCCCACATGATTGGGACAAACACCCTTATAAAAGAGACTTCACAGAGCTAGCTATTCCTTTCTACCATGTGTGGAAATAGCAAGAAGGATGAATATGAGAAAGCAGGCCTTCATCAGACATCAAATCTGCTGGTGTCCTGACCTTGGACTTCTCAAACTCCAAAACCGAAAAATAAATTTCTGTTGTTTATAAGCTACTTGTCTATGATATTTTATTATAGCAGCCCAAACAGTTTAAGACACTCTGATTACATGGAATGAAATTAGAAATCAATAACCGAAGGAATTCTGATAATACACAGTATGTGAAAATTAAACAGTACAATATATCCCAAACAAACAATACATCCTTGACATCACAAGTGAAATGGAAAATTATCTGGGATAAAATGAAGCACAACCTACCAAAAATCATAAGATATAGCAAAAGCAATGCTTATGGGAAAAATTATAACTATAAACTCTAATGTTAAAATGGTGAAAGGTATCAATTCAATAACTTAAATGCTCATGTTATGACACTAAATTACAATAAAGTAAACTAAAGCCAAGCAAGAGGAAGGAAGGAAATAATAAAGATAGCATTGAAGGCAGAGCAAGATGACAGAATACAAGGTTCCACATATTGTCTCCCCAACAAGGACACCAATTTAACAACAATCTACACGCAAAACACACCTTCGTAAGAACTAAAGATCAGTTGAGCATACATAGTACCAGGTTTCAATTTCTTATCACTGAAAGAGGCACTGAAGAGGTAAAAAAAACAAAAGAAAACAAAAGACTTTTTAATCACAGATGCCACCCCTCCCCCACACCCCAGCAGCAGTGGCTTGGTGCAGAGAGGATCTCTGGGTGGTTGAGGAGGGAGAAAACAGCAATTATGGGGCATTAAACTCAGTGCTGTCCTGTTACGGAAGAAAAAAAAACTGGACCAAACTCAGCTGATGCCAACCCATGAAGGGAGCATTTAAACCAACCCTGACCAGAGAGGAATAGCAGATCCCAAGGGCCAGAACTTGAGTTCGTGCAAGCCTTGACAACCATGGGCTAAGGTGCCCTGGGTCTCTAAATTAGCTTGAAAGGAAGTTTAAGCCACAAGGATTGTAACACCAAGGTTAGTCCTAGGGCTGAACTGGGTGCATAGACCTTGAATGGGGTGGCGGGGCACATGACCTACTGAGGCACCAACTGGGACGGCTAAAGGAGTAATGGCATCACTCCTTCTTTAACTCCAGACAGCACGGCTTCTGGATCCAAAAGAGAACGCTTCTTTTTAACTGAGGAGAAGAGACAGAAGAGTCGGGAGGACTTTGTCTTGCATCAGATACCAGCTCAGCCACAGAAGGATAAGGTACCAGTCAGAGCCATAAGGCCCTCTTTCCAGACCCTAGATCCTGGGCATTTATAGATGCAACCTGAGCCAAAGGGAACCTTCTGTCTTGAAGGGAAGGACCTAGTCCTGGCAGCATTCATCACTTGCTAACCTAACATACCTTGGGCCCTGAATGCCAAGCAGTGATACCCAGATACTATGTCAAGGGTTTGAGTAAGACCCTGAGACATTCTGGCTTCAGGTGAGACCCAGCACATTCCCAACTATTCTGGGTTTGGTGTAAAAACCTGTCTACTTGACAGAAGCGTAAGGAAAAGTTAAAGGAACTTCATCTTGCATCTTAAGTACCAGCTTGGCCACAGAAAGGTAGAGCATCAAATAGGCTCTTGGGGTTCCTGATACCAAGACTTGGCTTTTGGATAGCAATTCTGGACCTGCCCTGGGCCAGAGGAGAGCCCATTGCCCTGACTTGTGGTCTCAGGTCACGCAGCATTTACAGCAAGCTAAATGAAGAGCCCTTAGGCCATAAGGGTACATCAGAAGTAGTCTGGAAGTACTCAACAGTGGCCTGTGGTGGCAGTGGCCATGGGTTGAGGCTTCTCTGCCTTAGGAAAGAAGAGTGGGAGAAGACTATTTCTTGTTGTTTGAGCACTAGCTTAGCTGAAGTACAGTGGAACACCAGGTAGACTTCCATGGTTTATTACTGTAGTCCATGGCTTTCAGATGACATGGACTAGAGTAAAAATCCTTAGAAGTCTACTTGGTGGACTGGTTGAACTTTCAGCCTTGAAGGGAAGGACACAGACTTGGCTGGCATTGCAAAAAGCTGTATGCAGAGCCCCAAGGCCTTGAACAAACATAAGAGGGAACTAGGAAGTGGTTACAGCAGGCCTTGGGTGAGACTGAGTGCTATGCTGGCTTCAGAATTGACTTAGCAATCCTGAAGTAATAGTGGTGTCACTACAACCCCAGCTTCAGTTGACTGAGGACAGAGCAAGACAGACCCTGTTTGACAGAAATTAAGGGGAGAGAACAAAAGTCTCTGCCTGGTAATCCATAGCATTTGCCTGGATATTGTCCAAGACCATTAAGGCAGTACCTCTAAGAGTCTGTAAGAACAACAGTGTTACTGAGCTTGGAGTGACCCTAAAGCAAATACAGCTTAGATTACAACAGCCAAGTCTTTTCAAATTTCTGGAAAGCCTACCCAAGAAGGAGGGGTACAAAGAAGCCCAGACTGTGCAGACAAATTAAGTACCTAAATCTTCAATGGCCAGACAATAAAGAACATTTGCAAGTATCAAGATGATCCAGGAAAACATTACCTCATGAAATAAACTAAATAAGGCATGAGAAACTTATCCTGCAGAAACAGAGACAGGTAAACTTTCGGAAAGATAATTAAAAATAGCTGAGTTGAGGAAACTCAAAGAAATTCAAAAGAACCCAGAAAAAAAATTCTGAGTTCTATCAGAGAAATGCATGAAAGATGTTTATATAGTTTAAAATAATCAAATAGAAATTCTGGAGTTGAAAAATACAATTGACTTACTGAAGAATGGACCAGTCTTTTAATAGCAGAATTGATCAAGCAGAAGAAAGAATTAGTGCACTTGAATAGAAGCTATTTGAAAATACACAGTCAGAAGAGACAAAAGAAAAAAATAATACAAAACAATAAAGCACACCTAAAGGATCTGGAAAATAGCCTCAAAAGTGTAAATGTCAGAATTATTGTCTGTAAAGAGGAGGCAGAGAAAGAGACAGGTGTAGAAAGTTTATTCAAAGGGAAAATAACAGAATTTTCAAATCCTAGAGAAAGGCAGCAATATCCTTATATAAGAAGGTTATGCAGTACCAAGGCAATTTAACACAAATACAACTAACTCAAGGTATCCAATAGTTAAACTCTCAAAGATCTAGAATAAAGAAAAGATCTTGAAAGCAGCAAAAGAAAAGAAAGAAGTAACATACAATGGAGCTCTAATATATCTGACAGCAGACATTTCAGTGCAAACTTTGCAGGTGAGGAGAGAGTGGCATGAGCTATTTAAAGTGCTGAAAGAAAAAAACCTTTTACCCTAGAATAGAAAACCAGTGAAAATATCCTTCAAACATAAAGGAGAAATAAAAAATTTCCCAAACAAAAGCTGAAGGATTTCATCAACATCAGAATTGTCCTGAAAGAAATGCTAAAGGAAGTATTTCAATCAGAAAGAAAAGGTCATTAGAGAGAAGTAATCACCCGAAGGTATAAAACTCACTGGTAATAGTAAGTACACAGGAAAACACAAAATATTATAACACTGTCACTGTTGTGTGTAAACTGCTCTTATCCTAAATACAGAGTTTAAGTGATGAATCAATCAAAAATAATAATTAAAACTTTTTTAGTACAGAGACATTACAATAAGGGATAAATAGAAACAACAAAATTTTAAAAGCAGGGGGTTAAAGTTAAGGCGTAGAGTTTTTATTAGTTTCCTTTTTGCTTATTTGTTTGTTTGTTTGTTGCAATACTCGTGGTAACCACAAATCAGAAGACATAAAACAAATACACAAAAAATAAAAAGCAAGAAGCTAAATCATGTCACCAGATACAATCACCTTCATTAAAAGGAAGATAAGAAGGAAGGAAAGAAGGATGGGTAGACCACAAAACAATGAGAAACAAATAACTAAATGGCAAGAGTAACTCCTTATTTATCAATAATATCATTGAGTGTAAATGGTCTAAACTCTCCAATCAAAAAAATAGAGTGCCTGAATGGATAAAACCCAAGACCTACTGATCTGTTGCCTACAAGTAACACACGTATAGAGACACACATAGACTAAAAAAAAAAAAAAAGAGGATGGAAAAAGATATTCCATGCCTATGGAAACCAAAAAGCACAAGAGTACTTATAAAATAGATTTGAAGACAAAAAATATGAGACGTGGCAAAGTAGGTCACTGTATAATGATAAGTGGATTAATCCAACAAGCGGATATAACAATTTTCAATATATATGCACCCAACACTGGAGCACAAGATATATAAAAGAAATATTATTAGAGCTGAAGAGAGAGATAGGCCCCAATACAATAAGAGTTGGTGACTTCAACACCCCACTTTCAGCATTGGACAGATCTTCCATACAGAAAAGCAATAAAGAAACATTGAACTTAATCTGTACTGTAAAACAAATGGATCTGATAGATATTTACAGAACATTTCACCCAACAGCTGCAGAATATATATTCTTTTCCTCAGCACAGGGATCATTCTCAATAATAGACCGAATGTTAGGTCACAAAACAAGTCACAAAACATGCAAAAATTTGAAAGAATATCAAGCATCTTTTCTGACTACAATGAAACAGAACTAGAAATTAATAAAAAGAGAAATTTTGAAAAAGTACAAATGCATGGAAATCAAACAATATCCTTCTGAATGACAAGTGGGTCAATGAAGAAATTACAAAAAGAGGAAAAATTCTTGAAACAAATGATAATTGAAACAAAACACACCAAACCTATGGGATACAGCAAAAGTAGCATTAATAGGAATATTTAGAGCTAAAAGTTTCTACATCACGAAGGAGGAAAAACTTCAAATAAACAACCTAACTATGCATCCTAAAGAAATAGAAAAGCATGAGCATACCAAAGCCAAAATTAGTAACAGAAAAGAAATAGTAAGAAAGAAATGCAATTGAAATAAAAAAATACAAAAGATCAGTGAAACAAAATGTTGTTTTTTCAAAACGCTAAATCATATTGACAAATCTTTAACCAGATTCACTAGGAAAAATCAAGATAAGATACAAATAAATAAAATCAGATATGAAAAAGGAAACATTACAAGTCACATTGCAGATATTTGAAGAATCTTCAGTGGCTACCGTGAGCAACTATCTATCAATAAATTGAAAAATCTAGAAGAAATGGAAAAACAACTAGACACCTACCACCTACCTAGATTGAATCAGGAATATATTCAAAACCTGAAGATGATAATACCAAGTAACATGATTGGAACAAAAAAAAAAATTCCCAGTAAAGAAAATCTCAGGACCTGATGGCTTCACTGCTGAATTCTACCAAAAATTTAAAGAAGGAGTAATACCAATCCTGCTTAAAATAGTCTGAAATAATAGAGAAAGAGGGAACACATCCAAACTCATTCCAAAAGGGCAGTGTTAATTTAATACCAAAACCAGACAAAGACACATCAAAAAACAGAACAAAACTACAGGCCAATATCTCTGATGAATATTGATGTAAAAATCATCAACAAAATACCAGTAGATCAAATTCAACAGTATATTAAAAGGATCCTTCCTCATTACCAAGTGGGATTTATCCATGGGATGCAAGGATGGTTCAGCATATGCAAATCAATCAATATGATACATCATACTGATGCAGGACTTTTTTCTCCTTAGATCAGCTAAGTCCGGGTTCTTATCTTACTATCAGGAAAAATTAGGCACGTGGACACTCAAAGAAAGAGTGCAGTAGAATTTATTAAGCAAAAGGAAAGCTCTCGGGAAAGAGAGGGGTCCTGAAAGCAGGTTCCTAATTGCCCCCTTCACAGGGGGCTTTTACATACAAGCTGATCGGGCTGGGTTCCCTATTTGTATAAGGTACAAATTCCTGGTGGCTCCACCCCATTTCTGAGTGCACGTGCAGGCTCTTAGTCCACTGCGAGCATGTTTAGGCAACTTCCCTGTGCAAGGATCCCTATTTACACAAAACACAGGTCGGAAGTTCTCTGGGGACCCTTCCCTTGCTGTCTGCCTAAAGCAAGCTGGCTAACTCCTTTCAATATCCACAGAATGAAGGACAAAAGCCATATGATCAATACAATTGATGAAAAACCACTTGATGGACTTTAGAATCCTTTTATGATAAAAACCTTCAAAAACTGAAGATAGAAGGAATATACCTCAATATAATAAAAGCTATATACCACAGACCCAGAGTTAGTATCAGATTGAATGGGGAAAAACTGAAAGCCTTTCCTTTAAGACCTGGAACATGACCAAGATGACATTTTCACCACTATTATTTAGCACAGTACTGGAAGGCCCAGGTAGAGTAATCACGCAATAGAAAGAAATAAAGAGTATCCAAATTGGAAAGGAAAATGTCAAATTATCCTTGTTTACAGATGATATGATCTCTTATTTGAAAGATTATTACTTGAAAGATACCTAAAGACCACCAAAATGCTATTAGAACTGATAAACAAATTCAATAATGTTGCAAGATACAAAATCAACATACAAATACCAGTAGCATTTGTCTATGTCAACAGTGAGCCATCAGAAATGCAAATTTAAAAAAATAATCTGGCTGAGTGCAGTGGCTCATGCCTGTAATCCCAGCACTTTGGGAGGCTGAGGCAGGAGGATCACCTGGAGGCAGGAGGATCACCTGAGGTCAGGAGTTCGAGGCTAGCCTAGCCAACATGACAAAACCCCGTCTCTACTAAAAAATACAAAAATTAGCTGGGTGTGGTGGTACACATCTGTAATTCCAGCTACTTGGGAGGCTGCGGCATGAGAATCGCTTGTACCTGGGAAGCAGAGATTGTGGTGAGCCGCGATTGTGCCACTGCACTCCAGCCTGGGCAACAGAGTGAGACTCCATCTCAAAATATTAATAATAATAATAATCATCATCATCTTATTCACAGTAGCCACAAATAAAATTAAATGTCTAGGAATTAACTGAAGAAATAAAATATCTCTATAATGAAAACTATAAAACATTGATAAATGAAATTAAAGTGGACACTCAAAAGTGGAATGATTCCAGTGTCATGAATTAGAAGAACGAATATTGTTGAAATGTCCATACTATCCAAAACCATCTACAGATTCAATTCCTATCAAAATACCAATGACATTCTTAACAGAAATACAAAAAACAATCTTAAAATTTGTATGCAATTAAAAAAGACCCAGAATAGCCATAGTTATCCTGGGGAAGAAGTTACCAAACTGGAGGAATCAAACTATCTAACTTCCAGTTATACTACAGAGCTATAGTAACCAAAACAGCATAGTATTCTCATGAAAACAGACACATAAAACAATAAAGAAGAATAAAGAATGCTGAAAGGAATCCACATACCTACAGTGAACTCATTTTCGACAAAGGTGCCAAGGTGTAAAGACAGTCTCTTCAATAAATGGTGCTGGGAAAACTGGACATTCATATGCAGAATGAAACTAGACTCTTCTCGTCACATAAAAAAAATCAAACAAAATGGATTAAAGATTTAAACCTAAGACCTTAAACTATGAAACTACCACAAGAAAACATTAGGGAAAATTTCCAGGACATTGGTTTGGGCAAAAATTGTTTGAGTAATACCCAAGAAACAGGGGCCACCAAGCAAAAATGAACAAATGTGATCACTTCAAGTTGAAAGGCTTCTGTACCACAACAGAAACAACCAACAAAGTAAAGAGAGAGAATGGGAGAAAATATTTACAAACTACCCATCTGATAAGGAACTATTAACCATAATATATAAAGGGCTCCAACTAATCTATAGGAAAAAAAAATCTAATAATCTGACTTTAAAAATGGACACAAGATTTGAATAGACATTTCTCGAAAGAAGACATATGAATGGCAAACAGGCATATGAAAAGCTGCTCAACATTATTTGTCATCAGAGCAATGGAAATCAAAACCACAATGAGCTGTCATCTCATCACAGGTTAAATGGCTTACATCCAAAAGACAGGCAATAACAAATGCCGGCAAGGATTTGGAGAAAAGGATGCCCTTGCACACTGTTGGTGGGAATGTAAATTAGTACAATTACTACAGATTTGAGGTTCCTCAAAAAACTAAAAATAGAGCTATCGTATGATTTAGGAATCCCCCTGATGGGTGTATACTCAAAAGAAAGGAAATCAGTATATCAAAGAAACTTCTGCACTCCCATATTCGTTGTCACACTGTTCACAACAGCCAAAATTTAGAAACAATCTAAGGGTTTCAACAGATAAATGGATCAAGAAAATGTGGTACATACACACAATGGACCACTATTCAGCCATAAAAAATAAATGAGATCCTGTTATTTGCAAAAAAAAAAAAAAAAAGATGGAACTATAGATCATTATGTTATTTGAAATAAGCCAAGCATATAAAGACTAATATTGCATGTTCTCACTTATTTGTGGCCTGTAAGAATCAAAACAATTGAATTCATGGAGATAGAGAGTAGAAGGATGGTTACCAGTGGCTGGGAAAGGTAGTAGGCTGTGAGGGGGAGTTGTGGGTGGTTAAGAGGTGCAAAAAATAGTTAGAAAAATGAATATGACCTACTATTTGACAGCACAACTGGGTGACTATAGTCATTAATAATTTAGTTGTATATTTTAAAATAACTAAATGAGTATAATTGGATTGTTTATTAACACAAAAGATAAATGCGTCAGGAGATTGATACCCCATTCTTCATGATGTGGTTATGATACACACCTATATCAAAACATCTAATGTTCTCCATAAATATATGCATCTACTGTGTACCCACAGAAATTAAAAATGAAAAAAATAAAATGATATCTGAAATTAATAAAATAGAAAGCAGATAAATAATAGAAACCAATGTAAACAAAAGTCAGTTCTTTGAATAGAGCAACAAATTTAATGATCCCTTAACTATAATGACTGCAAAAGTAGGAGAGTAATTTCAGATTACTTCAATCAAGCATCGGAAATGAACACCACTACACACCTTACAGAAATAAAAAAATGATTTTACATGAATATTGTGAACAATTGAATGCCAAATTATTAGAAAACCCAGATGCAATGAGCATCTTTCTCGAATGGCATAAACTACTGAGACTGACTTAAGGAGAAATAGAGAATCAGAATAGGCTTACAAGTAAGGGGATATAATTAGTAACTTAAAAATAAAGCAAAGTAAAATTTTAGCAATTGTCCTGAGCCTATTCTTGGACTAAATGGGTTTACAGGCAAATTCTGGAAAGCAGTTGAAGAAGTAACAGCAATTTTCACAAGATCTTCTACAAAAAGGAGAATAAGAAGTCATACTTCCCAACTCATACTATGAATTCAGTATTAAAGTGATACCAACACTAGACAGCCATAACATGAAAACTACATATTATTATCCCTTAGTAATATAGTTATAAAAATTCTCAACAAACTATTAGTAAACTAATTCCAGCAACATATAAATAGGATTTTACACCATGATCAGTAAGTATTTATCATAGGAGAATGTAAATTTGAGTCAGCATAAAAGTCTATCAATACAAATATCACATTAACAGAATGAGGGAAAAATTCTTCATGAGCATCTCTATGGATACAGAAAGATCCATTGATGTGACCCAGCATCCTTTCATAATAATAATACTCAGTGAGCCAGGAATAGAACGAAATTCCTCAACTGTTAAAAGCCAACTAAGAAAAATGATTTAATTGTAAATGGTTGAATGTTTTCATCATTGAATCATTTAATCCTTCAATCAATGATTGAATGTTTCTATAATCAGGAGCAAAACAAGGTGTCCACTGTCATTTTATTTGTTATATTGTGCTTGGGACTCCTATCAGAGATATAAGCAAGCAAAGTTATAAAAGAGGTCACTGGGTACAATGAGATTCGTATAGGTAAGTCAGATTCAGACCATATTGGATCTTGAAAATCATATAAAAATCATTTGGGTTTATCTAAGAACAGGATAAGTACAAAAGAAAGTAGTGACATAGAGATGGATAAGGCATTTCATACTATTACAATTTATTAATTCCTTTTAATTATAGTTAAGTCCCCATTTAAATTTTAAAATTCTAAACAATTCTAATATTTCAATTCAAAAATGATATTTCTAATTATGTGTCCATCATAATACAGATTTAAAATCTATTTCAAATCAGAGACTTTTTATATGTATTTCTCTTTTTTTCACTCCTAGAAACATTTGCATGAAATAAAGGTCCCTGGGAAATTCTCATTTCCCCATTTAAATTTGCATTAAAAACATAATGCATAGTCAGGGAATATATACTGTGCTTAGAATTCTCCATTGCATACTGTGCTGTGTGAGTTAATTCCAGCAGACTTAGTATTGGCCTGGGCTGTCTTGCCTAAATAAAAAATGTACCTGTCTGTTACTGATCCCTGATCAAAGCATGTATTTCTTTGCCATGGTAGGGAAAAGGAGGTTTAGGGAGTTTTGTATCTGCTTTTCAGCATTGTTTTTTATTAACAGTGAAATTGATGACTTGCACACGGTCTCATTGAGGTCCCTGGGGTCTCTGCCGTTGGAGCTGTTTACATTGCAAGAATGGACCTTACATTCGAGCACAAATGAAACTTGTGTCTAGCCTTCCTGGATCCGATGCTGTGAGACAGCCTTTGACAGTGATTCATTTATTAACTTTAACATGGTCATTATATTATTTTGTATTTCTTCAATAAACCATACATTTGCAAGCATTGCCATATTGGGTATTGTTAGTATACTTTAGCAATGAAACCCTAGCTAACTGCCACTTACAGATACTTATTTCCTACAGTGCAGATTTCAAACTCCTCAATGCAATTAGCAAGGACTTTCTCAATAAGTTCCAATTTATCTCTCCAAAACTATGTGTTATACCTGCTAGCTTCTCACCCAATATCATTTTATTTTCTCCTCTATATTTTCATAGAAAGTGGGTCATTGCACCACTGTAAAATTATTGTATTGAATCACACCTATTTGTCAATATTTTTTATCTACTTATGCTTAATACACTGACACACAGTAAGTGCTCAATAAATGTTGGATGGATAGACGCATGCATGAAAGATTGTCCTTTGGTTTGGCCTTATTGCCATTGAAATACTTCTCTAACAACAGGTAACACAACGTGATACATAAAAATAATGTTTGTGGAAATACATTAGAACATGAACATGAATCATATTTTTTGCTATCTACCTTCCCTTTCCAATGTTCATAACTACTTCTACTACCAGTTAATTATATCCCACTGTTCATTTATTATCACAATTTAACTTGGTTATCACATAACAGCAGAAGACTTCATTGAACTACAGTGAAAGTCTGGCTCTAAGAGTGCCAGGGATAGTTAAATGAATTATAATTTAACATTGGCCCAGGGACTCAGGCTAAAAATTACTGAATGGACAGTTAGCTGATCTGAAAGGAGAGTACAATGGAAATTTTAAACAATTCACTGATAATCACCCAGGAGGGATTTGGAAAGTATGCTTTTATAGATAACATTCACAAAAATATTTAAAATTAATGCCTGAAAACCTTCTGCCAAATTTGTTTTAATCCCTATAATATGCAGAGTATTACAGTTTTCTTTTTTAACAGTTAGACTTTGCATTAGGCTTTCATGTTCATGTAAAGTATTGAAATGGAATGGAAATTTATACACTCAGTTTTGAAGGAATAATTCCAAGACATTAACCTGGCCAAAAATGACTACATTCAACCAGTGAATACTCTTGACATTATGATGGGTACAACCATTCCCCAGGAAGTTATGCTCCATTAAAAATATATTTTCTCCTTATCCCCACAGCCATTGGACTTTAAAACTAATGGATATATTAACAGTAAAAGTTTTAACACTCTGCAAAAAAAAAAAAATCAACAAAAACAATGAAAACTTTTGTATACAAACCACTATGTTCGGTTATTAGTATTATAATAGAAGAGGTTTAAATTAAAAGTACTGTTGCAGAAAGCCTAATCTGCAACTGTACCAATAAAATGTAACAAGTTCTGTCAATAAATCAAGGATTTGCTGATAAAATGTTACTTTTTATTCTCGAGTTAACTCAGGTGTGTTTATTCTATTAACCTTACATTTTGAAAATGACAATTCAGTTTTACTAATTACAGTTCTCATCATTTTCATCATATATCCCACAGAAATATGCATATGCTTCTTCCTTTGAATCCCTGGAATGCAGAAATTTAATTTCATTTCTATCTTCAGTAGTTTAATGATGCTATTACTCAATACATAGAAGAATAATGTTTTGTTTATTCATTTTTCATGTGTTTTGGTTCCCTTTCTTTCAAGTAATGAATGATATGTTAAACCACTGAATATTCTTTTTTTCTAAATATAGGTATTATATATCTACTGTCTAATTTTTGAATACAAATATAGCTAACCATAGTTATTTTACATCAGTTACGTAAACAGACAACCTAAAAATCTAACTGCTATTTATTTTTTTTTTATTATACTTTAAGTTCTGGGATACATGTGCAGAACATGCAGATTTGTTACATAGGTATACATATGCCATGGTGGTTTGCTGAACCCATCAACCCATCATCTACATTAGGTATTTCTCCTAATGCTATCCCTCCCCTTGCCCCCCACCCCCTACAGGTGTGATGTTCCCTTCCCTGTGCCCATGTGTTCTCATTGCTCAACTCCCACATATGATTGAGAACATGCAGTGTTTGGTTTTCTGTTCCTGTGTTAGTTTGCTGAGAATGATGGTTTCCAGCTACATCCATGTCCCTGCAGGGGACATGAACTCATTCTTTTTTATGGCCGCATAGTATTCCATAGTGTATATATGCCACATTTTCTTTATCCAGTCTATTATTGATGGGCATTTGGGTTGGCTCCCAGTCTTTGCTATTGTGAATAGTGCTGCAATAAACATATGTGTGCATGTGTCTTTATAGTAGAATGATTTATAATCCTTTGGGTATGTACCTACTAATGGGATTGCTGGTTCAAATGGTATTTCTAGTTCTAGATCCTTGAGGAATTGCCACACTGTCTTCCACAATGCTTGAACTAATTTATACTCCCAGCAACAGTGTAAAAGCTTTCCTATTTCTCCACATCCTCTCCAGCATCTGCTGTTTCCTGACTTTTTAATGATCCCCATTCTAACTGGCATGAGATGGTATCTCATTGCGGTTTTGATTTGCATTTCTCTAATGACCAGTGATGACGAGCTTTTTTTCATATGTTTGTTGGCATGGGCAAAGATTTCATGACTAAAACACCAAAAGCAATTGCAACAAAAGCCAAAATTGACAAATGGGATCTAATTAAACTAAAGAGCTTCTGCATAGCAAAATAAATTATCATCAGAGTGAACAGGCAACCTACAGAATGGGAGAAAATTTTTGCAATCTATCCATCTGACAAAGGGCTAATATCCAGAATCTACAAGGAACTTAAACAAATTCACAAGAAAAAGACAAACAACCCCACCAAACAGTGAGTGACGGACATGAGCAGACACTTTTCAAAAGAAGACATCTAACTGTTATTTATAACAGACTTTACTTCATCTCTGCCATTTTAAAATTTCCTAATACAAAAGCTGGATTAGTCTCATTTGTTGCTAATGCTACTAGTGCACATATCTATCAGTATTAATAATACTTTGAATACAAATGGTCTGTTTATTTGTCTGTCTTCCATACTGCAGAAGTTTTCACAAGGAAAAGATTTTGCTATATTTGTTGTGTTGTTAAATTCTCAGCATCCAGAAAAAAATGTCTGAGAAATGACAGCCACTCTCTGTGTTTGAAGGAAACTGAGTGGGTCATGGAGAGCTCAGATTAAACATTTTTTCTGGATGTGTCTGTGTGTTTCCAGGTGAGATTAACATTTGCATCGGTGGACTCAATAAGGTAGATTTCCCTCCTCAATCTTGTTGGGCATCATAAAATCCAGTAATGGCCTGAGTAGAACAAAAGGCAGAAGAATGAGGAATTTGCTCCTTTATTTATGCCTTACTGCTTGAGTTGGAATGTCTCATCTCATTTTCTCCTGCCCTCTGATTAGAATTTACATCATCAAGTTCATAGGCTTTCAGTCCTTCAGACTCAGACTAAATTATGTCACTAACAGATTATTGGACTTCTCAACCTCCGTAATCATGTGATCCAATTTCTCATAATAAATCTATCTATGTATCTATGTATCTATGTATCTATCTATCTATCTATCTATCTATCTATCTATCTATCATCTATCTATATCTATCATCTTTTATTGGCTTTGTTTCTGGAGAACCATGGCTAATACATGCATGAATTATTTTTTGCAAAGCCTTATGCATTTATTCTAAGTTAATCTTAAATACATTGGTAAGATTTATGCCTATAATATTTAACTTGTAGAATTAGGTACGAAATGAACTATAAAAGAGATAAAATAATCTGTGTGTTATGTCTATAAATTTAAAGAATTTTAGTCCATAGTGTAAGGGAATTGATTGCTTTTATTTCAATTACAGTATCCCCAATTAATAGTATATTACAGGCATTCTTTATTATATCATAACATTTTGAGTTGACCCATTGATCCTTTGGGAGCATATGTTTAATTTTCATATGTTTCTATATTTTCCAATGTTCTTCTTGTTATTCCATTGTGGTAAGAAAGGAAAGTTAATATGATTTAAATATTTTGTATTTGTGGAGACTTTGCTATGCCCTAGTAAGTATATGGTCTACTCTGGAGAAAATCCCATGTGTTGATGAGGATAATGTGTATTTTGCAACAGTTGGATGAAATGTTTTATAAATGTCAATTACATTCATTTGTTCTAGAGTGTAGTTTAAGTCCAATGTTTCTTTGTCAATTCCCTGTCTGGATGATATGTCCATTACTGAGAGTGGGATGAGTCTGTCTTCTGCTATTATTAAATTTGAGTCAATCTCTTCTTTAATATGTATTAATATTTGCTTTATATATTTGAGTGCCTATGTGTTGGGTGCATATATATATATATATATATATATATATATATATATATATGTATATATCTTTCTGCTTAATTGGACCCTTCATCATTATATAGTGACTTTCTTTATCTCTTTTACTGTCTTTGACTTGAAGTCTGTTTCATCTAAATAATATAGGTATAGTTTCTCTTGTTCTTTTTTGGTTTCCGTTTGCACAGGATTATCTTCCATGCCTTAACTTTCAGTTTATGTGTCTCTTTATAGATGAAGTGAGTTTCTTGTAGGGAGCAAAAATTTTAGGTCTTGTAATTTTATTCATTGAGCCACTCTATGTCTGTTAATTGGAGAATTTAGTCCATTTACATTTAATGTTATTATTTACAGGAAAAGACTTACTATTGCCATTTTGTTTCTCGTTTTCTAGTGATTCTGTATCTCTTATCTTTCTTTCTTAATGTTTTCTTGTGTGGCTTAGTAATTTTCTCTGGCAGTATGTTTTGATTTGTTGCTTTTCAATTTTAGTTTACTACTACAGGTATGTGTTGTGTGGTTACCATGATGTTTACAAAAATATCTTATTGATACAACAAGTTATTTTAAATAAACGAATACTTAACTTTGATCACAAAGGCAAAAACTAGAAAAAAAAATCTATACTTTAACTCCATCTGTGATTTTGACCTTTTTTAAATGTTTAATTTTTGTGTGTTTATTGTCATTGTCCCAATTTACAACTTTGTATATTGCCTACGTCTTAACATGCTGTTGTTATTATTAATTTTTATAGATTTGTCTTTTAGTCTTTCTACTAGAGATATGAGTGGATTACACACCACAATTACAGTATTAGAGTCAGGTAAAGCAACTTTATTATTCACAAATAGGAAGCAAAAATCAACAGAAACCTAATTTTCATGGCAAGCTAGTACTCCAAGGCTCAGAAAAAGTGCTCAGGGCAGTGGCCAGGCATGGTGGCTCATGCCTGTAATCCCAGTATTTTGGGAGGCCAAGGTGGGTGGATTGCTTGAGTCTAGGAGTTCAAGACCAGCCTGGGCAACATGATGAAACCCAGTCTGTACAAAAAATACAACAATTAGCCAGGCATGGTGGTGCTTGCCTGTAGTCCCAGCTACTTGGGAGGCTGAGGCAGGAGGATCTCTTGAGCCCAGGAGGCAGAGGTTGAAGTGAGCCAAGATTGCGCCATTGCACTCTAACCTGGGTTACAGAATGGTACCCTCTCTGAAAAAAGAAAGAAATAATGCTCAGGGCAGAGAGAATCTTTTCTGCCTGTTCCCCACTTTGCACCACAACTGCAGAAACCCAAAAGCACTCCAATCTGGCTTTTTACCTCTAACACTACTGAGCATGTGGAATACAAGTGTTGTATAAAATCTTGTTTTAGTAGAGACCAGTTCAGTGCCACGAGTGTTCTGTCAATTTATTCTTATCTATGGCCACTGCATTCTAGCACTTCCTATAGTTATCCTCAGAGCTACAAGAAGGATGGGGAAGAGCTGGGTTAGCCAAGCCAGGGTCATCTGGGGACCTCTCGTCCAACACTTCTAGTTTAATCAATTTGTTGGTATGTAATTGTTCATAATGGTCTCCTTTGATCCTTTTGATTTTTGTGAAACCAGTTGTAATTTATCCTCTTTTATTTCTGATTTAATTTATTTGTGTCTCCTCCCTTTTGTTTTCTAAGGGAATCTAGCCATAATTTATCAATGTTCTTTAGATTTTTCAAAACCAGTTCTTAGTATTGTTGATTTTTTTCTATTCTTTTTTCTTTTTCTTTTCTTTTATTTTATTTGAGACGGAGTCTTGCTCTGTCACCAGACTGGAGTGCAGTGGCACAATCTCGGCTCATTGCAACCTCTGCCTCCTGGGTTCAAGCGATTCTCCTGCCTCAGTCTCCCGAGTAGCTGGGAGTACAGGTGCGTGCCACCACGCCTGGCTAATTTTTTGTATTTTTAGTAGAGATGGTGTTTCACTGTGTTAGCGAGGACGGCCTCAATCTCCTGACATCATGATCCGCCCACCTCGGCCTCCCAAAAAGTGCTGGGATTACAGGCATGAGCCACCGCACCCAGCTATTCCTTTTATTTTTTCTCTAATCTATAATATTTCTTTTATTGTGCTAACTAACTTTGAGCTTAGTTTGTTCTTGTTTTTCTAGTTCTTTGAGGTGTAAATTTAGAAGGTTTACTGAAATTCTCTCTTCTTATTTTAGTATAGATACTTATCATCATAAACTTTTCTCTTAGCACAGCTTTTGTTGCATCCCATAGTTTTTATTGCATTATCTTTTAATTTATCTAGGTCTCAAGATATTTTCTACTTTTTATTTTTATTTATTATTGAGTCATTGATTGTTCAGAGGTGTGTTGTTTAATTTCCACATATTTGTGAATTCTCCAGTTTTCCTTCTGTTATAGATTTCTAGTTTCATTTCATTGTGATTAAAAATGATATTTAGTATGATTTCAATCTTAAATTTGTCAAGATACTCTTTGAGACCTAACATATCATATATCCTGAATAACATTGCATATGTGCTTGAGAAGAACGTATATTCTGTTGCTGTTGGGTTGAATGTTCTGTATATGCCTGTTAGATCCATTTGATCTGCATGGTTGTACAAGTCTAATATTTCCTCATTGATTGTTTTATGGATGTTATATAAATTATTTAAAGTAGGATATTGAATTATCCTGCTAATATAATAATACTATCTATTTTTCTTCAGTTCTGTCAATGTTTGCTTTATATATTCAGCTGCTCTAATGCTGGGTGCACATATGTTTATAATTGTTATATATTCTTGGTGAATTTATCCTTTTATTATTATATAATGACTTTCTTTGTCTCTTGTAACAGTTTTCGACTCAAAATGTATGTTGTCTGAAGTGAATATAGCTACTCCTGCCCTCTTTTGGTTACCACTTGTATGTTATATCTTTTTTCATTTCATCAATTATAGCCTATGTATGTTCTTAAAGCCAAAGTGACCATCTTGTAGACTGCATGTAGTTGGATCTTACATTTTAGTTATTCAGCTCTAGATATCTTAGGTGCGAAGTTTAACACAATTATGTTTAAAATGATGATTGAAAGGGAAATACTTACTATTACCCTTTTTTCGATTATTTTCTGTTTCTCTTGTAGTTATTTTTTCCCTATTTTCCTCTCTCGTTGTTTTCCTTCGCGTTTATTTAATTTTTTTGAATTGGTATACTTAGATTTCTTTTTCTTTTTCTTTCCTGTTTCTCTTATAGGTATTTTCTTCTGGTTACCATGAGGATTACAAAAAAAAAAAAACCTTACAGTTATGATAATCCGTTTTAAGCAGATAACAATTCAATTTAACTTCACTTGCATACAAAAATTCTTTTTCTTTTTTTGAGACGGATTCCCGCTCTGTCGCCCAGGCTGGAGTGCAGTGGCAAGATCTCCGCTCACTGCAAGCTCCGCCTCCCGGATTCATGCCATTCTCCTGCCTCACCCTCCCAATGTAGCGGGGACTACAGGCGCCAGCCACCACGCCCAGCTATTTTTTTATATTTTTAGTAGAGATGGGGTTTCACTGTGTTAGCCAAGATGGTCTTGATCTCCTGACCTCGTGATCCGCTCGCCTTGGCCTCTCAAAATGCTGGGATTACAGGCGTGAGCCACCGCACCCGGCCAAAAACTCTTTAATTTTCCCAACTTCACACTTTTTTATTGAGGCCATAATTTATTTCTTTGTATATTGTATATTCATTAACTTATTTCTGTATTTATATATTTTAATACTTTTGTCTTTTAACTTTTATACCAGAATTAATAATTTTTGTCACCATTACAATAATATATTATTCTGTATTTTCAATATATTACCTTTATCAGAGAGTTGTTTTCTCTAATATGCTTTAATATTACTTTTATTATTTTTAATTTTCAACTTAAAGAACTCAATCTTTATTGCCTGGGCTCATATTGAGGAAGAACTTCACCAATCACCCCAGTCAGAGATTTTGGGATCTGTTCAACCTTTCATGATGATCTCATCTGCTTTCTTTGTTTTTAGCAGCCCCTGCATGTCAAGAGTATGCTATGTTCCATCAGTACTCAGAAAAGTGAAACTGAAGCTCATTTCTTGGGTAGCTTCTGGAAAAGTTGGATCATTGAACACTCTGCCCAATTCTTTCTCTCTCTGGAGGAAGCTGGGGTCTTGGTGTTTGCACCTTTCTACTTTACGCTGAGTCAGATAGAGGGTCTATAATGACTGCTAGTTCAAACCAATGTCTTTTTTATTTTTTTCACCTGATCTTAGGCAGCAAGCGTATGCTTGGTCCTGTTAGTACTCCAGAATAAGTAAGACAGAAGGCAGACTTTTGGGCAGCTCCTTGAAAAGTTGGAAACACCGCAAGCACAGCCCAATTTTTCTCTTTCCAGGGAGAAAATGGGAGCTGGGTTATTTTTTTCTGTTCACTCTTTTGTGAGGCAGAAAGATGGGCTATGTTGACTGCTTTCCCAAATTGTCATCTTTATTCCCACTGGTGCCAACGTAACTGCAGTATTCTGGTCCCATTAGCACTCTGAAACAGTCAAGAGAGAAGCAAGTCTCCTGCGAAGCTCTCAAAAATGTTTGAGTGTTGGATTCATGTTCCAACTTTTCCATTCTTAGGGAGAAGCTGGAATGTTGGGGGTTTTGTCTAGATCATAGGGTGCTGTGCCAGGATGTGAGAGGGTATTTTAAATATCTTTATTGGCTTTGACATTTCTGGTTTTGTGCTCACTCATGGTACAGAAGCCTCTCAAATATTTTCTGAATTATTCACAAATGAAATTTATGTGTTTTGTTGTTAAATCAGTGTGTTTGTGAGGGGAAGGAACATGCAAGCCTTTCTATTCTGCCATCTTGCTGACATCACTCTAAACATTCAAGTTTTGGTAAGTGTATAAAAATACATAATTTTTCCTTTGGGGGACCGAGGTGGGTGGATCACGAGGTCAAGAGATCGAGACCATCCTGGCCAACATAGTGAAATCATCTCTACTAAAAATACAAAATTTAGCTGGGCGTGGTGGCGTGCGCCTGTAGTCCCAGCTACTTGGGAGGCTGAGGCAGGAGAATCGCTTGAACCCGGGAGGCGGAGGTTGCAGTGAGCCAAGATGGTGCCACTGCACTCCAGCCTGGCAACAGAGCGAGATTCTGTCTATTTTTGAATATATGATCTAATATACATTCAGCATTTACTGTAAGGAAGGTGCTATATTCAGTGTGCTACATGCATCATCTCCTTTACTCATAATAACCCTGTAATATATCTATATCTATCTCTATTTCACAGATTAATAATCTGTGTTTCCAAAATATTTATACACACACACACACACACACACACACGCACGCAGCCACAAAAAGTGGCAAAAGAGAGCCTAGAATTCAGAAATGTGACATGACAAAACATATTATCTCCTTATGGATGATTCAGTGTGCAATGCCATGTAGTATAAGTTTACCTGGTCTATAAAATGGGATGATCAAATATTCACTTATTATGATTGCAGAGATGATTAATGAGACAATGCATCATATATAATGTCCTTAACATGGTAGTGACTTACGGTTTTCAGCCCAGAGACCCCAGTGCACTACACTTACTGTTCCTGGCCTGGTGACCTCCTGTCACATCTTGGTTTGTCTCTAGATAGGCTGTGCTCCTGAGAAAAGCCTGATAAATTGTAGAATATGAAGATGAAGGTGAAAGCTATAGCAGGGATGCAATTAAACATCAACTTGCAGTCTCCACTAATTTATCATCATTAACTCCCTCAGGTGTTTTTGTATAGTTTTTAATAGCTCCTCTTGGCAATGTTTCTGCCTGTTAATTGATATTTTTAGTATTTACTCTCTTGGTTCTGAGTGGCCAGTTGTTTCCACCCAATTATAACCAGTAAGCTGTACCTCCTCTCTTGGCTCTTGACTATACCCAAATGACATGTTAATTCCGTTCTCTTCCCCAACCTCATTCTATTGCTTTACAGAAAAATAGAGATATAAATAATTTTCACACGTACAATTCAGTGGCAGAATAACTTACAAGGCATTCTCTATGCAAACCATGTGTTCTTAAAAAGACCCTTCTCAGGCAATTGAATGAGCTGCATATTTAACTTACCTGAAACACTGAATATTCTAATAATCATGTGTTTAAAAAGTATATACTTTACAAAGTGGAACCTTTTAAATGTGAAACTTCCTTGAACATATATACCTTTATTAGACTTGTTTAAAGGAATGGTCTATCAATTTACTCAGGAAAACTAAAATTATAAATTATCTTGTTTGTAACTTTTATTACCCCAAAATTTAAAAGACTAAAACTTTGCACATCTCACATGTGCAGTTTTCTGAATTAAGCTATGTATCGTTATTCTTTTCACTGTCTTCATTTAAAGATTCATTTTTGGTCTTCTGCTGGAAAAAGTTGAATTGTGTCAGTGTGAACATTACTTCTCATTTTGATGACCTCCATGTAGTACAAGCTAATAATACATAATTATGAAAATGTGCCCTTTTCAGAATAATATATTTCCTACAAGAAAAGTAATATTTACACAAAATCCAAGACATATAAAATTAATCAAACTCCATAAATGTTTTATTTTTCATTAATTTGGTTGACATTATAAAGTGATGACATTACAAATACCAAATTAATTACATTATTAAAAATGAGTTCCATATTACCGAAAATGTTTTGGCAAATAGTGCAGTTCTAGGATAGGCAGTACTATTCAATGAGCAGCATTTCTTAAAGTAGGCTGCCTGGATCACTAATTTTATGGAATGCTAATAGGTGTTACATGAAAAAAATATAGTTCTACAAGTTTATCTTCTGTTTTAAACAGGTTTTATTCCTGCAAGGTTGTTCAAAGCTTTAGTATGCTAATATTCATTGTGAATTTTTAATAATCTGGTATACCATACAGCATTTCTCAGACTTATTTTATTTTAGAACACTTCGTTTCACGGACTTTGTTTTTAAGAACTGGGCCACGAATTGTTCTTTGCGAAATACTGGTTTTTGCATAGTTGAAAGAAAGCTAAAAGTGAAAACAGGTGAACGTAAGAGAGCAGAAAGATAAAACTGTATATAAGCAACCAACAAGCATTCCAGGAATAACTTATTGCCTAGCACAGTGTTTTATATACACAATATGTGTTTGTAAATATTCATGGAATAAATGGAAAGGGGAATACGTGACTGTAATCCTATAATTACTCTTTACTGATTAGAGCACTACATTTTAGAAGTCAAATTCCAATGTTATAGTTAAAAAGAAAGGATCGGATTTGCAGTTAGACATACACAAGCCTCACTCTACAGCTAGGTACCTCTGACAAATTGTTAATGATTAATCATCCTAAGCCTTAGTTTATCTCTTAATAGTAAATAATACTATTTAATTTTCAACTTGTCATAAAAATTAAATTTACAATAGCACTTTAAAATTGCTTGGCACAGAGTAGGTATTCACCAAACACTGGTTTCCTTCCCTCTCAAGGAAATTAAACTTTGATTCCAAGTAATTGTGATGGAAAATTTTACAGATATGGGAATCACAGCAAATTTGATTTTAATCTCTACTCACATGCTTGCCTGCTGTGCAGCCCTGTGTAGTCCTTAATTTCTCTTTGCTGTGGCTCTTAATATATAAAATGAGAACAAAATTACCAAGCTCAAAGTGCTATTATGTTTAAAATATAAAACACGTAGTAAGCAGCTTACACAAAGTAGGCCCTCATAATTCACTGCCTTTATTTCTGATTTCTGAAAAACTCTGAAGTGAAAAACCTATTTAACAAGTATGTAACAACATTGTAAAAATTGTGTGGGATCTATTGTAGATGATGATTGTAGACAACAGGTTTTCAATGCATAGACTCTATTCAAAAGGGGTATATGTTCTTAACATAAGCAAAGAGGTAACAAACTATTTTATATACCTGGTAAAAAATTCACTGCCACTCAGAATATAGTCAGTTTAGAATCCATTTCTCTCTTTTGCTTGCCTAAATAGCAATATGAAGTTTATCAAATATAGTAATAATAATTAAATTATCTGGGAACAGAGATGAGCAGAGTTGGGTAAAAGGCAAGGAAAGTGCTGATAATTATAAAGCTATGATTCCATTATTATTGGATTGTATATTTTCTACATTTTCTCCTTTGCTTCCTAAACATTCCTATTGAAAAAAAACACTGATTTTGTTCTTCTGCTTCAAAGTAAGTCCTATATGATAAAATCACACTTCCCCATGCACATACACTCTCTGTCTCTCTCTCTCTCTCTCTCTCACACACACACACACACACACACATATTATTTTAGTACAGAATAATAGCTGAATAGATTTTATTTATTGTCTTCCAGATTAAAAAAATATATATTTGAAACATTGACACTCTCTCAGCTACTCTAATGACTGGAAGGCAAATTCTCTCAGCTGAGTTGTAAAGCACAGGAAATAGAGGTTTATAATGGCAGAGATGACAGACCTTTAACTAGACTGGCACCAACACACAGCTATAATTTTACTTTTTGTCTAATTCTGACAAGAGCCTCCATAGATCATGGTTAATGACACTCTGGGGGCTTCAATATTTCTGAGAGGGGCCACATAATTCAGTGAATATATGGTGGGTATCCAGTATACATGTCAGAAAAGGAGGAAAGGAAGGGTTTGGCATTTTCCTCAAATACCAACAGTCAGAGCTGTACTGAGAACAAGACAAAAACATTGAGAACAAAACAATTGCCATTGGCACAGCATTCTGTATGGAATTTTTTTCTGCCAGGCTTGTCAGTTAAGCTGCTATATCAATTGTGGTTTGTGACTGATTTATCTGACTTTTTACTTTTAATCCCTTCAGCTATTTTGTATACATTTCTTGTGTGTTTTTCTAAAGGCAGTGGACAATGGGCTCTAGGCGTTATAAGGTGATGAATTCATTAATAATTCCTCCAAACTATCTTTACTTTATCAATTTAATGCTGTCTCATTCTTTTCCAAGATATGTTAAAAATAAAGCATATTGTGAAATAATTGAATAATAAGAGTAATTATTTACTTTTTTTTTCTTGAGTGTCTCCCAAACCAGAAAATTACTTCAAATGAGTATGAAAATTTAGTTGACACTTTGTCCTCAAGAGGGGAAGGCAAAGCTTTGCTGGTGAGAGGTCTGAAAACTTGGTATCCTGAATAAGTGAAGTTTGTTGGTATAGAAAGAATTCCTTAATTCACGTTTCTTCTCTAAGAAATCATCGCAAAATGGGCATCTTACGGTTCTCTAAAACTTTTACTGATAGGTTATAAAGTTGAATACAAACATTTTTAGAAATAATATTTCCTTTATTGAAATACAGAGCACATTCAAAGAAGTGAAATAATATTTTATCTGATAGGAAGGAGGTATAATTATTGGGAGACACTTGGGAGAAGAGGATGAGATGCTGAGAATGTTTTTATTCCTTACTCTGGATGGTAGTTACATGATGGATTCACTTTGTGATCATTAATTGAGCTATACATGTGTATTTTTGAGACTTTTATGAGTGTGTTTGTATATATGAGAAATGCAAATAAAAATCTAATTGCATTGTGGAATTAAGGAAGAAAGTTTAGTCTACAAATTGATCAAGGGGAAACTTCTAAAACCATAGCCAATTGATAACACAAAAGGGACTTTTTTATATATATTGATAAAAAATTAAGTCAGTTTTAATTGCAGTTTTACTACTATAAGATGAATAAAAATTATTATTTCCTGATATATTGCTGTTAATATCTTTTTAGAAGCTAACCATGTTTAAATTCTATAATTTAGCTCATGAGTTATGCAAATTTATTGGATACAATTTCTTATGAATATATTGAGGGTAGTGACATCAGCAAGAGTATGGAGTAGGAGATCCCAGTTTTTACCACTCCATAAAGAATAACAACTGGACAGCTGTCTGTGAATGTAAACAGCTCTGGAGAAGTCAGGAGTTCATTTTAACAACTTCAGCAGCACACCGGAGCAAAAAGGAAAAAAAAAAAAAAAGATGGTCACACAAAAAGTGTAGGAAGAACAGTTTAATTTTGCCTGCATCATCCCATCTTCTGGCCCAGCAGTGCTCAGTGTTGAGAGAAAAATCCCCAGCTTGTTATATTCCTTCATAGGGGGAAGGAGAGCAGGGTAAATGAGTAGCTTCTCTAGACTGCGGACACTGCCCCCAAGGTCCTGCTATGGTTTCCTCTACTCAGATCACTGAGGAGACCAGAATGTCTCTATTACTAGAAACTACTGTAACAAACAGTAGAGAATATCAGAATCAGCCATGTGGTAGGTGCCAAAATGATCCCAAATATCTTGCTCTGTAGGGGGCACCAGCAATCTGCTGCTGAGAACCTTAAGAGCCTCATGACCACCTTGTACTTCCTGCAGGTTTCACCATTGAAGACCCCACAGCGTTCATCATTGCAAATCCTAGTGGCCTGTTCTGCAGAGGATCTAAGTAGATTTTCCTGCTAAGGAAACCAACAGCTAGCACAGCCACCACACGAACGCTGCACGTTTTGCTGCCAAGGGCTACTGGTTTTACCTTCACGGATTCCAGTTGTCTGACCCACCTCCCTTTTTCTTCTCCCTTACCAAGAACCACCCCAGCCACAGCCACTGCAGAAGCCCTGGTGCTAGGACCCAGCACAGCCAATGCATGAGTGCCTGCAAACAGCTAGGTCCTCTGCAATTGGCACTGGCTCCCAATGATGCATGCAAATCTTAGCTGATCCTTCAGCCGTGGTCATGCAGGTAGCCACCGCAACCCTGCTGCCAGCCCTCACCACCATGAAAACACCTGTAACTGGCCCCTAAAGCTATGTGTATGTACATTGCTAGGCCCAGATCCTGCAGCAGTTCACATACATGCAGCAAGCCTCAACTCCCATTTCTTATTCACAATGCCTAAGTTACATATGTGCATGTCACAGCCTTAGCCCCCATAGCAACACAAGCACATGCAGCCATCCCCAATACCCATTCCTGGCTCCAATTGCCACACTTGTGTGAGAAGCTTGTTTCTACAGTTGTGTGCATGTACACTACCAGTTCTGGTCCTTGCCGACGTGTTCACTCATGTTGCTAGCACTCCCATGCATATACCCAGAGCTGGCTTCTGCAGCTATGTGCATGTAGGCAGCCAGCCCTGATCCCTGTAGCAATGCATGTACCTGCAGCTGGACATAGCATGTACACACTGGTGATTGATGTCTCCAGCCCCACTGCTGGTGGCCCCAGATTTTTGCCACTGGAACCAGAGGAACCACTAGAGACCTCAACAGCTCTGACACCCACTGTGGAGGCCCCATAGCTCTTACCACCAAGGCCCATGCAGTTTCCAATGTCACAGACCCCAGCAACCTGAGTCAATGAAAAACCACACCTCCTTGGACCCAGAGATGCTACATGCCCTACAGTTAGTGCCTAGTGCCATAGTGCACTACAGTGTTATCTTCCATCAAAGGGAAGGTCTTTCCTTACCAAAGGCAGCCATTTAAGCCTGTAAGTGTTGACTGATGTTTCAGATGTGCAGACACCTATGCAAGGCTGCAAGAATCAAGAAGAATCAAGGGAATTGTGATTTCACCAGAGGAACCAATTTACTTCCAATAACCAATCCCAAAGAAATGGAAATCTAAAAATTTCCTGAGGAAAAAAATTCAAAGAAATTGTTCTAAAAAGGACAGAAAACTACAAGGAAACACAGATAAACAGCTTAACTAACCAGGAAAGCATTACAAAAACAAAATGAGAGGCTCAATAAAGAGTAAGCATATAAAAGAACCAAACAGAAATTTTAGGGCTGAGAATACAATGATTGAACTAATAAACGCAGTAGAAAGCATCAACAACAGGTTCATTGAAATAGAAGAGAGAATCAACAAACTCAAAAATAAGCCATTTGAAATTATTGTCAGAGAAAAAAAAAGTTTACAAAGAATGAAAAGGAATGAAGGAGGCTTAAGGGATGAATGGGATGCTATTGATAGAGAAAATATTGTTTGCATTATGAAATTCTGAAGGAGAAGAGAAAGAACAGGGGGCCAAAAGCTTGTTTAGAGAATTAGTCATTAAATATTTCCCAAATCTATGCAGAAATATGGACATTCAGTTACACGAAGCTCTGAATTCTTCATGTAGTTTCAATTAAAAGAATATTTCACCAAGACCTAGTATAATGAAACAGTCAAAAAATCACAGAGAGTATCCTGAAAGCAACAACAAAAAGAAGCGTATTATACACAAGTGAGTTTCAATTAAGCTAGTGGCAGATGTCTCAGCAGAAACCTTGCAGGCCAGGAGAGAGTGGGATGATATATTAGAAGTGCTGAATGAGAAAAACTGCCAAACATAGTTGCAAAGGCCAGCTGTAGGCATTTGCGTGGGAACATGAATGCACACAGCTGCAATTAGTAACATGAAAACAGATGAAAGTGTAAACCTCATTGGAAAAGGTAAATATATAGTCAAATTCAGAATACATTAATACTGCAATAATGGTGTATAAATCAAGTCTTAACAAATTTAAGTCTTGGAAATCTTAACAAGCATCTTTTCTGACCCCAATGCTATAAACTAGAAATCAATAACAGGAGAAAAACTGGAAAATTCACAAGTATGTGGAAATTAAACAACATCCTCCTGAATAGCTAGTGACTGAAAAAGTAAATAAAAAGGAATATAAAAAATGTTTTGAGACAAATGAAAATGGAAGCACAACATACCAGAACTTATGGAATGCAGCAAAACAGTTCTAAGAAGTTTATAGTGATAAATACCTACATGATAAAAGGAGAAATATCTCCAATAAATATCCTAAGTTTACACCTCAAGGAACTAAACAAGAACCAACTAAGCCCAATTTTTTTTCTTGTTCTCATGAGCTTTTATTTCTGTGAGGATAGTCAAAGAAACATAAAAAACAGTGAATGCATAGGGTGTCTTTTGTCCCAACCAATGTTCAAAGCTAACTACACATATTAACACACTCAATTATCACAACAGCCCTACGAAATAATTACCATTATGACCCCTAGTTTACAGATGATAGAACTGAGGACAAAAGGATTAAGTTACTTGCCAAAGGTTACAGAGCTAGTAAAATGCATCTCCCCTACTCTCAAATAGAAGACAATCACTTTTTTTTTTTTTTTTTTCTGAGACAGCGTCTCACTCTGTCACCCAGGCTGGAGTGCAGTGGCATGATCTCAGTTTACTGCAGCCTTCGCTTTCCTGGGTTCGAGGGATTCTCCTGCCTCAGCCTCACTAACAGATGAGATTGCAGGCGCCTGCCACCAGGCCCGGCGAATTTTTGTATTTTTAGTAGAGACGGTGGTTCACCATCTTGGCCAGGCTGATCTCAAACTCCTGACTTTAAATGATCCACCTATCTCGGCCTCCCAAAGTCCTGGGATTACAGGTGTGAGCCACTGTGCCCAATCAACAATTACTAAATTAATTATATAGAAAAGACTTTCTGAAAAAACAAACTCAGAGCTCCTTAGAAATTCCTATTTTTTTCTTATCCTCTGTGTTTTTTTATATAATTTTAGCTTTTATTTTGGATTAAGAGAAGCCCAAATATAGCAGAAGGAAGGAAATAACAAAGATCAGGTCAGTAATAAATGAAATGAAGACTAGGACCGTCATAGAAAAGATCAACAAAATTGTGAGTTGTTTGTTAATATAAGCCAAATGGATGAATTTTTATATAAACTAACCAAGAAAAATAGAGAAGACTCAAATAAATGAAATAGAAAAAAGAAGAGACATTAGAAGTGATACCTCCTGAGTACAAAAGGTCCTAAGAGACTAATATGAACAATGACATCTCAACAATTGGATAATGTAGAAGAAATAAATTCCAGGAAACATAAAACCTACTAAGAGTGAATCATAAAAAATAGAAAATCTGAATAGACCAGTAAGTAATGAGATTGAATCTGTAATCTAAAGTATATCAACAATGAAAAGTTCGGTACCAGATGTCTTAACTGGTGGATTCTACCAAATACTTAAAGAATTAGTGACAATTCTTCTAAAACTCTTTCAAAAAACTAACGAGGCGATATCACTTCCAAACTCATTTGTATAAAGCCAGTATAACCCCATTACCAAAGCCAGACAAAGACATTACAAGGAAACAAAATTACTGGCCAATATCCTTGATGAAAGTAGATGCAAATTTTCAACAAAAATGCCAGCAAGCCAAATTTAACAGTACACTCAAAACAGCATACACCATCATCAAGTGGGATTTATTTCTGGGATACAAGAATTATTCAATATGCACAAATAAATCAATATGATATACTACCTTAATAAAGTAAAGGACAAAAATCACATGGCCATCTAAATAGATGCAAAAAAAAGCATTTAACAAAATTCAACACCCTTTCATGATAAAACTCTCAATAAATTAGGTATAGAAGGAATACATCACAACATAATAAAGGCCATAAATGACAAGATTACAGATAAAATCATACACAAAGGTGAAAATCTGGAAGCTTTTTCTCTAACATCAGTAACAAACAAGGATGCCCACTCTCATCCCTTCTACTCAACAAACACTGAAAGTTTCAGACCGATCAATTAGCCAAGAAAAATAAATAAAAGGCAACACAAAACCAAATATCATTCAGCCTTTACAAAGAAGGAAATCCTACCATTTGCAACAACATGAGTAAACCTGGAGAACATTATACTAAGTAAAATAAGCCAGACACAGAAAAACAAATACCACACAATGTAACTTGTATTAGGAATCTAAAATGTCAAACTCACAGAAGCAGAGACTAGAATGATAGTTACAAAGGAATGGGGGTGGGAGACAAAGGGAGATAATGGTTAAAGAGTAAAAACGTTCAGTTATAAAATTAGTAAATTCTGGAGACCAAAAGTGCAGCATGCTGACCATAGTTAATAATAATGTATTATATACATGAAATTTGCTGAGAGTAGATCTCAATTTTTTGCACCATGAACACACGTATATGCAAAGATAACTATGTGATGATGAATATGTTAATTAGCTTGATTGTAGTAGTAATTTCACAATGTATACATATATCAAAACATCACGTTATATATTTTAAATATCTACTTTTATTGGTTGATTATCTTTCAATAACGGTGGAAAAATAAGGGCCAGGTTTTTGCATTGCCACCCTCTATGCAAGCTAGAGGCCACAGGAAACATGGTTCAGATTAGCAGTTCTCAACCTGCATATCATGACATCATGACATAGTCATGTGTTGCCAGTAATTTGCTACTGTGCAAAGTTAAAATACAAAGTTTACCAATATTTTATCTTATGTAGCTTATTCATTCGTATATTATCCTTATTGGCATATATTCCTTTATTTCTTCTTTAGTAGAAGAGAAACACATAGAATTCACTAGGAACATCACATGACCAACAGACTATTTAATGTATTCCATATCCCATGACTAAAATTGAAACCTGTCTAAAAGAATGTGTTTTGTATGCAATCTTTATCCATCTTGTAAAACACAGTGAAAAGAAGTTGACAACTACAGCTATAAATCATCCCCAGAGAGTGCATGTGGGACCTGGCCTTGGAAAATATAATTGAGCTACCTTGGAATTGGAGCACTGGCTCCAGCCCACAGCTTTTATATTGATAGTATCATTAAAGCCAAGGCCTAGATCTTGAAAGAAAACCTAGCTATGTTCTCATGTCATTATTGAAGTCATAGAAATCCATTCCATAGCAATGGATGAGATTTCTCATTGAAAATCTTTGAGATATCTGAAGAAATCACCAGGATCAGGAGAGTACATGCATAAATTATGACACTCCAAATAAGCATATGTTTGTACCCAATTAATATAGACAAATTTAATTAATGCTTGAAAGGAAAAATAACAAGATAGTATCATGTTTATGTTTCTACATGAAAGATAACGATTGTCAACTTACATATGTAATTTTGACTTGCATCAGGATTTGACTGGGTCTAGAAGCCTACTCTGAAATGTCATACATGCAAAAATCACACATAGTCAGACTTTCAAATGTAGTTTGAATTTTCATAGGCCTCACCAGTTTCTGAGAATATATGGGGTCACACATAATGTAATCATTCAAATCCACTGGCTTTTGTCTCCACCTGCTTACAGTATCTCAGACTTCTTTAAAGAGTCCTTTAAGAATTTCTGGAAATTATTGGGACTGTCTCACATGTAGTTAGCATTTCTATTGGTCTGTTTTCTACTTACCATTTTATCTGTCATCTCCATTCTGATAATTACCCCATCCAACTAATGTTTATATTTCAGATATGGAATCTTTTCATTATAAAATTTCCAATTTTTTGGTAATTTGTATTTTATGCTAAGAATATCTATCTTAGCATTAATTTCAAAGCTGTTTACTTCATCAGAGGGTGATTATATCAGCTTATTTAATGTTTTTGTCTGATAATTGTAACATGTTGGGGTCACCATCTGTTTGTTGTTCTTTCTTTTTTCCTTGAGAAGTGGTCATATTTTCTTGCTTTGTTTTATTTTTATCTAGTATTTTTCTTTCTGTGATGAGCATTTTTTATTTATGTTGTGGGACTCTGAGTCCAGTTAAAAATCCTCTAGGGAAAATTGTCTGTTCTTTTAGTATGAAATTGCCAAAGTTAGGTTTATACCACAAGTTCTTTCTTTCTGCAGATGATATTACAAATGACCTTTGCTATGCCCTTTGGTTGTACCTCTCTCATGCGCCACTTTCAGAGTTAATTTGGGACGGGGGCAGTAGTTTATAGTTATACAAACAATGTCAAAACCTTTGCTATGCTTCTTTGGGTGTGTTCCACACATCTGCAGCCTTGGGGTGAGCCTGGGATTTCAGTCAGTTCAAACACAGATTTAGGGGTATACTTCTCCAACTCTCTCATCTTTGGGATTTTCCTTATGCACTGCAGATCTCAGGGGCTTGTTAATTGTTTCTCTGGCCAGAAATATGGAATTCTCTCAGTGTTTTAGTTATCTGCACATGTTCACAGTTTAGTTTAAATAGGCAGAATGAGAATAAAGAGAAAAAAACATGGAGAGTCCCCCAAAACTCTTTGCAGAACAGAGGCTCCTTTTCCTGAGCCCTTATCCAAAGGCATGAGGTTTCTCTTGGGGCTTAGGTACCTCTGAATTGCAGCAGTGAAATTTAGCGCTAGTGCTGGATCCAGGAAGGGTAGGAAAGAAAAAGAAGAAAATAGGATTCCATCCTCCCACCCCATATTTCCCTTCTACTCTGGGGCTTAAGGGGACCCTTTTGCTTGTATTGTGGTCACAAGGATAAATTCCTCTTGAGGTTTTGGTTGTCTCTGCCCACTGCACAATTCCCCAATATGTTCTGTCTGCTGGTCAAGTGTACTGCTACAGGAGAAAAAAAGATAATTTACTAGTCTTTCTTTAGATTTTGGCTTCCTTTCCCAAACTGTCTGCTATTATTTACATTTCGAGGTCTCCATATTCTTTTCCATAATTTTTCCATAATCAATTTTAGTTGTAATCAGAATTATATCAGAATTAAATGGTAACAGGCTTACTTCACTTCAGCAAGCACAAGAAATCTTCTCACTCTCTTTTTAAAAAGAAGTAATCAGATAACATTTGATCAAAAAACATGTGTATCAGGTACTTTTGCATCAAACTTAGGTGCTACTATCTCAGTTATACAGTCCTGGAGACAAGATCTCACAGTTTGTCAGTAACAGCAACTAGCGTTTGAACGTAGGTCTTTTGAATGACTTTCCCATTTGCTCTTAGAGAGACAGAATATACCTTTAAAATGTCAGCAGAATAAAATTCATCAAATTCACAGGTTTTAAAAAACAATTTATCAAGTTAGTGAAAATGTTGTTTTTGTGAATTTCAAATGAGAAGTCACAGCAATACTCAGTGTTTATGTAAAATTAGTTAATTCAAACATATTTTAATCCATAAAATGCCACTAAATTATGAGTTTCTTATTTAATAATCTCACCAACTATCTTTCTGTCCTCACCTTAAGTTAAAGTTCTGGGGAAATCGCCTTTGATTTTTACATCCTCATAAAATGTAGTTTACTTCTCAACCTCTTCCTCTCCCTCCCCATTCCAGCCTCCTCCTTCCTCCTTCTTCTGTGGACCCAAAATCAGCCCATAGGGAAATATAAGAATCATTGAGTTTCTTTCCAACTTTTAGAGTACATTTTCTTGGCAGAAAACTATAACTCTTGTTTATATGGAAAATCATTTCGCCAAATGAATATTCCTGACCCATTCTATAAAAAGAGGATTCTTTTTCGCTTGTAATTTTTGGATGACTATTTTCTGCCTGCTAAAATTGAGGAACAGGCCTTGAAAGATTCTCCAAAAATATAAATTTATACTTACACACCATTCCAATCTTACTAGTTGACTTAATTTTCGGAATGAAGTGTGTCAGACTTATAGAAATGTACACAAAACATTATTGTACAGTTCAGTGAATTACTTACCACCTAAGTGAACACCCATGTAACCCACTTGGGTTAACAAGTAAAACATTGCCAGGAACCTAAGTTATTTGACTTTTAATGTATCTGTTAAGACTGCTGTAGTGTTTCATTAGTCAAAACATCATTTAAATGATATGCAATTAATTTACACACTTTAAAAAATAAATTTACCTATGTTTATGGAAGGAGATGGAACATCTATATATTATTGCCTTCGTAGCATTACATTCTAAGTGAATACCTGGGTACCTGCTTTATCCCATTAATGTCTTCCTAAACATTACGTGTAAGTGAATTTCATCGAATACATTTAAAAACAATAAGTTGAGTAAGTGGGATTACTTTAAAGATGTTGCAAATCTTTTGCAACACTATAGATCTTTTTACAAATAAGCAACTTTTCCTAATTTACCTGTTTTAAAACTGGAGTTGTGTACTCTACGTTTCCTTAAAGTGGGGTGTATATATTTATCTATATATAGATATATACAGACATTTCTATTACAACAAGTCTAACAAACCTTTGGTAAGTTTGATGAAACTGGATTATCTACGTTACTAAAACCTGAGTTCCTGGAGCCTAACAGGATCTGAAACAAATGTACTGCATTTTCTCTTTAAAAAAAATGCTTGTCTTTGCTACTGAAGAGGTGATTTTAGGTATCTTCATTTTAAGCTGACATAAACAAAGTGTTAAATTTAGATGCTGTAGGGCTCATATTTTCTAAACTTGTCTTTAAAAATCTCAGTTAAGATTTGTACATGCAGTATAACTTTGAATAGAAGTTCCTTTGAGCGTCTCATTTGAATTAATCTAAGTCCCAGAATATTCTGAAATTTGCCTCATGCTTATGATTTCTACTGCGAATATAGAAAATCACTGTATGAGAAAATGTATTTAATCGCCTCACGCTTTAGTAAGCTTATATATAAATCTGAATAAACAAAATTGATCTCTGAAAATCAACTGCAGTACCCTTTGTGAGGCAAAAGCATTATTTTAAATACCTATAACTCTAACTTTTATTTTAAGTTCAGGGGATGCAGGTTTGTTACATAGGTAAACTTGTGTCATGGGTTTTTTTTTTTTTTTGTACAGAATATTTCATCACCCAGGTATTAAGTCTAGTGCCCATTGGTTATTTTTCATAATGCTCTCCCTCCCCCCACCCCACACCCTGACAGGCCCCAGTGTGTGTTGTTCTCCTCCCTGTCTATGTGTTCACCTTGTTCAGCTCCCACGTATAAGTGAGAACATGCGGTGTTTGGTTTCCTGTTCCCGCGTTAGTTTGCTGAGTATAAAAGCTTCCAGCTCCATCCATGTCCCTGCTAAGGACATAATCTCATTCCTTTCTATGGCTGCATAGTATTCATGGTGTATATATACCACATTTTCGTTATGCAGGCTATCATTGATGGGCATTTAGGTTGATTCCATGTCTTTGTGAAGAGTGCTGCAATGAACATACATGTGCACTTGTCTTTATAATATAATAATTTCTGTTATTTGAGTATATACTCAGTAGTGGGATTGCTGGGTCAAATGGTTTTTCTGTCTCTGGGTCTTTGAGGAATTTCCACACTATTTTCTACAATGGCTGAACCTACACCCCCACCAACAGTGTATAATCATTCTTTTATCTCTACAACCTCGCCAGCATCTGTTATTTTTTGGCATTTTAATCATAGTCATTCTGACTGGTATTAGATGGCATATCATCGTGGTTTTGAGTTGCATTCCTCTAATGATAAGTGATGTTGAGTTTTTTTTCACATGATTTTTGGCCACATATGTCTTCTTTTGAAAAGTGTCTGTTCACATACTTTGCCCACTTTTTTATGAGGTTGGTGGTTTCTTTTATATTTGCTTAAATTCCTTATGGATGCTGGATATCAGACCTTTGTTAGAAGCATAGTTTGCAAAAATTTTCTCCTATTCTCCCTTATTGTAGGTCATCTGTTTACTCTGTTGATCATATGTTTTGCTGTGCAGAAGATCTTTAATTAGATCCCACTTGTCAATTTTTGATTTCGTTGCAATTGCTTTTGGCTTTTTTAGCATGAAATTTTTGCCCATGCCTGTGTCCTCAATGGTATTGCCTAGGTTGTCTTTCAGGGTTTTAATAATTTTGTGTTTTACATTTAAGTCTTTATTCTATGTTGATTTAATTTTTGAACATGGTTTAAGGAAGAAGTCCAGTTTAAATCTTCTACATATGGCTAGCCAGTTATCCCAGTACCATTCATTGAATAGAGAGTCCTTTCCCCATTGCTTTTTTTTTTTTTGTCAGGTTTGTCAAAGATCAGATCTTCGTAGGTGTGCAGAATTATTTCTGGGTTCTTTGTTCTTTTCCATAGGTCTGTGTGTCTAAAAACCTACACTTCTCAGCTGGTCTGACAAATCCAGATATAAAATTGCCAGCATAGTACTCTATTGTGGGGAAAAATACCTTAATTTCTCTCTAAAGTTACATATAGCTTCACATAATGTTATTTTTTTTCTTTAATGATGGGAAGATTTTCCCCCAAAATGACTTTTATTAGACATTTATCTAAGACAAGACGCAATTTTATACATCCATTAGCTAATATGCATTTAGAAATCAGTGATGAACAGCTTGAAATTGTGCCAGCACTGTGTGCTTCAATTAAATATTCCCAAATAAACGTGTGATAGCCATTTTTAATTTTTATAACCTTTCATTGGAGTTAATTTGTTCCCACCTATTGTAACTAAAAATAGATCACCCCTTTTTATTCTCTTTCATTGAAAATTGCAATCACTCCCTATACTTTTTTCTTTTAAAAATCCTAGTCTAGCTAGAGTTTTCAGTTTATACAAAACAAGCTCAGTTAATTTTGGGCTAATGCCAGTATATTACATTTAGTTAAGATGATCTTAACAGAATTGTAAAGGTTTTCCTAAAATCAAATAAAATGTGTTTTATTATTTTAAAATGCACATTTTTACTGAAATTTGTGAAATGCAATTTAGAGTATGCATATACCAAAATTGTGTGAACATGAATTTTTGAAATGTATATTTCTTTGCCTTTTATAAATAGGTGTTTTCTCTCATAAAAGTAATTCAGTTGAAATTTTTCATTTTTATCTTGATAATATCAAATTATACATTTTTATGATTACAAAATAATGTATTATGAAATCTTTATATCTTCTGCATTAATTTACTTGTATTTTTCTTGCTATATAAATATTCTTCTTTGGGGAATGGTAACTTATATCAAATGCATTAGTGTGCCAGATTTTGGAAGCCATTGTAGAAATATACTACTTTAAAGTTGTCAAAGTGTTTTCATATCCATTATCCACTTGTGCTCATAACAACACTGTGGAATAGTTAGGGCACATGTTCCTTCGATATGTCAAAGATGAAAGAAGAAAGAAAAGCCTAAGACTACCTGACAAGGTAATGACAGAGCTTAGGACTTCTGATCCACCTGTTCTACCATTATGCCATACAAAGAAGTGCCAAAATTTTGTCCAACAAATTAGTAAAGACAATGAAGAACAACTATTTTCTTAGATTTAGTTACTTGCCCTCACATTGCTATTTTTTATCAACGCATCTAATGTTTTAGATTAAGAGCCATACTTTTTAAATGTTCTGTTAAATTACTGTTCACTAAAGTTGAAGTACTAATTTACGAACATAAACTATGCACATAATGATTAGCAATGTTTCAATTTTATAAAAAATATCTTAGATGAGTCATTTAATTCCTCATCATCATTTTCCAGATTAACATTATTTTATTAAATATAAAAAACAGTGCAAATAATTACTAAGCCAACATTAAAAACAAATTACCTTACTAAAATAAGCTTTGAACAATCTAGAATACCAAGTCAAACTTTAGCAATCATTTTCAAATTTTTTTTTTATTGTTGTACTTTTAGTTTTAGGGTACATATGCACAACGTGCAGGTTTGTTACATATGTATACATGTGCCATGTTGGTGTGCTGCACCCATTAACTCATCATTTAACATTAGGTATATCTCCTAATGCTATCCCTCCCCACTCCCCCCACCCCACAACAGGCCCCGGTGTGTGATGTTCCCCTTCCTGTGTCCATGTGTTCTCCTTGTTCAATTCCTACCTATGAGTGAGAATATGCAGTGTTTGGTTTTTTGTTCTTGCGATAGTTTGCTGAGAATGATGGTTTCCAGCTGCATCCATGTCCCTACAAAGGACATGAACTCATCATTTTTGTGGCTGCATAGTATTCCATGGTGTATATGTGCCACATTTTCTTAATCCAGTCTATCATTGATGGACATTTGGGTTGGTTCCTAGTCTTTGCTATTGTGAATAGTGCTGCAATAAACATACGTGTGCATGTGTCTTTATAGCAGCATGATTTATAATCCTTTGGGTATATACCCAGTAATGGGATGGCTGGGTCAAATGGTATTTCTAGTTCTAGATCCCTGAGGAATTGCTACATGGACTTCCACAATGGTTGAACAAGTTTACAGTCCCACCAACAGTGTAAAAGTGTTCCTATTTCTCCACATCCTCTCCAGCACCTGTTGTTTCCTGACTTTTTAATGATTGCCATTCTAACTGGTGTGAGATGGTATCTCATTGTGGTTTTGATTTGCATTTCTCTGATGGCCGTGATGATGAGCATTTTTTCATGTGTCTTTTGGCTGCATAAATGTCTTCTTTTGAGAAGTGTCTGTTCATGTCCTTCGCTCACTTTTTGATGAGGTTGTTTGTTTTTTTCTTGTAAATTTGTTAGTGTTCATTGTAAATTCTGGATATTAGTCCTTTGTCAGATGAGTAGATTGCAAAAATTTTCTCCCATTCTGTAGGTTGCCTGTTCACTCCGATGGTAGTTTCTTTTGCTGTGCAGAAGCTCTTTAGTTTAATTAGATCCCATTTGTCAATTTTGGCTTTTGTTGCCATTGCTTTTGGTGTTTCAGACATGAAGTCCTTGCCCATGCCTATGTACTGAATGGTATTGCCTAGGTTTTCTTGTAGGGTTTTTATGGTTTTAGGTCTAACATGTAAGTCTTTAATCCATGTTGAATTAATTTTTGTATAAGACAGTTTCAGCTTTCTACATATGGCTAGCCAGTTTTCCCAGCACCATTTATTAAATAGGGAATCCTTTCCCCATTGCTTGTTTTTCTCCGGTTTGTCAAAGATCAGATAGTTGTAGATATATAGCATTATTTCTGAGGGCTCTGTTATGTTCCATTGGTCTATATCTCTGTTTTGGTACCAGTACCATGCTGTTTTGGTTACTGTAGCCTTGTAGTATAGTTTGAAGTCAGGTAGTGTGATGCCTCCAGCTTTGTTCTTTTGGCTTAGGATTCACTTGGCAATGTGGGCTCTTTTATGGTTCCATATGAACTTTAGTTTTTTCCGATTCTATGAAGAAAGTCATTGGTAACTTGATGGGGATGGCATTGAATCTATAAATTACCTTGGGCAGTATGGCCATTTTCACGATATTGATTCTTCCTACCCATGAGCATGTAATGTTCTTCCATTTGTTTGTATCCTCTTTATTTCATGGAGCAGTGGTTTGTACTTCTCCTTGAAGAGGTCCTTCACATCCCTTGTAAGTTGGATTCATAGATATTTTATTCTCTTTGAAGGAATTGTGAATGGGAGTTCATTCATGATTTGGCTCTCTGTTTGTCTGTTATTGGTGTATAAGAATGCTTGTGATTTTTGCACATTGATTTTGTATCCTGAGACTTTGCTGAAGTTGCTTATCAGCTTAAGGAGATTTTGGGCTGAGACAATGGGGTTTTCTAGATATACAATCATGTCATCTGCAAACAGGAACAATTTGACTTCCTCTTTTCCTAATTGAATGCCCTTTATTTCTTTTTCCTGCCTGATTGCCCTGGCCAGAACTTCCAACACTATGTTGAATAGGAGTGGCGAGAGAGGGCATCCCTCTCTTGCGCCAGTTTTCAAAGGGAATGCTTCCAGTTTTTGCACATTCAGTATGATATTGGCTGTGGGTTTGTCTTAAATAGCTCTTATTATTTTGAGATATGTCCCATCAATACCTAATTTATTGAGAGATTTTAGCATGAAGGGTTGTTGAATTTTGTCAAAGGCCTTTTCTGCATCTATTGAGATAATCATGTGGTTTTTGTCTTTGGTTCTGTTTATATGCTGGATTACATTTATTGATTTGTGTATGTTGAACCAGCCTTGCATCCCAGGGATGAAGCCCACTTCATCATGGTAGATAAGTTTTTGGTGTGCTGCTGGATTCGGTTTGCTAGTATTTTATTGAAGATTTTTGCATCAATGTTCATCAGGGATATTGTTCTAAAATTTTCTTTTTTTGTTGTGTCTTTGCCAGGCTTTGGTATCAGGATGATGCTGGCCTCATAAAATGAGTTAGGGAGGATTCCCTCTTTTTCTATTGATTGGAATAGTTTCAGAAGGAATAGTACCAGCTCCTCCTTGTACCTCTGGTAGAATTCGGCTGTGAATCCATCTGGTCCTGGACTTTTTTTTGGTTGGTAAGCTATTAATTATTGCCTCAATTTCAGAGCCTGTTATTGGTCTATTCAGAGATTCAACTTCTTCCTGGTTTAGTCTTGGGAGGGTGTATGTGTTGAGGAATTTATCCATTTCTTCTAGATTTTCTAGTTTATTTGCGTAGAGGTGTTTGTAGTATTCTCTGATGGTAGTTTGTATTTCTGTGGGATCGGTGGTGATATCCCCTTTATCATTTTTTATTGCATCTATTTGATTCTTCTCTCTTTTCTTCTTTATTAATCTTGCTAGTGGTCTATCAATTTTGTTGATCTTTTCAAAAAATCCGCTCCTGCATTCATTGATTTTTTGAAGGTTTTTTTGTGTCTCTATCTCCTTCAGTTCTGCTCTGATCTTAGTTATTTCTTGCCTTCTCCTAGCTTTTGAATGTGTTTGCTCTTGCTTTTCTAGTTCTTTTAATTGTGATGTTGGGCTGTCAATTTTAGATCTTTCCTGCTTTCTCTTGTGGGCATTTAGTGCTATAAATTTCCCCTCTACACACTGCTTTGAATGTATCCCAGAGATTCTGGTATGTTGTGTCTTTGTTCTCGTTGGTTTCAAAGAATATCTTTATTTCTGCCTTCATTTATTATGTACCCAGTAGTCGTTCAGGAGCAGGTTGTTCAGTTTCCATGTAGTTGATGGGTTTTGAGTGAGTTTCTTAATCCTGAGTTCTAGTTTGATTGCACTGTGGTCTGAGAGACAGTTTGTTATAATTTCTGTTCTTTTACATTTGCTGAGGAGTGCTTTACTTCCAACTATGTGGTCAATTTTGGAATAGGTGTGGTGTGGTGCTGAAAAGAATGTATATTCTGTTGATTTGGGGTGGAGAGTTCTGTAGATGTCTAGTAGGTCAGCTTGGTGTAGAGCTGAGTTCAATTCCTGGATATTCTTGTTAACTTTCTGTCTCGTTGATCTGTCTAATGTTGACAGTGGGGTGTTAAAGTCTCCCATTATTATTGTGTGGGGGTCTAAGTCTCTTTCTATGTCTCTAAGGACTTGCTTTATGAATCTGGGTGCTCCTGTATTTGGTGCATATATATTTAGGATAGTTAGCTCTTCTTGTTGAATTGATCCCTTAAGCATTATGTAATGACCTTCTTTGTCTCTTTTGATCTTTGTTGGTTTAAAGTCTGTTTTATCAGAGACTAGGATTGCAACCCCTGCCTTTTTTTGTTTTCCATTTGCTTGGTAGATCTTCCTTCACCCTTTTGTTTTGAGCCTATGTGCGTCTCTGTACATGAGATGGGTTTCCTGAATACAGCTCGCTGATGAGTCTTGGCTCTTTATCCAATTTGTCAGTCTGTGTCTTTTAATTGGAGCATTTAGCCCATTTACATTTAAGGTTAATATTGTTATGTGTGAATGTGATCCTGTCATTATGATGTTAGCTGGTTATTTTGCTCTTTAGTTGATGCAGTTTCTTCCTTGCCTCGATGGTCTTTACAATTTGGCATGTTTTTGCAGTGGCTGGTACTGGTTGTTCCTTTCCATGTTTAGTGCTTCCTTCAGGAACTCTTTTAGGGCTGGCCTGGTGGTGACAAAATCTCTCAGCATTTGCTAGTCTGTAAAGTATTTTATTTCTCCTTCACTTATGAAGCTTAGTTTGGCTGGATTTGAAATTCTGGGTTGAAAATTCTTTTCTTTAAGAATGTTGAATATTGGCTCCCCACTCTCTTCTGGCTTGTAGAGTTTCTGCCGAGAGATCAGCTGTTAGTCTGATGGGCTTCCCTTTGTGGGTAACCCGACCTTTCTCTCTGGCTGCCCTTAACATTTTTTCCTTCATTTCCACTTTGGTGAATCTGACAATTATGTGTCTTGGAGTTGCTCTTCTCGAGGAGTATCTTTGTGGCATTCTCTGTATTTCCTGAATCTGAACGTTGGCCTCCCTTGCTAGACTGGGGATGTTCTCCCGGATAATATCCTGGAGAGTGTTTTACAACTTGGTTGCATTCTCCCCATCACTTTCAGGTACACCAATCAGACGTAGATTTGGTCTCTTCACATAGTCCCATATTTCTTGGAGGCTTTGTTCGTTTCTTTTTATTCTTTTTTCTCTAAACTTCTCTTTTCGCTTCATTTCATTCAGTTGATCTTCCTTCACTGATACCCTTTCTTCCAGTTGATCGAATCGGCTCCTGAGGCTTTTGCATTTGTAACGTAGTTCTCGTGCCATGGTTTTCAGCTCCATCAGGTCCTTTAAGGACTTCTCTGCATTGGTTATTCTAGTTAGCCATTCGTCTAATCTTTTTTCAAGGTTTTTAACTTCTTTGCCATGGGTTCAAACTTCCTCCTTTAGCTCGGAGTAGTTTGATCATCTGAAGCCTTCTCTCAACTCGTCAAAGCCATTCTCTGTCCAGCTTTGTTCCATTGCTGGTGAGGAGCTGCATTCCTTTGGAGGAGGAGAGGCACTCTGATTTTTAGAATTTTCAGTTTTTCTGCTCTGTTTTTTCCCCATCTTTGTGGTTTTATCTACCTTTGGTCTTTGATGATGGTGACATACGGATGGGGTTTTGGTGTGGATGTCCTTTCTGTTTGTTAGTTTTCCTTCTAACAGTCAGAGCCCTCAGCTGCAGGACTGTTGGAGTTTGCTGGTGGTCCACTCCAGACATTGTTTGCCTGAGTATCAGCAGTGGAGGCTGCAGAACAGCGGATATTGGTCAACAGCAAATGTTGCTGCCTGATCATTCCTCTGGAAGTTTTGTCTCAGAGGAGTACCTGGCTGTATGAGGTGTCAGTCTGCCCCTACTGGGGGGTGCCTCCCAGTTAGGCTACTCGGGGGTCAGGGACCCATTTGAGGAGGCAGTCTGTCCGTTCTCAGCTCTCCAGCTGCATGCTGGGAGAACCAATACTCTCTTCAAAGCTGTCAGACAGGGACATTTAAGACTGCAGAGGTTTCTGTTGCCTTTTGTTTGGCTATGCCCTGCCCCCAGAGGTGGAGTCTACAGAGGAAGGCAGGCCTCCTTGAGCTGCGCTGGGCTCTACCCAGTTCGAGCTTCCTGTCCGCTTTCTTTACCTACTCAAGCCTTGGCAATGTTGGGCGCCCCTCCCCTAGCCTGGCTGCCACCTTGCAGTTTGAACTTAGACTGCTGTGCTAGCAATGAGTGAGGCTCTGTGGGCATAGGACCCTCCGAGCCAGGTGCAGGATACAATCTCCTGGTGTGCCGTTTGCTAAGGCTGTTGGAAAAGTGCAGTATTAGGGTAGGAGTGACCCAATTTTCCAGGTGCCGTCTGTCACCCCTTTCCATGGCTAGGAAAGGGAATTCCCTGACCCCTTGTGCTTCTCAGGTGAGGCGACACCTCGCCATGCTTTGGCTCATGCTCAGTGCGCTGCACCCACTGTCCTGCACCCACTGTCTGACATTCCCCAGTGAGATGAACCCAGTACCTCATTTGGAAATGCAGAAATGATTCATCTTCTGCGTCGCTCACGCTGGGAGCTGTAGACTGGAGCTGTTCCTATTTGGCCATCTTGGCTCCACCAAAACTTGTTATTCATTTATTTTGAAAACTTCTAATTTAACAAGATCCTGGATTACTGTATTTAAAACCCATCTGTCAATGAAAATTTTCATTTTGTCCCTGTGGATTTTTATTTTGAGTAAACCAAGTCTTATATTATATAAAATAGAAACTTTTGTCATAATCTATATAGTCTCTTAGTGGCCTTGGAAAGGAGACATTATAGAAATGTGATATAGAATAAAGGACAATTGAAATAATGGGCTCTTATATTAACAACATTTCTTTGGGTCTTTGCCTGTTGATTCTCTCATTATTACCTGACCTTCACTCTTGCATCTTCCCTAGTTTCTATATTCATTCATTCTAGCTTGAATTACTTACGTTTACCTGGAAATCACACTATATGTTGACTAAGTGCCACTGTTCACTTGTGATGACTAAATTTATCCTTAACACTTGACAGTAAGCTTTGTACCTCTGCTATCCATTACCAATCTCATTCATCCTGGGCTCCAAGTTTCATTCTCTACCATTCTTGCAGAGCTTCAACATTAACTGAAGAGATGCATAATCCTTTTCTTTCCTCACAATCCCAAAGAACCCCCTGGCCATTTTATATCATAAACTAATGGGTACTTGTAACTGTTTCTGCAAACTTTTGTGGAAGGTTTTGTACCACAATTTGCTAACCTTAGTTAATTTTGGTTAGAATAAATTGTAGGTGAGGTCAAGGTGGCAGGTGTAATTCTCACATGGCCCTATTTATCTTGGGAAAATCATTTTTTAATGTACTACTGAGCCCAGTTATGTGTCTTGTCATTATAAAGAGCAGCAAATTATAATTAAGCCTATGCAACCTATCTCAACTGATAGAACTCAAGGATTCATCTTCATATTGTTGGGAAAGAAATTTAAAGCTACCAGCTGAGCTTCTAAGGCAGAATAAGTCGGAAGTTTGGTACCATTCAGACTGAATACTTACATAAAAGAATAACAAGGGTAAGGCTACTAGCCTAGGATCTGAAACAGATATGAAAAACAAGGTGAAAGTTAGAGTTCACAACAATAATTTTCTGCCACAAAACAGAAACTGAATACTTTGAGAGGCACCAATGAGCAAATGCAAAATCCACAATATTATGACTAGAGACATCGAACACCTAAAAAGAGAAAAGAATATGGGGCCTTTAAACATTCTTATATATAGCGAGCTGGTAATCCTTTTGTAAAGACATTTGGCAAAGCCACAAAATGTTGAAATCAGTAATCTCACTTCCAGAAATTTACTGCAGGGAAATGTTTCACAGATGCACAAAGATGCTCATAGCATTCTTATTTATAATTATGAAAAAGTAATATAAATATTCAATATTACAGGAATGGTTAAGTGATATTACACATATGTGATGTAATCATTAAAATAATATGATTACTCTTTAATGATGGAGAAAACTATTGAAAAGAAATATGGAATATTTCCTGACTACAGTGTTTACTGTCAGGCCAATACATATTCTTATGAAAACTTGAATGGAATACCCCCAAATTATAATGACTTCTTTAGGGTTCTGGACTTGTAGCTAATAATATTTCTCCTCATTTCTTGTTAAACCTTCTATGATATTATTTGTATATTTTAACAAGTTTTAAAAGCTGTCTGTTGTATTGATACTTCCACATTATCTTTACTGAGGTACAACTGCACTGCAAGACAAATGTATTTGCTACACTGATTCAGTAGTTCATCAGTGTCGTAGAAGAGAAAATATTGAAACAAATGAATTATCATAAACATTCCTCAGTATTTTCTAGGAATCATGATATAGCCTATATATAATCTTCTTTTCATGCCAGAATCCTTCCAAGAACATCCTTTTTGCCCATTCACTTTGATTCTGCTTGACTGTGGTATGGAAACCTGTCATATTAAAAGTAACAACTTTTCTTTCAGTTATCTAATAAGGTAGTTGAATTCCTGTCTCTTAGATGTTTATAGGTACTTTGTCATTCAAATCCATGAAAAACTATATTGTATGATGCTAGGAATTTCACATTCATTATCATTTACTTCTCATACCAATCCTGTGAAGAATGTATTCTTATCATAAATAGAGACTAAAGCTCAAAGAAGTTAAGTAACTCATTTAAAATTACACAATGTGGTAGAAACATTTTTTTGAAACTCAGAACTGCCTGAATCCCAAATTAGTATTCTTTCTCATGCCTTTTTCTTCATAATCATCCCTTAAATCCCTTCTTCCCCTTTATTTATTTACTGAACACCAACAGTGTGATAGACACTGTGCTAAGCTCAGAGGGTACATGGATAAATAAAATGCAGTCACACTCACCAAAAGGTTTAGTTTATTCTGTCATTTACCATTCATTCATTATTTTGTTCAGTCACAAATTATGTAATGGACACTTACCATGTGATAGGTGCTTCTAGAAAAAAAGTAACATGTCCTAAAATACTGCTCAACTATAACATAAAGCAGTAAAAAATATGCAGTCGAAATAAAGACATAAATATGTGGTTAAAACTAAACAAATACAAGACAATATCCTTCAAATAAATTAGAAACGCTTAAAAACAACAACAACAACAAAAAATCCTTGTCATTGTAGGGAAACTTTCTTAAAATATGAGATGAGAATCCCTAAAATCTGATGATAATCCCACATGGAAAGCCTAAGGGCAGAAAGCCCTTCAGTTCATATCACTGACATAGGACTTCATAAATGTTCTTCACAGCAAAACACAGACAACCAACCAATATGCATGCAGTGGCTTTGAGTCGACTTCTCATCTTCTTTTCCTTATGCTTCTTTCCTCAATTTCTTTAAACATTTGTCTTGGCCTTTAAGCCTTATTTGCAGCTATAAATAATTGGAGTATTCTACTTTATGAAAACAGAAGTCTAACTTTCCAACATGCATGTTCCTCTTACTGCATTTCATTCTCACTAGAGTAAAATTATGAACTTTTTTACCTCCATAAAAACCATGAACCATTTTTCATAACTGTTTTTTTTATATTCCTAAATCACTTATGAGTAACAAAGAAAAAAAAGCTGAACGCTATTAGTTGAAAACTCTCATTTGCACACACCTGGCTGTAGGTGGAAAATCTCATCAGTGGCAGTGGGCCATAATGTGTTTTATTATCATATAGGGAACATAAAACTGTTAAATTTATTCAGAAGTATTCCAACAACAAATGTATTGTCATGGTACTGAATAACCAAAGTCATATATTAATCTTTCTCTCCTGTATGTGAATGTTCAAAGAATGATTCTCTTTTTTCTCTATTGCTCTTACTCTCACTCCTGCTCTCTTTCTCCCCAATATTATGGCTAATTCAACAGACAAGATCAAAATGAACTGTCAGAGGTAATAACTACATTAAGTATTTAGGTAATGTGATGAAGGACTGTAGAAGTGAGGATTACACCAAATCCCTAGATAATGTAGGACCATTTTGTTATAATATTTACTTCTCAAACTTTAATTGGTGCTAGATCTGCTAATATAACACCATAGTAAGAACTGGATTATTTTGCCTCTTTTCTCTAGCTTACTGTTTTTAAATTTGTCATAAGTTTTAATGTTGTTTCGGTACAGCCACCTCATATTACACTGAAGCAGTGTCTAAACTGATATGACTGAGGAATTTTTTATATTGATGTAAATAGATATACATAGTTTTCAAGTCCATATGATAATATAATACATTAATGTAATTTTTAAAGACCAAATATGTATACTTGGGATATCCATCACCTTAAATATTTGCCTTTTCTTTATGTTAGACCATTCAAATTACTCTTTTCTAGCTACTTCGAAAGATAGAATACATCAGCGATCCCCAACCTTTTTGGCACCAGTGACCAGTTTTGTGGAAGACAATTTCTCCACAAACCAGGATAGGGGTGGGGAATGGTTTTGCGATGAAACTGTTGCACCTCAGACAATCGGGCATTAGATTCTCATAAGGAGCCCACAAGCTAGATCCCTTGCATGTGCAGTTCACAATAGGGTTCACACTCTTATGAGAATATAATGCCGCTGCTGGTCTGACAGGAGGCAGAGCTCAGGCAGTAATGCTCGCTGGCCCACACACACTCACCTCCTGCAGTGTGGTCTGGTTCCGAACAGGCCACCAACTTGTACTGGTCTACAGCCATGGGGCTGAGGACCACTGAAATAGATTACTGTATATTATAGTCACCCTACTGATCTATGTAACACCAACATGGCACATGTATACATATGTAACAAACCTGCACATGTACCCTAAAACTTAAAGTATAATAAAAATAAAAAGAATAATAAAAAAAGAAGGAAATACCAAAAAAAACAAAAAACAAAACAACAAAAAACAAAACACTAGGTCTTATTTATTCTAGCAAATTGTATTGTGAAACCATTTGATGTATTGGAATAGGCTTCAGACTTTGAGACAGACAATTTGGGCTTCAATCTTGTTTCCATCATCACCAGCTGTGTTTACTTAGGTAAATGATCCAGAAGTGGGTAGTGTGACTGCCTCCCAAAGTTGGATGCAATGGCTACTGTTACTTGTCATTTCCTAAACGTGTGGAGGGTGGGGTGAGGGAGGAAGATACAGATGAGATTATAAAATTACAGTTAGAAATAAGCACATCTGTTTTTTTGAAGGATAGTTGCATCATGTTAGTGTTGGGAACATAGAGTTGTTTTCATTGTACAGCAGTTCAAATATGTATTGAAGGGTGTATATAGATTCTGGGTAGGTAAGAGGGTAGGCTATAACAGTTATTAAGCTATTATCTCTTATCTTTAAAGTACTCTTTTCTACTCTTTGTGATGCTGGTGCCAGGACTCTGCAAACCACATTCCTGCTTTTTCAGCTGGCTCTGTGTTCAGCTGTGCCAATACAGGGCATGATTGGAAGATTATAGCCAGGCTAGAGGAGGAAGAAGGGACATGTTCCTACCTGCTTGTTCTCTGTTAGCTTCAGGTTGATTTCCTGTTCATTTGTTATCATGCCTTACTTCATCCAGCTTCTTCACCCTGGAAGTAGTAGGTGTTTCTCATAGTAGTGGTTGAATCCAGTATGATATCATTTCAATATTTATAGAACCAGGCTCATTCTGCCTATTCCCCCTACCCCCAATGATATGGTTTGGCTGTGTCCCTACCCAAATCTCAACTTGAGTTGTATCTCCCAGAATTTCCACATGTTGTCGGAAGGACCCAGGGGGAGATTATTGAATCATGGGGCCTGGTCTTTCCCATGCTATTCTCATGATAGTGAATACGTCTCATGAGATGTGATAGGTTTATCAGGGGTTTCCACTTTTACTTCTTTCTCTTGCCTGCCACTATATAAGAAGTGCCCTTCGCCTCCCACCATGATGCTGAGGCCTCCCAGCCATGTGGAACTGTAAGTCCAATTAAACCTCTTTTTCTTCCACATCTCAGATATGTCTTTATCAGCAGCATGAAATGGACTAATACAGTAAATTGGTACCAGTAGAGTGGGGCGTTGCTGAAAAGATACCCGAAAATGTAGAAGCAACTTCAGAACTGGGTAACAGGCAGAGGTTGGAACAATTTGGAAGGTTCAGAAGAAGACAGGAAAATGTGGGAAGCTTTGGTACTTCCCAGAGACTTGTTGAATGGCTTTGCCCAAAATGCTGATAGCAATGGACAATAAAGTCCAGGCTGAGGTGGTCTCAGGTGAAGATGAGGAACTCGTTGGGAACTGGAGTAAAGGCAACTCTTGTTATGTTTCAGCAAAGACTGGCAGTATTTTGTCCCTGCCCTAGAGGTTTGTGGAACTTTGAACTTGAGAAAGATGATTTAGGGTATCTGGTGGAAGAAATGTTTAAGCAGCAAAGGCATTCAAAAGGTGACATGGGTGCTGTTAAAAGCATTCAGTTTTATAAAGGAAGCAGAGCATAAACATTTGGAAAATTTGCAGCCTGACTATGTGATAGTAAAGAAAAACCCATTTTCTGGGAAGAAATTTTAGCTGGCTGCAGAAATTTGCAGAAGTAGCAAGGAGCCTAATGTTAATTACAAAAACCATTGGAAAAATGTCTGCAGGCCATGTCAGAGACCTTCATGGCAGCTCCTTCCCATCACAGACTGAGAGGCCCAGGAGAAAAAAAGTAGTTTTGTGGGCCAGGCCCAGGGTCCCCGTGCTGTTTGAAGCATAGAGACTTGGTGCCCTGTGTCCCAGCTGCTCCAACCATGGCTGAAAGGGGGCAATATAGAGCTCAAGCTGTGGCTTCAGAGAGTGGGAGCCCCACGCCTTGGCAGCTTCCATATGGTGTTAAGCCTGTGGGTGCACAGAAGTCAAGTACTGAGGTTTGGGAACCTTTGACTAAATTTCAAAAGATGTATGGCAATGCCTGGATGCCCAGGCAAAAGGTTGCTGCAGGAGTGAAGCCCTCATACAGAACCTCTGCTAGAGCAGTGCAGAAAGGAAATGTGGGGTTAGCATCTCCACACAGCCCCTACTGGTGCACCACCTAGTGGAGCTGTGAGATGAGGGCCACTGTCCTCCAGACCCCAGAATGGTAGATCCACAAACAGCTTGCACCATTTGCCTGGAAAAGCTGCAGGCAGTCAACATCAGTCCGTGAAAGCATCTCGGAGGGAGTCTGTACCCTGCAAAGCCACAGGGGCAGGGCCGCCCAAGACCATGGGAACCCGTCTCTTGCATCAGCATGACCTGGATGTGAGACCTGGAATCAAAGGAGATCATTTTGCAGCTTTAAAATTTGACTGCCCCGCCATATTTTGGACTTGCATGGGCCCTGTAACCTTTTTGTTTTGGCCAATGTCTCTCATTTGGAATGGCTGTATTTACCCGATACCTGGACCCCCAATGTATCTAGGAAGTAACTAGCTTGCTTTTGATTTTACAGGCTCATAGGTGTAAGGAACTTGCCTTGTCTCAATTGAGGCTTTGGACTGTGGAATTTTGGGTTAATGCTGAAATGAGTTAGGACTTTGGGGCCAGTTGGGAAGGCATGATTGGTTTTGAAATGTGAGGAGGGGCTGGGGACAGAATGATATGGTTTTGCTGTGTCCCCAGCCAAATCTCAACTTGAATTGCATCTCCCAACATTCCCAGGTCTTGTGGGAGAGACCCAGGGAATTGAATCATGGGTGCCAGTCTTTCCCATGCCATTTTTGTGATAGCGAATAAGTCTCACAAGATCTGATGGGTTTAACAGGGGTTTCCACTTTTGCTTCTTTCTCATTTTCTCTTGCCTGCAGCCATGTAAGAAGTGCCTTTCATATCCCTTCATGATTCTGAGGCTTCTCCAGCCATGTGAAACTGTAAGTCCAATTAAACTTCTTTTTCTTCCCACTCTCGTGTATGTCTTTATCAGCAGCATGAAAACGGACTAATACACCCTGAGTTACAGGTGCTCCTGTTGAGAGGTCTGAGATTCAGCATCACTGAGACACCTTCTCTAAATGTGTACTTTTATTAATCCTACCCTCTTCTCTTTATTTGTCCATCCTTAGGTGTGGTAGGTAACTTCTTCCTGTAGTTACTAACTTGATAGCTTGGTGTTTTCTTATTACCTTTTAAGTTATTAACAACTTTTATACTTAGTTAACAATTATTTATATTTAATTCTCTCTACTCAAATAACTAGTGTAGTTTTTGTCCCTGAACTGAATAATAACTGTTCTAGCAAGCTATCATATATTCTTGAAGTTCAGTTTCCTCATCTTAAACATAGGGACAATAGTGCAAGAATGCCTCATAATCCAAGAATAATAGGCACCATAAAAAACAATTTAATTGGAATGCACTTTAAAGGAGAACTGAGATTGCTGGATTACATGGAAGTTATATTTTTAATTTTCAGAGGAACCACCATAATGTTTTTCATAGTAGATATACTATTTTATGTTCTCACCAATAGTGTAAAAGGATTCCCTTTTCTCCACACCCTTGCCAACACTTTTTAACTTTTGTCTCTTTGATAGTAGCCATACTAACCGGGGTGAGGTAATATTTCACTGTGGTTTTGATTTGCATTTCCCTGTTAATTAGTCTTGTTGAACATTTTTCTCACACATATATCGTCCATTTGTATGCCTTCTTTTAAGAAATATCTATTTAGGCCATTTGTCCATTTTTAATCAGATTATTGTCTTTTTTTTAGCATTGAGTTGAATTTCTTATATATTTTTGATATTAGCCCCTAGTAATGTATATAGTTTGCAAGCATTTTCTCCCACACTGTAGCTTGTCTCTTCACTCTGTTTATTGTTTCCTTAGCCATAGAGAAGCTTTTAAGTTTGATGTAACTGAAAATGCATCATAAATTGTGACAAAAGGTTTGACTGGAAGTATAATTTGAAAAAAAAGTATAAAAATCATTTTAGTTTGATGCAACTGAAAATGCATCGCAAATTGTGACAAAAGGTTTGACTGGGAGTATAATTTGAAAAAAATTATTAAAATCATTTATAAAAATCATAAATTTATAAAAATTTATAAATGTCATACATTTAACAAAATTGTATTTGTATTCAAAACTATGCTGTACTTCTCAGAATGAAGGTTGATTTGATGTTGATTTCTACTTTTATGCATATATATTTTTCTCTGAAAAAATGCATAAAATAGTATTATGCATTGCACAGTTTTTATTTTTTGTGCATATTCATTAACGGGGTCATTCCTGGAAAAAATATTCAGGGGCTTCTTTAGTTTTCCAAAAGACACAATCTTTGTTATTCTGGCCAATGTTCTTGTATTCAACTTACTTGCTCTGTCTCTGTCAGATTCTCATTTGTTATTGTTATTCTCATTTGTGATTTCCTATATCATTTTCATTTATCTCATGAAATTCTTCGTCATATGTAAAATTTATAATTTTACCTTGTGATAATTTTGAATACATCAGCATTAAAATACCAGATTGTGGGTAGGAATGAGAGGGATGCTAGAATTTATAATGGATGGATAATTAAGTGGGGTATTTTTTATTGTTTTAATAGTTTTGGAAGTACAGGTGGTTTTTGGATTCACAGATAAATTATTTAGTAGTGATTTCTGGGATTTTGGTGCACTCATCACCAGAGCAGTGTACACTATACCAAATATGTAGTCTTTTATCCCTCACCCCTTCCCACCCTCCCCTCTGAGTCCCCAAAGTCCATTATATCATCTTTATGCCTTCACATTCACATAGGTTAGCTCCCACTTGTAAGTGAGAACATATTTGATTTTCCATTCCCAAGTTACTTCACTTAGAATAATGGCCTCCAACTCCATCCAAGTTGCTGGAAAGGTCATAATTTGTTTCCACTTTATGGCTGAATAGTATTCCATGGTGTATATATACCACATTTTCTTTATCTACTTGTTGGTTGATGGGCATTTTAGGAGAATAAAATGGCTTTTTTTTAATGTTAGTTCATTAGTGAATATTTGTGCATTTTGGATATGCTTGTTTCTCATGAAACCTCACTACTACTAAGTGTAACATTACATATGCCTGGCAAGCAAGACATATGTGTGTGTGTGTGTATATAGATATACATATATATCTGTGTGTGTATGTATATAATTCTTAAATTACAATTCTTAAATAAATTCATATATAAAAATATATAATATATATTAGGTTGGTGCAAAAGTAATTGTGGTTTTTGCCATTAAAAGTAATGACAAACCCACAATTACTTTTGCACCAACCTAATATATATTATATATGCTTTCATATTATATATAATTTAAAGTATATACATTTCTACTTATATATAACTATATAATATATGCTATATATTTTTATAAATTATATTTATATATAAATATAAATATTTCATCATAAATACATATTTCATTTACAGATATAAATATATATATTTCATAAAATATATAATCACAAACAGTTCATTGGATAAAGAAAAGGTGTCATATATATTTATATATATATTTATTCAATGAAATTGTTGTGAATGTCAAGAGATCACTAGCTAAAAAATGTATATCATGGTGCCTAAACCAAAGTTGGTTGTAGAAATTATTATCAAATTTTAGCTATTTAGTTTCATAAATGTATACCTTTACTATATTCTTTTTATCTTTTACATCTTAATATATATTATTGATCTGATTCTTTTTTAATTTTTATTTTAGATTTGGTGGTATATGTACACGTTTGTTACATGGGTATATTGCATAATGGTGGGGATTAGGTTTCTGGTGCACCCATCATCCAAATATTGAGTTGTACCTAATAGGTAATTTTACAACCCTCACCCCCTACCACCATGCCCCCTTTTAGAGTCCCCATTGACTACTATTTCCATTTTTATGTCCATATGTATCCATTGTTTAGCTCCCATTTATAAGTGACAACCTGCAATATTTGATTTTCTGCTTCTGAGTTAGTTCACTTATGAAAATGGCCTCCAACTCCATCCATTTTGTTACAAAGGACATTATTTCATTATTTTTTATGGCTGCATAGTATTCCACTGTGTGTGTACACACACACACACATATACATAGCAATGTATGTGTATACATATATCTATATCTATAGACATAGATATAGATATAGATACATACCAATGGAATTCAGTCAACCATTGATGGACATTTAGGTTGGTTTTAGGTTGATTTCATGACTTTGCAACTGTGAATATTTTTATGATAAACATAGAGTTTCAGGTGCCTTTTTATGTATTTTTTTCCTTTGGATAGATGACAGTAGTGGGATTTCTGGGTTGAATTGTAGCTCTAGTTTTACTTCTTTGTGCTATCTCCATACTGTTTTCCATAGATGTTGAACTAATTTACATTCCCACCAACAGTGTATAAACGTCTCCTTTTCAATGCATCCATGCCAACATATGATGTTTTTTGACATTTTAATAATAGCCAATCTGACTGGTGTATGATGATAACTCAGTGTTGTTTTAATTTGCATTTCTCTGAAAATTATTGATGTTGATAATTTTTTCAGTTTTTCTTGGCCACTTGTAGTTTTTGAAAAATATCTGTTCATGTCTTTTGTCCAGTTTTTAATTGAGTTATTGTTTGTTTTATTCTTGTTGTTTGAGTTCCTTGTAAATTATGCATATTAGGCTTTCATCAGAGGTATAATTTTCAAATATTTTATCCTATGCTGTAGGTTGTCTGTTTACTCTGTTGATTATTTCTTTTACTATGCAGGAAATTTTTACTTTAAATCTCATGTGTCCATTTTTTTTTCATAAGTTATTTGTCTAGGCTGATATCCAGAAGAGTTTTTCCTAGGTTTTCTTCTAGAATTTTTATAGTTTCAGGTATTAAATTTAGGTCTTTAATCAATCTTGAGTTAATTTTTGTGGTTTGAAGGGATAGCTTTCCAGTTTCATTCTGCCTGTGATTACCCAAGTTTCCCAACACTATTTATTGAAAAGCGTACCTTTTCCTCACTGTATATCTTTGTTGACTTTGTTGAAGATCAGTTGTTTTTAGGTATGTGGCTTTCCTTCTTTTTTCTGTTCCATTGATCCATGTGTCTATTTTTGTACCAGTACCATGCTGTTTTAGTTATTATAGCCTTGTAGTATAATTTGACGTCAGGTAATATGATGCCTTTGGACTTGTTCTTCCTACTTAAGATGGCTTTGGCTATTCAGGCTTTTTATTTGGCTCTATATAAACTTAGATTTTTTTTTCTAATTCTTTCCAAAGTGATGTTAGTAATTTGATAGAAATTACGTTGAAACTGTAGATTGCTTTGGGCAATATGATCATTTTAATGATATTGACTCTTCCAGTACATGAGCATGGGATGTTTTTCCCTTTGTTTTTGTTGTCTACAATTTCTTTCATCAGTGTTTTTCAGTTCTCCATGTAGACCTGTCTCAACTCTGTAGTTAAATGTATTCCTAGGTATTTATGTATGCATGTGCGTGGCTACTGTAAACGGGACTGAGATTTTGACTTGGTTCTCAGTTTGAACGTTATTGGTATACAGAAATGCCACTAATTTTTGTATGTCAATTTTGTATCATGAGATTTACTAAAGCTCTTTATAAATCTAGGTGCCTTTTGGATAAATCTTTAGAGTTTTCTAGGTATACAATCATGTTATCAGTGAACAGAGATAATTTGACATCCTCTTTTTCAATTTGGATGCCTTTTACTTCTTTTTGTTGCCTGATTGCTCTGGCTAGGACTTCCAATACTATGTTGAATAGGAGTAGTGAGAATGAATACCCTTGTCTTTTTCTAGTTCTTAGGGGAAATACTTTCAACTTTTGCCCATTCAGTATGATATTAGCTGTGGGATTTTTGTTTGTTTGTTTGTTTTTTGACGGAGTCTTGCTCTGTCGCTCAGGCTGGAGTGCAGTGGCAGGATCTCGGCTCACTGCAAGCTCTGCCTCCTGGGTTCACGCCATTCTCCTGCCTCAGCCTCCCGAGGAGCTGGGACTACAGGCGCCCACCACCACGCCTGGCTACTTTTTTGTATTTTTAGTAGAGATGGGGTTTCACTGTGTTAGCCAGGATGGTCTTGATCTCCTGACCTCGTGATCTGCCCACCTCAGCCTCCCAAAGTGCTGGGATTACAGGCGTGAGCCACCGCGCCCAGCCGGGGCTGTGGGTATTTTATATATGGTTTATTATTTTGATGTATTTTCCTTTGATTCCTAGTTTGTGTAGTGTTTATACCATGACGGGATGTTGGACTTTATTAAATGTTTTTTCTGCATCTATCGAGATGATCAGATGACTTTTGTTCTTGGTTCTGCTTATATGATGGTGAATAACATTTACTGATTTTCATATGTTACACTATACTTGCATCCCTAGAATAAAGCCCACTTGATCATTATGAATTATCTTTTTGATGCACTATTGAATTTAGTTTTAGCATTTTGTGGAAGATTTTTACATGCATGATCATCAGTGATATCAGCCTGTAGTTTTCTTCTTTTTGTTCCATCTTTGCCTGATTTTTGGTACCTGGATGATACTGTTATTGAAAAAGCCAGTCCCCCAAATGCTGGGGTCTTTCCCTGTTTGGTGTCACAAAGCCAATACACAAAACCAAAAGTGAGTGTCAAGCAGTGCATGCTTTATTCAATGTCCATGGAATTGAAAAGTGGGAGCATGGCTCACAAATCAACTTTTTGACAAGAGGTGACGTGGTTAAAATATAAGGTTTCTGTAATGAATACATTGGACATTAAAAGCGAGCAGAGCAATATTCATGTCTTTTCTGCAAATGGGCAGTGAACTTCCCAGAATAGGAATGCTCTCTTCTGTCTTGTTCTTTTATGGCTTCTTCTAGCCATTGTCATGAACATTGTCAATTTTTCTGGCGCTGGTGGGAGCTTCATTTAGCATGAAATAAGATTATAATGAAACCTGGGGTCCTTTTGAAGTTTTTTGGTTGACTATCTTGGCTCTAATCAGTCTCAGTTGGTCAGGTTACAAAAGGAACCTTTTATCACAGATGTTCTGCTTCTTGAAGATATGCAGGATTAGGACATGGTAGACATTCAGCTATGTCCTGTAGGCATTACAACAGGAAAAAATACTGGATTCATAGAATGAGATACTTCCTCCTTGATTTTTTAGAATAGTTTCAGTAAGATTGGTATCAGCTATTTGTTGTACATCTGACAAAAGTCAGCTATAAGTCTGTTTGGTCCTAAGCTTTTTCTGTTGGAAGATTTTTTACTACAAATTCAATGTCATTAGTTATTACTGGTCTGTTCCAGATTTCTATTTCTTTCTAGTTCAGTCTTGGGAGGTTGTATGTTTCCAGGAATGTATCCATTTCCTCTAGGTTTTCTAGTTTGTGTATATAAAGGTGTTCCTATTAGTCTCTGATGATCTTCTGTATTTCTGTATTATTAGTTAGAACATCACATTTATCACATCTGATTATGCTTATTTGAATCTTTTCCCTTTTTTCTTGTTTAATCTAGCTAGTGGACTGCCAAGTTTGTTTTTCCTTTAAAAGAATCACCTTTCCATTTCATTGATCCTTTCTTTGATCTGATTCTTTAGTGAGAGCAGGCTTTGTTAAGAAAAGATTGGAAATAGGTATAGGATAGAACCTCTATCAAGGAATAGACGTGCATTTTCTATTGAAGACATGATATAGTTGCTTCTTCACCTTTAAAACAAAATAAGACCATTATTGAAAGGCTGGTTTTAGAGAAAAACAGTGTCAGAACATTTAGCTAAAAGGTGCATCCTTTTTGGAAACTGAAACTTCTATAAGGGCACTTAAGATTAAGTTTTTGATTCATGAGTAGAGGTAAAGAGAAGCAGCAAGTTAATAAAATGGGGTAGAAAAAATATCGGCAAATGTCATACCTAAGACAAACTAAAATGTGCCATAATGTTTTGACTTTATTTTAAATGAGAACAACTCTGCTTAAACATTTTACATAAAAACATTTATTATACTTACTGCATTTCTAATGGTTTGCTCATGACCTGAAATATCTAACGAGAAGTTGAAGCAAATAGAAACATGAATGTATGGTTCTCAGGAGATGAATATGCCAAGCATGTTGACTTGAATATGTATTGCCTGTTGATAAAAACGTATTATTAATAGAACATGCAAAAGGCTTATGATATATATTTTAATTCTTTTTTTACATTGATGTTATTTTGTCAGTAACTGCTTCAGGTTGATATTTTAAAAATAATTTTGATATATAAAAATGTTGTTTTACATCAGTTTGTAATCATTATGGTTTGGTTTGTTTCCATTTTATAGTAGAACATGCGTAGATCAGGTTTACTAAGTGACAGACATTAAGGAGATGTTCCTAATAATACAAGATTTTGACAATAAACATTATTGATTTATTTTTAAAAAACATATATGATATACTTATATATAATTATATGTTTATATAATTATATATAAGTATATATATAATTTTATACATAAGTATATATTTATATAATTTTATATATAAGTATATATTTATATAATTTTATATATCAGTATATATTTATATAATTTTATATATCAGTATATATTTATATAATTTTATATACAAGTATATATTTATATAATTTTATATACAAGTATATATTTATATAATTTTATATATAAGTATATATTTATATAATTTTATAAGTATATATTTATATAATTTTATATATAAGTATATATTTATATAATTTTATATGCAAGTATATATTTATATAATTTTATATACAAGTATATATTTATATAATTTTATATATAAGTATATATTTATATAATTTTATAAGTATATATTAATATAATTTTATATATAAGTATATATTTATATAATTTTATAAGTATATATTTATATAATTTTATAAGTATATATTTATATAATTTTATATATAAGTATATATTTATATAATTTTATATATAAGTATATATTTATATAGTTTTATATATAAGTATATATTTATATAATTTTATATATAAGTGTATAGTATATATTTATTTATGTATTATTCCTAATTTTAAATAGTTATAAAGATCAGACTTAGCAATCAAGGTTGTGGCTACATTAATTATAATACCACATGACAAAACAATTTGTCAAATGTTTTATATATATATATATATAAATAACATAAAATAATAAACCATAGGCTGAAATACTTTCAATTTTTTTAAAGTATCAACACAATACCAACAGCATTTTACAAAATACCTGCATAATAATACTTAGAAAATATAATAAATTTAACTGTTTCTTCAAAATCAATTTCCCCTCTGGACATATTTATTTCAATGTACTGATCTTTCTATTTGTCCTCAGGCTTAAATATTCAAATAATTCTTGATTCTTTTCTTTCTGGAGAAACTTAAAATAGACTTTATGAAATTCATTACCCCACTCATCACAAATGGTTATTCTCCCCTCTCTCTTTCCCAACCCATCAATCACCACGTGTAGTGCATTTTTTCTGTTGTAATAGCCATCCCTTTCATTGTTCCTGTTACAAGCTTTGTTCAAACCCTCATCACTGTTTCCTCAGGTGGTTGCCAAGGTCTCTTAACGAGTTTCCTTGCCTTAATTTACTCTTTCCCCATTTGCTGATCAACACATCTTCATAAAATTTCATTTTGTAGACATTATCATCTGCTGAAATCCATCAGTAGACCCTAATCACCTACCAAACAAACCTGTAATTCCTCCATTTCAAATTTAATGTTCTCTACAATCTGGTTAAAATCGCAATTATATTTTTCTGCTTTGCAGGAATTCTCTTCTCTGTTCTCTTTGCTTATTTAACCTGTATCCTACAACCCCCACTGAAATCACAATGACACTGTGAAGACTTATCTGCTTTCACCCCTACATAGTGTTCTTGTCCAAGTAACCTTTTTAGCAGCTGTAGGTTAGTCTTTCAAATCATACTATAAAATTACATTTTCCTACCTGGCACATTTGTGAAACTTTGTATGATACTTAATACATCATTTCACTTCAAGTACTTACTAATGAAACATAAAATAGTTTAGAGACTGTATCTATCAATTATGACTATCATACTGTTGATTATTTTGACCTCTAAAGCCCTGATCAGTGAATGCCCTTTGATTCAAGGAAACATACTGAAGTTTAGAAGTGTTTCTCATGGCACTGTGTCAAATGCAAATGCCTTTCATGGCAGTGTATCAAATGTATCTTTTTTTTCTGTTTCGTTATCCATCTTTTCTACTGCCAGGTTGGAAAGCTAAAATATTATTTTATAGATTTCTACCTAGCAAGAAGTGTCATAACCTTCTTTCTTTATGGCTTGTGCTGCATCGTTCTTGCAGGCAAAATTAGCATGGATTTCGATGCTCATCAATAGTATCAGTATGGTCTAACCAAAGTTATTCTTCCTCTAATGTACAGTGGTCTTTATAGCAACCCAGCTCTGCAACAGTCTTATAAATAGTAGTGATTGTGTTTTATTACAATTTCTCCAGTCTAGATTGATTATATAATATCCAAAATCCACAATGAAAGCGAATCATTTAAAAGTAAGCTGACTGTTCAATGCACGTTCACCATTTTCTTTAAATATAGTTTGGTGTAAAATTTTTCATGAACTGTCAAATATACAATACTGCAGTGAAAAAAAATCATTTCTTTCTGCTGTTAAGATATTGTTTCCTCAAACTAGAACACTAGAAGGCCGATTTTTTTTCTTATTTTGCTTCATAAAACAGTGAGAAGAAAAACACGATAAAGCCCATAGCAACAAGATATTTATTTTAACATCTGTGTGATTTATGTCAAATTTAAACTGCTTGTATTTTAGAAAGGAATCTGTTTTCTGTCTTCAAAAGGATGCTATCCAACATCTCTCAGCTGCTAATTTTTAGCACTTAGAGGTTCCCTCGGGCTGCTGTCAACTACGACTTATTGCATAGGTACTTTTCACTAAACTCATTATAAAGTGATTAGCCTCCAGCAAGATAGTGCAATGCTGCAGACTGCTTGCATTATATGTAGCTTTGCAACTGAATTTTGTACTGTCAAATCTTATCAGACAGTGAGTATAGAATGACTCCTGGGATTCAATACATATAGAATGTTGAGAGGGATTTTGTCACTTCTCTTTTAAACCATACCTTTCAAAAAACCATATGTATGCACATACACAAAAACATACACATGCATGTGTGCATACAGAACAAACATAAAATATATACTAGTTTAAAATAGATGGCATAGTTTGCTATCATCAAATACATTTTCAAAATCTATGAATTATTCTTCAGCTTATGCTTTGAATTCAAAAGCTAATTAAATATCTCTAAATGTATGACTGGTTATCATTAATATATGTAATGGTGCCACTTTTATTAGCATATTTAATTTACAATGCTTTTTACCTTAAAGAACCAGTAATAATCAATATCTTGGCATCTAATAAGCCAATAAAACTAAAATTAGACCATATGTGTTAAAATACAGATTATTAGGAGTAGAATGTTAATTTGGCTATTTATTTGCAAGCTTTCCTAAAAAGTTATGCATTATCCCAGTTCACATATTAACCAGAGCATGACAGTAGCACTATACTGCAATAGTGAACAGTCTATACTGGAAGCTACATTAGTTACATTGTACTTCTTCATTAGTCTTTACTTATTGTAAGACTCTTGCATTATCCAGTGCATATTACTCAACTGTTATGCAGTGGTTAAGTTCATGACACATCTTGTAGAAGTTTTAAAATATAGAAGAGTAACTTGCATGCTCCCTGGAAAAAAAAAGACAGAACTGCACATTCTGAACTTGTTCATGTTATGACAACTTCAACTCAAGTATGAAGGTTAACTCAAAACAAATGATCTACTAGGAGGATAAAAGTCTAAAAGAAGTTATTTTATTATTTGCAATTATTACTATCATTTAAGCTGAACTGGTATTTATTCTTTAGATAGAACTGATAGTTTTTGAATGCTTGCATTATTTACATATTTGTTTCCTTTTACAGATTATTCCTGGGCAACTTTTCATCCCTACTAAAAGATTCACATTCACCAGAATGTTCATAGATATTATCTTTCTCTATTCTTTCGTTTTCTCTACAATATACTATGTTGAGAAAACAGAGTGTGGTGGATTAAATATACAGATTTTAGTATCAAACCTGTGGGCTTTTGTTTCTTTATTTTCAATAGAAGAATAATATGACTAACTCAGACTCTTGTGAGGCTTAGTTATATATTATTTTTTATTTGAATATATACACGTGTGTGTGCACGGGTATATATGCATATACTTTTCCTAGCACACAGGGAACATAATAAATGTTTGCTATTACTTAGTATAATATTTTTATTTATTTTTTTAAAAAGGGATATATGTGCAGAACATGCAGGTTTGTTACATAGGTATATGAGTGCCATGGTGGTTTGCTGCACCTGTTGGCCCATCCTCTAAGTTCCCTCCCATCACCCACCACCCCCCAACAGCCCTTGATGTGCGTTGTTCCCCTCTCTGCATCCATGTGTTCTCATTTTTCAACTCTCACTTATGAGTGAGAACGCTCAGTGTTTGGTTTTCTGTTCCTGTGTTAGTTTACTGAGGATGATGGCTTCCAGCTTCATCCATGTCCCTGCAAAGGACATTATCTCATTCCTTTTTTATGGCTGCATAGTATTCCATGGTGTATATGTACCACATTTTCTTTTCTAGTCTATCATTGATGGGCATTTGGGTTGGTTCCATATGTTTGCTATTGTAAATAATGCTGCAATAAACATACATGTGCAAGGAAAACTACAAAGCACTGCTAAAGGAAATAAGAGAGGACACAAACAAATGGTAAAACATTGCATCTTCATGGATAGGAAGAACTGATATCATGAAAATGGCCATACTGCCCAAAGTAATTTATAGATTCAGTGCTATCCCCATCAAACTACCATTGACATTCTTCACGGAATTAGAAAAAAAACTATTTTAAATTTCATATGGAATCAAAGAAGACCCTGTATATCTAAAACAATCCTAAGCAAAAAGAACAAAGCTGGAGGTGTCATGCTAACTGATTTCAAACTATTCCAGAAGGCTACAGTAACCAAAACAGCATGATACTGGTACCAAAACAGGCATATAGACAAATGGAACAGAACAGAGACCTCAGAAATAACACCACATATCTGCAACCATCAGACCTTCAACAAACCTGACAAAAACAAGCAATGAGGAAAGGATCTCCTATTCAGTAAATGGTGCTGGGAAAACTGGATAGTTATATGCAGAAAACTGAAACTGGACCCCTTCCTTACACCATATACAAAAATTAACTCAAGATGGATTAAAGACTTAAATGTAAAACCCAAAACCATAAAAACCCTAGAAGAAAAGCTAGGCAATACCATTCAGGACATAGGCATGGGCAAAGACTTCATGACTAAAATGCCAAAAGCAATTGTAACAAAAGCCAAAGTTGACAAATGGGATCTAATTGAACTAAAGAGCTTCTGCACAGCAGAAAAAACTATAATCAGAGTGAACAGGCAACCTAAAGAATGGGAGAACATTTTTGCAATCTACCCATCTGACAAGGTCTAATATCCAGAATTTACAAGGAACTTAAGCAAATTTACAAGATAAAAACAAACAAACTCATCAAAAAGTGGGCAAAGGATATGAACAGGCACTTCTCAAAAGAAGCCATTTACGTGGCCAACAAACATATGAAAAAAAGCTCAACATCACTGATCATCAGAGAAATGCAAATCAAAACCATAATGAGATGCCATGTCATGCCAGTCACAATGGCGATTATTAAAAAGTCAAGAAACAGTAGATGCTGGCGAGGCTGTGAAAAACATAGGAATGCTTTCACACAAAAATAGGAATGGTGGGAATGTAAATTCGTTCAACCATTGTGGAAGACAGTGTGGCTATTCCTTAAGGATCTAGAACCAGAAATACCATTTGACCCAGCAATCCTATTACTGGGTATATACCCAAAGGAATATAATTTTTATACTAATATGACTACATTTATTTTTGTATTTGGATTTTGATATGAAATATGACATTAATCCAAAAAAGAAATAATGATGTAATTTATTGCATAAAAATAAAAAATGCATCTTAGATACAGCATATATGTTTATTCTGTATACTTCTAAAATGTTTATATATTATATAATTATGTTATATATGTGTATATACCACTAATGATGCTTTGATGCTTATGAAAAGTAAGCTAGGTAAATAAGTATTTTACCAAAGTAAATAAGATTTTATTCCTTCTTAGTGAATAAAATTAAGAGTGAAATAAAATATTTTAATTTTGAGACATGGTCTCATTCTGTGACCCAGGATTAAGTGCAGTGGCACAATCATGACTCGCTGCAGCCTCGACCTCCTGGGCCCATTTGCAGCGTTCACCTCAGCCTTCTGAGCAGCTGTACAGGCACATGCCACCAGGTCCAGCTAATTTTTTAATTTTTTTTTTTTTGTGGAGGTGGGGTCTTGCTATTTTTCCCAGCTTTGTCTGGAACTCCTGGACTCAAGCAATCCTTTCACCTCAACCTCGCGATATGCTGAAATTAATAGGCATGAGCTGTTGCATCCAGTCAAAATCAAATACCTTTATCTTGCCTTCACTGTTGACTAGAGTCACAGTTATTTTAGGCACTGCATATACACCTTATACAAAAATTAATTCAGGATGGATTAAAGACTTAAACGTAAGACCTAAAGCCATAAAAATCCTAGAAGAAAACATGGGCAATATCATTCAGGATATACACATGGGCAAAGACTTCATGACTAAAACACCAAAAGCAATGGCAACAAAAGCCAAAATTGACAAATGGAATCTAATTAAAGTAAAGAGCTTCTGCACAGCAAAAGCAACTATCATCAGAGTGAACAGTCAACCTACAGAATGAGAGAAAATTTTTGCAATCTATCCAACTGACAAAGGGCTAATATCCAGAATCTACAAAGAACTTAAATAAAATTACAGAAAAAAACAACCCCATCAAAAAGTGGGCAAAGGATATGAACAGACATTTCCCAAAGAAGACATTTATATGGCCAAGAAATATGAAAAAAATCTCATCATCACTGGTCATTAGAGAAATGCAAATCAAAACCACAATGAGATACCATCTCAAGCCAGTTAGAATGATGATCATTAAAAAGTCAGGAAACAAAAGATGCTGGAGAGGATGTGGAGAAATAGGAATGCTTTTACACTGTTGGTGGGAGTGTAAATTAGTTCAAGCATTGTGGAAGACAGTGTGTTGATTCCTGAAGGATCTAGAACCAGAAATACCATTTGACCCAGCAATCCCATTACTGGGTATATATCCGAAGGATTATAAATCATTCTACTATAAAGACACATGCACACGTATGTTTCTTGAAGCACTGTTCACAATAGCAAAGACTTGAAACCAACCCAAATGTCCATGGATAATAGACTGGATAAAGAAAATGTGGCACATATACACCATTGAATACTAAGTAGTCATAAAAAAGGATGAATTCATGTCCTTTGCAGGGACATGGATGAAGCTGGAAACCATCATAAACTCTTTTGTTATACAATGCTAGGTCTATCTTGTCCATCTTATCATCTCCTATCTCCCCAAGAACCGTAAGCTCCAACCGCACCTCTATATTTTCAATATACTATTTATGTTTATAGAAAATTAGGTTACATGTTTCCTTTTACTGAGCCACTCTTGCATTCTCAGAAATAAACTTTAAATTAATGAGTGACTAATTCATTATACAGTTTATTTGATTTTTAGTTAACATTTTTTCTTTAATATTCATAAGTCAGATGTAGATGTAGTTTCATTTACTGAGCTTTTTTTAATGTGTGATTTTTAACAAGAAATAAATAAGAATGCTTTTTTCTTACTCTTTGGGGCAATTTAATAAAGTTAAAAGTCAGGTACGTTACTCAGGTGCAAATATAAGAGGGCACAAAAATTCAAGGTCGATAATATGTTAATGCAACATTATTAAAAATAAAAATCCATGAACAAAATTAAATGATGGACCAAATATCAAACTTTAAAGCTAAAATCTAACAGGAGTAACACTGGAATTATATTTTGCTTATAGTGCTAACATAATTCACCCTGTAAACTCTTCTTGGTGAATTTTTTAAAAGATAGGGAACCTGACAATTTTCTGCATTGATATTATCATTATACCTCATCTTTTTGATGGTGTTTCCTCACAAAAGAGATTATTATTATTATTATTATTTTCAGTTAAAAAAAGAAAGTTTTCAAAAGTATAAGCCAGATATTATTCATAGTTTTGCCCCTAACAAGTGGAATTGGAGGTAGAAGTTTGGAAAGTGGGTGCATTTTTAACCTTTATTTAAGTCCTACCCTATCCTTCACATTTTAAAATAAATACACTTTAACTTTAATAAAACAAGTTGAAATATCTTTAAAAGCATGCTCATCAGTCATACTAATAAATTTATGAAATGAGGGAAATGGGAAAATGTAGGTGAAAGGGTAGAAAGTTGCAGTTACGTAGGATGAATAACTCTAGAGATCTAACGCACAGCATGAGCAGTATGATTAATAATATTGTATTGTATACTGAACATTTCCTAAGAGAGCAGATTTTAGGTGCTCTTACAAAACACACAGATAAAAGGTAACTATGTGAGGTGATGGTTATCTTAATTTCCTTTACTGTCATAATCACCTCTTTATGTATATGTATTAATATATCAAAGCATCATATTGTACACCTTAAATATATGAAATTAAAAATAAGAATCTTACTTTTTACTCTGTACACTTCTATATTGTTTGAATGTTCAAGGTGAGTTTGCATTACTTTTGATATTTAAAAAATCTGCAATGACTGTCCCATTACCTAATGTAATAAAATGCAAATTCTTTAGCTTAGAACATAAAGTTCTTTATTATCTCGCTCTTGCACCCTCATTTCTATCTCCTACCTATACACATACTCGTTTTGGTCATGTTTACCTTCATACTTGCAGTCCAAAGTAGCAAATCTCTACCAGTACACACAACGTGTTCCTTTTATATGACTTTTTAAAAAACAGAATATATATTTTTAATTTATTTATTATAGTTTAAGTTCTGGGATACATGTGCAGATCGTGCAGGTTTGTTACGTATATATACATGTGCAATGGTGGTTTGCTGAACCCATCAACACGTTATCTACATTAAGTATTTCTCCTAATGCTATCCCTCCCCTTGTCCCTCACCCCCAGACAGGGCCCGGTGTGTGATGTTCCCCTCCCTGTGTCCATGTGTTCTCATTGTTCAACTCCCACTTATGAGTGAGAACATGCAGTGTTTGGTTTTCTGTTCCTGTGTTAGTTTGCTGAGAATGATGGTTTCCAGCTTCATCCATGTCCCTGCAAAGGACATGAACTCATTCTTTTTTTATGGCTACATAGTATTCCATGGTGTATATGTGCCACATTTTCTTTATCCAGTTTAACATTGATGGGCATTTGGATTGGTTCCAAGTCTTTGCTACTGTGAATAGTGCAGTAATAAACATACGTGTGCATGTGTCTTTATAGAAGAATGATTTATAATCCTTTGGGTATATACCCAGTAATGGGATTGCTGGGCCAAATGGTATTTCTGGTTCCAGATCCTTCAGCAATAACCACACTTTCTTACACAATGGTTGAACTAATTTACACTCCCATCAACAGTGTAAAAGCATTTTTATTTCTCCACATCCTCTCCAGCATCTGTTGTTTCCTGGTTTCCTGATTTTTTTTTTTAATATACTTTAAGTTCTGGGGTACATGTGTAGAACGTGCAGGTTTGTTACATAGGTATACACGTGCCATGGTGGTTTGCTGAACCCATCAGCCCGTCATCTACATTAGGTATTTCTCCTAATGCTATCCCTCCCCTAGCCCCCCACCCCCCAACAGGCCCAGTGTGTGATGTGCCCCTCCCAGTGTCCATGTGTTCTCATTGTTCAACTCCCACTTATGTGTGAGAACATGCGGTGTTTGGTTTCCTGTTCTTGTGTTAGTTTGCTGAGAATGATGGTTTCCAGCTTCATCCATGTCCCTGCAAAGGACATGAACTCATCCTTTTTATGGCTCCTTAGTATTCCATAGTGTATATGTGCCACATTTTCTTTATCCAGTCTATCATTGATGGGCATTTGGGTTGGTTCCAAGTCTTCGCTATTGTGAACAGTGCCACAAGAAACACACATGTCCCTGTGTCTTTATAGTAGAATGATTTATAATCCGTTGGGTATATACCCAGTAATGGGATTGCTGGGTCAAATGGTATTTCTGATTCCTGAAGCATCCTTCAGGAATCGCCACATTGTCTTCCACAATGATTGAACTAATTTACACTCCCACCAACAGTGTAAAAGCATTCCTGTTTCTCCACATCCTCTCCAGCATCTGTTGTTTCCTGACTTTTTAATGATCGCCATTCTAACTGGAATGAGATGGTATCTCATTGTGATTTTGATTTGCATTTCTCTAATGACCAGTGATGAGCTTTCTTTCATATGTTTGTTGGCTGCATAAATGTCTTCTTTTGAGAAGTTTCTGTTCATATCCTTTGCCCAATTTTGATGGGGTTGTTTTTTTTCTTGTAATTTTGTTTGTTCTTTGTAGACTGTGGATTTTAGCCCTTTGTCAGATGGATAAATTGCAAAAATTTTCTCCCATTCTGTAGGTTGCCTGTTCACTCTGATGATAGTTTCTTTTACTGTGCAGAAGCTCTTTAGTTTAATTAGATCTCATTTGTCAAATTTGGCTTTTGTTGCCATTGCTTTTGGTGTTTTAGTCATGAAGTCTTTGCCCATGTGTATGTCCCGAATGGTATTGCCTAGGTTTTCTTCTAGAGTTTATATGGTTTTAGGTTATACATTTAAGTCTTTAATCCTTCTTGAGTTAATTTTTGTATAATATGTAAGGAAGGGGTCCAGCTTCAGTTTTCTGCATATGGCTAGACAGTTTTCCCAACACCATTTATTAAATAGGGAATCCTTTCCCCATTGCTTGTTTTTGTCAGGTTTGTCAAAGATCAGATGGTTGTAGATGTGTGGTGTTATTTCCGAAGCCTCTGTTCTGTTCCATTGGTCTATATATCTGTTTTGGTACCAGTACCATGCTGTTTTTGTAGTGTAGCCTTGTAGTATAGTTTGAAATCACGTAGCATGACACCTCCAGCTTTGTTCTTTTTGCTTATGATTATCTTGGCTATACGGGCTCTTTTTTGGTTTCGTATGAAATTTAAAGTAGTTTTTATAATTCTGCGAAGAAAGTAAATTGTATTTTGATAGGAATAGCATTGAATCTCTGAATTACTTTGGGCAGTATGGTCATTTTCATGATATTACTTCTTCCTATCCATGAGCATGGAATGTTTTTCAATTTGTTTTTGTCTTCTCTGATTTCCTTGAGCAGTGGTTTTTACTTCTTCTTAAAGAGGTCCTTTGCATCCCTTGTAAGTTATATTTCTAGGTATTTTATTCTCTTTGTGAAGAGAGAATTGTGAATGGGAATTCACTCATGATTTGACTCTGTCTTTTTCTATTATTGGTGTATAGGAATGCTTGTGATTTTTTTCACATTGATTTTGTATCCTGAGACTTTGTTGAAGCTGCTTATCAGCTTAAGGTGTTTTGGGGCTGAGATGATGGTGTTTTCTAAATATACAATCATGTCATCTGCAAACAGACACAATTTGACTTCCTCTGTTCCTATTTGTATATCCTCCATTTTGTGTTTATTTTCTTTCAATTGGATTTTGGAAAAGGGGTTAAGACATTGGCTGTGTTGTCTTTCCTGCAAGACCACCTATTAATTATAACAAAATTTTTCTATATTTCTATTTATTATTTTTTTCTGCTTTGTTTGATATATAAAATATTTGCGGGCCTTTTCATAGTTCCCTGTTATAAATGTCTTTCTCCTGATTCTTCTTATAGCTCTACTTATTTTTAAAAATATATACTGCAATGTTATTTTATTTAAATAATTATTTAAATATGTTATTTAAATAATTATTTAAATGTTATTTTATTTAAATAATTGAGCTTTGTACATTCAAAGTTACTGTCAATTTGTATGAATAAAATTTAAATTTTCCTGATTTAATGTAATTATTGTCTTTGAAATTTAAAACTTTTACCAAAATAATATATAATATTCCTAGGTGTTATGTCTCCTTGCCAGTCTCATCTTTCTCTCTTTCTTTCTCTCTCTTTCTCTCTCTCTCTCTTTCTCTCTCTGTCTTTCTCTCTCTCTCACACACACACACACATACACACATACACACATACACACACAGACACATACACACATACATAGACATAGTTCACATTATATATGACTATTAGTAATTTCTTTTAAACTACAAGGTTAAATGTTTGTTCAGCTCAGAAAATTTTCTCTCCACTGTTCTTTGGTTTTCCCTTTTATTACATTGTGTCTGACTCATCTAAAATTTCTCTTTTGTGTGTATTGGGATTCCTTAGATTTGTCCACTTTGATGGTTAATTTTGTGTGTCACCTTGTCTAGGCTAAGGGCTGCTCAGAAGATCATAAAGCATTATTTCCATGTATGTTTGTGAAGCTGTTTTCAGAAGAGATTAGCATTTCAATCAGTACACTGAGTAATTAAGTTTACTTCAGTTAACCCATTGAGGGCCCAGAGAGGAAAAAAAAGGCAGAGAAAAAACAAACTCTCTCTCTTCTAGAGCTGGAACATTGATCTTCTTTTGAACTGAGACATTAGAAATCCTGGTTCTTGGGCCTTCAGACTCCAGGACTTTCAGAAATAACTCTGCTAGTTCTCAGACCTTTGGCCTTGGACTGGGAGTTACATTATTACCCCTGTCAATTCCCCAAGGTTCTGAGGCCCTCAGACTTTAACTGACTTACACCACTGGTTCTTCCGCTTATAGGTGACAGACCGCAGAGCTCATTTTCCTTTATAGTTGCGTAAACCAATTCTTATAATAAATCTTCTCTTATAAATCTCTATATATCCTATTAGTTCTATTTCTGTGGAGAACCCTGATACATACACCAAGTTTTTCATACCTTCTTCTACTGTTGTTTTGTTTGTTTGTTTTTATCACGTTACTACTTCCTGGGTCCTGGATGAATGTTTTGAATCTATATACTACCTTTTAAATTCAAATATTACCTTATTATATGGTATTCCCTTTGAAGCTTTAAATTTAACAATACTACTTGAAAAAAATTCTTTATGTGTGTGTGTGTAGGTCTGTAGCTTCAATTCATCTCTTTAAAATTGCTTATTCTACTATTGTTTTATTTATTTATTTTTTGACCAATTATATTCTTAAATCTCATTGAGGAAAAAATAAGAAAACATTTCTAGTATTATTCTGTTACTTAGAATTATTATATTTCCCAATGAGGTATCTCTTCTGATTCTTTTTTTTTTTTCAGAGTCTTTCTCTGTTGCCCAGGCTGGAGTGCAGTGGCATGATCTTGGCTCCACGCAACCTCCACTTCCCAAGTTCAAGTGATTCTCCTGTCCCAGCCTCCCGAGTAGCTGGGATTACAGGTGCCCGCCACCGCGCCCAGCTAATTTTTGTATTTTTAGTAGAGACGGGGTTTCACCGTCTTGGCCAGGCTGGTCTCGAACTCCTGACCTCGTGATCCACCCGCCTTGGCCTCCCAAAGTGCTGGGATTACAGGCGTGAGCCACCGCACCCTGCCTCTTCTGATTCTTAATGATACTTTCTTTTGAATTGCAGTGTATTTTCACATATTTGGTTATTTTCATTTTTCTTTTTAGAAATTCTGGCATCAGAATATTTATGATTGCTTATTATTTTTCCATAGTTAAGTAGGAATTGAGATAAGTTCTATAAGAAACTGGTATAAGTCTTTGCATTAATCTTTCAGATCTAGATGCAGAGAAGGCAAAATTTTAAATCGACACTGTTAGTCAGTGACTTAGTAGTTTGGAGGGATTAAGAAAAAATCCAGAGCACTAAACAGACCAAGGAAGAAAGGCTACTGTGCTATGACTTCATTTTCAAGAACAAATGCAATGCAAACAAACCCAAGAGCAAGTGCACAATAAACTACTTTCCTGTACCAAGAACAATTCTTGGCAGTCTTAAGCTTCTTTCTTAGTTATGCGGCCTGTAGCACTGGCTTTTGACTTCTAGTGAACTCTCACTGTAAGTTATCATACTTCCCCTCAAGTCTAATTGTAGGTCTAGATGCTGGGAATGCACAGATATTAGATGGTACTAGTGTGTTATGTGCCCTTCAATGTTCTTTGGCTCATTTTTAAGCAATTCAGCCTTCTTCTCTAAATTTTAAGAAGTATTGCTGGATGAATTGGTAGTTCTATTTTTAATTATTTAACAAATCTTCATACTGCTCTCCCAAGAAACTACACCATTTTGCCTTCCCATCAACAGTGCACAAAGATTCAAATTTCTCTACGTTCTTACCATCCCTTGTGGGTTTTTTGTTTGTTTTGTTTTGTTTTTTGATAGTAGCAGACCTGACAGGTGTGAGCAGGTATTTCTCTGTGGTTTTGACTTGCATTTCTCTGATGATTAGCGATGTTGAGCACCTTTTCATATACCCACTGGCAGTCTGTATGTCTTCTTTGGAAAAATGTTGATTCGGGCCCTTTGCAAACTTTTCAGTTATATTATTAGGTTTTGGCCATTTAGTTGCAGAAGCTCATTATATATTTTGGAAATTAACCCTTGATCATATATGTGGTTTACGAATATTTTCTCCTATTACACGGATTGCCTTTTAACTGGATATCTTTATCCAAAAGAATGTAAATCAGAGTCTTGAAGAGATCTTAACACTCCTATGCTCATTGCAGCACTGTGCACAATAGCCAGAAAGTGGAAACAACCTAAATGTCCATTGCCAGATGGATGGATAAAGAAAATGTGTTACATATGTACAATATGTACTGTTCAGTTTTTCAAAAAAAGAAAGTCTGCAATATGTGGCAATAAATTATCTTGGTAACATGGCCAATTTAGGAATTATCAGACACTATACTCTTTTTTTAATTCAATAAAAATAAATGAGATACAGCCTCTCCTCTGATGTTTCCCACAAAATATAAGTGTTTCTGTTGTTATTTAACAATAGGAGGAATTACACAAAGGAATTTTCTCTACTCTTATAGTCCCTTATACTGTAATAGTCCCTTAATAGTTTTATTAACATTGGGGATAACACTGGGGACACTACACCCAATAGTTTTACTAAGAGACTATTAATACAAATCCTATAATATTATAAGCAAAAACACATTTAGTGCAAATCTAGTGAGAGAGTTCTTGCCATGGAGTAGCAAAAGAGCCCTGAATGGCTTAAGCCACAGAAAAACAAAAAAAGTAGGGTCACTCAAATAAAGTCTGGGAAAATGGGAATTAAGAAAGAAGTGGGAAGAGACCATGCTGACTCACAGTTTTACCTAAGATTGGATGAACTATTTTTCTCTTTCTTTTTGGCATGCATCTTTATGATGTAGTATTTCCTATACTTTAAGCTTTGGATATTTTCTTAAAGGTTTTTACAGTTAGTATTTGTGCATGTACACAAAGGTGTATGCCTGAATGACAGGAAATCAATACAGGCCAAAGGTAGTTATTTATGTACCAAATAAGTGTGTATTAGTTTTCTATTGCTTTCTATGTGGCTGCCCTCCATCAATGGTGAATTAAGTGCTTCTTCAGACTTTCTGAATTCAAGTTCTGCCTCATCTTTCTGAATGAATCTTATGTCCTCTTCTTTTGCTTTAAGAGCCCACCAAAATATTCCAGGATCCATGATAATCTCCCTGTCTTAAAGTCAGCTTATTAGCAATCTTAATTATATCAGCAAGTCACTTTTTCAATAGTATTAATATATATGATTGAATAACCATGTCACATAAATCTTGGGATAAGGGCATTTTTAGAATTTTGCCTACCTCAAAAGATACATAGGTAGACTATCATAAGAGAGAGACCTATGTTTCATGGCTTTGATAGCTCTTTGTTTTTGCTATTTGGTTTTCTACATTTATAAATATTGTAGAATCTCAAGGTTGACTTATTAACCTTGATCCAGCCTGTATTAGTCTGTTTTCACACTGCTATAAAGAACTGCCCAAGACTGGGTCATTTATAAAGAAAAGAAGTTTAATTGACTCACAGTTCCACATGGCTGGGGAGGCCTCAGGAAACTTACAATCATGGCAGAAGGGGAAAAGGCACATCTCACATGTCGACAGGTGAGAGAGAGCAAGTATGTGAAGAAGGATCTGTCAGAGACTTATAAAATGATCAGATCTCATGAGAACTCCTTCACTACCAGGAGAACAACACTGGGGACACTGCCCCCGTGATCTAACCACCTCCAACTAGATCTCTCCCTCGACACATGGGGATTATGGGGATTACAATTTAAGAGGAGATTTGAGTGGGGACACAAAGCCTAACCATTTGCAAAATGATATATATTTTTTTCAAAAGTATGAAACACTGACCAAAATACATAAATTACTGGAATTATTGGCCTTTGAGTTTTACATGAATTTTTATGATATCAAGTGCACAGAAGCCTTATTAAAATATCACTGTAAGTTGAACATGAAGAAGCTCTTTAGAATTCTTAGAGATGCTCATTTTATAGAGAAATGGGAAAATGGATATGTGAGCACTGGCAGCTGAAAAGGTACAGATTTCTCAGTAATGACACAGGTAACTGGCTTTCAATAGAATTTTTTTAGAGTAACTTGTCCCATTGTATTACAGAATCCATAATTAATTACTGTGAAGAACTAGCGTTTACCGTTTTCTTGCTACTCAGGGGAATATGATCTTAAACAACAAGGTATAATCTAAGCAAACTTTACACTAGACATTTAAAGTAATTTAAGGTATAAAGAAAAACACACTCTAAATTAATAGTCCAGAAAATGAACAGACAGACCAATTAGTTTTATTTTAATTATAAATCTTTATAAATATAAGTCATTGAAGCATACCATTTCTTAAATGTTTATGATTAAAATTGGTGCCTGACTTCCTTAGACAGTATAATATCATCAATAGAGCTTAAGCTCTGGAGACAGAACTGGGTCCAAATCTTGGCTTTATCACTTAGTAAATGTATGATTACGCACAATTTATCTAAATTTTCTGTTTTACTTGCTGCATTTATAAAATAAGAATATTGTTACTTACTTTGAAGGCTGATTTGAAGACTAAACAACATGTTAAATTTATCCCTCGGTGTCTGAAACATAGTAAGTGCTGGAGTGGTAACTTATTGTTATACGTCCAATCCTGTGCAATCTATACTTTGGTTGTACTGGTAACAAGTGACACGAGGCAAACATTGACACAGGTATTATGATAATTTCCACCATTAACAAGCCATTCTCCTCCTCCCACTCGTCGTACTTGTCTTCCTCACCCTCCTCCCCTCCTCCTTTTCTCTCCACCTCTCTCTCTCTTTTTTCCTCTCTCTCCCTTCTTGAGCTTTCTTTCACTCCCTTGTTTTTTAATATTTATTTCCCAAATGACTGGAGAAGCAAGAGTCAAAGACAGAAATCAGTATTGAGTCTAGTTATACAAACTGAAGAAGAGAAAAGTGTTTCAAGGAGGAATTCATTATTAGAGTCATATATAACAGAGAGATCATAGAGAATAAGAACAGAGAAAATAACTCTGTAGATCTAACAGGCAGAGAGTTCATTGATGACTTACATGAAAACAGTCACACTCCAATAGCAGTTATTAGTCTGATGAATGACTAATTTTCTGGTTCAAAGGAGATATAAAGAACAATGAATGGACCCTTATAGAGAGACAAAGACTCATGAAATAATATTTAAAACAAAAATCGTTTTCAATTCAGCCACATGTTTCTCCAAAGGCATAACAAGGAAGAAAGAAGAGTTATATTTAAGGAGGCGAATTAAGAGTTAAGAGTTTCATACATTTTCAGGCAAGTACTTAAGAAAGTCTAGAAGAGTAACAACACTTAAATGAGAGGGTCCCATAACTACAACATCTTCAGCTATTCTGGATGAAATTTCTGTGCTATTGCCTAGAGCAGTCTCAAAGAGATTCCTCAGCTGACTTACCCTAAATGCTGCCTCCATCCCTAAACACTTATACACTGTTATTGGGCAAGGTAGGTATAATCACTTATCAGAAATTACCAGGCAATGATGAACTAGGCAGCTTGATGATATGTGGCTGGGTAAAACTGGGTGTTTAAAGTCCAATTGCCCAAACACATCTAAGTAACCATCCAAGGACTGGAGTGGTCCAGGCAAATAGCTCATTAATTTATTTAAAACTCATATTTGAAAGCTAGTCATTCATTTCTATTTCAAATATACCATTGTTGACTACATTAACACTGCTGTCATACAACCAAGATACATCATTCTGTCTTAGATTTGAAGATCATAGTTTCAATCCCTTGACCAAAGAATTGCATTACAAAATGACTTTTTTAATGGATAGAACTGATGGCACCTGGATGGAGAAATTTGCAGGAACATTGTAAAGGAATTATTGATTGAGCAAAGGAATCAGCTCTGGTGACCATACAGTTTATATCACGTTTCTGAGTGTCATCTTCATGACTTGACTGTATAGCCGTACTTCCAGAAAAACACTGTGTAGTCAGACATGACCTATCCTCTATTTATAAAAGTCAATTCTAGAGCATCATTGGCAGAGCGTTTTAGTAAATACTACTTTAAATTTCCTATTAAGTGAATATTACTTATGAAACAAATTCCATTAATCCAGATACTACTGAAACAATTTTTAAATTTTCTCTAGCTCTCAATCCATACATTAATTAAAAATGTCCTAGTTTTGACTGAATTTCTAATATGCTCAACACTATATAAGATATTAAAGTTTGCTGTAAGTGAATGCCATTATGCTTTATTGTGACTTTTAGTTTTAATTACTGTGGGTACATAGTTGGTACATATATATAAATATTGATTGCGCATGAGACGTTTTGATACAGGCACAAAATGTTTAATAATCGCATCGTGAAGAATGAGGTATCCATACTTTTAAGTATTTATCTTTTGTGTTAAAAAATCCAATTATACTCTTTAGTTATTTCAAAATGTACAACAAAATTGTTATTAACTATAGTCACCTTGTTGTGCTATCAAATAGTAGGCCTTATTCATTCTTTCTCCCTATATTTTTTTGTACACATTCACTATCCTCACCTTCCCCCAAATCCGCCACTACCCTTCCCAGCCCCTGGTAACCATACATCTACTCTCCATGTTCATGAGTTTAATTGTTTTGATTTTTAGATACCACAAATAAGTGAGTGAATATTTGATGTTTGTCTTTCTGTGCCTGGCTTATTTCACTTAGCTTAATGAATTTAACTTCTATCCATGATGTTTCAAATAACAGGATCTCATTCTTTTTATGGCTGAATAGTACTCTGTTGTGTATGTATACCACATTTAAAAAGAATCCACTCATCTGTTGATGAACACTTGATTGATCCCAAATCTTAGCTATTGTAAACAGCTGCAACAAACATGGGCATGCAGATATCTCTTTTATATACTGATTTCCTTTTTTGGGGGTATATGCCCAACAGTAGGATTGCTGGATCTTATAATACTCTATTTCTAGTTTTATGAGTAACATCCAAACTGTTCTCCATAGTGGTTATATTAATTCATCTGCCCACCAACAGTGTACAAGGATTCTTTTTTCTTCACATCCTTGCCAACATTTGTTATTGCCTATTTTTGAATATAACCATTTTAACTGGGGTAAGATTATATTTTATTGTTGCTTTAAATTGCATTTCTCTGATGATTGGTGATGTTGAGCACCTTTTCACGTGCCTTTCTGCTATTTGTGTGTCTTCTTTTAAGAAATGTCTATTCAAATCTTTTGCATATTTTAATGGTATCATTAGATTGTTTCCCTATAGAGGTGTTTCAGCTTCTTATGTATTCTGGTTATTAATCCTTTGTCAGAATGTTAGTCTGCATATATTTTCTCCCTTTCTGTGGGTTGCCACTTCACTTTGTTGATTGTTTCCTTTGCTGAGGAGAAGCTTTTAACTTGATGTGATGCCTTTTGTTCATTTTTGCTTTGGTTGCCTGTGCTTGTGGGGTATTGCTTAAGAATTTTTTGCCCAGACCAATATCTTGGAGATTTCCTCCAATGATTTCTTGTAGTTGTTTTACAGTTAGAGGTCTTTAATCTATTTTAATTATATTTTTTAATGTGGAGAGGGATATGGGGGGTCTAGATTCATTCTTCTGCATATGGATATCTAGTTTTCCCAGCACCATTTCTTGAAGAGATTATCTTTTCCCCAGTTTATGTACTTGGCACAATGGTCAACAATGAATTTACTGTAGATGAGTGGATTTGGTTTTGGTTTATCTATTCTGTTCCTTTGGTCTATATGTGTGCTTTTTTGCCAGTACTATGCTGTTTTGAGTACTATGTCTCTGAATGATAACTTGAAGTCAGGTAATGTGATTCCTTCAATTTTGTTATTTTTGGTTATTATAGATTTGGCTATTCTGGGTCTTTTGTGGTCCTATATAAATTTTAGGACTTTTTTTTTCTATTTCTGTGAAACATTCCATTGGTATTTTGATAGGGATTGAATTGAATCTGTATATTGCTTTGGTAGTGTGGACATTTTAACAATATTGATTCTTCCAATCCATTAACATGGAATATGTTTCCATTTTTTGGTGTCCTCTACAATTTCATTTACCAGTGTTTTATAGTTTTTATTATATAAGTCTTTCACTTATTTGGTTAATTCCTAGGTATTTAATTTTATTTGTGGCTGTTGTAAATGGGATTCCATTTTTATTTCTTTTCCAAATTGTTCACTGTTGGCATGTAGAAATGCTACTAATTTTTGTAAGTTGATTTTGTATCCTAAAACTTTACTAAGTTTGTTTATCATGAGCAATCGGTTTTTGTTGTGGATTCTTCAGGGTTTTATTTCTTCTTCTTATTATTATTATTATTATACTTTAAGTTTCAGGGTACATGTGCACAACGTGCAGGTTTGTTACATATGTATACATGTGCCATATTGGTGTGCTGCACCCATTAACTCCTCATTTAGCATTAGGTATATCTCCTAATGCTATCCCTCCCCCCATCCTACAACAGTCCCCAGTGTGTGATGTTCCCCTTCCTGTGTCCATGTGTTCTCATTGTTCACTTCCCACCTATGAGTGAGAACATGCGGTGTTTGGTTTTTTGTCCTTGCGATAGTTTGCTGAGAATGATGGTTTCCAGCTTCATCCATGTCCCTACAAAGGACATGAACTCATCATTTTTTATGGCTGCATAGTATTCCATGGTGTATATGTGCCACATTTTCTTAATCCAGTCTATCATTGATGGACATTTGGGTTGGTTCCAAGTCTTTGCTATTGTGAATAGTGCCACAGTAAACATACGTATGCATGTGTCTTTATAGCAGCATGATTTATAATCCTTTGGGTATATACCCAGTAATGGGATGGCTGGGTCAAATGGTATTTCTATTTCTAGATCATTGAGGGGATTCTTCAGGGTTTTGTCTCTAAATATAAGATCCTATCATCTGCAGACAAAGGTAATTTGAATTCTTCCTTTCCAATTTGGATGCCATTTATTTCTTTCTTTTGTCTGATTGCTTTAGCAAGGACTTCCAGTACTATGTTGAATAACAATGGTGAATGTGGTCATCTTTGTCGTGTGTCAGATCTTAGAGGAAAGGCTTTCAATTTTTCCCCACTCAGTAAGAGATTAGCTGCCAGTCTGTCATATATTGCTTTGTTATGTTTAGGTATGCTTCTTCTATCCACAGATTTTGAGGGTTTTTCCATGAAAGGATGTTGAATTTTATAAAATACTTTTCCAGCATTAGTTGAAATAATCATTTGATTGTTATCCTTCATTCAGTTGATATGATGTATGACATTGATTGGTTTGCATATGTTGAGCCATCCCTGCATCCTAGGGATAAATCTGACTTGATCATGATAAATGACCTTTTATATGCTTTGTTGAATTCAGTTTGCTAGTATTTTGTTGAGGATTTTTGCATCAACATTCATCAGAGATATTGGCCTATATATTTTTGATGTGTCTTTCTCTGATTTCGGTATTAGGGTAATACTGTCCTTGTAGAATGAGTTTGGAAGTATTCACTCCTCTATTTTTCAGAATAGCTTGAGTAGGATTGGCATTAGTTCTTTATTAATTGTTTTTTTCAAATTCAGCATTTAAAATGCTGTGTCCCAAGCTTTTGTTTACTGGAAGACTTTTTATTGTTGCTTCAATCTCATTATTTGTTATTAGTCTTTTCAGGATTTGGATTTGTTCATTGTTCAAACCTCATAGATTGTCTATGGCTAAGAATTTTTCCATTTCTTCTGGATTTTCCAATCGATTGCCATATAATTGCTCATGGTAGCCAATAATAATACTTTGAATTACTGCAGTATCTGTAGTAATGTCTCCTTTTCATTTCTTCTTTTATTTATTTAGATCTTCTCTATTTTTTTCTTAGTCTGGCTAAAGATTTGCCCATTATGTTTAACTTTTCATAAAATTAACTTTTTGTTTCATTGATCTTTTGTATTGTTTTCTTCATTTCAATTGCATTTATTTGTACTCTGGTCTCTATTATTTCATTTTTACTACTAATTTTGAGTTTAGTTTGCTCTTTCTTTTCTATTTCTTTAAGATGCATCAGTAGATTGTATATTTGAAGTTTATTTTACTTTTTGATGTAGGCACTTATAGCTATAAACTTCCCTCTCAGTATTGCGTTTTCTCTATTCCATAGGTTTTGGTATGTTATGCTTCCATTATCATTTGTTTTAAGACATTTTTCAATCTCCTTAATTTTCAATTTCCTTCAAATATCATCATTGGGAATACTGTCATTCACAAGCACATTGTTTGATTTCCATGTATTTGTACAGTTTCCAAAATTCCTATTGTTATTGATATCTAGTTTTATTCCACTGTAGTCAGACAAGATGCTTGATATTATTTCAAATGTTTTGAATGTTTTATGACTTGTTTTGTGATCTAACATATGATCTATCCTTGAGAAAGATCCATGTGCTCAGGAACAGAATGTGCATTTTGTAGTCATTGGATGAAGTGTCTCTAAATATCTATTAGTTACATTTGGTCTATAGTGCTGATTAAGTTTGATGTTTCTTTGTTGATATTCTGTCTGGAAGATCTGTCCAATGCTGAAAGTGTGGTGTTAAAGTCTCCTGCTCTTATTGTATTGGTATGTATCTCTCTCTTTAGCTCTAATAATATTTATATTATATATCTGGGCACTCCAGTGTTCAGTGAGTATACACCTAAAATTGTTAAATCCTCTTGCTGAATTGAGCTCCTTTATCATTATATAGTGACCAAACTTATCTCTTCTTATGGGTTTAATTCTTGAAATCTATTTTGTCTGAAATAAGTATAGCTACTTCTACTCTTTTTTGTTTTCCATTGACATGGAATATCTTTTTTTCATCTCATTTTTTTCAGTCTTTGTGTGTCAAGAAAGTGTGTTTCTTGAAGGCAACATATCATTGGATCTATTTTTGTTTATTCTGCCACATTACATCTTTTGATTAGAGAGTTTAGTCCATTTACATTCAATGTTATTATGCATAAATAATGACTTATTCATGCCACTTTGTTATTTGTTTTTCTGGTGTTTTGTGGTCTTCTAATCCTCCCTTCTTTTCTTTCTGTCTTCCTTTTAGTGAAGGTGATTTTCTCTGATGATATGATTTAGTTTCTTGCTTTTTATTTTTTGTGTATCTGTTGTATGTTTTCTGGTTTGAGTTACCAGGAGGCTTGCAAATATTATCTTATAAGCAATTATTTTAAGCTGATATCAACATAACACTCTTTGCATAAACAAATGAGCAAAAAAATCAGCAAAAATAATTAATAACAATTTTATGTGTTCACTTTTTCCTCCTGCTTTTAAACTTTTTGTTGGTTTTATTTATTATCATATTGTAAGGTTTACATCTTGGAAAACCGTTGTTTTAGCTATTATTATTGATTGGTTCATGATTTAGTCTTTCTACTTAAGAAGAAATTAGTTGACACACATTTTTATAATATTCTCTGCTTTCCTGTGTACTTTCTCTTACTAGTGAATTTTATACCTTCAGATTATTATTTATAGATACTTGACATTCTTTTGTTTTCTTATTAAAGTACTCCCTTTAGCATTTCTTACAGGACAAATCTGGTGTTGATGAAATCCTTCAGCTTTTGTTTGTCTGGGAATGTCTTTCTTTCTGCTTCACGTTTGAAGGATATTTTCACCAGATATACTACTGTAAGTTAAAAGCTTTTCTCTGTCAGCACATTAAATATATCATGTCAGTCTCTTCTGGACTTTAAGGGTTCCACTGGAAAGTCTTCTGCCAGATGTATTGGAACTGCAATTTATTTTACTCGTTTTCTTTCTCTTGCTGCCATTAGAATCCTCTCCTTATCCTTGATCTATGGGAGTTTGATTACTAGTAAATATCTTTAGGTATTCTTCTTTGGGTTAAATCTGTTTGGTGTTCTATATCCTTCTCGTATTTGGATATTAATATCTTTATTTAGGCTTGAGATATTCTTTTTTATTATCCCTTTGAATAAACTTTCTACTCCTATCTTTTTCTCTACCTCCTCTTTAAGGCCAATAACTCTTAGCTTTTCCGTTTTGAGGGTATTTTTTAGATGTTTTAGGTATGCTTCATTGTTGCTCTTTTCTTTTCTTTTGTCTCCTCCGACTGTGTATTTTCAAATAGCCTGTCTTCAAGCTCACTAATTCTTTCTTTGGCTTGATCAATTCTGCTATTAAAAGACTTCATTACGGCAATTGCATTATTCAGCTCCAGAAAAATTCTATTTGATTTTTTTTTTACTTATTTCAGTCTCTCTGTTAAATTTGTCTGATGGAATTTTGAATTCCTTCACCATATTACCTTGAATTTCTTTGAGTTTCCTCAATGCAGCCATATTGAGTTCTCTGTCTGAAAGGTCTCATATCTCTGTTTCTCCAGGATTTGTCTCTGGTGCCTTATTTAGTTCATTTGATAAGTTCATGTTTTCCTGGATGGTGTTTATACTTTTAGATGTTCATCTGTGACTGGAAATTGACGAGTTAAGTGTTTATTTTTCTTTACAGTCTGTGCTTGTTTTTACCTATACTTTTTGAGGAGGCTTCCCAGATATTCAGAAGTACTTCAGTGTTGTGGTGTAAGCTGTATTGGCTTCAAGGGCACCCCATGTTTAGTAATGCTGTTGTTTCTGCAGACTTGTGATGGTACTGCATTGATGGTCTTAGATAAGATCCAGGAGAGTTCTTTGCATTACTTGGCATAGTCTATTTTTCTCTTCCTTTACTTTTTTTCCAAATGGAGCCTGTCTTGCTCTGTTCTCAGCCACCTGGAGCTAGAGATAGGGTGATACAAGTATCCTTGTGGGCACTACCACTAGGACTCTGCTGGGTCAAACTTAAAGCAAGCACAGCACTGGGTCATAGCCAAGGCCTGTTGTAACCACTCCCTGGCTGCTTCCCATGTTTGCTCAAGGTCCTTGGGCTCTACAATCAGCAGGTGACAGAGCCAGCCAGGCCTGTGTTCTTCTCTTTAGGGCAGCAAGATCCCCCAGGCACCTGGTGGGTCCAGAATTGTTATCCAGGAGTCAGGCACTAGAGTCAAAAACCTTAGAAATTTGCCTGGTATTCTATTGTGTTGCAGCTGAGCTGACACTCAAACCACAAGATGCAGTCTTTTCCACTCTTTCTTCCCCTTTCCAAAAGCAGAGGAGCCTCACATTGAGGCCACTGCTACCACAGGCCCATGGAGAGTACTGCCAGACTACCACCAATGTTCTGTTAAGGCCCAATGGCTCTTAAGTCAGCCTGTTACAAATTCTGCCTGGCCTGGGACTCACCCTTCAAGGCAGTGGGCTCCCCTCTGGCTGAGAGCAGGTCTAAAATGCCATTCAAGAGCAAGTTTCTGGAATCAAGGACCCTAAGAGCCTGCTTAGTGTTCCACCTCCCTATGGCTGTGCTGGTACATAAGGTGCAAGATGAAGTACCCGTTACTTTTCCCTCTGCTTTTCTCAAGAAGAATGAGCCTTACCTGGTAGCCACCACAGCTGGAAATGTCCTAAGTCTCACTTGAAATCAAGATTTATAATCTCACCCAAGGCCCTTGACCTAGTACATAGGTGTCGCTGTTAGTTTTTCAGGTCCCAAGGGCTCTTCAGTTAGCAGGTGATGAATCCTGCAAGGTTGAGTTCTTCCCTTCAAGGCAGCAGGTTCACTGATGGCCCAGGGTATATCTAGAAATCTCATTGAGGAGATAGGGCCTGGAAAGGGGGCCTCATAACTCTGACAGTTGCCTTATTCTGCTGTGGCTGAACTGATATCCAAAATACCTGACAATGTTTTCCCCACTCTTTCCTCTCATATCCTCAAGTGGAGGGAAGATTTCTCTTTCTGAGCCATGAGCTGGGCAGCATGGGTTTAGGGGAAGGGTGATGCCAGCACTTCCTTAATCACCCAGACTGGTGTCTTAGTAGGTCCTATGTTTCCCGGTCTGCTGTCTCTGGGCCCAGTTCAGCACTAAGGCTCACTTAAGAGTTGCAGTACTTGTAGCCTAGACTGCCTTTCAATTTTATTTAGGGCCCCAGAGCACTGTAGCCTGTGGTGGCGAGGCTTATAGGAACTCAGTTTTGGACCACTGAGTTCAGCAATTCCCCTCTGACAAGGGCTGGTTTAAATGCTCCTCCCTCTGTTGGTGGGCGTCAGCTGAGTTTGGTCTGGTTTTGCTTTTTGTTATAACAAGGACAGCACTAAGTTGAATGCCTAACAATTGCTGGCTCTCACTCACCCTAGAGCACAAAACTGCTCTCTGCACCAAGCCACCACTGCCAGGGGATAGAAGAGGGGTGGCATTGGCAATTCAAGACTGTTTTTCCTACTTCTTCAGTGCCTTTTTCAGGAATATGTATTTAAAACAAGGTACTGAGTGCTCATCTGATTTTTCCTTCTTATGAAGTTGCTTTTTTTTGTGTGTAGAGAGTTGTTAAATTGTTGTCCTTGGGGGAGGGATGATCAGTGGAGCCTTCTATTCCAGCATCTTGCTCTGCCCCCACCATCAATGTCACTAAGATTTTAGGAAGCCTTAACTAGCTAAACTCCATATGTTTTTCAAATATATGCAAACAGGGTGGCATGTACATGATTATTACTGGGGGAGAAGGGTTTAATTTTCAGCTTATGGAATGGGAAGTTTGGTAAGAGAGATTATTTCTTGATGATGAGGTGTGTGTAAATGCTGGAATTTAGCTGTCAAGCATTCTCAATGCAGTCAAAAAACAGCAAAATTTTCCATTAATCTGGAATTCTTTAAATTTGGTTCTCTCTGAAATCAGATTAGTAAATTGTAAGAAATTAGATTTTTTTGTACTCTGTAAAGTTACCATTCAGTTTTTGTTCTTATTGAAATAAGAAACAAAACAGCTGAAGAATAAATTATCATGGAAGCCATATATGTAAGTAGTCAAGATACTGTGTGTTAGAAAAATAATTCAGAATTAAAAGATCCCTCATTTTAGGCCTTCTTTCTATGTGGTTTTTACCTTTGAATATGTTATTGAAGCATAAGGAGTCTCAGTTTCCTCAATTCTAAGTGAAAATTATTCTTACCCTGCTTAATTCATAAGCTATTTTTAAATGTTAAATGCCCTAAGAATTTGGAAGCTGTTTTGTAAATGATAAAATCTTAAATACAGTATTCCTTCCTTATCAGCAGAGGATGCATTCCAAGACGCCTAGTACATCCCTGAAACTGCTGACAGCAATAAACCCTATATCTACTATGTATTTTTTCTTATTTATACATAGCTATTATAGAGTTTAATTTACAAATTAGGCACAATAAGGGATTAACAACAACAATAATAAAATAGAACAAGTATAACAATATACTATAGTAAAATTTATATGGATACACTATCCCTCTTTCAAATTGAGTTTTCTGTTTATAACTTCTACTGACAAATTTAATGCCTTTTCCTTCTTAGCTAAGCATTTACCATGCACTGCAGCCATAACTTTAGCATTTTGAGGTGCAACAAAAAAACTAGCCGAAATTTCTTTTTTCTTCGTCACAATTTTATTGATTTTCTTTCCTTATTAAATAGACATTTCACTTTTTCACTTAAAGGAAGCACTTTACAGCTTCTCTTGGTCATATCCAAATCGCTGGCATTTCTCCTCTTGTGCTTTAGGGACATTATTAAGTAAAATAAGGGTGACTTCAACACAATCGCTATGATACCATGACAGTCGATCTGATAACTGAGAAGAGTACTAAGTGAATAACAGGCAGAAAGCATATACAGTATGAATATGCTAGACAAAGGGATGATTCATGCCCTGGGCAAGGCAGAGCTGGACAGCATAAGATTTCAATATTCAGAGTGAACATGCAACTGAAAATGTATGAACTGTTTATTTCTGGAATTTCCCATTTTATATTTTTGGACCATGGTTGACTGAATGTCACTGAAGCCATGGAAAGTGAAACCAGAGATAAGGGGAAACTATTGTAACATAAGTTCTTATTATGTAAATCAGTGTGTGTCTTAATCACATTTTAATGAAATACGATTGTATAACTGTGCGGAATATAAATTACACTTTCAGTTAGACCCAGGAAAAGTCAAAGAAAGTAAAATAAGGCAAAGTCTATGATTTTTAATCTATCTAAAGTAGAATTATTATAAATATATTAAAATAGAATATACATCCAGGTACTAGTCAAGTGTTTTAAAATAATATGTTCACCGTAATCACTCTAATGTTTTGACTGTAATATTTGGAGTATGTTTCATTAACCTATAATGCAGATAAACATATAGAGGAGTTTTGAATCAGCTAATTAAGTATCTACCTAGATAACATTTTATCTCCCTAGCTTCTTAGTTTAGTCTTATATTTTGCTAGATTATATATTAAATTGTAGCTGGATCTTGCATCAAAGAAAGAAGAAAAAATTCCAAGGAAAGACCCTCTCAGACTCTAATTAAAGTTACTATGGATCAGCCAACTTAGTGTTCCACTATTTAAATATTTTCTCACAAATAAGCAGAAAATTGTGCTTTTCTGATGCTGCATGACTCCAGATTTATTTGGCTCACAGAAGCTATTTCTGTACAATTAGTACTGATTGCCGTATAAACATATGAAACTACAAAATGTCATGATACTCATAAACTTCTTCCTCTTTTTTTGCTTGCTTTTTTTTATGTGTTTACATTTTCTGCCTTAAGAACTAACTTAAAAATCACAGTTCAGCTTAATGCCAAAATATTGATTTAACATGACTAACCACTTGGCAGGTAAATATTATGGAGCAAGTTTCATAAAATTGCTCAACTTCCTTTGGATTCCAAATGGCTCGTATGCATGTAGGGAAAATTAATCTAAACCACATTTAAATGATTGGCTCTGAACTAGCCATCAAACCTCAGAATGGGGATTTGGAAGTCATTGTTAACTGTTTCTTACACAAAGGAGACCAACACATATCCCGTGTTGCTGATCTACAGAACATATGTACCTGGAATATTGCATGCAATTACAGTCACTAGATCACAAGAAAGGCATAGAATGCAGTAGGAGAAAGTGAAATGATCACAGAATAGATGGTGTTGTAGAAGAACAACTTTAAACTTTCCAGTGAATTGTTATTTTCTAGATTCTTGTTTTATAGAACAATGGGCTATGTTTTAATTACAAAGTAGGTAATTTTTTCTTTTCTTTTTTTTTTTTCTTTTTTTTTGAGATGGAGTTTCGCCCTTGTCATCCAGGCTGGAGTGCAATGGCGTGATCTCGGCTCACTGCAACCTCTGCTTCCCTATTGTCTTTTTGATAATTAAAAGAAAGTTATAAAGGGCATAATTATGAGTGTGATGTAGCTATAGTAGACTTTAAAATATAAATTAAGGATATTGGGAAAGATATCCCAAGGCTTTTGAGGTAAATATTTTTAAAATTGTTTTTGAGTAAATTTTTCCCAAACTATCAGGGAAAAAGTATTTTTCTTTCTACAGCTGGCTTCAATTATATAAACAAATTATTTTTATAAGGCAGTAAATGAGAGTTTCAGAATTGTCAGAGAAGAACATTGGTTAAAAGTGATTTTCATGCTTATTTTCTACTTAATATAATAAGTAACAATTAGATTTTACTCATCCTTGTTTCTCAGCCCTCAGGTGATGAAGTTTCTCTCCAATATGTTTAACTTTTTCAAATGTCCAAGTTGAGAATAAAAACAGTTCTCTGTCTAAGAGGGACAGAATAAAATAGTTTGCCCATGAGCAGTCATTATGTGCATGGCTTGTTCTCTACTGTCTTTTGATAAAACCTACCTGATTATTTTATGCTTAAATTGACCATCAGTGAAGATATCAACTTACAACTTTCAGATGTTTACAAATTACCATGCATGTAAAACTTCTCATGGCATAATGCAAGTTATAAACAAAATTGCAAATATACCCTATACATTCGTACAATTTAGAATATAAATAAATAGTTATATTTTAACAACAAGAAAAAGACTAAAGAATACCCCATGCTTTCTTACAGCCCTTATTTATAACATAAATGAGTTATGTTCTGGGAATGAAAAGGCCTAAGCCTTCGTGGCATCCTGGTAATATTTCCAAATTTTCACGTACCTAGATAAAATATCTATATCTATACCTATTTCTCTATCTATCTATCATCTATCTATCTATCTATCTATCTATCTATCTATCTATCTATCTATCATCTATCTATCTATTTATCATCTATCCATCTATCTATTTTCTATGAAAAACAGCCAAGGAAACGACTTGGTTCTCTATGATTGCCCAAGGGTCATTCATGCTCCTCTTATTTTATTGGGTTGTTTGAAGCATTATTCTGGCCCAGTTTGCTATTTTTTTCATTTTAGATAACTTTTACCAAGTTAGTTTTCTCTCTTATAGAGTAAATAAAGTCTGAGTTTCCTGTTTAGATAGTTGTAGTAAACGAAAATAGAGTGGATTATGTTATTAGTAATTCTGATTCTCTCTTTTCCTACTTATAACTTTTATTGAGAAATGTTTTGCCTACAATTTTAAGTAAAGATAAAAAATATAAAAAATTGAATCTACTGCATGATCTCATCCTTATACACTTCATAAGAAAATATAATAAAAAATATTTTCAAATACATGAGGAGAAGGTCTCATGTGCTTTCTTCATTTATTTCAGGATATTATACATTTATAATTTGTAAATAAGTTAAACATATTTAAGAAAAAATATGTATAGCAATCCCAAGGATTGTGAAACTTTTTGTATGTTATAATATCTGCTATGTCTAGATGTGGCTGTGTGGGAAATAAGCTACCTTCTAATTGTGATTTGAAAGTAATGTGGAAATGCCCTTCTGCCTCAAATTATTTTTTCCACAAACTTTCATATAATACTTTAATGCCTGCTATTAGGATACTACTTTTCTGGGCTGTAGACATTTTTCTTTATAAAATAAAAACAACAATTAAAAAAACAAGATCAGATATAAGAGATGATTTAGTTAGTGTTCTTACTTTCAGGAAACCAAGACTACGTTAGAAATCTTCAATAAAAATGCATTTTATTAAAATGTTATTTGGTAGCTCTGAAATCATCAAGAATACCGAAAAGCCAGGCTCAGAAAATGAGCAGGAATAAAGGAAGAAGGGCATACTGAAGAAAACATTCGTGGTTAGCGCAAAGGCAGTGTCAGTAACACCAAATTCAAAATTTTACACGGGTGACAAGCCTAGTTACATGCTAAAAAGACAATTAGAGCTCTGGAATCTTTTATTGTGTATAGTGGGAAGTGGGTTTTCTGTCCTATAAAATTCATAATGTAAAGCACTAACCAAATAATGGGAGCTCAGATGATAGGCAACCAAAAGTCGTGACAAATATTCACAGCAAATGTGATGAAGGCAGATTATAATGTCGTCATGGAAGAAGCAGGTTTGTGTAAGAGGGTGCAATATTTGTACATGGTTGATGTGCAGAATCAAAAGAAATTGAAGTAATGAGATATGATGTAAAGGGGAAACAAGACAAAAGAGAAATTCAGCATGAGGTTCATCTGTAGATGTTTAAGCAAATGTAATCTGATGTGAATAATGTTTCAAAGGGCTATCTTTACTACAATATGAAAAAGTTAAATTTAAGAAACAGAGACAGAAAGTTGGATATTTGAGTCTGGCAGTTATCAATGTTCTGTCTGTCAATGTTTTGCCAGGCACCAATTTAATAAGTTGAAAACTTCTGATACCCAGTTGTTTCTCCTAGTCACTCCTTTCTTATATTCTCCCAAATTGTTATGTCGTTTCAAAAAGTCTCATTCTCTGACTCCTGTGATTACTAAGCTAATAAAGTTCCTAGAACTTATACTATTTCACATGATTCTAAATTCTCAACATATATAGCTACTGAATAAACTACCACCTTCTGCACAGCATATCTATATTCTGAAAAACCTGCCTTTCTGAAAAAATTCAATATCGTTTTCTCATATCTTACTTTAGAATTTTGTACAACTTATTTTTGTATCAGAAGACTCTTAAATGAACTGTTGATCTTAACTATTCAGCTATAAGTGTGTATCAAAGCAATGCCTTATACAAATTTTTCTCACTAATGAAAGGGAGCTTTGAAGCAAATACTTACGTATTTACCCACCAACTTATACATTTTATAAACTGTTATTTTAAAATGTTTACTCATAAAAATAGAAACACCTATAGTGTCAAAGATTTTTACTTGTAATATATATGTAGGACATTTAGTCCTTCACATGTATATGTTTTTCTCATTAATTTTAATATGCCAGAACCCACATTTTGTGAGAAAAAAAATGGGGATTGAAGGTTAAAAATATTTTATTAAATACCACTTTCCCATATACTTCCATTACAACTCTTTTAAATTTTCCTAAATATTGTACTCAAAGCTATCAATATCATCCTTTTCTTATTTTGCATAGTTAAAACATATCAATTTTGCCTTTGATAGAAAATCTAGATTGGCATGCCTTAGTGTGTAAGCATGACTTTTAAAAATAGTATTTTAGACACCAAATTGAGATACATGAAGTAAATTGTACTGCCCAGGAATATAAAAAGTATTTATATACTAAAGATCACAAAAATAAGCATGGAACAAAACAATAACTAGCACTACAGTCTGTCAGAAAAGTCATTGAAATCTATGAACAATTTTATTGTATATTTAAATATGTGTGCTGATGAAAACATTTGCCCATAAATTTGTGAGTTTTAATTACCTCATTATGAAATTGTGTTTAAATGGAGCTTTTCTCAGCTGTGCAGTTAGGGGGATGTAAGGTAGAGGCAGGGACATGGGTATTACATTGTATGGAATATGCTTTCGAATTATAGTCAATTCGATATTTACAGACTTTAGTCTCTGGCGTATTTTGTGTATTAGTGAACAAGAGCTTTACCATCCAACAGCTGGGGCATATTATAGGCAGGGAAATATTCTGTAAGCTTGTAGTGGATATTTATTTCATGTATATATCATTGGTTATATCAGTGTTGGTCAAATGTCTAACAAAGATCAGGTAGTTGTTTCATTGCTAATCCAGTTTAATGGTGAAGTTGTTACAAGTAAAACTGAAACGGAAAGAGGAAGGATGGAATATGCCTTTCTTGAGGATGATTTTTTTTTATTCTTAGTGAATTAGAATTACCTATCGTTTGAGAAGGTGACAGCATCTCATCCCAAGCCAACAAATTCCAATGAGTACCAAAAGATGCCTTTTCCAACTGCTAGAATTACCTATTGAAGAGGTCAGTTATGTAGAAATTTACAAAATGAGACATAAACTGTGCCATTATCTGGCTCTGTACTGCTCCCTTTTGAGTAAACAACTCAGGAGGGTTGATTGCCTAATCTCCTGAAGATCTCAAGAGGCATATAATTAATTTATGTCTTACAGATCTTTTCTGTTTGATTAAAAATCGTATTTCTCATTTTCACTTAATTTCTTCTTGTTTGATAATACATATATATGTATTATTCTTCAATATTTACTTCTTATAAATTTTGAATTTTTTTTGAGTCAGGGTCTTGCTCTGTCATCCAGGCTTGAGTGCAGTGGCCGATCAAGGCTCACTGCAACCTCTGCCTCCCAGGTTCAAGTGATTCTGGTATCTCAGCCTCCTGAGTAGCTGTACAGGCACCTGCCACCACGCCCAGCTAATTTTTGTAGAGATGGTGTTTCACATGTTTCACCATGTCTCAAACTCCTGGCCTCAAGTGATCTCCCCATCTCAGCCTCCCAAAGTGCTGGGAGTATCATATAATCTAATCAGCCTTTAACCATTAATTCCTTAAGCTAAACAAGATCAATTCCTTTAAAATTTCTAATTGATTGCTGATAATACCAATTATTTCTGTTATTTTCTGAAAAATCTCCAGTTCATTCACATCATTTAAAAATGTGTTACAAAGGTTTATATATAGTATAGAGAAACTACAATCTTCGTGGCAAAGGATCAATGTTATAGAGCATTGACACCTCAATAAGGAGGTGGTAGGATTGGTCAACAGGGACATTAATAAACAACCATGAAATTTAGTTAAAAGGTTTTTAATAGATGCAATAATATTTTAACAAAATATTACATTATATTATGCCCTCACCAATAAAATTGCCAACATGATGACTTTCACCATAGCTGCAAAATTTAGGATTTTTAGAATGACAAATTAAAAATCAACAATAACATTGACTAAACGGCATCATTTTTGAGTTAAGATTAAATTTAAAAATAAAATATTGTGTATTACTTGATGTGGAAATATTTTCTATAATATCACTGAGGCATTCAAGCACCAATTTGTACACAGTGGCCCTCAGTAATATGTTACTGAGACTCTCCTATTATGGTAACAAAGAGTAGAAAATGATCATACCATGCTCACTGTAGTTATTTGAGACACAGGGAGCGTTAAAGTAAGACAATGTTAAATGATCAAATAGCACAAATTAATTAATCAAGGTTTATCTTGAAGCTGAACAGGTAAAATTTAAATTCTGCTACAATATATGCCTGATTTGTAGAAAGTCTAAAAAATTATTGTAACATTGTTTGAAACATTACTAAATAACTATAATAGACAAATGTTGCTGATTCGAAGTGAATATCTCTAGTGTTTCACCAATAATCTGAGTTTTTCCTGGCGTGTATGTTTATGTGTGTATGTCGCAAACATACATGCTTTCATTTGAAGTAGCCATAGCTATCAAAATTTTGATGTCAGAGTCACAAAATCTTCATAGAAAAATTTGGATTGCTTTTCATGTTATGCAATAATATGCATTTATATACATATCTGTATATACACATATATAACAAAATAGAATGGCACTAGGTACCAAAAATTCAAATAATACATTGCAGCATTAAATTAAAATTACAGATAAAATTCCTCATTCATGCTTACTACAGAACAGTGAACAAGATATTCTGAAGATAAGAAAGGAAAACCCCCAGAGAAAAACATACAAATGTTGCATAAAGTATTAAAAGTCAACTTTTAAGTACATTCATGATTCCTTAAGAAAGGAAATGAAATGGCCAAGGGCCATAAAAATTAAACAAAGAGTTGAAATAATAATGGTAAGTGAAACTTGGGCTGTTCATACCGTGAAGCTGGAGCTTCATGAATAAATAGCCAGCGTTTTCAGAACTGAGGAATTAGATTTTAGACACAGACAAGATGAGGCAAAGCAGAAATGTAAACTCCAGCATATAAGAGCCAAAGCAAGAAAGTGATCCCATTTACTACAGCCACAAAAAGAATAAGATACCTACGGCTACAGCAAACCAAAAAGTTGAACAATCACTACAAGGAGAAAACACTGCTGAACAAAGTCAAAGATGACACAAATGATGGAAAAACATTCCATTGTCATGGATTGGAAGAATCAACATCATTGAAATGGCCGTACTTCCCAAAGCAATGAACAGATTCAACACTATTCCTATCAAACTACCAATATCATTTTTCACAGAATTAAAAAAAATTCTAAAATTCATATAGAACCAAAAAAGAGCCCAAATAAACATAGCAATCCTAAGCCAAAAGAACAAAGCCAGAAGCATCACATTACTCAACTTGAAAATATGCTACAAGGCAGACAGACACATAGACCAATGGAACAGAATAGAGAATGCATAAATAAAGCAGCACACCTACAGCCATTTGATCTTTAACAAAGACAACAAAAACAATGGAGAAAAGACTTCCTATTCAATAAATAGCACTGGAATAACTTGCTTGCCATATGCAGAAAAGTGAAACTTGACCCATAACTAACACTATATATGAAAATTAACTCAAGGTCAATTAAAGACTGAAATGTAAGTCTTCAAACTATAACAATCCTGAAGAAAATCTAGCAAATGCTCTGCTCAATATGAACCTTGGCAAATAATTTATGGCTGAGTCCTCAAAAGCAATTGCAACGATAACAAAAGTTGACAAATTGGACTTAATTAAACTAAGGAGCTTCTGCATAGCGAGAGAAACTATCAAGGGAATGAATAAAGAACCTACAAAATGAGAGAAAATATTTGCAAAATATTCATCCATCCAACACAGGTCTATTATCCAGATTCTATGTGGAACTTAAGCAAATCAAAGAGCAAAAAACAACCTCATTAAAAGTGGGCAAATGACATTAATAGACACTTCTCAAAAGATACACACATGGTATGACAAAAACATGAAAAAATGCTCATTATCACACATCGTCAAAGAAATGCATGTCAAAACTACAATGAGGTACCTTCTCATATCAGTCAGAAAGGTGATTATTAAAAAGTCAAAAAAAGAAAAATGTTGGTGAGACTGTGGAAGAAAGGGAACACTTATACCCTGTTGGTGGGAATGTAAATTAGTTCAGCCACTGTGGAGAGCAGTTTGGAGATTTCTCAAAGAACAGGGAGTTGAACTACCAATCAACCCAGCAATCCCATTGCTGGGTATATACTCAAAGGAAAATAAACTATTCTACCAAAAAGACACATATACACATATGTTCATTGCAGTGCTATTCACAAAACCAAAGACATGTAGTCAACCCAGATGCCCATCAATTTTGGACTAGATAAACAAAATATAGTACATATACACAATGAAACACTACACAGTCATAAAAAATAATGAACTCCTGCTCTTCACAGCAACATGAATGCAGCTTAAAACCATTAACCTAAGCAAACTAATGCAGAAATGGAAAACCAAATATCACATGTTCTCATTTATAAGTGGGAGCTAAACATTGGGTACACATGGTTATAAAAATGTGAACAATAGACATTGGGGAATAGGAGAGTTAAGAGAGAAAGGGTGATAAGGGTTAAAAAAATACCTATTTGGTATGTTCACTACCTAGGTGATTGATTCATTCATACTCCCAACCTTAGCATCAAACAATATACCTTTGTAAGAAATCTGCACATGTACCCTCTGATTCTAAGATAAAAATGGAAAAAAGAAAAGCATATAAGTACATAAAAAGAAAAAAAAGACTATAGCATAAACCTAGACTTTTAAGTAGGACACATCCTCAGTTTTGTGTGCCTTTTGCTTCAGTTTTTTTAAACAAGAGGATATGATAATAATAATAATCATTTTAAAGTGGAGGAAATAGGACACTAACTCCTAACTCCAAAACATGTGGCATGTGAAATAATAAATATCCATCATTTGACAAGAATACCAGAGAAGTGGTATCTTTAGGGGAAATCACATTTATATTAAAGCAGACAAGAGAGATCCCCAGAGAAAATGTTGAAGATATTAGGTTGGTGCAAAAGTAATTGTGCTTTTCGCCATTACTCTTAATGGCAAAATAATGTAAGCATTGACCAATGGAGACAGGGCTAAAAATATGTAGATTTCATCTCAAGAGTTTATTACTTGAATAAATATCTATGATTTTAAAGCTAGCTGAGTAATATTAAGTATTAAAATAAAATTTAACAATAAAATGTTGTTTTTGAAATTATGTTTTTGTTTCCATACACACAATGTACAAATATTTCAATGGGAGGTAAATTACATAGTATTGTAGAGTAACAGTTAATCCGAATTCAATTATATTTGACTTTAGGATGTCATTGGAATGCTATATTTACACATTCTACCCAGTAATTCACTCCCTAGTGTTTGTAACTAAAGAGAAAAATAAAAGAGACATGGAAAAGAAATACAAGGAAACAAAAGCCTTCTATAAATTATTTACACACAAATAAAATCAATTATTTACCTTAATTTTAGCTCCATTATATTGATTAACTTACTTATTTCTGTTTCTTAAAAGACCAAAATATATAGGAAAACCTATTTATTATTCACTATAGAAGTGCCGTTTAATAAAAAATAAACAGCTATGTTAAAAATGTAAGTAATTTTAACTTGCTTTTTTCTACGATGTTGACATAGGGCATTTTATATTATTTCTTGTCATAGTTACTCTGTGATTTTGCTCCGCTAGTGATCTTAGTAATTCTTTTATCCAGTGATGGAATTCTTTTAGAGAGAATGGACAAAATTGGGTTTTGTTCAAAAGAAAAACTATTGTGAGGATTTCATTGATATACTTAAGAACAATAGCTAAAATGCCACTCAACTGCTGCTATATACAATCAAGCAACTTTCAGAAGTTTTACATATAAAGCAATTTTAAAGATTGATTTTGACATATATACCTAATGAAGATCTAAAGAGGAGCAGGGTCACTGCTGAAGTAAACTAAAGGGATGTTTATATTCCAAATCTTTTCCAAGAGAAGAGACTTGGACCTTAAAAATCTTTGGCCATATTACTTAGCACCATATTACGTAAGTAATAATAAAAATAAAAGTAAAAATTGGGACTCACTGTAAATGGTGAAAAATATAATCAAACACAAATGTAGAGATAAAACTAGCATAGAATAATGTCAGCAAAAATGATCAAGTAAAGGCCTTATCAAATTATCTTCTTCCTAAGAACAATGGAAAACTGGCAAAATTTTTCAGAAACAACTTTTTCAGAAATCCAGAGATTGACTAAGATTTTGCAGCAATCAGGAGAGTGTATTTAAGAAAAACAGATAAATCTCAGTAAGAACAGAAAACTTTATAGCATTTAAACTTGCCCTATTGCCATCCCCCTTTAGATTCTTAGTAAACGTAAGAAGCAACAGTCAACAATTCCCATGAAAACTAGCAGCTATGAAGTCACTAGAAAGAGCAGAACATATTTGGAGCTCTTTCAGAGCCTCATTACCAAGGAATGTACATTATTTAACCTGTGTGATGTTTCCATGGAAGACCTTACTTGCATCCTATTTGACATAGCTTGGAGTTTAACAAGGGTAGAAAGCTTTTCTTTTTTCTTTTTTTTAAATTTTTGTTTTAAGTTCAGGGGTACATGTGAAGGAGGTACAGGTTTGTTACATAGGTAAATGTGTGTCCTGGTGGTTTGCTGCACAGATCATCACATCACCTAAGTATTAAGCCCAGCATGTATTAGCTTTTCTCCCTGATGATCTTGCTCTCCCCACAGTCCCAATCCATCAGGCCCCAGTGTGTGTTGTTTCCTACCACGTGCCAATGAGTTCTCATTATTAAGCTCCCACTTACATGTAAGAACATGAGGTGTTTGGTTTCCTGTTCCTGTATTAGTTTGCTGAGGTTATTGGCTTCCAACTCCATCCATGTCCCTGCAAAGGACGTGATCTCATTTCTTTTTATGGCTGCATAGTTTTCCATGGTGTATATATACCATATTTTCTTTATCCAGTCTATCATTGATGGGCATTTAGGTTGATTTCCTGTCTCACTATTGTGAATAGTGCTTCAGTGAACATACATATGCATATATCTTTATAATAGAATACTTTATATTCCTTTGAGTATATGCCCATTAATTAGATTGTTGGGTTGAATGGTATTTCTGCCTCTAGGTCTTTGAGGAATCACCACACCATCTTCCACAATAGTTGAACTAATTTACACTCGTACCAACAGTGTAAAAGTGTTCTTTTTTCTCTGCAATGTCACCAGTGTCTGTTGTTTTCTGACTTTTTGATAATAGCCATTCTGACTGGAGTGGCAGAGCATCTAATTGTGGTTTTAATTTGCATTTCTCTAATAGTCAGTGATGTTAAGCTCTTTTTCCATATTTTTTGACCACATGTTTGTCTTTGAGAAGTGTCTATTAATATCGTTTGCTCACTTTTAGTGAGGTTGTTTGTTTTTCTTGTATATTTGTTTAAATTCCTTGTAGACAGGATAGTCGATCTTTGTCAGATGGATAAATTGCAAAAATTTTCTCCCACTCTGTTGGTTGTCTGTTCACTCTGATGATACTTTCTCTTGTTTTGCAGAAGCTCCTTAGCTTAATTAGTTCCCCCATGTCAAAGCTTTTGTTTTTCTCACAATTGCTTTTGGTGTTTCCATCATGAAATATTTGCTCATGCCTATGGCCTGTAAGGTATTGCCTAGATTTTCTTCCAGGGTTTTTATAGTTTGGGTTTTTACATTTAAGTCCTCAATCCGTACTGAATTAATTTTTGTATATGGTATAAGGAAGGAGTCCAGTTTCAATTTTCTGCATATGGTTAGCCAGCTTTCCCAGCACCATTTATTTAATAGGGAGTTCTTTCCCCATTGCTTGTTTTTGTCAGGTTTGTCGAAAATAGATGGTTTGTAAGTGTGCTGTCTAATTTAAGAGTTCTCTATTCTGTTCCATTGGTCTACGTGTCTGTTTTTGTACCAGCACCATGCTGTTTTGGTTAGCGTAGCCTTGTAGTAGAGTTTGAAGTCAGGTAGTGCGATGCCTCCAGCTTTGTTCTTTTTACTTAGGATTGTATTGGCTATTTGGGCTCTTTCTTGGATCCATAAAAATTTTAAAATAGTTCTTTTCTAATTTATGAAGAATGTCAATGGTAGTTTAATGGGAATAGCATAGAACCTTTAAATTACTTTGGGCCATATGACCATTTGCACAATATCGATTCTTTCTATCCATGAGCATGGAAATTTTTTTTTTCCATTTATGTCATCTATGATTTCCTGAAACAGTCGTTTGTAGGTCTCCTTGAAGACATCCTTCATTTACCTTGTTAGCTGTATTCCTAGGTATTTTATTATCTTTGTAGCAATTATGAATGGGAGTTCATTCATGATTTGGCTCTCTGCTTGTCTGTTGTTGGTGTATAGGAATGCTTATGATTTAGCACATTGATTTTGTGTCTTGAGACTTTGCTGAAGTTGCTTATCAGGTTAAGTAGTCGTTGGGCTGTGATGACAGGATTTTCTAGATATAGGAGCATGTCATCTGCAAACAGAGACAAATTGACTTTTTCCATTTTTATTTGAATACCCTTTATTTCTTTCTCTTGCCTGATTGTCCTGGCCAGAACTTCCAATACTATGTTGAATAGGAGTGGACAGAGAGGACATCTTTGTCTCGTGCTGGATTTCAAGGGAAATGCTTCCAGCTTTTGCCCACTGAGTATGATATTGGCTGTAGATTTGTGATAGATGACTCTTATTATATTAAGGTATGCTTCTTCAATACCTAGTTTATTGAGAGCCTTTAACATGAAGGGATGTTGAATTTTATGAAGGCCTTTTCTGCATCTATTGAGATAATCAAGTGGCTTTTGTCTTTAGTTCTGTTTATGTGATTAATCACACTTGTTGATTTGCATAAGTTGAACCAACTTTGCATCACAGGGATGAAGCCAACTGGATCATGGTGGGTAAAATTTTGAAGTGCTTCTGGATTCGGTTTGCTAGTATTTTATTAAGAACGTTTACATTGAAGTTCATCAGAGATATTGGCCTGAAGTTTTCTTTTTTTGTTGTGTCTCTGCCAGGTTTTGGTATCAGGATGATGCTGACCTCATAGAATGAGTTAGAGAGGAGTTCTTCCTTTTCATTTTTTTGAAATAGTTTCAGTAGAAATGGTACCAGCTTTTATTTGTAACTCTGGTAAAATTTAGCTGTGAATCCATTTTGTTCTGGGCTTTTTTTGGTTGGTAGGTGGCCTCAATTTCGGAACTCATTATTGGTCTATTGGGGGATTCTATTTTTTTTTTTTCTGGTTCAGCCCCAGGAGGGTGAATGTGTCCAGGAATGTATTCATTTCTTCTACATTTTCTTGTTTATGTGCATAGAGGTGTTTATAGTATTCTCTGATGGTTGTTTGTTTTTCCGTGTGGTTAGTGGTGATATGCCTCTTATCATTTCTGATTGTATTTATTTCATTCTTCTCTCTTTTCTTCTTTATTAGTCTAGCAAGTGGTCTATCAATTTTGCTGATTTTCTTCCAAAAACCAGCTCCTGGATTCATTGATTTTTAAAGAGTTTTTTGTGTCTCTAACTCTTTCAGTTAAGCTCTGAGCTTAGTTATTTTTTGTCTTCTGCTGTCTTTGGTGTTTGATTGCTCTGGGTTCTCTAGTTCATTTAGTTGAGATGTTAGGTTGTTAACTTGAATTCTTTCTAGTGGGGCATTTAGAGCTATAAATTTCCCTCTTAACACTGCTTTAGCTGCATCCCAGAGATTCTGGAACATTGTCAGTTTGTTCTCATTAGCTTCAAATAGCTTGTTGATTTCTGCCTTAATTTTATTATTTACCCAAAAGTCATTCAGGTGTGGGTTGTGCAATTTCCATGTAATTGTGTGGTTTTTAGTGAATTTCTTAATCTTGAATTCTAACTTGATTGCACTGTGATCTGAGAGACTGTTATGATTTCAGTTCTTTTGCATTTGCTGAGGAATGTTTTACTTCTGATTATGTGATCAATTTTAGACTAAGTGTCATATGGTGATGAGAAGAATGTATACTCTGTTGTTTTTGGGTGGAGAGTTCTGTAGATACCTATCAGGTTCACTTTATCCAGAGCTGAGTTCAGGGCCTGAATATCTTTGTTAATTGTTTGTCTCAATGATCTGTCTAATATTGTCAGTGGATGTTAAAGTCTCCTACTATTGTGTGAGAGTCTCTTTGTAGTCTCTTTATCTATTTGTAGGTCTCTATGAGCTTGCTTTATGAATCTGGGTGCTTATGTATTGGGTGCATATATATTTAGGATAATTAGCTCTTCTTGTTGAATTGAACCCTTTATCATTATGTAATGCCCTGCTTTGTCTTTTTTGATCTTTTGATCGTTTTTGGTTGAAAGTCTGTTTTGACAGAAACTGGAATTGCACCCTCTGCTTTTTTCTGATTTCCCTTTGCTCAGTAAGTTTTTCTTCATCCCTTTATTTTGAGCCTATGTGTGTCTTTGTACTTGAGATAGGGCTCTTGAAGACAGCATACTGATGGGTCTTGGCTCTTTATCCAGCTTGCCGTTCTGTGTCTTTTAATTGGACCATTGAGTTCATTTACATTTACATTTAAGGTTAATATTGTTATGTATAAGTTTGATCCTGTCATCATGATGCCTGCTGGTTATTTTGCTTGTTTATTTGGTTGCTTCATAGTGTCACTGGTCTATGTACATCAGTGTTTTTTTTAGTGGCTGGTAACACTTTTTCCTTTCCTTATGTTGTGATTCCTTCAGGAGCTCTTGCAACGCATGCCTGCTGATGACTAATTCCCTCAACATTTGCTTGTCTGAAAAGGATTGTATTTCTCCTTTGCTTATGAAGCTTAGTTTGGCCAGATATAAAATTCTGGGTTGGAAATTATTTTCTTTAAGCATGTTCAATATTGCCCCCCAATCTCTTCTCACTTGTAAGGTTTCCATTGAGATGTTTGCTGTTAATTTGAGAGGTTCCTTTGTAGGTGACCTGGCCTTTTTCTCTGGCTGCCCTTAACATTTTCTATTTCATTTTGACCTTGGAGAATCTGAAGGTTATGTCTTGGGGTTGATATTCATGTAGATTATCTTACTGGGGTTCTCTGCATTTCCTGAATTTGAATGTTGGCCTGTCTTGTGAGATTGGGGAAGTTCTCCTGGATGATATCCTGAAGTATGTTTTCCATCTTGGTACCATTGGCCCCATCTCTTTGAGGTACATCAATCAGCCATAGGTTCAGTCTCTTTACATAATCCCATATTTCTCAGAGATTTTGTTCATTTTTTTTTTCATTCTTTTTTCTCTATTCTTGTCTACCTGTCTTATTTCAGAAAGATAGTCTTCAAGCTCTGAGATTCTTTTCTCTGGTTAGTCTATTTGGCTATTGATACTTGTGATTGCATTGTAAATTTCTTGTGTTATGTTTCTCAGATCCAGGTCACTTAAGTTCCTCTCTAAATTGGCTATTGTGGCTGTCAGCTCCTATATCATTTTGTCATGATACTTAGCTTCATTTCATTGGGTTGCATGATCCTTTAGCTCAGTGAACTTTGTTATTACCCACCTTCTTTCACTTCAGCCATCTCTTCCTCAGTCCAGTTCTGTGCCCTTGTGGGAGATGTGTTGTAGTCATCTGGAGAAGAGACACTCTGGCTTTTTGAGTTTTCAGTGTTTTTGCATTGATTCTTTCTCATCTTTGTGGACTTACCTACCTTTGATCTTTGAGGTTGCTGACCTTTGAATGAGGTTTGTGTGGGGTCTTTTTTGTTGATGTTGTTGTTGTTTTCTACTTGTTTATTTTTCTTTTAACAGTCTGACCACTCTACCTTAGGGCTGCTGCATTTTGCTGGGGGGCCACTGCAGACTCTAGTTGCCTCAGTTTTTTCCCATTCCTGGAGGTATCACCAGTAACGGCTATGAAGCAGTAAATATGGCAGCCAGCTCCTTCCTCTGGATGCTTTGTCCCAGGGTGGTAGTGACCTGTTGCTTGCTCAAATGCACCTGTAGGAGGTGGCTGGAGACCCCTACTGGGGGGTTCTCACCCAGTCAGCATGAACAGTGTCCTGCTTAAATAAGCAGTCTGGCTGTTTTTTGATATAGCAGGTATGCTGCATTGGTGGGAAGGCATGACTTCCTCATCTGGACCACCTATATTCTCCAAAGCTATCAGGGTGGAGCAGATGAGTCAACCAAATCACCAAGATGGTAGTTACCCCTCCCCCAGGAGCTCTCTCCCAGGGAGAGATCAGAGCTCTATCTGTAGAACTCTGGCTGGAGTGGCTGAAGCCCCTGCAGGGAGGTCCCACCCAGTAAGGAGGAAAGGATAGGGGTCCCGCTTAAAGAAGCAGTCTGGCCATTATCTGGCAAGCCAGGTGTTGTGGGGGAACCTTCTTCATCCAGATTGTTTGTATTCTCCAAAGTCAGCAGGCTAAAACAGCTGAGTCTACCAAACTGCAGAGATGGTGTCTGCCCCTCCCCTCCTGGGAACTCAGACCCGTCTCGGGCAGATTTCAGTGTGTTGCCATTGGCTGGCTCGAATTCCAAGCCAGTGGGTCTTAACTTATGAGGTGCTGTGGAAGTGGGGCTCACAGAATGAGGCTGCTTGGCTCCCTGGATTCAGCCCCTTTCCTAGGGATGTTTACGGACAGATTTCCCACCTTTCCAGGGATCATGCGGCCAGAGTATGTAAAACTCCTGGGTCTCTGTGTGTATCTGAGTGGCTGCTCTGCCAAAATACCACTTTATAACCACTTGAATGGTAATAGTAATAATAATATAAAATAACGAGTGTTGGCAATGATGTGGATAAATTGGCAACACAAAATATTTCTGGTGAGAATGTAAAATCGGGCAACACATAAGCAAAAAGATTGGCACTTCTTCAAAATGTTAAACTTGTAATTAGCATATGACCACCCATCAACTTCATTCATAGGTACATACCCAAAAGATGTGAAAACATATGTCCTCACAAAATGCTGTACATTAATAATCATAGCAGCATAATACCTAATATCCAAAAAAATAGAAATAATCCAAATATTCATTAACTGGTGAATTAATAAACACAATGTTACAAATCCATTCAATTGAATGTTATTCAGCCATGAAAAAACATTCTTACATGCTGTAACACGTATGAACTTTGAAAACATTATTCTAACTGAAAAAATCTAGTCATAAAAGGCTACATATTGTCTGATTCTATTTATTTTATATGTCCAGAATAAGCAAATCCATGAAGACTGAATGAAGTTTAGTGAGTGTTTGAGGATGCAGGGACTGGGATTGGACAGTGACCGCTAAGAGGAATGGGGTTTCATTTAGGGTGATGTAAAACGTCTGGATTATATAGTGGTGATGTTTGCACAACTTTGTTAATGTACTAAAAACCACTGAATTGTATACTTTAAAGCAGTGATTCCTATGTAATTTGTATCTCAATCAAAATAAAATACAAACATCTTCTCCTGCATATATTTTACCTAAAATAGCTCTTAATATCCAGTTTGAAAATGTATATGAAAAGATGCATGTTTTAATATAATTTCACAAACATATCAGATTTATTACACGTTAAATTTAGTGACTCATCCACATCATTTGTGATGCAAAGATTTAATTGCCTCAACATTATCCATCATTCTCAATCACCTCAAAGAGAGTAAAAATTTCTTAATAATTTTTGTCTTTGTGTCAAAATGTCTCTTTTCTATGTTACAGAAGAATTGCTAATTATTTTACCCAAATATGTATGTGGCCCTCCCTTGCACACATATAAAAAAACTTGTCGGTCATCTAGTATGCCACATATCATATTAAAAATGAATAGGAAATCAGCAGTTTCTTCCACTAAGAAGTATAGTATCCCAAATCATGGATGTTTTGTATCTGAGGTACTTTAAAATACTTATAAATTATATAAGGTTAAGAACAGAAATATTTCTTATGTTTATATTTCTCAAATAATTTATCACATTTTGTATTACTCAGCAGGCCTTCAATTAGTATTTTTTATTTGACTTCATCAGCACGTACTTATGTATGGCAATGAGTTCAAGTGAACACTCTGAAGAGATCAGATGAAATCAAAGTAAACTTCTCTATTGAAGAACTAAGCTGGCTAGTTGTTGTTTTTTATATTTTACTAACAATTTATTGTTTTAAAAGGCAGGGTAATAGTGGGAGGTATAATGTACAATATGGTGTCTTTGGGCATAAAATGAAACAAAACAAAGTGACTGAGACTGGGTGTCGGAATGGTTGGAATAAGTTATGTGATGGGTAGCTAGAAGAAAATATCCATTAAAGTCAACATATCTTTTCTAGAATCATAAGTGAGGACAGATACTCTGCCCAGTTCCTAGGAAATCATTTCATGCTTCCCACACTATAAGAAAAACAGGTAATCAGGAGAGAAATCCTTTAACTTGTAACTACCTCGTCTTCAAATCTAACTATCCCCTCTTACTATCTTAGGAGAGATGCATTTCCCTGCATCTCTATAATGCTATTCTTGCCACCTGCACTTTTAAAATTCCAGTTCCATAACCTGCTGCTTTCTTATTGGCTTTGCTCTGCCAATTATCATTCTTCCTTTTGCTTAAACTCCCTCCATTTGCTGTTTTCCTTCACACTTTGAACATGTGCAAATTCCAATCGACTAAATAAAATAAAAAGCCCTCTCTAAGCATCTACTTCCTCTACCCTCCACTGTTTCTGCCTTTGCCAAATATAGCCACATTTTGAAAACATTCTTCTACACTTTTTACATTTTCAAAGTTTCATTGAATGCTACACTGACTTTTAATCAGTAAACTCTATAGAAACTATTCACCATAACAAACTTCTAATTGATAAATGTTTTATTTCCATTTTTTTAATAGAGATTGGGCCTTGCTCTGCTAACCAGCTGGTCCCAAACTCTTTGCCTCACATGATTACCCTGCCTTGGCCTCTCAAAGTGCTGACTGACAGGCATGAGCCACCACACACAGATTCTAAAAAATTTGATAAATTTTTGTCGGCCTTTTGTATCCTATTTGGCATGATGCTGAACTGGAAAACTTTTATCCTTCTACTGTCTTCAAAACCCATTCATCTCTTGATTTTCTTTATAGGACTCAATCCTACTTTCCATTTTACTGTTAACATAACTATTTTTCTATTTTTCTTAATGATTTATGTTCTATAATTTCACGGAAAATCACCAGTTCCTACTTTTATATCCTCAGCTTTCCTTTCTTCTCACTGTACACACTCTCACATATGCTTTCCTGGCTTGAAATACTGCATATAATAATTTGATTTCCAAATTTAACCTAAAGATTAAACCTTCTGAAGTGCATATCTGCCAAATCCATGATTCCTCTTGTAGTCTTCATTTCTGTTAACAAAATCATCTGTCAACAAATTGTTTGTGTGGGATATCTGGGACTCATGTTTATTTTATTTCTGTTACTTATTTCCTCCCCCCCTCCAAATCCAATATATCAATAACTTCTCTCTTCTGAATGTATAAGATATTTTCCCTTGCTACAGACTCTTTTTAATCTTCAATCACTAATCGGGGTCCACTGACAATAAGTATTCTCCTTAATATTTGTTTCTTTGAGATAGGGTCTTTGTCTATCACTCAGGCTGGAGTTCAGTGGTGCAGTCAATGCTCAGTGTAGCCTCGACCTCCCAGGCTCAAGCGATCCTCCCACCACAGCCTCTCGAGGAGCTGGGACTACAGGCAAGCACCACCATGCCCAGCTTTTTAAAAATTTTTTCTATGATTTTTGTGGAGACGGAGTGTCCCTGTGTTGCCCAAGCTGGTCTCAAACTCTTGAGCTCAAGCAATCCTCCTGCCTCAGCCTCCCAAAGTGCTGGGATTACAGGAGTACACCACCACACCTGGCCAGCCCTCCTTAATTCTTATTGTGTCTTTTGGTATTTTTTAGTCTGTTCCTCACTTTTCCATCACTGATTTTATATATATATATATATATATAAAATTAAATAAGTAATATTATATATTTGTATTAGTTTGCTAGGCCTGCCATAACAAATTACCACAAATGAGTGACTTACAACCACAGAAATTTATTATCTTACAGTTCTGGAGGTGATAAGTGGGCTGCACTCCCTTTGAAGTCTGTGAGGGTTAATACTTCTTTGCCTATTCCAGCCTCTGGTGGTTCTAGTAGTCCCTTGGTTAGCAGTAGCATAACTCTGATCTGTCTCCAACTTCACATGGTCTTTCCCTCTGTGTGTCCATGTCTCGAGTGTCCCTGTCTTTTCTCTTATAAGAGCACCTGTTCTTGAATGTAGATCCCACCCTAAACCTAGGATGGTCTCATTTTGAAATCCTAAACTAATTACATATCCAAAACCCTATTTCAAATAAGGTCACATTCTATATAAATAATTTTATATATAGTCATTCATTTACATTAATAAATTGTTGCCATAATAAATTATTGATGCCTACATTATGACATCCATTCACTCATGCGTTCATTTATTCATTCAAAAATATTAATATGTATCAGACACTGTGCAAAGAATTGGAGATATAACAATGAATTTGACAGAAACAGTCCCTGCCCTCCAAGATGTTAGAATCTAATGATAAACTAATAAGTAATCAAGTTGTGATACATATTACAAGAAGTATAGTCTCCCCACCTTCTAGCCCCAATTATTATTTACTTCCTCTGTGTTCTCAACAAAATTTCTACATATATTGGAAGTTATCTCAATATGCTATACATTTTGTTTTTATACCTGTCTCTAAAAGTAGACTATGAGTTTACTAAAAATTCTTAGTAGGATTCATATTTACTGATTTAAGATCCAAAACAGTGATATAGAAGGAGCTCAGTATTACTTAATAAATCAAAGATGAAGTAACAGAGCTGAAACAACATATGCACTTGTCTTATATTTTATTCTGTTATATTTTAATATAAAGCTCAAACCTCTATCAGAGGTGTACATCTGACAAATCCATGATTCCTCTTGTATTGTTTATTTCTCTTAATAAAAGCATCAATCAATGGTTTATATGAGAAATCTTGGTCTTCATTTTCTCTCAGTTCTCTTTCTTTGCCCTCCCAATAGTCAAACAAACACAAATAGGAATACATTTTTACCTGTTAAATTAGCAAAGATAAGAGAGAATCATATGCAGTGTTGGGTCGAATAACTGAACAGTGTAATGCTATGTTGGTCCAAAAGTAAGTTAGCAAACCCTTCAAGAATTTTTAGTTATTGTCCATGAAAGAGTTCAGATTATACAATCCCAATATATGCACTCTGGTATAAAGGTTATTTTGAGTTGAAGGCAATTGAGAAGAGGTAGACACGGGATGGGCTCCACTTTCCTTCCCCTGTTTACCTGAAAACACAACATGAATTTCCTTTGTGAAAATGTGCCATTTCCTGTATGAGGACCTTATCACCAGATAGAAAATGGCACTGGAAAAGAGTCTACATAAACCTTACTAACTCTCCTTTATCTTCCATTAGTTTATGTCGTATGTAGCAACTATCTGGGGCTGGTGTCACGTGGGTGGTAAAAATTATTTAGCAAGACAGTTGTAGGTAAAGAAAGGCAGGTTTATTAGAGAAAGTATGAAAATATGTTGCAAGAAAGCAACAGACAGATCAGCAAAAGAAGAGCTAACTGCAAAGAGACAAAGGCTTTCTGGGGATATTATAGTGTGGTTCATGTGCATTACAGAAAGCTACAAGCAGTACTGATAGTGCCAAGGTCGCCGTGTGCTAACTTGCATTTTTTTTTTTTTAATCAGCCAAAGAACTGGTGATAAGTCGGGCACAGGAAGATACTGAGTTATTTGTGCAGGAGGACTATGTGTCCTGGACCATGAAGAAAGGCAGACTTACAACATTTCTGCTTTCCCCTGTGCCCACCAGCCTGACTCTTTTTTTTAAATTAGGACTCCACCGTTTACCTCATATATTTACCTCCCCAGTTTGCTGGACCTATGAGCACACACCCCCTTTCCTTTGTCTTACCACTTCTCTACAAAATTTTATTGTTCTTCATTAAGATTCTATATAAGCCCAATTTCTAACCACCCCTTTAAGTTACAAATCACTGAGTATTTCCATGTGTAGGTGCAATGCATGCATAAATAAACTTCTGTTATTTTTTTCTCGTGTTAATCTGTCTTTTAGGAGTCTAAATTGCAGGGCCCCAACCAAAGAATCTAAGATGGGTAGAAGAAAATGACATTCTTTTCCTCCTCTAGACCTGCCTTTATCAAACAACTAATATTTTGGAAATCAACTTTCAATAAATTATTAGGCATGTGGACAAAGATTTGTGCACAAAAAATGTTCACCATAGTGATATTAAATGAATAGCAAAGTATGAAAAAACCCAAATGCCCAATAATACTGAAATGGTTATGTAAATTACAGTATATTCCTACTGTGGAATATTGGGCAACAATGAAATCTCATACATTTGAAGGATATTAATAAAATTTGTTACGTAGTGGAGTGAAAGAATAGTTGATCACGAATCACTATCTAATTTTAGTATTCATCTTTTTCAAGAACAACAGATTTGACAGAATAGTCCTTTTCATGGGGATCATGTTCATCTCTCAAATCCTGAATTCCTTTATCCAAAAGAAGATAATCTTGTTTTTTTGCTTTGTTTTTATTTTTGTAAAGGCAACATACTCCAAACTTTAGTTTAATAAAAGAAGAAAAAAAGTGTTGTCAGTTTAGATTTGTTGTCAGTTAAATTTACCACTCCATCGTTTACAAATGCAGTTGAGGAAATTGTGAGAATTGAACCCTAAAGGGTCATTTTCTCCAACAGCCTCACAACCATCCTTTTCTATCTGCTTTATCTTGCTAGGAGGAGAGTGAAATTTTCCTTCTTTCATGTAAATCTTCCTTCGACCTGCAATTCTGGCTTTTCTATTAGTTTTTGGCAGCTGCTTTTAATACTACAGCTCCTGTCTCCTGGTCATCTTCTTTGCAGCCCTATATATATGGAATTTTCCAGTTTTACTTAAAAAAGAAAACTGATACTCTGGCCAACTTATTCAGTATCATCTTTCCTGAAGATGTTTTTCCTCTGGAGATTTTTAAACCTAAGCTTTGGGCCTCTAACTGCTTCCTTCCATTGCTAGTAAAACACTTATTAAGAGCAGTGAAGACTCATCTAATTAAAACATTTTTAATAAGTAAGGAATAAAACAAAACTTTAATTGAATCCAAAAGATTATGACCAGATCACTTTAAAAAATATCTAAAACTCAACTTGTCCTATTTCTAGTGTAGCCAATTCAGATAAAATTGTTACTACATTGTATTTTTCAATACAAGAGTTTTTTGAAATAAAAAACTTGAAATATTTAATTAAAATTTTCCTTTCATATGTAATACCTCTTAATGCTTTTAATTAATCTGAATATCCTTAATTAGTTCTGTAATTTTTCCATGTGTAAATAGCAAATTAAAGTATTAAGCTACCCTCAAACATCATATATGATTAAATATATAATTGTTGCCAGAATGATTAAAGGATTACATGGAAAAGGTAGTAAGGTTCAGGTAAAGGTTTTTGTTGCTTGATTTTTAAATTCTGAATGCTTTTAAATACATTTTCCTCAACATAATTATTCTCAAAACAAACTTCTTTAAAATAGTAACTTTAAATGTGTGAAATCATTACCAGACCTAAATGCAATTCAAATAAATGTGAGTCAAATAGAATGCCTGTTGAAGAAATGAAGTCAAGATGGCTGAAATGGTTTCCTAGCCTCAGGATGTCATTAGCCTAAGAGCCTTTGTATTGATTTTATACATTTTTTAAGTCGTCTTCTAGTGGCTTATAGTTACCGATCAAATTCCATTCCTTCAGCAAGAGGTTTGGATGCGATTTTGCTGGAAGGCCAAACTTTTCTCTCTCCAGTTTACTGACACAAATAAATTAAATTTTATAATGAGGTCAGTTAATTTTCTAACTTGCTTCTTTTCTCATCTAAGGCATTATACCAAATCTAATACAACAAATAGTAACTTCAGCACTGTAAGGTTTATTCATGTAATTAGCATTTCATCTTCAATAATACTATGAAAAGTAATTAAACCTAACGATGTCTCAACATGTAATATTAGTGTCAGTTTAGAAATGAGAATAGCAATAATAATGTTTATAATAAAACCACTGAGAGATCCTAGAAACATGATCTTACTTACTGAATACCTTTCTAATAAGTAGTGAGCTTCCATGTATAAGATAATTCTTAACTACAGTGGAAAAAATAGATCAATGTGTACTAACCAAAATGTCATTTGATCTATGTTGTCATATTCACCCCCAAAGTGCCTTTTTTGAGACAGGGTCTTGCTATGTTGCCCGGGCTAGAGTGTGGTGTTGCAATCTCAGCTCACTGCAACCTCAGCCTCCAGAGCTCATGCAATCCTCCCACCTTAGCCACCCAATTAGTTGGGATTTCAGACGTGTGCCAGCACACCAAGCTAATTTTCATATTTCCTGTAGAGATGGAGTTTTACTATGTTGTCCACGCTGGTCTCGAACTCCTGGGCTTAAACCATCTGCCTGCCTTGGCCTCCCAAAGTGCTGGGATTACAGGCGTGAGCCACCACACTTGTTTTTCTTTTTTTATTTTATTTTATTTTATTTTATTTTATTTTATTTTATTTTATTATTATACTTTAAGTTTTAAGGTACATGTGCACATTGTGCAGGCTAGTTACATATGTATACATGTGCATGTTTTTCTTAATCTAGGAGCTAGCTTCCTCACTAATAAGATCTGAGTTATTATGGAAAGATATTCTGGGCTTTATAAAATTCAAGTTGACAGTAGATTTGAAAACTGGTAAAAGACAGCCTCCCAATTTCCAATTTGGATATGAATTTACACTCAGTCTCGAATCAGATTTGCACTGCAGTTAGCTATGTCCTCAAAACAGTTATCAATACAAAACATGATGACCAAAATCAATCTTTCCTTCAGGGGGTGATTTTACATAATACTTCAGGAAATGGGAAATTTATGCAATTTAGATTTGTCGTATGTCAGTGTGCACTCTGTTTCATTCATGTATAATCTCACTCTCACTATGTAAATTTTTGACTACCCAAGTGTCCTAGTTAAAACTGTGTTGGGGAAGAAAAACTTTTTCTGTCCTGCAAATTCAACAGACAAACAACATATTAACAAGAGAAAAAAGGTTTATTTGTATGCACATTGGAGCTACAGAAGAAGTAACTAACTCAATAAATGGCTACAGTTGAAGACTTACATACTTAATTTAGAAAAAAGGGAGGGGAGAGAAAAGCTTCTTTGACTAAAAGGAACATATTTGTTTCTGAAAGACAAATGGGATTTTAAGAAATTTTGTGATAATGTTGGTTTGTACAGGTTCCAGTGAGTGGTCTTTCAGTTTTCTTTATGGCCATGAAACTATCCCAGAGAAGGTATTTATGGTAGGTTTACTACTGGTATGTTTCCTGAGAGTAGACCCACCCTGAAGGGGGAATTTATGGCAGCCTCGTTTCCCCGAAGTTTCTGGTTTTAGTTAGATAAAGACAATTTAGAGAAGGTTCCCTTTTGCTTGCACTGATTCTCAAATGTCTTCAGCTTAAAACAGTCTTACCAGCTCTGGGATTCTGGGTGGTTCTTCTTCACACTAGTTATTGAGAGTGTGAGTTCTACACCTAACAAACATAGTATGGCTAGATTTGTTTTTCAATGTATCAGTAATCTTTTATTTGTATAAATTTATAAGGTACAAGTGTAAATTTGTTACATGCATAGATTGCATAGTGATTAAGTCAGGGCTTTTAGAGGGTCCATCACCTGAATAACATAGATTGTGCCTATTAAGTAATTTCTCATCATCCACCTCCCTCCCACCCCTCACATCGTTCCCAGACTGTTGTATATCAGTCCACATTCTATGTCCACGTGTACACATTATTTAGCTCCAACTTATAACTGAGAATATATTTTTATTTCTGTGTCTTTGTTGTTTCACTTAAGATAATCGCCTCCAGTTTCATCCATGTTGCTGCAGAAGACATTATTTCATTTGTGTTTATGGCTGAATAGTAATTCCATTGAGTGTATACCAGAGTTTGTTTTTTTTTTTTTTTTTGAGACGGAGTCTCACTCTGTTGCCCAGGCTGGAGTGCAGTGCCACAATCTGGGCTCAACTGGGCTCACTGCAAGCTCCACCTCCAGGGTTCACGCCATTCTCCTGCCTCAGCCTCCTGAGTAGCTGGGACTACAGGCGCCCGCCACCACGCCCGGCTAATTTTTTGTATTTTTAGTAGAGACAGGGTTTCACCGTGTTAGCCAGGACGGTCTCTATCTCCTGGCCTCGTGATCCGCCCACCTCGGCCTCCCAGAGTGCTGGGATTACAGGCGTGAGCCACCGTGCCCGACCCAGATTCTTTATCCATTCATCCAATGATGGACACTTCAGTTGATTCCATATTTTTGCTATTGTAAATAGTGCTGCAATAAACATATGAGTGCAGGTATATCTTTCATATAAAGAAATCATTATATCAATCATCTTTTGATAGGAAGGGTCGAAGGGAAGGAGAAAATCTTAATGAACCCAGTATTTCACAGAACCTGAATTTTAAAGAATTGAAAAGTTGTTAATTCTTCAATAGAACTTAAAATTATCTTGGTCCACTTATTCTTATAAGTTGTTTATTATTATTTCACGGTTTGTCTTATCTCAAGTCACTCCCTGATGCAGGCACAGTGTGCCACATCTTACAAAAAATATGTATTGCTTGTCAATCAGCTGGGTGCTGGAACAAATGTGTTCTTCTACAAAATGACTTAGTAGTACCAATATAATTAAGACAGGATCTTTGCCTTCCAAAAGCTCATCAGGTTTGTAGGGAGGCATGTATGGTTAACACACAGTGACAATATAATAAAAATGTAAATAATGGCTAGGAGTAGGCCAGCTGTGGTGGCTCATACTTGTAATCCTAGCACTTTGGGAGGCCAAGGCAGGGGGATGGCTTAGGCTCAGGACTTCGAGACCAGCCTGGACAACATGGTGTAACATGGTGTAACCCAGTCTCTACAAAATACAAAATAAATAAATAAATAAATAAATAAGCCAGATGTCGTGGGGCATGCCTGTAGTCTCAAGCTATTCAGGAGACTGAGGTGGGAGAATTGCTTGAACCTGGGAGGTCGAGGCTGAAGTCAGTCTTGTTCATGCCACTGCGCTCTAGCATGGGTGACAAAGAGAGACTCTGTCTCAAAAAAATAATTATTATTATGGCCATGAGGATGCCATGGTAGGCTTTAGAGAGAAAATTTATTAATCTGAAGGAAATCAAGATAATAACCCAGAGCAAGTTAAGTTAAACTAAACAACACTCAGCCAAAAAGGAGAATATATTTGAATCCTAATTCATTATCTCATCTCTGGTTTTACATAATTGAATTGCTTTTTTTGGGTGGTAGTATGAACATTCCATGCTCATGGACAGGAAGAATCAACATAGTAAAAATGGCCATACTGCCCAAAGTAATTTATAGATTCAATGCTATTCCCATCAAGTTACCATTGACTTTCTTTACAGACTCAGAAAAAAAAAAAAAAAGACTTTAAATTTCATATGGAACCAAAAAAGAGCCTGTATATCCAAGACAATCCTAACCAGAAAGAACAAACCTGGAGGTGTCATGCTACCTGACTTCAAACTATTCTGCAAGGCTACAGTTACCAAAACAGCATGGTGCTGGTACCAAAACAAATATATAGACCAATGGAACAGAACAGAGACCCCAGAAATAAAACCGCACATCTACAACAATCTGATTTTCGACCAACCTGACTAAAATGAGCAATGAAGAAAGGATTCCCTATTTAATAAATGGTGCTGGGAAAACTAACTAGCCATATGCACAAAACAGAAACTGGACCTCTTCCTTACACCTTATACAAAAATTAACTAAAGATGGATTAAAGACTTAAATGTAAAATCTAAAACCATAAAAACCCTAGAAGAAAACCTAGGCAATACCATTCAGGACATAGGCATGGGCAAAGACTTCATGACTAAAACACCAAAAGCAATTTCAACCAAAGCAAAAATTGACAAATGGGATCTAATTAAACTGAAGAGCTTCTGCTCAGCAAAAGAAACTATCAACAAAGTGAACAGGCAGCCTACAGAGTGGGAGAAAATTTCTGCAATCTATCTATCTGACAAAGGGCTAATATCCAGAATCTACAAGGAACTTAAACAAATTTACATGAAAACAAACAACCCTATCAAAAAGTGGGCAAAGGATGTGAACAGACACTTCTCAAAAGAAAACATTTATGTGGCTGACAAACATGAAAAAAAAGCTCATCATCACAGGTCATTAGAGTAATGAAAATCAAAACCACAATGAGATACGATCTCAAGCCAGTTAGAATGGCTATTATTAAAAAGTCAGGAAACAACAGATGCTGGAGAGGATGTGGAGAAATAGGAACACTTTCACACTGTTGGTGGGAGTGTAAATTAGTTCAACCATTGTGGAAAACAGTATGGTGATTCTTCAAGGATCTAGAACAACTTCCGATTCTGTGTGTTCTTACTTTCCAAGGGCATAGTGAAGTACAAGATCATTCACAAAATGCAGCCATATAACTGTTCTTCATGCTGCTCAGTATGTTGATGTTTTTATCCATTCTCTTTTTGTGAAATGCTACATAAAGCATATGATTAACACCAGGAAAGCCAAACCTATACAACTATAATTCAGAAAAGTGACCTCTGTCATATTCACTTATACTTGCACATGTTTCTTTCTAAAATTGTTCTGCCAACACCAAAATGGACCTTATTTTAGGGCATAATTTCTTTTTTGGGCAAAGCTAATTTCCCAAATCATGCTACTTACTTTGTATCATTTATAAAATATAAAATTCTTTTAACAATGCAATTCCCTACACTTCTTTTCAGCCATGTATCACTGGAGAGAGTGTTTCTCCCTTTGTTTTGAACATTTCTCTGTCAAAAATAAAATTTACTCATGGATTTGTAACTCTCATACAAATTAATAAAACCCAAGCCTTTTCTAGTAGTGTTCTGGAATGTGGAAAATAAATAAATATTATAAAGTACTCTGGGATACATTTTAAACTACATATGTATCCCGTCATTTTTGAAAATTTTAGATTGAGACTAGATGAAATGAAAAATTTGAAAGGAACAATAACCATTAAACAAATGTACAAAATAGTTTTTCAGAAGTTTATGAGCCCAATTTTTATCTACAACTATTTCAAAATCCTAAGGATGGTACTTGTATTTAACTGATTACAAATTGCTTACAGATGAGGAAATATTTCTAATTCTTTCACGAAGTTATAAAAATCTGAGTAAAATTTCTGAGATATATGAGGAACAACGGAAGAAAATTTATGAAAAACAACTTTGGCTCATCTTGCATAATAATATAGATAAGACAATTCTAGACATTATTATGGAAAACTAAATCTGTCAATATTTTGGTACGATAATAAACCATGATTCAGTAGTTTATCCAGGAAATACAAATACAAAGGTAGATTTGTTTTAGAAAATCTACAGAGAGGAGATAAAGTGATTAGAACCATGGACTATGAATTTGACTTTCAGGTTCTTAATCACAACTCTTGCCTTTGCTGTGTGACTTCTTGCAAGTTACTTAACAGTTCTCAATGTTATAACATATTATGCAAAAATAAAAGGAATAATTACTTTAAACCAAATACCGCATATTCTCACTCATAGGTGGGAATTGAACAATGAGAATACATGGACACAGGAAGGGGAACATCACACTCTGGGGACTGTTGTGGGGTGGGGGGAGGGGGGAGGGATAGCATTGGGAGATATACCTAATGCTAGATGATGAGTTAGTGGGTGCAGCGCACCAGCATGGCACATGTATACATATGTAACTAACCTGCACATTGTGCACATGTACCCTAAAACTTAAAGTATAATAATAATAAAAAAGGACCATTTTATTATTTACTTGTTATATTACTATCAATAGAATATTCATTTGTATTAAAAGGAAAGATCAAAGAGCTAGCAGTTAAAAATCAGATTAGAATTCTGATATAGCAGGCATAAAATTACATGAAAATCATTACAGAAAGGAGAATATAATCTAAAAAACAAAAAAGTATAAAATACCTAAGAATAATTATTTATGAAGAAATACATTGGATCTATATAAAAATTAAAATATATAAAACATTGTTGAGTGACAAAATAAAATTTGAATGAATCAAAAAAGATATTGTATATCTGAATAGCAAGAGGCAGAATTGTAAATATGTCATTTCTTCACAAATTAAAATACAAATTTAAAGCAATTCCAATAAAAATTTCAATAACATTTTAAGATAACAAATAATTTTAAAATCATTTTATGAGAAAAATGGAGTAAGAAAAACTAAGAAAATTGCATAAATAAGAGATTTAAGGGGAACTCGCCTTATATATATGTAAAATACTGCACATTGACACTAGGTAAAACGATTTGGCACTGGCACAGATTCAACAGATAAAGCATTAAAATAGAATAGCTAGCCAAGAGTACATATACTTCAACCTATCAATTACACATCTATGGATTTATTCCAGAGATGTGATAAAATGTCATCGGCAATTTATTATAAGAAAAGTTTTTTGTTGCAGTTTTATTCATAATACCAAACACTTTACCCTCAAACATTAAAAAAATTATGGACATTGTTAAATAAAATAAAAAATAACCTTTGTTGTTGAGGTGTTATGCAGCTGCTAAAAAATGCTTTTAAATATTATGTAATTATATAAATATAACACCCTAAATTATGGGAATGGATAAATACATTATGGTGAAAATCTGTGATAGAATGCTGTAAATATGTTTACATTTGTAATTTTGAATTTTATGATATGAGAAAAATTGATATCATTTTCAAAACCAGGATCTAATAATGTGACACAGCAAGGCATTTTATTTTGTAAAGTCGAGACAAGCCAGTATGGTTTGTGACATAATGACATTAAAACAGTATGGATTTATCTCAGTTTTCTAAAATAAGAAAAAATGACACCCAGCATGCATACATATGTCCAAACACACCTATGTACTAAGTATAGATTGTTTCTTGTCCCAGAACATTCATATGTTGAAGTCCTAACTTCCAATATAATGATGTTTGGAAGTGAAGCTTTGGAAGGTGATTAGGTCGTGTGATAGTTAATATTGGGTGTCAACTTGATTGGATTGAAAGATGCCTTGATATCTGGTAAAGTATTGTTTCTAGGTGTGTCTGTGAGGGTATTGCCAAAGGAGATTCACATTTGAGTCGGTGGACTAGGAGAAGAAGACCTACTCTCAATATGGGTGGGCACCATCCAATTGGCTGCCGGCATAGCTAGAACAAAGCAGGTGGAAGTAGGTGGGATAAGCTGGCTTGCTGAGTCTTCTCGTTTTCATCTTTCTCCTGTTCTCGGTGCTTCCTTCTGCTCCTTCTTCCATTGGACATGAGACTCCAGGTTCTTTGGCCTCTGGACTCTTGGACTTACACCAGTGATTTGGCAGGGGCTCTCCAGCCTTTGGCCACAAACTAAAGGTGGCACTGTTGGCTTCCCTGCTTTTGAGGCTTTTGGACTCGAGCAAAGACACTAGTAGTTTCCTTGCTTCTCCACTTCCAGAAGGCCTATCATGAGATTTTGCCTTGTGATCATGTGAGTCAATTCCTCCTAATAAACTCCCTTTCATATATACATATATTCTGTTAGTTCTGCTGCTGTAGAAAACCATTACTAATACAGGTCATGAGGACAAAGCCCTGGTTTAGCCCTATTAAACTGACCCCAGAGAGCTCCCTAGCCTTTTCTACCTATTGCAGACTCAGCAAGACCTCTGTCTATGTACAAGGAAGGAGGCCCTCAGCAAACATGGAATCTGCAGGCATCTTGATTGTGGACTTTCCCAGCCTCTTGAATTGTAAGAAATAAGTTTCTATTTTATAAGCCGCCCAGTTTATGGTATTTTTGTTATAGCAGCTTGAATGGACTAAGAAACATATGGATATACAGTTGACCGTTGAACAACATGGCTTTGAAACTTACAGGTCCACTAAAAGTCAAATTTTCTTCCACCTCTGCCATGCATAAGATAGAAAGACCAAATCCTCCTTTTTCTCCTCTTCCTCAGCCTATTCAATATGAAGACAAGGATGAAGACCTTTATGATGATATAATTCTTCTCAATGAATAGTATGTTTTCTCTTTCTTATGATTTTCTTGATAACATTTTTTCTTCTCTAGCTTACTTCATTGAAAGAATATAGTATATGATACCCATAACTTACAAAATATGTGTTAATCAACTGTTTATGTTATTGGTTAGGCTTCTGGTCAACAGTAGGCTATTAGTAGTAAGGTTTTGGAAATTTAAAAGTTACACATGAAATTTCAACTCCATGGCGGGGTCAATGCCCCTAGCCCCAGTGTTGTTCAAGGTTTAACTGTACTTCAAAGGAAAATTTAACATGAATTGGTAGAATTATAAGTGAGATATTTTCTTTATACTTTTATCTATTGATTTATTTTCCTACAGTGACTACCTTCTCTTCATAGCATGAAAAATATTACTGAAAAGCAAAAACTTTTATATAGACCATAATATATTTTAAAATTATAATGTGATAAAGAATGTATAATAAATTACCGAGGAAAGAAAGGGATGTTTAATATAGGTTATGGAATAATTTTTCAATTATTAATAAGAAAATCCAAGCATATTTGTATTTTGCACCAAAATTAATTACAGGTATTTGAGGAATTGATTGCAAAATATTAAAATAAAATGATTGGCAGCAGAGAAAGGAGATGCAATATTTATCAGATCTCAGATGCAGGGCCCAGAGAAAATTTTCTAGATTCTAAAGGAAAAAAATAGAGGGAAATACTTGATTATGTAAAAATGCAAAATGTAAATTTCTGTTTGTCATATATATATTAAAGAAATTAAAAGGAAACAAACAGTCAAAGAATAACATTCACACAAAAGTAGTGTCTTACCATGTAAAGATCAATAATAGCACCAAATTATTCATAGAATAAAAGACACAAAAACACTAATAAGCTGGAGCAGTTTGACCTTTCAAATAAAGTAAGAAATTATAATTAAAACAGCAGTAAGATACTATATTGATATTGTTTACATTGAAAATTCTTTCCTTATTATATGAAGTTGTGCTTTGGATGTGTAATGAAACACTTTCATAATCTGCTAATCAAAGTATAATCTGGTAAAATTTTTGGAAGGGTACTTTGACAGTTTGCACAAAATATATTGATGAATCATTCTATTTGATCAAATTATTCTTACTGTTTCTGAGTGGGAGAGGATATGTATTTTAAGCAGTGTATTAGTCTGTTTTCATGCTGCTAATAAAGACATATCTGAGACTGGGTAATTTAAAAAGGAAAGAGGTTTAATTGACTCACAGTTCCACATGGCTGGGGAGGTCTCACAATCATGATGGAAGGCCTATGAGGAGAAAAGTCATATCTCATATGGCGACAGGCAAGGGAACTTTAGTGGGGGAACTTCCCTTTATAAAACCATCAAATATCATGAGACTTATTTACTGTAATGAGAACAGCATGGGAAAGACCCATCCCCATGATTCAATTACCTCCCACTGGGTTTCTCCCACGACACATGGGAATTAGGGAGCTACAATTCAATATGAGATTTGGGTGGGGACATAGGCAAACCATATCATTCCACCTCAGCCCCTCCCAAATCTCATCACATTTCAAAACCAGTCATGCCTTTCCAACAGTCTCCCAAAGTTTTAATTCATTTCAGCATTAACTCAAAAGTCTGCAGTCCAAAATGTCATCTGAAACAAGGCAAGTCTCTTCTGTCTATTAGCCTGTAAAATCAAAAGCAAGTTAGTTACTTCCTAGATACAATGGGGGTACAGACATTGGGTAAATACACCTGTTCCAAATGGGAAAAATTGGCCAAAATGAAGGAGCTACAGGTCCCATGCAAGTCCAAAATCCAGCAGAGTAGTCAAATTTTAAAACTCCAAAATGATCTCCTTTGACTCCATGTCTCACATCCAGGTCATGCTGACATAAGAAGTGAGTTCGCATGGTCTTGGGCAGCCCCCAATCCCGTGGCTTTTCAGGGTACAGTCCACTTCCTGGCTGCTTTCATGGGCTGACGTTGAGTGTCTGTGGCTTTTCCAGGTGCACAGTACAAACTGTTAGTAAGTCTACCATTCTGGGGTCTGGAATATGGTAGCTCTCTTCTCACAGCTCCACTAGTTAGTGCCCTAGTGGGGACTCTGTGTGGGGTCTTGCTCCCCACATTTCCATTCTGCACTGCCCTAGTAGAGGTTCTCCATGATGGCCCTGTCCCTGCAGCATACCTCTGCCTGGACATCCAGGCATTTACATACAACCTCTGAAATCTAGGGAGAGGTTCCCATACCTCAATTCTTGACATCTGTACACCTGCAGGCCCAACACCACGTGGCAGCCACCAAGGCTTGGGGCTTGCATCCTCTGAAGCAATAGTCTGAGCTGTATGTTGGCCCCTTTAAGCCACAGCTGGAGTGATTGGGACACAGGGCAACAAGTCCTGAGACTGCACAAAGCAGCAAGGCCCTGGGGCAGGAAATCATTTTTTCCTCCCAGGTCTTCCAGCTTGTGATGGGAGGGGCTGCTCTGAAGACCTCTGACATGCCCTGGAGACATTTTCCCCATTGTTTTGGTGATTAATATTTGGTTCCTCATTGCTTATGCAAATATCCGCATAAGTTATGTTTGAATTTCTCCTCAGATAATGGGTTTTTCTTTTTTATCGTATTGTCAGGCTGCAAATTTTCTGAACTTTTATGCTCTGCTTCCCTTTTAAACATACGTTCCAATTCCAAACCATATCTTTGTGAATATGTAAAACTGAATGCTTTTAACAGCACCCAAGTCATATCTTGAATGGTGTGCTGCTTAGAAATTTCTTCTGCCAGATGCCCTAAATTATCTCTCTCAAGTTCAAAGTTTCACAAATCTCTTGGGCAGGAGCAAAATGCCACCAGTCTCTTTGCGAAAACACAGTTAGACTCCCCTTTGCTTCAGTTGCCAACAAGTTCCTCATCTCCATCTGAGGCCACCTCAGCCTGGTCTTTATTTTCCATATCACTATCAGCATTTTAGTCAAAGCCATTCAACAAGTCTCTAGGAAGTTCCAAACTTTCCCATATCTTCCTGTTTTCTGAGCTCTACAAACTGTTTCAACCTCTGCCTGTTACACAGTTCCAAAGTCGCTTCCACGTGCTCAGATCTCTTTACAACAGTACCGCACTCTACCAGTGCCAATTTACTGTAATAGTCTGTTCTCAAGCTGCTAATAAAGACATACCTGAGACTGGGTGACTTAAAAAGGAAAGAGGCTTAATTGACTCACAATTCCACATGGCTGGTGAGGCCTCACAATCATGGCAGAGGGCAATGAGGAGCAAAGTCACGTCTTATATGGCGGCAGGTAAGAGAACTTGTGTAAGGGAACTCCCCTTTGTAAAACCATCAGATCTTGTGAGACTTACTATCATGAGTACAGCATGGGAAAGTCCCAACCCCATGATTCAATTACCTACCAATGGGTCCCTCCCACAACAAATGGGAATTATGGAGTTATAATTCAAGATGAGATATGGGTGGGGACACAGCCAAACAATATTAAGCAGATAGAGATGCCATCAATTTTATTGGTCTAAAAGACACTTATTAAATATTTACATGTATCAGTGAAAAATTAGAAATTATCTGAATTACCAATAATAGTAGAATATTATACCACATTTGTTAGTAGACTACTATATAACATTATAAACAATGTATAATTAAAAATTATTTAATGGAATAATGCATGTGTATGAATTAATTTGGGTTATAGAGAGAAGAATACAAAACGATAACACAATGTTATTAAACAGAAATAGTGGTGCCTGATAAAATTTGTATGAAAAATAATTGAAAAGAATATATCAATACTTCTCTCAGCATCACAAACCTATGCTCATTTAATATTTATCTTTATAAATGTTTTTTTATTTTCCAAATTTTTAAAATGAGCTTTTATTATTATAATCAGAAAAAAACAGAGGCTTCTCTCTTAGGCTTTCTTAAATTATATATTAATGTTGAATTTTCATTGAACTCCCCATTCTACTTCTCTTCTTTATTAATTTAATAGTTGATTCGTTTCTTTACAGAAAATAAATTTCCATTTCCTGAAAATTGAAGCCATTTATCACCCTGCATCAGATTTCATAGTTTGAATTTAGTTCAGTTGAAATTTGTCTTTTAAGAGACAAAGAATACAATTTTTTTGTTCTTAATCCTTTGAATGAAAAGCATAACTAAATATTTAAAGATGGTCCTGTCAAACCACATCAAAATGGAAATCTAGTTTTATTACAAATATCCTCAGATGTAACAGTTCATTAAGTGAGATCAAAACAACCTATCTTAACTGACAAATATTGATGAAATGATCTACAAAACTACACCTAAACTCACAGAGATAAAGGTAAAAAATATTCTTTTCTTGCCTCCTAGGAGCAATCTTGGTTTTCTTTTTTTTCTTTTCCTTTATTCTCTCCTCTTCTCTTTGTTAACTTTATAAAGGAAACATTTATCCATCTCCTCCATTTGATATTTTGAAAAAAAAACTTAGATTACCAGGACTCTATTGGGTTATTAAATCCTGTCAATAATTTAAGGTTATTATAGTATTTTATCTTTTTTTTGGTATGACACTGACTTGCTATTCTCTGAATACACTATGCACATTAATACCGTCATGCTTTTGCACATGCTATTTCTTATGCAGGATATTTTTCTGCTCTTTTTTCTTACAGGTGAAAACATATTTGTCCTTTAGCACAACATTTAAATATAAGTAATACTTTCCCTGTGAAAATTTTCAGTCATTAATTGATTTTTGTTCCTTTCTCACTTTACATATACTTTTATGACTTTGGATTATTTCTGTATCAAATGAGAGAAAATCCAACCCTGGTTTGAGTGAAAGAAAAAAGGTGGATGATTGTTATTTTCAGACACAGTTTAAATCAGGGACTCAACGTTGCCAAGGCCAAGTAAAATTGTTTACCTCTGTATTGAATTTACTGCAGTGTGGTTCTTTCCTTGTGGTGGTCAACTGGAACTTCAGGCTTCTGTGATTTTGGTAGTACCTGAAGAAGGCACAGGAATTTTTTAAAGACTGACTTGGCCCTAGAGTCTTGAGCAAATCACTGTGGTTGGGTCTAGATTAGCATGGTCTAGATAACTGACCTATCTCTAAAGCAATCACTGTTTCTAGTGATTAAATACTTTGATAGGTGGGGCCTGAAAATGCTAGAAGGAAGCAATGATGTGAAAATTGGAAGGTAGAAAAGGGGAGAAGATTTTTCTTTTCATGGGATGATGGGATTTTCCTTTAGTATTAGAGTTGAACTAGGCATGTAGGAATCTACAAGACGTTCTTGTTCCGATTATAAGTAAATCATTTAAATCAAGGATTCTACAAGTAAAACTCCAAAATAACAATTAAATATATACTTCTTCACTATGCAGTATAGTAATAATCTAAAATATTTCTATAGATTAATTTTTAGGTTAAGAAGTTTAAGACTTAAATAAAATGTATGGGAGGTTATTGTTTTGAACTCAGCTCCTGCACTAGGCCCCAACAGACCAGACCAAGTCAAAATTGAGTCACTCATGCTAGGTTTCATGTAGTCAAACTTAAGTTTCAAACAGGTGAGTTAAATTAAAAATAAAGAACTAGAGATTCACAACAACTAATCAGAAGAGGCTCAATCAACCTGAGTCATCATGACAAGGAAGTCCCCTCTGCTTTAACCCTTTAAGGACAGTAATGTTAAAATGACTAATCTACTTTTTGTTCCTTGTTTCTGCTTTCTTCAGTTTTTTCTGATAGTAAAGCTTATGTCCTTCACTTAAATCATCAGAGTGATTTTTATCTTATAGATGGGATTTTATTAAATTCATGAATCACTAACAAATGGTCTTGAAACACCACTCATTGAAATTTTGCTTTTTGACATGACAGAAGAAAAAATATACATTAGGGAAGATAAGACACACATGATATATTTGGTGAAAATAAGAAACTTTCACACTGTTTTTCAGGTATTACACAAGAATAGTTTCATCTTTGCAATCATGGTACTATCCTGTGAACCGTAAAATTAAATGTATTTATACTTTCCTTCTTCTACAAATATTGTATGACTTCAAGTCATAAAACCAGAATATATGTATTGGCAAACACCAGGAGGCTTTTCTTTTAATCATCAAACTGGAATTCTGTAGATCAGTAACTTTGCAACACAAGATTTACAATTGCTTCCAAAGAAAGCCAGAAATCGTACAGTGATGCAGTGCCGTAAAGTAGACAGTACTATAAGGTCGCACGTGAAGGATTGCAGTCCTAGAAATCTTCCATAAATAAAAACTCCTGGCTATTTAGGTTACAATTAAATGGTCACTTAACCAACCATCAAGGACAGTTGACCACTAAATCTGTAGGTCTGACACGCTGAGACATTTTTCCATCACATAACCGATATTAACAATTTGGAAACCTGCCTGATACAGTAGCCTCAGATCTGTTACTTCTGTTATGGCCATTCAGTTAGCTGTAATACCACCTGTTCCACCAGCAGCAAATCATGATTTTACATTGGAGATGTTGATCCAATAAAATAAGGAAAATCCTCATGGCAGACCATCAAGTAGAATTTTCTGGGGTTCAGAATAGTGCTGCTTTTTTAAGCCAAAATATTTCAAATTTTCAAATGATAAACAGTTTATTTTGTTATAAAATTAAAATAACTATTGTATAATATTTTTAAAATAAACAAAACTTTGAAGAAAATATCAATCACCCCTTATCTTACCATCTAGAGATAACTTGTTGAGTCAGCAATATGTATTTCCTGCCAGTCATTTATCTATGCCTGTGTGTGAAATAATGATAACGATGATTATAACAACAATAGCAGCTATTTATGTAAACCCTGAGTACACCAGAGACTTCATTTTAAGTGCTTTAAATGGATTATAATATTTAATCCTCAAACAACCCAGATAGCCCTTACAGTAATCTCAATTTTACACAGGAAAAAGAAGCTTAGACGAAGAAAATAAATTCACCAAGATCAGATTTTAAGTTTTGAAGGCCAGGTTCAAACTAAAATCTGACCCCAAGCCCTTGAGCTTAACCTCTGTACTATACTCTCTCATTAAAGACATACTCAAAATAATGTTCACTAAGTTTAATTACAATTTTTATGACAAATGTATTGAGATATAATTCACACATCTGAAATTTCACCCTTTTAAAGTGTACAATTTGGTGGCTTTGATATATTCACAGATTTATGTTACTATTAGCACTCATTTCAGAATATTTTTATTACCCCCCAAAATATCACATACCCATTATCCACATTTCTCTTTTCCATCAAGACCTGACTATGAATAATTTACATAGTATATCTATGGATTTGGCTATGCTTGATATTTTACATAACTGGAATTATGCAACAAACGGCCTTTTGAATCTTACTCGTTTCACTTTGCATAATGTTTTCAAAGTTCATGTTGTACTATGCATCAGTACTTCGTTTCTTTTGTTGTTCTTGTTTTGTTTTATTGTGGTAAAATGCACATAACATAAAATTTACTATTTCAACCATTTTAGAGTGTAAACTTTAGTGGCTTTTTGTGCATTCTCAGTAGTGTGTAATCATCACTATCTGGTTCCAAATTTTTTTCATTACCTCTGATACTATGATATGTAATAAGAAATACATGTATGTGTGATGGTTAATACTGAGTGTCAACTTGATTGTATTGAAGGTTACAAAGTATTGATCCTGGGTGTGTCTGTGAGGGTATTGCAAAATGAGATTAACATTTGAGTCAGTAGGCTGGGAAATGAAGATTCTTTTTTTTTTTTTTTTTTTGAGACGGAGTTTCACTCTTGTTGCCCAGGCTGGATTGCAATGGCATGATTTCGGCTCACGGCAACCTCCACCTCCCGGTTTCAAGCAATTCTCCTGCCTCAGTCTCCTGAGTAGCTGGGATTACAGCCATGCACCACTATGCCCGTCTAATTTTGTATTTTTAGTAGAGATGGGGTTTCTCCATGTTGGACAGGCTGGTCTCGAACTCCCGACCTCAGGTGATCCACCTGCCTCGGCCTCCCAAAGTGCTGGGATTACAGGCGTGAGCCACCACGCCTGGCCCAGACCCACTCTTAATCTGAGTGGGCACAGTCTAATCAGCTGCCAGCATCTGGTTGGGCACAGTCTAATCAGCTGTCAGCACAGCTAGAATATTAGCAGGCAGAAAAATGTAAAAAGAGAGACTGGCCTAGCCTTCCAGCCTACATCTTTCTCCCATAATGGATGCTTCCTGCCCTCAAACATTGAACCCCAAGTTCTTCACTTTTGGAACTTGGATTGGCTCTTCTTGCTCCCCAGCCTGCAAACGGCCTATTGTGGGACCTTGTGATCGTGTGAGTTAATAAACTCCTATATACACAAATATAATATATATATATATATATTCCATTAATACCATCTCTCTAGAGAACCCTGACTAATACAGATTTTGCTACCAGGAGTGCTTCTAGAGGAACAGAATATTAAGGATGGAGTTCCTTCATTGGTTTTGGGGTTTCTGGGGTTGGCTGCTTAATATGATTAGACTCCAAAATGCTAATGACTTTACTTCTAAGAGTATGCAGAGCATCGATAGTCCTTGGTGTGAACTGTCTAGGGAGTTATGCAAAATAAATGCATTTGATGCTCCTGATTCATCACTTATGCGAGGCAAGGTGTTTAGTGACCCTGTACATAATAACTTTTCCATATGTGGAGAAACAAGGATCATAATGAAGCTGATTGGTTGCTCCTAAGTTCAGTGGACAAAGTGATGAAAGAAAATGATGAACTCAGGGATTTTATCTTCCAGCTTCAGAAGCAGATACTGAGCCTCAAATCTGCTAAGATTGCCCTGAGTGAGAGTCTCATCTCTTGTAGAGAAAGAGTTGAAATTGTGGAAAAACAGACACAAGCTCTTATCATGTGAGTGGTTGGCCTGCAACGAAAGGTGCATGCACAGCCTCACCAGATGTCTACTGTTAAAGTGAGGGCATTGATTGGAAAAGAATGGGACCGTGCAACTTGGAATGGGGACGTGTGGGAGGACCCTGATGAAGCTAGGAACACTGAGGTTGTAAACTCTGATGAACCTTTTTTTGCCAGAGAAAACAGCTTCCCCATCCCCAGTATTGGCAACATCCCCTCCCCAACCCATGCTGCCATCAGCCTTTCTACCCTTGTCTGAGGATATAAAACCCTGTGTTGCCTGAGGCAACAGTTATGGCCTCCCCTGAGGCAGTTGCAAGGCAAGATAATGTTAATTCTCCTCAGGAGCCACCCTCAATACCCCTGTTTGATTCTAGACCTATAACTAGACTAATGTCCTGGCAGGACCCTAGAGGTGAGGTTGAGAGTGTGACCCACGAGGAGGTGTGCTACACTCGAAAAGAACTGCTTGAGTTTTCTAATTTATGTAAACAGAAATCTGGAGAACAGGCATGGGAATGGATAGTAAGGGCGTGTGATAATGGTGGAAGGATCATAGAGTTGGATCAGGCTGAATTTATTGATTTGGGTCCACTAAGTAGAGACGTTGCATTTAACGTTGCAGCTCAGGGATCTAAAAAAAGGTTCTAATAGTTTATTTGCTTGGTTAGCTGAAATATGAATTAAAAGATGATGCACTGTGAGCAAGCTGGAAATGCCTGATATCCCTTGGTTTAATGTAGAGGAAGGGATCCAAAGGCTTATGGAGATTGGGATAGTGGAGTGGGTTAGTCACTTTACACCTATTCATCCCAGCTAAGAGGGTCCAGAAGATATCCCACTGACCAATGCCTTGTGAATTAGATCTGTTAGGGTAGCACCTTCATTTTTAAAGGTTCCTGTAATTGTTCTTCTCTGTATGTCAGATCTAACAGTGGGAACTGCAGTCACTCAACTACATAATTTAAATACAATGAGAATAATTGGATCCCAAGGTGTCAGAGTCCAAGTGACAGCACTCAACTGTCAAAGGCAAGGTGGGCATAGCTACCATAATGGACAGCAGAGGCAACATGGCAATCAGAATAATGTGACTTGTGTAGAGCTCTGGCAATGGTTAATTAATCATGGTGTTCCTAGAAGTGAAATAGATAGGAAGCCTACTACATTCCTATTAATTTACATAAGCAGAAAACTTCTAGGTCGAATGGACAAAAGATAAATTTGAATTATAAAAACAGAGAATCACGGCCCCTCAATCAATTTCCAGACTTGAGCCAGTTTACAGATCCAGAACCCGTTGAATGAAGGGGAGGCCAGGTCCCCTTGAAGAAGGACCCCACTACACTACTGACAATTTATGCTGTTAATCTTTCTCGCAAGGAGACCTCCGGCCTTTTATCAGGGTAACTGTGCATTGGGGAAAGGGAAATGGTCAGACATTTTGGGGATTACTGGACACTGGCTCGGAGCTGATGTTGATTCCAGGGGACCCAAAACGTCATTGTTGTCCTCCAGTTAAAGTAGGGGCTTATGGAGGTCAGGTAATTAATGGAGTTTTAGCTCACGTCCAACTTACAATGGGTCCGGTGGGTCCCTGGATTCATTCTGTAGTCATTTCCCCAGTTTAATAATGCATAATTGGCATAAAGATACTTAGCAGCTGGCGGAACCCCCACATTTGCTCCCTGACTGGTAGGGTGGGGGCTATTATGGTGGGAAAGGCCAAATGGGAGCTATTCGATCTGCTTCTACCTAGAAAAATAGTAAATCAAACACAATACCACATCCCTGGAGGGATTACAGAGATTAGTGCCACCATCAATGACTTGAAAGATGCAGGGGTGGTGACTCCCAACACATCCCCGTTCAACTCTCCCATTTGGACTGTGCAGAAAATAGATGGATCTTGGAAAATGACAGTGGATTAATGTAAGCTTAACCAAGTGGTGACTCCAATTGTAGTTGCTGTACCAGATGTGGTTTCATTGCTTGAGCAAATTAGCAGATCTCCCGGTACCAGGTATGCAGCCATTGACTTGGCAAATGCTTTTTTTCTCCATTTCTGTCCATAAGGCCCACCAGAAGCTATTTTCCTTCAGCTGGCAAAGCCGCAGTATACCTTTACTGTCCTACTTCAGGGTTATATCCACTATCCGGCTTTATGTCATAATCGTATTCAAAGAGACCTTGATCGCTTTTCGCTTCTGCAAGATATAACACTGGCCCATTACATTGATTATATTACACTGCTTAGATCTAGCGAGCAAAAAGTAGCAAACACACTGGACTTATTGTTAATATGTTTCTGTGCCAGAGGTTGGGAAATAAATCTGACTAAAATTCAGGGACCTTCTACCTCAGTAAAATTTGTAGGAGTCCAGTGGTGTCAGACCTGTCAAGATATTCCTTCTATGGTGAAGGAAAAGTTGCTGCATTTAGCCCTTCCTACAATCAAGAAAGAGGCACCATGCTTAGTGGGCCTATTTGGATTTTGGAGGCAACACATTACTCATTTGGGTGTGTTACTCTGGCCCATTGATTGAGTGACCCAAAAAGCTGCCACTTTCATGTGTGGTCCATGTATGTATACGTATTCCATTAATTCTGTCTCTCTAGAGAACCCCGACTAGTACAGTATGATAAGAAATACATATTTGGTCTTCACTCCAGTTTCTGGCACAGAATTCCTAAAACCCTTAGAATGACTATGCAATAGGGGTGCTAGGAGCATTTTTTTTGTTCTAATATTTACCTTTGACCCCAGTACCTGACACAGACCTCTTGAAATTTCATGAATGATAAGGGTGTCTTTTGTTGTATTGAGACAGCTCTTGGTGGGTTCCTGATTGAGGTCTGGTAACCTAAAAGACCAAGCCATGATTAGAAACTTGGAACTTTCAGCCCAACTACCATTATCTGGGGAAAGAGGAGGAGCTAGCAATTGATTTAATAATCAACCAGGCCTATGTGACAATCCTTAAGTAGAAGGTTTGAAGAGCTTCTGGGTTGGTGAACATGTCCACATGACATGAGGATGGCATACCTTAAGTCCACGGAGAAAGAAGCTTCTTCACCCTATGTACCTCTTCATCTGACTTTTCATCTGTATCCCCCAACACATGTTTTATCAATATAATAAACCAGTAGATGTAAATATGTGTACTGAAGTTCTGTGAGCTTCTGTAACATATTCATCGAGAAGGGGATTGTGGGAATCTTCGATTTGTAGCCATGTCAGACAGAATTTGTGGGTAACTTACTACTTGCAATTGTCATCTATAGTGCAGGCAGTTTTATAGGACTGAGCCTTGAAACTACCTGGAGATGGTGTTGAGACAGACAGATAGGATGGGGTCCTGGGGGAATCTCCAACCAGCCTTCTCACTGGGAATGTGCACTAGAGTGGAAACACAGAAGTTTGTGCCCTTTGCAGTGGGGAGGAGCCTGGCCCCTCCTCTTCCTGTGTGAAACCTGGGATTTGAATGGCCAGAAGGGAAGTGCTCTAGCAGGATTCTGGCATGTGAGAGTCCCTGTTTCCCCCTTTTCTTCCTTATCACACAATAAAACCATGTCTTACTCGCCATTCAAATTGTCTGCAAGCCTGAATTTTCGTGGGTGCAGGACAAAAAGCCCCACCTTTAGCTGAACTAAGGAAAAGTCCTGCAACTGTGTCAGGATTGTGTTAAATTTCAGGACATCCACCTGGTGTCAGAGAATTGGTTGGTGTGGGAAAAACCCACACACATCTGGTGTCAGAAGGGAAATGTTCTGTGTTTTTCTGTTCGTATTTTGTTTTGTGAATGAGAGTATAGAAGAAAACAGTTAATTTTTTTTCCTATACATCACCCCAAAAGGAAACTCAAGAGACGCTCTTCATTTCTCCTCCTCCTAACCCACTGGCAACCGTTCATCTGTATTCTTTCTCTACGAATTCACCTATTCTGTATATTTCAAATAAATGAAGTAATAAAATATGTGACCATTTGTGTCGGCTTTCACATACTTATAATAATGTTTCAAGGTTAATCTATGCTGTACCATGTAACAATACTTCATTACTTTCTATGGCTGAATAGTATACCATTGTGTAGATATACCACTTTTGTTAATTCATTCATCAGTTAATGGGTATTTGGGTTGCTTCCATCCTTTGACTATTGTGAAAAGGGCTGCTACGAATTTTCTTCAAGTTTTTGTTGGAACACCTGTTTTCAATTTTTTTGAGGGTATACCCAAGAGTGGAATTGTGCCATCACATGGTAATGCTAGGTTTAACATATAGTGGAAACTCCAAACTTTTTTCCACAACAGCTGCACCATTTTACATTCCTTCCAACTATTCAAGAGTCTTCAGATTTTTGCACGTCTTCACAAAATATTTGCTATTTTTTATTATTATATCTGAATGTCCAGTGGTAGCACAGTGTGGTTTTCATTTGCATTTTTCTAATGACTAATGCTGTTGAGCATCTTTTCACATGCTTTTTGGCCATTCGTATATCTTTTTTTGAGAAATGCCTATTCAAGTCTATTGCCTATTTGTTTCATTAGGTTGTCTTTTTGTTGTTGAGTCATAAGAGTTCATTACATATTCTGGATACTAAAGTCTTATCAGATATGATTTACACATATTTTCTCCCATGCTGTGAATTTTATTTTCACTTTCTTAATGGTGTCCATTGATGCACAAAAGTTTTATTTTTTAGAAAGTCCAATTTATCTGTTTTCTTTTGCTGCTTCTGTTACTAGTGTTACATAAGAAATAGTTGACAAATCCAAATACATACAGATTTATTCCTATGCTTTCTTCAAATAGTTTTATAGTTTTAGTTATTATAAAGGTTGTTGATGCATTCTGAGTTTGGTTTTGTATATGGTGTGATGTGAGGATCTGATTTCATCCTTTTCCATGTGAATATCTAGTTGTCTCCAGCCATTTGTGGAAAAGACTATTTTTTTCCCCATCGAGTGGTCTGGGCATTTTTCCCAAAAGTCAATTGACAATAGATATGTGGGTTTATTTTTGGACTCTGAGTTATATTCCATTGATCAATATATATATCCTCATGCTATTACATTGTCTTGTTGACTATCACTTTTTAGTAAGGTTTGAAAGTGGAAAGTGTGAGTCTTCCAGTCTTTTTTTAAAATATTGTTTTGGCTATTTAGAATTTTTTGTGATATTACATTGATAGACTTGTGTGTTGAAATAAATACATTCCTGGGGTATATTCCACTTTATTATATTGCATAATATTTTGAATATTTTTTATCTATATTTATAATGGATTTTAGTCTCTAACTTTGATTACTGTGATGTCTTTGTCATTTTTCCTTAAAGAAGAGTAATTCTGGCTTCATACATGAGATAGAAAGTGTTCCTTTCATTTTTTTTTTGAAGAATTTGAGAAGAATTGTTATAATTTTTTACTTAAGAGTTTGGTAGAATTCACCAAGGAAGCCATTTTCTCCTGGCCTTTTCTTCGAAGGATTTTGAATAAGTATTCCATGTCTTTACTTGTCCTCAGGTCTATTCAGATTTTCTTTCTTCTTCTTCTTTTTTTTTCCCTCAGCTTAGTAGTTTTTGTTTTCTTAAATTTTTTTCATTTCATCTGAACTATCTAATTCTTTGGTGTAAAATTATTCCTAGTATTATTTTATAAGCCTTCTTATTTCTGCAAGATCATTAATAAAGTCCCTACTTTCATTTCTGATGGCAGTAGCTTGTATCTGCTTTATTTTTTTCTCAGTCTAGCTAAAGGTTTGTCAAGTTTTTTTCTTACATTTTCAAAGAGCCAACATTTGGTTTCACTGATTTTTTAAAAATTTTCTATCCTCCATTTTGTTTATTTCCTCTCTAATCTTTATTATTTCCTTCTGCTAGCTTTGGGTATAATTTGTTCTTCATTTTCAGATTCTTTAAGTTAGAAAGTTAGCTTGTTGACTTGCAATCATTCTCTTTTTTAAGAGTTTTATTTTCAAGTTTCTTATAGCACTGTGATATAATATTGAGAAAATTAAACTAGGTGTCAGGAGACTGGGGTGTGAGACCTGAAGTTTCCACTCATTAATGATAACATTGGCAATTGGATGCAATCCTTTGAGTCTCATACTATTCAAATATAAAATGAGATGATTAGAATAGAAGATTTCTAAGGTCCTCTTGTAAATTTAATCTTCAGTCGTCTATAATTTAAACATCCACAGTTGAATGCTTTTGTAATTTATTTTTCAGGAAACTTATACTAATTTAAGACATTTAATAATTATAGGTTTATTTTGTTATATTACTTTATATTTTTAGAATTGTATATTTATGGAGATGAGAAAGGAAGAGGAAGCAGAACATGAAAGAAGCCTGCCCTTTTTGGTGCAACCTGTCCTGAGCCATGTATAGTTCAATTAAGATCCTTTTCCACTATTCACAATAATGTGATAAAAATATTACTTACATGAAATTCTCAGAGTTTGTTGACAGACACCAAGACAGTTGGGAGAATGTATACATAAGAAATTGAAAAAAGAAAGAAACTGCAAAGGGGGATTTGATAAATATTGATTTATTTAAGTGAAAAGAAAGGTCAGCAGTTCAAGCAAGGCCTACATATAGTCAAAGAGGGAAGTGTTTGAGTAAGCCACGGCAACACATAAGACAGATAATAAAATATATCTCAGATTTTAGGGTACTGAGGGATAGACTTTAAAAAATGGAATCCAGAAAAGCAGATAATTTGATGTTCCAATAAATTATGAAACTGGAACAAACCATTCTAAAAGAATGACATATTGGAAGTCAAAGAGTCAGCCCTATCATTAGATAAAAGTCGATTCCAAAGTGCAGCTAAGGACCAATAATTGATTTCCATATTTCTTGCACCTTGAAATTCGTTATATTTTAAATAGTTGATTAAGACAGTCTGATGTCCTACTATAGAAGGCCTGAGGTGTATATACATATTTCAACATGTAGGTATAGTCTGCTGTCTGAAGGTCACAAAGTAATTCTTTCTAATTCACCTGAATTATGGCAATGGAAATTATGGCAGCCAAACACTACTGTCCCCTAAAGCAGTGATTATTTTGCAGCTGGAAAATGGAATTGAAGTCTGTTCTAATATTCCTACTTAGGGACTCATAATTTGAGCATACGCCATTACCAGGATCTATTTTTTTGACTTTATAGGAATATATAGTCCACATTCTTAAGCTATTGTCCTCTTTATCAGATTTCTAAAGTGAGTTGACTCAGACGTTATGTGCAAAACAACCTACATTACAATATGTGTCATTGTGTTGTTCTTTTCTTTGCAATAGGGACATATTAACAGCTGTTTAACATTTAACCTAAAACTTCTAAAATATTGAACAACATATCCCCTTTCACAAAAAAATGTGATTTCAAGCATCCAACTGTGGTTGCTTCTTTGATTTATTTATTTTTCACAAAACCTATACTAAGCCTATCTCCAAATATATTATATGCTATTTGTTACATCCATACTTTGCTTTAATACCAATTTTTCTGTACTTATTAGTGTTGTATTTAGTGGCCAAAAGTGCTTCAGGCATTCAACTATTTGATGCTTTCTGATATTACTCAGTATCAGCTGGAAAGAATCACACTGAACACATAGGAAGTTTTACTAATAACAGTGTGCTTTGTGGGTGAACACTTTTCACACATGCAACTAATTTGTGTGTATTTAATAAGTATGTGTCCCTTAGACCTCTAGACTTTGGATTCACTCCTTACTGTTACAATATAGCAGTTGAATCACAATACTACTCCCTATGTCTCTCCATTTGTTTAAATGGGCTGGGGGTGGAAGGCAGATGCTTTTTCCTGGGTACCACTTATTCTACAATCGCTATTCCTTAATTCCTACAAAAACTACTTAACAAGTGCTTTAAATATATCAGATTTATACTGAAGTTTTGGTATAATATAGTGGGACTACAGGACAACAGAAAACAACTTAAAATTTAGCATCAAATATCACTATCCTAAAAATTTACCAGGCCTTTCTCACCTCTAAGTGTTTCTTGGTGGGGATAACCCTTCTTTTGGCTGTCATTTTTAAAATTTCCTTTTGTTTATCTCCAAAGTTCCACTTCCTTCATGCCCATCTCCACACTGATGTCCTTTACCTTCTCTTTCAGGCTGCTTGCGTGAACTCAAAATATCTTTTACAGTCTTAGGTAGAACGAACAAGTTAAATCTTTGGTGCTCCAGGTTCTAATTTTTTCAAACAAAAAGGCTCATCAAAGTACATGTTGGGTATTTTTCTGAGGGGGGGGAAAAGACAATATTTACCATTGAGGAAATTGTTGCTTTTCCCCTAGAGTACAGCAGCAAAGCAGACATTTTGTTTTCTAAAGAGCATTTTTTTCTATCTGGCTACATACAGAGGAGCCTTTATACCCCGGAAATTCACAGGTGTATGCATGATATCCCCATCTTCACATGAGCTATATGTCAGAAGATTTATCTAGTTTTCAATATCTTAAGAAGTTTTACCCTATATTAAATCTTTCCAATTTATATGAACATCAATACTCCTGGTTCCAGCTGCTCACAAAAAGCTCTGTCTTTTCTCTCTGCTGCCCCCAATCATTTACCTCTCAGTTACACCATTTCTAAAAATTACTTTCCACCTTCCTCCTTCAGGAACTACTTGACTAAGTGGTGATCTTAAATGTGACACTGTTATAAAGAAAAAGTACATCAAAAAAAGACAAAAAGATAATGTATGTAATTTTCAAATTCATCAAATGTGATACATAATGAAACCAATACATATGAATGTCTTCAAGGAGAAAAAATAAACTATAAAAAAACTTCAGTTATACCACAATTTACTTAATAATTGTATTCCTGAACCACTATATGTAAATTTAACTTTTATAAAATAAATGATATGTGAAAGCTTTTAAGAAGAAAGCACTACTTAAATGTGACTCTGCAATATATTCTTTTATAAAGTGGACTTTTATGCAAATATTGATTTGTTTCTATGTGAATTTTATAAAGTTGTTTATACTTGATGTGTTGCTGGAAAATTATTAGGTGATGCCTACAAAGAGGCTTCCTTTGTGAAGAAAGAATATGCTTTGTCATAATTTCCTTTTTTACTTTCTAATGTAGATGAATCTTACTTGAATTAATTCTGTTCCCACACATAAGTAGGAAGGGGTGGAATATTATCTGAGAAAGATTTCTTTTTTTACTCTCTAACATATATTTGGTTAATTTAGAGATCGCGTTAAATTTTGAAGGAAATTTGACTTACACTTTATTAATATGTAACACATAAATGATACAATTCACAGGTGTTAAGTGTTCTGATTGATGTTTTCACAATTGTTCACCAATGTCATGGATGTCCTTACTGTGAAGTCTCCAGTAATAGGTTTTCCTTAAAATGTTTTATTTTATCCTTTCAGTTATTATAGGGAGGCAGTAGTAATTGTAGTTAAGACAAAAAAAAAATTCTTAAGTATAACACTTACAAGTTATAAGGTCTTGGACAAGTTATTAAATATTCTATGCATCAATTTTCTTATATGTTATATGGAGGTAATAATTGGGTTATTACAAGAATTAAATGAGACAATACACATAAAGAATTTAACTCAGGACCTGAGATATAAATGCTTGATAGCTACTTGCAATTATTGCATTTTCTACCTGTAAAAACTCTCCCAATGCTATCCCTCCCCCCTCCCCCCACCCCACAACAGTCCCCAGAGTGTGATGTTCCCCTTCCTGTGTCCATATGATCTCATTGTTCAATTCCCACCTATGAGTGAGAATATGCGGTGTTTGGTTTTTTGTTCTTGCGATAGTTTACTGAGAATGATGATTTCCAATTTCATCCATGTCCCTACAAAGGACATGAACTCATCATTTTTTATGGCTGCATAGTATTCCACGGTGTATATGTGCCACCTTTTCTTAATCCAGTCTATCATTGTTGGACATTTGGGTTGGTTCCAAGTCTTTGCTATTGTGAATAATGCCGCAATAAACATACGTGTGCATGTGTCTTTATAGCAGCATGATTTATAGTCCTTTGGGTATATACCCAGTAATGGGATGGCTGGGTCAAATGGTATTTCTAGTTCTAGATCCCTGAGGAATTGCCACACTGACTTCCACAATGGTTGAACTAGTTTACAGTCCCACCAACAGTGTAAAAGTGTTCCTATTTCTCCACATCCTCTCCAGCACCTGTTGTTTCCTGACTTTTTAAAGATCGCCATTCTAACTGGTGTGAGATGGTATCTCATTGTGGTTTTGATTTGCATTTCTCTGATGTCCAGTGATGGTGAGCATTTTTTCATGTGTTTTTTGGCTGCATAAATGTCTTCTTTTGAGAAGTGTCTGTTCATGTCCTTCACCCACTTTTTGATGGGATTGTTTGTTTTTTTCTTGTAAATTTGTTTGAGTTCATTGTAGATTCTGGATATTAGCCCTTTGTCAGATGAGTAGGTTGCGAAAATTTTCTCCCATTTTGTAGGTTGCCTGTTCACTCTGATGGTAGTTTCTTTTGCTGTGTAGAAGCTCTTTAGTTTAATTAGATCCCATTTGTCAATTTTGTCTTTTGTTGCCATTGCTTTTGGTGTTTTAGACATGAAGTCCTTGCCCATGCCTATGTCCTGAATGGTAATGCCTAGGTTTTCTTCTAGGGTTTTTATGGTTTTAGGTCTAACGTTTAAGTCTTTAATCCATCTTGAATTGATTTTTGTATAAGGTGTAAGGAAGGGATCCAGTTTCAGCTTTCTACATATGGCTAGCCAGTTTTCCCAGCACCATTTATTAAATAGGGAATCCTTTCCCCACTGGGAGATATACCTAATGCTAGATGACGAGTTAGTGGGTGCAGCACACCAGCATGGCACATGTATACGTATGTAACTAACCTGCACAATGTGCACATGTACCCTAAAACTTAAAGTATAATAAAAAAATTAAAAATAAATAAATAAATAAATAAATAAATAAAAACTCTAAGCAAAAGGCTAAGTGATAGGGGTTCAATATTATAGATAAAAAGTTTTATGTTGAGAAATAGTAAAATACATATTTATTGAGTAACAAGATATGTGTTAACTTGAAATTACTGCATATCACGACTTACGATGAAATTCAGTTACCTTGGCAGTTAATGCTGAGATAATAGCAGACTTTCAACAACTCATCTCCTCTAAAATGAGAATAGACAGAAAATATTGAAAAGGATAAAGTACAATGTGTCCAATGCATATAGACAAAATTTTGGTGTGTCATGAGGAAATACAGATTCAAGCTGTTGAAATTCACACTTGAATCTGAATTCCAAGACTTGGAATAATGGAACAATTGTGGTTTGGCAGACTTGTATAGCATTACTTCCCCGACCAAACACCTAAGGCTTCAGAACACAAAATAAATCTCATTGACTCTCTATAAAAAGTTAATATTGTAATATTGCCTACAAATAATTCAACTTCAGTAAAACAGGAGAAATAGATAAAGGAAAATATTAGTATGATTTCACTATGAAACCCACTCTATTTAATCTTTAGAAAAGATGATACGGCCGGGCGCGGTGGCTCACGCCTGTAATCCCAGCACTTTGGGAGGCCGAGGCGGGCGGATCATGAGGTCAGGAGATCGAGACCATCCCGGCTAAAACGGTGAAACCCCGTCTCTACTAAAAATACAAAAAATTAGCCGGGCGTAGTGGCGGGCGCCTGTAGTCCCAGCTACTTGGGAGGCTGAGGCAGGAGAATGGCGTGAACCCAGGAGGCGGAGCTTGCAGTGAGCCGAGATCCCGCCACTGCACTCCAGCCTGGGTGACAGAGCGAGACTCCGTCTCAAAAAAAAAAAAAAAAAAAAAAAAAAAGATGATACAACAGTTTGTAATTCAAAGTGGAAAATTTTGAGTCCTTCATTTCTTTCAACTTAAGGTTACATCTGAAACCTTAGCACAGTAAACACTATTTTCACTACAAATACAGTCTGAATTTTAGTGGCTTTATTACAGACCTTCAAATAAAAATCTGTCAGGAGAGATAACAGGGTGTGGATCTGGATTCTAAGATACTTTAATTAGATTTAAAGGTCAGCAGTTGTGGTGAAAATTCAACACATCTAAATAAAACATAAACTTCTTTAAAAAATATACTAATATTTCATGTAAAGTACTTGTCCGACTGATCATGGGACCTATTACCAAGAGTTAACTATTTTCTGTGATGTAATTTTCACATGGTAATCCCTGGGTAATTTTCCCTTCAAGTACAAAGTGTTTGCTTGTTTTTGCAAGTGGTTGAGTTTTACTTGTAGATCATCCAATTATGCTAGATGATGTTTTCCCTCAAAACATGAAATTTTATTAGGAATCCCGAGTTCACTATTGTCCTTGGTTTTTTCTTTCTGAAATACAGTTAAATATTGATGAAATTTTATAAAGATAAATGTTTCAGGTATTATAAATTACTCTTTATTACATGTTAATTAGTATATTCTGGGAGATGCTTAATTATAATAGCTGTTAATATTTCTGAAAGTTAAATTAAGATTCTACACTGTTAGTGAGCAAACTCATTAAAGACATGAAAGAATGACAAGATGAAAAAAGATTTACATTTGTAGAATCTCCTGTAAAATTATTAGAAGTGACAGGTTCCATTTTTTTTTTTTTTTGATGCTGGAATCAAGGTTGCATGTCTAAACTATAGTGACACCATGGTTAGATTTTGCATACCTGAGAACTAATAGGAAATTAATAGAGTGTAATACACGTCTATTGTATTTGGTATAATGGTGCTACTTTGATGTGTAAGAACAGAAGGCATAATTTCAATCTTTGTTTAGTGTCTTGGACAGCCAGACTCACTAGCATCTAAGTATGGTCAAGATTAAAAATGTGATGAATAATACCATAGCACCTCCTTGACAGCTTTTCTGTTCAAATACAAATTTCTGTCACAGCCCCAGAAAGTCTGAAAGAGAATTCAGAGATGAAATATTGTAGCTGCAATAAGCCCAGTGTGAAGCTATTATGTTTTTAAAGGAAAAATAATTACAAACTGTACATCTCCTAGGCACAAAAATGTTTTAATAATGCATAGTAATAAATACATTGGAGTATACCAATGAAATGTTATTGAACATTAAAGTTTTGAAAACCACAGGTTTATGACTCTGTCAAGAAAATGTCAATGCATATATCTAGTTACAGACTTCTGTGCCTGTTTTAGTTAAATAAATATTTGGAAAAGGTTTGAAAAAATTGTGATTTATTTCACCTTTCATAATGCATCTTAAGTACATCTTTAAAAAGAAATTTGAGATATTTTTAAGCTGTTTATAATCTAAATGTTTGGTACATCCATCCCCATAAGAACTCTATGTTCATCTACCAAAGTCATTTTTAATAGTACGAAAGATTATCTTTTATTCTTTCTGAGAAGGATCATTTTTATGATACTATTACAGCATCGTTCTTGTAAATAATTTTTTAAAATAAAAATTCAAAGAATCTCCATAAAAATAAACATGAAATAAACTTTAACCTCACATTTCACATTTATCTCATAATAAAAATAAATTCTGTAACAACTTCCAAATTTTTTTTTCCTATGGCATTATGTGTCTGCTCATACTGTTTCTTCAAGCAAATTTCCTTTATAGAAATAAATCAAATGATTATTGTTAGGGCATAAAATACTAAATTCTACTTCTTGAAGAAAAAATAGAGTTCAATTTAAATGGGCAAAAAAAAAAATCATTTATAGAATTCTTAATTCTTTAACCAAAAATAACCAGCCACCCTTCCTGACAAATTTTCTCTGAGTCTGAGATACAAGCTTTGTACAAAGACATCACATACCAAGTCAGACCACTGGTTTACTGAGCACTATATTCTATCTTTGATAATTTTTGCAATGAACACTTTCACTATAATGAAGTAGTTGTCCCTTATATCAGAGTTACCACATAATGAAGATTAATCATTCAATCAATTTTGAATATTTATTGTGGTTAGTACACAAATGTAACCCTGGGTATCTCATACTGGCCTAAAATTTTCTCATAAAGTTGCTGCATATCAGGATAATACATACTTCAGGCTTGAAATAAAATCAGAAAGAGAATTTCAGGGCTAAATGACAGAGAATTGTTTTGCCCATTTTTTATTACAACAAATATTGAGAATGTAATATATCATTCACAGTGCCGGTTTCTAGTGATATCAAGCATCTATACATTCAGCATTCAGCAAATATTTATTGAACATTTATATTAGGCACTATACTGAGGTTTTAAATATAAATATGACACCGACTCTTCTATGAAAAAGTGTACAGAGAATAGGAAAAGTGTATAGAATATATATATCTATAATTCAATATGTAATACATAAGTTTCAAGCAAGGTATACAAAAAAGAGTTTTAAAGTGGAAAGAGTACAAAGAGAGCTTTCATAGAAGATGTGGGCCAGAAGTATGGCTAGAATGTGGACAGGTGTGGCGAATCCAGAGGAGTACAATGTATTTGAAGGTACAACACAAACCAAGTAACAGAAGCAGTAAAGTTCTAGGCATGCTCATGGTGTAATGAATATTCCAAGTCAATAGAAGTGGAGGACACTGCATCATTCCAATTTTAGTATATGTGCTGCCAAAGTGAGCACTCTTTTTTTTTCTGACTTATAAGTGGGAGCTAAATGATGAGAACTCATGGACACAAAGACAGGACCAATAGACACTAGGGCTTACTGGAGGGTAGAGGATGGGAGGAGGAAGAGAATTGGAAAAATTAACTATTGGGTACTAGGGTTGGTACCTTGGTGACAAAATAATCTGTACAAAAAAAACCCCCATGACACGCGTTTATAACAAACCTGCACATGTATCCCTGAACCTAAAATATAAGTTAAAAAAAAAGAAAAGAAAACGAAGGGTATGGGGAAGATGCCATTTTCAGAATAAGAAACAGATATCGGAGAGACAAAAAAAAAAATATGTCCATCATGGAACATCTGTATTTAAGGAATACAGCCTTGGAATTATCTTTGACCTCTCTCTGTTCCTCCCACTCTCCCCCACCTCAAATGTTCAAGTATTAACAAAGCTTATTAACAATGACAGAAAGAAAGAAGTGAAGGAGATTGATATGCTTTGGGTCTGTGTCCTCACCCAAATCTCATGTTGAATTGTAATCCCCAATGTTGGAGATAGGGTCTGGTGGGAGGTGATTGGGTAATGGGGGTGGATCCTTTATGAATGGCTTAGCACCATGCCGCTTAGGACGGTCCTCACAATAGTGAGTAACTTCCAGTGAGATCTGGCTGTTTAAAAGCATGTGGCACCTCCCCACGTCCATCTCTCTCTTGCTCCTGCTCCCACCATGTAAGATGTCTTGTTTCCTCTTTGCCTTCAGCTATGATTAGAAGCTTTCTGAGGCCTCCCACGAAGCAGAAGCCACTATACTTCCTGTACAGCCTGAAGAACCTCAAGTCAATTTCTTTATAAATTACCCAGTCTCAGGTATGTCTTTATAGCAATGTGAAAATGGACTAATACAGAGACTAATAGGGAAAATATTATTGAAAAATTAGATTGGGAGTACTGTATGGACTTTTTCTTAGTGCACCACTGGTGAGTTTATATGTGTTTTAATAACAATGAGAGAGCCATTAATGTTTTCTGAACATTTGTAGTTGTTGTTTTCATCTCTGCTGCCTTTGATAATGACATAGGCTCCTTCTTGAAATTCAGTCCTGACCATTATGTCCTAGTTTTATTCTTACATTTGTGGCTGTTCTTTCTTAGTCTTCTCAAACTCTCACCCATTTCTCCCTTAAGTGTTGTTGTTTCTTCATATTCTTCCTAGAGAATCTTACCTACTTCTTTTTCTACACTTCCCATCACTATCTTTAGGGTTTCCCAGTATCCATCTCCCACCCAGAATTCTCCTGAGTTTTAGATCTTAAAATCCCTTAGGTAGTTTACATATCTGTCTTCCTCACTAAGCTATGAGCTCTATGAGTGTTAAACATTTTTTAAATCCCCAGGGCTTCTGCAGCCCTGTGAATGGTATATGTTTAAGCCAATTTTTTGAAGGCTTGTATGAATGAATGGTATCATTATGATCATAATTGTACTTTAAGAAATTGAATATTGCAGTCGTTTTTCAGGATGTGTCAAAGTTTGCTTGAGAAGTGGATTGGAATTTCCTACTTTTTAAACATTGTCCATGTCATATTTCTTTACTTAGGCCCACACAAAGATGGAATCCTCTTAATTCATATACTGTTGTATGAACACAGACTACATTCACTTACACAAACACACATTTGTGATGTTCTTTCTTTTACAGTTCCTCCCACAGATACCTTGATGAAACCATACAACTTACAGACCCTTGTGTCATTTTCACTCCTCTCTGTTTGCCACACCCAGGAAAGCTTTTCTGCTATGTCTGGGTATTACTTCATGCTTACCTGGCAAATATAAAAATTACAAATATACTGTCTAAAAGATCAACAGACTTTTCTTAAAAGTTAACCTTTTTGTTATAAACTCAGGTTAAATTATGTCAAATGTGGCAGGTATGTTGTCTGATTTACAAAGCCATAAAGATTCTGTGAAAAGTTTTATTTTGGCTTGTTTTATTTTTTCCTTTCTTGAGGCATGTTGGTTCCAAACTCACTTTTCTTGAAAAATAAATTTCTGTTGTTTAGAACTAAACAACAACCAAGAATGCCACTTTATCTGAAAAATAGAGAACATTCATTCATTCACTATCTATCTGTTCAGCATTTAGCAACTATATGTTACTGAGCCAGGACCACATTGTGAGGCATAAAGAACTTCCCTAATACTGTATGCATAGGTCAGGTTCTTGTTTCAAGCCCTAATTCAATCATTCTTCTCTTTGCCTCGAAGTCAAAAGATGAATAATATTGGCATATTCAGTGTTGTTTTAATCAATATTATTGAAATTCAACAAATATTTGGTGTTATTTAATTTTTTACTTTTTTTTTTTCCAGACAGGGTCTCACTCACTCTATTCCCCAGGCTGGAGTGCCATGGCACAATCTCAGTTCACTGCAACTTTCACCTCCCCAGCTCAAGTGATTGTTCTGCCTCAGCCTCCTGAGTAGTTGGGACTACAGGCAAGTATCACCATGCCCAGATATTTTTTGTATTTTTTGTAGAGTCGGATTAGCCATGTTTCCTGGGCTGATTTTGAACTCCTGAGCTCAGGTGATCCACCTGCCTCAGCCTACCAAAGCGCTGGAATTACAGGCGTGAGCCACCATGTCCAGCCTTCAACAAGCATTTTGAACACCTAGAATGTACAACACATTGTGTTAGGCATAGTAAGGAAAGAACAAAGGTGACAAAGTATATTTTCCATCCTTTAAGGGCTTTCAATCAAGTATATTTAACATTTATTCAACTTTTACTGTATTTCACACACTGTACCTAGCATTTACATATATTACAAAAATTCACATGGTTAGCTGCTATTATTACTTGCATTTTATAGATGAAGAAACTGAGACAAAAAGGATTATCTTTCAATGTCTCATAAGTGGTAAGTAGAGGAGCTAGTGTTTTCATTCGGATCTCTCTGATTCCAGAGTCAGAGCTGTTATCAATAACACTATACATCCTAGCATTAGAAAAAAAAATTCATGCACAAGTAACTACAGCTCAGGTGAGATTATGAAAGATCTATAATAAATATTCCAACAAAAGACTGTGGAAAAACAGCAAAGGGACCTGGGAAGATTTCTTAGGGGAAGCTTAATTTAAATCATGTCTATAGAAATAGTAACAGCTATGACTTGTTGAACATGTTGAGTTTGTTAGATACTTGCAAGATTCTTCATACATACCGCTTATATCTTCACAATAATACTAACAAGTTATGTTATGCTTTAGGAAAAGGGGCTCCCAGGGATCAAAAACCCTGCCCATGGCAGCACACCTGAAAGTGGAAAATCTAGCATTTAACAAATGACTACACTGATCACCTTCCTCCTCCAATTCCTTCTTTCTCACTTCCCTGTACTACTTCTCATAACACTGTTTCAATGTACTTAGACAGTAGTCATGAGGAAAGCCACATAATCAGGGAAATTCGAGGCAGATTTGGGGAATGACTGGTTACTTTTAGCTGGAGTATAAAGGTCATTGTGTAGAAGAGCAGAAGACTAGTCAAACATACAGCTAAAAGCTCACTTAGGTTATATGGTGATAGGCTTGAAACAGTCAGTTAGAACTTTTCTAAGTAAGATACATTCAGAGCAGAGCACTAGAAAGTAGGTACAGGAATCAACTTGCAGGGAGATGGTAAATCTCCTGTAATAATTCAGGAAAAGGAGAAAGAGTGTCAGAATTGGGCGATAAAAGTGGGAATTGCAATTAAAAAAAGATAGAGATATTTTATGGAGAACATTGAGAAAATTTGATGACTAGATATGAGGCAAGAGAAAGCTTAATTTGTTGTCACTAATCACTATCATATTTCTTAACTCCTCTTTTCTAAGATTGTGTATTTACAATAAGTTTTCTGACAAAAGCATATTTCAGTGGAACATATCTCCTTCACTGAATATTCATGGTTACGCCCAGTCAACGTGAGCTCATTTTTTGATGGGTTTTGGCAAATGCAAGGCCACAGGTCTATGTCGACTGCATTGTCAACTCAATAATATGTATTAAATTCAAATATACCTTTAAAATATTCACTTAAAAGGTTAAAAATAACATTACATGAATTGATTTAGCCCAAATTTATTCTTTCTTGCTGTGATCACAAAGAAGTAGTGTATCTCCCACGTTTAAAAATGATTTACCAATCCTCAGCTATCTCCGTATTATTTCTTTTTTTCACAGAAAACTCTTCCAAAGAGTTACGCATTCATGTTATCTTTTTCCTCAAATTCATGATAGAGTTTCCCAGTAACAGATTTCCATTCCCATCCATACCCTAAAGCTATTATTTTCAATGTTAACATTGACCTCCAAATTGCCAAAGACTTCAGTCAATTATTAATATTATTATTATTATTATTATTACTATTGAGATGGAGTCTCACTCTGTCACCAGGCTGGTGTCCAGTGGTGTGATCTTGGCTCACTGCAACTTCCAACTCCCTGGTTCAAGCGATTCTCCCGCCTCAGCATCCCCAGTAGCTGGGATTACAGGCACACGCCACCACGCCTGGCTAATTTTTGTATTTTTAGTAGAGATGGGGTTTCACCATGTTGGCCAGGATGGTCTTGATCTCCTGACCTCATGATCCACCCACCTCAGCCTCCCAAAATGCTGGGATTACAGGCGTGAGCCACCGTGCACGACCCTCAACTCTTAATCTACATTTCACTAGATCTATTAGTAATATTTGACACCCGGGACCATGGCTCCACTTTCTTCATTAGGATTCGAGGATACAACACTGTTTTTCTCTTTCCTCACTGGCTACTCCTTTTCAATATTTTTGCTTGATTCACTTCTTCTTGGAATTCTTTGCAAATCAATCTTTATGTATCCTCTTACTTTCTCTATTTAGACTGAATTCCTTGATAATCTCAGTCTCATGCTAAAAGTTACCTATATTTTGACCTTTTATATAATTAGCCCTGAGCATTGCATTTTAATCCAGACTCATAACCAGTTACTATTTTGATATCTACTTGGGATCTCAATCCATACATGAAGAAAAACTGAGCTGCTGATGTTCACTTTCCCATTTTGAAACTTATTAGTCTTGCAATAGTCTATGTCTAAGTTAAATGCATTCAGTTGCTTACGCTAAAACCGAGAAGTCAACCTTGATTCTTCTCTACTTTGCTATTCTCTACTTTCCCATTCAATTCTCATCACTTCTATCTCCGAACTGTATCCAAAATTCAAAAGCTTCTTAACCGTTGCACTGTTACCATTCTGGCCAAAGCCATCATCTATCACCTTAATTATTGTAATAGTCTTCTAATTGCTGTGCATGCTTCTATTTTTTTCCCCATTTTAGTCTGCTTTCCAGAGATCATTCATAATTATCCTCTTAAACCTAAGACACCTTGGGCCAATTCTCTACTCAACTCAAGTTACCAGTGAATTTAATGGAAACTTCTTTAAACATACTGCAAATTATTTGACACTTCTCCCATCAAATTATGTAAAATATGTCCTTTCACCTTAAGTTGCCTTGTGTCTCATTTGACTAATCGAGAACTGCAGAAATGATGCTATGTGTCTTCGAAAGGTAGATCTTAAAAGATCATGCAGCTTTCGCCTTGTTCACTGGAATGCTCTCTCACAGCACTGAGTCACCATATAAGAAATCCGCTGCCCTGAGTTTGTTATGCTGGAGAGGCTAGCTTTGAGTATTATGATTGACAATTTCACCTCAGTCCTCCCTTCTACCTATTCCTGCCAAGATGCCAAATATGTAAATGATGCTTTCCTGGAACCTCTAAGCAGCCTATCTGCCAGATGAATACCAATAAGTGACCTTCATCAATGCCACATGAATGACAAAAATCACCCCATCAAGTCTTGTTTAAATTTCTGTCCTAAAAAATCATAAAATGTAATTAATTTGTTGTTATTTTTAAAAAGCTACTTTTGGGGATTGGTTGTTATGCACATAAAAAGAATAGACTTAAGTTATTTAGATTAACTTCAAACTCTTTTCAAACTTAATGTGGTGAAAGCTATTAAATCAAAAGCCTGCTCCTCCACTAGGCTTCCCTAACTCGGTTAATGGTCATGCTATTCTATACTTTTTATTGTACATTTTAAGGTGTGCAAGATAATGATATACATAAATAGTGAAATAATACTACAATCAAGCAAATTAACATGTCTATAATCTCATACTGTTACTTATTTTTTTTTATAAGGAAACCTAAATTCTACTCTTTTAGCAAATTTTTGGTATACAACACAATATTATTAACTTTACTCCTCATGTGGCATATTAGCTCTCTAGACTCATCCTGCATAACTGTAACTTTATACCCTTTGATTCCCATCTCCCCATTTCCATCCTCCTCTCTATCCTGGTAACCTCTATTCCACTCTCTATGTCTATGTATTTGACTTTTTAAAAAAATTCCACATATAAGTGAGAACATGCAGAATTTTCTTTTTTGCATCTGGTTCATTTTCCTTAGTGTAATGTCCATGTTGCTGAAAATGGCAGGATCTTCTTTTTAAGGCTAAATAACAAACATTCTATTGTACAATATAACACATTTTTGTTATCCTTCATCCATCAATGAACACAGGTTTTTCATATCTTTGCTATTATGAATAATGCTGCAATGAACATGGAAGCACAGATAACCCTACACAGTGCTGATTTCATTTGCTTTGAGTATGGAAATCCAAATTAAAACTACTGTGAGATATCACCTCCTACTTGGTAGGATGGCTATCATCAAAATATAAGAAATAACAAGTGATGGCGAGGATGTGAAGAAAAGGGAACACTTGTACACCGCTGGTGGGAATGTAAATGAGTACAGACATTAGAAAAACAGTTTGGAGGTTCCTAAAAAATTAAAATTACAACTACCATATAACCCAATAACTCCATTGTGTCCCTTAGTACCAAAACTTGAAGTTGTCTTGGTTTCTTTTATCCATTTCATATGCCATATAAGATATCACAGCAAATCCTTTTGGTTCTATGTTCATATTATGTTCAGAATATGACCATTTCTCACTACTTCCCCTGTTACTACCATGGTCAAAGACACAGTCATTTTGCATCCATATTACTTCAGTAGCCTCTCAACTTAATGCCCACCCTAATTCTTTTAATGGAAACTTGAAATATTGGCATATATTTTAAAAATTTAAATTTCAACAGTGATCTGCTTCCTTACCTAAGAAAACATCATTGGAATTGTCTTTCTCTTTAGTTGTCTTTCATTCTCTTTCTCAAACATTTTCAGAGCTGGTAGTATGTATAACATGCCCAGCTCTGAGTTTGGTCTATGCCAGGGCAAGTCTAGATAACACAAAGACACCTCTTGTTTTCCTCTGTTTACCTGTAGAGATGACCAACTACATTGTTTCCAAGGCACTGTTTCAAACTTGAATAACAGCATATCGTTAGATGAGGGTAGTGGTACAGGAACTCTGTTAGACTCTCTTGGGGATCCTTTTGAAAAAGCAGGCACAAATTCATGCACACATACATGCATATGCACACTAACTTAGAGAATGGTAACTCTGAACCGAACCACTTTGTGCAAATCTGGCCTCTTCCTAGATGAGAATTAACACTGTACAGTACACAGGGAATTTAAATATACTGTTTCTTCGAAATAATCCAGCGTATTTTCTTAGCTAGAATAAAATTTTTTATTAAGAGAGGCAATACCAGGTATATGATACAGATTAAATACCAGGAAAAATTAGTAGGAAAATATGAACTTCTCATGACTACTGGAGCAGATGACACCACTCTTCAATTGTGGTCATATTGGATACAACCATAATTCAGTATACTTCTATTTTTTAAACTGAATTCTTTTTGGAATAGATAAAAAGGAACAGATATGGTACATGTGCATACACACAAATGCACACACACACACATGCACACACAAGTATATGTACTGAATCCCTTATCCTTTAATTCACAAAACTCAGAGGCACTGGAAAATATTTCATGTCAGTATTTTAAAATTAAAGAAAAAATAATAACTTTATGTAGAATTGATGTAAAAATTTTCTGCCCCAAAGGATTTTTTTTGTGTGTTTTTGTTATTTTTTATTCCTTTATAAATCAATTTGGATAGAGGAAAGTCAAGTTGAAGAAAAGGATCTGACAAAAGGGAACAAATTATTTGGAAAATAATTGATGGAATCTGATGGCCCTGTATAATGAGCTAAATTAGAAATTAGTATTTTTGTCCCCTAAACTAATTGAGACTGCATTTCAAAAGTCACATGCTCTATAATGAAGAACAAGGTCAAGTTGTGCTATGTTGGGTGACATAATGGAATGTCTAGACTTCAGAGACCAGGTCTCCATGGAACTTTGGAAGCTTCATTTAACACAACTTCTACATACTTTTTACATCAGGGACAGCTGTACATTTTACATTTCCAAGTGATATCTGTCCTCAAATAACAATATTTTCCTCCTTCATAATACGCTGCTGCCCTCTCTCCTTATGTTTCTTGCATGATGAATATTTTTTTAAAGTAAAGTAAATAATTTATGAGGAGTTGGGGAGGATGAAGAATGAAGGGTTAACTGCCTACAAAAACTCGTGCTCTTGGAGTTTACTATCTGTGATTTTTTAAGAGCACATTATAGCTTTATATTCTCCTAGTGACCTAAAAAAATCAGGTGAATACTAAAGGACTTTTTCTTCAGATTTGTAAATATAAGAACAAATTAAATTATACATAAAAAATAAAGGAGAAAGGCAAGTTTAATCAGATGTCTTCAGTGAACACCACAACATATTCTAACTAGGCTGGTTCAGATCATCATCTTAAGACAATTGATATTTGTCACCACTTTATTGGTTTTAGTTTTCAAGGCCAGTGTACTCCGGAAACTGTTATTTTATCCCCCTAGCTACTAAAACTAAAATTCAGGGGAGCTTGCCATCTGAACAGCTATATTTCCTATAAACTTGGTGACCTTAATTAATGATTATAGCATTACTCTTTATATGCTTATTTCAAATAACAGTAATTTGATTGAATGTTACTATTAATACTTATAAACATTAAAGTGTACAATGGACGAAATTATATACAGCTTGGGGTAAGACTGAATAACGTATTCCCAGCTAAATTAAAATCAATACAATTATAATTGGCAAGTTGTTCCTGAAAACTCACTATGCATTAATGTAATCACTGCTTAATCTGTCTGATTATTGGTGTACTGTCAGATTTTAGCAGAGTGCACAATTTATCCTTTATTTAATTAGTATTTATGGAGTTCCTATTATGTGCCATACACTGTGCCAGGAATTTGGGATATGAAGATCGTGAAGTCATTTATCATGACCCCAAAGAGCTCATAACACCAACTCAGTAAGAATAGCTGAATAATTGTGGTGGGGAGCAGATCAACCTCTTTAATTAAAATGTTTGCATATGCATTGGATATCTCTGTAAGGATTTGTAGCAAATTAGTCAAATGATTATCCCTAGAGTGAAAAACTAAGTAGTTACAGAAAAAAAGAGAGAAACTAACTAACTTTTCACTGATATTTTTAATGTTTTTGGAAATTTGCACAAACTCTCTTAAGTAAATATTTAAAATATAAAATTATCGTTTTTAAAACTGCCTTAAAAATTAATTATCTATTTTCCATACTACTCTTGTCTGATCCCATAAAAATAGGCGTATAAAAGTGACAGATAAATTTTGAGGTATAGGTGACTGAGCAACACCCAGGTGAAGAGGACATTAAGTAGAAAAATACATAGATCTGGAACTCAGGAGAATAAAGTTCCGGGCTGGAGATATAGAATTGGGTAACTGAAGCCTGAAACTAGGAAAGAGTACCCAAAGTGAAATAAACTGTGGACCTAAGAAATAATTTTATATATAGAGAAAGATAAGCCAGCAAAGAAAATTGAGAATAAGTAAGGCAGATATGAATATCCATATAAATAAGATGAAAGACAGAAGAGTTTTATAGAAAACAATGTAAAACAAGAATAGACAATACTCAAATGCTGTTAGACATCAAGAAATACAAGTTAAGGTGCCAAGATGGCCCACTAGAAGCAACTGCCATCAGCAACTCCCACCAAGAAGAACAAAAGCGGTGAGTGAATCCTGCACCTTCAGCTAAGGTATCCAGGTTCTCTCAGTGGGACTGACTAGGCAGTTGGCTTAACCCACGGAGAGTGAGGAAAAGCAGGGTGGAGTGATGGCACACCCAGGAGCCACATGGGGCAAGCAGAGCTCCCACCCCCAGCCAAGGGAGGTGGTGAGTGATTGTGCTACCCCACCCAGGAAACCATGCTTTTCCCACGGATATCTGCAACCTGCGAATCAGGAGGTACCCTAGTGAGCCCATGCCGCCAGGGCCTTGGGTTCCAAGCTCAGAGCTGTGCAGCTGCTCGGCAGCCGCTTGGGTTGCAACCAGCAGCAGGAGGCTGGAGACTGCCTAAGACCTTCGAGTTCCTGGGGGGACAGGCAGCTGTCATCACTGAAGCTCCAGTTGGTCGTTTTCCCCTGCTGGTGCCAGGGAGATTGGGCGATTTGAACTAAGAGGAATTCCCCACAGAGCAGCACAGTGGCTGTAGCAGATCATGGCCAGACTGCTTATTTGGATCCATTCTTTCTCACCAGGCAGCGCCTCCCTGCGGGAATTTCAGCAACTTCAGCCTGGGGTTTATGGACAGAACTCTGATCTACCTCTGATGGAGCCCCTGGGGGGAAGTGTCCGTGGTCTCCGTGGTTCAGTGGACTTTAGTCTCTGCTGCCTGCTGGCTCTGAAGAGGCCGGGAAGTCAGGAGGAGGTGGATTTCCCCCATCACAGTGCACCCGCTCCACCAAGGGGCAGCCAGAGTGCTGTGTTAAGTGAGTCTGTGATCCTGTGCCTCCCGATTAGGTGAGACCCCCAACTGGCGTCGCGAGACACTTCATACAGGAGTGTTCCCACTGGCATTAGGTCACTGCCCCTCTGGGATGGAGTTCCCAGAGGAAGGAGGAGGGCCCCAGGAGAATAGGGTCTCCAGCAGACCCCCATAAAACTGCAGAATCGCTATGGAAGAGGGGCCTGGCTGTTGTTAAAAGAAAAAACAAACAAACAGAAAGCAACAACAACATCAACAAAAAGAGACCCCCACAAAGACCCCATCCAAAGATCAGCAGCCTCAAAGATTGAAGGTGGATAAGCTCACAAAGATGAGAAAGAACCAATGCAAAAACGCTGAAAACCAAAAAAACCAGAATGCCTCTTCTCCAAATGATCACAACACCTCTCCAACAAGAGCACAGAACTGGACTAAGGCTGAGATAAATGAAATGGCAGAAGTAGGCTTTAGAAGTTGGGTAATAACAAACTTTGCTTAGCTAAAGGAGTATGTTCTAAACCAATGCGAAGAAGTTGAGAACCATGATAAAACATTACAGGAATTGTTAACCAAAATAACCAGTTTAGAGAGGAACATACATGACCTAATGGAGCTGAAAAATATAACACAAGAACTTCATAATGCAATAACAAGTATCAATAGCCAAATAGACCAGGTGGAGGAAAAAATTTCAGAGCTTGAAGAATATCTTGCTGGCATAAGACAAACAGACAAGAATAGAGAAAAAAAGAAAGAATTAAAGGTTAATACACAAAACCTCTGAGAACTATGAAATTATGTAAAAAGACTGAACCTATGACTGACTGGTGTACTTGAAAGACACAGAGAGAATGGAACCAAATTGGAAAACATACTTCAGGTTATCATCCAGGAGAACTTCCCCAAACTAGCAAGACAGGCCAACATTCAAATTCAGGAAATCCAGAGAATCCCTGTAAGATATGCCATGACAAGATCAACCTCAATACAGCTAATTATCAGATTCTCAAAAGTCGGAATGAAGGAAAAAATGTTAAGGGCAGCCAGAGAAAATGGCCAGTTCACCTACAAAGGGAATCTCATCAGAATAACAGCAGGCTTCTCAGCAAAAACCCTGTAAGCCAGAAGAGATTGGGTCCCATATTCAACATTCTTAAAGAAAAGAATTTCCAACCCAGAATTTCATATTGGCCACACTAAGCTTCATAAGTAAAGGAGAAATAAGATTCTTTTCAGACAATCTATTGGTGAGGGAAATAATCACCACCAGGCCTGCCTTACAAGAGCTGTTGAAGGAAGCGCTAAATATGGAAAGAAAAACCATTACCAGCCACTATAAAAACACACTGAAGTACACAGACCAATGACACTATGAAGCAACTACATTAACAAGTCAAGTCTTAAAAATAACCAGCTAGCATCATAATGATAGGATGGGTCACATTAAAATATAACAATATTAACCTCAAATATAAATGGGCTAAATGACCCAAATAAAAGACACAGAATGGTAAGCTGAATAAAGAGTCAAGACCCATTGTTGTGCTGTCTTCATGAGACCCTTCTCATGTGCAAAGACACACTTAGATTCAAAATAAAGGGATGGAGGAAAATCTATCAAGCAAATTGAAAGCATAAAGAAGCAGGGGTTGCAATCCTAGTTTCTCACAAAACAGACTCTAAATGAACAAAGATCAAAAAAGACAAAGACAGGCAATATATAGTGGTAAAGGATTCAATTCAACAAGAAGAGCTAACTAATCTAAATATACATGGACCTAATACAGGAGCATCCAGATTCATAAAACAAGTTCTTAGAGACCTACAAAAATACTTAGATTCCTACACAAATAAAGTTGGAGACTTTAACACCCTACTGTCAATATTAGACATATCATCAAGACAGAAAATTAAAAAAGATATTCAGGACTTGAACTCAGCTGTGGATCAAGTGGACCTGACGGATATCTACAAAACTCTCCACCCAAAAACAACAGAATATACATTCTTCTCAGCACCGTGAGACACTTAACTCTAACATTTATCATATAATTTGAAGTAAAATACTCTTCAGCAAATGAAAAAGAACTGAAATAATACCAAGCAGTCTCTCAGACCGCAACACAATCCAATTAGAATTCAAGATTAAGAAACTCACTCAAAACCACACAACTACATGGAAATTGAACAACCTGCTCCTGAATGACTCCTAGGTAAATAATGAAATTAAGGCAGAAATCAAGAAGTTCCTTGAGACTAATGAGAACATAGAGACATTGTACCAGAATCTGTATGACGCAGCTAAAGCAGTGTTAAGAGATACATTTGTAGCACTAAATGCCCACAGCAAAAAGTTAGAAATATCTCAGATCAACATCCTAACATAATTTCTCCCTAATTCATGTTATGAGGCCAGCATCATGCTGACCCCAGAGCCTGATACCAAACTAAAAGAAGTAGAGAATCAAGAGCAAACAAACCCCAAAGCTAGCAGAAGACAATAAATAACCAAGATCAGAGTGAAAATGAAGGAGATAAAACATGAAAAATCCTTCAAAAAAATCAACAAATCCAGGAGCTGATTTTATGAAAAAAATAATAAAATAGATACACTGCTAGCTAGATTAATAAAGAAGAAAAAAAAAGAAGAAATTAGACACAATAAAAAAATGATAAAGTGTATATCACCACTGACCCCACAGGAATACAAACAACGATCAGAGAATACTATAAACACTTCAATGCACATAAACTAGAAAATCTAGAAGAAATGAATAAATACCTGGACACATACCCTCCCAAGTTTGAACCAGGAAGAATTCGAATCCCTGAAAAGACCAATAATGAGCTCTAAAATTGAGGCAATAATAAATAGCCTACCAAACAACAACAAAAAAACACAGGACCAAACAAATTTACAGCTGAATTCTACAAGAGGTACAAATAGTAGCTGCTACTTTTTCTCCTGAAACTATTCCAAACAAGAAAAGGAGTGACTTCTCTGTACCTCATTATGAGGCCAGGATCATCCTGATACAAAAACCTGGAAGAGATGCAACAGAAAAGGAAAACTTCAGGCCAATATTTCTGATGAACATTGATGTAAAAATCCTCAACAAGATATTGGCAGACTGAATCCAATAACACATCAAAAGTTTATCTACCATCATCAAGTCAGCTGCATCCCCAGGATGCAAGACTGGTTCAACATACACAAATCAATAAACATAATTAATCACATAAACACAACTAAAGACAAAAACCACATGATTATCTCAATATATGCAGAAAAGGTCCTTAATAAAATTCAACATCCCTTCATATTAAAAACTCTCAATAAACTAGGTATGGAAGGGACATACTTCAGTATAATAAGAACCATTTATGACAAACCTACAGCCAATATCATACTTAATGGGAAAAAGCTGGAAACATTCCCCTTGAAAGCCATAACAACACAGGAATGCCCTCTCCCACCACTCCTATTCAACATAGTATTAGAAGTTCTGGCCAGGGCAATCAGGTAAGAGAAAGAAATAAAGCATATTCAAACAGAAAGAGAAAGTTAAATTGTCTCTGTTTGCAGATGACGTGATCCAATATCTAGAAAAACCTATCATCTCAGCCCAAAGATTCTTAACTGATAAGCAACTTCAGCAAAGTTTCAGGATACAAAATAAATGTGCAAAAATCACAATCATTCCTATACACCAACAACAGACAAGCAGAAAGCCAAATCATGAATGAACTCCCATTCACAATTGCAGCAAAGGGAATAAAATACCTAAGTATACAGCTAACAAGGGAAGTGAAGAACCTCTTCAAGGAGAACTACAAACCACTGCTCGAGGAAATCAGAGGAGACACAAACAAATGGAAAAACAAACATTCCATGCTCGTGGATAGAAAGAATCAATATGGTGAAAATAGCCATACTGCCCAAAGTAATTTTGAGATTCAATGGTATTCCCATTAAACTACCATTGATATTCTTCACAGAATTAGAAAATACTATTTTAAAATTCATATGGAAACAAAAAACAACTTGTATAGCCACAACAATCCAAAGCAAAAAGAACAAAGCTGCAGGCATCATGCTATATATAAATTAGGTATTGATGGGACATATCTCAAAATAATAAGAGCTATTTATGACAAGCCTATGCCAATATCATACTGAATGGGCAAAAACTGGAAGCATTCCCTTTGGAAACTGGCACAAGACAGGGATGCCCTCTGTCACCACTCCTATTCAACGTAGTGTTTGTTAGAAGTTCTGGCCAGGGCAATCAGGCAGGAGAAAGAAATAAAGGATATTCAATTAGGTAAAGAGGAAATCAAACTGTCCCTGTTTGCAGATGACATGATTGATTGTATATTTAGAAAACCCCATCATCTCAGCCCAAAATCTCCTTAAGCTGATAAGCAACTTCAGCAAAGTCTCAGGATACAAAATCAATGTGCAACAATCACAAGCATTCTTATACACCAATAACAGACAAACAGAGAGCCAAATCGTGAGTGAACTCCCATTCACAATTGCTTCAAAGAGAATAAAATACCTAGGAACCCAACTTACAAGGGATGTGAAGGACCTCTTCAAGGAGAACTACAAGCCACTGCTCAACGAAATAAAAGAGGACACAAACAAATGGAAGAACATTCCATGCTCATGGATAGGAAGAATCAATATCATGAAAATGGCCATACTGCCCAAGGTAATTTATAGATTCAGTGCCATCCCCATCAAGCTACCAATGACTTTCTTCACAGAATTGGAAAAAACTACTTTAAAGTTCATATGGAATCAAAAAAGAGCCTGCATTTCCAAGACAATCCTAAGCCAAAAGAACAAAGCTGGAGGCATCATGCTACCTGACTTCAAACTATACCACAAGGCTACAGTAACCAAAACAGCATGGTACTGGTACCAAAACAGAGATATAGACCAATGGAACAGAAAGGAGCCCTCAGAAATAATACCACATATCTACAACCATCTGATCTTTGACAAACCTGACAAAAACAAGAAATGGGGAAAGGATTTCCTATTTAATAAATGGTGCTGGGAAAACTGGCTAGCCATATGTGGAAAGCTGAAACTGGATCCCTTCCTTACACCTTATACAAAAATTAATTCAAGATGGATTAAAGACTTACATGTTAGACCTAAAACCATAAAAACCCTACAAGAAAACCTAGGCAATACCATTCAGGACATAGGCATGGGCAAGGACTTCATGTCTAAAACACCAAAAGCAATGGCAACAAAAGCCAAAATTGACAAATGGGATCTAATTAAACTAAGGAGCTTCTGCACAGCAAAACAAACTACCATCAGAGTGAACAGGCAACCTACAGAATGGGAGAAAACTTTTGCAATCTACTCATCTGACAAAGGGCTAATATCCAGAATCTACAAAGAAGTCAAACAAATTTACAAGGAAAAAACAAACAATCCCATTAACAAGCAGGCGAAGGATATGAGCAGACACTTTTCTCAAAAGAAGACATTTATGCAGCCAACAGACACATGAAAAAATGCTCATCATCACTGGCCATCGGAGAAATGCAAATCAAAACCACAATGAGATACCATCTCACACCAGTTAGTTAGAATGGTGATCATTAGAAAGTCAGGAAACAACAGGTGCTGGAGAGGTTGTGGAGAAATAGGAAAGCTTTTACACCGTTGGTGGGACTGTAAACTAGTTCAACCATTGTGGAAGTCAGTGTGATGATTCCTCAGGGATCTAGAACTAGAAATACCATTTGACCCAGCCATCCCGTTACTGGGTATATACCCCAATGATTATAAATCATGCTGCTATAAAGGCACGTGCACACATATGTTTATTGAAGCACTATTCATAATAGCGAAGACTTGGAACCAACCCAAATGTCCATCAATGATAGACTGGATTAAGAAAATGTGGCACATGTACACCATGGAATACTATGCAGCCATAAAAAAGGATGAGTTCACGTGCTTTGTAGGGACATGGATGAAGCTGGAAACCATCATTTTCAGCAAACTATCACAAGAACAAAACAAACACTGCATGTTCTCACTCATAGGTGGGAATTGAACAATGAGAACACTTGGACACAGGAAGGGGAACATCACACACTGGAGCCTGTTGTGGAGTGGGGGAAGGGGTGAGGGAAAGCATTAGGAGATATACCTAATGTAAGTGACGAGTTAATGGGTGCAGCACACCAACATGGCACATGTATACATGTGTAACAAACCTGCACATTGTGCACATGTATACATGTGTAACAAACCTGCACGTTGTGCACATGTACCCTAGAACTTAAAGCATAATAAATAAAAATAAAATAAAATAAAACTATACTAAAAGGGTATAGTAACCAAAACAGCATGGTACTGGTACAAAAACAGAAATATAGACCAATGGAACACAATAGAGAACTCAGAAATAAGACTGCACATCTACAACCATCTGATCTTTGACAAACCTGACAAAAACAAGCAATGGGGAAAGGATTCTCTATTTAATAAATGGTGCTGGGAGAACTGGTTAACCATATGCAGAAAATTAAAACTGGACCCCTCCCTTAAGCCTTATACAAAAATCAAGATGGAGTAAAGACTTAAATGTAAAACGCTAAACTATAAAACCCTAGAAAAAAACCTAGGCAATACCATTCAGGATATAGGCACATGAAAAATTTCATGACAAAAATTTCAAAAGCAATTGCAACAAAAACAAAAACTAACAAATGGGATCCAATTAAACTAAAGAGCTTCTTCACAGCAAAAGAAACTGTCACTGGAGTGATCAGACAACCTAGAAAATGGGAGACAATTTTTACAATCATCTATCCATCTGACAAAAGTCTAATATCCAGAATTTAAAAGGAACTTAAACACATTTACAAGTTAGAAACAAACAACCCCATTAAAAAGTGGGCAAAGAATAGAAAGAGACACGTCTCAAAAGAAGACTGTTATGCAGCCAACAAACATATGAAGAAAAAACTCAACATCACTGATTATTAGATAAATGAAAATCAAAACCACAATGAAATACCATCTTATGCCTGTCAGAATGGCGAGTATTAAAAAGTCAAGAAACAACAGATGCTGGCAAGGCTGCAGAGACGTAGAAATGCTTTTACACTGTTGGTGGGAATGTAAATTAGTTCAACCATCATGGAAGACGTGTGGTGATTCCTCAAAGACTTAGAACCAGAAATACCACTTGACCCAGCAATTCCATTACTGGATATGTACCCAAAGGCATATAAATCATTCTATTATAAAGATACATCCACGTGCATGCTCACTGCAGCACTATTCACAATAGCAAAGACATGGAATCAGCCCAAATGTCCATCAATGATAGACTTGATAAAGAAAATCTGGTAGATATACACCATGAAATACTATGCCATGATCAGGTCAGCTTCATCCCCGGGATGCAAGGCTGGGATTGCGTATAAAGGAATGAGATCATGTCCTTTGTAGGGAAATGAATGCATCTGGAAGCCATTATCCTCAGCAAACTAATGCTGGAACAGAAAACCAAATGCTGCATGTTCTCACTCATAAGTGGGAGCTGAATGAGAACACATGGACACAAGGAGGAGAACAACACACACTGAGGCCTATCAAGGGGATCAGGGGGCAGGAGAACATCGGGGAAAATAGCTAATGAATGTTGGGCTTAATATCTAGGTGATGGGGTGGTAAGTGCAGCAAACCACCATGGCACACATTTACCTATGTAACAAAGCTGCACATCCTGCACATATACCCGGAAATTAAAATTAAAAACAGAAATACAGAAATTAGAAAGTGATTATTATAGGTATACCTGGTGTTATTGTGCTTCCCCCCCACCTTTATTGCACTTCACAGATATAGCATATTACAAATTAAAGGTTTGTAGCAACTCGGTGTCCAGCAAGTCTACAGGCACCATTTTTCCAAAAGCAAGTGCTCACTTTGTGTCTTGATGTCACATTTTGCTAATTCTCAGAGTATTTCAAACTTTTTCTTTATTCTTGTGTCTGTGATGGTGATCTTTGATCAGTGATCTTTGATGTTACTATTGATATTTTTCCTGACACACCACAAACCACACCTACACAGGATGACAAAATTAATCACTAAATATTGTGCGTGTTCTGACTATTCCAACTGCCAGCCATTTCCCCATCTTTGTCCCTCTCCATGGTCCTCCCTATTCCCTGAGACACAACAATATTGAAATTAGGCCAATTAATAACCCTACAATGACCTCTAAGTTTTCAAGTGAAAGGAAGAGTCACACATCTTTCACTTTAAATCAAAAGCCAGGAATGATTAAGCTCAGTGAGGAAAGCATGTCAAAAGCTGAGAGAGCAAGTTGTAAATGAAAGGAAAATTTATTGAATTAATTTAAAAGTGCTACTCCAGTGAAAACACACATAAGAAAGTGAAACAGCCTTATTGTGGATATTGAGAAAGTTTTAGTGATCTAGATAGAAGATCAAACCAGCCACAATATTCCCTTAAGCCAAAATCTAATTCAGAGCAAGTTTCAAACTCTCTTCAATATTTTGGAGGCTGAAAGAGGTGAGAAGCTGCAGAAGAAAATTTGAAGCTAGAAGATGTTGGTTCGCGAGGCTTAAGGAAAGAAGCTATCTCTATAACTTAAAAAGTGCAAGGTGGGCTGGGCGCGGTGGCTCACGCCTGTAATCCCAGCACTTTGGGAGGCCGAGGTGGGTGGATCATGAGGTCAGGAGATCGAGACCATCCTGGCTAACAAGGTGAAACCCCGTCTCTACTAAAAATACAAAAAATTAGCCGGGCGCGGTGGCGGGCGCCTGTAGTCCCAGCTACTCGGGAGGCTGAGGCAGGAGAATGGCGTGAACCCGGGAAGCGGAGCTTGCAGTGAGCCGAGATTGCGCCACTGCAGTCCGCAGTCCGGCCTGGGCGACAGAGCGAGACTCCGTCTCAAAAAAAAAAAAAAAAAAAAAAAAAAAAAAAAAGTGTAAGGTGAAGTAGTGTAGCAAGTGCTGATGTAAAAGCTGCAGCAATTTGGCCAGAGGATCAGGCTAAGACCATTGATGAAGATGAAACAGGCTTATATTGAAGAAGATGCCATTTAGGAGTTTAATAGCTAGAGAGAGGAAGTTGACGCCTAGCTTAAAGCTTCAAAGGATATGCTGACTCCCTTTTTAGGGGCAAATGCAGATGATGACTTCCAGTTGAAGCCAATGTTCCTTTACCATTCTGAAAATCCTAGGGCCTGTAAGAATTATCAAAATCTACTCTGCCTGTGCTCTATAAATGAAACAACAAAGCCAGGATGACAGTACATTTGTTTACAGCAAGGTTTAATGAATATTTTAAGCCCACTGTTGAAACCTACTGCTCAGAAAAAAAGATTCCTCTCAAAATATTTTTACTCATTGACAATGCACATGGTCACCCAAGAACTCTAACGGAGATTAATAAGGAAATTAATGTTGTTTTTATGCATGCTAGCACAACATCTAATCTGCAGCCCCTGGATCAAAGAGTAGTTTCAACTTTCCAGCCTTGTTACGTAAGGAATACAAAAGATTCACCAATTTAGATGTCATTGAAAACATATGTGATTCACAGGAGAAGGTCAAAATAGCAACATTAACAGGATTTGGAAGGCGTTGGTTCAACCCTCATGGATGATTTTGAGGGTTTCAAGATTTCGCTGGAGGAAATAACTGCAGATATGGTGGAAACAGCAGGAGAACTGGAATTAGAAGTATGGCCTGAAGATGGGACTGAATTTCTGCAATCTCATGGTAAAATGTGAATGGATGAAGAGTTGCTTCTTATAGATGAGCAAATAAAGTGATTTATTGAGATGGAATCAACTCCTGGTGAAGATATTGTGAACATTGTTGAAATGACGACAAAGGATATAGAATATTTCATAAACTTAATTGATATACCAGTAGCAGGGTTTGAGAGGATTAATTAGTTTTGAAAGAAGTTCTACTATGGATCAAATGGTATCAAACAGCATCACATGCTACAGAGAGATATTTCTTGACAGGAGGAGTCACTCAATGTGGTAAACTTCATTGTTTTCTATTTGAAGAAATTGCCACAGCCAACCCAACCTCAATAGATTACAGTAGAATGTGAACATAACTATTACATATACTAGAAAACCAAAAACTGTCTGTGATTCACTTGATTGCTATATTGGCGTTGTCGCCGTGATCTGAAATGGAACTCGCAATATCTTTTAAGTATTTTAAGTATTTTGTGTATGTAATAATACAAATATTGGGGGGGTATTTATCAGAGTAGTTTCAGTGGTATCTCTAAAGAGACAGGCAGATTTGAATAGCTGAAAGAATGTGGATATAGTAAGTAAAGAAATAACTTTCAAAAGTTTAGCTATATAAAGGAGAAAGGTTAGCAACTAGAGGATAAGTTATTTTTGATGAGGTGAAAGTTGAGCATATTAAAAGCCATGAGGGGGCCGGGCACAGTGGCTCACACACACCTGTAATCCCAGCTACTAAGGAGCCTAAGGCAGGAGGATGTCTTGAGGCCAGGAGATTGCGGCTGCAGTGAGCCATGATGGTGTCACTGCATTGTAGCCTGGGTGACAGAGTGAGACCCAGTTGCACACACACACACACACACAAAAGCATTAGAGAGGGATGCTTTAGAAAATAAAGTATTGAAGGTAAAGACGGGGGAGGGGATGATCTTTAAAAAGTTATCTGAGGGCCAGGCGTGGTGGCTCATGCCTGTAATCCTAGCACTTTGGGAGGCTGAGGCAGGCAGATCACTTGAGGTCGGGAGTTCGAGACCAGCCTGGCCAACATGGTGAAACGCCGTCTCTACTAAACCCAAGAGGTGGAGGTGGTTACAGTGAGCCAAGATGGGGCCACTGCACTCCAGCCTGGTTAACAGAGTGAGACTCCATCTCAAAAAAAAAAAAAAAATGTTATCGTGAAAGCAGAAGAGAATAATACCTGGCTTATACTTGAGAAAGGTATTAGCCTTACAGAAGAAGAAAGAAACCCCTTACAATGTGACAGAAGAAGATACACATATGGATGCAGACAAAGATGTAAGTTTGTTTGCAGAAAGAAAGTGAGGTCTTTCTCACTATTGTAAGGGAGAAAGGAAAGGAGTAGGAAGTTGAAGCGACTGGTAAAGGTTTAAATCACTGCTATGATGAATATGAAAGAACTGAGTAGAGATGCATAGGGGAGTTATAGGCACTGGAGAATCAGTTGAGATTAAAGAATCTGGATGTATGTGGCATCAGACTACATGATTATGAGATATCTCCAGCAGTGATCATGTGGTCAACAAACAAGATTTAGAAAAAAAGACTTTTCTGTTTTATTTCAACTATTTGGCATGTCAGCTTTACTTAGAATAACAGAAGTATTGGACATATTTAAATGAAATACAATAAAACTAATGTGTATCAAGTGTCATTTGTGATTGTCTACCATCTTGTGCAAAAAATAAAATGTTAATCAATTACTTCTTAGTAAAATAATTTTTGCTCATGAAAGTAATATGGGTCCTCCTTGGAAAAAAAAAGGCAAATGTTAAAAAGCTCACACACATGCACACACACACACACACACACACACACCCAAATATTAACATTTTGACATGTATCTATTTAGTCCTACTTAACTGAAAGAAACATATAATGAACAGGGTAAGTATTCTCTCAGTTTCTTAGTCTTGAAATTTTAGAATCATATATGATACCATGGAAGACGCTTCTTTGAAATATTTTTTATCTTCCCTTCGTATTTATTTCTATGTACAACACCAGAAGACCAAACTCTTCTTGACCTTATGTGTGAGAAACCACCATACCTGTCCTCACAGAATCCTCTGCAATGCAATCTTCAGGCTGCTGGTAGTCTAATAATCTCTTACTGTTGCTACCACTCATTTAGTACTTATATGTAATATATTCTTTAACTTGTCATGAGTTGTACTTATTTTGTAAAATTTTCTTCACCACACTCACTTTCTGTAACTCTATATTACCTAGTTTTTTACAGCTTATTAGAAATTTAACATATATCTTATGGGTTTATCTTTTTATTTAGATTCTCCATCAGGATAAGTATCACATATTTTCCCTCTCTACATCACCAGAGCTTAGTTGTCTATATTAGGAGTGGAAAATGTTTAATTATGTCATTTCTCTGATCTTAGCTTCTTGACAGCAAAAACCGTATTTTAGGCACAAGCACTCCCGCTAATTCTTATCATACTCCTAGGCCCATAATAGTTATTTGGAATATCTTGATTTGATAATTTATAATTATAAATTGGTCAATTATTTTCTAGTACTCAAATGAAGATTTTCTTGCATTAAAGATCATATAAGAACTAGGGAATTATATGACAATAATAGTAAGCAACACTTCTACAATGCTTACTATTAGATAATATTTTAAATGCTTTTTTCATATAAAGGCTTAGTTATCACAACAAGTTTATAAGGTAGGACTACAGATATCCCTACTTATAGATAAGGATACTGATATAGAGAGTTAAGTGACTTTCCTAAGGTCACCAGAACTGAGTCTTGGGGCCTTAGTTCTGACATAGGCAGCCTGACTCTACCCTTTACACTCTTAATCACTATGCTTTCCATCAGATGTACGTTTTCAGGTAAAATGTTTCTGACACATAATTATTCTATTTTTATCATTTGAAACTTATGGACACGCATAAAGAAGCAGCCAAGTATCATGGATTCTAGATGGATGATGTATAGAAAATTAAATGGAATGGGTTGTAATTCTCAAAGGAAGTTTTTTTAAAAAATATAAAACCCTCCAGACATCTGAATCATTATGGTATAACAGAGTTCTCTTTATAATTCCATTAACTAGGTGCTATAAATGTCATTACTGCTATCAGCAAGGCACTGGACCTGCAAAGTTTTATATTTGGATTGATTAGAAAAATGCATGACCCAAGTAAACAGAAGATAATATATAACAAAATATGTTTTAGCATTACTCCCTTCTTGGGAAAGAAGATGGTAATTTGCTAAGTAAGTTTGTAATGATAACCCTCTATAATTCAATGCAATCCTTGTGCAAAATCAGAAGTTAAAAATTTTTTAATAAACTCAAATCTATATTTGAGTTTATATCAAAGATTCCACCAAAGTAGTGAGAAAATCAATTTCACTAATAATTGGATATTTTACACTACCCCTAGAGTTATACCAGCATTCAGATGCATAATGCTAGAAAAGCCGGGGTGGGGGGGACTAGAATTTAATTCCTTGTAAGTTTGGTTATCATCTATATTGTCCAAGACCTCTATAATCCCTTGGACATAAAGAAATTATCTGCTTCTGTGCTTCACTATGTGCACTATCATTTTGGGGTGTTACCATAGACTATGTTTGTGGTCTATGCAGATTATGAGACCTATCAAATTTTGTCCCATTTCTAATCTCCAGGTATCTGTTGTCTCTTTTCCAGTTTGCATCAGTTAGATTGTGCAGCATAACAAACTAGCCCAAAATTTAGTGGATTAAAACAACAGCCATTTTATTTAGCCCTAGATTCTGTTGGTCTGTTGAGAAATTTTTCATGTCTAGAATATCTTTTCTTATCTCTGATAGACTCTATCACATAGCGATGATCAGGTGGTTGTCAAACTAATTACTGTTTGATCTAAAATGACCCCAATATTAAGAAAAAAAATGGCCAACTAGATGCAGCCAGGAGGAACATCTGTCACTGAGACACTGGGACATTGAGAAGACTGGCACATTCCAAGCAGATCTTCAGAGGAATTGAGAGTGGACAGAGGGAGGGTGCAGACGCTGGGCTGAAGGGAGAGGACACTGGGAAGCCTGCATGGTGCTGCTGAGCACCAGGACTTGTTCCTGGCCCCTGCAGCTCCTGGGAAAAGGGTGAGTTGAACGGGGAGGAGTGCCACCCTCTCCCCATGTATCTCCAGAATCCTAGCAGCAGGAAACTGCACAACCCCCATGGACAGTTGAGCTGACAGGGAGAGTTGCTTAGACAGGTGATAGGGGCAGGACTCCAGCCTGTGTAGAGTCCAGATGGTTTGGTGTAGAAACATCTGCAGTGGAGCACAGCGAGGGACCTTCATCCCCCAAGGCTTGTCATGCTCCTTTAGGAGATGCTAGCCTTAGGGTAACTGTTGGACCTGGAAAGAGCAGAGTGTTCCTGCCCGCGAGACAGGCCCAGTCTTAACTCATTGTCTCCATGTTCGCTAGCCTCTCTTCAGATCCCAGCCTGGCCGTGTCTGCTTGCAGCACAAACCCGGATGCCCAACCAGGGTGCTTCCCAAGAGCCTTCAGTATAGCTGCTTTACCAGCAGACCATGCCTGACTGTTGGAGAGCTCCAGCAGAAAGACCCCAGCCAACACACACCAGCCGATCCACACACGCTTCCCTCACTGTAGCTTCTGCCACACCACTTAGCCAGCACACACTCATCCACAGACACCTCACCCACTGGTTTCCCAGTGCACATAGGCAGACCTCACCTCCAATCCCTGGCCAGTGTACATGTGCATGCCCAGTCTGCCATATCACTACTGCCTGTGTGAGCACATCCCACTACACCATCCCCCACTGACATGCAGGTAGGTATCTAGGCTCTGCTGTGATTGGCAGCGCAAAGAAAACACTAATGCCAGTGACCCTGCCCCTTCACACTGCCACTGCCACTGGTGCAAATGCACACACAGAGGCCAGCAGCTTGGCACTTGCCAGTGTCCTGCACCTGCTGCCACTGCCACCAGCACAAATGCAAACACAGACACCATCAATACTTTCCACAAAAGTGTTCCACTTATGCCATTATGACCCTGCTACCACCGGCACAGGAACACACAGGAATGCCTCAGCCCTGCTCCTACCTGGACCCTACTACTGTCAACATGCATGTACCTTGCCTCACTTCTGCGGTGGCTGACACATGTGAGCAAGCATGGCTCCCATTGCCACTGCCCCAACAAAGCACTTTGGTTGGCACCACCCACCAGAGTGTTGCGATAAGTGGACTGGGAAGACTTTGGCCCCTCTAGCACAGCAGGTTCTTAATTTTGAGGGGTCAGAGAACAAAGCTGGGGGCCTGATACCAGACCCCAGAATTATAGCATGCAGTCCTGGAACCCTGAGCTGAGCCTTGAACCCTTAAATATCTTCCAGGCACGAAGCTAGTCAACTGAACCCACCCTACACCACAATCAAACCCGCAAGGGCCTAAAATAAGATAAAAGCAAAAAAAAAAAAAAAATCAAAGGATAGCAACTTCCCAGAGTGAAGGAACATTAGCCTGCACAGATAAGAAAGAATTAGCATAAGAACTCACTCTGGAAACTGAAAAAGCTGGAATGTCTTCTCACCTTCAAATGATTGCAATAGTTCCCCAGCAATGGTTTTAACCAGGCTAAAATGACTAAAATGACAGAAGAGAATTCAGAATATGGAGAGGAATGAAGAACACTGAAATTCAGGAGAAAGTCAAAACCCAATCCAAGGAATACAATAAAACAGTACAGGAGATGAAACACGAAATGATCATTTTTAGGAAAGAACCAAACTGATCTGATAGAGCTAAAAAATCTCACTTGAAGAACGCTACACAATTACAGAATTAAGTACATAGACCATTGACACTATAAAGCAAGCACACAATCAAGTCTGCATAATAACCAGTTAAGAACATGATGACACAATCAAACCCATACAAATCATATTAACTTTGAATGTAAATGGACTAAATGCCCCAATTAAAAGGCTTAGAGTGGCAAGTTGGATAAAGAGTCAAGATCCAACTGTATACTGTCTTTAAGAAACCCATCTCACATCCAATGACACAGATAGGCTGAACATAAAGCGAAAGAGAAACATATGCCGAGCAAACAAAAAAACAGAAAAAAAGTAGGGGTTGCTATTCTAATTTCAGACAAAACAGTCATTAAACCAATAATGATCAAAAAGACATAGAAGGTCATTATATGATGATAAAGTATTCAATTCAACAAGAAGACTTAACTATCCTAAAAATATATGCACCAATACAGGAGCACTCAGATTTATAAAGCAAGTTTTTAGAGACCTATGAAGAGACTTACATAACCACACAATAATAGTGTGAGACTTCAACACCCCACTGACACTATTAGAGAGATAATCGAAATAGAAAACTAGCAAAGATATTCGAGACCTAAACTTGACATTTGACCTAATGGAGCTAGCAGGCATCTAAAGAACTCTCCATTCAAAACATGCATACATCTCATATTCGAATGGCACATACTATAAAATCAACAACACAATCAGACAAAACAATTTTCAGCAAATAAAAAATTCATATCAAACATAATCTCAGACCATGGTGCAATAAATACGGAAATCAGAAAAAGTGGGCAAAGAATATGAACAGACACTTCTCAAAAGAAGGCATTTATGTGGCCAACAAACATATGAAAAAAGTTCATCATCACTGATCGTTAGAGAAATGCAACTCAAAATCACCATGCGATACCATCTCACGCTAGTCAGAATGGCAATTATTAGAAAGTCAGAAAACAATAGATGCTGGCAAGGCTGTGGAGAAATAGGAACACTTTTACACTATTGGCGGGAATGTAAATTAGTTCAACCATTGTGGAAGAAAGTGTGGCTATTCCTCAAGTATCTAGAATCAGAAATACCATTTCACCCCACAATCCCATTACTGGGTATATACCCAAAGAAATATAAATCCTTCTACTATAGACACACATGCACAAGTATGTTTATTGCAGCACTATTCACAATAGCAAAGACATGGAAATAACCGAAATGCCCATCAATGAAAGACCGGATAAAGAAAATGTGGTATGTAAACACCATGGAATACTATTCAGCCATAAAAAAGAATGAGATCATGTCCTTTGCAGGAACATGGATGAAGCTGGAAACCATCATCCTCAGCAAACTAACACAGGAACAGAAAACAACACCGCATGTTCTCACTCATAAGTGGGAGTTGAACAATGAGAACACATGGACACAGAGAGGAGAATAACACACACCAGGGCCTGTTTAGGGAGAGCATTAGGAAAAACACCTAATAAATGCAGGACGTAAAACCTAGATGACGAGTTGATAGGTGCGATAAACCACCATGGCGCATGTATACCTATGTAACAAACTTGTTTGTTCTGCACATGTATCCCGGAACGTAAAGTAAAATAAAAAAAAAAGGACATTCTGACACATGCTACAATATGGATTAGATATCTAAAGTAGTCAAATTTCATAAAGAGAAAATGTAGAATGGTAGTTGCCAAGGGCTGGAAGAGGGGAATGAGGAGTTACTGTCTAATGGGAACATTGTTTCAATTTTCAAAAATAAGAAAGTAGTGGTGATGGATGGTGATGAAGGTTGCAAAACAATATAAATGTACTTAAAACCAATACATTGAATATTTAAACATGTTTAAAAAGTATAAATCAAAACTGAGAAAATCCCTCAAAAGCATATAATTGCATGGAAATTAAACAAACTGCTTCTGAATGACTTTTATGAAAATGATAAAATGAAGGCAGAAATCAAGAAATTATTTGAAACTAGTAAGAAAAAATATACAACATACCAGAATTTCTAGGACACATCTAAAGCAGTATTAAAAGGGGATTTTATAGTGCTAAATGCCCACAAACACACACACACACACACACACACACACACACACACACACACACACGCATTTAAAGATTTCAAATTAACCACCTAACATTACCCCTAGAGAAAATAGGGAAACAAGAGCAAACCAACCCCAAAGATAGCAGAAGACAAGAAACATCCAAATTATAGCTGAACTGAAGGAAATTGAGACATGAAAAACCATACAAAAGATCAACAAATCCATGAGGTGTTTTTAAATAAATAATAAATGAGATTGACAGCTAGTTAGACTAATAAAAATAGACAATCCAAATAAACACAATGAGAAATGACAAAGGGGACATCACCACTGACCACACACAAATGCAAAAAAATAAAAATAAAAAAACTCAGAGACTATTATGAACACCTCTATGCACACAAACTAGAAAACCTAGAAAAAATTGATTAATTTCTGAAAGCATAAAACCTCCCGAGATTGAACCAGGAAAAATTGAATCCCTGAACAGACCAATAATGAGTTCTGAAATTGAATCAGTAATAAAAAAGCCTCCCTACCAGAAAAACCCCAGGACCAGAAGGATACATAGCCAAATTCTACCAGATGTGTAAAGAAGAGCTGGTACTGTTCCTAATGAAACTATTCCAAAAAATCACAGAGAAGGAGGAGGCCAGCATCATACCTATTCCAAACCTTGTAGAAACACAACAAATATCTTTGATGAACATAGATGCAAAATTCCCCAATAAAATTCTAGCAAACCAAATCCAGCAGCATATCAAAAAGCTAATTTACCACTATCAAGTAGGATTTATTCCTGAAATTCAAGGTTAGTTCAACATACACAAATCAATAAATGTGATTCATCACATAAACAGAACTAAAAACAAAAACCACCCAATCATCTCCATAGATGCAGAAAATGCTTTCTATAAAATTCAACATCCCTTCATGTTAAAAACCCTCAACAAACTAGGAATTGGAGGAACATACCTCAAAATAAATAGAGCTATCTATGACCAATCCATAGCCACATCATACTGAATGGGCAAAAGCTGGAAGCATTCCCCTTGAGAACCAGATTAATACAATAATGCTCACTCTCACCACTTCTATTCAACAGAGTACTAGATGTCCTAGTTGGAGCAATCAGACAAGAGAAAGAAATAAAATGCATCCATATAGGAAGTGAGAAAGCCAAACTCTCTCTCTTTGCAGACTGTATAAATCTATATCTAGAAAACCTCATAGTCTCTGACCAAATGCTCCTAGATTTGATAAACAACTTCAGCAAAGTTTTAAGATACAAAATCAATGTACAAAAATGAGTAGCATTTCTGTACATCCACAACATCCAAGCTGAGAGGCAAATAAAGAATGCATTCCTATTCACAGTTGTCACAAAAGAATAAAATACCTAGCAATACAGGTAACAAGGGAGGAAAAAGATCTCCACTATGAGAATTAAAAAATATTGCCGAAGAAAATCAGAGATGAAACAAACAAATGGAAAAATATTCCATGCTCATTGATGGGAAGAATCTATATCATTAAAATAGCCATACGACTCAAAGCAGATCCAATGATATTCCTATCAAAGTACTGATGACATTCTTCACGCAATTAAAAAAAATTTTAAAATTCATATGGAACCAAAAAAGAGCCTGAATAGCTAAGGCAATCCTAAGCAAAAATAATAAAGCCAGACACAACACATTACCTGACTTCAAACTGTACTACAAGGCTACAGTAAACAAAACACCATGGTACTGGCACAAAAACAAACACGTAGACCAGTGGAACAGAATGGAGAGCCCAGAAATAATGCCTCACACATACAACCACCTGATCTTTGACAAAGTCGACAAAAACAAACAATGGGGAAAGAACTCTCTAGTCAGTGAATGGTGCTGGGATTAGTGGCTCGCCATTTGCAGAAGATTGAAATTGGACCCCTTCCTTAAACCGTACACAAAAATCACCTCAAGATGGATTAAAGACTTAAATGTAAAGCCTAAAAATATAAAAATCCTGGAAGCTAATCTAGGAAGTACTATTGTGTAAATAGGCCCTGGCATCCATTTCATGACAAAGATGCCCAAAACAATTTCAACAAAAGCAACATTGACAAATGGGACTTAATTAAACTAAAGAGCTTCTGCACAGCAAAATAAGCTATCAACAAGTAAACAGACAACCTACAGAATGGGAGAAAATATTTGCAAACTGCATCCAACAAGTATCTAATATCCAGAATGTATAAGGAACTTAAACAGTGTCACAAGCAAAAAGCAAACAACCCCATTACAAAGCAGACAAAGGACATGAACACTCACTTTTCAAAAGAAGACATACGCTCAGTCAACAAGCATAGGAAAAAATGCTCAACATCACTAATCATAAGAAAAATGCAAATTAAAACCATAGTGAGATTCCATCTCACATCATTGAGAATGGCTGTTATTAAAAATTCGAGCAATAACAGATGCTGGTGATGTTGCAGAGAAAAGGGAACGTTAATACACTGCCAGTGAGAATGTAAATTAGTTCAGCCATTGTGGAAAGCAACTTGGAACTTTCTCAAAGTACTTAAAACAGAATTACCATTTGATGAAACAATTCCATTACTGGGTATATACCCAAAGCAATATAAATCGTTCTACCATAAAGACACACGCACACGTATGTTTATTACAGCACTATTCTCAACAGCAAGGACACTAAATCAACCTAAATGCCCATCAATGGTAGACTAGATAAAGAAAATGTAGTACATATATACCAGGGAATACTATGAAGCCATAAAAAATGAGATCATGTCCATTGCAGCAACATGGATGGAGCCGGGAGCCATTATCCTAAGAGAACTAATGCAAGAACAGAAAACCAAATACTGGATGTTCTCACTTATAAGTAGAAACTAAACATTGGGTACACATGGACACAAAGAATGGAACAACAGACATTGGGGCCTACTTGAGGGTAGAGGATTGGAAAACTACCTATGAGTTATTATGCCTACTCTTTGGGTGACAAATAATCTTTACACCAAAACTCTGTGACAGGCAATTTACCTATATAACAATCCTGCACATGTGCACTGAATCTAAAATAAAAATTAAAAAATAAAAATAAATGATCTCACTCGCATGTGTGGTAGCTGACAGACTGTTTACTGAAGTGTGTGTGTGTGTGTGTGTGTGTATATGTATGTATGTATGTATAGTTTCCTAGTTCTAGCTTCTTCATATGGAAGTCTCAGGATTCCAAATACAGCAAGAAAACAAGACCTAATGTGACAATGCTTTTTAACTTTCTGCTTATGTTGTATTTGCTAATGTTTTCTGGGATCGTAGAAGGCACATGACCATCCTTTATTCAAAGGATTGAAAAATAGTCCCTACCACTTGACTTAAGAAGCTGTAACATTTTTGTTGCTATTACTGCAATGTACCACAGAGCCATCAATTACAGTGAAATTATGTAAAAGAAAATATATTTGAAAACACTTTAGAGTAAGAGGCTTTACAATATTGCCAAATGTAGTCATTTATATTTACAATGCCCACATATAGGTCAGTCTTGAATATTATTTTAACATGTTTTATCAAATATTTTAAAGCAACTATGCAATGCTGGATGGTGATACTTTTCCCCTGATGTACTGTTTTTTTAAAATTAGAATCATTGTATTAATTTATCTTGACAAATATCAAAAATCTTACAATAGTTTACAGAAATAAAGCAAATATATAGTGGCTGTGTCTCAAAAAGATGATAAACATATACGTAGCTTTGTTATAATTGATTTGGGGTCATTACAGTAATTTACCATGTTCTATGGAATTTGTAATACATGTTTTCTTCTGAAAAGCTCATCTTGGAGACACAATTATGATTTAATATAAAGAAATCTAAGCTATTGTTGAACATTAACAGTAGACAATAGATTAACTTTATTGTTAAATGAAGACTAATTCTGTGAGTGAAGAATAATTCAATCATGTCATGTAGCACAGCATGGTGAATAAAAATACGCATTAACCGTGGAAACTTAAGAGGGCAGATTTAGTTTCTGATAATTGTGACGGTCGGTTGGATGGAATGTTCTGTTCTACCTCTTAACCACATAACTCTATCAATAAGCCCAACTGAAAAGGCTCATCAAATAGATGCCTTTCATGTTTGATGTTTGTAGAAATGTTTAGATGGATACAACAAAACCTTAATTAACTGTAATGATCAAAGAGTGTGGTGAAACATTTCCTTATTAATGAAATATTTCCCAAATGTCTTTTTTGTTAAATCTTGAAGTATTAATTATTTTTTCTAAATTGTGTAAGTCATGTTTTCTCCCTAAAATTTTGTTCCACAGAACTTTATTTCCAGGGAGGTAGCATGTGGAGCTCTGTGGATGCATTCCCCTGTGAAACAAACAAGGCTGCTGAAAATTATGAAAATAAATAACAATTTCAACTTTCTAGAAATTGTCATAAAAGTATACAGCAAATGAGGAAGCATTAATTCGTGAAAATATATTGTTATAGATTAAATTGTCTTCTCCTAAAATTCATAGGTGTAAGACAACACCCATACGTCAGAATGTGACCGTATTTGGGAATAAGGTTGTTGAAGATGCAATTACTTAAGATGCATTCATTAGGGCAGCCCCTAATCCAGAATGATTTGTGTCTCTGCTGAAAGAATGATTGTGATTTTGTACACAGACAAGAACACATGTAAACACTACCAGCAATTTAGGAGGCTAAGGGGGGTGGATCACTTGAACGCAGGAGTTCAAGACCAGCCCGGGCAACATGGTGAAACCCCATCTTTACAAACATAACAAAAATTAGCTGAGCATAGTGGCACTCACCTGTAGCCCAAACTATTTATGAGGCTGAAGTGGGAGGATTGCTTAAATCTGGGAGGTCAATGCTGTAGTAAGCCGAGATTGCACCACTGCACTGCAGCCTGGGTAGCAGAGTGAGACACTGTCTCAAAAACAAAAAACAAACAAACAAAAAACGTCTAAGGCAGAGATTGAGATGAAGCTTCCATATGGCAACGAATGCCAATGATTTCAGCAAACAAAATATGAGAGAAAAGGCATGGAACTGATTATTTCTCACAACTTTCAGAAGGAAATAACCCTGCTGACATCTTGATTTCAGACATCTAGTCTCCAGACCTGTGAGACAATACATTTCTTCTAAGGCATTCAGTCAGCAATACTTCGTGGTACTTTGTTACAGCCGCCCAAGGAAAATAGTACTAAAATAAGTTATGAAAAGAGGAGGTCTGTGGCATTTGAGTCATGATCCACCACACCCTCCAGCTCAAGTTGATTAAACTACCATTCTGGGAAGATGGGACCAGGAAGGCAGGGCTCATTCTCCTCTGAGCACCCAATAAAGAGCATCCCCCATATATCACTGAGAGGGGTAGTCTATCAGCATTTCTGATTCCCTAAAAGTCCAACTTGAAGAAGCTAAATTCCTGGTGAGTACAGCTGAGAGTTCAGGGTTTCCCTTTCTTAACCCTTCTCCATAGGACAGAGGCTCTACTCAATGTGTAGTAGGAAGAGAATACTGAGGCCCCAGTCATCCTTTGTCCAGCTTTACCTGTAGGGCAGAATTTCCATTCCAAGAAAGGAAGGTCAAAAATATCAGAGGCTACTACCTGGCCCAGTGCCCAGAGTAGTGGCTCAAGATTTTTCTCACGGGGAACAGGCATTTCATTTAAAAAGAGCTCTGAAGGTCTTTAACTTTACAATTTATTTTGGAGAAATAAATCTAACAAGAGGAGTCATTCTCTGAAAATGCAAACATGGTTATTTTCATATTCACTTCTTACTCCTTTTCAAATGTAAGAATTATTCTTTAATCAGTTTAATTACTATATTTCAATCTTTAGAGAATATTATTCATTATCCATTCAGATCCATCATGAGTTGTTCAATTCAGATGCATAAAATAAATAAGTTTCTGATACTCTGGCTGAATTTTCTGAAGAGTGCACAAGAATAAATATTAGGGAGCACACTGTATTTTTAATTGCTTTCTGTCTTTCTCCACTCTGAAGGAAGAACTTCCAGATATAAATACTCTTTAGACTTATGATCTTCATCATTTGTTTTTGCAACTCTCTGTATGCATGAAAGGTATTGCTTTGCCTAGTACAAGTGACATCAGGTTTGTTTTGTAACTTTGTTTTGTAACTTACAAGAGAAAAAACAAATACATATATGTCAAAATAACTGATCAGTGTTCTTAAAAAGAGTCAATGTCATGGAAGGCATAGAAAGATTGACGAAGTCTGACAGGCTGAGGGTAATGAAGCAGAAGAAGGAATCTTGGAAGAGAAAAAACACATTAGTTAAAACACGAGTACAATAGAAGTAAGTTCTGCACTTTATTAATAGCATTGTACCAACGTTAATTTATTGGTTTTGATCATTTTACTATTGCTATGTGTTGTGCTAATTGTAGGGGAAGCTGGCTGAGGGAAATTAAGGAACTCTTAATGATTTTATTAGTTTTCTCTAAGTCTAAAATTATTTCAAAATAAAAGAGCAGCAACAATAGCAACACGTAAAACCTCTCCAAGTTCTAGACTGAGTATCAGAGATTCATTAACAAAAAATTATGTTAGTAGCTAATTCACCTTATTTTACATTAATTTTACTCTAAATGCATGTGAATGACATTTTAAAATATATGCTCACATCGTATTTTTCATCTTAATCATAGCCACATAAAATATATGATAGTTGTGTCTAAAATGGCTGAAATTAATCATAGAACTAATCAAAATAATTAGGCCGTAACACAATGATGGGATTAACTGTTAAAGGCATGGCATTAGTCTCAGAGGAAAAACGAATTCCCTCCTTTCCTTTTTGTTTAACTATTATGTTCTTTAATGAGTAAATACAGGACAACAAATACATTCCTTAAAATGTAAGCATTGACTTACCTATGGCCTGGCAATTCCACTGCTACCCAAAACGAATGAAAACAAATGTCCACACAGAAACCTGTACATTAATGTTCATAGCGATATAATTCATAATATCCAAAAATTGAATGAACCCAAATGCTCAGCAACTGAGGAAAGAATAAATAAAATTTGATATAGTCATGAAGTGTAATACTAGTCAGCAATAAACAGAAATCGAGTACTTATACATATTGCAACAAAGATGGACTTTAAAAACATGCTAAGTGAAGGAAACCATTAGCAAAATACCACATATTATGTGATTCAATTTACATAAAATATCCAGAATAGGCAAATCCATAGAGACAGAAATTAGACTAGTGGTTGTAAAGGACTGAGGGCAGAGAGGAATGGATAATTAATAGCTGCTAATGGGTATGGTGTTTTTCTTGGGGTGAAAAAATTATTTTTTAATTAGTGGTTATGGTTGTATATCTTTGTGAATATACTAAAACTTCTGGATAGAACACTGTAAAGGGGTAAATTTTAAGATATGTGAAAATATATCAGAAAACATTACATGATTAAATAATCAGATCTTGCAGGACAACATTAAAAACACCAGAATTAATGATAATATATAGCATTTTTCTTCAGAGGGATCGTTAATGTCATGAAAACCTTGATTTTTTTCCACATTAAATATACACATTTTTTTCATTCTAATGTTTTAAAATTGAATGAAATAATATAAATTTTACATGGAACAATAAATATCATTAAATGCCAATAAAATTATATTAAAATTAACAAAATAGAATTACTGATTTAAGACCTTCTATATCAGATAGCTAAGTTACTCATAAGTTAGGTGGATAAGAATAGACAGATTAGTTGTGGAACATAATAGTGTAAAAATATATCTAAGAAATATTGAAAATTAAAATGTGACAAATTTGACATTTCAATTCAGTTGACAGAGCATAATTTACTTAATGGTGCTGGAAAAATTGACTATTCATTTGAGAAAAAAGTACACTACTTGACATAATCAAAAAACTAATTACAGATAACTAAATGTAACAAGTAAAATAATTAAAATATTTCTCAAAACTTAGGAAATGCTCAGACTATGGAAAGGGTAAAAGCTACTTAAACAAGACAGAAAAATAAAAGCCATTAAAATGATTAACAAATTCAATTCCCTAATAGTTTGGGAAAGAATATCATAAAATTCAAACAACAAACTGAGTAGTCTTGAGGAATCCCAGTTTAATTTGAATTTTAGACAAACAACAAATGTTTTTTAAAGTATGTCTCAATTATTTTCTAAGTTTGGTGTTAATTAGTTAATATGACTAGCCAAAAGATCTTGTGCTTATTAATAAGAAAACAACTAATTACCAAACAGAAAAATGCATAAAGATTATGAACAGCCAATTCAGAGAAGAAAATAAAAAATGCAAACATTTATTTGAAAAAAATATCCAATATCATGAGTGGTCAGGGAAAATTAAATTAAAGCAATGTAATTTTTGTTTAAACCTACCCAATGGTAAAAATTAACCATTTTTGCTGGTGACATTGAGAAATGCATGACTTAGAAAATCTTGCAATAACTAATAAAAGAAATATATACATATTGTTTGGCCCAGCAATCACTCTTTTAAGAATTTTGCCTACAAGAAAAATAAAAGTACTAGTATGTATGTACATATAGATATAGATATGCATGCATGTGTGTGTGTGTGTGTGTGTGTAATTTTTTTCAGCATTTTGGTAGCCCGAATGTACAATAGTGAATTAGTGGAATAAACTGTAGTTTATTTGGTGGTAATATTCAAAATATTTAGCAATCAGTATAACACAGGTATTGATAAGTCTCAACAGATACAGAATATTAACCTTGAGGCTTTCTATTGAATAGAATATTGTGCAGCTAATAAAAACAGTGAGCTGTATGTATATGTTGATCTGGATATATGTCAAAAATTATATGACTAAAAAATCAAATTGCAGAGTAATGAGAATAGTATATTCCTATTTGAATTTAAAATAAAGCAGCAAGAACAACTTTTGTGATCAGGTGTATTTGTGTGTGTGTGTTTGTGTGTGTGAGAGAGAGAGAGAGAGAGAAAGAGAGAGAATTAGTAGAAAAAGGATATGAATGGATACCATTACATTTTCATAATTAGTTACTTATATTCTGTAATTGGTTACTTTTGGGAGGATGGAATTAAAAGGTGATAAAGAAAAGAAAACAACAGATGCCCATGGAAATACATTTTTGAAAGTACAAAATGTATTAAATTAAAAGTTTTAAAAAATTCACCCCCTTCTCACATCACCAGTCTTATTACTTAATAAGTTTTCTGTTGCCAGTGATTTTCTTTTTTGTTGCCGGCGATTTTCACAATAACTATAAATAATATTCCTAAACTTGTATTTTAGTATGAACGATTGAGCTTAAGTGGCGTACTGAAGTCTTTCCATCTTCCAGTATCTGTTAACTACCTATCAGTTTTATCATTCTTCTGCTGGTTATCTTTATAAAGCCCTACTTCTTAATTTGCTAATTTTAAATGATAATCATTGACTCCCTAATAAATCGGATGAGAAAGTCAGTACAATCTTTATCCCGCCTTTTACATCTCTATTTGAGTCGATGTGAACTTTTTAAATAAATTGTTGATTTATAACCTATTAATCCTGCAATTTAAATATAGTTAAAATGTCCATATTTACCTATAGATTGTGAAAATTATATAAATATGTATATTTACACTTTTCCATATTATAATTGTGTAAATATTATTCCCAATAGAGCCAAGTAACGTGACTGGTTCCACAGAAATTGGATATAGCTTCCTAAAAGCGGATGCTTCAAGTATCAAAGTCAAATGAATTCTTTTATTTTACACCCCGTTTAAGGGTCAGAATCATGCCACATTTTAGTTGGCTTCATATTTGGATTATTACATTTTTGTAGAGGTTCTTTTTTTTATGTCGTAGAAGACCAGATTTTCTCTTCCTTTTGGGTTGTTGACATAATAAATATATGCCTTATTTGCCTAATGACTAAGATTATGCAAATTCTTAAATCATACTATTATAAGACTTCTTTATCCATATTTTAAAATAAAGTTTGCTTACACTGAAAACACTTAAAACATGAACCAAAATTTTATAGTCATGATAAAAATGGAAAAGGTTTTACTGAGATTTTGTTTTGGAAAAGAAATCTAAAACTTTTTTTATTTAATCTTGTATTGAACACAATTTATGCTTTAATTTTAAATATGCATATTTTTTGAGACAGGGTCTCACTCCTGTCACCCAGGCTGGGGAACATGGCTCACTGTTGCTTCGACTTTCTGGACGCAGGTGATTCTCCCAACTCAGCCTCCTGCGTAGCTGGGACTACAAGAGTGTGCCACCTTCTCCAAATTAATTTTTTCAAACAAAAAATGAATGAAAATGCATTGATTTATAAGGAGAGATTGGTGCAGAATTTTCCCAACCAAATTATAAGATGATATTCTACTATATTCCTCATTATACATTTAAATTCCATGGCACAAAAATAAAAAAAGGCAATTTTGCAAAAATAGTTATGAAGGCTTCATCTGTTTCTCAAAACATCTACCTAATAATTTGATACATAAATTATCCTCTTGTAAAACGCCTATCATGCATTATATTTATTTATTTTTCTTCAATTTTAACAGATACTCATTGACTAATGACTGTCACGTGATTCTTGCTATTTTCCAATAAAACTTTCATCGTGATGTCCGATATTTTTGCAACTTATTTTCCATTTAATTCTAATTTATTCTATTGATATTCTAATTTTAATAAAATTTAAACTTCTATTTCCTGCTTTCCAATTACTCTTTTCTTACAGCAACCTATTCTTTGTGAATGTAGGGATCATTTTGATTCTCCCAAGAATATTAATTAGAATAAATTTTAAAAGTTATTTTCTTCCAAGTAATGTCCAGATTAGTTATTTTTTTGCGTGTGCTTCTAGTTTTTCTCAAATGTCTGATGATGCTTGGTTTTCCACTCATACTCATAAGAGATGCACTTGATGCATTATTACTGGTAGCTACCAAGCAATTTTTCTGACATTATTGAGGTAGTCTTTTCTCACAGGCTTCCATCCTGAAAGGAAGTCACATATAACTTCAAACTAGTGGGTTATGTTTTAGTTTTTATGGCAGAAAACAAATGAGGATGGCTCTTCTCTGGAATATCAGCTACCATAATAAAAGCACTAAACTCTTCCTGGCAGGTTTCTCATTTCTTTGGAAAATGGCACTTCAGCCTCAACCTGCTGCTACTGCATATATAGAGGTGATGCTGACCTACATGGCCATAGCCATTTTACAGAAGCTACCAGTCTCAAAAAAAAAATCAATGATTTTACTATATTCTTTTTTATAGTATTTTATTATATATATCACATACATAGATTACTGTACATCTGTTTATAAAATATTGATAAACATAATATATTTCTTATTTTTGATATAAAAAAGTAAAACTGGACATTTTAATATGTTTTTTTGTGCCATATGAAATATGGATTGCCTGGGATGATCACACACAACCTTGGAGACCAATGCTGTAGGCCATCAATCATGTTGTTTTATAATTCTATTTCCTTTCCACTTATCTGATGATAAGCAACTCTTACCTCTTCTGCAGCACACTGTGCATGTCCTGAGATGTGGCTCTCTCCATTCTATATTGTCCATCAATATGGTCCCACCTTTCTCCATGTTCCAGAAATATGTCAAGGCTCTGGTCTTCTGATGCCTCTCATTGGGCATTCAGTGATGTCATTCAGTAAATTTATGGACTTAATGTCTTTAGTACTTCATTATTATTATTCAGAGGGGTTTTGCAAAAAAAAAAAAAAAAAGAAAAGAAAAGAAAAAAGACATATAAATATGTGCTGTCTGTCATCTTGAACCAGAAACTCTATCAAGTATTTTCATTCTTCTCAGATTAGAGGGCTCCATTTGTATTGTTAGACTATAGGCATTCAGTGATGTATCCAAAGGGAAAATCATTTTTATATTAATTAATAAAGATAAATACGCTAGTGTTATAACCTTGAATACAACTAGTAGGCAATGTCGCTAAATTGTGACATTTTTTATTTTAAAGAGATTATAAATGCTGAATTCAAGTAGTATTAAGAAACATACATGGTGTTAAGGAATTTTGTTGGATATAAGGAGCTTTATAATGCAGCATTTCTAGATTAAGATACAATATTAATTATTCAGTCTATTGTTAGTGTCCTCTCACACTTGCAGCCCCATAATAATAAGCATCCTCTTTAATGTTCAGGGCCCGCTGTGCCAATAGTACTTTTAACAAAATACATTGGCTTTAGGCTTGCTGACATGGCTTCACACTGAGATAAACACAATTAACAAGATCAATCTAAATTTTGGCTCTTTTGTAATTGTTTATTAATGGGATTTTGAGATTACTTTTTTTAATTTAATTTTTTTTCAAGCGGGGTTGTTATTTGCTGTGTGTTTTTATTTTTAATGCCCGGATATTATCTGTTTGATCCATTTCTCAATGGCAGGAAGGCAATAATTACCCTTGTAAAATGATCAAAGGATAATCTTTCCTAAGGTCTTTGTAGCAGAACAATTATAGAGAAACTAGGTTAGTTACAATAGGTTTGAAAAGCAAGTTATTCATAAATAAACTTAATGTTCAAAAATTATGTTAGGTTTTGTTTAACATATAGGAGCATCATATACTTTTTATTTATTTATTTATATTTAATTTTTGTGAGTGTGTAATAGGTATATATATTTATGGGGTATATGAGATATTTTGATACAGGCATACAATGTGTAATAACCACAGGTAGATAAATGGGGTATCCATTACTTCAAGAGGGTATCCCTTGCGTTACAATCTAAGTGTACTATTTTTTTTTATTTTTAATTTTTATGAGTGCATAGTAGGTGTATATATTTATGGGGTATATGAGATATTGTGATACATGCATATGATACATAATAACCACATCAAGGTAAATGGGGTATCCATAACTTCAAGAGTTTATCCCTTGTGTTACAATCTAAGTATACTCTTAGTTATTTAAAAATGTACAATTCAATTAGTACTGACTATAGTCACCCTGTTTTGCTCTAATTTTAAACCATGCTATCACTTGTCATCATTGAACTCGCAGTATGTAGCAAACCACATTATCTACCACAAACTGCCATGGGATAGTGGAACAGCCATTGGTTTTATTCTTTTCTTTTCTTTTTTTTTTAATTATACATTAAGTTCTAGGGTACATGTGCACAACGTGCAGGTTTGTTACATATGTATACATGTGCCATGTTGGTGTGCTGTACCCATTAACTCGTCATTTACATTAGGTATATCTCCTAATGCTATCCCTCCCCCCTTCCGCCATCCCACAACAGGCTCCAGTGTGTGATGTTCCCCTCCCTGTGTCCATGTGTTCTCATTGTTCAATTCCCACCTATGAGTGAGAACATGTGGTGTTTGGTTTTTTGTCCTTGCCATAGTTTGCTGAGAATGACGGTTTCCAGCTTCATCCATGTCCCTACAAAGGACATGAACTCATCCTTTTTTATGGCCGCATAGTATTCCATGGTGTATATGTGCCACATTTTCTTAATCCAGTCTATCATTGATGAACATTTGGCTTGGTTCCAAGTCTTTGCTATTGTGAATAGTGCTGCAATAAACATATGTGTGCATGTGTCTTTATTGAAGAAATGCTCATCATCACTGGCCATCAGATAAATGCAAATCAAAACCACAATGAGATACCATCTCACACCAGTTAGAATGGCAATCATTAAAAAGTCAGGAAACAACAGGTGCTGGAGAGGATGTGGAGAAATAGGAACACTTTTACACTGTTGGTGGGACTGTAAACTAGTTCAACCATTGTGGAAGACAGTGTGGTGATTCCTCAAGGATCCAGAACTAGAAATACCATTTGACCCAGCCATCCCATTGCTGGGTATATACCCAAAAGATTATAAATCATGGAACAGCCATTGGTTTTAAAGACAGTTGGATCTCAGCTCCACTAATAAGCTGTGTGACTTTGAGCAAGGCTTAACCACTATAAGTTTGAGTTTTCTCATATGTAAAATGGGAGTAATAACTATCTCTGAATTGCTCTGGTGGTTAAATGAGATAATATATAATATATAAAGTGATACAAAATCTTGGTAAATTTCTGGCTACTCAGCCATTCAATGTACTAGAATTTATTTTATTCTTCCTTCTTTAAGTGGTGTACTTGACAGTTCAGACAATTTTTTTTAAGCCATGCCACCATGTAGAGTTTCCAAGAACTCAGGCCAGTGGTAGATCTACTGTTTCACATTTTAAAATTTATGAAATTAGGATTCCTATAGGTCATCTGGAAAAAATATATCTATAATACATCTTGAAATCCAGAAAAAAAGATAAAATAATATCAGGTAAACATAATAATTTCATCAGGAGCAAACATACTGGTTGCAATCTGAGGAAAAAGCAAGCAAGGATGTCAAATAATCAAAAGAACGCAAAAGGATTTTTAAAAATATGGATTCCCTAGCCCCATCCCAAACATATTGAAACAGTATATTGAAGAATCAGAATGGGGCATATGTATTTTTAAAGACCTCCTGATTATTTTGATGATTGGCTTGGTTAGAAGTCACTGAAATAAGAGACATACAGAATGTCTGTGCTATAGTGCTCTTATCAAATCAGGTTGTCAGACCGCTGCATATTTAAATAATATTATAGTTCCCCTGTAGAAATTCCTAGATAAATGCAAAGTTTCATACTTTCTATCTACTTTTTTCCATGGTCACTATTAGTTGAAAAGTTTATAAATTCTGCCCTTACGTCTTTATTTGGTAAAATTATCCAACACAGTAATTTGTTGCCTAATACTTCTTTTTTGTTTGTTTGTTTCTTGAGACAGAGTCTCACTCTGTCACCCAGGTTGGAGTGCAGTGGTGCAATCTTGGCTCACTGTAACATCCACCTTCTGGATTCAAGAGATTCTTGTGCCTCAACCTCCTGAGTAGCTAGGATTATAGTCGTGTGCCACCATGCATCTAGCTAGTTTTTTTAAATTTTAGGAGAGATGGGGTTTCACCATGTTGGCCAGGCTGGTCTCAAACTCCTGGCCTCAAATGATCCACCCGCCTTGGTCTCCCAAAGTGCTGAAATTACAGGCATGAGCCATCATGCCTGGTGCCTAATACTTCTTATATGAAGTATTACACTAATATTTATCTCAAAGATAAGGACCTAGTCAGAGAGGTTGCCTTATCTGAAAACCTGTTCTGCTTCTTTTATTAGAAAATTAGAGTTAATGCATTATTATTTTTATTTCTTTAATTGCCAGTAAGCTAAATACCTCTCTGCTACCTCCATACTAACCCCCATCTATTATTGGCTGTTGTGTATTTCCCCTGCTTTAATAATTTTAATACATCTATAACTCTTGTTAAAAGTCAGCTAGCTAAAAACTATTTTTCAAAGAAAATATGACAGTAACAAAATATAAATGTAATGCATTGGTACTCCTAAGCACCACAAACCTCGCTAGCTAAAATTTTCTCTGTAAATTCACGCCCCAATATTGACTTTTTAATGCTTCACTCATTTTCCATATAGGCTGCTTATAAACAGATGCCCTAATGAAATTTTCTGATACCAGAGTCTTGTAGAACACTCACATGTTTAATTGTACCCTAATTTCTTTTGCTCTTAAAAAATAGAACTTTAAAACTTACTTAAAGAAATTGCCTTTAGTATATTATGGTGCTAGCATGTATGTAATCAAGATAGCTTTGGGAATCAGTGGTAAATTCAAGAAGGAATATTGGCAAGTTGAGTACCTTTGCATGTGGAATCACAGGAAGTCATTTAATCTTGCTTTATATCCAATACTCCTTAACTGTCTTGACAAGGATAATGGGGATTTCATTTGACAGCTTAGACCATAACCACTTGTTACACCACACTTCAAGAATGTCAATGCTACTCTACCAGCCCATGCTAATGCCTTTCCTTCCTCTCTTCTCCTGTCCTCTCTTCTCACTTTTTCCCCATCACCATTTTTCTCTTGTTCCTTTATGATTCTTGTTTGTCTCCTCTTTTTTCCTTTATACTCCATAATAATATTATGTTACAGGATCTTTGGGGTGTTGCTTTTCTGGCTGGAAACCTCTGTGGCCAGTGGTGTCTTTGCCCGAGTTCTTGTCCTGTATCCAGGAAAAATGAGGTACACAGACAAATGGAGGGTGAGCAACATGAAGAGAAGCCTTTTTGAGGGTTACAACAGCTCAGAGGAGACCTGCAGTGGGTAGCTCCTCTCTGTAGGCAGGTCGTCCCATCAAGTGTTCAGCTCTTAGGAGAGAGGAGGCTTTGGAGAGGGTGGATCCTCTCTGCAGGCAGGTGGTCTGAACAAGTGTTCAGCTTTCAGCAGAGAGGATAGCTCCTCTCTGCAGCTGGTCATTCTACCAACTGCAGCTCTCAGCAGAGAGGAGGCCTTGGAGAGGGTAGCTTCTCAGAGGAGAGGAAGTGTGTGCCAATAGGTCCATGGGAGACCATGGGCAGATTAGAAAAGGCACCACAAGTCCCCACTCTGGTTGGCAGGTCTGGCAACCCAGTCCCATGGCCTAAAGATGGGGCCTTTACTGGGGACCCACACCCTTCCACCCAGGAGCCTGCCTGCCTCCTGCCACCTACCATGGTGTGCAGGCCACTCATGCCAAGGGGCACCTGCAGACCAGCATCAAACTGCCCTCAGCAACCCTCGCTTCCCCCCGTGCTTGTCAGGCTCCCAATGCCTAGAGGGGGTAGGGCCTGAGCATGGGCATTACTGGCTGGGCTGTGACAGTGCCCAGGCTAGGCTCCAACCCTGTTCTGAGATTGGAGCAGGCACTAGGAGTGGGCAGAGGTCATGCAGCAGGACAAGGCACCTCCGAACCTACAAGGGTAAGGGCCCCCAAGAGCACATGGAGGCCCGGTTATACAACCCTGACTTGGGCACTGCAGTTGCATGGGGGAAGGAGGGCATGGTTCCTGCCCACTCCTGGTCCCCAAGAGAACAGGGTGGCCCGAGTCTACCACCCCTACTTGGATGGCTGCAGCTATGCCTGGGGGATAGAGCTCCTGCCTGCTCCCAGCCCCCAAGAGCACAGGGAGGCCCGAGTCTACCATCCAGAGTTGGGTGGCTTCAGCTGTGCCCGAGGGGGTGGGGCTGCTGCCTTCTCCTGGCTGCCACTGCTTTGTGGAGCATGCAGCTCTGGCTGTGCCCCCTCACAGCCTGGAGCAGAGTCTGGTGATCTTCGCTGGACCCAGGCCGGCACGCAGGGCAAGGACAACATGCCACGAGCTACCTCTGTTGCCCCAGTGCTCAGGGGCAGCCCAGGATGGTGCAAATCATGGCCCCAGCCCTGCCATTGGAAGTGGCAGGTTTGGTGGTCACCACGACATGGGGCAGACCCCGGGGATGAAGCCCCAAGTGACCCTGTGCAGAGCCTCCTCCTGAGGCTCGGGAATCCGGCACCCTAGGCGGAGTGGGCACAATGGCTTCCCTGCTGGCCAGGGCACCTCTCCTTCTTCCCACCCCAGCCCCCCAAGCATGATCCCAGGTCCGCATTGGCGCCCCTCTCTGCTCAATGGCTGCTCCCTGATGCACTGCTCTCCCACCAGTGGGCGACGTGGCCTGGCCTCATCATGGCAGCCCCCAGGACAGAAGGCTGTAGGAGGGGCTGCCTCCTCCCTGCACCCTCCCTGCAGTGGCCAGAGTGATGGCAGCAGCTGCATCAGGCGGCCCACCACTGTCATCACTTATATTACTCAATTAGGCTCATTAGAAACTTAAGGACAAAGAGGTGCCTAATTCTGAAAGGATTGCGAGTAAGCTTTCTCAGAGGCCTCAAAATTCCCAGAAATGTTCCTGGCTCTATCTTGGATGTTGGAGCACTGTTGTTTCACCTTGTTGTTACATTTAAATATTTATACCAGAAAAAGTTTGCCAAGTTTATAGTAAGCAGAAAAGAAAATAAATTCATTATGCTCAGTGCGATTAGTTTTACCACATTGTCTACCACAGGGCAGATGTTTGTTTTCAATATTCATTTTCTTGGATCAGTCAGGTAGACAGCTGTTTTTTTAAGAGTATGTCTGTTCATTTATGTTCCTTTGAATTGTAAATCTACCATCATATTTACTTTTAAAATTTCGGCCTAGAGCTCACAATTCTATCATTGAAGAAAATCTTTATATTACAATATATTCAAAAAAGCATATATAATTACCTGCTCTAGACATTTTAAACACATGCAAAAACTATGCACAATAAATTACCTTAATTTATCAGAGGTTAGATAAAACAAGTTTCTGTTTTATGTAGCTGCAGTATGTCCTCATAATTCCCATGCAAGATAAAATATTGCTACTGACACACCAGCATAAAATTATACAACTGTGCTTCACTTTATGCAAAGGGTATATTCCTGCCAGTCTGGGTGCGGGTAGGCATATGAATTTCCATCCTCTGATACAATCATTTGATAGTAAGTAGTTGAATACATTCTTAGGCTGTGTGTGCAAAATGCTAAAACATCTGGCCAATCCAATGGGGAAAAATCAAACTGATAATTTGGCATCATGTAGCCTAAACAGAGGGTTGATTGAACTTTTTCATTTTTGCTGTGAGTTGTGTAGACTTTGCATAGACTTACTTAGAAGCAGTACAAAACATATTTTTGTTTTGTTTTTAGTTGAGTGATGTGAAGCATGATCATTTAAACTAACCAGTGATTTAATAGAAAATTAAAGGAAATTACATAATATAAATAATAATAGATAAGTGATTATTGTTTTGCTAATATTTTATCTGTTTTTTTAAGTTTTATTTTTAATATTGGCAATGCCATGAAACATGACTTCTTTTTCCTGGAGGAAGGGGTTGGAAAGAATTTCAACCAACTTGTTCATACTTCCTAAGGAATGTTAAAAAGCAGAAAATTATATTCTTTTAGGTATTCAGATGCCTTCCTTTGTGACAACCAAATACTTGGACAGAATTGATCACTTGAACCCCATTATCATCTTATATAAACACTTCCAGTAAAAGGGACAAAATCAACCTTAAAAAATAAGATGCAATTATGTGTGTCAAAATTCAGATATGTCTGACATTAGACAGCATATGAAATTTTTGTATTTGATATGTAATTATAATTTTGCTATAATGTTTTATAAATACTGGGCATTTCCTCATTGCTTTCTCACAGAAAATTGTATTACTTTCAGATTAGTCTGTTTCCATTGAAAAGAGGAGAAATGGGAAGTGTATGCAATACACAGAATCTGTTTCTTATAGAAGGCATATGCTAAACACTTGCTAAATTTATTAACTATTCAAAATTTTGTCAAAGTAATGTGACCTATTAACCAAATAATTTATCAAAAAAATTAATGTAAATCATATTCCACCAACATACTGATAGAGGCCCAATGAAGGGACCTTGCCCCAAGCCAGATAAAAATGTTATAGTCAAGAAAAGAAAAATTCAAAGGAAAATAAATATTTGGGGGCATATTAGTGATGCTTTATTTGTTCTTGTTTTGTTTAAAGAGATTTCTGTCTCAGAGGAAAAAATAGATCAGAGCACCTAATTCCATTAAAAACCTAAACATATCTAAGCCTGTCAAACCAATGATATTTTCTATAATAAAAAATGATTTGAGGAGAGACGCAGAAGACGGGTGATTTCTGCATTTCCATCTGAGGTACCGGGTTCATCTCACTAGGGAGTGCCAGACAGTGGGCGCAGGTCAGTGGGTGCATGCACCATGCGCGGGCCTAAGCAGGGCGAGGCATTGCCTCACTCAGGAAGCTCAAGGGGTCAGGGAGTTCCCTTTCCTAGTCAAAGAAAGGGGTGACGGAAGGCACCTGGAAAATCGGGTCACTCCCACCCGAATACTGCGCTTTTCCAATGGGCTTAAAAAACGGCGCACCACGAGATTATATCCCGCACCTGGCTCAGAGGGTCCTACACCCATGGACTCTCACTGATTGCTAGCACAGCAGTCTGAGATCAAACTGCAAGGCAGCAGCGAGGCTTGGGGAGTGGCGCCCACCATTGCCCAGGGTTGCTTAGGTAAACAAAGCAGCCGGGAAGCTCCAACTGGGTGGAGCCCACCACAGCTCAAGGAGGACTGCCTGCCTCTGTAGGCTCCACCTCTGGGGGCAGGGCACAGACAAAAAGACAGCAGTAACCTCTGCAGACTTAAATGTCCCTGTCTGACAGCTTTGAAGAGAGCAGTAGTTCTCCCAGCACGCAGCTGGAGATCTGAGAACGGGCAGACTGCCTCCTCAAGTGGGTCCCTGACCCCTGACCCCCGAGCAGCCTAACTGGGAGGCACCCGCCAGCAGGGGCACACTGACACCTCACACAGCAGGGTACTCCAACAGACCTGCAGCTGAGGGTCCTGTCTGTTAGAAGGAAAACTAAAAGCAGAAAGGACATCCACACCAAAAACCCATCTGTACATCACCATGATCAAAGACCAAGAGTAGATAAAACCACAAAGATGGGGAAAAAACAGAACAGAAAAACTGGAAACTCTAAAAAGCAGAGCGCCTGTCCTCCTCCAAAGGAACGCAGTTCCTCACCAGCAACAGAACAAAGCTGGACTGAGAATGACTTTGACGAGCTGAGAGAAGAAGACTTCAGACGATCAAATTACTCTGAGCTACGGGAGGACATTCAAACCAAAGGCAAAGAAGTTGAAAACTTTCAAAAAAATTTGGAAGAATGTATAACTAGAATAACCAATATAGAGAAGTGCTTAAAGGAGCTGATGGAGCTGAAAACCAAGGCTCGAGAACTACGTGAAGAATGCAGAAGCCTCAGGAACTGATGCGATCAACTGGAAGAAAGGGTATCAGCAATGGAAGATGAAATGAATGAAATGGAGCGAGAAGGGAAGTTTAGAGAAAAAAGAATAAAAAGAAATGAGCAAAGCCTCCAAGAAATATGGGACTATGTGAAAAGACCAAATCTACGTCTGTTTGGTGTACCTGAAAGTGATGGGGAGAATGGAACCAAGTTGGAAAACACTCTGCAGGATATTATCCAGGAGAACTTCCCCAATCTAGCAAGGCAGGCCAACGTTCAGATTCAGGAAATACAGAGAACGCCACAAAGATACTCCTCAAGAAGAGCAACTCCAAGACACATAATTGTCAGATTCACCAAAGTTGAAATGAAGGAAAAAATGTTAAGGGCAGCCAGAGAGAAAGGTCGGGTTACCCTCAAAGGGAAGCCCATCAGACTAACAGCGGATCTCTCGGCAGAAACCCTACAAGCCAGAAGAGAGTGGGGGCCAATATTCAACATTCTTAAGGAAAAGAATTTTCAACCAAGAATTTCATATCCAGCCAAACTAAGCTTCATAAGTGAAGGAGAAATAAAATACTTTACAGACAAGCAAATGCTGAGAGATTTTGTCACCACCGGACCTGCCCTAAAAGAGCTCCTGAAGGAAGCACTAAACATGGAAAGGAACAATCAGTACCAGCTGCTGCAAAATCATGCCAAAATGTAAAGACCGTCAAGACTAGGAAGAAACTGCATCAACTAACGAGCAAAATAACCAGCTAACATCATAATGACAGGATCAAATTCACACATAACAATATTAACTTTAAATGTAAATGGACTAAATGCTCCAATTAAAAGACACAGACTGGCAAATTGGATAAAGAGTCAAGACCCATCAGTGTGCTGTATTCAGAAAACCCATCTCACGTACAGAGACACACATAGGCTCAAAACAAAAGGGTGGAGGAAGATCTACCAAGCAAATGGAAAACAAAAAAAGGCAGGGGTTGCAATCCTAGTCTCTGATAAAACAGACTTTAAACCAACAAAGATCAAAAGAGACAAAGAAGGTCATTACGTAACGGTAAAGGGATCAATTCAACAAGAAGAGCTAACTATCCTAAATATATATGCACCCAATACAGGAGCACCCAGATTCATAAAGCAAGTCCTGAGTGACCTACAAAGAGACTTAGACTCCCACACATTAATAATGGGAGACTTTAACACCCCACTGTCAACATTAGACAGATCAACGAGACAGAAAGTCAACAAGGATACCCAGGAATTGAACTCAGCTCTGCACCAAGCAGACCTAATAGACATCTACAGAACCCTCCACCCCAAATCAACAGAATATACATTTTTTTCAGCACCACACCACACCTATTCCAAAATTGACCACATACTTGGAAGTAAAGCTCTCCTCAGCAAATGTAAAAGAACAGAAATTATAACAAACTATCTCTCAGACCACGGTGCAATCACACTAGAATTCAGGATTAAGAATCTCACTCAAAACCGCTCAACTACATGGAAACTGAACAACCTGCTCCTGAATGACTACTGGGTACATAACGAAATGAAGGCAGAAATAAAGGTGTTCTTTGAAACCAACGAGAACAAAGACACAACATACCAGAATCTCTGGGACGCATTCAAAGCAGTGTGTAGAGGGAAATTTATAGCACTAAATGCCCACAAGAGAAAGCAGGAAAGATCCAAAATTGACACCCTAACATCACAATTAAAAGAACTAGAAAAGCAAGAGCAAACACATTCAAAAGCTAGCAGAAGGCAAGAAATAAGTAAAATCAGAGCAGAACTGAAGGAAATAGAGACACAAAAAACCCTTCAAAAATTAATGAATCCAGGAGCTGGTTTTTTGAAAGGATCAACAAAACAGATAGACCGCTAGCAAGACTAATAAAGAAAAAAAGAGAGAAGAATCAAATAGACGCAATAAAAATGATAAAGGGGATATCACCACCAATCCCACAGAAATACAAACTACCATCAGAGAATACTACAAACACCTCTACGCAAATAAACTAGAAAATCTAGAAGAAATGGATAAATTCCTCGACACATTCACTCTCCCAAGACTAAACCAGGAAGAAGTTGAATCTCTGAATAGACCAATAACAGGACCTGAAATTGTGGCAATAATCAATAGCTTACCAACCAAAAAGAGTCCAGGACCAGATGGATTCACAGCCGAATTCTACCAGAGGTACAAGGAGGAACTGGTACCATTCCTTCTGAAACTATTCCAATCAATAGAAAAAGAGGGAATCCTCCCTAACTCATTTTATGAGGCCAGCATCATCCTGATACCAAAGCCGGGCAGAGACACAACCAAAAAAGAGAATTTTAGACCAATATCCTTGATGAACATTGATGCAAAAATCCTCAATAAAATACTGGCAAAACGAATCCAGCAGCACATCAAAAAGCTTATCCACCATGACCAAGTGGGCTTCATCCCTGGGATGCAAGGCTGGTTCAATATACGCAAATCAATAAATGTAATCCAGCATATAAACAGAGCCAAAGACAAAAACCACATGATTATCTCAATAGATGCAGAAAAGGCCTTTGACAAAATTCAACAAGGCTTCATGCTAAAAACTCTCAATAAATTAGGTATTGATGGGACATATTTCAAAATAATAAGAGCTATCTACGACAAACCCGCAGCCAATATCATACTGAATGGGCAAAAACTGGAAGCATTCCCTTTGAAAACTGGCACAAGACAGGGATGCCCTCTCTCACCACTCCTATTCAACATAGTGTTGGAAGTTCTGGCCAGGGCAATTAGGCAGGAGAAGGAAATAAAGGGTATTCAATTAGGAAAAGAGGAAGTCAAATTGTCCCGGTTTGCAGACGACATGATTGTATATCTAGAAAACCCCACTGTCTCAGCCCAAAATCTCCTTAAGCTGATAAGCAACTTCAGCAATGTCTCAGGATACAAAATCAATGTGCAAAAATCACAAGCATTCTTATACACCAACAACAGACAAACAGAGAGACAAATTATGAGTGAACTCCCATTCACAATTGCTTCAAAGAGAATAAAATACCTAGGAATCCAACTTACAAGGGATGTGAAGGACCTCTTCAAGGAGAACTACAAACCACTGCTCAAGGAAATAAAAGAGGATACAAACAAATGGAAGAACATTCCATGCTCATGGGTAGGAAGAATCAATATCGTGAAAATGGCCATACTGCCCAAGGTAATTTACAGATTCAATGCCATCCCCATCAAGCTACCAATGACTTTCTTCACGGAACTGGAAAAAACTACTTTAAAGTTCATATGGAACCAAAAAAGAGCCCGCATCGCCAAGTCAATCCTCAGCCAAAAGAACAAAGCTGGTGGCATCACACTACCTGACTTCAAACTACACTACAAGGCTACAGTAACCAAAACAGCATGGTACTGGTAGCAAAACAGAGATATTGATCAATGGAACAGAACAGAGCCCTCAGAAATAACGCCGCATATCTACAACTATCTGATCTTTGACAAACCTGAGAAAAACAAGCAATGGGGAAATGATTCCCTATTTAATAAATGGTGCTGGGAAAACTGGCTAGCTATATGTAGAAAGCTGAAACTGGATCCCTTCGTTACAACTTATACAAAAATCAATTCAAGATGGATTAAAGACTTAAACGTTAGACCTAAAACCATAAAAACCCTACAAGAAAACCTAGGCAATACCATTCAGGACATACGCATGGGCAAGGACTTCATGTCTAAAACACCAAAAGCAATGGCAACAAAAGACAAAATTGACAAATGGGATCTAATTAAACTAAAGAGCTTCTGCACAGCAAAAGAAACTACCATCAGAGTGAACAGGCAACCTAGAAAATGGGAGAAAATTTTCGCAACCTACTCATCTGACAAAGGGCTAATATCCAGCATCTACAATGAACTCCAACAAATTTACAAGAAAAAAACAAACAACCCCATCAAAAAGTGGGCGAAGTACATGAACAGACACTTCTCAAAAGAAGACATTTATGCAGCCAAAAAACACATGAAAAAATGCTCACCATCACTGGACATCAGAGAAATGCAAATCAAAACCACAATGAGATACCATCTCACACCAGTTAGAATGGCAATCATTAAAAAGTCAGGAAACAACAGGTGCTGGAGAGGATGTGGAGAAATAGGAACACTTTTACACTGTTGGTGGGACTGTAAACTAGTTCAACCCTTGTGGAAGTCAGTGTGGTGATTCCTCAGGGATCTAGAACTAGAAATACCATTTGACCCAGCCATCCCATTACTGGGTATATACCCAAAGGATTATAAATCATGCTGCTATAAAGACACATGCACACGTATGTTTATTGCGGCATTATTCACAATAGCAAAGACTTGGAACCAACCCAAATGTCCAACAATGATAGACTGGATTAAAAAAATGTCGCACATATACACCATGGAATACTATGCAGCCATAAAAAATGATGAGTTCATGTCCTTTGTAGGGACATGGATGAAATTGGAAATCATCATTCTCAGTAAACTATCGCAAGAACAAAAAACCAAACACCGCATATTCTCACTCGTAGGTGGGAATTGAACAATGAGATCACATGGACACAGGAAGGGGAACATCACACTCTGGGGACTGTTGTGGGGTGGGGGGAGGGGGGAGGGATAGCATTGGGAGATATACCTAATGCTAGTTGACTAGGTAGTGGGTGCAGCGCACCAGCATGGCACATGTATACATATGTAACTAACCTGCACAATGTGCACAGGTACCCTAAAACTTAAAGTATAATAATATTTTAAAAAATAACTTGAACCATTTTGTTAAGCCTCAGTTAACTCCATCCTTAATAAAGACAAAGAAACCATCTCTAATCAATTTAGTCTGTTATTAATGGACTCATCATTGGAATAGAAGTACCATAATGACTAATTTCAGAATACAGATATATATTGTGTCAAAGAAGTCTTTCATATGTTCTTATTTCCTTTATTTCTACACAATTACTTATTCGTACAGATTAGTACACATGTTAAACAATGGTTTACTGTTTTATCTTATCATCTCTTTTAAGTGTGTAAGCTAGATGTATTAGGGTTCTCTATAGGGACAGAATTAATGGAAATATATATATATATATTTATATTTATATAACAGGACATTTATTAAGTATTAACTCACATGATCACAAGGTACCACAATGGGTCATCTGCAGTCTGAGGAGCAAGGAGAGCCAGTCCGACTTCCAAAACTGAAGAACTTGGAGTCCGATGTTTGAGGGCAGGAAGCATCCAGCACAGAAGAAAGATGTAGGCTGGGAGGATAGGCCAGTCTCTCTTTTTACATTTATCTGCCTGCTCATATTCTAGCTGGGCTGGCAGCTGACTAGAGTGTACCCACCCAGATTAAAGGTGGGTCTGCCTTTCCCAGCCCACTGACTCGAATGTTAACCTCCTTTGGCAACACCCTCACAGACACCACCAGGATCAATACTTTGTATCCTTCAACCCAATCAAGTTGACACACAGTATTAACCATCACCAGTCCATGCTTGTCAACGTGGACCCATACACATCTTATGAAATCATACATAATCTTCAATAAAGAAAATAATAAGGTTATAATTACATGTAACATAATACAACTGTCCTTCATACAACTAGAAATGCACCAATCCCCAACCCAAATACTATTACATAAAGTTAACAACACTTAAATGTTGATGTGAAGTCAATAAATCTTATGTCACATGTTAAAGTAGAAAGGATATAAAATGAAGATATTTCCTTGGTACAAGTGTATACATACACATACATGTTTTTACCAATAGAAGGAGGAAATACTCATGACAATTACAGTCCTTGTTTCTGCAGCTGGTCACGTGGTCATAGCTGGTATTGATGACTACCTACTTCTACTACCCATTCTGTATGCCCTTTGCCTTCAGCAAGCACTTCAGCACGTTGTTTTTTGTTGTTGTTGTTTGTTTGTTTGTCTGTTTTTTTCCTGGTGGAGTGACCCAAACCTTCATTCCTGAAGGGTCTGAGTCATTTGTAGTCCTGCCTGGATTTGGCTGCTGTAGTTTCCCAGTGACCTTAATCACAGGTCATGGTAATACTAAGAGACACTCTAATGGATCTCCTGCATTCCATATATATATACTTCCTTACCTCCGTTGTGGAGCAGTAGACTGATTTCATCTTGATAATCTGGGTCTATCATCCCAGTCAACACTGTAACTCCCTTCTTAGCCTGTTGACTTAAAGGTAGGAGGAGCCCAAAGTGTCCAGGTGGCAATCTTAACTTCCAGTTTAATGGAATCATTGTTGTGTCTCCTGGTGGGAGCGTTCCTTGCTCTGGAACTAAGACCTCTATGCCAGCAGCATATATTGTTGTGGGAACAGGAAGCAAAAATTTTACTAGTGGATCACTAGGGGGGATGGTGAGTGGTGCCACTTCCACTTCCACCTCTTGATTTCTGGACCCGTGAAACCTGGCTATGGGAGAAACAGTACCATATATTGGATGCTGACTCAGAGCATACAGGGCCTTCTGGAGAACTTTGCTGCAGCCCTGCAAAGTATTGTTGCCTAGACGGCATTGTAATTGTGACTTCAAGAGGCCATTTCACTATTCTATCAATCCAGCTACTTCAGGATGATGGGGAACATAGTAAAACCAGTGATTTCCATGAGCATGAGCCCACTGCCACACTTCTGTAACCATAAAGGGGGTGCCTTGGTCAGAGACAATGCTGTGTGGAGTACCAGGGCGGAGGATAAGGCATTCCGTGAGCCACAGATTGTAGTCATGGCAGAAGCATAGTGTGCAGGATAGGTAAACCCATATCCACAGTAAGTGTCTATTCCAGCAAGGACAAACCTCTGCCTTTTCCATGATAAAAGAGGTCCAATATAATCAACCTGCCACCAGGCAGCAGGCTGATCACCCTGAAGAATGGTGCCATATCAAGAGCTCAGTGTTGGTCTCTGCTGCTGGCAAATTGGGCACTCAGCACTGGTTATAGCCAGGTCAGCCTTGGTGAATGGAAGTCTGTGTTGCTGAGCCCATGCGTAACCTCCATCCCTGCCACTATGGCCACTTTTTTCATGGGCCCATTGGGCGATGACAGGGGTGGCTGAGGAAAGAGGCTGCATGGTGTCCACAGAATGGTCATCTTATCCACATGATTTTTAATATCCTCCTTTGCTGAGGTCACCAGTTGGTGAGCACTCACATTGGAAATAAATATCTTCACAATGTTTGACCACTCAGAGAGGTCCATCCAGAGATCTCTTCCCCAAATTTCTTTGTTACTAATTTTCCAATCAGGCTTCTTCCACATCCCTGACCATCCAGTCAAACCAGTGGCTACAGCCCATGAATCAGTATCTAATCGCACATCTGGCCATTTCTCCTTCCATGCAAAGTGCACAACTATGTGCACTCCTCGAAGTTCTGCTCACTGGGAAGATTCCCCTTCACCGCTCTCCTTCAGGGATGTCCTAGAAAGGGGTTGTAGTTCTGCATCTTTTCACTTTTGAATGGTGCCTGAATATCGTGCAGAACCGTCTGTGAATTTTCTGTTATTTGTATTATTGTAAGAGCCATCTAGCAATTATATAAAATCAAAAACACTAGATTTAGTTTTGTCAATAATGAAGCTGATTATTTTTCTGATACATGGGCACTAGCTAAGACTGAGATAATCCAAAATATCCATTCAGAAATTAATTTGCATTCTCTTCCTACAGCTTCTTTTTGAGATCTGGTGATGAATAATAAAACAACCTGATTTGATTCAACTTATTTTTGTTGCTTTCCTTGTTCACTGTCTGAGAGATGTGCTAATGAACAGCAAAATTGTTGAAGAGTTAACAGTAGCAGAATAGAAAAATAAGTCATGGATAAATTACAAAAAAAAATGGAAGCTAGATAACAGAATTATTATTATTTGGATGGGTGTTATGTGGAAAAAAACTTGATATGCTACGAGTTTGGTTCTATCAGTTCTCTGAAATACAAATATACAAGAAAAGAATTGACAAAATTTTCATCAGATATCCAGGTACATGTTGGTAAGTGGAAATAATACTTGCTTTAAAACCAACAATAGCAATGTTGTCTATGATTCAGATTTCACTTTCGTTTAAGAAATTCCATGCAGAAAAGAGTGAACATCTTGGAATCGGAGAACTATAAGGGATTTATAGAAGTCATATAATGCATTGCCTTTCTGGAGTGTACAACATCAAAAACAACCCAAACAATTTAATTTTTTTAGGTGTTACTACAGACATTACAATCAGAGATACACTAGTGTGTATGAGTCCATTCTTGCATTGCTATAAAGAAATACCTGAGACTGGATAATTTATAAAGAAAAGAGGTTTAATTGGCTCCCAATTCTGCAGTTTGTACAGGAAGCATAATGCTGGCATCTGCTGGACTTCTGGAGAGGCCTCAGGAAACTTACAATCATGGCAGAACTTGACGTGGGAGCAGGCACATCTTACATGGCAGGAGCAGGATCAAGGGTGGGAGGTGCTACACACTTTTAAACTACCAGATCTCATGAGAAATCACTCACTAGCAGGAGTACAGCACAAAAAGGATGGTGCTAAACTATTCATGAGAAATTCACCCTCATGATCCAATCACCTCCCACCAGGCCCCACCTCCAACATTGGGGATTACAAATCCACATGTGATTTGGATGGGGACACAGATGCAAACAATACACTGGAGTTTCACTACACAAATCCTCATAAAACTACTCTTGTCAAGATCAACTATTGCCACCATATTAGACAAATTTAATGTATTTTTTTAAGTTCTCACAATGAGATCTGTTTAAGCCTTTCACATGATTAGATACACTCTAGAAACTTACTGTATTTCTGGCTTAATATAATTCAAAAGCCTTACATGATGTTTAAAATAACATTCAAAATCGTTTACATAGCCTATAAAGGGCATGATGTAGCTCTTTCTTACGTTAAACACCTAATCTTGTGCCACTTTCTCCCTTATTCACTACACAGCAGCCACAGCCACGCTAGCATTTTAAAATTTTCTCTAATATACCAACCTAGGCCTTTGTCTATGATATTTAATATGTTAATATATGTAAAGCCCTTAGCGCAGAATCTAACTTGTAGTGAGATCCCAATAAATAACTTCTGTATTTTATTATTTATTTATTAATAGTTAATAATCATAAAATCTTATGAAGTAAGTCTTATTCCATTTTATAGGAAAACTACTACACAGAGAGAGCAAGTAACTTCAAAGATGGCATAGCTGATAGATGGTAAAATGGTGGGGCTGGAATACAACCCAAGAAGACTACTAAGTAAGTAATATATTAATTCCTTTTTGTAGACAAAGACTCTACAAAGCCAACTCTTAAGTAATAGCTGTAATCAGGTGTATCTGATTCTAGAAGTTAGGTTTCTTAATGAAAAAGGAGATGATGAACAATATTTATTAGCCAGAAAATTCTGTGTGACCACTAGCACTGTTGCACAAATGTATTTTAGATAAGGGGAAAGTTTGATAACCTATAACAGCTGTGTAATAACTCTGAGGCTAAATAAAGGGAAAATTGGTGGAATGTACCTAAAGTAAACTGGGCCTTGGTGAGGAGGAAGAGGGAATTGCTTTTAATAGCTTCCATACAACATTCCCATCTCTACTCATGATTCTTTCGGAGGTCTGAAAGTGGAAATGATATTTTGTGGTTGGAAGAAGAATTAAGGAGAGTGTAGGCATGCTGCTAATCAGTTTATCTCTGCCTTTATAATCTATAATTCTCAATGAAGATTACTAAGTTCAAATCAGTCGGCTCACCATTTGGAAATCAGAAATAACATGGTCATCGCTTGTCATTCTGGAAATTTATAGATGGCTGCTTTCACATTGCCCCTGCCTTCGCCTAAATTGTGCTAAAATTACTGTGGATCTTATCAAAAAGTTGTGGATTTACGTAGCACATCTCTGCATCATCAATATAAACACACACACACACACATAAAACAAAGTGATGTTTAAAGTTATCCCAATATTTAGGCTTCTATAACAAAATAGCATAAAGTGGGTGGATTATAAACAACAGAATTTTATTTTTCACTGTTCTGGGGAGTCTGGAAGCTCAAGATCATGATGTCACAATGACTAGGTTCTGGCGAGGTCAGTCTTCCAGTTTTGAAGATGGCTATCTTCTCATTTTATCCTCACATGGAAAAAGTGGTGAGGAACTTCTTCAGTCCTTTATGTAAGGGCATTAATCCCATTCATCCTATGACCCAATCACTTCCTAAGGCATTACCTTCTAATACCATCATAACATAACCACATAGGGGTTGGGATTTCAACATGTCAATCTGGAGGGAAGACAAACATTCAGTCTATTGCAGGAACATTATTTTAAAAATACAGAAAGTACTAGGGGGTGTATTTTAATGACGTTGACGCTTATTCCTGGAAAGCCACTGGAGGGTTTTGAGCAGCACATTCACATTATGTGACTTACATTTTGAGTGGACCACTAATGAGTCCTCTCTGGAGAAGGTTAGGTGGAAGCAGAGGGACTAGTTAGGAGGCTATTGCAATAATCTATATGCTGAAAGATTGTGGCTTGGACTAAGATGATGGCAGTGGAGGCAGTGAGAGTTCTTTGATTCTGGATATATAATTTTATTCTATGTTTTAGAAATATGGAACTCTAAAGAGTTATTGGAAAAAATATCCACATAGCATTCACTAGGAACTCATTATTAAAAAATTCAATTTATTGTCATTGTTATTCTTTTTTTATGCCCAAATTATCTCAACTGTAACCTGTGGGAACCACCTCAAACTGGCTCCTATGTCCATTTGGCACGACACCCTTAGGTTTTCAGTACTTACTTTTGGTTACAAGGTTTTTATTTTGTTTGTCTTGTTTTGTTTTTTGTTTTTCCCAAAAAAGAAACAGAAAGGATAAACCAGAAACCAATTAAAATGGTAACCTATAGGATTAGGGTGAAGAGTGGAGGAATGGAAAGGAAAATTTTCTGAGTATAAAAGTTTTGATTTTTGCACCATATAAATTTTTTAATTCAAGCAATAAAATAAATCAAGAAGATTAATAAATGAGACTCTAAAATTAAAAACAAAACCAAAGGTCATAACAGTTCTCAAGTAAATAACTTAAGCATATGGAGAAAAAAAAACTGAATTCAAGTAACATTTGAAATTGTACTCTGGCAAGGATATAGTCTAAATACACATAAAACAGAAAGAAATCTTGAACTTTACTCGTCATGTTTGTCTTTTGGAACTCATATTGGCTTCATATTCTGAAATTGTATATTCTAGGATAGAATAAATATGAATATTATTTGAAGGCAGGGTTCTCACAGTGGAATAAAGGAAATACAAATATTGAATGGGGGCAGGTTAGGAAGAACCCTGTGGTAGCTTTAGCACTGACCACTGAAGAAGTCTAATATCAATGACACCCCAGTAGCAATCAGTATATCTAGTAACAAGATCTTAGTGCCTAACATATTCTCCACTAAAAGGAAGCAGGATTTCCTGAAGAAATGTTTGGATCCAGGTTTGAGGCAGAGAAACTATACGGTTCTGGATATGTTTTGAAGCTTGAGTTCACTAGATTTACAGAAAGTTTAGTTTGGAGGAGGTAAAAAAAAAGTCAATAATGACTTCAGGTTTGGGCATTTACTGAGTTTAAGGAACACTGCAAGAGGAGCATATTGGGTTGGGGAATACAAACATTTAGTTTGGTCACATTAATATTATATGCCAATTATATCTTCATGTATGCATGATGTGTGGGAAATTAAATTCCGTCATGCATCACATAACAATGTTTCCATAAATGAAGGACCACAAATATGGTGGTGGTTCCATAAGATCGTAATGGAACTGAAAAATTCTTATAGCCCAGTAATGTGGAAACCATCATAAATATCATAGCACAACACATGACTCATGTGTTTGTGGTGATGCTGGTGTAGACAAACCTAATGCATTGCCAGTCATATAAAAGTACAGCACATACAGGCCAGGTGCAGTGCATCACACCTGTAATCCCAGCACTTTGGAAGGCTGAGTTGGGCGGATCACCTGAGGTCAGGAGTTTGAGACCAGGCTGGCCAACATGGTGAAACCCCGTCTCTACTAAAAATACAAAAATTAGTTGAGCGTGGTGGTGGGTGCCTGTAATCCCAGCTACTTGGGAGGCTGAGGCAGTAGAATCACTTGAACCCAGGAGGCGGAGGTTGCAGTGAGCCAAGATCGTGCCATTGCACTCTAGCCTGGGCAAAAACAGTGAAACTCTGTCTCAAAAATAAAATAAAAATGTGTAGCACATATGATTATGTATAGTACACAATACTTGATAATGGTAATAAAAAGCGATGTTATTGGTGTATCTATTTGCTATACTTTTTATCATTACATTAGAGTGTACTCCTTCTAATTATATGAAAAAAAAATTGACTGTAAAACAGCCACAGGTGGGTCCTTCAGAAGATATTCCAGAAGAAGGCACTGTTATGAGAGATAATAGCTCCACGTGTTATTGCCCCTGAAGACTTTCCAGTAGGATAAGATGTGGAGGTAGCAGATAGTGATATTGACCATCTTGACCTTGGGTAGGCCTAGGCTAATACATGTGTTTGTGTCTTAGTTTTTAACCAAAATGTTTAAAAAATAAAAAATATAGAAAATTTTAAAAATAGAAAAGAGCCTGTTGAAAAGGGATATAAACAGAGAATACTTCTGTATAACTGTACAGTGTTTTGTGGTTTAAGTGTTATTACTGAAGAGTCAGAAAGTTAAAAACAAGTTGAAGGTTTGTAAAGTAAAAAAGTTACCTTAAGATAAGGTTAATTTATCGTGGAATAAAGAAAAAATATATTTTCATAAGTTTAATACAGCCTAAGTATATAGTGTTTACAAAGTGTACAGTAGTGCACAGTAATGTCTTGGGACTGCACATTCCCTTACCACTCACTCACTGACACCCAGAGCAACTTCCAGCCCTGTGTGCTCAATTCATAGAAAGGGCCCTATGTAGCTTTAATGTTTTTGATATTTTACACTCTAATTTTACTGTACCTTTTCTATGTTTAGATATATAAATACTCACCTTTGTGTTACAATTACCTCCCATATTCAGTATAGTAACATGCTGTACAGATTTGTAGCCTAAGAGCAATAGGCTATACCATATAGCCTAGCTGTGTAGTAGGCTACACTATCTAGTTTTGTGTAAGTACACTTTATGAGGTTCACACAAAGACAAAATAACTTAATGCATTTCTCAAAATATATCCTTGTCATAAAATGACACATGACTGTATGTGAGTTCAGGTAACAAATGGGAGTTGATATATAAATTTTGAAATTATCCACATATATATGGTATTTAAATTCTTGCAACTGAATAAAGTCATCTAAGTAATGAGTTTAAATGGAGAAAAGAAGATTGAGAATTGAGCCCTGGGATACTCTAATAGCCAAGGTTTAGAAAGAGAATGAGTGCCTAGCTCAGGAGGAAGAGGAATAGCCATTAAAGTAAGTGCAAATCCAGGAAACAGTATTTCTCAGAAACCAAGAGAAGAAAGTCTTTCAAAAAAAAAAAAAAGCTTGTTTCTTCTCTCATCTCCATTTTCTTCTTATTGATTGTTTTTGGTCTAATATGCATTTTCCATGTTTTAAAAGTGTTCTCTTATAGTTTTCGTTGTTATCTTTTTGCAATGTATTTCAATAGAATCCTTTTCTATAGTCTTCTAAATCATAAAATTTTGTAGTTAGGTATGCCAATTCTACCATTTCAGCCCTTCCTACTGATTTATTTAAAATACCAGCTATCATGTTTTAATCTCCCATAATTAGAGCTTTCTGCTTGTTTCTTTATCGTAGAAGCCAATTTTTGTTTTTAAAGTCACAATGCCCTCTTGACTTTAAGTATAGATGAAATGGTTCTATAAGTTCTCATAAGTTAGAAAACAAATTACTGGGGAACCATTAATGTGTTTTGCTTAGGGACTGATTTCACTGATCAATGTATGCTTTCCATTGTGTTCCTTCAAAAGTCTAATGAATCTTGGTTTTCTGAAAATTTTCACAAATGAGGGCCTTATTAATCAGAATTAGGAGGTGGGGTGAGTTTTTCTAGTATTTTTGATATTAATTCTTTCACTGGTAGTGAATTGGACTGATGCTAAAGGAATAGACAGCTGTGCAGGCCTTTAGTGTGCCAAAGACCTTGCCCCAAGGGTATCATGTTTCTGTGCCCATGGTGACATATTCTGTAGGTAAGATACCCTATTTTAAAATTAATTATCCCTTTGGCCATCCCCATCAGCTACCTATCTATGCCTAATCTCTTACGTTTCTAATGTTGGGGTTTCTCCATGATTTCATGTGAAAACTCAGTTTCCTTCAGTGTCTTTTTCCACCTGTATTGCACTGTGGTTTCTCAGTCCTGTGGGTTTTCATGTCATACTGGTCTCATTTACATGATAATATGTAGATATTTCTCATAGTTCCTGACTCACTAATGTCACCTACTCAATTTTCCAAGATTGTTACTGATCTATACATATTTTTTTCTATTTATGCTATCATTTTGGTGAGATTTGGGTATATAGAATATTTAGCTACCATTTTAATAATAATAGCTAACACTTATTGAGTACCACTCTCCACGTATATTCCTAGGAGGGGAGTTCATTAAATCTCCTACAACTGTACACTGTAATAGTAACAACTGACCCTTATATAGTGCTCTCTATTTTCCAGATGATGTTATAAGTATGTGACATATACTAACTCATTTAATCTTGGCACAATCCTAGGAATTAGGTACTAATATTTTCCACATTTAAAAAATGAGCATGTATCTAAACAGATACATTTTATTCATTTATAAATTATATGCATGTACTAGTATACTAATTATTAAGTGCATCATAAAACCCAACAAAAATATTAATCAAAAGAGGGGAATACAAAAATTAAAGATAAATTCTAATATTTTATTCCCACACTTTGATGGATCTTCTTGACTAGGACTTCAAATGCCTACAAACCACTTTAGAGACTATTTCTGTTAGAAGACGTTCAGTTTTTTACCAGACTGTGGCCCTAGAAAGGCACTGAGGCAAAACAATTGTAATTTGCATCTCTCAGGTCTTCTAAAATAGGTTGTATACTGGAATTGTTCTTCACAGGATTTGTTTCCTTTTGTCTTACCTTGTCAATCTCCAAAAAATATACGGATATTTTTATGTGAAATATTTAGGTTAGTCTTCCATGTTAACTATTCTGAATGGGTTAACAACTACTTCTGTGTTTGAATTCTGGAGGGTTCTCTAAGAAAACTATACTAATTATATTATTTCTACCTATTCTACCTCCATATCTATAGAGCATATATTTTCTCACAGGGCTCAGTAATTGGTTGAGTATATTAATTAGTCAAGAACTAATGGCTTAGTGGCTACCAAAGGCATCTTATCCACTGGTCACATTTAAAAAGTATCTGTCAATCAGATACTTATTCCAAGAAGACAAACACAGTGCCAGGATGGCTGCCAAGATGAACAAATATTTCATAGATGTCACTGGCTTGCTGACTGGCTGCCTGCCTGCTTTCCCCTTGGATTCGTTATTCACCTAGGAAGTTTTTTCAAAAATCCATCAGACAGAGCTAAACAGACCTAAGTTGTAACTACTAAAATGTGTAGAACTACTGGACATGTTTAATGCTGCCACAGGTTTCCAGCTATGTACAGAGAAACTTTTGTTTGTGTGTTGTTCTCTAAAATCAAAACTGTGAGAATATGTTTACATTTTTATTATAGAAGTAGAAAATAAATACATCAACCTCTGGGAAAGAATGTAAAATATTTCTTAAAATTATTATGGTGCATATATATATGTTAATATTAACATGTCAGTGGTACAAATACAGGACATCTAATAAAAAAAAGTATACAGAAAAGTGGGTGAAGATTAAAAACAAATTAATCATTATTTTTGCTTACTGGCAATCAGTTCTTAAATTCAATTCTTCTTGTTCCCTCGAGCCAAAAACAACTCCAAGTGCAGGAAGCTAAAGATTTGACTGTTTTCTTGGTTTTTCTGAAGCTGTAATTTTTTTTCTGGGCCAGAACTACCACTAAGAATCATTGAATAAAAACATGGAAAATTAACCATCATAACCAGCCTGTCCACTAAGCTACTCTTCCCTTGGTTCCTTGACTGCTCTTCAGTGGTTTATTAGTTTGCTAGCCTTGCTATAACAAAGTATGACAAGACTATGTGGCTTATAAAGACAGAAGTTTACTATTTTGTAAATCTGGAGGCTAGAAGTTTGAAATCAACGTGTCAGTAGAACCATGCTTCTTCTAAATTCTGTAGACAAAGGATCCTCCTTTCTTCTTCCAGCTTCTGGTAGCCCCAGACTTCCCTTGGCTAGTGGCAGCATAATTTCAACCTTTGCCTTCATCGTCACATGACATTCTCCCTGCACCTCTTCACATCATCTTTCCTCTACTCATGCCTGTGTCCAAATTTCCTTTTATTTTTTTTAAATAAGGACGTCAGTAATATTGGAGTAAGACCCACCCTAATTACCTCATTTTAACTTGATTGGCTCTGTAAAGACTCTATATTTAAATAAGGTCACATTCTGAGGTACTAGAGGTTAGACTTCAACATATTTCTTTTGTTTGAGGGGGGACACAATTCAACCCATAATAAATGGTATGATCCTGTCCTCTTCACCATCCTAGCCACCCTTATCAAATGATCCTCCTAGAGCATGGTGTCTCTGTGACTGAACAAGCCACTTTAAGTGAAGTCCAACTCATGCAGAAGACAGTGGACTGATACCTCTTATCTTTACTTTGGACACTAAATATTCCTCAGTAGAACCAAGAGTGGCACTGAATTTTCTCTTTATCAGTTTATGGTCTTGAACCCCAGGCCTTTTGCACAGACTTTACTGTAAAGCCAGGTCACCCCCAAGCAAAATACATAATGTTGAATATTTTAATATAAACATATGATTTTACCTTTTACCTGCCAAATTCCCTTTTATTACTACTTTTTAGTCTTCAATTTTTAGTCCATCACTCTAGCCCCTGAAATTATATGCAAATATTTTGCATATAAAAGTATGTGCTTTCGTCTCCTAATCAGAGAGGCTAGAGATTTGTAAATGTTGACTCTATGGTCTAACATCTAGTTACCACTCCAGCTTTGTATAACCTGCAGATTAGATAACCTGGAAATTTTGTGCTTATTTACATTATTGATACAAATGTTGATCAGGATAGGTCCAAATCCAGAACCAGACAACATATCAGGAGATCTCCCCATAGATCGCCACTGATCCCTTGATCAGCAATTTTGAGGAGCAGTACAAATTCATCTTACTCTATTATTACCCATTTATCACTGTATCCATCCCACAAACATCTATAAAGCATCTATATGTTCCATTCACTGTGTTACCTGTTTTGGACCTCCTTATTGTAAGAAAAAACAAAAGTAGCATGGTAACTATGAACAAAATATTGTAAAATACAGCAAGGAAGCAGCTTTTAATATGTGAAGAGAGGGTAAGATAAACAAAAACTAAGACTGGGGAGACGGTCAAGAGCCAGATATTTGTTAGTATTACAGACAGCAAACTTGTTAAAAATAATCTACATTTCTTGCCTCATTATATTCGCCACATTATAGCTTCTTAATTGCTTACAAACTGTCCCTTGCCCCTTACAACTCTGCTGGATATGTGTTATTGAATATTATATAATATCTTCTGTCTTTTCTTGAATTATTTACAGCTAACCATACCCTCCATCAAATTCTCTCCCTTCTTTCTTCTTAAACCGTAAACTATTTTGAATGTCTTCCCACTCTTTGACCACATCATTCATGTTTGCCTTGTTGCCTGTTATTTCTCTTTACACCCCCAAATATGAGTATTGACGAGTTCCATCCTCAATTTTCTTTAAAACTCATAATATTATAAAATAAAATATGGTAGAAAACTTAAGAGTTCATCTTCTCCAATCTCCTTATAACAGAGAAATAACTTTTCCAGCTGTCAAATAGCAGAAACTATTTCCTTTATTGCAGATTCTAAACTAAATTATGCTGCACAACTCTACTCCTTCTTTGTGAATGGATGTTAACCATTCAGATTCTCCAATTTACATATAGATATATATGAAAATTACTTTATGACCTTCATCTCTAACGTGTCTTTTCCAAGTACTACAGTTTCATATTTCTGTCCCATGGGAAGTTTTCATGTATTATCTTTTAACCCCCACATTTAACAGTCCTCCTAAAAAATCTATATCTCTGTCTACATAGAACTAACTAAATCTGCTAAGTACTAAGGAACAAAGCTTCAAATTATTTTAGCTTATTTTATTTTTTCTACTTTCTATATCTAGACATCATTGTTTCTTTATTTCACCTGAGGGTTCTTAACCTGAAATCAAAGAGCCTATGGCCACAGAAAGGGAAATAGTAAGTATTTATTTTCACCGATCTTTAATCAAAATTTAGCATTTTCTTCAACAACAGATGTAGGCATCATCTCTTTAATACTTCCAATATACATTTAGTCAACAAAACCCGACAATTTTTTCCTCCGGCTATTGGCAAAAGACAACTTAGGGTCTTCAGAATACATTGACTAAAGTATTTTTAATGTTCCAAATATTGAAGAATATTCCATTCCCCTCAAAACAGTCTTAGGGAAGTATACATATGGTAGGAATCCCTCTTGCCCTTGATAACACCATCAACAGCAATGACAAGAAGAAGAAAAACCCACATTATCAAGCATCCATGTGCCAAATATTGTGCTAAACACTTGTATTATTTCATTTAATTCTCAAAACAGTGTATAAATTAGGTGCTAAAATGATTCTAATTTCAAAAATAATGAAATAAATTCAGAGAGATAAAATAGCTAGTGAAAGTGAATTGCCTAAGATCACATAGGTTTTTTCTTTTTCTGAACAGGTATTTTTTTATCTTTGTTATGTCTAAAATATAAATTTTGGACATTTAAAAGTGGTAACAGTTAATATGCCTGTGGATAATATCACAGTAAAAATTATATAAACAAAGTCAGTGATAGTTTTTCATGAATGCTCTAAAGTTCTGGCAGTATTCTCCGAGTCTATATATATATATATATATGGAGAGATGTATAATATCATGTTAGCTTATGTTCCTCTTCACAAAAATTGGACCATTTTTTGTACAAAGTGGCAGACTACATCTTAAGTACATCATGGATCATTTACTAAGTCACAAATTGTGTTTCTTAGGCTAGTTTGATTGTCATCACAAATAGAAAGCAGTGGGTATTGACAAATTATCTTCTGGGGACTTTGTAGGAGGTCAAAAATAAAACAAATCGGGGTACAATGAAAATGCTGTTAAAAAACGCAGTCATACAAACTCAGGTAGGAGCATTTGTTACGACTGGAGATTGTTAGTATGAGAATTTTCACCCAGCTTCAGGATGTCACACAAAGCTGAAAGCAACATCAAAATGCAAAGCACCAACAAAATAAGGCTTTACAAAGGATAGTAAGTGCTTGAGCTGTGATCATATAGGTTTATAGGTTACAGAGCTTGGAACTGATTTCTGTGCCACTCTCTGCTTGTCTTCAGGTAACTTTTTAAAAATATATTTTTTAAAGTGATAAAATATATGTAACATAAAATTTATCATTTTAAGACTTCGATTCTATGGCCCATTAAGTACATTCACACTGTTATGCAACCATCACCATCATCCAACTCCAGAACCTTTTCATCTTTCCTGACTGAAACTCTATACCTGTTCAACACTACTCTTTAATTCATAGAGACAGTAGAATGGTGGTTGCCAGGGAATGGAGTGAGGGTAGAATGGGGAGTTCACATAAGATAAAATGATATTACACATCTCTCTCTCTCTCTCTCTCTCTCTCTATCTATATATATATATATATATATACACACACACACACACACACATATATATCTCCATATCCATATAGATAACAAACACATATATGTATGTACTTCTATATTGACTTGGAGAATACTGCCAGTTGTTATGTGACTATCTGATTTCACTTAGTATACTGTCTTTCAGCCTCATCCATTTTGTAGTATCTGTGAGGATTTCCTTCCCTTATAAGGTTGAATAATATTCATATATATAATATATATAATATTCATATATATTACATATGTTAAGATGTGGATATTATATATACCACATCTTAGTCTGTTCATTCTTGTATAGAAACTTGGATTGCTTCCATTTTTTGCTATTGTGAATAATGCTCTTATGAACACAGGCATATAAGTATGTATTTGAGTTTCTGCTTCCATTTCTTTTGGACATATACTCAAAAGATAAATTGCTACATCATATGGTAATTTATGTTTAATTTTTTGAGGAATAGCCATGCTGTTTTTCACAGCAGTAGCATCATTTTACATTCCTGCCAGCAATGCACAAGGATTCCAATTTCTCCACATTCTTGCCAATACTTTGTATTTTCTGTTATTGATTTATTAATTGTTATAATAGCCATTCTAATGGTTGTAAATTACTAATGAGGTTTTATTTTACATTTCTCTAATGATTAATGATATTAAACATTTTTTTCATGAGTTCATTCTCCATTTGTATACAGTATTTGGACAAATGTCTATTCAATTATTTTGTCTATTTTTCAATAGGATTGTTTTCTTGTTGCTGAGTTATAGGCATTCTTCATGTATTCTGGATATCAATCCCTTTTCAGATATATGATTTGAAAATATTTTCTCTGATCCCATGAATTGCTGTTTCATTCTGGTGATAGTTCCATTTTATGCAAAAAGTTTTAATTTTGATGAGGTCCAGCTCCTTTATTTTTCCTTTTGTTGTTTGTGCATCTTTTGATATATCCAAGGAGTTATTACCAAACCCAATGTCATAAAACATTCACACTATGTTTTATTTAAACAGTTTTATAATTTCAGCTCTTACATTTAGGTCTTTGATCCAGCTTCAGCTAATTTTTGTATATGGTGTAAGATGAGGTTCCAACTTCATTCCTTTTTACATTTAAAAAAGTCATTTTATTAGTGAAGACAGTAATGTGAAATGAAACAGTTTGAAAACAGTTATATGGTTTCTTAAAATGATAAACATGTGCCTACTCTATAACCCAGCCATTCCACTCCTAGGTATTTATTATAGTTACCCAAGATAAATAAAAATATATGCTCATACAAACACTTGTACACAAATGTTCATAGCAGCTTTATTTGTAATGGATGAAAATTGAAAACAATCCAAATGTCCATCAGCAAGTTAATGGATAAATAAATTGGGGCATTTCCATTCAACGAAATTCTCTCAGCAGTAAAGAAGGAATAAAATATTGATTCACTCAATGAAATGAATGAATTGTAAAACAACTGTTCTGAGAAAAGGAAGCCAGACAAAAGAAATACATACTATATGATTACATTCATAACAAATTCTAGAAAATGCATACTAACTCATGTTGACAGAAAGCAGATTATGAGTTACCTAGGGATAGAGTGATGGGAGAAAGGGTAATAAACAAATAATTTATTATAAAGGGGCATGAGGAAACTTCTTGGGGGCCTTGAATATGTTCATAATCTTTATTTTATTTTTAACTGACATCTAATAATTGTGCATATTTATGAGGTACACAGTGATGTTTTGATACATATAATGTATAGTGAACAATCTGAGTAATTAGCATATCCATCATCTCAAACATTTATCATTTCTTTGTGTTGGAAACATTCAATATCCTCCTACCTCTAGGAGGTACCAGCCTCTAGTTAACTCTTTTCTACTGTTTACATCTCTGAGATCAACTTTTTTTTAGCTTTCAGATATAAGAACATACATAGTGTTTAACTTTCTGTTACTGTCTTATTTAACTTAACCTAACGTACTCCAGACCATCGGTGATGCCATGAATGGAAGGATTTCTTTTTATTGCTGAATGGTATTCTGTTGTGTATAACAGTTTTCCCAACACCATTTGTTGAAGAGACTATCTTTTTGATAGTCTCAAACATGATTTTTAAAAAAATCATTTGAACATATATGCAAGGGTGTATTTCTGGACTCTCTATTCTATTCAATTCGTCTATGTGTGTCTCTATACTGGTAGTACACTATTTTGATTACTATAGCTATGATGTATGTTTTTAAATCAGAAAATGTGAAACATCCAACTTTGTTCTTTCTCAAGATTTCTTGGTTATTTGGAATCCCTTGAGATTTTGTTTGATTTTTAGGATGGATTTTCGTATTTATTCAAAAAACCTCATTGAGACATTGATAGGAATTGGATTAAATCTGTAAATAGCTTTGGGTAGTATTGACATATCAACAATATTAAGTCTTGCAACCCATTAATACATATTTTTTTCCATTATTTCTGTATTTTACAATTTATTTTGGCAATGTTTTGTAGTTTTCAGTTTATAAGATTTTGATTTCTTGGTTAAGTTTATTCTTAAGTATGTTATTATTTTTGATGATATTTTAAATGGAATTACTTCTTTAACTCAGATTTGAATTGCTCATTGTTAGTGTACCAAAATGGAACTGATTTCTGGGTGCTATATTTATATCCTGCTATTTTGTTGAATTTGTATTAGTTTTACCAGTTTTTTCAGGGTAGAATCTTTATAGTTTTCTATATATAAAATAATGTCATCTGCAAACAGAGATAATTTTACTTGTTCCTTTCCAATTTAGATGCCTCTGCAGGTAACTTTTATGGAAAATCTATCATTAATCTCTAGTCATTGGGCTTCATTCTCAAAAACCCTTCTGCAGAAATGTGTCTATTTGTTTATACACTGTTTTTTAACATTATTTTTATTATTAATAACTCATTCCATTAATTCATCCAAGAACTACTTCTTATTGAAAGCCTATTATATGTCAGACACTGAGGCTCTTGTGATACACTAGTGATCCCTCTTCTCTTCTGGAAGGATCCTGCATATACTCTATCCAGAGCATAGCACCACAAAATTTGAACAAGATCATCTCTTGTGGAGACTAGAGATCCTTGAAATTGTTGGTCATTATTGTGTGATTGATAGTTTTTATTGATGTATAAATAATAGAAACACAATTTTATTTATTAGTAAGAAGGGCTCCTGACTGTATCCTGTTTTGGTGCTAAAATATTGCCAATAATTTACTCTGCCTGAATTCTAACTGTATTCATAAAATAGATGAATTTATTGTATCCAAATTTGCTTCAACGGAGTGGAAGGAAAAATATTCTCAATAAGAAAAATATCCCATTTTAATAAAGGATAATGCATATTAGAAACTACCAATGCTGGGTACCAAGCTAAAACCAATTTGAATTAGCAAGAAAGACTAAATTATAGCAATTTGAAATGAAACAGATAGCTAGGTAGATAGATAAATAGAAAGACATAGTTATATGCAGATAGCTTTCCGATATATATGTGTATATATATATACACATAATTGCATTTTTATTTAAAAATTTTATGTATAAGTTCTACAAAATCCTAGTTCAAGAAACAGATAAGACAGTTATGATTGACCTAATTGGTGACTTGCAAATAAATGATGCATTTAAGACAGCTTACTTTTTTTCACTTTTTATTTATTTTTTATTTTTTTCTTTTTATTATTATTATTATTATACTTTAAGTTCTAGGGTACATATGCACAATGTGCAGGTTTGTTACATATGTATACATGTGCCATGTTGGTGTGCTGCACCCATTAACTTGTCATTTACATTAGGTATATCTCCTAATGCTTTCCCTCCCCCCTCCCCCCATCAATGATAGACTGGATTAAGAAAATGTGGCACATATACACCATGGAATACTATGCAGCCATAAAAAAGGATGAATTCATGTCCTTTGTAGGGACATGGATGAAGCTGGAAACCATCATTCTCAGCAAACTATTGCAAGAACAAAAAACCAAACACCGCATGTTCTCACTCATATGTGGGAATTGAACAATGAGAACACTTGGACAGCTTACTTTTAAGTAAGATAAATATTCTTCTTTCTGTCTCATTTACACTTCTAGTTTGCTAAAACAGAATATTAATTATCTAAACACAATGTTAAATTTAGTTAATCTAACTATGACAGTGTAGAGTGATAAATAAAAGCATCAGCTTTCTCAGTAAGAAATATTGAAGAGCTCAAGTGTTGCCTTTACCACTTACTAGGCATTTGATCTTGGGCAATTTACTGACCTTATTGTGCCTCCATTGCCTTACTTCTAAAGTCAGGAAAATACTACCACCTTCCATACTGGGCCATTAGGATAAATAAATAGATTTGAAGCACTTAGGACAATAACCAATGAATCGTAAGTGCTCAATAAATACTAACCACTATTTGTAGTTATTTTGCAATCACTTGAGACTAAATGATGCATTATCTTAATTTGAGTTTTAGTTCTGCCCAGAGAATGGAGAACATATATTTTCAAAATCATTTGGTCAGATTTCTTTAGAGTTATTTTAGAAACGTTTTCAATCCAAGGAATATTGAAAAACTGCAAAGGCTTCTATTTTACTAGGTTTTTCTTCTAGTGTTTTCTTTGATACATGGTATATCATTTATAAAATTACAATTGCCTTATCCTCCAGTTGCTTATAATGCAAATAAGACATTTGACCAAATATCTCAATTTTGCAGGCCACCATATGAATTTTGTTTTACTGCCAATCAAACTGCACCACATTATTCATTGGTTCCACTCAAATGTTTTCCACAATCAGTCTAGTTAGTACCTTTGGCCTTCAAAGCAAATTAAAGTAATGGACAAGTTTCTTTGATAGGTTAATTAAGCCACACTGATCTAAAGCTGGTTTCTGAAAGGTTTTCTTTTTATGTTTTAGTCATTCAGTTTAAAAGGAGAAAAATTCAAATCAAAACATCAAACTTGATAATGCAAAATGTGTTTTGGGTTCAAAGATTGGGCATTTATGACCAGGCATGGTGGCTCATTCCTGTAATCCTAATGCTTTAGAAGGCCAAGGTAGGCGATTGCCTGATCCCAGGAGTCAAATACCAGCCTGGGAAACATGGTGAAACCCAGTTTCTACAAAAAATACAAAAATTAGCCAGGGGTAGTGGTGCACACCTGTAGTCCCAGCTATTCAGGAGGCTGAGGCAGGAGGATCTCTGCAGCCCAGGAAGTCAAGGTTGCAGTGAGCAGAGATCACGCCACTGCACCCCAGCCTGGGGCAACAGAGTAAGACTCTGTCGCAGAAAAAAAAAAAAAAAGGATTGCGCATTTCTATAAGTCTTTATACAACTACAGACACTCAGAATGTTAGAGCCAGAAGCAACTTAGGGCTTATCTAGCCTAACCCTCTTATTTATATTTTGCAATATTGAGATCTACGGAGGACAAGAAAAAGGTCTAGAGAAAAATCTATGTCTCTTAAGTCCCAATTATTTTAAATCTCTACCTTTTATTAGTACTTTTATTAAGAACCTGGAAAACATTCATGTGTGAGGGTGTGCACAGGTGTGTCTGTTTTGTCTTCATAATTATTTTATAGATTTATAAAAGGCTTATGACTATCTAGTGCCTAAATCCATTGGCTCACAATGCAATGAGGGTCTCTGTATTAGATCCTTCATTCCTAGACTTGACGTTTTTATAATTATATCACCAATGGGGTTAGAAATATAGAATAACAAATAATCTAGTGCCTAAATCAGTTGGCTCCTAATGCAATGAGGGTCTCTGTATTAGATCCCTCAGTCTCAGTCTTGACGTTTTTATAATTATATCACTAACGGGGTTAGAATAACAGAAGCTTCAGCTCCAGTACACCACAGAAGGACTGAAACCTCATTCTGCACCCATCTAGTCTAGGTGTGGGCCCACTAGTGCACATAAGCCAGAATCCAAGCACTATGATTATTGTGCTTTACATATAAGCAAGCCCTTTTGGCCCTTACTTGGATCAGATTAACTTTCACTTTAGACACAAAGCAAAGGTATTTGTTTTTGTTTTTAACTTTTATTTTAAGTTCAGGGGTACATGTGCAGGTTTGTTACATAGGTAAAGCTGTGTCACTGGAGTTTGTTATACTGTTTATTTCATCACCCAGGTATTAAGCCCAGCACCCATTAGTTATTTGTCCTGATCCCCTCCCTCCTCGGAGCCTTCTCCCTCCTATAGGTCCAGTGTGTGTTTCTCCTCTCTATGTGTCCATGTATTCTCATCATTTAGCTCCCATATACAAGTGAGAACATGTGATATTTAGTTTTCTGTTCCTGCTTTAGTTTGCTTGGGGTAATGTTCTCCAGCTCAATAAGTTTCCCTGCAAAGGACATTATCTCATTCCTTTTTATGGCTGCATAGTATTCCATGGTGTATATGTACCACATTTCCTTTATCTAGCCTATCATTGATGGACATATAGGTTGATTCCATGTCTTTGCTATTGTGAATAGTCCTACAATGAACATATGTGTGCAAGTGTCTTTATAATAGAAATATTTATATTCCTTTGGGTATACACCCAGTAATGGGATTTCTGGGTCGATTAGTATTTCTGTCTTTAGGTCTTTGAGGAATCGCCACGCTGTCTTCCACAATGGTTGAACAAATTTACACTTCCACTAACAGGCTATATGCATTCTTTCTATCCCACAACCTCACCAGCATCTATTATTATTATTATTATTATTTTACTTTTTAATCATAGCCATTCTGACTGGTGTGAGATGATATGTCACTGTGGTTTTGATTTGCATTTCTCTTGTGATCAGTGATGTTGAGCTTTTTTACATATGATCATTGGCCACGTGTATGTCTTCTTTTGAAAAGTGTCTACTAATGTCCTTTGCTCAGTTTTTAATAGAGTTCCATTGGAAAATCTTATGAACATCTCTATGCACATAAACTAGAAATTCTAGAGGAAATGGGTAAATTCCTGAACATATACACTCTTCCAAGACTGAACCAGGAAGAAATTAAATCCCTGAACAGACCAAAAATAAGATCTGAAATTGAGGCAGTAATTAATAAATAGCCTATTAATGAAAACAAGCCCAGGACCAGACAGATTCATAGACGAATTCTACCAGATGTACAAAGAAGAGCTCTTACCATTCCTACTGAAACTATTCCAAAAATAGAGGAAGAGGGACTCCTCCCTAAATCATTCTATGAGGTCAGCATCATTCTGATACCAATACCTGGCAGACATCCAACAACAACAACAAAAAAACTTTGGGCCAATATCCTTGATGAATATCGGTGCAAAAATACTCAACAAAATACTAGCACACCAAATCCAGCAGCACATCAAAAAGCTTATCCATCATGGTCAACTAGGCTTTGTCTCTAGGATGCAAGGTTGGTCCAACATATGCAGATCAAAAAAATGTGACTCATCACATAAACAGAACTAAAGACAAAAACCACATAATTATCTCAATAGAGGTAGAAAAGGCTATTGATAAAATTCAACATCTATTCATGTTAAAAAAAACTCTCAATATACTAAGCATTGAATGAAAACAAAAAATAATAAAAGCCATGTAAGACAAACCCACAGCCAACATCATACTGAAAAAAGCTGGAAGCATTCTCCTTAAAAACTGGCACAAGACAAGGATGCCCTCTCTCACCACTCATATTCAAAATAGGGTTGAATTTTTTGGCCTGGGCAATCCGGGGAGACAATGAAATAAAGGGCATTCAAATAGGAAGAGAGGAAGTCAAACTATCCCTGTCTGCAGACAACATGATCCTATATCTAGAAAACCCCATAGTCTCAGTCCAAAAGCTTCTTAAGCTAATAAACAACTTCGGCAAAGTCTCAGGATAAAAAATCAATGTAGAAAAATCACTAGGATTCCTATACACTAACGACAGTCAAACCATGAGCCAAATCAGAAACAAACTTCCATTCACATTTGCCACAGAAATAATAAAATACATAGGAATACAGCTAAAATGGGAAGAACTACAAACAACTGCTCAAGAAATCAGAGATGACACAAACAAATGGAAAGACATTCCATGCTCATGGACAGGAAGAATCAATATCGTTAAAATGGCCATACTGCCCAAAGCAATTTATAGATTCAATGCTATTCCTATGAAACTACCATTGACATTCTTCACAGAACTAGAAAAAAAAATTCAAAGTTCATATGGAAGCAAAGAAGAGCCAGAATAGCCAAGGCAATCCTAAGCAAAAAGAACAAAGCTGGAGACATCACAGTACCTGACTTTATACTACAGGACACGGTAACCAAAACAACATGGTACTGGTACAAAAACAGACATACAAACCGACGGAGCAGAATAGATAACCCAGAAATAAGATCGCACATCTCCAACCATCTGATCCTCAACAAACCTGACAAAAACAAGCAATAGTGAAAGGATTCTCTATTTGATAAGTGGCTCTGAGATAACTGGCTAGCCATATGAAGGAAATTGAAACCAGACCCCTTTCTTATACCATAAACAAGAAGTAGCTCAAGATGGATTAAAGAGTTAAATGTAAAGCTGGACCTTATTAAATGGATAAATAATGATTAACACCTTGTTAGGAAAGGAAACCAGAAAAACTAAAACTAAATCAAATGTATCGTTTTAAAAATTTATCCATTTAATAAGGTCCAGCTCCAACAAATATCTCATTTTTCAGTAGTTCCTTTGAGTCTCATAAATACTGTAATAATTAATGTTAAAGCAATAATTTGAGGCTATTAGGAAAGCACTGAATTATGTACCTTTTTTCCTCTATACAGCAAGCCCAAGAGCATAAAATAGGTTTAAGAAGCCCCAAATGGTTAAAGTAAATAAGCCAAACTGAAAGAGTGCTTCAGCTATAAAAGATAAAATTCACTTGGGTATATTATCAACATACTAATTTCTTTTGCTTTGGATATATATTCACTAGTGGGATTGCTGGATCATATGGGAGTTCAATTTGTAGTTTTCTGAGGAACTTTCATATTGTTCTCCATAGTGGCTGTACTAATTTACCTTCCCACCAACAGTGTGTAAGAGTTCCCCCTTCTTCACATCCTTGCCAGCATTTATTATTTTCTGACTTTCTGATAATAACTATTCTAACTGTGGTGAGGCTATGTTTATTGCAGCACTATTCACATAGCTAAGATATGGAACCAACCTAAGTGTCCATCAACATATAAATGGACAAAGAAAATGTGATATATATATTATATATATGTAATATATAATATATATATTAGAATACTATTCAGCTATACAAAAGAACAAAATCCTGTCATTTGTAACAACATGGCTAAACCTGGAGAACATTATGTTAAGTGGAATAAATCTTGCACAGGAGGACAAATACCACATGATCTCATTCATATGTAGAATCTTAAAAAGTTTATCTTATACAAATAGAAATTAGAATAGTGGTTAGAGAAGGTAGGGTGTATTAGTCTGTACTCGCACTGCTATGACATACATGACACTGGGTAATTTATGAAGAAAAAGATTTCATTGACTCACAATTCCACAGGCTGTATGTGAAGCATGGCTGGGAGACCTCAGGAAACTTACAATCATGGCAGAAGGAGAAACTGAAGCAAACACGTCTTACCATGACGGAGCAGGAGAGAGCAAAGGGGGAACTGCTACACACTTTTAAACAACCAGATCTCATGAGAACTCATTCACTATCACGAAAACAGCTAGGGGGAACCGCCCCTATGATTAATCACCTCCCACTGGGCCTGTCCCCCAACACGTGGGGATTACAATTCGACGTGAGATTTGGATGGGGACACAGAGCCAAACCATATCATAGGGAGAAGGATGGGGAAAGGCTGGTCAATGAGCACGATGTCACAGTTAGATAGGAAGAATAAATTCTGGAGTTTCATTGCATGAAACAGTCAGATGAATATAGTTAACTATAATGTAGTTTATATTTTTAAATAGCTAGAAGAGAAGATATGGGATATTCCCAACACAAAGAAATAATGTTTAAGGATATAAATATGCTAATTATCCTCATTTTATTATTACAGAGTTTACACATGTATTGCAACATTACACTCTACCCCATATATATGCGCAATTATTATGTACCAATTCATTTTTTAAAAAAGAGAGAAAACATGGAAAACTTCAACATGGAAAAATGCCTTAATTTCCAGTGATTCCCAATAAATATGGATAAATTGTGTGCTACTGTGAGTCTATTATTCATTATATATGTACATATTGAGAGGGGGATGGAGATTGAATGATCATGTACACTATTTTACTATTTTAAATGGTCTTTCGAAAGAAATACACATAAATACAAGACGAAATCATTAATTGTATATCATAGCCAACTTTTTTGATTCACAGGTCAAGCAATTATGACTTGGATAAAACAAGTAAATTTGAAAGTGAATTCCATTTAGACTCAGTCTATGGAACAATAGGGGAATTAAGCACAATGTTGCTTAAAGCCAACTCTCCTAAGTTCTGCAAATGACAGTAAACCAAAAGAAGAAATAAGAAAGAAAAAAGTACTTTGTACTTACAAACATTTCTTCATGAATTCTAAGTAAACTATGATTCTGTCACAGCTATACACATGTCGACAATAACTATGGTGAGGAATTATTTTTAGACCTAATACAGTATTTGTTTAGCAAGAGAGGCTGATTCAGGTCAATTGGTAGTCAGATGTGTTGTGTAACCTACATGGAAGATGTATAGAAAAAAGTAATTTAAACAATGTGGTTATAAACTGTATGATTGTGATTTCCCACCACATCATAGCAATCAACTCTAGTCAATCCCCCCTCTATAATATAATTTTGACCTGTCCCCTATTTTCATTATTTATACCATTAATATCTTCGTTTAAGGTCCTCCTCATTTTTATTTGGAATTTAGAAGTAGATTCCTATTTTCTCCATCTACAATCTCCCCCCACTCTAATTAATCCTACATTCCTCTACAGTATTAATATTTTAAAACAAATCTAATCAAATCACCCTTGTATACAAAAGCTTTCATTTGTTTTCCATTGACTTCTAAATAAATCCGTGTCTTATTTTGGTTTTCAAAAATGTGTACTTATTAATCCTAAACTACATTTGGTTTTGCACCTCCCACATTTTCCTTTTTGTTCCAGCAAACACTGGTAAGATTTTCACACACACCACACTGTTAACTGCCTTCATATCTTTTCTCTTTTTGTTACTTCCATTTAAAATATTGCGCCTCCATCTGGCAAATATTTCCTCATCCTTTAAAACTCAGGCCATGTGTCAGCTTCTTTTCAGACTTGTTCTTTGACTCTGTCAAGATATATCAGGTTCCCTGTTTGTATAATTACATTAATACAAACTACAATTATTGAACTTTCCATATTTAATTATAATTCTTGATTAGTCTCTCTCTCCTATAAGAAAATTACCTGAGGCAGGAGACTGTATAGTATTTACCTTTATACTTTCAATACCCCATATATATTAGGTATTCATTAAATGTTAATTGTGTGAATAAATGCAGATGCTTTTGACATCTATTTATGCAGCCTAAAACTCTCTGGACACCAGTTATACCTTTCCACATGCTTCAGGTCATCTTTTGCCAGCACTACAAATTTAAAATAAACCAAATTTACCTCCTATTCTCTTATTTACCAAAACTACTAGTTTATTTTTGTATTTTCCATCACTATTAATGATACTGCTATACTCCCAGTTCTCCAGGTTCAGCATTTTAGAAGCATGTTGTCTGCATGATGTACCTACAGAAAGCATTTTTCACATTTGTTCTATCTTTTTCATTTGTGTTGCTTTTGCTTGAATTCACACCCGTAATATCTCTCATATGGACCATCACAAAAGCTCCCTAATTGCCGCCACACCCTCCCTTCTGCTTCTATTTCAAACTCTCAAATCTATCATTTATACTTCTGAAAGATTAATTTTTCTAAAGCAAAATGCTATCACATCACTCCCTGCTGGAAAACTTCAGTGAGTCTTATTACCTAGAGTAAGGAGTTCTACTTCCTAAGGCTTATACTTAAAGGTCTCCACTGTCTATCCTTCAGGACCTACCTCAACTACAACAATACATGTATCAAATAATTTAGCTAAATAATGCTGCCTACTAGTTTCCAAATATGCCCTGCACTTTCCTTTATTCCTGTACCTTTTCATCTTTTCCCATGCAGTTTTCTGTCTGCCAAATATGTCGTTTGGTCTTTAATTGCTCAAAGCTTTAAAGACCTGCAGAAATTCTACATCTTTCACAGAACCTTCCTTGATCCTCACAGGTGAAAGCAAACTTTTTTTCTTCTATTGTAACGTTTTCCTCACTATGCTTCTTATTATACTCATCATATTCTACCTTCTCTTTTAGTAATGAATTGCCATCTCCCTTGCTTGACTGTAAGCACCTTGAAGGGAGAATTCATGTCTGATTTTATGTTTTTATTTTTATTTTACATGACACCTATAATATTTTGAATGATCAATAAGTATTGGTTGAAAGTAAATCTGAATGTGTTTATCAAAATGCAAAATACTGTTATAATATTAAGATAATATGTTAGAGATAACAGCTAGAAGCAGAGGAGAGTTGCAATCATGTTGATAATCTTTTAGATACATCTACTCATTCACATATGACAGAATATATGCAATACAACAGCAGGTTATAATTGATAGAATACACTTGAAGAAATATGTAACCTTTTAAATGCCACTAGTACAGGCTTTAGATTTCTCTGCTTAAATGTTTACCAGTAAATAACCATTTTAAATCAGTGTGGCAAGGGGAAATAAAGACAATTTTTAAGGTTTATACTCTATATCATTTTTCATTGTTTATGTTCGCTACAGAATAGTAAAAAGAGACGCATAAAAGTGGCATGTATTTATATAACATGTCATGAAATATATGTATCTAATATATGCATACTTTAGTACATATGAAATTGCAATTGTAAAGCAATTATAAAGTAAAATAAAATGCTACTTTCTCAGTTAATCATTGCTAGCTTCATTAATATGTATGGATCCATTCGTAGTTGTTAAATTTGCAGTTGATCCCCACCACTAGATTTAAGCTCTTCAAGATACTACTTTTGCATTACTCTTAAGCAAAACTGGGTCCAGAGCTGCTTAATAATTGTTAGTTGACCAAATGCACAATGAAGTGGTCTTTTAGATAGGATCATAAATCTTTTATCCCCCTCAATGTGTCTTCCGTTTGTTTTATAGTGCACTGTAGTCATGTGCCTGGTATAGCCTATAACTCACTAGAAGGTTGTGTTCATGATTTTCTTTAATCGTAGCATTTGTAATTAGAGTTTTTCAAGTTTCCAGAGATATGACATTTCTTTCTAAACTTTGAGCTATGTGGCAGCTTGAATCATTTAACATTGTGCCTTAGTTTTGCTTGGGTCATATTGAAATATCTCTGTAGTACTTCCAGGATTGCATTAAGCAACATACTAAATATGTACTGTTAACATTGTAAGGAAACATGAGGATTAATGTTGACATAACAATGCTAATGTTTTGTAAAAGGAAAATTCCTATAGATTTTTTATTAATTGTTTGATACTTGAAACTTTATAAGGGCCTGAATTTCATTAAATAACCTTAATATGGCACAACTAGTGAATTTTACATTTTGCAATTATGGCTATAGGAATCTCATGGGAGAAAATAATGGAGGTTTCTTAACATATATCAACATAGTGTCATCTGGGAAATGCATTTTATTAATGATTTAATTTCTTATTTTTTCACAGGATTTGAGGTTCCAATTAAAACTGTGTTTGGGCCATTGCATTACTGCCTGCTAGTGCTTAATCTTCACCGAAAATCTCGTCACTTATTTTAAAACAAAAGAAGAACAAAGTAAGGAGAAAAGTAATGAAATGCAGCATAACAAATCATTCAAAGTAAAGGGAAGTAGCTTTTTAAAAACGATCTAGGATCAGTGACATTCAGAAATTATTTGCTGAACACTAAATGTGTTCAAGTGTGGCATCTCAATTCCAAGGACTCTATGTCTTCTCTTATGAAATGAACCACGTAGGCTTTTTTTTTCCTTCTTTGCTGTTGCAGTAGCCTAAGGTAACTATTACTGATGTTACTGATATACCTCAAATAGTAATGTGAATTACAAAATGAATCTTCTTCTTTAACTAATGGAGATTCTGTGATGCTCTGGTGCTGAAATGATGAGTATAATCAACATTCTAAAATGCTATTCTTTAAAAATGTGCACAATTTTATTGTTATTCTCATAAAACACCATGTCCACATTTGCTTATACCATGGGATCATACTTAACAGCTTTCTGTCCAATCCATCACAATGTCCTTTAACTCTCTTGTTGTTAATCCATCCTTTTTGAAATACTTAGTCTGACAGTTCTTTCCAGTGTTGTGTCTCACTAAGTAAAACTGCCTATATCAGAGGAATGATATAATCAGAGATGTCATTTACAGATACAGTATCAGTCTGTAAATCCAAACACAATGAAACATACACATTTGAAAGGAAAGCATAAAAGTATCTATGCTTTTACCTTGTAGTCTCTAATAATATTTTCATTAAAGTAAAAACTTGAATACATAATTATTTGCAACAAAAGATCACTCCCAAATGAACTGATATGAAATGCTTATATTCATACCAACTAGGACTGACTTATGAAAGAATAAAAATACCTTATTAATTCTGAATTGTCAATGTATAAACAAGTACAGCTTTGTCTATAGTAATGGTAACGTTATGAATTTTTTTGAACCTGTTAGTTTTAGACTGAACTATACTTTTGGATCTCTCTATAAGTCCCATCATGTGCAAGAAGATTTAAAGACTATATATTATTCATTTCTATATCTTAACCCTCCCTTTAGGGTCTATCAAAGTGCCTGTGCTTCTTAAATGATAGAAAGGAGGGAGTGAGAGAGCAAGGGAGAGAATAATTATGCTTCACAGGGGCCAAGGAAATGTTCCATTGTCCTTTTTAAAAAAGATTTACTGTATATTTATAGGAATTAAGGATTTCAATAAAATGTTTTCAAGTTTAAATTTTCTTTCTTATGCTAGTTTCCACTTAAGAGGCTGTTAATGAGCTATGCCCATGTTCATCATTAATTTATCAGCATCTTCTTTCGTGTATTTAACTCTCATTTAAGCCCCAGATCACAGCTGCTGAGAGCACCAATGGGAAAAGTTTAACAAACAGCATTCCATGCTACTTTCTATTTAAATAAATATTTATTTTATTCTATTTTGAAAAGTTAACTTAAATGAGATTCACCTTGTAAGTTCACTGTAACCTTTTTAGTTGTTCTATCATAAAATAAATCCATCTTCATACGATATAATTTACTATTATCAGAAATGTTATCACTGCTCAGATGTTTATGAGGTATAATGGTAGCTGGTTTATGTGTTGCTTCTTTGTATATCACCTAGTCTTAAGACTTCAAACTAGTACTTTGTCTTACTAATTCTCATATTTTTCTATAAGGTAAAAACAAATACAATGTCATTGTCCTCTCTTTAGGATGAAGTAAAGAACAACGCCGAGTCTATGTCTTCCACAGATCACCATTTAAGTTAAGTTTATCAAATTTGTGTTGATTACTTATTTCATTCTAGGCAATGCCTCTAGGTTTGGGGATATAGGATGAATAAAACATGACTTTTATCATCTTGGATCATACAATTATTGAGGAAGCCAAGCATGTATATCATTTGAATACGATCTGTTGAGCATTCTGAAAGAGATCTTTGCAACATGGTATTGGAAACTTAAAGAGGGAGATTCAACCCACCTTGGCAGGGAGGTTAAGCCAATGAAAAGACACTTGAAAAGATAATGCCTAAGCTATCAAAAAATGAGTGGAAAACAGCCAGGCAAAAAAAAAAAAAAAAAGATGCAGAGTTTTATAGAACAGCAGGAAGAAGAGTACAAAGGCACAGATATAATTAAAATGAAGGTCATCTCCCTTGGTGTGTGATATGGCAATAAAACAAGAATATTTCCTGAAGAAAAAGGAAGGTTTCCTGAATGAGTTAAAAGTTGATAGAAGTCTTAAAGCATCAGTATGAGTGATCCAAATAAAGATGTAGGACAGAATGTTTTCTAAGTGGAAAACATAACATTTGAAACTAGTGTTTGTTTATAACCTTGCTGGACATCCATTTGCAAGGCATAAATCAAAATGAATTTAAGAATCAATGGTCTTTTTTTCTTTTCTCTACATTGTAAGTAGATGATGCATTTATTCCCACTTCTTTATACTCTGGGAAAGTCATAGAAACATAAAATTGTAAAAGTGAAGGAAATTTACTTACTACCATATTCATATCCCCATTTTCTGGATGATGAAACTGAAGCTCAAAGGGTTGATGCAACTTGTTCAAGGGTAAGCCATTTGTTATTTGTAGAGCCTTGATAAGATCCAATATCCTTTGTATCAGCTGGAATACTTGAAAACTGAAGCATTTTAATATTCCTTCCCTCAATTCAAGTGGATAGCCATTAGAGCAGTACAGTATACTGGTTAACAGTGCTGGTTCTAAAGTTGAAATATCTGCTTTTCACCACTTAGGTGCCAAGTGACTTTAGGCAAGTGATATAATGTTTTTGCTTCAGATTCCTCATCCACAAAGCGATACTTAATAATGTAAAGTGCTTAGATCAATGCTTAGCACATAGTAAGCATTATATAAGTGTGCTATTATTATCTGTATTTAGGTAGTCAAATATTAACATGTGCATAGATTATGGTGTGGATAATCTTGCAAATGAGTCCACTATCCAATTTTTTTAGAATATGTTAAAATGACTACCACATTGCCAATTTAATCAAAACCTTTTTGATTTATTTTTTTTCTTAATTTCCACTTTCATTTTAGATACAGGGGTACATGTGCAGGGTTGTTATATGGGTATATTTCACCGATCTAGTGAGCATATGTATTAGTCCATTCTGACATTGCTATAAATAAATACCCGAGAGTGGGTAATTTATAAAGGAAAGGGGTTTAATTGGCTCATGGTTCTGTAGGCAGGCTGCACAGGAAGCATGATGGCATCTGCTCAGCTTCTGAGGAGGTATTTAAAAAAACTTACAATTATGGTAGAAGGCAAAGGGGGAACAGGCATGTCACATGGCTAGAGCAGGAGCAGGAGAGAGTGGAGGGAGGTGCTATATTCTTTTAAAGGACCAGATCTCATGAGAACTCACTCACTATCATGAATACAGTACCATTAGGGTGCTGTTGCTAAATGAATGATGCTAAGCTATTCATGAGAAATCCTCCTCCATGATCCAATCATCTCTCAACAGGCCCCGCCTCCAACACTGGGGATTACATTTCGACATGATATTTGGGTGGGACATCCAAACCATATCAACATAGAAACCAATAGGTAGTTTTTCAACCCACACCCCCTTCCCTAACTTCCCTCACTAGTAGTCTGCGGTGCCTATTGTTCCCATGTTTATGTTGCCACGTGCTCAATGTTCAGCTCCCACTTTTAAGTGAGAACATGCAGTATTTGATTTTCTGTTTCTACATTTATTTGTTTAGGATTATGGCCTCCAGTTCCATCCATGTTGCTGCAAAGGAAAAGATTTCATTACTTTTTGTATTCCATCGTGTGTATGAACCACATTTTATTTATCCAATCTATCATTGTTGGGCACCTAGACTGATTGCACATCTTTGTCATTGTGAATAGTGCTGCCATGAACATGCATGTGTCTTTTTGGTATAATTATCTCTCTCCTTTTGGGAGTATGACTACTAATAGGATTGCCAGGTCAAATAGTAGCTGTGTTTTAAGTTCTTTGAGAAATCTCCAAACTATTTTCCACAGTGGCTAAACTAATTTACATTGCCTCCAACATTATATAAGCATTCCCTTTTCTCTGCAACGTGTCGACATCTGTTGTATTTTTTGACTTTTTAATAATAGCCCTTGTGACTGGTGTGAGATGGCATCTCATTGTGGTTTTTATTTGCATTACTCTGATGATTAGGATGGTGATCTTCTTTTCATATGTTTGTTGTCTTCTTTTGGGAAGTGTCTGTTCATGTCCTTTGCCCATTTTTTATTGTGGTTCTTTGGTTTTTGCTTGTTGATTTGTGTAAGTTTCTTATTGATTCTGCATATTACATAATCCCATTTACAATATCCACAAAAAATGTAATAACTAGGAATACAGCTAACCAAGGAGGTGAAAGATCTCTACAATGAGAATTACAAAACACGGCTGAAAGAAATCGGATATGACACAAATAAATAGAAAAACATTCCGTGCTCATGGATTAGAAAAATCAATATCATTAAAATGGCCATACTGCACAAAGAAATTTAAAGATTCAATTTTATTCCTATCAAACTGCCAATGTCATTCTTCACAGAATTAGAAAAAAACTATTCTAAAATTCATATGTAACCCCAAAAGACCCTGAATAACCAAAGCAATCTTAAACTAAAAGAAAAAAAGCCAGAGACATCACATTACCCAACTTCAAGCTATACTGTAAGGTGATAGTGACCAAAGTAGCATGGTACTGGTACAAAACAGACACATAGACCAATGGAACAGAATAAAACATTCAGAAATAAAGCTGCACAACTACAACCATCTGATCTTCAATGAAGTCGACAAAAACAAGCAATGATGAAAGCAATGAAACTGGACCCTTACTTTTCACCATATGCAAAAATTAACTCAAAATGCATTAAAGATTTAAATATATGATTTTAAACTTTAAAAAGCTGTAGAAGAAAGCCTAGGATATACCTTTGTTAACATCGGCCTTGGCAAAGAAATTTTGGCTAAGACCCCAAAAGCAATTGCAACAAAAACAAAAATTGACGAGTGAGACCTAGTTACACCCTAAAGAGCTTGTGCACAGCCAAATAAACTTTCAACAGAGTAAACAAACAACTTGAAGAATGAGAGAAAATATTCACAAACTATGCATCCAACAAAGGTCTATAATGTTTTAGAACTGCCACATGCACAGTATCAAAATTATATTATTTCTTAATTGTCATCATTAATGGAAAACAGTAAATTTTTACAAATTAAGTAATATGAAATACTAGCTAAGGGATACTAGATTAAGAATTGGAAATCTACCTAATACTTTTAAATGTAAAAAAATTACTACTTTAAGCAAAATTGCCCAAAAACATCTGTTTATTGTATAAGGATATAGAAATGGCTGTGTGACATTGTATCAGATCCCAGTCTTATGTTCCAAAAACCCTATTATGCAAACACCACAACAAATTAAATCTGAAAGCAAAGTGACATAATTATTTTACTCTTGGAAACAAGTATCAGTACTACCCTACATGTCAAATGGATGATGAGCTTTGTTCATTTGATAAAACAAACTTTAAGGACACCTTTTTTTTTTTTATTATACTTTAAGTTTTAGGGTACATGTGCACAACGTGCAGGTTAGTTACATATGTATACATGTGCCATGCTAGTGTGCTGAACCCAGTAACTCGTCATGTAACATTAGGTATATCTCCTAATGCAATCCCGCCCCCCTCCCCCAACCCCACAACAGGCCCTGGTATGTGATGTTCCCCTTCCTGTGCCCATGTGTTCTCATTGTTCAATTCCCACCTATGAGTGAGAACATGCGGTGTTTGGTTTTTTGTCCTTGTGATAGTTTGCTGAGAATGATGGTTTCCGGCTTCATCTATGTCCCGACGAAGGACATGAACTCATCATTTTTTATGGCTGCATAGTATTCCATGGTGTATATGTGCCACATTTTCTTAATCCAGTCTATCACTGATGGATATTTGGGTTGGTTCCAAGTCTTTGCTATTGTGAATAGTGCCGCAATAAACATACGTGTGCATGTGTCTTTATAGCAGCATGATTTATAATCCTTTGGGTATATACCTGGTAATGGGATGGCTGGGTCAAATGGTATTTCTAGTTCTAGATCCCTGAGGAATCGCCACACTGACTTCCACAATGGTTGAACTAGTTTACAGTCCCACCAACAGTGTAAAAGTCTTCCTATTTCTCCACATCCTCTCCAGCACCTGTTGTTTCCTGACTTTTTAAAGATCGCCATTCTAACTGGTGTGAGATGGTATCTCATTGTGGTTTTGATTTGCATTTCTCTGATGGCCAGTGATGATGAGCATTTATTCATGTGTCTTTTGGCTGCATAAATGTCTTCTTTTGAGAAGTGTCTGTTCATATCCTTCGCCCACTTTTTGATGGGGTTGTTTTTTTCTTGTAAATTTGTTTGAGTTCATTGTAGATTCTGGATATTAGCCCTTTGTCAGATAAGTATATTGCAAAAATGTTCTCCCATTTTGTGGGTTGTCTGTTCACTCTGATGGTAGTTTCTTTTGCTGTGCAGAAGCTCTTTAGTTTAATTAGATCCCATTTGTCAATTTTGGCTTTTGTTGCCATTGCTTTTGGTGCTTTAGACATGAAGTCCTTGCCCATGCCTATGTCCTGAATAGTATTGCCTAGGTTTTCTTGTAGGGTTTTTATGGTTTTAGGTCTAACATGTAAGTCTTTAATCCATCTTGAATTAATTTTTGTATAAGGTGTAAGGAAGGGATCCAGTTTCAGCTTTCTACATATGGCTAGCCAGTTTTCCCAGCACCATTTATTAAATAGGGAATCCTTTCCCCATTGCTTGTTTTTCTCAGGTTTGTCAAAGATCAGATGGTTGTAGATATGCAGCATTATTTCAGAGGGCTCTGTTCTGTTCCATTGGTCTACATCTCTGTTTTGGTACCAGTACCATGCTGTTTTGGTTACTGTAGCTTTGTAGTATAGTTTGAAGTCAGGTAGCGTGATGCCTCCAGCTTTGTCCCTGTTTGCAGATGACATGATTGTATACCTAGAAAACCCCATCATCTCAGCCCAAAATCTCCTTAAGCTGATAGGCAACTTCAGCAAAGTCTCAGGATACAAAATCAATGTGCAAAAATCACAAGCATTCTTATACACCAATAACAGACAAACAGAGAGCCAAATCATGAGTGAACTCCCATTCACAATTGCTTCAAAGAGATTAAATACCTAGGAATCCAACTTACAAGGGACATGAAGGAGCTCTTCAAGGAGAACTACAAACCACTGCTCAATGAAATAAAAGAGGATACAAACAAATGGGAGAACATTCCATGCTCACGGGCAGGAAGAATCAATATCGTGAAAATGGCCATACTTCCCAAGGTAATTTATAGATTCAATGCCATCCCCATTAAGCTATCAATGACTTTCTTCACAGAATTGGAAAAAACTACTTTAAAGTTCATATGGAACCAAAAACGAGCCCGCATTGCGATGTCAATCCTAAGCCATAATATTAGATTATGTTCTTTAGGGATCAGAATTTGTCAATTCCTTTGCATTTTCTTTTCTTTTTTTTTCTTTTAGAATGAATTGAAAAGGAAACCAGTCACTATCGAAATTTGTTTTAGAAACCTGCTTTCAAGTGCCAGCCAGAGTTCTGTGAAGTATGTTTTCTCTATCCACACTATTCTATGAGAACGAATATACAAATCTATTGTTTTATATAAAACTAATATGTAAAAGTAATTTAAAACTAATATAGAAAACTATATTTTCTCCACACTCTTGTACTATGAGAACTAAGACATAAAATATACTTCTCTATATAATGAAATAATTACATAATCAGGCAAAAATTTACATTTATGACATGATTATTTTATGACTTTATGCCCATAATACCTTACCAAGACAAGAACATAGACAATTGAATTTAGAAAAGTCTTCAACATCTGAGATTGAAACAAGAAGTTTATTCTAATCAAGACAAAATAAAGCAAACTACCAAAAAAACCCAAAAAACAGCAACAAACAAAACCCAAAACCTTCATTACTACCTCTTTCCCCAAGTGTTCTTATTAATTGAACTTTTACTATGTCCTTTATGCTCAAAGTGTTTTATTTTTAAGCATTTTAAATGTGCCTTTTCATATCAGAAGTCAGTCATCAATTTAAAAGCAGTTTACTGACATCTAATTTTCTGTTTACTATTTATGATTATTTAATTTTCTTATGTATCATTTTATAATAACCCTCCTAAGTTATTCTGCCACTGATTATTAAATTTGCATATGAAACTTTTTGAACTGGGATAGAAAAAGGATTATGTAGGCTATAAGCATTATCCTCACAGTAATTGGTTTTCTTGACACCAGATGTGTGTGGGGGGCATGTGTGTGTATTGTGTCTGTGTGAGTCCCTGACTGTGTTTATTGTACCTATGTGTATGAGTGAATGTGTGTATGTCAGCATGCTTGACAGTGGAGAGAGAGAGAGCACATTCACGATAACTTTCATTAAAAAGAGAATTCAAGAAAGTGAGGTATACTAAAACTATATGAAAATTGTTCATTGTGAGCATGATTTCCCAGGAATAATTTAATGAGACTTTGTTAAATTTTAATTTGAGGCCAGGTTTGAATAAATTTATCTAGTAAATTTTCTTTCGTACCCATTAAACATTAAATATACTGACCTATTAAAGGTTTAGTTTCTTTCAAGAATAATTGAATTCCTCAAATATGAAAAACTTTTGGCAACTGTCTTTGATATAATTTACATAAAAAATATTTGAGTCTTTAAAAGCACAAGTCCATTTTTGTAAATCCTGACCTTTCATTCCATTAAAAACCCTTCTTTGGGCCTCCATTATATTATTATTATTGTCATCATCATTTTGACTTAGCTAAACATTCTTCTGCAGCATCCTAGCAAAGGCAAAAAAACATTAACTTCCTTTTATTGGAAAACTAAAGATATAGGTGCATTCAAAATTGTGGTAAGAAAATTCTCATGTTGGAACATTTAAGATGGCCGAATAGGAACAGCTCCGGTCTACAGCTCCGGTCTACAGCTCCCAGCGTGAGCGACGCAGAAGACAGGTGATTTCTACATTTCCAGCTGAGGTACCGGGTTCATCTCACTAGGGAGTGCCAGACAATGGGCGCAGGTCAGTGGGTGCGCGCACCTTGCCCGAGCCGAAGCAGGGCGAGGCATTGCCTCACTCGGGAAGCGCAAGGGGTCAGGGAGTTCCCTTTCTGAGTCAAAGAAAGGGGTGACTGATGGCACCTGGAAAATTGGGTCACTCCCACCCGAATACTGCGCTTTTCAGACCGGCTTAAAAAACGGAGCACCAGGAGATTATATCCCGCACCTGGCTCGGAGGGTCCTACGCCCACGGAGTCTTGCTGATTGCTAGCACAGCAGTCTGAGATCAAACTGCAGGGTGGCAGCGAGGCTGGGGGAGGGGCGCCCGCCATTGCCCAGGCTTGATTAGGTAAACAAAGCAGCCGGGAAGCTGGAACTTGGTGGAGCCCACCACAGCTCAAGGAGGCCTGCCTGCCTCTGTAGGCTCCACCTCTGGGGGCAGGGCACAGACAAACAAAAAGACAGCAGTAACCTCTGCAGACTTAAATGTCCCTGTCTGACAGCTTTGAAGAGAGCAGTGGTTCTCCCAGCACGCAGCTGGAGATCTGAGAATGGGCAGACTGCCTCCTCAAGTGGGTCCCTGACCCCTGACCCCCAAGCAGCCTAATTCGGAGGCACCCCCCAGCAGGGGCACACTGACACCTCACACGGCAGGGTATTCCAACAGACCTGCAGCTGAGGGTCCTCTCTGTTAGAAGAAAAACTAACAAACAGAAAGGACATCCACACCAAAAACCCATCTGTACATCACCATCATCAAAGACCAAAAGTAGATAAAACCACAAAGATGGGGAAAAAACAGAACAGAAAAACTGGAAACTCTAAAAAGCAGAGCGCCTCTCCTCCTCCAAAGGAACACGGTTCCTCACCAGCAACGGAACAAAGCTGGATGGAGAATGACTTTGACGAGCTGAGAGAAGAAGTCGTCAGACGATCAAATTACTCTGAGATACGGGAGGACATTCAAACCAAAGGCAAAGAAGTTGAAAACTTTCAAAAAAATTTAGAAGAATGTATAACTACAATAACTAATACAGAGAAGTGCTTAAAGGAGCTGATGGAGCTGAAAACCAAGGCTCGAGAACTATGTGAAGAATGCAGAAGCCTCAGGAGCCGATGCGATCAACTGGAAGAAAGGGTATCAGCAATGGAAGATGAAATGAATGAAATGAAGCGAGAAGGGAAGTTTAGAGAAAAAAGAATAAAAAGAAATGAGCAAAGCCTCCAAGAAATATGGGACTATGTGAAAAGACCAAATCTACGTCTGTTTGGTGTACCTGAAAGTGACGGGGAGAATGGAACCAAGTTGGAAAACACTCTGCAGGATATTATCCAGGAGAACTTCCCCAATCTAGCAAGGCAGGCCAACATTCAGATTCAGGAAATACAGAGAACGCCACAAAGATACTCCTCAAGAAGAGCAACTCCAAGACACATAATTGTCAGATTCACCAAAGTTGAAATGAAGGAAAAAATGTTAAGGGCAGCCAGAGAGAAAGGTCGGGTTACCCTCAAAGGGAAGCCCATCAGACTAACAGCAGATCTCTCGGCAGAAACCCTACAAGCCAGAAGAGAGTGGGGGCCAATATTCAACATTCTTAAAGAAAAGAATATTCAACCCAGAATTTCATATCCAGCCAAACTCAGCTTCATAAGTGAAGGAGAAATAAAATAATTTACAGACAAGCAAATGCTGAGAGATTTTGTCACCACCAGGCCTGCCTTACAAGAGCTCCTGAAGGAAGCACTAAACATGGAAAGGAACAACCGGTACCTGCTGCTGCAAAATCATGCCAAAATGTAAAGACCATTGAGACTAGGAAGAAACTGCATCAACTAACGAGCAAAATAACCAGCTAACATCATAATGACAGGATCAAATTCACACATAACAATATTAACGTTAAATGTCAATGGACTAAATGCTCCAATTAAAAGACACAGACTGGCAAATTGGATAAAGAGTCAAGACCCATCAGTGTGCTGTATTCAGGAAACCCATCTCATGTACAGAGACACACATAGGCTCAAAATAAAAGGATGGAGGAAGATCTACCAAGCCAATGGAAAACAAAAAAAGGCAGGGGTTGCAATCCTACTCTCTGATAAAACAGACTTTAAACCAACAAAGATCAAAAGAGACAAAGAAGGTCATTACATAATGGTAAAGGGATCAATTCAAAAAGAAGAGCTAACTATCCTAAATATATATGCACCCAGCACAGGAGCACCCAGGTTCAGAAAGCAAGTCCTGAGTGACCTACAAAGAGACTTAGACTCCCACACATTAATAATGGGAGACTTTAACACCCCACTGTCAACATTAGACAGATCAACGAGACAGAAAGTCAACAAGGATACCCAGGAATTGAACTCGCTCTGCACCAAGCGGACCTAATAGACATCTACAGAACTCTCCACCCCAAATCAACAGAATATACATTTTTTTCAGCACCACACCACACCTATTCCAAAATTGACCACATACTGGGAAGTAAAGCTCTCCTCAGCAAATGTAAAAGAACAGAAATTATAACAAACTATCTCTCAGACCACGGTGCAATCACACTAGAATTCAGGATTAAGAATCTCACTCAAAACCACTCAACTACATGGAAACTGAACAACCTGCTCCTGAATGACTACTGGGTACATAACGAAATGAAGGCAGAAATAAAGATGTTCTTTGAAACCAACGAGAACAAAGACACAACATACCAGAATCTCTGGGACGCATTCAAAGCAGTGTGTAGAGGGAAATTTATAGCACTAAATGCCCACAAGAGAAAGCAGGAAAGATCCAAAATTGACACCCTAACATCACAATTAAAAGAACTAGAAAAGCAAGAGCAAACACATTCAAAAGCTAGCAGAAGGCAAGAAATAACTAAAATCAGAGCAGAACTGAAGGAAATAGAGACACAAAAAACCCTTCAAAAAATTAATGAATCCAGGAGCTGGTTTTTTGAAAGGATCAACAAAATTGATAGACCGCTAGCAAGACTAATAAAGAAAAAAAGAGAGATGAATCAAACAGATGCAATAAAAAATGATAAAGGGGATATCACCACCGATCCCACAGAAATACAAACTACCATCAGAGAATACTACAAACACCTCTACGCAAATAAACTAGAAAATCTAGAAGAAATGGATAAATTCCTGGACACATACACTCTCCCAAGACGAAACCAGGAAGAAGTTGAATCTCTGAATAGACCAATAACAGGAGCTGAAATTGTGGCAATAATCAATAGCTTACCAACCAAAAAGAGTCCAGGACCAGACGGATTCACAGCTGAATTCTACAAGAAGTACAAGGAGGAACTGGTACCATTCCTTCTGAAACTATTCCAATCAATAGAAAAAGAGGGAATCCTCCCTAACTCATTTTATGAGGCCAGCATCATTCTGATACAAAGCCTGGCAGAGACACAACCAAAAAAGAGAATTTTAGACCAATATCCTTGATGAACATTGATGCAAAAATCCTCAATAAAATACTGGCAAAACGAATCCAGCAGCACATCCAAAAGCTTATCCACCATGATCAAGTGGGCTTCATCCCTGGGATGCAAGGCTGGTTCAATATATGCAAATCAAGAAAGGTAATCCAGCATATAAACAGAGCCAAAGACAAAAACCACATGATTATCTCAATAGATGCAGAAAAAGCCTTTGACAAAATTCAACCACGCTTCATGCTAAAAACTCTCAATAAATTAGGTATTGATGGGACGTATTTCAAAATAATAAGAGCTATCTATGACAAACCCACAGCCTATATCATACTGAATGGGCAAAAACTGGAAGCGTTCCCTTTGAAAACAGGCACAAGACAGGGATGCCCTCTCTCACCACTCCTGTTCAACATAGTGTTGGAAGTTCTGGCCAGGGCAATTAGGCAGGAGAAGGAAATAAAGGGTATTCAATTAGGAAAAGAGGAAGTCAAATTGTCCCTGTTTGCAGACGACATGATTGTATATCTAGAAAACCCCATTGTCTCAGCCCAAAATCTCCTTAAGCTGATAAGCAACTTCAGCAAAGTCTCAGGATACAAAATCAATGTCCAAAAATCACAAGCATTCTTATACACTAACAACAGACAAACAGAGAGCCAAATCATGAGTGAACTCCCATTCACTATTGCTTCAAAGAGAATAAAATACCTAGGAATCCAACTTACAAGGGATGTGAAGGACCTCTTCAAGGAGAACTACAAACCACTGCTCAAGGAAATAAAAGAGGATACAAACAAATGGAAGAACATTCCATGCTCATGGGTAGGAAGAATCAATATCGTGAAAATGGCCATACTGCCCAAGGTAATTTACAGATTCAATGCCATCCCCATCAAGCTACCAATGACTTTCTTCACAGAATTGGAAAAAACTACTTTAAAGTTCATATGGAACCAAAAAAGAGCCCGCATCGCCAAGTCAATCCTAAGCCAAAAGAACAAAGCTGGTGATATCACACTACCTGACTTCAAACTACACTACAAGGCTACAGTAACCAAAACAGCATGGTACTGGTAGCAAAACAGAGATATTGATCAATGGAACAGAACAGAGCCCTCAGAAATAACGCCGCATATCTACAACTATCTGATCTTTGACAAACCTGAGAAAAACAAGCAATGGGGAAAGGATTCCCTATTTAATAAATGGTGCTGGGAAAACTGGCTAGCCATATGTAGAAAGCTGAAACTGGATCCCTTCCTTACACCTTATACAAAAATCAATTCAAGATGGATTAAAGACTTAAACGTTAGACCTAAAACCATAAAAACCCTGGAAGAAAACCTAGGCATTACCATTCAGGACATAGGCATGGGCAAGGACTTCATGTCTAAAACACCAAAAGCAATGGCAAGAAAAGACAAAATTGACAAATGGGATCTAATTAAACTAAAGAGCTTCTGCACAGCAAAAGAAACTACCATCAGAGTGAACAGGCAACCTACAAAATGGGAGAAAATTTTCGCAACCTACTCATCTGACAAAGGGCTAATATCCAGCATCTACAATGAACTCCAACAAATTTACAAAAAAAAACAACAAACAACCCCATCAAAAAGTGGGTGAAGTACATGAACAGACACTTCTCAAAAGAAGACATTTATGCAGCCAAAAAACACATGAAAAAATGCTCATCATCACTGGCCATCAGAGAAATGCAAATCAAAACCATAATGAGATACCATCTCACACCAGTTAGAATGGCAATCATTAAAAAGTCAGGAAACAATGGGTGCTGGAGAGGATGTGGAGAAATAGGAACACTTTTACACTGTTGGTGGGACTGTAAACTAGTTCAACCATTCTGGAAGTCAGTGTGGCGATTCCTCAGGGATCTAGAACTGGAAATACCATTTGACCCAGCCATCCCATTACTGGGTATATACCCAAAGGACTATAAATCATGCTGCTATAAAGACACATGCACACGTATGTTTATTGCGGCACTATTCACAATAGCAAAGACTTGGAACCAACCCAAATATCCATCAGTGATAGACTGGATTAAGAAAATGTGGCACATATACACCATGGAATAGTATGCAGCCATAAAAAATGATGAGTTCATGTCCTTTGTAGGGACATGGATGAAATTGGAAATCATCATTCTCAGTAAACTATCACAAGAACAAAAAACCAAACGCCGCATATTCTCACTCATAGGTGGGAATTGAACAATGAGATCACATGGACACAGGAAGGGGAATATCACACTCTGGGGACTGTTGTGGGGTGGGGGGAGGGGGGAGGGATAGCACTGGGAGATATACCTAATGCTAGATGACGAGTTAGTGGGTGCAGCGCACCAGCATGGCACATGTATACATATGTAACTAACCTGCACAATGTGCACATGTACCCTAAAACTTAAAGTATAACAAAAAAAAGAAAATTATCATGTTTTATCAAATATATTTTTGTTTGTACCATTAGCTGTAAGTCATTTAGAGCCACAGAAAATAAAATGTATGCGTGTCACATACTGATTATCAGCAAGGCCTCTTCATTAAGATGAAAAATGATTTTCAAAAATTCTAACTCCCAAATCTTTTGTTCCTCCCAGTAAATAAACGCAGTCATCTTTCAGTAATATTTTTCATTTTGCATGTTCACCACAAGGACAGTAATTTGTACAAGGTAATTTTTTCAGTCTTTCTTATTACCTATTTCTTGGACCCATTTGACTTCCCAAGTATAAGGCAAAGACCACTGAATCACCATCATAGCCTGCTTTTCTGGCTTAAAGATTTATTTTAAAATCCCCTTTGTATTTATACATGATGTGCTTGACAGATATGTTGTGATGATTGTTATACATGCAGTAGTGTGCTTTAAAAAAATTACTCACTTTGCTTATGTGCCAGTTTATTGTTCTTTGTGCAAAGTAACAAGCCATTCTGCTGTGGATGAAAGATCTTGATTTGAATGTTCACAATGTACAACTCCTTCATGGCTGAAAGCTTCCAGTGATTTCAATCTTTCTGTCACCCACACAAATCCCACATCTACATATAGAGTCTTATTACAACAGATAAGGATTTATTTTTCAATTATTCGTTGTAAGAGTTTACTGATTAAATGTCTCTATTACTAACCATGTTCCATCCCTTTGTAAACTCCATTTCTCCCCACAACCACCATTTACGCAACTGTCATCAGAAAAATAATGTTACTTGGCAACAAAACATCATTTCAAATTTTAGTATGAACTGAGGCTTTGTGCTAGCAATTTATGCCAAACAATACGCAAAATTAAGGTTCTTTGGTTCGACAACTATTTTGAACTAATACTTCGATTTTTTTACAAATTGCTGAAGTTTGAAGACATTATGTATGACATTTCTCAATGGTTATACATGTGCATAAATGCTTCATGAAACATTTTAATGGTTAATTCTTGAAGTATTCTTATTGTGAATGAACTAGCCAGATTCTCCCAGTAGAAAGTCTACTCCCTGAGAGTAAGCTATTTATATTGACATTTTGGAACTACTACAATTCCATTTAATAAAATATTAACACGGAAGTTTAATGGCAGGGGAAAATCTGACTCAGTGCCTTTCTTAGCCTAAGAAACAGATGAGATCGTGAAAAATCCTTATTGTCAATGGGAAACACTCTGATACATTTGCAGTTACAGTATTTCTCTTAATCCAGTATCTCACTATGTGTTACCACCCTTGCAGTATGCATATTAACCTGCACTAATTGAAGTTGTTTTTGTTCCTATCTTGAGACTTTGGAAATAAAAAATATATATAATTTTTAAGGGCATGTATCATTTCTGTAGTAGAGACTGAAATAAAAATTTATCATTGTTGATGATGTGTTTACTAAGCAATTTTTGTCATTATTCTCAATAAATTATCTTAACCACTAATAGTTCTGACAAATCAATTAACATAACTACCAAGACAAATCTAACATAGAGAAAGCAATAATAAAAATACTTAGCAGACTCATGCTGCTTGCACTTTACAAAGTATTTTCACATCCATTATCTCATTTGTTTCTCAGATCAACCTTACAAGCAGGTAAGGCAGGTTTTATTATCCTTATTTTAAAGGTGTGGAATGTAAAACTCAGAGAGATGAAGTTACTTATCCAAAGTCACAGAGCTAGGATGTAGATGAACCAGGATTCTAACATGGATCTTTTGCCTCCAAACACAATAATCTTAATACTAAAACATAGTGCCATCCCTGAACTTATAATTTGTCTCTAGACAATGGTATAGGCATTCTTACAGAAAAGCAAAATCCATTTTCCAGATGATAATTGAATTTTAGTTAAGCACATCTTAGCAATACTCACAAAATTATGGATAGTATCAAGCAAAGTACTCAGAAAAAATATTTGAGAAACTCTGTTTTATCTGCTTTCTATCCAATTGTTTATAACACAATGAAATTTTATATCTTTTATTTAATTTTCTGAGATGGATATTATTAGCCACATTTTATATGTAAGGAAAGAGATTCAGAAAAGTTTAATAATTTACCTCAGATTGCAGTTTATGGCTTGGTGGATGTAGCCAGGATTTAAACCAATGTCTACTTGCCCTCCAAGGCTTCGCTTTTTCCCTAGCTACGTAAAAAATAGATAGATAAATAAATAAGCTATTCGGGTATTATAAGCTTCCTTTGTTACTATTTTTGTATTTCACATAGAAATGTTATGTTAACCATATAGCTAAACTCTAACCGAAGTTTCTCAGATATTTGAGAATTCAAGATAATAGGTATTTTGCAGTGTGAGGTTTGCTTATAAGGGAGGATAAGCTTAAGTTATATTCTTACATTTATTCTCTATTTTGGAATACATGTGGATTAAACATTTGCTGATGGTCTACTTTGTATCAAATATTCTTCTGGTCTCTGAGGATCAAAAGATGTTTAAGACATGGTTCCTTCCTTTAAGAAGCTAATAGAATATCCATTCATTCTTTATTCAAGAAGTATTTATTGAGCATCAAATAGAATGGTGGGCACATAGAAAAAAAGGCATATGCATGCTGAATTAGCTCAATCATTCATAAGACAGGAGAAGGGACTTACTTTATGGATTCTCTAATCACTGCATCATTTTTAAAGTTCCATATCAACTTAAAAATATTTGTTAATAGAATCACTTTTCAATGCTCTCAAATCAACAGAGTGAGGAGACAACCCACAGAATGGAAGAAAATATCTACAAACTATATATCTGACAAAGGTTTAATATACAGAATATACAAGGAACTCAACAGCAAAAAAAATAATAATAATAATCTGATTTAAAATGAGCAAATGATCTGAAGAGACATTTCTCAAAAGAAGATATACAAATACAATGATATTTGGGGCAAACATTGATAAGCCTGGAGGACATTATGTTGAATGAAATAAGCCAGGCACAGAAAGACATGCATTTATAGGTAGTAGCAAAAAAAAAAAAAGTGCCTATAGATGTAGCGAGTAGAGTACTGGTTGTTAAAAGATGGAAAGGGGAATGGAAAGGGGAAATATTGAGAGGCTGGTTAACAAATATTAAATTATAGTTTAGATAGTAGAAGTAAGTTAAGTATTCTATAACACTGACTATAGTTAAAAATAATTTATTGTATATTTTTAAACATCTAAAAGAGAGGATTTGAAATGTGCTCAACACAGAGAAATGATAAATGTTCGAGATGATGGATATGTTAATTACCCTAAATTGATCATATACATTGTATACATATTAAAATATCACTTTGTACCCCATAAATATGTACAATTATTACACATCAATTAAAAATATTAAATGAAAAGAAAAAGCAATAACTTCATGGACAAGTAAAGCTCAATATGACTGTAAAAGATGCTCCCAAAGAGCTACAATATTTTCACTCATTCATGCTGCATATTGAATGTATACTGAGAGTCACCACCTGCCCCAGTTTTGCTTAATGACACAGTGTTGTCAAGACTGTTAATTGCCAAGGTCTAAAGGGTTTGTGGATAGTTGAACTTCAATGTGGCATCTTGGGCTAATTTACACATTGCAGGAAATATAATTGAGACTTATGATAGTATATGTATGCAACAGTTTTAACTTGTTCCAATCATCTCTGTGTATCTGGTCAGGCAAACAAAATACTCTGTGAAATTGCCTACCTTTATTTTCTGAGTTTTGCAAATCACTGAGTCAGTACTTCAGAGGGGATGAAATTAATCCATAATAAAAAAATACAAAGCTAAAAAAGACAAATAAGTCTTCTCTCTCTCATATATATTCACACACATATACAATATAATATACACATAATATGTATATATATAATGTAAATATAAAATATTTTAACCTTACTTGACTGTTTTGTTGGTAGATACACTTTTGTTTGCAAAATTAAATAATGCTTGTCTTTATATACTTCCAGTAATAACATTCGAAACACGGTAAGTAAACCTTACGACATTCTATCTTCTTTTTGACCATGGCTGGTGTCAATGTGTCAATATAAGCTGGAATATCTCATTCCTCTTACTCCTTAAATGCTTACAAAGTGACACATTTTATTTACACCTTAAAATGCATATTTCTTTTCTTCTGTGAACATCAATATTTTTCTGCTCAGTGGAAGGATATTGAGTTGGGCAACCTGCCAGCTCTCCAATGGAGAATTGGAATCTGGCACCCCTCTCCACTTTCAAAACACACTCAGGCGAGGTTCCTTGTTCACATAGGGCTCACATTAAAAACCAAACCCAAAATATCTTCAAATAACATGAGGCACCCTTCTTTATGTACTTAAAGGAGGTCAGTAGTTTTTCCCATGCCAATGAAAGCACATGATTTAAATTTCAGAACATGATTTCATCTAAAATTTGCAAAAGTTTTTATTTGACTGGAAAGTTAAAGAAGAAAGGAGGGTTGTTTCCATTTGCATAGGTTAACTCCATATGTTCAGTGACATTAACAACCACAAAGTATTTCATTCTCTATCGTCTGTGATGTAATACTTTAGAAAGTTATTAGGCTTTCAAAGTGACAATTTTGTACCTTATGTGATAGAATGGCTTTGCTACCAACCAAGTCAAGAGTATTAGAAACTCCATAGCAAATAAAGTAGGTAGAAGAAAAGCCTTTATGAACATACACAAGAACAGCATGTTTAAGCCCTTAATTTTATCACTGTAAATTTATTTTGACCTGTCTCTGAAGCTCAGCAGGAACAGAAGAGGGAAATTGTATGCCAGAGAGCAAAAATAGCTCACTTAAGTGCAAAAGATTTTGCAGTTTCAAAGTTTAGAGTATTTTAAACTAAAAAATTCGATTTGTCTCTTGTTACCAATGATATGTTTCCAACTATTACCTTGTTCATTTTTTCTATTCTTCTACATGCCAATTTGTACAAAGAGAAGAGGCAGAACCAAATTTTAAACACTTAATAGTTCTTTTCCAATTCACTGTGTGAACTAGAACTTTATACACAGTTCAAAAAAGAGGCAGGGTGTTAAGGTTTTGAAATAACCAGTATAATCTGTCAGAGCTGTCAGTCTAGTTGCCTAGGAAATCTTTTTACAACCACAGAATAAGGCTTTAGTTATTAATACTTACCAACTCAATAGGTTGAAAAATTTTAAATGTTAGTAAATCGTTAGTATTATCGTTTACATTTACTGAGTTTCAAGTCAATTTTCTACTTTTCCACAACACAATTACTCTGCTTCAATTAGAATATTTTCCTCCACTGTGCTTCCCATATTATCCAAATAAACTTCAAAGTTCAAAAAGGTCACATATCCTCAATGAATTCTTCTCTCCACGCCACAGGCTGCAGTAAGTAATCACCTTCCCAACTCTCCTACACATATAAGACACTTTATGTCTCCTTTATATCTCCACATATTGGCACTTTCTTTTTTATTTTATCATTATTATACTTTAAGTTTTAGGGTACATGTGCACAATGTGCAGGTTAGTTACATATGTATACATGTGCCATGCTGGTGCGCTGCACCCATTAACTCGTCATTTAACATTAGGTATATCTCCTAATGCTATCCCGCTCCCCTCCCCCCACCCCACAACAGTCCCCAGAGTGTGATGTTCCCCTTCCTGTGTCCATGTGTTCTCATTGTTCAATTCCCACCTATGAGTGAGAACATGCGGTGTTTGGTTTTTTGTCCTTGCCATAGTTTACTGAGAATGATGATTTCCAATTTCATCCATGTCCCTACAAAGGACATGAACTCATCATTTTTTATGGCTACATAGTATTCCATGGTGTATATGTGCCACATGTTCTTAATCCAGTCTATCATTGTTGGGCATTTGGGTTGGTTCCAAGTCTTCGCTATTGTGAATAGTGCCACAATAAACATACGTGTGCATGTGTCTTTATAGCAGCATGATTTATAGTCCTTTGGGTATATACCCGGTAATGGGATGGCTGGGTCAAATGGTATTTCTAGCAAATTTACAAGAAAAAAACAACCCCATCAAAAAGTGGGTGAAGTACATGAACAGACACTTCTCAAAAGAAGAAATTTATGTAGCCAAAAAACACATGAAAAAATGCTCACCATCACTGGCCATCAGAGAAATGCAAATCAAAACCACAATGAGATACCATCTCACACCAGTTAGAATGGCAATCATTAAAAAGTCAGGAAACAACAGGTGCTGGAGAGGATGTGGAGAAATAGGAAGACTTTTACACTGTTGGTGGGACTGTAAACTAGTTCAACCATTCTGGAAGTCAGTGTGGCGATTCCTCAGGGATCTAGAACTAGAAATACCATTTGGCACTTAATATTATAATCATACATTTTAAAAATTATTTTTAATGTTAACATACTTCATCATATCATCCTGATATAATTAGAAGCTCTTTGACAGCATAGGCCATTATTTGTTACTCTTTCACATGCTCTACACAATTAGCATATTATTACACACTTAATAGATTCTGAATATCTTGACAGAGTTCATCAATATTTACTCATGAGAGTTAAATAAGTTAAATCTCATTCTGATTTTTTTCTTGCTGCTTCTAGACCATCTACCCAGTAAAAATAAGAAAACTTTTCATCTATACCTTCTTCTATCATTTTATTTAACAGAAAAAAAATGTTTCCTTATTTTATATAGCCTCCCCATTTGCAAAACTACCAAAATTGAGCTAATAATTTATGCTTTATTAAAACATACTTTGATGATTTTTGATTCTGTATACTGTGTTGATTAATAGTCATCATTTGTTTTGTAATATGGTAATTGTTAGATAAGGTATGCCTTTTTATTTTTACTGCTACAAATGTAGCCTTCACATTCTTAAATGCAGGATTTACAATTATATGTAACATACCTGCATTTTTCAGTTACACTCTTAATCACAGACTTTCAGAGTAAAAAAGAGCTTTACGATTTATATAACTCAAATGACCCATTTGATGTTTGAATCTCCTATGTGAGATTTATTCATTTACTCAACATATATTCATCGAATACCTCATATATACCAGCCATTCAAGCACATAGTACTTGACCACTTGGGTTTCTAAGTGCAAAGCCATGTCACTTCTATTTTATTCCTAAATGTTTTAAATATGCAGATACAACACATATTTGCATTAAATGTAACCATGCTAAATTTTGAACATTGCCCCAATCTATTGATATTTTTGTTATGTTTCATATTCATTATAATTCACAGTTTAATTTTATCTATAAACTTGATAAAAATTATTTTAATAACCCAATTTTTAAAACACTAAGAGAGAATCCCTTATCAAACCTATAGGCAATAAACTGAGACTGTATAGCACAGTAGAGACACAGCTGTTTTAGAATGTTCACTCTAGAGTCACACCGTTGAGTTCAAATCAAAATTTTGCTACTTCACTGGCTGCGAAAACTTGTAAATTGTCATGGATGGTGCTTGATTAAAGGCACCAGGTCTGGTGCTTGATTAAATGCTCTGTAAATGTTTTATGTCTCAAGAGCTCAATCCATGTAGCTGTTGCTCTGTGTTACATCATCATTCTAGTCATCATTTTGGTACAATCAACTCTGTACAAATCTGGGAAACATTTTTTTCCTGGTGTATATGTTATTTATTGTTGTGGAGCAAATTACCCCCAAAAGATAGTGGCTGACAAAAACAAATATTTATTATATCACAGTTTTGTTGATCAGAAAATTGGGGCACAGCTTATATGGGAAAATGTGGCTCAAGGTCTTTCATCAGGCTGCAACCAAGATGTCAGCTGGGGCTTCCAAGCTCACTGATGTGACCACAGGCAGGCCTGGGGTCCTTGCTGACTACTGGCTGACATCATTTCTTTACCATCTGAGTCTCTACGTAAGGCAACTTATAACATGGAAGGTGGTTTATCTCAGAGTAAGCCAGTGAGAAAACAAGAGAAAGCACGATGGATGTCACAGTCTTTTGTAACCTACTCATAGAAGTAACATCCCATCACTTTTTTCATATCCTATTGATTAGAATAAAGTCACTGGTCTAACCTACACAAAAGGGAAGGAGATTAAAGAAGGGCATTAACACCAGAAGGCAGGGATCATTGGAGACCATCGTAGAGGCTGCCTACCACATCTAGCAAGATGCTGGCAGGACAAGGCTGGAAACCATGTCTTGGCTGAGGTTTCCATTCACCCATTCAGATTTGGGGGAGCTATTCAAATCATTCAGTGGTCAGGCATTGAGACTATAGCATATTGGCTTATTTGATCCCATCCTCATGTCCTGCTCATCCCCTATCTAAGTATTGGCAAAAGTCTGAGAAAAAAATATTGTAGTGGATACAGTGTCATGGGGGAAAGGGCACTGGCCTGGGTTTGAATATTAGCCCTGCCACTCATTAAACATTTCAGTTTATTAAATCTCAATGTTTTAATCTGTAAAGTTAAAAGAATGCCCTCTATTATGGAGGTTTATTGTTTAGAGTAGAGATACTATATGTAAAACCTGTAGCACAGCACAAGTTATCAACAAATGGAGGTTATAACCAAAAATATAAAATGTACATATATAATAAACATAAATATATGCAACTATATGTGCATAATATATAATGTAGTATGTACTTAGAAAATACATAATCATGTAATATGCCCACAGGTGCTAGCAAAGGTCCTGACATATAGAACGTATTTAATAAGTGTGTGGTGAATAAGTTTGGCCTACTCTCTAGGTCTTTCCATTTTGTCTTTTTGTCATAAGAGAATGACAATTCATTGAAGGCAAAGACTTTAAATATATTAATCTTTGTATTTCCTTTTTTCTAATGCCTACATAACACATCACAGGCATTTAATAAGTCTTTGTTGAGAAAATAAAATCATTAATCATCTGAATTCTCATCTACCTACTTGTCTTAGCATCTAGCCCACCTTTCTTCATTTTGTTTGTAATCATATCAGTGAGCAATTCAAATACATGTTCCATAGTTGGTCTTTTTAGTTAGAGCACATATTGTAAAGCAGCTGTTTCTTCTTTAAGTTACATTTCAGAGAACAGTATGATAAAGTCTCCCTAAAACAAACTGAGATATAGGCAAAGTCAGTGTTCTCTGTTCCTCCCCATTTTCCTTCTAAAATATTTTAACTATTTTCTTCCCTTCTTTTACTCTCTTCTTCAGGTCTTTGTCCTCTAGGAAACATTTCCTATCTTTGATCCCATTTATTTTGATGATAAAAAGTTAACATAATATTTTAATATATATCTGTGTGTTTACACCCCAATAATCCAGATGGGAGAGGAATCCCTACAACGATCTCTAATGGTGGTATTTATGATATTATGGGACAAAAGAGAGATAAACTTACTGAAATATTACATGTTTTTCTCTGTGCCTTACATCTCAATATTCCCTACTACTTTACACCTGCATAGGATAATTAGGACTTCAGGCTTTCTAAGGTGATCATTTTTGTAGAGATTTCACAGATAATAATCTATTTGCAAATTTTATATGCCTTATTTCCACAACTACTTAAAGAGGCTTTTAAGAATAAAATTCAAAATAATGAAAACTAGAATGAAGAAAGAGAAAAACTGTTAAAGTTCACGTAGTTGCTATTATTATTATATTTGTCTTTGTGCTTCCCAGCAGCCAGGTCGAAAAAAGAAATTATTTTTACTATATACTCAGCATATATTATGTGCCAGAACTCTGTGATCACTTCGATATTATATCTATCTTCAATACATCCATGGAGAGTAGGAGTTATAATCCTCATTTTACAGATGAAGTTACTGAGGTTTCAAAAAATGTCTTGTCCAGGGTCACAAAACTGAAGCTCTAAGTGGAGCCAAAGTTCAAATCAAGGACTTTCTGACTTCATAGCCTGCACTTCTATATAGAGCTCATAGTCAGAAAGGAGGAAATATAATAATTACAAGGGAGAAAAGCTTTTTGGAATTAGATTATAAAATTAATTTGCTGAGTGACATTGTATAAAAGGGACATTGAGCAATATGATGATCAGTGCCCTTCATAACACATTTACAATAAATGCAAAAGAAATATTCATATAGCTGCTGGGGTATTTTTAATGACCTTTGATAACTGCTTAAAGCATAAAATGAAAGTGCAAGTGAGTGAAACTGATTCAGCAAGTCCTAATATTATCTGATCCTACGATCAAGTCTTCTGGTGACCTCAGGTGATTCAATAATAAAACTGAGAGTATGTGAATTCACTTTCAAAATGCTAAATATTATATTTTATTAACAGGGGTTTTGATAGAAGCCAAATTCATTTATTCATTCATTGAGTGTTCATTCACTCAATGTGTATGGGCTATGTGTATGTCAGGCACTGTGCTAGGTCTGAGGATCCAAATATATTTTTTAAAATATTTCTACCTCAAAAGGGCTTGCAGTTAGTTTAAAATAAGACAAGCCAGTGACTGTAATGAAGCATATTAATTGCTATAAGGGAAGTATATACAGACTGTACAAAAGAAGATGCCCTTAAACCTATCTGACAGAGTCAAATAAGTTATCATAGTGGAGGCAGTGTTTGAGATAAGACTTGAAGGATGAGGATGTCTTTGCTGGGCAAACAAGGAGATGGTGGACAATCTGGGGAAAGGGATGCCCAGATAGAGGCATTTTGGTTACATTCTCTGATGAGAATGAAGGGTAGTCTACATTGTTAATTATGAGCAGGTCCATAGGCTTGGAAAATCCAGATACTAATAATAGCTATCATTTACTAAGCTTGTATAAAATTTTAATAGATTAAAAAGCTAATTTTTCAGTAGGTTAAGTGAGACAAAGATTGCCTGAGAACTGAGAACGCATACTTATTTATTTATTTTTAAAGCTCACATTATCAACTACTGTTCTATAATGTGGTAAGGTTCTACATTATGAAAGCTTGGAAGCTTGACCATTATTCTCATCCAGATGAAACGGCATCCTGCTTTCTCACCAGTGTAGTATGTGGTAATACCTGCAGGCAAAACCAGTTGTGGTTTAAGAAGCATATTTAGATTACTTGTTGTGTACTTGGACAAATGCTCCCCTCAGGCCCCTGAGTTCTTACAGAATATGGGATAGATGAATTTGGCCCCCCAAAATGATCATCGATCATTCCATGAAGGTAGAAAACCCATGTGAAGTTTGATACAAAACAGTAGATTCCCACTGTTTTTCCTGTGATGCATTAGTTACAAAATGTTCTCACCCTGTGAAAATAACTAAGTAAGTTACCATGTAGCTAGAAGTAATTTAGAATTGGCCAGCTGAATTTTGGAAGATAATTGGCGAAAACAATGACTTCAGGATTTCACATAAAAATATTGAGCCATTCTTGACACTAGTTTGTTAATGAAGCTACTCTAGCTCTTGACAGTAAAACCATGCCATCAACATATGCATAGCCACTAAACTTTTTGTACATAGTAACAGCACAGGAAGATTCAATCTATCAGAAAGTAATATCAGACCATTAAGTTTTATATTAAAGACAAGGACAGCTAACATATAACTATTTGATGCTACTTGAAACAATGTTTTTTGGGGGGGACTGTTGCAGTCTTCTCATTATTACATGAAATCAAAATGCCCATTTTAGATAAGCATTAAATGCTGAGGTTCTACTTTAAACGTATATTACCCTGTCTTGGCTGATGCTTTTCCTTAGAACAATGATAGACCAAAGCTGGAAGCAAATTTCTGTCATTTGGAGCAGATGTTTCCATAGCTAAAAGATAACACAGCAGTGGTTGATTAGTAGAGTATTGTACTTGTAATCTAATTGCAAAATCTTTTCTGGAGCTGTCTGTCATATCAATCAATCCATACTTTTGCAGGAATACAGGGTTAACCTTTTGGAAAAATGGAGCATATTATATTTTGAATATATCCAACGAAAATCACAATTGAAGAGTAAACAATTTAACAAACTTTAAAATGTAAGGGAGCAAAATTATCCTTTTCAACCGGTGTTAAATTAAGAGGTTGTTTGTCAAATAGTGTAAAGAGTTTTGATGTACCACTTGAACAAAATATCAGGGTCCTTAAAATTTCATTCAGTAATTATTCAGCAAATATCAATTGAGTATTTCTATGGCATTCTAGACACTGGAGATAAGTAGTGGGCACAATGGACATCACTTTTGCCCTTGGGGAGTGTTTGTTCAAACGTTTGGTGGATATAGACATTAAACCAAGAATCACAGGAATAACTACGAAATTTCCTTTCTGATAAATGCCATTAAATAACATTATGAGAATCCTCCCATGTATAATAGGGGGAACAGAGATCTGATGTATTCTGGGTGGTCAAGAAGTGTTTCCCTAAGAAAGTGATACTTGACCTAAAATCTGAAGGATGAGGAGTTAACAAGCTAAGATATCTGTGGGCGGCGGGAGGTTGTGGGGGCAAAAGGTGGAAAGACCTACAGGGAGAAAGCATTTCATGCAGAGAGAACAGCATGCAAAAGGGATTTGAGGCATGAAGTTATTTCACATCAGTGAGGAAATGAAAAAGGGCCAGTGTGGCTGGATCAAAAAAGTAATGAGAAAAAATTGACATGTGGCTGTAGAACATAAGTCACATATCATGCTGGGCCTGGTAGGCTGCATTGAGGATTTTGGTCTTTATCATAAGACAACAGGAAAACATTATCTTTTTAAAAACATTTTAGTGACATGGGCAGATCTGTATTTTGCGAGCATTACTCTGGGTACAGCCTGGATAATTGAATGGAGGAGGAAAAGCGTAGTTTTAGGAAAATCACTTATGAAGGTGGCTTGGGAAAGGATGGTAGCTGTGGAAATACTGAGAATTAAATGAATTTGAGAAATGGTAGAAGATGGAATATTGAACCTGAAGACAAAAAATGTGTGTCAAGGATAGTTGCTAGGACTTCAGTTTGTACAGCTGGATGGATGGCGATACTATTCATTAAAACAGGGAACTATATAAGCTCAAGTATATGGGGACTGAAATCAATAACTTGAGCTCATACAGTCTGAATTTGAAGTTCTGTTTTGGTAGCCAAGATGTCAAGCAGGAAGTTGAACAAACAGGTTTGGGATAGAGATACAAAATTGAGATGGCTTGGCATATATTATGCATTTAAAGCTAGGAGTAAGATGGTATTGAAAGTTGGGAAAATAGCAACTAGGCATATATATCTGGTTAAAACATTTCAGAGCATGGAATAGAATGATTTCTCAATCAATTTTATGGACATAATCTCCCTCCAGGTCTTCTTTTATGTACCTAGCTAATATCGGAGCATTATCTATGGCCTATTTTCAGTCTATCCAATTTCACAACTATCAACTGATAAGAAATGCTCTAAATCTAAGAAAAGATCAGTTCTTTGTTCTTTGTCGATATTTATATTGACAATTATTTGCAAAAGGAACCCAAGTCTGGCTGCTTCAAAAAATAAACCTTACAACTTCCACTTGGTGATCTACTAGCATGCGGTAAAGTTATTCTTACAATACATTCTTCCCATACTAATATTCATCTTTAGGTTGGCAACAAAATAGACATTGATGAGCTGTATGTGAACAGACAAGTAGCTCTTACTACAAATAATTTATCCCCATGTGTGCCAGTTTTCATAATGGTGTTTATATGTGTTTCACAATACAGCGGACACTCACAAAACCCTATTAGCATTGCTACCAAGTTGTCTTTGTAAAGTTAAGTAGTGGAAAGGAGGGAAGGTAGTTTTAAGAAATGTATTAAGTGCTTTATAATCTGCCAGGCACTATTCTTATTGTTATATATGTATTAACTCATTTAGCCATCAAAACAAAACCCCATGGAATAAGTGCTATTATTATCCCCATTTAAAAAATCTGGGGATAATTGCAAAGGGAATATTATAACTGGCCCAGTTTCAAGGCCAGCAAGCCCTAGAACCAGAATTCAAAATATGTTATCTGGCTCCAGAGCCGATTCACATAACCACTAGCCTGTAGTGTCTCCCACAAAACATATAACTAGCATTGAATCTACCCTCTCACAAAACAAAGCCCAAGCTTGGACTCTGACACACTCCTTCCTCTTAGAAAATATGGAGAGGAGTAGGGCATAGAAGAGGTCATGTGGTCAAAATTGCCTCCTTTCCTCTAATTCTGTTTATAGTAAATGTAATAATGTGATAAATCTTTCCTATCTTACCCCATCTGACAGCATATGCCTTTAGTTGTGCCATCATAGGGCGAAACAACTTGCTGAGTCATCTATATCACTTTCTGCGTCATGAAGTTTGGAAGAATAATCTGACCACAAACCAGGTTCATAGCTGCTTATCTTAAGAGACTTGAGAAGGTCACAACTTGAAAATGTTATGACTGTGTTATAATTAGAGATTAAGGGAAAATTTATTCAATTTAATAATTCAAGAATATTTTGTCTTGTGTCTGGTATAAGTAACCATATCATTATCAGATGTTATTTTAAAACAAGCTTAATTAACTATATTTCTTTTTTCAGTGTCTTATATTTATACTTGCTGATAAAGAAAATGCAAATGCTATACATACAAATGTAAGAAAGATGTCACAATATACTTTTAAGGGCATCTTTGTTTCATATCTATATACAACATATTGGAAATTACTATATGATCACATTTCTGAACACAAATGCCTCTATATCTGAAAATATGCTGCAATTTGTAAGGCCTTATTTGTAACATCTATTTTTCTGTTGATTATATGAAAGCCACTTTTAGAATTTATTCAAACAGACTTGTTACTGATCCACCCGTCTTACTATTGCCCCACCTTTTTCTCAACTTTCAGTATCTTTTTCCTGAGATTATTTTAGTTTTGGACATAAAATCTAACACTTTAAAAATAATTTAAAACACATTTAGAAACAAGTTTATATTCATGATACCACAGGGAAGTAACAAATATTCTGCCTTAATTTTTAATTGTTAATCTATTTTGGTTATTGGCTAGACATCTCATTTTTTCATTCATAGATTAGAAAAGTGGACAGACACAGTTGATGAAATCATCCAATGGTTCAAGGAAACATATGTAAATATAAATATAAATGTAAATAAATAAGCATAGCTAATAATACAACAACTTGTTTGAAATTATGTATATATAGATATGTAGGTCAAAATAGGTCTGCATAGATATCTATGTAAATTCAAACAAGTTATGTGGCATTATTACAATTCAAGTCCCTCACTTTCTCCATTTCAAGTAATTTAATTTCAAAATATCTTCTACTTGTTGGATATTTCAATTTCTTTTCTCTCTTTTAGTTCTCTTTACTTATCAACAAGTAAATCCCAAGTTTTCATAAACCATTGACTACTTACCTAGGACGGTGTGATGGTACAAAATAAGTAGGAAACATGTAACCTTTTGAGGAGCTTACAATCTGATTGGGATAACAAAATTTAAACACATTAAGTAATTAGAGAACAGCATGAGACAGTGCCCTGAAGCCATTCATATAAGACCCTATTCAATGGCGGGGAATCTAGGGTAGGGAGACAGGCTAGTCTAATACAAAGCAAAAACCTATAATAAACACAGAAATATCTCGGTAAGGACTGACAAAATATTCACACTCACATAGACAGCAGCCCTCAGAGGTAACAGAAGTACCTTATTGGGATCCCAACACTCAGAAAACTATGCAGATACCTGACATTTTTATCACATGCCATTGCAGCTACTGTTTCAACAATAAATGCACTATTTATGATGTTATATATTAGCAGATATTGTATTTTCCTGAACATGGAAGTAACCAGATGCAAAGGAAGTTCAAAATTGCAAGTTCATATACAAAACTGTACATCTCTCAATATATCTTGCCTTTGGTCTGGAAGTTGTTTGTACAGCTTTAAAGAGCTTAGAGAAATTTGAAAGCCTAGCGTAAAAGAAATGTGTTTCAGGTATAATATTCCAGAGGAAGTTAACCTAACTCATTTATCAATACATGATAGTAATCTGACCACTCCCTACAAACATATTATTATATTTAAATATTACATATTTACATTAACAAAAAGTGGAGATTTATGTGGATGTTTTCACCAAACATAAAAAAACTTGTGAATACATATTACTGCACCTCATAAGTATTAATTAAAAGAAATGTGTAAAAAATAGGTCCCAGAGATGATATATTTGCCTTTAAATATCATATGGACAATGTTGTACATCATTTGCATTCAGTATTTATTTATTTATCACTTCCGGTTATCTTTAAGAAGCACAGAAGACATTGCGTATAAAATTTCAACAATAGAGGTAGTTTACATGGTTTTTAAGAGAAGGAAACAAAAAAAGTTTGTTGAATAATATAAAGTAGTCTTAAGTTATGAAAGTATTAGAGTCACACAGAGATTCACATCTTGACTTTATCACTTACTAGCTGTGTGACAATGGGGGAGTCACTACCTTTACTGAGCCTCAATTTCCCTCATTTTAAAACAGGGCAATAAAAATAGAACCTACCTTATAAAGTTATTGTGATGCCAAATGTACATAAAGTATTTAGCATTTGAAGCATTTAACACATCCCTCCAGCCCATGATATGAATAAGTTTTCAATAGATAATAGCTGTTATAAGCATTATTTACTTTTACAAATGTGGTATTTATGCACAATGTAATACTACTCAACCATAAAAGAAAGAAATCATGTCATTTGCAGCAACATGGATGAAACTGTAAATCATTATCTGAAGTGAAATAAGCTAGGCACAAAAAGACAAATATTCCATATTTTCACTTATATATGGGAGCTAAAAAATGTGATCATATGCAGGTAGAAAGTGGAAAGATAGATAATGGAAACTGGGAAGGGTAGTGGGGAGAGGGGAGGATGAAGAGAAAGGGTTAAAGGGTACAGGCATACAATAAGACTGAAGGAATAAACTCAATGTTGGATAGCAGGAAAGGGTGACTATACTTAACAGAAATGTATTGTACACTGGTGATGGACACCCTAAATACTCTGACCTGATCGCTAGGCATATATACATGTAACAAAATTCCTCATGTACTCCATATATTTGCACAAATTAAAAAAAGTTTATGTGGAGAAAAACCCATATATACATACACATATATATGTAATATATATAAACCATATATATACACACATACATATTTCAGCCAATTTGTTATACATATGTTATATATGACCAACTAGTCTGATAATAGCCTAAGATTTTGAGCCTATTTTATTTACCGCAACAGTAAAAAATATGCCATGAAGTCTTATATAATATCAAGTTTTCTAAGTCAAGATTTTTTAGAAAAGAAAAGAAAGCCTTAAGATAGGTTAGGTTAAAGAAATTTGTGATCAGTTTTTCTCTAGTAATGTCACTTCCAATTATGAAATCGTCAGCATTTTTTTCATTGTCAGATTACTCCCAATCCGTCACCCTCACCCTCCTCTTGATACAGCACTAAACATGGGTAGGAATATTGAGGCAGAGAAGGGGAGGATGGGCACTAAGGTGCAACAGTTGGACTGGAGTGATGTGAAGGATCCATGGTGCACTTGGAGTTTCTGGGTTTGAGATAAGTTTGTAAAAAGAGCAGGGAGAATTGGGGGGAAACAGCAACAAAGTATTTTCATGATCTCTGATCAAGGACAGTTAACTCACCACCTGACTTCTGCAAACACGCTTAACAAAGACTTTTTTTGTGGAGGACGATTGGGGCCTGTGCAGACCTGGTATCAGCCACCAGCATTTCAGTGCAAGGTATTACTGTGGAATTGGGGGCTTGCTTTAGGATTGACTGCCCTAAAGCTTTAGAGCAGGTGTGGATCATGTAACTTCTCAGACTGCCAAACTCATGCTTTGAATATCCACACTCTCACCATTTTGCCATTTAGTCACTTTGCAAAGTTCTTTATCATCTGTGCCTGTGGAAATCCTGTGCATTCCTCTGAGTACTGTACCAATGCCCAAGGGGGCCCCCACACCAAGAGAGGGCTCTGCCAAGATTCCTATGACTGAAAGTTTGGGCTGACCTTTCCGTCCCAGGAGAGAGAGGGAGGTACCCCTCTCCTGGACCTCTTCCCCTTCACTCCACCCGCCCTGGGCTGAGTTCGAAAGAACTCAATGCCTTACAGAAAAACCCTTCTCTTCACCCCTCACCCCCATGTCTCCACCCCTATCATCACTGCAGCCCTGGATGCTCCTGAGGCTGCTTTCTGACTAAAGGGTCCCTGATACCACCCGGGTGGAAAGCAGGGCCTAGGGAACTGCATTTGGAACGCAGTTCAAATGCTCAGGGATTCAGGTGCTCAAAGACTTCAGTTTGAGAAGGGGAAAAAAATTATTTGGTGGAAACTGTTTAAGACATCAACCCAGGAGCTGAAACTGGAGAAGCTGCAGGTCTGACACGAGGGTAGAGGTCTCCCTGACGCTGCTGAACCCCACACCCCCCCACCCCCGCACCCGATCCCTTGCCAAATTCAATGTATAATCTAAGCGAAGGGTGTCCCAAGATTACACCAAGCGCACACTGGTTTCTCCAGGCAGACCGTGGCTCGGCCTCCTTCTAGCCCCGTGCTTGATTATATCTTAGGTTTCAGATTTTACTGAAGTACGGATTTTAAGAAGGGTAGTTAGCTGTTGTCCTGAGGGTAGCGAAACAACGCATGTCTGATACTGGGGACCTAGGGTGCTGGCCCTCCGCGACTCTGCCCCTGCAGCTCCGCTACCCCCTTCTCCCCTCCGCCCCCTTCCAGCCTCCACCCCGCGCGGCCTCCGCTACCCGGCAGGCACCCCACGCCAGCCCAGCAGCTCCTCCCACTGCCTCCGCCCTTCACACTCGGGCCCCAGCGTCGTCCTCCCCCCACACTGACTTCGCTCCCGCAGCCATCCAGACAGACACTCTTCCCGCTCTCGCCTAGGTCTGCACCGCCACTGCCGCCCTTGCCGCCGCGCTTCGCCCCGGCTCTGCTACGTCAGGCCGCGCATCTCTGGCCAGGACGACCGCTGCCGCCGCCGCCGCCGCCGAGCCTCAGACTGAAGTCTGGGCGCCCGCGATCGCACCAGCTTCTTGGTCTTAGAGATCCTGAGCTCTCGGCTGACGCGGAAGCGCAGCCATCCCCACCACCGCCGCCACGGCCAACACGGGTGCCACGCGCCGCCACCGCCGCCGGGCCGCCGCCGCCGCCGCCGCCGCCGCCGCCGCTGCTGCAGATCGCCCGCCGCCCACCATGGCCCAGCAGCAAACAGGTAGCAGGAAACGGAAAGCGCCCGCGGTCGAGGCGGGAGCCGGGAGCTCGTCGTCGCAGGGTTTAGCGGCGGCGGACGGAGAGGGGCCTCTGCTACCCAAGAAGCAGAAGCGGCCGGCGACGCGTCGCAGGCTGGTGCACTATCTGAAGGGCCGGGAGGTAGGAGCGCGGGGCCCAGCCGGGCTCCAGGGCTTCGAGGGCGAGCTGCGGGGCTACGCCGTCCAGAGGCTGCCCGAGCTGCTGACGGAGCGCCAGCTGGACCTGGGCACCCTCAACAAGGTGTTCGCGTCACAGTGGCTGAACGCCAGGCAGGTGGTGTGCGGCACCAAGTGTAATACGCTGTTTGTGGTGGACGTGCAGTCAGGCCACATCACGCGCATCCCCCTCATGCGGGACAAGGAGGCCGGGCTGGCCCAGGCCCACCAGGGCTGCGGCATCCATGCCATCGAGCTGAATCCCTCCAAGACGCTTCTGGCCACCGGCGGCGAAAACCCCAACAGCCTGGCCATCTACCAGCTGCCCACCCTGGACCCCCTGTGCCTGGGCGACCGCCATGGCCACAAGGACTGGATCTTCGCAGTCGCCTGGCTGAGTGACACCGTAGCTGTGAGCGGCTCCCGCGACGGCACCGTGGCTCTGTGGCGGATGGACCCAGACATGTTTAATGGCAGCATTGCCTGGCACAGCGAGGTGGGTCTCCCAGTATATGCCCACATCCGTCCGAGGGATGTGGAGGCCATCCCCAGGGCCAGCACCAACCCCAGCAACCGCAAGGTACGGGCCCTGGCCTTCAGCGGCAAGAACCAGGAGCTGGGAGCGGTGTCCTTGGACGGCTACTTCCACCTGTGGAAAGCCCGGAGCACACTATCCAGGCTCCTGTCCATCAGGCTGCCCTACTGCCGAGAGAATGTGTGCCTGACCTACTGTGATGAGTTGTCCCTGTACGCTGTGGGCTCTCAGTCCCACGTCTCCTTCCTGGATCCGCGCCAGCGCCAGCAGAACATCCGGCCCCTGTGCTCTCGAGAGGGTGGCACAGGCGTGCGGTCGCTGAGCTTCTACCAGCACATCATCACTGTGGGCACCGGCCATGGTTCCCTGCTCTTCTATGACATCCGCGCCCAGAAGTTCCTGGAGGAGAGGGCCTCTTCCAGCCTGGACTCCATGCCGGGGCCCGCAGGGAGGAAGCTCAAGCTTGCCTGCGGCAGAGGCTGGCTCAACCAAGATGACGTCTGGGTGAACTACTTTGGTGGCATGGGAGAGTTCCCCAATGCGCTCTACACCCACTGCTACAACTGGCCGGAGATGAAGCTCTTTGTGGCTGGGGGGCCTCTCCCTTCAGGCCTCCATGGGAACTACGCAGGCCTCTGGAGTTAAGGATGGACGCCTTGTTCTCAAAGTGCACAGGTTTACCTTTCAGTTCCGCCTGACTTTCCTTCTTCATGCTGCATTTGTGCTTTTAACTTTGTGTGGCTTTTGTCTTCCAGGTGGAACCAGTCCAACTTACGTGTGCTTAATGTATTAGGCAGAGAAAGAAAGAGAGAGAGCGGGAGCGAGAGAGCACAAGTGGTCCTTTCGGCAGTCAAAACTTTGGCTTTAAAACTCTCATTCACGTTTCCCAACAGCAGTATATTTTTGCCTTCTCATTCAAAGAGTTTTGGCTAAACCTTAATTGTGTTCTGTCTTTCAGTGATTCACATACCCTCCTTCTTTAGGTTGATGTAGTCATAGTCTTCACTACTATTCAGTACGTTAGTTTTATCAATATTGCAATAGTGTTCAGATCTTTTACACATGTTAGATGTGTGGTGTTTTGGGGAAATGTGAGCTACAAAGCATCTTTGGGGTTGTTTTGAGGAACTACCCATCATTTATAGCCTTACTCTAATTACAAAATGCAGTTCAGGTTCTAGATTGCCACCATTCTAGAGTGTGGCACACACCATTCTAGGGCGTGATTCATTTGGATGTTGGAAACTCAATGTCTGTTGTTTGTATAGTGTTGATGTGTAAAATGCTTTAAAAATATGTTCTGTTAGTTAGAAATCTTACAATGTTGTTCATACTATTAATCAACATTTTTGGTTATTCAGTAAAACTTTACTATCCTCAGGCCCTCCGTGTTCTTATTTAAAGCCGCTGTATTATGGCCTGCTTTTCTATGCTACAGATTTTCAGAACTACTCAATTCTGGTCTATATATGTGGTAGTGCAATCAGGGAGGTATTTTTGGGGGTATATGGGGTACACATCTCTTTAAATTCAGGTAGCTATTTACAGTGAAAAGCCAGTTGTGGCAGTTGTGCTCAGAGTAGGTGTTGATTTTTTATTACTGTATACATGGATAATTCTGGATCCAGTATGTGATGTGTTGCAGAAAAATAAATAAAATGTGTTCATCATCTTAGCAATTAAGTGGCAGACTTAAGTTCTTAATACTTAAATATATGCTTTCTTTTTTCATTTGTCTTTCTGAGAACGTATTTATCAAAGTCAAAACTTTCCAGGACAGAAGCTGAATCTGAAGCATTAGCTATGCAGACATTACTTTGTACATCTCTTTTTGAAAATGAAACTTATAAGTTAAAAGATTAAACAACATCTTGAATACGTTATGAAAATATACTTGGTGTAAGTTAGGATGGCTAAGTGTTTTTTAAAGTTGACTGAACAAACCATTTTTCATTTATACAAATATACATGTACTTATAACTACTTACATATATAATATATTTGTATATCTGTTTGTATATGTTACTTCCCATGTGAGAAGAAAGCATAGATATATATCATTTTATATGTGCAGCTATTTCTTATATATTGAACTACACATATTAAGACTTACCACTTGGTCTTTATTTGTGTTTTGTTTTATGCCAATTTAAAATAATTTTAATACAAGCACATGATCAAAAAACCATACAGTATAAAAAGTATACAGTTAAAAGTAAATCTCAAACCCCGGGGTCTCTAGTTTCCAGCCCATAGATTAGCACTAGTATATTTTTTGCATATACATATTTAGATTTAGTCTATATATATACAAGAACACATGTATGTGTGTATGGAATTTTTATACAAATAATAACATACTGTATGTATCTGTGCCTTTTTAATCACAAAATCTTAGTGATTTTTTCTTATACTTATCTACTTAATTTTATTGCATGCTGTTCTATTGTGTGATTGGAATACACTTGACTTATTCATTACACCTTTGATGATCATTTATGTTGGTTCTGGTTTTCTGTTACTGTAAACTATTCTGCAGTGATTACTTAAGTGTATACATCTTTGTGTACAAGCATAAATATATCTGCAGGATAATTCCGAGAAATGAAATTACTGGTTCAATGAGTAAGTTCATTTTATATTAATAGCCATTGCTAAATCATCTTCCAAGGAGTTCTCACCACCTTAACCTCCTACAAGTAATGGATGCACACCTGCTTTACCACACCCATGCCAACAGTGTGTCACCAAACTGTGCTCTTTGCCAATCTTACATCTACTTGATCTTGATCCTTTCTTTCTAAGCCACTGTGGCTGAGTTAATTCAATTTGTTGTCAGAGTACCAAGTGGGTTCTGAAACAAAGAACAAGAAAATGAAGGCAAGCAGTAAAAATGCTGCCACGCTAAAGGAAGAGAGTACCCACCATTCAGGCTCATGTACCTGGAAATGGATTACACACAGCTACTTTCCTTATATACTTAGCTGGACCTAGTAGGTTTCCCTGGTCTGTTGCACCCAGTTTAAGTTATACCCAACGTATGAGATGTCACTGAAGAAAATCCAAGAAGGAGACCACGAAAATCTGAACTAGGATAGTGGGGTAAGTGTGGAGAGGGAGAAAGTTATTCAAAACAATGAGGGGAAATAAAAGGAACAAACAGTATTTCATGTGAAAGATGAGGAAAACCAAAAAAATTAGGTGGACTCTCAGGCTCTGACTTGAATGTGAATGAATATTGACAGCAAATAAAAATAAAGAAAATAGGCATAGATAGTATGGGGGAGGATGATCAGTTTAACTTGGGACTTACTGAATTTGAGGTGCCTCTGTGACATCAGGAGAACATACCCAGTGAAGAATTGGCTGTGTACCCCAGGATGCAATTTCTCACTTCTGGGAAGGTGAGTGCTATGAAACACTGGAAATCTTGTCCTTTCAGGGGAAAGTAGAAGAGAAAAGCATATGAAGGATCTTTAAAACAATGAAAAGAGAGAAAGCCTGCCTCAGTGGCTCACACCTGTAATCCTAGCACTTTGGGAGGCTAAGGTAGGCAGATTGCTCGAGCCCGGGAGTTCCAGAGCAAGATGGGGAAAATGGTGAAACCTCATCTCTACATAAAATACAAAATTTGGCCGGGTGTAGTGGTACGCGCCTGTAGTTTCAGCTCCTCGGGAGGCTGAAGTGGGAGGATCACTTGAGCCCAGGAGGTTAAAGTTGCAGTGAGTAGAGATCATGCCACTGCACCCCAGCCTGGGTGACAGAGTGAGACCCTGTCTCAATAAATAAATAAACAAACAAATAAGTAAATAAAAGGAAATTTAAAAAAAAAGCTGGGATGGGGAAGAAAATGGTAGAGAATGATAGAGGCTTATTCTACACAAATTTTGTGACCTTAGCGTGAGACAACAATATATCTTTTAATACTAAAATTATAACGATTTTGAGTCTCCACCTAAAAGCCGTAAAGGACAGCTTTTCTCCCAGATAATCTTCCTAAATATTTACCTACGACTCCTTAAGACTGTCCACATTGGTCCACTAATTAGGCTTTTGAATTGCTCAACTGCTGGTTTTATCTTGGAGAATGAAAAGTCAGACCTAGCTCACAAAGCAGGGCTTCAGAGTTAATTATTTCTGGACCACTTATTCTCCTGTTCTGAGACATATCCAGTATTCCCAACACCCAGCTGGCACCAGCATCCTTGACAGTCTCACAGCAGTGGAATATCACCTCATCAGCAGCTGCTGCGAGCCCCTGTTTAAGTTCTCACTTCAATACCACAAGTGTAGGTCTCTGCCAACTTTCCCAGTCTTGCAAAAAGCAAAGGAGGTGTCCAGAGGAGGATACTGCTTTCCACAGGATTACAATAAAAGAGCACAAATGCAAATTATTAGAAGTGAGAGAGAAGAAATAATTACAAGCACAGATTTATTAGACAGGTAAATGTAAAATCTGAGTGAAATAACTCATCAGAAAATATAAATAACTAAACTTCCAAATAAGAAATAAGGAACCAGATCAGACCATTAACTCTAGAAATGTGAATATTAGTTTTTTAAAGTCTATCTTTTTAATCCAAGAATATCACGCACATAAACAGATAAGAGACACACAGATTTGATCATTTTATAAGTAAATTATTTCACATTGTCAAGGAATATCTAAGTGTGAGGTGCCTCCGAGCATAAAGAGAAAATAATTTACCCTTCTTTATAGTAGGCCAGCAAAATATTAACAAATTTGAGTAAAATTGCAGAAAATAAAAAGGGACTGATTTGACACACATGTATAAATCAATGCAACTTATCCTTTAAAAACACTGAAGGTAATCCATTAGTTCACCAAATCCATTAGTTCACCAAATTAGTCCATCAAATTCATTAGTTCACAAAATACTATGACAAAGTAAAGCTAGTTCCTTGAATTCAAGGAGTCTTCACTATTGAAAAATCTATTATTTCCATGTATTATAATAAATCAAATGAGAAGACACACATGCTCATATCACTAAATTATAATAAATGATTTAATAAAAGTCTTCTATTGTTTTGGTAAAATTCTTAGTAAACTATGTGGGAAAACATTCTTCATATGGTAAGTGTGTGTATGTGTGCATTTGTGTGTGTGTGTTTTGTGTTTCAAACTTCAACCAGAATCCTTAACATCAAAGAAACTCCTGTGAAGGTAAGAAACAAACAAGGACTCCTAAAATCACCGCCAGTATTTAATGTTGTTATAAATTTCCAGATACAGCAATTAGAAAAAGTAGAAAATATTAGATATAAATATTAGAAAATAGAAAACAGTTATATTTATTTGAAGATGAAAGATGATGGCAAAAATGATAAATTCTAGAAGAAGCAACTGGAAAAGGTTAGGAAAAATAAAATAGTAGTACAATGTTCAGTTTTGAGATTAATATATTAAAAAATCAATGCTTTTCTATTTTCACTTCTTTGCTCATTCAGCAAATATTTATTGAATGCTTACCATATATCACGCATTATTCTAGCTGCTAGATAAAAATGCTGCATCGACCAACACAAGCAAGCCATGTCCTCATAAGGCTTACAGTCCATTGAGGAGAGGGACAATAAACAGATAAACCAACAAGTATATAGGATGTAAGATGGTTATCAATGTTAATAAATAAATCAGTCGAAAGAGAATAGGGGGTAGAAAATCAGGGGGAGATGAAATTTTAAATAAAGTGGTTAGTGAAAGTCTGTTTAATAAGTTGACATTTGAGCCGAGATCAAGTGACATAGTAAGCCATGCACCTACATCAGAAAAGAGCGTTCCAGGTGATCAGAAAGAAGTGCGGAGGCCTGAGGTGGAATCATGCTTAGCATGTTTCAGGAGCAGAAAGGAGATAAGTATGGCTGGAATAAAATGAATAAAGAAAGGAGTAGGGTCAGAGAGATAATGGGTGACCACATCATATAGAGCTCTGTAGACAGTTATAAGAACCTTGGATTTTAATCTGAATGAGTTGAAAGTCCAATGAGGGTTTTTGAGAAGCAATTTATTGTTAAAAGGAAATCTGGTTGCTCTGTAGATATCATACTGTAGACTGTAGAGGAGAAAAGACAGAGAAAGAGCGGGGTTCATTAGTAGGTTACTGCAATAATCCAGCTCAAAGGTGACAGTGGCTATATGCAAAACTAGTCAGTTTAAAATGTCCGTGGATCTTGTAGTTCAAAATGGCAGACATCTCCTTCTTACAATCTTATGGAAATGACAGTACAGAATAATTAAATTGAAAAACTCCATTTCAGTGCTATAAATAAGAAAAAGTGCCATAATCAGATCAGAAATTATGACAACATTCTAGAAAACCAGAAAGTAGATAGGATCTCTTTGACAGATAAAGCTGAGTAGATCTCATTCCTTTTTATGGTTTCATAGTATTCCATAGTGTACATGTACTACATTTTATTTATTCAGTCTACCATTGATGGACATTCAAACTGATTCCATGTCTTTACTATTGTGAATAGTGCTGCAATGAACATATGCATTCATGTGTCTTTATGATAGAACAACTTATATTCGTTTGGCTAAATACCCAGTAGTGGAATTGCTAGATCTAAATAATGAAGACCCATGGACAAAAAGAGAGGAACAACAGACACTGAGGTCTACTTGAAGGTGGAGGGTGGCAGAAGAAAGAGATTCAGAAAAAAATAAAAGTAGAGTACTATGTTTAGTACTTGGGCGAGGAAGTAATCTGTACAGCAAACCAAACCCCCGAGTAACTTGTCTGCCTGTATAAAAAAACCTACATATGTACCCCAAACATAAAATAAAAAGTAAAATGTTAAAAAAAAAAACTTAGTAGAGTTACCACAAGCCTAAGAAACGACTGTGAGAATGCTGCCTTTTAGATGGGAGCGAGTCTTCATAGAGAACTTCTCCCACTGGCTCCAAGCTATGATTTAGCAAAAATTGATACCAGAAGTGGTTTTTGAAGTGGAAAGCACCACTAGAGGACTGCCCATGAATGGGCTTGGTTAGTTGGCTACTTACCCAAACAATGGAATACTATTATACAGTTATTAAAATACTGGTGCTAGTTCTTCATGTACTGACTAGAAGTGTCCTTGATATTACTGTCACGTGAAAGAAGCATATTGCAAACCAAAAGCATATTATAATTCCATTTTTGTTTAAGATACTAGAAGAAGGAGAGGAAGAAGCATACAGCATATGTACGAATATATGCAAAAGTATTATTAGTATGTTTCCCTAAGGGATAAAGTAACAGTGGACTTTCTTAATATTCAATCTATTTATATAATGTTTAAACAGTCTAAATAACATGCATTTCCTTAGTAAACAAAAGAAAAAGAGAAACAGGGAAGACACATTTTAAAAGGCTGGTTGGGATGGGAAAGAGACGAGGGAGAAGAAAGGTGTGATTTATTGTGTTGAATGTAGCATGGAGCTGAAATAGACTAAAACTGAGAAAATGTTATCTTTATGCAATATGGAAGTTCATGGAGGTCTTTTGCCAGAGTAATCGCAATTGTGATCAGCTGCATTGTTTCTCCCCAAAAGGGGATAAATAATACAGTGTTTCTCAAGATTGACCATGGAACCCTTTTTCCCATGAACATCTGACAGGTCTGTGATTTTCTTTCTTCTCAACTCAAACAAGTCGATTTTGGAGAAATAGTGTGAGAGCTATATAAGTCCTGCATCACAGGGTCTGCACTATAATGAAATAAATTTTCCTGAATCAAATGTGGAGCAAAGAGAAGACATGAACCTACACCTACCAATTTCAATAATCCATGTTGTTCTTTAAGATTTCCTGATACATATCTCCAGCAATTCACAGCCAGAAACTAATTTGAAAAACCGGTAACACTAGAGAATTCCACCTTTTTTGATATTCATCTTCCCTGAAGCTTATTATATTAACATAATTTTGAGTTTTGACACCAAAATGTCCATTAAACTTATCTACTCCAAAATTCCCGCTATAATTCTAGAGGTGGAGAGGGAGACAGTATTAGTTGTAAAATAGGCCAAGGTGTATTCTTAGTCAGTCATTGCTATAACACATAAATCCATTCCCATCTCTGAGGTCCTGAGCTGACAATAAAGCCAGTCCAACACTATATTAATATAATCTTTGAAAAAAATGGGACTCTTAGTTTTATAATATATAGGAGACAAAGAGAAAAATAATAACTCAGAACTCTGCAAATGTATATTTGGGTGTGTAGGAACAGAGAGTGGAAAACATACTTTATAAATTCTTCTGTTGTCAATATTAAAATTTGAGCACTGTTAGTACATGGAAGCAAATTTGCTGCCCATACGTCCCTAGTGTTATACAGAGGAGTTATTTAAGCTAGATACTATCATTTACAAAGGATTAAAATCAATGTATGAGTCTTCAACTAAATGTCACAAATATTCAAACAGTTGGAATATAAAACTAAATAGATTTAACACCTAAAATTGCTCATTTGTCTTGCTTTTCACTAGTTTTATCCAGTAATTAATCATAATATTGACACACACCATAATAGCTGGTTGATGTAGCTGGAAGTAGATGAGTCAATTCATTGAGAAAGAATCATTCAAACCAGTGATTTAGACTCATGTGGACAGCATCACCAATTAAGTAACAGAATAAACTCCCGCCCTCAACCCATCAAGCTGTTCTGACTTTGCAAACCGAAAATATAATATTGTTCTGGAAAGCCAAATATATATTTCTTATAGAATCAGATAAAAGACTGAGATCATTGATGAAATAATCTCCTTTGTAAAAGGCAATTCCATAAGCATTGGAGCAGAGACATGATAACAGCATCAGAAACTTCTGCTTAGAAGGGACATTAGAAAAAGATACATATTTGACTTTCAAAATCTCAATTTAATAATGATAAATGTGTCATTCATACATATGTGTGTGTGGGTGTATGTGTGTGTAGCAGTAGTAGTAGTAGCTGGTGTTTTATCTTCACCTACAAAGCAATTTTATTTTATGCCTCCTTACTGGGATCTCTATCTTTATATGAGTGCTCACATATATAAACACATGCATCTAGACAGAGATAAATGATCTTCAATGTAGGGAGTTCAAGGTAATGTCTTATTAAAATCTTGAATCTTCTTGGTTTTACTTTATAACATTCTGTGGGTGACTTACCCAATCTCAAAATGAAAAACACAAGTCAAACTAATGGCAAAGTACTACAGTCACCTAGTGCATCTGTTATTGTTGTATTTTTTGCAATTTGCTGAGCTGAGTATTGAGTAATGAATAAGTGTATTTAAACAATTAAAAATTCTTGTGGGCATTTAGTGCTATAAATTTCCCTCTACACACTGCTTTGAATGTGTCCCAGAGATTCTGGTATGTTGTGTCTTTGTTCTCGTTGGTTTCAAAGAACATCTTTATTTCTGCCTTCATTTCGTTATGTACCCAGTAGTCATTCAGGACCAGGTTGTTCAGTTTCCACGTAGTTGAGCGGTTTTGAGTGAGATTCTTAATCCTGAATTCTAGTGTGATTGCACTGTGGTCTGAGAGATAGTTTGTTATAATTTCTGTTCTTTTACATTTGCTGAGGAGAGCTTTACTTCCCAGTATGTGGTCAATTTTGGAATAGGTGTGGTGTGGTGCTGAAAAAAATGTATATTCTGTTGATTTGGGGTGGAGAGTTCTGTAGATGTCTATTAGGTCCGCTTGGTGCAGAGCTGAGTTCAATTCCTGGGTATCCTTGTTGGCCTTCTGTCTCGTTGATCTGTCTAATGTTGAGAGTGGGGTGTTAAAGTCTCCCATTATTATTGTGTGGGAGTCTAAGTCTCTTTGTAGGTCACTCAGGACTTGCTTTATGAATCTGGGTGCTCCTGTATTGGGTGCATATATATTTAGGATAGTTAGCTCTTCTTGTTGAATTGATCCCTTTACCGTTACGTAATGATCTTCTTTGTCTCTTTTGATCTTTGTTGGTTTAAAGTCTGTTTTATCAGAGACTAGGATTGCAACCCCTGCCTTTTTTTGTTTTCCATTTGCTTGGTAGATCTTCCTCCATCCTTTTATTTTGAGCCTATGTGTGTCTCTGCACGTGAGATGGGTTTCCTGAATACAGCACACTGATGGGTCTTGACTCTTTATCCAATTTGCCAGTCTGGGTCTTTTAATTGGAGCATTTAGTCCATTCACATTTAAAGTTAATATTGTTATGTGTGAATTTAATCCTGTCATTATGATTTTAGCTGGTTATTTTACTCGTTAGTTGATGCAGTTTCTTCCTAGTCTCGATGGTCTTTACATTTTGGCATGATTTTGCAGTGGCTGGTACTGGTTGTTCCTTTCCATGTTTAGTCCTTCCTTCAGGAGCTCTTTTAGGGCAGGCCTGGTGGTGACAAAATCTCTCAGCACTTGCTTGTCTGTAAAGTATTTTATTTCTCCTTCACTTATGAAGCTTAGTTTGGCTGGATATGAAATTCTGGGTTGAAAATTCTTTTCTTTAAGAATGTTGAATATAGGCCCCCACTCTCTTCTGGCTTGTAGCGTTTCCGCTGAGAGATCCGCTGTTAGTCTGATGGGCTTCCCTTTGTGGGTAACCCGACCGTTCTCTCTGGCTGCCCTTAACATTTTTTCCTTCATTTCAACTTTGGTGAATCTGACAATTATGTGTCTTGGAGTTGCTCTTCTCGAGGAGTATCTTTGTGGCGTTCTCTGTATTTCCTGAATCTGAATGTTGGCAACGAAAGCCAAAATTGACAAATGGGATCTAATTAAACTGAAGAGCTTCTGCACAGCAAAAGAAACTACCATCAGAGTGAACAGGCAACCTACAAAATGGGAGAAAATTTTCGCAACCTACTCATCTGACAAAGGGCTAATATCCAGAATCTACAATGAACTCAAGCAAATTTACAAGAAAAAAAAACAACCCCATCAAAAAGTGGGCGAAGGACATGAACAGACACTTCTCAAAAGAAGACATTTATGCAGCCAAAAAACACATGAAAAAATGCTCACCATCACTGGACATCAGAGAAATGCAAATCAAAACCACAATGAGATACCATCTCACACCAGTTAGAATGGCAATCATTAAAAAGTCAGGAAACAACAGGTGCTGGAGAGGATGTGGAGAAATAGGAACACTTTTACAGTGTTGGTGGGACTGTAAACTAGTTCAACCATTCTGGAAGTCAGTGTGGCGATTCCTCAGGGATCTAGAACTAGAAATACCATTTGACCCAGCCATCCCATTACTGGGTATATACCCAAAGGACTATACATCATGCTGCTATAAAGACACATGCACACGTATGTTTATTGCGGCACTATTCACAATAGCAAAGACTTGGAACCAACGCAAATGTCCAACAATGATAGACTGGATTAAGAAAATGTGGCACATATACACCATGGAATACTATGCAGCCATAAAAAATGATGAGTTCATGTCCTTTGTAGGGACATGGATGAAATTGGAAATCATCATTCTCAGTAAACTGTCGCAAGAACAAAAACCCAAACACCGCATATTCTTGCTCATAGGTGGGAATTGAACAATGAGAACACATGGACACAGGAAGGGGAACATCACACTCTGGGGACTGTTGTGGGGTGGGGGGGGGGGAGGGATAGCTTTAGGAGATATACCTAATGCTAAATGACAAGTTAATGGGTGCAGCACACCAGCATGGCACATGTATACATATGTAACTAACCTGCACATTGTGCACATGTACCCTAAAACTTAAAGTATAATAATAATAAAATAAAGAAATAAATAAACAATTAAAAATTTACAAACTCAAAGCCATGTAAAAACCAAGCCTTCATTTTATCTCAAGATTTTGGGTTGCTTCTCGGATGAAAGCAATTAGTCTGGCATTGTAAATGTCAACCATCATGGTACAATGTCTATACTGTGCATTACATAGGGCTTATGGTAAGTCAGATGGGATAAGTAACTACTCTTCAGAATTTGGACTGCCAATTAAACTTCTTTTAGAGAAAAAAAATGGTACATCAATCTGACAATTTGTTTATCTTTTATTGTTAGCTTGTGTCATAGAATATATGGCCAAGAGCAGGACTAATAAATGAGGAAATTGTGTATATCTATAAAACCCTTTAAAAGTCATCTAGTCTAACACTTAGTTTTAAGGATGAAGATATTTTATAGTCGTAACTGTAAGTGTGGCTCCTGACATTTGAAATATTTAAAATAACAAAATATGCATGCAATTTAACAAAAACTCATGTTTCTACCATCTAGAATTAACTATTACTTAGTCTTTTTTATATGAAGAAAGAAACTAAAATCATGTATAAAGTTAAAGCCCCCTTTCAGCATCATAAGTTTCCTTCTCACCTGTCTTGAGGCAAGCAGTCACCATTAAGACTTCAGCGAGTATCTGTCTATTTCAAGTTTTATACTGTTATATATTTATAGTTTCTTAACAAAACTTTTATAGTGTTTACCATGTGCCTGGCATAGTTATTAACATTTTCCAAACATTTACTTATTTAATCCTCATAGTAGCCTACATTTTGCAAATGACTATTCTACAAAGGAGTAAACAACTTGCCCAAGGACACAGAGCTAATATGATGCAGAGTTGCATCTGGAGTCCAGTTGTACACATGTATGTCTCCATCTATAACATATAGAATGATTTTTATTAATGTTGTACACTTAAAAAAATTATACAAATGATATGCTGAACTTGTTCAGTAATTTGTTCTTTTTTCGTGCATTTGAGATCTATTCTTGATGATGTGTATGCATTTGTGCAGTTCATTTTAATCACTAGATCATCTATTATATGAATATATCACAACGTATGTATTTGCTATGGTTTAAATGTGTGCCTTCCAAAATTCAGGTATTAACGGATGGAGCCTTTAAGAGGTTATAGGCCATAAGAGTTCCTCCCTTGCAAATGGGATTAAGGCCCTTATAAAAGAGGCTTCATGCAACTCACTTTCTCTTTTGTCTCCCGTCATGTAAATACTCAGTGTTCCTCCCCTCCCAGAGGATCTGACAACAAGGCACCAACTTGGAAGAAGTGTACAGTCCTCACCAGACAGCCAAACCTGCCAACACCTTGACTTTGGGCTTCCTAGCCTCCAAAACTGTGATAAAATAAATTTCTGTTCTTTATAAATTACCCAGTCTGTGGTATTTCATGATGGTAGCAAAAATGGACCAAGACAGTATTCTACCAATTTAACAATTAGGTTCTTAGAAAAAATTTTGTATAACAAAAAATATTATAATACATACACTTGTAAAAAATATTTTGTGATGCACATGTGGTAAGTACTCTATATTTTTTTAAATATAGAAGTTAGCTTGCTCTTTTATAGACTGTGTACATTTTTCAATTTGCTTCATGTTGCCAAAAATGAATTCAAACCTTGCTGTGGTGGTAGAATTCTGACGCTGGACTTAATGAAATGTTATGTCATTGGTCTTAAAACCTACTGGAACAATATTTATGCCATAACCATTCAATTAATATAAAGGGAATACATGTTATATAGTATGGATATTTGTCCTTACCCAAATCTCACATTGAAATTGTAATCTCCATTGTTGGAGGTGGGGCCTGGAGAGAGGTGATTGGATCAGGGGGGTGGATTTGTCATGAATGGATTAGCACCATCCTCTTGGTGCTGTCGTATTGATAGTGAGTTAATTTTTGCCAGATCTGGTTGTTTAAAAATGTGTGGGAGGAGCAGCCAAGATAACTGAGTAGAAGTAGCTCCAGTCTGCGGGCTACCACCTAGAATAACAAAAACAGCCAGTGAATTCTGCATCTTCCATTGAGGTACCCAGGTTCTCTCATCAGGACTGACTAGGCAGTTGGCACCACCCACAGAGAGCAAGGAAAAACAGGGTGGAGCAAGGACCAGCCCAGGAGCCGCATGGGGCAAAGGAAGCTCCCTCCCACAGCCAAGGGAGGAGATGGGGGATTGTGCTACCATGTCCTGAAAACCATGCTTTGCCCACTGATCTCTGCAACCAGTGGATCAGGAGGTCCCCTAGTGAGCCCACGCCACCAGGGCCTTGGGTCCCAAGCACAGAGCTGTGCAGAGTCACCACAGCTACTTGGGTGGGCAGCAGCTGGGGCAGGCACTGAGATACAGGACTTTTTGCATACTCCAGCACCTAGAACTCTGGTGAGGCAGGAGATCCGTGGGAAGGGGGCTGAAGCCAGGGAGCCAAGCAATTTCTCTCAGCAGGCCCCACTCCCGCGGAACCCACAAGCTAAAACCCACTGGCTTGGAATCCCCACTGGCCAGTGCAGCATGCTGGAGACTGCCTAAGAAGACCCAGTTCTGGGGTGGGGGGCGTTGGGGGCAGGGGCAGCTGCCATCACAGCCATTCCAGTCAGCAGCTTTCCCCTGCTGCTGGTGCCAGTGAGACTGGGTGGTTTGGACCAGGATCAATTCCGCACAGTGCAAAATAGCAGCTGTGACAGTTTGTGGCCAGACTGCTTCTTTAAGCGGGACCCTGACCCATTCCTTCTCACTGGGCAGAGGCTCCCTGTGGGATTGTCAGCATCCCCAGCCTGGAGTTTAGGGACAGGTCTCTGATTTCCCTGAGGGAAACCCCTAGGAGGAGGGGCAGCCAGAGTATCATGGATGAGCAGTCTTAGTCTTTTCTGCCTGCCAGCTCTGAAGAGTTAGGGCAGACAAGACAAGGAGGACTCTCCCCATTGCAGCACACCCACTCTGACAAGTGACAATCAGGCTGCTTATTTAAGTGGGTCCTTGATCCCGTCCCTCCTGACTGGGTAAGACCCTCCAACAGGGTTCTCCAGACACCTCATACAGGAGTGTTCCAGCCAGCATCAGATCGGTACCCCTCAGTGAAAGAGCTCTCAGAGTAAGGAGCAAGCTTCAAACTTTGCTATTCTGCAGCCTCCACTGGTGATACCTCCAGGGGTGGAAGGCACCCAGGCAAATAGGATCTGGAGTGGGCCCCCAGCAAACTGTAGCAGCCCTACAGAAGAGGGGCCTAGCTGAAAAAAAAAAAAAGCAACAACAACGTTAATGAAAAAGACCCCATGAAACCCCATCCAAAGGTCAGCATCCTCAAAGATCAAAGGTAGATAAACCCATAAAGATGAAAAAGAATCAACACAAAAACACTGAAAACTCAAAAAGCCAGAGTGCCTCTTCTCCTTCAAATTACGGCAACATGTCTCCAGCAAGGGCACAGAACTGGTATAAGGCTGATATGGATGAATCAACAGAAGTAGGCTTCAGAAGATGGGTAATAAACTTTGCTGAGCTAAAGCAGAATATTCTAACCAATTGCAAAGAAGCTAAGAACTGTAATAAAACATTACAGGAGCTGTTAACCAGAATAAACAGTTTAGGGAGGAAAATAAATGACCTGGTCTAGCTGAAAACCACAACATGAGAACTTCACAATGCAAACATAAGTATCAATAGCTGAATAGACCAAGCAGAAAAAAAGAATATCAGAGTTTGAAGACTATGTGGCTGAAATAAGGCATGCATACAAAATTAGAGATAAAAGAATGAAAAGAAACCAAACCTCAAGAATTATGAGATTACGTAAAAAGGCTGAACCTACAACTGATTGAGGTACCTGAAAGAAACAGGGAGAATAGAATCAAGTTGGAAAACACACTTCAGGATATAATCCAGGAGAAATCCCCCAAACTAACAAGACAGGCCAATATTCAAATTCAAGAAATCCAGAGAACCCCATTAAGATACTACATGAGAATATCAACCCCAAGACACATAATTATTAGATTATCCAAGGTAGAAATGTAGGCAAAAATTTTAAAGGCAGCCAGAGAGAAAGGCCAGGCCACCTACAAAGGGAAATCTATCAGACTTACAGCAGACATCTAAGTGGAAACTTTACAAGCCAGAAGAGATTGGGGGCCAGTATTCAACATTCTTAAAGAAAAGAATTTCTAACCCAGAATTTCATATTCAGCCAAACTAAGCTTCATAAGTAAAGGAGAAATAAAGCCTATTTCAGACAAGAAAATGCTGAGGGAATTTGCCACCACCAGGCCTACCTTGCAAGAGACCCAGAAGGAAGCACTAAATTGGAAAGGAAAAACCATTATCAGCCACTAGAAAAGCACACTGAAGTACATAGACCAGTGACACCATGAAGCAACTACATTAACAAGTCTGCAAAATAACCAGCTAGCATTAAGATGACAGGATCAAATTCACACATAACAATATTAACCTTAAATTTAAATAGGCTAAATACCCCAAATAAAAGACACAGAATGGCAAGCTGGATAAAGAGTCAAGAGCCATCACTGTGTTGTATTCAAGAGACCCATCTAACATACAAAGACACACATAAACTCAAAATAGAGAGATGGAGGAAAATTTACCAAAAAAATGGAAAACAGAAAAAAGCACGGGAAGCAATTATAGTTTCTGAAATATCAGACTTTAAACCAACAAAGATCAGAAAAGACAAAGAAGGTCATTGCATAATGGTAAAGGGGTCAATTCAACAAGAAAAGCTAATTATCCTAAATATAAGCACACCCAATAAAGGAACACCCAAATTTATCAAACAAGTTCTTAGAGACCTACAAAGAGACTTAGACTTGACACAATAATAGTGGGTGACTTTAACACCCTACTATCAATATTAGATCATCAAGACAGAAAATTAACAAAGATATTCAGGACTTGAACTCAGCTCTGGATCAAGTGGACCTAAATAAGTCTCTACAAAACTCTCCACCTATAAACAACAGAATATACATTCTCAGTGTCACATGACACTTACTCTAAAATTGATCACATAATTGGAAGTAAATCACTCCTCAGCAAGTGCAAAAGAACTGAAATCATAACAAACAGTCTCTCAGAACACATCACAATCAAATTAGCACTCAAGATTAGGAAACTTACTCAAAACCACACAACTACATGGAAATTGAACAACCTGCTCTTGAATGACTCCTGTGTAAATAATGAAATTCAAGCAGATATCAAAAAGTTCTTTGAGACTAATGACAGCAAAGCGACAATGTACCAGAATCTCTAGGATGCAGCTAAAGCAGTGTTAAGAGGGAAATTTATAACACTAAATGCTAACATGAAAAAGCTAGAAATATCTCAAATTGACACCCTAACATCACAACTAAAGAAGCTACAGATCCAAGAGCAAACAAACCCCAAAGCTAGCAAAAGACAGGAAATAACCAATAACAGATTAGAACTGAAGGAAATAGAGACACAAAAAAACCCTTCAAAAAATCAAAGAATCCAGGAGCTGTTTTTCTTTAAATAATAAAATACATAGATCACTAGCTAGAAAAATGAAAAAGAAAAGAGAGAAGAATCAAATAGATACAATAAAAAATGATAAAGGGGATATCACCACTGACCCCACATAAATAAAAACTACCATCAGAGAATACTATAAACACATCTATGCACACAAACTAGAAAACCTAAAAGAAATAATACATTCCTGGACACATACACCCTCCCAAGGCTGAACCAGGAATAAATTGAATCTCTGAACAGACCAATAACAAGTTCTGAAATTGAGACAGTAGTAAAAAGCCTACCAAAAAAAGAATGCTTAGGACCAGACAGATTTACAGCTGTAGTCTACCAGAGGAACAAAGAGGAGCTGATACTCTTTCTTCTGAAACTATTTCAAGCAACTGAAAAGGAAGGACTTCTCCCTAACTCATTTTATGAGCTCAACATCATCCTGATACCAAAACCTGGCAGAGTTACGACAACAACAAAAACTTCAGGCCAATATCCCTGATGAACATCAATGCAAAAATCTTCAATAAAATACTGGCGAACCAAACCCAGCAGCATATCAAAAGGCTTATCCACCACAATCAAGTCGGCTTCTTCCCAGGGATGCAAGGCTAGTTCAACATATGCAAACCAATAAATGTAATTCATCACATAAACAGAACTAAAGACAGAAATCATATGTTTATCTCCACAGACACAGAAAAGGCCTTCAATACATTTCAACCACCCTTAATGTTAAAAACTCTCAATAACCTAGGTATTGAAGGAGCATACCTCAAAATAATAAGAGCCATTTATGGCAAACCCACAGCCAATATCATACTGAAATATGCAAAACCTGGAAACATCTCCCTTGAAAACTAGCACAAGAAAAGGATGCCCTCGCTCACCACTCATATTCAACATAGTTTTGGGAGTTCTGGCCAAGGCAAACAGGCAAGAGAAAGAAATAAAGGGTATTCAAACAGGAAGAGAGAAAGTCAAATTGTCTTTGTTTGCAGATGACATGATCCTATGTCTAGAAAACCTCACCATCTCATTCAAAAGCTTCTTAAGTTGATAAGCAACTTCAGCAATGTCTCAGGATACAAAATCAAAGTGCAAAGCATTCCTATACACCAACAACAGATAAGCAGAGTGCCAAATGTTGTATAAATTCCCATTGACAATTGCTACAAAGACAATAAAATACCTAGGAATACAGCCAACAAGGGAAGTGAAGAACCTCTTCCAGGAGAACTACAAACCACTGCTCAAGGAAATCAGAGAGGACACAAACAAATGGAAAAACATTCCATGCTCATGGATAGGAAGAAGTAATGTCGTGAAAATGGCCATACTACCCAAAGTAATGTATAGATTCAATGCTATTCTCATTAAACCACCATTGGCATTCTTCACAGAATTAGAAGAAATTATTTTAAAATTCATACGGAACCAAAAAAGAGCTTGTATAGCCAAGATAATCCAAAGCAAAAAGAACAAAGCTGGAGGCATCACACTACCTGGTTTTAAACTAAACTACAAGGCTACAGTAATCAAAATAGCATGGTACTGGTACAGAAAGAGAAACATAGACTAATGGAACACAATAGAGAACTCAGAAATAAGACCACACAACTACAACTGTGTGATCTTTGACAAACCTGACAAAAACAAACAATGGGGAAAGGAATCCCTGTTTAATAAATGGTGCTGGGAGATCTGGCTAGGTATCTGAATAAAATTAAAACTGGACCCCTGTCTTACACCTTACACAATAATTAAGATGGATTACAGAATTAAATGTAAAACCCTAAACTATAAAATCCCTAAAAGAAAATCTAGGCAATACCAGTCAGGACATAGTCACGGGCAAAGGTTTCATGATAAAAATGTCAAAGCAATTACAACAAAAGCAAAAATCAACAAATGGGTTCTCATTAAACTAAAGGGCTTCTGCACAGCAAAAGAAACTCTCATCAGAGCAAACAGAAATTTTTTTCAATCTATCCATCTGACAAAGGTCTAATATCCAGTATCTACACAGGACTTAACCAATTTACAAGTGAAAAACAAACAACCCCATTAAAAAGTGGGCAAAGGACATGAACAGACACTTCTCAAAAGAAGACATTTATCTCACCAACAAACATATGAAAAAAAGCTCAATATCACTGATTATTAGAGAAATGCAAATCAAAACAACAGTGAGATACCATCTCACACCAATCTGAATGGCGATTATTAAAATGTCAAGAAACAACAGATGACAGTGAAGCTGCAGAGAAATACGAGTGCTTTTACTCTGTTGGTGGGAATGTAAATTAGTTTTATCATTGTGGAAGACAGTGTGGCAATTGAACCAGAAATACCATTTGACCCAGCAATCCCATTACTGTGTATATACCCAGAGGAATATAAATCATTCTATTACAAAGATACATGCACATATGTACATACATGCACATATGTACATTGCAGCACTATTGACAATAACAAAGACATGAAATCAACCCAAAAGCCCATCGATGATTGACTGGATAAAGAAAATGTGGTACATATACACCATGGAATACTATGCAGCCAAAAAGAGGATTGAGATCATGTCCTTTGCAGGGACATGGATGGAGCCGGAAGCCATTACCCTCAGCAAACTAACACAGGAATGGAAAACAAAACACTGTTCTCACTTACAGAGCTGAACAATGAGAACACATGGACTCAGGGAGGGGAAAAAACACACACTGGGGCCTGTTTGGGGGTGGTGGGGGCAGGGAGAGCATTAGGAAAAATAGCTAATGCATGCTGGGCTTAATACCTAGGTGATGGGTTGATGGGTGCAGCAAACCACCATAGCACTCGGTTACCTATGTAACAAACCTGCACATCCTGCACATGTGCCCAGAACTTAAAATAAAATATAATTTTAATAAAAATAAAACAAAAAAAGTGTGTGGCACCTCGTGCACTCTCTTTCGCTTGTTTCTGCTTTGGCCATTGAGGTGCCTGCTCCTGTTTCACCTTCCACTATGAGTAAAATCTCACTGAGACCTCTCAAGAAGCAGATGACATTACACTTCCTGTACAGCCTGCAGAACTGTGAGCCAATTAAACCTGTTTTCTTATAAATCAGCCAGTATCAGGTACTTCTTTATAGCAATGCAAAAATGGCCTGATGCAAAATGTTTTATATCTACATCAATTTTCACTACTTCACTGTAAAGATATTCTAGCACTGAAGAACAATCCGAGAAAAAAAATGGTTGAGTTGAGGAAATAGGTAATTGTGTATTTCATTGCTTTTCCATAAAATCTATCTTGACTACAATTTTACTAATCATCACAGCTGCCACTGTCAAAACAAGCATGCATTATTTCTTAATTCCATTTCCATTAACAATTAAATGAAAGAATAATAGAACCTGCAATAATACATATGCACTGTGAATTCAATACTATATTAAGAGTGGCTAATATGTAATTGCTACCCAATTGTGCTTGATACACAATTATATATTTGCTATGCTTTCCAAATATATAATAGAAGAATGTACGTCTTTGGAAAATAACGACAGGAGGAACTTGTAGATTACAAATTTGCCTGCTGAAGTAAAAGTCACATGTTCCATTGGTTATTTCTTCAATACAACAATAGCACTAGCATCATGTGTTAAGTGTATTTTTCTACATGAAATAAATATTGACATTTTTATTAAGCAGTATAACAAGAATTACAGATATTATATTTATAATGGTGACTATTAACATGTTCAAACCTGTGGTGAGTATACTTTTGTGAACGATTCCCATATTTTAACTAGTTGACTATTAGCAGAGATTAAAAGGAACCTCCATATGTTGGTATCCATTAAGAAACAAGCTTATTCGATCTAAACTGAAGAAGAGAGAAACACAAAAGTTCATTCAAAAAATCAATGAATCCAGGAGCAAAAATTTTCTCTTATTCTGTAGGTTGTCTGTTTACTCTGTTAATACTTTCTTTTGCAGTGCGGAAGCTCTTTAATTTAATTAGATTTCATTTCTCAATTTTTGCTTGTGTTGCAATTGCTTTTGGTGCTTGGTCATGAAATATTTGCCTGTGCCTATGTCCTAAATGGTATTGCCTAGGTTGTCTTCCAGGGTTTTTACAGTTTTGAGCTCTACGTTAAAGTATTTAATCCACTTTTAGTTGATTTTTGTATATAGTGTAAGGAAGGGGTCCAGTTTCAATCATCTCCATATGGCTAGCCAGTTCTCCCAGCACCTTTTATTGAATAGGGAATCCTTTCCCTATTGCTTGTTTTTTGTAGGTTTGTTGAAGATCAGATAGTTGTACATGTGCAGTCTTATTTCTGGGTTCTCTGCTCTGTTTCATTGGTGTATGTGTCTATTTTTGTACCAGTATTATGCTGTTTGGTTACTGTAGCCCTGTAGTATAGTTTGAAGCCGGGTAGTGTGGTGCCTCCTACTTTGTTCTTTTTGCTTAGGATTGCTCTGGCTATTCGGGCTCTTTTATGGTTCCACATGAATTTTAAAACAGTTTTTCTCTAGTTCTGTGAAGAATGTCAATAGTAGTTTTATAGGAATAGTATTGAATCTATAAATTGCTGATATGGTTTGGCTGTGTCCTCACCCAAATCTCATCTTGAATTCTCATGTGTTGTGGGAGGGAGTAGGTTGGAGGTAATTGAATCATGGGGGCAGGTCTTTCCTGTGCTGTTCTCATGATAGTGAGTACGTCTCATGAGATTTAATGGTTCTTATGGTGGGGGTCACGGGGGAGCAGTTCTGCACAAGCTGTCTTTGCTAGCTGCCATCCATGTAAGACGTGTCTTGTTCCTCCTCGCCTTCCATCATGATTGTGAGACTTCCCCAGCCACATGGAACTGTAAGTCCAATTAAACCTCTTTCTGTTGTAAATTGCCTAGTCTTGGGTTATGTCTTTATCAGCAGCATGAAAATGGAAGAATACAGTAAATTGGTACCAGTAGAGTGGGGCACTGCCATACCAAAAAATGTGAAAGAGATTTTGGAACTAAGTAATAGGCAGAGATTGGAACAATTTGAAGGGCTCAGAAAAAAAGACAGAAAAATGTGGGAAAGTTTGGAACTTCCTAGAGACTTGTTGAATGACTTTGACCAAAAGCCTCAGAATGATATGGACAATAAAGTCCAGGCTGAGGTGGTCTCAGATGGAGATGAGGAACTTGTTGGGAACCGGAGCAATGGTGACTCTTGTTATGTTTTAGCAAAGAGACTGGAGGCATTTTGCCCCTGCCCTAGAGATTTGTAGAACTTAGAACTTGAGAGGGATGACTTAGGGTATCTGACAGAAGAAATTTTTAAGCAGCAAAGCATTAAAAATGTGACCTGGGTCCTGTTTAAGGCATTTGGTTTTATAAGGGCAGCAGAGCATAAAAGTTTGAAAAATTTGCAGCCTTACAGCATGATAGAAAAGAAAAATCCATTTTCTGAGGAGAAATTCAAGCTGGCTGCAGAAATTTGCATAAGTAATGAGAAGCCGAATGTTAACCCCCAAGGCAACAGGGAAAATGTCTCCAGGGCATGTCAGAGGTCTTCACGCAACCCTTCCCATCAGAAGCCCAAACGCCTAGGAGAAAATTGTTTCATGGGTCAAGCCCAGGGTCCTTGTCCTGTGTGCAGTCTAGGTACTTGATGCCCTGTGTCCCAGCCACTCCAGCCATGACTAAAAGGGGCCAAGGTACACCCTGGGCTGTTGTTTCAGAGGTTGAAAGCCCCAAGCCTTGGCAGCTTCCACGTGGCATTGGGCCAGCAGGTGCACAGAAGTCAAGAATTGAGGTTTGGGAACCTCTGCCTAGATTTCAGATATAATGATTCTTCCCATCCATGAGCATGGAATGGTTTTCCATTTGTTGTGTCAATTGTGAATGGGATTGCATTTCTGATTTGGCCAGCAATGAGGGCATCCCTCCATAATGTCAGTGGACATCGTATGGGGAGCCAGAATACCTGTGCCCCAGGTAGTAATGTGGAGCCCTCCACTCAAGTATCAGTAGAAGCCAAGTGGGGAACCTAAATCTGTATCTCTACTTTTTAGTAATGAAAAGTGCTCCCCTCTTTTCCTGCTGTAGTGGTGTCAGAAAATCCCAGCTAAATAGAAGGTCTAAATAAGATCCAGTATCTCATAACAAAATATTAAAATGTATAAGCGTCAATCAAATAATCACTCATTATATCAAGAACCAGGATGATCTCAAATTAAATGAAAAACTAAAATCAATAAATGCCAACATCAAGATGACAGAGATGTTAGAATTATCGGACAAAAATTTTAAAGCAACCACAAAAATGCTGCAATGAGTTATTGTGAGCATGATTGAAATAAATGATGAAATAGGAATTCTCAGAAAAAAATCAGAAAGTTTCAAAAAGTAGAAAATATAAAGTAGAAACAAGTGGAAATTTTAGAACTGAGAAACACAATAAGTAAAATGAATATTTCAGTAGCTGAGCTCAGCTGCATAATGGATGAGTTTGAGGAAATAGTGATTTCGAAAAAAATAACAAGAGAAATTATAAATATGAACAGCAACAAGAAAATAAACATTAAAAAATGAACACTCTCAGGAACTTTTGAGACTATGACAAAAAATATAACTTTCATGTCATCAGAGTCCCAGAAGAGGGCAGTCCTACCTCCCCAAAAAACAGCTGGCCCTTTTGCCCTCTCTGCCTGCACCTACCTGGCCCAACAACCAGTCTGGTGCCCCTACCCACAGCAAAACTAGCCATTGCCTTCACCAACTACCATAACATAGGCAACTGAGGCAATTGCAGACTTTGTTGATCGGGATTACAGCTGAAGAAATTGCACAGAGACAACACTGCTGAGTCAACCCAGAAATAAAGTCAATGCAACCTAACCAACCAACAACTCAGGACCCATGTATGGGAAAAAGTCTCTCCCTACAAATATACTACATTAAACTGGAAAAAGCAAATATTCTACTAGTTGTAGAGATACCAATATAAAGAGGGAAGAAACATGAAAATGCAAGAAAACATGACACTCCACAAGGATAACTAAAAGTCTCCAGTATTTTTTTAAGATAGCAGATTAAAAGCTTTTAGTGTGCCTCAGCTGCTTGGAAATAGCAGAATACTACGTAAAGATCAGTTCTGTAAGCTTTAATTCAAAAAAGAAAGTGAGAATCCACTGGCATAGCAAAGGACACCACAGATTCTGGGGAGGAAAAAGTGGACAAACAACCCCCATGACAGTGTTCAGCTGATAAAAGTGAGTGATCCCCTTGTTAGTGAGAGGGGCAGAGTGTCTTCCTCTATGACTTACCTTTCCACTAGTGATCTGTGCAATCCAGGCTAAGGGAAGTCCTTTAAAAAAAAAAAAACGACAATTTTCTTGTTCACTTAATTTGTATCTCCTGGTTAACTGGGACATTGAGCTTCTTTCCATTGATTCTTGGCTGTTTGTATTTTTCCTAGGAGTTGCTGGCTTATTTTCTTTTCCCACTTTTTTTTCTTTTGGGTTGTCTTTTAATTATTGATTTTTAGGAACACTGAACATTATTATAAATGTGACAAAAGTTTTATCTAGGTTTCTTTGATATATTTTGTCATTTAAAAGTTTAAAAAATTGGTACAGTCAAATTAATCAGTTTCTATACATGACTTCTGAGTTTTGTGTTCTTTTTCACTTACAATAATAAAACATTTTATTATTCCTTCTAACATTTTATTTTTATGTTTATCTCCATATTCCATCTGCGACCTATCTGGAGATGTAACTTGGGCTATAACTTTTTATTTTTTTATTTTTATTTTTAATTTTTTAAATTTTACTTTAAGTTCTAGGATACATGTGTAGAACGTGCAGGCTTATTACATAGGTATACATGTGCCATGGTGGTTTGCTGCACCTATTGACGCATCCTCTAAGTTCCCTCCCCTCGCCCCCAAACACAGGGTAGGGAACATCACACACCAGGGCCTGTTGAAGGGAAACACTTTCTCCCAAGCCCTGGAGCTAACTTGGGGAAGGCTTTGAGATGCTGAGAAGGGAAGAAACTGGGACTGAGAGGAGGACGCCATTTTTAATCCAGGCTCATACAAAGAGAGTAATTCCTTGGCTACCCAGCGACGTGGCTGTGCAGTCATTTCAGTCTTATGCCAGAAATTACAGTGCTCACTCTGAAGCATGGTAAGGGCCCCCATATCCAGAATTGGGTGGCAAGTATGGAAAACTGCCCAGCAGTAGGTACTGGAATTGCGTTTTTCCCCATCAGAGGTCTTGAGAGGGGAGAGAGTTGCTGCAGCTGTGGTTTCTCCTTGGCAATAAGACTCTCAGCCAAAGCCAGCTTGGCAGCCTGGGACTTGTCTGCATGTGTCATTGTTGGGTGTCTTACTGACATTATGGTGCAAAGGGGCCCTCTCTTCTCCACTCCAAGAATATCTTCAGCAATTTTGAGCACCCTATTGACCAGAAAAGCCTCCTGAGTCACCCCACCCTTCCTATGCATAGATAATGGTGCATCAGGGCCCTCTTCTACTTCATGTACAAGCAAATATTCAGGCATTTGAAGCACCTGCTCACCTAAATCAGCAGCTGAGCCATCCCACTCTCTCTGTGCAGAGATTGTGGTGAAGTGGGGTCCTCTCTGCTCCATGCCCAGGCTTATCTCCAGGCATTTGGAGCACCCCCCTACTTGGATCAGTAGCCTGAGGCACCTCACCCTTCCTGTGCAGAGACTGTGGTGAAGCAGGTCCCTCCATGATCAATGTCCAGGCAGATTTCCAGGCATCTAGAACACCACCTCTTCTGTATTAGTTTAGGCTGACCCCCTTCCTGCACCAAGCATTTGGGCAGAGAAAGGTTATCAGTTTCACACATAGGCACACTTCTGGGTGCTTGCTGGCCACCAGTTGACTGCCCACATCTCTGGAAGTGGTTTTTGTTTCTGCCATTGTGGGATTTGCAGGCAGACCTGTCCAGGCTGGTCACCACCCCCACCACCCCCCGCATCCTGGTTGCCCATCCAGGCCTGTGCAGGGACCTCAGACCACTGTGAACTCCATGAATCAGCCCATTGCCTGAGGCAACAGTGAGCTTCTCCCAGTAAACAAGAATCAAGTAAATACCCATCTTCATTGGCCACAGCTCGCTATTACCCATGAGACCCACCTACTGGTATAGAGGTTGAATAGTGGGACACAATGGGAAATCCCCTGACATAAGCATACAGCAGTGGGAGCCAGATGAGCTTCCTGAGGCTCACAGGAAAAAGGTGCCTTCCTGAGGTTCACCTCAGGCCCGCAGGAGGTATTCAGTCTGCTTACACACCCAGGACATTGCTACTACAACCAGCATTTGAGAAAGCCTCCATACAAAGGCTATCTATAACCAAGAAACTTATACATACTCTTTGCCACTGAAAATATCCAGAAACAGAGATCTAACCCTTGGCCTGGTCTGCCCCTAAGTGAGGGGAGTAATTCAGCTTGCCAAAGCCCCCCTTGAGTCAAAGGAAATGTGGGAACCTGGCTGCTGAAGTTCGCACCACCATGGCCCAGGAACAGATGTGGAGAGGAAGTCAACTCTTGCCCTTGCCCCCTCTTCAGTGCACTGTTGTGGATTTGGCAGCAGCTCTTCCTGTCAGGGCCCAGGGCGCATGGACTGAAAAGAGACCCATTCTCAGGTTTCTATAGTGGTCTCACTGAAGGCTAATGCACACTGGGGAATGGAGCTTTTCACACCTCTCCATTGCCTCTGCACCCATTTCTACCTGCTGGCTCTTGCTCTTAAGTGCCACCTACTGGACTGCAGCCTAACCTACACAATTAAACATGATTACATTGTTACAACAAGCAACATCTGAGAAAGCCACTGCATGAACTTACCTACAATCAAGAAATCAGTATGAAACCTTGGAACCCTGAAAGCACACAGAAATAGAGCCAATTAATCATACACAATATACATCATAGTCACATCCCCAAGGGTAAAAAGAATAAAAATTCAGGAAGCCCCATCTATATGATAATGTTTTTTTAATTATTATTATTATTATTATTATTATTTGGAAGCTTCAACTTTCTCAGGTCAGAAGGAGCCACTGCAAGAACTCTGGAAATACAAAAATCCAGAATGTTTTATCACCTTCAAAGGATCCAACTAGCTTCAAAGCAATAAATATTAACCAGAACGAAATGGCTGAAATGGCAGATTTAAAATTCAAAATATAGATGGCAAGGAAATTAAATTAGATCCAAGAGAAAGGTGAAGCCAAACACAAAGAAAAATAAATGATCCAAGATCTGAAACACAACATAGCTATATAAAGAAATAAATAAACAGAACTTCTAGAATTGAAAATTTCACTACAGGAATTTTGAAATACTTTAGGAAGCTTTAACAACAGAACAGAACAAGCAGAAAAAATAATTTCAGAGATCACACACTCTGTATATGCATGTTGGGTGCATACACATTTAGAATATACAAATCTTATTCTTGATTTGAGACTTTGAATCAACCCAGTAGGACAAAAATTTTAAAAAAGGAATTTTAAAAATAACGCTTTCAAGATTTATGGGATTATGTGAAGCAATAAAATATATTATTTATTGGCATTCTTGAGAGAGAAGAAGATAAATTAAGAAACTTGAAGAATATATTTGAGTATATAATTCAGGAAAATGTCCCCTGTCTTGCTAGAAAGGTCAAGGAGCAGATACAAGAAATCCAGAGAACTACTCTGAGATACTATACGAGATGACCATCCCCAAGACATATATTCACCAGACTATCCAAGGTTCATGCAAAAAAAAAATAAATTTTAAAGTTACCGAGCAGTAACCTTATGTGATAGACAAGAATGGAAGCCCATCTTTAGCATCCTTAAAAAAAAGCAATACCAGTCAAAAATTTCATATCCTGCAAAAATAAGCTTCATCAATGAAGGTGAAATAAAGTCTTTCTCAGATAAGCAATCACTAAGAGAATTTGTCACCACCAGACCAGACTTACGAGCATTGCTTAGGGGAGTTCTAAACATGGAAACAAAATAATGATACTTCCTACCACAAAGACACACATAAGCACGTATACCAAGCACCCTATAAGGCAACTACAAATTGAGACTACAAAGTAATTAGCTAACAACACTATGCCAGGAATAAAACCTCACATATCAATATTAACTTAGAACATAAACAGAATAAATGCCCCCATTTAAAAGAAATAGAATGGCAAGTTGAATTTTAAAAATGCATTCTTATTCTGTCTGCAAGAGATCTATCTCTCATGTAATGACACCTATAAGTTCAAAGTAATGGGATGGAGAAAAAACTATAATGCAAGTGGAAAACAAAAAAGAGCAGGGCTTCCTATTCTTGTATCAGATAAAATAATGACAAAGAGTTCAATTCAAAAAGATGTGTCTACTCTAAATGTATATGCATCCAATGTTGGAGCACCCAAATTTATAAAACAATTAGATCTAGACCTAATAAAAGACACTGATGGCCACATAATAATTGTGGAAGACTTAAATAACATAATGACCATAGGAGACAGATCATTGAGACAGAAAACTAACCAAAACATTCTGGAATTAAATTTGACATTTTAACAATTAGACCTAATAGACATCTAAGGAATACTCCACCCAACAATCCCAGAATATACATTCCTCTCATCTGCACATGAAACTTGAAGACTGACCATGTGCTTGGTCATAAAGTAATTCTCGGTAAATTCAAAAAATAGAAATCATAATAAGCATCTTCATAGATCACACTGGATTGAAAATGGAAATTAACACCAAGAGGAATCTCAAAGCTATACAAATTTGTGAAAACTAAACAACTTACTCCTGAATGGCTTTGGGTTAAAAAACAAAAATGAGGCAAAAATCAAAAAGTTTCTTGAAACAAACAAAAACAGAGACACAACACACAACATCCCCTGGAATATGGTGAAATTAGTTTTAGCAGAGAAGTTTATAGCAATAAATGCCTACATGAAAAAGATAGAAAGACCTCAAGTTAATAACCTAAGATTGCACATAAAGGAACTAGAAAAATATGAAAAAACTGAATCCAAAGCTAGCAAAATCAAAGGAATAACTAAAAGCAGAGCAAAACTAAATGAAGTTGTGGCCCCCCCAAAACCATGCAAAGAACTATAAAACAAAAGGTTAGTTTTTTGAAAGGCTAAACAAGGTTGATAGACTACTAGCTAGATTAACAAAATAAAAGAGAGAAGGTTCAAATAAGCACAATCAGAAATAACAAAGGAGACATTACAACTGATCGCACAAAAATAAAAAAGTTCCTCAGAGACTACTATGAAAATCTCTATGCACACAAATTATAAAATCTAGAGGAAATCAATAAATTCCTGGAAACATGCAACCTACCAAGATTGAACCAAAAAGAAACAGCAATACCGAGGAGACAAATTACAAGTAATACAACTGAATCAGTAAGAAAATGCTTTTAACTGAAAAAAATGCCTTGAATCAGATGGATTCACAGCCAAATTCCAGCAAATATACAGAGAAAAGCTGGTACTAATCCTATTGAAACTATTCCTAAAAATCAAGGAGGAGAGACTCCTCCATAATTCATTTTATAAACTAGTATCATCCTGATACCAAAATCTGGCAGACATACAAATCAATAAGAAAAAAATCCCAATTCCATTAAAAAGTGTGCAATGGAGATGAGCACACACTTCTCAAAAAAAAGAAAATACATACAAGTGACCAGTAAACACATGAGAAAATGACTAACTTCACTAATCACAGAGATTTAAATAAAAAGCACAATGAGATACTATCTCACACCAGTCAGAACAGCTATTATTAAAAAGACAAAAAATAACAAATGGTGGGGTTGCAACAGATAGAAAATGCTCATACATAATTTGTCATAACGTAAAGTTTCTCAGCTCCTGTGGAAAGTGGTTTAAAGATTTCTCAAAGAATGTAAAGTAGAACTACAATTTGGCCCAATAATCCCATTACTAGGTATATATCCATGAGAAAATAAATAGTTCTACCAAAAAGTCACATGCCCATGTATGTTGACAGCATTGTACACAATAGCAAAGGCTTGTAATCAACCTAGGTGCCAATCAATAGTGGATTGTATACGTAAAATGTGGTTGATATACACCATAGAATACTGTGCAGCCATAAAAAACAAAGTTACTTTTTTTGCATCAATATGGATGCAGTTGGCAAACTAACATAGAAACAGAAAATCGTATATTACATACTCTCATTTATAAGTGGGAGCTAAAATGGGTTCACCTGAACATAAAGACGGGAACAGTAGACACCGGGGACTCCAAAAGAAAGGAGGGATGGATGAGGGCAAGGCCTGAAAAACTTCTTATGAAGTTTTTATTATATTAAGTTTAATATAGTACTTATTGGGTACTATATTAACTATCCGAGTGACAGGATCAATAGAAGGCTACACCTCAGCAACACAATATACCCTTGTAACAAAAATGCACATGTACCACCTGAATCTAAAATAAGAATTTAAAACTTTTAAAATATTTTCCTTAAAAGATCCCAAAGGAAAAAAAAAAACATTTATAACATGCCTCAAAAGGAATTCAATATAATTATATAACGCAATTCAGTGAAATAGGAGAGAACACAAATATTTCAATGAAATTAGAAAAAAAATAATCTCAATAAGAAAATCAACAAAGAGATAGATTAACAAAACAAACTTAAATATTTGAGCTAAAAAGTTGAATAAATAAACAGAAAGCTTCAATAAGAGAATAGAGCAAGCAGAAGAAAAAATTTCTATACCCAAGGACAGGTCTTCTGCAATAATCCAGTGTGATAAAAAATAAATAAGAATAAAGAAAGCCTAAAGGACTTACAGGGATAACATTAATTAAACAAATTCTTGAACTACTGGATTTCCAGAAGGAAAATGATGGAGAAAAGCACAGAACCCCTATTTTTTAAAAATAATAGCAGAAAATACTCTGAGTACTGGGAGATATGTGGACATCCAGATTCAGGAAGCTCAAAAATTCCCAATTAGATTCAATCCAAACATACTCTCTTCAGGGGGCATTATAATTAAATGTTCAAGAGACAAAGGCAAAGAGAGATTTCTAAAAGCTGCAGGAGAAAAGCAGAAAGCCAACATATAAGGGAATATGAATTGAGCTACTAGAATTCTCAGCAGAAACCTTGAAGGCTAGGAGAAAACAGAATGATATATTCAAAGAACAGGAGAAAAAACCTGTTATCCAAGAATACTATGTTTGCACAAAGCTATTTTTCAGAAATGAAGTAATAATAAAGACCTTCCCAGACAAGTAAATGCTGAAGGAATTCGTCACCACTAGACTGACCTTACAAGAAATGCTTACTGAACTACAACAACTGATAATGAAATTATCATAGTGAGTATCATGAAAACACATGAAAGCTTAAAACTCACCAGTAGAGATAAATTTGTAAATCAAGCTTAGAATACCCCAATGATGTAATGGTGCCACGTAAATCTCTGAATTCTTTAGTATAAGGGTTTAAAGTAAAAATGATCAAAAACAACAACAGCTGCAATTAGTACCTAAGAAACCCACAATAGATAAAGAGGTAAATTAAGGCAACAAAAATATAAATTGTAGGGGATAGAGGAAAAGTCTAGAATGTTTACATGTTACCAAAGTTCTGTGGCTATCAGCTTCAGAAAGCTTACTATCACTACAATATTCTTTAAGTTTGCTCCATGTTAACTATAAAAAAATTTTTTAAAAAGCAGATACACAAACAAAAAAGGGCAATGGGAAACAGCTTAAAAACCACTGAAACCACCAAACCACAGAGGTAAACAACAAGACAGGAAGAAAAGAACAAAGATTCTACAAAACAGCCAGAAAACAACAAAATGGCAGGAGTAAGCTCTTATTGATCAATAATAAACTTGACTTCAAATGGATTAAATTCAATAATTAAAATATACAAAGTGGCTGAATATATAAAACCCTACTGCCCACAAGAGACTCACCTCACTGTTAAATGCACATAGATTGAAAGTGAAGGAATAAAAAACATATTATATGCAGATAGAAAAAATAGAAATCAAAAGCAAGCAGGAGTACCTATACTAATATCAGATAAAATAACTTTAAGTCAAAAACTATGAAAAGGTACAAAGAAATTCAAATTATAATAATCAAGGGATCAATTCAACAGAGGATAAAATAATTAAATACATATATGCACCAAAAACTGGAGCACCCAGAATCATAAAGCAAATATTAGAATTAAAAAGAGAGATACACTGCAATAGTAATAGCTGTTACAACACACTACATTCAACAATGAATAAATCATCTACTCTAAATATCAGCAAATAAACATCAGACTTAAACTGCACCACAGAGCAAATAAACTTAACAAATATTTACAGAACGTTTCACCCAACAGCTACCAAATATACATTATTCTCAATTTTACACGAAACATTCTTCAGGATAGATCAAGTGTTAGGCTACAAAACAAGTCTTAACATATTTAAGAATGTTGGAACCATATTATTTATTGTTTTGACCACAATGTTATAAAATTAGAAATTAACAGCAAGAAAACCTTTGAAAACTTTATAAAATACATGGAAATTAAGCAATGTGCTTTAAGAACCATTGTTTCAGCAACCATTGGTTGTTCCTACGGGACACAGGAAAAGCAGTATGTAGAGAAAAAATTATAGCAATAAACATTTACAACAGAAAAGAAGAAATATTTCTAACAACCTGATGATACACATCAAGGAACTAGAAAAAACAAAAAGAAGCTTAATGCAAAATTGATAGAAAGAAGAAAACAAATTTCCACATAGAAATACATAAAACAGATACTAGAAAAATAATAGATGAGATCAACAAATTATAGAATGGGCTTTTTGAAAAGATAAAATCGATGAACTATTAGCTACACTAAAAAAACAGAAGATTCAAATAATAAAATCATAGATAAAACATAGGTATTACAATTAATAACAAATACAAAGAATTTTAAGAGACGATAGTGAACAATTATATGCCAACAAAATTGGCAACAGAAGAAATGGATAAATTCCTGGGCACATACAATATACCAATATTAAAATATGAGGAAATAGAAAATATGAATGGACCAATAATGACTCAGAAAATTGAAATAGTAATAAAAAGCCATTTATCAAAGCAAATCCCAAGGCCTAATGACTTCACTTCTGAATTCTACTGAACATATAAAGAATATCAAGTCTCTTTAAACTAATTAGAGAGTTGAAGGGGAGGGAAAACTTCCAAACTCCTTTTAAGATACAAGCATTATTAGCCTGATTTCAGACTGACAGGGACACCAAAAAAAAAAAAAAAAAAAAAAAAAAGAAAAACAACCCCAGAAAACTACAACCAGTATCCCTCAAGATATTAGCAAACAAAATTCAAAATCAAATTGAAAAGATCATTCCCTCTGACAAATTGGGATTCACCACAGGGATGTAGGGATGGCAAATTATTAAATGCAATATAACACATTAACAGAAAGACAAAAAGCATGTGATTATTTCAATATATGCAGAAAAAGCAATTGAAAAATTCAACATTAATCGATGGTAAAATATCTCACAAATTAGGTATAAAATTTGTATACGCCAGCAGAATAAAGACCATAACTGGCAAACCCACAGCTAATACCATAGTGAATGAAGAAAAGCTGAAAACTCTTCCTCCAAGGTTATGAACAAGACTAGGATGTGAACTTCCACCATTTCCATTCAACATACTATTGACAGTCCTAGCCATAGCAATTAGGCAAGAGAGAGAAATAAAAGACATCTGAATTGAAAAGGAGCAAGTCAAATTGTATATATATATATATTTTGCAGAGGACATGTTCTTATATATAGAAACCCTAAAGACACCACCAAAAATCTGTTAGAACTAATAAATTAAATAAAGTTGCAGGATATATATAAAAATCAGAAGCATTTCAACATACAAAAATCAGAAACATTTCTATATAATAATAGTTAACTACATGAAAAAGAAGGCAAGCAAACATTTCAATTATAACAGGTAAAAATAAAAGATACCTAGGAATAAACTTAACCAAGTAGGTGAAAAATAGCTTCAATGAAAACTATAAAACTTAGATAAAATTTATTGAAGAGGATATAAATGAAATAATAGCCTGTGTTCATTGAATGGAAGAATTAATATTTTGTAAATGGCCACACTATCTAACACAATCTATGGGCTTAATACAATCCCTATTAAATACCAATGACATTCTTCACAGAAATTGAAAAAAAATCTTAAAATTTATATGGAACCACAATAGAACTTGAATAGACAAAACAATCCTGAGCAAAATGAACAAACTTTGAGACATCACACTATCTGACTTCAAAATCTACTATTAAGCAATGTATTCCAAACAGCATGGTTCTAGCATAAAAATAGACACATAGACATAAAGATAGACACATAGACAAATAGAAGAATCAATAATCTTAGCTTCCACATCATGAAACTAGAAAAAAGGACAAAAATCAACCCAAAGAAATCAAAAGGGAGAAAAATACAGAATTGAAAACAGAAAAACAATATAAAAAAAGATTTGATTTTCCAAAAAAGTAATAAAATTGTCCAATCTCTAGCAAGAATGATAAAGAAATATATATATATATAATGAATAAAAGAGAAGATTTCAATATAGACCCTGAAGACATCAAAATAAGGGGAATCTATAAACATAACTAAACACATAAATTTGAATAATTAGGTAAAAAGTATCCATTCTTTGAGAAACAAAACTACCACAACTTACTCAATTTGAAATAATATAATTTTAATATTTCAATTAGTTTATTAATGAACTTTAATTGGTATTTTAAATATCCTCATGAAAATCAAGTAAAGATCATTTTATTGGAGCAAGCTATTAAACATGTACAGAAAAATTAAATCTTTTCTATATATTTTAGGAAGCAAATATTATCCTGAAACAAAAAACAACAAACATAAGAAAACTATAGCTCAATCTCCTTCATGAATACAGATGTAAACATCCTTAACGTATATTAGCAAACAGAATTCAGCGATATAGAAAAGTGAATTATTCACCATGAGCAAAAGAAGTTTGATCTAGGTATGCAAGCCTGGTGCAGTATGAAAAAATCAATTAATGTAATCCATCATATTAAAAGCCTAAAGAGAAAAGATCACACAAACATATCAATCAATGAAGAAAAAAGCATCTGACAAAATTCAATGCCATTCATGATACTCTCAGGAAAACAGAACGAGAAAATATCACATTTAACTTACTTTAAAATTATCAACACAAAATTACCTCTAACATTATTATTAATGGCCTATTACTAAATGTTTTCTAGTAAGATTATGGATGATGCAAGGTTGTCCACTTTAACAATTCTCATTCAACATAGTAATAAGAGTCCTAGACAGTGCAGTGAGGCAAGTAAAGAAAATAAAGGACATATAAATCAAAAAAGAAGAAATAAAGCTATCCTTATTTGGGACGGCATTATTGTCTATATATAATACTCCAAGTAATCTACAAAAAAACCCTCATAGAATGTATAAGTAATTTCAACAGGATTGTAGGATATAAGTAAAAGCAAAAATCAATTGTATTTCTACATGCTAGCAATGAGCATGTAGACAGTAAAATCGAAAATACAATATCACTTACAGTTGCTAAAAAAGTGAAATACTTAGATATAAGTCTTACAAAGCAAGTACAGAATTTGTATATGGAAATGTACACAATGGAGAAGACAGAAATAAAAACTGTCTAAATAAATGGAGAGACATATGTCTCACTCAGTCTGGTTGTGCTGCTATAACAAAGTATCACGGACTAGGTAATTTATACATAACAGAAATTTGTCACAGTCCTGGAGGCTGTGGAGTCCAAAATGAAGGCATCAGATGTTAAGGGCCCAGTGTTTCTATTTCCAAGATGGTGTCATGTCCTCACATGGTGGAAGGAACAGAAGGGCCAAAAAGGGTGAATGTCCTCCATAAAGCCCTTTTATGAGAAGAGCACCTCATCCCATTCATGAATATGAAGCCATCATTACTCAATTGCCTCCCAAAGGCCACATCTCTCAACAACATTACATTGGGGATCAAATTTCAACAAGAATTTTCGAAGACGAAAAATACTCAAACCATAACACATATGCCCAATGATGGTTAGACTCAAACATAATAAAGATGTCCACTCTACCCCGAATTTTATGTAGGTTAAATATAATTATTATAAAAACCCCAAAATGTTTTCTCATAAGTATAAACAAGATTATTCTAAATTGAATATGAAAAGGAAAAAGATCTAGAATAGATAAAACTATTTGAAAAAGAATACAGTGAGAAGAACCAGTGTTCTTGACTTCAAGGCTTATTATATATGGTGATAGAGTCTGTGCTATTGGTTGTGAATTTGGCACATATCAGTAAAACACAATAGCGAACCCTGAAACAAATCTGGATTAACATACTCATTTGATTTTTCACAGAAGTGCAAAATCAATTCAATGGAAGGAGGGTATTCTTTTCAACATATGGTGCTGGAGAAACTGGACATTCATAGGCCAAAAAAGGAAATGAAACTCTACCTGTCTCATACCTTATATAAAAATGAACTCAAAAATGGATCATGGACTTAAATATAAAATGTAAAACTATAAAACATTTATCAAAATGCATATGAAAAAATTTTTTGAATCTAGGGCTAGGCAAAGAGTTTTTTAATTATGTTCCAAAAACACACTCCATGAAAAATTGGTAAATTGGTCTTTATGAAAATTAAAACTTTTGCTTTGTGAAAGACTCTGTTAAGAGACTGAAAAGACAAGCTAAAAGACTGGGGAAAATACTAGTAAAGCACATATATGACAGTGGACTACTATCTAGAATATTTAAAGAACCCTCAAAACTCAAACATGAAAATGTAAACAATTCAAGTAGAATATAGGCAAAAGTCATGAAGATGCATTTTACTGCAGATATACAGATGGTAAATAATCATATGAAGAGCTGTACAACACCATTAACCATCAGGGAAATGCAGTTTAAAAACACATGAGATATCATGAAACACACCTAACATAATGACTATAATAAAAAATCGTGACAACATCAAATGCTGGCAAGGATGCAGAGAAACTGAATCACTCATCCCAACTGCTATTGGGAATAAAAATGTTACAGTCACTTTGGAAAAAAGTTCGGCAATTTCTTACAAAATTAAACCTGCCTTCTTTTGAGAAATGTATATTCAAGTCATTTGCCTATTTTTTAATCAAATTATTTATTTTTGTTATTGAATTTTTTAGCTTTTTACACATACTGAATATTAATCCCCTGTCAGATGCACAATACATAAATACAGTTAATTCTTGACTAGCATGGGTTTGAACTGCACAGGTCTACTTATATGCAGATTTTTAAAAAATAAATATATTGGACACTCTTTTGGAGGCTTGAAACAATTTGAAAAAAAAATCTCAGTCAAACTGCAGAAAGTAGAAAGTTATGTCATGAATGCATAAAATATATGTAGACATTAATCTAGTTTATCATGCACTAGTATAAAATATACACAAATCTATTATAAAAGTTAAAATTTATCAAAACTTAGGCACACAAACATTAACATACTATAAACAACATAATTTGCAGTTGAGAGAAATGTAAACAAGCATAAAGATGCAGCGTTAAGTTATAACTACATAAAACTACTGTAGTACTTACTGTACTATTGTATTAATTTTGTAGTCACCTCCTGTTGCTACCATGGTGACCTCAAGTTTTGTGATAATCCCCTTAAAATGCAGTGTGATTCTAATCATCTGCATATGAGTAGTTCATCTCTCCAGTAAATTGTGTATAGCAGTAAAAAGTGATCTCTTATTGTTTTCACATCTTTTTTCTAATCATGTTTAGTGCAACGCTATAAACCTTGAATATCACCATGGGAGACCCATATGAAGTGCAATTCGTGATGCTGGAAGTGTTCTCAAGGATCAGAGAAAAGTCACGTCATTGTAAGACAAAGTTGATTTACTTGATGTACACAGCAGATTGAGATCTGCAGCTATGGTTGCCCACCATTTCACACAGATGATTCATCTTGTAAAAACAGAAAATGTAAACTTGCAGTATCTATACATACAATACAGTATTGTAAATATATTTTCTCTTTCTTATAACTGTTTAAATAAAATTTTCTTTTCTCTAGCTAATCTTGTTTTAAGGGTGCAGTATATAATACATATATCATACGAACTATGTGTTGATTGACTGTTTATGTTATCAGTAAGGCTTCTGGTCAACAGTAGGCTATCAATATTTAAGTTTTAGGGGAGTCAAAAGTCAATTGCAGATTTTCAACTGCACAGGAGGTGGGAGTCTGGCACCCCTAATTGCTGCATTGTTCAAGGATCAACTGTATTCTCTCCCATTCTATAGGTTGTCTTTTCACACCGTTGATAGTTTCCTTTGCCCGTCAGATGCTATTTAGCTTGAAGTCATTTCATTTGTTCAATCTTTCTTTTGTTGCCTGTGCTTTTGAGGTCTTCCTCAATAAATCTTTATTCATAAATCAATGTCCTGTAACATTTCTCCTATTTTTCTAATAGTTTCATAGTTTGCAGTCTTAGATTTAAGTATTCAATCCAATTTGAGTTGATTTTTTGTATGGCAAGACATAGGAATCTGGTTTGCTTCTTCTGCATATAGTTATTCAGTTTTTCTGGCATCTTTAATTGATGAGACTGTCCTTTCCCCAATGTAAGTTATTGGTGTGTTTGTAAAAAAAAAAAAAAAATTAGATGGCTAGGTTCCCTGTTCTGTTCCACTGATCAGAAAGACAAATACTGCATGATATCACTGATTTGTGATATCTACAATATTTGATCTCATAGAAGTAGAGAGTAGAATAGTGGTTACCAGAGGCTGCAGAGGGAAAGGGTAATAGGGGTGGAGAGACTGGTCAATGGGTACAATGTTACAGTTAGATATAAGAAATAAGTTTTCAGGTTCCATTGTACAATATGGTGAGTATAATTAACAATACTATATTGTAGATTTCAAAATAGTTACAAGAGAGGATTTTGAATGTTGTCACCACAAAGAAATGATAAATATTTGAGGTGATTGATATGCTAAATACCCTGATTTGATCATTATACAATGTATAAAATGTATAAAATATTAAATACAATGTATAAAATACATTAAATACAATTTATACAACTATTAAAACATCACACTGTATTCACACAGGGCGTGGCTACAAAATGGCAATATGAGGGATTCTTATGGTGATGGAACTATTCTGTATGTTGACTGTATTCATGTCTATATCATAGTTGTAATACGGTAGATTTGCAAGATGTTACCATTGGGAAAAACTTGGTAAAGGATACATGGAATCTCTCTGAATTGTCTCTTAAATCTGTATGTGAATCTACATTTACGTTAAAACTAAATGTTTAATTACATATATTTTAAAATAGTGCTTAACTCAAGGGTTACATGCTATACAAGCATCATTATTTTTCAACTGACAAATGATTGCATATATTTATGTGGCATATGTGATGTTTTAATATATGTATACATTGCAGAAACGTTAAATCAGGCTAATTAGCATATAAATCACCTCTCCTGCTTGTTACTTTTTTGTGATAAGAATGTTTGAAATATACTCTTTTGGATTAAGATTTTTTGATATAGCATGTGCCTCCTCAATGAAAAAGAAACTGAATAGTAAGGAGGTATATTTCAAATAGATTGTGTAGAAGAGAATGCCAGAATTTATCAGAGAAGTGACAGGAAATGCCAGAAGTAAAGAGAAGGTTTGAGGCAGCTTGCCAGGTCAGGGAATGGCTGAGAGCCAGGAGAGGCTCTTGGATTCAGGAAAACAGTAAGAGAGGACTCTCCAGGGATCCACACTCCAAAACGGGCTTTTACAGTCTTGGCTATAGGAGAAACTTTCCTTGATCCACTAGGGCCCCATGACTGACATACGGAGCTGCCTAAATCTTGCACAGAGACATATCTCTAGTAAAAGAACCCAAACAGAATCCTACAGGCACCAAAACCTAGAGCAGCTTCAGATTGGTGCCATTTTGAGATCCTAGCCATAGACATGGGTGCTGCCACTGCACTGCTCCAAGGAGGGAGTGGGAAGACTGGGTGCTCCCATAGACCCCTGAGATAATTCCTACTACTTTGCTGCTGTTGAGACTGAGACATGAGTGGACTGCATTTTCCAGTTTCCTGCCCAAGTTGCTTGTCTGGGAGGGGACTCACCTCCTTTGGTCCCAGGCCCAAGGCATCATTTTGAGAGTTTGATGTTGGGTTGTGCCCTACCCTCAGGATTGTTTGGGCAGACACACCTGTAGCCACCACATGGCCAAGGAGGGACAAGGAAACCTGGCTCTCCTACACATATTTATGACAACACTCACTGCCTTCAATGGGCTTCTGTGAGACAAAGACACAAGCAAACCATACTCTCCATGGCTTCTTGCTCATTCTGCCTGCCTAGCAGGGGCCCCACACTCCTTGTTGCAGGCCCAAAGCACCATTTTGATAGTTTAATACTGGGCTGAGCCCACCATCAGTCCAAGTTCAAGTCGATATGACTGTAGCTGCTGCCTAGCTGTTGCAAAACAGGAAAACCAGGTTTTTTGGGTTTTTTTTAGTTTTTGTTTTTTTTAACCACATATCTAAGACAATACCCACTACCCTGCAACAGACTGCTGTGAGACTGACATAGAAGCATACTGCACTCCCCAAAGCTTCTTGCCCTTGCTGATCACCTGAAGAGACACGCTATCTATGGTCACAGGCCCAAAGACGACACCAATTGGAGAGTTTATTGCTGAGCTGTGTCCCTCCCTTGGGCTGACTTTGAGGTGATATGGCTGTAAGCACCACCCAACTGGGGGAGAGACAGTAGATGGTAAGCTCTCCTAAGGATACTGAGGACAGTACCCACTGCCTTACTACAGGCATGTGTGGGACTGGGGACAAGTCTGACCAACATATCACAGCTATCAGCAACACCAGCACAGGTTGCTTGCATTCCAGTGGATTGCTCCACCACTGTTACTGCCATTACCCACACCACACCACCTACTCAGGGACCTGACATATTGCCCACACGCCAGCCCACCACTCCCACAACTAAATGTCTAAGCAAGCAATCTCGGGGCCCAATAATCAGCCCTCCAGGACCCACTAACATCAGAGCCAGCATAAGCTGTTTTTGGTCTTAAAAACAGGCACAGTTAGCTTTCTGCTGCCACTACCAGGGCGCAAGAACTGGCTCAGTGGGCATTCAAGTTCCCATCAAATCTTTACCACAGTATCAAATAAATGTACTGTTAGCTGCTGAAAAAAAATCACACACACCACTGACCCCATGTACTGCTAAAGAAGTCATACAAAGATCACATTACTGCAGGAACCCATAATCAAAGCCAAAGTGTCCTATTCAACCAATAATTATATACATTTTCAGAAAAAATTCTCTCCAAGAAAAGCAATTTTAAAGAATTGGAACAAACAATAGCTACTACTGATGTGCAAATGTTAATGAAAGAACACAGGAAACATGTAAAAGCAGGGCATTATGACACCACTAAAGTATCACAACAAGTGTCCAGCAATAGATCCTAATCAAGAATTCCTCAAAATGCCAGATATAAATACAAAATATTGATTTTAAGGAGTTCAATAAGATGTAAGAGAAACATGAAAAAAATACAAAAAAAAACCCAGAAAATTAATTCAAAATATAAATGAGAAATTTACCAAGGAGATATCTTATAAAACAGAATTTCTAAAAATAAAAAAAAATCATTGAGTTGAAGGACATACAAAATACATTAGAAAGCTTTTGTAATAGAATAGAGAAAGCAGAAGAATCTCAGAACTTGAAGATGAGTCAGTCAGAATTTTTTTAAAGTCAATAAAAATAAATAAACAAAGCCTTCAAGAAATTTATGACTCAATAAAGTGACCAAATTTGCAAAATATTGGTATTTCTGTGGGAGCAGAGTGATCAAAAAGTTTAGAAAATCTGAGGAAATAATCAACAAAAGCTTTCTAAGCCCAGCAAGAGAGTTAGACATCCAGATACAGAAGGCCCAATGATCTGCAATAAAATACACTGTAAAAAGGTCTTAAACTTGGCATATTATATTCAGAATGTCTAAAGTCAAAGTAAAATAAATAATTTTAAGATTAGCAAGAGAAAAGTGTCTGGTAACATATAAGGGAAGCTCCATTAGACTAACAGCAGACTTTTCAGCAGAAACTTTAAAGGTCAAAAGAGAATAGCATTACACTTTGAAGTGCTAAAAGGAAAAAAAAAAAAAACTGTCAAACATGAATTTTAAGTCCTGCCAGAATAAGCTTCACAAATGGAGGAAAAATAGTCTTTCCCAGGCAACAAAATGCTGAGGGAAACTGTCACCATTAAGCCAACATTAAGAAAATGATCAAAGGGGTCTTCAACATTAAAATGAAAGGTTGATATTCACCATCACGAAACACAAAGAAACATAAAACTCACAGGTTTTGTAAAACAGTAACCAAAAAGGAAGAGAAAGAAATCAAATGGTAACATTACAAGATATGATCAAATCACAAAGACAAAAAGAGAAAAATAAACAAATAATTTACAAAACAATTGAACACAACCAGTAATATTACAGGAACAAAGCCTCACATATTAATATTAAACTTGAATATAAGTAGATAAAATACCACGCTTGAAAGATATAAATTTGCAGAATGGATTTAAAACACGTGATCCAACTATATGCTGTTTAGATAAAACTCACCTTTCCTCTAAAGTCATATATATAGAATGAAGTAAAGGCTAGAAAAAGATATTCCATGCAAATGAAAACCAAAAGCAGGCAGGAGTAGCTACACTTATATCACGTAAAACGCACTGTAACTAAAAAATACCACAAAAAGACAAAGAAGGTCATTATACAATGATACAGCAATCAATCAAATTAGAGGTGATAACAATTTTAAATACATATGAACCTAATATTGAAACACCCAAATTTCACAAAACAAATATTACTAGGCCTAAAGAAAGTGATACACAGTAATATAAGACTAATATGGGCCTTCAATGCCCCTCTGACAGCACTAGACAGATCACTGAGACATAAAATTAACAAATAAACATTGGGCTTAAATAGGACTTTAGACCAAATGGACTTAACAGACTTCACAGGCATTTATAGAATATTCTATCCAAAAAGTATAGAATATACATTCCTTTAATCAGCACACAGAACATTCTCCAAGACAGATCAAATGGTAGCCTATGAAATAATTTTTAACAAAAATTATATCAAGTATATTCTTAGGCTACAGTAAAGTAAGTAAAGAGGACTTTGTTTGGCACTTAATTTACTAGCTTGGCCACAGGGGATTCTTATTCTGGAACTTGACTCTTGGGTAGCATTTCTGGATCTGCCCCGGGTCAGAGGAAAGCCTGATACCCTTAAGAGTGAGTCCAAGGCCAGGCAACATTCACCGCAAGGTGACTTAAAAGCCCCTTGGCCTGAAGGGAACATTGGCAGTAGTCTAGCACTACTCTCCATGGCCCGTAGTGGTGACGGCTATGGGTGAGTCTCTTCTGCTCTTGGAAAGGAAATGAAAGAATGGAAAGAACTGCATCTTGTGGTTTGAGTGCCAACTCAACCACAATACAATAGAAAACCAGGTAGATATTATGTCTAAGGCTTTTGACTCTAGACATTGACTTTCAGACAGCATGTTTGGATCCACCTGGGGCCTGGGAGAACTCACTGCCCTGAAGGGAAGCCATGGGTGTTTCTGGCTTTGCCCTCTATTGATTGTACAGCTTGAGGGCTGAGGGCCTCGAGCAAACATAGTCAGCAGCCAGGAAATGGTTACAGCTGGCCTTGGGTGAGACCCAGTGCTGTGATAGCTTCAGGTCTTACCCAAAGCAGTCATAGCGGTGATGGCAACAGGGGTGCTTGTCTCACACCATCCCTAGCTTCAAGTGACTCAGGAGAAAGAGGGAGAGAGAGAGAGAGAGAGAAGAGAGACTCTAGGAGAAGGTAAGGGAAAAGAGCAAGAGTCTCTACCTATAAATCCACAGAATTCTCCTTGATTTTGTTCAAGACCATCAAGGTAGTACCTCTATGGGTCTGCAAAAACCACAGCATTGCTGAGCTTGTGGTGCCCCCTAAAACACATATAGCTTAGACTACAGCACTCAAGTCCTTTCAAATATTTGGAAAGCCTTCCCAAGAAGGATAGGTACAAACAAGTGCAGACAGTGAAGACTACAATAAATACCTAACTCTTGAATACCAAGACAGTGAAGAACATCTGCTAGCATCAAGACCGTCCAAGAAAACATGATTTCATAAAATAAACTAAATAATGCACCAGGGACCAATCCTGGAGAAACTGAAATATGTGAACTTGGAGACAGATAATTCAAAATAGCTGGAGGAAACACAAAGAAATTCAAGATAACATAGAGAAGAAATTCAGAATTCTATCAGATAAATTTAACAAAGAAAATGAAATAATTAAAAAGACCCAAGTAGAATTTCTGATGCTGAAAACACAATTGGCATACTGAAAAATACATTAAAGTGTATTAATAGCCAAATTGATCAAGCAGAAGAAAGAATTAGTGAGCTTGAAGATATGCTATTTGAAAATACAGTCAGAGGAGACAGAATAATAATAATAATAATAAAACGAAGCACACCTATAAGATCTAGAAAATAGCCTCAAGAGGAAAAATTTAAATCTGCATAGAAATAGAAACATCAAAAATTTAAAAAGGTAGGGGACAAATTTGAAAAGTACAACCCCCTCCAGGCTGCTTTCATAGACTGGCGTTGAGCATCTGTGCCTTTTCTAGGCAAATGTTGCAAATCATCAGTGGATCTATCATTCTGGAATCTGGAGGACAGTGGCCCTCTTCTCATAACTCCACTAGGCAGTTTCCCAGTGAGGACTCCATATGGGGGCTGCAACCTCACATTTCCCTTTCACACTGCCCTAGCGGAGGTTCTCTATGAGGGCTTTGCCCATGCAGCAGACTTCTTTTTTGGACATCCAGGCATTTCCATACATCCTCTGGCATCCAGCTGGAGTTTCCCAAACCTCAATTCTTGACTTTGTGCACCCACAGGACCAACACCACATGTAAGCCACGAAGGCTTGGGCCTTGCACTCTCTGAAGTAACAGCCCAAGCTATATGTTGGCCCCTTTTAGGCACAAATGAAGCTAAAGCAGCTGGCAAGCAGGGCACCATATCGCAAGGCTGTGTAGAGCAGGAGGGCTCTGCACCTGGCCCACAGAAACCATTTGACCCCCTGTGCCTCCAGGCTTGTGATGGGAAGGGCTGTTACCGAGATCTCTGACATGTCCTGGAGACATTTACCCTGTTGTCTTGGTAATTAGAATTTGGATCCTCATTACTTATGCAAATTTCTTGAATTTCTCTCAAGAAAATAGATTTTTTAAAAATCACATCATCAGGCTGCAGATTTTACAAACTTTTATGCTCTGCTTACTCTTGAACACTTTGCTGCTTAGAAATTTCTTCCACCAGATACCCTAAATTATCTCCTTCAAGTTCAAATTTCCACAGATATCTAGGTCAGGGGCAAAATGCCACCAGTCTTTTTGCTAAAGCATACCGAAAGTCACCTTTGCACCAGTTTCCAAGAAGTTCCTCATCTCCATATAAGACCACCTCAGCCTGGACTTCATTGTGCATATCACTATCAGCATTTTGGTCAAAATAATTTAACAAGTCTCTAGGAAGTTCCAAACTTTGCCACATTTTCTTGTCTTCTTCTGAGCCCTCCAAACTGTGCCAACCTCTGCCTGCTATCCAGTTCCAATGTTATTTTCACATTTTTGGGTATCTTTACTTCAGCACCGTATTCCTGGTACCAATTTACCATATTAGCCCACTCTCATACTGCTAATAAAGACATACCCGAAACTAGGTAATTTATAAAGGAAGGAGATTTAATTGACTCACAGTTCAGCATGGCTGGAGAGGCCTCAGGAAACTTACTATCATGGTGGAAGGCACCTCTCCACAGGGTAGCAGGAGAGAGAATGATAGTCAAGAAAAGGGGAAGCCCCTTATAAAACCATCAGATCTCATGAGAACTCACTCACTATCACAACAACAGCATGGGGGGAAACAACCTCTATGATTCGGTTATCTCTACCTGGTCCCACTCTTGACACATGGGGATTATAACAATTCAAGGTGAGATTAGGTTGGAGACACAGAGCCAAACCATACCAAGAGCTGTAGTAAGCCAAACAGCATGGTACTGGCATAAAGTCAGACACATAGAGCAAGGGAACAAAGCATAAAACCCAGAAACAAATGCACACACCAACAATAAACTATTTTCCACAAAGATGCCAAAAATAAACACTAGGGAAAAAACAGTCTCTTCAATAAATGGTGCTGGGAAAACTGGATATGGATATGCAGAATAATGAAACTTGACCCATAACTCTCACAATCAAAATAAATCAGTATTTATTAAATCTAAGACCTGAAACTATGAAAATACTAGAAGAAAACATTGGGGAAACTCTCCAGGACTTTGGTGTCTGTAAAAAATTTCTTGAGTAAAACCCCACAAGCATAGGCAATGAAATAAAAATGGACATATAAGATTATATCATGTTAAAAAGCTTCTGCACAGCAAAAATTCAAGAAAGTGAAGAGAATACTCACAGAATGGGAAAAAAATTTGCAAACTACCCATCTGAAATGAGATTGCTAACCAGACTAATTAAGCATCTCATAGAATTCTATAAGGAAAAAATTGATAATCTAATTTAAAAAGGGCAAAGATGTGAATAGATATTTCTCAGAAGAAGACATACAGTTAGAAAACAGGCATATGAAAAGGTGCTCAACATCACTGATCATTAGGGAATTAAAAATCAAAACTACAATGAGGTGTCATCTCACCCCAGTTAAAATGGCTAATATCAAAAAAAGAAGCAGTAACAAATGCTGGCAAGGATTTAGAGATAAGAGAACCCTTGTACACTGTTTGTGGGAATGTAAATTAGTATATCCGCTATGGAGAACAGTTTGGTGATTCCTCAAAAAACTAAAAAAAAATATAGCTACCAAATAATCCAACCATCCCTCTTCTGAGTACATACACAAAGAAAAGGAAATCAGTATATCAAAGTGATATCTGCACTGTCATGTTTCCTTCAGCAAGGTTCACAATAGCTAAGATTTGGAAGCAACCCAAGTGTCCATTAACATATAATTGAATAAAAAATGTAATACATATACACAATGGAATACTATTCAACAATAAAATAATGAGATCCTGTCATTTGCAACAACATGAATGGAGCTGAAGATCATTATGTTACGTGAAGTAAGGCAAGCACAGAAAGACAAACGTCACATTTTCTCACCTATTTGTGGTATCTAAAAATCTAAACAATTGAACTCATGGACATAGAAAGTAGAAGGATGGCTTCCAAATGCTGGAAAGGGTACTGGGTTTGGGGAGAGAGGTGGGGATGGTTATTGTGTGAAAAAGTAGAAAGAATGAGTAAGTTTATTTGACAGCACAACAGAGTGACTATAGTTAATAATAATTGTGCACTTTCAGGTAACAGAGTGTAACTGGACTGTTTATAACACAAAGGATAGATACTTGAGGGGCTGGATACCCCATTCTCCATGATGTAATTGTTGCTCATTGCATGCCTGTATAAAAACATCTCCTATACCCCATAAATATATACACCTACTATGTATGCACAAAATTTAAAACTAAAATCAAAAAACATAAAATAGGCAAATAATTGTGCAGAACTTAAGTACAAATATCAGCACTCACAACGTGGAAAGGGCTCTTTTGGATAAAAAGAGTAAATTTTTCTTCTGGCCCTAGAAATGAACATAGTACATTTATTTTAAAATTATGAAAATACTTAAAAATAAATTACAGTTAACATTGCATGGTATTTGAAATGATTCAAAATTTTAATTCCATTTGTAGTAGAATCTTCAATATATCCTTGAATTTTTAAAACTTGGTGTATTAGTCTGTTTTCATACTGCTATAAAGAAATACCTGGCTGGGCGCAGTGGCTCACGCCTGTAATCCCAGCACTTTGGGAGGCCGAGACGGGCGTATCACGAGGTCAGGAGATAGAGACCATCCTGGCTAACACGGTGAAACCCTGTCTCTACTAAAAATACAAAAAAATTAGCCGGGTATGGTGGTGGGCGCTTGTAGTCCCAGTTACTCGGGAGGCTGAGGCAGGAGAATGGCGTGAACCCAGGAGGTGGAGCTTGAAGTGAGCCGAGATCGCACCACTGCACTCCAGCCTGGGAGACAGAGCGAGACTCCGTCTCAAATAAATAAATAAATAAATAAATAAATAAATAAATAAATAAATAAATATCTGAGGCTGGCTAATTTATAAAGGAAAAAGATTTAATTGACTCACAGTTCCACATGACTGGGGAGGCCTCAGGAAACTTACAATCATGGCAGAAGTGGAAGGAAACATGCTGTTCTTCATAAGGTGGCAGGGGAGAGAAGAGTGAGAAGTGAAGTGGGAAGAGCCCCTTATAAAACCATCAGATCTTGTGAGAACTCACTTACTATCATGAGAACAGCATGGGGAAAACAGCCCCCATGATCCAATCACCTCCCACCAGGTATCTCCCTAGACAAGTACGGATTATGGGAATTACAATTCAAGATGAGGTTTGGGTGGGGACATAAAGCCTAACCATATCACCTGGTACTGAAAAATATGGCACATGAAGCCATTCGCGTTTAGGATGATCCTATCCTCATCTAAAACACAGAAGACTAAAAAGAATTTGAGTGGATTTTTTCTCAATCTTTTCAAAGTTGGTAAGGAACTAGAACCATTATAGATGCACAGAATATAAGTTGTTTTATTACATGAAAGAGATGTCTTAGGGCATTAGTGTTTAATTCTCTTTCCAGTTTCTAATTAAGAAAGAACAGCAGATATTAATATGAAACGCACAAAATTGGTATCTAATAACCAAAATCAGCCAGCAGGTAAATTTGGATAGGTTAAAAAGCAGGATGGAGAGATTCAGGACTTGGGACATTACCTGGGGAAATTGGACTTATGTAGTTAGTTCTATTATGGGACCCTAAGCAACAAGAGGAAACTAGGCACCATTTGTTTATTTGTTTGACAAATATTTATTTAATACACAACTTCTGATAGGGATTGAGCATAAAAAAGATAATAAGACATAGTTCCCATGCTCAAAAACTCACAATAATTATTACTAAGCAAATACTAAATAAAGTTACATAATTCCTGAATAAAAGTAAATACTTATTAATGTGCTAAATGATTGCACTTGTTTTCTATTTCAGATAATATATGACTACAAATTTAGCAACTTATAATTACACCAATTTATTATCTCACAGTTCTGTAGTTCAGAAGTCCAAGCACATGTTCGCTGAGTCCTCTGCTTAAGGTTTTGCCAAGTTGAAATCAAGGTGTGGGTTGACCTCTGTTTCTATTTGGAGATAAAGATCCTATTCAAAGATCATTGAGGTTTTGGGGCAACTTAAAATCTCTGACAGTTGTAGTACTAAGGTCAATTTTTCTGGCAGGTTGTGAGCCAGGGATTACTCTCAGCTAGTAGAGGCCACTCTAGGGTCTTTGCAACATTGCTCTTTTATACACCTGCTCTCACTCACACTCAGACCTCTGACTTCAGGAACAGACCAGTCCCTTTTAAAGGCTCATATGATTCATTCAATCCACCCAGGATAATCTCTCTTTTGATTAACTCACAGTCAATTGACTGGTAACCTAATAACAGGAGTGATACATCAACACATTCACAGGCCCTGTCCACATTGAAGTGAAAAGGATTATTCAGGGCATATATATACCAGAGGGTAGAAATGTTAGGGTCTTAGAATTCTATGTACTACAGTGGTATAAAGGATATAAATAAATTAAATGTTCAGAACTACAGAGTGAAAGGCATCAAACACTGCTAAGGGCAGGAATGGTAAAGTAGCAGACTCACCTGCCACACTCTACTCCCCTGCCTGTGGCATAATTCCTTTGCTAATGGCCCTAGGCACTTTATCACTAAACTGAAATATGGCTTAGCAATCCATTTGTAACTAAAGAAGCTGAAACTGCTTTTCCAATCTTATGCCAAAGGATTTAGAGAAGTCATTCCAGAGGACTCGATGTTTGTGCCTCTAAAAATGAATAAAAAATCACTTTGTGAAAAAGCAGAGGAAGACAATTCAGGCAGAAAGAACCATATGTACAGTAATATAAAGGTACAGCAATGCATGAGGCTTTTAGAAAATAATAGTTTCACGTATCTAAAGGATAAGGTACAAATAGAAGAGACAGTGTCTGAAATATAGCCTTAGGGCAGACTACAAAGAACCTCATAAATTGTGCCAGTGATTCTATTCTATGGATAGGATAACCATATAATATATTATCTAAATTGGAACACTTTTGAGAGTGAAAGGTGGAATTATTCATGGTGATGCTACATGTATAAACTGGAATTACCCCAAGCAAACCCTACTTATAGCTAACAACGAGCCAACATTTTAATTTTAGAGAGTGACCTTGAACAAGGCCACTTAATAGAAGGTGGATGGAAAATTCATTTTATTCAAATGCATTGCCCCCTTAGGCTGGTCATGCTGCTAATTGCACCAATTTGTTCCATGATCCCTGCTCTTATTGAAGGTTTTCTCTAAATTTTTGGTAATCACAGTGAGTGTTGTGCCAGCTATTTCAGATTATTGCTGAATTAATTCTGGATGATGTGAAAGGCATGCTTACTCTGCTGCAATATTTAGTAAACCATCATGAGGTATTCAATGGAAAATTCAAGGACAGGATGACCATAAACTTATCAAACATATGTTTGAAAATTTTTATATACATATGTAACTAACCTGCACATTGTGCACATGTACCCTAAAACTTAAAGTACAATAATAATAAAAAAAAGAAAATTTTTAAAAAGAATTCTTTTCTTTTTAGAAAGAATGTACTTTTTCTAATTAGAATAATAAATACAGATTTTTCTTTAAAAATCCTCAATTCTGCAATGCTGATAAATTCTGTGCCATTTCGTGAAAACATAACTTTAATAAATAGCTCAAGTCATATAAAAATACAGCAGGAAGAATACTGTTCCTCTAAATAAATACCCTTTAATGAACTGAACTCAGTTATGGTGATACATTTTTAGATTCAGCCATGTAAAATAGACACATGATTCCAAACTCCTTTGAGGTTTTTTATCTGGATGAAAAATGGAAGTTTGCTCTTACCCATTTTTCATCATCTGGAATGACATTGCATGGTTAAATATGACTTAAATTCACCATGTGAATTTGGTAGAGACCATTTCATAATGCAAACCACTAATTATGAAATAAATTCTAGCTTATTTTCTCTAAGGTATGGAATCTCAGTTTATGAACGTCTGGACTTCATAAGTCATTCTCAAAAGCAAAGAGAAATCACAGAAATCTATTTTTTAGACCCCACAGGTCTTCCTTTAATTTTTTAATAAAATAGAAAATATACTTTATCAATGGCAACAAGAAAGTAATTTAAACATTCAGCTTTGCAAAAGGCTTATATAAAATATCAAAAACTTCCAAATGTAACATATTTGTAAAGAGCTGGAGGTAAAGGAGAGCAGAATATGTATAGTAATGATATTTGAGTCTCGAAAGTAGAAAATGACCAAAATATAATTACATATGATACCACCATGCAATTGTCTTTATTTCATCATAAAATAGATCAAAATTTTGGAAATTTAGAGGACCAATTAATTCTCCAAGTAAGACAGTTGTCAGTTTGCCACCATGTTTTCCAGGGAATCTGCCCATTATTTGAAAGCTTTTCTTTTGGATTGTGACAATCAGCAATTTGTACTTCCTATGTTCATAAATGCTTGGGCAATTTTTGTAGTCACATCTTGCAAATTGCAACAAAAATACAATAGATAAATTCCATATAATTGCAAATTTTTGTTCACACAGTGAACACTTCTGTCCACAATTTTTTTGCCTTTTATGTCTTCATATCCATGCATTCATTCAATCATTGGTTTTTGCATCAGTGATTTGTATAAGGAGTATTATAAGGAATAAAATGAGCAAGTTGCTGTGGTGGATACCAAAATATGTATCTTAGTTCTTTAATACAAAACGGGAAGTTTTGGGTAAATAAATAGAAGCACAAATGAAAGTGAGGTAGAAGATCAGCAGAACTTGTTTTCCAAGCACTGGTCACTACCCCACTGATCAAAACAGGATCTGGTCAAAACAGAATGCAGTAAAGAAGCCATCCAAAACCAGGTAAAACCAAGATGTTGATGAAAGCAACTTCTAGTTTCCCTCACTGCTCATTAAATGCTAATTATAATTAATTTTCATGCTAAAAGATACTTCTACCAGAGCCATGACAGTTTACATGCCATGACAATGCCTACAAATAACTTTACATTATATAAAAGGGGAGGAATCCTGGGTTCTGTGAACTCCGCATCCCTTTTCTAGAATATTTATGAATAACCTGTCCCTTGTTTAGCTAGCCAGCAATCCACAAGTGCTGCTCTGTCTATGGGGTAGCCCTGCTCTGTCTATGGAACAGCCATTTTCCTGTACTCAGTTGCTCTAATAAATTTGTTTTAGTTTCACTTAACTCTGTTGGCTCACTCTTGAATTATCTCCTGGGTGAAGCCAAATACATGAACTCTCCCAGGCTATGGCTCAACTTTGGGGTTTGCCTGCATCAAAAGGGGAGGATTCAAGAAAGGTATCATAGGGAAGTTAATATTTAAGTGGAGTATATAGCTTGAGGAGTAATATTTGAAAAAGTGGAGTTAAGACAAAGAATATAATATGCAAAAAAACAGAATCTGGGAATAAAGGGAAGATAGAAATATCAGGACAACAAACGGAACAAAAAATAATCATGTTTGATAGAAAATTTGGAATTCATTTTTGTTGTATGCAGATCAGTGGCAGAAAAGAAGTGTGGAAATGTGGGTTTGGTGCAAATTGGGCAGATTTGAAAGTCAAAATTAGATATTTGTAATTTGCTAAACTTCAGAATATCATCTAAGTATCTTTTGTTGTTAGTTGTTTGTTTCCTATATAAATCATATCTTAAGTCAACTTTATTTAGTACTAACTTGTACATAGAATCCATTATTTTAGAAGTACAATTTGATATGTTTTGACAAATGTATACAACTGTGTAATCACCAATTCAATAAAGACAAGAAACATTCACATCACTTTTTATGGCCTTGTACACTTAATCCAAAGTTTTTCTGCCATATACAGGCAACCTCTACTCTGCTTTCTGTCCCTATAAATTATTTTAACTAATACAGAAATTAATAATAAAATAATACTATTATGTACTCTTTTCTTAATGGCCTCATTCACTCAACTTAACATTTTGAATATTAATCCAATTTATGTAGTGCAAATCAGCAGATAATCCCTTTTTATTCATAAATAGTATCCGATTGTATAGATATGTCACAATTTCAATATCTGTTCACTGGTTGAGGGAGATTTAGTTTGTCTCCAGATATTGACTACTATGAATAGAGCTTCTAAGAATATTTGTGTAAAAGCCTTTCTATTGACATATATTCTTGTGTCGCTTGGGTAAATACCTAGGAGTAAAATTGATGGGTCATATAGAAACTGTATTTTAAATTCATATGTAACTGTCAAGATGACTCTTAGATGGAGTGTATCATGTTAGATTCCCACAAGCAGTATATGAGAGATCCAGTTGCTCCACATCCTTGCTAGCCCTTAGTACTATCAGTCTTGTGAACTGTAGCTTTTCCAATGAGTATATTGTAGTCTCTAATTAGGATGTTAATTTTTATTTCTCTCATGATTAATAATGTTGAGCATTTATTGTTGTGCTTATTAAGCATTTTTACTCTTCATTTGTGAGATAATGTTCACAATTTGCCAATTTTTATGAAGCTATTTATTTATTTGTTTTGCTTTGTAAGAATCTGTTACATGGTTTGGATATAAGTCCGTGGTTAGATACATGTTCTACTAATAGTATTTTTCCCAATCTATATTTCGTCTTTTAATTTTATTAATAATGTCTTTCAAAACTGAATTTTAAAAAAATAATAAAGTCAATTTATCATTTTTTTGCTTTATAATTCCTTTTTGTCTCCTACTTAAAAAATCTTTGTCTACTTCAAAGATTTAGGAATTTACTGAAGCATTTCATGACAGGATATTATTTTTTTTCATAAATATTATAGTTTTGTCTTTTATCATTAGGTATTTGACACATTTGACATCTTTTTTTTTTGTCTATGGCATGGGGTAAGTCAAGGTTAATTTTTTTACATAAGTTATCAACTCATTTCAGTGTGGTTTGTTGAAAATTCAGTTGTTTTCTGTATTAGTTTTTTATTGATGCTGTAACAAATTCCCACACATAGCAACTTAAAACAAGGCAAATGTATTCTCTTACTCTTCTGTAGTTTAGAAATATGACATAGAACTTACCAGACTAGGGTGGGGAGGAGCCAAGATGGCCGAATAGGAACAGCTCAGGTCTACAGCTCCCAGCGTGAGCCACGCAGAAGACAGGTGATTTCTGCATTTCCATCTGAGGTACTGGGTTCATCTCACTAGGGAGTGCCAGACAGTGGGCGCAGGTCAGTGGGTGCGCGCACCGTGTGGAAGCAGGGTGAGGCATTGCCTCACTCGGGAAGCGCAAGGGGTCAGGGAGTTCCCTTTCCTAGTCAAAGAAAGGGGTGACAGACCGCAAAATCGGGTCACTCCCACCCGAATACTGCGCTTTTCCGACAGGCTTAAAAAACGGCACACCGGGAGAATATATCCCGCACCTGGCTCGGAGGGTCCTACGCCCACGGAGTCTCGCTGATTGCTAGCACAGCAGTCTGAGATCAAACTGCAAGGCGGCAGCGAGGCTGGGGGAGGGGCGCCCGCCATTGCCCAGGCTTGCTTAGGTAAACAAAGCAGCCAGGAAGCTCGAACTGGGTGGAGCCCACCACAGCTCAAGGAGGCCTGCCTGCCTCCGTAGGCTCCACCTCTGGGGGCAGGGCACAGACAAACAAAAAGACAGCAGTAACCTCTGCAGACTTAAATGTCCCTGTCTGACAGCTTTGAAGAGAGCAGTAGTTCTCCCAGCACGCAGCTGGAGATCTGAGAACGGGCAGACTGCCTCCTCAAGTGGGTCCCTGACCCCTGACCCCTGAGCAGCCTAACTGGGAGGCACCCGCCAGCAGGGGCACACTGACACCTCACACGGCAGGGTATTCCAACAGACCTGCAGCTGAGGGTCCTCTCTGTTAGAAGGAAAACTAACAAACAGAAAGGACATCCACACCAAAAACCCATCTGTACATCACCATCATCAAAGACCAAAAGTAGATAAAACCACAAAGATGGGGAAAAAACAGAACAGAAAAACTGGAAACTCTAAAAAGCAGAGCACCTCTCCTCCTCCAAAGGAACGCAGTTCCTCACCAGCAACGGAACAAAGCTGGACGGAGAACGACTTTGACGAGCTGAGAGAAGGCTTCAGACGATCAAATTACTCTGAGCTACGGGAGGACATTCAAACCAAAGGCAAAGAAGTTGAAAACTTTCAAAAAAATTTAGAAGAATATATAACTAGAATAACCAATACAGAGAAGTGCTTAAAGGAGCTGATGGAGCTGAAAACCAAGGCTCGAGAACTACGTGAAGAATGCAGAAGCCTCAGGAGCCGATGCGATCAACTGGAAGAAAGGGTATCAGCAATGGAAGATGAAATGAATGAAATGAAGCGAGAAGGGAAGTTTAGACAAAAAAGAATAAAAAGAAATGAGCAAAGCCTCCAAGAAATGTGGGACTATGTGAAAAGACCAAATCTACGTCTGATTGGTGTACCTGAAAGTGATGGGGAGAATGGAACCAAGTTGGAAAACACTCTGCAGGATATTATCCAGGAGAACTTCCCCAATCTAGCAAGGCAGGCCAACGTTCAGATTCAGGAAATACAGAGAACGCCACAAAGATACTCCTCGAGAAGAGCAACTCCAAGACACATAATTGTCAGATTCACCAAAGTTGAAATGAAGGAAAAAATGTTAAGGGCAGCCAGAGAGAAAGGTCGGGTTACCCTCAAAGGGAAGCCCATCAGACTAACAGTGGATCTCTCGGCAGAAACCCTACAAGCCAGAAGAGAGTGGGGGCCAATATTCAACATTCTTAAAGAAAAGAATTTTCAACCCAGAATTTCATATCCAGCCAAACTAAGCTTCATAAGTGAAGGAGAAATAAAATACTTTACAGACAAGCAAGTGCTGAGAGATTTTGTCACCACCACGCCTGCCCTAAAAGAGCTCCTGAAGGAAGTGCTAAAAATGGAAAGGAACAACCGGTACCAGCCGCTGCAAAATCATGCCAAAATGTAAAGACCATCGAGGCTAGGAAGAAACTGCATCAACTAACGAGCAAAATAACCAGCTAACATCTTCATGACAGGATCAAATTCACACATAACAATATTAACTTTAAATGTAAATGGACTAAGTGCTCCAATTAAAAGACACAGACTGGCAAATTGGATAAAGAGTCAAGACCCATCAGTGTGCTGTATTCAGGAAACCCATCTCACGTACAGAGACACACATAGGCTCAAAATAAAAGGATGGAGGAAGATCTACCAAGCAAATGGAAAACAAAAAAAGGCAGGGGTTGCAATCCTAGTCTCTGATAAGACAGACTTTAAACCAACAAAGATCAAAAGAGACAAAGAAGGCCATTACATAATGGTAAAGGGATCAATTCAAGAAGAAGAGCTAACTATCCTAAATATATATGCACCCAATACAGGAGCACCCAGATTCATAAAGCAAGTCCTGAGTGACCTACAAAGAGACTTAGACTCCCACACATTAATAATGGGAGACTTTAACACCCCACTGTCAACATTAGACAGATCAACGAGACAGAAAGTCAACAAGGATACCCAGGAATTGAACTCAGCTCTGCACCAAGCGGACCTAATAGACATCTACAGAACTCTCCACCCCAAATCAACAGAATATGCATTTTTTTCAGCACCACACCACACCTATTCCAAAATTGACCACATACTTGGAAGTAAAGCTCTCCTCAGCAAATGTAAAAGAACAGAAATTATAACAAACTATCTCTCAGACCACAGTGCAATCAAACTAGAACTCAGGATGAAGAATCTCACTCAAAACCACTCAACTACATGGAAACTGAACAACCTGCTCCTGAATGACTACTGGATACATAACGAAATGAAGGCAGAAATAAAGATGTTCTTTGAAACCAACGAGAACAAAGACACAACATACCAGAATCTCTGGGACGCATTCAAAGCAGTGTGTAGAGGGAAATTTATAGCACTAAATGCCCACAAGAGAAAGCAGGAAAGATCCAAAATTGACACCCTAACATCACAATTAAAAGAACTAGAAAAGCAAGAGCAAACACATTCAAAAGCTAGCAGAAGGCAAGAAATAACTAAAATGAGAGCAGAACTGAAGGAAATAGAGACACAAAAAACCCTTCAAAAAATTAATGAATCCAGGAGCTGGTTTTTGGAAAGGATCAACAAAATAGATAGACCACTAGCAAGACTAATAAAGAAAAAAAGAGAGAAGAATCAAATAGATGCAATAAAAAATGATAAAGGGGATATCACCACTGATCCCACAGAAATACAAACTACCATCAGAGAACACTTCAAACACCTCTATGCAAATAAACTAGAAAATCTAGAAGAAATGGATAAATTCCTGGACACATACACTCTCCCAAGACTAAACCAGGAAGAAGTTGAATCTCTGAATAGACCAATAACAGGATCTGAAATTGTGGCAATAATCAATAGCTTACCAACCAAAAAGAGTCCAGGACCAGATGGATTCACAGCCGAATTCTACCAGAGGTACAAGGAGGAACTGGTACCATTCCTTCTGAAACTATTCCAATCAATAGAAAAAGAGGGAATCCTCACTAACTCATTTTATGAGGCCAGCATCATCCTGATACCAAAGCCTGGCAGAGACACAACCAAAAAAGATAATTTTAGACCAATATCCTTGATGAACATTGATGCAAAAATCCTCAATAAAATACTGGCAAAACGAATCCAGCAGCACATCAAAAAGCTTATCCACCGTGATCAAGTGGGCTTCATCCCTGGGATGCAAGGCTGGTTCAATATATGCAAATCAATAAATGTAATCCAGTATATAAACAAAGCCAAAGACAAAAACCACATGGTTATCTCAATAGAAGCAGAAAAGGCCTTTGACAAAATTCAACAACCCTTCATGCTAAAAACTCTCAATAAATTAGGTATTGATGGGACGTATTTCAAAATAATAAGAGCTATCTATGACAAACCCACAGCCAATATCATACTGAATGGGCAAAAACTGGAAGCATTCCCTTTGAAAACTGGCACAAGACAGGGATGCCCTTTCTCACCACTCCTCTTCGACATAGTGTTGGAAGTTCTGGCCAGGGCAATTAGGCAGGAGAAGGAAATAAAGGGTATTCAATTAGGAAAAGAGGAAGTCAAATTGTCCCTCTTTGCAGACGACATGATTTTATATCTAGAAAACCCCATTGTCTCAGCCCAAAATCTCCTTAAGCTGATAAGCAACTTCAGCAAAGTCTCAGGATACAAAATCAATGTACAAAAATCACAAGCATTCTTATACACCAACAACAGACAGAGAGCCAAATCATGAGTGAACTCCCATTCACAATTGCTTCAAAGAGAATAAAATACCTAGGAATCCAACTTACAAGGGATGTGAAGGACCTCTTCAAGGAGAACTACAAACCACTGCTCAATGAAATAAAAGAGGATACAAACAAATGGAAGAACATTCCATGCTCATGGGTAGGAAGAATCAATATTGTGAAAATGGCTATACTGCCCAAGGTAATTTACAGATTCAATGCCATCCCCATCAAGCTACCAATGCCTTTCTTCACAGAATTGGAAAAAACTACTTTAAAGTTCATATGGAACCAAAAAAGAGCCTGCATCGCCAAGTCAATCCTAAGCCAAAAGAACAAAGCTGGAGGCATCACACTACCTGACTTCAAACTATACTACAAGACTACAGTAACCAAAACAGCATGGTACTGGTACCAAAACAGAGATATAGATCAATGGAACAGAACAGAGCCCTCAGAAGTAATGCCGCATATCTACAACCATCTGATCTTTGACAAACCTGAGAAAAACAAGCAATGGGGAAAGGATTCCCTATTTAATAAATGGTGCTGGGAAAACTGGCTAGCCATAAGTAGAAAGCTGAAACTGGATCCCTTCCTTACACCTTATACAAAAATCAATTCAAGATGGATTAAACACTTAAACATTAGACCTAAAACCATAAAAACCCTAGAAGAAAACCTAGGCAATACCATTCAGGACATAGGCATGGGCAAGGACTTCATGTCTAAAACACCAAAAGCAATGGCAACAAAAGACAAAATTGACAAATGGGATCTAATTAAACTAAAGAGCTTCTGCACAGCAAAAGAAACTACCATCAGAGTGAACAGGAAACTTACAAAATGGGAGAAAATTTTTGCAACCTACTCATCTGACAAAGGGCTAATATCCAGAATCTACAATGAACTCAAACAAATTTACAAGTAAAAAACAAACAACCCCATCAAAAAGTGGGCGAAGGACATGAACAGACACTTCTCAAAACAAGACATTTATGCAGCCAAAAAACACATGAAAAAATGCTCATCATCACTGGCCATCAGAGAAATGCAAATCAAAACCACAATGAGACACTATCTCACACCAGTTAGAATGGCAATCATTAAAAAGTCAGGAAACAACAGGTGCTGGAGAGGATGTGGAGAAATAGGAACACTTTTACACTGTTGGTGGGACTGTAAACTAGTTCAACCATTCTGGAAGTCAGTGTGGTGATTCCTCAGGGATCTAGAACAAGAAATACCATTTGACCCAGCCATACCATTACTGGGTATATACCCAAAGGACTATAAATCATGCTGCTATAAAGACACATGCACACATATGTTTATTGTGGCACTATTCACAATAGCAAAGATTTGGAACCAACCCAAATGTCCAACAATGATAGACTGGATTAAGAAAATGTGGCACATATACACCATGGAATACTATGCAGCCATAAAAAATGATGAGTTCCTGTCCTTTGTAGGGACATGGATGAAATTGGAAATCATCATTCTCAGTAAACTATAGCAAGAACAAAAAACCAAACACCGCATATTCTCACTCATAGGTGGGAATTGAACAATGAGATCACATGGACACAGGAAGGGGAACATCACACTCTGGGGACTGTTGTGAGGTGGGGGAAAGGGGGAGGGATAGCATTGGGAGATATACCTAATGCTAGATGACGAGTTAGTGGGTGCAGCGCAACAGCATGGCACGTGTATACACATGTAACTAACCTGCACAATGTGCACATGTACCCTAAAACTTAAAGTATAATAATAAAAGAAAAAAAAAAAAAGAACTTACCAGACTAAATTCAAGTGGGTTCTCAGGGCCATATACCTTTCTGGAGACTCTAAGGAAGAATCCATTTCCCTGTTCACTCAAATAATTGGTAGAACTCAGTTTCTTGTGAATGTAGGAGTGAGGTCCTTGTTTCCTTACCAGATGTCAGCTGAGGGCTATACTTGCTTCTAAATGCTACCCCTGCTTTCATTCTCATTGCCAGCAATGGTTGGTCAACTATTACTCACATTTTAAACGTCTCCTGTCCTTTCTCTGACAGGGCTACCTCGATGGCTCTTCTGCCTTCTTCCACTTTTAGGAACCCATATGATTACACTGGGCCCATGGGGATTACTCAGAATGATCTCCATATTTAAGGCCTATTACCTTAATTCCATCTGTAAAGTCCCTTTGCCCAGTGACATAATATACACAGGAGTAACACCAAGAAGCAAATATAATGAGGGCCAAAATCCTGCCTACCACTCTTCCCTTTCAAATTGCCTTGGTATCTTTATATAATCAATTATTCTGATATGTGTGGTTCTTTTTCGCACTCCCTATTTTGCTCCATGGATTTTTATGTATAATCTCATGCCAAATAAATACTGTCTTAATTATTGCAGATTTATGGTAATTCATTATATTCGGTAGTTCAGTCCTCCAAATTTGTTCCCCTTTTCCAAAATTGCTTCTGTTATTTGAGGTCACTTGCATTTCCATATGAATTTTAGTATCATCTTGTCAAAACAATCTGAATTGAATTGAATCCACAAATAAATTTGGGGATAATTAGCATCATTATTAGTGCCTTTCAAATTATCAATGTTATATACTTCTCCATTTAGTCTTAATTTTTCTCCACAATTAAAAAAAATCATGTGGAGGTTTTGCCCATATGTTGTAAAATTTATCTCTAACTATTTTTTGATATTAAATGCTATGGCAAATGCTATTTTAATATCAAATTTTCTAATTGCTCCTTTTTTCTATCTAGATATATAATTTATTTTTGTGCATTGACCTTGCTAAACTTATCTATAAATTCTACTAGCTTTTATGTAGATTCATTGTTACATTCTCCATGCATGATGCTATGGCTTATATGTTTGTCTCCTCCAAACTCATGCTGAAATTTAATTACTATTGTGAGTCTTAGGAGATGAGAGCTTTAAGAGGTGTTTAGGTCATGAGGGCCCCAACTTTATTAATGGACTAATGGCTATATCAAAGCATAGCCAGAGGTTCTTGCCAGATATTAGAAACTTGATATTGGACTTCTCAGACCCAAGAGCTATGGGCTAACAAATTTCTCTTCATTGTAAGTTACCCAGTCTCAAGTATTCTGATATAGCAGCAAAAAATGGACCAAAACACATGATCATGTTGTTAAAAAATATGATTTTATATTATCATTTCTGATTTGCATTATTTTAATTAATTATTTATTCTTGCCTTACTTCACTATCTAAAATTTCCAGTACTGTGATGAATATAAGTAGTGCAAACTAGCATTTTGGCTGATTTCCAATTTCTACAAAAAATCATTTAGTTTTTATTTTATTAAATACAATGTTATTTATAGGAATTTTGTAGATGTCTTTTCTTAGGCTCAGAAATTTACTTTTCTAGTCTTTATAGACTTTTTATACTGAATGGATGCTAAATTTGTCAAATGCTCTTTCTGTATTTATTGAAATGGTCATGTTAGTTTTGTTTCTTTCTTCTGTTACTGTGATGAATTACATTGATTCATTTTCAAATTTTAAGCCAGCATACATTCTCAGGATGCACTTCATTTGGACACAACGCATTATACTTTTTATTTCCTCTCATATTTGATTTGCTGGAATTTTTTTAAAACATTTGTCTGTATTCATGAAGAATAATTGCCTATATTTTTATTTTTGTAATATAGTTGCTTTTCATAATATTTTTGTCTTTTAAAAATATTTGTTAAGGTTAATTCTGGCCTGTAAAAAATATTAGGGATGTGTTTCTTCGTCTGTTTCTGATAGATTGTGTATGGATTTGATATTGTTTCTTCCTTATTGTTTAATAAAATTCACCATTGAAGCCACCATCTAGGCCCATTTCTTTGTGGGAAAGTATGTCATTACACATTTCAGTTCTGTAATGGATATAGGGTGATTTGGATTCTCAATTTTTTGTTGAATCAGTTTTTATAATTTGTCTTTTTCAAGTAATTTGTCCATTTCATCTAAGTTATCAAATATATTGGCAAAAACATTTTATTTGTTCGGAATACTCTCTTATCCGTTTAAAACCGGTTGAATCTCTAATGAGTTTCTCCTCTCCATTCCTGATACTGCTAATTTGTATTTTATTTCTTTATTTCTTAAACTATTTAGCTAGATATTTAACAATTTTATTGATATTTGAATTTTCATAAGAACCAGCTTTTGGTTTCCTCTATTATTTGTTTGTTTTCTATTACATGGATCTCTTCTGTTATCCTCATTGTTGCCTTTTATTTTAGGTTATTTTTTTCTTAGGTTCTACATTCATAAAGTGGCATTAGAAAACTTTTAGGGCAATTATCTCATCTGCTGTCATGATAGATTAGTTTGCATTTTCTAGAATTTTAAATAAATAAGATCATGCCATATGTAGTTTTTTTGACTGATTTCTTTGATGAAGGCTAATTATTTTGAAATTAACCCACCTTTGTATATCTAACAATAATTAATTTTTATTTCTTCATAGAACTCCATCATCTGGATATACCACACTTTATGTATGCATTCTAATATTGATGTACATTTGGGATTGTTTTCAGTTCTTGGTTATTTCTAATAAAAGCATTGTGAACATTCTCATACAAGTATTTGTATGCACATTTGCTTTCATCTCTCTTGGACATATACTTGGGAGTAGAATGTATACATCCATTGGTAGGCTAATTGTGACTGCTAGGAAACTGTAAAACATTTTTTGAAAGCAGTTGTGACATTTTATATTGCCACCAGTAGTGTTTAAGGGTTCATATTACTCCATATTCTTACCAGCGCATGATATGGTCAGTCTTTTCAACTTTATAAATACTGGTTGGAGCGTAATCTTATCTCACTGTCATTTTAACTTTCATTTCATTAATGATTAATGTTGCTGAACATATTTTCAAGTGCTTATTTACAACCTGTATATCTTATTTGGTGAAAAGTTTGTTCAAATCTGTAACCCATTTTATTGGGTTGTTTGCATTCATACTATTTCATTCTGAGAGATTTCTTTCATACTCTGCATACAAGTCCTGCATCAAATATGAGATTTACAAATATTTTCTCCCAGTCTGTAACCTGTATTTTCATTCTATTAATATTTCAGTTTAAAAGCAAGATTCTTAATTGTTATCAATATGAATTTCTTATTTTTATTTAATGGATTATTTTATGTCATATGTTTCATTTTGTTTGAAATTCTGAACCAGTGCATTTATAGCTTTCATCAAATTTGGATATTTTTAGCCATGATTTCTTCAAATATATTTTCTGCTCTCTTTTTCTCGACTCATTGGAGGACTTCAATAACATTTATATTAGGCTTATTGAAGTCATCTAAGAACTCCCTAGTGCTGTTTCATATTTTTCCCACTATTTTATCTCTCTGCTTCATTTTGGAATCTTTCCACGTTACAAGTTCACTAATAGTTTCTCTCAGTGTCTAATCTATTTTAATCTTATCCATTGTATTTTATCTCAAATGTTTTATTTTTCAAGTTTAGGATTTCATTTGGATCTTTAGATCTTCCATGTCTCTACTTAACATGCTTAGTTTTTTCTCTACTTTCTTAAACATATGTAATATAGTGATAATAACTCTTACTGTCTTTGATTTCTCACTGTTAAATTAGGGAGGGAATTATGGGGAGAAGTGAAATTTCCTATCCATGATTTGCAATGTGTTTGTAGTATGGGTTGTATTTTTGTAGCAGTAATAATTGAACATGTAGGATTGGTAGACGGCTGAAGAAAAGAAATGACAGAAATTAAGTAAATGACTAATACAAGTTAAAAAGTATGATAAAATAGATGATGAATTCAGCTTGGAATATGCATAATTTGTGGTATCAATGACACACTGAGAAAATTATTCATCAGGAAATTGGAAATATAGGACTGGAATTTGGGAGAAAGGTCAGTGGCATTGCTTAAGGAAGAAAGAGAAAAGAAAGAAAAATGTTGGAAAATAGGCCAGGGTCTTCTTCATATTTGTAGTCATGGTACTTAGCATAATGTCTGGCATATTTGAAGTGCTCAGTAGAGGAATGGTGAGTAAAGTAATAAAAAGCAACAGAGCTTCATTTAGTACAAAGAGGAAGGAAAAAAGTCAGAGAATGAATAATCAGAGGCAAGAGTATCCTCAATTCTACATTATTGGTAACAGAGTCTTAAAAGTTTGACTTATGAGCAATTTTGAAAATATCTATATTGCTTTTTATAAAATTAATGAACGTGAGAAAATAAAAGTAGTATTTTCTAGTAATCTGTGTTTTCCATATGCCGGCTGCAAAATAAATGGCAAGTGTGATGGTTAATACTGAGTGTCAACTTGATTGGATTAAAAGATACAAAATATTGATCATGGGTGTGTCTGTGAGGGTGTTGCCAAAAGAGATTAACGTTTGACTCACTGGGCTGGGAAAGGCAGAACAACAATTAATCTGGGTGGGCACCATATGATCAGCTGCCAGTATAGCTGGAATATAAAAAGCAGGCAGAAAAATGAAAAAAAGATGGGACTGACCTAGCCTCCCAGCCTACATCTTTCTCCCTTGCTGGAGGCTTCCTGCCCTTGAATATCGGATCCCAAGTTCTTCAGTGTTGGGACTTGGACTAACTCTCTCTACCCCTCAGCTTGCAGCAACCTATTGTGGGAACTTCTGATTGTTTAAGTTAATGCTTGATAAACTCCCCTATATATGTACATATGTACTATTAGTTCTGTCCCTCTACAGAACTCTGATTCATACAGATTTTGGTACCAGGAGTGGTTCTAGAGGAACAGAATATTAAATATGCAGTCCTTTAATTGGTTTGGGCGCTTCTGGAGTTGGCTGCTTAATATGATTAGACTCCAAACTGCTAAGGACTCTACTTGTAATAGTATGGAGAACACTGATAGTCCTTGGCATGAACTGTTTAAAGAGTTATGCAAAATAAATGCATTTGACACTTCTGATTTGCCACTCATGAGAGGCAAGGAGTTTAGTGACTCTATACATAATACCTTTGACCATATATGGAGAACCAAAGAATATAAGGAAGCTGGTTGGTTGCTCCTAAGTTTAGTGGACAGAGTGATGAAAGAAAATGATTAACTCAGGGACACTATCTCCTCGCTTCAGAAGCAGATACTGGACCTCAAATCGGCTAACTTTGCCCTGAGTGCGAGTCTTATATCATGTAGAGAAATAGCTAAAATTGTGGAAAAATAGACACCAGATCTTATCATGTGAGTAGCTATCCTGCAACAAAGGGTGCATGCACAACCTCACCAGGTGTCTACTGTTAAAGTGAGAGCATTGATAGGAAAAGAACTGAACTCTGCAACTTAGAATGTGGATGTGTGGGAGGACCCTGATAAGGCTGGGGATACAGAGTTTGTAAACTCTGATAAACCTTTTTTTTGCAAGAGGAAACAGCTTCCTTATCCCCAGTAGTGGCAACATCTTCAGAACGCATGATGCCATCAGTCTTTCCACCTTTGTCTGAGGAGATAAACCCTGCACTACCTCAGGCAACAGTGATGGCCTCCCCTGAGGCAGTTGCCAGGCAAGATAATGTTGATTCTCCTCAGAAGCCACCCACAAAACCCCTGTTTGATTCCAGGCCTATAACTAGACCAAAGCCCCAGTGGACCCCTAGAGGTGAGGTTGACAGTGTGACTCATGAGGACGTGTGCTACACTCGAAAAGAACTGCTGGAGTTTTCTAATTTATATAAACAGCAACCTGGAGAACAAGTATGGGAATGGATATTAAGGGTGTGGGATAATGGTGGAAGGAACACAGAGTCAGATCAGGCTGAATTTATTGATTTGGGCTCACTAAGTAAAGACTCTGCATTTAATGTTGAAGATCGAGGAGTTAAAAAGGTTCTAATGGTTATTTGCTTTGTTAGCTGGAATATGGATTAAAAGATGGCCCAATGTGAGTGAGCTAGAAATGCCTAATCTCCCTTGGTTTAATGTAGAGGAAAAGACCCAAAGGCTTAGGGAGATTGGGATGGGGGAGTGGATTAGTCCCATTAGACTTAATCATTCCAATTGGGAGGGTCCATAAGATATACCCTTGACCAATGCCTTGTGAAATATATGTGTGAGGGCAGCACCTGCATCTTTGAAGAGCAATGTAATGTCTCTACTATGTATGTCAGTTTTAACAGTGAGAATGACAGTAACTCAACTACAAAACTTAAATACAATGGGAAAGAATTAGATCTCAAGGCGGCAGATGCCAAGTGGCAGCACTCAACTCTCAAAGGTAAGGTGGGCATAGCTACTGTAATGGACAGCAGAAGAAAAAGAGCAATCAGAATAGTCTGACCCGTGTAGAGCTCTGGAATTGGCTAATTAATCACTATGTTCCTGGAAATGAAATTGATAGGAAGTCTAAATCATTCTTAATTTATATAAGCAGAAAACTTTCAGGTCGAATGGACAAAAGACAAATTTGAATCATAAAAACAGAGAATCATGGCCCCTCAATCAATTTCCAGACTTGAGCCAGTTTACAGACCAAGAGCCTCTTGAATAAGGGCCTGTGCAGAAAACAGACCTTTCTTGGAGAAGGACAGTGGATTATCCTAAGCTTAACCAAGTGGTGACTCCAACTGCAGCTCATGTACCAGATGTGGTTTCATGGCTTAAGCAAATTAACATATAGCTTGGTACCTGGTATGCAGCCATTGAATTGGCAAGTGCTTTTTCTCCATTCCTGTCCATACAGCCCGCCAGAAGCAATCTGTATTCAGCTGGCAAGTCCAACAATATATCTTTACTGTCTGAGCTTAGGAGTATATCAACTCTTGCCTTTGTGTCATAATTTTATTCTGAGAGACCTTGATTGCTTTTTGCTTCCATATGACATCACACTGGTTCATTACATCAATGACATTATGCTGATTGGATCCAGTGAGCAAGAAGTAGCAAACACACTGGACTTATTGGTAAGACATTTGCATGCCAGAAGATGGGAAATAAATCTGACTAAAATTCAGGGACAATCTACCTCAGTAAAATTTCTAGGGGTCCAGTGGTGTGGGGCCTGTCAAGATAATCCTACTAAGGTGAAGGATAAGTTGCTACATTTAGCCCTCCCTACAGCCAAGAAAAAGGCACAATGCCTAGTGGGCCTACTTGGATTTCAGAGGCAACACATTCCTCATCTGAGTGTATTACTCCAGCCTGTCTTTTGAGTGACCTGAAAGGCTACCATTTTTGACTGGGGTCCAGAACAGGAAAAGGCTCTGCAACAGGTCCAGATTGCTGTGTAAGCTGCACTACCACTTGGGCCACATGACCCAGCAGATCCAATGGTGCTTGAGGTGTCAGTGGCAGATTGGGATGCTGTTTGGAGCCTTTGGTAGGCCCCCTTAGGTGAATCACAGAACAGGCCTCTAGGATTTTAGAGCAAGGTCCTGCCATCTTCTGCATATAACTACTCTCCTTTTGAGAGACAGCTCATTGCCTGTTACTGAGCTTTGGTGGAAATTGAACGTTTGACTATGGGTCATCAAGTCACCATGTGACCTGAACTGTTTATCATGAACTACGTTCTTTCTGACTCATCAAGCCATAATGGAAGTGGTATAAATGTCATTGGGATCGAGCAGGTCCTGAAGGCACAAGTAAGTTACTTGAGGAAGTGGCATAAATGCCCGTGGTCTACACTCCTGCCACCCTGCCTTCTCTCCCCTAGCCTGCACTGGTGGGCTCATGGGGAGTTCCCTATGATTAGTTGACAGAGGAAGAGAAGATTAGGGACTGGTTCACAGATGGTTGTGAATGATATTCAGGCACCACTCAAAAGTGTACAGCTGCAGCACTACAGCCCCTTTCTAGGACATTCCTCAAGGACAGCAGTGAAGGGAAATTTTCCCAGTGGGCAGAAGTTCAAGCAGTGCACCTGGATATGCACTTTGCATGGAAGGTAAAATGGCCAGATGTGTGATTATATACTGATCCATGGGCTGTAGCCAATGGTTTGTCTGTATGGTCAGGGACTTGGAAGAAGAAGCATGGCTGGAAAATTAGTGACACATAAATTTGGGGAAGAGGTATGTGGATGGATCTCTCTGAGTGGTCAAAAACTGTGAAGATATTTGTTTCCCATATGAGTGCTCACCAACGGGTGACCTCAGCAGAGGAGGATTTTAATAATCAAGTGGCTAGGATGACCCGTTCTCTGGACACCACTAAGCCTCTTTCCTCAGCCACCCCTGTCATTGCCCAATGGGCCCATGAAAAAAGTGGCCATGGTAGCAGGGATGGAGGTTACACATGGGCTTAGCAACATGGACTTCTACTCACCAAGGATGACCTGGCTATGGCCACTGGTGAGGGCCCAATTTGCCAGCAGCAGAGACCAACACTGTCCTCGATATGGCACCGTTCCTTGGGGTGATCAGCCAGCTAGCTGGTGGCGGCTTAATTATATTGAACCTCTTCTATCATGGAAAGGGCAGAGGTTTGTCTTCACTGGAATAGATACTTACTCCAGATATGGGCTTGCCTATTCTGCACACAATGCTTCTGCCAATACTATCATCTGTGTACTAATGGAATGCCTTATCTACTGTCATGGTTTACACACAGCATTGCCTCTGATTAAGGCACTCACTTTATGGCTAAAGTAGAGAGGCAGAGGGCTCATGCTCATGGAATTCACTGTTCTTATCATGTTCCCCATTATCCTGAAGCAGCTGTATTGATAGAACGGGAGAATGGCCTTTTTAAGTCACAATTACAATGCCAACTAAGTGACAATACTTTGCAGGGCTAGGGCAAAGTTCTTCAGAAGGCCATGTATACTCTAAATCAGAGTCCAATATATTGTATTGTTACTCTCATAGCCAGCATTCATGGGTCCAGGAATTAATGGGGTGGAAGAATCACCCCTAGTGATCCACTAGCAAAATTTTTGCTTCCTTTTGCCATAACATTACATTCTGCTGGCCTAGAGGTCTAAGTTCCAGAGGAAGTAATTCTGCCACCAGGAGATACAACAACAATTTCATTAAACTGGAAGTTAAGATTGCCACCTGGACACTTTGGGCTCCTCTTACCTTTAAGTCAACAGACTAAGGGAGTTACAGTCTTGGCTGGGGTGGTTGACCCAGACTATCAAGATGAGTAGATTATCAGTCTACTACTCCACAGTGGAGGTAAGGAAGACTATGCGTGGAATACAGGATATCCATTAGGGCATCTCTTAGTATCACCATGCCTTGTGATTAAGGTCAATGGGAAACTACAACAGCCCAATCTAGACAAGACTACAAATTGTCCAAAAGCTTCAGGAATGAAGATTTGGATCACTCCACCAGGAAAAAAAAAAAAAAAAAAAAAAGAACCATGACCTGCTGAGGTGCTTGCTGAAGGCAAATGGAATACAGAATGGGTAGTAGAAAAAGGTAGTCATCAATACGAGCTACAACCATGTGATCAACTGCAGAAATGGGCACTGTAATTGTCATGAGTATTTCCTCCTTCTTTTGTTAAAACATGTTTTGCATGTCTAAACTTGTACCAAGAAAATAGCTTCATTTTATTTTACTTTTCCTTTATCATGTGACATAAGATTTATTGACTTCACTTCAACATTTAAGTATCATTAACTTTATGTAATAGTATTTATGTAATAGTATTTGCGTTGGGGATTGGTGCATTTGCAGTTGTATGAAGGATAATTGTATTATGTCCGGCATAACTATGACCTTATTTTTGTCTTTATTTGAAGATTATGTATGATCTCTGGAGATGTGTATGGACTCAAGTTGACAAGCGGTGAACTTGTGATGGTTAATACTCAGTGTCAACTTGATTGGATTGAAGGATACAAAATATTGATCCTGGGTGTGTCTGTGAGGGTGTTGCCAAAAGAGATTAACATTTGACTCAGCGGGCTGGGAAAGGCAGACCCACCTTTAATCTGAGTGGAAACCATCTGATCAGTGGCCAATGTGGCTAGAATAAAAAAGCAGGCAGATAAATGTATAAAAGACGAGAATGGCCTAACCCCTAGCCTACCTTTTTCTCCCGAGCTGGGTGCTCCCTGCCCTCTAATATCAGACTCCATGTTCTTCTGTTTTGGGACTTGAACTGGCTCTCTTTACAGCTCAGCTTTCAGACAGCTTAATGTGGGACCTTGTGATCATGTGAGTTAATATTTAATAAACTTTCATATATGTATATATGAACAGTATTGGATTTAATATAATAGGATATATATATATATATAAATCCTATTAGTTCTGTCCCTCTAGAGAATCCTGACTAATACATCAAGATAAATATTTTTCTATGCAGCCCTTACCTGACCCTTGTTGCCTATCAAATCAAGCTGCTTCATTATTGCATTTTCCTTCAAGTTCATAAGTGGAAGATTTAAAATACATATAGCATAAAATGTACTTGGCACTGACTTGTATGCCGTTAACTATTTTTTCATCATTGAAGTTATCTATGACTTTAGAAGCGTCTTTTCCAAAAAAAAGCATCAGTTCCAAATGAAAACATTGCTTTGCTATAGTATCAGCTATTTATGCACTGCCTCTGATTTGCTACTGAAATATAAGTGGGTATTGTTTAAATATAGAAAGATATTAATCCAGATAGTACTATAAATTGTAATTTTTTTAGGAAAAGATGAGTTATATTTCCAAGATACCAATATAATTTCTTTATCATTTTTAGCATAGCATCATTCATCTAATTTTTTAAATTGTAGCCTCCGTATAAGCCACATATAAATTTTTTAAAAAGATAAATGTAACTTCATAACATATATAGGTTTCTAAGGAAAATGTGTAAAAAATATTCAAAATCTTTCTGAGTTAAAATTTTCAAATTCTTTTTAAATTTAGCTTTCTTAGTATGGATTGGGTAAATATATAAAGCAGAAAAAGATAATAAGAATATTGTCTTTCATGTGCCAAGACTTTTATCTATTTGTGATAAAAATTAGGCATTCATATACTTTTGGTTTCATTAGATTATTTTGTAATGAGGGTATATTTCACAGTAGGAAATATACTGATAGATGAATTAATGCATATTAAAACTTCAGACAATTTTGTAAAAAATATGTGTAGCTGGTTTACTTGTCCTCAGCCTTTTATAAAACTCTCATACTCAGGGAAACAATAATCATTTTACTTTAAAAACATTTGACCATGTCATTTCACTTTTCAAAGTCCTGCAGTTTCTTATCACTAATTTTGCAAAATTTATCTTATGGGTTTCTATGACCTCTTATCAGCTCTCACCTTCCCCATCTCATTATGCCACAATTCACCAACTTTATTTTTAGCTACTCTCTATCATGGTTTGCTCTTCAGCTAGGAAAACTAACTTTACATTCCCAATGTAACATTTTTACTTTCCGTCTGTCTCCACAAGTTAACAGTCTTTCAGAGATCACTCTTCCTAGCTATACTTATACTAGATTTCTTTCAAAATGTTGATTGAAAAAAGTATTCTGGCACAGAGATTTTTCTTTAATTAGTACAAATCATATGCATATATCCTGTATCTTTTAACATTATTTATACAGCTTGATCTTCATAATTGGTACTACAAACTTATTTTGGACATGATTATTTTTCTTTGTTTTTTAATCTTTAATTTTAATTTTTGTGGGTACACAGTAGGTGTATATATTTATGGGATACATGAGCTATTTTGATAAAGGCATGCATAGCCTAATAATCACATCATGGAAAATGGAGTATCCATCCTTTTAACCATTTATCCTTTGTGTTAAAAACAATTCAATTATACTCTGAGTTATTGTAAAATATACAATTAATTTATGTTCACTATAGTCACCCTGTTGTGCTATGGAATACTAGGTCGTATTTATAGTAATTACTTTTTGTACACATTCACCATTCCCACCTTCCCCCTAACCCCTCACTGCTTTTTCCAGCCTCTGGTAATTATCCTTCTACTCTCCATTTCCATGAGATCAATTGTTTTGAATTTTAATTCCTACAGATAAATGAGGACATGCAATATTTGTCTTTCTGTGCCTGACTTATTTCACTTAAAATAATGACCTCCCGTTTCATCCATGTTGTTGAAAACAACAGGATATCATTCATTTGCATGGCTGAATTGCACTCCATTGTGTATATGTGCCATATTTTCTTTATCTGTTCATCTGTTGATGAACACTTAGGTTGCTTCCAAATCTTAGCTATTGTAAACAGTGCTGCAATAAGCATAGGAGTGCAGATATCTCTTCCATAAAATGAGTTTCTTTCTTTTGGGTATATATGTAGCACTGGGATTGCAGGATTATATGGTAGCTCTATTTTTAGTTGTCTGAGGAACCTCCAAAAACTGTTCTCCATAGTGGTTGTACTAATTCACATTGCCACCAACAGTGTAACATGGTTTCATTTTCTCTACATCCTCACCAGCATCAAATATTGCCTGTCTATTGGATAAAAGCCATTTTAACTGGATTGAGAAGATACCTCATTGCAGTTTTGATTTGCATTTCTCTGATGATCAATGATGTTGAGCACCTATTCATATGCCTGTTTGTCATTTGCATGCCTTCTTTTGAGAAATGTGTATTTAGATATTTTGCCCATTTTAAATTATATTATCAGATTTTTTTTCTTACTGAGTAATTTTAGCTCCTTATATATTCTGATTATTAATCTCTTATCAGATGGGATGTCTGCAAAAATTTTCTCCCATTCTATGGGTTGTCCCTTCACTTTGATGATTGTTTTCTTTGCTGTGCATAAGCTTTTTAACTTGATGTGATCCCATTTGTCCATTTTTGTTGTAGTTGCCTGTGCTTGTGGGGTATTACACACACACAAAAATTTTGCACAGATCAATGTCCTGTGGATTTTCTTCAGTGTTTTCTCATAGTAGTTTCATATGATCAGCACTTAGATTTAAGTATTTAATTTATTTTAATTTGATTTTTGTATACGGCAAAAAACAGGGATCTAGCTTCATTCTTCTGCATATGGATATCCAGCTTCCCCAGCACCATTTATTGAAAAGACTGTCTTTTCCCCAGTGTATGTTCTTGGCACCATTGTGGAAATGTGTTACTGTTGGTTTGTGCATTTATTTTTGGGTTATTTATTCTGTTCCATTGGTCTATGTGTCTGTTTTCATTAACAGTCTCATACTATTTTTGGTTGCTATAGCTCTGTAGTATAATTTGCAGTCAGGTAATGTGAGTCCTCCGCTTTTGTTCTTTTTGCTTAGGATAGCTTTGACTATTTTGGGTCATTTGTGATTTTATATAAATTTTAGGATAGTTTTTTTTCTATTTCTGTGAAGAATGTCATTGGCATTTTGGTAGGGATTGCATTAAATCTGTAGATGATTGCTTTTGGTAGTATGGATAATTTAACAGTATTGATTTTTTCAATCCATGAACATGGGATCTCTTTCCATTTTTGTGTCCTCTTCAATTTTTCATCAGTGTTTTATAGTTTTTATTGTAGAGAACTTTCACTTCTTTGGTTAATTACTAGGTATTTAATTTATTTGTGGCTATTGTAAATAGGATTAATTTTGTGATTTCCCCCATGTTCACTCTTGACATATAGAAATGCTACTGAATGTTTTGTGTTAATTATTTATCCTGCAACTTGACTGCATTTGTTTATCAGTTCTAATAACTTTATTGTGGAGTCTTCAGGATTATCCAAATATAAGATCTTATTATTTGCAAACAAGGATAATTTGATTTCTTCCTTTCTAATGTGGATGTCCTTTATTTATTTCTCTTGTCTAATTGCTCTATCTACAACTCCCAGTACTCTGTCAAATAACAATGGTGAAAGAGGGCATCCTTGTCATGATCCACATCTTAAATAAAAGGCTTTCAGATTTTCCCCATTCAGTATAATACTAGCTGTGGGTCTGTCATATATGGCTTTTATTATGTCGAGGCATGTTCTTTATTTTGGTCATTATTCATGTAATTTTCACATTTGTCTGTCTTGGCTAATTAGGTCATAATTTTGTAAGAAAAACAGATATTTCTTTCTCAAACTTTTTTTTTCACAGTACCAACTATGGAATTAATTTAGATTTAGAATGGTTATTGAATAATTATTGTTGATGAATTAATGAACTTTAATTATAATGTTTTCTATTATAAAACAGTTATAATACAATAATGTTATAAGTAAAACTATTTTTGATATTAGTGGGATGCTATATAATTTGCTCTGCTAAAAGCAGCTATAATGTAATAATGTTATAAATAAAACTATTCTAGATATTGGTGAGATCCTATATAATTTGATGTGGTTGCCATGCAAGAAAATATAAGCCAAAACACATGTAACTAGATGGTTTCATTAACCATCCTACTCAAACTTCAACTGCATACTCAGTTTTTAGGATAAATATTTTTAAGAGTCCTAGATGATACCATAGCTTTTGCTTTTTAAGACAAGACTTATGTTGGGGTAAGGTCTCTTATACCTCCTATGGCTATCTTTATTTTAACAATAATAATAGAATATTATTAATAAATAGCATGTATACATTTTTATTTTTCACAATTTAGTGAGTACTTTGTCATGGGTTAGGCATGAAAAAATCCTGGTTGTTGGGATTATTGAGTTTTAAAGATATTTAAAGATTTAACAAAAATATAAGTTAATGAGGGATGTGATCCCATAATTTCATAACATACACCCTCTTCATCAGAGCCCCAGATTATGATAATAGTTATGTTAAGACACTAGAGAATCTTCAATCATTAGAATAATAAATCAGCATAGGCTGGATGTTAGGGGGGAAAAAGACTTATAGAAATAATTCCAATTTTTCTTATTAAGTCATTTAATCAAATTTGGGGTACAAGAAAAATATATAATCAGAAGGGCATTTTGTGTTTTTTTTTTCTTTAACTTTAATTTTATATTACGGGGTGCATGTGCAAGCTTGTTATAAAGGTAAACTCATGTCACGGAGGTTTGATATGCAAATTATTATATCACCCAGGTGTTAAGCCTAGTACCCATTAGTTATTTTTCCTGATCCTCTCCCTCCTCCCACTCTCCACTCTCAGGTATGCCCCAGTTTCTATTGTTCCCCTCTATGTGTCCATGTATTCTCATCATTTAGATCCCACTTGTAAGTGAGAGCGGGCGGTATTTCATTTTCTGATCCTGCATTAGTTGGCTAAGGATAATGGTCTCCAGCTCTATCCATGTTCCTTAAAAGGATATGACTTCATTCTTTTTTATGGCCGCATAGTATTCCAAGGCATATGTGTACCACATTTTCTTTATCCATTGATAAGCATTTGTGTTGATTCCATGTCTTAGCTGTTATGAATCGTGCTGCAATTAATATACATATGCACAAGTTTTTATGATAGAATGAGTTATATTCCTTTGGGTATATACCCAGTAACGGAATTGCTGGGTCAAATGGTGTTTCTGGTTCTAGACCTTTGAGGAATCACCACACTGTCTTCCACAATGATTAAACTAATTTACATTCTCACCAGCTGTGTAAAAGTGTTTCTGTTTTGCTGCAGCCTCACCAGCATTTGTTGATTTGGAATTTTTAATAATCGCCATTCGGGTTGGCATGCGATGGTATCTCATTGTGGTTTTGACTTGCATTTGTCTAATAATCATGAATGTTGAACTTCTTTTCACATGCTTGTTGGCCGCATATATGTCTTATTTTAAAATGTTTCTGTTCATGTCCTTTGCACACTTTTATTATGGGATTGTTTGTCTTTTTCTTTTTTTGTTTAAGTTCCTTATAGATGCTGGCTATTAGACCTTTGTCATATGTATAGTTTGCAAAAATGTTGTTCCATTTTGTAGACTGCCTGTTTATTCTGTTGTTAGTTTATTTTGCTGTGCAGAAGCTCTTTCATTTAATTAGATCCCATTTGTCAATCCTTGTTTTGCTGCAGTTGCTTTTGCCATCTTTGTCACAAACTCTTTGCCATGCCTATCTCCTGAATTGTATTGCCGAGGTTGTCTTCCAGGGTTTTCATAGTTTTGTGTTTTACATTAAAGTCCTTAATCCATTTAATTTTTTGTGTATGGGGTAAATGCATATGGCAGCCAGTAATCCCAGCACCATTGATTCAATAAGAAGTAGTTACCCCATTGTATTTTTGGTCATCTTTATCAAAGATCAGATGGTTGTGGGTGTGCAATCTTATTTCTGAATTCTCGATTTGGTTCCATTGGTCTGTGTGTCTGTCTTTGTATCAGTACCATGCTGTTTTGGTTACTGTAGCCCTTTGTTATAGTGTGAGGCTGGTGGCATGATGGCTCCAGCTTTGTTTTTTGTTTAGGATTGCCTTGGCTATTGGGGCTCTTTTTGGTTCCATATGAATTTTAAAACCGTTTTCTTTAGTTCTGTACAGAATGTTATTGGTAGCTTGATAGGAATTGCATTAAATCTATAAATTGCTTTGGGCAGTGTGGCCATTTTAATTATATTGATTCTTCCTATCTATGAGCATAGAATATTTTTCCATTTGTTTCTGTAATTTCTGATCTCTTTGAGCAGTGTTTTGTAGTTCTCATCATACAGATTTTGATCTCCCTGGATATCTGAATTCTTAGGTATTTTATTCTTTTTGTCATAATTGTGAATGAGGTTTCATTCCTTATTGGCTCTTGGCTTTGCTATTGTTGGTGTATAGGAAAGCTAGTTAATTTGCTACATTGATTTTTGTATCCTGAGATTTTGCAGAAATTTTTATCAGCTTATGGAGTTTTGAGGCCAAGACTATGGGGTTTTCTAGATATAAGGTCATGCGTTCTGCAAACAGGGATAGTTTGACTTCCTCTGCTCCTATTTGGATGTCCTTCATGAAAAAATTAATAATACAGACTGTTAAATAGGCTAAAAAGAAGGAAAGAGAGAAGATTCAAATAAAAACAACTGGAAATGACTAAGAGGCTATAACCACTGACCCTAAGGATACACAAATAACCATCAGAGACTATTATGAACACCTCTAGCCACACAGGCTAGAAAATCTAGAGGAAATGGATCAATCTCTGGGCACATACACCCTCCAGAACAGATCCAGAAAGAAATTGAATCCCTGAACATACCAATAATGAGCTCCAAAATTGAATCATAATAAATAGCCCACCATCCAAGCAAAGCCCATAACCAGACGGATTCACAACCACATTCCACCAGATGTACAAAGAAGAGCTGGTACGATTCCTACTGAAATTATTCCAAAAAAGTGAGGAGGAAGAACTCCTCCTTATTTCAGTCTATGAGGCTAGCATCATCCTGATAGCAAAGCCTAGCAGAGAGACAACCAAAAAAGAAAACTTCAGACCAAAATCCTTGATGAACATCAGTGCAAAATTCCTCAAGAAAATTCTGGGAAACTGAATCTAGCAGCACATCAAAAAGCTCATCCACCATGATCAAGTAGACTTTATCCCCAAGAATCAAGATTGGTTCAACATATACAAATCAATAAATGTGATTCATCACATAAACAGAACTAAAGACAAAACCACATGATTATCTCAATAGACGCAGAAAAGGCTCTTGATAAAATTCAACACTCCTTCTTGATAAAACTCTCAAAAAACTAGGTATTGAAGGAATATGCCTCAAAATATAAAAGCCATCTATGACAAACCGACAGCCAACATCACACTGAATGGGCAAAAGCTAGAAGCATTCCCCTTGAAAACCGGCACAAGACAAAGATGCCTTCTCTCAACTTTCCTACTCAGCATAGAATTTTAAAAGGGCATTTTAAAATTACATTCTGTACAAGGAGAAACTGTGGTTCTTTAATTTGAAGTTTTCTAAAATTACTTATGCCTAAATCAATTAGCTAATTTACTCTCTCACTTCACTAACATATATGAAGCACCCTCTGGAACTCTGTAAACAGTATTCTCCAATAAACCAAGAAATGTATCATGCGCCCAGGAACTTCACAGTTTAATAGGAGAGATTAAGTGTGAATTGATGTATACATTGTGTTTGGGACATTAATGGTAAATATCAAATTTGAGTATTATTTGTTTCAATAATTCTAGTCCTTACCAAGTCTCCTTTGGTTCTCTGCCAAGTGAATCAACCTGAATCAAATATGTAGTAATGCAAGACTTTTACCAAGATATTCTGAACATAAATCCTCTGAATCTTCCTCTGTTTGTGCCCTCTGATGAAAAGGCCTTGAATTTTTTCAAGGGATGGTAGCTCTAACTCTGGTTATTACCTGAACTCTGTCATTTTCTGTTTCCTTCTCAACTTTCTTCCACTGTCATAAAAGAATTCCTTTCAACAGCAAAGAAAATATTTCACTATGGCCAGATTTTATCTGGTTCATATGTCTTTAAAAACTGGAATTCTGCCAGGCTTGGTGGCTCATGCCTGTAATCCCAGCACTTATGGAGGCTGAGGAAGGTAGATCACCTGAGGTCAGGAGTTCGAGACCAGCTTAGCCAACATGATGAAATCCTGTCTCTATTAAAAATACAAAAATTAGCTGGGCATGGTGGTGGGCACCTGTAGTCCCAGCTACTCGGAAGCTGAGGTAGGAGAATCGCTTGCACCCAGGAGCCAGAGGTTGCAGTGAACCACTACACTCCAGCCTGGGCAAAAAGAATAAAACTCCATCTCAAAACAAAACAAAACAAAATTGGAAGTCTAGGGTACATCAATCCAGCAGATGCTCACCTTGAGACCACATTGTATTGGAGGGAAAGCACTGGCCCTGACGTCATAGCCTGGGGCTTATTCCTGACGCCAACACTTACTAGTTGTATGACTTTGGATAATTTATCTAACATTTCTGAGCTTTCACTTCTCCCTATCTAAAATGGAGCAATAGCAGTAGTTGCTTCATAACTTTAATCTGAACACTAAATGTCAGGATTAGATCAGATTAGATAAACACATTATAAGCACTCAAAAATGGAAGGTTTAACAACATTAGTATAGCCTATACTGTCATATTAATACTGCTGCTATGGAAGTATCTTGTTTCTGATCAATAGCTGACACAATCTTGTTGCCTTTTGCAGATTTACTCTACTGCATGTGTGCTATATAGGCTGTCTTCTGTTAGCAACCCAATTTAGCAGTTATCTACATTATCTGATTTCTTTTATCTACCTAAAATCAAACCTACATTCCTAGGGATTTAGTAAGAGATTACTTCCCCATGTTGCCTCACCCAAGTTGATCCCAGTAGACAGATAGGCATATTCAGATATTTAGTCTAGACTTCATAAACTCTGAAGAAAGTTAGAAAATGATACGTACTTTAAAGAATGTACAGAGAAGGTAATATAAGAGCTCAGAAAGTGGACACATGTAACAAACTGTCAATTGCCAAGAAGCTTCAATTCTTCTACATGAATTTACTTATTATTCATATCCTATCTTACTTACGAAGAGAAACATGCTAACCAAAATATGTGAACAAATGCTACTTTAAAATGGGATGCTTTCTTTAGTACTTTTAGTGGAAAAACTTACTAACCAAATTAAAAACAAAAAGGTAGAACTCATATATTGTTGGTGGAAGTGTAAAGTGGTCATACAATCACTTTGGAAATTTATTTCACAGTCTCATAGATTAAAAATATGTCTACTCCATGACCCAACAATTCATTACTAAATATATACTGAATAAAAATGAATGCATGTGTTCAAGAAAATATTTGTACAAGCATGGTCTTAGAAACTGTATTAAAATTACATATTAAAAGTAGCCAAAACAACCAACAAAATATTAATAAAAACAACACACATATTCCTCAATCTGGAACAGATAAAGAAATTTTCCTATATTAGCAACATGGAATGCTACACAGAAATAAACCGTATGGACTACTGATACTTGGAGTATCATGGATAAATCTTAAAAGCAGTATATTGAACAAAAAGAAGCCATACACAAAAGATTTTAAGTTGTATGATTCAAATTATATAATGTTCAGGTAAAAAATCTAATTATTGTATTATAAATCAGAATAATGGTTAACTTTGGAGAAGTATTGACTGAGAAAGGTGTTGACTCAGAAGCAGCAGCTCGGAGGGTGATGAAAATGTAATATTGCTCTAGAAACGTGTAACAAGATAGTATACATGGGTAGAATTTCTTCATGAAGTGTGCATTTTATTACAGGCATACCTTGAAGATATTGCAGGTTCAGTTCCAGACTAGTGTAACAAAGTGGGTCACACAAACTTTTTAATTTTCCAGTACATAAAAAATTAATGTTTACAGCACACTGTAGTCTATTAAATGTTCGCAAGCATTATGTCTAAAAAATGTTCATGCCTTAATTAAAAACTCACCATATACAAAAATCAAATCAAAGTGGATTAAAGTCTTAACTATAAGGCCTAAAACTATAAAACTAATAGAAGAAAACATTGAGGACATGTTTCAGGACATTGGACTGGGCAAAGGATTTTAGGATAAGACCTCAAATGCAAAGGCAACAAAAGCAAAAGTAGACAAATAGAATTACATAAAATTAAAAAGCTTCTGCAAAGTAAACAATAGAATGATGAGACAAATAAGAATAGGAAAAATTGTTTGCAAACTATCTATCTGAAAAAAGATTAATAAGAGAAATATACAAAAACCTCAAGCATCTCAATAGGAAAAAAATTAAAAATGAGCAAAAAAAAATGGATTAAAGACCTAAATGTAAAACCAAAAACTATAAAAACCCTGGAAGACAGCCTAGGCAATACCATCCTGAACATAGGAACTGGAGAAGATTTTATTAAAAAGACACCAAAAGCAATTGCAACAAAAACAAAAATTGGCAAATGGGATCTAATTAAATTAAAGAGCTTCTGCATAGCAAAAGAAACTATCAACGGAATAAACAGACAACCTACAGAATGAGAGAAAATATTTGCAAAATATGCATGTGACAAAGGTCTAATATCCAGCATCTATAAGGAACTTAAATATACAAGAAAAACACAACTCCATTAAAAGGTGGGCAAAGGATATGAAGAGACAGTTTGCAAAAGAAGACATACACACAGCCAACGCGTACATTTTTAAAATGCTAAACATCACTAATTATTAGAGTAATGCAAATCAAAACCGCAATGAGATACCATCTCACACCAGGTAGAATGGCTATTGTTAAAATGTCTAATAATAAGAGATGCTAGTGAGGTTGTGGAGAAAAGGGAATGCTTATGCACTGCTGGTGGGTATATAAATTAGTTCAGACATTGTGAAAATGAGTTTGACAATTTCTTATAGTACTTACAACAAAACTACCATTTGACCCAGCAATCCTATTGTTGGGTATATACGCAAAGGAATATAAATCCTTCTACCATAAAAACACATGCACACATATGTTAACTGCAGCATTATTCATAATAGAAAAGTCATGAAATTAACTTAAATGCCCATCAATGGTACACTGGATATAGAAAATGTCGTATGTACACACCATGTATGCAGTCATAAAAAAATAATGAGATCATGTCCTTTTGCAGTAACATGGATGGAGCTAGAAGACATCATTCTAAGTGAACTAACACAGAAAGAGAAAACCAAATACAACCTGTTGTCACTTATAAGTAGGAGCTAAATATTGAGTACACATGGACACTAAAAAGGGAACAATACACCCCAGGGCCTACTTAAGGGTGGAAGTCAGGATGAGGGAGATGATCATTATCTGGGTGATTAAATAATCTGTACACCAAATCTCCGTGACATGCCATTTACCTATAAAACAAACCTGCTCGTGTACCCCTGAAATTAAAATAAAAGTTAAATATAGATATATGAATAAATAAATAAATGGGAGAATGACCTCAATAGACATTTCTCAAAAGAAGATATACAAATGGCCAACAGACATATAAAAAAATACTTGCCATAACTAATCATCAGGGAAATGTAAATCAAAACCACAATGAGATATCATTTTCATGTTATGGAGACTGCTTATTTCGTTAAACTTGAAACAACCTCTGCTACCTCAAACTTTTTGTTCTGCAGCTTCCTCACCTCTCTCAGTTTTCATAGAATTGAAGAGAGTTAGGGCTTTGCTCTGGATTAGGCTTTGGCTTAAGATAATGTCGTGGCTGGTTTGATCTTCTATTCAGACCATTAAAACTTTCTCCATATCTGCAATAAGGCTGTTTACTTTTTATTATTAATTTGTACCCTGCAGTAGCAATTTCAATTTCCTTCAAGATCGTTTTCTTTGCATTCACAATTTGGCCAACGGTTTGGCAGAAGAGGCCCTGCTTTTGGCCTATCTTGACTTTCAACAGACCTTCCTCACAAAGCTTAATATTTCTGGCTTTTGATTTAAAGTGAGAGATAGGCAGCTCTTCCTTTCACTTGAACACTTAGCCATCATTATAGGGTTAGTAATTGGTGTAATTTCAATATTATGTTGTATCAAGGAATAGTGAGGCCCAAGGAGAGGGAGAGAGACAGGGGAATGGCTGGCAGGTGGAGCAATCAGAACACACACGTTTATCAGTTAAGTTCACTGTCTTATATAAGTGCAGTTTATGATGCCCAAATAATAACATCAAAAATGCTTGACATCACTAGTCATCAAGAAAATGCAAATTACAGTGATCACAGATCACCATGACAAATATAAAAATGAAAAATTTGAAATATTGCGAGAATTACCAAAATGTGACACAGAGACACAAAGTGAGCACATGCTGTTGGGAAAATGGTGCCAATACACTTGCTCAACCCAAGGTTGCCACAAACCTTCAATTTATAAAAAGCACAGGTTTTGCAAAGTGCAATAAATCAAAGTGCAATAAAATTCGTTATTACTATATTTAGAAATAATACTTCAATAAAAATGCAAAAATACAAAGCAACAAAGTGACAGATGTCAAGTAAAAAATGACTTCTTCGATATGTAAGTGATGGTTACCTGTGGGGAAAAAGTATGTAATAAGGTAACCATATATGTGTGTGTGTATATATGTGTATATACGCACATACGTATATATACGTACATATATACGCACATACGTATATATACGTACATATATACGCACATACGTATATATACGTACATATACACGCACATACGTATATATACGTACATATACACGCACATACGTATATATACGTACATATACATGTATATATGTATATGTATATACATATATACATATATAGTGTATACACATATACATATATACATATATGTATATATGTATACGTATATACGTATATTATATATGTACGTATATATACATATATACATATATGTATATACGTATACATATATACGTATATTATATATGTACGTATATATACATATATGTATACGTGTATATATGTATATGTGTGTATATATATACATATGTATATATACATACATATATACACACAAACACTATATATATATACGTGTGTGTGCATATATATACATTTTTCCTTTCCTCTAATATATGCTGGTGTGGACTTTACATTTTATTTATTATTTTTTATTCCTAAAATATTTGAAAGTCATGTTACATTATACCTGTTGGCATGGGACTTCTGATGCCTTAGGAGAACTGTTTACAACTCTTTTCAAATAAATTTATTATTGGCTTGTCTGACTGCAAAATGCTAGTCTAAGGATCACACAATGGGAAGGTGGTTGATTGGTACTCTATTTACTTGCTCTTTTTTAAATTTTAAAGCCTATGGTATCATGGAGGACTATTTTCGTGAGTGCGTACATAACCACATTATGTTTTATAGATTATAAGTATTCACATATTATGGCTATTGTTATATTTCAGTATTTTAAAATAAACTGGCAAATGTCACAGTGCTGAGAAAGTAGTAATCTCTGACTTATTTGATGGACGGTCACTCTCTTGTCTGTTCCTTCCATCCTCCAATCAGTTTTTAAGCTTTATGAAGAAACTCTTAAAATTGGAGTGAGAAGTATCCAACCATGAGAATATAGAGGGAGGTAAAACATAAAACAAGCCATACAGAACTACTCTGCATAAAAATGCCATTTTAAAAGTGTGTTTTGTCAAATAAATTTATTTATTTAAATGAACATTTAGATGCCAAAATAATTAATAATTACCAACAATTGTATAGCACTCTTTAGTTTACAGAATGTTTTTGCAGCTTTTGTCTCATTTGGTAGCCCCTTATATTTCGATAGGAATATTTAATGGGATGCTTTGCTTATACACTGCTCCCATACACCACAGCATGATTATGTGACTAGAACCATTTTGGATATGGTAATCTGAACTTCAATTCTGAATCTACAATTGTCTCTTTCATTGTGGCTTTGTAGAGAATGAGTCATTTAACCTAAGCAGATTTTGCAGATGACTGCAACCATTTAAAACACCAAAATGTTTAATTATAACCACTTGTTAAGAAGAATCATAAAATCTACATAACATTTTACCACCTCTTTACAAATCAAGTTTGACATGTTTTAGGTTATAAAATAAAACATGATCATGGTATAATATTGAGGCAATAGAGAAATCTATGAAGAAGAAAACAAAAACATCTATGTTTCTAAAATTTAAACACAATCACTGTTAATATTTCAGCATGATTTCAGCCTCTTTACAATGAAATATATTTCTATGTGTACAGTTATTATATATCAATCTTATACCTAATATATTGTTTTACCTTGCTTTTTAAATAAATAATATATCATGATTAGATTTTTTATATTGCTTCATGTCTAGACATATATTATAAAAATGACTAGTCATATTTTTATATCTTTTATCTAACTTTTAAGGTAATTGTGAAATAAATACATCATAATTTCATTAAATAAAAGTTTGACCAGTTTCAAAATTTTATTTATATTAAAAATTTCAATATATTTGCAGAAATCTATATATCATACTACATCATTTAAAAGTGAGAATTGGAAAACCATTCAGTGAATGCTATGTAATTGGAGATGATGTTTTATGTACTTATTCTGTGATTGTTTATACTTGTTTAAAATATTGTCTCAGTCATGAGTATCTGTGAGAGATTAAAAATAGACACTGTCTAGAAGGTCCTTAATAGGGTTAAATTTAAATAGATGTCTATTTTTTAGTATGTTCCTTCATACTGAATCATAATATGCTACAATAGACAAAATACCAATGAATCAATAATTAACCTGAAGCTTCAAATACATATACATTATTAAGTATGAGGATCTAAGATACTGTAAAGGGAAGATAAAAAGCCTTTTAAAATTTCACAAAACGTGGGCTCATTTATTATGGAATCAGAATATTTCAAGGTGCCTTCTACCCTGGAGATTCTAGGAAATAGAACATTAAAACGGAGGTGACATCTATGTTTATATTGAGTGACAGGTACAAAGATAGCTACTAACTCAAAAATACTTTATATTGTTCCTCCTTAACACTGAGAATGACAGATGACAAATATAAACCCTTAGGGTTTTATATATAAAGTCGCATCTGTTCATTCACATTGACTCTGATATGAAAAGAGACAAATTGTATAAAAATAGTCAGGTATGAGAACCCAATGAAGTGTTCCGAGAATGTTGTTAAACACATAGTCAACTGGAAACCAAGTGGCCCTATATTCTGGGGTCAATTATTCAGAAAAGTCTGATGTACTTTTTAAATTGCACTAATCTTTAATTTCTGTAAACTTTAGGGGGGACCCAGTAATTCTACAAGCTCCAAGAAGACAGGGCCCATGAGCATTTTTTTAACTCTTGTATTTCTAGCACCAAGCATAGTATCTGACATTTTGTAGGTGCTCAACAAATATTTTTTATTGAATGAAAGAAAATATAGCTTAGTTATAAAGTACCTTAAGACTATACATGAGACATTCTGGATAAATTAAATGTAGTTCTCTCTATATATACACATATGATAATATTTTATACACCTATCTATAGGTAGATCTATATCTATTTCTCTATATAGACATTATAAAATAATTAAAAACAGAAAAGTCTTATTAAAGTTTTAATCAATAGTTTCTATCTTCCACCCAAAACTCTCGTACTGAAATATTTTCATCCTCTATTGTAACAAATCTTAGCTAAGACATTTTAAGAAAGCAATATGAATTAAATATTTCATAAAGATGTTTAATATTTTCAAGCTATATAGCAAAACATCCTGGTATTATGTAAGGACGTAGGGAAGAGTGATTTAAGACATGCACATATCATCACAAATAGGCTAGCCATCTATAACACTGGCATTAAATTTTCGCCATTTGTTCTTGTTCTATTTCTGGCATTCACAAACTAATGTTTTCTATTTTTTTTTAGGAATAATCCAGTGTAGTATCTTTAAGAACTCTAGCTGTGGTAGACTATCTAGCGATAGTTGTTGGTTGTTCATTTTAAGTTGAGTACTACTCCTGTTATCTGTATACATTACACTGAATATTTTAATTGCTCAAATAAAAGGAAATTTTAAAAAAATCAACAAAATAGTATAATATTTTGTCTGTAAATATTTATATATAAATGTTTATGTCTATATATAGGTATTAAACATATATATTCATTTTACCTTTGCTAGAATGTTTAGCATGCAAGTTATTAAAATATGTTATTTGCCTAATGATTTTATTAAAATACCACAATTGCCATTCTACATATCAGGAAAATGGTCCCCCACTGCAATATAAAAACAAAATTTTGTACACATTTTTCACCTCAATAGCTTTTGTTGCAGTAGATGATTTAGGCATCTTTAATATTTTATTCAGTGAATGTTGGTATAACAAGGTGACAGTTTGTTCATCACAGCTTCATTGAATTCCTTTTTATGGCATTTAAATAATGAATGTCTTTTTTTAATAAACTGGCATTTGAAAATAATATTCTGGTATATTTTCTCATTTAAATATGTATGTCTATGTCTGTTTTGGTTTGAAGATTTCTGCTATTTTTAATAGAGCTGTCAATGATCTCTCACTCAATTTAGAGGTTCTTTTTCTTTCACTCATCAGAAATGAATAAATGCAAACTGTAAATTGAGCTAGAAATGCCAATGTCCACAAAACAGACTTCTGTCAATATATAGAGCTTTTATGGTGTTGGTGGGATGCCACTGTACTTTATTTCCTAACCTCCACTTAAATGCCAGAACTCAGTGTGAAAAATGAATGGAAGCTCATTTTTAATGTAGGGAGCCCTTTCACCAGTGTCCGAGCTACTCTTCAGTAACTAGTTATTTGGATGAGGGCAGTTAACATTTCTAACCATGAACCTCCCTAAATCAATCAAGTAGAAACTGAATGGCTTTAAGTGTATTAAAATTAATATAATGTGTCAGGGTACACAACTTCAGTTAATTCCTGCAGTAATAATATGAGGTAGGTTTTATCCTTATTTTGCAAATAAATGAACTGAAACTCAGAAAGGCTAAAAACACTGCTCAAGGTACAAAATCTAATAAGAGAGAAATGAGATTCCACACCTGCCTTCCTACCGCAAAGCCTATGTTTTCTTTTCTACTCTGTGATGTCTCCCAGTAAACACTGTATTTAGAAGGCTGAATTTTAACTTAAAGCCTATAAATGTACACCCCTTTCAAAACTGCTCTCATGTTTACTCAGAAAAGTCATTGAGTATAAACCAGTTTTTGCCTCCCATTTACTCAGTATTTCTTAGAAAAAAAAATCCTGACCATCTTATTCTACAGTAAAAACCAAACTCTGCCACTGCTATTTTGGGAAAATACTTATTGTGTTGAATAATTGGAATGCTTCACATTAGCAGTTCTTTTTGCTTCAGCTCTAGCTAGATTTGAAATGTCAGCATGAGCCATTTCTCTATATTCTGGAAGTAGGGAATATTTGAAGACTCCAGACACATACAATATGGCGTCCAGACCAGAGGGAACGATAGGTCAGTCCCTGGCAGATGCCATAATGAGTTGGAGAAGCTAATGGCAGATGAACTTGGTGAATTAGGCAAAGAAAAAGAGCTTTTGGCTAACATAAAACACAAAGAAGGCACTGAAGGAGTCTACTCCTTTCTGATGATGATGCCAAGTTGGATTTAGAAAACAGTGTGGTGAGGATAAGCTATATGGAAGATAGTAAAGTGATATTCCTGTATACGCATGGTATGGTAAAGGCAGCTAATGTAAGCAAAGCGTTTGATGTTTTTGGTTAACTAAGCCCTTATGTTTGATGGGTAATGTTTGTAACAAACTTAGTACTAATTTTATGTTGTTGGTGTAAAATATGATTTTATAAATTGATTACTATATAATATATTTAAATTTTAAACTTTATTACAATCTTCATGAGTTAAGAAAATTGACTCCAATTATGGATTTTATTTTTTATGTTAAGAAATCAAGAATTCATACTACTTGAAATAACTGTAGTGTTTTCTCTAAGCTGAATTTTTCCTTTGATACTGATCGAAAGGAACCACTGTTTTTCATTTATTGATCAAAGTATCTTGTGTGTGTGTGATGTTTTATCAATCTAAGAGGATAGTGAAATTACAAAGCAATAGAGCATTGAAATGTTTTCCCCAGTAGCTATGATGAATTTACATCAATCCTGTCAAACTATTTCTTAAAACTGTACACTTTATTTTTTCCAGCTTTATTAAGGCATAATAGACAGATCAAAAATTACATATATATTCAAGGTATACAACATGATTATTTTATATATGTATCCATTGTGAAATGATTACCAGAATCAATTCAACTGACACATCCATCAACACAATTAGTTGTCACTGGTATGTGTGTGTGGTGTGTGTGTGTGTGTTTGTGTTTGTGGTGAAAACACAATCTACTCTCTGCAAATTTCAAGTATAATAATATATTATTAACTGTAATCACCATGCTACCCCCAATAACTTATTCATCTTGTAACTGAAAGTTTTTACCCATTGCCTAACATCTCCTTGTTTCCATCAGCCCCAGCCCCTGGGAATCACTGTTCTTTATCCATTTATTTGTTGATGGATACCACTTTTATACACATGTAATATATGCTATGTTGAATAATTAATTGGAAATTTCTAGTTTAAAATATATCTGATCATTTGTTTCTGACAAAATATCTCCAGATATCCTATAAAATATTATAAATCTGTAGAAAAAGTCAAGAACATGCAGAGCAAAAAAAAAATTTAAAAGAGATAAAAATTTTAAAAAAGATAAAATGAAGGCCAATATATGGGCTAATGAGACTAGATTAAGAAACTAGAAAAAGTCTACCTTAAGAAAGTAAGATCATTGGTGAGTAGAAGTGAGGTTAACCAACTCAACTTTGGCCCATTCAGAATCCTAGAATCTATACTAACCAGAATTCTGGACAACCATGTCTCTACTGTGAAGGTGCTATTTTGTGAGGCAAACAGAATATTCCTAAACTCATCCATCTTTCTACGTTCATTGAGAGATAGCAACTCTCAGAAAAATTACTGGACAGGCAATTGGTAGTTGCACATTTTATCTCGTGAATATGAAGTGTAGTGGTACGATCTCAGCTCACTGCAAACTCCGCCTCCTCAGTTCAAGCGATTCTTGTGCTTCATCCTCCAGAGTAGATAATTTTTGTGTTTTTAGTAGAGATGGGGTTTCACCATGTTGGCCAGGCTGGTCTTGAACTCCTGCCCTCAAGTGACCCACCCTCCTTGGCCTCCCAAAGTGCTGGGATTACAGGTGTGAGCCATGGCGCCCGGCCAAAAAGAGAGAGTGAGAGAGAGAGAGAGAGAGAAATTACAAATTTTTATTGTACATGACGGAACAAGTTGGGTTCAGAAAAAAAGCGTATAAAAAACCTGGAAATAGGATTAAAACATGTACGCATCAACTGTTCTTTAGGGACTAGAAAAGCTATCTAACCATTATTTGAGTTGGCAGAGATTGGAAACAAACAGTTCACTGGTTCTGTTGCCAAATATTTTGTTTGAAGAGCATTTGCCTCCTTTGAAAATGATTAAAGAGGAAAAAAATCACAGCAATGGAGCATCACCGAAAATTCAAAAGAAGAGAATATCACTGCAAATGAGACTCTGCAAGAGCCAGAAGAAAATATGTAAAAATTCTTTGACATCCTAAACATAGTGGGGGAAACCCATGTCTTGAGATACAAGAGCACAAGGGCATATGGATAACAGACTGAGAGGTATAGGCAACAAAAATAGATATAAATGAAAATAAGCAAGACAAGGAAGAGTTTCAGTGTACCGCAAATGCAATAAAAGATAAGAAAATTAAAGTACACATTGGAGTTACTGAAGAGAAAAATATACTGTAGAATATAAAATTAGTAATGTAGACTGAAAACTTACAATTTTTTGTTGGAATCCAGAGGCAGTAAAAAGGGATAAAAATGGGACAGAAAATTGTAGGTATGGAAAAAATAAAATGGAGATCTAATTTATAAATAATTGTCATACCTGAGGAACAAATTTACCAAAAGTTGTAATAAAAAATATGCTAGAAGACAACTTTCCAGAGGTGAAGAAATATGCATATTGAAAGGGATTACCAATTCCAAGCAAAAATAATGAAAATAAATACATATCCTTAAATTATTTCATCATTAGGATAAATTTGAAAGTTCTGCAGGCATTTAAGAAGTGGGAAATAATAAAGATAATTTTAAGAATACAGCCTGGCTCCAGATTTATCTATAATATCTTAGTCCTGGAGGGCATATAACAGCATCTGATGGGAATATAAGAGCTCTGATGGGAAAAGGATTTGGCAGGTCTTTTACATTCAGTCATGATGACTTCCACTTGTGAAGGCAATAGAAGTAAATCTTCAGATATAGAAGGGCTCAGAAAATATACTACCCACATAGACTTTTCAATAAGTTATATTGGGGCTTAATTAAGCCAATTGAGGGATAATTTTTTTAAAAGTCAACAGTGTGAAAATAATGGTATTATGAGACTAGCAGAATTTTCTTTACTCAATTTGAATATCACTTTGGGAATCACACTGAGATTATAAGTTTTAGGTGGTTTATGGAAACTAGAGGTGAACCCTGAATTTATAGCACTACCATAAGAAACTATTCTTTGATTTCACTCTTTTTTCTATTACCAGGAAACGTGTTTTTTACACGTCTTTTATCTCACAGTTGAGATGGAATCTCTTGTCATTTTTAATGACAACTTTTACAACAGTTATTGGTGATGTACTGTTCCAGCACTTGTTAGCAATATATAAACAATTTACATAGTTAACTGTTTCAGAGTATTGTTCCAGGATAATTACTGAATAATTTCTCTTCTCCACAAAATCATATCTGCTTAAAGGAATAAATATAATAAAACATTTATGATGAAGAAAGATGACTAATAGTTTACAGAATCTTTAAAACTCACTGACCATCTTGATTAATTGCTGTATAGGTTTGTGCTTTGTGATTTACCACATCTAAACTCAGATGGGATACTGATAATGCATACAGCAATTGATAGAGTTACAAGGGTGGCTGGAAAATCTTAAGATGAATCCTAAACACCAAAATATCTCCTCATTGGCGTGGCAGTATAAAATCTAGTTTTTAAAAAAAAGACAAAAACTCTAAATTCAGAATCTTCCACTTTGACTTCAGCCTACATAATAATTACATTGATGTCAATATTGATGACCCAGATATAAAATATTATTTATTTATTTGTTCAATAAATAATTGTTGAACAACTCTCATGTACAAAGAACTTTCCTGGAAACTAGATACAGAGCTATGATAACCTTGTTTGGTGATCACCTCTTTTCTAAATCATCATTCTTAATAACCTCTTTATTCAAACATATTAAATATTCAAACCCTCATCCTTATATTTTAACCGTCTCCTGGATTTAAATCACACCATATTCACACCATGATACAAAGCCAATAACTCCAGCTCCACTCTTAACCATTTTCCTCAATTTCTATTTCTTTTCATTTTCTATTCTAATCCTTTGCTAGTATAAGAGATGATATTATATGTAGTGAAGAGATTATCATTCAGAAAATGCTAACAAGTCAAATATGTATATTACCAAACGAACAACACAAACAAAAAAAACCTGCATCCAAATACTACATTTGCATTTGACACTAGAACTGATTTTTCAATGCTATCTGAAAAGAAAATAAGAACCAAAAGATGGGACAGAAAAAAAGTTCTACCATTCTTTTAATGGACATTTTTCTACCTCTTCTTGGGACCTTGGAATTCAGATCTTTGTTAGATTATGTAGGATTCCATCTTTGTAAATATATGTATATCTTTGGAGCCAAAATTTAAAAATTACCTTGAAATAAACATGTCCTTGTCCAAATCATTCTTGCAAACACTATGCAAGGATTTTATACATGAATTTACTGCCATTTCCAATTATATGTGAAGGTCAGTTGGCTTGTACCATCGAAGAAAGTTAAATATGAGTGTGTGTGCATGTTTGTATGTGTGTGTGTGTGTGTGTGTGTGTGTGTGTGTACTGCCAATGAATATAGCTTTGAGGGTGATGAATTAGACATCACTATATTTTCAGGGAAAAAAAACTCAAAATGTCACATATTCTGAACCAAAGATTCAGTGAAACTGGAGGAAAGCTATATAAGGGATATATTTTAATGTGATGAGATAATGGGTACTTACAAACAACCAGTAGGAAGTCAGAAGTTACAGATAGAATAATTGATTTGACCAGAATAACTTACTAAAATTTCAGGTCATTTTACCATTTGTTTGTAGATATTCCTCCCTTCTTCCCACTCCTCAGTATATATTTTTTTTCAAGTTCAAAAATTATTTTTTATTTTATTTTATTCTGAATTTTAGCAGGAAAATATGAAATCATAAATAGCAATTTCCTAAAAATGAAGTTTACACTAGTTATAGCTATGATTTTTTACCGTATAATCACTTTAAAATTAGTCTTTTTGTGATTTTAGAAGAGATTATTGAATATGTACTTTTTTAAAAAATTTTATTATTATTATACTTTAAGTTTTATGGTACATGTGCACAATGTGCAGGTTTGTTACGTATGTATACATGTGCCATGTTGGTATGCTGCACCCATTAACTCCTCATTTAGCATTAGATATATCTCCTAATGCTATCCCTCACCCCTCCCCCCACCCCACAACAGTCCCTAGAGTGTGATGTTCCCCTTCCTGTGTCCATGTGTTCTCATTGTTCAATTCCCACCTATGAGTGAGAACATGCAGTGTTTGGTTTTTTGTCCTTGCAATAGTTTGCTGAGAATGATGGTTTCCAGCTTCATCCATGTCCCTACAAAGGACATGAACTCATCATTTTTTATGGCTGCATAGTATTCCATGGTGTATATGTGCCACATTTTCTTAATCCAGTCTATCGTTGTTGGACATTTGGGTTGGTTCCAAGGAAAACCTAGGCAATACCATTCAGGACATAGGCATGGGCAAGGACTTCATGTCTAAAACACCAAAAGCAATGGCAACAAAAGCCAAACTTGACAAATGGGATCTAATTAAACTAAAGAGCTTCTGCACAGCAAAAGAAACTACCATCAGAGTGAACAGGCAACCCACAAAATGGGAGAAAATTTTCACAACTTACTCATCTGACAAAGGGCTAATATCCAGAATCTACAATGAACTCCAACAAATTTACAAGAAAAAAACAAACAACCCCATCAAAAAGTGGGCAAAGGATATGAACAGACACTTCTCAAAAGAAGACATTTATGCAGCCAAAAAACACATGAAAAAATGCTCATCATCACTGGCCATCAGAGAAATGCAAATCAAAACCACAGTGAGATATCATCTCACACCAATTAGAATGGTGATCATTAAAAAGTCAGGAAACAACAGGTGCTGGAGAGGATGTGGAGAAATAGGAACACTTTTACACTGTTGGTGGGACTGTAAACTAGTTCAACCATTGTGGAAGTCAGTGTGGCGATTCCTCAGGGATCTAGAACTAGAAATACCATTTGACCCAGCCATCCCATTACTGGGTATATACCCAAAGGATTATAAATCATGCTGCTATAAAGACACATGCACACGTATGTTTATTGTGGCACTGTTCACAATAGCAAAGACTTGGAACCATTCCTCAGTATATTTTTTAAAATTTTTATTTTTTTATGTTTGTGGGTACATTGTACCTGTATGTATTTATGGAGTACATGAGCTATATTGATACAGGCATACAATGCACAATAATATCAGGGCAAATGAGTTATCCATCATCTCAAGCATTTATCATTTCTTTGTGTTCCAAACTATTGAATTATACTATTTTAGTTATTTTAGACATACAATAAATTAAATTATTATTTACTGTAGTCACCCAGGCGTGCTATAAAACAATAGATCTTATTCAGTATATCTAACTGTATTTTTATTCCTATTGACTGTTCCCTCTCCCCACACCCCAACTCCTCTTCCTATCTCTTGTTCTCTTGTTACAATCAATGATAATCTATCTTCATGCGTTAAATTGTTTTACTTTGTCTTTTTTTCTCTTTTTTTTTTTTTTTTTTTTTTTGAGATGGAGTCTCACTCTGTCACCAGGCTCTAGTGCAGTGGTGCAATCTTGGCTCACTACAATCTCCGCCTCCCAGGTTCAAGTGATTCTCCTGCCTCTGCCCCCCGAGTAGCTGGGACTAAAGGCGCTCACCACCACGCCCAGCTAATTTTTGTATTTTTAGTAGAGACGGGGTTTTACCATGTTGGCCAGGATGGTCTCGATCTCTTGACCTTGTGAACCGCCCGCTTCGACCTCCCAAAGTTCTGGGGTTACAGGCATGAGCCACTGTGCCTGGCCTAATTGATCTACATGAGTTAAATCATTTTACATTTTGTTTGTTCATTTGTTTGTTTTTTGAGACAGAGTCTCTCTCTGTCGCCAGGCTGGAGTGCAGTGATGAGATCTTGGCTCACTGCAACCTCCACCTCCCAGGTTTTACTTTTTATACCTCTGACAAATAAGTGAGAACATGGGGAGTTTGTATTTCTGTGTCTGGTTCATTTCATTTGACATAATGATCTCCAGTTTTATTCATGTTTTTGTAAATGACTAGATCTCATTCTTTTTTTATGGCTAAATAATACTCTATTGTATATATGTACCACATTCTCTTTATCTATTAATATGTTGATGGACATTTAAGTTGCTTCCAAATTTTGGCTATTGTGAAGAGTGCTGTAATAAACATGGGAGTGCAGATGCCCCTTCCATATACTGATTTCCTTTCTTTTGTGTATATATTGAGCATTGGGATTGCTGGATTGTATGGTAGCTCTATTTTTATTTTTTTAAGCAAACTCCAGAGTGGCTGTACTAACTCACATTGCCACCACCAGGGTACAAGGGTTCCCTTTTCTCCACATCCTAACCAGCACCGAATATTGCTGTCTATTAGATAAAAGCCATTTTAACTGGGTTGAGAAGATGTCTCATTGTAGTTTTGATTTTCATTTCTCTAATGATCATTGATGTTGAGGACTTTTCATATACCTGTTTGCCATATGTATGGTTTCTTTTGAGAGATGTGTATTCAGATATTTTGCCCATTTTTAATTGGATCATTAGATTTTTTTCCTATTGAGTGACTTAAGCTCCTTATATATTCTGGTTATTAATCTCTTGTCAGATGGGTAGTTTGCAAATATTTTCTAACATTCTGCGCATTGTCTATTCACTTCATTGTTTCCTTTGCTGTGCGTGAGCTTTTTTAACTTGATGTGATCCCATTTGCCCATTTTTTTGCTTTGGTTGCCTATACTTGTGGGGTATTGCTCAAGAAATTTTTGCCCAGACCAATGTCCTAGAAATTTTCCCCAATGTTTTCTTGTAGTAATTTCACAGTTTCAGGTTTTAGATTTAAAAGTCTTTAATTTGTTTTTATTTGATTTTTGTATGTGGCAAGAAATAGGGGTCTAGTTTCATTCTTCTCCACATGGATATCCAGTTTTGCCAACACCATTTATTGAAGAGACTGTACTTTCTCCAATGTATGTCCTTGGAAACTTTGTCAAAAATGAGTTCACTGTATATGTGTGGATAAATCTTTGAGTTATCTATTCTGTTTCACTGAACTATGTATTTGTCATTATGCAAGTACTATGCTGTTTTGGTTACCAGGGCTCTGTAGTATAATTTGTATTGTGATTTTTTATTTTAAACTTTAATTTTAGGTTCAAGAGTCCATGAGCAGGTTTGTTATATATGTAAATTTGCATCACAGGGATTTGGTTGCCTATACTTGTGGGGTATTGCATTAGCTTGCTAAGGATAATGGCCTCCAGCTCCGTCTGTGTTCCTGCAAAGGACATGATCTCATTCTTTTTTATGGCTTCATAATATTCCATGGTGTATATGTGCCATATTTTCTGTATCCAGTCTTCCATTGATATACATTTAGGTATATTCCATGTCGTTGCTATTGTGAATAGTGCTGCAGTGAACATACAGGTGTATGTAAATTTATGATACAATCATTTATATTACATTGGGGTTATATATACAGTGATGGGATTGCTGAGTCAAAAGGTGGTTCTGCTTTTAGCTCTCTGAGGAATCCCCACATTGCTTTCCACAGTGGTTGAATTAGTTTACACTCCTACCAGCTGTGTATAAGCATTCACTTTTCTCCACAGCCCCACTAGCATCTGTTATTTTTTGACTTTAATAACAGCCATTCTGACTTGCGTGAGATGTTCTTATTGACGTTTTGATGTGTGTTTCTCTACTGATCAGTAACATTGAGCTTCTATTCATATGATTGTTGGCCACATGTATGTCTTCCTTTGAAAAGTGTCTGTTCATGTCCTTTGCCTATTTTTTAATGGGGTTGTTTGTTATTTTCTTGTAAATTTGTTTAAGTTCCTTATAGATGCTGGATATTAAACCTTTGTCAGATGCACAGTTTGCAAAAATTTTCTCCCATTTTGTAGGTTGTCTGTTTACTCTGCTGATAGTTTCTTTTGCTGTGCAGAAGCTCTTTAGTTTTATTAGATCCCATTTGTCAATTTTTGCTTTTGTTGCAATTGCTTTTGGTGTCTGCATCATAAAATCTTTGCCCATTCCTATGTCCAGAATGGTATTGCCTAGTATTTTTATAGTTTTTGTGTTTTACATTTAAGTCTTTAATCCATCTTGAGGTAATTTTTGTACACGGTTTAAGGGCTTCAAGCTTCTGCATATGGCTAGCCAGTTATCTGTGTCACAGTATCCTTTGGGTGTTGCTTCGCCAGCTGAAAACTTATGGGACTGGTGATGCCTCTGCTTAAGTTTTGCTCTCACCCATTGAGCTCATTTTGCCCACTCAGCCTGGCAGGTTGCACTCAGCTCATGCTACCTGCCCGGACTCCTTGACTGCCAAGAGTGAGCCAGACACAGACCTGTGAGGGGTGTGTGCGTGAGCAAGTGCTGGGTCCAGCCACTGAGTACAGCCAGGCATCCTGGCTGCTGCAGTGGGGCAGGCAGCTCCAAGCGCCAGCACAATTGCTAGCTCTGTGCAAGGCTGTGGCTGGGCCAGATGTACAGCAAGCGGCTTCCACTGTGGGCACTGGCATCTGGACAAGGGGAACGTGGTGGCACTCAAGAGCTTGGAGACACTAGGAACTGCAGAGCCCCAAAGTGGGTTTTACAACGTGTCACAGCCCTGGCTTGATGACCCCCGATGTCTGGGCTCCCAGAAGGGTCACAGGTATTCTCTCCTTGTCGCCCGTAGCACAGCTAGCAGGGTTGGGGGCGTGTTTTGAGGCGGGGGGCACGCTTCACCCTTTTTTTAGTCCCGCTGCCCCACTCTGGCGCGCAGCTAGTGGGCTGGCCCGTCCCTACCACTGCTTCCCACCGTGTGAGGTGGCTGCCCAGTGCCAGTGGAGCATGGGAGGGCTATAGTGTTACAGAAGCTCTTGTTTGGAGAATCCCTAGGTCTGGGGCCCCAGGAGGGTCACCACTCTTCACTCTCACAGTCTGGAAGCATGTCACCACCTGCAGCTCTGTGAGCCAGCCAAGAACTTGTTATAGTTCCTTTCATTCCCACCGTTTGGTGGATCGTGAGTTCTTGTCTTGCATCCGTAAAGAATTAGATTACACGGGCAACCGGAGGGTAACCAAGACAGGGAGGAGCTTCATTGGGTGACTGGACAGTTTTCAGCAGAGAGGAGACCTGAAGTGGGCAGCTCTTATCCACAGGCAGGTTGTTCTGACAAGTGTGTGAGTCTGGCTGAGTGGGGGTGGGGGGATGGTGTTTATGGGCTCAGAATAGAGGAAGTTATGGGCTCAGAATAGAGGAAGCGCATGCTGATTGGTCCACGGGTGGCCATGGGTGGGCCTGGAAAAAGCACCATCCGATTGGCCAAAAGGCATCAAGGAAGTTCTCACTCCCAGTCCAGAACTCCACCTGGAACTGGCAGCCCAGCCCCAGGCTTCGGGCTGTACCTGGCTTGAAGGTGGGGTTTCCCCCAGGACCTAGCCCTTCCCACCTAGGAACCTGTCTGCCTCCCAGTGCCATCAACCTGCTATCTGTGGCGCCCAGGCAATCTGCACCAAGGGTCACTCGCAGGCCCACGCCAAGCCACTCTCAGCCAGTCCAGATGTGGCAGGGTGCTGGTGTGTCACTGCCGCCCAGAGCAAGCACACACCTGGGTAAGTTATGACAGTGCCCAGGCTCGGTCACAACTTTGCTCTGCACTGGAGCAGGCACCAGGATTGGGGAGAGGTCAGGGAGCAGGAGTAGGCACTTTGAGGCTGTGGAGGTAGGGGGCTTTCCAGGCCCCCAGGAATGCAGGGATGCCTGGGTCCAGAGCCATGGCTGGGCAGCTGCAGTTGTGCCTGGGAGTATGAGCTCCTGCCCTGCCAACTCGGTAGGGCATGGGGCTCCTGCTGGGATCACCTGTTCCTGTCCCCCACTGGTTCCATGGAGCACGCAGCTCTGGCTACACCTCCCACGCTGCAGCTGACATCCTTGTAGCTGCTGCTTCAGATTGGCTGCCACCACCATCAATAGCACCATTTATTGAATAGGGGGTCCTTTCCCTATTGCTTGTTTTTGTCATCTTTGTGGGAAATCAGATGGTTATGAATGTGCTGTTTTATTTCTGGCCTCTCTATTCTCTTCCATTGGTCTATATGTGTGTTATGGTACTAGTCCCATGCTATTTTGGTTACTGTAGCCCTGTAGTATTGTTTGAAGTCAGTTAGCATTAGAGTGATGCTTCCTGCTTTTTCTTTTTGCTTAGAATGGCTTTGGCTATTCAGGCTTTTTTTTTGTTCCACATGAATTTTAAAATAGTTTTTTTCAAGTTCTGTGAAGAGTGTCATTTGTAGTTTGATAGGAATTGCATTGAATCTGCAAATTGCTTTGGGCGGTATGGCCATTTTAATGACATTGATTCTTCCCATCCATGAGCATGGAATGGTTTTCCATTTGTTTGCGTCATCTCTGATTTCTTTGAACAGTGTTGTGTAATTCTCCTTTTAGAAATCTTTCTCCTCCCTGGTTACCTAAATTCCTAGGTATCTTATTCTTTATATGGCCATTGTGAGTGATATTCCTGATTTGGCGCTTAGATTGGCTGTTGTTGATGTATAGAAACGCTAGTAATTTTTGTATGTTGATTTTGTATCCTGAAACTTTGCTGAAGTTTTTTATCAGATTCAGGAACTTTGGGGCCAAGACTATGGGATTTCTCACATTACAGAGGCATGTCATTTGCAAAGAGGGATAGTTTCACTTCCTCTCTTGCTATTTGGAAGCTCTTTATTTCTTTCTCTTGACTGATTGCTCTGGCCCAGACTTCCAATACTATGTTGAATAGCACGGGTGCAAGAGAGTAACCTTGTCTTGTCTGGTTTTCAAGGGGAATACATCCGGGTTTCCCACAATCAGTATAATGTTGTCTGCCTGTCTGTCTTATATGGCTCTTATTATTGTGATGCATGTTCCTTCAATGCCTAGTTACTGAGAGTTTTTATCAAGAAGGGAGGTTGAATTTTATGAAAAGCATTTTATGCATCTATTGAGATAATCATGTGGTTTTGTCTTTAGTTCTGTTTATATGATGAATCACATTTATTGATTTACATATGTTGAAACAACCTTGCATCCCAGGGATAATAGCCTACTTGATCATGGTGGATTAGCTTTTTGATGTGCTGCTGGATTCAGTTTGCAAGTATTTTGTTGAATATTTTTGTATCAATGTTTATCAAGGATATTGGCCTGAAGTGTTCTTTTTTTGTTGTGTTTCTGCCAGATTTTGCTATCAGGATGATGGTGGCCTCATATAATGAGTTTGGGAGGAGTTCTTTCTCCTCAATTTTTTGGAATAATTTCAGTAGAATTGATGCCAGCTCTTCTTTGTACATCTTGTAGAATTAGGCTGTGAATTGGTCTGGTCCTGGGCTTTTCTTGGTTGTTAGGTTATTTATTACTGATTCAATTTTGGAGCTCATTACTGGTCTGTTCAGGGGTTCAATTTCTTCCTAGTTCAGTCTTGGAAGGGTGTATGTATTCTGGAATTTATCTATTTCTTCTAGATTTTCTAGTTTGTGTGCATAGAGGTTTTCATAATAGTCTGTGATGTGTATTTGTATTTATATGGTATCATTGGTAATATCCCCTTTGACATTTCTGATTGTATTTAATTGAATATTCTCTCTTTTCTTCTTTATTAGTTTAGCTAATGGTCTATTATTTTTAATCATTTCAAAAAAAAGCTACTACTGGCTCCATTGACCTACTGAATGGCTTTTTGGGTCTCAATCTCCTTCAGTTCAGCTCTCATTTTGGTTGTTTCTTGTCCTCTTCTAGATTTGGGATTTGTTTGCTCTTTCTTCTCCAGTTTTTTTTAGTTGTGATGTTAGATTGTTAATTTGAGATCTTTCTAACTTCTTGATATGGGCATTTAGTGCTATAAATTTTCCTCTTGACACTGCCTTAGCTCTGTCCCAGAGATTCTGGTATGTTTTATCTTTGTTCCTATTAGTTACAAATAACTTCTTGATTTCTGTCTTAAGTTCATTATTTACCCAAAAGTCACTTGGGAGCAGATTGTTTCATTTCCATGTAATTGTATGGTTTGAAGTGTTTTTCTCTGTCTTGAATTCTATTTTTATTGTGCTGTGGTCTGAGACAGAGGTTGGTATGATTTTGGACCTTTTGTATTTACTTAGGAATACTTTATTTCTGAATGTGTAGTTGATTTTAGAGTATGTGCCATGTGCAGATGAGGAGAATGCATATTCTGTTGTTCTGGGGTGGAGAGTTCTGTAGATGTCTGTCTGATCCATTTGGTCCAGTGTTTAGTTCAGGTCCTGAATATATCTATTTTCTGCCTCAGTGATCTTTCTAATACTGTCAGTGGGGTGGTAACATCTCCCACTATTACTGTGTATCATTTGAAGTCAGGTAATACGATTTCTCCAATTTTATTCTTTTTGCTCAGAATAGCTTTGGCTATTGAGTCTTTTGTAATTCCACATACATTTTAGACATTTTTTCTCTCTTCTGTGAGAAATATCATTAGTATTTTGATATAAATTGCATTGAATCTGTACATTGCTTTGAGTATTATGGATATTTTTAAAATCTTCATTCCAATCTATGAACAGGGAATATCTTTCTATTTTTTGGTGTCCTCTTCAATTTCTTGCATCAGTGTTTTACAGTTTTTATTGCAGAGATCTTTCATTTCCTTGGTTAATTCCTAGGTATTTTTCTTTATTTATAGCCACTGCAAATGGGGTTACTTTCTTAATTTCTTTTTCAGATTGTCTGTTCCTGGCATATAGAAATGCTACTGAGTTTTCTGTGTTGATTTTGTATCCTGCAACTTGACAGAATTTGTTTCTACGTTCTAATAGTTTTTTGGTGTAGTCTTAAGTGTATCCAAATATAAGATCATATCATCTGCAAACAAGGATAACTTTACTTCTTCCTTTCCAACTTGGATGCACTTTATTTATTTCTCTGGTCTAATTACTCTAGCTAGGACTTCCTGTACAATCTCAAATAACAGTGGTGAAAGTGGGCATCCTCATGTTGTTTCAGATCTCAGAGAAATAGGCTTTCTGCTTTTCCCCATTGAGTATGATACAAGGTCTGTCATATATGTCTTTTAGTGTTTCGAGGTATGTTCCTTCTCTACAATATTTTAGTTTTTAACATGAAGGGATGTTTAATTTCACCAAATGCCTTTTCACCATCAATTGAAATAATCATATGTTAATTGTCTTTCATTCTGTTACATAATATATCACACTGATTGATTTACATATGTTGAACCATCCCTGCATCCCTTGGACAAATTCCACTTGGCTATGATAAATGATCTTTTTAATCTGTTATTGAATTCAGTTTGCCAGCACTCTGTTGAAGAGTTTTGCATTGATGTTCTTCAAGGATATTGGCAAGTAGGTTTTTTTTTTTTTATGACTCATTGTCTGGTTTGGGTATCAGGGTAATGTTGCCTCATAGGCCTCATAGAATGAGATTGAATGTATGCCCTCCTCCAGTATTTTTCAGAATAGTTTGAGTGGAATTGGTATTAGTTCTTCCCAAATATTTTGTAAAATTCAGCAGTGAAGCCATCAAGTCCCAAGCTTTTCTTGGCTGGGAAACTTTGTATTATGGCTCCATTCTAATTACTTGTTATTGGTCTGTTCTGGTTTTGGATTTCTTCATGATACATTCTTGGTAGGTTGTATTGTGTCAAGATAATTATCCATTTCTTCTAAATTTTCTAATTTATTGGCATATAGTTAATCATATTAGTGTCTACCAACCCATTGGATTTGTGTGGCATCAGTTATAATGTCTCTTTTTTCATCTCATTGTATTTATTTGGATCTTCTTTCTTTGTATCTTAAATAGTCTGGCTAAAGGTTTGTCAATTTTGTTTATTCTTACAAAAACACGTCTTTTCATTTTGCATTATTTTCTTCATTTCAATTTCATTTATTTGTGCTCTGATTTTATTATGTTTTCTCTTCTACTGATAATGTTGGGTTTGTTTTGCTTTTGCTTTTCTAAATTTTAATATGCCTCATTCACTTGCTTGTTTTAAGTGTTTCTGCTTTTTTGATGTAGGCGCTTATTGCTATAAACTTTCTTCTTAGTACTGCTTTGGTTGTATCCCAAAGGTTTTGGTATGTTGTAGCTCCATTTCCATTTGTTTCAAGAAGTTTTTCAATTTTCTTCTTAGTTTATTCATTGACCCCACTGGTCATTCAGGAGAATATTATTTAATTTCCATTTGTTTGTATAGCTTCAAAAATTTCTCTTCTTATTGATTGTTAGTTTTACTCCATTGTGGTCAGAGAAGGTACTTGATATTTTGATTTTTTTTAAATGCTCGTTTTCTGGCCTAACATGTTGTCTATCTTTGAGAATGATCCGTGTGCTTAGAAGAAATGCAGCTATTGGATAATGCGTTTTTAAAATACATATTAGGTCCATTTGGTCTATCATGCAGATTATGTCCAATGTTTCTGCGTTAATTTTATCTGTGCATGATCTTTAGATTTCTAGTTTTCTGTTCATTTTTGTCAATCAAACAATATGCTGGTCACTCTCTTGTTCTGTCTGGGTGGGCATAATTAAATGCCATAAACTGAGTGGATTTTAAACAACAGAAATTTATTGTCCATAGCTTTGAGGCTGGTAAGTCCAAGATTAAGGGGCCAGCAGAGTTAGTTTCTTGTGAAGACTCACATTCTTGTTCATAGATGGTGCCTTCTTGTTGCATACTAACATGGTGGAAAAGGTTAGCTAGCTCCCTGGGGTTTCTTTTATAAAGGCAACTAATACAGTCATGTGGGCTCTGCCATAATGACTTAATCACCACCCAAAGGACCCACCTTTTAGTACTATCACATTAGGGATTAGATTTCAATGTATGAAATTTGGGGGAATGGATTCAGATTATAGTATGCCATACCATACTGTAGCACCATGTTGCCCTTTCTGATTGCTTTAGAAGTTACAGGTATGTTTTTCCACTAATATTTTTTTTCTCTTAAAGAAAGGACTCACTGTGACACATTCCAGCCTGTGGAAAGAAAGACTTCTATTTCAAGGTGAGAAATGAGAAGCAGGCTGACTTGATCAACATTTCAAACTTGCTAAGGTAAGAAAAGCTTTACTGGGTGTACATTACTTAAATCTAGTTGATTTTGCTGTCTTATTCTCCATATGGACTCTACCTTTTTGCCTTATGAATTTGTTTGAACTTAAGCTTTTTTTTCTGCCATGTTCCGAAAAGACTTTTCCCAATACTAATATTGGCCAGTGTTAGTGATTGTGAGAATCTATATCTGCATTATCATGTGATAGCATTAGTATTATTGGTGATGATTATTCAAGTTACTTTACCATTCCATCGTCTTAATCTGAAAGTCTGTTTTATTCATTACTATTGGAATATGTAAATTAAAACTTTTACTTTTATCATGTTTATAGTTTCTAAGTAATTTTTACATAAATTATAATAATTAAGTTTTTTCTTTAACATTTTGCATTATTCTGCATTGGTCTCCAAAAAGTTAATAGCAAGCACATACCAGTGTTTTCAGTGCGTTACATACATTAATTGTTGTTAAATCTTCACAATAACTCTATGAAGTGGGTATTATTATTATTGTCCCCAATTTGTAAATGACTGAATTCAGCCATTGAAAGGTTAAATAACTTGCTCAAGATAACACAGCCACTCTATAATACAGCTAAAATTTGAATAAATATGGTCTAGCTTCTGAGTCTGTTCTCTTCACCATTATGCTTCTCAAAAGCTTCTCAACAGCATTTTCTCTTTTTTTCAATATTATAATGAAATAAATTTACTCTAAGAGCATTTATTAACATCTAGGGCTAAAAACTCAATTGATTCAGCACTTATATTTCTTGATGTCTTAAAGATAGGCTTGCTCGTCTGCTCTTAACAAGAAATCCCATGGTTATCTGGATTCTTTCATTAGTCAACTACAGGTAAAACAGAATACAATTACAAACATAATGACTGCATTTGCAGGTTACACTAAAATTCATAAGTTATCCACATCTCTAACTACTTCAATTTTCATGTAATTTAGAGAAGAAATGGCTTATATGAGTCACAGCATCATGTGATGATTGACTTTTAAATTCCCTTGCAATGTCATTAAAAAATAAGAATATATAAATGTGCTAATGGTTGTCCCTACCCTTCACATATTGGCCCTTAGAACTCATTGCTAATAGCTTCAGGCATTTAACAATATATTTTATTGCAAGATCATATTAGTGAGGTATTTCCTATGCCAACATTTTGCTCAAATGATTGCTAAACCAAAAACTTCATCTCTATATGAGAAAACTTTTTCTAAATATTTAATTATACAATTAGTTTTAGTGGGTATAACAAGAATATAGGTAAACATCCAGGTGGATAAGTAAATATTATACCTATCACCAATGCACATGTTTAAAACAGTTTAACAGAGCAACTCTGATAATCAATATCTATATCTGTTAATGTCTATCACCTTTAAGAACTTTCTTACATAAAATCTTATGTCTACATTAAATATCCTGGAATTTATTAATAAGGCACTATAAAACTTGGTTTTCATCAGAGATTGTTAAAAATGAATAATTGACATTAATATTGATGATACTACTGTCACTATCACAAAATATTTATATGTATATTTACATCCCATTTAAATATAATTTTAATTAAAAAACTCCTGGCTGAAAATAATTGTTGAAATATTTTTTAAAATTTTATAGCTCATAACTCACCACCTCCATTCTGACACACTCTGATCAAACCACAAAAGTCCCTACTAAAGCCTTTACCTTGGACTAAAGGGCCCACATTTTATTTATCTAAGTCCTTCACTAGTCTATAAGTTCCTAGAAGACAGGCACTATGTTTAATTGTTACACCAGTAGACTATCAGAATAATTAATACATAGTAGGTACTCAAGAATATTTCTTAGATAAACAGATAAGTGAAGAAATAAATGAAAAAAAATTAACAAACTGCTTAGCATATAGAAACAATTGAAGGCAAGGGAAGAAACTATGTTTTCCTAAAAGGATTGTCAGAACAAGAATACAAAAATGGATATGCATAGAGGCCAAGGAAGCCCAGAATTTAAGTGAATAGGTAAGTGATGGGGCAAATAAAAGATGTTCAAAGAGGCAGAAAGGGAATAAAGAGAGAGTTATAAAAGCAGTGAAAGGGAAAGTTCTATGAGTTGAGACTTATTAACAATGCCAAATGCTACGGAAACATAAAACAGAAGATTGAAGTTAAATGCAATTTTTAAATTATTCTGCCATAAGGAAGTTTATATAGTATAGTATTGTCAATTTGAGAAATGCTCACAATTTTAAAAGTAATTTGAATTAAAGGTACCCTATACATGGTAAATCACCAAGACTGGACTGTATTATATTCTACAGAAGTAATATGAAACTTCAGGTAAACTTGTTTATTAAAAATAAAATGCTTACTTTTATTTATGTGTTTTAAGAAAATTTTGGAATGAGAGATACAAATTAATAATGTTTATTACTGAATAATAATTTCTGTCACAATTTAAAACCCTTAAAGCACATAGAGATAAATAAAATTAATAAATGCAAGAACTTTAATTAGAATAAAAGTAAAAATGTTCTTTTCACATTTACATCAGATATAGTCATTATTTTTACATTGCAAATTATTTCAAAGTTCATACTTATAAGCTGATTAAATTAGGGCCTCCTCATTCAATTTCTTGAAACTGCCCAATTTACAAAGAATTTGGGTATTACAATTTACTGTACATGACAACTGGGCTCATTTTCAAGATGCAGTCTACCACATCCATGTGATTAGATTTCCTATTATACACTCTGAAAAGGTTAATGAATACCTTAGCCAAGCATCTCAGGTTTTATAATTGGGAGTAATAAGTTGATACGGTGAAGAAGTTCTTCGTTAATGCAATCGAAATGCAGATCTACAATGTGTTATAAAAACACTGTAGTGACAGATCTAAAGAGAAATATGGTCTCATATATTTGTAGTTTGCAAATATGATATGGAAATATATGTATGTTTCTATTTGCTCATTAACTATAAAATATACCTCAGAAACTACTACTTGCTTCAAACTATAAACAAAGAGAATAGTCTCGTGACTTGAATCTTAACCTCTCCATTCCAGCCCCTTGAGCTGAGAGAGATGTGAGGGTGGAGAGTGGTGAGGACAGGAGAAGATAAGAGAAAAAATGAAAATTTACTGCAAAAAATTGGAATGTATTAGGAGTGCATTTGCTCTTCCTTTGGCTACTTTGTGTTTCTTCTCTCCTTACCATGAAAATAACATCCTTTAAGTATTAATTCAAAGTTCATTTTGCCTAAGAAAATCATATTAAATGTTACCTCACACAATTATTCCTTGCTTTCTGACCCTTAGCTTGTAGTTTATTCACAAAAATGTCTTTGCTATTACCTGTACATCTATCTACAGCATAGTGGCTAATAGCACAGACTCAGTCAGGAGACCAGGCTGCCTACATTCAAATCCCATTTCTGTTAACTACTAATTGTGTGATCTTGGAAAAGTTACTTAAAATATAACAAACAGTGTACTTCCTACTTTATACCCTGACTGACACAGTGATATACAAGGTGCTTTTCAGCTTGGCTCAGCTTTCCTTCCAAAACTTATTTTCTTTAACTCCTTATGAATGTGTCTCTAACCATAGCACACGTTCTTAAACACATCATATATTTTAATGCCTATGTCTTGGTTTATATTATTATTGCCTTTGCCTGTTAAACTTCACACCATACGAAGAACTACTACATATTATGATTCAAATGCCACCTCCTCTTCAAAGCTTTCCCTAAATACAGTAAAGACTTTCCTCATCCATGATTCTTTAGCCTTTAGAATACTTACCTCTAAATGAAGATCTGTTTTCAAAGTTTGTTGGTGAGGTTTGGTGGAAAAGAACAGTGGGGAAAGGTAGTCTGCAGTACTATTTATGTTATGGAGTGATCCACATTTTGTAATAATGTAACTTCAAAAGATTTCGTTAAAAAAGAGTAAAATATCAAGATTCTTCTATTGTTTTTCACAAATTAAATGATATTTACATAATAAATCTAATTACCCAAAAAGTCTGAACTATTTCTACATATTTTCATTGTCTTTTTTAACTCATGAAGCTGAAATCCCTTTCAGAAAGTCTGTCTTCTCTACAGTGCTTTTCTCTAATTGTCTCCTTGTTTTGTGAATGCAGTGGGAATTTTAGGCAGTTTAAAATGTTCCCACTCAGTCTTTCATAGACTTAAAAAAAATTATTCCAGAGAGTATTGCCAATTTGTTTGTTAATTCTCCTTTGACAAAATATCAAACAGATATTGAGGAGAGCCATCTATAGATATGTCAAATAATCTTATATAAAGAGCATGTCAACTCCAATTAGACGTACAAATAAAGGAAAAAATATGTCTAAGTTAATTTTTTCCATGGGTCCCTTTTAAGCCAGGAATTTAAAACTCACATAAAGTCAAGTAATTTAATATTACTTTTCCTGTGTTACTTTCCGTTTCAAGAAATGCACAAAATAGTTTATATTTATAATACATAATAAAAATGAAGAGAAACAGAAAAAGCCGTGGTAGGCAATGAATGCCAATGTCAATAAGATGTGTAAAGACAGAGACAAGGGATGAAAATTGAGAAGAAAAGAAGTCATAGCAGTTAATGCCACTTTTCTGGGCTCTGTAAAGAATTTGTGGGTTTGTGTGATAATGTGATGTCTCATATTGGAACCGTTTCATATTGGAACAGCATTGAGGAGTTCCTTCCTCACGACTGAGAGAAAGAAACCATACTCTTAAGAACCATTAGATACCTTATGTGCCTGGAAACTCTTTCTGTTTTTGTGAACTTTTGGGGTTCTTGGGTAATTTAAAAGAAAATGAAGGCAGTTATTTGGAAGATATAACTTTTGTACAGCCAAAGAAACACACATAATGTCAGACAATATCATACCTTAAGTTTATCACCAAACTATATATCTATATTTTCTTAATTAACTTGTGTATTCTTCCGATACACTGTTAAGCACTAAAAAAATTCTAAGCATAACTAAAACATTTTCATGCATGAAGCCTTCCTCCTGTCTGAAGGAATACAAACTAGGGGAAAGTGTGAAAAGATTTTATCACTGAGGGCCGCAGAATTGATTTATTTCCTAGAATAACTATGATTGTATACCCCTGATGCTTACATGTAATGCTCAACATTTCACAATTTTATCACAATAAGTTATACTGCAGTGACAAACAGCTCCAAAATACTTATGCCTTAGAACAACTCAGACATTTTTCTCACACATGGCAGTAGTCTATTGTTGGCTGTCTAGGGGTTCTTCTATGTGTCACCATACCCTGAAACCCAGGCAGATATATCACTAGTTTGAACAATACCAGTCAAGTAAATGGCTCACAATTCATACACCAGAAGTAGTTATGGCCCCATCCAACCACAAGAAGGTGGTACAGGAAATGCAATCCTGCCTTGTGCCAGTAAGAAGGGAACTAGAATATTTGGCGAAAGCATTAATGACTTCCACTCACAATTCAAAATAAAGTCTTCCTAGCAAGATAATAACCAAGTTCTTGCACAAACCAGAAAATAGATGGGGTGGGGGATCAACATTTAAATAAAAGGAGAAGCACTTAAATAAAATTGAATACATACATATTGTATACATGAATACAAAATATTTACGGAGTATTAAGGATTTATAAAAATCTTTTGCAGAGACAATATCTTTAATCTGAAAATATCAAAACTGAGAAAGAGGGATCCTGTTTAGAAACTAGCAAAGACCCGTAATATCAAAATTATGTAACTGGATTGCACCAGGGTAAAATACAATTGTCTGAGCCTAATACATTTTGAAAAAGAGATCAGAAGCTTCACATTTTTGATGGAGCAAGGGAATGCTATGAACTGCCTCTCCATTCTGAAGTGATCACTGCTGGGTCATGCTGTATCGGCCTGTCTATCCTTACCCATGAGACTACTTTATAAACTTTTCAATTACTATCCTTTATTTTCTACTTTCTGATTTACAATATTTGTTTTACTGATTCTTCTGAGCCCAACTAATTTAGTTGCACCCTTGCCTCATCCCTGCATGTTTAACTCTTTAGCTTTCAGGAGGCACATTAAGTCAGTTGTCTATGATATCATGATATCAACTACTTTATGGGTTTTTTTTTTTTTTACCAGAGTCTTTATTAAAAGACAAAAAATTCTTTCCGGTTTGTTGTTTTTTCTGCTCATTACCTGATGCTCAACAACCAATATTTTAACATACCATAGATGGCTAAATGTATTTACTTTGGATTCTCTAAAGTATACATACCTTAAATCAACATTGATTTCTGCTTTAGGATGAAGAAAATAATTCAGATCCATGAAAGTGTTTGGATATTTTGGAAAGAAAACTCAATTCTAAAGCAAATTTTCATAAGTTCAAAACTACACTGTAAAAAAATATGCCCTTTAAATGTTAAATTAGGCTGCCAGGTTGAAATCTGGCAAGGGCAGGCAACAGGGCAAGAACAAGAAATTTGAATTGGCTAGGACTTTATCAGACATCCAGTCTTATTAAAACTTCATAAAATAAATTAGCAAAACATTTATATTAATAAGATGTAATATATTATAATAAATATGGAGGGTTAAAGGTATTCTGTGTTCACTATTTCACTTAATCCTCAATAGAACACTGAGAGGTAATTTTTCTTATGACTAATTTACAGATTAGAAACATAAAGCTTAGAGAAATTGATCAATTTGCTCCAACTCACACAGGTAATCAATTGTAAAGCTCAAGTTCAACTTAGATTTTCTGAGTCCAAAGTATATGCTTTTTTAAAATAGTGACTGTGGTTTAGTAAAATGACTTATTCTTCACATTTTAAAATATAAAGCTGAAATTTTCTTTTTGTGATTTTGAAAACATTAAAAAGTCCAATATTAAACTAACTTTTATTCTTTGATAATTCAAGTTTGTAACGTATAGTTCTTTTAATTTAGTAAGATATTGAGACCAAGATTTACTTTTCAGTAAGAGTGAGGCAGACTTTCTATTTCAAAGATCACAAAGTTCTATAAACATCTCCTAAAACACACATCATGTTCTCTTATATGAACTACATTAGTAACATTACTTCAACATTCTAAATAAACATATTTTTAAACTATATAGCACACAGCATGTATCCCTTGTCAGTTGTCTCTAAACCTTCTGACTTCCCGCCTGAGGATACTACTGAATGCTGTTTTTACACCTTGCCTGTTTAAAGAAACACAATGTAGCAGTAGTAGAAAATACAGTTACAATATATTGAGGGAAGTAACTGGAAAATAGCTTGAGTACTACAAGGCCAATTCATGTAAAATGGATTAAAATACTCATTATAACAATTATTATTAAGGTTGTTAGGATTGTCTTCAAAAAAGACTACTGTGTTCTAAAGTGGGACTGGATTAGTGTTTTGAAAAAATATATAATATCCAGAATCTACAATGAACTCAAGCAAATTTACAAGAAAAAAACAAACAACCCCATCAAAAAGTGGACGAAGGACATGAACAGACACTTCTCAAAAGAAGACATTTATGCAGCCAAAAAACATGAAAAAATGCTCACCATCACTGGCCATCAGAGAAATGCAAATCAAAACCACAATGAGATACCATCTCACACCAGTTAGAATGGCAATCATTAAAAAGTCAGGAAACAACAGGTGCTGGAGAGGATGTGGAGAAATAGGAACACTTTTACACTGTTGGTGGGACTGTAAACTAGTTCAACCATTGTGGAAGTCAGTGTGGCGATTCCTCAGGGATCTAGAACTAGAAATACCATTTGACCCAGCCATCCCATTACTGGGTATATACCCAAAGGACTATAAATCATGCTGCTATAAAGACACATGCACATGTATGTTTATTGTGGCACTGTTCACAATAGCAAAGACTTGGAACCAACCCAAATGTCCAACAATGATAGACTGAATTAAGAAAATGTGGCACATATACGCCATGGAATACTATGCAGCCATAAAAAATGATGAGTTCATGTCCTTTGTAGGGACATGGATGAAATTGGAAATCATCATTCTCAGTAAACTATGGCAAGGACAAAAAACCAAACACCACATGTTCTCGCTCATAGGTGGGAATTGAACAATGAGAACACATGGACACAGGAAGGGGAACATCACACTCTGGGGACTGTTGTGGGGTGGGGGGAGGGGGGAGGGATAGCGTTAGGAGATATACCTAATGCTAAATGACGAGTTGGTGGGTGCAGCACACCAGCATGACACATGTATACATATGTAACAAACCTGCACATTGTGCACGTGTACCCTAAAACTTAAAGTATAATAATAATAAAATAAAATAAAATAAGGAAAAGAAAATAAAGTTCAGACATACAAAATATATATATATATAATTATCTAAAACTAAAGATTGTGAGATATTTTAAATGCTTATAACCTAAATTATGCACTGTTGAAAAATGTCTTTTTCCTATACAGGTTCAACATGTTTGAGAGTGATACGTAGTTCACAGAGGCTTTCGTTACTGTCATTTAAAATGATATATTGGGCTTATGAAACTGAACTGTTATAATTTAGGAGAATGAGAGAAATCATTTTAACTAGTTGTCCTAGTTTGAAAATACATTGTTGGCTTCATTTTTTGTATCAACCAAAAAATTAGCATTATAGCAATACATACTAATACAATGAATAGAAACGATGATTATTTCTACAATTCAGGAAGTAAGGAAATTACTCAGTTCTTCCATGGAAATAATCTTTTAGGCTTAACTACTGAAGATATAGATATAACTGGAGTAATAAGACTTACCTTTAGCAAATATCTAGATATTATGCAGCCAGCTACATGTGGTACCACTTGATATAATCAACTTGGAAAGTTATACACTGATTATTATTACTAATTTAATTACCAGATGACAGTTATAAAGGACTATCCAAGCTTGTTATCAAATTCAGATGAAAATGATTTGGCTTTTTCCAGAGAGTTGAATGTACTGATTTGAAAATTGTTATTTGATGAGACTACCTTTCTATCAAAACCATTTTGGGGATCAGATTTAATCTGAATCAGCTCAACTCAGGTGGTCTGAGAGTGCTACTTTCATGTGCTCAATGGATATCTAGAGGTCAATTTGTTTCTTAATCATAATCTCCCATTTCATTGTAATTTCTACTTTGAGAAGCAGGTAAGAAATATGGTATTATGCAAGCTCTTCCTCTGAACTATGGAGAGCCTTATATTTTATCACCATATCCAGCAAGTTATTTCCACTTTCTAGTGGTAAAAGTAAAGTAATTTAGTCCTAAAATCCAGGGAGTATTGATAACTGAACATATACCCACAATTGAATGAGCAAGTAGACTGCAAATGAATTCGTCGTTCTAATGTTGGGGATGTTGCAAGGGTAACCTGGAATTCAACAATATCATTGCACAGTCCCAATTTCTATTCCTTATTATCCCACAGAAATAATATCAGAACATCATGATACAAAATGTACTCAATGACATCAAGTATAGCTTTAAATTAAAACCCTGTTCTTGTACACATTTTTAAGTTGGCACAGGAATAAATTTCCAAAATAAAAGTATCTGAGAATTTCATCTTCTCATTTTCCAAGTCTAGTTTATTGATTTTCCATGAAGAGTAGAATAGTCAGATAGAAGAAATATGCTGTAATTTATTTAAGTTCAATTTTTAAATTAAATTAGATCTAATGGGTACAACTGAAACCAATGCCCCAAATAGTGTTAGTCTATTATATTTTACAAGGATGTCTACTAAGATGCCATAAGAATATCATCTTACCTATTAGTGTTATTAGTAATATGAAAAAAGGAGTATGCTTCATGCAAATAATACATTCAGCCAGTTTTAAAGCTGCCATTATGCACATATATTACTGAAGATAAAGATTTCAATAGAAAATGTTGCTTTTTCATCCATAAAAAAATGTAATTTTAGGCATAACTGGAGCTCCCATAGATTTTAGCCCTATGTCTAATCAGGTTTGGAATTGGAGATATGATTGTGAATTGTTTTGTTTATTTTCAAATATCCTATACGGTGTCATTCAATTGTTCCATGTAATTTAAAACACTGAGTTCAATGATTTAAGTTTTTGGCATTGTTGCAGAGGAAGTGTGAAAATATAAAAGTGTCAGTTAAGTACAATGCATGGTGCTGATTGAAAACACCAAGGATTATAAAGTACAGAGGTGTCAGATCAATGATCTAGAAAACAACTTTAGGTGAATGCATATCAGACGTTAGAAATTCAAGTATTCTGAGAAAGAAGAGATCCTGAGTAAGATTTTCTGATTAGTTATGATGGCTGGTTCATGAATTATTTCCCCTCTGAGGCACAGTGAGGTATATTCCGAATTTAGGGCACTCAAAAAGGACACATTCAATTTATATAGTAAAATTATACATTTTACCTGAAAGAAGATTACATGGACGGTGGTGGGCAGTTTGAGATCTGATCTTTTATCAAAGTTTATATTCGGAATCATGTGTCCACAATGATGATTATGCCCAACTTTCTTGTGGCATCAGAAGGAGATGATTCTGCCATTACGTGTCCAAGTGATTTCAAATGATTTTAATTGTTTAGTCTCCTAGGGCAAGATTTATAGTGTTCTTTTGGAGACTATGTGACTTTGTAGGTACTTGGTCATGGGCTCATGAATCAGTATTTATGAGTTTGAATCCTATATAGTATGATACCCCTTACAAATTAAAGGCAAGAAAGAGGAATAATTCAAACCATGTGTCTAAACAAAACTGTATGTTTACAACAATCAAGACAATCAAAGTAAATATAGATGCATAGTTGATAGAATGTTGTAGATAAAGCACATATAGCAAATATGCAATGAGAATGTGATATTGATATGAAATAAAAGTGTTCAGTTGTATAAATAAAATGATTAGAAATAAATATCAATAAGTAGACTCAAAGATTAACATAAATATGTGCAAAAAATTGCCCTTTAGTCTAGGTTTCTTAAAGCAAAATAAAAAGAGGTACTCTGAGGATGACTGTAGTTCTTCTAGAGTGATATATCATGATGAAATGGTAATTACACACTGTATGCCACATCATGTAAAAGACAGAATTTATTTGACAACCCTATATAAATGCATGACCGCTATCATATACCTTTGTAACATCACGTTCAGAACTGCAAAACATTTTTTTATGAAAGCAATCCCTATAGATAGGTTGAAAATTCTCCCTGAGTTCTAAATGTCAGTAACCACAGTTTCTTGTCATTCTCATGTTATCCTTTTCCAAACAGTATCTAAAGAGTGGTTTAATGACAATTATTTTGACTACTTGCATTGCAATTATGTTTGCAATATTGACAAATTATGCTACTTTGTCATAAGTACTTTAAATAATTACAGTACTTGTCAGATATCTCTAAATCAGATTATTTCATGCAAAAGCAAACTTAGTGTATCCATACTCAAATCATATTATATACTGTCCTTGATATGACATCACATCACTTTGGTTGACAGATGATAACATTACAAATTAAAAAAGCCTATTTTATCAGAGGATTATGCCTGTCATGGTATAGTAGATTTAGTGTCACTCACTAGCAAATAGCAACGTTCTTTTTGTAAGTTTGGGGAGGTAGGGATAAGGCTAGACGACAGGATATTACAAACGGTTTGCATCCTTCAGTACTTTAATATGGATGGGCATGTGAGTTTTTTACATTTTAAAATTTTATATTTGAGTTTCTAAGCCTCCACTTGAAAGATGAGATACATGTCTGTGATAGAAATATTTCCACCTATCTTTTTCTGGTTATTGAACTAGCTTCTAAAGTTGGAGAAAACACTTGTCACTTCTTGTCAGTGCTATGATAGCAAGAAGATACTTCTTTTTATAGAAGTAAGATTCATATTTCCCAATAAGACAGCATATATAATGCTACCATATAATGACTATCAAGATATTCAATATTCATAATACTATCAATACAATCTTGACATATATATATATATATATATATATATATATATATATATATATATATATAGTAATGTATCAGAAAACACAAAAGCTGTAGATGTTATAGGTACATCTTAGACTTGTTTCTCCCTACTAGCTGTAAGGTACTAATGGGCACATCAAATTAAATATATCCAAAATCAAATGCCATATCTTTCCTCCCTGCCAATGAAAGTTCCACCTACAGTCTTTTTCTATTTCAATTAATGTTCAATTAATAGTAACTCTTTCTCACTCCCTACATCATCCTGTCCATTAACAAATTCTTTTGGATTTACCTTCTCTCTCTCTCTCTCTCTCTCTCTCTCTCTCTCTCTCTATATATATATATATATATATATATATATATATATATATATGTGTGTGTGTATATATATACTCTACTTATATGTGTGTGTGTGTATATATATATATATATATATATATTCTATATTTAAAATGCAACAGCTTCTCTACTTACAACTTCCACTACTATAACATGTCTTAATTTGTTTGAGCTGCTGTAACAAAATACCATAAACTAGATGGTGTATAAACAACATAAACTTATTTCTTACAGTTCTGGAGGCTGGGAATTCCAAGGTCAAGCCACCAGAAGATTCAGTCTCTCGTAAAGGCCCACTTTCTTTTTCATAGTAGCACCTTCTTGCTGTGTCTTCACATGGTGGAAGGGGTGAGCTAGCTCTCTGAGATTTCTTTTATAAGGACATTATTTTTATTCATAAGGACTCCTTCTTCATGGTTTAATCACCTCCGAAAGGCCCCACCTCCTAATATCATCACATTGGTGATTAAGTTATAATGTATACATTTGGGAGGCACAAACGCTCAGACCATAGCACACCATGATGCAAGAGACCATCCTTCTTGATTGACTTATAACCTATTAGCTGATCTATCTACTCTCACCAGTGCCCAATCCCCACCTCTGCCTACACATACAGTCTAGTATTCACAGGGCAAAAAAAGAGATCCAATTACATCTAAGTCAGATCTTGTCATTACAATGTCTCTCAATCTCACTTAGAGTGTAAATAGATATCCTTACAATGACCTAAAAACTAGAAAAATCTCCTTCCTTACTCCTCTGACATCATGTTCAACTACTCTTTTCCTTTATTCTATTTCTTCTAGCTACAGCCTTCCTTGATGTTCTTCAATATCAGTCTCTTTCTCAATTTTAAGCCTTTGCCTTTGCATAGAAGACTTTTGAGTGTACATATGTATGAGAGAGGAGAAAGTGTCTATTGGAAATGGTTAACCTTTGAGATTGACAACTTTTATAAAATCTAAAGGGGAATAAGGCATGCTATATACATAGGAAATAAGAAACTGGTCCTCTTAATTTCTTAGATTTTCAAAATACTAATATTTATGTAGACATTGCTGCTTTTGTTAGATGAACGAATCAGTATGCTTTAGAAAGAATGTCCTAAGTGTTATTAGGAATCTACAGAGTTGGTCCCCCTCAATTAGGAAAATGATGCAGGAGCATCATGAGATAGCATGTTGTATCTTCTTCAGGCTTTTTTTTTTTTTTTGCATTTTTCATCAAACACAATCCAGAATAAAATTAAATATAGAAAACAAATCAAGAATCGATCTTCATTTAAAATAAGTAAAAAGAACGGTAAGTTCTGAAGATAAATGCTTGTGGGAGACAATCCAACTTATTTAATATAAGGAATATCTCTCCTATGTCAAATAGGTACTTTTTTTCAAGAGATAGTTTAGAAAGTAAAAAGTAATTTAAAATTTCCTTTTGTATGGAATTCTCTATTTAAGTCATTAAAAATATTAAAACCTGGAGCTGAAAAATTGAACTATGTATGGTAGGATTTGCATTTTCAAAGAAGCCTCTGTCTCACTAGTGGTTGTTAATAAACCCCAGTCACAGTAAAATAGAAGCTGGCATTTGTTCCATGCTGTTAAAAACAAATTTGTGCAGTATATTTGGAAGTGTATTTTCTTAATAATTCCTATTTTACAGTGCATGGCCTCCTACTGTATGAGGCAAATGATGATAATGGCAATCATCAAAGTTATAATACTTCAAGTCCTATTAAAGTTGACTCCAGATAAAAGAAAACACTGTGCACTATTGGTTGGCATACGATTACATTTTTTTTCTACTTTGCTTTGGAGTTTTTATTCTTGTGGTTTATTCAATATAAGGTTGTTAAGCCAATCTCCACAGCTTTAAATATTATGAGACTATGTTTTACTTTTACAAATGTAGATCAAAAGAGGTATAGGTTAGCATAAAACACCTGAAGGTCAAAAGAAAATTTTAGTTGGAACTATAAGACTTAACAAAACCTGGGGCCTAAGCTTAACCCAGTCTGTGTTAAAACTACTATTTAAATATGATTTGAATATATTATTTATACATTTTAGTAGATGAATAATGATGTCTTTTGCATATACTTAAAAACAATAGTAGCCTACTTTTTCAAAAACTGCCAATTTGAACAACTAACGAACACAGAATTTTATTTTAACTGAGTTATAAACAAAGGTTTTAGATAACTGCTGATTGGTTTATTTAAAAACAATTTACTTAAAACTAGATTTATAAAATCTTCTGAAGGAAACCACAACAAAAAGCAAACTTTAGATTCTTTCCAAGGAATTAATGTTTTATTTTGCTACAGAGCTTTGCTTTCTTCAAATCCGGAAGAATATTTGTTTCCTCTGGTTATAGTTTCTTGGAGCAGAAGTAATGTATTCTTGCATACACAGTTAGTTATTTATGATGTTTTACATACCTATTAGGGTAATGTTAGCTTATTTGTAAAAAAGAAAAACAGTCTGAACTAATAGAGAGTGGTGGGATTCTATTCTCAATTAGCTGCCTAGTCTTTTGTAAGATCAATACAGACTTATGGTACTTAGTCAATATTTTCTCATAATATTTTCCATTTAATTAAGCTGAAGGATAAATTATTGATGTTTTTCTCCTATTGTTTAAAGTTTCTCTTGAAACATCATTTTTACGTTTTGCACTTATAAATGAAGAAAATATTTATGGGAATCATTAGTTTAATCTGGTATGCATTTATAAGCCATGGATAAAGATCAACTATCCCCTAATGTTATAGCAGAAGGGAAATTAGCATACTCATTATTGTATTTCTCCTTCCATTTATATTCCCAAACTAATTATACTAATTTGACTTAATTATGCATATTATATTCATTTGTGCCAGCAACAGGACAAAAAGACCTATTTAAATATAATAGCATAGATATATATTTAAATATAATACTGCAGATATTATATATGTAAGAAGCAAAACCAATAGAAGATATATATATTTTTATATTTGCATAACATATACAATATATAATATATATAAAGTATATATAAAATATACCATATATATATATAAGCTTCAGATTCTTTCTCAATAAATTTGAATAAGTTCTAAGATTTGTTATAGGAAGTGGCTTACATGATTGTGGGGCTACCTTAGAAAGTTCAAAATCCGTAAGTCAGGGAGACAGTGAAGGCAAGCTAGATCTCACATGCACGGGCCACAGACAGAATTTATTTTCTCATTCTTTCTCTCACTTTGTCTCTCATTCTTAATCACTTTCCCTGTCTTTCTCTCTCTCTTTTGATCTCTGCAAAACCTCCTGCTTGTTTTTAAGGCCTCCCAATGGAATTAATCAGGCCCACCCAGATTATCCAGAGCAATCTCCTTTACTTAAATTCAACTGATTAGGGACTTTACATTAGCAAAACGACTTCACAGCAGCATCTAAATTAATGTTTTATTGAGTAAACGGGAAATGTAGCTGAAACAAGGTGAAATGTTAAAATATATATAAAAATCTATTACCATGTTAAAATATCACCATAATTTAGGCTTTTTTAAATGCAAAATATTCCACAAAGCACCCAGAGAATACATTCCTTCCCACCCCGAGTCTCAGTACAAATAACTCCTCCAACAAAGGAAGAAAGCAAATATAGTTAAAGGATTCAATGATAAAACATTATGTAAGAAATAGCATATCAAAATGCACAAAGGAGAATTTTATTTCCAGCAGTGATAACTCAGGTTGATTCAGAAAAAACACTCTGCAGGAAAACAATTAGAAAAGCTGTACAAAAAATATTTTTAATATATTGTAAGGTATGAATGAGCTAATAAAGCAGCAAGAATATGAAGATACAATATTCAGAAGCAAAGGGAAAAAATTGAATGGTAAGCGGGGCATTTCACTTTACTTTTCCTCTCAATGCATTAATCAACCATTACCAGATTTCGGGAGGCTGAAAACCCATCTTAATTTATACCAGTTTTATAAAGCTGGGAAAGGCAACTGGAATTCAAGACCCAACAAAAAGAAGAGTCTCTTTTAACCACCCCAGGCTTTCATTGCATGCATTCGAGGGCTACACTCTAAATTAAAGGAATAACTTGATACAGAAAAGACCATTCAAAAGATTAAAGCCAGCTGCTAATCAGATCAATCACTAATTGTATAGATGTGACATGCCCGCCCATATTATAATTGCAAGAAAGAAGCTAACATAAATCCTCTTTGAGGGAGGATTACAATTCTGAATCTTCAAATATCTCTACAATATTTAATATGAAATGTCTGGTATGTAATAAAAAGAATATATATACTGGGAGATAATACCAGGCAACCAATATCAATAAAAAACTATATGACAGAAATAGATGTAAAGGATCTGTAGATGTTGAGATTACCGGTCACAAACATTAAAATAACTGTTAACAATATGAGTGTATTAGTCAGGGTTTTCTAGAGGGACAGAACTAATAGGATGGAGAGTTTATTAAGTATTAACATACGTGATCACAAGGTCCCACAATAGGCTGTCTGCAAGCTGAGGAGCAAGGAGAGCCAGTCTAACTCCCAAAACTGAAGAACTTGGAGTCTGTTTCCAAGGGCAGGAAGCATCCAGCATGGCAGAAAGATGTAGTCTGAGAGGCTACACCAGTCTCTCATTTTCACATTTTTCTGCCTGCTTTACATTTGCTGGCAGCTGATTAGATGGTGCCCACCTGATTAAGGATAGGTCTGCCTTTCCCAGCCCACTGACTCAAATGTTAATCTCTTTTGGCAACACTCTCATAGACACACCCACGGATCAATATTTTGTATCCTTAAATACAATCAAGTTGACATTCAGTATTAACCATCATAAGTCCACTCCTTGTCAACTTGAACCCATACACATCTCCTGAGATCATCCATGATCTTCAAATAAAGACAATAATGTCATAATTATGCCTAACATAATACAACTATCCTTTGTGCAATGAGAAATGCACCAATCCCCAACCCAAATACTATTACATAAAGTTAACGATACTTAAATGTCGATATGAAGTCAATAAATCTTGTGTCACATGATAAAGGAAAAAGTAAATAAAATGAAGATATTTTCTTAGTACAAGTGGATACATGCACAAACATGTTTTTAACAAAAGAAGGAAGAAATACTCATGACAATTACAGTCCCCATTTCTGCAACTAGTCACGTGGTTGTAGCTGGTATTGATGACCACCTTCTTCTACTACCCATTCTGTATTCCCTTTGCATTCAGCAAACACCTCAACAGGTCCTGGTTTTATTCTGGGTAGAGTGACCCAAGCCTTCATTCCTGAAGGGTCTGGGCCATTTGTAGTCCTGTCTGGATTGGGCTGTTGTAGTTTCCCATTGACCTTAATCACAGGGCATGGTAATACTAAGCGATGCCCTAATGGATCTCTTGTATTCCATGCATACTCTTCCTTACCTCCGTTGTGAAGTAGTAGACTGATTTCATCTTGATAGTCTGGGTCAATCACCCCAGCCAACACTGTAACTCCATTCTTAGCCTGTTAACTTAAAGGTAGGAGGTGCCCAAAGTGTCCAGGTGGCAATCTTAACTTCCAGTTTAGTGGAATTGTTGTTGTGTCTCCTGGTGGCAGAGTTCCTCCCTCTGGAACTAAGAACTGTAGGCCAGCAGAACGTAATGTCACAGGAACGGGAAGCAAGAATTTTTCCAGTGGTTAGGGGTGATGGTGAGTGGTGCCATTTCCACTTCCACTTCTTGAATCCTGGACCTGTGTATCCTAGCTATAGGAGAAACAGCACCATATATTGGATGCTGATTCAGAGCATACATGACTTTCTGGAGAACTTTTCACCAGCCCAGCTAAGTATTGTTGCCTAGTTGGCATTGTAATTGTGATTTCAAAAGGCCATTCTACCATTCTAACCATACAGCTTCTTCAGGATGATGGGCAACATGGTAAGATCAGTGAATTCCATGAGCATAAGCCCACTGCCATGCTTTTTTTAAAAAAAATTATACTTTAAGTTCTGGGATACATGTGCAGAACGTGCAGTTTTGTTACATAGGTATACACATGCCATGGTGGTTTGCTGCACCCATCAACTCGAGATCTACTTTAGGTATTTCTCCTAAGGCTATCCCTCCCCTAGCCCCCCACCCCCTGACAGGCCCCGGTGTGTGATGGTCCCCTCCCTGTGTCCATATGTTCTCATTGTTGAACTCCCACTTATGAGTGAGAACATGCGGTGTTTGGTTTTCTGTTCCTGTGTTAGTTTGCTGAGAATGATGGTTTCCAGCTTCATCCATGTCCCTGCAAAGGATGTGAACTCATCCTTTTTTATAGATGCATAGTATTCCATGGTGTAGGAGTCCCTATTTAATAAATGGTGTTGAGAAAACTGGCTATCCGTAGGCAGAAAACTGAAACTGGACCCCTTCCTTACACCTTATACAAAAACTAACTCAAGATAGATTAAAGACTTAAACGTAAGACCTAAAACCATAAAAACCGTAGAAGAAAACCTAGGCAATACCATTCAGGACACAGGCATGGGCAAAGACTTCATGACTAAAACACCAAAAGCAATGCAACAAAAGCCACAATTAACAAATGGGATATAATTAGACTAAAGAGCTTCTACACAGCAAAAGAAACTATCATGAGAGTGAACAGGCAACCCACAGAATGGGAGAAAATTTTTTCAATCTATTAATCTGACAAAGGGCAAATATCCAGAATCTAGAAAAAACTTGAACAAATTTACAAGAAAAAAAACAAACAATCCCATCAAAAAGTGGGTGAAGGATATGAACAGACAGTTCTCAAAAGAAGACATTTATGCAGCCAACAAACATATCAAGAGAAGCTCATCATCACTAGTCATTAGAGAAATGCAAATAAAAACCACAATGAGATACCATCTCACACCGGTTAGAATGGCGATCGTTAAAAAGTCAGGAAACAACAGGTGCTGGAGAGGATGTGGAGAAATAGGAATGCTTTTACACTGTTGGTGAGAGTGTAAATTAGTTCAACCATTGTGGAAGACAGCGTGGCAATTCCTGAAGTACCTACAACCAGAAATACCATTTGACTCAGCAATCCCATTACTGGGTAGATACCCAAAGGATTACAAATCATTCTACTATAAAGACACATGCACACATATGTTTATTGCAGCACTGTTCACAATAGCAAATACTTGGAACCAACCCAAATGCCCATCACTGATAGACTGGATAAAGAAAATGCCATGTTCTTTAGCCATAAAGTGAGTGACTTGGTCAGAGGCAATGTTGTGTGGAATACCATGACAATGAATAAGACATTCCATGAGTCCATAGATGATAATCTTGGCAGAACCATTGCATGCAGGATACACAAACCCATATCCAGTAACTGTCTACTCCAGTGAGGACAAACGTCTGCCCTCTCCATGATAAAAGAGATCCAATAAAATCAACCTGCCACCAGGTAGCTGGGTGATCACCCCAAGGAATGGTGCCATATCTAGTGCTCGGTGTTAGTCTCTGCAGCTGGAAAATTGGGCACTCAGCAGTGGCTGTAGAGAGGTCAGCCTTGGTGAGTGGAAGTCCATGTTGCTGAGCCCATGCATAACCTCCATCCCTGCCACCATGGCCACTTTCTTCAAGGGTCCATTGGGTGATGACAGGGGTGGATGGGGAAAGAGGCTGAGTGCTGTCCACAGAATGGGTCATCCTATCCACTTGATTATTAAAATCCTCTTCTGCTAAGGTCACCTGTTGGTGAGCAGGCACATAGGATACAAATATCAATTTCTTTGTCACCAATTTTCCACTTTTGAGTGGTGCCTGCGTATCGTGCAGAACCATCTGTGAACCCGGCACTAGTCTTCTCTTTCCCTGTCAACTGATAATAGGGAACGTCCCATGAGGTTATCAGTGCAGACTGGTAAAGACAAGGCAGGGTGGCAGGAGTGGAGAACATGGGCTTTTGAGACACTTCCTCATGTAACGTACTTGTGCCTTCAGGACATGCTCAAGCCTGATCACGGATACACCACTTCCATTTGATTACGGAAAACACTGCTATGCACGACCCACTTTATGGCTAGATGAGTCAGAAAGCACCCAGTTCATGATAGGCTGTTCAGGTTGCATGGTGACTTAATGACACATAGTCAAACATTTAGTTTCCACCAAAGCTCAGTAACAGGCCAAGAGCTGTCTCTCAAAAGGAGAGCAGTTATGTGCAAAAGATGGCAGAGCCTTGCTCCAAAATGTTAGAGGCCTCCACTGTGATTCACCTATGTGGGCCTGCCAAAGGCTCCAAAGAGTATCCCTGTCTGCGACTGACACCTCAAGCACCATTGGATCTGTTGGGTCATATGGTCCAAGTGGCAGAGCAGCTTGCACAGCAGCCTGGACCTGTTGCAGAGCCTTCTCCTGTTCTGGACCCCACTCAAAAATGGCAGCCTTTAGGGTCACTTGATAAATGGGCTGGAGTAACACACGCAAATGAGGAATGTGTTGCCTCCAGAATCCAAATAGGCCGACCAGGCATTGTGCCTCTTTCTTGTTTGTAGGAGGGGCCAAATGTAGCAACTTATCCTTTATCTTAGAAGGAATATCTTGACAGGCCACAAAACAATGGATCCCTAGAAATTTTACTGAGGTAGAAGGTCCCTGAATTTTAGTCAGATTTATTTCCCAACCTCTGACATGCAAATGTCTCACCTATAGGTCCAGTGTGTTTGCTATTTCTTGCTCACTGTATCCAATCAGCATAATGTCATCAATGTAATGGACCAGTTTGATACCTTGTGGATGCAAAAAGCAATCAAGATCTCTCCGAATAAAATTATAACACAAAACCGAGAGGTGATATACCCCTGTGGTAGGACAGCAATGGTATATTGCTGGCCTTGCCAGCTGAAGGCAAATTGCTCTGGTTGGCCTTATGGACAGGAATGGAGAAAAAGGCATTTTCCAAGTTAATGGCTGCATAACAGGTACCAGGAGATGTGTTAATTTGCTCAAGCAATGAAACCACATCTGGTACAGCAGCTGCAATTGGAGTCACCACTTGGTCAAGCTTATGATAATCCACTGTTATTGTCCAAGATCCATCTGTCTTCCAAACAGGCCAAATGGGAGAGTTGAATGGGGATGTGGTGGGAATCACCACCCCTGTGTCTTTCGAGTCCTTGATGGTGGCACTAATCTCCGCAATTCCTCCACGGATGTGATATTGCTTTGATTTACTATTTTTCTAGGTAGAGGAAGTTCTGATGGCTTCCATTTGGCCTTTCTCACCAGAGTAGCCCTCACCCTACCAGTCAGGGAGCCAATGGGGGGGTTCTGCTAGCTGCTAAGTATTTCTATGCCAATTATGCATTCTGGCACTGGGGAAATGACCATAAGAGGAGTCTGGGGACCCACTGGATCCACTGTAAGTCAGACCTGAGCTAAAACTCCAATAACTACCTGATCCCCATAAACCCCTACTTTAAGTGGGGGACCACAATGACGTTTTGGGTCCCCTGGTAATAACGTCATTTCAGAGCCAATGTCCAGCAGTCCCTGAAATATCTGATTATTTTACTTTCCCCAGTACACATTTACCCTGGTAAAAGGCCAGAGGTCTTTTTTGGTGAAAGATGGGAGAAAGATTCACTGCATAAATTTTTGTTAATGTAGTGGGGTCCTTCCTCTAGGGGAACCGACCTCCCTTTCATTCAAGGGGTTCTGGTCTGGGTCTGTAAACTGGCTCAAGTCTGGAAATTGATTGAGGGGCTGTGATTCTCTGTTTTTATAACTCGAATACAAATTAGTCTTTTGTCCATTCGACATAGAAGTTCTCTGCTTGTATAAATTAAGTAGAAATGCAATAGGCTTCCTATCAGTTTTACTTCTAGGAACATAGTGATTAATTAGCCAATGCCAGAGCTCTACACGAGTCAGACTATTCTGATAGCCACTTTGCATCTACCGTTCATTACAGTAGCTACGCCCACAATGCCTTTGACTGTTGAGTGCTGTCACTTTGCCCCTGCAACCTCAGGAACCAAGTATTTCCACTGTATTTACATTTTGTAGTTGAGTGACTGCAGTTCCCACAGTTAGATCTGACATAAAGAGAAGAACCATTACAGGGATCTTCAAAGATGCAGGTGCTGCCCTCACCGATCTATTTCACAAGGCATTGGTCAAGGGTATGTCTTCCGGACCCTCTCAGCTGAGATGAGTTGATCTAAAGTGACAAATCTACTACACCAACCCAATTTCCCTAAGCCTTTGGATCCCTTCCTCTACATTAAACCAAGGCAGATCAGGCATTTCCAGCTCACTCACAGTGGGCCATCTTTTAATCCATATTTCAGCTAATCAAGCAAATAAACTATGAGAAACTTTTTTAACTCCCTGAACTGCAACATTAAAAATGAGTCCCTACTTAGTGGGCCCAAATCCATGAATTCAGCCTTATCCAACTCTATGTTCCTTCCAACATTATCCTATACCCTTAATAATCATTCCCATGCCTGTTCTCCAGATTTCTGTTTACATAAATTAGAGAAATCAAACAGTTCTCTTTGAGTGTAGCACACCTCCTCATGGGCCACACTGTCAACCTCACCTCTCGGTGAGGACTTAGTCTAGTTATAGGTCTAGAAGCAAACAGAGATGTTGGGGGTGGCGCCTGAGGAGAATCAACATTATCTTGCCTGGCAACTGCCACAAGGGAGGCCATCATTGTTGCCTCAGGCAGCGTAGGGTTTATCTCCTCAGACAAAGGTTGAAAGGCTGATGGCAGCATGGGTTGGGGAGGTGATGTTGCCACTACTGGGGATGGGAAAGTTTTTTCTTCTGGCAAGAAAGGTTCATCAGAGTTTAAAAACTCAGTGTCCCCAGCTTCATCAGGGTGCTCCCACACGTCACCATTCCAAGTTGCAGGGTCCTATTGTTTTTCAATCAATGCCCTCACTTTAACAATAGACACCTGGTGAGGCTGTGCATGTGTCTTTCACTGCAGGTCAGCCACTGGCATGATAACAGCTTGTGTCTGTTTTTCCACAATTTCAGCCATTTCTCTACAGGAGATAAGACTCTCACTCAGGGCAGTCTTAGCAGATTTGAGACTCAGTATCTGCTTCTGAAGCTGGGAGACAGAATTCCTGAGTTCATTATTTTCTTTCATCATTTTGTCCACTGAACTTAGGGGCACCCATCCAGCTTCATTACATTTTTTGGTTCTCCACATGTGATCAAAGTTATTACGTATATAGTCACTAAACTCCTTGTCTCTCATGAGCAAATCAGGAGTGTCAAATGCATTTATTTTGCATAACTCTCTAAACAGTTCATGCCAAGGACTATCAGTGTTCTCCATACTATTGGAAGTAGATTCCTTAGAATTTTTGGGTCTAATCATATTAAGCAGCCAACTCCAGAAACCCCAAAACCAATGAAAGAATGGCATCTTTAATATTCTGTTCCTTTAGAAACACTCCTGTTACCTAAATCTGTATTAGTCAGGGTTCTCTAGAGGGAAAGAGCTATATATATATAAAATATATATATAATATATATAATATATATATATTATATATATATAAAATATATATATATAAATATATAAATATATATGTATATATACACACATATGTATATATACACATATTTATATATATACATATGTATATATATAAATATACATATATACATATTTATATATAAATATATATACATATATAAATATATATACATATATAAATATATATACATATATAAATATATATACATATATAAATATATATACATATATAAATATATATACATATATAAATATATATACATATATAAATATATATATATGATTCAGCCTTATCCAACTCCATATTCTTTCCAACATTATCCCATACCATATATATATGTGTATATATATACACACATACACACACACATACACACACATACCTTTACATATATATATAGAGACATCTATATAAATATAGAACATATATATATAAAGGGGATATATATATATATAAATAGAAGATAGACATATAAGTATATATATATATACACAAATAGGATATATTATATATATGAGAGTTTATTACGTATTAACTTACATGACCACAAGGCCCCACCATAGGCTGTCTGCAAGCTGAGGAGCAAGGAGAGCCAGTTCAAGTCCCAAAGATGAAGAACTTGCAGTCTGATATTTGAGGGCAGGAAGCATCCAGCATGGGAGAAAGATGTAGGCTGGGAGGCTAGGCCAGTCTCTCCTTTTCATGTTTTTCTGCCTGCTTTATATTCACTGGCAGCTGATTAGATGGTACCCACCCAACTAAGGGTGAGTCTGCCTTCTCCAGACCACCGACTCAAATGTTAATCTCCTTTGGCAACACCCTCACAGACACACCTAGGATTAATACTTTGTATTCATTAATCCAATCAAGTTGACACTCAGTATTAACCATCACAATGAGTAAGATGAGAATTTTGGCCTAGAATAAGAATTTGTAAATAATAAGCATATGGAGTCTTCCAGTTTCTGATTGAGCATATAAAATGATTCAAATTTTGCCACTCCATTCTAACAAGATCAAAGCTGAACACACTGAAATAAAAAAAAAACACTCTTTTTAGGCATATAAGAGAGGTAAGACCACATGACAAACCACTGTCCCCAAAATTGGACAGACATATGGGCATATATGAGGAATCATGACATACAAAGCAGAAACCTCTGTGGGAACAGGATAGAAAAACCTGAACTGTAATTGAATAATTAATGGAGGCATAATGTGGGCAAGTCTGAGAGTTAAAACCTCTAAGAGAGCCCAGTCTAAGGTGGAGCCCCACATTTTTGTGAGTTTTTCTCCCAGGAGCTCTACCAGGTCACTACAGTAAATATCAGGAAAAAACAACAACAACAACAACGAAAAACAAAACAAACAAACAAAAAAAACTTCCTTGTGCTCCTTTCAAGAGGAGAGGAAAATGAACGATTCTGAAACATACCACAGTGTTCTGTTATTCTTAAAAAGGTTTGCCTTCAACATGAACTATTTAAAAGAGCTTAAAATGCTAGAGTTTTATCACAACATAACCAACCTGGGGAAAGTGTAATACCCAACTCAAAGCCCCTCTAGCCGTCCTATTCCACCTAAGGCTGAGAAGAACTGGTGAAATTTACAGTCCAAGTTTACCCCAAAACTGAAAATCATAGGACTCTAGAGTGGTTCCTTTTCCCTCACTCCTTACCACTACTTTACAAAAAGCTTATTTACAGAAGTTCATTTGCATTATTATTCATTTTATTATTGTTTTTATTAGAAAAAGGTTATCACAAGGTTGCCCAAGCTGCTCTCAAACTCCTAGGTTCAAGTGATTCTCCTGTCTTGACATTCCAAAGTGCTGGGATTACAGACATCAGCCACCATGACTGGCCAGTAGTTCATTTTACCCAGTACATCATGAACCACATTTTAACAGAAAATTACAAAGCACACTAAAATGTAAAAACAAAACAAACAAGCAAAAAAAAAAAAAACAGTTTGAAAAAATGGAAGAAGCCATCAAGACCAGAGTCAGATATGGCAGTGCTGTCATGTGAATAAGCCCTCATGAATGGGATCAGTGCCCTTATATAAGAGGTTTCAGAGAACATAACCAACATGGGGGAAGAATATCCTCTATCTGTTTCATCATGTGAGATTAAGACAAGAAGATGGCCATGTATAAAACCAGGAAAGGGGCCTTTATCATTCACTGCATGTGCCAGCACCTTGATCATGGACGTCTAAGCCCCTAGAGCTGTAAGAAATAAATGTCTGTAGTTTAAAAGGTATCAGTTTATGGTATTTTGTTATAGCAGTCCAAGTAGACTAAGATTAATTAGGAATGTTGAAAAAGTTGAAAGGTTCAACCCAGGAACTTATAATAATCTACCATTAATATGGTAAAAGATTTAATGAAAAAGGTAGACAACACATAAGATCAGATGGATACGTAAGCAAAGAGATGGAAATTTTAAGGAATAGCTAAAAAAAAAGATAGAGACTAAGATTAAAAAACACTGCAATGAAAAGAAATAGTGCATTTGATGGGCTCATGAATAGACTGAACATGGCTGGGAAAAAAACTCTGAGCGTAAGGATTTTACAATTAATACCTTCCAAATTGAAAATCCAGAGGAATAAAAAAGACTGAAAAAAAAAACAGAACAGAATATTCAGGGATTGTGGAATAATTAAAAAACATGTAACAGATGTAATATGAGAAGACCAAAGGGAAAATAAAGAAACAGAGAGTATATTTTTTTAAAAAAATGGCCAAGAACTCATTAAAACTGAGGAAAGAATTGAACATACAGATTCAAGAAGTTCAACTGAAATAAATCAAGAGAGTACCACAGCAAAACATATTATAATTAACATATCTAAAATAAAAAATAAAGAAACAACTGCACAAGCAGCAAGAAAAAAGTGATTTAACACATATAAGGGAGCTTCTGTTACATTATCAGTGGATTTCTCAGGAGAAATATTGCAGTCCAGAAGGGTGATAATATATTCAAAGTGCTGAAGGAAAAATAAAACTCTCAACAAAGAATTTTGTATCTGACCAAACTATCCTAAAATGAGAAATTAAGACATTGTTAGATAAGCAAAAGCTAAGGGAGTTCATCACCACTAGACTTGTTCTACACACACACACACACACACACACACACACACACACACACAAAATGCTAAAAGGTATCTTTCAAGTGGAAATGAAAGTAAATTGACAGCAACATAAAGCTGTTCAAAAAACTGTTTATACCTAATGCTAAATGATGAGTTAATGGGTGCAGCACACCAGCATGGCACATGTATACATATGTAACTAACCGCCACATTGTGCACATGTACCCTAAAACTTAAAGTATAATAACAATAAAAAAAAACTGTTTACCTCCAGTAAAGGTTAATATGTGGATAAATATAATAAAACATGCTACTGTAATTTTGGTATATAGAATGTAAATGCCAAAAGCAAGAATAACAATAAATCTATGTCCATGACTGTACAATATATAAAGATATAAGTTGTGACAGCAACAACATAAACTGAGGGTGTGGGTGAGGTTGTAAAGAGTAGACTTTTTATATTGAATTGAAGTTAAGTTCTTGCCAATTTAAAATAGAATGCTATAATTTTAAGATGCTTTTTGCCATTTTATAGTAACAATGATGCAATTATTTATAAAATATATACAGAAGGAAATGAGAAGAGAATCAAATCACATAAAGAAAAAAATTTTACAAACACAAAGGAAGTCAGTAATATTGGATAGAAGAAACAAAAAGGCTACAAATATACAGAAAACAATGAACAAAATTACAATAGTAACTTCTTCCTTATAGAGAAATACTTCAGAAGTAAACAGATTAAACTCCCTAATCAAAAGACAGATTGGCTGAGTGGATTAGAAAATAAGATCCAACTATACGTTGTGAACAAGAGACACACTTTAGATCTAAGGACACACAAGCTGAACGTGAAATAAGGAAAAAAGATGTTCCATGAAAATGGTAAACAAGAAAAAGCAGGAATAGCTATTCAAATAGTAGACAAATAGACCAATCAAAAATGGTTACGAGAGACAAAGAAGCATTATGTAATGCTAAAAGGGTCAATTAACAAAGATATAATAGTTATCCAAAGTTCAGAGCTTCAAATGTATGAAGCAATTTTTTTTAGAATTGAAGTGAGAAATAAACAAAAGCATAAAAACAGAATTCAATACCTCACTTTCAATAAGAGATAGAAAAAAAAAGTGCAGCTCACTGCCAGTACTCATTTAATTTTACATGAACACACTTTCAGGCTGAAGGAAAATGTGACTGATTTTTACTGTGAAAATAAAATATAAAAAACTGCTCTTGGATTTATTTCCAAACAGAACTAACATCAGAATCATCCGAATCATCAGAATTGCCTATTTTGGAAAAATCAGATTCATTAAACGAATCTTTGTCCAACAACTGTTCAAGAAAAATGTTAACATCATGTGTAGAAATGTTATGTTTTGGAGCATTTGATATTTTTAGCAATCAAGAATTAGTTTATTTTGTAAATGAAAATACCACTACTAAAAACAGAATGCTATAAATAGAATGATGTATTTTGTCTCCAAAGCTGCTATACTAGAGCGCTGAAAAAATAATAATTAAAGTAATATATTTTATGACAAAGTTATCCAAGGGTAAATGCTGCAGCCACAGACGCTGCTGAGGAGTATTCTAGGGGGAAAGAGAAAATGGGTTAAATCATGCGAAGTATTTTTTTTATCAGAATGTGATAAAAATAGAAATGATTAGCACAAGAAAACCTAGAAAATCCACAAATATGGAGAAATTAACAAGACAATTTTCAACCATCAATGAATCTAAAAAGAAGTCAGAAGGGAAATCAGACAATATTTTGAGACTAACAAAAATGAAAACACAACACATCTAAACTTATATAATGCAGGGAAACAGTGCTAATTGGGAGATTTATAACTGTAAATTTATACGTTAAAAAGAATCCCAAATCAACAACCTAACTTTATACCTCAAGAAGCTACAGAAAGAACAAACTAAACACAAAGTTAATAGAGGAAAGAGAATAATAAATATTAGAGCAGAGATAAACAAAATAGAGAATAGAAAAACAATAGGAAAATCAATGAGTTCAGAGGGAAGTCACTGCAAGTGGATGGAGGTAAGACACAGAAGCTGGGCTGAAGCGGGAGAAAGTTGAAAACCCTACATGGGGGCTACTGTGCATCTGGACTCATTTCTGGCTCCCAACAGCTCCAGGAGAATGGGTGAGTTGAACCGGCAAAAAATAACCTGTTCTCGCCACAGGCCACTGGAACCTCCGCAGGACAAGACCTGTCCACCTCCAGTTGAGTTCTATCCTTTACTCAAATTTGTAGTAAGAGCTACTTAGAGAACTGATAGGGGAAGCAAGCCAGTTGATGTGGAGACCAGGGGAGTGGCCGTAGTGGAGCACAGCCAAGGACAGCCATCGCCCTAGGCTCAACTTGCTCCCATAGGAGACTTTAGCTCTAGAGGAACTGTTGGTCCTGAACTCTGCAGGGTTATCTTCCCCATCAGATGGGGCCAGTCTGACCGGAATACCCCTTGGTCTGCTAGCCTCTCCTGGGGCCCCAGCCTGACCACACCTTCTTGCAAGGCAGCCTCAGGTGCCTATAGTACAGCCTCTGTGCTGGTGGACCACCTGAATGGCAGAGTTCCAGCAGGGTGGCCCCCATGGCTACGCACCAGCCAGTACACTTCCTCCACAAATTGCAGCTTCCCCATGGCCCATGACAACTCACTTTGCTGGCAAGTGTCTGTGTGGGCTGGTGTTGTTTTCCTTGCCCTGCCAGCACAAGAGTGTGCATGCACCCTGCCCTGCTACTGCTGTGGTGGGAGCATATTCCACCTCCCATCCTCCCACTGATTACCAATGCAGAGGGTGCACTGGTGAACATAGAGCCAGCCAGACTCAACCCCACCAGCACCCCACCCTTGTGCCAACACTGCCATGGGAGTGAAACTAGATGTGGAGAAGAGCAGCCCTAAGCAACACTCCTGCTTGTGGTGCACAGAGAAGACACAAAGACCTGCACCCACCAGCACCCCATCCCCGAACCAACACCACCACCAGTGTGAACACACAAACACAGTCACCAGCAGGGGACCCTGATACCCCTTGAGCTGTGTTACCTCCACCACTGTGGTGAACACTCACAGGGTGACAGGCACCCTGGCACCCACTAACACCCTGATGCAGCTGATGAGTATGCACCCCACTGTACTGTTGCTACCACTGCTGCTGACATGTGTAAACAATGCTGAATCCTGCTGTCACCGCACTATAAAAAGCTTTCGCTGACACCACTCCTTGATGTTTAGTGACCAGCGGGTTTGGGAGCACATTGCCCACCTACCCTGCAACCCCAGCACAGAGGATTCCTATCTCAAGGAGCTGCAGAGAACAAAGTTGGGGCCCAATACAAGTTCCTTAGAATTAGACTGCACAGTCCAGGACTTGGGAGCTAAGCATTGGCCCTCTAAAATCTTCCAGAAAGAAAGCCAGTCAGCTGAATATCTTATACCACAATCAAATCCTCAAGTTCATCAAATAAGAAAAGAAAAGAGACCCATTCAAAGGTCAGCAACCTCAAAAAATGAAGGAACACAAGCCCACAAAAATAAGAAAGTTCCAGCACAAGAACCCTGACAAAAAGCCAGAGTACCTTCTTTCCTCCATACAACCACATCACCTCTCCAGCAAGGGTTTTGAACTAAGCTGAGATGGATGAAGTGACAGAAATAAATTTCAGCATATAGACAGGACCAAAGATCAGTGAGCTACAGGAATATATTGAAGCCCATTCTAAGGAAGTTAAGAATGACGATAAAATTGCAGGAGCTGGCAGACAAAATAGCCAATATAGAAAAAAAAGTAACAATCCTGATAGAGCTGAAAAAAAAAACCCTACAATAATTTCATAATGTAATCACAAGTATTAATAGCAAAATAGACCAAGTGGAGAAAAGAATCTCACAGCTTGAAGATTGACTTTCTGAGATAAGACGGCCAGAGAATAATAGTGATAAAAGAATAAAAGGAACAAACACTTCCGAGAAATATGAAGTTATGTAAAGAGATGAAATCTATGACACGTTGGTGTCCCTAAAAAAGATGGGGAGAATGGAACCAACTTGGAAAAACATATTTCAGGACATCCTCCATAAGAACTTCCCCAACCCAGCTAGAGAGGCTAACATTCAAATTGTAGAAATGCAGAGAACCGTAGTAAGATACTTCAAAAGAAGACTGTCCACAAAAAACATAATCATCAGATTCTCCAAGGTAAAAATGAAACAACACATCTTAAAGGCAGCCAGAGAGAAAGGTCAGGTAATCTACAAAGGGAAGCCCATCAGACTAACAGCAGACCTCTCAGCAGAAACCTTACAAAACAGAAGAGATTGGGGGCCAATATTCAACATCGTTAAAGAAAATAAATTTCAATCCGGAATTTCATATCCAGCAAACTAAGCTTTACGAGCAAAGGAAAAATAAGACCCTCTTCAGACAAGCAAATGCTGAGGGAATTCATCACTACCAGGCATGCCTTACAAGAGCTGCTGAAGGAAGCACTAAATACAGAAAAGACCATTACCAGCCACTACAAACACACACTCAAATACACAGACTTGTGAACTATAAAGCAATAACATAGGGGCAGGGCCAAGATGGCCAACTAGAAACAGCTGTGTTCAGAGGCTCCCATCAAAAAATCCACGAGAAGGATGTGAATCCTTTACTGGCAACCAAGGTATCCAGGTTCTCTCATCAAAATTGACTAGAAGGATAGAGTGACCCACGGAGAGAAGGAAGAGCAGTGTGGTGAGGCGGCCCACCTGAGAGCCACACGGGGAAGAGGAAATACCACCCCCCAGCCACCCTGCTGGGAAAACTGTGCTTTTTCCACGTAACTTTGCAACCCACAGATTGGAAGATCCCACTTGCGGACCCACGCAACCAGGACCTAGGGTCCCAAACCAGAATCTTACAGCCTTTCAGCTGGAATCTGCTTAAGCCTACCAAACTCTCGGGGGAGGGGTGACCAACACCAGCTGCCACTGCCTGCTGTCTAAACCATTTGAGCTCCTTGGTGGAGGGGCAGCAGACAACACTGGGACTGGCAAATGGCTAACACGCTAAGTTCCCTGGGTTGGGGAAGGGCAGCACACATTCTATAGCTTCAGGCTGCGCTTTTTCCCTGGTGGAGCCAGGGAGGCTGGATGTCTTGGTACCAAGACTTGTCCCCAACTGCCCGACACGCTGACTGTGGCAGTCAGTTGCCAGAGTGCCTCTTTAGGTCTAACCCTGACACATTCTTCTTCAGTGGGTGGGGCTTCCCTGCAGGATCTCAGGTAACTCCAGCCAGAGTCTCAGGGACAGAATTCAGATCTCCCTGGATCTGAGCCCCTAGGGGGAGGGCTGGCCACAGTCTCTGCAGACCAGCAGACTTAGCCTCTCCTCCTGGTAGTCTGAGGAATCCAGAAAATCCAGACAAGTGGGCTCCCCCCAGCAAAACACACCCTATACACCAAGGGACAAAGTGCCTCATTAGATGAGTCCTGCTCCCCATGCCACCCAACTGGGCAAGACCCTCCAACAGGGATTGTCAGACATCCTAAACAGGAGCAATTCTACTGGCATCAGGCTGGTGCCCCTCGAGGTCAGAGGTCCCAGAAGAAGGAGCAGGCACCCATCTTTGCTGCTCTCCAGGCTTCCTGAGTGACATATCCAGGCACAGGAGCAAATCAGATGAATAAGGCTTGAAGCAAACCCCCAGCAAACTGCAGCAGCCCTACAGAAGAGGGACCTGATTATTGAAAGAAAAATAAATAAGCAGAAAGTGACAAAAACAGCATCAACAACAACAAAAAGGCCCTCACAAAAATCTGATACAAGGGTCAGCAGCCTCAAATATTATAACTAGAAAAACTCATGAAGATGAGAAAGAATCAATGAAAACATGCTCAAAACCCAAAAGGCCAGAGTTCCTCTTGTCCTTCAAATAATTGCAACTTCTCTCCATCAAGGGAACATAACTGGATGGAGGATTAGATGGATGAATTGACAGAAATAGGCTTCAGAAGATGGGCAATAAAAAACTATGATGAGCTAAAGGAACGTGTTCTAACCCAAGGCAAATGAGCTAAGAATCTTGATAAAAAGTTAGAGGAATTGCTAACTAGAATAACCAGTTTAGAGAGGAACATAAATGACCTGAGGGAGCTGAAAAACATAGCACAAGAACTTCATGAAGAATACACAAGTATCAATAGCCAAATTGACCAAGCGGAAGAAAGGATATCAGAGTTTGAAGACCACCCTACTGAAATATGACCTGCAGTCAAAAACAGAGAAAAAAGAATGAAAATGAATGAACAAAGCCTCCAAGAAATATGGGACTGCATAAAAAGACTGAACATACAATTGATCAGAATACCAGGAGACAGGGAGAATGGAAATGAGCTGGAAAATGCACCTCAGAATATTATCCGGGAGAACTTCTCCAACCTAGCAAGGACAGGCCAACATGCAAATTCAGGAAATACAGAGAATACAATTAAGATACTCCAAGAGAAGATCAACCCCAAGACCCATAATCATCAGATTCTCTAAGGTCAAAATGAAGAAAAAACTGTTAAGGGCAGCCAGAGAAAGGCCAGGTTACCTACAAAAGGAATCCCATCAGACTGACAGTGGACCTCCCAGCAGAAATGATACAAGCCAGAAGAGATTGGGGAACAATATTCGACATTCTTAAAGAAAAGAGTTTTCTGTCCAGAATTTCATGTGCAACCAAAGTAAGCTTCATAAGCAAAGGAGAAATAAAATCCTTCCCAGAAAAGGAAATGCTGAGGAATTTTGTTACCACCAGGCCTGCCCTGCAATAGCTCCTGTAAGAGGTAATAAATACAGAAAAGAAACACTCATACCAGCCACTGAAAAAATAAAAAAAAAGAAAGAGAAAGAAAGAAAGAAAGAAAGAAAGAAAGAAAGAAAGAAAGAAAGAAAGAAAGAAAGAAAGAAGGAAGGAAGGGAAAAGAAAGGAAAAGAAAAGAAAAGTAAAGAAAAGAAAGTAAAGAAAAGAAAAGAAAACTACAGCTAGCTTGGTGTCTGCCCAAACAGCAGCCCAGTTTTGTGCTTGAAACCCAGGGCCCTGGTGGTGTAGGCACCCAAGGGAATCTCCTGCCTTGTGGGTTGCAAAGACCGTGGGAAAAGTGTAGTATCTGGGCCAGAGTGCACCGTTCCTCACTGCAGAGTCCCTCATGGCTTGCTTCCCTTGGCTAGGGGTAGGGAGTTTTCTGACCCGTTGTGCTTCCTGGGTGAGGTGACACCACACCCTGCTTTGGCTCACCCTCTGTGGGCTGCATCCACTGTCTAATCAGTCCCAGTGAAATGAGCTGGGTACCTCAGTTGGAAATGCAGAAATCACCCACCCGCTGCAATGATCTCGCTAGGAGCTGCAGACCAGAGCTGTCTATTCAGCCATTTTGCCAGCCACCAGCCAAAATGTTTATTTTCTAAAAAGAACAGGGTTAGAGGACTCACTTTTTTTTCTTGATTTCCTGAAACATATTACAAAGTTTCAGTAAACAAAATAGCATGGTACTGGCATAAAGACAGATCAGTATGTTAATGGAGTAGAATAGAAAACTTTGAAATAAACTCTCATGTATATGGTCAAATAATCTTCAACATGAGTGCTAAGACAATTCAGTGGGGGAAAGGACAGAATCTTCAACCAATGATGCTGGGAAAACTAGATATCCACATTCAAAAGAATGAAGTTGGATCCTTATCTTACACCATGTACAAAAATTAACTCAAAATGCATTAAAGAACTAAATGTAAGACCTAAAACTATAAAACTCTTAGAAGAAAACTAGGGGTAAAGCTTCAACATCGGACTTGGCAATGATTTCTTGGATATGACACCAAAAGCATAGGCAGCAAATGCAAAAAAAAAAAAAAAAGACAAACAGACTACTTCAAACTTACAAACTTCAATGCATCAAAGAACAAAACCAATAGAATGAAATGGCAACATAAAAAATGGGAGAAAATATTTTCAAATTATATATCTGATAAGGAGTTAATATCTAGAATACATAAAGAATTCATACAAATGAACAACAAAAGTCAAATAACTCAATTTTAAAATAGACAATGTTAATAGAGATGTTAACAAATGATTCTACAAAGATGATACATAAGTGGACAAGCATATGTAAAGATGCTTGATATATCACCAATCATCAAAGAAATATAAACCAAAACCACAATGAGATATTACCTCACATTCATTAGGAAGGTTATTATTTAAAAAACACAGAAAATAGCAAGTGTTGGAAAACGTGAGGAAATAAGAATGCTTGTGTAATGTTGGTAAGATTGTAAAATTGTGCAAACGCTATCATAAACAGTATGAAGGGCCCACAGAAAAAGTAAAAATGAAACTATTTTGTAATCCTGCAATCCCTCTTCTGAATATGTACCCAAAATTATTGAAAGCAGGTCCTCAAAGAGATATTTACACACCTATGTTCATTGCAGCACTATTAACAATAGCACAGATTTGGAATCACTGCAAATGTCTATTGATGGATGGATAGTCACACATGGAATATTATTCAGTATTAAAAAGGAAAAAAATCTTGTCACATGATATAACATGGATGAACCTTGAGCACATTATGTTAAGTGGTGTAAGACAGTCACAAAAAGACAAATACTGTATGATTCTACTTATGTGAGGTATCTACAGCAGTGAAATTTATAGATACAGAAAGTAGAATGATTACCATGGGCTGGCAGGAGATAGAAAACAGGAGTGGTTTAATGGGTATAGAGTTTCAGATTTGCAAGATGAGAAAGCTGAGAAAATCTGTTTCACAGCAATGTGAATATACTTAACAATACTGGACTGTAAACTTGAAAATAGATAAGATGGTAAATGTCTTACTATGTGTGATTTCTACTCCCATTATCTCTAGGACTGTATCCGCTACTAGTGTCCCTCTTGTTCTACTCTTTCTAGTTACATTGGTACCCCAGATGTCCCTCAGACATGCGTTTGACCATTTCAACTAATTGTCTTTGCACTAGTTATTTTATATTTCTGAAATACTCTTCCTGTAGATATTTGTTTAATTTCTTCACCTCTGAAAAGTTTTATTCAAATATTATCTTCTCAAACATGTTTACCCTAAACGCTCAATTTATAATTAAAATATGGCTTCGCTGTCACAACTTCTAATCTCCCTTACTTTGTTCTATTTATTTTTCCCATAGTGTTTGTCTCCTTCTAGATGAAAACACAAGTTTAACTGTACCTTTCCTCACCATAAGCAATCTTGTAATGGCTTCTCATCCTGTGGGAATAGTGAGGCATGTTCCTCACGTTAGTCTTTAAGGCTTTACATGTGCTAACTCTCTGTTACCCTTCTAACCTCATTTTCTGGTACGCCCATCCCTCACCCTTTCTTACTAACCTCTATCTAGCCACTAAAGTTTCTTCTTACTGTTCTTGAAAACTGCTATGTTTTAGCTTTGAGGTCTTGGTACATGTTGTTTTCTTCTGTAGAAGACAATTTCCTCAGATATAATTATGACTCTCCATTTCTTCAGGTCTTTACTCGAAAGCCTCATTCTTAATAAACCTTACCCAAGCCCTACATTTATAATTTTAGGCATCCCAGCACTTAATATCAGGTTCCCCTGCCTTATATACATTTTCCTTATCACTGACTATCATTTAACGTAATATGTATTATATTTATTTTATTTGTTGCTTCCTCCATTAAAATGTAAGCTGCATGATGGAACAAAATTTTGTCTTGTTTTTACTATTATAATCCCAGTACTTAGACTAGTAGGCATGAAGTAAATATTTGTTTCTTAAAATTGGAAACATTACATCATAAGAAGCAACTGGGGCTTTGTATTTCATTTGTGAACACATAGAAGAAAGTATGTTTTCACCAAAAAAAAACTAGATATCTTAAAGTTATTACTTTTTCTGATGCCTAATATGTCATACAGAATAGAAATATTTTCGTTTAAATAAAAGAGAGGGAATGTCGCTGTATAATATATCTTTTATATGAGATTTTCTTTTATTATTATACTTTAAGTTCTAGGGTACATGTGCACAACATGTAGGTTTGTTACATATGTATACCTGTGCCATGTTGGTGTGCTGCACCCATTAACTCATGATTTACTTTAGGTATATCTCCTAACGCTATCCCTCCCTGCTCCCCCCACCTCACAACAGGCCCCAGTGTGTGATGTTCCCCTTCCTGTGTCCAAGTGTTCTCATTGTTCAATTCCCACCTATGAGTGAGAACATGCAGTGTTTGGTTTTCTGTCCTTGCGATAGTTTGCTCTGAATGATGGTTTCCAGCTTCATCCATGTCCCCACAAAGGACATGGACTCATCCTTTTTTATGGCTGCATAGTATTCCATGGTGTATATGTGCCACATTTTCTTAATCTAGTCTATCATTGTTGGACATTTGTGTTGGTTCCAAGTCTTTGCTGTTGTGAATAGTGCCGCAATAAACATACATGTGCATGTGTCTTTATAGCACCATGATTTATAATCCTTTGGGTGTATACCCAGTAATGGGATGGCTGGGTCAAATGGTATTTCTAGTTCTAGATCCTCGAGGAATGGCCACACTGTCTTCCATAATGGTTGAACTAGTTTACAGTCCCACCAACAGTGTAAAAGTGTTCCTATTTCTCCACATCCTCTCCAGCACCTGTTGTTTCCTGACTTTTTAATGATCGCCATTCTAACTGGTGTGAGATGGTATTGCATTGTGGTTTTGATTTGCATTTCTCTGATGGCCAGTGATGATGAGCATTTTTTCATGTGTCTGTTGGCTGCATAAATGTCTTCTTTCGAGAAGCGTCTGTTCATATCCTTCACCCACTTTTTGATGGGGTTGTTTTTTCTTGTAAATTTGTTTGAGTTCATTGTAGATTCTGGATATTAGTCCTTTGTCAGATGAGTAGACTGCAAAAATTTTCTCCCATTCTGTAGGTTGCCTGTTCACTCTGATGGTAGTTTCTTTTGCTGTGCAGGAGCTCTTTAGTTTAATTAGATCCCATTTGTCAATTTTGGCTTTTATTGCCATTGCTTTTGGTGTTTTAGACATGAAGTCCTTGCCCATGCCTATGTCCTGAATGGTATTGCCTAGGTTTTCTTCTAGGGTTTTTATGGTTTTAGGTCTAACATTTAAGTCTTTACTCCATCTTGAATTAATTTTTGTATAAGATGTAAGGAAGGGATCCAGTTTCAGCTTTCTACATATGGCTAGCCAGATTTCCCAGCACCATTTATTAAATAGGGAATCCTTTCCCCATTTCTTGTTTTTGTCAGGTTGTCAAAGATCAGATGGTTTTAGATGTGTGGCATTATTTCTGAGGGCTCTGTTCTGTTCCATTGGTCTATATCTCTGTTTTGGTACCAGTACCATGCTGTTTTGGTACCAGTACCATGCTGTTTTGGTTAGTGTAGCCTTGTAGTATAGTTTGAAGTCAGATAGCATGACTGGAAGCATTCCCTTTGAAAACTGGCACAAGACAGGGATGCCCTCTCTCACCACTCCTACTCAACATAATGTTGGAAGTTCTGGCCAGGGCAATGAGGCAGGAGAAATAAATAAAGGGTATTCAATTAGGAAAAGAGGAAGTCAAGTTGTCCCTGTTTGCAGATGACATGATTGTATATCTAGAAAACCCCATCGCCTCAGCCGAAAATCTCCTTAAGCTGATAAGCAACTTCAACAAAGTCTCAGGATACAAAATGTGCAAAAATCACAAGCATTCTTGTACACCAATAACAGACAAACAGAGAGCCAAATCGTGAGTGAACTCCCATTCACAATTGCTTCAAAGAGAATAAAATACCTAGGAATCCAACTTACAAGGGATGTGAAGGACTTCTTCAAGGAGAACTACAAACCACTGCTCAATGAAATAAAAGAGGACACAAACAAATGGAAGAACATTCCATGCTCATGCATAGGAAAAATCAATATCGTAAAAATGGCCATACTGCCCAAGGTAATTTATAGATTTGATGCCATCCCCATCAAGCTACCAATGACTTTCTTCACAGAATTGGAAAAACTGCTTTAAAGTTCATATGGAACCAAAAAAGAGCCTGCATTGTCAAGTCAATCCTAAGCTATATGAGATATTTTTAGTTATATTATAATGTGTCAGTGTTTGCATTAAGACAAAGAAAAAATCTTATGAAATAAGTTCAGTTTTGGCCACTGCTGTATTTGCAAAATAAATATATGTTCATTTTATTCCTTCAAAACAAAGTGCAGATTAAGTGGCAATTACCATACCCTTTAAATCTAATGAGCAAAGAATATTAAGGAATGCAAAATTACTATGCACTGTTTGTGCTTTTCATTTGTGCCAATGATAAAAAGAGGTGGAAGGAATATTTGACTAATATAAATCCTTCTTTATACTTTTATAAAACAATTTAAGTGTATGAGGCTTGACTTTACAGTAATTAGTCTTATTTTCTTTTGCAACTTCTAAGTTAAGTCTGAAGACCCTTCCAAAATGTGTTTAAAATGTTTTTATATAAAATTCTGATAGACTTTTTAAAGGCAAACACTCAAAAAAGAAATGCCATATGTTGTAAGTACCTTGAACAAAAAGTGAGAAGATTCAAATTTGAACACATTCTTTCATAACTGGATCTGTAGTATTTCATGCTACTTTATTTTTTTGGGCCACCGTTCTCTCAGTATTGAGTTAAATACTCTCTAAAATCCCCTTCATTTGTGAAAATTATAAAATTTTCTAAAAGAATGGTAGTTTCTATAATGGGAGGTGTTTAACTTGGGTACAATTTTTTCAGTCTCCAGAAACATAGTCCATCTATTCCACAGTTATACCACCAAATGTTCTAAGTGATAACAATGATAAATCTAAGTGTCTGAATATCTTAAAACATGCACTTTGATTCACTGAAACAAAAAGACTCAACAAAACTGGATATTGTAGTTGCATCAGACTGACAAGTGACAAGGTCAATTTATCAGTACATTATCACAGTTTCCTCATACATAATTAGTGACTGTGGAAGAAGAAAATCTTTTCAGGTTAAAGACTATGACTGTCTTTAAGCATATATATATTTTTTTTCACAAGGTTCCCAAGTTAGAGCTTAAGGACATAGCGCCATTGCTTTACATATTTTCACTCTATAGATGAATATACACACAAAAATGTAATCTCAAATTTGGAAAAAAAAAAGTATCTTTTTAGTAGATTTTTACCCACAATGCAAAAAAAAATTGTGTAAGGTATTTCTAAATATTACATTTAAGTCTAGCCTATGAATAACTCCTAAACGGGTTACTAGGTTAACACATAAACATGGAAAATTAGAAAATATTTAATCTGCATTATGCATATTAATATTTAAATGACCATTCTATTTTCCCCCGTATATATTAAATTTACCTATTGGTAACAGAGCATTCATTCATTTATTTATTCAGTTAAGAAACATTTATTTACTTCTGATTTACACTTGTTATGTACAAGGCTGGAAAGAGCATCACTGCTACCTTTACAATAATAACAACAGAAACAAAGCCAGACATATATGAAATTTCCAATTTTTTGAACCTGTCAGAAAGCTGAGGTCACAAGACAACCAAATAATTTGAAATCTAAGAAAAAAGAGGTAAAGAGAGATGAAGTGGATTTTTCTAATTTTCTGTAAATCCAAATGTATCTCAAAATTTGAAAAACGTGTTATAAATTGTTGACAAAATGAGACCCAATGCTGTGCTGGTTTCAGATCTTATGAGAGGCAGTTCTACTGGTGGTGAAAACAAAAGTGCTTGGGTTAACCACCCTCAGATCCAGGTGGCTCAGCACAGAGAGAGGGGATTTATTTGTTTGGGAGAAAGTAAGGGAAGAGAACAAGAGTCTCTGCTGGCAATCCAGATAGTTCTTTAAGATCTTATCAAAGACCACCAAGGCAGTACCTCTACAAGTCTGCAAGAACCACAGCACTAATGGGATTGGGGCCCAAGTCCCTTCAAACACCTAGAAAACCTTCCTAAGAAGGATGGGCACAAGAAAAACCCAGATAGTAAAAACAACAATAAATACCTAACTCTTCAATGCTCAGACACTGACAAACATCTACAAGCATCAAGGCCAGTCAGGTAAGGATTACTTCACCAAACAAACTAAATAAGGCACCAGCACCAATACTGGAGAAACCCAGACATATACTCTTTAAGACAGATACTTCAAAATAACTGTTTTGAAGAAGCTCAAAGAAATTGAAGATAACGCAGAAAAGGAATTCAGAATTTTATTAGATAAAATTTACAGAGACTGAAACAATTAAACAAAATCAAGTGGAAATTCCAGAAATGAATAATGCAATTGACACATTGAAGAATAAATCACAGTCTCTTAATAGCATAATTGATCAAGCAGAAGATAGAATTAGTGAGCTTGAAGACAGGCTATTTGAAAATACACAGTCAGAGGAAACAAAATAAAATAGAAAATAAAAGAATGAATCGCGCCAGAAAAACAGCTTCAAAAAACAAATCTAAGAGTTACTGACCTTAAAGAGGAAGTAGATAAAAAGATAGAGGTCGAAAGATTATTCTAATTAATAATGTCAGAGAACTTCCCAAACTTAGAAAAAGATATTAATATCCAAGTACACAAAGCTTATAGAACACCAAGCAAATTTAACCCAAATAAGACTACCTCAGGCATCTAATAATACAACTCCCAAATTTCAAGGATAAAGAAAGATCCTAAAAGCAGCAAGAGGAAAAAAAATAACATATGAGAAGGTTCTAATATGTCTAGCAGCAGCCATTTCAGTGAAAACCTTACAGGCCAGAAGAAGAGTGGCATGACATCCTTAAAGTGCTGATGGAAACAACAACAACAACAACAACAACAACAACAACAAAAATCTTTTGCCCTAGGATAGTATATCCAGCAAAAATATCCTACATGCATAAAAGATAAAGAAAGACTTTCCAAGACAAATAAAATCTGAGAGATTTCATCAACACCAGACCTGTTATTTAAGAAATGCTAAAAGAAGATCTTCATTCTGAAAAATAAAAGGTGGTAATGAGCAATAAGAAATCATTTGAGCATTTATCTCCAACTTATAAGTGAGAACATGCAGTATTTGCCAAATAGAGGGGAACAACACACACTGGAGCCTATCGGAATGTGGAGGGTGGAAGGAGGAAGAGAAGTAGGAAAAATAACAATGGCTACTAAGTCTAATACCTGGGTGATGAATTAACCTGTACAACCAACCCCCATGACACACGTTTACCTATGTAACAAACCTTCACATCCTGCACATGTACCCCTGAACTAAAAATAAAAGTTAAAAAAAAAGAAATCTTTGTAAGGTACAAAAGACATTGGTAATAATTAACACACAAAAAAACACTGCATATTATAGCACTCTAATTGTGGTGTGTAAGCTACTCTTATTTTAATTACCAAAACTAGATACTAACCAATCAAAAATAATAACTACAACTTTTCAAGACATAGACAGTACACTAAAACATAAAGAAAACAACAAATGTTAAAAAGTGGGAGGATAAAGTTAAAGTGTAGAGGTTTTATTTTTTCTGTTTTTGTTTGTTCATGCAAGATGTGTTATTGTCATCAGTTTAAAATATTGGGTTATAAGATAGCATTTTTATTCCTCATAGTAACCTCAAATAAAAAAATCTTACAACAAATGCACAAAAAATACAAAACAAGAAATTAAATTATACTAACAGAAAAAATCACCTTCACTGAAAGGAAGACAGGAAGGAAGAAAAGAAGTAAGAGAAGACCACAAAACAACCAGAAAACAAATAACAAAATGACAGCAGTAAGTCTTTATTTATCAATAATAACATTGAAGGTAAATGGACTAAACTCTCCAATAACAAGATATAGATTAGCTGAATGAATTAAAAACTAAGACCCAAAAATATCTTGCCTACAATAAGCACACTGTACCTATAAAGACACACATAGTCTAAAACTAAAGGGATGAATAAAGTTATTCCATGCCAATGAAAACCAACAAAGAGCAGTAGGACCTATTCTTATATCATGTAAAATAGATTTCAAGACAAAAAGTGTAAGAAGAGACTAAGAAGGTCATCATAGAATGATCAAGGTATCAATTCAGGAAAATAATATAACAAATATAAATATATATGCACCCAATACTGGAGCACTCAGATATATAAAACAAATATTATTGGAGTTAAAGACATAGATACACCTCAGAAGAATAATGGCTGGAGATTTCAACATTCTACTTTCAGCATTGGAAAGATTTTTCAGGCAGAAAATCAACAAAGAAACATCAGACTTTATCTCTACTACAGATGAAATGGACTTAACAGATATTTACAGAACATGTTATCCAATGACTGTGGAATACACATTCGTCTCCTCAGTACAGTAACATATAATCATTCTCATAAATAGTCCATATGTTAAGTCACAAAACAAGTAATAAAACATTCAAAACATTGAAATAGTGTCAGGCATCTTCTTTGACTACAAATTAGAAATCAATAACAAGAATTTTGGAAACCGTACAAATACATGGAAATTTATAAATGTGTTTCTGGAATACCAGTGGGTCAATGAATAAATTAAGAGGGAAGTTGAAAAAATTTTTGAAACAATTGATAATGGAAATACAGCATATCAAAAGCTATATGATAAGGCAAAAGCACTACTAAGAGGAAAATTTATAGCTCAAAGTGCCTGCATTTAAAAATTTCAAATAAATCACCTAATAATGCATCTTCTTAAAGAATTACAAAAGCTAGAGCACACCAAACCCAAAATTAGTACAAGAAACAATATAACAAATATCAGAGCATAAATAAATAAAACTGACATGAAGAAAACAATATAAAAAATCAACTAAATGAAAAGTTGCCCTTTGGAAAAGGTAAGTACAATTGGCAAACTAAGCCTTTAGCCAGATTAATAAAAAAAGAGAGAAGATCCAAATAAATAAAATCTGAGATGAAAAAGTAGACATTACAACTGATACTGTAGAAATTCAAAGCATAATTTGTGGCTACTATGAACAAATATATGCCAATGTGTTGGAAAAATCTAGAGAAAAGGGATACATTCCTCACACACACAACCTACCAAGATTGAATCATGAAGAAATCCAAACCATGAGCAGAACAATAACAAGTAATGAAATCAAAGCTGTAATAAAACTTTTCTCAGTAAACTCTCCCAGTAAAAGCCCAGGACCAAATGTCACTGCTGAATTTTGCCAAACATTTAAGGAAGAAATAATACCAGTTCTACTCAAACTATTACAAAAATAGGGGAAGAAGGACTACTTCCAAACTTATTCTATGAGGCCAGTGTTAACCTGATACCAAAAGCAGAAAAAGACACATCAAAAAATAAATAAATAAAAAATAAAGACCAATACAACTGATCGATATTGGGGTAATAATCCTCAGCAAAATATTAGCAAAGCAAATTCAACAACACATTATAAGTATCAATCATCATGATGATGTGGTATTCATTTCAGAAATACAAGGATGGTTCAACATATGCAATTCGATCAATGTGACACATCATGTCAACAGAATGAAGTACAAAAACCATATGCTCATTTCAATTGATACTGAAAAAGCACTTGAAAAAAATTCAGAATGCTTTTATGAAAAACCCTAAAAAACTGGGTATAAAAGCAATACATCTCAACATAATAAAGACCATATATAACAGACCCACAGATAGTATCATAGTGAATTGGGAAAAACTGAAGCCTTTTCTTTATCATATGGAACAAGACAAAGATTCCCACTTTCACCACTGTTATTTAACACAATATTAGAAGTCCTAGCTAGAGCAATCAGACAAGAGAAATAAAGGGCATCAAAACTGGAAACGAAGAAATCCAATTATCTTTGCTTGCAGATGATATGACCTTATATTTGAAAAAATTTAAAGACTCCACAAGAAAGCTATTGGAACTGATAAACAAATTCAGTAAAGTTTCAGTATACAATACCAAGGTACGAAAATCAATAGCATTTCTACATGCCAACACTAAAAAATCTGAAAGAGAAATCTAAAAATTTCCATTTACAATAGCCATGAATAAAATTTAATACCTAGGAATTAATATAATCAAAGAATTAAAAGGTCTGTATATTAAAAACTATAAAACACTGATAAAAAAAATTGAAGGAGGCAAAAAATGGAAATATATTTCATGTTCATGGATTGGAAGAGGCCATATCATTAAAATATCCATACAACACAAAGCAATCTACAGATTCAATGAAATACCCACCAAAATACCAATGACATCCTTCACAGAAATAGAAAAAACTATCCTAAAATTTATATGGAATCACAAAAGACCAGAATAGCCAAAGCTATCCTGAGCAAAAAGAATAAAACTGGAGGAATCACATTACCTGTCTTCAAATTATACTACAGAGCTATAGCAATAAAAACCGCATGGTACCTGTATAAAAACACACATATAGACGAATGAAACAGAATACAAAACCCATGAAAAAAATCCATACATCTACAGTTAACTCATTTTTGACAAAGCTTCCAAGAACATACTTAAGGGGAAAGACTGTCTCTTAAATAAATAATGCTGGGAAACTAGATATCCACATGAAAAAGGATAAAGGTAGGCCCTTATCTCTCACCATATAAAAAATCAAATCAAAATGTATTAAAGATTTAAATTTAATACTTGAAACTATTAAACTACTATAAGAAAACATCTTGAAAAAGCTCCAGGATATCCATCTGGGAAAATATTTTTTGAGTAATATCCCACAAGCACAGGCAACCAAAACAAAAATGAACAAATGGAAAACATCAAGTTAGAAAGCCTCTGCACAACAACAAAAACAATCAACAAAGTAAAGAGACAACTTACAGAATTGGAGAAAATCTTTGTAATCTACCCATCTGATATAGGATTAACAACCAGAAGATATAAGTAGCTCAAACAACTCTACAAGAAAATATCTAATAATCAGATTTTAAAATTGGCAAAAGATCTGAATAGACATTTCTCAAAAGATGACATAAAAATGGCAAACAGATATATAAAAAAGTTATCAACATTATTGATCATCAGAGAATGCAAATAAAAACTGAAATGAGATATCATCTCACCCCAGGTAAAACGGCTTTTATCCAAGACAGGCAATTAACAGTGCTGGTGAAGATGTGAAGAAAGGGGAACCTTCAACGCTATTGGTGGGAATGTAAATTACTACAACCACTATGGAGAACAGTTGATCAAAATATTAAAAATAGAGATCCTATAGGATTTAGCAATCTCACTGCTAGGTATGTACCAAGAAGAAAGGAAATGTGTATATTGAAGAGATGTCTGCATGCCCATGTTTATTACAGTGCTATTCACAATAGCCAAGATTTGGATGTAACCCAAGTGTTGATCAACAGATGAATGGATAAAGAAAATTTATATACACACACACACACACACACACACACACACACACACACACACACACAGTGGAGTACCCTTCAGCCATGAAAAAAAGGGATCCTACCATTTTTTTCTTTTTATTTCTTATTTTTTATTCCTGTAAACTGATTTTGCTTTTTAAAAAATTTTATATTTGGTTCAGAGGTACATGTGCAGAATTGCTCTAGGTAAACTCATGTCACGGGAGTGTACAAATTATTTTGTCACCCAGGTACTAAGCCTAGTACCCAATAGCTTTTTTTTCTGTGCATCTCCCTCTTTCCATTCTCTACCCTCTACTAGGTCACAGTGTCTGTTTTTTCTTTCTTTGTGTCCATGAGTTCTCATGATTTTGCTCCTACTTGTAAGTGAGACCATGTAGTATTTGGTTTTCTGTTGCTGCATTAGTTTGTTAAGGATAATGGCCTCCAGTTCCATCCATGTTCTCATGAAAGATATAATATAATTCTTTTTATAGCTGCACAGTATTCCATGGTGTATATGTACCAGTTTTTTAATCCAATCTGTTATTGATGGGCACTTACGTTCATTTCATATCTTTGCTATTGTGAATAGTGTTAAAATAAAAATTATCATGCATGTATCTTTACAGTAGAATAATTTATATTCCCCAGGTGTATAACCAGTAATGGGACTGCTGGGTTGAATTGTAGTTCTGTTTTTAGCTCTTTGAGAAATTGCCACACTGATTTCCACAATGGTTTAACTAATTTACACTCCCAACAACAGTGAATAAGTGTTCCCTTTTCTCTGCAACCTTGCCAGCATCTGTTATTTTTGACTTTTTAATAATAGCCATTCTCAATGGTGTAGGATAGTAGCTCATTAATGATTAGTAATATTGAGCTTTCATTTCATATGATTGTTGGCCTCATGTATGTCTTCTTTTGAAAAGTGTCAGTTCATGTTCTTTTGTTCACTTTGTAATGGGGTTGTTTGGGTTTTTTTTTTGGAAATTTGTTTAAATTACTTATAAATGCTGGAAATTAAACCTTTAACAGATGTATAGTTTGCCAATATTTTCTCTCATTGTGTAGGTTGTCTGTTTACTCTGTAGATGGCTTCTTTTGCTGTGCTGAAGCTCTTTAGTTGAATTAAATCTTATTTGTCAATGTTTGCTTTTGTTGCAATTGCTTTTGGCATCCGTGTCATGAAATCTTTGCTCATTCCTATGTCTAGAATAATATTGCCTAGATTGATTTCCAGGGTTCTTATAGTTTTGGGCTTTATACATAAGTCTTTAATATATCTTAAGTTGATTTTTGTATATGGTTTAAGGAAGGAGTCTACATTCAGTCTTCCACATATTGCTAGCCAGTTATCTCAGCACCATTTATTGAATAGGGAGTCCTTTCCACATTGCTTTTTTCTCGGCTTTGTTAAAGATCAGATGGTTGTAGGTCTGTGGCCTTATTTCCGTGCTCTCTATTCTGTCCAGTTGTTATCTGTGTCTGTTTTTAATACCAGTCCCATGCTGTTCTAGTTACTGTAGCCCTGTAGTGTAGTTTGAAATAGGGTAGTATGATGCCTCCAGCTTGGTTCTTTTTGCCTAGGGTTGCTTTGGCTATTCAGGCTCTTTTTTGGTTCCATATGAGTTTTAAAATAGTTTTTTTTTCTAGTTTTGTGATGAGTGTCATTGGTAGTTTGATAGGAATAGCATTGAATCTGTAAATTGCTTTTGGCAGTATGGCCATTTTAATAACATTGACTATTCCTATCTATGAGCATAAAATGGCTTTCCATTTGTTTGTGTCATCTCCGATTTCTTTGAGCAGTGTTTTGTACTTCTCATTTGAGAGGTCTTTCACCTCAGTTAGTTGAATTCCTAGGTATTTTATTCTTCTTGTGGCCATTCTGAATTGGATTCTATTACTATGTTCTCGGCTTCACTTTTGTTGATGTATAGGAATGCTATAATTTTTGGATATTCATTTTTTTATCTGGAAACTTTGCTGAAGTTGTTTATCAGCTTCAGTAGCTTTTGGGCTGAGACTACCCTGTTTTCTAGAGATAAAATTATGTCATCTGCAAACAGGGATAGTTCAACTTCCTCTCTTTCTATTTGCATGCGCTTTATTTCTTTCTCTTGCTTAATTGCTCCGGGCAGGGCTTCCAATGTTATGTTGAATAGTAGTGGTGAGAGATGGCATCCTTGTCCTGTGCCAGTTTTCAAGGGGAATGTTTCCCACATTTTCCCATTCAGTATGATGTTACCTGTGCATTTGTCATATATTACTCTTATTATTGTGAGGTAGGTACATTCCTTCAATACCTCATTTATTGAGAGTTTTTAAGAGAAGTGTTGAATTTTGTCAAATGCCTTTTTTGCATTTGTTTAGATAATCAATTGAGTTTTTTCTTTAGTTCTGTTTATATGATGAGTCACATTTATTGATTTTTGTATGTTGAATGAACCTTCCATTCCAGGGGTAAAGCCTATTTGATTGTAGTGGATTAGTTTTTTGATGTGCTACTAGATTCATTTTGCCACTATTTTGTTCAGGATTGTTGCATTGATGTTCATCAAAGATATTGGCCTGAAGTTTTCTATTTTTTTGTTGTGTCTCTGCCAGGTTTTTGTATCAGGATGATGCTGGCCTTATAAAATGAATTGGGGAGGAATCTCTTCTCGATTTTTTTAAATACTTTCAGTAGGAATGGTAGCAGCTCTTCTTTTTTACATCTGGTAAAATTTGTCTGTGAATCCATCTGGTCCTGGGCTTTTTTATTGGTTGGTAGGCTATTTATTATTTATTCAATTTCAGAGGTCACTATTGGTCTGTACAGGGAATCAATTTCTTCCTAGTTCAGTCTTTGAGAGTGTGTCTAGGAATTTATACACCCTTTCCAGGTTTTCCAGTTTGTGTGCATAGTGATTTCTTAGTAGTTTCTGATGGTTATTTGTATTTTTGTGTGGTCAGTGGTAACATCTTATCTGTCATTTCTAATTATGTTTATTTGTATCTTCTATCTTTTCTTATTTACTAGTCTAGGTAGTGGTTTATCTTATTAATCTTTTCAAAAAATTAACTCTTGGCTTATTCTTTACTAGTGTAGATAGTGGTTTATCTTATGAATCTTTTCAAAAAATTAACTCTTGTCTTCATTGATGTTTTGAATATATTCTTGTGTCTCAATCTCCTTCAGTTCAGCTCTGATTTTTGGTTTTGGTCTTCTGATAGCTTTAGGGTTGGTTTGCTCTTGCTTCTCTAATTATTTCAGTTGTGGTGTTAGGTTCTTAAGTTAAGATCTTTCCAACTTTTTGATGAGGGCATTTAGTGCTATGAATTTTCTTCTTATCACTGCTGTAGCTGTGTCCCAGAGATTCAAGTATGTTGTGTCTGTATTCTCATTAGTTTCAAAATACTTTTTGCTTTCTGCCTCAATTTCATTATTTACCTGGAAGCCATTTAGGAGCAAGTTGTTTAATTTCTGTGATTGTATGGTTTTCAGTGATTTTTTTTTAGTCTTCTATTTTTACTGCATTGTTTTCTAAGAGTGTTTAATATGCTTTTAGTTCTATTGTATTTGTTGAGAATTGTTTTATGTACAATTATGTGGTCAATTTTAGAGTGTGTGACATGTGGCTATGAGAAGAATGTATATTCTGTTGTTTTCCTGGTGAAGAGTTAGGTAGGGGTCTATCAGACCCACTTGGTCCAAAGTTGTGTTCAAGTTCTAAATATCCTTGTAAACTTTCTGTCTTAGTAATCTGTTTAACACTGTCAGTGGAGTGTCAAAATATAATGCTATTATTGCGTAGGAGTCTAAATCTTTTTAAAGGTCTCTAAGAATTTGCTTTGTGAATCTGTGTGCTCCTGTGTTGAGTGCATATATATATAGGATAGTTAGGTCTTCTCTTTGAATTGAGACCTTTACCATTATGTAACGTTCTTATTTGCCTATTTTTAATTTTGTTAGTTTAAAGACTGTTTTGTCTGAAATTAGGATCAAATCCTTGCTTTTGTCTGATCTCCATTTGCTTGGTAAATTTTCCTCCATATTGTTATTTTGAGCCTATAGGTGTTATTACATGGGAGATGGGTTTCTTAAAGACAGCATACAATGGGTCTTGGTTCTTTATGCAGCTTGTCACTCTGTGCATTTTAAGTGGGACATTTAGTTCATTTATATTCAAGGTTAGTATTGACATTTGTGGATTTGATCCTGTCATTCTGTTGTTAGCTGATAATTATGCCATTTGTTTGTGTTGTTACTTTATAGTGTCACTGGTCTGTGTATTTAAGTGTGTGTTTGGGTTGGCTGGTCATGGTCAACCATTTTTGTGTATATTGCTACTTTAAAGATCTCTTGTAAGGCAGGTCTGGTGTAATAAATTCCCTCAACATTTGTTTATCTGAAAAGGACCTTATTTCTCCTTCACTTCGGAAGCTTAGTTTAGCTGCATTTGAAATTATGAGTTGAAGATTTTATTTCTTTAAGAATGTCGAATATAAGTTCCCAATCTTTTCTGGCTTGTAGAGTTTCTGCTGAGAGTCCCACTGTTAGCCTGAAGACATTCCCATTGCGGGTGAAATGTCTTTTCTTTCTAGCTGCCTTTAACATTATTTCTTTCATGTCTACCTTGAAATATCTGATGACTATGTGTCTTGATGATGATTTTCTTGTGTAGAATCTTGCAGTTTTCCATATTTTCTGAGTTTGACTTATGGCCTTTCTAGCAAGGTTGCAGAAGTTTTTATAGACAATATCCTGAAATACGTTTTCCAAGTTGTTTTCTTTCTCTCCATCCTTTCAGTGATGCCAGTCGTTCATACATTTGGCCTCTTCATAATCCCATATTTCTTGAAGGTTTTGTTCATTCATTTTCATTCTTGTTTCTTTGTGATTGTCTGACTGTCTTATTTCAGAGAGCCAGTTGTCAATTTCTGAGATTCTTTCCTCAGTTTGATCTATTCTGCTGTTAAAACTTGTGATTGCATTGTGAAATTCTTGTAGTGTGTTTTTCATCTCTATCAGATGTATTTGTTTTGTTTTTCTTTTTTCTGCCTATTTTGTCTTTCAGCTCCTGTTTCATTTTATCATGATTTTGTGATTCTTAGTTTCCCTGAATTGGGTTATGCCATTCTTCTGAATCTTAATAATCTTAATTCCTGTCCATATTCTGAATTATATTTCTGTCATTCAGCCAACTCAGCCTAGTTAAGAACCTTTGTTGGAAAACTAGTGAGACCGTTTGGAGGACATAAGACACTCTGACCATTTGAGTTACTGAAGTTCTTGTGTTGGTTCTTTCTCATCTCTCTTTATGGGTTTTCCTTTAATTGCAGTGTGCATTGAATACAATCAATAGACTTCCTTTTTGGATGTTTTCACAGGGCCAAAGCTTTGGGCAGGTCCTTTTTTGTAGCTGACTTAATGTGTTTTGTTTCACAGGGGGCTATGTTTGTGAAGTACTTTTGGTCTTGAAGCTTTAGGATGGTATCCAGTAAATGATGCTTACTACAGTGGTCAGTTGGTGGGCTCTTGCTCATTCCTGTGGCTCCCTTGTATTTCCTCACTGTTGCAGCCATGTTCCCTCTCGATGCTATGAAAGTGTGCACTCCTCTCGCACTTAAATGCTGGCAGTAAATCATTGCTTAGAACTTCCAGCCTGCCCACAACAGCTCCGGGGAAATCTCAGGATTTACGTTCCCTCCCCAGCGTGAAGGCCGCAGAAGAAGGAATCTTTGTATTGGTTGTGGCCAAGGGTCTTTTGTTTATCTCCTGGGGGCTCCACCCCAGAGAGATGCAGGTCAGCAATTGCTCCGTGCTGTCAGTCCAGGATGGAGGGTCTGTGTTGTGGACCCAAGCCAGGGATTTCCTACGTGGTGACAAGCAGAGTCAGTGGGGATGGGGTAGGATCATGAGACTGGAGACTGGTAGGACCAGACTGGTCTCCTCTCCTTGGGTCAACTGCAGCTTGTTGGAGGTGTGGATAAGGCACTTAGTGTCTTTCCTCCTTTGTTAGTCTGAGGATATCAAAGACAGTTCCATTGCAGAGACAGCAGCAGAGAGGCTTTGTTTACCCCTGGATGCTCCACCTCTGAGAAACACAGAGCCACTGTTACCGGGAGTGCTCAGCCAGTGGGGTGGGGTAGCTGCAGTGCTGGCAAAAGCTTGGTTTTCTGCTTATTGTGGAGCAGGGGGTTGAAATCTCACAGGGAGGAGAGATTGGTCTCCTCTTCATATGGTAACTGTGACATGTTGTAAGGTTGGGTGTAACCTTCAGGCTCTTTGTTTCTTTCCCAGACAATGGGCAGCTGGGATAGAACTGTTGTTGTGGCAGTGGCAGAGAGGCTGTCATATGCCTCTGGTAGCCTCTCCCCAGGAAAACTCTGGGCCACTACATGTGGGTATGTTCAGCCATGGGTGGGAGCATGTCCTGCAGTCATGGGCTGGAGGCCCTGCCTGGTGAATAGTGGGGGATAGGGGTTTCCAGGGAAAGGGTGCTAGACTCCTCTCCAGATAGTGGCTATGGTATGCTGGAGGTGCCAGCATAATGACTAGAGCCTTTATTCCTTCCCCAGCCCAAGGGCTGTTAGGGCTGTACCACTGCGACTATAGTGGCAGAGGGGTTGTGGGTTTACTCTGGGATTTTCTCCTCTGAGAAATTCTGAGATGCCTCTGATTGTAGTGAACAGGTGGTGGCAGGGTGGTTGTGCTGGAGTCCCACGTTGGGCAGCCCTGTCCAGTGAGAAGTAAGGACCAGAATCTGCGTGGAGAACAGTCTGTCCACTTTCATGTGAGATGGTTACACTGTGCTGGGGTCTGAACTAGCCCCTGCTCCCTCCAGACGCTCCAGAGCCTGGAGATAGCAACAGAAAGGGATGCAAAGCAACAAAGATAGCAACTCACACCTCCCACTGGGAGCTCTGTCCAGGGAGTTGCAGAGCTGTTATTGGCTCCATAGCCCCAGTAGGGGGTGGTTGGAGGCCCAGACCTGGAGGATACACATGCCTGGTGAGGAGATATGGGAACAGGCACCACATAACAGTCTGGTTAATTTTCCACAGGGCTGCTGTGGTATCCTGGGGGTCCTCTCCAGTCTCTAGTTACCTTGGATTTTCTAGTACCCGAAAATATCAACAGTGAAGGCTGAAAAACAGTAAAGATGGTGGCTTACCCCTCCCTCTGGAAGCTCAGTCTCAGGGAGGCATAAACCTGTTACTGGCAGGAATGCACCTACATATGTGGCAGGAAACCCTAGTCAGGAGAACCCACCCTGGGAAGAGAAATGGGAATCAGGGACCCATTTAAAAAGTCTGGCTGCTTTTTTTTGTAGAGCAGCTCTGCTGTGCTTGGGATCCGCTCCAGCCCCAGTCACTTTGACTCTCTAAAGCCCAAAGGAAAGAATGGCTAAAGAGCAAAGATGGTGGCCCACCCCTGCCTCTGAGAGCTTCATCCCAGGGAGGTTTGGTACTACTGCTGGCCAGAAAACACTGGCGAGGTGACTGGAGACCCTGGTCAGGAGATGCTGCCCTGTGCAGGAAAACAAGATTATGGATCTCCATAAATAAGCAGTCTGACCACTTCTTCATAGAACTGCTGGGCTGTGCTTGGCGTCCTCTCCAGTCCCTGGTTGCCTCCAAATTTCTAGAGTCCTAAGGCAACAATAACTAAGGATGTGAAACAGCAAAGATGGTGGCCTGCCCCTTCCCCTGAGAGTTTTTTTTTCAGAGAGGTGTAACACTGCTAATGGTGGCTGTCTGGAATTCTAAGCCAGTGGATTTATCCTGCAAGGTGCCATGGAAGTGGAGTTTTCAGATCACTGCTGTTTAGCTCCCTGGATTTATCTTATTTTTTAGGGGTATGTACAGGGCTTTAACTTCTCGTTTTGCTGAAGTTGCCGCTGCTTTTGCCAGAAAGTCTGGGTATCTGAGCCCCACCGGGTTCTGCCTATGCCTGAATGGCTGCTCTGCCAAGACTCCATGTAGCTCTCCATGTCAGACTGAAGGCCCTGGTAGAGTGGATTATGAGGAGATATCCTGACCTGAAGGTTGCAAAGATCTGCGAGAGAAGTGTGGGTTCCCAGGTTGCTCACTCACTTACTGCTTCCCTGGAATGGGGAGGTTCCCCTGGCTCTGTGTTGCTCCCAAGTGGGCAGCTTCCTTCCTGCCTTGCTTTTCTCCGTTTTCAACGGGTTTAATTGTTTCCTTGATTAGTCCCAATGTGTGTATCTGGATGTTTTAGTTGAAGCTGCTGTATTTACTCACCCCTCCCTTTCCTCTCCATGAGAGAGGCACACCCTAGCTGCTTCTAGTAGACGATCTTCACCAAACATCCCCATCTCCAAAATCTTATCATTTTCAACAACATGGATGGAATTGGAGGTCATTATGTTAAGTGAAATAAATTAGACACAGAAAGACAAACATCACATGTTCTCACTTATTTGTGGGAGCTAAAAATGAAAACAATTGAACATATGGAGATAGGGAGTAGAAGGATGGGTATCAGAGGCTGGGAAGGAGAATTGGGGTTGGTAATAGAATGGGAATGCTTAATGGGTACAAAAAATAGTTAGAAAAAATGAATTAGACCTTGTATTTGATAGCACAACAGAGTGACTACAGTCAAAATAAATTAATTGTATATTTTAAAATAACTAAAATATTATAATTGGATTGTTTTTAATACAAATGATGAATGCTTGAGGATATGGATGCCCCATTTTACATAATATGACTGTGCATTGCATGTCTGTATTAAAACATCTCATGTACACCATAAGTATATAAACCTACTATGTACCCACAAAAATTAATATTATAATTAAAAAAGAAAGAAAACTCTGGGCCTAGTTGAATTCTACCAAATATTTAAGGAAAAAATATCAACTCTACATGATTCTTTCCAGACAATATAAGAGGAAGCACTACTTTCCTACTCATTTTTTGAGATCAGCATTATCTTGGTAGCAAAGCAAGCATAGATACTACAAGAAAAGAAAAAACATACCCACTCATATCCATCATAAAAACATAGAAGGAAACATCTTAAACTTAATATTAGAAATGTAAATCTAGCAATATGCAAAAAAGATAATAAATCATGAAAATGTAAAGTTGGTTCGGTACTTAAAGTCAATCAATGTCAATCACAATCTCAACAGCCTAAAAAAGAATAATATGATTATTTCAGAAGATGCAAAGGGAAAAAAGCATTTGACAAAATCCAAAATACTTTCCTAACCTAACAAAAATCTTTTCAAACAAGGAACAGAGGGAAATTGATTAACCTAAGTGGCACAAAAAAATACTGATAGGTGACATCATATTTAATGTTGAAAATCTGGTTTCCATGTAGTGTTGTGAACAAGGTAAGGATGTTCAGTCTTCCCACTGCTAGTCAACATCATATTAATAGGGCTTGCAATGCAATAAAGTAAGAAAAGGAAGGAAAAACATGCAAAATGGACAGAAAAAAATTGTCCATATTTGCAGATGGCATAATTGCTTATATAGAATATCCCCAAAAGGTCTATCACAAAGACTCTAGGTACAACCATCTTGAAAAGTAGTTTTTCAGTTTTTTTTCAAGGTAATCATACACTTGTCATATGGCCCGTCCATCACACTCTTTAGTATTTACCCAACAGAAATGAAACATTTGATTACACAAAATCAAATATATTTGTTTATATCAGGTTTACTTATATTTGCCAAAAACTGTAAACAAGTCAAATGTCCTTCAAACTCTAAACACATGTCCAAATTGTCAGACACCCATGCAATGCAATACTACTCAAACAATAATCAAGAATGAACTATTGATACATGCGACAAGATCAGTGACTTTAAAATGCTCTTTGCTTAGTGAAAGAAGCTGATATACTTCGGCTTTGTGTCCTCAAACAAATCTCATCTTGAATTGTAATCCCCAGGTGTTGAGGTAGGGAACTGGCAGGAGGTTTCCCCCATGCTGTTCTTGTGATACTGAGTTCTCATGAGATCTGATGGTTTTACAAGTGTTTGGCAGTTTCTCCTTCTCTGTCTCTCCTGCCACCTTGTGAAAAATGTACCTGTTTTTCCTTTGCCTTCCACCATGATTGTAAGTTTCCTGAGGCCTCCCCAGCCATATGGAACTATGAGTCAATTAAACCTCTTTCCTTTATAAGTTACCCAGTCTCAGGAAAGTTCTTTATAGCAGTGTGAAAACGGACTAATACAGAAGCCAATCAAAAGACTGCATATCACATGATTTTACTTGTATGACATTTTCAAAAAATTAAAACTGTAGTTATGGAGCACAGATCGGTGGTAACCATTGTTTGTGGTTGGAGGAGCAGCTAACTACGAAGAATTGAAGAAAGAAATTTGGGGAGAAAAATGGACCCTTCTGTTTGATTGAATACTGTAAAGGCTAAATAAAGACAAAAGGACCTGTAAACATGATGTACTTTAGTTGTCTATTTCTTTTCCCAAAGGAATACCACTGACAGATTGTGGAACTTTTTACAACATTACTAGTGATAAGCAAATTGAACATATATTGTAGATCATGAGAGCCAGAGAAAAAAGTTACAATAAGCAAGATGAATCTAAAATTAATATTGTACTACTGAAATAGAGACAAAGATATTAATAGGAACAGAGAGAGTGAGAGATGTTAGATGATTATAGATAGCTATATAGACAGCTAGATAGAGCCTGAAATATAGATATGATACACATTGGTTATTATGCATACACATATTTTCTTGTTCTCTTAGAGCTTACATTCTTGTTGGGTTGGGTCAAACAAGAAACACCAAAACATTTATTTTGTTGGATAGTAATAAATACAACGGAGAAATGTAAAACAGGTAGATATTTGTATGTAAAGAATAGAGAAGTGTAGGTATATTACTTATTATATATGTGTGCATATATATGCATATATGTGTGTATAAATATCTTTGTATCTATGCGTATATGTGTGTGTGTGTATAAATATCTTTCTGTCTATCTATTTATCTACCTATCATCATCTGTAACAAATGATGCTTGGAAAACTGGATATCCACATCTAAAAGAATGAAGTTGAACACGTGTCTTACACCATATACAAAAATTCACTTAAAATGAATTAAAGAACTAAATAGATGAACTAACACTGTAAAACTCCAATAAGAAAATGGGGGACATTGAGCAGAGACATGAATAAAATGAGGGAATGCATCATATAAATATCAGAGAAGATAATTTTTTAGCAGTGGAATGAGTGAGTGTAAAGGTTGTAAGGCAAAAGCATGATTGGTGTGTTATTTATTATAATATAATCTAATTAGAAAACTATGAACCTTTGACTACCCCGGCCTTGTTATTATTTTTCCCTTTTGAACAAAGCCCTTTTCCCAATGTTAATTTAACATCATGAAAGACCCATACTTTAATAGAAATTGTAGAAACAATTTTTAAAGCTTTATGTAAAAGAGGAAGATTTTACATTCCAAGGTGTTCCACTTTCAAAATATTTTCATCTCTCCAATCCCCTTTTACCCCTTTATTTCCAATAGTACCCTAAAGATATTTGAAAAACTTTTAAATCACTTTTCAAGAGTACATTTCCACTTAAAGGGTGCCCACCTATAAAATTGTTATTATTCTTATAATTTACTGAAGTCTTTCTCTGCTTAATATATTTCTCTCTGTGTGTGTGTGTGTGTGTGTGTGTGTGTGTGTATGTATGTTTCTGTGATGGAGTTTTGCTCTGTCGCCCATGCTGGAGTGCAGTGGTATGATCTTGGCTCACTGCAACCTCCGCCTCCCGGGTTGAAGCAATTCTCATGCCTCAGCCTCTGGAGTAGCTGGGACTACAGGCATGTGTCACCACACTGGGATAATTTTTGTATTTTTTTAATAGAGACAGGGGCTTCACCATGTTGGCTAGGCTAGTCTTGAACGTATGACCTCAAGTTATCTGCCCGCCTCAGCCTCCCAAAGTGCTGAGATTACAGGCATAAGCCACCACACCCAGCCAATATATTTCATATATGTGTTATTATCTGTCCCCTTTACTTGTGACTTTTACAGGAAGTAGATATTTTTTCCATTTTATAAATATATAAACTTAAAATATTTATATTATTCTCCTTGACTCACAAAATGCTAATATCAGTAATCTGGTAGTTGTGACCTAGTGCTTTGTAATTACCTTATTTTCTACACTAGATCTTAGCTGAAAAGCTGAAGCAATGCATAAGTACCTATTTACTGAGCAAAGTCAATGACTAATCAATTCATACCCAAGATTTGAGTTGAATGTGTGAGTGCATGTGTGTTTAAATAGGATGAAATTCTAGGGTCATCAATCAAAGCCAAGTATGTAAAAGTAAAATTTGCAGTGTAGATCTAGCCCCATGACTAGATGTGTTTACGAGCATATTATTTTTTTCTCTGAACATAAAGGACAGGCTTTTAAATATAGAACTTTTTTTAACTGTATTTATGCATGTAACCAAGGTAGTTTGAAACAGCACTGTATTAGTCCGTTTTCATGCTGCTGATAAAGACATACTGGAGACTGGGAAGAAAAAGAGCTTTAATTGGACTTACAGTTCCACATGGCTAGGGAGGCCTCAGAATCATGCCGGGAGGCGAAAGGTACTTTTTACGTAGGTGGAAGCAGGAGAAAATGAGGAAGAAGCACACAATTCAAGTTGAGATTTGGGTCGGGACACAGCCAAACCATATCAAGCACTAATTAAATAAAAATTTTATCAGTTTCAGCAAAAATCTATAGGTTCTAATTTCTTCCTGGGCATTTGCTTGCTTTTAGAATTTTATGCCCTGTCCATCTTTTGGATTATGAGGTGCCCCGATGTTGAAAAGAAAGCATATATAGTGCTGAATATAATATGCAATTGGTCATCTCCTTCTGCTTTATTATTTGATGTCATATAATCTTGATGCACACAAGTCGTTGAATCACATAATGCATCTGACAAGACATGAATAAACATGATACATTGTATAAGAATCAGATATTATGCTGACATTAATACTTTAACAGTGCTTATTCCCTCACCGCTCTCTCCCAATCGATGATCTAAATTAGCACATCTTTATATTTTTATATTCCCAGTTTTTAGACCCATTATCTTATTATATTTTTACTTTGATTTCAAGCACCTTTTAGAAAATAATATCCCAATAAATTCTAAGAGGATAATAGATATTTGAAAATAAAACTAAATTTCAAACAAAAGATTTTGCATCATAAATCCGAGAAGACCAAAGTTTATTACAAAATTTGCCATCGCACTGAAGTACCTTACTTATGAACGTAATATATCAAACAATTTTCCATATTCCTCTACATTTTCATATTTCATATAAAACTACACTGGGTATGGATTTACTTACTGGGATTATAAATCACTTGTCTAACTGCCTCATTGTTGACATGAATTTTAAATATTCAACTTCTTAAAACTAAACAGAAACCTCAGCTAGTAGCTTCACTGCATGGACTAAGTGTTTTCTGGGATAAAAGACATTCTTTTTGTTTATAATACGTTTGTCCACATTATCACGAAGGCTATATAAAAAAATGCATTTGAGATAAAAGAAACAGCATATCTTGGCACTGTGGCTTAAGTAGATTTTCTATTCATTACACAGATAAATGAAGCCAGTACAGTGCGTTACAAAGTAACACACGTTTAGACCACTACAGTATTACTTTGTAATATCCTCCACAGGAAATAATATATCACTGGCATTCACTGTCAAATCCAGTTTATATTTGTGAAGTTGTACCCTTTCCACTCATTTAAATGTGGATTATATTGATTCTCTTTCGATTTGGGATGTAAAAATGCTAAAGACATAGCTTTTATATTTCTATTTCCTTGCACTACCAGTGTTTAAAAATAAATGGTTAAACCAAGAAACATTATAATATTAACATTAGGTAAACTTAAAATACCCCAAATAAACCCATAGCTACATGTTAGGTTTCATTCTACAGAAAAGTATTGTATGCATTGATGATATATCCTTTCTGATTTCTGTGATTTATTTCTTGATCTTGAAATATCAGTTAATCCCCGGTTAGTGCTCTATATTCCATATATATATATATCTTATTTTAAACAGCTTTAAATGCTCTGTATTCTATCTATCTATCTATTTTATTTTAAATAGCTTCTTAAGTCTTGAAATGGATATTCCAAATAATGTTCATTTAGCTAAGTTTTTTGTTCTCCATCAACCTCTCACTCTCAGCCTTATTCACAGATAAAAGTGAGGCCATTATGAATGAACTCCTTCAACTATTATACTACACATGATACATTTGCGTCAAGAGCACTCATTCCTTTCTAATTTCTTCCTCTTTCACAGTTTTCCTTTATTCTTTCCAAAAATGACACTTCAACATTTACAGTGGATTCCCTCAACCATAGCCTCTCCCAGGGTCTTGTTGTATAAATAACACAATTTTTTTTCTACATCTTCACATTATTCCCAACTACTCCCTGGTTTCCAAGCCTTCCTCCTTCTCCTGGTAGACTGTATTTTCCAGAATCATCCAATGTGGCAGAATCAGTGACATGATTCCAAAGAATTAAACCTAGGCCAGCAATAAAGGCATAGCACCACCTAGTGACTAAACTGGTAGCTGAGAAATTAAGGGGTTTCGTTGATGACTAGAGGTAAGTAGATTATTCAATCAGAATAAAGTAGGAGTTGGGTAACCTAAGTTGAAAGCATGTGTTGATTCTAGGCAATGTTGACTATAAAGCCGTACTAGAAATATGTTTGAGTAAAGAGTATTAGCGACAAAACAGAAAGAAAATCAAGTGCTAAACAGGCAGAACTAAATAAAGAGCCAGCCCGCCACAGGACAAAGACCAAGATTGAATAAAACAAAAATTGTGGTATAAAACCTAGTTTAAACCAGAAAAAAAGGGGCTTGAAGTTGTTAATCAATAACAATGCTGTTTGGAAAATTAAAAATCTAATTATCTAAGACTTGTGATAGCTCAGGGCAATAAATTTGCTTCACAGTGTTTTTAAAACATTCTTATTCTGTTGAATCTGGGGTTGAAACTGGAAGCTAACAGCTTTCTCTAACCTTCTTGCCTCAGTTAAAATTGTAATTTCTTCTGTGCCATTGATGTTTCAGAGGAACTCAAATTAATTCACTTGAAGGTAGAATCACTGATACTCTAAAGAGAGATATTTAGAAAAAGGGCTTACATTACAAAAGCATATCACATATAACAAAATCAATCCTTGGTGAAATTGTTGTATGTCACTGTGGTAGTTTGTATTATTTGTTCAAAATATTTTCTGCCCACTCTACCAAGTCCTTGTTTATTTCCCTGGGGCATATACTAATGGAAAGAGTATCATCCCTACCATATTCCTGTCAGACTAATTCATGTGACTTTAGGCTAATGGCATGTGAGTGGAAGGGACATATGTCCCATCCAAGTAGAAGTGTTAAGAGGTGAGGTGCATTCGTACCATTGTTCTTTTTGTCGTGAAAAAATCTGTTCATACCTCAGATAAGGGTTGCTCTTTCAACGTGAGACTGAATAAAATAAGCCATAGAGTAGAGCCAAAACTTGCCAACAGAAGGTTTGGAAAGTGGGTGAGAAATGAATCTGCTATTGTAAGACACTAAAATTTTGAGTGTGTTTCTCATTGCAGTAAAATATAGCTTACAGTGACGAATATAGTCAGCTCTTTTACTCAATTACTCAGCTCCTCCATACTGCTAGTTACATCATCTAAGTATCAGAGACTACCAATTACCAGAATGTCTCTCACAGATCATTTTATACTACTCCAGTCTGAGGCATGAATCCCAACTACTTTCTTCTCAGAAAGTGACAGCATATTTAGCCTTCATCTGGATACCTTTGATAACAATGATCCCAGCAACTCTTGAGGGTTTATATAGCTCTGATGATTCATACATTTTACATTTTCTATATTGAATAAGAATCTAATTCCTCCTTAATCTATAATTCTGTAGATTTTTGACGTAATGTGGACACATGTGAAAGACTTGGAATTGTACCTATTATACCATTTTTGTTACGTTTGATCCATAGCAAAAAAAAAAAAGAAGCAAGAGAAAAGCAACTCATCAAGTACAAGGGATCTTCGGTAAGATTAACAACTGACTTCTCATCAGCAACTTTTGAAATCAGAAGGCAGTGAGATGATATATTCAATGTTATGAAAGGAAAAACAAAATGCTGTTACTCCAGAATACTATATCCTGCAAGAATATTTTCCAAAAATAAAGGAGAAATAAGACATTCCTAGATAAACAATTACTAGGATAGTTTATTGCTAGTAGACCTGCATTACAAAGAAATGCAAAAAAAAAAAAAAAAAAAAAAGAAGAAGAGGAAAAGAAAAAGACCTTCAGGTCAGGCACAGTGGCTCACACCTGTAATCCTAGCATTTTGAGAGGCTGAGGTGGGCAGATCATTTGAGGTCAGGAGTTCGAGACCAGCCTGGCCAACATGGTGAAATCCCGCCTCTACTAAAAATACAAAATTTAGTCGGGCGTGGTGGTGGGCACCTGTAATCCCAGCTCTTCGGGAGGCTGAGGCATGAGAATTCCTTGAACCTGGGAGGTGGGAATTGCAGTGAGCCGAGACTGTGCTACTGCACTCCAGCCTGGACAATAGAGTGAGACTCAGTCTCAAAAAACAAACAAACAAACAGAAATCTTCAGGCTGAGATAAAAGGACACTACATGGTGACTAAAACTACAAGAGAAAATAAAGAACACTGGTAGAGTTAATTCTATAGTTAAATATAAACATCAATATCAGTGTATTTTTGGATTGTGATTCCTTTTTTTATCATTTAAAAGCCAATTGCATAAAACAATAATTGGAGCTCCATGTTGATGGACACATGTTGCATAAAGGTAAAATTTGTAATAATAACAAGATAATGAAACATACAGTCTTACAGAAGTAGAGCTTTTATATAGTATTAAAACTAAGTTGATAATAGTCCAAACTAGATTGTTACAAATTAAAATATAAATTATCATCTCCGGGGCAATCACCAAAAAAACCCATAAATTATACAGTAAAAGAAATGAGAAGACAATACAAGCAACACACTAGAAAATAAATATTCGCAAAATAAGGTGGTAATAAAAGAATTGAGGAACAGAAAAGGTATGAAATGTAGAAATTAATTAGCAAAATCACAAAAGTCATTTTTTACCAGGAAATACTCTAACAATAAATGAATTAAATTCTTCATCTAACACAAAGACATTAGCAAAATGGATAAAATACCAAAACAAAACTATGATGTCTAGAAGAGACTCACTTTTTTTGGGTGGGGACACAAATGGAATAAACTATATCAATTGGGTTATAAAAACTGTGGCTTCAGACTTAGTATCTCACCCCTGCCCCTTGAAAGACACACATACCCACATGGGCCAGAGCTGATATTTCTGGTCAACAGATAGGATCTGAGACCTGCCAACAGCCATATGAGAGAGATTGAGCCCGTTAAGTGAATCCTGACCCCCTGAGAGCCTTGAGATAACTGCAGCCCCGGCAGATATCTTGATTACAGCTTTATGAAGTGCCCTGAGCTGTACAAACCAGCTAAACTGTACTTGACCCACAGAAACTGAGAAATATAAATGCTGTTTTAAGCCACTAATTTGGCTTAAATTATTCTGTTATATAGCATTAGGTAACAAATACAGTAATTTATTTCCTCCTCCCTTCTCCCAATGTTGAATCTCTCCTAGTTAAACCAAATTCATCTTACAGTATTGCCTAGAACTCCACATTTCTACGTCATAAATATGTGGGCGAGATTTGACCCAGCACCATTAGGATCTTAATATGAGAGTAATAGTCAGTCTATAGTTTTAAAAAGTGTACTTTATTTTTCATTTGGAGGACACTTGTATTTTATAACAAATCAGAAAGAGACATGATTGAAAGCTGTGACTATATGCCAGAAAATAACACAGAAATCTGCACTAAGCACCCATTCAGACTTTTAAAGAAAACAATGTTCTCTTCCTTTGCATATATCATCAGATTCATTTTAAATGTTTTTTTTAAATAAGATTTACACTCGTGTCTGAATAATATTGATATAATTTCAGGTTGTACTATGGTTTAAATGTGTTGCCCACAGTTTGTGTTGAAAACTTAATCCCAAATGCAACACGGTTGAAAGGTGGACATTTAAGATGTGGCTAGATCATGAGGGCTCTTCCCTCATGAATGGATTAATGCTATTATCAAGAAAGTGGGTTAGTTAATTGGGCTCATGATGAAAGCATGAGTTCAGTCCCCTTCCCTCACTCTCTCTTGCATACTCTCTTGACCTTCCACCTTCCACCACAGGATGATGCAGCAAGAAAGTCCTCACAAGATGCTAACCCATAGATCTTGGACTTCCCAGCCTCCAGAACTGTGAGTCAATTGAATTCCTATTCATTATAAATTACCTAATCTCAGGTATTCTGTCATAGTAGCATGAAACAGGCTAAGGTTGACTTGCTGAATTAAAAGTGCCCATCATTTGTCTTTATCATATATATATATGATATAATGTATATGCATATATGTGTGTGTATAGCAGAATATTTAAAATGTGTTCAGGAATTTCTGTTAATTATTATTAATTTGTAGAGCTATATTTTCATTATTTCCTCACATGTATTTATAAGAGGATGTTGAAACCTTTCTGTTAATTTGGGGTAGCATATGTGAATTACAGGTTCATTTTATATTTCAAGCAAATAGGAATCATCATTGGTAAATATATTTACCACAGAGCTCTCTATCCTGTCTCCACACACACATCAATAAATTTTTTTGAAAATCTAAAACATTTACTATTCATGTAAATAAATGCTTGATTTCTATATGTTTTAGGTAATAAAGCATCTTCAGTTTGTTCAATATTCCTCCTAGGTCAGAAATGGCTGAGTTTGAGGAATCACGTGGCTGTAGAAGTTACACTTGATGGGTGTAAAGCTCACCCCCATCCTTAGTTGTGCAAGAAATTAGAAGTAGGAAAATAAGTGTGTCTTTGAAAACTACCGAATATTGATGTGTAGTCAGTACCAAATAAAGGTATCAAATTCAGAGTCTACGTAGACAATGAGTCATAATATAGATATGAAATGATATGAAGGTTAAAAAGAAGCATCCAGTACTGGGTGGAAAAAGCAATAAATACTGTAGAAAACAAGGGAGAAGAAGAACTAAATAAATCTAGAGATTTAATTTGGGTACCAAAGGTTTGTATGCTTTCAGTCAACCAATCATGCTATATTATATTTACCCAAAGTACAAGAAAGACATTTGTTTACACATTCATTCATTTCTTTAGAGAAAACCTAATTTGAGAATCTACTATATTCTAATCACTGTTCTAGATAATGAGGATAAAAATATGAATAAAAAACTGTCACTGGAAAGTAATACATTTGCCAATTATGTGATATAGTATTCATCCAGGCATATATTTGTTAAAAATTACATATTGAGTATGTATTGTATTCTAGGTATTATGATAAAAAGGTACTTTGGGGTTTTTTTTTTGTCCTTTCTATTTTTTATTTGTATAAATGTGAGGGGTACAAGTGGAGTTTTGTTAAAAAGATGTATTGAGTAGTGGTGAAGCCTGGGCTTCTCATGTAACTATCACTTGAATAATATACATTGTACTCATTAAATAATTTCTCATCTCTCTTCCACCCTTCTTGATCTCCAATGTCTATTATTCCATTTTTACTCATTATTTAGCCTCCGCTTATAAAGGAGAACATGAGGTATTTGACTGTTTCCGAGTTATTTCACTAGAGATAATGGCCTCCAGTTCCACCCATGTTGCTGCAAAAGACATAATTTCATATTTTAATGACTGAATAGTATTCTATCATGTATATATGCCACATTTTCTCTATCTGTACATCCACTGATGAACACTTGGGTTGATTCCATATCTTTGTTATGGCGAATAGTGCAGTGATTAACATAGGAGTACAGGTATCTTTTCGATAAAATTACTTCATTTTGTGAGGGTAGACACCCAGTAGTGGGATTAATGGATCAAATAGAAGTTCTGTTTTTATTTCTTTGAGAAACCTCCTTACTGTGTTTTTCATAGAGGTTGTACTAATTTACATTCTCACCAACAGTGTATAAATGTTCCCTTGAGAAACACAAGTACTTTGATGAGCCAAAGTGAACATGGCTGTTGTTTTCATCTTACTGATCATTGAGTAGCATACACATATAATGACAAATAATTACAGTAATGAATGTATAATACAAACTGCACTGGGAAATTGGATATTAGAGAAAGATCCTCATAGAAAATTATTTAATTTTGGACATAAAACATGAGTACTAGAAAACAGAAAATTGAGTGTGTGTGAGTGGGAAGAGGCAGGGTATGTGGAGGTGGAAATAATGTTCCAGAGGGATTAGCATTTGCAACGGCTTTGTTATAATCTAAATTGTGCATACCTCAAAATTCGTATGCTGAAACTCTAAACCCTAGTACTTCAGAATATGAATATATTTGGAGGTTGTGACTTTAAAAGGTAATTAAATTAAAAATAGGATGTGCTCTGGTTCAATATGACTAGTGTCCTTATAAAGAGCAGATTAGGACACAGGAGAGATATGAGGCATATGCATACATGAGGAAATACCATCTGAAGACACAGCAAGAAGGCAGGTATCTGCAAGCCAAGGAGAAGCATATCAGGGAAAACCAAACCTTCTTATAACTTGATCTTGGACATACAGCCTCCAGAACTGTGAGAATACAGTTCTGTTGTTCAAGCCAGGGATCCCCAAGCCCTGACCTGCAGGTGGTACTGGTCTGTGGCCTGTTAAGAACTGGGCCAAACAGCAAGAGTTGACCAGTGGGTGAGTGAGCATCACTTCCTGAGCTCTGCCTCCTTTCAGATCAGCAGCAGCATTAGCTTCTCATAAGAGTGTGAACCCTATTGTGAACGGCTCATGGGAGAGATCTGTGTTGTGCACTCCTTATGAGAATCTAATGATCTAATGCCTCCCTCCCAGCCTTCAGGTCCGTGGAAAAATTGTCTTCCACAAAACCTATCCCTGGTTTCAAAAGGTTGGGGACCACTGGTTTAAGTGACCCGGTTTGCAATATTTGCTATAGCAAACCTAGCAGCCTAAAGTAGACACTATGGCAGGAGAACACAGGGAATTTGACAAATTGCAAAAGAATTGTATTAGATTCATCTGTGGAACAAGGTGGCAACCAGACTGTGCCGGACTTTATGGGCCACAATAATAATATAGATGTTGTCTTCAGAGTAATCCAGAAGCCACGGATAGTTTTTAAGCAAGTGGATATATGTATACCAGTCAGTATGATTAGTTCTTAAGCAAGTTGATCTTGTATAACTGTTAGTAAATTTTAGCCATAAGTAGAGGAAAATCCAGAACATATTATAAAGATATTTATTCTCATATAAAAATTCCAGAAATAGGGAGATTCCAGGATTAGTTCATTCACTGGCTTAACAAAGTCATTAAGAACAAAGATCCCTTCTGTTTTTTAGTTTATCCCTCCTATATTGGCTTGCCCTTTTAGAATGAATCCTCCTATGGTCCTAAAGTGCTGGCATAGTTCTAGGCATCATTTGCCAATGTCAATATTCAGAGGAAGTGCGATGGCTATCCCTGTCTCAGGATCCTTTTCAAGATTGAGCGAAACCTTTCCAGAGAATTCTCAGTTTGTTGTCTCTCATATGTTATTGCATAGAATTATATCACGTGCCTATTGCTAAAACAGTTACTTGGCAAAGAAAATAAATCAGAATAATTGAGTTAGATCAATGAAGAATCACCAGCTCTATGAGTAAACGGGCCAAGCTTTTTCAGAAGGACATAATCTATTTTTTTTTTTTTTGAGACGGAGTCCTGCTCTGTCGCCCAGGCTGGAGCGCAGGGGCACGATCTTGGCTCACTGCAACCTCTGTCTCCCGGGTTTAAGCAATTCTCCTGCCTCAGCCTCCTGAGTAACTAGGATTACAGTCGCCCACCACCATGCCCAGCTAATTTTTGTATTTTTAGTAGAGACGGGTTTTCACCATGTTGGCCAGGCTGGTCTCGAGTTCCTGACCTCAAGTGATCGGCCCACCTCAGCTTCCCAAAGTGCTGGCCTGAGCCACCTCACCAGGCGAGAAGGATGCCATCTTTTAAAAGAGTTTGAACAATATTCATATCTATGTAGCAAAAGAAAAAAGAAAAAAAAAGGAGAGAAAAAGAAAAAATGACTTTTGTTTATGTAACTAATAGTGTCTGTCAAAGGATTATATGATTATATTTGTGCTCTGAAATGACATTCACTTCATTTGTGTTTTGAAATGTCATTCTGGCTACTTGAATGGAGCGGTGCAGAATAAAAATGAGAGACCATTTAGTAAACTATTACAGTATGACAGGTATCTTGAACCAGAGTGGTATCTTGGACTACAATGGAGGAAATAGAAAAAAGTGGATGGTATCAAGAAAGTCTTAGGGATTAAAATCAGCTGAATTTGATGATGGATTAAGTACGGAAAGTAAGGCAACAGGAGGTATCAAAGTCTAGTTTTCTGGTCTGTGCAACTGGATGGAGGGAACACTGAAGAAAAGAACAGATTTGCGGAGATAAATAGTGACTTTTGCCTTAGGCATGATGAGTTTGAGCTTCATTGAGCGATCCAATTTGATATGTATGCGTATTGAGCTTATATCAGAATCTGGAAAGAGATATACAATTATATCTACAATTTAAAATCAACTTGTCAATTTTTGCTAAACATCTCCCATTAAGCCCCACTTCCCAACACTGTTGCACTGGGGATGAAGTTTACAACACATTAATTCGGGGGGACACATTTGAACCATAGTACTCCTTTTAGCTATGATCAATAATGCTGCTATGAATATGCATGGAAAATAATATTTTTACACATGTTTACACTTCTTTGGATATATATTATACTTAGGAGTATAATTGTTTGGTCATGTGGTTACTCTCTGTTTAACCATTTCAGAAACTTTCAAACTGCACTGGGATTTTGGTACAATCCAAAAGTGATTGTACCAATTTACAAACACACCAGAAGTGTATGAGGGTTCCAATATCTCTACATCAGCATCAACACTTGTTATTATCTGACATTTTTGTTGTAGTCATCCTAGTGGGAGTACAGTGTAATTGATTTACATTCCCTTGATGACTACTTTTATAGAGCATATTTTCATATGCTTAGTCTAATTGTATATTTTCTTCACAGAAATGTCTATTCAGATCCTTTACTAAGTCTTAATTGTATTATTTAAATTTATTGAGTTGTAAGCTATTTTATATATTCTAGATACAAGTCTATTATAAGATATATTTTGTAAATATTTGATCATATTCTGTGAGTTGCCCTTTCACCTTTTGGATACTGTCTTTGAAATACAAAATGTTTTAATTTTGATGAAGTCCAAATTATCTATTGTTTTCCTTTTGTTACGTTATGCATTGATGTTACATCTAAAAATCTATTGCCTAATGCCAAGTCATGAGTGAATATGTTAATTGTGGTTTATTAATGCAAAAGAATTCATACAATGGAATAAGACACAAAATAAAGAAAAGAGCAAAGTATGGATATGTACATCAATCTGAGTGAATGTTTCAGACATATTGATAAGCTAAAGGAGCCTATACCAAAAGAACACATTCCATGTGATATTATTTATATAAATATTAAGAACAAGCAAACAATTTGATTTGATAAAATTCAAAACAATGTTTATCTCTAGTAGGATATTGACTCTGAAGGGCATGAGAAAACTTAGGGTTTGAGGTTTGGGGTTCTGAGAATATTTTATAATTTGATCTAGGAGTGGTTTCATGGGTATATGTGTGTGTGTGTATATATACGTGTATGTATATATACACACACACATATGTCTATATATACATGTATGCGTATATATATAAAATACAGCTTAATTGTTAAAGTTAATGCACTTTACATAATAAATCTATGCTATGAATAGAAAGTATAAAAAATGTATGCTGTGAATGAAAACGTATTTAAAAAACGATGTCAGTTAATGCATACTTATTGGAATTTGACAATATGCTAAGAATAAGCTACAGGTGATATGTATAAGAATTTACATTCTAGCCAAAATCTTTTATATAATAATATGGGAAAATCTTTATAAAGCACTATCATTGCCTCAAAATTACCAAAATTTATTCAATTTATTTGTCTCTAGGATTAAATTTACTATAATAAAATCCAGTTTGATTGATATTCTTTTTATGTAAAATTTCTGTCATGAGTTACAGGAATTTTTAATTCTGATTAAGGAACTGAATTTCTTCTTAGAGAACTCCCTAGGTTACCATGGTGTTTATAATTATTAATGGAGCAAGAAGAATTTTTTTTTTTTTTTTTTTTTTTTGAGACGGAGTCTCGCTCTGTCTCCCAGGCTGGAGTGCAGTGGCGCATCTCCGCTCACTGCAAGCTCCACCTTCCCGGGTTCATGCCATTCTCCTGCCTCAGCCTCCCGCGTAGCTGGGACTACAAGCGCCCGCCACCACTCCTGGCTTACTTTTTGTATTTTTTTTTAGTAGATACGGGGTTTCACGGTGTTAGCCAGGATGGTCTCGATCTCCTGACCTCGTGATCCGCTGGCGTCGGAGGAATAATGTTTTTTTGAGAAAGTTCACCAATCATTAACCTCTTCCTGCTAATATTTCTGCAAAAATAGCTAATAGTTTGCATTACCACATTAAGCAATCTTTAGCTGTTTCAAAAAAAAAAATCACCTTTCAGCTTCTCCTTCTTATACCTCCAAAGAATGGGAATCCATTAGATTGGGTGCATTCATAACATTACTAAAATAAATTATGTGCCTCACTCTAACAATTTCTAAACAGTAGAGATTCGAAATGCTGTAACAACGTCCCTCTTTCAATTTCATCCTTCCCCTTACTTCCATTTGTTGAATTCTAGAGGGACCCGAAAAACTCTAAATCTATTGAATCCATTCATCTATTTAGCCATTGGCTGTATACTTATTGAGATTCTACTATGTGCCAGGTACTTTTATAGACACTTAAGTTACAAATGTTCATTTATTTACTGTTTTATTCATTCATTCAGCAAACATTTATTGAATGTGAATTATATGCTAAGCATTATCTTGGGCATTCAGTATAGAATAGTAAATAAGGGATACTTGGTCTCTTCCTTCATAAAGTGTTTATACTCTAAGTAAAGGGCCAAGTAATATGGTAAATAAATCATTAATATTCTGGAAGAGACCACAATACAGTGGAAAAACAAATTAATAATAAATAATTTTCCATTCAGTTTAGAAATTGTTATAATTTATAGTTCTGTAAGAATAGGACAGCAACTAATTCTGTTGAGGGGAGAGGTGGGAGAAAGGGATAAATGTTTCATTCTTTTAGTAACTTTGCAACTATCTACACCTATCAGGCTTCATTTCTCTGTTGTTCATGATCATGATACAAGAATTGAAAAGCTTTTGTTATCTCTTCTCTTTGGCATTCTCATTTCTATGGCAATATTTTCTTTCCCTAGCCCCAACTTTCTAGTGCTTCCAATCTCACCTAAAGTTTTCACTGTTTCAAGATTTAAAAATGCCTCTAATTTTAGAGTCCCTATCACTTTTTTCTGTAAATGTAATTTAGTTCTCCCCTGAGATCCTCATTTTTTCCTGAATCTCTGTTAGGTCAAAGCTACTCATATTCCCACACCTCATGGTGCTAAGACTCATCATTGACTTTTCCTTCCAGTGATATTTAGAGAGCATTATTTTTCTACCCTATTGTAAAAATTCTGCTCTTCTGAGCCTCATGTCAGACAGTTACAGCAATTTGTCCCCCCTTTTATGGCATAACACTATCTCAGCACATTGCCAATTCTGAATTAGTGCATTTGTAACCCCAAAACTCCATTCCTACTATTTGAACCTAGATATAGATTTCAATATCTCTTTGAGTGTTCCCTAAGAAAGCGTTAACACCAAAGCCTCTTGATCATTGTAGATTTTACTGATTATTTCATTTGAAATACAGAAGTGGGTTTCCATCTCACATGTTTATCAGGCCCTTAAGATTTACCATAAAATATTTATTTTCTTCAATGTCCCTTCTGTCTGAAGAAATCAATGGGCATTCTTCCTTTGTTTTGTAAAAATCACTGAAGAGTCTAAGAATGCAGCTTGTGGCCCCAGTTGTTAAGAGTTTAGTGAAACAGCTCTTTCAGAGTTTTCATACAGGTAAACTGTATCCCACAGAACTCAGATGTAAATACAAACTAGGAACTCAAGCCAAAATGAATCCAAGTGAAAGTTTTCATACTGTACTCAGCATAACCCCACTATTCAAAAAGTAGCTTTGACTATAGATACATTACTAGTTCAAATTCACTGTACCTAAAATGTATGTGTTTGCAGGTGTGTATGTGAGAGAGACAGAGAGATTTCCACATATGTGTATGTCCACATATCTAAAACAATCAACTAAACTATGTATGTTTGATATCAGTTCATTTCTACTGTATTATAATTTATTATCTTGATAATATTTGGAGCTAACAGAATCCTTAAGAGATTTCTAAGAAGAGATACCTGATCTAAAGAGATAAGCTAATTTTTTGGGCAATGGTCTTGTTCGATACAATAGACAGAACAGAGAAACAGACCACTTCACAGAATGGAACTTGAAAAAGCTCGTTCCCTGTCTAGTGTGGTTCCCATCACAGAATACTGAAATATTTGAATTTTATCTTACATAAGTATTATCCATGAAGAATTTTAAGAAGTTAAACCATCTGATCAAAATTGGTTTTTATATATATCATTCCAGAAGGAATGAGGAAAATGAGTTGGAGGGGTATAAGACTGGAAGGCAGAGAGATGAGTTAAGAGATATGATGAGAATCTGAGGTATGGCAATGAGGTCAGAAAGAGAGTTAGTTCTAAATGATATGTTGATGAGGTGATGATAAGACTAGATGAATAGAAATGTGAGAAGTAAAGGTGAGAAAGAGGTCAAGACTGACTACCATATTTCTAGCTTTACAACTAGAGTATTGGAGACTCATAGATCCTTTGAGAATTTTATGGAACTGTAAACCCTTTCACCAAAGAAAGAAACATGAGTATGGACAGAAAGAATTTTAAAAACAATATAAAGACATTCAAATTTCTTTCTTCTAGTGCGCATAGTGGGATAATTGGTTTCAGTGTGTGGACCAGAATGATGTCCTGATAAATTCTGATGTATTGAATTCACAAACTGTCATTTAATTATGAATTATAAAACTATCCAATAAATTATTTAGGTTTTGTACTTTTTCACATAGTTTAAGAAAAATATACATATATAGTTATATTTTCTTCCTTAAAATGGTTATTTGCGAATCATACATATCCAGGGTCAATAATTAAAACTATGTGAAATTAGGAATAAATAAAAAGCTCTAGCCATTCTAATGTCTTGGTTTATATTTTACACAAAGGTAAAATATTGTATTTATACCTAATATTTGCTATTTATGGAATTCTTTTTATATTCTAGGTATACTGAATATAACTTCTAGAAGGATCAAAGATTAGTAGAGGATACAAGAAAAAGCACACAAATAACTACAAAATAAAGGCCAGTAAGATAAATATCATAAGAGTGCGGCAAACAAAGTTTGAGAATAAAGAAGAAACAGCATCACATTATCTGTTTAGTGTCTTAACAGCTGTATGCAAGGTGGCAAAGAAATGCATGTATTCATTTTGCATATTTAAAATTACAAGTGTCTACAGCTCACAGACAATCTTTGAATAATTTTTTGCAAGTGTCTAATAAATGTTTTGGAAATAATAATGAAGTCGTTTTTTAAATATCAAATGAGAGATTATTAATATCGATGTATAAAACCCAAGGCTAACATTTATTTTCTATATTCCTTGCTTGGACCGCTTACTCATAAAATAAGATATATAATAGTTTTTAATAAAAAAAATCCTAATAATAATTAAAAGAAGTAGAAGCAAAAGGGATTTGTGTAAATAAAATAAAATAAATATGTTTATGCAAACATATTTGCAGAGACATTAAGAAATATATAAGGTGTTAAGAAACTATATCTTCTCCATTTAATTTATTATGTGGCAGGCTCTTGCTTAAGCTTTCTGGTTCATTCTCTCTCTCTTCTTTTTTGATTTCCATGGTGTGTATATTGGTTCACATGATGAAATCCCATCAGTCCCATGAGCTTTCTTCATTCTCTTTATTTCTTTTTTTATTTACTCCTCTGACTGGATAATTTTAAATGGCTGATCTTTGATTTGCTCATTCTTTCTAAGCTTGATTGAGTTTTCTGTTGAAGCATTGTATTAAATTTTAAAAAATTGGTTACAATTTTCAGCCCTAGAGCTTTTGTTTAGATCTTTAAGATTTCTATATTTTTAGTGATATTCTAATTTTGTTCATATATTGTTTTGTTGATTTCTTTGTCTGTTTTTCCTTGTAGTTCACTGAGCTTCTTTAAAATGACTATTTTGAATTATTTGTCAAGTGATTCATAAATCATTATTTCTTTAGGATTTGTTACTAGAGATTTTGTTTTTGCTCCTTTGGTACTATTATATTTTCCTGATTCTTCATGCTTCTTATAGCTTTGCATTAGTGTTTGCATATTTAAAGAACTAGCCTCCTCTTTCAGTCATTTCAGGCTGGCTTTTGCATGAAAAGATCTTCCCTAATCAAACCAGCTAGAGATTCAAGGAGCCCATCAAACATTTTCTATGGATGGATGTATTCCACTCCTCTTCATCCCTCCTGGTAGAAAAAAAAAATTCAAGTGTGTGTGCCTTCTCCCAGTCTCATAGAACCATGCAGGCCGCTATAAACCTCTCACCCTTTTTCTCTAGGACAATGCAATGAAATTCCACGATGTTGGGTCAACCTTCATTTCTCTCCCTTATTTGTAAAGAAGTCTCAAGATTGTGTGCTTCTCATCAATCCTGCAGAGTTGTGACAACTGCAGGGAGTTATCCACCCCTTTACCTTGAGGAGTGCCCTGGAATGCCTGAGGTGGGGTGCAATTTCCACTTCCCTCCCTTTTTCTTGAAGGAGAAGTCTCAGGGTTATGCGCTTCCTCCCAATTCTGTAATGCCCTGCAAGCTGCTGGGAGCCCCCAACCCTTTCCTTTGTTTTTAGTTACCCCTGCAGGTATGCTGTTAGTTGCCTCATTCCTCTCAGTGAGGTGAGACAGAAGTAGGCAGCACCCCAAAAGGCTGTGAATGTCTCGTGCATGTTACACTCACTCTGTCCCCTAAGGAAGAAATCACAGGATAAGTGGATTTCTTTAGGTGCTGGTCTGTGCCAGCTTGGGAGATGGTTGACTCAGTTAAAATGAAACTAATCCTCTCACCCATATTAAAGCTGTTTTTCTCAGTTTTGTGCTCATCTGAGGTATTACAATTTAACTGAATTCTGGAGTTCTCATAAAGATATTTTGGCACAATTCTGTGTTTTTGTTGGGGGTGGGATACAAGGGCTAAGATTTCCTATTCAGTTTTCTTGCTGACATTATCCTTCTATCTTTTCTGTTTTTATATTAAAATGTGGATAGTTACAATATTTCTCAGATGACCCTGTCAATGGCTCAAGATGAACAACCAAATTGTTAATATTTTTTGATTTTCCAAAGCACTAATTTACAAATTAGTGAAATTCCTAGAATGAAGGTTTTGTAGCATGCATAATTACATATGATGTATAGTATAATCATTTTTATATTTATGAATCCTAAGAGATATAAAGCATACAATTTCAGCTTCTGAGGTGACAGCAGAACTGTATTTAGAGCAGAAAACAATCTGGGTTTGAGAGCTTTGTTCTATTTCCATCTCTACAACAGTATGTGTCACCCTGGTCTCCTCACATAATGCATTTGTACTTCTGTACATAATTTGAGACAAAATTTAGAGGGTTTGGAACTGAATATAAAGATGGAAAAGGAAAGTCACATTATAAAAACTATTGACAGGATTCAACAAAATATTAATTATAAAGAGTGAAGCACAATGACATGTCAAAAAGCCCTCCCCACTTCCATTCCACCTCCTACCTATGCCTTAATTATTTAAGTTGTATAGTAGTAAGAATATTCTAGGTTCTGCTGTAGCCAAATGCCACAATCTTAGTTTCTTAACAATAAACAAGTTTTTTTCTTGCTCATAAAAAGTCTCTTGTAGCTCCAGGTGACTCTTCAGGGCATGGAGTGGCTAAATATTTCAAAATACTTCTATTTCATGACACATTCACTTCAACATGATGGTGTGGGGTCCATTTTGTCAGGTTAAAGAGAGCATGACACACTGACTCATGAGTGTTTCAACCCCAAAGTGATATTTATCACTACCAATTACAGTCGATTAACCAGAATTAGTCACATGGCCCCATTCAACTTGCAAGGGTGGGAAATACAGTCTTCTGTATGTCTAGATAAGCAAAGAGAACTGAAAATAATCATTAAAAATAATAATCATTATCTAGAAGACAAGGAAATGGTGGCTGTACACCAATAACTTGAGCGATATAATTCTTCAAAGAGGAAAAAAATCAAACAATAGAAGAAAATACAAGAATGTGTAAGGGGATTAAGATATGAGATAATATATTTTAATAATTTAAAATATTCAACAATATTGTCATGTAAAATTTTCTAAAAAGAGAAATTAATAGTGATGAAAATTTTTAGTTTAGTCCCTGAAAATGTGACATTAATTAAGATGAACATTTAAGCACAATAATTATTTAAGATACTTTAGAAAATATCACTCTGCCTGGTAAATGTTTTTTTCCACATAAAATAACAGTATGATAATTTTGATTGTTACATTATGTAGTACCTCTATTAGGAAAGGAAAAAGCACATCTCTTGGATAAACTCTATCATCAGCTATCAGGGAAGTGAAACTAAACTTTTTGCTTTTGAGTGTCTTCTTCTCAATACTTGTCTAAATATTACACACCAAAGAGTGATGTAAATATCTTCAAATAAACTTTCAAGTGTAAAATTAACTTTCATGAAAGAGGACATTTGTAGTGTATTTTGAGTTAGTCAAGCTATATAATTGTTAATAAACAGCATTTTAAAATTTAAAAATTAATAAATATTCTGATGCCCGGACAAAATAAAATTATCCAGTGATATGAAACAGGATCGTGAACCTGATGTAAAAAGAAGTTTTGTCACGTTTTCATAGGGCAGCTGTGATGTGCTAGGGTATTGCTTTCATCCCTGGTAAGCTTGGACTCTCCAAAGCCTAAAGGCTGGAATGGCTGTTACCCCAATGGCAAAAATAGTGGCCCACCCCTCCTTGTGGGTGCTCCATTCCAGGGAAGTTTCAAAACTCTGTCAGCCAGAGAATACTAGCAGGGGTGGCTGGAGACCCTGGTTGGGAAGTTCTGCCCAGTGGAGAGGAACAGGTTCAGGGACTTGCTTTAAAAAGCAGTCTGGCCATGTTTTCGCAGAGCAGCTGTGCTGGACTGGGGAACCACTCCTGCTCAAGTTGCCTTGGACCCTCCAAAGCCTGAAGGTTGGAATGGCTTAGTCATCCAAACAGAAAAGATGGCAGCCCGCCCGTCACTCTGGGAACTCTGTCCTGGGAGTTTTGAAATCTCTGTCAGCCAGAGAACACAGGTGAGAGTGGCTGGAGTCCCCAGTTGAGAGGTCCTGTCCAGTGAGAAGAAATGAGATCAACGACCTGCTTTAAAAATCAGTCTGGCCACATTTTCATAGAGCAGCTGTGCACTGCTGAGGGATCCTTTCCACCCCTGGTCAGCTTGGACTCTCCAAAATTCAAAGGTTGGAATGGCTAATTTGCCCAAACAGCAAAAATGATGCTCTGCCCCTCCTGCTAGGAGCTCCATCTCAGGGAGGTGTAATGCTGCTACCAGTGGCTAACTGAAGTTCCAAGCCAGTGGGTTTTAAGAGTTCTTTGTTGCTCCTGGATGAACCATCTTCCTGCCTTGCTTTTTTCCATCCACCATGGGTTAAGTTGCTTCCTTGATTATTCCCAATGTGAGTACTTGGCTGTTTAAGTTGAAGGTGCTGTATTTACTCAACTCTCCTGTTTCTCTCTGTGAGAGACACACACACACTAGTCAGCAGACATGCTGGCTACTTCAATTCTCTCTCTCTTTTTATCTCCGATTTTATTTATTTGGGTCTTCTTTTTTTATTTCCTTAGTTAGCATGGCTAAAGAAATGTAATTTTTTAAATCTTTTCAAAACCCAAATTTATGTTTGCTTGATCTTTTGTATTATGTTTTATTTTGCTTTCAATTTAATTTACTTATGCTCTGATCTTTATTATTTCCATTCTATGAATTTTTGGTTTGCTCTTGCTTTTCTAGTTCTTTAAAATGCATTATTAGATGATTTATTTGAAGTTTTTCCACTTTTTATGTAGGCGCTTATAGGTTTAAACTTTCCTCTTATTATCTGATATGGCTTGGTTGTGTCCCCATCCAAATCTCAACTTGAATTGTATCTCCCAGAATTCCCACATGTTGAGGGAGGGACTCAGGCAGAGGTAATTGAATCATGGGGGCCAGTCTTTTCCGTGCTATTCTTGTGACAGTGATTAAGTCTCATGAGATCTGATGGGCTTATCAGAGGTTTCCACTTTTGCTTCTTTGTCATTTTTTCTTGCCGCCAACGTAAGAAATGCCTTTCACCTCCCGCCATGATTCTGAGGCCTCCCCAGCCATGTGGAACTGTAAGTTCAATTAAACCTCTTTTTGTTACCAGTTTTGGGTATGTCTTCATCAGCAGTGTGAAAACAGACCAATACAGTAAATTGGTACCAGTAGAGTGGGGCACTGCTGAAAAGATACCTCAAAATGTGGAAGCAACTTTGGAACTGGGTAACAGGCAGAGGGTGGAACAGTTTGGAGGGCTCAGAAGAAGACAGGAAAATGTGGGAAAGTTTGGAACTTCCTAGAGACTTGTTGAATAGCTTTGTCCAAAATGCTGATAGCGATATGAACAATAAGGTCCAGGCTAATGTGGTCTAAGGTGAAGATGAGGAACTTGTAGGGAACTGGAGTAAAGGTGACTTTTGTTATGTTTTAGCAAAGATACTGGTGGCATTTTGCCCCTGCCCTAGAGATCTGTGGAACTTTGAACTTGCGAAAGATAACTTAGGGTATCTGGAGGAAGAAATTTCTAAGCAGCAAAGCATTCAAGAGGTGACTTGGGTACTGTTAAAGGCATTCAGTTTTATAAGGGAAGCAGAGCATAAAAGTTTGGAAAATTTGTAGCCTGACTATGCAATAAAAAAGAAAATAACATTTTCTGGGGAGAAATTCAAGGCAAAGCTGCAGACTTACATAAGCAGCAGGGAGCCTAACGTTAATCCCCAAGATAATAGGGAAAAGGTCTCTAGGCCATGTCAGATACCTTCATGGCAGCCCCTCCCATCAAAGGCTCAGAGGCCTAGGAGCAAAAAATTGTTTCATGGGGTGGGTGCAGAGTCCCAGTGCTGTGTGCAGCCTAGGGACTTGGTGCCCTGTGTCCCAGCCACTCCAGCCATGGCTGAAAGGGGCCAATGTAGAGCTCGGGCTGTGACTTCAGAGGGTGAAAGCCCCAAGCCTTGGCAGCTTCCACATGGTGTTGAGCCTGCAGGTACACAGAAGTCAAGAATTGAGGTTTGGGTACCTCCACCTAGATTTCAGAAGATGTAGGGAAATGTCTGGGTGCTCAGGCAAAAGTTTGCTGCAGGGATAACCTCTGCTAAGGCAGTGCAGAAGGGAAATGTGGGGTCAGAGCCCCTGCACAGAGTCCCTACTAGGGCACCAACTAGTGGAGCTGTGAGAAGAAGGCCACCGCCCTCCAGACCCCAGAATGGTAGCTCCACCAACAGCTTGCACAGTGAGCCTGGAAAAGCCACAGACACTCAATGCCAGCCCATGAAAGCACCCAGGAGAGGGGCTATATCCTGCAAAGCCACAGGGGCAGAGCTGCCCAAGACCATGGGAACCTACCTCTTGCATCAGCGTGACCTGGATGTGAGACATGGAGTCAAAGGAGCTATTCTCTAGCTCTTGTAGGTGTGCTTCATTCTTTCTTATTCTCTTTCTTTTGTCTCCTCTGACTGTATCTTCAAATAGCCTGTCTGCAAGCTCAGTAAATCTTTCTTCTGTTTAGTCAGTTCTGATGTTAAGAGACTTTGATGCATTCTTCAGTTTGTCAATTTAATTTTTCAGCTCCAGAATTTCTATTTAATTTTTAGAAATTATTTCAATTCTTTTATTAAATTCATTGGATAGACTTGTTGTTTGTCAGTGTTTGATGATGTCTGAGCATTGAAGAATCAGATATTTATTCTCATTTTTGCAGTCTGCTCTTCTTTGTACTTATGATTCTTGAGAAAGCTTTACAAGTATTCTAAGGGTGCTATGATGTAAGTCTTTGGTCACTTTAGCCATATTTGCATTATGGAGCACCCCAAGCCTGGTATCACAGTGACTCTTGAAGACTCACAGAGGAATTGTCTTATTATCTTGTTTAAGAGCTCAGAGAAGTATTCTGATTACCAGGCAGAGACTCCTGTTGTCTTTTCTTACTCTTCTGCAAACATATGGACCATCTCTCTCCATGCTGAGCTGCCTGGAGTTGGGTGTGGGGTGATGTAAACACTCCTGTCACTACTACCACTGGGTAGGTGCTTGGTCACTCTTTAAGCCAGCACAATACTGGGCCTTGTTCACAGCCTGCGTTGCCTAACACTGATGTTATTTGAGGCTCAATGGCTCTTTAGGCAATAGATGGTGGATCTTGTCAGAACTGTGTGTTTTCCTTTAGGAAAGCAGGTTCTCTTCAGGCCCAGAGTGGGTCCTAAAATGATGCACAGGAGCTAGGGCCTGAAATTAAGGGCTTTATAAATCAGCTTCATGCTGCATTTTACTGTGCCTAAGTTGCCAAGTTGCAAGACAAGGTCTTTTTTACACTTTGCTCTTTTTTTTTTTTTTTTTCTCAAGCAAAAGAAGTATCTCCTCATGGTCACCACAGCCGAGAATGCACTGAGTCACACCAAAGCCAGCACAGTACTAGGTCTTGCCCAAGGCTGTGGCAACTACTAACTGACTACCACTGATGTTTATTCAAGGCCTAAGGGCTCTTTAATCACCAGGAGATGAATCCTGTTAGGATTATGTCTTTCCTTTCAGGGCAGCAAGTTTCTTTCAGGCATAGGTCCTTTCTAGAAATACTGTCCAAGATCTGGAGCCTGGAATCGTAGACTTTAGGAATTAGCTTTATTTTTTAAAAACTTTTACTGTGACTTGGTTCCCAATTTCAAAGAAAGCCTTTTCTATTCCCCCCTGACCCTCCGCCCGCCCTTTTCTCAAGCAGGTGTCTCTCTGGAGTTTCAAGCTGACCTGCCTGAAGTTGGGGCTTGAGTAATGCAAGTACACCCTTGGCTCTCCTAGCCAGTATCTCACTGGGTTCCATGCACCCCAATTATGCTGGCTCTGAGGCCAACACAGCACCAGAATTTTCACAGAGTTTCAGTCCTTGTGGTCTAGACTTCCTTTCACGTTTATTTAGAACCCCACAGCTCTTTAGCCCATGGTGATGGGACTAGCCAGAACTCAGATTCCCACTGTTGGGATGGATAATTCCCCTCTGGTTCATCTAAATGCTCCATCGATGAGTGATAGCTGAATTCTGCTCTGTGTTGCTTTCTGCTCTGACAGGGCTGCACTGAGCTCCAATGCAAAAGTCCCACAATCACTTTGCTTTCCCTCCCCCAAGCACACAGATTCTCTCTCACCACACCACATGGCACTATAGGGAGATGGAGAACGTGTGATGTACGCAATTCAAGATTGTCTTTTTATCCTCTTCTGTGCTTCTTTCCTTGATATGATGTTAAAACCAGGTATTGTGATCACTCACCTGACTTTTGGTCCTTATAAAGATGCTTACGTGTGTGGATATTTGTTCAATTTGGTGTCTTTGTAGGGTGAGGACAATCACTGGAGCATTCTACATGGCCATATTGTGCCATATTCTCAAATAAAATTAAAGGGAATATTCTTGTGACTTTGGGTTAGGCAAATATTTAGTAGACAGGATACTAAAACATAAACAACAAAAAAGACAAAAACATGATAAACTGGTTTTCATTAAAAATTTTAATTTTTGTTCTACATGGCTAAAACTGAAGAGATAAGACACAGACTGGGAGAAAATATGTGTAAAGCATATCTGATAAAGGACATACATCTATGCAAAGCCAGTTACATAATTGTGAGTTCAAGTGGAAAATAGAAATGTGAGATCCTTTATCAAAAAGCAAATGAAATAGGACATTAAAAGTATAAATATATAAAGATCCTTTAAAGACATTTTATTACTTGTGAAATATAATAGGAACAATTGTGCTTCTAATTATAAAAATTAAAATTTTAAATTATAATAATGATTTTTATCATTAATCTGTATATTTTCCAATGCCAGTTTTAACTGCAAACATAAAAATGTTTATACTATATGTGGAATCACTGATATTTTGTAGCTAGTGTATGTATATATACACACACATATATATTTTTCTTACCAGAACAGTAGAAATATTGCATAAAATAAGAGATCTTTTATACTGATTGATACGTCCCTGTTATTCCAACACTCTACTTTCAGATTACTGATGAGTAAGGAAAGGCTAACAGAAAAAGGAACTATACTTTGAAGAATCTTCATTTCTTTTCCTTTGTTATTTTTTCAGTATAAACAGTTAGGTAATAAACTTATAATATATGATCAATATCATTAGTCACTACATAAATTAAAATTAAAATCCACTTTCAACAATCATACCCTGGAATGGCTAAAATCGAGAAGACTGACAATAATAAATGTTGACAAGTGTGTTCAGTGAATAGAACTTTCATACAGTGCTGATGGCGATGCAAACTGGTGGAGCCACTTTGCAAACAAGATCACTCACAAGAAAGGTAAAACAATTCTATATCTGTATGTAACACATGACCCTATTAAAAAATGTTCACAGAACCTAAATCAGAAATAGAAAAATCTACAATTTGAGTAGAAGATCATAACCTAATTATATTTTAAAGTCAAATTATTTTTAAAATTAGATTGGATATGGAAGTTTTGAACATTATTAAGAAACTACATTAATGTCATATGTAGGACACTACTCAACTACGGAATATGTTTTCTTTTCAAAAATTCTTGAAATATTTTTCAAAATTTAACATTCATTGGGGCATCAACAAATTTCAAATTTCAACAGAACATATTGTCTATTGTGAAATTAAGCTGGAAATCAAATAGCAAGATCCAGAAATTCTTATAGGTGTAAAAGTTATGAAATTCATTTCAAAATAACCCCTGTGTCAAAAAAGGAAATCACATTTCAAAATAACTCCTTAATCAAAGAAGAAATCACAGTAGGTATTAGAAAATATTTTAGACGAAATGCAAATGAACATATTACAGAATAAAACATGCAGGATCTATCTAAATCCCTGCCTAAAGTGAACTATATAGTTTTCAGTTATATTTTAGAGATTTTAAAGACTGACAACAACTCAGATATTATCACAAAAATTAAAAATAGCAACAAATTAAACCAAAGGAAATCATAATGAAATAATATATTACAAAAAAAGTTGAAATAGAAAACAAATATAAAATAGAGATCATCAACCAAAGGTTGAAATAGTGATAGCCAAAAGTTGTTTCTTTGAAAAAATTTAAAAATCTGCTGGGTCAGACCTGAATACAGCATATCACTGGGTCTCATCCAGGGCCTGCTGTAATCACTCTGCAGCTACTGACTATGTTTGCTCAAAGCTCTGGGGCTCTATAATCAGCAAATGTCAAAGACAACCAAGCCTGTGTCCTTCACTACAGGATGGCAGGGTCCCCTAGGCCCTTGGTGCGTCCACAGTTGCCAATTGAGAGCCAGAGCCTGGAGTCAAAAAGCATAGTAGTCTACCTGATGTTCTATTGTACTGTAGCTGAGCTGCCACTCAAACCACAAGATAAAATCTTGCCCACTCTTCCCTCCCCTTTTCAGTGGCAGAAGAGCCTCACCCTGTGACCAATACCACAACAGGCTCATAGTCAATACTTCCAGACTATTACTGTTGTGCCCTTAAGGCCTAAGGCATTTTCAGTCAACTTGTGGTGAAGACTACCTGGCTGGGGACTCACCCTTCAGTGCAGTGCACTCCCCCACTGGCCCAGGACAGGACCAGAAATGTCATCTAAAAGCCAAATTCTAGAACTTGGGACCCCAAGGGTCTGCTTGGTGCGCTGCACCCACCTGGGGCTAAGCTGTTACTTGAAGCCAGCAAGTCTCAGAGTATATCCCAAGGCCCTCAACTTTATACCTGGGTATTGTTGCTAGTTGTTCAAATCCCAAGGGCTCTTCAGTTAGCAAGTAATTAATCCTGCCAGGAATTTATTTTTCCCTTCAAGGCAGCGGGTTTCCTTCTGGTCCAGGGAATGACTAGAAAGGTAGTCAGGGATCCTGGATATGGGCCCTCACCACTCTGACTGGTGCCCTATCCTACTGTGGCTGAGCTGGTATCTAAAATGCTAGACAAAGCCCTTTCCACTCCTCCCTCCCCGCACCTCAGGCAAAAGGAAGGGGTCTCTTTTGGAGCTGTGATCTGTGCAGCCTGGCTTCAGAGGAGAGGTGATGCCAACACTCCCTTTGCAACCTGTGCTGGTGTCGCTGTAGGTCACATGCCCCCCGCTCCCCAGTCTGGTTCCAATTCAGCACCAGAATCCACCTAAGAGTTGAAGTTATTGTTGCCAAGACTGCCTTTCACATGTATCTAGAGCCCCTGAGAACTGGAGCCTGCATTTGCAATGTTTCTGGGAACTTAAGTTCTGACCACTGCAGTGATTCACCTCAGGCTAGGGCTGGTTTAAATGCTCCCTGCTCTTTTGTCTCTTTTTTTTCCATGCTATAACAGGAAATCCCTGAGTTTAATACCTCACAGTTTCTAGCTCTCCCTCTTCCAAGCACATGGAAGGCTCTCCACACCATGCTGCTGCTACAGGGGGATTGGGAGGGGTGGTGTCTTAGATTCGAGACTGTTTTTTCTACCCCTTCAGTGCCCGATTCAGTGATATAAATTTAAAACCATGTACTATGAGTGCTGACCTGATTTTTGGTTCTTGTGAAGGTTTCCTTTTTGCGTATATAGTTGTTAAATTGGTGTCCTTGGTGAAGTTGCTTATCAGCTTAAGAAGCTTTTGGGCTGAGACTATGGGGTTTTCTAGATATTGGATCATGGCATCTACAAACAGGAATAGTTTAACTTTCTCTCTTCCCATTTAAATGTTCTTTATGTCTTTCTCTTGCTTAACTGCCCTGGCTAGAACTTCCAATACTACGTTAAATAGGAGTGGTGAGAGAAGGCATTCTTGTCTAGTGCCAGTTTTCAAGGGAAATGCTTCCACCTTTTGCCCATTCAGTATGATGTTAGCTGTGGTTTTGTCATATATGATTCTTATTATTTTGAGGTATGATCCTTTAATACCTAGTTTATTGAGAGTTTTTAACCTGAATGAATGTTGAATTTTAACAGAATACTTTTCTGCATTTATTGAGATAATCATGTGGTTTTTGTCTTTAGTTCTGTTTATGTGATGAATCACACTTATTGATTTGAATATGTTGACCCAACCTTGCATCCCAGGGATAAAGCCTACTTGATTGTGGTGGATTATCTTTTTGATGTGCTGCTGAATTTGGTTTGCCAATATTTTGTTGAGGATTTTTGCACTGATGTTCATCAATGTTATTGGCCTGAAGTTTTTTTGTTGTTACTGTATCTGTGCCAGGTTTTGGTATCAGAATGATGCTGGCCTCATAGAATGAGTTAGGGAGGAGTTATTTGGACTACTTTTAGTAGGAATGGTGCCAGCTTTTCTCTCTACATCTGGTAGAATTAAGCTGTGAATTCATCTGGTCCTGGGCTCTTTTTGGTTACTAGGCTATTTATCACTGCCTCAATTTCAGAACTCATTATATGTTTGTTCAGGGAATCAATTTCTTTTTGGTTCAGTCTTGGGAGGGTTATGTGCCCAGAAATTTATTCATTTCTTCTAGATTATCTAGTTTATGTGCATAGAGGTGTTCATAATATTCTCTGATGGTTGTTTGTATTTCTGTTTTCTCAGTGGCAATATCCCCCTTGTTGTTTCTGATTTTGTGTATTTGTATCTTCTCTCTTTTCTTCTTTATTACTCTAGCTAGTGATCTATCTATTTTATTAACTTTTTCAAAAAAGCAGCTCCTGGATTCACTGACACATATCAATACTAACCTTAAATATAAATGGGCTAAATGTCCCAATTAAAAGACACAGAGTGGAAGCTAAATAAAGAACTGAGACCCATTTGTATGCTGTATTCAACAGATCCATCTCACATGCAGTGACACATATAGGCTCAAAATAAAAGGATGGAGAAAAATCTGGCAAGCAAATAGAAAACAGCAAAAAGCAGGGGTTGCAATTCTGGTTTCTGACAAAACAGAATTTAAAACAACAAAAACAAAAACAAGACAAAGAAGAGCATTACATAATGTTAAAGGAGTCAATTCAGCAAGAAGATCTAACTATTCTAAATATATATGCAACCAACACAGGAGTGCCCAGATTCATAAAGCAAATTCTTAAATACCCTCAAAGAGACTTAGACTCCCACACAACAATAGTGGGAGATGTTAACTCTGAACTGACAATATTAGAGAGATCATTGAGACAGAAAATTACCAAATATATTCAGGACCTGAACTGAGCCCTGGATCAAATAGAACGGATAGATATATACAGAACTCTCCACTCAAACACAGCAGAATATATATTCTTCTCATTGTCACTTTGCACTTACCCTAACATCAATCACAAAATCTAAAATGAAGCACTCCTCAGCAAATGCAAAAGAACTGAAACTATAAAAAACAGTGTCTCAGACCATAACACAATCAAATTAGAAATCAAGAGTAAAAAATGTACTCAAAATCATACAATTACAAGAAAATTGAATAAGCTGCTCCTAAATGACTTTTGGGTAAATAATGAAATTAAGGCAGAAATCAAGAAGTTGTTCAAAACTAATAAGAACAAAAATATGATGTACCAAAATATCTGGGACACAGCTAAGAGAGTGTTAAGAGGGAAATTTATAGCACTAAATGCCCACATCAAAAAGTTAGAAAGATGTCAATTTAACAACCTAAAATAACAATTAAAACAGCTAGAGAACAAAAAGCAAACAATTCCCAAAAAATAGCAAAGACAAGAAATAATGAAAATCAGAGCTGTACTGAAGGATATAGAAAAATTTAAAAAAATCCAAAGGATCAACAAATCTGAGAAAATATTTTAAATATTTGAAGTATTATTTAATGAGATAAACATATGAACATATAAAATTTGACCTCCAATACTCAAACTGTGGACAAAACTCAATAATAAATGGATTGTACATATAAATGAGAAAGGCAAACAAGAAAATTCTAGAAGACAAAAAGATAAAATATCTTTAGGTTTTGAGATAGAGTAATATTTTCAATTTATATACACATATGTACTGACATATGTATATACATATAAAGATGAATATGTATATGAAAATAACACAAAAATAACTAAACATAAAGGATTGATAAATTTGATGATATTAAGGTAATAAATTATCTTAATTAAAGATCAAAAGGCAAGCCACAGTGTAGACATAGGCTACATCTGAAAAGCTAAAAAAAAAAAAAAAAGTTCTCTGAAATTTAACTAGCTATATGGTGCCAGTAAGAGTTCAGAGTTGAAGCCCGGTGAAAGCAGAGGTGCTTGAAATAATTTTCATTAAAAATTCCATTAAGACTTCAGAAGGGATACACTTTAGAAGCAAAGATTACATTACAGGGCTAAAGATTATGCCCTAGGACTGAGAACAAAATCAAAATACACATTTCCAAACAAAGTGTAAATTAAAGCCTGCATGTGATGAAGGCAATTTCCTAATAATTTAACTCTGTGTAAAATGCAAACTCACAACTTTTCTTGGGAATAAAGAAAGTCGAGAGTTTCTTTAACACATTATTGCAAATATTCAGGATACAATAAAAAATGCTAGTCTTTCAAAGAAACAAGCACATATGACCCATAACCAAGTCAAAAAAATACTCTATACAAATATATTCATATGTGACCAAATGTTGGAATAATCAAACAGTTCGTTGAGAAATAACAATTACAAACATGCTAAATAATTTACAAAAAAGGAGATAGATATAATGAGAAAACAAATCGGAATTTTAGGGATAAAAACTTTAAGAAAGAACCAACTGAAAATCTTAGAACTGAAAAATTTAGTATCAGGAATCAAAAAATATACTGAAAAAGCATAACAGGAAATTGTGTACTGTAAAAGAAAGGATAACTGAATGGAGAGAGGACAATGGAAATCATCCAACCTGAAGAACAGAAAAAAAAAAAACATTTAAAAAATAACATAAATGACCCGTGGGACAACGTCAAGAATTCTAATTTATGTGTAACTAAAGTCCCAATGAGAGGAGAGAGAGAATACAGCAGAAAATATTTTTTTAAGCTGAGTTTTTTTTTCAAAAATAGATGAAAAACTTCAATACAGAAATCTACGTCAGTGAACATCAAGAAGGACTACAAAGAAAGAAGAAGAAAAAGCTACAGCTTGGGCAATCACAAACTATTGATAATGAAAAATAAAGATAAAATATTTAAATGAACCTGCCGGGCGCGGTGGCTCACGCCTGTAATCCCAGCACTTTGGGAGGCCGAGGCAGGCGGATCATGAGGTGAGGAGATGGAGACCATCCTGGCTAACACGGTGAGACCCTGTCTCTACTAAAAATACAAAAACTTAGCAGGGCGTGTTGGCGGGCACCTGTAGTCCCAGCTACTGGGGAGGCTGAGGCAGGAGAATGGTGTGAACCCGGGAGGCGGAGCTTGCAGTGAGCCGAGATCCCGCCACTGCACTCCTGCCTGGGCGACAGAGCGAGACTCCGTCTCAAAAAAAAAAAAAAAATTTTAAATGAACCTAAGTAAGGCCATTACATGTAGAGGAAACAGAATAAAAAATAATGACATTTTATAAGAGAAATAAATCCATAGAGCAACAAACAAAATAATAAAAGGCCTAGGAGAATCGCTTGAACCCTGGAGGCGGAAGCTGCAGTGAGCCGAGATCACGCCATTGCACTCCAGCCTGAGCAACAACAGCGAAACTCCATCTCAAAATAAATAAATAAATAAAAGGCCACAGAAGAGAGAAAATGGAATGCTAAAAATACCCAGCACAAAGGAAGATAAGAGACAAATAAAAAGCACAAAGATTAGATATGATGAATATTTTAAAAATAGTAAGGGGGAAGTTGATAGTTAATATTGTCAACTTTACTGGATTGAAGGATGCAAAGTATTGTACCTGGATGTGTCTGTGAGGGTGTGACCAAAGGGGATTAACATTTGGGTCAGTGAACTGAGAGAGGCAGACCAACCTCAATCTCGGTGGGCATCATCTAATCAGCTGCCAGTGCGGCTAGAATAAAACAAGCAAGGGAAGATGGAAGATCAGACTTGCTGAGTCTTCCGGCCTTTATTCTTCTCCCGTGCTGGATGCTTTCTGCCCTTGAACATTGAACTCCAAGTTCTTCAGCTTTTGGACTCTTGGACTTACACCACTGGTTTGCCAGGGTTCTCAGGCCTTTGGCCATGGATTGAAGGCTGCACTGTCGGCTTCCCTACTTTTGAGGTTTTGGGACTGGGATTGATCCACCACTCGCTTCCTTGCTCCTCAACTTGCAGACGGCCTATTGTAGGACTTCCTTCTGTGATTGTGTGAGTCAATACTCCTTAATAAACTTCCCTTTATGTGTACATCTATCCTATTACTTCTATCCCTCTAGAGAACCCTGACTAATACAGGAAGAGATAAACATAACTATATAATTTACATTAAATATAAACCCACTACACTTCAATTAAAATAAAAAAAATCAAACTAGATAAAAAAGCATTATATGCAACTTTAAATAAATATACTTTAAATGCAAAATATGAATAGGTATAAAATTAACATAGTGAAAAAATATGCCATGCAATACTTTAGTGAAATAATACAGGCACAGTTATATTTACATAAGAAAAAGATTTCAAGACTAAATGTATTATTAGATAATAATAGTTTTTTGTAATAATAGTATAAATTCATAAAGAAAACATAAAAATCCTAAATGGTTATTCATATAATATCTGAATTTCAAATTACATGGAGCAAAATTGTCAGAATTAGATATAGAAATACATAAAAACCACGAAATAATCAAAAGTAATTGAGAAAGCAAAATATCATCTGTAAATATCCAGAGCATTTTAACAGTAATATTAACCTAATCTACCTTACTGACATTTATATAAAACTATAACCTACACCTGAAAAATAGACATTCTAAGTACACATGATACATTTACTAAGCTAGGCCATATGCTAGGTCATAAAACAAATGTAAATAAGTTGTAAAGTATTGAGAATATAAATATTATTTTATATCTATACAAAAAGATTAAATTGGAATCCAACAATAATATTTAAAAATTGAGGAAAATGTTTACAAAAACTTCATTAGAAAATAAGAGAAATTATAAGATATTTAAATTGCTTTGAAATCTAACATGTCAAACTTTGTGACATGAAGCTAAAGGAGTAAACAGAAAATTGTTTTATTTAAATGCTTACCATATAAAAGAAAAACATGCTGGAAAGCAATGATATAATTCTCTCTTTTAAAACAAACAAAATTAGACGAAAAAATTTGAAAGGAAGGGGATAAAAAATGATAGCGGATATCAATGAAATAGAAAGCAAACAATATTAACAAAGCCAAAATAGGGTCACAGGTAAGGATTAACAAAATTGATAGAAACCAAACACAGCTGATGTAAAGACAGAGAGAAAGATAGAGAGAGAAAGAAAGAAAAATTATCAATCACAGAAATGAAGACAAGTATTTTATTGCAAGTGCTACAGGAAATGAACAAAGTGAGATTACTGACTCTACCTTACATCAAGAGTTACTCTAAAGCTTCAGTAGTCTATATAAATTTTAGAATTGTTTCTGTCCATATCCATGGAAATCAACATTGGAATTTTTACAGGGATTGCACTGAACATGTAGAATGCTTTGGGTAGTATGGACATTTTAACAATATTAACTCTTCCAACCAATGAACACAGAATATCTTTGCAATTTTTTGTGTCTTTTTAAATTTCTTTTATTTTCTTATAGTTTCTAGTATACATAACTTTCAGCTTCTTTGTTAAGTTTATTCTTAAGTATTTTATGTTTTGATGCTATTTTAAATGTAATCACTTTCTTAATTTTTGTCAGTTTGCTATCAGTGTATTAAAATGCACTATGCTAGGTGATATTTTATCTTGCAAATTTACTGAATTTGTTCATTTTATCAGTGTTTTGATGGAGTCTTCAGGGTTTTTTCTACATAAGATAATGTCATCTGCAGACAATTTCACAGAAATATAAAAAAAAACTCCTAAAATTAATATGGAACCACAAAATCATTGCATAGCCGAACCAATTTTGTGAAAAAAGAACAAAGCTAAAAGTCTCACAATACCTGATTTCAAGCTATATTACAAAGCCACAGTAATCAAAGCAATATGGTACTTATATTAAGAGAGATGCATAGACAAATGAAATGGAAGAGAGAGACCAGAAATAAATACATGCATAGTCAGCTGGTCTTTGAAAACAGTGCCAAGTATATACAATGGAGAAAGGACAGTATCTTCAATAAATGATGCTGGGAAAACTGGTATTCACATTTAAATAATAAAATTGGATGACTGTTTTATACCATATACAAAAATTAACTAGAAGTGGACTAAAGATATTAATATAAGGTCAGAAGCTATAAAACTCCTAGAAGAAAATACAAGATAAAAAAGCTCTTTGGCATTGTTATTGGTGATAGTCTTTTAGATATAACACCAAAAGCACAGGCAACAAAAGCAAAAATAGCAGGATTATATCAAACTAGAAAGCTTCTGCACAGCAAAGGAAACAATTAACAAAGTGAAAAGCAATCTAAAATAGAAAAAATATTTGCAGACCATATATCTTATAAGGTGCTAATATCCAAAGTAAGTAAAAAACTACACAACTCAATAGCAAAAAAAGCACCTAATAATCCAATTAAAATCAACAAGAAACCTGACTAGACATTTCTCAAAAGAAGACATACAGGCCGGGCATGGTGGCTCACGCCTGTAATCCCAACACTTTGGGAGGCTGAGGCGGGGGGATCACGAGGTCAGGAGATTGAGACCATCCTGGCTAACACGGTGAAACCCCATCTCTACTAAAAATACGAAAAATTAGCTGGGCGTGGTGGCGGACACCTGTAGTCCCAGCTACTCAGGAGGCTGAGGCAGGAGAATGGTGTGAACCCGGGAGGTGGAGCTTGCAGTGAGCCGAGATGGTGCCACTGCACTCCAGCCTGGGCGACAGAGCGAGACTCTGTCTCAAAAAAAAAAAAAAAAAAAAAAGACATACAAATGGCCAACAAATATATGAAAAAGTTCTCAATATCACTGATCTTCAGAGAAGTGAAAATGAAAACCACAATGAGATATCAATTTACACCTGTTAGGTTTGCTATTATCAAAAAGACAGGAGATAACAGATGTTGGCAAAGATGTGGAGAAAAGGGAACCCTTTTGCGCCGTTGCTGGGGATGTAACTTGGTATAGTCACTATGAAAACAGTATGACATTGCCTCAAAAAATTAAAAATCGAACTATCATATGATCCATGAAATCCCGCTTTGTGGTATATATCCAAAGAAAATAGAACCAGTATTTCTAAGAGATATCTGCATTCATTTGTCCATTGCAGCATTATATACAATAGCCAAGACATGGGAATAGCCTTAGTGTTCATCAATGGATGAATGGATAAAGAAATTGTGGCACATATATATAACGGAATATTATTCCACCACAAAAGGAAGGAAATTCTGCCATTTGTGACAACATAAATGAACCTAGAAGACATTAGGCTAAGTAAAATAAGAAATATACAGAAATAAAAATACCACATGATCCAACTTATATGTGGGTGTTAAAAAGTTGAACACATAAAAGCAGAGAGTAGAATGGTGGTTGCCAGGGCCTGAGGGGTGGTCAAAATGGGGAGATGCTGATTAACAGGTATACATTTAAGTTATAAAATAAACAAGTTGTAAGGTTCTAATGTAAAGCATGGGTGTTGATGGACTTGTTAATGAATTTAATTGTAGTAATTATTACACAAGGTATACATGTAACAAATCATCAGGTTTTACATCTTGCATATATTTCATCTTTGTCAATTAATATATCTTAAAGCTACAACAATCAAAACAGTGTACTATTTTTGAAGGACTACACAAGTAGGCAAATGGAACACAGTAGGAAATCTAGAAATAGACCCACACAAACATGGGCAAGTGGTCTTTGACAAAGAATCAAAGGCCATTCAGTGGAGAAAGGGTGGTCTTTCAGCAAATGGTGCTGGATTATCCCATTTAATATAATAAATCTATACACAGACCTTACATCTTTCACAAAGAAAAATCAAATGGGAGAACAGATAAATCTTTCTTACAGAATAATTTCACTTAATAAATGTAGAAAGAGTTAGAGGAATAGAAATAACACCATTAAACTATCATAGAAATAATTGTTGTAGGCAATACACACTGGTGACTGCTGTATTTAGTGGGCAAAAGTTTAAACAGAAAGAAGATATTTGTATAATTTCAAAGTATGTCTCCCAAGACATTTAGTAATTACAAAAAAGATAAACCATGGTTTACAGTGGAGAATCCTAGCAGACACCACACATATATGAAAATCGTGACATCTGTGAAATGCAATTATTGTAATTGTTTCTTTCCAATTTGAATGCTACTGATTTATTTTTCTTCTCTAATTGCTCTAAATAAAGCCTCCAATACTATGTTAAACACAAGTGGAAATACTGGGCATCTATCTCATTCCTGATCTTAGGAGAAAAGCTTTTATTCATTGACACTGTGTATGATGTTGGCCTTGAGTTTTAAAATTTAAAGCTGTTTTCATCATCCTCAGCAAACTAACACAGGAACAGAAAACCAAACACTGCATGTTCTCACTCATAAGTGGAAGGTGAACAATAAGAACACATAGACACAAGGAGGGAAACAACATACACTGGGGCCAATCGGGGAATGGCGGGTGAGGGGAAAGAGAGCATTAGGACAAATAGGTAATGCATGCGGAGCTTAAAACCTAGATGGCGGGTTGACAGGTTCAGCAAGCCATTAAGGCAGATGTATACTTATGTAACAAACCTACACGTTCTGCACTTCTATCACAGAACTTAAAGCAATTTTTTTTAAAAAAAGGAAAAAAAAGAAAAATAAAATATATGGCTGTTTTGATACATTCCTGCTACTATAACAAAATGCCATGAACTAGGTAGATTATAAAAAAATGAGAAATTTATTTCTTACAGTTCAGGAGACTGAGAACTGTATGATCATGGCACTGGGATATATTCAGTCTCCCATGAGGGCTTGCTTTCTTTTTCACAGATGATGCCTTTTCACTGTGGCCTCACTCATTATTGAATGCTTTTTCTACATTTATTGAGATGACCATATGTTTTTTTTTATTCTGCCTATGTGATATATCACATTTATTGACTTGCATACATTGTAAAATTCCTACATCCCTGGAATGAAATGCACTTGTTCATGGTGTATTATTTATTTGATGTGGTGTTGGATTCAGCTAGTTAGTATTTTGTTGAGAATTTTTGCATCTATGTTCATCAGGGATATTGGTCTGTAGTTCTCCTTCCTTCCTTCCTTCTTTCTTTCTCTTTCCTTCTTTCCTTCTTTCTTTCCTTCCTTCTTTCCTTCCTTCCTTCCTTCCCTCCTTCCCTCCCTCCCCTTCCCTCCCTCCCTCTTTCTTTGTTTCTTTCTTTCTCTTTCTTTCTCTTTCTCTTTCTTTCCTTCTTTCTTTTTCTTTCTTTCTTTTCTTTCCTTCTTTCCTTCTTTCTTCTTGTTATAACCTTTCCTGGCTTTTGTATCATGGTGATTCTGGCTTCATATAATGAGTTAAGAAGGATTCCTTCTTTCTTAATCATTCTGGAATAGTTCCAGTAGAATTGGTACCAATTCTTGTTTGAATGTCTGGTAGACTTCAGCTGTGAATCCATCTGGCCCTGGGTTTTCTTTTTGGTTGAAATTTTTTTTATTACTGATTCTACCTCACTGCTGACTATTTGTCTGTTTAGTGTTTCTATTTTCTTCTGATTTAATCTAGAACTGTTGTATATTTCCAGGAATTCATCCAGTTCCCCTAGATTTTCTAGTTCATATGCATAGAGGTGTCCTTAATAGTCTTGAATGAATTGTTGATGTCTGTGATGTTGGTTGTAATGTATCCATTTTCATTTCTAATTGAGCTTATTTGAAATTTCTCTCTTGTTTTCTTGCTTAATATAGCTAATTATCAATTTTATATTTTCAAAGAACCTTTTGATTCACTGATTTATTTTATTGCTTTTTATTTCAATTTTATTTAGCTCTGCTCTGATCTTATTTATTTTCTCCCGCTACCTTTGCTTTTGGTTTGTTCTTGTTTCTCTAGTTTCTTGAAATGAGACATTAGGTTGTCAATTTCTTATCTTTCAGACTTTTCAATAGATGCGTTTAGGACTCCAAACTTTACTCTTAGCACTGCTTTTGCTTTATCCCTGAGGTTTTTATAACTTTTGTCACTGTTATCATCTTTTCAAAGAATTATTTAATTTCCATCTTGATATCATTTTAACCCAATTATTCAGGAGTAGATTTTTTAATCTCCATGTATAGTTTGGAGGTTCACTTTGGAGTTGGTTTCTAGTTTTATTCCACTGTGGCCTGAGAAGATATTTGATATTATTTCAATTTTTAAATTGTATTGAGACTTGTTTTATGTCCCTTTCATATGGTCTATCTTGGAGAATGTTCCTTGTGCTGCTAATAAGAATATACATTCTGCAGTTTTTGGGTGGAATATTTTGTAAATATCTGTTAGGTCCATTTGTTTTAGAGTGTAGTTTAAGCCCATTTTTTCCTTGTTGAATTTTTTAACTTGATAATATGTCTAGTGCTGTCAGTGGAGTGATGAAATCCTCCACTATTATTGTATTGCTGCTTATCTCATTTCTTAGAACTAGTAGTAGTGAGAGGTGAAGCCAGCTGGACGTCCTGGGTCAAGTGGGGACTTGGATAACTTTTCTGTCTAGCTAAAGGATTGTAAACACACCATTCAGTGCTCTGTGTCTAGCTAAAGGTTTGTAAACGCATTAATCAGCACTCTGTAAAAACACACCAATCAGTGCTCTGTGTCTAGCTAAAGATTTGTAAATGCACCAATCAGCACTCTATAAAAATGCACCAATCAGTGCTGTGTCTAGCTAAAGGTTTGTAAATGCATCAATCAGCACTCTATAAAAATGCACCAATCAGTGCTCTGTGTCTAGCTAAAGGTTTGCATATGCACCAATCAGCACTCTGTAAAAACACACCAATCAGCACTCTGTGTCTAACTAAAGGTTTGTAAACACATCAATCAGCACTCTGCAAAAACGCACCAATCAGTGCTCTGTGTCTAGCTAAAGGTTTGTAAATGCACCAATCAGCACTCTGTAAAAATGGACCAATCAGCACTCTGTAAAATGGACCAATCAGCACTCTGTAAAATGGACCAATCAGCAGGACGTGGGTGAGGCCAAATAAGGGAATAAAAGCTGGCCACCCGATCCAGCAGTGGCAACCCGCTTAGGTCCCCCTCCATGCTGTGGAAGCTTTGTTCTTTCGCTCTTCACAATCAGTCTTGCTGCTGCTCACTCTTTGGGTCTGCACTACCTTTATGAGCTGTAACACTCACCACGAGGGCCTGCAGCTTTATTCGTGAAGTCAGCAAGACCACAAACCCACCAGAAGGAAGAAACAACTCTGGATGCACCACCTTTAAGAGCTGTAACACTCACTGTGAAGGTCTGCGGCTTCACTCCTGAAGTCAGTGAGACCACGAACCCACCAGAAGGAAGAGACTCTGACACATCTGAACATCTGAAGGAACAAACTCTGGACACACCATCCTTAAGAACTGTAACACTCACTGCAAGGGTCTGCAGCTTCATTCTTGAAGTTAGTGAGACCAAGAACCCACCAGAAGGAACCAATTCTGGATACAGTAGTTGTTTTATCAATCTGGAATCTCCAGAGTTAGCTGCATTTAAATTTAAGATTGTAACATCTTATTGGAGTGATTTTTTTATTAGTATATAATGACTTTCTTTGTCTTTTTTAAATCTTGTTGCTTTAGCATCTGTTCTATCTGTACAAGAATAGCTATTCCTGCTCATTTTTGGTTTCCATTTCTATGGATTACCTTCTTCTATTCTTTTACCTTGAGTTTGTATGAATCCTTCCATGTCTGGCAAGTCTCTTGAAGATGGCAGATGTTTGGTTTGTGATTTTTAAAAATGTGTTCAGCCAACCTGTATTTTTTAAGTGGAGCATTTAGGCCATTTAAATTCAAATGAGATGTGAAATATAATACTATTTCAGTCATCATGTTAAGTGTTATGTAGATACTTTGTTTTCTTCACTGTTATTGTTTTATGGGCTCTGTGAGTTTTATGCTTTCAAAAGGTCCTATTGTGGTGCATATTTCCTTTTTGTTTCATGATTTAGAACTCATTTTCGCATTTCTTCTAGGGCTGGACTAATAGTGACAAATCTCCTCAGCATTTGTTTGTCAGAAAAATAATTTTATTTCTCCTTTATTCATAAAACTTAATTTTGCTAGACACAAAATTCTTGGCTAACTTTCATTCTGTTTAAGTCAGCTAAAGATAGGACTCAAGTCCCTCCTAGATTGTAAGGTTTCTGCTGAGAAGTCTGCTGTTAATATGATAGGTTCTTCTTTATAGGCTACCAGATGCTTTTGTCTCATGGCTCTGAGAATTATTTCTTTCAACAAATGGAAGAACATTCCATGCTTATGGATAGGAAGAATCAATGTCGTGAAAATGGCCATACTGCCCAAGGTAATTTATAGATTCAATGCCATCCCCATCAAGCTACCAATGACTTTCTTCACGGAACTGGAAAAAACTACTTTAAAGTTCATATGGAACCAAAAAAGAGCCCACATTGCCAAGACAATCCTAAGCCAAAAGAACAAAGCTGGAGGCATCACACTACCTGACTTCAAACTGTACTACAAGGCTACAGTAACCAAAACAGCATGGTACTGGTACCAAAAGAGAGATACAGACCAACAGAACAGAACAGAACCCTCAGAAATAATACCACACATCTACAACCATCTGATCTTTGACAAACCTGAGAAAAACAAGAAATGAGGAAAAGATTCCCTATTTAATAAATGGTGCTAGGAAAACTGGCTAGCCATATGTAGAAAGCTGAAACTGGATCCCTTCCTTACATCTTATACAAAAATTAATTCAAGATGGATTAAAGACTTAAATGTTAGACCTAAAACCATAAAAACCCTAGAAGAAAACCTAGGCAATACCATTCAGGACATAGGCATGGGCAAGGACTTCATGTCTAAAACACCAAAAGCAATGGCAACAAAAGCCAAAATTGACAAATGGGATCTAATTAAACTAAAGAGCTTCAAGTTGACTTTAGATAGCCTGATGACTACATGCCTTTATGATGTTCTTTTTGCATTGAATCTCCCAGGAGTTCTTTGAACTCCTTATACTTGGACATATTAATCTCTATGAATGCTAGGGAAGATTTGCTCAATTATTCCCTCAAATAAGTTTTCAGAATGGTTTACCTTCTTTTATCCCTCAGGAACACCAATGATTCTTAAGTTTGGCCATTTTACATAATCCTATATTTCTTGGAAACTTTGTTCATTTATTTTGATTCTTTTTTCTTTACTTTTGTCTCATTGGTTTAATTTAAAAGCCTTTTCTTTGAGCTCTGAATTTCTTCCACTTAGTCTTGTCTATTGTTAAAACTTTCAACTGCAATGCATTTATATTTAATTATAATAAAAAATAATTTTCCCATTTTGTTATGTTTTCTCTTATGCCATGCAACTTTCTTTTTCCCTCATTTCCTCCATTACTGCCTTCTTTTGTGTTAAGATTTCTTTTCGTGGTTATCTTGTTACTTCCTTTTGTGTATATTTGAAATATATTTTCTTCATAGTTATTGTGAACCCAAAATTTTCCTTTCAGGTTATCATGAGAATTACCTATAATATCTTAAAGTTATGACAATCTAATTTGAATTCACACCAACTTAACTTCGATAGTACATAAGAGTGTCCTCTTACACATCTCTGCCACTCCCATTTTATATTATTGATGTCACAAAGAGCATCCTTAAATACAATGAGCTTGGTAACAGATTTATAATTAGTTACATTCATTTGTCTTTTATGCCCTTTGAAAGATAAAATGTGGTGCTGTAAACCAAATGACAAGAATATTGGTGTTTATACTTGTCTTTGTATTTATTTTACTGGAGATCTCCATATATTCATATGGTTTGGAGTTAATGCCTAGCTTCCTTTTATTTCCATCTGAAGAACTTGTTTTCATATTTTTTTACATCAGATTTAACAGTAATTAGCTCTCCCAATTTTAAAATTCAGGAATGTCTTTATTTCTTCCTCATTTTCTAAAGACATTTTTGCTAGTTACAAAGTTCTTGGCTGAAAGTTTTTTGTTCTTTCAGCATTTCAAATATATCATCCTACTGCCTTATGGCCTCCAAGGATTTTGTTGAAAAGTCTGTTGACAATCTTTTTGAGGATCCCTTGTACATGAGGTGTTGCTGTTTTTGTGCTGCTTTTGAGGATCTATCTTTGTCTTTGTCTTTTAATTGCTTATTTTTCTAGCAGATTGATTATCATATTTGTATATGTGAATCTCATTGAAGTTTTTCTATTTCAATGTAATATAGCTTTTTTAATATGAAAGTTAATGGTTTTACACAAATCTGGGAATTTTTCTACAATTATTTCTTTAAATATTTATTCTGCCACTTTTATTCTCCTCATTATAAATGTATTTGTCTCCTTGATACAAATGTTTGAATATCTGTTCATTTTCCTCCACTCTATTTCTTTTATTTTTCTCAGATTAAGTAATATTAATTGTCTTATCTTTAAGTTCACTGATTCCATCTTTTACCTTCTCAAGTCTCCTGCTGTACCCCTCTAATAAACTTTTCATTTCAGTTATTTTTCTTTACAACTTTGAAATTTTAAAAAATCTAACCTTTTATTAATATTCTCTATTTGGTGAGTCTTTGTTCTCATACTTTTCTTAACTTCTTTACACATGAATATGTGTAGTTTTTGACGTATTTAAAATAGCTGCATTAAACTGTTTATTAAGTCCAATATATGGTCTTTTTCAGGAAAACTTGCCACTAATTGTTTGCTTTTTCTTCCTATATATTGGCCATACTTTCTTGTTTCTTTTTATGTCTCATACATTTTTGGGTAAAAAGCAAAATAATGTAATTTGAAAATCTGAAAATTGGGTTTTCCTCTCTTCTAGACTTTGTTGTTTTGGCTTTTTGTTGTTGTTTGTTTAGTTACTTTTCTAAATAATTTTTCTAGGTCTGTTACCTTTGTAATGTGTGGCCACTGAAGAACCTTCTCCCCATTCTGAGTGGTCAAGTAATAATTTGAAAGGGATTTTCTTAAATGCATTGAATCTGTAAGTCACCCAGTCTTTGTCAAGGAGATTTCTGTGTGTGTTGGATCATGCATTTGATACTTATCCAGGCACTGACAACTCTTAGCATTCTCTTTTGCCTCATGCAGAGACTGAAGTTAAACCAAATATAAGAAATGAGGGCCTTCTAGAGTTTTTCTTGAAATTGAGTACAGCCCTGAGATTTCTCACAACCCTACACTTTTACATTACCTTGTAGACTCCTGGGAATACGTTGGAGCTTTTTAAAGCTCCTTAAAATACTTTATTTTCTAGTTTCTCCTTAAAACTATTTGGTTACCCTATTGATATTTCCCAACTGTTATCCACTGCCTCAGGCTACTGTGAATTCAAACAATTGCCTCCAAACTATACAAATGCCCCCAGTATAAGGCTTTCCCTTCAGGGTGATCTCAAAGTAAAGTAGAAGAAAGATAGCTTTGCTAGTGGGTCCTCCAGGGACCTCCACCTGCCAGACAAGTCAATAATGCCAATTCTCCTGGGATGGTGATATGAAAAAGATCCAAATGGCTTCTGCCTACTCTGGTGGCTGCCACTCTGCTGGTTCTGCCTATTGTGGTGGCTGCCAGTCTACTGGGTTTCAGTATAATATCAAGCTGTTGGTTTTTAAGGCTACCACTGAGCTGGATGGAGGAGTATGTGAATAGAGTAACTTAAAATACCACAAAACTTACTGTTTCTACTGAGATTCTACTGTGTTTTGTTTTGTTTGTTTGTTTTTATAAATGCTTCCTAGATTGCTGTAAACTTTGGTCAAATTACAGAGTTCTGAAATGTGAATTCTGGCAATTTATGCCAGTTTTATTTCATTGTTCTTATGGAGGAATTTTTGGAGATCCATATTCTGTCATTTTATTTGACATTATCAGAGTTTTGTTAATATGCCTACAGAGCAGAACAGGAGCCTAGAAAATTGTGAAACTTAATCAAAAATTTGAAATCCACATTTTTCTATGTAGATAAAAAATTTTATTGCAAGATGGCCCTGTCCCACTAAATAATATTATATTTCTTTAATAATTTAACATTTTTTCTTCTGTCTTTCAGATGTATCTTGACTGCTTGTATTTAAAAACTGTCTTTACTAATTAACAACTATGTCATTTTGGGCAAGTTAATTAACCTCATTGTGTCTCTGTTAATATATGTGGAAAATAGTAATAATAATAGTACCTACTTTGTAGAATTCTTGTAAGAAATGTATAACTAATTTACATAATATGCATTAAATCAGTATGTAGCACATATTAAGTGCCATACAAGTGATGTTGTTGTTAAATCCTGAATGCCATATAGAGGATAATTCTCATTCATTTTTATATCACCAGCAATAGCTAGAACCTGAAAGAAACTCAACTATTTGTTTAGTTGAGATTCACTTTTCAGTAAACATGTATTTTTTTATTTCTATTTATTTTTATGATAACTGAAGAACTAAGATTCTGTATTTTTAAATCAACTATAGAGATTAAAATGCTGATAGCTATCTATCCTGAAAGAGCCAAGCAGCCAAATACCCTCATTACTTTTACTTTTTCAGGTTAAAAGGAATATTTCACATAGAAAGGTTTTATTGTCACAAATGAAGAGGTACAAGGATACAAGTAAAAGTTGCAAAATTGCTGTTTATTATAACTGCCAATTACATCCATTTCTACATTGCTTGTCCAGACTTATGGAAGATCTAAAACACACACAGACACCTTTATGCCTGCTGTGGAAGCTACTGTAATTCCATTCTGGAAGCTGATCTGCCATGTTGGTTTCTGATTGACCCCAGTTCTAGGAAGCCCTCTAAAATTTCCAGTTTATTTATTGTACCTTGCATAACAGCAGATACTTACCATAAATAATGCGCTTAGGTCCAACAACTTTAATGATATAATAATTCAATTATCCTACACATCTCTTCTGAACCACCCCTCCCAAATGCTATATAAGCTCTGGATCTGAGGGCTAATTGTGTGGAAACCCACCATCTTGTCTTGTTGTTGCCCAAGACATAGACATGGCTTCTGTTCATAAGTCCCTATTACGTGTTTCTTTCTGTGAAACTGTATCTGTCAGACTCTCTCTTCAGCCTCTCAACTTCCTCAGTCTTTGAGGTAGGTTTGCATAGGCCTGTCCACGGTGAAACACCTGAGCATGCACACACACACACACACACACACACACACACACACGCACACACACCACTTTTTTTAGTTGGCCTGTTGAGAAGTGAAATATATTTGGAATTAGAGGGAGATGAGAATGCAAAGGAGGGAAACACTATGACTTCTCAGGGAAATTGTTCATCAATTTGATATTACTAATGTCTTGAAGGAAATGAGAATCGTACTACTGTACAACTCAATTAGTCAAACTGATTCATGGATTAAGCAATGTTGCCAAGGCACATACTTTTTTGTGTAATCCTTACTAGATATTTCAAAAGTAACTCTACTTGTGAAGCAGAAGCCACACTTTACTGTGCTTTCTGAATAGACAAAATTACTGATGTCAGTGGTTGAATTGGTATGTTTGAATAATGATTGTACCAAGAGGCTTGAGGTGGATCAGTCGACTATGACAGTACCATCTTATGACAGTACCATCTTGATGTCCATGCTATGAAAATAAACTCTATATGTGGAGATTTAAATCAACTGATAATACAGTTTCATGTATCCAAAAGCCATGGACAGAGAGAACATGGCATAGTCACCAAATATCAGAGCATGCATTTCAGCCCCTTTGTACTTCCCCAAACCCCTGATGCTTGAAGAATTTAATTTAATTTCCAATAAAATAAAATTTCACCCTACCCAATTGGCAGTAAACATAAAAATTGTTACACTGTTAAGCAGTGAAGGATAGAAATTTAAGTAGGTTTTTAATAAGTTGATGCCACCCTAATATTATATTCATAATTTAATTTTGTGTTTATGCCTTAATAGCTCAAGGATAATGTGTTTGCTATCAATAGCAAATATTTTGGTTGGGATATATGTATAAATGCATTATGCAGTTTTGCCAATAGATGTTCATTGATAGTTTCTACCATATAATGATAGCTAACATTTATTGAAAACCTTCTAAATGTCAGGCATTTTATAGATATTTATTAATATTTAAAATGCCTATCATGTACTAGCCACTAATCAAACAACTAAGGACAGAGTAATGAAAGAAGCAGATGAAATTTTCTATTCTTCCAGAGCTTTAATCTACATTATTTTATTAAATTATCTCGAGAAAATTATATGTATGAGAAAACTGAGGCTTAGTGAGCTTAAGTAACAGGCATAACTTTTCCCATCCAGCTAGTAGAAAAGCCAAGTTTCAAACCATGTTCCAAAAAAGACAATCTGACTCCTGAGTCTATGCTCTTGATTCTCTGGACTTGAGCTTTTTTTTAAAAAAGTTACTGTTCATTTTCTTTAGCCATATATTGTGTATTAATGCCAGTAATATTATAGGTAATTCTTATGAAAAACATCCTCATAGTAGAAATTTAAGAGATATTCCTTGAGATTAATACATTAAAAATAAATCTACAACTTCTAGTTTTGGACTAGATAGAATAAACCCACTACAGTCTTTCTTTCTCACTGATTACAAGTAAAAACTCTGGGGAAATAAAAACATGCAGAAACTACTCAAACCCTGTGAAGAGTAAAAGCAAAACAAAACAAAACAAAAAAAGCAAGCAGATTAGAGAGCAACGTCCAAAGAAGTATTTGAACTTTCAGCCTCTGTGTTTTCTAAGTTTTTTCTCCTTATTTATCTTCCAGCTGTAGAATGAGGGCAGGCCTTCTTGGGAAATGTGCAGCAGTCATGGACGGTAAAAACTAGGAGAGAAAATTTATCCTTCTTAAGAGGACTAGGGAAAGGGCTCCCTGTAATCTAGAGAGTACGTGAGAATTTCTCATTTTTTTATTTCTCCTATCCTTTGCCCTGAGACAGCTGAACTGGTGGCACATGACACCTCAGGCTGAGAGAAAACCCATTTCTTTGGATAGTGAAACTTAGAAAGGGGCCCCTGTTTGGTGAATGTTAAGGAAAACTATAATTTAGTAGCTTTGTTTTTCTCACTGCTTCACTCCCCAAACAGGCTTAGTCTTTCAGAAATGCATGGCAAGACGGGGGACTAAACTTCTGGAAAAAGTCCCAGATTTCTAACCAGAGAGCAAACAAAAGGATTCCCTGGAGACCAGAGAATATAAGGAAAATTCTTGGAAGGAGACAGATGGATAAATGTTTCCTTAATTTTATATACAAGTCAACACACGTCCCAGGCTGATTCACAAGCTGTGCATGTGTGAAAGGAGCCCAAAGAAATAAAGAATGCCTTTGATGATTAAAATACAATATACATTACCACTTAAATCTCAGATGAACCTCTGAGTGGCTCTTGCTAAAGACTGATCCAAAGAGTATGGAAAAGCTTGTACATTAAAATGATAATAAAGCTACTACACTCTGAGGTCAAGACAGGTAAAATTCTGATCTCAAATTAAATGGATTGGCTGTCTGCTGAAACAAAATGTCAACATTGTCCAAAGGATTTTAACACAGCAGTGTCTCACAACATAATTTTCAAAAATGTTCAAGATCCAATCCAAAATTTACTCAAGATACAAAGAACCAAGAAAATGTACCCAGTTCTCATGGAAAAAGACAGAGGCCAACCTCTCTAATATCAAGATGACTACGATATTGGAATTATCAGACAAAGACATTAAAGCAACTATTATAGACATCTTTCATAAGATAAATATAACACTCTTGAAATAATTGGAAAGTGACATTTTCATCAGAGATATAGAAATTATTTTAAAGAGAACTAAATATAATTTGTATTTTGTTTCTTATTTTATTATTAATTGACAAATAATAATTGTACATATTATATATTTACAGGGTTCAATGTGATGTTTTGATTTATGTTGACATTGTGGAATGATTAAATCAAGCTAATTAACAAATCCATCATCTCACATACTTATTTAATCTTTCAATAATTTTGAAATATGCAATGCATTATTATTTATCATAGTCAGCATCTGTGCTCATGATCAAAAAAGCTTATTCATCACATTTAACTGAAATTCTGTACCCGTTGATCAACACCTCTGCTTTTACCATTCAACCCCATCCTCCAGCCTGTGGTAACCACTCTTCTACTCTCCACTTCTATAATTTCAACTTTTTACATTCCTCATATAAGTGAGTGCAATATTTGTCTTTCTGTGCCTGGATTATTTCAATTAGCATAATGTCCTACAGGGTCATCCATGTTGTTTTGAATGACAAGATTTATCTCTTTCTAAGGCTGAAGGTATTCTATTGTTTATATATGTCGCCATTCATTCAATGATGGACAGTTAGCTTACTTCCATATCTTTGCTATTGTTAATAATGCTGAAATAAACATGGTAGTTTAAATATCTTTTTCATTTCCTTTGGATATATACCCAGAAGTAGGATTGCTGGATTATATGGGAAATGTATTTTTAGTTTTGTGAGGAACCACAATACTGCTTTCCATAATGGCTGTATTAATTTACATCCCCACCAACAATGCACAAGAGTTCCTTTTTCTCTACACTCTTGCCAAATACAAATTTTAGAACTGAAAAACATAATATTTTAATAAATATTTCACTGAATAGGCTCAACGGCAAGATGGAAATGAAAGAAAGTAGTCAATAAACTTGGAAATAGACCACCAGAAATCTGGAAAAACAAGGAGAAAAAGGATTTAAAAAGCAAACAGAAACTCAGGGACCTGTGGCGTAATAACAAAATGCCTAACATTTGTGTCTTTGAAGTTTCTGAAGGAAGCTGGCAAGAAGTTAATGCACAGAAAACATTTTGAGGAAATAATGGTTGACGTTTCCCAAATCTGGGAGTTTCCTGTTGTCTACACTCTTCTTCCCTTCAGGTTTATACACACTGATTTTATACTTTTAATAAAACAAGTTCTCGCAAGATATGGAATGAGCTATGGAGAGTCAGGTAATAGAACTGGGTTTTAGAAGACAAGGCTAAATTATGTTTTTAAGGTTTAAGTTTTGTACTAAGATTTTTATCTTAGATTTTTATATCTTTATGCTGCAAGCTATATAAATTAATGAAAATCATTCAATTCCCAGCTCTCAATTTGCCCAGAGCAGTGAATGTCAACCATAAATTAGCTGGCTGTATTTGGAAACAATGGCTGATCATCAAGGTCAGATGAGGTAACTGACATAAATAAGATGAGATGGTCATATAAGTGAACAATAGAACGTGTATAGTGAGGGTCAAGACAGTAACTCTCAATTAGGGAGTTGTATCTTTCAAGTGAGACAATAACATGCAAATAGTTAACAAACCTGCGTAGCTCATAAATCATAGGTTGGGTTGATTATGGGTAAAAATCTTCCCCAAAGGTGAACAAAAGCTTTTTAGAGGTGTGAAGATCTCTGTTTCTAATGTTTTGTGTTGTCCCTGGACTGATCATGGAAGACTACAAGTAGAGAGGAAACGGTTTGAGTTATCAGAGCATTCAGTATAAAAATCTTTTATTGACTGCCTAATTACATTTTAGGCAGCTTATATGTTATCTCAGTGACTCCAGGGAAGCAGAATTGATTAATTCTTATTTGGAAAATCTGGAAGAGCTTTATAAAGGAGGCGACTTTTGTGCTGGCCTGGAAATATACGTAGAGAATTTAGGGAGTGGTGTCCCAGGTAAACAGCATATCTTTAGAAGAAACATGGAGTCAAGAAAAAATAAGACATTTAGGAGAGAGTTGTGAACATGACTGTATTTTCAGGGGTTCTCTCTGAAGGGAATATGAAGAATGAAGAAAGAAATTAAAGATATTAAAGCTCATTTTTAGTTTTAAAATATTTAAAACACTTTATGACATTTTTCTTGGGCTTTTAATATAGCTACAGATAATAAATTTGTTTGTGTCAATAAGGGAGGATTCTTGCATTCCTGTAATCTTGAGATTGATCTATTGATGGTCATATAGAATTAGTATATTAATTTTCTGAAAAATTTTCCCTGGTGTAATGTCACAGGTATGATACAAAACTAAATGAATTGTAACTCACCTTTTATTTTTATTTAATTTATCAAATACTTACCTAATGTCTACTATGTTTTAGGAGAGTTAAATAAAGTCGATTTTCCACATTTTCAGGGTTTAGAATAAAGTTGAAATGCTGGCATATTGGCAGGTGACTACAAAAGTGGTGTTTAAATGCTGTGACAGAACAGATTATTATAGAAGCACGTTAGAAGAATTGGCTGATGTTGCCTTTGGCGAACAAGAAACCTTCACAAATTAGGTAACATTTTACTTAGATTAGGGAGCTTTTGTTTCATTTTTTTTCTTTCATAGCAAAGATAAAACCCTTTTTGGTTTACAGGATGACAGTAAGAAACTAAAGATGAATGAAAGGTAGCTTGTCATGCAGAGTGACAAACAAGCCTCTGAAAGAGAGAGTGTACCACATACCCAGCCAAGAGTTGTGAAGGACCAAGAATGCCAGAAAAATAGTGAGATATTTAGTATATCTTGCCTGTTGCATGCACAGAAAAAACGTGGACCCAGATGAATTGTGCAAGGTGAACTGGGGTCAAATAATGACAGTCTTTGAATGTGCAGGAGACTGACTTCATCTTGCAGGACACATGGAACCGAGCAGGTGTTTTTCAGAAAAGAAAATGATATGATTAGTGTATTAGTCTGTTTTGTATTGCTATAAAGGAATACCTGAGGCTGGGCAATTTATAAAGAAAAGAGATTTATTTGGCTCATGGTTCTGCAGGCTATATAAGACACATAGTGCTGGAATCTGCTTCTGGTGAAGGCATCAGGAAACTTACACTTATGGAAGAAGGCGAAGAGGGAGCAGACATATATGGCAAGGGAAGGAGCAAGAAAGAGTAGAACAGGTCCAAGATTTTTTAAACAACCAGCCCTTGCATTAACTTATTACCTCTGGGAAAGCACAAAACATACATGGTGAATCTGCCCCTATGACCCAAACACCTTCCACCAGGCCCCACTTCCAGCAGTGGGAATTACATTTCAACATAAGACCTGGAGAGGACAAACATCCAAACTATATCAATTACTCTTACAATCCCTAATAAAAATTAAATTAATAAAATGAATGCACTCACGCTATTGGAACAATGAATTGAATAATAATGGGGTCAAGTTTGTCCCTAACTGGATTGTTAGTTTATAGCTGTGGTTTCCCAACTATCCACAGAAATGTCATATTTGTCAGTTATTGGAAAGCTGTGCCTGAAGCTTTTGAACCAGCACCTTCAACCCTTCCTTTATCATTACCCTCTGTAGATTGCATTAAGTGCCAGAATTCATGTAAATCAGAAACCTTCAAAAGTAGCAAATGCAATTGAGTCAACTAGTAAATTTGCTAGGTCTACGTCTAATATTTGTGAGGCCAAAAGCAAAGGTCAGAATGAAAACCAATATAACATATGTATAAATATTTAAATGCATAAAGATACCAAAATATTAATTATTAAATACAATGTGTTCTATCTTCCTATGTTGACAGATACACCTGCATAAAGACTCAGAAAACCAGGTTCAAACTGACAATTTTTGACCTCTCAGAGTATTATACACTTATGTGGCAGTGTCAGTGAGCAAACTTTAAGCTCATATTCCCATCACCAGCTACATTCAGCACTTGAGGGGACTGGTATGTGAGAAACCGAATATACAGATAATCAATGGTCAGGCCATATATGACAATAGAACACTAATCCACAACTTCTGCAGCAACCAGCCTGGAAAACCAAACCACAACCTCTACAACAATCATCTCAGAATGTTGAATACTTGATTAGTGACTGCCAGTTTTCCTAAGTTTTGCCCCCGCTTCCTATTCAGGACCACCAGAAAAAAGATAAATTTCTTCCCCAAACAAAACATATAGGAGTGTCTGCTTCTAGTTAACACATCTAACAGCTTCCCCATACCAACAACCTCCTGTCTGAGCACATCTAAAATCTACTGCTACTTTTTTTTTTTTTTTGCTATAATGCTTTCCCACATTTCTGCTTACCTTTTAGCCTCTGTTAAATAAGGGATGGTGGCTGACTCCCTTGCTGTAGCAAGTACTAAAAGCCTCTATTTTTTCTTATTTGGATTATATTCATTTGTTTGTGTTTAAGTGTGTATAAAATGTGGACAATCCAGCCTGGGAAACAATGATGTATCCATACTTCCCATAAATGATGACCCAGTGACCATCTTTTGGGCCTTAGGAAGACACAATAAAGGTGGCCTGATTAGATTGTGGAAGCAGGTTGAGTGTCATTTGACCAAGTCATTCCAGAGTCCTGGGTAATTGGAACATCATCTACAAGGAGAGGGCACATATTCCAGGTAGGAACAAAACTGCTGGTCTTGCAGACCTCTCACCCCGTGGGGAGAGATATAGCTAAAGTAGGTCCAGGGAAGGGCCCTGACACCTGGGTAAGAGGCTCTTTTTGCCCATTCTCAGCAAAGGCTTCAACTTGAAATCTACAGAAATTTTAAAAGCATTACCTCATCCAAATATGGGTTAGAAAATCTCAGTGCCTTCTCAGTTTCCTGTGACACCCCCATAACTCCATAAGCATTTACATCCTCTTGTAATTCCTGTTTGCTTGCCTTATATACTTATAAGGCAGATAATTTATGGTGTTCTGAGGGCTAATATAGATTCAGACTTCAATACATTATTATTTGTTCATGAAAAGGTATCAACTATAGTTTAGAAAACAATAGTTTTGTAATTCAAAGAATGAAGAAACTAAATATCAACTTGGCTTTACTTACTAATTTCAAAGTTCTTACTGCCTATGTAGGAGAGAAACTGGCAATTTTAAATCTCTTTACTGCCATCAATTCCAATATTCAAGGCTTTCTGGAAAATATGTCTGTGTTTTGAGGAGGAAAATATTCTCCATTGTTTTCATACAGCTGGAAAGTTAGGAGAAAGTCTGAGAATTCTGAAAGAAGTAACATAATCATAGTTCTGAAGACTTTTTACTTCGATTATTGATTTTAAATTGTGTTTTTATGTGTAAGGCACCTAGGGTGGCATTAGCCTTATAGGTGTAATATAAATGAGAAGTATTTGAAAACATAGTCCTGAAGCCTGATAATAGTATTTCTACTGTTTTGGTTTTGCTGGTGGTGATGTTTGTATTTGTTGATGTTTGTATTTATTGTTGTTGTTAGTAGGGATTATCTTCAGGACAATTTAAATCTCTCTTTTTTTTTTTTTTAGCAGAGCACTAAGTACACCAAAATCTCTTCTGCAGACACATTGATTAAAAATTAATTTTACATTTTCTTAACAGGCATATGTCTCCCATGGAATAGTAGCAGGCTTACACAGTTACCTGTGAGTATTTCCCCAGGCTCCAGTTAGAATGTTACGGATTATAAGAGTCTTGACAATGATATTCCCATAGGAAGAGAGAAGCAGGAAACCACCCTTGCCAATTTTGGTCCTGGTTAGAGCTAAGACATTAGCATTTTGAATCAATGATACATCATGGAAAAGGAATGTGTGATAGCTGCCCATTATTCCAGAATCATAGTGAGCAGAAAGTACAGGAAGTTGCAATGTAATAAACTGAAATCTTCTTGTAAAAATATTTTTGTGTTATTTCCTTTAACAAAAAATGTCAAAAATGGACCTGGCTTTTGTTTATTAGAAAATCACCCCCAGAGACGCAAAAAGCACTTCCATTACACTCCATAAAATACATATGCTAAGTCTTCATTTATTTTGGAAAATAATTCCTCTCTTCTTAAACTGGTTAAAAAAATAACAAACATAGCGTGGAATTTCTCCTTTACTAAACTTTATGCATTGAGAGGAAGCCAAACTATTTACAAATACAATATAACCTCAAATGGTCATTAACAGTAAAGGGTTATTATAAGTTAATAGAAATATTTAGTAAGTTGTATATGTTAAGAGATTACATAAATGCCTACTGAAATGAAAAACAATTCCTTCATTTGTCTTTTCTCCATTACTTCACCCTTTCTATAGCTGAAACATCTGTCACTAAGAAAATATGTTATTTCCTTTGCATTGAATTTCCAGATTTTGACCTTTCAAGTGATTGCTAGACTCATCTTGAAATCAGGTTAAAACAGCCATTGAATTAGAAAAACTTCTACAGTAACTCGAAAAAACAGATGTTTAAGATAACAGACCATTTTGACACAAGGATTTGGTGAGAAAAAAAAAATGCAGTGCTTGAACACAAGAATCTGGTGTTTTGCTCTACCTTCGATGCCACATAGCTGTGTGACCTTGGAAAAACTCACTTATGCTCTGTTTCTCAGTTTATTTGTCTTTGAAACATAGACAATACACAATTGCCCTTTTGAATTTGCCCTGCAGTTATAAGAAGATATGAACTAAAATTATTATTGTTGTTTGTTTTTCTCACAAAAACACTATGCAAATCCAAATAATTGGTAAAATATACAGAATGACACACTGGATTACACCAAAAATCTCTGCATTAATTCTCTAACATTGCCAAAAGATACATTTCTTTCCTATACTGCGTGATAAGAACTTCAACACATTATATACTGACTACTATTTTTTTCTACTAGCAATCTATTATGAACCTGTCATTAAATATTCATTTTAAACCATCCTTAATTTATTTCCTTTTGTTTTGTCTCTCCTTCTTTCCTTTGTTTCTTCTTCATTCTCCCTTCCTTCTTTTCTTCTCCTTCCTTTTCTTCTTCATTACACTCTTCCTTCCTTCTATCCCTTTTTATTCCCATATCCCTGCCTTCCAACATTTGCTGAAGACTTGCTATTATCCTAAACAATAGAAAAATGCAAAAATAAAAGGAAGGAATGAAATGTTAGAAGGCATTTAAGAATAAAACATGTTGTAATAGGAAGTTACAAGTATTTCCTTGGACAGTGACTGCATCTAGGGGTGTAAGGGAAGGAGTAATGAGACATGAAGCTAGAGAGGTAGACATAGAAGATCATGGAGGGCTTTAGGTACTCTATTCAGGGTGTTCAGTTTTATTCTACGGGTGATATAAAGCTAGTGAAAAATTTTAGTCATCAGAAAAAGATAATACTTTTTGAACATTTTAATTCTTTCTATGGTAAGGAGGAAGGTAAGACAAGTAAAATTGTTCAGTAACAAAACCAAGAGTGTTTCAAGAACCTAGCTGAAACGTGATAAGCCTGTGCACTGAGATTGATGCAATGGAGATTGCAAAGAAGGGGAAGAACTGAGATAAGGCACAAGCAAGAACAGAAGGGACAGAATAGACTGGATGTAAGGTATGAGAAAGAGGAAGCACTTGAGGATGACTACAAGAGAAGGTACAGTGTGGGAGAAAAAAAATAGTTCTGTTTTCAGCATGTTAAATTTGACCTGTCTATGAACTATCATTAAGGAGACGGTAGAAGATAGCATCTGATATGGTTTGGATCTGTGTCTCTACCAAATCTTATGTTGAATTGTAATACCCAATGTTGGAGGCGGGGCCTGGTGGGAGGTGAATGGATGATAAGGATGGATTTCTTATGAATGGCTTAGTACCATTCCCTTGGTACTGTCCTCATGATAGTGAGTGAGTTATCATAAGAGCTGACTGTTCAAAAGTGTGTAGCACCTCCCCACTCTCCCTCTTGCTCCTGCTTACAACATGTAAGACTCTTGCTCCCCCTTTGCCTTGTGCCATGTTTGGAAGCTTCCTGAGGCTTTCTCAAAAGCAGACCCGCTATGCTTCCTGTACAGCCTGCAGAACCATGAGCCAATTAAACCTCTTTTCTTTATAAATTACTCAGTCTCAGTTATTTCTTTTGAGCAATGTAAGAAAGGACAAATACAGCATCTCAATATCTTCACATACACTGTTTCCTCACTCTGAGCATTCATTCCTTAATCTGTGTGGTTGTTAATTATCTTTTAAGTCTTACCTTAAAGATTTTTGCTCAGGGAGGTTAACTCCCCTTTCCCGTTTATATACTCTCATAACATTCTCTAGTTTTCATTCTTAAACTCATAATTTTTAATGTGTAGTTGTTTTGTGAATATTTAACATATGTCTCTCCAACTACACATAGAATCCATGAGAATACAAGTAATGTGTCTGTCTTATCCTTCAGTGTCTGCAGTACATAGAACAGTGCCTGATACAGATAAATTATTCTTAAATGAATAAGTCTAAGTCGAGTTTCAGGGGAGATGTATGCTTAAAGATAGAGCAGTAGTGGGTATCAACATAATTGCTGATAGAAAGGAGATAAAACAAAGCCACAAGAGTGGATGGAATTAACTAAATCTAATGCACAGAATGGGACAAGTGCAAAGGATGAAATAAATTAGAAAGTAAATTCCATGCATCAGGAACACTGACTTGTTCAATTCTGTATCTACAGAGCTTAGAACAGAGTCTGGGATATGAAGAGCACTCACATATTTGTTGAATGAACAAATGAAAGAAAAATCAATTGACAGCATCTATATTTAAGAGCCTGAGAGTTCTTCATATATGTGGACATAACAATAAATCTCCTTTCTCTGTTCAAAAATTTCCAGTTTCCTCTATCATGCTTTCTATATCATTTCCAGACCTTCTATTTTCTAGGTCTCTGTCCTCTCAAAAGACTATTTTACCCATGTTACTCTAAAAAGGCATTCTCCTCAACTAAAAATAACTTTCATAGTATAGCCTGGCCAATGGAAGAAGACAAAATATTTTATTGTGAACCTTACACTTATGTGAATGCAGACTGAGATTTCACTATTTTTGTAGCAATAATACCACATTTCCTACACTGACCCTGAGTCAATGAAAATATCTGTTTTACAGGAGCAGATCTTAGGAAGTTTTACCCTTACACATTTGCAGTTAATTTTTTATGACTTAGTAGAGTCCATCACTGTAGCTTTTACTAATCATTACAGCCTCTCAGATTGTTCTCATTAAATCGTGATTCTATATTAGGTATTTTGCCACGCTACGTCTTCCACAAACCTGATAAACTTATTTATGTTCTTTGTCTAAACTAAATTTGTTGATAAAAATGTAAGTCATTAAGCCCAATAAATGAGCTATATAGCTCCCCATAAAGACTCTTCAGACATAAATTTCATCTATTTAACCAATACTCTTCATGTATGTTTTGAAGTTTTCTAACTCACATCTCTCTAACCTCACGTTTCTCCACATTGTAATTTCATTCAATTTCTTTTTTTTTTTTTTTTTTTTTATTATACTCTAAGTTTTAGGGTACATGTGCACATTGTGCAGGTTAGTTACATATGTATACATGTGCCATGCTGGTGCGCTGCACCCACTAATGTGTCATCTAGCATTAGGTATATCTCCCAATGCTATCCCTCCCCCCTCCCCCGACCCCTTGGCATAAAATTCTGGCCTTCATAGTGTTTTAAAAATAATAGTTGTTCAATAACGTTCAATTTCTATGCAATAAAACGTTATTGAACAACTATTATTTTTAAAACACTATGAAGGCCAGAATTTTATGCCAAGATACCTTGTAAGGTTTCTTTTCAAAATGTGGTTGAAACCCCGATTCATTATGTCTATGGCATCTTCTTAACCTACTTGTCTAATAATACTAGTATATTAAATTGCACTTTTATTATAAGACCCAAAACAATATCACTTTAAAATATTAGATATTCAGTTAAGCATTGCCATCAGTATATGAGATATTTACATACAGCACATACACTGAGGAGAGATGATGCATAATATAATAAGGCTTCATTGATTTAGGCATATTTGGTTCTTTTTTTCATATCAGGACCATGACACTCTAGTCAAGGAGTACATTAAAAAGTTAATAGTTCTCTGAAAGTAGAGTGAGAAAACAAAGATAAACAATCACATACTGTGTTGTGTTACCTAGGATATTCTCTGAGTAGCACAGAGTTAAACTAAGAGAAAAAATGTAAACAGATGTCTATAAGGACACGTCCTTTGTTTGATTGGAGACTTCTTAATGTAATAGAGTCCATTAGCATTTCTGGTTACAGTTTTATCCACAAGTGGTACTATGTATTGAATATGTTTCATCCCCATCAAAATTCATGTTGAAATTTGATCCCCTTTTGGTGGTGTTTGAAGGTGAGCCCTAGTGAAAGGTGTTTAGGTCATAAGAACACATCCCTCATAAATAGATTAATGCCCTCTCCTGAGAATGAGTAGGTTCTGTCTGTTGCTGGAGTAAAATAGTTCTCACAAAAGCAGGTGGTTAAAAGGAGTCTGGCTTCCCAGTTTTTCTCTTTTACTTCCTCCTTTGCCATGTGATCTCTTTGCACATGCCTACTTCTCTTCTCCTTTCCATCGTGAGTTGAAGTAGTATGAGGCCCTCAAAAGAAGCCAGGAAGATGCTAGAGCCATGCTTCTTGAACTTCCTAGCCTACAGAACAGTGAGCAAAATAAATCTCTTTTCTTTCTTTCTTTCTTTCTTTTTTTTTTTTTTGAGATGGAGTTTCACTCTTGTTGCCCAGGCTGGAGTGCAATGGAATGATCTCGGCTCACTGCAACCTCTGCCTCCTGGGTTCAAGCAATTCTCCTGCCTCAGCCTCCCTAGTAGCTGGGATTACAGGCACCTGCCACCATGCCTGGCTAATTTTTGTATTTCTAGTAGACACAGGGTTTCACCATGTTGGCTAGACTGGTTGCAAACTCCTGACCTCAGGCGATCTGCCTTCCTTGGTTTCCCAAAGTGCTGGGATTACAGGCATGAGCCACTGCACCCGGCCTCTTTTCTTTATAAATTACCCAGGTGCAAGTATTCTATTATAGCAACATAATTCTGTTATATTTACCTAAGACAGGTGCATACTTTAGAAAGTTTCCTTGAGGTACCATTTCTCAAAAGAGTAGGGGCCATCTTCTGCAATATTGGTCCTTTGTAGCTTATAGAAGCATAATGGCATAGTCTATATTACATTTTCTTTATTTTAAAAAAATGTCAGTCAAGCACTATGCAGGTATGATAATAAAAGAATAAAAACAAATGGATTTAGAAGTGTTATGGAATTAGAAAAGAAACTATATTAACAAGGAAGATGCCTATTTCAGTGAAGTCTACCACTTTGGTTTAGACAATATATAAAATATTTATCCATCAGTTGACAGTAAAATAGAATGGAGCATGTTTCAGAATTCATAGGTACTCAAAATAACCAAATTTTATTTACCTCCCTCATCCTCCCCCTTAAAAACCTGATTCAGCCTTTTGTGGCTTTTAATTAGTTTTATAATGAGAAACAAGACCCAAAGCTGTTGTAGTAGCAAGAATCTACTTTTATGCTTGAACGGTCACCTCTAATAATTATGAAAAAAATCTACCATTTTTATTGCTCTGGTTTTACTTTGAATCTGCAGGATTGTTTCCCAGGTGGGCATTTATTGAAAACCAGATTAAGCTCTCTATTCTTGCAGTATATAAGTGATAGTGGCAGGAAGTAGACAAATGCCTAGGCAGATAGGGATGGGTCCCTGGTGACACCAACCTCCAAGCTGAAGACAGTTTAAAGCCTGAAAGCCAAGCTACAAATCAAGTCCATGGACTGGATTGAGAACCTGTCTTTCTGTTTGGTGTGCTTTCCTCGGATTGTACCATGCACCCTTCACCTATTTTACATATCCCTACACTTTTCTAATTGGTTTTCTACACTGCCATGCCCACTTTTGAGTGGTGCCTTGCTTTAGTCTTTCTTTGCATAGTCACAAACAAATCAGCACACACTCCCCTATTCTGAGCTCATAAAAGCCCTGGGCTCAGTCACACTGAGAGAAAAACCACCCCCACATCCTCTCTCTGCTGAGAGCTGTTTTATCATTCAACACAATTCTTCTCCACCCTCCTCTCTCTTTAAATTGTCAGCATATGTTCATTCTTCTTGGACATGAGACAAGAGCTTGGGAACCACTGAACATGGGTACAAGCTGTAACAAGGGCAGGTCAAGTGGGCAGGGTGCCTCCAGCAGCAGGCCTGTGGGAGAGCAAGGCCCATTTCTGGGGGTGGGGTGTCACTGGCTGTGGAGGTCTCCAGTTGACAAAGTGGCCGAGAAATATCTGGGGGCTCATGCAGTATTCATCAGAAGGGTGAGTAAATGCAAATCTATGACTCTTTACTTTTGTTTCAAGGCTTCTTGTCCTCAGACTATTTTTCTGAAAGCAGATGAAGCACCAAACCTCTGATTAGCTAATTAAGAGTGAATTGCACAACTACAGAGGACAGGGTGCTGAAGAGGACTCTCCTCAACATTCTAAGGGGAAAGGAATGTCATTCCAATACAGTCTATTCTATGGACTGTTTCTTCTTTCTCTTGGGGCTATCATGGAGCCCACCTCTTCTTTTACAATGTTGAGCATGTTGTTGCCAACTACAGAGGTATTACTGAGAAGAATGGGCACTTGGCCCAGTCATGAAAAATGTAATTTAGGACAATGTGGTTTCTGTCAATTCTTAGAAGTAGGGAAGAAACAGGGATTAAGAGTTTCTTTCCTTGTTGAAGGAACCCATTTGCATAAGAGCACCTTACCCTCCCTGCACTTAAGCCATTTTTTTTTTCTTTTCTCCACCATGTCAGGAGTTAGTACAGCCCTGCAAATACAAGGAGTTTTTCAATGTGAGAGTTTTTTTTTTTTTTTCTTTTGGAAGGCATCTTACTTGGCCAGGACTCCAATTCATGAAACACCCTTTTCTCTCCCTTGTTTGAGGAGGACCCAGTTCCACAGCTTCACCTTAGCATTCAGCTTATGATAAGGAATGCCACCTGGGATTTAACTTAATGAGTTCATGCACCCTCCTGAAGCATCTTTTTGTCCCAAACTCAATTCCAAGCTTTGGGTTGAAACCTTAGGAAAAAAAAAAAACTGGATCTGAGGGATCTAGAGGCAGACAACAACAGAAGCCAGGGGGCACAGTCCAGGTGAGCATGATTAATTCCAGCTGATTAGCATCCGTCCCCTCATTTCATGGATGAAGGTCATGCCCATATCCATGGAATGGATGAGGTTACAGATAGCAGGGAGGATAGGCCAGCACATAGGTGAGTGTGGATAATTCCTACCCTGTAGGTCTTCCTGTTTCATGGGTCAAACCTGTATTGGCACCTATGGGCAGCACCTGCCTAGGTTACTGGGACTTGCGAATACAAGGACAGAAGGAAAAAAGATAACACCTTTTTTTTTCTCTTCCTCAGGTGCCCCAGCTATTCAATAGGAAGAGAAAGGAACTGAAGGAGTAATTTTTTTTCCTCTTTCCAGATGGGTAACCAATCATCATCAGTCAGTGAATACATCCTGAATGACTGAGACTCTTTTGAGAAAAAAAATTAATAAGCTTTTTTTTTCTATTTCCTCCTCTGTACTCTCTTTGCAGATGGGTAATCACAAGACATTCACCTCTGGGAAAAGTTTAATTTGCCCAAACCTTAAACTGCTTGGCATAAAACAAAAATGAACTGGGAAGAAATTATAATTCTAACTGAATGATCTCTTTTTTGTTGTTGTTGAAACAGAGTCTTGCTCTGTTGCCAGGCTGGAGTGCAGTGGTGCAATCTCAGCTAACTACAACCTCCGACTCCCAGGTTCAAGTGATTTCCCTGCCTTAGCCTCCCAAGTAGCTGGGACTATAGGTGCGCACCACCATGCCTGGCTAATTTTTTGTATTTTAGTAGAGACAGGGTTTCACCATGTCAGCCAGGATGGTCTCGATCTGCTGACCTCATGATCCACTCACCTCGGCCTCCCAAAGAGCTGGGATTACAGGTGTGAGCCACTGAGCTTGGCCAAGTAATCTCTTGAAGACGGACAAGTTTTACAGTATACAAATAACCTCTTTGTCTGCTCCCCCTTTACAGGACTCCAGGCTCCAAAGGCCTCTATAGCTTAAGGATGGGGGACCCAGAAGGCTGAAATGTTGGCAAAAGGGTAAAAGGTTTTGTTTGTTTGTTTCTTTTTTACCAGTCAGACTTCCAGCTTTTCTCTCTCTCTCTGCAAACTGATGGAATGAATGGCAAAAAACACTGTTTATATCCTCTGCAAAGTTTTTATACTGGAAAAGAATTTGTAAGGCTAGTCTTAAGCTGTAGCAAATCTGTTATACTTTGGGCTAAGAATTTGTCATTCTGTATCTTTCTATCAGCAAGAGGGGTACCTTAGGATAAAATGTGGGTCTGGAACCTCATAAGCCCACTGTTCAAGCCAGCTTGGCAATCTGGTCAGTAACAAAATTTTCTATAGGTCTCTAAAAAAAATTGGAAGAGGTCTTCATCTTGTTTTATATCTTTTTGAGCTTAATATTGTAACCACATGGCAGTACTTTCTTTTGGTCTCAGCCACTTTACAATGGCAGCCTGGGTTCAATCCAGGCTTGGGGAATGAGTACTTTCTGGTTAATATCTGTGTGACTTTTAACATTTGCTGATTTTCTTCCCCTCCATGAACAACTTCCAGTTTCCTTACTTAAATCTTCCTTTCTCTAAGCTACCTTTGAAGATTCTAGATTTTGTAAAAACTGCTTACCACCTCTTTGAAAATACCTCATACACTCATAACCTTAGTTGAGGCTTGTTGGTTTCACCTGTGATGTTACCTTTGGTAAAGTTCAAAAGCCAGAAATATTGGCTGCTTGGTTTGGCCAAAATTGGGTAATAAGGGATTTAAAATAATCTTCTCAAAGAGCATTATGATTAAAAGTCAGCTTAATTAAAAGTGGATATCCAAGCTAGATGTATATTTAAAAGGTCTTTATTTTTTTTTCTCTTCTTGAATCTTCATTTGCTGGAAATTTTTTTCTCCTCAGTCAAATGAACTACTTTCCTCCACTCTTAATGCATGCATGAGAGACTCTTAGATAACTTCTGATAGCCTGGAACTGCTTGGAAAAAGCAGAGAAGATGCCACTAATCCCGTTTTGAGAAAAACCTGTTTTGCTCATGGAATCCCAGAAATTAAAAGCAGATAAATTCCTCTCAAAATCTGTTTTTGTCCTCCAGCTATATCTGTCTATCAGGTTCTAGAAACTGCATGTTATCTTATCCCTGTTTCTTGGAGGACTCCACTCTGAGGCCAATAATCCAATTAGGAGTTTGGCAAATAAAAAATCTTACAAATACTGGATCTAATTCTGCCTGTCTGTGTAGTTATATATGTGTTATGTGTATGATGTTTACATTTTAAACAGCTCTAATTAATTGTCTTAAAGAAAATAAGCATTAAGATCAAATATTTTTTGAATTTCCATGTGACTTTAATCTTTGAGAAATAAATACATTTTTAAAGATTATTGGTAAAACAAAAATGCCTTCAAAATATAAATATGGGTCTAAATTATGCAGGTCAGATACTAGGTTTCCTAAATGCTTTAAGGTCATCGATTGCTTCTTTGGCTTTTGAAAATTGTTCAACTTGCCTGCTTTACAGTTTGGTAAGACGTGGGGGCATATGGTGATTACCACACCCCTAACTATGCTGGAAAGAGTCAGACCTTATCTGTGCCTAGTACATAATTAAAATAACTTATCAGATTTTAAATTAAAATTAAAAATTGCTTCTACCCATCTGACAAAGGTCTAATTCCAGAACTTACAAGGAAGTTAAAAAAATTCCCAAGAAAAAAAACAAACGACCCCGTCAAAAAGTGGGCAAATTCACAATTGCTTCAAAGATAATAAAATACCTAGGAATCCAACTTACAAGGGATGTGAAGGACCTCTTCAAGGAGAACTACAAACCAATGCTCAATGAAATAAAAGAAGATACAAACAAATGGAAGAACATTCCATGCTCATGGGTAGGAAGAATCACTATCGTGAAAATGGCCATACTGCCCAAGGTAATTTATAGATTCAATGCCATCCACATCAAGCTACCAATGACTTTCTTCACAGAATTGGAAAAAACTACTTTAAAGCTCATATGGAACCAAAGAAGAGCCCGCATCGCCAAGTCAATCCTAAGCCAAAAGAACAAAGCCAGAGGCATCACGTTACCTGACTTCAATCTATACTACAAGGCTACAGTAACAAAATAGCATGGTACTGGTACCAAAACAGAGATATAGATCAATGGAACAGAACAGAGCCCTCAGAAATAATGCCGCATATCTACAACTATCTGATCTTTGACAAACCTGAGAAAAACAAGCAATGGGGAAAGGATTCCCTATTTAATAAATGGTGCTAGGAAAACTGGCTAGCCATATGTAGAAAGCTGAAACTGGATCCCTTCCTTACACCTTATACAAAAATCAATTCAAGATGGATTAAAGACTTACATGTTAGATCTAAAACCATGAAAACCCTAGAAGAAAACCTAGGCAATACCACCCAGGACGTAGGCATGGGCAAGGACTTCATGTCTAAAACACCAAAAGCAATGGCAACAAAAGCCAAACTTGACAAATGGGATCTAATTAAACTAAAGAGCTTCTGCACAGCAAAAGAAACTACCATCAGAGTGAACAGGCAACCCACAAAATGGGAGAAAATTTTCGCAACCTACTCATCTGACAAAGGGCTAATATCCAGAATCTACAATGAACTCAAACAAATTTACAAGAAAAAAACAAACAACCCCATCAAAAAGTGGGCGAAGGATATGAACAGACACTTCTCAAAAGAAGACATTTATGCAGCCAAAAAACACATGAAAAAATGCTCATCATCACTGGCAATCAGAGAAATGCAAATCAAAACCACAATGAGATACCATCTCACACCAGTTAGAATGGCAATCATTAAAAAGTCAGGAAACAACAGGTGTTGGAGAGGATGTGGAGAAATAGGAACACTTTTACACTGTTGGTGGGACTGTAAACTAGTTCAACCATTCTGGAAGTCAGTGTGGTGATTCCTCAGGGATCTAGAACTAGAAATATCATTTGACCCAGCCATCCCATTACTGGGTATATACCCAAAGGATTATAAATCATGCTGCTATAAAGACACATGCATGTCCTTTGTAGGGACATGGATGAAACTGGAAACCATCATTCTCAGCAAACTATTGCAAGGACAAAAAACCAAGCACTGCATGTTCTCACTCATAGGTGGGAAATGAACAATGAGAACACATGGACACGGGAAGGGGAACATCACACTCCTGAGACTGTTGTGGGGTGGGGCGGGGGGAGGGGAAAAAAAAAGAAAAAAAATAAAGAATAAGAAAAAAAAAGTGGGCAAATGACATTAACAGACACTTCTCAAAAGAAGACATTTATGCAGCCAACAAACATATGAAAAAAATACTCATGATCACCAGTCATTAGAGAAATGCAAAGCCAAACCACAATGAGATATCATCTCATGCCTGTCAGAATGGTGATTATTTAAAAGTCGAGAGAAAACAGATGCTGGCAAGGCTGTGGAGAAACAGGAAAGTTTTACATGTTTCATGGAAATGTAAATTAGTTCAACCATTGTGGGAGACACTGTGGCTATTCCTCAAAGACCTAGAACAATAACTACCATTTGTCCCAGCAATCCCATTACTGCGTATATACTCAAAGGAATATAAATCATTCTATTACAAAGATACATGCACACATATGTTTATTGCAGAACTATTCACAACAGCAACGACACGGAATCAACCCAAATGCCCACCAATGATAGACTGGATAAAGAAAATGTGGTATGCTTTCTTTCTTCTATGCAGCCATACAAAGGAATAAGATCATGTGTTTTTCAGGGACATGGATGTAGCTGTAAGTCATCATATTCAGCAAACTAACACAGAAACAGAAAAGTGAACACCGCATGTTCTCACTCATAAGTGGGAGCTGAACAATGAGAACACATGGACACAGGGAAGGGAACAACACAAACTGGGGCCTGTTGGCGGGGTGGAGGGAGGGAGACCATCAAGATAAATACCTAATGCATGTGGGGCTTAATACCTAGATAATGGGTTGATAGGTACAGCAAAGAACCATAGTACACATTTACCTATGTAAAAAACTGCACCTTTTGCACATGTATCCCAGAAAAAAATTACCGATAGTTACCATTATACCATGTAACTGAGACTACTAAAAATAGATTTACATGCAAGGTGTGTAAGAAAAATAAAATGTATTTTTAGTAAAAGATTATAAGATGGTATGGGAATTTAAATTTTTGCCTAGTTTAGAGGGTTAAAGAATTGTTTTAAATTGAATAAGATAAAGCTAAAAATTTAAAACAGTTTTGGAAGGTTTGTAAAAATTAATTTTGTAAAAGAAATTCTATGTGTGAACATAATGACTAAGTTCAAAAGGGGATTATATGTTTTTCATAAGTTGAGCATTGAAATAAAAGCACAACAAAGTTTTCTTAAAGCACTGATCTGCTCTTTAACAAAAATTTGTAAAGAGTTATAAAAGGTTTATAAGAATCTCATCACATGGTCAAACTTGTTAAGATGGGATAGAATTATTTATAAGGTTTCATTTTTTAAATGTGAGGTTGACATTAATAGTAGACTAATGTATGGGTGAAATTTGGCTTTCTCTCTCTTGATCAAGATTTTCATGTAATATTAAAGGATAACAAAAGATTTTTGTTTGCCTTGCTAATAAACTACCAAAAAAATGGAGGGAAAGACAGAGGACTGATTGTTTGGAAAGCTAAGTCTTCTCTCTTAATGAGTAAAAGATTTTTGTCTTTTTAAAAAGTTTTTCAGTCATCATTTTGTCTAAATAAATAACTTATAGTAATCTGAAATTCTATTTCATAATATCAAGCATTGTAAACCTCTAACATATATAACAGGCTTCCCAAAATCAAATTTCATCTTCAAAAATTATATTTTCTGACCCCTAGCTTTTGGATGCTAGAGAGGACCTCCGGAGCATCCAAAAGAGAGGCAAACAGGATTATTTGACATATGTAGTTACATGGAATTACCAAAATAAATATACCATTTAATCTTCTTCAGGTTGTATTTTAGTGGATAATATTAATATATGTTCCAAAATTGTATGGGATTTTTAAATGCTAATGTCTGAGTATATGCTATCAATCATAATTCAGGTTATTATGTTAAGTTATTGTTAACCACAGAAATAACCACATTTCTTTGCCAATCATGTTTTGGACTGTGACTACCTGAAGACATTTTGTCATTCACAGACTATTGTTGTCTTGTTTTGATCCTCTTCGAAAGATGGTTTATAATCAGCTATAGTACTTTAACAGATGCTCTCAAATTCAGGTTTCTGATAATTTTGTTGATTGTGACATTGGAATGGAAGAAAAACTTACAGGACTCATGAAGAGCTGAAATGTTCATGAATATCAAGCAAAACAAGAGTTAATGAAATGCACTAAACTAATAAAAAGCTGAAGTAATCCTTTTTAACTTTTTGCTTAAAACGTTGCTGATTCTTTGTTTTTCAAAGTCAGGACAACTTTTATTTGGAGCTATTTACAGCTTTTAACAATTGAGTAAGGTAAATACTTATGAACAAAATTTGGAGCATATTTGTTTCTCTCTGCCTGCTTTCTCCAGAATTTGGAAACTATTTGTGAGCACTCTTAACATATGGAAATATACTTATTTGCATAAGTACAATAAAAATCCATTTTCTTTTGCAACAGGATGCAATTGGAGAAACTGGTGGTTTTAGCAAGGATTTGACTGGAGGAGTGTGCTTCCCCTTAAGGAGCCAAGCTTGCCTTGCAGAGCCAATAAAAGCTCCTAGGGGAAACTGGCCTCATACCTTCCCTACACAGCCCCTGTGCAGGGTTCATAACGAAGAATGTCAATTTCTAACAATCTCAGAAGCCCCAATTTATCTTGGGACCTCAGGAAGAGAATTTTACCCAATTCATAGGTATTTGAAGGTACAAACTCATGGCTGGGCTTAGCTTTAAAGTCTTATCTGAGATTTTTTGTGGAACAGAGTTCCATCAAAGCCAACTTAAAAACCTATGTGAAAGATCATTATTCTTGCTGCACTTTATGCAAATAATCAGGCCAAGTATAAGACTAAAGTTTATTTTGTGAACAACTCAGTCTTATAGTGATTTGTTTTTAACAAAAATGAGGACTGGAGTAAGAAAGATTATGTTTCAAAATTATCATACACTTGTTATTAAATTCTAATTTCATTAGTTGTTTTTAAGTTTTTGTCTGCATTTTAGACTAACTGTGCTTGTTCCTGTGAACCAACCAGTGATCTCTTGCTGCAGCTCAGGAGAAACAGAGGGATGGGTAATATGAAAATCTGGATTAATATTCTAGTTCTGGGCAAATATCCTGCAAATCCTGCCAGGTGATAGAAGTAAATAGGGTATCTGTAACCTGGAGGTTTCTTTGGGAAAATAAGACCAAGGGAGCTAAATAAAGCCAAGCCCCAAGTACCCAAACCTTGGCAGGCATAACTATAGCCACTAGTTATCTGAGTGTGTTGGCAGCCTCAGGATTTTTAAGCTGTCCTTACACCCAGTTCTGATACATGTCTTCTAATAACCTAGTTTGTCTCTTCTCACCTTCAGGCCATCAAACTCCAAACGGTCATGCAACCAGAGCCTCAGACAATGGCTCCTATTTACTGGGTACCCTTACATAAGCCTCTGAGACAGATTTGGCTGCTCTTTTCCCAAAACAGAGCCTCTTGTCAGCAGAAAGCAGTTAAGATTGTCAACATACTCCTCCTAACAGCAGTTAGATGTACCTCTTCATAAGGGAAAATTGGTAGGTTCAGGAGGCAGACAAACTCCTAGCCAGATAAGGGTATGTCCCTGGTGAAACCCCACCTCCAAGTCAAAGACAGTTTAAAGCCTGAAAGCCAAGCTACAAGTTAAATCCATGGACCAGATTGAGAACCTGTCTGCCCATTTGGATGCTTGAATGGTCACCTCTAATGATTATGAAAAAAATCTGCCATTTTCATTGCTCTGGTTGTACTTTGAATCTGCAGAATTGTTTCCCAGCTGGGCATGTAGTGCAAACTAGATTACACTCTCCCTTCTTGCAGTATGCAAGTGATAGCAGTAGGAGTCAGACAAATGCCTAAGCAGATAGGGAGAAGTCCTCAGTGAAACCCCACTGCCAAGCAGAAGACATTCTAAAGTTTGAAAGCCAAGCTACAAGTCAAATCCAGGGAACAGATTGGGAACCTGTCTTCCTTCCCAGCATGTATTCCTCTGATTGTTTCCCATCCTTCACCTATTTTACATATACCTATCCTTTCCTAATTGGTTTTCTACACTGCCATGCCCACCTTTGAATGGTGTCTTTGCTTTAGCCTTTCTTTGCATACTCACAAACCGATCAGCATTCACTTCCCTATTCTGACTCCATAAAACCCCCAGACTCAGCCACACTGAGAGATAAACCACCTGATTGCAGGGTGGGGGACCACCCCCACATAGCCTTTCTGCTGATAGCTGTTCTATCACTCAACAAAATTCCTCTCTATCCTCCTCACCCTTTGAATTGTCAGGGTATCCTCTTTCTTCTTGGACGTCAACAAGAGTTTGGGAACCACTGAACATGGGTACAAGCTATAACACAGGTGGTCCAAGTACTTGGGGCACTCCAGCAGCAGGCCCAGGGCCAAGTGAGGTGCAGGCTGGCATGGGGGCATCACCAGCCATGGAGGTCCTTGGTTGGCAAAATGACCAAAAAAAAATCCTGCTGTATAAGAAGTCCTGTATTAGGAATTGCAAATCCCAGGTTCTGCCATCTGAAGTCATAAAGCCATACCACTGCAGATGTTTAAACAAAGACCTCAGCAAAGATAATTCATTACATAGCTGAATGCAGGAAACAGCCATCACCTATGAAGTTTGCAGTCTCTTCAAGATCTGTGTTGAAATACCTTCAAACATGAAAAAAAATTATAGAAAGTGTTATATTCAAAATATGTGGAAAACAATAAAATTAAATACTTACATATAAACTTTGGTATATATCAAGCTATGTGTAACATACATTTTGCATATGTTAACCACTTTAATTTTCACAATAGTATTATAATTATTCCCTTGTTGCAGATGAAGTATGTGAGACATAGAGAAGTTATTCAACTTGCTCAAAATCACATGATCTTCAAATTACAGTCAGACTAAAAGGGCAAATTGGCTGACACTGTGTGTGTGTGTGTGTGTGTGTAGTTTGTGTGTAGTAAAGTCTCATTGGAGAAGGCCAGATTGAACTGGTCAAATTCCTGACTATGTAAAGAGAAGATTACAACTCAATCAACAAAACAAAAAAAAAGTTAGGACTGATGTTTAATGCATAATTATGACTGTGGAGAGACATTTTCAAAGTTGAAGGATTCCCTCAGAAACCCAATTGATAACAGTTTTGTAAGATGACCCATATCTTTGCATAGGCACTCTATTTAAAAAAATTCTTAAGTATATACCTATGCCTATCCATTTTTATTAAGCATAGTTATATGTCTCAGAGAAAAGGTCTAGTTAGCAAGATTGGATTTCATACCTCTAAAAAATTAGTTTCCATTCCTGGACTACGACTACTGACCTCAGTGGAAATGTAACTGGTGGCGAATGTAACTGGTAGTGAAAGATTGGCAATATCCATTCCTTTGAGTTCAGTGTTTAAACACAAAATAATGAGCTTCTGGGGAGCATAGAGTGCAAAGCCAATCTATTTCAATGACAACAGATATCACACTATTGTCTTCACATCATTGCTACATAGTATTCCTTTTTAATCATTACCTACAAGGATGAATTGATCTATGTTGATAGAATATAATTGATTTCCCAAAGTTTCAAAGCCTATAAAATACTTTGATTAGTTTTAATGAATTTGAAGTCTCTTCATTTCAATTTTAGGTTAAAAGTCCTAGAAATATCAGTTGTTTTCCTCTGCTATTGTCCTGATTCAGCTTCATTCTAGCATTATTGAAGTAATTAGCAGCCATCCATCCCCCTTTACCCAATAGGCATTTAGTTATCCAATGGACATTGTTGAGATCCTATTTCAAAACTACTTTAAAAAACATACTGTAGTGGCTTCATTAAAAATAAAATGCTCCTATTAGTAAAATGACTTGCTTAACTATTGTTCTTCTTTTACTATCATATAAAATAATAGGATAGTAAATGAGTAATGCTAGGATAGTAAATGAGCAATACAGATCTAATTTGCGGACAATCATTCAGTATGCATTCTACATCCATAAGAAAGCCCCACCAGGAATGTCAGGCAATCATCAGGTGATGGTCAGGCAGTTGTCACACTGCATCTCATTCCTGTTCTAAAGCTTTTTAATAAACATTAGCTCCTGCTCTAAAACTTGCCTCAGTCTCTCCTTCTGCTTTATTGCCCTCAGTCAAATTCTTTCTTCTGAGGAGGCAAGAATGAAGATTGCTGCAGACTTGTACAAATTCCCTGGTGGTGACTTGGATAATTTCACCACCACTTACAACCATGTGGGTTACATCTGGGTTAAAGTGAATAGCTAAGCTAAACACACTGATTGAGTTATAGATTCCAAACTATAAGATTTCTAAAATAAAAATATATTATAATTCAGTAGTTTTCAAACTATGGTTAATAGTGCCTAGGTGATCCATGAATGTTTGCCATAAATTTTATTTTTTAAACATTTGTCCTAATGAATTAACCAATTGGTTAAATGTACATTCAAATATGTCACATACCAAAGTTTAGCTTTTTGTTGAGACGTCAATCCTGTTGATTTGAGTTGTCAATTTAACAGCTTTTTCAAACTGGAAGCATTCCCTTTGAAAACTGGCACAAGACAGGGATGCCCTCTCTCACCACTCCTATTCAACATAGTGTTGGAAGTTCTGGCCAGGGCAATTAGGCAGGAGAAGGAAATAAAGGGCATTCAATTAGGAAAAGAGGAAGTCAAATTGTCCCGGTTTGCAGACGACATGATTGTATATCTAGAAAACCCCGTTGTCTCAGCCCAAAATCTCCTTAAGCTGATAAGCAACTTCAGCAAAGTCTCAGGATACAAAATCAATGTACAAAAATCACAAGCATTCTTATACACCAATAACAGACAACAGAGAGCCAAATCATGAGTGAACTCCCATTCACAATTGCTTCAAAGAGAATAAAATACCTAGGAATCCAACTTACAAGGGATGTGAAGGACCTCTTCAAGGAGAACTACAAACCACTGCTCAATGAAATAAAAGAGGATACAAACAAATGGAAGAACATTCCATGCTCATGGGTAGGAAGAATCAATATTGTGAAAATGGCTATACTGCCCAAGGTAATTTACAGATTCAATGCCATCCCCATCAAGCTACCAATGCCTTTCTTCACAGAATTGGAAAAAACTACTTTAAAGTTCATATGGAACCAAAAAAGAGCCTGCATTGCCAAGTCAATCCTAAGCCAAAAGAACAAAGCTGGAGGCATCACACTACCTGACTTCAAACTATACTACAAGACTACAGTAACCAAAACAGCATGGTACTGGTACCAAAACGGAGATATAGATCAATGGAACAGAACAGAGCCATCAGAAATAACGCCGTATATCTACAACTATCTGATCTTTGACAAACCTGAGAAAAACAAGCAATGGGAAAAGGATTCCCTATTTAATAAATGGTGCTGGGAAATGTGGCTAGCCATATGTAGAAAGCTGAAACTGGATCCTTTCCTTACATCTTATACAAAAATCAATTCAAGATGGATTAAAGACTTAAATGTTAGACCTAAAACCATAAAAACCCTACAAGAAAACCTAGGCATTACCATTCAGGACATAGGCATGGGCAAGGACTTCATGTCTAAAACACAAAAAGCAATGGCAACAAAAGCCAACATTGACAAATGGGATCTAATTAAACTAAAGAGCTTCTGCACAGCAAAAGAAACTACCACCAGAGTGAACAGGCAACCCACAAAATGGGAGAAAATTTTCGCAACCTACTCATCTGACAAAGGGCTAATATCCAGAATCTACAATGAACTCAAACAAATTTACAAGAAAAAAACAAACAACCCCATCAAAAAGTGGGTGAAGGACATGAACAGACACTTCTTAAAAGAAGACATTTATGCAGCCAAAAAACACATGAAAAAATGCTCATCATCACTGGCCATCAGAGAAATGCAAATCAAAACCACAATGAGATACCATCTCACACCAGTTAGAATGGCAATCATTAAAAAGTCAGGAAACAACAGGTGCTGGAGAGGATGTGGAGAAATAGGAACACTTTTACACTGTTGGTGGGACTGTAAACTAGTTCAACCATTCTGAAAGTCAGTGTGGCGATTCCTCAGGGATCTAGAACTAGAAATACCATTTGACCCAGCCATCCCATTACTGGGTATATACCCAAAGGATTATAAATCATGCTGCTATAAAGACACATGCACACATATGTTTACTGCGGCACTATTCACAATAGCAAAGACTTGGAACCAACCCAAATGTCCAACAATGATAAACTGGATTAAGAAAAAGTGGCACATATACACCATGGAATACTATGCAGCCATAAAAAATGATGAGTTCATGTCCTTTGTAGGGACATGGATGAAATTGGAAATCATTATTCTCAGTAAACTATCGCAAGAACAAAGAACCAACCACTGCATATTCTCACTCATAGGTGGGAATTGAATAATGAGAACACATGGACACAGGAAGGGGAATATCACACTCTGGGGACTGTTGTGGGGTGGGACGGGGGAGGGGAGGGATAGCACTGGGAGATATACCTAATGCTAGATGACGAGTTAGTGGGTGCAGCGCACCAGCATGGCACAGGTATACATATGTAACTAACCTGCACATTGTGCACATGTACCCTAAAACTTAAAGTATAATAATAAAATAAAATAAAAAATAATAAAAAAACAACTTTTTCTGCAGACATGGGAATAAGGCAGTCCATGACATCTGTAGAATGTACTCGAAAATTTTGCAAGTATACTATTGATTAAGTTTGCACTGCTAACATGGTATTGAAAAAAATGGCCTATCCATGATTATGAAAGTAAATTCTATAAGCCAATCTATGGCTATAGTGCATCCAAGCCACATTCAATTAAATGCCCAGCATGGCACAAGAATATCTCCTTAGCACATAATTTACTCAATAATAATTTGAGTAGTCAGAAAAGAAAGAAGTAGGGCATTGTATTGGATTTAGATTTTATTGAAAATGTTAGTTCTTTCTTATTCAATTTAAATGCTTATGACAAGAAATCAAATCAACTGTTAAAACTAATACCAACAATTTGCTCTGTTTTTTCAAAAGCTTTTATCATTTGCAAATACTTATCTGAGTAAATCAGAATTCACTCTATTTTTAACCAAGACACATACAGAGTTAAATTGGATGTGGAGGCATGAAAATAGCCTGATTGTTCTCATCAAATAGAGTTACAGTTAGTGTTATAAGAAATATATAATAATAAATGTATATTTATATATTTCATATTTTATTCACAATTGTTTATGAATATGCACATATATTAAAATATGCATATATACATTAAATGTTACAATGACCTTCAAAGTACTATATATATGTATATATATAGCATATATATTGTATTTGTATATATATATTGTACTTTGAGGGTCATTGTAACATTTAATTTGAAAGAAAGGTTCTACTGCTGAGTCGTTAAAATTATTGCTCTAATACGAAGACTAGAATTAAGATATATTTTATCAGAGCCTTGGAAGATTGCGCAATAGGAACAGAAAAATATTTTAATGTATCCACATTTTTATATAAAAAGAGACAGAGAAGCTATATAGCAAAAGTAAATACCTATTGCCAACATTTAAAATAGATTAGAATCGGATTACCTGTATGGTATCCATGTGCATGCTGGATGAAGAAGAAAGCAATAAGGGTGGTGTCCAATGAATCTGAGAAGGGAAAACTCTGAAATAACCAACAGGTATTTATTGAAAAATGCACTATGCCAACTTGAAAGAAGAAGCTTTGTCACTACCAGACATGACTTGTCAAAGCTCCTGAAGGAAGCACTAAATATGGAAAGGAAAAACCATTCCCAGTCACTACAAAACACACTGAATTAAACAGACAAGTGACACTATAAAGCAACCACATAAACCAGTCTGAAAAATAACCAGCTAGCATCATAATGACATGATCAAATTCACACATAGCAATATTAACCTTAAATGTAAATGAGCTAAATGCCCCAATTAAAAGAAATAGAATGGCAAGCTGAATAAAGAACCAAGACCCATAGGTATGCTGTCTTCAAAAGACCCATCTCATGTGCAAAGACACACAAACGATCAAAGTAAAGAAATGAAGAAAAATCTACCAAGCAAATGGAAAAATAGAAAAAAGAAGGAGTTGCAATCCTAGTTTCTAACAAAACAGACTTTAAGTTAACAAAGATCAAAAAAGTCAAAGAAGGGCATTACATAATGGCAAAAGCTTCAATTCAACAAGAAGATCTAACTTTCCTAAATACATATAAACCCAACAAAGGAGCACCCAGATTTATAAAGAAGTTCTTAGAGGCTTCGAAGGGACTTAGACACAATTAAAGTGGCAATTTTAACATCCTACTGACAATATTAGATAGATCATCAGGACAGAAAATTAACGAAATATTCAGGACCTGAATTCAGCTCTGGATCAAATGGGCCTGATAGAGATTTAAAGAACTCTCTATGCCAAAACAAGAGAATGTACATTATTCTCATTTCAACATGGTACTTATTTTAAAATCAATCACATAATCAGAAGTAAAACACTCCTCAAGATATGCAAAAAAAAACTGAAATCATAAGAAAACAGTCTTTCAGACCATAGCACAATCATATTAGAGAAATCAAAGCTAAGAAACTCACACAAAACAATACAATTACATGGAAGTTGAATAAGCTGCTCCTGAACGACGTTTGGGTAAATACTAAAATTAAGGGAGAACTCAAGAAGTTATTTGAAAGTAATAAGAGCAAAGACAAACCATACCAGAATTTCTGGGACACAGCTAAGGCAATGATGAGAGGGAAATGTACAGAACTAAACACCCAAATAAAAAAGAAAGATCTCAAGTTAACAGCTATCATCCCAACTAAAGGAACTAGAGAACCAAGAGCAAACAAATTCTAAAGCTAACAAAAGACAAGAAATAACCAAAATCAGAGCTGAAATGTAACTGACTGAGACACAAAAAACCATTGAAAATATTCATGAATCCAGAAGCTGTTTTTTTTTTTTTTTGCAAAATTAACAAAATAAATAGGCCACTAGCTAGACTAATAAGAAGAAAAGAGAGAAGATACAAACACAATCAGAAACAATGGGAATATTAACCACTGACACAAAGAAGTACAACCAAATATAAAAGAACATTATGAACAACTTTATGCACATAAAATAAAAAATCTAGAGTAAATGAATAGATTTTTGAACACATACACCCTCCCAAGACTGAAACAAATAGAAATTGAATCCCTGAACAGAACAATAATGAGCTCTGAATTTGAGGAAGTAATAAATAGCCTACCAATAATTAAAAAAAAAAACCCAACATCAGATAGATTCATAGCTGAATTATATCAGATATAAAAGGAGGAGCTGGTGCCATTCCTACTGAAGCTATTCCAAGAAATAAAGGAGAAGCTCCTCCCTAAATCATTCTATGAGACCAGCATTATCCTGATACCAAAAACTGGCAAAGATACAACAAAAATAGAAAACTTTAGACCCATATCCTTGATGAATATTGATTCAAAAATCCTCAATTAAATACTGACGAACCTAATCCAGCAGCACATCGAAAAGCTTATACCCCACAATCAAGTAGGCTTTACACCTGGGATGCAAGTTTGGTTCCACATATGCAAATCAACAAATGTGATTCATCACATATGCAGAACTAAAGACAAAAACTACATGATTATCTCAATAGATGCAGAAAATGCTTAATAAATTTCAACATCCCTTCATCTTAAAAACTCTCAATAAACTAGGTATTGAAGGAACACACCTCAAAATATTGAGTCATATACAACAAACCCACAGCCAACATCATACTGAACAGGCAAAAGCTGGAAGCATTTCTCTTGAAAACCAGCACAAGTATACCTTCTCTCACCACTCCTATTCAACATAGGATTGAAAGTCCTATCTAGGGCAATCAGGCAACGGAAAAAAAAAATGCTATCCAAATAGGAAACAAGAAAGTCAAACTATCCCTGTTTGCAGATGCCATGATCTTATGTCTAGAAAACTCCATGACCTCAGACCAAAAGCTTCTTAAGCTGATAAACAACTTCAGCAAAGTCTCAGGATAGATAATCAATGTGCAAAAATTACTAGCATTCCTATACACCAACAACAGTCAAGCTGAGAGCCAAATCAGGAATGAACTCCCATTCACAATTGCCACAAAATGAATAAAATACAGAGGGATCTGGCAAGATGATCAAATAGGAACAGCTCCAGTCTGCAGCTCCCAGGACACCAATGCAGAAGGTGGGAGATTTCTGCATTTCCAACTGAGGTACCCGGTTCATCTCAGTGGAATTGGTTAGATAGTGGGTGCAGCCCACAGAGGGCGAGCAGAAGCAGGGTGGGATGTCACCTCACTCAGGAAGCGCAAGGGGCCAGGGACCTCCCTCCCTTAGCCAAGGGAAGCCTTGAGGGACTGTGCTAACCAGCCCAGATACCATGCTTTTCCCACGGTTTTTCAGTTTTTGCAACCTGTAGACCAGAAGATTTCCTTGTGTGCCTACATTACCAGGACCCTTGGTTTCAAGCACAAAATTGGGCAGCTGTTTGGGCAGACACCAAGCTAGCAGCAGAAGTTTCCTGCTCCCCACCCCCATTGGCGCCTGGAATACCAGCAAGACAGAACCGTTCACTCCCCTGGAAAGGGGGCTGAAGCCAGGGAGCCAAGTGGTCTCACTCAGCAGGTCCCACTCCTACAGAGCCCAGCAAGCTAAGAACCACTGGCTTGAAATTCTTGCTGCCAGCAGAACAGTCTGAAGTAGACCTGGGATGATTGAGTTTGGTTGGGGTAGGGGCGTCCGCGATCACTGAGGCTTGAGTAGGCGGTTTTCCCCTCACAGTATTAAGGAAGCCACAGGGAAGTTCAAACTCTGTGGGACTCACCATAGCACTGCAAAGTGGCTGTGGCCAGACTGCCTCTCCAGATTTCTTCTCACTGGGCAGGGCATCTCTGAAAGAAAGGCAGCAGCCCCAGTCAGGGGCTTATAGATAAAACTCCCATCTCCCTGGGAGAGAGCACCTGGGGGAAGGGGCAGCTCTGGGCGAATCTTCAGCAGACTTAAACGTTCCTGCCTGCCAGCTCTGAAGAGAGCAGCACATCTCCCAGCACAGTGCTCAAGCTCTGCTAAGGGACAGACTGCTTCCTCAAGTGGGTCCCTCACCCCCATGCCTCCTGACTGGGAGATACCTCCCAGCAGTGGTTGACAGACCACCTCATACAGAAGAGCTTCAGCTGGCATCAGTTGGGTGATTTTCTGGGACAAAGCTTCCAGAGGAAGAAGCAGGCAGCAATCTTTGCTGTTCTGAAGCCTCCGCTGGTGATACCCAGGCAAATAGGGTCTGAAGTAGACCTCCAGCAAACTCCACCAGACCTGAGAAGAGGGGCCTTACTGTTAGAAGGAAAAATAACAAACAGAAACCAATAACATCAACAAAAAGGACATCCACCCAAAACCCCATCTAAAGGTCGTCAACATCAAAGATCAAAGGGAGATAAATCCACAAAGATGAGGAATAACCAGTGCAAAAATGCTGAGAATTCCAAAAACCAGAATGACTCTTCTCCTCCCAATGATCACAACTCCTCTCCAGCAAGGGCACCAAACTGGAAGGTGAATGAGTTTGATGAATTGACAGAAGTAGGCTTCAGAAGGTGGGTAATAACAAACTCCCCTGAGCTAAAGGAGCATGTTCTAACCCAATGCAAGAAAGCCAATAACCTTGATAAAAGGTTACAGAAACTGCTAACTAGAATAACCAGCTTAGAGAAGAACATAAATAACCTGATGGAGCTGAAAAACACAGCACGAGAACTTCATGAAGCGTACACAAATATCAATAGCCAAATCAATCAAGCAAAAGTAAGGATATCAGAGATTGAAGATCAACTTAATGAGATAAAGCATGAAGATAAGATTAGAGAAAAAAGAATAAAAAGGAACAAACAAAGCCTTCAAGAAATATGAGACTATGTGAAAAGACCAAATCTACGATTGACTGGTGTACCGGAAAGTGATAGGGACAATGGAACCAAGTTGGAAAACACACTTCAGGATATTATCCAGGACAACTTCCCCAACCTACCAACACAGGCCAACATTCAAATTCAGGAAATACAGAGAACACCACTAAAATACTCCTTGAGAAGAGCAACCCCAAGACACGTAATAGTCAGATTCACCAAGGTTGAAATGAAGGAAAAAATGTTAATGGGAGCCAGAGAGAAAGGTCAGGTTACCTATAAAAGGAAGCCCATCAAACTAACAGCATATCTTTCTGCAGAAACCCTACAAGCCAGAAGACAGTGGGGGCCAATATTCAACATTCTTGAAGAAAAGAATTTTCAACCCAGAATTTCATATCAGACTAGCTAAGCTTCATAAGTGAAGGAGAAATAAAATATTTTACAGTCAAATGAATGCTGAGGGATTTTGTCACCACCAGGCCTGCTTTATAGGAACTCCTGAAGGAAGCACTAAATATGGAAAGGAAAAACTGTTCTAGCCACTGCAAAAACATATCAAAATATAAAGACCAATAACACTACGGAGAAACTGCATCAACTAATGTGCAAAATAAACAGCTAGCATCATGAGGACAGGATCAAATTCACACATAATAATATTAATCTTAAATGTAAATGTGCTAAATGCTCCAATTAAAAGACACAGACTGGCAAACTGGATAGAGTCAAGACCCATCAGTGTGCTGTATTCAGGAGACCCATCTCACATGCAAAGACACACATAGGCTCAAAATAAAGGGATGGAGGAAGATATACCAAGCAAATGGTAAGCAAAAAAAAAAAAAATAAGAAGCAGTGGTTGCAATCCTTGTCTTTGATAAAACAGTCTTTAAACCAACAAAGATCAAAAAAGACAAAGAAGAGCATTACATAATGGTAAAGGGATCAATGCAACAGGAGAGCTAACTATCCTAAATATATATGCACTCAATACAAGAGCACCTAGACTCACAAAGCAAGTTCTTAGAGACCTACAAAGGGACCTAGACTGCCACACAATAATAGTGGGAGACTTTAACACCCCACTGTCAATATTAGACACATCAACGAGACAGAAAATTAACAAGGATATTCAGGACTTGAACTCAGCTCTGGGCCAAGCAGACCTAATAGACATCTGCAGAACTCTCCACCCCAAATCAACAGAATATACATTCTTCTCAGCACCACATAGGACTTATTCTAAAATCGACCACATAATTGGAAGTAAAACACTTCTCAGCAAATGCAAAAGAATGGAAATCATAACAGTCTCTCAGACCACAGTGCAATCAAATTAGAATTCAGAATTAAGAAACTCACTCAAATCCACACAACTACATGGAAACTGAACAACTTGCTCCTGAATGACTACTGGGTAGATAACAAAACTAAGGCAGAAAGAAAGAAGTTCTTTGAAACCAATCAGAACAAAGATACAACGTACCAGAATCTCTGGGACAAAGCTAAAGCAGTGTTTAGAGGGGAATTTATAGCCCTAAATGTCCACAACAGAAAGTGGGAAAGATCTAAAATTGACACCCTAACATCACAATTAAAAGAACTAGAGAAACAAGAGCAAACAAATTCAAAAACTACCAGAAGACACAAAATAATTAAAATCAGACCAGAACTGAAACAGTTAGAGATACAAAAGCTCTTCAAAAAAAATCAATGAATACAGGAGCTGGTTTTTGAAAAGATTAACAAAATAGATAAACCACTAGCCAGACTAATAAAGAAGAGAGAAGAATCAAATAGTAAAAATTGATAAAGGGGATATAACCACTAATCCCACAGAAATACAAACTACCATCAGAGAATACTATAAACATCTCTGCACAAATAAACTAGAAAATCTAGAAGAAATGGATAAATTCCTGGACACATACATCCTCCCAAGACTAAACCAGGAAGAAGTCAAATCCCTGAATAGACCAATAACAAGTTCTGAAATTGAGGGCAGTAATTAAAATCCTACCAAACAAAAAAAGCCCAGGACCAGACGGATTCACAGCCCAATTCTACCAGAGGTACAAAAAGAAGATGGTACCATTCCTTCTGAAACTATTCCAAACAGTAGAAAAAGAGGGATATCTCCCTAACTTGTTTTATGAGGCCAGCATCATCCTGATACCAAAATCTCACAGACACAACAGAAAAAGAAAATTTCAGGCCAATATCCTGGATGAACATTGATGTGAAAATCCTCAATAAAATACTGGCAAACTGAATCCAGCAGCACATCAAAAAGCTTATCCACTGCGATCAAGGCAGCTTCATCTCTGGGATGCAAGGCTGGTTCAACATACACAAATTAATAAAGGTAATCCATCACATAAACAGAACCAAGGACAAAAAACACATGATTATCTCAATAGATGCAGAAAAGGCCTTTGATAAAATGCAACAGCCCCTCATGCTATAAACACTCAATAAACTAGGTATTGATGCAACATCTCTCAAAATAATAAGAGCTATTTATGACAAATTAATAGTCAATATCATACTCAATGGGCAAAAGCTGGAATTATTCCCTTTGAAAACTGGCACAAGATAAGCATGCCCTCTCTCACCACTCCTATTCAACATAGCATTAGAATTTCTGGCCAGGGCAATCAGGCAAGAGAAAGAGATAAAGGATATTCAAATAGGAAGAGAGAAGTCAAATTGACTCTGTTTGCAGATGGCATGATTGTATATTTAGAAAACCCCATTGTCTCAGCGCAAAAGCTCCTTAAGCTGATAAGCAACTTCAGCAAAGTCTCAGGATACAAAATCAATGTGCAAAAATCACAAGCATTCCTATACACCAATAATAGACAAACAGAGAGCCAAATAATGAGTGAACGCCCATTCGCAATTGCTAGAAAGAGAGTAAAATACCTAAGAATACAACTTACAAGGGATGTGAAGGACCTTTTCAAGGAGAACTACAAACCACTGCTCAAGGAAATCAGAGATGACATAAACAAATGGGAAAAAAATTCCATGCTCATGAATAGAAAGAATCAATATCTTGAAAATGGCCATACTGCCCGCAGTAATTTGTAGATTCAATTCTATTCCCATCAAGCTACCATTGACTTTATTTACAGAACTAGAAAAACTACTTTAAATTTCATATGGAACAAAAAAGAGCCCATATAGCCAAGACAATACCAAGCCAAAAGTACAAAGCTGGAGGCATCACGCTACCTGACTTCAAACTATATGGCAATGCTACAGTAAACAGATATATAGACCAATGGAACAGAACAGAGGCCTCCGAAATAATGCCACACATCTACAACCATCTGATCTTTCACAAACCTGACAAAAACAAGCAATGGGGAAAGGATTCCCTATTTAATAAATGATGCTGGGAGAACTGGCCAGCCATATGCAGAAAACAGAAACTGCACCCCTTCCTTACACCTTATACAAAAACTAACTCAAGATGAATTAAAGACTTAAATGTAAGACCTAAAACCATAAAAACTCTAGAAGAAAACCTAGGCAATACCACTCAGGACATAGGCATGGGCAAAGCCTTCATGACTAAAACATCAAAAGCAATTGCAATAAAAGCCAAAATTGACAAATGGGATCTAATTAAACTAAAGAGCTTCTGCACAGCAAAATAAACTATCATCAGAGTAAACAGGCAACCTACAGAATGGAGGAAAATTTTAGCAATCTATCCATCTGAAAAAGGTCTAATATACAGAATCTACAAGGAACTTAAACAAATCTACAAGAAAAAAACAAACAATCCCATCAAAAAGTGGGCAAAGGATATGAACAGACACTTATCAAAGGAAGACATTTATGCAGACAACAAACATGTGAAAAAAGCTCATCATCACTGGTCATTAGAGAAATGCAAATCAAAACCACAATGAGATACCATTTCACACCAGTTAGGATGGCGATCATTAAAAAGTCTGGAAACAACAGATGCTGGCCAGGATGCAAAGAAATAGGAACACTTTTACAGTGTTGGTGGGAGTGTAAATTAGTTCAACCATTGTGGAAGACAGTGTGGTGATTCCTCAAGGATCTAGAACCAGAAGTACCATTTGACCCAGCAATCCCATTACCGGATATATACCTAAAGGATTATAAATCATTCTACTATAAAGACACATGCACACGTATGTTTATTGCAGCACTATTTACAATAGCAAAGACTTGAAACCCACTCAAATGACCATCAATAATAGACTGGATAAAGAAAACACGGCACTTATACCCCATGGAATACTTTGCAGCCATAAAAAAGGATGAACTCATGTCCTTTGCAGGGACATAGTTGATGCTGGAAAACATAATTCTTGGCAAACTAACACAGGAACAGAAAACCAAACACCACATGTTCTCACTCATAAGTGGGAGTTGAACAATGAGAACATATGGAGACAGGGAAAGGAACAACACACTCTGGAGCCTGTCGGGAGGTGAGGGTGAGGGGAAGGAGAGCATCAGGACAAATAGCTAATGCATGTGGGGCTTAAAACCTAGGTGACAGGTTGATGGGTACAGCAAAACCACCATGGCACATGTACACCTATGTAACAAACCCGTATGTTCTGCACATGTATCCCAGAACTTAAAGTATAATAATAAAAAAAGAATAAAATACATAGGAATACAGCTAACTAGGGAGGTGAAAGATATCTACAAGGAGAACTACAATTTACTGTTCAAAGAAATCACAGAAGACACAAACTAATGGAAAAATATTCCATGCTCACGAATAGAAAGAATAAATATAGTTAAATGGCCATAGTGCCTAAAGCAATGTATAAATTCAAAGCTGTTCCTATTAAACTATCATTGAGATGCTCCATAACAATGGCAAAAAAAAACTATTTTTAAATTCTTATGGAACCAAAAAAGAGCCCGAATAGCCAAGGAAATCCTAAGCAAAAGAAACAAAGCTGAAAGCATCACACTACCTGACATCAAACTGTACTACAGGTCTACAGTAACCAAAACAACATGGTACTGGCATAAAAACAGACACATAGAACAAGAAAACAGAATAGAGAACCTGGAAATAAGACCGCACACCTACAACTATCAAATCTTTGACAAACATGACAAAAAAAAAAAAAAAAAAGCAATGGGGTATGGATTCTCTATTCAATAAATGGTGCTCAGATAACTGGCAAGCCATATGCAGAAGATTAAAACTGGAACTTTTCCTTACATGATATACAAAAATTAACTCATGATGGATTAAAGACTTAAATATAAACCCCCAAACCATAAAAATCCTGGAAGATTATCTAGGTAATATCATTAGCACGTGCAAAGATTTAATGATAAATGTGACAAAGCAATTGCAACAATTGCAAAAACTGACAAATGTGATCTGATTAAATTAAAGAGCTTCTGCAAAGCAGAAGAAACTATCAACAGATTAAATAGGCAACCTACAGAATGGGAGAAAATTTTTGCAAACTATGCATCTGACAAAGGTCCAATATTCAGTATCTATAAGGAACTTAAACAAATGTACAATAAAACAAACAAACAACCCCATTATAAAATGGACAAATGACATGAACAGATACTTTTCAAAAGAAGACTTTCATGTGATCAATAATTTTATGAAAAAAAGCTCAACATCATTGATCACTAGAAAAATGGAAATCAAAACCACAATGAGATAACATCTCACACCAGTTGGAAGGGCTTTTATTTAAAAAGTCAACAAATAACAGATGCTGGTGAGGTTGTATCAAAAAATGAACACTTACACACTGTTGATGGGAGTGCAAATTAGTTCAACCATTGTGTAAGACAATGTAGTGATTCCTCAAAGGCCTAAAAACAGAAATACCATTCAACCTAGGAATCCCACTACTGGGTATATACTGCTCAAAATATAAATTGTTCTATTAAAGACACATGCATGCATATTTTCATTGCAGTACTATTCACAATTGCAAAGACATGTAATCAATCTAAATGCCCATCAATGATAAACTGGATATAGAAAATGTGGTACATACACACCGTAGAATACTACACAGCCATAAAAATGAATAAGATCATAAACCATTATCCTTAGCAAACTAATGCAGAAACAGAAAACAAATACCACGTGTTCTCACTTATAATTGGAAGCTACATGATTAGAACGCATAGACTCATAGAGGGGAACAACACATACTCGTGCCTATTGGAGGGTAGAGGGGGGAAGGAGGGAGAGGATCAGGAAAAACAACTAATGAGTACTAAGCCTAATACCTGGGTGATGACATAATCTGTACAAGAAACTCCCTTGACACAAGTTTCCCTATGTAACAAACCTGCACATGTACCCGTAAACTAAAAATAAAAGTTAAAAGAAGAAGATGAAAGAAAATTTTTCTTAAATTTTTTAACTTTTATTTTAAATTTAGGGGGTACATTGTGCTTGTTTGATACATGGCTATTACATATGTAATGGTAGGGGTTTGGCTTCTAGTGTACTCATAACCCAAATAATGGACATTGTACCCAGTAGGTAATTTTCAACCCTCACCTCCATTCCATCTTCCCCAATTTGGAGTCCCCACAGTCTATTTTCTGTATCCTTATGTCCATGTATACCCTTTATTTAGCTCCCACTTAAAAGTGAGAACAGGCAGTATTTGATTTTCTGCTTCTGTGTTAGTTCATTTGGATAATAGCTTCCAGCTCCATCCATATTGCTGCAAAGAACATGATTTTCTTCTTTTATATTGCTGCATAGTATTCCATGGTGTATACATACTACATTTTCTCTATTCAATAAATTGTTTATGGACACTTAGGTTGGGTCCATAACTTTGCTATTGGGAATGGTGCTGCAATAAACATATGAGTGCAGATGTGTTTTTCATATGATTTCTTTTCCTTTGTGTAGATACCCAGTAGTGAAATTGTTAGCTTAAATAGTCGTTCTATTACAAATATATCTCCATATTCAAAGATACAGAAAATAGACTCTGGGGACTCCAAACTGGGGAGAATGGAATGGAGATGAGGTTTTCCATAGTGGTTGAACTAATTTACGTTCCCATCAACAATGTATATAAGCCTTCCCTTTTCTCTGGATCCATGCCAAACATCTATTGATTTTTGACTTTGTAATAAAAGCCATTCTGACTGGTATAAGATGACATCTTGGTGTGCTTTTAATTTGCATTTCTGTGATGATTTGTGATGTTGAGCATTTTTTCATGTGTTTGCTCGCTGCTTATGTTTCTTCTTTTAGAATTATTGTTCATGTCCTTTTCCTAGTAAAAAAGAAAAAATGAATAAAATAAACACAGAAATAAATGAAAAAAACATAGAAAGGAAAAAAATTTAAATAGATAAGAAATTAATCAACATACAGATATTAGAAATTCTCAATAAAGGAAAGCAAGGTAAGGGAACAGAACAAATACTAAAAATCTTAATTCAACAAAATTTTCTAAAAATGATTTTAAACTACATATTGAATGAGCACACTGCATATGTAAGAATACTGACACAGAGCTACAAATACTGAAATATATTCTGGTATAATTACAGAACTTTAAAGAAAAGAAATATCCTTTGTACAACTGGCAAGAAAAACACTTACAAAGGGAAGACTTGTGAAGGAAAGAAAATTAGTATCACCAGACTTCTGTGACAGCAACGCTTCACAACAACAACAAAAAACCCTGTAATAACATTTTTAAATACTCAGAAAAATAAATGCATGCCAAGGGTTTTATATCAATTGAAACTAACTTTCATGTATAAAGGTCATAAGTTTTTATCAAAATACAAAAACTCATGTAACATTGTTCCCATGAATTCTTCCTAAGGAGTCATAATAGAGAACAAATTTCATACAACCAACATAACTAGAGGAACTTCACCGAAACAATAGGTTGTGAGCATTAAATATTTAGTTACCAGCAGATCTAAGGTTAAGTGAATACAAAGGTGGGAGATATTATTATGTGATGGCTATATGCTTTGACAATGTTTACATCCAACTATTTTTAAAATGGATGGAAAATAGGGAATATATATAAAATATTTTAATGTCTTCAGAAATCATATTAGAGATAGTAATAATATTGTTATTTTGAGCCTAGTGTGTATGTAATGAATAATTATAGCATATTCAAACTTAATCATTCCTATGTCCTTAAGAAGCAGGATTTTCAGTGTGGAAGAAAGGAGATATAAATATTATAGAAAAGGAGTTAAGGTCTGGCTTAGTGGCTCTCACCTGTAATCTCAGTATTTTGGGAGGTCAAGGCAGGAAGATTCCTTGAGGCCAAGAGATGGAGACAAGCCTGAGCAACACAGTGAGACCCCCATCACTAAAAAATAAAATATAAATTAGCTAGGCCTGGTGGCATGCACCTGCCCAGGTACTTAAGAGGCTGAGGTGGGAGGATAGCTTGAGCCCAGGCATTAGAGGTTCCAGTAAGTCATGTTTGCACCACTGCACTCCAGCCTCCAGCAACACTGCACTCTAGCAATAGAGTTAGATCTCCATCTCTAAAAGAAATTTGTTAATAAATAAGTAGAAAATAAGTTAATCAAAACAGTAAGCTTTAATGTGAATAGTCTGTGAATAGTATATGTATATAATGTATATAAAGTAATAGTATATAATGGGAATAGTATATGTCTGTAATATATATGTAATATATAAATGTAGTATATATGTAATATATAACTAACATAAATGTAATACATAAATATATACTATAATATATAAATGTAATATATGTGATATACAATATATAAATGTAATGTATGTAATATATGAATATATACTACAATATATAAATATATACATATGTATACATTGTCTTGATTCTCAATAATTCATGTTGATATTTCTATCATATTCAGGGTTTCAATTATATATATCCCCTAGAATCTCCTAGTTTTGTTGAATAATAAATTTAGTTGTAATCCCAACTCAGTAGTAATTAACAAGCCTAGTGCCTAGATTGTAGTCTTGAAATATTATTTTTCTCTAACAGAATATTTTGAGGAAATGGCTGATTCCAGATTTAGGGCAAAATATGTATATACATATGTATATATACATACATATATATATATGTATATATATATAAAGTGAGGGTGAAAAGTCTTTTAATTCCAGATAGCATAGAAGCTGCTAAACAATACTAGGGTCATTTTAAAAGGATGTAAGAGCCAACTTGAAGAGACCCTCATTGGCCAAAACATGTGGACTTTGACAATAACAATTACAAATGATTGAATTCCATGAAATATGCTTAAATTCACGCATTATACTGGCATTTAAAAGAATAGGTCACCTTTATAAAATAACAGGGAAAGAATTTATTAGCTCAAAAACTGATAAAGGGAAAGAATCAAGCATTGTACCTGTCTTTCCTTTATGTACTGTACTACTGGATGACCAAATAGCAAATGAGGGAAAATATAATTTTATAAAAATATCCAGCCAGGCGCAGTGGCTCACGCCTGTCATCCTAACACTTTGGGAGCCAAGGCAAGTAGATCACCTGAGGTCAGGAGTTCAAGACCAGCCTGGCCAACATGGTGAAACCCCGTCTCTACTAAAAAATACAAAAAAAAAAACAAAAATTAGCTGCCTGTGGTGGCGAGCGCCTGTAATCCCAGCTATTTGGGAGCCTGAGTCAGAAGAATTGCTTGAACCTGTGAGGCAGCGGTTGCAGTGAGCCAAGATTGCACCACTGCACTCCAGCCTGGGCCACAGAGTGAGATTCTGTCTTAAAAAGTGTATATATATCCAGAAATATTGAATAAGAAGTCACATTATTTCAATATGTCCATTTGTAAGCCCCTATGGATTGATATAGAAATTAAGTATTAATGACTTTGTGGGAGACCAGAATACATCAACTATGAAGAATTGTTGAGTTGAAGGCAATTAGGAAGGAGGTTCAGGAAAGCTCTCTGCCCTCCCCCAGTTTTTCTAAAAGAAGGGCTTAGGTTTACAAAGATAAGATATACATTTCCCTCCCTTCTACCAGGAAGAACAAAGGTTAGAGATTGAGGAAAACTTTATACCCTTATCATCTAGAGATTATACCAGAGTAATTTACATTAACAAACATTTCTAACTAGCATTTATCTGCTATTTATTTGCCTTCTCACAAGTTGCCTCCCCAAGAGACTCAAGGTATTTTTTTCTACTATATTATCACTTCTTTAAAAAGGTACATTTTTGTCAAAGATGCTATACTAGCTGGAATTCAAAACCACTTATTCGAGAACTATTCATTTCCTGGGTATCTACCATGTATGTATATATGAAATATACATGTTAATAAACTTTGTTTTTCTATTGTTAACATGTCTTTTGTTACAGTGATCCATTTCAAGTGAGAATCTCTGAGGGTTGAAGAAAAATTATTCTTCTTTTCCTATAAATTAGTGATGTAAACACTTTTTCCAAAATTCTCCAATCTGTGATATTGGTGGATTTTCTAACCACATTTCTTGATTATTAAGGGCTACCTTTCATTTTCATTTTAATCATCAGATGTCATCATATTAAAATATTTCATTGATTGTATGTTTCTCTTCAAACTACTTTATATATACCTATTTCAGATAATATTGTTAGGGCTAACTTACTCTCAAACATCATCTGTTTTTCATAAGTACTTTGATCTTCTCTGCTCCTGGGTGCTATTGCCATCCGTCAGTCTTTTTCTGATGGAGAGCCTGAGAGAACTGAGAGCACTCAGCCCAACCTAGCCAAGTGAGACTCTGAGAGACTGAGGTTTTCTGCAGATTTTGAGAACAACATAAGAGCTAAAATTCATAGCAAATGTACTATTGCTATGGTCTGAATGCTTGCCCCTCTCCAATTCATATGTTGAAACTTAATCCCTAATCTGGTGGTATTAAGAGGTGGGGATATTGGAAAGTGATTAGGTCATGAGGACTCTGTCCTTATGAATGAGATTAGTGCCTTTATAAATGAGGCCTGAGGGAGTTTACTCACCCCTTCTACCATGTGAGGGCATATAGAAGGTGTCATCTATGAGGAAGTGGGCCCTCACCAGATGCCAAATTTGAGACTGAGAAGTCCATGATCAAGGCACCATGTTTGAACTCCTCAGCCTCCAGGACTGTGAACAATAGGTTTCTGTTGTTTATAAATTACCCATGTAGAAAAATAACATAGATGGTGGTCCATTTTCAAGACAAAGTGCCTCGAATAGGCTTGGGCCTATGAGCTAAGGAAGAACAGGATACACCAGGCCCCTGCCTTAATAGCCAGTGTCTGCTAGTTGGGGCCCTTTAGTTACCCTCACCCAAACCAAAGGGTTTAGCATAGAATGAAAGTTTACTAGCTTGCAAAATAGCTCACCTTCTCTATTCTTAATAGCTTTCCTAACCACCTGAGTCATAGATCAAATAATGGAAGAGTCCCCAAGCTGACTATAGTTACAATGCATTATGGGCTGCAACAAAATGCAGTGACAAGACCCTAAAGAAGATACTTAATGCCCCAACTCAATGACCAGTAAGGACAAAGAAAAGAAACTTATGCAAAGTCTGGGAAGATTGTAACCCTACAGTACTCAGCCTATGAGAAACTGGGGGAGGGACTTGCTTACTAGGGGATAAATTGCTTGTTGTAACCGTACTGGGTGTGCCTACTCACCAGACACCCAATCTTGCAAGACTGTCATTAAAAGTCTTGCTTCCGCTGTTCTCCATGTCTCTGAGTCCATTCTTTGGGTTTGGACGAGTGAGTGTGTTTCACAAACCCAGACTAGGGTATTTTGTTATAGCAGCCTGAATAAATTAGAATATTATATATAGAGGCACTATCCAAGTAAAGTTTCCTTGTATGCTAAAGAAATTGTTATGTGTTAAGTCAGAATTTTATTGCTTTTTATCAATAGCCATTGCAAAACTAATGGAGCAAGATATAGACTTAGCATAATATTTAAAATAAGGATCAAGATTGGCATATGACAAAAATATGAGTTTTAGTAAGAAAAAATAGGAAACATTTCAGTTTTGTTTTCATACATGGAATTATCAGCTGAATCCATCTCTACTATGTGAGAGGTAATATCTAAAAATTCTGATTTTTAAAGTGGCAAGTGAAAATACAGAGACTTTGAATAGCCATATTTGTGTATGTGACAGACTAAAAATAGCAACTTTTCTGATATTATTCTCAAATAGATGCAAGTTAAAAGTAAACTTCAAGTATATCTGATGAATTTTCTGCTACAGTTCCAAGTACATCCCCTATTGAAGGGAAGCTAAAAATGACATTGTCTCAGGCCATCTTGGGAGTTAAATGACAAAGGGAGAACTGTCTACTTATACTTGGCTTTGCATGTAATTCTGAAAATCATACTGCTGAAGGATTTTGCATGAGCTCAGAAAAATAAAATTCACAGAATAGTGGGATTCAGACTCTTTTTTTGGTTCTGTATAAATTTTAGGATTGTTGTTTGTAATTATGTGAAAAATAATGTTGGTATTTTGATAAGAATTGCATTGAATCTGTAGATTGCTTTGGGCAGTATAGTCATTTTCATAATATTGATTCTTTGAATCCATGAGCATGGGATATATTTCCATTTACTTGTGTCATTTATGATTTATTTCAGCAGTGTTCTGTAGTTCTCCTTTTAGAGATCTTTCACCTTCTTGGTTACATATATTCATAGGTATTTTATTTTTTTGTAGCTATTGTAAAAATGATTAAATTATTGTTTTCTCAGCTTGGTTGCTCTTAGAATATAGCACTGTACTGATTTGTGTATATTGATTTTTTTAACCTGAGATTTACTAAATTCAGTTATCAAGTCTAGGTTTTTTTTTTTTTTTTGGAGGAGCCTGTACAATTTTCTAGGTATGAGAGAATATCATTAGAAAACAGAGATAGTTTGACTTCCTCTTTTCCCATTTAGATGCCCTTTATTTCTTTAGTTTGCCTGATTCTCTGGCTATGATTTTTAGTATTATGTTGAATAAAAGTGGTGAAAGTGGGTATCCTTGTCTTGTTACAGTTAACAGGTAAACTGTTTTCAACACTTCCCATTCAGTATGATCTTGGTTGTGGGTTTCTCATACATGGATTTTATTATTTGGAGATATGTCCCTTCTATGCCTAGTTGAGAGGTTTCATTAAAAAGTGACTCTGGGTTTTATCAAATGCTTTTTTTGGCATCCATTGAGCTAATCTTTTTTTGTTTTTAATTCTGTTTATGTGATATATCAAATTTATTGTCTTGCATATGTTGAAACATCCCTTCATCCCTGGGATGAAACACACTTGATAATGGTGATTTTTTTTTTAAAATGTGCTGTTGGATTCAGTTTGCCAGCATTTTGTTGAGGATTTTTGCATCTATGTTCATCAATGATAATGATCTGTAGTTTTCTTTCTTTCTTTCTTTCTTTCTTTCTTTCTTTCTTTCTTTCTTCCTTCCTTCCTTCCTTCCTTCCTTTTCTTTCTCTCTCTCTCTCTCTCTTTCTTTCTTTCTTTCTTTTTTGGTTATGGTCTTTCCTAGCTTCATTATTGGGGTGATATTGGCTTCATAGAATGAGTTAGGGAGGATTCCCTCTTTCTTAACCTTTTAGAATAGTTTCAGTAGTATTGGTAACAATTTTTCTTGGAATGTCTGGTAGAATTTGGCTGTGAGTCCATCTGGTCCTGGCCTTTTTTTTTTCTTTTCTTTTTTTTTACTGGCATTTAAAAAAATTACTGATTCAATTTTGGTGCTTGTTTGTGGTTATTTAAGGTTTCTATTTTTTCCCAATTCAAGCTAGGAGATTGTATGTTTCCAGGAATTTATCCATTTCCCCTAGATTTTCTAGTTTGTGTGCATAGAGATGTTCATAGAAATCTCAAATGATCTTTTGTATTTCTATGGTGTTGGTTGTAATGTCTCCATTTTCATTTCTTATTGACCTTATTTAAATCTTCTCTCTTCTCAGCTAATCTTGCTAGTCTATCAGTTTTGTTTATCCTTTTAAGGAACTAACTTTTTAATTCATTATATTTTATATTTTTTTAATTTCATTTTTTTCTGTTCTGATTTTGGTTATTTGTTTTCTTCTGCTAGCTTTGAATTTCATTTGTTCTTATTTATCTAGTTTAGCATCACCCTGGCTAACCAGTAGGTCGTGAGTCTGTCCACATGACCAGTACATTACTACCACAGCTGACGTTTGAGAAATCCAACATACTAAGGCTATTTATAACCAAGGAAATCTCAGTGTCTATGTCACTCCCCTGCCACTACCATAAGAGCTCATGCTGGTACCAATTGCTAGGAAACAAGAGAAAGGTCACATCACTGAATACCTTGCAGACATTCCCTAGGGCAAGCCTGGAGTTTGGCAGACCGATTGGGCAGCTAGACCCAGAGCAGCACCAGAATTCACAATAGTCCGGTCCTCAGGGACTCCTACTCCTAGGAAAAGGGGAAGTGCACCCCATCAATGGAGCAACCTGTGGGACAAAATAAAACAAACTACAGGCCTTGAGTTTTAGAACTTTCTGTTTCAGCAGAGGCACAGGTATAGTGCTGGGCTCAGTTTGGAAAATCTGCAGCTCTACCCTAACAGTCAGGAAGTTCTGGTGATCATGAAGAGTCCTGGAAAACAGGAATTCTCTCTCTCACCCACGACTGTGGACACAACTGAGGCTTCCTTTATGGTGGAACACCTCAGGGTGATTGCATCCCTACAGTAGGAATGCCCTCCAGGTTCAGGCTTGCACAAGGGGTATAACCACAATACTTCTCTATATGGAAAATCAGCATTTCTGCTGATGAAAATAGGTGCCTGTCTGATCTGAGTAGCTGGAACACTGGGTCAGAACTGACTGGCAGTGGATTGCTTTCCTGCTGGCCTGGTAGAGGAGCTAAAGTGGCTCCCTACCTTCCCCCTGAAAAGACCTCAGTGCATTTCACTGAGACCTCCCCAAGGCACAACTACCAAAGCTGGGACCTTTGCATTTACCCATCTGCTTTAGCCACAATTTGTTTTTACCTGTGAGCAGCTCCTAATAAGCTGAAGCCCGAACTATTAAAGGTGAATAAAATACTGGGGGAAAAATTAAAAAGTGCACACCACTGGGGAATGAGGATAAGCTTCATGAAACCTCTGCCATTCTGGCCCCACAGGAGACAATGAACTTGCTCACAAACCCAGCATATTGCCTCTACCACCAGCATCTGAGAAAGCCAACACACAAAAATACTCTATAACCAAGGAACTCATACAGAGTCTTCACTGCTGAAAGTACCCAGAGCTGAAACTAGGTTACAATAAAACATTTATGTCACATTCTCAAGGGGGAAAAAAACAGTCAAATCAAAAATAAATTATGAAATAATTAGAAGAAATAGTCTATCCAAATGAGAAGAAACCAGAAAAATAATTCTGGCAATATGAAAAAATGGGGTTCTATAAAACCCCTAAAATAGCACACTAACTCTTCAGCAATTAATCTAAATGAAGATAAAATCTTTCAAATACCAAATAAAGTATCCAAAAGGCTAATGTATTAAATTACTCAAGGAGACACATGAGAAAGGTGAAAACCAACATAAATAAATTTTAAAAATAATTCAATATATGAATGAAAAATGTTCTAAAGACACACACACACATATGTAATATATATGTATATTATATGTATATATGTATATATTTTATATATATTATATATGTATATATGTGTACATATATATGTATATATGTGTACATATATTATATATGTATATTATATATATATATATATATATAAAAGTAAAACCAATCAGAACTTCTGGAAATGAAAGACACATTTAGGGAATTACAAAATGCAGTGGGCAGTTTTAAGAATAGACTACACCAAGTAAAAGAGAAAAATACAGAGCTTGAAGACAAGGCTTTTGAATTCACCCAATCAGACAAAAACTAAGAAAAAAGAATTAAAGAAAATGAAAAAAGTCTCAAAGAAGTATGGTCTTATATAAAACAGCCAAACCTAAGAATCATAGATGTTTCTGAGGGAGAAGAAAAACAAAATGTTTGCAATATTTAATATTTTAAAAGTTTTATTGTGTTCTTAATTTTTTAATTTTAATTATTTTATTTTAATAATATCCTTTTGTTTATGTTTACTTTCTGATTTATCCTTATTATTATTTGATTTTATAATAAATAAAATCTGAGACCATAGAGGTAAGATTCATAGGGATAGGCCACATCATAAACAGGAAAAAATTTCCTTCCTCTAAACTGCCTCAGCAAAAACTGCTCTGAGTCCCAAAATGAACAACTTATTTAGCCTTTAAATATTACTCATAAAAAATGTCACCATGATGAATACAGAGACCTACTAGTTGACCTACTCCAGGGCAATTACTTTCTCTCTGTTTACATAGCAAGAAAACCACACTACATCCTAAAAACTCAAACTATCCAGGCTTTATATGAGGAACATTTTGTAACAAAACTCATAGTCTCTAATTTATTCCTTGAATACATGGGAGCTCAGGCTTCACTTTAAAAGGGAAACAGATAATGTTAAATGCCAAATACTATTTCCATCATATTTATGAAAAATAGTAATACATAACTTGCCCTAATTTTAATATATTCCCATTTGGTTGATCTCACTTTTCATCAGGCTCACAGCAAAGCTGATATTCAAAATATTTAACAAAATAGTATAGGGCATTCATCAATCAGGCTTGAGTACTATCAGAACAGCTGTCATATTAAGCAGTTAGTATAATTTACTATTGTGTACTGCCTCTGCTGGAACCTATATATTCTTTTTGAGGATAAAGGAATGACAGAATTAGAACTATGGGGAGGAGGAAATGTAATCTGTATTTCTGCAGAGTGACTCAATTTATGAAGACAGTTACTGGATAATCTGAGTTAACACAGAAGGGCAAGACTAAGAAAGACCTATCTCAACAACCATGAAACTTCAAGATATCCTCTGAGAAAGTTATAAAGTGGCAGAAAGTAAATCAGGTCAGCCTTTCCACTCATTCAGGCCCTAAAAAAACAATATGCTGTACTATGAAGGTTGGAGTTTATGAAGATTCATAAGAGCAGAGTCTAAGATTTTATGTAGTTATCTTTCTTCCTAAATTTCCTTATAGGATCCAAGTTGAGATAAACTTCCTCCCATGATGGCACTAAATAAACTATAATCATACTGAAGTTATACCTCTTATCTAGCCTTACAAAGTACTATTATCCATAACAATCTTATGAGCTACACCCATCCATTTACCTCAATGACAATTTTTGAGACTCTTTTCTCAACTTCCTCCAGAAAGCTGACCTACTACCCTATTTTGAAGACTTAGACGTACTCTAATGAACTTAGTTTGTGATCTGAAAGACAAAGAGCTACACCAGAAAAGTACAGAAACATGAAGGGAAATAAGTAGAAGTCCTCCTTTATGCCCTCCTCAGACTACCACGAATTTTTTTCTATACATTTATAAAATTATATATTCAAAGAGAATGAGAAAACAGATACATATGCATTAACAATGGTGCATATATTTATACACATAGGGTATATAAATGATATAATACAATATAGTTGGATGACTTCCTTTTCTCAAATAGAAATATATCATAGATTTTTATCCAAGAAAGTGCATATTAGATTGATCTGCTACATTTTATATGGTTTCATATAATTTTGTAGAACAGATGTGATGGTAAATTTGGGGTACAAACAAGGCTAGTGTATGATACCCCATTGTTTAGTGAAACATCTATCTAGATGTCCCTATGAAGATCTATCTTATAAGTAATTAGCCACTAAATCAGTAGACATTGTGTAAAGTAGATTATTTTCCATAATGTGCATGGGTGTTATCTAATCAGTTGACGACCTTAAGAGAAAAGACTGAGGTCTCCAGGAAAGAATTCTACCTCCAGACTACCTTAAAACTCAAGACTGCAGCATCAACTCCTGTGGTAATTTCTAGTTGGCCTGGCTTGTAGATATTAGACTTGCCAAAATCTACAACTACATGAGCAAATTTCTTAAAATAAGTCTTTCTCTGTAAATCTCTATCTCTCTTTTATCACTGTGTACACACACACACACACACACACACACACACACACACACACACAAATACAAATATCCTATTGGTTTTGTTTCCCTGAAAAACTCTGATTAATATATGTACCAAAATATATTCTGCCATATCAAAGAAGATTTTCTTAAAATTATTTTAATTCTCACCCTTCCTGTGCATCTGTGCAGAGATTATGGTAAAGTGAGGCCCTCTCCAGTCCATTACCAATACAGATCTCCAGGCATTGGGAGCACCCACTTGCCCAGATTAGCAGGCTGAGCTTCCTCACCCATTCTGCACAAAGACTGTGGTCAAGTGGCATTCTGTACACTCCAGACACAGGCAGATCTTCAGGCATCCAGATAACCCACTCTCCTAGATTAGAGGTTTAGGCCACTGCTGCTCTCCCTGCCTCACAGAGAACTTAGGGCCAAGGAGGTTCTCCAGGTCCACATCTAGGCACAACTCTGGTGCTTAGTGGCTGCTCACTGGATTCCTCATCAATGCTGGTGCTTCTGCCTGACATTGAGGGAACTATAGGTGGGCCTGCTTAGTCCAGCCCTGCCCATATAGCCTCCCACCACCCACCTGGGGCTGAGCAGGAAGCTCAGACAATTGTGGACTCCAGGCATCAGCTCCATGACTAATGCAACAGAGAGCTATACCTTCATGTTGGCTGTAGCCAGCTCTTACCCATAAGCACCATTTAATGGTTTACAGGATGAACCACACAGCCCAATAGAAAACCAGCTGACATAAGTGCATAGGGATATAAAAGCAAAGACAAAAGACCTTACCCAGCATTCTCTACAGCCACACACCATAGGTAGGGGGATGAAATAAAATTTATATATATATATATATATATATATATATATATATATATATATATATATATATGTGTGTGTGTATATATATATATATGTATATAGGGAAAGAAAAAATATTACCTGCATGAAAATAATTACAAAAATTAGAAGCAACAGTATCTCCAGATGAGAAGAAACCAGCACAAAAATTTGGACACTATCAAAAATCTAAATGTATTGACAGCACCAAAGGATCACACTAGCTCTGCAGCTAAGGTTTTTAACCAAAATGCAAACTCAGAAATAAAAGATAAAGAATTCAAAGCATGAATTTCAAAGAAGCTCCATGAGATTAAAGACAAGGTGGAAAATAAACACAAAGAAACTTATAAAGCAATCCAGAAAATAAAGGAAAAGACAAATATCTTAAAAAGAAATCTTTCAGATACTCTGGAAATGAAAACTTACTTAAGGAATTTAAATATGCAATTGAAACCTTTATTAATAAACTAGACAGAGCAGAAGAAAGAGTTTCAGAGATTGAAAATTGCTCATTAGACTAGCACAGTCAGACAACAATAAACACAAAAGCAGAATGTTATAAAATGGAAAATGTTTCAAAAATACCGGATTATGTAAAGCAACCAACCAAATGTATGAATTTTGGGCATTCTTGAGATAGAAGAATAAAAAATAAACAACCTAGAATACATCTTTGAGGAAATAATTCAAGAAATGTTTTCTAATCTTGCTAGAGAGGTAGACATTTAGATACAAAAAAAATTCAGAGAACACCTTCAAAATACTATAAAAAGTCAATTACCAAAGCATATAGTCATTATATTCTCAAGGTTGACACAAAACAAAAAAGTCTTAAAGACACCTACAGAAAAAGGTCAGGTCACCCACAAGAGAAACCCCTCAGGCTAACCGTGGGCTTCTGAGCAGAAATCTTACAAGCCAGGAGAGACCTATTTTTGGCATTCTCAAAAATAAATAAATAAATAAATAAATAAATAAATAAATAAATAAATTCCAACCAAAAATTTTATATTCCATCGAACTAAGCTTCACAAGTGAAGGAGAAATAAAAATATTTTTCAGACAACCAAGTGCTAAGGGAATTTATTACCAGTAGATGAACATTACAAGAGATCTTTATGGGAATTCTAAACATGGAATCAAATGAATTCTAACTGCTACCAAAAAACATTTTGAAGGACATAGCCCACAGACAGTATAAAGCAACCATACAATAGAAACTACAAAGTAACCAGCTAAAACCTTCAGTGTGTTAAAAATCCCACATATCAATATTAACCTTCAATATAAATAGTCTAAATGACCACCTGAAAAGGCATAGAGTGAGAAGGTGAATAAAAATAGTCATCAGTCTGTTCTTTCCAAGAGACCTATCTCACATGTAATGACATATATAGGCTGAAAGTAAAGGATTGGAGAAAGATCTATCACACTAAGATGTTCAGGAGTCACTATTCTTATATCAGATAAAATGGACTGTAAACCAAAAACAGTAAGAAATGACAAAGAAGGGCATTACATAATGAAAAAGGATTCAATTCAATTCATCAAGAAGACTTAAGAATTCCAATATTGAAGCACCCAGATTTATAAAACTAGTATATCTAGACCTACAAAAAGACATAGACAGCCACCCAATAATGGTGGGGTACTTCAATACCCCACTGATGGTATTAGAGAGATTATTGAAGCAGAAAAAATGAATTAATTAGTAAAAAATTCTAGACTTAAATACAACACCTGACCAATAAGACCTAATAGACATCTACAACATAATCCACCCATCAAACAAAATATACATTTTTCTCATCTCAACTGGGAACATACTCTAACACCAACAACACATTAGGCCGTGAAGCAAATCTCAATAAATTCAAAAAATGTTAAGCTGACAAAAATTAGCAATGGAGAAAGGACTCCCTATTCAATAAATAGTGCTGGGATAGCTGGCTAGCCATATGCAGAAGAATGAATCTGAACCTGTAGTTTTCACAATATACAAAAGTTAACACAAGATGGATTAAAAACTTAAATGTAAGTCCTCAAACTATAAGAATCCTAGAAGAAATCATAGGAAATATAATTTTGGACATTGGCCTTGGGAAATAATTTATGACTAAGTCCTCAAAAGCAATTGTCACAAAAACAAAAGTTGACAGGTGGGATCTAATTAAACTAAAGAGCTTCTGCACAGGAAAAGAAACTATCAACAAAGTAAGTAAAGAAATAAAGAAACTACGCAATGGGAAAGATAAGCAAACTATGCATCTGAGCAAAGACTGAATATCCAGGATCTATAAAGAAGTTAATAATTCAGCAAAAAAACCCCTAATTGTCCCATTAAAAACTGGCAAAAGACATGTACAAACACTTCGTAAAAGCAGACATACAAGTGTCCTACAAACATATGAAAAAATGATCAATATCATTAATCTTCATGGAAATACAAAGAAAAACCACAATGGGATATCATCTAACACCAGTCAGAATGGCTATTGTTAAAAAGTGAGAAAATAACTGGCGTTGCCAAAGTTGTGGAATAAAAGGAATTTCTTACAATGTCGGTGGAAATGCAAGTCAATTCAACCTCTGTGAAAAGCAGTTTGGAGATTTATTAAATAATTAATAATAGAATTATTATTCAACCCAGCAATTCCATTACTAGATATATATTCATAAGAATATAAATCCTTCTTACCAAAACACATGTACTCCACGTACTCATTTGTTCATTGCAGTAATGTTCACAATAGCAAAGGGAGAAAATCAACTTAGATGCCCATCAACAGTGAACTGGATAAAGAAAATGTGGTACATATACTCCACAGCAATTGAAAATAATGAAATTATGTTCTTTGCAGCAACATGGATGCAGTTGGAGGCAATTATCCTAAGTAAATTAAGGTTCTTATGAGTAGGAGCTAAATATTGGGTCATATACATAAAAGTGACAACAGTAGACACTGGTGAGTACTAGAGGAGGAACTAGAGAGAGAGGCAAAGGTGGAAAAACTATTGGATACTATGGTCCCTACTTGGGTGACAGGATCACTCATACCCCAAACCTCAGCATCACAAAATACACCCATATAACAAATCTGCACGTTTCCCCTCCAGAATTAAACTAAAGTTGGAATTATTTTAAAAATTTCCCTTTGTATTCCTCCTACTGTTTCTTAATTTTGTACATTTTTATTGCTAATTTCTGGTTTTCTGTTTTTAAGACAAAAATCAGATAATATAATTTCTACATACCTCTACTTTTTGGTTTATTAAGATTTTCTTTGTTATATGTACAACTGATTTTTTTGTTTGTAAAGTCTTCATGCATCTAAAAAAAGAATATGTTATCTGTTCATAGGATTTATAATTATAAATATGTATCAGTTAATTTCTACTTATTCATTGGAATATTAATCCTCTATACTATTTCTTATTTCTCATTGGTTTTCTCTTGTCAAATTCTGAAAATGATAGAGTGATGTATTTCACAACATAGCATATTTAAAAAAATATTTCTCCCTAGATTGCTAAGACATTTGCTTTATAATCTTCACTGCTACATTATTTATTGCATGAAAGTCTGGTACATATTTACTTTGTAGGTTGTATGTTTTAATATTACCTAAAATCCTTTTGTCCTGCTTAAAGCATTCACAGTTGAAATGTACTTACCTATATTAATACAGCTATTCCTTCTTTTCTTTTATTTACTTTGTCTGGTTTATATTTCTCTCCTATTAGTTTTTCTTAACTCTGACATCCACAAGTTTCTGGTTTTATTCAATAGCATATGTAATGTTTGTGTGCCTCTTTAAACCACTTTTTGGAAATATGATGGACATTCATAGTAAACTGTTCAAATAATGTATTATATAAATTTCAGTATATATTATATAAAAATTATAGGTATAGTCAACTTTAATTGTGATGTACAGTTAAATGTAAAATGTCTCTACTTTTACCCTTTCTTACTATAGACTACATTATTTTGCCTTTTAAAAATATCTCATGGGGCTCATATCACCCAGAAAATACTCTGGAGACAGGTCTCAGAATGGCTGCCAAGATGCAGTGAAAATGCTGCTACCATGGACAGAGCTGGAATTTAAAAATCAACTAAATTTGAACAGATCTTTGGAGAGGAAACATTAAATACAGATGAAGAAAAAATGCAGACACAGAGACTGAAAAGCGAGGAAGCTGGGAACTCTGCCTGGGATGACTGAATGCTTCAATTGGTTCTTGGCCCCAAATGGCTCCTGGGGAAAGGAAAAGAGAAAGGACTGGGGAACTGCCCCTTCTCACTTTGGACCTCTGGAATCCCAGCTGCAGGGGAACCCACATCCCTCACAAATGTTTGAGCTGATGGGTGGATTTCCTTGGAAATTAAACAAAGATGGAGTTGTGGCCGGCACAGAGCCAGGGACCATTGTGCTTGAGACAGCTCTGTCAGATCCCAGCCATAAGCCCCCATCTCCCAGGGCTCTCCATCTCCCTTTGAGGGGACTTAGGTAACCACTGGGGAGAAAGCAGAGTTAGCTGCCCCACAGAACTGGGGCACATCTGACTTGCATGCCCCCCTGCACATCTGTCCCTTCCAGGGCCCCTGCCTGGCTGCCTCATAGGAGTGTGTGCAAAGTGAAGCATGTGCTTCACTGTCTGTGTTCTTTGGTATACCTGAGTGCAGTCTGGCAGCCTGGGAGCCCTTCAGATCCCCCACCACACTTGGAACCCAATCCCAAGGGTCTGGAGGAAGTAGCTGTGTGATCAAATCCTGATGGGCTGTTGCCCAAAGACTGTGAGTGCTGAGCCAAAATCTGTGCTTGGCACTTGAGTAGGGTAGGAGCCCACACTTTCAGCAAAATGAGAGGGGTGAATCACACAGGTTTGTGGGTTGGTGTTGCATGTAGGTGTGCCTTCTTTCACAGTGGTCATCTGGCAAAAAATTTGTGAGTACAGTGCAAGTGATTGGAGGTAGCTTTTCTAAGGCCCAGGAATGGACCTTTTGAGGGGGTCATCTCTCTCCGCCTCACACTATAAAACACAGAAAAGAAGAAATAGAATCTTTCTCTGAAAAGCAACTGCTGAGGGAATATGTTTAAATTAGACAAGCCTTACAAGAGGTGCTTATAAGAGTGTTAAAAATTTACTGGAAAGAACAACACCTGTTACCACAAAAGCACATTTAAGAACATAACCTAAATTCTCTATAAAGCAACTACGCAATTCAAAAAAGCCAAGCAACCCAGTAAAAAAATTCAAGATCTTAAAGACAAAATAGTCATGTTAAGAAAGACTGAAACTGAACTTCTTGAGCTGAAAAATTCATTACAAGAATTTCATAATACAATCAAAAGTATTAATAGCAAAATAGACAAAGCTCAGGAAAGAATCTCAGAGCTCAAAACTGGTTCTGCAAATTAAGTCAGTCACACAAAAATAACCAAAAAAATTAAGAATATGAAAAGTGAGCAAAATCTTTGAGAAATATGGGATTATGTGAAGAGACCAAATTTACAACTCATTGACAGTCCTAAGAGAAAAGAGATGATAGCAACTTGGAAAACATATTTGATGATATAGTCCCCCCAAAGTTTTCTAATCTCTCCAGAGGCTTACATGCAAATTGGAAAATTACAGAAAACCCCAGACAGATACTATGCAAGATGACCATCCACAAGGAACATAGTCATCAATTCCCCAAGAAAAATGCAAAAGAAAAAATCTTAAAGGCAGCTAGAGAGAAGGGGCAGGTCACCTACAGAGGGAACCCCATCAGGCTAGTAGCAGACATCTCAGCAGAAACCTTACAAGCCCAAAAAGATTGGATGCCTATAGTCAGTGTCTTTAAAGAAAACAAATTCCAACCAAGAATTTTATATTCTGCCAAACTAAGTTTCAAGAGTGAAGGAGAAATAAAATCCTTCTCTGACAAGCAATATACTGAGGGAATATGTTTTAACAAGACAAATCTTGCAAGAAGTCCTTAAGGGACTGCTAAACATAGACACAAAAGGATGACACCTGATACCAGAAAAGCACACTTAAGGACATAGCCCATAGGCACTATAAAGCAACTATGTAATGAACTCTATAAACACCCCCACTTAAGACACAAAGTAGCAAGTTGGATAAAAAAGCATGATTCAGCCATATTTGGTCCTCAAGAGACCCATATCCCATGTAACAAAACCCACAGGCTCAAGTAAAAGAGTTGAGTAAAATCTACCATACAAAGGAAAGCTAAAAAGAACAGTAGTCACTATTCTGATATTGATAAAACAGCCTGTAAACCAATAAAAATTAAGAACAACAAAAAAGGGGATTACATAATAATAAAGGGTACAATTCAACAAGAAAGCCTTAACTATCCTAAATATATATGTATCAAAGATTAGAGAACCCAGATTCATAAAAAGTTCTTGGCTTATGAAATGACTTAGAGAACCATGTAACAGGAGTGGCAGACTTCAGTACCACACTGACAGCGTTAGACAGACCATCAGGGCAAAAAGTTAAACAAACAAACAAAAAACATACCAAAAAAAAAATCCTCCGGACTTAAACTCAACACATTACCAATTGGAACTCTACAGAACACTCCACTCAAATACAGCAGAATATACATTCTTCTCATTGGCACATGGAACATATTCTAAGATTGAACACACGCTTGGTCATAAAGCAAGAAAGCTTGAATAAATTTTAAAAAATTGTAATTATACAAAGTATACTCTTGGACCACATTGCAATAAAAATAAATACAAAAAAAGATATCTCAAAACTACACAAATACATGGAAATTAAACCACTTCCTAAGTGACTCCTGGGTGAGCCTTAAAATTAAGGCAGAAACAAAACAATTCTTTGAAATTTATGAAAATAGAAACACAACGTACCAAAATTTCTAGGATGCAGCAAAAGCAGTGTTAAAATAACTTTCATCATCAAGGTAGAAAGGTCTGTGAAGATTAGGATGGTGGATAGGAGGCAGGACAAGCTGCAGCTACTGCTCAAATGGAGAAAGCAGCATGTGGAGACTCAAATGATGAACTTTTGCTCCAAGAATTACAACAGGAACATACCAGGAAAGCTGAGAGAATCCACAGAGCCTTTGAACTGGACTACCCCTGCAGGCTCTCTGAGATGCCGAAAAACTGTGAGTCAGCTTGCTTTCTCAATGAGGAGGCTCGTGGTCTCGGACAAGTTCTCAGCCCTGGTCACTGGCTGCCTGGAAATAGACTTGGTGCTATGGCAGGCACACAGTGCTAGTGAGACTGGCCTTTAGGACAGTAGGCTGTGTGGGAGCAGCATGAGGCTTGTTACTGCTGGCTTTCCCCCACTTCTCTGATGGCCTATATGACTCAGAGAAGGCAGCCATAATACCCCTAGGAATAGAACTCTTTTGGACTAGAAACCACATCCCCAGCCCCCACAGCAGCTGAAGCAAGTCCTGCCAAAGGAGAGATTGAGCTCAGACATGCCTATCCCTGCTCCTACCTTTCTCTACCCACCCTGGTAGCTGAAGACAAAGGTCATAATCTCTTGGAAGCTCTATGGCCCTGCCCACCACGTGAGAAACCTGAATGCTTAACCAGCTGTCCCTAGAGCAAGTTTGCATCCTCCTTATAGCACTGCAGTTGATGCACTCTTGAAAGCACCACCTCCTGGCAGGAGGCCAACCAATACAAAACCAGTGCACTAAACAAAACACAACCAAGGATCCTCACAGGGTCCACTTCACTCCCCTAATACCCCAACCAGAGTAGATGCTAGATGCTAGTATCCATGGCTGCAAAACCTGAAGACAGATCACATCACAGGACTCTTTGCAGACACTCCCCAGTACCAGCCAGGAGAGTAGTAGCTTCGCTGGTGGCTAGACCCGGAAGAGCAAAAACAATCACCACAGTTCCGCTCTCAGGAAGCCACATTCCTAGGGGAAGGGGGAGAACATCACATCAAGGGAGCACCTCGTGGGACAAAAGAATCTAAACAGCAGCCCTTGAATTTCAGATCTTCCCTCTGACATAGTCTATCCAAATAAGAAGGGACCAGAAAAACAATTCTGGTAGTATGACAAAACAAGGGTTTTTTTAAACATCTCCAAAAGATTATATCATCTCACCAGCAATGGATACAAACCAAGATAAAATCTCTGAATTGCCAGAAAAAGAATTTGGAAGGTTAATTATTAAACTAATCAAGGAGGAACCAGAGAAAGGTGAAGTCCAACCTAAAAAAATTGAAAACATGATACAGGATATGAAAGGAAAATTCTTCAGTGAAATAGAGAGCATAAATAAAAAACAAGTAAAACTGAAAAACAGAGAAATGCAAAATGCACTGGAAAGTCTTAGCAATAGAATCAAACAAGGAAAAGAAAGAACCTTAGAGCTTGAAGACAAGGTTTTCTAATTAAGCCAATCTGACAAAGACAAAGGAAAAATAATTTTAAAAAATAAAGCCTTAAAAAGTATAGGACAATGTTAAACATCCAAACTTAAGAATAATTGGGGCCAGGCACAGTGGCTCATGCCTGTAATCCCAGCACTTTGGGAGGCCGAGGTGGGTGAATCACCTGAGGTCAGGAGTTTGAGACCAGCCTGGCCAACATGGTGAAACTCCATCTCTACTAAAAATACAAAAATTAGCAAGGTGTGGTGGTGGGCGCCTGTAATCCCAGCTACTCGGGAGGCTGAAGCAGGAGAATTGCTTGAACCTGGGAGGCAGAGGTTGCAGTGAGCTGAGATCGCACCACTGCACTCCAGCCTGGGTGACAGAGTGAGACTCCATCTCAAACAAACAAACAAAAAAAGTAATTGGTGTTCCCAAGGAAGAAAAGAAATCTAAAAGTTTGGAAAACATATTTGAGGGAATAATCGAGGAAAACTTCTCTGGCCTTGCTAGCGATCTAGACATCCAAATACAAGAAGGTCAAAGAACACCAGGGAAATTCATTGTAAAAAAATCATCACCTAGGTACACAGTCACCAGGTTATATAAAGTCAAGATGAAGAACTGTGAGACTAAAGCCTCAGGGGCCAATCTATAAAGAAAAAATTGTCAGATTAACAGCAGATTTCTCAGCAGAAACCCTACAAGCTACAAGAGAATGGGGTCCTATATTTACCCTCCTTAAACAAAACAACTATCAGCCAAGAATTTTGCATCCAGCAAAACTAAGCTTCATAAATGAAGGAAAGATAAAGTTTTGTTTTCCAGACAAACACTGCAAGAATTTGCCACTATCAAGCCAGCACTACAAGAACTGCTAAAAGGAAGCTCTAAATCTTGAAACAAATCCTTGAAAGAAACCAAAATAAAACCCCCTTAAAGCATAAATCTCACAGAAACTATATAACAATAACACAATGACAAAAAGAAAGGCATCTGGGCAACAAGCAGCATAATGAATAGAATAGTACCTCACATCTCAATACTAACATTGAGTGTAAATGGCCTAAAAGCTCCACTTAAAAGATACAGAATGGCAGAAAGGATACGAATTCACAAAACAAGTTTCTGCTGTCTTCAGAAGACTCACCTAACACTTAAGGACTCACATAAACTTAAAATAAAGGGGTGGAAAAATATATCCCATGCAAACCAAAAGTGGGCAGGAGTACCTATTCTTATATCAGACAAAACAAACTTTAAAGCAACAGCAGTTAAAAAGACAAAAAGGTATATTATATCATGATAAAAGGACTAGTCCAACAGGAAAATATCACAATTCTAAATACATATGCACCTAACACAGAAGCTTCAAAATGTATAAAACAATTACTACTAGACCTAAGAGATGGGATACATGGCAGCACAATAATAGTGGGGTGCTTTAATACTCCACTGACAGCACTAGACAAAACATCAAGACAGAAAGTCAACAAAGAAACAAAGAACTTAAACTACACCCTACGACAAGTAAACTTAACATATACTTACAAAACATTCTACCCAACAACTGCAGAATGTACATTCTATTCATCAGCACATGGAGCATTCTCCAAGATAGACCATATGAATGCCCACAAAACAAGTCTCAGTAAATTTAAGAAAATCAAAATTACATCAAGTACTCCCTCAGACTACAGTGGAATAAAATAGAAAGTCAACTCCAAAACGAACCCTGAAAGCCACGCAAATACATGGAAATTAAATAACCTATTCCCGAATGATCCTTCAGTCGACAATGAAATCAAGAAGGAAATTAAAAAATTCTTTGAACTGAATGATAAATGTGACACAACCTATTAAAACCTTTGGAATACAACAAAAGTGGTGCTAAGAGGAAAGTTCATAGCATTAAATGCTTACATCAAAAAAGCCTGAAAGAGCACAAATGGAAAATCTAAGGTCACACCCCAGAGAACTAGAGAAACTAGAACAATCCAAACCCAAATTCAGCAGAAGAAAAGAAATAAATAATATAAAAGCAGGACTAAATAAAATTAAAACAAAAAAAATACAAAAGATAAAACAGAAAGCTGTTTTTTTGTAAAGATAGAATTGATATACTATTAGCAAGATTAATCAAAAAGAGATTTAAATAACTTCAATTAGAAATGAAATGGGAGATATAACAACTGATATCACAGAAATACAAAAGATCATACAAGACTACTACTAACACCTTTATGTGCATAAACTAAAAAACCTACAGGAGATGGATAAATTCCCGGAAATATACAACCCTCCTAAATTAAACCAGGAAGATATAGAATCTCTGAACAGACCAATAACAAGAAGTGAGATTATAATGATAATAAAAAAATGCTAAAAGTTCAGGATGAGATGCATTCACAGCTGAATTCTATCAGATATTCAAAGAAGGATTGTTACCAATCCTATTGACAATATTCCACAAGATAGAGAAAGAGGAAATGCTCTCTAAATAATTATATGAAGCCAGTATCACACTAATACCGAAGCCAGTATCACACTAATACCAAAGCCAGAAAAGGACATAACAAAAAAAGAAAACTACAGACCAATATCCCTGATGAACATAGATGCAAAAATCCTCAACCAAATAGTAGCAGACCCAATCCAACAGCATGTCAAAAAGATAATCCACTATGATCAAGTGTGTTTCATACCAGAGATGCAGGGATAGTTTTACATATGTAAATCAACAAATATGATACACCACATAACAAGAATTAAAAACAAAAACTACATGATTATCCCAATACATGCAAAAAAAGCATTTAACAAAATCCAGAATCCCTTTATGAATAAAACCCTCAGCAAAATTAGCATAGAAGGGACATACCTTCAGGTATGACAAATCAACAGCCAACATTATACTGAATGGGGAAAAGTTGAAAGCATTCCCCTCTGAGAACCGGAACAAGAAAAGGATGCCAAATGTTACCACTTCTATTCAACAGAGCACTGGAAGTCCTTGCCAGAGCAATTGGACAAGATAAATAAATAAATGGCCTCCCAACAGGTAAACAGGAAGTCAAAATGTCACTGTTTGCTGATGATATGATTGTATACCTAGAAAATCCTAAGGACTCATGCAAAACGCTCCTAAAACTGGTAAATGAATTCAGCAAAATTTCAGGATACAAAATTAATTTACACAAATTAGTAGCTCTGCTATACACCAACTGTGACCAAGCTGAGAATCAAATAAAGAACTCAACCCTTTTCACAATAGCAATAAAAAATTTTTAAAAAAATTCTTAGGAATATACCTAACCAAGGACATGAAAGACCTTTACAAGGAAAACTACAAAACATTGCTGAAAGAAATTATAGTTGACACAAAAAAATGGAAACACATCCGATGCTCATGGGTGGGTAGAATCAATATTGTGAAAATGACCATACTGCCAAAAGCAATCTACAAATTTAATGCAGTCACCATCAAAATATAACCATCATTCATCACAGAACCAGAAAAAAACAATCCTAAAATACATATGTAACCAAAAAGGGGCCCACATAGCCAAAGCAAGACTAAGCAAAAAGAACATAAAGAACAAATCTGGAGGCATCACATTACCTGACTTCAAACTATACTATAAGGTGACAGTCATCAAAATAGCATGGTACTGGTATAAAAATAGGCTCATAGACCAAGTGAACAGAATAGAGAACCCAGAAATAAAGCGAAATACTTACAGACAATGGATTTTTGACAAAGCAAACAAAAACATAAAATGGGGAAAAGGACACCCTATTCAACAAATGGTGCTGGGATAATTGGCAAACCACATGTAGAATGAAATTGTATCTTCATCTCTCACCCTATACAAAAATCAACTCAAGATGGATCAAAGACTTAAATCTAAGACCTGGAACCATGAAAACTCTGTAAGATACCATCGGAAAAACTCTTCTAGATATTGGCTTAGGCACAGAGTTCTTGACCAAGAATCCAAAAGCTAATGCAACAGAAACAAAGATAAATAGATGGGACTTAATTTTTCTGCACAGCAAAATAAAAATAGTAATAATAATCAGCAGAGTTAACAGACAACCCACAGAGTGGAAGAAAATCTTTATAGTCTATGCTCCTGACAAAGGACTAATATATTGAATCTACAAAGAACTCAAACAAACTAGCAAGGAAAAAAAAAATCCCATGAAAAAGTAGGCTAAGGATATGAATAGGCAATTCTCAAATGAAGATATGCAAATGGCCAACAAACAGATTGAAAAATGCTCAACATCACTAATTATCAGGAAAATGAAAATCAAAACCACAATGCAATACCACCTTACTCCTGCAAGAATGGCTGTAATCAAAAAATTAAAAATAATAGATGTTGGCAGGGATGTGGTGAAAAGGGAACAGTTTTACACTTTTGGTGGGAATGTAAACCAGTAAAACCATTATGGAAAACAGTGTGGAGCTTCGTTAAAGAACTAAAAGTAGATCTGCCATTTGATCCAGCGATCCTACTTCTAGTTATCTACCCAGAGGAAAAGAAGTCATTATACCAAAAAGATACTTGCACATGCATGTTTATAGCAGCACAATTTGCAATTGCAAAAATATGGAAGCAGCCCAAATGCCTATATACACATATACACACACACACACAGGTACATACACACACACAATGGAAGAGTACTCAGCTGTAAAAAGCAACAAAATAATGGCATTTTCCGCAACCTGGATATGATTGGAGACTATTGTTCTAAGTGAAGTCACTCAGGAATGGAAAACCAAACATAGTATGTTCTCACTCATATGTGGGAGCTAAGCTATGAGGACACAAAGGTATAAGAATGATACATTGGACTTTGGGGACTCAGGGGAAAGGGTGGCAGGTAGCAAGGGATAAAAGACTACACACTGGGTACTGTGTACACTGCTTGGATGACAGGTGCACCAAAATATCAGAAATCACCACTAAAGAACTTATTTATGTAACCAAACATAACCTGTTCCCTGAAAACCTATTGAAATAAAAAGTAAAAAATTAAAAAAAAAGAAGTTAGAAAGGTCTCAAATTAGCAATCTAACTTTGCACATAAAGCAACTAGAGAAAAGAATATACCAACCTCAAATTTGGCAGAAGAAAAGAAATAACTAAAATTACAGAAGAATGTAATGAATTTGTGATGTTAAAATTCATATGAAAAACAAATTGTGTGATGAATTGCATGTTGGTAGTTCTAAAAATCAAATAAGATTGACCACTAGCTAGATTAACAAAGAAAAAAAAAAGTCAAGATTCATATAAGTACAATCAGAATTTGTTCGTCAAAAAAAATAAGTAAGATTGATAGATTCCCTAGCTAGATTAATGAAGAAAAATAAGATCCAAATAATTACAATCAGAAACAACAAATGCTATATTATAACTGATCCCACAGAAATACAAAAGATTCTCAGAGACTACATTGAACAAATCTATGCACACAAATTAGAAAAGCTAAAGAAAATGGAGAAATTCCTGGAGGCATACAATCTCACAAGATTGAATTTGGCAGAAATTAAAAATCTGAATAAACCAATATCAACTTTTGAAATTGAATCAGTAATAAAGAACCTACTAGCCATAAACAGCCTTGGACCAGTTGGATTCACAGCTAAATTCTACCATACATACAAAGAAAAGCAGATACCAATAGTACTGCAACTATTTTTAAAAATCAAAGTGAAGGAACTCCTCCCTAACTTATTCAATGAATCCAGCATCAACCTGATACTAAAATCTGGCAGAGACACAAGGAAAAATAAAAACTTCAGACCAATGTCACTCATAAACATAGATGAAAAAATCCTCAACAAAATATTAGCAAATAAAATCCAGCAGCACATCAAAAATTTAATATACCAAGAGCAAGTAGGCTTTATTCCTGGGATGGAAGGATGGTTGAACATATTTAAATCAATAAATATCATTCACTATATAAACAGAATTAAAAGAATAACCATATGTTCATCTTAATAGATGTAGAAAAATATTTCATTAAAATTCAAAATACCTTCTTAATAAGAATACTTAACAGACTAGGCATAGTAAACACCATCTATGACAAATCCACAGCCAAGATCATATCATATGGGAAAAAGTTCAAATCATTCCCCTTGAGAATGAAAAAAAGACAATGATGTCCGTTCTTCAATCTCCTTTTCAATATAGTACTGGAAGTCCTAGCCAGAGAAATCAGGCAAGATAAAGTAAAAAATCACATCCATGTAGAATAAAAAGAAGTCAAACTATCTCTCTTCACTCAAAATATGATGTTATAGCTAGAAAATCCTAAAGACTACGTGAAGACTTCTAGAATTGATAAATGACTTTAATTTAAAAAAGTTTTCAGATACAAAATTAGTGCATAAAAATCAGTAGCATTTCTAATAAGCAACAATGTTTAGGCTGAAATTGAAATTAAGAACGTAATCCCACTTACAATAGCCATGAAGAAAATAAAATAACTAGGAATACACCTAACCAAAGAGGTGAAACATATCCACAAGGAGAACTACAAAACACTGCTTAAGTAAATCAGAGATTACCCAAATACAAAAAAAATCCATGCTTATGGAATGAAAGAATCAATATCATAAAAATGGCTGTACTGCACAAATCTATTTACAGATTCAATGCTATTTATATCAAACTACAAACATCATTTTTCACAGAATTAGAAAAACGTATTCTAAAATTCATGTAGAACCAAAAAGAAGCCTGAATAGCCAGAGATATCCTAAGAAAAGAGAATAAAGCCAAAATTATCACACTGTTGGACTTCAAACTATAATGTAAAGCTACAGTAACCAAAATAGCATGGTACTAGTACAAAAACAGACACATAAACCAATGGAATATAATAAAAAACTCAGATATAAATCTACATGCCTACAACTATTTGATTTTTGACAAGGCCAACAAAAACAAGCATTAGACAAAGGATTCTCTACTCAATAAATGATGTTCGAATAACTTACTGACCAGGCATAGAAGATTGGAGGTGGACCCTTACCTTTCACCATATACAAAAATTAACTCAAAATGAATTAAAGATTTAAGTGTAATACCTCAAACTATTAAAATCATAGATGACAACCTAGGAAATACTTTTCTTGACATCAGCCTTGGATAAAAAGTTTTTGGCTTAGTCACCAACAGAAATTTGAAGGAAAAAAATAGGCAAGTGTGAACTAGTTACACTAAAGAGCTTCATCACAGCAAAAGATATTTACAGAAAAACAGACAATCTACAGAACTGGAGAAGATATTCATTCACAAACTGTGGATCCAATAAAAGTCTGATATTGAAGAATATATAGGAAACAAATCAACTAGAACTAAAATAAACAACCTCATTAAAAAGTGACAAAAGTACATGAATGAATCCTTCTGAAGAGAAGAAATGTAAGTGACCAACAAACATATAAAAAAATTCTGAACATCATTAATCATCAGAGAATTACAAATCAAAATCATAATGAGATACCATCTCACATCAGTCAGAATAGGTGTTGATAAAAAGCAAAAAACAAACAAACAAAAACAGATGCTTCCAAGGCTGTTGAGAAAAGGGAATGTTTATATGTTATTCATATGAATGTAAATTAGTCCAGCCACTGTGGAAAGCAGTCTGGGTACTTATCAAAGAACTTAGAGTGACCATTAGGTCTAGCAATCCCATTATTGGGTTTATATCCAAAGGAAAATAAATCATTCTTAAAAAAATAGACTTACAAGTTCATCTCTGCACTATTCACAATATAAAAGATATGGAACTCACCCAGGTGCCCATCAATAGTAGATTGGTAAAGAAAATGTGGCATATATATATATACCACAGAATACTATATAGTCATAAAAATAATGAAATCATGTTCTTTGCTGCAAAATAGATGCAGTTGGAGGCCATAACCCTGAACAAATTAACTCAGGAACTGAAAACCAAATACCACATATTATCTTTTATAGGTGGGAGGTTAATATTGACCACACGTAGACATAAATATGGGAAAAACAGACACTGAAGACTACTAGACCAGGGAGGAAGGAAGAAAGCTGTGGGTTGAAAAACTACCTGTTGGGTACTATGCTTTCTACCTGGGTGATGGGATCCATAACTCAAACTTCAGCATCACACAATATTCCCATGTAACAAACCTGCACATATCTCCTTTATCTAAAATAAAAGTAGAATGTTTTTAAAGAATATATTCTGGCATGGGCTTAATAACATTTATAGTAAAATCTACTTCAATGATACTGTTTGAGAAAGGACCAGAGAAATCTATACTCTGAATTAACTTAAAATATTTCAGTGTTTAAAACCCATTTGGTATTATGCTGATAATGTGGGTGACAAAATTGTCTGTATACAAAATTCCCATGAGATGCAATTTACTCATGTGACAAACCTGCATATGTATTCCTCACACCTAAAATAAAAGTTACAAAGAAAAAGTAAGCAAGAAATCTTTGGGTTGCTTTTACTCGTCACAGAATCTTAAATTACTCATGTAAGATAAATATTATATTAAAGTGTTAAATGGCATAAATATTGGCTATGTAGCTAGTAATTTTATAGAATATCATGGGCTGAAAAGACATGCAGGCTTCTATTAGAATATAAAACTTTTTTCTCTAAAATAAAATGTCTCTTGGGAAGCACTAACCCTGAAGCTAAGCTTTCATTATCTGTGAATTAGTTAGTATAGTAGGAAAATGGATCTAGATGTCCCTACAGCTTTAAATCTTAATTCAGCATACGGTTAATAATTAAGAAAGCTGAGAGTTCACAGTATTACAACAATACATTCTATAAGCTTAAAGATCATCTGCCTTTTCATTATGGAGAATTACTTAAATAACACATAGAGGTTATTGTTCAAAATCAATCATTTAATTTGCTAAATTCTATTTAAACTTGGGTAGAAATCTGGAAATGTCCTAGGATTTAAAAAGGTACTAATATTCTGCAGGTAACTCCTTCCACCTCTCTGAGCTTTAGAATACTACAAACTGAGAGTAATCTACATCTACATGGATAATATTTAATGTCTTTTGTGGTCTAACATTCAATATGGCTTCAGTAGGCAGTTTTTAGAAGATAAGAAAAAAATATGAATTATATATAGCCTACAAGCAAAAACTGATATTCAGAATTCATTTATGCCTCTTTGTAAACTAGTCAACCTTATTTGCATTAATAAAGACAAAGTCTCTGAGACCCTTTTAAGAACAGCTGAAGTAGCTTGAAAGTTTCACTATCTCCTCTTACCTTCTCAAGGAGTTTGCTACTTTAGTTATCATTTCTGTCATGCATCACTAATCTCTTCATGTCTGCATGTCCTGGAATCTCACATCCCAAAATGAGCTTTCCTTTGACCACGCATCTAGCCAATTCCTCTTCTCTCTGCTCTGCTTCACAACAAGATTTCTCAAAAAACATATTATACTACACTCACTTTCCATGTACTTTTCTATGTGCTACTATCTGGTTTTGTCTCATCTTTCTACTGAGATGTTTCTATTAAAGTTGCCAACCATTTACATCTTCCCAAACCCAATGGATACTTTTTGTTCCTCTGTCATTTTACCCCCCACTGCTTATTTTATGGCTCTTCCCCCTATACTAAATGTAAGAATACACAAGAGCTAAGTCCGCAGCATTCTGCTCTTCTATCTGAACACTCTTTCTCAGATGATTGTATTCGTCCATTTTCATACTGCTGTAAAGAACTGCCCGAGACTGAGTAATTTATAAAGAAATGAGGTTTAATTGACTCACAGTTCTGCATGGCTATGAAGGCCTCAGAAAACTTACAATAATGGCAGAGTGGGGAAGCAGGGACATCTTACATGGTGGCAGGTGACAGAGCAAGTGAAGGGGGAAGATTCTCTTATAAAACCATCAGATATTGTCAGACCTCACTCATTATCATGAGAACAGCATGGGGGAAGAAATATACATGATCTAGTCACCTCCCACCAGGTCCCTTTCTCAACACCTGAAGATTACAATTTAAGATGAGAACTGGGTGGCAACACGAGGTCTAACCATATCATTCTGCCCCTTGCCCCTCCCATATCCCATGTCCCTTTCACATTTCAAAACCTATTATGCTTTCCCAAGAGTCCCCTAAAGTCTTAATCCATTTAAGCATTAACCCAAATGTTCCAGTCCAAACTCTCATCTGAGATAAGGCAAGTACCTTCCACCTATGAGCCTGTAAAATCAAAAGCAAATTAGTTGCTTTCAAGATGCAATGGGGGTACAGGCATTGGGTAAATGTTCCCATTCCAAACGCAAGAAATTGGCCAAAACAAAGGGGCCACAGGCTCCATGAAGTCCAAAAGCCAACAGGGCACTCATTAAATCTTAAAGCTCTGTGGCTGGGTGCGGTGGCTAATGCCTGTAATCCCAGCACTTTGGGAGCCTGAGATGGGTGGATCACTTGAGGTCAGGAGTTTGAGACCAGCCTAGCCAATGTGGTGAAAGCCTGTCTCTACTAAAAACACAAAAATTATTGGGCATAGTGACACATGGCTGTAATTCCAGCTATTCGGGAGGCTGAGGCGAGAGAATCACTTGAACCTGGGAGGTGGAGGTTGCAGTGAGACAAGATCATGCCACTGCACTCCAGTGTGGGTGACAGAACAAGACTCCATCTAAAAATGACATAAAAAGCTTAAAGCTCTGACATTATCTCCTTTGACTTCATGTCTCAAATTCAGGGAACACCGATGCAAGGGGTGGCCTCCCACAGCCTGGGGAAGCTCCTTTACAGTCTGCTGTTGAGAGCTTGTGGCTTTTCTAGAAGCACAAAGCAAGCTGTTGGTGGATCTACCATTCTAGGGTCTGGAGGAGGGTGGCCTTCTTATCACAGTTTCACTAGGCAGTGCTTCAGTAGGGACTCTCTGTATGGAGCTCCATCCCCACATTTCCCTTCCACACTGCCCTAGTAGAGTTTCTCCATCACGGCTCCACCCCTGCAGCAGACTTCTGCCTGGACATCCAGGAATTTCTATACATTCTCTGAAGTCTAGTTGGAGGTTCCCAAACCTCAATTTTTGACTTCTGTGTACCTGCAGGCCCAACACCACACGGAAGCTGCCAAGGCTTGGGGCTTACACGCTCTGAAACAATGGCTTGAGCTGTACCTTGTCCCATTTTAGCCATGGCTGGAGTGGGCACAAAGTCCTGAGGCTGCACAAGGGAGTGGGGCCCTGGCCCACAAACCACAAAACCATTTTTTCCTCCTAGCCCTCTGGGCCTGTGATGGAAGCTGCCATGAAGGTCTCTGACATGCCCTGGAAACAGTTTCTCAATTTTCTTGGCTATTAACATTTGCCTCTTAATTAGTCATGAAAATTCCTGCAGCAAGCTTGAATTCTCCCCAGAAAATAGGGTTTTCTTTTCTTCCACATGGTCAGGCTGCAAATTTTCCAAACTTTTATGCTCTGCTGCCCTTTAAACATAAGTTCCAATTTCAGACCATATATCTCAAGTTTAAATTTCACAGATCCCTAGGCCAGGGGCAAAATTCTACCAGTCTCTTTGTTAAGCATAACAAGAGTGACCTTTGCTGCAGTTTCCAATGAGTTTCTTATCTCCATCTGAGACCACCTCAGACTGTACTTCATTGCCCATATTACTGTCTGCATTTTGGTCAGAACCATTCAACAAGTCTCTAGGAAGTTCTAAACTTCCCCACATTTTTCTATCTTCTTCTGAGCCCTTTAAACTCTTCCAGCCTCTGCCTGTTACTTAGTTCCAAAGTTGATTACACATTTTCAGGTTATCTCTATGGTAGTACCCCACTCTACCTGTACCAATTGTCTGCATTAGTCAATTTTCACCATACTATAAACAACTGCCAGAGACTGCGTAATTTATAAAGAAAATAGATTTAATTGACTCACAGTTCCACATGACTGGGGAGGCCTCAGGAAACTTACAATCATGGTAGAAGGGGAAGCCGACACATCTTATATGGCAAAAGGCAAGAGAGTGAGTAAAGTGGGGAAGATCCCTTTATAAAACCATCAGATCTCATGAGAGCTCACTCACTATCATGAGAACAGCATGGGGGAAATAGTTCCCATGATCCAGTCACCTCTCACCAGGTCCTTCCTTCAACACCTGGAGATTACAATTAAATATGAGATTTGGGTGGGGACACAAAGCCTAACCATATCAATAAAATCTATTTCCTTAGTGTTATGATTTCCATTTTACACATGAGGAAACTGAAGTTCAGCAAAGTTAAGTAATTTGCTCAAGGTATAGAATCAGAATCAGAGCAGAACACACTTCCATTTTTTCACAGAATCCATACTTAATTGTATCATTATTTAAAAAAAAAGTGGTTTAGGCATATGTATTAAGAATCTGCGTGTTCTGCACATGTATCCCAGAACCTAAAGTATAATAAAAAAATTTAAAAATAATTAGTGGATACCCTATAGTTGCAATGTATATTTTTAACTAATTCAAGTTCACCTTCATATAACACTGTACTGCCTCACATATAGTGTGGCTACCTTATAACAGTATTCCCAATTCCTCTCTCCTATCCCTTATGACATGCTGTCTTTCATTTTATATATCTGTATATTATAATCACCTTACACGTTATTATAATTACTTTAAGCAAACAGTGATATTTTAATTCAGTTAAGCAATAAGTAAAAGATTTTATTTTGCCTTAAAAAACATAGGTCCTAGAATCATGTGACCTTTCTTCAGATCAGACATCTAGCATTAAATAGCTGCATAATTATGAGTTAGTTATTTAATCTCTCTGTATTCAGTTTCCTCACTTGTAAGGGACATAATAATAATATCCACATAATAATTGTGATAATTAAATGAGTTAATACCTATGAAGTTCTTACAACAATGCTATCACATAGTAAGTGTTCAAAAATAATTAAGCATTACTCTCTGATTTATATAACTTTTCAATTGTTTTGAATGTCTCTATTATCTACTGTGAGGAGTTTCAAGCAGCAACATAATCATTAAAGGGATGAAAATTGGGCCTTATAAGGTAACAATAAAATAAAATAATTGAGTATATTTAACAAAAATGAATAGATAAGGCGAAATGATGATTATGCTCAAGTGTCAATGGAATAAAGATTTACTAGCAAACCACCTATAATATTTTATGTATCTTACTATTCTTTCCATCTCAAACCATATATAATTCTGCATTATCAAATTAAAAAAACATGGATCTCAGGAAAATGATAATAAAAGAAACAGATATGAAGACCATATATGCAAAAGGCATATCTGATAAGGAACTGTTTTCCAAAATTTACAAAGAAAATATAATAAGAAAATAAATGACCTGATTAAAAAGTAGGCAATTTCACCAAAGAAGATATGTAAATTGCAAATAACTATATAAAATGCTGCTCGACATCATATGTCCTTAAAAAATTGCAAACTAAAATAATGAGATTCCACTACAGTCATATTAGAATGGCAGAAATCAAAATCACTGACAAACCAAATGCTGGTGGGGGTGTGGAGCAACAGCAACTCTTTCTCATGGCTGATGGCAGTGCAAGATGGTACAGCCACTTCAGCCACTTGGGCGGTTTATCAGTTTCTTACAAAATTAACCATATTCTTACTATACAATCCAGCAATCACGCTCCTTGGTATTTACCCACATAAGTTGAAAACTCATGCATATACAAAAAGCTGCACACAAATGTTTCTAGCAGAATCACTCGTAATAAACAAAACTTGAGAACAATCAAGACGCCCTTCAGTACATGAATAGCTAAATAAACAGTGGCAAATTCAGACAATGAAATATTATTCATCACTAAATAATAAGCTATCACACCATGAAAAGACTTAGAGGAAACTTAAATGCATATTACTAGGTGAAAGAGGCAATCTGAAAAGAACACATACTGCATGATATCAACTGTATAGCATTCTGGAAAATGCAAAACTATGGAAATAGTAAAAAAGAGAATCCATAGATATCCTATTTTTGGGGCATAGATGGATGAATAGGCAGAGAACAGAGGATTTTTTAAGCAGTGACAATACTCTGCATGATACTTTAATGGTGGATGTGTGCCATTATACAATGTGTCTATTCTATATAATATATGACACCAAGACAACCCTAATGTAAACTATAGGCTTTGGGTGATAATGATGGACTTTGGGTGATTATCATGTGCCAATGTAGGTTCATCAACCATAATGTACTACTCTGGAGGGGGATTTTGATAGTAGGGGAAGCTGTGAATGTATGGGTTGAGGTTATACATAGGAACTCTTTTTACTTTCTGATAAATTTTTCTGTGAGTATAAAACTCTTCTAAAGCATAACTTATTTATTTTCATTATTTTTTAATTTTTTTAGAATTGACATAATAATTGTACATATTCATGGGGTACATAATGATGTCATGACACGTGTAATATATAATTAGATTAGAGTAATTAGCATATCCATCATCTCAAATATTTATCATTTCTTTTTGTTTGAAACATTCAAAAGCAATACATATATAGTCTACTTAAAGAGCTCTCTCATCATACATATGTTATACATATAAATTTATTTATATACTTTTTTAATTGTTTTGAGTGTCTGTTATCTACTGTGAGGAGTTTCAAACCACAACATAATCATTAAAAGGGTGAAAATGTTACATATATATATATACACACACAATATATATGATACATTAATTGTTTCTGTTATTTTAAAAAATGAGAATTAAAAAATATATATGAAGTTTGTAGTAGCTTGCAGCCTAGTGGGAGACAAACATATAAGTCATGTTGAAATGTTAGTATTTTAGGTGATATGGTATAATAAAACTGGGCACATAACCCAGCTAAGTTATGTACCCTTTTTTAAGGACATAGAAAGACTTTCTTGAGTTGAATCATATTGAAGGAAATAACATAAATTAGCTATGTGGGGAAGAAATAAAGAAAATTCCAAATAGGAGAAGAGCATGGAAATATGAGATATTGGGTAGGACATCCCTGTAAATGTGAGAGAAGAGGTCTTAGAAATTCTTTCATCTACAAAAGCAAAAAAAAAGGAAAAAGAAAAACTGGTAAAACAACTTTTTTCAGAACTCTCTAAATAAAGGACAGGTTTTGCATTTTTTGTGCATTCATTTTTTTAAAAAATAAATGGCTGAATATCACTGATAACAGTAAACTTTGAATTTTATTATTTTTTAAATGTTTACTCTCATTCTCAAGTCTGCAATAGCCTTGAAAATCAAAAGCTCAGGGTAAAAATGACCATCCTGACAGCAATGTGAGGGATCAAAACAGGGTTGGAGGTCTTTCAACGCCTCATTTATAGATAATTATTATTTTTTTGGCCTATCTGGTGTTCCCCAGGAAGACTACACTTGAAAAGTTTGTATTATTTCACCTGACTTAGATTCAGCCAGTGCAAAAAGCCTTTCCATGGAGAAGTGTTTAAAACAATTATGAGCAAATATTTCAACTTCACTACTTCTTTAGACAATGGTTAGCTGTTGAGGCAAAAAAAAAATGGACTAGTAAAGGATATTAAAAGGAGAAGCTAAGAAAAAGGATGTTCATAAGGCTTTAAAAAGCTTCATCAGAGGATGGGTGGTACAAGATGACAAAATAGAAGACTCCACAGATCATGTCTCCTACCCTGCAAAGACACCAATTTAACAAGTATCTGCACAAAAAAAGCACCTTCATGGGAACCAAATATCAAGTGAGCACTCACAGTACCTGGATTTAACTTCTTATCACTGAAAAAGGCTCTGTAAAGAATAGAAGAGACACTCTTGAATAGGACGCCACTCCTCCCCATCCTCTGGCAGCAGTGGCATGCCACAGAGGGCATTCCTGTGCTCTGGGGAGGAGAGCATAACAATTGTGAGGCATTGAAACAACTACTGCCCTGTTACAGCAGAAAGAAAAACTGGACCAAAACCAGTTGACACGCATCCACAGAGGGAGCATATAAACCAGCCTTAGCCAGAGTGGAATTGTCAATAGCAGCAGTCATAAACTGAGTTCCTGGAAGCCTTACCACATTGAGCTAAAAAGCTCTGGAGCACTTAATAAACTTGAAAGGCAGTCTAGGCCACAAACACTACATTTCATAGGAATGACCTACTGCTAGACTGGGCCAAGAGCCAGAAGACTGGGATGGGGGGTATGCAATCTACTGGGACACCAGCTGGGGTGGCTAAATAAGGGCTGGCATTCCCCCTCACCTAACCCAAGGTTGCACAAATTGTGACACCAAAAGAGAGCCCTTTCTTCGGCTTGAGGAGACGAGAGGAAAGAGTGGGGAGGGCTTTGTCTTGCATTCTAGATGCCAGCTTATCCACACAAGACAGGGCATTGGTCACAGTTGTGGGGCCCCTATTCCAGGACCTAGCTTGGGGAGGACATTTCTAGACACACCCTGGGCCAGAAAGAAGCCCGCTTTCTTGAAAGGAAGGACTTAGTCTTGGCAGAATTAGTCACCTGCTAACTACAGAGTCCTTGGCCCCTGAAATATCCAGATACAACACCAAGGACCTTGGGTTAGACTCTAAGACTTGATTGTTTCAGCTGAGACTCAGCACATTACCAGCTGTGGTGGCTATGGGACAAGACTCTTTTTGATTGAAAAAAGTGGAGAGAAAAATGAAGGGGACTTTGAGCTGCACACTAGGTACCAGCTCAGCCACAGTAGAATAGAGCACCATGGTTCTTTGGATCCTTGCTTCCAGGACTTGGCTTCTGGATGGCATTTCTGGACCTTCCTTGGGCCAGAGGGGGACCCATTGTCTTGAAGGGTGAGTCCAAGACCAGGCAGCATTCACCACAAGTGACTGAAGAGCTCTTGGGCCTTTAAGAAAACATTAGAGGTAGTCTGGCAGTACTCTCCATGGGCCTATGTTGAGGTGGCCATGAGGTAAGCTTTCTCTACATTTGTAAAGGGGAGAGAGAGTGGAAAGGACTGTATCTTGCATTTTGAGTGCCAGCTAAGCCACAGTATATTAGAGCACCAGGTATATACTTCTGTGGTTTTTACTATAGTTCCTAGCTTTCAGATGGCACCTCTGAACCTGCCTGGTGCCTAGGGAAACTCAGCATCCTGAAGGGAAAAACAAAGGCCTGGCTGGCTTCGCATCCTGCTGATTGTAAAACCGCAGGGCCTTGAATGAACATAGACAGTAGCCCGGGAGTGGTTACAGTAGGCTTTGGGCAAGATCCAGTGCAGTACTGGCATCAAGTCTGGGCCAGTGCAGTCCTATCCTAGTGTTGGTGGCAACAAGGGAGCTTGCATCACCCCACCACCAGATTCAGGTGGCTCATAATAGGAAGACTGCATATGTTTGGGAGAAAGTAAGGGAAGAGAACAAGAGTCTCTGTTTAATAATCCAAAGAATTCTTCTGGATCTTATCCAAGACGATCAAGGTGGTATATCTATGAGTTTGCAAGAACCATAGCATTACTGGGCTTGGGGTGCCTTCTAAAACAGATACAGCTGGAGCACAACACTCAAGTAATTTCAAATACCTGAAAAGGCTTCACAAGGAGAAGGACAAATAATCCAAGACTGTGAAGACTATAATAAATACCTAACTCTTTAAATGCACAGACACAGATGAATATCTATAAATATCAAGATGAACAATCATATCCTTACTAAATGAACTAAATATGTGAACTTTCAGATACAGAATTCAAAACAGTTGTGTTGAGAGAACTCAAAAAATTTTAATATAGCACAGGAAAGAGATACAAAATTCTATTACATAAATTTAACAAAGAGATTAAAATAGTTAAAAAGAATGAAGCAGAAACTCTGGAGTTGAATAATGTAATTGGAATACTGAAGAATTCATCAGAGTATTTTAACTGTGGAATTGATCAAACAGAAGAAAGTATTAGTGAGCTTAAAGACACGCTATTTGAAAATACATAGAGGAGACACGAGAAAAAACAGAATAAAAAGAATGAAGCACACCTACAAGATCAAGAAAATAGCCTTCAGAGAGAAATCTGAGAGTTATTTGTCTTAAGAGGATATAGAGAAACAGGGGTAGAAAGTTTACTCAAAATTATACTAAAAAATAACTTCTCAAACCTAGAGAAAAATAACAAAAATATCAATATCCATGTACAAAAAGGATATAGAACACCAACCAGATTTAATCCAAAGAAGACTACCTCAAGGCACTTAATAATTAAACTTGCAAAGGTTAAAGATAAATAAAGGTTCCTAAAAGCAGCAAGAGAAAATAAAACAGTAACATACAATGAAGCTCCAACACATCTTGCAGCTGACGTTTTAGTGGAAACCTTACAGACCAGGAGAGAATGGCATGACTTATTTAAAGTACTGAAGAAAAAAAAAAGGTTAACCTTGAATAGTATATCCAGCAAAAATATCTTTCCAACATGAAGGAGTAATAGACTTCCCAGACAAACAAAATCCTTTATCAACTCCAGAACTGTCCTTTTATCAACTCTAGAACTGTCCTACAAGAAATGCTAAAGAGAGTAATTCAATCAGAAGGAAAAGGACATTAATAAGCAATAAAAAATATCTGACAGTAGAAAACTCACTGGTAATAATAAGTACAAAGAAAAACACAGGATACACAGAATATTATAACACAGTAACCATGATGTTTTAACTACTCTTATGTAGAAAGACTAAATGATGAGCCAATTAAGAATAATAACCACAGCTATTTTGCAAAACATAGAATTTAATAAGATATAAAGAGAAACAACAAAAAGTTAAAAAGCAAGAGTATGAAATTAGATGTAGAGTTTTTATTAGAATTCTTTTGCTTGTTTGTTTTTTATGCACACAGAGTTAAGCTGTTATCAGGTTAAAATAATGGACTATAAGAGTATTTGCAAGCCTCATGGTAACCTGAAACAAAAAAAAAATACAATGAATACACAAAGAAAAGCAAGAAAAGAAATTTTGTCATGAGAGAAAATCACTTTCAAAGAATAAAGAAAAAAAGAAAATTAAGATGGAAGAGAGGACCAAAAAACAATAAAAAAATGGCAAGAGTAAGACCGCACTTATCAATAATAACATTGCATGTAAATGGACTAAACTCTTTTATCAAAAGACATAGAGTTACTGAATGGATAAAAAAAAAAAGAAGACCTAGTGATCTGTTACAAGAAACATGATTCACCTATAAAGACACACATAGGCTAAAAAAAGGGGGGATGGAAAAACATATTCTATGCCAATGGAAACCAAAAAGAGCAGGAATACATATACTTACATCAGAAAAGGTAGATTTCAGTACAAATTCTGTAAGAAGAGACAAAGAAGGTTACTATATAATGATAAAGGTTTCCAGCAAGAGGATATAACAATTGTAAGTATATATGCTCCCAAAACTGAAGCATGCAGATATGTAAAGCAAATATTATTAAAGCTAAAGACTAAAGATAGAGATAGACCCAAATACAATAATAGCTGGAGACTTCAGTACTCCACTTTTAGCATTAGGGATATCATCTGGAGAAAATGTCAGCAAATAAACATCAAATCAACCTGAAGTATAGACCAAATGGACCTAATACACATTGACAGAACATTTCATCCCACTGCCAAAGAATACACATCCTTCTCTTCAGCATATGGATTATTGTCAAAGATAGACCATGTATTAGGTCACAAAACAAGTTGTAAAACTTTCAAAAAATTGAAATAATATCAAGCATCTTCCCTGACCACAATGGAAAAAAATTAGAAATCAATAACAAGAGGAATTTTGGAAACTATACAAATACATGGAAATTAGACAATATGCTACCGAATGACCATGGAGCAATGAAAAATTTAAGAAGGAAATTAAAAAATGTCTTGAAACAAATTATAAAGAAAATACAACATACCAAAACCTATGGTATACAGCCAAAGCAGCAGTAAGAAGGAAGTTTATAGCTATACATGCCTACATCAAAAAATAAGAAAAACTTCAAATAAACTACCAAACAATTCATCTTAAAGAAATAGAAAAGCAACAACAAACTAAATCCAAAATTAGTAGAAGAAAAACCAGACTACAAATAAAAGACATTGAAATGAAGAAAACAATACGTAGTTCAAATAAATAACATTAGAGACGAAAAAGAAAACATTACAAAAAGTAGAGGAGGGAATATTTTCAAACTCATTGTATGAGGCCAGTGTTATCCTCATACAAAAAACATATATAGCAACATAAAAAAACCTATAGGCCAGTATCAATGATGGATATTGATGCAAAAATTCTCATCAAAATACCAGCCAGCCAGCTGGGCGCAGTGGCTCACGCCTGTAATCCCAGCACTTTGGTAGGTCGAGGCGGGTGGATCACCTGAGGTCAGGAGTTTGAGACCAGCATGGACAACATGGTGAAACCCTGTCTCTACTAAAAATACAAAAGTTAGCCAGGTGTGGTGGTGGGCACCTGTAATCCCACCTACTCGAGAGGCTGAGGCACGAGAATCACTTGAATCCAGGAGGCGGAGTTTGCAGTGAGCTGAGATTGTGCCATTACACTCTAGCCTGGGCAACAAGAGTGAAACTCTGTCTCAAAACAAAACAAACAAACAAACAAACAAACAAGAAAAAATGAACTAGCAAACCAAATTCGACAATACTTTAAAGAGATCATGCATCATGACCAAGCAAGGTTTATCCTAGGGATGCAAGAATGGTTCATCATATGCAAATCAATCAGTGTGATACATCATATCAACAGAATAAAGGGCAAAAACCATATGATTATTTCAACTGATGCTGAGAAAGCATTAGATAAAATTCAACATCATGACAAAAACCCTTAAAACACTGTGTGTAAAAGGAACAGATCTCAAAATAATAAAAGCCATATATGACAAGACCTACAGCTAATATCATAATGAATGGGAAAAAAAACTGAAAGCCTTCCTCTGAAATCTGGAATATGACAAGGATGGCTACTTTCTCCACTGTTATTCAACATAGTACTAAAAGTCCTAGCTAGAGCAGTCAGAACAGTGAAAGAAACAAAGGGCATCCATATTGGAAAGGAAGAAGTTCAATTATCATTGTTTGCAGATGATGTGATTATTTATTTGGAAAAACCTGAAGACTCCACCAAAATACTACTAAAACTGATAAACAAATTTAATTAAGTTGCAGGATAGAAAATCAACATACAAGAACTAGTAGTATTTCTACAAGCCAATAATAAAAATTTTGAAAAAGAAATAAAAATGTTATCCCATTTACAACAGCCACAAATAAAATTAAATACCTAAGATTTAACAGCCAAATAAGTGAACGATTTCTGTAATGAAAACTATAAACACTGATTAGAGAAACTGAAGAAGATACAAGAAAATGGAAAGGTATTCCATGTTTTTGGATTGGAAGAATCAATATTGTTAAAATGTTCATATACCCAAAGCAATCTACAGAATTAATGCAATTCTTCTCAAAACATCAATGACACTCTTCATAGAAATAGAAAAAACAGTCATAGAATTTATATGGAATAGCAAAGACTCAAAATAACCAAAGGTGGTCTAAACAAAAAGAATATTACTAGTGGAATCACATTGCCTGACTTCAAATTATACTACAGATCTGTAGTAACAAAAAAAAAAGCATGGTACCGGCATTAAAACAGACACACAGACCAATAGAACAGAATAGAGAACCAATAAACAAATCCACACACCTACACTGCACTCATTTTCTACAAAAGGGGCAAGAACATACACTGGGAAACGACAGTCTCTTCAATAAATGATGCTGGGAAAAACAGATATCCATAAGCAGAAAAACAAAACTAGACCACTGTCTCTAACCATATACAAAAATCAAATAAAAGTGGAGTAAATTCTTAAATATAAGACCTCAAATTGTGAAACTACTGCAAGAATACACTGGAGAAACTCTCCAGGGCAATGGCCTGGGCAAAAATTTCTTGAGTAGTACCCCACAAGAACAAGCAACCAAAGCAAAAATGGACAAATGGGATCATATCGAGTTAAAAAGCTTCTGCACAGCAAAGGAAACAAACAACAATATGAAGAGACAACCCACAGAATGGGAGAAAATATTTGCAAATAACACATATGACAAGTGTTTAATAACCAGAATATATAAGGAGCTCAAACAACTCTATAGGGAAAAATCTAATAATCTGATCAAAAATAAGCAAACGATATGAATAGGCATTTCTCAAAAGACATACAAATGGTAAACAGGCATATAAAATGGTTCTCAATATCACTGATTATCAGATAAATGCAAATCAAAACTACTATGAAATACCATCTCATTCCAGTTAAAAGGGCATATATCCAAAAGACAGGCAACTATAAATGCTGACAAGGTTGTGGAGAAAACAGAACCCTCCTAAACTGTTGGTGGGAATGTAAATTAGTACAACCACTATGAAGAACGGTTTAGAGGTTCCACAAAAAAAACTAAAAATAGAGGGACCATATGATCTAGCAATCCCACTGCTGGCTATAAACTCAAAGGAAACCAGCATGTCAAAGAAATATATGCACTCCCATGTTTTTTGCAGCACTGTTCACAATAGCCAAAATGTGGAAGCACCATAAGTGTCCATCAACAGATGAATGCATAAAAAAAGGTAGTAATTGTACACAGTGGAATACTATTCAGCCATAAAAAGAATGAGATCCTGTAATTTGCAACAATGTGGTTAGAACTGGAGATCATTATGCTAAGTTAAATAAGCCAGGCACAAAAAGACAAACGTCACATGTTTTCACTTATTTTTGGGAACTAAAGATGAAAACAATTGAACTCATGGAGATAGAGAGCAAAAGAATCTTTACCAGAGGCTGTGATGAGTAATGGGGGTGGGGGGGAGAGGTGGGCATGGTTGATGCGTACAATACATGGAAATAATGAAAAAGAATTAGGATTTGATAGCACAACAGGGTGACTACAGTCAACAATAATTTAATTGTACATTATACAATAACTAAGAGAGTATAATCAGATTGTAACAAAAAGGATAAATGCTTGAAGAACTAGATACCTTATTTTTCAAAATGTGATGATTACACTTTGCATGTCTGTATTAAAACATCTCATGTACCCCATAAATATAGACACCTAATATGTACCCACAATAATTTAAAATAAAATTTTAAAAAGTACAGCTCCAACATATTTCCGGGAATCATGAAAGTGACATGCATGCCAGTTGTTGTGCAAATGGCTAAGATTGTGCACCTACTCCAGAATGTATTGAGGAGTCTTAACCTCTTACTGCTCACTGACCTTGAATCTCTGTGCTAGTGGAAAGGGAAGGCTACATCAGAATTGTCAACTAACTGGTAGAGTGTTGAAGGCATTTAACAAAATATACAGAGCCCCTTGACAAGGACTGGGAGAAGTATTGGTCCTATCTGTCTAAGATAATTTCTGTCAAATCATTAGATGTCCAGTAAGCTGCATTAGTATTGTCTTCAGTGGCCACGCACAATAAAGAATACAGACTTTTAATAATGTATTCAGAAAACTCACTAGCAAAAACAACAATTATAACAAGCAACAGCAGCAACAAATTCTTGGATGAATGAGAATCTCACTTGTAGAGTTGTCATATTATATTATATAAAACGTGTAGTGTTCAACAACAAAAAATTATGAGGCATACAAATAAACAATAATGCATGACCATTACACAGGGGACAAAGAATTAAACAGAAACTTTCTCAGTAATTCCAGATGTTGGACTTAAGTTAGCAACTACTTTAAATTTGGTATTTTAAATATCTTGAAAAACTAAATGAAGTTATATCTAAAAAACCAAAGGAAGTTATGAGAGTACTATATCATAAAAATAGAATGTCAATAGAAATATAAAATCAAATAGAAATTCTGAAATTAAAAAGTGCAATGAAATGAAAATTTTCAACACAGTGGTTCAAGGACAGATTTGAGCAGATAGACAAATGAGTTCACATAAAGATAAGTCAATTGAGATTATCCAGTCTGAGGAAGAGAAAAATTTTTAAATTGAATAAAAATAAACAGAACCTCAAAGCCCTGTGGAACATCCTCAAGAATACTAACATATGTATAATGAGGGTCACAGAATTATAGGAAAAAGAGAAATAATATTTGAAATAATAATGTTTAAAATCTTCCCAAACTTGATTAGAAACATTAATCTACATATCCAAGAAATTCAATGAATTTCAATTAAGACAATTTCAAAAAGTTCTACCCTAGATATATCATAATCAACTGTCAAAAGACAGATAATCTTGAACGCAGCAGTGGAGTAGCAACTTACCACATAAAAGAAACCCTTAATAAAATTTACAAATGAAATATTAGAAAACAAATTGTCCAGAAAACAATGAGATGACATATTCGAACTGATGAAAAGAAGAAAATATCAAATAAGACTTCTAGCATAACTTCCTTCAAAAATAAAGAAAATCAAGACTATCTATGTATTATGGATAAGCCTCCATCAAAGAGACAAACACATTAATATGAAGGTTAGAAAAAAGAGTATCTATGAGTTCACGTGCAGAGTGACTATAATTACATTTAGCCATCATTCATTCTTAGGTAGTACTTAGGGGTAGATTACCTAGAGGTAGATTATTGAATGACAAAATATATCCTGTATTTTAAAGTGCTTATCTCATAGTTTATTATTTTTTCTTATGACATGGTTGACAAAATTTTGTTTAAAATGATCTCCAGCGTTTGGCTCAGATGAATGATAGTTTTTCCACTCACTGAAGCCAGGAAAATTGGAAGAGAAACATTTAAAGTCAGAGTTGGATTCAGTTCTTGACATGATCAGTTTGCTATTCCTGTGAGACATCCAGGTGGATATGTTCAATAGGCAGTTGGATGCGGATGCATAGAACTCCAGAGGTTTGGGCTGAATATATAGACTTTGGAGGCATTAGCACATAAATGTTAATTGATGTCGTAGGAACAAATAAGGACAAAATGAGCACGGAGTCAGAAGAGCCAAAGCTCTAGAAAAATAAATCTAATTATTATTGAATAAATCCAATATTAATATAAAATGTATGTCTATATGAAAAAAACAGCAGAGTAATCAGAGAGGTAAGACAGTAGGCAACTATTGTTAGAAAAAGAAGGAATAAATAGATTTCTATCACTGACTAAAGATGAATAACTCTAAGATGCTTCATAGGTCTCTAACATAGGCAGTTTTCTGTTATATAAAGTCATACTGGTATGATTCCCTGAGATATGGTATAATCTCTTAATCTGTATAGTGTTACTGTAACAGAATACTGTAGGATGGGTATTTTGAAAAAAAAATATGTTTATTTAGCTCATGATTCTGCTGACTGAAAAGTTCAAGAAGCATGGTGTCAGCATCTGTTCAGCTTCTGGTTGTCTTTCATTCTCTGTCACAACATGGCAGAAGGTCAAACAGGAAGCAGACATGTGCACAAAAGCAAAACCGGAGAGATATCTTGACTTTATAACAACACACTCTCATGGGAAATAATCCATTCCTGTGAAAACTATTCCAGTCTTGCTAGAGTGAGAACTTAGTCAGTACCATGAAAATGGCACCAAGCCATTTATGAAGGATCTGCCTTCACCTAACACCTCCCATTAGGTCCCACCTCCCAATACTGCTTCATTGAGGATCAAATTTCAACACGAGTTTTTTGGGGACAAACCATATCCAACCATAGCAAAGTGGAATAGTTTTGTCAAAATAATTCTTGTTCATTTCCGGACTTATTGAAGTATATAATAGCTTTTTCTGAGGCCACAGAGGGGAATAATGAAAAAGATGTTGATCAGGTATTCAGTTGTTTCTTGCATAGTGAAACTTACATTTTGAATACACTTAACTATAAGGGAAATGATAGTATAGATAACACTGTTGTCTTCTTCCACAGGTGTATGAAGCATCTGATACCTTTGCCTTGTGGCAGGGAGAAAAGTCAGGTGATCTAGTCTCTTATGCATTTTTTCTTAACTCCTTAAGGTATCACTTGATTTATTCTGAGTCTCCCAAGTATATTATTTTTCCATGACATTCATAATATTTGATGTTAATGTAGCATTCTTGTGCTTTAAATTTTTATCTACTTATACTATTTTTCATTTGCTAAAGTTACTGCATGACCTCTTCTTGGCTTACATTTAAAAAGATTTATTATGATTTATTCTGCAGGGAGTTCTGCTGCTATGAAGTAGGCCCTAAGTGTTCTCCAGTGGGCCATTGATTTGTCAAATGCTCCTGTATTTTTCCACAAGCCAATTTTTTCCTTTATAACTAAAACAAGAAGTTAGATTATGCACTATACTGTCTATCAGGCTTCCTCTTATCTGGCTATTAGAATGGAGATGACAGTAGTCTGAAAGCCCTAAATAAATGATATTTAATGATGATTTATTTTATTAAAGAAACTTCCCTCCATGCCAACAAAAGAAACATGAGTTATATTCATACTTACATGTGTGCTCTGCAGATTTGAAGTGTACCTGTAATTAGTTTATAGTTTTAAAAAGTAAGAGCAGTGTAAGTCTCTGTCTGTTTGCTAACAGACCTATTCAAAGAACTGTGCATGTAGGTTCTGGTTCATCTAAAAGTCACCCAGTGTCTTTCCATTGTTATATATCTAGCTCCACTGTCTTGTATAGTGATCATTCTTGTTAAAAACAATAATGACCTTTGAGCCCTTGCAAGGCTGTAAATCAGCAATTCCATTATGGTTGTTTAACTTCAAAGGTATAGAATTAAACTAATATTTAAACTGTTTTTCAACAAGGGTTAAAAGAATTGTTTAACCCTCCTTTAAACGTGTTCATTAATAACCCCAATTTCCTTATTACACTGGTCAATTTCAGACACTGATTCTCATTATAACTTCTAGTGTCAGGGACATAACTTTGTAATAAAGGAATATGTTCTCACACACCATTATGTGCACACAAGCAATACATTGACCTGTAACATACCTGAATATATGGCATAATAGAACGCTTTCAAACAAAACTTAATAAAATTCCTCAACATAAAATATCAACTATGTTCTAGATCTGTCATATGATTGCTTTACGAAGTGAATAATTTAAATAATTATCTGCCACAACCCCTAATTCAGAACAGTTATGTACTTGAGGACTAAGAAAACAGAACAATATAAAACAGACCTCATGACAAGAGGACAGGGAGTACTGAAAATAAATGAGCCATGCTAAGCCCAGTGATATTCATCTACAACAGAAAACGATAGTAGCTAACAGTTGTGATTTGAATTTAGCATTGATTTTCATTTCTTTGCTATAAATTGGCCACATGCTATTAGTAGCAAGCCAACCTAGTTGCTACAATATTCTTTTCCATAGCGTATACATTATAGGCCTTAAAGCAAAAAGTGCTTGAGTAGCACTGGAAGGTTATACTGTTCTATTTGTGTTGAAGAACTGAACTTTCTAAGACCATTAAGTATCTTCTAGTTAAACTTGGTGAGAACAATGAACACAATGTTGCAAATTCTTTTTTATTAGTTAACCATACTTTGTGTACTAATAAATATTGAATGATAGCATCATTACAGAAATTTTGGGTTGGCTCTACTAGATAATGGAGTCTTAATAATAATATTCATTTTACTCCAGCTTTTTCACTGAACTAGAAAAATAGAAGGCATCAAAAGCACTCTCAAAGAAAGTTTTATTGTACTCCCAAGATAGTGAGAACATGGTACCCAAAAGGAAGTGTTTCAGTCCTTGTCCCCATTCTTCCCTCCTTATACAGCCCCCAGTGTCTATCATTCCCATCTTTATGTTCATATGAACTGATGATTTAGCTCTTACTTATAAGCGAGAACATACAATATTTGCTTTTCTATTCCTGCGTTAGTTTGCTTAGGATAGTGGCCACCAGCTACATCCATGATGCTGCAAAGGACGTGATTTTGTTTTTTATTGCTCTGTGGTATTTCATGGTGTATATGTACCACATTATCTTTATCCAATACATCACTGATGAGTATCTAGGTTGATTACATGTCGTTGCTATTGTGAACAGTCCTGCAATGAACAAACAAGTTCATGTACCTTTTTGGTAGAATTATTTATTGTCCTTTGTGTACATACCCAGTAATAGGATTCCTGGGTTGAATGATAGCTCTGTTTTAAGTTCTTTGAGGAATCACCCTACTGCTTTCCACAGTGGCTAAACTACTTTCATTCCAACCCACAGTGTATAAGCATTCCGTTTCTCCACAACCTCACCAGCATCCGTTATTTTTTTTACATGCTAATAGTAGCCATTCTGATTGATGTGCAGTGGTAAACCACTGTGGTTTTGATTTGCATTTCTCTGATAATTAGTAGCACTGAGCATTTTTCATGTGTTCCTCGGCTGCTTGTACGTCTTCTATGGAGAAGCATCTATTCATGTCTTTTGCCCACTTTTTAATAGGATTTTTTTTTTCTCGATGATTCATTTACATTCTATATAGATTATGGGTATCAGTCCTTTGTTGGATGAATAGTTTTCAAATATTTTCTCCCATTCTGTAGGTTGTTTACTTTTTTGAGAGTTTTATATTTTGTGCAGAATCTCTTTAGTTTAATTAGGTCTCATTTGTCTAGTGTTTATTTTGTTGAATATCCCTTTGGGACCTACATAAATTCTTCGTCAAGGCAAATGTCTAGGTTTTTTGTTTAGAATTTTTCCTGGGTTTTTGTTTAGAATTTTTATAAAGACTTTATTTAAGTCTTTAACACATTTTAATTAATGTTTTGTATATACTGAAAGGTAGAGGTCCAGTTTCATTCTTTTGCATTAGGTTAGCCAGTTTTCCCAGCATATTTTATTGAATAGTTTATTGAAATGTTTATTTTTGTGGACTTTGTTGAATATTAGTTAGTTATAGTTGTGCAGCTTTATCTCAGAGGTCTCTATTCTGTTCACTTGTCTATGTGTCTATTTTTGTACCAATACCATAATGTTTTGGTTACTGTAACCTTGTAGTATAATTTGAAGTCAGGTAATGTGATGCCTCCAGCTTTTTTCTTTTTATGCAGATTGCTTTGGCAATTTGGACACTTTTTAAATGTCTTATTTTTAATTTTTGTGGGTACATAATAGGGGTATATATTTGTGGTGTATATGGGATATTTTGAAACAGGCATACAACGGGTAACAATTACATCAGGGTAAATGAAATATCCATCTCAAGCTTTTATCCTTTGCATTACAAACAATGGAAATATACTATTTTAGTTATTTTAAAATGTACAATAAAATTATTATTGAATATAGTCACCCTGTTGGACTATCAAATGCTAGAACTTATTCATTCATTCTAACTAATGTTTTGGTAGCCATAAACCATCCTCTCTTGCTCTGCATCTCACCCACCACTACCCTTCCTGGCCTTGAAGGGAAGGACCCAGTCCTGGCAGGATTCATCACCTCTGACTAAAAAGCCCTTGAACTCTTTTTCAATTACATATAAATTTTAAAATTTTTTTGTAATTCTGTGAAAATGAAATTGATAGATTCATTAAATCTGTAGATTGCTTTGGGCTGTATAAATACTTTAACAATACTGATTCTTCTAAGCCATGAATACGGAATGCTTTTTTATTTATTTTTTCATCTATGATTTCTTTAAGCAGAGTTTTTTAGTTCTCCTCATAGAGATCTTTCACCTTCTTTGTTAGATATATTCCTAGGTATTTTATAATTTTTGTGTCTATTGTAAATAAGATTTAGTTCTTCATTTTGTTCGCAGTCGGAATGTTATTGGTGTATAGAAATCCAAATTATTTTTGTAAATTGATTTTGCATCTAGAAACTTTGCTGAAGTCATTTACCAGATCTAGGAGTCTTTTGGTGGAATCTTCAGGGTTTTCTAGGTAAAGAGTTGTATCATCAGTAAAAACAGATAATTTGAATTACTCTTTTACTATTTGGATGTCTTCTATTTCTTTATCTTGCTTGATTGGTCTGGCTAGAACTTCCATTACTATGTTGAATAAGAGTGGTGAGAGTGGAAAGTCTTGTCTTATTACAGTTCTTAAAGACCGTGCTTCCAGCTTTTGCCTATTCAGTAAGATGTTTGCTGGAGGTCTGTCATAAATGGCTCTTATTATTTTGAGGTATGTTCCTTTAATGCCTAGTTCGTTGAGGGTTTTGATCACACAGGCAGGTTAGGTTTTATCGAATGCTTTTTCTGCATCTATTGATATGATCCTAGGTCTTTTGTTTATCTGGTGAATCACATTCATTGATTTATATATGTTTAACTATATTTGCATCTCAACAATAAAGCCCCCTTAATTGTAGTGAATTAACTATCTGATGTGTTGCCAGATTTGGTTGGCTAGTATTTTTTTGAGGATTTTCACATGTATAATCATCAAGGATATTGGCCTGTAGTTTTCTTTTTTTGTTGTGTCTCTGCCAGATTTTGGTATCAAGATCATACTGCTTTCACAGAATAAGGGAGGGAGAATTTCCTCCTCCTTGAATTTTTGAACAGTTTCGGCAAGATTGTAACAGCTTATATTGTATAAGCTTATATTGTATATTATATTGTATACAGCTTATATTGTATGTCTGATAGAATTCAGTTGTGAATCTATCTGGTCCAGTGCTTTTGGTGATAGGTAAGTTTTTATTACTGATTCAATTTCATTACTCTTTATTGGTATATTTAGGATATCTGTTCATGTCTGGTTCAATATTGGGAGGTTGTTTTTTTTCCAGGATTGTATCAATTTCTTCTAGATTTTCTGATTTGTATGCATAGAGAAATTCACAGTAGTCTGAAGATCTTATGCATTTCTGCAGGATCTGTTGTGATATAATCTTTGTTATATCTGATAGTGCTTATTTGGATTTTCTCTCTTTTTTACTTTGTTAATCTAGCTAATAGTGTATCAATCTTGTTTATCATTTCAAAAAAAAAAACACGTTTTTGTTCCAGTGATCCTCTGTATGATTCTGGGGGTCTCGATTTTACTTAATTCAGCGCTAATTTAGTTATTTATTTTCCTTTGCTAGCTTTGGGGGATTTTTTGTTCTTGTTTGTCCAGTTCCTTGAGGTGCAATGTTAGGTTATTAATTTGAGATCTGTCTTCTTGGTGTAGGCATTCAGTGCTATAAACTTTCCTCTTAATACTACTTTTGCTGTATTCCAGAGGTTTGGGTATGTCATGTCTCTATTTTTTGTATATTTCAAATAACTTTTTCATATCTGTCTTAATTTCATTGTTTCCCCAAAAGTCATTCAGGAGTAAGTTTTTTGGTTTTAATGTATTTGTGTGGTTTTGAGAGTTCCTCTTGATTCCTATTTTTATTCCATTATGGTGTGAAAATATGTCTGGTGTGATTTAGACTTTTTGAATTTGTTGAGACTTTTTTTCTGACTGAACACGTGGTCAGTCTTCAAGTATAGTCCATGTGCAGATGAGGAGAACGTATATTCTTCGCTTGTTAGGTGAAATATTATGGAGATGTCTTTTAGGTACAATTGGTCAAGTGTTGAATTTAAGTCCAGCATTTTTTGTTAGTTTCCTGCCTCAGTGATTTGGCTAATGCTGTCAGTGGGGCATTGAAGTCCTCCACTATAGTTGTGTGGCTGTTGAAATTCTTTACTTATGTCTAGAAGTAATTGTTTCATAAATCTGGATGCTCCAATCTTAGGTGTATACATATTTAGAAGAGTTAAATCTTCTTATTGAATTAACCCATTTATTATTATGTAATGCCCTTCTTGGTCCTTTTTTAATTTTGTTGGTTTAAACTTTATTTTATCTAATGCAAGAATAGTGACTCTTGCTCTCTTTGTTTTCCATTGCAAAATAGATCTCTCTCCATTTCTTTACTTTGAGCTTATGAATGTCATTACACGAGAGATGGGTCTCTTGTTGAAAGAAAAAAGATGGGTCTTGTTTTTATTTTTTTTAATCTAATTTGCCACTCCATGTCTTCTAAATGGGGCATTTAGGCCATTTTGGTTTAAGGTTAATATTGATATGTGAGGTTTTATTCCTGTCATATTGTTGTTAGCAAGTTGTTTTGTAGTTTTGATTGTGTATTTGCATTATAAGGTCTGTGGGCTATGTGCTTGTGTGTGTTTTGTGGTAGTAAGTGTTGATCTTTTGTTTCCATGGTTAGAAATCACTTATGCATCTCTTGTAGGTGCAGTCTGGTGGTGATGAATTCCCTTAGAGATTTATTGTCTAAGAAAGACTATTTCTCCATTGTTTATGAAGCTTAGTTTGATAGGATATGAAATTCTTGGCTAGCATTTCTTTTACTTACCAGTGCTAAAAATGGACCCCCAATCTTTTCTGGCTCATAAGGTTTCTGCTGAAAAGTCTGCTGTTAGTTTGATGGGTTTCCCTTTACAGTTATTATAAAAGCCTTTAAGATTTTTTTTTTTTTACATTGATAGTCTGACATCTGTGTGCCTTGAGGATGATCATCTTGCACCAAATCTCAAGAGAGTTTTCCGGATTTCTTCCTCAAATATAGTTTCTGAGTTGCTTACTTTCTCTATTTCTCTCTGAAGAATGCCAATAAGTCATATATTTGTTGGCTTTACAAAATCACATATTTCTTAAAGCCTTTGTTCATTTTTCTAAATTCTCTTTTCTTTCTTTTTGTCTGACTGGTTTGATTTGAATGACCATTTTTAAGCTCTAAAATTCTTTCTTCTGCTTGATTTAGTCTGTTGTTAAGACTTCCACGTATATTTTGAAATTCTTATAGTGATATTTTCAATTCCAGCAGTTCTTTTCGGTTCATTATTAACACAGCTATGCAATCTTTCAAATCTTGGGCTATTTTTCTGTTTTCTTTGTGTTAAATTTGAACTTTCTCTTAGATCTCATTGAGTTTTTTTTTTTTGTCTACTAAACTCTGAATTCTATATCTGTCATTTCCCTGCTGCACCACATTCTCTGTACAGGAATAGTGGTGTGGCTCAGGCTGCTCATCCCAGTGAGCAGTTGCTCCCAATGTATGGAGATATGCCTGGGTGTGAAGCAAAGATGGCACCGACACACACTAGTATCTCTAAACAGGAATGGTGAGGTAATTTAAGTTGCTAATCCAAGGAAGCAGTGCTCCAAATGCTGGGAGTTATGCCTGGTATGGAGTGGAAAGGGTCCCAATACAGAAAGGTCTCTGCTCAGGAAGGTTAGGGGGGCTCAGGCTGCTAACTCGTGATTTGGCGCTCCGAATGTCTGAAGATATGCCTGGGGGTGAAACAGAGAGTGGCCTGCTGCACCACAATCTCAAGAGAGGAAGCTAAGGCACCCAGGAATGACACATGCAGACGTTTTCCAAATTGCCAAACTGGCTCTGGCTGCAAGTCTCACTGTCCAGGAGAAACCATGGCTGCAGAAACTCTCATTTGACTCCAGACCTGTATTGGGGGAGAGAACAATTCCAGCACCTACCGTGGGGGTGCTTTCCACACTTGTCATTCAATTCTGGCTTTGGAAACCCTTACACAACTCCAGAGCACGCACTCCAATCTGTAGCCTGAGACAGAAATGTCTGCATGGCCAAACTGATGGGTCACTGAAGAATGACTGACTTTGTAAAAGCCTGGATTGAAAATTGTTTCCTCAGCTTGGTCTCGGGTCTGGGAAAATGCCGGCAACTTTGTCTAATATCTTTACCTCTCAGAGTCTCCAAGCCTCTCCCAAAATTAGCTCCAGGGTTTAGAAGAAACAAAGTGCTCTCCCTTGGCCTTAGTTTCATGGATCCCTTAGAGGAAAGGAGAATCCCCATGAGCGACTCTCTTCCCCTCTCATATATTCGAGCTTCACTCTTTTGATCAACCAGATTCCATCATGGGTGCTGTTTGCTCACTTACACTTCCCGGGGATCTGGGGCATCCTTCACTATTCCAGTGGATTCCCATTTTCCTTCTTGAATTAAAGCTCACAGAGTTGATCTTCATGCACTACTTTTCCATTTCTAAGTGACTGATATTTGCTAAAAGCCTCTAATCTGTCATCTTGGAAGAAAAAAAAATCATACAAGTCTTGATAGAAGGTTCACTTTATGTTTTGTTTTAATCAGTAGAAAGGAGTGCAGAAAAAGTATTATCCTGTTGTTAATGTAAGTCACTTGATATATTTTATACAATGATGCAATCGATAGCAAGGTTTAAGGGCAATAAAATTGATATCTAAAAGTATTAAGTGATTATGAAATGTTTAAATGATGAAAATATTATTTTTAAAGTTTTGAAATAAAATCCTAAATGGGTTTCTAAAAACTCCCTTATTTATCATTTAGGGTAAAGCAATGAATGGGCAATACAAATTCAGTATTTGGCAGAAAGTGCTTATTTGTTGCAGTACTTCTGAGGCATTACCAAAGAATCTGAGTACAGTTTAAGAATCACTGGTTAAAAAGGTACATTTGTACTAAAATTATGTTTAGGTTATATAGTTTGGCTTTTATAATGAGGTTAAGTTATAATCAGTACTTTGACAACATACATAAAAACAGATATTTTAGCTCTCTTCTTTAACACTGGTATTTCTCATTTTTAAAGTCCTTTTTATTTTTTAGAATCAAGTACTACATGCAACTGTGTCCTGATTGCTGACATAATGTATCACTAGTAAATTAGATATAATTGCATGCTAATATAGTAGGCAATTTTCAATCCACTTTTATTTCTGTCAGCCCAGATATATGTAAATTTGAATGATTACATTTTTGTTATTTCGTCTTTAAAAAATATTATAGCAGAAAGAGCTAAGATAACCCTTGTACAATGCTTACTATTTATCAAGGTGTTTTTAAAGCACTCTTAATACTTCCAACCCTGTGAGTTTGGAACTGTTGTTATCTTCATTTTATTGATGGATAAAGTGAGGGACAAGGAGGTTCAGTGATTTGCCCTAAGCGGTGGAATGGAACCCAGATAGTCTGGCTTCGGAGACAGTATGCTTATCTGCTAGGTTACATTCTGTCAGGAACAGTTACTTTACAGCTCTAGATTAGTCTCATCACCCTCCAGAGCTTAAATAGTTAAGATTCTGTTAGGGTGTTCTTGCTCTACCCAGAAGTCCTCCTTTGCCTTCCTCAATCTACCACTTCTTCTCTGATCCTATAAAATATGTATATCTCTGCCATTGCATACATCCTTATGTGTTAGAATTGTCTATTTATTTGTCTGTATTATTATAGACTGTGAGATGTTTGAAGACAGAAATCATGTCTTACTTATATTTTTATCACTAGGGTTAACTTAGCAGGAGTCTGTTGCTTTGTACATACTTAATGTTTGGTGAACTAAGCTGAACTGAACACAAGTCATATGTAATGAAGGATTACTATAATCCCACCCAATGTGTAAAACAATGATTAACTGCTTATTATATGCAAGGCACTATACTTTACATTTAATATACATATTATTACATTTTGTTATTAAAATATACTTGAGAGGCAAATATTACTATCATCATTTTATTCATGAAGAGACTGAGACTCAAATAGTTAAGTGACTTGCCCAAGGTCACTGCTATTATTAAGTGACAGAGTCAGGCTTCAAACCCTAGTCTATGAGGCTTAGAAAGCCTATGCTCTTTATCAACCTGTTATGCTAATTCCAAGATGTACTTTTAAGAGGAATTCTTCTATGACCCCTGATCCTACATTTGTGAAAATTCAAGGTATTATTCAAACTTCTGGGTACCATATACCACCTTAACAAGCAAGAAATTGAGACTAAGTTTGGGCCTGGAGGCTCAGGCCTGTAATCCTAGCATTTTGGGAGGCTGAGATGAGTGGATTGCTTGAGCCCAGGACTTAGAGACGAGCCTGGGCAATATGGTGAGACCCTATCTCTACCAACAAAGAAAAAAATGTAGCCAAGTGTGATGGCACACACATGTAATCCCAACTACATGGCAAAGCGAGGTAAGAGAATCTCTTAAGTCCGGGAGGTGAAGGTTACAGTGAGTTGAGATTGCACCACTGCACACCAGCCTCCATGAAAGAGCGAGACTCTGTCTAAAAAGAAGAAGAAATTAAGACTAGTCAGAGAATCAGATAATTTTAGATAGTGGAGGCAAGTCAGAGAGAGAGAAATATTTAAGTCAGGAAGACACTGAATATGTAGACATTCAAAACTGTAAAACATGCTGGTTGGTTTTTTCTCTCTAGTTTTTGTCTCTAAAATCACTACAATTTATAAGTAGAATGTATTTATCCACGTTAAGGATTGGAAAGGTTGTATTTCATTCACAGTAAACCAAAGGGGAAAAAAATCATTTACCCCAAATGTGGGCTGACTTAAAGAGAAAGGGGAAATGTATATTTTGTTTGATATTCAGTGAGAAACATAAGTGCAATGGGAAATTTGAACTACATTTTCTTCAAACTAGTGCTAACTTTGTAAAACTAGTGCTGACTTTGTAAAAGCCTGGATTGAAAATTGTTTCCTCAGCTTGGTCTCGGGTCTGGGAAAATGCCAGCAACTTTGTCTAATATCTTTACCTCTCAGAGTCTCCAAGCCTCTCCCAAAATTAGCTCCAGGGTTTAGAAGAAACAAAGTGCTCTCCCTTGGCCTTAGTTTCATGGATCCCTTAGAGGAAAGGAGAATCCCCATGAGCGACTCTCTTCCCCTCTCATATATTCGAGCTTCACTCTTTTGATCAACCAGATTCCATCATGGGTGCTGTTTGCTCACTTACACTTCCCGGGGATCTGGGGCATCTAGTGCTAAGAAAAAACTGTATTTAAAACCTGATAAAATATTTGTACACACATAAACTCTGTCTGCATATGTTGTACACAGATTTTATATATGTACAAACAATGCTATATAGACAAATCTTATTGTTATGGGAGATGAATACTAATGTCAGACTCCTAGAAGTAAATTTATGCAAGTGAAGTTCACTTGGTTAGAGGTTGTCAAATATTTAGCACCATTTTAACTAAATTTTACATAACACAGGAGGAACAGGGAAAAGAAAAATCACATTCTTAGTAAAACTTCAAGAGTCAATAAACTTTCTCTAAATACAATAGATTTTCAGTGACAAATTTTGTAGTGAGGTGCCTTTTCAGTTTAAAGCTAAAGAGAAGAGCTATTATGAAATATAGTGCTTATGGCAAGATCCAAGCCTACATATATCTGTTATAGGTTCCCCAGGATGACTGAACAAGGACTTATATTTTGGAATAAGATAAGAGAATTACCAGTTGAAGTTAGAAACTGTTTAAGTGAAATTTCATGACAAGAAATCCTTGATGGTTTGACATGGCTTCATTTACATCAGAATAATAAGATTGCTGTATATTTCTTGAAAGAATTCCTTACAAGCAATGATGATGAGCAGAGAAAAAGAAAATAAAATGAGGCAAATTCTTTATTTAGAAATCATTTCAGAGAGTCATTTTGACCTGCTTTTTCTTAGATAACACCACATGGTAGTCTTCCTCATAAAAAGTTTTAGAAAATATTGAAATTTGGAAGGAGAAATGGTGACTGCATTATATTCTTAGTTCTTCACTAAGTTCAGGATCAAAAGAAGACTGCATTCAAATAGAATGAGAAGAATCTCTACAATGCATTTCTCTCACAATTATATGAATAGATTAATTAAAAAATGAAGTTCTAGGGCAATATAAAATTATTTAATCTCTAATTTTATAAATCAGCATACTTTGGAAGGCTATTCACATTAATATGTGATAACAGGCATTGTTATGTTTTGACATTCACCCCTACGTGAGTTGTAGTTAGGTATGCAAAGACATGTCTGGTTGCCAGGTGGCTTGTATCGTTCCTCTGTAAAGGTTTTTCATGCCAGTTTTTTTACCTCAGCCTTCAAAGGACACAAGGAAGCCATCTTATAAGCAGTGCCAAAAGATCCAGAAAATATACTTTCTCTATATGAATACTACTATTAATAGGTAGAGATGAAGGGTAGACTTTATTATATTAGTCTAGCTATCTGGCACCCAGTAGATATTTCATAAATGTTTGTTGAATAAATTAAATTCAAATAATTTCATTAAAAGGAGATATTTCATTCCCCATGTTATTTCTAAACCTTTGCAACTTCTGGGGTTGAAATAAGAAAACTGAGCTGGATGTTCTTGCAGAACAGTAAAGTGTATCAGTCTGTTCTCACATTGCTATAGAAAAAACAAAACAAAACAAACAAACAAAAAAACACGAGGCCAGGTGAGGTGTGGTGGCTCATGCCTGTAATTCCAGCACTTTGGGAGGCTTAGGCAGGTGGATCACCTGAGGTGGAGAGTTCGAGACCAGCCTGACCAACATGGAGAAACCCCGTCTGTACTAAAAATACAAAATTAGCCAGGCGTGGTGGCACATGCCTGTAATCCCAGCTACTCGGGAGGCTGAGGGAGGAGAATAGCTTGAACCCGGGAGGCAGAGGCTGCAGTGAGCTGAGATAGCACCATTGCACTCCAGCCTGGGCAACAAGAGCAAAACTCCGTCTCAAAAATAAATAAATAAATAAATAAATAAATAAATAAATAAATAAATAATGAGATGGGGTAATTTATAAAGAAAAGAGGTTTCATTGGCTTATGATTCTGCAGGCTGTACAGAAAGCATGGCTGGGGAGGCTTCAGGAAACTTACAATCATGGCAGAAGGGGAAGCAAGCACATTTTCACATGGCCAACAGGAGAGAGAGAGCAAAGGGAGTACTACAAACTTTTAAAAACCAGATCTTGTGAGAACTCACTCTATCATGAGAACAGTAAGGGAGAAATCTGCCCCCATGATCAAATCACCTCCCACCAGGCCCCTCCTCCAATATTATGGATTACAATTTGACATGAGATTTGGGCAGGGACACAAATCCAAACTATATTAGTGTCATATATTAAAGACACTTCGTTTTTTTAAACTAAATTTTGATTATTGTGTCCTGCAACTTTACTGAATTAGTTTGTCAATTATAACCATGGGGGGGTCTTTATTGTTTTCTATGTATAAGACATTATCAGCAAACAGACAATTTCACTTCTTCCTTCCCTATTAGAATGCACTTAATTCCTTTTCTTGTCTAATTGCCTAGGAATTCCAGTACTATGTTAAAAAGAATTGGTGAGCATTGGCATCAACATACAAAAATCAGTAGTGTTCGTATCGGTTAACCATGAACTATCTTAAAAAGAAATTAAGAAAACAGTCTCATTTATAATAGCATCCAGTAAAGTAAAATACTTAGGGTGAAAGTAACCAAAGAAGTGAAAGATCTATACATTGGAAAGAATAAAATATTGATTAAAGAAATTAAAGATGACATACATAAATAGAAAGTTATTCCATGGTCATGGACTGGAAGAATTTCTATTGTTAAAATGGCCATAATAACCAAATCTACAGATTCAATGCAATCCCTATCAAAATTCAATGTCATTTTTCATAGAAATATAAAAAAATGTTAAATTTTTTAGAGAAGTATAAAAGACCACAGATAGTCAAAGCAATCTTGATCAAAAAAGATAAAGCTGGAGGCATCACACTACTGGATTTCAAAATTTACTGCAAAGCTGCAGTAATTAAAACAGCATGGTACTGGCATAAAAACAGACACATTAATCAATGGAATAGGAAAAAGAGCTCAGAAATAAATCCACACATCTACAGTTAATTGATTTGCAACAAAGTTACCAAGAACACCCAATAAGAAAAGGACAGTCTCTTCAATAAACGATGTTAAAAGAACTGGATATCCACATGTGGAAAAATGAAAATTGATGTTTATCTCACTCCTTATAAAAGAATCAACTCAAAATGGTTGATTAAATCAACCATTTCAATCTTAAACATAAGATCTGAAACTGTAAAACTACTGGGATAAAATAGAGGGAAAATCTCCATGACACTGATGTGGGCAGTGGTGATATCCTGGATATGACCCCACAAGCACAGGAAACAAAAGCAAATTAGACAAATGGGATCCCATCAAACTGAAAAGCTTCTCACAGCAAAGGAAACAATAGGATGAGGAGGCAACTTATAGATTTGGAGAAAATATTTACAAATCGTACATTGTTTGAGAGGCTAATATACAAAATATACAAAGAACTTAAACTACTCAAAAACAAACAAACAAACAAAAGACAAGAATGGAGATTTCTCAAAAGAAGATATACAAATGGCCAACAAGTATTTGAAAAAAGCTGAACATATCATCAGATAAATGCAAATTATAGCCACAATGATATATCACTTCACAGGTGTAAGATGGGCTATTATCAAAAAGACAAAAAATAACAAATGTTGGAGAGGATATGCAGAAAATGGAACTCTTGTACAGTGTTGTTATTGTAAATTAGTGCAGCCATTTTGAAAAAGAGTATGAAGTTTTCTTAAAAAACTAAGAGTTGAATTAGCATATGATCCAGAAATTGCATGCCTGTGTATTTATTTATTCATTTTATTTTATTTATTTATTTTTTGTGAAGGAGTATCACTCTGTCACCCAGGCTGGAGTGCAGTGGCATGATCATGGCTCACTGCAACCTCCACGTCTTGGGTTCAAGCAATTCTCCTGCCTCAGCCTCCTAACTAGCTGGGATTACAGTCACATGCCACCACGCCTGGCTAATTGTTGTATTTTTAGTAGAGAAAGGGTTTCACCATGTTGGCCAGGCTGGTCTCGAACTCCTGAACTCAGGTGATCCACCCACCTTCGCCTCCCAAAGTGCTGGGATTACAGTGGTGAGCCACCGCACTTAGCACAGTGTATATATTTAAAGAAATTGATATTAGTATATCAAAGAGATATCTGCACTCCCATGTTGATTATGTCATTATTCACAATAACTAAGATATGAAAATAACCAAAGTTCCCACCAATGGATGAATGGATTTTTAAAATGTTGTATATGTACAAAATAGGATACTATACAGCCATTTAGGAAACAGGAAGTTCTGCCATTGTGACAACATGGATGAACCTGGAGGACGTTACGCTAAATGAAATAAGCACTCATAGAAACTAAAAAGAAACCCTAGACAGTTAAATAGTGATTACCAGAGGCTGGTCATGAAAGGTGGGTTGTGGATGGGGAAAGGGGAGATATTGGTCATTTGGTACAAAGGTACAGTTAGAAAGGGGGAATAAGCTTCAATGTTCTATTGCACAGCATGGTGAGTATAATTAACAAAAATATTCTCAGCACAAAGAAATGATAAATATTTTAGGTGATGGATATGCTAACTATCCTATTTGATCATTCCACAGTATATACATGCATTACAATACCACATTGTACACCAGAGATATATACTATAATTATTTGTATTAAAAATTAAACCAAAAACCTAAATGTTTATAGACTATTCAGGAATTCCAAATTTGCAAATAACTATGAATATCATACAACTTAGGGGTTCCCAAATACCTCAAAGAACTGACTGTATTAGCGGTGCTTATAAAAATGCAAATTCCAAGGTTTCAGCCCTAGTGGTTCTGATGAATTACGTCTAGGATAAAGCCCAGGAATTTTTGAGCTTCTTAATTATTTTATAATATTTTTCTATTTATATTATTTATCAAGCATGGAAACAACTGGTAACATTATAATGCTAAAAGAAGATAATTTGGCAGAAAACTTTTGTGGCCTTAAGTTGAAAAGGGGTGCATAATGAGACTCATAAAGCAAAAATAACAAGACACAACAACTGATGGATTTATTTATATAATCCTTAAGAATTTGTATTCAAAAGTAAATATCAGGAGTCAGATAGTAATAAAATGTGTTCAACATCTAGAAAAGGCAAGTAATTAATATCTAGAATATACAAGAAATTTTTCTCTTTCAACAAAAAAAAGGAAAAATACTATAGCGAAATGAACAAAGAATAGTTATATCTAATAGATGGAAGGAGAAGCTTGATTGATTGTAAATATATACTGAGATGTTTTTACTTATTGTTAATTAGAGAAACGTGAATTAAAGTAATTAATTCATGCCAATTTATGATCAACAAAAATGTATCACTTTGATATAACAAGGATTGGAAAAGATGTGAGGAACTGGTACACCTAATGCACAGCTGGTGGAAATGAAAATAAGACAGCCATTCTTGAGAACAATTAGATAGGACTTTGTGAAACTAGGAATATGTACAACATGGCCCACTTTTTAGTGTGGACCCCAGAGAAAGCTTCAAATAAGTCCATAAGAATACATGTATAACGATTATGATATATTTATAGCATTATTTGTGGATTTGGGGCTTTACAGGCAGCCCTGGAATAATCACAAGAGGAATGGAGTTAAATATGTTAAATACATACTTGGACTACTAAGTAGTAGTTACAGCAATGAACCAGATACAGGTTAAGAAATAAGCTTAGATCTCAAAAAGCATGTTAGATTTTCACTTATGGCACAATCAAATGATATCCTTCTTCCTGGAACCTACCCTCCCATAAATAACAATTACAGTTATAAACAAAATATTTTTAAAAAACACAAAATAGCACAGGAATAAAAACAACAAAGCATCAAGAAAAACTAACAAAACATATGTATAGAAAGTAATAAAAACAGTCAGATTCTGAAGTTTGAAAGTGAGTTGACACTTGGAAAAAGGGCCCTAAGCATGAGTATCTTATTTTTATGGATTTTATCCTTAGAATAATTTATTTTATAACAGAGATATAAACACCCTGTGAGGTGTTTACAATGATGTACTGGAGCCAATTCACATTGGCTCAGGACAGCTGTTTGTGGGTGTCACTTCTCAACTCAATTTTCAATAACACATGCAGCTTAAAGTTGGCTATGGTGTGAGTATTTACATCATGGTAATCAAAAATGCCAATATTGTTTCATTTTTATTTTTTCAGACATCAAATTATTAAATATTTATCATTACATCCTTAGTAGTTAAAACTGTGCTAAGAAGCCTATTGTTTTCCTTGCTTGATGACCCAGAGGACAGAGTTTGGGGCAACCACAACCACTAGAAAGTAATGGGGAAAATCTATAAAATAAATAAACATAGAAAGGGAGCCCCATATTCTATGTATAAATTCTTCCCAAATCTCTGATTGGTCCCAGAATTATGCATGTACAGAGCAGACTATGAGTAGCCCAGATAAAGATCAAAGAAAGAACTGAAATTTGAGCTCACAACCAAGAGACAAAGTTTGCTACTTGAGTTCAACCAAGTTAATTGTTTGATAAGACATCAATTCCTCAGAGTTATAAAACAGCATCCAGAGTCTCTTCAGTATAGCATTCACAATGTTGAGAATACAAGCTAAAATTACTCCATCAAGCCTCAAGAAAAAGGACAGTCATTAGAGACCAATCCTAAGATAACCCAGATATTTGAGTTAGCAAACAAGGACTTAAAAAAGGCATTTTAGCTATGCTTATTGAGTAATTGGAAAATATAAGTACTATAAATTAAAGGACAGAAAATTTGAGAAAAATATAACCAAATAGAAATTCTACAACTGAAAATTACAGTTTCAGAAGTTACTTTAAAGAATGGGCTCAAAAGAATGGTCATGACTAAGGAAAAAGCAGATAATGTGAAGGTATATCAATAGAAGTTATTCTCCATAATGGAGAAAAGGAAAAGAAAGTGAAACATCCAAATTAAAATACTCACAGGGATTTGTAGATCCATATCAAGCACATGTGTAATTAGAGTCCTGAAAGGAGAGTAGAGACAGACTGTGAAAAATGTATTGGAAAATATAATGGCTTAAAATTTTGCAAATTTTGCAAAAGACATAAATTTAGTAATTCAAAAAGCTGTAAGAGCCCAAAGCAGAATAATTCCTAAAAACAGGACCACCAAATTCAGTGATCTCAAGAAAGATTTATATAAAGAAACCTCGCATAACCAAGCTGCCTAAAATGAAAGAGGAAGTACTAAAAGTAGCTGGAAAAAAGTTATTTATTAATTTCAACTGAACAACAATTTGAATGACTTCTTAGAAACTATGGAAGACAGAATAAAGTAGATCAACATCTTTAAAACATGTAACAAAATAAATACTGTTAATCCAGGATTTTATATTGAAAGATTATATCCTTCAAGAATATAAATTAAATAAAAATGTTCAGACAAAAGAAAACCAAGATAATTTTCCACAAACAGACCTGTACTATACAAATGTTAAATAAATTTATTTAGGCAGAAGAGAATGATAACAGATGGAAACTCATATCTTCATAAAAGCATTGGATATGAGAAATAACTCAGTAAATATAAAGGGCTATTTTTTTCATAAAAAAATGCATAAGATTATTTGGTGCAAACATTAATTATAATATAAAGGTTTATATATTTTCAAGAGACAACACATTATATCACAAAGAATAAAAGAGTGTATATGGGCCCATAGTTTGCAAAGTTCTTTATTTTATGTGATGTAATATGATACTGAATTTAAGAAGACCGAAACATTTAGGATGTGTATTGTAATCCACAGAACAATCACATACACACACAAAAAAATTGGCAGTCTACCTAAAAGCCAAGAGATAAATTAAAATAGATTTGGAACAAAAAAAAAATACAAATACAAATAATTCAACCAAAATCTGGTAATGAGGACCCAAGAAACAAACAAAAAATGGGTAAACACAAAACCAATGAAACTGTAGACATAAATCCAATAATATCAATAATTATATTAAATTTTAATGAAATAATCCAATTAAAAGAGATTTTCAAATGGAATAAAATAATAAGACCAAACTATATGTGGTCTATGAGAAACACACTTTATACATAAACACATAAATAAAGTAAATAGATGGAACAGATATATCTTGCAAACTATAAACATCAGAAAGCTGAACTGTTCAAAATAAAATCAGACAAAAAAATCTTCAAGTAAAAAAATCACTACCAGAGATAATAAAGGTCAGTTCATCAGAACGGCATAATAGTCATAATAATGCATGTACTTAATGACAAATCTGCAAAATACATAAGGCAGAAATTGACAGAATTGATGAGAATAGTTGAAAGTTTAAATACTATTCTTAGCACCCAGTAGAATAATTAGACAGAAATATAGATTATCTTAACAACACTACCAACTATCTTGACCCAATTGATATTAATAGAGCATTACTCCACAACTACTGATCACAGATTGTTTTAAAGAAACATGCATGCTCGCCAAGATATATCCTACATAGGTACATTAAAAAATTTCTCAATGAATTTAAAATGAGTGAAATTATACAGAGTACCATGTATGATGCAAAAAAAGGAATTAAATTGGAAATAAAATTAATGTATCTAGAAAAACCCCTAAAAACTGTGTATTAAACAAAATAATTCTAAGTAATCCATAAGTCAAATTAAAAATCCCATGGGAAATTAGAAAATATTTTGAAACAAATAATAATAAAAATATAATAATGATTTGTTGCAGCTAAAGGAGTGCTTAGAGAAAAATTTATAACTCTAAACTTATATGTTAGAATGAAAAGAAAGTTTTAAAATCAGTGACCTAAGATTCCACATAAGAAGTTAGAAAAACAAGAATTAAGCAAATTAAGTAGAAGAAAGTCATAAAAATAGGAGCCGGTGGGGCGCGGTGGCTCATGCCTGTAATCCCAGCACTTTGGGAGTCCAAGGTGGGCAGATCAATTGAGGTCAGGAGTTCAGGACCAGCCTGATCAACATGGCAAAACCCGACTCTACTAAAAATTCAAAAATTAGCCAGGCCGTGGTTGTGCATGCCTGTAATCCCACCTAATCGGGTGGCTGAGGCAGGAGAATCGCTTGAACCCGGAAGGCTGAGGTTGCAGTGGACTCGCGCCTGGGAGACAGACTGAGACCGTGTCTCAAAAAAAAAAAAAAATTGGAAAATTAGAGCAGATATTAAGGAAATATAAATTGTTTAAAATAGAGAATAATAGCAAAGTCTAAAGTTATTTCTCTGAAAATAGCAAGAAATTTAATAAACCTATGGCTAGATTGTCCAGGAACAAACAGAAAAACCAAATTGCCAATATCATAAATGTAAGAGGGAACATCACTAAAGATATTACAGAAATTAAAAGGATAATAAGATAATGTTATCAAATTTATGCCAATAAATCTGACAATTCAGGTAAAATGAACACATTATTTGAAACATACAATGTATCAAAGTTGACATAAATTAAAACAAATAGCTTAATAGCCACATATCTATTATTATATGGAGGAGGCCAGACACATTGATACCAAAACCTGACAAAGACATTGCAAAATAATAAGAAACATCATCCCTCATTAACATAGGTGAAAAATATTTAAAATATTAACAAATTAAATCCAGCAATATATCTTCATGACTAAGTAGTATTTGTTCTAGTAGTGTTCCTAGAACAAATACTACTTAGTCATGTTTTTTATTAGAAGATACACTAGTGCAGTTCACCATATAAATAGAATAAAGAGAAAAAGTACAATCATCTCTACAAATGCAGAAAAAACATTTGACAAAAGTCGACAACCATGCATGATAAAAACCCTCAACAACCTTTAAGTAGGAGGTAACATCTTCAACTTGATAAAGAGCACTATGCAAAATCTACATTTTATGTCTTACAAAATGGTGCAAAATTGAATTTGTTGCCTTTAATTTGGGACAATAAAAGGATGCCTTCCGTCACTAATTTTGATCAACATTGAACTGTGTATTTTAGCCAATGCAAAAAAACTAAAAATTAAAGACTAAGTTTAGAAAGGAAGGAGTAAAACTGTCTCTATTCACAGATTGTTTTATATAAGAAATCTTAATAAATCCACAAAACAGATACTAAGAACAATAGCTAAATTTAGCAAAGTTTTGGAATACCAATTCAATACACAAATATTAATTGTATTTTATTTATTCATAGCAAACAATTGGAAAATGATAATGAAAAAAGAAATTTTGCTTGCAATAGCATCAGAATGCATAAGGTATTTAGAAAAATGTAACAAAAACTTTTAAAAGATTTCATCACTAAAAAATAAGAAAATGTAATAGCTGAGATAAAGAAGGCATAAATAAGTGGTGCAATATCATATATTTATGGACTTAAGAACAAAGAGTGATAAGTTGTCAATTCTTTTCAAATTTATCTATAGATTAAACACAATCTCAATAAAAATCCAAGCAGATTATTTGCAGAAAGTAACAAGTAGATTCTAAATTTTATATGGATATGCAAATCTAAGGCAATCTTGATTAACAATGATACAGCTGAAAGGTTTAGTTACTATTTCAAGATTTAGTGTAAAGCTACAATACTCAAAATGTGGTTTTGCCATACGGATCAACAAATAGATCACTGGAATAAAATAGAAAGCTTGGAAATAGACACACACATTTATAATCATTTGATTTTTGTCAAAGGCAATCCAATGGAACAAAGAAAAGTTTTCCGCAAATTAAATTGAAATAACTGGACATTTACATAGAAAAAATGAACATTGACACCTACCTCATGCTCCATACTACTAGCACTAGTAGTAGTAATAGTAGTAGGAATCATACAGAAAATAATAACCATATATTTAAAAAGTAATAACATAGGATTTGCCAAAACATAAAACTTCTGTTCCTCAAAAAGACACAACTAAAAATAAATAAATAAGTCACAATATGGGAGAAAAAAGTCACAAACCATATATTTGAAAAAGAGCTAGTATGCAGGATAAATAAAGACATGTTACAAGTCAATAATAAAAAGAAAACACTCCAGTAAAAAAATGGACAAAACTTCATATATATACTTGACAACAGAAATTATATGGATGGTTATTAATCACATCACTTGCCATTAGGAAAATTCAAATAAAAGCCACAAAATACTACTACTAACTCTCAAATCTGGCTATTGTTAAAATGACTGACATCACTAGCTGTCGGTGATGTGGAACCAAGTTGATTTCTCAGGCTTTTTAGTGGGAATGTAAAATCATACAGCCACTTTGGAAACAGGCCTGGTTGTTTCTTCTACACACACATTTACATTATGATTCATTTATTCTGCTCCTAGCTATTTTTCAAAAGAAATGAATAAGCCTCAGACAAGACTACATAATATGTGATTCAATTTATATGAAGTTATACAACAGGCTAAACAATTTGCATTTCAAAAAATAAGAGTAATTATAGTCTTAGGCATTGGGAGTAGAGATTTATGTGCAAAGGGCATGAGGGAAAATTCAGGGTAGTGGTAATGTTCTGTATTTTGAATGGGGCTGGATTACAAAGGTGTATAAATTTTTCTTAACTCATAAAACATACATTTAAGGTTTGGGCATTTTATTTGTATGCATTTTGTATAAATTTTAAATGGAAAATATGTTAATAAATATTCATCCCTAGCTGATATGCATCCTGAAATATTCAAGTGAAGTGTACTAATGTCTATGTTATTTAAAAATATTCCAAAAGTACAATGGATGCATAATAGATGATAATACATGATATAGTTTGAAAAGATAGATAGACGTGATAAACCAATTATAATAAAATATTACTGGTGAAATCTAGGTTGTGTGTATGCAAGTGTTCACTCTAAAACTTAATTGATGTATGATTGAAAATTACTAATGTATTTCTAATTATTTGTAATAAAGTAACAGCAATAAGAAAATGTTGAAATAATTTCAATATAATAATTTAAAGGTTGAAAAATAAGAGGATACTATGTATCTCACAAAACTAGAAAGAATGGGTGAATTTTAAAAATTAAGAAATAAAATGAGCTCTATAACATAGTACTATTTATCTATATTAAACACACACAGACAATAAGGATGCTAATATTTTAGAAAATTACACACATATTCAAAGGTATGTATCAAACAAATTAGAGCGGAAGCTTTTGAGGGTAATAAAAATGGAGATCAAAAATGAATAAGGGAAATAAAAAACAGAATTGCCAAGCTGCTTTGTATATAGATTGATGATGAGAGTGTGCCATGAATACCTCAATTCTCTGTGCGTAAAATTTCTGAAGAAAGGAAAAGAAAAATATATAAAGAAAATCTAATATAGAAGTAATTTCTAGTTTCCTAACAACAGCTATAGGCATTTTTTTTCTTAATTCAAGCTTCAAAAACTGTTCTAGAGTAGTTGATAAATGTGTAATTAAATATTAATGTTACAGTTCTATCCATGGTGTGGCTTATATTTTTATATTACTTTTAAATCATATTTCAATTTTATTTTATTCATAATTTTAAAATATTACATAATATGACCATAACACTTATTATAATGTATAAAATATAGGAATAATTTATGTCACTAATCTGCCAAAAGAAAAGGAAAGGGAGAAATAGGAGAAGCATTCTAGACGTGGATTGAAACAAAAACACTTGTTTCTCTTCTTTGTTTTCAAGTGTGGTAGGGCCTAGTTACTTATATAGCAGTATCTTAAGCAAAATGTTATATAAAAACAATGTGTTCTGCTTTTCTAAAATAATTCATTTTCTGTTTAGAGGGGCACTAAGTAATTTAGTGTCTGATTAATATAATAAAAACAGTAGATTCTTTTTTTATTTTATTATTATTATACTTTAAGTTTTAGGGTACATGTGCACAATGTGCAGGTTAGTTACATATGTATACATGTGCCATGCTGGTGTGCTGCACCCATTAACTCGTCATTTAGTATTAGGTATATCTCCTAAAGCAATCCCTCCCCCCTCCCCCCACCCCACAACAGTCCCCAGAGTGTGATGTTCTCCTTCCTGTGTCCATGTGTTCTCATTGTTCAATTCCCACCTATGAGTGAGAATATGCGGTGTTTGGGTTTTTGTTCTTGCGATAGTTTACTGAGAATGATGATTTCCAATTTCATCCATGTCCCTACAAAGGACAAGAACTCATCATTTTTTATGGCTGCATAGTATTCCATGGTGTATATGTGCCACATTTTCTTAATCCAGTCTATCATTGTTGGACATTTGGGTTGGTTCCAAGTCTTTGCTATAGTAAATAGTGCCGCAATAAACATACGTGTGCATGTGTCTTTATAGCAGCATGATTTATAGTCCTTTGGGTATATACCCAGTAATGGGATGGCTGGGTCAAATGGTATTTCTAGTTCTAGATCCCTGAGGAATTGCCACACTGACTTCCAGAACGGTTGAACGAGTTAACAGTCCCATCAACAATGTAAACCTGTTCCTATTTCTCCACATCCTCTCCAGCACCTGTTGTTTCCTGACTTTTTAATGATTGCCATTCTAACTGGTGTGAGATGGTATCTCATTGTGGTTTTGATTTGCATTCTCTGATGGCCAGTGATGATGAGCATTTTTTCATGTGTTTTTTGGCTGCATAAATGTCTTGTTTTGAGAAGTGTCTGTTCATGTCCTTTGCCCACTTTTTGATGGGGTTGTTTGTTTTTTTCTTGTAAATTTGTTTGAGTTCATTGTAGATTCTGGATATCAGCCCTTTGTCAGATGAGTAGGTTGCGAAAATTTCCTCCCATTTTGTAGGTTGCCTATTCACTCTGATGGTAGTTTCTTTTGCTGTGCAGAAGCTCTTTAGTTTAATTAGATCCCATTTGTCAATTTGGGCTTTTGCTGCCGTTGCTTTTGGTGTTTTAGACATGAAGTCCTTGCCCATGCCTATGTCCTGAATGGTAATGCCTAGGTTTTCTTCTAGGGTTTTTATGGTTTTAGGTCTAACATTTAAGTCTTTAGTCCATCTTGAATTGATTTTTGTATAAGGTGTAAAGAAGGGATCCAGTTTCAGCTTTCTATATATGGCTAGCCAGTTTTCACAGCACCATTTATTAAATAGGGAATCCTTTCCCCATTGCTTGTTTTTCTCAGGTTTGTCAAAGATCAGATAGTTGTAGATGTGCGGCGTTATTTCTGAGGGCTCTGTTCTGTTCCATTGATCTATATCTCCGTTTTGGTACCAGTACCATGCTGTTTTGGTTACTGTAGCCTTGTAGTATAGTTTGAAGTCAGGTAGTGTGATGCCTCCAGCTTTGTTCTTTTGGCTTAGGATTGACTTGGCGATGCAGGATCTTTTTTGGTTCCATATGAACTTTAAAGTAGTTTTTTCCAATTCTGTGAAGAAAGTCATTGGTAGCTTGATGGGGATGGCATTGAATCTATAAATTACCTTGGGCAGTATGGCCATTTTCACGATATTGATTCTTCCTACCCATGAGCATGGAATGTTCTTCCATTTGTTTGTATCCTCTTTTATTTCATTGAGCAGTGGTTTGTAGTTCTCCTTGAAGAGGTCCTTCACATCCCTTGTAAGTTGGATTCCTAGGTATTTTATTCTCTTTGAAGCAATTGTGAATGGGAGTTCACTCATGATTTGGCTCTCTGTTTGTCTGTTATTGGTGTATAAGAATGCTTGTGATTTCTGTACATTGATTTTGTATCCTGAGACTTTGCTGAAGTTGCTTATCAGCTTAAGGAGATTTTGGGCTGAGACAATGGGGTTTTCTAGATATACAATCATGTCATCTGCAAACAGGGACAATTTGACTTCCTCTTTTCCTAATTGAATACCCTTTATTTCCTTCTCCTGCCTAATTGCCCTGGCCAGAACTTCCAACACTATGTTGAATAGGAGTGGTGAGAGAGGGCATCCCTGTCTTGTGCCAGCTTTCAAAGGGAATGCTTCCAGTTTTTGCCCATTCAGTATGATATTGGCTGTGGGTTTGTCATAGATAGCTCTTATTATTTTGAAATACGTCCCATCAATACCTAATTTATTGAGAGTTTTTTAACATGAAGTGTTGTTGAATTTTGTCAAAGGACTTTTCTGCATCTATTGAGATAATCATGTGGTTTTTGTCTTTGGTTCTGTTTATATGCTGGATTACATTTATTGATTTGCGTATATTGAACCAGCCTTGCATCCCAGGGATGAAGCCCACTTGATCATGGTGGATAAGCTTTTTGATATGCTGCTGGATTCGGTTTGCCAGTATTTTATTGAGGCTTTTGCATCAAGGTTCATCAAGGATATTGGCCTAAAATTATCTTTTTTGGTTGTGTCTCTGGCCGACTTTGGTATCAGGATGATGTTGGCCTCATAAAATGAGTTAGGGAGGATTCCCTCTTTTTCTATTGATTGGAATCGTTTCAGAAGGAATGGTACCAGTTCCTCCTTGTACCTCTGGTAGAATTCGGCTGTGAATCCATCTGGTCCTGGACTCTTTTTGGTTGGCAAGCTATTGATTATTGCCACAATTTCAGATCCTGTTATTGGTCTATTCAGAGAGTCACCTTCTTCCTGGTTTAGTCTTGGGAGGGTGTATGTTTCGAGGAATTTATCCAGTTCTTCTAGATCTTCTAGTTTATTTGCGTAGAGGTGTTTGTAGTATTCTCTGATGGTTGTTTGTATTTCTGTGGGACTGGTAGTGATATCCCCTTTATCATTTTTTATTGCGTCTATTTGATTCTTCTCTCTTTTCTTCTTTATTAGTCTTGCTAGCGGTCTATCAATTTTGTTGATCCTTTCAAAAAACCAGCTCCTGGATTCATTAATTTTTTGAAGGGTTTTTTGTGTCTCTATTTCCTTCAGTTCTGCTCTGATTTTAGTTATTTCTTGCCTTCTGCTAGCTTTTGAATGTGTTTGCTCTTGCTTTTCTAGTTGTTTTAATTATGATGTTAGGGTGTCAATTTTGGATCTTTCCTGCTTTCTCTTGTGGGCATTTAGTGCTATAAATTTCCCTCTAAACACTGCTTTGAATGTTTCCCAGAGATTCTGGTATGTTGTGTCTTTTTTCTCATTGGTTTCAAAGAACATCTTTATTTCTGCCTTCATTTCGTTATGTACCCAGTAGTCATTCAGGAGCAGGTTGTTCAGTTTCCATGTAGTTGAGCGGTTTTGAGTGAGATTCTTAATCCTGAGTTCTAGTTTGATTGCACTGTGGTCTGAGAGACAGTCTGTTATAATTTCTGTTCTTTTACATTTGCTGAGGAGAGCTTACTTCCAACTATGTGGTCAGTTTTGGAGCAGGTGTGGTGTGGTGCTGAAAAAAATGTATATTCTGTTGATTTGGGGTGGAGAGTTCTGTAGATGTCTATTAGGTCTGCTTGGTGCAGAGCTGAGTTCAATTCCTGGGTATCCTTGTTGACTTTCTGTCTCGTTGATCTGTCTAATGTTGACAGTGGGGTGTTAAAGTCTCCCATTATTATTGTGTGGGAGTCTAAGTCTCTTTGTAGGTCACTCAGGACTTGCTTTATGAATCTGAGTGCTCCTGTATTTGGTGCATATATATTTAGGATAGTTAGCTCTTCTTGTTGAATTGATCCCTTTACCATTATGTAATGGCCTTCTTTGTCTCTTTTGATCTTTGTTGGTTTAAAGTCTGTTTTATTTGAGACTAGGATTGCAACTCCTGCCTTTTTTTGTTTTCCATTTGCTTGGTAGATCTTCCTCCATCCTTTTATTTTGAGCCTATATGTGTCTCTGCACGTGAGATGGGTTTCCTGAATACAGCACACTGATGGGTCTTGACTCTTTATCCAATTTGCCAGTCTGTGTCTTTTAATTGGAGCATTTAGTCCATTTATATTTAAAGTTAATATTGTTATGTGTGAATTTGATCCTGTCATTATGATGTTAGCTGGTGATTTTGCTCGTTAGTTGATGCAGTTTCTTCCTAGTCTCGATGGTCTTTACAATTTGACATGATTTTGCAGTGGCTGGTACTGGTTGTTCCATTCCATGTTTAGTGCTTCCTTCAGGAGCTCTTTTAGGGCAGGCCTGGTGGTGACAAAATCTCTCAGCATTTGCTTGTCTGTAAAGTATTTTATTTCTCCTTCACTTATGAAGCTTAGTTTGGCTGGATATGAAATTCTGGGTTGAAAATTCTTTTCTTTAAGAATGTTGAATATTGGCTCCCACTCTCTTCTGGCTTGTAGAGTTTCTGCCGAGAGATCTGCTGTTAGTCTGATGGGCTTCCCTTTGTGGGTAACCCGACCTTTCTCTCTGGCTGCCCTTAACATTTTTTCCTTCATTTCCACTTTGGTGAATCTGACAATTATGTGTCTTGGAGTTGCTCTTCTCGAGGAGTATCTTTGTGCCATTCTCTATATTTCCTGAATCTGAATGTTGGCCTGCCTTGCTAGATTGGGGAAGTTCTCCTGGATAATATCCTGCAGAGTGTTTTCCAACTTGGTTCCATTCTTCCCGTCACTTTCAGGTACACCAATCAGACGTAGATTTGGTCTTTTCACATAGTCCCATATTTCTTGGAGACTTTGTTCGTTTCTTTTTATTCTTTTTTCTCTAAACTTCCCTTCTTGCTTCATTTCATTCATTTCATCTTCCATTGCTGATACCCTTTCTTCTAGTTGATCGCATCAGCTCCTGAGGCTTCTGCATTCTTCACGTAGTTCTTGAGCCTTGGCTTTCAGCTCCATCAGCGTCTTTAAGCACTTCTCTGTATTGGTTATTCTAGTTACACACTCATCTAAATTTTTTTCAAAGTTTTCAACTTCTTTGCCTTTGGTTTGAATTTCCTCCTGTAGCTCGGAGTAGTTTGATCGTCTGAAGCCTTCTTCTCTCAACTCGTCAAAGTCATTCTCCGCCCAGCTTTGTTCCGTTGCTGGTTAGGAGCTGTGTTCCTTTGGAGGAGGAGAGGCGCTCTGCTTTTTACAGTTTCCAGTTTTTCTGCTCTGTTTTTTCCCCATCTTTGTGGTTTTATCTACTTTTGGTCTTTGATGATGATGATGTACAGATGGGTTTTTGGTGTGGATGTCCTTTCTGTCTGTTAGTTTTTCTTCTAACACACAGGACCCTCAGCTGCAGGTCTGTTGGAGTTTGCTAGAGGTCTACTCCAGACCCTGTTTGCCTGGGTACCAGCAGCGGTGGCTGCAGAACAGCGGATTTTCGTGAACCATGAATGCTGCTGTCTGATCGTTCCTCTCTAAGTTTTGTCTCAGAAGAGTACCTGGCCGTGTGAGGTGTCAGTCTGCCCCTACTTGGGGGTGCCTCCCAGTTAGGCTGCTCGGGGGTCAGGGGGTCAGGGACCCACTTGAGGAGGCAGTCTGCCTGTTCTCAGATCTCCAGCTGCGTGCTGGGAGAACCACTGGTCTCTTCAAAGCTGTCAGACAGGGACATTTAAGTCTGCAGAGGTTACTGCTGTCTTTTTGTTAGTCTGTGCCCTGCCCCCAGAGATGGAGCCTACAGAGGCAGGCAGGCCTCCTTGAGCTGTGGTGGGCTCCACCCAGTTCGAGCTTCCCAGCTGCTTTGTTTACCTAAGCAAGCCTGGGCAATGGTGGGCACCCCTCCCCCAGCCTCGCTGCCGCCTTGCAGTTTGATCTCAGACTGCTGTGCTAGCAATCAGCGAGACTCTGTGGGCATAGGACCCTCTGAGCCATGTGCGGGATATAATCTCCTGGTGCACCGTTTTTTAAGCCCATCAGAAAAGCGCAGTATCGGGGTGGGAGTGACCCAATTTTCCAGGTGCCGTCTGTCACCCCTTTCTTTGACTAGAAAAGGGAACTCCCTGACCCCTTGCGCTTCCCGAGTGAGGCAATGCCTCGCCCTGCTTCGGCTTGCACACGGTGCGCTGCACCCACTGTCCTGCGCCCACTGTCTGGCACTCCCTAGTGAGATGAACCCGGTACCTCAGATGGAAATGTAGAAATCACCCGTCTTCTGTGTCGCTCACGCTGGGAGCTGTAGACCAGAGCTGTTCTTATTTGGCCATCTTGGCTCCAGCCAATCGATTCTTTTTGGTTTATAAAAATCTGCAACTGAGAGAGTTTCCCTGACCTTTAATCTTTGAGGAGGATAATTTGTAAATAGATGTATTTAAGGATCTGAGTTAGGCACTGGAAGTAGACAATCATCTCCTCTTGATGAAATTATGTACGCTATGTGTTTCTATTTGTATACATCTCTGTAGTTTAATCTACAAGTATTTTAATTTATAACACATTTTTTAAGAAAATTGTTTTGTTTTCCTTTCTCGTAAGATTGCATACAATAGATAAAGGCCAATCCACACCTCTCAATTGTAGGATATTCTGGGGAAATTACAAAATAAGTAGAGGTCACAACCCAACTCTTGTGGATGTACTTAATCTAATGGGGAGATAAGTCAAATACAAATAAACACAGGTAGTGATAACAAAATCAGTCACAGTTATCCAAACACATCCAGGAGTACACCTTGTAATTATATTTATAGACAAGATCCCAGCTGTATAATAGTTCTGCCCCTTGATGTCATCTATTGAGGACAGAGCTCTGGATTAAGAATGATAAAACTTGAATTTGGCTTCTGTCTCTAACCAAGTAGCCTTAAGCAAATAGCACCTGAGCCTCAAAAACAGAATTTCCTCAAAAATAAATTTGGACATCAATCTCCTCTCTACCAACCTCAAAAATGATTGTGAGGACTAAATGATAAAATATGCATAGAAGTGCTTTGTGACCTAGAAAGCTGTATGCAGGTTTGAGGAAATATTTTCTTTGTGGTTCTTATTTTAAGCCCAGTTATATTTAAGCTCATGCAGGTCCTTTCCTCTAGAGACCCTATACCTCCCATTTTGCCTACTTAAGTACTAACTCAAGTACCTCTTCTCAGTGAAACCAACATATAGTTTTTCCAGACTATGAGCTTCTATGACCTACTTATTAGTTAAGCTACTCCTACTTATTAGTAGAAGTATCAAACGGTTTGGTATCATTAGTAAGCTTTTTGTAGGCATTGCCTTTTTCTGCTTCACCAGACTTCAAGCAGTTTGAAAGCATAGATTTGTCTGATACTTCTTAGTTTTTTCACAGTGCCTAGCATGGTTACCCTACATGGAGTAATTCAATACATATTGATTGTGATTGATTAAAGGATAGTTCTTTCATTCCTATGGCAAATATATTGAGTACTCACTCTATGTCATTTACTCTACTATTCTAGGAACTGAGAATATAGCCCGTACCCTCATGGAACGTATTCCAAATAGGGAAGACAGAACATATGGGTGTGTGCGCATGTATGTATGCATATGTGTGTACACACACACACACACATATATATATATATAATTTATATAGTTTTAGTACTTGAATGAAAATGGGACAATGGAAGGGAATTTAGTATAATCAACGCAGGGGCTGAAGTGCTCTTCTAGATAGGATAATCAGAAATGTCTTCCCTGAAAACAAAACACTGGAGCAGAGACCTGAATGAGGAGCAAGCAATGCAAAGACCTGAGAGAAATGTGTTTGAAGCAGAAATGTGTACCGCATCAGGCTTTCTCTAATAAGTGTGATACAAGTCCACAAGGTCTGATTTTTTTTTCAGTGAATTTACAACTTTATTCTTGTAGGGCCCATATATTATCATTTTTCTTTAACAACAACTTATACAGCTACAATTATGTGCCACTTACTGGGTCTATAACTGAGAAAAAAATAGGCACCATTTCTTCCCTCATGGAGCTTTTGTGAGGCTGATTTTTCCCTTTTCAGTTCTGGCCACCCAAATGTAGTATATCACTGTTGATGGCAATGGTGTCTCACCACCTGCTCTAGCCCAAAAGTACTTGTTTGATGGAATACAAATCGGCACAACTATTGTAAAAAAAATTACACTACTTAGACAAATGAAATATATGCAGACTCTATTTAGAACCAATCCTTTTTATGGGTAATTCCCGAAGAAATCTTCACATAGATCCATGTGGGGATATCATTGCAGTGTTACATGTGATGGTAGTGAGCAGGAATCAACCTGAGTGTCCATTACTCCAAAAGTGGATATAAAACTTATGGTAGTTGCACATTCATCACAGAGTATTATGCAGTAATTTAAAATAAATTAGATAAGGTAGAATTTACCTTAACTGTCACAAAATGGTCCTAGAATAAGTGTTCGAAAGCTGACATAACTCCATGGTTTTCAGGACTCAGGCTCATTCTATCATTTTACTTTGCCACCCTGAAAATGTATCTTCTAGCTTGTGGCCTAAGATGGCTATCACATTGTCACCACTTGTCAAAATTCTTGCTTGCAGGAAGAAAGAGAGATAAGTAGAGGACATTTTTATTTTATTTTAATGGGGTTGAATATATCATTTCCATTTACATTACATCGGTAGGAACCAGGCTGCATGGCAACATTTAGCTACCCAGCTAAGCTTTTATTATTACAGAGAAATGAGAGAATAGATATTGAGTGAACAATTTGCAGTCTCAACCATAACCTATTATATGCCTATTATGAGATATTTTACATTATTTTCCTCATACTAAATATTTAAATCTGTGTACTTCACTCGGACAGAATATCTTGGTTTGGAATAGGTACAACTCTAGTATTCAATACCAACATGTTGCCAATTGTTACCATATTGGATAACACATTTTTAAATATAATGTATTCATTTATCTCTAGGAACTTAATTCAATCCCCACAACTCTAATTTCTCTAGTGGTGTCAGTTGCCTACTCAGCTCTCCAAAACATTCCATTTCATGGTCAGTTATTGGGGATTAATCTAACCCCAGTGTTAATGTTAGTATTTTCCTGCACCAAAAGCAAACCTCTAACCAAGAAACCTGTTTTTTGTCTTTTTAAAATATAAATCAAAACAAAAAAAATTAAAAATACCACCACCCCCAAAAGAAAACAAAACAAAGTAAAACTTTAGTGAACATTGATCATTATACACATAAATCGCAACTTACAATTTGATTTCTGCAATACCTCTTAAACAGTTTTAGTAGATTTATTACTTCACATATGTTCACTTGTCCAAAAAAATGTGCATTGTAAAAAAATACTAAAGGCAATGGAGTTTTTGCAATTTATGCTTTTATGGTTATCATTGTTTTTGATCACTTAATCATAGGGAGATGATCTGACAATATAGTGAATATGCTGAATAGTGATGAGCTGAGGAATCAAGAAAGTTGCAAACCAACTGAGACTTGTTTGATAAAATCAGTCATTTTGAAGAACAGTATTTTTAAATTATTTCAAGTTCCTTGATGGGGTGAAATTAAAATCTATGGAGAACATGGGGATCATTCATGTTGTGATTCTTGCTAAAAATGTCAAATTTAACCACAAAGAATTATGAGTCAGAATGAAATTGTCACAAATAAAACAGACACACAACTCAGAGTTTTTACAAGAGTGGAAGAATGTTATGTTTACTTCAAGGAAAGATGCCTTATGAATTCAAGAGATGTCTTCACCCTCAAGTCCTGCATATTTCTGCTGATGCAACTGAGTCATAATCAGTGCTCACAATGGACTGCAGTGAACGATCCACAAACTTTTTTTTAAGTCTCTTTCATGACTACTTTTAAAATAACTGAATAAAAAGAAATGCATAATGTGTGACCAAAAAAAAAATGTATGTTATTATATGATTAACTTGCACAGTTGGGTACTGAATCAAAAAACTTGTCTTTATTAGCACCTTGGTTTACTAGTTGATCATACAAGTTTTACTCTCTATGAGGAGAAGGTTTTACTGCTAAAGTGAATAATATAAGACTTTACATAATCCAGTCTGTGTACTATGCTATATCCTTCATTATATATTATTCATTCAACATTATATATTATTCATCAAAACTTCAGTTTTGACCCTGAAGTTTAGTGAAGTTTGCTGAAATTATATATTTCAATGTAAAGAAAATGCATTTTCTTTACATTGAAATTAAGAATGCATAGATATCTTTCAAAGTCAATATTTCTCATAAAGTGAAAATTACAACGACCACATGTTCTTTAAGGCTATTAATAGATGCTTATTTATTAAGAATTTATTGAGTTACTGTTTTATACAGCCACATCATACTGGATATTTGCTTCTCACAGAGTTCTTATAATCTGTCTGTGAAAATGCATACGCATTTAAAAATAATTTTAACGTATGAAAAAATAGAACAAAGTATTCATAAGTGAGAGGAAATATAAAGCAAATCCTTGAGCATTAACTTTTATTAGAGAAAGCTTTCTGGTTCAAAGAAATAATAGGCATGGATTAGGCAATGTGGAAGATGCTACAATTTGGGCCTGCAGCTACATAAAGGTCAAGTGGAAATTATACATATCTATGTTCATTATATTGATGAATTCATAATTTTGGCATGTTTTTCCTGTATGTATAGATATTTGCCAGAATAAATATAAATGTTAAAAAATATGTTAGTTCAGAAACTAAGAGATGAGATTAATTTAATCACCTATCAACCTCTACCGTCATATACACTTTTTTCATTCTGAAGCCAAAGACAGCATTCTTTCTGATAATCATTTTATTACATCCAAGCATTGTATTTCTATAAAATGTTCATGATTAGGATTGCATCAGTTTCTCTCAATTTTGAGAAGAAAATGAGCAGTTTGTCCAGCTTTTATTATAACAAATTGAATGTAATATACATTTTTATGCTTTTAAATAATCATTTGTTTACACTCTACATATTGGTTTTCAGCCAAAACTCTATATTTTCTGATGTTATTAAGCATCTTCAGTATTGCCCATTGACTCCTGAGAAATAATATTCACAACTGTTCAAAGATTTCATTGAAGTAACATAATTATTGAATACAGGCAAAAAGATATTATCATTTTTATATGCAGCATTTGTTAATGTAAATTATATTGGCGCTCTATCATAGTACACCCTCGCGCACTTTTCTGATGTAGTTATGCCAAAGGCCACCGTAAAGTGGTGATAATTTGTGTTTGTTGGTTTTTTTCCTGTTTCACAGTTATACAGTTATTGTGACTACAAGTGTAATTATCCCTATCCAGAAAAATAAACACAGTGCTTTCTTTATAAACCTAACTAGAGAACTGAAAGTACATGTTGTGATGTGAACAAGCACAAATAATTATAAAAATAATAAATTTTAGAAAAAAAGAAAACCATTATGATGATATAATTTGAATTGTAGGCCTAATTTTTTTAAACTTTTGTTTTAGGTACAGGGGTACATGTGCAGGTTTGTTACATAGGTAAACTCACGTCACGGGGGTTTATTGTACAGATTATTTTGTCCCCAAGACATTAAGCTTAGTAACCAACAGTTATTTTTCCTGATCCACTCCCTCCTTCCCACATCCACTCTCTGGTAGGTTCCAGTGTCTGTTGTTCCCCTCTATGTGTCCATGTGTTCTCATAATTGTCCTTTTTTCACTGTTTAAGGAGACTGTTTGCCTTTTTTCTTGTAAATTTCTTTAAGTTCCTTATGGATTCTGGATATTAGAGCTTTGTCAGATCAATAGTTTGCAAAAATTTTCTCCCATTCTGTAGGTTGTCTGTTTTCCCCGCTTATAGTTTCTCTTGCTGTGCAGAATGTCTCTAGTTTAATTAGATCCCATTTGTCAATTTTTGCTTTTGTTGCAATTGCTTTTGGCATCTTCATCATGAAATCTTTGTCTGTTCCTACGTCCAGGATTGTATTGCCTAGGTTGCCTTCTGGGCGTTTATAGTTTTGGGTTTTACATTTAACTCCCCAGTCCATCTTGAATTAATTTTTTTGTATGACGTAAATACAGGGTCCAGTTTCAGTCCTCTGCATTTGGCTAGCCAATTATCCCAACACCATTTGTTAAATACGGAGTCCTTTCCCCATTGCATTTTTTGTCCGTTTTCTCAAAGATTACATAATTGTCATGTGTGGCCTTTTTTCTGCGACCTCTATTCTGTTCCATTGGTCTATGTGTTTGTTTTTGTACCACTATGATGCTGTTTTGGTTACTGCAGCCCCGTAGTATAGTTTGAAAAGTTGGGTATCATGATGCCTCCAGCTCTGTTCTTTGGCTTAGGATTGTTTTGGCTATTCAGGCTTCTATTTTGTTTCATGTGAATTTTAAAATAGATTTTTTTCTAGTTCTCTGAAAAATGTCATTGGTAGTTTGTTAGGAATAGCATTGACTCTGTAAATTGTTTTGGACAGTATGTCCATTTTAACGATGTTGATTCTTCCTATCCAAAAATATGGAATGTTTTTCCATTTGTTTGTGTCATCTCTGAGTTATTTGAGCAGTCCTTTGCAGTTCCCATTGTAGAGATTTTTCATCTCTTTGTTGTCTGTATTCCTAGTTATTTTATTTTTTATATGGCAATTTTGAATGAGATTGCACTCCTCATTTGGTTCTTGGCTTGTCTGTGGTTGGTTTATAGGAATGCTACTGATTTTTGTACACTGATTTTGTATCCTGAGACTTTGCTGATGTTATTTATCAGCTTAAAGAGCTTTTGAATCAAGACTATGGGGTTTTGCAGATGTAGAATCATGTCATCTCCAAACAGGAATAATTTGGGTTTCTCTCTTTTTATTTGGATGTCTTTATTTCTTTTGCCTGATTGCCCTGGCCAGGACTTTCAACAGTATGTTCAATAGGAGTGGTGAGATAAAAGCATCCTTGTCGTGTGCTGGTTGTCAAAGGGAATGCTTCTAGCTATTGCACATTCAATATGATGTTGGCTATAGGTTTGTCATAGATGGCTCTTATTATTTTGAAGTTTGTTTATTCAACACATAGTTTATTGAGAGTTTTTAACATGACAGGGTGTTGAATTTTATCAAAAGCCTTCTTTGCATCCATTGAGATAATCATATGTGATTTTGTTGTCTTTAGCTCTGCTTATGTGATAAATCACATTATTGATTTGCATATATTGAACCAACCTTGCATCACAGGGATAAAGCATATTTGTTCATGGTGCATACGCTTTTTGATGTGTTGCTGAAATTGGTTTGCCAGTATTTTGTTGAGAATTTTTGCATCAATTGTTCATCAAGGATACCAGCCTGAAGTTTTCTTTTTTATGTTGTGTCTCTGCTGGGTTTTGGTATTAGGATGATGCTGGCCTCATGGAATAAGTTATGGAGGAATTCCTCCTCCTCAATTGTTTAGAATAGTTTCAGTAGGAATGACACCAGATCTTCTTTGTACAACTGATAGAATTTGGCTGTGAATCCATCTGGTCCTGGGCTTTTTCGTTTGTGTGTTTGTTTGTTGGCTATTTATTACTTTTTCAATTTCTGAACTCACTATTGGTCTGTTCAGAGACACAATCTCTTCCTGTTTCAGTCTTCAGAGAGTGTATTTGTCCAGGAATTTATTCTGCTTTTCTAGATATGCTAGTTTGTGTGCATATACACGTGTATAATATTCTCTGATGTCTGTTTGTATTTCTGTACCATCAGTGGTAATAACCCCTTTGTCCTCTCTAATTGTGCTTATTTGGATCTTCTCTCTTTTCTTCTTATTTAGTCTAGCTAGTGGTCTATCTATTTTATGATTTTTTTTGGAAAGCCAACTCCTGGATTCATTGTTCTTTTAAATTTTTGTGTGTGTGTGTGTGTGTGTCTGTGTGTGTGTGTGTGTGTGTGTGTGTGTGTGTGTGTGTCTCAATCTCTTTTCGGTCAGCTTTGATTTTGGTTATTTCTTGCCTTTTCTAGCCTTGGGCTTGGTTTGCTCTTGGGTCCCTAGTTCTTTCAGTTGTAATTTTAGGTTGTTAAATGGATATCTTTCTAACTTTCTGATGTGGGCATTTAGTGCTATAAATTTCCCTCTTAACACTGTCTTAGCTGTATCCCTGAAATTCTGGTATATTGTATCTTTATTCTCATTAGTTTCAAAGAATTTATTGATATCTTCCTTAATTATATTATTTACCCCCAAAGTCATTTAGGAGCAGGTTATTCAATTTTCATGTAATTGTATGGCTTTGAGCATTTTCTTAGTCTTGAATTCTATTGTAATTGTGCTGCAATCCAAGAGAGTGGTTGTTATGATTTCAGTTTTTTACAATTGCTGAGGAGTTCTTTATGTCCAATTATGTGTTCACTTTTAGAGTATGTGCCATGTGTCAATGAGAACAATGTATATTCTGTTGTATTGGGGGTGAAGAGTTCTGTAGATGTCTATCAAGTTCATTTGATCCAGAGCTGAGTTCAGGTCCTGAATATCTTTGTCAATTTTTTGCCACAATGATCTATTTATACTGTCAATTGGGTGTTGAAGACTTCCACGATTATGATGTAGAAGTCTAAATTTCTGTGAAGGTCTTGAAGAGCTTAATTTATGAATCTGGGTGCTTGTGTGTTGGGTGCATACATATTTAAGACAGTTATGTCTTCTTTTTGAATGGAGCCCTTTACCATTTATGTAATGCACTACTTCGTGTTTTTTGATCGTTGTTGGTTTAAAGTCTGTTTTGTCAGAAACTAGGATTGCAACCCCTGCTTTTTCCTGTTTTTCATTTGCTTGGTAGATTTTCCACCATTCCTTTATTTTGAGCCTATGGGTGTTACTGTACGTGAGATGAGTCTCTTGAAGACAGCATACAATTGCGTCTTGTGTTTTTTTTTGTTTTGTTTTGTTTGTTTGTTTGTTTCTTTTCCAGCTTGCCACCCTGTGTCTTTTAATTGGGACATTAAGCCTGTTTATATTCAAGGTTAGCATTGAAATGTGTGGACTTGATCATGGAATCATGATGTTACCTGGTTATTATGCAGACTTGTTCATCTGGTAGCTTTATAGTGACACTGGTTGGTGTACTAAAGTATGTTTTTGTAGTGCCTGGTCAAAGTCTCTAAATATTTAGTGCTTCTTTCAGGAGCTCTTGTAGGGCAAATCTGGTGGTAAAGAATTCCCTTGGCATTTGCTTGTCTGAAACATATTTTATTTCTCCTTTCTTATGAAGTTAATACCATCTTTAAGTGATAGAACCTCAGTTCGATTTACTAATGTTTATGCATCCTGTAACTACTTATTAATTTACTTGTGTTGCTTTCTTTTATAAAATTTTGCAAGTCTCATTTACGATAAAGAGTAAAACATTTGAAAAGTTGATTAGTAAGTTCATAGTCATTGTAGTTACATTATTTTTTCAATTACAAGAGAAACACTAGTTGTATATATAACTTGTTGAAATAATCTGGAAAGAACATGTATGAATCTATTTTCATGACATTCTGGAGAGTTAAGGGTCCCCTAAGTAGGAGAATCTTATTAGAAATGTGCAGTCTTGAAAGTAATTATACACAATTTAATGATGGAGATAAAAGTATTATTATTATTATGCTGCTACTTGATGTACAGATAATCAGGTTTCTAATGGATGGCTGCTCTACTTTTATCTTTCATGATTACAGAAGTATGCATAATTGTAGGAACAACAACTCTCATCTTTATAAAAATGAAAATAAAATTACTGTCATTACAGTTATTATTTGTTCAACACATATTTGCTGAGTACCTACTCTATACAAGAAACTGTTGGTGACAGAGAGATAATAAAATAATGACTCTTACAAAGCAGTCATGGTCTGGTAGGGTAAAAAGATATGTATGTATTGATCATATTCTAACATGTATAATAATAGAGTATGTATAAAACATGGCAATATAGTATATGTTCCTATTGTTGTTTGGTTTAAGTGTCTGAATGATCAAACTCATTTTCAAAGAATCAGATTGTCAAATAGAATGAGACTGTTTTGCTCCCATTGCAAGGTGCTCTGAGAATGTTTTAAATGAACTGAATGCCTCCTGCATTAGTCAGGGTTCTGTAGAGGGACAGAAGTAATAGGATATATGCATATATGAAAGGGAGTTTATTAAGGAGAATTGACTTACATTATCTCAAGGTGAAGTCCCACGATAGGCCGTCTGCAAGTTGAGGAGCAAGGAAGCCAGTGGTAGAACAGTCCGAGTCCCCAAACCTCAAAAGTAGGGAAGCCAACAATGCAGATTTCAGTATGTGGCCAAAGGCCTCAGAGACCCTGGCAAACCAGTGGTGTAAGTCCAAGAGTCCAAAAGCTGAAAAACTTGGAGTCCAATATTCGAGGACAAGAAGCATCCAGCATGGGAGAAAAATGAAAGCCGCAAGACTCAGCAAGTCAAGTCCTTCCACGTTCTTCTGCCTGCTTTATTCTAGCTGTGCTGGCAGCTGATTAGGTGGTGCCCACCCAGATTGAGGGTGGGTCTGCCTCTCCAAGTCCACTGACTCAAATGTTAATCTCCTTTGGCAACACCCTCACAGAGATATCCAGGAACAATACCTTGCATCCTTCAATCCAATCAACTTGAGACTCAATATTAACCATCACACCTACTGTGTGCAAAGAAATAGGCAATCATTTACTTTCATCTAAAACAGCGACCTTGCTTGAAGAAGAAATAATAAAAGCCAGACAATTATTGAAGAAGAAATAATAAAAGCCAGACAATTGCATTATTTTTCTTTATCCTTCTATGTTTTCCTGACTTGTTCTGCATTGCCTGTTGTGTACATTTTTCTTCCCAATGTTAAGAGGATTTTTAAAATCCTGTTGATTTAAGTTACTTTACAACAATCACAAATTGAGTGAAGAGTCCATTTTATATAATGTTGGTTAGGTCCTATTTATAAATAATAATCACAGGAATAATAGCACTATTTATGATAAGATCTCTTAGCAATTTTTGAACAAGTCACCAATTGTGGCAACTGATTATGACATTAAGAAGATAAATATGGAACTATTTTTTCAGAATCATTGAAGAAATCAGTAAGAAAGGCACAGCTGTCTTTATAAGTACATTAAGTGTGATTTGTTTGCACTAAGTATTTATCTTTTAGTCATCATCTTCAGTGAGTAGAAGTCCCATCAATGGCTGTTAATTAGGCAACATAAGAACGTCTCAGCTAAAGGCCTGCTGCATTTTGTTAACTTTTTGCCACAACGATCTGTCTAATACTATAAATGGAGTGTTGAAGACTTCCACAATTATTATGTGGAAGTCTAAGTTTCTGTGAGGATGCCTTATGATCTTGGCACATATTTTTTAATCAGATTAGGACTTCTTCCAAGATGGCCAAGTAGATGCAGCTGGGAAGTGCCATTTCTACAGAAAGGGACCATAGTTTTGAACTATACCAACATAATTTAACTAGATCTTCCAAGAGAAAAACGCCAAATGCAGATGGAGAAAAGAATTAAATGCTGAGGCTGAAGGTAAAGAAAGCTGAGGCCCAACACATAGTGCCTGAACATTATGGCTGGTTCCTAGCCATGAATAACACCTGGAGAAGGAGTGAATGAAGGGACTGGGAGACTGCTCACTCCCACCACAGACCTGTGGAATCCTAGTGTTGCAGGACTTTTCCTTAGTTCAGCTAAAGACGGGGTTCTTGTCTGTCCAAGAGCCACAAAACTTTAGGCTCGCAGATGGCTTAAAGGGTGAGTAAAGCAGGGTTTTATTGGGTGAAAAGGGAACAAAGGGGCAAACAGAAAAGCACTCCCTTAGAGTGCTTCCTGCCTGGCAGCTTGGATCCCAGGTTCCACACAGGAAGAGGAGGAGCCAGGTTCCTCCCTGCTGCAAATAGCATGAACTTCCCCAGGCTCCACCCCAGTGGGCAGGCTGGTTAGAGTCTCCAGGGACCCCTTCCCAGCTGGCTGTCTCACTAGCTGCTGCAGGGAAACCCAGAACCCCAAGGAAGTGTGAGCTCTCAGGGGTAATCTCCATAGAGATTAAATACAGAGCTGCAGCAGGCACTGAGCTGGGGACCTTTCAGCACGAGTCAGCTCCAGCGGATCCTGGTCATCAGTGCCTACCCTCTAGGGCTGCCCATCTCCCTCTGAGAGGCTCTGCACCCAGCTACCTGCTGAGGAGAAAGCAGGGCCTGCTTCTGCCACAGGACTGGAGCACATATGTCCTGCAAGTCTGTCTGCCTGCCAGCCCTTCCCAGGACCCCTGCTTGGTCACCTCATATTACCTCATAGGATTAAGTATACAGTGAAGCCCTGGATGCCAGGCCTGGCTGCGTTGTTCCACCCGAGTGAACTACAGAAGCCTGGGAGCCCTGCAGATACTCTATCACACCAGAACCACCACCCCGAGAATCCAGAATAGGGAGCCACAAGCAGGTTCTGGCACCTCAGGGCTGTGGCATGGAGCTCAGGAGTGCCAACCTGGGTGCTGTGAGCTGTGATAAGCACTTCAATGGGGAAGGAGCCCACACTTTCAGAAAATTGAGAGGGGTAAATCACAAAGGTTCACAGGCTGGTGTGGGACCTAGACATGCCTCCCTCCACAGTGCTGGTCTGGTAAGAGTGTGTCCTATTTCCCTACCAGACCTCTCCCCAAAGGACCCCTGCAGCCTGAAATACCTAGTGACGACAATAAAAATTGTGTGCACAGTGCCGTTAATTGAAAGTGGCTCCCTAAGGCCCATGAGCAGATCTTTTATGGGGGTCACCTCTCTCCCCCTTGTACCACAAAACACAGTTGCAAACACAAGTACACAAAAAGAAACTGAAAGGCTAAGGTCCCATTCACTGCCCATTGCTCTCAAGTGCCATCTACTGAATTGAAGTCCAAACTACAACACCAAAAATCACTTTACTAATTCCTCCCTCTATCCTCATTCTGCAAAACCAAGAGCAAGAATTCAACAACAAAGACCCTGTACAGAGACTTAGCTCTCTGAAATCATCCTGAAATTAAAACAATGGACTTAATTTACATCACAATTAAAGGAATACCAGCCCTCCTGAATGAGAAAGATTCTGCACAAGAATTCTGGCAATTCAAAAAGCCAGAGAGTGTCCCCTTACCTCCAAATGAGCCAATATATAACACCCCAGCAACAATTATTAACGAGTCTAAATTTTCTGAAATGTCAGACATGGAATTAAGAACTGAGATATCAATGAAGTTCATTGAGATCAAGGAGAATGTTGAAACTCAATTCAAAAAGGCCAAGCAACCCAGTAAAACAATTCAAGACCTGAAAGACAAAATAGTCATGTTAAGAAAGACTGAAACTGAACTTCTTGAGCTGAAAAATTCACTACAAGAATTTTATAATATGATCAAAAGTGTTAACAGCAAAATAGACCAAGCTGAGGAAAGAATCTCAGAATTCAAAACTGGTTCTTCAAATCAACTCAGTTAGACAAAAATAACAACAGACAAACAAACAAAAAATAATTAAGAAAAATAAAATTTTTGAGAAATGTGGGATTATGTAAAGAGAACAAATTTATAACTCACTGACAATCCTAAGAGATAATTAGAGATAACAGCAACTTGGAAATTATATTTGATGATATAGTCCCCCAAAATTTTCCTAATCTCTCTAGAGGTTGACATGCAAATTGGAGAATTACAGAGAACCCCAGGTAGATACTATACAAGATGATCATCTACAAGGAACATAGTCATCAATTCACCAAGGACAATGTAAAATAAAAAATCGTAAAGGCAGCTAGAGAGAAGGGGCAGGTAACCTACAGAGGGAACCTCATCAGGCTAGCAGCAGAACTCTCAGCAGAAGCCTTACAAACCCAAAGAGATTAGAGGCCTATTGTCCGTGTCTTAAAGAAAATAAATTTCAACCAAGAATGTTATATTCTGCCAAACTAAGCTTCTTGAGTGAAGGAGAAATGAAATCCTTCTCTGACAAGCAAAATGCTGAGGGAATATGTTTTAACAAGACAAATCTTGCAAGATGTCCTTAACAGAGTGCTAAATATGCACTAAAAAGAATGATACCTGGTACCAGAAAAGCACACTTAAGGACATAGCCCACAGGCACTATAAAGCAACTATGTAATCAACTCTATATAACTACCAGCTAATGAAACGATAGTGATGACCAAATCAAAATCACACATATCAATATTAACATATAATGTAAATAGGCTAAATGCTCCCACTTAAAAGACACAGAGTGGTAGGTTAGATGAAAATACAAGACTCAATTTCTGTTGTCTTCAAGAGATGCATCTCACATGTAATGGTACCCACAGGCTCAAAGTAAAAGGCTGGAGTAAGATCTAACATCCAAACAAATAACAAAAATGTCCAGAAGTCACTATTCTTATATCAGATAAGACAGCCTTTAAACAAACAACAACAGCAACAAAATTAAGAAGAAAATGAAAGGCATTGCTTAATGAAAAACAATACAATCCAACCAGAAGTCTTAACTATCCTAAATATATATGCACCCAACATTGAAGCACTCACATGCATAAAACAAGTTCTTCTTGGTCTATGAAAAGAAATAGACAACCACACAATAGTGGCAAACTTTAACACCCCACTGAGAGTTAGACAGGCAAAACTCTAAAAAAACAACTCTGGACTTAAAGTCAACACTTGATCAGCTGAACTTAATAGATGTATACAGAACATTCCACTCAATAACCACAGAATCTCCCTTCTTCTCTTCTGCACATGGAACATATTCTAAGATCAACCACATGCTAGGTCATAAAGCAGGCATCAGTGAATTCAAAAAATTGGAGTCATACCAAGTACACTCTTGGACCACATTGCAATAAGAATAGAAATCAATACTAAGATCTCCCAAAACTACACAAATACATGGAAATTAAACAACTTACTCCGGAATAACTCCTGGGTGAACATCAGAATTAAGGCAGAAATCAAATAATTCTTGGAAATTTATGTAAATAGGGACACAACTTATTAAAATCTCTGGGATGCAGCCAATGCAGTATTAAGAGGAAAGTTTATATCTCTACATGCTTTCATCAAGAAGTTAGAAAGATCTCAAATTAACAATCTAACTTTTCACTGTAAGAAACTAGAAAAAAGAACAAGCCCAAAGCTAGCTGAAGAAATGAAACACCTAAAATTAGAAAATGACAAAATGAAATTGAGACACAAAAATCCATGAAAAATATCAATGAAATAAAAATTGGTTCTTCAAAAACAAGAAATAAATAAGATTGATAGACCCCCTAGCTAGATTAACAAAGAAAGATAAGATCCAAATAATCACAATCAGAAACAACAAAGGCTCTGTTACAACTGATCCCACAGAAATACAAAAGATGTTCAGAGACAACACTGAACAATTTATGCACAAAAAATAGAAAACCTAGAGAAAATGTATAAATTTCTAGAAGCAAACAATCTCACAAGACTGAATCCAGAACAGATTGAAAACCTGAATAGACCAATATCAACTTCTGAAATTGAACTAGTAATAGAAAACCTGCCACCCACAAAAAGCCTTGGACAAGATGCACTCACAGCTAAATTCTACCAGACATACAAAGAAGAACAGATACCAGTAGTACTGAAAATATTCCTAAAATTTGAGGTGGAAGAGCTCTTCCATAATTTATTCAATGAAGCTAGCATCAGCCTGATACCCCAAACTGGCAGAGATACAATCAAGAAAAAAAATTTAGATCAATATCCCTCATGAACATAAATGCAAAACTCTTCAACACAATACTAGCAAATTAAACATAGCAGCACATCGAAAGATAATGCAGCTTGATCAAGTAAGCTTTATTCGTGGGATGTGAGGATGGTTCAACATATGCAAATCAATAAATGTGATTCACCACATAAACAGAATCAAAAGCAAAACCCATATGATCATCAAAAAGAAAAAAAACAAAGATAAAGCTTTCTATAAAATCCAACATCCCTTTGTGACAAAAACACCTTCAACAGGCTAGGCATCAAATGAACCAATATTGTTTGGTTGTGGACCCACCTAAATCTCATCTTGAATTGTAACTCCCACAATTGCCATGTGTCATGTGAGGAACCTGGTGGGAGGTAATTGAATCATGGGAGTGGGTCTTTCCCATGCTGTTGTCATGATAGTGAATAAGTCTCACAAGATATGATGGTTTTGAGAGTTTCTCTGCACAAGCTGTCTTTCTCTCTTTGCTTGCTGCCATCCATGTAAGATGTGCCTTTTGCTTTTCACCATGATTGTTAGGCTTCCCCTCAGCAATGTGAGAATGTAAGTCCATTAAACACTTTTTTCTTTATAAATTACCCAGTCTCAGGTATGTGTTTATCAGCCATGTGAAAATGGGCTAATACAGTAAACTGGTACTAATAGAGTTGGGCATTGCTGAAAAGATATCGGAAATGTGGAAGCAACTTTGGAACTGGGTAACAGGCAGAGGTTGGGACAGTTCGGGGGGCTCAGAAGAACATAGGAAAATGTGGGAAAGTTTGCAACTCTTTAGAGATTTGTTGAATGGCTTTCCCCAAAATGCTGATAGTGATATGGACAATAAGGTCCAGGCTGAGGAGGTCTCAGATAGAAATGAGGAACTTGTTGGGAACTGAAGCAAAGGTGACTCTTTTTATGTCTTAGCAAAGAGAGTGGTGGCATTTTGCCCCTTCCCTAGAGATTTGTGGAACTTTGAACTTGAGAGAGATGATTTAGGATATCTAGCAGAAGAAACTTCTAAGAAGCAAAGCATTCAAGAGGTGACTTAGGTGCTGTTAAAAATATTCAGTTTTAAAAGGAAAACAGAGGATAAAAGTTTGGAAAATTTGCAGGTTGACAATGCAATAGGAAAGAAAATCCCGGGCTAGGTGCAGTTGCTCACACCTGTAATCCCAGCACTTTGGGAGGCTGAGGTGGGCGGATCACAAGATCAGGAGATTGAGACCATTCTGGCTAATATGGTGAAACACCGTCTCTACTAAAAAATACAAAAAATTAGCCAGGCTTGGGGGCACACACCTGTAGTCCCAGCTACCCAGGAGACTGGGGCAGGAGAATCACTTGAACCCAGGAGGCGGAGGTTGCAGTGAGCTGAGATGGTGCCACTGCACTCCAGCCTGGGTGACAAAGCAAGACTCTGTCTCAAAAAAAAAAAAAAAATGAAAATCCCATTTTCTGAGAAAAAATTCAAGCTGGTTACAGAAATTTGCATAAGTAACAAGTAGCCAAATGTTAATCACCAAGACAATGGGAAAGATGTCTCTAGGGAAGGTCAGAGACCTTTATGGCAGCCCCTCCCATCACAGGTCAGGAGGTTTAGGAGGAAATAATGGTTTTGTGGGCTGCTTTCTGGGTCCCTCTGTTATATGCAGTCTAAAGACTTAGTGCCCTGTGTTCCAGCTGCTCTAGCTGTGACTAAAAGGGGCCAAGGTCCAGCTTGGGCTGTTGCTTCAGATGACAGAAGCCCCAAGCCTTGGCAGCTTCACGTGGTATTGAGCCTGCAGATGCATAGAAGTCAAGAACCGAGGTTTGGAAACCTCTGCCTAGATTTCAGAAGATGCATGGAAACACCTGGATATCCAGGGAGAAGTTGGCTATAGAAATAGGGCTCTCATGGAGAACTTCTGCTAGGGCAGTGTGGAAGGGAAATGTGGGGTCAGAGCTGCCACACAGAGTCCCTACTGGGGCACTGCCTAGTGGAGCTGTGAGAAGAGGGCCACCATCCTCCAGACCCCAGAATAGTAGATCCACTGGCAGCTTGCATCATGCACCTGGAAAAGCCTCAGACACCCAATGCCAGTCTATGAAAGCAGCCAGGAGGCAGGCTGTACCCTGGAAAGCCACATGGGCAGAGCTACCCAATACCATGAGAACCCACCTCTTGCATCAGCATGACCTGGATGTGAGACATGGAGTGAAAGAAGATAATTTTGGAGCTTTCAGATTTGACTGCCCTGCTGGATTTCAGACTGGCATGGGGCCTGTAGCCCCTTTGTTTGGCCAATTTCTCCCATTTGAAAAGGTTGTATTTACCCAATGCCTGTACTCCATTGTATCTAGGAAGTAATTAACTTGCTTTTGATTTTACAGGCTCACAGGCAGAAGGGACTTGCCTTGTCTCAGATAAGACATTAGATTGTGGACTTTTGAGTTCATGTTGAAATGAATTGAGACTTTGGGGCACTGTTTGGAGGGCATGATTGGTTTTGAAATGTGAGGACATGAGATTTTGGAGGGGCCAGGGGCAGAATGATATGGTTTGGCTGTGTCACTACAGAAAACTCATATTGAATGGTAACTCCCACAGTTCCTACATGTTGTGGGAGGAACCTGGTGAGAGGTAATTGACTCATGGGGGCAAGTCTTTCCTGTGCTATTATCATGATAGTGAATAAGTCTCACAAGATCTCATGGTTGTATAAACGGGAGTTTCCCTGCACAAGCTCACTCTGCCTTTGCCTGCTGCCATCTATGTAAGATGTGCCTTTCACCTTCCACCATGACTGTGAGGCTTCCCCAGCCATGCAGAAATGTAAGTCCATTAAACCCCATTTCCTGTGTAAATTACCCAGTCTCAGATATGTCTTTATCAGCAGCATGTAAACAGACTAATGCAGGAACATACCTAAAAATAAGAAGAGCCATCTATGACAAACCCACAGCCAACATCATACTGAATGAGCAAAACCTCAAAACATTCCCTTTGAGAAGTACAACAAGATAAGGATACCCACTCTCACCACCTCTACTCAACATAGTACTAGATGTCCTAGACAGAGCAATCGCACAAAAGAAAGAAATAAAAGGCATCCAAATAGAAAAAAAAAATGAAGTCAAACTCCTTCTCTCTTTACTGACAATAGGATTCTAGAGCTCGAAAATCCTAAAGGTTCTGCCTAAAGGCTCCTAGAATTGATAAATGTTCTCAGTAAAGTTTCAGGATACAAAATCTATGTACAAAAATCTGTAGCATTTCTATATACCAACAATATCTACATGAGAATGAAATAAAGAACACAATCCCACTTCAATAGCCACAAAAAGAATAAAATACCTAGATATACAACTAATCAGGGAAGTGAAAGATCTCTACAAGGAAAACTACAAATCCTTACCATAAGATATCAGAGACAACACAAATAAATGGAAAAACACTCCATTCTCGTTGATTAGAAGAATTAATATCATGGAAATGACCATGCTGCCAAAGCAATTTACAAATGCAATGCTATTTCTATCAAATTATCAATATCATTCTTCACAGAATTAGAAAAAGTATTCTAAAATTTATATGGAATCAAAAAGAGCCTAAATAGCCAGAGCAATTGTAAGCAAAAAAAAAAAAAAAAAAAAAAAAAAAAGCTGGAGGCACCACGCTACCCAACTACAAACTACACTATAAAGCTACAGTAAACAAAACAGCATGATACAGATACAAAAACAGACATGTAGACTAATAGAACAGAATAGAAAACTCAGAAATAAAGCTGCACACTTACAACCATTTGATCTTAAACATGGTTAACAAAAACAAGCAATGGGAAAAGGAGTCTGTATTAAATAAATGGTCCTGGGATAACTGGCTAACCATATCCCGAAGGTTGACACCAGACAGTGACCTTTCACCATATACAAAAATAAACTCAAAACAGATTAAAGATTTAAATGTAAGACCTTAAACTGTAAAAAGTCCTAGAAGGCAACCTAGGAAATACCCTGCTCAACATCAGCTTTGGCCAAGAATTTTTGGTTAACTCCCCCAAAGCATTTGCAACTAAAACAAAAATAGACAAATGGAACCTAATTAAACTAAGCAGCTTCTGCACAGCAAAAGAAACTATCAACAGAGGAAACAACCTACAGAATGGGAGAAGATATTTGCAAACTATGTATCTGACAAAGGCCTAATATCAAGAATCTATAGGGAACTTAAACACATCAACAAACTAAGAAACAACCCCATAAAAAATGGGCAAAGGGCATGAACCCTTCTGGAAGACATACAAGTGCCCAAAAACATATACAAAATACTCACCATCATTAATCATTTAAAAATGCAAATTAAAACCACAATGAGACACCATCTCCCAGCAGTCAGAAGAGCTATTAATAAAAAGTCAAAAAAACAGCAGATGCTGGTGAGGCTACAGAGAAAAGGAATTGCTTATACACTGTTAGTCGGAAAGTAAATCAGTCTAGCCATTGTGGAAAGCAGTCTGGAGATTTCTCAAAAAACTTGAAACAGAGTTACCATTCCCCAAGCAATCCCATTACTGGGTATATACCCAAAGGAACATAAGTCATTCTACCCAAAAGACACACACACTCATATATTCATTGCCATGCTATTAACAATAGTTAAGACATAGAATCATCCTAGGTGCCCATCAATAGTAAACTGGGTGAAGAAAATGTGATACATATACACCATTGAATACTACCACATAGCTATTAACAATAATGAAATAAGGACATTTGCAGCAACATGGATGAAGCTGGATACCGTACTCCTATGCAAATTAATGCAGGAACAGATAACCAAATACCACATGTTCTCACTTATAAGTGGGAGCTACACAGTGGGCACATGTGGACACATATATGGGAACAATAGACACTGTGGATGACTAGAGAGTGGAAGGAGAGATGGGTTAAAAAACTACCTATCAGGTACTATGCTCACTACTTGGGTGATGGGATCCACACTAGAAATCTCAGCGTCATGCAACATTTCCATGAACAACTCTGCACATGTACCCCCTATATCTAAAATAAAAGTTGAAATCTTTAAAATAAACAAAGCAAAAAAATGAGGTAGTTGGTATCTAGAATGGATAATTCTCACGAAAAAAAAGCAAAAACACAGCAATAAAAAAAAAGCAAGAAACTGTTTGGGTCACCTCTGATGCAGAATTTATTTATGTTTCCTGAAAACCCCTGTTAACCTGACTTAAACACTACTGTGAGCAAATAAGGTCCTTCAACAATCCAAGATGTTCATAAAGTGGCATCAAGACATTTTCCCAAATAAAAGAACAGTTAACTCTGAAAGTGCAGTATGTCTTCCACCTAGAATAAAGAGGTAGATACAGTGTTTCACTCATATCGAGGGAGCTAATAGCACCTTAAAGAAATGTCAAGTGTTAGGTTGAGAAAAGTCTTTCTACGTGGAGACCAACTACATCACATTAGCAAAAGCCATTGTCACTACTAAGCAGGTGCACTTCTGTTACACCATGCCATTTCTAGGGCAAACACCCGTCATCAACAATGGCATTTATTTCCTCTGAGCAAAGATGAAGCCATAGAATCTTTTTTAGCCCAACACTTCAACCAGCAACTACCAATTGCTTAGAGGTGATCCTTAGGATCCTTAATAGGAATTTCATTTTATTTATTTATTTGTTTTACCACAGGGAAATGAAAACCTCAAGGAAAAAAATGTATTGCAATTTAAAAATTTATTCACAGTATTTTAAAGTGTGCAAATACAATGTAACTTCTTCATTTTCTCCAGAAATTAACAATCCAGTATTTCTGACAGACTCCCATCCATTGGACAACTTGGTCAGACATAAACGAAGAGAAAACTAGTAAATCATTTTTCTGCCAAACTCAGTGTGAGACCAATTCAATAATTTAAGCATTTACTTGATATTACTCACTTTATAATAATAGACTGAGGTAAGTTCTTAGTCTAAGATTTCCTCCAATTATCTCTTACAAGATGGAATCCTGATAGTTCAAGGAACAATCTGCTCATGCAATTTAATTAATTGTGGTGGTTGGTCTCTGGATCTTTGCAGATCCCTGCTGAAGAGCAGCTAGACTTATTTGATCTCTGTACTGGTGAGTTCTAAAATAAGATAAATCATATTTGGTTTTTGGAGTGATGGGCTGTGTCTTATTTAGACAGCTAATGGTTCAGCCACTTATTCAAAGACTCAGTGTCATCATCAAAAACAATCTCATTTTCCTGAATACATTCCTTGGGTTATCCACCTAAACTCTTAGCACTTCCAAGGCACCTTACTGAAGTACAGTACAACTTCTGAATCCTTTGTATTTGTGTACATTTGAGGAACCAAGAACACTGCTTCAGGCTCATCTATATATGTGGCACCCACCAATTTATCTCTTACCATGTTGAAAACAACAGTGGATGGGGCTGTTAGAGACTTACCAACCTACCCCACTGTCTCAGTTAGTGCAGGTTGCCACAACAAAATACCACAGACCAGGATGCATAAACAGCAGATATTTATTTTCTTACAGTTCTGCAGTCTTGGATACCGAAGATCAAGTTCCATCCTATTTGGTACCTGGTGAGTGTTCTCTTCCTGGCTTCCAGCTGCTTTCGGCCGGGCGTGGTGGCTCATGCCTGTAATTCCAGCACTTTGGGAGGCCGAGGCGGGTGGATCATGAGGTCAGGAGTTCGAGACCAGCCTGACCAACATGGTGAAACCCCGTCTCTACTAAAAATACAAAAATTACCTGGGCACACACTTGTAATCCCAGCTACTCAGGAGGCTGAGGCAGGAGAATAGCTCTAACCTGGGAGGCAGAAGTTGAAATGAGCCGAGATCGCGCCATTGCTCTCCAGCCTGGGTGACAGAGCGAGACTCCGTCTCAAAACAAACAAACAAACAGAAAACCAGCTTCTTTTTAGCTGTGTCTTCACATGGACTTTTTTCTCTGTGTACAGGGGTTGGGGGTGGAAATGAATTTCTTTCTCTTTCTCTTCCTCTTCTTATAAGGTCACCAGCTCTATGGGATGGGGATCTCACATTTATGACCTAATTTGATCTGAATAACCTTTTGAAAATCTTATCTCCAAATACAATCACATTGGGGGTGCGGGCTTCAATAAATAAATCTGGGCAAGACACAATTCAGTCCATATTACCTACTATACTTGAGAAAATGAGACACGAAGCTTAATATCTTAAATCTCTTCTATATATACTTAGATAGCTCTAGAGACACCGACCATAATACACACACACACACACACACACACACACACACACTCACACACCATGAAGTTCCGAATCAATTTGGAGTTGGGGGTTGGGAATGTGGATAAGAATCCTGACATCTGACTTTATTCAAATTGCTCTATCTTGTTTTCTCCAGAATCCTCCCAGATGTGAAAAGAGGAATTCTACTTTCTGTCTATCTAGTACTTTTTGCCATTATTCCTGGGCCAAATGGGAAAAGTTTCACGTTTTGCATGTGCTCAACATTATATATTGTTTTTTCCTAAACCAATATGATGGCTATGACTTATTGAAAAGGTTTGAAGGGAGATATTGGCCTACCAATAAATAAATTTAATTTAGGAGGTATTTCAAAAATATTTTACCTGTTAATGGAAGTATATCATTCTTTCTTACTTATACAGTTCTGGATGAAAAGCTGTGATGGTTAATATTGAGTGTCAACTTGATTATATTGATCCTGGGTGTATCTGTGAGGGTGTTCCCTCAAATCTGCTAAGATTGCTCTGAGTGAGAGTCTTATCTCCTGTAGAGAAAGAGATGAAATTGTGGAAAATCAGACACAAGCTCTTATCATGCGAGTGGCTTACCTGCAATGAAAGGTGCATACCCAGCCTTGCCAGGTATCTACTGTTAAAGTGAGGACATTGATTGAAAAAGAATGTAAACTTGCAACTTGGAATAGGAACATGTGGAAGGACTCTGATTAAGCTGGGGACACTGAGCTTGTAAACTCTGATGAACTTTTCTTGCCATAAAAAACAAAAACAAAAACAAAAAAAACAGCTTCTTTATTCTAGTAGTGGCAACATCCCCTTCCTGACCCATGCTGCCATCAGTCTTTCCACCTTTGTCTGAGGAGATAAACTCTGCACTGCCTGAAGCAACAGTGATGGCCTCCCCTGAGGCAGTTGCCAGGCAAAATAAGGTTGATTCTCCTCAGGAGCTACCCCCAACACCTCTGTTTGCTTCCAGACCTATAACTAGACTAAAGTCTCAGTGGGCCCCTAGAGGTGAAGATCTGAGTGTCACCTATGAGGAGGTGCACCACACTTGAAAAGCACTGCTTGAGTTTTCTGATTTACATAAACAGAAATCTGGAGAATAGGCATGGGAATGGATATTAAGGGTATGGCATAATGGTGGAAAGAACATTTAGTTGGATCAGGCTGAATTTATTGATTCAGGCCCACTTAGTATGAATTCCGAATTCAATGTTGCAGCTCAGGGATTTTAAAAAAGTTCTAATAGTTTATTTGCTTGGTTCACTAAGATGTGGATTAAAAGATGGACCACTGTGAGTGAGCTGGAAATGCTTGATTTCCCATGGGTTAATGTAGAGGAAGGGATCCAAAAGCTGAAGGAGATTGTGATGGTGGTGTGGATTAGTCACTTTACACTGATTCATCCCAGCTGGGAGGGTCCAGAAGATATACCCTTGAACAACACTTGTGAAAGAGATTTGCGAAGGCAGCACCTGTGTATTTGAAGAGCCCTGTAATTGCTCTTCTCTGTATGTCAGACCTAACAGTGGACACTGCAGTGGCTCTACTACAAGATTTAAATACAATGGGAGTAACTGGATCCCGGGGTGGCAGGGACCAAGCGGCAGCACTTGATAGTCAAAGGCAAAGTGGGCATGGCTATGGTAATGGACATCAGAGGCAAAGTGGCAATCAGAATAGTCTGGCTTTTGTAGAGTTCTGGCATTGGCTAGCTAATCACGGTGTTTCTAGAAGTGAAATTAATAGAAAGCCTACTGCATTTCTACTTAATTTACACAAGCAAAAACTTTCCAGGTTGAATGGACAAAAGACTAATTTAAATTATAAAAACAGAGAATCATGCCCCCTCAATCAATTTCCAGACCTGAGCCAGTTTATAAACCCAGAACCTCTTGAATGAAGGGGAGGCTGGGTCCCCTTGAGAAAGGACCACAATACGTAACCGACAATTTATGCAGTGAATGTTTCTCCCATCCTTCCCCCAAAGAAAACTCTGGCCTTTTACCAGAGTAACTGTGCATTGGGGAAGGGGAAATGATCAGACGTTTCTGGGACTACTGGACGCTGGCTCTGAGCTAATGTTGATTCCATGGGATAAAAAATGTCAAAGTGGTCCTCCAGTTAAAGTAGGGGCTATAGAGGTCAGGTAATTAATAGAGTTTTAGCTCATGTCACAGAGATGATCCAGTGTGTCCCCATACTCATCTTGTGGTCATTTCTTCAGTGTCAGAATGCATAATTGGCAGAACACCCTCATTGGCTCTCTGTCTGGTAGGGTGAGGGCTATTAGGGTGGGAAAGGCCAAATGGAAGCCATTAGAGCTGCCTCTACCTAGAAAAATAGTAAATCAAAAACAATATTCCATCCCTGGAGGGATTGTGAATATTAGTCCCGCCCTCAAGGATTTGAAAGACACAGAGGTGGTGATTCACAACACATCCCCATTCAAATCTCCCATTTGGCCTGTGCAGAAGAGAAACAGATCTTGGAAAATGACAGTGGATTGTTGTAAGCTTAACCAAGTGGTGACTCCAATTTCAGCTGCTGTAAAAGATGTGGTTCTTTGCTTGAGCAAATTAACACATTTTCTGGTACCTGGCATGCAGCCATTGACTTGGAAAATGTATTTTCCTCCATTCCTGTCCATAAGGCCCACTAGAAGCAATTTGTCTTCAGCTGGCAAGGCCATCAATATACCTTTACTGTCCTACCTCAGCGGTATATCAACTCTCTGGATTTGTGTCATAATCTTATTGGGAGATACCTTGATCACTTTCTGCTTCCACAAGATATCAGCCTGGTCCATTACATAGATGACATTGGGCTGACTGGATCCAGTGAGCAGGAAGTAGCAAACGCACTGTAATTATTTGTGTGACATTTGCATGCCAGAGGATGGGAAATAAACCTGACTAAAATTCAGGGAATTTCTACCTCAGTAAAATTCCTAGGGGTCCAGTGGTGTGGGGACTGTCGACGTATTTCCTCTAAGGTGAAGCATAAGTTGCTGAATTTGGCCCTTCCTACAACCAAGAAAGAGACACAAGGCCTAGTGTGCCTATTTGGATTTTGGAGGCAACACATTCCACATTTGGGTGTGTTAATCTGGTCAATTTATCAAGTGACCCAAAAGGCTACCATTTTTTAGTGGAGTCCAGAACAGGAGAAGGCTCTGCAATAGGTCCAGGCTACTGTGCAAGTTGCTCTGTGTTTTAGTTAGATTTCTCCAGAGGAACAGAACTAATAGGATATACATATAAATATATATAAAGGGGAGTTTACTAAGCATTAACTTACATGATCACAAGGTCTCACAACAGGGTGTCTGCAAGCTGCTGAGCAAGGAGAGCCAGTCTGAGTCCCAAAACTGAAGAACTTCAAGTCTGATGTTTGAAGGCAGGCAGCATCCCACACAGGAGAAAGATGTAGGCTGGAAGCCTAGGCCATTCTCTCCTTTTCACGTTTTTCTGCCTGCTTTATATTTACTGGCAGCTGATTAGATCGTGCCCACAAGATTAAGGGTGGGTCTGCCTTCCCCAGCCCACCAACTCAAATGTTAATCTCTTTTGACAACACCCTCACAGACACACGCAGGATCAATATTTTGTATCCTTCAATCCAATCAAGTTGGCACTCAGTATTAACCATCACACTCTGCCACTTGTGCCATATGACTTAGCAGATCAAATGGTGCTTGAGGTGTCAGCGGCAGATATGGATGCTGTTTGGAGCCTCTGGCAGGCCCCCATAGGTGAATCACAGTGAAGGCCTCTAGGATTTGGGAGCAAGGCCCTGCAATCTACTGCAGATATCTACTCTCCTTTTGAGAACCGGCTCTTGGCCTGTTACTAGGCTTTGATGGAAACTGAACGTTTCACTAGGGGTCATCAAGTCACCATGCGCCCTGAGCTGCCTATCATGAACTTGGTGCTTTCTGACACTATCTATCCATAAAGTGGGTCGTGCACAGCAGCATTCCATCACCAAATGGAAGTGGTATATACGTAATCGGGCTTGAGCAGGTCCTGAAGGCACAAGTAAATTACGTAAGGAAGTGGCTCAAATGCCCATGGTCTCCAATCCTGCCACTCTGCCTTGTCTTCCCCAGCCTGTGCTGATGGTCTCATGGGACATTCCCTATGATCAATTGACAGAGAAATAGAAGATTAGGGCCTGGTTCACAGATGGTTCTGCATGATACGCAGGCACCACTCGAAAGTGGACAGCTGCAGCACTACAGCCCCTTTTTAGGACATCTCTGAAGGACAGGGCTGAAGGGAAATCTTCCCAGGGCAGAACTTTGAGCAGTGCAACTTGTTGTGCACTTTCCATGGAAGGAGAAAGGACCAGATGTGTGATTAGATACTAATTCATGGGCTGTATCCAATGGTTTGGCTGGATGGTCTAGGACTTGGAAGAAGCATGATTGAAAAATTGGTGACAAAGGCACTTGGGGAAGAGGTCTGTGGATGGACATCTCTAAGTGATCAAAAACTGTGAAGATATTTATATCCCATGTGAGTACTCAACAACAGGTGAACTCAGTAGAGGAGGATTTTAATAATGAACTTGATATAATGACCTGTTCCGTGGACACGACTCAGCCTCTTTTCTCAGCCACCCCTGTCATCGCCCAATGGGCCCATGAACAAAGTGGCCATGGTGGCAGGGATGGAGGTTACACATGGGCTCAGTAACAGCCACTCACCAAGGCTGACCTGGTTACAGCCATTGCTGAGTGCCCAGTTTGCCAGCAGCAGACACCAATGCTGAGACCGCAATATGGCACCATTCCTTGGAGTGATCAGCCAGCTACCTGGTGGCAGTTTGATTATATTGGACCTCTTACAACATAGAAAGGGCAGAGGTTTGTCCTCACTGGGATAGACACTTACTTTGGATATGGGTTTGCGTATCCTCCATGCAAAACTTTTGCCAAGACTACCATTCACGGACTCACAGAATGCCTTAATCATCGTTATGGTATTCCACATAGCATTGTCTCTGACCAAGGCACTCACTTTACAGCTAAAGAAATGCAGTAGTTGGCTCATGCTTAAGGAATTCACTGGTTTTACCATGTTTCCCATCATCCTGAAGCATCTGGATTGATATAACGGTGGAATGGCCTTTTGAAGTCTCAATTACAATGCAAACTAGGTGACAATACTTTGCAGAGCTGGGGAAAAGTTCTCCAGAGGGCCATGTGTACTCTGAATCAGCATCCAATACTGTTTCTCCCATAGCCAGGATTCATGGGTCCAGGAATCAAGGGGGAGAAGTGAAAGTGCCGCCACTCACCATCACCTCTAGTGACTAAGTAGCAAAATTTTTGCTTCCTGTTCCTGCAACATTACCTTCTGCTGGCCTATAGGTCTTAGTTCCAGAGGGAGGAACACTGCCACCAGGAGACACAAGCATGATTCCATTAAACTGGAAGTAAGCTGAAGGCACAAGTAAGTTACATAAGGAAGTGGACACTTTGGGCTCCTCTTACCTTTAAGTCAACTGGCTAAGAAAGGAGTTACAGTGTTGGATGGGGTGATTGACCTGGACTATCAAGATGAAATCAGTCTAGTACTCCATAATGGAGGTAAGGAAGAGTATGAATGGAATACAGGAGATCCACTAGGGTGTCTCTTAGTATTACCATGCTCTGTGATTAAGGTCAGTGGGAAACTACAATAGCTCAATCCAGGCAAGACAGCAAATGGCTCAGACTCCTTAGTAATGAAGGTTTGGGTCACACCACAAGGAAAATAACCAAAGGGAATACAGAATGGGTAATGGAAGAAGGTAGTCATCAATACCAGCTATGACCGCGTGACCAGTTGCAGAAATGAGAACTGTAATTGTCATGAGTATTTCCTACTTCTTTTGTTAAAAACGTTTGTGCATGTATACATTTGTACTAAGAAAATATCTTCATTTTATTTCCTTTTTCCTCTATCTTGTGACTTAAGAGTTATTGACTTCATACCAGCATTATATATTGTTGACTTATGTAATAGCATTTGTATTGGGGATTGGTGAGTTTACAGTTGTATGAAGGATAGTTGTATTATGTTAGGTGTAATTATGACCTTATTATTGTCTTTATTTGAAGATTATGTATGATTTCAGGAGATGTGTATGAGTTCAAGTTGACAAGGATTGGACTTGTGATGGTTAATACTTAGGGTCAACTTGATTGGATTGAAGGATGCAAACTATTGATCCTGGGTGTGTCTGTGAGGGTGTTGCCAAAGGAGATTAACTTTTGAGACAGTGGGCTGGGGAAGGCAGACCCACCCTTAATCTGGGGGGGGCACCATCTAATCAACTGCCAGAAAATACAAAGCAGGGAGAAAAAACATGAAAAGGCTAAACTGGCTTAGCCACCCCCCAGCCTACATCTTTATCCTGTGCTAGTTTGATGCTGGTTTGATGCTTTGATGCTTCCTGCCCTCAAACATCACACTCCAACTCTGGACTGGCCTCCTTGCTCCTCAGTTTGCAGACGGAGTACTGTGGGACCTTGTGATCATGTGAGTTAATACTACTTAATAAACTCCCCTTTATATATATATTTGGATATATATGTATTTTATATATAGATATAGATATAGATATATATATATATATGTTATTCTATTAGTTCTGTCCCTCTAGAGAACCTTAACTAATGCAAAAGCAAAATTAATTATTGTTGCTGTTGTTATTGTCATTGTTGTTTTTCTATACAAAAACTTCACACAATTCAGAGGAATATGACTGCCTGTTAAATAATCTAGTAGATTTCAACTAAATAAAATTTATGTATAGGCATGAGCTACTATGATGAAAAATTTGATCCATAACCAGAACAAGATATTCCAGAAGAAAACATTGTTCCAATAAAGCATACCAAATTTGAAATTTCATATTTCCAGATTTGTAGTTTGGTATTAAACTAAGCAGGGGTTTTCCTTTCAGTCAAAATATAAATAACTCTGAAAACATAATAATTTAAACCTTATTATATTCATACATTAGTGTAAATTAATTAATTAGATCGTTTTCGGAGAACAGTTTTCCTAAGTATTGAATGAAGAGAACATGAGGTCATTGAATTATAGAAGGAATTTGGTCATTAACTGGCATGATTAAATGATGAGTGGTCAACAGATAATTTTGTAAAATGTTGATTGGGCTTTGAAGACAAAGGCCAGTGCTAACCTCAATAAATTAAAACCTAGGAGATTCACTAGATGCTTAATTGTTCTTCCAGTTTCTTCATACTATAAAATAAAGCTTTTGTTTCCATTTTGTTTTGGGGAAAAACATGTAGTAGCACTGTGAGATTATATAATTTTATTCTTTGTCCCAATATTATATATTCTTTCCTAATCTTCCTACTCCCCTGCTTGTCTTCCATCATATTAGCAGGTCTAGTAGGTGTAATAAATTATATCCCAGTGAATCATCAAGTCCAATGCATAGGTCCTGATCCCTGTCATGCTTCCACTGATAGTGGCATTGCCTCCTGTGTCTCAGGCAAGCCTGTAAAGCTGGACTGACAAGAGTCTTAGCAAAGTCTGTTTTAATTTAGAGCAAGTTTAATTAAGACTCTCAGTAGAAGAGCCCCACAGACCTGCCTAGAATCTTACTAATGTGCAATGCAATTATTGGAATATCATAGGAATCAGAACCAAGTAAATGGACAAATTTGTCTGTCAGGAATTATAGCCTTCTATATAATTAGTGACTACCTGATAAGATTGAGGGAGAATATGAGTAAGGAGGAGTTACTAGATCACCTAAAGCCTTTTGAAAACTAAAGAGAGAAAGTGAGGAATTATTTACAAAAAGGACATGCTTAGGGGAATGAATTCGAACTTTTTTTGGAAAAGTAGCAAACTCACATAAAATATAAAATCACTGTGCTACATGTTAGCATTGGGCTTTGATACTATAGAATATATATATCTGTGTTGGAAGAAAGAAGCCTATAGCAGGGTTCAGCTCTTTCATTCTCACAGGGGAAAATAATGCACTCTACCAAAGTTATGCATGGGAGAAAACTACTCTAATAATTTATATATGGTGGTAGGAGGAGGAAGAAACTACTCTTCAGTCCTCACATGAAGTACTTCCTTATGCAAATTTGACAACTTGGTGTCCATTTTATAGAATGAAGGAACAGACTGAATAGATTAAGAGTATTATTTTTCCCCCTTTGACTATTGTTGGCTGTGTGATTTCTTCCTTACATATGGTAGTATTTGCACCTTCCAAAAAGGAGTATATCTAATAAATTCATCCCCCAAATAAAATATTATAAGACATCAACTAGATTATCTGAACCAATTTTCATCTATTTACTTTTCAAACCAGTGCCCCATGAATCTGTTTTGCCTTATCTTCTTCCCTTTCTGTCAGCATTTTCTTTCCCATACATTCACTTCCTTGAAGCAAAGCATTTGTGTAATCTACTTTCAGTATTTTTATAAAATCAAAAGTAGCATTTCCCATCCACCTTTTGTAGTTGTTTGACCTTGCTGCTTTTCTGAACATAAATGTCTTATTCTCTGTAGAAGTTCTGGTGGTATAAGAAACTATCAGTCAATTTTACTGATGCTACAAACACTTCAATTCACTACAAAGTTAAGAGTATCATAGTAAATCTCACATTATGGGTTCTACTTTCAAATAATTGACTTAGGAGCAAGCATTATTTAGGCCCATCTCTTGCAAGCAATTGGAATCTCGGTTGAAAAGAACCCAAGATATCAATCTGTGGCATTAGTGACATCATAACAAATGTCATAGCCTGAATTTTCAGGATACAGCTTATGAAGTGTAAAATGTTGTCATTCAGCAGTACAAGGGCTAAAGTGCATTTTATAGGAGACATGGAAACAGTAGGGGGAGAATAATTCTTCATATCAATGGCATTCACCTTCATAGTCCAAAACAGAAAATACATTTAAATTTCTAAATGTCTAACCCAAATACCAGAGTCTCCCAATAATATGAGTTCATATTTACTTTTTCAGAACACTTTAGAATATATTGTTTGCTAGTTTATTGCAGCACACCAGCATGGCACATTTATACATATGTAACTAACCTGCACATTGTGCACATGTACCCTAAAACTTAAAGTGTAATAATAATAAAATAAAATAAAAATTCAGCAAAAAATAAATAAATAAAAGTGAAACATAACTAGTGTGGATGGTTCCACTAGTGGAAAAGTGCATGCATGAAATTAAGTCCATCCATGAAATAATTTTCATCCTTCTATTTCTAGAATATCCAAGGGTGACTTTATTAAATGCTTGTCTTCATTTAAAAAGCAAATCACATGTAATAGTATCTTTTAATATCTGAGCATAAATTCAGTATAAAAGAGAAAACATGGATACATCTATAACACAGAACATATGAAACAGGGTTAAGTTACATATGTATCACCCTCTACTTATTCATGAAGTCTCACAAATGCAGCATGCATGTAGGTAAACACACACACACACACACACACACACACACACACACACACACACACATCAGGATTCAAATATCTTCCTGTGCATACTGCAAGAACAATATTTCATGTTGGCCTCTCCCTGCAGCTCAGACTATTATATTATATTACTTCTCTCTGATATTCCTCTCCATTTTTGAATGTTCTACCCCTTTTCATACTTCTATTATATTTTCTCTACTTGAAATAACTCCCATATCACTTTAAACTTCTTTTTTATTATCTATTTTATTTTTAAAAATTTTAATTGACAGATAAAAATGTATATATTTATGGTATACATGATGTTTTAATACATGTATACATTGTAAAATGACTACATCAAGATAATTAATATATACATTATCTCATCTTTTTTGTAGGGAGAACATAAAATCTACTCTTTTCACAATTTTCAAGTATAAAATATATAGATTTTAACTATCATCACCATGATATCCAATAGATCTCTTGAATTTATTCTTCTTACCTAACTGAAAGCTTTTTTCCTTTGACCAACATCTCCCCAGTTCTCCCATCCCCCAGCCTCTGGTAACCACCACCCCACACTATGCTTCCATGTGTTCAACAACAGAGGACTACTTCTACCTTAAGAGAATGATACAGTCCCAAGAAAACATGACAATAAGCTTTTAGACAAAGAGATGATGTGCAAATAAATTATATTATGTGAAATTTTATTTCTTTGTGTATGAGCTCTTCCTATTTTCTTGTTACACTTCTCTTTCTAGATAATGTTCTAAGAATCCTAGGAAAGAGAACCCCCTTCTTGTTTTACTTTAAGATTTGCAGAAAAGTAAGTGTCCAACTCACCTGAAGCTCACTCCAAGCATAGTTTGTAATTAACTTTCTAAACCACCAAATACATTTGTCAATCTCCATACTAACCTCCCATTTTAGGCAATATCTTCCTCTTTTATGGAATGGTGGTAATGGGATATTATTGCAACATGGCCTCTTGTTTACCATAGTCCATTTATTAGCTCTTTTATTAGCTCACTGCAGTACTCAGAAGGGATGAATATATATTCCTGTATTCTTTCTAACAACACTTTGAGAATGAAATTCTGACCAGCCCTTACTGCTTGGTTCTTTTCATAGATGGGCTTGCTATAGTCAGCTTGTAGCATAAAATATTGTGACTTACAGACATTTGAGCTAAAATGAACATGGCAACCTTTCAGTCCAGCACCCAGTCTATGCAGAAATACTTTTTAAAAATATTCTAAACAGAAGAGAGAGTACAAGATTAAATTTTATACAAGCATATATCAAACATATTGTGAATTCCATTCCAGACCACAGCAATAAAGCAAATATCACAATAAAGTGAATCAGACAAAGCCAGGTTCAGTGGTTCATATCTGTAAGCCCAGGGATTTGGGAGTTATGTTTACACTATATTATAGTACATTAAGTGTACAATAGCATTATGTCTTTAAAAAGTACATGCCTTAATTCAAAAATACTTTATTGCTAAAAAAAAAATTTAATGATTACCTGAGTCTTCATTAAGTCTTAATCTTTCTGCTGGTGGAGGGTGGTCTTGCCTCAAAGTTGATGGCTGCTGACTGATCAGGGTGGTGATTACTGAAGGTTGGAGTGGCTGTGGCAATTTCTTAAGATAACAATGAAGGTTGTTGCATCGATTGACTCTACCTTTTACTAAAGATTTCTCTGTAGCATTTGATGATGTTTGATAGCATTTACCCACAATAGAACTTCTTTCAAAATTGCAGACAATCCTCTCAATCCATGCTGCTGCTTTATCAACTACGTTTATGTAACATTCTGAATGCTTTGTTGAAATTTTCTTTCTTTCTTTGTTTTAAACTTTTATTTTAGGTTCAGGAGTACAGATTTGTTATGTACAGGTTCATTATATAAGTAAAGTGTGTGTCCTGAGGGTTTTGTGTGCATATTATTTTGCCACCAAAATAGTAAGCATATTACTCCATAGGGTAGTTTTTCAATCCTCTCTCTCTTCTCACTCTCCATCCTCAGGTAGCCCCTGGTGTCTGTTGTTCTCTTCTTTGTGTCCATCTGTACTCAGTGCTTAGCTTCCACCTATAAGTAACAACATGTGGTATTTTGTCTTGGTTTCTTCTGTTAGTTCACTTAGGATTATGGCTTCCAGCTCCATCCATGTCACTGCAAATGACATAATCTCATTTTTCATTTGTGGCGGCATAGTATTCCATAGTATATACATAGCACAATTTCTTTATCCAGTCTACCACTGATGGGCATTTGGGTTGATTCCATGACTCTGCTATTGAGAATAGTGCCATAAACATATGCATTTATATGTCTTTATGGTAGAACAATTTATATTCCTTTTAGCATATATCCAATAATGGGATCACTGGGTCAAATAGTATTTCCGTTCTTTGAGAAATTGCCACATTGCTTTCCACATGGCTAAATTAACCTACATTATAACCAGCAGGGTATAAATGTTCCCTTTTCTCCACAACTTTGCCAGAAATCTGTTATTTTTTCACCTTTTAATAATAACCATTCTGACTGGTGTAAGATGGTAGTTCACTGTCGTTTTGATTTGCATTTCTCTAATGATTAGTGATGTAGAGCAATTTTTCATAAATTCCTTTTCAAACTAGCAGGTGTATGTATTACTTAAGGTAAAGTTCATATAATTTGTTCTCTGAAGAACCTTCTCAACTCCCACCCACCTTAAAGAATTTACCACTGTATACCATGGTCTCTTTTGTTGGGAGACGGGAGAAGAAGCGTTTGTACCTGTATTACATCAGTTACTGCATTGTTTGGTTATTTATTTTTATATCTGTCACCTCAACTAGAATGTGAGCATCACAAGTGTAAAGACTGTTTTATTCATATTATATCCCCAGCACACAGTAAGGGCCCTGGCACAAACTAGGTGCCTAATAAGAAGTAAATTAATTAATGAATGGGAATTCAAATGCTACTTTGCTCCAGTGAGTAAAATTAATAGCCTCTTAAGCAAACTATGGTTTAGAAGGGAAATTCTATTGAAGAAAAAAAGCCATGAATATTTCAAAGGCACATAAGTTTAACTAGAATTTCCTCTATTTCAAATGTTTTTTTCACCTCATAATTATTAATGCAGCATACAATATAATAAACAGAGAAAGTTTTTTTGGTAACTGTGCTTAAATAGATCTGCTACATGAATAGTTAACAATTTTTTAATACTTCTGATTTAGTAATAATATTGTAAATTTATTTTTGGTAAGTACATCTTCCTTTAACACATATTATTTTCATGTATATCATGTACCAGTCAGTATTACATAGGCATCTCTAATATGTGTTGAAATAAACCAGCTAATTTTACCATTAAGTCTAATTCAGAATTAGATTATAACCTGTACAATACACACTGGAAATAAACAGAATGCATCCTGAATTGGAACACTAAAACCGATCAAAAATGAGATTTAAAAAATTATTTATTAGCAATGATAGGCAATAAGCAGGATCCTTAAAAAAATGATCTTTAAAATTTGGGTGAAGAAAGTCAACATAAAAGAGTTCTAAATGAAAATGTGTTGTCAGATGAGTTGATGAAGTAGACAAAAGTGTATCAGTACTCAGCAGGTTCTCCTTTGGCAGCCTAATAAGTGCCCCAGGATTTTCCAAAACACAAAAATATCATTTGTTTATGTACCTGTGTGTATCCCTCTATTTCCAAAAGTCTAAAGAGAACAAAATAGCATGGATGGGTAATGCTGAAGAAGAGGATGCTTCATCCTAGTCTAGATTGTAGGAAAAATTGTTCAGAATCAATTTATTCTTTATAAAGATAAACCTCCACGTGCTGCCACTGTCAAGGTCTTCTTGAATAGTCTGCCTAAATGGTGTTTCATCTATCTTGTTTTGAAAAACAATTTTTTAAATTAGGATGGTATTTTTGTCTGAATGCCTCTACTTTTGGTCATGTTAGTGATACTATTTTTCGTTGTATCTTGGAAATGTTTTAAAAAGTGAACAAATTTTCCATATAGCAACTTCACGCTCCCTATAGTCCATGAAGACAAGACTCTTGTTAATGGAAATTGATTTTTGTGTAGGTTACATACAAGAGTTGTGTACTTCCCTCCATACAGTTACTCACTTCTGAGTATAACCTGAGAGACTCATATCCAGATGTGTGCGTAGAACTACATGGAAATGCTAATAGCAACTGATATTTGAAATGCTAGCAGGCTAATTTCACTCAGATTGAATGTGATTCACAAACACCTTTCTGTATCATTGCCTGCTCCCACCCCCAACAAACACCTTAACTGTATTCCTGGGAGGAGTGCAATTCTATAGATTATTGGTATTCATTTCTACAATTTCAGGAAGCCCACAGATTAACTGTATTCAGTTCCCCAAATTTGAAAAGCTCAATTTCAACAACCCAAAGATGTAAAGAGAATAAGAATAAATAATGTCTTGCTGTTTTGACATCTCTGACATCATGTTGTTTCCTTTGTTTTGACACACAAAAGTAAATCGTATTTCTAGTGTCATTATTCCAATTAGTAACAGATCGTCTTAGTAACAAGAGTCGTTCTTGTCTTATACACAATACAAGGCATTAAGACCCAGTATTTTAAGGCAAGGCTCATATGTGACATATTTTATTAAAATCTCTTAATTGATATTATCCACCAAGAAGCAGCAATGGGTAGCATATTACATGAGACCCCATGGTACGATTATGTTCCTGTTTTTAATGATGCTAAAAAATCTGACATACTATATATTTTAATTATATATTTGCTTGTCTACTCTCTTTAGAACCTAAGCAAACTAGGGCACAAATTTATTTTTCTGTTATTAATTCCTTTAACCCCAATGCCTTCAAGGATGTTTGGCACACAGTGGCTGTTAATAAATGTTTCTTCAATGAGTAAATACATGAACACATGTAAATATCTTTGTTTGAAATCACTATCATTCAACTCATAGGACCTCTCTCTTTTTCACCATTACCACTCACAGCAACTTCAAGTAAGAGATATGGAAGTAAGAATGTTCTTGCATCGTCTACTACCATTTCACTATACCTCCAGCATATCTTATCTATTCCTAAATTTGTGTTTTTCTATGCTCTATTCTCCAGTTAAAATTTCTTCACTCTTCATCTCTACCAATCTATGTGCCTTCCTTCCTTAAAAATCTGTCTCCATATCCTAACCCTCTAGTCATTTTTCTTTACATCCTCCCTGTGTATTCTCTCAATATCGGCATACTTTACGCTGTCTTCTTTTTGGACTAAAAATGGTCAGTTGTTTGGTAAATGTTTAGTCATAAGTCTTTAGTCTCAAGTGTACATCTCCAACTGAATGGGAAGCCCCTTAAAAGGAACAATTAGTCTACTGCACAGAGGATCCCCCTAGTTTTCTTAATGACTCTGAGTCCCCTTGTTGTCCTGCAGAGATTAGTGGAGGATTTAACACCTGCTAGCACTTTTATTCTTGAAATTCCATCACTGTTTTTTTTTCTTCTTCAATAGGATCCACCCTTTCTTATTTGTTCAATATTTTTTCTAGTTTCTTTCTTTTATTTCCTACTATTTACCTCTCATTCTTCTTTCTCAAAACATGGCACTTTTGAATCACATCAAAAATTTTAAATATACTTCAAAAATTAAATGTATTTTTTTCACTAAAGGTGTTCATTATATAAAATTGGAAATCACATAAAATATAAATATTACTAACAGTTTTGCTACTGGCAATATCTTAGATTATTTTCTTTATATTTTTAATATGCTGTTACAAGCAAATAAACAAAAACAATTGAAGTCCCACTCTGTATATTCAAATTTTACCTCAGAACATGAAGCTTTTCAAATTAAAATTTATCATGATTGTTTCCTATCTTCTAATGTGTGCATGTTTAAAGCCATATTATTTATCTTAAGAGCATAAGCTTGAGGGTAGTATTTTTTAATCTTAAATTATATAAACTATTTAATCAAAATTTATGTATTGTGTTTGTATAGCATTGGGGGAAGAAGGAGAAGGTAAGGATTGAGTTACTTAATACTAATTGTTGGTAACTAATTAGTTCTTGTATTATCTAAACCAATTTACATTTTATGCTAACATCATGATGCAATATTTTCCTTAAAATTATAGATCTTTTTAAATAAACAGTAAAATAATCTTATTGTTCTTCACATATAGATAAACTTTCTGTGTGAAGCAATCATTCATATACAGGTAATTTTTATCAGGATGTCTATATCCATCCTGATATGTGTGTGTGTGTGTGTGTATGAGAGAGAGAGAGAGAGAGAGAGAGAGATTCCAATAATAGCTATATAGGGTGTTTGGGGCATGGATATTCATGGAGGTGGAAAAAAGAAGGTTATTGTAAAGTAAGTTCCAGATTTCATAATATTTTACTCTTATACAGTTAACCTAAAAGTGACTAGGACCCTTTCAAAAGCAAGTACGTCTCTATGTCAGTAGTTTGGTGATTCATTAAGAGAAAACTTTTTCCTCATCTTGATTTAATGTCATTTTCTGGAGGACTGTTCATCATTTGACTCCATATAAAAACACTTCTTCCATTGGAAGACCTAAATACTGTTTGAAACTTGATGACAGACTCTTCTTTTCAGCCATCAGTTACCATGCCTCTTTGTCTTTTAATCTTATTCTTGTCTTCCAGCTTCTACATAGTTGGCTCAGTGCATTTTTCAGCTTCATGTTCTCATATTCATAGCCTTTATACAAATTTATCTTTTCCTGAACAAAACAGTAATAAAAATAGTTCTGGGATTTTTGCCAAACTTTGCTTCCAACGTCCACGTAATTTGGAAAATATCTTTACCTGTGTTACAGCCTATATCTTGGTATTCCTCTGAATTCAGATTGTAATTCTGGATGTCCACAGGGCACTTAAAGCTTACTTTCATACACTAAAGATATTTGGAAAGCAAACCTTTTGCTGGTTCTGAATAAAAGTTACAGCCATAGGTCCAAGATCATCAGTGGAATAGGTAGTCTGAAGATTTACCAAACCAATAGACAGGAACTGACTTGCTTTATAACTTCCTTTCTCATAACCCTAAAACCAGTTGAAAGTTTTCGGTTAAAATTTTTCCAGCCTTTCTTTGTAGGAGTTTCTTCCAATAAGAAAATTGATCTTCTAAACAAGCATTTTTTTACTCCATAATGATATACTTTTTAAAAAGATTAATCTTTTTTGTTTGTGTTATATATTGTTATTTTTATATTTTCTATTTACATTTTACACTAAGATTGTTCAGTCTTTCATCATATAAATGTACTTTTTTCTTTTTCAACTTTTATTTTAGAATGAAGAAGTACATGTGCAGGATTGTTACAGAGTTGTATTGTGTGATGCTGAGGTTTGGGGTACAATTGAACCCATCATCCAGGTAGTGAGCATAGTACTCAAGAGTTTTGCAACCCTTTCCCTGTCCCTACCTCCCCTCTCTGGTAGTCCCTAATGTTTACTGTTCCCATACATATGCCCACAGGTACCCATTGTTTAGCTTCCTCTTATAAGTGACAACATGCGGTATTTCTTGTTTCAGTTTTTACATTAGTTTGCTTAGGATAAGGGCCTCCAGCCGCATCCACGTTGCTGCAGAGGACATGACTTTGTTCTTTTTTATGGCTGCATAGTATTTCATCTGTATATGTACCACATTTTCTATATCCAATCCACCATTTATGTGCACCTGGGATGTTTCCATGTTTCTGCTATTGTGAATAGCACTGTGATGAACATGCATGTGTCCTTTTGGTAGAAATATTTATTTTCTTTTGAATATATACTCAATGATGAGATTACTGGGCCAAATGGTAGTTCAACTTTTAGTTCTTTGAGAAATCTTAAAATTCCATTTCATAGTGGCTGGACTAATTTATATTCTGTCCAACAGTGTATAAGTGTCCCCCGTTTTCCACAGCCTTGCCAACACCTGTTTTTTACTTTTTTTTTTTTTTTTGAGATGAATTCTCGCTCTGTCACCCAGGCTGGAGTGCAATGGCCCAATCTCAGCTCACTGCAACCTCCGCCTGCTGGGTTCAAGCAATTCTCCTGCCTCAGCCTCCCAAGTAGCTAGGACTACAGGCGTGTGCCACCATGCTCAACTAATTTTTTGTGTTTTTAGTAGAGACAGGGTTTCACCATGCTGGCCAGGCTGGTCTCGAACTCCTGACCTTGTGATCCGCCTGCCTTGGCCTCCCAAAGTGCTGGGATTACAGGTGTGAGCCACCGTGCCCAGCCTGTTTTTACTTTTTAACAAAAGTCATTCTGACTGGTATGCAATGGTATCTCATTGTGAGCTTCATTTGCATTTCCCTTACGATTAGTGACACAGAGCTTTCTTTCATGTGTTTGTTAGCCACTTGTATGTCTTCTTTTGAGAAGTGTTTGTTCATATCTTTTGCCCACTTTTTAATGGGGTTATTTGCTACTAGCTCGTTGAATTATTTAAGTTTCTTTGTAGATTCTGGATATTAGACTTTTTTGTTGGATACATAGTTTGTGAATATTTTCTCCCATTCTGTAGGTTTTTTGTTGCTCTGTTGATAGTTTCTTTTGCTATGCAGAAGCTCTTTAATTTAATTAGATTTCATTTAGCAAATTGGATTTTGCCACAATTGATTTTGGAGACTTAGCCATAAATTATTTGCCTCCTTTGATAATGAGAAGGGTACTTCCTAGGTTTTCTTCTGGAATTTTTATAGTTTGAGGTCTTACATTTAAGTCTATAATCCACCTTATTTTTTGTATATGGTTATATGTAGGGGGTCCAGTTTTATTCTTCTATATTTGAATAGCCAGTTATCCCCTCACTATTTACTGAATAGGGAGTCCTTTCCCCATTGCTTTTTTTGGTCAAGTTTGTCAAAGAACAGGGCGTGGTAAATGTACAGCTTTAATTCTGAGCTCTCTTCGGTTCCATTGGTCTATGAGTCTGTTTTTGTACTACTACCATGCTGTTTTAGTTACTATGTATTTGTGGTGTAGTTTGAAGTCAAGTAATGTGATGCCTCCAGCTTTGTTGTTTTTGCTAAGGATTGCTTTGACTATTTGGGCTCTTTTTGGTTCCATATGAATCTTAGTATAGCTTTCTCTGTGAAAACTCTATAAAAATGATATTGGTAGTTTTATTGAAATAACATTAAATATGTAAATCACTTTGGGCAGGATGGCCATTTCAGCTACATTAGTGATTGCAATCCATGTGTATGGAATATTTTTCCATTTATTTGTGTCATCTCTAATTTTTTTCAGCAGTGTTTTGTAGTTCTCCTTGTAGAGATCTTTAACTTCTTTAATTTGATATATTCCTAAGTATTTTATTTGTGTGTGTGTGGCTACTATAACTGAAATTGTGTTATGTATTTGGTTCTCAGCTAGAACATTATAGGTGTGTAGAAGTGCTACTGACTTTTGTACAATAATTTTATATCCTGAAACTTTACTGAAGTAGCTGATCATTTCTAGGAGCCTTTTGGCAGAGTCTTTAGGATTTTCTAAGTATAGACTCATATTGTCACAAAAGAATGATAGTTTGGCTTCTTCTCCTATTTGGATGCCTTTTATTAATTTCTCTTGCCTAACTGCTCTGGCTAGGACTTCTAGTACCATACAGAATATAAGTGGTGAGACAAGGCTAATCCCTTCTGCTTATGAGCATGTAAAATCAAGAACAAGTTAGTTACTTCCAAGATATAATGTGGTGACAGACATTGAGTAAATACTTGTGTTCTCAAAGGAACAAATTGGCCAAAAGAAAGGGGCTACAGGCCTCTTGCAAGTCCAAATCCTAGCAGTGCAGTTATTAAATCTTAAGGCTCCAAAATAATCTCCTTTGACTCCATGTCCCACAGCCAGGCACACTGGTACAAGGAGTGGACTCCCAAGGCCTTGGGAAGCTCCACCACTGTGGCTTTGCAGGGGTCAGCCCCTATGTCTGCTCTCACAGGCCAGCATTGAGTGCCTGCAGCTTTTTCACACAGAGGATGCAAGCTGATATTGGATCTAAAATTCGGGGGTTTGCAGGATGGTGGCCCCCGTGTTCTCACTCCAGTAGGCAGTGTCCTAGTGGGGACTCCGTGTGGGGGCTCCAACCTCACATTTCCCCTCTGCATTGCCCTAGTAGAGGTTCTAAATGAGGGTTCCACTGCTGTAGCAGGCTTCTGTGGGAACATCCAGGCTTCTCCATATATCCTCTGATATCTAGGTGGAGGCTCCCAAGCCTCAACTATTGCACTCTGTGCCCCTGCAGGCTTAACGTCATTTGGAAGCTGCCAAAGCTTACAGCTTGTGTCCTGTGAAGCAGCAGTCCCAGCTCTACCTGGGCCCCTTTCAGCTATGGTTAAAGTTGGGTCGGCTGGGATGCAGAAAGCAGTGTCCTGAGGCTGCACAGGGCAGTGGGACCCTGGTTATGGCTCATAAAACCATTAATTCCTCCTAGGTCTCTTGGCCTGTGATGAGAGAGGCTGCTACAAAAGTCTCTGAAATGCCTTTGAGTCATTTTCCTCATTATTTTTGTTATCAACATTCAGCTTCTCTTTACTTATGCAAATTTCTACAGCCTGCTGAATTTCTCCCCTGAAAATGGGTGTATTAATCAGGGTTCTCTAGAGGGGCAGAACTGACAGGATATATGTATATATGAATAGGAGTTTATTAAGGAGAATTGACTCACATGATCACAAGGTGAAGTCTCATGATAGGCTGTCTTAAAGCCGAGGAGCAAGGAACCCAGCAGTGCCTCAGTCTGAGTCCCAAAACCTCAAAAGTAAGGAAGCAGATAGTGCAGCCTTCAGTCTGCGGACAAAGGCCTGAGAGCCCATTCCACACCACTGGTGTAAGTCCAAAAGCCAAATAATTTGGAGCCTGATGTTCAAGGGTAGGAAGCATCCAGCACAGAAGAAAGATGAGGCCTAGAAGACTCAGCAAGTCTGCTCATTCCATCTTCTTTTGCCTGCTTTTTCTAGCCATGCTGGCAGCTGACTGGATGGTGCCCACCCAGATAAAGGATGGGTCTGCCTCTCCCAGTCCACTAACTCAAATGTTAATCTCCTCTAGCAACACCCTCCCAGAAACATGCAGAAACAATACTTTGCATCCTTCAATCCAATAAAGTTGACAATTAATGTTAACCAACCAACCCAATGGGCTTTTCTTTTCTACCAAATGATCAGGCTGCAAATCCTAGAAACTTTTACACTCTGCTTCCCTTTTAAATATAACCTCCAGTTTCAGATCATTTCTTAACTCATCCTTATGAGCATGGGTTGTTAGGAAAAACCAGACAACATCTTGGAAACTTTTCTGCTTAGAAATTTCTTCTGCCAGATACCCTGAATCATCACTTTCATGTTCTAGGCTCCGCAGATCCCTAGAGCAGGGGCACAATGCAGCCAGGTTATTTGCTAAACCATAGCAAAAGTGACCTTTAGTCCAGTTCCCAATAATTTCCTCATCTCCATCTGAGACCTCTTCAGCCTGCACTTCATTGCCCATATTACTATCAGCATTTTGGTCACAACCATTAAATAAGTCTCTACAAAGTTAGAGACTTTTTCCCTCATCTTACTTCCAGAAGCAGGAGAGAGAGAGAGTGAGGAGGCGCCACACACTTTTAAACAACCAGATCTCACAAGAACTCACTCACTTTTATGACCAAGAGAAATGGTACCACACCATTGATGAAAAATTGCCCCCATTATCCAGTTACCTCCCACCAGGCCCCACCTCCAACAATGGGATTACAATTCAACATAAGATTTGGGTAGGGAAACAGATCTAAACCATATCAGGAACAAAGATCAGAGGAGAACTAAATAAAATCAGAACAAAAAAATACAGAAGATAAATTAAACAAAAAGCTGGTTCTTTGAAAAGATAAATATAATCAATAGATCATTAACAAGATTAACCAACAAAAAAGAGAGAAAATCTAAATAAGCTCAATTAGAAATGAAATGGGAGTTATTACAACTGATACCATAGAAATGCAGAAGAGCATTCAAGGATACTATGAACATCTTTGTGTACACAAACTAGAAAACCTGGAGGAGATGGATAAATTCCTATGAATGTATTACCCTCCTAGATTAAATCAGAAAGAAATAGAAACTCTCAAAAGACCAAAAACAAGTAGCAAGATTGAAACAGTAATAAAAAAATGCCAAAAAAGTCCAATATCAGATAGATTCACAGTGGAATTCTATCAGGTATGCAAAGAATAACCGGTATCAATCCTACTGAAATTATTCCAAAAGATAGAGAATCCTTCCTAAATCATTATACAAAGCCAGCATTCCCCTAATACCAAACCAGGAAAGGACATTAAAAAAAAAAAAGAAAACTATAGACCAATATCCCTGATGAACGTAGATGCAAAAATCCTCAATAAAATCCTAGCTAACTGAATTCAACAGCATATCAAAAAGAAAATACACCATTATTGAGTGGGTTTCATACCAGGAATGCAGAGTTGGTATATATGCAAGTCAATAAATGTGATACAACACATAAACAGAATTAAAACAAAAATCAGCCAGGCGCAATGGCTGACGCCTGTAATCCCAGCACTTTGGGAGGCTGAGGTGGACGGATCATCTGAGGTCAGGAGTTCGAGACAAGCCTGACCAATACGATGAAACCCCGTCTCTACTAAAAATACAAAAATTAGCTGGGTGTGGTGGCATGTGCCTGTAATCCCAGGTACTTGGGAGGCTGAGACAGGAGAATAGCTTGTACCCAGGAGGCAGAGGTTGCAATGAGCCAAGATCACACCATTGCATTCCAGCCAGGGCAACAAGAGCAAAACTCTGTCTCAAAAAACAAAAAAATCATATGTTCATCTCAATTATGAAGAAAAAGCACTTGACAAAATCCAGCATCACTTTATGATTAAAACCTTCAGCAAAAGAGTCATAAAAGAGACAGACCTTAAGGTAATAAAAGCCATCTATGACAAACCCACAGCCAACATTATACTGAACAGGAAAAACTTGAAAGCATTTTTCCCTGAGAACTGGAACAAGACAAGGATGCCCACTTTCACCACTTCTATTCAGGATAGTACTGGAAGTCCTAGCCAGAGCAATCAGGCAAGAGAAAGAAGTAAAAGGCATCCAAATTGGTAATGAGGAAGTCAAACTGTCACTGTTTGCTGATGATATAATTGCATACATAGAAAACCCTAAACACTCATCCAAAAAGCTCCTGATCTGATAAATAAATTTAGTTAAGTTTCAGGATACAAAATCAATGTACACAAACAAGTAGCACTGCTATACACCAACAGCAACCAAGCTGAGAATCAAACCAATAACTCAACCCCTTTTACAATAGCTGCAAAAAAAGAAATACTTAGGAATATACCTAACCAAAGAGAGGAGAGATCTCTACAAAGAAAACTACAAAACACTGCTGATAGAAATCATAGATAACACAAACATGGAAATGCATCCCATGCTCATGAATGGGTAGAATAAATATTGTGAAAATGATCATACTGAGGGAGAAGGAAAGAAAAAAATCATTTGGGGGAAAATTCAGTCTGCAGAAGCAGCCTGCCTGAAAAGTCTCAGCAACAGACAAAAATAAAACAACCCGGGGAAAAGAAAACTCAGGCTGCTCCTGGACAGATAATCAAAACAGGGTCCAACACAGACATTCTTTCTTCTTTTTCTAATTAGCGAGCTCCCAGGGAAGAGTTTTCTCCCCTTTTCAGTCATATACGTGGGGGGAACTTGCTCAGGGAGGAGTGGGGCTTATCAAAAACAACCCACCACGCAAACAAGAGAAGTGGCACTTTGTGCTTGCCTAGAGACATATCCACAGCTTGCATGAGGTAAGGGGAGTTGCACAGGCAGCTTTACTAATAAGAGAAGTTACTCAAACTGCTACAGAGATGAGAGGAGTTTCTTATAAAAACTTTTGAATTTAGATGACACCTGGCAATCCACTCAGACTCCCCTCTCTGCTGCAGAGAGCTTTTTTAATTTCACTTACTAAACTTTCACTTCAACCACACCTTTGTGTCTGCGTTCCTCAATTTTCTTGGATGTAAGACAAAGAACCTGTGGTACTAGTTCGGACAATGAGAAACTGCTACATTACGGTGCATTGGTAAGACTGCAACATATACTTGGTGCATTTGGCTGGAAAAAAGAGAATTCATCAGAAAGGTGAGTAAGAGCAGATGTTTTACTTTAACTCTTTACTTTCATTTCTGAGACTTCTAGTCTATCACAATCTAGTTTCCTTTCACAGAAGCTCTAAGCCATAGTGTGGGATTTGAAGGAGGTCCTAGGACAACTGAAGATTTCTGGCTGGGGCTACACCCCAGTGTTATCTGAAGGACCTTAGACTCCAGTCCCCAACAGCTCATCAGGGTGTTGGCACAAGAGCCTCCCGTCCCTTCCTACTGCATTTTCCTCTCTCCTCTTCTGGCTATCACGTCTCCTATCCCTTCTTTGTATATACAATGTTGTGGGTGTTTCTGCAACCTGGAGATATAATCTTGCTGGTTAGAGTTAGTTGGTGTCTTAGGAATCAGGAATGTAACTTAAAGAATTGCTGACGTTGTGATTTCTTTGAGAGAGGGGACTTCAGGATTTCAGTCTAAATTTTCACCTAGTGAGGGCTTTTTGTACCCAATCATAGACATTCATGGCACTGCATAGGGGGATATTTCACCCCAAGTGAATATCCTCTTCCCTCTCTATTTGGATTGTTTCCCTCTCCATTTGGGTTGTTTCTTCCCTCCACGTAAAAGCCCAGCACTGCCCAATAAATTTAAACAGTTACTTCATGAGACAAGTCAATTTCCTTCTGCTGGGAGGCATGCTGTGGGGACGGCTTGCCACATGTCAGACTTCCCTGTCCATCCTCTGTTTAGAGAGGATATGGAAGCAAAGTTACTGCCTGGTATTTATTCATTTATTTTTAATTTATTTTTTATTATACTTTAAGTTCTAGGGTACATGTGCACAATGTGCAGGTTTGTTACATACGTATACATGTGCCATGTTGGTGTGCTGCACCCATTAACTCGTCATTTACATTAGGTATATCTCCTAATGCTATCCTTCCCCCCCTCCCCCGACCCCACAACAGGGCCTGGTGTGTGATGTTCCCCTTCCTGTGTCCATGTATTCTCATTGTTCAGTTCCCACCTATGAGTGAGAACACGCGGTGTTTGATTTTTTGTCCTTGCGATAGTTTGCTGAGAATGATGGTTTCCAGTTTCATCCAAGTCCCTACAAAGGACATGAACTCATCCTTTTTTATGGCTGCATAGTATTCCATGGTGTATATGTGCCACATTTTCTTAATCCAGTCTATCGTTGATGGACATTTGGGTTGGTTCCAAGTCTTTGCTATTGTGAATAGAGCCGCAATAAACATACGTGTGCATGTGTCTTTACAGCAGCATGATTTATAATCCTTTGGGTATATACCCAGTAATGCGATGGCTGGGTCAAATGGTATTTCTAGTTCTAGATCCTTGAGGAATTGCCACACTGTCTTCCACAATGGTTGAACTAGTTTACAGACCCACCAACAGTGTAAAAGTGTTCCTATTTCTCCACATCCTCTCCAGCACCTGTTGTTTCCTGACTTTTTAATGATTGCCATTCTAACTGGTGTGAGATGGTATCTCATTGCGCTTTTGATTTGCATTTCTCTGATGGCCAGTGATGATGAGCATTTTTTCATGTGTCTGTTGCCTGCATAAATGTCTTCTTTTGCAAAGTGTCTGTTCATATCCTTCGCCCACTTTTTGATGGGATTGTTTATTTTTTTCTTGTAAATTTGTTTGAGTTCTTTTTAGATTCTGGATATTAGCCCTTTGTCAAATGGGTAGATTGCAAAAATTTTCTCCCATTCTGTAGGTTGCCTGTTCACTCTGATGGTAGTTTCTTTTGCTGTGCAGAAGCTCTTTAGTTTAATTAGATCCCATTTGTCAATTTTGGCTTTTGTTGCCATTGCTTTTGGTGTTTTAGACATGAAGTCCTTGCCCATGCCTATGGCCTGAATGGTATTACCTAGGTTTTCTTGTAGGGTTTTTATGGTTTTAGGTCTAACATTTAAGTCTTTAATCCATCTAGAATTAATTTTTGTATAAGATGTAAGGAAGGGATCCAGTTTCAGCTTTCTACATATGGCTAGCCAGTTTTCCCAGCACCATTTATTAAACAGGGAATCCTTTCCCCATTGCTTGTTTTTGTCAGGTTTGTCAAAGATCAGATAGTTGTAGATGTGTGGTATTATTTCTGAGGGCTCTGTTCTGTTCCATTGGTCTATATCTCTGTTTTGGTACCAGTACCATGCTGTTTTGGTTACTGTAGCCTTGTAGTATAGTTTGAAGTCAGGTAACGTGATGCCTCCAGCTTTGTTCTTTTGGCTTAGGATTGTCTTGGCAATGCAGGCTCCTTTTTGGTTCCATATTAACTTTAAAGTAGTTTTTTCCAATTCTGTGAAGAAAGTCATTGGTAGCTTGATGGGGATGGCACTGAATCTATAAATTACCTTGGGCAGTATGGCCATTTTCATGATATTGATTGTTCCTATCCATGAGCATGGAATGTTCTTCCATTTGTTTGTGTCCTCTTTTATTTCACTGAGCAATGGTTTGTAGTTCTCCTTGAAGAGGTCCTTCGCATCCCTTGTAAGTTGGATTCCTAGGTATTTTATTCTCTTTGAAGCAATTGTGAATGGGAGTTCACTCATGATTTGGCTCTCTGTTTGTCTGTTACTGGTGTATAAGAATGCTTGTGATTTTTGCACATTGATTTTGTATCCTGAGACTTTGCTGAAGTTGCTTGTCAGCTTAAGTAGATCACTAGCAAGACTAATAAAGAAGAAAAGAGAGAAGAAACAAATAGATGCAATAAAAAATGATAAAGGGAATATCACCGCCGATCCCACAGAAATACAAACTACCGTCAGAGAATACTACAAACACCTCTACACAAATAAACTAGAAAATCTACAAGAAATGGATAAATTCCTCAACACATACACCCTCCCAAGACTAAACCAGGAAGAAGTTGAATCCCTGAATAGACCAATAACAGGCTCTGAAATTGAGGCAATAATTAATAGCCTACCAACCAAAAAAGTTCAGGACCAGATGGATTTACAGCCGAATTCTACCAGAGGTACAAGGAGGAGCTGGTACCATTCCTTCTGAAACTATTCCAATCAATAGAAAAAGAGGGAATCCTCCCTAACTCATTTTAAATATGAGGCCAGCATCATCCTGATACCAAAGCCGGGCAGAGACACAACAAAAAAAGAGAATTTTAGACCAATATCCCTGATGAACATTGATGCAAAAATCCTCAATAAAATACCAGCAAACCGAATCCAGCAGCACGTCAAAAAGCTTATCCACCATGATCAAGTGGGCTTCATCCCTGGGATGCAAGGCTGGTTCAACATACGCAAATCAATAAACGTAATCCAGCATGTAAACAGAACGAAAGACAAAAACCACATGATTATCTCAATAGATGCAGAAAAGGCTTTTGACAAAATTCAGCAGCCCTTCATGCTAAAAACTTTCAATAAATTAGGTATTGATGGGACGTATCTCAAAATAATAAGAGCTATTTATGACAAACCCACAGCCAATATCACACTGAATGGGCAAAAACTGGAAGCATTCCCTTTGAAAACTGTCACAAGACAGGGGTGCCCTCTCTCACCACTCCTATTCAACATAGTGTTGGAAGTTCTGGCCAGAGCAATCAGACAGGAGAAAGAAATAAAGGGTATTCAATTAGGAAAAGAGGAAGTCAAATTGTCCCTATGTGCAGATGACATGATTATATATTTAGAAAACCCCATCATCACTGCCTGGTATTTAAAGGCTTACGCCACCACCTGCTGGAATCGGAATCTGCTCCATAGGGAATCTTGTCTGCCCTTTGACAAAAACCTCTAGCTTTCCAGTTCTTCTCCCTTTAACATATCTCTGCTAGAAACCAATCTTTATGCCCTCTCTGCAAGCAAGAGAATTCTGCTTTCCGCAGTGAGGAGAAAAATGTCCATCAAAAACAAATTTTCATCTCAATACTACTCCATTAGCAGGAAGGCCACCATTTGACCCTTATGTTTTCTTGAGACACCTATTCTGCCTATGACTAGAATGGCATCTAAATAGAAAGTGGATTTTATGTCTGGAAGTTAACCAGAGCCACCACCTAAGAATAAATTCTCTAGTCTAGTCCATAATAGCAGAGTATAAAGCTCAATCCAGTACACTTCCTCCATTAAGAGGCCTTGCCTAAATGCAATTGTTACGTAGTCTCTCCCAAGATCCATCCATCAAGGAGTCACACAGACCACAAATGTCTAGGAAATCAAAGGGTAATTACCTAATTACCAAGCAGCAGACTAATGTCACATTGGTAAGCATGACTAGATCCATTGCTTAGCTCCTCTGGTACCATGGTTTGAGGGTCATGCCTGCACCCATAGGGTGGCACATACGGTGTTGGGACCCAGGAACCAAAGACTGAGAACAGTTCAGGGGACACTCCCACTGTCTTTCCCTTCACCCTGGGTCACACGGAAAAGAACAAGAAGACTGAAGAATGCCTCTTTTCTGTCTCTTTTTCTAGATAGATAACAGACCAACTTCAGCTTGCACCCTTCTGGAGTGCACCCTGCAACACTGGAACTCCTTTGACCACAGGACTTTAAAGAGAAAAGCAACTCATTTTCTTTTGCACGTGGGCATGGTATTTTTACTAAACCTTTTCAAGCATCGTAAGGTCAACCCAGCTTTTTTATCAGTCATATCAGGCAGGCCCATAGAGAATAATTCCCCAGAATTAGAAAAGCAACTTCCAGAGGAACCATCTGAGAATCCCCGCCATTTGGGACCACCTCAAGTTCCCTTCTTATTATTGCAGGACCTTAGATAAATAAAAGGGAAGGTTCTCTGATAACCCTGATAAATATATAGAGACTTTCCAAAATGTAATCCAAGTGTTTAATATTACATGGAGAGATGCTGTGCTATTCTTAAGTCAAACCCTAACTGTTACAGCAAAACAGGCAGCCTTACAGCCAGCAGAAACATTTGGAGATAAACAACATTTCTCCTATAGCCAGTCTAAAAGTCTTGAAAGGCAAAAGTCTAAAGAAAAAAAAAGTAAGAGAGAAACAGAATCCCCATTGCCAACAGAAAGAGAAACAGTGCCCCTTTAAAAATCCTAATTTGAGCCCTAGTAATCCCATAAATGGGTGGAAAAGAAAACATTTTCTGATGTGCATTATAAAAGGCTTGCAAAGAACCAGAATCAAACCTCTTAATTACTCTAAACTATCCTTGTTAAACCAGAAACCAGATGAAAATGTCCTTGCCTTTTTGAAAAGGCTAAGAGAAGCTTTAATAAAACACACCTCTCTGTCTCCCAATTCAATAAAGAACAGGTTCATTACTCAGGCAGCCCCTAATATTGGAAGAAAGATGCTGAAACAAGCCCTGTCTAAAAATCTTTCTAGTTTTTCTCACTCTCAAGTTGAAACTTAGCAGCATATAAAGGATACTATCCTCTGTGCCCCAACCAAGGAGGTCTCAGTAGGGCACTAAGACTTTCTTCAATTTCGTAGCTGAAAGGGAATATAAGGTCTCAAAATCTAAATCTCAGCTCTGTCAAACTTTAGTAATGTACCTAGGTTCGGTCTTATCAGAAGGGACTAGAGCACCAGGTGAGGAAGGGGTTAAGTCTATTTTCTTTAACAGTTGAGGGGATTCTTAGGCATTACTGGATTTTGTAGACTGTAAGTACCTGGGTACAGGAAAATGTCTCACTCTTTATACCACCTCATAAGAGAAACTCAAACAGTTAAAACTCACCACCCCCACCTTGGGAACTTGAGGCTGAAAAAGACTTTAACCAGTTAAAGCAAGCCTTACTTAAAACACCAGCCTTCATTCTTGCCAGCGGGAAAGCATCCAGTCTGTATGTGTCATAAAGGAAGGAAATGGCCCTGGAAGTTTTAACCAAGGCTTGAGGTCTGGCTCCACAGCCACTGGGTTATTTAAGCAAGGAACTTAACTTGGTGGCTAAAGGATGGTCATACTGCCTCCAAGCAGCTGCAGTTCTGGCTTTGCTGGTGCCAGAGGCCACTGGGTTAAACACGGGGAATAACTTAACTGTTTACATCTCACACAGTGCAGCAGGACTGCTGTCTTCTGAGGAAAGGCTCTGGCTAACAAACAATTGCCTCCTCAAGTATCAAGCTTTGCTGCTAGAGGGAACTGCAGTCCAGTTGAAAACCCGCCCTTGCCTGAGCCACTTTCTCCCAGAGGAAACTGGAGAACCTGAACATAATTGTGAACAGGTAGTGAAGCAAATTGGTAAAAGAAATAGAATCACTGTTTACATTCTCTGTAAAGTTTTAATAAAAAATAATTTTCTTAAAGATCACTCAGCTTAATTGAAAGTGGATATCTAAGCTATACGTATATTTAAAAGCCCTTTATGTTTTTCTCTTCATAGATCTTGTTTCCCTGGAAAAGGTTTTTGTTTTTGTTTTTTTTCTCAGTTGACTAAATTACTTTATTCACTGTGTCTTGCCATTGTTGGTGCATCCATGGAAGAACGTAGAATAACTTCTGGTGGCCTGGGACTCCTTGGGAAAACAGACAAGGCACCACAGATCCCAGTTTTGGAGAAATCTGTGTTTTCCTCATGGAACCCCTAGAATTACAGGTGGATAAGTCCCTCTCAAAATCTGTCTTTGTCTTCTAGCTATGCTTGTTTACTAGGCCCTGGGAACTCTGTTCTTCACGCTGCTCTTAAAAGGGCTCTATCCTGGCCGGGCGCGGTGGCTCACGCCTGTAATCCGGCACTTTGGGAAGCTGAGGTGGATGGATCACGAGGACAGGAGATCGAGACCATCCTGGCTAACACTGTGGAACCCCGTCTCTCTTCACCCTGCTCTTAAAAGGGCTCTATCCTGGCCAGGCGCGGTGGCTCACGCCTGTAATCCGGCACTTTGGGAAGCTGAGGTGGATGGATCACGAGGACAGGAGATCGAGACCATCCTGGCTAACACTGTGAAACCCCGTCTCTACTAAAAATGCAGAAAATTAGCCGGGCGTGGTGGCGGGCACCTGTGGTCCCAGCTACTCGGGAGGCTGAGGCAGGAGAATGGCGTGAACCCAGGAGGCGGAGCTTGCAGTGAGCCAAGATCGTGCAACTGCACTCCAGCCTGGGCAACAGAGCAAGACTCCATCTCAAAAAAAAAAAAAAAGGCTCTATCCTGAGCTGTTGGATCTTCTTTTGTCTGTCTGTGTAGTCTTATATATGATATGTATGTGCTGTCTATAAAAAACTAATTAATTGGCATAAAAATAAGCACTTAAATAAAATATTTTTAAGAAAAATGTGAAAGCTGTAGTACCTTTCAGTTCACGTAACTTTAATCTTTAAAAATATAAACAGTCTTAGGAGTTCTTGGTAAAATACAAATGTCTTCAAGATGTAAAAATGCAATCGAAATTACACAGGTCAGACAATAGGTTTGCTAAGTGTTTTAAGGTTGTAAACTGCTTCTTTAGCCTTTAAAAACTGTTACCTTGCCTGCTTCACTACTGGTAAAGCCTGGGAACAAATGAAAGTAACCACATCCCCAACTATGCTAAGAGGAGTCAAATTTTATCTTCATCTAGCACATAATCAAAACAACCTACTAGGTTTTACATTAAAGTTAAACATTACTAAGAGTTACCATTATAATATGTAATTGAAACTACTGAACATGGATTTGCATGCAAGGTGTGTAAAAACATTAAAAGGTGTTGATTAAAGATTATAAGAAGGTATGGAAATGTACATTTTGCCTAGGTAGAAAAAGTTGTCTTACATTAAATAAAATAAAGTAAAAGGTTTAAGCAAATTGTGACAAGACTGTAAAAATTAATCTTGCAAAAGAAGCTCTGTGTGGAAACATATTAACTACATTCAAAAGGGTATTATATGTTTTTTCTTTAAATTAAAAATTAAAATAAAAGCACAGGTTTTCTTAAGATGCCAATCTGCTCTTCAGCAAAATTTTTAGAGAGTTACAAAAGGTTTGTGAAAATCTTACTTCATGGTCAAACTGGTAAAATTAAATAGGATTGCCTATAAAGTTTTATTAAAAATTGGGTTTAACATTAATAGTAAGCTAATGCAAGGGTGAAATTTAACTTTCTCTCTTGAATAGGATTTTCATGTCATATTAAAGGCTGATGAATGCTTTTCGCTTTTTCAAATTTTTGGCTCATCATTTTGGCAAAACAAATAACTTACGATAATCTAAAATTATATTTCATAATATCAAGTGTTTTAAATTTTGAACATGTTTAACAGACTTCCCCAAATCAAACTTTGGTCTCAAGGCTGTCTTTCCTGACCCCTAGCTTTTGGGTGCTACAGAGGGCCCCTGGAACATCCGGAAGAGAAGCAAACAGGATTATTTAACATGTTTAGGTACATGGAATTGGTAAAATGATGTCTAATGCTCTTCAGGTTACAATTTAGGGAATAATATTAACATATGTTCCGAAACTGTATGGGATGTCTAAGGTTCTAGTGTATGAATATGTGCTATTAATTACAATTAAGCTTGTTATATTGGGTTATTGTAAGCCAGGAAAATAACCAAATTTGTAAATCATGTTTTTGCCTGTAACCATCCTGTATATTTTGTCATTTACAGACAATTGTTGTCTTGTTTTAATCTTCTTCTTAAAAAAAATAGTTTATAATCAGCTGTGGAACTTTAACAGGTGCTCTCAAATACAGATTTCTGGTAACAGAAAAACGTACAAGACTCAAAAAAGCTGAAATGTTTACTAATATCAAGCAGAACAAGAGTTAATGGAAAAGACTAAATTAATAGAAAACTAAAGCAATTTTTTTAACTTATGTTGGAACATTGCTGATTCTTATTTTCTCTGTCTGAGTCAAGGAAACTTGTCCTAAGCTAGCTACAGCCTTTAACAACTGAGTAAGGTACACTCCTGTAAGCAAGGTTTGGAACATGTTTGTTTCTCTCTGCCGGGTTCCTCTAAAATTCAGAAACTGGTTGTGAGTATTCTTAGCTTATAACAATATAGTTGTTTGCATCAGTGCAATACGAATCCATTTTATTTTGCAACAGGACATAATTGGAAAGATTGGTTGTTTTACCAAGTCTTTGACTGAAAGGGTGTGTTCCCCTTTGAAGAATCAAAATTGACTTGCAGAGCCAATAAAAGCCCCTTGGAAAAACTAGCCTCATACTTTGTCTACACAGCCCCTGTACAGGGTTCCTGACTTGTGGGATTAAAGAATGTCACTTTCTAGCAGGCATAGGATACCCACGCTCCTGGAACATCAAGAAGAAAGAAGTTTACCCAACTCACAAGTATTTGAGGGTATAAAAACATGTCTGGGCTCGGCTTTAAAAAGTCCTATCTGAGATTCCTTGTGGAATAAAGTTCCATCAAAGCCAATCTAAAAGGCCTATGTAAAAATAATTATTCTTGCTGCACTTTATGCAAATAATCAGACCAAGTTTAAAACTAAAGTGTATTTTGGAAACAAAATAGTCCTATCATATTTTTTAACAGAAATGAGGACTAAAAAGAGGGAAACGATGTTCCAAACTTATCATACATCTGTCATTGACTTCTAGTCTTATTAGTTGTTTTTAAGTTCTTGCCTACATTTGAAACTAACCCTGCTTATTCCTACAAGCCAACCAGTAATCTCTGGCTGCAGCTCAGAGGAAACAGAAAGGGATGGGTAATGTAAAAATCTGGTACAATGTTCTAGTTCTGGGCAACTAGTCTACATATCCTGCCAGGTAACCTATAACCCTGAGGTTACCTTTTTGGGAAAGTAAGACCAAGGAAGCTAAACAAAGCTAAGCCCCATGCACCCAAATCTTAACGGGCTAACTATAGCCACCAGTTATCAGGGCATGTCAGCAGACTCAGGGTTTTTAAGTTGTCCTTACCTCCTCCTTGTCTCGTTTTAATACATAATCACTAATAACCCAAATTGTTTCTTTCCACCTAAAAGCTATCAAGCTCCAAATGGTAATGCAAATGGAACCATGCATAGACATGCCTTTCAACTGAGGACACTTAAACCAGCCCCTGGAGGAATCCTAGCTGCTGCTCCCCACACAATGCCCCTCTCCAGCAGGAAGTAGACAGAAAGATCAATGCCCTATCTCCCTAACAACAGTTAGGGTTTCCACTCCTGAGGTAGGGAATAAGGGAGAAGGAAGGAAAAAAAAAACATTTGGGAAAAATTCAGACTACAGAAGCAGACTGTCTGAAAAGTCACGGCAACAGGCAAAAATAAAACAACCTGGGGAAAAAAAAAAAAAAAAAAAAACTCAGGCTGCACCTGGATAAGCAAAACAGGGTCCAACACAGACATTCTTTCCTCTTTTTCTAATTAGCGAGCTCCCAGGAAAAAGTTTTCTCCCCTTTTCAGGCATAAATATGGTGGGAACTTACACAGAGAGGAGGGGGGCTTATCTAAAACAACCTACCATTATATAAACAAGAGAAATGGCTTTTTGTGCTTGCCTAGAGACATACGCACAGCTGCATGAGATAAGGGGAGTTGCACAGATAGCTTTACTGATAAGAGAAATTACTCAAACTGCTACAGAGATGAGAGGAGTTTCTTATAAAAACTTTTGAATTGAGCTGTAACCCGGCAATCCACTCGGACTCCCCTCTCTACTGTGGAGTGCTTTTTTTTTTCAATTGTTAAACTTTTGCTCCAACTCCACCTTTGTGTCTGCATTCCTTAATTTTCTTGGATATGACAAAGAACCCGGGATACTAGTTCAGACAATGAGAAACTGCTACATTAAGGTGCATTGGTGAGACTGCAACAATACTACCAAAAGCAATCTACAAATTCAATGAAATTCCCATTAAAATACCATCATCATTCTTCACAGAACTAGAAAAAGCAATCCCAAAATTCATATGGAACCAATAAAAAGAGCTCACATAGCCAAAGAAAGACTAAGCAAAAAGAACAAATTGGGAGGTATCACATTACCTGACTTCAAACTATACTACAAGGCTATAACCAAAACAGCATAGTACTGGTATAAAAACAGGCATGTAGACCAATGGAACAGAATAGAGAACCCAGAAATAAGGCCAAATACTTGTATCCAGCTGATCATCAATGAAGCAAACAAAAACATAAAGCATGGAAAGGACAAACTCTTCAACAAATATTGCTGGGATAATTGGCATGCCACATGTAGAAGAACTGAAACTGCATCCTCATCTCTCACCTCATACAAAAATCAAATCAAGATGGAACAAAGACTTAAATCTAAGACCTGACCATAACAATTCTAGAAGATAACATTGGAGAAACTCTTCTAGACATTGGCCTAGGCAAAGAGTTCATGACCAAGAACGCAAAAGCAAATGCAACAAAAACAAAGATAAATAGATGGGATGTTATTAATCCATTTATGCCTGAGGTTGCAATTTTTTGAATTTTTGCTATCAGACCTTGGCGATGAACTTGATCAGTAGAATATAAATAACTCCCAGATGTTTAACGTTCTAATAATAGAACACTAGGCATAAGTTTAAACTAAACAGCTTCTGTACAGCAAAAGAAATAATCAGCAGAGTAAACAGACAACCCACAGAGTGGGAGAAAAATCTTTGCAAACTATGTATTGGACAAAAGACTAACATCTAGAATCCACAAGGAACACAAACAAATTAGCAAGGAAAAAAAATAATAATTCCATAGAAAAGTGGGCTAGGAACATGAATAGACAATTCTCAAAAGAAGATATACAAATATCCAGCAAACATATGAATAAATGCTCGACATCACTAATTATCCAGGAAATGCAAATCAAAACCACAATGTGATAACACCTTACTCTTGCAATAATGTCCATAATTTAAAAAATCAAAAAATTATAGATGTTGGTGTGGGTGTGGTGAAAGGGAACACTTTTACACTGCTGGTGGTAATGTAAACTAGTGGAATCACCATAAAAAACAATATGGAAAATCCTTAAGGAGCTGTAGGGGTGGGTTGCCCCTACACACCTGTGGGTGTTTCTCGTAAGGTGGGACGAGAGATTTGGAAAAGAAAAAGACACAGAGACAAAGTATAGAGAAAGAAATAAGGGGACCCGGGGAACCAGCGTTCAGCATATGGAGGATCCCGCCAGCCTCTGAGTTCCCTTAGTATTTATTGATCATCTGTGGGTGTTTCTCAAAGAGGGGGATGTGTCAGGGTCACAAGACAATTGTGGGGAGAGGGTCAGCAGACAAACACGTGAACAAAGGTCTTTGCATCATAGACAATGTAAAGGATTAAGTGCTGTGCTTTTAGATATGCATACACATAAACATCTCAATGCTTTACAAAGCAGTATTGCTGCCCGCAGGTCCCACCTCCAGCCCTAAGGCGGTTTTTCCCTATCTCAGTAGATGGAGCATACAATCGGGTTTTATACCGAGACATTCCATTGCCCAGGGACAGGCAGGAGACAGATGCCTTCCTCTTGTCTCAACTGCAAGAGGCGTTCCTTCCTCTTTTACTAATCCTCCTCAGCACAGACCCTTTACGGGTGTCGGGCTGGGGGACGGTCAGGTCTTTCCCTTCCCACGAGGCCATATTTCAGACTATCACATGGGGAGAAACCTTGGACAATACCTGGCTTTCCTAGGCAGAGGTCCCTGCGGCCTTCCGCAGTTTTTGTGTCCCTGGGTACTTGAGATTAGGGAGTGGTGATGACTCTTAAGGAGCATGCTGCCTTCAAGCATCTGTTTAACAAAGCACATCTTGCACCGCCCTTAATCCATTTAACTCTGAGTTGACAGAGCACATGTTTCAGAGAGCACAGGGTTGGGGGTAAGGTTATAGATTAACAGAATCTCAAGGCAGAAGAATTTTTCTTAGTACATAACAAAATGGAGTCTCCTATGTCTACTTCTTTCTACACAGACACAGTAACAATCTGATCTCTCTTGCTTTTCCCCACAAGGAGCTAAAAGTAGAACTACCATTTGATCCAGCAATCCCATTACTGGGTATCTATCCAGAGGAAAAGAAGTCATTATATGAAAAAGACACTTGCACGTGCATGTTTATAGCAGCAAAATTCACAATTGCAAAATATGAAAAATATGAAATTAGCCTAAATGCTCATCAACCAATGAGTGGATAAAGAAAATATGAATATGAAATGAAAGACAAATACCATGTTCTCTCATTTATATGTGAAATCTAAAAAAGTTGAACTCATAAGAGTGGAGAGTAGGATGGTGGTTACCAGAGGCTAGGGTGAGGGAATAAATTGGGGGATTGTAGGCCAAAGGGTATAAAGTTTCAGTTATACCGGAGGAATAAGTTTTGAGATGTATTGCACAACAGAGCAACTATTGTCAATAAAAATGTATATTTCAAAACAAGGAGTAAATCTCAAATGCCTCACCACAAAAAATAAGTAAGTGAGGCATTGGATATGTTATTTAGCTTGATTTAATCATTTCACATTACATACATATATGAAAACATCACATCATACCTATGAATGTATACAACTATGATTTGTCAATTTAAAATAATTTTAGTTTAAAAATAAATAAAAATAAACCATATCAGGGACACTGAAGAAAATTTTCTCATTTTAATTGCAGATTACCGGTGGCTAATTGTGCTCCAGAGAGCATGTAACTGTAAATATGCTTACAACATCTTAATAGCAGTTGGGTAAACATGCTATATATATGAGATGGGAAAGCTTACCTAAATGATTGAAGTTCATTATGCCAAATTACCCCAAACTAGAAATAAAGTTTGGAAGTAAATGACACTTGCTTTTGTTAATTTCTATCCTTGTAATACTTATGCTACTAAATACCCTTTTTTGGATATTTGACAAAGATACTGAAAACCGGTCAAAAATATCCCTGCTCATCTGAAATATTTGCACTCCCTATGTGATTTTTTTCTGAAGAGACATGCCTTACTGCTTTCATACCCTTTCACCAGGGTGAGTCAGGGTGCGTTCACTTTTCATGCCACTAAGTAAAGGGAACAATCACACCTAGGAGTTTATTTATTTATACAGTCTGCACTCTTTATGGGCAGTGAACATTCCATCGAAAACCTCTTTAACTGATGCATTATTCAGTAACTTGTTCCATTTTCACTTTGCAGTTATTTTCTATTTATAATGGCATTGGATTTTTAACTCTATTTTTTAAATAATAACACTTGAAAATTTAATAATAACTTACACTATGACTGATATTTCCCTGATTGTGTTATATTATATTTCAAATAAATTTTATATAAAAACTCAATTCAATGGAACATCTTGTCTGAAACAAAATTCTGCATACATTCTAAATAAATTATTTTTTACTCAGAAATGAATTCCTATTCTGTTACATACTGTTCTCTTTCCAGACCCAAGTATATTTAATCTTATTTGTACTTTTCTTCAGAAAAAAATCTTATTAAATGGTTATATTGCAATTAATATATTATTCTTATTAATATGTTTTCAAAATTATAAAATTCAGAAATGTTGTTTACAAGATATGTCTTCCCTTGTAAAATTTTGCCTAATATACAAACACTTTACACTCAAGGTGAACACACTTAAGTTATAATTAACACACTTCCAGCCCTGAGGGTGCAAATCACTACTGTCAGTTTTGATTAGCCAGAAACAAATTGTTAGTCCATCACACATCCTGTCCTTGCAGATAGTCTAAGAAACCATGAAGTTTTCTAAATTACCTAGTTTCCTAAATTTGCAAATCCTCTGTCCAAGGATCAATTAAAACTGTTTAAACCAAGAGTGCCATCCACCAAGCAATGGTCTTTCTTATGCACATATGCACATATACACATGCATATTTATTCTACGTTCACCAAATTCATATGACTAAGAATGAATTAAATTTATTTTGACTATTTAAAATTAAAATAAAACTTATGTTTTTTTATTAAAATTGACAAGTAGTTGTTTATAAAAACCACAGAGCAATTAGAGAAACTTGGATAGAATACTGGAGGGAGAAAGGGAGAAGGAGGATAAAAGCAATCAGAGTGGACAACTTGGTTTATTTCATAATTATTTTCTAGGATCAGACTTTGGAAAAACTTGTAATATTTTCAGCATATAACCTTTTTTGAACTGTGTATTACTTTTCAAACTGCCCTACCATAATTGAAACCCAGATTATTCACTAGAATACTATACTTTAAAGTAACTTTGAATAGTTCACTTGTTTTATTTTATGTATGAGGATAACAGATGGCATTCCACCATTTACTTCTTTTCCTGTTTTGGGAAAAAGACTTTCTGACCTAATTGGAGATGACCAGTTCTAATGCCTCCATTAGTTAAGCTTTAACAATATAGTTAAAGAATAAAACATTAGCTTCATTCTTGAATTTATTTGCTTTCACAGATTTGTTTCTAGCATAATGTCATTTTAAATGTACTTTTAGTATGTTAATTATAATTAAGATAACTATCTCTTAAAATTAGAGTGGATGGAGTATAAAAAATTAATGTATGATTCTGTCAAGTGTATTTATATTCTGTCAACAAAACCTCAGTAATTAGGTGTTATTGAACAAAACTAAATATTGTTCCTAGTTTCAAGTCTCATTGTGTTTTATTTCTGGTGAAAATAATCATTTTGTTCTCATTTTGCTGTAACAAGGACTAGCTTATTTTCGTAAATAAACTGCCCCTAGATTTTTTATTCACTCTTTAAATATCAGAAGATTAGAAAATAGCAGCTGGTAAGAGGAGGACAAACATCTCCTAGGGTAGAGCAGATTATAAGGCACTTTGGGGAAGATGTAGGACATTCACTGCTGTGAGAATTCTCTGCTGAATCAGATAGTCTTGTGTTTCAATTAAAAAAGATATTATACATCACGGAATTTCAGGGCTTATATATTTGAGATAATTAAAATTTATAGGTAAAGAACTGAGAGAGTTGGTTCTAAGTGCTTCCTACTCTGAAATTCTGTGGTACATAAAATCTTTTTTGGTATTACTATAATTAATATTATGTTATATTACCCATGCATATGTAACATATATATAATTATATGTATAAAGGTTTTATATTACACATATAAGTGTATTATACCTGTTACATATCTCAACTATATTACTCTTCCAGTACAATTTATCACTATGTAACATCCCTCAAACTTTCTCAACCTCCTATGCTCTGAAAAACTTTCTTTGTAATTAAATCAAATTTCTCCTACTGCAGATTTCATTATTCATAAGTTTCACAGCATTTTCTGTCAGAAAAATATATAGAAACCATGTAGTCCCATCCTTTGCATTTACCAGGAAAAAGGCTGAATCTCACAGATCTTCTCAAGTTAATGGCAAGTTAAAGATAATATCATGGCTCTCGCCTGTATCTCCTGCCCCTCAGTCCACTGTATCAAGCTGTCTTCCCTATTTTTATGTTTCTTTGCAAACTGTTAAATCTCTCTTCTACCTTTGATACCTATGCTAATTCAAACAAACAAACAAAAACTCTTTCAGCCTCGAGGATTGAAATATCTGGTATTCCAATTTCCCAGATAATGAGAAGTGTTGACAGGTTGCCTCCTTAAACCTTTTCTACCAACTGTTATTCCCACTTTTCTGTTTTTCTTGTCTTAAGATACATTACTTAGGAGGAGTGACACAAAACTATCATCACTAATGAGTATCCTAAATCGGAGTCTCATCAGATTAAGTAAATGTATTCATTTCTGTTGCATAACACATTACCACAAATTTCCTGGCTTAAAACAATATAAATGTATTATCTTACAGTTCCCATAAGTCAGAATTCTGAATTAGTTGGGTTAGCTCTGCATATAGACTCATCAGGCTTAAATCAAGATGTTGGCAAAGGGCTGCAATCCCATCTGAAGCTTGAGGTACTCTTCCAAACTCACATGGCTTTTATACGAATTTAGTTCCTTGGGATTTTAAGACTAAAATTCTAATTTTCTTTCTGGTTGTCAGCTGGAGTGGGGTCATTGTTATATCCTTTAAAGTCACAGCCATTCTCTGCCACATGGATGTCTTCACAACACATCAGTGAGAGTGGCAGGAGGCAGCTACATGCCTAGGCAGATAGGGGCAAGTCCCTGGTGAAACCCCACCTCCAAGCTGAAGACAGTTTAAAGCCTGAAAGCCAAGTTACAAGTTAAATCCTTTGACCAGATTGAGAACTTATCTTCTTGTTTGGCATGCTTTCCTCTGATTGGTCCCCACCCTTCATCTACTTTACATATACCTACCCTTTCCTACTTGATTTTCTACTCTGCCGTGCCCACCTTTGAGTGTTTTCTTCGCTTTAAACTTTTTTGCATATTCACAAACCCATCAGCACACACTCCTCATTCTGAGTCCATAAAAGTCTCCAAACTCAGCCTCATAGGAGAACTTTCTTGACTTTGGGTAGGGTGACCAACCCCACATCCTCTCTTTGCTGAGAATTTTCCTTTCACTTAATAAATTATTCTCCACTCACTCTCCTGTGTCCGTGTGCCTAATTCTTCCTGATTGTAAGGCAAGAACTCAGGCCTAGCTGAGCTAAGGAGCAGACTACAACAGAGGTTTATTTCCTCAAGGCCAGCAAAAAAAAAAAAAAAAAGTCTCATATGCTTCAAATCTACTTTCAAGAAGGGCACAGTCCCTTTTATAGCCTCATCTCATTGAGGCAGGGCCAATCAGGAAAATCTTCCTTTCTTCCTTTTGATTAATGAAAAAGTCAACTAACTAGGTGAATTAATTATATCAGCAAAATCCTTTCACATTTATTATATAACATGATTTAATCACGAGTAAAATCCATCATATTTCCAGTCCTTTATAACTCAAAGAAAGGGGATTATACATGGCATGTCTACCAGAGGGCAGGAATGTTAAGGGTCATCTCAGAATTCTTCTAACTACAGTAAGTATTCACCTAGCAATGAGGAGAAGACAAACACTGGATGACTAAAGGAGAAAAATAAATAGTATAATGTTTAGAGAAGATGATCCTAAGACAAAACTTTTTGACTCTTGACAGTCAAAACCATGGCCAACCATATTTTAAGTAACTTTAGCTGTTTTGTGTTTTTTTTCTAAGTTCATAGCTTAATTGTGTTTAATTAATACTTATTAAAAGAAGGGTATTTATAAGTAACCACTATCTACTTCCAAATATTTATTTAGCGCCCATAAAGACCTGGAAAGAAACCTGTTTTTTTCATCATTTTAAGAAATTATGCTCATAATATGATCAAAGTAATATATAACCAGTTGAAGAAAGTAGAGTTGGACTTGCACTCTAATCTTCTCTTTCTAAGTCCACTACATTGCTACTACATCAAAGGCCCCACAACTTACTTGCTCTGTACACTAGGCTCTACTAGCACAGGTAGGGGACTATCGGTATATAATGTAATCCTTAACCTCACTGAATATAACATGTATTTGGCAAAACAGCAGTCTCATAAAAATCATGACATAATGCAAAGTAATTTAAGAATAAGTATGAACAGTAGTTAAGTTGTAGACACATTTGTGGTACTATCGAATACCAAACATATCTCTTATTATAAATTTCAGGCCAGGTGCAGTGGCTTACGCCTGTGATCCCAGCACTTTGGGAGGCCGAGGCTGGCGGATCATTTGAGGTCAGGAGTTCAAGACCAGCCTGAGCAACATGGTGAAACCCCATCTCTACTAAAAATACAAAAAAATTAGCCGGGCATGGTGGCACATGCCTGTAGTCCCAGCTACTCAGGAGGCTGAGGCAGGAGAATTGCTTGAACCTGGAAGACAGAGGTTGCAGTGAGCCAAGATTGTGCCACTGTGCTCCAGCCTGGGAGACAGAGTGAGACGCTGTCGCAAAAAATAATAATAATAATAATAATAATAATAACAATAATAAAAACAAATAAATAAATTTCATTATTCTCTTCTTACTTCTGTGTTTCCTCACTAGACCATGAACTACTTGAAGACAAGAACTGAATGAAATTTTGCTTTGTATTCAGAAAAGTTAGCACAGAAGTTGGTATGTAATAACATAATGGGCTCTCAATTGATGTTTGTTCAAAATCAATTATTTTCCCTACAGAGTACTTTTCATTTGTTATAACTGTAGTAAAATTTCTTTTTAAGAATGTTCTTTTCTACCCAAAGCATAGGTTATACTGAAAAGCTAGTAAGAATTTTGAAGCAACGATCACGTGGCTTATAGAAAGGCAGTTTAAAATCTAGAATGAAATTTTATTCAGTAAAGGAATACTAAATTAAAAATGAGAAATTCTTATTCTAGATACTAATGAACCAAAGATGACTACTATGAGAACTCTACCCTTGCAAAAAAAGCTTACAGTCCCATGGGAGAAACAGCAACAAGCAGAAATTATGAAAGTGCATGAAGAATATGCCAACAGAGAATCTGTCATGGTGGCATTGAGGAAGAAGTGGCTAGATCTGCTTGGAAGTGCATAAACAAATGTGTCTTTGTCAGTCGTATGTGAGTATTTAATAAGAAAAATATTGTTACTTTAATTAAATTAGCATGGGTTGTGCTTTCTTTGAGAACAAAGAAAGATATGTCTCTCTATGTTTCAGTTTCTAAGACAAGGGAACCACACTTAGACATTAAATGCTAAATACACATAGGGAAGCCTTCATTCAATTAGATGAAAAATTACTTGAAATGACTCAGTTTTATGACTGCAAATGAGAATGGAGTCATCTAATAGTGATGACTTCATTTACCAATGCACAGTTTAATATATGGTATATATTACATATAAATAAATCTATATACTAAATGTTATTAACAATTTTATAATATAAATACTAACTACTTAAATATTTTTCATGTTAAATGACCAAATTATATAACTCTAATGCTTACTAATTGTAAATTGTTTCACTCTGTCATATGAGAAGATCTTAGTAAAAGAAGGTCATGTAAATTGTATAATAAAAGTCAAATGAGATATTCCACTAACTGTGAATAGGACAGGAGAAGGATTGCATGGAAATAAATGCACACATTGTTGCTGATTCTAATGAAGCAGCTGTGTTTTTATTCTGCAAATGTTTTTAGTTTGTAATTAATCATTTTGTGAAATGATTTTCCTCGTAAATCCAAAAGTAGATTTTTTTGCCCCCTTCTGACCACTCATCAATTTCATCTTATCAGATCACTATTTCCAGAAGAGGCAGAGGCAAAGCAACATATTTACACACAGTTAATGTGACTTTTATTGCAACAATATGACAACAAATTTTTTTTCTTATAATTTACAGAAAGGAATTTTTTAAAATTATATTTGGATACAGTGAGCTTCTTTTGATCCTGTAAAGTCTGAGTACCAAATGTTTAAGTTCCCTTTTAAAGCTTGAAGGAGTTACTTAAATAAATTTACCCAGAAATGCAATATTATCTGGAATTATAATCAAACTAATCAAACCAAAGAAGGGTTTAGATATGTTTTTATTCTCCATTTTTTCTAACATCTAACACACTACCTAAGAGTTCTCAGTAAATAGTTAGTTCAGTGAAAGAAAGAATTAACAAATATGTTCTTGGATAAGTAATACCTAGTGTGTTATGAATTTGTTTAAAAAGACATGGATAGGTTTGGCATATCTTTAAACTTAGAATTAAGGATATAGAGGATAATCACTTGTTCTAACACAAAACATTAGCCCATGATGCTTACCATTTCCATTTTCATTGTCCATTTTCTATGTAATTAAGTTCTCAAAATGTTTCTGGAACTTAAGAACAGTAAAAGTATATTGTATCAGAACTATGTTAGCCCTTACTTCACAAGCCAAGGAACAAATGTCAGGGTTCTGACAATTCCAATGTTTGTCCATTGTAATAATAAATTTAAAGATCAAAAAATGACCACCAAGTGAGTATGTGGACCCAGTAGACTTACTATGATCCAGACATGAAATAGAAATTCATCATTACCTGGCCTCTATCTATCCCTCACTCTAAACAGCAATCTATGATGATACTTGTATCCTCGAGTACAAATGTCAACTCATATCCTGAATCCAATGGTCCTAGAATTGTTTGATATTTCACTTATCCCAATATACAACTACACAAGCCAACGGTCATAGGACCCTTTGTATAAGGACTAGAGAATCAATACAACAAGCACTTGCTATGCTGTCTCAGAGTTGTTCCTCATGAATACCTGGCATCCTCTTTAGTCAATGGGTTTGGGCCCAAGAACTGGCTCTTTCCAAAACTAGGCATGGGGTCACGACTTTATTGAGACTGCTTCCCTGAGGCTCACAATCATCCATGGTTGATTATTTTTTGTTGTGTACATTGGGCAATTTTCTTTTTGATTGCACATCTCTGAGCCTTTGATTCTTTTCATCCATCCCAGGTTAGGTCCTGGCATTCCTACTTCACTTTGTGAGAACCACTACTTTTTTCCAAGCCTACAAGAGACAACTTAGCAGTGTATTAACACTATCTCCAATAGTCTTTTCTAAGGTATTAAATTCTGTATTCCAGGTGAGTGTTCTTATACTAATTTTCCTCATCTAAATTTATATTCTGTGTTGTTTGAAACAGCATCGATGGGATCCAGACTCAGATATGATATATGTATATACATTCTGAGTTCCTTCTGGTACATGTTGGCTAGATCTTGCAGCAATTTTGGTGTATAGCTCCTTTTCTTCTTTAGAAGACTCGGCACTTCTTTGACTGGTTTATATTGTAACATGAGTGTAATTATTGATTTGTTAGCCATGAAGTATGAATGTAGATCCACAGGGGGCAGATATTGCTTTTGAAAGGAGAGTTCTCTATGTTGCCTTTAAGCAAGGTGGCAAAATAGCCTTCTAAGTGGAAGACTGGGCTATTTTTGTAGATCTAGAGGGTTAAAGGTAACATAGAGATTGAATTTTCAAGTGCATGAATGCAGATGTCTCCATCCCAAGTCCTGAAATCACAGCCTTTTCCAATCAGGGCCCTGACTTTGGCATTTCAGATTTGCCATGGATGAGAATTCAACCTTCTCTGGAGTGCTGATACTCCTATAATTAAGTACAGGGTCTGATTATCACCATTTTCTATCCTCCAACTTCAGGAGATGATAGTATCTTTATATGCTGCCAAAGAAACCTTCTGGCTTTCATATTCAAATTATATTGCTTATTAATCACTCTCAGCCTTTCATTGTCTTTTTCCAGTGCATAAATTATCCCTAACACAGCCGTCAGGTTCAAAAGTTCTTAGAATTAGTCTCTCTCATTATATCCCGCCCCCCCAAAAACAAAACATTCAATTGCCTGACATATACCTTTCAGGGCATTCACTTCCTTCAGTCTTTTATCCAAGTTCATTATTAATGAAAATGCTAAGTATTATACAAAAGTCACAAGCCGGGGGGCTGTCAGTTATTCATCTGCTAACAGTTATCCATCACATTTTAGAATTTGTTCCCAGGAAGCTTCCTACTGCCAACTGTAGTATGTTGTGTTCCTCAAAAACCAGATTCTGAGACTCTCAGAGCTGCATGCAGGAGGTTTACTGGATAACAATACTCATGGGGAGGGAGGGAAGCAGGATTGGGCAGAGGGAGAAATAGGACTGCTGGGAAGTTGCAACTGAGGTCTCAGCTAATCCTATGGGGATCTATGGAATGCAATGGCTCTTCAGAGTTCTCCTGCCTTAAGGCAAGAGGTCTGCGCCTTTATGCTTCATTATTGACCAGTCATTGCATATTGGGTGACCCCAGGAAGGTGATATGAATTTCAGTAAGACAGCTATCTTTTGTTAGAGGGCAATTTGCAGAATGGAATTCAGGCGAGATTCATTAGTCACAAACACTCCATACAGCCAGAGTCCAAACTGCCTCTTCCTGAAGGGGAGACCTGGGCAATTTGCTACGGCACTCACTATAATTTCCCAAAACATATTTGCAATTTTACATGGACATTCTGGAAGCTTTAAAATTTAACATAATGGCCTAATTTATGATGGTGATTTTGAGAAGTGAGGTAAGTTGAAAGTAAAAAGAATTTTAGAGCAGGCTGTGTACTTGATGATTTTCACACAAGATGAAATATTCTGCTCAGGTTTGAAGCTGACCAGTGATTCACAAACTTTGTAAACTGTACAAACCCCAACATTATGTAAAGTATAATGTGAGCCTGTAGGTTTCATTTGCAGGCTTTTGTACTGGATTTGACTTGGAAGTGTTTGCTGGAAAAAGGCCCTGGTCTTGATTACTGTGCTCCAAAGGGCTCCTTTGCCTAGCTATCCACAGCCAGATAACAGTGCTTAAAGCCATATTTTAGGTTCCTCGTAAACCATTTTTTCTTCCTTTTCTTCTTGTAGCTGCCATATTTCAACTAACCACACAAAGGCTGCTAGCTGCATGTAATTATTTTCTGATATATAATTATAAAAATGCCTGAGAGAGGAGATTATACTCTTTAAAAACAGAAGTCAGAAAGACTGATAAACTGGACAAAATTTGCCACTTCTTATTTAAATGTATAATTCAGGAATTAACTTTGTTTTTCAATGGAGCAAGGTGGTCCACCATATCTTAAGGACAAGTGGGAAGAGGGAAATAGGGGCTGATTTTAATGCGAATGAATAATAGAATCCTAAATTGTTCCTATAAAATAAAAAATCTTCACTATTTGCCTTTATTTTTCGTTAGTTCAAATAATATCTCACAAATATTAAGTAATTTGAAAAACCTTCACTATAGCAATACAGTTATTCAAGTGAAAAATTAGCACTTTAAGTGGCTTCCAAGCCCACAATGAAATGTTTCTTATAACAATCTCCTCACCGTTAAATTGGATTCACTTTCAAGCCAGTCTCCTTTCAGGCAAAATTATCACATATAATTAGCTTACACAGAGACTTACTCTAGCCAAACTAGGCTGTCACTTTATATACAAAGTATACTCTTATGTGAAGGGTCAGAGACCCTCATAATTATAACTGCAAAAGATTTCTCTAAAGATAATAATATGCTTGTCTTTAGTGAGACAGAGTTTTAGCTTTAACTAAGGTCTTTCAAATCGAGATATATTGTATGTTTGAGGAATAGCGTAGGTAGAATTGAGTACCTTTCTGAAACAAACTATCTTTGACCTATTTCTCTATGAATTATTTTATTTAGGATGGTTTGTTACAGATTATTATTTTTCTTCCTTCTTACTCCTTGAATAATTTACAGAATAAGTAAACAATAACCATACATGTCCAGAGCAGTTCAACACAAGTGTTTCTAAATTTGTTACTTGGACAAAAATTCCTTGGGAATAACCAGAAAAAAAGTTGAGTATTTTGGGATAAAGGAAATGCAAACCATGAAGAGAGCAATGTAGAAACAGATGAAGGGTAACTCTCCTAAATGGAAGTAATATTTCTGAAGCAAGTTATATATTAAGTAGAATGCAAAAGCCATGACATAAAATGACCGTTTCGAGGATGTGTAACTTTTACTTTTCCAGTCAACAAAGTATAGCCCTTCTGAAAGATTTCTACATCGGGAGACTACAGATACTGCTCAATAAAGAACATTTTAAAACAGGACGAAGAGGGACAGAAGTGATGTTTAATTTGAATGGTAACAAATACATAAATGTGAGTGTGACAAGATGCTGTAGGAGCATAATTTAATAGAAATAAAGAGTCTCAAAAAGCATGAAATATTTACCATGGGAAATAATGGAAATAGATTGAAATGACATTTTCCCACTATTTGTCACTGCTAGGTTGGCCCATGCTGCCAAATCTAGCAAAATGTTGATGGTTGTGGTGCCCCTGCCTGTAAGTAGAGCCACACAACCTCAGCTGTTTACTTCCACATTCCAAATATCACTCAGCTGTGCCTTCTCAGTGGAAACTAGTCACATGACTATACTCTGGTAAAAACGGGAAACTAAAATTTGTTTGAATTCTAAATGTAAAAGGCAACTTTGGGAAACTATCAAAACGGAAAAGCAATTTTCAAAAGATTTGGCTGTCACAAACTGCGTAGTTCCTTTAGGGCAGTAAAGATGATTTTCAAGTCAAGGGTAAATAGAGGTTCCTGTACAAGAGCTAAGCAGGAGTCTTAGATAGCAAACAGTTCAGACTGGAACAGAGACACAGAGGACTTCGGAAGGTAGGTATTCAGAAAAAAAAAGATGAAATTGGTAAATTAAGTAATGAAATTGATTATTTTTTAGGCATGGCAGGAACTTTAAATTTTTGTTGAAGCATTTTAGTAGAACTGATAGGTATGCAGATGATTTAGCAATAAAAAAGACAATATTTAAATCCAGTGATATTTTTAGGTTGCTCCAACAAAGTTAAAATCATAGCACAATGTCTGGATCAGCAGTGAGTGAATTATTTTAAAATATGCATAAAATATAAACATTGAATGATGACATGACAGAAAGAGGTGATGTACTGGGAGAATGGGTAGAACAGAAAGGGTAGAAAGAGGGTGAAATAATTTAACAGTACTAAGCCTTCATGATCTTAAATGAAAAAACATGTAATATCTATAATGGAGAAATTAAAATATTTGAAAAGTATATCATTTATAAATGTAAAAGTTAATCCCATAAGATACAGTAGAAGGCATAACTGAGACATATGAGGATTTGTTCCAGGTTTTTATCATAAACATTTCTGTATAAATTATGTTTTAAAACTACAAGCATGTAATACTTTGGTAAAAATAAAAATTTGTTAAAATTGGAGGAGGCTGAGCAAGATGGTTAAATAGAAGCCTCCTCTGAACATCCTCCTCACAAGAACACCAAATTGAACTACCATCCACACAAAAAAGCACCTTCTTAAAAGCAAATGTTAGGTAAGTGATCACAGTACCTGGTTTCAGCCACGTATTGGTGAAAGAGGCACTGAAGAGGGTAGAAAATACAGTCTTGAATTGCTGATGTCACCCATCCAACATCCCCTAGCAGTGGCCATGTGGCATGGAGAGAGAATATGTACACTTCAGGGAGGAAGAGATCAGTGATTGTGAGATATTGCATTGGAACTCAGTTTTGCCTTGTCACAGTGGAAAAAAGAATCAGGCAGAACTCAGTGCGCAGCCATGGAGGGAAAATTTAGACCAACCCTAATCAAAAAAGAATCACCCAGCCCAGTGGTTGGAACCTGAGTTCTGGCAAGCCTTGCCACCTCAGGCGAAAGTGCTATGGGGTCCTGAACAAACTTGAAAAGTAGTTTAGGCCACAAGAATTGCAATTCCTGGGCAACTACAGGGGTGGTGTTGGTCTCAGAGCCAGTGGACTTGTGGGGCATGCAACCCAGTGAGACACTAGTCAGGGTGACCAGAAGAGTGATTTTGTCACCTTTCCCTCAACACCAGTGCAGCTCACAGCTCCAGGAAAGATTCCTTCCTTCTGTTTGAGGACAGGAGAGGGAAGAATAAAGAGGACTTTGTCTTGCAACTTGAATGCCAGCATAGCCACAGTAGAATAAGGCACCTGGCAGAGTCCTGAGGGCCCCATTCCAGGCCTTAACACCAAGAAAGCATTTCTAGAAATGGCGTGGGCCAGAGAGGAACCCACTAACCTGAAGAACAGAACCAGTCCTAGCAGGATTCAACAATGGCTCACTAAAGAGTCACTGGACCCTAAGTAGTAGCAATGTAGCCAAGCAGTTCTTGCCATGGGAACTGGGTGAGACTCAGAGATATGCTGGCTTCAGTTGTCACCCTGCACATTTCCAGCTGTAGTGCCTACAGGGAGACTCCTGCTTGAGAAAAGGAGAAGGAAGAGTAAAAGGGGCTTCGTCTCTAAGCCTAGGTACTAGTTCGGCCACAGTGGGGAAGCACCAAGCAAGAACTTAGGGTAACTGAATCCAGGCCTTGGCTCTTGGATGGCATTTCTGGACATGCCCTGGGCAAGAGGAAAGGTCACTGCCCTCAAGGGAAAGTCCACAGCCTGGGAACATTTACCACAAGTAGATTGAAGAGTACTTGCTTCATGAAAGAATATTAGCAGTAGTCAGGTAGTAATTGCCTTGTGCCTGTGGTGGAGTTAGCCACTGGAAGAGATTCCTCTGCTTGTGAAAAGTGGAAGAAAAAAGGGGAAGGACTTTGGCTTGTGGTTTGGATGCTAGCTCAGCCACAGTAGAATAAAGCACTAAGTAGATGATTAATGCTGCCAACACCAGGCCCTGTCTCTAACACAGCACTTCTTGACTCACCTGGTACTATGGTTAACTTACCACCCTGAAGAGAAGGATACAAGCATGGCTAGCTTCACTACCTGCTGATTGCATAGCCCTAGGGCCATGAATAAACATAGATGACAGCAAGGTATTGGCTACCATGGACCATGGGCAAGACCCAGTGCTGTGCTAGCTTCAGGTGTGACCCAGCACAGTCCCAGTGGGGGTGGACACAGGGGTGCTCCATGCAACTCAGCACAGCTGCAGGAAGCTCATCATAGAGGGAGAGAAAGACTCACTTTTGTGGGGAGAAAGTAAGGAAAGAGAACAAGGTTATCTGCCTGGTAATCCAGATAATTCTTCCAGATCTCATCTAAGAAAACCAAGGTGGTACTTCTACAAGTCTGCAAGAATCATGGTGTTTCTGGGTTCATGATGCCCCATAATGCAGATATGGCCACAGTGACCAAAAACATAAATCACAACACTGAGATCCCTTCAAATAATTAAAAAGCCTTCTCAAGAAGGATGGGTATAAACAAACCCAGGCCACGAAGACTGCAACAAATACTTAATGCTTCAATGCCCAGACACTGAAGAACATCTACTAGCAACAACACCATCCAAAAAAACACAACCTCATTAAATGATCTAAATAATCCATCAGAAACCAACCCTGCAGAGATGGAGATATGTAAATTTTTAGACAGAGAATTAAAAACAGCTGTTTAGAGGAAACACAAAGAAATTCAAGATAGCACAGTGAAGGAATTCAGGATTCTATCAGGTAAATTTAACAAAGAGATTGAAATAATTAAAAAAGAATAACGCAGAAATTCTGAAGGTGAAAAATGCAATTGGCATACTGAAGAGTACATCAGAGTCTTTTAATAGCAGAACTGAATAAGCAGAAGAAAAGATTAGTGAATTTGAAGATAGGCTATTTGAAAAAAAAACACAGAGGAGATAAAAGAAAAAAGTATAAAAGAGAATGAAGCTTGACTACGAGATCTAGAAAATATTGTCAAAGGGCACATCTAAGATGTAGTGGCCTTAAAGAGGAGGCAGAGAGAGAGAGATAGAAAAAGAGAGAGAGAGGGGTATAAAGTTTAATAAAAGGAATAATAACTAGGAATTTCCCAAACTTAAAGAACATATCAATGTTTAACTACAAGAAGGTTTTAGACACCAAGCAGATTTAAGCCAAATAAGACTACTTCAAGCCATTTAATAATAAAACACAAAACTCAAAAATTTACAAAAAATATTGAAAGGGAGTGAAAGAAAAGAAACAAATAACATACAAGTACATTCCAAAACATTTGGCTGCAGACTTCTTAGTGGAAAACTTACATACCAAAAGATACTAACATATCACATTTAAAATGCTGAAGGAAAAAACTTTTATCCAAGAATAGTATATATCCAGCTGAAATATCCTTCAAACAGGAAGGAACAATAAAGACTTTCCCAGAAAAACAAAAGCTGAGGGATTTCACTAACACCAGATTCATACTACAAGAAATGCTAAAGAGAGTTCTTCAGTCTGAAAGAAAATGATGTTAATTAGCAAGAAGTAATCACCTGAAGGTCCAAAACTCACTGATCAAATAACTACACAGGAAAAGATGGAATACTATGACTGTAACTATGGTGTGTAAACTACTCATATCTTGAGTAGAAATCTAAAAGATGAACCAATAAAAAATAAAAACCATAAAAATTTTAAGACATGGATAGTACAATAAAATGTAAATAGAACAAAAAATATTAAAAAGGAGAAAGTAACTTTAAGTGGAAGTTTTAATAAATTTTCTCTTTGCCTATTTGTTTGTTTATACAATCAGTGTAAAATTTTCATCAGTTTAGGAAATGGCTTATAAAATATTTTTTGCAAGCCTCATGGTAACCTCAAATCAACATACATATATTAGATACAGAAAAAAAAATACAAAGCAAGAAATTAAAACATATCACCAGAGAAAATCATTTTCATTAAAAGGAAGACAGGAAAAGAGAAAAAAAGGAAGAGAAGACCACAAAACAACCAGAAAATAAATACAAAAATAATAGGAGTAAGTCCTTGCTTATCTATAGTAACAATAAATGTAAATGGATTAAATTATCCAATCAAAAGACATAGAGAGCCAGAACAGATTTTAAAAGAAAGATTTCTTGCCTACAAGAAACACAATTCACATATGAAGAAACATGCAGGCTGAAAATACGAGGGTGGAAAAGCATATTTCATACAAATGAAAACCAAAAAAGAGCAAGAGTAGATATATCAGACAAAATAGATATAAAGACAAAAACTATAAGAAGAGATAAATAAGGTCATTGTATATTGATAAAGCAGTCAATTCAGCAAGAGGATATAACAGTTTTAAATACATTTACACCCAACATTGGGGCATCCAGATGTATAAATCACATATTACAAGTCTTAAAGAGAGAGAAAGGCCCTGATACAATAAAAGCAGAAGACTTCAACACCCAACATTCAGCATTGAACAGACCATCCAGAAGGAAAATCAACAAAAAACTTTGGAGTTTTTTATAGACAAAAAACACCTAATAACTATTTTTTCACCTGCTTCTTGTACCGTTTTCCTTTTTTTATTTTTATTTTTTATTATACTTTAAGTTACAGGGTACATGTGCAGAACATGCAGGTTTGTTAAATAGGTATACATGTGCCATGCTGGTTTGCTGCATCCATCAACTCTTCATTTACATTAGGTATTTCTCCTAATGATTTCTCTCCCACTGCCCCCCACCCCCCAACAGGCCATGGTGTGTGAGGTTACCCGCCCTGTGTCCAAGTGTTCTCATTGTTCAACTCCCACCTATGAGTGAGAACATGCAGTGTTTGGCTTTCTGTCCTTGTGATAGTTTGCTGAGAAGGATGGTTTCCAGCTTCATCCATGTCCCTACAAAGGACATGAACACATCCTTTTTTATGACTGCATAGTATTCCATGGTGTATATGTGCCACAATTTCTTAATCCAGTCTATCATTGATGGACATTTGGGTTGGTTCCAAGACTTTGCTATTGTGAATAGTGCCGCAATAAACATACGTGTGCATGTGTCTTTATAGTAGCATGATTTATGATCCTTTGGGTATACACCCAGTAATGGGATCACTGAGTCAAATGGTATTTCTAGTTCTAGACCCCTGAGGAATCACCATACTGTGTTCCACAATGGTTGAACTAATTTGCACTCCCACCAACAGTGTAAAAGTGTTTCTATTTCTCCACATCCTCTCCAGCATTCGTTGTTTCCTGACTTTTTAATGATTGCCATTCTAACTGGCATGAGATGGTATCTCATTGTGGTTTCAATTTGCACTTCTCTGATGACCAGTGATGATGAGCCTTTTTTCATATTTCTGTTGGCTGCATAAATGTCTTCTTTTGAGAAGTGTCTGTTCATATCCTTTGCCCATTTTGATGGGGTCTTTTTTTTCTTGTAAATTTGTTTGAGTTCTTTGTAGATTCTGGATATTAGCCCTTTGTCAGATGGGTAGATTGCTAAAATTTTCTCCCATTCTGTAGGTTGCCTGTTCACTCCGATGATAGGTTCTTTTGTTGTGCAGAAGCTCTTTAGTTTAATTAGATCCCATTTGTCTATTTTGGCTTTTGCTGCCATTGCTTTTGGTGTTTTAGTCATGAAGTCTTTGCCCATGCCTATATCCTGAATGGTATTGCCTAGGTTTTCTTCTAGGGTTTTTATGGTTTTTAATAACTATTTTTAGAACATTTCATCCAACAACTGAAAATTAACTATTCTTCACAGCACATGGATCATTCTCAAAGATAGACCATATGTTAGAGCAAAAAACATGTTAAAAATTCAAAAAATTAAAATTATATCAAGTATCTTCTCTGACCACAGTGGAATAAAACTAGAAATCAAAAACATAAGGAATTTTGGAAACTACGCAAAAACATGGAAATTAAACAATATGCTCCTGAATGACCAGTGGGCCAATGAACAAGTTAAGAAGAAAATTGAAACTTTTTAGAAAGAAATAATAATGAAAACACAACATACCAAAACCTATGGGATACAACAAAAACATTACTAATAGGAAAGCTTATAGATATAAATGCTTACATCAAAAAAAAGATAAACTTCAAATAAAAAATTATCAATGCATCATAAAGTATGAGAAAAGCAAGAGCAAACCAAATCCTAAATTAGCAGAAGAAACAATAAACATCATAGCAGAAATAAATAAAATTGTAACAGAGAAACAATACAAAAGATCAAGAAAACCAAAAAGTTGATTTTTGTAAAAGATTAAAAAAAGACAAGACCCATATAAATAAAATTAGAGATAAAAAAGGAGACATTACAAATGATACCACAGAAATTCAAAGAATCATTAGTGGCTACTATGAACAGCTATATGCCAATAAATGGTAAAACCAAAAAGAAATGGATAAATTCCTATACCCATACAACCTACCACGATTGAACCATTAAGAAATCCAAAACATGAACAGATCAATAACAAGTAATGCGATCAAAGCCACAATAAAATGCTTCCAAGTAAAGAAAAGCCCAGGACCTGATGTTTTCACCGCTGAGTTATACCAAACATTAAGAAGAATTAACACCAATCCTACTCAAAGTATTTCAAACAATAGAGGAGGGAATACTTCCAAACTTATTCTATAAAGCAAGTATTACCCTGATACCAAAACCGGAAAAAGACACATCAAAAAGAAAAAAATACCTACCAGTCAATATCCCTTATGAACTTCATCAATTCTCAACAAAATACTAGCAAACCAAATTCAACAACACATTTTAAAAAGTCATTCATCGTGCAAATGTGTTTCAAAATACACAAAACAAACAATGTGATACATAATATCAACACAATGAAGGAGAAAGATCATAAGATCATTTCAATTGATACCGAAAAAGCCTTAGATAAGATTCAACATCCCGGCCGGGCACGGTGGCTCACGCCTGTAATCCCAGCACTTTGGGAGGCCGAGGCGGGCGGATCACAAGGTCAGGAGATGGAGACCATCCTGGCTAACACGGTGAAACCTCGTCTTTACTAAAAATACAAAAATTAGCCAGGCGTGGCAGCGTGTGCCTGTAGTCCCAGCTGCTGGGGAGGCTGAGGCAGGAGAATGGCGTGAACCTGGGAGGAGGAGATTGCAGTGAGCCGAGATCGCGCCACTGCACTCCAGCCTGGGTGACAGAGCTAGACTCCGTCTCAAAAAAAAAAAAAAAAAAAAAAAAAAAAATTCAACATCCCTTAATGATTAAATACCTTAAAAACTTGTTATAGAAGGAACTTACCTGAACACAACAAAAGTCATATATTATAGATCCACAGCGAGTATCAGACTAAATGGACAAAAACTGAAAACATTTTATCTAAGACCTAGAACAAAACAAAGATACCCACTTTTATCACTGTATTTCAATACAGTACTGGAAGTCCTCACTACAGCAATCAGACAAGAGAAAGAAATAAAGGGCAGCCAAAATTGGAATGGAAGAAGTCAAATTATCCTTGTTTGCAGATGATATGATATCATATTTTGAAAAACCTAAAGACTCCAGTAGAAAACTGAGAACTGAAAAACAAATTCAATGAAGTTGGAAGATACAAAATTAACACACAAAAAGCAGAAGCATTTCTATATGCCAACAGTGAACAATCTGAAAAAATAAAATAAAATCAATCCTATTTACCAGAGCAACAAAATTATACATATATTTAGGAATTAATCAAAGACATAAAAGACTTTAACAATGAAAGCTATTACTTACTCATTAATAAAAATATAAAGGAAACCAAAAAATGAAAAAAATTCCAAGTTCATTGATTGCAGAAATCAATAGTATTAAAATGTCCATCTGACCCAAAGTAATCTACAGATTTAATGCAATTTTGTCGAAATATTAATGACACTCTTCACATAAATAGAAAAGCAATCCTAAAATTTATATGGAGACACACACACACGCGCACGCACGCATACACACACACACACACAAAACAGAATAGCCAAAGATGTCCTGAGCAAAAAGAACAAAAATGGAGGAACCACATTACCCAACTTCAAATTATGCTACAGAGCTATAGTAACCAAAACAGCATAAAACTGGCATACAACCTTCAACATTGACAATGGAACAGAACAGCAAACCCAGAAGAAATCCATATATATGCAGTAAACTCATTTTCAACAATGGTGCCAAAATGTATATTGGGGAAAGGACATAATTCGATTACGTCATTGATTCAAGTTATTTTACATCTTTTTCTGTCATCTATAGTGCATTGGCTTTGTCCCTTGGCTAGCTCTTTTCATACTTTCAGGATTTTATCAAAACATAAGGCTTGAGCAGAGTAGCTATTTTATCCCTTGGATCACTTTCAGATTCTTTCCCCAAGAATTCCCAATTGCACATATTCTCAGTATACTTCCCTTCACACAGTACTGGCCAGAATTGTATGATATGCTTAATTCCCAAATGAATCTTTGGTAATGGAACTGAATTAACTATAATTGGCTTAGTGAAAATACATGGCCCTGTGGATGAAGGTTAATTTTTGTAGTCTCGGCCAATGCACCAAAATGTAGCAGTCTCTCATTCTCTGAGATAGTACCCAGAATTCTTTGTCTCACATCAAAGAGAATTAAAAAGTTCATACGAAAGGGTGAGGTTGAAGCAAAAGTTTAATAAGCAAAAGAAGAAAGCTCTCTGCCAGTGAAGATGGGGCCTTAATGGGTTGCCCACTATAAGGCTGGGGTCTGGGGGTTTTTATGGACTGGGGAAGGGGAATGAATGTGCTTAGTCTGTCGGCTGTCTGGGAGAAAGCATGATTCAGCTTGTCCCAGGACCAATCAGGAGCTGAAGTGATGATTCATAGGGGCTACTCAGCTTGGCCTGGAACCTATCAGAAGCCGAAATGAAAGCTTGGCCAGGGATCTTGGCCTGGGACCAATCAGGGGCTGAAGTGATGATTCATAGAGGCCGGGCTAACAGTCTAAAAAAGAAATGAAAGTGTCCACAGGAACCCACTCGAACCCACCGGGTTCATGCCCCAAAAGGAGAAGAAACGTTTTCCTGGGAGCCTGCTGATTATACAAAGGAAAAAGGCATTTCTATGTCAGGTGTTGTTCCCTTATCTGAGTGAGCCAGAGGTTTGTGCAAGTTTTTATCTCAGTGGGCTGGATTTTATTACCCCATGCTGCTTTTTGTGTTGTGTGGGAATGAGGCACTGACCCATGGGTCGGTGGCTCTCCAGGGACCCTTCCTTTGCTGTCTATTTAAGGCAAGCTAGCTAACTCTTCTCAATATGAGACACTGCCAGTAAAAAAAGAGTATGAGTGCAAATTTTGAGTAGCAATCAATAGTGTCTGTTACAGAAGGAGAAGACAGGACCCATATGTGAGGAGAAACAGCCCAAATCAGAAGATGACTAACCACGATTCTGGCCATCAATTCAACTGTCATAACCATATCCAATAAGTGAACAAAATTTAAGGGAACTTGGTTTTTTCACCCAGTATACTGTATTTCTAAAATTTATCCATGTTGCCAGTAATTGTAGTTTGTATTTTATCACTAGTGTATAATGTTACATTATATAGCTATAGTATGCTATATTTTTTTATCCATTCTTCTGCTGACAATCATTTCAGTTTCTTCAAGTTTTGTGCTATTGGAAACAATGTTGCTATAAATCTTTTTGTAATACATAAACATTTTATGGTTTAAATAGTAATGAAATTGATGGGCCATTGGGTTGTGAATGTTCAAACTAATTAGATAATGCTATATAACTTGAGAGCTATATAGCTCTCAAGAAAGCTAAGTTATGTAATATATTTTAGGTCAATCTTTCATATGTGATAAATATATTTTAGAAACAATAATTAAAAGATGAATTCAAAATTCGAAATGGTGATTATCTGTGACTGAGTATGGAAAAGAAAGCAGAAGGATAGGGTAGGGAACATAGATGTAGAAGCAGTTGGTGATATTTTATTCTTGAAATTGATGAGCTCACAGATGTTTATTATAAAATTAAGCAAAATAGCATAAAAACTTCATAAGATCATATATATATATCTTCATAAGATCATATATATATATCTTCATAAGATCATATATATATATAGTTAAATAAATTCAACGAAAATAGCCGCAAGCTAAAGCAACTTCATAGACTGTGTCCACTTTGGAATTTGTTAAACTTCAGGAAATGTCTTTTTGTGTGACCTCATCCATTCGGACTTCATGTCTCCTTTATGTTTTCCTTGCAAATAAAATTGTAGGGCAAGAAAAGAGAGAGAGATGCAATAATCACCACTTTAAGGAAGTTCAGTCTTCTCCCTTATTTTGCTCTTGACTGACATTAGTGCAAAATTTTGTACTAACAGTGAAAGTTGAGAAACCTGAATTAGATCTTTGAATTCAAATCAAGCATTCCTCTTTAGGTTTCCATTATCTGTATTCACTTGTTTGCTTTCTGTTTTTTCCGTGCCCTTGCTATCTTTTGAGTTTGATAGTTCTTGTTAGCCTACATTTTATTTGTTTCTATCTCTCTCTATGGCATTCAAGGTAGACATTTCGATGACAATTCTATGAGTTGTCACCTTGAGTTTTTAAAAACACTGTTAAGCCTTCATATATATATAGTTTCAAAATTGAATAACATTTGTTTCCCACTTGTGGTAAAGAAAATATTTGTAACATTTTCCAGACCCTTCCTACCCCAACCCTCTTTCTTATCTTTATCAAATAGTTGGTTGAAAACCCCCATAATTAAAAAGGGAAAATAAAATCTCTATTCCTCTCCTTTTTTTTCTTCCTTCCACTTTATTTGTTACCACATTATTTATTTAGATATTCCAGTTTGAACATATGCTCCATGAACTTGAGTATTTTTGTACAGTGGTTTAGTAATCTTCAGTGTATTTCAATGTTCAATACTTTCGTCTTTTGACATTTTATTTTGGTTCGCCTCTTGGTGACCTAGTGCACATTTTTATATTCTTATTTTTTTTTTAATCTTCAGGAAGTGGTGGGGCATTTTCTCAGACCTTGGCGATTTAGTTAGTAGTCTCTGAAAGAAGGTTTGATTTTAGAATTAGTTATAAGCTGGTAACCTTGAGAATGCTTTTTTTAAATTATCCAAGTTTTTGTTTCTTCACTTTCAAAGTAGAGATAAGATCTAACTTACAGTATTATTGGGAAGATACTGTGAGTTACATGTAAGGTGCCTACCACATTACCCAATGTATACTAATTACTCGCTAAATACCCCATTTCCATTCTCCTTTCCTTCCTTTATTTTCAGTCACATGTGAATGACCACATGGGCCATTTAATACTTTTCCTGCAGAAACTGCTGGCATTATGATGGTCTCTTGGAATTTATAGTTATAGTACTAAATCCAGAGGCTAACTATATTTTTATTCCTTTATTATAAGTTATTTTTCTTCCATAATTTCTTATTAGAGGCTTCATTTTTCCTTCACAAGTAAACATTCTACTAGAGAGTGTTTTGACGCTTTTTAGTCCTTGTCCAAACGAGGAATTTTGGAATGGGCATCTAGATATGTTCAAGATATTCTGCTATTCTCCAAGGGTCAAAGGGGGCCAGTTAGGCATTATATCAAAAACCATCACTCCCAGCCAACAATGTTTTAAAATCAACATAACTATATTCAGCCAAATACAAAAATGCCAAGTAACTCCGTAGGTTTTCTAATAGCAGCATCTTTGACAACATCTCTGGGATTACCAGTTAATTTATCAACTCCCATTACTGCCCAAGGATCTTGGGTGCCAGGAATTTGAGAATCTACTCCTGCAGAAGCTTAGGAAGGAACTGGAATCTCTGTCATTTACATCAGCCAGATAACTTAATTTTACTTATTTTTATTCTTGTAAGCTGTAATTTCGAGGGATATTTTGCTTCTACTTTTTCACAACTCTTGTAGATGTCCTGAAATGTCCCAAGTGTAAGTATAGTTTAACCTACAAATCATTCATTTTCTCTTTAAATCATATTTATGTTCATCATCAATACCTTATATTTATGTATTTATTTAAGTATGTGTATACGCTATATCATTTACGTACTTTTTCACACCACAACTCAGTATAAGTATTGTTATCCTCATATTTTTATTGAGGTGAAATTTACATAATATAAAATCGACCATTTTAAAGTATAAACTCAGTGGCATTTAGCACATTCACGACTTTGTCCAATGATCCCTTCTATCTAGTTTCCAAATAATATTTTACCCACAAAAGAGACTCCAATTAGCAGTCACTCCCAATTCTCTCCTCCTTAAACCCTTGACTACCATTAATCCGCCCTCTGTCATTATGAATGTGCTTATTCTAGATAGTTCACAAAAATGAAAGCATACAATATGTAACCTGTTTTGTCTGAAATCTTTCACTTCGCCTAGAGTTTACAAGATAAACCAATGTCCTCACATGTATCAATACTGCATTAGTTTTCATGGCTGAATAGTATTCTATTGAATCTATATGCTAAAATTTGTATATCCATTCATTCATTGATGGACATTTGAGCTGTTTCCACCTTGTAGCTATTGTGAATAGTGCTGCTAAGGACACATGTGGGCATTTATCTGTTTGAGTACTTGTTTTCAGTTTGGAGGAATGTGGTATGTACTTAAGAGTATACCATATGCTTGGGCATATGGTAATTCTGTTTAACTTTTTGAAGAAGAGCTCAATTGTTGTCAGTTTTAGCTAAATCATTTTGTATTCCCACCAATAATTATAACTTCTTCACATCCAGAGCATATGATTATTTTCTATATTTTTGATTACAGCATCCTAGTAGGTATGAAGTTGAATCTCAAAGTAGTTTTGACGTGCATTAACTGAATGAATGATGATGTTGAACATTTTTTCATGTATTTGTTGTTCATTTGTGTATCTTCTTTAGACACATGTTTATTCACATACTTTACTTATTTTTAATTGGGTTATTTCTCTTTTTATTGTTGAGTTTTAATAGTCTTTTATATATTCTGGACACCAGAAACTTATCCTATATAAGATTTGAAATTATTTTCTCCCATTAAATTGTCTTGCTCACTTTTTCATTTTTAATGTTTAGAGATACATAACAGTTGTACATACTTATGGGGTACATGGGAGATTTTGAAACAAGCATGCAATTCATAATTATCAAACCTGGGTAGTTAGGATATCCAGCACCTCAAATAATTATCACTTCTTTGTGCTGAGAACATTCCAACATTCCATTTCTAGTTATTTTTTTAAAAGTCTTTTCATATCTTTAGTCCATTTTTAGTCAGATTTTTTTAATTTTACTATCTGAGTTCCTTATATACTCTGGTCATTAATCCCTTGTCAGTTTAATAGTTTGCAAAACAAAACTGCATGGTACTTGCATAAAAACAGACACATAGACCAATGGAACAGCATAAAGAGCCCAGAAATAAGCTTATGCAATTACATTCCATTCATTTTTTGACAAAAACACCACGAGCATACATTGAAAAAGGAACAGTCTTTTCAATACATGGTGTGGAAAAACTGGATATCTATAAGCAGAAGAATGAAACTAGACGCCTATCTCTCACCATACATAAAAGTCTAATGAAAATGGGTTAAAGACTCCAATTTAAGACCTAAAACTGTGAAACTACTAGAAGAAAACATTGAGGAAACTCTCCAGAACACTGGTCTGTGCAAAGATTTATTGAGTAAGACCTCAGAGTACAGCCAATCGAAGCAAAATTGACCAATGGTATCACATCAAGCTAAAAATGCTTCTGCACACCAAAGAAAACAATCAACAAAGTGAAGAGACAACCTACAGAATGGGAGAAAATATTTGTCTTTTCATTTCTCTAATAGTGTCACTTGATGCACAAAAGTTCTTTATTTTGATGAAGTCTAATTTCTCTATTTTTTATTTTGTTGCTTATGTTTTTGGTATCATATACTGAGAATTAATACCAAATAAAAGGTTATGAAGATTTAGTGCTAGATTTTCTTCTAAGAGCATTAGAGGTTTAGCACTTACATTTAGTTATTTGATTTACTTTAATATTGTACATGTTGTGAGATAGGAATCCAGATTCATTATTTTACATTTGGATATACAGTTCTCCTAGCACTATTTATTGAAGATAATGTCCTTTCCCCATGACACAATCTTGGTGGCTTATTCTAAAATAAATTTGCCTTAGACACATAGGTTTATTTCTTGACTGTCCATTCTATTCCCTGGGTGTATATGTGTTTACTTATGCCAAAACCGCACTGTTTTGAATATTGAATCTTGCTTATAAGCTTTAAAATCAGAAGTGCGAGTCCTCCAAGTTCATTATTCTTTTTCAAAATTGTGTTGGCTAGTAATATGGCTTAGCTGTGTCCCCACCCAAATCTCATCTTGTATTGTAGTTTCTATAATACCCACAGAGCATCGAGGGACCCAGTTGGAGGTAATTAAATCATGAGGGCGGTTTTCCCCCATGCTGTTCTCATGATAGCGAGTGAGTTCTCACAAGATCTGATAGTTTTATAAGTGTCTGGCATTTCGCTGGATGGCACTCAATTCTCTTGCCTGCCGCCTTACACCATGATTGTAAGTTTCCTGATGTCTCCCCAGCCACGCAGAACTGTGTGTCTATTAAACCTCTTTTCTTTATATAAAAAATTACGTAGTCTTCGGTATGTCCTTGTAGCAGCATGAGAATGGACTAATACAGCTAGTCAGTATCCCTTGCAAATCTATGTGAACTTCAGTATGAACTTTTCTATTTTTGTCAGAAGGCATTTGTGATTTTGAAGAAGTTAGCATTGAATCTATATGTGGCTTTGGAGAGTAATGCCATCTTTATGATATTGTCTGTCGTTCCATAAACACGGGATGCCTTCTTTTTTATTTAGGTATTCTTTAATTTATTTCAGCAGGGTTTTGTAGTCTGAAATGTATAAGTCTTGCACTTCCTTGGTTACATTTATTCTTATTGAGTATTTTATATTTTTGATACTATACTAAATGGACTTTTAAATTTTATTTTTGGATTTCTCATTGCTAGTTTATAGAATTACCACTGCATTTTGTGTGTTGATTTTGTTCACCGCAGTTTTGTGGAATTTATTGGTGCTAATAGTGTGTGTGTGTGTGTGTGTGTGTTTCAAGATTCTTTCTATAAGTGATCATGTCATCTGTGAATAGAGGTGAATAGAGATAGTCTTAACTCTTCCTTTTCTATTTGAATGATTTTAACCTTTTTTTTCTTGTTTGAATGCTTTGGCTATAACTTCTCATAACCTGTTGAAGAGAAGTGGTAAGAATTGCCATCCTTATCTTCTTCAAGATACAAGGGTGAAAGTTTTCAGCCTTTCACCATTAAGTCTTATGTTAGTGCTGGGTTTGTAAAGTATGTACTTCATCACTTTGAGAAACTTTTATTCTATTTCTAGTTTGTTGAGTGTTTTTATAAAATGTTGCATTTTTTAAATATGCTTTTTGCATCAATTGACATGATCATGTGCTTTCTTTACTTCATTCTGTTAATGTGGAAAATTCCATTAATTGATTTTCTTATGTTGAAACACACTTGCATTCCTCGGATAAATCCAACCTGGACATGACATAGAATCCTAAATTTTATAATTCAATTATGCTTCCAGATTTGCTTTGCTAGTATTTCTTGAGGAATTTTTTGCATCAATATTCATAAAGAATTTTGTTCTATATAATTATTTTCTTGTGACGTCTTTGCATGCTGTGAGTATTGGTGTAATGTTTACTTCATTGAATGTGTTATGAAGTATTCCCTTCTCTTCTATTTTTGCTGTTAATTTTCATATTTGTTTATCTAAATTGTTGGTGTACAGTTGCAGTTTTTATTTCAATAAGGTTACTTCAATAAGGTTAGTAGTAATGCCCCACTTTTTTTCTTTATTCTAGTTATTTATGTCTTCTCTTTTTTAACGCATTACTTTTAGCTAAATTTTTGTCAGTTTGGTTAATATTTTCAAAGTACCACCTTTTATTTAATCAAATAAAACTCTATTGTTTATTATTTCTTTATTTTGTTGATCTTCATGCTAATTGTTACTTCCTTCCTGCTGTTAGTCTTGGATTTAGTCTACTCTTATTTTTCTAGTGCCTCAGGTATAGAGTTATTAATTCGGATTTTTTTCTCTTTTAATGTGGATGTTCGTAACAATACATTTCTTTCTGAGAACTGCTTTTGTTATTTCCTATAAGTTTTGGTATGTTGTGCTTTTCTTTTTTTCTCTATGTATTTTTAAATTTCCTATGTGATCACTTCTTTGATCCTTTGGTTGTTTAAGAATGTATTGTTTAATTTTCATTTTTTGTGATTTTACCTTTTTTTTGTTATTGATTAATAGACTGATTTCTTTGTGGCTAAAGAAAATAATTGGTATGATTTTAATCTCTTAAAATTTATTAAGACTTGTTTTTTGACGTAACATATGGTCTATTCTTCAGAATGTTCCATAGGCACTTAAGAAGAATGTGTATTCTGCTCATTTGTGTTAGTGTGTTCTCCATATGTCTATTAGGTCTACTTGATTTATAGTGTTGTTCAAGTCCTTTATTTTCTCCTGTCAATTCTATCAATATTTGTTTCATATATTTGGGGACTCTGTTGCTTGGTGTGTATATGCTTACAAATATTTACATTATTGGTGACGTGACCCTTGATATGCAATGTACATTTTTGTCCCTCATAACCTTTTTCTTTCACTTAAAGTCAATTGTGTCTTGTATTAGTATAAATACCCCAGCTCCTTTTTGGTCACTATGCGCATAGAATATCTTCTTCTATCCTTTCATTTTCAAGCTATTTGTGTCTTTGGATCTAAAGTTTATTTATTTCAGTCTGCTAATTAATACATTTCATTTTTTATTTAATCCAGTTATATTTAAAGTAATTACTGATAAAGAAAGACATTCTTCTGCCATTTTGCCATTTTGTTACTCATTTTCTCTACATCACACATCACTTTTGTTCCTCAAGTTTTCCATTTCTCTCCTTTTGTGTTTAATTGATTGTTTTAGTGTAATGTTTTAAATCTCTTCTCATTTTGTCTATATTTTTAGCTGTTTTCCTAGTTGATACATTAAGATTATAATTAACATCTTAAACTTATAACAAATTATTAAATTAATACCAACTTAGCTTTAATAGTACACAAAATTATATTCCTACGTATCTTGTACCTTAAAATTGTTATTGTCAGAAATTACATCTTTGTACATTACCATTAGCATCTATGTATATTTATAGTTGTACGAATTTATTTTTCAAATCACATAAGAAATAAGGAAGAACTACAAGCAAAAAGTACAATAATCCTTGTTTTATGTTTACCAGTATTCTTTATTTCTTCATATGGCTTTGAGTTACTGTCTAGTGTCCTTTCATTTCAGCTGGAAAGACTCCCCTTAGTATTTCTGGTACAGCAGGTCTACTGTAGCAAACCTTAATGTTGTTTACGAAAGAATGTATAATATCTTGTTTCTTTGCATATCTCATAACTTTATTGGGAACTAGAGACTTGAATAATTTGTTACCTCTGGAAATTTGAAACTTCCCCCTCCTTAGTGTTTGTTGTCGCTCGGTGTCACTTGTAGTTCTTTCTTTAATAACTTTTAAAACTATATTTTAAATACTGCATTCTTATTGTGTTTGATATTTGAAGTCTTTTTCCCTTCAGCTTGTGGTTGGGTAGTGGTTTAAAATAGATTTACTTAAATAAAGAGATAAAGGAGAAGGAGGAGGAGAACGAGGAAGAGAAGGAGAAAGGGAAGGAGGAAGAAAAGGAAAAAGACAAAAAGGAGGAGCAAAAAACAAGAAATAATTTCTGACCTTCACAGAATGCCTCTTTTTTTTTTAGCACTCCTTCAAGGCTTAGCCATATTTTTAAACAACTCTTCATTAGCCTTCACTTCTTGCTTGCGATGAGCCTAAATCAGCCATTAATGAAAGCTTAGAGTCATCCCAGCTCTTCTCTGACAATTCTTCCTTCCCTGGGCATTGTATTGGCTTTCTAGGTTCCCTTACACATAAGAACTTTTCAAAGCCCTTATTCTTCAAAGCAACTATTGCCCCAAGTATTTCTACTAGGTTTTCATTATATCTGTTATTTGCTACTACTGTAGTCTTTTGCCGAAAGTGGCAGCTGATTGTTCATGTGCTTTTCAACACATTCAGGGAATGTCCTCTTCTTAGCTACTTTTCTGCCTAAAGAGAGTTTCAAGTTAGGTGAAACAAAGGCAGATGCCTTGCATCAATTCTTTAAGGAATCACCAGACAAGTTAAAACAGACAAACATGATCCTGGGTAAAAGTCCTCTCTGCTGCATGCAGAACCAGGTGCTCACACCTGTAATGCTGACTTTGATCTTCAAAATTGCTGCTACCCCATTATTTTCTACATTTTATAGATATATAATCAGAGGTCTAGGCTGAAGTCTAGAGAAGTCAAGTAAACTTCTAAGGTTTCATTGGTAGCCAATGAAGGTGAAGTATGCTATTTATTATTTTAAATCTGGGACTCCCTTATTCCTAAAATAGTAATTTTTCCATGCTGTGTGCTTCCTTATATGCACACTTAGACTCCATATTTAGCCACGCTGAACTCAATATACATTCTTTATCTCCATCTACACACTTGGTCTCTGATTTCATCCTTAAAATCGCTGTCCACATAGTCCACTGTAACCATGCTACTACCTTCCTACTATCTACCCTTTTCCACACACTTAGTTTCTCCTTTGTTTCTACTACACTTTGTGTCCATTACTGAACTATTCTTCAACATTATGCTGGAAACACACCTTAAAAATATAGATTATTGTTCATTAATTTTGTTTACCTTATGTATGAAAATAGGCAATAACAGTTTTATGTTCTAATTATTTGGTTTTATCTATTTTTCTCTCTTCTCCAGTAATACCTATTAACTGGCAGTTGGACCTCTATAACCAACCTTCTATATGCTTTATCTATTCTTCATTTTTCTCCTTTGTTCATTTTCTATGTATTCTTTTATTGCTTATAAAGTTTATCCTTTGCATCACTGATTCAATTTTCTCTAATTTCAAGCACGCTAATTATTCCTATCAAGGCAGGTTTCCTGTAGCATATATAGATTGGTGCATAGCAATAATTCAACAAATGCTAGTTATTTCCTGTAGGCGTGAGCCTGTATTCAAATTCACTAAGCAATTTAAAGGTGCATTTGGATATGGTCCATTGGAAACATACTTTATAAGTAGAATCTCATTTTCTATGTAAAAAAGGAGTGGTAATTAGGGGTTTATCCATACTGTCTGAAAAATTCTGAGGCAATGCAAGCTTCACAGTATAGCTTTTTGTTGGTCACTGAAGTGCTATTATCATAGACAATAAAGTAGTCCAGGGTATAAACCTGAATTACTTCAGGAGTTGTAAGAAATGACTACAGTATCCAGAGGGGAAAAAGTTAATCCAATGTTTCAGAAGAAAAGATTATATCAATTTTTGGCAGAATCAAAAATAAGTTTCTAATTTTTTCAACCCAGTGAGAATACATAAAATTTTTTCACATCAGTTTTTTAAATGAGACTCAGAGAGGAGATTCTGGGCACCTACACAATTCTACTATTTTCCCAGAAAAGTATATAATCAATAAGATTAGAAAGCTTAAGATTAATACTAAACCAAATATGAATTAAACGTGATTCACAAGGCACTTTAGAGTCACACAATCCCTCACAGTACTGACTGTAATATTAAACTCTGACTGTACTATGCATATAGAACTTACAAGTAGGCTGGGTGTGGTGGCTCACGCCTGTAATCCCAGCACTTTGGGAGGCCGAGGCAGGTGAATAACTTGAGCTCAGGAGTTCATGACCAGCCTGGGCAACATGGTGAAACCCCGTCTCTACAAAAAACACAATAATTGGCCGGGCATGGTGGCTCATGTCTGTAGTCCCAGCTACGTGAGAGGCTGAGGTGGGAGGATGCTTCAGCCTGGGAGAAGGAGGTTGCAGTGAGCCGAGATCATGCCACTGCACTCCAGCCTGGGCAACAGAGTGAGACACTGCCTCAAAAACAAAAACAAAAAAGTTACAAGTAATTCAAGTCAAATGGGTACTGATTTTATGGTCACTTAAAAGACCCTGGAAATTGACATTTGCCATTAGGGTGCATCATATCTTCTTTAATGGGCATTTGTCTTATTCTTATAACAAAATCCATTTGTTTCAATTTTCATAACCTGGAGCATTCTCTAATACTACTTTAATTAAAATTCAGATTTTATAACATAAAAGTGACTGGCAAAAAAATTGGGATGATGCTAATGAACTTTTTAATTAATTTTAAATATTTCTTTTCTTTATATTCTAGTTTGTTAATAAAGGTGAAAAGAATGGGTATATTTTATATATAATCATTATTGAAATAAATTGTCTTTTTCTTAACATTATTAGACCAAATTGTACATTTTCTTAATTTACAAAATATAAATTTTATATAACAACTTCTCTGTCAATAATTTGCATATTAAATATTCAAAGTGATTTTTCTAGAAACTGATGTAGAATCATGGCATAAATATCCACTTGCATAATATAAAAACCTATGCAGAATTTGACGTGAACTGCAATGCTTACAGAAGGGCACAAGTACCCAAGTATTACCACTTTTAATCATGACTGGGAAGTCAAATGCTAAAAGTACTACTAAGAACACACTAGTCTGTTTCATGTAGCGTGAATAAAACAAGAAAAGCAGAGTAGCTTTTGTTAATTTGAATGAGAATACAAAATTATATTTCTTCTAGCCAGTAGCATTTTTGTTTTACATTTATCTACTGGAGTATTATTTTGCTGTTACAGAGTATTTTCATTCACACCAGCAGAAGGCCAAGATGATACAGTAGATGGAATTTGGAATGCTGTAGTTTAGGGAGGAGATCAAATAGGAGGATTCAATGGGTTTGGAATGTCAACTAGTTAAGCACCTGGAGATGAAATGCACTGTCCTTGACTAAATTCTGTCAAGTGTGTCTTATTTCAATAATCATGGAATCATAGCCAGGTTATAGGTGTATGCAGTTGTGGAAATAACAATCCTGTCAGCATAGAAGATTGTCTCCCAACAATGTATAAAATAAGACAGAATAGCTCACATATATTATCATTCTATTTACATGAAATATCAAGAATAGGTAAATCCATACAAACACAAAGCAGATTTATGTTTGCCAAGGGCTATGGTGAAGGAAAAAAACGGGGAGTAGCTGCTTATGGGCATGAAGTTTCTTTTTAATGTGATGAAAATATTTTGGAATTAAATGGAGGTGGTAGTTTCACAACATTATGAATGTATTAAGTGCCACTGAATTGTTCACTTTAAAATAGTTAATTTTATGTTCCATTAATTTCATCTAATTTTTAACAATAATTTTAAAAATAAAATAATAATAAATATTTGAAAGCATCCAGAGAGAAATAATGCATACCTAAATGGGAAAACAATTTGAATAACAAGGAATTTTTAAATCTGAAATCATAGTTAACAAGGAAGTAGAACAAATTTTTTTAGCACTGAAATAAAAAACTGTCAACAGTGAACGATATATCCTGTGAAAAGTACCCTTAAAGAATTAAGAGAAAATAAAGACATCCTCAATTGAAGAAAAACTAACAATTTGTTGCTATCAGACCTACCCTTGAAGAATGATTAAAAGAATTTTAAATAGAAAAATAATGATAATAGATGAAGATTTGATCTTTCAGAAAAGAATGAACAATGGACTGGGTAAAAACTACAGGTAAACATAAGAGATTATACTTCACCTGATTAATCTCTTTTATTATTCTTCATGATTGAATCAAAAATGATCATACCATCTTATGTGGTACTCAACGTATACAGAGGAAATACTTAAGACAATTATATTTAAAAAGTGAAGTTATAAAGATCTAAGTGGAAGTAAAGTTTCTTCGCTTTACTTGAAATGTTAAGACATCAAATCCAGTAGACTGTGATAAAGCATGTATATATGTGGTAATACCTAGAGCAACCACTAAGAAAATTATATAAAGAGATATACTTTAAAACACCTTAAATAGGAAAGTTAAAATGCCATTTTATAGTCAGAAATATGAAGTGGAGAAAGTTTTCTAGGTTGACAAAAAGACTAATAGTGTTATTTAATTAGAAATAGACTGTAAGTAACAAAAAAGTAACAGCTGGTGATTAGCAAGTTAATAATAGATCAAGTTTGGGGAAGCAAAAACGAAAGTTGAAATACAGTGGTGATTACAATGGAGTTTGACCTTTTACGTTTTTCCCAAAAAAGTGTAATTTCTGGGGAGTCCATGAGCATTAATATAGATGGCATTAATTAATATGTCTGTGAGTTTGTTAGGTTGATTTTATGGCACAGACAAATAATTCTACTGCCATTAGTATTACAGATAGATTTACAGATGAAAATAACCCTCAAGGCAAATTGTAGTTGAAGTTCCGTACTATTCATTCTATATAATCATTAAGTGTGCCCTTAGACCTCATGAGATGCTGGACATAAAATAACCTTCGATAAGCAATGAAGTGTGCATTTTCTCTACTTTATAGCTTTAATAATAAAAAACAAAATACATAATAGAAATCAAAATAGTGGAGATGTGTTTTAAACTAATTTTAAAATGGAAATATCATATTAGAATTATATATAATACTTTCACAACTTTATTTTAAACACCAAGTAAAAGATATGTAAATTAAAAAGGTCATGAAAAGGAGTTCTCAGCATTATATTTACAAACTTTTAACAAGTAGGGATGGATTTTTCCAGTCAAGTTGTATAAAACAGCACTCTCTTGAATAAAGTATTATGATCATGGTTGCAAATGGGAAAAAAAAAGCATTTGTCAAACTCTAATGTGCTTACAAATAACCTGCCAAACTTGTTAAAATAAAGTTTCTAATTCAGCAAATCTGGAGTGGGGTACAAAAATTTGCATGTCTAACAAGCTCCGAGGTGATGCTGATAACTACAAATTTTGGACCACAGTTGAGTATCACGGGTCTAACATATTAGGAAGGTGGTACTAATAAGGCCAAAATTATGAATTCTAACTTATATTGGCCAGTTAGCTTGAGGTAAAATGAAAGAACATAGAATCTGGAATGAGGTTGAACAGCCACCATAAATTATATCACTTACTCCAAAGATTTTACAAGTCATTTGTACAAAAGTGACAATCAGAGATTATGTACAAACATTTCATAGCAAACAGGTCAAAGAGTCCCAAATTGTAAGTACAAGTCAATATATATATTGATTAATATAAAAAGCAACTTCTGCAGTTTAGCCCACTATTTCTCTTACTCTACCCCCTTTCAGCCTCACATCCCCAGGCCATTATTTTTGAGGCCTCTTTGTTTTTGGTCCAAGGATCTGTGAGCATCTGAAGTACAAAGAATTAGGAACACTACTTAAAAATATTCACACCTATAAAAAGAGGAAATAAACAATATGATAAAATAATTTCGATAAGAATTATTAGGAAAAATGTACTCAGTATAAATTATTAGGAAACAACAAATATCAAACAAATGGTTGGTAAAATTTTGATTAAATGTTGTTCTTTTGTTTTTGGTTGCTACTGTTGTATTTTGGATGTGCACCAACCTTCATCTTGCTAGTTTTATTTCCAAAAAAATTAAAACAATGTTAAATGACTTATAGTTCTTATTCTTTCCAAATCAAACACTCTAAAGTGAAAAACAAATAGAGTTAGTCTTCCGTACTTATAAAATATACACGTATTTTGTCTAGGTACAATAAAGAAAATGCAATATTCTGCTGAATAAGTACTTTCCATATTAGATAAAATGTGTGTCTTTTCTGAGCAACTACTACTAAGAAATCTGTTAAGATGAAAACTATTTTTTCATCTATCCCATTTTTTTTGTGCATAGAAATATGCCTGGCCTAACATTTGAAGCAGGAAGCATCTAACATAAATTAGACTAAATAAATCTATTACAATATAGAAATTTCTGTCTCACTGAAATTAAATTTGTATTTACTTGGCCTCTAAGGTCAATTGTTGATCTTTACATTAAGGGACAGACATGACCCCTAGTGGTTCCAATAGTGGATTAAAAAAAAAACAAAAAACAAAAAAGAAACAAACAAACAAAACACTGGACAACCTTGGCTACTGTCACTTTTGCAATTAGTCATCAGAGAAGACTGTTTTAATCTCACAGACACACATGGCTCATAAGCATCAGAGCTGTAGGTGTAGGTGTAGTAATTTCTAACTCATGAGCAGGTGAAACAACATTCTCATCAAATTTTTGTGTTTCTATGTCTCTACTAGAATACTTTTTATTGGACTGCTGTGTGTATAAAATAGAAATGTTGTGTTTTGAAATGAAGAGGATGCTGCTGTCCATGGAAATACCATTAGCAAAAATGATGCAAATATATTTAAGTGGTGTTTCTCAAAGGACTCAATCTTTTTGTTCTACCTTAAAGCTGACAAATTATGTAACACATATATGTGATGCTCACTAGAATGAAGAAATTGAAACAAACCAAAATCAAACTAAAACAGAACATGCTCTCTTGCACTAAGCGTTAAAGTTAATTAACACTATCAGAAACGCTTAAACAATATTTCTTCCATAGCGTAGGAAGTTAGTCTGGGTTTCATCTAAATTAAAAGTTAGATACTGGTGTGTCTTGCTTAACATAGAAGTTTTACTACTGAAAGGGAGGATAATGGTACAATATGCACATTCAGTGCATGGTCTGTGTGAATTCTACACTTTATTATTTTGTGAAGTTGAAGCACCCTTCTGTAATATACCCAATTAGCATCTAATATTTTACAAGCCTGGGTTTTTCTTGTTCTTCTTAAAGTTGGATGTTGAATATTTAATAGAATTTTGTTATTAAAACCTTCTCTTGGCCATCTGGTAGAAGTATTCTGCATGTACTGAGATTTCTGACTTATTTTGGAAAATCAAAAAGCAGAATAATTTTTGCCACATTGTCAGGGAATCCATTTTTTAGACTAGCTTTATCCGCAATTTATGTATGCTAAGCAACATTTCATAGCAAATTGACTAAATTGTCTTAAAGTTTGAAAGATAAAATTAAGGTTTAGTGCAGTGCTGCATCTGATAAATACTTGTTGAATGAATGATAGAGAACACAATTGATCAGATCCATATCATTGCCTTCTTAACTGTTCCCAGGAACAAAAGTAATCCTATAATAAAGAAGTTACTTTTTGATAATAAAACCCAATGTTTCCTCATTATACAAGCATTTTCCAAGGAAATAGGATCATTCACTACAAAGTTCACTTCTTACTACTTTTTCAGGTGCATTTCAATCCCCATGTATCTTCCTTTTTCTCTTAGTTTGGACTCTGATACAATGATTTACCTTGTCTTCTTTGAACATAGTGCCTTAGTCATAATAAGCACAAAAATATATGTTGATTGTTTTATTAATCAAGGTACCTGCCACTAAACTAAATTACTCAGGTGAAAAAAATGAAACATGCAAATTAAAAATTAACATTTTTAATAACAGTAGGAAGGGCGTGGAGGCAAGGGTTTAAACACTACCCAAGGCAAAAACAAGCTTGCAGTGGAATATTCTGAGGGCCTAATTTTAAATAGTCCTACTGATAAACAGCATTAATCGTTGAACTCATTATTGATGGGAGTAAGAACTGTTAAAATCACTAGGCTAGGGGTGAAACTTCAATCTCTTTTTCTTTCATTAACTCTTCCTTTTACATAGGTTAGCAGTATTTAAAATATACTTAGTTTGCCTTGAAGGATTGTTTGCTTAAAGTAACTATCTTTAAGTATGTTGCTTATATTATGGTCAGTATATTCTAAAGAAAATTTGTTATTGTTTGGAGAACAGTACATCACCATTAGACCTCGATGCAGCTGAAACAAATAAAGCAAGAACAAAATTATACTCCAATATCCTTGAAATCTTTGTTGTTTTGTAGTAAATGTAGATTGTTTCTTTAGCTTTGTTGTTTGAACAGATGTGTATTTGCATAATGTGAAGATTTAGTTAGACTTGTGAAAGGAAAATCACATCTCTATTTTACAATAGGACTAATATATGTATAAAGGATTAGATAAAGCAATTCAAAAACAAGCATATGATTTACACTTCGGTTCTAACCCACTCTGTACTTGAGAAGCTACAAGATGTATCATGAATGTATAACACTATGCCTAATTTTCAATAGAGCACATAAAGGTATGCTTCATCTGTACAAAATTATTCTCTTTGCATTCTTGGGAAATCAACTTGTACTGTTGCAGTTCTAATTTTTTTTTTAAGATTTGTACGCTTGGGTGTTTTCTTATGACTGCTAACTCTGAATCTTAGATAATATCCAAACCAACAGCAGATAACTAAAAATTTAATATAGTATAATACAAAATTTGAAACAGGCTACTATTGTGCCTTGAATTATAATATCTCATTACTTTGAGTCATTTAGTGTCACAAAGGCTTCTGTGCACCAATTTATCATCTTTCTTTTTTTTCCCTAGAATAGAAGGGTTGATTGTGGACATAGCCGGCTCATATTAAACAATTTTTATGATGAGCATGAAAGTCAGTTTGCCTTATATTAGGACTATATTTCCTATAATAATAGTGTTTATTAGTTGCAGTGGTAAAGAACAATAGACACTTAACTATTAGCAGAAAGTAGCTTGATATAAGACATATATTAAAATCTATTACAAATCAGGTCCAGCATAACCTATGTCAATCCACAGCAGAACAAAGTATATTGCTTTGATTTTAGATTTATCACATTTGAATTTAACATAAAAATGGGATCTACAGTGAGGTCACAAATGTCTGAACTAAACTTGGATATTTTCTCCTTTCTCTGTTCAGTGAAATGAAGGTTTTCAGTCCTCAGTAGTGTCTACCTTCAGTCCTGAAAATTCTGAATCCTCTCAACTATATGATGTGAAAGAAGAGAGCATAAAGAAAAACATTCAACCATATCACAACTGCAAAGGAAAATAAACACATTCAACCACATTACCTTTTTTTACCTGATCTAAATGCATCATTGTAAAAAATTTTTTATATTTGCAGTTTCAGTAGTCAGAAGGTCAAAAGCACTGACTGACTAACTTTAGATTATCCTTTGATTTATCTTTAAGAGGCTTCTGGAAGACTTGAAGAAAGATTTTGTAAAAAAAGAAATAAGATCATAAAAAAAGTCATATAGCTTGAGGCTTTTAAATAATATATAGAAATAGAAATTCTCCCAAAGAAGAATTCTTTTCATTCTTTTTGCTTTATAATTCCATACTAATAAATAAACTAGTGTTTCTACTCTAAAAAAATTAGAAGTAAAAGTTCAAGATAGCTAATTAATAATCCATAAAGTATCGTGTTGATTTAATCCAAGCGCTTACATAATATAATTTTGCAAAACAAAGCAAAGGTCAAACAATTCCTCTGATGTTATCTATTCAAAAATCTACTGCAGTCAGAGTCACAAAATATTACTATTTTATAATATGTAGAATATTAAACTAACATTAGCATAAGACATTTTATTTAACTTTGATTAAAATGAATTCATTGACTTTTGTGTCTAGCTCTGAAAGCCTTATTAATACTTTCTGTAATAATCTGAGATAAATAAAATTCCTTATACTGATTGGTAAAGAAAAAGAAAACCTCTGTGGAAAAAAAGTCATAATATACATGCAAAGCCTGTTGTTTTTAGATTTCATTTATTTATTTTTTAGATCTTATTTACTGAACATCTTAAGATTTTGTATTATACTATTAGAACAATAAATATTCGTATAGCACAATCCCATAAATATTGCCCCAGTTTTCTAAGACATATATGGAACATTCAAAATAATTAGTGAATACTAGAAACTATTGATTTTAAATATTTCTCTTTATGTTTTCATGTTTTATAAATAACTTCCCCTCCAAATAGTGTGAGCACAAAAAAACTCACAATAACAACTTTATTTTTTTCTTAAATCTTTTCTTTTTAGCAGGAAAAAAAATAATGTTTCATATCCAAACTAAAGATAATATTCCTAAATTATAGTTCATAAAAAAGCCTATATTTATGTTGCAGCTTCTTATGGTCAGTGCTACATACCATTCTGAAATAAAATAATAACTTTACTGTGCATATGCCAGAGCATAGTTAGGCTATTGTACTTCTGATAAAGATATAAGCTGAATCACCTTACCCGTCTGGCTTCTTGCAAATACATTTCATTTTCTCCTTTCTATATTTTGTCTTTTCCATGATAAATAGGTATGAGGAATGATTCTTTTGAACATCATTTTTGTTCATAGTCCACTATGCCTTTCAGTGACTGACTGTTCTTTGTTTATTCTGTTTTTTGGTTTATGTACAAGTTTACTTTTTGAATAACATTATTTCAGTATCATGGCACTTTGATAAACCATTTTATTTCTTTAGAATTCAGGTGGCTTTGGCATGATGGAGATTTTCCAGAGTGGTATAAACCTAATCCATGAACTCATTTTTATTTAAGATCTCTGTAAATGTCATAATACTATGTCAAGACAATATATGTCACAAAAAATAGTTCATTTGTCTTCAAAATGAACATTTTTCCTGTTTCTATCTGAGTTATTATACTGAAATTAATAAGTATTATAAGCTGCCTTGCCAATTCAGCATCAACAATAGCTAATTTTCAGTTAGCACTTGTTCTGTACCAGGTAAAAGTCAAGCTTTTCATATAACTAACTAATTTAATTATTGACCTTAAGAAGTAGGCACCATTATTATGTTTATTTTATAGATAAGAAAATTTGTGTAGTGATAAGAGAAATCTGAAATTACACTGCCTATATTTGAACATCTACCACCTCTTTGACGTGACGCTAATTAATATAACCTCTCTAGACCTGTTTCCTCATTCCTTCAGAAGTGGCAAATAGTCCCATTTGATTTCAGCAACAGGGGATTTATATTAGAAGATTATTTGACTTAAGGTTAGAAAAGTGACATGAGATGAGTTTTGGAAAGCCTATTATGTTGAGCTAAATATTTTCAATTTTATTTCATAAGCAGTGGAGAATTACATAATTTTTAAAAAATGTTTACCAGTTGCTATACTATAAAAATACATTTTCAATTCGTTATTCAATATGAAACATGAACTTGAAATGTTCATGTTTCTACTGCTTTTGAGTATATTATGTCACATTTATTTTAATATCCTAGACCTGCACTGTATAAAACAGTAGCAATTAGTCACATGTGGCTATTTAAATTAAATTAAGTCAATTTTTTTTAATTGGCTCCTCAAGGAAGACAGCACAACAAGATGGCTGAATAGAAGCCTTCGGCAACTGTCCCCCACTCCACTCCACCACAAGAACACCAAATTGAACAATTTGCCACAAAAAAATGTACCTTTGTAAGAATCAAAAATTAGGTGAGTAGTCACAGTACCTGGTTTTAACATATCAAGGAAAGAGGCACGGAAGAGGGTAGAAAAGACAGTCTGGAATCACCTACACCACCCCTGCCCCATATCCCAGCAGCAGTCTAGTGACGTGGAAGGAGAATCTACGTTCTTTGGGGAAGAAGAGTTAAGTTGATTGTAGGACTTTGCATTGGAACTCAGTGACGCCCAGTAAGAGTGGAAACCAACAAGGGGCAGAACTCATCTGGCACCCATGGAGGGAGCATTTAGACCAGCCTTAGCCAGAGGCAAATAGTCTATCCTAGCAGTTGGAACCTGAGTTAAACCAAGCCTCACCACCACAGGCTAAAGTGTTCTAGGATCCTAAATAAACTTAAAAAGCAATCCAGGCCACAAGAACTGCAATTTCTAGGCAAGTCCTCATGTTGTGCTGGGTTCAAAGCCAGTGGAGTAATGCAAATGATCTAGTGAGACACTAGCCTAGGCAGCCAAGAGAGTGCTTGTTTCACACCTCCTCCAACCACAGGCATTGCAGTTCACGGCTCTAGGAAGGACTCTTTCCTTCTGCTTGAGGGGAGTAGAGGGAAGAGTAAGGAGGACACTGTCTCGCAACTTGGATACAAGCTCAGCTGCAGTGGGATAGGGCAACACGTAGCGTCCTAAGGACCCCATTTCAGGCCCTAGCCCCCAGATGACATTTCTAGACACACTCTGGCCCAGAAAGGAAATCACTGTTTTAAAGGGAAGAACCCAGTCCTGGCAGGATTCATCACTTGCTACCTAAAGAGTCCTTTGGCCCTGAATAATCAGCAGTACCAGCCAGGCAGTACTCACCATGAGCCTTGGGTGAGACTAAGAGCTATGCTGGCTTCAGGTGCAACCCAACATATTCTGAACTTGATACAGAAGACTTGGTACAGAAGGAGTACAGAGACTCCTTCTGCTTGAGGAAAACAGAGGGGAAAGTAACGGGACTTTGTCTTGCAGCTTGGGTACCAGCTGGGCCACACTGAGGTAGAGAATTAAGCAGGGTCCTGGGGTCCCCTAAGCCAGGGCTTGGCTCTTGGATGTCATTTCTAGACCTTCCCTGAGACAGAGAGGAGTGCACTGCCCTAAGGGAGAGATTCACACCTGGCAGCATTCACCACAAGCTGACTGAAGAGTCATTGGTCCTTGAATGAACATCATCAGTAGCCAGGCAGTACGAGCCACAGGCCTGGAGCGGTGGTGGCTATGGGGCCAGACTACTCTGCTTGACAAAACAGGAAAGAAGAGTGGGCAGGAATTTGTCATTCGGCATAGATGCCAACTCAGCCACAGTAGAATAGAGTAGGAGGTAGATTCCTAAAGTTTCCAATTTCAGGCACTGGTTTCTGGACAGCACCTTTGGACCCACCTCATGCCAGGGGAAACTAGCTGCCATAAAGGGAAGGACACAAGCTTAGTTAGATTCACCACTCGCTGATTGTAGAACATCTGGACCTTGAGTAAACATAGGCAGTGGCCAGGCAGTGCTTACCACATGCCTTGGGTGAGACGCAGTGCTGTGCTGGCATCGGGTCTGATAGAGCACAGTTCCACTGGTGGAGACTACAGTGATCTTTTTGTCACATATCCCACTGCTTCAGGCACCTCAGGAGAGAGAGAGAGAGAGAGAGAGATTCCAATTGTTTGGAGAAAAGTAAGGGACTAGAACAAGAATCTTACAACACTGGGTTTGTGGTATCTCCTAATGCAGAAATGACTGCAGTGACCAAAGATTTAGATGACAAAACCCAAGTCCTTTCAAATACTTAGCTTTCACAAGAAGGATGGGTACAAACAAGCACAGACTGCAAGGACTACAATAAACATTTAACTCTTCAATGACCAGACACCAATGAACATCCACAAACATCCAGACTGTCCAGGAAAACATTACCTTTTTAAATGAACTAAATAAGACACCAGTGACTAATGTCACAGAGACAGAGATATAAGACATTTCAGACAGAGAACTGAAATAGCTGTTTTGAGGAAGCTCAACAAAATTAAAGATAATGTGAAGAAGGAAACTGAGTCCCATCAGATAAATGTAACAAAGAAATTGAAATAATCCAAAAGAATCAAGCAGAAATTCTAGACTTGAAAAATTCAGTTGGCATAATGAAGAATACATCAGAGACCTTTACCAACAGAACTGATCAAGCAGAAGGAAAAAGTAGTATGCTTGAAGACTGGCTATTTGAAAATACACAGTCAGAAAAGACCAGAAAAAAAAAGAATAAAAAAGCACACCTACAATATCTAAAAAATAGCCTCAAAAGGGCAAATGAAAGTGTTATTGGCCTTCAAGAAGAGGTAGACAGATATATAAGGGTAGAAATTTGTCCAAGGGGATAACAGAAATCTTCCCAAACCTAGAAATATGTATCAATATTCAAGTCCAAGAAGGCTACAAAACACCAGGCAGACATAATCTGAATAAGATTACCTCAAGACCTTTAATAATAAAATTCCAAAAAGTCAAGGATAAAAAGAAGATTCTAAAAGCAGCTAGAGATAAGAAATAAATAACATACAATGGAGCTACAATACATCTGGCAGAAAACTTTTCAGTAGAAATCTTACAGGCTAGGAAAGAGTGGCACATCATACTGAAAGTGTTGAAGGAAAACAACTTCTACCCTATAATAGTATAATCAGTGAAAATTGCTTTCCAACATAAATGAGAAATAAACACATTCCCAGAGAAACAAAAGCTGAGGGATTTCGTCAGCAGCAGGCATGTCTTATAAGAAATGATAAAAGTACTTCAGTCTGAAAGAAAATGACCTTAACAAGCAATAAGAAATCACCTCAAGGTAGAAAAGTCACTGGTAATAGTAACTACATAGAAAAACACAGAATTATATAACATTGTAATTGTCATTTTTCAAGACATAAACAGTATAAATTTAAATAAAAACTACAAAAAATTAAAAAGAGGGGGTGTGAAGTTGAAGTGTAGAGTTATTTTATTATTTTTCTCTTTGCTTGTTTATTAGTTTGTTTATGCAATGTGTTGATTTGTCATCAGTTTAACATAATGGGTTATAAGTTGTTATTTGTAAGCCTCATGGTAATTGCAAATCAAAAAACATACAACACATACACAAATATTAAAAAGAAAGCAATTAAAACATACCAATAGAAAAAAAAATTAATATCGCTAAAAGTAAAAAATGAAGCAAGGAAAGAAGGAAGTGAAGACCACAAAATAACCAGAAATCAAATAAGAAAATGGCAGGAATAAGTCCTCACATATCAATAGTAACATTTAATGTAAATGGACTAAATTATCCAATCAAAAGATATAGAGTGGTTGAAAGGACAAAAAGAAAGACCCAATGATCACTTGCCAACAAGAAAAACACTTCACCTGTAAAGACACACACAAACTGAAAATAAAGGGAGGAAAAAGATATTCCAGGCAAGTGGAAACGAAAAAAGAGAAGGAGTAGCTAAGCTTATATTAGACAAAATGCATTTCATGACAAAAGCTGTAAAGAGAAATGAAAAAAAATCATTATATAATGATGAAGTGGTTAATTCAGAGAGAGGATATAATAATTATAAATATATATTCAAACACTGGAACACTCAGATATATAAGCAAATATTATTAGAGCTAAAGAGAGAAATAGACACCAGTACGATAATAGTTGGAGACTTTAACATCTGGCTTTCTGCATTAGACACACCATCGGGATACAAAATTAACAACAACAACAACAAAAAAAACACTGGGCATAATCTGCACTACAGCCCAAATGAACCTAATTGATATTTATATAACATTTCATCCAAGGGCTACAAGTTACACATTCTTCTCTTCAGTAAATGGATCATTCTCAAAGATAGATTATATGTTAGGCCACAAAACGAGCCTTAAAATATTTTAAAAACTTAAAATAATATCAATAATCTGACCAAAATCTAAAAAAAAAAAAAACAGAAATCAATAACAAAAGAAATTTTGGAAACTACGCAAATACATGAAAATTAAATAATGTCCTTTTGAAAGACTAGTGATTCAATGAAGAAATGAAGAAAGACATTTTTTAAATTTCTGAAACCATAGAAAATGGATACACAACATACCAAAACCTATAGAATACTGTGAAAGAAGTACTTCAAGGGAATTTTATAGCTATAACTCACTGCATCAAAAAGGCAGAAAAAGCTCAAATAAACTACCTAACTAAGCTTTAAGAAACCTCTAGTTTCTTAAGGAACTAGAAAATCAAGAGCAATCCAAAATTAAAACTAGTAGAAGTAAAGAAATAATAAAGATCAGAGCAGAAATAAATGAACTTGAAGAAAATAAAGCAACACAAAACATCAACAAAAGTTGAGTTTTTTGAAAAGATAAACCAAATTGACAAACATTTAGTTGGACTAATCAAAAAAAAAAGAGAGAGAGACAAGACCCAAATAAAGTAAAATAGAGATGAAAAAGGAGAAATTACAATGAATACTACAGAAATTCAAAGGATAATTAGAGGTTACTGTAAGCAACTCTATGACAGTAAATTGAAAAACCTAAAATAACTGGATACATTCCTAGACACATATACCTATTAAGATTGTGTGATGGTTAATACTGAGCATCAACTTGATTTAACTGAAGGATGAAAAGTATTGGTTCTGGGTGTGTCTGTGAAGGGGTTGCCAAAGGAAATTAACATTTGAGTCAGTGAGCTGGGAAAGGCAGACACACCCTTCATTTGGGTGGGCACTACCTAATCAGCTGCCAAGGAATATAAAAGAGGCAGAAAAACATGAAAATGAGAGACTGGCCTACCCTTTCAACCTACATCTTTCTCCTGTGCTGGATGCTTACTGCCCTAGAACATTAGACTCCAAGTTCTTCAGTTTGGGGACTTGGATTGGCTCTGCTTGCTCCTCAGCTTGCAGACAGCCTATTGTGGAACGCTGTGATCATTTGAGTTAATACTTAATTATATATAGATATATATATAGATAGATATAGATATAGATATATAGTTTTACCAGGGTAACTGTGCATTGGGAAAAGGGAAATGATCAGACATTTCTGGGACTACTGGACACTGGCTCTGAGCTGATGTTGATTCCAGGGGACCCAAAACATCATTGCGGTCCCCCAGTTAAAATAGGGTCTTATGGAGGCCAGGTAAATGATATAGTTTTACCTCAGGTCTGACTTACACGGGGCCCAGTGGGTCCCTGGACTCATCCTGTGGTCATTTCTCCAGTGCCAGATATAGATAGATAGATAGATAGATAGATAGATAGATAGATAGATAGACAGATAGATAAAGATATAGATATAGATATATAGATATATCCTATGAGTTCTGTTCCTCTAGAGAACCCTGACTAATACAGATTGAAACACGAAGAAATCCAAAACATGAACAGAAATGAGATAGAAGTCATAATAAAAAGCCTCCCAGCAAAGAAAAACCCAGGATCCAATGACTTCACTGATTAGTTATACCAAACATAAAGAACTAATACTAATGCTACTCAAAATATTCTGAAAAATAGAGAAAAAGAGAGTACTTCCAAACTCATCTTATGAAGCAAGCATTACCCTGATCTCAAAAGCACACGAAGACAAATTAAAAACAAATACAACAACAAAACTACAAGCCAATATCCATGAGGAACATTGGTGCAAAAACACTCATCAAAATAGTAGCAAACCTAATGCAATAACACATAAAAAGATCATTCATCATGATCAAGTGGGATTTATCCCAGGGATGCAAGAATGGTTTGACATATGGGAATCAATCAATGTGATGTATCATATCAACAAAATAAAGAACAAAACCCACATGATCTTTTTAATTTATGCTTTAAAAAAAGCATTTTAGGCCAGGCACAGTGGCTCACGCCTGGAAAGAAGCGCTTTGGGAGGCTGAGTCAGGTGGATTGCTTGAGGTTAGGAGTTTGAGACCAACCTTACCAACATGGTGAAACCCCATCTCTACTAAAAAATAAAAAAAAAAATAGCTGGATGTGGTGGTGGGTGCCTGTAATCCCAGCTTCTCAGGAGGCTGAGGCATGAGGATCACTTGAACCTGGGAGGCAGAGGTTGCAGTGAGCTAAGATCATGCCACTGCACTCCAGGCTGGGCTACAAAGTGAGACTCTGTCAAAAAAAAATCCCAGCATTTTATAAAATTTAATATCCCTTCATGATAATAACCCTCAAAAAACTGGGTATAGAAGGAACCTACCTCAACTTAATAAAGCCATATAATATAGGTCCAAAGCTAGTACCATACTGAATGGGGAAAAACTGAAATCATTCCCTCTGAGATCCAGACCATGACAAGAATGCCTACATTCACCACTGTTAATCAACATAGCACTGGAAGTCCTAGGTACATCAATCAGACTAAAGAAAGAAATAAAGGGCATTCAGACAGTAATGGTTAATACTGAGTGACAACTTGACTGGATTGAAGGATGTAAAGTATTGCTCGTGGTTGTGTCTGTGAGAGTGTTGCCAAAGGAGATTAAGATGTGAGTCACTGGGCTGTGGAAGGCAGACCTACCCTTAATCTGGTGGACACAATCTAATCAGCTCCCAGCGAATATAAAGCAGGCAGAAAAATGTGAAGAGGGGAGACTGGCCTAGTCTCTCAGCCAATATCTTTCTCCCTTGCTGGATGCTTCCTGCCCTTGAACATCTGACTCCAAGTTCTTCAGTTTTGAGACTTGGACTGGCTCTCTTTGCTCCTCAAGCTTGCAGACAGCCTATTGTGGGAACTTGCTATTATGTAAGTTAATACTTAATAAACTAATAGCTCCTATTAGTTCTGTTTTTCTAGGGAACCCAAACTAATACAGATTTTGATACCAGAAATGGTCCTAAAGAAACAGAATATTAAGAATGGAGCTCTTTCATTGGTTTTGGCATTTCTGGAGTTGGCTGCTTAATATGATTGGACCCCCAAATGCTAAGGACTCTACTACTAATAGCATGGAGAACACCGATAGTCATGGTGTGAACTGTTTAGAGAGTTATGCAAAATAAATACATTTGACACACCTGGTTAACCACTTATGAGAGGCAAGGAGTTTAGTGACTCTATACATAATACCTTTGACCGTATGTGGAGAACCAAGGAACATAATGACGCTGGTTGTTTGCTCCTAAGTTCAGTGGACAAAATGATGAAAGAAAATGATCAACTCAGGGATTCTATCTCCTGGCTTCAGAAGCAGATACTGAGCCTCAGATCTGCTAAAATTGCCCTAAGTGAGAGTCTTATCTCCTGTAGAGAAAGAGCTAAAATTTTGGAAAATCAGACAAAATCTTATCATGTGAGTGATAAGTCCCAGTGGTTCTCTAGAAGTGAGGTTGAAAGTGTGACCAATAAGGAGTTTCTCTACACTTGAAAAGAATTGCTTGGGTTTCTAATTTATAAAAAGAGAAATCTGGAGAACAGGCATAGGAATGGATATTAATGGTATGAGATAATTGTGGAAGGAGCATAGAGTTGGATCAGGCTGAATTTATTGATCTGGGCCCCCTAAGTAGGCCCAGAATTAATGTTGCAGCTCAGGGAGTTAAAAAAGTTTCTAATAGTTTATCAGCTTGGTTAGCTGAAATACGGATTAAAAGATGGCCCACTGTGAGCAAGCTGGAAATGCCTGATCTCCCTCGGTTTAATGTGGAGGAAGGGATCCAAAGGCTTAGGGAGATTGGGATGGTGGAGTAGATTAGTCACTTTAGGCCTATTCATTCCAGCTGGGAGGGTCCAGAAGATATACCCTTGACCAATGCCTTACAAAACAGATTTGTGAGGGCAGCACCTGCATCTTTGAAGAGCCCTGTAATTGCTCTTCTCCGTATGTCAGATCTAACAATGGGAACCACAGTCACTCAAATACAAAATTTAAATACAATGGGAATAATTGGGTCCCGAAGTGGCAGGGGCCAACTGGTGGCACTCAACTGTAAAAGGCAAAGTGGGAGTAGCTACCACAACGAACATCAGAGACAAAGCAGAAATCAGAATAGTCTGACTCATGTAGAACTCTGGCATTGGCTAATTAATCATGATCTTCCTAGAAGTGAAATTCATAGGAAGACTACTGCATTCCTACTTAATTTACAGAAGCAGAAAACTTCTAGGATGAGTGGACAAAAGACTAATTTGAATTATAAGAACAGAATCACGGCCCCTCAATCAGTTTCCAGACTTGAGCCAGTTTACAGACCTAGAACACCTTGAATGAAAAAGAGGCTGAGTCCCCTTGAGGAAGGACCCCACTACATTACCGACAGTTTATGCAGTGAATCTTTCTCCCATCCTTCCCCAAGGAAATCTGCATCCTTTTACCCTGGTAACTGTGCGTTAGGAAAAGGGAAATGATCAGACATTTATAGGACTACTGGACACTGGCTCTGAGCTGACGTTGATTCCAGGGGACCCAAAACATCATTGTAGTCCTCCAGTTAAAATAGAGTCTTATGGGGGTTAGGTAATTGATTTAGTTTTAGTTCAGGTGTGACTTACAGTGTGTCCAATGTGAGTCAGGACTCATCTTGTGGTCATTTCCCCAGTGCCAGAATGCATAATTGGCATTGACATATTTAGCAGCAGGCAGAACCCCCACACTGGTTTCCTGACTGGTAACGTAAGGGGTATTATGATGAGAAAGGCAAGATGAAAGCCATTAGAGCTGCCTCTACCTAGAAAAATATTAACTCAAAAACAATATCTCATCCCTGGAGGGATGAGATAAGAACTTGATAAGAACCATAAGAACTTGTTGAGATTAGTGCCACCATCAAGAACTTGAAAGAGGCAGGGGTGGTGATTCCCACCACATCTCCATTCAACTCTCCCATCTGGCCTGTGCAGAAGACAGATGAGTCTTGGAGAATGACAGTGGATTAATGTAAGCTTAACCAAGTGGTGACTCCAATTGTAGCTGCTGTACCAGATGTGGTTTCATTGCATGAGCAAATTAGCACATCTCCTGGTAACTGGTATGCAACCACTGACTTGGCAAATGCTTTTATCTCCATTCCTATCCCTAAGGTCCACCAGAAGCAATTTGACTTTAGATGGCAAGGCTAGCAATATACCTTTACTGCCCTACCTCAGGGGTATACCAACTCTCCGGCTTTGTGTCATAATCTTATTTGGAGAGACCTTCATCACTTTTCACTTCTGTAAGATATCACATGGGTCCATTACATTGATGACATTATGCTGATTGGATCCAGTGAGCAAGAAGTAGCAAACAAACTTGGTGAGAAATTTGTGTGCCAGAGGATGGGAAATAAATCCAACAAAAATTTAGGGACCTTCTACCTCAGTAACATTTCTAGGGATCCAGTGGTGTGGGGCCTGTCGAGATATACCTTCTAAGGTGAAGCATAAGTTGCTGCATTTGGCCCCTCCTACAACCAGGAAAGAGGCACAATGCCTAGTGGGTCTATTTGGATTTTGGAGGCAACACATTCCTCATTTGGGTGTGTACTCTGGCCCATTTATTGAGTGACCCAAAAGGCTGCCAGTTTTGAGTGAGGTCCAGAACAGGAGACGGCTCTGCAATAGGCCCAGGCGGCTGTGCAAGCTGCTCTGCCACTTGGGCCAGATGAAACAGCAGAACCAATGGTGTTTGAGGCATCAGTGGCAGATAAGTATTCTGTCTGGAGCCTCTGGCAGGCCCCCATAAATGAATCACAGTGGAGGCCTCTGAGATTATGGCACAAGGCCCTGCCATCTTCTGCAGAAAACTACTCCTCTTTTGAGAGACAGCTCTTAGCCTGTTACTGGGCTTAGGTGGAAACTGAACAATTGACTATGGGTTATCAAGTCACCATACAACCTGAATCGCCTATCATGAACTGGCTGCTTTCTGACCCATCTAGCCATAAAGTAGGTCGTGCACAGCAGCATTCCATCATCAAATGGAAGTGGTATATACAGAATTGTGCTCAAGCAGATCCTGAAGGCAGAAGTAAGTTACATGAGAAAAGTGGATCAAATGCCCATGGTCTCCACTCCTGCCACCCTGCCTCTCTCCCCCAGCATGCATTGATGGCCTAATGGAGAGTTCCCTATGATCAGTTGACAGAGGAAGTGAAGACTAGGGCCTGGTTCACAGATGGCTTTGCAAGATATGCAGGCACCAACCAAATGTGGACAGCTGAAGCACTACAGCCCCTTTCTAGGATATCCCTAAAGGTCATCGGTGAAGGGAAACCTTCCCAGTGGGCAGAACATCATGCAGTGCACCTGGTTGTGCACTTTTCATGAAAGGAAAAATGGCTAGATATGCGACTGTATTATGATTATTTGGCTGTAGCCAATGGTTTGGCTGGATGGTCAGGGACTCTGAAGAAGCATGATTGGAAAATTGCTGACAAAGTAATTTGTGGAAGAGGTATGTAGATGGACTTCTCTTGAGTGGTCAAAAACTGTAAAGGTATTTGTGTCCCATGTGAGTGCTCAACAATGGGTGACCTCAGCAGAGGAGGATTTTAATAATCAAATGGATAGGATGACCTGTTCTGTGGACACCACTCAGCCTCTTTCCCCAGCCTACCCCTGTCGTCACCCTGTCATCTGTTCATGGGCCCATGAACAGAGTGGACATTGTGGCAGGGATGGAGGTTATGCATGGGCTCAAAAACATGGACTTCCACTCACCAAGGCTGACCTGGCTACTGTCACTGCTGAGTGCCCATTTTGCCAGCAGCAGAGACCAACACTGTCCTCAATATGGCACTATTCTTTGGAGTAATCAGCCAGCTACCTCATGGCAGGTTGATTATATTGAACCTCTTTTATCATGGAAAGGGAAAAAGTTTGTCCTCACTGGAATAGACACTTACTCTGGATATGGATTTGCCTATCTTGCATGCAATGCTTCTGCCAGGACTACCATCCATGTGCTCACAAAATGCCTTATCCATTATCATGGTATTCCACACAGCACTGCCTCTGACCAAGGCACTCACTTTATGGCTAAAGAAGTGCAGCAGTTGGCTCATGCTCATGGAATTCACTAGTCTTACAAAGTTCCCCATGATCCTGAAGTAGCTGGATTCATAGAATGATGGAATCAAATTATCTTTGTTTGCAGATCTTATATTTGGAAAAACCTAAAGACTATTAAAAATTATGAGAAATAATGAACAAACTAAATCAAGTTATAGGGTATAAAATAAATACAAAAAATATAAGTAACATTTTTATATGCCAATAGTGAGCAATCTGAAAATTAAATTAAAAAGCGATCCCACTTACAATAGCTACAAGTAAAATTAAATAAATAGAAATTAAACAAAAATGTTAAAGATCTCTACAATGAAAATTATAAAATATTTGTGCAAGAAATTTAAGAGGACATCACAAAATTGAAACATGCTCAGTGTTCATGGATTAGAAGAATCAATATCGTTAAAATGTCTATATTACCCAAAGCAATCTACAGATTCAGTGCAATCCCTATAAAAACACCAGCGAAGTTCTTCACAGAAACAGAAAAATAATTCTAAAATTTATATGGAATCACAAAAGACCCAGAATGTCCAACTTTATTCTGAGCAAAATAATAATAAATAAAATGAAGAATCACATTACATTACTTCAAATTAAACTATAAAGCTATAGTAACCAAAATGGCATGGTACTGACCAAGAAACAACAGAAATTTGAACAACGGAACAGAACAGAAAACTGAGAAACACATCCATATACCTACAGTTAACTCATTTTCAACAAAGGTGCCAAGAACATGTATTGGGGAAATAACAACCTCTTCAATATATGGTGCTGGGAAAACTGGATATCCATATGCAGAAAAATGAATGTAGACCCCTATCTTTCCCCATATACAAAAATTAATTCAAAATAGGTTAAAAACTTAAATCTATGACCTGAAATTATAAAACTACTAATGAAACATTGGGGAAAGTCTCCAATACGTTGGCCTGTACAAAGATTTCTTGAGTAATACCCTACAAGCACAGACAACCAAAGTAAAAATAGACAAGAGTATGTCAAATTTAAAAACTCCTGCACAGCAAAGAAAACAAAAAAGTGAAAAGGCAACACACAGAATGGGGAAAAAATATTTGCAAACTATTCATCTAACAACTGATTAATAACCAGAATATATAATGAGCTCAAACAACTTGATAGGATAAAATCTAAAATTGTGATTTAAAAATTGGCAAGAAGACACAAAAATGGCCAACAGGTAAAAGATTAGGTGCACAACATCCTTGGTCATTAGAGAAATGCAAATTAAAATTACAATGAGATATCATATCACCCCAGTTAAAATGGTTTACATCCAAAGACAGGGAATAACAAATACTGGTAAGGATATGAAGAAAAGGGACCCCTCATACACTGTTTTGGGGAATGCAAATTAGTACAACCACTATAAAGAACAGATTGGAGGTTCCTCAGAAACTAAAATTAGAGCTACCATATTATCTTGCAACCCAACTGCTAGGTATATATCTCCCAAAATGGAAATCAGTATATCAAAATATAGCTGCACTCTTGTGTTTATTGCATCACTCTACACAATAGCCAAGAAGAGATGGAAGCAACCTAAATGCCTATCAACAGACAGATGGATAAACAAAATGTGGTACCTATCCATGGAGTAGTATTCAATCATAAAATAGAATGAGATGCTGTCATTTGCAACAACATGGATGGAACTGGAAGACATTATGTTGAGTAAAATAAGCCAGGCACAGAAAACCAAACTTTGCATGTTCTCACTCATTTGTGAGAGTGAAAATTAAAAAACTTGAACTCACAGAGATAGAGTAGAATGATGGTTACCAGAGGTTGGGAAAGATAGTCGTATAGGGGGGAAGTAGGATGGTTAACAGGTACAAAATAATAGTTAGAAACAATGAATATATCTAGCATTTGATAGCACACCAGGGTGACTACAGTCAACAATAATTTATTGTATATTTTAAAATATCTAAAATTGTGTAATTGGATTATTTGCAACATAAAGAAAGGAAAAATGCTTGAGGTGATGGATACCCCATTTTCCCTGATGTAATTATTATGCATTGAATGACTATATCAATAAATCTCATGTAACGAATTAATATGCACACTTGCTATGTACTCACAAACTTTAAAAAAAGCCTCCTTTATCACGACAGGCACATTTTAAATGTTCAAATGCCAACTATGTCTAGTGCTTACTAGACTGTATTGGACAACACAAATTTAGTATATTTTCATTATCACAAGATTTGTATTTGACCACACAATTCTAAACCATACCATCATATTTGTCGGAATACTTCAGTCACTTCACCCTTACTGTATTAATTATTTCCACATGTCCCCCAAAGGGTACCTAGATGTCACAGTCTGCCCTTTAAGAGTGCCTACAATATACTTCCTTGTCTGCTCCAATTCCCCCCAAGTCAATGTTTTCAGACCTTGAGGCTTTTCTGAAAGGACACACTATGGCCAATCCATTGGCCATGTCAGAGTGTTGTCTCCCAGTGCTCCCAAAGTACCATTCTCTCTATAAAAATAAACAACTATAAAAGCACTTTGTTATTTATCTGCACACAGAAAATTATTTTCCCCATTTCTATCATCTCTTCAAAAAGCAAGCCATTTAATTCTACATAATTTTAAGCGTATTCTGCAACTTACATAACCAAGTTCAAATATTCACCATCTACATTTAGGTTACCAAGACTTTACAGTATCCTTAAGGACGTCTGAAACTGCACCTGCTTTATATATGTATAACTAAAAGGCCCCTTTGGATACTTCCTAAACAGAATAAACTATTTTCACTGAAGTTCATTTGAAGTTGCTAACACCAATAGATAAAACAGGCCTATGGTAACTTTAAAGTGCCTCCTTCTTTTTTTCATATTTCAAAACTCTCCGATGAATTTATTGACAGTATATACTATAACCAAGAAAATACTGATCAATACAATTTTATACTGACATAAAATCTGGCATACACTGATCTCAATAGTCCCTGGAAATTTTAGACAATAGACTATTCGATAGGTAGAATGATAAATAGATAATATAATTGCATCAACTATTTCTTTACAAGATATTGAATTGGATAGCAATTCAAGTACTTCTTTCGATTTACTATATTTGTGTAATCTGCATTATATAACCCCTGACTGTGTTCTCTTTCTGTAAATTAGGGGTAAGGTAAGCAAGACAATGATACTTGATTTAAAGAAACATGATATAGTGGGTTTGTATGCTTAAAATGTTAGACAATTTGGTGCTAAACATGAAATGAATTAAAGAAAGAAATAAAAATCAAAGGTTGGAGGCAAAAAATCATTTAAAATTAGATTTCTTTAGGATAATCCTTAATCTCTGAAAATGCACTTTAAAATTGCATAGAAATGTGAAGTGTTAATAGAGGCACTGAAAAATTAATTTAAGGACTGCCAACTTACTTAATAAAACATCAGAGAACATCATTGAAATTTACAATGTCATTTTCCCTCACATATATTTGCATATCTGTGACTATAAATACGTCCCTTTAAGACTGCTCAAGTCTGCCTATTCAGATGTGATTTAGGGCACTGTATAAAGAGAGGTCAGCATTTATTTCAAGTTCCAGGATACCCCTGTCACATTGTTTTGCTTTTATAAATATAAGGACTTTTATCATTAACAATACATATGTGGCCATTATCAAATATTTTAAAAAGATATCACAATTAGATTCCATGTCACACACACAAGATTCACTATAATTAAAACAAAAAGATGATAAGCATTGGTAAAACTGTAGAGAAATCAGAATCTTCATACACTGCTGGCAGGAATGTAAAATGGCACAGCCACTGTGGAAAACAGTCTGGCAGTTTCTCAAAAAGTTATACATAGAGTTACCATATGACCTGGTGTATTAGTCCGGTTTCATGCTGCTGATAAAGACATTCCTGAGACTAAGAAATTTACAAAAGAAAAATGTTTAATTGGACTTACAGTTCCACGTGGCTGGGGAAGCCTCACAATCATGGTGGAAGGCAAGGAGGAGCAAGTCACGTCTAACATAAATGGCAGCAGGCAAAGAGAGAGTGCTTGTGCAGGGAAACTCCCCCTTATAAACCCACCAGATCTCATGAGACTTATTGACTATTATGAGAACAGCATGGGGAAGATCTGCCTCCATGATTCAATTACCTCCTACCAGGTCCCTCCCACAACACGTGGGAATTCAAGATGAGATTTGGCTGGGGACACAGTCAAACCAAATTATTCTGCCACTGGGCCCTCCCATACCTCATGCCCTCTCATTTCAAAAGCAATCATGCCTTCCTAAGAGTCCCCCAAAGACTCCCCCAAAGTCTTAACTTATTTCAGGATTAACTATAAAGCCCATAGTCTAAAGTCTCATCTGAAAAAAGGCAAGTCCTTCCATCTATGAGCCTGTAAAATCAAAAGCAAGTTAGTTACTTCCTAGATACAATGAGGGTACAGGCATTGGGTAAATACAGCAATTTCAAATGGGTGAAATTGGCCAGAACAAAGGGGCTACAGGCTCCATACAAGTCCAAAATCCAGCAAGGCAGTCGAATCTCAAAGCTCCAAAATGATTTCCTTTGACTCCATGTCTCACATCCAGGTCACGCTGATGCAAGAGGTAGGTTCCCATAGTCTTGGGAAGCTCTGCCCTTGTGACTTTGCAGGGTATAGCCCGCCTCCTGGCTGCTTTCACAGGCTAGCATTGATTGCCTGTGGCTTTTTCAGGTGCATAGTGCAAGCTGTTGGTGGATCTACCATTCTGGGGTCTGGAGGATGGTGGCCCTCTTCTCACAGCTCCACTGGGCAGTGCCACAGTAGGGACTCTGTGTGGGGGCTCCAACCCCACATTTCCCTTCTGCACTGCCCAAGCAGAGGTTCTACATGAGACCCCTCCCCTGCAGCAAACTTCTGCCTGGACATAATTGTGTTTGAAATTGTGAGGACATGAGATTTGGCAGGGGCAGGGATGGAATGATATGGTTTGGCTGTGTCTCTACCCAAATCTCATCTTGAATTGTAATTCCCATAATCCCAACCTGTCAGGGGAGGGACAAGGTAAAGATAATTCAATCATGGGGGCAGGTTTTTCCTGTGCTGTACTCATGATAGTGAATAAGTCTCCCGAGATCTGATGGTTTTATAAAGTGCAGTTCTCCTGCACAAGCTCTCTTGCCTGCCACCATATAAGACATGCCTTTGCTCCTCCTCTGCCTTTCACCATGATTGTGAGGCTTCCCCAGCCATGTGAAACTGTGAGTCAATTAAACCTCCTTTTCTTTATAAATTACCCAGTCTTGGGTATGTCTTTATGAGCAGCATGAGAACAGACTAATACAGGAAGAAAAAAAGAAAGAGAAAACCACAAAACAACCAAAAAAACAAATAAAAAAATGGCAGATATAAGTTCTTTCTTATCAATGATAACATTTAATGTAAATTGACTAAACTCTCTAATAAAAAGACAAAAAGTGACTGAATAGATAAAAAACCAGACTCCTTGATCTGTTGCCTACAAATATACACACTTCACCTATAAAAATGCACATACACTGAAAAACAGGGATGGAAAAAAAATTCCATACCAATGGAAACTATAAAGATTTGTCCAATGCTGAAAGTGGATTATTGAAATCTCTAGCTATCATTGTATCATAGTCTCTCTCTCCCTTTAGCTGAAATAATATTTGCTTTATGTATCTGGGTGTTCCAATGTTGAGTACATATATATTTATAATTGTTATATCCCCCTGCTCAATTGACCCCTTTATCATTATATAGTGACCCTCTTTTTCTCTTCTTGCATATTTTGTCTTGAAATTTACTGTCTGATATAAGTATAGCTATTCCTGCTCTTTTTCAGTGTATGTGCATGGATTTGTGAAATCAGTGCCACAATCAGATACAGAACCATTCCATCATCTCCCCAAACTCTTTCATGATATCCCTTTATAGTTACACATTCTCTCACCCCTAACCACTAGCAAACACTGTTCTATTCCCAGCACTATAACTCTGTATTTTAGAGAAGCTCATATAAATGGAATCATGTATAACCTTTTCAGACTGGCCTCTTTCAATCACTTTAATGCTTTTGAGATCCATCCAAGTTGTTGCATATGTCTGTAGTTTATTCTTTCATATTGCTCGGTGGCCTTTCATTGTATGGATGTACCACAATTTTTTTACACATTGGTAAACTTTTTCATTTTTTCCAGATTTGGGCAATTATGAGTACAGCTGCTATAAGCATTTTCGTACATATTTTTATATGAACATCAATTTTCATTTCTCAAGGGTAAATACTAAGGAATCTAATTATCGGCCTGCATAGTAAATGTATTTTTAAATACATAAGAAACTGTCTGTTTTTACATTGACTGTGCCATTTTGTATTCTCATGTATGAGTGTTTCCAAAGCTGAATATCCTCTGCAGCATTTGGTACTGTCAGTTTTTATAAGCCATACTAATAGATGTGTCCTGGTATATCTTAACAATTTTAATTTGCATTTGCATAATGGCTAATCATATTGAACATCTATCCATGTGCTTGATTACTTGTCATTCTTATATCATGTTTACATGTCTCTTCACTTTTTTTGCTCACTTTAATGGTGTTCTTTATTTTATTACTGTTGTGTTTTGTGAGGTTTGATATCCTGAATGCAAATTCTTTCCCATGTATGTGCTTTGCAAATATTTTTTTTCTCAATCTATAACACCTCTTAGTTCTAGAAGATTTTTTGTAGATTCTTTAGAATTTTTCTACATAGACAAACATATCATTTGGCAACAGAAGCAATTTTATTTCTTTCCAATTTATATATCTCCTATTTATTTTTCTTGCTGTATTGCCCCTCCAATAAAGTGTTGACTAAGGCTGGTGAGAATGGCCACGCTTACCTTCTTCTCAAAAGTGGGGAAAAGCATTCACTCTTTCAGTGAGCATTATGTTCAGTAAGATTTGTGTAAATGGTTTAGATGTTGCAGATAATTAATATCCATAAATGTGTTGAATTTTGTCAGTATTTCATGCAATAATGGTGGTTAATGCATTGTTTTTCATCTTTAGTCTGTTAATATGATTCGTTGCATTGACTGAATTTCTAATATTGAAAAAGCCCAGCATACTAGGGAAAACCACACTTGGACATGGTACATTGTTTTCATATCTGTTGTTGAACTTGGTTTGCTATTATAATATTTTTGTGTCTTTATACATAACAAATATTTGTTTGTAGTATGTCTCCTCCCTTATACTGTCCAGTAAAATCAACTGGGCCTGGGAATTTTTTTACCAGAATGTTTGTAATTATAAATTCACTTGCTTTAATGGTTATAGGACTATTCAGATTACTTATTTCATATTGGTCAAGTTTTGATATTTTATTGTTTTTGAGGAATTAGGGTGTTTTCTCCAAGATAACTAAATGATATTCATATAATTATTCATAGTATTTCATTATTACCTTTTTAATATTTGTAGTGTCTGTAGTGATAATCCCTGTAATTTCTGAAATTGATAATCCATGATCACTCTTTTTTATTCATTGTCACTATTGTCAGAGATTTTTCAAACTTATTGATCTTGTCAAAGCACCAGCTATTAGTTTCAATTTCTCTATTGTTTTTCTCCTTTCAATTTTGTTCTTTTCTGCTCTTATCTTCATAACTCCCTTCCTTCTGCTTGCTTTGTAATTATTTTGCTCTTATTTTTGCAGTTTCTTGAGATAGGAGTTTAAATTTATTATTTGAGACCAGTCTTCTTTTCTAGTAAAAATAATTAATGTTATTAATTTTCCTGGAAGCACTGTTTTAGCAGCATCCTGCAAATTTTTATACACTGCATTTTCAATTTTGTTCAGGTGAAAAAGATTTTTAAACTTTTCTTTGACTTTTCCTTTGACCTAGGCAGTATTTAGAAGTGTGTTTTGTTCAGGTGAAAAAGATTTTTAAACTTTTCTTTGACTTTTCCTTTGACCTAGGCAGTATTTAGAAGTGTGTTTTGTTCAGGTGAAAAAGATTTTTAAACTTTTCTTTGACTTTTCCTCTGACCTAGGCAGTATTTAGAAGTGTGTTTTTAAATTTCCAAGTGTTTCATGGACACAGGAAGGGGAACATCACACTCTGGGGACTGTTGTGGGGTGGGGGGAGGGGGGAGGGATAGCATTGGGAGATATACCTAATGCTAGATGACGAGTTAGTGGGTGCAGCGCACCAGCATGGCACATGTATACATATGTAACTAACCTGCACATTGTGCACATGTACCCTAAAACTTAAAGTATAATAATAAAAAAAAGAAAAATAAATAAATTTTAAAAAATAAAAAAATAAATTTCCAAGTGTTCAAAAGTATTTCTGGTTTGTTTTTTTTTTTTTTTTTTTGCTATTCATTTCTATTTTAGTTCCATTACTACCAAAGAAAATACTATGTATCATTTTGATTAATTTATACTTGTGATTTGTTTAATGGCCAAGAATATGATCTGTCTTGCTGAATGTCCCACATGCACTTGAAAAAACTGAGCATTCTGCTGTATTATATAGAATGTTCAAGAGATATCAATTTGATTCCATTTGAAGATGCTGTTATTCAATCTTCTATATAATTGCTGATTTTCTGTCTACCAGTCCATCTATTATTTTGAGGAGACTATTGATATCTTTAACTATAATTGTGATTCTTCATTATAGCTTTCAGTTCTGTAAGCTTTTGCTTCATTTGTTTTGAATGTGTGTTGTTGGATATACATATTTAAAATTGTTGTGCCTTTGTGAATTCACCATATTCTTATTAGATAATGTTATCATTTGCCCCAGAAAATTTTATTTCTGCCAAATTCTACTTTGTCTAATACTAACATAGCCATTCTTGATTTCTATTGTTTGGTGTTTACTTAGTTTATCTCTTCCATCCATTTACTTTCTATCAATCTATATCATTATATTTGAAGTGAGCTTCTTGTAGATGGTATAAAATTAGGCTGTGCTTTTTTAAAAAAAAATTATCTTAACAACCTCTAGACTTTAACTGATGTATTTGTTTTAAAGCAATTTTCTTATTTATATATTTGTATACCACACAATTATGCCATTTAAGATATAAAAGTTAATGGTTTTTTGTATATTTAATAAATTGTGCAGCAACACCCAAAATCAATTTTAGACCATTTTCATAAACACAAAAAGGAATTCTGTACCTTTAGTAGTTACTTCCTCAACTCCTCTCAATTCCCCCAGTGTTAGGCAGCCATTAATCTACTTTCTGTCACTATAGATTTGACTATTTTGTGCAATTTACATAAGTAGTATCATACAATGTATAAGCTTTTGCGACTGGATTCTTTCTATTAGCATAATGTTTTCAAAGTTCATTATGTTTTAGCATATATCAGTACTTTATTCCTTTGTACTGCTGAATAGTATTCCATTGTATGGATATACCACATATTGTTTATTCATTCATTAGGTGATGGACATTTGGGTTGTTTCCACTTTTAGACTAATATGCATAATGTTGCTATGCATATTTATGTACAAGTTGTTGATTGAATGCCTGGTTTCAATTGTCTTCAGCACATACCCAAGTATGGAATTGCTTGGTTATTTGGAAACCATGTCTAGCTTTTTGAGAAATTTAATGTTATTATTGATATGCTATCATGTTATAGTTCTTTTTCTATTTGGTTCTCCTGTTCTTCCTTCCTCTTTTATACCTGTCCTGCTGTCTTTTTATTTGAATATTTTCGCATTTTTTAAAATTTATTAATTATAATTTTGACTATATAGCTTTTTAGTCATTGTTCTAGAAAGTAAAATGTGCATACTTAGCTTTCCACTATTTAGAATTAATATTCTACCACTTCAATCAGAATACAGAAATCTTATCAAATAGATTGTTATTTTACTCTTCCTCAATTATATTTCACTTTACTTATTTTTTCTACATGTATCAAAAACACCATCAGAAATATATATTTTCTTGCAAATGTCAAATGTATTTTTTAAAACTCAAGAAGACAAAAAGTACTCTATTACATTTACCCTTGTATTTACAATTTATATTGCTCTTCCTTCATTCCTGATTTTCCAAAGTTTTATTTGGTATCATGTACTTTTGGCCTGAAGATATTTCATTAGCAAATCTTCTAGAGAGAGGCTTCTGATAATGAATTTTCTTATTTTTTCTTTGTCTTAGTAGTTCTTTATTTCACCTTCATTCCTGAAAGATGGAATTCTATCTGAAAGTTTTTTTCTTCTAGCAGTTTGAAAAATTTTATGCCCCTTTTCTTTGGTGTCCACGTTTCTGACAAGAAATCCACAGTTATTAAAATTATCATTCATTTAATTAGTTTGCTGGGGCTGCCATAAGAAAATATTCCAGATTTGGTGGATTAAACAACGGAAACTTATTTTTTCACAGTTGTATAGGCTAGAGGTCTGAGATCAAGGTGTTGGCAGGGTTAAATTCTTCTGAGGTCTCTTTGGCTTACACGTCATTGATTTAGTTTGGATGTCCGCTCTAAATCTCAAGTTGAGATGTAATCCCCAGTGTTGAAACTGGAACATGGTGGAGGTGTCTAGGTCAGTCATGGGGATGGATCCCTCATGGCTTGGTGCTGTCCTTACAATACTAAGTGAGTTCTCATGAGATCTGGTTATTTAAAAGCGTGTGGCACCTGCTCTTTCCACTCTTTCTCTTGCTCTTTCTCTTATGTGATATGCCTGTTGCTCTTTCATCTTCCACCATAATTGTAAGCTTCCTGAGGCCTCCCCAGAAGCCAAGCAGATGCTAGCACAATACTTTCTGTAAAGCCTGCAGAACATTAAGCAAATTAAATTTCTTTTTAAATAAATTACCCAATCTCAGGTATTTCTTTATAGAAATGTAAAAACAACATAATATAGTCATCCTCTTCCTGTATTTTCACATGGTCTTTTCTCTGTGTGTGTCTGTGTCCATATCTCTTTTTCTCATAAGGACACCACTTATATTGGAATAAAGCCCGTTGTAATTATCACATTTTAACTTAATTACCTCTTTAAAGACCCTGTCTCCAAATACATTCACATTCTGAGGAACTAGTGGTTAGTGTTTTAACATGTAGGTTTTTGGGAAACACAATTTAGGTCAGTTTTATCTGGCTTCTTTCAAGATATTTTTTGCTTAGTTTTCAGCAATCTAATTATAATATGTCTGGGATAAGCCTCTTTTAACTTGACACAGCTTGGAGTTTGTCAAGATTCTTCCATTTATTTGGATGTGTCCCATGTGTGACCTACTTAGCGGTCAGTCTGCGACATGGGTTGTGTTCTATTTGTTACTTAAAATCTCAAAGTCTTTGATATTCTGAATGGGATCTAGTTAATGTGCAGCTCAGGGATGAGCCCGGGATTTGATGAACATCTTTATGGGGTCTCTTTTCCATGTTTCTCCCTCTCTGTAATATTCTTGGCATGCAATGCGTTCCTGAGGCTTCCCATTTGGGCCCTGCATCCAAAAACTTGGGGCTTTATTTACCCTACTGGGCCACACACTTTACAATGCTGCCCATTTCTAGGGCCAAACAGTAGAGGGCAATAAGTGAGAAACAGGACATTTTAATAGAATGGCTTTCCCTCTCAGTTTTGAACCCCGTGGGTTTCCACTGGGTCTCTCTTGCAACCTCTATGAGATTGCCTGGGGTTGGATCAAACCAATGAATAGAAGTAACACAAACATCAGCTTATGGCACTCTCTCTGATTATTACTTGTTCTCTTTATTACCTCTCGAGCCAAAAATATAGGTATTTTCATGGAGCTTTCTGGGTTTTGTTTTGTTTAGGTTAGGAATGATGTGTACTATGTTGCTTTATTTGATCATTTTAGTTGATATCTGAGGGAAGGTTATAGTTTATGGTTAGCAGTTCATTGACCATCTTCCCAGAAGTTCCACATTATTTATAAATATGTAGAAAAAATTACAATTTTTTTTTGGCAATGGTAAAAATACAATGTGAGTTTTCATGGCACCAGGTTTTAATGGTGTATAGCTCTTCAAGAAAAGTGTGTGAAAAAAATAGTTGCTTAAATTATCATCAAACATGGAAAGATATTCAATTCAACTTGAAGTGGTAAAGACACAGTGTTGCAGAAGAGGGATAGCTGTGCTGCCAGATTTCAGAATCCATCTGATCAGATTTATAAAATTTGGGCACAAATTATATAGGAAAATACCTGGAAGTTCTTGGATACCATTGTCTTTCTATTCCTAAATTCCACATTTTAAATAGTCTCTCAATTACATGTGACACATCTTCAAAGAATTTGTTGAGAATACACTGGTGGCAGAATTTAAACATTCGCTTGGTTGCAGATTGGCTGGTCATCTTCACATATTGAAAACTACATGGCTTAAATATTTCGGCCAGAAACTCTGTAGATCTTCCACAGCTGCCAGGACCACGAACTCTGAAACCAGGTGAACTTTGCATTTCTAAACCAGTGACCAGAAAATAGGTGGCAAGGGCAGGACACTGGTGGGGTGAGGCTGGCTGGTTCTGTGCCCACCAAGGCTCTGACTGCAATGGCAGTTGGCAGTGGGAGGAAGGGTGGGCTGTACTCCTGTTGCAGCAGTGGCACAGCAAGGTTCACTGACACATGCACACTGTAGGGACAAAGAAAGCATAAACCACCTATGCACACACATGTCATCAAAGTGATGTGAAGGGTTGCCATGGGCCCAGGGGAAGCTGCAGTGTGGGAAGGGAGCAAGTGGGCTTGTGCATGGCTGTGGGGGCTGCTCCACTGGAGCCCTTCTCTGGTCCTCTGGTCAGGCACAGTCCACCAGTGCAGAAGCTATGACACGTGCTCCCAAGGCACTCGAGGCTGCCCTGCAAGAAGGCATGGTCAGGCTGGGGCCCCAGAGAGGACAGCAGACCAAAGGGTGCTCAGGTCAAACCTGCCCTGTCTGATGGGCAAGACCACCCAGCAGAGTTCAGGTCTGACATTTCGCCTAGGGCTAAAGGCTCCTATGGGAACAAGTTGAACCTTGGGGGATGGTTGCTCCTGGCCATGCTTCACTACAAATGCTCCTATGCCAATCCCTTTGGGCTCCACATTAGCTGGCTTGCTGCCCCACTACTTCTCTAAGCAGATTTCCCTGCCTACTAGAATGTCTGTCGTGGTCAAGGGGTTGCCTCCTGTGGGGATTCCAGAGGCCCATATGAGAGTGAGTTGCTCCTTGCCAGTTCAACTCACCCGTTCCCCCAGAGACACTGGAGACCAAGAATGAGTGCTGGTGCATGTAGCCACATGCAGGGTTCCCAGCTTCCTCCCACTTCAGCTCAGCTTGTGTGTCTTCCCTCTGTCCCCTCTCAGTGTCTTCCCTCTGAATATCTATCAGGAGGGTGCCAGTCATCTGGGTCCTTCAGTGGCAGCTGTTCCACCTAGCTGTGTCTAGTCATCCATCTTGCCTTCCTAATTGCATTATTTTTGTATTCACCAACTTTCTTATTTTTGACATATATAACCAATGTTACATACATTTATTTTTTAAAGTTGTTTAGACTTAAGCCATATTTTCAAGGGATTTACTTAAAAAGCAATTGGCTACTTAAATTCAAAAATAGTTTTTCTGTTCTTTTCAAAATTTTTATTTTTATTTAAATAGTTTTGGGGTACAGGTGGTTTTTGGTTACAAGAATAATTTATTTAGTGGTGATTTCTGAGATTTTGGTGCACACATCATCTGAGCAGTGCACACTGTGCCCAATGTGTAGTCTTTTATCCCTCACCCCTTTCCACCCTTTCCCAGAATCCCCAAAGTTCGTTATATCATTCTTATTCCTTTGCATCCTCATAGCTTAGATCCCAGTTGTAAGTAAGAACATATAATATTTGGTTCTCCATTCCAGAGTTATTTCATTTAGAATAATGGCCTTCAGCTCCCTCCAATTTGCTGCAAAAGACAGTATTTTATCAGTTTTTATGGCTGAGTAGCATTCCATGGTGTATATATACCACTTTTTTTATCCATTTGTGATTAATGGGCACTTATGTTGGTTGCATATCTTTGCAATTATGAATTGTGCTGCTATAAACATGTGTGTGCATGTGTCTTTTTCATATAATGACTTATTTCCCTTTGGTAGATACCCAGCAGTGGGATAGCTGGATCGAATGATAGCTCTATTTTTAGTTCTTTAAGGAATCTCCTTACTGTTCTTCATAGTGGTTGTGCTACTTTACATTCCAACCAGCAATGTAAAAGTGTTCCCTTTTCACCACATGCATGCTAACATCTATTTTTTGACTTTTTAATTATGGCCATTCTTGCAGGAGTGGGGTGATATCTCATTCTGGTTTGGATTCACATTTCACCAATAATTAGTGATGTTGAGTATTTTTTCATATGTTCATTGGCTGTTTGTACATCTTTTGAGAATTGTCTATTCATGTACTTTACCCACTTTTTGATTGAGTTATTTGTTTTTTCTTGCCAATTTGTTTGAGATCCCTGTAGATTCCGGATATTATTCCTTTGTCTTCCCCCTTGGGAAGTTTGTGGATATTTTATTGCATAGTTGTGGATTTACTGCATAGTTTATGGATATTTTATCCCATTCTGTGTGTTGTCTGTTTACTTGGCTGATTATTTCTTTTGCTGTTCGGAAGCTTTTTAGTTTAATGAGGTCACATTTATTTATTTTTGTTTTTGTTGCATTTGCTTTTGGAGTCATAGTCATTAATTCTTTGCCTAAGCCAATGTCTAGAAGAGTTTTTCCAGTGTTATCTTCTAGAATTTTTATGGTTTCATGTCTCAGATTTAAGTCTTTCATCCATCTTGAGTTGATTTTTTTATAGGGTGAGAGATAAGAGTCCAGTTTTATTCTTCTACATGTGGCTTTCTAGATTTCCCAACACCATTTATTAAATAGGGTGTCCTTTCCCTAACTTATATTTTTATAGGCTTTGTCAAAGATCAGTTGGCTGTAAGTATTTGGCTTTATTTTTAGGTTCTCTATTCTATTTCATTGGTCTACATGCCTATTTTTATGCCAGTATGATGCTGTTTTGGTAACTATAGCCTTATAGTATATGAGTTGAATACCTCAGCTTTAGTTTTCTGTTTGCTTTTGCTGGTTTTGACTCTGCATAGTGAGAGCTTTAGATGTAATAAAATAAGTAATGGCAAGAATAAGTGAGCTCAAGTTTACATTTTATTTCTAGCTCTGTGATCTTGGAAAAAGAATTTAACTTTGCTGTTTTATCAAGTAAAAGTAATTAGATTGGATGAGATAATCAATGATTAACAAAATTCCTATAAGTGGAATACTTTGACCTCTTCAGCTGTGTTGTGGACATTGTACTGTGCTCCTACATCCACCCCCAACCCCACATCTCTGCCACAAGTACTGCCGGCTGACATTCTCATTCAAAAATTGTTCTTACCAAAAAGAGTCTCTTCACATAAGGCCATATCCCTGCATCCAATTACTTCTAGATATAGAGATATAAGTACTCAGCCCCCACATCAAAGCCCAGAACAATTCTGAAGAGCCATCCCACTTTCAGAGCCCACGGTGAGATCAGCTGAGGCTCTGGTTCTCAGCAACTTTTGCTGCTCAATTTCTTCCTCTGCCCAATCCTGTTTCCTTCCTTTCTCTCAACAGATTTAATCCTGAGAAATCCTCTTAATAGAATTATAGCACAATATTCTTTGACTCAGAGACTGCTTTCCAAAGAACCCAGTGTTCAATCAGCTGGAAGTACTATTGTTATGGGATCCTTGGTGTGTTGCTTATCCAGCTGGAAGCTTCTGTGGCCAGTGACGCCTTTGTCTGAGTTTTGCCTGGGCCTGCTGGGCTCATTCTGCCCGCTCAGCCTGGAAGCTGTGCTCAGCTTGCATTGCTGGTCTGGATCCCATGCCTGCCAAGGGTGAGCCAGATGCAGAGCAGGTGTGTGAGCAAGTGAGTGTGGGGTCTGGCCACTGTGCACAGTCAGGCAAGCTAGCTGTGGCAAGGTGAGCAGCTCCAGGCACCAGCACAGGCACCGGCTCCCTGCAAGTCTGCGGCTAGACCAGGCATACCGCAAGCAGCTTCCAAAGTTGGCACGGAGGAATGCAGTGATGCCTGGAAGCTTGGAGATGCCAGGAACTGCAAAACCCCAAAGAGGGTGTCACAGCCCCGGCTTGGGGAACTGATAGGTCTGGGCTCCCCAAAATTCAGCAGCTCTTCTATCTCGCTCCTCTCCTACTTTTCACACACAATGTGGTGAGCAAGGGGCATGTTTCAGCCTTGTTTCTGTGACAGCTCTTTTAGCCACACCATTCGGTGGGTCTTGAGTTCTTGGCCTATATCCAGGAAGAATGAGGTACACGGACAAGTGGAAGGTAAGCAAGGCAAAGAGGAGCTTTATTGAGTGACAGAACAGCTCAGAGGAGACCTGCAGTGGGTAGCTCCTCTCCACAGGCAGGGTGTCCTGTCAAGTGTTCACTTTTCAGCAGAGAGGAAACCCTGCAGTGAGTAATTCCTCTCCACAGCTGGTCATCCATCAAATGTTCAGCTCTCAACACAGAAAGCACCCTGGGGTGGGTAGCTCCTCTCTGTAGCTGGTCATCTTGTCTTCTTTTCAGCTCTCAGCAGAGGGAAGACCATGGGCTGGGTAGCTCCTCTCCGTGGGCAGGTGGTCTAGTTGAGTGTTCAGCTCTCAGCAGAGAGGAAACCCTGGAGTGGGCCGCTACTCCCCAAAGCTGGTCACCCTGTTGTCTCCTTGAGTCTTGCTGAGCACACGGCTTTTTGGGCTTCAGAGGGGAGGAAGTGCATGCTGATTGGTCCATAGGTGGCCATGGGTGGGCACAGAAAAAGCACCATAATATCCCACTCTGGTCCACAGGACTGGCATCCCAGCCCCCAGTACGGCTTGAAGTTGGGGCTTCACTGGGGACCCGCGCCTTTCCCCCCTGGAACCTGTCTGCCTTCTGCTGCTGTTCATGGTGCCCAGGCTGTTCATGCTGAGGGGTGCCTGCAGGCCAGTGCCAAACTGCCCTCAGCACCCCCTTGGCCTCCCTCCCATGCTCTTTGGCATCCAAAGTCAGGAGGGGGCCATGCAGCAGGGTGCTGGTGTGTCAGCTCTGCCTCGAGCTGACATGCCCAGGCTCGGTCTCAACTTTGCTCCAAGATCAGAGTGGGTTCTGGGAGCTGAGAGGGGCCAGGCAGTGGGAGCAGGCATTTCTGAGCCTGTGGAGTGGGTTCCAGGAGCAAGGAGAGGCCAGGCAGTGAGAGCAGGCATTTTCAAGCCTGTGGGGGCAGGAGGGCCTTCCCTGGGCCCTCAAGAGTGCAGAAATGCCTGGGCCCACAGCCATGGCTTGAGTGGCAGCATCTGCACCCGGGAGGGTGGGGCTCCCACCTGCCCCCAGCCCCCAAGAGCATAGGGATGCCCAGTCTCACAGCTGCAGTTTGGGAGGCTGCAGCTGCACCCATGATGGTGGGGCTGCTGCCTGCTTTGTGGGGGCACAGCCCCAGCCATACCTCCCCACTGCAGCCCGTAACTTTGCAGCAGCCACTCCAGATGGGCTGCTGCTGCCATCACTATGTCCCTCCTCTTGGGATTTAATTTGATCCTCTGCCTTGATGGTGCTTGCATTCTATACCGTATTTTACTTATTGCATGTTTTCTTATGTATTTTTTGCATACTAATCTGCAACTTCTTGAAGGTAAGAAATTTTTAAAAAATCTTTCACATCAGCTGACAGTGATCCATTACTTACTGGGTTTGGTGAATGTATAAAGTGACATTGAAATAGTCATATTTTTTCCTGCTTGATCTTCATAGAATCAATAAACAGTTCATTTTTTGTAATTTTCACTCTTTACTACAGGAGCTGTGATTTCCCTATCTTCATGAAAGTTGAATTGTTTCTGTAATTTTTCTGTGGATTTGTGAGTTTTGTGGTTTATTTACAATAACATGATAGTTGGGGTATTATTGTTGGCAATGGAGATATTAAATACTGTGATCCCATAATGTTTTTTAATTGGTTTGCCAATAATCAGTTAGAAAGCTTTAATTCTGTTAGAACTAATAAAGAAAATGTGCTATATCAAAGACTTAAAGGCATATTTCTTTTCTTTCTATTGCATTGGTAAAGTCAGTTGGTGATTTTTATTATTTTTAGTATTCAATTTTCATTTTTAATTATATATGGTTGAAAGTGAAGTCCATTCAAATATTGCAAAGTAACACTAGTATTCTTAAAAGTGAAATCCATAGGTATAATCAGTTCCTATTCATTCAGAAGTCAAAGATAAGAATACTATATCATTTGTAATCACATAGACAATTTCATTCTTTGTATCAGCTTTAATTTCTAAAAAGTGTTTCATTTAGTAGAAGTTTTTAGAGCAACATTAGACCAATTGTAAACTACATAGCATTCATATTGTATTAGCCCCTTTCCAATGCCTTCCATTCTGTTTTCCAAATTATATTCCTGTAATTCCTGAATCTTTAAGCCTCAGTGATTTGAATTTCATGTGCAATCACAGATACCCTTTCAGTAAATCGTGTCATTATTTGGTATTTTTCTCATTCAAAGAAATGCTTTCATATTTTATGACCATTTGGACCATTCCATTTTCACATCATTGAAAGTCTTCACACATTTTCTTACAATATCATCTTGGAGTTTTAGCTTCAAATAAAAAATAGCAATCTCTATCTTGCCAACAATTAGTTGGGGAAACACCATAGATTATGATCACTTCTATGTTGCCACACCAGGAGTACCAGTGACAAGCCAAATATCACCTTGAAGCATCTGTTATCATCTGATGCATTTTTGTTGGCAAAGCCATCATCTATTTTGCCAACATCAAAATTATCTCAACCAGATTCTACATTAACGTCTACCACCACCTTAAGTAGTCCTAACACTCTTCCAGAGAATGTGATAACATTAAAAAGGCACAGTATATCCATTCTATGGATTTAGCTATATCTGTAAGAATTTTCCCAGGTGATATCCAGTACATCTTGAGTCAATAAAAAGGGAAGTATCAAAATAACATAGTCTGATTGTATTAAAAAACAAACTAAAAATGTGTATATGTATTTTGTCACAGGACAAAAGATAGAGGTCATACAAAATGCATTATCATTGGTTACCTTGGAACAGTGGCAGCGGGGTGGATACTTGGAGTAAGAAGAAACCATTATACTTCTCTTTAATTGTGGTTAGCTGTGTGGTTTTCATTATCAAAATGAGTGTGCAAGGATTATGTAGTTAAAATAAAGCAAAATATTTTAAATAGCACATAGTCAATGTTACCCTGTTTTAGCATCTGTTTGCTCATATTATCTGCATAAAATGAAACTACTTTTCTTCTCTTATACATTACAAATGGACTCCCCAGCTGAAGCATTTTTCCCTACCTATTATAATATCTCTTTTTCCATGTTTCTTCCTTGTTTAAAAATAATTATCACACTTAATCTCTTCATGAAACCTTATAATCATACCAATGACAACAATAACCTCTCACCACTTAAATGCATGACAGGGTGGACAAAAATCCAAGTAGGAAAGACCAAGTATCAAATTCATCAATTAAGGCCTTGCTTTCACCCTTTCTGTCAACTTAAATCATTTATTTGTTTCAACATTTTTTATTACATTCAGTAATGACTTTTAGTGAATGATAATCTGTTTGAATTCCACAAGAATGTTAGAATTTCACAATTTGCATTTCTATTAGTCAATAGTTTTACAAAATAATACCTGCTACCAATATATGATAGGTCTTACGTAAGCTCACAAGTGGCATTTCTTAATGACAGTACTTTAGCAGAAATTTAGATCAATTGATTACCTGCAGGTATTTTCTCAGAATACTTTAATGTTGACAAAGTGTCATATATGACTCATGTCTGCATCTCTGTAACCAATTTTTATGAGTCTTTTCCGTGTATGTGTGTGTGTGTGTGTGTGTGTGAGAGAGAGAGAGAGAGAGAGAATCTGTTTTATTGTGTCCTAATGATTGTATTGCAAGCTTCCAAACAGATATACATCAGATTTTCTACTGAATTTTATTTTAATACCCTATAGTATCTATTATGTCTTTACAACATTTGGTAGACCTACTCCATAAATTGAGTTATTAAAAGAGAATTAGGAGCATGGCATGGAGATGTCCTAAGGTAGTATGGGTGGAAGAGTGAAAATGTGTTTTGCATATTTTTACTACCAGGGTAAAAACTCAGAATGAAAGTTCTAATGCTGGAATTACTTTTTTAAGTCAAACTTATTTTTTTGCCTGAGTATAAACGTTAATCATGCTTTGTGTTTTGGTTATTTCTGGATATGTTAGATAGATGTTGAATATTTCAAACAATAAATTTTATTTATTTATCATATTATCTGCTATGACAAGCAAATTTCAGATAGTCACTGTCTGCTTAATTTATCATGGTAAAATATGATTTGTTCATGTCCTGAAATTGAACTTTTGGCTATTTTATGTGAACCTTTGGCAAATATGTCAGAATAAAACTATATCAAGAAGAAATAAAATTATCTTTTTCTGCCTTAACTTCAGGCTGGGACCAACCTTAGGTGGTCAGTTTGATTTTCACAGGAATGGTCTCGGAAAAACGTAGAAAAGGTCATACTGGATTTGTGGGGGGACGGACAGGGAGCCAAGATGGCTGATGATGCAGACAGGAAGAGCTTCTCCCACTGAGAGACCAGATCATCAAGGAGACAGGCATACTTCCAAACAGATGTTCACAAATAAGGCATTGAGAGTGGATAGAGGGAAGACACAGACCCAGGACTGAAAGAGGAGGAAGCTGGGAACCCTGCACGTGGTTGCCAAGCACCAAGACTTGTTCCTGGTCCCAACCAACTCTTGGGGAAGGGGTGAGTAAAATAGGCATGAATTGGCCCACTTTAACAATGGACTTCCAGAATCATAGCTACAGGAGACCCCAGAATCCCCAGGTACATTTGAGCTGACAGGGAGAACTGCATAAAAAAGCTGGCAAAGTCAGAACACCAGCTTGCATAGAGCCTAGAGGGTTGGAAGCAGTAAAGGCTGCAGTGAAGCACAGCCATGCGCAACTACCCCCTAAGGCTCAGATACCCACTTAAGTGACCATCTACCAAGGTTCAGATACTCCTCTACGTAACTTTAGAATTTGTTGGCTGACACACCCAGACAGAGCAGGAATATCTTGCCCAGGTGACAGGGCCTGAATTACATGAGTGAGTCCCTGTCTGCTGGCCTATCCCAACGTCCCTGCCTGCCTGCACCCACTTGCAGTGTGGCCTCTGCTGCACAGCACAGGAGCTGGTCAGCAGCCACCACCATGTCTCTTTTGCCAAGACCCAAAATAGCAGATGGAGAGCTATTGCAGGCAGGCTCCTGCCAGTGTGCACCTGCCCAGACCCCCTCCCCCACCAGAGTTCACTTGCCTACAGCCTCCCCTTACTGCTTCACTGGCAAATGCACATGTGTGGGACCGTCCACTGCCCTGCTGCTGCCCTGCCAAAGTGTTAATGCTGGCACCCCCTATCAAGAGTATTGTTGCAAGCAGACCAAAAACACCTTGGCCCCTCCAGGGCAGCAGGTGCTTAACCTCAAACAGTCACAGGAAAAAGCCATGGGCCTGGTCCCATGCCCTTAAAGTTAGTGAATACAGCCCAGGAGTGCTGAGCTGAACCTTGAACTCCTGAAATCATCCAGAAAGAAACCCAATTGACTAAGCTCATCTTATGCCACAGTAAAACCTTCAAGGGCATCAAAGAGGATAAAAGCAAACAAACAAACAAAAAGGATAGAAGCTTCAAACATTAAAGAAACATCAGCCAACACAGATGAGAAAGAACCAGTGCAAGAACTCTGGAAACTATCAGTCAGAGTGTCTTCTTACTTCCAAACAACTGCAATAGCTTTTTAGCAATGATTTGTAAGCTGACTGAAATGGCCAAAATAACAGACACACAATTCAGAATCTCGATGGCAATGACAATCGTCAGGATTCAGGAGAATGTTGAAACTGAATCCAAGGAATGTAAGGGATCCAGTCAAACAATTCAAGAGCTGAACAATAAAATAGTCATTTTAAGAAAAAACTAAACTGAGCTGTTAGAGCTCAAAAACTCACTACAATAATTTCATAATACAATCAGAAGTATATCAGAATATACCAAGTGGAATAAAGAATCTCAGAGCTTGAAGATGACTTTTTCAAATCAAATTCATCAAATAAATTAGGGGAAAAAATTGTTTAAACCTTCAAGAAATATTAGATTATGTAAGGAGAGGAAACCTATAACGCACTGGTATCCCAGAAAGACAGTGAGAGAAGGGAAGCAACTTGAAAAATATATTTCAGGATACTGTCCACATAAATATCCCCAAACTTGCTAGAGGGGTCAACCTGCAAATTAGGAAAATTTAAAGAATAACTGTAAGATACTGTACAAGATGATCATACCCAAGGCACACAGTCATCAAATTCCCCAAAGTTATTGTTGAGGAAAAAAATATTAAAGGCAGCTAGAGAGAAGGGGCAAGCCATGTACAAAGGGAGCTACATCTGACTAACATAATACATTCAGCAGAAACCTTATAGGTCAGAAGAGATGGAGGCTCATATTCAGCATCCTAAAATAAAAATAAAAAAATTCAAACAAAGAATTTCATATCAAGTCAAACTGAGCTTCATAAGTGAAGAAAAATTATTCTTATTAGGCAGGAAAACGTTAAGTGAATTAATTACCACAGCCTTCAAAGATGTCTTTAAAGGAGTGATAAACAAGGAAACAAAAGACTGTTACCTGCCACGACACAAAAAAACTTGCATACGTAGCCCACTGATGCTATAAAGTAACTATTCAATCAATTCTACTTAACAACCAGCTAACAACATGATAAAAGGATCAATTCCTCACATATCAATATTAACCTTGAACTTAAACAGGCTAAAAGCCACACAGAGTGACAAGTTAGATGAAGAGCAAGACCCAACTGTTTGCTGTCTTCAAGAGACACATCTCACATGCAATGACATCCATAGGCTCAAAGTAAGTGGATGGAGAAAGATCTATCAAGCAAACGGAAAACAAAACACATCAGAGGTTACTCTTCTTATTCCAGGCAAAACAGACTTTAAAGCAACACCATTCAAAAAGGACAAAGAAGACCATTACATAATGATAAAGACTTAAATTCAACACGAAGTCTTAACTATCTTAAATATATATGCACCCAACACTGCAGGACCCAAAGAATCACTTAAAAAAGTTCTTAGAGACCTATGAAAAGACTCAGACAATCACGCAATAATAGTGAGAGACTTCAACACCCCACTGACAATGTTCAGCAGATCATCGAGGCAGAAAACTAACAAAGATATTTGGGACCCAAACTTGACACTTGACAAAATTTACCTAACAGAGATCTATAGAAAGTTCTATTCTGCAACTAGAGAATATACATTTATCTCATCTTCATATGGCACATAATCTAGAATTGACCCCACAATTAACCATAAAGCAATTCTCAACACATTTAAAAAAAAAACCAAAAGTATACCAAGCACACTCTCAGAGAACAGTGCAAAAAAACACAACTCAATACCAAAAAACGATCTCAAAGCCATACAAATGCATGGAAATTAACCTAATTTTGAGTGACTTTTGATGAAGCAATGAATTAAGGCCGAAATCAAGAAATTCTTTGAAACTAATGAGAACAAAGATAAAACATAACAAAACATCTGAGACACAGCTAAGGCAGTGTTAAGAGGAAAGTTTATAGTGCTAACCACTAACATCAAAAAATCGGAAGAACTAAAATTAACAACCTAACATCATGCACATGGGAACTAGAAAAATCAGAGCAAATCAAAACCAAACCTAGGAGAAGAGAAGAAATAACCAAAATCAGAGCTGAACTGAACAAAAATGAGGCAAAAGAAACCCATACAAAAGATCAATTAAGCCAAAAGTTTGTTGTTTGAAAGAATAAATAAGATTGACAAACCACAGGCTAGACTAATAAAGAAAAAAATAAGATTCAATAAGCACAAGCAGAAATGGCAAAGATGATATTACCATAATCCCCACAGAAATAAAAACACCCACAGAGACTATTATGAAACACCTCTATGCAAGCAAACTAGAAAACCTAGAAAAAAAATGGATGAATCCAGAAACATAAAACTGCCCAAGATTGAATCAGGAAGAAATTATATCCCTGAACAGGCCAATAACAAGTTCTAAAATGAAATCAGTAATATAAAATCATACCAACCAGTAAAAGACTGGGACCAGATGGATTTACAAACAAATTCTACCAGAGGTATAAAGGGAGAGCTGGTTCCAATACTATTGAAACTATTTCAAAAAATTGAAGCCTCATTCTATGTAGCCAGCATCATTCTGATACCAAAATCTGGCAGAGACACATGAAAAAGGAAAACTTCAGACCAGTATTCTTAAGGAATTTAGATGCAAAAAATTCTCAAAAAAAATACTAGCAAATTGAATTCAGCAGCATATCGAAAAGCTAATCTACCACAATCAAGTAGGCTTTATCCCTGGGATGCAAGGATGGTTCAACAAACACAAATCAACACATGTGATTCATCACATAAACAGAACTAAAAATGAAAACTACATGATCATCTCAATAGATACAGAAAAGACTTTCAACAAAATTCAACATACCTGCATGTTAAAAACCCTCCTCAAACTAGACATTGAAGGACTATACCTCAAAATAATAAAAGTCATAAATATAAAATGCACAACCACCTACTGTATGGGCAAAGGCTGGAAGCATTCCACTTAAGGACCATTAAAATACAAGGATGCCAACTCTCACCACTTCTACGCAACATAGTGTTGGATATCCCAGCCAGAGCAAACACATAAGAGAAATAAATAAAAGATATCCAAATAGGAAGAGAGGAAGTAAGATTATATCTTTACAGATGATATGATTCTATACCTAGAAATCCCCATAGTCTCTGTGCAAATGCTCCTAGGACTGAAAACAACTTCTGCAAAGTTTCAGGATACCAAATGAAGGTAGAAAAATTAGTAGCATTTCTATACACCAAGAATGTCCAAGTTGATAACCAAATCAAGAACTCAACTTTATTCACAATAGCCACAAAAATAAAATACCTAGGAAGACAGCTAATCAGGGAGGTGAAATATCTCTTCAATGAGAATTACAAAACACTGCTGAAAGAAATCAGAGATGACACAAACAAATGGAAAGGCAGTTCCTGCTTATGAATAGGAAGAATCAATATTCACAAAATTATCATATTGCCAAAAGCAATTTACAGATTAAGCATAATTCTTATCAAACTACCAATGTCACTTTCCACAGTACTATAAAATGCTATTCTAAAATTCATATGGAACCTAAAAAGAGCCCACCTAACCAATGAAATCCTAAGCAAAAGAAACAAAGCTGAAGGCATCATACTACCCCACTTCACAGGACACTACAAGTCTACAGTAACCAAAACAACATGGTTCTAGTGTGCAAAAAGACACACATAGACCAATGGAACAGGTTAGCAAACCCAGAAATAAAGCTGCACACTCACAACCATCTGGTCTTTGGCAATGTTAACAAGGGCAAACAATGAGGAAAGGACTCCCTATTTAATAAACGATGCTGGAATAACTGGCCAGCCATATGCAGAAGATTGAAACTGGACTCCTTCCTTTCACTATACACAAAAATCAACTCAAGTTTGATTAAATACTTAAACATACAACCTAAAACTATAAAAACCCTAGAAGAAAACCTAGGGAATACAATCCTCAACACAGGCATTGACAAAGATTTCATGATGAAGACTCCAAAGGCAAAGATTTCATGATGAAAACTCTAAAAGTAATTGGAAACATAACTGACAAGTGGGACCAAACTAAACTAAATATTTTCTGCACAGCCAAAGAAACTATCAACAGAACAAATGGACAACCTAAAGAGTAGAAGAGAATATTTGCAAACTTCATTCACCAAAGGTGTAATATCCAGAATCTACAAAGAACTGAAACAAGTCAACAAGCAAAAAAGCAAACGACCCCTTTAAAAAATGGGCAAAAGACATGAACAGACATTTCTCAAAATAAGATATACATGCAGCCAATGAGCATACGAAAAAAAATGCTCAACATGACTAATTATTAGAGAAAGGCAAATCAAAACCACAGTGAAATACCTTCTCACACCAGTCATAATAGCTATTGGTAAAAAGTAAAAAAAATAACAGATGCTAGCAATATTGATGAGAAAGGGAAATGCTTATACACTGTTGTTGGGAACATAAATTAGTTCAACTACTGTGGAAATTAGTTTGGTGATTTCTCAAATAACTTAAAACAGAACTACCATTCGACCCAGCAATCCCATTACTGAGTATATACCCCAAGGAATATACATCATTTCACTACAAAGACACATGTACATATGTTCATTCCAGCACTTTTCACAATAGCAAAGACATGGAATCAACCTAGGTGCCCATCAACAGTGGATTGGATGAAGAAATTGTGGCACATATATACCATAGAATATACACAGCCATAAAGAAAATAAAATCATATTCTTGTGGCCAAAAAGTATTTAAAAAACCTGAACATCACTGATCATTAGTGATGATTAGTTTTGATGCTTAAGTTCAGGGGTACATGTGTAGGTTTGTTATATATAAACTCATGACCTTTGCCCATTTTTAATAGGGTTATTTGCTTTTATGCTTGTTAACTTGTTTCAGTTCCTTATAGATTTTGGATATTAGATCTTTGTTGAATAAAATTTGCAAATATTTTCTCCCACTCTGTAGGTTGTCCATTTACTTTGTTGATAGTTTCATTGGTTTTAAGATTCAAATCTAAACCACAATGAGACACTATCTCATACTAGTCAGAATAGCTATTATTATAAGTCAAAAAATAACAGATCATGGCAAGGTTGTAGAGAAAAGGAACACTCACACACTGTGGATGAGAGTGTAAATTAGTTCAACCATTGTGGAAGTCAGTATGGCAACTCCTCAAATATCTAAAGACAGAAATATTACTTGCCCCCCCACAACAATTCCATTACTAAGTACACATCCAGAGGAATAGAAATAATTCTATCATAAAGACCCAAGCATGTGTATGTTCATTGCAGCACTATGCACAATAGCAAAGACATGGAATTACCTAAATGCCCATCAATGGTAAACAGGATAATGAAAATGTGGTGCATGTACATCATGGAATACTGTGCAGCCATAGAAAAGAATGAGATCATGTTCTTGGCAGGAATATGGATAGAGCTAGACGACATTATCCTTATCAAACTAACACAGGAAAAGAAAATTAAATACCTCTTATTCTCACATATAAGTGGGAGCTAAACCATAAGAACATGTGGACACACAGAGGGGAACAACACACACTCGGGCCTATTAGAGAGTGGATGGTGGGAGGAGGGAAAGGGTCAGGAAAAATAACTAACGGGTGCTAGGCTTAATACTTGGGTGACGAAATAATCTATACAACAAACACCCATGACACAAGTTTATCTGTAACAAACCTGCACATTTAACCCTGAACTTAAATAAAAGTTAAAAAAAGAAAAAAAGTCATGTCCTTTGCAGTAACTTTGATAGAGCTGGAGGCCATTATCCTAGGCAAATTAACACAGGAATAGAAAACTAAATACTGTGTGATATGCTTTGGCTGTGTCCTCACTCAAATCTCATCTTGAATTGTAGCTCCCATAATCTCCACGTGTCATGGGACAGACCCAGTTAGAGGTAATTGAATCATGGGGGCAGGTTTTTCCCATGCTGTTCTCATGATAGTGAATAAGTCTAATGAGATCTGATGGTTTCATAAAGGGGAGTTCCCCTGCACACGCTCTCTTGCATGCCAGCATGTAAGATGTGCCTTTGTTCCTCCTTTGCCTGAGGCCATGATTGTGAGGCCTCCCTAGCCATGTGGAACTGAGTCCAATAAACCTCTTTTTCTTTATAAATTACCTAGTCTCAGGTATTTCTTCATAGCAGTATGAAAATGGACTAATATACCATGTGTTCTCACTCATAAGTGTGAGCTAAACATTGAGTACACATGAACGCCAAGAGGAGAATAATAGACATTGGGGATTACTTGAAGGTAGAGCATGGAAGGTAAATGTGGGTCAAAAAGCTACCTATTGGGTGCAATTCTTACTACCTAGGTGATGAAATCTCTTGTACACCAAACCCAAGGGACCCACAATTTATCCATGTTACAAACCTGCACATGTATCCCCTGAAACTAAAATAAATTTGGAAGAGAAAAAAAAGGAAAAGGCTATACTTTATTTTTGAGGATTTTTCTAAGAAAACTTATCTAATGTACCTCAGACAGGGAACATCACATGGAATATCACGTAATCCAAAAGAGCCCTTCTTTTCGGGTCTAATTAAATTTAACATGGAAACAATCAATTATAAAAGTGCATGCTGGCCAGAGCCTCTGAATCACTCTTAAGATAAAGACATAAGTGATTTGGTACAAAATCCCCAGGGAGGTTGGACAAAGTAGGACAGGACTAGGACTGAGGTCCCTGCCTCTCAATGAGCTTTCCTTTTAATCGTCACAGAAAAATGATATTCCCTTTGAGCATGTTATACACCTGCTATTAAATATCACACTGGATATTTAATAACAGAATAATTCTTATTCATTTTTTACACCTTTTGTGTGCTATACCTTGGAGCCAAGAGGTTACCAGCTAAGCTATGAATAATTTTCAATTTAAAATTGTTATGTAATTTTGTTATCACAAAGAGATTATTTACCTCCAAGAAAATAATTTTACAGAGTTGATTCTAAAGTAACTGACTGCCAAAACTTAGCCAAAATTTGGACCCATAACCACAGAAGTCATTCGACAAATAGTCTTGACTCTAATGGTAAATTCTATAGTTTATGGTTAAAAATAACTGTGATGATAATATTCATTTAGAGATGATTGTGTCTTAGTATCTAACCTTGAAGGAATCACATGTGCCAATCCTTTTCCACTAAGCTTGAATAGCTCAATTTTGTACTCTAAAATAAATGTGTTGGTTGGAATGATGATAAAGATAGTTCTCTTAAACTAATGGGCAGTAACTATGGCATTCTGCTTTGAAATACCTACCATCTGGAGTTCAGTACATTTTGTGTTATGGCACATCGTTTTCTTATTTCTGATATAACAATTCCTAGTGTTTTAAGAGGACTGAAAGGACTTATGATTACACCTATATGTTCTAGCATTTTAAAGAATAATTTTAAAATTTTCTACTGCATGCATTTTAGTGTTTTTTTCCTCATACTATGTTTGCACTTATATAGCTATTATAAGCCAGACCAATGTGACAGACTAATCAGTGTTTCATAATAGGAACATATCTTTTTTTTTTTTTTGAGACAGAGTCTAACTGTGTCACCTTCCAGGTTCAAGCAATCCTCCCATCTCATCCTCCTGAGTAGGTGGGACCACAGGTATGCGCCACCACACCCAGGTAATTTTTGTATTTTTAGTAGAGACGGGGTTTCACCATGTTGCCCAGGCTGGTCTCAGACTCCTGACATCAAGTGATCCAACCACCTCGGCCTCCCAAAGTGCTGGGATTACAGGCGTGAGTGACCATGCTCGGCCCATAATAAGAAAATACCAAGATGAACAGAAAATTTACATGCTCAAAATAAAAAAAGAACTGCGATTATTGTTCCACGTGATCTCATTTAAGAAATATATTTATGTATGGATACATGAAAGTATAAAAATAACTTTTAGGTCATTATGAATAGGTCAAAAGGAATTTGACTGCCAATTTTTATCTGACATATGTCTATTTCTTTATTGCTAAAATGAAGAATATTTAATGTTTTGCAAAAGTTTTACTGACATAGTGTATTTCATGTATGTTTGATATACTGGCAGAGACTTATAAGTGGCTGGTGTTGTCTGATGATTCCTCAGCAAAACTGCCACTGACTTCAACAATGTAGCAAGAAATGCTATATATTCTTCTATAGAATATGAGCCACAGAAGGACAACTTTGGGCACTGTATTATTTCATATTTATTACCCCTTTAAGCACAATAGGTCACAATGCGGACAAAACATTTGGCTAGAGTTGGATGCATTAGAACACTTGTGAGGAAATTATATTAGTTCTCCACTAGCCAATTTTACCAGGTAAAAAAACTAAGACACTGGGTTTTGTTTGTGAGTAAGTGTATTATTGCGTATCTTAAACACGGTTTATCATTGAAATTCAATTGATAATTCTGAAGTTGCATGATTGTGTGAAGTGTGAAAGACTGATTTAATAATTAGAAAGGCACATATAAGTATTTTATAATTTATAAAAGATGTCATGTCATTTAAAATATTAAAATGCAAAAAAAGCTATAGAATATTGGTAAGGCATACCTAGAAAAACAGTTTATTTTTTAAAATACAAACACATAAACAAAAGCCTACAAGATGATTTTTTGGTCCCTGATCATCATGGTCTGAAACAGTTAACTCAACTTTCTCCAGCATAGTGTCAAATAAACCAAGATTCTGCACTTGTTCTCTGTGTGAGCTGGTTTGCTTTCACATTAAAAGAAATTCCAGTTCCAGTATTACAAACTTCACCCTTCAAACTATCAAGCTGGTTCAAAATCATGTGTTATGTTCACAAAGGAAGGCTCTGTGTAAGTGTATCTCCATACTTGGAAAATAATTCAAAGTGCATGCTTTAGTGATGGGGGTTCAGTAATACTATCTCTATATGTGACGGGCAGTATATATAACTTCATTAGTATATGACATATAACCTTCACTGTCTTCAGTTTTACTGTTTTTATTTTTATTATTAACATTATTTATTTATTTTGAGACAGAGTCTCACTCTGTCACCCAGGCTGCAGTGCAGTGGTGCAATCTCGGCTCACTGCAACCTCTGCCTCCCGGGTTCAAGCGATTCTCCTGCCTCAGCCTCCCGAGTAGCTGGGATGACAAGAGCGTGCCATCACGCCCAGCTAATTTTTTTTGTATTTTTAGTAGAGATGGAGTTTCACCATGTTGGCCAGGATGGTCTTGATCCCTTGACCTCGTGATCCGCCTGCCTCGGCCTCTCAAAGTGCTGGGATTACAGGCGTGAGCCACCACGCCCGGTCTACTGTTTTTATTTTATATATTAGAACATAAGCTCTGTGCTATCCAAAATGAGGCATCCAATAGAGACGAAAGAATTGCATTAACTAGATATATAATGCAACCCACAGTATAGTTTCACAATTGAGTCTATTAAGAGAGGAAAATGGGTCTGATTTTTGTGAAGTTTTAAGGAATTATTATCCAAAGACAGAAATCTGGATCTTATTGTGTAAGCACTATGTTTGTTACCACTGAGTTGGAAAAGCACTACAAGGCCTTTTTTACCATCACAGGAATAAGACATGTTTATAGTTCCTGAAATGCCTTTTTTTTTCTAAGAAGAGCCAGTCTTTTTGTATCAGAAGCAGGTTATAGAAATTTAAAGTTGCCCACTTTTCCTAGTTTTAAAATGTCCACTATGTGCCTAAGTGACCAGTCTTCATAAACATCTATTTGTATGCACTATATCAATAGTCATAATGCACTATAACAAAAATGTATGTCTGTAACTAAACTGAAAAATCAGTTTTAGCTCAACATCAGAAATCAGATAAGGAAAGGAGTTGTGCAGGAAAAAGCCAAAATCAAATTCTGCAAGTTCATCAATCTTTATTTTTCTTGGCCTACCTGTTAAAAAGTAGTATTGTTCTATAGTGAATATCAGAATATACCTGGAAATGTCCAATAAATAAAGGGTCTATTGGTCTTTTCACATAGTGATGTTTTAAAACTTGGTTTGCAAGAATAGCAACAAATTTATTGAGGTCTTTCAGACAATATATAGTAATTTTATTTGAAAGGATAAGTCAGAAGCTTGACAGTGAACAAATGTCTTGCCAAATAAATAAAATAGTCTAAAAGACATGTTCTTCTTTATTTTTGCAGGGGAGGGACATTTATTTAGATAAACCACATTCACATAATTTACTTTCTACTTGTATTTAACAAATCTGATTCTATTCAGCTTCAAATTTTTGTATGCCTTCCGATTGAAATTCAGCCCTTCATACATTTTGACCTTTTCAAGAAAGCCAGCTACATAGTAAATTGTGGTGCATTAAAAGAGTAAACACATTCAATACTTGTTATTCAATGGGTTTGGATTTAGAAAGCTATTGTCAATAGGTTAATCCTTTTGTACAGACAGTCTCTTTGGCTAAATGGCATCTTAAACAAATAAAGGTTTTACCAAAATGCTAATTTTTCAGTATTCCTGTCAACTGTCAAATAATAAATCTCAGCAGAGGCCTTAAAATTGTCTAACTCTAGTTTATATTCATTTTCTATCTGCAGAATTTCAAAAAGAACTTTATTGTACATAAGTCTAGTCAGAAGTTATTTGTAACCTAGCTCAAAAAATCATTACAACTTTTGACTTTTACTCACTCATCTACTATTTTACAATTGTGTTTAATCAATAAAAGAGCTACCTACTTTTGATGCATATTCAGAGATTACCAAAGTAAAAGAGAATCACAATTATGTTATTAATTTAAAACTCACAATTTTACTGTGCTACATGTAACTGTCAAACAAATCTGGACATAGCTAAGGAGAGACTTTACTCAAAAACACGTTTGCTGTAGGAAAAGGAGGATTGTAACAATGAAGGAAAATGCTCTGACCATAAGATCTACAAGCTTCTCAAAGATCAGACAGAAAATGATATTTAAAGAGGAGAAAAAAGAGGCTAGAAAGAAGTGAGATTCAATAGTTGTTCAGGGAACATCTCTCTTTGTGGCCAGATAATTTTTAGGAGGGGTACTTAAGGAGAGGTGTGATGGTTGATTTTATGTGTCAACTTGTCTGTGTCAACCACAAATAATGAGATTCAGAAAATATTATTACGCATAGAGCTTACTTGAGCCTGAAGCTTGAGGATAGTCAAACAGGAGCATAAATTAAAGAAGTTGTCCTGAATATACACTCTTGAGTAGCAGCAGTTACAAATGGGTTTTTAAGAAAAAAAGAAGAGGCAGTTACTAAGTTCTTTACCAAGAATTTACAATGACATAACATAAGGTGCTGATTGGCCATACATTGTTCTTTGCCTCACACATTCCAGGAACATGAAGATAATGGACCAGGCAATAAGACAGGAACAAAAATACCTGCAAACAATTGTCCCAGGGTATGGGGAGGCAGAGGTGGGCATGACTGAAGTCCCATACTCATGTATTCCTGGGCCTGATAAATTTTGCATAGCTTACATAGCTCACACTGCCCTGAGCAATTTTTCTTTTCTCATTCCCCCCTTTTCATAAATATCTTTTGAAGAAAGCATCATAGATAAACTCAAATGCTTTTGGCTCTTTTTATGTTGAGAATCTTAGTCCTGCATTGCTAGTAAAGCTCATTCCCAGATGGCTCTATCTCACATGGTTGGGGGGACAGGACATGTCTCATTGAGGAATTCTAAGAGCTTCAAAATACAAATTGGAATGGCCTCATAGGTTCACAAAAATAAGACCAGTCAAGTCACTGATTTACATAGTTGCTATCACTTGTTGAATCATCTTTAGTCTTTAGAATATCATGTGTTTAGTTTTCTTAAAAGAAGTCAAACAACAGGAGATACATAGCAGAATTATAACACACATAGGATTATAACAAAAATATTGTGTACCAGAGCAACAACAACAAAACAACTGTTCTATTGAGGAGTCAACTAAAAACATAATAAAAAAAAATTAACACCCAGATTTTCTTTAGAGTCTTGTAGCCAGGAAATACTTCAGAATTTAGTCTGAGTTGTAGGAAAATAATAAAAACTCAAAAATAATAGTCAGGGCTGTAATCTAATAACAAGTGTGCTACAGTTTTCTTCTAAAACACATTCTTTTCTCTCTCCAATTTTCCATTTCTACCAAAGATAAATAGTAGTAGGACCAATTTAATTGCAAAATAAGTTTTAGTATTATACTTGGCCTGGTCATTGCATAAACATTCACAAGAACAGTGACTGGTCCTGCAGGCTTTGCTGGAAATTTAAGTTGGCTTTGCTGGAAATTTTTCATTAGAAGATTCATATTAGACTATTAAAATTATCTCTAGGCAAGGAAGCGAAGCCAAAGAGTCACCATAAAATGGTACTTACAATACCTGTACAAATTGAGTGAATTTCTCTCTTCTTGTAGTCCCCAAATATCTTGAGTTTCCTGAGCCTGTCAGAAAGTGATATTCATTATTTACTACAAGGTCTGGAACCTTGTAAGGAAACTGTGTAAACTAGGTTCCAGGCCATTCTTTCCATGTGGCTTTAATTTCTCAAAGCAGACTGGTTATATCTGAAAATACACTGTTCCAGACAAAACATTGGTAAAATTACCAATGTCTCCAATGTGTTCTGTTGGAAAAGAAAGCATCTTTTTATTGAAATTATGAAATTATATTGCCATAAAATAAGAATGCTCATGAATAGTTTTCAAATTTTGGAGAAACCACATAGAAGGAAGGGTAACTGTTTCAGTTTTGTTCACAAAATTATACTATACCCAATTGCTGTAAGCTATAAATGGCTAAAAAAAACTGTTTTCTTGACTCTGAAAAGCAAAATTTAGAAAGAATCAACAATGGTTCAAACAAAAATGCCATAAAAATAATTTTAATTCTCTATCAGCTTAGTCCCATGTAAGTAATTATTTTTCTGCTTAACGTTGGGTTCGCTGCAGGAACGAAAAACCAAACACCGCATGTTCTCACTTATAAGTGGGAGCTGATTTATGGGAATACATGGATACATGGGAGAAAACAACATACACTGGGCACCTGTGAGGAGGAGTATGAGGGGAGGGAGAACATCAGGAAGAATAGGTAATGGATGCTGGGCTTAATACCTGGGTGATGGAATGATTTGTACAGTAAACCAACGCGGCACATGTTTACCTATGTAACAAACTTGCACATCCTGCACATGTACCCCCGAACTTAAAACAAAAATTGGAAAAAAAAAATGTTAGGTTGGCAATCTTCATGACTACATCAGTTTTTGTTAGAGTTCTAGAAGTTTTTACTTACTTCAGTGGTATTATCTCTAAAGTTATCAGAAACCTGTACTGAAGAGTACTTGTCAGGATCCTCTTCCATGAATTTCCTTTCAGAAGAAACCAATTTTAGACAGCAGTTGATCATAAACTACTTTTTGAGAAGAATCAAAGTAAAACAATAACTGTCCATGAATGACAAAAAACTTTGAATTGTCATGGTTTATATTACTCTGTTTTCATACTGCTATGAAGAAATATCCAAGACTGGGTACTTTATAAAGAAAAAAGGTTTAATTGACTCACAGTTCCACATAGCTGGGGATGAGAGGTGACAGCATGCTGGCAGCCCTTACAGCCCTCGCTCGCTCTCCGCGCCTCCTCTGCCTGGGCTCCCACTTTGGCAGCACTTGAGGAACCCTTCAGCCTGCCGCTGCACTGTGGGCGCCCCTTTCTGGGCTGGCCAAGGCCAGAGCCGGCTCCCTCAGCTTGCAGGGAGGTGTGGAGGGAGAGGCGCCAGCGGGAACCGGGGTTGCGTGCGGCGCTTGCGGGCCAGCTGGAGTTCCGGGTGGGCGTGGGCTTGGCGGGCCCCGCACTCTGAGCGGCCGGCTGGCCCTGCCGCCCCGGGCAATGAGGAGCTTAGCACCCGGGCCAGCGGCTGCGGAGGGGTGTGCTGGGTCCCCCAGCAGTGCCGGCCCACCGGCGCTGCGCTCGATTTCTCGCCGGGCCTTAGCTGCCTTCCAGCGGGGCAGGGCTTAGGACCTGCAGCCCGCCATGCCTGAGCCTCCCCCCGCCTCCGTGGGCTCCTGTGCAGACGGAGCCTCCCCGACGAGCGCCGCCCCCTGCTCCATGGGCGCCCAGTCCCATCTACCACCAAAGGGCTGAGGAGTGTGGGCGCACAGCGCCGGACTGGCAGGCAGCTCCACCAGCAGCCCCAGTGCGAAATCCACTGGGTGAAGCCAGCTGGGCTCCTGACTCTGGTGGAGACTTGGAGAACCTTTATGTCTAGCTCAGGGATTGTAAATACACCAATCGACACTCTGTATCTAGCTCAAGGTTTGGAAACACACCAATCAGCACCCTGTGTCTGGCTCAGGGTTTGTGAATGCACCTCAACACTCTGTATCTAGCTAATCTAGTGGGGAAGGGTGGAGAACCTTTGTGTCTAGCTCAGGGATTGTAAACGCACGAATCAGCACCCTGTCAAAACAGACCACTCTGCTCTCTGTAAAATGGACCAATCAGCAGGATGTGGGTGGGGCTGGATAAGAGAATAAAAGCAGGCTGCCAGAGCCAGCAGTGGCAACCTGCTGGGGTCGCCTTCCACACTGTGGAAGCTTTGTTCTTTCGCTCTTTGTAATAAATCGTGCTGCTGCTCACTCTTTGGGTCCACACTGCCTTTATGAGCTGTAACACTCACTGCCAAGGTCTGCAGCTTCACTCCTGAAGCCAGCGAGACCACGAACCCACTGGGAGGAACGAACAACTCCAGACCCGCCACCTTAAGAGCTGTAACACCGTGAAGGTCCGCAGCTTCACTCCTGAGCCAGTGAGACCATGAACCCCACCAGAAGGAAGAAACTCCGAACACATCTGAACATCAGAAGGAACAAACTCCAGACACGCCACCTTTAAGAACTGTAACACTCACCGTGAGGGTCCGCGGCTTCATTCTTGAAGTCAGTGAGACCAAGAACCCACCAATTGTGGACACAGGGAGGCCTCACAATCATGGCTGAAGGTGAAGGAGGAGCAAAGGCATGTCTTACATGGTGGCAGGCAAGAGCATGTGCAAGAGAACTGCCCTTTGTAAAACCATCAGATCTCCTGCTACTTATTCACTATCATGAGAACAGCCTGGGAAAGATCCACCACCACGATTCAATTACCTCCCGCTGGGTCCCTCCCATGACATGGCTGGATTATGGGAGCTATAATTCAGGATAAGATTTGGGTGGGGACACATCCCAACCATATCATGGTTAAATATGCAATTGACAGAAAATTGGCTATTTTTTGTAGTAATACAACAGTTTAACATAATCATAATTATGACTGATAATGTATTCCAAGATATAATTTTAGGCATCTTTTTCAATTTTGAAACACACATTAATAACACATTTATACAAATATAACTCTAAGAAACTTAAACATAATTTCTTATTTGACATTTCTTTCTGTATGAAAGAAGTTTAATATGTCTCTCTTGGATTTCCAGAGTTTTTATTAATTATCTTCATCAGTTTGGGTCAGAAAGATAACTTCAGAATTTAAAATGTAATTTTAAGAATCTCAAATATTAAAGGTTTAAAAACCTTAATATTAAAATTAAAAAGGTTTAAAACACATAGTAAATTAGGATCACAGTGTTCTCAGACTGAAGTGAGGGTCCTGCTGCTTATTCTCGTTGCCAAATAACGAGAAACAGATGAACTGGGAAAGAAGAGAGTTTGTTTCTGTAACCAGGTACAGGGAGAAGGCCAGGAAAATATCACCAGACCAGCTCAAAATTACAAAGTTGTACAGAGCTTATATACCTTTGGAGCCATATGTCTAAGTGTAAGTGTGCATTCATCTAAACACATAAGTAATTAACTTCTAATCTATAACTAAGTTCTGAGTCCTGAAGACCTTCCTCTGGCATCTCAGTAAATTTACTTAATCTAGATGGGTCCAGGTGCCAGGGATGATTACCCCTATCTTGTCTCCTGCTAAATCATGGAGATTTGGGGAGTTCCTTTACACCCCCAATAAAATTTGTTGGCAGAAGTCTGGGGAATTTCTTCAGACCCCCAATAATACTTGTTTAATCCTAAACGGGTCCTGTTAAGAATTTCTTCATTATCTTGTCATGCTTCAAGGCTGAGGAAAGGCCTAGGCAAAACTCTTGGTGGGCTTTTGTTACATTCCAGCCTTTGTATAAGGGCACTGGCTCTATCAGCTTCTAATATTTAACTTAACCATTCAATCAGTGCTGAAAGAGTTGTCATGGAGGCCTGCCTGTTCAGCTGTTAGTGAGACCTGGCATGCCACAGCAGGTCACTGTAAAATAACAGTCATTTATTTAGCCAATATACTAATTCAAAGATTAAGATTTCAAACAGCAAAAATTTTACTCTTTGATAGAGAGGAGACCCAGTTCCCAATCAAGAGACCTAATAATGACAGCATGAAATAAACTCTTCCCTTTTTTTCTGTAGTTTACTCAAGAGGTAAACAAATCTTATCTCTCATTAATACTACATAAAATCTTATTCAAAGGGAAAAAAAGAAAATTTACTTTTATATTACTGTATTACCACTACTAAAGCTAATTTTAATAAAACCTTAATACCAAATTCATCCAATCTCAGTCAACTTTGACCATATAAGATAAGATTTCCATAAATGTTTTATAACCTCTTACAATTTTCTATTAAGGAACAGATCAATGCTCTGAGAAAATTGTTGTTCTGACACAGGAGCCCAGACTCTGGCCTTAAATTAATGTGTTTTTTATATTAATGCTCAATTTTTAGAAAAACCTTATAAATAATTTTCTTCTAATTTTAGCCAATTCAATCACAGACAAAATTCCTTTCATGAGCTTAATCTTCCACAAACCTTATATAACTGGCTTTAACCTCCAATTTTATCCTATTATACCTTTTTAAAAATATTGCCATTCTATCATAGAATAAAAATGTACTTTCCTTTATCCCTTATCATTTTGACCACACAAAGTTCTTTCTTCTGCCAAGCAAACACACAAATATCACTATCTCCTTTCATCTTATTTTACCAAAAATATATTTGACTTTCTTCATATACCTTGTATATTGAGTTGTATCTCATATATCTACTAGTCTTAATTACATATATAAATGTGATAGGAAAATAAATCTTGGAGCCCCCAAATCACTAAGCTAAAGGAAAAGTCATGCTGGAAACAGCTTAGGGCAAATCTGCCTCCCATTCTATTCAAAGCCACCCCTCTGATCACTGAGATAAATGCATAACTGATTGCCTCATTTGGAGAGGCTAATCAGAAACTCAAAAGAATGCAACCACCCCATCGACCTATGACCTGGAAGCTCCCTCCTTGCTTCGAGTTGTCCCACCTTTCCAGACTGTGCCAAAGTACATCTTACACATAATGATTAATGTCTCATATCTCCCTAAAATGTATAAAACCAAGCTGTGCCCCTCACTTTGGGCACATGTAGGCAGGACTCCCTAAGGCTGTGTCACAGGCACATGTCCTCAACCTTAGCAACATAAACTTTCTAAATTGAGACCTGTCTCAGATTTTTGGGGTTCACATTAACTATAATTTTAACTATTATAAACCCTAATTTTCTGGGAAAAATCTAGGAAATAAGTAATTTGGAACTGTTTTATATGAGTATTTGTAGTTAAAAACCATTTCAAAATTTTTAGAAAAATGTTTCTTTTTTGGTTTATTAAGAAATATAAATATGTTTCTCTTTTCTATACCATATAAGCAACTCAGACACTTTATGATTACATATTACTTAATTTAACATAATATGACTTTAATATTAAGTTACTGAATGATTTCTAAACAATGGATACTTTATTTATAAACATTTATTCCATTTATATTTGTTTAATTCATTCATTCTTAACAATTATACCTGAATTGCTCATTAAATTAAGCTAGTCTTCATCTCAAGTTTTTTTGATAGTCATTTTAATAGTATGTGAATGTTATTAATAGGTAGTTACCATTTAAGCAAGAACTCTATAGGTAAATGCATGGGTATTTTGCTGATCAGAATACACAACTGTTTTCATCAAACCAGCAATATTAAACAAGTCTTACTTATGAAAGATGACCCAAGTCATGTGAACTAAATGGCATTTGAGTTAGTTTCTGTTTTTCTAATAAAATATTTGATTTATGTGGTTTCTTTTTCTTCAAGCCAGTTAATTAGATTCATATAATTTGGTAGTTACATATAATATACACATGATTCATATAAACATATTGTGAAAGGAAAATAAACCTTGGGACCCCAAACTCACTAAGCCAAAGGGAAAAACCAAGCTGGGAAGTGGGTCATGGAAACCTGCCTCCCATTTTGGCTCCCAAATAAGATGGCTACAAAGATGAAACGCTACATATTTCCCTCACATATTGCTCACAAGGAAATTCTTTGTGGGCCCCAAGATCTTTACCACAGAGCATTTCTGTTACAGTTCACCATGGCAATGTAAATCAATAGCTTATCTTTACAGGTACAGGGACATAGGACAGAACTCAATGTCATACCACCACCCAAGACAAATGCATATCTGATTGTTTCCTCTGCCCTATTATCTTCCTTATGTTGTGTAAAAATGCAGATTCACTGAACCAGAAAAAGGCATGAATGACTAATTTTTCTACCCCCCTCTCACATGAAAACTGTGTACTTTTCAATATCCCAAACTTTCCCCTTTAAATATAGAAACCCTCAAAATCATCTTTGGAGAAAGGCATAGACCTATCTCCTGGGCATGCATCTTCAACTTTGGCAAATAAACCTAAAATGATTGAGACTCGTCTGGGTCATTATTCTTGATTGACAACGTAGACATACAGATACACAGACAGAAGATTTGATAGCTTTATAAGGTACTTCATTGGCCAGTTTTCAAAGAGTTTCTCTTCTCTCTTTAGACTACCAAGCCGTAAACAATTGTTAGCTAGGTGACCATAAATTCACCCCTCCGAAGACATGAATGTTAGGTGAAAATTTACATCCCAAAGGCACAGAACTTAGATCTATACAATATTATTTGCTGAGTCAAAGAAAGGCATAGGTAAAGGCCTAGTCAAGCCAAGATTCTAGGAAAAGTACCTTAAATAAAGGTAAAGTTTGTTATGCAATGTGTTCCTCAACTTAAATGTTTCTAGCAGTTTAGTTACAGTAAGGGAGATGCCCTTACAAATGGAGATTTAATTTATAGATATACATTTCTTTTACAAAGCGTTTCAAAACAGCCAGCTAAATGCCAAAAAGCCATATTTTGGAGACTTACCTGGGTAGACAGTTGGTCTTTTCAATTTAGCTTGTTTTTTTATGAGTTTACTGACTTCAGAGTGGAGCCTTTTAACGAATAGGGGAAAGAGCTCGTTCTCATGGTCCAGGGCCAGGGCCTAATATTTAATATGTGAAAAGCAGGCACAGCTGGAAGGCAACACATCTAGATCTTTAAAAATCAAGGATTCCACTTGTGAAAGGAAAATACATCTCCCAAAAATCACTAAGCCAAAGAGAAAAGTGAAGCTGAGAAGTGTATCCAGCAAACCTGCCTCCCATTCTATTCCTAAGTAAGATAGCTACAAAGATTTAAAAAAAAAAAAAAAAAAAAAAAAAAAGCTACTTACCTTTTTCACAATTTGCCCACAAGGAAATTCTCTGTGGACAAAGGAAAGGCAGAACTCAAAGTCATCTCTCTGCTCACAGGAGACAAATGCACATCTGACTGCTTTCTTTGCTCTATTGTTTCACTAAGCCAGACATGTGACTATTCCTGTAAATTGTGCATTCAGTGAAAGGCTGATTAGAAACTTAAAAAAAAAAATGTAACACTTTACCTTTTATCTACCTATGACCTGGAAGTCTTCTCTCTGCTTCGAGTTGTCCCACCTTTCTGGACCAAACCAATGTACATTATACATATATTGATTGATGTTTCATGTCTCCCTAAAATGTATATAACCAAACTGTGTCCTGACCACCTTGAGCACATGCCTTCAGGATGTCCTGAGGCTGTGTCATGGGCACATCGTCAAACTTGGCAAAATAAACTTTCTTATTCATTTATTTATTTTATTTCAATAGGTTTTTAGGGAAACAGGTGGTGTTTGGTTACATGAATAAGTTCTTTAGCGGTGATTTCTGAGATTTTGGTGCACCCATCGCCTGAGTAGTATACACTGTACCCAGTTCATGGTCTTTTATCCCTCAGCCCCCTCCCACCATTTCCACAAGTCCTCGAAGTCCATTGTATTATTCATATGCCTTTGCATTCTCATAGCTTAGCTCCCACGTGATAACATACACTATCTGGTTTTCCATTCCTGAGTTACTTCACTTAGAATAATGATCTCAAATATCGTTCAGGTCACTGCAAATGCCATTATTTAATTCCTTTTTAGGGCTGAGTAGTGTTCCATGGTATATATATACCACAATTTCTTTATCCACTCATTGATTGATGGGTATTTGGGCTGGTTCCATATTTTTGCAATTGTGCATTGTGTTGCTCTAAACGTGCATGTTCACATTTCTTTTTGTATAATGACTTATTTTCCTCTGGATAAATACCCAGTTGTGGAATTGCTGGATCAAATGGTAGTTCTACATTTACTTCTTTAAGAAATCTCCGCACTGTTTTCCATAGTGGTTCTACTAGTTTACATTCCCACCAGCAGAGTAAAAGTCTTCCCTTTCCACCACATCCATGCCAACATCTATTATTTTTTATTTTCATTTTTTGATTTTCTCATGGTTTCAGGTCTTAGATTTAAGTCTTTGATCCATCTTGAGTTGACTTTTGTATAATATGAGAGATGAGGATCCAGTTTCCATTTTTCTACATGTGGCTTGCTAATTATCCCAGCACCATTTGTTGAATAGGGTGTTCTTTCCCCACTTTATTTTTTTGTTTGTTTTGTCAAAGATCAGTTGGCTGTAAGTTTTGTCAAAGATCAGTTGGCTTTATTTCTGGGAAAAATATTCATCCATGGGCATATTTTTATACCAGTATTTTATACTAGTTTTAGTGACTATAGCATGGTAGTATAGTTTGAAGTCAAGTAATGCGATGCCTCCAGATTTGTTCTTTTTGCTTAGTCTTGCTTTGGCTATGCGGGCTCTTTTTTTTGTTCCATATAAATTTTAGAATTGTTTTGTCTAGTTCTGTGATGGATGATGTTGATATTTTGATGAAAAGTGCATGTAATTTGTAGATTGCTTTTGGCAGTACGGTTATTATCACAATATTGATTCTACCCATCCATGAGCATGGGATGTGTTTCCATTTGTTTGTGTTGTCTATGATTTCTATCAGCAGCGTTTTGTAGTTTTCCTTCTGCAGGTCTTTCACCTCTTTGGTTAGGTATATTTCTAAGTATTTTACCTTTTATTTTTTTTGCAGCTATTGTAAAAGGGGTTGAGTTCTTGATTTGATTATCAGGTTGATCACTGTTGATGTATAGCAGAGCTACTGATTTGTGTACATTAACTCTGTATCCTGAAATTTTGCCAAATTCACTTATCAGTTCTAGGAGCTTTTTGGAAGAGTCTTCAGGGTTTTCTAGGTATGCAGTCATATTATCAGCAAACACTGACAGTTTGACTTCCTCTTTACTGATTTAGATGTCCTTTATTTTTTCTCTTGTCTAATTCCTCTGGACCACCTATGTTCATTCAAGGCCTCCTGGCACTATAATCAGCAGGTGATGAAGCCACCATATTCGTGTCCTTCTCTTCAGAGTGATAAGTTCCCCCAAGCCCCAAGTGTGTCCAGAGACGCTGTCTGTGAGAAAAGGATTAGAGCTAAATTCAGTAATTTGCCTGATGCTATATTCTACTTTAGCTAGGCTGGCACTCAAACCACAATACAATGTGCTTCTTGCTCTTCCCTCCCCTTTTCCCAGGCAGAGGAGACTCTCCCTGTGCCCACCACCACCACTGGCCCATAGAAGGTTCTGCTAGGATATTGCCAATGTTCACTTAAAGCCCAAGTTTTCTTCTGTCAGTTTGTGATGAAGGCTACCAGGTGTGGGACACACTATTCAGGGCAGTGGGCTTCCTTTTGGCCCAGGGAAGAGGTCCAAATGCTGTTCAAGAGCCACTTCCTGGAACCAGGGACCCCCCAAGAGCCTTCTTGTTGCTCTACCTCACTGTGGCCAAGCTGATACCTAAGGTGCAAGACAAAGTCCCCTTTAGTTTTCCCTCCACTTTTCTCAAACAGATGGAGTCCTTCACCACAGCTACCACAGCTGGAAATGTGTTGGTTTTTCTCTGAAGCCAGTATGTCTCAGAGTCCAAGGTCCATAGTGTACTACCTGGGTATCGCTGTTGGTTATTCAGGGGCCAAGAGCTTTTTAGTCAGCAGGTGATAAATCCTGCCAGGACTGGGTCCTTCCCTTCAAAACAAGGGTTTCCTTTTGGCAGAAGGTGTGTCTAGATATGTCTCTGAGCTAGGGCCTGGAATGTGGACCTCACAACTCTGCCTGGTGCCCTATTCTACTGTGGCCGCATTGGTTTCCAAGATATAAGACGAAGTCCTCTTTACGTTTCACTCTCTTCTCATTAAGAAGGAAGCATTTACTTTCATTGCTGTGAGTTGTGCAGCCTGGGGTTGTGGGAGGAGTGGTGCAAGCCCTCCCTTAGCCACCCTGTCTCATGTCTCTGTAGGTCACATACCACCCTAGTCCGCTGGCTCCGAGCCCATCTCAGCACTACAAGTTACCTGTGAATTGCCGTCCTTGTGTCCTAGACTGCCTTTCAAGTTTACCTAGGACACCAGAGCACTTTGTCCAGCAGTGGCAAGACTCACCAAGAAACTCAGGTTCTGACCACTGCAATAGAAAATTCCCCTCTGGCTAGGGCTGGTCCAAATACTCCCTACCTGTGGAGGCACTGGCTGAGCCCAGCACAGGTTTTCTATTTGCTGTTACAGGGCAGCCCTGAGTTCAAAGTAAAGTCCTCCAGTCATTGCACTCTCACTTCCCCAGGTACACAGATGCTCTCTTTGTGCTGCAAGGCTGCTGCTGGGGAATAGGGAAGTGCTTGCATCACTGACTCAAGATTGTCTCTACTATTCTCTTCAATGCCTCTTTCAGTAATATGAAGTTAAAACCAGGCACTGTGATGGCTCACCTGATTTTGGTTCTTGTGACAGTGCTTTTCTTTGTGCAGATAGTTGTTAAAATTTGGTATTCCTGTGATGGGGGTGGAAATGAAGAGTGTAGGCTTCTATTCTGCCATCTTGCTCTGTCCCTGGATCTCTTCTTAAAGAAGTCCCAGTTATAGAAGTATGACTCACCATAATTTAGATTATTCCTTTGAATGGCCAAAAAGACCTAGCGTGAGGAATTGTGGTCAGTCAAAAGAAAGTTTAGATTCATCATTTGATTCAAGTTTCAGAATCTGGCCAGTTTTAAAGATTATAAATTTTGCTTAAGCCACAAATATCCACTTCCTCTTTTAAGGGAGAGAATCTATTTTTCTCCCTGACCAAGATTTGAATGAGAGAAAAGGTTATAAAAACTCTAATGAGTAATTCAACACAAAACCTTAACATCAGAGAAAAGTGAAAATCACAACTCCGCAATCTCCAGAGAATAACAAATAAAATTTATGCCTTAAAGTAGACTTCAATTCCAAACTTGTCAAGTTAGGAATGTGTATGGCTCAAATAAAGTCTGAATTCTCAGCCAAGCTAGAAAGATGCAGATCCTGAGAGGGGCCTGCCCAGTGATCCCTGTTGACATTGGCGAGGTCAGGTCAATGAAAGTCATTCATGACGGTACCAAGGCTTCAATTTTCAGTGAAGTGATAGGGATTGCTGGAACCCCACTTTGGGTCCCATAGGCATCACCAAAATGTCAATCCTAAATAATGAAATTCAAAAATATGATTAAGTACAGAGTTTATGTGAGCCCAAAGCTTGAGCATGGCCACCTGGGAGCATAGATTCAAGATTCCCTAAATATACACTCCAATTAGCATCAGTTACAAGTGTTTTTTTAAGAAAAAAAGAAGAGGCAGTTTCTAAGTTCTTTAGCAATAATTCACATTAAAGTGACATAAGCTATTGGTTAGCAGTACATTGTTCTTTTTTGCACAAATTCCAGAAACATGAAGATAATGGATTAGGCAGCTACTCAGAAACAAAATGCTTTCAAACAATTGCCCCTGGGCTTGGTTGTGTAGGGGGATTAGGGAGTGACTGAAGTCCCATACTCATGTCTCCCTGGGCTTGATAAATTTTTAATACCTCACATTGCTCAGACTGCTTTTTCTTTTCTTCCAGCTGGGCCATAGTGCCCAAATATTATGTCAAAGATTAATCTGGATGTTTCTGTGAGGATGTTTAAGGATGATATTAACATTTAAGTCATTGGACTTTGAGTAGATTGCCTTTAATAATGTGGCTGGGTTTATCTCATCAGTTGAAGGGCTGAATAGAATAAAAGACTGACCTCATACAAGAAAGATCTAGTTCTGCCAGCAAAGGGCTTTTGGACTTGCACTTCACTATTGACTCTCCTTGGTCTTCAGCCTGAGTGCCTTTGGGCTTGAACTATAACATTGGCTCTTCCCTAGATCTCCAGTCTGCTGGCCCACTCTGAAGATTTTGGACTTTCCCGCTTCCATAATTGCATGAGTCAATTCTTCAAAATAAATCTTTTTTTTTCCTATATATACAAATATCCTATTTATTCTGTTCCTCTGAAAAACTCTAGTACAAGGAGCTATTTCACATTTTAATGTTGGCTTAGGCTAAGGATGCATCAAACTTAAGAGTCTTATAGGGGAAGAGAAGCTTACATTTTGGTCATGACAAGTTAAAAATTATTTTGTTTCCATTGATCAGTGGAGACAAACAGTTCAGCAAATAATGTATGTGGCAAAATTGAGAATTTGGATGATCTATCTGGCCATGCCCTGGGTAAGCAAGGGCATTATGTAGAAGTCTTATCTAAGTTTCTGAGTCACATTGGGAAATGTGAGTGTTTGCAGTAAATCCTTTATAGGAATACAAAGAATAAGAGGATTTATTTAACTACTAATATTTTACAAGAGCACATGCCTTAGGTAAATTTAATATTATAATTATTTAAATGAATTAGGCATAAATATTTTATAACTGGCATACATAATTAAGTAGTGCAAACCATTGAGAAATGTAGGAATTAATTTTATATTATTAATGATATTGTTATTTATGTTATATTTATGTTACTGTTTGTTATATTTTAATCTTATTATCAGTAATGCCATTGTTCCTTTTAAACAATTCTGATTAAAGTGTGCTATAGTGAATGCAGCATGTATTCTGGGAAACTTGAATTTAAAACCCCCATTTACTTATTGTGCAAAATGGGCATAGTTTTATAAAAGTAAAAATACACTTACTACCTATCTCACATTTTTACGGCACTAAATACTATCATGTATGTGCAAGTCCTTGGAAATAATATGTCCTCAATAAATGGTAGTGTTTTTCCCATTTCATTCCTTTTACTTCCCTCCATGAAGCAAATATAATCCATGAGTAACACATGATAAAGATTGAGCATAAAATCTATAACTGGTATGAAGGGAAAGTTAACTGGGCTAAAAATTAGACTTTAAGAATCCTAGCTCCCAATAAACATACCCACAAAGGACACTACTAAAACTGTAAAATAGATTTGGCCTCAAAATAACAGTGTCAGTAAGAGTTTAACTATTATTTCCTTCATCACTTTTATTCTTCAGAACTATAAGATGGATAAACCCTAAAGGTATTATCTAAGTAATAAAAGTTTAAAAATCCAGACACAAAAGACTATCTGAAATGTTCAGAATAGATTAATTTATATGCAGAGAAAGTAGATTAGTGTTTTCTCAGAGACAAAGAGAAGAAAAAATGGTAAGAGCTGCTAATGAGGAGTAACTGCTATGGGTACAGTGTTTCCATTCACAGCGATGATAATGTTCTGAAACCAGATAGTATTTATGGCTGCACAACTTTGTGTATATACTAAAAATGACTGAGTTGTACTCTTTAGAATGGTGGATTTATGGCATACGAATTATATCTCAATAAAGAGAAAGAAGAGTGAAGTGAGCACCGGACTTCATCATGAACCTCAGCACAAGGTCTGCCCCAGTAAACCCTGGCTCCAAGCCTGCCTCAGCACCAGGCTGAATCCCATGGCCCCATGTCAAGGCCTGTCTCTGTGATTCTGAGCTCCATTAGATCGAGGGCCTAGGCCTGCTCCAGAAAACCTAGTATCCAGTTGCACACCAGCAGACCCAAGGTCCAGGCCCACTCTACAGACCCTGGCACTGAATCATCCCCCATGAACCCAGGATCTAGGCCTACCCCAACGGACTGCAGCACCAAGCTGGCACCTATGGACCCAGGATCCAGATCCAGGCTTCAGGTCAGCCTGCCTCAGCAGACATAAAGATCAATAAAGCAGAATAGAGAGCCCAGAAATAAATCTGCATATTTATGGTCACTTGATCTTTAATAAAGGTGCCAAAACACATAATAAGGAAAGGGAAGTCTTTTCAATAAATTGTGTCAAGGAAACTGAATATCCACATGGGGAAAAAAGAAATAAGACCCTTATCTCCCACAAGAACAAAAATCAACTTAAAGCTATTAAAAACTTAAAACTTGAAAACGTAAAACTACTAGAAAAAAATATAGAAAAAAGCATCTTGACATTGGCCTAGGCAATAAATTTTTTGAATATAATACTAAAAGTACAGGCAACAAAAACAAAAATAAACAAATGGGATTTTATCAAACTAAAATGTTTCTGCACAGCAAAGGAAACAATCAACAGAGTGAAGAAACAACCAACAAAATGGGATAAAATTTGCAGACCATATATCTGCAGGGGTTAATATTCAAAACATTAAGAAACTCAACTCAATCGCAAGAAAACAAATAACCCAATTTTTTAAAAAATGAGTGAATGATCTGAATAGACTTTTCTCAAAAGAAAACATATGAATTACCAACAGGCATTAGAAAAAAATGCTCAACATTACTAATCATCATGGTAATGCAAATCAAAGCCACAATGAGATATTACCTCACACCTGTTAGAGTCACTATTATCACAATGACAAAAGATAGTGTGTTGGCAAGGATGTGGGGAAAAGCAAACTCTGTACACTGTTGGTAGCAATGCAAATTAGTACAGTCATCATGGAAAAACAAAGTGGGAATTTCTCAAAAAATTAGAAATAGAATTTACATATTGATAGGATTTGGCTGTATCCCCACCCAAATCTCATCTTGAATTGTAGTTCCCATTATCCCCATGTGTCATGGGAGGAAACTTGTGGGAAGTAATTGGATCATGGAAACTGTTTGCCCATGCTGTTCTCATGATAATGAGTGAGTCTCTTAAAATCTGATTGTTTTATAAGCATCTGGCATTTCCTCTGCTTGTACTCATTCTCTCTCCTGCCATCCTGTGAAGAGGTGCCTTCTGCTATGATTCTAAGTTTCCTGAGGCCTCTTCAGCCATGTGGAACTGTGAGTCAATTAAACCACTTTTCTTGATAAATTACCCAGTCTCAAGTATTTCTCCATAGCAGTGTGAGAACGAACTAATACAGTAACTTGGTACTGAGATAGTGGATTACTGCTATAAAGATACCTGAAAATGTGGAAGTGACTTTGGAACTGGGTAACAGGCAGAGGTTGAAATGGTTTAGAGGGCTCAGAACACAGGAAAATGTGGAAAAGTATTGGGGGAACCAGCCCCCAATATTTCAGCATAGGTTCTTTTCTATTTTCCCTAAGTGTCAGCTAGTCTGAGAAATAAAGAGAAAGAGTACAAAGAGAAATTTTACAGCTGAGCCTCCGGGGGTGACATCACATATCAGCAGGTTCTGTGATGCCCACCTGAGCCACAAAACCAGCAAGTTTTTATTAGGGATTTCAAAAGGGGAGGGGTGTACGAATAGGGAGTGGGTCACAGAGATCACATGTTTCAGAGGGCAATAAAAGATCACAAGGCAGAGGGTGAAATTAGAATTACTGATGAGGTTCCATGTCCCACTGGGCATGCATTGTCTTGATAAACATCTTACCAGGAAACAGGGTTCGAGAACACACAGCCGGTCTGACAAGAATTCACCAGGCTGGAATTTCCCAATCCTGGTAACCCCGAGGGCACTGCAGGAGACCAGGGCATATTTCATCCCTTATCTTCAACCGCATAAGACAGACACTCCCAGAATGGCCATTCATAAACCTACCCCTGGGAATGCATTCCTTCCCCAGGGTTATTCCTTGCTGGGAAAAGAATTCAGCGATATTTCTCCTACTCGCTTTCTGCAAGAAGAAAAATATGGCTCTATTCTGCCTGACCCTGCAGGCAGTCAGACCTTAAGGTTATCTTCCCTTGTTCCCTGAAGATCGCTGTTATTCTGTTCCTTTTCAGGGTGCCCTGATTTCACATTGGTCAAACACACATGTTTTACAAACAATTTGTACAGTTAAACAATCACAGGATCCTGAGGTGACAATACATCCTCAGCTTATGAAGATGACGGGATTAAGAGATTAAAGTAAAGACAGGCATAGGAAATTATAAGAGTATTGATTGGCGAAGTGATAAAGGTCCATGAAATCTTCACAATTTATATTCAGAGATTGCAGTAAAGACAGGCATAAGAAATTATAAAAGTATTAATTTTGGGAACTGATAAATGTCCATGAAATCTTCACAATTTATGTTCTTCTGCTGCAGCTTCAGCTGGTCCCTCCGTTCGGGATCCCTGACTTCTCACAACAGATAAGTTAGGAACTTCCTAAAGACTTGTTGAATGGCTTTGATCTAAATGCTGATAGTGATATGGACAATGAAGTCCAGGCTGAGGTGGTCTTAGATGGAGATAAGAACCTTGTTGGGAACTGGAGTAAGGGTCACTCTTGCTATGCTTTAGCAAAGAGACTGGTGGCATTTTGCCCCTGCCCTAGAGGTCTTTGGAACTTTGAACTTGTGAGAAATGATTTAGGTATCTGGCAGAAAAAAATTGTAAAGCAGCAAAGCATTCAAGAGGAAGCAGAGCACAAAATTTTGGAAACTATGAAACCTAACAATGCAATAGAAAAGAAAAACCCATTTTCTGGGGTGAAATTCAAGCCTGCTTCAGATATTTGCGTAAGTAACAAGGAGCCACATGTTAATCACCAAGACAATGCGAAAATGTCTTCAAGGCATGTCAGAGACCTTCACAGCATCCCCACCAATCACAGGCCTAGAGGCCTAGAAGGGAAAGATGGTTTCATGAGCTGGGCCCAGGGCTCACCTGCTCTATGCAGCCTCAGGACATGGTGCTGTGTGTCCCAGCTGTTTCAGCTCCAGCTGTGGCTAAAAGAGTCCAAGATACAGCTCAGGCCATTACTTCAGAGGGTGCAATCCCCAAGCCTTGACAGCTTACACATGGTGTTGGACCTGCAGGTGCACAGAAGTCAAGAACTGAGATTGGGGACCCACCGCCTAGATTTTACAGAATGTATGGAAATGCCTGTATGTCTAGGCAGAATTTTGCTGCAAGTGTGAAGCCCTCATGGAGAACTTCTGCTAAGGCTGTGCAGAAGGGAAATATTGGTTTGGCGCCCCTACACAGAGGCCCCACTGGAGCACTGCCTAGTGGAGCTATAATAAGCAGAAACCAGAATGACAGATTCACCAAGAGCTTGTACTGTGTACCTGGAAAAGCTGCAGCCACTCAATGCTAGCCCATGAAAGCAGCCTAGAGGGGGGCTGTATACTGCAAAGCCACAGAGTCAGATCTGTCCTTGGGAGCTCACCTCTTGCATCAGTGGGAACTAGATGTGAGACATGGAGTTAAAGGATATCATTTTGGAGCTTTAAGATTTAATAATTGCCCTGTTGAATTTCGGACTTCCATGGGGCCTGTAGTCCCTTTGTTACGGCCAATTTCTCTCACTTTAAATGGATGTATTTACCCAAAGTTGGTATCCCCATTGTATCTTGGAAGGAACTAACTTGTGTTTGATTTTAGCAGCTCATAGGCAGAAAAGACTTGCCTTGTTTCAGATAGACTTTGAATATCACTCTAAATATCCTTTATTTATCGAAGGCCAGGCACTGTGCAAGGTACTTTATGTGTGGTATGCCATTTAATCTGCACAGCAGTTCATAAATTAGGACCTATTATTTTGAAGATAAGTTTATGAGGCTCAGGGAAGTCATACAGCTTGTTCTTAGCTGTAGAGACAGTAAATGGAAAAGCCTAAAATCAAATGTAGTTCTACCTGGTTCCTGTCTGCTTTTTATTTATCCTCTCTACTATGTTATATTGCTTTTCTTCACGAGCTCAGATAATTTAATCTCCAATCTCCTCTATTCCTGCTTGGTAAGAAATCTAACATTTCTTAGAAATGACAGGAGGCACAATGGAGATGCAGAGAGCTAAGTAAGGACTCTTCTGTGCTGGCAGTGCTGATTCTGGGGTTTTTAGAGTAAGAGTTTGACTTTTGACAGCTTTCTTTAGGTGAGCTGGCAAGGATAGATCTTTGCAAATGAGAAATTTGCAACATAATATTCATATGACAACTCACTTACTATACAGATGACTGGATTCCCCCAAGAACAGGAGGCAGTTTGGACTAGCCACACACTGAAGAGTGGCACAACAACCATTATAGTGTCTGAGTCCAGCTGCTAAACCTGGAGAGGTTAAGGCCACATTAATATCTGCCAAGTAAATCTCTCTGTTTATAAATCTGTGTGGCAATCTATTCTTATCTCTTCCATTTAAGTGAGGGATAGGGTTACCATGGCCATAACTGAAAACATATTGGCATATCCAGCTGATTTAGAAACTAAACAAACATGTTGCTGCCCTTAGAGTAAGTGCAGCCTCTGGTTCTACTGATGGGCCCTTTCACTTGAACAGTGTTTCAGTGGGACCTACAGTCACTCCTGAAGAAATAAGATCAGTGATGTACTATGGGGAACAAGTATGGTAAGTAGCTAAGAGTAATAAGTGGAAGAGTCTGATAGGTTAATTCAGAAAACCTTCCTTATTAGCTATAAAATCTTAAGTTGTTTAACTTCTCTACCCGCCAGGTTCTTCATCTGTAAATTGAACTAATATTGGCAATTTACCTTTATGTTGTTGGAAATTAAAGGAATCAATATATGTAAAGTACTTAAAATAGAGCCAGAACATTGCTAAGTACTATGCAAGTGTTAGCCATTTATTATTATTCTTCTCCTTGTTATTGAATGTAATGTTTACAGTAACAAAAATTGGAGTGGCTAAAAAACATTTCATTTGCCAAAGATGTTTTTTCAAAATTATATACCATACCTTGGAGTGGAGAGATGTTAGAGATTTCTCTATTGCTATAATCTGTGACTTCCATGATAAGGACCAAAGTGGTGGCAAAAATGTAGAATGAGAGTAGAGAAGCAAAAATATATTTGGCAGGGGTGGGAAATGGACAGATCTTGATAGTGTGAAAGATGAAAGATAGAATTTGGGAAGCTAGAAGATTGGTGAAGCCAATTATGGTAACGAAAAAATGTATAAAGGGTGACTTGGTAGATTAGAAGTATATTAAATTTAAGATGTCATTAAGACTTAAAAGAAAAATGTCCCATGTGTGACTGAGAATGTGAAAGAGAACAGAGAGAGAGGTTTGCATTAGAGATGTATATCTAGGAATTATCTGTATTTAGGTAGTTCCTGAAATCATGTGTTAATCTCAGCTTTCTGCTAAAGACTTCCAATATAGACATGGACTTGAAAAGAAGAATTTGAGGATGAATAAAGAATTCTGATTAACATAAAATTATTCAAACAACTGAGGAGAAAAATAGATGCATAACATAGGCATAACAAAATCAACAAGAACAACCTGCCTAATGGTGTATTCTGATCCCTGCTACAATTGCCCAAATTACACACCAATCTGGATATTGCCTATACTTGTAAAAAATAAATAGAATAATAATAAAGTACTTAAGTTTGAAATATTTTATCATTCAACTACAGTAAAACTATGTTTGAAAAGTTAGAGATGCAATATTGTATAAAATAATATTTTCTCACTCCTTAGAAAACAGGCCATTAATACCACCTTGTATAACTCTATAAAGATACATTCCATATTGTGCAATAAAGGAATTTCTGAAGAGTTGTATGCAAATATGTTATATGAAATGTATTGGGATAGTTTCATAATTTATAAAAAACCCTTCCCTATGCTTAATTATAACCTATCTGTATTGTTAGTTTAGAGATCTTTTTTTTTTTTTAAAAAAAGGGATGTTGCCTACATAAAGTACAATCAAGAATAGTGGGGTATTGATGTGTCTGTTCAGTTCATCTAGCTTTCTCTGAAAATAGCTAATGTCTACTCCTGCTACCAATACATAGGAGTGAGCTCCCAGAAGTCATTTTTTTAACTTTGTGATTGCACACTCAAGATCATGGCTAATTGAACCAGATGGGAAAGCTTGATCACAATTACTTAAATAAGAATATTTCCCCAGGGAATTTGGAATTAGGATTTAACATTAGTCAGTCTCCAGTTGGAAATATAAAATGTACATTAGGAGCTGAAGGGCAGCCATAGCTTCCTGAATAGGACAAGCAGAAAATGCCTAACTGAAGAGAAAAAAGAGAACAAAATAGATGAGCAGATATAAGCAAAGATGAGAGAGTTGGATTAACACTTACTGAAGGCTTTTCCAGCTTTGGATCCAGTCTCCTTCTGAGTCCTGGGTAAACCCTTGCCCTTCAGCTCAGTAAGGCAATTACTTATCCTCACATTCTATTTCTACGTTTTTTCTTGCCTAATCCAGTTAGATTTGGTTTTTGCTACTTACAACCAAAGGATCTTAGTTAATGGAATAATTGATATCAGGGATGAGGATGCAATTTCCAGCATGTGGAATTACTTGAAGCAAGATGAGGTGAAGCATAGTGAGAACTCCTGCTTCTCTAGCTGGGAAGTGAGCCATTTATGTAAAGAGCTAGGAAAGAAGCATTTTAGACAATTGTCTCTTTCTTCTTGATACGAAACCAATTGTACTCCATATGTAAGATTCAATAGAAAATGGTATAAACTTCAGAATAAAAGAATGTTTTCTATATGCAGTATTTAATAAGTTGCAACAAGAAAAGAGAAGATCAAATCTAGATTTATCAAGGGTTGTCAAAATAGAAACCTATGGCTGTAAGTGGGATTGTATAACTGAAATCTCTGAAGTATAAGTTACAGAAAAACTATTTTATGTGTAGATTGCTGTACTAAAGAGCCGAGTTCCTGATTTCCCCCTTTTAGGATAAGGTTGATCTAGGAAGTGGAAAATTGTGGAATCTTGGTAATTTCAATAAGCAAGTGTAATAGGATCCAGATACATTAAAAGCTCAGTTGCAGCAGGTTCCTTCATTGTGCTTTCCTTAGTGCTTCTCAGAACTGATTTATTCCACCCATTGTTAAGCATATTACACCACTTAAGTTGGAATATGAAATAAAGACAAGATCATGGTTCTGAGACCATTTAGGGTAGAAAACTCATTAACTAAATCATTTATTCTTCTTTCATTCAAAATTGGAGTTAAGAACACTACCACTCAAACTAAGTCACCTGGAACTTATTATGAATACATTCCTTCTTAGCAGCAGTGGTTACAGGTAAATTGTTGATTTTCTCTGTTTCTTAGTTTCGTTGTTTGTAAAATAGGCCTATAAACTATACATCTGTCATTGGATTTTTGAGGAATAATACAACACAGTACATGATACATAATAAGAACACAACAAATGATAATTTTATTCAACATCATCATCATCCAATAATTATTTCCAGGTGGCTTCTATGTGCCAGTCACTACTCTAGGTGCTAAGGTATAGCAACCACAAGAGAGATAAGGTTCCCATCTTTGTGGAGCTTACATTGTAGAGGAAATAGAACGTGAAGGTGAAACTAAACGAATAAAAATAAAATGTAATTCTAAAGCATTAAATGCCATAAGGAAAATAAAACAGGATACTGGGATACAGTAATAAGTGTGGCGATGGGAAGATTAAGATCATCAGGAAAGTCTTCTGTCTTAGTTCAGGCTATTTTAACAAAATAGCTTAAACTAGGTAATTTATAAACAATAGAAATATATTGCTTACAGTCCTGGAGGCTGGGTAGTCCAAAATCAAGGTAAAAGTACATTTGGTGTCTTGCAAGGGCTGGCTCTCTGCTTCCTAGATGGTTAACTGTTTTCTCAGGTAACCGAAGAGGCAAGGTAACTCCCAGGATCCTCTTTGATAAGGGCACTAATCTCATTCATGAGGATGGAGCCCTCGTGAACTCAATGATTTCCCAAAGGCCCCATTTCTTATTATTGTCACATTGGGTATTAAGTTCCAACAAGTGAACTTTGGAGGCCACCAACATTCAGACCTTAGAATCCTCTCTAAGCTGAGATCTGAATATGAGACCAGTCATGAAAAAAGGGAAGTTTTTCAAAAGAAGAAAATGGCAAATGCAAAACTCTAAGATGGGGTGGGAGGAGGGGTAATTTAGTGTTTGAGATACAAAGAAAGAAAGACAGTCTGTATGACTAGAATGTTGTGAGTAAAAAGAAAAGAGACGCCAGATGAAGTTAAAGATCATGCAAGGTATTGAAGGACCTGCTGAAAGTTTGGATTTTATTCTAAGTGCAATGGAAAACTATTGAAATGTTTTTAAGCGAAGTGTTGACAAGAAACTGATTCATATCTTGAGAAAACCATAAATTAAGTGATTGTGGATAACTAACATATCCTATTACTTTTAATCAAATTATAGTGGCATTTGTTTTCTGAGAAGACATTCAACATAAGAGGGATGTGGCTTTGTCGCTTATTAGCAATGTACCCTCAGGAGAGTTACTTAAACTCAGTGAATCTAAGTATCTTTATTGATTATGAAATGTTAGGAATAATCACACTGACCTCACATGGTAGTTGAGGGTTAAATTTAAAGTTTGATTATTCATTCAACAATTTTTTATACTTTTACTATAGGTTCAGGGGTACATGTGCAGGTTTGTTATACAGGTAAATTGTACGTCATGAGGGTTTGGTGTACAGATTATTTCACCACTCAGGTAATAAGCATAGTACCTGATAGGTAGTTTTTCAGTCCTCACTCTGTTCCCACTCTCCACTCTCAACTAGGCCCTGGTGTCTCTTGTTCTCTTCTTTGTATCCACATATACTCAAGGTTTAGCTCCCACATATAAGTGAGAACATGCACTACTGAGTTTTCTTTTCCTGCATTATTTCACTTAGGATAATGGCCTCCAGCTTCTTGCATGTTGTTGCAAAGGTAATGATCTCATTCTCTTTTATGGCTACATAGTATTCTGTGGTGTATTTATCCAATCTGCTATTGATGAACATTTAGGTTGATTCTATGTCCTTGCTTTTGTGAATAGTGCTGCAGTGAGCACACAAATACATGTGTCTTTATGGTAGAATGATTTATAATCCTTTGGCTATATACTAAGTAATGGCATTGCTGAGTCGAATGATAATTCTGTTTTAAGTTTTTTAAGAAATCACCACACTGCTTTCCACAATGGCTAAACTAATTTACATACCCACCAACAGTGTATAAGCATTCCCTTTCCTCTATAACAACACCAGCTTCTGTTATTTTCTGCCTTTTTAATAATAGCCATTCTGACTGGTGTGAGATGGTATCTCATTGTTGTGATTTACATTTTTATAATGATTAGTGCTGTTGAGCATTTTTCATATGCTTGTTGTATGTCTTCTTCTGAGAAGTGTCTGTTCATGTCCTTTGCCCATTTTAATGGTTTTTTTGTGTGTTTTTTGCTTGTTAATTTGTTGAAATTTCTTATAGATTTTGAATAGTAGACCTTTGTCAGCTGCATAGTTTGCAAATACTTTCTCCCATTCTGTAGGGTGTCTGTTTACTCTGTTGCTATTTTCTCCTGCTGTGCAGAAACTCTTTAGTTTAATTAGGTGCCACTTGTCAATTTTTGGTTTTGTTGCAATTTCTCCTGTGGTCTTTTTCATTAAATCTTTGCAAGGACCCATGTCCAGAACGGATTTTCCTAGGTTATCTTTCAGGAATTTTAGAGATTTACATTTTACACTCAAGTGTTTAATCCACCTTGACTTAATGTTTGTATATGGTGTAAGCAGGGGGTTTCAGCCTGCTGCATATGGCTAGGCAGTTAGTCCAGCACAATTTATTAAATAAAAACTCCTTTTTACATTGCTTGTTTTTGTCCTCTTTTCCAAAGAACAGATGGTTGTAGGTGTCTGGCTTTACTTCCAGTATCTTTTACCTGTTCCATTGATCTGTCTGTTTTTGTACCAGTACCATGCTCTTTTCATTACTGTAGCCTTATAATATAGTTTGACATTAGGTAGTGTGATATCACCAACTTTATTCTCTTTCCACAGGATTGCTTTGGTTATTCAGGTGCCTTTATGGTTCCACATAAATTTTGCAAGTTTTCTTCTAGTTCTGTGAAGCATGTCATTGGTGGTTTGATTGGAATAACATTGAATCTGTAAATTGCTTTGGGCAGTGTGGCCATTTTAATAAGACAAATTATTTCCATCCATGAGCATAGAATGATTTTCCATTTGTTTGTGTGATCTTTGATTTCTTTCAACACTGTTTTGTAATTCTCATTCTAGAGGTCTTTCACCTCCTTTGTTTGCTGCATTTCTAGATATTTTATTCTTTTTGTGGCTTTTGTGAATGTGATTTCATTCTTGATTTGGCTATCAGCTTGGTCAGTGTTTGTGTGTAGAAATGGTACTGATTTCTGTACATTGATTTTGTATCCTGAAACTTTGCTGCAGTTGTTCATCAGATCTAGGAGATACTGGGCAGAGATTATAGGAGTTTTCTTGATATATAATCATATCATCTGCAAAGAGTGATAGTTTGACTTCCTCTCTACCTATTTGGATGCTATTTATTTATTTCTCTTGCCTGATTACTCTGGCTAGGACTTCCAATACTATGTTGAATAGGAATAATAAGAATGGGAATCTTTGTCTTTATCTGATTCTCGAGGGGAATGCTTCCAGCTTTTGTCTGTTCAGTATGATGTTAGCTATAGGTTTGTCATAGAAGGCTCTTATTATTTTGAGGTATGTTCCTTTAATGCCTAGTTTGTTGAGGGTTTTTAATGTGAAGTGATGTTGAATTTTCTCAAAATCCTATTGTGCATCTATTGAGATGATTATGTGGTTCTTCTTTTTGGTTATGTTCATGTAATGAATCACATTTATCGATTTCTGTATGTTGAACCAACCTTGAATCCCATGGATAAAGCCAAGTTGACTGGCTGATTAGCTTTTAGATGTGCTGCTGGATTTGGTTTGCTAGTATTTTGTTAAATATTTTTGTGTCTATGTTCCTCAATAATATTTGCTGGAACTTTTATTGTTTTTCTTGTGTCTCTGCAAGGTTTGGTACCGGAATGATGCTGGCCTTGTAGAATGAGTGATGCAGGTGTCCATCCTCCTCATTTTTTGGAATAGTTTTTGTAGGTTTGATACCAGCTCTTCTTTATACACCTGGTAGAATTCATCAGTGAATCTGTCTCATCCTGGGCTTTTCCTGGTTGGTAAGCTTTTTATTACTGATTCAATTTCAAAATTCATTTTTGGTCTCTACAGGGATTCAATTTCTTCCTGGTTCAACCTTAAGAGGTTGCATGTTTCCAGTAATTATTCATTTCTTCTAAGTTTTCTAGTTTGTGCACATAATAGTCTCTGACAGCTTTATGTGTTTCTGGAGTATCAGTGGTAATGCCCCCTTTGCAATTTCTGATTGAGTTTATTTGGCTCTTCTCTCTTTTTTATTAGTCTAGCTATTGGCCTATCTTTTTTTATTTATTCTTTCAAACAACCATCACTGTGATTCACTGATTTACTGTATAGTTTTCCATATCTCATTTTCATTCAGTTCAGCTCTAATTTTGGTAATTTCTTGTCTTCTGCCAGCTTTGTGGTTGGTTTTCTCTTCTTCTTCTAGTTCCTCTAGGCATGATATTAGGTGCTTCATTTATGATCTTTCTAGCTTTATTATTTCAGCATTTAGCACTATACACCTTCCTTTTAACACTGATTAAGCAGTGTCCCAGAGGTTCTGGCATGTTGCATCATTGTTCTCATTAGTTTCAAAGACTTTCTTGATTTCTGCCTTAATTTCATTGTTTACCTAAAAGCCATACAGGAGCAGGTTGATTAATGTAATCGTATAGTTCTGAGCAATCCTCTTAGTATTGATTTCTATTCTAATTGCATTTGATCCAGTAGTGTGGTTGGTATCATTTCAGTTTTTTGAATTTGCTGAGAATTGTTCTATATCCTATTATTCGCTCAATTTTATATTATTTGTCATATGCAGGTAATAATTATGTGTATTGTGTTGTTTTGGAGTGGAAATTCTGTAGATGCCTGCTAGGTCCATTTGGTCAAGGGTTGAATTCAGTTCCCAAATAGTTCTGTTAGTTTTCTGCCTCAATGATCTGTCTAATACTCTCAGTGGGATATTGAAGCCTAACACTATTATTGTGTGGTTATCTAAGTCTCTTCATAGTTTTCTAAGAACTTGTTTTATGAATATGGACACTCCTGTGTTGTGTGCATATATATTTATGATAGTTAGGTCTTCCTGTGGAATTGAACCCTTAACCATTATGTAATGCCTTTTTTTCTTTTTTGATCATTGCTGGTTTAATGTCTGGTTTGAAATTAGCACAACAACCCCTCCTTTTATTCTATTTTCCATTTGCTTAGTGGATTTTTCTCCATCTCTTTACTTTGAGCCTATGTGTGTCATTGCTTGTGAGATGGGTCTGTTGAAGACTGCATAACACTTAGGTCTTACTTCTTTATCCAACTTGTGACTATGTGCCTTTTAATTGGGGGCATTTAGTCAACTTACATTCAAGTTTAATATTGATATGTGTGAACTTGAACTTGGCATCATGTTTGTTAGCTGACTATTATGCATAATTGATTGTGTAGTTGCTTTATCATTTCAATGGTCTATGTACTTCAGTGTGTTGTGGTGTCTGGTAATGGTTTTTTTTTTTTCCTTATTTAGCACTCTCTTAAGGACTTCTTGTAAGGCAGGTCTGATGGTTTCAAATTTCCTCAGCATTTGCTCGTCTGAAAAGAATTTTATCTCACCTTTGCTAATGAAGCTTAGTTTGGCTGGATATAAAACTCTTGGTTGAAATTCCTTTTTTAAAAAAGAATGCTGAATATAGGCCCCAAATCTCTTCTGGCTTGTAGGATTTCTGCTGAAAGATCTGCTGTTAGCCTTATGGGGGTTACCTTTGTAGGTGACCTGCTGCTTCTCTCTATCTTCTTTTAACATTTTGTAGTTTGTTTCAAACTTGGAGAATCTGATGACTGTGTGTCTTGGTGAAGCTCATTTTGTATAGTATCTCACAGGGGTTCCCTGTGCTTCCTGAATTTAAATGTTGGTTTCTCTAGTGAGGTCGGGGAAACATTCATGAATAATATTCTCAAATATGTTTGCCAAGCTACTTGCTTTCTCTCCTTCTCGCTCAGGAAAACCAATGTGTCATAGATTTGGTCTCTTCATATAATCCCATATTCTCAGAGCTTTTTTTCCATTGTTCTTTATTTTTGCCTGACTGAGTTAATTCAAAGGCCCTTTGATCTCTCAAAATATTTCCTCATTTTGGTTTATTCTGCTTTTAATTTTTGCCATTGTATTATGAAATTATTGAAATGAGTTTTTTAGCCCTATCGGATCAGATTTTTTTTCTTAAAATGGTCATTTCATGTTTCAGCTCATGTATCATTTTATTGTATTTCTCAGATTCCTTGGACTGGAACTTGATGATATTCATTCCTATCTGTATTCTAAATTCTATGTCTTTCATTTCAGCCATTTTACCCTCTTAAGAACCATTGCTTGGAAAATAGTTTGGTTGTTTGGAGGTAAGAATACACTCTGGATTTTTGAGCTGTCACAGTTCTTATGCTTGTTTTCTCATCTGTGTGGTCTGAAATTTCTTTAATCTTTGAAGTTGCTGTCCTTTAGATGTTTTTGTTTGTTTGTTTTTGCTTTTATCTTCTTTGATGACCTTGGGGATTTAATTGTGGTATAAGTTGGGTTCATTCAACTGGCTTCATTTCTGGAAGCTTTTAGGTAGACAAGGCTCAGCTCAGCACACCTGGGGGCTGCTGCACGTTGTAACTCTGGGGGTGCAGGTACCAGGCACCTGGCTTTCTTCTTTAACCCCTGCAGGTTAGGAACCTGCTGCACTGGATGGCCTGAGGTGTTCCTGGTCCACTGGCCACAACACTTCAATGGAGGATTCTGGCCAAATTTATTCTTTGGTGAGGTAACAATGGAAGCCATGCTCATGTATACATGACAGAAGCCACAGGTGAGTGACAGAGTACATGCATGCTAGCCAGAGAGGGGAACTGGGGGGAGCAGGTTTGTTGGTGTCTATACTAGCACTCATGCTGGAGGTTGCAGCCCTGGTGGCAGGGGCAGGATGCTGGTGGAGCTGGGGTTGCCAACGCCCTTTTGTGTCTTTGAGCCAGTGGCAGAGGTGTAGTGGGATGCCCATGTGTCAGTGGGGTGAGGTGGAAGGGTGTGCTCATGGTGGCAGTGGGGGCACAGTAAGCTGTGCACTCACATGCATGTCAGCAGAGGAGGTGAGGTCTTCCTGCATGCATGCACTAGCAAAGCGATGGGGAGGCCATGGGTAAGTGTATGCCACCAAAATGATGTGGGGAGGCTGCTGTGTGGGGAAGCTGTGGGTGAGCTGGTGCATGTCAGTGGGGGCTAGTCTGCTGGAGCTCTCCCATGGTCAGGTGTACTCTGCTGTTGAAGGAGCTATGATGAGGGCCCCTGGGAAGCACCCTGGTTGTGTATCTGAGGTTGCACTGCCAATGAATGTGGCCAGGATGGAGCTCCTGAATAGGTCATTCAACAGGGGTTGCTCAGATTGAGCTGTCCTCATCCCACAGGGAACAGTTCCTGCTCTGTCCCAGTCCAACCATCACCCTAATGCTAAAGTCTCCTAGAGGAGTGTAGCAAGCATTGGGGGATGGGTGTCCTTGGCCAAGCTCCACTGTAGCCCTTTATGTACTAAGCCCTTTGTGCTCCACACAGGCTGAAGTCTTTCTCCTGCTACCTCTCTAAGCAGCTCACTGCCAGCTCCGGTGTCCATGAGGTTCGTGGAGTCTACTGCTGCTCAGATTCTGAAGATACGTGGTGAGAGAAGTCTACTCTTTGCCTGATCAACTCACCCCATCCTCAGGAGTTGCTAGGGCCCAGGAGTGAGTCCTGATGTTCAGCCACCCTGTGTAGGGTTCCCAGATTTCCCCTTTAGCTCAGCATTTTGCAGCCTCCCTCCATTTACTCTCAATTTCTTCCCTTCAAAGATCTGCTTAGAGTGTGCCAGACTTCTCAATGCCCTGGTCTCTCTGTGAGAGATGTTCCTCCTGGCTGTGTCTAGTAAGCCATATGGAATTCTATATAGCAAATATTTATTATGCTTTTATTATGTATCAGGTACTGTTCCAGGAGCTAAAGATACAGCAATGACTATAGTGAAGTGCTGGACTTTATGGAGCTGACATTCAAATGGATAAGACAGATAATAAAAACAAGTATTAGGTTGGTGCAAAAGTAATTGCAGTTTTTGCCATTGAAAGTAATGGCAATGTCACTGAAAGTAATTGTTTTTGCCATTATTTTCAATGGCAAAATCCACAATTACTTTTGCACCAATCTAATACTATTTAGGTTTATTATAATACAAGCTACAAAAAAGAGTAATTCAGAGTAAAAGAATTGATAGTGGTCAAAAAAGCTCCTCTAAGAAGTTGTCAGATCTCTTAGGCAATGTTCTAAATGACAAGAGAGAGTGAGCCATGCAAATATCTAGGGAAGAAATTTCTGGACAGAGAAAACTGCTATTTAAAAATCTTGAGATATATGATAGGGTTCTACTTGGTGAACTTAAGGGACATCAAGATCTGCATTGTTTGAGGTCAAAGAGTAAAAAGAAGAGTGGTAATAGATGAGATCAGAGAAATAACCTGGGACAAGATTATATAGAACAGTGTAGGTCAAGATAAGAATCTTGGAGAGTGACATAATCTGAATTACATTTGTACAGGAACAGTGGGGGCTGGCTAGAGAATAGATTTTTGAATATGTTGTATTTGATATGACTTTTAAACTTACAATTAGGGATTTGCTAATATATGAAAGAATGAGCATCATGACTTAAGATCTGAGATATTAGAGAAGTTACTATGACTCTTCTTTTGTTAAAAAAGGATGTTCAGGCTGGGTGTAGTGGCTCACGCCTGTAATTCCAGCACTTTGGGAGGCCAAGGCAGGTGGATCACCTGAGGTCGGGAGCTCAAGACCAGCCTGACCAACATGGAGAAACCCCATCTCTATTAAAAATACAAAAATTAGCCGGGTATGGTGGTGCATGCCTATAATCCCAGCTACTCGGGAGGCTGAGGCAGGAGAATTGCTTGAACCTGGGAGGCGGAGGTTGTGGTGAGCCGAGATCACGCCATTGCACTCCAGCCTGGGAAACATGAGCAAAACTTCGTTTAAAAAAAAAAAAAAAGATGTTCAAGAAGATTAAGTTATTATTACATCGCCTGGCTCATGGTATGAGCCAATTACATGTTAATTTTCATCACCCCTTCCTTAATTTGATTACTATTAGGTGATATGCTATATAATATAATGGTAGAAATCTCTTTAATAAAATATCCCTTTCATTACTTATCTTCATCACTTATTTTTTGCATCTGTATAACAGTAACTTATCTAAATTTGACAAATTAGATAAACAAGTCCATTGCATTATTTTTATGTGGAACATTGGTTAACTCATTCCAACTGGCCCAGATTATGTTTGAACTAAAGTTCACAAATAACACCAGTTATAATGACAGGTGTGAAGCAAAATCTCCCTCTCTTCTTCCCTCTCTTCTTTTCTTTTTCCTTTCTTCCTTTCTCAAGAAAATTCTAAATCATTGCCTTAATTTTCTGATTAAATTAGGCTAAGATTTCTCTGTGCAAGGCTATCCACGTATACCACTCACACATTTTTCTATCATTCATAAAAATTACATTGGAAGAAATAACATACACAGCAGCTATCTTTTATTAAACTCTTGTTAGTGTTCCTACATGAAACTAGGCATTTTTCATCAATTGTGTAATTTTATCCTCACTAAAAATAATTAAAGTGGGTATTACTTTCTCCATTTTATAATGACAAAACTGAGTTTTACATAATTTAATTAACTTTACCAAAGTTATATATTTATATATAAATATATGTATGTATATACACACATTTAAGAATTTTGGGTCTATAATTTTTAAACAGTTGTGTCTAAATGTTTTAAAAGGATGAACGTAGCTAAGAAAAGATATAGGTAGCAGGCTAATTAAAAATTAAAATTTCTTATGACACAAATTTGGAAGGATCATTACAAAGTTACATAAAAAATTTAGGATTGAAATTGATTTAAAAAAATAGAATTCTAGGCAAAGAATAGCATACCATTTTCTCAAGCTTGCATTACAGCAGGGGTCCCCAAACACCAGGCCAAAGACCAGTACGAGTCCATGGCCCGTTAGGAACCAAGCTACGTAGCAGAAAGTGACCAACGGGCAAGTGAGCATTACTGCCTGAGTTCCACCTCCTGTCAGATCATTGGCAGCATTAGATTCTCATAGGAGCATGATCCCTGTTATGAACTGTGCATGTGAAGGATCTAGGTGTTATGTCCCTTATGAGAATCTCATGCCTGATGATCTGAGGTGGAACAGTTTTATCCTGAAACCATCCCTTTCTACCCCAGTCTGTGGGAAAATTGTCTTCCATGAAACTGGTACCTGGTGCAGTTGCAGACAGCTGTATTACTGGATAGTAATCTTGTAAATACTCCTGCAAGTTGTATAACAAAGGGTTCCATCCCAAATAAGTTTAGTAAATATTGGTTTAAAGAAAATTAAAAGTCTTTATTTACTTCAAGACTTCAATTTAATTTAGTGCTGTGAGTTCATGTAAAATACCACTTTCTAGGAAGTTTACTGATGTCCTCAACTAACTATGAAATGCTAGAAAACAACAGGATAGATTGATGGATGAATAAAAGAATGGAGAGTTGAAGATATGTGATAAAACTAGTCAAATGGTAATGGTAGCATTTAGGTGGTAACTATACATATATGCACACTATTTTTTTTTCAAATTTACCATATATTTAAAAATATTTCTAAGCACATTCTAAACAAATGCTCTTTAAAAACCTCTTCTGTCCAAACTTCTAACAATATTAGTAGACAATTAAAAAACATTTTTAAAAGACAGTCATGATCAAAAGTAAAATAAACATCAATGGATCAGAAATGGAGCAGAAACACACATTGATAAGGAGGACCTAGATCTATAAACTCAGTACCTGGACCCATGGATATCAGAAGCTATAAGCAGAAAGAGGTGGCGCAGAGACCAACTGCTATGAATTAATAAAGACTGACTCCTCTCTATGACTATTAGGGATTGAGGTTGAGTTCAACAGCATGAACTCCCCCACATTCCCATGATATTGCTACAAAGTTTGCAGGCCATTGCAAATGGCCATAGCCATTGTCAATCTGTTGACAAAGGAGACACGACAGAGCAAGACAACATCTGCTCTAGAACACGCTCTCTGGTTTTCCTCCAGGAGGAGAGATATCCATCCAATAGGTTGAGACCTGGTTTTGATCAGAGAAGCTTGGTGATCTTGGTAGAAACAAGTGTAAAATATTCTAGACATGAAGGGACAAGAGCAGAGAAAAAAAAACACACTCATCAAAAAAAAAAAAAGAAAAATTAAAAACGGACAAAAATGCTACCAGAGATAAACCTGTAAACTAAAATTCCACAGCAGGTGGTAAAACAAAGGTCATAAAAAGTAGCTAACAAATATTTTCTCCCATTCTGTAGGTTACCTGTTTAATATTTCGATGGTTTCCTTTGCTGTAAAGACGTTCTTCAGTTTAATTAGTTCCCAATTGTCAATTTGTGCTTTTTGTTGCATTTGCTTTTGAGGTCATAGTCATAAATTATTTGCCTAGGCCAATACCAGAATAGTTTTCTCTCTGTTTTCTCCTGGGATATTTCTAGTTTCAGGTCTCACATATATATAATTTTTTAGTCCATCTGGAGTTAATTTTTTTTCTTTTTCTTTTTTTTTTTATTATACTTTAAGTTCTAGGGTACATGTGCACAATGTGCAGGTTTGTTGCATATGTATACATGTACCATGTTGGTGTGCTGCACCCATTAACTCGTCATTTACATTAGGTATATCTCCTACTGCTTTCCCTCCCCCTTCCCCCTACCCCACGACAGGCCCCAGTGTGTGATATTCCCCTTCCTGTGTCCAAGTGTTCTCATTTGTTCAATCCCCACCTATGAGTGAGAATATGTGGTGTTTGGTTTTTTGTTCTTGTGATAGTTTGCTGAGAATGATGATTTCCAGCTTCATCCATGTCCCTACAAAGGACATGAACTCATCCTTTTTTATGGCTGCATAGTATTCCATGGTGTATATGTGCCACATTTTCTTAATCCAGTCTATCATTGTTGGACATTTGGGTTGGTTCCAAGTCTTTGCTATTGTGAATAGTGCCACAATAAACATACGTGTGCATGTGTCTTTATAGCAGCATGATTTATAATCCTTTGGGTATATACCCAGTAATGGGATGGCTGGGTCAAATGGTATTTCTAGTTCTAGATCCTTGAGGAATCGCCACACTGTCTTCCACAATGGTTGAACTAGTTTACAGTCTCACCAACAGTGTAAAAGTGTTCCTATTTCTCCATATCCTCTCCAGCACCTGTTGTTTCCTGACTTTTTAATGATCGGCATTCTAACTGGTGTGAGATGGTATCTCATTGTGGTTTTGATTTGCATTTCTCTGAAGGCCAGTGATGATGAGCTTTTTTCATGTGTCTTTTGGCTGCATAAATGTCTTCTTTTGAGAAGTGTCTGTTAATATCCTTTGCCCACTTTTTGATGGGGTTGTTTGTTTTTTTTCTTGTAAATTTGAGTTCATTGTAGATTCTGGATATTAGCCCTTTGTCAGATGAGTAGATTGCAAAAATTTTCTCCCATTCTGTAGGTTGCCTGTTCACTCTGATGGTAGTTTCTTTTGCTGTGCAGAAGCTCTTTAGTTTACTTATATCCCATTTGTAAATTTTGGCTTTTGTTGCCATTGCTTTTGGTGTTTTAGACATGAAGTCCTTGCCCATGCCTATGTCCTGAATGGTATTGCCTAGGTTTTCTTCTAGGGTTTTTATGGTTTTAGGTCTAACATTTAAGTCTTTAATCATCTTGAATTAATTTTTGTAGAAGGTGTAAGGAAGGGATCCAGTTTCAGCTTTCTGCATATGGCTAGCCAGTTTTCCCAGCAGCATTTATTAAATAGGGAATCCTTTCCCCATTTCTTGTTTTTGTCAGGTTTGTCAAAGATCAGATGGTTGTAGATGTGTGGTATTATTTCTGAGGGCTCTGTTCTGTTCCATTGGTCTATATGTCTGTTTTGGTACCAGTACCATGCTGTTTTGGTTACTGTAGCCTTGTAGTATAGTCTGAAGTCAGGTAGCATGAGCCTCCAGTTTTGTTCTTTTGGCTCAGGATTGTCTTGGCAATGCAGGCTTTTTTGTTCCATATGAACTTTAAAGTAGTTTTTTCCAATTCTGTGAAGAAAGTCATTGGTAGCTTGATGGGATGGCATTGAATCTATAAATTACCTTGGGCAGTATGGCCATTTTCACGATATTGATTCTTCCTATCCATGAGCATGGAATGTTCTTCCATTTGTTTGTATCCTCTTTATTTCGTTGAGCAGTGGTTTGTAGTTCTCCTTGTAGAGTTCCTTCACATCCCTTGTAAGTTGGATTCCTAGGTATTTTATTCTCTTTGAAGCAATTGTGAATGGGAGTTCACTCATGACTTGGCTCTCTGTTTGTCTGTTGTTGGTGTATAAGAATGCTTGTGATTTTTGTACATTGATTTTGTATCCTGAGACTTTGCTGAATTTGCTTATCAGCTTAAGGAGATTTTGGGCTGAGACGATGGGGTTTTCTAAATATACAATCATGTCATCTGCAAACAGGGACAATTTGACTTCCTCTTTGCCTAATTGAATGCCCTTTATTTCTTTCTCCTGCCTGATTGCCCTGGCCAGAACTTCCAACACTATGTTGAATAGGAGTGGTGAGAGAGGGCACCCCTGTCTTGTGCCAGTTTTCAAAGGGAATGCTTCCAGTTTTTGCCCATTCAGTGTGATATTTGCTGTGGATTTGTCATAAATAGCTCTTACTATTTTGAGATAAACCCATCAATACCTAATTTATTGAGAGTTTTTAGCATGAAGGGCTGTTGAATTTTATCAAAGGCCTTTTCTGCATCTATTGAGATAATCGTGTGGTTTTTGTCTTTGGTTCTGTTTATATGCTGGATTACGTTTATTGATTTGTGTATGTTGAACCAGCCTTGCATCCCAGGGATGAAGCCCACTAGATCATGTTGGATAAGCTTTTTGATGTGCTGCTGGATTCGGTTTGCCAGTATTTTATTGAGAATTTTTGCATCGATGTTCATCAAGGATATTGGTCTAAAATTCTCTTTTTTTGTTGTGTCTCTGCCAGGCTTTGGTATTGGAGTTAATTTTTATATATGGTGAGTGGTAGGAGTCCAGTTTCATTTTTCCGCATATAGCTAGCCAGTCGTCCCTGTAGAATGTATTGAATAGAACGTCCTTTCTCCATTTTTTATTTTTTTGACTTTGTCAAAGCTCAGTTGGTTGTAGGTCTATAGCTTTATTTCTGGGCTCTCTATTCTGTTCAGTTGATCTATGTGTCTATTTTTGTACTAGTACAATGCTGTTTTGCCTGCTATATATCCTTGTAGTATAGTTTAAAGTTGAGTAATGGTATGCAAAGGACTGATATTCAGATTATATAAAGATCTTAAACAAATAAACCAGCAAAAAAATGAATAACTCCATTAAAATGTGAGCAAAAGATGAAAAGACACTTCTTAAAAAGAAGACATACAAGTGGCCAATGAACATTTGGAAAGATACCCGATATTACTATCATCAGATAAATGTAAATTAGACCACAATAAAATGCCACTTCACACCACTAAGAGTGGCTATTATTAAAAAGTCAAAAAATTATAAATGTTAGTGAAGATCCAGAGAAAAAGGAATACTTACATACTCTTGGTGGTAATACATATTAGTTTAGCCCCTTCAGAAAGCAGTATGGAGATTTCTCAAATAACTAAAGGTAGAACTACCATTTGACCCAGCCATCTCACTACTGAGTATCTACCCACAAAAACACAATTCATTATTTTTAAAAAGACACCTGCACTTGTACCTTTATCACAGCACTGTTTGCAATACCAAAGTCATGGAATCAACCTAATTGTTCACCGTGGTTCATTGGATAAAGAATGTGGTACATACATACTATGGAATACTACACAGCCATAAACAATAATGAAATCATGTTCTTTGCAGCAACATGAAAGGAGCTGAAGGCCACTATGCTAATTGAAATAACTCAGAAACAGAAAATCAAGTACCATATACATTCTCATTTATAAGTGGGAGCTAAATAATGGCTACACGTGGACATAAATATGGAAGTAATAGACACTGGGGACTCCAAGAAGCAGAAGGTAGGGAGAAGGGGGAGGATTGAAAATTTATCTAGTAGGTATTATGTTTAATATTTGGATAATGGCTTGAATAGATTCCTAAACCCTAACCATATGCAACGTTTCCATGTAAAAAACCTGCACATGTAACCCTTTGAATCTAAAATTAAAAATAAAAATAAGACCAACTAATAGATGGGAGAATTAACTTCTAAGCAGTTTCACAAAATAGAACCATCTTCCATAAATAATACTTAGATGAACATGTTTAACTGGGAATAAAAGAGATTTTCATAAACCTTAAAAAACATGTCTACCCAAATTCTGCATCCGACAATATACCTAACTTATTGTTGTATTTTGGGGACAAGGATAAAAACACCTGATCTGAGATGTAAAAGTCAACTTATGAAGACAAATAGGACAGAATATTTAAAGGGAACCATGGTAGAAAGTCTAGACAAATTAAACTTTATATAGTACTAAGTATATACCCCATGATTAATTATTTGCATTACTTCCATTTACAGATTAGCTGTCACTGTTTTTTTTTTCATTTTGTTCCTCTAATTATTTGCATGCTAACATTTATTGTGCAATTTATAGTATACCACAGCAACTACAGCACCGGACACCCAGTGCAGATTGCAAATACTAATGCTAATCTCAGCTGCCAGGCACAGATGACAGCAGTTACATGCCCCCCAGGAACCAGGACAGCCTCAAACGGCTAACATGACCACCAACATCCAGCATAAGTCAAAGTAGCTGTTGTGGTTCTCAGCAGAAGGCAAGGAATCTCAGCAGACAGTGCAAATCTTGGCAGAGGGTGCACTTCTCAAATGCTACCCCAGTTCTGCGGGACTGAGAGAAGGCACACAATTCTGGGATTTCTCCTTCAAGAGGAGGAAAGAGAAATGGAACTTACTCGCAATGTTCTGTCACCCAATGCACTTCTCTCGTTAAAATGAAAGAGCAGCTCTTAGTATTCAACACAGCTCAATGGGATTGGAAGAAGGTTCACAATATAGAGTTTTCTTCTTCAGGAGAAAGAAAGGGAAGTAAAGATAATATTCGACATAGAAATATCAGTGTACTACCCTAAGGAAAACTGATGAGTGATTCTAAGTTCCAGGCAGAACTCCAAGGGACTGGGAGAAGGCATAAAGTCCTGAAACTTCTCCTAAAAAGGAATGGAAAGAAGTGGAATGTGCACATTTATTACAAAGGTTTGAGAGACACACTCTGAATCTCCAGCTGAGATAATTGGTGAAGTTCTTTGCATGCTGAAGCCAGTCTGGAAAGAATAGAAGAGGTGATTGATGCTTCAAATATTCAGACGCCCAAAGCAAATGAGTACAGAGAATCAGGAAAATATCACACTATCAAAAAAAATCTCCAGGAACTAATCCTAAAGAAATGGAGATCTATGAATTTTGTAACAAATAATTTAAAATAATAGTCTTAAAGAAACTCAGTGAACTACAAGAGAACACAGATAGGCAACTAAATAAATCAGGAAAATTGAAAGAAGTAAGAATATCAACAAAGAGGCCGGGCGCGGTGGCTCATGCCTGTAATCTCAGCGCTTTGGGAGGTCGAGGCAGGTGGATCACTTGAGGCCAGGAGTTTCCCAGCCTGGCCAACATGGCAAAACCCTGTCTCTACTAAAAATACAAAATAAATAGCCTGACATGGTGGCACACCAGCCTGGGCAACGTGATGAAACCCTGTCTCTACAAAAATATACAAAAAAAAATTAGCTGGGTGTTGTAGCAGGCACCTGTAGCCCCAGCTACTAGGGAGGCTGAGGTGGGAGGATCACCTGAGCCCATGAGGCGGAGGTTGCGGTGAGCCAAGATCATGCCATGGCAGTCCAACCTGGGTGACACAGTGACAGAGTGAGACCCTGTGTCAAAAAAAAAAAAAAAAGAAAGAAAGAAAAAAAGAAAAGAAAAAGAAAAACCCTACATTTAAAAATACGAAAGACAATAAAGTAAGCGAACTTTACAATTTAAGGGACTAGACAAAAAGAACAAACTAAGCTCAAAGTTAACAGGAGGAAGGCAATAACAAAGATAAAAGCACACATAAATGAAATAGAGACTAAACATTTAGATAAACAATACTGACACACTTTTAGCTAACATAATAAAAAGTGAAAAGATTCAAATACAATTAGAAATAAAAAAGAAAACATTACACTTGATGCCACAGAAATAAAAGAAAATTTATACAAGACTACCATAAACAATTATGCATAAAAAATTGGATAACCTACAAGAAATGAAAACATTTCTGGAAACATATGAACTAGCAAGACTGAATGATGAAAAAGTAGAAAATCTGAACTAACCAATAATGAGTAAGAATATTGAATAACCCTAATCAAAAACCTCCCAGCAAAGAAAAGCTCAGGACCAGGCACTTTCACTGGTGAACGTAACCAATTATTTAAATAAAAATAATGCCAATCATTCACAAACTCTTCCAAAAAATTAAAAAGAAGGGAATACTTCCAAACTCATTGTATGAGACCAGCATTTCCCTGATACCAAAGCCAGACAAAGACAAAACACAAAAAGCCTATTACAGGCCAATATTCCTGATGATCATACATGCAAAAATCCTTACTAGCAAACTGAGTTCAGCAGTATATTAAAAAGATCATACACCATGACCAAGTGAGATTTATCACCGGTTACAAAAATAGTCTAATATATGCAAATCAATAAATGTGGTGCATCACATTAACATATTTAAAAATAAAAACCACATGATCATCTTAATATTTGCAGAAAAAGCGTGTGACCAAATTCAACAATGTTTTATGATAAAAATGCTCAAGAAACTAGGTATAAAAGAAATTTACCTGAACATAATAAAGACCATATACAACAAGACCACACCTAACATTATATTCAATGGCGAAACAATGAGGGCTTTTCCTCTAAGATCAGGAACAAGAGAAAAAATGCAACTCTTGTCACTTGCATCAAAAATAGTACCAGAAGTCTTAACCAGAGCAATTAGGCAAGGAAAAGAGAAAACAAAATTGGAAAGGAAGAATTAAAATTATCTCTGTATGCAGATGGTATGATCTTATAAATAGCATATCCTAAAGACTCCACAAAAAACACAGCAACAATTAGAACTAAAAAATGAGGTCAGTAAAGTTGCAGGGTACAAAATAAATGTACAAAAAGTTCTTTCTATATATTAATAATGAACTATCTTAAAAGGAGATTGAGAAAACAGATTCATTTGCAATAGTATCAAAAATGAAAATTAAACACCTAAGAATAAACTTAACCAAGAAGGTAAAGGAGTTGTACACCAAAAAGTAAAAGACATTGATGAAAGAAATTAAAGACAGAAATAAATGGAAAGACATCCCTGTTTCATGGGTTGGAAGAATTAATACTTTTTAAATGTTTATACTATCCAAAACAATCTATGGAGTCAATGTTATCCTCATCAAAACTCCAATGGCATTTCTTATAGAAATAGAGAAAACATATAAATAATATAAAATTCCTATGGAACAACAAAATATGTAGAATAGCCAAAGTGATTTTGAGAAAGTAGAACAAAGCTGAGGCATTAAATTTCCTGATTTCAAATATATTACACATTACAGTAATTAAAACAGTATGATACTAGCATAAAGACACACATATAGATCAATGAAACATATTAGGGAGACCAGAAATAAACCTATGCACATATAGTCAACAAATCTTTGACAAGGGTATCAAGAATACATAATGGAAAAGGATAGTCTCTTCAATAAATGATGTTGAAAAGACTGGATAGTCACACACAAAAGAATAAAATGGACTTTTTAACTTAAAGCATACACAAAAATCAACCCAAAAAAGATAAAAAACTTAAATATAAGATTTGGAACTGTAAAATTCCTAGAGAAAAATATATAAAAATATCTTCTTGATATTGGTTTTTGAAATTATTTATTGAATCTGACACTAAAAGCACAGGTGACAAAAGCAAATATAAACAGTAAGATTATATTAAATAGAAGCTTCTTGCACAGAAAAGGAAACAATCAACAAACTGAAAAGCAACATAGGAAATGGGAGAAAATACTTGCAAACTGCATATATGATAAGGGGTTAATTTCCAAAATATATAAAGAAAAACATAATAACAAAAACAAATTTTAAAAAATAACCTTATTAAAAATGAGAGAAAGACAGGAGCAGAAATACTGCAAATACCATGTGATGATCTCACTCAGATGAAATGTTACAAGTCGTTCTCATAGAAAAACAGTAGAATAGTGGTTACCAGAGGATGGGGAGGGGAGGAGAAAGGGCAGGATGATGAAAGATTGGTCAGTAAATACAAAGCTATGGTTAGATAGAAGGAGTAAGTTCTTGTGATCTATTGCATAGTAGGATGACTAGTGTTAATAATAATGTATTGTGTATTTCAAAATAGCTAAAAGAGAGGTTTTTAAATGTTCTCCTCACAAAGAAATGATAAATATTTAAGGTAATGGATATGTTAATTTCCCAAATTTGCTCATCACAGAACTCATACGTGTATCAAAACATCATGTTATATCCCTTAAACAGTACAATTATAGGGTATCAAACATAAATTTTTTAAATGGGCAGATAATTTGAATAGACTTTTCTTGAAAGAAGATTTGCAAATGACCCATAAGTGTATGAAAGAGTGCCCAACATCGTGATTCATCAGGTAAATGCAAATCAAAACCACAATAAGATATTACCTCACATCTGTTACAATGTCTATTATTCAATAAAACCAAACATAACAAATGTTGGTGAGGATGTGGAAAAAAGAGAAAAATTGCACACCATTGGTGAGAATGTGAAATGGTGTAGCCACAATAGAAAACACAATGAAGGTTCTTCAAAAAATTTAAAATAGAACTAGCATATAATCCAGAAATCCAACTTCAGGGTATATATACAAAGGAATTGCCATCAGGATCTAAAAGAAAAATCTACACTTCCATCTTCCTGGCAGCTTTAGTCAAAATAGCAAAGATATTGAAACAACAAAAATGTTTGTTGACAGGTGAATGAATAAAGAAAATGTTATATATATGCACACACATATGTATTATATTTGTATAAATGTATATGTATAAATTTGCATATATGTGTGTATATATAAGCGGAATATTATTCAGCCTTAAAAAGGGAATTCTGTCACCCACTACAACACGGATGAACCTTCAGAATAGCATGCTAAGTGAGGTAAGCCAATCACAGAAGAACACATACTACATGATTCCACTTATATGAAGCATCCAAAATAGTCAAACTTACAGAAGCAGAAAAAAGAATGGTAGTGGTCAGTGGTTGGTGTGAACAGGGAATGAGAACTTGTTGAAAAGATATACAGTTTTGATTATATCAGATGAAGAAATTCTAGAGCTCTACTGTATAATACAATGCTTATAGTTAATAATACGGGATTTTTTTTAAGATGGCTGGTGACAGCGTTTTAGCAATACCTCATCCATTTAGAAGGACCAAAGTAGTATGTAGACAATCACACTTTTAATACATTAATCAAAAGGAAACATGGGAAATCAGCAGAAAAACAACACAAAACACTAATATCTAGGAAGGAGAAGGAAAAGGAAAATGTGCAACTTATGTGGCTGGGACCAGCTAGGAACCAAAAGTGAATCTCCAATACAGGAGCCAGTGAGTGATAGTGTTTGGCTCTGTGTCCACCCAAATCTCGTGTCGAATTGTACTCTCCACATGTCAGTGGAGGAGCCTGATGGGAGGTGATTGGATCATATGGGTTTTATTCCAGGGATTCAACGATGGTTTAACATATGCAAATCAATAAATGTGATTACCATATAAACAAAATTAAGGACAAAACCCATATGATCATCTCAATAAACACACAAGAATAATTTGATAAAATTCAGCATCTCTCATTAAGAAAGCCTCCTCAAACTCAGCATATAAGAAACACATGTCAAAATAATAAAGGCCATATATGACAAACCCATAGCCAACATTACACTGAATAGGTAAAAGGTGAAAGTCTTTTCTCTATGTCCTTGCTTGCCAAGGACCACCCTGAGTGCTGGCTGCTGTCAGTGGGGGATAGAACCCATGTCAGGATAGGAGCCCAAGCCCCCAGGCCTGGACTGGGCCTCAGGGGCCATCAAATAGCCCTGGAACTGGAACAAGACAAGGATGTCCATTTTCACCAATCCTACTCAAGATACTACTGAAAGCCCTAGCCAGAGCAGTCAGGCAAGATAAAAAAATAAAAGGCATCGAAACTGGAAAAGAGACGTCAAATTATAGCTGTTTGCTGATGACACAATCTTATATCTGGTAAAACCTAAAAACTCCACCAAAAACTCTTACGTTTGATAAATGAATTTAGTAATGTTTCAGGATACAAAATCAACATACAAAAATTAATGGCATTTCTATATATCAATAATAATTTTCCTGGAACCAAATCAAGAAGGCAATTGCATCAAAATAACTACAACAAAATTACCTAAGAATAAATTGAACCAAAGAGATGAATAATCTCCAGGAGGAACACTACAAAACACCGATAAAGAAAATTGTAGATGACAGAAACAGATGAAACAATATCACATGCTCATGAATCAGAAAAATTAATATTGTTAATATGACCATACCACCAAAAGCAATCAACAGATTCAATGCAATCTCTATCAAAATAACATCATTTTCCACAGCACCATAAAAAAGTCAGTTCTAACATACACACAGAACCAAAAAAGAACCTGAATAAACATAACAATATTACACAAAAAGAGCAAAGCCAAAGGCATCACATTACCTGACTTCAAGTTATATTAAAAGGGTAATATATTTAAACTAGAACTACCATATAATCCAGAAATCCAACTTCTGGGTATATATACAAAAGAATTGCAATCAGGATCTAAAAGAAAGATCTACACTACCATTTTGTACAGTAGACAAAATAGCATGGTTCTTGTCTAAAAATAGACATGTAGATAATTAAAACAGAATAGAGAACCAGAAGTGAAGCCACTTATTAACAGCCAACTAATCTTTGACAAAGTTATCAAGAACATTTATTGGGGAAAGGACACCCTTTTCAACAAATTGTGCTGGGAAAATTGGATTTCCATATGCAGAAAAATGAAACTGGACTTCTATCCCTCACCATATACAAAAATCAACCAAGATGGATTAGAAATTTATACATAAGAACGGAGACTATAAAAATCCTGCAAGAAAACCTAGGCAATACTATTCTGGACATTGGTCTAGGCAAATAATTTGCTGCTAAGACCTCAAGAGCACAACCAAAAAAAAACCCAAATAGACAAATGAGACTTAATTAAACTAAAAAGCTTCTGCAAAGAAAAGGAAATAATCAACAAAGTGAACAGACAACATGCAGAATTGAAAAATATATTTGTAAATTATTCATCTAACCAGATACTAATATTCAGAATATGCAAATAACTCAACAAAAAATAATAATTCCATTAAAAGTTGGCAAAGGACATGAATAGATTTTTTTTAAAATAAGACATACATATGACAAATAAGTATGTGAAAAAAATGCTCACCATCACTAATCGTCTGGGAAATGCAAATGAAATTCACAAAGAGATATCATCCCACCCTGCTCTAATGGCTGCTATAAAAAAACAGAAAAGATGTTTGTGAGGATGTAGAGAAAAGGGTAAGCTTTTACACCGTTGGTGGGAATGTATATTAGTACAACATTTATGGTAAATAGTACGGAGATTTCTCAAAGAACCAAAAATAGAACTACCATTTGCTCCAGCAATCTCATTACTGCCTATCTACTCATGGGAAATCATTACATCAAAAAGATACTGCACCCATATGTTTACTGCAGCACTATTTGCAATAGCAAAAAAACGGAATCAACCTAAGTGTCTGATATAATTGGGCTCTGTGTCCCTACTCATTCATGTTGAATTGTAATTCCCAATGTTGGGGAAGAAACTCGGTGGGAAGTGTTTGGATAATGGGGGCAGTTTTCCCCAATTGCTGTTCTTGTGATAGTGAATGAGTTCTCATAAGATCTACTTGTTTAAAAGTGTGCAGCACTTCCCCTTTTATTCTCTCTCCTGCCACCATGCAAAGACATCATTGCTTCTCCTTCACCCTTCTGCCATAATTGTAATTTTCCTGAGGCCTCCTCATCCATGCCTCCTGTACAGCCTGTGGAACTATGAGTCAATGAAACCTTTTATTCTCCATAAATTATCCAGCCTCAGATATGTCTTTATAGCAATGTGAGAATGAACTAATACAGAAAATTGGTACCAGGGAAGGTGGGCATTGGTATAAAGATATCTGAAAATGTGGAAGCGACTTTAAAACTGGGTAACAGGCAGAGATTGGAACAGTTTGGAGGGCTCAGAAGAAGACAGGAAGATGAGAGTAAGTTTCAGATTTCCTGGAGACTTGTTGAATGGTTGTGACCAAAATGCTGATGGTGATATGGACAGTGAAGTACTCGCTGAGGTGGTCTCAGGTGGAGATGAGAAACTTATTGGGAACTGGGTCATTCTTGCTAAGTTTTAGCAAAGAGACTAGTGGCATTGTGCCCCTGCTCTAGGGATCTGTGGAACTTTGAACTTGAGAGAGATGTTTTAGGGTATCTGGCAGAAGAAATTTCTAAGGAGTAAAGCATTCAAGGTGTTGCCTAGCTACTTCTTACAGTGTACACTCATATGCTTTTGCAATCAGATGGTCTGAAACTGGAGCTTATATTTAAAAGGGAGGCAGAGCATAAAAGTTTGGAAAATTTGCAGCCTGACAATGTCATAGAAAAGAAAATACCATTTTCTGGGGAGAAATTCAAGGCTGCAGAAAGTTGCATAAGTAAAGTGGAGCCAAATGTTAATAGCCAAGAGAATGGGGAAAATCCCTCCAGAGCATTTCAGAGACCTTCATGATAGCTCCTCCCATCATGGTTCTGAAGGCCTAGGAGAGAAAAATTGTTTAGTGGGCCAGACTCATGGCCCTGCTGCCCTGTGCTGCCCCGGGACACAGCACTTTGCGTTCCAGCCAATCCAGCTCCAGCCATAGCTAAAAGGGGCCAAGGTACAGCTTGGAACATTACCTAAGAGGGTGCAAGCCCCAAGCCTTGGTTTATTCCACGTGGTGTTGGGCCTGGTGGTGTGCAGAAGGCAAGAGTTAGGGATGGGAACCTCTGCCTAGATTGAACAGGATGTATGGAAACTCCTGGATATCCATGCAGAAGTGTGTTTCAGGGGCAAAAGCCTCATGGAGAACCTCTACTAGCACAGTGCAGAGGAGTAATGTGAAGTTGGAGCCCCCATACAGAGTCCCCACTGGGGCATTGCCTAGTGAGTCTATGAGAAGAGGGCCACCATCCTCCAGACCACAAAATGGTAGATACACTGACAGCTTGCACCGTGCACCTGGAAAAGCCATAAACACTCAACTTTTTCAGCCTGTGAAAGCAGCCAAGAGTGCTATACCCTGCATAGCCACAGGGGTGCAGATGTCCAAGGCCTTGAGAGTCCACCCCTTGCATCAGTGTGGCCTGGATGTGAGACATGGAGTCAAAGGGTATTATTTTGGAGCTTTAAGGTATAATGACTTCCCTGCTGGGTTTAGGACTTGCATGGGGCCTGTAGCCCCTTGTTTTGGCCAATTTCCCAATTTTGTAACGAAAGTATTTACCCAATACCCATGCTCCCATTGTATCTTGGAAGTAACTAACTTGTTTTTGATTTTTATGGGCTCATAGGCGGAAGGGACTTAATTTGTCTCAGATAAGATTTTGGACTTGGACTTTTGAGTTAATGCTGGAATGAGTTAAGACTTTGGGGACTGTTGGGAAGGCAGGCTTGTGTTCTGAAATGTGAGAAGGACATAAGCTATGGGAGGGGGGCAGGGGTGGAATGATATGGTTTGGCTCTGTGTCCCCACCCAAATCTGTTGAATTGCAATTTCCAATGTTGAGAGAGAAACCTGGTGGGAGGTGATTGGATCATGGGGATGTGTTTCCCCTTTGCTGTTCTCATGATAGTGAGTGAATTCTTGCAAGATCTGGTTGTGTAAAAGTGTGTGGCACTTCCCCCTTTTTTCTCTCTCTCCTGCCACCATGTGAAGATGTGTTTGTTTCACCTTTGCCCTTCTGCTGTGATTGTAAGTTTCCTGAGGCCCCCCAGCCATTCTTCCGGTACAGCCTGAGGAACCATAAGTCAATTAAACCTTTTTTCTCCATAAATTATCCAGTCTCAGGTATGTCTTTATAGCAATGTGAGAACAGACTAATACAGTGTCTATCAACAGATGATCGGTTAAAAAAAGTGATGTATATATACAATGAAATACTATTCAAGCATAAAGAGTGAAATCATATCTTTTGCAACAAAATGGATGAAATTGGGGGTCATTATCTTAAGTGAAACAGTTTGGACACAGAAGGACAAATCTCACATATTCTTACTCAAAAGTGGGAGCTAAAAAATATGTACATATGGACATAGAGAGGAATGGGCAAAGATTTCATGACAGAATAACATAAGTAATTGCAACAAAAGTAAAATTGACAAATAAGATCTAATTAAACTAAATAGTTTTCTGTACAGTAACTATTAACAGAGTAAACAGACAACCTAAAGAATGGAAGAATATATTTGCATACTATGCATCTGACAAAAGTCTAATATCCAGAATCTATAAGGAATTTAAACAAATTAACAAGCAAAATATTAAAAAAAATTAAAAAGTGGGCAAAGAACATGAACAGACATTTCTCAAAAGAAAACATAAATGCAGCCAACAAGTATATGAAAAAAGGCTCCTCATCACTAATCATTTGAGAAATGCAAATCAAAACCACAATGAGATACTATTTTCACCAGTCAGAATTGCTATTATCAAAAAGTAAAAAAAAAAAAAAAAAAAGTTACTGCTGAGGTTTTGAAAAAATAGAATGCTATACACTGCTGGTGGGATTGTAAATTAGTTCCACCACTGTGGAAAGCAATTTGATGATTTCTCAAAGAACTTAGAACTAACATTTGACCCAGCAAGCCCATTATTGGGTATATACCCAACCAAATGTTTATCATTTTATTATAAAGACACATACACATGTATATTTATTACAGTACTATTCACAATAGCAAAGAGAGAATCAACTTAAATGGCTCTAAGTGATAGATTGGATAAAGAAAATGTGGTACATATATGCCATGGAATATTACACAGTCATAAAAATGAATGAGATTATGTCTTTGCACTAACATGGATAGATCTGGAGGTCATTATCCTAAGTGAACCAAGGCAGGAACAGAAAAGCAAATACCACATTTTCTCACTTTATAAGTGGAAGGTAAACATTGAGTACACATGAACACAAGGAAACACCAGACACCAAGGCCTACTTGAGGATAGAGGATTACAGGAGAGTAAGGATTGAGAAACTGCCTATTGGGTACTACGGTCATTATCTCGGCGAATAAGTAATCTGTACACCAAACTCCCATGACATGCAGTTTGCCTGTATAACAAACCTGCATATGTACCCTGAACCTAAAAGTTTTTTTAAAAAAAGAGATTCTGGCATTCTCCCCCAAAAGACAATCATAATTATTATAATATTTGTTGTTATTCATTCATGATTTATTATTATTGAGAATTTAATATGGTGGTTGAGAAGAAGAATTTGGGATTCAACCTGACAGACATAAATTCAAATCACAGATCCAAACCTTCCTGAATGTATTATCTTAGATAAATTAACCTCTCTGGCCTAGAGTCTTCTCATTTGTGAAGCGAAAAACAATAATAGCTCATCTTTTCTATGAGACAAAAACACAAAAACTGTTAAAATAACTACATATATAATATATATACATATAAATTGAATATATACACATATAAATTGTATATATATAGATGCCATTTAAAAGTCACAAAAAATTGAGATGATTACTATTATTATCCTTCACCCTCAAACTGAGGCACATAGAGATAGTGAATTGCTTGAGTTCATACAAGCCACAAAGTGGTAGAGGTGTGATTTGAATCCAAGCAGTCCCAGTCCAGGATCCAAGTTCTTAACACTTACAATGAAATACCTTCCTAAGGCATTGGGACTATGAAATTAGTATATGTAAAAGCCTTAGTATGATGTTTAGAACATAGTTAAACAATAGATTTCATTGTACTTGTCAGGGTTCTTGTGGTTGCAGTCGACAAAGCCAATTCAAAATAGTCTAAGCAAGCACCCACACAAGTACAAATACTCACAGGATTATTGACTTACATGACTGAAAAAGGCATGGATCAAATGAGATTAGCAGGACTCAATCTTTCTCTCTATCCCTTTGCTCCACTTTTCACTGCTGTCATTATTGTTAGTGAGGTTCCCACCATGTAGTAGCATAGATATATATCAAAAGCCTTAGAAATATATTATCTTTACAATTAGCAATTCTAAAGCAAAGAGAACCTTATTTCTTAATCAGATCTTTCACTGGCATAGCATAGACACAGGCCCTTTTTGAAAACCATTTACCACAGCCAGAGGAGGAGCAGTAGGCAAATCTTTGTCATGCCCTAACCTAGGACAAGGGCATAAAATTATCCTAATTCAATTGTATGAACTAAAATTGTAAAGATTGATGAACACTATGGTTTTCTTTCCATATGTACTTTTTGATCTGTTAATACAAGTCTTTTCATTTAAATATATAATAATATAGTGTAACAAAAATTTCTCAAAAGAACATTAATTGAATTAGAGAAAGTGAATACCAGCAATATTATAGGTATAAGAAAAAATTTTGTCTATCAAAAACTTAGAAAAAATACTTACCAAGTAGATGCCCCAAGCAGTGAGAAATTCATACACACACACACACACACACACACACAGAGAGAGAGACAGAGAGAGAGAGAGAGAGAGAGAGAGAATCTCACTATATTGCCCAGACTGGTCTTGGACTTCTGGGCTTCTACTCCTGAGGAACCTTCTTGCTTCAGCCTCTCAAGTAGCTGGAAATACAAGTGCATGGCACTATGCCCAGCTAGTGTGTATGTGTATGTGCGTGAATATATATGTGTGTGTGTGTGTGTATATATATGTGTGTGTATATATATATATATATATACACACTGTATGTTTTCTTGGATGCTGGAGATTCTCACCTGACTGAAGGCAGGGTGTTGGATATGGTGGTCCCTTAAGATTTTTTTCTAGGTCTCATCTTGTCTTTCTATTCTCATGCTCATTTTATAGTAAGGTCAAAAATGTCAAGAGTACATTTCCCTGCTCTTTTTTGCTTGCTCCTTTCTCATATCACTCTGTTCTGTGCCTGATTGGGGGATTAGGGTCTTACTGAATAACATACCTTGACTATTTTAGTGTATCCCCCTTCACCTACCTTGCCATTTTCTTTTTTCTGTTTTCCTTTTTTTCTTTTTCTTTTTTTTTTTTTTGAGACAGAGTCTCGCTCTTTCGCCAAGGCCGGAGTGCAGTGGCGCTATCTTGCTGCACTGCAAGCTCCGCCTCCCGGGTTCACGCCATTCTCCTGCCTCAGCCTCCCGAGTAGCTGGGACTACAGGCGCCCGCCACCGCGCCCAGCTAATTTTTTGTATTTTTAGTAGAGATGGGGTTTCACCGTGTTAGCTGGGATGGTCTCGATCTGCTGACCTCGTGATCTGCCTGCTCGGCCTCCCAAAGTGCTGGGATTACAGGGGTGAGCCACCGCGCCTAGCTGCCATTTTCTAATTTAAAGGTAAAATATATGTGATAACCCATTTTCCTTTCTGAATTAGGTCATGTAAAATTAGCAGGTATTTGTGGCTCCTGCTATATGACTAATACTATGCTATGTTACAGAAAGGAAGTGAAATGGTGCATTGTTTATCGTCCATTGTAATCAATTTATTCAATAGTTTCAATGTGGTGGAGTAAAAATGTGAAAAGATTTTGTGTTTTTTCTCCAATCTCTGCCAGCACTTGAGCTATGGTGCATCTCTCTTTCCTGTACTTTAATGACACCTTGAGTATATTACATAACCTCTCAGTCGTATGTGGTTATTAAAAGTCTGGTTCAGGTCACATTATAACTGTAAACTCACATTTAATTTAAATATCTTCCTCTTTCATTGCCAGTGAGGACTGTTTGCATAAAGGAGGAGCCTGAAAACAAGAGGGGTGTGATGGTTAATATTAAGTGTCAACTTGATTAAATTAAAGGATGCAAAGTATTATTTCTGGGTGTGTCTGTGAGGGTGTTGCCAGAGAAGATTAACATTTGAGTCACTGGACTGCGAGAAGCAGACTCACCCTCAATCTGGTTGGGCACCATCCAATCAGCTGCCAGCACAGCTAGAATTAAAGCAGGCAGAAGAAGATGGAAGAGCATCCTTGCTAAGTCTTCCAGCCTTCATCATTCTCCTGTGCTGGATGCTTTCTGCCCTTGAACATCAGACTTCAAGTTCTTTGGCTTTTAGAGTTTTGTACTTACACCAGTGTTTTGCCAGGGGCCCTCGAGTCTTCAGCCACAGACTGAAGGCCACACCGTCAGCTTCCCTATTTTTCAGGTTTTTGGACTCAGACTAAGCTACTACTAGTTCCCTTGCTCCTCAGCTTGCAGATGGCCTATCGTGGGACTTCACCATGTGATTGTGTGATTCAATTATTAATAAAATTCCTTTCATATATAGATATATTCTATTAGTTCTATCCCTCTAGAGAACCCTAGCTAATACAGATTTCGGTAACAGGAGTGGTTCTAGAGGAACAAAATTTTAAAGACGGATTTCTTTAGTTGATTTTGAGGTTTCTGGAGTTGGCTGCTTAATGTGATTAGACCCCAAAATGCTAAGAACACTACTAATAGTATGCAGAACACTGACAGTCCTTGGCACATACTCTTTTGAGAGTTATGCAAAGTAAATGCATCTGATACTCCTAATTCACAGCTCTTGAGAGGCAAAGAGTTTAATGACTCTACACAGAATACCTTTGATTGTATGTAGAGAAACAATGAATATAATGAAGTTGGTAAGTTGCTCCTAAGTTTGCTGGACAAAGCAATGAAAGAAAAAGATGAGCTCAAGGATTCTAACTCCTGGCTCCAGAAGCACATACTGAGCCGCAAATCTTCTAAGATTGCCCTGAGTGAGAATCTTATCTCCTATAGACAAAGGGCTGAAATTGCGGAAAATTAGACACAAGCTCTTATAGTGGGAGTGACTGACATGCAACGAAAGGTGCACACTCAGTCTCACCATGTGTCTACTGTTAGAATAAGGATATTGATTGGAAAAGGATGGGATCCTGCAACTTGGAATCGGGACGTGTGGGAGGACCCTGATGAAGTTGGGGACACTGAGCTTGTAAATTCTGATGAGCCCTTTTTGAGAGAGGAAACAGCCTCCCCTCCCCTAGTGGTGGCAACCTCCCTTCTCCCACCCACTCCGCCATCCGCCTTTTTACCTTTGTCTGAGTAAATTAACCATGCACTGCCTGAGGCAACAGTGATGGCCTCCCATGAGGCAATTGCCAGTCAAGACAATGTTGAGTCTCCTCAGGACCCATCTCCATCACCCGTGTTTGCTTCTAGGCCTATAATTAGATTAAAGTCCTGGTAGGCCTTTAGAGGTGAAGTTTAGATTGTGACCCAAGAGAAGATGTGCTATACTCCAAAAGAACTGCTTGGGTTTTCTAATTTATATAAGCAGAAATCTAAAGAACAGGTATGGGAATGAATATTAAGAGTGTAGGATAATGGTAGAAGAAACATAAAGTTGGATCAGGCTGAATTTATTGATATGGGCCCACTAAGCAGGGATTCTGCATTTAAATGTTGAAACTAGGGGAGTTAAAAAAAAGTTATTATAGTTTTTTTGCTTGGTTAGCTGATACATGGATCAAAAGATGGTCCACTGTGAGCGAGCTGAAAATTCTTGATCTCCCTTGGTTTAATGTAGAGGAAAGCATCCAGAGGCATAGGGAGATCGAAATACTTCAGTCGATTAGTAACTTTAGACCTACTGATCCCAACTGGGAGGGTCCAGAAGACACACCCTTCACAAATACCTTTCAAAATAGATATGCACCCTTGAATAGTTCTATGATTGCTCTTCTCTGTATGTCAGATCTTACAGTGGGAACCACAGTCATTCAACTGGAAAACTTAAATGCAATGGGAATATTTGGATCCTGAGGTGGCAGGGGCCAAGTGGCAGCACTTAACCATCAAAGGCAAGGTGGGTGTAGTTGCCATAATGAACAGCAGAGGCAAAGCACCAATCATAAAAGTCTGACTCATGTAGAGCTCTGGAATTGGCTAATTAATCATGATACTCCTAGAAGTGAAATTGATAAGAAGCCTACTAAATTCTCACTTAATTTGTATAAGCAGAAACTTCCAGGTCAAGTGGACAAAAGACTAATTTGAATTATAAAAATAGAGAATCAGAGAATCATGGCCCCTCAATCAATTTCCAGACTTGAACCAGTTTGTACACCCAGAACCCCTTGAATGAAGAAGAGTCCAGTCCCCTTGAGGAAGGACCCCACTACATTACTGACAGTTTATACTGTTAATTTTTCTCCCATCCTTCCACAGGAAGACCTCTGGCCTTTTAGCAGGATAATTGCATTGGTGAAAAAGAAATGATCAGACCTTAGGAGACTACTGGACACTGGCTCTAAACTGACATTAATTCCAGGGGACCCAAAACATCATTGTGGCCCTCCAGTCAGAGGAGAGGCTTATGAATGTCAGTTAATTTATGAAGTTTTAGCTCAGATCTGATGTACAGTGAGTCCAGTGGGTCCCTGGACTCATCCTGTGGTCACATCTCCAGTTCCAGAATGCGTAATTAGAATAGACATACTTAGCAGTTGGCAGAATCCTCACATTGACTCCCTGACTGGTAGAGTGAGCGCTATTATGGTGGGAAATGCCAAATGGAAGTCATTAGAGCTGCCTCTACCTAGAATAATAGTAACTCAAAACCAAATTACATCCCTGGAGGGATTGCAAAGATAATCGCTCCCATCAATGACTTGAAAGATGCAGGGATAGTGATTCCCACCACATCCCCATTGTGCACTCTCCTATTTGGCCTGTGCAGAAGACAGATGAGTCTTGGAGAATGACAGTGGATTATGGTAAGCTTAATCAAGTTGTGACTCCAATTGCAGCTGCTGTACCAGATGTGGTTTCATTGCTTGAGCAAATTAACACGTCTCCTGGTACCTGGTATGCAGCCATTGATTTGGCAAATGCCTTTTTCTACATTCTTGTTTATAGGGCCCATCCAAGCAACTTGCCTTCAGCTGGCAAGGCCATCAATATACCTTCATTGTCCCACCTCAGAGGTGTATCAACTCTCTGGCTTTATGTCTTGTTCACAGAGGTCTTGGTTGCTTTTTCTCTTCCACAAGATATGACACTGGTCCATTACATTTATGACATTATGTTGATTGGACTCAGTGAGCAAGAAGTAGCAAACACACTGGACTTGTTGGTGAGACATTTGCATGCCATGGGATAGAAAATAAATCTGACTAAAATTCAGGGACCTTCTACCTCAGTGAAATTTCTAGGGGTGTAGGGCCTTTCGAGATATACCTTCTAAGGTGAATAAGTTGTTGCATTTGACCCCTTCTAAAAACAAGAAAAAGGAAAATCACCTAGTGGGCCTATTTTGATTTTGGAGGCAACACATTCCTCATTTGGGTGTGCTACAACAGGTCATTTATCTAGTGACCCAAAAGGCTGACAGTTTTGAGTGGGATCCAGAACAGGAGAGGACTCTGCAACAGGTCCAGGCTGCTGTGCAATCTGCTCTGCCACTTGGGTCATATGACCCAGCATTTCCAGTGGTGCTTGAGGTGTCAGTGGCAGATAGTGAAGCCATTTGGAGCCTTTGGCAAGCCCCCATAGGTGAATAACAGCAGGGGCCTCTAGAATTTTGGAGCAAAGCCCTGCCATCTTCTGCAGGTAACTACTCTCCTTCTGAGAGGCAGCTCTTGGCCTGTTACTGGGCCTTGATAGAAACTGAACATTTGACTGTGGGTCACCAAGTTACCATGTCACCTGAACTGCCTATCATGAACTGGGTGCTCTCTGTTCCATCTAGCCATAAGGTTGGGCATGCACAGCAGCATTCCATTATCAAATAGAAGTGATATGTATGTGATTGGGCTTGAGGAGGCCCTGAAGGCACAAGTAAGCTACATGACAAAGTGGCTCAAATGCCCGTGGTCCCCACTCCTGCTACTATGCCTTCTCTCTTTCTGTCTACACCAATGGCCTCATGGGGAGTTCCCCATGATCAATTGACAGAGGAAGAATACTAAGGTCTGCTTTACAGAAGGTTCTGCATTGATATGCAGGCACCACCCGAAAGTGGACAGCTGCAGCACTACAGCCCCTTTCTAGGACATTCCTGAAGGACAGTGGTGAAGGGAAATCTTCCCAGTGGGCAGAATTTGGATGGTTCACCTGGCTTTGCACTTTACTTGGAAGGAAAACATGGCCAGATGTGCAATTAGACACTTATTCCTGGGCTATAGCCAATGATTTGGCTGGATTGTCAGGGATTTGAAAGAAGCATGATTGGAAAATTGGTGACAAATAAACTCGAGGAAGAGGTATGTGGATGGACCTCTTTGAGTGGTCAAAACCTCTGATGATATTTGTGTTCCACGTCAATGCTCAGCAAAGGGTGACCTTGGCAGAGGAGTATTTTAGTAATCAAGTGTATAGGATGCCTCGTTCTGTGGCCACCACTCATCCTTTTTCCCCAGGGACACCTGCCATCACCTAATGGGTTTATGAACAAAGTGGCCATGGTGGCAGGGATGCAGGTCATGCATGGGCTCAGCAACATGGACTTCCACTCACCAAGGTTGACGGGGCTATGGCCACTGCTGAGTGCCCAATTTGCCCCCAGCAGAGACTGACACTGAGCCCTCGATATGGCACTATTCCTTGGGGTGATCAGCCAGCTACTTGGTGCAGGTTGATTATATTGACATTGTCCATCATGGAAAGGGCAGTGGTTTGTCCTCACTGGAATAGACACTTACTCTGGATATGGGTTTGCCTATCCTGCACACAATGCTCCTGCCAAGATCACCAGCTGTGGACTCACAGAATGCCTTATCCATCATCATTGTATTCCACACAGCATTGCCTGTGACCAAGGCACTCACTTTACAGCTAAAGAAGTGAAGTAGTGGGCTCGTGCTCATTGAATTCACTGAGGTTACCATGTTCCCCATCATCCTGAAGCAGCTGAAATGATGGAACTGTGGAATGACCTTTTGAAGTCACAATTACAATGCCTCCTAGGTGACAATATGTTGCAGGGATGGATGCTAAGTTCTCCAGAAGGCTTTGTATGCTCTAAATCAGCATCTAATATATGATACTGTTTCTCCCATAGCCAGGATTCATGGGTCCAGGAATCAAGGGCTGGATGTGGAAGTGGCACCAATCACCATTCCCCCTAGTGACCCATTAGCAAAATTTTTTCTTTGTTCCCATGACATTATGTTCTGCTGGCCTTAAGGTCTTAATTCCAAAGGGAGGTATGCTGCCACCAGGAGACACAACAATGATTCCACAGATCTGATAGTTCAGATTGCCACCTGGCCACTTTAGGCTCCTCCTACCTCTAAGACGACAGTCTAAGCAGGGAGTTATGGTGTTGGCTGGGGCAATTGACCCAGACTGTCAACATTAAACCAGTCTGCTACTCCACATTGGAGGAAAGAAAGAGTATGTGTGGAATACCAGAGAAAGAGGTTTAATGGACTCACAGTTACACATGACTGGGTAGGCCTCACAATCATAGTGAAAGGTGAAGGAGGAGCAAAGGCATATCTTACATGGTGGCAGGCAAGAGAGTGTGTGCAGGGGAACTGCCCTTTGTAAAACCATCAGATCTCCTGAGACTAACTCACTATTGTGAGAACAGGCTGGGGGAAACCACCACGATTCAATTATCTCCACCTGGTCCCTCCCATAACACGTGGGGATTATAGAAACTACAATTCAAGATGAGATTCGGGTGAAGACACAGCCAAACTATATCACTGGGTTAATGTTATTTCTTACACTTTATGTGGCCACATTGCTTCAGAAAATGCCCAACAATTTGACAGAGCAGGCAACAGTGAATAAGTATTGTGACAAACTATTTAAACTAGATCTTCTTTCTTGGTCGATGAATAGTCAGCTTTTCTAAAACCACTGACTACTTCTAAAAAAATTAAAATAAAAAAAACAGAAATAAACAGAAGCAAGGAACCAAACAGACATTCATTTTTCCTTTTAACTTAATCTCAACTTTCAACTTCTACCTGAGCACAAACTTATATAGCCACCTTTCCCTCCTTTGTCTCCTCTTTTTCCACTGGTCTTCTCCCTTTCTCCAACCTCCCTCAACCCCTGCATTTTTTTCATTCTTCTTCTTGACCTGGGTCCAAAGTCACAATTTAGTAATGGTGGTGAGGGTTTAAGATCAAAGAGAGTAAGAGGCACCCCCCCCACACACACACACAATTATGTGATTTGAATTCAGAGACTGAGGGCCCTTACTGAAGTCTACTACTTTTAATGCACTTGTTGAATGATACAAAGTGTTTTTCTATATGCCTGTTGCCACTACTAATGATGAGTATTTGAAAAGATTTGCCACTATCTTATTCTTCATATTTATCCCAATGCCTAAAATGCTGTTGAAATTTAATACACAATCAAAAAATAAATAAGACGACTTTTCCAAATAACTGAATTTGTTTCCCCTTTAAACTACAAGAAGAAAAGTTATTTTAAGCTATATTTTAAATGAAAATCTTCCTAAAATGTATTGTATCCCTCATTTTTAACAAAGAAAATATAAAACACAATAGACTACGTTACATCGGTCATCTTGGTTAAAGAGCATATGTTACGGGAGCAGTAAACTGGGCCTGAGTCCTCATTTTTCCACTTACAGTTCTCATGGCCTCCAACACGTTACTTAACACTTCTAAGGTTCATTTTTCTCATTTGTAAAATGTCAATAATAGAAGTACACATATAATAAAAGATATTATGGATTCAAACTTAGTCAATAAATGAAAAGGGCTTAGAAAAGTAGTTGGCATATACTAAGTGTCTCACAAACATTAGTTTTTATTGTCTTTACTCTTTCTTAATGACTCAGAGACATCAATATAAGTATCAGTTTCATGTTCTTCTTTAATAAAGTGGCATTTAGAAGCGATTGAGATATGTAAAGGTGTTTGCCCTTATATTAAATAACCTCAAACTACTGAGGTTTTAGAAACCTTATGTGTACCATTTTCCTATTATCTTCCGTCCTATCAACAGACTTTTCTTGCTAATAATAATATGTCTGCCATAGCATCTCAACTCCAATTTTTAAAATTTTTATTTCAAAAACTTTTGGGGTACAAATGGTTTTTGCTTACATGGATAAATTGTATAGTGGTATTCATAAGATAAGACTTTAGTGCACCCATCACCCGAGTAGTGTACATTGTTCCCAAATTTTTTTTATCCCTTAACTCCCTCCAGCCCTTCCTGCTTCTAAGTCTACAATGTTTATTATATCACTCTGTATGCATTTGTTTATCCATAGCTTAGCTTCCACTTATAAGTGAGAGCATATAATATTTGGGTTTGTATTTCTGACTTACTTCACTTAGAATAATGGCCTCCAGCAGCATTCAAGTGGCTGCAAAAGGCAATATTTCTTTTTTTTCATGGCTCAGTAGTATTCCATGGTGTATGTACACCACATTTTCTATATCCACTCATAAGTTGATGGGCGCTTAGGTTAGTTCCATATCTTTGTAATTGTGAATTATGGTGTGATAAATTTACCTGTGTAGGTGTCTTTTTGATATAATGACTTCTTTTCCCTTCACTAGATACCCAGTACTAGGACTACCAGATTGAATGGTAGATCTACTTTTAGTTTTTTTGAGAAATCTCCCTACTGTTCTCCATCGAGGTTGTACTAATTTATATTCCCATCAGCAGTGGATAAGCATTCCCTTTTTACCACATCCACACCGACATCTATTGTTTTCCGACTCTTTAATAATGTCCATTCCGGTTAGGGTAAGGTGGTACCTCATTGTGGTTTTAATTTGCATTTCCCTGATGATGAGTGATGTTAATCATTTTTCATATGTTTGTTGGTCATTTGTATATCTTCTTTTGAGAAGTGTCTATTTATGTCATTTGCCCACATTTTAATGGAATTATTTGGGTTTTTCTTGCTGATTAGTTTGGGTTCCTTATAGATTCTGGATATTGCTCCCTTGTCAGATGCATAGTTTGCAAATATTTTCTCTCATTCTGTGGGTTGTCTGTTTATTCTGACAATTATTTATTTGCTGTGAAGAAGACTTTTAGTTTAATTAAGTCCTATTTATTTTCATTTTTGTTGCATTTGATTTTGGGCTCTTAGTTATATATTTTTTGCTTAGGCTAATGTTCAGAAATGTTTTTCCTAGGTTTTCCTCTAGAATGTTTATGATTTCAGGCATTGGACTTAAATGTTTGATCCATCTTGAGTTGATTTTACTAGATGGTAAAACATAAGAATTCAGTTTTATTCTCCTACTGGCTCTCCAGTTTTTCTAGCATGATTTATTGAATAGGGTATCCTGTTCCCATTGTTTATTTTTGTCAACTTTGTTGCAGTTCATTTGGGTGTAGGCATGTAGATTTATTTCTGGTTTCTCTAATTTGTTCCATTGATTTATATGTCTATTTTTTTCACACTACCATGCTCTTTTAGTTACTGAAGCTTCATAGTGTAATTCGAAATCAGATAATATGATGCCTCCAAATTTTGTATTTTTGCTTAGGATAGCACTGGCTATTCAAGCTCTTTTTTGTTCCATATGAATTTTAGAATTGCTTTTTTCTAATTCTGTGAAAAAAAATGATGTTGGTACTTTGAATGGAATCGCATAAAATCTGTAGATTGTTTTGGGCAGTATGGTCATTTTCATAATATTGATTCTTCCAATTCATGAGCATAGAATGTATTTCCATTCATTTGTGTTATCTATGATTTCTTTCATCAATGTTTTGCAGTTCTCCTTGTAGAGATCTTTCACCTCCTTTGTTAAGTATACTCCTAGATATTTTATTATTTTATAACTATTGTAAAAGGAATTGAGATCTTTATTTGATTCTCAGTTTGGTCATTGTTGGTGTATAACAATACTACTGATTTGTGTATATTGATTTATAACCTGAGACCTTACTGAATGCATTTATTAAATCTAGGAGTCTTTTGGTAGAGACTTAAGAGTTTTCTAGTCATAGGATCATATCATTAGCAAACAGAGAGTTTAACTTCCTCATTTACAATGTGAGTGTCCTTTATTTCTTTCTCTTGCCTGATTGCACTGGCTAGGACTTCCAGTGCTGGGTTGAATAGAAGTGATGAAAGTGGGCATCCTTGTGTTGTTCCAGTTCTTAGGGGGAATACTTTCAACTTTTCCCCATTCAGTGTGATGTTGGCTGTGGGTTTGTCATAGATAGCTTTTATTATTAATATTTTAGATATGTTTCTTTCATGCCTAGTTTGTTGAAAATTTTATCATAAAATGATGCTGCACTTTATCAAATGCTTTTTCTGCTTCTATTGAGATGATTATATGGTTTTTATTTTTAATTCCTTTTATGTGATGAGTCACATTTACTCACTTCTGTATGTTGAGCCATCCCTGCATCCCTAGGAGGAAATCAACTTGATCACAGTAAATTATCTTTTAGATGTGCTCATTGATTTGATTGGCTAGGGTTTTGTTAAGGATTTTTGGATCTATATTAATCAGGGATATCTGTCTGTAGGGTTGTTGTTATTGTTGTTATGTACTTTCCTGGTTTCGGTATCAGAGTAATAATGGCTTCATAGAATGAGTTACAGAAGATTTCCTCTTTCTCTATATTTTTTAATAATTTCACTAGAAGTGGTACCAATTATTCTTTGAATGTATGGTAGAATTTGGCTGTGAATTCATCTGGTCCGGGACATTTGTTTGTTGGCAATTTTTTTGTTACTGATTCAATCTCACTTCCTGTTTTTGATCTGTTCAGGATTTATTTTTCTTCCTGATTCAATCTAAGAGGTTTGTATGTTTCTAGAAATTCATCCAGTTCCTCTAGATCTTCTAATTTGTTGGCATAGTGGTGTTCATAGTAGTCTCAAATGATCTCTTGTATATCTGTAGTGTTGATTGTAATGTCTCCATTTTCATTTTTAATTGAGCTACTTGGAATCTTCTCTCTTCTTTACTTGGTTAATCTAACTAAAAATCTATCGAATTTATTGATCTTTTCAAAGAACCAAGATTTTGTTTCATTGTTCTTTTGTATTGGTTTTTTGTTGTTTTAATTTCATTGAGTTCTGCTCTGTTCTTTGTTATTTATTTTTTTCTTCTAGCTTTGGGGCTTTTTTGTTCTTGTTTCTCTAGTTCCTTAAGGTGTTATGTAAGGTTGTCAATTTGTGATCTTTCAGACTTCTTGATGTAGGCATTTAGTGCCATAAATGTTCCTGCTAGCTCTGCTTTTGCTGTATCCCATAGGTTTTGCTAACTTGTGTTACTATAATCATATACTTTAAAATTTTTTAAATTTCTATCTTGATTTCATTGTTAATGCAAAAAGCATTCACGAGTAAATTGTTTAATTTCCATGTATTATTGTAGTTCCTTTTGGAGTTGGTTTATAGTTTTATTCTACTGTGATCCTAGAAGATACCTAATAATTTTGATTTATTTAAATTTATTCAGATTTATTTTGTGGCCTATGACTTAGTCTATCTAAAAGAATGTTCCATGTGCTAATGAGAAGAATATATATTCTGTAGTTTTGGGGTAGAATGTTCTGTAAATATCTGTTAGGTCCTTTTGTTTTAGAGAGAAGTTTAAATCTACTGTTTCTTTGTTGACTTTCTGTCTCCATGATGTGTCTAATACAATCAGTGGAGTGTTGAAATTTTCCACTATTATTGTGTTGCTGTCTATCTCTTTTCTTAAACCTAGTTAGTATTGTTTTATAAATCTGGGAGCTCTAGAATTAGCTGCATATATATTTAGGATTTTAATGTCTTCTTGGTTGGATTCACCTTCGATCATTATATAATGACCTTCTTTGTCTTTTTTTATTGTTGTTTTAAAGTTTGTTTTATCTGATATAAGAATAACTACTCCTGCTTGCTTTGGTTTCCATTTGCACGAAATATCTTTATATGCCCTTTGATCTTGAGATTATAAGTATTCTTACATATTAGTTGAGTCTCTTGAAAACAGTAGATATTTGGTTTGTGATATTTTATCCATTCCACCAATCTGTATCTTTTCAGTGGAGCATTAAGTCTATTTACATTCAATGTTAGTATTGAGATGTGAGGTACTGTTGCAGTCATCATGTTGATTGTTACCTAGATATTTTGTTTTCTTCATTGTGTTATTATTTTATAAATCTATGAGTTTTATGCTTTAAAGTAGTTCTATTCTGGTGCATATGAACCTTTTGTTTCAAGCTTTAGAACTCCTTTTTAGCATTTCTTGTAGGGATGATCTGGTATTGAGAAATTCCCTTAGCATTTCATTTGTTTGTCTAAAAAAACTATTTTTCTCCATTTATAAAGCAATTTTGCTGAATACAAAATTCTTGGCCATAATTTATTCTGTTGCAAGAGGCTAAGACTAGGACTCCATTTTTATCTGGCTTGTATTGTTTCTACTGAGAACTCTGCTATTAGTCTGACAGCTTTTCAATTATAGGTTACCTGACACTTTTATCTCACTGCTCTTGGAATTTTTTCCTTCACATTGACTTTAGATACCCTGATACATGTGCCTTGGGGGTTTCCTTTTTGCAATGAATCCCTCAGGGTTCTTTGTGCTTCTTGTATCTGGACATCTAAACCTTTAGCAAGGCCAGGCAAGTGTTCCTCAATTATTAGTTTTCTAAACTTTTTGCTTCTTCTTCTTTCTCAGGAATACTAATGATTCTTAGGATTGGCCATTTGACATAATCTCATATTCTTTGGAGACTTTGTTTATTTATTTCTTATAATTCTTTTTTCTTTATTTTTATCAGATTTGGTTAACTTAAAAGCCTGTCTTTGAGCTCCCAAAATCTTTCTTCTACTTGGTCTTGTGTATTGTTAGACTTTCCACTGCATTTTGTAATTCCCTAAATGTGTCTTTTATTTCCAGAAGTTCTAATTGGTTTTTCTTTAAAATTTCTATTTCTTCAGAATTTTTTAAAATTTATAACCTGAATTTTTTTCTTTATGTTGGTTTTCACCTTTCCGTTGTATTTCCTTGAGTAACTTAATAATCAACCTTTTGAAACCTTAATCTGGTATTTCAAATGTTTCATCTTGTTTTAGATCCATTGCAGGCATATTACTGTGATATTTTGGGGGTGTTATATAATCCTGTTTTGTCATATTGCCAGAATTATTTTTCTTGCTCCTTCTCATTTAGGTACTCTTTCTTCCAATTATTCTTAAATGTATTTTTTTATTTTGAATTTTGTTAAATGTATATTTGCCCCCCCTCCCCTGCCAACAAAGGATGTGACTTTAATTTGTATCATTTATTGTAGCCTAATTTTGCTCTTGGTGCTTGTAAGGGTGGGACTCTGTATGAGTTCCTTGGCTGTAGAGAGTCTTTGTATGATGACTTTCTCAGATGTTGGTTATAGTAGTAACGTGCTTGATGTGTGAGCAAGTTCACTGTCTTATGTGTGGTTGGAATGCCAGAGGTCTCTTGAAGCTTATCTCATTCTTCAGTAGATGAATTTATTTATTTATTTATTTACTTATTTGTTTATTTATTCCCAGTATTTTATTTACTGGGCTGAACAATTCAGGCTTTAGACCTGTAAGGAAGGTGTCCATAAGTAAAAACGAGATGTGGCTAAAGCAGGTGGGTAAATTTAGGACCCAGTGGTGGGCAGAGGTCCCCACCGTGACAGAGGTGGCTGGGGAAGCTTTCAGTGAAACACACTGAGATCTTTTCAGGGGAAAATTAGAGAGCCTCCTCAGCTCCCATGCTGGGACAGCAGAAAAGCAATTCACCTCCCAGTCACACTCCTAACCCAGTGTAATTGCTGTTCAGATTAGCAACCTACCTCTTTTCATTTGCAGGAATGCTAATGTTTTATGCAGAGAGTGATTGTGACTACTCCTCCTTCAAGCCTGAACTTAGAGGGCACTCGTCCTGTGGGAATGCAGTAACCTGAAGTGTTCCAGAAGGGCTACCTCCAGGTGCACCTGTGCTCAGCTCTCATGGGAGAAGCCCCAGCTGGGTCTGTAGTGGTGGATGAGGGGCAGAGGAAATCTCTCTCCAAGAGCCTTCACAAGCTCCAAGACTGCCTGACTGCTGAGGTGATGCTTCATACTTACCTTACTGAGCACAGCTTTGCACCTGTGCCTCTGCTGAAAAAAATTTCTCAGAAGAAGAAATTTGGGGGACTCAAGGCCTGCCATCTAAATTTTTTGGCCCATGGGGTGATCCCTTGATGTGGTGCACTCTCCCTTCCCCTAGGAGTAGAAGTCCCTAAGCAACAGACCACCATGGGTGCTTCAGCTCCTCTGGGTCTAGCTACCCAGTGGGGCTGCCTCACTCCAGGCTGGTGCTTGAGAATGTTTGCAAGAAATCTAATGATGTGATCTGTCCTCAGAGCAGGTACCAACACCAGCTCTGATGGGGGTGGCAGGGGAGCAATGTGGATTCTGTGGGATTATTTGGTTATAAATAGCGTTAATGTGTTGGCTTTCTCAAATGCTAGTTGTAGTAGTAATGAACTGGTCACATGGACAGACTCAGGACCTCATAGTCAGCCAGAGTGATGCAGGCAACGGTGATAGCTGAGGTCATGCACAAGTTGTCTCCTTCCTGCATGCTATTATCGTGCTTGCAGATGCTATAATGGACCATGTCAGTTGGGCTCCAGCCAGAAGGTGGTGCTTGCAAAAGAGCACCAGCTGCAGTGGTAGCAGCACGATTTGTGCTTGCCCTTATGTTACCCAGGGGAGGTACTCTGGTGATTCAGGCAATGAGGAGGGTCATAGAGCTCTGAAATTTTCGGTCATTTGTGTTAAGCTTCCTTGTGTTAAGCTGATTTCGTGAGTAGTGGGGAGTACATGAGAAGCAGTGTCAGGACGGACTTCACATGCATTCCCAGATTCTGTCAGGGATGGAGGAAAGCCATTCTGATTCTACCTTACAGGGACCTCATAGAAATCAGCGAGCTAACTCGCTGTGTGTGGAGGGGCAAATCCAGGTGGGGGATGTGTCAGGCAAGTCCATCCTTTTCTCCACAAGTGGGCAAAATCAGCAGCCCTGGTGTGGATGAGAGAGTGATTCTCTTGCCACAGGGCTAATGTTCCAGGGAGGATTGAAGCTGCCTCTGCTGCACAGAAGAGCCTGTACAGGTATTGGGGAGCATCAGGTGGCGGTAAAACCCACATAGCTCCCATGCACTTGGCAAGGCAGGTTTTGCCCCCATAGTATTCCACTAGCAGCAGCTCGCTAGGTTCCAGACAGTCTGCACTCAGAACTCAAAACTGCACCAGGCCATAAGCTTTCCCTGAGGAAACAGTCATCACAGCTTTCAGGTCATGACCCTTCTGGTCTGTCTGCAAGGCAGGAACATCCAGCTCCTGTGCCCACGGCTGCAGCATACTTCCCACTCTCCCCTTGGTTCTGGCCAAGGAGGTTTGTCCCCACTTGAGATCGTATCACAAATCTCAGTTAGGAGCTTCTCTCTGTCTATGAACACCACCTAAGTTAGCTCGCTGATTTCCATGAGGTCCTTGTAAGGTAGGATCAGGAATGGCTTTCATCCATCCCTGATGGAGACTGGGAATGCATGTAAAGTCCGTCCTGACACTGCTTCTCATATACTCCCCACCACTCACTAAATCAGCTACAGCACTGGGTAGGGTTAAGGCCTTCCCCTGTGGCCTGGATTTCCAGGTTCCCCAGTGGGAGTATATATCCTGGAGACAGTTTATCCTCCTCTCACACTCTGGGGACTTTGCAGTTTTCAACCTGGCTCACAATATAGGCTGCAACTCAATGCTTCCATCAGAGGATCTCTTGAGGAATTTGTTTAGCATTTCTAGCCTCACTTTCTTCATATTAAAAAAAATTATGGAATAATAAAACCTGTAGGATTAAAGGTTGTGCAAATAAATAGAGTGCCAATAAACAACAGAGCTCAATACACAATAATTGTTAAAGTTTTCTCTCTTTCCATTCATAATTGTTTTTAGATTGCCCCTGAAATATTTAAATGTTTTAACTTTTCACAACTTTATATTTTAGCCTCTGAGATAACTTTATTTTGGTTTATAACAAATCTAAATACTTTAGTGTATTGGTAATGCCTTAATAAAATAAATTATCTCAGTCTGTTATTATTTTGTAATCTCTACTTTTAAAATAAGAAGAAGATTACATTTTTAATCCAACATGTTTAAATTATATACAGGTATTTTAGTAAAGGAAGAATTCAAACTTTCATCCCTTTGATTCTTTGCCTTGATTTGAATAATTTGAATGGTCCTTATTTGTCAGTTCATCCACATCCACTATGTATTCTCCTTATAGTTTTCTTTGTACAGTCTCCATCTGTCTCCAAATCTATCTTGCATTTTTCAAATAAATATTATAAATTATAGGTGTTTTAGTTAAACAGATGGAATCTTAATAATAAAAGAAAATAAGATAATAGTAGAGGAGCGCTATATAAAATGAATGAATACCATGCCAACTAATATAACACCAATGGTTGATGTGATTTTTAAGGAAGCAATAAGCATACAGTTTATATAATGTGCTTTCTCCATTGCTTGATATGGCCATTTTTCAATATTCATGTATAAGTGGTGATATCTAATGAATATAGCAGGTTATTGATTCTAATTTAGATCACAGCTTTCCATTCTTGGAACCATAAACTACAATATTTATCATTATGTCACATTCAAAACACACTGGACTACCTTTTTTTATACATTTCCAAATCTAGGCTAAATTGAGGCAGAGCTGTTTCTTTCATTCCCCTGGGGTAAAGGCTGTCTTAAAATTTAAGGTTGGACAAGGAAAAGAACTGATATATTATGACTCGATGGCCACCTCTATCTGATGCATTACGCTCTATGTTGTGATGTCTACACTTTAAACGTCTCATTATTTGTCCTCTCAAATGAAATATATCTTTCAGATTTCTAGAACATATTTAAAATTAATTATTAGTCCTCTAATATTTGAAAGTAGAGTTTCTCCTAGCTCAAATTCATTACTGATTTTGCTGTGTCACCTAAAGATTAATTATTAAAATGACACTTTAATTATAGTGAAACTGGTTCATTTATTAGAAGTGAGGAACAAAAATGCCAACAGACAGATCAGAACTCCAAAAATACTAATTTTTTATTTTTTTCCCCACAGGATAAGGTACATTAATTTGGAAATGTATGCAAAAAATAAACTTCAAGTGTTATTCTTATAGCAGTGGACATTCATGAAGGCAATCATACCTGACATTGTGGTTCCTTTTTAGGCATTTAATAACTTGGATCATTAAACATCATTCACTCTCCATTTTTCATGACTCCTCAAGCTAGTCATAAACTCCATAGAAAGGAACATGAACAATGGAATTATTGCCTAATTGTAGTTACAATCTTTTTTCTCCTGTTTAACATGTAGGTATAGAACTAATATCAGAAACGTTATTTTTCCAGTACTTTTGTAGTGATTGACACCGTCAGTGAATTATTTTTAAATCTATGCTCTATAAAAGAAGATTCCTACATATGTAAATTGGGTACACTGTGTTGCATTTTGTTTTTTTTGAGACGGAGTCTGGCTCTGTCACCCAGGCTGGAGTGCAGTGGCGCGATCTTGGCTCACTGCAAGCTCCGCCTCCCAGGTTCCCGCCATTCTCCTGCTTCAGTCTTCCAAGTAGTTGGGACTACAGGTGCCCGCCACCACGCCCGTCTAATTTTTTTGTATTTTTAGTAGAGACAGGGTTTCACTGTGTTAGCTAAGATGGTCTCTATCTCCTGACCTCGTGATCCGCCTGCCTCGGCCTCCCAAAGTGCTGGGATTACAGGCGTGAGCCACCACGCCCAGCCGCTGTGTTGCATTTTTAAATTTTTTTGGAGAATACACAGAAAGTTACCAAAATCCATGTTAAAATGCTAATTCAAAACTAAAACTTGAACAGTATTGAAAAATAACTGAAGTGGAAAGCTGCATTTGAAATAAATTTGCTTTCTGATATTTAATTAGCTTAGTTTATATTTACTGATTTTGAATGTTTATTTTCTAATGGCCAAATCGGTAAAACAGAAGTACGTATTCTATCCTTTTAGTGGTTAAATATTTAATGTTCATTGTAATAATAAAACTTATGCTACTTTTAAATTACTTGTCTTTCATGGTGCCATTTGATTGTTCTAGAATAAGGAGGGTTCTTTTTTCTATTGATAGTTTTTGGGTTAGACTCTAGACCACAGATAATTAAATGCAGCTCACAGGCCACATTCATCTCATACATACCTATTATATATGTGTTTGTGTCTGTATATACATATATGTGTGTATATGCACATATATATAATGTGTGTGCATATATATACATACACAATTTTTTAAAAAATCCAATTAATTAAAAACACTTAACATAGAATTCTAGAAGAAAACTAAGAGAAACCTTTGTGAACTTGGCTTAGGCAAAAATTTATCAGATATAACGTTGATAGCTCAGTCATTGAAAGAAAAAAATGACACACTGGACATTATCAAAATTAGCAATGCACACTTTTCAAAATATAATGTTAGGAGAATAAAAAGACAGGCCACAGACTAAGAGAAAATGCTTTTCAAGTCATAAATCTGACAAAGAACTTGTATGCAGAATTTATTAAGAATCCTTAAAATCGAATAGTACAAAAAACCCCAACATCCTAATTTCAAAAATGGGCAAAGGATATTAAAAAAAAAAACACTTTACAAAATAAGATATGCATATGGAAAATAAACATATAAAATTATGTTTAACATAATTAGCCATTAGGAAAATATAAATTAAAACCACAATGAGATATTACTACACACATATGATAACATAATAGCTTAAAAATTATCTGACAATATCAAATGTAAGGATGTGGAGCCACTGTAATGATCATGCATTAAATGCATCTCAAAACATTTTTTTAGTAGAAATTTCTTGTATGGCTAAACATGAGCTTACCACAAGACCCAGAAACATCACCCTAGGTGTTCACCCAAATGAATAAAAAACTAAATTCACACAAAAACCTCCATATGAATTTGTACTAGTAGTAAACATTCCCATGTAACAATTTGATTTGTAGTTTCATCCCTTCATTGGTGGGAGGGCTCTAAACAAGCATTCATAAGGAAATGCAGCTTGAGTGATGGTGATGGTGTTGATAAAAACTACATTTATTTAGCACTTAATATATGTAAAATATTTCACTTAAAGTTCAATTATCACAATAATCTTGTAAATTACGTAAGTATTATTAAACTACATTCACAGAAAAGAAAACCAAATTTTGGAGAAGGTAATGTAGTTAAGTTTCCACAGCATCACAGTTATCACTTAAACACAGATCTGTTTCTTTCCAAAGAACATTTAACACAGTTATCACTTAAACACAGATCTGTTTCTTTCCAAAGAACATTTAAAAGTGATCACCATAGGTCAGTGACTCATAGCCTTTTTTTTTCTGTTCCAACACATATGCGGGATAGATCTATTCCCATCAGTAACTGGAACAGTGTTCCCATAGTAACAAGGGGAGAAGTATGTGTCAGACTATCCAAGGGAAGCATAGCTTGAAAAAAGCAGATACTTTTGAAATACTTGAGGACCCCTCTTAAAACAAGAGAAACATGCCTCTCACTTCCAACCTCCTTTATGGAGACTAACTGACATAATGATCAAAATTAATATAAATGTCCTTGTCTAAATACATCTACAACTTGCAAACCCTTCTCATTTAATTATACCACTACTTTTTATAATAGAGATTTAAAAATGTTTACATAAAGTCATTTATCTGATAGAAAATGTGTCAAAATTAGCTCAATTAGAAATGAAAAGGAAGACATTGCAACTGAACACAGAAATACAAAAGATCATCAGAGACTATTATGAACAGCTATATGCTCACAAAGTAGAAAACCTAGAGGAACTGGGTAAATTTCTGGAAACATACAACCTCCCAAGATTGAACCATGAAGAAATTGAAAACCAAACATACCAATAATGAGTAGCAAGATTGAATCAGAACAGAGACAAGATAGCTGACTAGACACAGCTGGGAGGGACTTCTGCCATCAAGGGACCGGGACATTGAGAAGACTGGTGCACTCATAGCACATCTTCAGAGCGAAGGCACTGAGAGTGGGCAGAGGCAAGACACAGATGGTGGGCTGAAAGAGGAGGACACTGAGAACCCTGCATGGGGCTACCACACACCAGGACTTGTTCTTAGATGCAAATGACTCCTTGGGAATGGGTGAGTTGAGCAGGCAAAGAGCAACTCACCTCTCCAGGAGCCTATGGAAACCTACCAGCAGTAGACTCCACAACACCCATGGATACTCAAGCTGGCAGGGAGAGCTTCTTAGAGAAGTGGTAGGGGCAGAATTCCAGCCTGTGCGAAGCCCAGGGGGTTTGGTGTGGAGGGGTCTGTAATGGAGCACAGCCAGGGATGCCTATCCCTCAAGGCTCACCTTTCTCCCTTAGCAGACTTTAGCCTTAGTGAAACTGCTGGACCTGAACAGTGATGGGTGGTATTTCCCATGAGAGAGGGCCAGTCTGACCTAAGCAACCCTTGGTCTTCTGGCCTCTCCCAAGGCCCCAGTCTAGCTGTGCCTGCTTGTAGTGTACCCTTCGATGCCCAGGCAGGGTACATCATAGCTCCTGCACTGACAGATCATACTTGAGCACCCCCATGGATATGCACCAGCCCACTCTTGCCCTCCACCCACAGCAGCCTCCCTGGAGCTGCTTTGTCTGCACACATTCACCCATGACCAACCCCCACATCACTTTGTCTTCACGTGTGGTTGCGGGTGGACTTGGCTCCTATTCCCTGACAATGCACATGTGCGTGTGCACCTCCCATGCCCTCACAGCTCCCCACATGAGTGCACACTGCCCCATCATCCCCCCCTCTGGTTCCATTGATGTCAGAGCATTCAAAGGCATGAACACCATCAGTCCCATGTCCACTAGCTCATTGCCCCAACATTGACACTGCCGCCAGCCCAAAACTACACAAGTGGACCCACCTACACCCCAGTGGCGGCTTCTGCCCATGTGAACATGCACACAAAGGATGCACACAGTCTGCGCACACTCGCACCCCGTCACCATGCTAACACCACCACTGGCACAAATGCACATGGATACTGGCAGAGCCCCTTACCCCCCATACCATGCTGCCACCACCACCATGCAAATGCCTGCAAAGAGGCCAGCAGGCCTGCACCTGCCAGCACCTTGCTGTAACTGATGACTGCACACCCTATCATGCTGCCACTGCTGCCATCATGTGGAAATGAGGATGAATCTATGAATCCCAGGGCCACCATCCTACTAAGCACTGTAGCTGACACCACCTATTGGAATGTTGTGACCAGCAGTACAGGAACAATTCAACCCCTCCAGCATGGTAGGTTCCTAACCTTCAGGGGCCAAAGAACAAAGCCAAGGGCTTGATATCAGTCCCCTAGATTAATAGTACACAATCCAGGAATCCTTAGCTGAGCCTTGGCCCCTAAAATCCTCCAGAAGTGAATCCAGTTGACTGAACCCACATCATACCACATTAACACCCCAAAGACATCAAAGAGGATTTTTAAAACTCCAAACGTCAGCAATTTCAGTAATTAAAGGAATATCAGCCCACAACGATGACAAAGAACCAGTGCAAGAACTCTGGCAACCCAAAAAGCCAGTGTCTTCTTACCTCCAAACAACTGTACTAATTCCCAACAATGGTTTCTAACCAGGCTGAGATGGATGAAGTGACAGAAATAGAATTCAGAATACAGATAGGAATGAAGTTCATTCACATACAGGAGATAGTTGAAACCCAATACAAATAATCTAAGGATTACCTAAGAAATAGTAGTTACAGTAAAAAACAAAGAAATAAAAAATAATAAGAAAAGACTAATCTAAGGCTTACCAATAAAATCAAATAGGAGAGGATAGACAAATGGCCATTATAAGAAAAAAAACTTATCTGATAGAGCTGATAAACACTCTACAAGTATTTCATAATGCAATAGCAAGTATGAGCAGCACAAATGACCATCTGAGGGAAGAACCTCAGAGCTTGAACACTGGCTTTCTAAAATAACTCAGTCAGAGAAAAATAAATAAAAAACTGTAAAGAAGAATAAACAACACCTCCAAATATATAGGATTATGTAAAGAGACCAAATCTATGACTTATTGATGTGCCTGAGAGACAAGGAGAGAAATCAAGCAACTTGGAAAAAATATTTCATGATATTGTCCATAAAAATTTACCCAACCTCACTAGCGAAGCCACCATTCAAATTAAGGAAATGTAGAGTACCCCTGAAAAATACCACACAAGGAGACAATTCCCAAAACACATAGTCATTAGATTCTCCAAGGTTGAAATGAAAGAAAAAATTTTAAAGGCAGCTAAAGAAAAGGGACAGGTCACCTACAAGGGGGAACCCATTAGGCTAACAGTGGATCTTTCAGCAGAAACCCTACAAGCCAGAAGAGATTTGGGACCTATATTCAGCATTGTTAAAGTAAAGAATTTTCAACCAAGAATTTCATATCTGGCTAAACTAAGCATTATAAGCAAAGGAAATATAAGATCCTTTTCAGACAAACGAATGCTAAAAGAATTCATCACCATGGGACCTCAGACCTGCCTCACAAGAGGCCCTGAAGGGAGTGCTAATTATGGAAAAGAAAGACCATTAATGACCAGCCATTACAAAAACACATGTAAGTACACAGATCAGTGACACTATAAAGCAACCACATAAGCAAGTCTGCATAGTAACCAGCTGACATCATGATAACAGGATCAAATACACAAATATGAATACTAACCTTGAATATAAATGGGCTAAATACCCCAATTAAAAGGCATATAGTGGCAAGCTGCATAAAGAAGCAAACCCCATGATATGTTATCTTCAAGAAACCCATCTCACATGCAATGACACACATAGACTCAATGTAAAGAGATGGAGAGAAATCTACCAAGCAAATAGAATACAGAAAACAGCAAGGGTTGCAATTCTAATGTCAGAGAAAACAGACTTTAAACTAGCAAAGATCATAAAAGACAAAGAAAAGCATTACATAATGATAAAGGGCTCAATTCGCAAAGAAGAACTAACTATTCTAAGTATATACACACCCAACACAGAAGCACCCCAATACATAAAGCAAGTTCTTAGAGACCTAGAAATTTAGATAACTGCACAATAATAATAGGAGATTTTAACACCCCAGTGACAGTATTAGACAGATCATTGAGGCAAAAAACTAAAATAACATATTCAGGACTTTAACTCGACACTTGATGAAATGGACCTAATAGACATCTATAGAACCTCCACCCCAAAACAACAGAACATTCATTCTTCTCATCTGCACATGACACATACTCTAAAAGTGACTATATAATTGGTCGTAAAACAACCCTCAGCAAATATAAAAAATATATAATTATAGCTACCACATCTTTGGACCACAATAGAATAAAAATTGAAATCTCTGTTAAGAAAATCACTCAAAACCATATGATTAAATGAATATTAAACAACATGCTCCTGAATGACATCTAGTTAAATATTGAAATTAAGGCAAAAATCAATGAATTATTTGAAACTAGTGACAACAAAGATACAACATCTCACAGTCTCTGGGACATAACCAAAGACATGTTAAGAGGGAAGTTTATAGCACAAATTCATATATCAAAAAGTTGGAAAGATCCCAAATTGACAACCTAACATAACATCTAGAGGAAATACAGAAGCAAGAGCAAACTAACTCCAAAGCTAGCAGAAGACAAGAAATAATCAAAATCAGAGCTGAACTGAAGGAAACTGAGATCCAAGAAACCATATGAAGATCAATGAAACCAGGAGCTGGTTATTTGAAAGAATTAATGAAATAGATAGATCATTATCTAGACTAATAAAGTAAAAAAGAGAGAAGATCCAAATAAACACAATCAGAAATGACAGAGGGGATATCACCACTGACCCCACAGAAATACAAAAATCCTCAGGGTCTACTATGAACACCTCTATGAACACAAACTAGAAAACCTAGAAGAAATTGATACATTCCTGGAAACATACAACCTCCCAAGATTGAACCAGAAAGAGATTGAATCCCCAAACAGACTAATAACAATTTCTGAAATCAAATAATTAATCCAAAGCCAACTAGAAAAATCCCAGGACCACACAGATTGACAGCTGAGTTCTACCAAACATATAAAAAGAAGCTGGTACAATTTCTCTTGAAACTATTGCAAACAATTGAGGAGGAGAGACTACTTTCTAACTCATTCAATGAGACCAGAATCCTTCTGATATCAAAACCTGGCAGAGACCCAACAAAAAAGAAAACTTTAGGCCGATATTCTTGATGAATATAAATGCCAAAAATACTCAACAAAATACAAGCAAACAAAATCCAGCAGCACATCAAAAACATAATCCACCACAATCAAGTAGGCTTTATCCCTGGGATGCAAAATTAATTCAACATACACAAATCAACAAATGTGATTCATCACATAAACAGAACTAAAAACACAAACTACATGATCATCTCGATAGAGGCAGAAAAGTATTTTGATAAAATTCAATATAACTTCATGTTAAAAATTCTCAACAAACTAGGCATTGAAGGGACATACTTCAAAATAATAAAAGCCATCTATGAAAAATACATAGCGAAAATAATACTGAATAGGCAAAAGCTGGAAGCATTCCCCTTGACAACAGGAACAAGACAAGGATGCTCTCTCACACAACTTTCATTCAACATAAAAGTGAAGCCCTGGAAGGAAATCGTGGCCAGAACAATCAGTCAAGAGAAATAAATAAAAGGCATCCAAATAGGCAGACAGGAAGTCAAACTATCCCTCTTGGCAGACAATATGATTCTATACTTGGAAAACCCTCTACTCTCTGCCCAAAGGTTTCATGATCTGATATACAACTTTGTATTTAAAGTTTCAGGATACAAAATCAACGTACAAAAATCAGTACCATTCCTATACACCAACAACAGCCAAACTAAGAGCCAAATCAAGAACACAATCCAATTCACAATAGCCACAAAAAGAATAAAACCCCTAGGAATACAGCTAACCAAGGAGGTGGAAAATCTCTACAATGAGAATGACAAAACACTGCGTAAAGAAATCAGAGATGACACAAACAAATAAAAATACATTTTATGCTCATGGAGAGGGAAAATTAATATTGTCAAAATGGCCACACTGTCCAAAGCAATTTAGAGATTCAATTATATTTCTTTCTTTTTTTTTCACTATTTTCACAATATACCCATGTAACAATCTAGCACATGTAACTCCTGAATCTGGTTGTTTTTTTTTTTTTATTTTGAGACGGAGTCTTGCTCTGTTGCCCAGGCTGGAGTGCAGTGGCACGATCTTGGCTCACTGCAAGCTCTGCCTCCCAGGTTCACGCCATTCTGCTGCCTCAGCCTCCCGAGTAGCTGGGACTACATGCGCCCACCACCACACCCGGATACTTTTTTTGTATTTTTAGTAGAAACAGGGTTTCCCCATGTTGGCCAGGCTGGTCTCGAACTCCTGACCTCAGGTGATCCACCCGCCTCAGCCTCCCAAAGTTCTAGGATTACAGGTATGAGCCACTGCACCCAGCCCTGAATCTGTTTTTTAATGCTAAAAAAAGAGAACAATGCATTAAAAATAATTACTGGTTTAAGTTTTTGAATTCACGATGCACAAATGTATAATTTTGTGCCATGAATAACTAAAACAGGTTGAGATAGTGCTGAAAATAAGCCAAGTTTGTGTAAGTTATTGAAAGTAAGCTAATATAAATTCAAATTAGAGTGTTATAACTTTAGAATATTAAGTGTAATCCTGATGGTAACTACTAAGAAAACAGTTATAGAATATCCACAAAATAAATAAATGAGCAAATTATACAAGAAATAGTAATGCAAGAAATTAGAGACAGAAAAACTATGAGGCATATAGGAAACAAATAGCAAAATGACGGATGTCCCTCTCTTTCTTATTAGTAATTACTTAAATGTAAATGGATTAAAACTTTCCATTAAAATAAAAACAGAGATTAGCAGAATGGATTATAAAAACATAATTTATATATATGAAAAAGAAATTCATTTTAGATTCAAAGAAACTCACTTTAGATTCAAAGACACTAATAGGTTGAAAGTGAAAAAAATGGAAAATTATATTCCAGGCAAAGAGTAACCAAAAAAGAGCAGGGATGACTGTACTAATATCAGATAAAATGGGCTTTAAATTAAAAAATATATATATAAGCAACAAAGAAGGATATCACCTATTAATAACAGTTTCAACACAAAAAATATAAAGCTTATAATCACTTGCATACTTAATAACAGATCATCAAAATATATAAAGCAAAAATTCACAGACTTGGAGGGAGAAATACACATTTCTACAGTTATAGTCAGAAAGGTCAAAATCCCACTGTCAATAATTTCTACAATTATAGTCAGAAAGGTCAATATCCCACTGTCAATAAGAACAAACAGACAGAAGGTAAATCTAAAAATAGAGAGCTTGGCCAACACAGTAAACCAGCTAAATCTAACAGGTATACAGGACACAAAATAATAACAACAGGACATTCTTATCAAGTGCACAGGGACATTTTTGAGAATACACCATATGTTAGGTCACAAATAAAGTCTCGATAATTTTTTAAATACATATGAAACAACAAAATAGCTCTTCCAACTGCAACGAGATGAAGTTAAACATCAGTAACAGAATAAAAAATGAAAATCACAAATGTGTGGAAATTAAACAACATGCTGTTAAACAATCAGTGAATTAAAGAAGAAATTACAAGAGAAACTAGAAAATACTTAGAGATGAATAAAAATGAAAACACAACGTACTAACACTTATAAGAAGCAGCAAATACAGTGGTAAGGGGCAAATTAAAAGATATACATGTTTGCATTCAAAAAAAAAATCAAGAAAGATCTCAAATCAACAACCAAACTTTGTGATTTAACAAACTAGAAAAAGAAAAATAAACAAAATGATAAACTAGCAAAAGGAAAGAAATAATACATAATATAACAGAGATAAAGAAAATAGAGAACAGAAAAACAATAGAGAAAATCAATAAAACCAAAAGTTGGTTCTTTGAAAAAAAAATCAATAAACCTTCTACTCTCTGTCTCCATGAGCTCAATTTGTTTTTATTAGCTTCCACATATGAGCAAGAACATGCGCTTTTTTTTCATTCTGTGCTTGGTTTACTCGACTTACCATAATGTCCTCCAGTTTTATTTATATCATTCAGATAATGGTTGTAGAACGATGGTTACCAAAGGCTGGGAAAGTTAGTGAAGAGGAAAGAGTGAAGTGGGGATGGCTAATGGGTACAAAAATAAAGTTAGATAGAAAGAGTAAGATCTAGTATTTGAATTCACAACAGGATAACTAGAGTTAACAATAATTTGTTGTATGTTTCAAAATAAAGAAAAGAGTAAAATTACAATGCTCCTACCATGATGGGGGAGGAGCCAAGGTGGCCAAATAGGAACAGCTCCGGTCCACAGCTCCCAGCGTGAGCGACGCAGAGGACGGGTGATTTCTGCATTTCCATCTGAGGTACCGGGTTCATCTCACTAGGGAGTGCCAGACAGTGGGCACAGGTCAGTGGGTGCGCGCACCCTGCGCGAGCCGAAGCAGGGCGAGGCATTGCCTCACTTCGGAAGCGCAAGGGGTCAGGGAGTTCCCTTTCCAAGTCAAAGAAAGGGGTGACAGACGCACCTGGAAAATCGGGTCACTCCCACCCAAATATTGCGCTTTTCCGACCGGCTTAAAAAACGGCGCACCACAAGATTATATCCCGCACCTGGCTCGGAGGGTCCTACGCCCACGGAGTCTCGCTGATTGCTAGCACAGCAGTCTGAGATCAAACTGCAAGGCGGCAGCGAGGCTGGGGGAGGGGCGCCCGCCATTGCCCAGGCTCGCTTAGGTAAACAAAGCAGCCAGGAAGCTCGAACTGGGTGGAGCCCACCACAGCTCAAGGAGGCCTGCCTGCCTCTGTAGGCTCCACCTCTGGGGGCAGGGCACAGACAAACAAAAAGACAGCAGTAACCTCTGCAGACTTAAATGCCCCTGTCTGACAGCTTTGAAGAGAGCAGTGGTTCTCCCAGCACGCAGCTGGAGATCTGAGAACGGGCAGACTGCCTCCTCAAGTGGGTCCCTGACCCCCGAGCAGCCTAACTGGGAGGCACCCCCCAGCAGGGGCACACTGACACCTCACACGGCCAGGTATTCCAACAGACCTGCAGCAGAGGGTCCTGTCTGTTAGAAGGAAAACTAACAAACAGAAAGGACATCCACACCAAAAACCCATCTGTACATCACCATCATCAAAGACCAAAAGTAGATAAAACCACAAAGATGGGGAAAAAACAGAACACAAAAACTGGAAACTCCCAAACGCAGAGCGCCCCTCCTCCTCCAAAGGAATGCAGCTCCTCACCAGCAATGGAACAAAGCTGGATGGAGAATGACTTTGACGAGCTGAGAGAAGAAGGCTTCAGACGATCAAATTACTCTGAGCTACGGGAGGACATTCAAACCAAAGGCAAAGAAGTTGAAAGCTTTGAAAAAAATTTAGAAGAATGTATAACTAGAATAACCAATACAGAGAAGTGCTTAAAGGAGCTGATGGAGCTGAAAACCAAGGCTGGAGAACTACGTGAAGAATGCAGAAGCCTCAGGAGCCGATGCGATCAACTGGAAGAAAGGGTATCAGCAATGGAAGATGAAATGAATGAAATGAAGCGAGAAGGGAAGTTTAGAGAACAAAGAATAAAAAGAAATGAGCAAAGCCTCCAAGAAATATGGGACTATGTGAAAAGACCAAATCTACGTCTGATTGGTGTACCTGAAAGTGATGGGGAGAATGGAACCAAGTTGGAAAACACTCTGCAGGATATTATCCAGGAGAACTTCCCCAATCTAGCAAGGCAGGCCAATGTTCAGATTCAGGAAATACAGAGAATGCCACAAAGATACTCCTCGAGAAGAGCAACTCCAAGACACATAATTGTCAGATTCACCAAAGTGGAAATGAAGGAAAAAATGTTAAGGGCAGCCAGAGAGAAAGGTCGGGTTACCCTCAAAGGGAAGCCCATCAGACTAACAGCAGATCTCTCGGCAGAAACCCTACAAGCCAGAAGAGAGTGGGGGCCAATATTCAACATTCTTAAAGAAAAGAATTTTCAACCCAGAATTTCATATCCAGCCAAACTAAGCTTCACAAGTGAAGGAGAAATAAAATCCTTTACAGACAAGCAAATGCTGAGAGATTTTGTCACCACCAGGCCTGCCCTAAAAGAGCTCCTAAAGGAAGCGCTAAACATGGAAAGGAACAACCAGTACCAGCCGCTGCAAAATCATGCCAAAATGTAAAGACCATCAAGACTAGGAAGAAACTGCATCAACTAACGAGCAAAATCACCAGCGAACATCATAATGACAGGATCAAATTCACACATAACAATATTAACTTTAAATGTAAATGGACTAAATGCTCCAATTGAAAGACACAGACTGGCAAATTGGATAAAGAGTCAAGACCCATGAGTGTGCTGTATTCAGGAAACCCATCTTACGTGCAGAGACACACATAGGCTCAAAATAAAAGGATGGAGGAAGATCTACCAAGCAAATGGAAAACAAAAAAAGGCAGGGGTTGCAATCCTAGTCTCTGATAAAACAGACTTTAAACCAACAAAGATCAAAAGAGACAAAGAAGGCCATTACATAATGGTAAAGGGATCAATTCAACAAGAAGAGCTAACTATCCTAAATATATATGCACCCAATACAGGAGCACCCAGATTCATAAAGCAAGTCCTGAGTGACCTACAAAGAGACTTAGACTCCCACACATTAATAATGGGAGACTTTAACACCCCACTGTCAACATAGACAGATCAACGAGACAGAAAGTCAACAAGGATACCCAGGAATTGAACTCAGCTCTGCACCAAGCAGACCTAATAGACATCTACAGAACTCTCCACCCCAAATCAACAGAATGTACATTTTTTTCAGCACCACACCACACCTATTCCAAAATTGACCACATACTTGGAAGTAAAGCTCTCCTCAGCAAATGTAAAAGAACAGAGATTATAACAAACTATCTCTCAGACCACAGTGCAATCAAACTAGAACTCAGGATGAAGAATCTCACTCAAAACCGCTCAACTACATGGAAACTGAACAACCTGCTCCTGAATGACTACTGGATACATAACGAAATGAAGGCAGAAATAAAGATGTTCTTTGAAACCAATGAGAACAAAGACACAACATACCAGAATCTCTGGGACGCATTCAAAGCAGTGTGTAGAGGGAAATTTATAGCACTAAATGCCCACAAGAGAAAGCAGGAAAGATCCAAAATTGACACCCTAACATCACAATTAAAAGAACTAGAAAAGCAAGAGCAAACACATTCAAAAGCTAGCAGAAGGCAAGAAATAACTAAAATCAGAGCAGAACTGAGGGAAATAGAGACACAAAAAACCCTTCAAAAAATTAATGAATCCAGGAGCTGGTTTTTTGAAAGGATCAACAAAATTGATAGACCGCTAGCAAGACTAATAAAGAAAAAAAGAGAGAAGAATCAAATAGACACAATAAAAAATGATAAAGGGGATATCACCACCGATCCCACAGAAATACAAACTACCATCAGAGAATACTACAAACACCTCTACGCAAATAAACTAGAAAATCTAGAAGAAATGGATAAATTCCTCGACACATACACTCTCCCAAGACTAAACCAGGAAGAAGTTGAATCTCTGAATAGACCAATAACAGGAGCTGAAATTGTGGCAATAATCAATAGTTTACCAACCAAAAAGAGTCCAGGACCAGATGGATTCACAGCCGAATTCTATCAGAGGTACAAGGAGGAAGTGGTACCATTCCTTCTGAAACTATTCCAATCAATAGAGAAAGAGGGAATCCTCCCTAACTCATTTTATGAGGCCAGCATCATTCTGATACCAAAGCCGGGCAGAGACACAACCAAAAAAGAGAATTTTAGACCAATATCCGTGATGAACATTGATGCAAAAATCCTCAATAAAATACTGGCAAACCGAATCCAGCAGCACATCCAAAAGCTTATCCACCATGATCAAGTGGGCTTCATCCCTGGGATGCAAGGCTGGTTCAATATATGCAAATCAATAAATGTAATCCAGCATATAAACAGAGCCAAAGACAAAAACCACATGATTATCTCAATAGATGCAGAAAAAGCCTTTGACAAAATTCAACAACCCTTCATGCTAAAAACTCTCAATAAATTAGGTATTGATGGGACGTATTTCAAAATAATAAGAGCTATCTATGACAAACCCACAGCCAATATCATACTGAATGGGCAAAAACTGGAAGCATTCCCTTTGAAAACTGGCAGAAGACAGGGGTGCCCTCTCTCACCACTCCTGTTCAACATAGTGTTGGAAGTTCTGGCCAGGGCAATTAGGCAGGAGAAGGAAATAAAGGGTATTCAATTAGGAAAAGAGGAAGTCAAATTTTCCCTGTTTGCAGACGACATGATTGTATATCTAGAAAACCCCATTGTCTCAGCCCAAAATCTCCTTAAGCTGATAAGCAACTTCAGCAAAGTCTCAGGATACAAAATCAATGTACAGAAATCACAAGCATTCTTATACACCAATAACAGACAAACAGAGAGCCAAATCATGAGTGAACTCCCATTCACAATTGCTTCAAAGATAATAAAATACCTAGGAATCCAACTTACAAGGGATGTGAAGGACCTCTTCAAGGAGAACGACAAACCACTGCTCAAGGAAATAAAAGAGGATACAAACAAATGGAAGAACATTCCATGCTCATGGGTAGGAAGAATCAATATCGTGAAAATGGCCATACTGCCCAAGGTAATTTACAGATTCAATGCCATCCCCATCAAGCTACCAATGACTTTCTTCACAGAATTGGAAAAAACTACTTTAAAGTTCATATGGAACCAAAAAAGAGCCCGCATTGCCAAGTCAATCCTAAGCCAAAAGAACAAAGCTGGAGGCATCACACTACCTGACTTCAAACTATTCTACAAAGCTACAGTAACCAAAACAGCATGGTACTGGTACCAAAACAGAGATATAGATCAATGGAACAGAACAGAGCCCTCAGAAATAACGCCGCATATCTACAACTATCTGATCTTTGACAAACCTGAGAAAAACAAGCAATGGGGAAAGGATTCCCTATTTAATAAATGATGCTGGGAAAACTGGCTAGCCATATGTAGAAAGCTGAAACTGGATCCCTTCCTTACAACTTATACAAAAATCAATTCAAGATGGATTAAAGACTTAAACGTTAGACCTAAAACCATAAAAACCCTAGAAGAAAACCTAGGCATTACCATTCAGGACATAGGCATGGGCAAGGACTTCATGTCTAAAACACCAAAAGCAATGGCAACAAAAGACAAAATTGACAAATGGGATCCAATTAAACTAAAGAGCTTCTGCACAGCAAAAGAAACTACCATCAGAGTGAACAGGCAACCTACAAAATGGGAGAAAATTTTTGCAACCTACTCATCTGACAAAGGGCTAATATCCAGAATCTACAATGAACTCAAACAAATTTACAAGAAAAAAAGAAACAACCGCATCAAAAAGTGGGCAAAGGACATGAACAGACACTTCTCAAAACAAGACATTTATGCAGCCAAAAAACACATGAAAAAATGCTCACCATCAGAGAAATGCAAATCAAAAGCACAATGAGATACCATCTCACACCAGTTAGAATGGCAATCATTAAAAAGTCAGGAAACAACAGGTGCTGGAGAGGATGGGGAGAAATAGGAAGACTTTTACACTGTTGGTGGGACTGTAAACTATTTCAACCGTTGTGGAAGTCAGTGTGGCGATTCCTCAGGGATCTAGAACTAGAAATACCATTTGACCCAGCCATCCCATTACTGGGTATATACCTAAAGGACTATAAATCATGCTGCTATAAAGACACATGCACACGTATGTTTACTGTGGCATTATTCACAATAGCAAAGACTTGGAACCAACCCAAATGTCCAACAATGATAGACTGCATTAAGAAAATGTGGCACATATACACCATGGAATACTATGCAGCCATAAAAAATGATGAGTTCATGTCCTTTGTAGGGACATGGATGAAATTGGAAATTATCATTCTCAGTAAACTATTGCAAGAACAAAAAACCAAACACCACATATTCTCACTCACAGGTGGGAATTGAACAATGAGAACACATGGACACAGGAAGGGGAACATCACACTCTGGGGACTGTTGTGGGGTGGGGGGAGGGGGGAGGGATAGCATTGGGAGATATACCTAATGCTAGATGACGAGTTAGTGGGTGTAGCGCACCAGCATGGCACATGTATACATATGTAACTAACCTGCACGTTGTGCACATGTACCCTAAAACTTAAAGTTTAATAATAATAAAAAAATAAAAATAAATAAATAAATAATTTAAAAAAGAAAAAAAAAATCGGTCACTTTAAAAATAGCAATATTATATCTTATTGGCGCAATTTGTGTATGCACATAATCAGTTTCAGTGCTACATACTTTCTATTTTAGAACAATCATCCATAACTTTAAGATAGAAAACATATGCTACCCATTTTTCAGTTGAGATTTTATGGTTTATTGTAAGATTTTTTCCCCCATAAGAGTGACAAGTCAACCTGATATTTTGGACACTAGTTTGACTTTTAATATTTTTACTCTGTTCTTCCCAGTCTCAGTATTTTCCCATATCCAGCAAAGAGTTTCCAGAAATGTTCCTTTGTTATCCGTTTTTTCTTATCTTTAGAAACAGTATTATTTTTATTATGTATAATTTGTTTTTAATTCAAGTATATCTTCTGTTATGTACATACTCTTCAAGAGTTTTTGTCTCTAATATCACAATTATTATTGTATCATGAGGGTTTTAATTTCAGTATGTTGATGCTCTTATGGAAATGATTTTAGTTAATTCTGCTATGTCAGATGTTATGGTGACTAATTTATTATCTTCACCACTGACAGAAAAAAACACACGTTTAAATATGTATTGGAAATGGAAGAGGTATGTTCTATGACATTCTGTTAACCACTTACAAAGTGTTTTCCAGAACACTGAATATTAAATATTGGTCCAAATTAGTAACAGAAATATATAACTGAAATATATATTTATATATATATTTATATTTATATATATTTATATATATATATTTATATTTATATATATTTATATATATATTTATATTTATATATATATTTATATTTATATATATTTATATATATATTTATATTTATATATATTTATATATATATTTATATTTATATATATTTATATATATATTTATATTTATATATATTTATATATATATTTATATTTATATATATTTATATATATATTTATATTTATATATATTTATATATATATTTATATTTATATATATTTATATATATATTTATATTTATATATATTTATATATATATTTATATTTATATATATTTATATATATATTTATATTTATATATATTTATATATATTTATATATATATTTATATTTATATATATATATAATCAAAATCTCCTTGAGATACATGATAAAAATGCAGACTTCCAGGCTCCACCTCCAGAAATGCTAAATAAGACATCTGTGTTTTGACAAGCTTTGCTGATAAATTTGATGCACCCTGAAGCTTGAAAACTACTTTTGTGGAAAACCACTGTGTGCCTTTCCAATTTTCTGGATGGGAAACTGAAAATCTCACATAACTAATTAAAACGGAGTCAGGATTCCAACCAAGCTTAGTCAGGTTAGGTTATTTTATATACTCACTACTCAGGTAGCAATATATGCATGAATATATATTGTATGTATGTACATTCACGCAGTCATTATCTTAAATAAGCTGAATTCTGTAATCTTTCAAAAAGTAGTTTTGTTCTTGTTTTTCCCGTGACTCCTTGAGGGGAATGTTGTGATGTACTCTCCAAATCTCCCTTCTGGATGGTGGTACTCATCCCTTTAGATGACAGGAGTGTAGGCTGTTGGTGGCTCATAGATAAGTACCAATGAAGGAATTGCCTTGAACAAAACCACACTCATTTCCCAAGGTCAGCTGAGTCCAGTGGTCAGTGATGCTTTGGTTACAAAGGCTTAGCTGCCTTGTCTCAATTTGGGACAATTTCCAAGGGCCATCCAAGTTTCATAAATTTATGTCAGAATAGCTAAAGTCTTTCTTACTCTTGCGTTACAACTTGAGTCCTTCCTCTACCTACTGTTCTATTGTTCCTCACCCCTCGGAGATGTTGTGCCCAAGAGAACTTTACAATAAATCTAAAGAGTCTGCTTTGCAGAGAACCTTACCTGAGACACTCATGAATGAAATGTTGGGCAGATTCCACAGCCTTTCCAGACACTTTCATTCCAAACAGGAAGTCTCATTTCAGTAATTAAATTTTCTAGTTAAGAGTTAGCAGAACTTCACATTTCATCTACATTAAAAATTTCTCCTTCCCCTAGCTTGATCTTTCAGGTTTAGAAGCCCACCATGGAAGAAGAGTTTGTGTCTTGTCTCTCTTGTTTTCTCATTCCTCGTTACCCCTCATTATCTGTGATTTCACACTTCTTCAGAAAGGGAGCCCAGATGGAGGGTGGGATTAGGATAAAATGGAATAGTCTTTATGTTTGCTTTCTAGCATAAAATTCCTATGGGTGGCAAATCAACAAGTGCTGACTCTTATAGCACATTTAGAAGATTATTTTTATCATGGGAATTTCCAAATAGACGAAAGTGAATGAAAGAGCAAAATAAAACCTGAGGTACATTTCCCAGTTTAACAATTATCAACATTTTGTCCATTTTGTTTCTTCTACATTCTTCCACTTTTACTTAATTTTACTATTTATTTATTCACTTATTCTTTTGCTTGATTGTTTATTTCTGAAGTGTTTAAAGCAAATGCTTGACTCATCACTTTATTTATAAATACTTCATTATTTACTGACAACAGATAGGATCTGTTTAAATAAACTGTAAACTATTCATCGGACTAGGGATTAATAACCAGAATATACAAGGAGCACAAACCACTCTGTAGAAAAACATCTAATAATCTGATTCAGAAATGGATTAAAGATTTGAACTGACGGCCAGGCACGGTGGCTCACACCTGTACTCCCAGCACTTTGGGAGGCCGAGGCAGGCGGATCACGAAGTCAGGAGATTCAGACCATCCTGGCCAACACGGTGAAACCCCGTCTCTACTAAAAATACAGAAATTAGACAGGTGTGGTAGTGGGCGCCTGTAATCCCAGCTACTCGGGAGGCTGAGGCAGGAGAATCGCTTGAACCTGGGAATCAGAGGTTGCAGTGAGCCAAGATCGCGACTGCACTCCAGCTTGGTGACAGAACGACACTCCGCCTCAAAAAAAAAAAAAAAAAAAAAAAAGATTGAACTGACATTCCTCTAAAGAAGACATATAAATGGCCAACAGGTGTTTAAAACTGTGCTCAAAATCATTGATCAGCAAGGAAATGCAAATGAAAACTACAATGAGATATCATCTCACCCCAATTGTGGGGTATGACAAAGTTTCCCAGGCTCTTCTTACACATTTCCTGTCCTTATTTCTCCAAGAAAATCATATTTTGAGGTCTCCCTCTAGACCACATTTTTATATTGTTTTAGACTACTTCAATAAACAAAAGTAGAAAATATATACATATTTTTAAAGTTTAAATATGTAAAACATTTACATGTGCCAAAATTAAAAAGAAAAAATAAAAATAAGTACATTCAGAAAAGTCTGATTCTAGCATGAAATTAAATCCAGGCTCCTGTACTTATTAGGCATATGAAATTGAGCAATTTTCTTACCACCTCTGTGCCTAGAGAAGTAATATCTATCTCATAAGATTAGTATGAAGACTAGCCGAGTTAATATTTGCAAAGCACTCAAAACAGCACATGGCACATGATAAGTGTGCTATAGGGCATAGATTTAAAATAATAATTAAACAAATGAACAAATAAATATGATACTTTGGTCTTTGAACATTTTGGGCTGTTCCAAACACCCAGAAATTTACTCATTGGTGTTTTGGCCAGAAAACCTGAACTTTTGACTCCTTAGCTAACTTCGAACTCCAATAATTTTATAGCATTTAGCCACTATCCTAGCTAGAGTCCTACCCAAATGTTTGCCATCTCTTCAACTGATACTTTGGCATTATATGCCATTTTTTTCAAGTTTCTTGATTATTTCTGTTCCCTTCCCTTAAATAAAGATAATATTCAGCACTGTACTCATAAATGGGTGGAGTGTTTTCAAAATAAAGTTTTGGGAGTGTGTAAAATTTTGATTTGAGATAAGCAGAAAACAAAAAGCCCAAGGGAAAAAAAGTCAGAAAATGATACAACTGATTGTATATGATACTTTCTCTCTTTAGATGTATAAAATATGTATGTATGAATCAGTTACAATTGAAGCCTAAAATGTAATCTAAGTGCATTTAAACTAGATGAATGATAAACATTTACAATATCATTAAATTCAATATAACCCCAAGTCTTCCAAAGTGCCAATACCTCTCTAGAGCCAGTTAATGAGCATGCCTTTCCTCATATTCAACATTAGATATAACTTCATTTTAATATTAAAATTGACTAGCTAATATTGACAAAGTTAGAACTTTGACCCCAGTGTACAATGAAGTTATGTTACTCTGTTTCTTTGGTAACATTGCATCTGACCATGTGTGGGAAGGATGTGCAAAAGGTCAAAGAGTGTAAAGGCAGTGAATGTAGGTTAGGAAAACTCAAGAAGTAACAGGATAACAGTAATTTTCATTGCCTCTTAATGTATATTCTGTGAGGGCAAAAATATTAGAACATGGTCTAATTGAAGAGTAGGCCATGAAGGCCAGCATGAATCAAAGATTTTCATGACGAGACATAGGGAATAATTTCTCTAAGAACAATTGCGAGTTGAATTTAGGACTGCTGTACCTGATTGTCGAGTTGCTGCAGATTCATGGCTGGAGTCAACCTGCCTAATCACAGTTTTGTCAGATAATTTTCCGTTTTGAAGCTACTCCACAACTCTGTGACGATATGTATATACTTGCTTCAAATGTACTGAAAGCAGAAGGGTATCTTTTTACCATCCTTCCTTGGACATAATTCTATGCTCAGAAATCTAATTATATGTATTCTGAATACTCCAAAAATAAACAGGAAGCTAGGCAATTTTGTAGTTAAATTACTGCCTTATCTGCAATCCTATGTGTCAGGAGGCACAACTATCTTTGTTTAAAGATACAAGAAAATTCTCAGAGTCTAATTGGTAGCAAAAGGAGCACCTTCTAACATGTTATATCAAACTAGTAATTTCACTGGTCATGTATAATTCAGAAAAGAGATGTGTAATTACCCATTTCAGTTAATCTCAGTAATTTATTTCAATTTGTTTCTAGATCAGCCCCTTGATGTCCATGAACATTGCTGTTTGACTTTATTGTTTTCTTGGGTTTTTAGCTGACAAAAAAGAATTTAAAATTTTGTCTTGTATTTTGGTTAACTATGCTTTTCTTTTTTTTAATTTTCAATTGACCCATAATAATTGTACACATTTATGGGGTACAAAATGATATTTTGATACATGTATAAAATGTGTAATGATCAAATCAGGGTAATTAGCGTATGCATCACCTCAAACTGATAATTTCTTTGTGTTTGGACCATCTAAAATCCTCTTTTCTAGCCTGTATATGTTCAATATACAATAAATTATTGTTAACTATATTTATCCTACACAGTTGTAAAACACTAGAACTTATTATTCCTATTTAAGAGGAATTTTGTCCATTAAACCATCTCCTCCATCCTCCCTTCCCCCTATGCTTTCCAGCCTCTAATAACCATAATATTACACTCTACTTCAATGAGCTCAGTTTTTTTATATCCTGCATATGGGTGAGAACATGTGGTAATTTGTCTTTCTGTGCTTGTTTTACTTAACATAAAATCCTTTTTATGTCTGAATAGTATTAGTGTGTGCGTGTGTGTGTGTGTGTGTGTGTGTGTGTGTAACATTTTCTTTATCTATTCATTTATTGATGGGCATTTAGGTTGATTCCATATCTTGGCTGTTATGACTAGGGCTATAATAAATATAGGAGTGCAGATATCTCTTCCTATATTGATTTTCTTTCCCATGGATATATACCCAGTAGTGGGATTGGTGGGTCTTATGGTAGTTCTATTTCCAGTTTATAGAGAAACCTATATACTGCTTTTCATAGTGGCTATACTAATTTATATTCCCACTAACAATGTATGGATTACCTTGTCTCTGCATCTTCACCAGTTATTTTTTGTCTTTTTGATAATAACCATTCTAAGTGGGATGACAAAATATCTCATTGTGGTTTTGATTTGTATTTATCTGATGAGTAGTAATGTTGAGCATTTTTACATACATATTGGCCATTTATATGTATTCTTTTGATAAATTTATATTCAGATCTTCTGCCCATTTTAAATCAAATTATTTGGGTGATTTTGCTGTTGAGTTGGTTGAGTTTGTTGTATATTTTGAATATTAGTCCCTTGTCAGATGAATAGTTTGCAAATATTTCCTCCCATTGTACAACTTGTCTCTACAGGCTGTTGATTGTTTCCTTTACTGTGCAGAAATTTTTTTAATTTATTTTTATTATAAATTCAGGGGATACATGTGCAAGTTTCTTATGTGGCTACATTGTGTAATGCCAGGATTTGGGCTTCTATTGAACACTACTGAACGCTATTACCCAAATAGTGAACATAGTACTCAATAAGTAGTTTTTCAACTTCACCTCACTCCCAACTTCTCCCCTTTTGGAGCCCTTGTGTTTATTATTTCCATCTTTATGTCCATGTGTACCCATTTTTAGCTCCAATTCTAAGTGAGAACATGAAGTATTTGATTTTCTGTTTCTGAGTTATTTCACCAGGATAATGGCCTCCAGCTCCATCCATGTTGCTGCAAAGGACATGATCTCAATTTCATTCCTCTTATGGCTGCATAGTATTCCAAGGTAAATATATGCTACATTTTCTTTGTTTAGTCAACCCTAGAGAGACACAGGTTGATTCTATGACTTTGCTATTGTGAATAGTGTTGTGATAAACATACAAGTGCAGATGCCTTTCTGATAAAGTGATTTCTTTGGGGTAGATACACAGTAGTGGGATTGCTGTGATGAATTATAGTTCTATTTTTAGTTCATTGAGAGATCTAGATACTGTTTTTCATAGGGGTTGAATTAATTTACATACCCACCAAAAATGAATAAGCATTTCCTTTTCTCCACATCTTTGCCAACATCTATTATTTTTGACCTTTTAATAATAGCCATTCAGACTGGTGTGAGATAGTATCTTTCAATTTGCATTTCTCTGATGATTAGTAATGTTAAGCATTTTTTCATATGTTTGTTGGCCTTCCTTGTATGTCTTCCTTTGAGAAATGTCTGTTCATGTTCTTTGATCACTTTTTAATGGGGTTAAAATAAAAATGACCATACCTCACAAAACAATCTACAAATTAAACATATTTTCTGTCAAATTACCAACATCATTTTTCACAGAACTAGAGAAAACAATTCTGAAATTCATATGGAACAAAAAAGCCCAAATAACCAAAGTAATCCTAAGCAAAATGAAAAATAGCTGGAGGCATCACATTGCCAGACTTCAAACTATATTACAAGGCTATAGTAACTATATTAATCTGTTCTCCCACTGCTATAAAGAATACTACTAAGACTGGGTAATTTATAAAGGAAAGAAGTTTAATTGACCCACAGTTCTGCATGGCTAGGGAGGCCTCAGGAAACTACAATCATGGTGGAAGGTGTAGCAGACATGTCTTACATGGTGGCAGGTGAGAGAGGGAATGCATGTGTAGGAGAAACTGTCAAACACTTATAAAACCATCAGATCTTATTAGGACTCACTCACTATCACGAGAATAGCACGGGGAAAACTGCCTCCATGATCAAATCACATCCCACAAGGTCCTTCCTCAACAGGTGGGAATTATGGGGATTACAATTCAAGATGAGATTTTGGTGGAAACACAGAGGCAAAACATATCATTCTGCCCCTGGCCCCTCCCAAATCTCATCTTTTTCACATTTCAAAATGAACCATGCCTTCTCAACAGTCTCCCAACATCTTAGCTCATTTCAACATTAACTCAAATGTCCACAGTCCAAAAGTTCATCTGAGACAAGGCAACTCTCTTCCGCCTATGAGCCTGTAAAATAATAAAACAAGAGTTAGTTCCTTTCAAGATACAATGGGGATACAGAAATTGGATAAATGCTTCCATTCCAAAGGGAAGAAATTGGCCAAAACTTAAGGGCTACAGACCCCATGCAAGTTCAAAATCCAATGCCAGTGGGGTACTCATTAAACCTTAAAGCTCCTAAATAATCACCTTTGACTCCATGTTTCACATCCAGGTAATTCCGATGAAAGGGGTGGGCTCCTATGGTCTTGGGTAGCTCTGCCCCTATGGCTTTGCAGGGTACAGCCCCCATCCTGGCTACTTTCGTGGGCTGGCATTGAGTGTCTGCAGCTTTTTCAGGTCCATGGTGCAAGCTGTTGGTGGAACTATCATTCTGGGGTCTGGAGGACAGTGGCCCTCTTCTCACAGCTCCACTAGGCAGTGCCACAGTGGGGACTCTGTGTGGGGGCTCCAACCCCGCATTTCCCCTTTGCACCACTCTAGCAGAGGTTCTCCATCAGGGCTTCACCCCTGAAGCAGACTTCCCTCTGGAGATCCAGGCAATTTCATACATCCTCTGAAATCTAGGTGGAGGTTTCCAAACCTCAATTCTTGACTGGCTTGGGGCTTGAACCCTCTGAAGCAATGGCCTGAGCTGTATATTGGCCACTTTTAGCCATGGCTGGGATGCAAAGCACCAAGTCCTGAGACTGCACAAAACAGCAAGGCCCTGGGCCCAGACCATGAAACCATTTTTTCCTCCTAGGTCTGTGATGGGAGGGGCTGCTGTCAAAAACTCTGACATATCTGGGAGACATTTTCCCCATTGTCTTGGCCAAATTAACATTTGGCTCTTCATTACTTGGGCAGATTTCTGCAGCTGGCTTGAATATCTCCCCCCAAATGGGTTTTTCTTTTCTAAGGCATCACCAGGCTGCAAATTTTTCAAACTTTTATACTCCTTTTCCATTTTAAATATAAGTTCCAATTTCAGACCATGTCTCTCAAGTTCTAAGTTCCACAGATCTCTAGGGCAGGGGCAAAATGCCCCCAGTCTCTTTGGTAAAGCATGGCGTGAGTGACCTTTACCCCAGTTCTCAATAAGTTCCTCATCTTCATCTGAGAATACCTCCGCCTAGACTTTATTATTCACATCGCTATCAGCATTTTGGTCAAATCCATTCAACAAGTCTCTAGGATGCTCCAAACTTTCCCACATCTTCCTGTCCTTTTCTGAGCCCTCCAATCTGTTCCAACCTCTGCCAGTTACCAAGTTCCAAAGTCACTTCCACATTTTCCAATATCTTCATAGCTGTACCCCACTCTCTGTGGTACCAATTTACTGTATTAGTTTGTTCTCACACTGCTATAAACAATACCACTGAGACTGGGTAATTTATAAAGGAAAGAGCTTTAATTGACTCACAGTTTCACATGGCTGGGGATGCCTCAGGAAACTTAAAATCGTGGTGGAACGCAAAGCAAGTATGTCATACATGGAGGCAGGCAAGAGAGAATGTGTGTTTAGGAGGAACTGTCAAACAGTTATAAAACCATCAGATCAGGTGAGAACTCACTCACTATCTCAAGAACAGCAACAGCGAAACTGATTCCATGATCCAATCACCTGCCACCAGGTCTTGCCCTTGACACATGGGGATTACAATTTGAAATGAGATTTGAGTGGGGACACAGAGCCAAACTATATCAGTAACCAAAATAGCATGATACTGGTACAAAATAAACATATAGATTAACGGAACAGATTAGAGAGCCCAGAAATAAATCCACATACCTACACCCAACTGAGCTTCAACAAAGTCAACAAAAGTAAACAATAAGGAAAGGACACCCTATTCAACAAATGGTGCTGAGAAAAGTGGCAAGCCATATGCAGAAGAATGAAACTGTACCACTACTTCTCACCATATACAACATTCAACTCAAGGTAGATTAAAGACTTAAATGTAGCACCTAATCACTAGAAAAATTCTAAAGGAAAACCTCTTCTGGACGTTGGCATAGACAAAGAATTTATGACTAAGACCTAAAGACAAATGCAACAATAAAAAATTGGATAAAAGAGGTTTAATTAAGCTAAAAACTTCTGCACAGCAAAAGAAACAATCAACAGAGTAAACAGAAAACATACAGAATGAGGGAAAGTATTTGCACACTATGCATCCTACAAAGGACTAATACCCAGAATCTATAAGGAACTTAAACAAATCAACAGAAGCTCTTTATTTTGATATACTATCATTTTTCTATTTTTATTTTTGTTGCCTGTGCTTTTAAATTCTTACCCATAAAATATTTGCCTATGCTAATATGCTGAAGCATTTCTCCTATGCTTTCTTCTACTAGTTTTCTAGTTTCAGGTCTTAATCAATCCTGCTTTCCTGTCTCTAGAAATTATGGAGCACAGTAATTCCAAGACTTGCAATGGTTAAAGGTTTTGTACTACAAGACGAATAATATGAGAGAAGACAAAAGCATAGCCCTGAACTAATCAAAGTTAATTGTAAACATTTTTATATATAAGGCACAATTGGTGTCATATAGTGCAAGGAAGACTTGATGACATGAACCATGGATCACTTGACTCATGCATCCCCAGTACTTAGTCCAGGATCTGACACCTAAATAAATGAATATTTGATGAATGAGTGATTTAATATCTGAATGTAAAGGAGATATGCAATTCACATTATACAAGATGCAATTTTATAACCTTGACTAATTGTCCACACAGTATTTAATTTTATCTTTTAAAATTTTCTTGTAAGATGTGCCAGATTATTTAAAATGGAACAGTATCCCTTAATGTTTTGAAAGCCATTTGCTCTCTTAATAAACATAAGGTTTCATGACTTTGCTTGAAAATTCTGGGCTAGGTGCTGTGGCTCATGCCTGTAGTCCAAGCACTTTGGGAGACCAAGGCAGGTGGATCACCTGAGGTCAAGAGTTCAAGACCAGCCTGGCCAACATGGTGAAACCTCATCTCTACCAAAAATACAAAAATTAGCCAAGCGTGGTGGCCTGCCCCTGTAGTTGCAGCTACTCTGGAGGCTGAGACAGGAGAATTGCTTGAACCTGGGAGGCAGAGGTTGCAGTGAGCCAAGATGGCGCCACTGCACTCCAGCCTGGGTGACAGAATGAGACTCTGACTCAAAAAAAAAAAAAAAAGAAAGAAAGAAAAAGAAAATTCTGATATCCATTCCCTTTATGCATATATAGACAATCATTGCAGTATTTTTTTCCATGTTCCATGCTTGTCTCCTGGGAAGGAGACAAGCAAATTGTGCCAAGCATTATTTTCTATAGCATTTATGAAAATAATGTTCTTTTAAATTTACCAAACACAAAACTGTGTCATAGTATTGAATATGAATGTTGAAATGTTATCCCAGGAGAAACTCATATGTTACACACGTTGAAAATGCTAATTGAATTTGTAATCAAGCAATGTATAAAACTAAAAGGCCAACAAATTCAAAGGCATTTCTTTTCAAAAAGAGAGCAGCTAATTGTGGGCTAGTGGAAACAGCTCTGGATCAAAGTCAAGCAATCCTGAATTTAATTTCTATCTCTACAATTTACTAGGTGTTTGCTCTTTCATCACCAGTTATCTAAGTTGCTTACTCTCTTTGTCTGTCTGTTTCTTTATCTATAAAATATTGAAAGTCACGTTAATCTTCTGTAAAATTTATCAGAAATTTAGAGGGCAGTCTTTCTGGTTTTTTTTCATTTTTTAATTTTTAATTTTTAAATTTTTATAGATTTAGGAGGTACAAGTGCAGATTTCTTACATGCATATATTTCCTAGTGGAGAAGTCAGGGCTTTTAGTTTACCCATCGTCCAAATGGTGAACACTGTACCCAACAGGTCATTTTTCAACCCTCACCTCCTCCCATGTTTTGTAGTCTCCAATGTCTGTTATTCCACTCAATATGTCCATTCGTACCCATTGTTTAGCTCCCACTTATAAGTGAGAACATGTAGTATCTGAGTTTCTGTTGCTGAGTTATTTCACTTAGAATAATGGCCTTCAGTTTCATACATGTTGCTGCAAGAGACATGATTGCATTCCTTGTTAAGGCTGAGTAGTATTCCATGGTATATATGTATGCCACATTTTGTTTATCCAATCCTCCATCAATGGACACAGGTTGATTCCAATCTTTACTATTGTGAACAGTGCTGTGATAAACATATGAATGCAAATGTCTTTTTTAATATAATGTTTTCTTTTGGGGGGGGTGAATATACAGGAGTGGGATTGCTGGATAAAATAGTAGTTCTATTTTTAGTTATTTTGGAATTATCCATAGTTTTCCATAGGGGTCAAACTAATCTACATTCTCACCAACAGTGTGTAAGAGTTCCCTTTTCTCCACAACCTCACCAACATCTGTTGCTTTTTCACTTTTTAATAATAGTCATTCTGACTGCTGTGAGATTGTATCTCATTGTGGTTATAATTTGCATTTATCTGATGATTAGTGATGTTGAGCATTTTTTCATATGTTTGTTGGCTGCTTGTATATCTTCTTTGGAAAAATATCTGCTCGTGTCTTTCCCCAGTTTTTAACGGGATTATTTGTTTTCTCTTGCTGAGCTGAGTTCCTTCTAGATTCTGGATATTAGCCCTTTGTCTGATACATAGTTTGCAAATATTCTTCCCATTCTGTGAGTTGTGTGTTTGCTCTGTTGATTGTTTCTTTTGTTGTGCTGAAGCTTTTTAGTTTAATTGTCTCATTTGTCTATTTTTGTATTTGTTGCATTTGCTGTTGAGGACTTGGTCATAAATTGTTTGCTTAATCCAATGTCCAGAAGAGAGTTTCCTAGGTTTTCTTCTAAGATTTTATAGTTTCAGGTCTTATGTTTAGGTCTTTGATCCATCTTGAACTGATTTTTTTATATGGTGAGAGGTAGGTGTCGCGTTTCATTCTTCTGTGTATGGCTAGCCAGTTTTCCCAGCACCACTTATTTAATAGTGTGCCTTTTTCTCAGTTTATATTTTTGCGTACTTTGTCAAAGATGAGTTGGTTGTAGGTATGTTGCTTTATTTCTGTGTTCTCTGTTCTGTTCCACTGGGCTATGTGTCTGTTTTTGTATCAGTACTATGCCATATTGGCTACTGTAGACTTATGGTATAGTTCGAAGTCAGGTAATGCCATGATTCCAGCTTTGTTCCTTCTGCTGAGGTTTTCTTTGTCTATTGGGCTCTTTTTTGATTCCATATGAATGTTCAAATTAGTTTTCTTAACTCTATGAAAAGTGACATTGGTAATTTGATAGGAATTGTGTTGAATCCATAAATTGCTCTGGGCACTATGGTCATTTTCATGATATTGATTCTCCCAGTCTATAAGCATATTTTTCCATTTACTTGTGTCATATATGATTTCTTTCATCAGTGTTTTGTAGTTCTCCTTATCGACATCTTTCACCTCCTTGGTTAAATACATTCCTTAGTATTTCATTTTTTGTATCTATTTTAAATGAGATTGCCTTCTTGATTTGGTCCTCTGCTTGATCCTTATTGGTGTACAGAAAAGCTATTGATTTCTGTATGTTAATTTTGCATCCTGAAACTACTGAATTCATTTATCAAATTTAAGAGCTTTTTGGTGGAGTGGTTAGGGTTTTCTAGATATAGGATCATATCCTCAGATAATAGGGATAATTTGACTTCCTATTTTCCTATTGGGTGCCTTTTATTCTTTTTCTCTTTCCTGATTGCTCCAATGAGGACTTCCAATGTATTGAATAAGAGTGATGAAGGTGGACATCCTTGTCTTGTTCCAATTCTTAGAGGCAATGCTTTCAACTTTTTCTCATTAAGTGTGGTGTTGGACTAGAACAGCTCCTCATCAGCTTTTTTACCCCAGATCATCTCTGTGATAAATCATGTAATTTGAACATCAAATTCACTTCTTAAACTTCAAAATTTCTATAAAACTTACATATATTTTTCTTATCATCTCACACGGTTGTAGAAACTACATGAGATAATTGATAAAAAAGGTTTTAGTGTATTAGCTTTTTTTCTGCTGCAGTTTCTTTTTAAATGGAAGTGCATATTATTTTATATGTCTTGATTTGTAGTTACTTTAACTTCCTCTCACAGGTTGACATTCTTGGGAAGCAGACTATGAGACAGATAAGTAACCCAAGGAAATTTTTAAAGGTGTGCTCTTGGAATTAACCACCTATGGAAAAGAGAGGAAAGAAGTAAGATTGAACAGAGGGAGAGATCGAGCCATAATGTAGCCTCAACTAAAGCCTCAACTGACCCTAAAGGGAAATCTAAGGATAGGATGACTCTTTAAGGTTGATCAAAGTTAGAATAAGAGGGCCAGGATTTTATACCCTTGCATCAATCAGTCACTGAATGTGGGTTACGCGTGACTTCAGTTAAGGCAACTGTCTTCAGCTGAGACAAATCTTAAATGGAGAATGACAGCTGGTGCCTGTGTGCTTGAAGCATTCTCAGTAGTTGGGGTAAAAAGTCCTTCATTTCTAAGGAGGATGCTGAGGGGTGAGTCACATTGTCCACCACAGTCCATTCCCTGAAGCCCTCAGATTTTCTTCCTTGTCAAATATTGAAGCAGCACCTTTAGGATTCTTATGGGCATCACTTCCTCCAAACTTAAAGAAAAGTTAGTGCAATGAACTATTGTCCCCTTTCTTACAGTTGGTTTCAGGGACAAAATTGATACACAATACCCTTTTCTACCATCTATTTTAGAGTTCTGTCATCAGCGATATACTGATAATTTTCTAAAATACTATATTTTTAAAAGTAGTTTTAGGCTCATAATAAAATTGAGAGAAAGGTATAGAGTTTTCCCTTACACCCCTATCCCCACACATGCATAGCCTGCCCCATTATGATTTGCCCCACTAGAGACATACATTTGTTACAACTGATTAACCTACATTGACCACAGTTAACGTTAAGGGTTCACTCTTGGTGTTGCACATCCTATGAGTTTGAACAAACGTAAAATGACATGTATCCACCATTATAGTATTATACAGAGTAGTTTCACTGCCCTAAAAATCCTCTGCTAATCTATTCGTCCTGCCAACCCCAGCCCCTAACAACCACTTTTTTTAAATCTCTTCATAGTTTTCCCTTTTCCAAAATGTCATATAGTTTGAATCACACAGTGTAACCTTTTTAGATTAGCTTCTGTCACTTAGCAGTATGCACTTAAAATTCCTGCATGCCTTTTCATGGCTGGATAGCTCATTTCCTTTTAGCACCAATTAATACTGCATTGTCTGGATATACTACAGTTTATTTATTCATTCACCTACTAAGGGACATCTTAGTGGCAATGTTTAACATCCATTTTTTTAATAACCCTGGTTTGTAGCATTTTCTAATTTTTTGTAGTGCAAATGCTTCCACCATGGCTTAATTCAACCTACAAAGTTAAAACCACTGAATAAGGAGTTGGGAAGTGATACTAACAATTGAATTCTTAATTGCTGGTGGGAGCGAGCTCCAGGACACCTCTGGCCCTCATCCTCAGCCAGCACCCCTGCTGATCTCAGTGGCTTATCTGGTAGTGCAACTCAGAATCTTATTCCTGAGGCTCTGAGCACCATGGCCTTCTCAGACAGACCAATGCAGAATTCTCTTTTTGGGATATTATATAACTTTTTAGCTTGACTGAATGATATCAACATGAATTATGTGAATATATAAACTTAAAATATCCATATTATTACTACAACACAAAATCTGACCACCATTCATTTCTATATCCCCTTGTTCTTTTTTTGTGCCATGAAATCATATGTTACTAGAGTGAGTGGCAACAATAATCATTGCCACCCTAGTACACATGCAATAAATGTTAATTAAATCAACAAATGAATTTTTTAAACCTATAACCAATTTTCAAGATTTATTTTTGAACTTCAACATTATATGACTTAGTATGTGACAATGCAAAATCAGTAAGTATTGTCTAAGATAGTTGTTCTTAATCTGTTGTTGAATGGTGGGTCTTCAAATCCTTTGCATATTTGGTGAAATAAAAATTATTATATGCACAGCCTCACACAGTTTTGCATAGAATTTCAAAGAAGGTTACAGACTTCCCAAAGTCCATTTTTTGATCCCAAGTAAGAGACAGTCTAGTTACCTTTGACTATGATTTTCTAGCTTGGTTCTATCCAATTGAGATATAATGTGGCTCACATTTGTGAGTCATACATTAATACAATGTACTTATTCATTAATATAGTAAATAATAAGATCTAGCAGTTTGAATAATAAATGACATAATTTCAATTTCATAATAAGTACAAAAATGTTTGAAGATATTTGTAACAGCTATAATATGATGTAGAAATGACGTTAAATTTATTGCTCAACATCACTGGTTCTGTTAATACGATAGCAGTTTATGGCCCACATTTGTAATGCTAAGTTTCACTTAGAAGTAAATGAAAATACAGAACTAATTTTGTTCCCATCCAAATCAAGGAATTTCTGATTGAAGAGCCCCAGATCAATAACATTTGCAGTAGGGTATTGATTTGCAAATGGGCACATGGAGAATTTTAGGTGAAGGAAATGTCATAAACCTGAATTGTGTGATGGTTTCACGACTCTATAATTATTTCTAAAAGTAACTGAATTGCATGCTTACAACAGGTAAATGTTATGGTTATAAATTATATTTTAACAAAACTGTTAACAATTTTTTAATTATTTTATAGGGAATCTCTGCTCTAGCCCAGCACTGTTCAATAAAAGTATAATGTGAACTACAATGTGAGTCGTGTAATTTTAGCTAATGCATGTGGGGATTAAAACCTAGATGATGGGTTGATAGGTGCAGCAAACTATCATGGCACATGTATACCTATGTAACACACCTACACGTTCTACACTTGTGTCCCAGAACTTAAAGTAAAATTTTTTTAAAATCAAGTAGACACATCAAAGAGTAAAATAAAACACATAAAATTAATTTTGATAATATATTTTATTTGATGCAGTATATCTAAAATATTAATCAATATAACTAATGCTAACTATTTTACATTCTTTTTATTGTAGTAAGTCTTTAAAATCTGGTAGAAATTTTATAATTACAGCACATGTCAATTCAGACTAGCCACATTTCAAGTGTTCAATAACCACAAGTGGCTAGTGGCTACTAGCCAGCACAAATCTACACCAACATCAAATTATGACATTTAGTAACATGTTAAATAAATAGCTTAAATATTTAAAACATAGTATTGTTTAAGGATGTTCAAAAATTATTCAAATATGTTATAGTTTTCAAGGAGTATATCTTTGATCATGCTCTCTTAGAGGAGTGCCATACAATTTTTCTTGGCCTTTGCTTTCACTCTAGGTTATAGGATATTGTAGACAAGGTATAGAACACAGTAAGGGAAAGCAGAACACACGTGAAATCCATGGGCTACTTCAGAATGCAATAAAAAATTTAATTGGTGATGGACTTATACGCTGAAGGGAATTTTAGGCTGCTTTCAGCCTTAAGGGAAACACATACCATACTAGATTAAAATACCTGCTATGGTCACATGATTTAAATAAGATAGCTTATATAGATCAATAATAGAATCAAAAGTCTACGAAGGACTCTGCTTTGGTAGAATGGCAGACACGATATTCTAAACACCATATTTAGATAATAATTAAATAAAAACACAAGTTATTTAAATGGATTTTAGGACCTCCACTAAATGAAACCCTAAGGGCCAAACCCAAAAACAAGCAACCAAGCAACCTATAAAAGAACAGTGAGTTGAAATCTGAGAGATGAATAGTAACAGAACTTGAAGTCTGAGGATGCCGTGGGTGCAAACGCTGATACTAGGAAATATTAACCAAAAGAGAGCTGTGGTAGCTATATTAATATCAAAAAATAGAAAGTTGAAAAACTAATTTGGGCTAATGAGTATTCATTAATAATAAAAGGGATTATTTACCAGGAAAGTATCACAAATCTAAACTTGTGACACTATAGGGTGACTATAGCTAATAACAATGAATTATATATTTCAAGATAGCTGAAAGAGAGGATTTTGAATGTTATCACCACAAAGAAATGATAGGTGTTTAAAGTGATCTATATGCTAATTATCTTGATTTGGACATTATACAACTTATACATGCATTGAAAAAACACATCGTACCTCATAAATATGTATAATTATAGTGTATCAATTATAAATTAAAGTTAGAAATATAAAAATAAACTTGTAGTGCCTAATAATATAGACTTCAATCAAGAAACAATTAAAATAGTAACTATATAGATTTGAATAACACAATTAACACACTTAAAAGAAGGAACATATATAAAATCCTGCCTCCAACAGTTTTCAAGTACATAATATTCTAAAATATGCATAAAATATTTGGGAAAATTGATCATATGGAAGTTCACACAGCATATCTCAAAACATTTAAATAATTTGTATCATACAATCATGTTCTATAATCTCAATGAAATAATCAAAACACTACACATTTGGACATTTAAAAACACATTGCTAAAATTCTAAAAGTCAAAAAAGAATTTATAATAAGAAGTTTAAAATAATTGTAACTGTACCAAATAACATTTCCACTAAAATTGTACAAGGGTTCCCTTTGGTCTAGACCATCACCAGCTCTTTTTATCTCTTGTCTTTTTGATCATAGCCATTTTAACAAGTGTGTGATTATATCTCATTGTGGATTTACTTTACATTTCCTTGATGATTAGTGATCTTGAGAATGTTTTCATGTATCTGTTGCCCATTGTTGTATCTTCTTTGGAAAAATGCCCATTCAAGTCTTTCACCCCTTTTTAAAATGGGTTATTTTGTTTTTTCTTCTTTTTCTTTTTTCTTTTTTTTTTTTTTTTTTTGCTATTGACTTGTAGGAGTTCCTTACATATTTTAGATATTAATCCCTTATCAGATATATGGTCATCAAATATTTTCTCCCATACGGTAAACTGCCTTTTTCTTTTAATTGTTTCTTTCTTTATATTAGATTTGGTTTTTATTGTAGAGCATGCATTTCAGGGCAAAGTGCCGCACACACAACTACAAATCATTTTTGGGAAAAAAGCTGTAAAAAAAATAAAACTGTAACTGCTTTAATTATGCAGTCCCGACTTGAGAAATCCACGCTAGCAAAGGAGTTCTGACCCCTGAGAGGGGCTTCCTGATGGTGGCTGCCCCAGATTTCTGCAGGCTATGAGGTTTCAGACCCAGATCTCTGTACAGAAAGCCCTCAAAGTGGTGGTAGCCTGGTTGCTGGGAGGGCCTCTGCTCTTGGCAAGACCGGATCCTGGCCTGGCTGACAAGAAGACATTCCTAATGAATCTAGATCCACAAAACCTTGCTGCCTTCCAGGATCTGAGTGGGTAGAAACTACCAAAGACTTTACTTTTTTCTATTTATTATTATTTTTTGAAAGCCCCTTTTGCTCTGCAGAAGCTTTATAGTTTGACCTATGCCCATTTGTTTATTATTGCTTTTGCTGCCTGTGCTTTTGGTGTCATATTGATAAAATCATTGCCAAGAACAAAGTCTAGCAGCATTTTCCTTGATTTCTTCTAAGAGTTGTATTGTGTCAAGTTTTATGCTTAAGTCTTTAATCCATTTTGAATTGATTTTTGCACATGCTGTGAGATAAGGGTCCAATTTATTTCTTCTGAATGTGGATATTCCATTTCCCAGCACCATTTATTGAATAGACAAGCTTTTTCCCATTGTGTATTCTTGACAACCTTGTTGAAGACCAGGTGACCATATATGTGTGGGTTTATTTCTGGACTCTGTATTCTGTTACATTGGTCTACATATTTGTTTTTATGCCAGTATTAGACTGTTTTGCTTACTATAGCTTTGTAACGTGTTTTGAAATCAGGGAGTTTGATACCTCCAGTTTCGTTCTTCTTGCTTACAATTGCTTTGGCTTGCTGGGGTTTTCTTGTGGTCACATATATATTTTAGAATTGTTTTTTCCATCTCTGTAAAGTATGCCATTGAGATTTTGATAAGAATTGCATTAAATCTGTAGATTGCTTTGGGATTTATGGACATTTTATCAATACTTATTCTACCAAGGGATGTCCTTCCATTTATTTGTTTCTTTATTTCTTTTATCAGTGTTATAGTTCTCAGTATACCAGTTTTTCACTTCTTAAATTTATTCCTAATTAACTTATCTTCTTTGATATTGTTATAAATGAAACTGTTTTCTTAATTTTCTTTTTGAGTAGGTCATTGTTAGTGTATAGAAACACAACTCATTTTTGTATGTTGATTTTTGTATCCTGTGACTTCACTAAATTTGCTTATTAGTTCTATCTGCTTTTTTCTTTTGTGGAGTTTTTAGGGTTTTCTACATATAAGATTATGTCATCTTCAAGCAGAGATTGTTTTCCCTTTTTATAATGTAGTTCCCTTTATTTTTTATTGCCTAACTTCTCTAGCTAGAACTCCCAGTAGTATATTGAATAGAAAAAGTGAGAGAAGACATACTTGTGTTTTCCCAGATCTTAGAGTGAAAGCTTTCAGCTTTTCACTGTTAACTAAAATGCTTGCTGCAGGATTTCATAAGTGGTCTTTATTGTATTGAAGTTCCTTCTGTACCTAAGTTGTTGAGAATTTTTTGTATGAAAGAGCATTGAACTTTGTCAAATGCCTTCTATTTATATGATTGTGTGATTTTAATCTTTTATTCTTTTAATGTGGTGTTATCACATTGATTAATTTACATATCTTGAACCATCCTTGCATCACAAAAATAAATCCTACTTGGTCATAGTGTATGATCCTAATGTGCTGTTGTATTCAGTTTGCTTACCATTTGATTCAGGAATGCTACTTGTCAGTATATATACAAAGGAATTGAAATCTGGATCTCATAGAGATAGCTGCAGTCCTTTTGATTCCAGCATTATTCACAATAGCCAAGATATGGAAACAACCTAAATATCCATCAACAGATGAATGGATAAAATATATGATATATACATACAATACAAAACAGCCTTTAAAAAGAAGAAAATCCTATAATTTAGGACAACATAGATGGGCCTGGAAGACATTATGTTAAGTGAAATAAGCAAGACACAGAAAAACAAATACCACATGAACTTACTTACATATGGAATTAAAAATAGCAAAACTCATAGAAGCATAAAGTAAAATAATGGTGTCCAGAAGTTGGAGGTTGGGAAAAATTGGAAGGTCTTGGTCAAAAGGTACAAAGTTTCAATTATGCAAAACAAATAATTTTTGGAGATCTACTATACAGCATAGGGCCTATGATTAAGATTACTATAAGGTGTACTTAACATTTTGCTAAAAGGATAGATCTTATTTTAAGTGGTCTTACCACAAAACGGAAAAACTAAACTAAGCTAAACTAAAAAATACAGAGATGTGGGAGGGCACTTTTGGAATGATGGATAAGGCTCTTGCATTGATTGTGATGATGGTATCATAGGTTTGTACTTATCTCCAAACTCACCAAGTTGTATATATTAAATATCTATAACTTTTTGTATGTCAATTGTATCTCAACAAAAGCAGTTTAAAAATAATTATATCTGTATAATGAAAAATATTTATATGAAAACTGTAGAATCCATCTGAATTGCTACTTTTCCTTAATGATAGTAGCAAACATATTTTTATGGCTTATTAAGTAACTGAGGCTCACATAGAAGAAAAACGAAAGAGGTCTAACAGCAGAAGATGCAGCCAGCAAAAGAGGAAACCTTTTTAATGGAATCTGTAAAATATTTGGTGCAAACAGTAACTTGCTCAGGGTAAATTACTACAAAATTAAATAAATAATATTCGCACTACAGCAACGTAGTTTTAGAATCCATAACTTTAATGAGTATATCATGCTCCTACCTTCTTTCCTTCTTTTTCTTTCCTTCCTTCCTTCCTTCCTTATTTCTTTATTCTCTGAAGGAGACTTACTTTGAAACTACTTCATGTACCTCTCTGCCACCATCTTTACTTGCAGCAATAAGAGTTGAGGACAACTGAGATTGTGAGGCTAAGGGTAGTGGACACAGAACTGTAACAGACCTGCCACAAATGTTGTCATAGATCAAGAGCTACAAATGGGCTACTTTTGTTGTTGTTCTATTTTAAAAATAAAGAAAATCAAAATCTTTGAAAGCTTAAACATATCAATCAATTGAATGCTTTGTCTATTTTAGAGCATATATCTAGACATTAAGACAGCCTCCTTTTAAATAGGTAATACTGTGGTTTGAGATTAAGTGTTTATATCTACACCAACTGGAATTCTTTGTTGCACATATTGATTAAGTTTCCAACTTTATTCACATAGCTAGAAATCAATACTCCAAAGACAGAAAAGTGAAGACTAATTTACATATTTTAAATGAACTGCATATTTCAAATTGTAACAACTATGTTAAACCATGCTAACATCAACAATTAATGATTATACAATCGTTCTGCAAGTCATAGAAATAATGTTTTAATACTACTAAAGTAAACAAAATGTTGAAGCACTAAGTTGAAGATGATGAAAAATCAATTACACAAATATTTTCACTGATGCTTAAAAGGAATTAGATATTTTCTTCAAGATATTTCTAATGTTCATTGCCTAGGCATACAGGTAATAGTGGCTTATATCAGGGAAGATATGTTAGATAATATGTTATCCTTCTGTTTAATGCAATTAGTTTTTTAAAACTCAAAGCTGGTTGTTTAGTTTCATACCTTGATTACAAGTGTTAATATATGTAGTTGCATACTAAGCACAACTCCCAAGAGTCAAATTCAGATTGTTAGAATAAATAATTGTTAAATTCACATATGCACTCTCATATTTTTATTTATGTATTTATTGTTCTCTAAATGATATCTTAGTTTTACTTAGTAATTCCTTAAACATGTTTTCCATACTGTTATATTTACAATTATAATTTAATGCCTACTTTCTATGCTGTAATTTACTTATTTAACTATTTCTGGACATGTATCTCGGTTCCCAATCTTTGCTATTACAGATAATGCCCTAACAAATATTTCCATAGGCTACATTTCCAAGAGTAAAATAAGTGGTCAAAATTTTGTGTCTCTTGATATATATTGCCAAATTGCTTTACTTGTTATAACAGTTTACACTGTGCCAGGGCATTAGTGTACTAATTTAATCACAGGCTTACCTTCCTTGAGTACAGTCAATTTTTCTAATTTAATAGGTATAAATGGCATCTCATTATTGTTTCAAGTTACATTGCTTTATTTTTAGTGAGGCTGAATATTTTTCTTATGTTCTCTTTGTTTACTATTTTCTATTTTACTGTCTGTTCATTTCCTTTATTCATTGGCATCTGAATTATATGCCTATGAATTAGTATCCTCTTTTTGTTCATTACTAATGTTAATCTTTGATCTGTCATACTTGATACCAGTATATAGTTTTCTGTTTTATTTTCATTTCATGTTCTGTTGAATAGCTGTCTCACATTTTATAAAATTGAATATGTCAATCTTCCCTTGTAAATTTTTCTCATTGCTTCGAATTGTAGAAGGTTTTTAGACATCTAAGGAGTTTATATATAACTTATTCTGTCTTCTGCTAGCTTTTCTATGGCATAACATAATGTGTAATTACTTAATTCTTCTTGAGTTTATTTGGATTTGATATAAAATATGTGTCTAAACATAATTTTTTAAATCAATTTTTTCTTAAAGATACTATCCAATTATCTGAAAACTCTTCGTTAAATAGTGTATTTTTATATTACTTTGAGATGTCTTATTTTAATCCATATTTAAACAATATAAAATCAGTTCAATTTTTAGGACAACACAACCTCTTTTCCTCTGCAATTATTAATATATTTTCTACAGTCCTCTATAGTCCAACATCTGCTGCAGTTGATTTCCCCTGTTGCTGTAGTATTTTCTGACTTTTAAAGTCTCACATGCTTATATTTAACTTAATGTAAAGAAGAATATTATTGTGTTTTAAAACAAATTTTGTTGGAATTTATTGGTATTTTCTGAATATGTATGTTACCATATAACAAAGTGACAGTTTTATAGATAATTCTTTTAGGTATTCTGTCACTCATTCAAGCTATCAGCAAATAAGAACATACAAGTTGCTTCTATTAAAATACCTTTTCATGTATTTACTTCTTCGGGGTTCACTGTATTGGCCAAAATTATACAAATCACTAACAAATAATGCCAAGCTACAAAAAAGTGACCTGAAACTCTCACAGCAATTTTTTGAAACTCTTGGCAGATCCATCTGTGCAATGCAGATAGAAGCATTATGCTAATGTATCAGAACTGCCATCATTGATATTACCCAATTAATCCCTCATATTTAAGTTCTATGTTTCCCATGTATAATTATTTGTTAAATAACACAACATGGCTTGCTGAAATAAGCATTTCAGATATTTCAGAAAATGACTTTTTAAAATAACAGTATTTTCTTCCTATTTTTCACTGGTCAAGTCTCTTATTTGTACAGGAAATAAGCAATATTAAGTATATCACTACTCTTCTTTGGGAATAGTTATTCTTTACCATGTAAAGAAAGTTTATTGTATCCTTAATGTATATTCATTTTTATTGGCAGCAAGTGATAACTTTTATCTCATGCTTTTAGCACTCTTATGATTATCATATTGATTGTCTTACTTAAACAAATAATTTGGTTTATTAATCAATTTTCCCATGCTAGTAATAATCACTGCTATTGATTACATGCTTATTGTACAGGTATTTTGCATATATTGTCTCATTTAATCTCCACAATAACCCTGCTGATTAGATATTTTATTAGTGTCTTACTCCATTTGTGTTGCTATAAAGGAATACCTATGTTTGGGCAATTTAGAAATGAAAAAGTTTCCATTGGGTCATGGTTTTTCAGGCTGTAAGATAAGCGCAGTGCTGGCACCTGCATCTGGTGAGAGCCACAAGGTGCTTCCACTCAGGGCGGAGCTGCTGCAGAAAGATCACATCGCAGGAAGTAAGAGAGGGGAGAGAGGTGCCAGACTCTTTTGAACAACCAGTTCTTGCAGGAACTGATAGAGCGAGAACTAAATTCATTTCTGCGAAGACCCAAGCCACATGTGCTCTTGTGACCCAAACACCTCTAATTAGGCCCAACCGCCAACACTGGGGTTCAAATTTCAACATGAGATTTGGAGGAATCAAATATACAAACCATAGCAATTAGTTTCTTACCAAAAACTAGGTGGCTTACAGCAAAAGAAACTCATCTTCTTAGAGTTCTGGAGGCCAGAAGTTTACAATCAAAATGTTGGCAGGAATCCACTTTATCTGAAAGATCTAAGAGACAATCTGTTCTTGACTCAGCTTCTGATAATGCAAACACTCATTGGTGTTTCTTGGCTTATAGACGCACCACTCCAGTCTCTGCCTTTGTCTTCACATGGGTTTCCCCATCTTGTTTGTCTCTGTCTTCTACTTTTCTGTTTCTTATGGGGACATTGTGATTGGATATAGGGCTCATCCTAAATCCAGGATTGTCTCATGGAGAGATCATTTACTTCATCACATCTGCAAAGTGTCTATTTCCAGAAAATGTCGTGTTCAAAAGTGCTAGGAATTAGGACTTGAACATATCTTTTGGAAGTCACTATTCAATCCCTTGTAGTCCACCCCCTTGTCCGCTAAAATTTATGTTTATTGCAAATGCAAAATATGTTCACGCAATTCTGATGTTGGAAATTCTTAACTCATCTATAGCACCCACTCTAAGTCGAAACTTATCTAAATATCTCAGCTAATAGCTGAGCTGATAATATTTTAATGAGTCTAAATATCACATTCTAACTCACCCAAATATCACCTTCTACATCATCCGTATCAGGTATAGGTGAGAGTATGAATTTGGCCATTCAAAATTTCTCACCCTCTGTGGACTTGTGAACCTTGAAAACAAGTTGTTTACTGTCAGAACAAAATGATGGAATGATGGAACAGATATAAGGATATTCCCATTCCAAAATGGAAAGTTATAAAAACAAATAAAAAGGTCACTAGCCACAGGAAAATTTGAAATCTAGCAAGGTAAATTATGTCAAGTTTCAAGGCCTGAAAATAATCCTGTGCCTCAACCCTCGACCATCTGGGCCTGGGATGACTGTTCTCTGAACCAGTGGTGGCTTCACTTTTGACCCCTACTTCTGGGCCCACAGAAAGGGCTCAGTCGGCCTCTGCCTCTGCCTTGTCCTTGGACTTGCCTCTTTGTCCTCTGTCTCTGCATCTGTGGCTCTCCTCAGTCATTTTTTTCCTTTTTCTTAAAGAGCAGCTATATCAGCCCATTTCCTTCTTGAGGAAGGTTAGATGTCCTGTTGCCCTCTTTCACTTAGTTCTTTCTCTCTTTCTCGTTTAGTTCAATTTGGCAAAGTTTTTGCTGATACAACCTTCTGAAAAACCTCATTATTCTCCCATGGATGTCAAGTGGATATACCCTATTAGATGAGATGGTTCTTCATAGATCCTTCCTGGATAACTCCGTCACTCTTCCTGGCTTCTACTGAGAGTATTGATTGGGTGCATGTATCATATACATAATTTCCTAAGCAAAGCTGTTTCAACTACACTCTAGGCCTTCTTTCCAACACATGCTTCTTGACCAGGGAGTCTAAAATCAATGTTCCTGTGGGGATTTGAGGGCTAGAAACTCTATTCTGCCATCTTGCTGACATCCTTTCATATCAGCAACTTTTGCAATCTGGATAGCCTATGAATTTCCCAAAACGTCAACTGCTGGTTTATTTTTTCTTAACACTTTCTTCCTCAATTTATGTCTCTTTTTCCTCACATTTCACTAGAATCAGCAAGAAGAAAGCAGGTAATTGGTGAAACACTTTGCTTGAAAATCTCTTGAGCTAAAAACCCAGGTTCATCACTTATAAGCTCTGCTTTCCACCCATCAATAGAATACAATCCAATCATCTTTGTATCACTTTATAACAGGGATCACCTTTCCTACAGTTTCCAATAATGTATTCCTCATTTCCTTCTGAGACCTCACCAGAAGCACTCTTAACATTCATACTAACATTTGGTTCGTGATGACATACATTTTTTAAGATGATAGAAGCTTTCTCTATACTCCTCCTCATTTCCTTCTGACCCCTCACTTGAATATTCTTTAATGTCTATAATTGTACCAAAAATCTCTTCAAGGTAATCTAGGCATATTGTATTATGTGTCTCAAAATTTCTCTAGCCTCTACCCATTATCCAATGTCAAAGCCACTTTCACATTTTCAGGTATTTTTTACAGCACCACACAACATCCAACAACCAAAATCTGTATGTTTCCTAGGGTGCTCTGACAAAGTTCCACAAACTAGGTGGCTTAGAACAACAGAAAGCAATTTTATCACGGTTCTGGAGGTTAGAAGTCTGAAATCAAAGTGTGGTACAGCTATGCTTGTTCCAAAGGCTCTAGAGGACAATTTATTTCTTGAATTTTCCTTCCAGCTTCTAGTGAATGCAGACAATACTTGATGTTCCTCAATTTGTCAATGAATTATTCCAATCTCTGCCTTCATCTTTACATGACCTTTCCCCATTTGCGTCTCTCTGTTTTCTTCTTTGCTGTCTCACATAGGGACACTGCTGGATATAGGGCACATCCTAACTCTAGCATGATCTCATCTTAAAAGCCTTAATTACCTGTTTCCAAATAAGATAACTTTCACAGGTACCGGAAAAGTGGAGCGTTCTTATAACAAATCCTAAAATTGTGGAAGAAGCTTTGGAACTGGGTAACAGGCAGAGGCTGGAAGAATTTGGAGGAACAAGCTAGAAAAAGCGTGAATTTCCTTGAATGGAGCTATTAAGGGTGATTCCATTGAGGGCTCAGAAGAAGGGGAAAGCTGTAGAGAAAGCCTGAATCTTAGAAATTATTTACATAGCTATTAACAAAATGTTGGTAAAAATACGGACAATAAAGGCCATTCTTATGAGGTCTTAGATAGAAATGAGGAATATCTTATTGAAAATTGAGGAAAGGTCATCCTTGTAACAAGGTGGCATAAGAATTTGGATGAGTTGTGTTCCTGCTCTAAAATTCTGTGAAAGACAGAACTTAAGATTGATGAGCTAAAATATATGGCAGAAGAAATCTCTAAGCAGCAAAGTTCTCAGGGTGCTGTGTGGCTTCTCTTAATTGCTTAAAGTAAAATGTAAGAAAAGGGAAATGATTTAGAGAATAAATTTATAATCAAGAGAGAAGCCGAACATACAGATTTGGAAATTTCTCAGCCTGGCAGTGAAAGAATAAAAAAGTGCGTTTAGGAGAGAAAGCCAAGGGTGAGGACAATCAATCACTTGATAAGGAGATTAGTACAGGCAGAAGGAAGCCAGATGTCATTCATCAATTCAATGGGAGAATGACTTCAAAGGCTTTTCAGAGATCTTCAGGACTATCATATTCATTACAGGTCTAGAGTGCTGGGGCCTTAGGGGCAGAAGGTGTTCCCTGCCCATGGCTGTTTTGGGTCTCTTCTCCCCACATTATGGTGCAGTGCTCCTTGGCTACCCCAGCTATGGCTTATTTTGACTCACATATGACTCTGGCTGCAACTCTAGGTGTCACAGCAGTGAACATTGGCAGCCTCCATATGGTGCTAATTCTACAGGAGCACAGAGTACACAAGCTGTAGAAGCATGGCTTCCTCCACATGGATTTCAAAGAATTAGTACCCAGGCAGAGATCTGCTATGGGGGAGAGCCACTGCAGAAAGCACCCACTAGAACAATAGTTAGTGTATCCATGGGGGCAGGGCTGGCTTCAAGACCCCAAACTTGTAGAGCCACCAGCTTTTAATGCCTGCCTGAGAAATTTTCAGGCATGTGACTTCAATATGTGAGTGCTAAAGCATGGGATGAAACCATGGGGACAGGGCTGCCAAAAGCCTTGAGGACCCAACCCTTACACCTAGGTGTCTAAAGGAGGTTAGGCATAGAGTCAAAAAATTCTTCAGCGTTAAGATTTAATATATTACAACGAAACCAAAAATTAATAAATGGGGACTAATTAAATGAAAGTTTCTGCACAGCAAAAGAAACAGTCAACAAACTAAACAGATAACCTACAGAATGGGAGAAAATATTTGCAAATTAGGCATCCAACCAAGGTCTAATATCCATGCTATATAAGGAAATTAAACAAATTTATGAGCAAAAAAAAAATCTCATTAAAAGGAGGGCAAAGGACATAAGAGACACTTTTGAAAAAAAAGACATACACACAGCCAATGAGCACATGAAAAAACTGTTTAACATTACTAATCATTAGAGAAATGCAAATCAAAACTACAATGAGATACCATCTCACAGTAGTTAGAATGGCTGTTATTAAAACGTCAAAAAATAACAGATGCTTCGGAAGTTACAGAGAAAACGGAATTCTTATACACTGTTGGTGGGGATGTGAATTAGTTCAGCCATTGTGGAAAACAGTGTGGTAAGTCCTCAAAGAACTTAAAGCAGAATTATCATTCAACCCAGCAATATCAATATTGGGTATATAGCCAAAGGAATATAAATCTTTCTACCGTAAAGACACATGCACCTGTATGTTCATTGCAGCACTATTCACAATAGCAAAGACAGAATCAATGTAAATGCCCACCAATAGTATACTGAATTTTTAAAAATGTGGTACATATACATCACAGAATACTATATAGCCATAAAAAATAAGATCATGTCCTTTGCAGCAACATGGATGGAACTGGAGTGTATTATCCTAAGCAAACTAACAATGGAACAGAAAATCAAATACTGTGTGTTTTCACTTATAAGTGGAAGCTTAACAACGAGAATACATGGACACAAAAGAGAGGAACAACAGACACCAGGACCTACTTGAGGGTGGAGGGTGGAAGGTGGGAGAGGATTTAAAAAAAAAAACTACCTATCATGTATTATGTGTATGGCCTGGGTGATAAAATCCTCTGTATACCAAAATCCCATGACATGCAGTTTACCTATATAACAAACCTGCACATGTACACCTGAACCTAAAATAAAAGCTTTAAAAAAAGGATTTAATGTTTGCCCTGTTGAGTTTTGGGCTTGGTACCTGTTTCTCTTTTTTTTTTTTTTTCCTGTTTCTTCTTTTTGGATTAGAAATATCTGTTTTGTGCCTGCCCCATCATTGTATTCTTGGAAGTAGGCAACTTGTTTGATTTCGCAAGCAAAATGCTATAGGGAAATTTGCCTAAGGATGAAGCATGTCTTGAGTCTCACCCATATTTGATATTTAGATGTGACTCTGAACTTTAGATTTTAAGTTGATGCTGGAATGAATTAAGACATTTGGGACAATTGAAATTAAATGAATATATTTTGCAGATGAGAAGGACATAAATTTTGAGGGCCAGGGGCAAAATGCTGTAGTTTGAATGTGTCCCTCAGAAGGCATGTGTTTGAGACATGATTTCTACTGTGGAGGTGTTGGGAGGTGGGAACATTTGGAAAATGTTTAGGTCACGAGGCCCCTACTCTCATGAATTGATTAATGCCATTATAAGAAGGGCTTGCAGGAGTGAGTTTGCTCTCTTCTGCTCCTCTGCCATGTGAAGACACAGCATTCATTTCCTCTTGCCCTCCCACCTTCTGCCATGGAAGGACACAGTGAGAAGACCATCTACAAATACCGATAGCTTGATCTTGAAATTCCTAGCCTCCACAAGTGTGAGAATATAGACTTATCTTCTTTATAAATTACCCACTCTGGAATTTTGAAATAGCACAAAGCAGAGTAAGGTATTTAACATTCTATTTAATATTTGTGTTTTTTGTTTTTGTTTTAATTTGTTTTGTTTTTAATTTTTATGGAAACATAGTAGGTGTATGTATTTATGGAATTCATGAGATATGTTGATACAGACATACAATGTTTAAGAATAACATCAATGTAAATGGGGTATCCATCACCTCCAAAATTTAATAATTTTTGTGTTATGAACATTCAAATTATATCATTTTAGTTATTTTTAAATGAACAATAAGTTATTATTGACTGAAGTCACTCTGTTGTGCTATCACATGCTAGAATTTATATATTCTATCTAGCTATATTTTGTATCCATTAACCATCCCCGAATTCCCTCCTATACTATCTATATCAGCTTCTAGTAAACAGCATACTATTCTCTATCTTCATTAGTTCATTTGTTTTAATTTTTAGCTCCCACAAATAAGTGAGAACATGCAAAGTATGTCTTTATGTGCCTGGCTTATTTAACTTAACATAGTTACCTCCAACTCCATCTATGTTGCAAATGACAGGCTCTCATATTTTATGGCTAAATAGTACTCCGTTGTGTATATGTACAACACTTTTCTTATCCATTCATCTGCTGATGGACACTTAGGTTGCTTCCAAATCTTAGCTATTGTGAATAGGCTTTCAATAAACATGGGAGTGTAGATAACTCTTCAATTTACTGATTTCCTTTCTTTTGAGTACAAATCTAGAAGTAGAATTGCTAAATCATATGGTAATTCTATTTTTATATTTTGAGAAACTTCCATATGTTTGTTTATACTGGCTTTACAAATTTATATTCTCACCAACGGTGCATGAGGATTCCCCTTTCTGTACGTCCTCACTAGTATTGTTTACTGCCTGTCTTTTGGATATAAGCCATTTTAACTGGGGTGAGATGATATCTCATTGTAGTTTTGATTTGCATTTCTCTGCTGATCAATATTTTGGGCACCTTTTTAAACATCTGCTGGCCATTTGTATGTCTTCTTTAGAGGAACATCAGTTTAAATTTTTAATCCATTTCTGAATCCGATTATTAAATATTTTTCTACAGAGTGGTTTGTGCTGCTTGTACATTCTGGTTATTAATCTCTAGTGAGATGAATAGTTTACAAATATTTTCTCCCATTCTGTGGGTTTTCTCTGCACTTCACTGATTGTTTTCTTTGTTATGCAGAAGCTTTTTAACTTGATGTAATCTCATTTGCCTATTTTCGCTTTTGCTGGCTGTGCTTTTCGTGGTATTACTCAAGAAATCTACCCATGCCAATGTTCTGGAGAGTATCCTAAAGGTTTTCTTTTAGTATTTTCATAGTCTGATGTTTTAGGTTAAAGTTTTTAATCAATTTTCATTTTACTTTTGTATATGATGAGAAATAGTGGTCTCATTTTATTTTTCTGCATATGGTTACCAGTTTCATTTATTAAATAAGTTTCATTTATTAAAGAGATGGTCATTTTCCCAATGTATGTTCCTGACACATTTGTTGAAAATGAATTTATTGTAGAGGTATTGATTTATTTCTGGGTTCTATATTTTGTTCCATTGGTCTATGTGTCTGTTTGTGTGTCAGTCTTATGTTGCTTTGGTTACTATGCCTCTGTAGTAAAATTCAAAGTCTAATAATGTGAATCTTATGGTTTTGTTCTTTTTCCTCAGGATGGCTTTCGCTGTCTTTGGTCTTTTGTGGTTCCATATATATTTTAAGATTATTTTCTCTACTTTTATGAAGAATGTCATTGGTATTTGATATGGATTGCACTGAATCTGTAGAATATTTTGGGTAGTATAGACGTTTTAGCAATATTTAGTATTCCAATTCATGCACATGGAATATCTTTCCATTTTTTGTGTCCTCTTCAATTTTTTTCATCAAAGTTTTATAATTTTTATTGCAGAGATTTTTCTATTCTTTGGTTAAGTTTACTCCTAGGTTTTTTATTTTTTTGTAGCAATTGTAAATGGAAATACCTCTTGATTTCTATTTCAGAATATTGTTAGCTGCAGTGAATTTGTTTATCAATTCTTATAGTGTTGTGATGGAGCCTTTAAGTTTTACCAAATACAAAATCATACCACCTGCAAACAAAGATAATTGGAGTTCTTCTTTTACAATTTGAATGCTCTTTATTTCTTTTTTTGTCTGTTTTCTCTAGCTACAAATTAAGTACAATGTTGAATGACAGTGTTTAAAGTGGGCATTATTGTCCTGTTCCAGATCTTAGAATAAAGGCTTTTAGTGTTTCCCTTTCAATATGATACAAGCTGTGGATCTATTTTACATGGGTTTTATTGTGTTGTTTTATGATACCTGTATGCTCAGTTTTTTTAGGGTTATTATCAGGAAGTGATGTTGAATTTTATCATAGGCTTTTTCAGCATTTATTAAAATGATCATATGGTTTTTGTTCTTCATTCTGTTGATATGATGTATTACATTAATTTGCATAAGTTGAGCCATCCTTGTATCCTTGAAACAAATCTCACATGGTCATGATGAGTGATCTTTTTAATATGCTGTTAAATTTTGTTTACTGATATTTTGTTGAGAGTTTTTGCATCAATATTCATCAGACATATTAACCTGTAGTTAATATGTGTCTTTGTTTTTTTTTCTATCACAGTAATCCTGGCCTATGGAATAAGATGGAAAGTATTCCCTACTCCTCTAATTTTTGGAATAGTTTGAGCACAATTGGTATGAGTTCATCCTTATATGTTTGGTAAAGTACGGCAGTGAAGCCATTGGGTCTTGAGTTTTTCTTTGATGGGATAATTTTTATTATGGCTTTGATCACATTACTTGTTATTAGTCTTTCCAAATTTTGGATTTCTTCATTGTTCAAACTTGATAGGTTGGATGTGTCTATAATTTATCCATTTCTTTTTTGTTTCCCAATATTTTGGCATATAGTTACTCATATTAGTCTATAGCAAACCATTGTATTTGTGTGGCATCAGCTATAATATCACCTTTTTCATCACATTTTTTTAACTTTGTTTCTAGGTTCAGGGATACATGTGCAGGTTTGTTACATAGGTAAACTGCATGTCACAAGGGTTTGATGTACAGACTATGCCATTACACAAGGAATAACCACAGTACATGATAAGTAGATTTTTGAACCTCTCTCTCTTCCTACTCTCCACCCTCAAGTAGGTCCTGGTGTCTGTTCCCTTTTTTGTGTCAATGTGTTCTCATTGTTCAGCTCCCACTTATGAGTGAAAATATGTGGTATTTGATTTTCTGTTCCTGCATTAGTTTGCTTAGGATAATGACCTCCAGCTATATGTATGTTGCTGCAAAGGACATGATCTCATTCTTTTTTTAATGGGTACATAGTATTCCACGATGTATATGTACCACACTTTTTTGTCCAGTCTACCATTGATGGGCATTTATGTTGAGTCTATGTCTTTGCTACTGTGAATAGCACTGCAATCAATATACATGTATCTTTATGGTAGAATAATTTATATTCCTTTAGGTATATACCTAATAATGGGATTACTGGGTTGAATGGTAGTTCTGTCTTTAGTTCTTTGAGGAATTGCCACACTGCTTTCCACAATGGTTGAACTAATTGACTCTGTCACCAAAAGTGTGTAAGTATTGATTTTTGTTTGCAAGTTCACAAGCATATGTTATATTTTTACTTTATAATATAGCCAATCTGACTGTTGTGAGATGGTATCTCATTGTCGTTTTGATTTGCATTTCTCTGATAAATAGTAATGTTGAGTATTTTTTATATGCTTGTTGGCTGTGCATATGTCTTCTTTTCAAATGTGTTTTTTTCATGTCTTTTGCCTACCTTTTAGAGAGGTTGTGTTTTACTTGCGAATGTGTTTAATTTACAAATTTACAAATTTGTTTAATTTACAAACATAGATTCTGGATATTAAACCTTTGTCAGATGCTGATACAGTTTGGCTCTGTGTCCCCACCCAAATCTCATGTCAAGTTGTAATCCTCAGTGTTGGAAGAGTGGCCTGGCGGGAGGTGATTGGATCATGAGGGAAAATTTCCTCCTTTCTGTTCTCATGATAGTGAGTGAGTTCTCACAAGATTTGGTTATTTAAAAGTGTATAGCACTTTCCCCCTTTTCTCTCTCTCCTGCTCCACCATGTGAAGATGTGTTTGCTTCCCCTTTGCCTTCCACCATGATTACAAGTTTCCTGAGGCCTCCCCAGCCTTGTGTCCTATACAGGTTGCAGTACTGTGAGTCAATTAACCCTCTTTTCTTCATAAATTACCCAGTCTCCAGTATGTCTTTTTGGCATTGTGAGAACAGACTAATACAGAACACTGGTACCAGGAGTGGGGCATTGTTATAAGGGTACCTGAAAATGTGGAAGTAGATTTGCACCTGGGTAGTGTGTAGAGGTTGGAACAGTTTGGAGAGTTCAGAACAAGGCAAGATGTAGGAAAGTTCAAAACTTCCCAGAGACTTCTTAAATTGCTGTGACCAAATGCTGATAGTGATATGATCAATGAAGTCTAGGCTGAGGTGGTATCAGATGGAGATGAGAAACTTACTGGGAACTGCAGTAACGGTCACTCTTGCTATACTTTAGCAAACAGACTGGCAGCATTTTGCCCCTGCGCTAGAGATCTGTGAAACTTTGAACTTGAGATAGACAATTTGGGGTGTCTGGTGGAAGAAATTTCTATTTCTAAGCAGCAAACCATTTACCATGTGACCTGTCTGCTTCAAACAGCACATGCTTACATTCATGAGCAAAAAGATAATCTGAAACTGAAACTCATGTTGAAAAGGGAAGCAGAGCATAAAAGCTTGAAAATTTTGCAGGATGGCCATGTGGTAGAAAAGAAAATCCTATTTTTCAAGGGAGGAATTCAAGCCAGTTGCAGAAATTTGCAAAAGTAACATTGAATATTAATTGCCAAGACAATGGGGGAAATGTGTGCAAAGCATTTTGGTGATCTTTGCAGCAACCCCTCTCATCACAGGCCCCGAGGCCTTGAGGGGAAGAATGGTTTTGTGGGCCACACACAGGGCCCCACTGTCCTGTGCAACCTCGGGACATTGCTTTCTGCATCCCAGTCACTTCTGCTCCAACCATGGCTAAAAGGTCCCCAAATATGTCTCAGGCTGCTGCTCTGAAAGGTGCAAGCCGGAAGCAGCTAAGGCTTGCAAGTGGTGTTAAGTCTGTGGTGCACAGAGGGCAAGAGTTGAGGCTTGGGAGCTCTGCCTAGATTTCAAGGGATGTACAGAAACACCTGGATGTCCAGGCAGAAGCCTGCTGCAGGGGTAGAGCCCTCATGGAAAACATCTACTAGGGCAGCATGGAGGGGAAATGTGGAGTTGGAGCCACCATGCAGAGATCCCACTGCCTAGGCACTGTCTGGTGGAGCTGTGAGAAGAGGGCTACTGTCCTCCAGCTTCTGGAATGTTAGATTCACCAACAGCTTGCACTGTGCACCTGGAAAAGCCACAGGGACTTAACGCCAACCAATGAAAGCAGCCAAGTGTGTACCCTGTACAGCCACAAGGGCAGAGATGCCCAAGGCCTTGGGAGCCCACCCTTTGCATCATTGTGGCTTTGTTGTGAGACATGGAGTCAAAAGATACTATTTCGGAGCTTTAAGATTAAATGACTGCCCTGCTGGGTTTTGGACATACAAGGGACCTGTAGCTTTTGTGTTTTGGCCAATCTCTCCCTTTTAGAATGGGAGTATTTAACCAACACCTGTACCCCCATTGTATCTTGGAAGTAACTAACTCCTTTTTATTTTACAGGCTCATAGACAGAAGAGATTTGCTTTGTCTCAGATGAGAGTTTGGACTTGGACTTTTGAGTTAATGCTGGAATGAGTTAAGGCTTTGGGAGACTGTTAGGGAGGCATGATTGTGCTTTGAAATGTGAGAAGAACATGGGATTTGGGTGGGGCCAGCGGCAGAATAATGTGGTTTGGATCTGTGTCTCCACCCAAATCTCATGTCAAATTATAACCCTCAGTTTTGGAGGAGAGGCCTGGTGGAAGGTGATTGGATCATGAGGGTAAACTTCCTCCTTGCCCTTCTTGTGATAGTGAGTGATTTCTCACAAGATCTGGTTATTTAAAAGTGTGTAGCACTTCCCCCTTCATTCTCCCTTTCCTGCTCTGTCATATCAAGATGTGCCTGCTTCCCCTTTGCCTTCCACCATGGTTGTAAGTTCCCTGAGGCTTCCCCAACTATGCTTCCTGTACAGCCTGTGGAACTGTAAGTCAATTAGAGCTTTTTTCTTCATAAATTACCTAGTCTCAGGTATGTCTTTATAGCAGTGTGAGAATGGACTGATACAGATGCCTAATTTGCAAATATTTACTCCCATTCTGTAGTTTGTTTGTTTATTCTGTTGATAGTTTATTTTGCTGTGCAGAAGTGTTTTAGTTTAATTAGGTCTCATTTTTCCATTTTTATTTTTATTGCAATTGCTTTTCCTGTCTCATAATGAAAGCTTTGCTAGGTCCTATGACCAGAATGGTATTTCCTAGGTTATCTCCCAGGGTTTTTATTCTTTTAGTTTTTACATTTAAGTCTTTAATTCATCATGAGTTGATTTCCATATGCAGTGTAAGCAAGGGATCCAGTTTCAATTTTCTGTATATGACTAGCCAGTTATCTCAGCACCATTTATTGAATTTACAGTCCTTTTCTCATTGCTTGTTTTTGTTGACTTTGTCAAAGATAGAATGATTGTAAGTGTGTGATATTATTTCTGGGCTTTCTATTCACTCCATTGGTCTATATGTCTGTTTTTGTACCAATACCAGGCTGTTTTATTTCTGTAGCCATGTAGAATAGTTTGAAGTCAGGTAATGTGATGCCTCCAGCTTTATTCTTTTGCACAGGATTGCCTTGGATATTTAGACTCCTTATTGTTTCCATATGAATTTTAACATGGTTTTTGATAATTCCATGAAGAGTGTCATTGGTAGTTTGATAGGAATAGCATTGAATCTGTAAATTGCTTTGAGCAGTATGGCCATTTTAACAGTATTGATTCTTCCTATCCATGATCATAAAATGTTTTTCCATTTGTTTATATCATTTCTGATTTCTTTGAATAATGTTTTCTAATTCTTATTATAGGTATCTTTTACTTCCTTAATTAGCTGTATTCACAGGTATTTTATTCTTTTATGGCAATTGTGAATGGAAGTACATTTTTGATTTGGCTCTCAGCTTGGATGTTTTTGGTGTATAGGCATGCTACTGATTTTTGTACACTGATTTTGTATCCTGAAACTTTGTTGAAGTTATTTATTAGATCAATGAGCTTTTAGGCAGATACTACGTGATTTTCTAGGTATACAGTTATATCATCAGAAAACAGGAAGAGTTAAATTTCCTCTCTTCTTAACTGGATTCCTATTATGTCTTTTCTTGCCTGATTGCTCAGACCATGACTTCAAGTACTATGTTAAATAGGAGTGGTAAGAGATGGCATCCTTGTCTTGTCCTAGTTTTCAATAGGAATGATTCCAGCTTTTTTCCATTCAATATGATATTGGCTGTAGGTTTGGCATAGATGCCTCTTAATATTTTGAAGTGTGTTCCTTCAACGCCTATTGGTTGAGGGTTTTTAACATGAAGGAATGTTGAATTTTAGCAGAAGGCTTTTTTGCATCTAGTTAGATAATCATATTTTTTTAGTTTTGTTTATGTGATTAATCACATTTATTGATTTGCATATGTTGAACCCTCTTTGGATCCCAGGAATAAAGCCTACTTAATTGTGGTGGATTAGCTTTCTGATGTCTGTTCGATTTGGTGGGCTAGTATTTTTTAAACTATTTTTGCATTGATGTTCATCAAGGATATTGGCCTGAAGTTTTCTTTTTGTTGTGTTTCAGCCAGGTTTTGTTATTGGGATGATGCTTGCCTCATTGTGTGAGTCTTGGAGGAGTTCCTCCTCCCCATTTTTTTGGAATAGTTTCAGTAGGAATGATACCATCTCTTCTTTATACATCTTGTAGAATTCAGCTGTTCGGTCATCTGGTCCTGAGCTTTTTTTGGTTGGTAGCCTTTTGGCTACTGATTCAATTTTCAAACTCATTATTGGTCTGTTCAGGAATTCCACATCTTCCTGGTTCAGTCTTTGAAGATTGTACGTGTCCACAAATTTAACCATTTCTTCTAGGTTTTCAAGTTTGTGTGCATAGAGGTGTTTTTAGTAGTCTCTGAGAGTTGTATTCATTTTTTAATTTCTGCGGGGTCAATGATAATGTCCCCTTTTTTATTTCTGATTGAGTTTTTTTTGGATCTTCTCCCTATTTTTAGTAGTCTAGCTAGTAGTCTATGTTTCTTAATAATATATTCGAAGAACCAATTCCTGGATGTGTGGATCTTTTGTATGGTTTTTTTGTATGCTTTTTCTGGCTTTTTAGTTCAGCTCTGATTTTGCTTTCCATTCTTCTAGTTTGGGGATTGGTTTACTATTGTTTCTCTAATTCCTTTATGTGTCTTATGATGTTATTAATTTATGATTATTCTAATTTTTTGTTGTGGACATTTAGTGACATAAGCTTTTCTCTTAAGATTGACTTATCTGTGTCCCAGAGATTCTAATATGTTGTATCTTTGTTCTCATTAGTTTCAAAGGTTTTCTTGATTTCTGCCTTAATTAAATGATTTACCCCGAAGTCCTTTAGGAGCAGGTTGTTTAATTTCCATGTAATTTTATAGTTTTGAGTGCATTCCCTATTATTGTTCTTTATTTTTATTGTGCTGTTTTCTGAAAGTGTGGTTGGTGTGATATCAGTTTTTTAAAATTTGTTTAGAATTTTTTTATGTTCAATTATGTGGCCTATTTTAGTGTATTCACCATGTGCTGATGAGAAGAATGTATATTCTATTGTTTTTGAGTGGAGAGTTCTATAGATGCCTATGAGGTGCATTTGTTCAAGTGTCAACTTCAGGCCTTGAATATCATAGTTAATGTTCTGCCTCGATGGTCTGTCTAGTACTGTCAGTTGGGTGTTAAAATCTCACACTATTATTATGTAAAAATCTAAGACTCTTCATAGATCTCTAAGAACTTGCTTTATGAATCTAAATGCTTCTCTTTTGGGTATGTACATATTTAGGATAGTTAAGTCTTCTTGTTGAATTGAACCCTTTACCATTATGTAATGCCCTTCTTTATCTTTCTTGATCTTTACTGGTTTAAAGTCTGTTTTGTCTGAAATTAGGATAGCAACCCAACCTTTTTTCTTTTTGCTTGGTAGATTTTCTACATCCCTTTATTTTGAGGTTATGGGTGTCATTGCATGTAAGATGGGTCTCCTAAAGTCAGCATACCTATATTGGGTCTTGCTTTGCCACTCTGTGCAAAGCGTTTTAATTGGGGCATTTAGCCCATTTACATTCAAGGTTAATAAGGATATGTGCGGATTTGATCCTGTCATCATGTTGTTAGATGATTATTATACAGACTTGTTCATGTGGTTGCTTTATGGTGTCAATGGTCTATGTACTTAAGTGTGTTTTTGTAGTGGCTGGTAACCATCTTTCCTTTCCATGTTAAGCACTTCTTTCAGGACCTCCTGTACGGCTAGACTAGAGGTTACAAATTTCCTCAGCCTTTGCTTGTCTGAAAAAGATCTTATTTTTTCTTCACATACAAAGCTTAGTTTGGCTGATTATAAAGTTATTGGTTGAAAATTATTTTCTTTAAGTATTCTGAATATAGGCCCCTAGTCTCTTTTGGCTTGTAGGGTTTCTACTGAAAGGTCTGTTTTTAGCCTGATGGGATTTCCATTTTAGGTGATCTGCCCCTTCTCTATAGCTGCTGTTAACATTTTTTCTTTCATATCAACCTTGGAGAATCTGAGAATTACGTGTCTTGGGAATGGTCTTCTTGTGTAGTATTTTACAGGAGTTCCCTACATTTCCAGAATTTGGCCTCTCTAGTGAGGTTGGGGAATTTTTATAGATAAGATCCTGAAATATGTGTTCCAAGTTGCTTGCTTTCTACCCATCTCTTTCAAGGACACCAGTTAGTCATAGATTTTTTATCTTTGAAGAGCAGGAGGTTGAGGGCTCACAGAGAGACTGGGCTCCTCTCCATATGGCAACTCTAGCATGGTGGAAGTACAGGTGAAGCCCTCAGGCTCTTTGTTCCTCCCCCTGACAGAGGGCAACAGGGGAGGAACCACGAACATGGCAGTGAGATGGGGCTTTTTGTTGGCTTTGGAATATCCTTACCAAAGAAACACAGTGACACTGGCAGTGCGTATGCTTAGCTGAAGGTCCTGAGCTGCGGACCATTCTTGGTGAAGAATGAGGGTTAAGGGCTCCCAGAAAAGAGAAACTGTCCTCTCTCCATATGGTGGCTGCAGTGTGCCACAGGTGCAAGCATAGCAACCAAGCCCTTTATTCCTTCCTCAGCCCAGTGGTGGTTAGGGCATCACAACTGCAGCTGCAATAATGGAGGAGCTGTGGGTTGCTTCTGGGATATATTCTTCAGAGAACTGTTCAGGCAGGAGCAGAATAGTTGTGAGACAGCCAGGAGGGACAGAGTCCCCAGAGAAACTCCAGTTGGCCTACGCACTGGGAGGAGTGTGCACTGGGGTGGAGCCACAGAAGTTTGTGCCCTTTGCAGTCGGGAGAGCCTGCCCCTCCTCTTCTTGGGTGGTACCTGGGATTCAATCTGTGAGGTGGGAAGCCTATACTAGAAGAACTCTCACTCTGTTGGGTTCCTCTTCCCCGTTTTCAACCTTTTTGCCCAATATGTCCAATTAGTCTCACCCTTCAAATTGTCTGCAAGCCTAATCTTTTCTGGCTGTGTGACAAGGACCCCATCTTTAGCTGAACTGAAGAAAAGTACCACAACATTTTGGCATGGAATGTGGGGGCTCGAGAAGTGGTGAGTGAGATGCAAACCAAGAAATCATTTCCCCTCTTGTTTCTAAGCCTTTTCATCCTTGGACTGCTGAGGGTAAGGGAAACCATGCCCCCACCCCCATCACTCCCGGGGGTCGGGGGCCTTTCCATGACCTTTTTCTTCCTTTTTCAGGATGGACTGATGAACAGTGGCTCTTGCCTCCTTCCCCTCCCTGCTGGGGATGGGACACATGGCCCAAGGCACCCCAGGGGCATCGCTGATGTTTTCTGCCACATGTCCATGGGGTCTCTTTCTCTCCAGGCCAGGGAGGCTAGCACCATCTTACAGCAATTAAGTTTCTCTTCCTGATGGAGGATCCACTTGCATAAAAATAAGAGGTTCATCCCTGGACATTTGTAAACTGTTTTTTTCTGCTCTTTCTACACCCTGTCAGCAGTTAACTTTTAAGCAAGTTTGTTTGTTTGTTTGTTTGTTTCCTTTTGGAAGATGTTTTGCTAGGCTAGGAATGATAAGGGTCACTGTTTATATTCTCTGTAAAGCTTTAATTGTGAAAAAGGATGTGTGAGACTGGTCTTAAGCTGTAGCCAATCTGGTGTGCTTTGCATGTCTGTACGGTTCATAGAAAACTTTGCTGCAGGCCTCCATCTTTTTTTTACATCCTGGAAGTATGGCCTGTAACTCCATGGCAAGACTTTGTTTAGCAATCCTGACTTAAGGAATGAGTCTGTTTCTGGTTTAATATCTGCAAGTTTTCCTACCCCTGTCTCTTAAAGGGACCCACCCAGGAACTGGGTTTTTTTTCTGCCTGTCTGTGTAACTATATATGTGTTGTGTATGATATCTGCAAAAAAGAGCTCTAATTAATTTGGCCTAAAGAAAGACAAGCACTTGAATCAAATATTTTTTAAGGGAAGATAAAAGCTATGGTACCTTTCAGTTCATGTGATTTTAATCTATGAATAATAAAGAAAAAGCCTTAAAGATTATTGGTAAAAACAGGTGTTGTCAAAATGTAAATAGGTGGACTAAATTATGCAGGTCAGATGCAAGGTTTGCTACATGTTTTAAGGTTATAAACTGCCTTTTGGGTTTTGAGAACTATTTGACTTACTGGCTTCACAACTGGTAAGGCCTGGGGACATACGGAGCTAACCATGCCCTTAATTATGCTGGGAGTCAAACTTTGGCTACACCTAGCACACAATTAAGACAACTTACCAGGTTTTGCATCAAAGTTAAAAATCTCTAGGAGTTACCATTACATGTAATTGAGACTACTGAAAATAGATTTACATACAAGGTATGTAAGAAAAGTAAAATGTGGTGGGTTTTTTTGTGTTTGTTTGTTTGTTTGAGACAGAGTCTCACTCTGTCACCCAGGCTGGAGTGCAATGGCACGATTTCAGCTCACTGCAACCTCTGCCTCCCGGGTTCAAGCAATTCTCCCTGCCTCAGCCTCCCAAGTAGCTGGGATTACAGGTGCCTGCCACCACACCCGGCTAATTTTTGTATTTTTAGTAGAGACATGGTTTTGCCATGTTGGCCAGGCTGGTCTTGAACTCCTGACCTCAGATGATCTGCCCACCTCAGCCTTCCAAAGTGTTGGGATTACATACATGAGCCACCGCACCTGGCTTTTTTTCTTTTAATTTTTTGTAAAAGGTTATAAGAAGGCGTGGAAATGTAGATTTTTGCCTAGGGTTAAAGGATTGTTTTAAATTACACAAGATAAAGCTAAAAGTTCAAACAAGTGGTGGAAGGTTTCAAAAAATTAATCTTGCAGAAGAGGTTGTCTGTGTGAACATACTGACTAAATTCAAAAAAGGTATTATATGGTTTTTCTATAAATTGAACATTAAAATAAAAGCACAACAAGGTATTCCTAAGGTGCTAATCTTCTCTTTGGCAAAATTTGTAAATGGTTATAAAAGATTCTTGCTTCTTTAAAATTTTTGAGTCATCATTTTTGTAAAATAAACAACATGGTAATCTGCAATTCTATTTCATAATATCAAGTGTTTTAGATCTCAAACGTATTTAACAGCCTTCCCAAAATCAAACTTCAGTTTCAGTATTGTCTTTCTTCATGCCTGGCTTTTTAGATGGATCAGAGAGCCCCTGAAACATCTAGAAAAGAGCTAAACAGGATTATTTGACATGCTTAGTTACATGAAATTGCCAAAATAATGTTCAATCTTCTTTAGTTGTATTTTGGTAGATACTGCTAATATAGGTTCTAAAATTGTATGGGATTTCTAAAATTCTAATGTCAGAGTATATGCTATCAATCATAATTAGGTTGTTATGTTATTGTAAACCACAGAGATAAACAATTGTGTTTCTAACCGTAACTGCCCTGGACATTTTGCTATTCACAGACAACTGTTGTCTTGGTTTAATCCTTTTCAAATGATGGTTTATAATAAGCTACAGGACTCTGACAAGTGCTCTCAAATACAGGTTTCTAATAATTTTGGAGATTGTAACATTGAAATATAGGAAAATTTACAGAACTCATGAAGAGCTAAAATGTTCACCAATATCAAGCAAAGCAAGAACTAAATGAACTAAACTCAGAAAGCTGAAACAACTTTTTAACTTTTGCTTGGAATATTGCTAATCTTAGTTCTGTTTATTGGAGTCAAGGAAACTTATTTTGAGCTATTTACAACCTTTAATAATTGAGTAAGGTATACGCCTGTGAACAAAATTTGGAGCATGTTTGTTTCTCTCTGCATGGTTCCTCTAGAATTTGAAAACTATCTGCGAGTATTCTTAACCTATGGCAGTACAGTTGTTTGCATCTTTTGCAACAGGACCCAATTGGAGAAAGTCGTTATTTTATCAAGACTTTGACTGGAAGGGTATGTTTCCCTTTAAGGAGACAATCTTGACATGAAGAGCCAATAAAAGCCCCGTGGGAAGACTGGTCTCACACCCTTGCCTATGCAGTCCCTGTACAGGGTTCCTGACCTGTGGTAAGTAAAGAATGTCACTTTCTGACAGGTCCAGGAGCTTCAAGTTTATTATGGGCCCTCAAGAGGAAAGAATCACCCAACTCACAAGTATTTGAGGATACAAGCCCATGGCTGGGCTCAGCTTTAAAAGGTCTTATCTGAGATTCCTTGTGGAACAGAGTTCCATCAAAGCCAGTCTAAAAGGCCTATGTAGAAATAGTTATTCTTGCTGCACTTTGTGCAAATAATCAGGCTAAGACTAAAGTATATTTTGCAAACAACTCAGTCCTATCATGTTTTTTTTCTTTTTTTTTTTTTTAACAAAAATGAGGACTGGAGAGAGAAATTATGTTTCAAAAGTTATCATGCATTTGTCATTAAATTCTAGACTCATTAATTGTTTTTAAGTGTTTGCCTACATTTTTAGTCTAACCCTGCTTGTTCCTGTGAACCAACCAGCAATCTCTGGCTGCAGGTCAGAAAGAAGAAAAGGGATGTGTAAAGTAAAAATCTGGATCAATATTCTAGTTCTGAGCAATTATCCTGCAAATCCTGCCGGGTGATGGAAATAAATAGGATGCCCATCACTTGGAGGTTTCCTTTTTGGGAAAGTAAGACCAAGGGCGCTAACAAAAGCCAAGCACCATGCACCCAAGTCTTAGCAAGCATAACTATAGCCACCAGTTATCTGGGTGTGTCACAAAACATTATTTTTGCTCCCTTGTTGGAGGAGGACTCAATTCCACAACTTCACCTTAGCATTCAGCTTATGATAAGGAGTCCATGCAACCCCGAACCCCCCTCCTCCCCCTGCTCCCAAGAGACATTTCTGTTCCAAACTCAATTCCAAGCTTTGGGCCAAAGCCCTAGAATGTAAAACTGGATCTTAGGGATCCAGGGGCAGATGATAACAGAAGTTAAAAGACACAGTGCAGGTGAGTGTGGCTGATTCCTGACGATCAAGCCAATCTTCCCAATTCATGGATAAAGGTCATGTTAGTATCGATGGCATAAATGAAGTCTAGGGAATTCAAGGCTACTGACAGCAGGGGATATAGGGCATAGGTGGGTAGAGCTGATAATTTCCAACCCCTAGACCCCCCTGCTTCATGGGTGCAAGCTGCTTTGGCACCCATCGTGGTGCCTTCCAAGGTCACCAGGACTCAGAAATGCAAGGACAGAAGAGGGAAAGAGGACACTCTTCCTTCTCTCCCTCATGTACGCTGTTATCTGCTAGGAAGAGATGGGAACCACAGATGCCTGATCCTCTCTTTCTAGATGGTTGGCCATTCATCTTCAGTCTGTACCCCTTTCGAATGCATGCTGAAACCCTGGGAATCCTTTGAAAAAATGCCTTCTTTTTTCCTTTCTCCCCCTTGGTTCTCTCTTCACAGACAGGTAATTGTGCCTCCATACTATACAACATTCCCCTCAGATGCATCCTCCAAACTGGAAAGAGTTAATTTCCCAAATCTTAAACTGATTGGCTTATTATTTGGCTCAGGGGAAGAAACCCAGAAACCAAACATCCCAGCAAAAGGTACAGTTTTTTTTTGTTTGTTTTGTTTTTTTTTTATTTTTTTCTTTTTGTTTTTTTACCAGTCAGGCTTTTGGCTTCCCTCTCCCTGTGCAACTGGTAAAATGCCTCATCATTTTTTATTTGTTCTTATCCCTCCCCTTGTTTCATTTTGACACGCTTTCTAACAACACAGTTTGTCTGTCTTTTCTTGTCTTCAGGCTATCAACCTCCAAAAGTTCATGCAACCAGAGCCTTGGACAATGGCCTTTTCTTCTGGGAACCCTTAGATAGGCCTCCAAGGGGGATCTGACTGCCATTTTCTCAAAACAGCACCCCCTGTCAGCAGGAAGCAGTTAAGATTAGTCTTCATCCTTATCCTTATTCTTATTCCAACAGCAGTTAGATGTACTTCTTTAGAGGTGGCAATGAGACAGACAGATGGGAAGGAATCCCCATAAAAACACTAACTAGCCTGTGCACTGGAAGGAGTGCACACTGGGGTGGAGCCACAGAAGTTCACACTTTTTGCAGTGGGGAGGAGCCTGGCCCCTCCTCTTTCTAGGTGGAACCTGGGATTCAATCTGGGAGGTGGGAAGCCCACTGGCAGGAAACACATTGTCTCATTTTGCTAAAGGTCTCTGTTTCCCCTTTTCTTTCTTTTTTTGTTTTCACTGAATAAAATCTGACCCTATTCATCCTTCAAATTGTGAGACTAATAGCTCATGGCCGTGTGACAAGGACCCCAACTTTAGCTGAATTAAGGAAAAGTCTTGCAACAGTTGCTCTGGAATCTCAGGTCGGGAGTCCCTGCCCAGTGAGGAGAAGTGGGAATGGTGACAATCTTGGAAAATATTCTGGCCACTTTTCCATGGGGTGGCTGCACTGTGCTGGGAATCTGTGCCAGTATCAAATCATAATGCACCCTCCAGAGCCTGAGTGACAGTGGCAAGGGCTGTGGGGCAGCAAAAATCGCAGCCTGCCTCTTCATCTGAGAGCCCTGTTCCAGGGGAGTGCACAGCTATTACCAGCTTGAGAGCCCAGATATGGCTGCTGTGGCCACATTGAGGTCCCAGGCCAATAAGCCTTATCCTGTGAGGTGCAGTGGAGGTGAAACCTGCAATTCACTGCTGCTCAGCCTCTTGAATTTGACTACTTTCCTGGGGGCATACATGGGAGCCTGACCTCCCCCATTGCCAGAGCTACAGCTGCTAGTGTCAGGCTGCCCAGAGATCTAAGACTCTTGGAACTCCATGTGTGTCTGGACAGCAGCTCTGATCACACTCCATATAGCTGCCTATGTCAGTCTGGAGGACCTGGTGGGGAGGCTCATGGGAAATCTCCTGAGCCCAAGTTTCAAAAGTCCGTGGAAGAAGTGTGGGTCTTTTGGGACTCTTACTCATACACCATTTCCCCACAGTGGGGGTCCTCCTCTGTCTCTGTGCCATCCCTAGGTGGGCAGTCATCCTGTCTCACTCTCTATTCTCTGTGAATTGAGTTGTTTCCTTGATGAATACCAATATGTCCACCTGGATATTCCAGTTGAAGAGTTAGTATTTACTTGCCACTCTTTTTTTCTCTCCATGAGAGGGGCACACACTATCTGCTTGTAGTCAGCCATTTGGCCCTCTTCATCTCTGATTTTATTTATCTGAGTCTTCTCCCTCTTTGCCTTCATTAGTCTGGCTAAAGGTTTGTCAATTTTGTTGAACTTTTAAAAAAACCAACTTTTTTTTATTAACCTTTTGTATTGTATTATTCATTTCAAATACATTATTTCTGCTCAGATTTTTATTATTTCTATTGCTATAATTCTGAGTTTGGTTTGTTCTTGATTTTCTACTTCCTTAAGATGCATCATTAGTTTATTTATTTGAAGTTTCTAGTTTTTATGTAGGTACTTATAGCTATAAAATTGCCTCTTAGTACTGCTTCCACTGCATTTTATAGGTATTGGTATGTTGTGTTTCCATCATCATCTGTGTCAAGAAATTTTTGAATTTCCTTCTTGATTTCTTCACTGAACCATTGGTCATTCAGGAGCATATTTTTAAATTTCCATTTGTTTGTATAGTTTCCAAAAGTCCTCTCGTTGTTGATTTGTAGTTTTATTCCATTGTGATCAGAGAACATGCCTGATGTAATTTCATTTTCTTTAATGTTTTAAGACTTGTTTTGTGATCTAACACATGGTCTATTCTTGAAAATGACCCATGTGCTAAAGACAAGAATGTGTACTTAACAGCCATTGAATACAATGTTCTGTAAATATCTATTAGATCCATTTGATCTATAATGCAGATTAAGTCTGATGTTTCTTTGTTGAGTTTCAGTCTGAAGGATCTGTCCAATGCTGAAAGTGGGGTGTTGAAATCTCCAGCTATTATTGTAATGGAGCCCATCTCTCTCTTTAGCTGTAATAATATTTCCTTTATATATCTGTGTCCTGCAGTATTGGGTGCATATATATTCAAAATTGTTGTATCCTCTTGCTGAATTGACCCCTTTATCATTATGTAGTGATCTTTGTCTCTTCTTACAGTTTTTATCTTGAAATCTATTTTGTCTGATATAGGTATAGAAACTCTTGTTCTTTTTGGTTTCATTGCTATGAAGTATCTTCTTCCATCTTTTTATTCTCATTCTATATATATCTTTATAGGTGATGTGTGTTTCTTTTATCTATTCAGCAACTCTGTTTTTTGATTGGAGAGTTTAGTCCATTTACATTCAATGGCATTGTTGATAAGTAAGAACTTACCAGTGTCATTTTGTTGTTTGTTTTCTGGTTATTTTGTCCCTCCCTTCCTTCCTTCCTTCCTTCCTTCCTTCCTTCCTTCCTTCCTTCCTTCCTCCCTCCCTCCCTCCCTCCCTTCCTTCCTTCTTTCCTTTCTTCCTGTGCTCCCTTTTATGAAAGTAATTTTCTCTGGTGGTAACGTTTTAACTTTTGTGTTTTTTGTGTGTGTTTTGTGTATTGTAGTTTTTCTTATTTTGGATTTGAGGTTGCCAAGAGGCTTGCAAATATCATCTTAAAACCCATTATTTTAAACTGACAAAAACTGAACACCAATTGGATAAAGAAACTAAAAAAAAGCAAAGAGAAAACTAATAAAAACTCTACACTTTGATTTCATCCCTCTGCTTTTTAACTTTTTTTCTATTTATATCTTCTTATGCTGTCTATGTCTTGAAAAGTTGCTGTAGATAGTGTTTTTGATACATTTATCTATTAGTCTTCCTACTCAAAATATAAGTAATTTATACACAATTACAGTATTATAATATTCTGTATTTGTTTTTGTACTTATTATTAACAATGATTTTTTTTAACCTTCAGATGATTTCTTACTACTTGTTAATGTTCTTTTCTTTCAAACTGAAGAACTCCCTTTAGCATTTTTTGTAAGACAGATCTGGTGTTGATTAAATCCCTTAGCTTCTTTTTGTCTGGGAAAGTATTACTTCTTAATGTCTGGAGAATATTTTCACTGAATATTATATTCTAAGGTAAAAAATGTTTGCCTTTAGCAGCATTTAATTTATCCTTTTGGATATGTTATGCTCCTTTATCCTGGCCTATAAGGTCTCCACTAAGAAGTCTGCTGCCAGATGCATTGGAGCCCTTTTATATGTTGTTGTATTTCTCTTCTTGCTTTTAAGATTCTTTCTTTATCCTTGACCTTTAGGAGTTTGATTATTTAAAAGTTTTATTGTAGTCTTATTTGGGTTGAATCTTGGTGTCCTATGACTTTCTTGTCCTTGAATATTACTTTCTCTAAGTTTGGAAAGTTCTCTGTTATTATCTCTCTGAATATAATTTCTGTTGTGAGCTCTCTCTCTCTCTACCTCTTCTTTAATGCAAATGACTCATAAACTTGCCCTTTTGAGGTTATTTTCTAGATCTTGTTGGTATGCTTCATTCTTTCTTATTAGTTTTTCTTTTGTCTCCTCTGGCTATGTATCTTTAAATAGCCTGTCTTCAAGTTCAGTAATTCTTTCTTCCCCTTGATCCATTCTGCTGCTGAGAGACTCTGATGTATTCTCAGCATGTCAATTGCATTTTTCACCCCCAGAATTTCTACTTGATTTAAGTTCAATGACTCTTTCTTATGTCATGTCCGTGCTGATACTAAGCCTATCCAGTGATTTTCTTTTCTATTTCAGTTAATGTATCTTTCAGTTCTAAAATGTTCCTTTCTTTCTACATGACATCTTCTATTAGGTTGGTGCACATGTAATTGCAGGTTTTGCTTTTATATTAGTTACAGAGATATGTCTTTAAAATCTCCCTTTGTGATTATGAACTTGTCTATTTCTCATTTTAATTCTGTCTATTTACACATTACATGTTTAGATAGTATGTTACTAGGTAAATATAAATTTATAATTACTATATCCTCTTGATGGATTGCCCTTTTTATCATTATAAAATATCTTCATATTTAATAATTCTTCTGGTACAAAATCTACTTTGTCTGATATTAGTAAAAAAACTCACTATCTTTCTTTTACTTAGTGTTTCCATGGTGTATTTTCCATGGTGTATCATTTTACACCCTGCTACTTTCAACATTTCTTTATTTATGTTTAAGGAGTATCTCTTAAAGGTAGCACATAATGCTCTTTGTCCTTTTGAAAATTTACTCTGATAATTCTCTGATAATTGGAATGTTTACTCAATTTTTAATGTATTTACTAGAATAATTACTCTTCATCATCATCTTAGTATTTATTTTCTATTTGTGCAACTTTTTCTTCACTTGTATCTTTTTCTGCCTTCCATTGTGTCAATATTTTTATGATTACCTTGGTACTTACACATTTCTTTATTATCATTTTAGCATTTTACTCTAAAGATAACAAAATGTATCCTTGACATACTAGTGTATAATATAAATACTTTTATCACTTCTAAAAAAAGTAAGGTCTTTTTTTCCTCTGTCACTCTTATAATTGTCTGTACTTTAGATCATCATATACTTTTATTTATTTATTTTACTTTTTTTGAGACGAAGTCTCACTCTGTCACCCAGGCTGGAGTGCAGTGGCGCGATCTCGGCTCACTGCAAGCTCCACCTCTCGGGTTCACACCATTCTCCTGCCTCAGCCTCCTGAGTAGCTGGGACTACAGGCACTCGCCACCATGCCCGGCCAATTTTTTGTATTTTTAGTAGAGACAGGGTTTCACCATGTTAGCCAGGATGGTCTCAATCTCCTGACCTCGTGATCCGCTCGCCTCAGCCTCCCAAAGTGCTGGGATTACAGGCATGAGCCACCGCGCCTGGCCAGATCATCATATACTTTCAATGCAACATATTTTTACTTTTGTTATTTCATACAGTCAATATTTATTGATATTCACCCTCATAGCTTATTAGAGAGTTGTTATTCAATAGTATCTTTTCTGCCTCATTCAGAATAATTTTCCCCTAGATCTCAGATTTCTGTAACAAAGAACATCTGTGGACCCACATCTATTTACACTTAAAGCCAGCATGCAGAAAATGAATCGTCTTTGATTCACTATTATGCAGTCACATGTGTGCTTGCTTATGCATTTCCACTATAAAACATTAAGAAACAAATTATTTAGAACAACTGGTACAGAACATGAAATCCATTTTAATCTGTATGATATCACCTGGAATTTATATGATAGAAAGTGGAACATGTTGATCTACTCACTCCTCCATGATTATGTTGATCTCATGATTTCTTACAGTCTATTTTGACAGATATAATTATCCCCCTTGTTATTAATTTATCCACTAATAACCACTATTTGTCTGTCTAGGGCACTTAAGTTTACTTAAACATACTTGGACCTACTTTAGTATATCATATGCAATTCCTCCTACAGTTCACCTGGAGAAATGTTACTTATAGGTAGATATAGAGGTAAGACTTCTATGAATATATATTCTCATATTCTTTTAAGCTTTTGAACCATTTATTTTATATTTTCAAAGTATAATTACCCTACAATTGAAAACAAGCCAAAATAAACTTAACTGCAAATCAAATTAATAATACAACGCCACAGAAAAGTAACTGTTTCAAGTAAATTTTGAACATAATATTGATAGTGAACATCTTTAGTGGGATATATTTTAAGGACAAGTCTTAAAAGGCAGAGAAAAATAACATCTTATTAATCTAACTCTTAGTGGCAACATTGGCATTGCAATTTTAAAACTATCATATATTTTATAAGCTAAATCAAATAGTTTGTGTTAAATCTTTGCCAAGAATCTAAGAGAAAATGCATACAGATATAAAAAACACGTTCAGAAAAGTTGATGTAATGTTTAACTTTAGTTGAGCATATAAATAAGAATGTATGATTTTCTTTGTTACCATTAATGTATTTTCCAGCCTCTTCCACTAAAGGCCTTGAATATATGACACCAATCCATGCATCTAATAAGGAGTGAACATTTAAAATATATAAGAAACTCAAAAAACTCTATATAAATAAAACAAATAATCCAATTTTAAAATGGGCAAGACATCTGAATAAATATTTCTCAGGATTCATACAGTCAATACAAACACAAAAAAAGTGCTCAACATCACAAATCATTAGGAAAATGCAAATTAAATCTACAATTAAATATCACCTCATATCTGTCAGAATGGTTATTATCAAAAATACAAAAGGTAATAGGTATTGGCAAGGTTGTTGAAAACAAGGAAACTTTGTACGTTGTTGATGGGAATATAAATTGGTACAGACATTATGAAAAACTATATGGAGGTTTCTCATAAAACTAAAAACAGAATTATCATATGATCCAGCAATCTAATTTCTGGATGTTTACCCCAAACATTTGAAATCAGCATGTTGAAGAGGTGTATGGACTCCCATGTTCATTGCAGCACTATTCTCAATAGCCATTATGGTATCAGCCTAGGTGTCCATCAACACAAATGGATAAAGAAAATGTGGTATATATACACAATGGAATACTATTCAGCCTTAAGAAAAAATATTGTCCTTTTTAACAACATAAATGAAATTGGAGAACATTATGCTAAGTGAAATAAGCCAGGCAAGGTGTATAAGTATTTGATGTGACAGATATGTTAATTTGCTTAATCTAATTGTTTCACAATGTATTCTTAAATCATAACATTATTTTGTACCCCATAAATATATGCAGGTATAACTTTTCAATTTACAATTTAAGATAGAAAATTTAAAAGAAGTAAAGGCACTACTAACAATAAGCACACCTAGTCCCCAGATCTTGATTTCTAAATACTATTGCCAATTAAAAAGCACTATGGTTCCTTGTTGAAATGGTTTATTCCAGTGCTGCAACTGAGAAATTAGGTTAGCCAGAGACTTCTGGTTAGGGCAGAATGCAAGGAAGAGCATCAATATTGTACAAATAAGAGGAACTGGCATTTTTAAAAACAAAGATTTTGATATTAAGCTGGAATTTGATTTAAAAATAATGATTTCATAGAGCACCAAACAAAAAACATCATCAAAATATATTTAACTTGTTCACAATATGATGACTTTTCTCTAAAGACATTCTATTGTGAATCAACATTCACTATGTTCCTTTTTTTAAATTTTTTTTATACTTTAAGTTTTAGGGTACATGTGCACAACGTGCAGGTTAGTTACATATGTATATATGTGCCATATTGGTGTGCTGCACCCAATAACTAACCATTTAACATTATGTATATCTCCTAATGCTATCGCTCCCCCCTCCTCCCACCCCACAACAGGCCCCGGTGTGTGATGTTCCCCTTCCTGTGTCCATGTGTTCTCATTGTTCAATTCCCATGTATGAGTGAGAACATGCGGTGTTTGGTTTTTTGTCCTTGCGATAGTTTGCTGAGAATGATGGTTTCCAGCTTCATCCTTAATGCTTCTTATAACTCCACCTTGGTAATGATTTCATTAATCATTATTCTGTATTCATTTAGCAATACTTTTGATCTGAGTTATATATTTTTCCATTATTTTTGCATTAACTATTTGTTGTTGAGATCTCAAAAACATATTACTAGTGAGTTAATTAATGTTTTGGATGGTTCTGAGTAATCACATGGTATGTGTCATATCCCTCAGTTATCCCTGGAATGGTCTAATGGATGTATTGTAAAAGCTCTTCATTTCTAATTGCATACTAGAATGTAGTTGAATGTATGTGGAGATATATATTTGTAAATGGGTAATGCTGCAATTTATTTTAATGGCTGTTTCTATTTTATACCATTTATTTTCTAGTGAATATCTCTTATGCATGAACAAATTATTTTTTAATACAAGTTGATACCAAACTAGTAATTCATAAAATTATCTCAGCCCTCAGAGATTGGCCTAGTTGAAACTACATTCTTAACTTGTTTAGATATTAACCACAAAAATAATTAAATTGACCGTTACTTATTTTACTAATGCATGCTTTTATATAATCTATATTGATAAAAAATTGAATAACTTCATTATTTTATAATAGTTTATTGAAATGCAATTCATATAACACTAAGTTCACTATTTTAAAGTGTATAATGCAATGGTTTTACTATATTCACAGAGTTGTGTAACCTCATCGCTATTTAAATTTAGAAAATGTTCATTACCCAAAATGAAATCCCATACACTCACTTTGTTCATACCCCCTGAAAATTACTAGCCTGCTTTCTCTCTTTGAATTTGCCTATTCTTGACATTTTATATAAAAAATAATACAGTAGGGAATTTTTTTCAACTGGCTTATTCCACTTGCCATAATGATTTCAAGATTCATCCATGTTGTAGCATCAATACTTTATTCCTTCTTATTGATGCATAATATTCTATTGTATGGATATACCACATTATGTTTATCTGTTCACCAGTTCATGGGCATTTGCATGGTTTTCACTTTTTTTGGTTATTATAAATAATGTTTTTTTTTTTTTGGACGGAGTCTCGCTCTGTTGCCCAGGCTGGAGTGCAGTGGCATGATCTCGGCTCCCTGCAACCTCCGCCTCCCAGGTTCAAGTGATTCTCCTGCCTCAGCCTCCCAAATAGCTGGGACTACAGGCACACGCCACCATGCCCAGCTAATTTTTGTATTTTTAGTAGAGACAGGGTTTCACCATGTTGGCCAAGATGGTCTCGATCTCATGACCTTGCGATCCGCCCACCTCGGCCTCCCAAAGTGCTGGAATTACAGGCGTGAGCCACCGTGTTATAAACATCCATGTACAGATTTTTGTATTAACATATGTTTTCAATAAACTTGAGTATATATACCTAGGAGAAGAATTGCTCAGTTTTATAGTACCTTGATGTGTTAAGTAAACATATTAAAATATGTGAGTGCATGTGTCCTTCTGGTAGAAAATTTTATTTTCCTTTGGATACCCAGTAATGGGATTGATGGGTCAAACAGTAGTTCTGTTTTTAAATTATCTGAAAATCTGCAAACTGCTTTCCATAGTGGCTTCACTAATTTACATTCCCACCAACAGTGTATAAGCATTCCCTTTTCTTGGCAGCCTTTCCAGCATCTGTTATTTTTTTACTTTTTAGCGACAGCCATTCTGACTGATGTAAGATGGTATCTCATTGTGGCTTTGATTTGCATTTATCTAATAATTAGTAATGTTAAGAATTCTTTCATATGTTTATGGGCTGTTTGTATGTGTTCTTTTAAGAAGTGTCTATGTAATTTGCCCACTTTTTTATTGGGTTATTTGGTTTTTGCTTGTTCAGTTGTTTAAGTTTCTTACAGATTCTGGATATTAGACCTTTATCAGATGCATAGTTTGCGAACTATTTTGCCAAATTTAATGTTTTTCAGATATTGGATTTGGATTATACATTCTTCCTCTCTGCCATGTACTTACTGGTGGTTGTGATAAGGAAAATGTCTATCTCTTCTAAAAAATGTGCCCTCTCTAACAAGTAGAAAATGATAGTCTAATGAGATACACATAACCTCTATGTGTGTTGGTGTTTTCTATATTTTCCAGCCAAAGTTGTTATCAAATGAAAAATATTAAGTTTCTCTTTGTATTGGGTTTCTTTCTACAAATTGTGGCTAAGTTTGAAGAAGAGAGAACAGAGACACGATATATTAGTTTTTGAAATAAAATGTAAAGGTTTCTGTACCCAATCTGATAATTGTTTAGCATAATTTTTCTAATAGTTATTTTTATAGTGACACATTTCCTATCAAGTTAATTTTCTTTCTGCTATTTTCTTAAGTTTACCTGACCATGAAAATTCAAAATTTAGTTTCAATCCAGCTGCAAATGACTCTTCTCTGTAACACACTATAGCAGAAAATTACACAGGTCAATCATATCTATTGCAAAAAGCCCATTCCGTTTACACATTTTAAATTAACTGCCTTTTAGTCCCATCAGTTGTCTCCTGGTTTTCAAGAATATGTTTAAGTCACTGAGGAGCTATGGATATTGACACTTACTATGTCCATTATTATTTAAGAGGTGATAATCAGGGTATTTTTTTCCGTCTTAAAGGGATAATTTTCAGCCCCTTCTTAAAACTCAAATTTTTCTATCTCTAAAAGAAGGCAAAATATGAAATACATTTATAACCATCCATAGAGGCAGTGCTACAATATGTACTTTTTTGAACCTCTTTATGTATAGAATATTTTCAGGACTTAATTTTATTTGTACTAGTAAGTTATCAGTAATCATTTTTAGCTTATTTAAAAAATGTTTTCAAACTTATACATTCAAAATGTGGTTTTAAATCAAATAATATGTTTTAATCAAATAAAGAGGAGAACTTAATATGAAAACAATCCCAGGCTCTACCCCACTCCAGAGGGAACCATTCTTAAACACTTCACTTAAATAGTTCTGAATGCTACTTCTATGTCTCTAATTTGCTTATATTGTTAAATCTTGACTCAGTTTTACACATTATCTTTTGACTTCCTGATATAATTGCTTAGGAATAAGTTCACTTATTCTCCATCATATAAATACTACACAAATATAGTGATGTCTCTATTTATTAGTAACTATATTTATTGTCTTCGTAAATGATATACTTGTACACTTGTGTCTTGTTCATCAAACATAAACAAAGTCTCAATTTGTACCTTGTAAGATGAGGACATTAACACTAGCATTTTCCCTTGAGTTCTCCTGCCTCTTTCCATTTTCTCACATTTGTAATCTATACTTATACTTATTCATTGCAAAATTTAAAAGCATTTACATACTACTGTGCAGTAACAGAATTTTAGTTGTCCAGGCTTTTCCTACAGTTAATCTAAAAGTCGAACATAAGGGAACAATGTTTACGTTAGTATGAGAATATGAAGACATGAATCAATTGTGTACTATGATTTTTTTATTTTTTGTAACTCTACTTTTGTGGGGTTTCTTTTTCTGAATTGCAACTTCTTTAGAATAAGAGTATACATGTGCAGGTTTGTTACAAGGCTATATTTCATGCTGCTGAGGTTTTGGGTATGATTGAACTCATCACCCAGTTAGTGAGCATAGTACCCAACAGGTGGTTTTTCAACCCTTACCCGCTCCTTCTCTCTCCACTGTTGTTGTCTCCACTGTCTATTGTTCCCATATTTATGTCCATGTGCATCCAATGTTTAGCTTCCACTTATAAGGGAGAACATGTGATATTTGGCTTTCTGCTTCCTGTGTTAATTCACTTAGAATAATGGCATCCAACTGCATACATGTCACTGTAAAGAATAGGATTTTGTTCTTTTTATGACTGCATAGTATTCCATGGTGTATATGTGCCATATATTCTTTATTCAGTCCACCATTGATGGGCACCTGGAATGATTCCATGTCTTTCTTATGGTAAACAGTGCTGTGATAAACATACAAGTACATGTGTGGTTTTGGTAGAATTATTTATTTTCCTTTGAGTATATACCCAGTAATGGGATTGCTGTGTCAAACAGCAGTTCTATTTTTGGTTATTTAAGAAATCAACACTGTATAAGTGTTCCCTTTTCTTGGCAGCCCTACCAGCATTGTTATTTTTTTTTTTTTTACTTTTTAAATAACTTCCTTGGAGAAGTGTCTGTTCATGTCCTTTGCCTACTTTTTAATAAGGTTATTTGTATTTTCTTGCTGATTTAAGTTTCTTCCAGTTTCTTGATATTAGACCTTTGCTGAATGGATAGTTTGCAAATATTTTCTCCCATTCTGTAAGTTGAGTATTTACTCTGTTGATAGTTTATTTTGCTGTGCAGAAGCACTTTAGTTTAACTAGGCCTCTCTTGACAATTTTTGTTTTGGTTGTAATTGCTTTTGAGGAGTTAATCATAAATTATTTGCCAAGGCCAATGTCCAGAAAGGTATTTCCTAGGTTTTCTTCTAGGATTTTTATAGTTTGAGGTGCTACATTTAAATCTTCATTCCATCTTGAATTAATTTTTGTATATTGTGATAAACAGGGGTCCAATTTCATTCTTCTGTATGTGGTTAGTGAGTTAGAACAGCCCCATTTTCTGAATAGGGAGATTTTTGCTCATTATTTATTTTTGCTGGGTTTATTGAAGATCAGCTCATTGTAGATAGGTGGCTTTATTTCTGAGTTCTCTGTTCTGTTTCATTGATCTATATATCTGATTTTTGTTTGTTTGTTTGTTTGTTTGTTTGTTTTTACCTGTATTGTGCTGTTTGGGGCTATTGGGAAATATGGCCACTTTAAAGATACTGACACTTCCAATCCATGAGTGTGAAATATTTTTTCCATTCATTTGTGTCATCTATGATTTCTTTCAGCACTGTTTTGTAGTTCTCCTTTGTTGTGGGAAGTCAGGGACCCCAAACAGAGGGACCGGCTGAAGCCGTGGCAAAAGAACATAAATTGTGAAGATTTCATGGACATTTATTAGATCCCCAAATTAATACTTTTATAATTTCCTACACCTGTCTTTATTGTAATCTCTGAACATAAATTGTGAAGATTTCCTGGACACTTATCACTTCCTCAATCAATACCTTTGTGATTTCCTATGCCTGTCTTTACTTTAATCTCTTAATCCCATCATTTTCGTAAGCTGAGGAGGATATATGTTGCCTCAGGACCCTGTGATGATTGTGTTAACTGCACAAATTGTTTGTAGAGCATGTGTGTTTGAACAATATGAAATCTGGGCACCTTGAAAAAAGAACAGGATAACAGCAATGTTCAGGGAACAAGAGAGATAATCTTAAACTCTGACCGCCGGTGAGCCTGGTGGACCAGAGCCATATTTCTCTTCTTTCAAAAGCAAATGGGAGACACATCGCTGAATTCTTTTTCTCAGCAAGGAACATCCCTGAGAAAGAGAATGCGCCCCTGAGGGTGGGCCTCTAAAATGGCCCCCTTGGGTGTGGCCGTCTTCTATGGTTGAAACTGTAGGGATGAAATAAGCCCCAGTCTCCCATAGTGCTCCCATGCTTATTAGGACAAGGAAATTCCCGCCTAATAAATTTTGGTCAGACCAGTTGCTCTCAAACCCTGTCTCCTGATAAGATGTTATCAATGACAATGGTGCCGGAAACTTCATTAGCAATTTTAATTTCGCCCTGTCCTGTGGTCCTGTGATCTCGCCCTGCCTCCATTTGCCTTGTGATATTCTATTACCTTGTGAAGCACATGATCTCTGTGACCCACACCCTATTCGTACACTCCCTCCCCTTTCGAAAATCACTAATAAAAATTTGCTGGTTTCACGGCTCAGGGGGCATCACGGAACCTACCGACATGTGATGTCTCCCCCGTATGCCCAGCTTTAAAATTTGTCTCTTTTGTACTGTGTCCCTTTATTTCTCAACCTGGCTGATGCTTAGGGAAAATAGAAAAGAACCTACGTGAAATCGGGGGCACATTCCCCGATACTCCTTGTAGAGTTTTTTACCTCCTTGCTTAGATGTATTTCTAGATACTGTACTTTTTTGTGTGTAGCTATTGTAAATAGGATTGTGTTCTGATTTGGCTCACAGCTGGAACACTGTTGGTGTATAGAAGTGCTGCTAATTTTTTTACATTGATGTTGTATCTGGAAACTTTACTGAGGTCGTTTATTAGGTCCACGAGCCTTTCGTGGAGTCTTTAGGTGTTTTTAGGTTTTATTTCATCATATTATCTGTGAAGAAAGACTTATTCTTTTCCTATTTGCATACCTTTCATTTCTTTCTCCTGCCTGATTGCTCTTGCTAGGACTTTCACTACTTTCCTGAATAGGAGTGGTATGAGTGGACATCCTTGTCATAGTTCAATTTTTATGAGGAATGTTTCGAGCTTTTGCCTGTTCAATGTGATGTTGCCTGTGAGTTAGTCATTGTTGGCTCTTATTTTGGGTATACTCCTCCAATGCCTAGCTTTCTGAGGGTTTTTATCATGAAAAAGTATTGGATTTAATTGAAAGCTTTTTCTGTGTATATGAATGTAACCATATGATTTTTAAAAATATTTATAATTTTTGTGAGTACACAATAGGTGTATATACTTATGGATTACATGAGATATTTTGGTACAGGCATGCAATGCATCATAATCACATCATGGAAAATTGGGTATCCATCCTGTCAAGCATTTATCTTTTGTGTTACAAACAATCCAATTAACCTTTTTATTTATTTATTTATTTATTTGAGACGAACTCTTACTCTGTCACCAGGCTGGAGTTCAGTGGCACGATCTTGGCTCACTGCAACCTCTGCTTCCCAGGTTCAAGTGATTCTCCTGCCTCAGCCTCCCGAGTAGCTGGGACTACAGGCACGCACCCCCATGCCCAGCTATACTTGTACATTTATTTTTAAATGTACAATTAAAGTATTATTGACTGTAATCTAAAGATTCAACGCAATCCCTATCAAAATACCAATGACGTTTGTCACAGAAATTGAAGAAACAATCCTAAAATTTACATGGCACTACAAAAGACCCAGAATAGCCAAAGCTATCATAAACAAAAACAAAACAAAAAAACTTGAGGAATCACATTACATGACTTCAAATTACACTACAGAGCTATAATAGCCAAAACAGCATCAGACTGGCATAAAAACAGACACAAAGAGCAATGGAATAGAACAGAGAACCCAGAAACCAATTTACATACCTACAATGAACTCATTTTCAACAAAGATGCCAAAAACATACAGTGGGGAAAAGAGAGTAAATGGTGGTGGGAAAACTAGATATCCATAGCAGAAGAATAAGACTAGATCTCCATCTATCACCATACACAAAAATCAAATCAAGATGGATTAAAGACTTAAATCTAAGACCTCAAACTATGAAACTACTATGAAAAAGTATTGGGGAAACTCTCCAGGACATTGGTCTGGGCAAAAATTTCTTAAACAATTCCCCATAAGAACAGGCAACAAAAGCCAGAAATGGGAAAATGAGATAACATCAAGTTAAAAAACTTCTGCACAGTATACAACACAATCAACAAAGTGAAGAGACACCCCACCTAATGGGAGAAAATATTTGAAAACTACCTATCTGACAAAGAATTTATAACCAGAATATATAAGGAACACAAACAACTCTATAGGAAAAAATCTAATAATTAGTTCCAAAAATGGGCAAAAGATTTGAATAGACACTTCTCAAATGAAGACATACAAATGAAAAACAGGCATATGAAAAGGTGTGCTTAACATAATTGATCATCAGAGAAATACACATCAAAACTACAATGAGATATCTCACCACAGTTAAATTGGCTTATAGCCAAATGACAGGCAATAACAAATGCTGGCAAGGATGTAGAGAAAAGGGAACTCTCACACACTGTTGATGGCAATGTAAATTAGAACAACCACTATGGAGAACCATTTGGAGTTTCCTCAAAATACTAAAAATACAGCTGCCATATGATCCAGCAATCCCCCTGCTCGCTATATACCCAAAAGAATGGAAATCAGTATATTGAAGAGACAGCTGTGATAGAATTCAGCTGTGAATCTGTCTCATCCTGAACTTTTTTTTGTTTTTGGCAATTTTAAAATTTCCCTTTTAATCTCAGTGCTTGTTATTGGTCTGTTCAGAGTTTCTATTTCTTCCTATTACATAAAGTTGTTAACTTTATGTAATAGCGTTTAGCTTAAGTATTAGTGTGCTTCTGGTGTACAAAAGATAGCTGTATTATATTAGGTGTAATTATGACCTTATTATTGTCTTTATTCGAAGGTTATATATTATTTCAGTTGATGTGTATGGGTTCAAGTTGACAAGGGGTGGACTTGTGATGGTTAATATTGAGTATCAACATGATTGGATTGAAGGATGCAAAGTATTGTTCCTGGGTGTGTCTGTGATGGTGTTGCCAAAGGACATTAACATTTGAGTAAGTGAACTGGAAGAGGCAGACTCATCCTTGATCTGGGTGGGCAACATCTAATCAACTGCCAGTACAGCTAGAATAAAGCAGGCAGGAGAAGATGGAAGAGTAGACTTGCTGAGTCTTCTAGCCTTCATCTTTCTCCCGTGCTGGGTGCTTCCTGCCCTCAATCATCAGACTCCAAGTTCTTCAGCTTTTGGACTCTTGGACTTACATCAATGGCTTTTCAGTGGCTTTCGAGCCTTTGACCACAGACTGAAGGCTGCTGCACTGTTGGCTTCCCTACTTTTGAGGTTTTGGGACTTGGACCGATCCATCACTGGCTTCCTTGCTCCTCAACTTGCACATGGCCTATCATGGGACTTTACCTTGTGATCATGTGAGTCAATTCTCCTTAATAAACTTCCTTTCATATATACATATATTCTGTTAGTTCTGTCCCTCTAGATAACCCTGACTAATGCACAAAGCTAGGGAAGTTTTCCTCGATTATTCTCTCAAATATGTTTTCAAAACTTTTAGATTTCTCTTCTACATCAATCATTCTTAGATTTTGTCATTTAACATAATCCCAAATTTTAGAAGCTTTGTTCATTTTTAAAATTCTTTGTTTATTGTCTTTCTGATTGGGTTAATTTAAAATCCTTGTCTTTGAACTCTGAAGTTCTTTCTTCTACTTGTTTGATTCTAATGTTAAGAGTTTCCAGTGTATTTTGCATTTCTCTAAGTGTGTCCTTCATTTCCAAAAGTTGTAATTGTTTTTTAATTTATGCTATATAATTCTCTTAACATTTTTCCATTTATATCCTGTATCTTTTTTTTAAATTTCTTTAAGTTGATAGTCACCTTTCTCTGGTGCCCCCTTTAGTAGCTTAATAATAGATTTTCTGAACTCTTTTTCTGGAAATGCAGAGATTTCTTATTGGTTTGGATCCATTGCTGGTGAACTAGTGTGATTTTGGCGGGTTGTTAAATAACTTTGTTTTGTCATGTTACCCGAATTGTTTTTCTGGTTCCTTCTCATTTGGATAGACTGTGTCAGAGGGAAGTTCTGGGATTCGAGAGCTGGTGTTCAGATTCTTTTGTCCCATGGGGTGCTCCCTTGATGTCGTGCTCTCCCGCTTCCCCTAGAGATGGGGCTTCCTGAGAGCCAAACTGTAGTGATTGTTATTTCTCTTCTGGGTCTAGCCACCCAGCAGAGCTATTGGGCTCTGGACTGGAACTGGGGAGTGTCAGCAAAGAGTCCCATGATGTAATCTGTCTTCAGGTCTCTCAGCCATGGATACCAGCACCTGCTACAGTGGAGGTACCAGGGGAGTAAAGTAGACTCTGTGAGGGTCCTTGGTTGTAGTTTTGTTTAGTCCACTGGTTTTGTGTTGGTTGGCCTCCAGCCAAGAGGTGGTGCTTTCAAGATATCATCAGCTGCAATAGTATAGGGAGGATGCAAGCTTGCCCTAGGGTTACCTGGATAAGTATTCAGGTTCCTCACGTGGTGGGTGGGGCCATGCAGCGCCCAAGACATTATATCCATTGTCTTCAGCTACCAGGGTGGGTAGAGAGAGACCAACAGGTTGGGGCAGGATTAGGCATGTCTGAGTTTAGCTTCTCCTTGGGCAGAGCTTTCTGCAGCCACTGTGGGGGCTGAGGTTGTGGTTCTCAGGCCAATGGAGTTATGTTCCCAGGGTGATTATGACTGCCTCTGCTGTGTCATACAGGTTTCCAGAGAAGGGATGGAAAGTTGGCAGTGACAGGCCTCACCCAGCTTCCATGCAATCAGAAAGGCCAGTCCCACTCCCAACATGTCCACCCAATAGTAGCAAGTTTATTTCCAGGCAGCTGGTGGGCAGGGCAAAGAACCTGCCCCAAACTACAAGCCTCCCTGCTGAGAAAGCAAGCAGGGCTTTCAGGTTTTGCGCCTCCCCGCCTGATTCAGCTTCTGTGCTGCATGTTCCCACACTCCCCTGAATTCTGTCCAGGAAACTTGCATTCAGTCAAAATTGCTACAAGGTTCAGCTGGAAGTTTCCTTCTCCCTGTGGTCTTTCCCTAATTCCACTGGCAGGCCTCCCCAGTAACCTCTGTGAGACAAAGTCATAAATGGCTTCCCTGGGGACTGAGAGTGTTCTGACATAGTCTGAGGAAATGGCTCTTCTCACTGCTTCCTCTACTCCTATATTTTGCTTGGCTCTTTAAATTTGTCTCAGCTCCAGGTAATGTTAAATTCTTCTCCCGTGATCTGGGCCTTCCTTTTCCCCAGTGAGGATGTGTGGTTAGGGATGGACTTTCCCCTCTTACGCGCTTAGGGCACTCACAGTTTTATAGCTGTCTCAGGAAGCCTAAAGTGGCAAGCTGCTTCCTTCAAAGGGCCTGTGGATTCTTTCAGGTTTCCTGGTATGTTCCTGTGGTAGTTCTTGGAGCAAAATTTCATAATGTGAGTCTCCACATTCTGCTTTGTCCATCCAAGTCTGAGTGGGAGCTGCAACTTAGTTCTGCCTCCTATCCACCATTTTACCATGTGCTTCCATCTGTTGGTGTTAATCTTGATCACCTGGCTGAGTTAGTGTTTGTCAGGTTTCATTTCTCCTTTAACACTGTACTTTTTGGAAGGAAGTCTTTATATGTAACCCGCATTTAAGGACTGGAGAAGTATGCACCACCTTAAGGGTAGAATATCAAGTGAAATTATTTTGAATTCTTCTAAATGGGACATTTGTCTCTTCTCCCCAATTTATTTACCATTCAATAATTTATTTACATCAATATATACTCATGGATATTTTATACTTTGGTTTATAATCCAGTATTTATTTATTTATTTATTTTGTTGTTCAAATTATTTCAACTTTGACCATTGGGAGTTCTTTCAGTTGTTTCTTTTGTTTCCTTGATGTACTCCCATCTTTTTAAATCTCTTTAGCACTTCCTTATTCTTTGCAACTAAAAGATCCTCCAGGTTCATCTTTCATATATTCTTAGCCCCAGTCCTGGAATCAGCCATTTCTCCAAAGAGCCTTAGTTATTTTTGTTGGATAATAATTTTATAAACCTAGATTGGGTGGTGGGGTGCTTATTACTACTTAGATCCCATTGTTTATAGGCCCTCCAAGCTGAGGCAGCAACAAAACATATGTATGTATATTAACCCATGTATGTACACATATTTATGTGTATACAAACATAAAGGGATATATAAATATGAATGTATCTGTATCTATATTAAGCTAAACACCATCATCAACTACCTTAATTGTTCAATTCTTGTACACTTGTAAAGTGGTTTCAGAATTGTTAAACCATACCCCATGGGAAACAACTTTACTGACTTAAACACAGTGCTTATGGATATTTTATTTTAACTTTAGCCTCATAGAATCCATTTATTTCCAACATTACTCAGGTTAGCACCTTATTCTCTCACCCTCTTCATGAGATTGTTCCATACATTTGTGGTAGAGTTAGATTATTTTGTTATAATCTGAATTTTTTTACTGTGATCCTTCAACCTCTTAAATTATTTTCTTAAGAATTTAAATATTTAAAGTTCATTCTTTGTGCTATAAAGTTCTATGGGTTTCGACAAATGTATAGTGTCATGTATCTACCATCAGAATAGTTTTGCTGCTCTTATGCTTCACTTTTTTAAACATATGAAATACAGTTATAATTCTTATATGTCTCTCAAATAATGTTTCATGAAATGACATTTTGTTTCATTATAATATTTATATACTTTTGCTTAATATTATTGCTATCATAGCAATAATATTAATCAATTAAAATGCTTCAAATTCCCCATAATTTTACAAATTATTCCTGAAATTATTTTCAATATTCTTAAGCATAGTTTTTTTATTATATTTTGAGACATTTTTTATGTGAACATATATCACATTTTGTCATGTATGTTGATGTGTAAATGGTTTAAAGTATAAGCACTTTCTTTGTATTTAAGTCAAATAATATTTCTTCAATAAAGACAAACTAAATCATCATCTTTGTCTATCAAGGCACCAATTTTCCTCAAATTGTTGACATAAAAAATGACAATGGTGTTAATCAAGAAAACCCTAGGTCTATGCAAAAAGCCCAAATAAATGGGTAATGTGCTAAACAAAAGTTGATTAAACTAAACTCTTAAGAGAGTTAGATATAGATGATTAGACAGAACATGCCAAAATGACTAAGGTACTATGATACATTCTTTTTAATTTTTTTTATTTCCATAGGTTATTGGGGAACACGTGGTGTTTCATTACACGAGTAAGTTCTTTGGCGGTGATTTGTGAAATTTTGGTGTACCCATCACCCAAGGAGTACACACTGCACCCAAATTGTGATCTTTTATCCCTCACCCTCTTCCCATCCTTTCCCTCTGAGTCTACAAAGCCCATTGTGTTTTTCTTATGCTTTTGCATCCTCATAGCTTAGCTTCCACATAACAGTGAGAACATACAATGTTTGGTTTTCTATTCCTGAGTTACTTCACTTAGAATAATAGTCTCCAATCTCATCCAGGTCACAACAAATACCATTAATTCATTCCTTTTTATGGATGAGTAGTATTCCATTTTATATATATAATACGTATTATATATATTATATATATAACGTATTATATATATAATATATATAATACGTATTATATATAATATATATAATACGTATTATATATATTATATATATTATGTATTATATATTATATATATTATATATATTATGTATTATATATTATATATATATTATGTATTATATATTATATATATTATGTATTATATATTATATATATATTATGTATTATATATATTTTATATATATATATATATATCACAGTTTCTTTATACACTCGTTGATTGATGGGCATTTGGGTTGGTTCCACTTTTTTGCAATTGCAAATTGTGCTGCTATAAACATGCATGTGCAAGTATCTTTTTCCTCTGGGTAGATACTGAGTAGTGGGATTGCTGGATCAAATATTAATTTTACTTTTAGTTCTTTAAAGAATCTCCACACTGTTTTCCATAGTGGTTGTACTAGTTTGCATTCTCAACAGCAAGGTAGAAGTGTCCCTGTTTGCTGCATCCATGCTAACATCTATTTTTTTTTTCTTTTTGATTATGGGCATTCTTGCAGGAGTAAGGTGGTATTGCATTGTGGTTTTGATTTGCATTTCCCTGATCATTAGTGATATTGAACTTTTTTTCTTTTGTTTGTTGTTCTTATTATCTTCTTTTGATAATTCATGTCCTTAGCCCACTTTTTGATGGGTTGTTTGTTTTGTCCTTGCTAATTTGTTTGAGTTTGTTGTAGATTCTGGATGTTAGTCCTTCATCATATGTATAGATTGTGAAGATTTTCTCCCACTTTGTGGGTTTTCTGTTTGTTCTGCCTACTGTTTCTTTTGCCGTGCAAAAACTCTTTAGTTTAATTAAGTCCCAGCTATTTATCATTGTTTTTATTGCATTTGTTTTTGGGTTCTTGGTCATAAAATTCTTACATAAGCCAATGTCTAGAAGGGTTTTTCCAATGTTATCTTCTAGAATCTTTATAGTTTCAGGTCATAGATTTAAGTCTTCAATCCATCTTGAGTTGATTTTTGTATAAGGTGAGAGATGAGGATCCAGTTTAATTCTCCTATATGTGGCTTGCCAATTATCCCAGTACCATTTGTTGAAGAGGGTGTCCTTTCCCCACTTTATGTTTTTGTGTGCTTTGTTGAAGATCAACTGGCTTTAAGTATTTGGCTTTATTTCTGAGTTTTCTATTCTGTGCCATTGGTCTATGTGCCAATTTTTATGCCAGTACCATGCTGTTTTGGCGACTATGGTCATATAGCATAGTTTGAAATCAGGTAATGGATGCCTCCAGATTTGTTCTTTTTGCTCAGTCTTGCTTTGGCTATGTGGACTCTTTTTTGGTTCCATATGAATTTTAGGATTTTTTTTTCTAGTTCTGTGAAGAATGGTGGTGGTATTTTCATGGGAATTGCATTGAATTTGTAGATTACTTTTGGCAAGTAGGGTCATTTTCACAATATTGATTCTACCCATCCATGAGCATGGGATCTGTTTCCATTTGTTTATGTCATCTATGATTTTTTTCAACTGTGTTTTGTAGTTCTTCTTGTAGAGTCTTTCATCTCCTTGGTTAGGTGTATTCCTAAGTTTGTTTGTTTTTTTGTTTTTTTTTGCAGCTATTGTAAAAGGAGTTGAGTTCTTGATTTGATTCTCAGCTTGGTCACTGTTGGTGTATAGAAGAGCTACTGATTAGTGTATATAAATTTTATATCTGGAAATTTTGCTGAATTATTTTGTCAGTTCTAGGAGCTTTCTGGAGGAGTCTTTAGGGTTTTCTATGTAAACAATCATACCATCAGCAAATAGTGACAGTTTAACTTCCTCTTTACCAATTTGTATGCCCTTTATTTCTTTCTCTTGTCTGATTGCTCTGGCTAGGACTTCCAGTAATATGTTAAAGAGGCATGGTAAGAGTGGGCATCCTTGTCTTCTTCCAGTTCTCAGTAGTAAGTCTTCCAACTTTTCCCCATTCAGTATTATGTTGGCTGTGGGTTTGTCATAGATGGCTTTTATTACATTGAGGTATGTCTCTTGTATGCCGATTTTGCTGACAGGTTTAATCATAAAGGAATTCTGGATTTTGTCAAATGCTTCTCCTGCATCTATTGAGATAATCATGTGATTTTTGTTTTTGATTCTGTTTATGTGGTATAGCACATATATTGACTTGTGTACATTAAACCATCCCTGCATCCTTGGTATGAAACCCACTTGATCATAGTGGATTATCTTTTTGATATGTTGTTGGATTTAGTTAGCTAATATTTTGTTAAGGATTTTAGCATCTATGTTAATCAGGGATATTGGTCTGTAGTTTTCTTTTTTTGTTGTGTCCTTTCCTGGTTTTGGTATCAGGGCGAAACTAGCTTCATAGAATGATTTAGGGAGGGTTCCCTCTCTCTCTATCTTGTGGATTAGTGTCAGTAGGATTGGTACCAATTCTTCTTTGAATGTCTGATAGAGTTCTCCTGTGAATCTGTCTGGACCAGGAATTTTTTTTGTTGGTAAGTTTTAAATTACCATTTCAATCTTGCTGCTAGTTATTGGTCTGTTTAGACTATCTAATTCTTCCTTATTTAAGCTAGGAAGGTTGTATCTTTCTAGGAATGTATCCATCTCCTCTAGGTGTTCTAGTTTATGTGCATAAAGGTGTTCATCAAACCTTGAATGATCTTCTGTATTTATTTGATATCAGTTGTAATATCTCTTCTTTCATTTCTAATTGAACTTATTTGGAATTTCCCTTTTCTTTTCTTGCTTAATCTTGCTAATGGTCTATGAATTTTATTTATCTTTTCAAAGAACTAGCTTTTTGTTTTATTTATCTACAAAAGATAAATACAAATTTTTTTTTGTTTCAATTTAATTTAGTTCTGCTCTGATCTTGGTTATTTTCTTTTTTCTGCTGGGTTTGGGTTTGGTTTGTTCTTGTTTCTCTAGTTCCTTGAGGTGTGACACTGGATCGTCTGTTTGTGCTCTTTCAGACCTTTTAATGTAAGCATTTAGGGCTATAAACTTTCCTCTGGGCCCTGCTTTTGCTGTATGCCGGAGGTTTTGATGGGTTGTGTCAGTATTGTCACTCATTTTGAATAATTTGTTAATTTTCATCTTGATTTCATTTTTGACCCAATGATCATTCAGGAGCAGGTTATTTAATTTCCATGTATTTTCATGGTTTTGAAGGTTCCTTTTGGAGTTGATTTCCAGTTTTATTCCACTATGGTCTGAGAGAGTGCTTGATATAATTTCAATTTTCTTGAATTTATTGAGGCTTGTTATGTGGCCTATCATATGGTCTATCTTGGAGAAAGTTCCATGCACTGTTGAATTGAATGTATATTCTGCACTTGTTGGGTAGAATTTTCTGTAAATATCTGTTAAGTACATTTGTTCCAGGGCATAATTTAAATCCATTTTTTTTGTTGACTTTCTGTCTTGATGATCTGTCAGTGGAGTATTGAAGTCCCCCACTATTATTGTGTTGCTGTTTATCTCATTTCTTAGGTCTATTAGTAATTGTTTTATAAATTTGAGAGTTCCAGTGTTAGGTACATATACATTTAGGATTGTGATATTTTCCTGTTATACAAGGCCATTTGTCATTATATAATAACACTCTTTGTTTTTTTTTTTTTAACTGTTGTTGCTTTAAAGTTTGTTTTGTTTATCAGAATAGCTACTTCCTCTTGCTTTTGGTGTACATTTGCGTGGAATGTCTTTTTCCATCCCTTTACCTTTAGTTTATGTGAGTCCTATGTGTTAGATGTGTCTCTTGAAGGTAGCAAATAGTTGGTTGGTGAATTCTTATCCATTCTACAAGTCTGTATCTTTTAAGTGGAATATTTAGGCCATTTACATTCAACGTTCATATTGAGATGTGAGGTACCATTTCATTCATCATGCTATGTGTTGCCTGTATACCTTTTTGTTTGTTTTTTTAATTGTATTTTTGTTTTATAGGTCCTTTGAGAATTATGCTTTAAAGAGGTTCTGTTTTGATGTGTTTTCAGGATTTGTTTTGATGTGTTTTCAAGATTTAGAGCTCCTTTAAGCAGTTCTTGTAGTGCTGGCTTGGTACTGGTGAATTCTCTCAGCATTTGTTTGTCTTAAAAAGATCATCTTTCCTTCATTTATGAAGCTCAGTTTCCCTGGGTACAAAATTTTTGGCTGGTAATTGTTTTGTTTGAGGAGGCTGAAGATAGGGACCCAATCCCTTCTAGCTTGTAGGGTTTCTGCTGAGAAGTCTGCTGTTAATCTGATCGGTTTTCCTTTATAGGTTACCTGGTGTTTTTGCCTCACAGCTCTTAAGATTTTTTCCTTCATCTTAACTTTAGATAACCTGATGATAATGTGCCTAGGCGATGATCTTTTTGTGATGAATATCCCAGGTGTTCTTGTATTTGGATGTCTAGTTCTCCAGTAAGGCCAGGGAAGCTTTCCTCCATTATTCCCCCAAATATATTCCCGATTTTTATATTTCTCTTCTTCCTCAGGAATGCTGATTATTCTTAAGTTTGGTTGTTTAAAATAATCCCAGACTTCTTGGAGGCTTTGCTCATATTTTCTTATTCTCTTTTCTTTGTCTTCTTTGGATTGGGTTAATTCAAAAACCTTGTATTTGAGCTGTGAAATTCTTTCTTCTGCTTGTTTGATTCTATTGCTGAGACTTTCTAGAGCATTTTGCATTTCTATTTAAGTGTGTCCATTGTTTCCTGAAGTTTTGATTGTTTTTTATTTATGCTATCTATCTCATTGAATATTTCTCCCTTTACTTCTTGTATTATTTTTTAGATTTTCTTACACTGGGCTTTGCCATTCTCTGGTGCCTCCCTAATTAGCATAATAACTAACTTTCTGAATTCATTTTCAGGTAAATCAGGGATTTCTTCTTGGTTTGGATCCGTTGCTGGTGAGCTAGTGTTATTTTTGGGGGGTGTTAAAGAATTTTGTTTGTCATATTATGAGAGATGATTTTCTAGTTCCTTCTCATTTGGATAGGCTCTGTCATAGGGAAGGTCTAGGGCTCCAGGCTGTTGTTCGTTTTCTTTTGTTCCACGTGTGTTGCCTTGATGTAGTACTCTCCCCCTTTTCCTAGGGATGTGGCTTCCTGAGAGTCAAGCTATAGTGATTATCTCTCTTCTGGATCTAGCCACCCAACAAGTCTACCAGTCTTTGGGCTGGTACTGGGGGTTGTCTGCACAGAGTCCTGTGATGTGAACTGTCTGTGGGTCTCTCAGGCATGGATACCAGCACTTGCTCCCATGGAGGTGGCAAAAGGGTGAAATGGATTCTGTGAGGATCCTTACCCTTGGTTGACTAGTGCATTATTTTTGTGCTGATTGGCCTCCTGCCAGGAGGTGGTGCTTTCAAGAGAGCATCATCAACTGTGCTAGTATGGGGGGTAACAGATGGTGGGTAGGGCCCTAGAATTCCCAAGAGTATATGCCCTTTGTCTTCAGTTACCAGGGTGGATAGGGAATGACCATTAGGTGGGGGCAGTGTGGCTAGGCATGTCTGAGCTCAGACTCTACTTGGGCAGGTCTTGCCGCAGCTGCTGTGGGGGATGGGTGTGAGGTTCCCAGGTCAATGGAGTTATGTTTCTAGGAGGATTATGGCTGCCTTTAGTGTGTCATGCAGGTTGTCAGGGAAGTGGGAGAAAGCCTGCAGTCACAGGCCTCACCCAGCTCCCGTGCAACCCAAAGGGCCAGTCTCATTCCCACCATGCCCCTCTCCCCCGCCAACAGTACTGAGTGTGTTTCCAGGCAGTGAGCAACTGGGCTCAGGCTACTTACCTCCCAGCTGTGAAAGTAAGTAGGGCTTGCCTTCTTCCCTTGCCTGTGGAGTCTGCACAATGGATTCATGCCCTCTCTTGAGTTCTGGCCAGGAGGCTTCTCAATTGGTTCAAATTGTTACAAAGTTCAACTGGAGGTTTTCTTATCCCTGTGGCCTTTTCCCAGTGCTTCTGACAGCCCTCCTCAAGGACCCCTGTGAGGCAAGGCAGAAATGGCTTCCTAGGGGACCCAGCGAGCCCACAGGGATTTTCCCACTGCTTCCTCTACCTCTGTATTTTGCTCAGCTTTCTAAATGGACTCAACTCCAGGTAGGGTCAGAATCTTCTCCTATAATTTAGACATTCAGGTTCCCCAGTGGGGGTGTGTGTTCGGGGGCAGAAGATCTCTCTTTTCCACTTCCACAGTTTAGGCACTCACAGTATTTGGGGTGTCTCGTGGGCCCTGTAGGAGCAATCTGCCTCCTTCGGAGGGTCTGTGGGTTCTCCTGGCTTTCCTAATGTATTCCTGCAGTCATTCTGGAGCAAAAATTCACAATGTGAGCCTCCACACACTGTTCTGTCCTTCTGAGTGAGAGCTGTAATCTAGTCCTGCCTCCCATCTGCCATCATTTCTTTCCTCCTCTTTTAGATTATATATTAATTATGAAACAAAGCATGATTTGTCAACCTTTTAAGTGACATCAAGCATGATTAGCTTGAAGATCAAATGTATATTAAGAGGTAGATTACATTCAAACACATGTTACAAGGCCAGGCACAGTGGTTCACACTTATAATCCCAGTGCTTTTGGAGGCCAAAGCAGGAGGATCACTTGAGGCCAGGAGTTCAAGACCAGCCTGGGCCAGTACCATGATCTATTCTGAAGAACTGCAACATTACTAGAAAAATAGTCAAATATTTTTGAGTAAAGGTCAGTAAACGCATCAGCCCTATTTATAATCATGCAACATAGAATGATTATGCTGTTACACTGAATTATGAGATGAAGTGAAACCCAATGCTATTTTTGTAAGCTATTGTTATGTCTTCAGTTGAAATATTAAACTTCTTTTTAATATAGATATATATCCAATGTAATTCTTTAAACACAGATGATAGTCATCTACATCACTATTCTATCTTATTTGTTTGAAAGCAGTGGATTTTGTTGATTGTGCAACAAAAGCAATATGCATTAGCCAAATGAGTTCCATTGTACATTGAAATAAATTGTGTTAGTATTTACATATACCCACTCTAATATGCTTTCAATATAAATTAATCATGTCTACTGGCAAGTATAAGATTTATTGGACTTGGTAATGTATACAGAAAAGAGCTTTATTTGCAAATTCACACATTACTCATAATAAATTTCAATTCACTTTTCACAAAGTACTTTTTTTACAAATGATATTAATGTTTGTGTGCACTTAACCAAAAATAGGCAGAAATAGAACAAAGCAATAATTATTACTGAATTATAGAAGGATGTAGATATTGAATGAACATACTTGGCAAAGACTTATAAAATGTCGCAAATATTGACTTGTAAAGATTAAGTAAAATGGAAGATTCCATTTATTTATGAAGGTTATTATATTGGTTCTATGGGTTAAAAAGTATAAAAATTAGAAATTCTAGGTAAATTGATGACACGATCATAAGTATTGACTTCGTTACCTTTCACATGCCTGTAGAAATAAATTGCAAAATATAAAAATAGGTAAAAACCTTTAATGGTGCTGAAATGCAGGAAGGGTACAATACAAATTCTAGATAGATATGTTAACAACCCTAAGATATGTTAACATGCCCATTCAGAATGTTTGACAAGCCTGGGAAGCAAATGAAGAAGACCTTGACATATCCCTTTAATACTACTAAATCACTGAGAGCACATAAAGACAAGATGCAGAAAGCTAATGTGGAAACAATTCTTCCTAACAAGGCATATCCCTCCAAGGTGAGAGTGTGGTGTGAAAGAGGTTAAGTTGGCACAACAAGAAAAAGCTAACACATCTGTATATTTATTCAAAGTTAGAAAATATAAAAATATGGCTGGGTTTATGAAGACATACTGCAGATTTAAAGAAAGGTACCACTTGAAGAATCAGACTAAAGGTGTTGGTTCTAGTTTTTTGATGATAAATATAATAAAGTGTCTAATTTGTATTTTCAAAGAGATTATAGACAGCATTGCATTTATAAAGCCAAAGCAGGTAGTTGCAAATCAAAATAATCTGAGATCAGAAAACCCAGCCAGGAGAAGATAGTTGAATGAAAGCAATTGAGAATAATCTGCAAATTGGCATTCTTGGTTTTAAAATTTCTTATTTAATAAGGAGAAAAATATTTTATCAATGAAATATACAATTATTTAATTCAAACCAACAAACAGCTTCATGTTTAATGATGATAAGCAGAAGCAGTGGATTTCAGAAGAGAGGGTGGAGCAAGATGGCAAAATAGAAAACTCCATCAATCATCTTCCCCACCCCCAACAAGGACACTAAGTTAACAACTATCTACACAGAAATAAACCTTCATAAGAACCAAAAATTATGTGAGCACTCATAGTACCTGGTTTTAACTTCATATTGCTGAAATATGCACTGAAGATATATATTTTTTTAAATCCTGAATTACCAACACCACCTCTCTGCTACACTCTGCAACAGCCACTTGTTGTGGAGAGCCTCTCTGGGCACTGGGAGAGAGAAAACAAAGCAATCATGAGGCAGTATACTCGGTACTGTTCTATCAGAGCAGAAAGAAAAACCAGACAAAACTCAGCAGATGCCCACCTGTGGACGGAACATTTAAACCAGCCCTAGCCAGAGGGGAATCCGTGATCCCAGCAGTAGGAACTTGAGTTCCCACAAACCTCACCATCTCAATCCACAGCATGCTGTCTCCAAGTAAACTTGAAAAGCAGTCTAGGCCATAAGGACCGCAACTCGTAAGCAAATTCTAGTGCTGAATTAGGCTCAGAGATAGTGGACTAGGGGGCGGCATTTGACATACTGAGACACCAACTGGGACAGCCAAAAAATGCTGGCATTACCTTTCCCTAACCCTGGCTACAAAGCTCATGGCTCCAAAAGAGACCTCTTTCTTACACTTGAGGAGAGGACAAGGAAGAGTGGGGAGGACTTTGTCTTGCATCTAGAATACCAGTTCAGCCACAGCAGAATAGGGCATGGGTCAGAGTTGTGAGGCTACTGTTCCAGGCCCTAGCTCCTGGAAAACATTTATAGACACACTGAGCCAGAAGGAAACCTGCTGCCTGGAAGGGAAGAACTCAGTCTTGGCAGCATTCATCACCTGCTCACTGAAGAGCCCTTGAGCCCTGAATAACCAGCTCTGGTATTCAGGTATTACATCGAAGGCCTTGGGTGAACCTCTGAGACTTGCTGGCTTCAGAGAAGGCTCAGCACATTTTCAACTGTGGTGGCTACAGGATAAGCCTCCTACTTGAGAAAAGCAGAAGGAAAAGTAAAGGGGAATTTGCTCGTTTTAAGTACCAGCATGGCCACAAGGAATTTGAGCACCAAGTGGGCACTTGAGTTCTCCATTTCCAGAACTTCACTCTTGAACAAGATGTCTGCACCTGCCCTGAGCCAGAGGGGAGCCCACTGCTCTGACAGGTGAGTCCCAGGCCAAGCAGCACTCACCACAAGCTGATTGAAGAGACCTGGAGTCTTACAGGAATATCTGTGGTAGGTTGGCAGTACTCCTCATGGCCTGGTGTGGTGGTGGCTACAAGGTGAGAATCCTCTGCCTTTGAAAAGGGGAGGGAAGAGTGGGAAGGCCTGCACCATGTGGTCTGAGTGCCAGCTCAGCCACAATATAATAGAACACAAGGCAGACTTCTAAGGCTTTTGGCTCTAGACCCTGACTCTCAGAAAGCACTTCTGGACCCACCCGAGGTTTGGGGGACCTTGCCACCTTGAAGAAAGGACAAAGGCCTGGCTGGTTATGCCACTTGCTGACTGTAGACCCCAGATCCTTGAGCAAACACAAGCAGTATCCAGGGACAGGTTACAGCAGGCCTTGGGTGAGACCCAGTGCTGTGCTGGCTTCAGACCTGCCATAGTGGTGGTGGCCACGGGGGTGCTTGTGCAGTCATAGTGTTGGTGACCACAGGAGTGCTTGTGTCACACCACCCCAGCTTTAGGATGCTCAGAACAAAGCCTAACTGTATATTTGGGATAAATTAAGGGAAGGGAACAATAGTTTCCACCTGGTAATGCAGAGAATTCTCATGGATCTTGTCCAAGACTTCTATGAGTCTGCAGGAATCACAACATTACTGAGCTTGGGCTAACCTTAAAACAAATATAGCATAGATAACAACACCCAAGTAATTTCAAATATCTGAAAAGCCTTTCCAAGAAGGATAACTACAAATAAGTCTAGACAGTGAAGACTACAATAAATATCTAACTCTTCAATGCGGAGACACCGAAGAACATCTACTAGCATCAGCACCATCCAGGAAAACATCACCTCACCATAGGAACTAAATAAGGCACCAGGGACAAATCCTGGAAATACAGAGATATGTGGCCTTTCAGACAGAGAATTCAAAATATCTGTCTTCAGGAAACTCAAAGAAATTCAAGATAACACAGAGAAAGAATTCAGAATTCTATCACATAAATTTAACAAAGAAATTGAAATAATTCAAAATAATCAAGCAGAAATTTTGGAGCTGAAAAATTCAAGTCACATACTGAAGAATGCATGAGAGTCGTCAATAGCAGAACTGATCAAGCAGAAGAAAGAATTTGTGAGCTTGAAGACAGGCTAATGGAAAATACACATCCAGAGGAGAAAAAAAGAATAAAGACTAAAAAGCAATGAAGCATGCCTTCAGAATCTAGAAAATAGCCTCAAAGAGGCAAATCTAAGAGTTGTTGGCATTGAAAAGGAGGTAGAGAAAGATAGAGGGGGAGAAAGTTTATTCAAAGGGACAATAACAGAGAACTTCCCAAACCTACAGAACGATATCAATATCTAAGTAAAAGCAGGTTGCTGAACACCAAGCAGATTTAACCCAAAGAAGACTACCTTAATAATCAAACTCCCAAAGTTAAAGGATAAAGAAAGGATCCTAGAAGCAGCAAGATGAAAGAAATAAATACCATGTGATGAAGCTTCAATACATCTGGCAGCAGGCTTTTCAATGAAAACCTTACAAGCCAAGAGAGGCGTGACATATTTGCAGTGCTGAAGGAAAAAAAAAATTATCCTAGAATAGTATATCTGGAGAAAATAACCTTTGACATGAAGGAGAAATAAAAGACTTTCCCAGACTAACAAAAGCTGAGGGATTTAATCAATACCAGATCTGTCCTATACGAAATGCTAAACAGAGTACTTCAAGCATAAAGAAAATGATATTAAAGAGCAATAAATATTCATGTGAAGGTAAAAAACTCACGGGTAATAGTAACTACACAGAAAACGCAGACTATTATAACAGTATCATCATGGTGTGTAAACTACTGTTATCCTCAGTAGAAAGATTAAATGATGTACCAATCAAAAATAATAACTACAGGCTGGGCGCAGTGGCTTATGCCTGTAATCCCAGCACTTTGGGAGGCCGAGGTGGGCGGATCACCTGAGGTCAGGAGTTCAAGAACAACCTGGTCAACATGCAGAAACCCAGTCTCTACTAAAAAATACAAAAATTAGCCAGGTGTAGTGGTGGGTGCCTGTAGACCCAGCTACTTGGGAGGCTGAGGCAGGGAGAATTGATTGAACCTGGGAGGCAGAGGTTGCAGTGAGACAAGATTGCGCCACCACACTACAGCTTGGGTGACAGAGAGAGACTCCATTTCAAAATGATAATAATAATAATAATAATAATGTTAACTACAACAACTCTTCAAGATATAGTCAATACAATAAAATATAAATAGAAACAACAAAAAGTTAAAAAGCAGGGGCATGAAGTTCAGGTGTACAGTTTTTATTAGTTTTCTTTTTGCTTATTTGTTTGTTTAGACAAATTGTCAAATTATCAGGTTAAAATAATGGGTTATAACATAGCATTTGCAAGCTTCATGGTGACCTCAAACCAGAAAACATACAATGGATACATAAAAAATAAAAAGCAAGAAACTAAGTCATATCACCAGAGAAAATCACCTTCACTAGAGGAAGAGAGGAAGGAAACAAAGAAAGAAGATTACAAAGCAATCAGAAATAAATAACAGAATGGTAGGAATAAGTCCTTACTTACAAATAATAACATGGAATGTAAATAAAGTAAACTCTCCAACCCAAAGACATATGCTGGCTGAATGGATGAAGAAACAAGGATCATTAATTTGTTACCTATAAGAAACACACTTCAGCTATAAATACAAACATAGACTGAAAATAAAGGGATAAAAAAGATTTCAATGCCAATGAGAACCAAAAAAGTGCAGGAGTAGCTATACCAATATTAGACAAAATATATTTCAAGACAAAATTATAAGAGGCAGAGTGTCAGTTCACCAAGAAGACATAACAATTTTAAATATATATGCACCCAACATTTGAGCATCCAGATATGTAAAGAAAACATTATTAGAGCTAAAGAGAGAGCCCCCAATACAATAGCTGTAAACTTTAATGCCCAACTTTCAGCATTAGACAGATTTTCCAGACAGAAAATAAACAAACATTAGACGTAATCTGCAGTATAGACCAAATTGCTCCAATACATATTTACAGAATATTTTATCCAAAAGCTGAAGAATACACATTCTTTTCCTCAACACATGGATCATTCTCAAGGATAGACCATATGTTAGGCCACAAAACAAGTTTTAAAACATTGAAAAAAAACAAATAATATTAAGTATTTTCTCTGGCAACAATGAAAAAAATTAAAAATAAATAACAGGAGGAATTTTGGAAACCATACAAATACATGTAAATCAAACAATATGCTCCTGTATGACCAGGAGGTCAATGAATAAATTAAGAAGAAAATTGAAAAATTTCTGGAAACAAATGATAATGGAAACGCAACATACCAAAACCTATGGGATACAGCAAAAACAATACTCAGAGGAAAGTTTATAGCTATAAGTATCTACATAGAAGGGACAAAAATCTTCAAATGAACAATTTAGCAATGCATCCTAAAGAGCTAGTAAAGCAAGAGTGAACCAAACCCCAAGTTAGTAGAGGAAAAGAAATAATAAAGGTCAGAGCAGAAATAAATGAAATTGAAATGAAGAAAACAACACACAATATCAATGACACAAAAGTTGATTTTTTGAAAAATTAAACAAATTTGACAAACCTTCAGACAAAGATAAAAAGAGAGAACATCTAAATAAATAAAATCAGGAATGGAAAAGGAGACATTACAACAGATTCTGCAGTTAATTTGAAGGATCACTAGTGGCTTCTATGAGCAAATATATGCCAATAAATTGGAAAATCTAGAAGAAATTGACAAATTCCTAGATCATACAACTTACCAAGTTTGAATCAGAAAGAAATCCAAAATCTGAACAGACCAATAAAAAGTAATGAGAGCAAAGCTGTAATTTAAAAAATCTCCCAGCAAAGAAAAGCCCAGGAACTCACGGTTGCATTGCTGAATTCTATCAAATATTTAAGGAAGAACTAACACCAATCCTATTCAAACTGTTCTGAAACAAAGAAGAGGAGAGAATACTTCCAAATCATTCTGAGGCCAGTATTACCCTGATACCAAAACCAAAGACACATCAAAAAAAGAAAAAGAAAAGAAAACTACAGACCAACATCGCTGATAAACATTGATGCAAAAATCCTCAAGCAAACTGAATTCAACAGTACATTAGAAAGATCATCCATCATGACTAAGTGAGATTTATCCTTGGAATGCAAGAATAATACAACATACACAAATCAATCAATGTGATATATTATATCAACAGAATGAAGGGTAAAAACCATAAGATCATTTCAATTGATGCTGCAAAACATTTGATAAAATTCAACATCCCTTCATGATAAAAAGCCTAAAAAAATTTGATATACAAGAAACATACACAAACATAATAAAAGCCATACATGACAGACCCACAGCTAGTATCATACTGAATAAGAAAAAACTGAAGCCTTTCCTCTAAGATCTGGAACACAACAAGGATGCCCACTCTCACCTGTTATTCAACATAGTACAGAAAGTTCTATTAAGAGCAATTAAGAAAGAGAAAGATATATAGGACATCCAAATGGGAAAGGAAAAAGTCAAATTATTCTTGTTTGCTGATGATATGATCTTATATTTGGAAAAACCTAAGTATTCAATAAGAAAATTATTGAAACTGATAAACAAATTCAGTAAAGTTGCAGGCTATAAAATCAACATAAAAAACTCAGCAGCATTTTTATATGCCAACAGTGAATACCATGAGAAAGAAAAAAAATGCATTTACAATCACCACACATATAAATAAATACCTAGGAATTAACCAAAGAAGTGAAACCTTTCTATAATGAAAATATAAAATACTGATGAAGGAAATTGAAGAGGACACCAAAAATGGAAAAATATTCCATTTACACAAGTTGAAAGAATTAATATTGTTAAAATGTTCATACTACCAAAAGCAATCTACAGACTCAATGCAATCCCTATCAAAATACCAATGACATTCTTCACAAAAATAGAAAAAAATCTAAAATTTGTATAGTACCACAACAGACCCAGAATAGCCAACAATATCCTAAGCAAAAAGAACAAAACTGGAGGAATTACATTACCTGACTTCAAATTATACTATAGAGCTATAATAAGCAAAACTGCATGGTACTGGCTTAAAAACAGACACACAGACCAATGGAACACAATAGGGAACCCAAAAATAATTCCACACACCTACAGTGAACTCATTTTTGACAAAGGTGCCAAGAACAAACACTGGAGAAAAGACAGTTTCTTCAATAAATGATTCTGGGAAAACTGGATATCCATATTCAAAAGAATGAGACTAGACCCCTGTCTTTCACATTATACAAAAATAGAATCAAAATGGACTAAAGACTTAAATCTAAGATCTCAAACTGTGAAACTACTACAAGAAAAGTTTGGGGAAAATCTCCAGGACATGGGTTTGGGCAAAGACTTCTTGAGCAACCCCACAAACACAAGCATTTGAAGAAAATATGGACAAATGGGATTGCATCAAGTTAAAAAGCTTCTGTGCAGCAAAGGACACAATCAACAAAGGGAAGAGACAACCCACAGAACGGGAGAAAATATTTGTATAGTATCCATCTGACAAGGGATTAATAACTGGAATATATAAGGAGCTCAAAGAACTCTCAAAGAAACTAATAATCCAATCAAAAATGGGCAAAAGATTTGAATAGACATTTCTCAAAAAAAGACATAAATGGCAAACAGACATATGAAAAAGCGCCCAACGTCACTGATCATTAGATAAATGCAAATCAAAACTACAATGAGATATGATCTCGTCTCAGTTAAAATGGCTCATATCCAAAAGACAGGCAATAACAAACGCTGGCAATGATGTGGAGAAAAGGTAACTTTAGTACACTGTTGATGGAAATATAAGTTAGTACAAACACTATTGAGAACAGTTTAAAGGTTCCTCAGAAAACTGAAAATTGCGCTACTGTACGAGCCAACAATCTCACTACTGGGTATATACCCCAAACAAAGGAAGTCAGTTTATCAAAGAGATATCTGCACTCCTGTGTTTATTGCCACACCGTTTACCATAGCTAAGATTTGGAAGCAACCTAAGTGTCCATCAGCAGATGAATGGATAAAGAAAATGCCGTATGTATATACCATGGAGTATTATTCGGCCATAAAAAAGGATAATATCCTGTCATTTGTAACAACATGGATGAGTCTGGAGATCATTGTGTTAAGAGAAATAAATAGGGCACAGAAAGGCAAACACTGCATGTTCTCACTTGTTTGTGAAATCTAAAAATCACATTAATTGAACCCATGGACATAGAGAATAGAAGGATGGTTACCAAAAGCTGGGAAGGGTAGTGGGTGGTTCAGGTGGGATGTGGCAATGGTTAGTTAGTACAAAACAATGGAAAAAATGACAAGACCTACTATTTGATAGCACAATAGGATCACTATAGTCAACCATAACTTTACATTTAAAAATAATGCATCTGGATTATTTGTAACTCAAAGGATAAATGTTTGAGGGGAGGGATACCCCATTCTCCATAATGTGCTTGTTTCATATTGCATGCCTGTATCAAAACATCGCATGTACCTCATAAACATATACGCCTACCATGTACTCACAAAATTTTTTTAAAAAAGAATAATAAAACTAGTGGGGGCTATGTTATATTATTTAAATAAATACACTTAACGTGGTTAGATTTCAGGGGCTGAAGATAAGGAAGGAAATGTAATTTCATCATTTTTAGGAAAAAGTTCAAGAAGAAGCATGCACACACACATCATCATCATCATCATCCACAATAGCAGAAATACACTCAGTAAAAACTTTTACTGGCAAGACCCACACCTTTGAAAGTAAAAAGGCACTGAATATAGAAGGCATTGTTATTTTCTGGAAGGAAAAAATTTTAAAAAAAGAAAACAAAAATATGGCTACTGTAATATATGCAGGAGAAATAGTTTTATTCTTAGAAAGTCAAAGACATAAAGAAATTGATATAACATATTTGCCTCTCCAAATATGTAACATACTTGTCTATGTCTCTAGTTTCAATTTTATTTCTGCATGCCAGACTTATTTTTTTCCACTAGGAAAGTTTTTGAAGCTGTACATTTTCTAACTCTAAGAAAATTTAGTGGCTCACTTCCTCAAAAATATACTAAGAGTTGCATTATATATTTGACTTTTTCAGTCTTGTGGCACTGAAAACTATATCCATTCATCAAAAAACTAAAAATAGAGCTACCACATGATGCGGATATTCCACTTCTGGGTATATATACAAAAGAATTGAAACAACATCCAAAAGAGATATTTTCACACCCATGTTAATAGCATTATTATTTACAATAACCAAGAGGTGGAAGCAACCCTTATATCTATCAATGATTGAATGGATGAACACAATGTTTTATATGTATACTATGGAATATTATTCAGTCTTAAAAAGGAAAGAACTCCTCCCTAAGACTACAACATGGATTAAATTTGGGGACATTATTCCTAATAAAATAAGCCAGTCACAAAAGTCAAATACTGTATAATTTCAAACATATGTGGTATCTAAAGTCGTCAAATTCATAGAAATAGAAAGTAGAGTGGTGATCATGTAAAGCAGGGAGAGGGAAAAATTGGAAGTTTTTCTTTAGTGGGTATAGAGTTTCAGTTTTGCAGCATTAAAAAGATCTGGAGAGCTGTTATACAACATTGTGATTGTTCTTCATATGACTGAAGTGTGCACTTAAAAATCGTGAAGATGGTAAATTTTGTGTTATGTGCTCTCTACTATAATTTTTTTAAAAATATTTTAAACTATATCCAATTGTGGAGAGTTGTGCTTTTTTATGGTAGCCTAGGCTTATTACTCTCCAAAAAGACTGCTGGAACTAAGATTAAGGGACAAATTTGGTTCACTATTACTAGGCATTTCTTGGCCAGAATTAACCAGTTTGGCTATTGTGGGCTGTTGGTGAAAGTGAATCTATTAGCTCAATTTTTGGGGGAACTGTTTGCCTTAAAACATATTTAGTGTATTAATATAAAAATGCATATAAACCTAAATAGAATTAATGATGCATAGATCTTATCAGAATGATTTAATTTATGTAGAATACACTAATTCTACCAGTAATTTATCAACTAAAAACTTGTAACATATAATAGCAGAAAATGTATTGCAAATCTTGTAATCTAGCATAGTTCACGACAATAAACCAAGAAAGTTATATACCACTTTGAAAATAAAAGTGAAGCAGTGTATCCTATATATAAAGGTTTCAGTTTTTTGAATGAGTTTTTGAAGTGAATTATCTTCTTTTGAAAGAATAGTATTACTTGCACTGAGAATCACTACATTCATCTCATTTTGAAAGATCCAATGTTTGATTTGTATCTCGTGTTATATTTGATTTGTTGTCCTATGAGAGAAAGACACATATAACCCTTTCACTGAGTCTTCCTATTTTCCTTGTAAAAGTAATATCATTGCAACAGTCTAAAAAACTGAGAAAGTTTTTAAGATTGTCTTTGCCAGCCATGTATTGCACTGAATTTCAAAGATAGGAATGGCCTCACTTTATGCAAATTTAACAACTATAAACAGGTTTATATGACTGATCAATCAGTGACTGCTCATTTCACAAAAGGATTCATTCTAAATTATATATCTTTTAAGTAAATTTTAACTAGAACTAAATTTCATTTTTATACATGTTTTCAGTAACAGGTTCATTATATTGCTAATACCCTTCAGCCAAAGACCACAAAAACTATAATCCAACAACTTGGATTTATTACTCATTGTGGTGTCTTTGGTAAGAAGCTATAAGAAGAAGTTTTTAAATAAGATTTGGGCTTTGGTTGGGTGATATTGTGGAAGGTCTAAGAAAACAGGGCATGCTTTGGATTTGAGTGTTGTCAGAAAATAATGGCAATTCTATGACTAACCATCTTAATAAATCTTATATACAGGAAAGACAGATGAGAGTAAAGATAAAACTCATTGGTTAGGAAGTAGCAGTCACTCAGTTTAGTTTAATCACAGAAGACTTACGTAGAAAGTCAAAACTTTTATATAGTATCCTATTAAGAATGAGGATAGATTGAGCAATTTTAAGTAAAGAAATGGCATAACCAGATTTGATTATAATAATAATAATAAAGATTAGAGAGGATAAATACCTGAGACAATGACAAATTAGTATATAGCTACAATAATTCAGATTTTGAAACTTTTCATTGATGAAGTAACCATAAATATGGTAAGGTAGAAACAGCTCTGAAAATGATTTGGGAGGTAAAATCTAAAGCCATTGTTGATTAATTCTATATTTGTTAGGGAAAGGGGGAAGTCAAGAATGACTCTAGGATTTCTGAATCACTAGCTAGGAATGAGAATATGAAAAAAGGATTGAAGAGAGCAGGGGAATGGATAGAGGGAGGGAAACACTGAGTTCACTTTTGAACAATTTTATGTGCCTAACGGACACCCAAATGGAGATACCCAGATAGAAACAGAAATGTAAGTCTCAAGGAAAAGAGGTCATCAGCCCTAGAGGTATTGATTCAAAAGTCATGCTATTGCATAACACGATAGTTAATTTTATTTATCAACTTAGCTGAGCCACAGGGTGCCCAGATTTGGTTAAACATTATTCTGTGAGGATGTTTTTTGATGAGGTGAGCATTTACATTGGTAAACTTTTAGTAAGTTAAATTGACCTCTATAATGTGGGTGTACCTCATTCAGTTGAAGGCCTGAATAGAACATAATGATCAGCCTCCCCTGGGCAAGATAGAATTCACCAACAGACTTCCTTTACTTATTCTGAAACCCCAGCTCTTCCTGGTTCTACAGCAGATAGCCTTCAGACTGGAACTGCAGTGTTAACTCTCCTGGGGTCTTCAGCCTGCTGACCCATCCTGCAGAATTTCAACTTGACAGACTCCATAATCACATGAACCAATTCTTTATGACAAGTCTCTTTGTTTTCACATCCTATTAATTCTAATTCTCTGGAAGACCCTGACTAATGCATATAAGGAGGATTGGTTTGCCATCACCTAAGAACAAAGTATAAAGTGAAAAAAAAAGTTAAATTGTTGAGAGTGAATAGAGCAAGTAGAGTGATGGAAACAGACTAAGAAGGGATATTAAGAAAGATATAAAGGGAAGCAGCAAAAAATAGTGTCCAAGAAAAGCTGATAGGAGAGTTTCAAGAAGTGAATGGTGAACAGTGTCAAGTTCTGCAAAGAAGTTCGTAAGAAAAGGACTGCAAAATGCTCAACTGGATTGAGGAAGTAAGAAGTAGAAGTCAGATCACCCGAAAAGTCACCGTGTATTTTATGAGATTCTGTGATAGAATATAAGAATAATGCCTTGTCTTTGTAGAGTATTTCATCATCTACACAACGCTTTTACATATGTTTTTATTTGATTTAACCTTCATAACAACATTCTGTGTGGGAGGAAGGTATAATTATTCTGATTTTGCATTTAAGGAATTTAAAACTTGAACAAGCTTCCTAAAGTTACAACTTTTAAATGTCAAAGTCAGTACAGAAATCTAGGCTTTCTGACTACTTGCATAATTCAGTTTATGTTATACCATAAGGAACTTCTATCAAGCTACATAAAGTTCCAGGAAGCCTAGACACAAACTGGCAAAAAAAACTTAGCTGTCCTTGACATCAACATCAGAAGTCAGGGACTTACCCTAACATCCTTGGCTTTAATAATCCATGACGGAGGTTTCATTCTTTAATCTAAACTTTTGTGGAAGATATTCATAGTTTTTTCTCTACCGCCTTGTAGGATAATTAAATTGTACACATTGATTACCACTTTGCATTCAGTCGTACTTTCTTTTAAAATAATAGTAACTAACATTTACATAGTGATTACCATATGCTATGCATTGTGCTAAGCACTTTACATTTCTTAAATCATTTAATATTCAGAACAAACTTTAGAGGTAGGTCCTACTATTACTTCCACTATGCAAATAAGAAAACTGAGGTACTGAGTATTTAAATAATTTGCCCAAGGTAATGCACCTAAGAACTGGTGAAATTGAAATTCAAGCATAGTCACTTCCAATATGGAAACTGCTAATATCTTCCAACTTCAAAGAATGCCCATTAACTCTGACATTCTAGCATTTATTGAACAAGTCTATTTATACTCTGTTTGTTGCCTTCATTTATCTTATAAGATATGGCTTTCAGTTCCCTGTGTTCTGTACTCATATGACAGGCCCTCTAGTTCCTCTTCTGCCTGTCCCACATCCCATCTCCTATAGGGTCTTTTTGTTATTTTATCCATGTTATTAAATACTATGTTGACTTTCTTCACATGGGTGCCTGAATCCCAGGTAAGTCTTCATGGGTCACAGATTCTTGTGTTTTGATACTGATAAAGGACTAAAGGGTTCTTAGCAATGTTGTATAAAACTATATTATTATGTTTATCTTTTGGACTGTGAATAACATTATTCCTTTCTATTATGTCAATAAGTTCACATAAGTCTATTTCATCTGTTAAAAAAGCAAATACTATCACAAGTGCAATGTGCTTATCTAGCTTTTGAAAGGAAAATGTCCTTGATCTGTGGCTCTTTGCTACTCCAAAGGAAAACTGCGATATAGTATTTTCATCAATCTCCATACAAGACCTGTAAAAACATTAATTTGTTTAATCTATAGAACTGGTGATTAGAGCTGTAGAAAAGACTGTCCTGGACTGTACAATTTAAGTAGTTTATATAGACACAGGTTGATAGGTTTTTGAAACCTCTAACTGCTTAAAGTACATCTTCTACTCTGTCATTAATTGATTGGCATCCTTTTGACTGTTTGCTCTACAATAACACAGAGAAAACTTCATTAGTACATTTCAAGGACAGATTAGATAAAGTGAATACTGGAGAGACAGTAGATTGCCTGAACTGGAAGAACGAAGATAAGTAGATTTATATTCTTTTTTTTTTTTTTGCAAGTCTGCAAAAACACAAACAGAATTATATAGCCAATCATTAAAACCCTTTTATTTTATTACATAAGCCGAGATCGAGATAATTCCTTTTTAACACAACAGTGATGATGTTGTAGTGCTTCTCAAAGCAGTTCGCTTTCTAATGTTTCATTAGCTTTTTAAACTTCTTGCTTTGATCCAGAGTATTTTTCTTTATTTCATTTGTAAAGCAAGTAAATGTAATGAGCACCCTTTTGGAAAATCAGCCTGGCTTAAATCATGCATTCTTTATACAATGTTAGGAGGAGAATGGTTAACATTTGTAGCCTCATGACTTGCAAATGAAAGAAAATAATAACACTTAGCAAGACATTAGAAGAACACATTCACCATGAATCATACTGCCCTTGAAGGTGCAGCTTAAAAAAAGCAGAGAAATAGATTTGACACCACTTGGACTTGCAGCTTGGACATGCTGCATTAAACTGTTCAAAATTAATTTAATCTGAGCAAGGAGAATAATAGCCTCTCAGTTCAAGGCTTCTGATAGCAGTAATTTGCACTCGAAAGTACTTCCAAAGGGAAAGAATAAATGAAGGGCGACTCTCCAAAACTGAGTGAGCAAATGTATTCACTAAATGAAAGCCTCTTGATCACCCTATAAAAGATCATCCAAAAAAAATGACACATTCTATATCACTCTCTTGGGTAGGAATTTTCTCTTGCAACTGTTCAGTTGCTCTGCTCTGGGCATAGATTGATCCCTTTTAGAACTGTTGATGACTCTAGAGAAAGAGTCTGGCTTCAGTTGCTACATTAATTCAGTGGCCTAAAACCAATTTGAGGAAAAATCATGCAGTCACAGGCTTGGTGCCCAATATTCCCTTTCATACTCTGGGGGAAGACATTTTTTGGTAAGTAAGTGAGCAAAAGAATCAAAAGAGTTTGAGAGAATTCATGGCACTTTCTTACAATGACAGAAATACTCTCACAGAACCCAGGTGCCAAGGTGCTGAGCATAGGGAAGTACATGTTCCCAAGAGAGATAAAAGATCTGACTCATCAAATAATTAATAGACCAGGCAGTCGGGGCAGACTGGTAGATAGGGTGATTTGAGAAGCACTAACAGAATCTGATTACTTGAAATTATTTATTCCATTGACTTTCCACATAGTCAAAAAATCTACCCTTGGTCACTCCTTTGGGGATAATGCATCCAGGAATTATTTACACATTCATATATTACATTAGTAATCACCTAGCACTTAGAAAAACTCTAAAGGATTGAGACACAACACAGGCATAGGGAAAATTGGTTTCAAGAGTATTGCGCAGGTGGGTTCCTTTGGGCAGGTGAGTGCCTGTGAAAGTACATGGAAGAAGGGACTCCTAATAAATGGCTCTTATTTATAGCTAGTAAAAAATAGTAAGTATAGACAAAAACAATGATGTTAATATTTACATGCACAGAAAGACAAAACTAACTTCATTTTAGACTATTTCTCTTCCTTCTCATTAATCAAGTTTTCTGTTTCTCCCTTGACTTGAGTGCTAATGGTGGTAAGAAAGTATATACAGGGAAATAAAGAATAAGTTTTTCCAAGTTTCATGAGAATAAGTAACATGTTGGTATTCAAGTTTCATTTTCAGTTTCTTAATTGCTTTTCTTTTGCAAATTTAGAGTAAGGAAAACCAAAAGATCTTTTTAAATTCTCTGGTAACACTTAATTTCTTCTTAATAACTTACCTGCCAGTAGTCATTTGTTCTATAATAACTCAAAGAATGCTGGTTATGCCAAAGACCCTTTTTAAAAAGAGTGTACCTTGGATATGGAAGGAGTGCAAAATAAATTGAGGCTTTTCAGGATATTAAACAACATAGCCATTTGCTCTTGATCAATGTTGCCAATAAAGCTCCCCACCCCACAAAAAAAATCAGAAATGATTATCATTTAAAAGTTGCACACAATGTTTTGTATTCTTATCTGGCCTGTAATGAAAACTAATGAATTTTTTTCACCGAGTTATGCCATTTTTCATGGGTTACGTTGACATTACTAGAAGAGTGATTTTTAAATGTTTTTAGTTAATAGACAATTTCAGACTGACTGAAATTTTGCTGATCTCTGTATGTCAGCCAATTTCCTCTTTTCACTTCAGAAGACAACATAATTTTACATATTATTATTTGATAATAAATTAAGTCATGTTTCTCAAAGTGGGGCTGTAAGCCACTTGTATCAGAATCACTTATGTTTTTAAGAAGATACGATGACAGGCCCCATCCCTGAGATTCCCTCCCTATGGGATTTGTTCTGAAGTTTCAAAAACACTATTTTCCATCTTTTAGAACAAATCCCATCCAGTGCAGAAACCCACCCTACAACACCCTTGAAGGATAGGCTTATAGCCTCTGCTTTAAAACTTCCACTGAAATGGAACTTACAGTATCACACATCAGCCATTATTAAACATGATTAATGGTCAGAAATTTTTTGCTTATACTGTCAAAATGTATGGTGAAAATTCTACTTGTTCGTTTTAGTTCATCCCTCTGATGCCACACAAAAACAAAAGTAATTCCTTTTCCACATGGCATTCCTTCAAATATCTGGAGACCACTATTCTTCCCTGTTTTCTGCCCTGGGCTAAATATCTTCAGTTCCCACAACCATTCCTTACATTTTCAGATACTTTTCCATTCTTGTCACCAATCCTGGATAGGTTCCAGTTTGTCATTGTCAGTCTTGAAATTTGATACCTAGAGCTGAATATAATGTAAAAGGTGTGGTTTTGCCACTGTAGAGTATTATGACACTGTAATATTACTGTTATTTCTTCTACTTGTTTAGAATATTAGACATTAATAAAGTACCCTAAACTTGTGCAGGCCTCTATGACTGTGTATATTTTTTATTTTTTGCATTCACATGTCACTGTAATAGCATATTGTGCTTGCAGTAAACAAAAACCTTTAGGTCTTTGTTATTTAGAAGGCTATCAAGCTATTCCTGCTTCATACTTTATTCATACAGTTAATATTGTTATCTAAGAACAGCACTTAGATTTCATTTTTTTCATAATATTATATCAATGGTGGATCATCATTTGAAGCATGTTGACCTTTTTAATAAGTTATAATTCAATAATATCCATTTTTGTCAACTTTACTTCATGTGTTAAATTTGAGAAATGTTTTGTTTTGTTTTGTTTATGGCTTCATTCGTCATGAACCAAATACTGAAATACGAGGCAAGAACTAATATCATGTTGGCAAGTCCCTCGTGATCTCCTACAAGGCTGATCTAAATCCATTAATCAAAAATTTAATAAAATTGCTTGATTTATGTTTATTCATGAATGATTTTAGGATTTTTTCGTGCATTTATTATTTACATTTACTTTTTTGTTACTAACTTTATATCTTTTATCCATTTTTGAACAGCTTATTGAAATATATGTCATATCCCACAAAATTAAATTATTTAAAGCATACAATTAAGTGGATTTTAATATATTCACAGAAGTATACATTTATCACCAAAGTAAATTTTAGAATATTGTCATTTTCCCAGAAAGAAACCCCATACCCTTTAACAGTGACTTCCCATCTCAACAACCCCAGCACCCCTTGGCAACAATTAATCTACTTCCTGTCTCTATACATTTGCCCAGTATAGACATTTCAACTGAAAGGAATCATACAATATGTGGCCTTTTATGTCTGGTTTCTTTCAGTTAGCATAATCTTTCCAAGGTTCATCCATGTTGTAGCATATATCAGCACTTCATTCCTTTTTATTGGCTGAATAATATTGCATTATATAGATATATCACATTTTATTTATCCATTCAATTGGTGAATGCTTGAGTTGTTTTCAACTTCTGGCTATTATGAATAGTGCTGCTATAGACATTCCTGTACACGTTTTTTAATAGACATGTTTTCACTTTCCTTGGTTATACACCTAGGAATAGATTGTCTATAAGATGTTAACTCTGTGTTTAACCATTTGAGGGACTGCCTGATTGTTTTCAAAAACAGAGGCATCGTTTTACATTCACATCAACAGTATATAAAGGTTCCAATTGCTCCATGTTCTCACCAACACTTGTTATTATCTTCTTATTATTCCAGTCGAGTGCATGTGAAGCTGGATCTGACTGTGGTTTCTATTTGCATTTCCCTCATGTCTGATAATGTTGGTTGTCTATTCATTTTCTTGATGATGTTTTATGAAGCACAAAGCTTTGTTTTGTTTTGTTTCATTTTCATGCTTTCCAATTTATTGATTTTATTTTTGTTGCTTATATGTTTGGTCTCATATCTTAAAAACGTCATATCTTAATCCAACAACATAAACATTTACACTTATGTTTTCTACTAAGAGCTTTATACTTTCAGCTCTTACACTTAAATCTTTAATCCACTTCAAGTTAAATTTTAATATGGTGTGACATAGGGGTGTAGATATACAGTGGTCCTAATACCAATTGTTAAAAAGACTATTCGTTCCCTCCATTGAACTTTCATGAAACTCTTGTTGAAAATCAATTGGACTTAAATGTATGAGTTTATTTCTGTACTCTCCATTTTATTCCATTTATCTCTATGTCTGTCCTTATTCCAGCACCATGCTGTCTTGATTGCTGTAGATTTATAGTAAGTTTTAAAGTTAGGAAGTGTGAGTCCCTCAACTTTATTGTTATTGTGGGTCTCTTGAGTTTCCATGTGAATATTATGATCAACATGTCAATATCTGCAGAAGAGGCAACTGAAATTTTGATAGGATTGTGTTTAATCTATTAATTAATTTGGGGAATACTGCCATCTTAACAACATTAAGTTTTCCAATCCATGAACACAGAATATATTTTCATTGATTTAGGTTTTTAATTTCTTCAATGACACTTGGTGGTTTTTAAGTATATAAGAATTGCACTCCTTTTGTTAAATTTCTTTCTAAGTACTTTATATGCCTTTACAAATGAAATTGTTTCCTTAGTTTCATCTTGGTTTGTTTATTAATATTGTATAGAAATACAACTGATTTTCGTATACTATGTGGCTTGCAACCTTGTTGAACTCATGTATTATTTCTAATAATTTTTTAGGGGATTCCTAAGGATTGTCTATACACCCTTAACATCACATAGTTTTCAAATTAAGATTCTTTTAATGCTTCCTTTCTATTATGGGTAAATTTTCTTTCTTCTTCTTCCCTATTTGCCATAGCTAGGCAAATAGTGTACTATTCTATTCCATAGTAAACTATTGAATAGAAGTGGTAAAAGCAAACAAGATTGTTCCTGATCCTAGGGGAAAAAACATTCACTCTTTCACTATTTTGTATGATGGTAGCTGGAGGATACCTAATCCAATCCCTTTGTTATAGATGTTTTAAGAATTTCTCTACGTGAAGAATGCAGAAGCCTCAGCAGCCGATGCGATCAACTGGAAGAAAGGGTATCAGCAATGTAAGATGAAATGAATGAAATGAAGCGAGAAGGGAAGTTTAGAGAAAAAAGAATAAAAAGAAACGAACAAAGCCTCCAAGAAATATGGGACTATGTGAAAAGACCAAATCTACGTCTGATTGGTGTACCTGAAAGTGACAGGGAGAATGGAACCAAGTTGGAAAACACTCTGCAGGATATTATCCAGGAGAACTTCCCCAATCTAGCAAGGCAGGCCAACATTCAGATTCAGGAAATACAGAGAACGCCACAAAGATACTCCTCGAGAAGAGCAACTCCAAGACACATAATTGTCAGATTCACCAAAGTTGAAATCAAGGAAAAAATGTTAAGGGCAGCCAGAGAGAAAGGTCGGGTTACCCTCAAACAGAAGCCCATCAGACTAACAGCGGATCTCTCGGCAGAAACTCTACAAGCCAGAAGAGAGTGGGGGCCAATATTCAACATTCTTAAAGAAAAGAATTTCCAACCCAGAATTTCATATCCAGCCAAACTAAGCTTCATAAGTGAAGGAGAAATAAAATCCTTTACAGACAAGCAAATGCTGAGAGATTTTGTCACCACCAGGCCTGCCCTAAAAGAGCTCCTGAAGGAAGCGCTAAACATGGAAAGGAACAACCGGTACCAGCCGCTGCAAAATCATGCCAAAATGTAAAGACCATCGAGACTAGGAAGAAACTGCATCAACTAACGAGCAAAATCACCAGCTAACATCATAATGACAGGATCAAATTCACACATAACACTATTAACTTTAAATGTAAATGGACTAAATGCTCCAATTAAAAGACACAGACTGGCAAATTGGATAAAGAGTCAAGACCCATCAGTGTGCTGTATTCAAAAAACCCATCTCACGTGCAGAGACACACATAGGCTCAAAACAAAAGGATGGAGGAAGATCTACCAAGCAAATGGAAAACAAAAAAAGGCAGGGGTTGCAATCCTAGTCTCTGATAAGACAGACTTTAAACCAACAAAGATCAAAAGAGACAAAGAAGGCCATTACATAATGGTAAAGGGATCAATTCAACAAGAAGAGCTAACTATCCTAAATATATATACACCCAATACAGGAGCACCCAGATTCATAAAGCAAGTCCTGAGTGACCTACAAAGAGACTTAGACTCCCACACATTAATAATGGGAGACTTTAACACTGCACTGTCAACAGCAGACAGATCAACAAGACAGAAAGTCAACAAGGATACCCAGGAATTGAACTCAGCTCTGCACCAAGTGGACCTAATAGACATCTACAGGACTCTCCACCCCAAATCAACAGAATATACATTTTTTTCAGCACCACACCACACCTATTCCAAAATTGACCACATACTTGGAAGTAAAGCTCTCCTCAGCAAATGTAAAAGAACAGAAATTATAACAAACTATCTCTCAGACCACAGTGCAATCAAACTAGAACTCAGGATTAAGAATCTCACTCAAAACCCCTCAACTACATGGAAACTGAACAACCTGCTCCTGAATGACTACTGGGTACATAACGAAATGAAGGCAGAAATAAAGATGTTCTTCGAAACCAACAAGAACAAAGACACAACATACCAGAATCTCTGGGACACATTCAAAGCAGTGTGTAGAGGGAAATTTATAGCACTAAATGCCCACAAGAGAAAGCAGAAAAGATCCAAAATTGACACGTTAACATCACAATTAAAAGAACTAGAAAAGCAAGAGCAAACACATTCAAAAGCTAGCAGAAGGCAAGAAATAACTAAAATCAAAGCAGAACTGAAGGAAATAGAGACACAAAAAACCCTTCAAAAAATTAATGAATCCAGGAGCTGGTTTTTTGAAAGGATCAACAAAATTGATAAACCACTAGCAAGACTAATAAAGAAAAAAAGAGAGAAGAATCAAATAGATACAATAAAAAATGATAAAGGGGATATCACCACCAATCCCACAGAAATACAAACAACCATCAGAGAATACTACAAACACCTCTACGCAAATAAACTAGAAAATCTAGAAGAAATGGATAAATTCCTCGACACATACACTCTCCCAAGACTAAACCAGGAAGAAGTTGAATCTCTGAATAGACCAATAACAGGAGCTGAAATTGTGGCAATAATCAATAGCTTACCAACCAAAAAGAGTCCAGGACCAGATGGATTCACAGCCAAATTCTACCAGAGGTACAAGGAGGAACTGGTACCATTCCTTCTGAAACTCTTCCAATCAATAGAAAAAGAGAGAATCCTCCCTAACTCATTTTATGAGGCCAGCATCATCCTGATACCAAAGCCTGGCAGAGACACAACCAAAAAAGAGAATTCTAGACCAATATGCTTGATGAACCTTGATGCAAAAATCCTCAATAAAATACTGGCAAACCAAATCCAGCAGCACATCAAAAAGCTTATCCACCATGATCAAGTGGGCTTCATCCCTGGGATGCAAGGCTGGTTCAATATATGCAAATCAATAAATGTAATCCAGCATATAAACAGAACCAAAGACAAAAACCACATGATTATCTCAATAGATGCAGAAAAGGCCTTTGAGAAAATTCAACAACCCTTTATGCTAAAAACTCTCAATAAATTAGGTATTGATGGGACGTATTTCAAAATAATAAGAGCTATCTATGACAAACCCACAGCCAATATCATACTGAATGGGCAAAAACTGGAAGCATTCCCTTTGAAAACTGGCACAAGACAGGGATGCCCTCTCTCACCACTCCTATTCAACATAGTGTTGGAAGTTCTGGCCAGGGCAATTAGGCAGGAGAAGGAAATAAAGGGTATTCACTTAGGAAAAGAGGAAGTCAAATTGTCCCTGTTTGCAGATGACATGATTGTATATCTAGAAAACCCCACTGTCTCAGCCCAAAATCTCCTTAAGCTGATAAGCAACTTCAGCAAAGTCTCAGGATGCAAAATCAATGTACAAAAATCACAAGCATTCTTATACACCAACAACAGACAAACAGAGTGCCAAATCATGAGTGAACTCCCATTCACAATTGCTTCAAAGAGAATAAAATACCTAGGAATCCAACTTACAAGGGATGTGAAGGACCTCTTCAAGGAGAACTACAAACCACTGCTCAAGGAAATAAAAGGGGATTCAAACAAATGGAAGAACATTCCATGCTCATGGGTAGGAAGAAGCAATATCGTGAAAATGGCCATACTGCCCAAGGTAATTTACAGATTCAATGCCATCCCCATCAAGCTACCAATGACTTTCTTCACAGAATTGGAAAAAACTACTTTAAAGTTCATATGGAACCAAAAAAGAGCCCACATCGCCAAGTCAATCCTAAGCCAAAAGAACAAAGCTGGAGGCATCACACTACCTGACTTCAAACTATACTACAAGGCTACAGTAACCAAAACAGCATGGTACTGGTACCAAAACGGAGATATAGATCAATGGAACAGAACAGAGCCCTCAGAAATAATGCCGCATATCTACAACTATCTGATCTTTGACAAACCTGAGAAAAACAAGCAATGGGGAAAGGATTCCCTATTTAATAAATGGTGCTGGGAAAACTGGCTAGCCATATGGAGAAAGCTGAAACTGGATCCCTTCCTTACACCTTATACAAAAATCAATTCAAAATGGATTAAAGACTTAAACGTTAGACCTAAAACCATAAAAACCCTAGAAGAAAACCTAGGCATTACCATTCAGGACATAGGCATGGGCAAGGTCTTCATGTCTAAAACACAAAAAGCAATGGCAACAAAAGCCAAAATTGACAAATGGGATCTAATTAAACTAAAGAGCTTCTGCACAGCAAAAGAAACTACCATCAGAGTGAACAGGCAACCTACAGAATGGGAGAAAATTTTTGCAACCTACTCATCTGACAAAGGGCTAATATCCAGAATCGACAATGAACTCAAACAAATTTACAAGAAAAAAACAAACAACCCCATTAAAAAGTGGGTGAAGGACATGAACAGACACTTCTCAAAAGAAGACATTTATGCAGCCAAAAAACACATGAAAAAATGCTCACCATCACTGGCCATCAGAGAAATGCAAATAAAAACCACAATGAGACACTATCTCACACCAGTTAGAATGGCAATCATTAAAAAGTCAGGAAACAACAGGTGCTGGAGAGGATGTGGAGAAATAGGAACACTTTTACACTGTTGGTGGGACTGTAAACTAGCTCTACCATTGTGGAAGTCAGTGTGGCGATTTCTCAGGGATCTAGAACTAGAAATACCATTTGACCCAGCCATCCTATTACTGGGTATATACCCAAAGGACTATAAATCATGCTGCTATAAAGACACATGCACACGTATGTTTACTGTGGCATTATTCACAATAGCAAAGACTTGGAACCAACCCAAATGTCCAACAATGATAGACTGCATTAAGAAAATGTGGCACATATACACCATGGAATACTATGCAGCCATAAAAAATGATGAGTTCATGTCCTTTGTAGGGACATGGATGAAACTGGAAATCATCATTCTCAGCAAACTATCGCAAGAACAAAAAACCAAACACCGCATATTCTCACTCGGTGGGAATTGAACAATGAGAATACATGGACACAGGAAGGGGAACATCACTCTCTGGGGACTGTTGTGGGGTGGGGGGATGGGGGAGGGATAGCATTGGGAGATATACCTAATGCTAGATGACAAGTTAGTGGGTGCAGCGCACCAGCATGGCAGATGTATACATATGTAACTAACCTGCACATTGTACACATGTACCCTAAAACTTAAAGTATAATAATAATGAATTTAAAAAAAAGAATTTCTATTCTTCTTGATTCACTTTAGGTATTTTGCATCTTTCTAGGAATTTGTCCATTTTATCTAAATGTTCTATTTTTTTGGCATACAGTTGTTCACATAATTACCTTATAATTCTTTTTATTTATGTAAGATTGGTAGTAATATCTTCTCTTTCATTTATGACTTTAGCAATTAAATTTTTCCTCTTTTTTCTTGGTAAATCTGGCTACTGTTTTGTCAGTTGTCTTGATCTTTTCAAATAATCAAATTCTAGTTTCATTGATTTTCTCTATTGTGTTTCTATTTTTTATTTCATTAATTTTCTGCTGCAAACCTAGTTCTTTTTCTTCTCCTTGTTCTGGCTTTAATTTGCTCTTCTTTTTCATGTCTCTTAAGATAGAAGGTTATCTTTTTTATTTGAGATATTTCTTCTTCTTTAATGGAGGTGTTTTTAGCTGCAAATACTCCTCTAAGCACTACTTTGGCTGCGTCCCATAAATTTTATTATGTTGTGTCTTCATTTTTGTTCATCTCAATGTATTTTCAAATTTCTCTTGTGATTTTATCTTTGAACCATTAGTTACTTGATAATGTGTTGTTTAATGTTCACATATTTGTAGATTTTTCCAAATATATTTGTTACTAATTTTCAATTTCAATCCATTGTGATCAGGAGAGCATACTTTATATTATTTCATTTCTTTAAATTTATTAAGGCTTGCTTTATTACCTGGCATTTGTCTATCCTGGAAAACGTTTAATGTGCATTTAAGAAGAACATATGTTCTGCTGCAGTTGGGTGGAAAGTCCTATAGATGTCTGTTAGGTTTTGTTTGTGTATTATTGTTATTCAAGTCCTTTATTTCTGTGTTGATCTTCTTTCTAGTTGTTCTATTTAATATTGAACGTTGGGCACTAAGTCTCTGGGCATTACTATTTAATTGTCTATTTCCAACCTCAATTCAGTCAGCCTTTGTTTCACACATTTTGGATTTCTGTTCTTAGGTGCATATGTGCTTATAATTATTACTACCTCTTGACAGATTAAACATTTTAGCATTGTAAAAGTTCCTCTTTACAGCTAAAGGCATTTCATGTTTTAAAGTGTTCTTCTAATATTAGTGCAGTAGTTCCCCTTATCATGGAGAATATGTTTCAAGACATCCTGTGGATGCCTAAAACTAAAGATATTACCAAATCCTGTATATACAGTCATCACTCAGTGTTCACAGAAGATTGGTTCTAAGACTCCCACATGGATACTAAAATCTGTGGCTGCTGAAGTTCCTCAGTTAGCCCTGCAGAACCTGTAGACATGAAAAGTCAGGACCTCTGTATCTGCAGACACCACATCTTGTAAATACTGTAATTTCTATCATTGGTTGGTTGAATCTGAAGATGCAGAACCACAAATACATAAGGCCAACTGTACTGTTTTTCTCTACACATACATACCTATGATAAAGTTTAATTTATAAATTAAGCACGGTGAAAGATAAACAACAATAACTAATAATTAAATAGAACAATTATAACAAAATACTAGCATCACTACTTTTACACTTTGAGGTAATAATTAAGTAAAACAAAGGTGACCTGAAGACAAGCACTGCAATACCACAACAGTTGATCTGATAATCGAGATAGGTACTTTGGCTGCGTTTCATGAATTTTGCTATGTTGTGTCTTAATTTTCATTCATCCCTATTTGCCATAGATAGGAATTTTTAAAGTAATTGCGGTTTTGTATTGTTGGAATTTACCGTCTGATATTAGAATACATTCTTAAATAAATGTGGTTATGTTATACATCATTTTAATGGGCATTTCTCACTTTACCTTTTTTTGCTAATGACTTACTACTTGCTGTTTATGTTTGTTTTACACTATGAAAATGATGTTAGACAAAAAAGCCGATTTGAGAGATCTTCTTATTCGAGTTCAAAATGGGTTATAAAGCAGGGGAGACAACTCTCAACATCAACAACGCATTTGGCCCAGGAACTGCCAACGAACATACAGTGCAGTGGGGGTTCAAGAAGTTTTGCAAAGGAGATGAGAGCCTTGAAGATGAGGAGCATAGTGGCCAGCCATCAGAAGTTGACAGAACGATCAATTGAGAGCAATCATTGAAGCTGATCTTCTTACAACTACACGAGAAGTTGCTGAAGAACTTAGTGTTGACCATTCTATGGTCATTCAGCATTTGAAGCAAATTGGAAAGGTGAAAAAGCTCAATAAGTGGGTGCCTCATGAACTGACTGAAAATCAAAAAAACTCATTTTGAAATGTCGTCTTCTCTTATTCTATGCAACAACAACAAATCATTTCTCAATAGGATTGTGACGTGTGATGAAAAGTGGATTTTATACTACAACCAGTGATGACCAGCTCTGTGGTTGGACCGAGAAGCAGCTCCAAAGCACTTCCCAAAGCCAAACTTGCATCAAAAAAGGTCATGGTCACTGTTTGGTGGTCTGCTGCCAGTCTGATCCACTACAGTTTTCTGAATCCTGGCAAAACCATTACATCTGAGAAGTTTGCTCAGCAAATTGATGAGCTGCACTGATAACTGCAATGCCTGAAGCTGGCATTGGTCAACAGAAAGGGCCCAATTCTTTTCCACAACAATGCCCGATCATATGTCATACAACCAATGCTTCAAAAGTTGAACGAATTGGGCTATGAAGTCTTGCCTCATGCGCCGTATTCACCTGACCTCTCGCCAACCGACTACCACTTCTTCAAGCATCTCGACAACTTTTTGCAGGGAGAATGCTTCCACAACCAGCAGGATGCAGAAAATTATTTCCAAGAGTTCATCGAATCCCAAAGCATGAATTTTTACGCTACAGGAATAAACAAACTCACTTCTTGTTGGCAAAAATGTGTTGATTGTAATGGTTTCTATTTTGATTAATAAAGATGTGTTTGAGCCTAGTTGTAATAATTTAAAATTCATGGTCCAAAACTGCAATTGCTTTTGCATCACTCTAATACTAAGTGACTAATGGGTGGGTAGTACATACAGCATGGATATGCTGGACAAAGAGATGATTCACATCCTCAGTGTGATGAAACAGGATGGTGTGAGATTTTATCGCACTACTCAGCAGAGCACAGTTTAAAACTTATAAACTGTTTATTTCTAGAATTATTTGCTTAATATTTTTAGACTGGAGTTGACCATAGGTAAATGAAACTATGGAAAGCAAAAGCATGAATAAGGGAGAACTACTGTTTAACTACTAGAGCTTTCTTGTGATTGCTGATTAAATGATGTATCTTATTTTATTATTTTATTTTCAACCTATTTGTATCTTTAAATCAAAAGTTCATTTCATGTACCTGGCTTATTTAATTTAACGTAATGTCCTCTAGGTTCATTCATGTTGTTGCAAATGACAGAATTTCCTGTTTTCATGGCTGAATTAGTAATCCATTGTGTATATATGCCATGTTTTAAAAATCCATTCATCCATTGATAGACGCCAGGTTGTTAGACAGCATAGTTGAATCTTATTATTTTTATCCCATCTGACAATCCTTGTCTTCTGATTGCATTTTTTAGTCCATTCACAATTAATGTTGATGAAGATATAGTTGGATTTATGCCTGCCATTTAACACTTGGTTTCCTATATATCTCATACCATATTTGTTTCTCAATTCCTCCTTTACTACTTTCCTTTGCATTAAGTAAATATTTTCTAATGTCATATTTGAATTACTGTAATGATTTTTCACTTTGTAAAGTTATTTCTTAGTGTTCTCTATAAGTTTTACCATATACATGTTAACTTACCAGAATCTTTCTTCAGAATTGTATAAACTTTATTCCAGTGGGATATACATATGGTACTCCTACACAGCTCTCCTAGTTCTTCCACTTTAAGCGCTAATATTGTTATACATATTTAATCTATATACATCAGAAAATTAACAACACATTGTTGTAATTATTACCTAAATCAACGTATGTCTATTTAAGAAGCTGAGGAAAGAAAGCAGAACATGTATGTGTTTATACTAGTTGTTATATTTGCCTTCTTATTTCACGTTTATGAATATCTTATCTGTTTCTGTGGGCTCAATTTATTATCAGGTATTATTTGCTTTCCAATACAACTTTGCTCTCACTTAACCTCCATAGTGCAGTTATCAAACATACTACCTTTCAATACATTATAGATTAAACAATACACGTATATACATGTGATGGTATACAATTGATTTTTAAAAAAGAAAAAAATGAAAAATACATGTGCATTTTTCTTAGTCCATTTGGAGTTAGTACAATAGAATGCCACAAACTGGGTACATTATAAAGAAAAAGTGAATTTCTAACAGTTCTGGAGGCTGGGAATTTTTAAATCAAGATGCAAGCAGGTTTGATCTCTGATGAGGGTCTTGTATCTGCTTTTAAAATGGTGCCTTGAATGCCACATTCTCCTCTATACAATGGAATATTGCCCACCTATAAAAATAAAGGACAGGTGGAAGGCAGTGCAAGATGGCTGAATAGAAGACTCCACTGATCACCCTCTCCAAGGGAACACCAAAATGAACAATTGTCTACACCAAAAAGCATATTCATAAGAACCAAAAGTCAGGGGAGAGATCACAGTATCTGTTTTTAACATCATTTTGCTGAAAGAGGCACTAAAAATGGTAGAAAAGATAGTCTTGAATTGCTGATTCTACCCATCCCCTGGTGGCAGCTGCATGGCAAAGAGAGAGAATCTGTACACTTCAGGTAGAGAGAGTGCAGTCATTGTGGAACTTTGCATTGGAACTCAGTGCCCCCCTGTCATAGCAGAAAGCAACACCAGGCAGAAATCAGCTGGCACCCATGGAAGGAGTATTTGGGCCAGCCCTTGCCAGAGAAGAATTACTCATCCCAGCGGTAAGAACCCATGTTCCAGCAGGCCTCAACACTGTGAGTTAAAATGACCCATCATCCTAAATAAACATGAAAGGCAATGTAAGACACAAGGATTGCAATTCTTGGGCAAGTCATAGTGCTGTGCTGGGCTCAAAGCCAGTAGACTTGGGATGCATGCGACCCAGTGGGACACCAACCAAGACTACCAAGGGAGTGCTTGTGCCACTGTCCTCCCAACTCCAGGCAGTGCAGCTAATAGCTCCAAAAGAGATCCCCTCCTTCTGCTTGAGGAGCAGAGAGTGAAGAATAAAGTGGATTTTGTCTGGCAACTTGGATACAAGCTCAACCACAGTAGGATAAGGCCCCAGGCAGAGTCCTGATGTTCCCTTTCCAAGCCCTAGCTCCTGCATGACATTTTGAGACACATCCTGCACCAGAAGGGAACCAACTGCCTTTAAGAGGAAGATTCATTCCTGGCAGGATTTATCACCTGCTGACTAAAGAGCCCTTAGGTCCTAAATAACCAGCAGTGATACCAGGTAATACTTGTTGTGGGCCTTGGGTGAGACTCACAGATGTACTGGGTTCGTGTGTAACCCAGCACATTTCCAGCTTGAGTGGCTATGGGTAGGGATTCCTTCTTGAGAAAAGGAAAAGGAAGAGTAAAGGAGGGGCTTTGACTTGCAGCTTAGGTACCACCTTGACCATAGTGGGGTAGAGCAACAAGCAGACCATTGGGGTCCAAAAATTCTAGGCCTTGGCTCTTGGACAGCATTTCAGGACCTTTCTGAGACCAGAGGGGAGCCCAATGCCATAAATGGATAGTCCCAATGCCGTAAATGGATAGTCCCAGGCCTAGAAGCATTCACCACAAGCTGACTGAAGAGACCTTGAGCCTTGATCAAACACTGGAGGTAGTCAGGCAGTATTCACCACAGGACTGGGGTAGTAGTGACCATGGGAACAGGCTCCTCTGTGGGGTAAAGGGGAAGGAAGAGTGGGAAGGACTTTGTCTTGTGGCCTGGGTGACAGCTCAGCCACAGAAGAATAGACCACTAGGTAGATTACTAAGGTTTTCTACTCCAGGCCCTGGCTCCTGGATGGCATTTCTGGACTCACTTGAGCCCAGGGGGAAACGTGCCTCCCTGAAGGGAAGGACACAGTCTGGCTGGCCCCATCAGGTGCTTATTGTAGAAAACTACAGCCTTGAGTTAACATAGATGGTAGCCAGGCAGTGGTTACCACAGGCCGTAAGGGAGATCCAGTGCTCTGCTGGCTTCAAGTCTAACCAAGTGCACTTCTAGTAGTGGTAGCCACAAGGGTTCTATGTCACCCCTACCCCAGATCTGGGCACTCAGCACAGAGAGAGAGACTCCATTTGTTTAGGAGAAAGTAAGGGAGGAAAACAAAAATCTCTGCCTGGTAATCCAGAGAATTCTTCCAGATGTTATCCAAGACTACCAAGGTGGTACCTCTACAAATCTGCAAGAACCACAGCATTACTGGGCATGGGGTGCCACCTAAGGGAGATATGGCTACAGTGACCAAAACACATATATCACAAAACCCAAGTCCCTTTGAATACCTGGAAAACCTTCCCAAGAAAGACTGGTACAAACAAGACTAGACTTCAAAGATTACAATAAATACCTAACTCTTCAATGCCCAGACACCAACGAACTTCCAGAAGCACGAAGAATATCCACAAAAACATGAGCTCACCAAATGGACTAAATAAGGCACCAGGAACAAATACTGGAGATAGAGAGATATGTGACCTTTCAGACAGAGAATTCAAATTACCTGTGTTGAGGAAACTCAAAGAAATTTAATATAAAGTGAGAAATAATTCAGAATTTCATCAGATAAATTTAACAAAGAGATTGAAATAATTAAAAAGAATCCAGCAGAAATTCTGGTGTTGAAAAATACAATTGACATACTGAAGAATGCATCAGAGCCTCTTAATAGCAGAATTAATCAAACAGAAGAAAGAATTAGCTTAAAAACAGGCTACTTGAAAATGCACACTCAGAGGAGACAAAGGCAAAAAGAATAAAAAACGATGAAGCATGCCTACAGGATCTAAAAATAGCCTCCAAAGGGCAAATCTAAAAGTTATTGGCCATAAAGAGGAGGTAGAGAAGGAAATAGAGGTAGAGACTTTATTCAAGAGAATAATATCAGATAATTTTCCAAACCTAGAAAAATATATCAACATTCAAGTACAAGAAGATGATAGAACAACAAACAAATTTAACCCAAAGAAGACTACCTCACGGAATCTAATAATCAAACTCCCAAAGATCAAGGACAAGGAAATAATCTCAAAAGCAGTAAGAGAAGAGAAACAAATAACATACAAAGGAGCTCCAATACATCTGGAAGCAGACTTCTCAGTAGCAAACTTACAGGCAGAGGACAATGGCATGACATATTTAAAGTGCTGAAGAAAAAAAGAAAAACCTCTTACCCTAGAATATTATACCCAGTGAAAATATCCCTCAAACATGAACAAGTAATACATACTTTCCCAGATAAACAAAAGCTGAGGGATTTCATCAACACCAGACCTGTCCTGTAAAAAATGCTAAAGATGGTTTTTTGATTCAAAGAGGGGGACATTAATGAGCAATAATAAATTATCTGAAGGTACAAAACTCACTGGTAATAACAACACAGACAAACACAGATTATAACCCTATAATTGTGGTGTGTACGTTACTCATATCTTCAGTAGAAAGACTAAAATATGAACTGGTCAAAATAATGACTACAACAACTTTTCAAGATATAGACAGTAAAATAAGAAATAAATAGAAACAACAAAAAGTTAAAAAGCAGAGGAGCAAAGTTGAAGTGCAGAGTTTTTATTAATTTGTTCTTTGTTTGTTAGTTTGTTTCATTGTCCATGCAATCAGTGTTAAGTTGCCATCAGTTTAAAATAATAGGTTATACAATATTATTTACAAACCTCATAGTAATCTCAAACAAAAAAGCATACAGCAGATGCACAAAAAATAAAAAGAAAGAAATTAAAACATACCACCAGAAAAAATTATCCTAACTAAAGGAAGACAAGAAGGAAGAAAAGGAGAAGAAGAACACAAAACAACCAGAAAACAAATGACAAAATGTCAGGGGTAAGTCCTTACTTATCAATAATAACATTGAATGTAAATGGACAAAATTCTCTAATCAAAAGACATAGAGTGGCTGCATGGATATGAAAAACTAGCCCAATGATCTGTTGCCTACAAGAAACACACTTCACCAATAAAGATACTCAGACCCTGAAAATGAAAGGATGGCAAAGGATATTTCATATAAATGGAAACCAAAAAAGTAAACAAAAGTATCTATAATTTATCAGACAAAATGCATTTCAAGACAAAATTATAAAAAGAAACAAAGAAAGTCACAAAAAATAAAGCAGTCAATTCAGCAAGAGGATAAAACAACCATAAATATATAAACACTCAACACTGCCAAAATTTGTAAAGAAAATATTATTAGAGCTAAAAAGAGACATAGATGCCAGTACAATAATAGCTGGAGATTTCAACACCCCACTTTCTGCATTAAACATATTATCCAGACAGAAAACCAACAACAAAGCATCAGACTTAATATACACTATAGACCAAATGGGCATAATAAATATTTACAGAACATTTCATCTAACGGCTGCAGAGTACACATTCTTCTCCTCAGCATGTGAATAATTCTCAAAATAAACCATATGTTAGGTCACAAAACAAGTCTTATAACATTTTTTAAAAATTTAAATAATACCAAGCATCTTCTCTGACCAAAATGGAATAAAACTATAAATCAACAAGAGGAATTTTGGAAACTTATACAAACACATGGAAATCAAACAATATGCTCCTGAATGACCAGTGGGTTAATGAAAAAATTAAGAAAGAAATTGAAAAATGTCTTGAAACAAATGGTAATGGAAGCACAACATACCAAAACTTACAGAAAACAGCAAAAGCAGTAGCAAGAGGGAAGTTTATAGCTGTAAGCACCTACATCCAAAAACTAGAAAGCTTCAAATAAACAGCCTAATGATGCATCTTAAAGAACTAGAAAATCGAGACTGAACCAAACCCAAAGTTAGTAGAAGAAATATAAAGACCAGGGCAGAAATAAATGAAATTGACATGATTAAAACAATACAAAAGATCAATGAAACAAAAAGTTGTTTTTTTGAAAAGTTAAACAAAGTTAACAAACCATTAGCCAGACTAAGAAAAAAAGAGATGACCCAAATAAATAAAATCAGAGATGAAAAATAAGGCATTACAACTTTTACCACTGAAATTCAAAGGATCATTGGAGGCTACTATGAGCAACTCAACTATATGCCAATAAATTGGAAAATCTGGAAGAAATAGATAAATTCCTAGACACATATAACCTATCGAGATTGAACTATGAAGTAATCCAAAACCTGAACAGACCAATGACAAGTAAGGAGATCAATACCGTAATAAAATGTATTCTAGCAAAGAAAATCCCAGGGCCTGATGGCTTTACTGCTGAATTTTACAAAATATTTGCAGAAAAACTAATACCAATCCTACTCAAACTGTTCTGAAAAGTAAAGGAGGGAATACTTCCACACTCATTCTATGAAGCCACTACTATCCTAATACCAAAAGCAGACAAGGACACACCAAAAAAAAATATATAAAGCCCAATATATCTGATAAACGTTGATGCAAAAATCCTCAACAAAGTACTAGCAAGCTGAATTCAACAACAAATTAACAAGGTTATTCATCATGACCAAGTGGGATTTATCCCAGGGATGCAAGGAGGTTTCAGTATACAAAACTCAATCAATGTGATACATCATATCTACAGAATTAAGTACAAAAACTATATGATCATTTCAATTGGTGCTGAAAAAGCATTTGATAAAAGTTCAACATCACTTCCTGATAAAAACGCTCAAAAAACCAAGTATAGGACAAACATGCTTCAACACAGTAAAAGCCACATATTACCAACCCACAGGTATCATACTGAATGGGTAAAAACTGAAAGCCTTTACTCCAAGCTCTGGAACATGACAGTGATGCTCACTTTCACCATTGTCACTCAATATAGTACTCAAATTCCCGGCTAGAGCAACCAGAGAAGAGAAATAAATAAAGTGCACACAAATTGAAAAGGAAAAAGTCAAATTATCCTTGTTTGCTGCTGTTATGATCCTATATTTGTAAAAACCTAAAGACTTCACCAAAAAACTATTCAAACAGATAAAGAAATTTAGAAAGGTTGCAGGATACAAAATCAGCTACAAAAATCAGTAGCATTTCTACATGCCAACAGCAAACAATATAAAAAAGAAATCAAGAAAGTAATCCCATTTACAAGAGCTATAAATAAAATAAAACACCTAGGAGTTAACTGAGACAAAGAAGTAAAGAATCTCTACAATAAAAACTATAAAACATTGATGAAAGAAATTGAAGAGAATGCCAAGAAATGGAAAGATATTTCTTGTTCATGGATTGGAAGAATCAATATTGTTAAAATGTATGTACTACCAAAAGCAATCTACAGATTCAATGGAATCCTTATCAAAATACCTATGACATTCTTCACAGAAATAGAAAAAATAATCCTAAAATTTACATGGAACCACAAAAGACCCAGAATAGCCAAAGCTGTTTTAAGCAAAAAGAACAAAACTAGAGGAATCTCATTACCTGACTTCACATTATACTACAGAGCTATAGTAACCAAAACATCATGGTACTTGCATAAAAGCAAACACATAGACCCGTGAAGCAGAATAGAGGACCCAGAAACAAATCCATACATCTACAGTGAACTCACTTTTGACAAAGGTGCCAAGAACGAACATTGAGGAAAGGATAGTCTCTTCAATAAGTGGTGCTTGGAAAACTGGATATCCATATGCAGAAGAATGAAACTAGAACCCTATCTCTCACCATATAGAAAAATCAAATCAAAATGGACTAAAGACTTAAATCTAAAGCCCAAAACTATGAAACTACCAAAAGAAAACTTTGGGGAAACGCTCCAAGACATTGGGCTGGGCAAAGATTTCTTGAATAATACTCCACAAGCACAGGCAATCAAAGCAAAAATGGACAAATGGGATCACATCAAGTTAAAAAACTTCTGCACAGCAAAGGAAACAATCAACAAAGAGAAGAAACAATACACACAATAGAAGAAAATATTTGCAAACTGTCCATCTGATAAGGGATTAATAACTAGAATATATAAGGAGCTCAGACAACTCTATAAAAAAAATTTAATAATCTTATTTCAAAATGTGCAAAAGATCTAACGAGACATTTCTCAGAAGAAAACATACAAATGGTCAACAGGTATATGAAAAACTGCTTGACATCATTGATCATCAGAGAAATGCAAATTAAAACTACAATGAGATATCATCTTGCCACAGTCAAAATGGTTTTTATCTAAAAGATAAGTAATAACAAATGCTGGCAGGGATATGGAGAAAAAGAAACAGTTGCACACTGTTGGTGGGAATATAAATTAGTACAACCACTATGGAGAACAGTTTGGAGGTTTCTCAAAAAACGGAAAATAGAGCTACAATATGATCCAGCAAACCCACTGCTAGGTATATACCCCACAGAAAGGAAATCAGTATATCAAAGTGATATTGCACTCCCATGTTTATTGTAGCACTACCCATAATAGCCAAATTTGGAAGCAATCTAAGTGTCCATCAACAGATGAATGGATAAGAAAAACGTGGTACATTTACATAATGAAGTACTATTTAGCCATAAAAAAGAATGGTATCCTGTCAGTTGCAACAACATGAATGGAACTGTAGGTCATTTTGCTAAGTGAGATAAGCCAGGCACAGAAAGGAAAGCTTTGCATGTTCTCGCTTGTTTGTGGAAGGTAAAATTTAAAATAATTGAACTCATGGAGATAGAGAATAGAATGATGGTTACCAGAGGCTGGGGAGAGTAGTCAGCGGGTGGCAGGGGAAATGGGGCGGGTTAATGGGTACAAAAATACAATTAGATAGAATGAATAAGATCTAGTATTGATAGCACAATAGGATTACTATAGTCAACAATAATTTGTTGTACATTTTACAATAACTAAGAGTATAATTGGATTATTTGTAATGCAAGAAAGGATAAATGCTTGAGGTGATGGATACCCCATTTATCCTAATGTAATTATTATGTATTGTATGCCAGTATCCAATATCTATACCTGTATCAAATATCTCATATATCAAATATTTATATCAAATATCTCATGTACCCCATAAATATATTCAACTACCGTGTACCCACAAAGATTAAAAATTTCAAAAAGAAAAACAAAGAACAAACAAAAAATAATTAACAAAGATTTCATGACTACATATGAAACTTTTTCCATTTCTCTTGCATATAATTTATCTGGCGTGGAAGCTTAAAGCACTGAAAAAGCACATTTGTTCTCCTTATTATTCTTTCTCATGTAATGGTTCTCATGTCATTCCTAACCACATTTATTCAATTGGTTCTGATAGGAAGGTATTTATTCTTCTTCTAAAGGTTGAGCACAAAATAGGGCTGAGTCATTATATTCCTCTCTGTCATCTGTCATTATGTGTCTAGGAAAGGGCCTCGCTTGTCCTGGATTTTATTCTTTTATTTAACACAGTTATCAAAGCCCATTATTCTGTCCTCAGCATTTTTATAGGTCTCTGCACATTTTGTGCTTAACCTTTCTGACCATATTCTTGCAGAATATTTTGTATTTGTCCTTCATTGTACGTATTTTGCTGCCTTTGCATACATCTCTGAAGACGATATGGTCATGAGAGGTTTCCCAGTGCAGCCACATAGTTGTTTTTAGATGCCTCTGCTGTTCCAAATGTTGTTAAAAATCCTTCCTTCTTATTTAGCCTTTTTGTGTCTTATGGTCTCTGGCTTCTCATCTGGCGTATGGAAATCTGATTTCTAAAGTCAAGAGTGCCTTTGAATACCAAACCTTCCCTCCTTTGTCTTTCTCCTCACTTTCAGTGCCTTTTTGGGTCAGTATGTGCCAGTAAAATACACAGCACTTTCTTCAAGAGCAGTGTTGCCAAATGCCTACTTAAATCAGTAAACACTTTTAACTCATTCATATGGAGGGAATAAAAATCTCATATAGTAACCTGTGTATGTTTGGATATGGGTTCATAATCCCTGCCTCCCCCCCATTTGTATAAATGTAAAATATCTAAGGCAGATGCTTCCGTTTTCAGGCTAACAGATATGTACATCAAGATATCATATTTTCCCTTAATGTTTATGCTGACATTAACCCACACTTGGCTATAAAAACATCATGTGAGGTAACAGGAAAAGGAGACTGGAGAGCTATCATAAAAGCATTTTGTATTTTATCAATATACTCTTACTACAAACTATTAGAAAAAATCTAAAATAAAGCCCATCTCTCTCACACACACAAATACACACACACACATATACAGAATTTGTGTCACCAGAAAATAAATATCCACATCATGGCTTACTGATGTAGACCTCAAAGATTTTTCATACTGAAATTGTATTTTGTGGAAAATAACACAGATCTACTACCATAAAGCATATAAGAAAAATAAAACCTAGGACATTTATTTTTAATCGATACACATGACTATCAATACAATGACAACCATTAAAGATTTAGGGTGCATGTAAAAGGCGCGCATAATCTGTCTAACACTTCTTGTCAAAACAAATAAGAGTAAAGATCTTTACTAAATTTATTCATTCCTTGGTGTCAATGTTTCCTGAATTTTTCTTAAGTTTCTATATCCATGTATTTTAAATTGATCTCAAAAACCAACGTTGTACCAGATCATAAGTTGCCCATCCAGTGTAAAGATTGTGGTTGCTAAGATAACAAATCTCATAACTTAGATGTCCCTCCATTTCCAAAATAGTGTCAATTCATTATTATTGTCATAATCTTGAAATTGATGTTTGCAATATAGGCAGACTGTTGAGCTTTCAGTCTGTTGGAGAACATTATATTTTATTAGGCTCATTATAAAGATGGAAAAGTTTACCATGCTGTTCATTAGGAACATAAAGATAACATCTTGAGTTTCAGATTTCAAGCATATTACTAAAGACATATCTTTTGGTAACAGAGAAGTCACGGTGTGGAATTATTTAAAAATTATAGTTTATATATGATTGTCAATAAAGTGAAAAATTATTAATCCATTGACATAATTTAGTTTTTAAAAGGTTTGCTGACTTATTGTCTGAAAGCTAGTCTCTCTACCCCCCCAATACATTATATAGCATTTAGTTATTTTTATTTTATGGCATTAAGCTTCTGAAACCACATGGAATATTAACCTTCAGTGTTAACTTCTACTTATATTCTGCTTTGAAATCTATTGTTAATATAAGAGTAGACTTACATAATTTTGACTTTGAGCTAGAAGATAAATTTGATTTTTGGTTTGGTATAGATGAGATGTAGATACCCATCTGGGCTAAACTAGAGTAGTTGAGGTGATACCTTAATAGAATGGGGTGGGAAGAGGTGGAGGAAACCAAGTCTGAGGAAAGAAAACACTTCAAACTTAACTGGAATTATGACTTTGTTAAAATGCTTTCAATTCTAAGCAAAATGGGTAGATAGAGTAGAATAAGATAGTGAGATCATTTCCTTGGCTATCACATAATTTTAAGACTATAACTCAACTTTTATGCAACATGTCATCTGGAGTTTGATGGCTTATGCAATCTTATTGACTCATTATTTGAAAACAAGAGGAAAATAATAATAGAAGACTGTCTAATGAATCTAGCAGGGTAAAATTTTGCTAAAATATTTTATCCAGATTCAACACTGAAACACGCAATTAGGCATTTAGATGAGTTAGTAATTTTTTTATAAAGTGGCACTTTCACAACACTATATCATTCTTTATCACCTCAGTCTTAAGCTAATATCATTATGGTAACACCAAAGGTGTTGCTAGACTTTGCAGTTACATGGTTTGTTTTGGGATCACATATTCTACCGCTATTAAGAGGCAGCCGCCACGCAGTTTCATAGTGATAAGATATAAGTTGTTTTTTTCCAAACTTATTTAGCTAAGAAACTCTTGTCATTTGAGTAAATTTTTCTTCTGGAAATTTATTTAATACTTATGCCTTGGTTTCTCTTCAGCCTTTGGGTGCAACATACTGTAATCAATTTTTTGACAGGATCAGTAAGATCCTGCCACTCTCATCACCATCCTCTTTGGACATTTCCAAAATATTTTAACTTGTATATAAATCTGCCTTCTTCCCAAAATGAGAGCTTATTGAGGGCACAGAACATGCCTGGTTTGGTTCTTCAACCCCATTACCTAGCACTCTCCTAGATTTCTGATGAATAAATGTCTTCATTTTGTCTCTATTTGCTTCAAATTCCTATTTGTTACTTCTCCTCTTCCCTCTTTCCTCCATTTTTTATTAGTAAAATCTCTGAGAGGTGCCATGGGAAGTCTCCACAGGATTCACATCTTAGGAAGACACAGTCTTTAGATTTCAGGCCTAAAAATTCTGTCGCAAAAATAGATGAAAAACTAGACAGGTTATTTGAAAAAAAGCCTAATGTAAAATTCAAATATGAATAGTGAAACTGGGTCAATATAATTTAGTCAAAGGGCAAAATGAATTTCTCAAATGTAATCATGTTCAAAAAGCAGTTTGTGGCAGATAAAGTGAGCTTTACAGTAAAATTGCAGAAAGAAATGAAAGGAATAAATGCTCTTTCCAGTAACTTTTGCTTAAGATCATTGCAGAAGGCCTAAGATTTACAGTGTTAAGAAGAAAAAAAGGAAATGAGAGAAGAAAAATGAATAAATACAGCTACTTACAGAGAAATTACTATATAATGTTTTAAAAACTCTAAACAATAAGTTAAAAAGAAATCATTTCCGTATTTATTTGATTTGAATACCACAAAGTATGTTTAAGCTTGAATTTTAACACATAATCCACAAACAGATCTTGAAACAAGGAAAAAGAATTAACACAATTGGTAGATTATTAGATTTTCAATGATTAAAGAGATTATATAAAGAACTGTTTTGAAAGAGTCCTGAGCATATGTCTACTATTGGTTCTCTGTAAAAATCCAATTGAAATTAAAGAAAAATATTTTAAGTGAATTATTGCTAACATCCAAAGAAAAAATATATAAATACAATCAACAGACTATAAATTTTTAGGAATTTTAGAATCAGATTAGCAGAGAAACAAAAGTAGGTAAAGCTTCAGCCTCAAATAAGTGTAGTCTATTGTAGAGTTGAGACTAGTTCTTCTGTAAGAAATCCTCCGATATGCTCAATGCTCAGAGTTAACAAATACAAAGAACAGTACATACTCTAGTGCTATCATCAGGGTAATTAATTAATGAAGTGCACATGAAAGAGTTGCATTTGCTAGAACCTCCACTCCCACCCTGCATATAACACACTGTAGGACACAGTGATATTTGTTCTCAGAATAAACTTACGTAACTTTTTTCTTGTTATTTGTCTTCAAAAATTATTTAGGAAATATATGTACAAAGTTTTAAAAAGCCAAAGTACTACAAGTTTAATTTAAAAAACGGTAATCAACTACCCAAAGCACTTCCCACCCCTCAAAGGCAACCAGACACAACTCTTTTAACTGTTTTATTGCTGTTGTTGTTGCGGAAAATCAGGACGGTAAGGGAGACCTCGGGGTATAGCAGGAGGAGGATCTTTCATTGAGTGCACTCCAGCCCAGCAGACTCAACATCCAAAAAACTGGGCCCCGAACAAAGACAAGGTTTTCCTCATATACCCACTCCTAAGTGGCGCGAACTCGAATGTACAGAGGCAAGACAAAGGCCGTTAATCAAACTAAGACAGGCTTATGTTTGAAATGCTTGTTCTCCAGTATCGTAAAGAAATGGCACTTGAACATAAATTTAATTTATTTAGTAAGGCCATTTTTACTCCCTGCAGAAAGGGTACGCTCGCCAGCAGTTTTGCCATGAGAGTACACCGAACAAAGGAGACAGGGTCATTTATAATCTGATGCTTCCACCCTACTGCTGTGTCAGGTTTCCATTGGCTGGAAGGAGACCTCACATTCTGTATTTGTCACGATTGGCTAGCAAATTAGAACTTTTTAAAAGAGGCAAAGGTAGAGGAGAACAAAGGAAGGAGGAAGTAACTTGTGGAATGCTGAGAAAGATAAAAACACTTCTAAATAAGGAAGAGGAACAGGCTATGACCTAATGCTTGCTTAGACCAGTAATAAGCATGCCAGGGCAAATATTTAGGCTAAATTGTGGGAGCTAAGAACATAAAGTACATTGGTTTCTTTATTACGGTTAGCAGATATTTAAGAATGTTAGCACAGGTCTTTGAATAAATTTTACTTTTATGAGAAGTTACTATTTATTCCTAATTAGATGGGGAGGAAAGTCTTTGAAGAGGAACCTCTATTTTACTTTTTACATTTATAACTCAGGTTTAGTATCCTCCTTACTATGCAGCCCAGATGGTCATTATCTGGTTAGTTCAAAGGAGTTTCACAAAGACTCATCTTGCGACCCCCACCATGGAGTTTAGCTGGCTACAAGCTAGACCTGCTCAGGCTATACTGCTTAGATGAAGAAGCAGGAACCTACAATCATTAACAACAGGAAAGACAGAAACTCTTAAAACTTACAGAGCAAGGAGCAAGGTATAGGGGATGGGATTGGAGGGGGAAGTTTACTTACACTAAAGGAGAGACAGGGAAACTTATCTCTTCACATCCTTATGTTGAGAGAGTGCTGGGAGAGTCTTCAGAGCACATTCCTTTGAGCTCTGGCCCTTAGATAACATTATCGAAAATTTGCCTGTTACTGCCTTTGAAACGAGTCAGCCTAACACAGGCAGCTTGTTTCTTTCTCTTTTTAATTTCTATTTTCTTCCTTTCTTTAATTTTTCTTTTTTTCCCACCTCATTGTTGCTTATTTTTAAAAATTTTAGACATTGTATTCTGCCTTCCAACTTTAGAATATTAATATTTAGCACTGATTCAGCAACACACATATTGTTAATGCTTCATCTTGCCAATATGGACATACCATCATGTACTTGTTAAATCAACATTTAGTTCTCTAATTATTAAGATTACATAAAATATTCAAGCTGAATCAAGCAGTGAACCATAATTACATTTTTTCTGTACAGCTATATATTTTTCCTAAGGTTAATAATTACTTCAATATTTATTTGTTTAGTTTTCTTTATATCTATAACTAACTTATCTTTAAAGTATCTGCCACAACTCTACAGCTCCTCTCTATATGGTCACACACTTGAAATAATTTGTAGACTCCATTTCTTGGAGACATTCTTTTTTTTTTTTTTTTTTTTTTTTGAGACAGAGTCTAACTCTGTCACCCAGGCTGGACTGGAGTGCAATGGCGTGATCTCAGCTCATCACAACCTCTGCCAGCTGGGTTCAAGCGATTTTCCTGCCTCAGCCTCCCGAGTAGCTGGGATTACAGGCACGTGCCACAACGCCCAGCTAATTTTGTATTTTTAGTAGAGACGGGGTTTCTCCATGTTGGTCAGGCTGATCTCAAACTCCCGACCTCAGGTGATCCATCTGTCTCGGCCTTCCAAAGTGCTGGGATTACACGTGTGAGCCACGACATTATTCTTGAATAACTCTATTCTCCTCCTCCAATCAGAACTGATTCTCTCTAGTGCTACCGCATAGTTGTGATCTTGGGAGTTCTATTCACCATCATCCTGAGAAATCTCTTCACTTCTCTATGGGTTAGATAATCTATTCACAAGATATTACAGATTTTATTTTTCTTGGTTTACTGCTTCCTGAAATATTCTCTGTCCCCTTCCTTCCTAAGTTGTACAGTTTGTTTTGTCCTCCAAACTTTATGATGAAAGCTTTCTTAAAAATAAAAACTAATATTTGTTCAGTCATATTTAAGAATAAGAATGGCAAATAAAAAGCTGATTAGAAACTGAGTATGTGAGGGTAGGTTTAGTGACTGGTGGATCTCCCATTCAGTGATTGATTGGAGACCTAGTTATGTCACACAATTATCCTGAAGAGTCAGTATTTTAAAATTTCTTGAAGGTTACTCAGGTTCATCAAAGGAATACTCCAACCAGTTGGTTTGATGAGAGTGAGTTATACTCACCAGTCCCAAGGTATGTGGGGAATAAGTGAAGGGTGCAACGGGGGGGTCTTAGAATTAATCATGTAGAATTTCACACAATTTATATTTTCAGTGAGATGTCTCATTCATGTCCTCCACTGTGCCTGGCGTCTTCCAGAGCAAACCATCACTTTCAATTTTACCAAATAGCAAAATTCCCATCTTTTACAAGTGGTGCCGTGGTGCCCATCTCTAAGTGTTAGTTGGGAAATGGGACCTATTGTTAAAGCATTCCTTATATAGGCTTTTAATTACTTCTGTTTTTAACCCAATTTTCCTCCTGCCCTCCAAAGTTACCTAATGCCTAGGCCTTCAATTCTTATATTTTCTGAGGTTTCTGAGTAAAATTTGGTTTGTTTCATATGGTGTCCTTCCCCCAACTTTCTTACTTTTATAGGTACTTAGAGTAGAGAAAATGAAAACCTAAGTCAATTACCATTTGTCATTTCACTTTCCATCTTTTGAAATAATGTTAGCATCTTTCATCTGCTTTCATCACTTCCCCTTTGGTCCTAGTGGCTTTATAACTTTTTTTAATGTCTTCACTATCATTTTAGGGAGATCTCAGAGGGGGAGAAAAGATAAAGACATATTCTGAGCAAAATCTCAGAACTACATTTTAAGTAAAGTGAATGACTTCCAGCATGAGTAATGAACCTAAGAAAGAAGCAGAATGGAACCTGAGATAATTCTGAGAAAGAGAACATAAAGTAAAAGAAATACCTGATTGTAGCATTTTCCCTCAGGATAAAGCCTAAACAGAATGTGTGAAATTAGAGTCCTGACTCAAGAGACTCCCATAAGGGATGGTGGACTTGGAGAAGCAAATACATTCTCTAGGAAAGGAAAGGAAACATCTACACCCAGAAAAAAAACTTATGGATACATTCCATGCAAACCAATGTTCAAGTCATCTCCCTCAATCACCTGAGACAGACATCAAAATCAAAATCTGTATTATTCAACAGTTGGAACATGTTTCACATTTAGGCTAAGCAGGCTGAAAGTTCTATTTAGAGTTTCAGGGAAATATATGAAGAAAAATGAGTCACCAAATTTTAAAAAGTAACTCTCAGGTAATAAAGTTCATAGGGGAAATAGAATAAAAAAATCTAAATAAGAATAATCACTGTAATGAGAGTAATTTTATAGGATATAATATAACTTTTAAAAATTAACTTCACTTGTTAAAGGTAAAGGTCAAATTTTTTTTAAATACTGAGCTAAAATAATTAATGAATACAATCAATCAATGAAAATTAGTATGTAAAAAATTATGCTATGACACTAAAGCACCATTTAAGCAAAACTTTATACTACAGAGTGCCTATATTAGAAAAGAAGAAAAGTCTCAAATCAATTAACTCAATTTCCACTATAAGAAACAAGAAAAATAAAAGCAACTTAAAACCAAAGTAAGCAGTAGAAAGAAAATAATAAACATCAGAACAAAAAGTAATGACAGACAAAAAATTTAAAAAAATAAAATTCTGTTTTTTAAGATAAACAAAGTTGAAAAATTACAGCCATAATGATCAAAAAGAAAAAAAGATAGGACTTAAACTTTCAATATCAAGAATGAAAGTATGCCAGGCAGTGCAGAGTGCAAGAATGAGACATCTCACTGAAAAATAACATTAATAAAGATTCTAGGTATTAAAAGGATGATAAGGAAATTTAAGAGTAACTTTATACCAGAAAATTTGAAAATTTATGTTACATAAAACCTTTAAAAGATAAAAACTACCAAAGCTCTGTCAAGAAAAATTAGATAACCTGACTAGCCCTATAACCATTTTTTAAAATTGGATTTATAGTTAAAAAACCTTCCCACAAAGAAACCATCTAGGCACAGATGGTTTTACTAATAAATTCTACCAAACATTTAAAGAAGAAATAGTGTACTAATTTTATGTAAACCCTCTCAGAAAATAAAAAGTAGGAAATAGTTCCCAATTCATTCTATAGGGCCAACTTTCCCTTGATATTCAAATTAGATAAATACAAGAAAAGAAATCTATAGACTTATATCCCTCAGGAACATAGATGCAAAATTTTAAACAAGATTTAGCAAATTGAATTCAACAATATATAAAAAGAATGATATATTTATGACCAAATAGAGCTTATTCTAGGTTGGTTTAAATCCAATAGAATACACCATATTTTTAAATTATCCCCAAAAGCTGTAGAATCATTTCCGTAGATGCAGTAAAAAGATTTGCAAAATTCAACATCCATTTCTGTTATAAATTCTCAGAAAACTAGGAATAGAAGGAAATGTCTTAATCCTGATAAAAGACACCAGTGAAAAGTAAATGTGAGTCTTCCAACTTTGTAAGTCCTCACCTATGTAAGTTAACATTATAGTTAATGGTAAAAGGTGGACTTCTGTAGCCCTAATATTAGGTTTAGACATGGATGCCTTTTCTCATCACTTCTACTCAAAATTTCACTGTAGGTTCTAGTCAAGGAAATCAGGCAAGAAAAATAATTGAAGGCCTCCAGCTCCATCTGTGTTTCTGCAAAGGACACAGTCTCATTCTTTTTAATGGCTGCATAGTATTCCATGGTGTAGCTGGAGACCATTATCCTTAGCAAACTAACGCAGGAACAGAAAACCAAATACTGCATGTTCTCACTTACAAGTGGGAGCTAAATAATGAGAACACATGGACACATAGAGGGGAAGAACACACAATGGGGCTTATCAGAGGGTGGAGGGTGGGAGGAGGGAGAGGATCAGAAAAATAACTAATGAGTACTACGCCTAATACCTGGGTAACAAAATAATCTGTACAACCCCTACCACACAAGTTTACCTATATAACAAACCTGCACATGTACCCCTGAAATTAAAATAAAAATTAAATTAAAAAAAGAAAAATAATTGACAGCATCTAGTTTGGAAATAACGAAATAAATCTGTCTTTATTTGCAGTCAATAGATCATATATGTAGAAAATTGTGTAAAAGGTTACTAGCACTAATAAGTGAGTTTACCAAGGTGGTAAGATATAATATCAATATACTGAAAGCAATTGCATTTCTCTATACTAGCAACAAACATTATGAAATTATATTCTTTAAAAATATCATTTACAATAGCATCAAAAATTTTTTAAAATACTAAGAGTTATCTCTGAAGAAAAGGTGTATAGGCCATCTGAATTTAAAACCTACAGAACATTGATGAGAAAAATTAAGGAAGATCTAAATGAATGGAGAGATACACATTGGTCATGTGTCAGAAGGCTCAATGTTGTTAAAATGTTAATTCTCCCCAAAATGATGTATAAGTTCAACATACTATCAAAAACTAGCAAGCAGTTTACAAATTGATCAGCTGATTCTAAACATTTTTATGGGATTGAAACAACTTAAAATAGCCCAAATATCTTTGAAAAAGAAGACGAAGTTGGAGAACTCACACTTTCTACTTTAAAACTTATTATAAAGTCTACTGTAGCTAGAGTGTTGTGGTATTGGTATCAAGATAGACAAATAGATAAATGGAACAGAATAGAGTCCCGAAATGTATTTAGACATATATCAATGAATATTTTTGACAATGGGCAATGCAGTGGAGAAAGGACAGTCCTTTAAACAAATTATGCTGGAACAATTGTACACATACATACAAAAAAATTCAATTCATACCTTATGTCATATACAATAATTATTTAAACCTGGATTAGAGACATAAATGTAAAACCATACACTATAATTTCTAGATTAAAACACAAATATTTGTGTCCTTGGGTTAAAAAATGTTTCTTTGATATGAGCCTAAAGACAGAATGCATAAAAAAAGATACATTAGACTTCATGAAAATTTAAAACTTATGTTCTTTTAAAGATGATGTTAAGAGAATGAAATGACAAGTCACAGACTGAGAGAAAATGCTTGCAGAGCATATATCTGATAAAAGATTTGGGTCTAGAATATATAAAATACGTTTAGAGCTTTAACAAAATAAGCAGCCCAATTTAAAAAATGGGCAAAATATTTGCACAGACACTTGACTTAAGAAGGTAACTGTATGACACTTAAGCACATTAAAATATGCTAACCACCATTAATCATCAGGTGAATGGAAAATAAAGTAAGATAAAGAAACTACAAGTCCATTAGAATGGCTAAAATTGAAAAGACTGACCATACAAGTGTTGACAAGGGTGTGGAGCAACTGGAACTCTTAAACACTGCTAGTAGGAATGTGAAATATTACAGTAACTTTGGGAAATGGGAAACAGTTTGGCAGTTTTCTAAGAGGTGGTTATCATATGATCCAGTACTCTACTTCAACATATTTACCCAAGAGAAATTAGATTATATGTCAATACAAAGACTTGTGCATAAATGTTACTAGTAGCTTTATTTGTAGTGAAAACCTGGAAACGAACCAAATATCAATCAACAAGAAAAAAGATAAAGTGTTGTATATCCATACAAAAGTACTACTACTCAGAAATAAAAGGAATGAGCTATTTATGCATGCATCTACATGGATGAATCTCAAAATAATTATTCTTAGTAAAAATGTCAGAGTTATAATTTCATTTATATAAAATTCTAGAAAATACAAAGTTATGTATAGTGACAGCAGAACTGTGGGTGCCTGAGGACATGAGGGAAGAATTACCAAGGGGCACAAGGAAACATTTGTGGATGATAGATATGTTTTATGGACATATATCTTAATTCTTGTGGTGGGTTCATGGCTGTATACATCTGTGAAGGCTCATTAAATTGTACACTTCAAATATGTACAATTCCTTCTATGCCAGAAGCTTCAAGGCCCACATTTATCCCCTTTTCTAATTAGCAAGAAAGTGAGTCTGCTGCTCATATAGCTCAAATATACATCTCAGAAGTGATACCTACTGGCCCTGATGAACATGACTCATGTCATGTCTTTATACTGGAGCCAATCACACTAACTTATGAATAGAATATATGACTTATGTCAATTAAGACCTATCCCAAGGGCATGAAATGAGGTTGATGCAACAAAACCACATGGTTGGAAAATTCTGGGTGCTGTTAAAATTGAAGAAGGGGATAGAAAATACTGGGAAAAAAAAAACCCTACAAAGATGTCCATTATAGATTTTGATCGGTTTAGGGTCTTTAAAATCTCAGAATTCCTCATGAAATTCATTTTAAGAACTATATCCTTTGGTCCAGTCAATGTGTGTTGAGTTCCTGGTCATTTATTAGGCAATATGGTAGGCACTAGGATATAGCGGTGATAATAACAACTGATATCCTTGCATTCATGAAACTCACATTCTGGTATGGGAGGCAGAGCATAATAAAGTACCTATACAAGTACATACTTTTAACTAGTGATAATTACTATATTGCCTTTATACAACTGATGTAGACGCCTAAATGAAGAAATGAAAAGATCCATATAATAGTCTTGGGGAATAGCATTCCAGGCACAGAAAACACCAAAGCAAAATTTGTTGTATATAAGTGAACTTAGTTGTTTGAGGAAGGGCAAGAAGACCATTGTGCTGCTGAGGAGTGAAGATGGGGAAGAGTAGTCACTAAGAGGCTTGAGTGGTATTCAGGACCCTGATGAGGTTTAGACTTAAAGGATATGAAAACAAGAGTGGATTGTATTCTAAATGTCACTAGAAGTCATTGGAGCATTTGTGCAAATATGTGGTATGATCTGATTTTACTTTATAGAAAAATTGCTCTGAATGTAGGAGGACAAGAGAGGAAGGATAAAGACTAATTATAATGCATTTATGTAGTCCAAAAAAGAGAGATTATGGTGGCTTAGACTAGGATGAGAGAAGTGAAAGTAACAATTAATTGGATTTGGAATATCTTTTAAAGTTAAAGCAGACATGACTTCCTGATAAATATGATGTATACAAGAAAGAAAGAAATTGAGGGTAACTATCAACCTTTGGCCCAAGAAACTGGGTAAATTTTGGTACTGTTTAATGAAACAAGAAATACCAAAATGGGAATAGGTTGAGAGGCAATCAAGAATGATGTTTTTGCCATGTTAAGTATGTGATGCTGGTTAAATATCCAGTCAGAAATATTGAGTAGGCAGTTGAAATAAGTCTGAAACTCAGAGTGGAAGCCAGGATACAAAAAGAAGCTGAGCAGGGAAAGGGGAGGTGGCTTTGAGCCTTAAAAAAAAAAAAAGAAATATTCAAGTATAGAATACATCCCTAGGAGAGGAATTCCTAGGGAATAGAAGGTTGTAGCAGCGAACAAGAGAAACAAAATTCTGACCCTCATGTTATTTTCTAATGACAATAGCCAAAATTTTTTAGGTTTATTAATGTGTAATTTGTATACAAAAATCTGCACATATTTATTGTATATAATTCCATGGATTTGAACATATGCATACACCCATGAAACCATTGATACAATCAAGGTAATAAATGTATCTATCTCCTCCAGAAGTTTCCTTTTGAATACCCTCCTTTTTGTAGTAAGAACGCTTAACTTGTGAGCTACTTTCTTAACAAATTTTTCACTACAATATGATGTTATTAACTATAGATATCATGTTGTACAGAAAATCTCTAGAATTCATTCATTTTCCATCACTGAAATTTTATACTCATGTAAAAACAACACATATAAGGGGAATTATGCAGCATCGGTCCTTCAGTGTCTGGTTTATTTCTCTTAGCATAATGTCCTCCAGGTTCATCTATGTTGTTTCAATGACAAGATTTTCTTCTTTTTAAGGCTCAATAATATTCCATTATATTGGAGTCCAAATATCCGAATAATGTTACAATGAACATGGGAATGTAGATGGTTCTTTGGGATCTTGATTTCAGTTCTATTGTACATATACCCAAAGTGGGATTTCTGGAACATATGATAGTTCTACTTTGATTTTTAAAAGAACATTCATAGTGCTTTCCATAGCAGCTGCACCATTTTACATTCTCACCAACAGTTTATAAGGGTTCCAACTTCTCCACATCCTCACCAACATTAAAAAAAAAAAAAGACAGCCATCCTAACAGCTATGAGGTGATATATAATTGTAGTTTTGATTTTTATTTATGTGATGATTAGTGATGTTGAGTACATTTTCATATGGCTGTTTTCTATTCATACATCTTCTTTGAAAATATGTCTATTCAAGTCCTTTACCCATTTTTAATTGGATTGTTTGGATTATTTTGTCATTGAGCTACAGGGGTTCCTTATATATTTTGTATAATAACCCCTTATCAGATATGCAATTTGCAAATATTTTCTCCCATTCTATATGTTGCCTTTTCACTCTGTTGATTCTTTCATTCTTTCATTTGCTGTGCAGAAACTTTTTAGTTTAATATGATCCTACTTGTCAATGTTTGCCTTTGTTGCCCGTGTTTTGTGTCATATCCAAGAAATCATTGCAAAGACCAATGTAAAAATGCTTTTCTCCTGTTCTTTTCTAGAAGCTTTACATTTTCAGGTTTTATGTTTAGGTCTTCAATTCAATATGAGTTGATTTTGCGTCTAGTGTAAGATAAAGGTCCAATGCTTTTACCTCATTCCATCCACTGTGATCTCCTTACTGTTAGTTGAACATGCCAAGCATTCCCCTGCTTTAGGATATGTGCACTGGTTTTTCCCCTGCCTAAAGACATCTCTTGTTTATTCACTTCAGATCTCAGCTCAAATGCTTTCTTAGCAAAGAGGCAGTCTTTGAACCCACCCTATAAAAAATCATTCCCCTGTCATTATTTCTCTTTTCTTATTTTATTTTTCTTCATAATACTTATCACTACTTGGCTTTATATATTTATTTTATTAATCTATTACCGACTTTCACCATAAAATTTATACTTGAAGCTATCTGCTGGTATCCCAATGCCTAGAATTACGCTTGGCATATTGGTATAACTCAATACACATTCTCTGAATGAATGAATGGATGAATGAATGAGAATTATTACTCCATGTCTGCCAAGCTCACCTCCTGGAACACTTCAAGTCTTTCACCTGGAAGGATCTTGCCTCGTTATTTTCACAGTAGCTAATATAAGGTACATATTAACACTCAAAGATACTTGTTGACTGGTTTCTGCATATTTGAAAAACTACTCTAGTTAGGATTAAAATTAACTAGGGAATGTTGATACCCAACATTATCTTGAGTTGATATAATATGAATAACTAATGTACTTGACAAATTGTAAAATAGATGAAATTATTAGTTTTTCAAGTTCTGTTGTGTAGCAAGTGCAATAAATATTAGTGCTACACAACAGAAATATGTTTAAATGTTTCTATACAGCATTTAGGCTGGGCGCAGTGGCTCATGCCTGGAATCCTAGCACTCTGGGAGGCCGAGGCAGGCGGATCACCTGGCCAACATGGTGAAACCTCTCGTCTCTACTAAAAATACAAAAATTATCCAGGAGTGGTGGTGGGCACCTGTAATCCCAGCTACTTGGGAAGCTGAGGCAGGAGAATCGCTTGAACCTGGGAGGTGGAGGTTGCAGTGAGCCGAGATCGTGCCACTGCACTCCAGCCTGGGGGACAGAGCGGGACTCTGTCTCAAAAAAAAAAAAAAAAAGGAAAAAAGAAATAAGTGTTTCTATACAGCATTTTATTTTGAATAAATTGACTTTCAAAGACTTAAGTCTCTCAAAATCATAGCACTAGTACATGACAGAGCTAGAATCCTAATTTCTCAGCTCATGGCTCCAGATTTCGTGCTCATACGTCTCCTTCTCATTCTCATAGTTTCTCTTTCCCCATCCACATGCTTCCTATCTTTTGCCTCTGTCCTTCCGCCATCCTTTGTTCTCCAATCTATGCCACATCCTGATACGTGTACTATTAGTCACACTTTAGCTGATCTCTTCACCACTACTGCTTAATGCAGTAACTTCACATCACAAAACTAAGATGCTGTTAACAGAAAACTTTGGTTACCTAATGAGATGAAAAATCACTGTGAAAATCTTAAATACTGGAGCCAGACCAGGGAAAGAGTATTATGGTGTGTTTAGGACTTTCTGAAGGCACAGTACACACATTCACCATGGCAACTGCTGACTGTGCCAACTTCAAGAGTAAGCCATGGCTATACGTATACATACATGTTGACTAATAATACTGCTCTTACCCCAGAGAGTGTGAAATGATGAGAATTTCCTTTCACTCACCCTTGCTTTGCAGTCCACTGACAGCTATATTTTTACTTTAAGCTAGGGAACACTGGTAATAAATATAAGGGGTGACCATTAGTAGTAAGATTATTATTTTTGTTGATTTTCATCTCTAAATGGTGTGAGGTAAATTAAATATGTAAACTTGAAACGAAATAAATTACTTAGGCACACCATCTGAACATATAATAAACATTTATTGAACAGCTTCTATGTACAAAGTTTTATTTTTGGCAGAGTGAGAGATAAAAAATGAATATTACACAACTCTAGCTCTCAAAAATTTTCATAGTCTGCTGGAGAAGTTAGAAATGTACTTATTCATAATTTAATTCAACATTGAAATTTTTCCAATTTTAAGTAATTCTTTGCTTTATGTCTATATCTTTCCTACTATTCTCTATGTACCATGACTAGGCATTGTGGTAGGATTTGTTTATCACTTAATCTGGGTAAAGCAACAAATGCATGTTATTCTAAGTGCTATCTCTGCCACTAAGAGGCACTTTTTTATGTCTTTGCAAATAGGAAGTTCAAAGTAAATTAAATCCATGGTACATACTTATAAGTCTGCTTTAACCCAAACATAGCTGTATGCTTTTTCCATTCTACTTATGGCAGATACAGTATCATAGGCATTTAGCAGAAGAAATAGACTGCATAGGTCATTCTGTACTCCTTATGCACATCTATAACCTCAGCAATAAATAGCTCTTGTTAACATACATGGAACTATATAGGTGAAATAGTCCCATCAGAAATTGTAGCTGTGAGAGAGATAATTATGCTTCCTGGTTCCTAGGCTAAATGGAGAACAAGAAAACAAGAAAATACAAAGACCTCTTTCTATTTAAATAGTACAATCCCTTTGTTAAATATGTGCTATATCCAGAACCAATAGTATCCACTTTTCAAATTTAAAAAAAAATTAAAGTACGTTTTTTAAAATCAAACTTTACTAACACACAAAAATCACAATATAATATTTTTTAAAGAATTTTTGAATAAAGGCTATCACGTTTCTCAGGATTTTTTTTCTTTATATATGTACATCTTGCTCAAGAAGCTTGAGAGGTTTTGGAAACTTCAAAGATCGAAGAGGTTTAATTTTGTCAATTCCACATTTTTAGTTTAACAAATACATCTATATTCAATGTTTTTGAAAGCATTCTATGGCAATCAGCACTTACAAGCTAATCTGATTATGTAGTTTAGCTCACTGTTGCTGTAATACTTCATTTTTTTTCAATGCAATGGTTACATTCAGTGCAATTTCTCCCCCTATCAATAATGAAGGATGTTATTGAATATTATTGACTTAAAATATGTAACTATTGTTATTACTATTGCATACCATATTTTGAATATTCTTTTAAGTAACTTTTCAAAAGGCCACAACATGCTGACTTCTAAAATATTAGTACGTAATGTCATTTTAATTGGAAAATATCTCCAAACCAGCAAGTTATTTTATTTCATTTACTATGATTTATCTGCAATTAAAATAGAATATGTTTTACAAAATCATAATGATCCAAATATGTCCCGCTACAGGAGTTCGAGACCAACTTGGGCAACATAATGAGACCCTCTCTATACAAAAAATTGAAACATTAGCTGGGCTTGGTGGCATGTGCCTGTGGTTCCAGCTACTCAAGAGGCTGAGGTGGGAGGGTTGCTTGAGCCCAGGAACTCGAGGCTGAAGTTAGCCATAATGTACTCCAGCCTGGATGACAGAGAAAGAGGCTGTCTCCAAAAAAAAAAAAAGGCTCTCTCTATAATATTTATTTATTAAAATGCTAAAATGCTAACTTCCATTATAGGTCAAGCATGGTTTAGTTGCAGTATTTCATTTGTTTATTACTGAAATCTGTGGGCATCTTTTGAAATGTTTGGTACATGGAGAAATCATGTGCTGTGTTTAATTATTTAGTATTCTTGCATTGTTAGTGAATCTAGACCTCTGGACAGCTTTAAATTCATATGATGTTAGTGTTGGCATTATATAAATGGTATACATTTCATATGTGGATTAAGACATATGCAACATGTTTGAGAAACAAAGCTGAAGTATAGTCACTTGCTATCTGGAAAAAAACTGCAAAGCAGTGACAATCAAAGAGAAGTAAGATGATAGAAGTAGAAAATTTGATATGAGTTTACAACGTGATAAAAATAGTAGAACGGTAAGTACTCCCTTCACAGTTTAATACAAGAAGTGTCTGTTCAAAAGGGTTAGGCCATGATTTCATCAAGCAAGGAATGTGATATGCTTCCAGCACAATAGACTGCAATGGAAGGAATGCTGATAGCATTTCATCTGTCAAATAAGTCCTTGAACAATTAAATCAGGTGTTAGTCTCACAAGTATGAAAGTGTGTTGATGATGAAAATTGTGAATATCTGAAGTTGTCGATTTTTTTTTAAATGTATAATTCACTGGAGCTCTGCTGTCAGGCAACCCTCTAAAATATGGTGTTTATGTGAATTGGGGCACATACTGGAACTTTTACTAAGAATATTTAGTTACCAGAATTATCAACAAGAAAAACTTATTGCTCATTAATTGCCTTTATGTAGCCAAAATATTTGTAGGAGTGGAGATTTTGGAAAAAAATATCATAGTTGCCCTCTAATTACATTAATCTCAACAAGTTGAATTATATTTTATAGACTGTTTACTTCTCTTGATAATTCTGTCAGGGATATATAATATAATATATACATTTACCTAAAGAAGCTATTTATATCATTATGCTGTACATTGGGTAACAAAAGTTCTTAAGTATGCATTACAGTAAGAAGCAGTCTTCATTTATGTTGTATATGCAGGGAATAAATCCAGTTCTTATTATTGCAGAAAGCATAAGGGTTCCATTTTAGTTCCCTAAGAACACAGTAAGATATCAAGAAAGAAGATATACTGTTGACACGTTTGCTTTCAGATTAGTCATTAATTCTGAGTTCGTTTGATAGCTAAGAAAATTAAATCATCAAAATGTCCACACTGAACTCTTCTATCCAGTCCAAAGTGCTACCTATAGTAGATCTACAAATGCCTCAATCTCTCTATTAAGAGAAATGGCTTTTAGTGGCACAATTTGGGATGATAGGCATTTATTAATCATACACTCTAGTTAATATACTAATTAATATGTTATCTACATAGGGATTACCAAATATATTAAAATAGATTACAGTAAAGTAAATAATATTAAAATGTCTGCAACTACATTTTGCTGCTTCTATATTTATTTTATTTAATTCTCTCAATGACCCCCTTGGGTAATTATTAGTATCCCAATTTAAAGACCAGGAATCTGAGGCTTAGAAAGGCTAAATAAATTTCCTACAGCCACACTGCTAGTGACTTAGCCAGAATTTAAAGGATATCCAAACTGACCTATGCTTCATCTGTGGCCTTCCACATAAAAACTAAATATAAGCAATCTCTTTTAACCTTTCCTTCATAATCCTCATGATGTCAATCATCCTTAGGCAATCGGTGTATATATATTGTCCTGTAACAGAGTTTTAGATAGCCCTATGCTCTTCTGGGTTCAAGTTTTACGTGTTTCAGTGGGATTCCAGACGCGGCATTTTTAAAAATTTTCTTCAAAAGAAATTCAAGGTTTCTAATTTTTCTTTATATTTTTAAAGTTTCCATTACTTTAAGTATTTTGAATAAAGAAGTTTAGGGGTCAATTTATGAAAGGACCTAGCAATTCAATACAAACATATGTGGTATAATTGTATGACATAAACCCAGTTTCCTTGTGGCTGAGATTTTCTGCCTTGAAACTCTTTATGACCAGGGTTTCTCAATGTTGACACTATTGACATTTTATACTGCTTAATTCTCTGTTCTGTGGGGGAAGTTCTATGTATTTTAAGATCTTTAGCAGAATCTTTGGCCTCTACCCAGTAGATGCCAGTAGCATCTCCTCTTCCCCAGTCATGACACGAAACATGCCTCCTCCAGAAATTGACAAAATAAATGTCCCCTCAGTGGCAAAAGCATCTTCTGTTTAGAACCAAGGTTTTTGATGATATCACCAAAGAAAACAGGATCAAATAAGAATACTTCAGTGCAGTTTTATTTAATTCAGAAAGAAGGCAGAATCATGGACATTGCTTTTCTGACGAACTAGAAGATTTTAGATTTGCCTAATAAATAAAAAGATTTATGAATATGTAATTATAGGCATAGTTTATTTTTATCAACTTTTGTTAAAATTCAGCAAACTCTGTTAAATAAATTTTATATAAATGATAAAAGCTTGAAAGATAGGAGGAAATCACCATGCGTTTTGGTGTTTTAAAAATGATCACTGTTATAAATAATATACTCAGTTGTAGTTGCACATTGCAGAGTTTTTCCCCACCTTGTGCTCCTGTGGGTTGGATTCTATGCTTGGCCTAAAAAGCTATTTTCTCACTAGATTAAATATTGTAAAATAAAAATAAAATATGTAAATATAAAATGCCCCAAAGCAAAAAATTAATTTTCAACACAGATGGGTTTCGGGAGGTTTAATGCCAAAGATTTAAAAAATCTTGTGCCAAGGGGGATTTTGTTTGCAACTGAAAACAAATGTTTCCTGTGTTACCCTCACAGAAGGATGAGTTTCATTCCCAAAGCAACTATTTGAAGGGTCATTTGAAATAAAGTGAAAAGCATTATATATCCAATTCCTTTTAGCCCCAACAGTATCATTAACTCAATCTGTCCTACCCCTCAGAATTGAAAGAAAGAGTGGTAGGTAGCGAGGTGGGTAAAATGTTTTATGATATTATTTTTCCAAAACAGAAATTAATCAGAAAAGGATAACTCTGAAGGTTTTATTCAGTGACAATCTGACATGAAGTCAATGGGAGTTGAATCTGAATGAGGAGATGCTCAATTCCCTTTCCATATGGTGAACTGATATCAATGAAATCTTCCACAGTTAGCCAAGAAAACCTTCTGGTTATCATCCAAGGATGCATTTCTGCACAGCCTCCCTCAGTCAATAAGTAAATTTTGCAGTGATGGAGAGGTCAGGTTACCTAGTAAATAATGTATCTAGTCATTTCCTTCAAAGAGCATATAGTCTAAAAATGGTAGTTAGGGAAGAGACACAGGAACTACTAGAAATACATAATTATACTTTCTTGCCTGAACATACAATATGCACCCAATCAATGTTGAATCAATATTGAATTAAACTGAAAGACGTTGCATAAGTTCGAAAATAGATCCAATTGTTCTAGGATAACTTACACCCTCACACAAAGAAAAGTGGCAAATGATACAAATTCTTAAAATTATCTTAAAAATGTTTTGGGAAATTAAAAAAATTCCATTTGATTATTTAAAATGTGTGACTTGGGCTATCAGCTGAAATGTCAAGAGAGGTGAGCTAAGAAAGCATCATATTTGAAGCCACCATATATCCCAGAATTTCTGCAATAACCCATTATCTCCATAAATTCACTTGAATTTGCCCCAGTTTAAAGCACTCTCAAAATAAGCAAAAGTATATTCTTACATGCAAATTCCAAGGCATACATCTAGTTGTGGCTTTGCCAGTAGTTCAAATGATTCTGTGTAAATGTTCCTCTATAGCTTAGCTTGTAATTAGACTTAGACAAGTTTTGGGGTAGCTCTTTATTTATGAATATTCAACAGCCCCACTGTGGCAAAATAGATAATCTGGGACATTCACCTTCAAATGAGAGTATATAAAAGGAGAGCGTTTATGGCTGAATTCACAGGCCCAGAGTACATTTTGTAAGAAGTTATTCTGATGGCTATAGTTTCTTCTGCTTTGTAAAAGAATAACATCTTTTGCAGTTTGAATGATCCCAATATGTTTAAGCCACCATATCCCTAGTCAAAATAAAGATTTATTATTTTGAATTACATGGTCCCAAAATATATGCCTAATGATAATGATATCTAGCACTGAAATTATTATGCATACATACTTATTCGTATAAACTAGATAAGAGACTGTTATATGTTATGTTATGGCATAATATACTCATTTATTTTAGCTAGACATTATTTCAAACATAAAAAATTACTCCTAATAAGTTTTGGTCAACTCAAAGGACAAAGCTAATCTTGTATATATACCTCAAAGGACTTCTCTCTAAAGAGAACACCACCATACAAATGAATGACAAGAGACACTAAGCAATATAAAATTATTAAATGATAAAATCTACTTATTATTAAAAGCATATTTAAAATGTTGTTAAAATATTCACATGGTTAAATGCAAACTTTTAAAAAATAATACACATATTCCATATGATCTCCAGAGAACATAATCATGGAAATTTACATTTATAGTGATATAAGGAGGGGGTTTAATAAACCATAATTATATTATTCAGTTTATGCTGATCCTGCAAATGTTTACTTTTTGACTTAAATTTAAGATTTATGTTAAAAATGCATATAATAAATTCTGCACTGTCTACCATGGCAGCCACTGGTTATATGTAGCTATTTATATTTAAATTTACATTAATCAAAAATTATTAAAATTTTAAATTTAATTTCTGCATCACACTAGTCACATTTCCAGTGCTCAATAGCCAGAAATCCATCATCATAGACAGTTCTATGTGCAATGCTGCTGTGTATATTAATAATATAGATAGTGATATGAGACCTATGCATATATTTGAAAGCTTTGAGAACTTCAAGAGAATTTACATTTTCCCACTTGTAGAACTCGACTTTCACAGAAAAGACACTTCTAAACACCGAAGACCAGTCTTATCTGATTATGCAACACTTCTACCAGTAATTCTAATTAGGACCAGAAAATGTTAAATTAAGACTTTTCTACTTCATACGTTTTCTAAAATAGCTTTCCTAAGTTCGTTGACATCAAATTAATGATATGGCTGAAGAGTACAAAAAGAAAATAATTATATATAATTTTTCTGATTGCCTAATCATCATCATTATTGTTTACTTAGTTTTAACTTCATTTAAAAATTTAGGAGTGAGGATGGTGGATCATCAGTAAGGATTCTCCAGAGAACCTGAGCCAATAGATTAGATATAGATATAGATATTTATCTTTCTATATTTATATCAGATATTTGTTTATGTCCATATCTATATTTATACTTGCACCTATATTTATATCTCTGTATATTAATATCCATCTATAGATAAAATTTATTTTTAAGTGATTATCACACTCAATTTGGGGAGCAGGCAAGTATGAAAGCTGTAACAAGTTCAACAGGTTAGAAACTTAGGCAGGAGTTGATTTTGCAGTCCTTAGGCAGATTTTCTTCCTCTCTAAAAAAGCTGAGATTTTGCCCTTAAGGCCTTCAACCACTAGGTGAGGCCTACCCACATTATCAAGGGTGATCTTCTTTACTTAAACCCAGTGGACTGTAGATGTTAGTAAATCTACAAAATGCTGTCACAGCAACACCTAGATTAGTGTTTAATTAAATAACAGTGCCTGCCCAAGTTCACACATAAAATTAACCATCACAGATGATAAAGAAATAATCTGAATTCGCTGAAACGGGACTGGGATAGGAGGGAGGGCTCTTTCCATGATCAAAATGTGTCCATTTCCTCCAGTTTCCATCTACCACTTTAGACATGGGTGGAAGACTAAACAACTCATATTATGACAATGATATAGACAAGAGTTTCTTCATCAATGTGATTAAATAAGTAAATTGTAAGGACTCCCTTCTTTGGACAAGTGGATTGGAGAATGATCTGCAGTCTCCTGCCTTTATCCTAGGGCAGTTTCCAATAGAGTGGTAAATTTTGATTTATTATCCTTTGTCAAAACTCCCTGAAAATAATAGTACATACCTGTGTCCTGCCCTCACTCCTTCCAGCTTGATACATGATTCCTATGATAATTAACCTTTTCTTTCTCAGCTTCCTTTCTTTTTCTCCATCATCCTAACTTGGATTTGTTTCAAGAGTTTAACTATAGATCTACATTATGAATAAAATATTTTAACTGTTCGTCCAAAATAAATATTTTAGATTAAAGTTTACCATTTTGCATATTTAAAACTACTCCAAATTAAGACAAAATATTGGGAAAATATTATGATAACAATTCATGCTGGATATGCTTTAAACTCATAGCTCAAGAGTATACATTATATCTTTCTCTTTGGCATTCACTTAGTATTTATTTCTGGTTGTAGAATAAAGCAAGAGAGAAGCTGAACATTCTTGCATATTTAAATCTCAAATCAAACATACATGGCCTTTCCCCCCAAAAGCTTCGTGTGATATGCCTCTGAATACAAATGTGATAATGTTAAATAATGTATTTTGCGATAAGATTCTATAGTAATATGAAGAATCATACATCCACAGGATTCTAGATTACATGCTTTGAAAATTCCAAATAAGAATGTTCAAATTTACAACCCAGCACAGCAATTGCATTATAAAATAAAAGATGGATAGTGAATAAATACAAGGTTGTAATCAGTCACTGAGAAGGCTCTTGCTGACATCATAAAACATGAAAAAATAGCTTGAACAGCTTTCGTATGATGGGAGACTCCCAAGAGTGATTTACAGCCACTCGCTTTATCAACTGTTGCACTTGATATATAAAAGAAATGTTTTTTACCCTTTCCAATAGCCTTCCCTGACAATTTTTTTTTTTTTTTACCTAAAGGGAAGTGAGGGGATTTCGATGAAAATTAACTTCAAAGCTGTTTATCATGAGATGATAGTGTTTATTTATTCAATGAATATTTGTCAAGGAGCCAAGGACCCTGCTAGGTGCTAGAGATACAGAGATAAGTGCCATAGGGTCCTGCCCTCAAGGAGTTTACAGTGCTTTGAGGGCAGTTGTCATGACTTTGTATCAAAGCGCCACTTAGAAGGAATTTACAGCAGCCATCCGATCTGATCCTTGTATAGTCATAACTAAAATATTCTGGATAGATTTTTTAAAAGAACTTTTTATTTCAGAATAATTTTAGATTTATAGACGTTTAAAAGTTAGTACAGAGAGATGATGACTAATTTTATTTGTCAACTTGACTGGGCCACAGGGTGCCTGGACATTTGGTCAAACATTATTCTGCATGTCTTTGTGAAGTTGTTTCTGGATGAGATTGACATTGAAATCAATTGCCCTCCATAATGTCAGTTAGCCCCATTCAATCAGTTGAAGTCTTGAACAAAAAAAAAGGCTGCACCAACCTGATCAACATGTCGAAACCCTGTCTCTACTGAAAATACAAAAATTAGCCGGGTGTGGTGGTGGTAGTGGAGGCCTGTATCCCAGCTGCTCAGGAGGCTGAGGCAGGAGAATCACTTGAACCCGCGAGGCAGAGGTTGCAGTGAGTCAAGATCATGCCATTACACTCCAGCCTGGGCAACAGAGCGAGATTCTGTCTCAAAAAAAAAGGGAAAAAATGCTGCCACTCCCTCCAGTAAGGGGAAATTTCCTCCTGCCTGCCTGGATGCATTCACCTAGGGCATTGTTTTTGTTTTCCTGCCTTCAGATTCCCACTGAAACTATACCATTGACTTTTCTGAGTATCCAGCTTGCCAATTACAGATCTTGGTAATAGCCTCCACAATTGTGTGAATGTGTATGTGTATTTTATATATATATATATGTATATATATATATATATAATGTATATTTAGAAATATGTATTATATGTAATAAATATATGTAATATTTGTATAAATTATTTATAATATATGTAATAAGTATAACATAATTTATAAAAATATTACATATGTTACATAAATTATATATAATTATATATAACTTATATCCATAACATATATAATTTATATAAATATTACATATTGTTTATATATAAAAATATTATAGTATTAAACAATATTAAGAATATATTATTAATATATCATAATATATAATATACAATAATATTAAACAATATTAATAAAGAATATTATTTATGTGCATATAAACAATATGTAATATATAATAATGTCATATTATATGTAATATATAATAATATATGGTATATATATATATCCTATGATTCTGTTTCTTTGGAGAACTCTAATTATTATAAGTGTTCCCATCCAGTTTCATTTTCTCATGATGTTATCATTACTATGATTCATATGTAAAAACTAAAAAAAAACAAAAACTGTGCTACATTGTTATTAACTAATCTACAGACTTTATTTGAATTTTGAATTTCACTAGTTTTTCCTCTAAGTTCTTTCTGTCTTCCAGGATCCTACAAAAGATACCACATTGCATTCATTTCGTTGTTGCTATGGTTTGAATGATGGTGTCCCCTCAAAAATTCATGTTAAAACTTAATCCCCAATGCAACAGTAATAGAAGTGTGGCCTTTGGTGGTGATTAAGTCATGAGAGCTCTGCCCTAATGTATGGGATTAGCACCCTTTAAAAGGTCTCAAGGGTGAACTGAGTGCCCTCTTGCCTTTCCATTCTTTCTGCCGTATGAGGATGCAGGAGCAAGGAACCATCTTGGAAGCACAGAATAACTCTGACCAGACACCAATCTAAGATGCCTTAATCTCAGATTTCCCAGCCTCTGGAACTGTGAGAAATAAATTTCTATTGTTTATAAATTACCCAGTTTCAGATATTTTGTTACAACAGTACAAATGGACTAAGATAATTGCCGTGTCTCCTTAGTATCCTCTGGTCTGTGATACTTTGTTAGAGTCTTTTCTTGTTTTTCCTGACATTGACTGTTTTGAAGAGAACTGGTCACCTAGTTGAAGAATATATCTTAATTTGGGCTCTCTGATGCTTTTCTCATAATTAGACTAGAATTATGAATTTGAGAGAAGAATACTACAAAGGCTCAGTGCCCTTCTCATGGCATCATATCAAGAGGTGCATATTCCTATGACATCACTAATTACATTAACCTCGATCACTTTTTTAAGGTAGTATTTTTCAGGTTTCTGAATTATAAGGTTAGCATTTCTCACTTTCCATAATCTATTCTTATGAAGTGAGTTACTATGTCTAGTTCACACAAAGAGGGATGAGAAAAGGTAAGTTCCACTACCTGAAAGAAAAAGTATTTACAAATATTTTGAAGGGCTTTTATAAATGACATAGTTAAAATAGGCTCATCCCTCAGTAGAAGAGATTTCATCAAGGGACTGAATATGTGATGCTGACACGTGAAGATTCTAAATAAAAATCTGTCGATTCATGTTTGAGTATATTTCAGGTCACGTTCATGGTGACACATCTGGGTTTTATGCATAGTAAACCATTAAAGGCTACTTTTGCTTCATTAGGAGCTGTTTAATGTTCCTCAGACTGTTGAAAGATAAGAAAGAGAAATGTACACTAAAATTTAACTCCTGTATTTTGACAGTTAATTTCAAGGGTGAGATCGGTCCCTTTCATCTCAATATTTCTTTAAAGTATGGATCTCCCATCCTTGACAATGGAAACTAGTAAGAAATCTCACAAATGCCTAACACATTATGAAAGTTATTAAAAGTCTTAAGTCTAGCTATTTGAAAACATTATGTTGTCTTTAAAAGAAACATTTCTCATTGTTGTCATCCCTGGATTCTGTTTCTTTACAGATTTCATTATAACTCCTTGCCCAATTCCTATTGTGGCTGAGCAAATCGCATGTTCCCCTATGTTGTATTGAGCAACTAATTTTTTCTCTTGAGATGAATAAATCAATATATACATTTGAACTTTATGATTTTGTCACCAACCCACAAAACGCATTTTGTCTTCTAACCCTAGCTTTGAAAAGTCAGTCACATCACTGAACACCATTCACTAAATAATAAAGGTGAAGAATAAACAATGAATTCTACATTAATAATAATAAATTTCATATTGCATTACAGTCTATAGAAGGTTTTTAAATATGTACTCTCATGATCATCTGATCTACCCCCAAAATCTCAGAAGGAAACCATAGATGAAAAATCATAATTTTAAAATGAAAAAAACATAAGTCTCATAGAAGGTAAGTGTTAACAATTACTGGCCGTGAAAATTAGGGCCACATTAAAAACTCAAGTTTTCTGAATATGTGTCAATCAGATTGAATAAGTTGACATTGCGTACCAGCATTCCATGACCTTAGCATATGAAAAGTTTACTTCTCACTCACACCAAGTCCACTCTGAGTTTGGGTTTATCTCCTGGACTTTTGCCCATTTCATCATTCAGTATTCTGGGATACTGGCTGAGTCTCGTTTCCTCACCTCCAATATAACAAACATAATCTTCCATAATTACTATGGCAAGGAAAGAGAGAATAGAGAATGTCACACCAGCCCTTAAATGCTACTACAGAGAAGTGGCACATAGGACTTCTGCTGGTTTTAATAGAGAAGTCACATTATGTACCATATCTAACTTCGAGGATGCATATGCCCATAAGGAGAAGAGAGTCAGAGATTTTGGTGAACATACTTGTTTGGTTTTCTTCTGCAAGACCATGCTTCCGCAGCTCAGAATGTTTATGAGTAGTGTCATTAATGACTTACTAATTAATGAAGTACCCTTTTAGGCCTATAGTCTAAACAATTGTATACCTCTAAGAAACGTTTAAATCTAGGTAACTTAAAAGATTCTCAAAGAGGCACTATAACCCGATAGTCAAGAACCTGAGCTTTGAAGTCAGAACAATATTGGTTCAGACTCAGCCCTGCTACTTACTAGCCTTGTGACCCGGGGCAACGTATTTAATATCTTGGAATAAGGAGGAGATAAAAATACTATCTATCTCACAGATTTCTTGTGAGCATTGGGAAAGATAATGCATCAAAGTATAGTGTATTTTCAAAAAGTTAGAGGATGTTCTCAACACAAAGAAATGATGAATATTTGAGGTGATGTATATGCTAATTACACTGATTCAATCATTACACATTGTATACAAATATCAAAATATCACTCTGTACCCCATAAATATGTACAATTATTATTTGCCAGTTTTTAAAAGTATAGAATTTGGCACATACTAAGCCCTCAATCAATGTGTGCAATTTTTATTACACTGTAGCCCACGGTAATTATAACAAACATAGGTCCCAGGTTTCCATAGGCAATCCCAATATAGTCTTAACTTCACTTACCCTATGTATATTTACAAGCATACCTCATTTTATTGTGCATCACTTTATTGCTCTTTGCAGATACTGCATTTTTGACAAATTGAAGGTTTGTTCAACGTTGCATCAAGCAATCTACGGGCACCAGTTTTGCAACAGCATGCACTCACTTCATGTCTCTGTCACACTTTGGTAATTCCCTCAATGTTTCAAACATTTTCATTATTATTATATCTTATAGTGATCTGTGATCAGTGACCTTTAATGTTACTATTGTAGTTGTTTCAGGGCAAGACAAACCACACCCATATAAAACAGCTAACCTAATTGATAAATTATGTGTGTTCTGACTGCTACACTGACCAGATGTTTCCCCATCTCTCTCTTTCACCTCAGGTCTCCTTATTCCTTAAGACTAAATAATATTGAAATTCAGTCAGTTAATAACTCTGCAATGGCCTCTAAGTGTTCAAGTGAAAGGAAGAGTTACACATCTCTCACTTCAAATCAAAAGCTAGAAGTAATTAAGCTTAGTGAAGAAGGCATGTCAAAAGCTAAGGCTCTTAACACAAAACAGCTAGCCAAGTTGTGAAGAGGAAGGAAAAGTTCCTGAATAAAATTAAAAATGCAACTCCTGTAAACACACAAATGATAGGAAAATGAAATGGCCTCATTATTGATATGGAGAATGTTTTTGTCATCTGGATAAAAGACCAAACCAGCTGCAACATTCCCTTAAGCCAAAGCCTTATCCAGAGCAAGGTCCTAACTCTGTTAAATTCTTTGAAGGTAGGGAGAGATGAGGAAGCTGCAGAAGAAAAGTTTGAAGTTAGCAGAGGTTGTTTTATGAGGTTTAAGGAAAGAAGCCATTTCCATAACATAAAAGTGCAAGGTGAAACAGCAAGTGCTAATGTAGAAACTGCAAGTTTTACAGAAGATCCAGGTAAGATCACTGACAAAGGTGGCTATGCTAAACAGATTTTCGATGTAGACAAAACAGCCTCCCATTAGAAGATGTCATCTAGGACTTTCATAACTATAGAGGAGAAGTCAGTGTCTGGTTTCAAATCTCCAAAGGACAGGCTGACTCTCTTCTAAGGGCTAATGCAGCTGCTGTCTCTAAGTTTAAGTCAAGGCTCATTTACCATTCTGAAAATCCCAGTGGCCTTAAGATTTATGCCAAATCTACTCTGCCTGTGCTCTATAAGTGGAACAACAAAGCCTAGATGACAGCACATCTGTTTATAGCATGTTTTACTGAATATTTTAAGTCCACTGTTGATACCTACTTCTCAGAAAAAAAGATTCCTTTCAAAATATTACTGCTCCTTTATCGGGGGAACCAACCCCCAATATTTCAACGTAGGTTCTTTTCTATTTTCCCTAAGTGACAGCTGGTCTGAGAAATGAAGAGAAAGAGTACACACAAAGAGAGAAATTTTACAGCTGGGTCTCCGGGGGTGACATCACATATTGGTAGGACCATGATGACGACCCTGAGCCACAAAACCAGCAAGTTTTTATTAGGAATTTTAAAAGGGGAGGGGGTGTATGAACAGGGAGTAGGTCACAAGGATCACATGCTTCAAAGGGCAATAAAGATCACAAGGCAAGGCAAAATTAGAATTACTGATGAGGGTCTATGTCCCACTGTGCACACATTGTCTTGATAAACATCTTAACAGGAAACAGGGCTCGAGAGCAGAGAACCGGTCTGACTAGAATTTACCAGGGTGGAATTTCCCAATCCTAGTAAGCCTGAGGGTACTGCAGGAGACCAGGGCATATTTCAGTCCTTATCTCAACCACATAAGACAGACACTCCCGGAGCGGCCGTTCATAGACCTCCCCCCAGGAATGCATTCCTTCCCCAGGGTTACTCCTTGCTGGGAAAAGAATTCAGCGATATTTCTCTTACTCGCATATCTGTTTATACACTTTCTGCAAGAAGAAAAATATGGCTCTGTTCTGCCCAACCCCACAGGCAGTCAGATCTTATGGTTATCTTCCCTTGCTCCCTGAAAATCGCTGTTATTCTGTTCTTTTTCAGGGTGCACTGATTTCATATTGTTCAAACACACATTTTACAATCAGATTTCATATTATTCAAACACACATGTTCCACAATCAATTAGTACAATAGTGGTCCTGAGGTGAGGTACATTCTCAGCTTACGAAGATAACAGGATTAAGAGATTAAAGTAAAGACAGACATAAGAAATTATAAGAGTATTAATTTGGGGAACTGATAAATGTCCGTGAAATCTTTATGTTCTTCTGCCTCAGCTCCAGCCGATCCCTCTGTTTGGGGTCCCTGACTTCCCGCAACACTCCTTGACAATGCACCTGGTTATCCAAGAGCTCTGATGGAGACGTACGAAGAGATTAATGTTGTTTTCATGTCCACTGACACAACATGCATTTTGCAGCCCACAGATCAAGAATTAATTCCAACTTTCAATCTTATTATTTAAGAAATACATATTGTAAGGCTATAGCTTCCATAGATAGTGATTCCTCTGATGAATCTCAGAAAACTCCATTGAAAATCTGGAAAACATTCACAATTCTAGATTCTATGCATTAAGACCATGGATAATTCATGAGAGGAGGTCAAAATATCAACATTAACAGGAGTTTGGAAAATGTGAATTCCAACCCTCATGAATGACTTTGAGGGGTTCAAGACTTCAGTGGAGGAAGCACTGTAGGTGTGGTGGAAAACAGCAAGAGAATGAGAATTAGAAGTGGAGCCTGAAGATGTGACTCAATTGCTGCAATATTATGAAAAATTTTAACATATTTGGTGTTACTTCTTATGGATGAGCAAAGAAAGTGGTCTCAGATGAGCAAAGAAAGTGGTTTCTTAAGTGGAATCTACTCCAGATGTGAACACTGTAGAAATGACAACAAATGATTTAGAATATTACATAAACTTAGTTGATAAAGCAGCAGCAGGGTTTGGGAGGATTGACTGCAATTTTGAAAGTAGTTCTACTGTGGATAAAATGCTAGCAAAAAGGATTGCATGCTATAGAGAAATTTTTCATGAAAGGAAGAGTCAATTGATGCAACAAGCTTCATTTTTGTCTTATTTCAAGAGATAGATTGCCACAGCCACCCCAGCCTTCAGCAACCAATGCCCTAGTCAGAAAACAGCCATCACCATTGAGGCAAAAGCCTCCACCAGCAAAAAGGTGATGACTTGCTAAAGGCTCAGATGATTATTAGTATTTTTTAGCAATAAGGTATTTTTAAATTAAAGTATGTATATTGTTTCTTAGATATAATGCTATTGCACACTTAATAGGCTACAATATAGTACAGACATAACTTTTATATACACTGAAAAAACAAAAAAATCGTGTGATACCTTTTATTTTGATTTTTGTTTTATTGTGTTAGTCTGGAACTGAGCCCTCTATATCTCTGAAGTATGCCTGTACTTTGTTTCGAAAACATTGCTACTACAGTATAATCTATAACACAATACATTTGAAATCTTAAAGAATAACAAATTACACATAAAAATGCTTGAGTATGAATATACATTAGAACAATATTTTAGAAGGAGTGGCAAGAATATAACATCTACTTTACTTCCCTTCTATTTAATAAGGTCATTACTGCCAGGTGCAGAGGCTCACACCTGTAATCCCAGTGCTTAGGAGGCCAAGGCAGGGGGATTGCTTGAGGCAGGAAGTTCAAGACCAGCCTGGGTAACATAATGAGACATCTCAACAAAACAATAAGAAAATTAGCCAGGCCTCATGGCACATGCCTGTAGTCCTAGCTACTCCGGAGGCCAGGGCAAGAAGATTGCTTGAGCTCAGGAGTTCGAGGCTGCAGTGAGCTATGATTGTGCCGCTGCACTTCAGCCTGGCCAATGGAGTGAGATTCTGTCTTTAAAAAATTAAAAAGAATAAAGAAAAATGAGGTAATTACCTAGTGAGAAGAAGAAATTAAAATGTTCCAATATAAATTATTCTTTATTATTTCATTTTGTTTACTATATTATTCTGAGTTCTGGTAGATATATGCCAATTGATTCTTTGGTGCTTGGAGCCATGATCTACTATGATGGAAATGTCTAACAAATTAGGAAGCTAGAAATATGATAAAATATCAGAACCTTTGCAGGTTCTGTACAGTATATGTTATCACTGAAAGCATAGAAATTTATGTGATCACCATAAGCACTAGCATAACAGAAATATTGTCTTTGTATTTTATTTGAAGTATGCAATACTATGTACACACTTAATATTGTCCATTGACATGCTTGCAAACACTAGCTTTCCTCCAATGCCAGTAAAATAATATAAAACTGGACACATCCTGTTTTCATTCACTTGATGTAAATAATACTCTGATTTTACAACAGTTCCAAATAAGAAAATATTTTTTTAAAAAAACTTGTAATCAATAACTGGGTCATCTAACCCCAATCATCAGAGGGGAATTATTTCTGAACTTTTGAAGTTTAACCATCCACAATATTAATAATTTTGTGTTTTGAGTTTGTAACTGTGTGAAGCATGAATTCATCCTTAAAATGACACTAATATAATCTGCAAACTTATTTTGTATAAATCAACAAACGCATACAAATGGAAATAAATTATCGACCTAAGGTGAAGAGACAAAATTATTACTTAAGCACCATCCTCTGCTAATTGATAAGCACTTACTGAAATAATATTCTTCATACAAATATTTTTTAAATATTCTCCTTACCCCATTATCATTTTTTAGGAAAGTGGTATGTTTATTATGGCTGTCATTAATTAAAATTTGGCCTACTTTTCCTCTTTCCAAAGTGCAGGTGAACTTTTGAAATCTAACTGAAATAAATTACAAATGATAATCTTTGCCTTCCTTTTCTGAAAGAAACTAAATTTCTTTTAAAATCCATTTTTTATAGAGTCTCCCACACGTGCCCATTCTGAGAAATGAATTTCCAAGATTGTCTCAGTAAAGTCATCTTTCCTTGCTAATTTACACTGAGTGAATTTTGCACCCCTATATGAGGGTGATAACATCAAAATAAATTGCTACAGTACCACCAGATTGCCTCCCAACTTTAAAGTTTCATACCAGATATTTTGAACACTCTCATTTTCCAAGGTCAATATTAAAATACTTTCTATTAAGATATTCTTATGTAAAAAACTAGCTTGCATATCAGCAAATTAAGATTTTAAAAAATTATTCCAGAAACTTCAGAAGAGAAACAAAAAATAATAATTTGTAGTAAATAACTAGTATCTTACGGGAGCATCGTTCTTCAGAATACATACTGGGAAATAGTGAATAAGACAGTATGCTGCTTAAGAGCAGTGACTATGATTTATTTTTCTGTGCAATTTCTTCAGTACCTAGCTTAGTGCTAGTAAGTGTCTAGTGAATGGATGAATGGATAGATGGATGGATGGATGGATGGATGGATGGATGGATGGATGAGAGGATGGATGAATTAGCAAATGAATAAAATGACTTCAGATCAACATTTGAAATAGGTCACAGACTTTACTTTATGAGTTCAAAATAGCTTTGCCCCAAGAAAAGTTCTTTTTTGCACTCTGTTAAGCGGCCTTTTAAGATTTGAACTTGACATTATCATCAAATCAGTAGATACATTTCAAGAAATAATACATGATTTTGACCTTTTTTATTGTAGCCACCACATCATCAGTCTGCTTGATTAACTTGTCAGCTTTCTCCTCTCCAGATAGTGAGCCATGCTCTTTGCACTAAAAGCTTTTAAAATGGCTAAAGAATCCATGATAAGGTCAAGATATATCAATAAAGAAAGCAGAGCAATGATTTTTTATTTTATTTTATTTTATTTTTATAAGATAAAAATGATTGAAAACTGATTAGTGCGTGTCTCTTGACACTTCATATTCATGATTTTTATCTAAGTAGGACCTAGATTTTCTTAGAGTGAAGAGATTTTGAAATAAATTTAAGGTACATTTCTATTTTAAGACCATATAAACTAAAAGTTCTTTATAGTACTGCAGCCTGAGTTGCATATTCAGGAATTACCTTAAAGAAACAGAATAGTAAAATGCCCTGAACTAAGCAGAGAGAAACAGCACTACATTTTCTAAATCTAGTTGTTATTACTGCCAATCAACATTTTGGAAGATCCTATTTTACACAAGGCACTGTATTATGTCTTATGAGCAAATTAGAAAATAAGTCTTCCGCATGCCCAGAATTGATGTAATTTATGTAGAAAAACAGTCATATGTAATTTAGCATAACACCACTTAGAAACATTGTTACAAAAACATGTAAGTTTAAAAAAAATTTAAGTTTAAATACTCAGAACTAATATGCAGAGAATACCATAGTGAAGGAAGGATTTGAATGGTTGTTCAGAATGGATCAGCTAAGTCAGTGATTCTCAACTGGTGGCAATTTTGTCTCCCAGGAGGTATTTGACAGTCTGGAGGCATTTTTGATTGTCACAATTTGGGGCGTGCTATTAATATGTAGTGAGCAAAGATTACAGATGCTGCTGAACATCCTACAGTGCATAGGCTAGTTTCCCTCAACAAAGAATTATTTGGCCCAGAATGCCAGTAACTCTGAGGTCGAGAAGCTTTGAGTTAAGTTCTGGTAAGGCAAATTCATGGTACTCTTGGTGGTCAACTTTCCTTCCCACAGTATCAGGCTACTAAATTCGCACTAAAACAATCAATATTTGAATGCGCACATTGCTCTAAAAGTTATATGACCTAAGTTTATTTTCCTACTTTAATGTAATGACATCTGACCCTTCTGCATCGAAACAACATTAATGGTGGTGAATATAAACAATATTATTGTTTGTTAGAGTATGAGATAAGATTATTTGATTTCCCATGTCTATTTTAAATTTTCGAAGAGGAAGGATAGTGAATCAGCAAAAAGTTAATAACAGCTATTATAACATGTCTTACCTTTATGGTAAAAAATAGAAAAAGAATTATCCGTGGTGACCACAAGGCATATAATCAGCACTGATGATTTTGACTTTAAATGACACCCTTTGCTCAAGTGCTTTTACCCCTCAGAGAGAGCAGCCTCCTAATATCAGACACTGGGTATTTCTTTATTTCTCTCATCAGAGTCTTTTTTAACCACTAGGTGACAAAAGTCATGATTAGAAAATGAAAAGTTTGAATATTACGGTGTAACATTTTTTTAAAGGCAAACCATTACTGCCAAACATCTCACCTTTATCAATGAAAAGTACCTACTCTGTGAATAAAAATATCTGGAACATAATAGTCTCAGTTCTGCCTGTGTTTGACTGAGGTTTATTAAGCTCTTTGACTTGTATACTTGTATCTAAAAGAAATGGAGCAATCTCATGAGTAGCTAAAAAAAAATCTCAGGCCTCCATTTCACATTTGATAATCTGAACATATGAGACATGATTTTCAAATGACCACCCACAGAGGTATTAAACAATGCTCTGGGCTTTTATTTTAGATAACTGAAGTCAGACTGCAAAAAAGTTTTAACAAAACCTTTGAGAATATCTTCTGTAATAATCCTTCCTCTGTCTCTGCTCCTAAATTCCCAGCATCCTTTAGTACAGTGTTTCCACTCTTTCTGCCCTCACCTGGGCAACGTTTCATACACCAGAACTTATATGGCCCTGTTTACTTCAGCAGATGTTCCATTTTTTGGTCACTGGCAGGTAATCAAAATAGCCAATACATACCAATCATCACCAAAGTGTAATTTTTCCAAAATACTGTAACTGTACTTTAATATGGGTCTTTTAGAAATGCAATGCCTTATATGAATGCAGTGATTCAAAACCAACATTAATTAATTACCATATTGATTGCATTTTTGGCCTAATGCATTATTAATATATACCAGATGCAACTTATCCAAATGATAATTGATACAATGAATTCATAGACCTAAGAAAATAAAATACAAAATAATTGAGAGGTAGGTGTCTCTCACAGAAAGTGACCCTGATCATAATAAAATACACACATCCATATTCAGCGATTATAGGAAAGGAATCAATCTTTTGTAGTATTAATATACTTTTGTGGTATAATCTGAAATTTTTTCCATTTTTTATAAATATTAATCTAAAATATTCTAAAAATAATTTATTTCTTGGTTATTCTCATTTTGAGATTGCCTTGATTAACAATAATCCAAAGAATACAATTGATAAATGAATAAGTATTCGTCACAGGATAAATAGTAAGGGCACATCTCCCAGTTTATTTATATAATAAATAATTCTAGCAAAAGTCAACTATTCCATTTTATAAATGAACAGAATACATAAGGGGATATAGGAAGACAGGGCTCTACTAGATTAAGACTGTATGTAATTTGGGGTGAAACTTATTTTTTGTGAGATTTACAAGTGACTGTGATAATTCTCTGGATTGTCAGCCAAAACCCAGGAAAACATGGATAAAGAATGACTGAATTTTCACAGCCTGAAAGGGAAGTTAAGGTACATGGTACCATGACAAACTGTAAAAACTGGGAAGGAGTGAGCCTGGATGTTATAGTTGAGAACATTTGGTGAACGATAGATTGAAAACAATGGTTACACCAAGGGAGGAGAGAGAATTTCAGTACAGAAGGAAAATATATAATATGATATAATAGTATGTATGAAGGGTCATAAAATAATCATAAAATAATAAATTGCCAAGAGGAAAAGGAGCTAATATAAGAAAGAGCAAGAAAATGTTATAATTGTTTATCACATATATATGTTTTTTGTATATGTATATATGTGTGTGTGTGTGTATATATACATATACATATACATATATATATATATATATATATAAAGACAGGGTTTTGCTATGTTACCTAGGCTAGCCCCAAACTCCTGGGCTCAAGTGATGCTCCTGCATCAGCCTCTGGAAGAGTTGGGATTATGGATGCATGGAACTGCACCCTATACCAAAATATATTTTTAAAAGAAGCATAGCATATTAGACCTAGGATGAAGCATAAAAAGCATCTAGTTAATCTTCTTCATTTTGCAAATGAAGAGACTAAGGTCACGAGAGATAATAGTTGTTGAAAGCCACAAAATCAATTAATGACATGATAATACCATGTTACAGTGCAATGAAGTATCACTAAAGTTCTATAGATAATTTGTTTATTTGAATTAGAGCTCAACCTTTCCCACTCTAATTTTCCAAGGAAGTAAGCAATATTATTCAGTGGGGACTTTTCTCTAACCTCTTAGCAAAAAATTGCTAATCATTTTAGACTTATTTTGTCTATATTAAATAATAATAATTAGCATGTATCCATTACTTACTGTATTAGGCTGTTCTTTCATTGCTATAAAGGAATACCTGAGACTGGGTAATTTATAAAGAAAAGATATTTAATTGGCTGACAGTTTTGCAGGCTGTACAAGCATGGCCCCAGCATTTGCTCAGCTTCTGGGGAGGCCTCAGGGAGATTTTACTCATGACCTTATGACAGAAGGTGAAGTGGGAGAAGGCACACCACATGGTGAGAGCAGGAGCGAGGGTGGGGAGGTGCCAGATACTTTTAAACAATCAGATCTCCAAGAACTCACTCATTATTACAAGGATAGCACCAAGCCATAAGGGATCCACTTGCATGACCCAATCACCTCCTACCAGGCCCCACCTCCAACATCGAGGATCACATTTCAACATGTGCTTTGAGCAGGATAAATATCCAAACCATATCACTTACTATATGTCAGATACTGTGATGAGTACTTTATATATTTTCTTCCCCTCTCATTTAGCTCTTACAGCAACATCGAGGATCACATTTCAACATGTGATTTGAACAGGATAAATATCCAAACCATATCACTTACTATATGTCAGATACTGTGACAAGTACTTTATATATTTTCTTTCCCTCTCATTTAGCTCTTATAGCAACCTTATGAGGAAGGCATTATTAGTGTTCCAATTTTCGGATGAAGAAATGGAGAGTAAATGGGGGAGTAACTTAACCAAACTCTCACAAATTAAAAAAAAAAAAGAAAAAGAAAAACTACAACTTTGAATTTAGGTAGTCTAGCTCTGGACACCTCTAGGTTCTATTGCCTCCAAAAGATGGAACTTGTCCTTAATACCTAATTTGTCAAGATCTGTAGGGTAACAAAATGAGCAAAAACCTAGACACCCTTGACTGCTCATTGAGGCAACATGCAAATAAAGTAACAAAAGGAACAGAAAGTTACTTGTGATCTAAGCAAACTTCTCAATGCTCCAGAAAAAATCAAGTGTAATAAATCTTTATGGGAGAAGTTGCTTTTGTCTGTGAGGTCCACTAATAAGGGTAGAAGCTTGGAATGAGTCAACGGAGCAGATACATTTGGCAATACAAGAGAGAGGAAACAACCATATGACCCAGTGATCCCTCTGTTGGGTATATATCCAAAATAAATGAAATCAACACCTCATAGAGATATCTGTGTTTTCACATTCATTGCATCATTATTCACAATAGCCAAGATATGGAAGCAATCTAAGTGTCCAAGGATGGATGAATGGATAAAGAAAATGTGGTATGTGCGTGTGTGTGTGTGTGTAATGGAATATCATTCACCCTTTAAAAAAAAGGACGTTCTGCCATTTGCAACTACATGTATGAATCTGGAGGACATTATGCTAAGTAAAATCAGTAAGACACAGGAAGAAAAATACTGTATGACCTCACTTATATAGGGAATCATTTTTTAAGTCAAATAAATAAAAACAGAGTAAAATGATGGTTACTAGTGGGGAAAGAGGATAAAATGAAAAGATTTTGGTGAAAGGATACAAAATTGCAGTTATTTAGGATGAATAAGTCTAGAGAGCTAATGGACAGCATGAGGACTATAGTTAATAACATGGTATTATATATTTAAAAATTTGCTAAGAGAGTAGAGTTTAGGTACTCTTACCACAATAAACAAAAGTAGCTGTGGAAGGTGATGAAAATATTAATTTGTTTGTCTGTAGTAATCATTCCATCATGTATATCAAAACATCATGTTGTACACTTGACATATATATAATAAAAATAAATTTTAAAAAATAGAGAGAGGCTGGGTGTCATGGCACATGCCTGTAATCCCAACAATTTGAGAGGCCAAGGCTGGTGTATTGCTTGAGCCCAGGAGTTTCAGAACAGCCTGGGCAACATAGCAAGACCTTATCTCTACTAAAAATTAAAAAAAAAAATGCTGGATGTCGTGGTGCATGCCTGTAGTTCCAGCTATTTGGGAGGCTGAGGCAGGAGGATCACTTGAGCCTGGGAGATCGAGGTACAGTGAGCGTGATCACACCACTGCACTCCAGTCTGGGCAACAGTATGAGACTCAAAAAAATAAAATAAAATAAAAGAGAGAGAGAGCGAGAGAGAGAAGGAATAATCCCAGATTCCTATAAAGATAAGAAAGGGTGGGACTCAGCTCACAGGTAGAATGGTTGGCCTTGGAAAAAAGAAAGGACACATCTTCCACTGTAAAAAAAAAAAAAAAAAAAAAAAAAAAAGGAACGGGGAGGAAAATATGGGTGTTGGCTTAGGTCTAATTTTTGGCTTCGTAATGGTGAGATGAGATGAGGGGGTGCAGGGGAGCAATTTCATGGTATCTATATTTTCTGTGAAATGAGCAAGTATTAATCAACTGTAGAAGTTTGTAAGTTTGAAGAGAGTAAAATAGTTTTGAAATAGCTGTTGTAAAGAATGGAAGAGAGAGCTGAACAGGAAATGTAGAAATGATGTCAGGTAGCATAAAGGGCCCCTCTGAAGAAGGAAGTGATGATTGATTGATTGACCAATTGATTACTGTAAATATTTTAAAGTGAAATATACCATCTATGTTGGTTAATTATTTATGTCAACTTCGCTGGGCCACAATGCCCAAGTATTTGGTCAAACATTATTCTGGATGTTTCTGTGAGGTTAATTTTGAATGACATTTACATTACATTGGTGGACTTTAAGTACAGTAGATTGCCCTCCATAATGTGAGTGGGCCTCATACAATTCAGTTGAATGCCAGAGGAGAACAAAAGGCTGAACTTCTCCCACTCTCAGCAAGAAGGAATTATCCAGCAGGCTGCCTTCAGAATTCATCTGCAATACCAGCTCTTCCCTGAGTCTCCAGCCCATTGGCTTCTCCCATCAGATTTTTGACTTACCAAGCCTTTGTAATGGTGAGACCAAATTCCTTAAAATAAATCTCTTCATTTATACATATATACATAACACACACACACACACACACACACACACACACACACACCTTATCAGTTCTGTTCTCTGGAGAACACTGATAATAATACAATACCTATGCAGAAAAGTGAATTAAATATAAATATATAACAAATAATTAAAATGGTAAACATCAGAGTTTACAGATCAAGAAATAAAGCTTTCCCAATGTTCTATTTGTGATGTATTGATAAGGTACGTGAATACCTCATGTACCTCATCCTGATCCCACTTCCTAAGACCATATTCTATAATTGGAAACAATTTGCACACTTATGACTTTTTTATTTTCTTAACAATATTCAGCACCCCTCTGTAGACTCCACAAAGTTAGATAGTTGGGTTGGACCAAGGTTGTACTTAAAAGGATGGTACAATGTAAGGCAGCTGGATTTTTTAAAATGAAGAATATTAGCAAAGTGTCATTGATTGAATGGGCCATATAGGAAGAGATGTAAGCTGATATGTTAGAAGGAAGAGAGAAGACTAAAGGCCTATGTCCTATGGGCTTAATAGACAAGAGCTACTGCTAGCTAATGACTGTCAGAAAGAATGGCTTCCAGCACTCCAAAAATAGCTCTAATTTTTGGTAAATGTTTCTTAACATTTAACTGACTCATAACAAATAAAACTCTCACGAGTCAACTTATTTTGATCCTTTGAGGTATAGTTTGCAACTAGCTTTTACTAGATGGTTACTTGGAGAGTGACATTGCTTCATTTTCGATATATTATGGGTCATTTACTGAGCTTTCCTTCTTCCAGATGAGACTTGTTGCATGTGGTGTAGAACTTTGAGACCTCAGTTATCTGTTTATCTGTGTGGCAAAGCAAAATCCAAATCAAAACATATTGAACGAACAGGCACGCTGGCTCAGGCCTATAATACAAGCACTTTGGGAGGCCTAAAGGGGAGGAATGCTTGAGCCCAGGAGTTCAAAACCAGCCTGGGCAACTTGGTGAGACACCGTCTCTACAAAATATTAAAAATTTAGCCAAGATGGTGGTGAACACCTGTAGTCCCAGCTACTAGGGAGGCTGAGACAGGAGGGTCACTTGAGCAAAGGAGGTCGAGGCTGCAATGAGCCATGTTCACGCCACTGCACTCTATGTGGGCAATAGAGCAAGGCCCGGTCACAAAAAAAAGCCATATTGAACTTACCAATCCTCAACTCACCTATACAGAGGTGATAGGGTCTTCTTTTCAAATATGCACCCTCACTAGGCTTCTTCATTTGATAAAAAGCAATTTCTATATCTCATTCATGGCTAAAGCATATGGGTTTGTACCTAGTCATCACCACACTTTGTGTTAAATATATACCTCAGACCTATTCTAAATCAATATTTATGTAAAAATGATTGAGAGAAATAGACTTTATAGAAGGTTGTCTAAAAAGTTATACAAACCATGCATCTCCCTATTTACCAGAAAATGTATCCTTGGATTAAGTTAGACCAGCAGAGAGTGATGTACTTCCATCATATTATTTAGGACTCATAGAATTTTTTTTGGATGTCATTGTCTTATCTCAAAGAAGCCCAAAAGCAACAACCGTATGAAATACTTCATTGTATTTACTGTAAGGCTTTTGTTGAGGAAATTGTTCATCATATTATATAACATACTTTTTATAGCAATGCATTGGGAAATTTTCTCTTACATCTCTGTACCATGTATAATCGTATTTCTTCTATGTAAATGACTTATTTTTATCTTTTATTTACTGTGAATCATGTGCCTATCTTTGCATTAAATGATAGGAAGCTCAGAGGTAAACATTTGGTCTACTTCTAGCAAGTGTACTGACATTACAGTGCTAATTCTGTGTATTTATATCATCTCTGGCTTTACTTTGTTTTTCTACGTTTATTTTTATTTCGTCGTGATTGATCTGTCTCACTTTTTGTTTCAACACTTTCATGTCATGTGAATTCTGTAAATCATCTTAAATCTTTTTGGGAACAAGATAGGGCATATATCAGTAAATATACTATATGTAAATTATGGACAAAAGGGGCAAGTTTCCACTAGTGGAAAGAATAGGTACTAAGGCCACTTAACTGGGCCTCTTTTTTTCTAATCTAAAAAAATATATTACACTTCCTCCTCTCAAGATTTTTGTGAAGAGAAAATCAGATAATATGTATGAAAACACGTTAAACAGCAGACTAACTCATAAATGCAAAACAATCATAATATTGTAATCTTTCAAGGAGAATAAAATTGATGGTTTGTGTGATATTACGTTAGTAATAGAAGAATTATATCCCCTAATCACATTGAAAATAATAATAGCAATTTTTTAAAAGACGCTGAAGTTTAGTGATTTTATTCTAAGTCTTGGGGACAGTAGGAAGTTAGGTATTATCACTAGCTAGTTAAAAATTATTTATTGCCTTCTTATGTGCACAAAATATTCTGCTGTAATCTAAAAAGCTCTTTATCTCAGGAAATAAGTTACTCAGTTTCCTCATCTGAAAATTAAAATGGTTAAACTACACGTTCCTCATGTTGTTTTCTGGACAAAATCCATATGATTTTTTAGCTTTTCTGGGTTGTATAAGCCAAACAACTATTCACAGTACATTTTTATGTTGTCATAAAATGATAATTACTATTAACTTTATTAAACATTTATTTACAGAGCAAATTACTACAAGTTCAGTGCTCTACTAATCATTTTTGCCATCTATAATAAAATAAACTCCTGCTTAATACCAACACCTAATCCATATGGTATCATAAAAGATGCTGGTGAAACACAAAACCACTGGTATAACTGATAAAATGTTATATTCAACAATCATATTAGGAGCCAAACACAGAACAGGTAAAACATTTCCTGCAAAATTGATACAGATGACTGCTTTGAATGTGACTGTAAAAATCCTGAAAAGAACATCAAAAGTTTATTGGAAAGCACTTTTATAATAAAATATAGAATAATATTAAGATATCAATGTTAGCTTCTCAGGGTTCAAAGTAGAAGAAAGAACAATATAACAAAATATACATAAAAAAGATATCATTGAGACTGTAGGAAAAAAAATCTACAGATATGTAACACCACAGCTGCCATAAAAGCTAGAGATAAATAAACTAATTCATTCAGGTGACTTTCTTACTGACTTGTGAGGAATGACTAAGAGGGATATGTGACCAATAATGTGGTGTTTTTTAAATTTATTTGTTTTATTTTTGTGGATACATAGTAGGTATATATATTTAAGGGGTACTTGAGATTTTTTCATACAGGCATACAATGTGTAATAATCAAATCAGGGTAAATGGGATATTCATCATCTCAAGCATTTATCTTTTTTGTTACGAACAATCCAATTATACTCTTGTAGTTATTTTAACATATACAATTAAATTATTATTGACTATAGTCATCATGTTGTGCTATCAGATACCAAATCTTATGAATTCTACTTTTTGTAACCATTAACCTTCCCCCCGCCCCACCCCCACTACTCTTCCAAGCCTCTGATAACCATCCTTCTACTCTCAATCTCCGTGAGTTCAATTGATTTGACTTTTAGATCCTACAAATAAGTGCGAATGTCTGATGTTTGTCTTTCTGTGCCTGGCTTATTTCACTTAAAATAATGATCTCTAGTTTTATCCATGCTGCTGCAAATGACAGGATCTCATTATTTTATGGTTGAATAGTACTTCATTGTGTATAAGTACCAATGTGGTGGTTTTAATATGTGTCCACAAATTTTTTTATGATATTTCTCATTTCAAGAAGTCAAGGCCAATTTCCCTCCTCTTGAGTGTGAACTAGATTTAGGGATGCGCTTGCAATGAGTAGAATAAAACATTATGTGATTTCTGAGACTAGGCCATAAAAAGCCCCTCAACTTCTGCTTCCTTTCTCCCTCACCCAACCCTCTCTTCCTTGGATTATTCACTCTGGAAGAAGCCAAATGTTAATTTATGAAGACACTCACCAGAGGCCCGTGTGGTGAGAAATTGAGATCTTTAGCCAAAAGCCAGAGAGGAAATCAAAGACTCCTACCATCAATTATGTGAGTGAACTTGGAATTGACTCCTCCAGCCTCCCAAAAAAGCCTTCAGATGAATGCAGCCCCGGCTGACATCTTGGCTGTAACCTCAGAGAAAACACCAAGCTAGTCCTACCCAGCTAAGCTTTGTGCAAATGTATGACTCAAAGCAACCGTGAGGTAACAAATATTTGTTGTTTTAAGCCACCAAGTTTAGGATGAATTGGTTATGCAACAATAGATAGCTTACACTGATAAATAACTCAATCCTAAATATGTAAATTAGGTATGTGAATCCATGGAAAAGGAGAAAGTATTTGAATTAGTTGGTGAATAATGAAGAACACTTGACAAAGTAAATATACTTTCATGTTTCAATGGATTTGGGATCGTCTATATAAGAAGGTTATTTTCTCTCCTCATCAGGTCTAGTGTTATGAGTTTTTGTATATTTTGAAATCAGTTTTTGAAAATCAGTCTTTTAATATGGTTTTACTTGGATTACTGGTGACTGTAAAGAAGTTTTTCCAAGGGAGAAGCATTGTTTGTACTAAACAGGTAGCTTCCTCCTACCCTTTTCCTCCTTTAGGCACTGTGATTATTTCTAATCCCCAGTAGAACAGCAATCAAATTTGAAGGCATCTGCTGTGTTTTAGTATTGCTACAATCATAACCACTGCTATGAGTTTAGGAACCAAACAAAAAATACTTTTAAATATCACAAATCCATAATTTTACCTACCTGTAAACACACCTGAAAAAATGCAGATAATCACTCTCCCAAACATGTTACTTAAAATGCACTCCCACATCCATTTTGATTGCCATCATTATTCTTGAAGCTGGCAAATCAGAAACCTGGACCCTTGTCCTTCTCTTTAGCGATTGTATTTATTCAAAACGAACCATGAACAGGCTTGGAAAAAGGTAAATTTAACTGACAAGGTGACAGTTGGGCAATGTTATAAAATACTGTCCCTGCCTTTTCCTACCTCACTTTTAAACATGCTGGGTGCTCTCATGTTGTACATTTTTGCTCCTTGATTCTTTTACTTTCAAGGTAGAGGAAGATTTCCCATCTTATTTTTTAGATGGAAATAACATTGAGAAGCTTACATGGTTTCCTTTATTTGTTGATACAGTGAATCATCACCATAATAAGATTTACTCCGGAGAAACTTCTCCTATCTCTGTTAAAATACTCCCTGAAATATCAGAGACTTAATTCTGAGATCATTTGTGTTTCAATAGCCTCAAGAAAGACAGCAAAGCTACAGAAAAAAATGCCAGTGTGTTTATTTAAACTGATCAAAACCACACCAAGATGAATATTAAGAATTTGGTTAAAAATAACAATATATTAATATGAATCCTCAAATTTGATGTTTTCATGAAAAATAAGTTTAATTTTAACAGCATTGCCAATCACTTAAATCAACCTGCATTTGTAAGACTTTTAAATATGTGAAGATATTAGCACAGGGCATGGCTCATGGTGTGGGCTCAATGGATAATACTGCTACTATTCATACTGCTGCTGCTCTCAATTTTATTAGAAGTAATAATAGTAGACACAGTAATCATCTGGTAGCTCAGTAATAGTTACATCCCTTCTTTTCTCCTTTTTTGTGTATGCATTTCTTTTCTGGAAGGGAGCATTATATTAATTACATAAGGGCCAGTCATTGAAGCACATTGAACAAAATAATCATTGAGTCTCTTTATTATATATATTACATATGATATTATATGTGATAAGTATACTTATCACATATAATAAATGCCAGAGACCTCATTATGAGACCACTTGAGTTTATATGTAATATACTGATTATATTGTATATAATCAGTAAAAAAAGACCATATTTCCTGCACAACAATGAAAGACCCAAGTAACAGTAGAAAGGAAGGAAAGCTGAAGAACTTTCCCCAACTTTTGCAAAAGAAGAGAAGCTAATATTTCACCTATTGACAACATGTAACAATTCTTTTTTTTACATTTTAAGTTCCAGGATATATGTGCAGGATGTGCAGGTTTGTTAAATAGGTAAACGTGTGCCATGGTAGTGTGCTGCACCTGTCAGCCCATCACCTAGGTATTAAGCCCAGAATGCATTATCTATATATCCTGATGCTCTCCCTCCCTCTGCCCCCCACCCACCCAACAGGCCCTAGTGTGTGTTGGTCCCTTCCCTGTGTCCAAGTGTTCTTATTGTTCAGCTCCCACTTATAAGTGAGAGCATATGGTGCTTGGTTTTCTGTTCCTGCATTAGTTTGCTGTGGATAATGGCTTCCAGCTCCATCCATGCCCTTGCAAAGGACATGATTCTGCTCCTTTTTATGGCTGCATAGTATTCCATGATGCATATGTACCACATTTTCTTTATCCAGTCTATCATTGATGGGCATTTGGGTTGATTCCATGTCTTTGCTATTGTGAATAGTACTACAATGAACATACGTGTGTATGTGTCTTTATAATAGAGTGATTTATATTCCTTTGGTTATATACCCAGCAATGGGATTGCTAGGTCAAATGGTATTTCTGGTTCTAGAGTTTTGAAGAATCACCACACTGTGTTTCACAATGGTTGAAGTAATTTACATTCCCACCGATAGTGTAAAAGCATTCCTATTTCTCCACAGCCTCACCAGCATCTGTTGTTTCTTGACTGTAATAATCACCATTCTGACTGGCATGAGACGGTATTTCATTGTGGTTTTGATATGTATTTCTCTAATTATCAGTGATGTTGAGCTTTCACATGTTTGTTGGCCACATAAATGTCTTCTTTTGAGAACTGTCTGTTCATGTCCTTTGCCCACTTTTTAATGGGGTTGTTTTGTTCTTGTAAATTTGTTTAACTTCCTTGTAGATTTTGGATGTTAGACCTTTGTCAGATGGACAGATTGCAAAAATTTTCTCCCATTCTCTCGGTTGTCTGTTCACACTGATGATAGTTTCTTTTGCTGTGCAGAAGCTATTTAGTTTAATTAGATCTAATGTGTCAATTTTTGCTTTAGTTGTCATTAATTTTGATGTTTTTGTCATAATATTTTGGCCCTTCCTTATGTACTGAATGATATTGCCTAGACTTCCTTCTAAGGTTTTTATAGTTGTGGGTTTTACATTTCAGTTTTTAATCCATCTTGAGTTAATTTTTGTATAAGGTGTAAGGAAGTTGTCCAGTTTCAATTTTCTGCATATGGCTAGCCAGTTCACCCAGAACAATTTATTAAATAGAAGACCCTTTCCCCATTGCTTGTTTTTGTCAGGTTTCTGGAAGATCAGATGCTTGTAGATGTGCAGTCTTATTTCTAAGTTCTCTATTCTCTTCCATTGGTCTATGTGTCTGTTTTTGTACCAGTACCATGCTGTTTCAGTTACTGTAACCTTGTAGTATAGTCTGAAGTCAGGTAGCATGATGCCTCCAGTTTTTTTTCTTTTTGTTTAGGATTGTCTTGGCTATACATGCTCTATCTTGGTTTCATTTAAAGTATTTTTTTTCTAATTCTATGAAGAGTGTCTATGATAGTTTGATGAGAATAGCATTGAATCTATACATTACTTTTGGCAGTATGGCCATTTTCACTATATTGATTCTTCCAATCCATGAGCATGGAATGTTTTTCCATTTGTTTGTGTCCTCTCTGATTTCCTTGTACAGTGGTTTGTAGTTCTTGAAGAGGTTCTTCACTTCCCTTGTTAGCTCTATTCCTAGGTATTTTATTCTCTTTGTAGCAATTGTTAGTGGAAGTTCATTCATGATTTGGCTCTCTGCTTGTCTATTATTGGTGTATAGGAACGCTTGCAGTTTTGCACATTGATTTTGTATCCTGAGACTTTGCTGAATTTGCTTCTCAGCTTAAGAAACTTTTGGTCTGAGACTATGTGTTTTCTAGATATAGGACCATGTCATCTGCAATTCTGTATCTAGAATATCTATATTCTAGATACAGACAATGTCATCTAACTGTCTAACAGAGACAGTTAGACTTCCTCTCATCCTATTTGAATATGCTTTATTTCTTTCTCTTGCCTAATTGCCCTGGCCAGAACTTCCAATCCCATGTAGTGGTGAGAGGGGGCATCCTCATCCTGTGTTGGTTTTCAAGGGGAATGCGTCCATCTTTTGCCCATTCAGTATGATATTAGCTGTGGTTTTGTCATAAATGGTTCTTACTGTTTTGAGGTATCTTCCAACAGTACCTAGTTTATTGAGAGATTTTAACATGAAGGAATGTTGAATTTTATCAAAGGCCTTTTCTGTGTCTGCTGCAATAATCATGTGGTTTTTGTCTTTAGTTTTATGTGGCAAATTATGTTTATTGATTTGTGTATGTTGATCTAGCCTTGCATTCCAGGGATGAAGCTGGTTTTTGTCTTTAGTTTTGTTTATGTGACAAGTTATGTTTATTGATTTCTGTATGTTGAACCAGCCTTGCATCCCAGGGATGAAGCTGACATGAATGTGGTGGATAAACTGTTTGATGTGCTACTGGATTTGATTTGCCACTATGTTATTGAGAATATTTGCATTGATGTTCATCAGGGATATCGGTCTGAAGATTTCTTTTTTTGTTGTATCTCTGCCAGGTTTTAGTGACAGGATGATGCTGGCCTCATAAAATGAGTTAGAAATGAGTTCCTTGTTTTCAATTGTTTGAAATCGTTTCAGAAGAAATGTTACCAGCCCCTCTTCATATCTCTGGTAGAGTACAGTGGTAAATCTTTCTGGTTCTGGGCTTTTTATTGTTGGTAGGCTATTTATTACATCCTCAGTTTCAGAACTTGTTATTCGTCTATTCAGGGATTCGACTTCTTCCTGGTTCAGACTTGGGAGGGTGTATGTGTCCAGGAATTTATCCATTTCTTCTAGATTTTCCAGTTTATTTGCATATAGGTGTTTATAGTATTCTCTGATGGTTGTATTTCTGTGGGGTCAATAGTGATATCCCCTTTATTATGTCTATTTGATTCTCCTCTCTTTTCTTCTTTATTAGTATAGCTAGCTGTCTATCTATTCTATCACTTTTTTACAAACAAATGCCTCCTGGGTTAGTTGATTTTTGAAGGGATTTTCATGTCTTTTCTCCTTCAGTTCTGCTCTAATCTTGGTTATTTCTTGTTTTCTGCTAGCTTCGGGGCTTGTTTTCTCTTGGCACTCTAGTTCTTTTAGTTGTGATGTTAGGAAGTCTATCTGAGAGCTTTCTGGCTTTTTGAAGTGAGCATTTAGTGCCATAAATTTACCTCTTAACACTGCTTTAGCTGCATCCCAGAGATTCTGGTATGTTGTCTCTTTGTTCTTCTCATTGGTTTCAAAGAACTTCTTGATTTCTGCCTTAATTTCATTATTTACCCAGGAGTCATTCAGGAACAGGTTATTCAATGTCCATGGAGTTGTGTGGTTTTGAGTGAGTTTCTTAATTTTGAATTCTTATTTGATTGTGCTGTGGCCTGAGAGACTGTTATAATTTCAGTTATTTTGCATTTGATGAGGAGTAATTTACTTCCAATTATGTGATCAATTTTGGAGGAACTGCCATGTGGCAAAGAGAATAATGTATATTGTGTTGTTTTGTGGTGGAGAGTTCTGTAGATACCTATCAGTTCCACTTGATCCAGAGCTGAGTTCAAGTCCTGAATATCTTTGTTAAATTTCTGTTTCAATGATCTGTCTAATATTGACAGTGGGGTGTTAAAGTCTCCCACTATTTTTGTGTGGGAATCTAAGTCTCTTTGTAGGTTTCTAAGAAATTGTTTTATGAATCTGGGTGTTCCTGTATTGGGTGCATATGTATTTGGTATATTTTGATCTTGTTGAATTGAGCCCTTTACCATTATGTAATGCCCTTTTTTGTCTTTTTTGATCTTTGTTAGTTTAAAGTCAGTTTTGTCAGAAACTAGGATTACAAAACCCTGCTTTTTTCTGCTTTCCACTTGCTTGGTAAATTTTCCTCCATCCATTTATTTGAGCCTATGTGTGTCTTTGCACATGGGATGGGTCTCTTGAATACAGCACTACAATGGGTCTTGATTCTTTATCCAGCTTGCCATTCTGTGTCTACTAATTGGGGCATTTAGACAATTTACATTTAAGGTTAATATTGTTTTGTGTGAATTTGATCCTATCATCATGCCGCTACCTGATTATTTTGCAGACTTGTTGATGTAGTTGCTTCATAGTGTCATTGGTCTTTGTACTTCAGTGTGTTTTTGTAGTGGTTGGTAATGGTTTTTCTTTTCCATATTTGGTGCTTCTTTCTGGAGTTCTTGCAAGGCAGGCCTGGTGGCTATGAATTCCCTCAGCATTTGCTTGTCTGAAAAGGATGTTATTTCTCCTTCACGTATGAAGCTTTGTTTGGCTAGATTTGAAATTCTGGCTGGAAAATTCTTTTCTTTAAGAATGTTGAATATTGTCCCCCAATCTCTTCTGGCTTGTAGGGTTTCTGCTGAGAGATCTGCTGTTAGTCTAATGGACTTCCCTCTGTAGGTAACCTGGCCTTTCTCTCTGGTTGTCCTTAACATTTTTCCTTCATTTTGACCTTGGAGAATCTGAAGAATATGTGTCTTGGGGTTGATCTTCTCATGGAGTATCTTACTGGGGTTTTCTGGATTTCCCGAATTTGAATGTTGGCTTGTCGTGCTGGGTTGGGGATGTTCTCCTGGATGATATCCTGAAGTATGTTTTCCAACTGGGTTCCATTCTCCCCATTTATTTCAGGTACCCCAATCAGTCATTGGTTCAGTCTTTTTATATAATCCTGTAGTTCCTGGAGGTTTTGTTCATTCTTCTTCATTCATTTTTCTCTAATCTTGCCTGCCTGTCTTATTTCAGCAAGATAGTCATCAAGTGCTGAAATTCTTTTCTCCACTTGGTCTATTCAGCTATTGATACATGTGGTTGCATTGTGAAGTTCTTCTGTTGTGTTTTTTCAGCTCCATCACATCATTTATGTTCCTCTCCAAACTGGTTATTCTGGTTAACAGCTCCTGTAATGTTTTATCATTGTACTTAGCTTCTTTGCATTGGGTCAGAACGTGCTCCTTTAGCTCAGCAAAGTTTATTATTACCCACCATCTGAAGCTACTTCTGTCAGTCCATCCATCTCAGCCTCAGCCCAGTTCTGTGCCCTTGCTGGAGAGGTGTTGTGACATGTGGAGGAGAAGAAGCACTCTGGGTTTTTGAGTTTTCAGCATTTTTTCATTGATCTTTCTCATCTTTGTGAGTTTATCTAGCTTCAGTCTTTGAGGCTGCTGACCTTTGGTTGGGGCTTTTGTGGAGACTTTTGTTGATGCTGTTGTTGTTGCTTTCTGTCTGTTTTTCTTTTAATGGTCAGGCCCCTCTTCTGTAGGGCTGCTGTGGTTTGCTGGGGATCCACTCCAGACCTTATTTTCCTGGGTCCCTCCCACACCTGGAGGTGTTAGTGGAGGCTGCAGAACAGAAAATATATGGCTGCCTGCTCCTTCCTCTGAGGATTCTGTGTCAGAGAGGCACCAACCTGATGGCTGTGGGAATGCCCCTGTATAAGGTGTCTTTTGACCACCTTTGGGGGTTCTCACCTAATCAGAAGGCATGGAATCATGGACCCACTTAATGAAGCACTCTGGCTGCCCCTTGGCAGAGGGAGTGCACTGAGCTGGGGGGAATTCCACACATCCAAACTGCCTGGATTTATCAGAGCCAGCAGGGTGAAAGACTAAGTCTGCTGATTCATGGAGACAGTAGCCGCCCCTCCCCACAGTGGCTCAGTCCAGGGAGATCAGAATTCTGTCCCTAAACCCCTGGGTGGAGTTGCTGAAATTAACACATGGAGGCCCAGCACAATGAGGAGGAATGAGGCAGTCTGGCCATGATCTGCCACACTCACTGTGCTGTGCTGTGTGAAATTCTTTCTGGGTCCAAATCATCCACTCTCCTTGGCAACAGCAGTGGGAAACAGCAAACTGGAACTGCAGTGATAGCTGCTCCCTTCCCCCAGGGAACTCAGTCATCTTAGGCAGCAGGCAGCCTCAGTGATGACAGCCACCCTTCCCCCCAGGAACTCACTAGTTAGGCAGTCTCCAGTCAAGTGGCTGATGAGAATATGCACATCTCTGTGCTTGGGACCCAAGGCCCTGGTGGCATGGACTACTGATCTGCAGGTTGCACCAATCAATAGAAAAACTGTGATTTCCCGGGTGGGGTAGCACAATCAATCACCATCTACCTTGGCTGGAGGTGGGAGCTCCCCTTGCCCCATGCAGCTCCCAGGTGGACCATCGTTCCACCATGCTTTTCCTTGCTCTCCGTGGATTGCACCAACCACCTAGTCCATCCCAGTGAGAGAGCCTGGAAACCTCAGTTGCTGGTGCAGGATTCACTCATCACTTTAGCTCTTCTCAGTGGGAGCCTTCAACTGCAACTGTTTCTAGACCACCATGTTGGCCAACATGTAATATTTCTAACCCATTGTAGGATCTAGTACTCAGTTGCAAAAGGTATCACCAATATAAAATCCACAGAAAGAAGAGGAAGAAAAAGAAGATAAAAATAATCATAATCACACATATGTAGAAGAATACAGAAAGGAAGGCAATGATACCAACTGGAAATGTTTTCTAATTATAAAAACATATTAATGAAAAAGAGCAGAGACAAAATATAAACCTCTCCTCCACAGCTTAGTGTATTACAGTTCTGAGCATTTACACAATGAATTCTGGATAAGGAGGTGACTCTGGTCCTAACCCCATGGAACAAACTGAATTTATAGAGAGCACACAGGTTTTTAAGAAGAAAATGTAAGAGAAGGTTGTAGGCAGATTATTTGGGTTAAGAGATTGTAAATCCTGAGGGGATATACAGTTCAAATACTGAAGCACCTTGAGCATCTCTTAAATTATTCTGCCTCTCTGCTCTACTGTTTTACCTAGTAAAGGTCTTTTTTTCTAAAATCCAAACAGTGTACGTTATTTTGTCAGTCATGATAAAGGCCCCGAAGAAATGCAAAATAAATTTCAGCTTTTATAATTTCTTTCCAAATTAAACCTCTTGTTTTATCTAAGATCAGAATGAAAGTGAGATTGAGGTGGAAATGCCACAGGAATTTAGAGTTCAAGGGATTTATTTTTCTCTATCTTTAATACTTCTGAAGAATTAACAGAAATATTAATGTTTGTTTATTAAAAGTAAGAGAGAGTAGTGGGCAAGGGATAATATAAAAGAATTGTATTTCACATTTAGTTTGTTTAGTTCTCAAAGTGCTTTCAAAACACTTTACTTACAAGGTAATGAGTTAAGTGTCAGCAGCAGTGAGCACAGGTAAATTGAAATACTTTTTGTGCTTGACAGTAAATTACACAAAGAATTGGAGGTGAGAACTTACTTGATTTAAAGTGGGGGCATTGATAGAATGTAAAGTGTTGTTGCTGTTCTTCCTGTTGAGCAAACCTTTGTACAATACTTAGTACTTTATCAAGTTATTTACAGTAATTTTTATTTGTTATTCTTTATAGAAAGCATGTGTTAAAAATAAGCCAATATTAATCATCCCATTTTCCATATAAGGACACCAGGGTACTTAAAATATTTAAGTAGTTGTTACATGAATCATTCATTTATAAAAAGATTTTGAGAGCAGTTCACACAAATAGGAACAAGTTCCAATTAAGAGTTATTTTTATTTGTTTTATTTATTTATTTATTTATTTATTTATTTATTTATTTATTTTTGAGATGGTGTTTTGCTCTTGTTGCCCAGGCTGGAGTGCAGTGGTGTGATCTAGGCCTACTGCACCCTCTGCCTCCCGGGTTCAAGGGATTCTCCTGCCTCAGCCTCCCAGGTAGCTGGGGCCACACCCAGCTATTTTTTGTATTTTTAGTAGAGATGGGGTTTCACCATGTTGGACAGGCTGGTTTCAAACTCCTGACCTCAGGTGATCCACCCACTTTGGCCTCCCAAAGTGCTGTGATTACAGGTGTGAGCCACCGTGCCTGGCCTAACAGTTACTTTTAAAATCACCAGGACCTTCACTAAATTGGCAACTGGGTCTCTCCAATGTAAATGTTTTCTTAAAACATACACCTACATTTTCATTTCTCAACTTTATAAAAACCAAAAAAAAAAAAAATGAAAGAAAACAAAATCTGAACCAACAATGAATATATACATTTTACTGGGTATAAATTTGTGCATGCGTACTATATATTGTCTGATAATCAGTATCAGACAATCCCTTTTCGCTGGTGTCTGAATGACCTGGTCCTTCCACATTTGTCAATATATCATGCCCCTGCTGGACCAGAAAATATTTTTATTATTTCTGGTATGATAGTTGTAGAATTTTCATTCTCTCTTGGAAATTATTCAAAGTTCAGACTCTTATAATACTCAAAAATCTTTTTCCTTTAGCTAATTTCTTAAAACTATACACTATAGTTACTAGACTTAAGAGCTTATTCCTTGCAACATTTTTTAAAGATTATTTTGCTGAGATATTTTCATTCAATTATTTTGTGCCCTTAACCTACTTCTATCTTTCCACTCAGCTATTTAACTACCTGAAAAATATTTTACTACTATCAACACATAAATAATTATTGCTGCTTAACAAAGAAATGACTGCTGGGATTAAACAAAATTGCATGGGCAAAAAGATAGAGTGCTGGCACTATTCTGGTACTGCAGTCTACATATAATATTCTCCTTGTAAATATTTTTAACAGGATGGATAAGTTCCTAAAAGATATGCCAAAGACTGAAACTAATTGGGAGTGTAAATTAGTTTCTTTGAAAAGAAATATAATTTTTCCTCCAGAACTAGAAAAAACTATTTTAAAATTTATATGGAACCAAAAAAGAGCCTAAATAGCCAAGGTAAAAACAACAAAGTTGGAGGTGTCATGTTACCTGACTTCAAACTATACTACAGGGCTACAGAGACCAAAATAGCATGGTACTGGCACCAAAACAGACACTTAGACCAATGAAACATAATAGGGAGCCAGAAACAAAGCTGCTCACCTATGACCACCTGATCTTCAACGAAGCCGAGAAAATAAGCCACGGGGAAAATACTCCCTATTCAATAAATAGTGCTGGGATAAATGGTTAGCCATATGCCAAAGACTGAATCTGAACCCCTTCCTTAAATCATATACAAAAATCAACTCTAGATAGATTAAAGACTTAAATGCAAAACCTAAAACTAGAAAACCCTGGAAGACAACCTAGGCAATACCATTCCAGACATAGGCACAAGCAAAGATTTCATGGTGAAAACACCAAAAGCAATTGCAACAAAAGCAAAAGTTGACAAATGGGATCTCATTAAACTAAAAAGCTTCTACACAGCAAAAGAAACTATCAACAGAGTAAACAGACAACCTAGAGAATGTTAGAAAATTTTTGCAAACTATGCATCTGACAAAGGTCTAATATCTAGCGTCCATAAGGAACTTAGACAAATTTACAAGAGAAAAACAAACAACCTTATTAAAAAGTGAGCAAATGACATGAACACTTTTCAAAAGAAGACATACATGTGGCCGACAAGCATATGAAAAAATGCTCATTATCATTGCCCATTAGAGAAATGCAAAGCAAAACCACAATGAGTTACCATCTCACACCAGTCACAATTGCTATTATTAAAAATTCTTAAAATAACAGATGCTGGTGAGGTTGTGGAGAAAAGGGAACATTTATATACTGTTGGGAGTGTAAGTTAGTTCAACCATTGTGGAAGGCAGCGTGGTGATTTCTCAAAGAACTAAAACAGAACGAACATTTGACTCTGCAATCCTATTACTGGGTATATGCCCAGAGGAATATTAATTATTCTATTATAAAGATACATGCACGTGTATGTTCATTGCAGCACTATTCACAATAGCAAAGACATGGAATCAACCTAAATGTCCATCGCTAACAGATTGGATAAAGAAAATGTGGTACATATACACCATAGAATACCATGCAGCTGATACAGGAGTTAAGAAGAAATCACTTAGGCAAATAGTAAGGGTCTGGGAGTCCTCAGTAAGGCTTTTCTTTTTAATTGAAAACAGCTCCAAATCATTTTCTAACAAAGAGCCACACATGAAGTTGAACTGCAGACATAGACAAGCAAGCTGGGAGCTTGTACAGGTGAATGCCAGCAGGAAATAAGGACTGGACATGTTCAAGATGGTGGCTCCATCTTCCCTTCTCTTTGTCAGCCACATGTATAGTAAGAAGCAGATAAGATGGTGCCAATCAAATGGAAAGCTCATTTGCATAATAAGATTAGGGTGGGGTGATCAGCTTTTCTCATGCATTATGTATACGTCATACCTGATCAAACCAATCTCTGAGCCCTACATAAATCTGATACTACCTCCTCAAACCTGGCTATAAAATCCAGTGCATCTGCCACCAGCTGATCGTTTCCACTTGGAGACCCCTCTCTCTCTTCAGAGAGAGTTGTTTCTCTTTCTCTTCTCTTCCGCCTATTAAACCTCCTCTCCTAAACTCCTCATCTGTGTTCGTGTCCTAAATTTTCCTGACATGCAACGACGAACCCCAGGGTATATACCCCAGACAATGTAGCTGTTTCATACTGGGGACCTCGTCCAAGATACCAAGGTACAACACTCATCAAAACGGTGACTAGAGGAGTGAACTTCAACTCTGTTCTTTCATTCCAAGGCTCTTGGCCTCCATTTTAGAACCAAATCAAATCAAATACTGGGCCCCCTTCAGCCATTTAAAAATGATTAGTTTGGCTGCCAGCCTTACAAGACTTGGGGGTAGGCTTGCTGGGGAGAACATGGATAATCCCCCAGTACCCATGGGTTGCTGGGCATATTGGCCATGTTTGAATCAGCTTCTTTTCCTGGAGGACTTAGCCATCACAGGGGGTTGGAAGAAGTCCTGGAGCAATTGAGGATTTCTGGTGGGGGCTACCCCCCAGTGTTATCCAAAGGCTTCTGAACTGACCCCAGCTTCCAACCACCCCTGTCAGCAACAGGATCTCCAACTTTCGTATCATAGTTTCCTCCTTTCCTGTCTACAACCATCATATCTCTTATCTTCTCTGTGCATGCAATGTGTGGGAAGTTTTACAGTTCAGGCAAATAATCTTGTTTCGCAAGACCCAGGGAATGTCATAGTAACCAGAAATATAGCTCAAAGAAGGCATTTTTGTGATTTTCTAGGAATGGAGGGTCTCCCCCACCCCACCCCCACCACAAAGTGGGCATCACTCTCTGCCCTTGGTCTGGAGGCACATGACACTTTCAGGTCTATCTCCACTCTTGGTCTGGAGAGCATATGGCATGTCAAGGTCACTCTGCCCTTGGTCTGGAGAGCACACATCATCTCAAGGTAAACACCACCACCTAGAGGAATAAGGATCCTCTCCATTAGGCACATTGTCGGTCCTATACTGTAACACCATAGCTTCCCAGTTCTCTCCCCTTTTTGTGCCTCTCTACTAGAAACCAGGCTGTATGCCAGTTCTGTGAATGGAAGAACTCTGCCTTCAACAATTAGGAGTAAAATGTCTTCGAGAACCAAATTTTAGGCTCTATACTGTCCTAACAGCAGGAAAATGGCCTTTCAGTCCCTATATTCTTTTAAGGCACCTATTCTGCCTCCAATTAGAATGGTACTTAATTAGTAGGGGATTTTAAGTCTGGAAGTTAACTGGAACCATTTTCTAAGGGTAAATGCTTTAGCATGGACCATAATAGCAGGATATAAAGCTCAAACCAGCACACTTTCTTCATTAAGGAGGGAAGTGCAACAGTTGCCCAAATGCAACTGTTACAAAGTCTCTCCCAGTATCCATTTTTTTGGAAGCCACACAGGCCACACAAGTCTCGGAAGTCAAAGGGAAATCACAGGCAGAGGACCAGAGTTGCATGGGTGAGGGTGACTAAAACCCATCACTTATTTCCTCTGGTTCTATGGCTGGGGAAGTCACACCTGTAACCACGGGTGTCACATTTAAAAAGGTGCCAGGACCCCAGGAACCACAGAGGGAAAACAGCAGGAGGGATGCCCCCACTGTCTTCCTCTCCACCCTCTGTCACATCAAAAGGAAGGAGGCTAAAGGGACGCCTTTTTCTCACTTCCCTTATCATCTTCAGATCCTCTGGAGTGCATTCTGAAGCACAGGGAAAGCTTTGACCTCAAGACTTTGAAAAAAAAGCAGCTCATTTTCTTTTGCACAAGGACATGGCCTTCTTACTAGACCTTTGCAGGTATTACATAATCAACCGAGGTCTTTTAGCAGTCGTATCTGGCAGGCCCAGAGATAATAATTTCCCAAAATTTGAAAACCAACTTCTGGAGGAACCTACTGAGAATACCCCTTATTTGGCATCACCTCAACTTCCTGTCTCATTGCAGGATCTTAGGCAAATAAAGGGAGACTTAGGCCAATTTTCTGATGACCCTAATAGAAGCTTTCCAAAACTTAACTCACATGTTTCACCTCACATGGAGGGATGTTTATGCTGCTCCTAAGCCAAACCCTAACTGCAGCTGAAAAGCAGGCACCTCTGCAGGGAGGAGAAAATTTTGGAGGTGAACAACATGTCTCCTATGGTAAACCAAAAAGGAAAAAAGGAGATAGGGAAGATGAAGAAATAATGGAAATATCATTTCTAATAAGAAGAAAAGCAGTTCCTCTTAACAACCCTAAATGGAACCCCAATGATGCCATAGATTAATGGAAAAGGAAACACATTTTAATGTACATATTGGAGGACCTACAAAGAACTATGGCAAAATCTATTAATTACTCTAAACTGTCCATGATATATCAAAAGCCAGATGAGAATCCCATAGCCTTTATGGAAAGACTGAGAGGCACCAATAAAACACACCTCCTTAGACCCTGAATCAGTTGAGGGACAGCTCATCCTAAAGGACAAGTTTATTACACAGGCAGCTCCTGATATTAGAAGGAAACTACAGAAGCATGCTATATGACCAGATAGCACCTTGGAGAACCTCCTGAGGGTGGCCACCTCAGCTTTTATAATAGCAGCCAGAAGGAGGTCCAGGAGAAAGAGAAGAAGCAAAAGAGAAGGACAGAGGCCCTAATAGCTGTTTTGCAGACTTACAAAGTCCAGGATCACCGAGGTGCCACTAGTTACCATTGGTGTGGCAAGTCAGGGCACTTTAAGGAGTGCCCAGGCGGCAAAAGGAAGCCACCTCAACCTTATCCAGCCTGTGGTGGGAGGCACTGGAAATCAGACTGCCCCTGGAAATGAAGGTCACTGGGTTCAGAGCCAGTCTCACAGATGGTCTAACAGGACTGATGGGTCCTGGGGCTCAAACTCCTGGCTCCAGTGGCTTAAACTGCCATTAAAGTGCAGGAGCCCTAGGTGATTCTGCAAATTGAAGAAAGGAAGGTGGATGTCCTTGTGAACACTAGAGCCAGTATCTCTCTTCTCCTCTCTAATCCAGGCTTCCCCTTTCCCTGTAGTATGACTGTGAGTAGCATCTCAGGAAAAACTCTAATCCCTTACTTTTCTCAACCCCTTAGTTGCAGATGGGGAAACCTATCATTTACACATGATTGTTTAATCATACCAGAAAGCCCCACTCCTTTACTAGGTAGAGATATTTTAGCTTGCATGCAGGCCAGCATCCTTATAGCCTCAGGACAAATTCTTTGTCTCCCCCTGGTGGAAGCTAATATCAATCCAGAAGTGTGGGCAACTCAAGGAAGAATAGGTCAAGCTGTAATTGCTAAGCCAATCCAGATCCATCTTAAGGATCCCACTTCTCTTCCTAAACAGAAACAATATCCCCTAAAGCCAGAGGCTAGGAAAGGGCTAGAAGCCAGATGCATGGCCTCCTCAAACCCTGTAACCAGCCCCTGCAACACCCCAATATTAGGAGTGCAAAAATCCAGTGGGGAATGGAGACTAGTGAAGAATCTCTGCCTCATTAATGAGGTCATAGCCCCAATCCATCCAGTAGTACCTAATCCCTATACCTTGCTGACCCAAATACCTGAGGGACAGTCCTAGATTGAAAGAATGCCTTCTGTATATTTTTACATCCTGATTCTCAATACCTGTTTGCCTTCAAAGATTCCTCTGGCCAAATCACCCAGTTAACATGGATGGTGCTGCCTCAGGGATTTTGAGATAGCCCTCATTTGTTTGAACAGCCATTGTCAAAAGACCTCTCTGACTTTTCTCATCCTCGGGTCAAGGTCTTGCAATATGTGAATGATAAACTGCTCTGTCTATGCCCCAGCTGAGGAAGCATCTCAGGAAGGCACTGAAGCTGTTCTTAATTTCTTAGCTGACAGAAGAGAGAAGGTTTCCAAATCTACGACTCAGCTTTGCAAAACCTCAGTGAAATACCTGGGTTTAATGCTGTCTGAAGGGACCAGAGCATTAGGGGAAAAAAGGATTAAGCCTATTTTTTCTTTCCCCCTCCCCCACACTCTCAAGCAACTAAAATGATTTTGGGGCATTACAGGATTTTGCAGGCTATGGATACCTGGGTACGATGAGATCACTTATCTTCTGTATCAGCTCATAAGGGAAATTCAAGCAGCTAAAACTCATCTCCTAACCTGGGAACCTGAAGTTCAAAAGGCCTTTAATCAGCTAAAGCAGGCCCTACTTAAGGCACCAACTCTCAGCCTTCCCATAGGAAGGACCTTCAGTCTGTATGTATCAGAAAGGAAGGGAATGGCCCTGGGAGTCTTAACGCAGGCCCAAGGTCCAGCTCAACAGCCAGTGGGTTACCTGAGTATGGAACTAGATTTGGTGGCTAAAGGATGACTAGCACACTTCTGAGTCATTGCTGTGGTGGCCCTACTGGTCCCAGAAGCCTCCAAATTAACCCTGGGAAATGGCTTAACTGTTTATACCCCACATAATGTGGCAGGATTACTGTCCTCTAGGGGAAGCCTTTGGTTAAAAGACAAAAGTCTCCTTAAATATCAAGGTCTACTGTTAAAGGATTCCACTACCCAGTTAAAAACTTGCTCTCACTTAAACCCAGCCACTTTCCTCCCTGAGGGAGCTGGGGAACCTGAACATGACTGTGAACATATTGCGGTACAGACCTATGCAGCCAGAGAAGATCTCAGGAAAACTCCCCTAGAAAATCCAGACTGAGGCCAGGCGCGGTGGCTCACACCTGTAATCCCAGCACTTTGGGAGGCCGAGGCGGGCAGATCACGAGGTCAGGAGATACAGACCATCCTGGATAACATGGTGAAACCCTGTCTCTACTAAAAATACTAAAAATTAGCCAGGTTTGGTGGCAGGCACCTGTAGTCCCAGCTACTCGGGAGGCTGAGACAGGAAAATGGCATGAACCCAGGAGGCAGAGCTTGCAGTGAGTTGAGATCACACCACTGCACTCCAGCCTGGGTGACAGAGTGAGACTCCATCTCAAAAAAAAAAAAAAAAAACAGAAAAGAAAAGAAAATCCAGTTTGGACCCTCTTCACAGATGGAAGCTCTTTTTTAGAGCAAAGAGTCCATAAGGCAGGATATGCAGTAGTCACTCTGAATGATGTTACTGAATGTGCATCTCCCCAGGCACAAGCACTCAACTAGCCAAACTGATAGCCCTTATAAGTGCACTTGAGTTAAGCAAGGGAAAGGTAGCTAACATTTACACTAAGTGCACTTGAGTTAAGCAAGGGAAAGGTAGCTAACATTTACACTCACTCCAAGTATGCTTTCCTAGTTTTCCATGCTCATGCTCCTATTTGGAAGGAAAGGCACTTTCTTACCACCAATGAATCTCCTATAAAACACCATCAAGAAATTAACAGGTTATTATCCTCAGTTTTCCTTCAATGAGAGGTGGCAATGATGTATTGTAAGGGACATCAGAAAGGAATAGATGAAATAACCAAAAGAAGCAAGCTAGCTGATCAGGCAGCCAAGTCAGCAGCAAGGAAGCCTCATGACATCAACACACTTGAAGCCCCTCTAATTTAGAAAAATTCATAAGAGAAATCAAGCCTCAGTATTCCCGTACAGAAACAGAATGGACCACCTCTTGAGGGTACAACTTCCAGCGCTCAAGATGGCTACAGTAAGAGGATGGCAAGCTCCACTTGCCAGCCTCCAGCCAGTGCAAAGTCCTTAAAATTATTCACCAAGCTTTTCACTTGGAAAAGGATAAAACTTAATCAGTGTGCCCAGAAATTGTTTTCAGGAGAGAACTTACTAAGAACAGTAAAACAGGTTGTTAATGCTTGTGAAGTCTGTCTTAAAAATAATCCCCTGAACAGACGGTTCCTTCCTTCTCAAACCAAAGGGTGGAATCTGTCCACAGGAGGACTGGCAAATAGACTTCACCCACATGACAAAGATGCAGGGCATCCAATAACTCTTGGTGTGGGTAGAAACTTTCACTAACTGTGTAGAAGCATTTCCATGCCATACAGAAAAGGCCTCTGAGGTAACAAAAGAAGCGTGTAACCTCTTTGGCTCACTTTCAACAGGAATTAATTCAACTAGCAGAAGCTCAACCCCAAGAAGTAGGACTGCCTTTATTTAACCCAGGAGATTTGGTATCAGTAAAAGCTCTCCCTTCTCTCTCTCCTCCCTTAAGCCCAAGCTAGGAAGGGCCCTACATTGTTCTTCTTTCAACCCCCTCAGTGGTAAAAGTTACAGGTATCAACTTCTGGATACATCATACTCGAGTCAAAGCCTGGAAAGCTGAGAGAGCAAGCCCTGACAGCCCAGAGGAATGTCCTGAATACCAATGTGAAGAAATAGATTATCTTAAGCTGAAAATCATAAAGGATGAGTAAATGAGCAAGGTCTACTCATCCTACACAGTCCAACTTTTACCTTCAGTTATTTATGTTTATCCTCTTGAGATGTGCCACCAGATATTAGAACTTCTTCTTGACACATACTTGCAGGGATAATTTAATTATTCATGGGCTTGCATTCAAAATTTCATAGACCCCAAAAAGGGAAGTGTTATGTCTTGGTGAGTAAAATTTTAGATGAGAATTATCTACTACACCACACTTGCAGGAATTGCTATACTTACTCTATTTGCAGTGAGACAATATACTGTAACGCCATCTAACTGGAATATCAGACAGAGAGTTTCCATTGCTATAGTATTTTTCTTAATTAATATCCTTATAGCAGGGATAATAGTTGCCAACAAAAAGGAAGCATGAAAGTTTTACTATCACTGAGGCAGCTAGGACTTTTTATTGGGTTTCATACTATGTCACACTCTGGCTATGCAAAGAAGATTATAAATGACAGAGATTTTATATAAGAAAGAATCTTGTATGGTAAATACTTATTCTAAAGAAAATAGTTGGTCATTTAAAAAAGAGATGTTTAGGACAAGTCAGAAGGTTTAAGCATTTCATAGGTGGTTCGTGGAAGTTGTGAAAAGATTATGCAGATGGTTAATAATTGTCCTAGAAAGAATAGTCGGTTGTTTAAAAAGAAAGGTGTTTAGGACAAGTCAGAAAGTTTAAGCATGTCATAGATGGTATGAGGAAGCCATGAAGGAATTAATTGCAGAAAAGATTTAGCGAAGGTTAACACTAAAATTACACTAGCCACCCAATAACTTATTTCTCCCAATCATATTGCAAGTTATAAAAGATGACCTAGACCTGAAATTATCCCCTAATGGCAAATCAAGAGGAGAATATATGTATTTCTCAAAGAAAAAAATGTTGCTTTTATATCAACAGTTCTGGTAAAGTACAGCAACATCTGGTGGAGGCAAACCAGTATTTCAATCAGTCAAAATGGCTGACAGCTATCAAACTCTACTTTTATGATTGTGGCCTATAGTACCCCCACTAACAGTGGCAATGTTAACACTCATATTCATACTGAAATTTATCTCTTCTCACCTAGAAGCAATCAAACTCCAAATGGTACTAAAGACAGAACCACACATGGACATGCCTTTCTTCCATGGACCCTTAAATCAGCCCCAGGAGGAGCCCTAGCTGCTCTTCCCCACATGATGCCCCTTTTCAGCAGGAAGTAGCCAGAAACAGTCATAGCTCGAACATCCCCTAATAGCAGTTAGGGTTACCACTCCAGAGTGGGGAATGATACAGAAGTTAAGAAGAAATCACTTAGGCAGATAGTAAGGGTATGGAAGTCCTCAGTAAGGATTTTCTTTTTAGTGAAAGGCAGACCCAAATCATTTTCTAACAAAGAGGAGCCTGTAAAGTTGAGCTGTGGACATAGACATGCAAGCTGAGAGCTTGCATGGGTGAATGCTGGCAGGAACTAAGGAGTAGACATGTTCAAGATGGTGGCTCCATCTTCCCCTCTCTATACATATCCCCTCAGCCATATGTATAGTAAGAAGCAGACAAGATGGAGCCAATCAACTGGAAAGCCCATTTGCATAATGAAATTAGGGTGGGACAACCAGCCTTCCATGTGCACTACGTAAACATCATACCTGATCAAACCAATCTCTAAGCCATACATAAACCAGACACCACCTCCTCAAACCTGACTATAAAATCCCATCCATCTGCTGCCAGCCCATCCTTTCCACTCAGAGACCCCTCTCTCTATATAGATAGAGCTGTTTCTCTTTCTTTACTCTTCTGCCTATTAAACCTCTGCTCCTAAACTCCTTGTGTGTGAATGTGTCCTAAATTTTCCTGGTGCATGACAACAAACCCTAGGGTATATGCCCCAGACAACATAGCCACTTCACAGCCATTAAACAAAAAAAGAGAGATTGAGATTATGTCTTTTATGGGAACACACATGGAGCTGGAGGCCATTATCCTTAGCAAACTAACACATAAAGAGAAAACCAACCACCATATCTTCTCGCTTATAAGTGGGAGCTAAATGATGAGAACTCATGAACACAAAGAAGGGAACAACAGACACTGGAGTCTACTTGATGGTGGAGGGTGTGCTGAGGAAAAGGAGCAGAAAGGATAACTATTGGATACTGGGCTTAATTCCTGAGTGATAAAATAATCTGTACAACAAGCCCCTGTGACATGAGTTTACCTATGTAACAAACCTTCACATGTACCCTGGAACCTCAAATAAAAGTTAAAGAAAGAAAAGCAACATATAGACAAGAAATTATCAGAATCTTCAACATTGGATCAAGAAAGAATATGAATAACTCCACCCTAAATCACTCCCACACAGAACCATTCATCTGCAAAAGGAAGAAAAACCTTCTCATTTATACGTGAGAAAATCGTCAGAAGGAAAAAAATCAAAAATTAACTTGAGGAATCTCTAGCAATTTTCTTCCATATCAGAGTGGCCAAAAAGTAGTTTGAATTTGAATTTACTTGCTTGTGCACGCTCACCCAAAAGTGAAGGTAGTGAGGAGAAATGAAACAGCAATAGGCCAGAAGGATATTAAAAAAGAGCATCCAGATACATTTATGGACATTTGAGAGTAAATTGTACCTAGGGAAACATTTCTTCTTTCATTTTATATTAGTGATTTTACTTCAACTTTTATTTTAATATGTTTCTTCCTCTATTTGCTAAATTCCAAGCAAACATTTTTCTTTTATAAATAGATTTTGAAGTATTTGAAAATATTGGTTTTAAATTCCTGACACTAGTATTGGGCTGTGAAATGAGAAGAAATAGCCACAGGTAGATAACAGACAGCTCCTACATTAGCTGCCAAGATAAATCATTCTTCACTTGAACCTTGACATAGTTAAAGATAAAGTTCATGCCTGGCACGGTGGCTCATTCCTGCAATCCCAGCACTTTGGGAGGCCGAGGCTGGCAGATCATGAGGTCAGGAGATCGAGACCATCCTGGCTAACACAGTGAAACCCTGTCTCTACTAAAAATAACAAAAAAAAAAAAAAATAGCTGGGTGTGGTGACACATGCCTGTAATCCTAGCTGCTTGGGAGGCTTAGGCAGGAGAATCGCTTGAACCCAGGAGGCAGAGGTTGCAATGAGCTGAGATCACACCACTGCACTCCAGCCTGGGTGACAGAGCAAGACTCCATCTCCAAAATATATATATGAAGTTCAGGGACAGGTTTCAGGTTTTCAGCAGGGGATTTCCACATAATTACATAGCCAATAGTACAAGCACTTGACAAATTATCACATAATTCATTAGTAGCTAGTGTTGTGATAAAGAAGAAGAGCCAGTTTTTTGTCCTTAGGATATTTACCTGTAATCGAGGTTGTGTACCATCACTAATACAGCTGTTGCATTTTCACATGGGCACAGAGCATCTGCACATTTCAGTTACAATGATAAGTTGTGGTAAAATGAAAAAAAAAGATGACAAGGAAAGAGAGAGAAGAAGGAGGAGGAGGAAGAGGAAAGGGAAAAGGAGGAGGAGAGGAAAAGGAAGAGGAGGAAAAGAAGATAGAATAAGAAAAACGTAGCAGCCAGAGACAGGAGAAGGAGAAGGGGGAAAAGGGAAGGGAAGATGAGGAAAGAGGAGAAGAAATTATAGTGGAACACAGTTTGCACTCTCATATTTCTTCTGTTAACAGACTTTTGGGTGGCCTTCATGATACTTGCCTTGCAGTGTTCATGCCCTCGTATAATGCCCTCCTTTTGAAGCATGGGTGGAACTAGTGACATTCGTCTAACAAATAGAATATAACAAAGATGATAGGATGTTACCCCCATCATTGTGTTATATTCTGTAGAATTTTGTCTTGCTAGCAGAGTCACTTTAGAATCTTGTTCTAGAAACGACTTACCATGAGTCTTACAGCCAAAGGGAAATAAATTTTATGAACAACCTGAGGAAGCTTGGAAGTAGAGACTTCCTCAGTCGAACTTCCAGATGAAAATCCAGTCCTAATACCTCAATTACAGCCTTGCAGAGGACTCATAAGCCCTGCCTAGATTCCTGACTAACAGCAATATATGAGACAATAAATATGTGTTTTTTAAGCCATTACTTTTGTGGTAATTTGTTTTGCAGCCTGGAAAACTAATGCATTTTCTAAGAACATGAACAAGTACCCCAAATTAACTTTTCTCTGAATAAATCTAAAAATTTGGTATATTTTGAAATGTTCATACCCCTTTGACAATTTAGGTGTGAATACCAGCTAGTGATAATTTAAATATTTATTTTCCTCAAAGCAATCTTATAATATACTTAGAAAAATAGAAAATCAGTTTTTCTTTACAAATGAATTTATGTAAAGAAAGAAAAACAGCTTTTACTTCTGTTCAGGGGCATCAATTCACAGTAATTTTAAAAGTTGTATATCTAAAACAGTACATGCTAAATGTTCAGATACTTATTGTCACTATTAATATGACTTTGAATAGAATCATAAATTTAATATAAAAAGAAAGGACCTTTGAGATATTTAAATCTAAATAATTATTTCCAGAAATGAAAAATTTGACACCTAGAGAAGTTAAGTGACTAAGGTAACATAGCTTGTTAGTGGCAAACCAAGTGTTAAGATACTTGGATACCTAATACTTTTCACCATTCTATCCTTACTCCTAATAATTGTACTGCTCTTCTAAAAGAAATGAATAGCACATTCAAATGATAATTTATTCAGACAATAACTAAATGTTTAATTCTACAGGTTAGAATTACAGCTGCCTACTATATTTTGGGATTTTCTTTTTATATTACTAGAAATGGTGTGCTGTTACACTTACAACGTCGTGACATCTCTTTTCCTATCACATTGTCTTTCTACATTAGTGCCAAGGTGGTGGATGTCAATCCACTTTTGCTTTTAGTGATTTGAGGCTGAGTTATTTATAATTCTCATTGAAAAACAATATTTGAATTGTGTAGTGGAATATTTCACTATATTGATTAAATAGTGCCATTTCTCTAAGTATCTCCTAAGTTTTTGAGTCAATACTGAAACACAATAATTCTCACAGTTGCAGTTGGCCCAAAATGATTCTATAACAATCTGCCATATATTAAAGCCCATCTGGTACCACATTCTATAGCATTTTATTTGGATTTTCTGAAGATAATTTTTTAACTTTTTTCTCCAAAAAGTGAGTTTGCTAGTCATCTTATTTTCATTCTACAGCATCTTGAAGTAACTAAGTCAGCAAATACTTGTTAGTCATAGTTTCCATAAATGAAACAATCTGACTAAGATAACCTTTCAAGCTATAATATTTGAATGACAAATAGTACCTTTTAAGATGTTCTAGTGAAAAAAAAAACTGATGGGACAATATACTATCCACATTTAAAAACCGAACTGCAGCCTGAAGCTTATTTTTTCTTTATAAATTTCTATTGCCCAGTAAATGCTTCTATACTCTATAGCCTTGAATGCCTCCCAGGAAAAGAAATAAAAGGAGAAGAAAAAGAGAAAAGCAGAGGGAGAGATAACAATACACTAAGAAGAGAGTGGTAGAGTATCACTAACAAGTGCATTGTATAATCTAAAATTCCACACCTACATCTGGGTTACACATAGTATATTCTTAAACACATACACATTTGATTTGACCCTTTCAAACAATTAACAGAAATAAACTAAGGGAGTTTATATGGAGAATAGCACATCTTGGTATTAATCCTTTAGGAAGTACGGTACCCTCAAAAAGGCCAAATTGTTCATTATTGTCTTAGTGTAGTTTACAAGACAGCAAGGCACTACAGTGTACGTATGAGCCAGGCAATAACCAGCCTGGGGCTTGGGAGCTGATTCAAATGGTTCAGATCATTCCCATGTTCCAAGATTGTTCAGAAATGAATGAAGACCCTTTATTAATGTTTTGTCATTACTTAGGAACTATATGACTGAGTTAAACCATTTTGTTTTCATTTCCACTTTACTTTCTCCAAATATAATGCAGATAATAAATATACTGTGGTAGCCCAGTGTTGTAAAAGTTGTTAAACTAATGCTCTTAAACAATATTTAAAATGACATTTTTATTAAGTTGGCATGAACTATATTTCTAAATTGCTTTTAATATGATAATGTTTGCAGTTTACTATGCCATAAGTGCAGTTTGGCAGTGGAATGTACATGAATATTTCATCCAGCAAAGGCCATGTTTCTGTAATTATAAATAGACCTGTTCCAACAGAAGTAGACAGATGCTTGTGTTTCAAAGCAAATGTTCTAAAGCAAGAGCTGCTGATTAAAGGCTTAAGACAAAGCAGAAGTATATTGGGGTTGAGTGCTTATTACCTAGAGGAAGTCACTTTTGTAAGTACCTGGAAAGTTGAGAAGGCAGCACTAGTGTCAGCCATAGCTGCAACAGACTGTTACCTCTTTAGCCCTCAATTGGATTTTCTTGTGACACTTCCATTTTGGAAAAGAACTTCTGTCTTTTGCTCCAAGCACAAGTAAGCATCAAAACTCTGATAAAATAGCACAGAGACTGCCAAAGAGCTTAAGCAGGCTGTGTGCTGTATGTTTCACCGCAGGTAATTTAATTAGCTAATGCAATATTTCTCTTATCTTTCATCCACATCATCATATGATATTTATTGGGTATCATGTCACCAAGAGGAAATGACATGTATCAAAATGAAGTAAGAGTAAATATTATCTTTCTCCTTGTGTGTACTTCTACTGAACTCTAAGTAGTCTGAAATTTTCACTGCTCCATCCATAGTGAATTCTCCATCCATTGACAGTGGCTGTTAAAGACCTGTGCTTCACTGCTCATCACTTTTTTGAGTTAATTTTTTGTTTCTTTTTCTCCCCACGCTTGATTTGATGAAGGTTATAGTATACATGTAGTCAGAACACAGCAAGATTTTACCTTATGGTAATTTGCCATAAGACTAATTTTTTACCAGCACATTTAAAAGGGCCTCTCTTGAGAATAGGTCCAGGTCTAAAATGAATGTCGGAAATATTGATACAACCTCCATTTTACAGAGGTGGAAAATCAGGCTGTAAGTGGAAGTGCAAATATTCTATAGCTTTGGAAAAAGAAAGATGTTATTTGAACCTGTTACATGGTCAGTAACAAATCCACTCCCAATGAGTTTGTATTTGAACAAAAGCCACTGCCTTGATAAGGAATGTAAATTGCAACAGAGCTATAATTACTCAATATTTCCTTGCTTTTCCAATAGTGAAATCATTTGCAATAAGAAAATTTAACATCATCTCACAATAATGTCTTTCTAAAATTAAATATTTCAAATACTACTGTGTTAATAATAAATGTAAACTGTATCTTTTTCCTGTATATAATAATTCATGCAACTAAAATGTATATGAAATTAGTTCATAATAGTGAGTGAAAAGGTAATTATTTCAGAAGGAAAGAAGTGTGTTATTTGAGTACTTTATGTTAATTTACCAGTGACTTTCATAGTTTGTATTTCTTTAGCTGGAGGAAAATTAGATAGATACAGTTCACATTTTAGAGAAATGAAAAACATTATTTTTTAAAATTTTATATTTTTAAATTTTGTTGGTACATAGTAGGTGCATATATTTATGGGGTAGCAGAGACATTTTGATACAGTCATGCAATATGAAATAAAAACATCATGAAGAATGGGATATCCACCCCCTCAAGCATTTATCCTTTGAGTTATAAGCAATCCAATTACACTGTTTAAATGGTTTTAAAATGTAAAATTAAGTTATTATTGACTACAGTCACCCTGTGGTGCTATCAAATAGTAAGTCTTTTGAATTATTTTTGTGTGTAGAGACAAGGTCTCACTATGTTGCTCGGGCCGATCTCAAACTCCTGAGTTCAAAAGATCCTCCCACCTCTGCTTCCCAAAGTGCTGGAATTACAGGCATAAGCCCAAATAATGGGTCTTATTCATTCTTCCTATGCATTTTTTTTTTTAACCCATTCACCATCCCCATCTTCCTTCAATTCCCCCACCATCCTTCCCAGCCTCTGGTAACTATTCTTCTACTCTCTATGTCCATGAGTTCAATTGTTCTGATTTTTAGATCCCACAAATAAGTGAGAACACGTGATGTTTGTCTTCCTGTGCCTGGTTTATTTCACTTAACATATATACACAATGGAAAAACATTACTTTTTAAAAATTGTAAAATGCTTTCTTGGAAAATGATTTTCCTTTCATGTTGGTTTTGTTTTAAAGTATTGTTTGTCTTGTTTTTACTTCTGAAAAAGTCATTATTACACATTTGTTTTGTATCTTTGTTTATATTCTGCTCCAATCACAGGATTTATTTGCTCCATTATAAATTTGTTTTCCCTAGAAACCAAAAGCAACCTGGCATAGAGTTTATGATATGTTTTCAGGTTTGTCTAAATGAATTTTATCCTTTGAAAATGCCCCTGCATATCTACAGTTTTCTTTGAAAGTATAATTCAATCTGATATAGATGTGGAAGCTTTCTTAACAAAACTTGAGTATTTGTTTTTCTCCACAGTCTATATAGGCAGAAAAAAATTTTTTTTCAACTAGCCTAGGTAGCTCAAGGCACTATTTATATTAAATTGCATATTTTTCTCCTTTCATACAATATATCTGAATAATATAAATATGTGGCATTAGAAATTATATCAGAATAAATTCCTATAGAACTAATAGAACTAATGTATCACTGATAATGTAAGCAACCATGTACAATTATATCCCTACCTATCTCTACTTCTTTTACAATGCAGCTCAAGCCTGTCCTTTCTATTTTTTCTTATTATCTTTCATCTTTCACTCCTACTTTTATTATTTAACCAAAATTTTATTGCCCATCTTTGCATAGTGTTCAATGTTGCAATTTGCTTGAAAGAGACTATAACCAAAAACATTGTAGCTATATTTATACACTACTATTCATCTCAAAAGATCCTAAATAACTTTACAGACTATGTAATGAGACAAAATCTGCAATCAGTTCATGCACACATTTCCCATTAAATTCATTGGGAATTCTATGTAAAAAAAAAAATGATTACAGGATCACATCTCCTGAATATACACTTTAATCATGTCACTGTCCACTGAAATGTAGTCACCTCTGGGTGTGGACCCAGAAGTTATTTGAAGGCACAATACAGCACTCCACAAGTTTAGAATAGGAAATGAGATGGCAGCTATTCAAAACAGTAGGGAGGAGGTGTTTATTTAGTTATACTTTGATTCATAAATGCACCCAGTGCTCTAAATGGCCTCTGGGCTTATATACACTTACTAAAAATTTCAATCACTATTCCACAAAAGGGAGGGAGGGGATTGGGTGAAAATAAGTGATCCACTTTATAGCCGAGCTTATGTGTAAATAAATAAATTCTTTATGGGGTGATTTAATTCTTACCTTCCTGGGTAAGCCAGGTCAAAGTAAAGAATAATGAGAAAATTGATTAAAACCCCCATTGAAAAGAGAAGGGAGAAAGGATATTCTAACATTTGACTCTCAAAGTAATTTGTGGTGAGAATAAGGATTCAGGAGAAGTAATCTCTGAGGGAACCCTCAACAAGTCCTCAAAATATAGTCTTAGGTGATCTGAATAATTAGAATAATTCGGGTATTCCTTTGCATCAGTTCTCTGCCATCCTCTAAACTGTAGGATTCTTCCAGTTTTGATATTCTCTTATCCCATATGCAGCAAATAACAAGCACACCAATTGTCTGTGTAAAGAAACACAGGTTGACGTATGGTGTTTTGTCCTTCTCCTTTGATAATGCATGAAGAAACTGCCTTCTATATCTTCCAAATTTTGAGTTGATTTTGTAAGATTATCTTCCGACGCCCTTCACATTACTCTCCTTTCCAGTGTAACCACAATGCCACCCTCCCCTACATACATAAAATCACTCATGTAAGTGAGAATAAATTGCTCCTTACAATTCTGCAGGGCTAACAGGTAGAATGATCAAAGCAGAAAGAACATGACTGACTTATCTTAAATCACACAGCTCAATAATGACAGATCCAGAACTCAAGCTCCTTACACTTACTTAATCAACCTGCTATAATGGAAGAACATTATTTTATTTGTATCTAATCAGTGTGCATTATTAAATTTATCTAAAATGTGAATCTAAACTACATTTCTTCCTGATTTAAGAACTTCCTATAAACTTTTATTTTTCATTGTTTTTATTGAGGTACAATTCACATAACATAAAATTAACCATTAACCATTTTAAACTGTACAATTCAGTGGCATTTAGTACATTCTCAATGTTGTGCAGCAACCACCTCTTAGTTCCAAAATGTTTTCATTACTCAAAAAAGAAACCCTATATCCATTAAGGAGTCACTCTCCATTCATTCCTACCCCCAGCCCTCTGCAAACACTAATTTACTTTCTGTCTCCATAGATTTACCTATTCTGGATATTTCCTATAAATTGAAACATACAATATGTGACCCTTTATGTTTGGCTTTGTTCACTTAGCATACTCTTTTCAAGTTTCATTCATGTTGCAGCATATACCAGTATTTTATTCTTTTTTCTAATGAGTTGTATGGATATACCACATTATATTTGTCCATTCATCAGTTGATGAACATTTGGATTCTTTTCACTTTTTGGCTATCATGAATAATGCTGCTAAGAACATGCATGTATACGGGTTTTTGTGGGGATATATGTTTTGAAATCTCTTGAGTGCATACCTAACAGTGAAATTGCTGAGTCATATGGTAATTAACTTAACGAGGAACCCTCATGCTGTTTTCCACAGTGGTTGCACCATTTTATATTTCCACCAGCAATATACGAGGGTTCCAATTACTCCACATCCTTGGCAATATTTGCTCTTTTGTTTTAATTATTATTACTGTAGCCATCTATTGGGTATAAAGGATTATCCAGTGATTTAATTTGCATTTCCTTAATGACTAATTCCTATGGGCTTCTTTATATGTGCGTGTTGGCTGTTTATTTGTTTTCTTTACAGAAACATCCAATCAAACTTCTTGACTGTTTTTAACTAGGTTGTTGTCTGTCTTTTCATTGTTGAGTTGTTAGAGTTTCTTATATATACTGGATACTAGATTTTATTAGCAAATATTTTCTCACATTCAGTAGATTGTCTTTTCACTTTCTTGATAGTGTCCTTTGATGAACAAATTTGTGTTTTCCCCTTAAGTTTTTACCTATAACCATTTTTTTTCTGAAATTTTTTCAGAGCATTTTGACTGCTCCAAGCACTGTTACAAGTTTTACTTTTGTAGCAACTTTTATTGGTTTCTTTCATAAATATGAGTGTAATTGTATATCACTATTGTCTACATTCATCTGACAGGTGGGTTTTGTTCTGTTATACTTTTACTAAAGTTACATGTTACAATAAAAATGAACAAATGAATTACTTGGGTTCCTTTATCATTCTGTTTCAATTAAACATCTGACAATTGTTTCCCATAAAATTGCTGTAAAATTAGATAAAATCAGAATATTGTACTTTTTAAAAAAATGTATTCTCTTTTAAATCATGTTGCCATTTCCCCCTGCTTTATTTGATAAGGACTTACTTTGTAAGTCTGTTTAGAAAATACATTATTCCTATTTTTGTTTCAGTTTTGCAGAATGGCCTCTATTTTCCTGCACTGGATTTAATATCTTCTTTAAAAATATGTTCCTTAATTAATATGTGCTTGCTTAAGAATGAAATTTTGCCTCATGTTATCTAGTATTTATTAATTCCAGAGAATCTTTTGAAGTCTTTAAATTTGACTTAGATTTTCTTGAGAACGTAAATAATTTGTTTTCATTTTTTAATGTTCTCAAAATGTCTGCTTTGATACAGTTGCCTAAAATATTAACATTACATAGGAGGTAGTAGAACCATTCCTGCAAAAAGAAAATGATGGGTGCTATTCTGAAATAATTGCAAATCATAGAAGAAATATAATAACTTTTCCGTATTGCACAGATTTTCTGACCAGCAGGGCAAGGAGGTCACTTTTACTTGGATCCAAATTATATAGCCAATAAAAACAGGGAGCATAGGCATATTCAGTAAGAGATACTGATATCTCCTTATTAAAAACTCTAAAATCTACACAGAATTAAAGAAAGAGCATTCATTATTTTTAAGGTGACAATCACATGGAGAATACAATATTCTCTTCACGGGTGCTAAAAATCGATTTAAAATATAAACAATATAGTTATTTTAGTGGTCTTTATAACTAATAACAAAAATTATAGAAAAAATGGAAGAAATAAAAAGACTGGTCATGGTACAAGTTATAACTAACGTTATAACTACTCTGAGTCTGGGACCAAGTATATAAGTATTAGGCAAATAAAGGCCTCATTAAGTCCAAATGTAAAACAGTATCCTGTAAGGCTGTCTTTTCAGCAGTTGAGGCATTGTTTAGATAGGGCAAGAGAGCTAATGCCCAGAAATGTAGTAGGCAGCAGAGAAATTGTAAGCAATGGCTGAAAGAAGACTAGAAGGAGATGGCCAAGGCCAATTTTCAGTTACCAGTGAAATAATTTGCATGAGTGAAGGATTTTGTCATTGATTATTAGTTATGTTGTATCTCTGTGCTTATATACGTCTAGCAGCAAAATAAGATAAAGTTAGAAATAATCTTATTAAGGTAAGATTTTAGATCAGAACTCTGCATTAAGTAAACATTCTTAAAAGGAGAAAGTTACTCACTGCAAATATTCCTAATCTCAAAGAAAAAGGGTCAGATTGTTGTGATAATTTGTTTTTAATATACTTTATTTCTACAGAAGTTGTAGATACACAGCAATATTGAGTAGAAAGTACAGAGATTTCCCATATGCTATCTGATCCCACCACATGCATAGCCTCCCCACTATCAACATCCCGCAGCAGAGTGGTATGTTTGTTACAGTCCATGGACCCACATTGTCACATTATCACACAACATCAGTAGTTTACGTTAGAGTTCACCGTTGATGTTGTACATTTCATTGGTTTGGACAAATGTATAATGACCTGTATCCACCATTGTAGTATCACACAGTAGTTTCACGGCTATAAAGAATACTCTGCACTTGGCCAATTCATTCTTCCCTCCTCCCTAACCCTTGGCAACCTCTGATCTTTTTACTGTCTCCATAGTTTTGCTTTATCCAGAATGTTATATAGTTGGAATCATACAGCATGTAGCCTCTTAAGATTGGCTTCTTTCACTTAGTAATATGTGTTTAAGTTTTCTCTATGTCTTCTCATGATTCCATAGCTCATTTCCTTTTAGCAGTGACTGATTTTCCATTGTCTGAATGTCCCACAGTTTATCCATTCATCTACCTAAACACATCTTAGTTGCTTCCAAGTTTTGGTTATTATGAATAAGGCTGCTATAAACATCTGTGTATATGTGTTTTGTGTGAATGTAAGTTTTCAACTCTTTTGGATAAATACCAAGGAGCATGATTGCTGGATCTTAGGTTTAGTTTTGTAAAAAACTTAATATAAATTTGTCAATCTTAATGATTTTTTCCCAAAAAAACAGCTTTTGTTTTATTAATTTACTGTGTTGTTTTTCTGTTTTGTTTTATTGATTTCTGCTTATCTTTATTATTTCTTTCCTTCTGCTTTCTGTGGGTTTGGTTTGCTCTGCTGTTTTTGGGTTCTTGAGGTAGGAGCTCAGATTATTGATTTGAAACCTTTCCATTTTTCTAATGTGTGAACTTCATTAAGTGGCCTAAACACACCAATTAAAAGGCAGAGACTGGCGAAACATATTTTTAACATGACCTGATTATAAGCTGCCATTATACTTTTGTGTCCTCTTCATTCTCTCTGTTCCTATATTGTTTTATTTGTTCTTGCCTTCCTTATGAGTTACTTGAATATTTTTTAGCATTCCATTTTACTTATCTATAGTGTTTTTGAGTGTCTTTTTGTAAAACTTTTTAATGGTTTCCCCAGGTATTAAATTACACACACACACACACACACACACGTGAAAATGTTTTCATCTTGAAGAATATTTTGGGGGGTATAAGATTCGGTAGTTACAGTGCTTTTCTTTTGGCATCTGAAAAAATGTTTTAGCAATTCTTTTTGGCCTCCATGGTTTCTCCATGTTGTTCAAATTGCATTTCCATTACAGGCTGTTTTTATTCATTTCAGTTCAATTATGATGTGCCTTGGGGTGGATTTCCTGAGTTTTATTCTCTTTGAAATTCACTTGCCTTTTCAAATATGGAGGTTTCTGTCTTTTGTCAAATTTGAGAAATTTTCAGGCACTATTTCTTCAAGTCCTTTTTTAGCCCTACTCTCTTCCTCATCTCCTTTCAAAACTCAAATTATGTGAATTTTAGACCCTTTGTTATAGTTCCTCAGGTACCTAAGGTTCTGTTTTTTCATGTGTGTAATTTGTTTCTCTTTATTGTTCAGATTGGGTAATTTCTACTGTTCTGTGTCCCATTTCACTGCTTCTTTCTCCAATTCCTTTTATTCTGCTATTGAATCCATCCACTGAGCTTTTAATTTCAGTTACTGTATTTTTAGTTCTAAATTCTCTATTTGCTTCTTTATTTCTTCTCTTTCTTTTCAGAGACTTTCTATTGCTTTGATAAGGCTTTTTATTTTTCCATTGATTTCAGGAACATTTATAATTACTCACTGAAGCTTTTTGATGACTGTTGCTTGAAATCTTTGTCAGATATTTCTAACATCTCTGTTATCTTGATGTTCATATCACTTGATTGACTTTTTCATTAATATTGTTATCTTTCAGATTATTTATATGACAAATAATTTTTTGATGTAATTTGGTTATTTTAATGTATCTCATTTTGATACATATCCTTTTTAGACCTTTAGTTTTAATTGGCTTCTGGTGATATTGCTCCATCAGGGGGCATGAAGGCCACCACCTCATTATTGCCAACTGGAGGTAGAAGTCCAAGTTCCTTCCTTGGCTTCCATTGACATTTAAGGCTCCTCATTCTGCTGAGCAGAGGTGAGAGTTCTAGCCTCGTATGACCTCCACTGAACAGCAGAGGTGACCTCATTACTGCTAACCAATGGCAAATGTCCTAGACCTTTACTGATACCATGACAATGGAAAGAGGCTATGATACCTGGTTACTTTTGGTGGGTTTAGAAGTCAGCTTTCTCACATGGTTGCCACTGACACCATGGAGAGAAGCCTATTAGTTCCCAAAAGTAAGGAAAGTCCTAGCTTGCTATTTGACCTTCTCTGACATCAATTACCCCAGCAGGGGTGTTCTGGTGCCTCATTATAGCCTTGTGAGGGTAGAAGTTTAGGCCCCCACCCAGCCTCTGCTGGTTTTGGTAGGAGTAGGACACCAGTTTTTCCTGTGGAATTTGGATAGAATAAAGAAGTTTTGTGTGTGTGTGTGTGTTTTTTTTTTTTTCCTAAAAGTTTAGTCTTGTTAGATTGTCCCTTTCCTGATCCTTTGACTGGAGAGAGTCAACTTTTGATGTGACTCTTTTTGTCTGTGTCCTTTGATATTTCTTCTTTGCTAGCTTCTACTGATCCTAGTGTGAGATATATAAGGAAATAAGAAAATCCAGTGAACTTGCCATTATGTCATTCCTTGGGTTCTGAATTCCTTAGCTGAACTGTCTTCTTGTCACCTTTCAGAGTCCTCTTGTTTGTTTTATATATAATATTTAGTTTTTATTTGTCTTAGCAGGAAGAATAGAGAAAAGTATGTCTACTCCACCTTCCCATAAGTGGAAGTCTGCAATTTTTTCTTTTTTTAACTTGACATTTAACTCATTTTTAAATTACAAATACCATATAGGAAGGTTGAAGATTCTTATGATTTTCATGAGAATATTTTTTTTTAAGTGGGGAGAACTGTTCTGACACAATAATCTTCTTAAGTACTGGGGTTTTTGTTGTTGTTAAGCACACTCAGGTGTTTTGTTTTGTTTTCTTCTGTAATTTTTTTAAATTTCTGTAATTACTCACACATAGTTTTAGTGACCATAGGAAATTTTCTGCACTGTCTTATTACAATTTGGTCTTTCTCCAGCTATCATTAGGTTTACCAGGAAATGTTGTTTATACATATAGTATACCTTCAATTATTGTAAATAAGGTGCCTCATCTGACTTATCTATAAATATTGTGAATTTTAGCCATATGAATGCATATTTGCTAGAAAAAAATTGATGAAAAGACTTATGAAATTATCTGAGCTGTCTTTATGTTCAAGGAAAAGTGCTAGAAGACAAAAACCTGATTATAAAAGTATTAATGAATGTATTCCTCCTGTTTTTACTTAAATACTCCCATTCTGAAAGCCAGCTATTCAGGAATTTTCACTTAGTTATTTCAAATGAGCATTTATTTCACTGCATTTCCAAATATCCTGGCTATTTTTCTTCTATCTATCTCCCTCTCTTTGATTTTCTCAGTTATATTTTGGGAGGATTGTGCTTTCCCTAGGACAATCTGGTAACTAATCTGAAGTGCTATCATATACATTATCTATAAAATAGTATCTAGCTTGTAAAGTCATCAAGTTTAAATGAGATAGTACATGTAAAACTACTTTTTTCAAAGAGTATATTTTTAAAACAACCTTCAGAATATTAAACAAAAGGATTTGTTGTGATATAAATTTTAATATAAGTTCTGCAGCTGAGACTTCTTTGTAGATGTGTTTCTTCTGGCACTCTTCAAATAATACCACAGTGGTAATCTATGATTTCTCTCTGTCTGTGCCCAGAAATTTACCTGATGACCCAAAAGAAAAAAATATATACTGAAATAGAATTTGCTATACTAGGTTGTAACCCTGGTTTATACTTCTAAATATTCTATTACTAAGAATATATCCATTCATTCAACAAAATTAGCATTTACTATATGCTCATTATTTTTCAAGGCACTGAAGAGATGTCAGTGAAAACTGTAGATTAAAAAAAACCCAACCAACCAAATAAATCAGCACTGTTTGCATTCTGTTGTCTCACCTGATGTCAAATTTCAAGTTTAAGTCTATATATATATATCTCCCATCTTTTTAAAGTAGCCTCATCTAGCTCTATCATTCATAGATTTATCTGAACTGTGTTTGAGTACACTATTTCTTACAGTGTTAATTCTTGGTGTATTACATGTATTTACCTATTATCTGTGGATTAATTATATTTTTCCAAATTTATTTGTTAAAATATGTTAGCACATCAAGATCCGTATTAACTTTGTCCATATGTTCATTATTTTATAGCTGTGAACTACGTATCATTTCTTCTTTTGCTGCTCCAAGTTGGATAGTCTTGGCTTGCTATTTATTCATATGGCAGTCCACATCAATTCACACCATTTTAGCGTCACTCTCACTGACCTTTTCTTGTTCCAAATATCCTAATGAATATGGAGTAATCAGAACATAACACAGGATTCCAGGTGCAGATGTGCCACAATTTAAATTCTGGCAAGATATTTTCTATGTTGTTTTAAATACCTATTTTTCTTGGTTTGTAAAATGTTTTATTATGTAAATTTTCCAACATACGAAAGGGTTGAAAAAATTGTGCAATGAACACCTGTATATCATCCACTCAGATTTTACCACTAACATTTAATTATGCTTGTTGTATTACATATCTATCCTTCTAATCAATCATAAATCCATCTTATGTATTTACATATTTAAAGTTAAATTTAAAACATCAATATGTTATTAAGAAAATCATAAAAGAGAGAAAATATATTTACTATTCTTTAAGTGGAAGTGGATCATTATAAAGGTCCTCATCCTCATCTTCTTCACATAAGGAAGAGAAGGAGGAGGAAAAGGAGAAGTTGGTCTTGTTGTCTCAGGGGTGGCAGAGGTGGGAAAAAATCCATGTATAAGTGGATCTCCACAGTTCTAATGCAGGTTGCACAAGCATCAACTGTATTTTATTTCCTACAAGGTAAAATTTACAAGCAATGACATGCACAAATATTAAATGCATATTTTCTGAGTTTTGAAAAATGCATACAGTTGCATAACTCAAACTCCTATAAAAACATATTGGAACATTTCCTAATAACCCTTACCACTCAGTTCTTAACCCCAAAACCAAAAAAAGACAGCTATTAGATTGCTTGTTCTCAAATCTTATGTACATGGAATCATCCATGTTGTTGCTTATATGAGAAGTTCATTCTTTCTGTTTTTGAGTAGCATTCCATTATATAACTATGCCATAGTTTGTTTATCCATTCACTTATTGGCAGACATTTGGAGTGTTTCTAATTTAGTTGGAGGCATTATGAATAAAGTGTATATGAATATTCTTAACTAAGTCTTTCCGTGGACATACTTCTTTCATTTCTCTTATGTAAATATCTAGGAGTAGGATTGCTGGACTATAAGTTTGGCTTTCTAAGAAACTGCCAGATGCTTTTCCAAAGGTTTGCACAATTTTACACTCTGGCCAACCTTGGATGAGAGCTATGATAGTTTCACATATTTGCCAGGAGATATTACTTAACAGCTGAAATCATCCTTCATAGTGAAAGGCTTAATGATTTCCCCATAAATGTGGGAACAAGTCAAGGATGTACACTCTCACCACTCTTATTCAATATTATACTATGAGACCTGGCCACTGCAATAGGCAAGGAAAAAAAAATGAAACACATGTAGATTGAGAAGAAAAAAATAAGAATCTCTTTATTTGAAGATGACATAGTTGCATAAATAGAAAAGATCAAAGATATACATTAAAGAAACTAAAAATAATATAATAGTAAGATCACAAGACACAGGATCAATACACAAAAAGTACTGTATTTCTATACACAAACAATGGAAAATAAATAATACAAATTTATGAAATAAAAAGTACCTTTTACAATAACATTAAAAACATGAAAAACGTCATATTTTATGGAATAAACTTATGTTATACTTTAGGAAAGATATGTGTAAGAAATATGTGAAATATTTTCATGCTGAAAACTAAGGAAACATAGGTGAGAGAATTAAAGATCTATATAAATGGAGATATATATCATGTTAGTATATCTTAAAACTCAATATGTTTAAGATGTCAACTCTTCCCCAAATGATGTATATATCTAATGTAATCCCTAACAAAATCTCAGTAGGCTTTTTTGGTAGAAATGAAAAAGCTGATTCTAAAATTTATATGGAAAAGTAAATAACCTAGAATAGCCAAAACAGAAATTATAAAGAAAAACAAAGTGGAGGGCTCATAGTACCTGATTTAAAACTTCCTATGAAAGTATAGTAATCAAGATAGTGTGGTGTTGGCATGAGGACAGACATATAAATCAATGGAATAAAGTCCAGAAATAGACTCACATATATATGGTCAATTGCTTATCAATAAAGTTTACAAAATATTCAATGAAGAATGGATAGGCTTATGAACAAATTATTCTAGAAGAACTGAATATTCATACTGAAAAAAAAACCTCAGCCCTCACTTCCTTACTTTGTACCATCTATGAAATTTAACTCAATATGGTTCATAAACCTAAATATGAGACCAAAAACTACAAAACCTTTAGTGTAAACATAGAAGAAAATCTTTGTGACCTTAAGTTAGGTAATGATCTCTCAGAAAAGTCACAAAAAGTGCAATTGCTGGAAGAAATATTTGTTGAATTTTATTTTATTTTATTTTATTATTTTTTTTATTGTTGGATCATATCCCATTATATAGATTAACACGGTGGGTTTATCTATCCTACTCTTGATGTACACCTGGAATATTTACAGTATTAGGTTATTACAAATAAGCCTCCTATGGTCGTTTTTTGACAAGTCTTTTTATGGACATATGACTTTATTTTTCTTTTTTCATTTTTGTATTATACTTTAAGTTTTAGGGTACATGTGCACAATGTGCAGGTTTGTTACATGTGTATACATGTGCCATGTTGGTGTGCTGCACCCATTAACTCTTCATTTAACATTAGGTATATCTCCTAATGCTGTCCTTCCCCCTCCCCTCACCCCACAACAGGCCCCAGTGTGTGATTTGTTGAATTTTAAACGTCTACTCTTTGAAAGATGACAATAAAAAGCAAAATGACAAGCCACATACTGGGATAAAATACTTGGAAATACATTTCTAATAAAGGACTTAGATCTGAAATAGATTACTAATTTGTGCACTTCAATGATTTTCAAAAAGCCCAATAAAAATAGGCAAAATATTTGAATAGACACTTCATCAAAGAAAAGATATAGATGGCCAAAATCCATATGAAAACATGCTCACCATCATTAGTCATTGGTTAAATACAAATATAAACCTTAAGAACATATTGGCTTATTTTTATAAAAACTGACAATACCAAGTGCTGGTGAGAATGTAGAGCAATTGAAACTCTCATGTATTGTTGGTGGAAATATGTGATAGTAAAAATATTATGGAAAAGAGCTTGGAATATTCTTACAAAGTAAAACATAGTCATATTCACCATACTGCCCAGCAATCCTTGTCCTGTGTATTTATCCATATGCCCACACAAAGACTTATGTTTGAATCTCTACATAGCCCCTTACGAACTGGGAATAACCCAGTGTTGTTCAGTTGTTGAATGAATGCACAAACTGTGATGCATTAATAAAACAGGATACTACTTAAAAAAATCAAACAAACTACTGATTCATGCAATGACAATGATGAATCTCAAAAGCATTATGCTAAAAGAAAGAAGCCAGAAACAAAAATCTACACAAGGTATCATTCCATTAATATTACCTTCTGAAGATGTAAAATTATAGAGACAGAAATCAGATCAGGGGCTCAAGTAGGTGAGGTTATTACTTACAAAGGGGAATGAAGAAAACTTTTACAGTGATGAAAATATTCTATAACTTAATTTCAGTGGTGGTTACATAATGATCATGGTTACGTGACCAACAAGCATGGCTACCTGTTACTCAAACAAATTGAATTATACATTTAAATGGGTAGACTTTTACTACAAGTAAATTATTCTTTAATAAATCTAACTTTAGCAAAGTAGAAAGTGTAAAAATATATAAATTGTGGCAATTTGAATTAGTTGTCTGACAGAACTTGGAAAAACTACTTTTTGGGAAATATTCAGGTATATGGACCAGAGTTTACAAAACGTTCTTCTAAGCAAAAGACACTGTCAACTGTTTAAGTAGATATAGTATTCACACTTTTATTACAATGTTTTGGGTTAATCACATTTATCGTAAAATCATAAATATTATCTTTATTTCTTTGCTTAAAAGCTAAAACTATAGAATGTTTAATACTAGTCCTAAAGGCAAGTGATTATTTTTAATATTCTTTTTCTCCTTACTGTTTTGGAAAATTATTTGACAAATGTCACAACCTATTAATTGCTTTTGAAATCTCTTCCAGAATATTCTAGGGATAAACTCTGCTCATGTTGTTAGAACACCTGTTATTTTATTGTACAATTATCACACTTTAGAAATGACTTCCCACAAATTTGTCTATTTTAGTTCAACATGCATTCCATAATTTCCTGGGGCCCATATCCATATATCTTTTGTAAAAGGTATTCTCTTTGAAACCTGTAGATTCTTATAAATTGGGGTAGGAGGTGATACTGTGCACTGAAATTTGAAGAGGTTGGGAAAGAAACCACCTGAAAAAATCATTTTCCTCTGCTTGTTGGCTACGAATATCAGAAGTCCCACTGTTAAATATCCATTTGCTTAAGATGCAAGCATCCTGGGAAGGGAGAACTAAAATTTCCCAATGTCTTAGAGGTAAGAATATTCATCTATTTATTTTTCTCTATCAAGAAGAATGAGGAATCCAGTTGAAAACCCTGGAGAAATAGATAACAGGGAGATGAAGGGATCTAGAAAGGAGACTGTTGTCCCACAGGGGGGAAAAAAACTTTTACAGACTGCACAATACTTAACAGTACTGATTATCTAACAATGAATGTGAATGTTTCTCTACAAACTTCTCTAATAAAGGCAATTTTTTCCTTTATATTGTTAAAACTCCAATTTTGACATATAAATAATTACTACAACTCTCATGCATTTATTCATTTTTATTTACATAGTTTTACTTTCATAACTCATATACTCAGTTTATTTGATTCCAGGAGCATAATGGAAGGAATGGGTAACCTGTATATCATTCACTAAACATTTGTCTCAAAAACAAAAGCAATCAATACAGGATACTTTAATCCTATTTGTAACACAGCAATGTGTGGTGTTACAACAGGAAAAAACATATTGATGGTAAGCTTTTTTTTTCTTTAAGTCTTCAGCTAGGTAAGAAATATGGCCACTTCTCTTTTAAGGGTGTATTCATTTTTAATGACATTGCTGTTGGTAAACAATAATGGTCTAATCTTTTAAAAAATTGTATATATAGCTTAAGTATCGGTTTCACTGGAGAACAATGCCTTTGTTTTACTGTGCAGTCAAATAAGATGAGGTGTCAAGTCCGATTATTTACTCTAAGTAAATTGCAGACGTCTGACTACCTATATTTTTGTTTTACTTTCTATGAGACAGATCTGATCCATTAGTTCCTACAAGCAATTATTAACATCTCTAAAAATGTTTTTCTTATTCACATTCAAATTCAATATTTTCAATAATATCATCCAACTATGGAATTTTATTTTATTTACTTTTTCTAATAATTCATAAAATCATAGTTGAATTTATAATAAAATTACCAGTGTAGGAGTGATGCCAAGATCTTTTTGTATTGTAATGTAAAAAAAACTTCTCCTTCCTTTTTATAGATTACAAATATAGAACATATTTTAACCAACCAATTATCTGTTCATTTATAGATACTATATGTGGACATTGCTAACTCTTAACAAATCATCTTGAGGTAATTACAGCATAATGTTCTCCAAATTAGTTCTTGTGATTTCATGTTTTAAGCCTTAGAAATCTAAATTCTGCACATGTAGCTATCTAGTCTTGAGAACCTAGCCTTATGGTAAGACATTATGGTAATGAAAATTCTGTCACTTTAATTTTAATTTATAGACCTTCAGTGTTTGATACTTACTTGCAAAGCTAAAGTAAATGATTATTTATTCTAGAGTTAACAAACAGCCCAATGACAATTCTGCATTTCATACTCATGTCAAAAGAATATTAGGCAAATTTAAAAGGCCACAAAACATTCTTATGCAATGTATTGCCAGTTGTCTCAGTTGCATATACTAACAGGTCTAAAAGGTAAAGATCATATAGTCTGGTGATATTAGTGAAAATTACAGTGCACAAACCTCCAATGAAATCACCTCCATAAAGAAATGAGAACACCGACAAAATGTTGTCAAAACAACTTTTTCACAACTCTGGGAATTTACCAACAGCTTATAGCAATTCTTGTCATATATATTCAATAAAACAGTAAGAACAGCAAGTTTCATGGTATTTTAACTTACTCTAGTCTAATCTGCCCCTTCCCAGATCAGCACTACTATTGAAAACTGCCATCTCACAATCATAGTAAAACCCAGCAGCTTGGCAGGCACTGGAAGAGGTACATGGAACTGGAGATCATTTTAAGCCCCATTCCAAGAGACTTATTATTATTCTACCTGTTGTTTAATCTTCCAAAGATCCTACTCACAAGATGTCTTCCTTTTAGGAGCTTACAAAATATGAAATCAATTTCCTTAGGTGGCTTGGTCAAAAACAATTACAGAAATTGTTTAACATTGGGGTTGTCAAGAACAGAGGATAACGGTTGGGGTAAATAATAGATTATCCAAAAAGGTTTAAAGAAAAATCTTTTGAATGAGATGTGCATAGGAACTTTGAAAAGTTATGACACGTTTCTGAGACTCTAGAAGTCCATGTGCGTAGGGTTGTGTGCATGCTCAGGGCTGTGTGCATACTCAAGAAACATCTGAAAAGACCCTATTTCTCACTACTGGTTGATGTTGAGGCTCTGTACAAGTAGGAAATGGAGATTAAAGCAGACTTTTCAACTGCTTAGCTGAGTGTTGAAGGCATGACTCAACAAACATACAGAGCTCCTTGGCAAAGACTGAGAAACGTATATTTTGCAGGCATTTAAGAAGCTCTTGGTACAATAACTGACCACTAATCTAACTGGGCAGAGACTTTAGTGGCCACATACAACAAGATGTAGACTTTTGAAAATTAGTTCATAAAAGTAGCTAAGCAAGCAAAGAACAATGACTAACAGCAAAAAGTAAAAAACCTGGGAACTGTGGAAAATCTGATATCGAGAGCTGCTACATTATCATATTTCAAATTTCTAGTTTTTTATTTTAAAAAATGACATGCAAAGAAACAAGAAAATATGACCCAGGAACATGAAAAAAAGCATTCAATAAAAACTGTCATTGAGGAAGCCCAGACATTGGACTTAATATCAACACTTCTCCAATTGCACACCAAGTTGTGGGAAATGTTGCAAGTTTTGTAGTGGCCCAACCTGGAATGAAGAAATTTTGTCTTTCTCTCTGTGACATAGGTGTAGCAGGCATGGGAGGGAATAGAAAATCAAATCAGAGTAGCAGTGGGGAACAGGGTAGGAATACACTAATTTGCTGATTTTAAAGAAAATTTTCAAAATTAAAAAAATTAAGTAAAAAAATACATATAGCAAAAGAAATGAAAAGGAAATTTAAAACAGTACAACAGAAAATACCTATTTAACACAAAAGAAGGCAGAAATGGAGAAAGGGGGAAAAGACATAAAATTTTTAAAAGTAGTTAAATGGTAGACATAAATCCTCATTTATCAGTAATTGCATTAAATGAAAATGGATTAAACAGTCTAATTAAAAGGTAGGGCTTGGCAGAAAGGATTTTTTAAAAAATACACTATTTAACTATTTGCTGTCTACAAGATATACAATTTAAATTCAAAGACAAATAGTTTGAAGGTAAAAGGATGGAAAACAATGTACTAGGAAAACAGTAACCAGAAAATAGTTGGAGCTGCTATACTAATAACGGACAAAATCTATTTTAAGATACAACTTGTTAATAGAGATAAAGAAGGATATTTTATCATGATAAAAGGGTTACTCTATCAAGAAGATATAAAAATTATAAACACATATGCACCAAACAACAGGGTCCAAAATAGATGAAGCAAAACTTAATGTAATTGAAGGGAGAATGAGAGAAAACTAGTTGGAGATTTAAATACCTCACTTTTAATAATGGGTAGAATAACTAGAAAGAAGATCAACAAGGAAATAAAATATTTGAACAACACTAAAACTAATCATACTTAACAGATATCTATAGAACATTTCACCCAAAAACAGCAGAATACACATTCTTCTCAAGTACACAAGGAGCATTCTCCCAGATAGATCATATGTGAGACAATAAAACACAATCCAATGAATTTAAAAGAATTAAAATTATACAAAATATGTTCTCTAGCCACAATGGAAGATAACTTATAATTATTCCTCTTCATACTAGGAGAAATTGGTGCCAGTAAAGAGAGCACAGCTACATTAGGAAAACAGTATATGCTCAACTTATTCCCAATCAAAATCTCCCTATAGGAATCACAGCCTATAGTTATTTTCTGCATCAGTCTTCTTTCTTCCCAAGAAATACCTTACTGTTGCTATGACATTAGGTAAATCCTTTCCAAAATATGTTATACACAACACAGATTCTTTGGGATATTAAAGGTATTATGTGAAAAAAATGTTTCCATGTCTAAGTATATTTCAAATCACATACAGTAAAACATATTCTTTTACTGAAAGATTTCTTAAATATTTTAAAACGTTAATATATACTATTAAACTTCAATAAGGAATATAGTATGAAGAATTTTCCAAACATATTTAAACATAAAACTATCTTTTCAAAGATTATTTCATAAGCCTAAGGATCCACTTAGAAGACTCTTTAAGACATAATAAATTAAATCTTAATATTATAGAATAACAACAAAAACCTGTTATTTTGTGATACATAATTCATAGTCCTGAAAATGAATCCTGACAGTATTCTCTGTCAATGTTTGAGAATGAAACTTTTTTAATACCTTTATTTTGTAAAGAAGATAAAAGTTTTATTTTATTTATGAGTTTATACTGGCACGTGCTATATATAGGAAAGTAGATTTAAATCACGTAAAGACTGGAAGGACAGGAAAGAAAAGTGGTCACTTCAGCTTTTGGAGTCTGATATAATTACTAGCCACTTACAAACTTTATGATGTCAGGCAAGTGACTTAATCTAGCTAAGTCTACATTTTATGCTCTGCAAAGTAGAAAGTGAATACCTAGTTCAAAGGATGGGTGAAAGGAATAGAAGAGAAATACATCTTATTATGTCCTACATCTTACTGTGGTATCTGACACACAGCAAGCATATTTGACTCCATGAGTCATATCTTACAGTAGGTCCAATAAATGTTTGCATCAACATTGTCCTAGGGCCATAACTCGTTCTTAGAATACTCAGAAGATGTTTACCTTCAGTTATTTTATATAAAGTTTACTACTAAATAAAAATTGCATCCATTACTGAAAATGCAGCAGCTACTGTACAAGTGAAGGGTTCATGTGGATGTTGTGAGGTGTGGCCCCTCTTTCAGATTAATAAGCATTCCAGAGGAATGCTTGTCTGTACAGAGGTAGGCAGTGGAAAAATAAAATGTCCTGTGCAAGAAGTGGAGGTAAGTAATCATTGTCACATTCAGTTTGCACACAATGCTACATTCTGAATGTTTGTGTCCCCTCAAAATTCATATGTTGAAATCTTAAACCCCAAGGCAATGGTGTTAGGAGATGGCACCTTTGGGAAGTGATTAGGCCATGAGGGTGGAGCCCTTATGTGTGGGATTAGTGCCCTTATTAAAAAGGTGCAAAAGAGTTCCCTTGCTCTTTCTTATGTAAGGTTACAGTCAGAAAATAGCAATGGATGAGGACATGGGCCCTCATCAGACACCAAATTTGCTAGTGTCTTTATCTTGGTCTTCCCAGCCTCCAGAACTGTGAAAAATAAATGTTTGTTGTTTATAAGCCCCCCAATATATGCTATTCTGCTACAGCAACCTGAACTAAGATGCCCAGAGAAAGTAAAGCATAGAATTAAAATAGTAACTACTATTTATGCAGCACATACTATGTGCTTAAGCTATACTTTACCCATATTACCTCATTTTACCTTCACAACAGCTTTTTGAGGTTGTAAAATTTCTATCCCAACTTTATAAGGTGAGTACTACTATTATCCCTGATCTGCTAATGGAGAAACTGAGACTAGAATAATTCACTTGTTATATAATTCAGAAAATGTATTCAGCAGTTATGAAGATTAAATGAGAAGATGTGTATAAAGCACTTAGCATAATTGTTAGAACATAATAAGTGTTTAATAAATGCTACTTAGTGGATTTTGAAGGAACATGGATGGCGTTAGAGGCTATTATCCTTAACAAACTAACACAGGAACAGAAAACCAAATATCACAGGTTCTCGCTTATAAGTGAGAGCTAAATGATGAGAACTCATGAACACAAAGAAGGGAACAAAAGACACTGAGGTCTACTTGAGGGTAGAGGGTGAGAGGATGGAGAGAATTAGAAAAAATAACTATTGGGTACTAGGCTTAATACTTGGGTGATGAAATAATCTGTACACCAAACCCCCATGACATGAGTTTATCTATATAACAAACCTTCACATGTACCCCTGAACCTAAAACAAAAGTAAGTAAGTAAGTAAATAAATAAATAAATAAATCTCCAAGATCTGGGAAAAAGAAAAAATAAATAAATGCTAGGTAAAATTATTCTAAGATCTTGAGAATAGATAAAATAATAATAGTTTTCTCATATGTGAAAATAAGGATACCTATCTCATAGAAGTGTTACGAGGATTAAACAAGATTATACATGTATAGCCTCTGCACATACTAAGTGCTTAATAAATGTTAGCTATTATTACTCTCACTTAGCATATGTGGAAACCAGAGCACACAAAGGAGTAAGTAGTGTGTCTAAGGTCATAAGAGCAATTATAGATCCAGATCTGAATCCAATAGCTTAAGACCGTAGTCTGGGTATTTAACCACTGAGTAGTAGAACTCATTTTTTATCTAATTAGCAGAGTTAAAGAAAGTGCTCTTCCAAGCACCATTTACATGCACATATGCCCTTTGGGAAGGGAGATAGGACCTATTGCCTTTTCTTATTAACACATCAGCCCAAATTGGCTCCTAAATTTAGCTAATTGTGACTTCAGGAGGCCCAGAGAGACTGCTCAGAGGAGAAAAGAGATGGGACTGTAACATGGAATAAGGAGTAAGTGGAGTTAATCATATCTACCAGCTTTAATATTACAGAGTAACTCATATCTAAAGAGTAACTCATAGCTAAAGAGTAACTCATATCTAAAGCTGGTAGATATGATGAACTCCACTTACCCCTTATTCAATTTAGATATGGGTTACCGATTATGGACATTATGCCAGGGAGAGCAAGTTGCAAAAAAAAGTGGTACCCAAATGAGTGGGTACCGAAACTTAATTCCTTAAAAGACCAATTCATTTAATTCAGTGTCCCTATTAGATTAGGTGCTGGGCTATCAATGTCAATTTCATGACTGAATGATGTATTTCTGAGCCCACTTAATTTAATGCCCACAGTTGGTCCAGCGAAAGGAGGACAGTTGTATCTAACTCCACAACCAGCCCAAATGCCTGCCTGGATAGGACAAATGAAGTTTAGTTAATACCCACAAGAGTATTGTTGAGCACAGGCCTTTAACTGCCCACCAAGTCAATTCTCAGGTCAATAGTCTCCTTTCACAGTTCCTTAGTTCACCTTTTCTCTTTCCATTGCCAACTTTGGTTGCTTACACCACGTAGTATAAGGCCTAACACTGAGGCCTGATATTATGTGCTGCCTTGACATCTGGTGAAACTTGGACAGCTTCAAGTGACTCAAATGCAACTTCCTCTCCCAACTCTTCTCCCACAATTAAGGCCTCCAAGCTAAACAACCCTCCTTATCAAATGGACCAGGTACAGTTTCTACTTATCTCTGAATAGTCAGTTTCAGTTCACTGACAGCTTGTGTAACTATTCAAACATGACAATCACATTTTCCTGAAGGTACTAAGGATCATGTCACAATCTTGATGCTATTATACAAAGCCTGCCTCCCATAGCCCATGCTTTTTCACTCTTCCTAAGTGCAACCCCCACTGTAACCCTGCACAGCATGCTATGCCCTCCTCCCTGGGGCAGTGAGTATATGTCATTATTAAACTGCTGTTAATCTCATCTGCCCTGCTTCTGTTGTTATGTGTTTGGCAATTCTCTGAACTATAAGACAAGTAGCCCTCTGTCATCAAAGGGGTGAATAGAAAACAACCGAAACAATTGTCATCATCAACAGAATGGCCCAACTATGACCAGGGACACCTGGTCAGCTTTACCAAAGTTTTTTTGTCTAACTGGCTCCATGATATGGTAAAGACCACCTGGGATGAAATTGCCAACTGCTGGTGGGCTTGCACTTTTGCATAAGCAGCACTTTGTTGTATTTGTTGGATGTTGCTCTTTCTTTCTACCCTACAAAGCTCTTGTGTCCCCAAGATAAAAATTACTATTAGTTGACTATATCCCAACATGACATATTATGGGATTTAGCCTGTGTTTGACACATGGTCTCTGAGGCCCTTGCATGTAAAATCATTGACAGTTCCATGTCTCAACCAGTCAGTGCTTGAGTCCTGCTTACCAATAGACAGGTTAGAGCTTTCTGAGCACTGTGTCTAGCCCCATGACCACCACTATATAGACATTGTTTGTCATTGCGCATCCTTACAATGGACCTGAGAATGGCCCGTTGTGAGGTTAGTGGAAAAGAAGAAGACTACCATCCCAGGGTACAATTAACTATGGCATCCCAGCTGCCTAACAACAGTTTTTGTTGCTCAAGCAAAGAGGCAGCCTTACCCATCTCCTGTGCTGCTGCTTCTCTTGCTGCTCTCCTGACCCTCAAAGATATCACGGTGAATATTCATGGCAGTTCATCGCCCAGGCATTGATGACAAAAGTAAAGGAGAAGTATTTGGTACCAGCGCCTTCAAAAACACTAAGCAAGGTAACTTAATTACTCTCCCAATGAAAAACACCTAGCCAATATGGCTGGACTTTGCTTAGCACTGCTGCTTACCAGCATGCTAAAGCATTAATATTGTGATCACGAGGCTTGATGACTCCCACCTAGGCCATAGATAAAATTACTGGATGTGGACCCTCACCTTGGGAAGACTGACAGACACTCCTTGAAGGAGAAGGAGTAGGCAGCCTATGATGTGAGCCACTGCGCTCGAACTTTTCCCTGTAACCAACCAGAAAGTCTGCACTATGGGTGATTAGATGGAGACAGAAACTGAAAGCTGTCACTTCATGTGGCTAAAAATCCAAAACAGTCTGAAGAAATTTTTACAGAGAGAAAAGGAGGTAAATTAGTATGCTGAAGTCCACACTCTTAATAGCAGACAACTCACCAGGATCTTTAAATACCTCTGCTGCTGCCACCTATGGCTCTATAACAACAAAGTTCCTGATACTCAGGGTTTATAGGAGAAAATACCCACTGCACCATTGTAAAGTAAAGAGCTTAACTCAAACCTTCCCCATGTTAATAGTTGCTTTATGAGGCTTAAATATCCCAAGCTTGAGTCAGGTTTGAATAAAGAGTTTAACTCCAACCTGACTCAAGCATGGGCCTCGTAAACCCCATGAAACAACTATTGACATGGGGAAGACCCCTAACCCTGACAATATTGATTTGAGGCTCTCTGGAGAAAGAAATTTATAAATAAAGGCAGAATAGAGGAGACACTTCCTGAAGTATAATCAATGTGCATAGGTGGTGCGGGGTGAGGGTGAGGGGATGATGCAAGGAATAGGAAATAAAGAAAGAAACCAGAATACAGGGGATAAAATATAGAACTGAAATAAATGTCCACAAGTTGACCCAATTAGAAGTTCAAAATGTACCACAAAAGTTTATACAGTGAAAATAAGAGTGCTAATTGGCTTTTACACCTATGCAACATAGGTTCTGAATTAACTGTAATATCTGCTGCAGTACACCAATTGCCAAGGCTTAATTGCCTTAATCAATACTGGAGTTCAGATTAGTTATACCCATAGATCTCACTAAATTTGAATATGCCACCCCACCCATAATCTTAGGGAAATTATGGAATATAAAACAGAAAACAGATATGCTTCTCTTTAACCATTGAAGCTAGTGATTTGCCTAAATTCCCCATCATCATAGCACCCATTGGCCTCATTTTGGGACAAATTCATAGTGGGCACAGACATTCTGACACAATGAGAAATAAACTAAAACTAAATTAAGTCTTTGGCACAAATTGGCTTAAAAAAATGGGACTCCATGGACCATATCCTCAATTACAATAGTTAATATGGCCCAATATAAATTAAAACAGGGCCTTCAAGGATCAAAATCTACTATACAAGACCTATTGTATTTAGTGAAGGAATGATTATTCCAACTATTTCTCTTCTTAACTTCCCAACTGCCTATTCTTAAACTTAAAATGAATGGTTCTTTACAGTGGATTACCAAAACCTTCAAGCTGTGGTCACATCCACTAATGCCTCCATATGTGATACTTAATATTACCAAAATTGCTAAATCCGTCCAGTCATCAACTGGTATACATTTTGTGATTATATTTGGCCAATATGTTCTGATTAGTACCTCTTTCAACAGTCTTTTTCTCATAATTTGCCTTCATATCCAAAGGGAAATGATACTTAAATGTCCATGGGATACCTCAGTAGCTTTACCATCACCTACTGCCTTTACAGGCAATATCTTAACTACATCCACCTTCCTCCAATGACACAGGTATAACATTACATACATAACATCCTCTGAAGAAAAAATGTATTTGATACACTTATTCAGGGCTTACAAATAAGTCCACAAAAAAGAGATGGGCCATTGTCCTCTACATAGTGCAAGGGCCACACTGCCTTGGTTAAATAACTAAACATTATTTGGTAAACCAAGGGCTGCTCCATCCCTGACACTGTCAGGAAACAACTATTGACCCTTTCAATACCCTCAATGTTAAAACAAGACCAACATTTTTTAGGCCTTTGAGGTTCTGCAGGCAACGTTTTCCTCATTTTAAAATCGCATTTAATCTCACTTATGTTGTTACTTGCATATCAGCCCAATATGAATGACACCCTCTCCAATAAAGGCTCTAGAATCTGTCCAAATTCCCATACAACAGACATTTCTATTAATGGCCCTGTGATTCTCTCATTTTAGAGGCTTTAACAGCCTCCTCTCATGTCTTCTAAAGTCTCTGGACCAACCATGATAACCACAAGTTGCCCATAGACTTCTGATGCAAGAAATTGCCCTCCATGACCACGCACTACACTAGAACAGTATGATAATTAGCCTTTTGTTTTGTTTTTGTTTTTGTTTTTGTTTTGAGACGGAGTTTCAGTCTTGTTGCCCAGGCTGGAGTACAATGGCATGATCTCGGCTCACTGCAACCTCCGCCTCCCAGGTTCAAGCAACTCTCCTGCCTCAGCCTCCCGAGTAGCTGGGATTACAGGCATTCACCACCACACCCGGCTAATTTTTTATTTTTAATAGAGACAGGGTTTCTCCATGTTGGTCAGGCTGGTCTTGAACTCCCGATCTCAGGTGATCCGCCCCCCTCAGCCTCGCAAAGTGCTGGGCCTATAGGCGTGATCCACGGTGCCTGGCCCGTTATTTCTAGGTGTAAGGACATTTCTGGAAGAGACTAATATTAGAATTAGTGGACTGAGTAAAGCAGATGGCTCTCTCCAATATGGGTGGAAATCATCCAAACTGTCAAGGACCTGAAGAGAGGAAAAAAAACTTCACCACCTCTCTGATTGCATGAGTTGAACATTGATTTTCTCCTGCCCTTGGCACTCCTGGCTCTCTGGTTTGCAGATCTTAACTGGAATCTACACCATTGTCTCTCTGGCTCTCAGGCCTTCAAACTATATCACTGGCTTTCCTGGGCCTTCAATTTGAAGACAGCAAATTGTGGGACTTTTCAGAGCCTATAATTTCATGAGGCAACGTCTTATAATAAATCTATTTCTTGATACATAATAGGAGATTATATATATTGGTTTTATTTCTCTGAAAAACCATTACTAATAAAAACAATTGCTGGCCACCTGCTGATCTCTTTTAAAAACAGAGACTTTCACAGACCCTGAACTTATGACCCTTCATGCTAAGCTATCAATTATACCTTGGGCTATAAAAGCAATATCATGAAAGCTTGACTTGGTTACCAAGGCCTTCTTGCTACAGAATGGAGCAAAACCTGGGCCCTATGGTATGTCCCACTTGCAGGAGAAGGTGGCCTCACCCACAGGGGGACTGATAAGTCCTTTGCCAAATGTCATGGTGCTAAAAGAGGTCATTTCTCTCCCAAGCCCCTTTACTGCTTGGAGACTCCCTTGGGATCAACTGAGTGAACAACAATGGAAGTTCATACACTTTATGGACAATATTGCCACCATATAGATGACAGATCTTCATAGAGAGTTTCTGCCTTTTCATCTCTTAACCAGGCCATTTCTGATGGAGGACCAAACCCAATGATCAGCACAATTGGCCACACTTCCGTCACCTTAGCACTGGATGCTCTGTTCAGCAAATGGGCCCACCTGTAATTTTTTTATAAACTCTTGGGCCATTGCCTAAGAGTTTTCCCCTTTGGAATAAAGAAGCTCTTGCCTCACAGATGCCCAAAATATAAGTCAAGGTAATTGATATCTCTACATATACTAAGGCCACAACGCAAGGCCTTACCAGAAAATTCTGTATATACATCAGAGCTCCAGACATTTTTTTTTTGTCTTTTTTTTTTTTTTTTTTTTTTTTTTTTTTTTTTTTTTGAGACGGAGTCTTGCTCTGTCACCCCCAGGCTGGAGTGCAGTGGCGCGATCTCAGCTCACTGCAAGCTCCGCCTCCCGGGTTCATGCCATTCTGCCTCAGCCTCCTGAGTAGCTGGGACTACAGGTGCCCGCCACCACTCCCGGCTAAATTTTTTGTGTTTTTACTAGAGACGGGGTTTCACCGTGTTAGCCAGGATGGTCTCGATCTCCTGACCTCATGATCCACCCGTCTCGGCCTCCCAAAGTGCTGGGATTACAGGCGTGAGCCACCGCGCCTGGCCCAGGCATTATTAATAGTTACCAAGGCACTCATTTTACTTCTTATAACACACATGCTGGGATCTAGAAAAACACATTCAATGGAACATCTACCTTCCCTATAGGCCCCAGGAAACTGGCTTAACTGAAGAATAATCAGCTTCTCAAACAACACTTATTTAAGTTACAAAGTGGCAAATGTATCCACGTCTGGGTGTCACTATTGCCACAGGCATTGATTAGCCTAAATACATGGGAACATGCACTCCCTACACCAATGCCACAGTTTCCTCAATTGCCTTTATTGTCTACTAAAGAATACACGAATAAGGTTCAAGGTTTTTACTACCTCTTCTACCTCTTTGTCAAGGGCCTACTTTACTTCCTCAGAAGATATTTGTCCTACTCCCTAGGAGTCCCAGTCATTACTAAGGTTTAAATTGATGTCAAGGCATTGAGGGGTCAATTGTGGTATAAGGCCTAAAATTATGGTTCAATATTATGTGCTGCCTTGACATCTAGCAAAACTGGGAGGGCCTCATATGCTTAACCACATGTTCCTCTTCTCACTCTGTTTTCTCAGATAAGGTCCTTTAGCCAAGCAACCCCTTCTCCCTTATCAAGGAGACTAGGCACTGTTCCTCTGATCCCTGAGTAGTGTGTTTTGGTTCTCTGTCAGCCTGCAGTTTTTCAAATAAGCCAAGAACATCATCCTGTGGGAGGATCCTCCCTCTTAATACTGCAAAACCTGATTTCCACAACCCATGGTTGTTCACTCTATTCTTGAGCACAACCCCTGTGTGACTCTGTGGTGTGCAGTGTCCTCCTTCCCTGGGCTGTGAGTATATGTGACTAATGATTGCTGTCAATCTCATTTTTTCAGTGTCGAGTGCAGTGTATTTGTGCATACTCATAAACTTAGGACAAAAATCCCTCCCTCATCAACCTGATAAATCGATAATTAAATACAGCTTTTCATTAGGTAGCCAATAAGCGCTGATGAATGCCAACCAGCTGTCCCTTCGGGAAAGCCTGGTTGGAAGAAGTACAGGCTACATCAGAGTAAATATGGATTATGGGGTGAAATGATGGTCAAATGAGTCAAATTCGAAGGCTACATTATCTTCTTCTTCGAATACTAAAGTTGTGAGTTGTGAGAATTAATGGTAGTAAAGTAAAAAGAGAGCAAGAAAGGGGAGTTTAAATACCACTTCCCAAAATGTTCTTAAAGAGCCTGGGAGACAGGAGGTGAATGACTTGAAAGAGCATGATAGCAGGTGGATAATGTACAAACACAGATTTAAATAGAAATCAGCGTTTTATTTAGACATAGGAAAATGTGCATTGTAAGAATGAGATCAAGTGAGAAAAAACCTGTTATAGATGGCAGGAACCATCTCTTTGTCTTTTTAGTATACATTCTCACAGACCCCAATGAGCAATGGGTCCATGCAATGAATACAAAAACTCAATAATAGGTGTTAGAAATACTCATCCAATCTATTAATCCCTAACTCAATTTATAAATTCAGGATTGTTTTGTTATTTTTCTCTACCACTATATTGTAATTGATGCATTTTACCTTGCAATAATTAACCGCTTTGAATAAGAAAAACTCTTCACTTAACATTTTAATTAAAAAAAATATATTCTTACAGATGATGTATTGGAAAACTTGGATTTCATTAGGCCTTTTTAAAATTAGTCTCTTGGCTGGGCTTCCCCTTTCAGTTTGAAACCTACCAACCAAAAGTACAAACAAAATTAAATTTTGGAAAATGTGATCAGTCCCTGTAGCTATTTCCAGGAAGTTTCAGGAGGCATTAGCTAGAACTGCAATGGTAACAGCACACTTCTAAAGCAGGTGAATATCTCCAGTTAGGGAAATCAAAGTCTTCATTCCCTTTATGAAACCGACGTTGAAAAAAAAAAAAAAACCTAACAAACAAATATGAGAATTACTGTGGCTCTTCCCCTGGAAGCATTTGTGATTTAACGACGTCCATTTCTTAGGAACGTCTATATATATATAGCAGCTAGGGGATATGGTGATTACAAGGAAACGCCCTCCTGACCTTCTGCCCCTGAATAAGATTTTCCCTGGTTGGCCAAATCTACAAATCTAGGATAGATACACTTTGCATTTTACTTTACCCTAGGACAGGTGCAGTCTGGCATTTAAAAAAAAAAAGTAAATGTATGAAGGGCACCATTATCACTTTTTGTAAAATGAGTAATGTTACTTAAATTGATTTAGGGATTTAGAGTTAAGAAGTCAATAAATGAAGAACATTATCTTTGTTTTATTTTCTTCTCATGTAGCATTTAGAAGAGTTCTAAGCATATAGTAAATGCATAACAATTAACACATTTCTAATGGTTACTTTGTCTTCTAAATGTGCAAATAGATGACTGAACAAACTGCTCCTTATTCATAGAGTTTTTGTTTCATATTTGTTGTTCAGTGAGATCCATATCTAATCAGAAAGACAAACCTAATGATGCTGGAAAATAGATCACTTGATAATTTAGCCTGAATTTTTTCCTTAATAATATTAATAATATCTATTTACTTGCCTTTTTTTGTAGGTTAGAAAAAGGGCAGTTCTGCTTGCTGGTACAGGGAGAAACTCCTAGACATTTGGTTACAAACCTGTAAATGGTAGATTTCTAGGAACTGAGAAGTTATTATAAGTCATCTATGAAGCCAGGGGCAAATTCTAATCTTTTGCTCTACAAATAGAATAGAATCAAATAGAATGAAATAGGATTTAAAAATAAGGGTCTTTATAAGAAAAGTTGAGACACTTTGGTCTAGATAAACTCAGGTTCTTTTCTAATCCTATAGCTCCTCTGACAATGAAATATAAAACAATTACATGTTTTCAAAACTCCTAAAAGTAAGTTCTAAATCCAAAGCTCTGACATCTTATTTCCTCATCCATGCTCTTGCTTTATGAGTTCCCTCCCTTATATTGCAATATCCCATGTAGTTTAATAACAAAATTCTCTAAATGCTAACAATTTATTTGACCTGTCATTTTTTTAAAAATTAACATATTAAAAAAAAACAAGACACAACATTTCATATGGAGTTCAATGTCAATTCTGTAAAAGAATAAGAACATAGGAAAATAAAGTGAGATTATGGCATATTTGTAGTTTTTTCTTTATAGATTTTTATGTTTCCAAAATTTCTAAAACAAGAACAATTTTTATAATAAACAAATGCCTTGTGAGTCATTTTAGGTAAAGAGAATCAAATAGGGAATAATGTGTTATTAGAATTTCAATGGGTTTTGAATTCCTACTTTTTTTTTTTTTTAACTGGTCCACACCAAGTATCTAAAATCACATTTAAGTTTTCCTCCTGGGATTAATTTATATATTATTCAAGTTAAGACTACTGAAAAGCTAACGTAACCAGAATGTTTCAAGTAATTGCACATTTATATCTATTATGTTCTGCTTGCATGAGAAAGAGCGTGAAAAGTTAAGTGAAGGCTTTACTGATGAGGACTAAACTCTGATATTCTTATCTTGTCCAAATTCCTATCTAAGGAGTCTGGGGAGTCATGCCCTACAAATCATAAATTCTCATCAGATGGGTTTTATTTAACCCTATATATCATGACTTACTTTCCAACCTGACTCTGGCATAACATTAGGAGACAAGGAAGAAAATCAAAATATTTTACCCCAAAACATGTTTGTTTGCTATATCTTGAAATGGCCCTGCAAAGCTGTCCTTTGTGAAGGAAAATTTGCATCTGTAAAGAATCTCTATTAACATAGCTACACTTTTTTCTTCTAGACCCTCCCAATCCCAAAGAGATTAAAAGTCTAGCACCTTTTAAAGAACTAAATAGAAAACATTTGTCATCTATTATCTCTAAGGGTAGCCACTATAAGACTTAAAAAGAACCTTGGTCTCCACAATCTTTCCTCTTAACCTGAACATTTCCTTTCTATGATCCCAGGTCTGCAGATAAACTCAACCAATTGTGAACCAGAGAAAGTTTAAATTTACCTGTAGCCTAGTAAATAGCTCCCCCACTCCCCCGCCCCACCAACACACACCAACTCCTGCTTCGAATTGTCCCACGTTTCTGGACCAAACTAATGTATTTCTTAAATATATTTGATTGATGTCTCATGCCTCCCTAAAATGTATAAAACCAAGCTGCACCCTGACCACCTTGGGCACATGTTCTCAGGACCATCTGAGGGCTGTGTCACAGGCCATGGTCACTCATATTTGGCTCAGAATAAATTTCTTCAAATATTTTACATAGTTTGACTCCTTTTGTTGACAATGAGGACTTATTAAAACTTTTGACAGATTGATCAACGCCCCCAAAAATCCCAAAACAGGATCAGTATCCACTCTACCTGCATCATCTCTAGTATTATCATGACTCACTCTAATGCACTTAAATATCCAAGATCAAAAAGTACCTACTGAGTCAGCAGGTTTTCATGTTACAGGTATGTATCTATAGAGCAGACCAGTGACATTCTTGACAATCTCCAAATTCAAAACAACAAAAAGACTTATGAAGAGCAAGGTGCAAATTGAAAATAACATCTCACTGTAATATCTGTGTGTAGGTATAACTAGGCTCACTCACTAAGTTACTTACTCCCTCATGCATACAATGAAGGACAAATATAATTCAAATTTATACCTAACAAAACTACAAAATATTCCCTGTTGTGGACCTACAAAGTAATTGGCAATGGCTGGACAATACACAAGACAGATTTTTATTCTTATATAATTGGTAAGGTGTTGGGGCTCAGAAATCAATACCCCAAAATATGGCACTTTGTACATGCTGAATTGAAAAAGAATCCTCAAGGTCTTTCTGATCGTCCCTGATCCCCCAACCCCATGCCTCTCTCCCTTAGACTAGAATGAAGTTGTTATCTGAAGTTCCTTTATTTGACTAAAGGCTGGACCTACTAAGGTGAACAATTGTCTTTTCTTTCCTTCCCTGTTATCTCATTATCAATGCAGAAAAAAAAAGACCAAGAATGTAACCACACCTGAAAATATCCCTTCACAAGATAATGTCTGTCTCAGAATAATTTAAATTCCAAAAAGAACTACTTACGGGTTAAACTATGTCAGGCCTCTGAGCCCAAGCCAAGCCATCGCATCCCCTGTGACTTGCACATATACGCCCAGATGGCCTGAAGTAACTGAAGAATCACAAAAGAAGTGAATATGCCTTGCCCCACCTTAACTGATGACATTCCACCACAAAAGAAGTGTAAATGGCCGGTCCTTGCCTTAAGTGATAACATTACCTTGTGAAAGTCCTTTTCCTGGCTCATCCTGGCTCAAAAAGCACCCCCACTGAGCACCTTGCGACCCCCACTCCTGCCCGCCAGAGAACAAACCCCCTTTGACTGTAATTTTCCTTTACCTACCCAAATCCTATAAAACGGCCCCACCCCTATCTTCCTTCACTGACTCTCTTTTCGGACTCAGCCCGCCTGCACCCAGGTGAAATAAACAGCCATGTTGCTCACACAAAGCCTGTTTGGTGGTCTCTTCACACGGACGCGCATGAAATTTGGTACCGTGACTCGGATCGGGGGACCTCCCTTGGGAGATCAATCCCCTGTCCTCCTGCTCTTTGCTCCGTGAGAAAGATCCACCTATGACCTCAGGTCCTCAGACCGACCAGCCCAAGGAACATCTCACCAATTTTAAATCAGGTAAGCGGCCTCTTCTTACTTTCTTCTCCAACCTCTCTGTCCCTCAACCACTTTCTCCTTTCCACTCTTCAATCTCTCCCTTCTCTTAATTTCAATTCCTTTCATTTTCTGGGAGACACAAAGGAGACACATTTTATCCGTGGACCCAAAACTCCGGTGCCGGTCACGGACTGGGAAGGCAGTCTTCCCTTGGTGTTTAATCATTGCAGGGACGCCTCTCTGATTATACACCCACGTTTCAAGGGTGTCAGACCACACAGGGACGCCTGCCTTGGTCCTTCACCCTTAGCGGCAAGTCCCGCTTTTCTGGGGAAGGGGCAAGTACCTCAACCCCTTCTCTCCTTGTCTCTACCCCTTCTCTGCTTTTCTGGGAGAGGGGCAAGTACCCCTCAACCCCTTCTCCTTCACCCTTAGCAGCAAGTCCTGCTTTTCTAGGGGGCAAGAACCCCCAATCCCTTATTTCTGCACCCCAACCTCTTATCTCTGCACCCCAATCCCTTATTTCCACACCCCGACCTCTTATCTCTGCGCCCCAACCCCTTTTCCCACTTTTCTGGAAGGTAAGAACCCCCTGAACCCCTTCCCTCCATTTCTCTACTCTCTCTTTTCTCTAGGCTTGCTTCCTTCACTATGGGCAACCTTCCACCCTCCATTCCTCCTTCTACTCCCTTGGCCTGTGTTCTCAAAAACTTAAAACCTCTTCAACTCACACCTGACCTAAAACCTAAATGCCTTATTTTCTTCTGCAATGCTGCTTGAACCCAATACAAACTTGACAGTAGTTCCAAATAGCCAGAAAATGGCACTTTGAATTTTTCCATCCTGCAAAATCTAAATAATTCTTGTCATAAAATAGGCAAATGGTCTGAGGTGCCTGACATCCAGGCATTCTTTTACACATCAGTCCCTTCCTAGTCTCTGTGCCCAGTGCAACTCGTCCCAAATCTTCCTTCTTTCCCTCCTGCCTGTCCCCTCAGTACCAACCCCAAGCGTCGCTGAGTCTTTCTAATCTTCCTTTTCTACAGACCCAGACCCATCTGACCTCTCCCTTCCTCCCCAGGCTGCTCTTCGCCAGGCCGAGCTATGTCCCAATTCTTCCTCAGCCTCTGCTCCTCCACCCTATAATCTTTTCATCACCTCCCCTCCTCACACCTGGTCCAGCTTACAGTTTCATTCCATGACTAGCCCTCCCCCACCTGCCCAGCAATTTACTCTTAAAAAGGTGGCTGGAGCTAAAGGCATAGTCAAGGTTAATGCTCCTTTTTCTTTATCCCAAATCACATAGCGTTTAGGCTCTTTTTCATCAAATATAAAAATCCAGCCCAGTTCATGGCTCGTTTGGCAACAACCCTGAGACGCTTTACAGCCCTAGACCCTAAAAGGTCAAAAGGCCGTCTTATTCTCAATATACATTTTATTACCCAATCTGCTCCCGACATTAAATAAAACTCCAAAAACTGGAATCTGGCCCTCAAACCCCACAACAGGACTTAATTAACCTCACCTTCAAGGTGTACAATAACAGAAAAAAGTTGCAATTCCTTGCCTCCACTGTGAGACAAACCCCAGCCACATCTCCAGCACACAAGAACTTCCAAACTCCTGAACCGCAGCAGCCAGGCATTCGTCCAGAACCCCCTCCCCCAGGAGCTTGCTACACATGCCAGAAATCTGGCCACTGGGCCAAGGAATGCCCGCAGCCCGGGATTCCTCCTAAGCCGCATCCCATCTGTGTGGGACCCCACTGAAAATCGGACTGTTCAACTCACCTGGCAGCCACTCCCAGAACCCCTGGAACTCTGGCCCAAGGCTCTCTGACTGCTTCCCAGATCTTCTTGGCTTAGCGGCTGAAGACTGACACTGCCCGATCACCTCGGAAACCCCCTAGACCATCACAGACGCCGAGCTTCAGGTAACTCTCACAGTGGAAGGTAAGCCCGTCCCCTTCTTAATCAATATGGAGGCTACCCACTCCACATTACCTTCTTTTCAAGGACCTGTTTCCCTTGCCTCCATAACTGTCGTGGGTATTGACGGCCAGGCTTCTAAACCTCTTAAAACTCCCCAACTCTGGTGCCAACTTAGAAAATACTCTTTTAAGCACTCCTTTTTAGTTATCCCCACCTGCCCAGTTCCCTTATTAGGCTGAGACACTTTAACTAAATTATCTGCTTCCCTGACTATTCCTGGACTACAGCTATATCTCATTGCCGCCCTTCTTCCCAATCCAAAGCCTCCTTTGTGTCCTCCTCTTGTATCCCCCCACCTTAACCCACAAGTATAAGATACCTCTACTCCCTCCTTGGTGACCGATCATGCACCCTTTACCATCTCATTAAAACCTAATCACCCTTACCCCACTCAAAGCCAATATCCCATCCCGCAGCACGCTTTAAAAAGATTAAAGCTTGTTATCACTCACCTGCTACAGCATGGCCTTTTAAAGCCTATAAACTCTCCGCACAATTCCCCCATGTTACCTGTCCTAAAACCAGACAAGCCTTACAAGTTAGTTCAGGATCTCCATCTTATCAACCAAATTGTTTTGCCTATCCACCCTGTGGTGCCCAACCCGTACACTCTTTTGTCCTCAATACCTTCCTCCACAACTCACTATTCCATGCTTGATCTTAAAGATGCTTTTTTCACTATTCCCCTGCACCCCTCATCCCAGCCTCTCTTCTTTCACTTAGACTGACCCTGACACCCATTAGGCTCAGCAAATTTCCTAGGCTGTACTGCCGCAAGGCTTCACAGGCAGCCCCCATTACTTCAGTCAAGCCCAAATTTCATCCTCATCTGTTACCTATCTCGGCATAATTCTCATAAAAACATACGTGCTTTCCCTGCTGATCGTGTCCGATTAATCTCCCAAACCTCAATCCCTTACAAAACAACAACTCCTTTCCTTCCTAGGCATAGTGTGGTCAGAATTCTTACACAAGAGCCAGGACCACACCCTGTAGCCTTTCTGTGCAAAGAACTTGACCTTACTGTTTTAGCCTAGCCCTCATGTCTGCGTGCAGCGGCTGCCGCTGCTTTAATACTTTTAGAGGCCCTCAAAATCACAGACTATGCTCAACTCACTCTCTACACTTCTCATAACTTCCAAAATCTATTTTCTTCCTCATACCTGATGCATATACTTTCTGCTCCCTGGCTCCTTCAGCTGTACTCACTCTTTAAGTCCCACAATTACCATTGTTCCTGGCCTGGACTTCAGTCTGGCCTTGCACATTATTCCTGATACCACACCTGACCCCCATGACTGTATCTTTCTGATCCACCTGATATTCACCCCATTTCCCCATATTTCCTTCTTCTTTCCTGTTCCTCACCCTGATCATGCTTGATTTATTGATAGCGGTTCCACCAGGCCTAATCGCCACACACCAGCAAAGGCAGGTTATACTATAGTACAAGCCACTAGCCCCCCGCCTCTTAGAACCTCTCATTTCCTTTCCATCGTGGAAGTCTATCCTCAAGGAAATAACTTCTCAGTGTTCCATCTGCTATTCTACTACTCCTCAGGGATTATTCAGGCCCCCTCCCTTCCCTACACATCAAGCTCCAGGATTTGCCCCACCCAGGACTGGCAAATTAGCTTTACTCAACATGCCCAAGTCAGGAAACTAAAATACCTCTTAGTCTAGGTAGACATTTTCACTGGATAGGTAGAGGCCTTTCCTACAGGGTCTGAGAAGGCCACCGCAGTCATTTCTTCCGTTCTGTCAGACATAATTCCTCAGTTTAGCCTTCCCACCTCAATACAGTCTGATAACAGATAAGCCTTTATTAGTCAAATCAGCCAAGCAGTTTTTCAGGCTCTTAGTATTCAGTGAAACCTTTATATCCCTTACGGTCCTCCGTCTTCAAGAAAAGTAGAATGGACTAAAGGCCTTTTAAAAACACACCTCACCAAGCTCAGCCACCAAAAAGGACTGGACAATACTTTTACCACTTTCCCTTCTCAGAATTCAGGCCTGTCCTCGGAATGCTACAGGGTACAGCCCATTTAAGCCCCTGTATAGACGCTCCTTTTTATTAGGCCCCAGTCTCATTCCAGACACCAGACCAACTTAGACAGTGCCCCAAAAAACTTGTCATCCCTACTATCTTCTGTCTAGTCATACTCCTATTCACCGTTCTCAACTACTCATACATGCCCTGCTCTTGTTTACACTGCCAGTTTACACTGTTTTTCCAAGCCATCACAGCTGATATCTCCCGGTGCTATCGCCAAACTGCCACTCTTAACTCTTGAACTAAATAAATAATCTTTGCTGGCAGGACTATGCTGAATCTCCTTAGGCACTCTCTAATCAGATGCCCTAGGTCCTCCCAATTCTTAGACCTTTTATACCTGTCTTTCTCCTTCTGTTATTCCATTTAGTTTCTCAATTCATCCAAAACCGTATCCAGGCCATCACCAATCATTCTATACGACAAATGTTTCTTCTAACATCCCCACAGTATCACCACTTACCTCAAGGCCTCCCTTCAGCTTAATCTCTCCCACTCTAGGTTCCCACGCCGCCCCTAACCCCACTCGAAGCAGCCCTGAGAAACATCGCCCATTCTCTCTCCATACCACCCCCCAAAAATTTTCGCTGCCCCAACACTTCAACACTATTTTGTTTTATTTTTCTTATTAATATAAGAAGGCAGGAATGTCGGACCTCTGAGCCCAAGCCAAGCCATCGCATCCCCTGTGACTTGCACATATACGCCCAGATGGCCTGAAGTAACTGAAGAATCACAAAAGAAGTGAATATGCCTTGCCCCACCTTAACTAATGACATTCCACCACAAAAGAAGTGTAAATGGCCGGTCCTTGCCTTAAGTGATAACATTACCTTGTGAAAGTCCTTTTCCTGGCTTATCCTGGCTCAAAAAGCACCCCCACTGAGCACCTTGCGACCCCCCCACTCCTGCCCACCAGAGAACAACCCTCCTTTGACTGTAATTTTCCTTTACCTACCCACATCCTATAAAACAGCCCCACCCCTATCTCCGTTCGCTGACTCTCTTTTCGGACTCAGCCCGCCTGCACCCAGGTGAAATAAACAGCCATGTTGCTCACACAAAGCCTGTTTGGTGGTCTCTTCACACGGACACGCATGAAACTCTGTTCCTCAATTCATTCATTCTCCCTAGTAATCATTTATTGCCCCCCACCAACAGAATTTTTCTCCCATTCCCATAACCTGCTTTGCCAGAATCCAAGCCCCCATTCTTTCAGTAACCTCAAGATGGTATATAAATTTCTGCACCCCATTGGGAGTGGATCTTCATTTTGAAGGCTCCCATGTACATGTTAAATACATTTGTATGTCTTTTCTCCTACTAATCTGCCTCTTGTCAGTTATTTTCAGAGAACTTTCAGAGGGTAAAGAAGTTTTCCCTTGGCCCCAACATTGTTCAGTTACTGAATACTGATTAACCATTCATTATAATTTTTTTAAAAAGACCTTTGTGAAAGAATAGAAATATCCTAAATACTCACAGTTTGTTTATTGTGTTGCCAGTGGAGGGTCTTGACTACGAGTTGTCCAGGTCCTTCGCATTTTAAACAAATAATTGAACAAAACGCACTAAGTAGCAGAGGCATGAAATGCGGGGATGAAGCAGCGAAAGCAGGAATTTATGAAATCGAGAAAGCACTCCGCAGGGTGGCAGTGGGCCCGAGCAAGTGGCTTAAGAGCCCAGTTACAAACTTTTCCAGGCTTTAAGTACCCCCTTTGAGGTTCTTATCGGCTACCCCTTATCTGGATGAAAGATTTGGTCTGTGGCTAAAGGCTGAGGTGAATTGGTGCCCTATGCAGATAAAGGGATGGTCTCTGGTTGGCCTGCGGCCAGTCTAAGGCACTCTCCTTTCCCATCTGAGATGTGGTGGAAGGGGAAGGATTTTAGGGAGAGTAGCCTTTGATCCCTTGTTACTAGGCATGGGGAAATTGGGTTTTTCTATTTTGGTTTAGCTTTAAGAAGTTTGTGTTAATTGGCCTTAGATTGCCTGCCCCCAGACCCAGGTGTTTTCCTTTTGATCCAGCTTTGGGAAGTCAGTGCAAATTGGCCTTAGATTTCCTGCCCCCAGACCTTGGTGTTATTTCTTTTAGGAAGTTAGCACAAATTGGCCTTAAGTTCCCTGTCTCCAGACCCTATTCTCCTGCCTCAATTGTACACGTTGAGATAGACTTCTGATATTTTTGTGGCCTATTTCTCACTGGAGCACACACTTTTAACTTGGTTGCTGTAAACCAAAACTAAAATTCTAAGCCCCTCAACCATCTGAATTGACCTCTCCTCTTGGCCAAGGGAATTCCAAAGTTAACCTGAAAAACTAGATCAGGCCATGATGGGAAGCTGGGGTTGGATATGCCACATTATTCCCTCCTCCCTTTTGGAATTCAGGCACAGCTGACCAGCGTTAACATTAAAACAGATCTTAAGACTGACAAAGCAGACTCTTTATAGCAATGAGACACCAAATTCCAGCCTGACTCTAGTATAGCATCACATGAAAGATACGAGACCCTGAAATAAGTCAAAGTATTTTACCCCAAATATGTTTCTTTGTCATATCTTGAAATAGTCCTGCAAAGCCATCTCTTGAGGGGAAAATATACATTCTGAAGAGAATCATCTGTCTTTTCCAGGACTTTTTCCTTGTCCAGGAGAGAATCAACTCTGATAAGAAACATTTACAATCTATTTTCTCTGAAGCTTGCTACCTGGAGGCTTCCCCTATGTAACAGGAACCTTGGTCTCCACAACCCGTTATCTCAATCCAGACATCCCCTTCTATTGATTCTGGGTTTTTAGACAATAACTTACCTCTTTCAACCAATTGCCAATCAGAAAATCTTTGAATCTACTCATGACCTGGAAGTCCCCCATTGCTCTGAGTTGTCCCACCTTTCTGTACTGAACTGTTGCAGGAAAAGGGTCCTGATACAGATTTCAAGAGATGGCTCTTGGATCTTGCACAAGAAAGAATCTGGGGCAAGTCCACAGAGTAAAATGAAAGCAAGTTTATTAAGAAAGTAAAGGAATGGAAGAACAGCTACTCCACAGACAGAGCAGGGCATTCTCAAAAGCAAGAGGAGGAACACGCTCACCTTAGGTACAATGCTTGTTTATTTATAAGAAAACAAAGCAAAAAATCATGGGAGAGATGTGCTCTACTACAGGCGCTGTGACAAAGGATTGTTAATCTTTGTGTAACTACTGTCTTCTGCATGAATACATTTTATAATCATTAAAGTGAAACTTATTCTTAAAGTAAGGATGCTTTTGTTCTTAAGATATCGGGACATCAGGACATTGCCTTTGTCTGTTATTTCCTGGGTCTGTTAAGTTTGGGGTCTATTTTATAAACATTATTAACTTGTTTCCTTAACTATAATATCCTGTGACTAAGAATGCCTAACCTGCTGGGAATGTGGCCCAGCAGGTCTCAACCTCATTTTACCCAGCCTCTATTCAAGATGGAGTCGCTCTGGTTGAAATGCCTCTGATAGAACCAATGTACATCTTACATATATTGATTGATGTATTATGTCTCCCTAAAATGTATAAAACCAAACTGTAGCCCGACCACCTTGGGAACAGCTTCTCAGGCTCTCCTGAGGGCTGTGTCATGGGCCATTGGTCACTCATATTTGGCTCAGAATAAATCTCTTCAAATATTGTGCAGAATTTGACTCTTTTTGTCAGCAGTGCACATAATTTAACTGCCCTGAGTTTTTGCATTTGGATATTGTATCTATATTTTTCCCAAATTTAAACGATTTACTTGTTCGTTGGTGAAACTGAACTGTTATCTTAGCAAACAACACTTGGAAAAACCTTTCGTCAAAATGCCCTGCATTTTTCTGTGTAGGAATCCTATAGGAAGTACACTGTGAAAACTAACAAAATATATTAAGTGACTATGTTGAAAGATTATATACCTAGTAGAGAGATCAGGAAATATGACATGAAAATATTTTGTTTTTTTAGCTATGTGTAAAACTGTAAGTTAACAAGATAAGATTAATTTTAATTTCAGCCTTCTTTAGTGGAGTTGAGGCATTCCACATGTTCCATCATAGCTGATCCAGATACAGAAACTACAAAGAAATACAGTGCATATGAAGCAACCCAAGGTCAGGTAATATTTCCAAGTAACAATTTCCTGGACTGTATTTCAACTCCCATCTTTTTCTTGCCCTTGTTTTAAGAGCCAAGGATTTGAGACAGAACACTGAAGATTGATTCACAAAGGCAGCACAATTTGTTTAAAATTGTGAGATATGTAATTTACGTGAACCTGATATTTTAATAAAAATATGAAAAATATAAAATACAGTATCTATAATATTAGTATTTATAAAATAATAATAATATTTGTATAATGATAATAATTGTCCTTTGCCTGCATACTTGGGGCGTTTAACAAATGAAATAAAATAATTGATTTTAAAAAGCTTTATATGTTATAAATTGCCACAGAAATGTTATCATTATTTACAGTAGTAGTAAATATTCCATTCTCTCCATTTTTTTAGAGGACTTAGGAGAAGAGAGGCAAGCTTGTGAATAACCAGGACTTTACCATGAAGAGAGCAACTCACTGTATTAAGCAATATTTATTGAACCTACCGTTAAAAGAAAAACCTTAGACAAATTAAATTTAGCAGAGTTTAATTGAGCAAAGAATGATTCGTGAATTGGGAAGCCTCTGAACCAAAATAGGTTCAGAGAGGATCCAGCCTGCCTTATGGTGGAAGAAGATTTGTGGACAGAAAAAGGAAAGTGAAGTACAGAAATGGAAGTGAGGTATAGAAACAGCCAGATTGGCTACAGCTTGCTGTTTGTCTTATTTGAACATGGTTTGAACAGTTGGCTGTCCTCTATTGGCTAAAACTCAGGGACTGGCACAAGAGTAGGTTACAGTCTGTTTACACATCAAGTTAGGTTATAGTTCACTGTGTATGGAGAAACCTTTAAAATATGTAAAGAGGTGGCTTTTGGCTAAACTTAATTAAACACTACTATGTGAAACATTGTGTAATACTGAATTCTATTATATTCTTTAAAACCTTTCTTCTGCCTTTTTTTTTTTTTTTTTTTTCTGAGACGGAGTCTTGCTCTGTCACCCAGGCTGGAGTGTAGTGGCACGATCTTGGCTCACTGCAACCTTTGCCTCCCAGATTCAAGCAATTCTCCTCCCCCAGCCTCCTGAGTAGCTAGGTTTACAGGAGCCCACCACTGCGTCCAGCTAATTTTTGTATTTTTAGTAGAGACAGGGTTTCACCACGTTGGCCAGGCTGGTCTCGAACTCCTGACCTCGTGACCCTCCCACCTCGGGCTCCCAAAGTGCTGGGATTACAGGTATGAGAAACTGTGCCCAGCCTCTTCTGCCTTTTTTTATTGTAGGAAAATGTATGTAAATTTACATAAAATTTACGAAAATTTACATCAAAAATTTACATAACTTAAACTCACCATTTTAACCATTCTAAAGTATAAAATTCAGTGACATTTAGTACATTTACAGTGTTGTGTAATCATCACCCCTATCTAGATTCAAAATATTTCCATCGCCCTCTAAAACAACTCCCAAGATACTATTTGCTCCACTATTCAGAAAATATCATGCAAAGGAAATCAAACAAAATGCAGCCTTTTTTGTCTAGCTTTTTTCACTTAGCATGTTTTTAAAGTTCATCCACATTTCAGCATGTGTTTTTTTTTTTTTTTAGACAGAGTTTCGTTCTTGTTGCCCAGGCTGGAGTGCAGTGGTGCAATCTCAGCTCACTGCAACCTCCATCTCCCAGGGTCAAACGATTCTCCTACCTCAGCCTCCCAAGTAGCTGAGATTACAGGCATTTGCCTCCATGCCCAGCTAATTTTGTATTTTTAGTAGAGGTGGGGGTTCACCATGTTGGTCAGGCTGGTCTTGAATTCCTAACCTCAGGTGATCCACCCACTTCAGCCTCCCAAAGTGCTGGGATTACAGGCGTGAGCCACTGTGCCCGGCCCACTTCATTTCTTTTTAAGACCAAATGATATTTTATTAAATAGATAAACCTTATTTTTGTCTATCCATTTATAAGTTAATGAACATTCACTTTTTGACTATTGTGAATACTGCTCTTATGAATACCTTTGTACAATGTTTTGGATTTTTTTCTTTTTTCTTTCTTTTTTTTCCTTTGTGTTTACCCTGTCAGAACTAAGCAGAGGGAAGCAGAAAAAGCATAGGCCAGGACAAGTTGTACAAGTTTTCGTATGAACAAAAAGACAGAGATAACAAGTATTCGCAAGGATTTGAAGAAAAGCAAACTCTTATAAACTCTTGGTGGAAATATAAACTGATATAGCCATTATTAATAGTATAGAGGTTCCTCATAAAACTAAAAATAGGACTACCATATGATTCAGCAATTCCACCACTGGGTACATATCTAAAGGACATGAAATCTGTGTATCTGTGCTCTTATATTCATTGTAGCATTCTTCACAATAAATAAGATCCAAACTAAGTGTCGATCAATAGATGAAAATATGATATGTGTGTGTACATGTAGTAATATGTATGTATGTATGCATAATATATATATAATATGTATAAATGTCATAAATACATAGATATACAGAATGAAATGATATTCAGCCATAAAATAGAAGGAAATCTTTCCATTAGTGACAATGTGGGGATGAACCTGGAGGACATCATACTAAGTGAAATAAGCCAGACACAGACAAATACTGCGTGATCTCACTTATATATGAGGTCTTTTTCTTAACTCAGTAGTTACTTGGTTGCTGTAAACCTTTGTTTATTTTTAAGAGTTCCAAAAAGGTTGATTTTCACAGTTCTTGCTCAATTTTTTCTGAGTTTCATTGAGGATATGAGCCCTTGGAGCTCTCTCCTCCACCATTTGAACTCTCTGATCTTTTTGTACAAGTAGCCGATGGTTGACAAGATATGATCTGGAGGGAGAGCACAAGGAATGTTCAGAGATTATATGACTTACTTTTGCTTGTACAACATTTTAGCACTTACGGAGCATTTTCATGTGGTGAATACATAAAGAAGTTTGCCACATGTGACCGTCATTATAGTTCATATTTTTGAAGGTAAAGTCATCCTTTTTGACATTAATAATGAAGGCTTAAGAGGAAAGTGTGAGTTTACTAGAGAATCTATACATAGAAAAAGATCAAAAGTCTAGTTAGATTTGCATGAGAATCTAGAGGTATAAAAAGTATTGTTTTCGATTGAGGGTCTCTGGAACCAGGTGCTAAGATTTGGAAGGGAGGAAAAGGATGGAGAATTCACACAGGATGAAGTCTAACTGTGGTGCAGACCCCATAAACTTTTAATCATTTCCACCAGGAGCTATGTAGCTTATGTTTGTCCCAGCGTGGACCAGAATGATTGGAAGTTTACACCCAACTTCAGTCACTGCATATTCCACTGGAAGCATATGACCTCACACGGGATGATTCCCTGTGGTTGAGGCACCAGCTAGAGGAGTTGACGGTTAGGGCAACAAGGGTGACAGTTTGGATGTGTGTCCCCTCCAAATCTCATGTTGAAATGTGATCCCCAATGTTGGAGGTGGGGTCTGGTGGGAATTGTTGGATCATGGGGGTGGATCCCTCATGAATGGCTTAGTGCCATCCCTTTTGTGATGAGTGAGTTCTCACTCAGTTAGTTCACAGGATGTCTGGTTGTTTCAGAGTGTGGCAATTCCTCCTCCTCTCTTTCTTGTTCCCTCTTGCCACGTGATATGCTGCCTCCCCATTTGCCTTCTGCCATGATTGTAAGCTCCCTGAGGCCCTAACCAGGAGGAGATGCCAACAACATGCTTCTTGTATTGCCTACAGAACAGTGAACCAATTAAACCTCTTTTCCTTGTAAATTACCAAGCCTCAGGTATTTTTTTATAGCAACACAAAACAGCTTAATACAATATTCTTCTTTGAAGGCCTTGAATGACACATCTTTGAGTCTACCATAAGTAAAATTTGTAGTCTGTATTGTGTACGTGTTAATATGGATGGCACTATTCCACATGCAAATAGCATTCTGAGGAGAGATGTATAATACAAACTTTAAGTTGATGTACAGACATTAAAAGGGATATACACTGTAAAAGACAATGTAATTTCAAAATCCTTCACTGGTACTTCTTAAGAAAGTAGATTTTAATTCAACTTATGTTTCAAATGAAAATAAAGAAACTTCATAATGGAAGGAAGCTCTGCAGAGAAAGAGCTGTCCTAAGATAGGGATATCAGTATATTATTTAATGACAGATTTGACTGCCTGTTTTCTCTCAAGGATGTTCTGGGGACAGAACAGATGGAGTTTTTTCACTGAAAACTTCTTTAGGTATACCACATTAGAAGACTTAATGGTATCTTACTTTTATTGTTTAATTCATAAATAAAACAACAATTAAACTATACATAAATATAACCCTCTATAGTTTTAAGATAGTATTAAGAACACATAATCCATTTGAATCCCTGAAAAACACAGTTATTCTAATTTTTTTTTTTTTTTTTTTTTGAGACACAGTCTTTCTCTGTAGCCCAGGCTGGAGTGCCGTGGTGTGATCTCAGCTCACTGCAACCTCCGCCTCCCAGGTTCAAGCGATTCTCCTGCCTCAGCCTCCCAAGTAGCTGGGACTACAGACACGTGCCACCATGCTGGCTAATTTTTCATATTTTTAGTAGAGACGGGGTTTCACTGTGTTAGCTAGGATGGTCTCGATCTCCTGATCTTGTGATCCGCTCCCCTCTGCCTCCCAAAGTGCTGGGATTACAGGCATGAGCCACCGCAACCGGTCACAGTTATTCTAATTTTAATGATTATGCCAAATAAGAGTCCAAGAGACAGTGTATCTTATTATATTTTCCAGAAATGTGACAGTTCACCAAGAGGTTTAAGAATACCATATCATAAACATAATGCCTCTCCCTCCTCACTTGTTGTGGAAAAGATACAGAAACATGAAACCTATTAAAGACTTATCAACATTAGTTAATGATGATATTATGCTAGATTATAAATGAAATGTAATTTTAAAATTAGAAATTTCTGTCCACTAAGTTTTTAAATCTTCTATTTGTCTTGCTATCCAGTGTTATAATAGAACATTTGTGTACTCTTTTTCTTTAGAAAAATGTTTACTCCTAGCAAAACCTGGAGAATAAGTCAATCTCTCTTTTTTAAAATGAAATGCATCTGCAATCTTTTAAGCATAAAGTAACTAATCTCTGTCTCATATTTATTCTATAGTTGAAAGGGAAATGCCAGGACTCTTAGAACACTGGTTCATTTGTATCTAAGAGTAAATTTGCCGGTGAAATTGGCATAACCCTTAACAGATTGTTTCCTCAATTTTCATTTCTTTACCCAATAGCTTTATGATCTCATATCAATATTCTAAATTCTTAATACAATTGAGAAAAGGGGGATAACTTGAATTTTGATCTGAATTAAGTTGCTATATCAATTTAAATTTTAAAAGTTCCTGGGCTAAGTAATCCTTACTTGTGTTATATTATTCACATCCTAACCTATGTGAAAGATTACACATAAACACAGGATGAGGAAAACCTAGACAGTGCGAACTATTATAGTCTAACAGAAACACCAGAAGCAGCAAAGACTTCTCACATCAATAAACAAGATGGTTCTCATATTTATGGGCATGATGTGATCAATAACACAACAAGTACAAAAAATTTCTAGTACTGGTAGGAGAAACATTTCTGTTTCCCAAGCGTTGCTCAATAGCCCAGCAAGATGTTATGCATTCTCCTTTGAAGCTTCACAAAGTGCTCTTTCAATAGATATTCTCTCCATTTTAATTCTAGAAATATTTATTTTACACCAAAGAGAGGGAAGAAACTCATTTAGTCATTCAGTCAGCCATTAAAAAAATACTTCGAGTGCATCTACTATGACAGAAAATAAACAAATACATAAATTATTTAAAAAATAAAAAGTTGGTGGATAGTAAAGAAGTAAAGCAAATAAACAGGAAGGATAAAGCAAAGAAATAGGAAGTCATTTGGAGGATGAGGTGGATGTATTGCCTCACAGTCCATAGAGCTTCATAGGGATTGCAGTCAGGAATAGGATGATCTAGGATACTAGTAATACTGGACTTCTTTCAGGGACCGATGTATACAGGACAAATGACATTTATGAGATTTATTCAGATAGCCTCAAAGCACATAATGAAGGTGAAGTGGGAATACCGAGGAGTCGGGAAGGGTGATGGATCAAAGTTCTGAGCCCTTCCCTTCAGCCTTGCCAATAATTTCTGGGAAAGAGTGTAATCAGCTTGAGCTCACGGAACTCTGGGACTCCTTGACTATTTTTCAGTGAGTTGTGGAGGCTTCCATATGATAAAATAGAACATGTGATTTTTAGCATCTTAGAAAGAGCCAATAGCCTATTAAATGAAAACCAAAGCAAATGTTTTTACAATGGTAAACAAAGCGTCACACATACATTATTTGAGATTGTAAAGGTTTGTGGTACATTGACAGGTTGTCTGTTGGCAAATTGTTTTTTTCTTAAAACTGCATGTTCATGGGGCTGAAAAATGCTGATGGAATTTACCTCATGTCTTACAGATATTTCGTTGGGTAGCACATGAAAAAAAGTACAGTAAAGGTGTTTGGTTCACACTTGTTCTTGAGTTTCCACAATATTTTACGGTCCACCAACATAAAAGCAAGTAACCTGAGGCACTGGCAAGATTTTATTGTGGTATTCTTCAGTAACTTTTATATACTGTTTCCTTTCATAATTTGAGACGCAATAATGATTTTTGTTATAAATTTCTTCATAAATATTCTTACTGATGGATGATGCATTTATTTAAGCATCAGTGGACAAATAAAGTTATCCACGGGTGACTAACAACCTTGAATAAATACCACTTCACTCAGTTGCTATCCATAGTACCTAAGAAATGCAATTACATGCTGGGACCTATTATCCCAATTAATGGACTGTTTTATATTCACTGTGCATTATACTTGAAACACTTTAGAGGCCTGGCCTTCACTTAGCTACAGGCAAAATAGAAATTTATAACAAACAACCAAGAAAAGTCTTTCATTTACTTACCAAGATATGTAGCGTATAATTATACTTTAAGCATAACTAGGCAGGGCTCAACAATGCCTTTATTTAAACCACAATGAAAATATATTTCTAAAACTGTGACAAATATAACTTTGTAATGAACAAGTCAGTGGGGGTTACTGCAACACTGGAGGTCTCATTATCAACTAGGTCTAACCCTCCCCTCTTCCAATGATGTGGTCAAAGGTTAAACTTGATTATACTTATTATATTCAGAGAGATTATAATTATTCCAGGCGTATGAACTAAAAGAGCAGCAAAACGTGGAAGTCTGACTACCTAGATGAGTGAACAAATAAAATAGTCTGTTAAGAAGTACACAGCCCTTTGTTGCGTTGCTACTTTGTAAAATGTCAGCCTGAGGCTATGTTTTATGGCAATGGAATTTGACCACTGAAGTTTAACTCTACTCCCTCTGGTGGTTTTCAAAGCTGTATTACCAAAGCTATAAAATAAAACACAGTTGTAATTCTTCTCCTTATTGTAAGAAGCATTGATCGCCTCTGATTGTATATTATAGCAAAGGGGCAGTCTATTACATAAATTTACTGCATTTTATTCCTGATAATTACTGGAAGTTATTGAACAAGGCAGGGAGTTATAGCCAGTATGTTCCTGCTCTAGCTGAGGAAGCAAATCTACAAATATTTAGTGGATCTAAACAGTTGTAAACAACACATCCTGTTTATCGTGTACTAGAAATTTATAATTTACAGTGCATTTGAGGTTATTTTAAGAATCATACTCTCCATTCCACAAACTTGCACTTGAAATATGAACTGTAGCAAAATGTCATACTAAGTATATAATCTGTTTTTTAAAACCAATTTGACAATACATACAATGTGAAAAGTCAAATTGTTTAAATTTGCTATTTCACTTTATTAAGAGAGATGGGTTTTGTTCATTTTGACTTAAATCTTTCACTAATAGCAGACGTATCACTTTTGGTCATATGCATTTTTGCACTTAAAATTATAGTTATTTATGAATCTAAACTTATCCTTGTGTTAGTAGGAAAACTCTCTAATAAAAAAAAAGCAAATTTTAAAATGCCAAAGTCACCAAAAGAAAATGAGACAAGTTAAAATACTATACTTAATTGTTCTTTCTGCAAAATTCACAACAAAAAAGGAGCAAATACAAGAAATTAGAAGTTGTTAACATTATGTGTGTGTATATATATGTATATGTAATTTGCTCTATACTGTCTGATATAAGGTTATATTTGTACAACAGCCAACAAAATATAGATTTTGTACCATTCACTATCTTATCTAATTTATATATCATAAAATCGCATAGTTTAAATGTTCCCTGTCTGAAAATGAAGCATTAACTCTTAGCAGACTAGCAACCCCCAGATAACAACTCTGGGGAAAACGTATGAAGGCATGAGAGGGCAAGCAGAAGCAGGCAGATACTTCAGAGTAACTATACTTGGAAGAAGTAAAGGAGTAAAGGGCACTGGTTGGGTTTCCATATTTTAGTGTTTTTGCCTAAAAGTAGGTCCTAATCAGTGCTACCTGAAGTAGATAAAATTGAATAGAAAACCCAAAACTATAATGATGTGAAGAAATGGATAACGGACTTAGGGACGAAGGCAGCAGCTAGAAAGTGAAGGCAGTATCCTATTTTAAAAAAAGAAAACTACAGAGGGGCCCCCTAAGATCAGTGTGCAATATCCTCCTGTACATGTACCTGACCCCTGAATTACACATGTGTGAGACAGGCTGTAAGCATCCGAGTTAAAGCTAAAAGAACTAAACAAATGTCAATTCCTCATCACCACAGGGGAGACACAGGAGCATGAGTCCAGCCAAGTTAACTGCCTGCCATAATAAAAATAACAACAAAAATCAGTACACAGAATTCAGAATTTTTGTATTATATTTTTTATAATGTCCAGGATTTACTTCAAAACTCATCAATACATAAAAAAGCAGGACAATGCAACTGATATTCAAATTAAAAAGCAATATATTGATACAACATCAAGATGACTGAGATGTGGCAATTAACAGAAGAGAACTTTAAGATAGCTATTATAACTATGCTCAAAAACATAAATAAAAATATACTTGTAATAAATTACATAATAGAAAATATCAGCAAAGAAACAGAAACTATAAAAAAGAGCCAAATGGATTGTTTCTTCTTGTTGTTGTTTTGTTTTTTTGTTTGTTTGTTTGGAGACAGGGTCTCACTCTGTTGCCCAGGCTAGAGTACAGTACTGTGATCATAGCTCATTGCAGCCTCAACCTCCTGGGCTCAAGTGATCCTCTCACCTTAGCCTCACAGGTAGGTGGGACTTTAGGTACATGCCACCATGCCTGGCTAATTTTTGCATTTTTTGTAGAGACAGAGTCTCACTGCATTGCACAGGCTAGGCAACTGAATTCCTGACCTCAAGTTATCCTCGTGCTTCAGCCTTCCAAAATGCTGAGATTACAGATTTGAGCCACTGTTCCTGGCCCCAAATGAAAATTTGAGAAAAGTAAATACACTTCTGAGAAAGAAATTTGCTGGATAAACTTAATATTAGATGGGAGATGACAGAGGAAAAAGTCAATGATCATAAAGGTAGATAAATAGTGTTAAAAGATAAACTTCAGCTGAATTAAGCTGAAAGGAGCTTAACTGAGCGATGAACAATTTGCAAATCAGGCACCCCCCAGAATCACAGCAGATTTGGAGAGACTCCAGTGCAGCTACATAGTGGAAGGTGATTTACAGACAAAAAAAAAAAAAAAAAAAAAAGGAAAAGACTTACAGAAATCAGAAGTGAGGTACAGAAACAGCTGGATTGGTTACAGGTTGGCATTTGCCTTATTTGAACATGATTCAAACAGCTGGCTACATGTGATTGGCCAAAACTCAGTGATTGGCACAGGTGTAGGCTATGGTCGGTTTACACTTCCACTTGTTATAGTTCAAGATGTACAGAAAAACTTTTAGGCTGAACTTAAATATGTAAGGAGGCATCTTTAGGCTAAACTTGATTAACAATAGAAATTATCCGATCTGAAGAAGAGAGAAAAACATTATTAAAAATAAATTTCCAGTCTTAGCAACCTGAGGAATAATATCAAAAGGTTAAAATACATGCTAATAATACTGGAAGAATCAATATTGTAAAAATGGCCATCCTGCCCAAAGTGATTTATAGATTCAATGCTACTCCTATTAAACTACCATTGACATTCTTCACAGAACTAGAAAAAACTGTTTTAAAACTCACATGGAACCAAAAAGAGCCTGAATAGTCACAGCAATCCTAAGCAAAAACAACAAAGCCAGAGGCATCATGCTACCTGACTTCAAACTCTACCACAGGGCTACTGTAACCAAAACAGCATGGTACTGGTGCAAAAACAGACACATAGACCAATGGAATTAGAGAACCCAGAAATAAGACCACACACTTATAACTAGCTGATCTTTGACAAAGCTGACAAAAACAAGAAATGGGTAAAGGATTCCCTATTCAATAAATGGTGCTGGGATAACTGGCTAGCCACATGCAGAAAATTGAAACTGGACTCCTTCCTTATACCACATACAAAAATTAACTCAAGGTGGATTAAAGACTTAAATGTAAAACCCAAAATTATAAAAACCCTGGAAGACAACCTAGGCAATACCATATAGGACACACCACAGACAAATATTTCATGACAAAGACACCAAAAGTAATTGCAACCAAAGCATAAATTGACACATGGCATCTAATTAAACTAAAGAGCTTCTGCACAACAAAAGAAACTATCAACAGAGTAAACAGACAACCTATGGAACAAGAGAAAATTTTTGCAATCTATCCATCTGACAAAGGCCTAATATCCAGCATCTATAAGGAACTTATACAAATTTGCAAGAGGAAAATAAACAACCCCGTTAAGAAGTGGGTAAAGGACATGAACAGACACTTCCCAAAAGAAAGCATATATGCAGCCAACAAGCATATGAAAAAAGTCCAACATCACTGATTATTAAAGAAATGCAAATCAAAACCACAATGAGCTACCATCTCACACCAGTCAGAATGGCTACTAATAAGAAGTCAAAAAATAACAGATGCTGGCAAGGTTGTGGAGAACAAGAATGCTTATACACTGTTGGTGGGAGTATAAATTAGTTCAACCACTGTGGAAGACAGTGTGTATATTCCTCCGAACCTAAAGACGGAAATACCATTTGATCCAGCAATCCCATTACTGTGTATATACCCAAATGAATATAAATCATTCTATTATAAAGACACATGCACATATGTATGCTCATTGCAGCACTATTCACAATAGCAAATACATGGAATCTACCTAAATGCCCATTAATGATAGATTGGAAAAAGAAAATGTGGTACATATACACCATGGAATACTATACAACCATAAAAAAGGACAAGATAATATCCTTTGCGGGGACATGGATGGAGCTGGAGGCAATTATCCTTAGCAAACTAACAGAGGAAAAGAAAACCAAATACTGCATGTTCTCACTTAAATGTGGGAGCTAAATGATGGGAACACATGGACACATAGAGGTTAACAACACACACTGAGGCCTACTGAAGGATGGAGGTTGGAGGTTGGGAGGAGGGAGAGGATCAGGAAAAATAACTAACGGAAACTAGGCATAATACCTAGGTGATGAAATAATCTGTATAACAAACCCCCATGACACAAGTTTTCCTATGTAACAAACCTGCATATGTACCCCTGAACTTAAAAGTTAAAATAAAATAAAATGCATGTTAATGAAATACCAGAAAAAGAAGAGAAGAGAAAATGGGTCAGAAAAACAAAATATTCGAAGAGAAAAATTAGTGAAATTTTCTCATATTTGGTGAAAAACAAAAATGTGGAGACTAAAAATTCAGCAAACCCCAAGCAAATTAATACAAGGAAAACCACACATAGGTACAACATGTCCTCTTGCTAAAAACTAGATATAAACAGAAACCTTGAAAGCAACCAAAGAAAACTAGTAAGCAAAATCTCGGTACTGCATACTACTGAGCATTGCTTAGAGAAATTAAAGGTTTTCTATATAGAAAGATATACGATACTCATGGATTTTAAAGACAACATATGCTTAAGATACTAATACCACCAAAGATAGATAGACAGATAATACCAGGTCTATTTGTGAACATTAATAAATTGATTCTAAAATGTATACGGAATTGCAAATGACCTAGAATCTCTAAAACAATCTTGCAAAAGAAGAACAAAGTTGAAAGATTTATATTACCTGATTTTAAGGCTTACTATAAAGCTGTAGGAATCAAGACAACGTGGTACTGGCTTAAGAATAGACAAATAGGTCAAGGGAACAAAATAGGGATCCTAGTATAGACCTCTATTAGGTCAATAGACCAATAGACCATGAACTATTGATGTTTGACAAAGGAACCAAAGCAATCTAATGGGGAAAAGAGAATTTTCTCAATAAATGAGGCTATAACAACTAAATATTGTTATGGGGAAAATTATTTTTAACCTCTGCTTCTCATCACACATAAAAATTTATTTTTACTTTGGACCATATCCCCAAAGTAAAAATTAAAACCATAAAACTTCTAGTAGCTTTTTTCCCAGGCAAGATGGCCAAGTAGGAACAGCTCTGGTCTGCAGCTCCCAGCTAGACCAACACAGAAGGCGGGTGATTTCTGCATTTCCAACTGAGGTACCCGGTTCATCTCATTGGGACTGGTTAGACAGTGGGTGCCACCCATGGAGGGCGAGCCGAAACAGGGTGGGGTGTCACCTTACCCAGGAAGCACAAGGGGTTGGAGAACTCCCTCCCCTAGCCAAGGGAAGCCATGAGGGACTGAGCCATCCCACCCGGATACTACACTTTTCCCACAGTCTTCACAACCCACAGAGCAGGAGATTCCCTCAGGTGCCTATACCACAAGGGCCCTGGGTTTCAAGTGCAAAACTTGGTGGCCATTTGGGCAGACACCGAGCTAGCTGCAGGAAGTTTGTTTTTTGTACCTCTGTGGCTCCTGGAACACCAGCGAGACAGAACCATTCACTCCCCTGGAAAGGGACCTGAAGCCAGGGAGCCAAGTGGTCTAGATCAACAGATCCCACTCCCGTGGATCCCAGCAAGCTAAGATCCACTGGCTTAAAATTCTTGCTGCCAGCACAGCAGTCTGAAGTTGACCTGGGATGCTTGAGCTTGGTAGGAAGAGGGTCGTCCCCCATTACTGAGGCTTGAGTAGGTGGTTTTCCCCTCACAGTGTAAACAAAACCACCAGAAATTACTGGGCAGAGCCAACTGTAGTGCCACAAAGCTGCTGTAGCCAGACTGACTCTCTAGATTCCTCCCCTCTGGGCAGAGCATCTCTGAAAGAAAGGCAGCAGCCCCAGTCAGGGCCTTATAGATAAAACTCCCATCTCCCTGGGACGGAGGACCTGGGGGAAGGGGCGGCTGTGGGTGCAGCTTCAGCAGACTTCAACGTTCCTGCCTGCCGTCTCTGAAGAGAGTAGTGGATCTCCCAGCACAATGCTCAAGCTCTGCTAAGGGATAGCCTACTTCCTCAAGTGGGCCCCTCACCCTCCCTGCTTCCCGACGAGAAGGCACCTCCCAGCAGGGGTTGACAGATGCCTCATACAGGAGAGCTCCAGCTGGCATCTGGTGGGTGCCCCTCTGGGACAAAGCTTCCAGAGGAAGGAGCAGACAGCAATCTTTGCTGTTCTGCAGCCTTCGCTAGTGATACCCAGGCAAACAGGGTCTGGAGTGGGCCCCCAGCAAACTCCAGAAGACCTGCAGAAGAGGGGCCTGTTTGAAGGAAAACTAACAGAAAGCAATAGCATCAACATCAACAAAAGGGATGACCACACAAAAACTTCATTTTAAGGTCACCCACAGCAAAAACTAAAGGTAGATAAATCCGCAAAGATGAGGAAAAAACAGCACAAAAAGGCTAAAAATTCAAAAAACCAGAATGCCTCTTCTCTTTCAAAGGATCATAACTCCTTGTCAGCAAGGGAACAAAATTGGATGAAGAATGAATTTGACAAAGTGACAGAAGTAGGCTTCAGATGGTGGATAATAACAAACGCCAAGCTAAAGGAGCATGTTCTAACCCAATGCAAGCAAGCTAAGAACCTTGATTAAAGCTTAGAGGTTTTGCTACCTAGAATATCCAGTTTAGAGAAGAAGATAAATGACCTGATGGAGCTGAAAAACACAGCAGAAGAACTTGGTGAAGCATACACAATTATCAATAGCTGAATTGATCAAGCAGAAGAGAGGATATCAGAGACTGAAGATCAACTTAATAAAATAAAGTGTGAAGACAAGATTAGAGAAAAAAGAATGAAAAGGAATGAACAAAGACTCCAAGAAATATGGGACTATGTGAAAAAACCAAACCTACGTTTGATTGGTGTACCTGAAAGTGATGGGGAGAGTGGAACCAAGTTGGAAAACACACTTCAAGATATTATCCAGGAGAACTTCCCCAGTGTAGCAAGACAGGCCAACATTCAAATTCTGGAAGTAGAGAGAACACCACCTCTACCTTTAACAGTAGAGAAAATTACCTATTTGGTCTATATGTTTGATGAATGAGTAAATGATCTTAATAAATGTTAATGACAATGATAGTATAATATTTTAGCAGTTCTTCTGAGTTATTTGGTAGTTCCATTTATTTGAATGTTTTAGCCTCCAGCTTCACAAAGCTGTCAGGGCATGTGATTTTAGGCAAAGGGCTTGATATGGTTTGGCTGTGTCCCTACACAAATTTCATCTTGATTTGTAGTTCCCATAATCCCCGCGTGTCATGAGAGAGACCCAGTGGGAGGTAATTGGATCATGGGGGTGGTTATCCCCATGCTGCTGTTCTTGTGATAGTGAGTGAGTTCTCATGAGATCTGATGGTTTTATAAGGGGTTTCCTCCCGTTTTCTTTGCACTTCTCCTTGCTGCTTCCATGTGAAGAAAGATGGGTTTGCTTTCCTTTCTGCCATGATTATGTTTCCTGAAGCCTCCCCAGTCATGCTGAACTGTCAGTCAATTAAACCTCTTTCTTTTATAAATCACCCAGTCTAGAGTATGTGTTGATTAGCAGCATGAGAATGGATATTAATACAGTAAATTGGTACTGGGTAGTGGGGTGCTGCTGTAAAGATAACCTAAAATGTGAAAGTGACTTTGGAACTGGGTAACAGGCAGAGGTTGAAAGAGTTTGGAAGGCTCAGAAGAAGACAGGACGATGTGTGAAAGCCTGGAACTTCCTAGACACTTGGTGAATGGCTTTGACCAAAATGCTGATAGTGATATGGACGATAGAGTCCAGGATGAGGTGGTCTCAGAAGGAGATCAGGAACTGGTTGAGAACTGGAGTAAAGAGACTGGTGGCATTTTGCCCCTACCCTAGAGATCTGTGGAGCTTTGAACTTGAGAGAGATGACTTAGGGTGTCTGGCAGAAAAAAATTTCTAAGCAGCAAAACATTCAAGAGGTGACAGAGCATAAAAGTTTGGAAAATTTGCTGCCTGATGATACAGTAGAAAAGAAAAACCCATTTTCTGGGGAGAAATTCAAGCTGGCTGCAGAAATTTCCATAAGTAATGAGGAGCCAAAGGCCAATCACCAAGACAAAAGGGAAAATGTCTCCAGGGCATGTCAGAGACCTTCGTGGCAGCCCCTCCCATCACAAGCATGAAGGCCTTGGAGGGAAAAATGGTTTCCTGGGCTGGGTCCAGGGCCCCCCTGCTGTGTGCAGCCTATGGACTTGGGCTCTAGCCATGGCTAAAAGAGGCCAAGGTACAACTGGGACTGTGGCTTCAGAGGGTGCAAACCCCAAGGCCTTGGCAGCTTCCACGTGGTGTTGAGCCTGTGGGTGCACAGAAGTCAAGAATTGAGGTTTGGGAACCTCTTCCTAGATTTCAGAGAATGTATGGAAATGCCTGGATATTCAGGCATAAGTTTGCCGCAGGTACGGGACCCTCATGGAGAACCTTTGCTAGGACAGGGTAGAAGGGAAATGTGGGGTTGGAGCCCCCACACAGAGTCCCCACTAAGGCACTGCCTAGTGGAGCTGTGAGCAGAGTGCCACCATCCTCCAGATCCCAGAATGGTAGATCCACCGACAGCTTGCACTTTGTGCCTGGACAAACCACAGACACTCAACACTGCCCTGTGAAAGCAGGCAGGCAAGGGACTGTACCCTGCAAAACCAATGGGGTAGAGCTGCCCAAGACCTTGGGAGCCCACCTCTTGCATCAGTGTGACTTGGATGTGAAACATAGAGTCAAAAGATATGATTTTGGCACTTTAAAATTTAATCACTGCCCTACAGAATTTTGGACTTGCATGGGTCCTGTAACCCCTTTGTTTGGTCAATTTCTCCTATTTGGAACAGGAGTAGAGAGAACCATAGGAAAAGAGGTCTCCTTTAGAGCTTTACCCTTGTGTTAGCACTTCCTCTCCCCTTTCAGAAAAACCATGAGTTAAAAAGCTGGAAAACTTCTATAAATAAAAATATATGTAGCAAATAATACAGTAACTAAATGGTAACATTAATTCCAATATGATAACATTAATTCTGCTATGGTAAGGAAAGATGTGAAGAAATCAGCAAGGCCTTTTGATTTTATTTTAAAATTTAAAGCTAATAAAACACTAACAAGTGTCCTATCAACTAAGGTGACAAAATGCCATTTTCACCTCAGTTCTCCTTGCTTGAAGAACAGACAAGATCATTTTGACATAGCCAAGAGCAGAGACTCCTTTTCATCAGAACCTTGATCAAATGTTTTCATATTAGATTTCCACCTGGTTAAGGACAGCCATAGATATTTCCCAGTCTAGTCAGCAATATCAAACCTGTAACAAGCAGACCCCTCTCTTCACAAAGATACTGAATCCATTGATTCAGCTACGCTTGATACAAAAGCCCTTGCTTTACATTATTATTAAAGAGAGAGAAAACAGCCACTCCTAGCTCAGGAAGACTCAAGATCATTCTGATGACTTTAATTTGAGAAAAGTCCAGATTTACAAAGCAAATGTGTAATTTCCACACAGTTGTGAAATTCAGAAACACTGTCTGTCACTGGCAACCATTAATGGTTGTAATAAATAAGGATATCTGTGATGGGCAGGCAAGGATTGTGGTGGACAAAAGGAAAATAAACACAAACATAATCAACCAATGAGTTAACTGCTCCATCTTTAATGAGAACCCCAAGTTCTTCTTTAGCTATATATCTTCTATTTTCATCTTTCTCTCTGGCGTATATAATTTACCTGCACATTTCTGCTCATTGTGAATATTTTTTCATATTGACACAATTATATTTTCATTTGAATGAGTGTTTATCTATATAGCACACATGCTTAGAACACTGAAGAAAAACAGAAATGAATTTTGATCTTTTTCAACTTCTTTGACTAAAATGAAAATTATTTGAACTCCTTTATTATCATACATGGCAAGCTTCTTTAAAGGTTACTGGCTAAACAAATATATATGTGATTCTTATTTACATTTATTGACACTTCATATTACTTTGGAGAAGATAAAGCGTTTATCTTTAGTACAAAACCATTATTGCCATAATATTTCACAAGTGACTTGCCAATTTCCTCCATTACCATAAAATCCAAATTATCACCGATGATTATCCAAGTCAGAAGTAAAGACAAAATAAAAGACACCATATTAAAGGAAAATTTAAAACCATTCATCATTGTCCCAGTTTGATTTTTTAATATAACCAACTTTAAATAAAGTATTTAGAATTGTAGTCTTCTTTTAATCTTCTTTTAAATAAAATGAGCCTACAATGCCTACCTGAAGACCTCATATCCCTAAAAATCTTTTCTCCCTGAATATTTATATTTATTTTTTGCTTAATCCATATTTTGTTACTTACCAGATACAGGAAATTATTGCTGCATAATAAGAACTAACATTACTGAGTCCCTGTAATGTGCCAGATGTTGTTTTAAGTGTTTTACATAATAACAATAACGTTAATGGTGACAGAAAACATTTATTGAGTGCTTACTATATGTCAAATACAACTTACTTTACATGTATTAATTTAATTCTGACAGTCCTATGAGATATCCCTAATCAACTCATAATCATCATAATTTTACAGATGAGGAAATTGAGACACATCAAGATTAAGTAACACATGACACCAAAACCAAGAGCAACAAGAAAATCAGTTAATCTGACTTCATCAGAATTGGTCTTCAAAGGACACCATAAAATATCGAAAGCTCAACCCAGAAAATGGGAGACATTATTTGTAAATCATATATCTGACAAGGACCTTTTACCTGAAATATATGAAAAACACTTACAATTCAATAATAAAAAGATAACTCAATTAAATATGGGAAAAGGTCTTGAATAGGCATTTCTCTCAAGAAGATACACAAACGGCCAATAAGCACATGAAGAAATGCTTGACATCATTAGTCAGCACAGAAATACAAATCAAAACCACAAAAGTATCACTCCACACACATTAGGGTGGCTAGAATAAAAAAAGTCAGATAATAACAAATGTTGGACAAGGATGTGGCAAATTGCAACTTTCTTGCTCTTCAGGTGGGAATGTAAAATGCTGCAGCTGCTTTGAAAAACAGCCTATTAGTTTCTCAAATGATTAAACATACGGTTACCCTATAGCCCAGCAATTCCACTTATGGTTATATACCCAAGAGAAATGAAAACCTAAGGCCACACAAAAACTTGTACACAAATGTTTATAACAGCATTATTTATAATAGTCAAAAGATGGACACCCAAATACTTATCAGCTAACAAATAGATAAATAAAATGTAGTATATCCATGTAATGGACTATTATTTAGCCATAAAAATAAATAAAGTTTTATTCATGCTAAAATATGGATGAGTCTTGAAAACATTATGCTAAATGAAAGAAACCAGTCACAAAAAAGTACTTATTGTATAATTCAATTGGTATAAAATGTCCAGAACAGGGAAATTTACAGAGATAGAAAGTAAATTAGTGGTTGCTTAGGGCTGGGGAAGTAGGGGAGGGTGGATGACAGGATGATAGCTAAAGGGTATAGAGCTTTCTTTTTGTGGCAATGAAAATGTTCTGTGGTAAGGTTTGCACATATATGTGAATATGCTAAAAATAATTGCATTGCACACTTTAAATGAGTGAAATGTGTGGTGTGAATTATACTTCAATGAAGTCATTTTTTTAAAAAGATAATTTGTTCAAGCTTCCACAGCTAGTGACAGAACTGGGATTAAAACTGAGGCATTTCAGTCCCTGAGTTAGAAATTTTAATCACTATATCAGTGTCTCAAGTGCGTTATTTTGTTTAATCATCACAATAACCCATGGAAGTTGGTAATGTTATTAACTGCATATTATAGAAAAATGATAAATTAAAAATAACATGATCTCTACTTTCAGGGAACTTAAAATCTAGCATCGGGAAGACATATGCATACGAAAAAATTAAGTATAATAAAAGACAACATTCAATAAATATGATAATAGAAGCAAGGAAAGTTGATGTACAGTGCAAAGAAAGGATAAAAGAGATAAAAGAAGAATTTGGTGTATAAAAGTGTTGTAGAACTTTCAGAAAACTTAGTCCATAAAAGACTATAACTATTAAATGACCAATAAAAATGTAGAAAAAACATTTTTGGAAACTACTCAAAAGCCTTCACTGTTGTCCTTCTATCTCACCTATGCATCATCACATTGCCGGCAAGATAAAATCCAAACTTACTAACAATAGTATTTAGGCAAGTTCTGAAATTGAGGCATTAATAAATAGCCTACCATCCAGAAAAAACCCAGGACCAGATGGATTCACAGCTGAATTCTACCAGAGGTAAAAGGAAGAGCTGGTATTATTTCTACTGAAACTATTCTGAAACATTGAAAAGGAAGGACTCCTCCCTAAGTCATTCTATGAGGCCAGCATCATCCAGATAACCAAACCTGGCAGTGACACGACAAAAAAAAAAGAGAGAATTTTAGGCCAATATGCCTGATGAACATTAATGCAAAAATTCTCAATAAAATACTGGCAAACTGAATCCAGCAGCACATCAAAAAGCATATCCACCACAATCAAGTTGGTTTCATCCCCTGGATGCAAGCTTGGCTCAACATATGCAAATCAATACAGGTGATTCATCACATGAACAGAACTAAAGACAAAAACCACATTATTATCTCAATAGACACAAAAAAAAGGCCTTCGATAAAATTCAACATCCCTTCATATTAAACACTCTCAATAAACTAGGTATTGAAGGGACATACCTCAAAATAATATAAATCATTTGTGACAAACCTACAGCTAATGTCACACCAAATGTGCAAAAGATGGAATCATTCCCTTTGAAAACCGGCACAAGACAAGGATGTCCTCTCTCACCATTCCTATTCAGCATAATATTGGAAGTTCTCGCCACGGCAATCAGACAAGAGAAAGAAATAACAAGAGAAAGAAATAACGCATATTCAAATAGGAAGATAGGAAGTTTAATTATCTTTGTTTGCAGACATGATCCTATATCTAGAAAACCCCATAGTCTCAGCCCAAAAGCTTCTTAAACTGATAAGCAAATTCAGCAATGTCTCACGATACAAAATCAATGGGCAAAAATCGCTAGCATTTCTATACACCAACAGGCAAGCAGAGAGCCAAATCATGAATGAACTCTCATTCACAATTGCTACAAACAGAATAAAATATATACGAATACAGCTAACAAGGTAAGTAAAGGACATCTTCAAGGAGAACCACAAACCACTCCTCAAAGAAATGAGAGAAGACACAAACAAAAGGAAAAACATTCCATGTTCATAGATAGGAAGAATCAGTATTGTGAAAATGGCCACAATGCCCAAAGTAATTTATAGATTCAATGGTATTCCCATTAAACTACCATTGACATTCTTCACAGAATTAGAAAAATCTACTGTAAATTTCATGTGGAACCAAAAAGGAGGCTGTATAACCAAGACAATACTAAGCAAAAAGAACAAAGCTGGAGGCATCAGGTTACCCCACTTCAAACTATACTATAAGGCTACAGTAATAAAAACATTATGGTATTGGTACATGAACAGACACATAGATCAATATAACAGAATAGAGAACTCAGAAATGCGAGTGCACACCTACAACCATCTGACCTTTTACAAACCTGACAAAAACAAGCAATGGGGAAAAGATTCCCTATTTAATAAACATTGCTGGTAGAACTGGCTAGCCGTATAGAGAAAATTGAAACTGGACCCCCTCCTTACACCATATACAAAAATTAACTCAAGATGGATTAAAGACTCAAATGTAAAACCCAAAACTGTAAAAACCCTAGAAGATAATCTAGGCAATAACATTCAGGACATAGGCATGGGTAAAGATTTCATGATGAAAACACCAAAAGCAATTGCAGCAGAAGCAAAAATTGACAAATGGGACCTAATTAAACTAAACACCTTCTGCACAGCAAAATAAGCTATCATCGGAATGAACAGATAACCTACAGAATGGGAGAAAATTTTTGCAATCTATCCATCTGATGAAGGTCTAATATCCAGAATCTACAAGAAATCTAAACAAATTTACAATAAAAACTAAACAACCCCATTAAAAAGTGGGCAAAGGACATGAACAGACACTTCTCAAAAGAAGACATATATGCGGCCAACAAACATGATAAAAAGCTCAACATCACTGATCTTTAGAGAAATGCAAATCAAAATCACAGTGAGATCCCATCGCACACCAGTAAAAATGGTAACTATTAAACAGTCAAGAAACAACAGATGCTGGTGAGGTTGTGATGAAAAAGAAATGCTTTTACACTGTTAGTGGGAGTGTAAATCAGTTGAACAACAAAATGGTTCAACTGGTTTACACTCCCACTAAAATTGTGGCAATTCCTCAAAGACCTAGAGGCTGAAATACTATTTGACCCAGCAATCCCATTACTAGGTATATATCCAAAGGACTATAAATCATTCTATTGTAAAGATACATGCACGCATATTTTCATTGCAGCATTATTCACAATAGCAAAGACATGGAATCTACCTAAATGCTCATCAACAATGGACTGGATAAAGAAAATGTGGTACATATACACCATGGAATATTATGCAGTCATAAAAAGGAATAAGATCCTATCGTTTGCAGTGACATGGATAGGAGGTAGAAGCCATTATCCTCAGCAAACTAACACAGGAACAGAAAACCAAACACTGCATGTTCTCATTTATAAGTGGGAGCTTCATGATGAGAACACATAAACACATGAGAAGAACAACACACACTAGGGCCTGTTGGCAGGGAAGGGAGAGCATCAGGAAGAACAGCTAAAGGATGTTGGGCTTAATACTTAGGTGATGGGATGATCTGTGCAGCAAACCACCATGGCACACATTTACCTATGTAACAAACCTGCAAATCCTGCACATGTACCCAGGAACTTAAAATAAAAGTAGAAGAAACTTTTTTAAAAAATTATATTTAAAGCTTATCACCATCTGGCCTTAAAATAACCTTCTAGCTTCTTCCTTGATTACATTCTAACACCCATCCTATGCTCTAGCGTAGCAAGCCATATCTTTTCAGGCCTCTATTCCTACTGTCATGGTTCCAGTACAGAACATCCATCTCTCCCTTCTCTTCACACATATATATATATATATATATATATATATATATAGGCAATCTTCACGACTCAACTGAAATTTCACCTCCCCCAAAAAACTTTTCTCATTCATTTGGTGTTAATCATTCCTTCCTCTTTACTCTATATCAGCTTTTTGTACCACTATTAAAAAACTTCTTTCAACTTATTTTATTCCATCTTTCATTATACTTAGTTTTTTACGCATGTGTCTCCTTCCTGACCTCCACTACATTAGACTCCCTGAAAACAGCGACTATATCATATATTCACTCATTCTTTCTAGTACTTTAAATATCATTCATGTTTGTTCCATGAATGTCTATCAGTAGTTAGTAACTGTTATACAATTGTTCCTTATATTTTACCTGTTAATATTTGGATGTTATTGCCTAGCTTATACATGAAGTATAACGCCTCTAGACTGTGAATGCCTTGAGGGTTGTAACTTCATATTTCACCTCTGTGTGTCTAATACAGGGCCTGACTCACAGGTTCACAGTAACATGTTATTGAATGAGTGAAAAAACATCGAGAGGAGACTGTCTTTCTTAGGGACATATAACCTGCACGCATTATCATTAAGGTCATATTCAAACAATACAGATAATGGACATAGCATACACTCTTATAGCTAAAAAGTTGCATAAGTAAAGATCAGTATCTAATGGTGAAAACAGTTGTTTGCCATTCTCATTTCCTTTAAGTCGTGCTGTCAGTCCTTAATTTCAGAATATTTGTTATCACGGTTGCTTCTTAAATAACTCAAGAGTCTGATTATAAGAGAATTCCTGTAAAAACACATTTAAATATGTGTCATGTCAGAAAATAAAATGTCACCATGAATGCTATAATTAAGGCTAAAAAGGCAACTAGACTATAAGCACATAATTTTAAGTCTTTTATTTCTCACAGAAAGATTTCTGAAGGTAAAAGTTTTCATGGTTCTTAGCTTAACTGCCCATTTTATTTTAGAAAGTTCTGGGACAATGTGTCACTCTTTTGTAGTTAATTTGACCTAAAATGTATATTCTAGTCACTCAGAAATTATTTATATGCTTTTCTCACTGCTAAATGATTAAAAACAATTTGGTTTTAAAACGCCAAGCTTGTCATGTGTGCAATACTGAATGGTGAAGTATGACGTTACCATAATCAAGTTTGATTTTCAAAATTCAAAAAATATTTATGAAAATTTAAAATAGCATATTTAAAATAGTATACACTACAAAGATTTCTATTTCTTTCCTGAAGAGACAATTCTGATGAATGTGCTATTCTCTGCAGCTGTGGATATTAATGGTTCAGTTAGAGAGAGAAGAGAGAGGACAGGGAGAAAGAGAATGAAGAGTAGAATGTTCAGCCTTCTTTGTTTTAAGGAAATGTGTTCCTTTTCAAATTTTGCTTCTTGGTATTCCAAGAACATTCAAACAAAAAACATTATTCTCCTATTTGAAGAGTCAGCAAGAAATAATGCTCCGTCTCAGGAATTAATCCATGAAAGCCTAATGTTTTTCTACCGTGGCAGAAAAAAAAAAAAAAAAACAACCCACATGACATGAGATCTACCCTCTTAACAAAGATTTAAGTGTACAGTACAGCATTGTTAACTGTATGCACATTGTTGTACAGCAGATCTCTAGAACATTTTTATCTTGCATGACCAAAACTTTATACTAATTGAACTAATTGAACTTTTGCCTCTTCCTCCTAAGCCCTAGAAACCACTATTCTACTTTGTGTTCCCATGAATGTGTATCCAGTGGGAAAAGCATATAAATAATTTCTGAGTGACTGTAGATACCGCATACAAGTGCATGCAGTATTTGTCCTTCTGTGACTGGCTTATTTAACTTAGTGTAATTTCCTCAATGTTCATACAAGTTGTAGCATATAACAATTTCTTTCATTTTTTGGTCATATAATATTTCATTGCATGCGTATGCCGCATTTTCTTTATCTGTTCATCCACTGATGAACATTTAGTTTTTTTCCATCTCTTAGCTATTGAAATAAAGCTGCAATAAACATGGAAGTGCAAATATATCTTCACAGTCCTGATTTCAATTATTTTGAATAAATACCAGAAGTATTTAGTGTTATATCCAATAAATCATTGCTAAAACCAATGTCACGAAGCTTTCTATGAATTTGTTTTCTTCTATGAATTTTGCAATTTCAGACATTTAATTAAAATTTTTAATCCATTTTGAGTTTATTTTTGTATGTAAGGTTCAAATTTTGTTTTTCTGTATATGAATATCCAGTTTCCCCAACACCACTTGTGTTCTGATGTTGGGTATATGTATATATATAATTACTATATTTTCCTGATGAATTGACTTGTTAGTCTGTTTTGTGTTGCTATAACAACACCACAGGCTGAGTAATTTATAACAAACAGAAATTTATTGGCTCACAGTGCTGGAGGCTGGAAGTTCAAGATCAAGGGATTGGCACCTAGTGAGAGCCTTTTTGCTGTATCACTCCATGGCAGTAAGCAGAAGGGCAAGAGAGGGTAAAAGAAAGGGGGCTGAAATTGTTCTTTTATAGGAACCCACTCTCACAGTAATAAACTCACTCCCAAGATAATGGCTTTAATCTATTCATCAGGGCAGAGGCCTCATGGCCTATTCAATTCTTAAAGGCCCCACTTAATATCATCATATTAAGGATCAAGTTTCCAAAACATGAACTTTGGGGGACACATTCAAACCATAGCATAACCCATTTATTGTTATATTTAATATAATGTCCTTCTTTGTCTCTTGTGACAGTTTGGACTTAAAGTCTATTTTGTCTGATATAAGTATGACCATTCTGCTTTTACATATATATTACATGTATTAGTCCATTTTCACAATGCTGATAAAGACATACCTGAGACTGGGCAATTTATAAAAGAAAGAGGTTTCATGGACTTACAGTTCCATGCAGCTGGGGTAGTCTCACAGTCATGGCGGAAGTCAAGGAGGAGCAAGTCACGTCTTAACATGGATGGCAGCAGGCAAAGAGAGATAACTTGTGCCAGGAAACTCCCGCTTTTAAAATCACCAGATCTCCTGAGATTCATTCACTATCTTGAGAACAGAGCAAAAAGGACCCACCTCCATTATTCAATCACCTCCTACTGGGTTCCTCCCATGACACAGAAGAATTATGAGAGTTACAATTCAAGATGAGATTTGGGTGGGGACATAGCCAAACTATATCATTCCACCCCTGGCCCCTCCCAAATCTCATGTTCTCACATTTCAAAACCAATCATGCCTTTCCAGCATGCCTTACCTCATTTTAGCATTAACTCAAAAGTCCACAGTCCAAAGTCTCATCTGAGACAAGGCATGTCCCTTCCACCTATAAGCCTGAAAAATCAAAAGCAATTACTTCCTAGATACAATGGGGGTACAGGCATTTGATAAATACATTCCAAATGGGAGAAATTGGCCAAAACAAAGGGGCTACAGACCCCATGCAAGTCCGAAATTCAGCAAGGCAGTCAAATCTCGAAGCTCCAAACCAATCTCCTTTGACTCTGTCTCACATCCAGGTCATGCTAGTAATGGATGCAAGAGGTGGGTTCCTATGGTCTTGAGTGGCTCTGCTCCTGTGGCTTTGTGGGTACAGCTTCCCTCCTGGCTGCTTTCACAGGCTAGGATTGAGTGTCTGTAGCTTTTCCAGGTGCATGGTGCAATCTGTCAGTGAATCTACCATTCTGGGATCAGGAGGACAATGGCCCTCTTCTCACAGCTGCACTAGGCAGTAGGGCCTCTGTATGGGGGCTCCAAACTCACATTTCCCTTCAACATTGCCTTAGGAGAGGTTCTCCATGAGGGCCCTGCCCCTACAGCAAACTACTGCCTGGACATCCAGGCATTTCCATATATGTTCTGAAATCTAGGCAGAGGTTCCCAAACACCAATTCTTGACTTCTGTGCACTGGCAGGCTCAACACCATATGGAAGCTACCAAAGCTTGAGGCTTACACCCTCTGAAGCCATGGCCCAAGCTCTACACTGGCCCACTTCAGCCATGGCTGGAGCAGCTGGAACACAGGGCAACAAGTCTCTAGGCTGCATACAGCATGGGGACCCTGGACCCAGCCCATGAAACCACTTTTTCCTCCTAGGCCTCTGGGCCTGTGATGGGAGGAGTTGCCATGAAGACCTCTGACATGCCCTGGAGACATTTTCCCCATTGTCTTGGGGATTAACATTTGGCTCCTTTTTACTTATGCAATTTTCTGCAGCTGTTTTGAATTTCTCCTTAGAAAATGGGATTTTCTTTTCTATTGCATAGTCAGGCTGCAAATTTTCCAAATTTTTATGCTCTTTCCCTTATAAAACTGAATGCTTTTAACAGCACACAAGTCATCTCTTGAATGCTTTGCTGCTTAGAAATTTCTTCCTCCTGATACCCTGAATCATCTCTCTCAAGTTTGAAGTTCCACAAATGTCTAGGGCAGGGGAAAAATTCCCAGTCTCTTTGCTAAAACATAACAAGAATCACCTTTCTCCAGTTCCCAACAAGTTCATCACATCCATCTGAGACCATCTCAGCCTGGATTTCATTGTCCATATTATTATCAGCATTTTGGTCAAAGCCATTCAGTATGTCTCTAGAGAGTTCCAAACTTTCCCAAATTTTCCTGTCTTCTTCTAAGCCCTCTAAACTGTTCCAACCTCTGCCTGTTACCCAGTTACAAAGATGCTTTCACATTTTCGGCTATCTTTTCAGCAGCACCCCTCTCTCAGTACCAATTTACTGTATTAATCCATTTTCATGCTGCGATAAAAACATACCTGAGACTGGGCAATTTACAAAGGAAAGAGGTTTAATGGACTTACAGTTCCACGTGGCTGGGGAAGCTTCACAATCAGGATGGAAGGCAAAGAGGAGCAAGTCATGTCTTACATGGATGGCATCAGGCAAAGAGAGAGAGTTTGTGCAGGGAAACTGCCATTTTTACAACCATGAGATCTCATGAAACTCATTACTGCCATGAGAACAGTCCAGGAAGGACCCACCCCCATAATTGAATCACTCCCACCAGGTTCTTCACACAATGCATGGGAATTGTGGGAGTTACAATTCAAGATGAGATTTGGGTGGGGACACAGCCAAACAATATCATTAAATATTTAGCTGAAGCTATTTTTAAGCAAAGTGTGAACTGTATGGCTTGGTTCCCTTTGACTGCTTATAGGAAAATGAGAAAAGAGAGAAATGATTTAAAGACAAAATTGTTCACCAAAAGGGAAGCAGAACTTAAAAGATTTGAAAAATTCTCATCTCAGCCATGTGGTAAAGAATGAGAAAGCATGATTCAGACAGAATTCCAAGTATATGGCCAAATTACCATCTGATAAATTAATATGAATCTGCCACCTCAACCGAAACTAGGAGCTATTCATCAAGACAATGGGAACATTAGTCAATCATCTAAACAGAAGTCAGGACTTGTTGTCCAAGACAATGGAAGAATGACCCTAACGAATTTTGGAAATTATCATGTCTACCCTCCAACTATAGGACCAGAGTACAAGACGCAAGTTCAAAGAGAGGCCACTGCTGCCCAGCACTGTCACAGGCAGGCTCTGCTCCCTCCACTCTTTCATCACGCTTCTCAGCCTCAACAGGTGTGTCTACAGAAAACACTACACTCAGCAAAGTTTTGAGGGTGTGACTGCTTACACCTAGATTTCAAAGGATGTCCCAGAGAGCTGTGGGGCCCAGATAGAAAACTGCTACAGGGGTGAGGCCACTGTAGAAAGTTCCTACTAGGGCAATGCTCAGCAAAGTCATGGGGCTAATTACAGTAGAATAGTATTCCAGTGTGTATATATACCATATTTTCTTTATCCATTCATCTGTTGATGGACATTTAGGTTGATTCCATATCTTGGCTGTTGTGAATAGTTCTACAGTAAACATGGGGGTGCAAATATCCACTCAATATATTGATTTCCTTTCTTTTGGATATATACTCAGTAGTGAAATTGCTGGACCATATGGTAGCCCTATTTTAGTTTTTAGAGAAACCTTCATACTGTTTTTCATAATGGCTGTACTAATTTATATTCCCATTGTTGCAGGACTTTTTCCTTAGTTCAGCTAAGAGCTGGGTTCTTGTCATACAGCCATGAGAGATTAGGCTCACAGACACTTTGAAGGGTGAAAAAAATGGAATTTATTTGGTAAAAAGGGAAAAAATGGGGAACAGGTACTCTCCACAAAGCCAAAGTCCTGTGAGTGCACATCCTGCCTTGCAGATCGAATACCAGTTACCACCCAGGAAGAGGAGAGGCCAGGCTCCTCCCCACTGCAAATGGCATGAACTTCCCAAGACTCCACCCCAGCATGCATTCTTCCCAGTGTGAAGGTCTGTCAGAGGATCTGCCAGGGAGCCATTCCCACATGGCTGCCTCAACATCAGCAGTATATAAGGGGACCTTTTTCTCTGCATCCTCACCTTTCTTTTTAATAAGAGACTGGGCTGAGATGATATCTCATTGTAGTTTTGAGCAATTTTTCATATACCTGTTAGCCGTTTTTATGTCTTCAGATACTTTCCCCACTTTTTAATGGGACTGTTTGGATGGTTTTGCTGGTGAGTTGTATGAGTTACTTGCATATTCTCAGTATTAGTTTGATGAGTAGTTTGCACATTCATTTTTATTTATTTTTTCATTCACTTTTAGATGGTGGAACACTTGGTGTTCATTTAAATCCTAATTATGATTATTTCCTAATTTCTTGTTCTATTTTTTTAAGCTTGTATTTTTTATATAACAGGTTGTCCTATAGTAAGTGCCAGTTTTGCTTCTACTTAAAATATGTTTATGCAGAACATAGCATAGTTTATACATTGTTTTTTATGAATAACTGCAAAACCTGAACTCTGTTTCCAATAGTTATTATTTTGTTATTTTCCTTAAGAATCTTCAGAAATCTTCCTGTAGCTGTATTATGTTTTTATAATTTTCAAAAATGCCATCATTTTAAATAAAGAGCTCTTTATGAGTAATAAAACACTTTTTATTTAGTCATGTGTATATTTTAAATAGGAGAGAGAATTTCAATAACAAAACAAGATGCTGTTCAGGAACTACTTTATTAGAAATCATTTGACATGTTTCTGTATATATTTTCTGGTTCTGTAGTTAGAAACAGGTCAGGAGGAACTGAATTCAGTATTTCTGAGAAATTATACGTCATTACAGGTTTACAAAGAAAAAAGTACAACTTTCTGGTAACAAAGCTAATCAGCTTCTCATTTTGATTTTTGCGTAATTAACTCATAGAATGACTTAACCTCCACCATTGAAAAAAATATAATTAGTATTCCAAATCAAAGATAAGTATTCCATCATCTAAAAGTAATAGTCATGATGGACGATCTCAGCTTTTGACATATACTTGTCTGGATGCCTCATTTCCAGAACATAGAACATGTGGTTTTTAATGATAAATTTATAAAATATGCTTTCTGTTTTCCTTTAAGTATAAAACATATACTTTACAACATATTTTATGTTGCAAATTTTAAAACATATAGTTTATGTTTTAAGAGTAAAAGTTTATTTGATGATATATTACTGACACACGAATCCACCTCTTTAAAAAGAGGTTCTCTTTTTAAAGTTTTAAAACTGGATTATGTGCCATAACATGATCACATATATTTTATATCTTTTTGCTTAAATAAGACTGGATTCTTCCAATCTTCCCTTTCTTAAGTTTATCAAGAAAACTAACAGAGTAGATTCAACTGACTGTTGGAATCTTTTATTTTAAAAAAAGTGTTTCTGTGTTTGAGATTCTGTGTGCTTTAGCAATGATTCTCATGGTGAGAACAAAGGCTGTCAGTAGCAATCCATTAATTTAGTGTCTACTCTGTTTTTACTGTTTCATTAATTCAGATAGAAAGTATAAGAGTTAGTCCCAACTTGAGCCTATTGAAGCTGCTTAAGTATTTGATATGAGTGTAAGGCACAAGTTGACTTATTTTTGAAGTGGCTCACTCATCTTCTTCATTCTTCTAACAATCAAACCAGACTAAATTTGCCATAAATTAATTTAACCAATTGATAAATATTGAGAACCTACTCTGTCTACTATGTAAAAGATATTGCATTCGTCATAGATAAGTAAAAAGCAATCCCTGATATCAGTGAGCTTAACCTTTAGAAAATGATAAAGAGTAAATTTCCAAATAGCTGCAATATAAGGTAAACCATACTACATATCATTTGAGTGGTACAGGGTGCTAGAGGGATTCAGAGAAGGAAGAGAGGGCATCTGACTGAGGGATTCAGACACATTTTATGAAATAGGTAACTCTAAGGATGATCCATATTTGATTATAATTATAACTAAATGATTACAGAAACAGACATTTAATATCTGTTTCCTTCAGTAGCACTTAGGTTTCATGAGAGCTGTGACTATGTATGTCTTGTATCTGGCACCATGGTTACATAGTAGACATTTTAGTAATTGTTGAATTAATAATAAATGACTTCAAAAGACAAATAATAAAATTGAAGTAAGCTGATACATTCGAGTAATACTAGAATGTATTAATGGAATTTACAGAATTACTGTATGGAATTTTCTTTAAAAGAAACTGTAAAATAGAGGGAGCATAAGCTCTAGACCCAGACTGCCTGGCTTTGAATCTTGACTCTGTGACTTACAAGCTGGGTTACCTCAAGTTACAATTATGTAACTTTTCTGTGCCTCAGTTAGATGGGAATATTAATAGTGCATATATATGCAGGTTGTAAGGATTAAATGAGTAACACTGTAACAGGGTCTGGCATATAGTAAGCACTCCCATACATGGGAATAGGATATTTAGATTGCCTGTTACACTGGGGGATTTTGGGATCTTGAAACACTTGGTCATTGTGTAAGGAAAATAGACAGAGAAAACCCATAATGGAAAAGAGGTTTTGGTGCTCAGACATTCTATCTAGCTCTCTAACTTCAGATACTTCCCCCAACTTGGTGTGGAGTTCCCTAACTACATATTTTCAACTTTTTTTTTTTACTTTTTGTTTTGAAATAATTTTAGACTTATAGAAAAGTTGCAAAATCAACACAGAGTTCTGTTTTAATGCCTTCACCTAGTTTTTAACATCTGACAAAGCCACAGTGAAATTATCAAAACTAAGACATTGACTTTGGTACAATTATATTAGCTAAACTACAGACTTTAGATTTTACCATTTTTTCCAATAATATAAATGTTACTTACTGTTGCTGCCACTACTAACTACTAGCACTATTACCATACAACACAAACTGTTCTTAAGTGCCAAGGATCCAAAGATAGATAGCATTATTCTGAGGTTTTTCTGGCAAACAGATAAAGAAGTATGCAATTATGACAAATTTTAGCTGTTATTTTTTGGAATGACTGAGAATTGAATATTAAAATTAATTATTTCAACCAATATAATGTTACCATATATGCCATACAAGGTCCCCAATCTTCAAAGAATTTGGCTCCAGTAAAATATGCTTAATGCTAAAAATAAAACAATATAGCTACTTTTTCTTTCACAATTCAAAAGAACCCTTATATTTTGCGTTATTTTGGGTCATAATTCAATGATCAGTTATTAAGTATTTACCTTTTAATACGCATTCTGGTTGGTGAAAACTAGGAGAAACCAAAGTTGAGATTTATGCAAAGATAATCTGTTGCAGACATAGTTAAGATTCATCTATTATCTTATTCGAATAACTAAATAGCTAAAATTCTAGCAGTAAAAAAGCCTACCCATGTTAAGTATAACTAATTTGAATCTAAAATAAACTGAATGAAAATTGATGTAAGGGATAAATATCACATCATTGTACAAAGTCAATTCTATAGAGACTTTAAAGAGAAGCATCTATAACTATTAAATTACATTTAATGAAATTATTATAAATAATTTGATATTTTATTTGAAATATTATAAATAATTATCATAACTAACTATACATAATTTGTAAAGTACAAATAAAAATACAATGAGATTATTATAAATAAATGGGATTATTTATCAAAAGCATTATATATCCACTGTAATTTCTTCTCATTTTAGGAGGAAAGAGAGGGAATTAGACACTATATACACATATGTTTGTATGTATGTGAATATAAATATATATACACATATATATTACATAATACCAAAATAAACACATATGCTTCTTGATCTTGCTGAAAAATGCCTAATATAATTGTATTAGATACTATATAAGTTCCTTTAAAGTTAATAAACAGAAAGCTGTTCTATTATTTGACAAGAGATTAAGAACCAATTAATAATTTTAGATAGTTGAAGATATGAATATCTCTGCCTCTTATTATGCCCTTTTTTTTTTAACAAAAGCTTTTTAGCTTTTCAACTTGGTAACAAAGAGTTATCAATGTCAGGGAAAACACAGTGGTTTTTTGCATTGAAGGAAGGCTTGAAACATTGGCAGGAGGAAATATCCCAGCACACCACATTATAGCATTAGAAATATTTCCTTATAAATGACACAAATTTCTGTATTAAATCTATTATGGAAATACAATAGAATATGAAGGCTTGTGTTGCTTTTTGGACAAAAATATTGAAATGACCAAAGGAAATGTGGGCTTTTCTTTACCGGAAGACTTTTTATTACAGCTTCAGTCTCATTACTTGTTATTAGTCTGTTCAAGTTTTGGATTTCTTCTTTTTCTTTTTTTTTTTTTTTGGATTTCTTCTTGATTCAACCTTGGTAGGTTGTACATAACTAGGAATTTATTCGTTTCTTCTAGATTTTAGAATTTGTTGGCATATAGTTGCTCATAGTAGCCACTAATAATCCTTTGAATTTCTGCAGAATCAGTTGTAATGTCTTCCTTTTCATCTCTGATTTCATTTATTTGGATCTTCTCTCTTTTTTTCTTAGCCTGGCTAAAGGTCAGTTATTTTCCTCAATTCTTTTTAATTTCAAAAAAAAAACAAAAACAAAAAACCCCACAACTTTTTATTGCATTAATTCCATACTGTTTTTCTCATTTCGATTTCATTTATTTCATTCTGATTTTTATTATTTCTTTTCTTCTACTCATTTCAGGTTTGATTTCCTCCTGCTTTCCTCTTGCTTTTCTCGTTCTTTAAGATAGATTATTAGATTTTTTTTTTCAAGTTTTTCCTCTTTTTTCATGTAGGCACTTATAAACCTCCCTCTGAGTATTGCTTTTGCTGTATCCCATAGGTTTTGGTACATTGTGTTTCCATTATCATTTGTTTCAAGAGATTTTTAAATTCCTCTGAATTTATTCATTGACCTACTGGTCATTCAGGAGTCTATTATTTAATTTCCATTTATTTGTATAGTTTCCAAAATTCCTCCAGAATTATCTGTCTGAAAGGTCACATATTTCTTTTTCTGCAGGATTGGTCCCTGGCGCCTTGATTAGTTCATTTGGTGAGGTCATGTGTTTCCTGTATGGTGCTGATGCTAGTAGATGTTGTACAGTGTCTGGGCATTGAAGGCTTAGGTATTTATTGTAGTCTTCCCTATCTGGGTTTATTTATAGCTGTCCTTCTAGGGAAGGCTTTTCAGATATTTGAAAGAACTTGAGTGTTGTGATCTAAGCTGCATTTACTTTAAGGACACCACAAGCCCAGTAACACTGTGGTTCTTGCAGACTCATATAAGTACTGCTTTGGTGGTCTCGGACAGGATCTGGGAGAATTCTCTGGGTTACCAAGCAAAGACTGTTGTTCTCTTCCCTCACTTTCTCCCAAACATACAGAGTCTCTCTCTCTCTCTCTCTCTCTCTCTCTCTCTCTCTCTCTCTCTCTCTGTCTCTCTCTCTCTCTCTCTCTGTCTCTCTCTCTCTCTCTCTCTCTCTCTGTTTCAAGTACTCTAAAGCAATGAGCAGAGTGGCAGAAGCACCCTTGTGGCCACCACCACTATGAGTGTGCTGGGTTAGACTTGAAGCCAGCACAGTGCTGCATCTCGCTCAAGGCATGCTGTAACAGATCCTTGGCTACTGCCTATGTTCACTCAAGGCTCTGGGGCTCTACAATTAGCAGGTGGCAAAGACAGCCTGACCTGTCCCTTCAGGACAGTGAGGCCCCTCAAAACCCAGGTGGGTCCAGAAGTGCTGTCTGGTAGTCAGAGACTAAAATAAAAAACCTTAGAAATACACCTGGTTTTCTATTGTATTGTGGCTGAGCTGGTACTCGAACCACACGACGCAATCCTTTCCATGCTTCCCTCTCCTTTCTAAATGGAGGGGAGCCTCATCCAGTAGCCGCCACCACCCGAGGCCACAAGAACTGCCAGACTGCCACTAATGCTGCCTGAGGGCTCAAGATATCTTAGATCAGCTTGTGGTGAATGCTGACTGGCCTGGGACTCACCCTTCAGGGCAGTGGGCTCCCCTCTGGCCCAGGGCAGGTCCAGAAATACCATCCAAGAGTAAAGTCCTGGAAATAGGGACCCCAAGAGCCTACTTTGTGCTCCACTGTACTGTGGCCATGCTGGTACCTGAAGCCAGCAAGTCTCAGAGGTTCGCTTAAGGCCCTCAATGTAGTACCTGGGTATCACTGCTTGTTATTCAGGACCCAGGGGCTCTTCAGTTAGCAGGTGCTATATGCTGCCAGGACTGGGTTTTTCCCTTCAGGGCAGCACATTCCCTTCTGGCCCAGGGTGTGTCTAGAAGTGTTGTCCGGGAGCCAGGGCCTGGAACAGGGGTCTCACAACTCTGATCGTTGCCCCATCTTGCTGCAGCTGGGCTGTTATCCTAGAGGCAAAACAAAGCCCTCCCCACTCTTCCCTCTCCTCTCCTCAAGTAGAGATAAGGGGTCTCTTTTGGAGTCATGAGCTGTGCAGCCTGGGGTTAGGGGAGGGGTGAATCCCTTGGCTGCCCCAGCTGCTGTCCCAATATGTCACATGGCCCCCCCAGTCCACTGTCTATGGGCCTAATTCAGCACAAGGACTCACCTAAGAATTGCAGTTCTTACGGTCTAGACTGCCTTTCAACTTCACTTAGAGGCCCAGAGCACTTTAGTCCATGGTGGCAAGGTTTGTGGGAACTCAACTTTGCATGGCTGGGATTGGCACTTCTGCTCTAGCTAGGGCTGGATTAAATGCTCCCACCTTGTGCAGGCTTTAGCCGAGTTTGGTCTGGTTTTCTTTTCTGCTCGATGCTCTCCACACCACACTGCTGCTGATGGGTGTATGGGAGGGGTGGCATCAGCGATTCAGGACTGTTTTTTATCTCTACAGTGCCTGTTTCAGTGATATGAAGTTTAAGCCAGGTACTATAAGTGCTCACCTGATTTTTGGTTCTTATGAAGGTGTTTTTTCTGTGTAGATAGTTGTTAACTTGGCATCCTTGTGGGTGGTGCTATCAGTGGAACCTTCTATTCTACTATCTTGCTTCACCCTGTGTCCTTTTTAAGGCTGAATAACATTCCATTGTATGTATATATTATATTTTGTTTATTCATTTTTCTGTTGATGGACATTTGGGTTGCTTCTGCCTTTTGGCTATTGTTAAAAATGCTGCCATGAACATGAGTGTACAAATATCTCTTCTAGATTCTGTTTTCGGTTATCTTGGTTATATACCCAGAAGTAGCATTGCTGTATTTTCATTTTTTGTGTGTGTGTGAAGTGTAGCATACCTTGAGAACAGTGCAAAAATAGAAATGAATAACTCAAATGAATTTTACAAATTGAATATTCATGTAACAAGTTATTATCCAGAAGGCTCTCCAACTCCTACTCTTTCCCAACTACCACCTCTTCCCTCTTCTCTGTATTCAACCATTATTTACATTTCTAAACATTATAGTTAAGTTTGCATATTTAGGGACATTTTATAAATTGACTCAATCAAAATGTAGTTTTTTTGTGCCTGGCATATTTCATTCACATATGTATTTGTAAAATTCACCCCTATGATTGGTTGCATGTAGCTGTAATTCATTAATTTAATTTTAATTACAATATACTATCCATTGTATAAATATATAGCACAGTTTCAAATCAGTTCTACTCTTGATGGATATTTGAATTGTTTTGAGTTTAGAGATATTTCAAGAATGAGACATTCTTATACATGTCTCAGTGCAAATTTCTATAAGGTATGTATATATTTGTATAAGGTATGTATATAAAAGTAAAAATCTTAAGTCACATGGGTACGTACAAATTCAGTGTCAACTATTTTCTAAAGAGTGTATATCAATTTACAGTCTAATCAGCAGAGTGTTCGTTGCTCCATATTCTTGACAATATTTGGTAGTTTTCATCCTTTTCATCATAGTCATTCTGGGGTAAAATTTTACTATAGTTTTAATTTGCACTTTCCTAATTCCTAAGGTGGAAGAGCAACTTTACATATGTTTACTGGTCATTTGAATGCCCTCTTATAGTGAAGTGTCCATTTAAATCCCCAACAGTTTTATTAGGTTGTCTAACTTTATTGTTTATTTCTGCAAGTTTTCTACATTTTCTGTACATAAGCCCTTTGTCAGTTATTTGTGTTACAAATAATTTTTGCCATACCATGCCTTGGGTGTTCACTATATTAACCTATTTATGCCTGGGGTTGAATTTTTTTGAATTTTGCAGTCAGACCTTGGCGATGACCTTCAGCAGTAGGATGTAAATAACTCCCACATGCTTAGAGTTCCAATAATGGAACGCTAGGCATAAGTGGGTTTTAATGGTGTCTATTTTTCAGGTATTTATTTTAAATTAGTGCTTTTCATTACTGTTTAATAAATATTTTTCTATTTGAATTTCCTTAGTTCATGCAGATAGTTTTCCATGTTATCCTGTAGACATGTTATTGCTTTGCCTTTGACTTTTAGATGTGGAATTTGAGTTTGCATATGGTGAGGGGATCTAAGTCTACTTTATTTCCCATATAATGTCCACTGACCCAGCAACAGTTATTGAAGAGATTGTCTTTTCCTCACTTCTCTGCAGTGTGTCCTTTGTCCATATATGTGCAAGTCTATTTTTTTCACTCTATTCTGTCCCATTTGTTTATTCATCTGATCCAGTGTCAATAGTACATTCCCTTTATTGTCATAGCGTTAAAATGGACCTTTATATCCAGTAGACCAAATCCTCTGAACTATATCTTCAACATTGTTTTATACTATTCTTGGCTTTTTGCATTTCAATGTAAGTTTTAGAATTAGCTTATCAAGTTCCAACAACGCAGCCTATTGATATTTCATTGAAATTGCATTGACTATTTCTTAATTGCATTTTTATTGAGACATAATTCAAATAACATGAAATTCACCATTTTAAAGTATATACTTCAGTGGTTTTTTAGTTTATTCACAATGTTGTGTGACCATGACCACAAATTCCAGACACTTTCATCATCCCAAACTTTATACCTGTTAGAAGTGACTTCCAATTCTCCTCTTCTCCAATATCATAACAACAAACATACTCTCTGTGCTTATGTATTGCCTATTCTTGAAATATTATAAAAATGGAATAACACACTATGTATCTTTTACATATGTCTTCTTTCACTTTGCATTATGCTTTCAAGCTTTATCCATGTTAGAACATGTATCAATACTCCATTTATTTATGGCTAACTAATATTCCATTATATGACTATACCCAGTTGTGTTTATTCACTCCTCAATTGATGAACATTTGGATTGTCTCCACAGTTTAGCTATTATGAATAATGTTGCTAAAATATTTATGTACAACTTTTTGTGTGAACATATGCTTCCATTTCTCTGGGGTATATGCCTGGTAGTGGAATTTATAGATCATAGTGTGTTAGTATATGTTCAACCATATGAGTAACTGTCAGACTTTTTCCACAGCACGTGCACCATTTTGCATCTCCATCCACAATGTAAGATGGCTCAAATTTCATGACATCTTTATCAAGACTTCTTATTTTCCTTTTTTTAAAAGATTATAGCCATCTGATATAGTTTGGATATTTGTCTCCTCCAAATCTCGTGTTGAAATTTGATCCCCAATGGTAGAAGTGGGGCCTAACGGCAGGTGTTTGGGTCATGGGCGTGAATCCCTCATGAATGGTTTAGTGTCATCCTTGGGGTAATGAGTGAGTTCTCACTCCATTAGCTCCTGTGAGAACTGATTGTTACAAGGAGCCTGGAACCTCCTTCTCTCTCTCTCTTCTCTCCTGTCTCACCATGTGATGCCAGCTCCCCTTCACCTTCCATCATGAGTGGAAGTACCCAGAAGCAGATGTTGATGTCATGCTTCTTTTACAGCCTGCAGAAGTGTGAACAAAGTAAACCTTTTCTCCATAAATTACCCAGCCTCAAGTATTCCTTTATAGCGACATAAATGGATTAAGACAGAAAATTGATACTGAGAAGTGGAGCATTGCTATAAAGATACGGGAAAATGTGGAAGCAGCTTTGGAACTGAATAATGGGAATAGGTTGGAAGAGTTTGGAGGGCTCAAAAAAAGACAGAAAAATGAGGGAACATTCAGAACTTACTAGAGACTGGTTAAGTGGTTGTGTCTAAAATGCTTATACAAATATGAACAGTAGACTGGGTGCGGTGGCTCACACCTGTAATCCCAACTCTTTGGGAGGCCAAGTTGGAAGGATCACCTGAGCCCAGGAAGTCAAGGCCAGCCTGGACAACATAGCAAGACCTTGTCTCAAAAAAAAAAAAAATTAGCTGGATGCAATGGTAAACACCTGTAGCCCCAGCTGCTCAGAAGGCTGAGGCAGGAGATTCATTTGCACTTGGGAGGTTGAGGCCGCAATAAACCATGACTGTGCCACTGCACTCCAGCCTGCATGACAGAGTGAGAGCCTGTCTCAAAGAAAAAATTAAAAAAAAAAAAAAGAAAAGTGAAGGCCAGGTTGATGAGGTCTCAAATGAAAATAAGGAAGTTATTGGGAACTGGAGCAAAGATCACCTTTGTAAGGACTTAGCAAAAACTTTGGCTGCATTGTGTCTATGCTTTGTGGAAGGCCAAACTTAAGAGTGATGGCCTAGATTACCTGGCAGAACAAATTTCTTAGCAGCACAAAGCTCAAGAATTGGTGCGGGTGCTTCTAATGGCCTATGATTACATATGGGAGCAAAGGAATCATCTAAAGTTGGACTCTATAATTAAAAGGGAAACAGAGTGCGAAATTTTGGAAAATTTGTAGCCAGGCCATGAGATAGAGAAGAAAAAAGCATTCCTGTGGCAGTAATCTGAGGGTGCTATGGATCAATCAATTACTAGAGAGATCAGCATAACTAAAAGGGAGATGGTTGGTAATAGTCAAGACAATGGCAAAAAGGCCCCAGACATTTCAGAAACCTTCTTCAAGGCCACCACTCTTTTCATAGGCCCAGGGGCTAAGAAGACAGAATTGTTTCAGGATCCAGGCCCAGGATGCTGTTCAATGCATCCTGGCTGCTCCAGCTCCAGTCCAGAGGGTGCAAGTGGCAGCTTCCACGTGGTGATAAGGCTACAGACAGGCAGAATGCAAGAGTGATGAAGGTTTGGTAGCTTCTACCTAGATTTCAGAGGATGTATGGGAAAATCTGGGTGCCCAGGAAGAAGCCTGCTGCAGGGTGGAGCCCTTGCAGAAAAATTCTGCTAAGGCAATGCCAAGCGGAAATGTGGGATTGGAGTCCTTATGGAAAGTCCCCACTGGGATACTGTCTAGTGGAGTTGTGGGAGCTGCGAATGGGGCCACAGCCCTTCAGACCCCAGAATGGTAGAGCCACCAGCAGCATGTGAAACTGCTTTTGCAAAGATTATAATAGTGAGATAAACCTAGTATGGCTGACTCCTTCTTGCTTCTAGCCTCACAGGCTGATTGCCCTCGCTCATTCCTGGGCATAGACCAAGCTAACGATGGGAGGAATTTATAGTTTAGCTTTGAAGCAAGGATGATGATAGTCCCTCCCTAAAACTGACTCCTTCCTTGTTCAGGTGCTTAGACTGCCTTTGTAAGACTAATTGAAGGTCACAGGATTATGGGAGGGCCTTGAATTCTGCTAAAATGTAGGCATAGTTAAATGATAACCAGCCATTGTTTCCTAGCTTGCCTTTCTATAATCTGTTACTGCTTAAAAGTCATAAAGCCAGAGGTCACAAGATTTGTTACTTCTTCAGTTACTCCTATAGATAATAGATGACATCACTATTATGGAACATAAGATTGGTCTTTTGAGATGATTTTCATACTTCTGCATTCTGGCAACTGATTGACTCCACCTGGACCCTTAACTCACAACTTAACTCATTCTGTGGCCCCCAACCAGAGGTTGATGTAGTGCATAAGGATTGTTTTCCACATTCCTACAGTTTCATTCCCAACCAATCAGCAGAACCCATTCCCTAGCCCCCAATCTGCTAAAGTATCCATAAAAACCCTAGCCCCTGAGTTCTTGGGGCAGCTTATTTGAGTAATTACTCCTGTCCTTCCACTTCACCAGCACCATGATTATTAAACTTTTCTTCAAAAAACTGCTGTTCTTAGTGCATTGACTTTCCTAGGAAGCAGGCAAGATGAACTCATCAGGTGATCGATTACATGTGCACCCTCAGCCTGGAAAACCCACAGTCATTAGATTCCAACTGTGAGAGCAGCCATATGGGCTATGACCAGCAAAGCAATGGGAACAGGGCTGCCTGAGGCTTTGGGTGTGCCCTGGATGCAAGATATGAAGTCAAGAATTATTTCAGAGCTTTAAGGTCACCTTGTTTTATTATCTTCATGTGCCTGGTTTGTTTTTATTGGGGGATGGGTTATTGTATATTAAAATCACTTGAAAACATATTGAAACTTGGGATGATGTTATCCTCCTCCTTATAGCAAATTTGCATTTGCTTCTGGGAGAAGGGGTAAGATACCATCAATGCAGATCAATTTAATCCAGTTATAGAGTCCAAAATTATGTGAAGCAAATCTTTAGTCTCTGAGGGGGTTAGAGTATTTCTGGCTCAACTTTAATCCAAGTTATGTTCCTTTGGCATCTCAACCCAAAATATAAGAGGTTTACAAGGCTTCCTACTCTTTGGTGGACCCTAATAGCCCTATAAATTTTGCTCAGCTTCTTCGTATCTCGGCAGCCTCCTCCAAAATCAGCAGATATCCAATGAAGGGAAAAAAAAAACTGTTCCAAAGAAGAATTTATTTTGGTGTTTCCTTGCCCCACACTGAGCTCTTGATGCCATAATTCTTTAATATTACTTAGCTTTATCATGCCTCAAACAGAATTTTAGAAAACATTTTGTTCAGGTGTTCTAGTTGCTCTCTGTAAAAGAGTTGGTCAGCATTACCTAGTCTGCCATTACAAGAAGTGGAAATTTTCCTAAATAGAACTTGAATTAGAAATTTCAATCTTCTTCCAACCAGTATGTTGGAACTTGCTTGTTTTCTCCTTTCCCTGACATAAAGTTAAGTTGATACCCCAAAATAGAAAAAGATAAGAGAAAGGATAGAAAGTGAAGAATAATGCACAATCTGGATAACAGGTTTTCTGAACAATCAAGAACTAAGTAGTTTTACATTAATAATAAAATGTGCATTAATTAATTTACAGTAATCACTATGATAAATACTGAACACTAACACTTTCTAATCCCTTGTTTCCTTGAAGAATTTATTGATTAATCCCTCCTTTCTTCCAATATACATGCCACTTCTGTCACATACTAATTTCTCATTTAAGTGTAGTTTTCTTCTGTTACACTGTTTTCTTCTCTCTCCTCTCTCTCACACACACATACACAAACACACACATACACACACACACACACACAGACATACACTCCCCTCCAATATTACATACTTTTTGTTTGTATCTTTATAATATGTTTTGAAAACTGATGGCTAAATGGACCCTTTTAAAAATGGTTTTGATTATTCTTCATCATATTTCCATGGATTTGCTAAAAATCCAGTTGTTATTTGAAGTGAAATTCCACTTAATTTAAAAGAAAGTTTGGTAAGAATTGACCTCTGAACCTTATTGAATCCTTGCATGCCACCATTATGTGTATGTTTATTTTATACTATCTTTTGACACATAATGAAGATATAAATAGAATTTTCTTCAAATAGGTCTTACACATCTTTTGTTAGACTTACTACTAATTACCTTATGGGTTTTCTGAGAAAATCATATTTTAAATTTTAATTGTTTTCTAATTACACACACACACTTTGGTCTGAATATTTGCTTAGGTTATATATTTAGAAACTTAAATCATCTTTGATTAAAGACAAATTTTATTACTTTCTGATCCCTATTCTTTTTCTTCTTTTGTACTAGGTAGAAACTTCTATTGCAATGTTGAAAAGGTATGAGAATGACCATCTCTATCTGCTTGCTGGCTTTAAATAATACACCTAGTATTTTACTACCAAGTGTTGTGTTTATGTAAGATTTTGATAGATACCATTGATAGAGTTAAAGAAGTTTACAAGTTGCTAGAATTATATGTTAATTTTATTAAAAGATTTTTCTGCATCTAATAGATGCAGATCTTATTTTCTTTACCTCTTTTAATTTTTTAGTGAATTTTCTAATATTAAACCATCCTTAATTTTTAGAATAAATCATCCTTGTGTTACATTTTAAAAATACATTGCTGAATTATGTTAGCTAATGTAATATTGAGTGTTTTAGATCTATGTTTCTGAGACTGGCCTATTATTGTCCTATCTTATACTATTCTTTTTTTTTTCTTTTCTGTGAAATGAAGCCTTATCAAGTGGAGACCAGCATACACAGAAATGCACAACTGACTGATAGCTAGTAATTATGTATAATTCAGGAATTGTGCTTAATAACTTTTTATGCACAAGGTGTGATTATTCTCTAACCCATGAAGACACAGGTTCTCATTTGTAAGGGTACATTTTCTGGAAATCTCTGAAAGAAAGAAAGAAAGGGTTTTGTTTCTCCGTAATTTGTTTCTTTTTCTTTATTTCTTTTTTTTTGTTGGTGGGGGGGGACATGGATGAAGCTGGAAACCATCATTCTCAGCTAACTATCACAAAGACAAAAAACCAAACACTGCCTGTTCTCACTCATATGTGGGAATTGAACAATGAGAACACTTGGACCCAGGAAGGGGAACATCACACACCGGGGCCTGTTGTGGGGTGGGGGGAGGGGGGAGGGAAAGCATTAGGAGATATACTTAATGTAAATGACGAGTTAATGGGTGCAGCACACCAGCATGGCGCATGTATACATATGTAACAAACCTGCACATTGTGCACATGTACCCTAGAACTTAAAGTATATAATAATAAAAAAGTATACTATTCTTATCAGTTTTGTATATCAGTGTTATAAGATTTTTATAAAATGAGCAGAATAAACACCTTCTTTTTCTGCTCTCTGAAACTGTTTGAATAAAGACAGGAATTATCTATTCCTGGAGGCTTTGCAAAGCACACCTAATGACACCTTCCAGACCTCATACTTTTAGAAAGAAATACATTTATAATATTAATCCAATATATTTAATGTTTGTAAGACTATTTTGAGCAATTGAGTGAGCCCTAATCCAATTTTATTAATCCATATTTACCTAAAAAACTTCCCGTTTCATTTTGGTTTTCCCATTTAGTGGTATCAAGTTGTCCATAATATGTTGTTATAAGTTGGAAATTTAAAAGTTCCTACCAAAGCAATATTATGACCCCCTTTTTATGCTAATACTAATACTATTTGATTGTGCCTTCTATTTATTCAACAACATTGCCAGAAATTTCTATATCTTAGTATATCAGGTTTTGAAATCCTCTCTATTGTTTGTCTTTTCTTTTAATTAGTATCTGCTCTTCTATTTATGGTTTTCTTTTTTTTTCTTTTCTTTTTTTTTTATTTTACTTTATACTAATGTTCTTAGTCTAACTTTTCAAAGTGAATACTTGTCTCAGTAATTTTCAATCTTTCTTTTTTTCCAAATACATTCATCTTAGGCTATAAAGGTCCTTCTAAATACTACTTTTTCTTCATTCTACAAGTTTTGGTTTATAGTGGTTTTATTGTTCTTCACTTATAAGTATTTAATAATCTCCATTATGGTTTCTAATTTAGATCATTATTTATTTAAAAATTTGTCCCTATAGGTGTTTTTAATTCCCACATATAGCAGCTACACACACAGGCTTTATTTGGGTGACACATTGGTTGACAGGTTTGCATGCAAGGGAAGTCCCTCACAGCATGAGACTGCCCAAGGCTATGGTACAGGACAACCATCCAGAAGAGGAATAGGACACAAGGACTCCCAGGGGAGACGGGAATTAAAGATGGGGGTTCATGTGATGGGGTGATGTCACTCAGCAGCACTTTGGGGAATCACTGGGTCAGAGAATTTTGAAGGGCAGCAGTGGCTTGGGGCCTTTATAGCCACAGGATTTCTCTTATCTAGGGCTAACAGATGTGCAGTTTCACAGAATATGCAAAGCAGGCAGACTCTAAATGGCTAAAAATCTGCTTATTTGGGGTATGTTTAAAACAATGGGATGTGTAAAAATTTGGGTGTGGTGCCAGAGAGCATTCGAGCTAACGAGTCTCAGCCTGCTGTGAAGAAATAAACAACGTAGGGGCCAATATACAGAGGACATCTTTGGCTCATTTATGTAACAAGTTTTAAAAAGGCATATGCATTAGTTCAATATGCCATGTTGTGTGAACTGCTATACTTAGCTCTTTACCAATGAGCATCATGCTGAAATTGTTTATATTTTAAGTCTGCTGCACTAATTCTTAAGTAACTCTTTTAAACTCTAGTAATAATTTTACAATGAATGATAATAAGGCAGTTCCCAGGTAGCTACGGCCAAGATCTGTTTTTTCCATAAGAGGAACATCACTGAAATGTAAATTATTGGAAGGGAAAGAATTACAGTGCTACATCATCTGATTTAATGTTTCATTTAAAAGATGAAGAAATTGAGTCACAGACAGCCTAAACAATTTGTTTACAGTAACATAGTTAACTAGTGACAGTACTCAACCAGGATCCAGGTTTCTTGGTTGTCAGTCAAACAGTTTTCCTACTCTACCATAACAGGTCAAATCTAGCATTTGTACTAATAATTTTATAAATAGGATCTACCAACTGTTTTGCTCCAACAATGTTGCATTTGCTTTACATATATTCCTCATTTTGTCTTTATCAAAACCTTGTGTTACAGATGATGGAAAGAGACTAAAAATGTAAACAGAAATAAAACCAACACTAGCATATGGGTGTCCATTCCCAAACCCTTCCTCTCTGTGCTACATAATGGTGATAGTGGGGATAGAGCTATAGTTAATAGATATATAGTTAATGCTGCATGGCAATGCTGAAATTTTATAATGACCAGCATTTTTCCTTACTAAATCAAAGTGTTATTTGAAAAGAGTAACAGTGAACAATTTTATCGATTTTAATTCATTCTTAGCAATGGGTGATAATTTCATTAAGATGTTTTATGAGTATTGTGCTCCATAACAACTTTATCCTCACAAGAGAGAGCATATATGAGGTATGAGAGATGCACACTGTGAGCCTGTTTCTTTATGTTCATTATTGTTTTGTTTTTCAGACAAAGAAGAGTAATAGCATTTACCACGTACTTTTATCACTAACTCTTATGACCCAGTCTTTTAAACATGTCAGCCTTTGTAGACATGTGTTTAACTACTATCTCAAGTTATAAAATTGAAGTGGGAAATGCTTTCAGGTTACTCTGATGTTCTTTTTAGGATTTAAGCACATTTTCTTCCTCAAATGATATTGTAACCAAATGCAAGTCCAGCTGCTCGCTGCCTGAGAAGCCAATCACACAAGAGGTGAGGTGTGGTGAAAGGAAAGCAGCTTTATTAATTAAACACTAGCTGTTGAGAAATGTCTAGGTGCATGCCTCCAAAAGACCATTTCAAATTTTAGCCTTGGTAAGGAGTTTAAGAAAAGAAACTTGGTATGAGAAACATACTTGAGGAGTGAGGGATACAGGGACTACATGTCTCATTCCAATGGCTATCTTGAGTTATTGTCCGGCTGGAGTGTGAGCTGGTGCCATTTCAACAATGACTGAGTCATAGATTTACCGCTTTGAGGTAATCTGTAGATGGGGAGGATTCTATAGCTGAGTCTCTATGCCTGGTTCATTTGAAGATTAGCCCCTGGAATTTCTAAGCAAGCACATAATTAGATAAAGCAGCACAGTGAAAGGAGTGTCCAGTGGGAAGGGAGGGAAACAAAGAGTTTCAAAAAGAAAAAAAAGTTTTAAAATTCATTTTGAAGCTAAGCTACTTGGTTACAATATAAGAGTTATCTTTAAAGCTAATTTCAGCTCCTCAAATTAAAAAAAAAAAGCTGACTATACGGTAAGCACAAAATTTACATTTATATGCAGATATGAGGAAAGCAAGAGAATCTGCTGTGAAAGGTGAATATTTCAGAAATACTTGTAGTATGCATATTTCAAAGTAAGTTATGCTGATATCATGTCAATCCTGGAACATAGATCACCTGTAACTAAAGCACTTCACCTGAGTCATGTTAATTTTATAGAATAAGGTATTCTTTTCTTAGTTTATTAGCCCTCATTTATTGCTTCTTGTACAAAATGTTCCACAAGAAAAATAACACTGATGACCAGGCAACAACATTTCATAAGTGTCTCTGACATTAATCAGTGTGCTTGAATCCAAGGAGCTATTATTTTAGACACATTTAAATCCTGATTGCATTTTATTCTGCCTTGGCAATGTTCACAATGTGATCTTCATTAGAATGTATTTTAAGCTTTCACATGCTGGCATGGCCATTATTTGTATTCTGCACTGTGAGCAGTAAATCATGTGGAAGGTGCCTAGGTGCAGAGTTCCAGGGTCCAAAATTTGCCTTCTTTTGGTTTTCATTTTGTTGCTTAATATTTCTCTTGAACTGAAAGGAGGTTCAGAATATAACTCTCTCTGAGAACTAAGCACATTAATGAGAATCTCAGATTCCTACCATTTTTAAATGAATTTGAAGATGTCTACCCTGATCCTCTAGTACCTTCACTTTAGTGGGTCAACAAAAAGTAGTTCGAGTATATCCACATATCTTGGTTCATGTCAGAGCTTTGCAGAATTACTTCTATTGCTTTGAGTACTTTGAGAAAATGCTAAAGGGCCTGATGTCCTGCAGTTCTTCCTACCACCTGCACATGTGTGTCCCTGACCTGGAAGCTCTTTTAACTAATTTCAGAAAGGGCCTGGAGCCCTCATGCTTATTACATTCCCCTTAGTAGTATGGAGCTCTAATATAAGGAGCCAATTATGGTGAGTTTTCCAGTTAAAAATATGTGAATTAGGTCAAGTTTGGCATCCAGACCTAACTTCCCACAGCAGGTACCCTTTTTTTTCCTGCTTACCGTTTATGCCTTATGTATGGCACATTCTACAGTGTCACATAATGTTGAAAATCATGTCATTTAGAATCAAATACTTCAGTTAGTGGAAGCCATAGGTTCTCGGTTCCCCAAAAGTTTACTAAAAAGTCACTTGTGTGAAAGGAAAATATCTTGGGGCTCCAAAGTCACTAAGCTAAAGGGAAAAGTCAGGCTGGAAACTGCTTAGGGCAACCCTGCCTCCCATTCTATTCAAAGTCACCCCTCTGCTCACTGTGATAAATGCATATCTGATTGCCTCCTTTGGAGAGGCTAATCAGAAACTAACAAGAATGCCACCATTTGTCTCTTATCCACCTATGACCTGGAAGCCCCCTCCTCGCTTTGAGTAGTTCTGCCTTTCCAGAACGAAACAATGTTCATCTTACATATGTTGATTGATGTCTCTTTTCTCCCTAAAATGCATAAAACCAAACTGTGTTCTGACCTCCTTGGGCACATGTCCTCAAGACCTCTTGTGGCTGTGTCACAGGCATGTGTCCTCAACCTTGGCAAAATAAACTTTCTAAATTAACTGAGACCTGTCTCAGATTTTTGGGGTTCACACTGGCATGAGGCATGTTAATAGGAGAAAAGGAATGTAAATTTATTTAATGTGTAGACATGAGCGCCTTCTAAATGATGACTCAACTTTCCAATAAGTAACAGAAACTTGTATACCATTTTGAAATTACAGAAAGAATGTTAACTTAAAGTATGTCAAAAAACAGGCTTTAGTGGCAAGGCAGGTTATAGGAGGAAGAAAGGAAGAGGCTTGTCTCGATGAAGATGAAGTGTCTTTCAGAGGGAATAGATGGTAAATGTTTCTTTTCAGGTTTCTTAAGGTGTGAGACTCTCAGTCCTTCCTGGATCTAGGAAAGATGTGGAAAGCAGCGGTATGGCTTTATTAATGGAGATGCTCTACAGATGCAAATTTTTCCCACCAGAAAACAGCTTTGCAAGGCCACTTCTGTTTGCTGGCCAATTGGCAGCCATTTCAAAATATGTCAAAGAAATATATCTTGGGGTAAAATGTTTTAATTTCCTTCAAATTTGAATACTAGCTCCCCACTTACAAGCTTGTGACCTAAAGCAGTGGTTTTTAATGGGGTAATTTTGTACCTTGCCCGACTCCTCAGTGGGGCTGCAAGTATATTTGGCATTATAGGGTGTATTTGTCAGGGTTCTCTAGAGGGACAGAACTAATAGGATAGATGTTTGTATGAAAGGGAGTTTATGAAGGAGTATTGACTCACACACTCACAAGGTGAAGTCCCACAATAGGCCATCTGCAAGCTGAGGAGCAAGGAAGTCAGTCTGAGTCCCAAAACCTCAAAAGTAGGGAAGCCGACAGTGCAGACTTCAGTCTGTTGCCTAAGGCCCGAGAGCCCCTGGCAAACCACTGGCGTAGGCCTAAGAGTCCAAAAGCTGAAGAACTTGGATTCCGATATTTGAGGGCAGGAAGCATCCAGCATGGGAGAAAGAAGAAGGCTGGAAGACTCAGCAAGTCTGTTCTTCCATCTTCTCCTGCCTGCTTTATTGTAGCCATGCTGACAGCTGATTAGATGGTGCCCATGCAGATTGAGGGTGAGTTTGCCTTTCCCAGTCCACTGATTCAAGTGTTTATCTCCTTTGACAACACCCTCACATACACACCCAGGAACAACACTTTGCCTGCTTCAATTCAACCTAGTTGACACTCAATATTAAGTATCACATCTGGAGATATTTTTGATTGTCATGAATATACATGGGTTTTGAAGTCAGAAAGACTTTAGGCCTAAGTCCAGATTTCTTGGATAAAGGAGTGTGGTGATCTTGGGCAGATTACTCTAGTCTCTGATCCTCACATTTTTTGAAGGTCAAACTAACCAAATTTTAAAAACACCTTAATTAATGTCTGGTACATGATAGGCACTTGATAAATGTTCACTTCCATTCCTGTCTCCAACAGTCTACCCACATCTATCCTGTTCCAAGGGAGAATAGACAAATAAATATTGTTTTCTTGAGTGCCCTACTCTACAAAAAAAATCATAATAGATCATACAGGGGAGATGGTAGCCTAGATAATAGAGGGCTGCAAATCCTCATTGTGCTTAGACTGGGAAAATATCTCTGCTGCCTTTGAGTATATGTCTCCCTGTAGTAAGTATAAGGATGATGTGGTAGACCCACAATCATTAGAGATTCCACCTTAGAACAGTCACAGAATGAAAATCAGAAAAGCAATGCAGTGGTTACAAACAAAATTTTTAAATAGACTAAACCGGTTTAGAAAATTTGGCAATGGGGAAAACGTATTATTGTGAAATATATGATTTTGTTTTCTGTATTATATACACACATATACAGATACAATTACAGGTTGAGCACTCTGAATCTGAAAATCCCAAATCTAAAACTTTTTGCGTGCTCACATAACAGTTAAAGGAAATGCTCTTTGGAGCATTTCAGATTTCAAATCTCTGGATTAGGGATACTGAACCTTTAAGTATAATGCAAATATTCCAAAATCTGGGAAAATCTTAAATTTGAACACTTCTGGTTCCAAGCATTTTAAATAAGGGATACTCAACTTGAATATACATACACACACATACACACATATACATGTATGTACATATGTATACATAGTGTGTGTGTGTGTGTGTGTGTGTGTGTGTGTGTTTGTGTGTGTGTAAAGCCATAATGTAAAATTCACTTCTTTTGTGGTAAAAAAATTTCGAAAAACACTACATTATATTTGGATTTTGGGATTTGGTTTTTATTTCTAACAGGATGTATTCACAATGTGCTACTCATAATGTCTTACCCAGTCAGTCCCGTTTGTGATCACTGCCATCAAATTCAAGGGTGAGTAGGCAACATTGGAGTAGGGCAGTCTGTGACCATAAAACACAATGTGTTTCAGTGAAAAGGATCATATATTTATTTTTGGTGCTCTACTTGCCTATGACAATATTCTAAATAAAGTAGACCATCAATAAATAAATAACTGCTTATTTTATTTCAGGAAGTAGTATAATAACAGGTGAAACATCACTCTGATGCCTTCAGAACTATGTCCTACCACCTGCAGAAAAACTTATATGCTGGGTTAATATATTTTGAAAAAAACAATCCTCTTTTTAATTTTCATTTTCTCTTCTAGAAGGGTTAATAATTGGTAGACCAGGGATATAACCCAAAATAGTGCCTGTAGATATCAGATATTTTTTTGATATAGGTTCTCACTCTGTCTCCCAGGCTGGAGTACAGTGGCGTGATCATGGCTTACTGTAGCCTTGACCTCCCTGGGCTCAGGTGATCCTCCCACCTCAGCCTCCCACGTAGCTGGGAACACAGGCATGCACCACCACACCTGGCTAATTTTTTCTATTTTTTTGTAGAGACTGGGTTTCATCTTGTTGCCCACGCTGATCTCAAACTCTTGAGTTCATGCGATCCACCTGCCTCGTCCTCCCAAAGTGTTGGGATTACAGGCATAAGCCACCGTGCCCAGCTTAGATATCAGATTTTAACAGGATAGAGAAATGTGACCCAGATGATAGTATACAGAACTAAAACAAAGGATGCAATGACTAAATTCGAATGACTAGAATGTGAATGACTAAAACAACAAAAAAAATGCTATTTCATGGGATAATGTCAACTTGAAATGGAGTAATGTTAAACTAAAAGGAGATCTCCAGCAACATGCCAATATGAATGATATAAATAGCAAGTTGGTAGATACCACAAATCTGGGTTGGGGGGTGATGGTTTGGCTTTGTGTCCTCACCCAAATATCATCTCGAATTGTAATCCCCACATGTCAAGGAAGGGTTCTGGTGGGAGGTCACTGGATCATGGGGGCAGTTTCTCCCATGCTGTTCTTGTGACAGTAAGGGAGTTCTCATGAGATCTGATGTGTTTTAAAAGTAGCAGTTTCCCCTGCATTCTCTCTCTTTTCTGCTGCCATGTAAGACGTGCCTTGCTTCCCCTTCACCTTCCTCCATGATTGTTAAGTTTCCTGAGGCCTCCCCAGCCATATGGAACTGTGGGTCAATTAAACCTCCTTTCTTTATAAATTACCCAGTCTTAGGTAGTATCTTTATAGCAGTGTGAAAACAAACTAATACTGGGAGAAAATGTTTTAAATGACAAAATCAGAATCCCTATGAATTATCACAGACTGGTACAAAGGACAAGTGAAATCTAACAAGATAAATTATAATAGGGATAAGTATAAGGTCTGGTATTCAGATCCAAAAAGCCAACTATACAAGTACAGCAAGGGAAAGACATGACTTAGCAACAATGCATATATTTTTAAAAGGAAAAAAGAAAAAGCAAAAAAAAGAAAAGAAGAAGACTTGAATATTTTAGCTTAAAATGAATTCAAAATGAGTCCACACTTAAAATTTGAATTATAATTAGGTTATAATTAATACTGGGTTATAGTTTATGTTAATACAACCATAGTATTTTAAATAAAGGAGTTGACAATCTTTCACAGACCATAACTGAGTATAGTGCTCAGTTCCATGAGCCATAACTTAAAAGTTTGTTTGTATGAAAGCAGTCAACTGAAGAAAGAATTTGAAACCATTTTATATGAAGAACAGGTAAAGGAACTAGAAATGTTCAATCTGAAAAAGAGGAGCCAATGGATGAATACTTAAATTCCTTATGTAAAACTCTCGAAGAAGAAATTGGAACAGTTGGGTGAAAGTTACCACACGTCAGCTTTCACCTTGGTGAAGGTTACCAAATATAGGGAAAAGTTTTGCTGCCTCTGGAGGTTGTAAGTTCCTGGGTAAAAAGAAAGAGTGAAGTATTCACTTGGAAACAAAACAATCACTTTGCAGGAATGTCGCAAATTGGATTAAACTGTCAGAATGTTTTAGTACACAATGACCTTCAAGGTCCTTTTCAACCTTCAAAGTAAATAATTTTAGAAATAATTACTGTATATACTATATATTATTTTATGACTTTAGGATTGTCCCTAAATTTTTTTTTAAGGAGGAATGTAAAAACTCCACAGGATTACAAATCCTTACATTAAACATTTTAAATTATATATATTAGCTGACACTGCTTTGGCATCAAGCAAACTTAAAACTTATAGTAGTATAAATGTGTATTTTAAAGGAATAAGTATAACAAACCCCAGATAAGTGTCAAGTACTTACATGAATACTAATATGTCTCTGGTCCCTAAGAGATTTAGAGGGACAAATTCAGTCTGAGTATTTTCAAAATATCTGTATAGTTTTTTTCATACATATAAAACACTAAAGGTATGACAGATTATTTTTTCACTTTTTATTTTGGTTTTGGCTAAATGCAACCTGAATCCCCAACTTCAGACTGATCTACTGGGAGCAAATTTGAGATGGCTGCAGACATCCAGATGTTCTGTTTGTTTGGTGGCTGGCAAACAGCCCCTTTACTTCAAATACTGCCCACTTTGGCAGACTGGTTTGTTGATTACAAAGAAAAATCCCATTAGGACCACCCCTAATAAGATGATAGTCTTTAGATTATTCAATCATTAAAACAACAAAAATAATATGTAAATCACCAAAAAGTTGAATTACCAAAGCACTGCTGAATTTTTGTCATTTATTTACAAATTCCCCTGTGAACAGGCTCTTTCTTGTCATTTATTTGCTTTGGCAGGCCACTTATCAAAACAGAGAGTCTAAAAAAGCATCCCAAATAAAATGACTGGTTCCACTAATCATGTCATCAATGGTATTATTCATTCTTACATTTCTAACCACCTTTATCACTGCTTCTGGGAAAGCAACTATACAGCATTTAGGCAGTAAGGGATCCTTTAATGTATCATAGCACAGTTTGGCACACCAAACAATAGCATAACATCCAATCATCATGAAACATTAATCCTTAAAATATTAGGTGGTCAAAATAAAATATTTATCCACAACAGTGTACATACAAATACATGAATTAATGATTTCCAGAAGCTATGTGTTTTGTGCAGTCTAAAGTCACAGCTATAAATATCAAAAGGCAACAGAAAATGGTGTCAATAAGTGAACACAAATGCCCCAATATATTGCTTTTATTTTAGTAATTTCATGCACATCTGCATTTAAATAATTTTTTAAAGGTAAAAAGAGATAATCCTACCACATCATATGTTGTTTGTTATGCTATAGAAGACAACCATATTTTCAAATACTCCTTCAGTCACTTTTTCATCATTACTAGTGGACAGTATTGATTCTATTTTGACCATATAATGTATCACAGAATATCACAAGTGCAAACAAAGATGAAGAGAAAATGAATGCTATGTGCATTTGTAAAATGCCACAGCAATTATTCATTTGTTTACTTGGTCACCTTTTCTCTGGCCAGGAGAAGCTAGGGCCTTAAGCTTCACAGAAAAGTTGGTCTGTCTTCCATTTTACATATATGAGAGACCCTATGCACACACACACAGACACACATAAGCACATTCATAAATTATTTTAATCAAACATAAAGCATTCAACCTGTAAAAGCAAACTGTAGGCAAAACAAAAGGTGAGTTACTCATTCCAATCTAGTAAAGAATGTCATATCTTTCTTTGAAAAGTGAGGAATATAACAAAGGGCCATAGAGTGAGTTTTTTTTTTTCCAAATAAAAATATGTTTGTGGGTTCTTTAAATATAATCTTAGCTCAAAGTAGCTCTATAAAGCATTCAAGTATTCCCCGGGGTGGAATATGATAATATGTGAATTCTTTAACAATGTTTTAGCTGGTCATGTAATTCATTATTATGATGAGGAAATTAAATCAACATATTCATGCTGTTTTTCTTATAAAGATAAAAGGATGTCCAGTTTGAATCATTGTCAAGTTGTCATTTTTGAGGAAAAATCTCATTACATAATCTTCACTTTCAGTGCTTGCAATCAATCTTTTACTTATAACAAATTAGGGGAGAAGTGGCTTTTCTCAGTTGAGACTTGTTTCTACATGTCTAAATATTGAGCTATTCAGGGTCATGATAAACTCCACGAAAAAGAGCTGAAGGCCTTAGACACATGTAAGACCTTTGTGTACATGGTTTTCAAGAATCAGCTTATTTAATTTAAAGCTCTGTTTCTGTGTCTCTGATAAGAGATTAGGAGAGGTTTCTGTATTTTGTAATAATCTATAATTTAAGTCCTTTAGTTACTTTTCCTATGAAATCCTTGATCAATTTAATTCTGCAATGAAAAATGTTAGGGTATGTGGTTCACTGAATACAGGATATGACCTGCAGTCGACACAAAGTAAGTTAAGAACTCAATACCCCTATCAAAATTAGTACGGAACATTCATAAGTGTATGAATATCTTTCTCACATTGCATCACTCTCATACTGACTACTCTTCTGCCTCTCACTTCCACCTTTTATACCCCTTATTATGACATTGCACCAACCCAGATTATCCAGGATAATCTCCCTATTTTAAGGATAGTTGATTAGCAATCTTAATTCTCCTTTGCCATGTGAAATAACATATTCATGTTTTCCAAGGATTAGGACACATACATCTTCAGTGACCATTATTCTGTCTACCGCACCTGCCAATAACTACATGAGTGAGCTTGGAAATGGATCTTTTCACAGTGGCGACTTCAGATGAGCTCCCAGCCCTGGCTTACAACTTTAGTGCAGCTTTGTGGGAGACCCTAAAGCAGAGGTCCCAGCTGAGCTATACCCAGATTCCTGACCCACAGAAACTGAGATAATAAATGTGCATTACTTTAACTGCTAAATTCTGGTAATTTGTTACACAGCAATAGATAACCAATACAGTACTTAAAACTATTGTTTTTATTTGCACATTTTAGCTAGGTTTTATTTTTGCATCCATTTAATTAGAAATAAATGTACCTTCTTGATTTCAGGTTGTGGAAATTACAGGTTACATTTAAGTTATTCAAACCAATAGTTGGAATGATCAATTACCATAGTGTTTATAATGAAAAGCTCCAATGTACTACCCTCACATATTAATTATATGAAATCAACAATAAAAATCACTCTTATTTTAGCTACAGACTGATCCTTAGAATCTGATTACAGTATAGGAAGATGATCAGTCAGAGAAAAAGGCATGGTAGCCTAGCCACACCACAATGCTTGCAATTATAAAGAAATTGTAGTGCATTCAACTGAAATTTTAGCTGCTGGAATCAAATTAATGTGTTGCTAGTTACATTTTCACTTCCTCCAAAATCAAGGATGTTTTCTCTTCTTTATAGAACAGGGAGCACCAAGAGATGAAATTACCATAAAAACTAAAAAGCTGATTTATCTTGCAATGTTTTTCGTTATATTCAATGGGTGATATGTGTACCAATTGGTCTGTAACTGACTCACTTAATTGGTTAAACCATGGAAATAATGAGTGAAGTTAATTGCCCTCGATAGAACGGAACTCAAGACTCTTTAGCACTATGTTCCTCTCTGCCAAATGAATACTGTTTTTTTAAATGAATCATGGATATTAACAAGCTTTGCCATTCACTAGTGAGAAACTATAAATTTGTACATGTCCATATATATGTATTTTTTGATAGCTATTCAGAGAGACTGCCTGTTTAATGCCAATCAGTTGGGTTTCACTGTTACTTCTGGGTAAGGAAGAATAATCATACAAATGGTTTTATAAACTGAAACTAGTACGTGCTAAGCATGTTTTCATATATTAATTAACACCTGTATTCTGTAGGTATAATTATTCCCATTTTATAGATGGGGAAATTGAGTCAGAGAAAGAATAAGCAACTTGCTTAATATCACATAGCTAGCAATTGCCGGTGCTAGGATCCAAAATCTGTTTATCCACTATACTACACAAGAGTTCCAAGAGTTTTAATAGTCTTAATTGTTCTAAAATTCAGATGTCTAAGTAGAAAAACTATATTTATTAGTGTTATGGATTGAATTGTGTCCCCCCGAAAAATTCATGTTGAAGTTCTAAACTCCAGTACTTTTGAATGTGACCTTATTTAATTAGTTACAATGAGCTCACTAGGGAGGCCCCTAATCCAATATGACTGCTGTTCTTATAAACAGCAGAATTTTGGACAAAGGCAGACACACACAGAGGGGAAACAATGTGAAGAGACACAGGGACAAGACAGACATTCACACCCCCAGGAGAAAGGCCTAGAACAGAGTATCCCCCCATAGCCCTCAGAAAGAACCAGCCCTGCCAATATCTTCGTTTCGGGCTTCTAGCCTTCAAACCTGTGAGGCTAAATTTCTGTTGTTTAAGCCATCCAGTCTGTGGTACTTTGTTAAGGCAGCCCTAGCAAACTAATACGATGAGTATTACTTTTTTCTAGATGGTAATAAAAATATGGAAATTTCTCTGAGAAAACTCTATCTGGCTGTCAAATGCTGAGCCTACACTGTTTTCTAGTGAATTTTTAAGTTTTATTCCAGTTGGTGGTTTCATGCATTACTTTATCGAAGCACATGAGGCAACGGTTCAAGCAAGCAACCTCCAGTTAACCAAGTCAAGGTGGTCGAATCCTATGGATGAGGGCATCGGATGGCAGCCCCCGGGCGCGGGCTGACAAGTGGAGCTGGCCTGAACTTCCGGGCCTTCGGACCTTCCAGGAGAATTGGATCCCAGCCACACCAGGAGCTGAAGCCATGGCCTCAAAGCCTGAGAAGAGTGTGGCATCGTCTGTCTTTATCACCCTTGCACCCCTGTGCCACGATTTAGCTGTGGTTGAGGAAGGGGGCAGGCGGTTTGTGAGGCCTGATGTGGCCTCCCCTGGGAGGCTCCTGCCCCCATGAAGGCACCCGGAGCTGGCTTAGCGGGAAAGCCCAGCCCCTGGGCACCCCCTGGCAGGGCTGCAGCCACAGTGCCAGCTGCACCTCTGCAGCTCTCCAATGGAGGATGCTCACCCCCTCCTCCTGTCCTGGATGGTGAGGACGCACTTCCTGACCTGGACCTCGTCCCACCCCCTCCACTGCCCCCTCCGGTGCTCCTGTCTTCTGAAGAAGAGGCTCCTGCTCCAATGGGGGCCTCACTCATTGCAGACTTAGAGCGGTTGCACCTGCCCTCGCCCCCACCCCGACCACAGGCCCCAGTGGAGGGACCTTCAGTCCAGCCTGGGCCCAGTCCCCTCGGGCCTGGGGAGGAAGAGCTTCCGCCTTCCCCAGCAGAGCCTGTTGAGAGAGAGTCGTCCACAGACATCTGTGCCTTCTGCCACAAAACCGTGTCCCCCGCAAGAGCTGGCTGTGGAGGCCATAAAGAGGCAGTACCATGCCCAGTGCTTCACGTGGCACACCTGCCACCGCCAGCTAGCTGGGCAGAGCTTCTACCAGGATGGGCGACCCCTCTGCAAACCCTGCTACCAGGACACACTGGAGAAGTGCGGCAAGTGTGGCCAGGTGGTCCGGGAGCACATCATCAGGGCCCTGGGCCAGGCCTTCCACCCCTCCTGCTTCATGTGTGTGACCTGTGCCCGGTGCATCCAGGATGAGAGCTCTGCCCTGGGCAGCCAAAACGAGATGTACTGCCTAGACGAATTCTACAAGAAATTTGCTCCCGTATGCAGCATCTGTGAGAATCCCATTATTCCTCGGGATGGGAAAGATGCCTTCAAAATCAAGTGCATGGGAAGAAACTTCCATGTAAATTGCTACAGGTGTGAGGACTGCAGGATCCTCCTGTCTGTGGAGCCCAGGAACCAAGGCTGCTACCCCCTGGACAACCATCTCTTCTGCAAGCAGTGCCACGTGAAGCAGAGTGCTGCTGGGTGCTGCTGAGAGCACCGCTGGGTGTTAGGCAGTGAGCGGACCACTAGGTCCCTTCCTGACCTGCTCTTGCACACTTTCCTTCTGAGCTTCCATGGGGACCAGCCTGTCCAGGACACAGCAGGGCTGAGCACCCCCAGACCTTCCACTCTACCCTCTGGGCACCAGAAGGCTCCTGGACCATGAGTGTCAACCCCAGAATTCCCTGCTGGCCCCAACCCTCTTCCAGGAGAAAGCTGGGGGGAGTCTGCTGGGGGCACTTGGACCCCTAGCATTGACTGTAGCTCTCTGGTAGGGGTGCTGGGACCAGTCCGGCTTGCAGGGTTGAGCCATTTGAGGAAAAACTCCAAGGTCCCTTAAAAAGTGCTTTTTAGGCTGGCCATGGTGGCTCACGCCTATAATCCAGGCACTTCGGGAGTCTGAGGCGGGCGGAGAAGCATTTTCCACATTCGATCCTGCCAACTGATGTCCCACACACAGGACATGCCCTTATTCAAGCTGCTTCTTTTGATTCTGCTTTTATATTAAAGGGTAGAAATGGAAATGGGAGTGTGAAGGCAATGCTGCTCCTGCCTAGGCTCACTAGCAGGGTATGAAGAAGTGTAGGAATGGGTGAGCAGTAAGAGAAAATATTGCTTCTCTTGTTCTGAGGCCCTCAAAGACTCTAATAGGCCTCTTCCCACTTCCCCTGCATTCACTTGCTCAGAGCAATACCCATGTTCCTCATCCATCACCACCACCTCCGTAAGTGCTTGCAAGGCAGCAGCACCAGGCCCACTCCTACCATCACTACTGGCAGCACCTGGAGTCCTTCCCCTCTTCCTCCACCACTACAATTTCTACTCTTCCTCCTGTATCATATCAGCTCTAGATTTAGACCCAGTAGGAAAAAAAAAATACCTGCACATACCCATATTCCCAAACATACAGGAGCCATTAGGATATACAAAATATTATAGTATCTGTCCCTCTCCCCAACAAAAGTTAAGGTGTTTGTTCCCCAACAGCCCCCTTCTTTTCTTGTACTCTTGTCCCAGGTAAACAAAGCCCTTACTGTTTGTCACATCTCTGAGAAAAATTTCTGGTATGGTAAGATTATTTTTGTTGTTCACCCTTTATCTCACCATACTCATTCCAAGAAGATGCCCAGATCTTTCCCCTGCCTTATCTTAGGGGAGGTTTATGCTTCCAGCCTGTATTTGGTTTTCTTTAATCCTGAACATCTTGAAAGAATTATGCTGACAGAAGAGTGACTTAGAGAACAGAAAGAAAAGAAGGAGATTTCTGCTCATGATAACTAAGCACCCCTTACTCTATGCAAAGACCCCAGAAAGAAAGCAGGGCCCCAAAGGAGAATGGGTACATGGTGCATGTAAGGAGGCTGGACCCTAGGCATCAAGGCTTCCACCATCAGCAGACATTTCCATCTCCCACTGGCCCCACAGCAGCAGAAATGCCCACCTTCAAGGTACTATGTGGACTTAGACAATGAGTGTAGGGGGGAATCATTGTCTAAGTCCACATAGTACCTTGCCCCCATTCTTGGGTAACTCCTTAGAAGAGGAGGGGCCCTCCAATAGTGAATGAGATTGAACTTTTCTTCACTTCAGTGGGATGAAGGGCAGATGCGGATTTAAGCTGCCACCTCTGAGCAAACCTGCCCTGAGATACACACTACACAGAAGACACAGCAGTCAAATGCACATTCTTTATTACTAGTTAGGCCCAGAAAATCCCTGACAAACATTGATTTTGGTGAGCTGGGTGGGATCTCATTGGGAAACTCAAGGACATCTTTAGCTTGGATTGAAGGCAGATCTAACCAACCACCCCTGGGCTCCACCCTGGCTCCTTCCTTGCCTTGCAGCAGTTGCCTTGGGTAAGCCTGCAGAGAACACACCAAAGAGGGAGAGGTGGGGGTCCTGGGGTATTCCCAAAAGTGCTTGCCCCAGTCTAGCTCTATTTTTAACCCAATTTATCCTCCCAAGAGAAACACCATCCATAACCTGGTGCCCCCAATGTTTGTCCTTGGAATCCATTTTGTTCTTCATCCACTGCTGACTGAAAAGGGACTTGGGATGGGGGCAGCCTGAGGCTGAAAGCTAGCGTGTGTAGTGAACACTCCCCAAAGCACTGTTTTTCTTCAAGACACCCCAGGTCTTTCAGGCAGGCTGGTGGGCAACCAGGAAAATAGCTATCCTTCTCAAAGGAGGAAATCAGCAGAGGAATTCAGAAAAGCTCTGCCTGCATTTTTGTGAGGACACTTTCCCAAACTTTGTCACTGCTCATTTATCTCACCTGAGACCAATGAGACAAGCAGTTTGGTTACTCAAGACCTTTCATAAGGGCTGGGCATGGTGGCTCACAGCCACTCGGGAGGCTGAGGCAGAGGATCACTTGAGCCCAGGAGTTTGAGGCTGCAGTGAGCTATGATGATCATGCCACTGCACTCCAGCCTGGGCGACAAAATGAGACCTCATTTCTCCAAAAAATTAAAAAAAACAAAAACAAAACAAAAAACCTTTCATGAAAGTCTCTTTCGCATTGGCCCCAGAACCACAGAAATGGATCTGGATGTTACTTCAATTGGTTTTATCCAAGGTCACGCTATATGCAAGGCAAAGAATACATCCCTGATCTAATGTGTATGCCAAATTATGCTCTTTCCTATCTTCTAACCGAATTCACAATAAAAGATTATGCTGTGTGTACTAGATAATAACATACAAGTCTAGCTCCCAAAACATACTAGGCAATAACTATTTCTTTAATGAATTAAATGAAATTAATTAAAGTTGCTATCAGCTATAGAATTTAACACTACAACCCCCTAAACTCTTTCCCTAAACTTCTCATTTAATGAATTAAGTGAAATTCATCAAAGTTGCTACCATCTATAGAATTTAACACTACAACTCCCCAAACTTTTCTAAGTTAATTCCCATACCAATGAAAAAATTCAACTCTACAAAAACAATTTTGTTCTCCCTTTTCCCCCTAATGAGTGTCAAATGATCTCTTCTTCCCTGACTTCCTTTCACTCTTCTTGACTGCAGCCAGTTGGGGTCTCAGTGAGGTGTGGGTCCATCAGAATTGAGGTGTTACTTCTTGTGGCTTTGGCAGATCTTCTAATGTCACAGGTTCAGCTTCTTCAGAAACAAGCAAGTTTGGTGGAGCTAAGACACAAAAACAGGACTTCACCTGTAAAACTAATAAAACAAAAATAAGCAAAAATCAACACTGCAGTAATTTCAAAAGGAATGATAGCACTTGCAAGGAAAAGCAGTGTTTCTAGAATACAATATAGCCTGGAACTCTAAAATCACATGGCTGCTCCCAGCCAAATACATGGCATTTTCAGGAAAAGGAGGTTAAGAGAAAAAAAAAAAACAGAAAATGGTTGATTTAAAACAGGCTTTATAACTATAACTTCAGCTTCTCCAGGGTGTCAACCAATTAGTATCAGCCAACCACAATCTACTACCTGAAAAAGTTGACAGCAATTAGGAGAAATCCCCTAATTAAAGACTGAGTGTTATACTCAGAAGTAGTCTCTCTTTATTCAAATAAATGAATAAAATAAGAAAATAAATACATACGTATTTGTGTGTATGTATACTCACAATGATAAAAAGTACTTAATTTGGGTAATAGGATAATGGATTATTTTATCTAATTTTCTCTACAATTTTGGTTTCAAATTTTCTGTTAAGTAAATAAGTTACTTTTTTATCAGAAGGGGGTCCTGGGAAATTGGTTTCTCTTTGGAGTGCTTCCATCTTACTTACCTTCCTGAAATCAATGAGTTTACGCTGGGTCAACGCTGCCATTCTCAACTGGCATACGGACTCTCTTGCATTTAGAGCACACCTTGTTCCGTGGAAAATTCATGGCATTACACCATGGGCAGGCCCAATTCACTGGGCTGGAGCATGAGGCAGGCTTCTGTTGCTGGGATTCTGAGGCCTTTTTCCTTTTTTGTTCCTTGACCTTCTGCCCCTGAGGCTGGTGTTTCCATGGGCTATTTTTCACACCATGGCTCTTGCTATCCTCCAGAGGGGTTACCTGGGGCCTCTCCTGATCTTCCTTCTGGCTGTGGCTCTTGCTAAACCTCAGTGAGGCTGTGCCCTGGGGAATCACTGGATGTTTCTTCAGGCTGTGGCTGTTGCTGTCCCCCAAGGAGACCACCTCCTGGTGCACCACTGGATCTTTCTTCAGGCTGTGACTGTTGCTGTCCCCTAGGGGGACCATCTCCTTGGGCATCACTAGATCTTTCTTCATGCTGTGGCTGTTGCTGTCCCCCAGGGGGACCATCTCCTCGGGCATCACTAACTCTTTCTTCAGGCTGTGGATTCTGCTGAACCCCAGGGAGGCTGTCCCCTGGGGCACCACTGGCACTTTCTTCAGGCTGTGTCTCCTGCTAAACGTCAGGGGAGCTGTGCCCTGGGGCACCACTGGATCTTTCTTCAGGCTATGGCTGTTGCTGTCCTCCAGGGGGACCATGTTCTGGGGCATCACTGGATCTTTCTTCAGGCTGTGGCTGTCCCCCAGGGGGACCATCTCCTTGGGCATCACTGGCACTTTCTTCAGGCTGTGTCTCCTGCTAAACATCAGGGGAGCTGTGCCCTGGGGCACCACTGGATCTTTCTTCAGGCTATGGCTGTTGCTGTCCCCCAGGGGGACCATCTCCTTGGGCATCACTGGCACTTTCTTCAGGCTGTGTCTCCTGCTAAACATCAGGGGAGCTGTGCCCTGGGGCACCACTGGATCTTTCTTCAGGCTATGGCTGTTGCTGTCCTCCAGGGGGACCATGTTCTGGGGCATCACTGGATCTTTCTTCAGGCTGTGGCTGTCCCCCAGGGGGACCATCTCCTTGGGCATCACTGGCACTTTCTTCAGGCTGTGTCTCCTGCTAAACATCAGGGGAGCTGTGTCCTGGGGCACCACTGGATCTTTCTTCAGGCTATGGCTGTTGCTGTCCCCCAGGGGGACCATCTCCTGGTGCATCATTGGATCTTTCTTCAGACTGTGGCTGTTGCTGTCCTCCAGGGGGATCATGTTCTGGGGCATCACTGGATCTTTCTTCAGGCTGTGGCTGTTGCTGTCCTCCAGGGGGATCATGTTCTGGGGCATCACTGGATCTTTCTTCAGGCTGTGGCTTCTGCTGTCCCCCAGGGGGACCATCTTCTGGGGCATCACTGGATCTTTCTTCATCCTGTGACTCTTGCTGTCCCCCAGGGGGACCAGCTCCTTGGGCACAACTAGATCTTTCTTCAGGCTGTGGCTGTGGCTTTCCCCCAGGGGGACCATCTCCTTGGGCATCATTGGCACTTTCTTCTGGCTGTGCCTCCTGCTATACATCAGGGGAGCTGTGCCCTGGGCCACCACTGGATCTTTCTTCAGGCTATGGCTGTTGCTGTCCCCCAGGGGGACCATCTCCTGGCACATCATTGGATCTTTCTTCAGACTGTGGCTGTTGCTGTCCCCCAGGGGGACCATCTTCTGGGGCATCACTGGATCTTTCTTCATGCTGTGGCTGTTGCTGTCCCCCAGGGAGACCATCTCCTTGTGCACAACTGGATTTTTCGTCAGGCTGTGGCTGTTGCTGTCCCCTATGGGGACAATCTCCTTGGGCACAACTGGATCTTTCTTCAGGCTGTGGCTGTTGCTGTCCCCTAGGGGGACCATCTCCTTGGGCATCACTGGTTTTTTCTCCAGGCTGTGGCTCCTGCTAAACTCTGGGGGAGCTGTGCCCTCTTGCATCACTGGATCTTTCTTCAGGCTGTGGCTGCTGCTGTCCCCTTGGGAAGTCATTCCTTGGGGACACTCAGAACCTTCCTTTTGGTTGCAGCTTCTGTTATCTCCTGGGTGATATACTCCCTGGAAATTCTCAGGATATCCATCCTGGCCATGGCACTTCTGGTCCCACGGAGGGGCCGTCTCCTCCTGGGATCCCACTGTGGCCCAAAGACCAGGTGGATAGATCCCTGCAGGAGGCATCTGTGGTGCAATTGCTGCTGCTGATTCCATTACTACTGGGGGTGGTAGAGGTGTTGAGTATGGCAGTCCCATTGGTGAAGGCATATGGAATGGGACTGGATGAGGTGCCTGCATTAGCAGAAGAGGTTGCATGCCCTGGACCCTGCCACTCTGGGGTTCAGGCATGTAATACACAGCTGTTGGGGCTGCTACCTGGGCTTCCGAATGTGGCATTCCCTGTGCCTCTGTGGCCACCGCCTCACTCTGTTCTGCATTTAAAGTCCCGGCCACAGGCCCATACTGGCCGGCTTCTGGACCGGGTACAAAATCCTGAGGCATCGGATAGACCTGCATGGATCTCTCAACTTCTAGCAGCCTCCCGCATAACCCATCACGCTCATTCAGCACCTGCTGCAGGGCGGCCTGCGTGAGGTGCAGCTGTGTTGCCACCTCCTCATGCTCCAGGCGCAGCTGCTGCAGCTGGGAAGTTAGAGCCCAGGAGGTCGCCTGGCACTCCTCCACATGCCCTTGCAGCCACCAAACCTGGTACAGCAGCTCCTCCTGCTGCCTCGCAGCCACTTGCACACTCAGCGCCAAAGCGCTCCAGGTACAGGCCCTCTTAATGGCACGGGGCACCCGCGGGTCGGCCACAATGGCCCGAAGCCGGTCCTCTACCTCGTTCCACGGCCGCGAGCGGAAGGCCGTGTAAAAGGCTGGGCTGCCGCCGTTCCTGAGGACTTCATTGTTGATGAACCTGATCACATCATCATGGCGGAACCCGCTGGCATGGTCCCCAAAGTTCATCGCCATGGCGGCTGCGGCCTAGTCAAGCAGCTGCCTCACGGTGCGTCGCCTCGGCTGCCGCCGCCGCTTCCGGTACAGGTTGCTGCCACCAACCAGTCCACCCCTCACCTCCCCTTTCAGTCTTACTTTAGTCCTTGCTCAGTCCTGGCCTCCTCCTTGGCCTCCTTCCTCCCTCACTCCCTTGTCTCACAAAGAGAGAAGCAGGTCCTCCTCGCCACACCGAACCCTATCGGCAACTCCGCGACACATCACAGAGAAAAGCTGAGTCATGCCGCAAGGCCAGCTGGGACCAGCTTCCTTTGAGAAGGCACTTCCTGAATGGAGAGTCGCCAAGCGGCTGAGCTGGGAACTGCAGCGAGCCCAGAGACGGAGAGGGAAGGGCAGGTTTTTTGGAGACAATAAAGTGGCTATTTGCACACCCGGAGTGGAATGGACCCCCAAACACACACACACACACACACACACACACACTTCTGCTCTGAAAGGGAAGGTGGGTTTGAGAGGTGACAGCATGCTAGCAGTCCTCAGAGCCCTCTCTTGCTCTCGGCACCTCCCCTGCCTGGGCTCCCACTTTGGTGGCATTTGAGGAGCCCTTCAGCCCCCCGCACTGCACTGTGGGAGCCCTTTTCTGGGCTGGCCAAGGCTGGAGCCCACTCCTTCAGCTTGCAGGGAGGTGTGGAGGGAGAGGCGTGAGCGGGAACCAGGGCTGCGTGCGGCGCTTGTGGGCCAGCTGGGGTTCCGGTGGGCGTAGGCTTGGTGGGCCCTGCACTCGGAGCAGCCAGCCAGCCCTGCTGGCCCTGGGCAATGAGGGACTTAGCACCCCGGCCAGTGGCTGCGGAGGGTGTACTGGGTCCCCCAGCAGTGCCAGCCCACCGGCGCTGCACTCGATTTCTCACTGAGCCTTAGCTGCCTTCCAGCGGGGCAGGGCTCGGGACCTGCAGCCCGCCATGCCTGAGCCTCTCACCCACTCCATGGGCTCCTGTGCAGCCCGAGCCTCCCCAACGAGCACCACCCCCTGCTCCACGGCGCCCAGTCCCATCGACCACCCAAGGGCTGAGGAATGCGAGCACACGGCGCGGGACTGGCAGGCAGCTCCACCTGCAGCCCTGGTGCGGGATCCACTAGGTGAAGCCAGCTGGGCTCCTGAGTCTGGTGGGGACGTGGAGAGTCTTTATATCTAGCTCAGGGATTGTAAATACACCAATCAGCACCCTGTGTTTAGCTCAAGGTTTGTGAGTGCACCAATCGACACTCTATATCTAGCTGCTCGGGTGAGGACGTGGAGAACCTTTATGTCTAGCTCAGGGATTGTAAATACACCAATTGACACTCTGTATCTAGCTGCTCTGGTGAGGACGTGGAGAACCTTTATGTCTAGCTCAAGGATTGTAAATACACCAATCGGCACTCTGTATCTAGCTCAAGGTTTGTAAACACACCAATCAGCACCCTGTGTTTAGCTCAGGGTTTGTGAGTGCACCAATCGACACTCTGTATCTAGCTGCTCTGGTGGGGCCTTGGAGAACCTGTGTGTGGAAACTCTGTATCTAACTAATCTGATGGGGATGTGGAGAACCTTTGTGTCTAGCTCAGGGATTGTAAACACCAATCAGCACCCTGACAAAACAGGCCACTGGGCTCTACCAATCAGCAGGATGTGGGTGGGGCCAGATAAGAGAATAAAAGCAGGCTGCCAGAGCCAGCAGTGGCAACCCGCTCGGGTCCCCTTCCACACTGTGGAAGCTTTGTTCTTTTGCTCTTTGCCATAAATCTTGCTACTGCTCACTCTTTGGGTCCACGCTGCTTTTATGAGCTGTAACACTTACCGCGAAGGTCTGCAGCTTCACTCCTGAGCCAGCGAGACCACGAACCCACCAGAAGGAAGAAACTCCGAACACATCTGAACATCAGAAGGGACAGACTCCAGACGCGCCACCTTAAGAGCTGTAACACTCACCGCAAGGGTCCGCGGCTTCATTCTTGAAGTCAGTGAGACCAAGAACCCACAAATTCTGGACACAGGTGAAAGGAGCTCAGAGACCTTCTGGGTGGGGTTTGGAGACTGGAGGAGTAGGGGGATGTAGGTGTAGATGGAAGAAAATAAAGTTGCAAGGCTCTCAGTTCAGGGAAGTGAATAGGGTACAAGCTGGTGGAGCAGATGCCCTTGTTGGGCCAACAGTGGGAACCAGGCTCAGTTGTATGCCCTGTACATGAGTGAAGTGAGAGGCTGGCAGCTGTTAGAGGGATTACAAGATTCAAACCACAGGTGAAGGCTAACCAGGGACACTAGAAAAAGCACCACTACCATGGCTGAGTAGATAAGGCAGGAAGGGAAGTCAGACCAAGATGTTCTGGAAAGACAGGGAGCTATCAAAAACAGGAGGCCGCTACTAGGATGCATGACCTAATTCGGTGAACAGGAGAAGACATTTCAGAACTTAGCCTGGTCAACCTAAAAGGAAGAAACTGAAGCAAAGTTAATATAAGTAGTGAGTTTATTTGGGCCAAGTTTGAGGATTGTAATGTCAGAGTATAAATTTAAGTTGTCCTAAATATATACCCCAATTGACAGTTACAAGTATTTTTTTAAGAGAGCGTTCCTTAGTTATTTATTAAAAATTTACATTAAAATAGCATAAACTATTAATTGGCTATACATTATTATTTGTATTACAAATTTTAAAAACATAAAGATATTGGGTAAGACAACTTGTCAAAAACAAAATGACTTTAAATAATTGCCCACAGATACGGACACAGAGGATATGATTAAAGTCCCATACTCATGTCCCTCTGGGACTATATACCTCACTTAGTTCAGACTGCTGTAACATATTTTTGTTTCCTCAGCATCCTGAGATAGAATGCTCTGATGAATGATGAGAAAATGTGTGTGAACATGTGTGAGAAAAGTGAATACTAGTAATGATGTTGGATCTCAGATGTTTCTGAGGGCTTTCAAGAGGATACCAAAAGCCATATGAATAAATTTTCTATTACGGTGTGGGGGAAGGAAGGCTGCTGTTTGCCTGTTTGCTCAGTTCCTTCTCTTATACTTCTCAGTAGCCATACTGTCTTCAAGCCTCCTTCATAGTTCCTGCCTCACTCACTCTCACAGGAAGGATTTTTCTCTTTTTCAACTTTAAAACTAAATTCTTCACCTGTGGTTTGGATACCAGCCTCTCCCATCTCCTCGGGGAGTTTGATCCATTCATAGCGCTCCATTCTCTTATCTGTTTCAGCCTCTTCCTCTTCACTGGCTCCTTCCCATCACAGTAAGAGCATGTTCAAGTTTCTTTCCCCACCCAATAGTACAAGTTTCTTTTAACTTGACCTTTCTGTAGACTTTGACTCTTTCAACCAATCCCTTTTTGAAATTCAGTCCTCTCTTTTCTTCTGTGACACCAAACTCTACTGATTTTCTTCCCCTCTAGCTGCTCCTTCCTAGTTTCTTTATGCTGCTTGCTGTGCTTTCATTCACCTTTTAAATACCGGTGTCTTCCTGAGTTTTGTCCTAAGATCCCTCAGACCTCAGACACCCTGCCTTATTCCAGAGACTCTCTCTGTGTGATCTCATCTATTCTCTTGTTATAAGCTATCATCATTAATTGCTAAAGATTTCCAAAACTTTATGTCTAGTCATGCTTTGACCCTCAAACTTGAGACTCACCTAGCCAAAAACCTCCTACAAACTTTCACATGGATCTTGCATAAGAGCCGTATTCTCCACAAGTCCTAAACTCATCAATACTATTTTGGACAAATAGCTTGTCAGGTTTCTTAACATTTCTGAGGATCCACTTCCTTAAAGAGCTGTTGCAAAGATGAAATAAGAACATATATGTAAATACTATTTTTGTCATCACCCATATTACTATTAAATAAAATGAGACTTAAACTGGAATTTGAACAATGGGTAGAATTTAGATGAGGACAGTGAGGAGAAAAATGAACCTGAAATTGATAAAAGATGTTTCTCTATTATTTACCAATTGGCTGGTTGGCCAAGATTTGTACCAGGTCACCCTGTTCTGCCATATCCAGTTGAATTATATTTCTCAATTCATTGGACAACTGCCTCTTGCGGTTTCATTCCATTATGATTTTAGAAGCTGGTATCTGGTCCCCCACCTACCTGCCTTCTATTTTTCAGCTATTTCCATGGATGCTCTTTGCTAGAGCTACACATCTGACACCAGCAAGGAGACACCATGTGTGTGCTGGCATTTGTGATATTTCCAGGATCTATGTTGGCTTCTGGGTACTGAAGGCATCATCTGCCTCTGATTAGAAATGAAACATAATTTCTGTATTTGGAATATACAGAAATATGAAAACACATATTAGGAGGATATAATTTATGAGGGTAAATGATTTTGTATATAATAATAATAATAATATCTTCTTAGTTTAGCAATGGAAAAATTTAATGTGACTCAGAAATATGTTTAAAAACTTAATGTATTTATCACTCTATATGGATAAACAGATAACAGCTTTCCCTGAAAATAATATTTTCATACTTGGACGGTTCAACTTGCCAAGTGTTGAATAAATAGAAGGAGCAGAACTGTTTTTCTAGACATATAAAAAGGCACTCAGGTGTAAGAGAAGCAGTTATCAATATTGCCAGCTCTAATTTTCAAATTGGCACTAATCATTGTTGCGTATTAAGTGAAGGTAGAAATGATTTCCTATAAACTAACGCTAAAGTTGCTCACCGATTCTTTTCTATAGTCTTTTGTGTATTCATCTTATAAACAATAATAATGGTGCTAATAAAAAGTTTTTCTTCTGACCTTTTTATACAGTAATAAATAATGAATACCTTCTTAGCACTTACAATGTGCTAGGCCCTGTGGATACTTTGTGTGTATTATCTTATGCAATCATCACCACAACCGTGTGAGTTAAGTAACAGTATTACTTCCATTTTTGGAATAAGTAAATTGGGGCTTAAGAGAGTGAAATAACATTTACAAGGACCCACAGCTAGCGTTTTAATTCTAGGAAGCCAGAATTAATATCTTATTAAAATCCATGGTCTTAAAATTAAACTCTACAGCCAGAATGGCACATTTCCTCATAACTCTGAGACTCAAACTAACAGAATCAACATATTGTAGACATGATAATACATGTGCAAAACTTATACTGAACAAAAATGTCTTTTAATCCAAAGCCAAGAAGAACAAAACTTGCCTATAACCTATTAGGTAGCCCAAATGTATCTAAAAAATGGGTCAAAAGAAGAGGAGTGATCAATTTGAAACATAGAAAACAGGAATCAGAGAGTACAAATTGAAACTGATATTACGAACCTTTCCAACATAAAAGATGTTCTAGCCAATGAATAAGAACATTCCAGTCCTCTAGCCAGATCTATACCTGTAGTGATAGACGCATTAAGCCACAAAAGTTCCATGACAAATATCTATGAAAATCACTCAAGCAAAATCCCAGTTTTTCTCATTCCATGTTGACCTATGCGCCCTGATAATTATATGTTCCAGTATAACTTATAATTATGGAGGAAACTCAGTGATCATTATCCTACTTGCTGCAGTCTTTTTGACAGTTATGTTTATTGAAAAAGAAAAACGAGATAACACTCAGATTTATACATTGATCCCTTTTGTATTAAACTGCTACAAGCTACTCTCTGAGAGACTGGTATCATTTAAGTATCTGACCAAATTGAGCATCTTACTTATGAAACTGAGGAGCATAACCTGGAATGGGGTGCCCACACTAAGGTACATCTACCCTAGGAGACAACTCTATGTCATGATTCACAAAGTCACAGGTTTACTTCCTTGACCTAGACTGATCAAGGTAATCATTATAATTTCAGAGAGGATCACATATATGATGTTATTTGTAACAGTTCTCATTTGTTTGAAGGCCCTTCAAAATAGTTGAAATTACAGATAGAGGTATACCTCAGAGATACTGTGGGTCTGGTTCCAGACCACCAAAATAAAGTGAATATCACAATAAAGCAAATTACACAAATTTTTTGTTGCCCTGTCCATATAAAAGTTATGTTTATAATATGCTGTAGTCTATTAAGTGTGCAATAGCATTGTATAAAGCAATGTGTAGACCCTAATAAAAAATGCTTATTGCTAAAAAAAAAAAATGCTGACAATCATCTGAGCCTTCAGTGAGTAATACCCTTTTTGCCAGTGGATGGTATTGCCTCAGCATTGGTGATGGCTAACTGATCAGGGTGGTGGTTGCTGAAGGGTGGGGTGCCTAGGGAAATTTCTTAAAATAAGACAATAATAAAGTTTGCCACATGAATTGACCTTTCCTTTCATGAAAGATTTCTCTGTAGCATGCAGTGATTTTTGATAGCATTTTACCCACAGTAGAACTTCTTTCAAAATTGGAGTCAATCCTTCTAATCTTGCTGCTGCTTTATCAACTAAGTTTGTATAATATTCTAAATCCTTTGTTGTCATTTCAACAATGTTCACAGCTTCTTCACAAGGAGTAGTTTCCCTGTCAAGAAACCACTTTCTTTGCTCATGCATAAGAAACAATTTTTCATCCATTAAAGTTTTATCATGAAATTGCAACAATTCAGTCACATCTTTAGGGTCCACCTCTAATTCTAATTCTCTTCTATTTCCACCACATCTACAGTTACTTCCTCCACTGAGGTCTTGAACACCATAAATTCATTCATAAGTGTTGGAATCAACTTCTTCCAAACTCCTGATAATGTTGGTATTTTTACCTCCTCCCATAAATAACCAATGTAATTCTAGAATTGTGAATACTTTCCAGAAGGTTTTCAATTGACTTAGATCTGATCCATCAGAGGAATCACTATCTATGGCAGCTATAGCCTTACAATATGTATTTCTTAAATAAGATGTAAAAGTAAAAATTACTCCTTGGTCCATGGACTGCAGAATGGATGTTGTGTCCGTGGGCATGAAAACAACATTCACTTCCCTGTACATTTCCATCATGGTCCTTGGGTAATCTGGTGCATTGTCAAGGAGCAGTAATATTTTGAAAGGAATCTTTTTTTCTGAGAAGTAGGTCTCAACAGTGGACTTAAAATATTTGGTAAAACATGCTGCAAACAGATGTGCTTCCATTCAAGCTTTGTTGTTCCATTTATAGAGCATAGGCAGAGTAGATTTAGCAAAATTCTTAAGGGACCTAGGATTTTCAGAATGGTAAATGAGCATTGGCTTCAATTCGAAGTCACCAGCTGCATGAGCCCCTAACAAGAAAGTCGGCCTGTCCTTTGAAACTTTGAAGCCAGGCAATAACTGTTCCTTTCTAGCTATGGAAGTCCTAGATGGCATCTTTTTCCAGTATAAGATTTTGTCTACATTGAAAATCTGTTTAGTGTAGCCAGTTTCATCAATGATCTTACCTATATCTTCTGGCTAACTTGCTACAGCTTCTACATCAGCACCTGCTGCTTCACCTTGCACTTTTATGTTATGGAGATGACTTCTTTCCATAAAACTCATGAACCAACCTCTGCTAGCTTCAAACACTTCATCTGCAGCTTCTTCACGTTTCTCAGCCTTCATGGAATTGAATAAAGTTAGGGCCTTGCTCTGGATTAGGCTGTGGCTGGGGGGAATGTCCCAGCCAACCAAATGGCTGGTTTGATCTTCTATCCAGGCCACTAAAACTTTCTCCAGATCAATAATGAGGCTGTTTTGCTTTCTTATCATTCATGTGCTCACTGGAGTAACACTTTTAATTTCCTTCAAGAACTTTTCATTTCTATTCTCAACTTGACTATCTGTTTGGTGCAAAAGGCCAGCTTTCAGCCTATCTCAGTTTTCAACATACTTTCCTCACTAAGCTTAATCATTTCTAGCTTTTGATTTAAAGTGAGAGATGTGCAAATATTCCTTTCACTAAAACACCTAGAGACCATTGTCATTTATTAATTGGCCTCTCTATTACGGAATAGAGAGACCTCAGGAGAGGGAAAGAGAAGGAGCAATGGCCAGTAGGCGGAGCAGTCAGAATCCACACATCCTTTATCAATTATGTTTGCCTTCTTATGTGGGTGCAGTTTGTGGTGTCTTAATCAAAATAGTAACATCAAAGATCACTGATCACCATAACAGATATAATAATAATGAAAAATTTTGAACTATTGTGAAAATGACCAAGATGTGAAACAGAGACATGAAGTGAACGCGTGATATTTGAAAACTAATGCCGATAGACTTGCTCAATGCAGAGTTGCCGCAAATCCTGAATTCGTGAAAAAAAAGAAAAACCCACAGTATCTGTGAAGTACAATAAAGCAAAGTACAATAAAACAAGGTATGCCTGTGGTAGCAATTGTACAAAAAAATAAAAGTTTGGTTACATGCTGTAGTACTGCTAACGTTCTACTAAAGCAATACACCTTCATTATCTTCTGCCACAAGAACTGACCTTGTATATGTAATGAGCATTACACTTAATTTTAAATCACTGTAATATAATACGATTGCTTTTGAGCCACCTATTTCAGTTATCATTGGTAATATTTGTAGTGGCAATCTTGCTGTGTTGTATTTCCAAGAAGAGCTTTTTTTTTATTCCACCCCTTCTGTTGTTCTGTTGTTTTTCTCTCATTATTCGTTGTCAGAGAGCTAGAGATATTGGATTACCCTTCCCAGATTGTGTTTTAACTTGGCAAAAAAATTAAGACGCATATACAGTCATATGTTCCCATCCCTGCCCCTGTAGTTGTATGTCAGTAGGGCAAATTATGAGTGATATTAATCCATTTGGTATCAACACAGACTACATTACAAATGGTCCTATGAGTATATGTTATGATAAAAACATAAAAAATTCCTTTCCCATCGATCCATTTCACAAGTTAATAATGTTCCCACAAATAACCTTTTTAAATTAACAAATATTATAGATCTGCAACTCACAAAATTATCTAAAAAATGAGTTTTTTCAATTTGCATCATGTTTTAGAAGTTAGAAATTGTTGTGCTCCTCTGTCTGCTGTTTGTAAAAGAAAGGGAGAGAACACCCTTCTATTTATCCTAAATATTATTATCTTAGTATCCCACTCAATCCTCAATTTTCTGGATTCTGGATCCTATACACATTGCTCTACCATGTTTGATCTCACTAATGTTGCAAACTGCTTCCTAATTGTAAGATCCAAGGGAAATTATTTTCAATCTGGATCTTCCGATTGAATATGGTACTGATAATCACTCCCTCTTTTTTAAACTTCTTCACTTTTGAACTCCAGGAAATCAAACACCTCTAGTTAATATAGCATATCTCCAACCATTCTTTTTCTGTTTATTTTATGAGCTCCTGTTCTCGTATTTGCTCAATAAATATTGATGTTCCCCAGAGTCAGTGTTGTTCCTCTGATCTTCTCACTTTACACCTTTTCCCAAGTGATCAAATTTATGCTCAAGTTCTCAAATGTTACCCATATGCTGATAACTCCTACACCTGTATCTCTAACCTATGTCTCTCTTTCAGGCTTAAGACTTGTACCAAACTATATGCTGAATTCCTCAAATGGCTCACAGGAACCTTAATGGCACAAACTGAATTCATCTTTACATCCCATATCACATCCTATCCTGTTCCTGTAATTATGCATTGTCTGTTGCCATCATCCACTCAATTACCAAAACTAGACATTTTAAAGTCATATAGACTCCTCTCTCTCTTTCCCTGTCCCTATATCCAATTAGTGGCAATGTCCTCCTTTATATTCCTTTTTTTTTTCATTACTTTAACATCTGTACTATCACTACCCAAAGAAACTATCAGCATTTGCCTAGACTTGTACAACACCCTTAATGTCTTATTTAAGCACCTCACAATTTTCCCTGTTGGCCTTACTGATCTAATTTTTATCCACTCCCTTATCAAATGCTACATTCAAACAATGCTGAATTGCTTATAATCCCTCACACATGTCTTCTTGTTTCTCATGCAATTGGCTTTGTTTCTGCTGTCTTCTCTGCCTGGTTTCAAACACTCTTTACCTGGTTAACTTCTAATAATAATTTAATATTCAGTGTAGGTTTCATCTTATCTAGAAAGCATTCTTCATATCTGCACATAAGGCTATTTCCTACTATTCTATAAACTAGTCTATTCTATCTTGTTCATCTTTGTATCTCTAGCATTTAGCACAATACCTGTTATACAATGCATGTTTATTGAATGCAGGAACATGAAAGGTAACTCCTAGTTATTGCATGCAGATTTGATGAACAACTCTAAACTCACCTTCTCCTTTCTCTTTTATAATGTCTAGCCCTCAGTTTCCATCTTCTCAGATAAAATAATCCTACTTTTTTTTTTTTTTTCATTTTTGAGATGGAGTCTTGCTCTGTCACCCAGGCTGGAGTACAGTGGTTCAATCTTGGCTCACTGCAACCTCCGCTTCCCGGGTTCAAGTGATTCTCTTGCATCAGCCTCCTGAGTAACTAGGACTACAGGTGTGTGTCACCACGCCCAGCTAATTTTTTGTATTTTTTAGTAGAGACGGGGTTTCATCGTGTTAGCTAGGATGGTCTCAATCTCCTGACCTCGTGATCCAACCACCTCGGCCTCCCAAAGTGCTGGGATTATAGGCGTGAGCCACCGCGCCCTGCCAATCCTATTCTTTATAGTCTACTCTTGAAGATCTTTCTCCTTAATTATCCTCGTTACTTGTTACTTGCTACTTACGTTTAGATCTTCTCCAGTTCAAACACATCTTCTAGATATGCGGGCAAATCCCTAATTATGTATACAAAGTAGAATATTGTATTTTTTATGTTAATGTACATCACGATTATGCTCATTATTTTTTGACCTTTTGACCACAGTAGCATGCTACTGTGTTGATACTACTAAGTTGATATCTTTAGGACAATCAGAAACTCACTAAATATTTAATATGTATAAATAATATAGTACAGCAAACAAAGATAACCAAAAACATGGTCCCTACTCTTATGGAGTTTGCATCTTGTTTTAAAGGTGAAAGAGGTGGACATAGATAATAAACAAAAAGCATACAGCATGCATGGCAAATGCTATAAAGAAAATAACATAAGTGGCTGTAATATATAGTACTTGGGTCCCCAGAGAGGCTAATTTAGACAGACTCACAGCTCCTCTCTATAGATGTAAGCTAGATAGACTGATAAACTAGAAACCCATTGGCCTATGAGTATAATTTAGATTATTTTCCTCAAATGCATGCTGTATCCTACTCTAAATCTTACTCATGATTTTTCTGCCCACTCACCTTTAAAAACCCATATTCTTTTATCAGTATGACACATCTTCCAGTTCATTTGAGTCAAGGAAATGTTAAAAGTGGTCCCACAGAGTCCCTGATTGAATTCATCTTTTTGCATTACAGAAAGTTAGAAATCTCACAGAGAATGTCTTTTCCTCTGTTTTACCACTTTTGACTTAACATTTCACTCCTTTAAAGACTATGGTGTTAACTCCCGACTTGGTAGATGTATTGTAGACTCATTTTTCCATCTAGTTTCAGTCAGCATATAGTTAGCAAACATTATATTATAGATTTATGAAAAATAAGATTAGTCTCAGCATTTATACCTGTGAGATGCCCATTTTTGTTACTTGTCTACTCAGAGAAGTACATACCTACCATCAGTGTGTCTTCATAGTTCCCTTTTCCTCCTGTGCTTAGGACCTCCCTCAGAAGTCATAAAACTTATCGGGTTTTTTGTGGAAAAAAAATTACCCCAAAAGATGCAACTGCTAGTGCTTGTGATGGCAATGAAAAGAAAGTGGGAAGATGCAAGAAAGTGATGGTTCTTAGCCAGCAAAATAGAACTTGTACATGGGAAACTATAGCGATTGTAGTAGTATTTGCAATATTGAGAATATCCGTCTCTAGATATGTACTTTGGGACTCTTAAGAGTCTACAGCAGTATTTCCTAGAATTGCCTAATCATGAGAATCCCCTAAGACACATGCAAAATAGACTATCAGTCTCTCTCCTTTGGAAACTATCATTCTGGAGAGAGGCTGAGGGCAGAGAATCTGCATTTTTAACAATTGTCCCAGATGAATATAAAGACCTGACAGGTTTGGGAAACACTGGTTTATGTAACTTTACTCATAGAATGTAGTACATGTGAAAATGGATTGTAAAGGTTTTCACAAATAATGAGTACTCAGTAAATGTTTTTTATCCCTTTCCCTTTCCTCCTCCTTTTTCTGGCCCTTTTATGAAATTGTGATATCTAAGGAGGTTTATGTATCTCACTGCTAAAGCTCTGCTTCCTATGTGAAAGAGGAATCAAAATTTTACTTATTATTATGGTCGTCTCCCTCAAATTTGTGATATAATAACAAAACTTAGCCTCTTCCAAGTGCCATATTACCTACCATGTCAAACATTCCTGGTAGCTGAATTTTATTTAGGCATTTGTCTTTAGGCCATTCATCAGTGTTATTTTGCATTTATCATTTTTTCCATTTAATTGGCTTGCAAATCTCAATATTTTTCTTAGGCTTAGAGTAATGGTGATTTTATCCAATTTGTTATGCCTTGGGAAAAAATAGATTGTTATTACTACAACAGCATTTTAATCAGGAGAATCATAGAACTAATTAGGGGCAGAAGTAAAATTAAAAGAACAGATTAATTCTCAATCCATTACGCTTTCCACCACTCTACACTGCCTCTTAGCTTGCATACATGTAAACAATTATAAATGCTTATTTTAGAAGAGTAAACAAATTGTGAGGTATTACATATTCTAGAACATCTTTGTTCTGCTGAATCTATAAACCTTTTGTGCACAAACCGAATAATGTTTGGAATAAATGTTAATGTAATTCTTCAATTTTCAGATAAAATTTGTGGCATCGTTATTCATTTCTAACCCTTTTACCCTTTAACATAGCAGAACTAGATATGTCAGGTTTAACTGTCCATTCTAAAATGCATTCATTTCTGTTGATCTGAGTTTCTCAGAAATGACATCATTAGGGAAACTTCCAGTAACACACTGACTTTTAAATGTAGTTTATAACTTAATTTAACTCAACAGAAGTTTATGGACTAATCGCAAGTTATGTTTGAACTTACATTATCTCTTATATTGTTAGTTTCCCATCCATATGTTCTATATTCCCAAAGTAAATGGTCAGATCCTAGACAGCATAAACTACACATTAAATCTCTTTGTATTTTACCCAGCACCTAGTAAATTGTCATTAAATATATGTTACTTGGTTGATCATCTTCTCAGAGAACCACAAGGCACAACAGGGTTTCATAGGAGCACCTAATTTTTTCAGACCCCTTCCTAAAACCAAGTGAATGAGTAAACCACAGATTGAGGAAACTGGCAGCCCTGAATCTGAATCTAGCCTTCACATAATAATAGTTAAGCCACCAGATTTTTAAAAGAAATTATCTCTCATGACAATCTTGTCACGTTAAAAAGAAAATCAATCAATCAATCAATCTCAACAGCCCTACATCCATACCTCTCTGACATTTGTTAAGTTGTTGTCTATCTGTGGTAATGCAACCACTATCATTCTCCCTGTGAAAATCTCTGGAGATAAAGATTTTAAATATATGACTCATCATCCTGGTGATCAAGAGAGTTTGCTTGGTAACCAGCTTAAACTTCTCCATTTTTATCATTTTCTTTCCTCTTTTCCTTTTTTTTTTTGGGGGGGGGGATCAGAGACTAGAAAAAAATCTTTCATATTATAAACTTTATGTTGGAAAACTGTGACTAAGTCACCCCTTAGCCATCCATTCTCCAGAAGAAATAAACCTAGTCTATTTACCTTACCTTCACAAATTTTCTGAATCTGTATTTCTGTCTCCCTGCCTTTGGTTTTACCCACTCCAAACCACACCACCAGTGATTTGAGACAAATGAAAAGAAGCATGTTAATTCCACTACCTTAACCCTAACCCTGCCTCCCCAGTGACGTTAGGATAAAATTGAATTTCATTTGTATGCAAGGCCCTGACAACATAATGTCTACCAAATTTTTTCATCTAAATTCGTGCTACTTCCTGTCTTGCACTCCATGCTCCAGCAACTTTACTTGTGTTTTCCCACCATTAATATAAATACCTTTGCTCCAGAGGCCCTCCTTGCTTGGAATACCCATGCCAAGCTGTCTTCACCACTTGGCTACTCATCCTTTAAGATTCCAAGGTCTCATTGTTATTCCTAATCTCCGCTGATTTTCATAGAAAGGTGTCCACTTCCCCAAAAAAGCCATAGACTCCTCCAGAAATGTGAACCTACATATATAATAAAATTGTATAAAACTTACCCATATAGGCACACACACAAAGACACATGCATGTAAGTATAAAACTGGAGAAACTTGAATGGGAATAGTAGATTGTGCAAATGTTAATGTCAGGGCTATGATATTGTACTATGGTTTTGCAAGTTATTACTATTGGGATAAATAGAGTAAAGCATACACAGGACTTCAATGTATCTTACAACTGCATGTGAATCTACAATTACCTTGGTAACAAAAAATTTTAAGTGAAATTTTTTGCAGTTAAAAAAATTATACTCCATGTTAAGAACCCCTGCACTAACAAAATCTTAATATAGTGTTCCCAAAGTGTTCCTGAAGATGTGTTTCAAAGCCTATTAAAGGTTCAGAGAAGTCAAGAAACAAAACAAAACAAAAACAAAAACAAAAAACAAATCAAACAAACAAAAAAAAACCAGCCTTCTAAACTCAGGCTTTTCCAAGAGTATTTGCCCCCCAAAAATCCCCACTTATTTTTGTGGCATACTTATTAGTATTTAAGAAGGAGTTGCATTACACAGAATCTACTTTAAAAGTGCTGACTTGTTCATCACAAGATCAGGTTTGCCCTTATCTTAACAGCCATGAATACCATTCAAGATAGATTTGAATTAGAATATTTCAGCAGACTGTTACCTTTCTTCTTTCATCATTGTTTTTGAGCAACATGGTTTACTTTGGGGTGATGCCTGTTTGGAAGGATAGGGCAACCAGGTGGAAGGACTACGTGGGTGTACTGTAACACTTTCACACTAGTTATTTTCCCTTGCAATTCAGTGAGCTGTACTGAATTGAAAATAAATCTGTCAACAGCCAAAGCAAAAGAAAAAATGAAAATATTCTTAAGAAAGGAGAAGTCAATTTAAGGAACAAAGCAAAAAATAAATTAAAATATAAAAATATATTCACCATGAAATATGTACGGAAACTCTCTTCACAAACTTTTGCACATAAACTCACATTTGGAGAAACTGAGGTATGCTCTTATAGGTATTCTCAGTGAAAGTACTTCTAGCTTGAGTTTTGTTCAGCATATCAGGCCTTTTCAGTCTTTCTTTCCCAGCATTCTGAGGGGGTATTACCTTTGAAAATATAAACTGCATTCACCTTGATGCAGTACAATATGGTGAAAAGAGCAATGGGCTTGGAAACATGAAATAAGGATTCCAATCTCAATTATGCCACACAGTGTGTGACCTTAAGCAAGTCATTTTGCCTCCCTTGGTCTTCAACTTCTTCATTTATAAACTATCTGAGGTTGGTTGCCTACATTCATAATTGAAAGAAAAAAGTGCAAACATTATTACTAATATAAAAAGTAAAAGACGGAAATTTATAAAAAGAAGAAAGTAAAGAAAGTTTAGACTAGCTGGTGTCAAATGAAACTTTTAGTTATATAGAGCAGTGGTTGTCCTTAAAATACCAAAATATCCATTATGCTCAAATTGAATGTATAATTGCTAATATTTATTGAGTACCTACGTTGCAAAAACTTTTTTGTGTATTTTACATATATGATTTATTGGATTTTTACTAAAACCCTATGAGGTAAATATTACTATTATTCTTGTTTTATAGATGAAAAAATGGAGACATAGGAAAGCCAAGTAATTTGACTAGTCACGCAAATAATGAGTAAAAGACCAAGAATTCGAACCTAGACAGTCTGGCTACAGAGGATCTGAGATTAACCATTAAGGTATGAAATAAACAGAGGAAATAAATACCCTTGCAAGAAGAAAAGATGGGACAATAAAAGGGAAAAAGCAGAACACTAAAACTATCCAATTTCAGCAGTTGCATATTCCATAGGTGTGGCAAGAGCTTGAGTAGTATTACAAAGATGGAACAATGTGAAGCACACAGGGAGCTATTTTGCTTTTCTAAATGTTATCCAATAAAACAAGGACACTAATACAGAATAAAGCTTTAGTGGCCTAAATCTTTATTCGTTGGCCTGAAATGAAGAAAATAGATCAAAATATTGTTGCAACCATGTATGAATAAAATGTTGTCCTCTTGGTGTACTCTGTTTAAAATATATAAAATAAAGTGTGTGCTCCATAGATAAAGAATATTAGCCTTGTACACACGTAAGAAATCTTAATACTTTTCCAACTTGTCAATGACAGTTATAGTATAATGAAGAATTTGGCAGACCTTTGTGCTCAGTTCCTGGAAGGTAGCTTCTAAATTCTTGCAATTTCCCAAGGATAAGAGTGTCTTCATTATCCATGGTGAGCCTTAGTAGTTTATGTTAATGAGGTGAACTCACTGTGGACTCCTAGATAGTTTAAGCAAAGAAGATAGTACAGGATGGGAGTTGACCTTGCCAGAAAGACCATCCATGTGGTTAGACAATTGGAACTTTGAGCCATGTGACCTCTAGGGAGGGAGTAGGGTTGGAGAATGTATTATGTCACCATGTGGCCAATAATTCAATCAATCATGCCTATATAATGAAATTCCAAGAAAAAGTCTGGACACTGAAGCTCGGGTGCACTTTCCTGGTTAGCGATGCTTTGTACATATTGTTACACATCAATATATCCTGACTTACTTGGAGAAGACACTGGGAGCTTCACAGCTGGGAACTTCTCAGACCTCAATATTTGCTACTCTTCTTTTAGATGGTCTTAGTTAGCCTTGATTTGTATTCTTTTTGCTATAATAAAACTGTAATTATGAATATAATGCTTTTCTGAGTTCTTTGAGTCATTCTTGTGAATTATTGAACTGAGGGAATAGTAGAAAACCATGAATTTGTAACCCATTGGTTAGAAGTGTGAGTGGCCTGGGAAACTCTGAGCTGGTGACTGATATGTGACATAAGAGCAGTCTTGTTGATGGTTATGACCTTAACTGGTGAGGTTTTGCTTAACTCCAGATAGTTAGCATGAGAAGTCATTGCAATAGTCCAGTAGGAAGTGACTTAAGGTATAACAACAAAAATATTTAAGAGAAGTTGGTCACTGCAAATGTGCATAATGAATCAGAATTGTACAAATAGTTCCTCACCTAACATATTTTTAAATTTTTGAACAGTATAACTCATAACAATGTTGAAGTCTGCAATACTAATTTTATGGTCAGTCATTAAACCAAACTCATAATCTATGTAATTATACATTTCAGTGCACAAAGCTAAGACCTTCACTATTTCCTTTCCTTCATGAAAATCAAAGCCTTTCAACCAGGATATTTTCATCACACTAGATAAACTGATTCCATCCATCAGCCTTATGCCAGCATTAGATAGGTAATTATCAAACAAAACTTTATTTTACTTTTATTGAGTCTAAATCCAAACTTTAATCTCCTATCTTCATTTTTAAACTTAACTCACAGTGACATCAACATGGTTTTTTAAAAGTCTTAAGTGTGTTATATGCACATTTTAGTGTTGAGTTTTCAGTAACATTACAGTTCTACAACTATGTCCAGGGATACTGAAATCTGTTATCAAAATGAAAGAAAGCAGCATTATTTTTTGTCTGTAATGACTTTACTGTTTCCATTTTAAAGAAAATATACCCTGTTTAGTAAAATAAGGTTAGGGTGACACAAAGAAGCTAGTAGATAAGGAACAAGTTGAACTCACTCCTAACATTTACAGAGTAAGTCCATTTGTTTAGTGTTTCTGAAGGAAGCTGACATTGTCCGATCTGATTTTTCAAGAAAGTGAAGGATAATTGGCCACTGATGCTTAGTTCACCTTTGCCATCTTCATGACAAAGAGCAGTTTTAAATCCAGTCCTTCAGTTATCTTTTCAACAAATGTTATTGATTACTCATTAGATACCCAGCACCGTTTGGCACTAAGGAAATAGACAATAAAACGCACTTCCTGCCCCAAGGAGCTCTTATCTAATAAGACAAACAACAAAATAAGCAGACAATTAAAACACAATTTGATAAATTCTGTAAAATGATACCCAGAATGTTGTAATAGAGCAGAGACGAAAAAGCACTTACCTCTACTTGGAAGTGTGAGAAACATTTTCTTGGAGGAGAATGACTTCTTAAGCCACATCTTCAAGCCAGAGTTTGAAAAAAAGTTAAAACAAAGAAGGGGATTTGTAAGGTTAGAATAAAGACATGGAGGTAGGGTGACCACTCCTCCTGCTTTTCCCGGAACTAAGGAGGTTCCTGGGGCACAGGACTTATGGTGCTAAAATCAGGAAAGTCCTAGAGAAACCAGGATGCGTTGGTCTCTGCTAAAAATACAAAAATTAGCTGGGCGTGGTGGCATGTGCCTATAATCCAGCTACTCAGGAGGCTGAGGCAGGAGAATCGCTTGACCCAAGAGGCGGAGGTTGCAGTGAATCAAGATAGTGCCACTGTACTCCAGCCTGGTGACAGCGTGAGACTCCGTCTCAAAAAAAAAAAATAAAGTGGGTAAGGAACAGCATTTTTAAAAAACAAAAGTGCATGCCACACAGTAAGTTTAAGTATTCTTTCACAACATTTTTTTTCAGGTAGGCAGAGAGAGAGAGAGAGTGTGTGTGTGTGTGTGTGTGTGTGTGTGTGTGTGTGTACCTGTGTGACACATGCTTGTATAAGTCAAAATCAAATCAAGGATTTCTCAAGCACTTTGGAGAAACTACCTGTTCTTCAGAAAATAAACAGGAACCAGTTTTTTCAAGTGAGCACATCTCACATGCAAGACAGGCTTTATGGGTGTTAAAGTAAATTTAAATGGAGATGAGGCCTGAAGAATCATTGAGTAGACAAAGCAAGTTAGGCTTCATAAGTGACCTCAACCTTGCTATATTTGAAAACATAAGAAAAGCTTAACTTGAACTATTTATTTAAAATGCCTATAATGAAGAAAAACTTAAGCTTAACTAATCAGAAGCAACCAACAGATTTATAATTATATAACTTGGGACTTCTCAACATGATAAACCAAATATGATAACAACTGTGTAACTGTAACCAATCAAATATTTTCTTTGCTTTACGTCCATACCCATCCTATGACATCTTCCCCATTATGTTCTCTCAGTGGAGCTCCTGAACCATTTCTGGTTTGGAGCTGTCTAATTCATGAATTGTTTGCTCAAATAAACTCTTTAAAATTTTATTGTGATGCAGTTTTCCTTTTTAAAATGGGCATGAGACCTGTAGAGAAAACGGGGCCTGATCTTGGAAGGAGCCCCACACTTAACTTCATACTCTGCTTTAACCATCATGAAATTCTTAATAATTCGGCCTTTGACTTTGTGTTTTGAAAGTGAAGTCCAATAGAACAATGGAATATGCACATGAGCAGAGAAGATATGCCTTGTGGCAGCATACACACCACAAGTTCAGACCCAGGAGCATAGTAAGTGTTGAGCAGTTAGCTTGGCTGCCTGAGACACACACACTGGCCTGGGACAGGTTAGGGGTCTGCAGGGACCTAAGGGAGTAATCTTAGGCCATGACCTGAGCCCAGATATCGAGCTCTGCTGGTAGCAGCAGTAGAAATACCAGTGGTGGTAGGAATAGTTGCATCCTGGGAAAAAGGAGGGGTTCCATATAAGGAAAATGCTGGGACTCAAGATGGGTGATAAGCTTGCGTGTTCTGGCATCGCATCCCTGCAGCATCTGTATAAATACTAACTCTGGGCAGGAACTGCCAGAGCTTAGTCAGTAAACTTTGCCAGTGAATTACTACAAAACAAAAATAAACACATGAACATTGCAATAAAACATATCAACAAATTATTAGAATTCTTTAAAGTGTATAGAATTTCTAAATTTGAAAACGGTTGCAACATTACAGAATGAATATCCATGGACTTAGTAATAGCAATTAAATTTAAAGAACACAATTTTTTATTAGAGGCTTTACATTAATCAATTATTAATAAGGAAGAAAAATTTAAAATTGTTTTTCTTTGTAATTGAATATATAGCAATAGAATGCATAAACAGCCATTTTGAATTGGAAATAAATCATGAAACCACTTTCAGTTTCTTCTACCACCTTCTCAAATTACAGAAAATGTCAGAGAAAACATTAAAATTCCATCATATAAATTTACATTTACAATTAAATTTAGTCTTAAATGAAATTGATTTGAATGAAGAGTTAAATCTTTTTAGAAAAATTGTTCTGCAAGAAATATAAATTCCACATGTACTAAAACTTATATTTAGACCTAATTTATCAGAAATCATCTCAATATTATTATAGCCTATGTAATACTCTTAACAGTGGTATCAGCAGAAAGATCCTTCTAAAAACTTAAAAATTATCAAAAATTATTTGCATTCTTGTATTTGCCAAGAGCAACTGACACCACTTTCAATTATAGCAATTGAAATTTAAGTGGCTAAAAGTGTGTATTTTGATGACTTTAATAAATAAATGTACAGAAAAGTGAGCCAGAAAAATCTTCTGACGGATCAAGATGTCATGTTAATAAAGTACGATTGCCTAGGCGCGATGGCTCACACCTGTAATCCCAGTACTTTGGGAGGCCAAGGCGGGCTGATTGCTTAAGCCCAGGAGCTTGAGATCAGCCTGAGTAACATGGTGAAACCCTGTCTCTAGAAAAAATAGAAAAAGTAGCCCGGCATGGTAGCACACACCTGTAGTCCCAGCTGCTTGGGGTGCTGAGGTAGGAGGATCACTTGAGCCTGGGAGGCAGAGGTTGCAGTAAGCTGAGATCAGACCACTGCACTCCAGCCTGGGTGACAGAACAAGACGCTGTCTCAATAAATAAATAAATAAATAAATAAATAAATTAAATAAATAAATAAATAAATAAATAAATAAAATCATTTATTATATTATATAAAATTATTACACCAAAATATTATTTTCTTTGCATTAAGTTCATCTTGTTATTCATGTATCTACCCCATTAAGTTTATAAGTAATGAAATATTTTTTAAAAAAAGTTTTATATTTTAATACCCTAAACTACACATTTTTCTTCTTTTTGAACAAAGAGTCTCATATTTTCATTTTTCACTAGGCCTTGCAAATTATGTAGCCGATCCAGCTTGCAAGTATTACCATAGAATAAGAGAAACAGAGATGATCTTTGTTATCCTATCAATAAACTTGTATTTTAATAGATATAGCATTAAGCAAATGAAGCTATGGTATTGTGGTAGTTACTGTTTTTGTCATGCTCAGGATATTCTCCCAGCCCCATATCTTATAAAAAGAAGTGAGCCTGTGACCTAGGCTGAGACCATCATAGCAACCCAGCTGTATGATCCCACTGATTGGCCCACGGATGAACAAGCCAGAACGATCTGAGGTCTTCCTCGGGATTATTCAGCTAAATGTGGTAGGGAAGTGTCTCTCTTCCCTGTAGTTATGGAATTGTAGGGATGTCAAGGAACTATAAGAATATGACTCTATGGGTGTCAGAGGCCATTTTCTCCACAAAGTGGAGAAGGCTGAAAGGAAGAAACTAACATTCAAAGCAACCAATAGTGGGTAGAAGAGGGAGAAAAAGAGAAAGGGAGAAAAAAAAAAAAGACCCATAGGATTGAAATTGTATTTTGCATACTTGAGATTCCTATAGCTGCCCTGTCCTTATAGCTTTTTTTTTTTCTTTCTTTCTTGATTAGGAGAGCTACTCTACATGTATTTAATATATTCACTTCTCCCTCTTAAGCTAGTGGGAGTTGGATTTCTCTTGCAACCAATATAATCCAAACTAATAGATGGATGATAACAACTTTATATTTGTGAGCATTTCATAACATATCATAGAAACTCTGAATAGCCAACAGCAATAATTCAAGAATAATTGAGATAGAATTACCATACATGATCAAAATTAAAATACTAATTTTTGTGGAGAATTTTATAATGTGTAATATATGTACAGTATGTCATTTCACCTTTACACCAATTCTGTGAGCAAGACAGGATAAGTATTAATATGTTTCTGTCTTCCACACATTAGATGGGAAGCTGCATAACAGAAAAAAATATATATCTTTTTCAGATTTTGCAATTACCTGGCAGAAAACCATATTTTACAAATAATGAAACAGGATATATTGGCCCAAGGCTACACAAATGGTAAGTGACTGGTCAGAGACTGGTTCCCCTGGGCATCTAGCATTTTGTGTTTTGTGATAGGCATTATATTTGACATTACAGATACAAAGGTGAGGAACATCCTAGTCCTCCTTCTCTTAAAGAATTCACAGTCTAGTTCACAAAGAAGGACTTCTCAGATATTTCTGATATATCCCATGCTGTCCTGTTGAAATCACTCAGCTGGTGATAAGTTTGAGGTAAAACACTTTGTATTACTAGCTTATATTCACAAAAGGATCTTGAAATGTTCAGTGTTTATATATTTAATCATATTTTAACTTTTATTGAATGGTAAAAGAATTTTCCCCCCGCCCCCTACCAAAAAAAAAAAAAAGATACAGGCCGGGTGCAGTGGCTCACACCTATAATCCCAGCACTTTGGGACGCTAAGGCAGGAGAATTGCTTGAGGCCAGGAGTTCAAGATCAGCCTGGGCAACATAGTGAGACCCTATTTCTATTTAACAGAAAAAATAATAAAAGTAACAATAATAAAATTTAAAAATTACTCAAACTGTGGTGGCGTGCATCTGTGGTCCCAGCTACTTGGGAGGTTGAGATGGGAAGATCACTTGAACCCAGAAGGTTAAGGCTGCAGTGAGCCATGTTCATGTCACTGCATTCCAGCCTGGGTGGCACAAGGAGACTCTGTCAAAAAAAAAATTCTTCCATAGGAAATCTGGCATATCCAGTGTGGGACTAGAACCTGGCATATACTAGACACTTACTACTTAATGAGTTGTATTGTTGCACTTCCCAGCCCTATCTCTAATAGTTTTCTTCAGAGATGATATATTAGGGTAGTTTAGTGATTGGGAACTCAAGTCAGATAGAACTGTGTCAAGTCCCAGTTCTGCCATTTATGACAGAACTGTAATAGTAACTCCATTACTATTACAAAGTTTAATAATCATTTTGTGCTTTACTTTTCTTACCTGTAGTATGACAATAATAATAATACTTATAAGATTTGTTATGAAAACAAAATATAGTGTTGCAATATAAAGTACTTGGCCTATATGTTGCAATGTAGTACATTTTAAGTTTTGTTTTTTCTTAATTCTAAGTCAAAATAATGTTCGAGATGATGGATATGCTAATTATCCTGATTTGATCATTATGCGGTGCATGCATGTATTGAAATATCACATTGTCCCCTATGAATATGTATAATTATTATGCATCAATTAAAAATAAAATTTAAAGAAAAGGGAAAGTGATTAAGTAATCAAAACAGTGTAATCTATAATAAATAAAAGGCACATAAAATGCTATGATTGTGCATGTTCATGATTAAACATGATTAAATAAACATAAAAAAGCTATATAGACACCTCACCTTTTTTAGACTTCTTAATCTTAAAAATGGTTTCATTATTTAGTTTATAATGCATATAGTACTTTGTTGTAACTTTATTACTAAATATCACTATTTAGTTCCACTTTGACAATAATATCAATCCCCAAAACACATTATTTGCAAGCATCTAGTTTATGAAACGTGCGTGATTCATAGATAATTAAAGTTAAAATGAATTACAAAGTAAATTTTTAAAACTTCTATAGTTGAGCTTCACAAGCCACACCTATTGCAATATCCTTTTTCCGTCATTTACTTCCCTATTCAGAATAACACTATCCAAACTTCTTTTAGGGCATTAATATTATGTAAGTCTAAACGTGAATGTGGAAGTACTCAATGGATTAACTTAAGTATCTTGTTAATTTGTATTAATTATCTTAATTTTTTCTATTCTCGTTTTCAGGAGATTTGAATAACAAAGTAGCATGCATTGATTAAAATTCTAAGTTGACAAAAGCTATTAATTTAGGAAACATACATTTTATGCAAAATGTGGTGTCACGCAAAGACTTATTTATTTCAGTGTAGGATAATCCAGTATGGTGATCAAGATGCATACAGATCATATGCCAGCTTCAGCTCTGTAATATTTTTCTTTAGGGAAAAATGAAGAGCTGTCTTCAGAAGCTGCAATTTCAGGCATTCTTTATAAACACTGTGAATAGTTGCTCAAGTCCAGTTAATGTATTTAATATCGACAACTATCATGACTATTTGGATTGCAAAAGACTTCTTTTATTTCATAACACTTTCTTAGTCTAAATCACTGGTCTTTAAACTGCAGTCCATGAGTCATATCTAGTCTGCCAACCAATTTTTAAACAAAGTGCTATTGGAACACATCCTCCCACACTCTTTCATTTATGTATTAGCTACCTCCTTGGCTTTATGATGGCACAGTTGACTAGTTGTGACACAGACAGAAGGGCCCTTGACAGAAAAAATTTGCTTAAGTCTGGTTTAAATCATTTGCACCATTACGTCATTTCTCTACTACCTTGAATATCTCCAGTCCAGTGGAAGCTTCACTAAGCCAAATTTGATTTAGGGGATTCTTTCAACTATGGTAATGTATTTTCACTTTCTTTTCTCAGTTAAATTCTTTTAGATTTAGTATAGACCCACTGGCCACATTTAATAACCAAAGATCCACTCCATGCCTAACTGTTCTCTTTGAAGTTTCCTAAACTTCCTTTAAACAAATTTCACAGTCTCCTTTTAATTCTCATTATTCTAAACCTTTCATGCATGACAATTATGATCACCCTACCAATACAGAAGTTCTCTCTCATTTCTTGGCTCTAAATTATAATAATATCCTGTTTTTCTCTTTTGTTATAGTCTTCTTTGGCTCATCTTCTTCCTTTCACTTTCTGTGTGCATTCTCCTAGGCCATTTTATATTCTCATGCTATGCGTATCCCTAAAAAAAACTAATTTATTTTCATAGCTTTAACTATCACATCTATGACTGCTGACCCCTAAAAAGACCACCAAAATATCTTGTTGATCTGACAAAGTTGAATGTATTCTGTGTTGTATTAAGAGAAAACACCACCTTGATAGACTTTTAGTAGTGTCTTGGAAGGGGAAGGGAAAGGGCAGATCTTCATACAGTTTTGGGATTTGTCTTAAGGAAGGTCTTTCAAAGAAGGGATCTGCCTGGAATCGGAAAAAAAAGTTGTAACACAGATTTTTAGATTGGTGAATGCAGCAAAGCAAGAATTTTGAAGTGTCCTGATGAGTAATCATTTGATAAGCAAGCAGTTTGCACATTGAGTGATCTGTCATCCTGAGAATGGTGATATTTACCCTGATGAGTAACTTCTTGCCTTGAGCAGGGCAGCTAACTGATCAGCTTATTGTTCAGATAAAAACCTTGTTGCAACTTTATTTTCCTAGGCAATAATGTCCTGAAATAGTAAAGTAATGTTAACCTTGACAGCCTTAGTTCTTGAACTCATTAAGCAGTATGTTTGCAGGAAGTTTGTTCTCACTTCTAGTCCAATAACTTGCAAATAATATCTATAAGATACAGTCTCACTTACTCTAGATGACTGCTATGCCAGGTCCTATTTTCAGTTTCATTTTTATTAATGGTACTAATATACTTCAGGAATCCTAGGTTTGAAGCCTAGGCATTATATTTAACTGCTCTTTCAAAATGACTCCCAGTATTCAACCAGTCATCAAGTTTTGTCTGTTTATAATCTCTTTGATAAAATCCTCCAAAAAGTGATGAGACTAGCATAAGGAGGAAGTAATGAGCAGCCAGGGCTACTTCCTCAGATAGACTGAAGGAAAAGGTAACTTCCTGAATGAAATAATGGTTATGTATGTTAAAGCAGTGTCACAATTACTCAATTACTTGTTAGCCTGAGTCTAGGGTTACACAACTTCCAGAACTGTGATGTAAAAAGAAAAGGTTAAATTGCAAAACAAATGATAGGAGAGAGAAATTTGGAAACCACTAGCAAAACTGAGTGCAGTGCTGTGAAATGTCTTCATCAAGATCTACAACCAGTTAGAAGTTAGAGGTCTGGTATGGTTTGAATGTGTTCACCAAACTTCATATGTTGGAAACTTAATCCCCAAAGTAACAATGGTGGGAGGTAGGAACTAATAAGAGGTGATTAGGTCATAAGGGTTCCACCCTCATAAATGGATGAATGTTATTATCATAGAAATGAGTTCTTTTATCTCTAGATGGGGCTTATAACAAAAGCGAGTTTAGCTCCCTCTTGCTGTTTTGCTCTCATGCTCTCTTGCCCTTCCACCTTCCACCATGGGATGATGCAGCAGGAAGGCCCTCACCAAATGTTGGTGCCATGCTCTTGGACTCCCCAGCTTCCAGAACCGTGAGTCAAATACACTTTTATCATTTACAAATTACATGGCTGTGTGGAGTTAGCTCATGCCTGTAATTTGAATACTTTGGGAGGCTGAGACGTGAAGATGGCTTGATGTCAGGAGTCCAAGACTAGCCTGGACAACATTGAGAGACCATGTCTCTATAAAAAGTTTTTAAAAATATTTTCATTGATTAGAAAAATACCTAATTTGAGGTATTCTGTTACAGCAACACAAAATAGACTAAGACGGGGTCCCTATAAAGTCAATTTCAGTATATAATCAAGGTTGACTAATAAGAAAAGAGTAAGTATTGGCTGATTGAAATAATGAACCCTTACCATCTTTGTGAAGCATTCAGGAATAAAAGCAAAGTATTGTTGCTCTGTTCTAACTTTCTCTAGAGGATAGAAACCATACGACCATTAGCTGACTATTCTTCCTCAAGAACATAAATTCCTTCCTTCCCACTGACCACCAACATTCTGATCATGGATAGTTTGATATTTGGGGAATTGTGGATTCTGGTTCCCAGTTGGCAATGAATTCTTCACCACAACAAACAGGCTTGAGCCTGTTTTCGTGATTCTGTGAATGTCAGGTCTTTCTGATAAAAATTAGTATTCACCAGTAACTAAAAAACAGATAGAGGCTATCTGTCCTTAACCCTAAAAACCTGGCTATGAGGAGAAAACAATCCTCAGACCAAATTCCAACAAAGGTACTCACATTTCTTCACAACCTGTTTATAGATAAAAGAGGCCCCTCTTTCTATCCTTAAGTCCACCTTGCATAAAAAGTTTACTCTAAAACAAATGCAATTGCATTCTTTCACCTAAATGGCAGAATGTGGAAGCTTGTCGTCCTATCAAGGGGTAAGATTTTCAGTGAAAAGGAGATGCAAGACCAATAAGTTTCAGTCCTGGAATGTACCTATGACACAAGACTTCCGATTTCCAACACCTTGCAGATTTCCAACACCTTATTCATACCAATGAGGTTGGTCCTCTTGCACTATTCACAGACAATCACATATCTAAAATACTGTTATTTTTTCCAATCAAAAAATATTTTTAACATTCCTGTGCAAATTGGCCAACCCTAAGTTGATGTATTCATTTAAGATACCTCACCTGCTAATTAGCCCCAAGTGTTGCTTCAGATAAAGACATTTCATATGCTAATTAGTTACCCCTGGGATTTTAATTAGAATTAACTTTTTAATGTTATTCATCACATTGTTTATACAGCCATGATGTATTTTAAATTCCACTCAGACAATATAACTCAGTAAATGCTGCAGGCCCATATATGTATAAACATCATGAAAGCCCACTCCATACTCCATAGCCTGGCTGGCAGAACATAGAAGAACTACATTTCAGACAAGTGGGATGAGCCCAGCCTGTTAGCTCTGCCTCTTAATGTATAATTGCACGTTCTAAAATTTCAAATATGTAGCATTATCTTCTTCTTCTCTGAATTCTCAGAGCACTTTTGGATTTATTATAAGATCCATAAGGAAAGGATCCAGTTTGTTTTGATCACTGCTCTGTTCGTGGCTTACAGAATCGTTTCTGATGAATGAATGTATCAATGAATAAACACATGAATGTGTAAGCTCAGTGATCCCAGACTATGACTGAATCTCTCTGAGCCTCTGAAGTTTCCTTATACATAAAAAAGGAATAGTAATAATACTTACTTTATATTACTAATGTCATATTCTTAACTCAAATGCACTTTACATGGTGCCACTACATTAATTTTCTTGAAACACTATTTTATACAACCTTATCACTGCACTTACCATATTGTTGTATAATTATCTCTTTCTGTGTCTGATTTTCCCACTGGACTATGAATTTGTTGAAGGCTGACACATGATATTTTATATTGTGTCCCCAGATCTAGCACGGTGAAAAGCACATATTAGGTCTCAATGAATGCTTGTTGAATGAATAAATCTGCTTGAGTCATTGCAATGGTTGAAATGAATATAACCATAATTTATATCAAGTATCTGAGTACCAAATTTAATTTTATACTTATTTTCAAAGTTTGCCCACTGTAAATATTTCTACTTTATTATTAAATTGTACCATGCTAAAAAGTTAGGTTTTCAAAGGAAATTAATTCCTCAGAGTAAGTTAACTGAGCCAGTTGATTTGTGGCTATGTGTACAAAGGCAAATGAAATAGAAAGTTGAGTAATTGCTCTGTCAATTTAGTCAATATTGACAGCCACTCTGGAGCACACAGTTTACTTTTTACTTAAATAGTACAGATAATTGTCTCAAATCTAAAAAGAAAGAATGACCCTGCATTTGTTCCCCATATGACATAAAACTGGTTACTGTGAGATGGAAAATTAAACCATATAAAAAGGTACTAGTATGAGGGTACTAATTCCTTAGGCATCAGAAGTACTTACTTATAAAGTTCTTTTCCCTTTAAGATAGCTACATGGTATGACCCTTAGGGAAAACGCCTCTGAAGACTCTATAGTTTTCAAGGAAAGGCACCAAAAAATTGAAATACATTTCCACCCTAAACACATTACTGACAATTCCACATCAACAAACAAGCTTAATCCTTCTTTAGACATATTTGTCTTGCTAGTTAAAAAAAAATTACTAGAACCATGACATTCCCAGTTATTTTGGAATAACTCTAAAATAAGCAGAGACCTTTAAATTCCAAATACTGAATTTTTAAATATGAGCAAAAGCACTTGAAAATAAACATTTATATTTTCATTTATAATTCTTCCAAATTCTAATTATATTTTCTGCATTCTTATCTGCATATGATTTTTACTTAAAACCTAGATGATGGGTTGATAGGGTGCAGCAAATCACCATGCATATGTATACCTATGTAACAAACCGGCACATTCCGCACATGTATCCCAGTACTTAAAGTTAAAAAAAAAAAAAAATCTGAAATTATTAAAAGATGTATATTTTTGCTTATTTTAAATTCATTTTTATTAATTGATAGTATCACCATTCATTAAAATTATATAAATTGATTTAAATATTAAAGCTAAGCCTATGTAAATTAAATGCCATTTGTTAGTAAAAATTGAATTTTGCTAAGAGTTTCAGGTTGATTTAGTTGCAATTGAGCCCTAAATTTAGTGCTCATCTTCTTGGACTCAAACATAAATTGAAAACATTATGGGATTTTATAGTTCTTATTGTCTAATAATAGAAACCAAAAATATTTGTCTACAGAGACAAATGTTACCAGCATTTAATTATTGTATGAATGCTTTGAGGAGCATGGCATAGACTTTGAGAAATATGACAGGCATCGACCCTCATTTTGGTTTTGTCTTGCTCCGTTTTGTACTGCTATAACATAATTCCACATCCTGAGTAATTTATAAACATTATAAGTTTATACCAGGCATGGTGACTCATGCCTGTAAATTCCAGCACTTTAGAAGGCCAAGGCAAGGGGATCACTTAAAACCAGGAGTTTGAGAGACCAGCCTGAGAAGCAAAGCAAGACCCCATCTCTACAAAAAAATAACAAATAAAATAAATTATCCAGGCACGGTGGTGTGTGCCCATAGTCTCAGTTACTCAGGAGGATGAGATGGAAGGATTGTTTGAGCCCAGGAATTCAAAGCTGCAGTGAGCTATGATCATGCCACTGCACTCCAGCCTGGGCAACAGTGAGGCTGTCTTTAAAAAAAGATAATGGAAAGAAGTTTATTTGGCTCATGGTTCCGGAGACTAGGAAGTCCAAGAGTATGACACTGACATCTGGTGAAGGCCTTCATCCTTCATCATCTCATGGCAGAAGGTGGGAGGGTAAGAGTGAAAGAGTAAGAGAGGGCCAACCTCATTTTCATAACTGCCCACTCACAATAACAAACCCACTCCCTCATGACCTAATTACCTCTTGAATGTCCTACCTCCTAAAACTACTGCACTGGGGATTGAGTTTCCAACACATCAACATTGGGAGACACAGTCAGACCATAGCATTTTACCTCTGGCCCCTAAAGTGCATATCTTTCTCATATGAAAACGCATTAGCTCCACCCCAATAGCCCCAGAGCCTTTACTCATTCCAGCATCAACTCAAAAGTCCAAAGTCCAGAGTCTCATCTAAATCAAATATGCATGAACACAAGGTATGATTCACACTGAGGCACATTTCTCTCCAGCTGTGACCCTATGAAATCAAAACAAATCATCTGCTTCTAATACACAATGGTGGGACTGTCATAGGCTAGACATTCCCATTCCAAAAGGGAGAAATAAGCAGGAAGAAAAGGGTAACCAGTCCCAGGTAAGTCCAAAACTCAATAGAGAAAACAACGTTAGGTCTTAAAGCAGGAGAATAACTTCATTTTACTCCATGTTCAGCACCCTGGGCACACTGGGGTGGAGATCGGGCCCCCAAGGCTTCTGGCAGCCCTGCCCCAACAGCTTTACTGGGCTCAGTCCATGCTTCAGATCCCTTGGGTTGGAGTTACATGCCTGCAGCTCTCAGGCTGGTATTGCACTCCGGTAACTCTATAGCTCTGGGGTATTGATGGCGGACTTACTCCAACAGCTCTACTAGGCATTACTCTAATAGGGACTCTCTGTAGTGGCCTCATTTTCAGAGCTCTACTAGGCACTGCCTTAGTGGGGGCTCTCTATAGTGGCTCTGCCCCTGTGACAAGTTTCTTCCTGAACCCGCATGCTGCCCAATACATCTTTTGAAATCTAGGTGAAGGTCACCATGGCCTCATAGCTCATGTATTCTGTGTCTGCAGAGTCAGCACCACATGACCACTGCCAAGGCTCACACTGTTATGGGATCCTTGGGGTGTTGCTTTTCCAGCTGGAAACCTCTGTGGCCAGTGGTGCCTTTGCCTGAGTTTTGCTCTGGCATGTGGGGCTCATTCCTCCCACTCAGCCTGCCAGGTTACTCTCGGTTCATGATACCGGCCTGGATCCCTCACCTGCCAAGGGTGAGCAAAGCATCAAGGAGTGTGTGAGTGAGTGAGCGTAGGGTCCAGCCACTTCACACAGCAAGGCACGCCAGTTGCAGTGGGGTGGGAAGCTTCAGGGGCTGGCACAGGCACCAGCTCCCTGCAAGGCTACAGCTGGATCAGGTGTACCGCAAGTAGCTTCCATAGCTGGCACCAAGGAACACAGTGGCACCCAGAAGCTTGGAGATGCCAGGAACCACAGATCCCCAAAGAGGGTATCACAGCCCTAGCTCAGGAAGCTCCTAGGTCTGGGCTTCCTGAAGGGCCGCAGCTCTTCTCTCCTTCTGTCTTCTCTCCTTCTTGTCACCCTCAACGTGGTGAGCAAGGGGTGCATTTCAGCCCTGTTTGTGTTACGGCTGCTTCAGCTCTGCTATTCAGCAGGTCCCGAGTTCTTGTCCTGCATCCAGGAAAAATGAGATATGCAGACAAGTGGAGGGTGAGCAAGGTGAAGAGGTGCTTTATTGAGTGACAAAACAGCTCAGAGCTGACCTGCAATAGGTACCTCCTCTCCCCAGGCAGGTCATCCTGAAGAGTGTTCAGCTCTCAGCAGAGAGGGGAACCACAGTCGGTAGCTCCTCTGCACAGGCAGGTCATCCAGGCGTTTGTTCAGCTCTCAGCAGAGAGGAGAACCACAGTCGGTAGCTCCTCTGCATAGGCAGGTCATCGAGATGTTTGTTCAGCTCTCAGCAGAGAGGAAACCCACAGCAGGTAGCTCCTCTCCACAGGCAGGTTGTCTCATCAACTGCTCAGCTCCCAGCAGAGAGGAGACTCACATTGGGTAGCTCCTCTCCACAGGCAGGTGGTCCTGTCATCTGCCTGAGTCCGCCTGAGTCCAGGGTTTTTATGGACTTCAAAGAGGAAGAAGTATGTGCTGATTGGTCCATGAGTGGCCATGGGCTGGCCAGAAAAAGCACCATAAGTTCTCACTCCAGTCCTCAGAACTGGCAGCCTGGCCCTCAGGCATTAGGCCGTCCCAGGCCTGAAGGTGGAGTTTCACCAGGGACCCCTTTCTGCCTAGGAGCCTGCCTCCTGCCACCATTAACCTGCTGTCCATGGTGTGCACAGCGCCCAGGCTGTTTGTGCCAAGGGATGCCCGAAGTCCTGCCCAGAGACACCCTTACCACCCCCACCATCCTCCCAACTGTGCTCATTGGCACCTAAAGTCCAGAGGGGGCCAAGGCAGCAAGGGGCTGGTATGTCAGCACTGCCCCAAGTGTGCACACACTCAGCTGGGTGGTGACAGCACCCAGGCTCAGCCACAACTTTGCTCTGAAATCAAAGTGGGTTCCATGAGTGAAGAGAGGCCATGCAGCAGGAGCAGGCACTTCTGAGCCTGCAGGGGCAGGGGGGCTTCATGGGCCCCCAAGAGTGCAGAGATGCCTGGGTGCACAGCTGCTGCTGCTGTGTGGCTGCAGCTGCACCAGGGATGGTGAAGCTCCTTCTTCTCCAACTTGGAAGGGGGCTGGGCTTCTCCCTGTTCCTAGCTCCCGCCAGCTCCATGGAGTGTGCAGTCCAAGTTGTGCCTCCCCCACTGTAGCCAGCATCATGGCAGTGGCCACTCCAGATAGGCTGCCACCGCCATCAACATCACTTTCACCCTCCAGAGCAACAACATGAGGTTCACCTGGGCCTGCCTGAGCCACAGGTGAGGTGACCAAGGAGCAGTGTGCCAGAATGTGGGGAGCAGAATCATGAGGTGGCCATAAGCAGCGCATGCTGAAGTCCCATGGGCCCCTTTCTGGATACGTTGCCCTGACTCACAGCCCTGTTCTGAAACTATAATGGGAGGAGCAGCCTACTCAAAGATCTCTGAAATGCCTTCAGGGTCGTTCTATCATTGTCTTGATAAATAGCACTTGGCTCTCTTCTATCTTTAGTAGTCTCTTTAGCAAAGTGTTGCTTGGCCACACCCTTGGTTTGTTCTTCTAAATGTGCCTTTTCACTTCTTATATGGCCAGGCTGATAATTTTCTAAATCTTTTCATTTTAATTCTCTTTTCATTATAAATTTCATCTTTAAGTAATATTTCTCTATTCATAGCTTCCTATATGTGGTTAAAATGGCCACATATCTTTTTAAATATTTTGCTTAAAAATTTATTCTGCCAGATATTCTAGTCCATTACTCTTAAATTCCACCTTTTATAAAGCCCTTGGGCAAGCCCTGGTAAGAAGGATGGCCTTTCCTCCAGTTTCCAATACCTCGTTCCCCATTTCCACCTGATACCTCATCAGAATTATCATTACTGTTCATATTTCTACCAGTATTCTGATAACAATGACTTAAGTAATCTCTAAGAGATTGCACTCTTTCCTACAGTGCTCCCTCTTCTGAGCTCTCACCAGAATTGCCCTTAGCACTCCATTCACAGCAACCTATGCGTTTTCTAGCCTGTTCCACCAAATTCTTCCAGCCTCTGTTCATGACCCAGTTCCAAAGCTGCTTCCACATTTACAGGTATTTATTCTAACAAAAGCCTTACTTCTCAATACCAGTTTTTGTCTTGGTTCATTTTGTGCTGCTATAAGAGAATACCACAGACTGATACAAGCAATAAAAGCTCATTCATGATTCTGGAGGCTGGGAAGTATGAGAACATGGTGCCAGAATTTAGTGAAGACCTTCTTGCTGAATCATCCTATCACAGAAGGTGGAAGGGCAAGAAAGGTTGAGAGCAAGAGTAGGCCAAATGTACTTTTAAAATAGCCCACTTAATAACTAGCAACCCCCTGAATAACTAACCCACACTTGCAATAATGGCAGTATAATTTGCAACAATAAGCACCTATTTTGTCTCCGATAAATTTGATGGAAATATTCTGCTTTGTCTATTAGAAGCAAATGTCAGATATGAAAATGATATGTCTCCAGACTTCCACTTTCCTGTCTGACATGTAAGGAACTTGGAAGTCTTCACTCCATTTTAACAAGTAAAAAGTTAAACAGGCTGTGCGCAGGGGCTCAGGCCTGTAATCCCAGCAGTTTGAGAGGCCAAGGCGGGCAGATTACTTGAGGTCAGGAGTTCGAGACCAGCCTGGCCGACATGGTGAAACCCCATCTCTACTGAAAGTACAAAAATTAGCTGGGCATGGTGGCAGGCACCTGTAGTCTCAGTTACTCAGGAGGCTGAGGCAGGGGAATTGCTTGAACTGAGTAGGCAGAGGTTTCAGTGAGCCAAGATCGCGGCACTGCACTCCAGCCTGGGTGGCAGCGAGACTCAGTTTCAAATTAAAAAAAAAAAAGTTAAAGTTAAATACACTGAGAAATTAATAACTCTTCTTAAATCTGTCAAAGAACTGTTACCTCAAAAATTGGAGACACCAACAAGTAGATACCAAGAATCACAACTTACTGAGAAGAAACCCAGCAGCAGAAACTTCTGCAGGGTAGAAAACTCCAAACAATAATCGAAAACATTGCTGGAGGCTCAGGTAAACAAGCCTAAGAAATAAAATCTTCATCAGAATCCAGTCATAAGGGACACTCACACTTTGGTTAGTTTCACCTCCACGGGCTCTACTAGATCTTCACAGTGTTTATCAAAGGAAAACCCCTTCCTGCATCCAGCAGGTAGAGGGAAATACATTAGATTCTTCTTAATAAAGCCTGCCCTCAGGAGAAATTATTTAACCAGAGGCTAGCCTGCTTGAGTTTTACCAGACCCTAACAAACTATGGGAAACTACAAAAGAGAGAGCATACACATAATGGGAATATCAGAAAAAGAGAAAGGAACAGAAGAAATATCTGAAGCAATGACTGAGAATTTCTCCCAAATTAATGTCAGACATCAAACCATAGATGCTGGAAGCTCAGAGAACAGAAAGCAGGATAAATTACCAAAAATCACTATACCAAGGCAGATAATATCAAATTTCAAAAGTACAGAAGATAATGAAAAAAATCTTGAAAGGAGTCAGAGGGAAAAACACTTTACAGAGAAGCAAATACAAGAATTATACCTGACTTCTTTTTAGAAAGTATGTGATATGGTTTGGTTCTGTGGCCCCACCCAAGTCTCACCTTGGATTGTAATCCCCATAATCCCCACATGTCAAGGGCAGGATCGAGTGGAGGTAATTGGATCATGGATGTGGTTTTCCCCGTGCTGTTCTCATAATAATGAGTTCTCAAAAGATCTGATGGTTTTATAACTGCACTCACTCTGTCTTGCTGCCCTGTGTAGAAGGTGCCTGCTTCTCCTTTGCCTTTTGCCATGATTGTAAGTTTCCTGAAGCCTCCGCAGCAACGCCAAACTGTGAGTCAATTAAACCTCTCTTCTTTATAAATTGTTGAGTCTCACGTATTTCTTCATAGCAGTGTGACAACAGACTAATACAGTAAATTGGTACTGGAGGTGGTACCAATTTTACGTGCTGTAAAAATACCTTAAAATGTAGAAGCGAATTTGGAACTGGATAACAGGCAGAGGTTGGAACAGTTTGGAAGGTCCGGAAGAAGACAGGAAGATGTGGGAAAGTTTGGAACTTCCTAGACACTTGTTGAATGGCTTTGACCAAAATGCTTATAGTGATATTGACAATGAAGTCCAGGCTAAGGTCGTCTCTGATGGAGAGGAGGAACTTGTTGGGAACTGGAATAAAGGTGACTCTTGCTGTGCTTTAGCAAAGAAACTGATGGCATTTTGTCCCTGCCCTATAGATCTGTGGAACTTTGAACTTGAGAGAGATGATTTAGGGTATCTGGCGGAAGAAATTTGTAAGCAGCAAAGCATTCAAGACATGGCTTGGGTGCTCTTAAAAGTATTTAGTTTTATGCATTCACAAAGACATTGTTTGGAATTGGAACTTAATGTTTTAAAGGGAAGCAGAGCATAAAAATTTGGAAAATTTGCAGCCTGATGATGTGATAGAAAAGTAAAACCCATTTACTGAGGAGAAATTCAAGCCAGCTTCAGATATCTGCGTAAGTAATGAGAGCCAAATGTTAATCTCTAAGATAATGGGGAAAATGTCTCCAGGGCATGTCAGAGGTCTTCATGGCAGCCCCTCCCATCACAGGTCCTGAGGCCTAGGATGAAAAAATGATTTCATAGGCCCGTTCCAGAGCCTTGCTACTTTGTGCAGTCTCAACACTTGGTGTCCTGCATCCCAGCTTTGGCTAAAGGGGGCTAAAATGCAGCTCAAGCCATTGCTTCAGAGCATGCAAGGCCCAAGCCTTGGTGACTTACATAAGCGGTTGGGCCTGCGGGTGCACAGAAGTCAAGAATTGAGGTTTGGGAACCTCTGCTTAGATTTCAGAGGACTTGACTTATCTTGGATGAGACTTTGGACTGTGGACTTTTGAGTTAATGCTGAAATAATTAAGACTTTGAGGGACTATTGGAAAGGCATACTTGGTTTTGAAATGTGGAAAACATGAGATTTGGGAGGGGCCAGGGTTGGAATATATGGTTTGGCTCTTTGTCCCCATCCAAGTCTCACCTTTGATTGTAAACTCCATAATCCCCACGTGTCAAGGGCAGGGCCAGGCAGAGGCATTTAGATCATAGGAGTGGTTACCCCCATGCAGTTCTTATGATAATGAGTGAGTTTTCATGAAATCTGATGGTTTTATAAGCATCTGGCATTTCCCCTGCTTGCACTTACTCTTTCCTCCTGCCCTATGAGAAAGGTGCCTGCTTCTCCTTTGCCCTACACCATGATTGTAAGTTTCCTGAGGCCTCCCCAACAATGCAAAACTGTGAGTCAATTAAACCTCTTTCCTTTATAAATTTCTGAGTCAGAGGTATTTCTTAATAGCAATGTGAGAAAGGACTAATACAGTATGCAAGCAAGAACAGAATGAAGTGAAATATTCAAAATGTTGAGAGACAAAAACATCAACCTAGAATCTTGTATGCTGTGCAGTTATCCTTCAAAACTGACAGAGAAATAAAGACTTCTTTGACAAATAAAAGTTGAGAGACTTTGCCAATAAACCTATCTTGCACAAAATGTTAAAAGTTCTCCAGAGAAAAGACAAATGATACATGTCAGAAACTCAAATCTACATAAAGAAAAGTGTCACAGAATAAATAAATGAAGGCTAAATAATCTTAGTTAAATTGATCTAACAGATAGTTTATTCAAAATAATAATTGCAACAATGTACTCAATATATATATTGGATATATATATTTACATATGCTTATTATAAGTAAAATAAATTACAAAAATAACACGAGGAACAGTAGAGAGGAATTGGAAATATTTTTTATTATGATACTATTGCTACCTGTGAATTGGGATATTGATATTTGAAGGTTGACTTGGATTAGTGGTAAATGTATATTGCAAACTCTAGGGTAATCACCAAAACAAATATATAGGAATTTATGTACTAATACAGGAGAGAAAGTAGAATTATATAAAATGTTCAATAAAAAACACAAAAGCAGAAACATTATGGAACACAAAAACAGGAAACAAGGGCAGCAAATAAAGAACAGTACCAAATATGGCAGATATCAATCCAACTATATCAACAATTACCTTAACTGTCAATGGCCTAAATATACCAAATAAAAGAGATTGTCAGAGTGGATCACAAACAACATTCAACTATACATTATCTCTAAGAAAACCACCTTAAATATTAAAGACACACTTATATTGAAAGTAAATAGAGGGATCAAATGTCCTACAAAGTCCCAGAAAAAAATAAAAAATAAAATTTGAGGGAGAAAGATACACCTTGTTAACACTAATCAAAAAAAAGTGGGAGTAGCTGTTTTTTTCTTCTCGTTTTTCAAGTCTCAAGAGGGTAGCTATTTTAATTTTGGACATAGCAGACTTCAGAGCAAGGAAAGTTTTCAGGGATAAATAGGGGCATTTCATAATCATAAATAACACCATCAATGAACTGGATACCATTGACATCTATAGATTACTTCATTTAACATCAGCATAATACAAATTCTTCTCAAGCTCACATGACACATTCATCAAGATAGATCATATGACCATATTCTGGGCCATAAAACAACAACAAATTTAAAAGAATAGAAATTATATAATGTCTGTTCTCAGACCACACTGGAATTACAAATTAGTAACAAAATGAAAGCTGGAAAATTCCAAAACAGTAGAGATTAAACAATGCACTTCTAAATAAGACATGAGTCAAAGAAGAAATCTCAAACAAATTTTAAAATATTTTGAAATAATTGAAATGAAAATACAACTTACCAAAATTTGTAGGATATTGTGAAAGCTGTGTTTACAGATAAATCTATAGAACTGAATACATATATTAGAAAAAAAGAAAGATATAAAACCAATCTTCTCAGTTTCTACCATAGGAAACTAGAAAAAGAAGATCTAATTAAATCCAACATAAGCAGAACTAAAGAAAAATGAAAAATCAGACCAGAAATTGATGAAATTGAAGAAAGGAAATCAACACACAAAATCAACAAAATCAAAAACTGGCTCACTGAAAAGATCAATAACATCAATAAGCCCATAGCCTGGCTAAGAAAAAAAGATACAAATTACTAACATTAGAAATGAAAGAGGAGACGTTACTGAAGATCTCCTGAACATCGAAAGGATAATAAAGGAATATTAAGAACAACTCTAAACCCACAAATTTGATTACCTAGATAAAATGGAAGAATTCCTTGAAAGACAGAATCTGCCAAAACTCACACAAACAAAAAAAGAAAATATGAATAGGCTTATAACTGTTAAAGAAATTTAATCAATAACCTACAACCATTCGAAACAGCACCAGGCCTAGATGAGTACACTGGTGAATTCTACCAAGCATTTCCATACATAGATATATAAAATACATGAATAGATATATAATATACAAATATATATGATATAAAATATATATAATATATATCACATATAAATTATATATATGATATACATTATACATATTATACAATATATAATAATATAGTATTAATGTATATTATATTTATATATTATATAATATATACTATATAATATTATGTAATAATATAATATATATTATATTCTATTATAAATGATATATTATATTTATAAATTGTATTTTACATATATAATATATATAACATGAATAATATTATATATATTATATATGTCAAATTCATTATATATATTAATTGTATATACAAATTATATATATTAATCATATATATAATACATAAATTACAATATTTAATAATGTAATTCATATTCTATATATTACATATAAATATAATATAAACCCTATATATTACATATGAATATAATATAAGCCCTATATATTACATATAAATATAATATAAACCCTATATATTACATATAAATATAACATAAACCTATATATTACATATAAATATAATATAAACCCTATATATTACATAAAAATATAATATAAACCCTATATATTACATATAAATATAATGTAAACCCTATATATTACATATAAATATAATGTAAACCCTATATATTACATATAAATATAATATAAACCTGATATATTAAATATAAATTTAATACAAACCATATATATTACATATAAATATAATATAAACCCTATATATTGCATATAAATATAATATAAACCTTATATATTACATATAAATATAATATACACTCTATATATTATATATAAATATAATATACACTCTACATATTATATATAAATGTAATATACATTCTATATATTATATATAAATGTAATATACACTCTCTATTATATATGAATATAATATACACTCTATATATTATATATGAATATAATATACACACCATATATTATATATGAATATAATATATACTCTCTATATTATATATGAATATAATATACACTCTATATATTATATATGAATATAATAAACACTCTATATATTATATGTAAATATAATATGCACTCTATATATTATATGTAAATATAATATGCACTCTATATATTATATGTAAATATAATATCCACTCTATATATTATATGTAAATATAATATACACTCTATATATTATATATCAATATAATATACACTCTCCCTATATATCAATATAATATATAATCTATATATTATATATCAATATAACATATAATCTATATATTATATATCAATATAACATATAATCTATATAGTATATATCAATATAACATATAATCTATATAGTATATATCAATATAACATATAATCTATATAGTATATATCAATATAACATATAATCTATATAGTATATATCAATATAACGTATAATCTATATAGTATATATCAATATAACGTATAATCTATATAGTATATATCAATATAACGTATAATCTATATATTCTATATCAATATAACGTATAATCTATATATTCTATATCAATATAACGTATAATCTATATATTCTATATCAATATAACGTATAATCTATATATTCTATATCAATATAACGTATAATCTATATATTCTATATCAATATAATATATAATCTATATATTCTATATCAATATAATATATAATCTATATATTCTATAGCAATATAATATATAATCTATATATTCCATAGCAATATAACATATAATCTATATATTCTATAGCAATATAACATATAATCTATGTAATATATATCAATATGACATATAATCTATGTAATATATATCAATATGACATATAATCTATATATTCTATATCAATATGACATATAATCTATGTAATATATATCAATATGACATATAATCTATGTAATATATATCAATATGACATATAATCTATGTAATATATATAAATATGACATATAATCTATGTAATATATATCAATATGACATATAATCTATGTATTATATATCAATATGACATATAAACTATATATTATATATCAATATGAAACGTAATCTATATATTATGTATCAATAGGACATATACTCTATATATTATATATCAACAGAATATATACTCTATATATTATATATCAATAGGATATATACTCTCTATATTATATATCAACAGGACATATACTCTATATATTATATATCAACAGAACATATACTCTATATATTATATACCAATAGGATATATACTCTATATATTATATATCAATAGGATATATACTCTATATATTATATATCAATAGGATATATACTCTATATAATATATATCAATAGAATATATACTCTATATATTATATATCAATAGGATATATACTCTATATACTATATATCAATAGGATATATACACTATATACTATATATCAATAGAATATATACTCTATATACTATATATCAACAGAATATATACTCTATGTATTATATATCAACAGAATATATACTCTATATATTGTAAAGCAACAGAATATATACTCTATATATTATATATCAATAGAATATATACTCTATATATTATATATCAATATACTATATACTCTACATATTATATATCAATAGAATATATACTCTACATATTATACATCACTATATATACTCTATATATTATATATCGATATAAAACATACTCTATATATTATATATGAATATAATATATATAAAATGTACTATATAAATATAATATATTATATATAATGTATATAAAGAAAATATATATTAAATATAATATATGTAAATATAACAAAATTGTATGTATTATATATGATATATATCATAAATATATATCATATATAATATATATTATAAATATATATCATATACAATATATATTATAAATATATATGAATATATATAATATATAAATATATCTTATAAATATATATGAATATATATAATATATAAATATATATTATACATAAATAATTATATATAACATAAAAATATATAGTATACATATATAAATATGTATAACATATAAATTTATATTATAAATACATAAATAAGTATAATATAAAATAAATGTATAATAAAAATATATGTATAATATATGTATAATATATGTATAATATAAATATATGTATACATATGTAAAATATGTATAATATAAAAATATATATCAAAAGCATATAAATATGTATAATATATAAATATATATTATAAGCATTTAAATATGTGTAATATATAAATATACATTACATATAATATGTAAATATGTATTATAAATATATATTATGTATAATACATAATATATATTTCTATATCATATATAATATATAAATATATATTGTATATAGTATATAAATGTATATTATATATATTATATATAATATATACTTATATACTCTATATTATCTATAAATATATTTTATATAGAATGTAGAAATATATTATATAAAATACAGAAATACATATATATAATATAGAAATATAAATTATATAAAATATAGACATATAAATTACATAAAATATAGAAATATATATTATATATAATATAGAAATATATATTATATATAATACAGAAATATATATTATATGTAATATAGAAATCTATAATATGTATAATATAGAAATATATAGCAGGTAAAATATAGAAATATATATTATATATGATATAGAAATACATATTAGGTATAATATAGAAATATATACTATGTATAAGATAGAAATTTCTACTATGTATAATATAGAAATATATATTATACATAATATAGAAATATATATTATAAATATGTAAATGTATATAATATAATATATACATATATATTATGCATAAAATATATGATATATATTTTGAATATATAAAACTGTATAATATATAAATGCATATTATGAATATATAAATCTATATAATATATAAATACATATTATGAATACATAAATCTCTATAATAGATAAATAAATATTATGAATATATAAATATGTACAATATATAAATGTATATAATATATAAATGATTATAATATATAAATATATTATATAGGAATATATATTATGAATATATAAATATATATCATATATGAATATATATTATGAATATATAAATACATATAATATATAAATATATATAATATGTACATATATTTTACAAATATATGTAAATGCATATAGTATATAAATATATAATGTACAAATATGTAACATACAAATATATATGATATATAAATACATATCATATATAAATATATGTAATAAATAAATATATATTATATATCAATATATATAATAAATAAACATATGTTATATATCAATATATAATACATAAGTATACATTATATATCTATATATAATAAATAAAAATATATTATATATCAATATATAATAAATAAAAATATATTATATATCAATATATAATAAATAAATATACATTATATATAAATAAATATGATATATGAATACATATGATATACATAACATATGTGATATATAAATATATATTATCAATATAAATATATATTATACATAAATATGTATTTTATGAAACTATATGATAAATAAATAAATATTATATAGAAATATGTATCACACATATAAATATACATGATATACAAAAACATATTACATACCTAAATACATATTAAATTTAAAAACACATATGATATATAAATATACATCATAAATAAAAATATATACACTATATAAATATATTATATAGAATATATATAATATATGAATATCCATTATATTTATACATATATAATATAAAAATATGCATTAAATATAAATATACCTAAAATATGAAAATTTTATGTACTTTTTAAATATGCATTAAATATAAATATAAAATATATAAATATATATTAAATATAAATATATAGTATATAAATATACATTATATATAAATATATATGAGATATAAATACACATCATATAAAAATATATAATATATAAATATACATAATATACATATATGATATGAATATAAAATATATATGAATATGTAATATATAAATATACATAATATAAATATATAATATATAAATATACATTGTAAATAAATCTATAATATATAAATGTGTATAATATAAATATATATAATATGTAAATATATAATATAGATATATATGTAAATATATTAAATATTATACAAATATACATTATCTATAATATATAAATTATGTACAATATATATTATCTATAATATATAAACGTATATTATAGATAATATATAAATATATATTATATATAATACATATACATTATATATATAAGTATAAATATATTATATATAGTAAATATATATTATATATAACATATTAATATATATTGTATATATAATGTATAAATATATATTATATACAACATATAAAATATATTTTCTGTATGTCATGCATAAACATGTATTTTACATATAATATATAAATATATATTTCATATATATAACATAATTATATAATATGTATATTCTAATTATATAACATGTATTTATATGTAATATATATATTTATATATTATATATAATATGTAAATCTATAATTTATATAATATGTAAATATGTATTATATATAACATAAATATATATATTTATTTTATAATTTACATATTTATTTATATACATATTTATATATAATAATGTATGTATATAATGTATATATATGTAATATATATATATGTAAATAAGTATAATATATCAATATATAACTTATAACTATATATAATATATAATATATAAATATATCTAATATAGAATGTATACATTATATAAATATACATGTATAAACATATAACACGTAAATACATATAATATACAAATATATATCATATTTAAATACGTAAAAGATAGAAATATATATTATATATAAATACACATGATATATAAATACATATTATATATAAATACATATGATATATCAACATATATTATATAAATATATATGATACATCTATATATTATATATAAATACATATGATATATCAATACATATGATGTATGAATACATATTATATATAAATATATATGATATATAAATGCATATTACATAAAAATAACTATGATATATAAATGCATATTACATATTAATACATATGATATATAACTGCATATTACATATAAATACATATATAATGCGTACGTATAAATTATATATGAACATATGTAATACTTAAGTATTTATTATACATAAACATATATAATTCATAAGTATATCTTATATATAAACATATAATACATAAATATATATTATATATAAACATATATAATACAGAAGTATATATTATATAAACATTTATAATACAGAAGTATATATTATATATCAACATATATAATACAGAAGTATATATTATATATCAACATATATAATACAGAAGTATATATTATATATCAACATATATAATACAGAAGTATATATTATATATAAACACGTATAATACATAAATATATATAATCATATATCATATATGAATATATATTATATATACACATATATAAGAAATAAATATATTATATATAAACATATATGATATATAAAATATATTATATATAAACATATATGATATATAAAAATATATTATATAGAAACATATATAATATATAAAAATATATTATATAGAAACATATATAGAAATATATTATATAGAAACATATATAATATATAAAAATATATTATATAGAAACATATATAATATATAAAAATATATAGAAACATATAATATATAAAAATATATTATATGTAAACATATATAATATATAAAAATATATTATATGTAAACATATATAATATATAAAAATATATTATATGTAAACATATATAATATATAAAAATATATTATATGTAAACAAATATAATATATAAAAATATATTATGTGTAAACATGTATAATATATAAACATATTATGTATAATCATATTATGTATAAACAGATATAATATAGAAACATATATTATATATAAACAGATATAATATATAAACATATATTATATATAAACAGATGTATAAACATATATTATATATGAACAGATATCATATATAAACATATATAATATGTAAACATATGTAATGTATAAACCTATGCAATATATAACATATATTATGTGTAAACATATAAAATATATAAGCATATATTTTGTATAAACATATTCAATATATAAGCATATATTATGTATAAACATATACAACATATAAGCATATATTATGTATAAACATATACAATATATAAGTACATATTAGGTATAAATATATACAATATATAAGCATATGTTATGCATAAACATATACAATATATAAGCATATGTTGTGTATAAATAGATAATATATAAACATGTTATGTGTAAGTATATAGTATATAAACATGTTATGTATAATATATATAATATATAAACATATATGTAAATGTATACAATATCTAAACATATACGTAAATATATATAATATATAAACATATATTATATGTAAATATATATACTATCTAAACATATATTTTATGTAAATATATGTAATAAACATATATTATATATAAATATGTAATAAATACACTTATATTATATAAATAAATATAAGGATAAACTTATATATAAATATACATAATAAATAAGCATTTATTATTTATAAATATACATAATAAACATATTTTATATAGAAATATATGTAATAAACATATATTATATAGAAATATGTATTATGTAAATATATAACATATAAATATGTATTATATTAATATATAACTTATAAATATGTATTATATAAATGTATTATATGTAAATACTTATTACATAAATATTATACATATAAATATATAATAGATAAATGTATAATATATAAATATGTAATATATGAATATATAATATAAATATATATGATATATAAATATATATTATATTTATAAGTATATATGATAGATAAATATATATCACGTATAGAATATATATGATATATAAATATATATCACATATAGAAATATATATGATATATAAATATATATCATGTATATAATATATATAATATATCTAAATGTATTTATATAAAATATATACATAAATATATTATATATGAATATATATAAGTATATATATTATATAAATGTATTATATGTAAATATATATGATATATAATATATAAATATGTATTATGTATAAACATATATAATATATAAATATGTATTATATATAAATATGCATAATATATAAATATGTATCATATATAAATACACATAATATATAAATATATATTATATATAGTTATATATAATATATAATTTCATATTATATGTAAATATATGATATATAAATACATATCATATATAAATATATATAATATAATTATGTATTATTTATAAATATATAAAATATATAAATACATATTATATATAAATATTGATAATATATAAATATGTATTACATATAAATATATATAATATATAAATATGTATTATATATAAATATATATAATATAAAAATATGTATTGTAGATAAATATATATAATATGTAAATATGTATTGTATATAAATATATACAATATAAAATATGTATTGTATATAAATATATATAATATATACATATGTATTATATATAATTATATATTATATAAATATATATTGTATATAAATATATATAATAAATAAATATGTATTATATATATAAATATATACATTCTCTACAATCTACCTCAAAAGTTGAAAGCAGAGGGAATATTCCTAACTTTTTCTATGATGTCAAAATTAATATTAAAATCAGACAATAAGATTACAAGTAAACCATAAGCAAATATCTCTCATAAACACAGATACAGAAAGGCTCAATTAAATACTAAGAAGTGATTCCAACAACATGTAAAAAGACATACACCACAAACAAGCCGGATTTTTCCTAGGTATAAAAGGTTGGCTTGACCTTTTAAAATCAGTTAATTTACTACATAACATCAACAGATTGAAAAAGAAAAATCTAATGATCTTATCTATAGATGCAGAAGAAACATTTGACAATGTTCAATGCCCATGAATGATAAAAGCCTTCAACAAACTACAGATGGGAATGGGGACATCCTCAACTTTATAAAGAACCTCTGCAAAAAACCTAGAGCTATCTTCATACTTATTGGTGAGAAACTTGAAGCTTTCCAACTAAGATCGTGAATAAGACAAGGATTTCCTCTCTTACCACTCCTTTTCAAAATCACGTGGAAAGTCTTAGCTAATGCAATAAAACAAGAAAAGAAAATATATACATATAGTGATGGGATAAATAGTTTTTGTTCACAGACAACATGGTCTTCTGTGTAGAAAATCTGAATCATAAAAAAAACCTGGAACTAATAAACAATTTTAGCAATGCTGCAGGATATGAGGTTAACACAGAAAAGTCAATCACTTTTCTGCATACCAACAATGAACAAGAGAAATTTGAAATTAAAAACACATTGCCATTTACATTAGCATCCCTAAAAAAGAAATGCTTCATATAAACCTAACAAAATATATACAAGATCTATATGAAGAAAACTACAAAAATCTCACGAAAGATATCAAAGGAGAACCTTAAAAATGTAGAGCTATTTTATTTTCATAATTAGGAAGACTCAATATTGTCAAGATACCAGTTCTTTCCAACTCTGTATATTCAATGCTATACGAGTCAAAATATCATCAAGATATTTTGTGGTTATTGACAAACTTATTCTAAAGTTTACATGGGGAGGTCATATACTCTGATAGTCTTTCCATATAAACCTTAGAATAGCCAACCCAATATTGAAGAAGGAAAACAATCAGGATCCTGACACTACCCAACTTTGAGACTTACTATAAAGCTACAGTAATAAAAACAGTGTCATCTTGGTGAAAGAATGGACAAGTAAATCAAAGGAACAGAATAAAGAACCCAGAAATTGACCCACATAAATATAATCACCTGATTTTTGACAAAGGAGCAAAAGCAATACAATTGAGAAAAGATAGTCTTTTCAACAAATGGTGGTGAAACAATTGGATATCTATATACCAAAAAGTGAATTTAGACACAGATTTTGTGCCCTTCACAAAACTTAACTCAAGTGCATCATAGATCTAAATGTAAAATGTAAAGCTATAGAACTCCTAGAAGATCACTTAGGAGAAAAACTAGATAACCTCGGATATGATGACAACTTTTTAGATACAACATCAAAGGCATGATCCATGAAACAAAAAATTAATAAGCTAGACTTCATTAAAATTAAAAACTTATGCTCTGCAAAAGACAAAGCCAAGAGAATGAAAAGACAAGCTACAGATGGGAAGAAAATATTTTCAAAAGACACACCTCATAAGAAAATATTCAAAATATATAAAGAACTCTTAAAATTCAAGAATAAGAAATTAAAAGTCTGATTAAAAATGGGTAAAAGACCTGAACATATACTGCAACAAAAGAGATAAACAGATAGCAAGGAAGCATGTGAAAATATTTCAATATAATATTTCATAAGAAAAATGCAAATTATAACAATACTGAGATACCACTACATTACCTATTAGAATGGCCAAAACTCCAAACACTGACAACATAAAATGCTGTCAGTGGATCTACCATTCTAGGGTGGGGAGGGCATTGGCCTTCTTTTCACAAGTTCACTAGGCAGTGCACCAGTGGGGACTCTGGGTCTCTCCTACTAGATATAGGATTATGATTACTACAATTCAAGGTGAGATTTGTGTGGGGACAAAGCCAACCATATTATTTCAACCCTGACCCCTCCCAAATCTCATGTTCTCACATTTCAAAACACAATCATACCTTCCCAACAGTCCCCCAAAGTCTTAACTGATTCCATCATCAACCCAAATGTCCAAGTCCAAAGAAGGTCATTATATAATAATAATAAAAGGGTCAATTCAGCAAGAGGATATAACAATTATAAATATACATGCACCCAACACTGGATCATACAGATATATAAAGCAAATAGTATTAGAGCTAAAGAGAGAGATAGACCACAATACGATAGTAGCTGAAGAATTCAGCACTCCACTTTCAGCATTGAATAGATCTTCCAGACAGAAAATCAACAAAGAAACATCTGACTTAATCTGCACTAGAGACCAAATGGATCTAACAGATCCATTTACCGAACATTGCATCCAATGGCTGCTGAGTACACATTTTGTCCTCAGCACATGGATCATTCTCGAGGATAGACCATATATTATGTCACAAAACAAGCCTTAAATCATTCAAAAAATGAGATTACATCAAGCATCTTCTCTGAACACAATGGAATAAAACTACAAATCAATAACAAGAGAAATTTTGGAAACTATACAAACACATGGAAATTAAATAATATGCTCCTGAATGACCAGTGGGTCGATGAGGAAATTGAGAAGAAAATGGAAAAAATTCTTGAAACAAACGATAATGGAAACACAATATACCAAAACCTATGGGATATAGTGAAAGCAGTACTAAGGGGGAAGTTTATAGCTGTAAGTGCTTACATCAAAAAAGAAGAAAAACTTAAAAAACAAACCTAATGGTGCATCTTAAAGAATTAGAAAAGCAAGAGCAAACCAAATCCAAAATTAGTGACAACATGAAATAATAAACATCAAAGCACAAATAAATAATTTTGAAATGAATAAAACAATACAAAATATCAATAAAATATAGTTTGTTTTTTTGAAAAGATAAACAAAATTGACGGTTCTTTAGCCAGACTAAGAAAAAAACAGAGATGACCTAAATCAATAATATCACAGATGAAAAAGGAGACATTACATCTGATACACAGAAATTCAAAGGAATATTAGTGGCTACTGTGAGCAACTACATGCCATTAAATTGGAAAATATAGAAGAAATAGACAAATTCCTAGACACCTACAGTCTACCAAGATTGAACCATGAGGAAATTCAAAACCTGAACAGACAAATAAGAAATAACAAGATCAAAGTTGAAATAAAAATTGTTCAAATAAAGCCTGAAACTCAATGGCTTCACTGCTGAAATCTACCAAACATGTAAAAAAGAACTAATAGCAATTCTACTCAAACTATTCCAAAAAATAGAGAAGGAAGGAATACTTTCAAACTTATGGTATGAGGCCATTATTATCCTCATACCAAAACCAAAGACATATCAAAGAAAGAAAACTGCAGGTCAATATCTCTGATGAGTATTGATGCAAAAATAATCAACAAAATACAGCAAGCCAAATTCAGCCATATGTGAAAAAGATCATTCATCTTGACCAAGTGGGATTTATCCCTGGGATGCAAAGATAATTCAACATATGCAAATCAAGCAATGGGATACATCATATCAACAGAATAAAGGACAATATGGTCAAATCAATAGATGCTAAAATTCATAAAAAGACCTTTGATAGTTGATCAGAATTGGTGCTTTTTCTATTATTATTAATAAGTAATAATAAAACATGACTTCATAATAAACATATTTATTGTTTGTCATACTTCTATAAATCTCTGCCCTACAATCACATAAATTTGCATAAATTATATTTTATATTATTTCCATAAAAAAGTTTAAATGGTTCTTTTATAATCACATTATTGAGTGTAATACTAACTGTAGAGAACATTTGACTAGACTCAGGATAACTTAATCCTCTTTTTATAATTTTATACATTTAATGATGGGAAGACTTTTGCATAGACGGGTTTTTGGCTTTGTACATTTCAGATCTTGCTATTCCTCTACTATCTTCATATTTCCAGTGCTGGAAGCTGTAGCTGTTGTTCATATCACAACGTGACTCCAGGTTTTCATCTTCATGTTGTATGCACAGAAGGTGGTAGGAATATTTGTGGAAGCCACTCCTACCCTGGGGCAGGTAATAATAACTATACATGAATGTGACTGTGGATCATGTAGATATATCCTACTGAAGTCAGACTAAATAATCTCCAACTGAACTTCTTCTGAGCCAGTTCCCTAATGTGCCTGTTGTCACTTGAGTCCCATTCTATGCAAGGAAGAGTGAGTGGGGAGAAAATATAAAAGAGATATTGGTTAAAAATACTCATTCTGTCTTGCCGGCTGCCATGTAAGACGTGCCTTTCAGCTTCCACCATGATTGTGAGGTCTCTCCAGCCACGTGTAACTGTGAGTCCATTAAACCTCTTTTTTTTTGGAAAAAAAAATATATATATATGTATATATATATATGTGTGTATATATATATATATACATATATATATATATTTGTATTAGTCTGTTTTCACACTGGTGATAAAGAAATACCCAAGACTTGGAAGAAAAAGAGGTTAAATGGACTCACAGCTCCACGTGGCTGGGGAGGCCTCACAATAATGGTGGAAGGCAAGGAGGAGCAAGTCATGTCTTGCATGAATAGCAGCAGGCAAAAAGAGAGCTTGTGGAGAGGAACTCCCCCTTGTAAAACCATCAGATCTCCTGAGACTTATTCACTATCACAAGAGCAGTATGGGAAAGACCTGCCCCCATGATTCAATTACCTCCCACCGGGTCCCTCCCACAACACTTGGGAATTTAAGATGATATTTGGGTGGGGACACAGCCAAACCATATTATTCTGCCCCTGGCCCCTCCTAAATCTCATGTCCTCACATTTCAAAACCAATCATGCCTTCCCAACAGTCCCCTAAAGACTTAACTCATTTCAATATTAACTCAGAAGTCCACAGTTCAAAGTCTCAACTGAGACAAGGTAAGCCCCTTCCACCTATGAGCCTGTAAAATCAAAAGCAAGTTAGTTACTTCCTAGATACAGTGGGGATACAGGTATTCAATAAATACAGCCATTCCAAATAGGAGAAACTGGCCAAAACAAAGGGGCCACAGGCCCCATGCAAGTCGGAAATCCAGCAGGGCCATCAAATCTTAAATCTCCAAAATGATCTCCTTTGACTCCATGTCTCACATCCAGGACATGCCGATGCAAGAGGTGGGTTCCCATGTCTTGGGCTGCTCCACCCCTGTGGCTTTGCAGGGTACAGTCTTCCTCCCAGCTGCTTTCCCCAGCTGGTGTTGAGTGTCTGTGGCTTTTTCAGGTGCACAGTGCAAGCTGTCAGTGGATCTACCATTCTGGGGTATGGAGAATGGTGGCCCTCCTTTCATAGCTCCACTAGGTTGTGCCCCAGTAGGGACTTTGTGTGGGGGCTCTGACCCCACATTTCCCTCTGCACTGCCCTAGCAGATGTCCTCCATGAGGTCCCTACTCCTGCAGCAAACTTCTACCTGGGCATCCAGGAGTTTCCATACATCCTCTGAAATCTAAGCAGAGGTGCCCAACCCAATTCTCGACTTCTGTGCACTCGCAGGCTCAACACCACATGGACGCTGCTAAGGCTTGGGGCTTGCACCCTCTGAAACCATGGCCCGAGCTCTACATTAGCCCCTTTCAGCCATGGCTGGAGCATCTGGGTTGCAGGGCACCAAGTCCCTAGGCTACACACAGCATGGGAACCCTGGGTCCAGCCCATGAAACCATTTTTTCCTCCTAGGCCTCTGGGCCTGTGATGGGGGGAGCTATCATGAAGACCTCTGACATACCCTGGAGATATTTTCCCCATTGCCTTGGGAATTAACATTCTGCTCCTCATTACTTATGCAAATTTCTGCAGCTGGCTTGAATTTCTCCTTAGAAAATCAGTTTTTCTTTTCCATTGCATTGTGAGGCTGCAAATTTCCCAGACTTTTACGCTCTGCTTCCCTTATAAAACTGAATGACTTTAACATTACCCAAATCACCTCTTGAATGCTTTGCTGCTTAGAAATTTTTTTCAAAAGATACCCTAAATCATCTTTCTCAAGTTCAAAGTTTCACAAATCTCTAGGGCAGGGGCAAAATGCCACTAGTCTCTGCTAAAACATAAAAAGAGTCACCTTTGCTCCAGTTACCACCAAGTTCCTCATCTCCATCTAAGACCATCTCAGCCTGGATTTCATTGTCCATATTGTTATCAGCATTTTGGTCAAAGCCATTCAACAAGTCTCTAGGGAGTTCCAAACTTTCCCACATTTTCCTGTCTTCTTCTGAGCCCTCTAGACTGTTCCAACCTCTGCCTGTTATCCAGTTCCAAAGTAACTTCCACATTTTCAGGTATCTTTTCAGCAGTGCCCCACTCTACTGGTACAAATTTACTGTGTTAGTTCACTTTCATGCTGCTGATAAAGACATACCCAAGACTGGGAAGAAAAGACATTTCATGGACTCACAGTTCCACATGGCTGGGGAGGCCTCACAATCATGGTGGAAGACAAGGAGGAGCAAGTCATGTCTTACTTGGATGGCAGCAGGCAAAAAGCTTGTGCAGGGGAACTCCCCCTTAGAAAACCATCAGATCTTGTGTGACTTATTCACTATCATGAGAACAACATGGGAAAGACCAGCCCCCATGATTCAATTACCTCCCGCTGGGACCCTCCCACACATGTGGGAATTCAAGACAATATTTGGGTGGGTCACAGCCAAACCACAACAATCTTAGTTTTACAAATTTTGCAAAACCATGTGATGATGCAAATATATCACTAGTGCTCTGTTGTGCATTAGGGTGTACCCTAATCCAATGTGACTAATGTCCTTGTAAGAATAAGATATTAGGACAGAGCCACACACAGAGGGAAAATCATGTGAAGACACACAGAAAAGATGGCTATCTACAAGCCAAGGAGCGAGACCTTAGACAAAAATCAACCCTGCTGACCTCTTTATCTTGGACTTCCAGCCTCCAAAATTGTGGGAAAATACAACCAGTCTGTGATGTCTTGGAAGTCATAGCAATTGATACAGTCCCATTAGGGTCTTTCGAGGGACCCATTCTAGTAAGGGTTTCCTGAATCTTAAGCTTCATTAGTTTCATCATAAATCCATCTCTATCTGTACCACACAGTTTGTCACTCAATTTTGTTCTATCTTGTATCACTAATTTATAATTCTTTCCAATTTTATTTTAAGTGCCTTGAGGATATTGACAGTTTTCCAAGTCTTCAACATTCACTCCCATCCATGTTTTATCCCTCTAATATCCCAAGATAGGATTAGATACAGAGTGTATCTATTAAATAACATTTATTGAATCATTCATCACATCTATATGTAATCTCACCTGGAGTTATTAAAGGTTTATTAAAGAGAGCCTTTGTCATCTCCATAAGATTAAATACTCTTCTGTGAGTCATGGCTATTTTTGCAGTATTGATGTTCACATAAACACTTTTGTTGAAAGCCAGAGTAACTTTAGTATACTAGCAAGTGCTATCATAGGCTAAAATTAATATGCATGCATATAATACTAAATATCAGGTATCAAATAAATATTTATTAATAACTAGAAACCAGGAAACTAATTTATATCTTGGAAGCACATAAATATTATGAAAAGAGAACTACAGTAACTGATCAAATAAGTATAGAGAGTCATTAACTTCATTATTGTTGAGATCATGTACTACTCAAATTAATAAGTTGTTAACACAATTTCCCAAGAGTGTTATCCTCACCCCACCTAATTCACAGAATCTGAGTATGAAAAGCAATTTTATATATGCAGAATCCTACTTTCACTTTTTCACATTTCATGATCTTGGAGGGTGCATGTAAACAAAGATTGAATTTAGAAAATAACTAATGCCTATGTAGATTTAAAAGTAATTAGAAACATCCTAAATCCTGTCCGTTTGTAATGTGTTGCTACAAAATCTGTTCTTTTTATTGATGAACTTTTAAAATTAGCTTTATTTCTATTTGCTGTTGTTAAAAATTACTGTTGATTTAATTATTTTCCAGATTAATAATTGAATAGGCTTTACTCATAATTTATTAAATAAAACATACAGAGGTGTGAACGAAAATTAGTATTTTCATAGTGGTTTATTTGATTCCACTGACTGTTTCCCTGTTTCCTAGGTATGATCTAGGAAACATAGTTTAAAATATCTAGATACACATGCAAACCCCAAACTTCTCATGATAAGCCCCAGATAGACTTTCTTATGGCTAAATAAATAAATATAATGCCACAATTGAGTAAGCCAGTCTGTTTCTTCTGAAACTGAGCCGTTAACTGTCAAAAATGGTAGACATGGCCATAGTGAAGGTGTTATTATATTAGAATAATTATTGTATTATTATATATTATCTTATTGATAGGGACAGGAGGCAGAAAAATTCTAGGCAGAAAAGGATGGGACCCTTGGAGAAGCCCTACCCTGGAGCCTGGAACCATGGCCCAAAGTGAGAACATGCATTCTTGTTTTCCTGCTTGAATGTTGCCTTTTCCAATACCTCCCATGGCCCACCCCAGCCCACATCCTGTACCCACAAAAACCCTAGGCTCCACCAGTAGAGAGCAGAGAAGGGGAAAAGAGGAGAAACAGCTGGATGTCAGAGACTGTGGCTTGACATTGGAGAGAAGCAGCTTGACCTCAGCGAGACTTCGGAGAAGAGTATGGCCTGAGATGGCTGGACTTCACGGGAAGGATACCTTCCCACTCCATCCCCTTTACAGCTCCCCATCCCGCTAAGAGCCACTTCCATCAGCAATAAAATCCCCAGCATTTATTATCCTTCATGTGAACTAATTTTTCCTGGACACCAGACAAGAGCTCGGGATACAGAAAGCTGTCACACGGACCCTCTGCTCTTGCAAAAAGGCAGAGGGTCCACTGAGCTGTTGAACACTTAAGCCATCTGTGGACAGCAAAGCTAAAAGAGCACTGTAACACATGCCCTCTGGGGCATCAGGGGTCACAGGCACCTCCCTAGACGGGGGCAGCACAGAGTTTTGCTCCTGCCAGCACCCAAAAGTGTTCGCTCCAGCTCCTGCACCCACTCCTCTACATGCTCCCCCTCCTGTGAGGGGTTGAGAGCTGCAGGCTGAGTAAGCAAGGCATCCCTGTCCTGAGTCCCATGAAAGGGGTCAAGGAATAGTTCCTGTTTCATCATGACGTATACCAGCAAGTTTCATCCAGCAAAAGGAATTAAAAAACGAAATAAGTACTATATCTTCCAAATATTATCATATAAAGAAAAATTATAAGTATAATAAATGTAAGAAAACAGGTGGCCAACTAGATTTTTTAAAACCATAAGGTAGAATGAAATGTACAATAAAGATATTTCAGTCAATGGGAGGCAGAATGTTTAAGGTGTATCTATGCAAATCCTCTCATCTTTTAGTTGTAGATCAATGTTTTATATATGATAAAATATTAAACATCATGAGCATCTTGACTAAATGATTATAGCTCTAATTCTTGCTTTGTTATTTAGCCAATAACACATTGCTGTTGATGGTTTCAGCTAATGACTGTACCAAGCAAAAAATCTTTCTTCTTTTTAAACTGCAGCACTAAAAGCTAAAATGTGTTTCATAAGTGGCTTCTGCCTTGATTATCATCATCAACATATAAAAGGGTAAATAATGAATGTATTTTCTGAGTCAGGTTCTATGATGTGAAATGCTGAAATAATAAATTATACTTTCATGGAGCCATAAGTAAAACAAAATACATGCGTGTTCTAATTGTTCTACTGTAATTGTGGTCATTGACTAGGGTTCCTTTAAATAAATATGTTTCCTGCTGGGAATGGTGGCTCATACCTGTAATCCCAGCAATTTGGGAGGCCACGGTGGAAGGATCCCTTGGTTTAGGAGTTTGAGATCAGTTAGGGCAACACAGTGAGACCTCTGTCTCTACAAAAGATAAAAAATTAGCTGTGCTGCTACACTCGGCCTGAGTGACAGAGTGAAACCCTATCTAAAAAAAAAAAACACACACACACACACAGAAAATAAATAAATGAATATTATGTTTCTTGATTATAAAAAGATTATATGCTTATCGTAGAAAATTGGGAAAGTTTAGAAGTTTAAAGCTAATTCTCTATATACCATTGTATTCCACTTCCTTTTTTTCTCCCACATTCCATATCTTACATATTTTCCCACGTATATTATAATTCTTTGTAAACATTTTCAGAGTTCCATTCTAATGGTAACTTACAATAAATTGGCTAAATAAAGGTTACACATAGAAACATATTAGATATATTTAAAAGTAAATATACTATGCTAAAAAAGAATGCTTGTAATCAGAGACTGTTAGTTGTTGTTTGTTAGACAATACCACATTTTTAAACAAGTATCCTTTTTAGTGTTATTCATTTACTTGAATTCTTATTTATGGAAATGAATAACTGTGAATAAATGTGTCCAGCATATAACAAAAGTATTCCATTAATACTTCCTTAGAAATATTTTAGCTGTGGTAGAAGTGGGAGTACAATTTTAATTTGGATTTCTAATTGATAATTGAAGTTTCTAGCTAAATGAATGTAAACATACAGTAATTCAAATACTCAGCCACATGACTTTTTAACACCTTAAATTAGGTCTTCCCTAATTAAGGAACTCATTATGCTAAAGTTTCAGGTAATATATGTTTCAAGCATTTCACTGAACTTAGGTCAGTTGCTTGGTTTTATTTTTGGAAGCCTATTCTGATATTTTCCAGACCATGTTTTAAAATGTTATGAGAAAGACTATAACAAATTAGTGAACTGTCTGTTCATAAACCTGTTCTGAATCTTTACCAATAATTAAGACAAATATCCAATTTTGTTCTTGATGTAGTTCCCTTGGAATAGAAAATAGTTGGAATCTTGAGATTAGTTTTAACAAAACCAATTCTGAGAGAGAACAGGTGGCTTAAAGAGAAAGAATGTGTACTTATGAAAGAGACTAAATCTTTTTACATCCATAAATAGTATCCAGTCACCTAGTTGTTTAATTCTTCAAATTTAAATGCTTTTGGCTATAAAAATATTACATCTAATAATTTTGAAGTATGCTTTCCATAATGCGGGATTTTTTTATTTTAAAATGTCTTAACACTGAGAATGTCATTGTGAGTTATGAAAGTTTTCTATATTTAATTTTATTTGGTGCCATGGGCTATGAGAAAGACCTTACTGAAATAAAGGTTAATAATAAATTCACTTTAACCATAATTATTTTTCTTTCTTTCTTTTCTTTGATTTTTTAAGGTAGCTAATCATAGTTGAGTGCCCTTTAAATCAGGAGACCAATGACACTTTGTTTCCAATTAACAGTAAAAACCTTATTTGATCTTTGACTTTTTTATGAGATAAATTTATATTTTCCAGACTAACATGCATGACAACATAATTCTCTATACTCATTAATATTCAACTTTGCTGCTTTAATGGGAAAAACCAGGAGAAATGTAATGGCATCTGCTTATCCAAGGCATTAGTAACTTTTGTTAACATAAAAAAACCAACAATACATTTCTGAGGAATTTACTCAAAGTTTATTTGTAAAGAATATAAAAGAAGGAATATCAGTATTTCCCATATATTCGAATAAATGGTTTTTATAATGTTTTTGAAATATTCAGATGATTAGTGTCATTTATTCAGTATACCTATATATTATTAACAGCTTTATTGAGATATAATTCACATATCATACAACGCACCCATTTAAAATGTACAAACCAATGGTATTAAGGATGCTCATAGAGCTGTGCAATCTTCACCACGATCAATTTTAGAACATTTTCCTCCTCTAATAAAGAAACTCCATAACCATTAGTAGTCATCGCCCATTTCTCTTCCCTCCCTTGCCTTCCCATCTTCTCCCTCCACTGCTTGGGCCCAAGCAATCACTTTGAATTATAATAAACATTCATTGAGCACTTGCTATGCCTCAGACTGTCCTAAGTGGCAAATATGTATTAACTCATTTAAGTCTTTTGAGGTAGAAACTTCGAATATTAAAAAAACATAAATAAATGTATCTAATCTACTTGTGGGCTTAATCTTTTATTTATTCCATGGTTGTATATTACCATTAAAATGGAACTCTGAAAATGATGCCGTAGAAAACATTTAATGGAACGAGAAAGCGCATATGATTTAATGCTTAAGCTCTGTATATAAGATTATATTAGTTCTGGTATACATATATATAATATATATGCATGTTTATATATATATGTTCTATATATATGAACATATATGTATACCATGTTTTATATATATATAACTATATATACATATATAACATTATATACATATATATAACATTATATATACATATATATGTTATAGAGAGAGAGGGAGAGAAGTGGAAAGAGAGAGTAAGTTCACCAAATATTCATAGTGTCCTCGCTAGGAAATGGACTTTCAGGTGATTTTCATTTTCTTCTTTGAACATTGCATTATGATTTACACGTGGCAACACCCACAACTTAGCCTGACAATAGACTATTAACAAAAATCATATGAAAGATGAAACAGGACTGACAGGGAACTGTGTTGTATTTTAGTTATTAATACGCCAAAGCAGAAGAAAGACTAGGCTATAAGAATTGTTGATCCAGCTTCAGTTAATATTCTGGTGATCTAGGAGCTATAATTAGTTCATAGTGAAATGTTCAGGAGACAATCCAAATATTTTATTTTGTTCTAATGAGCCAAATAATCATATACATAATCCTTACTGATCCATTTCTACTCTTCTAAAATTAGGTTTAACTCTCCAAAGCTAAAGATAGAAAAAATATAATTCATTGGCACTTTTCAACTTTGTCCTATATAAGTCCAAAGAGGCCCATTTAATTCTGATCCATATTTAAAAGGACTTGAATAAAGTATAAAACATTAGGAAGAGGTGATTATCTCTTTGTGAGAATGTGTATATTCATCTGAATTACTAATTTGAAATTATGATTACATATAGTAAAGGCAACATATTTAGGTTACTGAAAGCCTACTACATAAGCCAGTGTTTTTTCAAAGTGTGACTCCCTAGATCATCTGTATCAGAATCATCTGTGGTACTTGTTAAAAATGCAGAGTGCTGGGTCCCCATCCCAAACTAAGTGAATCCAAATCTCTGGGAGTGAGGACCATATTCAAATTTTCAACAAGCCCCCTAAGTGATTTGAAAGCACATAAAGTTTGAGAATTACTTTCCTAAACATAAGATTTAGTCTCTGACAATGAGATATCATTTATATTCACAATATAGATCCACAATGGAGGATGCATTTGTACTGTAAAAACCTGAATTAAGTACTCAATTGTCTCTAAAGAACACAAAACTGAGAACAAATCCCTGTCATTATGCATGTCAGGATAACTTAGATTAGCGCATCTCAGATTTGGTTGATTCTCAGAATTTCCTGGGCAGTTTTTCAAAGTATGAATTTTCACACTCCACACCACATCTACTGATCCAGAATCCCTGGGGGCAGAGTCTGGGAATCTTTCTGATTTTTAAACTTGCCAGGTGATTTTAATGACCAGCTATGTTTGGAAACCACTGGCCTAGACTACATGGTAGTCTAAGGGTTTCATTAGGAACTAGTTACCCTAGAAGCTAATTTTTCTAGGTCCTGAATCTGCCCTAAAATGAAATCGTGGCTTTTGTTTTATTTTTTAGGAAATTGATCAAAATGCTGGTCGTTATGACATCTTGTAGAAACTTGCTAAGGGGTGTGGCAATGTATTACTGGCTCCACTGACATTGATTTCGGCTAACTGCATTGTGCAAATAGACTGTGGCACCTTGGTTGTACTAAATCTTAACAGCCAATATGAGTGAGCTACTGTGAGTAGCTTATATGTGCAGAAGGCCAAAAGATTAAACATTTAAAGCTAATTTGACTAAGTTTATTTCCCACTGAATTGAGAGGTTAGATTGAGGTTCGTGAACATTAATTATAAATAAAATTAGATGAAAACTGGAAATTCTCCCAAATTAGGGAAATATAAGAACAATTACACAAGAAGCCTCTGAATAACTATGCCTAACCTCTCGAGATAGGAAAATCTAATATTAGCTTCCCTATTTTATAGATGTGCAAGTTGAGGTTTAGATATTAAGCAATTATTGTGTAAGATGACCTAGGGCTATTACAATCATAGGGCTTAGACCAGAAACAAAGTCTTCTGTCTTTTAATGTTTTTCTCCCACTCTATGATGCTACCTCCTTCATTAAAACCCATTCAAGGTGACAAAACCTGGGCAGGTTATTTTTTACCTTTAGGAGAAATAAAAGGAAGGAAATGTCTTTAATTGGAGTTTTTTCCCGAATTCCAGGTTCAGTGAATGCTGCCTTTTATAAGAGCAACTCATTTTCAGAAGAGTTTGTTTAGTCTAAACCCTTGTAGATTAATCAATCACTTATGCTACAAATCAAAGTGCACAGCTGATGCACTTTGTATTATAAATGTTTCACACTGAAACATTTATAGCATTAAAAAGACAATAACCTTCATTGATAGTTTCCAACTACTGTTACTTCATAAAAAACATTTGTCAGTAACATTACAATTAAAACAAACAACACTGCGTAAAACTGCCCCAGGTATTTCCATTCACAGGCAGCTAACAAAAAGAAACCAAAGTACCATGACCTTGTTAAGCACATGGTTATAAGAAGAAAACATATCAGCAGTCAGTATAGTAATGTTAAGGATGAAAGAAGATTATAAAGATGTTATTAAATAAGGAATTGAAAACTTAGGTCTCACTGCCCTCACAAAGATATTATTAGGTTACTGACCAAAAAAAGGGGAAGAGCATTTTGAAAAAGAACCTAAGTCAGAACAGTGATGTGGGATGAAAGTAATTATTTTTATTTTGGAAGAAAACCCTTTAGACTCTGCTTACTTTGTGACATTTTTTACTGGCACCAAATGCTCAAATACAGATCCACCTTTCCAGCCCAGCAAGAAACCTTCTGATATGCAAAGCAGCACATTGGTGGGATTTGGAGACTTTCATTCAATTTAAATCAAGGACTTAAGCTGGAGCTTTAAAATCATTTCCCTTACTGAAGGACAAGCCCTTTCTAGCCCATAATTGTGCAGTGGAAGCTTCCAAATAGGAGCTTGAGATTAACAAAAAAAGTATAAGTGTGTCCGGAATTGGTGGGTTCTTGGTCTCACTGACTTCAAGAATGAAGCCGCGGACCCTCGCGGTGAGTGTTACAGCTCTTAAGGTGGCGCGTCTGGAGTTTGTTTCTTCTGATGTTCGGATGTGTTCGGAGTTTCTTCCTTCTGGTGGGTTCGTGGTCTCGCTGGCTCAGGAGTGAAGCTGCAGACCTTCGCGGTGAGTGTTACAGCTCTTAAGGCGGCGCGTCTGGAGTTGTTCGTTCCTCGCGGTGGGCTCATGGCCTCCCTGGCTTCAGGAGTGAAGCTGCAGACCTTCGTGGTGAGTGTTATAGCTCATAAAAGCAGTGTGGACCCAAAGAGTGAGCAGTAGCAAGATTTATTGCAAAGAGCGAAAGAACAAAGCTTCCACAGTGTGGAAGGGGACCCCAGCGGGTTGCCACTGCTGGCTCGGGCAGCCTGCTTTCTCTTATCTGGCCCCACCCACATCCTGCTGATTGGTAGGGCCCAGCGGTCTGTTTAGACAGGGCGCTGATTGGTGCGTTTACAATCCCTGAGCTAGACACAAAGGTTCTCCACATCCTCACCAGATTAGCTAGATACAGAGCCTCCACACAAAGGTTCTCCAAGGCCCCACCAGAGTAGCTAGATACAGAGTGTCGATTGGTGCATTCACAAACCCTGAGCTAGACACAGGGTGCTGATTGGTGTGTTTACAAACCTTGAGCTAGATACAGAGTGCCGATTGGTATATTTACAATCCCTGAGCTAGACATAAAGGTTCTCCACGTCCCCACCAGACTCAGGAGCCCAGCTGACTTCACCCAGTGGATCTCGCACTGGGGCTGCAGGTGGATCTGCCTGCCAGTCCCGCACTCCTCAGCCCTTGGGTGGTCGATGGGACTGGGCGCCGTGGAGCAGAGGGCGGTGCTCGTCGGGGAGGCTCGGGCTGCACAGGAGCCCATGGAGTGGGTGGGAGGCTCAGGCATGGCGGGCTGCAGGTCCCGAGCCCTGCCAGGCGGGAAGGCAGCTGAGGCCCGGTGAGAAATGGAGCGCAGCGCCGGTGGGCTGGCACTGCTGGGGGACCCAGTACACCCTCCGCAGCCGCTGGCCTGAGTGCTAAGCCCCTCATTGCCCGGGGCTGACAGGGCCGGCCGGCTGCTCCGAGTGTGGGGCCCGCCAAGCCCACGCCCACCCGGAACTCCAGCTGGCCCCCAAGCACCGAACGCAGCCCCGGTTCCCGCTCGCGCCTCTCCCTCCACACCTCCCTGCAAGCTGAGGGAGCCGGCTCTGGCCTTGGCCAGCCCAGAAAGGGGCTCCCACAGTGCAGCGGTGGGCTGAAGGGCTCCTCAAGTGCCGCCAAAGTGGGAGCCCAGGCAGAGGAGGTGCCGAGAGCGAGCGAGGGCTGTGAGGACTGCCAGCACGCTGTCACCTCTCATAAGCGGGTTTTGAACCTTATCAACAAACCCTTTCTTGATCAAAGCTGACTTTATACAAACCAGATTTTTGTACAATATTTATGTGTGCCTAGAGAGTAGTAGGCATTATAAACACAATGAATAAAATAAAATATATTTGGCCATATACGCTCCTGTGCTTAAGTCCCTGGGGAGTGAATGAAATGGTTAAGGAGGTATATTAATGTTTTTAGGCTACTTAAGGCATAACTGCTTGAAGAGGTTAGTACCTTAGTGGGCTCTCTAAACTTGTAACTTACTCCTAAGGAGTGGCTAACTGCGCGTATTACCTCTAAATTACATAAAAAGCTTCATCTATTGCTAAAGGTACAAGGGGAGTATTATTCGAGATATTCTAGGAATACAGTCAGCATGAAGTAATTTTAGCCTACCTGGAAAACAATGCTGCAGAAACTGCAGTGGGCCATACCAAAGGAAGAAATGGGAGGTAAGGTACCTGGAATAAGTAAATGTTCTTATTTTCTCACAGGAAGAATTATTTAATAGCTCAGCTAAGGGTGGGACTCCCTTGCTCTGTCAAATGTTATATGAATAAATGTATCTTCCTAGATCAGTATTTGGTATCATTGTTATATTTGAGTTTTTCTTACATTCTGAAAATATTTACACTGTTGCCATCCAGTTGTGTTTTAAAATGCAGGTGTTGTGGTTTCGGTAAATATTGTTGTGTTGTTGTTCCTCTGTTTTTGCTTATTCTTATAGCAACATGTCTTCTATTGAGAAATACAGGCAAGGAAAAAGAAGAAAAAAATATCTTCAAATCCTGCCACCTACACATAAACACTATTAACATTTAGTGTTCTTCCATTCACTTTTCAGTACAGATAGAAATATTTTGTTTTAAAAATGCAAGTTCAGATATTGAGTAATTGATATGATTGAATTACTTCCTGGTTGTATATGTTCTCTTACCCTCACATACAAAAAAAGTCTGTCCACTGACATATATGGAGACCTGTTCATATAAATGTTTAAGTGAATATTAAAGTTTGTATATCTCCCTGTTATTTTAAATCAGGAATGTATATTTAATCTGGTATTCAAAGAAGTATCAATTAATGGATGGATGATCTCTAAGACAGAATCATTCAAAATGAAATAGTGTCTATAATAGTTTCTTTCATGAGAGTCAAGATTCAGTGTTTACTGTGTATTGAGCCTTAAATTAGAATTTTATCATGTATGTTTATATAACTATTTTTATTAGGAAAGAAAGAAAGAGAGAGAGAAAGAAAAGAAAGACGAAAGAAAAAGGAAAGAAAGAGGAGGAAGGAAGGAAGGAAGGAATGAAATAGAAAAGAAAAGAAAGGAATCAGAAAAAAGGTTTGTTTGTTTTTGCCTCTAGCATGAGGAATTCCTTATTATTTAGAATTTACAATAATAGATCTGTGGCAAAATATAACCTGACTGACTTACTATGCAAAACGATTGTGAGAACTAGGCATGACACATCGAAGCAGTGGGGCATCTGACTCAAATCTGAAAAAGATACACTTGGGTGGAAATGACTTTTAATCTTTTAAATTAAAAGTAGAAAAATAACTATGGCATTCGTGCCCAATGGAAAAAAATACAATTATAGCTTTGTGATCTACAAAAAGAATGTTGACTATGCTCCAATATGCATGCATTAATATTTTTATTTGCTGGCTAAAAAAAAATTCTATGGGACCTGTTCTTCCATTGATGCATGAAGAAATTATATAAGAAAGTAACTCTCAAATGAATCAGTGAGAGAGCACACCATTTAGCATTTTACAGTTCTCTTTATTCATTCATTCGATTTCCCAAATGAAAATGCCCCAAACCTCAGAATCAGAATCTATAAAATTACAACCTACAATAACATGCACTTTCCAGGAAAGTGCTATGTGCTGGCACTTTGTGTATCTAGATAAGCTTATCTTTGAGATTTTGGAATATTTAAATGCATTATGCTTTGAAGTATCCTTTTTGAGTTACCCACATTGAAAACATTGTTTTGAGACAATACTCGCACGGCACTCTACTTTCTTCAGTTATAGGCCACACTCTTCCCCATAGTATTTTGCAGGGCTTTTACTGGCAAAGAATTTCTCATTGCTTTCATATTTCAGATATTGGTTTACAGGAAATTCATACACTCTTGGAAAGTTCTGGGAAAAGGCAGTACACATTTGTGCAAACCATTTGTAAAATTAAAAATGTGTGCATGATATAGAGAAGTTAATTATGTTGCATACAAAGCACTGCTGCAAGTTGAAAGTTATTTGAAGGATTTGGGAACGTGACTAGTAAACACATTTATACAATCAAAAATTTCAGTTGAACTATCAGGATTTTATTATAGATCTTTTGCATAGCAAACCAATTGAAAACATTTACATAAATCAATAATCAAAAATTCTAACACTACTTCACTGTGTGTCGGTAACACAAATAGATCTTTAGAGATTTCGGATGGAGATAAAAAAATTGGTGATACAGAATCAGGGAGTGGGAAAAGGTCTAAAGAGATTAGAGTACCTAGCCACAGGATCCTTAAAGAAATTAGACTCCATTTGTCTGAGATAGTACTTTCACACCACCACTCTTATCAGTTGCAGTAACACCTCCTTTATCTAGAAACGGCTAATTCAGAATCTCTGATAGTCAAGATGGATGTGGAACTGAGATTTGCCTTTGTAATAACTATAAAAGAATGATTTTCTATGTAATTAAGTGTTTAAATCAGATTTCAATCTTATAAGCATGCAAGGTTTTCAGGCCCTCTTTAAAAGTCATTTTAGTTGTTTATATTTCCTTCATTATAAAAGTGGTATGGAAAACTTGGAAAAAATACAAAAGTACAAAAAGGAAAATCAAAATCTTCCATAATCTAATAATCCAGAGATAGGCATAACTGGTATTTTAGGCAACAGGGGCTGGCAAACTGTTTAAATAAAGAGCCAGATAATAAATAGTTTGGCCTTTGTGTGCCATATATGTTCTCTGTCACTTAACAGTTTTTCGTGTTGTTGTTGTTTTCTTTTTAACAAGCTTTTTAAAATGCAAAAAACATTTTTAGCTAAAGGTCATACAAAAACATATTCCAAACTTGGACTTGGCCAATTAGCTCTTGTTTGCCAATGCTTGTTTAGTGTATATCCCTAACAGTAATTTTTCTCTTACAGATTTTTTTTAGATATAAAATATCTTAAATATCCAAAAATAATATTTACAATACTAAGATTTTTGGTCCTACATGAAAATTGTGTTCTTGCAAATCTACTCTACCAACCTTGCAGAAATGTCCAAATATTGTAGTTCCTCAGATAGTCCATTTCTCAAACTGAGATTTCCTGAAACACCACATTTTAAAATACTAAAGAATTTTTTTAAATTAATTTAGTCTAGCCTTTCCTACATCCTTCTTAATTTGGTATTAAAGATTTATGAGAACATGTTTTTCTCCCTCTAATCTAAGCACTATATTCTTTATCCACAGAAAAATCTTTTGAGATTTTAGTATTTAACCATTATTATGAATGAAAATTTAACTATCTCTTGTAAAAAGCATTTTTTTTCTTCTCTTAATAACTAGTTGGGGTTAATATGGTAGGCATAATAATGCCTTCCCAGGGATGTATACATCCTAACTCCTGGAACCTGTGAAAATGATACCTTACCTGGCATGAGGGACTTTGCAGATGTGATGAAGGGTAAGAGATAAGAGATTATCCTGGATTATCTGGGTATGTAATCACAAGGGTTCTTAAAAGTATAGAACCTTTCCAGGATGTAGTGAGAGAGAGAGATGACTACAGAAACACAGCTAGATGTGATAGTGCTAATTTTGAAGATGGAAGGAGAGACCACGAGCCAAGGAATACAGGTAGCCTCTAGAAGCTGGAAAAGGAAATGAAACAGATTTTCCCCTAGAGCCTCCAGAAAGGTACATAGTCCTGCTAACTATCCTGAATTTAGCCCAGTGAGAACTTTTTTGGACTTCTGACTTACAGAACTGTAACACAATAAATTTTTCATTGTTTAAACTATTACACAAACTTGTTATGACATCTGTTGTAGCCAGTTAACAATCTATTTGCAGACCATCCTTATTTCTTTATTTATAATCTGCTTTGTTTCAAAAAGGTGAAAATAGTGTAGAAGGATGCAAACCATAAAACATGATAGTATAAATTAAATATAGGCATGAAAGGGGAAAACACAACATAAGAATAGGAACCTAAAATGAAACCTAAGACTGAGGCAAACATAAAACTACATCTTATAGATGCATATTATTTCAAGTGGGCTCTAGGCTTTCTAGCAGCCAATGCAAAGAGGGAAATCTTATGAGTTCCATAATTTATGATATCATAGTATTATATAACAACAGACCATTTTCTCAGAAGAACTTCAATTTCACTTGAAACTCAGTCCAGATGAGAATTTTTCCTGAGAGAGTTTATAATATACAGACATGCATCACTTAAAAATGGGGATATGTTCTGAAAAATGTGTCATCAGGCGATTTCTCATTGTGTGAAGATCATGGAGTGTACGTACACAAACCTACATGTTGTATGTAGTCTACTCCATTATATAGCTGTATTATAACCTTATGGGACCACTGTCATATATGTGTTCCATCATTGAAACGCCGTTATACAAAACGTGACTGTATTATGCAATGATGATGTGCTCAACAATTTTCATATGTCCACGAGTCTATGCTAAATTTTACCATTAGTGTTATTTCAATAAAAACAATTTGTTTTACAATTTACCAAATCAATGTAACAGTGATCTAAGTAACAGCCTCACTCACAGCATTCTTGATCTATAGGCAGCTCACAGATCTTACCTTTGACTCTTTCAAAACTGGCAGAGTTAACTGGGAAATAAAATATGTTATTTTAGTAGATTCATGGTCTTTTCATAGTAATATGGTTTGTTTCTGTGTCCCCACTCAAATCTCATGTTGCATTGTATCGCCATTGTTGCAGGAGGGACTTGGTGGGAGGTGATTGGATCATGGGGGTGGATTTCTCCCCTGGTGTTCTCACGAGTTCTCGTAAGTTCTGGTTGTTGGAAAGTGTGTACTTCAATGTACTTAAATGTAAGTTAGGAGTACTTCCCACTTTCTCTCCTCTCTCTCTCTCTCTCTCTCTCTCCTGACACCATGAGAAGACGTGCTTGCTTCCTCTTTGGCCTTCTGCCATGCTTGTAAGTTTCTTAAGGCCTCCCAAGCCATGCCTCCTGTGCAGCCTGTGAAACTGTGAGTCAATTAAACCTCTTTTCTTTATAAATTACCCAGTCTTAGGCAGATCTTTATAGCAATGGTGAATGGACTAACACACAGCCAGATTTCTTTCTTCTGCATGGAACAAAATTTCTTTCTCCCTGCATATTTTTAAAAGTTGAAAATTCAATATAGTACAAGTAGAAGAGATTCTTGGTAGGGGGGAAAAGAAATATGGAGTCAACATTAAAGAAATGTTAGCTACGTACAATTCATTGCAAAATGCTTTTTAGGTCAGAAGAATCACTGTGGCTTCATTTAGTTACACAATTCTGTCTCAAATTCTACTGGTAAAGTAGTAACAACAACAGATTGGCTTTGACCAGAATTCAGGAAGATCTTTGATCTTATCCCCTGTATTATCTTCCTCCCAAATACACAAATCCCTTTTAATACATTGTAGAAGAGAAATGAGTGACAGAACTACTGAAAAAAATATTTAAAAGTTTGCATTAATTTATATAACTAGATACCATCCCTTTTTTCAATTATGGTGTTTGATGGGTGAAAAAAACCATAATTTTTATTGAATACTTAAATTCTGATGATACATTTTCTATTTCAATATTGTAAACCATTGAGATAATTAATTTCTAGAAATTGATAAATGTAAGTTAGGAGTACCTTATTTTCTTTTAAAATATGGAGCTACATTTTCATACTTAGGGATGTTCTAGTCTTTCTAACTAAAATAATATGTTCCATTGTTTAACATTCCAGAATCAGAAATATTGCATCAGCCATGCAGATGGAGAAAGCACTAGGGTTACAATAAGATTTAAAGAGAAAAAGTAGTTACCAAAGAGCCATAGGGATGAATGCACACAGAAGGGGCAGAACATGCCAGATTAGAATTGACAGATTACTAAGAATAAAACTGAGCAATAGCAATAAAGTAATATTCTTTCAATCATTTTTTCAAGTCATATTTTTACTTGTAGACTCTGACATGTTTTACACATATACTTAGTCAATCTCTGAGAATGTGTCAGGTGCCAAAGAACATAAAAACTGGAGTCCTACTTAGGGTGAGGTTACTCTACAAAGCAAGACAAATAAACCCTTGAAAGAGAAGGGCACTTGGAAAAGTTTACAGGTACCCAAGGCACAGTGGCTTTTTCTGGAAAAAAAGGGGAAAACAAACCATGCAGATTCTTTTCAGCTGTCTGGCCTGTGCCCATGCAATTAGCCTTCTGGAGATATCCTGCCTGGTTTCCTAGATGATACTAAAACACTCTTTTACTGTTCTTACTTTTTTGGCCAATAGCCCTCAATCCTGCCCTGGAGTCCTGCCATTCTTTTTGTTTTCTTGGCTTATTAAGAAACTCTGATAAACTTATGTGGACCCAACAGGCATACATGGACAGCTTCAGAGGTTTGCTTCCTAAACTCCCTGAAATCGTCTGCAAAACGTATCAGAATGTACATTTCTTTGGGGGAAAACAGGTATAGCTTTTATCAGATTCCTGAAGGAATATGTTACACTAAAACCTTAAGTAGTATTGATTGAGTGTCCATATATATGCGGTGACTTGTACTTCATTTTGGGGAAACAGAGGCATATAATAATGATGGCTATAGTGTTTGCAACACCTTACATACTATCACACATTACATGGATTATAAACTACTTTTGTACGAGTGTCTATCCTTGAAGAGCTTATATCTCAGTTGGGACAAAAATATATCCACTTCAATTATCTATTAAACATTCATTAAGTTTCTGCTATGTGCTAGGCTCTATTCTAAACACACAAAATACACCAGTAAATAAAACAAAGATCTCTGCCCTATAATATCATCTTACATTCTGCATTTAACAAATGTAAAACATGGGAACAGTTTGAAAACAATATATATGCTTATATAAAGTGAACAGCAAAATGCTTATAGGGTGTAAAGGACTTCAATTTAGAGCTCTGCTCTTAAAGACAGCACTGTCTTGTATCATAAATACCCTCCCTCGAATACTGCTTTCTACTTTCAAATCATGTTACGGAATCAAGTTTGAAGCTTGTCTGGCCTTGAATCTTGGACTAGCCTTGATAAACATTATATTTTACTATGGGTCATCTCCAACATCTCCAATATCTGGTCGATTTCAACACAAAAACCCAAAGGTGAAATTGGTGAAAATTTCTTTATCGTACCCTTTCCCAGAATGATACATTATTTCATAGCAATACAAACATAGACCATGTACATTACGGTCTATCTTTTCCTGCTTGGGTTTTATGCCCTACTGGCACTGTGCCTAGTACAAGTGGTAAACAGCACAGTACAATTTTTTCTTTCCAATTAATAAGAAGGCAGCACTTTATTTTTAGGAGCACAGAAAATATAATGTACATAATTATTTAAGTTGTGAATAATACCAAGAAAAAAAGTATTAGGTGGCAAAGCCTAAGAAACTTGGATGATGATGTATATCAAACTGTACAGATGAAAGAAATTTTACTGATAGTAATTATTTAACACATAGTTTCTGTGTTATTAAAAAGTTATACTAGAGAAGGGAAAGCTGGTATGTTAAAATATTATAGTAATGTTTAATTATAAATATTATATTATTACATATTATTTTCTATTTTTCTTTTTAATTCACCTGTAATGATACAAGATAAATATTCTGTTTTGTATACATTTAAGGAGTACAAGTGCAGTTTTGTTACATGGATATACTGCATAGTTGTGAAGTCTGCACTTTTAGTGTAACCATCACTCAAATAATACACACTGTACTCACTGAGTAATTTCTCATTCCTCACCTCCCTCCTACCCCCACCCCCCTTTCAAGTCTCCAGTATCTATCATTCCACACTATATGTCCATATGTACATATTATTTAGTTCCCATTTATGAGTGAGATGGTTTTTAACTGTTTCTGAATTATTTCACTTGAGATAATGGCCTCCAGTTCCATCTGTGTTTTTGCAAAAGACATGATTTCATTCTTTTCAATGGCTGAATCTCTTCCGTGGTGCGTGTGTGTGTGTGTGTGTGTGTGTGTGTGTGTGTGTATAACATTTTCTTAATCCAATCATCCATTGATGGACACAGTTTTTGACTCCATATCTTTGCTATAGTGAATAGTGTCACAATAAACATATATGTGCAGGTATCTTTGTGATATAATAATTTATTTTCCTTTGGGTAGACACCTAGTAATGGTATTGCTTGATCAAATGGTGGTTCTATTTTTAGTTCTTTGAGATATCTCCATACCGTTTTCCACAGAGGTTGTATTAATTTAAATTCCCACTAACAGCGTATAAGCTTTCCTTTTCTCCACTCACCAACATCTGTTCCTTGGTTGGGTTTTTTTTTTGTTTTTTTTTTTTGACTTTTTTCAGCCATCCTGACTGGTGTGAGATGGTATCTCATTGTGGTTTTAATTTGTGTTTCTTTAATGATTAATGATATTCATCATTTTTTCATACTCCAGTTGGCCATTTGTATGTCTTTTTTGGAGAAATGTCTATTCATATCCTTTGCCCACTTTTTAATGGGGTTATCTGAATTTTTTTGTTGAGTTGTTTGAGTTGCTTGTAAATTCTGGATATTAGTCCCCTGTTGGGTGAATAGTTTGCAAATATTTTCTCCCATTCTGTATGTTGTCTTTTCACTCTGTTGATTATTTCTTTTGCTGTACAGAAGCTTTTAGTTGAATTAAGTCCTATTTGTTTATTTTCGTTCTTTGTGCTTTTGAGGTCTTAGTCATGAATTCTTTGCCTAGACTAATCAATGTCCAGACAAGTTTTCCCTTGGTTTCCTTCTAGTATTTTTATATTCTCAGGTCTTACACTTAAGTCTTTAATCCATCTTGAGCTGATTTTTGTATATGGTGAAAGACAGGGGTCCAGTTTCATTCTTCTGAATATGGCAATCCATCCCAACACCATTCTTCTGAATATGGCAGTCCATCCCAACACCATTTATTGAATAGAGTGTCCTTTCCCCAGGCTATGTTTTTGTCAGCTTTGGCAAAGATCGGTTAGCTGTAGATACATGGCTTTATTTATGGGTTCTCTATTCTGTTCTCTTGACCTATGTGTCTATTTTTATGCCAGTACCTTGCTGTTTGGGTTACTGTAGACTTGTAGTATAATTTGAGGTCAGATAAAGTGATGCCTCCAGTTTTGTTGTTTTTGCTTAGTATTACCTTGGCGAGTCCGGCCCTACTACATATTATTGCTAGTGGACTTTCTGTCTCCTAGGCTGGACTAGTTATTCTCCCTAATCTAAGCTTGAATATGGAATTGCCAATGTGTTTTTTGTAGGCTGTTTGGTAATCAGGGAGAAAAATCTGATTTTCCCTTGTCACAGGCTACATCCCCTATCCAATAACGTGCAAATGTATGTTTCTAAGGGAATGTGGAGGACTCAGAACAGAGTATCCTAGGGGAAAAACAATATTTCTCCTAATAAATGACCAAAAGATGTCAACTTCTTATACAAAAGAGAGTACATATGTCTTTGAATCATGCTCATGACTTGAGATTGCAAGAATCTTACCATTTTTATTCTTCCTGCTCACTCATCTTCTACGGGGAATTCATATTCATTTATCCCTGTATTCTCAATTCCTGACATCACAGAAGGTGTTAATCTTTTCTCTAAGGGTCAGAATGGGTTCTGGTAAATCATAAAACTGATATTCTGGGAAGAATTTCTGTAATTGCTGAGTTCTTTGTTCCTTTGTATCTATGGAGGAAAGAAAAAAAAGTTCCCTTTACTAATTGTCTTTCTTTCTCCTTAGAGTGCCAATTTCATTTAGTGGGACTATTTAAAACCCATTCTTTAGAAAATGATTTCTGTCATTCTATATAATATCTAGTTCTTGTGAGGTTCATTATACAGGTTTTCCACTGTCACTTTCTATCCATGTGACACACAAACAACACTTTCTCTTCTCAATTCTTATAATACATCTTTAATATACCTGTACTCTCTACTACAAAAATATATCTACTTTTCCTTTAAATCCCATCCCTTTATCCGTTGTCATTTTCAGATCTATCATGACATCACTTTAAATCCAATAAATAAAAACTTATTTAAAAAGTGCTCAGTGTCGGTGTTGGAAGAATGCTATTACTGAGGAAGTGGCAATTAGAACCCACCTAACATGACCCTGAGGCACCTTACCCCTTGTAAACCAGAAGAGCCAGAGGTAAGAGCCCCCAACTCAGCACTTCAGATGAGCTCAGCATCAGAATCAGTTATCTCTTTGGCTCCTCTCCAGCTGCTCAGGGTCATGGATTATGTACTCGTATTAGTCTACTGGGGTGGCCATAGCAATATACCACAGACTAGATGGCTTAAGTAAACAAAATGTATTTTCTCACAATTCTGGAGGCTGGAGGTCCAAGATCAAGGTGTCAGAACTGATTTCTGGTGAGAGCTCTCTTCCTGGCTTGCCAGTGGCTGTCTTTACCCTGTGTCTTCACATGGCCCCTCCTCTGTACATATGTGTACATACACAGAGAGAAAGAGGGAGAGAGACAGAGAAAAGGAAACAGAAAAGGGGAGAGGGAGAGGTCGCTGGTGTTTCTTCCTCTTATATGGATACCACTCCTTTTGGATTAGAGCCCCACACTTATTATCTCACTGAACCCTAATTATGTCCTTAAAGCCCCTTTTCCAAATTCACTCACCATGAAGATTAGAGCTTCAACATGTAAATTCTGGAGGGACACAATTCAGTCCAAAATAGTATTATTCAACTCTATCCTTACATCTCTATTCTGAGGATTCAGCTCCAATCCCTGCCTCTCTCTATAGTCTAACTTACCTCAGCATGTCTCTTAAGTGACCTTACTAGTACGTGACTTTTCACCCTATTGTCTCTATATTTCCGGTTCTTGGTTCCTTTGCTGCCATATTTCAAGCACCACTTCTGTAGATCAGACTGAGTACTTAGATTATCTAATGAGTTGTCTCCATAGCTCTTTTTTTTTTTTTTTTTTTTTTGACAGAGTCTTGCTCTGTCACCAAGGCTGGAGCACAGTGGCACGATCTCGGCTCACTGCAACCTCCGCCTCCCGGGTTCAAGCAATTCTCCTGCCTCAGCCTCCCAAGTAGCTGGGACTATAGGCACATGCCACCACGCCCAGCTAATTTTTTTTTTTTTATCTTTAGTAGACACATGGTTTCACCATGTTGGCCAGGCTGGTCTCGAACTGCTGACCTCAAGTGATCTACCTGCCTCAGCCTCCCAAAGTGCTGGGATTACAGACGTGAGCCACCATGCCCAGCCATAGAGAGACTTTGTTTATGAAATGATAGAATGACTTTTCACTTGATAGCAAAGCTCTAGTCGAAGTCCCTTAGAGACTGGTGAAACTCACCTTCTACCTACTCCCTACATACCCACCTACTTCCACACCTACAGAAAGACACATGGCCTGTTTCTCCCTGTGGTGGCTACAGTCAGCTACTGTACCACTAAACTCCAGTCAGCAGGCCCTACCCTATCCTGCCTGATTTTTTTTTTTTTTGGAAGGGTTTGGGGGTGGAGACAGGGTCTCACTCTGTTGCCCAGGCTGGAGTGCAGTGGTGCGATCTCAGCTCACTGCAACCTTCGCCTCCTAGGTCAAGCGATTCTTCTGCTTCAGCTTCCTGAGTAGCTGGGATTACAGGCATGCACTACCACACCCAGCTAATTTTTGTAGTTTTGGTAGAGAAGGGGTTTTGCCATGTTGGCCAGGCTGGTCTCAAACTCCTGACCTCTAGTGATCTGCCTGCCTCGGCCTCCCAAAGTGCTGGGATTACAGGCGTCAGCCACCATGCCAAGCCCCTGCCTGAATTCTTTAAATCCCACATAAAAGGGTTTCTTTGTTTTTGTTTTTGTTTTTGTTTTTGTTTTGAGATGGAGTCTCGCTCTGTCGCCCAGGCTGGAGTGCAGTGGCGCTATCTCGGCTCACTGCAAGCTCCGCCTGCTGGGTTCACACCATTCTCCCGCCTTAGCCTCTGGAGTACCTGGGACTAGAGGCGCCCGCCACCACGCCCGGCTAATTTTTTGTATTTTTAGTAGAGACGGGGTTTCACTGTGTTAGCCAGGATGGTCTGGATCTCCTGACCTCCTGATCTGCCTGCCTCGACGTCCCAAAGTGCTGGGATTACAGGCGTGAGCCACCACGCCCGACCCCCACATAAATGTTAAACAACCCTGTAGTTTAGTTTGTTTGATTTTAGTAATAACCAAAGTGCCACTGCCATTTAGTGGTGACCCATACAATTTTCAAATTCAGGTTTTTGGAAGAATAAAATAAAGTCCTCTTAATATTGAACGTGAACTTGAAGAGCTAAAGTCGACCAGTGACAACACTATAATGAAATTCAAAAAAATTTATTGAGGTAAAATATACATTTATAATTTACCATCTTTACCACTTTTAAGTGTACAGTTCAGTTGTAATAAATACATTTATATTATTTTTCTGTCTTTCAGCAAATTTTAACATATCATTGTGTCCACCCTGCATCAATTATATTTTCTTTAAATTGAACCATATATATCAGACAGTACATCTGCATACTCTAAAATTTTATATAACAAAATAAGTGTCTCCATGGTTTTATGATATAGTTTCTTCCATGTCAGTTTCTGGACTCTTTTCACTATCAAGTTTTATAAAAATGTTAGGTAAATGGCTTATATTTTTGAGGGATACAGGTTAGGTTAGGTAAGAAGAGAAAGTATTTCTAGTGAGAAAAAGAATCCTCCGAAGAACTTTGTATACCAGTGAATCCCAAAGAGAGAACTGAAATTGATTCTCTGGAGCCACACAGCTCTTATAGCCATAGGCAAAATTCTACCAAGCTATCTGAACACATCTAGCTAATGAGAGACTATGTTGCTTGAGATTCTTCTGTACTCCCAAATGTGCTTAACTTAGATTTCTGTATCCTTTGTGCTTTCAGTGGAAATGCTCCAGGAAGAATCGCAGTGATTTAAAAATAGATACTTGCCACATTTTTATTTTTATATTTCCTGACAACTGACTGCAGATTATTTGAAGAATTCAAATACGAAAACATTCTAAACCTTCATTGAAAACAAACAAATAAAAACCAGTGAGTTTTGTGTGTTCATTGCCAATGTATAGCTCTGGAAACACAGAATTTTATGTGCCTGTCACAAAATCTAGAGAAAACATCAGTGCTTAATGCTTCAGTTTCGAACTGCCTAATGTTGAAGCATGAATAAAATTTATTTTCAGACTTATTTCTTCCTCATAAATTATTATTTCTTTAATTGGAGGGACTTTTGAAATAACATATATGTTACAGAGATTACTGAGCCAAATGCTCTCTGTATGAATTCTTTTGTTTTTAATATGTTCCACATTGATTATAAAAATAAAGCATATGCATTATTTTTGAGACAGGATCTCACTGTCTTGGGCTGGAGTGCAGTGTCGTGATCACAGCTCACTGCATCCTTGACCCCCTGGGTTCAAGTGATCCTCCCATCTCTGCCTCCCAAGTAGCTGGAACTATATTCAAACGCCACCATGCCTGGCTAACGGTTTGTATCTTTTTTTGGTAGAGACAGGGTTTTGCCGTGTTGCCCAGGGTAGTCTTTTTTTTTTTTTTTTTTTTTTTTTTTTTAGACGGAGTCTCCATCTGTCGCCATGCTGGAGTGCAGTGGCGCCATCTCGGCTCACTGCAACCTCCGACTCCCTGGTTCAAGCAATTCTCCTGCCTCAGTCTCCTGAGTAGCTGGGATTACAGGCATGTGCCACCACGCTTGGCTAATTTTTGTATTTTTAGTAGAGACGGGGTTTCACCATGTTGGCCAGGATGGCCTGGATCTCCTGACTCCGTGATCTGCCCGCCTCGGCCTCCCAAAGTGCTGGGATTACAGGCGTGAGCCACTGCGCCTGGCCCTAGGCTGGTCTTAAACTCCTGGGCTCAAGCAATCTGCCGGCTTCAGCCTCCCAAAATGCTAGGATTACAGGCCTGAGCCAGTACACCCAGCCCATTTTGTAAATTTTGTAAAAAATGTATTACAAAAGAAATGGTCTTTTCATAATCCTACCGTTTTGAGATAATCACTGCTAAAAATTTAACAAAAATCTTTCCAAATGTTTTTATAAATTTTTATGTAGTTGAAATAATATTTATATGATTTTTGCATCATTTTAACTTGATTATACCATAAGTACCCTCTTATGTTATTGAAAAGGTTTTAAAGTATAATGTTAAATGGCTATGTGATATTCTATCTGGATATTTCATTTTCCCCTAATGTCGAGAAATTAAGTTGTTTTTAATTTTTCATTATTATAATTAACACTATGATGAACATCTTGATACTTAAATTTTTCATTACTTCCCCAGGGTAAATACCTAGAAGTAGTACTGCTGAATTAATAAATAATTCAATAATTTAATTAATAAATAATAATTATTTGAAAAACAAAATCACTGTTTTTAACTTTTATTTTTAGTTCTGCAGTACATGTGCAAGTTTGTTATATAGGTAAACTCATGTCACAGGGATTAGTTGTACAGATTATTTAATCACCCAGGTATTAAGCCTAATACCCATTAGTTATTTTTCCTGACCCTCACCCTCCTTCCACCCTCTACACTCAGGTAGGCCCCCGTGTCTGTTGTTCCCTTCTACGTGTCCGTGTGTTCTCATCATTTAGCTCCCACTTATAAGTGAGAACATGCAGCATTTGGTTTTCTGTTCCTGCATTAGTTTGCTAAGAATAATGACCTCCAGCTTCATCCATGTTCCTGCAAAGAACATGATCACATTCTTTTTTATTGCTACATAGTATTCCGTGGTTTATATGTACCACATTTTCTTTATCAGTCTACCGCTGATGGGCACATAGGTTGTTTCCACGTCTTTGCTATTGTAAAGAGTGCTGCAATGAACATCATGTGCATGTGTCTTCATCATAGAATGATTTATTTTCCTTTGGGTATATACCCAGTAATGAGATTGCTGGGTCAAATGGTAGCTCTAAAGCAAGGTAATTTAATGCCAAGGTCCCTAACCTCTTTGGATTTGCAAACCACTCTGATAATTTGATTTAAATTATACCCTTCTTTCAGAAAATGCTAATAATTATACTGTTTATTTCACATAAATATAACATTTAAAAAATTATGTCTCTTTCACTCATGAAAACACACTTAATGGGTGCAGCACACCAAACGGCACATGTATACATATGTAACAAACCTGCACGTTGTGCACATGTACCCTAAAACTTAAAGTATAATAATAATAAAATAAAAATAAAAATAAAAAAAAAACAAATTGTCAAAATAAGAATAAATTTTAATTTTGCTAAAAGGTAAATTTTAATAATAATGTCTTTGTTTTGTAAAAGACCTTAAAATTTATATAGCAACAGATACATTTGAGTTCAACAAATTACTTGACTTTTGATGGCCACAAATGCTGACAATGATAACTCACAAAATTATATAGTTTGACAAACTAAATCAGAGCTCATGCAGCTTTGCCAGATAAGAATAAACTTATGTCAAATCGCCTCAGGATTCTCCAAGATTCTTCCAATTAAAAGCATGTTCCAGCATGTCCTTAATTCTCAAATGAATAAAGCCATCTTTTTGTTAGAATTTCCATTGTTGATGCTGTCCATTTTAGTAAGGGAGTGTTTATAAATCAGTGGTTCATTTTAAAAATCATCTGAGTAGGAAGAAAGTTCATTCATTTATTTATTAGAAATGGGGTCTCACTCTGTTGCACAGACTGGAGTGCAGTGGCACAAACAAGGCTCACTGTAGTTCAGACTTCTTAGGTTCAAGCGATTCACCTTAGCTTCCCAAACAGCTGGGATTACAGGTGCACGCTGCCATGCCTGGCTAATTTTTTGTCTCACTATGTTGCCCAAACTGACTGTCAAACTCCTAGCCTCAAGCAATTCTCCTCCCTCGGCCTCCCAAAGTTCTGGGATTACAGGTGTGTCACTGCGCCCAGCCAGGAAGAAACTTTAAAATAATTCTGTAATTATTTTAGGTATGTACACATTTCTACCAGCAGAAAAATTGAACAAGCTTTGGCAATCTTGGCTCCAGCCAGCAGACGAATCTCCTTCAAGTTTACAAAGTTTGTAGAGTTGCTTGCGTTCACTCTACGCTTCCAGAATAGAAAGTTTGGCCAAAATGAAATGAAACAAACCAAAAAATCTTGTAAATTTTTCCCATGGCAAACATAATTGTGACTACAAGACCTTGAATTGAAAGAATTATTGTATCCCTATCACCAAAAATCATCAAGCCAAACTATTCTTCTGAAAGTGAGCTTGCTCTAAATAAACAAATAAATAAATAAATTTGTTTTTGTACTTCAATCAAACACATCAGTACTTGTTTTTAGAAAGCCAGAAAACTCTCGTGGAGTAAGAAAATTCAAATTCTGTTCCCATTTCTTTATAAAAGCTCTTTTTAGGAAAAGATGATTCAACAGCCAGGCTTTCAGGAAGCTGATAAATTCTACCATATCATAGGTCTAGCAAAAAGAGAACAGAAGGGGGCATAAGTTTTTTGGTGCCAACTCAGAGGGGCACTGTAAAGAAGCTAGCTTTTGCTGAAGGACCTGAATAAAGACATACAAATGGCCAACAGGTATATGAAAAAATGCTTAACATCCTTAATCATTAGGGAAATACAAATCAAAACAATAATAAGATATCACCTCACACCTGTTAGAATAGTTATTTCCAAAAGGTCAAAATATAATAAGCATTGGGGAAAATGTGGAGAAAAGGAAATCCTTGCACACTGTTGGTAGGAATATAAATTCATATAGCCATTATGGAAAACAGTGTGGAGGTTCCTCAAAAAACTAAAAATAGAATTACTATGTAATCCAGCAATCCTACCACTGGGTATCTATCCAAAGGGATTGAGATCAGAATCTTGAAGAGATATCTGCACTCCCATATTCATTGTAGCAGCATTTACAGTAACCAAGATATGGAAGCAACCTGTGTTCATCAACATATGAATGGATAAAGAAAATATGGTATATTTACATAATGGAGTAATATTCAGACTTAAAAAAGAAGAAAATCTTGTCATTTGCAATAACATGGATGAACCTGGAGGACATTATGCTAAGTGAAATAAGCTAGCCTTTGCTAATTTAGCTTGGTTGTAACCACATATATAGAGACCAGGCTCAAAACACCTTCCAGTCCCAGGTACAACTTCCCCACTTCCTGCCCCAGCTACTCATGTTCAGGCCAATAGAAAAAACTTCAAAAACTGTTGTCTGCCTTTGATGCTGATGTAGAAAGATTTGATCCTCATCAATCTGGAAAGCCAGATATGTGGCCAAGCACTGCAGGTATTCCAATCGTCTAAAAGAGTATCAGGATTTTTTTTCTCCATTATAGATAGAGTCTACTGAATATAACTCTCATTTAGGTAATGAGTCTAGGTTCTCATTATGAACACGGTATTATAGGCATCACAGAATAGGAGTGTTCATAATGAGGACCTAGACTCATTACCTAAATGGGAGTTATATTCAGTAGACTCTATCTATAAAGTGAGGGATGAGTAATCTTTTCTGTAAATAGTTTCATTAAAAATAAAGTAATTTTTGAAATGTACAGACATGTTCCTTCATCTTCCATTGGCTAGAACCGTGTCACATTAGAAGTGTCACAGGTTTTGCATTCTGTCATGTCCAGTAATGAAGGGAAATCAGTGGATACTTACATATTATGTTTTTTTTTCTTTTAAAGTTTTTAAACTTAAGGTAGATTCATTGTAATCAAAAGCAATCACATATGATTATAATAGCTGAATACAATTTCTTTTATTCTTAGGAAGGAAAATAATTCCAGATGTCAAAATGCAGCAATAATGAGGATTATATACTGATGGTGCTTATCTAGCAATGCCTTGTCATCTGTACTAGGCAGACTAGGCTACACTGACATTGCAGTAACAAACAGCTATATCTTAGTAGCTCAATATGACAGAAGTTTCTCACTCTCACAAGAATCAATATGTGTCAGGGCAACTCTCCAAGGGAGTTTCCCTTCACGTTGTGGTGATTTCTGTAATAATTAGACTATACTCCTGCAATAATTGACTCAACTATCTTAATACAAGGTTCCACAATTGCTAAGGAAGAGAAGTTAGAGCTAAAGAATTGAGCACTGCATCTTAAGTGTTTCAGGCCAGAAGTAATACATACCATGTCTGCTCAGCCCATTGACTATAAATAGGATATGGCCCCATGTATATGTTATGGAGCTGGAAAGTGTAGTCTTAGAGTTACCCAGAGGAGAAGTGAACTGGATATTGGTGAGTAGTAATAGTATCTACTACACCATTCTAGACTCTTTTAGAATGCGGCAATGCCTTAATAATATTTTTTCCAAAGAATAGAAAGGAAATCAAGGACACCATAGGGATCTTTTGGACCTTAGTTAAGAATTCCCCATTTACCTTCTAAAAGTTGTAAATCCAACTTTTACTCAACTGATTCCAATAAGAATGAGGATCATTTAATGGATTTAACATAAATTTTGTGTTCAATCGTCAACTCTACCATTTACTAACTGTGTGAGTATATGTTCTTGGAGAAATGACTTAACACCTGTGATTCTTGATGTCCTCATCATTAAGAGGAAGATGATAATGCCCAACTTCCATCACAGTTTTGATGAGTAAATGAGAGATGAAAAATGAACTAGCATAATCTCTGGCACACACCAGCTTCTTAATAAAACCTAGTTCCCTTCTCTATCTCCTCTCACCTCTTCCTGCTTTCCTTTACCTCTCTAAATATTGGCACTTTCCAGAGAAAAGAAAAAGCCTTTGTGGTTAAGCGATGAAATCTGAAAAGACACAGTGTGCCTCATCAGTCCGTCATTCAATAGTGTGTAGTCTTGAGAAAATTACTTAAATATCTGAGCTTCGGTGTCCTCATTTGTAAACTAATAGACAATTTAGTACCGACCTCATAGGATGTTTAAGAGGATTCATTTGTATAATGTGTATAAAATAACTTACATTTCTCAATAAGTGTTAGCAATTATTATTATTATCATTAACAATGCAGCATGTTTACAATTTCATGTCAGAAGTTTGTTCTGCTTAAGCCAAGCTTTGGAGAAGACTTTAATAACTAGTTACTCAATTCTAATTCATGAACCAGAAGAATTAGCATAACCTAGGAGTTTGTTAGAAATGAAAACTCTCTTTCCCTAGAGCAAGAAAAGGAAAGAGAGAAAAAAAGATAAACGCAGACTCTCAAGATCTCATTCCAAATCTACAGAATTAGAAGCTGTAGTTTTACAAGTTTTTCAGGTGATTCCTGAAGATAAATATAAAGAAAAGAGGTTTAATTGGCTCATGGTTCTGCAGGCTGTATAGGAAGCATGATGCTGGCATCTGCTTGGCTTCTGTGGAGGTCTCAGAAAACTTACAGTCATGGTGGAAGATGAAGGAGGACCAGGCATGTCACATGGCAGGAGCAGGAACAAGAGAGCCAAGGGGGAGGTGTCACACACTTTTAAACAACCAGATCTCACAAGAACTCACTCACTATCATGAAGATAGTATCAAGGGGATGGTATTAAACCATTCATGAGAAATTTGCCCCCATGATCCATCACCTCCCACCAGGTCCCACCTCCAACCTTGGGAATTACGAGTCAACATGAGAGTTGGCTGGAGACACAGACCCAAACTATATCAGACTGGGAGGCAGGAAATCAACATTTAAATTGTAACTTCCACTGACGAGCTGATTTATTTTATACAAATCATTTAATTCATTTTAGCCCTTTTCCTAATCTACAAAATGAAAGAGTTAAGCTCTTTCTATGGTCTTAACCGGGAATATACATCAAAATTACGAGAGGAAGCTATTGCAAAATATCTGACAAGCCTGGGACCTGCCCATGAAGATTCTGATTCATTAGGTCTATCATGGTGTCAAAAAAACAGGGACAGCTGCTTTTGTATGGAAACCTCTGGAGGTGGGAAGAATAATAAACTAGAGAGGAGACACCTGTAAGATTGCCTCAGAGAAGAGCAGAAAGTGAGGCCCTGGAAGCCAACACGCAACAAACATTAACAAGTGCTCTGGTGCAAGAACCAAAATCCCATGAATAGGTCAGGCTGGACAGATACCATGCTTAGTGTTCTTGTGGGAATAAAATTAACTATGTGGGGAAAGTCCTTAGTATAAAGCCTGGCACAGAATAGACCCTCAATAAAGGTCCTTCTCTTTCCCATTTCCCTCTTTAAGGAAGTTCCCAATTCATTTCGGAAGGATCTAACTGATTTCAAAGTGGCATACTCGAATGCAACTCTTTTAAGTGAGACAAAGTGGATAGCATCAAAAACAAACAAAAACATCTAATAAATAATCTTAAAAGATAAAGCAGAACAATAAACACAATTTCTCATTTTATTAAGCAATAGAGTTTTGATGTTGTAATACTGAGACACCAGACCGGCCATACAATTTAGAGCCTACTGCAAAAAAGTCCAGATTTTCAGTTAATCAGTGATGTTGGGAGTAGTCATGAAGACAGTCACAGGTCCCAGTTCTTCACTGGGCAAAGAGTGCAGATTTGCATGGAAAAACAGTAGAGATAAACGCCAAGATCTGATGATAATGTGCATGCATTATTCGGACTCGTCTCAATTATCTGAAATATTTGGTCTTACTAATACTTTTGTTTCCATTATATTCAGCTAACTATAGAGTAAAACAGTGACTGCTTCAAAAATTCAAGGCTACATGAATGCTTATCCTCCTCCTTGTTACCAAAAATCTTCATTCCGTAGACTAATCAAAGCAGGGAATTTGGAAAAGCACCAGTGAGACACAAGCTTAGCATGTGTGACCAAGATTAACTCAAAATTACTAGGAGGAAGACAGGAAGGAAGTAAATTAATCCATACCCCCTGCAAGGGATAAAAAAAAATGAGCAAAAACTTGATTTAAAAAATCTCCAAGTCAAAAAGACTGTTTGAACAAAAGCAACACTTGAACAAGATGAAATAGAATACCCTAGGCAGAATAGAAATGGCTTCCATTGGAAAGCTGATGTTTCCCAAAGAAGGAAACTCCCCAGAAATTCAAAACAAAGATAAAGGCATAAAGAATCAAAGTACACATTAAGAATAATAAGTTCTACTAAGTGAGCAAAGTGATTGATTCATAAACAAGCACAGTAAGGAAGCTCTCTAGCAAGTAGCATATGTTGCCTGAAAGCATAGGCAATGAATGCATTCAAACAAGCATACATGGCCACCCAGAGACCAACACCTTACTAAGATGTCTTTGGGGCTTATGGCACGGGACCCCAATGTATTATAAATGAAATGGTCTCACAATAGGGTTCTTTTATAATCACAGACATAACATCGCCCCCACCAAAATCAGGAGATATCAAGAAAGAGCTAACTCAAGCTGCTTTGCATGTTTTTAAAAAATTTTACTGAGTATCATCAATTTTTATTTTTGAGACAGTCTCACTCTGTCATCTAGGCTGGAGGGCAGTGGCATGATTTTGGCTCACTGCAACCTCCGCCTCCTGGGCTCAAACGATTCCCTGCCAGAGCCTCCTGAGTAGCTGGGATTACAGACATGCACCACCACACCTGGCTAATTTTTGTATTTTTAGTAGAGATGGGGTTTCACCATGTTGGCCAGGCTGGTCTCAAACTCCTGACCTCAGGTGATCTGCCCGCCTCGGCCTCCCAAAGTGCTGGGATTACAGGCGTGAGCCACCGTGCCTGGCCTGTATCATTAATTTTTATATTTGCTTTGATTCATCAAATATTTATTGTGCACCTAGTATCTACCAGGTTCTGTGGTAGGTATAGGGGATGTAAAAGTAAATAAGGCATATCCCCCAAGCCTGGGCAACGTGGTGAGCTCCTGTCTCTACAAAAAAAAAAAAAAATTAATTAGCTGGGCATGGTGACATGTTCCTGTGATTGCAGCTACTCTGGAAGCTGAAGTGGGAGGATCACTTGAGCCTAGGAGGTCGAGGCTACAGTGAGCTGTGATTATGCCACTGCACTCCAGCCTGGGCAACACAGCAAGACCTTGTCTCAAATAATAATTGTAATAAATAAAAATAAAAAACAAGGTATAGCCCCTGTCTTAAAATACCTTAAATCCAGTAGAAGAGGCTGTAGGAACTAAGTGATAGTGATACATGATACTCATGGAAAGCTGGAGGTATAGTGCTAGTATGAAACCTGTCCCTCAATTTTGTCAGAAGAAGTCCCCTTGATTTACAAGTCTTTTGGCCTCATGACTACATGCTTTTTTTTTTCCACTTAGTACCACGGATGCAATTTGGATGTTTTGTCCCCTCCAAATTTCATGTTAAAATGTGATCCACAAAGTTGGAGGTAGAGCCTGGTGGGAGGTGTTTGGGTCATGGGGCCGGATCCCTCATGAATGGCTTAGCACCATCCCCATGGTAATGACTGAGTTCTCATTGAGACTGGCTGTTTAAAAACGTGTGGCACCTCTTTCCTCTCTCTTGCTCCCTCTCTCACCATGTGACACGCTGGCTCTTCTTTGCCTTCCACCATGACTGTAAGTTTCCTGAGGCCCTCACCAGGAGCAGATGCTGGCACTATGTTTTGTGTAGAGCCTAAGGACCCATGAGCCAAATAAACCTCTATTCATTACATATTACCCAGTCTCAAGTATTCCTTCATAGCAATGCAAACAGACTAACACAATCACTTTTAACAGGGTAAAGATATTGCCTATGTGAACAGGATATATATATATATATATATATATATATATACACAAAACAAATCGAACATCTCTGAAAACAAACAAAAAAGGGTGCTTAGACGGGGAAACTAAAGCAACATTCTCACCTCTGATAAATGGTCATAAATGGACAAGATTGACCTCAGGTACAATTTTGAGGCCAGTGAGGTTTCCTTTGGCTCCTCCTTGTTTGTTTTTTTTTCAGAATTCACCATTCCAGACTCTCAATGCCCTCTTATGCCTTGCAGGATCCAGACTCCCTTCCTGAGAACAGCTTTTTGGAGGCTGATGTGTAGTTCTCTACCTGTCACATCTTTTCACTATAATGTCCACAAGTTTCTAGTATGGTATAGTGGTTTAATTAATTTATTTATTCATTCATTTATTCATCTATTCATGCATTCAAAAAATATTGAGAGCCAGACACTGTGTTAGGCACTAGAAATGCAGTGGTAAGCAAGATTGGTGTTGTTGTCTTTGCCCTCAGGGTTACAGGTTAATTAGAGATGATTTCTCTAAGTATAAGATATTATCTAGAAGACACAGCAATGACTATTTCTGTTGACATATATATTATAGGAAAAGCTGGTTGTAAAATAATTTAAGTCACACTGGGACATACTTCGTTTTCATGAATAGGAAGAAATTGAGGAAAATATCTATAAAAAAGTATTGTGATTTTAAAAGTATTCTGTAATGAATTACTTTTTGAATAAGTAACTAGAAAATGTTCATATCCATATGGTTTACTGGGTTCTATAAACTTAGAAAGGAAAATTGACTAGATTATGTTAGAGAAAATAAGGGTACTTGTTTTATGAAAAACTCTCAAACCATGTTTTCCCACCATTCTCACACATCACAACAACAATCATCAACACCAAAGAAGATTTCTGTGACCAAATAAGTGTGTGTGTAGTTTCCCCACATACCAAGCAGCAGACACCAGCTGGGTATCTTCCAATTCAATCCTGACACTATCTTACCTGGAGATAGGTCAGATAACATAGGTTGAGGGCTCAGTTCCCAAGATTTCTCCCACCCTCAGACACCATTGGCAAGTCCAGGCCTCCAGAACTTCTGGTCAATGGGCTTAAAGTATGGGTTCCCACAACCCCCTCTTTGGGTTCCATTAATTTGCTGGAGTGGCTCACAGAACTCAGGGAAACACGTATATCAGTGTATTATAAAGGATATTACAAACAATACAGATGAAAAGATGCATAGGGTGAGGTACAGGGGAAGGGGTGTAGAGCTCCCACGCCCTCCCTGGGTGTGCCACCTTTCAGGATTCTTCACATGTTCAGCTATTCGGAAGCTCCCTGGATGCTGTTTTCTTGGGTTTTTATGAAAGCTTCATGACACCAGCATTTATTTCCCCAGGGTATGGGGTGAGACCCTCTGGAATGAGGGATTTATGACCCAGAATTAGAAAGGTAGAAGATTAGAGTCCTGTCTTGGTACAGGTAAAAGGAAGGCAAGAGAAGGTCAGATTTTGTTCCCTGAGGCGTGTCCCTAAGGCTTAACACTCCCAACACCGTAACAACAGACTGTAACAAGGGCTATGGGAGTTATCAGCCAGGAACTGTGGATGCCCTTGTTACAGTATATTATATATATATATATATATATATATATATATATATATATATATATATATATATATATTTTATATATATATTTTATATATATATATTTTATATTTTTTTATATATATATACACACACACGCAATGTATATTGTGTATATATATTATATATACAATGTATATTGTGTGTATATATTATATATTTACAATGTATATTGTATATATATAGTTTAACACTACAGCACTACTTCCCCACTTCTTGATAAACTCTGAAATACACATCTCTTTTATTTAAAGAGGAGCAAAGGGACAGCTATTTTCCAAGTCATTCAGCCTTTAAACAGATCAATCCCACTGAAAACCATTGAGATTCAAACATATTAAATGTTAAAACAAGGATATTTTTGAATGCAGAGCTTACAGTAACCGATCTGTAGCAACACATTAAGACTACTTCTTTGACATATCACTTTTAGTAGATGCCCTTTTCAGAAGACCACTTAACTCTGCTCATTTAACAATCCATTCCTTGCCTTTGCTTTTGAAAGAGTAATGACATTTGCCCTTCTTATTTCTGTAAGCAGTGTCATAAAGCTTAATTTCAATCACAAGGTTCAGCAGCTCAGAAAATTTGTACCCTTCCATTCCTCTTATGATAAAAAGAAATGTATTTTTTTCTAATAGGGAAAGGGGTAATGAGGTAAAGGTTTAGTGTTCATGATTATGGTTGATTTCTGAGGTTAATTCATTAAAGTCTTTTTTAAAAAGTGGTTTAGGCTATATGTTGCAGGTATAATATATGTTGATATAAAGCATACTTAAAATTTTATCATTGGTTAATTAGCATGAACAAAATAGGAATGCTACTCATTTAACTACAGTTCCTATTCATTTGAAGCATAACTTGACATTTTTCTTTCTTTAAATATTATAAATGGCTCATTATTTCATCAATGTTCATTACCTTGACATATCATTCATTTTTTTCCTTTTAAGTACAAATGGAGAGTTGTATTTAAGGAATGAACAAATTAAAACTAAAGTTGAACACCCTTTCTATTCATTTCCTATCTTTGTTGTAACAAATTACTACAAACTTGGTGGCTTAAAACAACACGTTTATTCTCTTACAGTTCTGGAGGCCAGAATTCTAAAAATAGTTTCACTGGGCTGAAATGAAGGTGTTGGCAGGTCCAGCTTCTTTCAGAGGATCTTGAAGAAAACACGTTTTTTGCCTTTTCTATTTTCTAGTGGCTTCCAGCATTCCTTAGTTTATGGCCACACCACTCCAATCTCTGCCTCCACAGTCACATTGCTTTCTTCTCTTCCGCATGTTACGTTTTCCTCTGTCTCCCTCTTATAAGGGTACATGTGATTACAATTAGGTCCTACTGAGATAATCCAGGATAGTCTCCCTATCTCAATATTTTAAAGCACATTTGCAAAGTCTTTTTTTTTTTTTTGCCACATAAGGTAAAATTCACATGTTCCAGGGATTGGGACATAGTTATCTTTTGACTCCATTATTCAGTCTACCATGCCCTCCTAAACTACATACTAAGACATTATGGCTTCCATGGGCCATACACACTTTAGCTTTTGTGGCCCTATCCTCCATAAAAATAAATTTAAAAATATTTGTTATGACTGCATTGATATAAAGATGAATACTTATATATTTATTGTTATCATAAATGTATATACATTACTATTATATTAATTTTTCTTCTCCTTTTAAAAGAAATTAAAATAATACTTTTGTGAACCCCTAAAAGTATTATGGGCCCTAGGCATGTGTCTAATGAGAAAGTCAACCTTGCATACAGAAAACATGTAAGGTGTTTGGATCTCAGCAGCTGATAGAATTTTAGAAGTATAGAAGCTCAGGAAATAATTCTAATGTATACATAGGTTTCTTAATTGCACTTCAGTTTTCAAAATTCATAAGATTTCTGTTCCAGTTTAAATAAGTGTTCCATTCTGTAAGCTTTGTCATTTTTCTACCATGTAACCTTTAAAAGGAAAACACAAATCATTTTTAAGAAGGACTATTTCTTCCACACCTAATTGATGAAAAAATAATGTGCAAGATGTTTCAAAATGAAATAAAAATGGTTTCATTCTGTGTCATCCCACTGCAGATTTTGTGAGTAACAATACACAGCCCATTGTGTATGTTTTCTTTTTAAATTTTAAAGGTTGGGGTAAGAGAGAAATTACACTAATAATGTTGAACCAAATCACACAGCTTTAATGTGACCTGGTTAGACATCACTCAATTTATACCTCTTCCAAATTAGGTTTCTCAATGATAATGTTGTTCTACCGTCAAATCGTTCTTTTTTTTTTTTTGGACTGAGTCTTGCTGTTGTCGGCTCAGGGTGGAGTGCAATGGCGCTATCTCAGCTCACTGCAACCTGTGCCTCCCGGGTTCCAGCAATTCTCCTGCCTCAGCCTCCCAAGTAGCTGAGATTACAGGCACCTGTCACCATGCCTGGCTAATTTTTGTATTTTTAATAGAGACAGGATTTCACCATGTTGGCCAGGCTGGTCTTGAACTCCTGAACTCAGGTGGTCTACCCACCTTGGCCTCCCAAAGTGCTGGGATTACAAGGCATGAGCCACTGCACCCAGCCCATAATTGTTTACACAGTTCATTTGTGGCTTGCAGAACTACATTTTCTTTGGCAATACAAGGAGAGTGAGGAATCATACAAATTTTTATCTTCAGTATCTTATGAAAGATTATGCTAATTATAGAAATCACAGCTTGGGTAGCTAACAGCAAATCAAAATTTGGTTTTTCTTTAGTAGGAAAATGTTTTTATTGTGCACCGCTTTTCAACTAGAAATTCTACAGTCATACATTTTCTAACATTTAAACTTTGTTTCACAAACTCAGTTCATTAGTTTTAATAAACTCCTTATGATTTAGAGGATGCAACAGATGATATTTTATATTACATTACCTCCAGGACAGTTTTAGCTATACCTAGACTAAAATGCACAATTGCTGTATCCATTCATTGCTTTCTTTGGGAGAACAGTATGAATATTTTTTTATGAATGAAATAGAATAACACATTTTAAAACATGCTTCTTAAAGACCATTCCTATATTTATTTTCAAATTGAATTAAATGTTTTATGTTATTGTATAGTATACATTTTAAGTTTTACATAGTTATGAAATCTCAGTGATAATAACAATAGTTACAATTTCAGCTTTACATGTATTATCTCATTTATTGCTCATAGCAAAAATTAAGACAGGTCCTTTTACTTTATTCCGTTTTAGAAGTGAGGACACTGAGGCATTGAGCAGTTAAATAATTCGTCCAAAATCACACAGCTAATAAATAATGAAGTTGAGATTTAAACCTAAGCAAGGTCTGTCTGCCTACAGAGCCTATACATATAACCCACCATGTTATACTGTCTCCACACAGACTATTCATAATATTCTAATACTCCACTTTTTTGTGGGAAATGCCAATACCCATAAAAAGTTTTTGATGATTGCAAAGTATCAACTAAAGTCAATTAATGACACACACATATGCCATGAACCAAATACAGAATACACTCATAAAATTAACTAGAGTTTGCATTGGATAGTGTGGTCCAGTTTAATTGACTGGAGAATGAAATTAAAAATTTTAAAATGTTGGTACCTTCATGGAAAAAGTTGTCAGTTTTATTGAAACTGCCTTTGCAAACATATTATGACAAAAGAAATCTGACATAGTTGACTCCATCTTGCTTCTGACCTTCAAGCTATTGTTGGTCATTCCTGGGCATAGGCCAAGCTAGGTTAGAAGGAATTTAGTTTTTAGTTTAACTTGAAAGCAAGGATAAGGTTGGGCACAGTGGCTCACACCTGTAATCCCAGCACTTTGGGAGGCTGAGTTGGGAGGATCACTTGAGCCCAGGAGTTCAAGACCAGCTTGGGCAAGATGGTGAGACCCCATCTCAACAACAACAACAACAAGAAAATTAGCTGGGCATGGTGGTACACACCTGTGGTCCAAGCTACATGGGAGGCTGAAGCAGTAGGATCACTTGAGCCCAGAAGGTCAAGGCTGCAGTGAGCCATGTTCACACCACTGCACACTGCACTCCAGCCTTGGTGACAGAGCGAGACCCTGTCTCAAAAAAAAAAAAAAAATGATGATTATAGCACCTCTCTAAAACTAACCCCCTCCTTGCTCAGGTACTGAAAACCACCTTTGTAAGACTAATGAAAAAACCATAAGAATAGGATTACAGGAGTGTGCTGAACTCTACTAAGACGTAGTGTAGTTTCTATTATCCTTTACTGTTCAGGAGTCGTGTGGCCAGAGGTCACAAAATAAGTGTAGTTTCTATAATCTTTTACTGCTCAGGAGCCATGTGGCCAAAGGTCACAAGATGTGTGCCTTCTCCAGTTGTTCCTATAGAAAATATCACTATTCTAAAACCTAATTTTTTTTTTCCTGTGATAGGGTCTCTCTTTGTTGCCCAGCCTGGGCACTGCTTCCAACCTCTAGGATTGTTTTGTTATCTCCTTCAGGCTGACCCCACCAGGATGCAACTGATCCTATGACCCCACCCAGAGGTGGACTCAGAACATGAGGTCCATTTCCCACATCTCTATGATTTCATCCCCAACCAATCAGCAGCACCCATTCCCTAGCCCCTTGCCCACCAAATTGTCTATAAAAACTCTAAGCTCTGATCCTTTAGACAGACTGATTTGAGTGATAACTCCAGTTCTCCTATGTCAGCTGGCCTTGCATCAATTAAACTCTTCCTCTACTGTAATGCCAGATTCTCAGTGAATCGATTTTGTCTGTGCAGCTGGCAGGAAGAGCCCCTCCAGTGATTACATTACTTTGTTACAAAGCCACAGACTTGACCAGTAGCCCAGTCAGTTTCATAACTGTATAGAGGGCACAAAGACAAGACGACTTAGGCAGAGAGAATGAATAACTCATAGCAAATCTATTGCTTCTACTACAAAGGAAACCAATCCAAGGCTATGCCCCACTGAAGAAGGGGCAGTTGTGCCACAATATGTACAAAAGACAACATTAAAACACAAGGAGCTATAGGCTTTAATTAAAAGCACTTTGTGCAGTGCTTTGCTGTTTTAAAGATGGGGTGTATCTATTACTACATCATGCCAGAAGTAAAATACTACTGCTACAATAATAGTAGTAATATATGTATGAATATTTTCAAAATGCCAAAGCACTCTGATTCACCCCATATCCCTGCCCAAATTCACAGGTAATTTGGATACTATAGAATCTACTAATTGGAAGGGACTGTAAGAGTTACCAAGCACAGTTTACGAGCAGTGCAGAGATTCCCTCTGTACTACGACTGGCAGGTGGAAAGTCAGTCTCTCCTTAACCCTTCCAGTGATAAGGGACCCATAGAGAAGCATGAAAAGTAATCCATTCAATTATTGTACAGTAATAATTTTTAGATATTGTTGTCCTACCAGATTGTCTGTTCTTCCATTTGTTAGGGCTAGTTGAGTTTTTGAAAAAGACAGAAATATGCTTAATCTCTTCTCCTCATGACAGTATTTTTAAAGAGCAATTATGTTCTTTCTCTTTCTTTAGTGAATCACCTCAAATTCTGTAAACCATTCTTCATATGGAATATTTTCAGAGAAAGAACACAAGATGCTTATTTTACCACCTAATTTCTTATGGGTCAAAGATCAGAAGATGAGCCTTGTAAGCTATAAGTGTGAAAGGATTCACCTGTTTCATTATTGCAGCTTTTCCTCAATTCTGAAGTTATTATCTATTCATTTCCTGAAGCAAATTTCTTGAGAAAAACATCTCCCTCTGATATCTCACTATGCCTGTTCTTAAGCAATTTGAAAAGAGAATGCCTTTGCCAAAATCGTTGCTTGATGCAGAGGTGTTTGAACTTTTTACATATGATCATGCATCCACGTAGTTAAAAGGTTTTCCACGCAGTGTATCAGCCCAACACATTTTATTTTGGTGATTTCATTGACCTTGTGCCTATCCTATCAGTTTTATCCACATACTCGCATGAGTCACAGTCCTCAAAATGTCATAAACATGAGGTTTTGTTTTCATTGTGTGAATATTACTCTAGACAAGATGAGGAGAAAGCTTTACAGTCAAGCATTCAAAACTTAAGGAATGCCTACATGTTTTCCCCTTCCATCTTTCTCATGGACACATTTATACTGAAACAATCTAGCAACAACATTCTATTTACATGTAATCTTAATTGGTCTCTAACATTTTCAACAAGTACATTTTCTCAAACCCTCAACCCTCTATTGCCTTGAACTTCATCCTTCCTCTCTTCCTGTCAATGGAGGGTAGATTTCTCCTCTCCATCCTTCCAGCATTTCCTCCTTTACAATGTTTTTCACTTTGTCAATCTGCTTCATAATAAATAACCTAACTCTCCATGAAGCACTCCATCCACCTTCCTGACTTAACTTAAACCTTTGCTCTCTCCCAAGGACAGGATTTACCAAGAAGTCTCCTGGAGGAAAAGCTACTTATTATTACACCTTGGGTGAGATGAGGGAGGAGAGTGCAAGGCAGTATACTTTACCACTAGTTCTCCTTTACCACTTTGAAACCATTACTTCTCTACTCCCTTGTTAAAGTACCTTGTCCTTGAAGATGGCTTTACCATGATCTAACTCATCTCATTACTGAAATCTACAACTCTAATGGTCATTTTATCACTATTTAGTATTTAGAGGCCAAATCAGCTTATAAATGCTTTTTCTGAGATATAAGACGGTTATATAATGAAGTCAGGATGAAACACACAAAAATATGTAAGACTGAGGTCAGAGTTTATTGACACCTGCTATTGCCTTTCTGGATATCTAGACTATATTCACCCATTGTCTCTATTTTTGCTTCCTTGTCTCCTTTCAGTAAACTATTTATGCTAGACTATAATAATCAGGCTTTTGTCCTACAACCGCAAGGAAAGTATCCTCACCGAGGTCCCCAGTGACTCCTGGTTGACAAATCCAATTTATTTGACATAACAGACTGTAGGTCATTCATTTTTAAATGATCCCTTACTTTGCCTCCCATTATATTATATATTCCTAAATTCTCTTCCTATCTCTTGTTTCCCACTGAGCATCCTTACATGTTGGTGTTCCTCAGAATTCTGTCTTAGGTGCTCTTCTCTTTTCACTTTATACTTTCCTTTTTTGGAAACAGAACCATTTCTTCTTATTTCACTCCATTCACCACTACCACCCCTGATTCTGGACCTGTATAATTCTGTCTGGTTCTTCAAGTTTCAACTCAGGAATTCCTTTTTTGTGAGGAGTCTTTCTTGACTAATTTCCCTCCTACCTTTACAGCTTCCAATATGTCTTCTCTTTTAGAATATGTAGTATTTAGGTATTACCTTTATTTTTGTCTCAACTTTTTAAATGTCATTTCCCCCTTAAGGCCTGCAGTGTATTGACTATGTTCACAGTTCCTTTTTTGGCTATTTCAAGTTGAAAAGGGGTCACCCTCTCTGAATGCTTTCATCACTATCATTTCCTCAATCAATTCCACATTGTTAGTAAAATTAAAGTCCAAACCAATGTTTCCCCTTGTTGTTCTCTCCTTCTTAAAAAATAAATTTTCAGCAGCATCAAGACAAGAATGTATCTGTTTCTACTTTTAGCTAAAATAATTATAAAATATGTACATAGTTGACAATCTCATCCCTATAATGTCTTGCTATGTAAGAATTGGTATATCTGGGTTGGGAGCAGTGGCTCAGGCCTGTAATCCCAGCACTTTGGGAGGCAGAGGTGGGCGGATCATGAGATCAGGAGTTCAAGACCAGCCTGAACAAGATGGTGAAACCCTGTCTCTACTAAAAATACAAAAATTAGCTGGGCATGGTGGCATGCACCTGTAGTCCCAGCTACTCAGAAGGCTGAGGCAGGATAATCGCTTGAACCCAGGAGGCGGAGGTTGCAGTGAGCCGAGATTGCACCACTGCACTCCAGCCTGGGTGACAGAGTGAGACTCTGTCTCAAAAAAAAAAAAAAAAAAAGAATTGGTATATCTGAATACAGATATCTACCATATTCTCAATCTATCTATCTGGATAGTGTGTATATACTTTAAAAACCATATCATTTGTCCCTCCTTTCCTCTAGCCTTATAAAATAGCCTCATTACATTTCTACACTGGAGTCCTAGATTTTCACATAGGTGCTCATTTTGATAGACAATGTCATTCCGTGATCCTTGTTTTTTATTTCCATTATCATATTCTATTATGAATTATATTTGTAGTAGACAGAATTCTAAGATGACCTCAAATATTTCCTCCTCTTGGTGTTCAGAAAATGTACATGTCCCTCCTCTTGAATGATATCACTTTTATGATTAAGTTACTGATCAGTTGAGTTTAAGATAATCAAAAGGGAGATTATTTTGAGTGGGCCTGAAATAACCAGGTAAGTCCTTTAAAATAATGTGAAGTGTCAGAGAGGTATTTTTGCTAACCTGAAAGAAAGCAAACATCCACATTTTGAACTCCTATAGGGAGTCCATCCCCATAACCCTGGGGTGAGGATCCATCCCTCACCAATGGGATAAAGAGGAAGCAATAAAAACACAGTGATGAACTGGAGAATATGTTTTATTACCATAGCTAAACAATAATAAATCAGTAGTAATTTTGAAATTCTGGGTAGAAATGGAAGTAGTTGGGACATATGTGGAATTTCCATTTTTTTCTCATTTGAATACCCTTGTATTAGTCTGTTCTCACACTGCTATAAATACTTGAGACTGGGAAATTTATAAAGAAAGGAAGTTTAATTTGCTCACAGTTCTGCAGGCTGTACAGGAAGCATGATGCTGGTCATCTGTTCAGCTTCTGAGGAGGCCTCAGGAAACTTACAATCATGGCAGAAGGCAAAGGAGGAGCCAGCACTTCACTTCACATGTCTAGGAGCAGGAGGAAGAGAGAGAGAGTGGGGAGGTGCCACACGCTTTTAAACAGCCAGATCTTTTGAGAACTCTATCACAAGATAGCACTAGGGCAGATGGTGCTAAACCATTAAAAGCCACCGCCATAATCCAATCACCTCCCACCAGGCCCCACCTCCAACATTGGGGATTGCAATTCAACATGAGGTTTGGACAGGGACCCAGATCCAAACCATATCCACCATTATTTTGGAAGCATTGAAAGGATATGGTGATCTATCAGGTGGATGCAGAGTTGGTGTCAAATAGGATGAGCTGTTTTGCCGGGCCATGTTATTAACCAGCATTTCCTGGGTAAGAGTCACTAAAAGGAATTATTGACAAAATGGATAACCAAGCCTATCTTCCTGAAGGTTCTTATTCAGTGGGTGTGGGGTGGGTTCTCAGAATTTGTTTTAAATCAAGCATGCCAGGAGATTCTTATCAGAGAAATTAGGAAAACACTATTAAACTGTAGTAGAGTCATAGGAGTTAAAAAGAAATTATTTAGGCAGATAGTGAGGGTAAGGAAGTCCTCTGTAAGGTTTTCCTTTTAATGGAAAGCAGCCCCCAGATCATTTTCTTTTCTAACAAAGAGCAGCCTGTAAAATTGAGCTGCAGACATAGACAAGCAAGCCGGAAGCTTGCACGGGTGAAAGCAGTTGTGCTAATAGGAAAAGGCTACATGGGACTAAGCATGATTAAAATGGTGGCTCCATCTTCCCTTCTCTTTGCCAGCCAATTGTACAGTAAGAAGCAGACAAGTGGCACTGGAAAGTGGAAAGCCCATTTGCATAATAAGATTAGGGTGGGGAGACCAGCCTTCCCTGTGCGCTATGTAAACGTCACGCCTGGTCGAACCAATGTGTCTGAACCATAAATCAGATAGACCTCCTCAATCCTCCATATGAAATCTGCTGTGGTCCACCATAGGCTGGCTTTTCCCTTTTGGACACTCCTCTCTCTCATGAGAGAGGTAGAGCTGCTCTCCTTTGTCTTTGTTTTGCCTATTAACCTCTGCTCCTAAACTCACTCCTCATGTGTGTCTGTGTCCTTAATCTTCTTGGTGCGAGATGACGAACCCCGGGTATTTACCCCAGACAACTATGCCGCTTCAGTAGTGACAGTCTGAGAACAGTAGAGAAAGTAAATAACCTAAGAACTGAAATAAAATCTCACTGACTATTGGCAGAATTCAGTTTCTTGTAGTTGATGCTGAGATCCCCATTTTCTCAGTTCTTGATGGCTTTTGTCTGGGGACCTCTCCTAGCTCCTTGAGGCTTCCCCCAGTTCCTTGTCATGAGAAAAAAATTGGAAGTTCCACGTATGTCTTAACTACTTCCATTTCTACCCAGAATTTCAAAATTACTACTGATTTATTATTGTTTACCCATGGTAATAAAACATATTCTCCAGTTCATCACTGTGTTTTTATTGCTTTCTCTTTATCCCATTGGGGAGGGAGGGATCCCCACCCCAGGGTTATGGGGATAGACAAACACGCAACACCCAATGCTGGACAGATGAGACTGATCACAGTTTATCAATTACATATACTCACAGCCTAAGGGAGGAGGACACCACACACCATACAGGACCACACAGAGTTTGCTCTCTGGAGCAGACCAAGCAACCAGGGGCTGTGGGAGGCAAGCTTTGTACTATCAGACAGGTGGAATGACCCTTAGTTCCCACAGGAGGATGTGATTGGCTTATTTGAATAATTCCATGGGCCGGCAAAGAACTGAAAGCCACTACTTAGGAACTGCACCTGGTCTCCTTGATAAGGAGTCTTGTTAGGCTAGGGGAACTTATCTGTGGGAGCACAGCAGGGAGAAAAACTCGTAGGTAGGCCATTGGAGGCTCTCTCAGTTTCGCCAGATATCAAGGCAGTACATAATATGAGGCTTTAATTTTAGGCCTTACACCACACACTGGCTTTGATAAACGGTGGCAGGCAAGGCCCTCAACATATCCTGAATAGTTGTGCCAGGAAGATAGCTCATGCACCACTTTATCATGCTGGATGAATGAATTTTTAATCTATATTTACATGTAGCCACTTTCTATGTGTAAGATTTTTAACAATAAAAAAAGCAGATTCCTGAATACTCTGCTGAACACATATCATGCATTTATTTTTTATTTTTATCTTTTGGAGACAGGGTCTCATTCTGTTGCCTAGGCTGGAGTGCAGTGGTACCATCATGGCTCACTGCAGCCTTAACCTCCCTGGGCTCAGGTGATCCTCTCAGCCTCCCAAGTAGCTGTGACTACAGGCGCATGCCACCATTCCCGGCTAAGTTTTGTAGAGACAGGGTTTCACCATATTGCCCAGGTTGGTCTTGAACTCCTGGGTGCAAGTGATCTTCCCACCTCAGCCTCCCAAAGTGCTGGGATTACAGGTGTGAGTCACTGCACCGTGCCTGATATTTTAATAAAAAATAATTGCAGCCAAACACGGCGGTTCATGCCAGCACTTTGGGTGGCCAAAGTGAGAGGATCACTTGAGGCCAGGAGTTCAAGACCAGCCTGGGCAACATAAGGACATGCTGTCTCTATATAAATTTTTTAAAAATATATATAAAATATCAAATTTTCAAAATTATAAATGGAGGAGAAATATTAAACTATGTTATCACAAAGTTAGTTTAAGTCTGCTTTTAAAGCAATTCATTTCAATTGTGCATATTACTTGGAAAACTTTCTCAAACCTTACACACATCCCATCCTCCTTTCTTCCCTTTCAGTCCCACCACATATTGCCCCAGTGGGAGGATGTTTCTTTGTAGTGAATTATTTCCGTAACCTTCGGTGTAGCCATGAGTGTGCCTGGAGGCAAAGAAGTTGATAACCACTTTCCAGTGTTGTCCAATAATAGAGTATTTCCTTTCCCTTCCCTCTCTTTTCTTTCCTCTTCTTTCCTTTACTCTTTCTCCTCTATCTTACCACTGCTGCAAGTTAATTGAAATCTAGAAGATGGACTTTGGCTGAAGATTATATAAGAGGACAATAAGACCAATCTGGCTTTAGGCCAAAATTTTCATGGCCTAAAGTTGCAAGAGGCTGAAAGACTAAAGTATTACTGCAGAACCTCTCTGGAATAGATATAATTCTAAGACATCATTCAGGGAGATTGAAGGAGTAGTCTAATCAAAACGATTAAAGTAAGGATTAAGAACGGGGTTGAAGTGTCATTTCTCTTAAGAAATTGTGGGATGTTCAGGGATTTTCTTTCTAAAAAGATTACTTCATAAGCATAATCTTTAAATATTATATGTTTAAAGTATATCTACACATAGCTTATAAAGTAAGAAATAAAGATATATCTGTCTGAGACTTAGGGGACATTATTATTGTTTGTTTCATGTATTCCTATTCACAGTACCTTTCCCACTTGGGAGCAGTGTATCATATTTGCAATAAAAGCAAGCAAATGAAAAAAAAAAAAAACCTAACTCCAGTGAGCTGAACTTGCAAACCTCAAGTTATGCAGTAATCGCAAACATCATGTATGTCAATGTAATTGTGGCAAATGTGAAACATGATCTAGTTTAAATCATATTTAATCAGAAATGGGCAATAGTTCAGAAATGTAATGTTTCCATTTTAAGGATGTTAAAATTCATTACTATATTAGCTTCGTGTTTTTGAAACTTTTTGGACATTGGGCTTAGGCCCAGAGGAATTTCAAAAATCAAAATTGACACTACATATTTAACTATCATAACCACTCAGCAATTATGCTTGCCTGCTATATTCTCATCCAACAACTCCACAATCTAGGAACTTCTGTGCATATTGAGATTCCTATGGAAGTTATAGCATTAATGAAATTGAGTTTTAAATTTCCCTAGGCTCAACCTAGACATTAAGAATATAAATGTAAATTAACAGAGAACTAGCAGCCATGAATACTAACACTCAAATCACATTCATTTTCATTTAAATTTTACGCAGACATCAGGGAAACAATTTCTCCTCCTTTCCTCTAAAGAAATTATATTAATAATTTTGGCAGTCTTCCTGTGATGAAACAACATAGAATGCAATGCAGAATGCAACACCTTTAAATTACTTAGAAAACAGGCATATGAAAACTAAATCTGGATAGATCATGTTTGCTTTGCTTGTGGGACAATTTTAGAGACTGAACCTAGTCTACTCCTGAGTTTAAGGAGATGCTAAGGTTTAAAAGTATGGGTTGAATATGCTTACTAACCAATAGTCTGTTAATGGTCTTTAGTACCACCAAGTATAATAAAGGGAAGCATAAATTACATAGCTCAAACCACAACAACTCTGCATAATGATATAACCAGTACAGTAGTCCCCTCTTATTCATGGATTTGCTTTTAGCAGTTTGTTAATCACAGTCAACTGCACTCCAAAAAGATTAAATAGAAAATTCTAGAAATAACGATTCACATGTTTTAAATTGCTTGCTGTTTTGAGTAGCATGATGAAATCTCTCACCATCCTGCTTCATCCTACCTCAGATGTCACTTAGTGGCCTCCTCTATTATCAGATTCACTGCTACAGTATGGGTATTGCAGTCCTTGTGTTCAAGTAATCCCTACTTAATAATGGCCCCAAAGCACAAGAGGAGTGATGCTGGCCTATTATTGTAATTGTTCTATTTTATCATTAGTTTTTGTTGTTAATCCCTTACTCTGCCTAATAAATTAAACCTTATTATAGGTATGTATATATAAGGAAAAACATAGTAATATATAGGGTTTGTTACCATCTGTGGTTTCAAGCATCAAACTGGGGGTCTCGGAAAGTATCCCCTGAAGATAAAGGGGGACTACTGTAGTTTCCCTCCTATCTTTTTAGATGATTCTGCCATGACCAGAGGGAGTTGTATGACTCTTATGTGGCTTTCTTGGTCCTTCTTTTGTCCTCCTTTCCTTCAGATTTGAAGAACAAAAGAAAACAAGGAAAGAATAACAAACTGCCAACTATTAAGAGTTTGGCTTACTTGACAATTGGTAAAGGAAGGAGTCCACTACAGGCAGAATGACAGGTGCAAGTAGTTTGGGACTCTTGGGTGGAAGAGTGAATTGCAAGGTCCACTGCTAAGAGAAAAAAAAAGTAATCCAGTGAGAAGCTCCATCCCAAGTCTGCTTACTTGAAACACATATCTATTCAATTGGGTAGGGTTAAGTTGGGAATTGAGAGCAAGATGTTTACCTTTTGTGTCCTAGCTCTTGGGTTCTTCATATTAATATTTTATCATTTTCACTTGCTTCATGAGCTCTATTCACCTAATTTCTCTGTAGATTTCTCTTATGGATTCTCTACCCTGACAGAAGTTTATTCCTTGGTATTACATATAATTTTTCTCTGGGAAATACAAACACATTCCTAAATTTTAATTCTCATGTAACAATAATCCAAATTTATAATCAATTTTCCACGGAACTCCTGAAAGAGAGGTGGGGTGATTGTAAAATATGGTGGAAGAAAGATTTTCTTTAAAGCTCATTTAGGTGAAAGTGGTACTTTTGTTTTTGTTTTTGTTTTTTGTTTTTGTTTTTGTTTTTGTTTTGGATGGAGACTCAATCTGTTGCCCAGGCTGGAGTGCAGTGGTGCCATCATGGCTCACTGCAGCCTTGTCTCTCTGGGCTCAAGTGATCCTCCCAGCTCAGCCTCCCAGGTAGCTGGGATGACAGGTGTGTACCACCATGCCCCACAAACTTTTTTTTATGTTTTGTGGATACAAGGTCTCCCTATGTTCCCCCAGGTTGGTTTCAAACTCCTGAGCTCAAGCAATCCACCTGCCTCAGCTTCCCAAAGCAAAAATATTTTGTAAACAAAAAGTTTTTTAAAAAAAGAAGAGTGAGAGAGAAAGAGGAACATTTTACCTGAGAGATATCAAAACATACTATAAAACAATAGTAATACAGCATGGTATTAGTTTACAGACAGTCATTCAAATCAGTGGTTGAACAGAGCTAAAAAATAAAAAAAAATAGATGTGTAAAGGTATGCTAATTTGGTTGATGATAAACTTCAGATCACTGAGAAAAGGATGGACCTGTCATAAAAGGAAAAATGGCCAACCAAATGAAGAAAAAAATAGGCTGCACCCTTAATTGAAACCATGAATACAAATAAACTTCAAAGTTTTGATTTTTTAAGTATTAAAAATAATAGAATAAAATAATGGATACTTAAAAAAAATATGGAGTGGCAAGGTCTTCCCAAGCAAAGTATGAAACCCAGACTCCATGAAGGAGAAGACTGACAGATTTCACAATCTCAAGTGACAGACCTGGAGAAAATATCTGCAACATATAAAACAAAAGGGCAATAGCCCAAATATATCAGGAGTTCAACAAATCCATGAAAAAATACTGTAATAGGCACTTCACAAATGACAAAATATATAACCCTATGAAAAAGTTCAACATTACTAGCAATCAAGCAAATGTATATTGAATGTTTAGTGAGATATTTTTGTCCATCAAATTTAAAATGTTTGACGATGCAAAATGTTGTTGCCTATTGGAGAAATGGACACTTTTTTTTGTTGTTGCTGGTAGCACAAAATTTTTTTTTATTGTTTTTTGTTTGTTTGTTTACCCTTGTTGGACAGTTCTTATTTTTTTTATTTTTATTATACTTTAAGTTCTAGGGTACATGTGCACAACGTTTGCTCTGAATGATGGTTTCCAGCTTCATCCATGTCCCTACAAAGGACATGAATGCATCCTTTTTTACGGCTGCATAACATTCCATGGTGTATATGTGCCACATTTTCTTAATCCAGTCTATCATTGATGGACATTTGGGTTGGTTCCAAGTCTTTGCTATTGTGAATAGTGCCGCAATAAACATACATGTGCATAAGACAAAGAACAAAGCTGGAGGCATCACCCTACCTGACTTCAAACTATACTGCAAGGCTACAGTAACCAAAACAGCATGGTACTGGTACCACAACAGAGACATAGACCAATGGAACAGAACAGAGCCCTCAGAAATAATACCACGCATCTACAACCATCTGATCTTTGACAAACCTGACAATGACAAGAACAAGAAATGGGGAAATGATTCCCTATTTAATAAATGGTGCTGGGAAAACTGGCTAGCCATATGTAGCAAGCTGAAACTAGATCCCTTCCTTACACCTTATACAAAAATTAATTCAAGATGGATTAAAGACTTAAATGTTAGACCTAAAACCATAAAAACCCTAGAAGAAAACCTAGGCAATACCATTCAGGACATAGACATGGGCAAGTCCTTCATGACTAAAACAGCAAAAGCAATGGCAGCAAAAGCCAAAACTGACAAATGGGATCTAATTAAACTAAAGAGCTTCTGCACAGCAAAACAAACTACCATCAGAGTGAACAGACAACCTACAGAATGGGAGAAAATTTTTACAATCTACTCATCTGACAAAGGGCTAATATCCAGAATCCACAAAGAACTTAAACAAATTTACAAGAAAAAAATCAAACAACCACAACAAAAAGTGGGCAAAGGATATGAACAGACACTTCTCAAAAGAAGACATTTATGCAGCCAACAGACACATGAAGAAATGGACACTTTCATACACTCTTGTGGAAGTCTTTTTGAAGGGATACTTGACAGTATCTAGCCCACAGTATTTGATCCATGAAATCCACTCCAAGAATCTATTCTAAGGAAATTCTCATACAAGTGCACAAAAATATATAATGAAAAGAGAATGAATTCAAGAATATTTATCATAGCATCATTTGTAATAGAAAATAATTGGAAACAATCTGAGCATCCATCAATAAAGAAATGGTTAAATAAAATTATAGTACATCAAAATAGTGGACTACCATGCAGCCATTTTAAAAATGAGGTGGATCTGCCAGCACCAATATATCACCTCGCTATATTTTTTAGCAGAAAAAACAAGTTTCTGAAGGCGAGCAGGTAGATCACAAAGTCAGGAGTTCAAGACCAGCCTGGCCAACATGGTGAAACCCTCGGTCTACTAAAAATACAAAAATTAGCTGGGCGTGGTGGTGGGCACCTGTAATCCCAGCTACTCGGGAGGCTGAGGCAGGAGAATCGCTTGAACCCGGGAGGCAGAGGTTGCAGTGAACCGAGATCGTGCCATTGCACTCCAGCCTGGACGACAAGAGCAATACTCCATCTCAAGAAAAAAAAAAAAAGAAAAAAAAAAAGAAAATGAATCTCACATAAATGTATAGATTGCTAGAAATAGAGAGGGAAGGACACTCCAAGTAGATGAAAGATTGTTTTGAACTGTAGAATAGGCTTTATTTACAATAGCATTTGAACAACAACAAAAAAAAGTAGACGGTTTCACTGTACCCAAGTGTCCATCTGATAGCCCGTGGAATAAACTGTACTTCACACAATTTCGAGAGAGAGAGTGATATGGTTTGACTGTGGCCCCACCGAAATCTCAACTTGAATTCTATCTCTCAGAATTGCCACGTGTTGTGGGAGGGACCTAGGGGGAGGTAATTGAATCAAGGGGGCCGGTCTTTCCTGTGCTTTTCTGTTGGTAGTGAATAAGTCTCACGAGATCTGATGGGTTTATCGGGGGTTTTTGCTTTTATTTCTTTGTCATTTTCTCTTGCTGCTGCCATGTGAGAAGAGCCTTTTGCCTCCTGCCATGATTCTGAGGCCTCTCCAGCCACGTGGAACTGTAAGTTCAATTAAACCTTTTTTTGTTCCCAGTTTCCGGTATGTCTTTATCAGCTGCGTGAAAACAAACGAATACCAAGAACAACAGTAACCTGCAGCACCTAGAACTTCAACTAAGGCATCCAAGTAGCCTAGAATATTGATGAGCCTACTTTTTGGTGGTAGGTGACTCCTACCTATGCCCATCCTGTGATTGAAATGTCTTTGGTGGTAAAACAAAGTGGTCCAGGAGGAGTCTGCACTATTATAATGATATTAATTAAAAAATGTGTTAATTGCAAATTTAGAGATAAAAAGGATCAGACCTTTAAAATGAAAAGTAAGGATAGGTATGGGATGTGTAAGGCAAAATAGTTCTGTTATGTTTTTAATAATATATTTTTGATTATGAAGTAATGCATGTTTATTATAGAAAACAATATACGAAAGAAAATTAAAACTGCTGGCAACCCCATGAATCACTATTAATATTGTAATTTATTTTTCCCAGTTTTTTCCCCATGCCTCTATTTATAAATATTTTTGCTTTAGTCTATTCATATAAAGTTGGGGTTATACCCTTTTGTAATCTCCAATTTTTCCTATTTAAAATATATACAGAATCAGTTCAGTTTTTAAAAAGTTGAGCTTCAGGTAATTGTGAAATATTAATGAGGAAATGTCCAGCCAGCTGTTAGAGATGGAGTCTAGGAGAAATGTTGAAAAAAGGTCTGGAAGATGTCAATCTATAAGTAATTATTGAAGCCTGGAAATGGGGTGATATCATCCACACTTTTTCACAGGGTGAGTTACTGGGTTAAGAAGGCAATTGATAAGGTTGGAATAGGATAGATAATTTCAGAATGTATCACATAGCAGTTATAAGTATTCACGCTGGATTGCAATATAAAAATCAATTTCTAATTGTGAGTCTAAGGACTAATCCTTTAGAAACAGTAGAATATACTGACAGGACAGAAACCATAACTAGTTTTAAGAAAATAGGATCAAAGGTTGGCATTGGTCTCTGGGCCCCTTTACAGTCTTTAAAATTACTGATGACCCCAAAGTGCTGTTGTCCCTGTGAGTTATACCTATTGATATTCGTGTATCAGAAGTTAAAACATAAATTAAATATTTATGTATTGATTCACTTAAAATAACAGTAATAAACCCATTACATGTTAACATAAATAGTATCTTCATGAAAAATTGCTATATTTTGTGAAACAAAAAATTATTGAGCAGCCATTAAAAGGAATGAAATCATATCCTTTCCAGCAACATGGATGGATCGGAAGGCCATGATTTTCAATGGAATAACTCAGAAACAGAAAGTAAAAAAACACACGTTCTAAGTTATAAGTGGGAGCTAAACAATGGGTACATCTGGGCAAAAAGACAGAAATAATAGACACTGGGGACTCCAAAAGAGGGGACAGCTGGAGGGAGGCCAGAGTTGAAAAATTATCTATTCACTACAATATTTACTATGTGAGTAATGGGTACACTAGAAGCTCAATCCCCACCAGTATGCAATATACCCATATAATAAACATGCACATGTTCACCGTGAATGTAAAATAAAATAATTGAGAGGGGTGGTATCATGATCTTTAATGCCTGGCTTAACAAAACACAGCTGAAATCTCATCTCTGCTTCTGCATTCAGTTAATTGATGATGCACACATGTAAGAAAATGTGAGTGGACCAGGCGTGGTGGCTCATGCCTGTAATCCCAGCATTTGGGAGGCCGAGGAGGGTGGATCACAAGATCAAGAGATGGAGACCACCCTGGCCAACATAGTGAAACGTCGTCCCCACTAAAAATAGAAAAATTAGCTGGGTGTGGTGGTGCGCGCCTGTAGTCCCAGCTACTCGGGAGGCTGAGGCAGGAGAATCGCTTGAACCTGGGAAACAGAGGCTGCAGTGAGCCAAGATTGCACCACTGCACTCCATCCTGGTGACAGAGTGAGACTGCATCTCAAAAAAAAAAAAAAAAAGAAAAAAAAGAAAATGTGAGTGAAAAAAACATAATGTCTTTTATTTGTTTGTTTTCTGAGACAGGGTCTTTGTTCCCAGGATGGAGTGTAGTGGTGAGATCATAGCTCACAGCAGCCTAAACCTCCCAGGCTCAACTGATCCTCCTGCCTTAGCCTCCCATATAGCTGGGACTACAGGCACACATCATCACACCTGGCTGATTTTTAAAAATATTTTATAGAGACAGGATCTCACTGTGTTGCCCAAGCTTGTCTCAAACTCCTGGGTTGAAGCAATCCTCCCACCTTGGCCTCCCAAAATGCTGAGATTACAGGCATGAGCCATCACACTCTGTCAACAAATAATATGTTAGTATTAGGAAAATAAGTTTAACTGCACAGACACCCTAAAAGGCTCTAAGGGGCCTCCGGGGGACTCCTGACCATACTTTAAGAACAGATAGCATATGACATAGAGAGGTCAGGAAGATTAAGGATAGAAAATGTTTTATTGAGCATTAGCAAGTGTAAGGATTTGAATGACAGGGGTAAAGATCCTATCAACGGTATATCAGATCATAACATATCTTCCCTCCTTTCCTGACTTCCTGTGGTCCTTAGGGCAAAATCCAAAATCTTTATCAAGGCCCTTGAGGTCTTGGATGTTTTGGCTCCTTTCTGCCTCTCCTGCCTCATCTTACATCACTTCCTCCCCTACATTATTATGCTCCTTACCCTCTAGGTGCACAGGCTGACCTTGCATTATTTGAGGTACCAAGACATTCCTTACATCAAATACCATAGATTCTGTTCTCTCTGCCTGGAATGCCAATTACTCCACATTCTTCAGGCCTCAGATTAATAGCCACTGCCTCAGGAATGCCTACCCAACCACCTCAACCTCAATTGAAATGGGTCTCCTCTGTTGTTCTCTTGCAAATACCTTGTTCTGTTCCTTCAGAACACCCATCAGTTTAGAACTACATATTTCGTTGTATGATTGGTTCTGTTTGTCTCCTACCAGTAGTCTGTAAACTCTACAAGGGCAAGAATATGTATGTTTTGTTTACCACTGTCTTCCCAGTACTTAGCACCGAATAGGCACATAGCAGGTATTCTGTAAATCTTTACTTAGTGAAAGTATAAATGAGAGAATGAAGATACATACGGGGAGCCTATTTTCTTAGTCTGAGAAGAAATTATTCATGTTTATTGTGTTGTATGGAAAATGATAACATCCTAGTTCCAAATTTTCATTTAAAATGCCTTTTAAATCTGCTTATGAAGGACTATCCTAATAATTGTTAGCATTTGTTAGTAATTGTTAATGTATGTGACTATAAAAGTCTTCTTATGGCCATTATTAAGCATGTGTTTTAGAAGCACTAAATATTTTAGTTATTTCAATACAAATTAGTAGTTACCTGTATAAGTCAATCACAATAATTCACTTAAAAGATTATGATAATGAGGTCACAAAGTTAGAGAGAAGTTCAAGTGCATTTAAATGCCAACCGAGTAATACTAATTGTTCTATACTCTTTTCAAGTTCTTTTCCTGGAGTGTAATTTTATCTCTTAAGGAGAAATCACGGTACATTTTGAAATCAATTTTTTTCCCCTTTTCAACAACTGTGATAGTTAAAAAATGCTAAAAAGTAATATTCTTAAAAGTATTTCCAATAAAAAGACAAACACTAGCATTAAGTCAGCTTTCAGATCTTCAAGGGAAGGCACTATGTTATCTTTATGAGGGTATAAATTATTATTATTGCCATATTGGTTTATGTGTATGGATAGTGAATATAAGTGAATTTTATATAAATTAAGGACCAAGGTACCATTTTTAAAACTATCTATAAATTTAAATTTAGGCAGTTATTTGAATCCATTATAGCAATAATACAAATGAATTGCCACTGCACCCTATTGAGAAGCTTTGGTTTCTGAAGGTTATGATTAGTCTGTATTAGGGATGTATTTTATTCTGAGAGTAAGGTAAAGCAGCATTGATGGAGCCTTTCCAGTGAGGGATATTATATATGAATGTACACTTCCATGAGCAGAACTTGCTGTGTGGAATACAAAGTGCCTTGCTAAAGCCCAAACTTTTTTTTAAAGGCATTTTGTTTCTCCTTCGCACTCTGGCCAGAGAAGTAGCTCCACAGGGTCCATTTGGATACTAAATAGGATTAGGTAAAGAGAAGACTTTAATTGGCTTGCCAGTTGTTTTCCTGAGCCTTACTTGGGTATGTGAAAAATAGTGTGTCTGACTCTGTTCTGAACAGATGGATGCAGAATCCTGGCCACCAACTGTTCATATCCAGGCTCAAATAAGCTTCCTCCAAGGTGGCTGCTTTCCCCAGGGGGAGCCCACAGCTGGCCGGAAATGGGCACTCCCTTGCAGCAAGCTGGTGACTGCAATTTTACAGCCCTGTTTATGGAAGCTGTTTGGGTAGAAAATCATTAAGCTACCTTTCCTGCTTCCAATCATTGTAGCCAAAAGTTAAGGTGCCAGCACTACTCATAATCTCTGCTAGTTGATCTCTGGATGGTGTTGTTATCAGTTGAAATAGGAAATAATAGTCTACCACAACGAGTACATGTTGAAATTATGCCTTTGAAAACATCTTGCCATTAGACAAGCAACCAAACAAAACTCCTTCATTTCAGATGGTGCACATTGATTTTGTTTATGTAATTGATATTGACTTTAGTCTTCTAATATTGATATGGTTTGGTTGTGTTCCCACCAAATCTCATGTTGAATAGTAGTCCCCATAATCTCTGTGTTTCATGGGAGAGATCCTGTGGGTGGTAACTGAATATAGGGGTGGTTGCCTCCATGCTATTCTTGTGATAGTGAGTGAGTTCTCATGAGATCTGATGGATTTATAATGGGGGGCTTTTCCACCTTTTGCTCTGCACTTCTCCTTGCTGCCACCATGTGAAGAAGGACATGTTTGTTTCCCCTTCCACCATGATTGTAAGTTTCCTGAGACCTCCCCAGCCATGCTGAACTGTGAGTACAATGAAACTTCTTTCCTGTATAAGTTACTTAATCTCAGGTATGTCTTTATTGGCAGCGTGAGAATAGACTAATACAAATATTATTGTACTTACATTCTTATTATGAGGGTACTTAGAAACAAAACTGACATGTCATATTTTCCATTATGCATTCTTCTCACAGAATGCAACCTATAGATTAAAAATATATTTAAAAAATCAAGGCCAGAACATCTAAATATTGTTCTCTAGGAGTGAAATAGTCTAGATACACGGTAACAGTCACACAGTATATACTTGTTGATTAGCAAATTGTTCACACATCTTTGAACATTTCTTAGCTTCTTTAAGTCTCAATTTCTTTGCCTATTCCCAATGCTGGCACAGTTCCTGGAATATAGTAGATGTTCCATAATCACTTGCTGAATTGAATTTATGTAATTACATTAGTTTTGGGAATAAACATAAAAAGGTGTATGAGTGCATGTGTGTGTGTGTGTCTTTGTTAACAAAAAGGTATATATCTTAAAATTCCTAGCAAATTATTTTAATAATATACACTTGGCAACTGGACAACTGTCATATAGAGATTGCATGCTCCATTACAATCTGTTATATTTACATTGGCTATTCTGAAACTAGCAATTTAGTGTGTCTTCTTCCTGATATTCATATTTGAAATAGAAATTCTTGGTCCCATGAGCAAAACTACTTGAAAATTCTGCAATTTCATGTTGCTTAAATGTGTCTGGGGAATCTCTAAAGTTGAATAAATGCCTTAGGAAATCCACCTACAATATCAGGATATAGGCGTCTAGAAGCAGCAAATCAGTTCTTAGGAAACAGAGAAAAGTGACAGAGCCCTCTGTACTTCGGAATTAGGACTGGAAACAATGTTTTGAAGGAACTAAAGGGAGACAGGTGCAGACCAAATGAATTAAGGACACCAGGGAGCCACAGGAGACCAGTAAGGAAATGAGAGGGAAGAATGCTAGAGAAAATACAGCATAAAGAGGAGGTGGTAGAGAATTTCTAAAAAAAAATGATTACAGGGACTGCTGAATTGCCAGGAGAGAAACAAACTCGGCCTCCTTTCATGAAATCCCTAAGTATCAACTCTCCCTTTCTGCCAGTATCTTCAAGAAGAGTAACAAAGGAACAGCAAGAATGAGAGTGAGATAATCATGCTTTTAAATTCATATTCCATTTCCTTGGTCATTAGGGTTTGTCCATGTCCCATTTGGCCAGAATTCCCTTTTTGTTATGGGGAGTTCTTTTCTTAATCGCTGGTTACGGAAACACCCAGAGTATTTCCAGTCATTGGAGAAGTGACTGGCCAGATGTTTCTTTTTTTTCTCCTTCCAGAACTCTTTGGTAAGGATTGAGGAGGTATCCTGAAAGTCTTCCTTCCACAGTTCAGGGTTTGGGCAGTTCATAATGTGGAATCTTTATTTAGGATACTTAAATCTATATATGTTTATACAAATAACTTGTTTTTGTTTTGTAGGAGGGTAGTGGGTTTTAGGAAGGTTTCGTTTACATATTTGTGGCAAGACACAGGTTTTATACCCATCCTTTCACTACTGCTTTCTCAACAGCCCAACAGAGAGCCGGTGATAGAAGCAGTTGCTATGCCCCTACAGAGCCTGGTTGTCATCTTTTGTTTCTTTGTTGGCAGGGCGGTGGGGCGGGACGGGAGTGGGAGGGTGTTGAGCCGCAGGGATCCAAATGATTCCTGCCTGAAGCTGAAGACCTTGTTGGGAAGGGACGATGGGAATAAACGTGCTCTTGATTCCCTGATTCTTCCCCCTAGAGTGTTCAGCTCTTTGTATTTCCTCCCCTTGGTGGTGTGATGGTCTTACAATGCTCCCTCTTTGCAAATACCTATATCAAAAGCTGGGAAAATGGGAACACACGGTTCAGAGAACTCCCCCTGGCGTCACTCTGTACTACCTCTCTTTCTGAAACTGAATCTGGTCCCCCTGCTCAGGAGCACAGAGACCAGCCCGGAAGCCGACCTTGGGCAGCTGCCGCCACCCAGGGAAGGGAACAGTTGGAAGCTTTGGTGTTCGCCCACCGCGCCAAGAGGAACTCTTCCCGGTAACTAGCACCAGCCACGACTCCAAGCCTGCCTTATTGTAACCTCTAGCGGGTTCCCAACTCGGCAATAGCTTCTCGCTCTCCTGTCCCTGTTCTTGCGGAGGAAAATTTAAAACGTGCGTGCACATATACGCATTCACACACGCCCTTCTTTCTTTACTTAAAAAAAAAAAAATCAGTAAACGTCCTTCGCCCAAAGAATGTTCGACTCTTCACGCTCTCTTTTCTTTACCTAGAGGTCAGCAGTCCCTTGGGAGCACACGCGGTGCTCCCTAGCTGCTCTGCGCGCCCCCTACCTGCCTACGGCTGGGGTGGCACCGCGGGGCAGGAGGCCTGGGAATCCGCTAGACTCCTATTTCTCCAGTTTGTGCAGCTCCCCTGGCTCGGCACTTGGTATCTCCCACGGTCTTGCTCTCTGTGGGAAGCCGGAAAGAAGACTGCTGTGGGCGTCGCCGCCACCCCTCCCGGAACCAGAGCCTGCTCTAGCGTGCATCCAAGCCTCCTACTTCAGACTCACATCTGGCCCAGTCGGACAGATGTTAGCCGCTGGAGAGTGCCTCCATGCGAAGCGCCCCAAGTCCCGAGCATGCCCAGTCGGACTACTAAGGCTTCTGACGCGAGTTTCTGGGCGTGCAGATTCCGCTTCTCCGCTTTTTCGAGGAAGCTGAGGAGGGTTGGGAGGGAGGGAGGGATCCAGGGCTTGGGGCAGCGCGCTGGGTTCGCCCGAGTACGTGCCCTGGTGCCAGGCTGGGTGAGGGGCGGAGCCGTTTAGGGAGCCCAGGAACCTGGGCGGCCAGGCAGGGCAGGATCCCTTAGCGCTCCCCTCTTCCCCCAACCACCTTCAGGTGGACGTCGTTACTGCTGATCTGATGCGCCGCCAGTAGGCTGCATGTGGCCGGCCGGCCTTGGCGCTCTGGGGTCACACTGTCAGCAGGACGCAGTCGGCGGTGCACTCTCACCGACAGACGCACGAGAGCTTGTGGGTCGCTTATGCACCGCATTCACGGGCTTTTGGCTTTTCTGGAAGGCGGGGGAGAGGAGAATAAGAAAAGGAAACCAAACAATTTCTCTCCCCCCGCCCTTTTTTTTTTTTTTTTGCCAAAGTTATACTGGCAAAAGACTTCGCATTCTAAGTCAGTCCTGAGGCTTTGAACATAGAAGCAGTGATTGTGCTCCTGTGTGTGCGCTCGTGTGCGCGCGCGTGTGTGTGCACGCGATGTTTGTGTATGTCATGACTAGGTAACACTGTCCCAGGCTGATCCTGGGGTTGACAAATACTCATCCGAACCCCCCACCCCACCCCTCACCCTCAGGAGAAAGTAATTAAAAAAAAAAAAAAAAAAAAAACATCGAGTGAGTCACCTGGCCAGGCATCTATCCACTGTAGTAGGAAATCTAAATTTTGTTGATCCATATTTCCTTCCTCTGCTTCCATATCCAGCTTTCTCCTTCCCCTCTCCACCCTATAACACCCTGATCTTTCTCATTGCGACTTCCCTTCCTCTGCCCGATACTTGCTCCTTAAGCCCTTCTCCTCTTTCTCCTCCTCCTCCTCTCCCTCTCCTCCTCCCCCCACCTCCCTCCACCTCCCATCTCAGCTGCGGCTAAAACCTGGAGTCTTGGGGAAAAGGAGAAAAAAAAAAAAACCTCGGCTGTGAAGCTGTCAAACCGGGCATGCTCAGTAGACAGGGCAGGTTTTTTGGTCTCGAGTAGCGGAGAAACATTTTTTGCACCACCGCGACCAGCCTTAGAGCGCGGCGGCGGCGGCCACGGCAACATCAGCCCAGCCATCAGCCGAGCAGACGCCCAGCACCCGGGAGCGCGGCGAGCTTCGGCTCAGCCCGGAGTTCACCTCCGAGTGCCCCGGGGGCTGAGCTCACCCCTTCTGCTCTCTCACACACGAACACTCTCTTTCACTCACACACACACACGTATTCACACTCTCTCGCACACACATAGGACCCTGGGCGCAAGCACCCTTCTGGCAGCGGTCGTCCGCTGGTGCAATAGTAGCTAGGTTCGGTTCCTGCCTCCGGCGGCCGCCGGTTTAGAGCACCGCTGCCAGCAGCCGGAGGAGAGCAATGCGGGGGCCCGAGCGGCAGCTCGAACAGTAATGTGGATTTACAGTCGTTTCCCGCAGGAGTCGGCCGAGACGCCCTAAGTCCCGGGCACTGGCAGCGCCCGGCGGAGCCGAGCACCTGGCGAGGGGGCGGGGGAACAGCACCTGGGGACGCCGCCGAAACTTGCGCTTGGAATAGGTAGGTGCGTTTCTCCTGGCTCCCACCCCATTCCTTCTCGCTCCCGCCCGCCACCCCCAACCTTCTACCCCAAGGACTACAGGCGAACTTCGCCCCGAGGCTGCAGGCGGCGGATGGCGGCTCCTGGCTGTTAGCGGCCGGTTGAGTCCGCTCTGGGACTCCTGCCCGAGGTGGCAGAGCCTCCGCATCCTTCTTCTCCCGGTCTCCGCCGGCCATGGGGCTCTGGACCATCTGGGGCAGAAGGGAGGTCGGCCTTGTTCGCAGTTCAAGCTTCCAGCGGGCCCTGGGGACGCTGCCCTTCGAGGGCTCGCTGGGCTTCCCAGGCGGCACTTTTACCAACCAACTCCTTCAGTTCTGAGAGGGAGCCTCCTCGCCTCGGCTCTCGCGCAGAGCCCAGTCACTCTAACAAGTGGACCTGGGTGCTTGGGGTGAGGATGGGAGGCTCGGTCTAAAAAGAAAGAAAGGGGCGCTTCTCTGGCATCCCTCCCACCCTGGAGCGTTCGCCTGGGGCTCTGCCACTGGGGTCCAGGTCCTGCTGTCTCCGCAGAGAATATGCCCAAGGGCTAGGACGCACTTTAGTACCTGTTTGCTTCTGAATTTCTATTTGAGCCTCACTCAGGGAGCCCGGGTTCCCGGGGGAACTGCAGGACCTCCTAACCTACGCCGCCGTCGAGGGCCCCACCCGATGCGTCCTCCCTATACCTTTGTCAATCTTTGTCAAAAGAGATAGTCATTACAACCCAGGCGGTGCTCCAGGAGCCGTCGGTGTTGACTTTAACCATGCGCTCCAATGTGCGGGTTTGTGTGTTTCCGCATTTCATCCAGAGACTTGGTCCCCGAGATTCAGCAACGGCCAGCATATCTGCGAGCGCCAAGCACCCGCTAGGCAGGCTTGGGGAAATGTAACCTCACTTTCTTCCACTCCATAACAGGAGGATTGCCAATTTAGTTTCAGGATGCTTTGCCTAGAGGCGGAGAAGGGGAGATTGTTAGCGCTACTTGGTGAGTGGATGTGTTTGCAGTCAGGAGTGTATTTAAACATTTCAGTGAACCCGATGCAGTCAGTTGTTTACAATTGCGGAGACAGAGGATCTCACTCCACTAGTAGATGTTTCCACGTCTGTGTCGCCACTGGGAGAGTAGGGGCGGGGGCGGGGGCTGGTTTGCAGCTCGTACTCGCCGTCGGCAGCTTCGGGTTGAGCAGATCTGCATCACTGCTACTGGCGATATGCTAATAGGGGTAGAAAAGCTCTACATCTCCAATATGAAGCAATTGGTCAGTAAACGTCCTGAACTTAACCGTTGTTTTCCTGGGATACCAACCTGGAGGTGTTTTTGAGGTGGCCCAAAGAAATACAAAGAGAAGTTCTCAGTGCTACAGAAAGGAAATTAGTAGCCATTTGGTTTTAAAGACCAAAAGGAAACGAAACATCCCAGTGCACTCTAATAGGTACTGTTAGATTAGCGTTTAATTGATCGCGTTTGTGACGAGTAAGTGTCGCAGACAGCTTCCTTGAATTTTAGACTCTTGTTCTATGATTATAATTAACAAGCCAGGTAACAATGTACTGTGAGAATCAATTGCTACTCTTAACGTGTTTGAGGAGAACATGGCAAATGTCTGCTCTATTATATTTTTTGGCTGAAATAGCCCAGTTCATCTTCCTAGTCCGAAGTCTTCTGATCTGGAGCAGTAGATACTCCAGTGTTACCAAGAAAGGGAAGAGTCTAAGAGGGAAAGGCTTAAAAAACAAAATTAATGAAAAGGCGATCCACACCTTTAACTTCTGCTCCATGATTACCCAGCATCTGCTTGCTTGCTCACCCCCGCTCCTTGCTCTTCATATCTGCAACGTGGGGAAAAATGAATTTTCATAAGGCATAGTAAGACCCTCAAAGTACATAACTGGAGAAACAGAATCCCAATTTTGCCATTTTAGTTCAAGTTCATAACACTATTTTGTGATGCATTAAATAATTTACTATGGCAAAGTTGGGGTTTTTAAGAGTAATTAAAAGCTTTCAGGTATGACAAAATAATGTTGAAAACTTTTCATGATTAAAGAAAGTCGAAATATGCATTTAAAAAGGGATCAGGTAATTCCTAAAATAAATCCATGCTCTAAATATTATTTAAAAGTTTTCAGGTTGTTCCCCAGAATGTTTCTGAAAAACAGGTGTTTCTATAAAACAACTCTATGAAGAAATGTTAACATTTTCATAATAAAACTAGTAGAGTCCAGTCCTGAGAACAATGTCAGCTATACATAGCAGAAAAAAACCCCACAAATATTTTTGCATACATGAAGTAGTATTTTCCATTAGGTTTAGGTTCCAATTATGAATTAGGGACAGTCATGTCATTTGACAAAATATACAGTGAGGCTAAAGGAAAGAATGCTTTGTAGAATCATTGTGCTGTAAAGGTGATTAAGATTTCAAATATTCAAACGTTTAGGTGTATTAAAATAAAATTGTATTATACATAACTATCATCACATTCAAAGGCCTAATTCAGTCTGAATACCCTAGAATTCTCAGTGTTTCAATTCAGCTATTATATGTGTAAATAACACCGACATAATCATAGTTTCCCTCATAGTCATTGATCCTTTCTGATACCTTTACCAGAAAGATTCTTGCTGAAGCAGAACAGTCTAGCATTCAAGTTTATTCTATACAATATTACTTTAAATTGTCAAACTGCAAAACATTCCTGATATGTTGTTTCTGAAAACAGAAAACTTAGTGGAAATTTATTTTCTGTGACAGCCTTAAAAACTTGGAAGTAGTAAGAAATTTTAGTGTTAATTAATAAAACAAACATTTTTCATATTCTATGTTAGAGATAGACATTTGGAGTCCATATAATTTTTGCTTGAAGCTTGCTTTTCCTAAGTCATTCAGTTTCAGATTTAAGTAAAGCTATCAAGTAGTTGGTATAGATTATGGTTAATAAATTCCCTAAAGTTTCCCAAAACAAGTTAATTATTATTATTTATGCATTTATTTATTTACTTACTTATAAATGACCAGAGGTCAAAAGAAGACCAGTACTTTGAATAACTGAGTCAGTGATTAATTTTTTTGATGAAAACAAATTTTCTTATAGTACTCATATTTGTTCTCTCTCTCTCTCTCTCTCTCTCACACACACACACACACACACACACGGAAGCAATTGCTTGTGAATGCCTTGAATCAGATATAAAACATGTACAATAGCTTTATTAAAATTATATATATTTGTTAAATTGCTGTGGATTTTAACCACAAAATTAATAATCCATGCGTACTTAAAAAGCTTCCCATCACTTAACATTTAGAAGAAAGGTTTAAACTGGATTCCTAGTATGACTACAGGCAGATGAAAAATATTGTAAGGTACAGAATTTAGCAATTGTGACCAACAGCATATACCCACGACTGGAAGTGTAACTGCTGATTATAAAAATTAAAAGGAATCAAATTTCAGAAATGCTCACATATACCACAATTTCTTTAAATCTTCTACAGCTTCTGAGTGTTAGATTAAATCACTACTTTGAATGGAGATTGCTATTATTTTTCCTTCCCCTAAAAGGTAAAAATATTCTGAATCCTGGCTTAATATATTATTTTTATTCCTTTCTGTTTTCCATTGATTTTTTTTAGAACAGAGGAAAGTAAATATCAAATATAACCAGCTAGAACCATGCTTAGTTTGAGCAGGTGAATGCTATAAAAGGCTTCACACAGCTTTTAATTATTCTTAACAACCTTGATGACCAACCATAGGTGTCTGTTCAGTATTCGGTGCTCTGTTATGGCAATTTATATAATGTATAGAGATTTTGTAGTTTGCTAGACGTGCTGTGGTACAATTTAGCAAGACCAGCAAAATTGCTTACATTTGGAACCCATGAAAAATAGGGCTGAGGAAATTGGAATATGATGGCATAGACTGAAAATTATTATATAACAATATTTATATCAATTGCAATGCTAACATTTCTGTATAGAAATTAAGCTAATTTAAATTTGAAAAGTAAATATTTTTACAGGTGACATGGATCCCTAATATTTTAAAATAGTAACTTAGAGTCTAATAAATGAAGTCTATTAGATTTTTATGTAACTTCAGGACCCATTTCAAGGCCTGGAAGTATAATCTTGGATAATTTACAACTTAAAAAATTATTCTAAATTGTACTTCCTGTCCGAGCCTCCACTTTAGGTAAACAATAGCATATGGTGAAACATGCATATATGCCAACTAACCACTACCTCTTGGATGATGTTTTTAATGTGATGTAATGATTCTGAAATATTGGATTCTCCACCCCCGCTCTATTCTAACTGTAAGAGTGGAGAAGCTAATTGGAAAATGGACACATAAAAACATGTTAAAAATCTCTTTTCACATGGGTGGATAATCCCCTATGAAGTTCTTACCTGGGAGCCTTTATATTTCTGTTTATGGTAGATATGTGCCAAGGTTAATACTTTTTCTCTGGGTGCTTATGACAAATTTCTATGACTGAATCTAGGTGACACCCAAATATGTGACTGCACCATTCTGTTAACCATCCAACTGTTTGGGGTGAAAAACATCTGGTTGTTTGAGAAAATTGTTTACCTAGTTTCTGGGTGTTTTGGAGTCACTTAACAGGCCGATGACCCTTAATATCCATGTCAAAAGAGAAAGAAAAAATAAAATAAAACACTTTAAAATACATGTAAAATATCTTAAACACTCTTGGGTTACTATAAAATGCCCAATGAACTAAATGCCATCGTGAATCTACAGCCTTCTATAAAATGTATAAGGAGATGTTGCTTGCATTCTACAACAATTACAGAAACAGAAACACACTGACCTTTTCAGCAAGGCAGGAAATTAAAAACTTTAAATTCAATTCTACACCCTACTCCCCCTTCCCTGCCCCCACCCCTGCCCACTGTACTGATTCATCAGCTTAAAGAAATTGACTTAAGGGGCTTGATACAGTGGCTTCTTAAAATTTCCTGTACCTCATTTTCCACTGATTGTGCTACTGCCATGGAAACTAGATGGGACAGACAGCTGGGAGTCACTAATTCAGAATGGGAATCTGCTTGTTAATTTAATTTCATGCCAGCCTGTTGGTCCCTGAAAGTAACTGCTGTAAAAGGCTGGGGAATTGAATTTGCTAGAAATAAATGATTAAGCTGAACGAAAAATCAGTGCCATCTCTGTCATTTTCCTGAAAATCTTCCTACAACCCTCTTTGTCCCTACTCAAGCAATTTTTAAAAAATAATCACAGAAAGAGAAGTTTGATTTGTGCATTCCTATTGGTATGTATGTATTCTATGGAGCATTTTTTGTTCTAATAGAACATTCACAGCTGTAAAATAGTTTCATAATAGCTATTACATTGAAAAAATATGTTCTTTCAAATTATGATTTTGTAGACTTTGAAGAAGCCTAGTTAGTGATGATAGGAAAACATAATATAAATGATGCTTGAATTTTCCAGTAGAATTGGTTATTTTTCCTTTTCAAATAAAAAAAGTCTTATTACAATATCTATGTCCCACTTTTATTACAGAGACCAAATGCATTTGAATACATTTATTTGAAATTTGTAAAACAGTCATTTTACCAGTCACCAGAAAGCATACTGGTTGTTTTAATTTTATTCGACTAAGTTGTAAATTAATAAGTAGTCAACAATGAGGAAATTGCCTTTTAATGTTTCTCATATTCTGTTGTAATGTTTTTGTGGCTGATTATGAGTTATGAAATTAAATTTTGGAATCACAATCTCTATGATGAGCTGAATTGCAATCCATGTCAAGTCTTTTGCAATACCGGCTAAAGTCCTGAGAAACTAATATTACTTTTCTGTCAATTTGTAGCTGTAAGCAAATTTCTGTATTACGACTGAGAGAAGATCTTTGATAATGAAACAAAGAATGGAAAGATAAATATATGTAAAGGTCAGAAGGTATTTTTCTGTTTTAAAGTTAATAAAATTTCAAAATATATATGTTCAAGGTAGAACTATTAATGATAGAATGAAGCAGTTATTCAAAAGTTTAGGAAAATTAATATCCACATTTTTACAGTTTAGGGAATACTGAGAATATCAGTATCCAGTTGTTGAGTGTTGAATTACGTGTATTTTATTCTTTGGTGTATTTTTTGTTACTTGGACTATATCTGTGTGATACTAAAATCTGACTAAAACTTAAAAAAATTGGGACAATTATCACGGAACTTGTAGAATTCATAATATTGGTATCTTCTTTGTCATGTCGATTTCCTCTAACCTTTCAGCAGATGCTTGCATTTGGATGAACAATGGAAAAAGTCATTCATTCATCTGGATGGTTCCAGCTTCCACTGTTTACTCAAATCCTCAGTTTTTATGGTTCTATAGCCTCGGTTTCCCTTTTGAAATCACCATATATTTATTTTTCAATTGTTTTTCTATTTAGTTGAAAGGTGTTGTAAGTATTCAGGATGCTGATGCATATTATACATATATATGTAACTTTCAATAGAATTTCTATGCATTTATATTAAAGGAAATCCACTTTCATTTTAATGTTTTAAGGTTTGGAATCGACTTAGTGTTTTTAGTTGCCTGTATGAATGATGGTTTTTAAACAGCCAAAATAAAAGTACGTGGCTATCAGTTTGCATACTTCTGGGAAAATCTGATCACTGGCTAAGGTCAAAGAGAAAATTTCCCAGTTGCATGGTTTTGCATAATTGGTGGATTCTAAGTGTGTATATTACCTCTAATGTCTCTATCTGGTTTAGACACCTGTCAAAGAGAAGGTGCCAGATTAGATGGACAATTGGTTTATTAGATATTGCAATCCCTATGCCCCAGCTGCATACAGACATTTTAAGAAAACTCTTCAGTTGTTCAGAGAAATTAGAAAGAGATACTGCAGATGGCTTATCTCAATAATCCAGGTTTTTTTCAGGTACATTTAAAATTAAATGTCCTAAGAGATGATTAATTCAGGAAAGTTATTGATAATGAACTAATCTTATGCTACACATCCTTTGCACCTATGATGATACCTTATTAAAGGTGTTTCAATCTTGCTAATTACCACCTGTGTTTAAATATAGAGGTGTATAAATACACTATAACTACACAGTGGCTGGAAGCCTTCTCAACCTAAAATTTTGGTACTGTTTTTAGCTTACTCAATTCCTATCAACAAAAAGTTTGTGGTCAACATTTTGAATTTAAACTCTGTGCCTTATCCCCCTCCTGCCTTTAACATTAATGATTTTCTTTTTTTAAGCTGCTCTGCTTAATTGTAAGCATTTGAGTGATACTGATGTGTGATCTGTTCTATTAAGTAGCCCAAAAATGTGTTTGTGTTTATGTGTGTGGGGCTGACACTTTTTAAATGAATATTTATGAAAACATACATACATTGTGGACAAGGATTTCATAAGCATCATTTACAGACACATGAATACATCACTTATTTGCTTACTTTATACTTCAAATGAATATGTTTTTGTGACTGTGACTCATACGCTTAAAGCTTTAAGCAATGTAAGAAAGCATTTCAGAATTGTGAAGCAAGTCAAAAAAAAAAGAAACTTTTTTGGGGAAGATAGTATTAATTTCACTAATGAGATCTAGTGACCGCTAAGGGAGAAGAACAGTACAGTTGATTGGCCAATTAATACTTATTGCTTAGACTTGAGAATAATCTTACATTTTAAATTATCAATAAAATCACTCTAATTCCTTCCTTCCTTCCTTCCTTCCTTCCTTCCTTCCTTCCTTCGTTCCTTCTTTTCTTCCTTCCCTCCTTCCTTCTTTTTTTCTTCTCTTTTTAAACTACTTTTAAGGTTTGGGTTGGTATACAGTTTTAAGAGAAAGGAAATAGGCTTTAGGACACTCACTAAAATATTGGGAGCGATTACTCTTTTTATTCTTCTTCTGATTCTGGCCAATTCTTTATATATGTTCCAGATAATTATAAACATAATATGAGATATTATTATTTATATTTTTTTCAGTTCGTACCTTCTTTCAGTTATCTTGGGTAGGGGCTATAATGTCACACTGCTTTACTGGGTTGGTATTTATTATAGATGTACTCTGTTCATGTATTCATATGCTGCTAGTACATTTGTGATATATCTTTCCTGTTTAGTCTAATAAAATCGCAACACTTAGGTGTGACACCATTTATTTTTGGTTTAGAATTCATGAAGTGTCAACATAAGGATGCTACATTTTCTTCATTGTTTTGTTCTTTTCACTATTTGAGATATTGCTTTGATGAAACATCGGACAACTTGTGAAAGTGAGGTAATTTTAATGTAAACAATTAGAGTTCAGTGCAAGGGAAGTATTTTAACTGGTAATTTAACATGGAAGAGAGAAAGTTTTAACAATTTACTTCTGTAAAACATGGAATAAAGTATCCTTAAGAAAATGTGTAAAACAGCAGTAGACATAGTGAGAGAACACTGGTCCCAGATATTTAGCAAAATACTTGGAACTGCTTTACTATTGAAAGGGAAAAAAATTAACATTTACACTGATGATCTGTGACAATGGGTCTTGAAGGCTCCTGTTTTCCACAGAGGCTCTCCAGGTCTCATGCACTGGTCTCTCCTTTTACTGAAAACTTCAGTTTACATACTTTTGGTTATATATCACAGAACAATTTTCATGAAGGAAAATTTTCATTTGCTCATTCTTCCATTCATTCATTTGCTAATTTATCAAACCTTCTTCAAAGCCTCTGTTTACCTGGTGCTACAGAGACATTAAAAAATCATCTTTGGGAGACAGATATATAAGCATACTCCGGTCATATAACAAATGCTATAGTAGAGGAATAATTAGAATGCTCTGGAAACTCAAAGATTGATATAGTTTTATAAATAGTCAGTTATTTGAATTGATTCTTAAAGAGTGTCTAGGATGTTTTTTAGTCAGAGAATATGGAGAATCACATTCCACATGACCTTAGGGCTGTGAAAGAACACTAGGTTAAATTAGCAATGGGGAATACCAATCTAGGACAAGAGAGTGCCATTTTATTTCCTATCCGAGCCTGGGGAACAGAGGTCAGGGATAACGTCTTATTTCCATTTATGTGTCTGACATACAGAAGAGGCTTAGTACACATTTGTTGAATGAATGAATGGGTTGGTATTTTGCTGCATGGAGATAATCCTAGAAAATGGTGTTTTTCCTGAGGTTTATCCAAAATTAAGCAGTGTGCTATGTTGTAGTAGTGTCAACTGAACGAGATAAGGGGTTTTAAAGTGAGGGCAAGGTGAATCAACCTTGTGTTAGAAAGACATCACCAGTATGGAGGAAGGATTGAAGTAGATTAGGAGTATAGTAGCAGTGAGACCAATAAAGAGGCAGTACTGCAACTGTGACCAATTATGAGGACATGAACCAAGGCAGTGACAGTAACATGGAGAGGAGTGGACAAATTTGAGAAGCACTGATAAGGTAGAATCAATGATTCTCGGAAATTGATTTAATTTAGGGTGTGAGGAAGAAGGAGGGAGTGACTCTGAGGCTTTTGTCTTGGGAAACTAGGTAATGCCATGAAGCAGAATAGGGAACACAGAAGAAAAAGTTGGTTTCAGTGGGGATAATGCAGTCAGGTTTGGACTTATTCGATGTGAGACACCAGCTAGATATCCAGATGGAGATGGATTGTGCCAGATGGAAATTACAGATCTGGCTGGGCGCACTGGTTCCTGCCTGTAATCCTAGCAGCTTAGGAGGCCAAGGAAGGAGGATTACTTGAGCACAGGAGTTCCAGACAAGCTTGGGCAACATAGTGAGACCCCATCTCTTTTTTAAAAAAAAAATTAACTGGGCGTGGTGGTACATCTCTTTAGTCCCAGCTACTCAGCACTCTGAGGTGGGAGGATTGCTTGCTTGTGCCTGGGATGTTGAGACTGCAAGTGAGCCATGATTGCACCATGGCACTCCAGTCTAAATGACAGAGCAAGAGCTTGTTCTAAAAAAATACAGATCTGAAGATAAAGTCTAGAATTAGAGATCTGGGTGTCATCAATCAACATAGTAGTTGAAATCGTAGGGGCAGGTAGGTGAGCTTAGCTAGAGAGTATATACAGTCATCTTTTGATATCTGTGGGGACCAGGTTACAGTACCCCCCACCATAGATACCAAAATCCACAGGTAGTCAAGTTCATGATATAAAATGGTATAATATTTGCATATGACCTAAGTATATACTTTAAGTCATCTCTAGATTACTTAACAATACCTAATACACCGGACGCAAGGGTGTACATGCCTATTGTCCGAACTACTTGGGAGGCTGAGGCAGGAGGATCCTTTGGTCCCGTGAGTTTGAGTCCAGCCTGGGCAACATAGCAAGACCCCATCTCTAAAAAAGAAAATCTAATACAATACCTACACATCACTTTATTCACATGGATTCAACAAAGTACTTGCTGTGCAGCAAATTCAAGTTTTGCTTTTGGGAACTTTGTGGAATTATTTTCCAAATATTTTTGATTCACGTTTGATTACATCTACAGATGTGGAACTCATGGATACAGAAAGTTGACTGTATAGAGTAAAAAGAGAAGCAAAGATGAAATATTGAGAAACACTGCATTTAAGAGTTTAGTGAAATAAGAGGAGCCTTCAAGAGAGAGGAAGTTAGAATAAGATCAGAGAGGTACAAGCCATACAAGATAACAAGAAAATAGAAGCTAAGGGAGGAAATAATTTTATAAATGCCATTTGGGCAAAGACATGAAAAAATAATTCACAAGAGAGGAAATAGAAATGGGAAATGGAAAAAAAATAACTGAAAAAAACCTCAACCTTCAGTAATCAACATAAATGATATTCAGTGAATATAAAGTTTCTCTTATGCAAGGCAAATAAGTTCTAGAGATCTTTTGTCCAACATAGTGCCTTAAATAACAATACTGTATTGTACACTTACAATTTTAAGAGGGTAGATCTCATGTTAAATGTTCTTACCACAATTTGTATGTACATGTATACATACAAATTAGAAACAATAAATGCCTGTTTATTTTAAAAATTAAAATAATGCTCAGTGCAATTTTTCAAGTCCCAAATGTTAGTCATTCTTGATTTCTCTTTTTTAACACCTGACACCCAACCAATTAACAAATGCTGACTCTACCTTCAAACTATATTCTTTATCTGAATAATTTTCTTCTCATTCATTACTAACACTCTAGAACAAACCACCATCATTTCTTACCTGGAATACTGAAACAGCCTTCTAATTGATATCCCTAGATCCATCTTTGTTCTCATATAGTTTTTCACACGGCAACCAGGATGATCATTTTAAAACTTAAACAAGATCTTATGATCTGTCTGCTCTCTGGCTTCCAAAGGTTGACTTCTCACCACACTTTAAAAAACTTGAAAAATTTAAAAAATCTTTACAATGCCCTACAAGGCTTTACATGATTTGGTCACTATTTATTGGACTTCATGTCTTGCTATGTCCCCCCTCAAACATTGCTCATAACCTTCTAGCCATATTGCCCTTTGATTTGTTCTTTAAACATGCCATGCATTCTTTTTTTTTCTCAGGGCCTTGTGCCTGCTTTTTTATCTGTCTAAAATGATTTTTCTCCAAGGTTTCTGCAGACTTTACTTTTGTTTTAAAATAAAGAACAGAAGTTTATTTTCTCACAGTTTTGGAGGCTGGGAAGTCCAAGATTAAGGCACTGACATTCAGTGCGGGAGGCAGTTACTCCTTCTGCTTCCAAGATGCTGCCTTCTTGCTGTGTCCTCCAGAGGGAAGTACCCTGTGTCCTTACATGGTGGAAGTTGAAAGGGCCAAAAAACAAAACAAAAAAAAACAAAAAAAAAACCTAGCTTATTCCCTGGACCTCTTTTATAAATTACCAATCCATTCATGTCTTCATCACTTCCCAAAAGGTCCTGCCTCTTAATACGGTTGCATTGGGCATTAAGTTTAAACATGAATATTGGAGGGGACATAAACAATCAAATAATAGAAGTATATGATAGATCCTTTTTGACTCTTTCAGGATCACACCACCATAATAATGTCACCAGAAAAGGTGAATGGAATATTCTAGCATTACAAGTAATAATAAAAACTAACACATATGGAATGCTTCCTAGGCAAAGCACTGTCCTAAGGACTTTATATGTATTAACCCATTTAATTTTCATTCAGACCTCTCCAGGTTTACTTTCTTACTTCATTCAGATATTTGATCAAATGTTCCTTCATCATAGTGGCCTACTCTGACCATCCTATGTAATGAACTTTATTGTCTTTCATTTTCTATGCCTTTATCAGCTTCTATTTTTCTTTATATTACTCATCATTAACTGGTATCATACTGTATTTTTATCTTATCCACTTTTCTAGAATATTAGTTCCTTGAGGGCATGAATTTTGTTTCTTTTTTGCTCACTACTATATCCATATCACCTAGCACAGTGCCTGATACATAGTAGGTGATTAATAAATATTGGTTGAGTAAATGAATGACTAATAAGGACATGATGAAATATTAGTTGGTGTAGATTTGGCAGTTTGCTGCAAAAGCCTTAATAATGTTCATACCAATAATTCTACTTCTGGGACTTTGTCCTAAATAAATAATATGAAATAAAGAAAAAACTTCATTTCAGATATTTTCACCAAGCATTATTTGTGATAATAGAAAATATGAAGGAACCCAAATGTTCAACAAGGCAAATGCTATGTGATTTATGATATATCTAGACAAGGCAATACATAATGGCCATTAAAAAAAGATGTTTACAAATATTTTAAGATAAAAGGAAAATGTTTATGTTATACTACCAAATGATAAACCAAGGTGTAAAATTATATGTATCCAATATGTAAGAAAGAAAAAAGACTTGAAAAAGATATGCAAAAGTGCTAAAAATGATTATTTCTGATTGAAAAAGGTGGGTAATAGGTCATTTTTTCCTTTATTATCTGTATTTTCCAAATTTTCTGTAATTAGACTATATAACTATCAGACACCGTGTATTTACAAAACAAAACCATTAAAAAAACAAAAAAATAAATATTGCCATATGAGAAGTGAGGTTTGGGAACAAATAAACAAAGATAATAAACCCATTTTTCTTGAGAGATGTTGCTGGAGGGAGAGGAATATGCCAGTTTTAGCCAAGACCAACTATTCTCTGACTTTATTTTGAAGAGGACTACAGAAGGGAAAATAATCGAGATCCACTGATCCAATCTGGTCTTCACTCACTAGAGAACCAAAGAGGGCGGAACTTACCCTGCTAGGATTTGAACAGGATGTTCAAGGGAAATTGCACAAATTAAGTCTTGTTCATATTGCTGTGGAAAGCACTAGCAATTTGCTTCATGTAAAACAGAAGTGATTACTCACTATATTTCTTCATGTCATGTAGTAAAAACAATTAAATGAAGTTAGACTATAGATTACTTGGCTATTCAGCCACAGTCACCTCTAATGGAAAAGAAGAAAAATAGCATTGACAAGTTTTGGCAGGTCTCATCATTAGAAATGCCTATATTGCCAGAAAGAAAAGAAGCTTCAGCCAATAATGTAAACCGAGAAGTTCTCTAGGCCTTGAGGAAGAAAGTGACAATACAGAGTGTTGCAGCATTAATTGTCTGAGAGCACTGATCATTGTAATGGGAAAACTGTCTCTTTTATTAACACGATTATTTTCTGCGAAGTCTTTGAGTAAACGTCCCATTAAAAAAATTGCATTAGGAGTTTCAAAGCATATATAGCGATGTAAAGATATACTCATTAATAAGATAAAGTGTGACCTATATGCCGCCCAAAGTCCCTTGAAAATAGAAATAGCATTAATATAGGTATTAAAATTACAGTATAATCAGGTAATTATTTTTAAAAAGTAAAAATTTGTACCATTTTCTAAACTAACAGAAATCATACTTTTAACATCTATTTGAGAAAGATATCTATCCATACACATGTATGCATATTCACATTATGTGCATATTCATATATACATATATTATTTGATGTCAACATCTTGAACCCGGCTTTTAGGCCCTTCTTCTGCTCACCTCCAATTTATGTATTTTACCTCCATAGCCAATCTCTGCTGACCGTTTTGTTATAAGAGGCTGAGAACTGAAGGAAGTAGAATATTATTATCTATGTAGGAAGAAACAACAGGCAGTGGTGCTAATTAAGGTCTGGGCTAGATGATCTCTTAATGAGCTGTCCAGGTTTGGACATAGGGCTCTGCTTGCAGGGTCTAGCCTATCTCCAAAACCAATAGTCAGTCCTGTGAGATGTATTTGTAACCTTTGTTTAATAGCTTCTGCTGTTTTTGCCTCTGGTATGCATTATTTGGCTGAGTTCAGTGATGGTCCTGTCAAACATTCTAATTTCTTTTTCTTAAACGGTAGTTAGCCCACATTCAGTATTAAGACAGTGAACAGTTTATTTTTTGGAAATGAATTCTTGAGTGGAATAGAGAGATAAAGGGTGAGGGAAGTTGTACATGTTGGGAATTGTTCAGTGATGGCAAGTAACCTGTGGTATCTGACATAGATCAATGTATTAACTGGCCTTCTCTAGTCATAAATGGGGTGACACACTCCTAAAGGAACCAGCTTGAAAACAATGGAGAAGTGAGCAGAGAAGAGCCCTTTGTTTTTCCCCAGTCTTCTGTTTATCTCACCAAGGCAAAATGCTACATATAGGGCAGTTTATTTTTTAAAGCATTTTTTGCTAGCCTCCTTGCAGAATCAGCCTGATGTATATGAAGCCAATTTCTACAGACTTGCTCTGGTATATGCAGCACAAGAGCCAGAAATATTTTTTGTAGTCTGGATCTAAGTACTTTCTGAAATGTCTTCCCTTGAAAGATTCTAACTTAGCACTATTCTGGAACCACATGAACATCTGAGCAGAACTACGTCTTTTTTGAGCAACATTAACAGTGATGAAAAATGCACATCAGGCAGTTAGATTGCAACTAATCAAGAGCACCACTTCAGCCTAGTATGAATGATTTATATATAGTGCATTGGATATGGAGATCATTAGTAATAATATGATACCCTGTTGTCATTATAAGGTCACCTTGGTGATCTTTGTAAGATATTTGTAAGGTGACAATGATGTTACTGAACTACATTTTAAATATGGCATTTAAGTATTGTCTTCTGTCTTGATTTACTGGTAAAAATTTTAAATTGTTTACTCTTACTACTGAGATTTTTCCTCAAATATAAAAATAATAGGTTTGGGGATTACTTCATTAATAAATTGGGACCATAAGGTTAATTAAGTGCCAGTCATAAAATATTGGAATGTTAAATTTTGAAGTTTCTTTTTTCTTCTGCTTTAATTTACACACTGCCTTTTCTTTTCTTTTCTTTTCTTTCCTTTGTTATTTTTTTAGAGAAAGTCTCGCTCTGTCATCCAGCCTGGAGTGCATAACACTCCAGCTCACTGCAGCCTCAACCTCACAGCTCACTGCAGCCTCACTGCAGCCTCAACCTTCCAGGCTCAAATGACCCTCCCACCTCAGCCTCCAAAGTAGCAGAGACTACAGGCACACAGCACAATGCCTGGCTAATATTTTTATTTTTATTGTAGAGACAGGCTTTCATTCTGTTGCCCAGGCTGGTCTCGAACTTCTGTACTCAAACGATCCTCTCACCTTGGCCTCCCAAAATGCTCGGATTACAGGTGTGAGCCACCCTGTGTGGCCCACACTGCCTTTTCTAAAATGGATTTTTGAAGAATTAAAAACATATTATAACTTTCTATATATGAGTAATATATGTTTATTATAGGAAAGTTAGAAAATACAGATACACAGAAAGAAGAAAATCATATAATTTACATACATCTATATCTAAGCTCAACTCACATTGTGGTTACTTTATAATGTGCTTATTTAAATAAATATTTTTGAACATCTTTCTATGTGAATAAAATATATCAGATATGTGCATACACACAGACATATATAAATACGTACACACACATAAACACACAGACCTACACACAGAAAGAGAGAGAGAGACAGAGACAAAGAGAAACAGAGTTGAAAGAAAACACCAAAAAATGAAAAGAAAAATGTGTAGTCCCCTTTCCCCCATCTCTTCCAGAATGTCACTTAGAAGCAGCAAATTAAAGATATACATAGAAATTATATGAAGTGATCATTAACATCTAACAGTTCCCATATTATGTTTAATGGCTGCTTAGTAATCCATCACATAAATAAATCCTTGATTTATTTAACCAGACTCCAATTATTGGATATTTAGGAAATTTCCAATATTTATTACTATAAAAACATCATGAAAAATTCTTATACATACCTCTCTGTATATATCTCTGATAACTCCTTTTGAAATGTTTAAATGTAAAATAACTTGATCACAAGGAGGACATATTTTTAAGGGTTTTGGTACCTACTGAAAAGTTGCCCTCCATAAATATTGCACCAATTTTACATTACTAATAAATGACTTTTTTCTCTTTTGTTTTTGAGACAGAGTCTTGCCCCGTCGCCCAGGCTGGCGTGCAACAGCGCAATCTCAGCTCACTGCAACCTCCGCCTCCCTGATTCAAGCAATTCTTTGCCTTAGCCTCCTGAGTAGCTGGGGTTACAGGCACCCACCACCATGCCTGGCTAATTTTTGTCTTTTTAATAGAGACCGGGTTTCACCATCTTGGCCAGGCTGGTCTTGAACTCCTGACCTCGTGATCCACCCGCCTCAGCCTCTCAAAGCATTGGGATTACAGGCGTGAGCCACCACACCTGCCATGAATGACTTTTTAAAAGTTCATATGTTAAAAATCCAGGTGACTTCATACTGGGTATATATAAATCAGAGGAAGAAGTGTATCTCTCAAGTGGAGTAAATTAGTAGGGATCATTATATAATAGCACAGCTCCTTCCTTAGCACCAAGCATGGCACATGGGAGACTGTCTTAGTCTATTCGTCATGCCATAAAGGAATGCCTGAAGCTGTGTAATTTATAAAGAAAGGAGGTTTATTTGGGTCACAGTTCTGCAGGCTTTAAAGAAACATGGCAACAGAATCCACTTCTGGTGAAGACTCAGGAAGCTTCCAATCATGTCAGAAGGTGAAGGGGAGCCAGCATATTCAGAGATTAAATGATGAGAGAGAGAGAGAGAGAGTGTGTGCCAGGCTTTTTTTTTTTTCAACCAGCATTTCTCATGGGAACTAAGAGTGAGAACTTACTTGCATGATAAGGGCACCACGCTATTCATGAAGGATCTACTCCCATGATCTAAACACCTCGTACCAGGCCCCACCTCCAGCACTAAGGATCAAATCTCAATATGTGACTTGTGGCAGGGCGAAACCAACCATATCCAAACCATAGTGGAGACACATTTTATAGTCAGTTTTATACCTGTTGAATAAAAGATGCCATGTGGGACGTTGGTAAAAGGACTGAACCAAAAGTGAGGGGACATGAATTCTAATCCTGGCTCTGCCACTAACCACATATGTGAGTTTGAAAAAGCCATTTAATCTCTCTGGGCCTTAGTTTCCTAATCTTATAACAGAGTTGTTTGAGAAATAGATGAAATACATATATGATTTTTTTTATAAATTGTAAAGGACAATTTTAATGTAAGAAATTAGGACTATTATAAATTGTTTACACTAGTGGAAACTTTGAAATTGTGGGCATTTCATCTCAAAATGACTGGTATGTTGAGTGAAAATTGAAAAAAAAAGGAAATTGAATAGTGTTCAGTTGAGAGAGTCTATGTGGAATGGGTGAGAATTTCATACTCCTCCAGGTATACTCTTCTATAATTAAGAAATTCTTTGTTAGCAGCATACTTAATATAATCAGTTGAAATTTCAAGTAGACCTTTTAAAAAGCGGACCCCTTTATCTCTTGTGAATTGCACAATGAATGTTCTTATATTCACAACCCTCATCTCCACTTCCAACCCTACCCCACATGTATCTCTTCCATTCGTTCATATAAGGACTGCTTTGGATTTGCATGCACATATGTTTGAAGGATAATTTGGCCTAATTTGTTTACAGGAATTACAAGGGTGACCTTTATTCCGCTGTCTCCTTTTTGATTCCCATAACTTCTGGACCTATCAAGGTATGTGCATTTTACACTGAATTTTACTTTGAGAATTGAACACATAGCTACATAATGTGAAAAGAATGGAATGTTTTGGTGATATAGTCAGTTGTATTTATTGCATGTCATGTAAATGAAATGCATTGTTTTAAAATTTTTAAAGTCTATTTGTCCATTTTATAGATAAGCTTGTGTCTGTACCTCATAATTTTTAGTCTTTGCAAAAACAAATATGCAGGCTGTCTTACATGTCTGAATAATTCTGTGACCTTTTCCACATACAGCTACTCAAATCAGGAGTCTTCTTAACTAATGGGAACATCTGCAGAGTGTGTAGGAACAGCAGTAGCCAGAGAAGATGTTTGCAAAACTATTTAGTAGTTCTTACTGACTACAAATAAATATTTCTCCATATCAATGGAACAGATAATTCCATTTAGAAAATTTTACTGGCATAAATATTTGCCTCCTGAAATGAATGTTTTGATTCTTTAGTAAAGTCTCATGTAAAATATTTGTATTTACACAGGTATTGCATTCATTTGTTTACCCTTCCGTTCTACCCTCTCTTCATCTACCCATCTATCTATCTATATATGTCCAATAAACAGGTATTGAGCAACTTTGGGGCAAAAGTTATTGTGCCTTTTTTCGTGGTAAATGTGCCAATGTAGGTATAATTCAAATGGAGCTTTGAGAGTGTTTGCTTCTCTATAGTCAGTCCACTGTTAGGTGGACTACGTGAGAAAATGTGGCAAGATGAAGGATCTCCCTCATTGGTTTTAATTTTTATTAAAATATTGGTCAATGTTCAGTCCTTAGTAACTAAGGCACAGAAAGCATTGATTTTTTTTCCCTTTGCTACCTATATCTTGCAGTGCTATGCATCATTACTCAAATGTGAATTCTCATTTCAAGCTGTAAAAAAGTCAAAAGGATGATCTGAATTTGTGGTAAGTCTTTGGCATCACTTGATACTTTCTTTAAGAGTATGTAAAAAAGAAATCTGCAAACTCTCAGAATTTGCATTGCCCTTCTAAAAATATAACACAAATATCTCATTAAGGGTTTCCTTAATTGGGCTCCAATTATTGGATATTAGTCTGTATCAGAAATTTAAAACGTATTTGTCAGTTTTGACTATACATGTAGTTCTATTAGCCTTTCTTTCAGAGGTACTGTCTTTAAGGGAATACTATTGCCAAAAAGTTCAGATTACTATAGGAAAAAAAATGTAAGATCAGAAAATAAAATGACATTAAAAGATAAACTTACTTAAAAAGTAAGTCGAGATTTTGCATATAATGTCATTTGTGAAAATAATTTTTTTAATTTGGTAATTATGAGTCTGCCAGTTGTGCAATACTAATTGCAAAGTATTTTTCACACTAGGAAAGTTTAAATGTGTGGAAAATGTTAGTCTTACTAAGCTAATGTGAATGAATGGATCAGAATGGAGAGGAAAATGCCTGACAGACCCAAAGAATGCACACTTATAAAAATAATTGGCACTAAATATTTAAAAGTTTCAGAGAGCAGCTAGTTTCCCTCTTTTAGAAAGACAACATGACATAGTAGAAAAGCCCTTGTTTGTCAATCAGGAAGCCTGGGCTCTACTCTCAGTCTTATATTAGTAATACGTTTCTCATCAGGTCACTTCTTCACTCTGAGCATTGGTTTTCTCAAGTCTATTATAAAAACTTTGGGCTGAACAACTCCAACTGTCTTTCTGTTCAAACATTGTATGATTTTTAGAAAATTCAGGGCTGTTCTCAGATATGCAATACGGAATCAAGATTAGCAATTAAATTGGAATACACACACCATTTAAAAGATTGCTCCTTGTTAAGTGGTTTAGTGAGTTGGTAATAGTATATTTTTCCTTGATTTAAAGCAATTGTGTATTCTAATGCCACTATCACTCACTCACTCCATGCGTACTAGTACTGGCGTTATAATAAATAGTTTCAAGCTGAAGTTTAGCTAGTAGTCTTGAGTCTTCTTCCTTGATAAAAATGCTTCACTTTGGGATGCTGCTGTGCTTCTTCTCTGCCAGTCTGTTGGAGTTCAGCAAACTATGTTTTCACCTTCTTGCATGATGGTCGTTCGAGGTCAAGCATCTCTCTGTACCTTGAAACCATCCAAGTGCGTAACCTGATGACTTCAGACTCCAATGCTTTCAATCTGGCACCTTTCATGAGCATTGAGTTCATATTAAAACATTTAAAATATATTCTCCTTCATCTACATATCACAGCAGTAACAACTTGGGCACAAGACAGTGCCTGAGAACAAATAACCACTTGGAGTTAATGATCTGAGGGGCAGCTGAAGGACCATTGACTCTTCCTAGTCAGTTCTTTGTCCCTATAAAATGCCTACTTCTGAGGTGCCGAGCCTTCAGTAATTTTTCTGTCTCACGTCAGATTAAGTAGTGACCATAAATAATAGCATTTAATACATAATAATGAGATGTGGCAATGCAATAAAATATCAACAATTCTAGTACTATATTAACATGGCTATTCTGATGAAACCAAAAGAATGAGCAGTAAATGAAGTTCATGAATCATAATATTTTAGAAGAGACTTTCACCTTATTGATTTGAAATGAGATATAAGAAAGAATTCATTTGGTTTAGGGGAGCAGTTCCCTTTCTTTTGCTCTGCATTCCACTGATGAATGATCTAATTTAGAAATAATAAAAAATGCCTCTGACATCTATTTTAAATTGATTTTTAAATAGTGTATGTTCAGCTTTTTCCCCTCTTTTTTAGCAGTAGATTCATTTTTCAAGATATGTACAGCTCTGAACTAAGTTACAAATACAACTCTACAAATGTTCTTTTCCAGAAGAAGCACTTTTTATTTATTTATTACTGTGACAAACATTTATAAGTCTCTACAGTGTGCCAGGCATGGTGCTAGGTGCTGGGGAAACAAAAAGTAATATGGAACATAGTCCTTACTCATAAGCTCATAGTAGAGAGTTGGGGACTGTGCTATACACAGAGAAATAAAATAATCAAGTGTTGTAGGTATGGAGTTTCTATGAATTTACTTGCTCATGGCATTTTTAAAATAAGTTTAAAAGATTCATATATCAAAACCTACTGAGTAAGGCAATGATGTGTGTAATCTAAAATAGCTCTCCACTCAAATCTGCAGTAATCATTGGTTATGGTGGGAAAAATGCCCCCCCCCCCGCCCGCCGAAAAGATGTCTGTGTCCTAATCTCTGAAACCTGTGAATATGGCATGTCATGTGAACATGACAAAGAGGAATTAAGATTGCAAATGGAATTAAGGTTACTAATCGGCTGACCTTAAAATAGGGAGATTATCCTGGTTATCTCTGTGGGCCCAATGTAACTACAAGCATCTTTAAAAGTGGAAGAAAAGAACAAAAGAGAGAAAAACAGAGAGATGGGCCCATGAGAAGAACTTGGCCTGATTTTACTGGCTTTGAAAATGGAGGAAGGGGCCATGAGCCAAGGAAGGTGGATGGCCTCTAGAAAGTGGAAAAGTCAAGAACACTGATTCTTTCCTAGAGCCTCCAGGAAAGAATTCAGCCATGCCGATACCCTGATTTTAACCTATCAAGACCCACTTCAGGCTTCTGACCCCTGGATCTCTAAGATAAGTCTGTGTTGTTTTATGCTGTCAATTTTGTGGTAATTTATTACAACAGCAATGGCAAACTAGTACACTGAGGTTTACTCAGTACGGAAAATGTAAGGAGTAGTCTCTAGTTGTTGATCATGATTACTGAAAGGCATTCTTCATGCTGAAATTGGTGCACAGGGTTATTTACCTAGTGACCATTTTTTCTAGATATCCATATCAGGTCCCTCCATCAGAACTACAGCGATTTGTGAGGTCCCTGAAAAACCTGGCAATTCTATCACTGCCACTCCCAATTTCAGAGAGAATTCAGTCCTCCTTCCCTCTCCTTCTGTGGACCACTTGTGCTCCCTCCTCCTATCCCCTTGTCCCATATCCCTCCACATTGATACCTAGGATACAAGGTTTGTTGATAAGTGAGAAGTAAAAAATTATCTTTTTTTCTTTCATGGGACACCCGCAGCAGGAAGAATGATATAGGCACTAATATCCTAACAAGTTACCCTGGCATGGGTTTCATGACAATCTAGGTGTTGGGTATTAAGTAGAGTGTGAAATTGAAGTTTCAAGCTAGTGGCCGATTGCTCAGGGCCAGTCCTCAGATACGTTTGTTTGCAACCCAGAATGATTTCTCTCCTCTCTTCTCCTTTTCTTCCTTTTTAAAAATGCTGTAGCTTGAGTGTGTCCTCTTTAATTCTGTAGTAGAGGGTAAGTGCATATGCTTTGGGGTTTAAAACCAAGAGAAGATCCAATTCGGCCACATATTGACTGTACAGCTTGGGCAAGTAGATTAAGAATAATCTCTCTAAATCTCAATCTCCTAACCTCTAAGATGAGAATAATAATTATACCTCACAGAGTTGTGATGTTGAAAATGGCATGCAAATAATTCATAAAACACCTTGCACAATGCCTGGCATATAACATAGTGTATGCTCGATAAATATTAGCTATTACTTCTGCCACTATTCTTGCTATAGTAAGAGCACAAAGGATGGGCAAACAATTTCATCTGGTAGGGGGGAATGAGAAGCAGATATCTGGAAACGCTTCGTGGAGGAGGTAATGCCGGTAATACTAGGACCAGGCATGTGAGTGTGGACTGCTGGGGAATAGGGAATGGTAATTTGGTATTGTCAGATGAACAAATGGTAGGGATGAGAATATGTTCTAAGCAAAAGAATAAGTGGCAGAGAAATATCAAATACCCTGGTCTCTTAGGGAAACTGCAATCAGTCTTTACAGGTAGAGGGTCATGTGGAATGTAAGCATGAGAAGAGATAAGCATAGAGAAGTATGCTGGAGACAGATATAGATGGATTTCCTTAGCCTGTATCCTACTAAGGTGGATCTCCTTTTTTCCTGTAGGCCAGTGGTTTTCTAATGTTGCTTGTGAAATTTGAAGTTTGGTTTATTGCCCTCTGAACCTCTTTCTTGCTTAAGGGCAACTCCTGAAACAGCCACCTAGGAACACTGATGATTTTATTTACATAAATATATATTTTTTATTTTTATTTATTATTATTTTTTTAGAGATAGGGTCTCACTGTGTTGCCCACGATGGTCTCAACTCCTCAAGTGATCCTTCTGCTTTGGCCTCCCAAAATTGCTGGGATTACAAGCATGACCCACCACACCTGGTGGAACATGGTTTAAAAGTCACCACTCAGCCAAGCACGGTGGCTCACGCTTGTAATCCTATCACTTTGGGAGGCCAAGGCACGTGGATTACTTGAGGTCAGGGGTTGAAAAGCAGCCTGGCCAACATGGTGAAACTCCGTCTCTACTAAAAATACAAAAAAAAAAAAAATTTCCCGGGGGGGGGGGGGGCACCCGTTATTCCCACTAATTTGGGGGGTGGGGCCGGGGAAACCCTGGGGGCCGGGGGGGGGGGTTTCCATGGGCCCAAATTTCACCCATTCAATTCCCCCCGGGGGACCGGGCCGGAATTCTTTTTTTAAAAAAAAAAAAAAAAAAAGTCACTGCTCTAGGGAAGGAGGAACTAGAGAAAGACGTCAGTAATCATGTTTGTGATATAGAGGGCCCACCCAGGTGGTAGTATGGAGGATGGATTGGAGGGATCAAATATGAAGACCAATAAACCAGTTAGGAGACTACTGCTAAAAGCTAGATAAGAGATGATGGGGGCAGATGGCAATTACCAATGGTGATAGCAATGAAGAGACAGAGTTGAACAGTGATTCTCAAACTTGAGTATGCATCAGAATTACTTGGAAGGCTTGTTGAGAAACAAATTGCTGGATCCTACATTTGAGTTTCTGTTTCAGTTGGTCTGAGGTGGGGCCCAAGATTTTGCCTCTCTAACAAGTTCCCAGGGGATGCTGATGCCACTGGTCCAGGCACTACACTTTGAGAACCATGGGATTTGAGATATGCTATGTAGAACTGACAGGCATGGGTCACTTATTAGATATGGGCATAAGGGAAAGGTTTCTGGCTTGAAAGCCTAGTCAGATAGTGATACTATTCAGCATTACTAAAAGCAAGTTTAGGCTGAGTTGAAAAAGAAAATGTTCATAACCCTAGCAAGAGAGGGCAGCTAAAAATCTTTATTATTTTTTTTTTGTAGAGATGGGGTCTCACTTGGTTGCCCAGGCTGGTCTTGAAATTCTGGCCCCAAGCCGTCCTCCTGCCTCAGCCTCCCAAAAGCACCAGGATTAGCACCTGGCCTTTAAAAATCTTTAAACAAGATTTATGATCAGATCCTAGGCTTTCTTCTGGGCAGCTTGATTCTATACTTTTGTACTACTAGCTTCTCTTGCTCCCAGTCCACCCCCATTTATATGCCTTGGTGCCATTCACATTCCGGAAGTGAAAGTACAACTCTGGGAGGGGGTAGAATAATGGATTCCATTTTATACCTGTTGAGTTTGGTGAGCCAACAGAACATCTAAGTGAGAAAACCTGAAAAAATAATTTAGGCATTAGTTTTTGTTTATTCGTTTTTAATTTAAAATGAGGTCATTTCCTTATTTCAGGTTGGATATTAACTCTTCTTTGTGCAAAACTGGAGTAGTCAAAATATAGGTCATTTTTTTTTTTTAGGAGATGGGGTCTCACGCTTTCACCCAGGCTGAAGTGAATGGCACAATCATTGTTCACTGCAGCCTTGAACACCTGGGTTCGAGCAATTCTCCTGCTTCAGCCTCCTGAGTGGTTGGGACTATATACATGAGCCACCATGCCAGGCTAGATTGAGCTATCGTGCATATTTCCTGTCAGTCCTATAAGGATTTTTGAGTGTTAAATTTGCTCATAGGTGGCAATCATCCTTTTTATAGTATAGATCAGTGAATCCAAAACATGTTTATTTTAAAATTCCCCTTGAACACCCGTGTGACCTAGCTTTCTCTACGTTACTTCCTTACCAAAAAGGAAAAATCAAAGTATGGCAGAATATCCATGTGGGTAAGTAGAGGAAAATAGAAGAGTACCATACAGATTGACCTTTTTCTTCTTTTCTTTCTTTTTTTTTGTAGCTTATTTCAGTAATGGTCAGATATTTCACTGAATCTATCTCTCTAAGGTTGAGAGTAGGCAAAGGAAAGATCTTAAAACAAGATAAAGTACCTACATGCAATGGTGAGATGAGGAATAATATAGGGAATTTTGAGGAGCAGTAGAAGTGAATACTAAACAAAAAGGATTAAATTGATAGACTTGATTTTGTTGCAAGGGGGCAGTTGTACTGGTAAATCAGTCATTTTGGGCACATAGTATATCCTTACAAATATTCTAGCATATTAAAATTATCAATTTACTTGTCAGCTTGCAGTTCCACAAAGCTGTAGAATCATCTTAATATGGGGAGCAAAAATATGATAAGATGGTCAATTATAGTCATTCACTGCCAAAACTTCCTTGAAAAGATACACTTAACTGTATCATTCATTCTCCTTTGAAGGCTGCTCATCTTAGAGACTGATTATGTACTTGTAATTTGTGGATAGGACAGCCACCCATACACTTCCATCTGCAAGGCTCATAAAGAACCTTAACTTGTAGACTCAATTCAGTTTCTTGTAACATTTAGCTCCGATCTTTCCAGGAAAATAAGATGCATTCCTTAGTACTTATTCTTTTATGCCAGAAAAAAATATGGAAGAAAAACAACTACAAAACTAAAAACAAAACCTTGGGGTTTTGCTACGTGTTTATAGATAAGCCATGATCTGAAATGCATCCATGTATATCAACAAAAAGTCCAACATTGGATGCTTAGGAAATGGGATCAGAGTTAATAGAAATGGCTCTTGTAGTTTCTTGGAAATCTCACTGAGAAGAAGTTATTCCTTAGGAGTGTTATTTCAGCCCCATGATATTGCTAACTTGACAGCTGAATGCAGAAATGTGTCTTTTGGGTGAGGCAAAGTCCAGCTTTTTCACAGACCTCCATTTCACCTTAATAAATTTGAAATCACTATTTCTTCAGCTTTACATATTTCCAAAGTATATTGAGAATCACTATATATACTTTTTTTAAAGGTAAAGAAAAATAAAAAACAATGACAAAAATTCTGAAATATGTACAAAGGGACAATATAATCCCATGCCTTGTGGCACCATATCTGAAGTAGCAAGGGTCTTTTCTATAGTATAGATGTTGAGCTGGTGACCTTCAAATATTGTCCTGTTTTCATTCAATGTCTGACATATGTCAGATGAAACTGTTCAACTCATATGACTTTAAATAGCTGTTTTCTGTGAATGCATCAGCTACTTATTTTGTCCCAGACTCATCTGTACTACTGCACATGAAATTTAATTTTAAAATGTACACTTCAAGTGACATAGTTGAGCATGTCACTGTGTGTAATAGATCACTGGTTTTGTTCTCGTCTTATTTGCAAAATGCTCACCTAGTTAAATGGTATGGCTATAATATGTAAACCTTTAGGTGTATGATGTAAACCTTCAATAAGTTAATATCAATAATACAAATTTTCAATGCCTTTCTTAATTTTGTTTAATTTTACACCTGTGTTCAAAAACACCCTGATTAATGCTTTAATATTTTGTATATGGTGTATGAACACAGAATAAAAGATGCACTTATGTACATGCCTGATCCAAGCTTACATCTACATACTGGAAAATGTGAGTGCCAGCTGAGTACCAGTTTGCACCAAGTTTATAGTTTTAATCATAAAAAAGTACATGAAGTTATTATTCATCTTATTGCTGAGCAGTAGTTTGAAAAGGCGGAGGGAGAAGCTCTAAGAAAATCCTTTAGTAATTCTAAGAAAGGCTGGTTTTCAGTTAAGTACATTTTTGTAAGTCATTTTGTCATTTGGTAAACACACAATGATTATGCCTTCAGACAGATGAAATATTTATTAGAAAGATAAATGTGGAAATCACAATAGTATTAAAGAATACCATGGGAGTGGGAAGCCTGTCAAGAATGTTCTGACCCCAGGAAAAAGAAATCAGAATTGCCATAGAGAGGGACCATAGAATGAAAACTTTTTAAAAGGTTATTTCCATAAAGTCTGAGAAAATCTTGGCCTCCATTAAGATTTTTGTCCCTGAGAGCCTAAACTGTAAGTGTGGTAACTGCTTTGTCTGCAGAATAAAAAAGGAAATCTTCGCTTAATCATTATCCTGGGAGTTGAACATCCTGCTAACATTTGAATAAAAATGCCTACTTCATTACTGATGGGAACACAGAGTTCTGTGTACCAAATGATTTACAGTAGAGCTTACTGACAGGGCTATCTTACAAATGAATGGGCTTTTTAAAGAATAATACAAGTTGTTAATGTGTATAGTATCAAATGAAATATATAATGCCCACAAATTCTAAAAAGTCTACCAAGTGAGTGCTGGCTGTTAGAAAAATATAGTCCTATTATACATTTAGGTAAAATGGAAAGTGATGACATAGAAAACAGAATTCTGATGTGTTGACAATACCATCAGTGTTTTTCCTCTAGTAAAATCTCTTACAATGATGGAAAACAGAACTATGAAATAACCAAGCTGCAGAGGACCTTGAGAAATCATTTGCCCTAGGCTTTTGCTTTCAAATATGTGAATGTCTACACAAAGGGTAAGCAAGTAATGTCGTTAGCGCTATGAATACCAAATCCTTTATTTAGCAAATATATACAGCATTTAACTATGAATACCAAATTCTTTATTTAGCAAATATATACAGCATTTAACTCTGTGCCAGGCACTGTGCTAAGCACTCTACAATAGTAACTGGACACATTTGTCATGGTATTGCTTTTTTCCCTCTTCTACCCCTTTTTCGCCTCCCCTTATTTTTTCTCTACACATCTTTTCCTGTTTCCTTTTTCTGCTATGTGGCCCTCCTTAGTATTGTTCCAGACTTCTTGGGGTCCTCCAGTATAATGAGGTTACTGAACTCTAGTGTAAGCCCTTTATTCTCATTGCTTTTGAGAATGTCATGGAATTCATGTCAAATTTGTTATAGAAATCAAAGTAGATTATTTTATCATTTTGCTTTCATCTCTATGACTTGTCATTTTATGATAGAAATAAGTGTTCTCGAATAATTTGGTATCCACATAGCATGCACTGATAGTTACTTCCGGTGTCATAATATCACTTATTTAATAATAATATTTTTTGGATAAGACTAAAATTTTAAAGAGGACTGTGTATGGAATATTTTTAAAATAATACTTTCTCATATTAAATTTCCAGTTTGCCAAACCACATGAGAATCTTCTCTTCTGCCTCATTCCTGAAAGGGTGAATATGCTTTCTTCATTTTGTATTTTCTCATCTCATTCTTGAGTTTGTGTTTTTTAATCTTATAAACTTAGTAGGTCTTTAGCAAAAACTGCTAACCTTGCTCTTTCCACTTATCTCTTGAGGACATAGATAATCTTAGGTGACTGACATAGTTGTTATTTTAAATTATAGTAGACAGTTCAGTTTTCAAGCCACTCTCTTCCTTATGTAGACTTCTCTGTGTGTTGCTCATTGACTTGTGTGTGCGCATGTGTATGATCTAGCAAGTTACGAGCAATTACTGTGTGCCAAGTACTACGCTATTCATTTTAAAGTGTTATCTCATTTAATTTCCACAATAACTTTATGAAGGTTGCACAGTTATCATCTCCAATTTGCAAGTTTAGAACACTGAGGCCAAGGGCAGTTAAAGTAATTTGAGTAACGTTACACAGTAGGTAAGTGGTAAGGCAAGTATTCAGGGTATTCAGCTACTATTCCCTTGAGTCTTCATTTGTTACTAACTGTTAACAGCATAATTCTGGTTTCTTTAAATCTGATCTGTTTTCTCTTGTTTAGACATTTAGGACTTCTTAAGTTGAGGTGTCTGAATCTTGGATTGGGCCTTTAGATATGGCAGATGAATTTTAGACTCCTGCTCAAAGAATGTTTTTATTGTGGAATACCTCAACTAAAGGATTCTAATGTGACCCCACTAAAACATGAGTCTGGTAGATATATTTTGCAGTAGAAAGGGCCACAATATAGTGAATCAGTTTAACTCCATTTTCTGATATGCCCTAATCCTTTGCTTACCCATATCACCATTCCAAGATGAACCAATTTCTCTTTGTCTGATATCAGTGCTGTTTACTTCCCATGAAGCCTCCTTGAGTAAAGAACATGGACATTTCTTCCTGGCTTATTTTCTATTTCTTACACTCAAACTGTGAATGTACTTGAGATCCATTATTTGTTTTTCTCCCTCTACCTTTTTATCCTTGGGGATTTCATCTACCTTTATAACTCTAACTGCTATTTCTTATATAAATAATTTTTAAAATATTTCTTACACTATGGTCCCATGTCTCCAACCTCTTGCCACACATGTACAATTGGATATTCTGCTGATATCTGAAACTCATTGTGTTTCTAACGGTGAGCACATCATATTTCCGAGGTTGGATCCCCTGTCCAACTTCCCAGTTTCTGTTGATGATACCATCATTCTTCCAGCTACCCTTGAGGCTTAAAACCTTGAGGCTTTCTTTTCTTTCTTCTTGTACTTTGCTCTCCATATCTAACCAGTCATTAGGTTCCATCATTGCTTCATAATGTCCTTTATTTCCATCCTTTATTTTCTGTACCACTGCCATGAGCTTATCTCTACTTTAGACAGTTTAACATCTTACTCATTATTCGCCCTCTAAAGCTTAGTATGTGGCCTTGCCCATAGCAGGGATTCAGAGTATTTTGGTTTTGTGATTGAGGTGCAGGTTACCTCCTGCCTCCAGCAACAATGAGCACTTTTGGAACCCAGCCTTTTTGAGTTTATCTTTCTTGCATGTGTGCATCCATCTCTTTGGTAGCCAGATATATACCAATATTCTTTTCAGGTGTATATATTTTTGTCAGACTCAGTGTTATATACATGTCTTTCATGAGCTACAAGAGGGAAGGGGACTGAAATTGATCCAGAATTAATGAGTTCCAATGCTTTAAAAGGACAATCAGGGCATTTTATCTAGTGAGGGTGAGACAATAAGCTCCATGGCAATGGAGACTATGTAGGCTTTAACACTGATGGATTCCCAGGACCTAGCACTATACTTAGCACTAGTAGTATTTAATGAATATATGTTGAATGAATTAATGAATAAGCTCCAATGATAGTGACAACTGTGCTGTCCCAAAAGAGGAGAACAAAAGTCTCCTGACGACTTGCCTCATTCACTTTAATATATTAAACTGGGGAGATTGCACCTAATATGCTGAGATTTTTCCACATGGCCATATATTTAAGGCAATAATTGAATCTTTAAGAAAAATTTATGTTCATACTAAATTATATTTCTCGTGGGATAACATGACATGATTCTACTTGGACACCACAAATTATATTGATAGGGTGAAATGTGTTTTCATGTCTGTTTATAAAATGTGGAATATTATTGAATTACTTAAAGTGTTGTGTTTGAGATGAGCTTAGGCTGGTTTCTTTGGGTTTGACACATTTCAGTCTGTCATCCTGTCCTTAGAGATGTTGAAAATTAAATGGGGATACTTAAATAATTTAATTTATAAGCTTGCTTACAGCTATGTGGTTTATCAAGCCAGATGTCGGCACCCTCAGTTTCTTGCAGTTGAGATGCTTCCAGAATATAAATTAAAATTGGTTCTGCATGTCAAGAATTAGCATGTAAAAAAGGAAGAAACTTCTTTCTCAAATAGCCAATATTTGTGTAGTATTTGCTGGGCAGTGCCATTTTTTTTTAACCATTAGCCAATTTTAAGAAAGAGTATAATTCATTCATAAAATAAGCTTAACTATATTTCGGGGAAAATCCTATTCCATGTACATATGATGACGTAACTCACATCTTTATAACACAAAAGTCTATAATAGATATGTTATTCTAGTTTCACGCCTCCCTCTCTCCAGAAGTCATTTTCTGCTGTTTTTCAAATGCAGTAGATTTACTCAAGTTTTTATGGTTACACCGCCAACATTTCCAGTTCCTTTTTTAAAAAATTGGTCTAGACAATATTTTAACAGGACGTTTTTCCTAGTGAGAAATTATGCATCTGAGCTCTTCTTCCCCCACATAAATGGAAAATAAACAACAGCTTCTATGTAATTTAAGCAAGGCTGTGGGAGACAACTTGAGGTGATAGGAACAATGCAGGATGGCCCACATTCACCGTGGGACCTTGGGCAAGTCAATTGCTCTATGTGGGTTTGTTTCTTCTCGTTTAAAATGGGGGGGGGTGAGGTTGAATCATCTCTCAGTTTCATTGCATGCTCTAGAATTCTTTGAGATGTTGTAAAGTCTTAGGCCACCTCTCTTTCCAGGTTCTTTGCAGTATTAAGCTCTTTCTATTCTTTAAGGCCCGTGAAACATTCCAAGGTTCATGATTCCAACTTGACTTTCTCATTTTTAAAAGTCCTAACAGCATTTTTATAGTCAGATTGCAGTATTTAGCATGTTTATACTGTATAATTATGCTTGTCTAATTCTCTTTATCTAGCTCTCTAAGTGTTTTCTTGTCCACTAAAATTATCTTTCCAACTGGATTACAAGAATCTTGAATACAGGAACTATGCCTTTTACCTCTATTTTCTTCATGGAATCTGTTATATTCTAAAGTAGGTAAAAGTATCAATTGATTTGGATTAGATTATAATCACTTATCACCTGGGTTGAAAGAACTTGAAGTATGAACAAAGATAGCCTCTTTTTATGGTATATTGAGGCTTCCTGTCTTAGTCTGTTTCAACTGCTGTAGCAAATTGGCCATAAACTATATGGCTTATAAACAATAGAAATTTATTTCTCATAGTTCTGGAGGCTGGGAATTCCAACGCCAAGGCACTGGCACATTCAGTGTCTGGTGAGGGCTGACTTCTTGGTTCATAAAGAGCCAGCTTTCTGGTGACTTGACAGTGATGTGACTTCTCATTGTATTCTCACATGCTGGAAGAGGTGAGGGTCTCTCTAGGGCCTCTTTTATAAGGGCACTAATCCCATTTATGAGGACTCTGCCCTCATCACCTAATCACCTCCTGAAGGCTCTACCTCCTAATACTATCACATTGAGTGTTAGGATTTCAACATACGAATTTAGAGTGGGGGCAGGGGACACAAACATTCAGACCATAGCACCTCCTCTGAAATTATGAATAATTTCCTCTAGATCCCTTAAATTGAATTAATATTACAATGAAAAATACTTTTTCTGGGTCTTTAGATCTCGGGGTATAATTTATGTGAAGCAAGTCCTTGTTTGACAGGAAGGTGTTACTTTGGTTATTTTTTTTTTCTGGACCTTTAATATCAACTTTCCAATCTAATTCAGCCAAAATAAATTGAGCACACATTATATGTTAAAAATTGTGATAGACTCTGTGGTGAGTTGGAGGGAAAGTGGTGTGTGTAAAGATTGATAGAAAATAATTTTTGCCCTGACTGCTTCACAGTGAGGAATTTGGGATATAATAGATACAAAAACCAACAAACAAAATAACTCCTACAATATAATTTAATAAGAACAGTAATAGAGGTAGATGTGAAGTGATTTGGAATCACAGACAAGAAAGCATCTTACTATATCTTATGGCTTATGTCTCGGAATATACTACTCAAAGGTAACAATTTTAGAAAATGACTAGGAATTTGGTTATCAGAAAAGGTAGGGAAGCGCATCCTAGTAAATATATTAAAGTAAAAGCACAAAGACATGCAATATATCTGAGAGATTATCTGATATAGTATAGTCAGATTACAGGATGTTCAGGGAAAGCATTTCATGAGAAGGTATTGGAGTGGTAATAAGGTTTTTAGCTTATCACTGACCTTCGAAGTCCATTTTATTCCCTAGAGGGTATACACCCTTGAGCATTTTCTAAATGTGAAGAAGCCCATAGGGTGGGAGAGCTGGTCTATAAGAGGAACTTGCGCAATTATTTTCTTCCTGTCGTGAAATCTTCAGAATCAACTTCTTCAACTGTCCTATATATTTAAGACAGTCATTTTTTGTTCTTTTCTCTTGAATGTGTATTAGGAATGGTGAGATCGTCTGAACTCATTTTATGACTAATTAAAATAGGGGAGGAAACCCCTGAATATGCATCTGAAACTGAACTCTTACAACTCACAGCAGTAGATAGCAATATAGACAACTGAGACTACATTGCATTCAGGCTTGAATACAAGAAGCTTATTCAGCAAAGCTTGGAATGGAGACTTCTCTTTCTGGTGCACTTTTCGAGTATCAGTGGTGGATGTCTCTTATTCCCTTCAGGCAACCAAGGACTTCACATTTATCCTCTTTCTTTGTGTCTACTCGCTTCTCCCTCAAAAACATAAGGCCTGCTCTAAGAAAAGGAACTGACGAACTTAGTCATTTGGAACCATAAGTGACTCTTAAGGCTCAGTGGGATAGTCTCCCAGTGCTGTTTGCATTTTAAGGAGATAAAGGCCTTGCTTAACTTAAATCACAAGCTTTAAATTTTACAGCAGCACCTAGTCCAATGAGGGAGACATTTGGTATCTTATCTTAATGATAGGTACTACCCCAACATTAATAGCATGAAATCACTGATAACACTTCATGTCCTTTTATCGTGTCCAATAATATTAAGCTATTTGAAGTTTGATAGGTTTTGCAACTGAAATGAGAACCTACAGCTAGATTTTTATAATAAAAACAGTATAAAGCATTTGAATTTCTATGTTATTTCCCACACTTACTGTTTCCCTTTATAGTAATGAATAGACCAAGCCAGGCATAAAAAGAAGAATGAGAATGAAAAAAAAAAAATGAAGAAATGACTTTCTGGGCCTTTGGCTCTTTCCTATGGGACCTTAATTTAGACTTCTCTTATATGTTTCTGAGTTTAAGAAACTGACTTTTGATTGACAAGGATATTGTTAAGGTTTTGAATAGAAACTTAGCTATTGAAAGAATTGTATCTTAGATGTGCAGATTAGGGTGGGTTCAGGGTAGTTAGTATTGAGAGAAAATGAAGACTATTAAATGTATCTGATGGTCAGATATAAACTAGATATCTCAGTTCCTTTAAAAGCAAGGCCAAAGCCTGACTGTGCAGCAAATTAAGAAAGAAGAAAATTACTCTGATTTATACCAGCCATGTGTGGCCACCATAGCCAGTTTGTTAGCCCGTTCATTGGAATTGGATTTCTGAGTTATTTATTTTTTTCATCCTACATTATTGCCATCTTTAAAAGGAATGGGGTCATTTTTCAGCTTCATGCATTGATAAGTAGGTATACAACTCCCACTGTTTTTCATATGTGTCTAATTTTTGCCACTCTCCTGACAAATACGTGACAAAACAGAAGTCAGTATATTGCTTTTTACTTTCTCAGTAGTAAACAGCTTTAGCGGGAGTTACAATATAATATCTAGTGATCATAAGTAGAAACAATTTATTTCAGCTTGCAAATATTCCTGGGGTATACATGGCTGGGCACTAGGCACTGAGATAGAGGCAAAAGCAAAAGATGTGGCTTCTTCCCTCAAAATGCTTACCCTCTAGGATAAAAAATATGATCTGCGTGCGCACACACACACACCCACACACACACAGGAGATACTGGTTTTCTGTGGCTGTGTAACAAACCATCACAAACTAAGTGGCCTGCAATGACACCAATTTATTATTTCACAGTTTCTTTAAGTCAAAAGTCTGGTCATGACTTAGTGGTTTTTCTGCTCAGTCTCGCAAAGCTGCAGTCAAGATGTCGGTTGGGCTTATTCTCATCTGGAAGGTCAACTAGGGAAGTGTCCACTTTCAACTCCCTCAGATTATTGGCAGAATTAATTTCTTTGTAGGTGTAGAATTCATGGCAGTTTGTTTCTTCAAAGCTGGTAATTGAGACCGATAGTCTCTGCTGCTTCAAATCTCTAATTTTGGGAGTGACTTTAACCCCCTTTTAAAGGACTCTCTTGATTAGGCCAGGCCCACCCAGGATGATTTCTGATTAAGTCAAAGTCATCTGACTGGGGCTCTAATACAAATAGAAAATCCTTTTGCCTTTGCCATATTCTGTTGGGTAGAAATAAGTTATAAGTTCTGCCCACACTCATGGGGAAGGTATTACACAAGGGCAGGACTTAGTGAGTGTCATACTAGAATGTGTTTGCCACACACAGAAAACACTAAATACAAGCAATGACAATACAAGTACCTTGGTATGGACAACAAGTCTAAATGGAAAGTATGTACAGGGACTGAGGAAACACAGAGCAAAAGGGTGATCTCTGCATTTATCCAGCAAGTTTACTATGCACTAGCCATGTACCAGGACCTGTGCTAAGCTCTGAGGCTGAAATAAGTGCAAAATGGCAAGTGCCCTAGGTAACTCTTGAAAACATACAATGCACAATTCCAGAAGACTTCAGAACCCTATTAAATACTGTTATCTGAGAAAGAGACACTAAAGACACAGATGATGATAAATATGTTTACTCATAGCTATGAGTTCCTTATATCTTGCTGTGGAGGTACAATATGACAAACACACAGACAGACACACACACACATACACACACACAAGCATGTCTACAAAGCAGTATAAGTAGGTTTGACTGAATATAACAATTTCCAAATATATCCCTTGACACAAAATCATGATTGCTTTATTCTGGCCTCTTTACTTACTTTGTGTGGAAGGTGGAAAATTGTAATAATCATGGCCAGGGTTTGGAGGTCTGACTCTTCAGTCTATTCAATTAGTGCATGTAGATAGCAAAGCAGCTTCTCAGTTTAGTCGTTGCATTACATATCACTTAATGTTTGCTTTAATCTTTTTCTATTTATTACCTTATTGGATCTGAACACCAGCTCTATCACACACACACACAGCAAAATTTACCGTGCCCACTTTATAGAGGGATTTCTTGTCCAGATTTAGATAAGCAGGATACTGAAAAACATGGGCGAAACCCTAGGTCTTCTCACACCAAATCCAGAGTTTTCTATGCCATGTTTATGAATTAACAAGAAGGAAGTGAGGTGGAGGAAAAAAATAATATAGAAAACAAATTATCCAGCTTCACTAGTTCTACCACATATAAGCTTGACCCTCTCATTCTGTGTTTGGTGGATCCTTTGTCCATTGTTCATTTTTAAGCCCCAAATCATGTAGGCTAGAGTTCTTTATGAAGCCAGAGTATTTATACTCAAGAGTTTATGAAAAGTTGTTGTCCCTAAAATGTACCCTCAGACTCACCTAGAGGGACCACTTCCAGTGAATAGGTTCTTCGTGCCCCATTAGTTTCTTGATTTCTCTACTGAGAGTGCAAACAAGCTTCCTGTTTTCACAATGATTGTAATGATGTGAACATTTACCCATTGGGAATGAGACTGAAATCACCAAATCATTTCATATGGGCTATTGCACAATTGACAGTTATGATAATAAATGTCAGGACACTGCTGACTGCTTGTTCAAATCTACTTTGGGACTTTTTAGTTCATCCAGTTTTCCTCCAGATTTTATGTTCTTTCTATTATTCAGGCTACTTCAGGCCAAATATTTAGTCAGTTTTTCATTTTGTAGCCTTACTGTCTGCATCCGGGTTTTACATAGTATATTGAAGAGACTGCTTGGTCACCTAAAGCTGCTCCATTTTGTCATTGGGAAAGCATGTCAGGCAATAAATCCTGAAAAGAATGAACGTTTGCTTTATATAGGTATCTCATAATCCAATTGCAAAGTCTCTCTCAGGAATCCACTGCAATTTTTGTTTTCTGCAGGTGAAATTCAATGAGATAACAACAGTGCCATATATGAAGCCATAAACCAAACTCCTTATAAGGATTTGATTAAGAGGAAGAAGGAATTTATGGTTCCAGGCTTTTAGATACCACCTAATATGCAATTTTATCTGTCTTCAATTATTCATAAGTCATTTCACAGACACATTAAGATATACCAGTCTTCACATCCAAATATTTTTGGTAGCATGTTTTTCCAAAAATCTCCTTGTAAGATTAAATTTAAAATTTGAGCCTCAGTATTCAATATGGTCTAGCACAAACATCCTGAGTATCTCACTTTACACTTAAATTTATTAGACTAAGAAACTGGGTCCTTAAATGTTAGCTGCTGGCTTTATTATTAACTAGCAGTGTGGCGGTGAAAAAGTCATCACAACCTCTCCAGGACTCTATTTTCCAGTTTATTGCCCAAGGCACTTGTGAAAAAATCAAGATAGTGTACATAGAAAAACTTTATAGAAAATGGAGAACAATGGACAGAGGAGTTATTATTAGTAATAATAATGGTTGGTAAGTTGGATGAGGTTGCTATTTAAATTCACTATATGCTTAAATTTTGTAAATGATCATTTTCTAGTGTGAACACAGCATTCTTAAAATTGTTTCCTTTGAACTTACATGTTGTTTTCTAAGAAGGTTATGATGTTTTAAAGTTATCAAGTGTAAATGAAAAGAGCCAATGCATATATTTAATATTGTTTTTACTTAAAGCAGTGTATATAATTAGTGTCTACTCCCTAACGAGTAGGGTGTAAAAAATGAGGTACAGATATTAATTTGTTCTGCTTGCTATACTACATTATATATTCGTATGCATTTTTAAAACATGCTTTAGCTCAATATATACCACATTTGCAAAACTCAAGTGTCATCAGCATCAAATCATTTGAATTATTTTTTACTAACATTATTTTCTCTTTAATGGCAAGAATCGCGGCTGTTTAAAGCACCCAGAAAGTAACTCAGGCCAACCATGATGGCTTGAAAATGTGACTAATTTATTAGTCATGCAGTGATAAACTATATAGTGAACAGGGAGAAGACAAAATGTTTTCCAAAAGAAATATCCATGTAATTTTCACCACCTGAGTTCTCCACTGAAGCAAGGTTAAGAAGTTAGCATAATGTTCTTCCTGAACTGTGGGCCCTGTGCCACCAGGCTTTCAGAAGTTGAGCAGAAAAGCAGCTCAGCTTTTGTCTTCCCACTGTCATTAAAAGCATCTCTGCTTCTCTTTCCCTTACCTGTATCCATGGGAGTCTCACCACATCAAGGAACATTACCTGTCATTGTGATGCATTTAAGATGCAGGTGTCTGAATTTTTCTTTTTCCACTTTTTTATTTCATGCAGTGTAGTAATTTAGGCTTCCTATGGAGAGGACATCTTATAAATGAAATAATGTCTCAGATCTGCATATACATGTGTCTGTATTAGTGTTTAATGGTTTTGTTTTGAATCAGGGGTATAGTGGCTATTAATAGAGCCAGAGAATATGGCAAAAATCCAACTTTCTACACATTTATGTTTAATATGCAAAACCAATTGTTTTCCACTCCGTTCTTTCCTGCTTTCTCCTCCTGTGTCGTTTCCATCCTCATAATGGTGTTAAGAATTGGTATAATTTTGTTAACTAGAGGCTATGCAAATTAATAGAGAAGGTTTATTTTGATGGTCTAGATAATGTGAAGGAGAATCACTTTCTCACTGTAAACTAATCTGTAATGACAGACACTCAATGTCAATTGTGTCACTGACAGCTTTTTATGCCAGCTTTAGCAACCTTTGTCCTTCTGGATGTTTTCTAGTCATGAACATGATATTCAGTAATGAACACCTTTTTGGTAGAAGTTGAATGGAGGTGATGGCTGGTATTGGATGTAAGCCATATTCCTTTTCCAGAAACTTACCGTACTCAGGACCAATACATATTGACTCTGCTCTGGTATGTCTTCAGTAATAGAACAGTGCTTACAACGATGGCATACTTATACAAATTAATGAGTCAGTAGAGAATTAAAGACACAGAGGAAAAGAACTTTTCCCTGTTATTTACTCAATGAAGTATAATTTGGAATGTTGCGATTATGCCTTAGGTGCATTCTTAGTCCGATGAAAAAAGTCAATGAGGCAAGTTTTACAAGTATTCATAAACTGTCTACTATGTGCTAGGTTCTTTGCTAGGTGCTCTGCCAGGTGCAAAGCAATAATTTTGACATTTCAAATGTTATCCTTATGTGCTTTAGACTTAAGTGCAATACAAATTCAGAGAAGAGAAATTTAGTGTAGCCTGTATTATTTGTTGATGGCTTTGTAGAGCAGTTGAGACACTGGATCTTGAGGAAGATCTACAATCTGGAGAGATTAAGAAGAGTAGTGAAAATATTCCACTTGGGCAGAATGACATAATGAATGCCTCAGACTTTATTTGATAGGCAAGAGTAAATTGAGAATTTTAAGCAGGTATGTTCCATGGTCAAATAGTATTCTGAGAGGGATTGAAAGTGGCTGGAGGAGGGTGAGGGTTTATCATTTAGAAGGGTATTGCAGTTAGCTATATTTATCAATCACTTAAACAAATGGTCAGTTCAGGCTTTGTGTACATACATGGCTGAAATCAGTCAAGTAACTAGTTGTTTTGAAATTAGCTGACTTGAAACTGTTGTGAAAACAACCAGTTTGATTGAATTCACTTGTTTCTCTCCAGATCAGCTCATTATTACATAAGCACTATGTGTTAGTTACACTCAGAAAAAAAATCACTTAAGCTTGTTGTTTCATGGCTTATAGGCAAACAAGCTTGTAGATTACCTAAAAATTTGGCTTTTCAGTTGGAAGTTTCAGTGTTGTGTCGATACAGCCTTTTAAGAGTTCCATAGATATTGGCAGGCAGTACTAAGATATGTTAGAATTAGTTGTTAGGAAACAGACTTAAGTTATCAAGAGTAGCAAAATAAGTCCTTATGGAAAGAAGTGACAAGACACACATAGTATATTTTATTAAATATTTTCAGTGGTTTATAATTAATGTATAAATTAAAAATTATATTAATAGAATGAAGAAAGGATGAGAAGGAAAAAGTGACAAAAACACTTTTTATATGTCATTTTAAAAATAATCCATATTGGAAAACATGACTATTGTTAGGAAACAGGCTTCTCTGAAGAGAAACAGTGTGTTTGTTAAAACCATATTCCGAAGAGTTAGTATCAGGCTGAACATTAAGCAGAGTTCATGGATATTTGTTAAACATTTATTTTCTCGGATCTGAATGTCATGTCAAACTTACTTTACCTGAAGGAACATGAACTGCTCCATCCTTAAAAATACCCTGGGGCATCTTTATTTTTGTTCCTAATAGCCAACCTAAATACAATAGTTATACTGATTTGTCTTGATTATTTACTATTGATGCATTCTAGATAATCATTATGATGTCATTGGCAATGCCAAGTAAGTTAGCTGGTCATGACAGCCTGTTGCAAGAGTGGCTCACCAGCTAATCACACTGATCCTAGGATGAGTGGGGCAATATGAGGCAAGAAAAGCCCTTTGAGAAAAGAACCACTTCTCTGTGGCAGTTCTTGTCCAACAAACACACACTGCTACTATTGAGTTCTGTCCAGCTTCCAGATAATAGCTATATCCATTATATAGCATCCAGAGAGGCTAGAGGCAGTAATACCATTTAAGAAGCTGTTGGCACAGCCCAGGAGAAAGTTAATGTTAGCCTGGATAAAGTGGTGGCAGCGGGGGCAGCATTGGTAACTCTGGGAAGCTGGAATACTGAGAGTGAGAAGAGAGAGGGTCAGAATGACTCCAAGGCTTCAACCTTGGGTGACTGAGAGTGTGGGTGCTATTAAATGAAATTGGGCATTCAGGAAGTAGAGTAGGTTTGTGATGGGGAAAGATGTTCTATTCTGGACATGTCGTCTTTGCAGTGTTCAAGGGGGCAACTGTTGGGGTTGTGAGATTTGGGTTTAGAAAAGAGATTCAAGCTGCAGATGTAGATATGGGAGTCATCTTATCTTCAAAATTTAGATGTTAATTGAAGCTGTGGCAACAGATACAATTGCCCATGGAGGGAATATAGAGAGCCAGCAAAACAAAACAATATAAAATGGATTGAACAAAAGACTTGAGGTGCTGGTGGAGGAAGAGTAGCCAATGAAAATGTTAGAGAAATGGCAGAAAGAAGAATGAGAATCAGGACAATTTAATGTTTCAGAATCTAAAGGAACAGAGAGAATCAAGAGATGTGGAGGTGGTCAGCACCATCAGATATTGCAGAAAAGCTGAATAGGCTGAAAATTGAAAAAAAGCACCTGGATTTGGCACATTGGTGAACTTCATTTAAAGAGAAATTTCAGTGTAGTAGAAAGAGCACATATCATATTGCAGTGAGTGAGTTACTGAGGAAGTAGAAGAGATACATTCTGTGTCACACATCATCAGTGATAGAAGCTATAGTGATAAAGTAAAAAGAAATGGGAAAATTGTCTTAGCTTTATGGATTTTAATTCTGAGAGTGCTCAAATGCTTCATTAGGTGGCATCCCCATTCCATATGCTTATCCACCATGAATCCAGTCTAACTCTTCCATCTACAGTATCTAGAGTAGTTTGCCCCTCATAATATTAACATAGCTGAAGCAGCTTCAGGCATGACAACCTCATACAACAATGCAGAAAGGGGCAGAAAAAAAACCTAGTTGATTCTTGTTACTTTTTAAGTGCTAAGAAATCTTTCTCACCTCTTTACCGCAAGGAGCCTTCCTCTCATATCTCATTGGACAGAATTAGGTCACATCACTCTTCCTTAGCCAATCACTGGCAAAAGAACACGTAATTACCATAATCCACCTATACTAATCAAGATTAACACTCTGTGATTGAGTCAGGATCTGGAGATGCAGCTTTAGCTGGGACCTGGGTCTGGGTCTGGGTCTGGAACTAGACTTTCTTTATTCAAATTAGCTTTATTGAAATACAATTCACATAAAATAAAACTCACCCATTTAAAGTATAAAATTCAATGGCTTTTTATCTATTCACAGAGTTGTGCATCCATCACCAAAGTCAAATTTAGAACAGTTTTATTGCCCCTAAAGGAAATCCCATATCCATTAAACAGTCACTCTCCATTTTCCCTTCCCCAATCCCTGGCAAACACTAGTGTACTTTTTGTCTCTATGGATTTTCCCAGTCTGGATATTTCATATAAATGGAATCATACAATATGTGGGTTTTGATGATTGGATTCTTTCATTAAGCATAATGTTTTCAAGGTTCATCCACATTGTAGCAGGTATCAACACTTCATTCCTTTTATGGCTGAGCAGTCAGCCCTCTATGTGTTCTGCATTTGTGGATTCAACCAACTGTGGATTGATAATATTAGAAAAAAAACAGTAAAAATACAACAATAAAAATAATTTGAATTAAAAACTAATACAGTATAAAACTATTTCTATAACGTTTACATTATATTAGGTATTATAAGTAATCTAGAGATGATTTAAAGTGTACCAGAGGATGTGTGTAGGATACATGCAAATACTATGTCATTTTAGATAAGTGACTTGAGAATGCTCAGATTTTGGTGTTTGAAGCAGTCCTGGAACCAACCCTGAGGATATCAAGGGATAACCATATATAATATTCCATTGTATGGATACAGATATTTTGTTTGCCTATTTATTAGTTGTTGGGCATTTGGGTTTTGTTTTTTTTTTTTTTTTTTTTTTACTTTTTGGCCATTGTCGAAAGGCCAAAGCAATATTCATTGCTATGAATATTTATGTACAAGTATGTGTATAAACATGTTTTCAGTTTTTTGGGGTATATACCTAGGAACAGAATTGCTGGGTCATCAGTTAGCTCTATGATTAACATTTTGTGGAACTGACAAACTGTTTTCCACAGTGATTGAACAATTTTGCATTCCCATCAACAATTTAAGAGTGTCCCATCCCAATTTCTCTACATCCTCTATAACAGTTGTTATCTTTTTTAATAGCTATTATAGTGAGTGTGAAGTAGTATGTTATAATGGATTTGTAGTCTTTCTTGAAGCATATAGATAAGTGGAGGAGCGAGGATATCTGAACAAATCTGGGATGATTTTAAGACAATGCCATAGAACTGTTGTGTGGCGTCCATGAGCATTTGTGGGCTATTGTACCCAATTTCTTTTCTTTCTCTCTCTCTCTCTCTGTTTTTTTTTTTTTTTTTTTTTTTTTGAGACGGGGTCTTGCTCTGTCGCCCAGGCTAGAGTGCAGTGGCACAATCTTGGCTCACTGCAACCTCCGCCTACCGGGTTCAAGCAATTCTCCTACCTCAACAATTCTCCTGCCTCAGCCTCTCAAGTAGCTCGGATTACAGGCATGCGCTACCACGCCCAGCTAATTTTTTTTTTTTTTTTCAGTAGAGATGGGGTTTCACCATGTTGGTCAGGCTGGTCTCAAACTCCTGACCTCAAGTGATCCACCTGCCTCAGCCTCCCAAAGTACTGGGATTACAGGCATGAGCCACCATGCCTAGCTTTCTTTTTCTTTTTCTTTTTTCTTTTTTTTTTTTTTCATTGATGGTGGAGTCTCACCCTGTCCCCCAAGTTAGAGTGCAGTAGTGGTGATCTCAGCTCACTACAATCTCTGCCTCCCAGGTTCAAGCAATTCTCCTGCCTCAGCCTCCCGAGTAGCTGGGATTACAAGCGCCTGCCACCACGCCTGGCTAAGTTTTGGATTTTTAGTAGAGACAGGGTTTCACAATATTGACCAGGCTAGTCTTGAACTCCTGACCTCAAGTGATCTGCCGGCCTCCACCTCCCAAAGCGCTAGGATTACAGGCGTGAGCCACCATGCCCTGCCTCCAATTTCTTTTTTGACTGAACTGTTTCCTACTGGTTAGTTGTGCCTCCTTTGGGTCTCAAAATCTCACCTCTTCATGTGCTCATGCACTGCTCTGTCTTTAATCTCCTATGTAGCCTGGATCTCTAGAAGCTGACTCTAACATTCTTTATTTAAAGAAAGAAGTGAGAATTAACTATTATAGACCAATAACAGAGTCTGGTCACAAATAAATACAAAAAATGTTCTTATTTAACTTAATTTGGTAACTTTTTTGGATTTACTTCAACTTTACATTTGATACATTATTTGAATTATCAAAATTTTCAGGTACTGACTCAGGAAAGATTCAGCATAATAGGCAAGCATATTTGGATCTAATAATAAATTATATAATTGAAATATGGTATAAAAATATAACTCTTAAAATTCATCTGGGCTGATCTATTGGTTACTGTGATAGATGATATAGATGTTACAATAGCTGATTGGTGTTATAACACCAGTTCTTAGAGGACCATATATTTGTCAGGCTCATTTACCTCAAAAGCAGGAGTTAGGTTTGGTGAAGCATGGCAAAGAGTAAATTTTTAGAAACATAATCATGGGCATAAGAAGTCTTACTCAGGAGATGGGTGTGCGGGTCCTGTAAATCCTTAGGCCAACACTAAATTCAGTCTGAGCGTTCCAAGGGAGCTAGCATGAGGATACGTTAAGGGGCTTAAAACCAAAAGTGAGAGTCTACAGCTTTTTTCTTGTGATTAGCAATCATACACCCATAGAGCTGCTGTGTGGACCTCCATGACCATTTGTGGGCTATAGTACCCAATTTCTTTTTTGACTGGACTGTTTACTACTGGTTAGTTGTACCTCTTTTGTGTCTCAGAATCTCACCTCTTCATGTGCTGCTAGACTGTTTCTGCCTTTACTCTGCTATACAGCTTGGATCTCTGGAAGCTGACTCTAACCTTCTTTAAGTAAGCACTTGTTTTTTTTTTTGTTATCAGACACTGCTATTTGCCTAGCCAACCACCATTTCCTCTTTCTTCATTGTCAATATTATGTTGGATGTTTTTCAGGTATCTTAAAATTCTAGATTCATAAACATATTTTATTTTATAAATGAAAAGGAACTTAGAAGCCATTTAGTCAGTGTCTTAAAACTGTGGGTGGGCAATTTGCCTACTAATACCACATGGGTCCTTGCTCTCTCTTGGGAATCTATTAAATCAGCATCTCCGGGAGTGGAACCCAAACACTGGTATTTTGCAGGCTCCCAAGAGTAGTTAAAATGTGCATCTAGTTAGTACTAGTATACCATCCCAAAAATTACTTTGAGGGACATGAATGTTAATGTTATAAAAGGCTATGCTTTGGTACAACCCTAAATTTTTCTGATTGATATCATGTGGATAACCATGACCCTGTATCTCTGCTCCAGAATGCTCCTTGATACTTCTATAAAGACCACCTTGACTAGGAAGGACCATGATTGACTCAGTTTGACATTTTGCTTTTTTTTTTTTTTTTTTTTTTTGAGATGGATTCTTGCTCTGTCACCAGGCTGGACTGCAGTGGCATGATCTTGGCTCACTGCAACCTCCACCTCCCAGGTTCAAGGGATTCTCCTGCCCCAGCCTCCCGAGTAGCTGGGACTACAGGCATGCACCACCATGCCCAGCTAATTTTTTTATTTTTAGTAGAGACGGGGTTTCACCATGTTGGCCAGGATGGTCTCCATCTCTTGACCTCGTGATCTGCCCACCTCGGCCTCCCAAAGTTCTGGGATTACAGGCATGCAGCACTACACCTGGCCATGTGATTTAAATATATATATATTTGTTTATTACCTATGTCAGGATGTAGGTAAGAACATATCCAAAAAATATTCCTTCTCCGCCATAAATTTGATGTCTCTGTTTTCAGGTTAGGGTTATGTGTATTAGAAAGTTATCCTCATATTAGTATGATATTTTCTATATACATTTGGCTTGAAAGACAGGTTTTAGGAATACTGAAGAAGATTGAATAGTCCTTTTTAACTTTAACAGCTAGTGAGTTTGTTCAAATAATGACACTTTTCCCCTGACTTAGAGATAATTGCTCGGGTATGTGTTTAAGTGAAGTGTTTTGGGAAACATACTTAGTTATATCCATGTTTTCTTCCATGAATTGTACTCTAATTAAGCTCTGAATAAAATAGGAATGCTTTTTTATACCTTGGTTTTGAATCCATTCACTTTAGGAATGCATTCTAAACATGACCATCAGTGCTGAATTCATAATGCAAAGTTACTTGGAAATTGAGGCATGCTAGTTCGTTCCCACCACATCGACTTATTGGGAGATCGGCCATTCTTGGAAATTGCTCCCAGAGAAACCAATCATCATCAAGTTTTATTACACATGCATAGTGTATAGTGCTCCAGGATCCATAACAGTAACAAAATATGGTATCAGTCGATGGATACAAAAGCATATGTAATGTGTAAATGTCTATCTGCATGCAGCATTGTACTGAGCACTTAGGTAGTAACTCGGTGCTGACACTTGTATTTTCAAGCTATATTGCATATTGGGGTGATTGACACATCAATCTAGTTAAACAGAAGCAGAAGCAGAAAACTGTCCCAGAGCTTCTTACAGGAGGCAAACAACTTATGTCTACATGTATGACTATGGAATCATCTTTTACGTAATTAAGTAAAAATGATCTGCTAGACCAGTTATTTTCAACTCTGGCTGCATATTAAGATCAGCTAGGGAGAGTTTTAAAAAATAAAGACAACCAGTTCTTTCTCTCACAGATTCTGGTGCAATTGGTCAGAATGGGGCCCAGGCATCAGCATTTTTAAGGCCCCCAGGTGATTCTAATGTGCAACCAAAGTTGAGAATCACTGAACCTGACTATGCATCATGAGGATAGGAGCCATCATTTGTCTTGTTTACTGCTACACTCTTTTGTCCAGGCCAGTGCCTGGCACATAATACTTCAATAAATATTTGTTTCATGCAAAGTTACCATCTCTAGAATCGGTAGAGAGCTGAACATTTAGACTCAGTTATCCAGGCATTCAAAAACCAACATTTTTGTGGAAAGCAGTTTGGCATTTCCTCAAAGAACTTAAAATAGAACTACCATTCAATCCAGCGAACTCATGATTGGGTATATACCTAAAGGAATATAAATCGTTCTACCATAAGGACACATGCATGCATATGTTCATTGCAGCACTATTCACAATAGTAAAGACATAGAATCAACCTAGATGTCCATCCATGATGGACTGGATAAAGAAAATGTAGTATATATACACTATTGAATACTGCACAGCCATAAAAAAAGAATGAAAGCATGTCCTTTGCAGCAGTATGGATACAGATGAAGGCCATTATCCTAAGCAAACTAATGCAGGAACAGAAAACCAAATACCACATGTTCTCACTTATAAGTTAAAGCTAAACGCTGAATACACATGGACACAGAGGAGAACAGCAGACACCAATGTCTACTTTGGGTGGAGGGTGGGAAGAGTGTGAGGACTGAAAAACTACCTATTGGGTACTATGCTTATTACCGGGGTAACAAAATAATCTGTACAGCAAACCCCCATTACACACAATTTACTCATATAACAAACCTACACAGGTACCCCTGAACCCAAAATAAAAGCTTTTTAAAAACTGCTAAATGTTTATAGCAGTTAGAGGCCTGCGGATGGTTACAAAAGAGATGATCTCACAAAAGCCCTCACCAGGAGGTCTTCTCAACTAGTGGTAGATTATGCCTGCTTCTTGCCTAAAATACCAAACTGTCAAAACAAAAAAATACAGGGGCCCTGACCTCAAGGTGTTTGTAACCTACATAAAACTACTAATTTCCTACTTTTTTGTGGTCTCCTTCTTGCTCCTACTGAGAGGTGACAGCGTGCTGGCAGTCCTCACAGCCCTCGCTCGCTCTCGGCGCCTCCCTTGCCTGGGCTCCCACTTTGGCGGCACCTGAGGAGCCCTTCAGCCCGCCGCTGCACTGTGGGGGCCCCTTCCTGGGCTGGCCGAGGCCAGAGCCGGCTCCCTCAGCTTGCGGGGAGGTTTGGAGGGAGAGGCATGGGCGGGAACCCGGGCTGCCAGCAGTGCTTGCGGGCCAGAACGAGTTCCGGGTGGGTGTGGGCTCAGCTGCCCCACACTCGGAGTGGCCGGCCGGGCAATGAAGGGCTTAGCACCTGGGCCAGTGGCTGCGGAGGGTGTGCTGGGTCCCCCACAGTGCCGGCCCACCGGTGCTGCGCTCGATTTCTCGCCAGGCCTTAGCTGCCTTCCAGCGGGGCAGGGCTCGGGACCTGCAGCCCGCCATGCCTGAGCCTCCCTCCCCCCGCCCGCCTCCGTGGGCTCCTGTGCAGCCCGAGTCTCCCCGACGAGCGCCACCCCCTGCTCCACGGAGCCCAGTCCCATCTACCACCCAAGGGCTGAGGAGTGTGGGCGCACGGCACGGGACTGGCAGGCAGCTCCACCTGCAGCCCCAGTACGAGATCCACTGGGTGAAGCCAGCTGGGCTCCTGAGTCTAGTGGGGACTTGGAGAACCTTTATGTCTAGCTCAGGGATTGTAAATACACCAGTAGGCACTCCGTATCTAGCTCAAGGTTTGTAAACACACCAATCAGCACCCTGTGTCTAGCTCAGGGTTTGTGAATGCACCAATCGACATTCTGTATCTAGCTACTCTGGTGGGGCCTTGGAGAACCTTTGTGTGGACACTGTGTATCTAGCTAATCTGGTGGGGACGTGGACAACCTTTGTGTCTAGCTCAGGGATTTATTTAAACGCACCAATCAGCGCCCTGTCAAAACAGACCACTGGGCTCTACCAATCAGCAGGATGTGGGTGGGGCCAGGTAAGAGAATAAAAGCAGGCTGCCCGAGCCAGCAGTGGCAACCCGCTTGGGTCCCCTTCCACGCTGTGGGAGCTTTGTTCTTTCTCGCTTTGCAATAAATCTTGCTGCTGCTCACTCTTTGGGTCCACACTGCCTTTATGAGCTGTAACACTCACTGCGAAGGTCTGCAGCTTCACTCCTGAAGCCAGCGAGACCACGAACGCACCGGGAGGAACGAACAACTCCAGAAACGCCGCCTTAAGAGCTGTAACACTCACCGCGAAAGTCTGCAGCTTCACTCCTGAGCCAGCGAGACCACGAACCCACCCAGAAGGAAGAAACTCCGAACACATCCGAACATCAGAAGAAACAAACTCTGGACACGCCGCCTTTAAGAACTGTAACACTCACCGCGAGGGTCCGTGGCTTCATTCTTGAAGTCAGTGAGACCAAGAACCCACCAATTCCGGACACACTACGTCCATTAAGAAATGTGGACAAACAGTACTCTAGGTGAGTCTGCTTTTTCTTTGAATAATAATATTAAGGGGAGGAAGGTAGATATTTGTTGTGTGAACAGAGCAACAGACCTCTGTGGAATTTTCAAAGTAGTTTTCAAGTCTGTTAACACGGTAAGGTGTTTGGGTTATACTCTTGCTGTAACTTCCAACTTTGAAATCTAGCTTACTCTTAATTGCGTCTCAGAAACTTTGCCAAACAGAAAACTTTCTAACTAGTTTTCATCTCTTACTCTTTCTCATGACTTCGATGACTTCAGAATCTTATCCCAAACCCCAGGGTTATGACTCCAATTTAAATATGTAAATTAAAAAAATGTAATGCCAGTGCCCTTTCTTTTTAGTGTATATTGGCTCCAAATGCTGGCATAGCTGGGATTTGATAATTACTTTGTCCTATAGTAAATCTAGTTGGGTAGTGAATCAGGTAACATTTAACTAATTGATTGTATTTTCTTTTTATTAATTCCATGTTTGCAATTGAGTTATGTATGAAGCAGTAAAAACATCCTGCTGTTCTTTTTGTAAATGATGTTATATTTTATCACACAGTGTCTTAAGAATACTAATGCTTAAAAAGATGACTTGAGGATTAAAATGCAGCTTTAGCTTATGGGAGAAATACCACTCAACAATAGTAGATACAACATACATGTAGTGAAAATGACAATCAAACTGGTCTATTAAGTGCAGAGACAGATGTCCTATGTAAGAGATTTCTGTGTCATTGCTGGGAAACGTGTGTGTGCATTATTCATCTCTGCTCAGGCTCTACATTCAAATCCTTTCCAAGTATTCCCTTTTGAAGTACTTTCATGCTGAATTGCTGTCTGTGAGTTTTTGCCTTACGTTTAACACCCAATTTGTTTCCTCTCAGAATCACAGTAGCAAAGTAGGGGAGAAACTAAGGGTCAAAGAATAGCTTAATCTGAAAATCCCAGTTTTATGCAGTTGGTATAAGAGGACTCCAGTAAGGAAGTACTTTATGAAAGTGAAAGCTCTACAAATGTTAGATGGGATTATTTTTATTCAACTATGTTTGGCATTAAAATAACCTTAGTTGTGCTGATTATTAACTTTCTGTAATTACCCATCAAGAAAAGGAAAAGAAAAAGAAATAACTTTGAATTCTGTTTCAGCAGTATTGCCTGAGGAATTTAAGCTAGTCAGGTTTTTGTTTTTGTTTTTGTTTTAATCCAGATGATTATTTACGTTTACATGTGTAAGAGGAAAAGACCCTTTTCTTAAAGGACTTAATTGCTGTAAAAAGGCCTATAATTAATGCAGTAAGTGATTTTTTAAAAAAATCTCCATTTTACAGGTAAAAGTAAGTGATTTTGGAAATTGCTTTTGAATAGAATTCCCCTCCCCCAAAGTCATATGTCTTAAGGACATTCTGATGGTTAAAACTCAAGGAGAGAATTCTGCTGGTTTTACCTTTTCTACATTGAAAGAGAACACTTGTTGGCAGTCCGTAAGCACTAGATTTCCTTCATTTAGCTCTTTCTTGGGGGAAACAAAGTTTTTACCTCAAGCTTCTCTTGAGTTCCTGACAGATTCCATTCTCCTTGAAACAAGCGGTAACTGAATATTACTAAGACAGTTCCTCCAGTGAGAAAACTGCAGTTGGGGAACTCTAGCCCCATAATTGCTTTTTCATTTGGGACTCAGCTTGCTTACAAAGAAATTGGATGTTTGGGATTTAAAGACACACCTCCATTCTTTGTACCATCACTGATTTAATTGTCCTGTCTTCCTTTCTTTCCTCCCTTCTCTCAAGCAACTCTTTCAGCAAGTGTGATTTGAATTAGGCTTGCCATATTGCCCTCTTCAATAACATCAACCAGCCTCTTGACCATTTAATCCATTTTGAATTCTGAAGATACTTTTGTGTGGCAATAAACTTGGTTGTCACAAGCTTCCTTCTTCCCAGTGTCATAGTTTGCAGAAACTATTTAGGAAAATCTGGTTCCTTATGTTCCTAGAACTGTATGGCTATAGCTTTCCCCTTAGAAATTTCCCTATGGAAGGATGGCTTCTATTACACAGGAATGCTTTCTCTGAATACTGTGACCAGAGAATCTAAGTGCCTGTGTTGATTTTGACCAAATTAACAAAATTTCTATAATTCATATCTTTTCGTTTTATGACAATTAAGTAATATTTCATATGTGTCACTTTTATTATTTTTTCTTTTCAACCACACCTGTTTTGGTCAAGTCATCTCTTACTTTCTTAAACTCCCATACATTCACATACATACACATTTCTTTACACATTCACACTATTTTTTTTTTTTTTTTAAAAATACAAAGTCTTGCTTTGTCACCCAGGCTGGAGTTCAGTGGTGCAATCTCACTGCAACCTCCACCTCCCGGGTTCAACATATTCTTGTGCCTCAGCCTCCCGAGTAGCTGGGATTACAGGTGTGCACCACCATGCCTGGCTAATTTTTGTGTTTTAGTAGAGATGGGATTTTGCCATGTTGGCCAGGCTGGTCTCAAACTCCTGGCTGTAAGAGATCCACCAGCTTCAGCCTCCCAGAGTACTGGGATTACAGGCATGAGCCACCGTGCTCAGGCCTCAAGATGATATTCTTTATGAATTTTTTCCCTCTATTTTAGCTAAAGTTATTATGAAGTATCGATATATTCACTTTAGGCCAAGGTTTCCCCACATAGACACTATTGACATTTGGGGCTGGATAATTCTTTGTTGTGAGGGTCTGTCCTGTGCATTGTAGGATATTTAGCAGCATTCACTACATGCCAGTCCTACCCCCTGCCCAAGTTGTGACAATCAAAAATGTCTCCAGTTTTGACAGATGTCCCCAAAGTTGGGGTTGGAGAGCAAAATTGTCCCCAGTTGAGATCTACTGGCTTAGAATATCTAGGACCTGGCCTTTCACTGAAAAGATACAATCATTTTTCAATGTAAACCATATACACAATTTTCAATTAATGCTTGTAATACTGTTTGTATGTACTATACTCATAACCTTCCATATACTTCCTATTATTTGAAGAGTTACAAATAGTCTCACCTATTTTCCATGATTGTGACATGATTATATCCAAATAATCCGTATGTCTTTACCCAAGCCCCTTTTACAAGCATTTTCTCTCACAAAGCAATAATCTATAATATACCACAAACAGTTCATCTGTGTCATTTTTTCCGCTGGTCTCCGATCTGTTATGTTATGCTGACTTGCCATTATTTTTAAAGCAGTGATGCTAAACTATTTTGGATAAATACCTCAATTGCTTTGTAACTTTCTTGGAAACATTAAAGATATTTTATTTTAATATTTGGGAGTATTTCTTTTCTACTAAGGACTTTTAGCCAGCATTCCTTTGTAAGATATCATGTTCTGATGATTTATTTGTTAAGTTTACCCTTTCAATATAACCGCTGCTATAAGCTCGGGATGCATTATACATTTTCAAGATCTGTAGGCCCACTGGAATTTTGATTTTTTTCCCCTGACATTCACAGGAATATTATACAGACAGATTTTCTATTTAAAGATAACTTTGACTTTGTATAAACCTCACTGTGCCATTTAAGTGATAAATATTGGTGCATGAACTGGTTTGACTTTCTGCTGAGAACTGCTAAAAGCCTTTTAATAGAAAACAATAGGGAATGTCAAACATTGAATCACGATCTCACTGAAGCAATTTTTCTTAGAAAGACTTTCATCACACAGAAGTTTTATCCTTGCTCAAATTTTGCCAGAAATTATGTCTGGTTAAAATCTATTGTGATGCCTTGTGCAGCTTGTTTACCCAATCTTTTATGAATAAAGGGCAGCTTTTTAATATGTTACCAGCTTTGCTCTTCTCTTTCTTTTTTAAAATAATTTTCATACTTAAATACTAACTAGCTTTGAACTTAATTTTTGTCTAAAGATATATTTAGGGACAAAACAGAAGACTGTAATTTTATTTTAGGTTAGGTATCACTAAGAGAGGTGGTTAATGGCCACATGTATGTTTAATGGTATGTGACTGGTTGCTTTGGGAGCAAATAAACTAGAATTCCCCCAAATGAGCCACTCATTTTACTTTGTCTTGTCACCAGTTTGTGCCTTCTAACCCAGGCCAGCTGTCTCACAACAGAGGCCACGTGAAAGGAATGCAGGCTCGGCAGAGTTTAGTCATCACTGTAAAAAATTGCTTGAATAATATAAACTACTAGGTTTATTTATCTTAGCATTTTCAATTACAATGTGAGCTCAGTGAGTTTTGACTAAGCCCTACCTTTTTCAATATATTAGGTCTATTTAGAACAGCTAAGAAGGGGAAATCAAAATAAAAATCAAACAGTAACTGGCTTCATGTAAGCGTAGTCTGCATGTATGAAATGTGAAAAGTCCCATTTCACAGCTAACCACCATTTTGGACTTGCCATTATCTTCCTTTCTTCCTTCTTTTTTTCTTCATTCTTTTTTATTTCTTTCCTTCCTTTCATTTCTTGATAGCAGTGTTTAGCTGGTGGTGATCCTCATTAATTCTCTTATCCTTCAATAACTCGTGGAGAAATCCTAAAATCCCTTGTTTTGATGCCAGAAGCATGTGTTGGTTACTGAAACAATAGTCTAATTAGGCTCCAAAATTAGAACGTTGCCTGTGTTGGACCCTAGAAGGGGTAGATACTAAAAAACTAACAGATACACATTGTGGTTAGATTGTGTGTTGTATTCCTTCATTGCACACTGTCATCCTAATTCAGTGCCTTACATATAGAAGGTACTTAATTTTATTTTTTCTTTTATCAGGGTATTCTTACTGTTGAAGTGAAAAAATGGTCCTGTCTTCCTCTACTTTTAGTTTTTTCAATGATCGCAATATCCATCTCTTCCCAGATAAGGATAGGAAATGTTTTATGTAGCATTATTGTACAATACCTTAAATATATACTTAATTTAATAAAACTTAAAATGCATTAGAATTTATCCTCTATTGGATGGAATTATTTTCCTTAATAATTTAATATATTAGTTAATTCATTTACTACCTAAAAATTCATTAAGAACGAAATATTTCCTATACCCTGTGCTGAGCACTAGGGATGCAAATGGATGAGATGCCATTACTATCCTCAGGAAAGAACAATCTATTGGAAGAGAAGAAGACACAAATAACTGTGGTCTGGTGAAACAAGACCTATAGTATAGATAGATACAATGTGCCATGGCAGATAGAGGAAGTTAATTCTGTTAATGGCGATACAGGGTAGGCTGTCCAGAAAGAAGATGACACTTGAGCTGGTCTTAAAAAATGGAGAGGAGTTTGCCAGTTAAAAAAGTAGCAGTGTATATTGCTGGAGGTGATAACATCCATTCCACACTGCAGACAGAGCATAAGCTAAGGCATGGAAATATTTGACTTGTTGATATGCATGTCATATGTTCCAGTGTGGCTAGAGCATCAGTGGCATTGGGACACTTAAAGTATATGATACTAGAAAGATAGACAGAACCTTGAATGCCTATTAATCAATTTGGATTTTATCCTGACAGCAAAGGAGAACCACTGAAGTGTTTTAAGCAGGAGTTTGACAGTATCTGGTTTCTAATTTAGAGAGAAAATTCTGTTAGCAGTATTGAGGATGGGTTGGAGGGAGAAGATGTGGGATATTAAGGAACCAGTTAGGAGTTTACTATAATTATTTAGGTGATGGACAATGAGTGCCTGGATTAGGACATGGGCATTGCAAATGGAAATGATGACATATTTCTTAGTTATGTTAGACAGAACTTTAGTAACCACTTGTATATGGAGAATAAGGAGCAACAGAGAAGAATGATCCCAAGGCTTCTAGATCCAGCCACTACGAACAGGAACACAGGAGAAGGAGGAACAGCTTTGGTTAGGAAAGGTGATGTTGGAAGTGTTTGTTGTAAGATTACTGTAAGAGGTTAGACATTTAGAACTATGGAACTTGAGTTCAAGAGAGAATTAGAGTTAGAGACAGACTTGAGGGTCATCACCATATCTGAGATAGTTAAAAGCATGAACCTGAGTGCAATTGTTCAATGAAAGCATATAGAATAAGAAGAGAGCAGAGAAGAAGGAATAACTCGGTGTAGGGGGGATGGGTTTTAAGAAGCTGGTAGAAAAAGAGAAGCAGACAAAGGGATCAAGTAGTTGCACTACAGATGTCATAATTGGACTACAGGAAAACCAGTGCTGTTGGGTAACTGATAGAAAAGAATGAGCAGGTATGGAAGGAATGAGAAGAGAGATAAATTAAGAAAGGGAGAAAAATTGAGAGAGAATAGACTTAGATTGAATGCTGCGGGAAAAGAGAGAGCAAAGGAGATTGAAAAGGAGAAAGGAGTATGTATATACATATATACAAAGAGAGAGAATAGTGAGAGGGAATATAACTGATACAGCAAGTTTTCAGATGAGGCATTACGGGCTAGTAGCGCAGACTGGGGGTAAAAAACACAGGTGAGAAAGATTCTTGAAAAATTAAGAGGACATTTCTTCCTCTGATGCGAAGAAAAAGGAGTAAGAATAAATGAAAATAGATTTTGAAGGTATAGTTAAGGGAAGTTGAGAGTTCAAACATGACGACTTGATTTCTCTATGAATAAGAGAAAAAGTCATTGGCGGCCATGACAGTGAGTTGGCCTAAGTGAAGTAAGGCTGATACTTTATCAGCACCAGTGATAGTTTTTTGAGAACCAACTTGTGTAAAAAACATTTATAAATCTGCGGTGTAACCAATCAGCAAGATAATGAGGGTTTTCTCTTGCTCTTGGCTGCTTGTGAGCAGCAGGAAGAGAAAAATAAAATGAAGCAGGGATGGATGCAGGATTATGAATTGGCAGGTCAGGTGTGGTACCAGGTAAGCCGCGTAGGGACCTGTGATCACTAGTGAGGGTTAGGTAGGCATATAAGGGAAGTTAGGAAGACACTGATGGACTAGCAACTCAGAGACAAGGGATGTGGTTGGAGGTCTTATTGAGGTTTAGTGGGAGTGAAGAAGTATATTTTGAAGTCTAATTATAAGGTTAGAGTCTTGCAGATTTAAGTAGAGAGTCTATTATGGCTTAACTAATTTTTATAACTAAAAAGTAATGTTGAGTAAAACATGAAAAGAATTTTTAAACTCCTGTGAAGTGTGTACCAGTGATTAGAGCTGCGACAGCTTATAGGAATAAGATCAGAAAAACTGAAGCTGGAAATGAAATGCTCTGTGTGTCTGTGTGTGTGTGTACAATATATCCACACATATATACTATAGTATGGTATATACTATACTTATGTAGATATATAAGATATATAAAATACACACATGTATACACATATGCATACATGTGTCTGTGTGTATGTATATAAGATATGTATACACACATATATGTGATATATATACACACATATATGTGATATATATACACACATATGTGTGTATATATAAATAAGATATATATAAATTAGATATATATACACACACGTGTGTGTATAAAAATAAGATATATATACACACACAGACACATGTATGCATGTGTGTATATTTGTATGTGTGTGTATATTTCATATGTGTCTTATACATTTTTTCTTTCAACTATTTTGAGAAAATACAAACGTGGAAAAAAATGAATCTCTGTTAAGTAAAAAGCCAAAGATTGGACCTGAGAGGTGATAATGGAAATTTTTAGGGACTATGGTCATATTCTTGGTAGGTGGGCTCAGAATTCAAGATTTTAATATATTGAAGAAATGGCCAGAAATTAACCAAATTTTATTACAGCATGTTTTGGGGCATTGGGGAGGCAAAAACAAACCGTGAGTAAGGGAAGTCTTGCATGTTAATCCTAAACCCTTTAATTTTTCTTATACCTCACTAGATATGCATTCTAGTAACTTAGAATTTAAGTAGGTCTTCCTTATTAATAGGAGAAACTGCAAATTTACTCTACCCTTCACTTTATGTACCCTTAATTCTCTCTATCTCAGAAACATCTTCATGAATTGAACTTTATACCTCTATTGACACACACAAGTGGTTCTAAGCCCAGTGCCTAGAATATTTCCTAGCACTTAATTAGAAATGTAGATAAATACCTAAATAACAATAAAACATAATACATGCTATAATAGAGAAATAAAAGGAGGAAATGGTGGTGCCTGAAGGAGGAAATGACCAAATTGTATATAGGTGTGTTAGTGACACATGTCTTTAATCCCATGGCTCTTAACGTTGACCCTCAAATCCTTAAACCCCCTCCCCAGAGTCTATTTTCCACCCTGGATTCTCCCTTCCTTATCTCCTTTTGCCCTCACCAAATTTTTCCACCATTTTGCCCAATTTCACAATAATCTGGTAAAGCAACTGGTACCAATGAGATAACATATTAGTGTATTGATAAGAGCCTTCTGAAGGGATTGTTTCAACCCAAAGGAATGACACCATAAAATCTCAGATATTATGGCAAAATCATGGGGAACATTATTTACTTTGGGTAGACAGGTTGTCTAATGACTCTAAAGTCTTATCACATTGGTGTTTATCCTACTTACATGTAAGACTGACCTTGTATTTGTATAAAATTTATATATGTTGCCTAGTAAAATTCTGTTGATCATTTGTGTCAATTAAAAGGTCTCTGGGTATAAAAGTTGTGGTCTGAAGAGGTGCAAAGATTTAGTTAGTTTTACTATCACGGTTTCCTGAATCATTATGGCTTCTATGATTAAGAAAGTTTTAAAGCAACTTGTAAAGATTTAACTTTGTCCTATGCCGGTAAATCCAACCTTGATCAAACTAACTCAAGTTCCCAGCTCCAAGAGGGCATTTGTTCTCACTGTGTTTTCTGCTCGATTTCCCCCAGCTGAAGTGAAATGGATGAAGAATTTTAATTTGTCTTTTTTGCATTCAAATATAAAAAAGTCATTGGATGTTAGCTGAAAACTTATGAAGTGACAGTCTTGTTAATAAAGACAAATGAGATGGCTTGTTTTATTAATATTAATGTTGCACATAATGTAGCTTTGCTAAATAAATATATGGTTACATTTTGCAAACTTTGCAAATTAAGAATTTATAGCAATTGTAGATTTTAAGGCCAAGTTACAAATTTTCAGGTGCATTTTAATTGTTGGCAAATATTTTAAGATTGGAGAATCACTTACATTTATTTGAAATATTTGTGAAGAAACTTAGCTTACAGCCTTGATGATTTCCAGTATTTGTAGTGATGTCCTAATTATCATACTACTTATAGCAATTGAGAACTATGGTAATTGAGAAGGAGAATCTTCCACAATCTAATACAAGTCAATCCCACTAATATGAACTCCATAGGGGAGCCACATGTTCTGGCTGCTGTGAAATGCTTGCAGTCCCAAAAAAGAAATCAGGCCCAGATTTTCTGTGGGAGATGGGGATTAAATTAATAGTTAATGGAGAAAATAAAAAAATTGGAAGGGGGAGGACTTGGACATGGCTTCACTTCACTCATTCATTCACTCATTAAATATTTATGAGCAGCCGGACAAGGTGGCTCACGCCTGTAATCCTAGCACTTTGGGAGGCTGAGGTGGGCAGATAACCTGAGGTCAGGAGTTTGAGATCAGCCTGGCCAACATAGTGAAACCCCGTCTCTACTAAAAAAAAATACAAAAAATTAACTGGGCGTGGTGGGGGAGGGGATGCCTGTAATCCCAGCTACTTGGGAGGCTGAGGCAGGAGAATCGCTTGAACCCGGGAGGCGGAGGCTGCAGTGAGCCAAGATCGTGCCACTGCACTCCAGCCTGGGCGACAGTGTGAGACTGTCTCAAAAAAAAAAAAAAAATTATGAGCACCTGCCAGGTGCCACATCCTGTGCTGGGTTCTGCAAATAAGACAGATGAAGTCCTTGTCCTCATGGTTGTTCGTTACCTCCAGATGTGGATGCTCCTATGCTCCTGTGGTATTCTGTTAGTTGTTTTGGAAACTTGGTTGGTTCATTATGGTCAAAGTTCCAAATTAGTTAAGATGATTAAGATGTTGAGGTGCAGAGAGGGGAGGACAGAGGGAAGGAGAGTTGTAGCTGAACAAAAGAGCCATGAAATGCTTAGCTGTTCTCTCTTTGCCATACTCCCTCATCACTGCCTAATTTTCACAATGGGTTAGCAAATGTGAAGTGTTCTGTAGGCAGACATGACTCCATTCAAAGCTTTTCATAATCATTTTGGAAAGTGGCAGGAATTAGAAGCCCAGCATTGGCAGCACAGGAGGTAAGGGTGATATTTATTATAGACCATTTTTTTGCTTTGTAGTTTATGGAGTAAGCTAAGATTACAACTATAATTATATTATTCAATGTTTAAATTTTATATATTATCAGAACAAATATTAATGTGTAAGAGAGGCATACAATGTGAATATTGAGCCATCTCTTTGGATTCATTGAAAGGTTGGTTTTCCCAACTTATATTTATAAATGACTTAGGACCACTGATAATGCTAATGAATTTAGCTAAAAAGTATCTCCAGAATGATACTCAGACATTTTGTACATTTAGATTTATTCTACAATTCAGTGGGGAACAAAACCATTCAAAACCATTTTATTTTGAATAATTTAGTTACTTCTTGTTTTCCTAATGAAAGAATTTGCTTTTTGATTCAAAATTATTCTGGATCAATGAGACATGAGGGACATCTATGAAAAAATAAAAATCTATAAATTATCCAGATTTTTAAAATCCATATGTTTAATTTCATAGTCTAGAAAAAAATAACATCTAGATTTGACTATTTTCCCTAATACCTGGAATGTATATTTTAGATAACATAAAGGTAGATGAAGTAAATGCTATGTTGGTCTCTTTTCAGGGAAATCTTGTGACTTTTTCAACATTGTATCACAATGTCGGAAAAATTCATGTTTTATAATCTAGAATTTTATTTGCCTTGCTTTATGTAGAGAATAGTTACTTTCCTTTTGTCAGAATTTCTAATTTCTAATATCTCTTATGCTAGCTGCTATTTTGGTGATAGGTGCTTTTAAAGAAAGCTTCAAATGATTGTACTACTTTTACCTAGTAGCTAACATTAGTTTCCATGACAGAAGGTGTGTAAACTATTGTCAGTCTTGACAACATAGAAACAAGATCAGCTTTACTCAAGAAAGTTTTCATTTAGGTTAATAATATTAGGGTAAAATCCCAACTGAGTCTATATCAGGAAATCTTTTATGATCTGATATTATAACACATTCAAGAATAACAAATTTTCCTTTAAATAAAATTAGAGGGAGTTGCTTTGAGGCTGAATAAAAAATATATTGGAAAACTGTGTATAGTGGAGATATATGTTCCTGCTCTGTTGGGAACCCATTTATCTCTGACTCTAAGACTAATCATGTTATGAATAGACGTACACACTCTGGGCAACTTGAAAAACAATCAGTTTGTTCAGCTCCAGAAGGACCCTCTGAGATAGATTTCTTGCCTGAAAAACTCTTGATTTGACTCCACCTTTTTATGAGATTATCAAATATTTTTACATGTTTTGCTTTTGCATGTGTATGCATCCCATGATGATGGTTCATACTTGAATTGTGTTTATTGTTCATATTCTTTTATCTCATTTTTTCTTCTTGGTACACCATGTCAAGTATTACTGATTATGAACAGATGCTGTCTTGATGGGCCGATTTAGGGGCCTACATCTTATTTCCAAAGGGCTTTTGCATACTCTCACTGCTATTTCCTTTGGATAAGAATTTTGGGACTATGTATAGACAGCATACATGACACTGTGATACTTAAGATCAGTTATATTTTCAGATGGCCCATCTTATCCTTGTTAGAATGACCTGAAGCTTTGTGGTTTTAGCTGTACCAGGATGAGATGCCTAGAGATGTAGAAGGGTCAGACTTCAGTAGAATTGCAGTCCAGGCTTGCCTGTCCGTGTTAATGGAAAGATGTCATGTTGTATAGCAGTGGGGTTTTTCAGCTTTTTTTTTTCAAGAAGAAAATAATGTTTTTAAGTAAAATTTTCTGTAGAACCCCAATATCTACAACAATTAAGAATATGGAGTTGCCCAAAGCAGAGAAAGAGCTGAGACCCACTCTCTCATCTGCTTTGCCTTCTGCTAGGCCTCCTTGTCACCCCACTCCGTGACCCTTCAAGAACCTCTGTGGAGTACTAAAGCTCTGAGGAATGAAATTGATAACCATTGTGGTACGAATAATTTTTCTTTTTTAAAATCATCGATCATTGACTGAAATTTTTTAAAAACTGCATTTCAAAATTGGGGTGTCAGCTATCTAGGGAAATCATGTCAGTTAAAATAAAAGCAGTCCCACTATCCAAACTGGAATGTCGAAGAAACAAAAACCTTCTCATCTTTACCACCCTAACAAAAAATTAAGCGTAAAAAGCAATAAAAGTTCAAGTAATTTGAAAGCCAAGTTGCATAGCCCAGCCTCTTATTTGCTGTGTGGATAGAAAGTGAACTAACATTTGATGAATATCTACTATCTGAAAAACCTTCTGTCATGTGCATTATATAGTATTCTCTAATTTAAATCTCACAACAATCCTGGGAGGTGGAAATTATTCCTATTTTACAAATAATAAAAATGTGGCTGGTGGAGATAAAGAAACTTACCTGAGATCACACAGCTAGGAAGTGGAGGGTCTGGGTTCTGAACCCTAATCTGGCTGGCTCAAATGCTCATACCCTTTCTCCAGTCCTGTGCTATATTTCCAGAAATATAGTGAAGGGAAGCAAGGATATTATGAACTATAAACACAAGATTGTCCTGAAAAATATGTATAGAGATGCACTTGACCACAAACACAGTGTTTTTCATTTGCTGTTTATATACCACTATATCTGTGCCCCTTCCTTTTATATGCAATATATTTGATATATTCTTCCTTCCTCATTCCTCTTCTGTTATGCTTCTCTCCTTTCCTCTTTCCCTTCTCTCTCTACTTCCACCTTCACTGTTGCACAGTCTTAAGAGATATGGGTCCTCCTCTCATCTAGACACGGTATTTGTTGGTTTTAAGAAATGAAAACCCAGTTAAGATAGTAAAGTGAGAAGATCCTTAAAAGAATATAGAGGTACCTCACAGAATGCAGGGGCAAGATGTAACTGCCATGCCAGGAAGTGAGGTGGCTTTTCTACCTCTCTGTGAGTGCATAGTTTTTCTTATGTCTGCTTCTCTCAAATGGCTTCTTTCTGCACATCTGCTCTTACTCCCTCTCACACCTCTGCTCCTCTTAATTGGCTCCCTCTGCTTAGGAATCTTTAGCATTGCTCAGTATGGATGGCCTGGCCCTAACTCTGCATGGGCTTTCAGATCCAGTGCCTGGAACTTTCTTCCATATCTCTAAGTTTAATGTCTTGTGGGCATAAGGTTGGCTCAGCTCAGCTTATAAATACATCCTCTTTTGCGTTAGGTGTTCAACCCTGATCCAATCAGCTATAATGGAGTGACAGGTCACAGGTTCGAATATGGTCCCTTCAGTTGAGATTATAGGTAGGGCCTAAACCCAAAGATATGTCTAGTATACTTTCGTCAATACTGGACTTTACTTCCAGATATACTCTCCTTCCTTTACCCTAATTACTCTAGAGAAGAAGGGAAGGAGGGAGCCCTGTGGGTAGCAGGACTTTCTCCTACAAAGGAAGTTAGATTGTTCCATTCAGGGCTTGTGGTGGTTGATGTGTTTAGCTCAACCAGATTTGGACATCCCAGAGTGTGGCAGAAGGCTCAGAAACCTTTGTAGGAAATGAAGTAGAAAAAATATTACTTAGGTAATTACTTTTGCAACAACTTTTAAAATGTACTTGATAAATAATATTTTACATATTTATAGGATACATGTGATATATTGTTACATGCATACAATGTGTAATACACAAGTCAGGGTACTTAGGATATCCATAACCTCAAGCATTTATCATTTCTATGTGTTAGGAACACTTCAAGACTTCTCTCCTAGCTATTTTGAAATATATAATACATTGTTGTTAGCTAGCTATAGTCATCCTACTCCGCCATCAAACATTAGAAATTATTCCTTCTGTCTAACTGTATGTTTGTACCTATTAAGCAACCTCTTTTCATCCACTCATCCATCCACCCACACACCCTTCCCAGCCTCTGGTAGCTATCATTCTTTTCTGTACCTCCATGAGATCAACTTTTTTAGCTCCCACATATGAGTGAGAACATGTGAAATTTGTCTTTTTGTGTCTGGCTTATCTCACTTAACATAATGACCTCCAGTTCCATCCATGTTTCTGCAAATGACATTTTATTCATTTTTTATGGCTGAATAGTATTTCATTAAAATTTTGGATTAGTATGAACAACATGAAAAGCCTTTACGATGTGGCACAGTCGCGTTAGACATGGATCAAAAACGTAGGTGTAGTTCACCTTGCCTGAAATTGTGTTACATGTACAAGTGGTAGAAACCAGGTTTCTATAAATAAGATGTGCTGGATGCTTTGTTTCTAATAAACTCATCCATGCTCAAGAGAGAAGTATCTATGATGCTGTTGTACTTTAATGCCCAGTAATATATTACGAAAGTATTTTAAAAATCACTTCAAAGATCATCATCAAAGGATAGTGCAGTCTTTGATTACTCCTTGAATACTCTCTCTCTACTTCTCTCTCTCTCATTCTCTGTCTCTCTCTCTCTCTCTCTCTCTCTCTCTCTCCGTGTGTGTGTGTGTGTGTGTGTGTGTGTGTGTGTTGAGGGCAGCTAATTGCAGTGTGAACCTGAAGTAATGCTTTTATTATAGGCTAAAGAAGTGATATCAAACTTTGTCTCTAGGGGTTATGATTTGAGTAGATTATAAGGGTTATGATGTACAAGAACTTGGTTGAAATTATTCTAGTATGCATTATTCCAGGCTTGATGTATCATGTTGTGATATAGCAGCTCTCAATTTTGTAAACAGCCTAAAAAGGTTTCTTTGGGACTCCCTAGCCATCTCTTATTCTGGACATTTAACTAAGAAAGTAAAAAAGAAGTTCATAATCACCAAGTTCCCAAACTTGTCAATGTATCATTTTCAGGTTGAAGAGTTTTTCATGGAAATGCTTTGCTTCTAGACACCACCCCTTGCCTTCTGCACAATATCAGCAGATGTGGTGGTAGCTTCGGGAGGGCTAACCCCTCTGTGGTTGCTCAAGTTTTTCAACTTTAGAGTCTTCATATCTTATGATTCCCCTATACTTCACGGATGATGACTTCTTGCTTCATTGGGGCCCTCCCTGACCACTCTATCTACAGCAAACTTCCTCATCCCCCCATTCTCTCACTTCATATTCTGTTTTGTTGTCCAAATTTTACTTATTACAATCTGCAATTATTTTATTTAATCATTTTGTGTTTTATTGAATGTATCCCCCATCAGATTGTAAGCTCTGAGCAGGCAAGGACCATATCTATGTTAGTCAACATTGGTATCCCCAGTGCTTTATACAGTGCCTTACATATAAAATGGGCTCAATAAGCATTTTAGGGATTGGTGAATGAAGAAAACAGTAGTAGAACACTATCATCCATGATAACAAAGCAGCCACAGAAGTCATTTCACTTTGGAAAGTGAACCTCTTGGCACAATGGCTGTGTCTCTCATGTGCACATGGTTAGTATACCAGTCATCCCTGGAGAAAGGGATGGGGGATTCGGGCAAATCATGTTATATTAGAAGTCCCCACACCTACCATTCAAAATGAATAATTATCAATATTTAATATACTTAATAGAAAAATGTCCCTATTTTAAATGTGCAGACTGGTGATTTTTCATACAATGAGCATACACATGTAGCCAGCACCTAGATCAAGAAACAATATTCCCAATACCTTGGAAGCTCCTCTCATGCCTGCTTCCAGTCACTGTTTCTTCAAGGTTAACTATTATTCTGTCTTCTAACAGCATACATTAGTTTTGCCCATTTGTACTTTATATAAATGGAAGTATACAGTTTCTATTCTTTCAACATTATGTTTGTGAGATCCATCCATCAACCATATTGTGGCATTCCCCACACTTAATGTTTTTAAACAAGTGGAAATGAATCCCAAGACACAATGAGAGGGCAACGTAATGAGGAAAGGAGGCTAGTTATATAGAGTGATGATTGGAGATTTATGTGCTGAAGTGAGCCATGTTCTATTAAATTCACTGTGCCTTCTTTGCTTCCTCTAGCCTTGCTTCCCAAATCCTAAACATTCAGCTTACAAATATCTGCCCTTGGGAAAAATACTTACTAATCCACCGAAAATCCATCTCTGCTACTGCAGAAAAAAAAAAAATCTTTTGAGCCCGTGCTGTCTCCCTGAGGTGTGTCAATAGTGCCATTTCTTTATACCAGGGGCAGCATTTAATTATTGATTCTCAATGCATATGTCCTGGAGGTGTTTATTAATCTGAGTTTAGGGACATTGTTGTTTCCCTCTATGTGCATGAATTTATGAGAAGACCTATAGGGGAGGGGTGATGAAAAAACTGATTAAGTTTCTGGACTTTACACAGAAAGGGATACAAATAGGATACTATGCATGATTTAAAATTGGCAAGGACAGGCCTCCAGCATGAGGGAATCTCTTTGAGTTATTAATCATGAGTTATATATTTTTGTGACAGTGAAAGGGAGCTTTAATTAAACACACCTTAATAACCTTCCCTTACAAAATTCCTTTTTAAAAATAAATATGGCATCAAGTAATATATGGAAGGTGTAGAGTAACTCTTCTAGAGTTCTATATAATGGAGAAGCACCCCCTGACAAAGAAGGTTGCCAAGCACTTGCACAAATTACTAAAAAAAGGCTGGGGAATCACTGGCCATCTGTTCAGCATGGTTCTCATGCAAGTGTGCCTGGAGCCATGGGGCTAGATGGCATGATATTAGAAGGGAAAGATCTTTTGGTTTTCATTTGATGATTATCAGGTTTCTTTAAGTCTAAAAAATGCCTTAAAACTTAAGTAATAAAAGAAGGTGTTCTTTTGGCTCATGCAGTGTGTCGATCTCTGTCTCTCCCAAGCATTTTTAGACTTTATGCCAGAGACCACCTGGAGGCAAAAGACACCATTTATTTAATTCCTTCCAATACTAGTACCACACATTAAAAAAAAAAAAAGTATTGTGCTGTTGCTTGCGTAAAGAGTTATTATTTACTGGGCCTCATTTTAAAATGTTTTTATTGCTTTTTAAAGTGGTCAAAATGACACTTTTAAAACCCACAATTTTGTGTGACCTGCATATTGAACCAGTCCAGACACCGCTTGAAAGGTCTTTGCAGGCCACTATGGCTCCATACACAATAATAATCAATATCACTTAGACTACTTATTGGGTACACACTGTGTGCCAAGAACTGGTAGGCACTTTATATACGTTATCTCATTTAATTTTCTCAATGATCTGGCAAGGCAGGCACAACCACCACTCCACTAATAAATGAGGGAAATGAGTCTTGGCCCAGTCAGATAATTAGTCCTCAGCCACATTGCTCATTTGTTCAAGCACTGAATTATGAACTCGGGTCTGTCTGACTCCAATGCCCACATTCCTTCCCTACACCATACTTTCTTAATACTTTGGGAACCGTGGTCTACACTCATTTCTTGATATCTGTGGGGGATTGGTTCCAGGACCCCATGGATACCAAAATTTGAGTATGTTCAAGTCCCTTATACATTTGCATATAATGGATGCACATTCTCCTGTATGCTTTAAATCATCCCTAGATTACTTATAATACCCAAATACAGTGTAAATAATTGTTATACTGTATTGTTTTTTCTGTTTTTTTATTGTTCTATTGTTAATTTTTAATTTCAAATAGTTTCAATCTGTGGTTGGTTGAATCTGCAGATATGGAACCCATGGATGTGGAGAGCTGACTATATTTCAAATAAGACTCTGAAACAAACACAACTTCTGATTTGGATATCTTTCTAGGTTCGTCTGGTTTGTTTTCTGGTCACTTTTAACATAGTAGTAATCAGTACTAGGTTTGAACCTTGCCTTTGCCACTTGCCAACTTTGTGACCTGCAGCACGTTACTTAACCTCTCTGAGGCTCAGGTTCCTCTTTCATGAAATAGTTAAAATAATAGAACTCACTTAATAAAGATGTTTTAAGAATTAAAGGAGATGATGCAAGTGAAAGTATATATCAAAATAATAGCGAGTGTGTAGTAGATGTGCAAGACTATTAATAACAAAGATACTAGGACTGGTTTTTGAACTTAGAGCACCTTGGCAGTGTCTCTTCTCCTTCCCAGTAATTAACTCAGTTGCTCTCTTAGAAGCCTTTTCTGTTCCATCAGGATCAGAAAACGTTTCCTTACACCCAGAGTTTAACAATTGAATCCAGGCTGTCATTACAAAATAAATCTTGATTCTCATACTTCAATTTTTAGCAGCCTGTCTTCTCTTCCTTAAGGTCTAAAGAATAACCATAAAAATAAAAACGTGATTCTGCTGAGACAGCATTAGAAAAAAATAATAAATGAAAACTAACCCTAATCAAAACAAATAACATATATCCAAGCATCTCAAACCTTTAAAATGTTGTAAAGGTAGAACTCATGTCTATTTACCTAGCCCTATGATTGTCATATGTTCTAAACCAAAAATTAGGACACATAGTCCAACAAAGAATTCATTTTCAGATTTGTATTCTGATTTATAGAATAAGATACATGGAAGCATAACAATTAAGTTGCATTTAGCTATACATTTTCTGAGTCATCTTTATTGAGAAGAATATGGGACACTATAAAGTTGAACTATCCTAAAGATTAGGGACATGTGATACTCTACACTTTTCTTTTGAATAAAAGCATATCAGTAATCTTTGAATATCCTTGAAAAGTACCAAGATAGAAGGTTATTAACATTCATTGCAATGTTAATAACTTTATTCCAGAATTTTCTTTTGTTTCTGTTGTATAACTTCACTTGTAGAACACCCATTAATGCAATACCAAGCTTATAGAAACACATGCTTTATGTAATTTTTAGTGTCGGTAAAAGTGATATTCAGAGGGAGAAAAGATAATTAGCCCCAGGGTTTGATAGACATCATTTAGTAGTCATCCTGTTAATCTAAAATCCTACACATAACCAATTAACCATTGTAATGAGAACTTTAATTTTTAAACTTCCTATCCAATTTCTTTCAATCATTGCTGCCAAGCATTTGAAAGCCAGTAATGCAGAAGGTGCTTTATAGGCCTGTGTTAGAAATGGTCACATCCCCAGGGAGCTAAAATCACAACAGATCACACAAGTAGAGTGATCTGCTTTTTATTGTGGGCATTAGATAACTTCAGCTTTGAAAAAAGTTGTGTTAAGGATGAAACCCAGCAACTTTTAGTGATAAAAAAACATTTTGCAACCATTGTTCATAGAATACACACCCAAGGCCATTTTTTTCCTTGATCTTTTGAAAGAAATTGTACTATCTGAAATGAATTCAGATAAAGGAGATTGAAGGCAGTGGATGTTCATAAAATTCTTGTTTGGATGTGGCAGGTCTCTGGGTGGTTTTTGCTGTTTAGGACCTTCTCTGCTTCTCTCCCATCCACTTTTCTCTTGTACCTATTCTTAAAGAGACCACCCTGTTAGTTTAGAGTGATTCATTTATACTAGTGGTGAAAAGGCATTTTCATCCACTACCATGAGGTACTATTAATCTACTGGGCCTTCATAAATTTCATTGTGAAGGGACTTAATTTGTTTCTATTATGAGAACTTTTGAGCACATTCAGTTATCATAATCAAAAAGCACTTAACTGCATGTGTGCTGTGCCAAGAGAATTACAGAGACACATTTTCTTCCCTCTGAGTGTTCAAATTTAGCAGTGACTGCCAGGTTGTGTGGATCACTGTGTGGAGGGACAGAATGATGCATGATCTTGGAGAGCAAACTTGGGGCTAAAGGTATCAGGCCAAACCAGCAAACCTGTGTCATAATTGGGAGTTTCGGGGAAACTAGTGGTTGATGTGAGAAATCCAGCCATGCTGGAGGCACAAACAGAAGCCCAGTTTGGTATATGTAGACTAGAGAACTGCATCCAGAGGATTAAGCATGGTAAGAGGGTACAAGACTGGAGTCCAAACATACAAGCAACTTGGTCAGGATTCATTTCAGGCAAGAAGAAACCGGGAATAGAGTTTTAGCCCAGATTCAAAACAGGTAGCCATGTCCTCCTAATTACACAGCCATGGTGAAAAATCTATATTCCTTCATTTGCCCCTGATTTTAAACAGCCTTTCTCTTGTATTTGGATCTGGAATACTGGTTTGGGCTGCTTCCTCAGGTGAGGCAGGCTGCTGCAGACTATGTGTATTATAACATATACTGATACACTACAGTGAGCTCTTGTAATCTTACCTTTATCTTACCTTTGAGACAAGATTAATATGAACAAAACACTTATTCAAAGGTCAGATGATATCTAGTGTCTGGGGTGTGGTTGCAGTATACATGGACCTTTTCTTAGAACTCCCCCTTTCTTGGCAACGAAATACAAAAATCAGGCTGACTTCCACCAAAGCAGCTTTTAACATTTACAACTGAGGAAACCAACTGATATCTAAACAGAAGGTTTTTTCCAATCTTTTCATCCCTAAGGGCAATAGGCTTTTCAGAAAGGCACCTTGGATTGTGGTAAACTCCAATGATCAGTAAATCTGTCCATTGGTAAGTATGAAATCAGCCCGTTTTTAAAAAACAATTTCCAATTTTTATTTATTTATTTATTTTTCTGGAGCAAAGGCGATTATTCTCTTAGTTACAGGACTTCATCTGGACCTCTAGTTTGATGACAGTAGCCACTATACTGGTCTCAACTGGGACAAAGATACTATTTCTACATAGTGTAAACACTGACCTGATAAATAGATACTACTGCTCTTTTAGAATAAAGCCAAACATAAACCTTGAAGTAAGTGAGAGGGGAGGAGACAAGGACTTTAGGGGATGCTTTAAAAGCTGCTAATTTCTCTTGATGCCATTATTCCTCTGTGCATGCTTAAAGGATTATCTTGATGTTGGAGTAATGATCCGGAGAGTATCGTTTGTAACCTTGGGGGTAGGGATGGGGTGATGGGGAAACTGTTCTAAATAAACTCTGAGACAGTCAGTTCAAGAAGAAAATTAAGGCTACACCTTGAGTTTGACAAATTAAGTTCTTAGTGATACTTGAAGAATTACCAGTGGCCTATGTTCCTAAGAAAGGAGTAAGAAGGCCGGACACGGTGGCTCACGCCTGTAATCCCTAAAGGCCCTCCCTTTAGGAGGCTGAGGTGGGCGGATAACGAGGTCAGGAGATTGAGGCCATCCTGACGAACACGGTGAAACCCTGTCTCTACTAAAAATACAAAAAAATTAGCCAGGCGTGGTGGCAGACGCCTGTAGTCCCAGCTACTCGGGAGGCTGAGGCAGGAGAATGGTGTGAACCCGGGAGGCGGAGGTTGCAGTGAGCAGAGATCATGCCACTGCACTCCAGCCTAGGCGACAGAGCGAGACCCTAGAACTTAAAGTATAATAATAAAAAAAGAAAGAAAAAAAAGAAGAAGAAGAAAGGAGAAATGGGAGGGAAAGGCACTCATCAGTTAGGTATATTTTACCTTCATAATAATGTTATGAGTGTGTATACATTATCATCTTCATTTTATAGTTGAGTAAACCGGAGCTCAGAGAGGTTAAATAACTTGTTTAAACACTGTAGTTAAGAATTAGGCCCTAAAGGCAAAGGCAGGTGAGCCTGTATTCTGGCTTCCCCTAATTTCTACCAGTATGACTTTGGGATAGCTACTTAAACTTTCTGTGCCTGGTTTCCCCATCAATAAAACAGGGACAATAATAGTACCTACAATCAATCATAGGAATTTTGTGGATATTTAATGAGATAATATGTATAAGTCACTTAACAGTGTTCCAGACACCAACTACTCAAAAAGGGTATCTGCTTTGTAGTTATCACCGTTATCAGCGTTATCCTTACCCCCTCTATCCAGATGTGTCAGACACCAAAGCTTATGTTGTTTCTACAACATTATAGTGCCTCCTAGTGGTAGCAAGAGTGGTGGAGCCAGAGAAAGTCAATGTGCATAAGTAGAAGATGAAAAGATAAGGCCATGAGAAAAATGAGAAAAGGCAAAATTTAAAAGGAAGATAAAAGGAGCTTTATACTAACAGGTGTAATCACTAGAAGCTCACTTGTAAGCAGTTGTCTCAGATGCCATACTCAGTGTATCCTGCACTAGAACAACCCTTTCTCTCTGAACCCCTGAGGTTACTAGATTGTGGAGAATAGAACCCCATGTGACCACTCAATGAGACTCATGGAGAGGCTTTCATTAGGCTTTGTTTGAGAAAGCCACTATGTAGAGCTCATCTAATAGATCTGAACCCTAACTCAAAGACATTTTCAAACTAGTTCCAAGGCCATGCACATGCAATGAAAAACACGCTTAACTGTGGGATACAGGGAATAATCGATCATTAAAGTATTAATTAACCAAATTTATTGAAAATTGAAATCACCCCAACTGTCAAATGAGTCATGCTCCATGGACTTTCTGCGTTCTAAATATTGCTCAAATCATGCAAATGTTGTGTGAAACTGTTATGTTGGCCGCTTTAATGCAATTTCACCTCATTTACATGAATTTTGATGTTGCTTAGGGATATTCAATACAACAGCACCCAACAAAGTACTCAAGTATGTACAACCATTGGAAGAGTAATGACTGTAACATGTCTAGATGTACAAGAAAGCTAGCTTCTTATAACCCAGATTGAGCTAAATTAGCCTGATGAATGCATTTCCCCTGCTATTGTTGGTTTGACCTTCATTTCAATATAAAAATGACAGAAAATAGGACCCTTTTTATTTGTTTCTCTAGTAGTCATCACCATTTCTACTGATTCATTGTCAGTCCCTACTCCATTCTTCAAGGCAATCAGCCAAATGCCTGCCACCAGAGAAATCCCTGGTTCCAAGCTTAAGTCACCTTCATAAGTACTGAAGTGCAACATACAAAACTATTGGACAGCAGTTGATGAGGATTTAATCCTTTTTGGACAGGTGGCACTTTTAAGTTCTGGGTAGAAAATTCCCACATTTTGAGATCTGGAATTTTGACCTGGTAGAGCAGCTGATACCTTAAACAAAGCAGTGTTCTCTTTATTCACTAGGTGGCAGGAGCTCCTTAATATATATGTGAGGGATGGCTATAAACACATGTTTAGACTAGTGCATCAGTAAAGCTGTCTTTTAGAGACAGATACATGAAAATGTGAGCCATGAAATATTAAACCAGAGCCTATGAGAAAAGAAATCCTCTGTGTTAACCACAGTAGCTTAGGATTTAATAGTAGTAGAACAAGGTGATTGTTTCTTTAAATAATAACAATTTGAAGAAATTCCATTAGTAGGTTTGTCAAAATGAAGTGAATTAATAAAATACTTTATTCCTATGTGTTTTGCTGTTTGAAAATTTACTTCCTTCAAGTCTCTGCTGAAATGTCATTTTATCAGCAGGGGCTTACCCTCTCTTATACTCCATAACCCTCTGATGTTGCTTTGTTTTACTCTACAGTACCTATTACATTCTGACATACTTTATATTTTACCTGCTTTTTTATTTACCGAGTGTCTCCCCTATCCCCTCTGGAATGAAAGCTCTATGGGAACAAGGACTTTGTTTTGTTCATTATTGTATTCCCAACACATAGAACACTGGCTGGCAGATAATGGGTGCTCAGTATACATTCAAGTGAATGCGTGGAAGAATTACCAAAAGGAAATTATTTTTAAAAGATAATTTTAAATTCAACTTTTAAGTCAGCTTGTATATAAAGCCAAGCTGATTTGTATATAAAGTCAAGCTGACTTAAAAGTTGAATTTAAAATTATCTTTTAAAAATAATTTCAATTATAATCAAAGTAAATCATATTATAGTATACATATTTTAATTTTGTTTTGCTATAATCATAAAATATTAAATACTATCATCACCTAAATGGATGTCTTTATGTTAACACTTGATGGTATCTAAGGTAATTAATTTTTAAGTAATTATGCCAAATTTGCCTGCTGTTTTTATATCATTAATCAAGATAATGAACCTTGTCATTGATAACACTATGATTTACTAGTATTTTGCTCTTTAATTTCAGTTTTTACTTCTGTTTTGAGTAGTAGTATAATATTTTAGAAAAATAAGGAATTAAAATGGTGATAAAATTAGGTGAATTTAGAGAATGCCTGTATTGTTATTTTTAAAATATCCAAACTGCCTCTACAAGTACATCTTTGAAGTTTTGGTTGTAGCATGGTAAAGAGAATCTTAGCAACCAGATAACTTTTGAAAAAACACTGAATGTTTCCAAGCTTCAATTTCCTTATCTATAAACACAAGATAGTAATTTCTGTCCTGCCTATTCATAGGATTATTGAGATATATAAAAATTATCTGGGAAATGTAAAATTCTATTCAACTGTAAGGAGTTATAGATGATGCTAGTAAGTAATTTAATTTGTCTAATGATTTTAGGAGCTACAGCAATCCCACTCCTAGGTATTTGCTCTGAAGAAAGGAAACCAATATATTGAAGTGATATCTGCATTCCAATGTTTGTTGCAGCACTATTCACAATAGCCAAGACTTGGAAGCAACCTAAGTGTCCATTAACAGAAGAATGGATAAAGAAAATGTGGTATATATACATAATAGAATATTATTCAGCTATAAAAAGAATGAGATCCTGTCATTTGCAGGAACATGGATGGAACTGGAGGTCATTATGCTTAGTGAAATAAGCCAGGCACAGAAAGACAAACTTCACATGTTCTCACTTATTTCTAGGAGCTAAAAATTATAGTAATTGACCTCATGGAGATAGGGTGTAGGATGGTTACTAGAGGCTGGGAAAGGTAATGGGGGTGGGGGGAAGTGGAGATAATAGGTATAAAAAATAGAAAGAATGAATAAGACCTAGTATTTCCTAGCACAATAGTGTCACTACAGTGAAAAATAATGTACATTTTAAAATAACATAAAGAGTATAATTGGGTTGTTTGTAACAAAAATAATAAATGTTTGAGGTGATGGATATCCTGTTTACCCTTATGTGATTATTATGCATTGCATGCCTGTATCAAAATATCTCACGTAACCCAAAAATATATACATCTACTATGCACCCACCAAAATCTTAAAAAGTACTTTGTTTTTAATACTCTCTTGTAGGACTTTGGATATGAGCGCTGTCTTAGCTCAGGTTGCCATAACAAAATACAATTCACTGGATGACTTCAATAACAGAAATTTATTTCTTACAGTTCTGGAGTCTAGACGTCTGAGATCAAGTTTCCAGCCAATTGAGTTTCTGGTGAAGGTACTTGTCCTGGCTCGTAGACAACTGCCTTCTCACTATGTCTTTACATGACCTTTCCTTAGGGCTTGTGTGTATAGAAAGAGAGACAGGAGTTCTCCAGCATCTTTTCTAATAAGGTCACTAATCCTGTTGGATCATGGCATCACCCTTATGACCTTTTTAACCTTAATTACTTCTTTGGAGGCCCTATCTCCAAATATAGTCACACTGAAGGGTAGGGCTTCAACATATGAATTTGGGGGAAACACAAGCATTCAGTCCATAACCAACACCAACAGCATCAGCACAATAATGTTCATAATAACTTTTTTTGAGCACTTTTTTTGTGTGTGCCAGTTACTGTGATAAGTACTTTAAATGAACTATCTCATTGTTTCAGTCAGTTATTTCTGTGGCTTATCACAATCACTTGAGGACCAGTGAGAGGGGCTTTTCTCCATGTAATTATTTAAAACCTAGGCTCTTTCCGTCTTGTGGCTGTGGCCTCCTCTGAGTTCTAGAAGTTCTTTCTATTTAGCCGGTGAATGGGAAAAGAAAATAAGGATAGCACATGGGAGGTTTTCATGGGCCATGCTTAGCAGTGCCACGTGACCGTTTTTCATTAGCAAGAATTTAGTCACATGGCTATACCTAATAGCTGAGAAATGCAGTCAACCTGTGTGTTCAGGAGGAGGAGAAAAGGGCAATACAGTTATTAGTGTAGCATTAGCAGTAACTAGCATACTCATTTAATCTTCATAGTAATCTAAATCGGTAGGTACCATCATTGTCCCTATTTTACCAATGAAGAGAAGGTATTTGCTCAGTGTCACACTACTAGTAATTTAAATTGAAACTCAGTCTCCTTCAGAGGGTTGCTTTTAATCACTGTGCTCTTCTTTCTGAACTAGGGGTAAGAGTATTATTTCATTGCTATAGTGAATGTTTGAAATGTTTGACCATCTCTCAGAGATGTTTTAATAGATCAAAAATTTTGTTTAGTTATAATTTGTTTAGTTACTAAAGAAAGAAGGGAAAGAAAAAAGGAAGGAAGGAGAACAAATAAGGACAAGCTTTTTGTGGAGGGGTTGGATGCTGTTTCTTATATGCAATCATGTATACTTGTTAATACCATTAATAGCTTATTCACCTTTAGGGTCTTTTTCCTTATTGACATAATTTTTAGAGATACTTCGAATGTGTTTAGTGTTTGGCTGTGACATCAAAGTATATGGAGTCCTTTGCCTGTCTCTGCCTAACTACCTCTTCATAAGGGAGGTTGTACTGTCCAGAGAGACCATATAAAGTCATCTTAGAATTTAAAGTCATTTGTCCATATTGAGCACAAATTGGAAGGTCAAGGACTAGGATACTGCTTCCCATTGGGCTAAAGGATTCCTGAAGTGATCTAAAACAGGAGGGATGGGAAATCTCCCTTCCCTTTTACCTAAGTGGTTACAGGACTAAACTAAATTACAGTAGGTTGCCACTTGTTTTTTGCATCTTGATGGGTTTTATAGCCACCTGGATGGGGCTGCCTCTCCAATGTACCATGTTGAATGGTGCATTGTTTGATTTACAATGTTCAACAAACATACTTTCTTAAATCTCTTCTGATATTTTAGTTGAAAGTTCATTTTCTTTTTATAGACAGCACAATACTATCCTAATTCTAGCTAAGTTATGATAACAAACTACAGAATATGAACTTCTAAGCTTCTAAAAGTTATCTTCATACCATTCAGATGGTATGCTTCTTAAAATGCCAACATATTACAAAGACCATTTAATTCAGCCTTCTTGAAGCACAAGAAGAAATGATCTTTCTAGCAAAACTGTTTTCCTGCCATACTAAGTCGAATTTCTCCAATACTATAAGAGTTCTGGTAGCTTTTGAAAAAAGTAGTAGAGTGGGGGATAAACTGTTTAGACAGCATGAAATAACTTAAAATTTTCCTGCTTATATTGAAGAGAGTAGCAATCTAGGATAGTTTCATCTTAAAATAAATTTGTGTTCTGTGGTTGATAGTAAAGGGGTAGTAGGGAAGTGCCCTTGACTAACTTGTTCCATTATCAAAAGCCAAGTCAGGATTTTTGCATGTGCATATATAAGTGGCCAAATGAGAGTTCATAGACAATGATATTACATTCGGCTTTCTTCCGGCAGTGTTGATAGTAATAATAATACGGATCAGGCCTGTCTTACCAATCTGAAACACCCTATAATCTGAAAAAACATTGAAATCAGACGTGTAGAACTGAATTAGAGATGTGTGGGTATTAAAATACTCCATCCAACCCATTTCCACATGTACCATCTGTTGTTTCCAGATGCACTGCTTCCTAGAGGCAGTATTCATGGGCATGGCATTATAACACCAACAAATCGGCATTTCTACTTCTGGGACTTAATTCCCAGAAATACAAGTTTTCATTGGCTGCACTTCAGGGAATTAGACTTTTCTGTGGCTAGGGACATGCCATTACAACCATGGTAATGGAAATAGACCAATTTAGAGCATATAAGGCAGCAGGGTGCCTTCAAATTGGAAGCAGTACAAAGTTTCTCTGATGTGTCTGTAACTCAAGGTAAGTTGAGTAACACTATTAATGTTCCCCCCTTGGTACTTAGATATGCCTAGCACATTGCAGATAAGTTGTTGGAGGTACCTCTTCTATGTTAAGTTTGATAAGTGAAGTTATAAAATGCTTCAAAGGCTCTGGAGTATATGCTTAAAGCCATGTATATAGTCCAGCACCTTAATCTGATGCTGTCTGTAAAGCAATGGGCTGTCACCTCCCTCAAGACCACTGCTTGCCTCATTAATACCACTGGAACAAATTATCACTTCACAGCCCAGAAATCTTCTATAGCAGTTGTGGTGATTGATGTAACAAGGCTAAAAAATAATGATGAAATGCATGTTCCAGAAGACAGATTCAAATGGCAGGAGCTTCAAAGGCAATTAAATGTGACACAAAAGGAGTCTTCCTGGAATAAAGTATTTTCAAATAAATGGTAAGATAAGTGTGATAATCTCCTAGACTCACATTACACATAAATTAGTTTGCTATGAATAATTATTTCCAAAGGCTTAGTGTGCATTGAAGTAAACGTTTAGAAACAGCCAGTTTGAACCATTTAAAAAATATATTTTGGTTTAAAATAAGGAAAAAAGAAATGCTTTGGGACTAGCATATATGGTCATGATGGAGTTTATTTATTTGTAGCCATAGTATTTGAATGACATCTTTTGATATGCTTTAAAATTTCTTGTTGGCTGGAAAGTAAAGAATCATGACTACAGATGTCAAGTTTAACTGCCTTCCTCCAAAGTGAGTCAAACGATTCTTATGATGTATTGATTCTATACCACTAAGTTACTAACTATGTTGTGGGAGGAACCTGCCTCCTCAAGATAGTGCAGCTTTACATCAGACAGGGACATCAAGGTCGTCATGAAGGGGAAATTTAAGACATGGAAATAACTAGAACAGCTGGGCAAGGTTAAAGCACTCTGGCATGCACTGGCGAAAGCAGGGCAGCAAAGCCTGCGTCTGTAAGCTTCCAGAAGAGGTGAAAAATCCAAAGCTTTGGACCACTTTTCTGCGGAAAAGGTAAAGCTCAAACTGTCGTATTGGATCTGTACATGCTACTACCTTATTTTCTTGAAATTTGAACTTGAGACAGGTAAGAAGAGTACTGACTCAAGTGTAGCGAGAGGTTATTTTTAATAAGGATTCATATTTAAAAGTTTAGTTAATCATAGGACTGGACTTCCACAGAGTTAAAAAAATAAATTCTAAATAGTAATTTTTAAAAATCATATTTGGATTAGATGTAAAGTGATCTGGGGCTGTAATGGATATTTGTTTAAAGTTATTTCTTCACTAATCTGTTATTAGCCAAACCTGATGAGGTCATGTGTCGATTTATTGGCAGGATCAAAGGAACACATTTATTTAAGGTGGTATATTTGTTGATCTCCCCCAGAATTCTCTAGATGTGAGTTGATGCAATTCAATAGCTATTAATTCCACTTTAATAATGAGTTTGACATTTATATTTTTACAATATCTTAACCAGCCTTTTCAATAACATGATCCAATGATGCAGAAATTTGTTTCTAATTGTACAGGCCATCATTAACATTGTTGTTTACCCTGAAGGCATTTGAATGCCCTTTTGAAATAAAAGTTAAGGGCTATTTTGACCTAGATCTTTAAAAACAAGTAACACTTTTATGCAAGGACACTGGTTAAATTGTGGGGTGCAGACAAAAATATTCACCAACTGTCAAAAGAGGCTGAGAAGTTATTTCCACTCCAAAACGTCTGTAATTCACTAGGTTAGACAAAGAGGCACATTCGTGAATCAAGGGAATTGTTTTATAAAAATGATGTTTTAGAAAATTGCCTTAACATCTTACACACTTTAAGTTTGGAATCAAGAAATTCTGCCTTTTACTTACCTGTCTTATTAATTGTTTTAAAATACTGAAAATATATACATATGCATCATGGATGGCAGAAAACACATATGACTTGGCATGACAGTTGCTTGAAATGGAAAAGCAATACAATGACTTTGTACTTTTATGAAACACATAGATTGGTAATAAAGCTGCTTCCTAGTCGCATTTGGTCGCCACAACACCCAAGTGATTTGTGTAATTATTGTTTTATCTATCTTTTTAAACAGTGGAAAAGTCAGATGAACCAAATGACCCAGTGCTCATTTTTATTGTTACCATCCTTCTACTAGATGTACAGTCATAGTCATTTTTAAAAGAAAATCCTGACTTTTCTTATCATATCCAAAAAGCACGTCACTAAATTCTCATATCTTGTGACAACTGATAAATAATAGCTAGAGTGTATTTTTTACACTAATTGTGATTTTAAACAACATTAAGAATTGGTTGCTTATATGGGGTAAGTTGAAACACATAGATAAGCCCTTTTAATTGAATACTTGGAACTACACAATTCCAAATTAGTCATGTAATATTTTAAGAAGAGAAAGATACACGCATTGGGTGCCTTCTCTGGGCCAAACACTGTCACACATGTAATGGCAACTTCAGAACAACAGTGTGCAGTAGTTATTTTTATCCCCATTTTTATGGAGGAAGAAACCCAACCTCAAAGATGTTAAACAGCTTCTCCAGCATCACACCAGCTACTCAGTGGCAGAGCCAATATTCAAATGTACATCTGCCTGTTTTTAACTTCTACATTACAAAGCATTTAAATAAATGTGGAAAATATGTTCGATAATAATGGCTAAATCAAAATGCATTGGAGTAAATCTGTGTAGTACTGTTCATCAAGGTAAAAGTATGCATTTTGTTTGTTAAATTGTTTTATACAAGACACTGGAATAAATTAAATGCATGAGTGATATCAGAATTTAAAGCATTGTGTTTATTAATGTTGTTTTATAAGTTACAATTATTTAATTGAGGAGCAGTCTACAAAAATATTTAATGGCAAAAGTAGAGTTAAGTTATTTGCACCCACACATTCATAAAATTTTGTTTTGTTTTTTTAAGACAGGGTCTCACTCTGTCACCCAGGCTGGAGTGCAGTGATGTGATCATAGCTGACTGCAGCCTCGACCTCATGGGTTCAAGAGATCCTCTTACCTCAGCCTCCCAAGTAGGTGGGACCACAGGTGCACACCACCACTCCTGGCTAATTTTATTTTTATTTTATTTTATTTTATTTTATTTTTTTGTAGAGATGGAGTTTTGTCATGTTGCTCAGGCTGGCCTTGAACTCCTGGGCTCAAGTGATCCTCCCGCCTTGGCCTCCAAAAGTGAGGGACTTCTGGGGGTGAACCACCACACCCAACCTTGGTTTTTAAAGCTGGGATTTCTATTTTTCACAACCTTATTTATAAAACAAGCCAAATACCAAAATTGAAAAATGATATGGCTTCATTTGAACTATCTGTTGCTATGTGTAAGGACCGTTAAAGATATTCTGGTACAAATTACTCTTTAAAAAGAGGGCTTAAATTAAGTATGTTCAGTTGTGTAATGTACTTTTGGCTTTAGGTTATAATGCAATCAGTTATTTTGCTGTGATTCAATATTTACATGTTTCTGCTGAAGAAAAAGCCCAGTCACTACAGAAAGAAATTGTATGATTCTACATGTGTAGAAATCTTGTGATATAATTGCATTCTCATTATGTCTTCTACTAGTAATTTATGAATATTCAAGATTTTTATTTTATTTACTTTCAACCCAAATGATATTTTTTTCTGCAGAATAACAGAAAAAACTTAACCCTAGAAATGACTGTTTTTTAATTAAAAATAATAACCCTTCCAGAATATAGAGAAAAATAAGTTTCTACTTATTCACCAAATAAATAAATGCTGACTATCATAACCCTTTAAGTCTGTATGACCTTGTAGTTCTATAACCTCCCTGAACCCATAGTTTTCTTAACTATGAAATGAGGTAATAACTACTTCCCTGGGTTACTATGGTTGATACTTAAATAGTATAATGCATGGAAAGGATAAAGAACTGTGCCTGGCAATGAGTAGGTATCAAGTTGTTATTGAATCAGTTAATTTGTTGTGCATATAATTAAGCAATTTGGAAATATGATTTAGGAACATCTTATAATCTGACCCAGAAATTGATTTTAAAAATGAATGAAATTTCAATTACAGTGAAGTTGCTTATCAGATTCCCTTGATAGCTTCCCCAATATTGATCGAAATGATCTAGACCTCTCAGGAGCACCCTCCTTCACTAGGTCTTAGCCCTATACTCCCTCTCTTGTGTTTTACTGGTTTCCTTCTCACAGTAAAGCATTTTGATATGGGTGTTTAACATGACTATTTTGATGGAGTCATATTGACATAACCACATCCAAATATCTCTATATTAACCATTAATATATTAACAGGATTATATTAACCATTAATATAAAACCATTGGCCATTGGTTTCTTTACCCAAGGACTGTGTATCATATCAGACATTTTGAACTTAGTTCCATCTCTTAGTATCCCCCAGCAGACTTCATGGTTCTTTCACTTTCTACTTTACCCATTTTTGTTTTAAGAGACAGGGCCTTACTCTGTTACCCAGGCTGGAATGCAGTGGCATGAGCATAGCTCCCTGCAGCCTCAAACTCCTGGGCTCAAGTGATCCTCCTGCCTCAGCCCCAAGAGTAGTTGGGACTACAGGCATGTGCCGCCACACCTGGCTAATATTTTTAAATTTTCTAAGACATGGGGTCTCCCTATGTTGCCCAGGCTGGTCTCAAATTCCTGGCCTCAAGTGATCCTCCTGCCTTGGCATCCCAAAGTGCTGGTGATTACAGGAGTGAGCCACCACATCCGGCCTTACCCATAATTGTATTGCTTGACTTTTTATTAAAACTTATTGCTTTTGTAGTCATAAAAACAGAACTCTTTTAAAAATGTTTACAACTGAGTCAACCTCCAAGGGGAGGGATGCTTTTTACCCAAAAACTAGGATTGTAAAACAGTGTTACCTCATAGTGTATATATGCTACTGTAGAAATTGTTAGAGAAAATTTTCTCATACCCCATCCCCAGTGTCTTACGAGATTTGAAAAATCAAGAAGCCTACACAAATAAGTAGCCATTTAAAAATATTTTCTACTGGAAAATGGGACAAATTCCACAATTACATTGCTAAATCTGTATTTCAGTAGAGATTAAATAAGTATGGCAATTGTAAACCTTAAGAGATTAGACAATTTAGAATGGTGACCATTCAGCCAACAACATAAATTATGGCTGCTGCCCCTTTGTGAGAAAATCATGTGTGATAAACATGTGGCCCCTAGTTTTATGTCGTGTGGATGCCACATGGTGCCTTATCCCAACCTCGTTCCCTACCCCATTTCTGAGCTTCTTGTCATTTCATAGTCTTCTGGTATATAGATCAGGGATAGGATGAGGTCCAAAGATAAGAATGAGGATGTTTGTTTCACATACTGCTTGATTTAAAATAATCTGACTATAAACCTTGTCACGTTATCAAAATATCAGGTACCCTATTCCATTCTTTGCTGTACACTTGTCTCCTCTTGATATTGCTAAATCATGAATAATAAAGAATATCTATTAAGAAATGTGCTTTTGAGACTAAAAGTTAACCCCACTTTAATGATAACATGTTGGAAAATACAGTGGAAAGGCTAGAACATGTGCAGAGGATACCATTTACTCATGCCATAATGAGAAAAATATGACCAATTTGGAGGGGTCTTTGTGTATAAAACAGGTCTCTTTGCAAGAGACCTGTTCAACTATACATATATGCAGCAGTAAGCAAATATTTGAGTGAGTAGAATAATAATAGCAAGCACCGATGTGGGATTAACTGGTGATATATTTTATAAGGCCACGTTCATCATGGTATATCCCATACAACAGGCAGATGTTAAGATGATGTCAATAATTATGAATTTGTTGAGCACCCATGAGTAATTTGCTTTTTTAACATAATGGATTGAACACATTTTAATTCTTGCCTTTTAAAGGCTTCCATATGAAGCCTTCTAAAGGGGATCACATAACATGCTAACATACAAGTGATTGTAAAGAAGAATTAGTTTTGAAAATGTTGTTCAGATAAGAACACATGGACACAGGGAGGGGAGCAACACTTACTGGGGCCGTGTGGGGGGCAGGTTGGGGGAGGGCATTAGGTAAAAGAGCTGATGCATGCTGGGCTTAATACCTAGCTGACGGGTTGATAGGTGCAGCAAACCATCATGGCACATGCTTACCTATGTAACAAACCTGCACATCCTGAACATTTACACTGGAACTTAAAAACATACATAGTTAGAATGAGAATGACATGAAATTCATTAAGGTTGACATTTAAATTCATGAGGTTATCAATGCTTATATACTTATTAAAATATAAAGTTGTTTACGGTAAAAAAAATAGGAAATGTTGTTCAGACAAGTATTTAAATATTGTTAGTGCGTAGGACTGATACAGACTGGGTTAATCTGGAAAAAGTCTCTTACTCAAGGGAACCTTAAGGTGAACTTTCTGGGAAAAGGTTATGTTATTTAGACAGACTTTTGTAGTAGAAGTATTGAAGGCTGCTCAAGGTACCCCACAATTTATATTATTTTCTTATTCTAGAGAGGAAGAGTGTTGTCATAAGGAAAAGTTAATGAAGAAAGACCGACGTAGGATTTGGTTGAGTTTAGTACATGCTGATACTATGGTAGCACTGTATCATAAACTAGTACTATAAAGACTATTATATACTACCCACGCAATTATAAGATGACACCCATTCATTTCCATTTTCATCATCTTCATTTTTTTTCTAGGATATTTGTAGCTTATAAAATAGGATAACCTGATTAAATTTAGTCCTTTGAATCACGAATTCTAGATTATTTCCTTTTTAATTCTGGGAGAACTTAAGCCATCTGTTGCCTTGAAGCAGAGAGATTTAGTAATCAGGCAGAGCAGTAAGAAGATATTTGTCTAGGGATATTATTAATTAACAAACTTGGAAGGTATTCTTCATTTTTTACCTTAAAGTCAAAGTACCCCCAATAAGTACATTGGGGAATTAGGCTAGAAAACCTGTCTTGGGTCAGATACTCTTTGTGTTCTGCTTTGTATAGTGCAGAAGAAAATGTAAATAGGTGTTGGGTCCATTACGATGAAAAAAAAAAAAGCAGTAAATAACAAGAATTGTTTTTTGTGAGGTCCCAAAATAGTGCACATTTATAAAACCCCAATATTTCAAAACAAATATTATGTTGTTTTTACATAATCCTTTTCACTTAAAAATAACTGTTCTCACCACAGAGGTGATAACTGTTTAAGGTGATGGATTTTTTGATTAACCTATTTGATCATTACATCACATTGTACCCCATAAATATGTGCAAGTGTTGTGTAAATTAAAAATAAAATAAAACATTAAAAAAGCTGTTGTAGTGTCCTTTCTACTTAACTTCCATATTAAAATTGAAAATTTCAACAACAGTTTTTGAAGGAACTAGAACAAGTTTTTTTAAATCAAATTTATTTAAGTACAGCTATTTTGCAATTAAATGGACCCATTTTAAGTGCATACACTGATGAGTTTTGAGAAATATATATACACATAGAGTCACCACACTACCCAACACATAGGATCTTTCCAAAACCCCATGAATTTCTCTTCTGCCTCTTCCCAGTCCATTCTCATTATCCCAAGCCTCAGGGAATCACTGATATACTTTCTGTCCCTATAGATTAGATTTGTCTTTTCTAGAATTTCATATCAGAGGAATAATACAGTATTTACTTTTTTACATATGAGTTCTTAACACTCAGAACAGGGTTTGTTTTGGTTTTGTTTCAGTATCTTTTCAGCACATAGTATTATTCTTAATGTTAGACGTTCTAATAGATGTGTATCAGTATTTTGTTGTGATTTTAATTTTCATTTCACTAATAACTAATGATGTTGAGCATCTTTTCGTGTGCTTAATGGCCATTTGTGTATATTTTTGGTAAAGTGTCACTTCAAATGTTTTGCCCATTTTAAAATACTGGGTTGTTTATCTTCTTATTATTGAGTCGTAAGAGTCTTTTATATATTCTAGATACAAGTCCTTTGCCAGATATATGTATTGCAAACACTTTCTCCCAGTGTATGGCTTGCCTTTTTATTTTCTTAACAGACAAAAACTTTTAATCTTTATGAAGATCAACTTAACTTTTTTTTCTTTAACAGCTAAGTGCTTTATTTTTCATTTTCTATTTTTATATATTTAGGGGCACAAGTGCAGATTTCTTACATGCATATATTGCATAGTGGAGTAGTCTGGGCTTTTAGTGTACCCATCCCCCAAATAGTGAACATTGTACCCAACAGTTAATTTTTCAGCCCTCACTCCCCGCTCACTCTCCCATACTTTGTAGTCTCCAATGTCTTATTCTGCTCTATATGTCCATGCATACCCTTTGTTTAGTTCCCACTTAGAAGTGAGAACATGTGGTATTTGACTTCCTTTTCTGAGTTATTTAATTTATGATAATGGCCTGTGGTTCCATCCATGTTGCTGCAAAAAAACATGATTTCATTTTCTTTTCATGGCCGAGCAGTATTCCATGGTGTATATATATATACCACATTTTATTTACCCTGTCATCCATTGATGGACACTTAGGTTAATTTCATATTTTTGCTATTGTTAGTGTTGCAATAAACATATGTGTGCAGGTGTCTTTTTGATATAATGATTTATCTTACTTTGGGTAGACACCCAATAGTGAGATTGCTGGGTTGAAAGATAGGTCTATTTTTATGTTTTGAGAAATATTCCGTTTTCCATAAAGGTTGTCCTACTTTATGTTCCCACCAATAGTATATAAGCATTCCCTTTTCTCTGAATCCTTGCCAACATTTGTTGTTTTTTTGACTTTTTTTTTAAATTATAGTTTAAGTTCTGGGATACATGTACAGAACGTGCAGGTTTGTTACCTAGGTATACACGTGCCATGGTGGTTTGCTGCACCCATCAACCTGTCATCTGCATTACGTATTTCCCCTAATGCTATCCCTCCCCTAATCCCCTACCCCCTGACAGGCCCTGGTGTGTGAGTTTCCCCTCCCTGTGTCCATGTGTTCTCATTGTTCAATTCCCACTTATGAATGAGAACATGCAGTGTTTGGTTTTCTGTTCCTGTGTTAGTTTGCTGAGAATGATGGTGTCCAGCTTCATCCATGTCCCTGCAAAGCACAAGAACTCATTCTTTTTTATGGCTGCATAGTATTCCATGGTGTAGATGTGCCACATTTTCTTTATCCAGTCTGTCACTGTTGGACATTTGGGTTGGTGGGTTGGTTCCAAGTCTTTGTTATTGTTAACAGTGCTAAAATAAACATACGTGTACATATGTCTTTATGGTAGAATGATTTACAATCCTTTGGGTGTATACCCAGTAATGGGATTGCTGGGTGAAATGGTATTTCTGGTTCTAGATCCTTGAGGAATTGCCACACTGTCTTCCACAATGGTTGAACTAATTTACACTCCCACCAATGGTGTAAAAGCATTCCTATTTCTCCACATCCTCTCCAGCATCTGTTGTTTACTGACTTTTTTTTTTTTTTTTTTTTTGAGACAGAGTCTTGCACTGTCACCTAGGCTGGAGTGCAATGACACAATCTCAGCTCACTGCAATCTCCATCTCCTGGGTTCTCATGACTCTTCTGCTTCAGCCTCCTGAGTGGCTGGGAATATAGGCGCACACCACTACACCTGGCTAATTTTTTGTATTTTCAGTAGAGACGGGGTTTCACCATGTTGGCCAGACTGGTCTTGAACTCCTGACCTCGAGATCCACCCGCATTGGCCTCCCAGAGTGCTGGGATTACAGGCGTGAGCCACCATGCCCAGCCGTTTGCTGACTTTTTAATGATCGCCATTCTAACTAGCAGGAGATGGTATCTCATTGTAGTTTTGATTTGCATTTCTCTAATGACCAGTGATGATCTTTTTTTCATATGTTTGTTGGCCACATAAATGTCTTCTTTTGAGAAGTGTCTGTTCATATCCTTTGCCCACTTTTTGATGGGGATGTTTGTTTTTTACTTGTAAATTTAAGTTCCTTGTAGATTCTGGATATTAGCCCTTTGTCAGATGGATAGATTGCAAAAATTTTCTCCCGTTCTGTAGGTTGCCTATTCACTCTGATGATAGTTTCTTTTGCTGTGCAGAAGCTCTTTATTTTAATTAGATCCCATTTGTCAATTTTGGGTTTTGTTGCCATTGCTTTTGGTGTTTTAATCATGAAGTCTTTGTCCATGCCTATGTCCTGAATGGTATTGCCTAGGTTCTCTTCTAGGGTTTTTATGGGTTTAGGTTTTACGTTTAAGTCTTTAATCCATCTATAGTTAATTTTTGTATAAGGTGTAAGGAAGTGTCCAGTTTCAGTTTTCTGCCTATGGCTAGCCAATTTTCCCAACATTTATTAAATAAGGAATCCTTTCCTCATTGCTTTCGTCAGGTTTGTCAAAGATCAGATGGTTGTAGATGTGTGGCATTATTTCTGAGGCCTATGTTCTATTCCATTGGTCTATATATCTGTTTTGGTACCACTACCATGCTGTTTTGGTTACTGTAGCCTTGTAGTATAGTTTGAAATCAAGTAGCGTGATGCCTCCAGCTTTGTTCTTTTTGCTTAGGATTGTCTTGGCTATATGGGCTCTTTTCTCGTTCCATATGAAATATAAAGTAGTTTTTTTTTTTCGTAATTCTGTGAAGAAAGTCAATGGTAGCTTGATGGGGATAGCATTGAATCTATAAATTACTTAGGGTAGTATGGCCATTTTCAAGATATTGATTCTTCCTATTCATGAGCATGGAATATTTTTCCATTTCTTTGTGTCCTCTCTTATTTCCTTGACAAGTGGCTTGTAGTTCTCCTTGAAGAGGTCCTTCACATCCCTTGTAAGTTGTATTCCTAGGTATTTTATTCTCTTTGTAGCAATTGTGAATGGGAGTTCACTCAAGATTTGGCTCTCTGTTTTTCTATTATTGGTGTATTGGAATGCTGTGGTTTTTGCACATTGATTTTGTATCCTGAGACTTTGCTGAAGTTGCTCATCAGCTTAAGGAGATTTTGGGCTGTGACGATGGAGTTTTCTAAATATACCATCATGTCCTCTGCAAACAGAGACAATTTGACTTCCTCTCTTCGTATTTGAATACCCTTCATTTCTTTCTCTTGCCTGATTGCCCTGGCCAGAACTTCCAATACTATGTTGAATAGGAGTGAGGAGAGAGGGTATCCTTGTCTTGTGCCAGTTTTCAAAGGGAATGATTCCAGCTTGGCCATTCAACATGATATTGGCTGTGAGTTTGTTATAAATAGCTCTTATTATTTTGAGATATTTTCCATCAATACCTAGTTTATTGAGAGTTTTTAGCATGAAGGGGTGTTAAATTTTATCGAAGGCCTTTTCTGGATCTATTGAGATAATCATGTGGTTTTCGTCATTGGTTCTGTTTACGTGATGGATTATGTCTATTGATTTGCATATGTTGAACCAGCCTTGCATCCCAGGGATGAAGCCAACTTGATAGTGTTGGATAAGCTTTTTGATGTGCTGCTGGATTCAGTTTGCCAGTATTTTATTGAGGATTTTCACATCAATGTTCATCAGGGATATTGGCCTGAAATTTTCTTTTTTTGTTGTGTCTCTGCCACGTTTTGGTATCAGGATGATGCTGGCCTCATAAAATGAGTTAGGGAGAAGTCGCTGTTTTTCTATTGTTTGGAGTAGTTTCAGAAGGAATGGTACCATCTCCTCTTTGTACCTCTGGTAGAATTCGGCTGTGAATCCGTCTGGTCCTGGGTTTTTTTTGGTTGGTAGGCTATTAATTACTGCCTCAATTTCAGAACTTGTTATTGGTCTATTCAGGGATTTGAGTTCTTCCTGGTTTAGTCTTGGGAGGGTGTATGTATCCAGGAACTTATCCATTTCTTCTAGATTTTCTAGTTTTTTTTTGTGTAGAAGTGTTTATAGTATTCTCTAATGGTAGTTTGTATTTCTGTGAGATCAGTGGTGATATCCCCTTTGTCATTTTATATTGTGTCTATTTGATTCTTCTCTCTTTTCTTATTAGTCTGGCTAGCAGTCTATCTATTTTGTTAATCTTTTCAAAAAACCAGCTCCTGGGTTCATTGATTTTTTCGAAGGTTTTTTCGTGTCTCTATCTCCTTCAGTTCTGCCCTGATCTTAGTTTTTGAATTTGTTTTCTCTTGCTTCTCTAATTCTTTTAATTGTGATACTAGGGTGTTGATTTTAGATCTTTTCTGCTTTCTCCTGTGGGCATTTAGTGCTGTAAATTTCCCTCTAAACACTGCTTTAGCTGTGTCCCAGAGATTCTGGTACGTTATGTCTTTGTTCTCATTTGTTTCAAATAACTTATTTATTTCTGCCTTAATTTCGTTATTTATCCAGTAGTCTTTCAGGAACAGGTTGTTCAGTTTCCATGTAGTTGTGCGATTTTGAGTGAGTTTTTAAATCCTGAGTTCTAATTTGATTGCACTGTGGTCTGAGAGACTGTTTGTTATGATTTCCGTTCTTTTGCATTTGCTGAGGAGTGTTTTACTTCTAATTATGTGGTCGATTTTAGAATAAGTGCTATGTAGTGCTGAGAAGAGTGTATATTCTGTTGATTTGGGGTGGAGAGTTCTGTAGATGTCTATTAGGTCTGCTTGGTCCAGAGCCGAGTTCAAGTCCTGAACATCCTTGTTAATTTTCTGTTTCATTGATCTGTCTAATATTGACAGTGGGGTGATAAAGTCTCCCACTACTATTGTGTGGGAGTCTAAGTCTCTTTGTAGGTCTCTAAGAACTTGCTTTATGAGTCTGGGTGCTTCTGTATTGGGTGCATATATATTTAGGGTAGTTAGCTCTTTTTGTTGTGTTGATCCCTTTACCATTATGTAATGCCCTTCGTCTTTTTTTGGTCTTTGTTGGTCTATAGACCGTTTTATCAGAGACTAGGATTGCAACCCCTGCTTTTTTTGCTTTCTGTTTGCTTGGTAATTATTTCTCCATCCCTTTATTTTGAGCCTATGTGTGTCTTTGCATGTGAGATGAGTCTTCTGAATACAACACACTCATTGGTCTTGACTCTTTATCCAATTTGCCAGTCCTTGTCTTTTAATTGGTTTTAATAATAACCATTCTGACTGGTATAATATTGTATCTCATGGGGTTTTAATGTGCATTTCTCTGATGATTAGTAATGGCTAGTGGCTAGTGCTTTTTTGTGTCCTGTGTGTTCTTGCATATTCCAAGATCATGACAGTTTTCCGCTGCATTTTCCTCTGGTAGTTTTATAGTTTTAGCTTTTACATTTAGGCCTATAATACATTTTGAGACAATTTTTTATCTGGCATGAGGTAAGAGTTGAAGTTCAATTTTTCCTTATGGTTATTCAGTTATGTTAGCAACATTTATTAAAATATTATCTTTTTCTCATTGAATTTTACCTTTGAATTTTATTCAAAAACCATTTAACCATATACAGGTGGATATATTTTTGGACTCCCTATTTTGTTCCATTAGACTATGTGTAGTATATGCTGATACTACATATCATGATTCTTTTTCAAAATCATTTAGGCTTTTCTAGGTCCTTTGCATTGTCATGTAAAAAATTGGCTCGTCAATTTCTACCACAAGAGCCTGGGGAGATTTTGACTGGGTTTGCTTAGAATTCATATCATTTTGAGGAAAACTGGTATCTTAACAAGTTGAGCCTTCCAATTTATAAACGGGATATCACTCCGTTTATTTAGATCTTTAATTTTTCTCAATGATATTTTCTGCTTTCTAGTGTACAGGTCATGTTCTTTTGTTAAATTTATGCCTATATATAATAACAAATTTTTAAAAATTAAATATCAAGAGAGAAGAGACAGTGAAACTTATCCAGGAGTGCAGCCTGTTTTCGTAAAATTAATTTGTGATTGACACCAACAAGCCTTCTGATCTGAAATTTCAAGTGTTCTGGTGAGTAATTGGAATTTGTGTATATCTTTTTTTCTAAGCTTTTTATATCAATGTCTTTTAAGGAAGCAGGCATATATTCTCCTCAATGAGAATCTCCAAATGAGCCTTTTACTTTCCCCTAAGGTTTGGCTTCCTTATGTTTGACTATTGCCTTATACATGTTATTTGTTATACATATTATACATGTTGTTTGTTCATTGACTTATTGGCATAAAGGCCATAAAAATACTTTTTCCTCCTTCAGAAGTCTCTTCCACATTAATAGCTTTATCTAGTAGCTCAGTTATGGAAACTCACAAGCCTACATCTCGAGCCCAATATTTATCAAAACTCTAGTTGTAAATCATCTATTTTTTGCTGGGTGTTTCCATATGTAAAGGTTTGTTAATTTAAGCATATCTGAAACCAAACACCTCTCCCCTCACTCACACACACACACACACACACACACACACACACACACAATTTCATTAAACAAACACATTGCTACTATCTGGTACAAATAGATGAGTTTAAATCCTAATGTAAAAGACATAAATGGAAACAAAGTTTCATTGCATAATCTGAAAAATTGCATAATAGGGGTAAAGAAAGATTATTATGGAAGCATCTAACTGTTACTGGTGGGTTCAGGCACTTCACAAAGAAGGTGATGCCTAAACTGGGACCCCTCAAATCCATTTTTGTTCATCAGGTTGAATAAATCATAAAATAATTTTGTCATTCATAATGTTAGTCCACTCCATGTTTGAAAAATTGTAGTTATTCTCGATTCTTTTCTTTCTCTTGCACCTCAAATTCAGTCAGTGAATACTATCAGTTTTATGCATTGTAGCACGGTCATTAAATGTGTTGACTCTAAAACTATTCCCACTGTATTTGAAACCTGATCCCAGTCCTTACTTGTTGTGTATTTTGGCAAGTTATTCTTCCTCTCTGTGCATCAGTTTATTTTTCTGTAAAATGCAGTTAATAATTATACCTACCTTTGAATGTTAATATAAGGATAAAGTAAGATAGTAAATATTAATTCTTTACCTCAGTGCTTAGCCCATAGTGAAGTATTCAATAAATATTCACAGTTATCAATAATATTGTTATGGCATCACTTAAATATTTTCTTTCCTTTCCAACACCCTTGAAATAACCCTGGTCACTCTTTTATTTATTTATTTATTTATTTTAATAGAAACGAGGTCTCACTGTGTCACTGTGTTGGGCAGGCTGGTCTTGAACTCCTGGACTCAAGCAGTTCTTCTGTCTCATCCTAACAAAGTTCTGGGATTACAGGCATAAGCCACCATGCCCAGCTCCCCAATCACTCTTTACCCTTGCTACTGTAGTACTGAATCCATATTCAAAAAGTTCATATGTATGTTGATTGTTTAGGTGCACCGCTTGCATTTTCTCATAGAAACAGTGTTGTGAATGATGGTTAAATTAACAGGCCAGTCCAGCAAAAACTAATTTAATGCAAATCTGTTAAATATATTATCATGTTGAGTCCTCTATAACCTAGCTATTGCATAATAAGTGTTTTTCGATTATTCAACAAATATTTAGGGAGTACCTACCATGTGCCCAGAACTATTTGGTGCTTAGAATATACCAGTGAACAAAACAAAGATTCTGAGCTTGAAGAGCTAATGTTCTAAAGGTAGAAGTTAGGACTTCTTTACAATCTTACAGCCTTCTGCCACTACTTTCTAAACTTAAAGCAGACACACAGCTTTTTGGAAGACTTCTAAGGCATTTCCATGGTAGGATTCTAAGAAAGACAACAAATGTTTAAAGAGGCTCCCTTCCATACTTTCTTATTCTCTTGGTTAATTTTGTCTCTGGAGAAACAAATTGGCACATAAAAATTAGCACTGGATCTTTGGCTATTCAAAATGAAGTTTTAGCTTCATTTGAGAGGAGAAACAATTTTAAGCTACAGAAAGGCATTTTTTTCTGCAGAAATTGGATGGGACTTATGCTGTCAGTGAGGACCCAGAAGGAAAAAAAAAAATGGGATAGGGGAAACAGCAGCTAGGACAGTGCTGGTGAGAGCATCTTCTAGGGCTTTATTCACTATTCCCTTTTCCCTCACCACTTCAGCCTTGCCATTTCAGACTCTCCAGTGGAATAGCCTGAATGAAAAGACAAGAAGAGAAAAATACCCATAAGCATGGGAATGAGATTTTAAGCTTTTGGGATGGAAAGGGAAGGGAAGGAAATCACAGAAACTGGCTCTAGTAAAGGATGTCAGTTTCTGTCCTCAAATGCCTCCAGGGTATATAAATAAGTCAGAAATACCCAACTTAGATTTTGACAGCAAACAGACCTGGGTTTGAATCCTAGCTCATACATTTATGACCTTTTTACGTTTGGCAAGTTATTTAACCACTCTAATTCTTTGCTTTCTCAATTCAGAGTTAATGAGAGGGAGCACCTTATGGATATGATTCTTGCTAGGATTGAATGAGATAATGTACATAAAGTGCTTATAAGAGTGACTGGTACATAGAAAGTGCCCATCCATGAAAATTAGTTCTTTTCTTCTGTCCCATAAGAATTAATTTCATTGTTTCATAAACATCAATGCATCCTTTCCTTCCCCAGTCCAAACTATCCTAGATACTACAGCTTAGAAATCGCTTAAAACACCTTTTGGATCTGCTATGCCCTGCCAAACAATCTCCAATGGATCCCCATCACCTATTGGGTAAAGTTTAAACTTAGGCTAGTATTCAGAGTCCTCCACAATCTGAGCCCGACTATTTCCTCTCTGCAATCCTACATGAACATTTTACTCAAGCCCGATTTGTCGACACTAGTGTTTCTCTAACAGAACTCAGGGCTTGTTGTTTAAGGATAGAGCCTTGATTTTGCCGGGAGGCTAGTGGTATGATGGTGGGGGTGCTGATAGCATTTCAAACAGGGGAGGGCAGGATCAGAGAAAAACCATGTTTCTCTTTTCTCTCTCTCCCTCTGTCCCATGAAGTATGCCTAGATTGTCTTAGCCAGAAAGTGTTTCTTTAAAAGACCAATTACTGTTCCTGCGTGTTTGGGGGAGTGGGGAGGGCGATGGGAAGGAGAGCATCAGGAAGAACAGCTAATGGGTGCTGGGCTTAATACCTGGATGATGGGTTGATCTGTGCAGCAAAGCACCATGGCACACGTTTACCTATATAACAAACCTGCACATCCTGCACACGTACCCCCGAACTTAAAATAAAAGTTGATTAAAAAAAGACCAATTACTGAGTCCCAGTTCTATAAGTCATGGTGCTAAGAATGGGCACTACAGTGCTTCCTCCTTGATTATGTAATCACAAAGAGGAGAAAGACAAATGTTTTTATCTAATTGTAATATGATATGATTCTTCCAGGTGTATGTGTATGTGCGCATGCATACGTCTGTGTGTGTAAGTGTGTGCGTCATGTAGACACATGAAGGGAAGTGTGACAAATTGATGTAAGTAATCATTTACTAAGATGGTAACATTTGAATGGGAACTTGAGATATTTGACATTCCAGAAACAACAAGCACACCAAGTAATGGAAAGAAAGGGAGGACATTTGAGACAGGGGAGCAGAAGATGCAAATGAATAGAGGTGTGAAAGAGTTTGGTGTGTTCAGGGAGTCCCACAAAGTCTAATGAGACTTTAGTACAGTCTTGGGATAAGAAGGGAGTTGAAAATAATGATAAATGGAGCTCTGAAGGTAGGTTGGAGCCAATTTAGGGATTAAATTACAATGATAATTGTAATTATCATTTATTGAACACCTAGTATGCTCTAGGCACTGCGTAAAATGCTACATATATGTGTATATATATACACATCTGTGTATATATATATATACACGTGTGTGTGTGTATATATATATATAATCATTTTTAAAGCCCTTTTTTTTGAGACAGAGTCTCACTTTGTCACTCAGGCTGGAGTGCAGTGGCACGATCTTGGCTCACTGCAACCTCTGCCTCCTGGGGTCAAGCAACTCTTGTGCCTCAGCCAGGTACGACCATGCCCAGCGAATTTTTGTATTTTTAGTAGAGACGGGGTTTCACCATGTTGGCCAGGCTGGTCTCGAACTCCTGACCTCAGGTGATCTGCCCACCTCTGCCTCCCAAAGTGCTGGCATTATAGGCATGAGCCACTGTTCCAGGCTAAAAAGCTTTTTATCAATCATATGAGCTATAAGAAATATTATTATCCCTATTTAATAAGTGAGGAAACTGAGGCAAAGATTAAATAAGTGTTCAAAATCACCAGCTGGAAATGGTAGAGCCAAGGCATAAACCTAGGTCTATAGGACCGCAGAGTCAATGAACATGAATGAATGAGGCATTGCCAATGGTGAGGTGAAAATAGAGCAGAGAGATTAGACTCTGAGGCATCCTCTGAGATAGAAAGATAGTGTTAATGTGGCCTGGTAACTTGTTTGGTGTTGAAGGCTAGAGTAGAGGCATGGAGTATGGAGGGTGACTCTAAGGTTTCTAATTTGCGAGATGTCATAATCTCATTAGCAGAGATGGAAAATTTAGGAGGGGAAGAGTGGTAGTGGGAGCATTAATACATTTGGATTTGTATGTTTTATAAACTTCAATATCTGAAATGGACTGAAGGTAGTCACTAGACTTATAAATACAAGTCGAAAGGTCTGGACAGAATATAGAGACCTGGGACCACAGCATTTGGGCAATAGTAGGAGGTGTGATTATGGATAAAATTACCCAGGGGGAATGTATAAAGTTAGAAGAGCATCAGGGATGGAGTACTTCTTTCTCTGAAACATTTTACATTCTCCTTGTGAAATAGCATAAGCTTCCTAGTGTTATGTAGTTTTTTTTAAACCTCTCTGATCTCTATCAAATTATCAGCTACTTGAGGACAGAGACCTCCTTGATGAATTTCTACAAACTAGCCAACATTTAGCAAAGAGCCTTGTGCATAGTGTGAATTCTTTTTATTGGATTGTCCCTTAGCATGGGGGTGTTAGGGATGGGACTCTGAAGTACCTGTGAGAGGCTTTGGGTTGTCAGCTAGGAGCTGGGGTGAGAGCTATACATTGGGAGCAATGGAGGTGAGAAGAAGGTGCCTACCACTCAGAGGTTGGGCTGTTTTCCCCATTTAAATGTGGCAATATAGTTATGTCAAAAAGTATAAATGTTGTGTTTTATCAAGTAAATATTCTTAGGCTTGCTGTTGGATAAAATTTGGTGGAGTCAGGGGGAAATCCTTCAACTTATGCTTTAAATTTCTGAAGGAAACTTCCAAATGTAGTAAAATAACAATCTGAGCTTGTATTCATTTTTAAATTTAGGAAAAATATTTCAATCATGCATTACAATATAGCTGTTTAAATGAACTATGATTCTTTCAGCATTTGTGAAATAAATAAAACAGGGCACTGAATAAAACCGGAGTATTGTTATTTCACTGTTGCTAAAAGACAAAATCAATACTTGATTACTCTGAATTAGTATATCCAACCACGCAAATCTTTAACCTCAGATTAACTAAACATAAGACCGTGACCCAACCTACAACAGTAACATTTAGCAATAGAGAATGAACTGGTGCTGAGCCTGTTTGTAAAGCTTGGAGTTGCACTGATGTCCAGGCTAGTTTTCTGACTATCATTCTGTCTGAAGTAGCTGCAGAATTATGTCAGCAGAATTTTAACTAACTGGCATTTCTGTGACCGTTTCCTTTCTCCTACTCCTACTACTCATTTTATAACACAGCTTATAAATGAGGCCTTTCCTCAGGGAAATGAAAGGCCTCAGTGATACTTTGTATCACATTAAAGGTTGTTTTCTTTGTTAATATTGCAAAGAGTTTTACAAATGGCCATTTCTCATATCCCTAACTGTTCATTAAATCATTCAAAATTTAGGCTGGGCGCAGTGGCTCACGCCTATGATCCCAGCACTTTGGGAGGCTGAGGTGGGTGGATCACGAGGTCAGGAGATGGAGACCATCCTGGCTAACACGGTGAAACGCTGTCTCTACTAAAAATACAAAAAATTAGCCGGGCGTGGTGGCGGGCGCCCGTAGTCCCAGCTACTTGGGAGGCTGAGGTAAGAGAATGGTGTGAACCCGGGAGGCACAGCTTGCAGTGAGCTGAGATCACGCCACTGCACTCTAGCCTGGGCGGCAGAGCGAGACTCCATCTCAAAAAAAAAAAAAAAAGTTATTCAAAATTTAAAACTTACGTATTGATTACCTGCTATGTGTCAGATAGTATACTAAACATTGGAGCTATAAGTAGTCTGCAAAACTGGCAAGGAACCTATACATACATTCTATACTGGTGGAGACAGATAATATACAAACAAATACGTAAGTGAACTAAATAATTTCAAATAGTGATTCATACCAGACAATAAAATAAGATAATGGGAAACAGTGATTTTGTGGTGGTGGTAGTGGAGAGCTGGGAAACATTAACTAAGATTATTAAAAAGCCCTCTCTGAGGAGGTAACATTTGAGCTGAAACCTGAGTGATGAGAAGGACTCATTTAGGCAAGGATGTGGGAGAAGAGGATCCCAGACAGAAGTAACAGCAGGTACAAAGTTTTGAAGCCTGGAATGAGTGGGCGGGTCTATGGAACAGAAAGAAAGCCATTGTGAATGAAGCAGGTGTGAGTACATGATTTGAAAATGGAGAAGCAGTCAGAGTTCAGATCATTCAGGGTGTCATGGACCATGATAGGAAGCTTAAATTTGATTCCAAGGAAAGTGGGAAGTCCCTGTTGGGTTTATCACTCTGGCTTCTGAGATTTGCCTCAGGGCCTTCTTGTTTCCTGGCATCCTGCTTCTTCCTGTAGCAAATCCTGCCTGGGTTTCACTAGCCTGGAGAAGTGATTAGCTCCCCAGTGATCTAGAACCATCCTTTCTGTGCTGTCACTGTCCTTCCCTGACTTCACCTCTCCCTGCCTGGGATCTGAGGGAGACTTCCTTATTTCTGTCAACAGAGGGGCCTTTCCAGAATTTGTGGATCAGGTCAGAAAAAGATTCCATCCTTGAAAGGCCACAAAAATCTTCCTGGTGTAGATGAGTGCAATTTTTTTGCAGCAGCACCCCTCAGGCAGATGTATGAAAGTGTAGCTGCCCAGGTGAGAACATGTACCCAGGAAGGCCTCCATCTCAGAGGAAATTCATGGGACATCTCTGCAGTGTCATTGATTTCAACATACTCTTCACGAGATGTCAGGATGATGGAAGCTGTTGGTGTTTAATAAGAAATTTTGAAAAAAAGTGAGCTAGATAGAAATCTGAGATTTCTGCATGCCTTCAGCTTGGTCCAAGGCTTTGCGTCCTTAGAAAGGCAGTCTCTGTGGTTTGGGATTCCACCAGAGTGGAGTAAAAATGCCTATGGAACTCTGTAGTTACAGATTTTGTGTGTATCAAGCTGCCTTTCTATTGTCAAAAATAACCTTTTCGGTTTGTACCGTGCTTTCCAGTTCACAAACCTTGTCACATGCACAATCTAATTTTATCATCAAACCAAACCTACAAGGTTTAATTCTATGTTAAAAATTATGAAACTGAGGACCATAGAAAATGACCCCAGGAAAATGTCAATCTTTACATAAACTATAGAGAAATGAATGAATGTGGCAAATCCTTTAAAAATAGAGCTAATGGGATATTTTTATAGTTAGTTATGGAAGATGCATAATACAGCATCTTTGTCATTGCCATGGACAGAAAAATTGAATTAGGGCTAGTCTATAGAAGTTGTTATTGTAGAACGAAGTTATTAATTCTCCAAGTAGTTTGTTATGTTTAAGTTTCATACAGCTAAAATAAATTTTTTTAGAAAGGCATTTCCTTTTCTTTCTATTTTTTTTTCTTTCTAGTTGTTTCATCCTTGGTGTAGCTCTGGATTAAGTAATCAAATTGTGAATATTCTGTATGCTGATATTAAGTACATTGTTTAATAATGTAGTTTTATGTTAAAAAAAAAGGCTCTTCCCTTTAGTGGGTCATGAGATATGGACAGGGGTGAAGAGAGCTGGACCTTTGAAATGAGAGAAGCTCTTATTAATAAAGAGTAGATTCCAGTTATACAGTGACAGATGGGACCCAAGGACGTCCAGAAGTTTGTGAAGGACATTGTCAATGTCATAATTGCAGGAATACATCTCAGTTTCCCTAGGCTTTTGTAATCAGTGGTGTGCTACATGTAAATCACATCTATTTCACAGAGTTGTTGGTCTTGAGGAAGAGTTTGGGAAGTAACTGTGAAAGAGGAATTGAACTCATATTTACAGACCTCCTACAATGTGCTTGGAACTGTGGCAAGATTTTTCTGAGTGTTATCCCATTTACTTTCCACAAAAGTATTGAGAGGAAGTACTAAGCTCTTTTTGGAGATGAGAGGATGTCACTGACCCTTAAAGTGGTTAAGTACCTTGATCAAGGGACAAAGCTGGCAGATTAAAGATTCAGACCCAGGTGACTCCAAAGCCTACTTTTTCTTTCCTTTACAGCCCTTGTGGTGACATGAATGAACTTTCTTAATTAAGATTGCTGATTCGTTTATATTTTCTAACGTGCATCATAACCTAGCTGTTTACTGTAGTTAAGTCTTTTATTTTTTTTTTCTTATGGAGTTTCGCTGTCGCCCAGGCTGAAGTGGTGCAGTGATGCAATCTCAGTTCACTGCAACCTCCGCCTTCCGGGTTCAAGTGATTCTCCTGCCTCACTCAGCCTCTTGAGTAGCTGGGACTACAGGTGAGTGCCACCATGCCTGGCTAATCTTTGTATTTTTAGTAAAGATGGGTTTTCACCATATTGGTCAGGCTGATCTTGAGCTCCTGACCTCAAGTGACCTGTCCGCTTCAGCCTCCCAAAGTGCTGGGATTACCGGCGTGAGCCATGGCGCCCGGCCTAGTCTTAATTTTATATTAAGCAAGCAGGATTAACTTCCCTAATTCTGGAAGTCAGACGGTTGAGTTGTAGAAAGATGCTTTATGAATCTTTATATGAATCTTCCTTCTGCTGTTAGGTTTAGTAGAGCAACCCCCTTAATATCACTATTTCTGGCGCTTTGATTAGTTGCTTGTTGGAATTGTCAAAATATCTAAAAATTTTAATAAAATAGAACCTTAAAGGGAGAAAAATCACACCGTGAGCCCAAGAGAACTCCAAACACTCACCAACATGGGGACCAAGGCACCTGATTATTATGTATTGAGGTACCATTAAGACCTGCAGTATTAGTTTCAAATGAAAACAAAATGAGACAAGATATGTGCACAGCTTTTATGACAAATTTATAATATTGAAGACAAATTAATTTAGGTACCATTTTACAGTATTTGTGCCAGAAAGAAAATTACGAGAGCTGGGAGAACCTAGGAAAAGCCAATAAGAACTGAAAAGGGAAATTTTCATGATTGGGTTTTTAAAAATTAGAAATATAAGTTCAACACATACACCCACCTTTTGCCTTATAGTTGTAAACATTTTTGACTACAAAGGAAAATATATTTGCAATGTCAAGTTTGCTACCTCAGTGAGAATAACTTATTGAGATTCAAATGTGGGATCCCAAAGTAATTTTAGATTTGAATGATTTTCATCGTGGATACTTTTTAGTTTGCTTCTTGCACTTCAGCAGAATTTTCCTCACAATTTTGGCTTAAGTTTCCATCTCCAGGACATAATCTTGCAGGATCACCTCTCACCCTTATCTCTTGGTGACTGGGTACTGAGATGGGACATTATGAACTTGATCTGACAATTTAATAAGATGTAATAAGACCTGAAATAGAGGCAATGCCCTTTCAACTGAGAAGATCTAGATAGGTACAGAAACTTTTCAAGGGTATGTCTAACTAAATTCCCGTTAAGAATTCTCTTTGAAACATTAAATGTCTTTTCCTGTTTGAAACTAGAATGTGATCAGTTGGAATATTGGCAAAGAACAGGTCATTAGTGAAAACTCCAATGAAGACAATTGGCTTTGGGTTTGATTTTCCTGTTTTTGCAGTTAGCTTAGCACCAGATGGTGCCCTAGTGAGTTCTGTATAAATAATACAATCATAGGGTTGAGTGATTCTCTACCAGTCACAGACTGAAGCAGAAAATAGCACTTGTCTTTCCACACAAGCTCATGTAGATTCTTTTACTGCTGAATTGTTCTTATGCAGCTCTAACCCTTAAATTGTTATTATGGTTGGGTTTTTTTCTGTTTCTTTATTGGGCAGGCAAGCAGCCAAATCCTCACTCTGACCTAGAGGGAAGGGCTGCTGGATTTGAGGATCTTTAGCTGATACATACATCCCTTGCAGAAAGAAGAGGCAAAGAAGTAAAACTCCCTGAATTCTCTCTATTGTTCCTGGAAAAAAAAAAAAAAAAGGAGTGGCCCTACACATTCCCTTGACAGTTGGTGAACATTAGGGGGTGATGGAACTGGCTTTGCTTACAGAAATTCTGTGACAACCTCTTACAGGCTTTCAAGGTTCACCTCAAGAGCCAACTCCAGCCCACAATGCTCAATGATCTCTCTCTGGGTTCATATGACAGTTGTATTTTGTACCTCAAGATCAAGCTCTTCATTGCACTGTATGGTGTTATACCTTCCCCACTCTTTTTTCTTTGGATGTAAGTCTTGTCTTACCTACAACATTGTAAGTTGCTCTGATCTATTTGCTTACAACCTGCACTGCTTAACACAGAATTGGGTATTTAATAACTATTTGTTGGCATATGTGGGTCACAGTTCTCAAACATTTGAGCAGAGTTTTAATGGTCAGTATCCTACTGAAAGAACAGAGTTCATATATTGTGACATAAAAGATTCTAGTTTCTTGAAAAAGAAAAAATAAAAAGCCTTTGCTGCTCTTCCCTTTCTCTTTACTCTCCCGAAGATTTGACCCATGTAGTAGCGAACCACAGAAAACATGATGTAGCATATCGGGAGCAATGGGCAGAATCACTAAGAATCTTTCTTCTTTTGAGAAGAGCCTCTGTTTTTACTTTGGAAGCACAAGTACTCATACAATATGTCCAACCTTCACTAAAATTGGCCCACTCCATTGTCTTTCTAAGCAAACATGGGGCTCCATTTCCAAGTGACTGTTATTTCCTATGTGTTAGATGTTTGGGGTGACCTCAAAAAAGTCATTAGTGTATTCAGAACAAGTTATTCAAACTGGTAATTTATTAATCATATCCAAATGACCCATTTCACATATTCCCCAAAGTATTTTATGGTCTTCTGCAGGGTTCCCAAAGTGTTTCCTGTGGAATATCAGTATTCCATGAGATATGAATAGATGCCTCTTGGAAAAAAAAATTGGTTGTTTTGTTGTTTGGAGAAATGTTAGACTCTCTGTTTGCCTCTTGGGGCAACACACTGCATGTTAAAGGCTCTGAGGATTCCTGCAGCAAAAATATCTGGTTAATTTGTTTAACTTGGCATTTAGCAAACATATTTGACCTTAGAAAGAGAATATCTAGTGAGTATTCTGTGCCAGGCGTACATTAACTTATTGAATCTCTATGCTAAGACTCTAAATTAGGTACCATTACCTGGATTTAAAGATGAGGGATTGAGAATCTGCTATATTTAAGGACTTTTTCTAGGTCATACAGTGACAGAGTCTTGTATAGTGAGTTCTTATGTTGCCTCTGCCACCAGCTAGCTATGTGCTACCATTTTGGGCCAACAGGTCAATCTTAATTTCCTTATCTGTGAGTCACAGTTAAACAATAAGGTTGCTTTGAAGATGAAACTTAGTTGAATTTATATTATAGTATTTTGGTTAAAAAAGTGGTGTATAAGTAGCATTTCTACTTTACAAAATCAGGAGGAGAAGGAGGGGAAAAACATCATCCTATAAGAAACAACATATTCACTCAACATATTCACTCAAAACACATAATGCTAACTGCTAGACTTTTAAGAACGAAAGCAAGCAAACAAAAACGTAGTTTTAGCTGTGCAGAATAGTGACCAGAACATGTACATTTTCATTTATAAGTATTATATATTTTTGGTATAGTCAGACTCTGCATCTCATGTACCGATCAAATTGGGTAGTACAACATTAAGGCACCCAATGGTATTGTGAAATTTTAAGACTAGAAATACATTATGACTAGATATTGGAGCTTTGATCCTTAACTACAACTTTCCTTGCTTCTATGGCTTTAAGCCAGAAGCTGAGCTTCTTTGATTTTTCTTTTGTATCGTCCATTTTAGGTAGACACTACATAAACCACTTGTGGCTCTGCCTCACTCCACCAATTCCACAATGTGGTATCTGATTGTTAGGACTCCACTGTCTCTCCCAACTTGTCAAATTCACCATATGAGGTAAATTCATTTCTACTTGGCACTTTACAATCTTAATGTTTAATGATGTAGATAATAAATTTCCCCCTAATTTTTGATTATTCTGCTTGTGAAATCTAGATATACATACACATACATACATACACACATAACACAATAGAGATTCTGCACATCAGCTTGAATGTGGAGATGGGTTTATAACAAAGGGGAAGAGGACTTCTAATTAAATGTCTACCTTGCCAAATTGGAAACTGATTTCCTTGTTACCCAAGTTGAACTGAATCCTGTTTTCAATCTAGAAGTAATTACCAAGGCAGTACACAATTGTACTGAGGCAGACTGCATTTTGCATTCTGCATCCCTGAACTGTCATTAGCTGATATCATAAATATTGATATATAGTATAATACTCCACCAAGTTTATTAAAAGGATAATTTAGAAGTCCATAGTGGTTTTATCATCCAGGGTTCTGCCATTCTCAGAAGTGTGATGAGTGTTTCCGTGGTTTTCCTAGATTTTGTATTTATGAGTTGTTTATGGCTCTGACATTATTTTATGTCAGAATTCATTAACCTTTAAAAAGTTTCTGATATGGTAAGGCCTTATTGTCACCTCTGCTTTCTAGACACACAGAATGCATCCCAAGAAGAGGAGATGGAACCGATAGCATTCAGTTTACTGGAAGCTGCTTTCTTTGGCCACTTGGTTTCTGAGGTGTAGTGCTGGATGTGCTGTAGAGGGCAGAACTGCCTGTGATGTGATGACATTCCATTTCCTTTATTGCAGCCCCAAATTACAAGGTCCATTCTCTGATAACTATGATTTCTTGAAAGGTGTGCATCCATCTCTTTACTGTAAAGAATAGAAGAGAAATAGTGCCACTGTTTAAAGAATGGTTTCATACGTAAGAAAGGATAATTGCCACGGAATCTGTGCATAGCCTGAAAGAGTTTATACTCTGACAAAAGCATTTCTTTAATGGCAACTCCCTGGGTGGATTAATGCTTCTGTCTGGGTTCTTCTCAACAGAGCTTAAGGGGCTGAATGGGATAGACAATACAAAAAAACCCAAACAGACAAACTAGCAAAAACCTCCCCCATTCCTTTTAAAACCTTTTGCTCTTGTGCAGCTGAAAAAGTGAAGCAACTATTAGAAATACCTCTTAACACTTATTAAATACTGAGCCTTCTACTGCTAAGCAGTGACTTAGGAAGTAATGAAGCTGAAGCTAGACCTACTTTAATATTGATTCTGGCCTGAAATAAACGTTTATGTCCTTGAAATAATTTGTTGGTGGTTGTTTATTCATTATTTTCTTTATATATTAAATGGGAAGTCCTTTGGTCTCCTTCAAGTTCTGGATGGGCTAATTAGCCATTTTGTAAACCAATATAGTACCGTATTTCGTCTGGATAAATTAATTTATAGTCTTACATTGAAATGTAATTAAAATGTTGTTGCAACTAGTTTTTAGTCCCTAATCAGCAGTTGCTGTTACCCTGTACACGAATTGGATGGTAAATTTTATTAGCCCTTTTTCCTGGGCAAAAGATAGTGTCTAATCACAGTCTGATCCACAGAGCTGCAGAACAAGCCCGCAACTTAAGCTTGCTAAGCAAAAGTTTTCCATGCCCCATTATTAAAGATATAGGGAGAAAGATGTTTTTCTTTTTGCTTTGATATTATGTTTTGCATTTTCTTGTTGTTGTCTTTATGCTTGACAGTTCCTACCTTATGAACTTGAAAAGAAATAACGCCATTTTTTGTTGGAATTTAAGCCAATATTCACTTATTTTGTTCTTCCAATATAAATGCCAACTACAAACGCAATCAATCCATCAGTTTGTCTGACAATGCTATTTAAAAGTAAATTTCAGCATTGAAGCTTCATTCATTAATTTATTCTCCCACTCAACAAATATTTATGTATGCTGACCCTGTTCAAGGTATTGTGCTAAATAGATCCTATGGAGTTTTTTGAGGACATAGCAAAACACGACCCTTTTATTTATTTATTTATTTTTGAGATGGAGTCTTGCTCTGTCGCCCAGGCTGGAGTGCAGTAGCACTATCTCAGCTCACTGCAAGCTCCGCCTCCCAGGTTCACACCATTCTCCTGCCTCAGCCTCCTGAGTAGCTGGGAGTACAGGCGCCCACCACCATGCCCGGCTAATTTTTTTGTATTTTTAGTAGAGACAGGGTTTCACCGTGTTAGCCAGGATGGTCTCGATCTCCTGACCTCGTGATCTGCCTGCCTCCGCCTCCCAAAGTGCTGGGATTACAGGCGTGAGCCACCGCGCCCGGCCGACACTTTCTTAAGTTTAAAATTTGACGTTAGTCAAGTTAAAATTTTAACATACCAGATTTTTAGCCAAAGGAGGCCAAGTTGATGACAGAAGGTATATCAGTAGGCGTAGTGTATTGTCACAACTATAGTAGTAACAATGTGAAGACAGCAACAATATTTGCTGAATTAGTGACTTAACTGGAAATTTAAATTGCTTGACTCTCAGCCCTTTAAAATAACACGGACAGAGTTTTTTGTAACGATCTGTGCAATCATGTAACTCACATTGCTAAGCATGTTTTCTTCAGAAGGCACATTATCTCAGGATCAAAATAAGGAATATTGTATCATATTTGTGTCACAGACCTCAATTTTAACACATTTAGTAAATTAAATGGAAGGAACTAAAAATCAGTGGGGCTTTGATTTGTGAGAAATGTATTTAGAATTTTTGGTAACAGCTGTTTGCACCTTAGGTGAGATGTACTAAAATGCTTTGTGTTGCTTTACAACATTGCTTGAATTTGCAGAAATAAAATTTTGTGACTATTTCTGCATGTACATACATACTCACATACACACATGCACCTCAGTTGAAAAAAAGATTGGTGCTACTCAGAATCGATAGAGACAATATAGTTAATGAATCTATGTCTAATTCAAAGTGTATCTTGCTGATTAGTTAGGGGATAGGCCAACAAAATTCTTTGCGCTGTGAACTAATGTATATTATCCTGAAAGGGGTTAAAAAAAAAGGAGCAGAAAACAACTTCTTTTCACCTAAACTTGTTCTCAGGCGAGAGGTCACAACCATCACTCAGTACCAGAAACCTGGTCTTCAGTAGTTAGGGTCAAATGGGTAGCCAACCTTCTAACATGAGGGTAGGGTGGTGGTGGTTGGTGAGTCTGGAAGCTGAACAGCCCTGGAGGACAAGGCTGCACTGTTACATGGCAGCTCAGCACACACAACAGAGTTCCACTCTTTATCTTCTTTGTGTTAACAGGCTCTTGTTTACACATTGCTATTTCTGACACCTTTTCAACAAAAGATTAAGGTAGTTGAAAAATCAGCCCTTTTGAAGCATGCACTCATTGGAGGAAAAGTTTTTTTTTTTTTTAAATCATTACTCTGCTACTAGTATTTCTCTAGAGTTTCTCTCATCAGAAACTCTGGTCCAGGTGTCATGGGGAATTAGGATTGTTTGTTAGGTCTGGATAACCAAGTATTACAGACTTCGAGGGTAGGAGGAAACCTTATGGTCATTTAGACCAACACTCATCTGATGTTTGGATCTCTTCTGTTTTTAAAAAGAGTCCCACTTACAGAGAACTGCCTCCTGAGACAGCCCTTGTTCAGTGTTTTCTCAAGAGTGTTCTCTTTAACACCAGCCTCAAGAGGTACTACAAAAAGAAGTGTTCCATGTTCAAATAACTTTGAGAAGCAATAGTCACCATATCGACTTTGAGTATTCCTGTAGAAAATAAACCTGTTTATATCAACTTGGAGTATCCCCCAACTTATTTGGTCATGGAAACTCTTTCTCCAAGAAAACATGCTTTAGTATTTCATTCCACAGAAAACTCACTGTAGTATGTGTTTTTTTCCAGATAATACATATTTATTAAAGCAAATTAAAATTGCATTGGCTTTTTGGATTCATATAAAACTGACCTTTGACTTCTTGAGTCTTATTTTTTAGCACAACTTGCTGTTTAGCCACATCAGCATGTTTTGTTTGGCTTGACTTTTTGGTCTTAAGTATTGGTCTTCGTTTTTACATTTTGTCTTGTTGGAACCACCCTACCTCTCCAGCTTGGCTTTTTGGATCCAGGCTAAGTCATCTTGTACATTCTTCAGCAGTCTGAGATCTGTACTATTCACTGATGTCATAAGCATACTCTCTTCATCTTTATTCATTTTGTTGATTGGAAATGATGAGCAGGACTGGACAAGGTTGGTATCACTCTATAAACCATCACCCATTGATTCTGACTGTTAATCTCCCAAATTAGTAAAAAATTTTTCAGAAGAGAGTTTCCAATAATCCATGCCTCTAGCCTTTGTGGTTTGCAAACCTTTTTTTCAAGAGCCAAATCATGTTTCCCTATTTTTAGCTCTCCAATTTTTTTCTGAGGAGAAACTGGTAATAATATGGTTTCTAAATATAGTGGCTCATCAGCTCTTCATAAAACCAATGCCATCTCTTTTGAAGAAGTAATGTTGGTCAAAATCCTGCCTCATATTTTGCAGAATATGTTTTTGGAATATCTTAAAACATCCATGGTGTCTTTCTGTGCATAGATAATTTAGTTTGTATGGTTTCGGTATATTTGCGTTTGTATTGTAATTTTCTGTCTGAAGGAATAGTTTCTTGAAGTTGTATACGCTAATTAGTATAGTTTGTAAAATAATAGATACTTTTAAATGTGTGGGAGGCACAGCTTTCAAATGAAGTATTTAAATATAATTGCTGTTTAAACATTTAACTTAAAAGATGTGTATTAATTAATTTTTCTATAACTAACTGCAGGTTTAGGGTGGCTTATTGTTAATTAATCTCTGCACAAAGCAAAAAAAAATCCAATCTGTTGCCCAAACTTACCTGAGACATCCTATTTTAAATGTACTTTATTTATATTTATGCAAGTATGTTTGCAAAGGTTTAGCCCCAACTACTTATTAACACTAAATTGGATCCTGGAGAAGATTTTTTTGCTTTGTTTGCAAATCCCTAGTGTAGTATTACTGAGATTTTGAATCTACTTTTCAATATCAGAGCATCTTTAAATGTTCATTGTTAAGGTCAACTTACAAAGGAGTGTGTCAGAAGCACTAGAGAGCTCAAGTTCTGAGACTGAAAAGACCTGAGTTCATGATTGACACCATGCCATTTTCTAGCTGAGTCACTTTGAATAAGTTATTTTATGTGTCTAAATATCAGTTCCTCATTTGTAAGATGAAAAAAGGATGATGATGGATACCTACCTCATAGGATTGCTTTAAAGATTACATGAAGTGTATTCAAGTGAAGCACTTATCACATTGCCTTACACACATTAAAAACTGGATAAGTGATTCTTAAGCTCTTAAGTTTTATCTATAAGAAAAACCCTTAAAATGTCCACGAAAAGTTGGCATGTTAAAAATGAGACTTTAATTTGCACAAGGTTCTGACAATCAAAATAATCATATTTCTCAGAAGTCTTCTATTTTCATGATGATGATGGATTATATCACCTGACTTATACAACACGGTAGCATATTTGAAATTCAGACCATTTCAGAAAATCTGTTTCACACAGTCACCACATCAATAGAACCCAAAACATATCTCAATCATAACACCACATTGGGCTGAAATGCATCTTGTAAGTAGGACAAGTAGGGTAATAGGATCTACTGCTCTTGCTAGGCCAAGATGTGGTCCAGACAGTCAGTCAGAAAACAAACAAATAAAAACAAAATAATGGTCCCTTCCCATTGGATACTTAACTCGCCTGAATTTGTCAAAGTGGCAGTGGGCTTCTTTAAGATAATTTATGTTTAGGACATGGCTCTGGACATTTTGTTTCCCTATCAAAGGCAGCTAATTTGATTAAAATTTTGTCTGGATATTTTTCATTTCTTAGGTACAGCCTAAGTTACAGAAATACATGTACCATGGCTCTGAGTGAAATATCTTTGGGTGGAGTAGACCCCTATTTAATATTAAAAGTATGATGAGATTTAATTATCACCAGTCCTGTAAGGATTCAGAGGATGAGACCAGCCAACAGCCCAAGTCCTCTGAAGAGACAGCCTCAGAGAACAAATTCAATAGATGATATCAGACAGTCAGCAGGGCCTCAGGGACGCTGGTACAAATTACTTTCTGCACAAGGAGGCCCTGCTGAGGGGGACGTGAATTTGAACTGTAACATAGCCTGCATTCAACTCACAGTGGGCCCTTTATAGTTGTTCAGCCTGAAGGTGGCACCTTGTGGTAATTCTTCCACGCAGAGGAAGAGTCTTATTGTATTTTAAACAAAGGTGCTTCACAATGAGTGCAGACCTGGCAATCAGTTTCCATTCAGACTTTGGCTCTGCTCCCATGTGTCTTATAACTGTATATGAAGGGACAAGACCCTTTAATAGAGAATTTGCCCTGTTTTAGGAGCTAAATGACTTGGTCCCTCCCAGAACAATGCTTTTCTTTCTATAATATTTCTTGAAATGATAATTTAGTAAGGTAAATGATACCTTAACAGTACAATAAAAAAAGAACTGGGACTTTGTAGTCAGAAAGCCATAAAGCCCTGGATTTTCTTTCTAATTTCAGTATCTCCAGGCTTTGTGACCTTGATCAAGTTAATGGAAAATGGGGCATGTATAAATAAATCAGATTGACTCTCTATAACATTTTAAATGGTCATATATACGCTGTAAATGTTATTAAATTTCAATGAAATTTGGTACATGAGTAGAAAGAAATGAATGATTTATGAGACAAAGAAATGACTCTCTTTGCTATTTTAAAGCAGAATCATCATCCTATCTATAATATTTACCTTAGGTGAAAATCACCTCTGGTGCACGTTGACTGATAGAATATATGTATGATACTTTACATTTATGTGAATTCAGGAATTCAGAGAACCATTTCTTATATAATGGCTGCCTCTGGGACTTAGAGGAAGTGACTCTTTGTGCTGTAATCTGGCCCTTTGGGGTTTGAGCTGCAGAGAGGAGAGGACCCATGCCGCTATGTTTTGAATATTTTGAGATTTGAGAGCAGCAAACCAGATCACAGAAATCAGCTGGTGCTAGGTCCACTGAGCTAATCTTACAAACATTTCAGAAATTGACAGGTGGCCTACAATAATCCTATTCTGCTAATAAAGTTTTTTTCTTTAATTTCTCTAGTAGAATTAGTTCTGTAGAGAAGTGCCCATTCCATACAGAATACACTTATCAGCAATAATATTACAAGGTTGTTATTCACACAGGAATGGGAAAAGCAACTGGAAGTTCTAGTAGCTTTGTTGCTACATTAATAGATTCTGCTGTCAGGCATAAGTTGTTCTGCAGGAATACTAAAAAGTAACCTAAGAATAAATAGCTACAAAATCAAGTTCCAATAATATCCTTATAATTATTACTAGCTCCAGGATTGTGGAGAAAAGCCTACTGGAAAACGCTTACCATTCATCGAAATATTTTTAGTAAACAACACTGAATCATAAAGAATGTTCTGTGTGTTGGTTGCTAATTGTTTTTATAAATTGATCTGTGATTCACTTACTTAATTCTGTTCCATATCTGTTCCTTATTATTTTCTGGTAGGAGTTGGTTCAGAACCCATATTAATTTATGATTTCTCTGGTTCACAAATTCCTACTTTACTCACATTAGACCATAGAATTAAGCTCCATCCCCAAATTGTTTTTTCTATCATCTACATTTTTTGATATCACATCTACTGTTGCATTTTACTTCCCTAAAATGCATTGTTTTTCATATGACTCCTTTTAATGTGTCTTTGATTTTTTAAATTGTTGTTTCCATTGGTGACATTTTTGAGAGTAATGTTAAATTAGTTCTACAACTTCTTTTGGCTGCTATAAAGTCTACAAAACTGGAAGTGTAAAGTAGTATCAGAAAGAATGATAATCTTATAATGCATAAAATACTTAATCAAGTTTAACAGAACCTTTCCCAATCCTTTTTTTGATTGAATAGCTTACTTCTGTTGGGATCCTTAGATTGACAAGCTGATTAGGAAGGAAATGTGTTTGGTAGATTCTTTGAGTTGTCACATTCTAGACAGTTTCATTTTGATGTGTGCTTTAATTAAAATAAATTTATATACAAGGGTGCGGCATAATTTTAGCAGTTGGTAGAGATTTTTGGAAGCTTCTTTTTTCTATTTTCCTAAGGGTATTTTTCTATTCAAAACATCGCATTGGCAGATAGTGGTGTGAATTTATCCCAAGCTCTATGAAACCAATCTTTTTTTTTTTTTTTTTTTTTTTTTTGAGACAGAGTTTCACTCTCGTTGCCCAGGCTGGAGTGCAATGGCGTGATCTCGGCTCACTGCAACCTCCACCTCCTGGGTTCAAACGATTCTCCTGCCTCAGCCTCCCAAGTAGCTGGGATTACAGGCATGCACCACCACGCCTGGCTAATTTTGTATTTTTAGTAGAGACGGGGTTTCACTATGTTGGCCAGGATGGTCTCTATCTCTTGACCTCATGATCCACCCACCTCGGCCTCCCAAAGTGCTGGGATTACAGGTGTGAGCCACCATGCCCGGCCTCTCCTAGGTTTATGTGTTGGGTTACCTAGCTGATAAATTGGGATCTTATAAACTTATATTGTGAATGCACACTGGGCTAGTCCCCTTACCTGTGAAATGGCTTTCTTGGTTTTATGTCTACCTGAGGGCAGGTGTCTTGCCATCTGTTCTTATACCCCCATGAATCAGCTCTCTGGACTCCCTGGTGGTATTTGCTTAACACACTCAACCTACCTGGTTTCCTGTTAGTTGGCTATGCTGCAATTTGAGGTGTCCAAATGTAGTGGAACCCTCAGCATTTCTTTTAAAAGACAGTCTTTTTATTCCTCCACAGTCAGCTTTGTTTCTCATTCCACCCAATAGCCATCTCCAGCTGTGTCTTCTTCCTTCAAATTAGATGATTAGGTTCTCCAAATCTCATCATGAAAATGGAAGTCATCAAGCATGAACTCCCTCAACTTTGCTCATCCTCGTCTTTAAAATGTTATCAAGCTTTTTTTTTTCTCTTTTCCTCCTGTCTTTGAGTAACAGGCGTGTTTTACCAATATGTTTTCATCTTTTTTTTCTTTCTACTTTCTTGTTGCAGGTCCCTTAACTCAGGCTGTCATCATCTGTCATTTTCTAACTATGATTGTCTCTAGTCTTCTCCACTAACTTGCCAGTCCATGCTCCACAACATAGCAAAAATGATTCACCACTCAAATCATGTTACTGAGTTGCTTTCAACTCTTCTTTGCCTGCAAATTAAAATCTAAAATATGTAACATAGCGAACAAAGTCCTTCCTAATCTGAAGTGTTATAATGTAATTTTCCCCCATTCCCCTTGATGCAGTCATAGTCACTGTTTTCTGGTCATACCATGCACATTTATATCCTGGTCCCTTGGTCTATGCAAGTATTTGTGTTCCCTTTCCTAAAATATCTTACCCACCTTCTGGACAGGGTGAGTTTCTACTCATCCTGCAAGACTTACTTGAAATATTGCCTCCATATGACACCTTTTCCAGTCCACCCCTAGGCAGCATTAAGTCCTACATATTTTCATGGCTGTGTTTGCATGCTTTCTTTTTGAGACAGAGTCTTGCTCTGTCACCCAGCCTGGAGTGCAAGGGTGCAATCATGGCTCACTGCAGCCTCTAACTCCTGGGCTCAAGTGATCCTCCCACCTCAGCCTCCTAAATAGCTGTGTCTACAGGAGTGTACCACCATGTCTGGCTATTTTTTTTTTTTTTTGTATATTTTGTAGAGCCAGGGTTTTGGCATGTTTCCCAGACTGGTCTCGAACTCCTGGCCTCAAGCGATGCACGTGTCTCAGCCTCCCAAAGTGCTGCGATTATGGGCGTGAGCCACCGTATCTGGCCTTTGCATACTTTTATTACAGCATCTCCACATTGCCTTGCAATTATCTGTTTGTGTGCCTTTCTGTCCTTAATAGCCTGGTGAACATCATGCCTTAGTCATCTTTGTTTCTCAAGCTTCTAGCATAGTGCCTGACATACAGTGGAAAGTCCCTACATATTATTGAATGAGCAAATGGAAGAATGACAAGTAAGCAGCTCGGGTTTCATTTGAAGCCTCCAATTCCAGACACTTGAAAGAATAAACAACATTACAAGAAAACTGGTGAAATTAAAGCAAGAGATGGCATAGATAATGACAGGTAATTACTGGATTGCAAAAGTCACACACTAGCTGAGGCTTTTGTGTAATGTGGGGAGTAGGAGGGGCAGGGATACAAAGAGAAATAGAGTGAGATAGAATGAGTAGCTGACAATGATGGAACACTTGACACACACAGACAAACATACACAGACCCCTAAATTTTCTATCTGGCACCTCCTTTTATCCTCTTAAGCATGAATATAATAAGCCAGTAGCTTACATCTTCCCCAGAAGTGCCTTCCCAAAGGGCCATGTTCACCACTTGACTATGCTCCTAAATGTCATTCCCTATGCTTCTCCATGGCTGAAACCCCACAAGGAGGTTGATTCAACTTACTCCCTTCCCCAACTACTGCCATTCTTAGTCTCCTCCCACTTGGTATTACAGTATGCCAAATATTTTTCTTGAGTTCTGTCTCAAAAGGCTCTAAATAGATCCAGCCACCAACTAAGAGACATGACATGTTTAAATTATATGAGCCTTTAAACTAAATGTGTTGAAAGGCTGCCCCATTTATTCATTTATCCACACATTCAACAATTAGATTATGAGTACCTACTGTGTGCCAAACCATACAGTACTGAGAAATATGTTTACTATACCCTTAGGGGATGATATCTTCTCATATATCAACTACAATGAGGCATTCCTTCTGCTTTTCAATTTTAAGCAGTTTTTTGGAATTTAGTTGAATAAAGCTAGGTGTCCCCAATAAATAGTCTTAAACCCAGCAATCTTAAAATGATCTGGCTGTAGATAATGCTAGGAATTTTTAACAAAATTGGGTCTTACAAAATAATTGGTTTTACCAATGAATTTGGGAAAACTATAACAGAGGTATCTTTAACCGTAAAAATGACCCCGAAAATTTATCAACCTCTCTGCAGACCTTTATAAGAGACCAGCACCCCAGTTGATCTTTTTGAGGTCCTTTGAGCTATAAGATCCTATGGCTAGAATTTATGCTTGATATTGAAGTTTCTGAGACAAACCTCTATGCGGCTTTATGATCCCTCTTTTTGGCATCCCATTTAGGAAAATGAACTAAAGTAAGTGGTCTTTGGGGTAATTTGGAATACAGTGAGTCCTTTTTACGTCACTGGTGATGGGGAACACTAAGATTTTATAGTGTATAGGTATTTTTGAAGCTATGATTTGACTCAATATATTTTATTTCCTACTGTCATGAGTTATGACATCGACTTTTCAAAATTTGTATAAATTTAAGGGGAACACGTGCAATTTTTGTTATGGATATATCGCATAGTAGTGAAGTCTGGGATTTCAGTGTAATCATCACCCAAATACCGTACATTGTATCTCACATTGACTTTTAGATAAAGTGGATTTGATGTTCAGAAAGGCTTATCTGTTTTTGTCTGTATACTCATTTTGCTCCAACAGGTCAATTTCCCCCCCTTTCTTCACTATAACTCCTTAATTTTTCTCACCTTTTTGTTACTTCTTTAAAAAAAATTTTAAAAAAATTAATAAGCTTTATTTGTAAATCAATTTTAGATTTTCAAAAAATTAAGCAGATGGTACAGAGATTAACCATCCTCCATTCCATGGAGTTTCCCCTATTATTAACATCTTGCATTATTTTGATATATTTGTCACAATGAACCACACTCATACATTATTATTACCTAAAGTCCCTGATTTATTCAGATTTCCTTAGTTTTTACCTACTGTCCATTTTCTGTTGCAGGATCCCATCCAGGATACCACATTACAGTTAGTTGTTACGTATCCTTAGGCTATTCTTGGCTCTGACATTTTCTCAGACTTTCCTTGTTTTTGATGACTTTGGCAGTACTGATTAGGTGTTTTATGAAATATCCCTCTGTTGGAATTTGTCTTGTTTTTCCTATGATTAGATTGGGGTTTGGATTTTTGAGGGGAAGATCATAGAAGCATATAAAATGCCATTTAATTCAAATCAAATCAAGGGTAAATGTTATCAACATGACCTATCACTGATAATGCTGGCCTTAGATCACCTGGTAGAGGGAATGTTTGTAAGATTTCTCCATTGTAAAGTTACTCCTCCCACCCACCTTTCTATACTGTAGTCTTTGGAAGGAAGTCATTATGTGCAGCCTATATACTTAATGAGAAGGGATATTCCACATCCTTGAGGGCACAGTATCTACACAAATTATTTGGACTGCTTCACAGGATATTTGCCTCATCTCCACCATTTATTTATTTATTCAATCATTTATATATATCAGTGTGGACTTACAAATATTTATTTTTTATTTTGGGTTATAATAATCCAATACTACTTTACTTTTTTGTTTCTCGAATTGTTCCAGTTTTGGTCTTTGGGGGCTCTTTCACTTGATTCCTGTGTCCCTTAGACATACTTCCAGCAATGTAGGGTTTTAGTGTTTTATTTGAGCATTTACTTACTTTTTGTTACAACAGGATGCTCTAGGCTCACTTTGTATTTTCACTTCTTTGCTTTTAATTTTAGTTATCTTAAGAGAAGCTGATAGAAGATCACAGCTGATCAGACAAAGCTTATTAATGAGTCTGAAAAGCAATGTGACCTCATATTTTTACTCATCTTTCATCTATGACTTCAGATTGTAGTTAAGAATTATTCTCATGCTTTATATTGGTTGTCCCCAAAGTTTAGCTGTTTTCTATGCAAGAAATCTGCAATTTGTGACCAATGATTTTCATAGATTTACAATGCCTTCAGTGGATTTTAGATTTACTGAATCAACAATTTGTATATAAAATATATATTTTGTATATAAAATATTGATAATATTCACTTTTTAAGGAATTGAAAAGTTTTATAGGTTATATTCTAATAGTAACTTAAAGTAAAGAGAGGCAATTGACATTGAAAATGATAAATAAGACAATGATTCTGAGAAAAAAACTTACCAGTTTACATATCCTGCCTATCTATACAAATATTCTATTACTTAAACATAAGTGACAGTAGAGATGCTCATGTATTACAGTATTCTCTCTTAAGGTCTGTCAGCATTTTCATTATAAACCTGCTTTTCAAGGGCATATAATATCTCTAAAATTTCATTTGGGATTTAAACTTGCCAAACACAATTGCAGACTAAAAATTCCTTTTGAATATTTAATCAGAATCATTGTTTTTGTCCCAGTACTTTTGCTTGTGTGATAGCGACTTTCTTTCTTCCTGTGTCTTGATAAATGGTTTCTCTCCCATCTGAGAGTGATGACTGTTGAATGAGAACATGGCCTTAAATTCTCTGAGTTTGATGGGTAGTGTGTAATATCATAACTCTTTGATTCTGCAGCAGGCAACTTCCAGCAGAGAATATGTTTTCTAAGTGGCAATGAGTGTTTCTTATTCTTCTTTTTTTAATGGCCTATTAATGTAGTCCCTATGAATTATACTGTATTTCTCTGTTGATGTGCCAGCAATAACCAGTTAGAAATTATAAATGTAAAGAAAACTTACCGACAATATTTTTAAAATAAATAATCTGTAAATTTTAGGAATTATTCCAGCAAGAAAAATGCAAGGCTTATATTTTCTTGAGAACTACCAAATTTTTTTCGAGAAACATAAAGTAGAATTTGAATAAATGGAGACATACACCATGTTCTTGACTAGGATGTCTGAATATTAAAAATATATGTTTTTTTCTGTTTAGTTGATTATAGGTTTATAGATACAGTACATTCCAAATTAATTCCTAGGTTTTATATAAATTCAACAACAAATTACCTTTACTTTTAAAATGATTATTCTGAAGTTCATTTTGGAAGAATAAACAGATTTTAATAGTTAAAATGTTTTTAAAACATGAATAAGATAATAAAATGCATCAAAGTTATAGTAATTACTAGTGTGGTAAAATTTTAAGAATGGAGAGGTGAATAACATGAACCAGATATCCTTGAAAAAATATTATTTTTATAAAACATCATAAGCAAAGGGGAAAATAATCATTTAATAAATAATTCTTGGAAAAAATGGCTATTTGGGAGGCAAGTATAAACCATAAAATCTCATGTTAGAGTTTTACTTTACACTCAACACCTAAATAATTTTTGAATCATTTAAGAGTTAAATATTTTAAAAGTTTAAGAATAGAAACAAATAGAATTTACTATTTAATTCCTTTGATGGTGAGAAAGTATTTTCTAATCATAAGCATATAGAAAAAAAATCACAAAAGAAAAAGATGCTGGATTTCAATTGACAGCAACCAATAATTTTTCCTAGTCAGAAAGCATCATTATCAGAATGAAAAGGCAAATCACAAATAGGGAAAATATATGCAACATATATAACAAAAGCCTAATGTCTGTAATATATAAATATCTCTTATAAATCAGTAAGCAATAATGAACACCTCTAAAGGAAAATGACAAAGATCAGAATAGGAAATGAAATGAAATATACATGGAAAATAAACATTTGAAAAATACAAGTTAAAAGCAGATTTTTGGACAATCATATTCACAAATATTAGAAATAAATTAAGTTTTTGTGAAGGTGTTGTGAGACAGGCACTCTCACAGTTAGACTTCTGGAGGAGTGTAAATTAGTATCATCTTTCTGGAAAGTAAATAGCAATATGTACAAAGAGCCTTAAAAAGCTATTAAACTTTAACCCAAGAATCTTGTAACTAGAAAATTACCAAGGGGAAATCATCAGGATGTAGACAAATATTCATATGCAAGGAAAATCCTTTTCTTATTAGTACTAATGATGAAAGACTGGAAAAAATCTGAAAGCCAACAAAATGAAAACATTACAAACATTACAGTACATCATTTATAATAGAATAATGGGCAGGTATTTAAAACCATGTTTGTATACATGATTTCAGTTGTCATTTGTGTAGGTAACATTTTTTTTTTTGCCCTGTATGTCTCCTTCCTGAGCCTGTTCAAGTTAAAATAAACGATTGGTAGTTGAGTCAATGAGAGTTTACAAAATTTCTAAAACTCTAGAGAGTCACTATTCCTTGGTTTACAGTTGGCTCTTTTGGCTTGGGTAGGAATGATGCTTTTATTGTAGGCATCAAATTACATGTGCCACTTACTTAGAGGACCTAACCCTGAAAAGACCTCAGAAACTATGCCTCAGTAAAGAACTCAGATTTCACTCCCAAGTAGGCATATAAAAAAGTTGACCATTCACATTCTGGAAATTCTCTTTCTTTGACTTCTGGGTTAATAGTCTCTCCTGGTTGTTCACCATATTTCTAATTAGTCCTCTGCTGTATCCCTAGTATGATCGGGGAGGTACAATGTAGATTTCTCAAACAATCTTTTGCCGTTCAAAATGGCTGTGCTTTGGGTTAAGACACCTAACCTATCATTAAGCAGTATGGTGAGTCTGTGATTTGGGGTCAGATTCCAGCCTGGCTACCAGTTAGTTGGTGACTTTGGGCAAATAATGTAACCTCTCTCCTTAGTTGTTATGGATTAAGAGGTGAAATGTATATGAACCACTTAATTCATTGCCTGGGATATAGTAGGCACTGAAAATGGTAGCTATTATTGTTATTATGATGATGTACTAGGGACTATGGAAGACCAATGAATTTCTACAGAAAATACTGATGTTTTTAGAAAAAGGTACATTAATAGGTAATACTACTAAAGCGACAGAATATCAGCTGAGCTGCCAGTCTAAGTATATAAGACATAAAGAAAAAAAAATAGTTTTCAGGAGACACTCTAAGCTAGTGGCAATGAGGCACCATGCTTTATCCACTTATCTATCCCAAAAACCAAGCACAGTTCCCAGGAGATAGTAGTATTCAATAAAGATTTTTTTGAATGGATGGATGGATGGCTGGTTGAGGTGTGACAAATCAAAGCCCCTGGTAGCCAGTGCATAATATGAAGGAATCCTGTGCATGTGTGTCAGGAGAAGAGAGGATATAAGTATGGGGAAAGGGGAGGGAAGGCTGAAACAAAGAGAAATAAAAGGGTATTGAAAAGATCTACCTCTCAACTTTTTGAGCAAAATCCTTCCTGTCTTCTATATTGTTTGAAACCCTGTTTCCACACACAGCTAAAACAGCTGAGAACATATTGGAAGAAAGGAAACATCTTGTGGTCTCACCTACAAACTTGAGCATCCCCACTTTCACTTCCACCCTCCTAGTAAAAATTATGACAATATGTCAATATGATAAGGCAGAGACTACTCCTGGGAGCTGTTCCTAAAGTCTGTGGGGATCCAGAATCTAGGCTAACAGGGCAATAAGACCATGGCTACAGTGACCTATTTTCTGAACCCTAAATTGGGACACACAGTCTGACCAAATATTTATTTTCAATATGTGGATATATTCATGTTAACAATTTCAAGAGTTGTATATATTGTATCTCCTTTAAATGAGTTACTGTTATTGAAAATAATAACATTCTCTGAAATTAGGGCTGTTCTAAAAAGTTGGAAGCATATCATTACCATGTTTTTTGGCATCTTTCAATATATGTGGGGTTTTTTTGACTTTCAAAAACTTAGTAATGTCACAGATTACAGTAACATATGTGTGTGTATGATGTGTGTAAGGTCAAGATTTCAGAGTTCAGAATCTTGGGTAGAGGGATGAAAGGATGCATTCAGCCTCATGGGTAATAGAGGAGCAGGGACCAATAGATGTGGTGTTAATTAGACTTGAGAGATAAGGGTACAAAATAGAATCTAGACCCCAGAAGCTCAGGAATATAAACTGGACTAGAAGGAGGATTAAGCATTCACTGGAATCAAAGTACAATAATTATTTATACTATGTAAATAAGCCATAAGTAGATGCATTTATTCAATAGGAAGCTGAATTTTTGTGGAAAGACTCCAGGAGATGTTGAGCTTAATGAAAGAACAAAAGTGTACATATTCAGTTGGCTTCAAAACAGAACAGAATTAAGAAGTTTCCAAGGACAAAGGTGATATCCACCACTATTCATTCAGTCAACAAACATTTCAATGTGCCAACAGTGTGCCAGATAGTTCTAGACACCAGGGATAGAGCAGTAAGCAAGATTGATCAAGTCCCCTCTTTCATGGAATTTGCATTGTAATCGGAAAGTAATAAATGAATAAAATATAATTTATTGTACATTTTAAAATAACTACAAGAGTATAATTGGATTATTTGTAACATAAAGAGGAGATGTTTGAGGTAATGGACACTCCATTTACCCTGATATGATTATTATGCATTGTATGACTGTATCAAAATACCTCATGTACCCCATAGATATATACAACTACTATGTACACACAAAATTTAAAAAGAAGAAATTAAAACATACATATATATTGTGTTAGGTTGGGATAAATTCCATAAAGATAAACTTAGACAAGGGGACAAAAAATGATGTAATGCACCTGGATACTATTTTAGTTAGCTATGATTGTCAGTGGCCTTCTCTCTGAGGAGGTGATACTTAAACAAATAAATGAATGAAGTACAGGAGCCAGCCATACAAAATCTGGAGGGAGGAGGATGGCATTCCAAACAGATTGATGAATAATCAACTATGCCCTCAAGTGGTATTAAGCATGCACTATTAGACAAAAACAAAGCCAGCCAGTATGGTTGGACTTTAGCAATAGGAGGGAGGCAGGGGCCAGTTTGTATGGGGCCCTGTAGATCAATGTGAGAATTCATCTTATTTTAAGTATGATGGAATACTGTTGGAGGCTTTTGAGCAGAGGAATCAGGTGATCTGATTCATATGTTGTAGAAAAACAACCATTGCTGCTAGATCAAAAGAGGTTTTAGAGAGGCAAGAATTCAAACAGCAAGGCCAGTTAAGAAGTTATTGCCATATTCTAGTTACATCCTGATGGTGGTGTGGACAAGGGTAGGTGGTAAAGAATGAGTTTTCACTTACATTTGCCTTTCATTTATTTATTTTTTATTTATATAAACTTAAGGGGTAATGAAATTTTGGGGCTTGCATTTTTGTTACATGCATAGATTATGTAGTGGTCAAGTCATGGCTTTTAGGGTGTCCATCACCAAAATAACATACCTTGTACCCATTAAGTAATTTCTCATTGTCCACTGCCTTTCCACCTCCTTGCCCCTTTTGGAGTCCCCAGTGTTTATTACTCCCCTCTGTATTTCCATATCTACACATTGTTTAGCTCCCACTTATGAGCGAGAACATGCAATATTTGTCTATGTCTGTCTCATTTCACTCAATATAATGACCTGTCCGGTTCCATCCATATTGCTGCAAAAAACAAGATTCCATTTTTTATGGCTGAATAAATATTCCGTAGTGTGTATGTACCATGTTTGCTTCATCAAATCGTCTGTTGATGGACACTTAGGTTAATTCCCTATGTTTGCTATTGTGAATTGTGCTGCAATAAACATACAAGTGTAGGTGTCTTTTTCTTTTTCATTGGGTAGATACCCAGTAGTGGGATTGCTGGCTCCAATGGTAGTTCTATTTTTAGCTCAGAAAGTAAGTATTTTTAAGCTAAAAATCTATATAACTTGCTGATTGAGTCTGTGTGAGATAGGAGGGAAAGAGGAATCAGGGAATGCACCAAGCTTTTTTATCTTAGTAACTGTGTAAGCAGTGATGCCATTTACTGATGTGAAGGTGTAAGTGTTGGGAAGATTTGGGAGGGAAATTGAAAGACAGATTTTGGACCTATTGAATTTGAGATGCCTATACTATAACCAAGTGGAAATTAAGAGAAACAGCTGTATACATGAGTATGAAGTTTAGGCTATGGTCAGGATTGAAGTTATAATTTAAAAAGTGGATACATGGTATTGAAACTATTGGACAAAATACGACAATCTAGCAAATGAATGCAGATAGAGAAGAGGCCCGACAAACACACACTCCATATAAATTACTCTCACTAAGACTTATTTGTTCAGTCAACAAATATTTTTGAGTGCTTATATACTAGGTGTTGTTCCAAGATTTGGGGATACAGTGGAAAACCACATAGATAAAGCTGCTGTCCTCACAGGGCTTAGAATGAAAAGTTACATGGGTGATAAGAGGACCAGGACAAAAGGGTAGCAGAGAAAAATAGATGAAAACATTGAGCTTTGTAAAGAACAAAACAAGCCTGACATTTGCTAAGCCAGTATGTGCCTGTTAAGCCAATAAAACAGAGAAAATGAGTGTCCAGGGTAAGTATCGGGGATGGGGAAGTAGGAAATGATAAGAGCCCGGGATACCTCCAGGAGTGTGGTTGGATATTTCTGGAGTACACACAGGCAGAACTGAAGCCTTGAGAGGAATTTTTAGCCTTTTGGAAAAATGTCTTTCTCATCTCCAGTAGATACAGAATAGAAGATATTAACATTGTGCCAGAAAAGAAATTCTGGAGTCACAGGTAGACAAAAGACCAGAAAGGCAGTAAAAAGTTACTAGCTCGGGCTCCAAAAGCAGGAATATATTATTTTATATTTTATATTTTCAGGAATATATGATTTTATATTTATATTTACCACCTTTAGCTAAGGGACTTAGGTAATTTACATTTTCTGAATCCTAGTTTCCGCATCTGTAAAATGAGGAGCAAAAGTATGCAAAGCACCTAACAATATGTCTTGTATATAGTAAACACTAAATAAATGTTAGCTTATAATGATATTGATTCTGATTATAGTAACAAAGGTTGAGAATCTCCACAGCTGAGCTGGTATGGGTCTCCATGATGTTCATATTTCCTCCCAAAGGACCAAGGAAAGAAATGAAGTTAATGAGGCACATAGGCAAGCTGTGCCATTCAAGAAACCTTTGATAGATCATTTTTAACTTAGGACAGGCATTCTATACTTTGAAAATATGTCTGGTTTTATACTTATTTTATTTTTTATTAATTTCACCCTTTCACTTTTCATTGTTTATTGGCCTTTTCATATATTCCCTCTCTGCTAAAAGGGAGGTGGGATCGAGAATCTGAATTTCTAACAAGCTTCCAGGTGATGCTGATGCTGGTGCTGCTTTCCAGGAACCACATCTTGAGTAACATGGAGCTAGGAAACGTATCTGGAGGACACTAGAAAACATATCAGAGCTGCGGCAATCAGTGATCTGATTCTCAAATAAATGAGGCAGGATAACCGTGATTACTCCTGCTTCTCATTTCAGCCTCCAGTGGTTCTCTTACATTATATGCAGCATAAAGAGAGAATTTGGAGGCGAGTAATGGGGTTAGAAAAGCAGGAATGCTGCTCATGATTCCTTATAGCCTCCATGTTGTCCTGAAACAGATGTGAGTGCACAGCTGTCTACTACAAAGAGAGCTTCTGAGGAAAGCCTCCATGGAGCAATATATCTTGCTTTTATCATTTTCCTCTTTATGATGTTTTCTTTTCTCAATCCCATGAAAAATCACATAATGGGAGTTTACTGTAGCCTGTTTGAATGGATAGGACAATGGAGAAATAACGTAGTCAAGAAACTGTTCCCACAACTAAAAGAAGTTTATCTGAGAAATGTTTGTGGCAGAACATAAGCAATCATTAGAAATGAAATTTGGGAAAGATGAAAAATCATTCAATATAAATCATATATTGTTTATCAGAAATACTTGGAATATACAGAAAGATTTTCATTATGATTATTGAGATAAAAATGTGGCTTTCAAATATATTCTTCCAGTATGACCAGTATATTTTATTGCAAAATTATTCCTTCTTCAAGAAAGGTCTTTTATAAATGGACAATGAAACAGGCTGTGTATTCAGATGCTACTGTCTATCCTCAGATATCTTGCTTTTCAGCAAGTAAAGCAGAAATTGATGGTGACAGTCTTCCTGGATTTGTTGGCTCTTTCACCATGATCCACTCTCTTTATAAATGAAACATTGAGTTTCATTTGGTGATTTTAGATGCATTTATTATTTTTATATCTTATTCAGTCTTGCATTGCTATTTAAGTTCATTTAGTTTTCATCCACAGCCCTTTAGATGTTTTGTCTGTACTTGATTGATTGATATGAGAGGCAGTATTGTGAGGTATTTCAAAGCATGAGCTTTAGAAACATATTTGAATCCTGACGGTGCTCCTTATTACCTGTGTAACTCTGGAGAACTTGCGTAAGCTCCTGGTGTCAGTTTATTCGTCTGTGAAATGGGAATAATAATAGTTCTTACAGGGTTGTTATGGGTTACAAATGAGTTAATATGCATAAAGCAGCCAAAACTGTGACCAGCATAACTGCAAACTCTTACTAAGCATTCAGAATATATTGGCTAATTGTATTAATGATGTTTTATGTAAACCATTTCATGTCAATGCTCATGTTTTATCTCCCCAGCCAGACTACAAACACATTTTAGGTATGCGAGCAATACACTTTATTTTCTGTGTATTTCCTTCAGTGCATTTATTATTTCTGTATTGTTTGCCATCATCACTATGGATTTAGTTTGAAGATACAACTACCAAGGGATGCATTATAAATTTTAATAAATGGAACCTGCAATTAAGAAAAACTGCTACCAATAAGCAGTAGGTAATGAGGTGAAATAAATGGAAAGCATGTACTTTCTTACTAATAATTAATACTAATTATAATAACACCTATTTCTCAAGTACCTATTTTACTTTGTTAGACACTTTATTTCATCTCTTTTATTGTTCACAATAATTATATGAATTAGGAAACTGAAAGTCATAAAGGTTTAGCAACAAGTTTCAGGTCACTCGGGATTCAAACTGACTGCTCACTAATTGCAAACACTGCATTGCCGCACTTCTTTTTTAAAAATTTTTGAAATATAATTCTTGGTAAAAATAACTGAATTGGGTTCACATAACAGTTCTACTTTTCAGTAACCATGTGACAACTTGGAATTCATAACCCATATTTGTGCAGAAAGACACTGTGAATCTAAATCTAAAGCTTCTTTGTAGAATACTTCATCCTCTGCCATTTCCCTGCCAGACTGCTGCTCCTGCCTCCAGAACCACATGACTTGATCATTTATTCCAAATTCTCTAGTCACTGCCAACCCAAGACTGCACATCCTCTGTTATCATACCCCAGGGTTTGTCCTCCTTTTCTGTGTAGGTAAGAGTTATGATCATGTAGTTCTGATTTTCCATTCAGTGAGAATAATCCAAATATGAAAACATTGTCTTTCTCCATCTGTTTCAACACTTGGGCTAGCTATCACATTTTAATTAGTAAGTAGTACTCTGATGCAGTGGTCCAGAACAGAAAGAAAATGATCAATACTGCCATTCCAAGTCCAGATGTACTATAATAAGCACCTTGGACATAAGTGGGATGACTTCAGTTGATTTATAGTCTTAGAATTGGCAGATTATTAAGCCACCAATAATCTCCTTGTTCTCCTTTGTCCAGGATTTCCCTCTTCTCTCCTGATCATTTCTAATTTTTCCTGTCCGTAGGGAGTGCATATTGGGAGGAGGAAGTGGTAAAAGGTAGGAGCAGATGTGGTGAGAGGTCAAAGAGCAGGAGGATCTGTGAATGGGTTTTCTTAGTCCCAAGCATTCTTAACATGAGAATACGTTTCACCCTATATTGATTCAGTCACCTGGAAAATATGTGTCTTTTTTGGTTACAGTTCCTTCATCCTCTATTTTTAGTCCAATTTGAATATCATTTGCAAACTAGGAAATGTACTCTAAATCTTCATCCAAATAATTACATTCATATAAAAAATCTGTTAATGAAACATTAGAGCTAAGGTCTTAATTCGCAAAAAAATCAACCCATGGAGCTCAAAAATTCAGTTGAGATTCCATGGCAACAGGATCTATTATTAACTGTATATATGTTATCTAATAACATTTTGAAATTAACCTGCTAGTTTAGGTTCCTTAGTACTATATATAAGGTAAGATGCTGTTTAAAAATAAGATAATTTTAAAAAATAATTTGTCTGGATGAAAATTATGGAAAACTTCCAGTTCCTTCCGATTATTTTATTGCTTATCAAATTTTATGCTCTTTTTTTAATCAGTTAATGAGAAACGTCTTCATTACTTTTGAAATACGATGGCATTTAGTGTCCAGGAGTCATATTTCTGTCATACATTTTCCAAAGAAAAAAAGTAGCAGAAAGGGAAAATTAAAACACAAACTTAATGAAGTAGGAAATGCTAAGAAGGGAATCTGAGAGAGCAGATCATCCTTTGAGGGAAGGAATCTGGATGAAAAAAAAAATTTTGAAATGTTTAAGTATGATAAGGATAACAAAGGCATCTCAAGTTGAGTAAAAGGTATTATACCCTAAAACACAAAAGGGGAAAACTAATTCAAGTTAACAAAAATGAGGAAGATGGTAAGAGTTTTTAGTAGGCACATTGTTAATATCAAGGTAAAAAAGATTGAATATTGAAACTAGTGGATGTTAAACTGAGAGCGTCTAGTAAACATATAGAGAAGATGATTCAAGAGTGGCAAGTAATGCTGAGATATTCTAATCCAAACACTGCCTATGCTATAGATGGCAAAACAGAGGCCCAGGGCCGAGCTGCAATTTTACCAAATGCACACAGCACAATAGTAGCAGCCTCAGCACACAAAAATGCCAGACTCCACTCTCCCAGAGCAAGAACCCATCATCACGAGAGATCCTTTTCATGATGATGATATTCAAACACTGGAGGAAGCATTTACTAGAAACATGCTGTTTATTCATCACTGTGTTGGTTAACACATGGGACCCAAAACAGGAAGCCATGATATTTACCATGAAAAGTTTTTTATCAGTTTGGGAAGACAATACATAATATATTTACATTAATATCTACAGAGCAAATTCAAGTTCAGGTAAAACATAAAGATCTAAAAGACTACATGGTGCAGACCATACACACGTTTCTGGCATGATTCCAAGTAAAGGAGAGATCTGTTAGGGTATGATGTGACTTTACAATGTGATGAAGCTTCAACTGCTGGTGCTATATTGACTCTAAAAGGAAAAAGCTAAACATTGACCTTTGTAAGAGTAGAGATTTAGGTTAATCATAAGGAATAACTTTTTACTGATTATAAAACATATAGAAATCTTACTTTTTCTATAGTAGTTTTTGGATTTAGGAAGAAGTCAAAGGAAATATACCATGCACTCCTTACTCTTCAGTAGCTTATGGTTTATTTGTAGAGAGAAGATATTCATTTTGAGGTGTAAGATATAGATAAGGAAGTTTATGATTATGTGACAAAAGGAAGACACATGGGAAATCAAATGAGAATTCTAGAATGATCTCAGAGAAGAGGAACTCTGAGGATTAGTGGCAGCATGGTGATGTGGAAATACTGTAAGCCATTATGTCAAACAAATTGGGTTAAAATGCAGGCTCTGATACTTACTAGGTTTATGGATTTGCTGAGCCTATGTTTCTTTTCCTGAAAAACTAGGGATGTAATACCTAACTTGTAGGGTTCCTATGAAGAGTGTCAACAATGGATGAAAGGATATGGGGCTTCTTTTGGGGATAGGGAAAATGTTTGAAAATTGATCATGGTAAAGGTTGCACAACTCTGAATATACTAAAATCTACCAAATTGTACATTTTAAATGAGTGGCTTTTAAGGTTATATTCTGTGCCTAAGTATATATACAAGAGTAATGAAAACATATGTCTACATAAAAACTTATGCCCAAATGTTCATAATAGTATTATTCCTAATAGCCAAAAAGTGGCTATACCCCAAATGTTCATCAACTGATGGACGGATAAACAAAATATAATATATCCATACAATGGAATATTATTCAGCCATAAAACGGAATGAAGTTTTGATACATGCTACAACATGGATGAATCTCAAAAACATTATGCTAAGTAAAATAAAGCACATGCAAAATAGATTGTGCAAACCTATTGTACAATCTCATTCATGTCAAATATTATGAAAATACAAACCTATAGAGATAGAAAATAGATTAGTGGTTGCCAAGGGTGGGGTATGGTAACAGGTAGTGATTGCAAATGGCCACAGGGGACACAGGGAGTGTTTTGGAGATGGTGTAAATATCCAATGTAAATATCCTAAAGCTGGTTTGTGCTGATAGTTGCACAATTCTATCAATTAACTAAAAATAATTGAATTATATGTTTAAGTGGGTTGGTTATATTTCAATAAAGCTGTAATGGATTCAAAGTGTTAAGTAATAAATGCTCAACTAACAGTAGCTTTTTTGTTGTTTAAGTAATCAGGAAAAGCCTCCTGAAGGAACTGGAGTTTTAATGATGAGTGACAGATAGCTTTGCCTAGATGATAGGGAAGTGGGAAAGTGAAGAAGAAATAATAGGAAAATAGTATGGGCAGTGGCCTGGAGAGAGAATAGACCTGGTGTAATTTGTCTTACTATAGAGCTGACTAGACTAGGAAGTTAGTACTAGGGAATATTGGGATAGTTGAGAGATAAGAAGCTGTTGGAATCAGACCTAAGACTGGGAAAGGACTGGTAGGATGTGCCTCACATGTACCATTGATGAGTGGGTAGAAATGAAGAGATTCAAGTGATAGAGGCCCCAGATGATAGAGATAGTTAAGATATGGCTTTTGTCGAGGAGCAGTGGGCTTCCTGGGTGCTAGAAATAGAATTATTCTGGCTGCAGCTGGCTGGTACTGATCCAAACCATTTAGAGGCTGAGCTGGGGAAGATTGTAGATGGTAGGATATGGTGTGGTATGGTGTGGTGTGATATGGTAGGTGCCTAAGCAGTAACTTGTGTCTGGGCAAGTAGGTTAGAAGGGCCAGCCTGGGGAAGCAGACCCAGAGTGGCCAACCTGGGAGTCGAAAGGGTAAAGGTGATATGGTGGACCCATCTAGGTTAAAAAAAAAAAAGAAAGAAAAATAAAAGTGATCCAGCTGGTTATCTTTTCTCTGGCTGCTCTTGGAGTCATGTGAGAACTGACTAAACTGTCTTCCAGTCTTGTGAGTTATTTAAGTAAGCAGCTCTGTCAAGATTATGCCCTCCAGCTTTCCAACAAATCTAGTGAGGTCACTGGGGGAGAAATCTCCAAATGTCTTCTCAAAGTTGTATAGAATTTTAAAGATTTCCCGCCCAACTTGAGGCAAATCCTTACAGTGCTTAATCTCAGTGATGTGATAAGATCATGACTTTTTCAGAAATGTCTTTGATGTCAATCCTAATTCTGCTAAATTTTACCTGACAAGGAAAGAATGAAACATTATAAGCTAGTTTGTCAAGCATCTCAGTAATCTGTTTTGGCAATAATCTGTTCCAGTTCAGCCCTGCAATGATGGGGTCTGGTGAATGATGTACCTTGACTTGGAAGGAACTTATTAAGTGTTCAATCATTGATTAATGAAGTAAAAATGCACTAGGTAGACCTTGAAGTGAAAAACTGGACAGGAACCTTGGCAGACATTAGGGCCTCCTGCACACTATCCATACTGTGATTTATTTTGAAAATGATGACTACTCCTTTTTTTACCCACATACCTACAATGCCACAGAAAGACCAGTGTTGACAATCAACAGATACAGAAATGAAAAATACTGCAGGTGACTCCTACTTTGAGTTTTAATCACCATTATAAAAGTGAAAAAACCATAAAGGATTAGAGTTGTGAAAGCCCATTTTTCCTCAAATGGCCTTTCTGATGTGTAAATTTTAAAAACTATGCTATCATTTTTGATAATATAAACATAAAAGATCAAGGAAATTGAAATTGCAGTTTTATTTTTTGAGATACATTTTATGATTGGTCATAACAGCAAAGTAAGTAAGTGATATTTTTCAGTTGATCACCCATTACGTTTTAGAATGTTTTAAATCCCTTCATCATCAATGTATCCCGCGTCCCCAAAGACCACAGACACTACACCTCACAAACTGAAGAAATTTGGTTAGTTTTGCATTTTCTTCATATTGCTTGCTTTTCTTAATTTTTTCATAAGTTATCGGGTTCTTTCTGCTAAAATTTACCTCCATGCCTACATAGATTATTGAGTTCTTAGAGGATTAATAACATACAACATACAAATTTTCCTGCCCTCTGCTTTTGTGCCTCAATGTGATGCAAAAGGTTTGATCTCATATATTTGATATTTGTGTAGACTAGCAGCTCATGAGTCCCTATTGAGGCATGTCTATCATGAGTAACTTTTTTTAATTCTCTGGGTTAAATTTTAAATTTTCTTTGAACTTTCTTTTTAGAGATAATCTCTCAATGTAATTATAAGGCAAATGACCAAAACTTCCTCCTTTAACATAAAAAAGACCTTACATAATATTATTATGTGAATGTAGCGTAAGAGCATAAGATTTAGTAATGTATAAAACCAAGGTGACATGGCAGATTCCATCAGATCTGAAAGGTTTACCAGTGCTGCCTTGCAATTTCTTTTTTTTATTTTATTATTATTATACTTTAAGTTTTAGGGTACATGTGCACAACGTGCAGGTTTGTTACATATGTATACATGTGCCATGTTGGTGTGCAATTTCTTTCCCAAGCTTCTGAAGATTTCTTGTTCATTACACCCCTCAAAACTTTGAGTATTATAGTCCCAAACCTTGCCTAATGACACTTCCTGTGTGGACAATTCATTTACCAAGAATTGCAGTTTTTTAAAAAATGAAGTGAGAAGTTATTAGTTTAATAACACAAGGTAACTCTTCATGTCTTGGTGCCCAATAGGCACTCTTATAAATTACCGACAAATTACAGTAGATGGCAATTCCTGCACTGCTGCCACTGATAGATAAATCTATGCCATATTATTCTGGCTTTTATTGACTCTTAAAACAGCATCAGATTGATTTTAGAGTAGCAAGGATATAAAATAAATACACAAGATACCTTTCCAATAAAGGAAAGGAAAACCAGACTTCTTTGTGTCTGAGAATTCTAGTGTTGAAATGGAAGAACATTTCTGAGTACCTTCTTGTTTCAGCATGAAAATTGTTTCCTACTTGACTTTAAATAATGCAGAGCTAGTTTTTTGTAGAAGAAAAAAAATCACAGGACTGAGAAAAAGGAAACCCGATATTTTAGTCCATCCTGTCTCTGTCACTAACAAGCTGTATGACCTTAAATAAGTCATTTAAGTTTCCTGTGCCTTGGTTCCCACCTCTGTAAAATTATATAATTGAATTTGATGACCTTCGACACTGCTTTTGGTTTTAATATCTTATAGTTTATTAATATGAATGCAAATAGTACCATATGCATTATATTTATACTTATATATTTTATTTATATGATCTGACAGAAATATATGAATATAGAGTTTGAAACTTTTTGAAGACAAAAAAGAAATGGCTACTGAAACAGGCTAATAATAATAACTAATATGTGTCTATTATTAATCAATTCAACAAACATTTATAAACACCTAGGTGCCCTATCACTGGTAGGTATAGAGAGGTGAAAATGAAATATTCCCTTTTTCTTTATACATAATAGTGAAGGACGTGGATCTTAAATATAGAAAAGTCTTGATTTACTAAAATATTTAGGGAAGGGGATGTTAATTGAGGCTTTTTAAAATTAAGTAGCACATCTATCTTTTATTTCAGTCTTTGTGGTTGAAACGTTTCATGTAACTGTAGTCCATTTTACTACTTTAATAAGTACAGTTAAGTGAACATAATTGCATTTTACTTTATTATTTGGAACATTTTTTCAGAGTCTCAAGTTCATCATTCTGAAATCTGTTCTTATTGTACGGGAAAAGTAGGAGATTGGGATGAATCTCTATTGACCTCAGACTACTTCTTGGGAGATGAATTTATTTTTCCTTCAGTAAATTCAACATAAAGGCTTGCTTAGTCACCATGTCTGTTTTTCTCATAAAAATGAGTGTAGAACATGAAATAAAATGTTTCATTAGTTGGACTTCAGTTAATTAAGGTTTTACTGTACATAAAATCCTAATTACTAACAGAGAGATCTGGTCGCTTTTGTGGGAAATAGTATGTTCAGTTTTGGGTGTGAAATTTGGTTAGGAACATAGCTGGCTACATGACAGTATCCAGAAGATCTCAACCAGAAAGGTGAAATTAGAGCATGTAACATGCAAAATGGTAAAAGGAAGGCAAATTGGGGTGAAGAAATAAATTAAAAAGAGGATATATCCATCTTCTTTCTGTTTGAAGAGCTGATTTGTAGAAGAGTGAGTAGAATGTCCAGTCTGGAAGGAACCCAAAAGGTTATCTGTTCTAACCCCTTCTCTTATACATCTGTTCATGTAGTATTTGATTTCCTTCTACATCATTCTGTTAGGTGACTAGGAACATCTGGAGAACTTCAAAAGCAACCATTTCATCCATGATTGCCCCTGTTAGTTCTTCTTCATATTGAGCTCAAATCTGTCCACCCACCAGTTTGAGGAACACAGAATACATCTATTTCCCTTCCACATTACAGTCCTTTAGATATTTGAGAACATCTAATTTTACAGAGGTGGGAACCAAGGCACAGGAAACTTAATGACTTATTTAAGGTCATACGGCTTGATAGTGACAGAGACAGACAAACATGTCCTCCTTGGATCTAATTTTTACTCCCCTGAACCTTAACAAGTAAACTTGTTCTCCAGAAAGTGAAGTTAGTACCAAGATCACTCTCCTGCTTAAAAACTACTGTTGGAGTAAACAGCCTACAGAATGGTAGAAAATATTCGCAAACTGTGCATCCAACGAAGGTCTAATATCCAAAATCTACAAGGAACTCAAACAACAAGGAAAAAACAAACAACTCCATTAAAAAATGGGCAGTGGGCATAAACAGACATTTCTCAAAAGAAAACATGCAAGTGGCCAACAAACATAAGAAAAAATGCTCACCATCACTAATCATCAGAGAAATGCCAATCAAAAACACAGTGAAATACCATCTAACACTAGTCAGAATGGCTATTATTATTATTATTATTATTATTACTTGGACACGGGGTCTCTGTCTCCCAGCTTAGAGGGAAGTGGCGTGATCCTGGCCCACTACAGCCTCGAATTTTTAAGCTCAAGTGATCCTCCCTCCTCAGCCTACTGAGTAGCTAAGACCACAGGTGCACACCACCATGCCCAGCTAATTTTTAAAATTTTTTTGTAGAGACAGGATGTCACTATGTCACCCAGGCTGGTCTCGAACTCCTGGCCTCAAGTGCTGGGAGTATAGGCATGGGCTACCAGGCCAATCTGGCTATTACTAAAAAGTAAAAAAACAATAGGCATTGATGTGGATGCAGAGAAAAGGGTATATTGGTGAGAGTGTAAATTTGTTCAGCCCCTGTGGAAGGCAGTATGGAGATTTGTCAAAAAACTAAAAGTAGAACTATCATTATTTTTATAATTTTTTAAATTTTTATTTTATTTTAAGTTCTGGGATACATGTGCAGGATGTGAAGGTTTGTAACACAGGTAAACATGTGCCATGGTGGTTTGCTGCACCTATCAACCCATCATCTAGGTTTTAAGCCCTGCATGCATTAGCTATTTATCCTGATGCTCTCCCTCCCCTGTATTCCCAGCCCCCAACAGGCCCCGGAGTGTGTTGTTTCTCTCCTTGTGTCCATATGGTTTCATTAGAACTATCATTTGATCCAGCAGTCCCACTACTGGGTATCTACCCAAAGGAAAAGGAATCATTACATCAAAAATACACCTGTATTTATCAGTTTATTGCAGCACTATTCACCGTAGCAAAGTCATGGAATCAACCTAAAGAAAATCTACAAAGAATTTACAAAGAAAATGTGGTAGATATATACCATGGAATACCATGCATCCATAGAAAGAAAGAAATCATGTCCTTTGTAGCAACATGGATGGAGCTAGAGGCCATTATCCTAAGTGAAATAACTCAGAAAAGGAAAATTACTGCCTGCTCTCACTTACAAATGGAGCTAAATAATGTGTACACATGAATATAAAGATGGAAACAATAGATATTGGGGACTCCAAAATTGGGGAGGATGAGAGGGCGGTGAGTGTTAAAGAAATTGCCTGTTGGGTACAATGTTCATTATTTGGGTGATGGATGCACTAGAAGCTCAACCCCCCCATCATTCCCATGTAACAAACCTGCACATGTATCCCCTGCATCTAAAACAAACAAACAAAAACTACTATTGGCTTGTGTTGGCCACAAGATAATGTACATGTTCTTTATTGTAGTATTTAAAGCTCTGCCTACCTTTGGCCTTGATTAACATTACTTCTTCCATGGAGGCTATAGTCCAGCTATCCTGGACCTGTCCGTTTCATTAACAAATCATTTATTTTGTCTTCACTTATGCCTTTGTTGAATGCTTTTCCTCTTCTGGAATACCCTGCTATCCCTTCTGAGGCCAGTGCACTTTCAAGTAATTCTTCAAAGCCCAGATCAAATCTGTTCTCTTTTGTCAAATCTTCCTAGACTTCTCTTCATACCTACCTTCTTCTCTCTGAAAACAAGTCCTTAATATATCCTTATACTCTTAATTATAGCCCGTGCCCCTGTGAAATCATTCATAAAATTTTATCCTGTTTTGTTTTTATGTATTTCCCCAGCTGAAATGTGAACTTTTGAGGTTAAATACCATGTCTTGTTCATATTTCTTTTCTCAGATTTAACATATTTGAAAAATTAATGTATAAATATCTATTGTATTTTATTTCATTAGTCATCAACTCTATTAATAAATTTTATGGAATGTTACCTAATTTTACCTTTCTGGAGTGCGATGACGTTTTATTCATTCACTTCATTTGTTAGACATCCATCATTTACCTTTCTTCTCACCCTTTGTCTTTCCAGATTAAACAAACTTAAATTCTTTGTCTGTTCCCCATTCCGTTAATTAAGTCTTTCTGGATTTTTTTCCATATCTCATGGAGCAGGACCCCAGGCCAGGCCTAATTAGGGAGCGCTATGGCAACTGATAGCACCATTCATTTTAGGTGAAAAATATTAAACACTGTCACACCACCATCACCACCTCTTTTCATTTTAGCTTGCTTTTCCCAGGACAGCTCCCAATTCTCATTGAATTGCAGAGCAGTTGCAATTATTTCCAAGTCAGTGGCTTATTATTAGTTTGTCTCTCTTTGCTCAACAGTGCAAATCAGAGTGTGTTTTACTTAAAATTATGTGCATTTTAGTGTATGGTACTAGAATGTTAGCTCTTACTCTGCCTTTGAACATGTGTCTTTCAAAGCATTGTAGGTCAACTCTGAATCAACTTTTCACTGGAATTTATAGAAAATTTTAGGCTATTTCAAAGCCAACTTTTATTCTCTCAAAAAAAGAAGGGAAAGATGAGAAGGAAGAGTATAAAGAGTTGAATTAGAAGCCTGAAGTCAGTTTCTTTATGTAAAAGTTTGAAAACAAAAGCATCCCCTTTTGAAACAAAACAAAAACAATGAACAACCACTTTTAGAAGCCAGTTCAGACTTTAGCTGTGTTAAGAAAAGCCATGGCCTGCTACCTAGTTCAGACGTGATAGAAGTTTGCCTGCCTCACCAATAGTCTTTGAGCATTTCTTTTGATGACTGAACTGAGTTACTGAAAGCCCAGATAAGTGAGACAATAGGTCAACTGGAACCCAAGAAGTGGTGAGCAGAGGTGAATGCTTTTTAAAATAGAGAGGAGCAAAAGGAAAAGCTTTCATTAGATAAACTATATATTTCCCTCGCTCTGTCAAAGAATAGCATTTCAGTTTTTTTTTTTCCCTAGAGGTTCTGGCAAAATTTCCCTTACCTGGAAAGCTCCAATGTAGTAAAGTGAAAACTATTTGAGCACCAATGTTGTTTTGGGAATAAATGGTCTAAAATGCTTGAGGAGCTACTCATGTCATTGGATTTTTGATAAGATTGGATTTTTCCCAAGATCCCTTGACTTAGATTCTAAGAAAAAATAACCCTTTCTTTGGGGACTTTGAGGCAAAAATGAGCTGTTCATATTTGCTGTCCATCTCTGCAAACCAAGGTTCTCTTATGGTGAGAAGTGTATATTGATTATCTGAGCTGCCACCTCTGTTACGCAGAAAAAATTACATTTGCAAATCACTCAGGGGAAGTTCATAGCAGGGGATCCCAAGCTCACTCCTGTCTTATAGAGCCTCTGAACTTCACTCCTAAGCATTGCATTTTGGCCACAAGTTCCTTTTCTGCTCGATCTTACACTTCCTATGCCAAGAGTCAGCTCATTAAAGAACAACTAGATGATATTCCACCAAAATGAACTAATGTTTTAAAAAATGGACATAAGCTTAAATAAACCAACCAAACAACAAACAAGGCAACGTGTGAAGCAATTAGGACTGAAAATAAAACTATGTTTGCCTGAATCACCAAACTTAAAGTTCTCAGCATTCTCTGCACTGAATATGTAGCATGGCAATATTTCATTTAGTTTGATTCACTAAGCCAAATAGATAATTTGTTTTCATGTTTTGTTATAAACTTTGAAAAAAATAATAAAATATTATTTTAAAATTAACACAGTGTCAATAGAATTATACTATATTTTCAATCTGAAAGTGACATTAGAGACCATTTCAACTGACTGCCTCCTTTTTTAGGTTACAAAATTGAGACCCAGAGAAAATGGACTAATGCAGGTCTTATATAACCTTGGTATTCTCTCAGCTCAGTGATCTTTCCAATACTGCAAGATATCCCCTCTGCAGTGTACACTTTGAGGATTGTAATGTGAAGGGAACAATAATAAAAAGTTACAAATTGCTGCTAATTCTCTACCTCCCTTCATTAGCATAAGTATGTAAGCTCAGAATTGTGCTTATTGGGAGGAGGGACTCTGGGCTAAATGTCAGTAGTAGATAGAACTAGGGAAGTAGTCCCAGACCATCTGCATTTCAGAGAAAAACTGACCCAGGCATAAATGATCCATGGAATACTCTTAACGTTGTGGCAACCCTGTGTTCCTTGGTTTCCAGCTTCCTCTCAGCTCCCACTCTTAGTTACCAGCTTCCTACCAGTTTGCCCTTCATAAGGCTTAGAAAAATCTTTTTAAGTCATATATTCCTGTTACTTGAGTCCTTTCCACCAATTTCTTCACAAATGGCTATTAAACATATGCAAGGATGACACATCTTCCTGTCATTCAGCTATCTTGGTCACTCTCTTCTGAACACATTCTATTTGTTTCATGGTCTTTTAAAGAGGAGGAGCCTACAATTGAACACAGACTCCAGGTACACTTTGAGCAGCTGAAATCAGATCAAGAATATTATCTTTTTCTTTAGAGTCCACATTTCCATTTACACAGCCTATGCTCACATCACCCACATCATCTTGCCAGCTCATTGTGCTTACAGTCAACTAAAATCTTAGTCTCCATATGCAGCTATTTTTATACCAATTTTTGTTTCCATGTACTTGTGTAGTAGAGATATTTTTACAAATGCAGGACTTTACACATGAAGGGACTTGAAAAAGTTTATGGAAAGTGGAATTAAATCATAAAAATTAAAAGTTGTATACTTTATTTCTCAACATAAGTTCTATCAAGGTCAAGACGCTTTTGTAAGTGATGATACCAGCCATTTAGTCTTTCTCTAAAGAACTGAAGGTTCTGGGAATTTGACCATGTCAATGCAGTCTTTTTTACATTATTAGCTGAAGAAAAATGGGTGGCCTTTACAGATTTTTAAAGATTAGGAAACAAAAAGAAGTCAAAAGGAGCCAAATCAGGACTGTAAGGTGGATGCCTAATGCTTTCCCATTGAAACTCTCACAAAATTGCCCTTGTTTGATGAGAGGCATGAGCAGGAGCATTGCTCTGGTGGAGAAAAACGCTTGTTAAAGATTTCCTGGACATTTTTCTGCTAAATCTTCCTCTAAACACTCTCATAATAAGCAGCTGTTATCATTCTTTGGCCCTCCAGAAAGTCAACAAGTGAAACACCTTGAGCATTCCCCAAAAAATGTTGCCATGACCTGTGTTTTTGACCTGTCTGCTTTTGCTTTGACTGGACCATTCCATCTCTTCATAGCCATTGCTTTGATCGTGCTTTGTCTTCTGGATTGTGCTGGTAAAACCATCTTTCATCCCCTGTTACAATTCTTTGAAGAAATGCTTCAAGATCTTGATCCCACTTGTTTTCAATTTCTACTGTAAGCCCTGCTGTTGCCTACAGCTGATCTGGGACTAACAGTTTTGGTACCCATCGAGTGGAAAATTTGCTCAACTTTATTTTTTCAGTCAGAATTGTGTAAGCTGAACCACTTAAGACGTCTATGGTGTTGGCTGTAATCCCAGCACTTTGGAGGCTGAGGCAGTGGATCCCGAGGTCAGGAGATCGAGACCATCCTGGCTAACATGGTGAAACCCTGTCTTTACTAAAATTACAAAAAATTTAGCCAGGCGCGGTGGTGGGCACCTGTAGTCCCAGATAATCAGGAGGCTGAGGCAGGAGAATGGCATGAACCCAGGAGGCGGAGCTTGCAGAAAAAAAAAAGATGTCTATGGTGTTGGCTATTGTTTCTGCTCTTAATCATTGGTCTTCTTCAATTAAATCACAAACAAGATTATTTTTTTCCACACAAATTGATGTGGATAGTCTGCCACTGCGGGTTTCATCTTCAACATCATCTTATCCCCTCTTAAAATGAGTTGTTCACTTGTAAACTGCTGATTTGGGGAGGGCATTGTCCCCATAAACTTTGTGTAAAGCATCAATGATTTCACTATTCTTCTACACAAACTTTGCCATAAATATTGTTTTTTTCTTGCTTCAATATTAGAATTCATGTTACTCTGATATGTGCTCTCCTGAACAGATATCTTTCTTTTTTTTAATTTTTCTTTCTTTTTTTTATTATTATACTTTAAGTTTTAGGGTACATGTGCACAACGTGCAGGTTAGTTACATATGTATACATGTGCCATGTTGGTGTGCTGCACCCATTAACTCGTCATTTAACATTAGGTGTATCTCCTAATGCTATCCCTCCCCCCTGCCCCCACCCCACAACGGCCCCGGTGTGTGATGTCCCCCTTCCTGTGTCCATGTGTTCTCATTGTTCAATTCCCACCTATGAGTGAGAACATGTGGTGTTTGGTTTTTTGTCCTTGCGATAGTTTGCTGAGAATGATGGTTTCCAGCTTCATCCATGCCCCTACAAAGGACATGAACTCATCCTTTTTTATGGCTGCATAGTATTCCATGGTGTATATGTGCCACATTTTCTTAATCCAGTCTATCATTGTTGGACATTTGGGTTGGTTCCAAGTCTTTGCTATTGTGAATAGTGCCACAGTAAACATACATGTGCATGTGTCTTTATAGCAGCATGATTTATAATCCTTTGGGTATATACCTAGTAATGGGATGGCTGGGTCAAATGGTATTTCTAGTTCTAGATCCCTGAGGAATCACCACACCGACTTCCACAATGGTTGAACTAGTTTACAGTCCCACCAACAGTGTAAAAGTTCCTATTTCTCCACATCCTCTCTAGCACCTGTTGTTTCCTGACTTTTTAATGATCACCATTCTAACTGGTGTGAGATGGTATCTCATTGTGGTTTTGGTTTGCATTTCTCTGATGGCCAGTGATGATGAGCATTTTTTTCATGTGTCTTTTGGCTGCATAAATGTCTTCTTTTGAGAAGTGTCTGTTCATATGCTTCGCCCACTTGTTGATGGGGTTGTTTGTTTTTTTCTTGTAAATTTGTTTGAGTCATTGTAGATTCTGGATATTAGCCCTTTGTCAGATGAGTAGATTGCAAAAATTTTCTCCCATTCTGTGGTTGCCTCTGAACAGATATCTTTCTAAGTGCCTCAAAGTAGATCCTGTTCACACATGTTATAACAAGTTAGTGCAATTTTATTTTGGTGCAAAAAAATTGAAGTCCATACGTAGTTTCTTCATAATATGCTTCTTCCATGAACGTTTTGAAGTCTCTTTGTATCTGTCTCTGAAATTATAATGTGTTATATTTGGCTCATAGTTCTATCCTGGCATGAATTTGGGGCATGATGATTGTCATTCAACAGGCTAGTTACTCCTACTAGTTCTTTGTTATTTACAAACTATATTTTCTCACTCATGACTTGGATACAAATGTCATAGAGGACAAGGAAAAGGAGATCACTAGAGACAAATTAATCAGCTACTTTAATATGGTTGTTCATTCATTTGTGTGTTAATTGTGCTGTCATTTATCTCATAGTTTTTACCTCATCCAATAGCATATTATAAGATACTTTGCAAAATGCCTTGCTGAATGTGAAGCACATCTACCCATTTCCCTGTCTTGTCAATTTAATCAGCCTGCTCAAAAGGGGACTGAAGTTAGTCTGGCAAGACATATTCAGAGTGTGCCCATGCTGGCTTCTGGTGCTGATTGCTCCCTAGTATCAGAGCTAAGTCAATATTCTTGGAAATCTTTCATGAGGGCCCAGAAACATAAATATTTTCAACACTACCTCCTCATGAATACTGGTCTTTTATTTATTCTTACTAAGGATTCTGTTATTATTTCTGGTTCAAAAGTAAATCTCTTTGACAGAAAAGGCAGATGCAAAGTAGGGGTTATCTATTGATTCCAGGAATTGTTTGACAAGTAGCATCATTACAACAGTGACTTTAACAATGCTCTTATTTACTCATTTTTAATGTTGCCCTTCATATAACTAAAAAAGTCTCCAGTCCTGCCTTTTTTGGCCTCCACATCTTTTATGAGTTGTATTAGGTTTTGTGAGTCAGACCTTATTCTTGATTATATGCACTGATTTTTATCTTTTAGAATCACCATTTAAAAAATACGGCTTTGTCAAAAAGTTCCTAGTTGCAGCTATATCTTAATCTTATGGAAATTTCCCCTTTATTCTGTCAGTATTTCTCAGATAATGATGATGATGATTATGGAGATGGCAGTGATAACAACAAAAGTGTTATAATAGCTAACATCTATTAAATGCTATGTGCCAGGAACTATTCTAAGTGATTTTTTTTCATATCAATTCTTTTCATTTTTAAACAATCATTTGAGATAAATTCTATAATTTTCTCCATCTACATCTTACATATGATCATATGAAGGCATTGAGACATTAAGTGACTTGCCCCAAATCTCATGATTAGCAAATGTTAGAGCTGGAAGCTCTGCATTCTGATTTCATAGTTTGGAATCTGAACCTTTCACTCTATTGCTCGAGAACACAGGTTAGACACTGAAGGATTGAACTGTTAGGGCAATCATGATACAGTTTCAGAACATCTCATAGGCAAACTTGTGGGGCATACAGAGTTAGTGTGGTGGTGTGATCTCGGCTCACTGCAACCTCTGCCTCCCGGGTTCAAGCGATCCTCCTGCATCAGTCTCCCAAGTAGCTGAGATCACACACCACTAGTTTGTTTTGTATTTTTAGTAGAGATGGGGTTTCATCATGGAGGCCAGGCTGGTCTCGTACTGCTGACCTCAAGCGATCTGCCCGCCTCGACCTCCCAGAGTGCTGGGATTACAGGCATGAGCCACTGCGCCCAGGCAGAATTAGTTTTTGACATGCTTCACCTCCTCTTCTGCACATACAGCTACCCTCACTGTATCTTGTTGCCATCATCTGAGTTTCCTCTACTTGTATGCTGTCCTTATCTCTTCAGCTTAACTTTAAGGTTCTGAAGAGTACGGTTTATTTTATACCTACTCCTTTGTTTCCCACATACTGTAGCCAAGCACAATGCTAAACAGGGGGCATATATAAAATCCTTGTGGAATTAAGTGACAAACTTTGCAATTCATATGAGATATGTTCTCCTAGAGGAGGTATGCATGTGTGCATGCACGGTCATGAGCTCACATGCATTCTCAAAAGAACCGTGGGCATTAAGGGAAACAATGCTTGGCATGGAGCAAGTACTCAGCAAATATCTGGGAAATAAATAAATGAAAGAGGCAGAGAGGAAGAGAGAGTTTCCCTGGAATAAGATCAATATCAATTGTCCCCATTTCTTATTTCTGTAAAATACATACTCTTTTGAACCGTTAATTAATTGATATAACACATTAACATCTTCTATTCAAATCGGTTGTAATTATGCAACAATTTTCAGTAATTTAATTACAAATTAAATTAAAAACATGAGGGTGTACCAGTGTGGAAGTATATATATATATATATAAAATCTCCAAGAAAAAAGAAAAAATTATATTTCATGATTTGGAGGATAAACAGGTCGACTCCTAGTATCATTCAGCTAGGTGAATATGGTTTTATTATCTTAGTATCTGGCTAAATTCTGAGGTGCAAATTGACTCAGACCTATTCAAATTTAATATCAGACTTTAGACAAATCCTTTCATAACAAAAAATAAATGGAGAACATATGACGGCTTAGGTCTTTTTTATATAATTATATGGTTCCCAGAGGGAAGTTATAATTGAATTATAAGCTGCCTCGTGAGTATTCTAGCCAGTGTTTAGAGAACCACAAAGCAGAGCTGAGCAATTTTTTTCACCAGCTAGAATGTGAACAAGACACCCTATAATTCAATTATAACTAGCCTCCAGGAACCATATAATTATATTATAAAGTAGTTTGGGGAAACTACAAAACTGAAAGTTTTTCAACACATTGTATATATTTTTAAAATGATAATTTGATAATTTTATCTTATGTCTCAAGTGTCGTGACCACAGAGATTTGAAAACACTATTTGTAGCCTTATTCCTATGCACTTTTCAAAACTTTTGCGACAAATTATCATTCTAGAGGTCCTTAGATTACTTTACCTTCATTGTAGATCTGTCTGTAGACCCATACACATCACTTAAACTCTTTGATCCTCAGTCTTTCCACCTATAAAATGATGGGATTTGACTTAGGTGATCTGTAAAGTACTTTCTAACACTGACACTAATTGAATCTTGTATTAGTCAGGGTTCTACAGAGAAATAGAACAAATAGGATGTGTGTGTGTGTGTGTGTGTGTGTGTGTGTGAGAGAGAGAGAGAGAGAGAGAGGAGAGAGAGAGAGCGAAAGTTGGGGGAGAGAGAAAAATTGATTATAAGGAATTATCTTACGCAGTTATGGGGCTTGGAAACCAGCAGGCTGGAGATCCAGGGAAGAGTTGATGTTGCAGCATGCGTCTGAAAGGCAATCTGAAGGTAGGATTTTTTTTTTTTGAGGCTTCCATACTTTTAAGGCCTTCAACCAATTGAAGGCATTATGGAAGGTAAGTGGCTTTACTCCATGTCTGCTGACTTAAATGTTAATCATATCTAAAAAACACCTTCACAGTAATATGTTTCTTTCTGTATTGGGATTATTTCACATAGCATAATGTCCTCCAGGCCTATTCACATTGTGGCAAATGGCAATATCTCATTCTTTTTCAGGACTAAATAATACTCCTTTGTGTATATGTACCACAGTTTATTCATTTGTCTGTTGATGAATACTTAGAAGGAAAAAACATTGCATGATCTCACTTATATATGTGGAATCTAAAAAGAAAAATAATTGAATATATAGAGATAGAGAAAAAACAGTGGTTAGCAGAGTTAGGGGTTGAGGAAGATGAAATGAGGAGATGTCGGTCAGAGTACAAAGTAGCAGATATGTAGCATGAACAAGTCTAGAGATTTAATGTACAACATGAGGACTATAGCTGATAAAATTGACCTGTTGCGGGATTCATGCTAACTGTGTAGATTTTAGCTACTTTTGCTACAAAAACAAAAAAAAATGGGTAACTGTGAGATGATAGATATGTCAATTTGCTTTGCTATAGTAACTTTTTTACTATCGGTATGGATCCCATGTTATATGCCTTAAATAAACAAAAGAAAGTTTATTTTTTAAAATATTAATACCTTCACAGCAACATCCAGACTTGTGTTTGACCAGAAGATGGGTACCATGGCTTAGCTATTCACACAAAAAATAAATCATCACAAATCTGTACAGTAAGAGAATGGGGTGTTATTCAGGTCCTACTTCTTCTGATTGTGGATTGTCTTTTAGGGATATATCTTTTAGGGGCAATTTCATTCCTTTTTCATCCATAAAAATGAATGAAATTCCATAGAGCAGAAAGTAGGCTACTGGTTGTGAGGGGGTAAGAAGAGAGCAGGAAAGGAGAAGTGACTACTAATGGGTGCACAGTTTGTGTGTGTGTGTGTGTGTGTGTGTGATGATGATGAAAATGTTCTAAACTTAGTTGTAGAGATGGTTGCACGACTATGTAAACACACTAAAAACCATTGAATTTTATACTTTAAATGGATGGCATGTGAATTATATCTAAATAAAGTTCTTAAAAAGTAATGTATACATAGGAAAAGAATTCAAAGCAATTGAAGAGTTTGTAATGGAAAGTCACTCTCACCCCAGTCTGCACTTACCCCCACCCCATTCCACTTGCAATTACAGTAGTAACCACTGTCAATATTCCTGTATTCCCCCAAATATTGTTCTGTCCCTTGACTTTTCAGTCAATATTGTTTTTTTAAAAACTTTCTGTATCCCCATATATACATCTTTACCATTCTTTGAACAGCTGTCTAGTAGTCCGAGTATTAGGCAGATGCACCAAAATCTAAACATTTCCCTCCTGAGGAATTCTGCATTCTTTTCAGTGCTTGTGAAAATGCTGCATGGACACTCTTTCATATCTATTTACAAGACAGTGCAAAAATATATCTGAAGAATAAATTATTACACATAAAATTGTCTAGTCAAAAGGAATGTATATTTTAGATTTTGATAAGTTATTGCCGCATTGCCATATACAATAGTTGGGCCAATTTATACTCCCTTTGACAGTACTTCACAGTGTTTGTTGATGCATTAACACTGGATATTATCAGACTGTTTGATCTGTGTCAGTAGGATAGGCAAAAAATGATTCCTCATTTCAGTTTTAAACAGTGAATGAGATGGAACTTTTTTTGTCCATATGCATTTCTTTTTTATCAATTTTATGTGTGCTTTGTTTATACTTCTATTGTGTTATCGGTCTTTTTATTATTGACTTCTAAGATCTCTTCAAACATTAAGAAAATTAGCCCCATGTTTGTCATAAATGCTGCCAAGATTCACCACTTTTTCTTTTGTCTTTATATTGTGTTTATGATACTTTTTGGATGGATACATTTTTAAAGTGTTCATTTTGTTGCTTTCAAATAGATTGGATTGTACAATAGAAAATACAGTCCAAACTGAAATCACACTCTTATGTCACTTATTTTTTGAATAGTCCATGAAGCTCCCTCTGGAGGAAACCCTGAAACTGTCAGTGGTTTCAGTATTCCACTGTGCAATATCCTGTCCTCATGGATATTGGATATCTCTTAATTATCATCCTGAAGTTTGCTCTTAGATAAGGGTATTTTTATTGTTTATTTTAATTGGCCACAGATTGATCAATAAAAACATGATAACATTGAACAGATTTCAGATATTTTTTCCTTTGCCAGGGCTTTCTCACTTTACTCAATATAGCAGCTGTCACTGTGCTTGCATTATTTGCTAATTTAACTCTATTACTCCTTTCATATAACACATAAGGGTCTTTACAACACACATTTTTAACATGGAGACAAAAAGTCACATAAAATGGTTTAATGTACAAAATGGAATTATAAACATAAAAGACTGGAAAATAGGATATTAACTTTTGGAACTACTTTACTTTTTTCCTCCCCTCTCTCTTTCTCTTTCCTTCCCTCACTCATTTCTATTTTCATATTTTTCCTTCTTTACTTCTTCCCTTGTTATTATGAAAGTAATACATACAGTAATGTGTGTGTGTGTGTGTGTGTATGTATGTATAGATATATCATTACAAACAGAACATATAAAATAAAATAAAAGCTCTCCTGCCCACCCCGGTCACTTGACTCTCCATTCACATGCCCGAGAGGGTATAAATTTTCTTTATGTGTATTTCTTGAAATTCTATGTGAGTGCAAATGGATGGGTATGTATTAGTGCATGTGTGCACATTAGAACATATTATCTTGCATAAAAGATATATATATGCATAAAAATGAGAGAGCATCCTTTAGGAATAATCGACTCAGGCTGTACATTGGTTCTAATACTGTCTTCGTTAAAAATTTTCTTGGGATTTCTGGTTATTGCTTTTAGACCTTGGGAATTCTCATTAAATATTTTTACTGGTGGATTTTTTTTTGTTTGTTTGAAGAGGGATTTGATTTTGGGGAAAAACCAGAGACTATTTGGAGTCAAGTCTGTTGAAGACAGGTGTTCAAAATATGTGGTATGACATGATCAAAAATCAGTAGAGTTAAAAAGCTGATTGTTTTAAGCAGCTCATAGACAAACATTACAGATAATTATCAATGAGGTTTTACAAAAACGTTTGGAGTACTGACAGCATTGTTTGTATGTTTTTGGTATTACAAGGGTGACAGAATCAATTACGGAGCTGGAGTTCATTTGAATGTATGAATTCTACTGTGCTGGTTTTTGGATTTCAGAGTTCTGCTGTTCTGGTTACAAAATTTGCCTTAGATCTTCTCCCTACAGGCCTAAGAAGCATCATTCTAGGTCATCAGTCTGCTGCATCCAGCACAGACTTCTGCTTCTGACAGTAGCCCTGGGGTATAATGACAATCTTAGAAATGAGGAAGAGCCCCTGGATTTTCCTGCAGATCTTTAATTACCAGTGGTACAATGGCTCTTTCTTTCATTAAAAAATCTATTATTTAAAAAAGTCTAATTATAGTCTGTTTCTGAAACAGATAAGTTGTTTCAGTTTAGCTTAACTTAATTTCTTATCTCTTCAGATAAGAAAGCTATACATCTTAAGAAATTCTCTATCACCATTCTCACCATTCATATTGAGATTTTTTTAACTTTTCAAAAGCTGTCACTTAGTGAAATAATTATTATAGCCTAACATTCAATAATTCCTTGCTTAAAGACAGCTTATATTTTCACTGGCTTTGATGACCAGTACAGGAATTTAGAATTTATATTGATGAAGAGAACAATAATAATCTTGCCAAGTTTTGGTAAGAACCATGGCACATATAATTCTGTTTTTTTTTTCATTCTGCAACATACGCAAATATACAAATAGTAGATGCAACAGAACTAGGAAAAACATTGATTGCACTATGCTGTAAAGAAGATTTATGGTACTGTGTGTGGACATGAAAGTAATTATTAAAGCCATTAATAAGAAGTGAAACTTGATTTCTAAGCATGATAGAGTAGATAGGAGGACGCTAATGTTTTGGACTGTTAATAAGCGTCCTGAAAATAGTCCCTGGCTTTCAAAATGAAGAACAGTGCTCTAGAATACCTGCATATTTCCTTCAACAATTTTTTTCTTATAAGATACATAGCAACACAACGTCGATTCACTTATGTTTTAAATACATAATTGTTCAGGTTTATAATGAAACTCTGTCAGGTGGCCTGAGCTTCTTGTTCAATGAGGACATCCATGCTCCTCGGCACTGGTCTGTTCCTTTTCAGAACATGGCTTGTCACTGCAAAGGAATGGACAAAATGTGGGTATGAGTGTCTTTAAGTGGTTTTATTGAATTTATATTTGCAAAAATGCCATTCTTTCATTCAAAAAGTGTATTGAATACCTACCGTGTGCCAACCACTGTGGTAGTTGGTGGGAAAATAGAAATAAAGTAGATGACATCTGCCCTTCAGGAACTCCTAATCTGAGAATAGAAGTTGAAGTAGGGAGAGATTTGATTATCAGGGCAATCAAATATATAATGTTCTGGAAAAGAAGTATCTTCACGGCAGTGAAACTAAGGGCTTTCTCAATCTCTTCCTCCATTAAAAGAATAAATAAAAAGCAAACCTGTATTCAAATCCCAGCCCTGACACTTAGTAGCCGCAAGACGTGGTGCAAGTTACCCAAATTCTGTGAACTTCAGTTTTCTGTCTGTAAAACTGACGTAATAATAATGACCATACAGAACTTGAGTGCACTTTATAATGTATACATGTGATATAACTAGTCTTTTGTGAACAGTAAATAAAGGGCAACTAGGATGATACTTATTAATATATAATTTGCTTATGAGGATCGCATCATGTATTACTGAGTTTTTTTCTTTTTGGAAATAAGACTTTTACAATTTAGAAAGTGACGGATATTGGAGAAGAAAATGACTATATTTTCCGAAAGCCTTACTAGCACTTACAGAATACACCAAACATACTTTTATGCTGATATATTTTGTATCTGTCCAGCATGGCATGCATGTTATGCTTCCCTTAAACACAGTAATTTCACTTGCCACCGAACTGTCTCACACATTTTTCCTCCCTCTTTCCCTCACAAAGGTCATGCCAAGAAAGGCAGTGCACAGAAAAATGTTACCCTCGCCTCCTCCACATGTCTCCGTTCTATTCTCTGGTATCTTCCTTGTCAAATCAGACTCACTTTAAGACATCAAAAGTCAGTGTTGAATAAAGAAACAAAAACACTTCCACCTGACTTATGGCAGAAACTCCTTCTCTTGCTGTTTTCTTCTCTCTGTCATTTATGTTGATGGTTTTAAGCTTTTTCTACTTAATGGTGAAATATTCAGTCATTTGGAAAGAAATCAGCCAAATTATTTGGCTATTTATAGACAGGTTTTTTTTAAACTGACTGCACTTCTGGAACTTTTTATCATATTTTGGACAGACTTAAATGTATCTCTCAAACAAGAGACAATATTTGCCTTGGAGCAGGAGTGTCAACTGTGTTAATCCGTTCTCACACTGCTGTAAAGAAATACCTAAGACTAGGTAATTTATAAAGAAAAGAAGTTTAATTAGCTCACAGTTCTGCAGACTGTACAGAAAGCGTGGCTGGGGAAGCCTCAGTAAACTTATAATCATGGCAGAAGGCAAGCAGAAAACAGGCACGTCTTGCATGGCCAGAGCAGGGGGAAGAGAGATGCGGGGAGGTGCCACCCACTTTTAAACAAGATCTTGTGGGAATAGGATATCCTATATCCTGTATCCTCACTAGTTACAATCCTGTGCAGAAAAAAAATCACTATAGATTTAGTTGATCTTGGGCCTACCCTGTGACTAAATGCTGATACTAGTTTACTTACCTCATGGTAGAACGATGGACTTTTTAAAGCTAAAAGGTCCTTAGAATTTGATTAGTCTAATGGAGTTCTCAAGTTTACCTTTTACTTTTTAAGCAACAGAAAGTGTTTTGTTTTGTTTCATTTTATTTTGTTTTGGCATAGTGGTTTAGAGCGTGGGTGGTGAAGCCAGACTGCTTGGGCTGAAATCTGTGTCTCTTATTTACTGTCTTCAAGAACTTGATCAATTTACTTAACTTGTCTGTGTCTCAATTCTCTCATCTGAAAAATGGGGATCATATTACCACCCATTTAATAGGCTTTTTCTGAATATTACATCAGCCGATACATGAAAAGCACTTAGAACCCCGCTCAGCACAAAGAAAGTGACATTTAAATGTTTAATATGTCTTCCAAAAAGTAATCTTTTATAGAACCCAAACCTACGATACAGCAGGCAAAATAAAAGCTACTCTGGTTGAATGGAAAAGGGTGGCAGAGGTGAAGCACTGGTCAGCCATAAGCCACACCCCACCCTGCAGCCACTACCAGTGTACCTCCATTTCCTTTTCCACTAGTAGGGGAAGCCTGAACATAATTTGAAAATCTGAAAATACTTTGAAAATCACTAATCTAAGCCCATCACTTCTTTTTACGAATGAGAAAATTGCTTCAGGCATATTAACTCATTTGATCTTCACAATAGTTCCCAATTTTTTTTCAAATGAGGCTCAATAACTTGCTCAAGCTTATATGGCTAGTAAACTGCAGAGATGGGATTCAAATACACCTAGAAAAGCAAGCCAAAGGGTACAGACATTTTTACAGGTTAGCTACCACATCTATCAACTGCAAAGAACACAGATACCTTCTCCAAAGAGGCTCTTTGATTTTGGAGTCATCTGTTAACTTTGTTTAACTACAATTAAATTGGACCTTAGTAAACTAGAGCACAATAAATATTAAATTATTCTTCTCTAAGATTCTCACAGTCTCTTTCTGTCTTTTTGTTATAGTTTTAGCAGCTTTCATGTCAACATACTATCTTAAAATGTTTTAATTACAAATAAAAGGTAACTTTGTGAGGTGATGGATGTTTTAATGAGCTTGATTATGGTAATCATTTCACAATATGTACATCAAAGCATTCACGTTGTATACCTTGTATACAATTTTTATTTCTCAGTTATACCTCAATCAAACGAAGAAAAAATAAAAATTTAATTAAAATTGTGCCATTTTTGGAAAATGTACTTTAGGGAACAACAATTTCACTACTTCCGTTTTCTGTTGGCGAAGCCCGGAACATTTGTCCTTCTCTTAAAAACACTCAGTGCTGTTGGACAGAAGACTGGGGGTTGTATGATCTGTTTTATTTGAGAGATGTGTCCACTGGATTAAAATTTTTAAAAATATTTTTATAATATCAATCTTAATGCACAATATGAACTAAATACCCTTTTCACATTACTCTTATTGTGTCTTTAAAGGGGTTGGGAAATCTAGTCATTTCCTTTTATTAGATATTTGGTTGTGTGGCACTATTATAGGAGTTCAGTTTTCTCCCACAAGAGGGTAAGCAAGGTTTTGGTGCCTTAGGTATTGGTGACTCTCCTCAGTGTAAAGTGTCTTCGATTAAAATCAAATACATTAAATTTCTCCAGTGCATCCAATTACTTTGTTAATTGAAAAGGACAGCATTCAGTTTAATTATGTGTTCTCGTTTCTGGCAATGCAAGAAACAACCATTCGAAGAGCCATTTGGTACTGTTCCTATTTGGCCCTGTCCATTTGAGATTTCCCAATTTTCTGTGATTTTGGTCTGTCGTCCTAAGTATGGTTTGTTTGCTTCACTGATTACTTCCAACAGCACATTAAACGCCCCCATGGGACCATGCTTTCTGTCTGACATTTGATATTGTTTCTGCTGTCACTTTTAAGATTCTACATTTCTCCTTGTGGTTTTGATTTGCATTTCTCTGATGGCCAATGATGATGAGCATTTTTTCATGTATCTGTTGGCTGCATAAATGTCTTCTTTCGAGAAGTGTCTGTTCATATCCTTCGCCCACTTTTTGATGGGGTTGTTTGTTTTTTTCTTGTAAATTTGTTTGAGTTCATTGTAGATTCTGGATATTAGCCCTTTGTCAGATGAGAAGGTTGCAAAAATTTTCTCCCATTCTGTAGGTTGCCTGTTCACTCTGATGGTAGTTTCTTTTGCTGTGCAGAAGCTCTTTAGTTTAATTAGATCCCATTTGTCAATTTTGGCTTTTGTTGCCATTGCTTTTGGTGTTTTAGACATGAAGTCCTTGCCCATGCCTATGTCCTGAATGGTATTGCCTAGGTTTTCTTCTAGGGTTTTTATGGTTTTAGGTCTAACATTTAAGTCTTTAATCCATCTTGAATTAATTTTTGTATAAGGTGTAAGGAAGGGATCCAGTTTCAGCTTTCTACATATGGCTAGCCAGTTTTCCCAGCACCATTTATTAAATAGGGAATCCTTTCCCCATTGCTTGTTTTTCTCAGGTTTGTCAAAGATCAGGTGGTTGTAGATATACAGCGTTATTTCTGAGGGCTCTGTTCTGTTCCATTGGTCTATATCTCTGTTTTGGTACCAAGACCATGCTGTTTTGGTTACTGTAGCCTTGTAGTATAGTTTGAAGTCAGGTAGCGTGATGCCTCCAGCTTTGTTCTTTTGGCTTAGGATTGACTTGGCGATGCGGGCTCTTTTTTGGTTCCATATGAACTTTAAAGTAGTTTTTTCCAATTGTGTGAAGAAAGTCATTGGTAGCTTGATGGGGATGGCATTGAATCTATAAATTACCTTGGGCAGCATGGCCATTTTCATATTGATTCTTCCTACCCATGAGCGTGGAATGTTCTTCCATTTGTTTGTATCCTCTTTTATTTCCTTGAGCAGTGGTTTGTAGTTCTCCTTGAAGAGGTCCTTCACATCCCTTTTGTAAGTTGGATTCCTAGGTATTTTATTCTCTTTGAAGCAATTGTGAATGGGAGTTCACTCATGATTTGGCTCTCTGTCTGTTATTGGTGTATAAGAATGCTTGTGATTTTTGCACATTGATTTTGTATCCTGAGACTTTGCTGAAGTTGCCTATCAGCTTAAGGAGATTTTGGGCTGAGACGATGGGGTTTTCTAAATATACAATCATGTCATCTGCAAACAGGGACAATTTGACTTCCTCTTTTCCTAATTGAATACCCTTTATTTCCTTCTCCTGCCTGAATGGCGATCATTAAAAAGTCAGGAAACAACAGGTGCTGGAGAGGATGTGGAGAAATAGGAACACTTTTACACTGTTGGTGGGACTGTAAACTAGTTCAACCCTTGTGGAAGTCACTGTGGTGATTCCTCAGGGATCTAGAACTAGAAATACCATTTGACCCAGCCATCCCATTACTGGGTATATACCCAAAGGATTATAAATCATGCTGCTATAAAGACACATGCACACGTATGTTTATTGCAGCACTATTCACAATAGCAAGGACTTGGAACCAACCCAAATGTCCAACAATGAGAGACTGGGTTAAGAAAATGTGGCGCATATACACCATGGAATGCTATGCAGCCATAAAACAGGATGAGTTCATGTCCTTTGTAGGGACATGGATGAAGCTGGAAACCATCATTCTCAGCAAACTATTGCAAGGACAAAAAACCAGACACCACATGTTCTCACTCATAGGTAGGAATTGAACAGTGAGAACACATGGACACAGGAAGGGGAACATCACACACCGGAGCCTGTTGTGGGGTGGGGGCAGGGGGGAGGGATAGCATTAGGAGATATACCTAATGTTAAATGACGAGTTAATGGGTGCAGCACACCAATGTGGCACATGTATACATATGTAACTAACCTGCACGTTGTGCACATGTACCCTAAAACTTGAAGTATAATAATAATAATAATAATAATAAAAAGATTCTATAGTTCTCCAGCAGTCGGGTTCTAGAGTAATCTGCCCATGTTGCCTACATCAGAACCATTTAAAAACTACAAGAAAACATGAATAAGGGTGTCACAGCATTGATAGTTCTGATGAGCACTTTTAAACTTTCTATTATTAATAATAATAGTAAATAAAGAAGGTAAAGAGGTAGACATCAAAATGACAACCCATAGAATGGAAAAAAATATTTACAAACCATATAAGAGAGTCATATCCAGAATATATAAAGAATTCTTACAAGTCAATAATGAAAAAAGAAATGAGGCAATTTAAAAATGAGCAAAAGATCTCTAAAGAAAACACACAAATGACCAATAAGAGCATGAGAAGAGGTTCAATATCATTAGTCATCAGAGCAATGCAAATCTAAACCAAGAAGAGATACTATGTCACACATAGGAGGATGGCTATAATAAAAAATAAAGACAATACCAAGTATTTTGAGAAACTAAAACACTTATACATTGCTTGTGAAAATGTACAATAGTGTAGTCACTGTGGAAAAGTTTGTCATTGCCTCACAAGCAAAAAGTTAAACATAGTTTCTATATTGCCCAGCAATTCCATTCATAGGTATATACCCAATTGAAAATCTATGTCCACACAAAAACTTGTACTCAAGTGTTCATTGTAGCTTATTCATAATAACAAAGAAGTGGAAATCCACAAAATATCTATACAATGAAATATCGTTCAGCCATAAAAAGGAATGAAGTACTATAACAGGGATAAACCTAGAAAACATTATGCTAAGTGAAAGAAACCACACACATAAGGCCACATAATTGTTTGATTCCATTTATATGAAATGCCAAAGATAGCCAAATCCATAGAAATAGAAAGTAGATTATTGGTTGCCACTGTTGGGGAGAGGGAAATAGGTGTGACTGTCAATGAGTACAGGGTTTCTTTTTGTGGTGATGGGAATGTTTTGGAATTAGTGGTAATGGTTGCACAGTTCTGGGAATATACTAAACACCACTGAATTGTACACTTTAAAAGGGTGAATTTTATGATATATGAATTATATCTCAATAAAGCTGTTAAAAAACAGGAAAAATAGCCAACATTGAGCACTTATGTGTTGTAGGCATTGCACTTGGCAGCTTTGTATGCATGATCATATTTAATGTTCACAACAATTATATGTACATCGGTACTATTATTTCCTCCATTTTACAGATGTGAAAATTGAAGCTTAATAATGGTATCTAAGTTACTTAGTAATTTGCCCAGGTTTCCAGAGGGTAAAACTCCAAGAACTAGAATTCAGAATCTAGGTAACCATCTTGAACTTTTAACTACTACATGCATTTCTGCCTACATTTTTTATGAAAGCAGACCATAGCAGACCATACAAAGCACAGCAGACCATACAATTCACTCATTTAAATGAACTACCCATTTAATAGTTTTTAGTATGTTCATAGATACTGGCAACCATCACCACAGTCAGTTTTAGAGCATTTTAATAGTCTTACTAACAACCTTCACCCAGTACCCTTTAAATATCACCTCTCTACTCCCTCATCCGCCCAGTACTATGCAACCATCAATCTGTCTCTATGGTGGTAGATTGATACTGCCACCTATAGCCATTTGCATCATTGTATATTCTATTCAGATTCTGTTAGTCAATTTAGATAAGACCAAGGAATAATGAGACAATAGGATTCCCTTTAAAAATTGCTTGGAGGCCAGGTGTGATGGCCTGTGCCTGTAGTTACAGCTACTTGGAAGGCTGAGGTAGGGAAAATCACTTGAGTCCAGGAGTTCGAGGCTGCAGTGAGCTATGGTCACACCTATGAATAACCACTGCACTCCAGTCAGGGAAACATAGTGAGACCCCATCTCAAAAAAAAAAAAAAAAAAAAAAAATGCTTCGAAACAGCATCATTTAAACGGACTCCTAAAGGCAAAGGGGAACCATTACAGGTTTAGATTTGCCCTGTTTCTGGAATTACCTACATTATTTTACTGAGAAGCTGAGTCTACTCAAGAAAAAGAATATCTTGATTGCAGAAAGTATATTTTGCTTTTGGGAAAAATTGCAGAAATTGTCAGGAAATTTCTTTGCCTTTAAAATTGGGACAGTGCCCTCTAGCTAAATGATTTTGCTAAGTGGCTTTGCTAGAAACCTTTCCTGCTCCTCTTGTCCTGAAGCTACTACTTTTCCTCCTGACCCTCTTGACTTCAATTTGAGTGTATGTGTTCCAGTTAACAAGTAATTTAGGGGAGTGTCAAAAGGTAACTAGTGTCCCCTGGGTTACAATTAACCTAAAAATTAAAAGGTGGAGTTTAAAATTCTCATTAAGTATAACAAAAACATAAAAAGGAATTTTTGGATTGGAGTTGGATTTAGAAAGTCACCTTTGAATTAATGAAACTGACCATACTTGACTATGCACCAAATTACGTATTTGAGAGAAGATATATATTCTATAGTTTAGTGGCAATTAGTGGCTAATGCAAAATGAGTAGAAAAAATTTCTAGGAGCCGTGTTCCATGATCCCATTCACTCACAGTGCACATACTAATGTGCTCCAGTTTTAATTACCTCTAATTTCTGAAATATGCTTGTGAGTGTTACATTATTTGAATTAAGAATTAATGCGTTCTCACTTAACCTGGCCAGATATTTGGTGCCATCATATATCCCTGAGAAATTTTCTTGATGATTTATTTTTAAAGGTAGCATAATAAAAACAGCTGGGGTCTCTAAAAATGATTTATAGTAAACTCTTATAGCCTAGTAGTAAATTCTAACTAATATGTTTTACTCATAATGGATGCCTACAGCTTGTCAACTCTGTGCTAACAGGGGAAACAATATTGTTATTGCTCGTACTGTATAAGCTTCAAACACTTATGTTGTGCTGGATAAGCTCAAACCATGTTGGATGCTTAAAATATTTAATAACTCATATACGCTAATGTTTATTTTACATAATTCCAAAAACTGTTTCTAAAAGCAACAAGGTTCTTATTCTAAAATAGAGTGTAGAATCACATTTTATCGAAGTCAGTTTGTGGCCTCTCGAAGCAGAAATATATGCATAAAATAAACATCTACTAAACAGGAAACTTTGGGGAGGAATTAAAATCTATCACTGCTTTTAAAGAATATTCAGATGTGTATACCCTCCTTTTGAGTATTTCTATTAAATGGTGCTTGGGCAGTAATAAGCCTCATTTACTTATTTAAATGTATTCTCCTTACCCCAACCCCCAAAACACACACACACACACACACACACACACACGCATGCACACACACACACACATGCACACACACACACATAATTGTATGAGTAAATCTGCTATCAGTTCTTTTGTCTCAATTTTCTGAGTTGTCTGGCTTTTTGGGAAGTTAGTTCATTTGGGGGCATGAAAAGGTTAGAAGTGAAATGAAGATGTCCTCACTGACCCACATTCGGCAGGACATGTCCCTTGAGTTGTTTAGAAATTTAGATGGCCTTGCCAGTTCGTTTTTGACCTGTGGCACACATTTCTATAGCAGCTGGTTGCAGTTAGGTTTTCTTCTGTATCCGTGTAGCAGAGAAAACATCATTGGCCCATTTGAGGATGGAACTTCAACCTTGGTCTCATTAGTGCTTGGCTTTAGCCACCTGATACGGGATTACATAGAAGACGGTAAGCAGCAAAAGACAACTAGGAATTTTACAGCCATTGACAAAGAAGACATAGTAGGTATCTAGGACTTTTCTCCCCACTAGAAATGCTTGGGAAGGTTCACATACTTTCTTTGGCAAGCCATCTAAGATATCTCATGTCTAAGGTTACCACTGTATTCAAACAGGCTGCAGGTTTTTTGACTAAAGTCAAGGAAATATTTTTAGTTGGTAAGCAGCCTTGATTCTTTATAAAATACATACATATGGATAAAAATAACACCTTTTAATAGGGTAATATATTTGTATGTAGTCCCTTCATCCTTCAATACATATGTAAAAAGTGAACAGATTTGGTTATTTAGTAGACCTCCTCTCAACTTGGTTTATACCACCAGAAATTGATTGGAAATGTTTAAATATTTTTTTGTTTCTGTTTTTAAATATTACTCTTTCAATATTTTGCTTTTCCCAAACTACCTCCAAATAAGGAGTGCAAATGTAGAAACTGGTTGCTCTTCTTCAAGAGAAAAAAAAGAGAATATGTTTCTAGTGTTTGTAGATGAAAAAGTGGTGTACTGAAGTGTATGTAGGGGGCCTTTTAATTGAAATTAAATTAAAATTAATTGATGAAAGTGTTTTTGGCTTAAACTGAATGAGTCACTGATGTACTTTAAACCCTTGCAATAAATGAAGTATTTGCTGGTAGAAGAGAATCTGGGGCTGACTGGTGACGATTATTCACTGTCTTAATTGTTGGAAATAGATTATTTTCTACCTGCACTGAAGTCACAATGATGGGCAGAATTTCCATGGGAAGTGTTATGCCTAACTGGCATAGTAATTAAAATGTGGGTTTTCTGAATCCTGAATGTAGATTTCACAATTTTCCTGGAATTTAATATAGATCGTCTATAGCCACAGGTAGTAAAGTGTTAAACAGTAAAGGAAAAACAAATAAACATGTTTCCATCTTCCCTAATACATAAATGCACAGGAATGGACTGTATCTTAATCTAGAATCTAGTTTGCTTTCAACCAGTAATAAAAGCAGAGACCACTATATATAGCTTTTGGAATTAAATAGAATATATCATTAGTTTAAGGTATATTTCAGGAAGAAGAACTAACCATTAGAAAACAAACCACAAATGGAATACTAACGCTATGGAGCCTGATTCACCCCTCCTTTCCTGATATGGTTTGACTCTATGTCCCCACCCAAGTCTCATCTCAATGGTAATCCCCACGTGTCAAGAGACAGACCTGTGACTGGATCATGGGGGCTGTTTCCCCCATACTGTTCTCATGATAGTGAGTGAGTTCTCACAAGATCTGATGGTTTTATAAGTGTTTGACAGTTTTTTTCTACATACACTTGCTCTCTTGCCTGGCACCAGGTAAGACAGGACTGCTTCCCTTTCCGCTGTGATTGTAAGTCTCGTGAGGCCTCTCAAGCCATGTGGAACTGTGAGTCATACCTCTTTCCTTTATAAATTTCTCAGTCCCAGGCAGTTCTTCATAGCAGTATGAGAATGGATTAATACCCTTCCTGAGAGATCTTAGTGCAGTTGCACCCTCTCTGCCCCGTGCTCAGGCATAATTCCAAATATTTATTGTTGAGATAATTGAAAATGTAATTGTTGTATGTTCTAACAAATTTGAAATTTTTCCTCAGGATGGAAGATTTGGTAGTATGTTAGCTTTCCATTCTTTCAGATGGTTCATTTGTCATTCATAGAGTATCCTTGTATAAGGACTTGGATTTAATAGACGTGTGAAAGTTTTCAAGGTTGACAATATGCCACAACCTGGAATTTATAGTCTCTGTTGTGGTTATTGATAATACTCAGGCTTACGAAATTCATTTATTTTTTATTATTATTTTTTAATTTTTTGGAGCCAAGGTCTCAATCTGTCGCCCAGACTGGAGTGCAGTGATGTGATCGTAGCTCATTGCAGCCTTGACCTCCTAAGCTCAAGTGACCTTACCACTTCAGCTTCCCAAGTAGCTAGAGCAACAGGTGTGTGCCACGATACCAGGCTAATTTTTAAAAATTTTTTGTAGAGATGGGGTCTCACTGTGTTGCCCAGGCTAGTCTCAAATTCCTGGACCCAAGAGATCCTTCCACCTCAGCCTTGCAAAGTGCTGGGATTATAGGTGTAAGCCACCACACCCAGCCCATTTCTATTTTAATTAGGATCTACTGAGGAAGATTCCACAGAATGTGATGATTTTATAATTGTTAATATTCTTTTTTTTTTATTTTTTTTTTATTTTTTTTTATTTTTAATCTTTTTTTTTTCCTTTTTTTATTATTATTATTATACTTTAAGTTTTAGGGTACATGTGCACATTGTGCAGGTTAGTTACATATGTATACATGTGCCATGCTGGTGCGCTGCACCCACTAACGTGTCATCTAGCATTAGGTATATCTCCCAATGCTATCCCTCCCCCCTCCCCCGACCCCACCACAGTCCCCAGAGTGTGATATTCCCCTTCCTGTGTCCATGTGATCTCATTGTTCAATTCCCACCTATGAGTGAGAATATGCGGTGTTTGGTTTTTTGTTCTTGCGATAGTTTACTGAGAATGATGGTTTCCAATTTCATCCATGTCCCTACAAAGGACATGAACTCATCATTTTTTATGGCTGCATAGTATTCCATGGTGTATATGTGCCACATTTTCTTAATCCAGTCTATCATTGTTGGACATTTGGGTTGGTTCCAAGTCTTTGCTATTGTGAATAATGCCGCAATAAACATACGTGTGCATGTGTCTTTATAGCAGCATGATTTATAGTCATTTGGGTATATACCCAGTAATGGGATGGCTGGGTCAAATGGTATTTCTAGTTCTAGATCCCTGAGGAATCGCCACACTGACTTCCACAATGGTTGAACTAGTTTACAGTCCCACCAACAGTGTAAAAGTGTTCCTATTTCTCCACATCCTCTCCAGCACCTGTTGTTTCCTGACTTTTTAATGATTGCCATTCTAACTGGTGTGAGATGATATCTCATAGTGGTTTTGATTTGCATTTCTCTGATGTCCAGTGATGGTGAGCATTTTTTCATGTGTTTTTTGGCTGCATAAATGTCTTCTTTTGAGAAGTGTCTGTTCATGTCCTTCGCCCACTTTTTGATGGGTTGTTTGTTTTTTTCTTGTAAATTTGTTTGAGTTCATTGTAGATTCTGGATATTAGCCCTTTGTCAGATGAGTAGGTTGCAAAAATTTTCTCCCATGTTGTAGGTTGCCTGTTCACTCTGATGGTAGTTTCTTTTGCTGTGCAGAAGCTCTTTAGTTTAATTAGATCCCATTTGTCAATTTTGGCTTTTGTTGCCATTGCTTTTGGTGTTTTGGACATGAAGTCCTTGCCCACGCCTATGTCCTGAATGGTAATGCCTAGGTTTTCTTCTAGGGTTTTTATGGTTTATTCTTATAATTTGTGAGATACCTATTCATTTCTAAAGATCAAGGTCAAATTAGCCTGTTCCTAAACTTTCTACCTAGAGTTGATTTCCTTGCAAGTAAATGCAATTAACTTGCATAGTGTACTAACCAGCCAGTTGTCAAACTCTAGGCCTGAATCTGACTTTTGGCACCTATCATCCATCCAGATATTGTAAAAATTTTAGCATCTAGTCAAACCCTTGAACTTTGTCAGCTGATACTGTCTATGCCTTGCCTAATAATATTCTCTACTTCTTTTAACAGGCTCACTTAATATATATTACAAAAGAGGAAGGATTTCACATGAATGTCCTACTCTTTTAATATGTGAATATTTTTCTCTTTTTTTCCTCTCCAAACTGCTCCCACCTACTGCACTCTGGTGGCTGAAATTCCTTCTATAGAGTTAAGGCATTTTTGTTCAAAGAGGTCCATGCTAAAATAAAATTACCTGTATTGACATATTTTTGCCTGATTAGTTTATCCAGGTCATTTTCAGATTTCTCATTTGAGAGCTATCTTAAGGGGAAGATAAGTTTTGGTGTTGCTCAGGAGTGGGAGACAAAGGCATGTCTCAAGATTGTGTTCTTGACAATTCTGCTATTAAATCAGAATATTGTGTGAAATTACAGGTGTTACCTACTAAGATAAGTAAGGGGAGAGACATAGAAATAGGGAAAGAGGACTTAAAAAGGAAAAATAGCTCTTCAAAGACCAAAGTTACCTACTTTACTGTTCTTCACAAGCCTGATTCAAACCTCTAGAAGTAACTCAGCTCATTTCTGGTGTTCACTTCAAGGTATATTGCTGCTTTTAAACTTAAACTTTGTCTAATTCTGTGATGAAAAGAAATGAATGAACAACCTCAACTTTCAAGCAGTTTTTTCTCTAAGAGCACTGAAGTCATACTTAAAGCTGTTGAATAAAAAGTGCCATTAATTGAAGTATACGATATATTCAGATATGAGAGGTTTTATTATTCACTGAAAAGTACAATGAATACTATATTCTTTAAAAGTCATTAAAGCACACATATTCTACTTGACTGCTGTATTTATATAAGCATTGCTAGCATTTGCCCTTTTTATGTCTTCTTCAATTTTTTTCTCCTACTCTTCCTCCTCTTTATCTTTCTTACTGTTTATCCATGCCTTCTTCAGCTATCCTCAACATCACTAAGCTAAGGGAATATATAATCTTATGAGATGTACTATTAAGTGGTACCATTTGAGAGTGTGTCTCTCCCTCTGTCCTGTAATGTGCCTGAAATTCTCAGAATTTTGGTTATGGTTTGTGATTAGGGCACTAGCCCCAAAACATCATAAAAATCATAATGCAAATGTCCAAAGCAAGTACACTCACATTTATTCCTTAGAAAGCAGAGAGAAGATTAAATGATCCATTTTTTAAGACTTGTGTAACCTAGCATGTTAGAGTTAGAAAGGATCTTTGAGGTCATGAACAGTTTTTAATTAAAGTTGGCTTGTTTTATTTCCTTTTCATTTGTGTCAGTCCTTTCTTTAGATGATATTTAAAGATAATGAAAGTTCAATGAGGAAAATAGATGAATTAGGAGAACATTAGGACTCACCTCTGCTCGTTACTGGTTCTGTGGAAGCTTAGGGGTTCTGTGCAGTGAAAAATTGAGCTCATAGTTCTGGAGCCTTTTTTTGTGGAGAAAGTGTGACCAGAAGTTCAATATTCTGATTCCCAATCCAGGGATCTTTGTATCCATTGGATTGCTCCCTATAATTACCTTTTTGTGTGAATGCCTTATCTGAATTTCTACTACTTTGTAGACATATTTTTGTTAACATGCCTACACAACAATACTATGGATGTTCTAAATAGTGAAATGACAACCATAGAAAAATAATCCAAATGGGAAGAGGGAAAAGTGATTCTGAAATAGAACCGTCTCTGGCAAGACATACAATTTCTAAGAGAACCTTTGAAATATAGCTGAGTATGAAAATTGGGTAGGGATGTCGCATTATTGGTAATTCTTATTGTTTTAATGATTCCCCAATTGACATTAAAACAATAGACAAGTTAAGTGATCTTTAATAGAAAAGAGAATGAGTTGTAGATCAGGTTCTTCCAACTCCAGAAGATTACTTTCTGAAAACAAATAGCAATATCTGGTGAAAACAAGTTTACTGAGGTCATGAGCCTAAATTTTATTGCAAAGGTCGAAAAGATGAATAGTATCAATTTTTTTTTCCTTCAGCTCAGACTTTTAACATCAGAGGAAAGGATGTTATATATTGCAAAATAGATGTAATCACTGAATCCAAAGAGAAATGTTATTGTGCACTGAAACACTGGATCCAAATGGAATCTAATTAATCAAAGTATGTTTTGCTAATTAGGAGGACAGTTGATGATATAACATACATCTAGTGATGTTTTAAAATATCATAACTGATGAGAGTTGCCCATATTAAGCATTTGAATGGGTTTTTGAAATAGATGGAGTTTTTCAATTTCCCAGTTTGTAGAAACTGCAATCTTAGTTTTAGAGATGTGTTAATTATGAGGCAGAAAAATAAATATCATATAATGACATTTTATGGTCCAAACTTCCATAGAGTTTCAGTTATTTGATTTTTGTTGTCCTAAGTTTCTACAGCTTTTCCTTCAGAAAATGTTCTATTTCTGGATGATATGCAGACAGGTAAATATCCAGGTTTTGTGGGGACCTGAGGTTTATGCACTTTGGGGGCCCCTCTTTTTAAACAGAATACAAGATCGCAAATGCAAAATTAGGAATGAATGTGAATATTTAGGAGGGGCCTATGCAAGGGAGGTGCCCTGAGGTTTAAGCTTTACGGTAAATCCACTCCTGCATGCAGCACATACTAGTAAATAATTTAATAGTTGATCAGTGAAGAAGAGAGAAATTTTTCAAAAACTACAACCCTTTGATTTTGGAAGTCTTTTGATATGTTAATAACATTCAAAAATACAAATGAAAAAATTGTAATCAGTTGGTCAAAGACAGAATTATAATGCACAGTTTGATAAGATGAGATCTAAATTAGATCAATTAAACTTTGATAGTGCAGTGACAATCTGGTATTTCTTTATGTAATGCATCTTGAGAAATGTAGTTACAATTATTTTAAATCACTGATAGTACATTTTATACCAGTTAAATGGGAATTACCAAGAAATACATTCAATCTGATCAAGGTTAATAAGAAAAGGCTCAGTGTTTTCAGAGAATACCCTTTTGAACAGACGGTCTTCTGTAACATGTGAAAAGAAAACTAGGATCAAAGTAATGATTTAGTTTTAATTTGTGACATAAACTGCAATTTAATCTAAAATCACTATACTTTTAGGCATCTGATTCTGTTTTCTGGGTTGGTCACTAAATAACAGCATCCAGTTATCTTCAGTTGCAATAAGAACCTTTGTGCACACACTTTTTATCTATTAGGTTCAGGTTTACCTATGTCTTTTTTTTAATTCATTAGAAGCTTAATTAAAGATATATCTGTATCATTACTAGCAAGACAATTAGAATATATACTAACTAATGGTGGCTGAACAAAATTGACTCATGCTTTGGGGGCCACCTGTAGAGATTAGGGAAGCATTTGACTCCCCTGGTGGTTCCATTTGATGTATACCACAGATACTTGCTAATGAGTAGTTCCTCCTTTGTCGTGCACTGGTGTCTGAAAATTCCCACCATTTGGGTTATGGTTTATTTTTAAAACGCTAACTGAAAAACACAAATCATCGTAAAAATTAAACCTGCGGGAAGACAAAAACCTTATCTGATATTGATTTGTGCCAAATATAAAACTGATAAGAGCTTGGCTATAAATCCAGCTAAAGGTGTACAGTCAAGAGCAAGATAATGGGTGCTATTTGGATGTATTCATAGGTAAACAACTAGAATTTAAAGATAGAGATGTGATAAATTAGCTCATTGGGAAAGAGTAGAACCTTGGTTATACTTCTTCCTGACTTGATTATTAGTTAACTGTGTGACTTTCAGAAAGTCGCTTGAATTCTATGAGTTGTCCCTTTCTGTATACATGAAGAAGTCAGTCCCTTTCAGTGGCAGAAGTCTATTTATTTAAATACATGTTGGGCATCAAATATTCTTTAAGCCTAGTCTTTTGGAATATTAAACAATAGTTCTTTAAACTTAAGTCTGTAAGCCAATTGCCACTGGCGGTCCTAGCAGTCAGCATTTGCTGATGTACTACTAAATTCATATTCACTTCCTTTTTTTCCAATATTCACTTTTGGTATAAAGGTCTAGGTCAATTATAGTTGTTTTGTGAGATGAAAAATAAATTGAAAAATGACAGATTTATAGGCCAACTTACAATTTTAATTTGAAAATTGCCTACTGTAGACATAGGCATGTCATATTCAAAACAGATTTGAGTGTCCATTAGACCATAGTGTCTATTAAATCTACTCCTGTTCGGTCCTCAGAGAAAATTATAGTAAAAGTCATAGCTTACATAGAGGATTATGCCGTGTGTCTATAGTAGCTTTCATAACCAATAAGGTGGTTTTATAAAGCAAAATATATATAGCACTGTTTCGAGTGCTTTAATATATTAGCTAATTTGATCTTTAGACTATATCAATGAGGTTTGGCATTATTATTATTCCTATTTTTCAGATGATGAAATTGAGACACAGACAGGCTAAGTAACCTGACCGACGTCACAGAACTCAAAGTAGCAGATGGGAGAGTTGGTGTCACTCTCCAGAGTCATACTGAATAGAGTAGGTATGGTAAGGAAAACAAAACAAAAAAAAGGCTAAACTGTGAAAGGGCAAGAAACATCTCTACAAGTAGCTGAGCAAAGCTATCTCACACCTAGAAAAATATATCCTAAAACATATATAGTGATGAGAAGCTACTTATAGCAATGATCTACTGGAGTGCCTGGAATGAGATAAAGAGAAAATGTGAGACAAGCAGGGCTAAGTAAATGTGAAAAACAGGACTGTGAGGCTCTGTTATTTTACTGACAGTCTTGCTGCCTTGGAATAATGATTACAGCCTTTGCAGAAGTCACCTGTGAATGTGGAGTTCCATATGCAGATGTGAAACAGATAAAGTTCTTTCCCACTTGATTCTGTTGACATGGCATGTGGAAAACAAGGCACCATATGACAAAAGCCTAGGAAAACTAGGGAAGTGTGGTGCACGGTACTGAGAGCATTCCAAGAGCCTAGAGAGACTAATTTATGAGGAAAGATTAAAAGGATTAATTGTATACAACTTGGCTAAGTAATGCCTAATGAGGAACATGAGAACTGTCTGTAAGTATTTGAAGAACAAATATGCCAGGGAGAGAAGGGATTTACCTAGTGGGACACAAATAGATGAAACTGGAAACATTGGTTGTAATTTCGGACAGGATCGTTTTGGCACAATAGCTTATAAAACTTGTTGACAGTTCATATCTATTATACCGTAAAATAGTTTCAGAAAATAAAACAAAACAAGGGCCCAGTATGGCCTTTAAGAATATCAGCAGGGTGAACGGGAAGGTACAGTGATGTATATTGAGTAGATAAAGTATAGGTTAAATATTCTGGTTCTAGAGTGTAATATCCCTTACAGTTATTAAGGTCTCTGCCCATCCTGCCCCATAACAATGTTATAGTGCAAGTTAAGGTTATTATGTTTTGCATCTTACTACCCCGTGGTATGTTGAGTAGTTCTGTGTCTGGTTCTCTGGATAGATGTTGCTACAGGAAAATAGAGGGCACCAATGAGAATCAAAACCTGTTCTCCAGATGGGGGAAGCATTATTTCAAGCAGAGACCAGATGCTGGAACCCAGGAGATTAGAGATTGCAAATTAGGGATTTTATTTAACATAGTAGGTGTTCACTTATTATCTATAGGATGAATAAAGGAATAAAGGAACGAATAAATGAATCTCATTGAATCAAAATATCCTCATCTGTAAAATATAGTTAGCAAAAATACATATCCATAACTAAATATTTTAAATTAACTAATGTATGTGAAGCCCCACAAAAGGTATATGTTCAATAAATGGTAGCTATTATTATGTGTTGCTCATTGGACTAGCACAGAATGATGTTTAAGCTCTTCCTTTGACTACTTCCTGCCTTTGCACCCTTGATTATGCCTACTTCATCAGGAAGGTGTTGACTGGAATCATAATACTTAAACTCTTTGGGAGAAGTCAAGAGTCCAGAGTGAGCCACTACTGAAGCAGTCACTTTTGTATTCAAATTAAGTCATTTTGCACACAGTGGAAGCCTGATGGTACCGCTGAAAAGAAAAATAAATTAGCATGCTTCACAGCATTGATCTGGTAGAAGAAGTAAAGACTATTTTATGTCATAGGTTGCCAAAGAGGTTTCCTATCTTTTTAATTCTCTGTAAGTAGAAATCACCCATGTTAGTAAAGCATCAAGTCCCAGTTGGCCTTTGCAATATTCTTATAGATGATCCAAGTTTTGGTGGGTATTACAATGCATCTGAATACAAATAGATTTTGCCTTAAACTCTGCCCAACACTATTAAAGCCAAACTCTACACAGTCTTTGTCTTTATGTCTCCCCTTTACAATTCTTGGTACATTTTGACACTTTAACTCACAAGCATTTCAAACGTAAGTGTGTTGTTAATTCTCGGCTGTTAAAAATCAACACAAATACGTTGCAAAGCCACGATGCTTTATTTAGGGTGAAAAATAATTCTTTTAAAAGATACAGTGCTTGAGCTTTCAACAAATACTTCCTTAAAATGAATATAACAAAAGCAACAACAGGCATAAATTACATTCAAAGAGAAATCAGGTAGAAATAGAAAATTTTGACGAAGTGCCAACTGCCACATAATGTTGCAATGACTTAAAGAATACATTTACATTTATTTAGGGAAGATTAAAGGCATCTCTGTTTGTGAAATGTCAATTAATAAGGACCTGCAGTTTTTGTTAGTGAGAGCGTGCATTTTAATTGCTTCTGTGGAATTTTAATAATGATTCAATTGTCCTTATAACCAGATTACTAACCCTCAGTCTCCAGAGTAGCCTGAGAGATAACACATAGCAGAGTTCCCATAATATTTTTTATCAGCTTGTTGAGAGTGACATGCTATTGTTTCTGATGGAGCATCACAATAGGACAGCACACCTTCTCCATTCACAAGGGATAGGCCCTGAGACCTTTTTGACTCCCCACAGCCTCAAATATCACTCTAGCATATAATTTCCCTCATAAAAGGCAGTAAAGTATAACTGAAAAATTTAACAGACCCTTTTCAGACCATTAATGGTTCTATAAATACAAGACTAAAGTCATTTACAAAGCCATTTTCTGGCTAAGAACTAGCACTTCCTTTTCACTGCTAGCATTATCACTAGCAGTTGTGTTTTTCTTTTCAGGGCCATTTTTTCACATAGAATTAAAGTTAATTGTCATCACTTCAGTAGAGTTGCTGCATATACCCCCAACAAGTATAGAAGAGCAGAGTTTTGGATGTTGGGCAGTTGGCCAACTCACTCACTAGTTATATTCAACACCAAAGATCCAAATTTAGGTGTCAGCAACATTACACGTAACTACAGGTCATGGACTCATGGAGTCACTTCCTGAATAGTCAAAATTGCAAATGTTAAATCCATAAATTCCAATGATCTGCTGTATTTACTAGCTTAATAAGCTTGGCAGTTGCTTTTCTCTGGTTGTTATAGCAGAGTATCAACTGCATTTGAGTCATAATGGACTCTTGGTGCTCTTATCAACTCTACAAAAAATCTGGGAAATACATTTAAAATTATAGGACTTGAAGACCAGCACTGGCCTTTATGCTATCCATACTCACTTCCCGATACTTCCAAATATAGGTATACCATTTCTAGTAAATTCCATTTATTTTACTATTAAGAAATCAGAGAGCATTCTATTTATCTGGAAAATAGAAGCCAAATAGCAGTATGTATAAGCATTAACCACCTCCTATATCCAAACACTGTGCTTGTCACTATAGTGAATGAAAATATTTAAAACTTCCATTTGTTAGTTATTTAGTATATTTTGGGCATTGAGTAATCACTTTACATGCATTATATCATTACATCTAATGGTGGGCCTATAAGAAATTCTCCTTGCCCGTAAACAGGCTATAGTCTATTTGAAGTGATGTCATAAAGGTTAGATTTAGTTGGTTCCCTAGGATGGCCTGAGAGGCATAGGAGGTTTTACCCAAAAATGTACTAGACATCCAATATCTAGTTTTCTGAGTCAACTGCATTTTCCTTTTTCCACAAAGTGAATTAGAATTTCTATTAATTCTGGTTTCTGGTGGATATCTCTGAAGTTAACATTTGTATATTTAATTTTTAAGGATTGATAAATGTATCAAAACTAAGATGTGAGTGAAAATTTAATCTTCTTTAGATCAATCTACTTTTTGTGATTTTTATTCAAAAGCATTATATTGCATGTAACAGGATCTTTCTTGTCTGTTAGAGAAGATCCTACATCCCTGTTGGACTGTTGTTAGTTTGCGAGTTTGCTGTAAGCCTCCCAGTGATCTTTGATCAAAATTTTTATTATTTCCCCTGGTACTTAAAGGCACAGGTCCCAAACTTGTACCTTTATAGCAAGGTAACTTACTGAGCAAGAATTTGTCGGGCAGTGGAGATTAATGCTAACTTTTGCAAATGGCAATTTTTGGTCCCCACTTCCTCTGGTATATAGTTAATTAAGAGCAGTGTAACATAGAAAATTCTGCAAAACCAAACAGATTGCTCAAGTCTAGCATCTTGGATGGTATGTAGATTTGTTGCTTTTCCTGAATGAGTATTCCTGTCTGTGAAGCAACAATGGTAGTCTCCTGAGTAATACATTGCCTAGGGAGTCAAGAGCTCTTGCTTCTAGTCCAGGCCTTGACACAGACTCTGAGACTTCTGGCAAGTTGCTTTATTTCTCTGGGCCATGGTTTCTACAGCTATAAAATGGGATGATGCTGTCTGTCTCACAGTGTTGTTGTAAGGGCAAATGCAAAAAGGTTATGTTGCCTTAGAAGAAAGGCAAAATAGACATCCAAAGTGGTATTCTTAGATAAGCATGTATGTATTTTTCTGTTGTTTACATGTGTAATAAAAATATGTCATGTTATTTTATTTAACTGTTGCAGCCCAAAAAGAGGTACAGATGAATAACATTTGGTTATAAACAAAAAAATGAATATTGTGTAGATGAGCAAAGTAAATTTTTCTTCTGCCATGTATGCAAGTTGTGATTGTTGCAGTCAGGAAGAGGATGTGGAAAAAAAAAAAAGCAAATCTGCAGCTATTCAGCTCCCATCTGTATACGGTAAAATGTTCCATATCAAAACGGTAAAATGTTCCATAGCAAACTCATGGTTCAAAAGAAGGAACTGTAGCTTCTCACACTTTGCCAACCCTTTGTCCTTCCCTTCCTCCTGCTACTTACTGTAAGAGGCTGCTTTTTCTACTCTCAACTTCACAGTCACCCCTCAAGAGGTTTAGCAGGCTGTATCGTCACAGCTTTGTCTTCTTTATCAATTTCAAAATACAATGAGGATAACATGATTATCTGTAGAACTGTTTCTCTACATAGTACTCATTGAGTTTTTGGGGTTTTTTTCATATGGGTCAAGTCAGTAAGTCTTTACCTAGTATCTGTCATGTGTCCAGCCTAGTACAAGACACCATGAGGAATTCATGGAAAATAACCAACACAGTCCTGACACAAAATAGTTTACATGTTGAGATAAAACATTTTCATATATGATACTCATCTCATCTTCCTTTTGAACTCAAAACTTACATCTTTGAGACTGTGAGCCATGTCTAATTCATCTTGGGGTCTTCCACACTCACACTTTGAGATGGAGAATTCTTCATATTATGGGAGTGGCCCACCCCATTGTGTTATCGTTATTATCTTTTTCCCCTATACAATAAATGTCAGTAGCATCTCCCAGTCACTGTAACAACCGAAGTTACCTCCACACCTTTCCAAATTTGGGATAAGTGCTCCCTCAATTGAGAGTCACTGTTTTACAGCATCATGGATGTCAGTTTGCACATGATAGACAACCCTCCATCAATATTTTCTGAAAGAATGAATTCATGCAACATGACAATGGGAGAATAATTAAGCAGAGCAAAAATCACATGCAAGAATCCTTGGGACAGAATACTAGTACATTAGGGCTCTGGGACGTGAGGCTGTGTTGTGCTGGGCTGTATAATTTATTGTATTGGGATGTGCTTAAAGGATAAATAGGTTTACCAAAGTAAATGGGAGAGTGGCAGCCCCTGTAAATAAGGGCAGCAAAATTAAATAATAAAACACTGTTTGGAGGAAACCTTGCTGACTGGTTTGGAAAACTGTCTGGGGGATAGTACAAGGGATGTTTGAATAGGTAGTAGTAAGCAAGACTGTAGACAGCTGAACTTGATCCTATAATCAACAGTTTACTTCCAAAGGCTTTTGTATAAGGTTATAACATCATGGAAGTCTTAAGACGAATTTGGCTATTGAATATAAGATGAATTTGGCTGGACACGGTGGCTCACTCCTGTAATCCCAGCACTTTTGGAGGCCGAGGCGGATGGATCACCTAAGGTCAGGAGTTCAAGACCAGCCTGACCAACATAGTAAAACCCCGTCTCTACTAAAAATACAAAAATTAGCCGGGTGTGGTGGCTCATGCCTGTATTCCCAGCTACTCAGAAGGCTGAGATAGGAGAATAGCTTGAACTCAGGAGGCAGAGGTTGCAGTGAGCTGAGGTCGCACCATTGCACTCCAGCCTGGGCAACAAGAGCAAAACTTCGTCTCAAAAAAAAAAAAATGATTTAAAAAGGAACATACTGGAGACTGGTGACTAGTTAGGAAGTTGTTACCATAATCTAGCTGGAAAATAATACTCTGTCTTGCTCACTCTACCACCCCGCCTCCCACCATCTCAATCTCTTGTTTGTTCTCTCATCCACATATTTTCTTTTATTGTTTCTTCATCTCTTTTAGGTAGTGGAATATTTTTTGATACCTAAACTCATTAATGTTTTCTTTCACTTCTCCTTGCCCTTCTAGTACCAATGGAACACATTCTATTACTTTTATAATTTTTAAAAATCTGCTTAGTTTTGTCTTCTAACCCTTAGTTCACAGTTTAAAATTTTTGAAGTACTAGAAGTTGGAAAGTAAAATGAACTCAGAAATTAATGTGATCTGCTCCTAGGAGAAGTAGGAAAATAAGAAGAAACACTTAATTCTAAAGATAGAGGTTCTGAATCATGAATGGATGAAGTTCACAGAGGAGCAATGCCATCTCGTTTCTGAAAACAACCTGATGATGAATTAGGCTATATTAACTCAATATAATCTGACCTAAAAGAATTCTTTGTAAATACCTAGGTGATGAGATGATCTCTGCAGCAAACCACCATGGCACACATTTACCTATGTAACGAATCTGCACATCTGCACATGTACCCTATAACTTAAAATACAAATGAAAATTAAAAAAGAATTCTTTGTAGATTATTTTATTCAGTTACCAATCTTTTACATTTCAGTTGAGGGGACTTAGAAGAGGGAAAGATGTATGTCCTTACTTCTCAGATCAATTGCCATTTACTTAAGATAACCAGAAAAGAAACAATATAATTAATATAGCAATATAAATGGCAACAACTCCTTAATTTATATTAATTTATAATAAGATTCAAATTATAAAAAAGAATGAAATTATATCCTTTGCAGCAAAGGAGGCCATTATCCCAGGTGAATTAATGGAGGAACAGAAAACCAAGTACCACATCTTCTCACTTATAAGTGGAGCTAAACATCAGATACTCAGGGACATAAAGATGAGAACAATGGACACTGGGGACTACTTAGAGTGGGGAGGGAGGAGGGGAAGAGTTAAAAAACTGTTAGCTGCTCTGCCCAGTACCTGGATAGCAGGATCAGTCATACCCCAAACCTCAGCTTTATGCAATATACCTAGGTAACAAACCAGCACATGTACCTGCTGAATCTAAAATAAAAGTAGAAAAAGAAAAAAATTAAAATTAATATACTAATGCAAGATTTCTAGGTTGGTTATTTAAACGTTTATAGGAATATATATCCAAAACATATTTTATTCAGGCATCCATTTATATACAATCAATATATTAGATTCTAATTATTCTTATCTACTCATTAAGTGTCCTAAGGGACCACTACTAGTAACACTTAACAGCAAGAAACATTGTGAATTAAACTAATGCAACTGTTGCATTAATTAAACTATTTTAACATTTAGACATTTTGTTTTTAATAATTCACATTTTTTTCACACTACTAAAATGTTATTCTCTATATAATATGTGTTAACAGATAACATTAAGCAGAAAAACTGTTAGACTATTTAGGTAAAGATAAGTAAACTTTTCACATCTGTCATACACAGTTTGAAAAAGCATTCTGGGGAAAAGAAGGGATAAGCTTGAACATTTTTCATGAACATGTAGTTAACAAACTATAGAATATAAAATCCTGAATGATATAGAAAGCCATTTTGGTAGTTTACACCTAGAAAAAAATGTAATGTCTTTTTGTCTTGGCAGTTAAATTCATTTTGATATATTTTTGAGCTGATTGTTTTTGGTAGGCCAACTAAAGAACAGAGTAAACAAATTTATGGAGCACAGAAAACAATGTGGTAAAGAATGAGAGATGTATTTTCCCATGAAAGTCCATTTGAGACTCATGGGTTCCTAAACGCCGACCTTCTTCGGATGTTTTAGGATTTAAGTTTGAGAATGTCTAGCCAATTGCGATTCTGTGCTTTGAAGGAAGTAATAAGACTTCATACTGCCTGTGAACTCTCAAAACATTAATTTGATTAACCAATTGATATGCCACATAAATATATTTAAAATGCCTTAAAATACACATTAGCTAAAAAGTAACAGATAAACAGATATACTGTAGATGGTCACTTACCAACTTCAATCACTTTGAAAATACAAATGACACAGATCTAATTTGCAGGCAAATCTCTTTCTTTTAGTTGTGCCGGTAAATAGGTTAGGATTATGATCTTCAATCCTGTTCCAAATATCTACCATATCCAAAGTTTCCCTACTTGGTAGCTTTGGTCCTAAATTGTGATCAGTGCCCTACCCTGGTGAACTGGATTGGGCCACGTGTCAACTGCCAGAAGGCTTTTTGCATAGGCCATAGGCAGGCTACAGCTATATACACAACCGCCAGTCTCCTCTTGGCCTTCTAAATGATGCCTGTGGTGAACTTTGGCCTGTGTTTCCTATGGGGAGACTACTGGTTCTCTGTACTGTACTGGCTGTGTGCATTCCAGGAAATAAAAATAGCAGGGCAGTGTATAATATAGTTTTGAGGTTTACTAAGTAATACTTCGCACAGGAGAAATAATATGGATTTTGTAATCTGACCAACCTAAATTGGAAACCCAAATTTGACAAATATGAGCTGTGTTGTGTGACCTCAGGCACATTGCTGCACCACTTTGAGTCTCGGTTTCCCGCCTGTAAAATGGCCAAAAGTATGCCTACAACCCTGCTAGGATGTTTTGCTTTTAAAGTGCTACAAGAGATGCGAAGAGATGGGATATCTTCCTCTGGAGATTGGAAAGAGTTGATGTAATACAGACCTGGTTCCAAGATAGGGAAATTTGGCAGCTCTTGTTGAGATGTAGCCTGAGGATAAATTAGAACTATTCTAAACAAGTGGTTTTTAAATAAATTTAAGGAAAATCAAATAGGACATAGATCAGGATATAAGTAAGACTTCAATGGACTTGAGCCAGAGAGCTCTCCAGAAGAAGAGTGAAAGAACTTCCTGTAAGGTCAGTGTCAGCCATCCTCAAGGCCAACCCAAGCCAACTGCCATCACTACTCAATGTGCATTTTTAATGCTATGCTAGTTCCTAAACTGAAGAAAAATTTCAGTAACATTGAATGAAATATTTTCTGTGTTCCTCTAAATATTATTTTTATTAATGATGAAATATGTCAAATGCACAGGATTTCACATAGCAAATTCTCGCATACCTATCATTCTTTCACTAAGTTATGTCAAATCTAGCATGTTACCTTTTCTTTAAATCTATTTTCAAGAATAAAACGTTACAGACAAAGCTGAAACTTCTTATGTCCCCCCCATGCCATTCTTCCCTCTTTCACCCTAGATGTAAGCAATATCCTGAATTTGATATTTTTCTTTGTTTTTTATTGGTTGCAGACTTTTAATAAGTTAACTATTATTCCTGTTTTCATTGTGAACATTTCTGATATATGAATATTTTTTTTAACTTTTATTGTAAGTTCAAAGGTGCATGTGCAGGTTTGTTACATAGGTAAAGTTGTGTCATTGGGGTTTGTTGTACAAATTATTTCATCACCCAAATATTAAGCCCAGTACCCATTATTTTTCTTGATCCTCTTCCTTCTTCCACCCTCCACTCTCTGATAGGCCCCAGTGTATGTTGTTCCCCTCTATATGTCCATGTGTTCTCATCATTTAACTCCCACTTATAAGAAAGAACATGTAGTTTTTGGTTTTCTGTTCCTGCATTAGTTTGCGAAGGATAATTTTCATTTCTATGTATGTTTTACTGTTTTTACAGCATCCATATAGGTTTTCATTAAACACATATTCTTCTTCAATGTTCTTTTGTCTCTTAACTTTATTTCTGTGATTTAACTATGCTAATGGGAGGCTCTATTTCATTCTGTTAATATATAAAATGAATCTATTGGATGAAAATACAAATCTTCCATTATTGGTGGATATTTAGACTTTTCCCAGAATTTAATTTTACAAACAGTGCAGCAGTAAATATTCTTATGAGTATTTGTGTGTGAGAGAGAGTTTTTTAAAGTATACATCTAGAAGTGGAATTTCTGGGTCGAAGAGCATGAATATCCTCAACTTTACTAGGTATTACCAAATTGTTTTTCAAGGCACACAAAATTAGACTTCTACTAGCAGTATGTGAAATTCCTAATTCTCTATATCCGTATCGACATTTAGTGTGGTTAAATTTTTGCCAGTCTGCACAATGCTATAGGTCCACACTGATTTAATTTATATTCCACTGATTGCTTGTGAGGTAAAGTACTTTTTCACATGTCTATCGTCAATTCAGATTTTCTTGTCTGAGAATTCCCTGTCCATATAATGTATTTATTTTGCTACTTTTTAGTCATAAGAGTCTTCTTAAAAATAATCTTTGCCACCTGTAGTTCCAGCTACTCAGGAAGCTGAGGCAGGAGAATCACTTGAACCCGGGAAGCGGAGGTTGCAGTGAGCCGAGATCGCACCACTGCACTCCAGCCTGGCGCCAGAGCGAGACTCCGTCTCAAAAAAAAAAAAAAAAAAAAAGAAAAAGAAAAAGAAATCTTTGTCAGTTATGGTTATGATCCTCATAATTATCTTCTCCAAACTTTTGACTTGGGCTTTCAGTTTGTTTCTTATGCCTTTGGCATTGCATCAAATTTACAGATTAATTTGAATACAATTCATATTTTCATGAAGTTCAGTCTTCTAATTCATGAACATACTTTATCTCTCCTTTCGTTCAAATCTTTAATGTCCTTCAATAACTTTTGCTCACTCCATAAAGGTTTCTTGCAGCTTTTACTAGATTTATTAGGTTCTGTTTCAGCCTTCGTTAATACTGTAAATGGAACCTTGCTTTTTTTTTCTTATTGAATTCTCTAATTTGTTATTACTCATATAGAAGTTTGTTATTGGTTTTAGTACATTGATTTTCTTTCCAGAAACCTTGCTAAACATTTTGTTAGTTCAAATAATTTGTACTCACTTGGATTTTTCTGTGTAGACAGTTATATCCTTTGCAAATAGTGACAGTTTTGTCTAATGCTTTCCATTTTATATCTGATTTGTTTTCCTTGTTTTATTGCATTGTCTTGGACCTTCATTAAAATCTTAAATAGAAATGATGAAAGTGGGTGTTTTTGTCTTGATTTTAATGGGAAGACTTCCAAAATTACACCATTGATTATTATGTTTACTGCAGGTTTTTAATAGATACCCTTTAAGAAGTTGAGGGACTACTGCTATATTTCCAATTTGCTATGTTTTCTAAAAAAGGTTTTTAAGTGTGATGAATTTACTTCATCACATTTAAATGAACTTCACTGAAGTTGATTTTTGTTAAATGCTATTTCTTCATCCATTCAAATGACATATGTTTTCGCTTTTGTTATTTTGTTAATTAAGTTAATTACATTAATTAATTTATTTAATTTTGAAGCAGCCTTTCATTTTTTGGATAAACTCAACTTGGCCTGGATGTATTATATTTTTTACACATTGCTGGATATGGTTCAGTAATTTCTTTTAAGGATTTTTGCATAAAATTAGTCTGTAATTATCCTTTTCCAAATTGCCCTTGTCAGATTTTTGTATCGTAGTTACACAAGCCTCAGTGAATGAGCGGATAGCTTTCCTTCTTTTTTAGCCTCTGAAATAGTTTATATAGACAGGGGTTTATTTCTCAAAAATCTGATAAATGTTGCATTTAAAATTGTCTGAGCTGGTGAGTGGGAGACTTTTGATTATACATTTCATTTGTTTAATGGCAATTGTTTATTTTTCATTCTTTAATTTTTTCCTTGGAGTATGTTAGTGATTTATATTTCTCTAGAAAATTATTCCTTTTATCTAGTTTTTCAAATGCATTTGCATGCTATTGTTTATGGTCTTATTTTATGATTTTATCATTTTTGTTGTATCTTTATTTTCTCTTGAGTATTAGGGTTTTTTTTTTCCTTTGCCTTTTCTCCTTCTTTATTTATTGGTTTTACTGGAGGATTGTTTATTTTACAAGCATTTTAAATAAACCAGATTTTTGTTTTATTTTTGCTGGTTGTGCTTTCTTTTTTCTATTGCACTAGTTTCTGTACTTATTTTTTACTTTTTCCTTTTCTTTTATTCACATTTAGTCTGATGTTATTTTTTCCAACTTTTTGAGATAAATATTTAACTCACTTATCTTTCCATCTTTAATGAATAAAGGCATTTAGTGTTATACATTTCCCTCATTGTATACCTTTAGGCATATCCCACAAATGTTGGTATGTAGTACTTTTGCAACCTTTACATTCTAATTTTTTTTAAATTCCCATTGCAATTTAATTGTTAACTTATCAGGTATTTAGCGGTGCTTTAAAAGTTATTATACAAGGGGTTTGGGACTATCATTTTAGTGTTGATTTCTTAGTGCTCATAATTGTGTTTTAGGTCTCTTACCAAGAGCTTATGCCTGGTTCTCTTTTCTTCCCCGGTCACTAATTTCTTACAAATCTGTAACCTTTTTTCAGAAGGCCCAACATCAGGACTTTGTATTATTCACCTTGCCTGCTTCCCAGCACTTTTATCATGGACACACCTCTGGAGCTGACGTGGGTAACACCGCATGCTTCTGAACTCAGAACCCAGCATGCCATTTGCTTCACTGCTTCAGCTGCTTCAGACTCTTTTCTGTTTCTATTCTAAAAAGATGTTAAATCTTGTCTTTGAACCGAGCTATATTTTTTGCTCTTCTCCTTTTATACACTATCTTTCATTTCTTTGTATTTAGAGTAGAAGAATGAGTTAATTTGAATTTCTGTGTCTCATAGTTTTAAAACATGTACTTCTCTGTGAAGAGGAAGAACTGGAGTAGCACCCTCACTTCCCAGCCAAACCGCACCCCCACCCCAGAAAAACACAATAGTATGTATACATACATGGTCTCAATTAATCCTTTATTTTGACTACACACCCTCTTTATGCAATATTGAAAATTCCTCTTTGTTTTATGGTCACACAGTATAATACTTACAGGAACATTGCCCTCTGTTTTTGGACCCTTCAGAGGTGATTATTCCCAAAGAAAATGAATACTACTTTTGCCTTGTATTCGATATTTTCAATATTACTTTTTAAAATTTCAATTTTCCAGTATAAAACTGAAGGTCACACTGCCTGTTGATAACTAGCTTGTTCAAGTAACAGTGAACCATAAGGCCAACAGAATTGATTGGAAATTGGCGGCCTCTCTGCATTCTAAGCACTTATCCAGAGATTTAGTGAGAGCTAATCACTTCACTGAAAAAACAGATAAAAATATAAAGATCCGCTTTACATTCAGTAAAGCATATTGATAGTAATTAGATGAGAATAATAAAGCTAACTAACTGCATTATTCTAAGCATATCTTATTTTATTTTATTTTTAAAGATTTGGGAGGTCTAAATACAGTTCTGTTACATGGATAATATTGTTTAATGGTAAAGTCTGGGATTTTAGTGTACACATCACCTGAATAGTGTACACTGTACCCAATAGGTAGTATTTGATGCCTTATCCCCTTCCCACTATCCCACATTTTGGAGTCTCCAGCCTTTATTATTCCACAGTGTATGTCCATGTGTATTCATTGTTTAGTTCCCACTTATAAGTGAGAATGTGTGGTTTTTGACTTTCTGTTTCTGAATAATTTCACTTAAGATAATGGCATCCAGTTCCGTCCATGTTGCTGCAAATTCACTTTTTTTATGGCTGAGTAGTGTTTCAGTAGGGGTGTGTGTGTGTGTGTGTGGTGTGTGTGTGTGTGTGTGCATATGTATGTGTGTATATATATATATCCAGTCATCCATTGATGGACACTTAGGTTGATTCCATGACTTTGCTATTGTGAATAGTGCTGTGATAAACATATGAGTACAGGTGTCTTTTTGATATAATGATATTTTTTCCTTTGGGTAGATGTGCAGTGGTGGGTTGCTTGATTGAATGGTAGTTACATGAGAAATCTCCATACTGTTTTCCATAGTGGCAGTACTAATTTATATTCCCACCCACAGTGTATAAGCATTGCCTTTTCTTCACATCTATGCCAACATCTATTGTTTTTTAACTTTTTAATAATGGCCATTCTGGCTGGTGTAAAGTGATATTTTATTGTGGTTTAAATTTACATTTCTGATGATTAATGATGTTGAGCATTTTTTTGTCTGTTTGTTGGCCACATATACATCTTCTTTTGAAAAATATCTGTTCATATCCTTTGCCCACTTTTTATTGGGGTTATTTTTTTTCTTGTTGAGTTGTTTGTGTTCCTTGTAGATACTGGATATTAGCCATTTGTTGGATGCATTGTTCGCAAATATTTTCCCCTGTCCTGTAGGATGTTAAGAATATTTTAATGGATAGTAAGAGTCTAGGTCTTAGCCTCAGGGAGGCATTGAAGACTTGTGTCTCCTCTACTAGTGACCATGACTGAGAGTAGTGGTTACATGCTTTATACTGAACCATTCCTGAGTATTCTTTCCACCATGGTCCTGTCCACAGAAGTTTTTTTTTTTTAAGATTCTTCTGTCCTTATTCATGAGTGCATAAGGAGCTCAGTAAAATTCTCTGCATGTCATCATCTGTCATCATCCAATGTTACTCTTCTGTAGCATTGTCCTTGTTCTCTCCAGAATCTTATCTACCTGGTTGACGCAGAGCCATAAGATCTTGGCTAGTGTATTAGTCCATTCTCACACTGCTATAAAGACTTGAGACTGTGTAATTTATAAAGGAAAAAGTTGTAATTGACTTACAGTTCTGCATGACTGGGGAGGCCTCACGAAACTTATAATCATCGTGGAAGGTGGAGGAGAAGCAAAGGCACGTCTCACATGGCAGCAGGCGAGAGTGAGTGTGTCAGTGCAGGAAAAACTACCATTTATAAAATCATCAGATCTCATGAGAATTCACTCACTATCACAAAAATAGCATGGGAGAAACCGCCCCCATAATCCAATCACTTCCCACCAGGTATCTCCACAACACCTGGGGATTTAAATTAAGATGAGATTTGGGTGAGAACACAAAGCCTAACCATTTCAGCTTGTCATCTAAATTTGAAGTCAGCAGGGGTCTATGCTGAAAACTTAGCCAAATGGTGTACTCCACAGCCTTATACTTGTGGTTTTCAGAACTGATGTGGCCAAAGCTTAGTGGATCACCTTGTTTCTTTAATCCTGTACTTCCGTAACCCATTATGCAGAATATGTGATTTGTAATAAATTTATATTTAAACAGATGATTACTGAACATAAGAAAAGAGAAATGAAAAAGGGTTATGAACTAAAGTTGTATTTTGAGGGGGTGCACAGAAAATATATACACAACTAATGTAGCCCTAAGTTTATCAAATATAAAATCAATTGTGCAACAGCTCATACCTCAGGGGGAAATATTGTCTTTTTTAGTAAGAACTGCCTTGTTCTAAATTAATTAGGCTCGATGATGCTTGCTTGGGCTGCTAAACACAAATTTTTCAAAGAAATCTTGTAGTCATAAGAATGCTCTTAAAGTAGTTCATTATATATCATATTTGAGGCTGGAGCTTTTAGAACACCAGACTATTAAAGTTTCTAAAACCAAGGATCAAACTCTACTTACAGTAATGATTTTGCTACTTAGCCCCCACATGATAATGCCATCTGAACCTCTGAGGAGTTAACCTTAAGCTAGATCATATATTCCATATATTTTGGCCTGAAAGTTTTTATATTGTTTTCAAACAAATTTTATCGAACCCTGGTGCTTATATTTTCTGCTTCTTCACACTTCTGCTTATTTCTTTTTCCCCATTTGTGTTGGGACACTAGCTGAGGTAAATATACAGGACTTAAATTTGTAAAGTTCAGGTTATATTTCTCTTAAAACTTTAGTTTCCTTGAAAAACCTATGTGGATCTTTCAGCTAATGAGTGTAAAGTCACTAAGCTCTAAAGCTATGTCATTCTCCTTGTGGATAAACTTATTATTTGACTAGTATAAATGAGGCACATATTAATGTTTCAATATTCAGGGGTACGCTTGATATTGAACACAAGGAGTTAGCAACATTCATTTCTAGCCAAATAGGTACTCAACAAATATTTGCTGAATGAATGGATTGTCATAAATTCTTCTAAAACTTGATAAAACTTCTTCAACTTTTTAGTACCATATTTGTCATCACCAGAGGGAAAAAGGGATAATAATTTCTGACACTTAAAAGTATTATGGGACAACTTAGGGCAGGGGTCAGTAAGCTGCATCCCTCAGCTAAATGCAGCCTGCTGCCTATTTCTGTATGGTTTGTGAGCTAACAATTGTTTTTACCTTTTTAAATTGTTAAAACAAAAAATCAAAGAAGGACAGTATTTTGTGATATGTGAAAATTATGTGAAATTCCAATTTTACTGCCCATAAAAAAGCTTTATTGCAACACAACCACATTCATTCGTTCATTTACACACTGCTTTTGAAACACAAAGACAGAGCTGTATAGTTACAACAGAGGCCATATGAACCAGAAAGCCTAAAACATTTACTCTGTGGCTCTTCACAGAAAAAAAAAATGTTTGCCAGATCCTGACTTAAAAGATTCATGACATGGTTTTCATAAAGAAACCTACTAGGGGAAAAACAGTGCTATATAAGTACAAAAGTGTTACAACTATTTCATTTCTAAATATGTTGCTATTATTTCTGAGCTATTTGCTTGTGGGCCTTATAATGGTAACAGGTGCTAATGCGCAAGAATAGGATGGTAACTCCTACCATAATTGTCCACATTCATAGAAAACTGCAGGTATAGCTGCAGCCAGATGTTTAAAGAATGGAAATTGAAATGAAAATGTAAAATCTTTACTGAAAAAAGGGTAGAAATGACACAGGAATTGCACCAATGACCTGTTAAGAAGCATAGGCAAAAAAAAAAAAAAAATTGTCTTTAATTCATGTGTGTAATCCCTGGGATGGATTTCTAATAGACAGCCTCGCAAAAAGTTCACATAATTTGACAAGACCATAAAACAGTTTCTCTTTTAAGGCAAAAAAAACCTAATTTCTTTAAAATTTTCATAGCATCAACCAGTATTAACAACTAGTCATATAGAAAATGTTGGCAATTTATTTACAATTATAAAGCTTTAGTGAGATGCTTATATACCTATGGGGTAAGTGTGTATGTAGAGTGTTAAATCAATGTTAGAAGAGGGAAACGAGTGAAATACCAAATTTTGAATAATGTAAGTAAAATCACACAATTTTAAGACTATATCCATTTTAGGGCTAAAAGCTTACAACATAGGCTGTGTTGAAACAGCACAAATGGAAGTGAAGTTTAATTAATGGAGTTCATTTAACTAATGTAGACAATAAAACCAGATATTTCACTGCCTGAATGGGATTACATTTTGGCAGTTATATAGTTAATTTGATTCATTGGGATTTGTAAATTGGATCATTCAGAGTCCAAAGTGAAATGGTGATTTAAATGCAGCCCAATGGCCTTTAGAGAAATAATCAATTCTTCAGAATTCCTCTGAAGAATTAAGTTTTATCCTAATTACTCACCTGGAAAATTAACTCGAATTTTGAAGCATTTGGCTAGGCAAAAATAATAATAATAATAAAAATAAACCTGGGCCTTCCATTTAGAAAAAAAAAACATCCAGGAAAAAAACTTTGGGAAAGTTTGAGCCCATTAACATCAGGCCTGAACCCTGGTTTCTTGATTTTAAAAAGTATCCTATAATTATATAGGTTCATGGAGTTAGCGGATCCATTCACTTGTTTATTTAGTAAATATTTATAAAATCCTACTATTGAATACATGCCAAGTACTTTTGAAGCCACTGGGAATACAGAGGTGAACAAGTTAACAAGAAAAATAGGTTCCCTGTCTTCTTGGAGCTCACATTCTTGTGGAGAAAAATAGATGATAATTGTGATTTAAAAAATAATTTCAGGTAGGAAAAAATTCTATGTGATAAACAGAGTAATTAGAGGGAGACTGAGATGAGGAGCACTACTCCTGCTAGTGTGGATGGAGAAGGCCTTCCTGAGGAGGTGGCTTTTGAGCTGAGACCTGAATGATGAGAAAGATGAATGTTGGGGAGATCTTAGAGAAGACACATTCAAATACATAACATTAACTCTAACGTGGAGGCAGAGTCCATCCTAGAGACTATTTCATTATGCTCAACATCAAAACTCAACCTATATTTTCTGACCAATACTCAGAAACATCTTTGAGGGACAATTATGCCATGGACTTATTACTATCATTATTTTTGTTATATTGTAATTAATATTATAATTATCCATTGAAGTTAAGAGATATTTTCACACATATTCCATTTTAATCTCATGGAGTGTGGGTATATTAATATCCCTACTTTGTAGAAAAGAAGACTTGGGGTTCAGGGAGATCGAGTAATTTGCTCAAGGCCGCCCAGAGAACAGTTTAGTAATTGTAGAGATAGGGCCTTGAAGCCAGACTTTTTTTCTAAATATCCAAATGGCTCATTTTATTACACTATTCTATCTTAAACCATACTGTAATTATAAGATAAGGTTCTGAATAATAATTAATATCCACAACAGACAACATATTTGTGTCTACAATAAAGTAAGACTCTTTAATATCTGCTACTTTAGGAAAAGTATTCAGAATAGAATTTTTAGTCTCAACTTTCATGATGGGTTATGATCAAAATAGAGGATGTGATTGATTTCATATAGTTTCACACATGATATTCATATTTGGTGCTTAAATATTTAATTTTGTACATTAAATTTTAAATATTTAATTAAATTTATATTTAATTTTTGCTTCCTCTTTTTAAAGCAATTCAGATTTGTAAATAACATTGCTGCTGACTTGTTTTTAGAAGAGCTGTCCTTTGAAAAGAAAATTAGTCATAATGTAAAATTGCAATTAGATGGGGGTTTGTTTGGTTTGCTTTTTGTTCTGTTTTGGTTATAAGCTTTTCCAGCACTGATGTTAAAATGCTCACCTGTGCTAGCCTGGACTTGTGGGATATTCATTGACTTTATGTCCATAGTAAAGTAGTGCAGATCATCTTATGTGCAAAACACATTTGGCTAAGGTTGACAGGATTTTCATTTTCCATTCACAGATGTAAAACATTTTCAGTATAACACAAACCTCAGCATAACAAACTCAGCAATTTATGAGAAGCACACAGCTCTGCTTACCTTTCATTTGTCAAAGATTGATGAGAAACATCTATATTACTTGTTCAATCTGTTAATTATATGTTTTCATCCAACCTGAACTGATAAGCTAAGATCTGTCCGCTCATATTAGTCTGTAGGGATATGCTTGTCAATAAGGCCTTTAAACTTCCTTACATGTGACCTATAACTCAAGTAATTCTTTATAAAGCAATATTTGAAAAGTTATCTATACTTTAAGATTACACTTACGGTACCCCTAGATGAAAAATAAGGTACAAACTTCAAAGACTGCAGTTTCATAATCTCTAAGGTCCATAATTTAATTTTAGATGACTTAATATTAACTTTGAGGAAGGAGTTAGGAAATTTAAAAATATTATGCTTGCTTTTAATTAATTTTTAGCTTTTAATTAATTTTTAAGTTACTCAAATTCTACAAATATTTTGGGGAAGTTTGCATAACTAATATAGTGAGTTTTAGAGATTTCCTCTCCAAGTAGGACCTCAAAAATGCTTCCAAAATAAACATTTTAATGTCATAAATTTTTTAATTCAACATAGTATAAAAAACATAAAAATGGAGTTGATGGCTCTTGGTCTCAGTGTGGCAATGTAACCAAAAACTAAACAAATGCTCTCAAGCCAAATCATTATGGTAAAGTTTAACATCTGAGCTCCATGAACCTATTTGTTGGATCATCAAACATATGTTGGAATGATCAAATTCATTGTCCTAGCACTGGTCATAATCTGAATATCTTCAGCACAATTCACTGCCTTGAATCATTCTGGTTTTAAGTTAAGCATAGAAAACAGATATCATTAACTTTAAATTATCTGAGTTCTTATGGTTTAAAGCAAAACTTTGAGTTTTCTCTTGACTATTTTAAAGTTAACTAATACTGAATTTGATCCTTGCTTTTTTAAATTTAATTTTTTTATTAAACTTTAACTTCTGTGATACATCTGCAGAAAGTGCAGGTTTGTTACATAGGTATACACGTGCCACAGTGGTTTGCTGCACCCATCAACCCATCCTCTACATTAGGTATTTCTCCTAATGCTATCCCTTCCCTAGCCCCCAACCCCTGATAGGCTCCGGTGTGTGATGTTCCCCTCCCTGTGTCCATGTGTTCTCATTGTTCATTTTCCACTTATGAGTAAGAACATGCAGTATTTGGTTTTCTGTTCCTGTGTTAGTTTGCTGAGAATGATGGTTTCAGCTTCATCCATGTCCCTGCAAAGACAAGAATTCATCCTTTTTATGGCTGCCTAGTATTCCATGGTGTAGATGTGCCACATTTTCTTTATCCAGTCTATCATTGATGGGCATTTGGGTTGGTTCCAAGTCTTTGCTATTGTGAACAGTGCTGCAATAAACATACATGTGCATGTGTCATTATAGTACAATGAATTATAATCCTTTGGGTATATACCCCGTAATGGGATTGCTGGGTCAAATGATGTTTCTGGTTCTAGATCCTTGAGGAATCTCCATACTGCCTTCCACAATGGTTGAACTAATTTATACTCCCACCAACAGTGTAAAAGCGTTCCTATTTCTCCATATCCTCTCCAGCATCTGTTATCTTGTAAATTTCTTTATCTTCCTTGTAGATTTTGCATATTAGCCCTTTGTCAGATGGAAAGATTACAAAAATTTTCTCCCATTCTGTAGGTTGCCTGTTCACTCTGATGATAGTTTATTTTGCTGTACGGAAGCTCTTTAGTTTAATTAGATCCCATTTGTCAGTTTTGACTTTTGTTGTCATTCCTTTTGGTGTCTTAGCCATGAAGTCTTTGCCCATGCCTATGTCCTGAATGGTATTGCCTATGTTTTCTTCTAGGGTTTTTATGGTTTTAGGTCTTACATTTAAGTCTTTAATCCATCTTGAGTTAAGTTTTGTATGAGGTGTAAGGAAGGGGCCCAGTTTCAGTTTTCTGCCTATGGCTAGCCAGTTTTCCCAACACCATTTATTAAATAGGGAATCCTTTCCCCATTGCTTGTTTTTGTCAGGTCTGTCAAAGATCAGATTGTTGTAGATGTGTGGCGTTATTTCTGAGGCCTCTGTTCTGTTCCATTGGTCTATATATTTGTTTTGGTACCAGTACCATGCTGTTTTGGTTACTGTAGCCTTGTAGTATAATTTGAGGTCGGGTAATGTGATGCCTCCAGCTTTATTCCTTTTGCTTAGGATTGTCTTGGCTATACAGGCTCTTTTTTGGTTCCATGTGAAATTTAAAGTAGTTTTTTCTAATTATGTGAAGAAAATCAGTGGTAGCTTGATGGGGATAGTATTGAATCTGTAAATTACTTTGGGCAGTATGGCCATTTTGAAGACATTAATTCTTCCTATCCATGAACATGGAATGTTTTTTCATTTGATTGTGTCCTATCTTATTTCCTTGAGCAGTGGTTTGTAGTTCTCCTTGAAGAGGTCCTTCACGTCCCTTGTAAGTTGTATTCCTAGGTATTTTATTCTCTTTGTAGCAATTGCAAATGGGAGTTCACTCATGATTTAGCTCTCTGTTTGTCTATTATTGGCATACAGGAATGCTTGTGATTTTTGCACATTGATTTTGTATCCTGAGACTTTGATGAAGTTGCTTATCAACTTAAGGAGATTTTGGGCTGAGACGATGGGGTTTTCTAAATATACCATCATGTCATCTGCAAACAGAGACAATTTGACTTCCTCTCTTCCTATTTGAATACCCTTTATTTCTTTCTCTTGCCTGGTTGCCCTGGCCAGAACTTCCAATACTAAGTTGAATAGCTTTAAAACCATGGTGATGTTGATGTTCTTCACACACATCTGCCCTTGTTTCTTTTAGGCACTAGCAACAAATGGAATTTTCAAGAGATTTTTATATACATCACAAGGTAGATAAAAAAAAATTTTTGGAGGAGCTATTTGTAAAGCTCAAATGCAGAAAAACACAAATTTTAGAACATTCAAACTAAAAAGACAGTGGACTATGAGCTCCTTGAGAGGAGTATTTCTACTCCTTAGCTCTAGGTCTAGTGTATAACAGATGCTTAGTAAACAAATGATGAGTAAGTAACCAGTATAACTTTTTAATTTTACTATTTTTGAAACCGAGGCCCAAAGGAGTTAAATAATTCTATGTGGTTGCACGAACTAATGGCAGAAGAGAAATAAGAGAATTCTGGTCTCTTGAATCTCATTCTACGCAATGCCCTTTCCTCTATAATACTATGTTTCTTCTAATTTATTTATGTTGTTTCCTCAATCCTCATTTCCAATGACTTGGGTTGAGTAGGTGAATTTTTTTTAGGCTATGTTCCAATATCAGGTTTCACTCTCACAACACAGAAAGCATAGGCACTAAACTAATGCATGTACATTATCCTTTTAAGGTTAATAACGATTCTTCCAAAAGCAGATCAGTTCTTATTTGCTGTCACTACCATAGGTTGAATCTCAGCAGTGACAACCAATACTAATGTACAACATAACCTTTTCTCATTAAAGAGGTAGTGGGAAACATAGGTGCAAGAACATTTTCTTACTAAATTATCAAGTTGAGTTACTCACTCTTGTATATATATCTGCTTCTGTGACATACTGCATGATCCTTCAAGAAGTGTCATCCTATTGATACGCTGGGAGAGGGGTTTCACAAGAGTTGCCAGATAAAATATAGGATGCCCAGTTACATTTCAACCCTAGATAAACAGTTAAATTTTTTTTAGTATAAATAGGTCACAAATGGGACTTATTTGCTAAATCTGGCAACCCTAGGTTATTTGTCATGCCTAAACACCCAAGGATGTCCCAATCTGCTGACAGCCTGCTCTTCATTGCTTGATTTTAGTAGTTGTGATTGCTTTGCTCACCAACCACTTTACTGTGTGTAGTGAATCTTCAGAGCATTATTGTGGGCCAGTTGCTAATGCTGGCAATTTACATGACCTGTTAACAGATTAGTGATGCAGGCATAAACAGAATCCCTTCCCCAGAGTCTTATGGGAGCTGGGACCAAGCCTTCCACCTTATTTGTCATCATATTCAAACACATATCTCTTTTTGATATACATAAAAGCTTATGTCCCTGAACTCCATTGAGAGTGTTATTTTCTGTAGCTTCTTTATGAAAATATATCTTTTCCATTTTACAAATATAAAATTATATTATGATAGTAAGCATGCTTTTTCAAGCTACACTTCATATAACACTACTCTAAAGATTTTGAAATCCATCTCTTGAGAATAAGGCCCCCAACTGAGAATCAGTGGTCTATGAGATACCAAAACAAATCAATGAGAAGTCAAGTACTCAATCAAGCTACTAATTTTTCAATTACTTAAATATATTTTTTTTCTAAATCAGTGTTACTCAAAGAGTGACTTTTTATGTAACAAAGGTTAAATAATAATAACATAATTATGTTAATGTTTATTTAAAATATTGGTTTTTCTATTCTGTTTTAGTGATTAAAAATTTCAGTTTGGAATCCACTGGTTTACCTAAAAGTAAAGAAATAGTTAGCTTTTAAAGAATCTATTAACTTCCAATTCCCTATCCCCTCTAAGTTGACCAGCCATTTGGACTTTTTCTGCGTAAGCAGAAGACTACTGCATTTAAAGATGACAGGCTACATACAAATCTGAAAAGCTTTTTATTGTTGTCCACAATTGTTACATTATAATATCTTGCATTTGTTTTCATATATCCATTCAACATGGGGATATAATTATATTATTCCCATCTAGCAGATGAGGAAGCTAAAACTCACAGTGAAGAGATGCCTCGTTACACTATTGAGGATTAGATTATAATCTTTATTGTAAATCTTAGCTTGTTTTTAGTTTTATTGAATTAGTTTTTATAATTACATTATTGCATATTTCTGTGCCTCAGGAGTCTATTGATATATGAACTATTAGGTTTAAAGGAGGAAGGTTTTATGAGAAGATGAATATCCAGATAATTATAGCCCTAAAAAAGAAGCTTAGATAGATGTGTTAATTCTGCTTATAGGTATTTGTTTAATTTTTATCCAAATAACGGTTTAGCATCATTCCAAGAGATATTTAACAAAAATGTTTTCTATTGTATCATCCACTTGTGGATTAAGCTTGCTGAGATGTTGTAGTAGTCCAGAGTTTACACACTTAATCTGGTTAGGCTGTTGCCTGCCAATTAACTGTAGTTTATTGACTCTTTTCAAGTTGGATAACACAGTGACTCAGAAATCTTTACCCCCTGATTTAATTAACCTGTAATAAATATTAAACTGATTTCTGAGATTATCACATTTTACTCAAATGCGAACTATCATTTGTCATATCCAGTCATATCCAGTCTTCTTAAATGAAGGAAAACACAAATTACATAGGTAATTTTTTGGCAGAAGAGTATGAAAACACCATTTTACTATTTAATTCAGCACCCAATATTAGCACTTCATGTTAACAAAAGGCAGAAATGAATAATTAGGATCTTCCATGGTTACTATAATATAAATTATACATTTTAAGGTTATTGCAGATTAAAATATTCAGTACTGATTACTATTAAAATTAAATACTAAGATATTTATCAGATTCACTTTAAAATGCATAGTCTATCTTGAAACAAAATTTCTGCAGCAATAAAATTTAGATAAAATGTCAAAAATCCTAACTTAAAGCAATCGTTTTGTAGTTAATCTTCATGTATGATTGCCCATCCCAATTTGCCTAGACATTCTGATTTTTGACAATCAGTATAGTCTTCTCTGTTTATCCTCATAAAATGTCTAACAGGGTTATGAGCTGCTTTGGAGATGAGGACAATGAAATGCAGAAAAAATAAGTAACTTCACAAAGGACCTTCATAAAGCTTCTTCCTCAGCCAACACTAGATAGAACTGTAGCTATTGAACATTTTGGAGCTCTGTTTTTCTGATGGCAAAACCATTCATAGGAAAAGTGAAACACTGCTGTTACCTAAGCATAATGCCCAACTTTTAGGCACTTTAAAAACATCTGGTTGATTATTTTCACTTGTAAATCAGATAGTTGACAACCTTGTATACTTGTGTATATATTTACAGAAAGTTAGAATGCCCTGTTACTCAACCGACTAGATACTGAATTACCTCAAGTAATACCCTTGAATTGTTTTAATATTATATACATACATTCTTGGTATTGTGCTATATCAGCGTTTTCATGTTTCCTTCCATTAGCCTTCATTTAAATTGATTTTAAGTATAACAAAAGCTAATTCACATTAAATGTAGTGCGCATTTGATTTGGAGTGAGTTTTTTTTACAAATATTATTATTATGCTATCCTATGAATATCTAAGTCATTTCCAACTGGATATAGAAATTATTAAGGTATATATTAAATGAAACACTTTAGTTATTAGAAACTATAGAACTGTCTCTGGGTATGGTGGTTTGATTAAATTATTACAATTATATAATGCTTTTATTCTAAAGTACGATGCTAAATATATTTAACTTGAATGTCTACTTCAGTACTTTAAAGTTCTAAGGAGTCAATTCGCTTCTAAGCGTGTAGTCTCATTTTAGTGTTTGAAAGTGGGTAAGAATCTGTTCTTGTTTCTTTTTTTAAGTTTTCTTATTTTACTTTACTTTAAATTCCAGGATACATGTGCAGAATGAGCAAGTGTTTTACATAGGTATACATGTGCCATGGTGGTTTGCTGTACCTATCAATCCGTCATGTAGGTTTTAAGCCCCACATGCATTAGGTATTTCTCCTAATGCTCTCCTTCCCCATGGCTCCCACCCCACGACAGGCCCTGGTGTGTGCTGTTCCTCTAGCTGTGTCCATGTGTTGTCATTGTTCAACTCCCACTTATGAGTGAGAACATGTGGTGTTTCGTTTTCTGTTCCTGTGTTAGTTTGCTGAGGATGATGGCTTCCAGTTTCATCCATGTCCCTGCAAAGGACATGATCTCATTCTTTTTATTGGCTGCATAGTATTCCATGGTGTATATGTACCACATTTTTTTCCAGTCTATCATAGGTGGGCATTTGGGTTGGTTCCATGTCTTTGCTATTGTAAATAGTGCTGCAATAAACATACGTGTGCATGTGTCTTTGTAGTAGAATAATTTATATTCTTTTGGGTATATACCCAGTAATTGGATTGCTGGGTCAAATGATATTCCTGGTTCTAGATCCCTGAGGAATCGCCACGCTGTCTTCCACGGTGGTTAAACTAATTTACATTCCAATCAACAGTGTAAAAGCATTCCTATTTCTCCACAGCCTCACGAGCATCTGTTGTTTCTTGACTTTTTAATAATTGCCATTCTGACTGGCATGAGATGTTATCTGGTTGTGGTTTTAATTTGCATTTCTCTAGTGACCAGTGATGATGAGCTTTTTTTCATATGTCTGTTGTTGGCAACATAAATGTCTTCTTTTGAGAAGTGTCTGCTCATATCCTTTGCCCACTTTTTGATGGGGTTGTTTGTTTCTTCTGGCAAATTTGTTTACAAATTTGTTGTAGATTCTGGATATTAGACCTTTGTCAGATAGGTAGATTGCAAAAATTTTCTCCCATTCTGTAGGTTTCCTGTTCACTCTGATGATAGTTTCTTTTGCTGTGCAGAAGCTCTCTAGTTTAATTAGATCCATTTGTCAATTTTGGCTTTTGTTGCACTAGCTTTTGGTGTTTTTGTCATGAAGTCTTTGCCCATGCCCATGTCCTGATTGGTATTACCTACGTTTTCTTCTAGGGTTTTTATGGTTTTGGGTTTTACATTTAACTCTTAAATCCATCTCGAGTTAATCTTTGTATAAGGGGTAAGGAAGGGGTCCAGTTTCAGTTTTCTGCATTTGGCTAGCCAGTTTTCCTAGCACCATTTATTGAATGGGGAATCCTTTCCCAATTGCTTGTTTTTGTCAGGTTTGTAGAAGATCAGATGGTTGTAGATGTGTGGTGTTATTTCTGAGGTATCTGTTCTGTTCCATTGGCCTATATGTCTGTTTGGGTACCAGTACCATGCTGTTTTGGTAACTGTAACCTTGTAGTATAATTTGAAGTTAGGTAGTGTGATACCTGCAGCTTTGTTCTTTTTGCTTAGGATTGTCTTGGCTATATGGCCTCTTTTTCGGTTCCACATGTAATTTAAAATGTTTTTTTTTTTTTTTTTAGACGGAGTCTTGCTCTGTTGCCCAGCCTGGAGTGCAGTGGCGCGATCTCGGCTCCCTGCAAGCTCCACCTCCCAGGTTCATGCCATTCTCCTGCCTCAGCCTCCTGAGTAGCTGGGACTACAGGCACCCGCCACCGCGCCCAGCTAATTTTTTGTATTTTTAGTAGAGACAGTGTTTCATCGTGTTAGCCAGGATGGTCTCGATCTCCTGACCTCATGATCCGCCCGTCTCGGCCTCCCAAAGTGCTGTGATTACAGGCTTGAGCCACTGCGCCCGGCCTGTTTTTTTTTTTTTCTAATTCTGTGAAGAATGTCAATGGTAGTTTGATGGGAATAGCACTGAATCTAAAAATTACTTTGGGCAGTATGGCCATTTTCAAGATATTGATTCTTCCTATCCCTGAGAATGGAATGTTTTTCTATTTGTTTGTGTCCTCTCTTATTTCCTTGAGCAGTAGTTTGTAGTTCTCCATGAAGAGATCCTTCATGTCCCTTGTTAGCTGTATTCCTAGGTATTATATTTTCTTTGTAGCAGTTGTGAATGGGAGTTCACTCATGATTTGGCTCTCTGCTTGTCTATTGTTGGTGTATAGGAATGCTTGTGATTTTTGCACATTGGTTTTATATTTTGAGACTTTGCTGAAGTTGCTTATCAGCTTATGGAGTTTTGAAGCTGAGATGATGGGGTTTTTAAAATATAGAATCATGTCATTTGCAAACAATTTGACTTCCTCGCTTCCTATTTGAATACCCTTCATTTCTTTCTCTTGCCTGATTGCCCTAGCCAGAACTTCCATTACTGTGTTGAATAGGACTGGTGCAAGAGGGCATCCTTGTCTTGTGCCAGTTTTTAAAGGGAATGCCTCCAGCTTTTGCCCATTCAGTATGAAATTGGCTATGGGTTTGTCATGAATGGCTCTTATTATTTTGAGATATGTTCCATCAATACCCAGTTTATTGAGAGTTTTTAACATGAAGGGATGTTGAATTTTATTGAAGGCCTTTTCTGCATCTATTGAGATAATCATGTGGTTTTTGTCATTAGTTCTGTTTATGTGATGGATTACATTGATTGATTTGTATATGTTGAACCAGCCTTGCAACCCAGGGATGAAGCTGACTTGATAGTGTTGGATAAGCTTTTTGATGTGCTGCTGGATTCAGTTTGCCAGTATTTTATTGAGGATTTTCAAATCAATGTTCATCAGGGATATTGGCCTGAAGTTTTCTTTTTTTGTTGTATCTCTGTCTGGTTTTGGTATCAGGATGATGCTGGCCTCATACAATGAGTTAGGGAGGTGTCTCTCCTTTTCAATGGTTTGGAATAGTTTCAGAAGGAATGGTACCAGCTCCTCTTTGTACCTCTGGTAGAACTTGGCCGTGAATCCATCTCCTGGGAATTTTTTGATTGACAGGCTATTAATTACTGCCTCAATTTCAGAACTTGATATTGGTCTATTCAGGGATTCAACTTCTTCCTTGTTTAGTCTTGGGAGGGTATGTGTATCCAGGAATTTATCCATTTATTCTAGCTTTTGTAGTTTATTTGTGTAGAGTTGTTTTTAGTATTCTCTAATGGTAGTTTGTATTTCTGTGGGGGCAGTGGTGAAATCCCCTTTATCATTTTTTATTGTGTCTATCTGACTCTTCTCTCTTTCCTTATTTATTAGTCTAGCTAGTGGTCTATTTTTTTTTTTCCGGAAAAAAAAAAAAAACAGCTCCTGGATTTATTGATTTTTTGAAGGGTTTTTTGTGTCTCTGTCTCCTTCAGTTCTGCACTGATCTTAGTTATTTCTTGTCTTCTACTAGCTTTTGGATCTGTTTTCTCTTGCTTCTCTAGCTCTTTTAATTGTGATGTTAGGGTGTCGACTTCAGATCTTTCTAGCTTTCTGATGTGGGCCTTTAGTGCTATAACTTTCCCTCTTAACACTGCGTTAGCTGTGTCCTAGAGATTCTGGTACATTGTCTTTTTGTTCTCATTGGTTTCAAAGAACTTCTTGATTTCTGCCTTAATTTTGTTATTTACCCAGGAGTCATTCAGGAGCCGGTTGTTCAATTTCCAGTGAGTTGTGTTGTATTAGTGAGTTTCTGGATCCTGAGTTCTAATTTGTTTGCACTGTGGTCTGAGAGACTGTTTCTTATGATTTCAGTTCTTTTGCACTTGCTGAGGAGTGTTTTACTTCCAATTACGTGGTTGGTTTTCCAATAAGTGCCATGTGGCACTGAGAAGAATGTATATTTTGTTGATTTGGGGTGAAGAATTCTGAACATGTCTATTAGGTCCACTTGATCCACAGCTAAGTTCAAGTCCTGAATATCCTTGTTAATTTTCTGTCTTGTTGATATGTCTAATATTGACAACGGAGTGTTAAAGTCCTTCACTGTTATTGTGTAGGAGTCTAAGTCTCTTTGTAGGTCTCTAAAAACTTGTTTTATTAATCTGGGTACTCCTGTATTGGGTGCATATATATTTAGGATAGTTAGCTCTTCTTCTTGAATTGATCCCTTTATGATTATATAATGCCCTTTTTTGTCTTTTTGATTTTTTTTTTCGTTTAACATTTGTTTTATTAGAGACTAGGATTGCAACCCCTGCTCTTTTTTGCTTTCCATTTGCTGGGTAAATTTTTCTCCATCCCTTTATTTTAAGCCTATATGTGTCTTTGCATGTGAGATTGGTCTCCTGAATACAGCACACCAATGGGTCTTGACTCTTTATCCTATTTGCCAGTCTGTGTCTTTTAATTGGGGAATTTAGTCCATTTAAATTTAAGGTTAATATTGTTATATATGAATTTGTTCTTGTCATCATGATGCTAGCTGGTTATTTTGCACACTAGTTGATGCAGTTTCTTCACAACATCATTGGTCTTTATATTTTGGTGTGTTTTTGCAGTGGCTGGTACTGGTTTTTCCTTTCTGTATTTAGTGCTTCCTTCAGGAGCTCTTGCAAGGCAGGCCTGGTGGTGATGAAATCCCTTAGCATTTGCTTGTCTGGAAAGTATTTTATTTCTCCTTCACTTATGAAGCTTAGTCTGGCTGGATATCAAATTCTGGATTGAAAATTCTTTAAGAATGTTGAATATTGGCCCCCACTCTCTTCTGGCTTGTAGGGTTTCTGCTGAGAGGTCTGCTGTTATTCTGATGGGCTTCCCTTTATAGGTGACCTGGCTTTTCTCTCTGGCTGCCTTTAACATTTTTTCCCCTTCATTTCAACCTTGGAAAATCTGAAGATTACGTGTCTTGGGGTTGATCTTCTCTTGGAGTATCTTAGTGGTGTTCTCTGTATTTCCTGAATTTGAATGTTGGCCTGTCTTGCTAGGTTGGGGAAGTTCTCCTGGACAATATCCTGAAGTGTGTTTTCCAACTTGGTTCCATTCTCCCAGTCTGTTTCAGATACTCCAATCAATTGTAGGTTCGGTCTTTTTACATAGTCCATGTTTCTCAGAGGTTTTTTTTTTTTCTCGTTCCTTTTTATTCTTTTTTCTCTAATGTTGTCTGCGTGCCTTATTTCAGCAAGATAGTCTTCAAACTCTGATATCCTTTCTTCCACTTGATCAGTCCGGCTATTGATACTTGTGTGTGCTTCACGAAGTTCTTGTGCTGCATTTTTCAGCTCCATCAGGTCATTTATATTCCTCTCTAAACTGGTTTTTCTAGTTAGCAGCTCTGTAACTTTTTATTAAGGTTTTTAGCTTCTTTGCATTGGGTTAGAACATTCTCCTTTAGCTCAGTGGAGTTTGTTATTACCCACCTTCTGAAGCCTACTTCTTTCGATTTATCCATCTCATTCTCTGTCCAGTTCTACACCTTTGCTGGAGGGGTGTTGCAATCATTTGGAGGAGAAGAGGCATTCTGGCTTTTGGAAATTTCAGCATTTTTACACTGGTTTTTCCTCATCTTTGTGGATGTATCTACCTTTGATCTTTGAGGCTGATGACCTTTGGATGGGTTTTTTTGTTGGGGGGAGGTTCTTTTGTGTTGACATTGTTGCTGTTTTTACTTCCTGTTTGTTAGTTTTTCTTCTAACAGTCAAGCCCCCCTTCTGCAGGTCTGCTACAATTTGCTGGGTGTCCACTCGAGACCCTGTTCGTCTGGCTATTACCAGTGGAGGCTACAGAATAGCAAAGATTGTGGTCTGCTCTTACCTTTGGAAGCTTTGTTTCAGAGGGGCACCAGCCTGATGCCAACCAGAGTTCTCCTGTATGAAGTGTCTGTTGACCCCTGTTGGGAAGTCTCTCTCAATCAGGAGGCATGGGGCCAGGGACCCACTTGAGGAGGCTGTTTGTCCCTTAGCACTGTGCTGGGAGAATCCCCCTTGTCAGGATCAGCCGCACTCTTCAGAGTCAGGCAGGAAAGATTAAGTCTGCTGAACCTGTGACTGCAGGCTTCCCTCCCCACAGGTGCTCTGTCCCAGGTAGGTGAGAGTTCTGTCTGTAAGCCCCTCACTGGAGCTGCTGGATTTCCTGCAGAGATGCCCTGCCTAATGAGGGGGAATCTAGAGAAGCAGTCTGGCCACAGCTGCTTTGCTGCACTGTGGTGAATTCCACCCAGTCCAAACCTCCCAGTCTCCTTAGCACTGTCAGGGGAAAACCACCTACTAAAGCTACAATAATGGTGGTCACCCCTCTCCCTACCAAACTCGATTGCCCCAGGCCAACTTCAGACTGCTCTGCTGGCAGTGAGAATCTCAGTCCAGTGGTTCTCAGCTTGCTAAGCTCCGTGGGAGTCAGACCCACTGAGCAAGACCGCTTGGCTCCCTGGTTTCAGCCCCCTTTCCAGGGGAGTGGGCGGTTCTCCTGTCTCACTGGAGTTCCAGGAGCTGCTGGAGTATGAGAAAACTCCTGCAGCCTAGTGCCTGCCTGAAAAGCCACCCAGTTTTGTGCTCAAAACCTGGGGCTCTAGTGGTATAGGCTCACAAGGGAATCTCTTGATCTGCAGATTGCAAAAATCCGTGGGAAAAGTGTAGTACCCTGGGTAGGTGGCACAGTCACTTAATAGCTTCCCTTGGCTGGGGGAAGGAGGCCCCCTGGCTCCGTGCACTTCCCAGGTGAAGCGACGTCCCATCCTGCTTCTGCTCGCTCTCCATGGGTCGCACCCACTGTCTAACAAGTCGCAATGAGATAAACTGGGTACCTCAGTTGGAAATGCAGAAATCACCCGCCTCTGCATTGGTCTCACTGGGAGCTGCTGGAGCTGTTTCCATTCAGCCATCTTGGCCCCTCCCCCTTAGTTTCTATCATTGGAATATTGCATTATTTTTCCTTGAAAGTTTTCTTGAACATGTAGAGCAAACAAACCCTAGACTCTACTAGTGGAACATTGATCAAAATATGTTTCATAGAGATGTTCCTTAAACAAACAAAATACACACACACACACACACACACACACACACACACACAACCAAGTCAGGTCAAAAGATTGTTTAATACACTGGGGAAATACTGCACACTTAAGGTTGTGTCTCTTGCAGAATTCCAATGCATAATAGTTTATTAGAGGCTCTGAAAAGCTCTTCAATAAAGAAAGCTGTTTATTTAATCCATGATTTCCCAAACTGATTTGGCCATAGAATTATTTGTGTGTGTGTGTGTGTGTGTGTGTGTGTGTGTGTGTGTGTATGTATACATCTTTTAGCATCCTGAAGAATTAGTATTATGTGGAGCACACTTTTGATAATGCTGGTCTAATTTCTTTCAGACTGAATTTTGAATAGAAATTTAGTTTTCTGGAAAGAGGATAAGGTCAAGAGGCAGGAGACCAAAAGGCACATATTTGCTGAGTAATTAAGTCAGTAAGTGAGTGAGTGAATTAATGAGTCATGGTTTCTGTTCTGTCACTAACTTGCTCTAGTATCCTGAGCCAGTCGTTTCAATATTTGATTATTAAACGTTCTTGTGTAAAAGCATGTAAGATTACTTGCCCTAATTACTTAGTAGATGTTGAAAAATAATAGAAATTAAAGTATTTTGAAAGCAAAAGTAATTAAAAAAGAAAAAAACATAGAAAATGTTTTGCTCTTTTTATATACAGAACTATTTAGAGGAGAAATATGATGATGTCTTGGAGTTACTTTAAAATACATTAGCTAAAATATAAATGAAGCAAATTTAACAAAATATTAATAATTAAACAATATAGTTGATAGGTATATGTGTGTTTATTCTGCTATTCTATTTCTATGTATGTTTGAAATTATTCAAAGTAAAAAGTTTTAAAAATTCAAAAAAGTATTATGCTGTTTGTATGTAAAGTTGCAATTACTAATACAGACGTTGATTTTATAGAACAGTGTATGGGATTGCAAAGAAGCATGATTATTTTGTCATCTTGTCCTCCCTGTAACCAAGGGCAGACATTTGTTGAACTGTCATGTCTGGTTAGGGTGGTTACCTCAGAATTTTCCTTTGTGTAATATCTGCTGGCTAAAATAAGATTTGAACTTGAAACCTAGGGTTCATTATGACCGTGCCCTGACATAGTAATTCCCAAAGCGTGTTCTGTGGACCCATAGCAACAACATTACTTGGAACTTGTCAAAATGAAAATCCACAGGCTCTATCTCATGCTTACTGAATCAGAAATGCTCGGAGTGGGTTCCAGTAACCTGTGTTGTAACAAGGCTGCCAGATGATTTTGATGCTTGTTCAGATTTGAGAATCACCTGTTGTGTTGATCTACAACACAAGACTGAAGTGCAATATGAAAACTCTATTTCCGTCATTACTCATTAGTATTGTGGTGTCATACATTCCATAAAGTCTTAATTCTATAATAGAAAACAGTAAACAGGAATTCTATTATTGATTAACTTAACATCTTTCTCCATCGTTAGATGATTGTTTACACAGGTTGAGTAGATGGAGTTAGGACCTGAGAACGTGTGTGTGTACTGTGTTAATGACCTGAGAACCCTGATGCATGTCACAATGGCCCGACCCACTCAAGGCATGCTTACTGGATGGAAAGAGAAGTTTTCATTGTGCAGATGTATTTAGACACATCATTCCAGTTGTTGATGTCTTATTATCTTGGTTTTGTGACAAGGATATTCTATCCCCATGCCTGAAGCATGTTTAAAAGCACACAAGTTACTGGAGCACAGTGCTTGGGTTCAGTTGCCATTTAACTAGTAGCTGGTCACTGAGGTGGAACGGCCCCTTTCAAATTTGGTAAAAAGAAAAAAAAACCCATAGCCATGAGGTTGAGGCTTCTAAAAGTTATAAAGCAGCCCACAAACTCTTTCCCCTTGAGGCTTTATGTTAGAGGTGGCTAACATCTTATATCTTGAAAATAAAATTCTTAATCAAGCTTCTTCAGAGAAATCCATAAAGCTTTGTACTCTACTATTAACTTATTGAATTGGAGAAGAATCATTTCTATACCGGTGGAAATTGATGAGGAAATGGAAATATGGGGACCTTTCTCTAATTGAATAGTTGGCATTATGTATGTATTCTAAATTCAGAGTAATATAGCCCTTTATTCTTACATTTTTAAATGAAGAGGACCATTTTGTTGATCATATTTCACTTTTTAAGATAACACTTGCCAAAAGTTCTTCCCTAATGTTTATGGAAAGGAGGATCAGGCATAGCATCACAGGTAATTTCCTCAAACTTTTTCCTACTTCTCTAGTCCCACTTAAAGATGGCAGAAGCTTTTGCTTCTGTAGAGACCATGGCCATTTCTAATACTGACATCTGTAGTGTGAGATCCACTGGCACTGCTCTGCTGGAAAATTGAGGGCATGTTTTAACCTTTTACAGTCAATCAGTATTGCACTAGGTTTTGCTATCTATAATGTTCCTTTTCCTGCCTACTTCTAATTTGTTCAATTCTAGAGCAATTAAGGACTGCAAAAATTTCTGAATCCCATTTAACAAATCCCATGGAACAGTTGAGAAGGCAATTTATAAAGTAGTGAGGAGTAAAACCAGGAGACCCTTGGTTTGTAAAGGCTGGACCCATTCCTGGGTCTTTATCTGGCAGTTGCTGTAGCAGCATATAGTGAGGAGGAAAAGCTGAGGGAACAAGTCTTATGGAAGCAGTCCATTTTATTATTTTGCTTGATTTTTTCCTAAATCTATATGAAACATTTTAGCTGAAACCCATCTGACAAAGGCTTGATTTTGTGTGTCAAATGTACAGCAATAAATGTTGAAGCTGTTTTTATATTGGGGACTCTGGGCAGGAAACTGGGCTGTCATTCTAGGACAGGTTAAAGGCAAGTCTGTGATGGAAAAGGGCAAGGTTCAGGAAACTCAGGAGTAACAAGACACTTTTGAGTTTTGGCTGAAGCAGGAAACGACCCTAGATAACTCACAGGGAGAGAAAGTGTCTTAGAGGACAGGTCTGATTGAAGGCCTTTATATACACAACCCAAGGTCTCCTCTGTTGGCTCCAGAAGGTGTCATCTACTTCTTTCAGTATTAAAAGAAATTTACCGAGTTTGGACCTTGAATAAAAACATACTTATGGAGCTCCTTGCTCTCTAGGAAAGAAGATAGGCATTCTATAGCAGTTACAATCATAGCGAAAGACCAGGGTGCTATAGGAGCCCAATTGTGAAGCACTATGCAATTGAAACTCTCATTCATTCACTAAACAAACATTTTAACAACATACTGTATACCAACTACATTCCAGGCACTAGGTGCTGAGAATGTAGCAGTGAATAAAAAAGACATGACTCTTGCTTTCCTGGGGCTTATAATCCAAGAAGGAATAAACTTAAACATTTATACTCCCTATTTGTGATCAGTTGAGTCATTCTGGAATCATATAAACTTTCATGACAGGAGGTAGGGCCTCATCTTTTGACCTGACTTGATCTTGTGTGTGTGTGTGTGTGTGTGTGTGTGTGTGTGTGTGTGTGTGTGTGATCTCTCTAGACAGATGGACTGGAGGTAGAGAGAGCTGTGTGTGTGTGTGTGTGTGTGTGTGTGTGTGTGTGTATCTATCTATAGTTTGTTATAGCAGTTAGTACTACTGTTGTACTAGAGGTAGAGAGAGGTGTATATATACAACAAAGAATCCTCAAATCACAGTGGCTAAATACAATGAAAGTTTATAGTCCAATGTGTATTGGACTATTAGGAATAAACAGGGGTTGAGGGATTCTGCTCTGCATTCATGCCTCCCATTTTGACACATAGCCTTTTCCTACTCTGCATTGTTACATATCCTTTTATGGACATATTTTATCTCCATAACTAAGTTTCTAGCCTCCTCTAGATTCTTAGACCTCTTTGTTTCCCTAGTGACTATCATGTCTGTTGAAGATAACTTTCTAGATTTGTGTACATTATTAAATCAAATAATGGAGTAGATTCAAAATGAGTAGAATTATAGATGGTTAAAGCAGAGAAAAGAACTTAGAGATTGTTTAGTTTCAAGTACCTTGTTTTACAGATGAGGAAACTGAAATCTGGAAAATAGTCCTAAAGTCTATCATTTCTCTCAGTGAATCTCACCTAACTCAGTCAACCAAGTGGAGGCCCTATCTCATATAGAAAGGGCGCTGCCAGACCAGAGGAGTTAATAGCTAATAAATCATAGTATGTCCTGCTTTCTATTACCTTGTAAGTTAGAATAGAGGGGCATTTTAGCTAATTCACATTATTCACTTTTCTGGTGCTTGGACTCTCTTATTTCATAAACTTATCTGTAAATGGATTATTTCAACTATATAGCAGAATTTGAAAAGAATCAAAGTTATTAAAAAAAAAACAAGGTCACCCATACAATTATGAGATGTCTGGAGTATAGTCTTTTAGGATACTGAGTAAGCCCTTGGCAGGTTTATTATGAGCCAAGTCTTCTCTGGAATTTAATCAATGCACTAATTTGAATTGGAACAAATGGGAAAAAAAAACAAAGGAGGCTTTCTTTTCAATTCAATTCAAAGTAAATTGTATTCCAGAGAAGTCAGTCTCTGGTTGGAATTGGAAGCCTCTGGTGGCCTTAAAAGCTAGAAACATGAGTCTCAACCTCATGTAATGAGGAGCTCAAGATGAGTTTAGGAAGGATTTTATTTCAGAAGATATCTCTTGAATGACTAGGCTTGCTGGCCAGAAAAAAAGCCAGTTGGTTGCAACAAGTTCAACATGTACGTGGTCATTTCTTATTGTATGTAAAAAACCAGACTCACTCAGGGTTTAGAATTTTCCATGCAGTTTAGCATTCTGTGCATAAAAATAAAGACATGTTTTGATATGAAGACAAGCATCTTCTGCTCATGCCAGAATCTAACTTAACATGCATTAACATGTCTCCTTTCATATTTATAATGTTTGCATTTTAGAAACATGAGCCTCCTAAAGGAATTCTGGAAATATAAATCCTATAAAACAATGTAACTTTCCTTGGTTCATTTACTGGCTTGTCTATCCTGACATAAATAGAAAGACGGCCCCAGTGTTCAGGGACTTCTGTTACTCTCAGCCATGAGTTTCAGGTGAACGTTCAAGTTTCTATATTTTACTTGCTCTACGTCAGATAGTATTTTCAATTATTAAAACCATAATCCTGAAGACAAGCATACTTTTTGTAGCTTACTTGTAAATTTGTAATTTTAACAACTTAGTTTATGCTGAACATGAATAATAAACTATCACCTATTAAACCTAGAGAGCACCAGAAGTTACTAATATGATTTACAATGCACTGCAAAAATGGGATTCATTATTATCTCACACTTTAAAAATTTGCAGTAGAGTAGTGTAAACAAGTATTTACTTTAATTAAAGAAATAACAAGGGTTTTGTAGGGCTGTATTTTATGTAAAAAATAAGTATCCAATAACCAGAAAGTTCATACTTGTTAAAAAGAATGTCGTGCATTAACTGAATCTTACCAGAAAATCTGCTCATCTGTTTGAAAGACAATAAGGTGTTTCTAAAAGCTTATCTACACACTGCTGATGGCCCTTTTCAGTTCTTGCCAGCAATTCCTGTCTTTAAAGCAAGGTCAGTGGGAGGGCCTTTACTCAAGGGAAAGAGAATTTGAAGTATCCATGTTACTTTTCTTTTCTTTCCTTAAATTGCCTTTGTAGAGCAAGACATTTATTAGTGGGCCTTGACAGATCCTTGAGACTTACAAAATCACCGGTAGAAGGATAATAGGCTAACTTTAGATCATGTTCAAACTCCTCAGCTGGTAATCACTTAGCAACCCCCTCCCCATGTAATCTGAGTCCATCATACTATCTATGCTTGTCTCTCACTGTGCTCCAGATAGTAACATCTGCTTTTGCTGATGTTTGGTTTAAAAATGTATTTTAGGACAGCTCCTATTTCATTTGAATTAGACTCTTTGTCAAGTCTGCTTTTATTAGTTAATCACGTCAGATTCCTCTACCCTACATAGATGATCCCTCACGGAAATTTAACTTGTTCTTCAAGCCCAGGTTCATCCCTACTTCCTTCCATGAAGCCCTTGTCAAGTAATCTAGTACATGCTGATTTCTACACATTTGAATATCCATACTATTTATAATGTATCTGTGCTTGCGTATCTCATATGTAGGAATACTATTCTTTAATAGTCTTACATAAAATGTATAACCTGTTAATTATAATATAAAACATTTACATTTTAATATGAACACACATACTAGAACCAGAATTAATAGAGTTAAGACATTTTCTTCTAGGGAAGCTATTATTGATTTGAAAGATGCTTCTCCTGCTCTAGAATTTTGGGTGAATGTTTTCAGAAAAAAAGTCATCTAATTTCTTCATGCCACATCATGTTTTTGTTCCCAAATGAATTTATCCGGATTGATATCGCACTTCATTTGACCTAGTTAATTCCAACTTATTTTTTTCAGTATTTATAAAATTTAAATTCAACCTCAAAGAAAGATTCCTCCTAGTGAATAGGCTAAAAGTGTGTTTCAGATTTAGAACACAATTACTAAAGAAGAATTCCAGAAATGTTTGCAAGTGTAATAAGTGCATGGTTTCCTAATTGACTAAAGATGATCCTTATTCATTGTATAAATTTGTCTATACTGTTAACAGTAAATCTATGATTACTATGTTCACATGAGGCATATATTGAAGTATACATCCAAGTCTTATTGCTTTAACAAGAATGCAAGCTCACACCTCAACCAGACATTTAACCTCAGGAAAGTTACTTAAATACTCTGCCTCATTTTTCCCATAAGTCAAATGATTTTAGTAATGCCTATCTCATAGGATGCTGTGTAGAGTAAATGAGAGTACATGAAAATCAGTTATACACTGAGCTTGCCATGTGGTAAATACTCAGTAAACATTAGCTGCTATCATCGTTAATACTATTATCATTGTTTTTTTTTTTTTAGAAATACTTGTTCACCTTCTTTTCTTAAATGCTGTTGTCGAATTTTATATTTTGAATTCTAGTCTTCTTATATTCAGGTGACCATGCATAGCCCTCCCGCTAAAATTATCTTCATCTGTTTTTGAGCTTACTCCTTTTCTTGAAACCTCTCAGTGGCTCCCCTTTCAATTTTATTTTAACGTCAATCTCCTTGAATCCAATTTCAATGCATATATTCTATTACATTCCTTGAAGTCAGGGACTATACTTCTTTATGGTATCAAGTATCATGTAAATTTCATTAATAAATAACAACAATATCATAGCTACATAAAAAGAAACTAGTGGCAATCTGAGAGACACTTAGGGGAAATCCTTGTGGGAAATCCTTTTTTTTTTTTTTTTTTCTCTAAAATGAAACTCTCCATTTTGAAGCCACACACTGATAGGCCATAATGCGGAATCACACATGAAGCAATTGGAAAACTCATCTTTTCTGAAATGAATATGGACAACTGATGTTGTTAATAAGCAAATGCAAGGATCATTGCCTTGACCTTCTATATAGGTGAAAACAATGGTTTAGGAAATGAAGGCTTTCCAGGGTGGTGTAAAGAATAGTCAGAGGTTGTTCTACTTGAACAACCTTACTATCCATGTTGAAAATGGGATAAGGGAGCAATCAGATCTAAAGTGGAAAATTACAGCCCAATTTGTGTTCAGGTCTCCTCTGTGTCTCCTTTTGGTGTCCAGAGCCACTGCCTCACACCAGCCCAAAATGTACCAGGGAATGAGAGACTTTGGCATTTGAGAGGGTACACAATCTAAGTTCTTATCGTTCACTTGACCTAAATTAATGGCAGCATTAATGATGAAAGCACACCAGTAATGTTAAAGCACATTAAACTGAGATCTTTTGTCTCTGCAGAGTAATGTTCTGTTTTGAGATTTCTCATTATGCAAAGTAATGAAACAGCCAAATCACTATGTACATCTGTGTTTGTCGATACTTGACATTTGGTTTTAAAGTGAGGTTTAGGAGGACCCTTATTTAATCTGGGTTGGACTCTTCTGTGATCCAATTTATTTGCTGCCATTTGGATTTCATTTCTGTAGTTGAGCATCCAGTTGCCCCAATATAAATTTAAAAGGCCCTCTTCCTTTAATTAATTATACTTACTATATTCTGTACCATAATTCAGCTCATTCACTTTGAAGAGTTGGAATGAACAGTATCTCAGGGCCATAGACATGGCACTCTCAACTAAAGCTGTGCTTTGGAGGAATATTGGAATACAGTTGTAATTGCTATTGGCTCAAATTCAAATTTCTTAATTGGGCATTCTAGGCCTTCCATAATCTGGCCCTGATTTGCCTTATCCTTTCATAAAATCTCTTGTACGTCCCCTGAACATGGTAGTAGCCTAATAAATCAGTTATATTCTTCCTTCTCCCAGGCCTTCCCCATTGTACTTTAGTCAAGCTGATGTCTTCACCGTCTTTTAAAGTCTACTGAAATCTCACCCTTTCTTTGGAAGTTTTCCTTGTGCTATAGCATCCACTTCGCTTTCTCTCTTTTCTTTAATTTCTTTGGGGCTAAGTGCTAGATGCTGGTACTAGTTGATAAATGTTTCACATGGGTAGATCTTTTCAACAAGATTATGATGGCCAAGTGGGCAAGGACTGCATTCTCTTGATGTATATCCTCCATAGTGTCTGACACAGTGCTAAGCTTATAAAAAACACTTACTGATCTATGCTCAAGAGGTTGATTAGCCTGCTGTACCTTCGAAATTGCTTATTTGATGAGTATATATTGCCTACCATGAGGGAGATTCTGAGGATGTGGAAATTTTATGATGAATAAAATATAGGGTTGAATTTCATTTGAAGCTGCAATTATATTATTCTGGGTGGATAAAAGTGTGTGTGTGTGTGTGTGTGTGTGGTTTTTTTTTTTTTAGTCATATGTCTTTTAGCTGTAATGGAATCAGTAAATCCCCTCCTGATTTAACATGGAATCTGTTGGTAAGCAGCTGCTGGGTTTCTAATCCTGAAATCCAGAAAATAAAATTGGACTTTCAACTGGAATATCTATTTTTAGGAGTGCTGTATTAGACAAACGTTTTCCTATGAACCACTCAGAACCCAACTACATCTGTAAGTTAGTTGCTAACATAGGGCAACCTCAATTAATTACGGTTTTGTGTCATGAAAATATTTTCAGGGACTTAGGAGTGTTTGCAAAAAGCTAGGTCAGAAAGTTAATGTGAAGAAGGATTAAAGAATTTGAAAGATCAGGCACCTATTAGATGATTATAGTACTTCAGGATTATAACTTGGATTTTCTAAAGAATATGCACAATTCTCAGATTTCACTATTAAAAGTCCACTTATTGGTTTAAAATAAAAACCTTCCATAAGTAGATTTTCCAGAAGAGCATTTCATAAATTTTCTTTATTATTTCACTTAGCTTAAAAAGTATAAAGTGCACATATTTCAACTTGGATTTTTTCAAGAAAGAATAGTGTTCTCTTTGGTTTTTTTTCCTTCCAAATGAGTAACAACTTAGTCTATGAAAGGTTATTTGTGATGTTTCTATGAAAACTGTAGGTATTTTAAAGAAAAATAAAATTCAGAAACCCAGGTCAGCAAATTGAAAGTATTGGGAAACTTTTTTTCAAAAGGAACTTAAATATGCTTATAACAGCACTACATGTTTTCCTTCTATGGTTAGTGCTCAAATATTTCCTTTTAAAATTAACATACATACTACTTTGATGATAATAACAACAATCTGTACTCACCTTCTTCAAGGCATATGATTTATTATTGTAGTAGTGGGACTGAATTGCTGATGCATTCATATACTCCCCTTGGTGAAAAATTCGATGCATACGTGTAGCATCTGGCAGAAGTTAGGGGCTTAGTTTGTAGCCAACAAATAGAAAAATGCTAAATGTCCCAATCCTGTGTTGTTGGCCTAAATAGGAGCAGCATTGTGCCTTGAAAAATTCTATGCTAGGACTCAGGAAACTTGGATTCTAACTGTGTGAACTTCTGGAAATTCATGCATTCATTTATTAAATTAATATTTATTGAACTAAGAACAAGGCACTGGGCTGGGTATTGAGGCAGTAGAATACAATAGACAAGATTCCTGCCATGATGGAACTTACAGTCTAGTGGTAAAGACAGACAGTATTAAAATAATTACACATATAAACTGTATTATTATACCTGTGGTACGTACATGGAAGGGAAGATACAGCGCTATATAAAAGCATATAATATGAGGATTTGACATAGTTAGGAAGGTCAGAACCTACTTCCCTGAGGAAATTATGATTAGTAAACTAAGCAAAGGAGGAGGGACAGTGTTCTAGGAAAAAGAGAAGCATGTACAAAGGCCCTGTGGTGTGAGGGAGCTTGATGAGTTTAAAGGATTGCAAGCAAGGCAGAATGGTTAGAGTAGAAGGAGTGGAGAGGCAAATGGCACAAGTGAGGCTGCAGGCATCAACAGGGGCTAGATTGTATAGGGCCTTTACGAACATTAAAAGAGTTTGCCCTTTATCCTAAGATCAGTGGGAAGCCTTTGTAGAGTTTCAAGCAGAGAAATGATGGATAAGATTTGAATTTTGAAAAGATAACTCTGACTACAGTATGAAAAGCAAATCAGAAAGTGTCCAGAGAAGGATGGAGATCACTTATGAGACTGTGGCAGTCATTCAGGAACGTGATGGTGGCAGGTTGAACAAGGATAGTGGCAGTGAAGAGAAGTGGAAAGATTCAATAGAGAAGATATGAAATTGGAGGAGCCTAGACTCGATGCAGAGGTGATCAAGAGGGCACTGTCAAGGATAACTCATAGATTTCAGGCTCATTTAACTGGGTAGATGGTGTGTCATTCCTTGAAATGAAGAACACTATAGAACTGCGATTGTTTTGTCACGGCCAGGAGGGTAACAGAGGTCATGAATTTCTTTATCAGATATGTTGAGTTTCAGTTATTTTTAACTTGTTTGGACCTCAGTTTCCTAATCTATAAGATAAGGACAATGAACCTCTGAGATCTCTTCTAGAGCAGGGCTTGGCAAACTTCTTTTGTAAAGGGAAGGATAGTATTTTTAGTTTTGTGGACTGAAACTACTTCACTCAGCTGTTATAGCTGGACTAAAGCATTGAACCTCAGTTATCCAGATATAGCAATCCTTAGACCATGTCAACACAAACCTGCCAATTGATTTGGTCAATTGCCAAAAAAAAAAAAAAAAAAAAAAGTCAGTCAATTAAATGAAGAATTGATTGTGTCATGAGTTAATGAGTCAAATCAGTAAAATTAGTTGATATAGTAGACTTGAGGGGGATATACCTATATGTATTATGATTACAGTAGACCCTGCCACCAACAAAAGGGATGACAATCAGGAGAATATGGCTGACCCACCCATGGAAAAGCTGAGTAAAGCAAATCAGAAAAATCATCATGAAAATAGGGCTATACTAAGCACTTACTATTTGAGTAGAAGTTACTGTTATTGCTGATGTTGCCTCCTGTTAGTCATGGATGTTGCCACTATCACTGTCTTGAGGCATCAAGTATGACTAGTGGGACAGCCCAGTAATGGAGATGCTGTGTGTGTGTATTTGTGTGTGTGTGTATTTGTGTGTGTGTGTGTGTGCATGCACACGTATGCATTTAGGGAAATAAAATTATATAGTAAATATTATAATCTACTTTTTTCACTTAATGAATGTTTTGGACATTTACTAATTTTGTTAACTTTTTGTTGAGATTATACTTAATCTTAACTTTGTGGGTGGTCTGTATTTAATTCTCATTTGTCTTTGGCCTTGTCACCTAATATTTCTCTGAAGTAGCTTCCTCTCATCCTCAGTTGGTATATATTTTGCCTATAGCACTCCTCAATGAATATTCGTGCGGGGGTAGGGTAGAAGCATCTTATAATGTACTTCTAAAGCTCAGTACATATAGGGTTTGAATAATATGCTGTTTTGGATGAAATGATTTTCTACTCCTCAACATTAATAGGGATAATCAGGGGTTAACCATGTTTGAACATGACTTATATAATAAGTATGCAAAATGAGGCTTCTGAGTATATAGACTACGGCAATTGGGTGAATAATTGACTATCTCAGGAAAAAGTAAAAATTTTAATCGAATCATACCCATAATTCATTCTTATAAAATACTAGCTCATTTCCATTCTTTTCAGCTTGTTATGAATGAATATAAGAAAACTAAGCTTTAAAGCCAAAGATATTCTTCATGAAATTCTTTCCATTTGAGACAGGTAGATTGACATTTCCATGATTTATTTAATGAGATACCTTCTCTCCCATGCTATATTATTGTTATTTAATATTTATTGAACACTCTAACCGGAGATGGTTGGAGGGGAGAAGCAGAGAGTTTGTCAAGTCTTAGCTTACACTGGTTATGAGCAGAAGTTTTAGCTATAGCACTGAATCAAAGCCACTAGTCTTGTCTATTTAGAGACCAAGGGAGAGCTTTCTCGTTGGCCCTCTGAAAGTTTGCTGAAAATCACTAACAAGAGGCATATTAATTGGAGAAAATGCATACAAATGTATTTAATATGTATATATGGCAGCCTTCAGAATGAAGACCCAAAGATACAGAGCACACTCTCCAGTTCAATGAAGGATAAATAGCCATGTATATATATAACTTGACAATAAAAGAATATGATACAATGCTAATAGAAATAGAGCAGGGAAGCCCAGCATGGTCTGTCTGTCCAGATTCTTCTTGTCCTCTTTGAGCATGCATTCTTTCCTTCTGGGTATTGGGCAGGTCCTTCCCTGGAATGAGGGTCTTATAACCTACGGTCAACCGAGATAGGTCAGATAATTTCTTCATAGCCAGTTTTTACACAGAAAGGAAGAGGGAAAGTTACAATAACACATTTAGGTTTTATGGCTGGCTTTGGAGAAAGGGGGTTATTGTTTCTCTGACCTGCCTTGGAGAACAGGGGTTCTAGTTTCTATGACTAGTCTTCGGGGAGAATGGGACTAAGAGACAGGAGGGCAGGAGAAGGTCAGAGAGAAGCTTTTGCTTATGAGGCTGCTTCTGAGGCCTTCATTTTGGGGTGTTGTTTTCTGATCCCCAACACTATCATGATGAAACATGACCAGCAATAGGGGAGCCCAAACTAAGAGTGGACAAAATCTGGAAGCCAGAAAGAGGGCTAGGCAGAGCATTACAAAGATCCAGGACAGTCTTGGCAGTGGGGAGCAGGAGGAAGTTTAGACCTGTGATTATCCTCAAGGAAGCCCAGCAGTAAATTAAAAACCTAGTAAGCATGTTGAGCATGCTTCAGGGAAGGCCAGTAGCAGATATTCAGGTATTTTGGTAGTCAGTAAATGTCAGGTCTAGCTCTGTCAGGAGATGATGGGGCCTGAGGTTTGGAGCCTGATTTCCCTTCCTTAGAAGGACTTTTGTGAGTGTGTTACCCTAGGCTTGGAGGAATGATAGATTTAAGCAAGGGATTTACAAAGAGGCAAGGTAAGGAGTTGGTTCCTGGAACTGGGATCAAGGATGGGACTTAATTTTAAAGGAACAATGGTGAAATACTAATAGAGGTTATAGGCTCAGAACAAGTCTAGCAGCAAAGCTGATTTGATGTCAGACAATTGAGTCACTTATACCCTTTATATTATTCTACTTGCCTAATTCGTTGGTCCTAGAGTCCCAGGTTCAGGAATGGGGGTGGGAGCATTGAAGATAAATGTGGGGTTAATGACACGACTGCTTATATTAGAAGAATATGGAGTAAAAAAATTAAGTATCCTATCATTATCAGAGCAGGAAAAGTAGTACAAATTCCCCTTTTTTGCATCATCATTTGGCTGAAAATTATAATAGAAATGTAGTCCTGAGAACCACTTGCTACATGAATTTTAATTTTCTCTTCTCTCTCTCTCTGTCTCTCTCTGTCTCTCTGTCTCTCTCTGTCTCTCTCCCTCTCTCCCCCACTCCCCGACACACACACATCCCACTCACACTCACAAATACATGGATCCACAAGAAGGGCATAGCTAGCCTTTAGTGTACATGGCCTTATCTGTGGTGTGATGTGCTTGCCTCAACCTTAGCAGTCTCCCACTATGAACATTACAAAATCCCTCTACTGGCTACTCCTCTTTTAAGAAGAGATGGTTGCTGCATGGTTTGTTTGGAGGAAATATGTTTCAGAGAAGACACAGAGGAGTAGAAAGTATCAGTGTGTCCAGGGCTGGTCCTATATGAAGCTCCTAAGTAAGAGTAAAATCTACCTTTGCCTTTCTCTCATATCACCTTTCAATCTCCTTCTCCCCAACATGGCAGGATATCAGATTAAGTTCAGATTCATCTGTTCAACAACAAATGCACAATCATATGGCTTCAGTCTGTCTATAGGAAATCTGAGGTTCTCTTCAGGCACCTAATTCTTCTCTGTCTCTGAGTAAGGTTAAAAATTAATTTATTCCTGTTCATGGCCTTAGTGACTAGCACAGTGTCTGTCATAGGCACTCAAGGGAGTTTGCTACTTAAGTGAGTAAATGTTGTTCCCTTGCTACTCAAAGTTGCCGACCATGGAGTGCTACCTAGGCTAGAATACCTGAGCTCCTCCCTAGCCTCACTCACATTAAATTGTATCTTTTCTACATTAGATGTCCTCAGCGCCTTATTTCTGCTGGACAATCGATAAATTAATCCTGATAGGATGATAGCAGCAGATTAATTACTGAGAGTATGTTAATGTGTCATCCCTCCTATATAACGTATTTGCATTTTAATGGAGCAATTCTGGAGATAATCCCTGAAGGCAAAGGAATGAATCTTGAGGGTGAGAAAGCCAGAATCAGTGTCCAGCTGCAGTTGTGGGAGAAGGTGATATTATGTATGTCTCAGAAGTGACACCATATGGGCACCTGCCTACTCCACCTATGTGTTATGCCAGCTTTGATGAATAATTTTTAAAAACCAGAATTATTATTTATTGCTGTTCTTTTTTAGTGTTATTTTAGATTTGTTGATTCTCTAGAGCAAAACCTCAAGCCCTTTGGGGCAAAAACAAATGGCTAAGCCTAATAAGATGCATGGTGCTGAAAATAAGATTAATTATCTAGGATTTGAATTGAAATTGTTTTTGAGATAAAATATGTCCAAAATGTATTATTATGAAATGTTTGTTTGCAGTGCTTACAGTATGCCACACTGAATGTAGTTCTTATTTTCAAGCTGGGAAGGGGAGCAAATAATATGATATCTCAGGAGAGGAAAAAAAAAATCTCACTTTGTACCCTTTTCTAATCCAGAAGGCCTCAGTTTAACTCACCATGGTATACCCCATTTTAGTCAAATGTTTCTTTAAGAGGTCTATAAGAAATATATTACCAGAGTATTTTAAAAATTTTAGCAAGTTCAACTTTCTGAGACATACGCACATAGTCAGCTTTTATACAAAAGTGATATATTTTTAGTTCCATGAAACTAGATTATTTTCAAGTAACGAGATGATGCCATTTATCACAGATACTTAATGAAAGAGCTGCCAAATGCTTTATTGCCATAGTGTGAATGCTTAAGTTAGTCATTTATTCAACAAATGTTTTACGAACACAAAGTATACACCAGAAACTGTGAAAAGTACAATGGGAATGTGAAAGTTATTAATAAATAAATATATCTCATATGTCTCATATATCATCAAGCCAGATCAGAGGTTTCAGATACTTTTTTTTTTTTCCTGCAGAAGACTTCTTTTTGAAACTGCTTCCATTTGGTTTCACTGATCTATTTATCTTTTATTACACCAATACCACACTTTCTCGATTACTGACATTTTGTAATAAGTCTTAAAATCAGGTAGTGTAAATCCTTCAATATTATTCTTTGTCAAGATTTTTTGGGTGTTTCAAGCCGTTTGCTTTTGTACCTAAATTTTAGAATCAGCTTGTCAGTTTCTACAAAGGAAGCATTCTGTAATTTTTATTAGGATGGCAATTTGGGGACAATTGACCTCTTAATGTTGAATATTCCAATCCATGACCATGGTGTATTTGTCCATTTAACTAGATCTTACTTAATTTTTCTCTGTAATATTTCATATTTTTTAGCATTGAGGTCTTTGCAGTTTTGTTAATTCTTTAAAAATATTTTATGCTTTTTGATGCTATAATTGGCATTTTTAATTTTATTTTCCAGTTGTTTATTGCTAATAAATAGAAATACAACAGATTTTCATATATTGATCATGAATCCTCTGGCCTTCCCAATTAGTTCTAGTAGCTAATTCTCAACATCTTAGGATTCTCTATATAAATAGTTGTGCCATTTGCAAATAATGGCAGCTTTATTTCCTTCTTAAAAATCTGTATTGCTTTTATTTCCTTTGCTCACCTTATTGTGTGGTCTGGAACATCTAGTACAATATTGAATAGAAGCGGTGAACCAGATAGCCCTTCCTTGTTTCTGATGTTAGGGAAAAAATTTTTAGTCTTTCATTATTCAGTATGATGTTAACTATAAGTTTTTAAATAGCCTTTACAGGTTAAGGAAGTTCCCTTTTTTTCCCAGGTAGCTGAAAGGTTTTTTGTTGTTGTTGTATTCATAAATGGGTGTTAAATTTTGTCAAATGTTTTTCTGTACTTATTGAGGTGATCATATAATATTTTTTCTTTTATCCTCTCCATAACGTGAATGGCATTGATTGCTTTTTGAATGTTGTACCAACTTTTCATTCCTGGGCTAAACCGTATTTGGTTATGATTTAGTACCCTTTTTTATATGTTACTCCATAACATTTGATAATAGTGTATTAATGATTTTTCCTATATTTATGACAGATATTGGTATACAATTATTTTTCTTGTGATGTCTTTGTTAAATTTGGGTATCAGGGTTATACTGGTCTGGTGAAATAATCTGCAAATATTTCCTTCTCCGTTATTTTCTGAAACAGTGTAAGAACTTTTAAAATGTCTGATAGAATTGACCAGTGAAATTCTCTAGTTCAAAAGTTCCCTTTTGGATTTGGTTTGAAAATTACAAATTCAATGTCTTTAATAGATACGGGGTAACTAGATTTTATATAGCTTCTTGTGCCAGTTCTGTCAATTTTAGAAGAATTTATCAATTCCATCTATGATGTTGAATTTATTGCTACAAAGTTGTTCCTAAATGTTTAAAGGTTCTTTAGCAATGTCTCCATTTTCATTCCTGATATTTCTTCCACTTTATTTGGTGGTAGTTAGAAATTGGTCAAGCCTGAATAATGTATAACTATGAATGTATCCTATTTTAGTTTCCATAGCCAGCACTTCTTAATCTCAAGGTATTTATTTCTCTCTCCCCTCTATAATCACTGCTCTGTCTTTCCCGAATTACTACAAAAGGCTTAATACCTTTTTTGTGTATAAACTACTTTTATTTTATTTACTGATTTTTGTTACCAATAAGAAGCAATCTATTATCTTGTACTTGACTCCAAAAATACCTAACACCTTTCAACTCTGGTAAAATGCAGTAATATTCAGATTATTTGAAGAACAAGTAAGAACCAGGTATCAATGTAAATGCTTGACTTAATAATCTAGAGTTCAAGGTTTAGATGTGTTCTAAAATCCTGAGGAGTGAAACGTTAAAGTAGCTAAGAAGCATAAAATCTCAGCTGGATTTGAAGATAGTCCCAAACCACATTTTAAAGGTAAAAAATTTTGTAATCACACACACACACACACACACACACACACACACACACACACAAAATGCAGAACATGTGGTCAATATATGTCATCCATAGTGTCAACATCTTAACTGGTCTCATTATACTGTATTTTCACTTGGTCCTTTCTTGTGTGTTTCTATTTGGTCCTTTTAACACACAGATTTGTTTCAACTTAGTTTTAAACTATAGTTTATTTATTTTTTCTTTACTTATCATTGTATCATAAACATGTTTTCAAGTTTCTACATATTTTTCTTTGCCTTCACTTTAAGTGATGACATAATATTCAGTTTAGTGGCTGTAATAACATATAACTATTTCCCTACTTTGACCCAATAGATTTTTCCTATTTTTCAATTCTCTGAAACAAGGCTGAGATGAACATATTCATATATGTAACTTTTCCCCGTATTTTGTATTACTTAATTAGGGTAGATTTATAGAAGTCAGATTATAACCTGAAATTAAAGAGGAAAGCCATATATATTTTTATAATTTGGCTAACCACAGAGACTTTGTGATCATGAACTTATTGGAATTCTTTACATATTGAGTATGGTGATTAGTATTGTTATTATGGGATCTCAATTTAGCATACAAAAATAAATTATTGAGAGCTAAAGGTAAGACATATTCTGGCAGAAACATAGGAAAACTCCGAGCACGCCAGAGACCATGGATGTATAAGGAACCCAGGGATAGGTGAAGGATGTGGTGAAGGAATGGTGGTGCAGGCGTATGCAGTTAATTCCAGTGACCAGGGTAAAGTCATATAGCATCTTAAGAAGTCCTACTTCTGACCAAGCATGGTGGAGCATGCCTGTAATCCCAGCACTTTGGGAGGCCGAGGCAGGCGGATCACCTTAGGTCAGGATTTCAAGACCAACCTGGCCAACATGGTGAAACCCTGTCTCTACTAAAAATACAAAAATTAGCCGGATGTGGTGGCTTGCACCTGTAATCCCAGCTACTCAGGAGGCTGAGGCAGGAGAATTGCTTGGACCCGGGAGGTGAAGGTTGCAGTGAGCTGAGATCGCACCACTGCACCCCAGCCTGGGCGACAGAGTAAGACTCCATCTCAAACAAACAAACAAACAAACAAACAAAAAAGAAGTCCTACTTCTGAGAGATCTGAGACACATCCACGGGAAAGCCCTTGTTCCATAGAAAAGTCATTTTAAATATTAAGTTTTCTATAAGAAATCAAGGCTGCAAATAATATGATTGGTTCTAAGGTTGTTGTGCAATACATTGTGCTGTATTCAGAGGGAATCATGGCCAGTATTTCATAAGAAATGCTCACCTCAAAGAGAGTGTTCTATGATTACCTAAACCTTAGGATAGCGGCCTTCATGCTTGAAAGAGTTAAAGGGTCTTTCAGCTTCTTCCTCAGCATACAGTTTAATTGTTATATGAAAGTAGCAACTTTCATTTTTTAATAAGAGGAGAAAACTTGATCATCATGCTTGAAAATTTTGTGAAAACAGTTCAAGTGTATATGCTGTGATACCATTGTCTAGCCCCTCCCAAAGCCATTACATATTTTAATATTTTATTTTTACTGATTGAAAGGTCTTGGGATCAAGGATGAGGGAATACAGAAAATAGAATATGAAATAATTTCTTAAGATAATTCTGATTTCGAATAGACCTATTATTACTATTATTATTTCAAATAAATAATAGTGAACACCTCTCCTTATATTTCCCTGTGTGTCAGCTTGTACACCATTCTTTCTAACTTACGTTTTATCAGTTAGACATTGCAAACTTTTAATGACCAGATTTTGTCTCCCCCACCACCAACTGGCACTGCAGTTCACGACAGTTGATGTGCCACGTTTAATTTTTGCCGGTTTTTAAAATGAAGTTTGAGCGTGATGTTGTGTAGAAATGTCAGAGCTACTGACTTGTCAGCCTCATTATGCTGTGCCCCAGTGACTGCTTCCCAAACATTAATTACATTGCACAGAGACCATGTCTATTGTTTTTAGTTTTTTTTCCCTTAAACTGTGAACTCTAAATTGATTTATAAATCAAATGCAGCTGATTAGTGTTTATAATGTTTTCTTAAATGCACTTTGAGGTACAGGTTACATATTATATAAAACACTGACCCCACTGCCAAAAGATAACCCACACCTAGTTGATTTTCTGTGACAAGTAGTTTGTAAATGATTACCGCTCATGCTACATTTGTCAGCTTATGTGTATTCCGATGTCAGGATACCCTAAAGATATAAATGACTACTTATCGCTCAACATAGTGGATATTACCCATGTGTTAGTCATACTTGCCTGGGAATAAGTGCTTTAAGGTGACACTGCATCAAAGAAAGTTATAGTGGGCCTAGAGGGTGATTCAAAGATCTGTGTCTTTGTATTTTTAAATAAATTTAGCAAGATTGAAGGATCAGGTGCTCTGCTTAATCAAAGAGTATGCTTTGCATCACTTCCAAGGAGTAAGAATTTAGTGAACTATAGTTAAATGTAAAACTACAGTGAATGGATTATAGTCTTTCTTTGAATCTTCAGAAGGCACTTCCAGTTTGTGCTGTTAAGCAGGGTCATCATTAGCAATAATTATTAGAGTATTGGCTGAATCCCCAGTCAATAGATATTTCTTGATGACAGAATGCCAGAACACTGAGGGTTGACTGTAATTCATATGCTTTGTTGACGACGAAAGGGTCAGAGTTAGTTACTTCGGACATTTTTAACCTTTGATATTTGAAACAAACACCAAATAGGACTCAGTGAACAAGAAAATTCAAGAAATACCAATTCTTGTTTAGCAACTTGAAGCCAGAAGCTTCTCCAGCACTCCTACAATGTTGGCAGAGTGGGAAGGAGCCCTAGCTTTGTATCAGTGAAACCTATTAGAGGAATTTTATATATAAGGACATGAATACTACAATTAATAGGAAATTCCAAATTCTTATTCTATTCAATAGTGTTAATCACATGTTCCAGCTACCAGTGATATAACACTGATTCTATCCAAGGCTGAGGAGGAGAGAGAATTTATCATTGTTAGCTTCTATCTAGAAATGAGCTCAATTCTCTTCACTTAATGTTAAATCCACAGAAGCCATTCCATAAAGATTTAGGCCAATTCTGTCTCTGCCCTGAAGGTCAAAGAATCAGGCTCAGTAAGAACTCAACCCCATAAAATCAGTGATTGCTGGAATCACTTTGACTTTGGGAGAACAAAGGAAAGCACTCTCCAGTCAGAAGATATCTTCCTTAATGGTCTACTATGGGACCTAAAAGTTCAAAACTAAAAATTAATACCTTTAGACAAAGACGCTGAATTTCCAGATGACCTCTGTAAAAAATTAACTTGTTCTGGGAGAGATAACCCGTTTCGTCCCAATTAGTCATTAATCATTAATCATCTTGAATAAAGTGTTGACAGGTAGACATCTAGAAAAGACATGAGAGAAAAGGATGTAGACAGATCAAGTAACCTTGGATGAAAGAGAAGAATAGATTTGGAGTGGTAATAAAGGGAAGGCACTATACTAGAATATTTTATTCAGTCTGGAAGCAACAAGAAGCCACTGATAATTCTGAAGAGGTAAGAGAAAGGGATTTCTTGTATGTGTATGTATATGCGTGCACACACATGCATACATGCATGATTGTGAGAGAGACTGAAGGTGGTGATATCAGACAAAACCTTTTCTGGTTATTGGTTATAACCTATGATAATTAGTAAATTATTATTGAATAGCATTGTTATTTACTTTTTATTATTGGAAATTCCTTCTTTTATTTTAATGTGATTATATATCTGTCCTTCAAATCTTCATATCACTTATTGCCCGGGCACAGTGGTTCATGCTTGTAATCTTTGGGAGGCGGAGGCAGGCAGATCACTTGAGGACAGGAGTTCGAGACCAGCCTGGCCAACATAGCGAAACCCCGTCTCTACTAAAAATACAAAAAATTAGCTGGGCATGGTGGCACATGCCTGTAATCCCAGCTACTCAGGAGGCTGAGGCACAAGAATTGCTTTAGCCTGGGAGACTGAGGTTGCAGTGAACCCAGATTATACCACTGCACTCCAGCCTGGGTGACAGAGCAAGACTCTGTCTCAAAAAACAAACAACAACAAAAAAACTTCATATCACTTCTTGCATACACTATCCTTTTGTCAAAATTTTGTTACGGTTTCAGGAGTCTGATTCAGTGAGGGCCTATTATGTGTTGGCCAAGTTTGGGTTGGTCACTTTCTCTACCAGATCAACTTATTCATGATTCAAGAAATGTGTCTATATATGGTATACTTCAAGCAGCGTGCTAGTCACTTTATTTACTTCCAAGATATATGGAATTAAGTAAGCTACTTATTCTCTCTAAGCCTCTGTTTTCTCACCAACAATAGGAAGAAGAGGATGATAATGTTAATGATCGCAACAATGGCAGCGAACAATGAGGAAGTGAGTGCTTATTGTGTGCTCCACACTAGAGTAGGAACTTAACATAGATTACTTTAAAATAGTATGTGTATTTCTTTTTCATTGCAATGTTAGAATGTGTTCATTGTCTAAAAAAAAAAGACAGTAAAAAGAGAACAATAAAAAAACTACCTTTAGTGCCACCATCTAATAATCTACCTAAGAATTCTACTATCTGACCATTGTTAATACTTTGGTGATATATGTACTTTCAAACTTTTTGCTACAAAAGACATACAACATGTGTTTTTGTTAATTCTCACATCAACATTGCAAGGTAGATATTGTTATTCTAGAAGAGGAAACATGAGGTTAAGTGAATGGAGGAACTGGTAGTAGAACCGAGCTCACTCTGGACTCAAAAGATTTCTCCAATATTCTGCTTCTCATTCTTCTGTAATAGAAGTGTTTAGGGACTGATACTCCTTTTAGCCAACTAAACATCTGCAATTAGAATGAAGTAAAAAATATTTCTTCCCTCATACAAACCAACTTCCTAGTAGGAGTCATTGGCATGTAAGGCAAGATTTACTAAATGAATAAGATTGAGAATATCAACTGGAGGACCAAGTCATCTGAAATGACAGTGATATTTCTAAAATAAAAGGCCCATGTCTCTCACAAAGTTCACCTCTCACTTAAATATGAGGTTTTCATTCTAAGTTAGTATTTTTCCTGAGAGTGTCTATTGAGCTGGTAGCAAAGGTTCTTGTAGCAGCAAAGTAAATTTTATATCATTAAAAATCTACAGAGATGTCTTCTTCAAATACCCCATGGTGCCCTGCTCTCTGGCATCTCCCTTCCCTGCTGGATAAGAGGTAGACACTCTTGCGAAGATTAGATCTTTTGGGCTAAACTAGGGTCAGCTGGAGGGGTTGGTTTACAACCCCCTAGGGTAAAAAGTGCAAAGATATTATTCTGCATAGGAGAACTTAGTTGCTTTTGTGGAACATTTTTAGTTCACTTGGTTGCTTCCTGTTTTTGCTTTTTTTTTTTTTTTTTTTTTCACATTTTCTTTTATGTATTAAGATGCATAGTGGAGTCTAATTTCAAAAACTACTTAGTACATTTTTTTAGAGTTAACTCTGGAAAAGTTAGCACGTAGATGCACAACACTTTACCTTTTCGGGCAATACTTCCATTGTTTTACACGTAGAGAAAATGGGCTTCTAATGAGAGAGAGAAGCTTAAAGAAAAAAAAATGCTTAAAATGGTATGAACCCAGTATTCACCTTAGACAAAATCACGCTACCACACGCTGCTATGTCTGGGGCAGACATTCTCTCATTTCCTGCATTTTTTTTTTTTTTTTTTTTTTTTATTATACTCTAAGTTTTAGGGTACATGTGCACGTTGTGCAGGTTAGTTACATATGTATACATGTGCCATGCTGGTGCGCTGCACCTGTTTTTGCTTTTATTTTCTTTCCCAGAGGTTATTTTCATTCTCTGAAATTATAAAACCATATTCTCCAACCAGGGATAAACCTAAGACTCAATGGCATCTCCACTTTCCCTGGGCTGATAGGGAATCTAGATGACAACCTAGAGTCCTTCTTCACAGTAGATAATCTGGAGAGTTTGTACCCACAAATGGGTCAAACATATTGCATTCAGTGTTCCATTAAGTCATGCCAAGTCCACGCTCCCATGGGTTTAGATTTCAAAAGAAAGGGCTAGGAGGTTGTGCATTTCCTGGCATGGGGTATACCTCTTAGTGGAATGAAAGACACTTTGCAGACAAAAAGCTGGCATGAAACATACCTTTGATTCCACCAACAAGCATGCCATATGTCACAAAATTCTACTGCTTCCTCCCTGTTATTTCATCTGAGTGCCTCTTTCCTGCACATGGCTCTCGGGTGCAGTTAAGTAAAATGGATAGTACATTTAATTGATGTAACTAACTTGAATTCAGTTGGGCTTAAGTTAGTTATTTGATAAATGGGTAGTATCTAGAGTTTGATACTCTTTATGGGAGGCAACATGATATAGTGAAAAGAGTGCCAGAATAGGAGTAATAAAACCGGGGTTTTTGCCCAAGGTCTGCTATTGCCTTGCTTTGTGACCTTTGGCAAATATCTGAGCCTCTGTTTTCTCATCTGAAAGTCAGAGTAATAATATTTTTCTGATCTGCTATGTCAGCGGGGTATCAGGCATATAAATTATAATATTGTGTGTGAAAGTTCAATATTGGAAAAAGTCTAAAGTGCTTTGCAAAGTACAAGGTACTATTAATATATACTTTCTAATGAATGGCTGAATACCACACATCTATATGAACATGGATAGGAAGAACAGAGAGGAAAGTACAAATTTCAAATTTTCCATCCAAAACTTTTATAATTGCTATTTTATGATAAAAAACAATACATCTTCAATGTGGAGAATAGGAAAAATGTAAAGAAAATAAAAATCATTCATAATCACCCAACACAAAGATTATTGCTATTTAAATATTTTGGTGCATTTCTCTTCAGTATTTTTTTTCAAATGATTGGCAATAAGCCCTGTCTGTGAGGGATTTTTCTATTTTTCTGATCACAAATTCTAAACAGTTTATTATAGAGAATTTAATAGAAAGTTAACCCCTTCTTCCTATGAAACTAATATTAACATTTTTTCATTTTTAAATTTAGTTTCATTATTAAATACATAATTTTCATTATTAAATTTATCATATTTTTTATTTAAAATTGTTTTCTAGTGTTTTCCTACATCATCAGATACTATCCAAAACTATTTTAACTTTTTATTTTCTATATTTTAAAATATACAAGTGGCCCTTGGCTTATGACCTTTAAACTTACATTTTTCAGCTTTACAATGGGTTTATCAGGGTATTAAATGCATTTTCGACTTATGGTATTTTTGACAGATGATGGGTTTATCGTGAGTTAACCCCATTATATGTTAAAGAGCATCTGTATACCAAAGTAAAGCACACAATTAGATGAACCCAGCGCTTATCAGTCATATAACTTGGATGATTTTCAACTCATAAACCATATTGCTGCACCTACAAGCCACTCAACTCCCCTTTCTTTCCTCCATGACTTTTTTTTATTATTAAAGATGGGGTCTTGCTATCTTGGCCAGGCTGGTCTCAAACTCCTGGCTTCAAGCGATCCTTCCATCTTGGCATCCCAAAGTGCTAGGATTATAAGTGTGAGCCACCAAGCCCAGCCTCTTCCATGAATTTTTGAAGTAAATCCAAGATATAATTTCATCCATAAAACTTTAGCATGTGATAACAAGGTATAAAAACTTTCTTTAACCTAACTACAATACCATATTGCACATTAAAAATGAACAATAAATCTTTAATATCTTTAGATATCCTGTACATTCCCATTTCCCCAAATGATCTCATAAATATGTGTATAGTATTTTCATTTCTTTGTTGAAATGAAAACCCAAAGAAGATGCACACATTACAATTTGTTAGTATGTCTCTTAAATCTCTTTTATGATCCTCATATTTCCCTTCCTTCTTTTATTTTTTCTTTTCAATTATTTGTTTAAAAACTCGGCCATTTTTTCCTATGGATTTTCTCACATTCTGTATTTTGCTATTTCTATCCCCACTGCATTATTTGATATGTTTCTCCATCTCCAGTACTTCCTGTAAGCTGGCTATGAGACCTAGTTTACTGCTGCCTAATGGAAATACAATCTGAGACCTATATGTAATTTAAAATTTTCTAGAAGTCACATGAAATTAATTTAAAAAATATATTTTACTTAACAGAATATTCAAAATATTATAACAATATATAATCAAAATAAAATTATTAATGAAACATTTTACATTTTTTTACTAAGTCTTTGAAATCTTAAGCAAAAAAATCCCCAATGTATAGCACTTCTATAAAATCCTGCCATTAAAACATCAGTTATTTGGGCAGAACTTCTGACTGTAGTCTAATGAGATAATCTACAATGACCTTCCCCAAAACAATTATGAAGCTCAACGAATTGACAAAAACGACACTTAAGTACCCGGAAATCAACCAAAGGCCTACAACAATCCAAGAAGCATTTGTATTTCAATAAACTATTGGACTGTGGGTAATAAAAGTGGGAATCTATGATGATTAGGCCTGGGACTGCTCATGATCCCCACCTTCAACTCTGAGCTTGGCCAATGCCAAGGTTCTGCTGTGGTGGGGCAGGCTGTAAGAATTGTAGCTGCATTGGCATGGTTGAAAATGGTTCACTTGTGAAGAGGTGAATGATGCCCACACCCAGTGCCATTGTTGGTAGATGTTACAGTCTCAAACTTGGGCCGGTGGGGAAGGCTAGCAGTTCTGCTAACCTGAGGTTGTGGTTGTGACTGGGAAAAGCATGTTTCTGACTGAGGCTGAGCTTATGTGCAGCAGACAATGGAGAACTACCTGAGAGGGCTTAAGCCAGCCACACACTGCTAGTCAACACAGTGGAGACATGAAAAGCCCTGTGGATAATAAAAGCTGCAGGGCAAATATGAAGATGGCATCAACATTGAGTGAGCTCTCATTCCCACACACAGATCCATTGTCGGAGAATAGAACACATACCTGCTCAAGATGGGTGAGCACAACCTCTGCGCAATCATTGACCAGCCACAATGCTACAAGGACACAGGAGTGACCCGTAGGAAACCAGACTTAAAAAGAATGTGACAGAAAAATTGACAAAGGAAATCAGCAGCTACATACCATAGAGTGACATATTTCACAGATATAGCCCAGGCAAGTGACTACATAAAGAAACTAATGGACAAAATGTAACAATAACCTTCAGGGAGAAAAAATCAGAATCCAGAGCTGCTATACTATATTATCTAAAATGTCCAGTTTTCAACATTAAAAAACACTATGATATATGCAAATAAACAGAAGAGTATAACTCATCCTCAGTAAAACCACAAAAAAGTCAATATAAACTGTCGCTGAGTGTCTCCAGCTTTTGCAATTAGCAGACAAATCTTCAAAGCAACTATTATACATATGTTCAGACTAGTAAAATAAACCATCAATAAAGGCTTAATGGAAAGTATGACAAAAATGACCAAATTGTTGATTTTCAAGAAAGAAGTAGAAATTATGAAAAGACTTAACTGGAAATTCTAGGATTCAAAAGTATCATAATTTAAATGAAAAATTCACTAGAGAGACTCAAAAGCAGATCGAATATGGCAAAAGAGACAATCAGCTGACTTGAAGATTGATCTGTAGATATTATCCAATCTGAAAAACAGAGAGGAAAAAGATCTCTCTCTCTCTCTCTCTCTCTCTCTCTCTCTCTCTCTCTCTCTCTCTCTCTCTCACACACACACACACACACACACACACACTAAACAGAGCCTCAAAGATGTGTGGGACAACATCAAGCATATCAACACATGCATAATGTGAGTCCCAGAAGGTGACAGAGAAAGGGGCAGAATAACACAACATGTAAAAAGGAATATATTCAGAAATTTAAAAGGACATGAAATACTGATACACACTACAATATGGATAAACCTCAAGAGCATTGTGAAAGAAGCCAAGTGGAAGAGACCATATATTGTATGACTTAATTTAATTTACAGAAAATGTCCATAACAGGCAGATTCATAGAGACAGAAAGTAGATTAGTGGTCGCCAGGGGTTGGGAAAGAAGGGATATTGGGAATGACTGCTTACTAGATTTAGGAATTATTTTTAGGGTGATGGAAATGTTTCAAATATGGATGGTGGTAACGGTTTCACAACTCTGTAAATGAACCCCGAATCATTGAATTTTACACTTAAAATGGGTGAATTGTATTTATGAAAATTAAACTCAATAATGCTATTTAGAAAAACAAACAGTAAACATATCAACAACAAAAACAAAGCAACAAGTTCAGTAATTTGATCTAGTACTTAGTTATTCTGGTATGGCCCACAACATCTGGCATAAACATTGACTCCCTGAATGATATTTTCTCAAAACAACAGACAGCCTAGTTTTGATACATTTACAATCACAAAAGGTATTAGTAATCATAACTGTATAAAATGCCTTACGGTTTACATGGCCTTTTCATGTGTATTCTTTTATTTGAGTCATCTGCCAGCACTCTGAGGGAGAAAGGGCATTTAATCTTTAGTATGAAAAAGGAAGGGAAGTTAACTGATTTATCCAATGGCATACAGTACGTGACACAATGGGCCCAAGCTCAGACTTCCTGACTCCAAGTTCAATGTCCTTTCTGCTACATTATGCCAACCCTACTCTCTATGGTAGCAACCCATTTGCAATTACATTGTACTATGCCATGTAGGTGAATATGAAAATATGGATATTAGAAGAGGGAATCACAAAGGAGAAAATTACAGTTCTATTTGTGCTATGTTCTTCCTGAATATTTGCTGGTAGGGAGGCTGAGGAAGTCAGCAAATTTCCTGCTTGTGGCCTGGAATGGCGTGGAGATCTGTATCAAACTGATTACACATTGACCCAACAACATCAAGTCAATTCTAGCCCTCTTTCATCTGGTTATGTAGTAAGTGAGAAATAGGGTAGGTAGGGGGAATTGTGTTATAGACTGACACCTAATAACCTTGCAGAGCAGCCATGTCTTCATAGCTTTTCTGGTTTCATTCATAGCATCTTAGGATCTTAGGATGCTATGAATGAAACTGGATATAGATTCCCTTTTTTCTGGGCCTCGTTATGCCATTCTTATCCAAGAAGCTTATTTTCTTTGTTATATAAGCAAGGCCAAATACTTTTTCAGATGCTCTGTAGGATCTAAAGTCTTCTTAGTCTCTTTCCAAACTGCACCTGAAAGTCTTACTTGAGTTTCCTACAGTGATTCCTCCAGCTTCCTTTGAACCTTATTTCAGAGATTCTGTGACTGCCACATAGCAAAGAAATTAAGAGTACAGGCTCTGGAGCCAGAACTTTCGGATTTAAATTCTAGCTCCACTAGCTGTGTGATCTTGGTGAAATTAGTTAACCTCTCTGTGCTTCTGTTTCCTCATCTGTAAAATAAGGAAACATATTATAACATTTTTGAGGATTAAATGTGATTATGGATGAAAGTTGCTTAAAAGAGTACCTGTATCTTCTTTCTAGTTCTTTTAATTTTGATAAAAATAATGATTAGTTATAATTAATATTAACTAAGTATAGTATTAAATAATATTACTAATTATTATTTGTAGTAGTATTTAAGAAAGCTGACAACTTTAACCTATACCAGAAGTTTTCCTCTGGTACTTGTATTTTTTAAAACTTCCAGTCTAATTATTCTCATGTGCTAGCCATGACAACCCTGTGAGATTCATAAAAATAATGATAGTAGGTATTTCCCCACTTTACAGATATGAAATAAAGGAATGCTATTTTGTCATAAAGTTGGGTCTAGAGCTTCCTTTTAGAACCCTTATATACAGATCTTTCTAATACAGTCTGCTGCCTTTGGCATAGTTATCATTTGCCCACCACAGCAAAATATTTGGTACAAGTCCCGACAATCATTGTTAACCTCTGTATCCACCTCTGCGATTAAGTCACTAAAGGGTGTGTATCTTTGTTGAATATGTTATGTTAATTTGATTAGCTCCTTTTCAGTCTAGTCTTTAGCATAATTGAAAATGAGTCTCCAGTAGTAAGCAGTAGAAATGCTACTGCTTCCAGTTGTTATACATGAAACTTGAGGAGGTTACAGATACAGTGTTGATTTCACTAAGCTAATGCTGAAGACGAATGGCAGTAGAAAGCTATGATTAATACTTGCTATTTGGAAACTCTAGAAGAAAGTTATATCTTTGGTTGTATAAGACCATATTTAAAGCCTATTACTTTTCAAGATACTGTATTAAATTTGATATTACATTTTGCATAAGTACTTTAATGCTAAAATTACTATAAAATTTACAAAACCCCAATGGATTTCATTGTAGAAAAATGAATTGAATATGATTGTTTATTTGTGGAAATAAGCAGCTATTGTTCTTCTCTAAAGAGTAAAAAAGCTTTTATACATCGAGTTACCTTCAGTTTCCTTGAAGATTGTTTCCTATATGAAGTGTTTAGGTGATCTACATAATCCACCACAAAGGATATTGAGAAGTAATAAGAAAAAGATAATTTGAAATTACTTTAGAAGGTGCTGGAGTTCCAAAAGAAAGGGTGTGATGGAGATGGATATTACTGCAACTCAGAACTGTATATTATTTGCAAATTACTAAGGGATAGAAATATGCTAGGTATTTACACCGTTACAAAAAATTTCTGCTCCAATGAATTTGAGATATGAACCAGAGTTCCTGGGCCCGCATTTTGGGAGGCACTAAGCTGTTGCCATTTATCTAATGGGATCATATGAAATACTCAATAAATCTTCAAAATTATTTTATATATATATATAGTGTCAGTCCCTGAGAATTTTGTTCAGACGTGTGTGTGTGGTATCTATGGGGTACATTTGGAGTCAAGATTCCCTAAGCAGCAATGGTAAATACTAAATGAGAGTAAGCCTCCAAAATAATTTGTGTTAGAGCTTCTTTATGGAAATCAGTGGCACCACCAACTTTTCCATTCACTAATTTTTTACCTCTCCACTTGTCTCATGTGATCCAACATTGGTGTCCATGAAAAGTTTTGAGGCTTTAACAAAAATAATGAGAAAAATAAAGACACATTCATTCAGAAAAATCAAGAATCTACAAAAAGAGATGTGAGATCATCGCTATTTAATTGTAGAATTAAGCAACTTCCATGTTTCTCTTTTAAAGTGTCCTAAAGAGCCTGCCAAAACACCTTGAGGATATGGACTGCAGGTGTTTTTGCAATTGAGTCAAATCAGTTTTGAAGGAATATTTTTGCAGGATGGACCTTTTATTATTCCATTGTAATAGTTTTAAAATGTTAATAGAACAGGTAGATTAAACAAATACATGTAAACTAATGCCATTGTTATGGTTTGAATGTGTCCTCCAAAGTTTATGTGTTGGAAACTTAATGTCCAAAGTAACAGTGTTGAGAGGTGGGAACTTCAACAGATGAATAGGAAATGAGGGCTCTGCTGCCATCAATGGATTAATGCCATTATGATGAGCGTGGGTTCATTATCAAGAGAGTGGGTCTGTTGTAAAAGCAACTTTGATGCCTTCTTGCTCTCTTATGCTTTCTTGCTTTATTATTATTAGTAGTAGTAGTGGTAGTATTATTATACTTTGAGTTCTGGGATACATGTGCAGAACATTCAGGTTTGCTACATAGGTATACATGTGCCATGGTGGCACCCATCAACTCATCATCTACATCAGGTATTTCCCTCCCCTATTCTCCCACTCCCCCGACAGGTCCCAGTGTGTGATGTTCCCCTCCCTGTGTCCATGTGTTCTCATTGTCCAATTCCCACTTATGAGTGAGAACACGCAGTGTTTGGTTATCTGTTCCTGTGTTAGTTTGCTGAGAATGATGGTTTCCAGCTTCATCCATGTCCCTGCAAAGGACATGAACTCATCCTTTTTTATGATAAGCAACTTCAGCAACGTCTCAGGATACAAAATCAATGTGCAAAAATCACAAGCATTCCTATATGCCAATAATAGAGAGCCAAATCATGAGAGATCTCCCATTCACAATTGCTACAAAGAGAATAAAATACCTAGGAATACAACTTACAAGGGATGTGAAGGACCTCTTCAAGGAGAATTACAAACCACTGCTCAAGGAAATAAGAGAGGACACAAACAAATGGAAAAACATTCCATGCTCATGGATACGAAGAATCAATGTCATGGAAATGGCCATACCGCCCAAAGTAATTTAGAGATTCAGTGCTATCCCCATCAAGCTACCATTGACTTTCTTCACAGAATTAGAAAAAAACTACTTTAAATTTCTTATGGAACCAAAAAAGATCCCGTATAGCCAAGACAATCCTAAGCAAAAAGACAAAACTGGAGGTATCATGCTACCTGACTTCAAACTATACTACAAGGCTACAGTATCCAAAACAGCATGGTACTGGTACCAAAACAAATATATAGACCAATGGAACAGAACAGAGACCTCAGAAATAATGCTACACATCTACAACCATCTGATCTTTGACAAACCTGACAAAAACAAGCAGTGGGGAAACGATTCCCTATTTAATAAATGGTATTGGGAAAACTGGCTAGCCATAGGCAGAAAACTGAAACTGGACCCCTTCCTTACACCTTATACAAAAATTAACTCAAGATGGCTTTCTTGCTTTCCTACCTTCTATCATGAATTGACACAGCAAGAAAGCTCTAACTAGTTGTGTCCCCTTGACCTGGACTTTCCAGTGTCCAGAACTGTAAGAAATAAATCTCTTTTCTTTATAAATTAGCCCGTCTCAGGTATTCTGTTATATCAACACAAAACAAACTAAGATGGCACAAAACAAACTAAGATAGCAGTAAATAATTTCAGTTCAACTCTTGAGTGTTATCTCTTTGACATAATAGAATGTCTATGTACCATGCAAGCAGTCTACTTTGAAAGCCATCATTTTCTGGAGAAGAAGTCCCATATTCAGTACATAAAATTCTCAGCCCATCTCCTAAAAAGTGGTGATTTACTTCTCTTTTTATATACTAAAATGTTATGGCTGTTTCCACGTGAAACCAAAAGAACTGACCAATTCCATGATAAAATCAGACTAGTCCTTTAAGCTTTATATGCTTATGTAAGCTGTCATCACACACAAACTGATGTGTTCTTTTTCAGTGTTAGAATTCAATCAAACTATAATTCATTTTCTGACTAACTAAATGAAGTCAATCAAGCAGCCACTGAATAATTAGACTAACAAATTGTTTTTGGAAAAACTCTTGGTTTTACAAAGTTTTGTCATATTTTTCTAAAGCAACTTGTTTATGTCCAGTTGGTGACCATGTTTTCCTTTTAGAGTAACATTCATCAACAAAAAGAACAAAAATGAAAATGGCAAACAGACTGTGAAAGATAGTTTCAACAAATACTATGCATAAAGGGTTAATATACTTGTTTTATGGCATCAATATGATTTAATTTTTTTTTTTTTCGAGATGGAGTCTTGCTCTGTCACCTAGGCTGAAGTGCAGTGGCACGATCTTGTCTCACTGCAACCTATGCCTCCCAGGTTCAAGCAATTCTCCTGCCTCAGCATCCCGAATAGCTGGGATTACAGGAGCCCACCAAGACACCTGGCTACTTTGTGTATTTTTAGTAGAGACGGGGTTTCACCATGTTGGCCAGGCTGTTCTCATACTCCTGACCTCGTGATCTGCCCGCCTAGGCCTCTCAAAGTGCTGGGATTACAGGCGTTAGCCACCACGCCTAGCCCGATTTAATTTTTTTAAAACTCAGGTTCTCAATAGGTAAATGTGCAAAAGCCCCATAAATAGACAGTTAATAAGCAAGGAAATATAACTAGCAAACTCGTACAGAAAAAGTATTCAGCCTCACTAATAAGGAAATTCAAACTAAAAGCACAATTAATTTACTTATTTTAAATAGACATTAAAAATAATACTCAAAGTTGACAAGGGTACAATGAAAGAAGAGAGTGTTCCCACACATTGCTAATGGCAGTGTAAATCATTACAATCCCCTAAATCCACAAAAATGTTCAAAGCTTTTGGCTCATTAATTCAACTTCTTGGAATTTACTGTAAGGAAATAATAATAAAAAAATTGAAGATGTTCATGGTATCTTTATATGGCTTCAGTTATAATACTTGTAAATGGTGAGGGAGGAGTGTAAATAGCCAACAATTGGGGAATGCATATGTAAATTACTGTGCCTTCACTCTACCCAGCCACTAAAAATGATTGTTACAGATATTGTGTAGAAGCATGCAAAAAATCATCTAGCGCGAAGGAAGCAACATGAAGAAATTTGTGTGCATATTATGACTGAAGGGAAATGGACCAGAATGACAGTAGTCACTCTTACAGGCTGGTAGGATTATGGGGGAGATTAGGTGATTATGTACTTTTTTTTATTATTATTATACTTTAAGTTGTAGGGTACATGTGCACAACGTGCAGGTTTGTTGCATATGTATACATGTGCCATGTTGGTGTGCTGCACCCATTAACCCGTCATTTACATTAGGTATATCTCCTAATGCTATCCCTCCCCCCTCCCCCCACCCCACAACAGGCCCCAGTGTGTGATGTTCCCCTTCCTGTGTCCAAGTGTACTCATTGTTCAATTCCCACCTATGAGTGAGAACATGCGGTGTTTGGTTTTCTGTCCTTGTGATAGTTTGCTGAGAATGATGGTTTCCAGCTTCATCCATGTCCCTACAAAGGACATGAACTCATCCTTTTTTATGGCTGCATAGTATTCCATGGTATATATGTGCCACATTTTCTTAATCCAGTGTATCATTGTTGGACATTTGGGTTGGTTCCAAGTCTTTGCTATTGTGAATAGTGCCGCCATGAACATACGTGTGCATGTGTCTTTATAGCAGCATGATTTATAATCCTTTGGGTACATACCCAGTAATGGGATGGCTGGGTCAAATGGTATTTCTAGTGCTAGATCCTTGAGGAATCACCACACTGTCTTCCACAATGGTTGAACTAGTTTACAGTCCCACCAACAGTGTAAAAGCGTTCCTATTTCTCCACATCCTCTCCAGCACCTGTTGTTTGTACTTTTATAGCTTTTATTTTCTCACACCCACAGCAGTTCACTTCTTAAGTGCTTTCTTAGAAAAACAAAGAAAGTTAAGAGGAGAATCAGTCAGAATTTCACCTTTCTTTTAAGAGCTTCCTAAATACAGTGTTTTCTGAATCAGTCAATCTGCATTAATGTAATAAGTCCTTATTAAGGAAAAATTATTGTAATAATTCCAAAGAGTACTATCCTCCTTTGCCAGCTATTCCTCAGGCACTGTGTGGCCTCATTTCCTCTATCTGTTGTGCTATGAAGGCCTGGTATCCTTAGGCAATGTTCTATGTACCCTTTAATTTATTTTTCTGAGGTGGAGTGAGACTATTTGGAGGAAGTTCCAAACTATAAGCATCTGCTGTGAGTAGGACCAGACTGTATTTTCTGAGGGTAAACCAGGAAACAGGTTCCCATTTTGAGGGGGCAGTGTATGTGATTAAGAATGAGAAACGGAAAGAAAATAAAAGGATAGTGGAGGAAAGGTTATCCCCAGTGCATAGATATATACTCAGGTCCATGGATTCAAAACAATATTTTAGTTCAGCTATGCTACAGTAGATTGGAGTATGTGTGAGAAGGCTAGGGATAGGGAGAGGAGGACAAAGGAAGAAAGGGAAGAGGAGAAGGAATGATAACTAATGTAAACATGGTCTTTATACTCATCATTTTATTTTTTGCAAATCAATCTAAACTTCCCTTCACATTTCATAAACAATTGTAGAATTTTAGAGTTGGAAGAGTTCTTTGAGATAATCCAATCTCCTTAGTTTACATTTAGAAAAAGAATGCCCTGAGAAAGGGGAGGTGATTTTCCTAAGATCATTCTGCCACATGTTCTGAAGAGCAGTGTAGACGAGTGGTTAAGAGTCGGGCCATTGGAGACAGACTGTAGGAATTGAAATCTCAGTCCTGCCGTTTACTACATGTGTGATCTTGGCAAGAAACTTAACTTCTCTGTTCCTTGGTTTTCTTTATCTGCAAAATGGGCATTTAAAACAGTACCTACCTCACAGGGTGCTACAAGAATTAAATGAGTTAATGTAGGAAAAGCACTAATATAGCACCTGGTACCTGATAACTGCTTTATGAGTTAGCTGCTACAGCTGCTGCTGCTGTTACTTTTATTGTGATAATTCTGTCAGTTGAAGGTCAATGATTTCCACATACTAAGTTGTCTCTCCCTAACCTTACAGTGACTAAATAAATGAACATAAGTCTCCATGGCTGTCTTCTAAAGTCACTTAGAGTTTGTCTTGTTAGCAAGTAGAGAGTTTAAAGCACAAGAGCAAGCCACAGATGTTGACATTTGAATTCATACTTTGTGGACTATCTGAAGGCATCTTCTGCAGTAAAAACTATAATTGACTTCTTTGTTTTGCACTCTGTTCCATAGCAGCATGTGTTTTCCATACACATTTGCTTTGTCTTAGAGTTTATCATTATCAAAATAATATAGAAATGATATTATTTGGATGTGAATAGCATTTTATATATATTTGATTTTTCTGTAAGTTGACAGTTTCATCATCATGTCTAAATAACATTTACTTGACAGTGGACCCCCAGGATGCCATGATGGGCACTGACTGAAAAAGTCAATTAAGCACATGGGAACCTATCCTTTACCATAGAGTATTTGGAACAACATTCTTTCAGAATTATTATGCTTTCAACCATTGGTGGATTTAAAATATTAATCTTTTTCTTAATGTTTTCTGCTTTTTTATTTTGAAAAAAATGAGCTATTTATTAGTGAATTCAAACTCTGTTTCTCAAGCCTTTGACAAATATCACAGTTATGATTTCACAACTCTAGGCACACATAATTGTGTGCACCTCCATATCACATGCTTTGAGAGACCTGGAAAGTTTTCCTTGTCACCTGGGTCCACTGACACAAATTTTAGGACAAAAAGTTATCGTTGAGTGTCGAGGAGCAGGAAAGGATTATTTTCTCTTAGTTTATACTACTTTTGTGGTTTGAAGGAAGAGTGCTTCCAAGGGCACTCAATAACCTTGAATAGATATGACATTCCTAGCTGATTCATGGCTATGAATAGTTATGATTGGAAATTTGAAAGGGTTTCCAGATGGCTATAGGAAAGTCTCTCTCTCTTTCTCTCTCTCTCGTTACAAATAAACCTATGGAGGGAAAAGAGAATGCCTAGGTTTCCATGCATAAAATTAAGGGTGATTTTAACATGATAAATCATATTTGCCAAAACACAACATTCAGCATTCAAAGTGAGACATTTTTCTTTTTTAAATTTAAATCGTTAGGTTTGAGTGGCATTAAGATTAGTAGAGATTCATAATCAACTGAAGTTTAAGTTGAAATGAAGTTAAGTTAATAAAGCTTAAGTTGAAATGAATTCGTTGAAATGAAGTTAGGTGAATTATTTTTACCTTTTAATTTTATTTTTGTATTTTAATTAATAGATTTAATTTTTTGGTGTTGTTTTACTTTAACAGAAAAACTAAGCACGTTTTTCAAAGTTTCTGTATATATGTTTTATCCCACTCAGCAACCATTTTTATTTACCTAAACTCTACTTTGAGTATTTAATATTCTTGAGCAGCTTAGAAATTTGAGACTATCTTTGTATATTTTTAATAATGCAACTACCCTTGTCAAATTTATTTTCCCTTGTTGTTTCCAGTATCTAGTCCACTAATACATTTCTTTTATAGTTCAGCTCTCACAGCCACTGAAGAACTTTACATTGGTCATTGTGATGATGACCCTAGTGGCAGTGTGGAGGATGGGTTGGAGCAGGAAGGGTATGGGGGAAGGAACATCTACAGTTCAGGCAGAACTGATGAGGGACTGAGCTAAAGCAGTGGCAACTGGGATGGAAAGGAAGAGAGAGACTGGAGATTGCAATGCGACCTAGCAATTAGCTAGATGCTTGTGTGGATGGAGGAGTGGTAAGTTCTAGGTTTCTGACTTGAACTACTAATGTGGCCATTAACAGAGATGGGGAAGTTTGAGAACATGAACACATTTTGGGAGGGAGGAAATACTGACTTGCCATACCTAAGGGACCTTCGAGTAAAGCTGCCCACTTTACAGTTGAAATAGGTGCACATAGCTTAAGAAAGCTCTCGGGGCTAGATTAAAGCTGTATGAATCATCGGCGTTCCATGAAAAGAAAAGACGTGGCTGGATATGGGATGGACCGGGGAAGCTGTGGCATTTGTAGAAAGGAAAGACCTGTTTAGACGTTAGGTGAATTTTATAGATGCTTCCTTTTCTGGGTGAAAGTCTAATCCTTGGCTGTAAAACTACATCTCTGGAAGCCTGCTATTGGTACAGTTCTCAATTTGCACTGTTTGTAGCAAAGTAAGACAACTGTCCACCTTTCTTCTTAGGTTTCCATAGCATCTCCTGAAGATCATGTTATGGAAACCTAAGAAGAAAGAGATTAAAACTGGTGTTATAGATGCTCAATGGAATTTCAATGGTTGTGGTGACAACTAGTTGAATCAAGTGCAATCCTTTTCCAATATCTTCATCTTTAGTGCTCAAACATTACTGTTTTTGTCTTTTGTGTATACAAGCCACTTCATTCTGCTTTGTAGTAGAGTTGTTTACTTATTGTGTATATTAAGCTATGAGTTCCTCAGGGGCCGAGACTATGTCTTATGCATTTCCACGTTCTCTCCAGCCCCTCTTGAGAGTTTTCAACAGTTGTTTATTTATTCATTCAACATGTATTGACCAAGTCTCTACTATATGCAAGGTACTATGCTTTTTCTGAATCATATAGCAATGAATAGAAGAGATAAAAATGCCTCCCTTCATGGAGCTTATGTTTTAGTGGGCAGAGACAGATGGCAGATGATAAGCAAATAAATAAAAAATATATAGTGTGTAATTTGGTAATAAGTTCTTTGAAAGACAAGAAGAAAGACGAGACGTACCATTTTTTGGTTTTTTTTTTTTTTTGAGACGGAGTCTCGCTCTGTCGCCCAGGCTGGAGTGCAGTGGCGCGATCTCGGCTCACTGCAAGCTCCGCCTCCCAGGTTCACGCCATTCTCCTGCCTCAGCCTCCCGAGTAGCTGGGACTACAGGCGCCCGCTACCACGCCCGGCTAATTTTTTGTATTTTTAGTAGAGATGGGGTTTCACCGTGTTAGCCAGGATGGTCTCGATCTCCTGACCTCGTGATCCGCCCGCCTCGGCCTCCCAAAGTGCTGGGATTACAGGCGTGAGTTTTTGGTATTTTTTTATGGGAGGTTGCAAAGGCTGTGAGGCACAAATATGCCTGGTGTTTTCACAAACAGCAAGAGGGTTAGTGCAGCTAGGGTACATGAGCAAAGGTAGAGTAGGGTACATGCTTCTGAGCAAAGGAGAGACGTGATATGACTTAGTTTTATTCTGGCTGCGGTGTGGAGGGCAGTAATGTAAGAAGGAAACCAATTAGGAAACAATTGCAATAATCCAGGAGGGATATGATGGCTTGAACTGATGTGGTAGTGGGAAATTGAAGAGATCTGGTTGGATTCTGGATACCTTTCAAAGGCAAGACCAACAGGATTTACTGATGGATTGCATGTGGGATGTGAAAAACAGGAGTCAAAAATGACTTCAAGTTCTTTGGCCTGAGCAAACAGAAGAGCCTTGTGGCCATCTATTAATATCAATATAAAGAATATTATGGAAGGATTAGGTTTGGAAAGGGGTGGGAATTAAGAGCTCACTTTTGAACATACTGTGTTTGACGTATCTTTTAGATACCCAAGTACAGATATTGAGTAGGCAGTTGGATATTCAAAGTTGTGGCTCAGGGTCAAGACCCATGCTGAAGCTATAAACTGAGAAGTTATGGGTGTGTAGACAGTATATGAAGCCAATATACTGGCGTGAGATTAGATTGTTGTTGAATCATTGGTGTGTGTATATATATATATATGTATATGTTCATATCTGCTGCTTTCTCTTTAAGCATGCTCATCTCTCATATTAGTTCAAACCAAACTAGGTGTCTCCATACACAGTTTGTAGGTTCAGGAGTTAAATAGTTTCTACTACGTGTGTGCCTAAAGTAATACTTAGCGGTGTGGGGGATATAAAGAGACATTAAGACTCACATCCTGCCTTCAAGACCTTCACATTTGATTAGGAAAAGAAGACCTTGACTTGTGAAACTGTTCATACCACAAAAGAAGAACCATTTAAAACATATATCAGTCAAATGTGTAAGCCTTTTTTAAAAAATCAGCCTACATAGGCCGGGCGTGGTGCCTCACGCCTGTAATCCCAGCACTTTGGGAGGCCGAGGCGGGTGGATCACGAGGTGAGGAGATCGAGACCATCCTGGCTAACTTGGTGAAATCCCGTCTCTACTAAAAATACAAAAAAAATTAGCCGGGCATGGTGGCGGGTGCCTGTAGTCCTAGCTACTCGGGAGGCTGAGGCAGAAGAATGGCGTGAACCCGGGAGACGGAGCTTGCAGTGAGCCGAGATCGCACCACTGAACTCCAGCCTGGGCGACTGAGCAAGACTCCGTCTCTAAATCAATCAATCAATCAATCAATCAAATTGATCAATAAAAATCAGCCTACATCATACTTTGAAAAGCTAAAAGCCTTTTTTGAATGATTTCTGTGTTCTATGTGCTTGGCATAAATGCAATAAGAATTCCAAAATATGAGATAGTGTACATGATAGAGGAGCCACCATTTGGATGTCTATAGATTTCTTTGAAAATACATATGGTGAAGAGCTGAAGAAAAATAAAAGAGTCAGTTTCACTGCAAAATAAAATCATAAAGTTAATTGGTTTCTAACTACATTTTTAAACATTGTATGAAAAGACCAAGTTGCAAAGTTGCAACAGTGGACTGAAATGGTGATGACAAAATAATGTAAAGAATGAAAATAAGAACATTTTTACAGGGCTTTTAAATTTACAGAGGACTTTGACATCTCAGATGACACTTGATCGTCTCGAAACTCTCCGTGCTAAGTAGAGCAGTTAATGCCTCTACTGGCCCTAAGACCTTCAGTGGCTCCTAGCTCAGCATTCTATGGGGAAAGGGGGTTCTTTCGGTGATTTATCATGAAGTTTAAAATTGCTATTTCCAAAACTGATTTAGATCCTGCTGTTGCTGTACCAGTATACTCACCAGAAGTGTTTACATCCTCTCAGTACTATGAAGAACAAAAATTTACCACCACCTAACTCATTAAGAATGCTCTGCAGGCCTGAGGCTCAAAAGCCACAATATGAGCACAAAGAGTTCAGTCCCCCTCAAGGATACTTTATTCCATGAGCTCTCTCACTCAGAATCCTTCCCTTACTCAGAGCCCCTGTCTTAAATGTAATATTAAACCAGAAGCAAGAATGTGTTCTTTCTGAATGTAGTTCTCTTACCAGTTTTCATTTCAAATGTGGAATGTGCAGGGTTAATCTTTGTACTCCTCACCACTTTCAAATCTGATAACGTTTTTTAATCTAACCACTGATTTTAACATTAAAAACACGCACACACCATAGAACAACGTTGTCCTCTATTTGAATTCCAATACAAATATTTTTGAAGGCTGTCTCTCTTTTACCTTGAGTATTTTCTGATGCTGCAACCTCCAGCTTAATCCTTAATGCTTGACAATGTATGCATGTAACACAGAGTGTTATTATTGCCTCCGGCTAGCTTCATGTCATCTAGTTTGTCTTTTACTTCTCTCCTTTGATGGTATTATCAGGACCAATTGTGAATCTGCCAGATGCATTTCCTCACAAAAAGATAAATCTAAGAAGGCTTGTGTTTTTCCCTTTCTCTTCCAGGACTGCTTGCATTAAAGGACTTCCTCATCCTTTTTTTCATGAAACTGAGCTTGCTTAATCAGAGATGGAGCAAACTGACTGCAAACCCTACCAGCCTCTACCAAAAGTCAAGCATGAAATGGATCTAGCTTACACCAGTTCTTCTGATGAGAGTGAAGATGGAAGAAAACCAAGACAGTCATACAACTCCAGGGAGACCCTGCACGAGTATAACCAGGAGCTGAGGATGAATTACAATAGCCAGAGTAGAAAGAGGAAAGAAGTAGAAAAATCTACTCAAGGTATGTTTTTATTGGATCTTTATAACAAATATTATTTCTCATTAGAGAATGCTTGTGTGCATAAACTTTGTTTCAAAAATAAATTTGCTAATGTTAACTGGTTAATAATTCGCACTGCTTATATATGCTCAGAGAATCTATTGCATATGTCAGCCCAGCTGAGGTTGTAGGTTACATGTGCTTTTTATGGATTATGCATGAATTTGGATGCTGCAGTCCTCTTATCAGAGCATTCAAAATTTGTGTAATCCTACAAATAGCCATTTATAGACTGAAGGATAAATAATTTATAGTAAGATGAAAAGTAAACAGCTAAGTGCTTTTCAAGCCATTGCTTATATGGGACAGAAGTCTCAAATAAATATTTGGCTGCTGACAAAGCTAGCAGGTTAGTGGAGACCACCAAACAGGGTTCCAGAAAGTCTATCACCGTAATGTAGAAACATTGTGTAGCCGAGTCTGAAAGGAAAGTAAGAATTTTTTAGAACCCTTCCTACAATAGCCATATTTTGGAGCATATTCTTTGGGCAGTCTTAGTTTCTCAATTATGGATTGACAAGACAGTTTCTAACAAAAAACTAGTAGAAATACGATTTCCTGTTCCAATTGATAGATAAACTGTGTTAGACACTATTTTAATGACGTAGAAGATACTGACATTGGCACAAGGTTTTTTGTTTTTTTGTTTTGTTTTGTTTTGTTTTGTTTTGTCTTGTTTTGAGACAGAATCTCACTCTGTTGCCCAGTCTGGAGTGCAGTGGCGCAATCTCGGCTTACTGCAACCTCCACCTCCCAGGTTCAAGCGATTGTCCTGCCTCAGCCACCTGAGTAGCTGGGATTACAGGTGCGCCTCACCACACTCAGCTACGTTTTGTATTTTTAGTGGAGATGGGGTTTCACCATGTTGGTCAGGCTGGTCTCAAACTCCTGACCTCGTGATCCACCCGCCTCAGCCTCCGAAAATGCTGGGATTATAGGCATGAGCCACCGCGCCCGGATGGCACAAGTTATCTTTTTTATGAATAAGTTAATGCTGAGATAAAAAGTAATAGACTTAATTTTCTATGTCCTCCAAGTGTGGACTTGACTAGCAACAACAGCAAAACCTGAGAATTTTTTTAGAGTGTAAATTCTCCAGCCCCACTCTAGACATATTGAGTCAGAAACCCTGGGGGTGGGACCCATTTGTGGTTTAACAAATCCCCAGGGGATTCTGATTCCTGCTCAAGATTGAAGATTACTGCTTGAACCCCGAAATATTTTTACTCAGATGGCTTCAATGATCACATCTATTTGAGTGACCTTCAAATATTTATCTTCAGACCTAACCTCCTTCCTAAACTCTAGTCCTAAATTTTCAGTTAACCTCCCCGGCATTTCCAAATGAATAATACACTGACACCTCTAAACCAGTCTATTTAAAGTGGAAGCAATCATCTTAACACTCCTAATCCCACTCATCTTCCTTGTATCACCTACATCTGTTAATGATGCTCCCATTCTCCCAACCACACATACTTACTATATCTAATCAGTTTCCTCATCCAGCAGAGTTAATCTCTACATCTCTCAAATCCATTTTCTCCTTTCCATTTTCATGATCATTACTCTCATTATATCTCACCTAGACTGTTTTTTGTTTCTTTACTGGTCTACCGGGATCTCACCTCATCTCTTTTCAATCCCTTTGCTGTGCTGTTACATCTTTCTTGGGATACAATTTGCTGCTATCTCTCTTTATGCATATTCAACCATCTTTCAAGGCCTAGCTTACAAGCATCCTTTCCCACTGAATCCTTGCCTCACCATCACCCCCAACATCATCACTGTTTCACTGTGTAGGTGATCTTCCTCTGTGAACTTTGAAAATACATTCTTTTTACTTTTTTTTTTCTGACAGAGTCTTACTCTGTTGCCCAGGCTGGAATGCAGTGGCATGATCTTGGCTCACTGCAACCTCTGCCTCGTAGGCTCAAGTGATTCTCGTGCCTTAGCCTCCCGAGTAGCTGGGATTTCAGGTACGCGCCTCCATGCCTGGCTAATGTTTTTGTATTTTTAGTAGAGATGGGGTTTCACCATATTGGCCAGGCTGGTCTCGAACTCCTGGCCTCATGTGATCTGCCCGCCTCGGCCTCCCAAAGTGCTGGGATTGCAGGCATAAGCCACCATGCCCGGCCTCTTTTTAACCTCTTCTTATGGTTATATATATTCTCCTAGACTGTATACTCAATAAAGATGGGGATCATGACAGATCTCTATTTTCCATAAAATTTTGCATATAATATATGCTTTATAATTGTTTCATTTAAGGAATTAGTTGCTATCAACTGAAATATAAGTGCTTATCATGCATTGAAAACTATTCTTTAAATATTGCCATGTCAAATGCAATTATTACAAATGAAAATTACAGTACTCTAATTAGTACTGGAATCTTACATTTTAAAAACAACCTTAAATTGAGCCAAAATTTAAGATATTCATTCTAACAAATATACATTAAATATTTGTGATGTTAACTATATTACTCATTTTCATCCCTTAACGTAATTGGTAAAAGTTTTATATCTTTCTTTTCAAGGAATTCATTTTAATATTTCCCATTTTTTTCAGTTAATATCATGTAAGTTCGTTCTAAAATAATTCTCTTCTTCTGCCTGACAATTGGGAAATTATTTCCTATGGAAATGTTTTTGGCTTTAGGAAATGCCTAGTTCTCATTAAAATACTTATCTGTAAGTTTGTCTTTACAGAAGATGAATTTACAATTGTGATTTATGGGTTGTGGGTTTAGGGTGTAGAGTGGTTGACCTAATATATTGTGAGTAGAAATAAGAATGCATTCTGGTGACAGTTCTAAAAACATAAGCAATTTTATGCTGAGTCAGTATAAAGAGCTGGCCAGCCTCAGATTTTGTCTGTGCAGTTTCATCAAAAGGAATTTGGGGTGAGGGAAGTTTGTCTCTATGATGTCATTCTAACGTCCTTTCAACGGATTCTTTTTATTCAATAAGCTTTTATTTACAAATTAATATGTGTCAGACCTTGAAGCCAATGCTGAGGATGGAGATGACTGCTTGCAGGAAACTTATAGTGCAGTGGAGAAAATAGACACTCAAAACACATTATTGCAATTAAATGTATGAAGTGGTTTTACAGATAAAAAAGGTGCTGTGGAAGTACACAGAATGAAACAATTAACTTCTTTAGAGGAATCAGAGTACATAGAAAGGTGATATTTGATCTAAGTTAAAATTTGAATAAAAGTTTACCAGAAGGACATTCCTAGAGAGCAGATAAGCAAGTGCAAAGTATACAGCTCTGAAGAAGGCCTGTAATGGTGAAACATTCAATATGGCTAGAGCAAGGAATGTTGGAGCCAGATTGTGAAGTCGCGCATGCCCAATTTAGGAGTTTTTTAAAATTCCCTTTAAGCATCAGAAAAGAAAGCTTTCAATTAGTGGAGAATTTCATGATCAATTGTAATTTTTAGGATAAGAAGTGTATACAGGGGAATTGTAGAAGTGTAGGCAGCAGTGTAGAAGATTGATTGCAACTGGAAATAATGGGATGCAGGGAGAAAAATCTGTGAGGCCACTGAATTAGGCTAGAGCTAAGAATCGCATTAGAGGTCCAAACAATGTCTGTGGAGATGAAGAGACACACTCAAGAGATATAAGTGTGTTCGAATTGATAGAACCTCATAATTGATTACTGGTTGAGGTTGAAGGAAATAACAGAGTCAAGGATGACTTTAAAGTTTTAAGTTTGGGAAACTGAGAGAATAGTGATTAATTTACCAAGAGAAGGAACACAGCAGGAGGAGCAGGTTTGGAAGGGAAAATGAGTTTCTTTTTAGACATGTTAAGTTTAAGATGCTGGTATGACATCCAGGTAGCTTTTCCCATCAGCGATTGGAAAAGTGTGTCTAGGATTCAGAACAGATCTGGGCTGTTGTTATAAGTAGATTTGAGCTCATCAGTGTCTCAGAATAGAGATGCCAGGGGATGGATGAGATTACCCAGGGAGAGTGTATAGAAGGTTGAGACTAGAAAAAGGCCAAGGACAAAAACCTGAATCTATCATCCATGAACTGACATAAACACATTTTGAACCAATTTATATTTTTAGCCAGCACCATCCTTCAGTGCACTGACTTATATAAAATAAAGTATACAGACCCGGGAACTAAAAGTCTGGAAACAGTATCTCATCTGCCACTGACTGCCAATCAGTAGAGACACCTAGGAGGGAAAATATGTACCCCTTTGAAGGAGAAATGACTTATCTTATGTTAGGCGAAATAGTGGGCCTAATTATCATCTTTTTTTGTAAGATCTGGAATCCTCTTTATTGTCTTAGTCCATGTATTACCACCTGTGAGTCAGAAAAAAATGTTTTTAATTTTTGCAAATGTATGTCAGTAGTTGAATCTTGCATCAACCAAGGTAAAGTTGAGCCTAACTCATTATTTTAAAGGAAGAAGATCTCAAAAAATAATTGAGTTTTAGATCAGGAAGGATGAATGCAAACAAAATGTTGATTGGGCACCTGCTATGGTACCAGGTACGGTACTAGATGCCTTTTAAGTTTACTAGTTATGTAAACTTAAGCAAGATACTTCAGCTCTGAATCTGCTTTTTCTTCTGCAAAATTGACTTCATCATCATCACCATCATCACAATAATAATGATAAATTTGGAATTGTACCTATTCTATTCTAGCACTCTGCAAGGTGCTTTACATTTGCTCCTCATAAACACCTGATGAGGTATGCGCTATTATCCCCAGTTTACAGATGAGATAACTGAGGCTTGGAGAGACATAACTTGCCAGAGGTTGCACAGCTAAAGGAGAGGTGAGAGTTAGGATCAGAAATCAAGTCGATGGCTCTAAAGCCCCCATTCTTCACTATACCACACTGTCTTCCATACCTATGTCAGGAGGTTGTGATAAGTATTGAATGCCATCATGAGAGTGATGATCTTCAGGAATTCAAAAAATGTTAGTTTCCCTTCATTTTCTTCAACAACCTTGCCAGCCTCCAGTGACCAAGCGTTTATAAGGAGGTTAAACGCCTTTTCATTCTGATTATCATTAGAAAAGGGCAGATGATATGCTCTATAATTTACCATGAAATATTCCTGAGTCTGCTTATTTCCACTTTTTAGGGAAGTTAATGTTTTATCCAATTGAAGACTTGTTTTGAGAAGTATTAATAAGAGAAAATACTCTATACCAGCTGAAGATATGTTCATATTATCTTTATTTTCCAAAACAGCAGTGCCCTACTCCATGTATATGTGGAATGCTGGACTCTAAAACTGAATTTCTTATTTTCCAAAAGCTTTTGAATTAAGGGATGGACACTAATATAATATTATTCACAATTCTTTGCTAACAGGATGAATGAGCCCTAGGCAGGCTTATTTCATATGACTTTTGGCAGGTTGAATAGCAGGGGAAGATTTCCTAGAGGCACACAGGCTAGCTATTTTTCCCAAGCAGCCTCACATCCAAGGGAGGCATCAATTAACTAAGAAATTAGTATTAAAAATGAAAATATAAATGCATGGAGATATATATACCAAGGGTAATAATTTTAGTTGTGTGAATTGGCCAATAATTTTATATAGATAAGATTAGTTTTTGAATATCTCCATTTTACTGCAAAGTAATTATGAATGAGAAGTCATCCATGCATAAAAAGGAGGTATGTTGAGGACCTGATACAAGTCTCACAAGGTCATAGACTCCTAAGGTATTACAGATGACACAAACATTTCATTTCTGTCATCTAAATCTGTTCTTTTAACGCTTCTTTTTCTCCGAATAGCATTTTTGTTTGGTTGGTTGGTTGTTTTTCTCTTCAGGATTACAACCTAAACCTATATCTCACATTATTGCCATCTGGTGGAAAAAAATTTAAACTGCCATTTTTTTTTTTTTTTTTTTTTTGAGTTGGAGTTTTGTCGCCCAGGCTGGAGTGCATTGGCATGATCTTGGCTCACTGCAAACTCCGCCTTCCAGGTTCAAGCGATTCTCCTGCTTCAGTCTCCTGAGTAGCTGAGATTACAGGCGTGTGCCACCACACCTTGCTAATTTTTGTATTTTTAATAGGGACGAAGTTTCGCCATGTTGGCTAGACTGGTCTCAAACTCCTGACCTCAAGTGATCTGCCCGACTCAGGCTCCCAAATTGCTGGGATTACAGGTGTGAGCCACCATGCCCAGCCCAAACTGCCAATTTTTTTTTTTTTGCCAAGATTACATGGAAGCAAAGTTTATCTGTCATCCATTCATCCATCCATCCAACCATCCATCCATCCATCCATCCATCTATCCATCCGTCCATTTGTTCATTTATACACTTATGCATCAGCATTTATTTAATGTAAACTATGTACCAGGTACTGTTCTAGGTAAATGAAGTTAATCTTGAAATAAATGTACCCTAGTGACTATGATTTTCTCTCTTTTTGCCCCAGTATGATAAGCCACTTCATCCCACAGGGAAAAATGCTTAAGCAGCACTGCCACCTGTGCAGTCTTTGCCCTCAAAATTTGAGAAGTGCATTTCTCTATTCTTATATCAGGCATTTAGCAGTAGTTTAAATGATTGTTTGCTTATATGTAGACAGTTTAGATATCAGTTCCTTCAAAATCCTTGAAAGAACTCTTAATCTCAGGATCTGTATTTACATGGCAAAGATCACAGATGGCAGGTGTAATATTAATGTGGCAAAACCTATGAAATGAAAATTTCAGCAGAATTTGATCACATTTAATGAATTGTCTGCTGTGAGCATACTATGCTTCTAGATGTCACAAGTTTCTAGCACAAAATCCATAATGACTGCTCTGAAAGAACTTAGACTGTAAGAGAAATTAGCCAAGTTATTTAACAATAACTCTAATTGGCTCATGTCTTTCAACTAGTAACATTTGTTCATGAAAATTCATTCAATAAGTATTTACTTACACAGCATCTAAAACTGGAATGGAATGTCCATGACACTTGTGCCACTGCTCCCTCTATTTGTCCCATGGAAGACATCCCTAATTAATCATGATGCTCTTTCCCCTGTTGAGACCAGCTTCAGCCTCACATCCCTTTCAAAATGGCATTTCACGCAAGCATTGTCAATCAATTAGAGTTGAAAAAGGACAAAACCTATTTCTAAACTTTGGTTTGCTTATCTGTACAAAGTTCTTTGTTAAACTATGAAGTTTATAGGTGAGTAAGAAGCAATCTTTGCCCTCAATAAATTCATAGTACAGTTGGGAAGGTACATGTCAATCAGCAATAGTGATGCAATATGATTGATGTGATAATAGTGGTATATGTAAAGTACCATGGGGGTCTAGAAGCTAGAACCATGCCGTGTATTCTGCCTAGGGCATGGTGACATTGATTATGAGAGAAATATCTAGCATTTATGCAACAACAGACCGGAAGTAAGGCACTTTAAATGGATTCTGTTATTTAATCTTCCCAGCAATGCTATAAGGTTGGGATCATTATTATACCCATTTTACAATGAATAAAATAAGCACAGAGATGCTAAGTAACTTGCCCAATATTACAGAGGTAGTAAGTGATAGAACTAGCATCGGAACCCAGGCAGTCTGAAATTAGAGCCCACTGTCATAACTACTATGGACAGATAGACTGCTGTAAATTTAGATCAATTTTAAAGAAATGGTGTCTGTGTGTGTGTGTGTGTGTGTGTGTGTGTGCGTGCGCGTGTGTTGTATCTGTTTATGCATGTGTTTGGAGACATGTAATATTGCTAAAATGTCCATATTACCCAAAGTGATCAATAGATTCAATGTAATCCCTATCAAAATCCCAATGTAATTTTTCTTAGAAATAGAAATAGGTGGTTCTATTCTATGAAACTACGGGAGTAAAAGAGATGACCAGTGAAAATACATACAATCAGAAATAATGAGAGCCAATTATCTTACCCTCAGAAGCACTGAATTTAAAATAGTGGGCAGAAGCAATGAAGTGGTCTTGATATGTCATAGAAGAACAAAAAGGAATGAGTATCACATAAGCCAAAGGAGGAGACTTTTCAGCAGGAAGATGTAACTAATATTGTCAAATAATAGACAGTAACACAGCCAGTTTAGAAGGTCATTGCTGACTTTAGACTAGAGATTGTCCACTTTGACTGGACATTAAAATCATCTGGAGAGTTTTACAAACCTCAATTCCAAGACTGTTCCCCAGACCAATTAAATCAGAATTTCCAGTGGGCGGGACTCAGGCATTTAAAAAAAATATCCTTGGGGGATGCCAATGTGCATCCAAGATAGGGATCCACTGCCTTAAAATAAGCAGTTTCAATAATATTCAATAATATTAGAGAAAGATGCCAACTCACAAGGATTTGAAGGGTGAGTGCAAGTGAATGTAGATGAGTTTATTGCCATAAGGCTCAACTGGAGAATGTTTCTGGATCTCAGTTGGAAGGAAAGGCTTTGAAAGGGGAATGTTCACTGCATCCTCTAAGACAGGAAGTAAATTACAAAATATAGTGGTGAGAAGTTAAAGTAGTTTATGACTTGATGGTCTCACCCAAGAAAAATGAGAGACAGGGTTATGTGCTGAAAGTGTGAATCAAGTCAAAGGCTTCAGATGAGTAGTGAGGTAAGTTTTTGACGAGGCCAAAACAGAATTGCACATGCCTATCTAGAGCTCAGGTGAGGTGGAACTGTAGATGGAGATGTGGGAACATTAATGACAATAAATATTGTTGACCACTATGTGCCAAGTACTCTGCTAACTGAGCTTGCATATATTTTTTATTTAGTCCTTATTTGCAACCCTGTGATGTAAAGATAATTATCATGGTGGTGGGAGGCAACCAAGCAGTAAACTCTGCCCCTACATTTCACCCTCCCTTGCCATTATGTCATCTTGATTTACTACTGTCACCATCAACTAGGAAGTTTTCCACTTAGTGCCAAAACCACAGATGGTCTGGGTTTTGTTTCTAACAAGAGAGGTAATATTTCCTTATATAAACATTTATACAACACATCCCTTCATATAAATGATTTTACAAATTTTGCTGATGAGTATGAATGTATATATTGTACAGGTAAGTCTGGAACCCAGTATTGGAGAAGGGAAAGAAGCCAGAAAAGTGGATAAATGGAGGAGGGAGGTTTATAGTGGTGCAGTGTAGATGTTGCACCTTCAGGCATCTTTTTGAAGGTCATCATTTCTGTAAAACTCCCTCTTTCCCCTTCATCAGTTAGCTAGGAGTATAGGTAACCACAGTCAGTGACAGTCCATCACTTCCTAGATACCAATTTATTACCAAATGGTAGGAGTCACCTAGTAGGGCTAAATTTGATTTAAATAATTTGCTATATATATTCTTAAATTAACTTTATGAAACAATATACAATTACAGCTAACTACATACGTATTACACAAATGTAATTTTACCTTTGACCATCACGTCTCTTTGTGGACATTCTTTAGCTAGGAAAAGCTAGGTCAGTTTCAAAATTCTTTGGTCTTGCTGCTTCTGAGGCTACATGACTTTTTGATCTCAGTCTGAAAATAGCTCTTGCCTCTGCGCATTCATTCTATTTCTGTGGTCTATCTCTGAGCCCACTTTGCTCAATTCTATGTTCAACCCTTTGCTGCTTCTTCCTAAATCTAGATTAAAAACTGTACCATAGTATGAGAATTGATTCTAGTGTTTTCTTCTTAAATAACTCTTCACCAAATGGAATTGTGTATTTCTTTTGAGGATCTACATAATATCAGAAGGAAAAGACTGACTCCCTGGCTAAGTGTCACATAGATGATTGTCCCCTGGGAAACAAAGCAACTGGTTTTTGGGGTACATAATTTTGTTCCTCCTTTTAAATTACTTCAGCTACTGGGCAGGATCAAAGGGGATACATATTCATGGGACTGTGAAGACTGGGAAAAAGAGCTTTGTCTTTTTTTCTTTTAATACTTTAGGACCCATTTATTATATAATTAACACAAAGAGGCAGAGACACGGGTCAGTAAGATAATCTGAATAGATATCATGGCTAACACAATAGATAACATGGCTGAAGTAGCGGGACTGTTCAAGAATGATGTAAAAGGAAAGTTAGTGAAATATAGAAGGAATCAGTTGCTAAACCTAAAGAGTGAAGTGAAAAGACATGGATTTGATTCAGTAGATGACAGGGAACCTCGGAGGGTTTCAGTTCATAGGATTTATTGGAACTATATCCAAATTACATGCTGCTTCTCTTTTATTACAAGGATTTGAGGAAGATTCAGAAATGGCATTTTGAAATGTAGCAATATTTCATATTAACAGTCAAAAGCAGTTTTAAATATCTGCAAAGGCATAACCATGAGGTATGCCAACATGTCCTGTCAGGAAATCATCCTGTCAGCAAACTGTTATTCTGCTTTTTTTGGTCATCTGTGATGCAGAACTGGCTCCATATACAAATAAGTTCTGTTTATTTTCAACACTTTTTTCTCATTATAATTCTGAAAGGGTCTAGAGGTGACGGAAGATAAACTTTGAATCCCTTGAGACCTTGACAATATTCTCATTTGAAGCATTTATACCAAAAGATGAGAATTCTTCTGTCCCACCAGTATAAACTGAGCCATATGCAGTGCTATTTTGGTGCCAGTCATTCTTGTGACACATGAAGTATTTAGTTTTGTTACACCAGAGTCAAACTGTTAGAGGAAATGACCCTTTGTGTCTTTTATGTCATGGAAGAAAGCAGTTAGAAATAAGCTCAAAGGCAAAAATAATTAATAAGGACACACCCAAACCTTTCATGAAATTTAAAGGTTTGAGTTAAGATTTATTTCTCAAGCTTCAACTGAGATATTTATAAGGCTTCACTACTAAAGTCCAATTATGTCTTCTCATTAATGGTTGAAGTCCAAAGTTTCAAGAACACTTAAAAAATTATCACATTGACATACAACCAGGCTGAATGCTAATGTGTCTCAAATTATTCAATAAATATGGTCAAAAATTACCTTCACTGACTTGAAAAAAGTAATCTGTGGTTTTGATAAATGAGATGGTCACAAGAAATGCAGAATTTTATTGTATGTTTTATATGAATACATATACATACTAATGTCATATATTTAGTAATCAGATGCACATACACACACACACACACACACACACACACACACACCCCATACATAAGGAACAGTGAAGTGAATCAATTTGTAATGGGGTTGTTCTCTAATTTTTTTCTATTGATTGCATTTTCTTAAGCAAGATGTACTAGTATATGATAATGGAAAGGCAAAACAGAAGAGATGTTATATGGAGCAGCAACTAACATTCAAACATGGATGCTTATGCTCCTTTTTCTCCTGCAGCTTCCCATCCCACATACTCTAAGCCCCAGGTATGCTTGTCAAGTGCTAGTGGTTGGCAAGCTTTATGTTTCTTATTGGTTTCCTTCAGACTACCTCTAGGATAGAGGACAATCAACCTGATTTCTGAAGCATTCTAACCATAACACACAGCCAGGATATTTAGTCAGTGTGTTCTTTCGAATCTGCAATATGATTGGCAGTACCAAAGCATCTGGCCAATGGACCAGGGAACATACCTGATCAATTTAACTTAAAAGTACAAGCTACAAGCGGGCTGGCTGTACCATCATTCTGCCACCATGATTTTATAATTTACTTTAGAGCTTGGAACAGTATTTGGCACATAATATGTATTCAGTGAATATTTATTGAACAAATTAATTTATTAAATGTATAACAGCACTTTCTTTTGGTAAATTAAGTTGGAAAGAGACTCAAATTAGAATTTTCCCTATTTGTCACATTGATTGTTATATATATATATATATATATATATATATATATATTTTAACTTTTCATAGAAAAGTATGTGGTAGTTTTAGTAAATGATGTTTTGTCATAACATAAAAATCAAGTTTAGATAAAATAATTACACAACTGAAGTCCAAGTTCATAACCCTTTGCAGTTAACAAGAGTTAGTCTAAAATTTATTGGCTAAAGGCTTTCTAAAATACATGTGTCTTCTTTATACCACTCCTTGGTTTGTAGAATTGCATTTGGATGTGGAATTGGTTTAGAACATTGTTTGTATACACAGAAGGATGTTATTCTGGTCAGCTGCTTCCACTTTCATTGCACTAGACTATAGATATAGAAGCCATTGAAGAATGGCCTCAATGTAGAAATGAAGAGAACCTAAAAGCTTGGAGGTGGCTTTGTATTTTTGATATTTGTCTCATTTTTATCAATGCCAACTACTGGGGTGAATGGAAATGTAGATATTCCAATTAAACAAGGCTACTTTTTATTCTGTGGTTTTTTTTATTAATTGTGGCTGCACTGTACTAATAAGATGATTCAAAATGTATATTTGAAACTTTTATTTGCATGTATTTATGTACTGTGGGATTAAAATGTACATTTCAATATAAAGTCTGAAGCCTATGTTGTTAGAATTGTGACTTCATAAGAATACTGTGAAGTCTGTCACAGTAGAATTTATAATCTTACATGACATCCGAATTCAACAAGAGTGTCTTGAGAAAGTTGCCTTTTTAACAAACTAAACAGACTTTTCACAGTCATTCTTTTGGTAAAACACGTGCACTTTTACTAAAATAAAGCTTTAAAACATGGGAACTATAAAAGGAAAACAATTATGCAGTTTTTATTACTCAGGTTCGGAACCAAAGTTCATAGCACTTAAAACTGAATCACAAGGCTGTCAAGGACCTTGAGAGAACATACCTTTCAGGCAGGACCACACTAAGCCTACCCAGCTAAAAATTACATAAAATTTGATTCTATTTCAGCCCTATCACCAAGCTTTTGTGATAGTGTGTTGATTTTTTACTGCCTACATTATTATAATTCTACATAAACTTTCATTCTACTTATACTTAAGTCTCACCAGAGTTCAACTCAGCAATCACTATTTCCAAAAGAAGTATTCAATACCTATTTGTTGATCACTGATTTTGAAGGCATCAGGAAATTTCTACCATTTTCTAGTGTTTGACAGTATTTAGTACTAAGCACATTTTACTAAAATTCCACTGGTCCTTTCCTCTTAGAGAGCATGGAGTATAACCAACAACCATTAACCAGTAAGTAGATACTTTGATACAGTGCAATATTTTGCACGTAATAGGTCAAGTATTTAACAAACATTTAGTAAATTGAATTAAAAAGTTGATTGTTTTTGTTTTGATGTATTTGTTGCTTAATTATTCATGATGGTATAATAGAAAGAATACTGAACTAATAGCAATTTGGGTTCAAATTGCTCTTTTACTTAATAGCCTAGCACAGTATCATCACAGAATAAGTGCTTAGGAAATATTTCCTGAATGAATTAATGAATTGAGTTGAATAAATGAAGCCTTGGGCCCCCTTTCCCCTGCAACCCTCTCATATGGCTCCTCTCACTTTTCAATGTGCCTCAAGGATGGCTTTCCCCTGAGGCCACTGTTTCTCCATCAAGGGTGCCTTTGGAGCCTACTCTTCATTATCCTATGCTCTACAAACCAAATTCTTTACTACAGCACTAAGACTCCTCTACCCTATGTTAAAAACCAACAAGCCTCAATAAAATACTAAACCTACTTCATGGTACATGCCATTCAGCTATACCCCTACCAATCTTAAAGGCATGGCACCTCATTTCTTTTATGTTTTTGGATCTGATAAAATTATTCCTATTGATCCAAATTTGGCTATACTCCTGGGTACATTTGCACCAGCTCTCATCTCTGACTGAAACACTGTTCCAAACCCATTCTTCCCCTCTAGGGGAAGGAACAATAAAGTGGATCAATTTGTAATGGGATTGTCCTCTAATTTTTTACTTGGCTAGGTACTTCTCAGCCTGTGAGTCTCCATTAGAGTCTCTACCTAGAAACTACTTGCTCTGGAAAGCCTGCCTTGGTGCCGTGCAATCTTGGGTGGATGCTCCTGCTGTATACTCCTACAGCAGTCTGTACTTATTACTACTGTAGCACTAATCACCATGAATTGTAATTGGCTTGTTTGTTTCTCCACCTAGACTGTAAACTTATTGAGGTCAGGAACTATGCCTTATTTACTTTTATAAACCCTGTCATATAGTAAGTGCTCAACAGTTTTTTTCTTATAATGAGATAACTTTTACAACGTTTTGTTTCCACTTATGTAAAGTGAGGATGTTTCCTCGCTGTGGTGCAGAGGATCAATGGAAATTGTATACATAAATCATTCTGAAAAGTGCCAGGACACAAGAATTATTCCTGATTGTCAAATCCTTTCACAGATGCTTTTAACACACAGATTGCCAGTTTCAGCCATTTTCAGAGAGAGATTTTCTCTTCATACTTAGGATCTAGTAAGTTGTGTCACTGTAAATAACAGAATGAATTGGAACTTTATACATAGGAATAAGGGAGAATCCTATCTCCACACCAGCCAGTCGGACTTTGTTGAGGATCTTAAGTTCCCATGCCCTTGCTCTGTAACTTCATGGTATAGAAATAGAGCAATAGTGGAAACAGGTTTAACAAAATTCTTAGTCCTATCATGGTAACTACAGTTGTAATACCTCCAATTAAGCTGCTATGAAACACTGGAGAATTGTTTTCAGTTCAAATCTTCTAGAGAATGTCTCTGATAAAAATGACGCCTGTAATCCCAGCATTTTAGGAGGCCAAGGTGAGTGGATCACCTGAGGTCAGGAGTTCGAGACCAACCTGGCCAATATGGTGAAACACCATCTCTATTAAAAATACAAAAAATTAGCTGGGCATGGTGGCAGACACCTGTAATCCCAGCTACTCAGGAGGCTGAGGCTGGAGAATCGCTTGAAGCCAGGAGGCGGAGGTTGCAGTGAGCCAAGATCGTGCCACTGCACTTCAGCCTGGGCAACAAGAGTGAAACTCTGTCTCAAAAACAACAACAACAACAACAACAAAAATACACAATTAACATCAGATAATACAATTTTTAAACCCTGAAAGAGTATTGATTAAAATAAAATTCCTAACATTTATCTTTTTTATGCACATTAATCAGTTGGTTTAGAAGAGTCTTGCTTGACTACAACTTGTTAAAGCATCATGGCTTTTGTACACTGTAGATTATGTAAACTTTATGCAAAATAGCTCAGCAGTAGATCTTGTGCTCCCTCTAATACATCCTGATGGCATTGACCCCATAAATGGAGTTTTAGTGAATCTTCAACAGCAGATGAGTCTTTCCCCATAGTGTTCTTCATCACGTTCTCTGTTGCCTTCATGCCACAAACTCATTTGAAAGGTTTTATGATCCAATTACTACCAACAACTATTACTTCAGTTACTATCATTACATAGCCATATTTATTAAAAATTCTGTACATACTAGTGGATCATTTTATTGTGAAGTTCAGGAACTGTTAAAATTTTGAACAAATTAGTCCAAACAGTGTCCTTTATTGCTAGATTATGGGAGGCAGATTCTATTGATGTTGTAGTTTGAATAAATGGAAATATTGCTCTTTATGATACAGATGGCCTTCCTAACTAAGCATTTACTGGATTATTTTACAACTAAGTCTACTCAGAGTGAGAATGAAAGAGTTTCTAATCTTCCAAGGGATTTTTTTTCTTCCTTGAAAGGTTAGGATAACTAGAATTGGTAGCTCATAAAAAGTATAAATCAATATTGCCATTGACTTAATCCACATAAGAGGCTTAACTTCATAGGTGACTTCTGAACAGCTGAAACAAAACAAAAATCAGTCTCTGGTGAGTTCCCAAGTTTAAAATGAAGTTGAAAGCTGTTACAGAAAAATGCTTCTAGAATAACAACGACAGCAGGATGGGACCTTGTAAACCATTATACTTCAGCAAGTAAATCCTCGTGCTTACCCATTTTAAAGAACAATAATAGCTCATCTTTAATTATGTGTCAGACACTGTGTTAAGCATGATCTCATTTAACCTTTAAAATAACCCTGTAATATTTAGCCACATTTCTAATCCCCATTTTACAATTTATGAAATTGAGGCATGGAGAAGGAGGTTATAGTAAACAGCCCAGTTGAAACTTGAACATATGTCTACTGGACACTAAGTATCATGCCCTTAATCAATATACTGTAATGTATATGTAGAAAGGCATTCATAAAATATAGTCATTGGTGTTCAAATGGGTCTATAATGAGAGCTGATGCTCTTTACATACAATTAGAAATATCTGCATGGTTTTCCTAGTTAATAGGGAATGGTATACCCTGAGCCCTCTGCACTTAATGTCAGGGATCCACTATGATTAGCATTAGGCCAATATAATTTGCAAGATTGCTGTGCAAGACCGAAGTGTATGCCATGGCCAAGGGACAGTGTTCTTTCCTTTGCCAGATGAGCTGTCTAGGGTGAAGATCAAATTATTGACCTCTCTCTTTCTAACACTATGAACTAACTAGCTGAATTAACTGAGCCAAAAATAATTTACTCAATGATAACCAATTTACTCCAAGGTGTTCACTGGATTATTTGACAACTAAGTCTACTCAGAGTGACTTCTTTTTAGTTTTTTTTTTTTTTTCAGTTTTACAGCTTCACTTCTTTTAAAGTTCATACCATCTGACTATTGTTTTCTCCTTCCTTCTACCTCATTAAGGTGGTTTGTCAATCTTCAGACTTACAGACATTTTTCAGCGTTTGATTTTTGCATCGTGGTCTTTCTTATTTCATTCCCTACCACTATTTGCAGGAAACGCAACATTTAGGTTAATGATTTTTCTTAGAGTTTCTTGAAATACTTAGCTCTTGTCAAGATCACCGAGGTCTCCATGGTGCTAAATTCAATGGTCAATTCTTAGTTTTCATCTTGACCTTTCAGCAGCATTTGACACCGCTGATCATTCACTGTTTCTTCTTTACCTGGTTTTCAAGATATCATATTCTGAGCCTCCTCTTATCCTACTGACCATTCTTCTAACTCTCTTTTATTGGATCCTTCTCATCCTCCCAACTATTAAACATCAGACAGCCTGAGAATCCAGCCTTCAGACCTCTTCTCTTACCTTTGCTACACTTATTCCCTTGGTCAGATCATCCTCTTTCATACGGTTAATATCATTTATATACAGAAAACACTTACATCACCAGCTTTGACCTCTCCCTTGAAATTCGGATTCATATATCCAGCTGGTTATTTTTTATTTCCACTTGCATGTCTGATACGTATCTCAAACTTAACATATCTGTATCGGACACCTCTGATTCACCTCGCATTTTCACCCCACCTTTTTATTCCAGCTATTGCTGCGCCTACTAGCTGCATGCAGATATACACTAACAACACGTTTTTTTCAACTGCATCAGATAGCTCTCATTCCTGCCTTTTCTGCTACTTGTATGTGGAATGCCTGTAGCAACCCACTCAGCCATTCTGAGGCATGTGCAAGCCTGGAAGTGTGAGAGGGTTAACACATCATGGGACATCCCTTGATCTAGAAGAGAAAGAATCATTCATGACTGCCTCCCTCTTTTGTATTTGAGCAGACAATTCTCCCAAGCATTTTACAAGCTCTTCAGAGGGTGCCCTGTAAGATCAAGCTTCAGCTGCTCTCAGCTGTGACCAGCTCAAAAACTCACCCTTTGACTTGCCTCACTTCTTTATTTCACTTTTACTGATCCTCCATTCTTATTTTGGGGATCACTTTCCAAAATTTACTTCCTACACACAATCCCTTCTTTCACTGTCTGCTTTTTGGGAAAACCAAGCTGAGACAATATTCAAAACAGAACTCCTGACCCTCCCTTCAAAATCTGCTCCTCCGACTTTTTCTGTCTCAGATTCTGGCAACTCTTATGTCCACATATTTATATCAAAAACCTTGATATGATTCGTGACCTCATCCATTTTACCATCAAACCTTGTCATCTCTGTCTTCAAAATATATCCAAAATCTGACTAATTATCATCACCTCTTTTGCTACTACCCTAGTCCAAGCCACCATCAGTTCTCATATTGATTTTTGCAATAGGCTTTTGACTGATTTCTCTCCTTTTATGCTCTTACACCCCTACAATTTACTCAAAATACAATAGTCAGAGTGATACTCTTAAAGCCCAAAGCCTATCACTTCCCTGCTCAAAACCTGGCATGGCTCGCCATCTCACTGAGGACACAGACCTACATAATGTGGCTTCCCTTTCCATGTGTGACTCCATCTCCTGCTACTCTCTTTCTCAACCATTCTGTTACAACCATTCTGTTGTGATTCTGAAAAATATAGGCAATCACTATTCCCTCTGCCTGAAATGTTCTTTCCCTTGATATCTACCTGGATAGGGACCTGGCTCGGTCTCTTGCCTGATGCAGGTTCTTACCCAGATGTGACCTTCTCAGAGAGGCATTCCCTGACTACGCTATTGAAAATTACAACCCTCCTCCAACACATTTGTTTTCCTGCTTTTTTCTTTCCATAGTGCTTATCATTTAGGTGACCATATGATTTATTGTCTAAACTGGGACATTTTTTAGAGTGAAAGGGTGTGCTAGGAGTAATTACACTAAGACCACACATATAAACCAGTACTATCTGAGAAAACTGAGACATTATGGTCACCCTATTTATCACCATCTGACATACTATTTTGCTTATTTCTCTTTATGCTTTACATATTTATTTATATTTCTATATACATATTTACTGTACTATACGTTCAAATATGTATAACTATACATTTATACTTATTAGTATATTTTTATTGTATTCATTTGTTTTCTGTCTTTCATACTAGATTAAGTTCTGTGAGAGCAAGGAATTTTGTATTTTGTTCTTTGCTGAGTCCCAGTGTTTGAACACTGCCTAGGACACACTAACCAGGTGGTAAATATTTATTTAAGTAAAGCAAACCAACAAAATACTAAAATAATGTCTGGCACATAATTATCTTTCAATATTGCTTATTGTTATCAATACTTATTATTAGTGTTGTTGTTGTTTGTCCTCAAACAAAAGCTATTACTTTCAGCTCTGAGTGAGAATGGTATATTTTAGATGATATTGCCCTATTTTATTTACTCCTCAGTAATATTTTTATGAGCTGCCTGTATAGAGATGTTTGCATCTGCCAAATAATTTTTATTTAAGTGGCCTGCTCTTCTCCAGCTTTTTAATCAGGATGCTTAGTAGTTGGGTGGCTTACAAGCCTTTGTGATTCATGACATACAGATGAATTTTTCTTTTATACATCAGGGTAGATAATAAAAAAAATTAGCTGGTAAACCCTAAACCCTTGTATGAGTTCCTATTTTAAAATATATTGGATTAATTTATTTAATGTCCAGTTGTGAACATGTTTAAAAGACTCTTGAACTTATCATTATAATAATAAGCAGGATATCTCTTTTATACTTCATCCAGTTGGGAAACATAGCTAAAAATATCTTAAAAGAATGATTTTGAGTTCTTTCAGTGAAATTCTAGAAATGCAAATTCAGATAATTGTAATGATCAATCATTTACTGGTATGTTAATTTCTTAATGCATTCAATTTATCAGCAGCAGGTTTTTCCTAATTCTAAAGAAGCAATGCTTAATTCTCTTTTTACTGATTAATTGTAGAGAATTATACTTCTGGCAGTTGACAAAGGGACTTACATGGCTTGCTTCAATACCATTCAAGACATAGGTAAATAATAAAAGTAAACAATTCATGAGAAGTGGAAACATAATTAACAGCAATCTTATGACTGTTTGTCTCCTCTTGCAAAAATCCTAGTAAGCTATGGCATGAGCTTCCAGTTTTCTCTGGATAAGAAGTACTTGTTAGCTAATCAATGTATAATCCCCAGTGATCCTTAAATATTAAAAAGTTGACATTAGCCAATTAGATAATTCAATTGGACAAGCATTTATGGAGCATTTGCTATTCAAGAAATTTTCTTTTGGTCACAGACAAAAATTTAATACAGCAGCACCGCTTTATAAAACTCATGTTGAGAAGCATAACTGATAGCTTTTTTATTTTGGCTTTTGTTTTACTGAGCTTTTATTTTTCAAGACACAGGATTTTCTCTGCAGTACATTTGTAGCCTTATAATCGTGTGCTGTGTTATAATAGGATTGAGCTTTATTGAGATATGGTTGAATTGAAAGTTCACTAGGTAAGTTCTTTCATTTTAATTCTGAATTCCATGCTGAGTAGCTTTGTCTTCTAACCTTTTGTGCAGATAGTGTCCCTTATTCCCATTTGCCCCCTTTTGGATTGCCTCTACTATGTGGTCTACTAGAAAGATCATATCACTGGGTCAAAACTCATGCTTTCAATTTTGCTTCTTTCACTCACTGAATGACCTCAGGTCTTCTTTTAACCGCCTTTACTAGTATATTAATAGTCACCTGGGGTCTGGTGGCACAGTTAATCAAAGACCTAAAAATAATTTGAAATGTACAGCCCTCCCTTCTGCCTCTAGAGAGAATCTTCGAACCAAAGAAGAAAAGTAAAATGAAAAGAGAGATTTGCTAGGATAATCAACAAGATCTCTGTGTGATGGTTTCCTTTTCAGCACTGGCCTGTCTGATCCTCCTTAGTCTCCTAAAACTGAAATGCTCGTTTCTGAGATTCTTCTTTATAATTCCTCATTTGAAGAACAGACCTTAGAAAGTGACAAGACATCTATTTGAAATAAAAATAATAAAACTGGCGATATGTCTTTATCTGCTTGTGTTGAGATACGAAAGAACAGAAATGACTTCCAAGTTATATGCTAATATAATATTGAGCATGATATACATGAAGACATGGTTCAGAAGAAGTGTTTGAACCCTAGCAATAGACAAATTGTAACAAAAAGGCAGGTAAGAATTTAGTTCTCCTCTAAATTACATTACCATTTCTTTTTCTCCGCTGTTTTTTACCTCTCTGCCCAATGCTATGACCAGTATTCAGTGACTTCCTGTTACTGTTAATAGACTTCTACTTTACTTGGTTAATTGTAGTCTTATCAAAATAATTGTGAAAAATTCAAAGGTACATTTTGGAACTATTCATAGTGAGCCCTGCGGGGCGGGGGGGAAAGCATAATCTTCAAGGTGAACTTTAGTGTGCTTTAAGCACATTCCTCTCCAGTGGGGAGGATTTCAAAACTTTTGTCGTTTCTGTAGGCAATGAGGTGGATATATTAGAAGCGTGAAAGACAGGTTGAAAGTGATCAGTTAGGAAAATGTTGCAATAATCTAGAGAAAGAGATGATTAGGAGCTTAACTTAGGCATTAAATATCCAAATTTTCTAAAAGGGAGACATACATAGGAGATAAATTTAAATTGGCAAGACTTAGGGGCTAACTGGTTGTAAGCAATGAAAGAGAGAAAATAATAAAGATTTCTGAAAAAAACTGGTTTGGCTGTGTCCCCACCCAAATCTCATCTTGAATTGTAGCTCCCATAATTTCTACATGTCATGAGAGGGACCCAGTGAGAGAAAATTGAATCATGGGGGCAGTTTCTCCCGTACTATTCTCATGGCAGTGAATAAGTCTCAAGAGATCTGTTGGTTTTATAAGAGGAAAACCCTTTCACTTGGCTCTCATTCTCTTTTGCCTGCTGCCATGTAAGACATGCCTTTTGCCTTCCACCATGATTGTGAGGCCTCCCCAGCCACGTGGAACTGTGAGTCCACTAAACCTCTTTTTCCTTATAAATTACCCAGTCTTGGGTATGTCTTTATCAGCAGCTTGAAAATGAACTAATACAATTTCTATCTTTGGCAAGTCATTAAAGAGGAGGATGGTGCTAGCAATCAACAAAGGAAGGTAGGGAAGCAAGAAGGCAGAGTTTTAGGGGGAAAAATAATGATTCTCTTTTGAACGTGACTTCACAGGGCTGTAGTTTCTCCAGATAGAAATATCTAATTTGAAGTTAGATATACAAGACTTGGAGTACTGGGGCTAGAAAATGGATCTGGATATTGTTGATACATAACTGATATTTGAGACTGGTGTGATCACACTGGAAGAGCATGTACAGAGTAGAAAACATAAAAGGAAGAGGCAATTGACAAAATCATGTAGCACACTAAACATTTAAATGACTGACAGGAAAAGGATCCCAGGAAAATTGCTGAGAAGTGGACTAATGGAAATTCAAGACAAGTGGTATTATAGAAGACAAGAAAGAACAAATAATCCAGAAAGAGGGAACAGTATCGTATATGAAAAAAAGGTCTCGTTAAGTAAAGACTACAATATTTACCAGTTTTGGCATTTAGGAGTTTATTGCTGACTTTGAAAAAAGAGATTTTTAGTGTAGTAGTAGAGAAATAAGAAAGATTTCAGTGGGTTGATAAATAAATGCAAAGAAAAGGAAGTGGAGACATCAAGTATAGGCTTTTAAGATGCTTGGCTGAGAAGTGATGGGATGGTCAAGGAGAGAGGGGCAATAGCTAAAAGAGAACACAGGTTTTAGGAAGGAATTTTTTTGTTGTCTCATTAATTTGTTTTTTTGGATGGAAAAGAAACATAAGCATGTACATTAACCTAGTCCTGCCCCTCCCACAGTGGCAATGAATAAATATTTGAAGTATGAATGAATGAATACTTATAGTCAAGGGAAAATGAACTAATGAAGAAAAAATATTAAGTGATAGAAAAGAGAGGTAGTATCTGATGGAGCAAGGTCCTGGAGAAAGCCTAAATAAAGGATCCAGAATACAGATGGAATTTTTGGTCTCTGAAACATGAGAGGAGCAGGGATAATTGAGGGAATGTGTCATGTCTCGTAGCATCTGCTGTCTATGTTAAGTAGGAGACAATGTCGTCTGCCAAGATTCAGGGAGAGAGGGCTGTGAGTAGAGTAAGAAACATTAGCAGAATGAACAATGAGACAGAAAAAAATCTGGAAAGTGGTAGTAGGGTTGCAGGGAAAGTTAGTATATAAGTTAGAATCTCGGTTGTAAGTGACAGAAAGTCAACTCAAACTAGCTTAAGCAAAAAGTGGTATGAATTTATTGGCTCAGGGAACAAAAGAAAGTTTAGAATAGCAAACTGTAGAAAGGGCAAGGATATGACTGACATAGGAAATAACTGGAGCTAATGAATCAAATATGATCAATATAGTATTTATATTTTTCTAGTGGGCATTGAATTTAAACTTCATTTTCTTTCATGTACACAGGCTTAGTAAACACAAAGTGTGAAACATGGCTCATACAGGCTCTTGACCATCTCTTCTTACCACCCTGATATAGAAGCAGTGTATTTAATGGGTCCAAGACCTAGAATCCTAAGCAAGGACTTTGATTAGCCTTGCTTTGTTCAGTTGCCCACTCCTGCATCAATCACTTGTGGCCAGGGGTAGGACCTGCAGAATGTACTTTGATTGACAAAGCTTAGGTCAGATGTTCACACATGAACTGATGACTGTGGCAATTGAGTCCATCATTCAATGAGAATTTTTTGTGTTCTGACAATGTTTCAGATCTTGTTTTAGGTGTTGGGGATAGAGTTGTGAAAAACATAGACATGGTCCCTACTTTTAAGAGCTTATACTCTAGTAAGGAGAGATTGATAATAAACAATATATTTTGGCTATTGATATATTTTATTAAAAAATTAAAACAGGATTATAACAAAGAGTAACTGGCAGTAGGGTCTACTTTATTTAGCCTTGATGGTCAGGGAAGTCTGAATAGCTGACACCTGGATCACAAGAATAAGCCAACTATTTGAAGATTTGGATGAATATTATTCAGACAGAGGGAAGAACAAGGGCAAAAGCCCTGACTGATACATAAGCTTGGGATATTTAATTAGCAGAAAGAGGGCCGCTGTGAGTGGATCTTAGTGAGTGAAGAGAAGGGTAATGTGAGATGAGGTGGGAGAAGTTAGCAGGAGCTAGATCACATAGGACTTTGAAGCCACTGTAAGGAATGGCTATTAGGATTTATCCAGTCAAATCAAGTGCCTTTTCTTATAGTAATCATTCGAATTGAGGGCCACGTTCCTGGGAAAGGGATATTAAATACAGTAATTTTAATTTTCTTATCAGTCCAGGTGCAGAAACAGTGGAAACCAAGGTAAAACTTCTTGGAGGTTCGACTGATAAGATAGGTCAAGTAGAAACATGAGGGAGAAGGCAGAGGTAATGCTGTTGAAAGACTAGTTAAAACAGCTGATCCTGGATTCCAGACCACCATAGAAAAGAGCAGAAGTTAGGAGAGGGACTGATTGGGAAAATAAAAGAAGGTTATCAATCTTGTGGTCTTTGTCAAGGTTGAAAAGTAGGTTTTATGGCCATGAGGAAGTCCAATAGGTATAAGCATAGGCTATCATTGGCGGAGTAAGATTTCCTAGTCAAAGGTGTTGTAATGTCCTTTCTTATTCAGATGAATACTTGTTTTTATATATTTATTTGTATCCAACCTAAGTCCATAAATACCTTGTTAGTGTACCCAGTTTCCAAAAACTTGCTGATTGGGGTTCAAAAATACTCTATCTCCCCGCCTCCCTTTTTAAGTTGTGATCTTTTCCATTATTAAACATTGGCTTTTTTCCCAGGGATGGCACTGAAGAAGAAAATCAATGACATATCTAGCCAGCCAGCTTGGACTGAATGGGCATTCAAATAGACTCCAAGGGCCAAGTACAGATGGTGATTTATTGTGCATACAACTTCTACAGAGTGCCTTCATTTGAGCATCGATGTATATACAATTACTCACCAGAATGCTGCAGTTTTACTATTTAGCCAGGAATCTGTGGAGAGATTATGTTCACTAAGAAATCCACACATGTAGTTTCTACCCTTTTCAGCAACTCTAGAAACTCTCAGTAGTCTTCTGCATGAAGAAAAGAGATTTCAAAAATAGTTCTTCCATTTTACCATATTTCTCACTATTGTCATCCTTATGCAATTCCCATTTCAGAGCCAATTCAGATTTATTAAACCATGTTCCTCTACTGGCATGTAAGTAGATGGATTTGCTAGAGGCAAATCATTTACTGTGGCTATTGTGAAACCTAAAATTGCAGTAGTCGTCTCCACATATCACAGGCTTTCTTATTGTAAAAATCATTTTTAGGCAATGTTTATGTGATATTGAAACAACCAAGTGGAAGTTCAACTGTTTAAATGAAGCAGATATTTGACATCACACAGGCAGAAAAACAATGAAGGCACTTCTAAATTCCTTTTTCTCACGGAAAACAGTTTGAGTGGCCAGTTTGCCCTTATAATTTGAACTTCAATTGAAATTGTTAGCAGGTTATTTATAGCTTTAGGAGGATAATTTCCAAAAATCTTGCTTTTCCTCTCTGGCCAAATATTACCTAATTGCTATCCTATTTCAGAAATGGCATCATGTCCAGACATTTATAGGTTTATATTGTATTCGTGTTTTATTATATTAAGGAGACTGGGTTGTTGGGGTTTACATCAGGAATTGAATTATGTTGCTCTTTGCATAAACATATATGGAGTTATATTACAATGTATTTTCTTTAATATTTTGGCTAAATTTCAGTGAAAAATGTTAATAATTTTAATAGAAACACTTCAGACCAATCTTCAACGCAAGCAATATGATGTCAAGATTAATAGAAGCTATAAATAAAAAGAAGCTGTAATAATATTGATAAAAATCAGCTCAGCAAATGAAAATGAGGAAATTCAATAACAAATAATATACTGCAATGACATAGCCCATCGAGTTGCTATATGAGGCAGGATGAAAAATAGCCCTTTAAATTATTTATGTACCTTGCAGTATAATCAGTATCTTGGATAGTAAGCTACTAGAAGGCATAAACAAACATCGTTTGTATGGTGCTAAGTTTATCACCCTCAAATTAAATGTAAATATATGCATCTGATGCTGCGTAGTAGTGCTTCTTCTAATGTTTTTCTGTCCATCATCATTGACAGACTTTTCAGCTCTTATTAGGGTTTTCTTTTCTTATCTGTATTTTCTCTTTCCTTTCTCAGGGAGTATCTTCTTTTGGATCTTAGTATGAGTTTTGTTATGGAAAAGCTCAGGGTCTATGTTGGTACAGATACAGGGAGAAGCACTTAGATGAGCATCATCTATTTATTTGCTGAGCATTGCAATAAGCACTATTGGAGCAGGAAACATACAATTTATGGACCCTATCCTCTATGTATAGAGTCTAGACAGGAGAAATAAACATATGCCTTTGGGGAAGTTTAAAGGCACTTAAATATAACTATTCAAAAAATTGAAATTAGCTGATTGTTCCATGTTGTTTGTAATCGAATCCATTCATTTATGATAACAGTGTATCTCTATATAGTTATAGTCATTATTGATTTTCTATTATTATATCATTTGTTGAATAAATGAGTAAATAAATGGGTGAATATCTTTAGTGGTTTTTGCCAGTATTTATTTACGGCTGAAAGATCGTGGATAAGTGCTTAATAGTTACACTACTTTTTTTTTTTTTTTCTTTTTTGAGGCAGAGTTTCACTCTTGTTGCCCAGGCTGGAGTGCAATGGCGTGATCGTGGTTCACTGCAACCTCCGCCTCCCTGGGTCAAGCAATTCTCCTTCCTCAGCCTCCCAAGTAGCTGGGATTACAAGCATGTGCCACCACGCCCAGTTAATTTTGTATTTTTAGTAGAGATGAGGTTTCACCATGTTGGTCAAGCTGGTCTCAAACTCCTGATCTCAGGTGATCTGCCCACGTCGGCCTCCCAAAGTGCTGGGATTACAGGTGTGAACCACCATGCCCGGCCTAGTTATACTACTTTTTAAGAATTGTGAATAGGCACTGAATATCTGTTCATCAAGATTGTACCTCTGTGATTAACCAGGCTTGATTTTGCACCAAAACAGTACAGCATTGTCATTGCACTCTTAGTATTTATTTTGCATTTGCTTAGTGTTACATCAAGAAATAGAGAACATCTATTGTGTGCCAGACAAAGTACTAAGCACTGAGTACAGTGGTGAATGAAACAAATATATACCCCGTCTTCATTGAGCTGATAAACTACTTAGGGATACCAAATAGTGCTATGAGGTGCTATGGTGACCAACAGAGTGTATTCTTAGAAGATAACAGGGTGAGGCTAGGGATCTACTTAGTGTGTCCAGGGAAGTAATCTTTAAGCTGAGATAAGAAGGATAAGGAAGAGCGGAGCATGTGAAGAGCCAGGGACTGAGCATTCCAAGCAAGGGGAAACAGCATGTCCAAAGACTATAAGGCACGAAAGAGTTTGGTGTGTTTTAATGACTGTAAGGAAACCAATGTGATTATGTTGCAGAAAGGGAGAGAAAATGTACTACATGATGAAGTTGGGGAGTCAGGTGGAGACAAGACCTAAGGGCTTTGAAAACTATGCCAAAGATTTTAGACTTTCTCCTAAGGTAATGGGACTATATTGATTGGTTTTAATCAGGGGCAGCAGTGGGGTTCACATATATAAAAGAGTACTTTGGCAGTTGTTTGGATAATGGATGGGGAATACAAAAAGGAACAAGAGAAATCAGTTATCAAGTTACTGCAGAAGTCCATGCAAGAGGTGAAGCTAGAGGCAAGTGGACTAATTTGAGATATATTCTTGAGATATAACCTAAAGGACCTTATGTTCAGGGCTGTATTTGAGTGGACAGGAAGAGGGAAGAATCAGGAATCAGTCAGGGTTCTGGTGGAGGAAACTAATGTCCGGAAAACTGAGAAAGGAATAGGTTTCAGGTTAGAAATCAAGAATTCTGTTTTAAATATTTTCATTTTTAGATACTCATGAGACATCTAAGAATATAAATAGGCAGTTGCATTTACCAGCCAATGATGTAGCAATTTCAGATATTTCTGCTGTAAAAAATTATTGACATGAGTGTTTGAATGTCATGCTTTAATTGATTTGGTAAACATTTGTTGGGTCTCTGCTATGTCGCAGGTATTGTGCTAGGCACTGGGAATGCAAAGGCATAGTTGCTGCCAAAAAGGAGTTTATTATAATCAAATAAGGAGACTGAAAAAAAAGCAGATAATTTAAAACACAGTGTGATAATAACAGTAGGAGGAACATCTAACTCAAATAAGGGGTTAGAAGGGTCGGGGAAAGTTTCCTGGAAGATATGACATCTGAGTTAAGTTCAAAAGTAAAATCTAGCCAGGCACAGAGGAGCAAAAGGCTGTGTTAGGAAAAATTGTACCAATAGTGGATTTAAGAAAAATACAAAAGTGAGCATCTTAATATTTCTGGCCACAGAATATTTTATGCCTATTACAATTATTATTAAATATGTCCATAATATCAGAATCATCGAAATGAAAGAGCTGTTAGAAATCATCTAGTATAGCCACTTAGCTTTACAGAAAGGGAATTGGACTCAGGGAGAAGTGAACTGTCCAAATCATCAATAATTCTACTATAACTTTTTTGTTTTCAAATATTGTAAGTTTACTGTCAATCCACTGTCTAAATGGTGCCCCAAAGCATTAATTTAATCCTTCAAATTGCCCACCTGTTACAAGAGGATATTTTATTTCCAGAGAGATTTTGTTGTTCTCAACTCTCCTCAGTTATTATTTTCCACTTAATTCACAGTGAACAATGTGAAACGATCTTTCAATAAGTGATACCTATACAATTAAACAGCTTTGTGTAACATACAGGGAGATATTTAAAATATAATCTTTCAAAAGAATGTTCATAGTCACATTCTCTTTATTCCTAAACCATTTATAGGGCTCCATTTTCTTCCACTGGGCAAACCAATGGGGTTTTGGGAGAAAGATGAAAGAGTTGATTACTCAAAATTCAATTATATTTGGTTATCTTATAGCCCTTTTGTTTCTACTGCTCCTATCTTCTGCCGGACTAACACTCTGATCTGCTGCACCACTGGTTTCCTACCTGTTCTGCCACCGTTGTTTCTAACACGCTAAGAAATGCAGTTCCTCACAAGCCATACAGGCAGTAGTCAAGAAGAATACAAAAGGAGAGAACATAATCCATTTTCCTTTCCCTTCTGTCCCTGAAATGCCAAATACACAATATAAAGGAGCTGAAATCTTTAGCAAAGAGGGCAGAGTATGCCATGACAATAGCAGCAGTGTCTCCAAAAGCAAAGTATTGTATAGTAGGACCTAGCTAATTTAGACCAGTTGAGAATAAGCTCATCTGAATGTTTGAATATGTTAGTAAGAATTGCATTTTCATTATTCTAAAATGCATGGAGTCAGGCACTGTCATGTAATGCAGTCTGTTTGGAGGACACTTGTAGTAATATCTGACAAAAACAAAATGGAAATGCTTTAAATCTCCATCTGTGGTGACTGGTTAAAAAATAAATTCTTCCATCTATGCAGCCATTGAGAAAGATGTAGACAGATATATCTCCAATACATTATATTGTTAAACAAAATTAACCAAGTATAGAACAGTCTGCATCAAAAGCTCCCAAATTTCATTGAAAATATGTAATCCACATACATGTATACACAAATATGCACACATTTCATTTGATACACATATATAAAGGTATATGCACATAAAAAGATATAATGTGTGTATTACAAAGTATTCTTCTTTGTAATAAAAACATGAGATAAAATGTGAAAATGTCTAGGTGGAAAATAAATTGTGCAAAATAGTACAAGTAATATTATATAGCTCTATAAAAATTATAGAGTAGAATATGCAAAAATGGTCCTAAAATGCAATGGAATTTAAACTGGGTAAATAAAGTGTGGCCAAATAGAGATCCTTTGACTCCTGCTTTAATGAACAGATAAGAATGATTACCAGTTATTGGAATGTAAATGTATGCCTTTAAAGTGCTTTTTAAAAGCTTATTTTAAGAAGCTTAAGCTTTTCCTCTCCAAATTTTAATTTTGAAATTAATTTGTTTTATGCACATTTTTCACTAATAGTAAATTTCTAACAAAGCCTGTCGAAATTTTAACAAATTCTGGATTTGTAGAACATTAACGAGGACTTTAAACGTCTTTCTAAAATTAACAATGGATAATTTCTAGTCCCTCCTTTTAAAGTGCACTTTGAAATACTGCATTAAAAATTGTCTGTAAGTTGAGAAATGACTCAAGACTGTTCTAATCACTCTTGATAAATCTTTGGATTTATTTATACTCTTTGAACTCATGGACATATTCTATTTGACTGGTGAATCAAATGCTCACAAAGTTGGGTTGTTGGAACAGGGCTTTCCCAATTGTATTTTGTGTGCCTTTCTTCCTTTGGCTGCTGGCCTTTTGGCCTTTTCACTGCTCATTAACACCTTCTTGGCAGTGTGGAGAGCTGAAAAAGGTGAAATACAAACTGGTTAATACTGCTACCCCAGCATAAAAATCTGGAAGTAGGGCTTCATGAAAAGCAGAGGTTAATTTTCTCTACTACAACCACATGAATAATCAAAAGTTGGAGCTATAGAGTTGGAGGATTTGGTTTTAAGATTACTCCTGGGATTATTTTAAAATAGAATTTATGATTGATTTGAATATGAACTCACCAAGTGTAGTGACTTGACTGTGGAACCCTTTCAGAGGCAACTCTTGGGATTTTTTATTCCAGTACTGATTGTGATCTTAAACCTAAGTATGCAGAGATGCCTGAAATTTAATTAAGGTAAAAATTTAAAAATTTATTTTTCCGTTTGAATTATGTGCAAGGTTAGAAAAACCCCATGTAAATTGGTGGTAATTTATTTCACTTGAATCCCTAGGGACTTACATTTCCACATTAATAAGAATACACTGATTCTTACACACAAGGGTAAATATAGTAACTGAGACTCATGCTGAAGGTCATGTTTGGAATCTCATATTTCCTTTGCATCTTAGTTTCATACATTCTTTCTGGATTCTTTCTAGCATTTCCAAATCCTATTCATCCTCAGGGCCTAACTCAAGTCTCGCCTCTTTGATAAAGTCTTCCTTCACAACTTCTGACTTCCACATATATTGCTCACTGCCTTCTGTGAACTCCAGTTTTTATTGTCTGACATTCACAGCTTTGCAGTTGACTATTTACTGGCTTAAGCACTGGTTGTAAAGATTGTCTCCCCAGTGAAATGTTAAGTTCCTTAAGGATTGCAAATACTTTTAATTGTATTGGTATAGAGGTCTTTTGAATTCCTTGCAATACCTAACATAGAGTTCCTAGTAGGTACTCAAAAATACTGTACTTTTTAGTCCATTTATGGACTATGCATGAATTACATTTAAAATTCCTTCTATCTCACTATTGCCACTGCCTCAATTAGTTGCATCCCTTGCTAGATCATTTTTTTTACAAGGCAGGACAAAATATTGCCACTGATATTGAACTCTAGTTTGGCTTATCTGCTGGCAGCAGGCTTTCCTGTAGGGCATTGTGAACGTTTACAAAGCTAGTATAGCTAATCTGCTACAGAGCTATCTTGCCCTTTTGGTCTGATTTATTCTCATTGGCCTTAAATATTCTCTGGGCTACTGTGGAAGCCCAGAATTCGACTTTTGCAAGCATCAATGACCAGGTAGCCGCTTTGTGGAACCAGAAATGATGGCATGTTCTTAAGTGAGCATCCACAGTTAAAGGCGAAACAATTACTATGGGGAAGTAAGGCCTTTTGGCAGGTGTGTGTGCGTGTACGTGTGTGTGTGTGTGTGTGTGTGTGTGCGTGCGCTTGGCGTCCTCCCTCCCCTTACAATCTCTGTCTACCTTACCAGTCCCAGTAGGCTTCATGCCACCTCAGATTCAACACCTTTAAGTCACATTTTAATATAGCACATAATAGTGTATCTTCTTTCTCCAGCGTAGGCCACAGAAAATGTTTGCCTCCCTTCTCTCTTGGGGCCTTTAAGGAATTTCTTTCTATCAGCTAGAAGAGGAATTTGAGAGACTATGAAAATTGAAAGACTTAGGTGAAATCTTATGTGGTTACTCTGCATCCATTCCTGCCGAGGAAATAACTCCAGAGGAGTAAGGGAAAATATTTAAGGGTTGCAAGAGTCATCCTACCCTTTTCTTGGGCGTTTTCTGCTGTTTCAGCCTCATGGTTCCTCTCCCTGAAAAGAACAGGTGTGCCTGACAGCAGGTGTGTTTGTTCTACTTTTCCTATGGCAGCTGTCACTCCCCAGGTAACTCTCTTTTCCAGGTGGTGAATTCTTACAACCCATCGTCTTCTTTCCTGGCTACCATTACTTTAAAAAAAGGTTTGGCTGTCAACCCTCCCTCCTTTTAGAATCTTTTGAAATGTTATTGTTGTGATTGTTGATTTTTTTTTTTTTTTGCTTTTGTGTTTTGGGATGACTTTTTAAGGGAAAATGCATCTTCAGATGGATTCTGTTTACAATTCAGACAAACTTAACACTTTCCTTTTAAAAGCCTCCATAAAAGTCTGCAGCCCTCTTTGATTTGGATTGAGTTTTGAAGCCTTCTTCTCTGACAGCGTTGGGTTTCTCCATTTTGCATTTTCCAGTAGATCTTGGGGTCTGTCCTCAGTCAAGACACCTGCTGCTGGGACTGCCAGTCGCCACATGCTTGGCTTTCATCTTCCCTCGTGTCTATTCATAGCATGCACTTCTCATAACTCTAAAAGACTGTTTGATGCCCCCTCATTGTTTAATATCTACATGATTAAAGCAGCTGAGAGAATTAGCACGTGTCTTAAGCCTAAGGAAAAATCCAGTCTAAAAGAAATTGTATTGCAAGCCCAGATCGTTTTTAATAAGCTCTGCTGTGCTCTGTCTCACCTATTCCTCTGTGGGGCTCCCTTGGGCATTTTATAGGTATTTGAGGGTTAGCTTTAAAAGGATTCTTTCAGGCATGTATTTGACTCTCAATATAACATTTATCAAGCCCCCACAGTGTGCAGGACCCTTACAGTGGTCCCATGGTAAGGTACAAAAGAAGCAAGCATACCATTTTAACACTTAAGGAATCAAGTTACCTGTCCTTTAGGATGAAGTGAGGGAGAAAAAGTGCACATATATAAAAGATTTGGGTACATGTTGAAGATGTCAGATGTATAGGTGCAACATGAGTATCAATTCGGTACACAAAGGGGGCATAAAATGAATGTGTAATCACAGTTGGAAAGATATAGTGAGAGCCTCAGAGGAGTGAATGGTGTGAGCTTAAGGGCTTTCATCATGAGTGTCCTCAGGGACTTCAGTAAGGCAATGCACCGTGCAGAAAAGTTGGTATTCTGATAGTGTTATATGAAAATAATAGTAACTGCTACTGTTTATTCAATTGAATTTTTACTTTGTGTCAATGTAAAAAGAATGGAAGAACTAGGGAGCAAGACAATATAGACTGTAAAGAAATACATTCTTAAAGTGTCAATTGTATGACCATGGGTTGAAATTTGGCTAGGGAGGTGGGTGGGCCGTATGCTTGTCGCGTGTGTCTGTGCATGTCTGTGCGGGGTATGGGGTGGCAGCGGGGAAGAAGAAGCAAGATAAAGAGACTTGGAGAGTACGGCAGAGTCTGGGAAATAGAGGTTACGGTATGAGGTGACAGCAATTAAAGTGGGGAAAGGAGTAAAAGAAAAGAGAGGCTGTGTTCAAAGAAAGGATTCACAGTTCCAGATCTTGGAATTAAATCCTTTACCTTCTGAATATATTTTTCTCTGAAACCTTAGGCTTATTTTGCTCATTCAGAATAAAATAGAATATTTAACTTTGAAAATAGGGTTTTTACAGAAAATAAAGTGCTTCTTTAAAATGCTAATTTTTGACTCTCAGAGTATGCCCAATTTTTCCACAAATTTGTAATCCATAGTAATTCTGAGGCATAGCTTATGGGAAATTAGGATGCTAAAGCCATGTCAGAAAACTAAGCAAGTAGAAATTTACAGTAAATTATTGGAGAGACTCACATCACTACATTAGCACATGGTTTAGCTGTATTTTGACAGTGGAAAACCTGGCATAAGAGTCTCTGGGAGCACCAGGTAATATGCCTGAGGTCCCTTTCCTGCAGGTGAATTCTCTAGTGGCAGCTATCGCAATTTATGCCAGAGGCTTATTTTTGTGCAGACATAATCTCTGGTAGAATTTTCGCAGCCTCTGTTGACAGAACTGACAGTGTGTATAGGCCCAGGCTACTAGGCAACACCAGCATCAGTTAGCAGTCAGCAAATATTTATTATGCCTTAACCATATGCCTAGAACCAAGTTAGAAGCAAGGAGGATATATTAGAACAGGCATAAACAATCCCCTCAGACTCTTTACAGGGCTGACATACTTAAAGTAACTAAAATAGTGACAAGGCTATATTTAATCAAATGCCACATTCGAGGGAGGGTGAGTATTTTAGGATGTTAGAAAAAGGAGAGATCAGTTAGAGCACTAGATTGGGAGAGTCTTCAGAAAAGAATTGGAACTCATCCTATAACGCATAAGACAGGTCGAATTTAAAGAGTAAGAGTGAGAAAAGGAAGGAAATCTATGCACATTGAGAACAATTCAGAGGAAGGCAAAAAACAAACAAAACATAACAAAACAAAACAAAAACACCCTGGTATTTATATAGTACAACAGGAGACCAGCTTGATTGACATGGAAGATGTTTGAAATCAATAGAAAATAAGTTAGGTCGGGCCAGAGTATCAAAGTACTTTGAAAACCAAGTCAAATGTTTTGAATACAATACATTAAGAAATGGGAGACGTGTGATGATGAAAGGTGGGAGCATAGCATGGTCATTTAAGGGGCATTTTAGCACAATTAATATGGTACTGATTTACTGGACAGGTTGGAGAGGGTAGAGAAAGGTATACAAATATTACTATAGCTATTGGATAAGCACATATTTAACTTCAATTTCACCCTTCAAGGAAGTCATTCAGGCCATTCCCAACAAAATCCTAGATTCCCGTTGTTTTTTATGTTAAACATAAAAGTGTTAAAAAGATCTAAGTTCACATCAGATGGGTAATGTGCCAAAGTTGTAACAAGGTTTGAAAGAGGCACATCTCACACATAAATATGAAAACCTATTGTTTGAGTCAGTTTCCAAGGCTGAAGGGACTATATGCACTTACATCATTGGATAAAATCTCTGTGTCTCTAATTAGCTTCAATCTGTACAGATGTTCTTTAAGGAATTGCCATTCCTTTTTATTAGACCGAGCTCACAAATTTTTCCATCTAAGTTTGATGTAGTATGTTGGAAATGACTATTCTAGGAAACTTGGAATGTATGAAAAATATGGAGGTTTTTTAAGAAAAAGAAAAGAAATATGTGTAAGTAAGAGGTAAAAATAAGCAAACCAAAATAACTTAGATGGATGAACCCAAACCTAGGTTGTAGCTGAAAATAGAAGGGTAAACAAGTGCCATCCCAAATAAAAACAAACTAAAGTAAGAAAATGGGCAATGCAGAGAAATCAGGACATAAACCAAGTTTCACTTGAATTATGCATAAAAATTAAGACAGTTATTTCAGTTTTGATTCATTTGCTTGTGTATACACTTAGGTTTTCACCTGCCAAACTTTGTAAGTTAGTATAAAATTGATCATATTTACATCATCATCAAATGACACTGGTTGTCAGATTTGAGGGAGGAAAATATTTTTCTTAAAATCATTGGAGATTAAGTCTCAGGAAAGCTACAGCCTCAATGAAAATCTTGTAAATATAATTGGTATTAAGATCTGTTTAATTAAATGGCATTACAAGGGAAAAGAAGGTCAAGTTTGTCTTTAGGTATTTGTCTTTTGCTTTCCTCGGTTATTTCCCTACAGTGCAATTTATTCCATTTAGACTGGTGGTGGTTCAACACTGGCTGTACCTTAGGATCCCTATGGGAACTTTCAAAAAGTCCACTGCCCAGACTCCACCCTAGATTGATCCAAGCTTTGGTATTTTCCAGAGCTCCTCGGGGGATTCTAATAGGTATGCCGAGTTGAGAAGCACTGTATTAGATTAGCACCAGCATCTTTCTCTCTTCCCCCCTCATATAGTCCCTTAAGGCATAACACTTCTTACAAGGGACATATATTTTAGCCAGACTAAATATTTGTGTTACACTGATGATAGAAAGCTCTTGAGGGCAGGTCCTTGGTTTGTTTATTTTTCTATCACTCAGTGGGCTCTGGCCAGTAAAGTTTGTTGTATTAATACCAAGTACAAGTATAAGAGGTAGCAGGATTAGAAATAGGGCCCAGGACAGGCTAGTTTTTATGTAAGTGGGGAGGGGAAGAAAAAATCCAGATTGTAAAATACAGAAGTCTTGGCTATAGTGGGAAGTCTTCAATAGGTCCTGTGAATATAAAATATCACCTTAGAACTATGGTTTATTGCCAGATTTTTTAGTTATCCATACTGTGACTTTAGGTAAGGTGTTTATCACTGGGTGTCTCTGATATCTCTTTAAAATGAGGAAAATAGTTCCAGTCCCATCTACCCCAAAAGATTGATGTGAGATTCAACTGACATTTGTAGTTATGAGTTCATTTTACAGTATTTTTAAGTATAATATGCCAGATATATGTAAAATTGTTGTCGTTATGATTTACAAAGGCAGTTAATAGTCTTTTTGTCAGAATGAAAAACCTAGAATAATCCACAGAGCACTGCAAGTGCCTTTAACCACCAAAGTCAGTGGAAGTGTGAGGAAGACTTCCTTTGCAAAGCTATTCAAATACCTCAAAGATTGTATTTTCTATAATCCCAAGAGATGAGTATGTCCATGTAGAACATTGCATAATTTTGACAGACTTTAATAGTGCAATGAAAATAATCATAGCGAAATAACTTGATGTGAATTCAAGTTCCAGTACAGCATTAACTTGGTTTATGAGCTTGGATAACATATATGTATATGTACTTGTGTGTGTTTATTCATTAAAGGGAAGGAGTCAGTGTACTAAAATTTGTTAAAATCATTAATCTATCTATCCAACGTACATTAATTGAACACCTATTATGGGTCAGGCAGTATTTTTAGTGTTGGGAATACAGCAGTGAAAAGAAATAGACACATTGCTTACCATCATGTAAACTTACATTCTAGTAGGAAGTGGAGCATAATATAATTCCAAGTCTATAGAATTGCTATTGAAAAAAATAATAAAACAGGGTAGGCACATAGACTGGTGGAAAAGGGTAAAAAGAGTGGATGTTTCATAGGTGCCAAGATCTACCATAGGCACTTCCCACACGTTACTTTTATTTATAAATCTTCACAAGCATCCTATGCAACAGGTATTGTTATCTTCATTTTAAGGAGAGGGAAATTGAGGCTCAGAGAGTTTTTAAAACTTGCCTAACATTACCTAGTGGTTATGTGACAGAGTTAGAATTGCAACTTGCATCTGCCTGAGTTCAAATCCCATGTTCTTTCTACTACATGTGGCCAGCACGTAAGTGACTTAGTATATGTTTCCATATTCTTTTCTGTACAATTCCTTTCTGTTGGGCTTCATCAGAGATTTAATCTGACATCCCATGTACCCTATATGTTCCACAGATACTAACACTTTAAAAATTGAATTAGTTATTAGCATTTAAAAGTAAAAAGCTGCATATAGAAGTATTGGTTTCCAGCTTGTCTCAAAGTATTGAAAAGTCCAGCAAAATTGGGCCTGTGCTCCCATAGGGCAGAAACCAGCTGAAGCTGAGCAGCATGATCCCTCTGAGACAGAGCATGCACTCTCTGGGTTTCCACAGCCACTACTAATCCATGTTGTCATAGCTGAGCCACTTCATTCATTTATGTTATTTACCTGGCCCATGTAAATATTTGAATTTGTGACCCACTAGAACAAATACATGAAAAACCCTCTTCCAGTTCCAAAGTTTTGATTCAATGCTGAACATTCGGGCTCAGTTATAAGCCTTGTAACTATTCCTTTGACAACTTAGTTATACTTAAATGAGTTTTTTTCTTTCATTTCTTCTCCACTTTGTTTATCTTTTATGGTTTAACAACCATGCAAACAATAGCCAAAATTGCACATTAATTTCTTTACTTTTTCTATTTTAAAATATGATTCAGTGCAGCACACACAAACCTATATATTTTTAGTCTTTATGCAGAAAAAAGTGAAACATGCTAAACATGTTAAAATTCTCAAGCATGCATATAAACTGTAAATAGCATAATTAACAAGTAATTCATAATGGCAGTTAAATTCTGCCAATGTGGAATCATGCAAGCCAGTTTAGAAGTCCATGTTTTAGTTAAGTCTATAATTCACCATAGCCTTTAAAATCCAAGTAATTTATTAACCTAATATAGGTTAGAAGAGAAAACCCAGTCATAATATTGAAGTGAATATAGGGAAAGATGCCTCTCATGAAAATCATTCAAAGTATAATTATTCTTAAGCACAACATTATTAAAATGTATTTCTATAATATAAAAGTTTTTATTAGTATTCTGTGATATAAGGTACCCTATGCAGCATTATGTTAAATTCTGTCTCCATATTTATAAGTTTTATAGAGTTTATTTTATAGCAGTAAACAATGGGATCTCTGCTAGACTCAGAGTGAATTACAGTTGCTTAATGGTGTGGGTACAAGTTGATTTGTCAGCTCACAGGCCCAATTATCTGTTCTTGTGGTTGCCCTAGAGCGGCCCTGAGGCACAATAGCCTCTATGGCCAGGATATCTAGCTTGTTCGGTGGTTCATACACTGTTAGTACATGTTTGATTTCATGCAGGTGGAGTAGGAGCCCACTTCGATAGTGCACAGTGAAGTATGGCATGAAGACTCCTTCCTCGTCCAGCCACAAATGTCTTCCTGTATAGCCTGCCACAATGCCTGAAATTTCCAGCCTCAAATAGTCATTTCTTTGGTTAAATTTTCATCCCTGTCCGGAAAACAAAACCACTTCAAAAAGGTTAAGCCATTGTCCCACATATAAATAGTGTTGGCTTCATTAACACTATGAAATTGTTCATTGGTTTGCATAACAAAATGTCATGGTCCCTGGGAGAACAGGTAACGCAGAGCAGGTAACTCTTAAGGACGGAAATAGGAAAGTTTGGTCTAAATATAAGATATTTGCCAGGAAGGTCATGCCTAGCACAAAGCTCTGTGGTAGAGAGCCTTGAACAGTACATACTTGGTTGGGGGCAGGGTGTTAGAGATAAAGGAAAGAAACGTTAGAAAAGAGAAGGTGAAAGTGAAATAAGGTTAAATTTGACATAGTTCCTGCCACCCTCTTCCTAGGTCCAATCCTCATGTTATCTGTTGCTTATAAATTTAAAAGACAGTTAGACTTCAGATAGTATGAATGCTTGAGAAATGGGGCATTATAACTGAAAGATTTGTTAGTTTAGATTGAAATGTATTATAAAATAAAAGTACCAGTAAATTTGCAGATTTCTAAGAAGGGGTTTGATAAGGGACAAAAAGTCAATTCGAAAATTAAACAAGGAAATGGAAAGAAGAATAAACAATGTAAGAATATTAATTCATTTAATTTTTGAATTGACTTTTCCCCGTTATCCATCCACTGTCCACAGTAATTTGGAAACAAACTGTTATTTACATTTTATAATATTGCATTAGTTTTCTATTGCCACTATAACAACTTACCATAAACTTAGTGGCTTAAAACAACACAAATGTGTTATCTTACAGTTCTGGATAGTCAGAAGTATGAAATGAGTCTCACCAGGCTAAAATCAAGATATCAGCAAGGCTCTATTCCTTTCTGAAAGCTCTAGGAGAAAACCTGTTTTTCTTGCATTTTCCAGCTTCTAGAGGCTGCTCATATTCTTTGGCTCATGATCTCTTCCTCCATCTTCAAAGCCAGCGATTTCATGTCTATTTGATCCATCTTCCCCGTCATACATTCTTTGATACTTCTGCCTCACTCGTCTACTTTTAAGGACCCTTGTGAGTACGTTGGGTATACTTAGATAATCCAGAATAGTCTCCCTATCTTAATGTCAACGGATTATTAACTTTAATTTCATCTGCAACCTTCATTTCCCTTTGCCATGTAACCTAACATATTTGTATGTTGTGGGTATTAGAATATGGATGTCTTTAGGCATTATTCTGCCTACCACAAAGATAATAAACATACATTGTTATACTATGATTAAGACATTGTGTTTGTTACAATAATGGAAATGGGTTGACAAATTTTATTCCCAGACAAAACCACTCAGATTTACGCATTTTAGCTAAGTACATATATAAGTGACAAACATTAAACAAAATGATGAAACTGTTTCAAAATAAAGGAACAGATGAAGATATGCCAGGGAATTTTCAATAAGGAGAGGATAGGGCAAGGATGTCAATATCAGATTAAGTGGAATTTAAGGCCAAAAGCATTAAAATAGAACCTAGAGGGATTCATTCCATAAACAAATATTTATTAGATGTAACTGTATGGAATGATATGTGAAGCATTTGATAAAACTGCAGTTACAGTTGTGAAATACAGATTTCTCAGAATTTGAAAAGTAGGCAAAAAATAATACCAAGGATTTGAATAATTATGAAGCTTGACCTAATATTTTGTCAAATAAATAGAATTAGATACTCTAATGCCAAAAACAAAACCACATTTGTATTTTATGCCCCTGGACCATTTACAAAATTTATCATGTACTTTGCCACAAGGAAAACCTTAATAAATTCTCAAGTGGAAAACTGGCAGGTAACATCCTCTGACAAGAATTCTGTAAAGCTAGAAATCAACAATTCAAAGACCAGAAAAGGTAAACAGGAAAAAACTTAGAAGAACCATAAAATACTTTATGTAAGTAATTTTTGGATCAAAGAGAAAATCAAAAGAAAATTTTAAAATTATTTAAAAATGAACAAAAATTATATTACTTCCTAAATAATCTAGGAATGTGGCTAAAAACATGAGAGCTGCAAGTAAAAAATATATGTGGGATTTTCAAGACTTTGCACAAAATATACATTTAAATTAAAATTTATTATTTCTTTAAATTCATTTAACGCTATAAATTTTCCTTATAGCATTAACTGAATTTAAAGAAATATTGAAAAAAATCTTTCAACTCAGGAACAGAAAAAGAATATATAGATATATATTTCACATAAAAGTATCTGTACAAAAGTAATAAAAATATAAGCTAAAATAATTACAAAATTTCAATGTGCAATTAACAAAGCCAAAAGCTGGTCTGCGAAAATATGTATAAAAGAGGCATACTTTGTTCTACACTGAAAAATACACTGATATACTTCCTAAATCTCAAGGATAAAGAGAAAATCTTTCAGGCTTTTTGGCAGAAAAACTGAATCATCTACAAAGAAAAAAATGGTTTTCTCATCTATATCGTGGAAGCTAGAAGACAGTGGAATAGCATCTAGAAATTTCTAAGAGAAAAAGACTGCAAACCAAGTAACTTACCATCCAGTCAAGGTATCATTCATCCACTTGGGTCAGAGAAAGATGTTTGAGGACATGTAAGAATTCAAAAAGTATATCACTCTCATACACCAGTGAAAAAATATTTGAGAAAAAACTCAAACTAAATAATAAATGAATCGGAATGGAGACTTCAAGATGAGAGAAGAAACAATGATGGGCAATGAACCTGGCTCTCTGGAAAAGTAATTAAATCTAAATGGAAAGGCAGATTGACTTAAATATCTAAAATAGTATCATTTCAACGTGTAATCAATATAAAAAGTATTAATGAAATACTTTGCATTCTTCTTTTGTGCTAAGTCTTAAAAATCCCACATGTATTTTGTACTTGCAGTAGATCTCAGTTCAGACTAGCCACATTTCAAGTGTACAATAGTCACATGTGGCTAGTGGCTACCATATGGACAGCACAAGCGTCTAAATAAATATACTAAACTATCCCAACAAAACACAGGAGTGGGAGTGAGAAGAAGGGAGGACTAACAAGATCCAGAAGATCTCATGGGGTTAGGAAGAGAAGTGAGAAGGATTATAAAAGTGACATTGTAGGGTTAACAATGACAACAAAAGGAAGCAACTTGGATGTCCAGCAATAGGGCATTAGTTAAATAATTAATGGTACATTTATAACATATAACATTTAATATTTCCAGATTTTGAAACAATGAGTTAGAAGCATATTCTATCTTAAGGAAACATGCATGTTATATTGTTATATAAAACAAACAAGTATAGTATAATACATAAAATACCCAATTTTCATAAAAATAAATGGAAAGTTTTTTAATGTGTCTGTTTGTATATATTTTTATGGGTCTAGAGAAAGGTATGGAAAGACCTTCACTCTACAATGAGTATCAGTTGCCTTGTGACAAGATTGGAGAAGTTAGATAGGGAGTTATTTATTAATTTTGTCTTTATGAACAACTGTATTATTTTAATTGTAATAATGAGAATTTGGGGGGGTAATTTCTAAAACATCTTATACAGTATAAATAAGAATGATAAAGAGAAATAAGCAGCAATAGCTCTTGATGTGTGGAAGGGACTTGACCTCTGTTCATAAAGTCAGACAAAGCCTGAGTTGATAGCATTATTTGGTCATTAAAAGAGGGGCGTGAGATTTAGGGGAAACTAGAGGTAAGGTCTTTAAAAAAAAAAAAAAAAAAGTCTTGTTATATAAAGGGACTTCCTAAGTGAAGCATGAAACCCAGAACCCATAAAGGAAAAAAAAATGACAGATTTGATAATGTAAAAATTGAATGCCCATAAACAACAGTAAGGGGGGATGGGAAAACAATAGGTTGGGAGATAATATCTGGTACATACAAAATGCAATGTATATGGATAGCACATTCCATATAAAAATGAAAGAATTACACAATACCAATAAATATATGAAATGATGTTCAAATTAATAGAAAGTAAGTATAAATATATATAAATAAAAATGAAGTAACTTTTTCACCTAATTTGGCAAAAGGAAAAAGAAAATGATTCAAATATTTACTGTAAGGGTATGAGGAAGCTGGAACTGTGGGGGGAAATATGAACTAGAACAATTTTTTATGAGAATCTAATAAAATTCAAAAAGCACATGCATTGTGACCCAGCAATCAGACTTTCAGGAATTTATCTTACAGAAAGAATAAAGCAAGAGTGCAGAAAGGTGTATATGCAAGGATGGCCATTGAACATTGCTTATAATAGTAAATACTTGGAAATAAGCTAAATGTGTGGTTCTGGTCAAATAAATTATAGTAGCCTCAGACAAAGAAATTCCTTGCAAATATGAAAAAAAGTTAAGTAGATCTACGTGTTCTAACACAGGAAAGATATCCATGACATACTATTGAGAGGAAAATTGCAAAACATTACATATAACATTATCTCAGTCTTGTAAAAACACAAAAAAGTGTTTATGCTTATGTGTTTATGTATTTATGTGTTTTCTGCATTTTTCAAACAATAAATAAAAACAATGAAAGTATAGTAACCTTTCAGTCAGCATGATGTTTAGGGAATGAGGAATTTTCATTAATCCGTATTTTTTTTGTTGATTCAGAATTAATCATATATTTTTAAATTCCCATCTTTAATTGTTGAAAATCTTTCTAAAATGACTCCTTTTCTACCCCAGTGTGACATCGAGGAAGCATTTTTGAACCTTCATTCTATGACTGATCATCTTTAGTGACTTATGTTCATTATTTTGAGTATCGGTTCTTTTTGCCTGAAGCCCTAATAATAATGACAATTGCTACATTTATAGAGCCAGGATTCAAACCCAGTTCTCTGATGCCAAGTTCTTTTCAGTACAGAAAAGCCCCTGGTAGCTACCCTCATTGATTAAATCCCTGAAATGATGTGTTTGCTTTTCATTCACTTTTATTTTCTTACAGTAGAAAGCTAGAGGGAAAAAAGTCATTTGGTTGAAATTTTTGGTTTGAGTTTCAATAATTAAAGTTTTATGTATTCACCATGTAGCTTAAGAAATAGAGCATTACTAATTACCTTTTTGCCTCTGCTGTGTGATCTTTTCAGATCCCAGCCCTCTTCCCTCACTTCCCTACTAGATGACCGTCATCCTGAAATGTGTTTATCATTCCCTTGCTTTTCCTTATAGTTTTGCCATGTATGTATGCATCCCTAAAAATATGTTTTTCAGTTTCATATGTTTACAAATTTCTTAAATATAATCATATTGTGTTTCTATGAATTGCTTTTTGTGCTCAATGTTACATTACTGACATGCATCCATGTTAATGTACATAGCTCATTTATTTTCAAGGTTATATAATATTCCATTGTGTGACTGAACCATAATTTATTTATCCTGTAGTCTTTTTTGTAGACTATCATGGCACAGCTTTCAATTGATCGAAATATCACAGATATCACAATCTGCCAAGAACCTACATGGCCATTGTGATCTGTCTGTTCAGTGTTGTAGCGAAATAAATAGACAAATCAGAGTACCACTATAAGGCATTCAATGAGTATCAAATAAAAGTTTGAATAGGGCACTGTGAGACTATGGAGAGGGCCAGGTTAACTTTGGCTAAAGCGAGGCTTAGAAAAGAGATAATTTGAAGTAAGCCTTGAAAAACTGTTACAACTTTCAAGAGGTAGATATGGGGAAGTATGGCTTTCTATGCAAAGAATCACTGGAGCTGCAAAATGGGAACATAGGACAATGTTCAGACAATGTTTAGCATAGATGTGGCTGGAGTGTAGGTACCTGAAGGTCTGGCTTACCCAGTCTAAATGGGAACAGATCTGTAATCAAATCCTAGCTCCATTTTTTAAAAAATTGCCAATATTACTTAACATGGCAGGTTACTTGACTTGACCTTGTTCTCTCATCTGTAAAGTGAATAATGCCTACCTCTCTGAGTCATTGTGATGACTGTATCTTTAAGTGCGAAATATATGGATAGGTCTTCGCACAGTGTCTGGCACAAAGTAGGCACTTTCTTAATGTCAGTTCCCTTCTCTTATTTAACATTGACTTGAATAAGGCCTCTTTCACTTTTGTTTCTCAAGGAATTGAATGGGTAGGGCAATGAATAGTATTTTTTTTTTTTTTTTTGTAATTTCTCTTCAGGCTCAGAGCCTCACCATGACATTCCTTTGCTTCTGTTAGAAAACTGGTTACTATCTGGCTCAAATTTTCAGCCTCGGCTGGGCGCGATGGCTCAAGCCTGTAATCCCAACACTATGGGAGGCCAAGGCAGGTGGATCACCTGAGGTCAGGAGTTCAGTACCAGCCTGGCCAGCATGGTGAAACCCCATCCCTATTAAAAATACAAAAATTAGCCAGACGTGGTGGCACGCGCCTGTAGTCCCAGCTACTCTGGAGGCTGAAGCTGGAGAATCGCTTGAACCTGGGAGGCGGAGATTGCAATGAGTCGAGATCATGCCACTGCACTCTAGCCTGGGTGACAGAGCCAGACACCAACTCAAAAAAAAAAAAAAATTCAGTATCTTCTTTGTGTTGTCTCCCTCTAATTCCTACTTGCAAATATCAATTCCTGTACTCCAGAAATAGCCCAAGCTAGGATATGAAGCTCAGGCCAGGGAGTCTGGGTAGAAAAAGGAAGAATGTAGAGAAGGTTTCTGTTTGTTTAACCTGAGCTAAGAAACCAGCATCAAAAACAGAGCTTCAAATTGAGTCCACATCTTATGAGCTAGATGTTCCCTTTCTATTTCATTTCTAGGGACAAAGCTGATGTCAGAGCGTAGAGAATTCTAAGCCTATAGATTACCTGGCTATCATGGAAGAGTGATGAGCAAATAATAGTCAAGTGGCTTTATTTCATTTGATAAAGTTGAGAAAAGCACATAACCCAGTGAATATACTAGTAAGGAGCAGAAATTTGCACAGAAAATGAATGAATTAGACAGGGGTGTTCAGAGTCAAATTATATCAGGAGGCAGCAAAAAAGGGAATGACCAGCTAGCAGAGCAAGCACATAAACAAGGCATATTGTAGTTGAAGAGATGAGAAGATTAAAAATCTATAGGAGAATTTATCACAACTCAATTCAGTTCAATAGATAATTATCAAGCACTGATTGTGCACCAGGCTTTCTTTGGTCCTGTGGTTGTGGAGGTGATATAGTGAAGGACAGTTTAAAATCCAAGTCAAAAAATGAGAAGCAGGAAGTCTATGTGGGGTTAAGGAATGAGCTACAAACATTCATTAGCAGAGACCTGATCCTGAAGATACTTTGCTAATTCATCTCTAGGCCACCACTTCTGATATTTGTATTAGTCAGAACTCCGACAGTGAATGGTGGTAGCCCAACTCCAACTAGCTTAAGAGAAAAAAAAAGTTTTTTTGGCTCAAGTAACCAAACAACAAGGTGGAACATGGTCTTAGCAAAAACTGGAACACAGGTTGGAGTCATGGACTGGAAAACTGTCAAGACTCCCTTGTATTCCTACCTCTCTCTGCAGGCCAGCTTTATTATGTACAAGATGGACAGCTGGCTACTGCTGACTGCTCCGGGCTGTCAACCTTACAGCCTAGCTAACTAAAAGGAAAGAGATCCTCTTCTGCCTGCTTTCAGTAAACATTTAAAAAATTAAGAAAACCTGAAAATGAACCTGGATTGGACTAGCTTATTTCCCATATCAATATCTGGACTAATCAGTGGGGACAGGGAGGAGGTGTCTTGGTCCATTCTTGGTTTGTTTTATGCTGCTCCAAAAGAATACCATAGACTGGATAATTTATAATGAACAGAAATTTATTGGCTCACGGTTCTGAAGGCTGGGGAGTCCAGTGGCTAAAGATGTCTTTTTGTGTCATCACATGGCAGAAGGGCAAAGATGAGGAGTGGAAAGGTAGAAAGAGAGAGAGAGAGAGAGAGAGAGAGAAAGGGGGTGAACTCGCCATTTTATAATGAGCCTATTCCTGTGGTAACAAATTAACAAACCCATTCCCACAATAATGGCATTAATCCAGTCATGAGGGTGAAGCCCTCATCATGACCCAATCGTGTTTTAAAGGTCCTACTTTTTAATACTGTTATAATGACAATTAAATTTCAACATGAGAACTGCCTATAATCACAGCACTTTGGGAGGCCCAGGCAGGAAGATTACTTTAATCCAGGAGTTTGAGACCAGCCTGGAAAACAAAGTGAGACCCCCATCTCTACAAAAATCTTTTAAAAAATTTAGTTGGGCATAGTGATGTACACCTGTGGTCCCAGCTACAAGGAAGACTGAGTTGGGAGAATCACTTGAACCCAGGAGGTCGAGGTTACAGTGAGCTATGATGATGCTACTGCACTACAGCCTGAGTGACAGGACAAGACCAGATCTCAAAAAGAAAAAAAAATTCAGTATGAGTTTTGGAGGGGGAAAACATTCAAACCATAGCAGGTGGGAAATATGATTGGCCCAGACTGGATCAGGTGTCCACCCCTTAAACAATTATAATTGTGGCAAAGACTGCAATACAAAGGTAGGAGCTTTTCAGATCACAAGTCTAAAATGGGGGTAAAACAATGGTTTTTTTTCAAAGAGGTGAGATTGCAGTATGTAGATGGTCACTGGGGGAATCACTGTAAGCCAAACATTCCACCATGTGGCAGTTCTGTTGGGTAGGAGTCTCTCCAAACATGAATGGTCTAGAGATGCTGAAAGTAGGGACATGTATTTGGAAGCACCAGGCTAAAATGGAGAATACATGTGCAGTTGGGATAGCAGCAGATTTTTGACAGGCAGTTCTGAACCACCTCAAGCCTTTGGTTGTTCTCTATTGCCTGTAGAATAAATCCTGAGATGCTTATTAAGACCTTCAAAATCTTTTTTCCAGTATTTTCTCCCTTTTTTCCATCTGTATGAACCCTTTAAACCAGCCAGACTTGAATATTTACTGAGCAAAGCACTCCGTGTGAAGCTACACTCATGCAATCATCAGTCCTCCAGATATGGAATCATCATTCTTTATGGTGTGTTTCTACTATCATCCTTGCTTAGAATGCTTTTGAGATACACTGCTATATTCACCAAATATTTATTTATGCTTCTATGTGTGCAAAGTTTTTTGGATACTGGTTATACAATGATGAACAAGACAGACATGGTCCCTGCCCTCAGAGAATTTACTTTTTTTCTTTTTGAGACAAAGTCTCACTCTGTCACATAGGCTAGAGTGCAGTGGTGCGATATCGGCTCACTACAGCCTCTGCCTCCTGGGTTCCAGCGATTCTCCTGCCTCAGCCTCCCGGGTAGCTGGGATTACGGGCATGCACCACTATGCCTGGCTAATTTTTGTAACTTTAGTAGAGACAGGGTTTCACCATGTTGGCCAGGCTGGTCTCAAACTCCTAACCTCAGGTGATCCGCCTGCCTCAGCCTTCCAAAGTGTTAGGATTACAGGCGTGAGCCACCACATCCAGCCGAGAATTTACATTTTAGTAGGAGTAGAGAGTTTTTATGTAATTATAAAACTGATCCTAAAATTATGATGTGATGACTGTGATAAGTACTCCAGAGAAAGAAGGACCTAATCTGGTCTGGAGGGTCAAGGAAGTGAGATGAAATCAAATATAAGAAAGAATTAACCAAATGAAGAGATGGAAAGGGGCAGGAAGGAGAAGAGGAACAACATGCACAAATGTCATGAGGTGAAAAGTAGGATGGCGTATTTGAGAAACTGGAAGAAGTACATGTTGCAGAAGCAAGAGAGTGAGTGGCCAGAGAAGTAGACAGGGAACCAAATAACATAAGACTTTGTAAAGCATGTTAAAGATTTTGATATTTATCCTAAATGTAATGGGAATATACTGAAGGGAGGTGATGTGATTAGTTTTTAGCATTCTGTCTGGTAGCATTGCAAACAATAGATTAGAGGGTAACAAGATTGGATGGAAGGGTACCAGTTAGGTCATTGCAGTCATCTAGGCCAGAGATTATTGAATGTGAAAATGGAAAAAACTGTATTGGCTCAAGATATAATTAGAAGATAAAAATGATGGTATGGGGGATGCCTAGGTTTCTGGCCTGTGCAAATGAATGGATGATACTTATATTCACAAAAAGGCAATGGTAAAGGAGGATCAATTTGAAGGCAGTGATAATAAAGTTAGCTGTGGACATTTTTAAAAATGTAAGGCGTCTTTTAAATATCTATATGACAAATGAATAGTTGGATATACAACCTGGACAACAGTACTGGAGTCTAAACTCTACCCTCTTTCATTCAAGCCTTACCCATTCATCAAATCCTAGCTTAATCTACCAACTCCACAAGAGTCACTGACCCATTTTTCTCATTCTATTCTTCCTCTCCTCTGTGCCCTCTCCTAGTGTTTATTGCCTGAACCAATCATTAGGTTCCAGTTATATACTCTACAATATATATGGGGATATATGTTGTTTCCATTACCAGACATTAAGTTTGTTGAAATTAGAGATCCATATTAGATTACATTATACCTCCTTACCACCAGCAGATATACATGTAGTAAGAGATCATTTTACCTGTAACGAAGTGAATGCATAGCCTTTCTGCCACTAAAGCAATATTAGAAGCAAAAGGTGTTAAATACAAACAAAATTGGATTTGAATTTTGACTTCACCTCTTACTAGGAATGGTGACCATGGTCAAGTATTTTAACCCTTCAGAGTCAGTTTCCTTGCTTATCAATACAAGATAATAATACATGCCTCAGGAAGCTATTGTTCAGTATTAAATGCAGAATGTATGTAAAGTGTATAGCACAGTGTTTGCCACAGGACAAGCACTAGAATAACCATTATTTGTTGTTGCTGTTATGACTATTATTACTTTTGTGGAGATCAAAAAATACCATAATTACATATGACAAGCAGTGGCTATGGTGAGGTGACAAGTTAGTGAATACAAAAATTGGTATAAGCATATGCCTGTTTCTCCATACTTTATAGTATAGTAAGATTTTCCATTATTCTCTACTTCAGAAAGCAGTCATAATTTTGTTGTCTTTATTTTTGGCTGGAGGTTGGCCTCTGGTTTTATAGAATATTCCACTGGAGCCAGTCTCTTGTGTTACATAAAGCATAAATTAAGGTATGGCTAAATTCACAATGTGAGAATTGTGTGCACATGTGTATATATGTATAGACCTATATACCTATTAATCATTTTTATCAAGAAGGCCCATTGCTCACAGTGTGTACCATATATTGGTCATTATGTTGCTGGCAAGCAAAAAGAAATCACCCACTTAACAGGAGAGAAACACATTAACTCTTCAAACTAGTAGGGGGTGCTTTTACTAAATTACCTCCTCCAGTTGCTTTAATGGTACCCTAGTCTCCACACACTAATGCATGTCTGAGCAGTAAGTAGTTTTCTGTCACCTTACTAGGAGAACTAGGATATTTCTTTTTTAATATGAAGAGCTTGGGGAGAGGGTGTGGAAGTTCGTTTTTTTCTTTATATTTGTAAAATATTTATTTATGGAATCACTATGGGAACGTATATAAATGTATAGTAGATATAAATTGCTAGTTCTATTTATAAAAATCCAGTATCTCTTTTAAGTCAATGGTATTAGTAAGAAAAAAATTATGATCAATGTTTTTCCAACTTTTACATTCCAGTGCATCCAATTTTATATTTTTTTACTAATTCTTAATGGAAAGAGGTTCTTATTGAAAGGTACCCTTGGAATCTAGTGATATTTTTAATATACCAGTAGATGATATATATTTTAGTTTTATATATGAATAATTATAATTCAAAATGGCCTTTCCAGTTAGCTTTCTTTTCACACCTCTCCTAAGGCCCATTTGAATTTTATGTAGTTTAAGAAATAAAACTGATTTCCTAGATGAATGAAAGTTGTCTTTTTATAATTTTAGCCCAATGCTAAAATCAAACTGTTCGCAAGTGGACTGTTTTTAAATAACCCTACCCAGATTTGGAATTTTCAGAGCAAATACTATTTGGCATTTATATAGCACACCCTTTCAAGACTGGACTTTTATTTATTGATTATACGTCATGAAGTGAACAGTGTTACACTTATAATTTTATAGCTACACTGTAGAGTAATTCAATTTTTCTTCCCCCAACCCCACCCCAGCTCCCCATCTCTGAAGTGCATGGTGATTATGGTGTTGCAGGTGGGCTCTGGGTTGACTAGAAGAGCTCTTCCCCCCAACAAAATAAAACTCTCTCCCCAACCCTTTCTCCATCCCTCTTTCTTGCTCCCTCTCTCCTTATCCCCTCTCTCAGGATATTGAGTTTCCAAGTATTTAGCCAAAAATATTTTGGGAAGAAAAGTGAACACACAGAACAGGGACAAATGTGGCATATCTCAGCATAGTCTCCCAGGGTCCTCAACTTCCCTCAAATGGAGGATACTGTACAGAGAAGCCATTGACATGGTTTTCACCTAGTAGATTTCAGTTCGATGGAAGAAGCTAAATTCCTACTTGTCACTGCTTTCATATACTCAATTTTGCTGACCCTCTGGAGGAACCTGAGTTAATACCGAGATGAAATGCACAGACAATAACATATAGATTAATATACAGATGAAAATCTGTGTGATTCTGATACTAAATTTTGACTGAGCACAGTTATTACAAATTTATTTCCGCTAGAATATGAGTTCCATGACGGCAGGGATTTTTGCCTGTTTTGTTCATTGCTTTATCTCTGATACCTGGAACAATGCTTGCTACGTTAGGTGGTTAATAAATATTTTCTAGTTAAATGAATTTTCTTACATTCTGGATTAAAACTCACAGCTAGCGAATTTCCAGGCTGCTTTGTAGATGTATGCAAAAAAATTGTAAACTCGGTTATTTGTGTTCAGATTAATGATTCTGGAGCCCTAGCACACAGGAATAGTAAGCAGCATGAGATATAATCTAAGGCAAACAAGGCCCAATTCCTTAGTATGGTATATAAGGCCCTTTACAAACTGGCTCCATCCCACTTTACTGGTTCTTCTACCCCTACACTTATAGTACAGATGCAGAAAATTGTTTGCTGTTCTTTAATTTCATTATTCCCTTACACTTGTCTTTGCCCTTGAACACACACTTCTCTGTGCTAGAAATGCTCTTATCCACTTTTTAACCTACCAGAAGTGCATTCATCCTTTAAGATGAAACTCAAAGTATCACTTCTCTGGAGCCTGTCTCAGTCTTTCAGGCAGAGTGAGTCCCTCACTTTGCTTAGACTCCACAGCCCTTTATGTATAGATCTATCACGGCACTTACTTACCTCCTTGTCCTATCATCATTTCCATGTCTGCAATAGATTGTCAGCCCTTCGAGGGAAGAGGACGTATCTTTTTCCTTCTCTCTAATCTGCCTGGATCCTACCACAGTGTCTGTCACACCATAGGTGCTCCGTGAGTGCTTATTGAATAACATATGGACTGAGGGCATGAAAACTAAGGGTTGAAGTGCTCTATTAAAAATTATAGGCCAAGTGCCGTAGCTTATGTGTGTAATCCCAGCACTTTGGGAGGTGGAGGCAGGAAGATCACCTGAGCTCAGGAGTTCGACAACAGCCTGGGCAACATAGTAAGGCCCCATCTGTATAAAAAATTAAAAAATTAGCCGGGTGTGGTGGCACACACCTGTAGTCCCAGCTACTTGGGAGACTGAGGCAGAAGGATGGCTTAAGCCCACGAGGTCAAAGCTGCAGTGAGCTGTGATCGCACCACTGCACTCCAAAGCCTGGGTGACAGAGCAAGACCCTGTCTCAAAAAAAAAAAAAATTATAATATATAATTTGGCATTAGTCAGGGAAGAGAAAGTATACCAAACCTAGCTTAACTTTTTCAGATTCGCTAACATACTGCTGTGCTGTTAGGCAACTGGCCAAGAAATGAGAACATTTGAACAAGAAAGGGGGAAAAAACAAATGGAGCTAGAATTCTGGAAAAGGAAGTGAAAACGGCCAAAGTAATTGATGCTGAATATGGGGAGGGAGAGGGTGACAGACAGTGGATGGACAAAAGGAACAGATCTACCTTAAATTGTGCCTAGGAGAAACCTTGGAACCAGTGACAAAGCCAAGTAACTATGTCAAAAGTGAACATTTAGCCAAGCATGTGTTTTGTCAATATACTATCAAATCACTATTTGGCTCTTTGTGCTTTTTCCCCCCAAGGTGATGATTTGGGGACCAAATGGAGTCAACTGTTCCAGGCATCATGTAGACTCATATTACATCTATCCTGTATATCATTAATGTCCTTGGGCAATCCTCATAGATTGTTTTACCTGCACATCCTTCCAAAATGTGTAAAAGGAACATGCATTCATGTATATAGATTGTCCATTGTTTTTTAAATGCCTGAAACATTAATTTGATTGTTCAGATTAAGTGTTTGGGGCAATGATAATAAGGATTTGGATAATATAAGTTTCCAGTTCAAAAGCACTAATGTCATTGTTGCTGTTTGCATTTGCTTTCTAGCTTTGAGAGGTTTTGGAAAATGCATTTTGCAAGAATTGCCTGCAGTGTTAGCACTAAATGATAGTGTGGAGGTAAAGAGAAGCATGCCTTTATCTAATTTCATACCTCCTTGATAAATTTCAAATAAAGAAAAATGTTCCTAAACATTTTACCATAAACTGTAGAATATTTTCAACTCAAAGCCTTTCTCTGTGTACTGTGATACGTGTAAAACTCTGAATGTAGATCACAGATATAGGCTTAGTCTATTTAGCATGAGATGATAATACTACCTTGTAAACAGGAACTGCCCCCAAAATTTGATCTGATTGCTTCCTCTAGTTGGGTGATAACATGCTGAAGTAATACCCCAACACACATTTCTCAGTGAATATTATTCCTCTCATCTTTGTTAATGTTGTTAAATAATTTCAAAACTCTCCTCAAGGCAGCTGCTCTGTGCTAGGGAGCTAAACACAAGAGAGGCCAATGTTTTCTTTTATTTGTCCGCCTGCAGACACAGATGTTGTTTGTGTTGTCTGGAAGCACAGAATATGCTCTAAAATATCATTGTTGTTTTCAATGAGTCAAAGTGACAAGTTGCGGGTAAAGTGAATCCATAAGAATTAGTACAGAGTGGAATAATACTTCAAAAGGAGGTACAAAAATGCATTAAACTCATATAGAACAATAAGCTATTAATGATATATGCATAGTTTAAGGGTCTATTTTTATATTGTCAGTGACAAAAGAAGTGCCCATTGTCTCCTGGCTGCTATATCCCTCAAAGTATTTTGGCGGCTGGCTGTGGAAATCCAGATGGAGACAGCAGTGAACTGAATGAAACCTGGGAGACAAGAAGCAGGAAGTTCTAGCATCCGCCACATTCACATTGCACAAATGAGGACTAAGCTGTGAATTTGAATGTGCTGCTTATAATATGCTGCATGAGGTCATTAGGATGGTGTTAAAATGGTTCCAAGTTAGCATTGCCAGTTGGTATCTGTGTGACTTTGGACAATTTATTTAATCTGTCATTGAATGTTGGTTGCTTTATTTGAAAAACAGGACTAATAAGCTGGGCACAGTGGCTCAAGCCTGTAATCCCAGCACTTTGGGAGGCCGAGGCGGGCATATCACCTGAGGTCAGGAGTTCGAGACCAGCCTGGCCAATATGGCGAAACCACGTCTCTACTAAAAGTACAAAAATTAGCCAAGCATGGTGGCGGGTGCCTATAATCTCAGCTACTCAGGAGCCTGAGGCAGGAGACTCACTTGAACCCGGGAGGTGGAGGTTGCAGTGAGCCAAGATCGCATCACTGCACTCCAGCCTGGGAGACAAGAGCGAGACTCCATCTAAAAAAAAAAAAAAATTGGAATAATAACAACCTTTCTCTCAGGGCTACTCTGAGGATTAAATGAAATAATATATGTTTCAGGGCTTGGTACATAGAAAATGCTAAATTCATGGAGGTCAAGCTACCAAGGAACATGCAGTTTTACATATTAAAAAAGAGGAAGAAGAAAGTAAATCCAAACATTAATTTAGCATCTTCTTTTTTAAAAAAATTTACTTTAAGTTCTGAGAACATGCACACGTATGTTTATTGCAACACTATGTACAATAGGAAAGACTTGGAACCAACCCAAATGCCCATCAGTGATGGGCACTGGATAACGAAAATGTGGTACATATATATCATGGAATACTATGTAGCCATAAAAAAGGATGAGTTCATGTCCTTTGCAGGGACATGGATGAGGCTGGAAACCATCATCCTTGGCAAACTAACACAGGAACAGAAAACCAAACACTGTGTGTTCTCACTCATAAGTGGGAGTTGAACAATGAGAACACATGGACACAGGGAGGGGAACGTCATACACTGGGGCCTGTCAGGAGGTAGGGGGCTAGAGGAGGGAGAGCATTAGGGCAAATACCTAATGCATGCAGGGCTTAAAACCTAGGTGACGGGTTGATAGGTGCAGCAAACCACCATGGCACATGTATACCTATGTAACAAACCTGCACATTTGGCACATGAACTTAAAGTAAAATAAAATTTAAAAAAGAAGATGCTAAATTCATGTTTGGATTTACTTTCTTCTTTTTTTGATATGTAAAACTGCATGCTTTTTGCTAGCTTGACCTCCATTCATTTCTGCCCCAGGACTAGGGAATGCGTGCTTTGAAATCAGAACTACCTAGAAGTGGTTAAATTAAAAATCTTGTGCTTAGTCAGTTGCAAGTGAATTTTCTGATAACTGAGATAAGTTAGTTTTCCAACTTCCACAGCTAATAGAGAATGGCCTTTCTTTCTAAATAAAAGTTTGTAATGATAGGACTGTAATGTAAATACCACTCTCAAAAATAATTGTGTTGGTTCAGATCTACTATACTTCAGAATGAGGTTGACTGACCCTGATTATAAGAGTATATGACTACTATGTTAGTGTTTGCATATAATAACCCATTCTGCCATTGACTATATATGCTATGCCACTAAAGAGTCTTTGTAGAAATTAATGGTAAACAAAGGGTACATTATCAACCTCTTATTGTTGAGAAGTAGATTCTGAGGGTTTTTTAAATAATAGGGCTTCATTTGCGCTGAGTTAACCATATCCTCTCATCTAGTTCTTGGAAATAAATGACATGCATTCAACCAGAATGAATAGCCAGGATTATGAGAGAAATTTGTAGCTATGGGACAAAACAAAGGCAACTAGACTGTTAAGGTGGAAATGGCAAATGTGTCACCGATATCATTGAGTCTACCTAATCTGTCATGGTACTTTATCATTGAGCCCAGATTGGCCCATGAATCTTTCCTGCCAGATTAGGAATAAACCTCATTTGTTGGTCATGTTTGCATTAGTCTGTACCAATCTAGCCATTCAGGATTTTGGTATCCAGAATTTAAGCCCTTCGGATTCCCCTGGAGTAAAAGTAAAATGGCAGACAAGTTGAGAGAAATTGATCTGTCCATTTCCCTCATTGATGACAGTGTGTGAACACAGATTGGTTTTTCTGTTTTATCAGCCTTGCTGCTTTGTTTCATTGTTCCCAGTGTTCTTCTTGGCCATTTAAATTAGGCAAGCAGAGTACATTCTTGTCTTCCCCCTGTATTTTCTAGAAACATCTTTATTGAGGTAAAATTGACATACAATAAACTATATATAGAGTATACGAGTTGGTAAATTTTACATATGTATATATCCATGAAAACATCACCACAATCATCACAGTGAACCTACCTACCACCCCTAAAAGTTTCCTTTCACTGCTTTATAATGCCTATATCCTCCACTCCCCACACACCCCAGTCCAGGCAACTACTGATCTGCTTTCCCTCACTATATATTAGTTTGCATTTTCTGGATACTTACATACCTGGAAGCACACAGTATGTAGACTTTTTATTTGGCCTCTTTAACTCAGCATAATTATCTTGATATTTGTTTATGTCGTTATATTATTTATATTAATAGATCATTCCTTTTTATGTCTCAGTAGTATTCCATTGTATGGATGTACCAGAGTTTGCATTCATTTGCCTATTGATGTTCTTTATTTCCAGCTTTGGCTCTTACAAATAAAGCTTCTATGAGCATTTGTGTACAAATCTTTGTAAGGACATGTGATTTTATTTATCTTTGGTAAATATTGAGGGTTGGAATAGTTAGATCATATGGTAAGTGTACATATAACTTTATAAGACATGAAGATATCTAGGGCCAACATTGCTCTGCACCCACCTAACAAAGCTTAATAGCAAGACCCAAAAGGATAAAAATGTTGCCAAGTAATTTAAGCACACACTAGAACAAAGCTTTATACGCAAATATATACAGACAGTCCCCAACTTACAATGGTTCAACTTATAATGATTCAACTTAATTTTTTTTTACTTTATGATGGTTTAAAAGCAATACACATTCAGCAGAAAAAATACTTTGAGTACCCATACAACCATTCTGTTTTTCATTTTTGGTATAGCATTCTATAAATTACATGAGATAGTCAGCACTTTATTATAAAGATAGCCTCTGTGTTAGATGCTTTTGCTCATCTGTAAGCTAATGTAAGTGTTCTGAGCACATTTAAGGTAGGCTAGACTAAGTTATGATGTTCAGTGGATTAGGTGTATTAAAGGCATTTTTGACTTACAATATTTTCAGGTTACAATGGGTTTATCAGAATGTTACCCCATTGTAAGTCGAGGAACATCTATCTATGAATTCAAAATCTGTTTTGAGTATTCTATTCAATGCCCATGAATTATGAGGTTTTCCACTGTGGATGTTGGAAACAGTGACTATTTCCAGCCCTGTTTCAGATTCAGAAGTTGTTTCTTTTATTCCTTTCTGATGGCTCTTTCTCCATTCTCAGATGGTTTTCTTGCACGCATGTGCTGTCCAGAGTGCAGGTGAATATGCAGGGGGGACCCTCTGAAGATCTATGGAATTCTTTTTCTGTGCAGTTCTCTCCTCTCTGGTACTCCGTACTGCAAACTCTAGCTATCTTGGCCTTCCCGCACTACCAGCTTAGTCTTCTCAACTCAAAGAGACTACCAGGCTCTACCTGTGATCCCCCTCCTTGTCCTGAGGCCTGGAAACTCTTACAGGGTTTACCTAATTTGTTTCTCATATCTCAGGGATTGTTGTCCTTCATTATCTGTTGTCCAATGCCTGAAAACTGTTGTTTCATACATTTTGTGTGGCTTTCGTTGTTGTCATTTAAGGCAGGAGAATAAATTTGGTTGCTGTCACTCCATCTTGTTTGCAAGTGGAAGTCTTCTCCAGAATTTAATGTTTTCCTCTGAATGGAATTCAAATTTGCAAGTTCCTGATGAGTGTCCAAAAAGTTATTTTCTCAATCTTTCCCAACTTAGAAAATTTATTCATTCATTCATTCATTTATTTATTTATTTATGATGAGGTCTCACACTGTCACCTAGGCTTGAGTAACAGTGGTGCAGCCTCAAACTCAGGGGCTCAAGTGATCCTCCCAGTCTCTCAAGTAGCTGGGACTACAAGCACATGCCACCACACCTGGCTAATTTTTTTTTTAATTGAGACAGAGTCTCACTTTGTTACTCAGCCTGGTTTCAAACTCCTGGCTCAAGCAATCCTCCCACCTTGGCTTCCCAAAGTGGTGGGATTATAGTCAAGAGCCACCCACATCCAGCCAGAATTTCTTTTTTCTATCCCTGACTTATTTTTTTTAGTAACATTCTCTGAGTTCCTGAAAACAGGCTGTCAGAAGAGCTACATACCCACTCCAGGGCATTCTACAAACTTACTGAGATGATAAATTCTATCTGGGATATGGCATGAAACTGGTTGATGAGAATGACAAAAGAAGTTTCTATTCAAGCCAGCTTAAAGATGGTCTTTTACCAAGGCTTTGTGACTAGTTTCAGTAAAATTTCCCCAGTTCTACACCCTAGAGTACATTTCTGAAGAATTTTAACAGGCAATTATTTCCCAGTTCATTATGCCAAAAAGTATAGTGTAGAAAGCTTCCTTTGTGTGACTATTTCAGTCAGAAGATGATACTGAGTACTTGTTCTCCATTAGTCTAATATTATAAATTGTATTTTCCTGAATTCACAGCCAGTGGGCTGCTGTCTTTCTCCTCTTGCCAAATTTGTGGAACATCTGTTATTTGAAACAGACAGCTAATTTACCAAAATAACAATTTTTCAATTTGCATTGGTAGGCATTGTTTTATGTTAAGCTAAACCACCTCAAATGTGTCAGAATTGGGTTCAAGTTGTTAACCCTTTCAAGAGTGGTTCCATGTTAACTACTAATTTTTAAACTTTGGTGTTTAGGGTCACTCTTTGCCTAGAAGTAGTCTAAGTTCTGAGGGGATGGCAATACCACCTTAGAATGTAATTTATTCTGTAGTTGATGATGGACGCTGACTCTGTTGTACCATTCTATCTTGGCATCTTTACTCATTCATCACAAAGTAAATGCTTACAGAGAAGTATAGAATGTTACAGAAATAATATTGCTTGCCTCTATGAGTATGTATTTGAAGCACTCACAAGTGTTTTTAATGGTTATTTAACTCTAGCTCATTGATCTCACTTCTCTAGATAGAATTGTGCAGCAGATTGATGTAGTTTAAAATTTCAGACACACACACACACGCACACACACACGCACCCATTGACCAAAAAGCTGCACATACTTAGTGAACATAATGGAAATACACAAGTATACCTGGAAGACCACAATGGGCAACAAGGATTCAGGTTCCAACGAGTTATGACCAGCCAGAAAATTGGGCCAGCACATGTAAGAAATGAGAAATTTTTAGGGCCATTGAGCACCATGCATTTTCAGTGTTCAGTAGCCCTGAAAATTTCTCATTTAGGCCAGGAAGTCTCTGTCTCATTCAAAATGTTGAAATAAAGGGAACATGCACAGGTTCTCATTGATCTAAATTTCTGTTGAAGTCCAGGACCTCCCACCATCTTTTCTAGTCCCTGATTCTTTTTCCAGACTCTTATTACAAATATTGTAGAGCAAGCATCCAATTTTTGTCATTGTAGTGGTAACTGCTGAGTTAGCTTCAAAACAAGTGCTCCCATCTTATGTGAATACAGTCTAAATGGAGCCGTTCACTAAGGTGAAAATTAGTTTAAGGAAATAGTTAGCATTTGCTTATTCCCACATCAAATTTTCTTCCTCTTCTTAGATTGCTGAAGGATATTTTAATCTCTCTCTAAATATGATTGGAGTTGTTTTGATTTCTTCCAGGTTTCTACCTCGTCTTCTTTCCTTTTGAGTCCTGATACAATTCTGTGTCCTCTGATTTGAGCCATTTTTACAGATTTTTAATTCATTGTACTCCTGAGAGCATCCTTTTTTTGATATTAACATAGCCTTTTAACTGCATTCTGGGATGTCTCCAGTTAGCTAATATTGGTCACAAAGCATGAATGTTTCTACTTCAGGCTTTTAACTCTGCCCAGATTTGTTGCCATGCTTTTCCGTATACTGACAGATGGAGAAATCTTGAAAATTAAATAAGGCATAATTAGTAGGTCCTGAGTGCCGAGATAATGGGTGCATTTGGAACTGTCAAGGGGAGATTAGGCTCCAGGAAGCTTAGTTATTTTATTTAAGTCATCTTATAACCACAGGCTCCAGTCTTGCACATGGGAGCATTCCATCTCTCACTCCTGTGCCCCAGAAAAAGCTGATGAGCCCTCAGCAGAAAAATAAAAGTCAGGTTTAGACAATGTGCCTTTATTACCTTGTTATCATTAGGGGCTTAAAAAGGCTCTGTGTGGAACTTCCCAAAGGACATGACAAGGTCCTGTTAACTCACTCTGCTCACTGCCTAGTATAGCACTGTACATTTGATAAAACATTTTCATGAAGAAAGGAGGAAATTAAATTGAACTAATTTTCTAAGACTAAGAGAAATCAGAGGAGACTATTTTGTTTTGATTTCTTTACTTTAAATTGAGTGGGTGTTCAGTGAAGCTGTGTTTAAGTAAATTTACTTGAACTGATTTGGTTGACAATTTGATACCGTTTTCTTTTTAAAGCCCTCAAACTGAGAAATAGAAAATGGTACCCAGTAGTGAAAATTATTTGCCTCTTATCTGGTGTTACTTACTTCTTTGTCTCTGTATTTCTTGCTTAAGATTGTAATAATCCATTGCATTTTTCCCTGGAGCCAGTAATGAATTATTAGTGGGTCAGTAATATTTTTAATTGTGTGAATTTTATTCATTATGTTTCCAATAGCCATGTTGTAAATGGATACTTTTATATTTGATGAGTAACAATTTACTCAGTTGCTTTTTACATTTTAAGTTGTAGATTCTCTGTTTCTCTATCAATAATCTTGCAATTCATAGTAGGTACATAGGCTGTATCAATACTTTAATATAGCAGGAATTATAATTATGGCACAAGATCTTATTTAACTAATATGTACTATATCCTTCACAAAGAAGTATAAATGGCTCCTTGATTCATGAAACTACTAACTCTTTTCCCATTTGAACACATTGACCATTACATATGTTGGATAACAGGTTCGGGTTATAATTATAGAATTTTAGAACAAGGCAGTTACGTAGAGATTTATTTCTAGTTGGATCCATACATCTTACAAATGAGAAAACTAGCCCCCAAAATGTTAAGTGACTTATCCAAAAACCAAATGGATAATTAATAACACTTGCTTCTGCATGTAATCTATAAGGGTTGTTATGAGTCACAGTAATTAAACTAATAATTCTATCCCCTCCCCCCTCTCCTTTATTTTGGAAATGGGCTATACTCTTTAAAAGTTATATCCCAAATTTCTCAGGTCATGGTTAAAATTAATCACACTTCTTGACTTCCAATTACTTATTTGGAGCATAATGCCTTAAAGCTCACTTTTTAGAGGAAGCATGGGGAGGTAGAATTTTAGAAAAAATAGTCTTGAGCTTATCAGAAACACAGAAATTGGCCGGGTATGGTGGCTAATACTTGTAATGCTTGAGTCCAGGAGTTCAAGACCAGCCTGGGCAACACTGGGGGGAGCTCTTCTCTACAAATAATTTTAAAATTATCTGTGTGTGGTGGTGCATGCCTGTAGTCCCAGCTACTCAAGAGGCTGAGGTGGGAGGAGGATCACCTGAACCTGGGAGGTCGAGGCTGCAGTGAGCCAAGATCGTGCCACTGCACTCCAGCCTGAGTGACAGAGTGAAACCCTGTCTCAAACAAACAAAACAAAACACAGAAATGGCATTTCTAGAAAAACACTGATACAGATAGCTATAACTTTCCTTCTCAAGTTTTGATAAATGGCTTCTTTAGGCTGAACACCTGATGATCAACCCCTAGATTCAGAAAGTAGAGTCATTTATTTTTTTTTCAGTGCTTCATAGCATTTAAAAAAAAATTATTAATTTGTTAGCATTAGTAGATGTCTAAGGTGGTCCTATGTGCCAGACCAGCTCTACTCAATCTCATGATCCTCAACCATAAATGTTTCCCTAGCTGCTGAAAGCTTAGCAGTGATGAGTTTCATCCTTAGTTTCCCTCCTAAATTTGATGTTCAACTCTTATGTGTCTAGGACAAAAGTACACCCTAGAAGATCACTGAGAAATCATGCATCAGTCGGGCATAGTGGCTCATGCCTGTAATCCCAGTACTTTGGGAGGCTGAAGCAGATGGATCGCCTGAGGTCAGGAGTTCGAGACCAGCCTGGCCAACATGGTGAAACCCCGTCTCTACTAAAAATACAAAAATTAGCTGGGCATGGTGGCAGGCACCTGTAATCCCAGCTACTTGGGAGGGTGAGGCAGGAGAATCACTTGAACCCGGGAAGTGGAGGTTGCAGTGAGCCGAGACCACACCATTGTGCTCCAGCCTGAACAACAAGAGCAAAACTCAATCTCAAGAAAAAAAAAAAAAAGAAGAAGAAGAAGAAAGAAAGAAAAAATAAATCATGCATCAGTTAGTCTTCATGGCCTCTTGGCTTAGATATAAGCAAGATGACATTTTGACTACCTTTTTGTTCGTGTTACATTTACTTTATTCCACTAGAGAGAAAAGAGCAAGACCTCCTTCTAGCTGTGAAAATTGATTCAAAAGTCTCCTTGTTGTTTTAATATCTGGTGGTGTACAATCAACTAAAAATCTTTGTAGGGGTATAATTGAAGTATAATAAACTACACTTACTACGTATACTTAAGGTGTGCAATATGATAAACTTTGGCATGTATACACCTGTGAAACTATCACCACAATCAAGGTAACGGACATTTAGATCACCCCAAAGTTTTTTTGTGTCCCTTGTTATCCATCTCTCCCTCCACCCTTTTCCCCAGGCAACCACGTATTGGCTTTATGTCACAGTAGATTAGTCTGAATTTTCTAGAATTTTATATAAATGGAAGCATACCATATGTAGATTTTTGTCTGTCTTCTTTCACTTAGCAGAGTCATTTTGAAGTCCATAACATTGTTATGCATCAATAGTCCATTCCTTTTTAGGACTGAGTAATATTCCATTATGTAAATATACCACAGGTGGATTATCCATTCATGTGTTCATAGATACTTGGGACATTTGTACTTTTTAGCTATTTTTGAATAAAGCTGGTATGAACAACTTTGTACAGTTTTGGACAGAAGTTTTCATTTCTTTGTGATAAATGTCCAAGAGTCCAATTGCTCTTTTGGTAAGTATGGCTTTAACTTTTCAGAAAACTGCCACACTTTTTTCTTATGTGGTTGCACAGTTTTACTTTCTCACCACCAGTGTATGAGAATTGCAATTGCTCCACATTCTTTCTCAACACTTCTTGTGGGCAGAATTTTTTTTAGCCATAGTAGTGGGTATGTAGTGGTATCTCATTGTGGCTTTAGTTTGCATTTTCATGGTAACAGTGATGTTGAGCATCTTTTCATTTGCTTATTGGCCACCTCTATTGTTTGTTGTGAAGTGTCTCTTTAAACTTTTTGCCCACTTAAAAAATTGAATTTCAACCATTGCGGAAAGCAGTAGGGCAATACCTTAAAGAGCTAGAAGCAGAACTACCATTCGACCCAGCAATCCCATTACTGGTTATATACTCAGAGGAATATAAATCATTCTACCATAAAGACGTATGCACTCAGATGTTCATTGCAGCACTATTCATAATAGCAAAGACATGGAATCAACCTAAATGCCCATCAATGACAGATTGGATAAAGAAAATGTGGTACAGACTAGGTGTGGTGGCTCACACCTGTAATCCCAGCATTTTGAAAGGCCAAGGCAGGAAGATCGCTTGAGTCCAGGAGTTCGAGACCAACCTGGGCAACATGAAGAAACCCTATCTCTATAAAAAATATGAAAAATTAGCCAGGTGTGATGGCATGTGCCTGTAATCCCAGCTACTCAGGAGGCAGAGGTGGGAGAATCACCTGAGCCCAGAAGTCAGGGCTGCAGTGAGCCCTGATCACGCTGCTGAACTTTATCTTCTCTAGAGAATATGTAGTACTTTAGGTAACAAGGTTATATGTACAAGGCTAGAAAACAACTACTTGTGGTGCGTTGTAAGTGCTTTATAGATAATGCATCTTTTGGGAATTTTGAGCACCACCAAGACGTTTGTGTATTTAGGAAAATATTTTACAATGGTGACATTGATTTCAAGAAAAGGAAATGAGGCATTTCAATAAACATCGGTTACTATAAGTAAGTGAAACTTTTTCTCTTTTCTTTTTTTATGCTTTACCACTTAAAAAAGAAGAGCAACTGATAGCTAATTTGGATTGTTACTTTTTCTAATTATAGATTGACAAGAAAGTGTACTTTTATCTGACTGTATTTAATTAGAGAATTTATGAGTCAGTCTTTGTAGGCAAAGCAGGATATAGTTACAATAGAAAATAAATTGTTTATTCTATGTAATTTTTAATCAGATTACACAGCATTTTCTTAGAAGGGAGCAAATCCATGTTCTAATTTCCTTTTGAATGGGAAAAATATCTCTTTAATAAAAAAGAAATCTGCTTACATCTGTCAGTGCTTTTTAAAAAACTTTATCTGGTGTTTTATTAATCTGGAATGACAAATTGGACCTACATTTATTTTTATTTGCTCAACCTTTTCCAACGAATGCCATGACTCAGATGCTCATATTAAAATCTTTGGAAAGCCACATCTCATATGCCGTTGTATGAGTGAAACTAAATGCAAGTCTGTGCTCTTGGAAGTAAATTTTCTAGTTAGTGCCCTGAATCCAGGGGAAATAAATGGAGACACTTCACAGCAATTCAGAGCAAAAACTCCCTTTCTTGTATCTTTAAACAGAATTAAAGATGATGCAGCAAAATCTGTGGTAATGCCATGATAAGTTTGCACCCTCACTACTACCCATTCCCTGGATCCCATCCACTTCAAGTAAATCTCTAGGGCAGTCGATTTCAAAGTATGATCCCTGGACCAACAGCATGGGTCTCACCAGGGAAGTCATTCGAAATGCAGATTCTTTGGCCCTACTCCACACCTGCTGAATCAGAAACTTAAATTGGAAGGCACGGATGGGAGTGGGGTGCAGCAATCTATGTTTTAACAAGCCTTCTAGGTGATTCTGAAGCAGCCAAGTTTGAGAGCCACTGTTCTAGGGGAGTGAAGTAAGTTGTTACAGACCTATATAAAATTCATTTCTTGCAGCTTCAAGCTGAAAGGTTTATTACCAGGTTGCTGTAGCAACAACTGCACAGTAGGATTGGATAATGAAACATTGTGAAATTAAGAGGCATGAATATTAGCTGATCCCAATATTCTAGATTGCTAAAATTTATATTGGGCAAAATGGATTTTTACTTTTAGCCTTATGGCAGGAAGAAGCATGGTTTCATAAAATGTTATGTTTGACAAGTGGAAACCACGACTATTTTTTGAATACTACTCCTTTGGAATTTAGCCAAGTTTTTGTAGAAAAAGGGAATTACTCTTAAATACATTCATCATGGAAATCAAAAGGTAACATACTCAGCAGTGACTTATAACCCTGAAAGAGTTAATTTTTAATTGAATATTTCTAATACATTATAGTAGCTTTATTTGCCTACTATATGTTTCACAAAGCACAGTGCTATGCACCTAGTGGTATTAAGTAAACAATAAGAATTTTTTGTTAAACCCTTATTTGGTAATTATATGCCCCAAAAATAGTTATTTTAAAAATATATTCATATTCTGCTTGCTTTCCTCTAGTGTATGGTCTAAAATCCAGTACTTTCTGTATTCAGAGAATTAAATTCATGTTAGAGTTTGCATTTTATTGATATGTGCTAAGGATTAGATGCACTCAGTTAAGCTCCTTCCCAGCCAAATGACATATCCTGTCTCTGATGTCAGTCTGAGAAAATCCTGTATGGTGTACTACATCTCCGGATTACCTTATCTAAGTATTACATGGACATTTCAGATGATATGTCTTGGCATGTGGTCATTTTTCATTAACTTATTAGCAATTGTTAAATCATCTTTTCCCCTTTTTGACACCTTGCTATAACTGAATGTAAAATTGACTGTAAGACTGAATGCCTGATATTCATGCAGTAAGTTGATGGGGCATCGTTGTTGTATACCAGAAACCATGCCTACATGGGTGTTTTAGGAAAAAGGGCTCTGTTGCTATCTGATGTGAGCTATGAAAAAATAATATCTATCCTCTGGAGTTTATTTTCCTCAACTATAAAAAGAAGGAATTCGTTGCATCATCTTTAAGGTTCTGAAAATTTTATAACTCTAAGATCTAGGGGGAAAGGAGAGGAAATCCAATCCATGAACCACTGCCAAGGTACAATATATGACTAAATTTTTGTGTGTATTTATTGGAAAAAAATGAATTACATAGAATAATTAGCATAAAGTCAGCCTTGAACTCCGTTAAAATCAATGGAAAATAATGATATTAGGTACTGATGATTTAGAGTTTAAATTAACATGTTTTAGGAAAAATACTTTAGAAAAGTGCATTTGAACTTAATGCTTTTTTCTCAGAGTTTTCACATTGAATTATTTATTCTTAAATCCAATGTGTATGGAATACTTAGAAAAGCAAATCATTTTAATATTTTAAGCATAGGTACACTCTGCAGATCATATATATTCTTCCTAGAAAAGAAATATCTTTTAAAGGACACCTCTCTACACTTTATACTCCTCTGCACTCACTTATTTCATTACATTTTGTGAAACCTAAAATTGTAGCTATAGAACTATTTTGGGCGCGCTTTTTCCAGAACCTTGTAAGAATCAACAGGAGCATAATTTTAAGCTACAGAAGTGCAAAATAAGCACAGAGTCCTAGCTACCATGAATAAAAGGCCAGAATTCTAACTTGCAAAAACACGTAATTACTACCAATGGGGGAGAGGGGAATGAGAACAAAAAGTAGAATTTTCTGGGGGATTTCTTCATACTTCTAAACGTTTTCTCTGAACTTTGTTTCTTCTCAGAGATGGAATTCTGTGAAACCTCTCACACTCTGTGCTCTGGCTACCAAACAGACATGCACAGCGTTTCTCGGCATGGCTACCAGCTAGAGATGGGATCTGATGTGGACACAGAGACAGAAGGTGCTGCCTCACCTGACCATGCACTAAGAATGTGGATAAGGGGAATGAAATCAGAGCATAGTTCCTGTTTGTCCAGCCGGGCCAACTCTGCATTATCCTTGACTGACACTGACCATGAAAGGAAGTCTGATGGGGAAAATGGTAATAAACTACTTGAATTGTTTAAGTAAAACACAGAAAGAATGCAGTTTTTAGCCTTTGCTTTGTTCTCCTTCCCTATATCTGCCCTTCTTTCATTTAATATGCAGAATGGAAATACAAGTTAGCAGGGACTCATGGACAAGGCATGCACCTAAGTATCTGGCAAATAGACATTTATTTATAATAACAGACAAAATACTTTTCATTTTCGGTGAGCCCCCAAGGGAAATAATCTCATGTAATCCATAATATCGTGCATGTTTTGTTTATTACTCACCTTTTATTTTCATCTTTATTTTCCACGGCAATACTAGTAGAATTTATTATAGAATGTCCAAATTTCATGTATTTTGGCTTTATATCAATAAATGAACAGTGAGATGAACAGTTGTGTAGCAAGCATATTCTGTATGTGCTTACTATTTGGATTCAGATTAACCTGTTGAATGTACAAACGCAAATTAACCAGGTTGGACTGAAGTGGTTTAAAAAACCAGAAGGTGAATGAACATCATCCATTTGCTTGACAATAAGGACTAGCAGCAGTATCATTATGTCATAATCATATATGATTTTCTTGCAACTTTTATAAAAGGAAAATTTTGTCTTTTTGATTTGTTGGAAAGGGGTTAATTTATTTTATTTCTGTTCTTTTGCTCCTACCAGAGAACAAAATCTTTTCATAAAAAGCACATTACTGCTTATTAAACACATTAGTCTCTCCATCATTCTGTTTGTGTACATTTTATAAGTCCCCATTACCATGACCACAAGGCTTACTCTGTTAACAGTGGTAATTAGTACTTTTTCAGGTGGCAGAGAGATAGCCAGCTGCCCTGTACCTGCAGTTTGTTTTTTCTATTTTGTCCTCTTCTGCCTCCTTTAATCCAAAGGTGATACTGGCCATATAATCAGGAATTAGAGGTTGCCTACTAGTTAGAATATCACGTCCTAAATAGTAGACCATAACACTTTACAATATCACCAAGTATCCTTGGGGTCTTGATTTTTTTTAGATTATTTTCATATATGTATGTGTTCATGTATGCATTGTTGACTTTGGCCAAGAGTATAGGAAGTAACGTACGGAAATGAGAAGGGAACATATTTGACATATGTAGCATATTCATGTAAGTGAAAGGCATTAGGATAGAAGTTAGGAGACCTTTGACTGGTCACTACAGTTTTCTGGGTTTCGTCTTTCAGTTGGGAAAAACAATGATCAAAATTATATGAAATGGGGTGGTAGGTGATCTCTTATATTGGCAAGACATCTTCTCCTTCATCTCACTCTGGACATATTCACTGGGTTGAAACATTAAAATGAAAGAAGTTTCCCCACTGGGCTCTGCTATTCTTCTACCTTTGCAAGTCTCTTGTTATGAGGTATCTTTTGGGGTGATGAAAATATTCTAGACTTAGATAGATGTGATGGTTGTGCAACTCTGCAAAAATACTAAAAACCACTGAATTGTATGCTTTAAAAGGATGAATATTACATATGTGAATTATATTGCAATAAAGCTGGGTTTTTTTTAAGCACCACTAGATGAAGGGTAAGGGTTGAAGTTTGAGGAATTGCAGATGACTTGGACAAGGCTTAACTAGTGAAATGTTTACTGTTACAGGTTTCAAATTCTCTCCTGTTTGTTGTGACATGGAGGCTCAAGCTGGGTCTACTCAAGGCAAGTGTTTTCAAATATTTGATCACAAATTATTTTTACTTCACCCCATCCCTGGCACCCTACCCCCACAAAATGGAACCCTGCTTCTCTGACAAACAACATACAAGCCTGCTCAATGAACCTGTCAGAGAATACAGTGGCAGCTTATTTGTTTGTTTTCTTCTTGAAAATTTCATGTGAAAATGTTGGTGGTGAAGAGGAGGTGAAGGGGGAGCTAGGGAGAAGGATAAAACAGGATTCCAGGTAGGATGAGAAAACATTTATTTAACCTGGGAGGAGAGACTGAAATCAGGTTGGGTTGGATTTGGCTTCATGACTTTCTACAAATCTACCATGTTTTACATGGCTCTCATAATTAACTCAGTATAGTTTAGGTATTGTCATAACTTTCAGATGTTGCCTAGCAGTTGGCCTTGGTCTCTTCCTCCAGGTGTTCATGCTTGGCTTTAGCATCACACTTTATCCATGTCATCAATCATAAATAACACTTTCAAATGAAAAAAAAATGTTCATTCTCTTCTGTAAACCTATATTTACACTGTGTCATTCCTTAGTAAGGGGGCATTGGTGTATATTTTTACTTTTGCCTTCATTGTGTTCATTGGGTTTTGCCCCTTTGGAGAGGGATACTACTGAAAGTAACATTTATAAATGGTTTTCACAACTGGGCCTGTGCTGGGCCCTTCTCTAACACCTCGTGGTAGGGTCCAAGCATCCCACCACAGGGCAGTGACTCAAAAATGGGATGAAACTAGTATATAAGGATTTAGAACAGTGTTTTTAACATGTAGGAAGAATATGAATGTTCACTGTTATTATTGGATTAGCATTTCAAAATTTCCAAACACACTTTTCATATCTTTATCCCATTTCATCCTTATGACCACTCTGTGAAACAAATTCTATTATTTCCATTTTACATATGAGGAAGTATTAAAACAGCAATTCAGAAACAATCTAGTTGAATGCAATGGATTATTTTCCAAGTATGCTTTGCTTTCTCCTTTGGATCATGTGTGTATGCAATATGTAAACTTGAACAACTTTTCCCTGCTCTGTTCTGTATGTCTTACTTTGACTCCTACTAATATTTTCAATAAGGAGTATATAATTTGGGTCCTTATTTATCACCTATGGTAAGATTTTACCAATGTGGATTCCACAGATTTTAATTGATGACAACCATGCCTGGCCTGCCTTCAGCATTTCCATAGATCCTTGAGGAGTTGGTTTGAGTTAAGATAAGAGTGTAAATGGCTTTTCCAAAAGCATGTTAATTTGAGGAAACAAGTTATTTCCAATGAATGAACTTGGTGTTTGTGTGGAAATGTTGCTATTTATTTCCCATTGACTTTATCCATTCATGAAAGCATGCTTATCAAGGCATCTATTTTATTAATTTGAGTTTATACATGTTATATCTGAAAAAGTAAAACTACTTAGAATATTTTTTATGTATATGTTTTGCTACCTCAGACTCCATGCCAGCCCATCCCTGTGGCTCAATTAATGTTAATGACATTTTGTTTTGTTTCTGTCTTCATATACTTTCTGAATTTTAGATTATCGATGAGGCAGTGGGCATGATATCATGGATCAGCTTAGGAACATTTGAGCCTCACTTGCTCTGAATGTTAGAAAAAGTGAAGATGGAGGAAATTGTTAATTTAGGTGAATTGTCCAACTGAGAAATATTCTGAGAAGTAATTTCAAAGATGCTTACTATTCTATTCATCCTAGGAGAATATTACTTTGGTTTTCTACTTACATTTCCAAAATCATGTTTATAAGGACTTGTTTCTTTTATTTCATTAATTGGCCAAGCCTTTCAGAATTTTTTTCCTCATTTCCTTAACTCTGTTTGGTTGCCCTTAATTGAATTTATGTCTCTGACATTTTATAACTCATGAAGGATTATAAGAAATAACCCTTAATTTCAACACTAAAACACTTGAACTTAAAGGCCTGAAGTACTGGAAGGGAAATCATCAGGTGACAGAAGGGGATCTGGAGCCTTTCACAGGGGTATCAGAGCACTAATGCATTATGTTTCCATTCTCTCAAATTTGTCCTAAGTAAACCCTTCATCATCTGTTGATGCTGAATTGTCTGTCAAGAAAGATGCAGATTCATTCAAGTTAGCTTCATTCTGGGACCTGTGAACAGTCAATACCTAGGTGATACTTTGATATCAACCATCATGCTTTATTCTATGTCATTTTTATTCCCATTTCACCTTACTAACAACATTACTACTCTTCATAGACTAATACTAGAGTTGTGTATTTTATATCCTAACAATCATTGTTAATAAGCACTAGACTGGAAGCTACTTGAAGAAAGGGTCTAATTTATTCACTTTTGTAGCTTCAGTACTTAGCAAGGGGACCTAGAGCACAGTAGGCACTAAATAAATGAAAAATATGCATTGTTCTAAGGGTAAAATATATTTTTTGTTGATCTTGTCTTGTGTGACTCTCATAAGGATAAAAGTGCTACAGTGTGTCAGACCTCTGGTCATCTAATATACAACTCTGTCTCTGACAGGTGATCTAATGGTCATTTAATTTTTTTATCTTTAGTTATGGGTACATAATAGGTGTACATATTTATGGGTACATGTGATTTTTTTTTTTTTTTGACAGAGTCTTGCTCTGTAGCCAGGCTGGAGTGCAGTGGTGCGATCGTGGCTCACTGCAACCTCTGCCTCCTGGGTTCAAATGATTCTCCTGCCTCAGCCTCCCAAGTAACTGGGACTACAGGTGCACACCACCACATCCAGCTAACTTTCGTATTTTTAGTTTAGACAAGGTTTCACCACGTTGGCCAGGATGGTCTCAATCTCTTGACCTCGTGATCTGCCTGCCTCGGCCTCCCAAAGTGCTGGGGTTACAACATGTGATGTTTTGATACAGGCATACAATGTGTAATCAGGGTAATTAGGGTATCCATCACCTCAAGCATTTATCATTTCTTTGTTAGGAACATTCCTATTCCAATATTTTAGTTATTTTAAAATATATGATGTTAACATTGACTACAGTCACCCTGTTGTGCTATCAAATGCTAGATCTTATTCATTCTATCTTACTATATTTTTGCACCTATTAACCTTCCCCACCTTTTCCCCCACTTCCCTCTACCCTTTTCAGCCCCTGGTAACCATCCTTCTACTCTCTATCTCCGTAAGTACAATTGTTTTGATTTTTAGTTCCCACAAATCAGTAAGAAGATGACGTTTGTCTTTCTGTGCCTGACTTATTTCACTTGACATAATATCTTCCAATTCCATTCATGTTGTTGCAAATGACAAGATTTCATTCTTTTAATGGCTGAATAATATTATATTATGTATATGTACTACGTTTTCTTTATCTATTCATCTGTTGATGGACATTTAGGTTGCTTCCATGTCTTGGCTATTGTAAATAGTGCTATGATATGTTTCCTTTCTTTTGCATGTATACATAGTAGTGGGATTGCTAGAGCATATGGTAGTTCTATTTTTAGTTTTTTTTAGGGTACCTCCATACTGCTCTTCATGGTGACTGTACTAAATTACATTCCCACCGACAGTATATAAGTGTTCCCATTTCTCCACATCCTTGCCAGCATTTGTTATTGCCTGTCTTTTGGGTAAAAGCCATTGTAACTGGGGTGAGATGCTATCTCATTGTAGTTTTGATTTGCAGGTCTCTGATGGTTAATGATGTTGAGCATTTTGTCATATACCTGTTGGCCATTCATGTGTCTTCTTCTGAGAAATGTCTATTCTTTTGCCCATTTTAAAATCAGATTATTTAATTTTTGTTTCCTATTGAGTTGTTTGAGCTTCTTATACATTCTGGTATTAATCCCTTGTCAGATGGGTAGTTTGCAAATATTTTCTCCCATCTTTACTTTCTAATAAGCATTTCTTAGAAGACTTTGACAGTCCTACTTAAGTATCAACCTCAGTGATTAGGGTACCCCTCAGCAGTTACATTTGGCTACACATTGAACTGGAGGAAAAAACAGTATCAACAGCTAAATTTGAATAATCAATTTCCAAGAATGTGTTTTTCACATGTGGCCTGAATGGAACAGTTGAACTATAAAATGTGAAAATAAAAATTGTTTATCAAGAAGCTAAATGGAAACACATTTTCTAGGTAGTGAAAAAGTATTGTAATCTTTAATAAAATATAAATTGCAAATAAATTATTTATAGTTATAGCCTTGATGATAATGATATTTCTGTTCAAGAAATATTTATTAAGCACCTTCTCTTTGCCAAACTGTGTACTAGAGATTGGGAATATATGAAAGATGAATAACACACATTCCCCAATGTCAAGGAATTTACCGTCTACTGGGAGAGATTGATGCCCTATTAGTTAAGATCGCCTATTATGGGTAACAGGAATCAACTTGAGCTAGCTTAAACTGAAAACAATTGTATTAAAAGTACATAAGAATACAAGGTGACTGTAGTCAGTAATAGTCTGATTGTACATTTTAATATAACTAAAATAGTGAAATATGATCAGTTGTAATACAAAGGATAAATGCTTGAGAGGATGGATACCTCATTTTATATGATGTGATTAATATGCATTGCAGGCCTATATCAAAACATCTCATGTACCCCATAAATATATATACCTACTAGGTACCCACAAGAAATACAATTTAAAAAAATAAAGTACGTGAGAATGCTCCATTGGACTCAGGGCAAGAGTGTGGCTATACCACAAGAAGGGACTTGTTGCAGTCCCTTAACAATTCTCAGAAGAATTGTTAAGACCTTGCTTTTTGTTTTGAAACCCATCTCCTTCAACACTGTCTCTGCAGGTTGAGTTTCTCTAAGTTTCCATCTACAGGACAGGTATAAAAACCCCATACCCCATAAAACCTTAGTTCATATTTCTTCTATTCAGGAAAGAAGCTAAGATTAACCAGATTTTTTTTAGTGCCATTTCTAAATTCCAAGGAGACAGAATAATTTTCTCAACTTGAGTCAGCTGTCTACCACTGGTCTCATCAGCTACAATGAGGGGTAAGGTCAGTAATACAAATGTTGCTTTCTGGAAGCCTACCCAATTGATTCTCGAAGCAATTCCCAATGCAGGGCTGTCAGTGTCAAATGGATATGTATACCCAAAGAGGTCTACTAGAGAGGATTGAAAGCTAATTTTAATACACTTTAGTTAATACCATGATAAAGATACGGTAGCTTGCTCTGAGAGCACAAGGGATGTGAAACCATTTAGTAACGTAAAAGTGGTAATATTAATACAATATAAATAAACAACGTTTTCTGTATAGTAAGTGGTTAAGAATAACCACGATGTAAGACAGACCTAGGTTTTTGCACTAGTTCTGCCATTTACCTGCTATATGTCCTTGGACAGGTAACTAAAGATCTCCAAGTCTTAGTTTCTTTATCTGTCAAATGGTGACTGCAAAGTCTTGGGAGTTTTTGTGGTGAGGATTAAATGAGAAAATGGATATATAGCACTTTACAGTGTGTCTGTTAAAATGAAATGCTCTATAAATGTCAGTTGTGGTTGTTGTTTATCACTATTAATTTATTATGCACGTATTATGGGACAGATGCTATCAGGTAAGGTACCTGTTATCACGTATTAGACAAAGAGGCAGCATAGCTTCTGAAACACCTAATATCCCAGGGAACTCTTTAGCCTAGCAGAACCCAGCCTACTTTCTGCTCATTTTAAAGTAGGTAAAAATCCTTGCACTTGTCTTATTTTAAATAATACAACATTTTATTAATAGGCAACAACCTTGTTCTGCTAAACTTAGAAGACTGTGAGAGGAAGTTCCCTGAGGCACTTCAGACCTGGCTGCAGGTTAACTTGTGCTGTTGTATTTCCCGTTGTCATTGTAGTAACCCTTTAAGGGAGAGGTGGGATTTTAATTAGTACTCAGAAGTCCTGTTGATTTCCTTGACTGTTGGGCGGCTGAGCTCCCTATGTTGTTCTGTTCAGCAACTTTACAGGTAAGGGAATATCTGATACAATCTCATAACAGCCAAGAAATCCATTAGTACTGCTCCCTGTTGCTTCTGTACTGCATACCACAGAACCTAAGTAGTGCGGTATGTGCTACCAATAAACATACCATCATAGCCATGCATATGCTGTTCTCAGACCCTAAATTCATTCAAGGAAACCGCTGGAGTTGTGAAAAAAATGGCTAGCCTAATGCCTGGGTTTCTTGAATGACATGTAATAGTTATACCCAAATGATGAGTTATTTCTTCTGATATTTGACCATGTACATTTGATGGAGGGAATTTGTTTGTTTGTTTTCCATTTCTTTCCTTTGCTTTTTTTTTGTTTTCCCCTGGTAGTGTAAGTTATATAGGACCCTTACATAGCAGTGATAACAATTCCTCAGAAACCATCTGATTGCTAAAGGAAGTGTATGAAACAATGCAATGACTTGGTAATAGCTTCAGCAGGAGCCCTGCCATATAACTGACATCCTAATGGCTCTGTTGGACCCATTAGGCGTGTGTGAGACAGTGCAGTTGACTCTGTAACAGCTCCTTTGGAGATGTTACACTATCAGAGGAAGTGTGGAAGTGATTGGGATTACTTTATGTGTGGGTGAGACACTTCTGTGGTGACTGTGATATTCAAAATTAAAAACCACTTTGATGATACTGAATTTCAAGCCATTATCAAGGTAGATATAACAAGCTCATATTTTCTTTTTCAGTAGGTAATTTTAGCTACTATTATCTTTATGTTAAAGTAATATTGGCCAGTGATTTAAAAATTAATAGTAAAAACAGGTTTAAAGTGAATAAAGTGTATCATCCCCCTCCCTCTCCATCCTTCAGGTTTCACTCTTGAGACACAGTCAGGTTAATAATGTATTATATATAATTCCCCAAATTTTCCACGCATGTACAAATGGGATCACATACTACAAAAAGTCTCATAATTTTTTCCAGTTCATATTATCTTGGATATTTCCCCATATTTGTAGTACAAATCTGCCTCGTCATTTTTAATGACTGCATAGGATTCTGTTTATATATGTGTTATTTTTTTTAGCCAGTCCCTTGTTGATGGACATCTAGATTTCCAGTGTTTTGATATTAAAAACAGTGCTGCACTTAATATCCTTGTACACATCTTTTACACACCTCTTGTATAATTTATTAGAAGTAGAAATGATGGGTTGAAAATATATGCATTTAATGTTTGTTTAGATATTACCAAATTTCCCCCTTAAAAAAGACCTACCAATTTATTTACCTACTAAAGCTATATAAAAGTGCCTGTTTTCCCATATACTTATCAACACTGGCAATGATGAGAAAGATTTCTAATACCCAATCTGCAATATGAAATACAGTATTTCTTCTTGCTATTATTTGTTCTATTTATGGGTGACCTTGGTCATCTTTTTAATGTTAATGGCCCATTTCCATCTCTTCTCTCAATTTCCTGTTGACATACTTTGCCCACTTTCCCATATGAATTTTTATATTTTCTTATTAGTTCTCTAGAGTACTTCCTATATTAAGGGTAAAAAAAAAAAAAAAAAAAAACCTTCACTACATATTATGCATTTTTCCTAGTGTGATATTTGTCTTTTTAAGTAGGTGCATTGTGTGTGTGTTGTGTGTGTGTGTATATGATAAGATTTACATTTTTAAGTGGTAAAAGTCAACTATTTGTACTTTATAGCTGGTGGATCTCTCTCTCTCTCTCTCTCTCTCTCTCTCTCTATATATATATATATATATATATATATGTATATGTTTTTGCTAGCAGTACTATAATTTCCACAATTTGAAAAATAAATTGCTTAAAAATTTAATTTAAAAACAGAATATAAATATCTACACATAAATAATAAATGTGAATGTATGGTATGCATATGTGTAATATATAATACATACATATGGATATATTTACATGAAAGCAAACTTGAATGTAGAAGTTAAATACAGTACAAATAACGTAGCTATTAAAATTAATTAGTATTTTAGAAGTTAGTCTTTGGAGTTGATCTTGATATATTATTTACTCTCTTACTTCTTTAGTATATTACTGTGAAAGAAGCCAAAATGAGTTAAAGTGCTCTTATCAACAGAGTTTTAAAAAAGAGCTTAGAAAATGAAGGAAAAAAATATGGCTGAGCCTATATTCACCAGAAATAAAATGACAACATTGTCATCTGAATTTGAAAATAATGTTTCAATTGCCATAGTTAGGACTTATGCTTTTGGTTGTTCTTTTCTGGTTTGGGAATGGGCTCATGTTAAGTCATTCGTGTTACCTTGCACTGTCCATCTTTTCACTTTTGATAGATATTCATGAGATTGCTGGTCAGAGTTAATTTTTTGGGTAGGTATTTAAAGTGGAATGCAGAATAGCTCACAATTTGAATGTGTGCAGTTGAATTTGTTTTCATATATCCTAGTTGATCATTTTTTGAAATAATTGAAATAATATCTTTAGAGAAAAGGGGAATCATCTTGGCTACTTCAGAGGCAAGTTGACTATCTTTTCAGTAGTTTTTTTGTTATAAAAGTAATATTTTTTAATAAATAGATTATTAAAGAAAATTGGGAAATTACTGAAAAACAGGAAAAAATCCTTAAGGTTCTCTCCAAAATAAAATATTAGTCATATTCTCTCATGAATTAGCATCTTACCTTTTTCTTTCCGTGCATCATGTGTCCTTATCAGGATCCATACAACCTGATATTTCACTTAAATTAAAATGTGAGCAATTTCCAATATTACTAAGTCTTAATTAAATGTTATTTTAAATATATTAATTAGGTAGATGTAACATAATTAACTATACACTATTTTTGAATATTAACATTTCCAGTATTTCACTAGAGCAAAAAGACTAAAATAGACATCTTTGTAATCAAAGATAGGTCTCTTTCTGATCTATTCATTATTAGTAGAGTTCTACAAATAAAATTACTGGGTTCTAAAATATTTTCATTAAAGTTCAAGATATATATTATCAAATTATATCAAGATTCATACTCCCCCATTAGTAAAGCATGATAGTGGCCATTTTAGTGTACCCTCACTGATACTAGATAATTTACTTTAAAATATTTTTCACCAATTTGAAATGTGAAAAATATAACTACAGTCATGTGCTGTATAAGAGTGTTTTGGTCAATGACAGACCATATATATGAGAATGGTCCCATAATATAATAATACCATATTTTTACTGTACCTTTTCTACATTTAGATATATTTAGATGCATAAATACTTAGCATTGTGTTATAATTGCCTACAATATTCGGTGAAGTATTAATAACATGCTTACAGGTTTGTAGCCTAGCAACAATAGGCTACACCTATGGCCTAGGTGTGTAGTAGGCTATACCATCCAGGTTTGTGTAAGTACAATCTGTGATGTTTGCACAATGACAAAATCCCCTAACGACACATTTCTCAAATTGTATCCGTGTCGTTAAGAAATGCATGACTGTATGTTGTTTAAAATTACATGTCATTAGAGAGAGAAAGGAAGCTAGCTGACTAGAGGCATCTGGTACTTACCTCCTCCACAAAGAAGAACCAAAATAGCTAGTAATCACACTTCAAATACATCATCTATGGGAGAATGCTAGAATTCAGCAAAGAAGTGACAGGAAGTACCTAAGGCAAGGAAAAAGAGGGAAGCAAGGCAGCCTGCTCAGCTGGAATGGGCTGGGGACCTGGAAAAGATCCCCAATATGATGAAAGGATAAGTGAGAGACCCCAGCAGTCTCACTGTGAACTCCTGCAGTCCTAGCTATGGAGAACCCTTGATCCATGTGGGCCCTGAGACTAACATAGGGAATATGCCTGGAGATTATGTGACGGCATTGCTCCAGAGAGAGATGTCACATTGGGTCTCACCCCCCACCCACCCCCAAATCCTAAACAGCTACAGCATGACACCATTTTGAGAGCTCGGTCTCCAATAGACAGCATCCTGCCCTGGGGGTCAACATCCTCTGCCTCTACACATCCCTGGAGTACAATGAACATCCTCTGCCTACAGCCACCACCGCAGCTGGCTGCTGCTACCAGGGTCAAAGTATGAGCCATTGGAAGCAACCCCACTGCCCCCAGCAGTGGAGCCTCTTGCATTTGCAAGCACCCTAATGACAGGCTACCCTGCTGTAGCTACTACCCAGGGCAAAAGTGCACACTCCCTACCTGCCTGACAATTGCTGCTGCCACTGAAAACAACCTGTGGCTCCCTGATATCAGGGACACAGTGCAGCCACTGATACCCCTACCCAAGCATTCCACCAGAGGTCTGGGATCACCCTACCCCTGCCGACCACAGTCAGCACCTGCATGCACCACAAGAGGAGGCCCTTAATACAGATCTGCCTGGCCCAGCACCACCACTACCAGTGTCCAAGCTCATTGTCCAGGAGAGTGAGGATTGCCTGCTCAGTCCACCAGTGTTGACAACTGAGCACTCCTCCCAGAAGCCTCAAGTTGGGCCAACACAACCAGTTGATACCACCAAAGCTTGTACCCGTCAGCATGCACCACCTACAGACCTGGGAATTGGCCTGTCCAACCTGCCACAGCCACTGCCAACACAAGCACAGATCACTTGGAAAATAGAAGGTTGTCTTGTCACTGCTACTGCTACTGTCCATGCCACACCTGCTGGCCAGCAGCCCAAGGGCCCACCCACTCACTTGGTCCACTGCTGCAATTGCCAGCACTTGAGCAAGCTTTCTGGAAACCCAATGATCAACCTGCCTGGACCCACTAAGACTGGTGCCAGCATGCACTGCCTTGAATGGGCCCAAGAACAGGCACACTTGGCCTGCCACTGCCACCACTGCAGCTCAAGGAGGGGCCCAGCTGGCATCCTCATCTGCAGCAAAACTTTGCTTTAGCCTTCACTAAAAACTGCACACTAAGCCACTGAGGACATCATAGACACTACTGATGTTGTTTACAGCTAAAGGAGTCACACAGAGATGACACTACGGCACGGCACCCAGAAGCAAAGCAAAAATTTTCTACCCAACCAACATATAGGTATGTGTTCAGGAAAAAGTCCTCCCCTACCAAAGCAAATACAAAAAAATTAGAAGGAGCAACTGTTATACCTGATGCACAAATATCAATGTTAAGGACAAAAGAAACATTAAAAAGCAAGAAAATATGATACCTCAAAAGAACACAATAATTATCTATCAACAGATTCTAATGAAAAAATAATTTATGAAATCCTGGGAAAATAATGATATTAAATTCAGTGAGACAAAAAATTAAATTAAATTAAAAACCCAGGAATACAGCTAAACAAGGAGGTGAAAGATCTCTACAATGAGAATTAAAAACACTGCTGAAAGAAATCAGAGATGACACAAACAAATGGAAAAATGTTCCATGCTCATGGATAGGAAGAATCAATATTGTTAAAATGGCCATACTGCCCAAAGCAGTTTTACAGATTCAGTGCTGTTCCTGTCAAACTACCAATGACATGTTTCACAGAATTAGGAAAAAAACTATGCCAAAATTTATATGGAACCAAAAAAGAGCCAGAGTAGCCAAAGCAATCCTAATGAAGCTGGAGGCATCACATTACTCATATCAGAGAAAATAGATTTATGTCAAAAATACTAAAAATAGACAAAAATGTCATCATATAATGATAAAGCAATCACTTTAGCGAGAATTATGTAACAATTCTAAACATATATGCCGCCAATACCAAAGCACTCAGATGTATAAAGCAAATATTATTAGACCTAAGAAGGGAGATAGACTACATAGATTAATAGTTGATAGACTACATATGTTAATAGTTGACTTAGACACCCCACTCTCAGCATTAGACAGATCATCTAGAGAGAAAATTAACAAAGAAACATGGGACTTAAACTTCCCTTTACACCAAATAGGCCTAACAGACATCTACAGAACATTTCATCCAACAGATACAGAATACACATTCTTCTTATCAGCACATGTAACATTCTCCAGGATAGACCACATGTTAGGACACAAAACACGACTCAACAAGTTTTTAAAAATCAACATCATATCAAGTATCTTCTTATACTACAGTGGAATTAAACTAGAAATCAGTAACAAAAGGAACTTTGGAAATTGTACAAATATATGGAAATTAAATATCCTCCTTAATGACCATTGAGTCAAACAAGAAATTAAGGAGGAAATTTTAAAAAATCTCTTCACACAAATGAAAACTAAAACACAATATAGCAAAACCTAAGGGGTTGCTGGGCTTGGTGGTTCACACCTGTAATCCCAGCACTTCGGGAGGCCGAAGTGGGCGGGTCACCTGAGGTCCGGAGTTTGAGGCCAGCCTGGCCGACACAGTGAAACCCTGTCTCTGCTAAAAATACAAAAATTAGCCGGGCATGGTGGCAGGTGCCTGTAATCCCAGCTACTCCAGAGACTGAGGCAGAATAACTGCTTGAACCTGGGAGGCAGAGGTTGCAATGAGCCAAGATTGAGCCATTGCACTCCAGCCTAAGTGACAGAACAAAACTCTGTCTAAAAAAAAAAAACAAAACAAAACAACAACAACAACAACAACAACAAAAACTATGGGATACAGCAAAAGCAGTGTTAAGAAGGAAGTTTATGGGAAAAAAATGCGCACATCAAAAAAGTAGAAAGATGTCAAACAACCTAATCAGGCACCCCAAAGAATTAGAAAAGCAAGAACATACTAAACCCCAAATTAGTAGAAAGAACACAATAATAAAGATCAGAACAGAACTAAATGAAATATGGACTATAAAAAGTAATACAAAGGAACAACAAATGAAAAGTAGGTTCAGCAGATAAACAAAATCAATAAACCATTAACCAAAAAAAAAGAGAGTAGACCCAAGTAAATAAAACCAGAAGTGAAAAAAGAGACATAACAAAAACTGATATCATAGAAATGCAAAAGGTCATCAGAGACTGTCATGAACAACTATACACTAACAAACTGGATAACGTTGAGGAAATGGATAAATTCCTGGCCACATACACCCTACCAAGATTGAATCAGGAAAATATAGAAAACCTGAACAGATCAAAAATGAGTAATGAGATTGAATCAGTAATAAAATGTTTCCCAACAGAGAAAAGTTCAGGACAGAATGGTTTCACTGACAATTTTTACCGAACCTTCTAAGAACTAACACCAATTCTCCTCAAACTATTTCAAAAAGTTGAAGAAGGTGGAATTCTCCCTAACTCATCCTACAAGGCCAGCATTACCCTGATACTAAAACCACGAAAGTCACAATTTAAAAAGAAAGCTATAGGCCAATATCCCTGATGAATATACATGCAAAAATCATCAAGAAAACATCAACAAAACAAGTCTAATACCACATCAAAACATAATATACCATGATTCAGTGGGATTTATCCCAGAGGTGCAAAGATGGTTCAATATATGCAAATCAATAAACATAATACATCACATCAACAGAATGAAGGACAAAAACCATATGGACATCTCAATAGATGTAGAAAAGCATTTGATAAAATTCAACATTCCCCTCATGATAAAAAATTAAAAACCTCTCAAAAAACAAGGCATAGAAGGAACACACCTCAACATAATAAAGGTTATATATGACAGACCCACAGCTGACATCATACTGAATAGGGAAAAGCTGAAAGCCTTTTCTTTAAGAACTGGAAGAAGACAAAGATACCCAGTTTCACCACTCCTGTTTATCATAGTACTGGAAGTCCTAGCCAGAACAATCAGGCAAGAGAAAGAAATAAAAGGCATCTAATTTGAAAAAGAAGTAGTCAAATGTTCTGTCTTTGCAGATGATATTATCTTATACTTAGAAAATCCTTAAGACGTCAACAAAAAACTCTTAGATTTGATAAATTCAGTAAAGTTGCAGGATACAGAATCAGTTTGCAAAAATTAGTAGCATTGTTATACATCAGTAATGAACTAGCTGAGGAAAAATCAAGAAAACAATTTCATTTGCAATAGCTCCAAAAAAATAAGTACCTAGAAATAAATTGAACCAAGGCACTGAAAGACCACTACCAAGAAAACTACCAAATCACTGATGAAAGAAATTGAAGAGGACACAAACAGGTGGAAAGACATCCGATGCTCATGAATAGGAAGAATTAATATAGTGCCCAACACAATCTACAGATTCAATGCAATCCTTATGAAAATGCCACTGTCATTTTTCACAGAAATAGAAAAAATCCTAAAATTCTTAAGTAACCAAAAAAAGCCTGAGTAGCCAAAGCAAGTTTGAGCAAAAAGAACAAAGCTGGAAGCATCACACTTCCTGACTTCAAAATTTATTACAAGACCATAGTAACCAAAACAGCATGGTATTGGTATAAAAACAGACACATAGACCAATTGAAAAGAATAGAGAACCCAGACATAAATCCACATATCATCAGGTAGATACAAATCAAAATGAAATATAATCTTATCCCACTTATCACAGCTGTTATTAAAAAGACAAAAAATAGCAGATGCTGACAAGGTCGAGGAGAAAAGGGAACTCTTACACACTGTTGGTGGGAATGTTAATTAGTATAACCACTATTGAAAGCAATATGGAGATTTCTCAACAAACTAAAAATAGAACTACTATAGGATCCAGCATTCCCACTCTTGGGCATTTATCCACAGGAAAAGAAATCGGTATATCAAAGGGACACCTGCACTCCCATGATTATTGCAGCACTATTCACAATAGCCAAGATGTGGAATCAACCTAAGTGTCCATCAGTGGATGAGTGGATAAAGAAAATGTGGTACATATATATGATGGAATATTATTCAGCCATAAAAAGAATAAAATCCTGTCATCTGCAGCAACATGGAACTGGACATCATTATGCTAAGTGAAATAAGCCAGACACAGAATAAAAAATGATATATGTTCTCACCCATATGTGGAGGTTTAAAAGTTGATCTCATGGAGATGGAGTTTAGAATGATAGATACCAGAGGATGGGAAGGAGATATGGGGAAAGATCAAGAAAGGTTTATTAACGGTTACAAAGATACTGTTAGATAGAAGGAAAAATTTCTAATGTTCAATAGCAGAGTAGGATGATTACAGTTAACAGCAATGTATTGTATATTTCAAAATACCTGGAAGAGAGGACTTGAAATGTTCCCAACACATAGAAATGATAAATACTCAACATGATGGATACCCCCAAATACACTGATTGGATCACTGCACATTCTATGCATGTAACAACATATCACATGTATCCCATAAATATGAAAATTTTATTTCTCAATAAAAACATTTAAAAAAATAAATGTCATCCAGAAGAAAATTCAGAAGCTATAAAAATATTAATCAAGCCTGGCAGCCTTGAGGAACACTTTAAGAGGACAGAAAGGCTTAGATTGTTTAGTTGTTTCTGGTCTTCCGTGAGCCAGCCTTCACTCTGCAGCTCATCCTTGGCCATGAGGGGATGACAACTTGTAGGGTTAGGCACCTAGGACACTAGCCCCATCTAAATCAGTTATATTTGTCTGTGTGTCTGTTTTTGTTGCTATAAAGATACCTGAGGCTGGGTAATTTACAAAGAAAAGAGGTTTATTTGACATATGGTTCTTCAGGCTGTACATGCATGGCATCTGCATCTGCTTGGCTTCTCATGAGGCCTCAGGAAGCTTTTAGTCATGGCAAAGTGGAAGGGGAGCTAGAGTGTCACATGCCAGAAGAGAGTAAGAGAGGGATGCCTGGCTCATTAAAATAACCAGATCTCATGTGAACTCATGACCACCGGGAGGGCACCAAGCCATTCGTGAGAGATCCACTCTCATAACCCAAATACCTCCCTATAGGCACCACCTCCAACACTGGGGATCACATTTTAACATGAGATTTGGAGGGGACAAATATGCAAAACTATATGATCAGTTCTCCAGTTTGACTCTGGATCCCCACCCTCAGACCTCTGGATGAGATTGTTCCTCCTCTATAGTTCTGTGGTTCTCTGGACTAGCCTCGTCATAGCTGCATCACACTGGGCTTTAATTGTAAGTATCCCCCAACTAGATTGAAATAAAACAAGCTGATCACAGATGTATGTAAAGAAATTTTGGCCCAAGGTAAAAACTCATTAAATGTGTGAAGCATGAACATATAGTTGGCCCTTGAACAACAAAGTTTTGAACTGCACAGGGGTCCACTTATACATACATTTTCTTCTGCCTTGGCCATCCCTGAGACAGCAAGATCAGTTCCTCCTCTTTCTCCTCAGCATACTCAACATGAAGATGAAGATGAAGACCTTTATGATGATTCACTTCCACTTAATTAATAGTAAATATATTTTATCTTCCTTATGATTTTCTTGATAACATTTTCTTTTTTCTAGCTTACTTTATTGTAAGAATTAAGTATATAATACATATAACATACAAAATATGTGTTAATCAATTGTTTGTTATTGGCAAGTCTTCCACTCAACAGCAGACCACTAGTAGTTATGTTTTTGGGGAGTCAAAAATTATGCATGGATTTCTGACTGTGTGGTAGTCGGCATCTCTAACCCCTGCACTGCTCAAGCGTCAGCTGTACTAATAAACCTATAAATAAATCAGTTCCAAGAAGTTCTATGAATGGGTTTCAGAGAGTCTGTGAATGCCTCAAATTGCATGTAATATTGAATGCACTCTGATAGATATGCAGTCCTCTGGCAAGGATCCATGTCCTTCATTAGATTATAAAGTAGTCCATGACTACCTCCAAATACCCCCAAATTATCTTAAATTCCTTGAATGAGTATGTGGGCCAAGCTTTGAGGTACCAGTCACTTTCAGAAGTCACAACTTATATTCTAGAGAGAGTTTATTTTGTTTTGGAAAAATAAGCACTGTTAGGAACCAATGGAAAATGATTAACCTCTTTCAAGTCAGGGGTTGAAAGTTAAAAGAGCAGAATATCATTACTTACCAACTGCAGCCAAAAAATTACAAATGAAAATCAACTGCCACTGCAATTAATACTTTGTCTCTATGAATGGGTAACATGGTCACCTCTGTGGAGGAAAGTGGAAATCTGAAGATCTGCAGTGCGTTAATTGAACAAATATTCTTTCTCTGAATGCTATATTGTATAATTTGGAATTTTTTCCTCTGTATGATCACCTATTTCAAAATAAATAATTATAATTTTTTAACTGGATGTCCTTTATTGATTCTGGAATTTAACAATTTTTATAATGACTTTAAATTTTCGTTTGAACTGGAATGATTTTTTAAGGAAACTATGATAAAATCTGAGAACTAACTAATAAATTCAAGAACCAATTCTTATAGGCATAAGCAGTAAAATAGCAGAATCAGGAAAAGAAGAGAAAATAAGACGTGAGTATGTCGAAATAACTAAAGAGACAGAGGATATTGAATGATTCATAAGAGACCAATTTGTGCACCTCTTTTAAGGTACCCTTGAAAACCATGTTGGAATGGATAATCTCATAGAAAAAATACAAATGACTAAAACTGGTCTCAGAAGGGAGAGAAAATTTTCTCAGTAGAGAAAGAAATCTGATTTGTAAAATAGAAATAAAACTTCCAAAGAACTACTTAAACCAAAAGAAGTAGCGTAATTAGGCAGTGTCACAGGCAAAATTTGCTACATCTTTAAGGAACACATTATTTCAATGCTACTTAAATGTTTTAACAGCATAATTAAATGAAAGCTTCCAAATCTTTTAAAGATTTTTTTGGAAGCAAAAAAAATTGATATCTAAAAGTTAAAAAAGGAAAGTACGAAATAAATCTTCAAATCAATTTTACTTCTGAATACCGAAGCAAAATTCTTAAATAAAATACTAGCCCACAAGGTCCAGCAATATAACAGAAAAATAATACACTACAAGTAAGTGCAGTTCATACTAAGAATGCAAGGATTATTCAATATTAAAAACTCTGTTACTCTAACATACCATATGAGTACATCAATGTAGATAAACCAAATTTAAAAACGGCGGAGATTTTCAAAAGGGTTTTGATAAAAACCAACATTTTATTTAACAAATGTGTTTATTCTGTGCCAAACATTGCTCTAAGTATTTTACAAATATTGAGTTTAATATTCATAACCGCTCCATAACTGAGGTACAAATGATATTCCCATTTACGATGAGAAAACTAAGGCACAATAAGGATACATAAAATGATTTGGCTGGTAAGTGGTAAAGTCAGTATTTACACCAGGCAGTTCAATCCTTGCATTTACCCATGATATTATACTGTCTGTCATGCATCAATTTTTGATAGACATACATACAAACGTATATATATATATATAATTTCTTAGAATAAGATCATGTAAAATCACAAAATCCAGTTTTATTTGAAGTGAGGAAGCACTAGAAGGATTTTTTTTTTTTTTTTTTTTGAGACAGTCTCACTCAGTTTCTCAGGTTGGAGTACAGTCATGAGATCATGGCTCACTGCAGCTTTGACCTCCTAAGCTCAAGTGATCCTCCCACTTTAGCCTCCGGAGTAGCTGAGGCTAAAGGTGTATGCCACCATGCCATGGCTGTTTAAAAAAAAATTTTGTAGAGAATGGATGTCCCCTTTGTTGACCAGGCTGGTGAGCTCCTGAGCTCAAGCCATTCTCCCACCTTGGCCTCCCAAAGTGCTGGGATTACAGTTGTGAGCCACCACACCTGGCTCTAGAAGGATTTCTATTAGAGACAAGAACAAAACAAGGATATCCGCTCTAATTAACTACTTTAAACTTATGAAGTAGCAACTGTCCACATTAGAAAATAGAAGAGGAATAAAATTAGAAAAATGAGGTATAATTTTATTATTTTTAGGTTATATAATTGTATATCTAAAAAAAAAAAATCTAAGACCAAACATGAAACTAATACAAGAAATAAGAGAATTTAGTAAGCTAGTTGGGTATAAAATTAGCACACCAAATTAATAGTTTCCTTCCATACAAACAATACTTACTTAGAAAATATAGTTGAATAAATGATTACAGTAGCAACAACAGCAATCAAAATGCCTGAGAATAAACAAGCAAAAAGTACAACACACACACACAAAAATCATAATGCTATTGAGGAATATAGAAAAGAACATAAATAAGTAGAAAGCCATACTTTTTTCTTAAATAAGTCTCAGAACCATAAAAATTCCCCTTAATCTATCATTTTAACATGCCTTCAATAACAAAATATCAATTGGTCTTATAAAAAGCCTAACATACCAGCTCTAATATTCAACTGGGAAAAACAAACATAAGAATACTTTGAAAATATATGGGGAAAAACATAATATAATGATGATAGATTTGCCAGATATTAAAATATATTTAAGTTCATTGTAAATAAATTAGCGGGGTGCTATTATATGAATAAACAAAGTGTTAGGATGGAAGAAGACTGGAAATGGTTCCAAATACAAACAGGAGTACAGTATATGATAAAGATGACCTTTCAAATAAGTCTGGAAGGCATAAATTGTTTATGAAAAGTGTTGAGACAATTATGTAGCCATGCAGAAAACAATAAAGTTGCTTCCCTCCGTACCTCACTCCCTACACCAGAATAAATTCTAGGTGACCCAAAATTAAATGTGAAAATAAGTACTATAAAGCAATATGGGAGAATTTCTTCCAACCTTAAAGTAGGAAAACCTTTTCTAGATATAGCCCAAAAAACTAGAAGCCATAAATAAAACTGCTGTCAAATTTGACTACACAAAATTATATACATATGTATATATATGTATATTAAAATATGTGTAGCATACAGAGACAGTCAATTTCCTCCTATATAAAGAGTGCTTATAATCAATAAGAAAAAAATCCAAATAATGTAATAGAAAAAAATTGATATATGCCATAGTAAAGGAAATGAGAATGGTTCTTGGACATATGAAAAAAAATGTTTAAACTCACTCCTAAGAGAAATGCATATTAAAACTGAACTAAATTTTATCATTTATCACCTATAATATTGGCAATAATTAAAATTTTATAACATACATTTTTGGAAAATGTGTATGAAATATTGATTATGGAAGTAAAAATAGATACAGTCGATATGAAAAGATATTTGACAATATCTAGCAAAGACAAATTATCTTCTTTGATCCAGCAGTTTCTCTTCTTGAAATTTATCCTACAGATATTGAATGAGCATGCAGTGGTATGTATGAAGATATTCACTTAGCACTGTTTGAAATATCAAAAAATCAGTGATATCAATCAAGATGTTTATCAATAGGAAGCCACTTGAATAATTTATGGTATAATAATTTGAGTAATTTATGCAGTGGAATACTCTGCAGCCTTAAAGAGAATAAGACATATAAGTAGGAAGAAAAGTTGGGTGGCTCAAGCGGAATTGCACAGGGGGTTTTAACTCCATTGACACTATTTGTATATGTATTTATTTATGATATTTTATTTCTTAAGCTCAGTAATGGGGTACATGGTGATTATAATATTGCTCTTTATACCCTTTTATGGGTGTCTGAAATTTTTAAAATAAATCTAGCACAAACAAAATGAGACAACTCTGTATTTATTGAAGTTGAACAGTCTTCAAGATGCATCATTAAACAAAAGCCACAGGGTTTGAATCGTTGTCGATAGTAGTGGATTTTCTTGTCTATGACCCAGTTGAAGAAATATATTTTACATTCTAACCCAGTTCACAATGAATCCATAAATAAAGAACAAAAACAAAAATTTCATAAGACGATATCTACCCTTACTATGAAACAACATGCTCTGACATTTTCTCTTCTATTCGATTCCATTTCATATCTATGTAATGTTAATTGTGATCCAGTAAATTCATTTTATAACTAATAGATCACAACCTGAAGTTTGAAAATGATGATGTCCACTGTGCTACACTTTATGTGTGATTTTTAATGAAGCTATATGCTTGCATGCTTACATTATCATAGAATTTCTCTGAAAATATTCACAATAAATGAATAATTTTGATTGCATTTGTGGAGAGGAAGTAAGTGGCTGTGGGACAGGGATTGGAGGGAGATTTTTTTTTCCTGCATGCTCTTTTGTCCCGTTTGTACTTTGATAATGTGCTATTAAATTTTTTAATTTAACATAATTTTTCAAAATAAAAGGAAAATGATGTCATAGATTAATGAATCCAATTCACCTGCTTTCTTGGCCACTTTTTAAAATAGCCAATACTTGCTGCTTAAAGGGCTCCTTCCAATGTTTTAAATTTTAAATTTAACATAAATAGAAATTTAAAATTTCTTTAACGTAGCTTTGTATGTGTATATTCCTTCTGAAAATAAAGTGGGAAACAAATCTATTATACTGCAAATAATATTTTGCTCTTTACATTACTATTATGTCACCTGCTCATATTGATTGTCCTAATGAAATTACAGCCCCATGTATAGAGGGGATATACTTTCTTGTTTGCTTGAAAGAACTATGTTTGGAGATCAAGTTTCTGTCTTACAGAGGAAGCAAGGCATGGAAGTATTGTTATCTAGTGGACAAGCAGTTTTATGTTTCAAAATTGTTTGCCAAAATTAGCAGCTGTAAAACAAGAACACAGCTGCAAATTTCAAACTTTTCATATTAATATATACCATGCTATTTTCCTTTGAAACCAAAAACATGTATTTTTCATTTAACAATTTCAGCAGTGTACACATCATTGTGTTTCCCTGAACAAATGACTATTATGCTAAATGGTTGATTTTAAATAGAGTTTCCTTATTCACCAAAGTTGATACTTTTAACGTTTTGTTTTCAATTGGAAATTTCTGCTTAAATAATTTTCATTTATTTTGATGTTTGTAAGTGAAAAGTTAGTTTGTTGGTAAAAAATTGTCCCGTATTTTCATTGTTCCTTCAAAGTTTATATTTGCTGAAATAATTCTTCTGAAGTTGGAGAGATTGTGTAGCCTGCACAAAAATGCTGTGTAATTGTTTGATCCATTTTACCATGCGAAAATTTGTAGCCTTGTGAAATAATCCAAGAATTTTCCTTATACCACATGTTTTATAATCCCAGGTTACTAGTGCTAAACATGGACCAAAACAAAATTAGTATAAAACTAAGGTCATATCCCATTCCATGAAGAAATTCTGAGTTCTCTACACTGTTTTCACCTGGCTTACAGGATATCATGCTCTCTCAGTTTTCTTCTTATCTCAGTGGTCACTTCTCTGTCTTATTTGCTGATTCTTTTCCTTCCTTCTATTTTTTTTTTTTTTTTTTTTGAGACAGAGTCTCGCTCTGTCGCCAGGCTGGAGTGCAGTGGCACGATCTCTGCTCACTGCAACCTCGGCCTCCTGGGTTCAAGCGATTCTCCTGCCTCAGCCTCCCCAGTAGCTGGGATTACAGGCACACACTACCACACCCAGCTAATTTTTGTATTTTTAGTAGAGACGGGGTTTCACCATGGTGGCCAGGATGGTCTCGATTTCCTGACATCATGATTCGCCTGCCTCAGCCTCCCAAAGTGCTGGGATTACAGGCCTGACTCTCTAACCTTTTAATTTGGTGTACACCAGTGCTCAGCTTTTGTCTTCAAGTCTTCACCATTTATACCCACTCAGTGACCTCTTATAGTCCTGAGGCTTAAACCATCTAATACACTAATGACTCTCAAATTTATTTCTCAGCCAAGACTTCTCTTCTGACATCCATTTTCAATTACTTATTTGGTAATTTCATTTGGATGTTTAATAGATATCTTAAACTCAACTTGCCCAAAACTAAACTCCTGATCTTTCCCTCCTACCCAAAACTTGCAGACTTCCCATTTCAGTTGACGGAAGCTCCATCCTACCACTTGCTCAAGTCAAAAACCTTGGAGTCATCCTGAAAGCTCTCTTCCTTGCAATACCTTACATCCACTGTATTAGCAAACTCTGTTCACTGTACCTCCAGCTCCACAGCTACCACCCTTGTCCAAGCCACCATCATCTCTCATCTGGGTTAAATCATACAGCCTTGTAACAGGTCTCTATGCTTCTCAGAGTGATCTTTTTAAAATATTTTCTTATTACAGGTTAGCATCCTTTTCTTTCAGATTGGTATCATAGAAGTAGAAAGTGGAATAGTGGTTACCAAAGACCAAACAGGGGAGGAGGAAGGGGGAAAAGGGAGAAGATGGTCAGTGGGTACAAAGTTACAATTAAATAGGAAACATAAATTCTGGTGTTCTCTTGCACAGTAGAGGGACCATAGCTGGTTAAGAAAAATGTATTGCATATTTCAAGATAAATAGAATAGAGGATCTTGCAAGATATCACCACAAAAAAAAGATAAAGATTTGAGATTATGAACATGCCAACTATCCTGATTTGATCATTATATAAAATATGCATGTATTGAAACATCACACTACCCCATAAACATGCAATTATAATGTGTCAATTATTTAAAAATAATAAAAGAGTAGACAAAATATATGAGTCGACTCTGCTAAAAATATTGCAAATGGCTTCTCATTTCACTCAGAGTAGAATATTTACAGTGATCTAAAATACCCTCCATGATCTAGCTCCTTGTTACCTCACCTCCTTCTACATTTTTTCTTAACTCTGCAGCATTGTTACTGACATCTTTGTCAATCTCCAAAAAAAAAAAATACTTGAGGCACACTTCTGCCTTAGGTACTTCACTGTGGCTGACTCCTCTACTTGGAATCTTCTTCCTCCAAGTATTGCATGTTTTCACTCTTACACCTCCATCAAGCTTTTGCTTAAATGTCTGCTTCTCAGTGAGGTCTACTTTGACCCATTCTACACACTACTGCAGTTTGCACCATAATCCCTGAACTCTTAATACCTTTACCCTGCTCTACCTTGTCTTTATTTCCATAGCATGTATGAACCTCTATATAATTTACTTATATACTATGCTTATTGTTTATTGTCTGTTTCCATCTACATTAATTGTAAATTCTGAGGACTAGGATCCTTGTGTGTTTTGTTCACTGAAGTCCTTAAAGGCCCTAGAATAGTTTCTAGGACTTAGCAGGTGTTCAACAAGTACTTTTGAAAGAATGAATATAGAATGTAACTTTTGGTATATGATTTATGTCTATGTCTTTACACAGAACTGAATAACTGGTTTTGATTGATATGAACTATTATTTCTTGCACAATTAGTATTTTTAATTTTTGTGGGTACATAGTAGGTGTGTATATTTAGAGGGTACATGAGATTTTTTGATACAGGCACGCAATGTGAAATAAGTCCATCATGGAGAATGGGGTATCCATCCCCTCAAGCATTTATCCTTTGAGTTACAAACACTCCAATTACACTCTTAAGCTATTTTAACATGTAGAATTAAGTTATTATTGACTATAGTCACCCTGTTGTGCTGTCGTATAGTAGGTCTCATTTGTTCTTTCTATTTTTTGTATACATTAACCACCCCCACCTCCCCCCACAGCCCCCTACTACCCTTCTCAGCTTCTGATAACCATTCATCTACTCTCTGTGTCTGCGAGTTCAATTATTTTGATTTTTAGATCCTACAAACAAGTGAGAAGTTGCAATGCTTGTCTTTCTGTGACTGGCTTATTTCACTTAACATAATGATCTCCAGTTCCATCCATGTTGTCGCAAATGACTGGATCTCATTCTTTTTTATGGCTGAACAGTACTCCATGGTGTATATTACCACATTTTATTTATTCATTCACCAGTTGATAGACGCTTAGGTTGCTTCAAAATTTTACCTATTGTAAACACTGCTGCAACAAACACAGGCATGCAGCTATCTCTTCTATATAATGATTTCCTTTATTTTGGGTATACTGCTACTATATACTATACAATATATACCCATCAGTGGGATTGCTGGATCATATGGTAGCTCAATTTTTAGGTTTTTGAAGAATCTCCAAACTGTTCTCCATAGTGGTTGTGCTATTTTACATTCTCACAAACAGTGTGCAAGTATTCCCTTTTCTGCACATTCTCACCAGCATTTGTTATTGTCTCTCTTTTGGATAAAAGCCATTTTTGCTAGGGTAAAATCATCTTTTTTTTTTTCCTTGAAACAGGGTCTCGCTCTGTGGCCCAGGCTGGAGTGCAGTGGCATGATCTCGGCTCACTGCAACCTCCGCCTCCCAGGTTCAAGCAATTCTTATGCCTCAGCTTCTAGAGTAGTTGGGATTACAGGTGCACATCACCATGCCTGGCTAATTTTTTTTTTTTTTTTTTTTTGGTAGAGACGGTATTTCACCATGTTGGCCAGGCTGGTCTCGAGCTCCTGACGTCAAGTGATCCACCTGCCTCGGCCTCCCAAAGTGCTGGGATTACAGGCGTGAGCCACCACGCCCAGCCGGGTGAGATCACATCTTACTATAGTTTTAATTTGCATTTCTCTGATGATTAATGATACTGAGCCTTTTCATATGCCTGCTTGCCATTTGTATGTCTGGGTTTGAGAAATGTCTATTCAAATCTTTTGCCCATGTTTTGATAGGATTATTAGGTTTTTTCTTATAGAGTTGTTTGAGCTTCTTATATATTCTGGTTATTAATCCTGTGGGAGATTAGTAGTTTGCAGATATTTTCTCCTATTCTGTGGGTTGTCTCTTCACTTTGTTGATTGTATCTTTTACCGTACAGAAGCTTTTTAACTTGATGTGATCCCATTTTCCCATTTTTGCTGTGGTTGCCTGTGCTTGTGGAGTATTGCTTAAGAAATTTTTTGCCCAGAGTAATATCCTGGAGAGTTTCCCCAATGTTTTCTTGTAGTAGTTTCGTAGGCTGAGGTCTTAGATTTAAGTCTTTAGTTCATTTTGATTTCATTTTTGTATATGGCAAGATATAGGGGTCTAGTTTCATTCTTCTGCATATGGATATCCAGTTTTCCCAGCACCATTTATTGACGTGCCTGTCCTTTCCCCAGTGTATGTTACTGGCACCCTTGTCAAAAATGAGTTTACTGTAGGTGTGTGGATTTGTTTCTGGGTTCTCTATTCTGTTCCACTGTCTATCTGTCTGTTTTTATGCCAGTGCCATGCTGTTTTGGTTACTATAGCTCTGTAGTATAATTTGAAGTCAGGTAATGTTATTCCTCCAGTTTTGTTCTTTTTGCTTAGATAGCTTTAGCTATTCTGGCTCTTTTATCGTTCCATATAAATTTTAGGATTTTTTTTCTGTTTCTGTGAAGAATGTCATTGGGATTTTAATAGGGATTGCATCAAATCTGTAGATTGCTTTGGATAGTATGGTCATTTTAACAATATTGTTTCCTCCAGTCCATGAACATGGAATATTTTTCCATTTTTTGGTGTCCTCTTCAATTTCTTTCATCAGTGTTTTATAGTTTTTCATTATAGAGATCTTTCACTTCTTTGATTAATTCCTGGGTATTTTATTTTCTGTGTGGCTATTGTAAATGGGATTACTTTGTGATTTCTATTTAGGAATGTTCACTGTTGGCATATAGAAGTGCTACTGATTTTTTATGTTGATTTTGTATCCTGCAACTTTACTGAATTTGTTTATCAGTTCTGATAGTTTTCTTGTGGAGTCTTTATGTTTTTCCAAATAAGATTACATCATCTGCAAACAATGATAATTTCACTTCGTCCTTTCCAATTTAGGTGTCCTTTATATCATTCTCTTATATGATTACTCTAGCTAGGACTTCCAATACTATGTTGAATAACAGTGGTAACAGTGGACATATTTGTCACGTTCCAGGTCTTAAAGGAAAGGCTTTGAGTTTTTCCGCATTTAGTATGATGCCAGCTGCAGGTCTGCCAAATACGACTTTTATAATGTTGGGATATCTTTCTTCTATCCCCAGTGTTCTCAGGGTTTTTATCATGAAGTGGTGTTGAATTTTATCAAATGCTTTTTCAGCATCAATTGAAATGATCACATGGTTTTTATTCTTCATTCTGTTTGTATGATGTATCACATTGATTGATTTGTGTATGGTGAGCCATCCTTGCATCTCAGGGATAAATCCCTCTGGTCATGATGAATGATCTTTATAATATACTGTTGAATTCAGTTTGCTATTATTTTGTTGAAGATTTTTGCATCAATATTCATCAGAAATATTGGCCTATAGTTTTCTTTTTTTGATATGTCTTTATCTGGTTTTGGTATCAGGGTAATATTGGACCTATAGAATGAGTTTGGAGGTATTGTCTCCTCCTGTATTTTTTGGAATAGTTTGAGTAGGATTCATATTAGTTCTTCTTTAAATGTTTGGTAGAATTCAGCAGTGAAACCACCAGGCTTTTCTTTTCTGGGAGATTTTTTATTACAGCATCCATTTTGTTATTCATTATTGGTCTGTTTAGGTTTTGGATTTTTTCCTAGTTCAATCTTGGTAGGTTATATGTATCTAGGAATTTGTCCATTTCTTCTAGATTTTTTTGATTTATTAGCATATAGTTGCAGATATTACACTAATGATACTTTGATTTTCTGCAGCATAAGTTGTAACGTGTCCTTTTTCATTTCTGATTTTATTTATTTGGATCGTCTCTCTTTTTTTCTTTGTCTGTCAATCTTGTTTAACTTAAAAAAACTTTTGTTTCATTAATCTTTTGTATTGTTTTTCATTTCAGTTTCATTGAAATTAAATGAAATGTATGCTCTGATCTTTATTATTTCTTTTCTTCTACTGATTTTGGGTTTGGCTTGCTCTTGCTTTTCTAATTCCTTAAAATGCATGGTTAGATTGTTAATTTGAAGTTTCTCCTCTTTTTTGATGTAGGCATTATAGCTATAAACCTCCTTCTTAGTACTACTTTTGCTGTGTCCCATAGGTTTTGGTATGTTGTGTTTCCATCATTATTTGTTTCAAGAAATGTTTTAATTTCTTTATTAATTTCTCCATTGACCCACTGGTCATTCAGGAACATATTGTTTAATTTCTATGTATTTTTATAGTTTCCAAAATTCCTCTTGTTATTAATTTCTAGTTTTATCCCATTGTGGTAGAGAAGATGCTTGATATTATTTCAACTTTTTGAATGTTTTGAAGACTTGTTTTGTGAACTAAAATATGGCCTATCCTTGAGAATGATCCATGTGCTGAGGAAAATAATGTGTATTCTGCAGCTCTTGGATGAAATGTTCTGTAAATATCTATTACATCCATGTGGTCTATAGTGCAGATTAAGTCTGATGTTTCTTTGTTGATTTTCTGTCTGGAAGATCTGTCCAATGCTGAAAGTGGGGTGTTGAAGTCTGCAGCTATTATTGTATTGGGGCCTATCTCTCTCTTTAGCTCCAACAATATCTGTTTTATATATCTGGGTGCTCCAGTGTTGGCTGCATATATGTATTCAAAATTATGTCCTCCTGCTGAGTTGACCCCTTTATCATTAAACAGTGACCTTCTTTTCTCTTCTTATAGTTTTTGTCTTGAAATCTATTTTGTCTGATATAAGTATCGCAAATCCTGCTCTTTTTTTTGGTTTTCATTGGCATGTAATATCTTTTTCCATTCCTTTATTTTCAGTCTATGTGTGCTTTACAGGTGAGGTGTTTTTATTGTAGGCAACAGATCAATATTTTTTTCACCCATTCAGCCAGTCTGTGTCTTTTGATTGGAGAGTTTAGTCCATTTACATTCAGTTATTATTGATAAGTAAGGACTTACTCCTGCCATTTTGTTATTTGTCTTTTAGTTGTTAAGTGGTCTTCTCTTTCTTCTTTCCTTTCTGTCTTCTTCTAGTGAAGATGATATTCTCTGGTGATATGAGTTACTATCTTGCTTTTCATTTTTTGTGTATTCATTGTATGTTTTTGGTTTGAGGTTACTATGAGGCTTGCAAATACTACCTTATAACCCATTATTTTAACCTGATAACAATCAACACTATTTGCATAAACACACAAGCAAAATGAAAAATAATAAAAACTCTACACATTAATCTTGTTCCTCTGCTTTTTAACTTTTTGTTGTTTCTATTTATATCTTATTGTACTTACTATGTCTTAAAAAGTTGTTGTAGTTATTCTTTTTATTGGTTCATTATTTAGTCTTTCTACTTAGAATAAGAGTAGTTTACACACCACAGTTACAGTGTTACGATATTTTGTGTTTTTCTGTATACTTACTATTACCAGTGAGATTTGTGCCTTCAGGTCATTATTGCTCATTAATGTCCTCTTCTTTCTGATTGAAGTACTCCCTTTAGCATTTCTTGTAGAACAGGTCTGGTATTGATTAAATCCCTCAGGTTTTGTTAGTCTGGGGAAGCCTTTGTTTCTCCTTCGTGCTTGAAGGATATTTTTACTGAATATACTATTCTATGGTAAACTTTTTTTTCCTTTAGCACTTTAAACATGTCATGCCATTCTCTCCTGACCTGTACAATTTCCACTGAAAACTCTGCTGCCAGACATATTGGAGTTTCATTATATGTTGTATGTTTCTTTTCTCTTTTCTCTTTTAGGATCCTTTTTTTCCCTTGACCTTTGAGAGTTGTATTATTAATAAATGCCTTGAAATAGTCTTCTTTGATTTAAATCTGCTTGGTGTTCTATAATCTTCTTGTACTTCATTATTGATATGTTTCTCTAGGTTTGGGAAGTTCTCTGTTATTATTCCTTTGAATAAACTTTCTACCCCTTTGTCCTTCTCTACCTCCTCTTTAAGGCCAATAACTCTTAGATTTGCCCCTTTAAGGTTATTTTCTAGATCCTGTAGTCATGCTTTATTGTTCTTGTTTTTGTTCTTGTTATTTTTGCCTCCTCTGACTATGTATTTTCAAGAAGACTGTCTTCAACCTCACCAGTTCTTTCTTTGCTTGATCCGTTCTGCTGTTAGATTCTGATACATTCTTCAGTATTTCAGTTGCATTTTTCAGCTCCAGAATTTCTGCTTGACTCTATTGAATTATTCCAATCTCTTTGTTAAATTTATCTGATAGATTTCTGAATTCCTTCTTTTTGTTATCTTGAATTTCTTTGAGTTTCCTCAACACAGCTATTTTGGATCCTCTGTCTGAAAGGTCACAGATCTGTGTTTCTCCAAGATTGGTCTCTGGTACCTTATGTAGTTCATTTGGTGAGGCCGTGTTTTCCTAGATAGTGTTGATGCTAATCAATATTCTTCGTTGTCTGGGCATTGAAGAGTTAGGTGTTTATTGTAGTCTTCACTGTCTGGGTTTATTTGTAGCCAACCTTCTTGGGAAGGCTTTCCAGACATTTAAAAAGACTTGTGTGTTGTGATATATGCTTTAGGGGGCATTCTAAGCCCAGTAATACTGTGGTTCTTGCAGACTCGTAGAGGTACCACTTTGATGGTCTTGGACAAGATATGGGAGAGTTCTCTGGATTATCACGCAGAGATTCTTGTTCTGTTCCCTTACTTTCTCTCAAAGAAACAGAGTCTATCTCTCTGTTCTGAACCACATAAAGCTGGGAATGGAGTGACACAGGCACCTCTGTGGCCACCACCACTATGACTGTGCTGTTTCAGACCTAATGCCAGCACAACACTGGTTTTACCCAAGGCTGGCTTTAACCATTCCCTGGCTACTGCCTATGTTTGCTCAAGGCCTGGGGGCTCTACAATTGGCTGGTGTCTAAGCCAGCCAGCTCTGTGTCCTTCCCTTCAGGTCAGCAAGGTCCAGAAGTGTTGTCCAGGAGTCAGGGACTAGAGGTAAAAAAAAGCCTTTGAAGAATACCTGGCGTTCTATTGTATTGTAGCTGAGCTGGTACTCAGAACACGAGAGACAGTCCTTCCCACTCTTCTTTCCCCTTTCAAAAGACAGAGGAACCTCGCCTGGTAGTTACCGCCACCCCAGGCCACAGGGAGTACTGCCAGACTACTGCTGATGTTCATTTAAGGCAGAGGGTCTTTTAAATCAGCTTTTTGTGAATACTGCCTGGCTTGGAACTCAACCTTTAGAGCAGTGGGCTCCTCTCTGGCCCAGGGCAGGTCCAGAAATGCTGTTCAATAGTCAAATCCTGGAACTGGGGACCCCAAGAGCCCGCTTGGTGTTCTAGCCCCACTTCACCATACTGGTATATAAGGTGCAAGAAAATGTCCCCTTTGCTTTTCCCTCTGCTTTTCTCAAGCAGAAGTTTTGCCCCATTGCCACCACAGCTGATCATGTGCTGAGTCTCACCTGAAACCAGCAAGTCTCAGAGGCTCACTCAAGGCTTTTGATGGGTATCATTGCTGTTTATTTGGGGTCCAAAGGCTCTTCAATTAGCAGGTGATGACTGTTGGCAGGACTGGGTGCTTTCCTTGAAGGCAGCAGGTTCCCTTCTGGCCCAGGGTTTGTCCAGTAATGTCATCTGGAAGCTAGGGCCTGGAACAGGGGCCTCATGACTCTGACCAGAGCCCTATCCTGCCTTGGCTGAGCTGGTATACAAGATGCAAGACAAAGGCCTCTTCATTATTGCCTCTCCTCTCCTCAAGCAGAAGGAAGGGGTCTCTTTTGGAGCTGTGATCTGTGCAGCCTGGGGTTAGGGGAGTTTTGCTGCCAACACTCCCTTGGCTGCCCCAGCTGGTGTCTCAAGTATGTTACATGCCCCTCCCAGTCCACTGTCTCTAGGCCTACTTCAGCACTAGGACTCAACTAAGAGTTGCAGTCCTTATGGCCTAGATTGTCATTCAGGTTTACTTGGAGGCACAGAATGCTGTAGCCCTCAGTGGTGAGGTTTGTACCCACTCAAGTTTGGACCTCTGAGATCAGTGATTCCCTCCCTGGCTAGGGCTGGTTTAAATGCTCCCTCTATGGGTGGTTGTCTGCTGAGTTTGGTCCGGTTATCCTTTTTGCTCTAACAAACAGTTCAGCACTGAGTTCAGTGTCTCATAATTGCTGTGTTCTCCCTCCCCCAGCGCCCAGAGATACTCTCTACACCACACAGCTGCTGCCACGGGCAATGGGGGGAGGGGGGTATTGGTAATTCAGGACTGTTTTTTCTATCTCTTCAGTGCCGCTTTCAGCAATATGAAGTTAAAACCAGGTACTATGAGTGCTCACCTGATTTTTGGTTCTTATGGTGTTTTTTCTACATAGATAGCTGTTAAGTTGGTGCCTTTTGCGGGGCAATGGGTGGAACTTTCTATTCTGCTTCCTCCACATCCTCCCCCTATTTCTTGCACAATTGATTTTTAAAGGCTTTGTTTATATGTGTAAGCCAGTTTGGTTTCTGAAAGACTTGGTCAATCAGCTCGATGAAGTCAGTAGTTTTTAAACTCTTAATAGTTGAATCAGTGAAACCTATTTTCTGGTTTCCTGGATTTGTTCCGTTTCAGTTTATGATGACTATACTGGCCCTTATGGTAATATATTCAAGCTAACTTGTGCATGGAGAAATAGTTGCAATTGATATGCCAAATCAATGCATGTAGACACAACCACATTCAATCACAATTAGTCAAATGAGTGTTGTAGAAGAACTTTATACTCAGCATAGTTCATTTTAAGACAAGGAAATAGCAAATACCAATTGATTGAATGTCCATAAATAAATAAATAAATAAGCACATGCATGTATTGTTTTGAGTGATTTATGAAAATAAGCAAGTTGATCAAAATTGTCAAATAGGTCGATTCATATAAGACATTGCCTAAATTAATATGTCATCTGACTAAATTCCCTAGTAATTCCAGTAAAAACTATTGAAATTTTAGTTTATGAAGATATAATCATATTTTATCCAATAATGCATCAATTGATTTTTTAGAAAGCATTCCAATTAGAATGATCAATCAATCCCATCAAAGTTTTTAATAAATGTGGATCTATAGGGTAGTCACACCTAAAGTAAGACTAGAATAAGAAAGAATAAGGTGTTAAAGTGAGATTTTACTAATCCTGAATCATGTCGGAGTTTGAGGAAATATCTGTAGAGGTTGAAAAGTGTGGCAAATGGAAGTTCAGCACTTCAGCCTTAAAAGAATCATAAACCCATAAACTCATGACATTTTTACCAGTCCTCCCATATTTATTTGCAGTCAAAACAATGCCACAGCTGACATTTAGGTACCCCAGGAAGCAAAAACAAAACATAACAGAACAAAACAAAAACAACCAAAAAACAGAAAGATAAGGAAGGTAGACAGACAATGCTAGCTCCATGGATTAAGTACTTGATATATATTTTTACTCGCCCTCAATACATAAATTATTTTAACCTTTAGTTGCTTTTGTTTTATTTCTGGATGTTATAGGATACTGTTTGCTCATTTGTATAACTTGCATAGGGAGAAGTAAGGATTTGGGAAGTAATTTTATCTTGTGCCTCAGTGTAGTTTTGTCCCTAAGCTCTGTCATTTGTATATCAAACTAATACTGTCATTTTTATCAGCTTCAGCCACAAGAAGGTTTATCAAGATGTTTCTGTTTTACTTCTCGTTTCTAAGCAGCTGCCTAGAACTAGAGTCACGAGTCTGCTAAATTGGGCAGGCATTCAGAATTTTTTTTTATCACGTTCTCCCAAGAATCATAATTTTATAAAAAGAAATTAGCCCAAGGTAAATCTCAGGAGAAAAGTGGTTTTCTCTAATAACTTGCCTCCAACGAAGCGGTTGGTCTTTACCCACAAGAACTAGAAATAATAATTTTTTTGTACTTTATACCTTGGGTCTGGGAGATTTAAAGAAATATCTTGCTTTCCAACAACTTGGGTTTCAGTTGTTCCAGATTGAATTAGTGTAAATAACATAGGAAGAAGGACCCTAGCAAATCAATACTGCATTGGTAGTAAACTGGAAAATACTGACAAATTATCCTTTTAGTCCTTAGCGAGGTTTAATCTAAACATCGTTTTCTCCTGACAGCATGAGAGAGAAGAGAGTAATTTATTACACCATCCTGATATGGATGAGAAAAGACTGCTGCATGTTCTTCAGTGTTCTGGCTCTCTCCTTCTTTATGCCAGTTCAATTTTTGTTTTGCTCCAGAAAAGCACTCTCCAATAATATGGTTACAGGTCTTGTAACTTTAATGCCGTAGCACTACTCTCTTCCATTGTACATTTGAGAACTTGCCAGCTGGTATAAGAATGTGGGTTAAGTGCTCAGTTGAGATTCAGCTGTCTCTCATTACATACATGGGGTATGTTCCTAAAGTCCTGTACGCAAATAATTTTATAGCTTTACCTAATGTGTGAGGTCACTATGTAGAGGAGTCTTTTAGAAAATCTTGTCACATTATAATGTGAATAATTACCCTGCCCCTAAATTTCACGATTTTCATAACTCGAGATTTTTGCTTGTTGGGTTTATTTAAGGTGGACTCTCTCTCTTATTCAGTTAAAGCTTACTTCATTTATAGGAAAGGGGGAATTTGTGTTTACTGAAGGAAAAATATTTAGCATTATTTCTTTCCTAATTTCCTGTGGTTTTTGTTTCATCAAACAACTCTTATTCCATGTGATAGGTGTGTAATACAAATATGTGAAATATGACTCACAAATATTAGGTCAGCAATTTGTTCATCTTTTTCTGTTAAATAAATTGGTCATGTTAAATGTCACATTTTCCAACTTGGATATGATAAAATAGCACTTTTAATTAACCCAAGAGGGATATGGACATAAGAAAACCATAAACACTTGCTCCAGGCAGGATCCTTTCTCAAGGAACTGCATTATGAATATGACTTAAATTACTGGTTATATGTATCCCGTGTATTTTGCAAAACCTAAAATGTTATTATATTGTCATTACACTTCCACAGTTATCATCAGGATAATAAAGAAATAAACTCAAACTTTCTTTTTGTTTTTTTTTTTTTTTTGAGACAGGGTCTCACCCTGTCACCCAGGCTGGAGTGCAGTGGCACTATCTTGGCTCACCGCAACCTCTGCCACCCAGGTTCAAGTGATTCTCCTACCTCAGCCTCCTGAGTAGCTGGGATTACAGGCGCCTGCCACCGTGCCTGGCTAATTTTTGTAGTTTTTAGTAGAGATGGGGTTTCACCATCTTGGCCAGGCTGGTCTTGAACTCCTGACCTCATGATCCACCTGCCTCGGCCTCCCAAAGTGCTGGGATTACAGGCTTGAGCCACCGCGCCTGGCCAACCTCAAACATTTTTAACACATTTTGAGAATAGTGTACATACTAAATAGCAATAAATGTTTCCCTACATACTCTTCCCCATATCAAATCCAAGCCTTAAAATGTTTAATTGCTCATCTAGACTCCAAAAATATTTAAATTACCAGGTACCTCTAGCCAAAGGATAAAAACATTAAATTGGAAATGATTAACATATTTACAAAAAAGAGGAATTTTTCTAAGAAATTCGGTTAAACTTAGTTCCACTGACTCAGAAGAGGAAGGAATTTCTTCTGGAAAACATTTTCTAAAATAGCAAAATTCATCATAAATATATGATTGGGACTATTAAATATAAATGTTGCAGTCTTAATCATCTATAGAACAAGCCATTATGACAAGATTTCCCTGTATAAATGTGCAGCATGTTTCATATGCCAGTGTGTTAAAAAAAAAAAGAATCATTTGATGACTTAAAAATAACTAACTGAAATATTTGAATTTGCTTTGCTTCAGATATCGTATGAAATATCATTACCATTTTGTGAGACCTTTTAGGTTATTAAACATTTAAAAATTCCTTCTGTGAACAAGGCACTTTTATAGGAGAGAGACAGTGGGAAGATAAGGGGAATGTAAGGATTACAGATGTGCTCACAGCTTAGCAGCTTGCTTACTTGGACTTAATGATACTGATAAGAGTAATTCTGATGACATTATTAACCTATCTCTATATAACTCAGCCAATTGACCAGAATAAGATCAATATTTTTTCCCAGTTGTCAAGACAGCCAATCACCATGGCTTTGATTGGATCATGGCATGGTCAATCCAATTCATTAGGTAAGATTACTGAAATAAACCACACTGAGAGAAACCAAATGCCAGTTAGGTAGTGAGCAAGTGCCAAGTGGTGGAAGAGTTCTATAAGAGCAAGCTCATCAGATGATTTCTTCAAGTCGTTATTCATGTCCAGAATTGATTCAGTGAGTAAAGTCATTTGAAGGGTCTGGAAGATATAAAGTCGAAAAAAATGCTTTCTAAAATTTAAAGTGAAAACATCTGTTAGCATGTATTAGAATTTGTTTCAAAACTACAATTTTTTATTGTACAAACATTTGTCAAAGGACTAAGAATCCAGAAATAAATAATTAGACATTTTCCTTGACCTTGAGAAGTTCATAATCAGTGGGCAGAGTAAGGGAGTAGACATATAAATAGATAATTATAGTGCAATGTAGTAAGCCTTGTAATAGGTGTATGTAAAATGCATGCATTAGAAGCACAAAGAAAATAAGCTGGAGAAATCTAGGAGGATTTCACAGAGAATGTAATATTTGAATTTTATCTTGAAGTATGGATATGAATATTTTGTCTTTTTCTTTATTTTCTTCTATATTTGTGCATGTGTATACACACATGCACATGCATTAGTATGTATATCAGTTACTACCCTTTCATTTGTGAGTGACTAGGAAAAGGTAAATATTTGATTGCTTCTGGTTTTGGGTTTTTTTTTTAACAGCTTTATTGAGATAGATTTCACACATCATACAATTCACTCATTTAAAATGTAAAATTAAATGGTTTTTATTATATTTACAGAGTGGTGCAACTATCACCACAATCAATTTTAGAACATCTTCATCACCTCACAAAAACCCTTTACACTCAGCTGTCATCTTCCTACTCCTTTATCCCCCAACTGTAAGTAGCACTAATCTACATTTTGTCTCTACAGATTTTCCTATTCTGGAGATGTCATACAAATTAAATCATATAATATTTGTCAATTTGTGTCTGGCTTTTATCGCTTTGCATGTTTTCAAAATTTGTCTATGTCATAACACATCAGTTAAATTCCTTTTAATTGCCAGATAATGGCTCATTGCGTGGAGATATCACATTTGTTTGTTCATTCACCAGTTGATGGACATTTGGATTGTTTCCACTTTTGCCCTTCTGATTTCACAGAGAGTGTTCTATTTGTTTTCTTTTAATTTTCTAATGTTCCATCTTGTCAATTTTTTTATCATCTTGGATAAAAATTATTTTTCCCCGCTGATAATTATATGTTCTACTGAGAATATGATAAATGTGGTTTTCCCTCAGATGAAAATAATCTGATCATATCTGTGGTCCTAAGAAAAATTTTTCTCTACTATCTGTGAGATGTAGAGGCAGCTCATAAGACAGTGACTTCCGACCTTTTATGGCCAGGGCTCATAAGAAATACATTTTTCATCACAACCCAGTACATACATAATTTATGTGTATGTATTAAACAAAAGTTTCACAAAACAGTGTTTATGCTTACTATATGCAGTGCACTGTGATAGCCTATCCTATTCTAGTCTATCCTAACCTTTTCTGTTCTATTCTACCCTATCCAATCTACCCTGTCATATTATAGTCTATTGTTTTAAATGTACATTACATGACCCATACATTGATTTCACAACCCACTACCACGTCACTATCTGAAATTTTGTAAACTTCAGATTTCAAATCTGAAGTTCTGTTATAGGAGAGAGACCAGAACACATTCTGTGTCCAGAAATATTCATCTCATCTTTCTGAGGCAATGACTAAAGAATGGTATTTTATTTTATTGGTTGATACCCATCAAATGTTGGTGAATAATAAAAAGCCCCTATGTTGACACCTCCATTCTTAACCTACTGACCTTTAGAAGCAAAAGAATAATTACTGGTATAGTTCATTACCTTCAGAACAGTAAGAGTAACTGTGCTATGAATATTATTCCCTTCTCTTGGGAATTAACTTTCCTATTATGACTCATAACATTTCTTTTGTACTAGGAATGTAAAATGTACCACTTAAATATAAGGCATTATAAGGAATTTAGGGCATTTTAATATAATGTTTAAGTTTTTTGATCTAATGTTTTCATCTAATAGTTTAAGGTCTTTTAATCTAATGTATATAACTTAAATGGACCTTTCCCTCTGTATTTTAAAGGATGCCTTAAGGTGACATGATTTCTCTAGAATGACAAGTCCCAAGGAAGTATAAGCAAAATATTCCCATGGAGAGTGATAGAATAACATGAAAGACAGTTCAGACTCATTTCTCATATGACTCACTTCTCTAAATTTGGCTTTAACAGCTTATATTCTAGAAGGAAGGAAAATTGGCAGTCGGAATTGAAATGCCAGTGAATAAAATGTGTCTATAGGACACAATATGATAATATTACATGTGTTGGTGACCTATTAAAAAAAAACAAACTGAAACTCCCACCACCGTACCCAACACTCCTTCATAACTCCTAAATAGAAGGGTACTCTTATTCTCTTCCTATGGTGACTTCATTGCTGACTTTCTTCCTTTTTCTCTTCCCACACTTCTCCACAAACACATACAAGTTGGGAAAACTCCTCCAAAGTATCTTCCTACCTTCTATACACAAATCTTCCTTTCCTCTTTTCTTTATTTTTCCACTTCCACAATCTTCCTGTCTCTTTTGTACTTGTGGCTGTCATTTCCAGAAGAATCCAAGATGTACAATTGACAGGAAACACCAAACTGAATTATAGAGACGGGCAGAAACTTCAACTTTGCTTCTTTCCTCTTTACCTGTTACCCTGCACTTTCAGAGAACTTAATTGTAGATTGCAAAATGAAGATCAAGCAATAACCACACACAATGAAGGATTCAAGGAACCCTAAAAAGGAAGAAAGTGAAAGTAGTAGAACCTTTCTTGTTACACATCTCTATTTTATTTATTCAAATGCTATTCTTTTTTAAGTCTATGTTTCCAGCCTGGTTAATCATAAAAGCTCAATCAAGCACTTCATTTTGGTCTTTTTTGTGTGGGATTATTAATGCCGTGGGTGGAGAATTTCACACAAAGTAGTACACTTAAGTCATGCCCAATAATGGCTCAGAAAATTGGTTTTGTGTATATACTTTGTAAATAGATAATTCCCAAATCAGGTAAGAAAAGAGAAAAGACAGAAAAATTATAAATAAAAGTGTAGAATATACTTCTATAGTGAAGGCTTATCCTTATTTCAATTAAGAATTATGACTTATGAAAGTAAATACATAAAAGCTTAGATCCCTGTTGTCAAATGCGAAACATATGAAAGTATCACAGACCTATGAAATGCCAAATACACTTGCACTTATTCACGGGCACTAATAACTTTAATTAAGCCAGAACATCTCAAAATAACAATAATGAAAATTATATAGGTAATAAGACTATAAACTGGACTTGAATAAATGATTTTGTTTTCTTTAGAGGATGTTGGCTACCATTCAGTCTCCAAGTATAAAATATTTATTACATGTCCATTTGCGAAAAAGATAATTTTTAATCCAATTCAATTTTACATTTTTCTATTATCCTACCAGGCAGAGTTTAATGCAGTACAGTTGAACTCATGTTTATTGAATAAGTTTTTCCTACTTGCCTGGAGTAAGTGCATTTTTCTATTTTGAAAATCTTTACTTAAACTTAAATGTTTTCCACTATTTTTCCAAACAACAGTTTAGAGTATTGTGTTTACTTGAAGTTATGTCTTAAGATTTTGAAATTTCTTTCCCAGATAGTATTTATGAAATATATTTTCTGTTGTCCTGTTGCAGTAAACTTTTTATAATTGGTATTTTAATGTTTCTTAAGCCAAAAGAATGATACTATATGTGCTAGACTTATACTCATCCTTATTTTTGGTTTGGACTGATAAATCTACTTTTCTGTTAGGAAAAATATCTGTCTGAAATAATCTGCCTCCATTTTCTTTCTTTTTAATTTCAGTAGTTTTGAGGGAACACGTGGTGTTTGGTTACATGGATAAGTTCTTCAGCGGTGATTTCTGAGATTTTGGTGCACCTGTCACCTGAGCAGTGTACCCTGTACCCAATGTCTTTTATCCTTCACCCACCTCCTACCCTTTCCCCTGAGTCCCCAAAGTCCATTATATCATTCTTATGCCTTTCAATCCTCATAGCTTAGCTCCCACCTATAAGTGAGAACATACTATATTTGGTTTTCCATTCCTGAGTTACTTCACTTAGAATAATGGTCTCCAACTCCATCCAAGTTGTTGCAAATACCATTATTTCTTTCCATTTTATCTGCCTCTATTTTCTGACAGGCAGCTCATCTGAAACCCTAACTTCATAGTTTCTTGACCTCTCTCTGGCCAATAATCATTGCCTTCACTCCATTTCCACAATTCATTTCCTCTTCTCCCCCTCCTTCACTCTCACTGAATCACTTCTGGTCTCATCAAGGCCCTCATACCTCCCTAGCTACCTATCTATTTCGTAAACCTTTTCAGGCTCTCTCTCTTACCCTATTTCAACCGTGAACTCATTGACACTCTTGTAGTTGCACCATCTTGCCAATCCTCAACCATTAATCAGCTTTCCTTGATGTTTTCTTTCATTTTTCCTTCTTCTTCTTTCTTTCATTATACTGCTTCTGCCAAAGAAAATCACATACCTGATTGACTGGTGCCAGTGCAAATTCATAATATCCAACTTCAGCCAAGCCCTTAAAACTGCCCAGCTGTCTCGATTTTTGTTCTTAAGTCAGTTCCCATTCTAGTTCCCCATTCTTACTGCACTAATGATATTGTCTCTGAAATATTTACTCCACGCACACCTTCGCAGACAGCAGAAAATGTTGCTTTCTACCTCATAGAAAAATAAAGGCCATCAATCATGAAGTCCCCTCTATTCCCTGCCACCCTACACTAAATATACCTCTATTTATACTTAGTCTTACCACATGTTTCACAGTAAGAAATGTCCTTTCCCCTTTTCATTGTCAACTCTCATTCTGTGTTTTTGATCCCATACACTCCCCACCTCCTCTGGAGCTTACACTTTCAATGCCTTCTCGCTTGCATTATTAATCTCTCTATTCCCTCATAAATACTTCCTCATTTACCATTTAGTCCTCAGTTTTCATGGGTTGCTACTAATTTTTTTCCGGCCCTTTGCCCAAATATGACGTACTCTGTGAGGCCTTCCATGATCACATTATTTAAAATCACAGCTTCAGATACTGTATCCACACAATTACTTCCTTTTCTCTTTTCTTGCTTTAACTTTCTCTTTAGCCCTTGTCAATATCTAACATGCTTTGACTTATTTTTCTTATTAATTATCTGCCTTCTCCAATAGAATATAAACTCCATAGGGCAAGGATTTTGCCTGAATTCTTATCAACTAAAACGAAGTTTGACACATAGCAGGAACAAAATGAGTATTTGTTGAATAAATTAAATGTAATTTGACTTCTATTTCCACCAGGCTATTACAGTCCTAAAGATCATCGTTGAGATTATGGCTAAATCCAGTCCTCATTTTAGGTCTCATCCTACTTTTAGTAGAAGTTTGTGTAATTGTACAATTGTTCCCTTAAGAAAAATGATTTATCTGGGCTATCCAGTCTTTTTAGACTCCTTCACTGATGTTTTCTCTTCATTCCACCCTTGAAAGGTATCAGTGTTCACCAGATATCTGTCCTCGGACCTTTTCTTCCTTGCACTCTTTTTCTGAGAAGTATCATCCGTATCTATGTTTTTTAAACACTGCCAGTGGCTTCCCAGTCTAGATTTCTAGTCCCTACTTTTTTCCAGAACGTTTCTAACTGCATATTGGATATCTACTAGATGGCTTGTATGTTTTTCAAACTCAACACAACCAGCATTAATTCAGTACCCTCTCTTCTTCCTGAATGCCTTGTTTTAGTTAATGGCATCAACATCTACTCAGTCTCTCAAGATATATACATTTTTTTATTTATTCTAGGCTTCTTCTTCTCCCCTGCCTCCAATTCTGTTCCAAATTCTAATAACTCTACTTCCTAATTCCATTTCTAACATATTCCTTTTTCTCCATCTTCTTCACCTCTGCCTTACCTCCAGCCCTCATAATTTTTCACATGTGATATAATAATAGTTACCTGATTTTTTTTCTACCTTCAGTCCTGCCCAAATCCAATCAAGCTTTTATACTGTCACCATAAATACCTTAGCCAATGCAAATCTTTCCATACTTGTCCCCTCTTGAAACTCAACGACTATCCTTTGTACTCTCAGATAAACTTTTTACTCCATAAAGCCTAGCTTCAACCTACCTTTCCAACATCTTAAAACTCTACAGGTAACTTTATTCATTTTTCTCCAACTACACCACACACTTTCTCAACTCCAGACCGACAGCTTCTTTTACCCAGAATGTCAATTTCTTTCCTTTGTATCTGGCAAACTTCTAAGCACTATTCAATAGCCAGTTCAGATAGCAGCTCCTCTGTAGATCTCTAAATCTCACAAGGTAAGTCACCTTGGTTTTTTACCTTAGAGCATTCTGTATCGTTTATCTCTATGAAAAAAACATATTTACATTGTGTTTCAAAAACTTTGTTGGCATGTTTATCTTTTCACTGAACTGTGAGCTCCCAGCCCTCAAGTAATTAAGATAGTCTAGCTAAGGAGATAGCACACTTACTTAAAAGAGTAAATAGTGCAAGGTATGATATGATGATCATATGATAGAAATGGACTGTGAATGGAGAAATGGAAGCAATCAGGATTACTTCATGGGGTTGGATCATCAGGGAAGGCTGCACAGAGGAAGCAGCTCTCAAGGTTAAATGGTTTTTGGATAAGTCAAGAAGCAAGGACCCAGTATTTCACTTGAGGATTATGCTCTGAGCCAATATGAAAAGATAGCTCAAGTAGAATAGTGAGATGGACATTGGGACAGGGAGATTTGAGCTTGATTGTGGATTTCCTAAATGTCATAAGTTTGCTATTGTGTTGTGTATTTATATGCATATGCACATACATGCCCCTTAGATACTTTTCTTTTCTACCCATTCTTATCCTAAAATTACCAAGTCTAAACTGAAAGTTTTCTAATTCCTCAAGAATAATCTGATTTATACTCTTGTATTATCCTATATCATTCAAAGGACTTCTCCTGGAGCCCTGTAAATAAGGACTGAGATAAGGGATGTAAATGCATAGGGCAGTGCCCAACATACAGAGAGTGATTTATAAAGGTCAAGATTTTCCTCTTGACCTCAGTCTCTGATCTCAGGGGCCAAATTAGATATTGTACTGATTCAGACAGGAAAACAGAAAAGAAGAGAGAAAGTCATAGATGGGATAAAACTTTGATCACAGAGATCGTTTTGTTGATGTGTCAACAATTTTTGGCTGATAAAGTGAAGAGGCAATAAAAACAGCAGTGCATATGATTCTGCAGTTTGAACAGCAAATTGCAGCAAATTGTAGCTATAGCATTGGAAGTTCTTCTTGCTCTCTGGCTGTCTCTTTATTCAGAAGTTTAAGTTAATTAAACTTGGCTCTCATAGTGTTTGAATGCCAATTCTAAATGCCTGTGGTTAGAAAAATCACACTCTATAAAATCGGTCAAAATGCATATTCTAGAAGAGTCATCACAATTGATAGTGATATTTCCTAACATCCATTCATCCTAGTATTCTTGTTTTTTTTTCTTCTATTGTGTTTTTTCTAATTATTATCCGCTGAGATTAGTGGTTTGCCCTTTGCTTTCTGGCATGGCACATTGTACAAATGCTTTGTGGTAGGACTTTAATTTGTTCATCATGACACCGTTTCTGCCTTTGCCCATGGGAAAAATAAAATCGAGTCATTCCTCCTCTGGCCTTCTTCAGCACATATCCTGTCAGTATGATGTTTATCTCAACCTGCCTATTGATGATTACATTGATAGTGCCATATCCTAGTGTGCGGCTCTGTGCTCCTGGCTTTTTAGTTTTGTAGAGTTTACTTCCTTAATAGAAAGCCTGTATGAACTTAAAAAGTCACCAATCTTCTCATATTAAGGAACAGAACTACCTATAACATGGGTTTCCAGCCACTACCTTATTCAGGTATAAATCAAAAAGGAAATTATGTGAATGGCAGAATATATAAAGCTGTGTGATAATGAGCCACATTGTAGTGAGGCTCTAGCATAATAACTCTGAACTGGGTTTTTATTTTAAGTCACTGAAAATGAGGGCTGGAAAATGTAACAGATTTGGGGGAAAAGAGGTAGAATTAGATCTACTATATTTTTGAAGTATTTTCTGAAAGGGAAGTGGGATTTAAAATATTGGATTGTTTCTTTTTCAGTCTTTTTTATCCCATTAAACACAGGCTTTGGGTATAAATCCTGGTATAGCTGACTACCAGCCTTGCCACCTTGGGCAAATTTTGTACCCTCTTAAAGCCACAATATCCTAATCTATGGCCACTTCACAGGAGTAGTGTGAGGATAAGTTGTGTGAGTAAGAACTGTAAATGTATAGGATGATGCCTAACATATAGAAAGTGATTTATAGAGTTCAGGTGTCTGCATTTGGTGGTAGTTTAGTATCAGAAAGTAGTAAACAAAATAGCTGATTGAGTGCTTTCTCTTATCTTCCACTGGTTAGTATGACATCAGACAGAATATTAGAACAAGGTACTTGTATTAGTTTTTCACTGCCGTGTAAAAAATTATCACAAACTTAAGGACTTAAAACAGCAATTTATTATCTCACAGTTGCTATGAATCAGAAGTCTGGACACATCTACTGGGTCCTCTGCTCAGGGTCTCACTGGACTGAAATCATGATGCCAGCTGGGACTGAGGTCTCATCTGATGATGCTCTTCTTGGCAGAATTCAGTTCCCTTGATTATAGGACTGAAGTTTCTATTTTCTTGTTGGCTGTCAGCCAGGGGTCACTCTCAACTACTAGAGACTGTTCTCCAGTTTTTGTCACGTGGCCCTTTCCATAGGTCTACTCACAGCATGGCAGCTTTGTCTAAGCCAGCAACAGAGAGAGAGAGAGAGAGAAAAAAAGAAAGAGAGAGGCAGAATTTTACTACATACTAGTAAAATGAGTCCTATATGTATATGGTAATATAATTGTGAGAGTGATATCCCACCACCTTTGCTGTATTCTATTGATTATAATGAAGTTACAGGTTGTACTCAAACTAAAAGGGAGGGGATTATAAAATGGCATAAATATGGTGGCCATCTTAGGGTCTTTGTGCCACAATACTCAAAGAAATAATAGACAATTCACTGGCCTAAGTCTTAAGAGAAATAATGGGTAGTATCCCTTGATAATAGTTTAACATGCCTAATTCAACATGCAAATACCTCATGTTTCTTTTTCCTGAATCTATGACTCTTGAAACTAATATTTTGGAGATTATTGAAGGATAATTTTACTTTAAAAATATTAATTACGTAAGTAACACATGATTATATTCTTTTTGTAAAACAAGAAAAATTAAACCATACAACAATATAAAATGAAAAAGTAATTTATTCTGCACCTCCTCCTTACCTTTACCCCTTCCCCTATCCAGAGGTGCTCAAGGATGATAGTTTGATACTTATTCTTCTGTAATATTTTTAAAACATAAATGAGATCATGTTATATGTGCGTTCTGTAACTTGCTTTATTCTTTTTTAAACAATGTTTCTTGAATATCTATGACAGTATAGATAGATCTGCCTCTGTTGCTTGATTTTTTTTTACTATGTGTGAGCAATTAGGAGATTTCCCATTTTTTACTTTTATGAGCAACACTACAATGAATTCTATGTATGTACATATTTATGTACCTGTGGGAATTATCCTGCAGTAATAGATTCCCTAGAAATGGAATTGATGGGTCAAAGGGTATACACATTTAATTTTTGACAGGAAAACAATGGAAGCTATCTGATATTTAAATACTGGTAAAATGTCCTCCAAAAAGACCAGATACATTTACAATCCTAGCAACAGTGTTTATTCAAGAGTCTCATTTTTGTCCACATTAAGGTCTTTTCCAAAATCAGCAATGTGTTACTCTTAGGAACGTGATAGGAGGTGCAATAGAGGTCGTTGCAGATGGGGATGAGTAGGAGTGAAAGATCCCTGGAAACTATTGACAGGGGCAGTATCCATTTGGCTGACCACAGAAAATTTAGATACACTAAAAAATTTGGAAACTACTTCCAAGGCTGTATGATATCAAGAGATGTATAAATTAGAGTAGTCATTCAGATTTAGCCCACATTATGCACACATACCTGCATGTGTGGGGAGGGAGGAAGAAAGAGAGAATGAGAATAGCTCATTTAGAGAGTGAACATTTTAGAAGTATAAAAATATAGCAGGGAATGTTGATAATGCGTGTTATTAACTCAACAGCTCTAAGAGTCCTTCTTCAAAGCCATTTCCAAAGCACCTGTGATTACATGATTAGAGACCCCTTAAAACAAGTAAAATAGGTCTGTAAACTAGGTTATCTATCAGATTACTAAAAAGCCCGCTGATAGCTGTCATAAAATAAGTCACCATTCATACCCCTGCCAAAGAAATACAATTGTCTTGATAATATATAATAATGCCAAAGGATATTTTGTAGAATGCCACTGCTGGAGCTGCATGGAGATTCTTCAATTTGCTGATTACAAAGCCTACTCAGAATCTTAAGGCTCAATCCTAACCATTGTGATTTGTGGAGACTTGCATTTCTTGTCCAGTCTTCTGAAAGTAATTACAAATGCTGCAGAAATACTCAGTTTTATCCAATTTCTGACAGATATATTCTGAGTACTCCCATTTATTTATTCTCTTTTGAATGAGAATACATGAGAGGAAGACAACAAGAAGATAGACCTTACTCCATGCTTTCTGTTTTGCACACACACACACACATTCAATTAATTATGTCTACAATTTATGGATCGATCATGTAAAGTGGTAATCTTGGCTTAGACCAATTGGTTTAATCACCCTGAATTGCATGTCCAATACAGAAGTTACAGACACACTACACTGCCACTGCTGAAAGTTGCTGATTATAGAACATCAGTAGTGTTTTGAAAGATTCGAAGGTATTTTGTACACAAGCAATTTTTAAAGGGAATGATTAAACAAGATTTATATTATTTCTTACGTTTAGAAGTAAATTATTATTTCAAATATGTTATAATTTCCCAAAATATGTTATAGTGAAGCCCTAGTTTTGTACTAGACTCCAAAGCAAAATAGCCCATATATTCAGGAAGTGCTGATTACCACAGCCCACTCTTGGTGACTGAGAGTACATACTAGCATATTTAAAGGCTCTGAGAAGTCCTTTAATAAAGAAACCTGTACAGATATGTTCAACACAAAGTTCTCCAAATTTATTTGTATTGAGAACTCTTTTCTCTTAAAACTCTCACTGACATTTCCACACATAAAGAAATGTAAATTTAAGAGATATCATTCCTAGCATTAGCATTACTTAGCTGTAAAATACTTATTTCAGTGTTTACCGTGCTAATGTTATATCGTTCCTTTTAATTAATTTGATGAAAATTTTAATTCCTCTTAAAAATACACATGTATCTCAAAAATATTGAAAGAATACACTTGGCTGGCAAACTGATGGCAGCTTTATTTATAAAACTCATCATTAAAAACTTATTAAGATTGTGGAATTAGTCATGCAGTGGGGAAGAAGATAATTCTGGATAACCAGATCTCTTTTTTCAAAAGATTATTTGAATCATGTTTAATGAAAAAAAATGCAGCCCTCAGAAGATGGCATTTGATAAAGCTTCATCTTTGAATTAATTTATTTTTCCTGTTATCATTGTTAATTTTGCTTGTGAAAGATAATCTAAGGACATCTCAGGAATTAGATAAAGAAGGACTGCTGGGTCACCTTCATCCAGGTGATGAACTGATAACTGTGATTGAAAATTGTAGTCAACTTAAAACAAAACAAAATAAAAAAGGAAATTACTGTCAAATGGAAGTGTAGTTTTGGAAGCTGAACCCTTATAAATTGTATTGATGGGGAACCTGCACCTGAGCCACGGTGAATCACTTCACTTGGATTATATTTAATGGCAATTGGAAATATCCTTGTTCCTTATCCTTTTATTATATGGCAGTTTTTTTGCGGTTCAGCTCAGAAAGTCAAGTTTATTGGGAAATAAATTTTCAGTGTTTCATATGTTGTCTTTAAAGAAACAGTGGTCACCACCTGCTGCTTGACACCCACCGATGTCGTTTTTCTTCCCAATCAAAGAAAAGCAGGTCAGCAATTTCCTAGCAGGACAAAAGTACTAAAGGTTACTTTTTTCCCTGCGTTGTATCATGGGCAAGGCTTATACCTAGCATGATGTGGGGCATATCTCTTCCTAACCTCCTTCCAACTACCCCACTCCCCCTAAGAAGAAATATTTGTACTACTGCCACGAAGCCTGAAATTCCATAGTAGCCTCCCCTCTGGATCTGAATAAATTAAATATATTCTCTATGAAGGCTACAATTTGGCCAGGTGCATATTCACGCAAAGCTTTTATTACTTCTAAGCCTTTGTATAACCTGTTCCTGGTGCCTGGAACATTGTACTCTCCTCTCTTCTCCCTGACCCCCACCCTATCCACTCACCCATAACCCTCCCAGCCTGCCAGACTTTTCTCTAGGATATCTACCCTACCCGCTTCCGTACATGCCCCATCACACCCTGTAATTTCCCTACCTTATCTTAAAAAGTGGGAGGGAGGTAAGTCCTGGTGTATTTTCCTTGCTTTGCTCTAAGGTCCTATATATATTTTGTAATCCTTAATCACTCAGGGCATTCAAGGCAATGTACGTCTCTCTAGGTTACTTGTGTTAGAGAAAGACAAAACCAAGGGACTTATCTGATGCTCGGAATACAGGACCTTAATGCAGCTTTTTGTTTGCAGAAAATAATGTTACTACACATTACATATTGCAGAGTTTCTGCAAATTTACACAACCTAAAAGCCCAAAGAGTCCCCTTACATGCTACATGATCTTGTTACTCAAAGGATGGTCCACAGACTAGCAGCATCTGTATCATCTGAGACCTTGTTAGAAATACAAAATCTAGGGCCCACTGAAGACTTACTGAATCAAAGTCGGGATTTTAACAAGAGTCCCAGGTGATTTGTGTGCACATTAAAATTTGAGAAGCAGCAGTCTAGAAAAAATGCTGGCACTGTGCTGGATATGTGTCTTAGTTAAAAGTGTGAAAGACTGAAAGGGAATTACCTTTTATTTATTTGGCATAGCATTACTTTTTTAGAACCTCAAGTCCAAAATTAATCTAAGTGTTTTGAAAATTAGAGAATATGTAATTTTTAAATTTTAGAATAATTAAATGTGTTTCTTTTGTTTTTACCCCATCTCCTCCAAGGATGCAGTGATTCTCCAGTAATAATGGCCCTACTAGTCACCTGGGGTGCTTCTTATACATACAAATCTCTAGGCCACAGCCCCAGAAATTGTATATTACATGGCCTGTGATAGGTCTATGAATCTGTAGTTTTAACAAGCTTCACAAGTGATTCTGATGTAGGTGGTCCATGGACCTCATTTTGAGAAACAGTAGGGGGTCAGGAGTGACAGGGAGACAGAATGAAATGTAAATATATTAAAATAAATACCATCTGCATCAACTTAACTGAAGGTACGTCCCTAAAAATACAACACCAGTTGACAGTCTTTTTCAGGGAACCAGGTGAATAGCATATTTTACCTTCAGTGCAACTTTTATTCATGTTTGCCGAGTTTCCACAATCAGTGACATATTATTTCTCAACATGAAATATTAGTTCTGTGGAAGGGCCTGTGGTTAAAAGCCTTACCTATCATTAGCTATCAATGTACATAATCTTCTACTGGAAGCACTCAAAACATAGCACAAAAATATGATCACCCCTTCCCCTCCACCATGATTACCACCCCCGTCAACCACACAGTCCATCAAGACCAAGAGACTACTGCTGGGAGCACCAAAGGCAGTGTTACGGAAGGGGAACTTCCTCTTAGGGATCAAATGTAGCTCTCTAGACTGTAGCCCATGCATTTATAAGAACTTGAGAATGACTTGGGTCTATTATGTGTCTATTTGCCTGGCAATAGATTCTGGAATTGATTAATTAAATACATTGGAAATGATAAACTGGAATACAAGGTAACAATAGTTTGTGTGCTATAAATAGGAAAACACTTATTTTTATGCCCTTGAAAATTGCTTTCTACTTGGCTAAAAAAGATCTAGTGCCATCAACTCTAGAGAAAGCACTAAAGGAGTGGCTTTGCCTGTATCTAACTAACGATTCCACACAGCACTGAAGTAGAAAAAGATGAGTCTCTTACATAAAGTGTGCATCTAGAGAGGAGGGTGAGAGGAGCCACTCATGCATAATGTGGCTCCCCTGTGAACAAAACAAGGAAGCCGAGAAGTAGATGAAGTTCTTGATTTCACCCTGGCTGTTAATGATAATGAATCATTGAATGCATCTGTTCCTTGCATTCCTACGGCATAGAAGGAGGAAAGGAACATAAAATATAAAACCTCAACGCAGTTAAACTACACAAAATGAAGAAAACACTAAAGAAAGTAGGCCCCTCAGTTAATGGAACTACAAGCACCAAATGATACTCTTTAAGAGGTAGTGAAGCCCAGCTGAAATCTGCATCAGGAATTCTGTGGGGTTATGAAGAAGAACACAAACAAGTTTGGACCCCTCCTTTAAAACAACAGCAATTTTCCTGGGAAAGAAAAGGTGCTAAAACTCTGCATTTCCTCCCAATGGACTGTTGCAGTATTTTATGAAATACGTGAAGAATAAATGTATTAATTCTACTCATAAATGAACAACTCCATGCATTGTTCAAACTGGCTAAAGAACCACTAAGGAGGATTCCTGAGGTGAGGAACAGATCTCTTAAATGAGTGATCTGGTGAAAGGAGTAGGGAGGGGGGGAGGCAACGGGAATCAGCTGTAGTTAATATACTTCTAGGCTCTGAATAGAGTGGCAAGCAGCACATTCTGTAAACTCTCAAGTACTGAAGCTATTGCAAATAGCAGTAACAACAAGTGGCTCTAGATGAGCAGAATGCTTGGCAAAGCTGCTCAGGAGGTTAATGAAGTTGACATGGGTTTGAAAAAGTGGAAAATAATGCATCTTGAATGACAGGATCTCATTTTGAAAGAAACAGTGCTTAAAGAGAACAAGTTTAATTTTTTATTACAGGTGCACTGTTGATTATCTAATTCAAACATGGGTGATGTGCCAATAAAAATACCCAGTACATGATCGCTTTTTACAGCTTGCATTCAAGCTCGGACAAGGCAAAAATGATACTCTGAATGACAGCAGAAAGTACATTTAAGGCGTTCATCACTGCGGGTTTGTTCATGCTTGATGAAAGGACCTGAGATTTGAGAGAAGAGGTAGGATGATGTAGGAAATCGCATCATTTGATCTAAGGGACCATGAATGGAATGACTAACGGTATAATGTCAAGGACTTCTGTACAGTTCAATGCAGAGGAATATAGTCCCCTTGTACTCTGACCTTTGGGCTAGAAATCCTTGGTAATTAGCTTAAAAATGAAACCAGTATGCTATGGACTAAATTATGTCCCTCCCAAAACTCATATGTTGAAGTCCTAACCCTTCATGTGATGGTATTTGGAGATGGGGTGTTTGGGAAGTCATTAGGTTTAGATGAGGTCATGATGGTATGGCCCTCATGATGGAATTCGTATCCCTATAAAAAGGGACACCAGAGAGCTTGCTCCCTCCCTCTCCACCCTGTGAATACGCAGTAAAAAGGTGGCTATCTGCATGCCAGAAGAGACCCCACACAAAAAACTTGATCATGTTGGTACCCTGATGTCAGACTTCCAGCCTCAAAAACGGTGAGAAAGTAAATGTCTGTTATTTAAGCCACCCAGTCTGTGGTGTTTTCTTGTGGCATCCTAAGCTAAGGCCCAGTGGAATTGTCATTCAACTTCCAGCTTGGTTTCCTTTTCATAAATAGAGCATCAGCAAAGGAACCTGCTGCTTGTGAGTAAAGGTGGGTGACATGCGCATATTGACTTTGATTGTTTCAAGCACAGGAATTCATCTGATTTCTCCTGTCATTTAGCAGAGCCCTGAGGAATTCTGTCAGTCTTCAGGGGTTTTTCATTTGTTCATTTACTCATTTCAGAAATATTTATTGAGCATATACTTTGTATCAGAAGGTACACTAGGTATTGGGCCATGGTAATATGGAGTTCTAGGCAGTAGACTGAGAGCACAGAAATCCCAAGGGGTGATGAGGAAGAAATACCAGAAGAGACATAGAAAACTAAGGGAAAATGAAGGGAAAGACTTGTCATGATTTTGCCTATACCCAGTCCTGGTAACACTATAAGTATGAGATTAAATGCTGCAAACTTTGGAATATTTCTAGGGAATCAATTCGACTTTCTAGAGGCCAACCATTCAATTACAAACATAACTTGCTATTGAAAAACCACAAAAAAAGCCAACCTACGGTGATTATGCATGAGAGACAAAGTTACTCAACATGTTCTTAATGTGTCCTGTAGTCTTCGTTTAGAGATCTTCCAGAATTCGTATAATCCCCAGGAGGGGCCTCTATTTCTGTTAAGATGATGCTGGCATCACATGCCTTCCTGTTTAGTAAGTGGACAGTGGTTTGAGAGCATCTGAGGTGATAAAGACATAGTGAACATTGACCACAGGTAAAAGGACCAGTAGGTGGTATGCTGATTCCATGTCTATCAAATTATCTCCAAGTCCATTCCTTTTTTTTTTTTTTTTTTAATCATTCACAGAAAGAGGCAGCCACAACACTCACCTGCTAGCCAAGATGGGTCACAAACTAAGCTGTGCATGCAGAGCTTTTGAGAAACCCCAGGTTACCAGGAATAGTACAGAAGCAATTGTGCATGATTGGTACTCCTCTGCGCCTTGTTTTGTCCACTTTTTCCTAATAACAGGGAACACATGTTGCATGCCGAGGAAATCTTTTTGCCTTTGCAGGAGTCCTTGCTTTCATTTACAGAATCCAAGCTCCCTAAGTATTGTAGCTGGGTTTAGGTTTAGTTTAAATTCTATTGCTGATCCATTTGCTCCCTGTTTTGCCTTTCTTTAACCAAAAGGACAAAAGATGATGTGTTTATCTAAGTGTGTGTGTTTTCCACTGAAGGAGAAAGGCATGGGGGAGAAAACACTTTTTCCACCCAACTGAAGGTAATGTTTAGAGAGTACTGTTTTCTGACTATTTTTGTTGCCTGTTGTTTTAGTAAAAAGTATCGAGTTACATGACAAGGTTTTACTCTTCTGAGCCCTCAAGTACAAACTTTCTGAAGGTAATTTTAGGCATAGAAATATCTTTTCCATGGCAACTATGTGCCTATTTTGATCAACAGAAAAGTGTAAATCACCTTGAAATAAGCACAGCAAATCATGTTCTAACTTCATTCCTGTTCTGCTAGAGAAATTGAACTGAAATGTAAAAGTAAAATGGCATATTAACTTTGCTGTAACATATTAATGTCTAAGTAAAATTATAATGTATATTATAAAATGATATATTTATATATGTGGGTATTTTTAAGCTTTTCTTTGGCAAACTTTCATTAGTAATGAGCACCTAGAGCTTCACCTAAGGTGGCCAACTAGGCAGTTGAGTACTGATTAGCACATATTTTAAGCAGGATCTGATTAACCTAACGAAAACAGATCAGCAGCTTTTTGGAACATAAGGCATTTCAGAGATGTTGTGCTATGTACATTTGCAGATTCATGTAGCTTCTAAACTATGCATAAGCAGCCTCCTCTCTTTATTTTTTTGTGCATTTATCTGTAAATGTGCTCTCAAGGGGTTAGTCTTGAGCTGTTTCTAAAATTAACCATCTAACACAATATGTACCCATAATTTGTACTCAGATACCTGAGCAGTCATTCTCAAAGTGAAATAAATGATTGAATTTTTCCCAATGTTTCTGCCATGTTTATTACTAAGTCTCATTGCAAATTGAATAGCTAATGCTCCAAGCTAGGTGATGATCAATCTTAAAATATAATCAATACTTTAAAATTATATTATGCTTTCAGAATTTTCATTATGAAGCAGATCAGTCTTGAGCCTCTCCCAAGAGACTTTAGTTGATGGGTGTATCAAAAGAACTTATATAAGTGGTTTTTGCCCATAAGAGAATCTCATGTTATAAGTTCCAATGACATCATTATTATAAGCTTATTGTGTAGCACCTTGAATTTATCTAATGGTGGGCATCTAAGAAAAGAAGTATATTTTAAAAGTAGTGTTAGGTTAATCAGATCCTGCTTAAAATACGTGCAAATAATATTTGGTGGTCAATATTATTATCGTCATTTGAAAGACGAAAGAACAGAGGTCCAGAGAAGTCAAGCCACATGTCCAACTTATAAGAAGTCATTGCCGGAGGTTGAATTCTCAAGGATCCAATCCTGTGCCCTATCCACTCCTGTCACTCAGCTGTGAAGCCATCAAGGATTTACTATAAGCAAAACTAAAAGCAGCAGGATCTCCTTCATTTGTGATGTACCAAAGAGATAAGGTCCAATCACTTAACAAAATGAACTGAAGCTGATTGCATCTGAAGGACAGGGACCAGACGATTTAAAATAACTTTTTTTTGGTTCATGCCTAAATGACCATTGATGTACTTCACTTAGAAAAAAATACTGTAAAGATAATGCTTCGTTAATTTCCCTCATCTTAATATAGTAACTTTTATGACTAGCTAATAAACATTTTCATCAGAAGAACAGAGCTAATGATGACACTTCTGTTTAATCAGGGACTTTTCATCACCCTTTTGTACACTGAGTATTCCATTTTCTTTCCCTAGTCTTTTCTAAACACACACACGCACACATACACTTTTTCTGTATGAAACATTTTAAACATACAAGAACAGTGCAGAAAATATGGCATTTATGTGCACACAACCAATATTAAACTCATATTAACATTTGGCCACATTTGCTTCATAGCACTCTTTCTTTTCAAAGGTAGAAAATTTAAAAGACCTAGGTAAAACTTCACTTCCTTCTTTCCTTCCCAGAGTTAACTGCTCTCCTAAAGTCGATATAGTTTGTATCATTCCTTGCATGTATAGTATAATGTTACTATATATGTAAGTACCCATAACTATAAATTACTAAAACTCTTTTTACTCCTAAAATTTGCATAAATATTTTACATGTTTTACAAATAGATTTTTTCAAACAGCTTTGTTTTTGAGATTTTTTTCAGGTCGATAAAGGCAGATCTAGATAATTTGTTCCTGTGTAATATTCCATTGTATGAATAAACCGCAGATTATCTATTTCCTCTGCTGAGAGACATTCAAATTATCTTTTTTTTAACCACACAAACAGGGCTTCAATGAACTTCCTTATGCCTATTTCCTGATAAACACAAATGGGAGTTTCTTTGGGATAGATACCTGGAAGTGGAATTCGGTTTTTATCTTCAAATACATTAGATATTCCAGATGGCCTTCCAAAGTAATTGTATTCATTTCCGTATATCCATATATATGTGTGTGTATATATGCATATACATATATGTATATGTGTGTATATATGTGTGTTTATGTGTATGTGTATATATAGAGAGAGAGGGAGAGACAGAGAGAGAACACTTTTTTCCCATATCATCACCAACACGTCACTTGGTGTTAACAGAGTTATTATTTTCTTTCAGTCTAATGGGTGTGGTGGTTTTAATTTGTACTGCCTTGCGTAACAGGTGGGATTGAGTATCTTTTCAGTATTGGACATTGGAGTCTCTTCCTCTTTTAATTGCATCACTTTGTCCTTTTCTTGATTTTCTTTGGAGCAGTTTTTATTTTTCTAATCGACTCATAGGAATTCTTTATATATTACAGATATTGATCCTTAGTTATATACATTGAAAATATCTTGTCTCAGTCTGTGTCTTGCCTTTTCACTTTATCTTTTCTAATCTATTTCAATATTTTTATTTTATTTCAGTTTTCAAAATAAAAACAAATTATGGAAAACTGAGTTTTATGCCTTATTAATAGGCAAAGTCAGATAGTTTCTGTAAATATAATTGTTGTGCTCTTCCTTTCTTCCATATAACTTCCACACTTGTTAAAACTCAAGCCCAAATTCTAAAAATATCACTGCATTTCTATGATTACAGGGCAAGATAAGATTTATTTGGGATCATACTGATGTGGGACACATTTCTTTTCCTCTTAGTCTTCTTTCTGCTTCAGCAGAAAAGCTAATTGCTTATGCGTTTCCCAAGCCCATCTGCCCAGTTGAGGGAAGAATCTCTGTCTAGCTAGAGGACTGCTCTTCTCACAAGTCTGAGAGCTGGTATGCCTGGGGGACATGTCTGAAACCTCTCTGCTCATGTTTTATCCTGTTTGATTTCATTTTCTTTAAGTGCGAGCAATGTATTTTCTGTTTGTGAATAAGATTAGGGAGGATGCTTTTCCAATACATGTTCATAAAATGAAAAATGTTTGGCAATGCAGTTTTGGTTTTTTACACCTAACTAGGCAGCAGGTAACATCTATCTCTGCAATATTGCAAAACTCTTTCTACCTGTTTTTTTTTTCTGTCTAACCTAGAATTAAAATAGTGCTGCATTTAAAATATTTTTTCATTGTCAATATCTTTGTGAGTTTCAGTAATTCCTTTTCGTCATCCCATAGGCCCAGTGGACATTTTAGATGTGGAGGAGGCCATGTCACATTCACTCAGATGTCAATGTTTAAGGTTCCTGGATGGATGGTAATATGAAATGTTTAGAGGCAGTGTTTATATGGTTTGAACATAAACCATTTTACACTTCACTGATTTTCACCAAACAGAGAACATTTCTGCCTTTGTTTCCTATGCTGATGAAGCCATATTCACCTCTTTAGACATAATTGCCTTAAAGTGAAAGAAGTCATTTTTTAAACTCTGTTTTCTAGAAGTCTGTGTCACTGAACTAACTGATTAGGGAATGATAGAGAAAAAAAGGCTGGGCGTCGTAGCTCACACCTGTAATCCCAACACTTTGGGAGGCCGAGTCGGGTGGATCACCTGAAGTTAGGAGTTTGAGACCAGCCTGACCAACTTGGTGAAACCCTGTCTCTACTAAAAATACAGAAATTAGCCGGGCATGGTGGTGCATGCCTGTAATCCCAGCTACTTGGGAGGCTGAGGCAGGAGAATCACTTGAACCCGGGAGGCACAGGTTGCAGTGAGCCAAGACCATGCCATTGCACTGTTGCCTGGGCAACAAGAGTGAAACTCTGTCTCAAAAGAAAAAAGAGACAGAGAAAATAAGATCTGTATGTAATAGTTGGATGACAAAACCCAGGGCTCAGACAAGAATCTAGATTATACCAGCTTGAAGCAGATGAGAAGCCCAGGAACATAACCTGAATGACATCATAAGTCATGGGGTTAACAAACTGACATTGGTAGTGTAAGAGTCCAAATCCAGATAAAGAGCCAAGATCCAAAACATATACTGTGAGAGCGACAGTAAAGAACCAAACTCAAAAAAACAAAGCCGTGGGAGGAAAGCAAAGATCAAGTAGTAGCAAACCAAGAAATGATGTGGAGGCTGTTTGTTTTCTTAAGCAGGTAATTTCGTTTCTCTGAATCTCAATTTCATCATCTAAGAATGTAGAGATTCAGTTATTTGCAAGGGCTCTTCCAGCTTTAACATGTTTTGATTCTGATTCTAGAAAGTGAAAACACAGAGGACTAATGTTAAATCCCGCTATCGGGAGCTGTCTAGTCTCATGAGAAAGGCAGACCAGCAGTCAGGCAAATAAGACACTGGTATAGAATATTTAGGTGGTTGTACTGCATTTTCAATCTTTATAAATTTTCTAGGTCTTGGACATACAAGAGGTAGAAAAGTACAAGTAAACTTTCCCTTCTAAAAAATCAAGACTTTATTTTGCCTATAATATACAGATAAAAGATAGTGGTCAGACTGGTAAAGAGTACTTAAGTGAGCAGTGTAGGAAGGAAGAAAGAGGTGAGAGAATGAGAAGGAAGATATAAAGTTTTTAAAGTAAGAGTTGTTAGGAAACAACTTCTCCTACTTCAAAGAGAGGTTTAGACACTAACAGCAAAAGGGGACCTGGGAGTGGGGGAAGATAGATGGTACTTTAAAAATGGGGGTAGACTTATTTTCCTGCATAATAACAAATATATTTCTCATCCATGCATATATGTACTCTCCCATAGAATTGATGTAGACATAGGGAATGATATAGCATATTTTAGACAGCAGTTCTTGGTATCAAATTATGTTGAACATGCTTTAATGGTATGACATGAAATTGTAATTAATTCTCACCTGCTTATTCCTTAAGCCAAAAATCACTAAGCCACCTGTGGTCCACGGAAAATTATTTTATTGGCAATGCTGTCATGAGCCTTTCCATAGCCCACCCTTACATATTTTAAACCCAACTTCATCCCCTCGAAAAGCATTCCTATTGGGCCTGAAACAGCTACACCTCTTCCCTATGTCCTTGAAGCTACTTTTAACGAATAGCTAAGTGGGATGACTCCCCTGTGGAGTGATATTCCAATGATCATTTTTCACTTATGGAGTCCTGTTTTTGCTGTAATTTCTTTCATTTTAATATTTCCCATTAACTTGAATCATTTATGAAGGTAACTCTATGCCAACTCTCAGTGACCAGACAAACTGAAAACAAATCAGTGACCTCTTAGAAGCTAATGTGGGAAATGTGTCCTATTGCTCCCAATAGGATGGGAAATATTAACACTTAGGGTAAGAGGTTAATAAAAGCTAGAACCTAACGTTGTAACAAATTCATTCATAGAGCAGAAATGTATTTTAACATTTTGTAATACATATATAAAACATTTATAAATATCAACTAATATATATTTAATGAATACAGCAAGGATTCTACTGCCTAATATCTAAATATTATATTTCATAATTATGATCTGCTCACTGGGCAGCATTTCACAGATGAGAGGTCAAGGCTGGGAAAACAATTTCTAGAAGCGTAAGCCCCAAATGTACTTTTTATAGCATTTTAGCAAATCAGATTACTGTATTTACCCATGTTCATCTCTATCCCTTAATTTTACAAAGGAGGTAGTCTTATAAATGTTTTAGTCAAAAGATGTCTACTGAGTACCTCCTGTGTGCTGAGAAGTTTTAAAGGACAGACAGAAGTTGGCCAGGTCACAAAATGAGGTTGACCTTTTCAGGCAGTGGGAATCACATATGCAAAAACCCAGAGGCATGAGAGAGCGTGGAATTATTGAAGAAACTAAGGCTAGTTTAGTTTAACCAGAGTGAAAGGTGCCTGTTGGGGAGTTGAGGGCAGAGAAGTAGGCAGAGACCACTTTATGAAGGGCCCTCTTATATTATCTGTAGAATTCAGACTTTCTTCTGAAGGCAGTGGGGAGCATATAAGTGACATGATTACATTTGCATTTCAGCAAGCTAAATCTAACAGCATCCTGAAATAAAGATTGATTGAGGAATGGTTAAATCTGGAGACAAGGTAGTTGATTAAGAGGTTATTTCATTGGCTCAAATGAGAAATATTGGTTTACTAAAATTGTGGAAGATGAAACAAGATGACGGGGGAGAAGCTGCATCACCAGTGTGAGCATGAACTTTAGAGTCTCCCAGAAATAACTTTTAATTCCAGTATTGACCTAAAATGAAAAAGCTGAGGCAAAATTAATATTAGTAAAGAGTTCTTTTGGGCCAGTAAAGAGTTTATTTGGGCCAAGCTTGAGGGTTGCACTTGGGAGCATAGATCCAAGTTGCCCTGAATATACACTCCCCTTAGCAGCAGTTACAAGTGGATTTTTTTAAAGGGAAAGTAGAGGCAGTTCCTGAGCTGTTTACCAATAATTTATATTAAAATAACATACTCTGGCCAGTGCAGTGGCTCATGCCTGTAATCCCAGCACTTTGGGAGGCCGAGGCAGGTGGATCACTTTGAGCTCAGGAGTTTGAGACTAACCTGGGCCATGTGGCGAAACCCCATCTCTACTAAACCTACAAAAATTAGCCGGGCGTGGTGGCAGGCACCTGTAATCCTAGCTACTCGGAAGGCTGAGGCAGGAGAATTGCTTGAACTCAGGAGACAGAGGTTGCAGTGAGCTGAGATCGCACCACTGCTCTCCAGCCTGGGCAACAGAGCACTCCATCTCAAAATTAATTAATTAATTTAATAACATAAAATACACTATGGATTGACTATATATTTTTCTTTGCATCAAAATTCCAGGAATACGAATATATTGGTTGAGGCAGCTAGTGAGAAACAAAATGACAACAATTGCCCCAGGCATGGCGGGGGGCATGACTGAAGTCTCATACTTATGTCTTTCTGGACCTGCAGACCTCACAGAGCTCAGATTGGTCGGAGCTGTTTTTCTTTTCTCACCAGCAATACCATTTACTATCTATCTCTGTGGCTTTAGCAAGTTATTAACTTCCTTGAGGCTACAGTGATGTGGCACAGTCCCTGACATGAGTGTGTATTTAGCATGCTATTATGATGGTCCGATATACGAGATTGGTGACCACTTATATGCAGGGGTTGATAGAAAGGACATAATCTACAGTAACTCCCATAATTTCCCTTCAGATAAAGTGGTCAGTGGCAGCCAAAGCCCCTGATAAGTTGAAGAGTGATATAAATGGCTTGTTTCTCAGTAATAAGAGAAAAAGTATACAATATTATTTGTGTACTTATTTATATTTGGGGATATGGTTTAGAAATAGGAGGAGAAGCTGTGACTGTGAGGTAGAGAACTAGGGAAAAAAGAAAAGCTAAGCAAGGTTAATGAGACAGTTGGAGGTTAGGAGTTACTCTTTGTAGGTTCTAACTGAAAGCTAATGAACGATTTCAAGGATGCAAGTAATGTAATAAAATATGAGAAATATAATGAGTCAAAAAATCATAGGATGCTAAAGCTGAAATGGACTACAGAGTCCATTATGTTCAGTTAACACTATGGCTCCAGTATCTTGCAAAGAACGTAAGCATTGCTGCACAAAACCTACCTTGTTGTTCACTCAACTCATTATCTTTCTGGGCAGAAACTTTTTGAAAGTATGGTGGTGATTTTCCACGAAATGCTTCTACAGAGCTAGAGGGATCATTTGATAACCAATTGTAGATCCATCATTAAAGAATGTTAGTAAACACCTCTTGAACTGATTTAGCTTATGTTTAGAAGTTCAACTTTCTCCTGTATAAATCTCTCAGTTTAACTTATACTGCATACCTAACTTTTAGCTGTTGGCTTTTGTTAATTTCCACCTGTCATTACAGGACATAATTTCCATTGAACCTTCCTTTGGCTCTTTTTAGTTATTTTTTATTAAAAAAAGATGTGCCTTAATGGTCAAAATGCACGCAACCATTTGTTTTCCTCTTACATCGACTAATGACCAATAATAATAACATCTAAGGTTTATTGCATACTTACTATTTGCTAGACATTGTTTCAAAGGCTTTCTGGCTGGCTGTGGTGGCTCACAGTTGTAATCCCTGCACTTTGGGAGGCCAAGGCGGGAGGATCTCTTGAGCCCGAAAGTTCAAGACCAGCCAGGGCAATATGGCAAAACCCCGTCTTTACAAAAAATACAAAAATTAGCCCAGCGTGGTAATGAAGGCCCATAGTCCTTTCTACTCAGGAGGCTGAGGTGGGAGGATCGCTTGAGCCCGGGAGGTAGAGGCTGCTGTGAGCCGAGACTGCTGCACTCCAGCCTGGGTGACAGAGCCAGACCCTGTCTCAAGAAAGGGCTTTCTATATGTAAATTCCTGTAATCTTTACATGAGATAGATACTGTTTTTATTCCTATTTTATGAAAGAAGAAACCAAAGCCAGAAGACTTAAGTACTTTATGGGTGATCAGACAGCAAGTGAATTACAGAGCCTGTACTCAAACACAGGCAGTGGCAGTCTGAGTCTGGAGCCCAAGCTCTTAACCACCTCATCAGACTAACCTCTAACTTTTGCTGGCTAAGAAACTGACACTATATTGAACATTACACAACACTGGTCTATTCAGATATAATTATGATTCCCTTAACAATATTTATTTATCTCATTTTGCCTCTACTAAAGCCTTCATACAGGCAGTTATTTTTGTTTTGACAATTGCCTTAAGATGCATATGTTTTCATTTGCCCAAATTTTGTTTAAGTTTTTGTTATGAACATACACCCACGGCAATGGCAAGAGTTGCATTAAAAGAGGGGGAGGAGGGATAAATAAATAAATAAGGCCTCCCCCACTTCTTGTATCTCGAGGGACTCTGGGATGTGATAAAACAAAACACTGTTAAAAATTCATACTAGTAACTTGCATTGTATATTATGCACTGCAACTAAACTTTTTAGTGTCTCGGCAAAGCCCTAGAGCAGCCGAGAGGTACCTCAGAGCACAGAAAGCACATTTGAAATGGTAATGAGAAGCGAGCCCCGTGACAAAGTGCTAGTCGGTGAAATATTTCTCTGAGACAAACATATATTTGGAGAGGGTAGAAAGTCATTGACTGCTGCCATACCATGACCTATTTTAATGTTTTCTTTTTTTTTTGTCCACACTATACTCAGTTGACTTCACAGAGGGCACAATTTTAATAATGCAATAAATGCCAGGACATTTGAAGTTTGAGAGTAACGTGTTACGTTATTAGTTCTCAGGATGTCAACTTTGGGTTTCATTGTTTGGAAACAGCAGCAGATCCTCTATTAAAGTACTTCCAAGGTTTAGAATCCTTGAAGTACCACTCTGTTTTAAAGATAATTCCGAAGTTCTTCTTCATCATGCCTTAATAGACTGTAAACTTGCTTTTTCTCTGGACCATTGGATAAACAGTGAGTGAATTTCCTTACATAACACCATTTTGCTGGTACAAAGTTTGTTAAAGTCTCAGTCTTCTGTTTGCTAATGAATAAAATAAAATAATGAAAAAGAAGCCGCTTCCAAATTTGCAAGAGTCATTGAGTACCGTTTCTCATCACACACATACATGCTTCAATATTTAGTGCAGCCCGTGGGATGCTTGTACAATGAGCTCCCTTAAATCAGCTGAACTTTCAGGTGCTCGAGGTTTTGTTCAGAACTTTTGAGTAAGAGATTCAGAGAGAGAGGATGCCTAGGAAGCTCTTAGTTTGAGCCCTGAGAAGAAATTTAGGCTAGGGAAAGAGGAAGGGTGCAGTGGGTTGTGAAACTAAAGAAACACTCTCCAGAGATAGAGCACTCAAGACACAGAAAATAAAGTCGTGAGAGTGTTGCTTTCGGGATAAGGTAAAAAGACAAGGGAAATGCAGATCTTCAAAAATTGTCCTTGACTAAGGCAAAAACAACTCTGGACTGGCCCTGCACTAAATCATCACAGCCCATTACCCCCAGGAGCTAAAAACGAAAATACCTAAAAACGTGGAACATAAGCAAACAAAAGCCAGCATGGAACTCCAGTGGCTTATGACATATATGTGATGCTCTTAGCCCCCCTGCAGAGGTTTTGTGGAGTTCAGTGTCCAAACTTTGTAAAAATCTTTGTGTGTATAAGAGGTGGGAATGGTGGTAGATAGGCTCCACAACCTGTTTAGAAAAAGCTTTGATTTTTTTTCTTCATTATACGAATACCATAGCCCTTCATTAATTTGGGAACAAATGAGTTCACACGCAGACTTACCTAGCATCCCAGTAAACAGTCTTTCCCCTGCAATTTGCAGGATCACAGCCTCTTGCAACCTGAGTCGACCCAATTATTTCTGAGATCACCAAGTATCTCACATGTTCAAGATCAATCTTTTCATGATTTCCATTCTAAAAATTATGTTGATGATCACTACATGGCAAGAAATCCAGGTGGCCATTGCCATAACTAATGATACCCTCTTTGAGTGAACCCTTTCCTATTCAGGACTCCCAAAGCCACCCATCTCTCAATGCACGACGTTGCTACTGCTTCTCAGTTCTCACTGTGTTGCCAGAGCCATACTATGTACCAGGCAGAAATGGGGAGACTGCCCCTCTCCCCTGTTCTGTGTCAAATGTTTTCGCTCAGTTTCTGAAGCAGCACCACTTATGCTCCTTTCTTCATGAACTCCTTCAACCTTTGTCAGCTGCACTTATCAATGTATGGACTCAGGGAGCCAGGCAGAGGACATGTGTCATGCCAAGCCACGTCCTTATTTCTTCATTTCTAGCCCCACACATTTCCCACCACAAATTTGCATATGACACATGTCCTCAAACACCTCTTCCTGCTACTTTCTATTCAATTAACTAATGCAAATAAACTCCCCTGGGAGATGTTATATTTCCCCATGCCCACTCTTAGTTTACACTAAGCCGGGACCACCTAACTACACAGGTGTCCCAAGTGCCACCGATAGTACTATGTTTGAGGTACGGGGGCTGAATAATTTTTCCCAGGTTTTATGAACTATCAAAAGGCACACAATGAATAAATATTTATGAAGATGTTTTAATTTTGGGAGGGATGGGGTAGACGTAGATAGGGTTTGTGATGAATATTGCCCACAGATTATAAATACAGATAACATACAACTAAGAGCCTAAGCAGGTCTAACTTTTAAGTTTAGAGTGAGAACACTTACAGGAAATAGTGAAGTTGTCCAAACTAAGCTCTCTTTTGTCCTTCATTTGAATCTCTCACCCACTACCTTTTGTTGCCTTGGTCCCTTTTAAAGTAGAGGCCACTAGTCTATGTATACTATGCCCCTGAGATGAGGAATATGGTGGCTTGAAGAATGTAATATCTTAGAGGACACAGAGTGTGTTTCATGTGTATCTTTCCATCATCTAGCATGTGTGTACTCCCAACGAATATTAAAAAATAGGGTGTGACCCTCTTAACCATAAGAGATGATTCCTCATTTTGAGATGACGTGCTCTGGGAATAAAGAATGCTTCCTTCATTTTCCGTGACTGTCAAACTGGCATCTTTCATCAGCACTAAATTCCCTTTTAAGTAGTCAAATGCCTTACACAGTTTTAACAGGAAATCTCTCAGCACCTCTAGCTATTTGTTGAAAAGAAAACAACTCTTTTTTTTAGATACATCTTGCAGAAAACCATTTCCCAAATAAAAATTTAAAAGTGTTATCATATTTAGAGGGAAAGAAATAAGCCCCTGAATCATAGTGCCAGTTTCATGTTTTCCTTAATGTTGCAAAGGTGATTATTTTTGCCATAATCTTCTTCTGGCTGTTAGCCCAGGATGGCAGGCTGCATAGCTGCCTTGTTAAATAAAAGAGAGGGGAGACTTTCTTGAAGCCATTTTTTAGAGGATTTGTACATATGTGTGTGGGAAGAGTGTGGGTGAAATCCTCAGGACAAAAATTTCCCATCTACTACTTCCATAATAATTCATGAAAAAATGAGTTCTACCACTTGTTATTAATTCAAGTCCTGGAAATATACTCTAATCATCAATATCGTTTCCAAAGAACATATAAATATAGTGGTGTGTTTCAAACTACCAAAGAACTTACACTCAGGATGCATTTTGCATCTTTCTTTCTTTTGTTTTCTTTCTTTCTTTCTTGTGTTTAGCTGGAAGTCAGTGTTGTTAAATAAGGAGAGATACAGGCATATACAGGATGGATTAGTTCCTTGCCCTCAGCCGCTTTAATAATGATTTTTTACATTTTTTGATCTATTCAAATGTGTACAGTGCTAAAAAGAAATTTATTTGAAAAGGATCTAATTGGCATGAGCTGCCATTGCTGTCACACTGAAGTCCTGCTGACAAGGCTGAGGTTGGCAGAGAAATAAAAGCAACTGTTAATGTCAGAAATGAGTTGTGGTAAAACATACTGTTTGTTTAATGTTGATAAAAGGGCAGGTGGAAAGTACATGAAATTATCTTCTCAGAGAGTTCTTGACTCATAAACTGCAAATGCTCACTAGAAAATAAATTTATGTTTTATTTAGTTGTGGCTAAAACAATATAATAACAACTATACTAGGAGTATAGCATAGAGCGGGCACTGCTATTATCCGTGCTTGTGCCAAATAGATCTAAGAATTGTAAAGAAATGTGTTTCAATAAGATGATATTCTCATGTATCCTATGACTATTATAAATACTTAGGTATTAATATCAGAGCAGAAGGATTGTGGTATTTCTGAAACTAACCCTAGATTAAGATCATTTACTGTTAGAAATGAAAACATTGTTGAAAAACTGTAAATGTTTGTTAAAACCTGTTTTTAAATTTTTTTATATTCAGTTTTAACATCTGTTACATTTCTTTCTGATTACTCTTAAATTGGCCATGACTCCTGATTGTTTATCATAAGTTTTAATTCTCTACTTTCCTTATGTCATCTGAAAATTGTAGCACTGGGGCCCTTCATATTTTAAAGGTTGTCTTCTGTTGAAATATATACATATAAAGGATTGACCTGCAGTGTAAATAATAATTTACCTCTTTTTATTTATTCTTTAAGCCTGTGTTAAATATATTGAGTTTTCTTAAAGAGGGAAAACCTGTGAATAGTTAACTCAGGCCAAAGGTATTTTAAGTTGTATGTTAATTTCTTTATGCAGTAAAGCTATGAAGCTCTGACTTGGCATTATAACTATGCTCTTCTTGGAATAATAAGGGTACACGCTGCTTATCCGATTGACACTTCTTTCAAAAGCAGAAGATATTTTTATTGACTTTGGTGGCAATCCCATATTCAGGGCTTCCTCCATATAAAAAAAAATAATAATGTGAACCTTGACCACAGGGAAGGTCACAGACCTTGGATAGAAGCCAAATATCTGTGTTTTGTTTAGGGCCCTCAAGCAAAATTTTCACACAGGATTTCCTCAGATTCACTTCACTGCAAAATAAAGGCATTTTCACTCCCTGCCAGGTTTAGCATGAGAAGCCCCTTTGTTGTGGGGCTGCTTGAGCAGTATTTACACTTCCTTATTGAGTACCTGCAAATGTCTCAGCTAGAAAAGTGAAAGTAATCCAGGTAGGCTTGATAAAAAATTTTAAAAACCAACTGGGCGCAGTGACTCATGCCTGTAATCCCAGCACTTTGGGAAGCCGAGGCGGGCAGATCATGAGGTCAGGAGTTCGAGACCAGCCTGGCCAACATGGTGAAACCCCGTCTCTACTAAAAATACAAAAATTAGCCAGGTGTAGTGGTGCACTCCTGTAATCCCAGCTACTCAGGAGGCTGAGGCAGGAGAATTGCTTGAACCAGGGAGGCGGAGGCTGCAGTGAGCTGAGATCGCGCCACTGCACTCCAGCCTGGGCAACAGAGCAAGACTCTGTCTCAGAAAAAACAAACAAACAAAAATTTAAAAACCTGCCTAAAAGTTTTAGCAAGTTCATCTTTCTTGGCTTGCTTTACTCTTGCAAAGAATCTGTAATTTGGAGAGAACTGACTCATTTTTGCTATTAGAAACATTTTTTTTTAAACACCAGTAATGGAAGAAACAACCAAGGGATGAGGAAGTGAGCAAAAAGTGTGACCTTCCCAAATATTGGTCCTGTTAATAAAACTCAGATTCTAAACTGTTGATGTCAAGTCATTTTTAAATGTTATTTTTCCTAATTTTTGAGAAAATAGATGATCATTTTAGAAAATGTAGAAAGTACAGACAAGTGCATTTCAAAAGTACAGAAAAATATAAAAATGCAAGGGGGGAAACTATTCTGTCACAACCCAGAAAGAACAACTGCTAACATTTTGGCTTATTTGCTTGCAGATTTCTGAATTTTTTACATAATTTGGATCATATTATTTATGTAATGTTACATCTTGCCTTTCGTTTAACACTTGCCACATGTAAGTTCTAACATCTGTAAATAATTTTTTGGAAATCATTTTAATGACTCTATTATGGCTCATAATTTACTTAAATATTCCCCTAACAGTGGATATTTAGGGTGTCTTCAATTTTTTGGCACTCTAAATAATTTTTTTTTTTTTTTGAGACAGGGTCTCACTCTGTTACCCAGGCTAGATTGCAGTGGCACCATCACAGCTCACTATAGCCTTGATATCCCTGGCTCAGGTGATTTTCTCACCTCAGCCTCTTGAGTAGCTAGAAATACAGGTGTCTGCCAACACGCCAGGCTAATTTTTCAATTTTTAATAGAGACGGGTTTCTCCATGTTGCTCAGGCTGGTCTCGAACTCCTGGGTTCAAGCGATCTGCCCACCTAGGCCTCCCAAAGTGCTGGGATTACAGTTTTGAGCCACTGTGCCCAGGCTCTAAATAATTCTACATTGAGCACTTCTTGCATGTATCTTTGCCTACATTTCAAATTATTTCAGCAGTAGAGCTTCCAGCAGTAAAATAATAGGTCAGACAGAATAGACATTTAAAAATTTTCTGCTATATGGTTTCAAATTAATTTACAGAAAAACTTAACTAAATTATGTTACAACCGATAGTGTATGAGAGGACCTATTACTCACTTTCACCAGCACTGAATTTTATTTTTTTAACTGTGTTAATTTGGTGAGCATAATTACCATTTCTTTCTTTGAATAATTTTCAAACTAATGTAAACTCAATGGCACACCTGACGGCTACATCCTACACCACAGGCCCTTCTGAAGGAGACAAGGCCCTTTCTTTACAGTAAGAATCACCTATTAAGTATCGATGCATGTTTGAAATAATATTTTTAAAGTATATTATGCAAACATATATAAGTTAAATGCAAAGAGTGGTTAATTGGGGATTAGAAAGAATCAAAAGGAAAAACATTTGCATAATTAATGCTTGCTTCTTTTCTTTATTTTCAATCATGGATATTATAGCCCACAGGATTAAAACTTAAAATGTGCAGAAGTAGCATATCTGAATTGTTTACATCTTTTGAAATTGATATGTCCTATCCAGTTTTCCACCTAAAAGGAGACAAAGAAGCTGGGCACGATGGCTCCAGCCTGTAATCCCAGCACTTTGGGAGACTGAAGCGGGTGGATCACTTGAGGTCAGGAGTTCAAGACCAGCTTGGCCAACATGATGAAACCCTGTCTCTACTAAATATATATATTATATATATAAAATAACTGGGAGTGGTGCTGGGCGCCTGTAATCCCAGCTACTTGGGGTGCTGAGGTGGGAGAATCACTGGAACCCGGGAGGCGGAGGTTGCAGATCTTACCACTGCACTCTAGCCTGGGTGACAAAGTGAGACTCCGTCAAAAAAAAAAAAAAAAAAAAAAAAGAAAGTCAGCTTATGTATGAAAAAGAAATTTGTTGATTTCTACTAATAGAATATCATACAATCCAAAATCAATATATAAGATAATGTTATTTTCCTTACTTTCCTGTGTCTCGTCACGTTCCCATTTCATCATTTTTACTTCAGTGTAAGTTACCTTTGTGTAATGAGGAAGAAATCTCTGTCCTTTTTAAAATTTTATTTTTGGTAAGGCAAGATTTAGGATGTGGGGTTAATTTATTTCTGGAAATCCTCAAGTTGGCCAACATCCCACCCTAAAGAGGAACATGAATCTGACATTAAAGTGTGAAAAGGTAAGAAGTAATATTGCACATTAGTAGTACTACACAGTATATGGATTGTGTTTTTAATATTCAAAATGATATCCTCCTCTGATTTTATCTGGACATGGTAAGAACAACTTTGCAGTGGTTAAGAGTGGTTAGATTTTGAAGCCAAACACTCATGATTCCAATTTTGCTGCTGCCTTTTACCAGCTATATGATCTTAGACAGTTTAACATCTTGGAAACTAAATGTGTTTTAATCTGTAAAATGGAAAATGTTATTACCTCTCAAGCTGGATGCAAAGATCATAAAATTATTGGGAATTAGGTATAGCACACTTTTCATCGCAGACTGCCTGAGTACAGGCATGTATGTGGCACTCCTTCTTTTACTTAAGCTGTTTGGTTCTTCCTTCCATCAGGTGGCTACTAACCACACTTAGTGTTGTCTTTTTGTGGCTGTCTATGAAGTGCATAAAGAAAATGTGTAAAGTGAATAGAGCAGTTAAGAAAAATAGATGCTGACAGATCCATGACATTTGCTTCATTTACCATTAATCAGCTGAGTTAAATAAACAGCAATTATTTTTCTTTTTTTCCTTTCCTGTCACCAGACAGTTAATCAAACTGATTTCAGTTTGGAGTTTGCAATTTTCTCTTAAAAGTTTTTAGGAAAAATTTTGTCAAAAAAGCAAATTCCTCATAAAATATTTTATTAAATATTGATAACTATTTCACCCTAACATTTTGTGCAGTTAAATGTAAATGAAATAAATGTGAAGGCATGAAGACAAATAAAGAAAGGAAGGAAGTCCTATAATGTAGGTCTGGTTAAATAAATCATGGTGTACCTATACCATACAGCATTATGCAGTATTAGCTGAAATGCTTTAGAAAACTGGCATGGGGTGTTTTTCATGATATGTTAAGTGGAAAAAAGCTGGTAATAAAACAGTATCTATGTGATGATCATAATTTCTTGAAAAACATAGTTATGTTTTAAATCAATGAGAAGAATATCCACTCAATTGTTATGATTATGATTGCTTATGATTGTTACCTCTGGATGACAAGATTTTTTTTCATTCATTACAGAATTTTATCTTTAGTATAGCATTTTAATATTGTTTCTAAATTTTATCTTTAGTATAGCATTTTAATATTGTTTCTAAATTTGTGTGTGAAACCTATATTACTTTTGTAAATTTTAAATTTTTTTCACGAGGAAAAACTAAATCTATAAGAGTAGTATACTCACATACTACTCTTTTGGGGTCCATAGTTAAAAGCTACTTTTTAGTATTTCGACTTCTGTATTTTAATTTTCTCCTTTGCCGGGCAAAAGGAATTAAGAAATGTTAATGATAATGATATATCAAAACACAAAGACAAAAAAACTTAAGTAGTCTGCTTTGCTCCAATTTTCCTATTTTACATTGATTTAGAATGATATGCAAAAAATAATAATAAATCCCAGCCCAAGATCCCATGTGCAAATTTGTCAGTATATTTATTTGTTTCTACATAATTTATTTGAGGATCAGCTTTAGCTCAAATGATCACTGCCTCATGCCAGACTCTGTTATAACACATCCGTCTAATTAATTTCTCTGAAAATTTCACTTGAATTTCCGTTTTTACCAATGCCTATTGCCCTTTAGTACCAAATATAACATGTAGATGTCTACCATATTATAGGAATAGTTGTGAGATATGAAGACAAGTAAAAGAAAAGCAAGCAGCTTAGTATAACAGTGTAGGTGTTAGACTCAAAATAGTACTTAGCCTATTAGCATTTGACTCTAGCAAGACTTTGCAAGAGGACAAAAGTTGTTACCAATGAGCGTTTTCCCACAACCCAGTTAGGACTTGGTCATAAGTAGAATGTAAGCTCTTCAGCTATCATCCATTACTTTCCTATATCTTCTTGGTTACTATGAAATTCTGGAAACATAAGACATAAGATAGCAGGATTGTAGGTAAAAGTTTTTTGCATTCAACCTGTTACCGATTCTGGGTCCTAGATTCTTTTCTGCTTCTGTTGCCCATGACAAATGTGTGCTTGCTCCAGGCTTATTCAGCTGCAACACTGGATTATAGACAAACAGCATGAAGCTCAAATGTCCCAGTCCTTCGCTCGGTCAATAAGCACTTCTTGAGAGAGGCACAGTACCAGCACTTTACAGGTTACACAGGAGAATAAGATATGAACTTACTCTCTGGAAGCTTGCTCTGCTAGAAGAAATAAGATATATAAAAACAGGGCTTATAATATGAGGTTAGAAAATCAGAAGTCCTTTGAGAAAGGGGCAAATAAGTTCAAGTGCAGTGGAAGCTTGAAGGTAAATTGGAAAGGATTTGTGGAGAAGTTCCATTTCAGTTATGACCTACAGTACAAGGAGTACTTTGGCACAAGTGAATGGATGCAACAGACACATGTAATAAACTCTTTAAACAGTCTCTGGTATATAATAAGCATTAGCTACATTTGTTAGAGTAAAAAGCTTAGTTGCTGTAACGAAATGACACAACAAAGATTGTTTCATGTAACAGTCCATGAGGTGTGAGCAGACACTGCTGCACACAGTCTGTCACTATGCAGGGACCAGGATTCATCTCTTCATGTTCTTCCATCATCCTCTAAAACCATTGTTATCATCTGAGTATTTGAAACGATTCCTACCACATCCTAATTCTAGCAAGGAGAAAGGGGAAAAAGTGTTAGGAGTATACTTGTGATGTGTTAAGGCTTCCATTGGTGAGCACGTAGTTGCCTACCTGAACTGGGGCTGGAAAGTGTGTTCTCTGGCTGAGCAGTCATGTGATTTCTATAACTCCATTACCAAGGAAGAAAAAGAAAACAGATTTTGGTGGATAGCTAATAGTCTCTGCCCCAGCTATTATTATTATCATTCTTGAACAATTTGTTACTATCATCAGGCCATAATTGTACCCTAGTAATCTGTGATGGCTAGTTCATCTCCCCAAACAGTGAATTTTCTACTGTACAAGTGGCTTAAGCCCAAGATATTCTTGTCACTATTCCCATGGAATAGAATTCAAACCATTCCCAAAGCCTAGCTAAAGCTATCACTGAGTAAAACTCTCTTAGCTTCTTAAAGTTCATATATTTGTCCTTAAGTGACCTAGGCTGTGAAGAAATGGGTGATAAAAGTGTGAATTACAGAACCAGTGCTTCCACCTGCACTGAATTCTCTGCTCTTCTGAAGAATATTTCTCACAATAGAGTGTCAAGGGAAGATTGGTTGAACGGTTTTATTCTATACTAAATTCTTCTCTTTTGCTTTTAAAGAGTCATTTGCCAGAAGAAAACCTCTTCAGCAAGTTCATTTCAACATTTCAAATAATAGTTCTCTTTTCATGAACTATTTTGTAGAAAATTACATGGGTAATAATATCATGGGAAGAGTATAGCTTTCATGATGTGTATTTTTTCTAATCGTTCTAATTTTTCATGGTAATCTGAAGTGCCATATCATCTTACCCAAGCTCAGGAATTGTACCAATTGGGGATTTTGAGTGCTTGGAAGAAATGTCTATTTTTAAGCAACTTTTCATTCTCTATCCTGTTAACATAGTGATTTATTTGTGACTCAGAAATGGAAGGACAAGCCACCTCTCTGTAGTGATCACCTGTCTTATGGAATCTTAATTGCAATGCTAATTCAGTCTTGGAGTTAGTGAGATAGTCAACTAAATGATAAGTACAAGATATTGATAAATGACAAGGGAAGTATTTAGTAAGTCATTGGTAAGTCTGTTTTATCTTAATGTGTTGAGAAATTTGAAAATTAGGAGAAGGAAATAAGAGCATATTTATGAAATTTTCTAAAGTACTGCTCTGTCCCAGATCTTGTGGTAGATGCTGTGGAGGGTTACGTAAAGAAGGGAGATTGAGCTCAGCCTTTGGTTAACCTTTGCCTTCATCTAATAGAAGACAACATGTACTTAACAAAAGGGGAAGCAATACTGGTAAGGCAATATGTTAAGTGTAGGTTACATCAGAAGGCAAGAACTGGCCTGCAAGGCAGAAGATCTGGTTCTCAGGAAGGATATCACCAACTGAATATGTGACCCTGAGTAGGTTTCTTCTTCTCTCTAGGCCTTAGTTTACCCACCTGCACTATGAGGGAGTTCAATTAAGTGGATTATGGCCCCTAACAGATTATGTGATTATTTGAACTATGTAACCATATACATAGTATAAAATGCTTACTTACATTGAGAGAATGCAGAGTACTGAGACTAAACAGTACAAGTGTGAGGAGTTCACATTCTCACTGATGACAAGCCTTAATGGACAAAGATTACATAAGATTTTTGAGTGATTGCATTCAATGAACTTCAAGGACCCTTCTAATGCTGGGACTTTGTGATTCTTGGTAAAATGTGAGATCCCACTTGCTCACTAAAAATCCCCAGAAGATCTAAATTGGATGCTATTTTCATGTCTGTCTCTACTCATCAGTTGAATTGGAGAGAACCCAAATGAAATGAATAAAAATGGAAGATCTGTGGTGGGGGGGCGGCTGGGAGGAAGGATTTCTTTCACTTTAGGTAAGATAAAACTGTATAAGGAAAGACATGAAAGTAATGTATGACTTACTGAAAAGTGTAAGTAAAAGCCAGTAAGGAAGCAAAATGGGTTGTCTGAGACCGGGAAGAATTGAAATGAAAATGATGGGCTGCATGTTGGAGAACTGAAATTAAGGCAAAATACTAGGACAAAAACACATTGACCCATACGTGAAAAGGGAACAGAGCCAGGCGGGGCAGCTCACTCCTGTAATCCCAGCACCCAGCGCTTTGGGAGGCCGAGGTAGGTGGATCACTTGAGGTCAGGAGTTCTAGACCAGCCTGGCCAACATGGTGAAACCCTGTCTCTACTAAGATTAGCCTGGCGTGATGGTACACACCTATGATCCCAGCTACTAGGGAGGCTGGGGCATGAGAATCACTTGAACCCAGGAGGCAGAGGTTGCAGCGAGCCCAGATCATGCCACTGCGCTCCAACCAGGGAAACAGAGGGAGATTCTGTCTCCAAAAAAAAAAAAGGAAAGGAAAGGAAATGTTACTGGAATATTTTAAAGTCATATAGCCCAGTATCATTCAGATTAATTAAAAATCTTGGAGCTTGACAATTTCGTGGTGCTGATGAGTGAGAGAGGGCTAAGATTAGCAGTAGCTAAAGAAGGGAAGTTTCCTACAATTATGTAGGCCAGAAACAGTTTCCCCCACCCTCTCACGCCGTATGTTCTCTTGCCTCTTGCCTGAGGAAGAGCCACTATTGGTAAAGTTTGATTTGCACAATTTTGTAGTAAAGAAATAATTAGAGTTTAAGACTGTAGATGTCACACCACTGAGACCGTATGATCTAGTGCCAATTCTAGATTCTGGTCTATACTCTGCCAATGATAGGCCAAGTCACTAAACCTCTCCCACATAAGTTTTCTCATTTAATCAATGAGGACAGTCACTTCATGGGGTAAAATCACTTTGGAATTTTTAAGGTGCAATAGAAACTCACTAATTTCTTGTACCTTCTTTCTGTTCTTCCTCTTATTTTAAGTGACTTGGTTCATAAGACTGTGCAATGAAAATATTTTTAAATTTAGGACTTATTCAAGCACCCAGATGGTTTGAAATTCAGATGAATTTCAATAATTATTTTCATGCTAGCCATTCTTGATTTTGCTGTCAATAATAACACATAGTCAATTTAAATTACACTGAAATTTGTGGTTGAACTTTTAAATCTTTGTTGGATTATATGAAATTTATATTTTCTCCCCAGAATCATGTCATCATTGTCTTATTTTGCCTGACATTGGCCTGGGGTGCATACCCTTGCAATAACCTTACTCTGGGTTTACTATGCTTGCTCTTAGGCAAATTGTTTAGTTTGTTTTTAATGTTTAATGTTACACAACCCAACAGCTTTCTGTTGTGTACTGACCTGAACCAATTTTATCATGCAGAATGCTTAGGTTCTTTTTGATAAATAATGGTAACCTCCAAAGAAGTCTTACGGTGGTTGAGGGTGACTCTCTCCAAAATCTCACTATGGGGTTATAGTCAAAGAAAATCTCAAACCAAATCCTACCACAAATGTTTATTATTTAAACATTTATTAGCATTTCAGTACATAAAACAGTTCATGTAACCTGTTCTGTAATCTCAAGAAAATCCTAGTTCACTATCCTTTCAGGTATCCTTTCAGGTGCTTTAGAGATTAAGAGAGACAACTTCTCTAAAGGAGAATTATAAAGAGTGTATGTCCTGCCATATAATAGATTTTCCTAATAGTGAGAGAAGATATATATAGCCATGGTATTAAGTTCAGAGATGGTGTATCCTTGGACATTGGTTTATTGAGAAATAATTATGATGACAATGATAATGATTTTGAAAATAACAATAAAATAGCAACCGCATTACCGCCTCACATTTATACCTCCAAAAGATAAATTTCGCAAGGGCAGGAATGTTGTTTTATATACCACTCTATCTCCAGCACATAGCATTTTGCCTGGAACATAGTAGGCATTTAGTAAACTTTTGTTACATGAACCAGTGAACAACAGTTACGGAAAACAGTTTGACAAACTGATGAGTCAGGCAGTGCTCTAAGCTCTTTACATGCATTATCACATTCAGTACAAATCTGTGAAAGAGCCAAGCTAAATAAAGCTTTCACTAATATCAGTTTTCAGGAAATGAAGTATACTAATTAATTGAATTTTCTGGTTAACAGAGCGTTACATTTCAATTTTTTAAATTTTAATCCTTTTAATTGCAATTAAAAAAAAAAATCAGTGACAGCCCTGCCTCAGTAAATAGAATCTAGAAGACATTCTTGAATTTTAGGATAGCTGATTGAAGATTTTCTCAGGGCCCCAGATGAAACTCCAAGCATCAATTGTTTTATGCAGTATCTTAAACAGAAAATGTGTAATATAATACATTAGACTAAATGTATAAATAATGCCATAACATTCTCTAGAAGTTGTTTTTCTTTTCTTTTCTTCTTTCCTGGGGGTATGGGTGGGATTATGTTGTTGAAGCTTTAATATTATCTTGTTTTCCTCTGCCAACTCTCTCATTCCCTTGTACATATTTTATGGAGAGCCAGTAAATAGAGCATAGTGGAGAAAGCGAAGGCTTTGAAGCAGGAAATGACTGCATTAGAATCTTTGTTCTGTCATTTAACTGCTGTGTAATTTGGGCAAGTTTCTTAACATCTCAGAGCCTTAGTTTCCTCTCCTGTGAAATGGAGGTAAAACCACTTAGTATAAGATTTCCTATGGCGATTGAATAAGGTCCTGTATGTAAGGGTCCTCTGACATAGCTGCTGCCACTACTGTGAGAATCCCAGGATATAGGGTCTGAAGGCAACTTAAAAATATATAACTTGCTTCAGGAATACATGAAATATGATGCACAAGTAAAAGAATATTGTTTGAAAATGGCAAATTTTAATTTTACTATAAAGACACATGCACACGTATGTTTATTGTGGCACTATTCACAATAGCAAAGACTTGGAACCAACCCAAATGTCCATCAATAATAGACTGGATAAAGAAAATGTAGCGCATATACACCATGGAATACTATGCAGCCATAAAAAATGATGAGTTCATGTCCTTTGCAGGGACATGGATGAAGCTGGAAACCATGATTCTCAGCAAACTATCACAAGTACAGAAAGCCAAACACCGCATGTTCTCACTCATAAGTGGGAGTTGAACAATGAGAACACATGGACACAGGGAGGGGAACATCACACATTGGGGCCTGTTGGGGGTTGGGAGGCTAGGGGAGGAATAACATTAGAAGAAATACCTAATGTAGATGACAGGTTGATGGGTGCAGCAAACCACCATGGCACGTATATACCTATGTAACAAAACTGCATGTTCTGCACATGCACCCCAGAACTTAAAGTATAATTTTTTTTAAATTTTAAAAAAAGAAATAGGAACATTGTTTGAAAAAATAAATTAAGCTATTATTAAAAATAATAATAAAAATAAAAAGAGGAAAATGGCAGATTTTATATGGAATGTATACAAATGATTAATTAGAAAGGTACTTTGTTCCATTTGTAGAAAATGACAATGATAAAATACTAATCTAAGGTAATTTTTTTGAATCTTAGAGCAAATGGTCCATTTTATAAGTTTTCTACAGGAAAATGTATTAATTCTGAAACCATTAATTATTTATGATTATGAGTACAGTGGCTGGGCTGCATCTCCTTGTTCTGTTTAAGCTGTGGATTGATAAGCAAATTCAGACATGAAATAAGATGCCAGAGAGTATAAAATGTTTGAGAGAAACTAAAGTGTTTTCAAACACTTTATAAGCACTCATTTACATATAAATAACATGCAAATTATGAGTCATTCTTCTGTATTTCCAAAAGCAAGTGCTTAAAGATATTTTATTAGCCTATGTTGAACTATTGTATACTTTGAATATGGTGTGAGTACACACACAAATGCATGCATTCATATACACATACATGCATTCATACATATTATGCATTTATTTTTTAATGATCTGTAGTTCTTACAAACTTTTTTTGCAAATTGGTCTGAGAAAAGTTTATTTTGTGTATTTTGTTTTATCAACACCTATTTTATCATCTCCTTTCTTCCCAGTGATGCTGATATAACTACCATTTTATGCCCAATGATTGATTTTGTCTTTATGGCAGCTATATGATTATCTTTGTGATCATCTCTTGAATATATTCACAAATCAAATAATTTCCAAAATATTCAAGAAGAAACACAAACGTTTTCTATTCATTTTCAAACTTCAAACCCAATTCTTTTTCATCAACACACTTTTACAATATTTTAAAATTCTTTTACTTACTTCCAAATCTACTTAACCCCTAAAGAAACTTTCTTTAAAACTGCTTAAAATTGGAAACAAATACCATTTTTCATACAGAGGAATCCTTCTCTCAGCTATTTTACCTTATTTTGTTGCATAGAAGTCTTTCTATTCTATCTAATATTTAAATAAATATTTACAGAGTCTCTTCAGATTGTTTCATTCAATAATTCTGTTTCACTGAACCATTCGCAATGTTTTAAATCAGCTTTATTTTCTAGAGTACAGTGTTTAATTTTTTTTCTTTATTCAACTAAAGTACTCTTTTTTAATGAACAGAGATTCTGTTATTATTGAAAATTGACTCTAAAATATGAAATGCTGTATACATACTGAGGGTATTTTAAAGAAAAAAATAGAATCTGTTTTGCTTCTGCCCATAATTTTTCTGGCAACTATTTCAAAGGACAATCGTTATTTAAAATTTAATATTGTCTAGTGTTTTAGAAAGTCCCAATTAGAACATTAAAATTTGTTGTATAATGAAATCAATGTTGGAAAAAAACTCCCTAGTTTTAGCAGAGCAAGTCAGTTGTGTCTTGGTTTTAGGTAAGCTTCTTTAATGCAATGTTTTATTCCATAAAACTGAAAATTGTCTTTTGGATGCTGAAGAACACTATGACTTCCATTGTTTTGTTTTATAATATGTTTGCAATTGAGCTACAGCATATAATTTGATAGAGGATAAATAGAGAATAAACCTTTTATTTTATGCACATTGGTTTCATGAAGTATATAAATAAGCATTTCTAAAACCCTGAGCTGACTCTGACAGACCCAAGATATTGATGCAGTAGCCTACCAGCTATCCACAGCCATGCATAGCCTCTTGAACTCCTCATTAGGAAATAATGAGGGAACAGTCATAAATACATGCAATTGATTATGCATTACTACTGATGCTTACATTTGCTTTCAGTACTGTTTAGGCCAACTCTAAACTTTAAATTAATAGTTTGCAGCATTTACTGATGAAAACATTGGATATACACCATCTAGACAGAAATAACTTGTTTGTTTGATTTAGTGAAAATGTTAAATACTGTTAGGACTTAGTTACCACAAACCTGGCATTGGAGGCTACTTTCAGCTTTAGCTTATACCCAAAGGGCTGTTAAATAAGGCAGGTCAGGAACTGGAATTATTCCTGGCCAATCATATCCTGCCCCTCCCTTTTCCTTTATCACACCCCTTTGTGTTTACCCTACTCTATCAGTAAAGGTCTAACCAGGAAAGTGGAAATATAAATTAAAACAGGGAGACTAATGGAACTTGGTTACGCAGGCCATGGAAGAACTGAGAAGCTGAATATGGGACATTGCAGCCACCTAACTATAAGCAACAACAGGGAGCAACACCAATGCATCTAGGGTGGAGGGACAAGGGAAGAGTCAGCTGATATGGAAACCTTGGAATGGGGAGCTAGGATAAGGAGCAGAGAAGGAGAAATATGATCTAAGGACATGGATCTGAGGACAATCAGACCCAAAACAAGCACAGTTGTAGTGGGCTACTGTAAGGAAAATGAGAGAACAAAAGTGTGAAAATGAGTTTGAACCCCTAAGAAGTGAATAAGCCATGTTAATAATAATAAACAATAGCAATAATAATGGTGATGACGATAACAGCAGTTAACACTCATGGAGCACTCTGTATCAGGCATTGTTCCAAACACATTATCCATTATGTCTATTTTGTCCTAACATAGCCTAGTAAGTTAGGCACTATCTTCATTGTGCAGATGAAACTGGGGTATAGTTATTTAGCATGTCCAAGGTCACATAGCAAGGATTCAGACCTAGGCAGCCTGACTCTAGAAATGAAGCTGTTAACTTCTGCACTACAACTGCCTCCCAAAAGGTAAACTATGCTGTCTCCCTCTTGGCCATTCTATCCTTCAGCCATCTATACAATTGACTAGGTCTTAAATTCATTTGATGACACTATACTAATTCTGTTAAGAAATAATAAAATCATTCTCATGCAATGCAGCTTTCATTAAGACACTTCTTTTTTTTTGTAATAGGTAGCACATGCACGTGGTAGAAATTATTCTGGTATTTTTTGAACCATATGGAATTGCTGCTTTTTTATGTCAAAAAAGTTGCATATTGGCATTTTTTTATAGTTCAACCTAATGTAGAGGGCATGCAGTAAAGGCAAATATCTCCCTCACCCCAGTTTCTCTGAAAGCCACCACTCCCTCCGGTTTCTAAAGTACCTTTAGAGAGATATTCTGTAAATATACAATCACATATGCAGATATTTGCCTCTTTTCTGCCCAAATAGAAGCAAACTGTATTCACTATTCAACATCTTGCATTTTGTCACTTAACAGCTGCTGAGTTTCCAGTTGCACAACTGTACTATAATGTATTTAACCAGTACTTCTCAATGGAAATTTAAGTTGGCTTCATTGATTTGTTATTACAAAAACATACTGTAGTTAATATATTTATGTGTGTGCCTTTACACATGTAAATTACTAGAAGTGGAATTTCTTCCTAGGTATCTGTGCATTTTTTATTTTGATAAATATTAATGATATTGGACAAATATTGTCAAATTGCCCTCCATAGAAGTTTGATAAATTGGAATTCCCATTATCAGTTTGTGAGAGTACTTGTTTCTTCAAATACTTGTAAACATAAGGTGTTATCAAACTTTTTAATCCTGCCCATCTGATAAACACTAAATCCAATATTGCTGTATTTTTATTTTGCATTTATTTTATTATGAAGGAGAGGCAGCCATTTTTCATATGTTCAAAAGTCAGTAATATTACATTTTCTGTAAATCATTCAGATTGCTTACTATGTTGGATTGTTGGTCTTTTATTATTGATTTGTAGATACTATTTATATATTAAGTAAAGTAGTAGTCATTTATTTGGGATTTGATTTACAAAGACTTTTCCCAGTTTGTTATTTGTCTTTTATCATTTCTGTGGGTATGTGTGAGTGTGTATAATTGTTTTTTTAAATGTTCCATGTAATTTAAAAATGCCCCTCCTGGAAAAAGCAAGCTATACCTGTTAATCAAGAAATCTAAAGAAAAAAAAGTTCTATTTTTAAGAATTTCTAAATTGGCTGGCTCATTTGGGCTGTAGTTGAGAAAGTTCTAGTGGTTTTACTTATTTTAATCCAAACTACTTTCTTACATCATGTATTTCCATTTTTAATTTACATTTTTTAATTCTAAAGATGATTTTATATATGTGCTCATTGTATACTTGGAAAACTGGCATATGAGGAAGGAAAAACATTTTTCCTTGTTACCACAGTCTATTCATATAAAGGTAAAAATAGAATAAGAAGGATCAATGAAGTCCTTCAGCATTTTTTTTATTGTGATCTCTGTTTCTGATTTGTAGAAACAATTTGAAAGTCTTTTCCCAAAAGTGATTTATAAAAAGTTATCAAGTTTTGTGATAATGATACTATCACTAATCATACTGACAAATTCATGACATTTGCTAGATAGACGTTAGAGTTGCATGGATCTATAGGAATGTAAAATAAATCTTCATATTTAGCAATAATTGAGATTACTTGTTTCTTTTCTTTCCTGACACATATCAATATTTTAACAAATTATTCATAATGATACATTAAATGCTATCTTATTTTAGCTTGTTCAAATTTTTATTATTCATTTATTTTCAAATTGACAGACAAAATTATATTTATCATGTACAACATGAGATTTTGAAGGATATACACATTGTGGAATGGCTAAATCTAGCTAGTTAACATATGCATTACCCCACATAGTCATCATTTTTGTGGTAAAAACACCATATCCATTCTCTTAGCATTTTTCAAGAATACAAGATACTGTCATTAACTGTAATCACCATGCTTCATAATAGATCTCTTGAACTTATTCCTCCTATCTAACTGTAAGTTTTTATCCTTTGACCAACATCTGCTCAGAAAATACAATTTTCACTTCTGGAAAAACCATTCTCAACCTCACAGACTTTGGTAGTCTTCATTCTATTATACTCTCTACTTCTATGAGATCAACTTTTTTAGATTCCACACATTTCGTTTAACATAATGTCCTGCAGGCTCATCCATGTTGTCTCAAATGACAGGATTTCCTTTTTCATGGCTTAATTGTATTCTATTGTGTATATATGCCACATTTTCTTTATCAATTCATCTGTTAGTGTACGCTTAGGTTGATTTCATATCTTGACTATTGTGAATAGTGCTGCAATGAACATGGGAGTGTAGATATCTCTTTGCCATACTGATTTTATTTCCCTTGGATATATACCCCATAGTGGGATTGCTGGATTATATGACAGTCTTATTTTTAATTTTTTGAGAAATCTCCATACTGGTTTTCATAATGACTGTACTAATTTGCATTCACACCAATAGTTTGTCAGGGTTTTCTTTTCTCCACGTCCTTGCCAACACTCGTTATCTTTTGTCTTTTTTTATAATAGCCATCATAACAGGAGTGAGGTGATATCTCATTGTGGTTTTAATTTGCATTTCCCTGATGATTAGTGATGTTCAGCATCTTGCTATATACTTGTTGGCCATTTGTGTGACTTTTTGAGAAACACTGATTCAGACCTTTTGCCAATTTTTTAATCAGGTAATTTGTTTTCTTGCTATTGAGTTGTTTGTGTTTCTTAGATATTTTAGATATTAACCCCTTATCAGATCTATAATTTGCAAATATTTTCTCCCATTCTATAGGTTGTATATTCATTCTGTTGATTGGTTCCTTTGCTATGCAGAAGCTTTTTAGTTTGATGTAATCTCATTTTTCTATTATTGCTTTGATTGCCTGTGCTTTTGAGGTCAAATCATTGCCCAAGCCAATATTATGGAGATTTTTCCCTGTGTTTTATCCTGGTCATTTTATAGTTTATCCACTTTGAATTTATTTCCCTATATGGTATGAGGTAAGGCCCTAATTTCATTCCTCTGCATGTGGATACCAGATTTCTTAACAACTTTATTGAAGAGATTGTCTTTTCCCCGTTGTGTGCCCTTGTTGCCTTTGTCAAAAATCATTTGGCTATAAATCCATGGGTTTATTTCTGGGCTCTCTATTCTGTTATGTTAGTCTATGTGTCTTTTTGAAATTGCTGGTGCTGAGCTGTTTTGGTTACTGTAACTTTGTAATATATTTTGAAGTCAAGTAGGGTGATGACTCCAGTTTTGTTCATTTTGCTCAAGATTGCTTTGACTAATTGGGGTCTTTTGTGATTCCATATACATTTTAGAATTTTTTTTCTATTTCTGTAAAGAATGTCATTAGTATTTTGGTAGGAATTATATTGGATCTGTATATCGCATTGGGTAGAATAAACATTTTAAAGTATTAAGTCTTTGAATCCATGGACACAGGCTATCTTTCCATTTGTTTGTGTCTTCCATTTCTTTCATCAAGGTTTTATAGTTTTCATTGTGGAGATCTTTCACCTCCTTGGTTAAATTTATTTCTAAGTATTTTTTTGTAACTATTGTAGACAGGATTGTTTTTCTTTCTCTTTCAGATAACTCATTAAGTTGGAGAAACACTACTGATTTGTGTATGTTGATTTTTTATCCTGCAACTTTACTGAATTCCTTTATTTGTTCTAACAGCTTTTAGGTGGTGGCTTTAGGATTTTCTATATATAAGATCATGTCTACAAACAGGAACAACATAACTTCTTTGTTTTCAATTTGGATGCCTTTTATTTATTTCTACTGTCTAATTATTCTGGATAGAATTTTCAGTACTATGTTGAATAGAAGAGATGAGAGTGGGCATCCCTGTCTTCTTCCAGATCTCATAGGAAGATATTTCAATTTTTCTGCATTGAGTATGATGTAAAGGTGAGTTTGTCATATATGGTCTTTCTTCTGTTGAGGTACTGAAATGGTTTGGCTGTGTGTCCCCACCCAAATCTCATTTCGAATTGTAATCCCCACATGTTGGGGCAGTGGTCTGGTGGGAAATGATTGGGTCATGGGGGCAGACTTCTCCTTTGCTGTTCTTGTGATAGAGTTCTCACAATATCTGGTCATTTTGATAAGTGTCTGGTGCTTCCTGCTTCTCTCTCTCTCTCTCTCTCTCTCTCTCTCTCTCTCCTGCTGTCATGTAAGATATGCCTTGCTTCCCCTTCACCTTCTACCATGATTGTAAGTTTATTGAGGCCATCCCAGCCATGCAGAACTCAGAGTCGATTAAGCCTCTAAGCCTCTTTACTTTATAAATTACTCAGTTTCAGGTATGTCTTTATAGCAGCGTGAGGATTAATACAGGTACTTTCCTTCTATCCCTAATTTGTTGAAATTGTTTATCATGAAAGGATGTGCCAAATGCTTTTTCTGCTTTTATTGAAATTATCATATGTTTTTGTCCTTTATTCTCTTAATGTAATGTATCAAATTTAACTGATTTGCACAAGTTGAATCATCCTTTCATTCCTGTGATGAATCCCCTTGATCATGGTAAATAACATTTTCAATGTGCTTTTGAAGTAGGTTTGCTAGTATTTCATTGAGGATTTTTGCATCTGTGTTCACCTGGAGTATTGGTCTGTAGTTTTCTTTTTTGCTGTGTCCTTGTTTGATTTTTGTAGTGAACCCATCAGGTCCTGGGTTCTTCTGTGATGGGAGACTTTTTATTACAGAATCAATGTCCTTACTTTCTATTGGTCGGTTTAGATTTTCTATGACTTCATTATTCATGAATAATTGAATTGAATGTATCAAAAAGTGTATCCGTTTCTTCTAGGCTATCCAATATGTTGACATATAATTGTTCATAATCATATCATGAAACTTTGTATTTCTGTGTTACTAGTTGTAATGTCTTTTTCATGTCTGATTTTCGTTTGAGTCTTCTCTCAGTCTAGCTAAAGGTTCGTTGATTTTATCTTTTAAAAAAAACCTCTGTTTCATTCATCTTTTCAGTTGTTTTTATAATTTCTATTTTATTTCTGCTAGTTCTTTATTATTCCCTTCCTTCTGCCAATTTTGGACTTAGTTTGTTCTTGTTTTTCCAATTCCTTAAGGCAATATTAGGCTGTTTATTTGAGATCTTTCTTCTTTTTTGATGTAGTTATCAATTGCTATAAACTTTCCTCTTAGAAATTATTTTGCCGTATGCTGTAGGTTTTGGCATGCTATGTTTCATGCTTCCATTTTCATTTGTCTCAGGAAAATTTTAAATTGCCCTTTTAATTTCATCATTGGCCCACTGGTTATTCCAGAGCATGTTGCTTGATTTCCATGTATTTGTGAATTTTGCAAAGTCTCTTCTGATATTCATTTCTAGTTTTATACCATTGAGGTCAGAAGAGATACTTGATATGATTTCAGTCTTATTAAATTTGTTGACTGGTTTTATGATCTAACATATCTATCCAGGAGAATGTTCCATGTGAAGTTGAGAAGAATGCACATTCTGCTTCTGTCAGATGAAATGTTCTAAATATGTCCGTTAGGTCCATTTGGCCTAGAGTGCAGTTTAAGTCTGATGTTTCCTTATTGATTTTCTGCCTGGTTGATCCGTCCATTGCTGAAAGTGGAGTGTTGAAGTCTCCTATTATTGTTGTATTGCAGTCTATCTCTTCCTTCAGCTCTACTAATATTTGCCTTTTATATTTAGGTGCTCTGATGTTGGGTACACATACATGTACAACTGTTATATCCTCTTGCTAAATTGACCCCTTTATCTTTATATAATGATCTTCTTTGTCTATTTTTATAGTTTTTCCTTAACGTCTATTTTATCTTATGTAATTATAGCTCCTCTTGCTCTGTTTTGGCTTTCATTTGCATGGAGCATCTTTTTCTACCACTTCACTTTCAGTCTATATGTGTCCTTATAGATTATATATGTCTCTTGTAGGCAGCATATAGCTGAATGTTGTTTTTTATTCACTGAGACACTCTGTTTTTTGACTAAGGAATTTAATCCATTTACATTCAAGGTGAGGACTTACTGCTGCCATTTTGTTAATTGTTTTCTAGTAGTTTTGTAGATTCTTTGGTACCTTCCTTCCTCTGTGTGTGTGTGTGTGTGTGTGTGTGTGTGTGTGTGTGTGTAAGTGATTTTCTCTAGTGATATATTTTGATTCCTTACTTTGTATTTTTTTGCATCTACTGTGTGTCTTTGCTGTGTGGGTACCATGATACTTACAAAATATCTTGCAGTCATAACAGATTATTTTAAGCTTATCACAACTTAACTTTGATGACAATTTTTAAAAACTCTACACTTTTACTGCACTCCCCCCACATTTTGATTTTTTAATGTCACCATTTACATCTTTTTATATTGCATACCACTTAACAGGTTATTGTAGCTATTATTTTAATAGTTTTGTCTTTTAACCTTCATACTAAAGTATAAGTGACTTACTCACCACCATTATAGTTTTAGATTATTCTGAATTTGACTCTGTATTTGCTTTTACCAGTGTGTTTTATACTTTCAGATGATATCATGTTATTCATTGACATTCTTTTCCTTTAGTTTTTAGCATTTCTTGTAAACAAGATCTGGTGGTTATGAACTCCCTCTGCTTTAATTTGTCTGGTAAAGTCTTTACTTCTCATTCATTACTAAAGGACAGCTTGCTGGCTTGCAGTTCTTTTACTTCAGCAGTTTGCATATATCATACAGCTCTCTCCTGGTGATAGAATTTGGATATTTGTCCCCTCCAAATCTCATGTTGAAATGTAATCCCCAATGTTGGATGTGGGGCCTGGTGGAAGGTATTTGGATCATGGTGGTATATTTCTCATGAATGACTTAGCACCATCCTCATGGTAATGAATGAGCTCTTGCCCTGAGTTCATGTAAGATCTGATTGTTTAAAAGACTGTGACACCTCCCCTGCCCTCTCTTGTTTCTGTTCTCACCATGTGATACACCAGCTCCTCCTTAGCCTTCTGCCATGATTGTAAACTTCCTGAGGCCCTCACCAGAAGCAGATACTGCTGCCATACTTCCTGTACAGCTTGCAGAACCATGAGCCAAGTAAACCTCTTTTCTTTATATATTACCTAGCCTCAGGTATTTCTTTATAGCAATGCAAGAACAGATTTAACACAGAAAATGGTACCTCCCCCACCCTTGCTCCTGCTCTCACCACATAATACCCTGGCTTCCCCTTTGCCTTCTACCATGATTGTAAACTTTCTGAGGCCCTCACTAGAAGTAGATGCTGATGCCGTGCTTCCTGTAGAGCCTGCAAAACCATGAGCTAATTAAATTGCTTGTCTTTATAAATTACGGAGTCTCAAGTGTTCCTTTATAGCAATGCAAAAGTGGACTAACACACCTAGCCTGTAACGTTTCTGCAAACAAGTTTGCTGCTAGGTGTATTGGAACTTCCTTATTTGTTCTTTGCTTCTTTTCTTTTACTGCTTTCAGGATTCTCTCTGTTTTTGATTTTTGACAATTTGATTATATGTCATGAGGTAGTGTTATTTGGATTGAATCTGATTGGAAACCTTTGACTTTCCTGTACCTGGATGTACATCTTTCTCAAGGTTTGGACGTTTTTCTGCTATCATTTCTCTAAGCTTTCTACTCTTCTATCTTTCTTCTCTCCATCTTAAAATCCAATGAATCAAATATTTGCTTTTACAATGCTGTTCCATAAATCCCATTGACATTCTTCATTCCTTTTAATTCTTTTTTTCTCTCCTTTGACTAGATACTCTTAAATAATCTAAGTTCACATATTATTTCTTCAGCATGATCAATTCTGTTGTTGATGTTCTCTATTGCGTTTTTTTCATTGTATTTTTCAGCCCCAGGATTTATCTTTGATTCTTTAAAAATTATTTCTATCTCTTTGTTAAATTTCTTATTCTGGTTACTTTACAGTTTTTCTCATTTATTTTAATTATTTATCTGTATTTTTTTAATGTGGCTGAGCTTCCTTAAAATAGTTCTTTTGAATTCTTTGCCAGGTAGTTTGTATATCTCTGTTTTTTTATGGCCAGTCACTGGCACTTTATTTTGTCTCCCTAATAATGTCTTGTTTCTCTGATTGTTCTTGATCTCTGTGGCCATATGTTGATATTTGCATATTTGAAGAAATAGTTACTTATTCCAGTTTTTTTAAATTGGCTTTGCCTGGGAATGCTTTTAAATAATAAGCCCTTCCGGAGACTCCAGCAGGCCCTCTGGCCTGGTCCCTAAGCCTGGCATGGCTGTGGCCGTTGTGGTGCTAGGGGAGTGCCCTATGCCAGGGACCACTGTAGTCGGTGTAGTACTGTGGCTGAGTTGGGGGCAGTGCTGGGGTGCAGCAGAAGCCCCATGGTTGCTGAGGCCTGCTTGCCACTGACATTTATCCAGGGCCCACGGCCACTGTAGATATCCAGCAGGGACACACATTGAGTTCACTGCACAAGGGCTATGCTTTCCCATCTGGTGCCAGGGCAGGTCTGGAGGCTTAGTCCATAGATACTTCATTCCTCTTTCACTTTTTTAAATCTTATCAGCCTCTGAAAAACTAGTATGCCCATTTTACCACATAACTCATTTGACTTGAATTTCTACTTTATGAATTTCAAATTTTTTCCAGGCTCTCAAGGTTAGAACTATTATATATTGCTTCTATTAATGCCTATTTGTTGTTATTTTCTATGACTCCTCAACGTATTTGCTATTGCAGCAATCTCCTCAGCACAACACATTTCAAAATTATTCCTCCCATTACTCATGTTATTCTTCTCACCTTATCTGTTTTTGCCATCCTTCAAGGCTAGCATGTAGCTGAGAGAGCAATACACATATTGTCATATCTGAGTTCCTGTCCCAGCTCTTACTAGGTCTTAGTAATTGTGCGACTTTGAGTAAGATAAATGAGATAAAGCAGCTAGCATATTTACCAACACATGGAAGACACTAAATTTTTTTCTCCCACCCTCACTCCACAGGGTTTTTTATGAAGACTTGCCTGAATACACTCTCTCTCCTCTGAATTGAAAATACTCCCTAGGTCACAAAAACCAATGCCATTTTGCAATTTTTTTTTGTATTTTTAATTGCAAACTATATTATAAACATCTTTATGTGAATTCTTCTACTTGTACATCCATTATTCCCTCCACAAAGCACCTCTTATAACACTGAGGATACCAAGCACTCAATAACTACTTGTTGGTTGGTTTGTCTATATCTCGAAATAGAATAGCAGTGTCAAACTTTGTTATATCTATTGGTAAAATATAATTCTAGGAAAACAAACAATTGGAGAACTTGGTTCTTATTTTTTCATCTTCTTGTGGTCCTTGTTAATGTCTGTTGGTTCACAGGTGATGATATACAAAATTTAGGAAGAAGAATTTTCGTTCTTTGTTAGTGGAAGAAATTTTTGTTATTGGAAGTCATTTTTGAAAACCTTTTCATTGGTTTTAGGATTGTAGGGGGAAATGGAATCAAAACTGCAGTGATTTAGAATATCATAGGATAGTAGAACCAGGAAATTAACATATTTAATTATAGATTTTGAATGACTTCAAAGGAAACTCAGTTTTTTCAAGGTATTAAGCCAGGAACTGGGCCGTTATTATAGGAGGCCACTTGGGCTTCCATTTAGCCAGTTTCTGGCACATTCATTGACAGGAATAATTTAATGATTGTGAATAATCACCAAGTGTAGGAAATAAGGTCCTCTTTGAATCATAAAGCTTTTTTTAAACATGAAAAATGTTATGCATTTTTTTGAGAATGGTGAAATATGCAAACTAATTTCATATTGTCCTACCAATTATGAATGTGTTATTCCTGGCAGGCAGGTCTCTTTAAAATTGCATATGCTTAGTTCTTTGCCAGGGAGAAGAGAGAAAATCATTGTCAGCCTCTTTATACTCAGCTGGGGCCAGGTGTTGTTCATTAACATGTAAATAGTGCAATTACTGCCAATTAAGATTTTTTAAAACATTAAAATCTGTGGGAACACAGTTATATCACCTATAAAATTTAAAATACATGTATACATCTTAGTGCTTTAGATTCCTACAAGGCATGTACTATAACTTGTAGTCTTAATTACCCAATGCTTCAAGTTGTCATTTATTTGCACAATGCCACATATGAGGTTCAAATGAAATGTAAAAGTACATTGGCTGAGTTTATGATTGTAGCCAAATATTGAGAATTTATTATGGATTATATTGATTGTCAGATTATTTTGATTTGTCCTTTAAAAAATTTTTCTATTTCTTACTCCGTGTAAGGAACTGGGTTAAGTGCAATGTATTCAATGGTGAATGAGGCAGACATGGTCTCTGCCCCCATGAATCTTACAGTGTAGTTGGGCTTCACAAATAAACAAGCAATACACATACAAATAAGCATACAACTAGGTAAGTATTGTTATAGGTACTGTTGTATAAAATGAGAGGGTGCCATTAGAATTCATGATGGAGCAGGATGAGTACAGTTTGGATAGAGAGGATAGAAAGCTCTCTATGAATATGCAGCATTTCCACTGAAGCTTGAGGGATAAACAGGTGATATCCAGGTGAAGAGAGTGGAGAAGAGCATACCAGCAAGAGATAAGAGCGCTTAGAAAGGCCTTGAAGCAAGAAACAGCTTGCTGTCTTCAAGTAATTGACAGAAAGAATACATGCCAACTTGAAGGTAGTGGTTGCCTCCAGGGAGCAAAGGAGCAGAACAGAATTTAGAAGCAGTAAGAAGGGGGTTTCAAGAGCAACTGTAATACTTTAATTCTTTAATAAAAAATATAAGCAAATATAATGAAAGGTTAACATTCATTATTATCCCTTGGTGGATTTATGGATGTTTGTTATATTACTCTTGGTACTTTTCTATGTGATTAAAATGTTTGATCACTGGGAAAAAATGTGAATGAGAGGTGAGAAAGTAGATTTTAAAATTTGTTTACAGTAGTATGAACTGGGCTTTGTTATAAGAAAGAGTTAAAAACTGTTAATGTATTTTTGCCTCTTTAAAAATATTTCTTTGAATTTTACTTGGGGGTATTCAAACCCTTAGCCACTACTGATATCTATTAGCAAACTCTATTATCTATTGATGACATAGATACTACTATGTTATCAATAGAAATAACTTGGCAACAAGCACATCCTTCTGCTGCACCCTACTTTGCAGTACAATAGTTTGTTTTTGCACTAATAGAGCTACTTGAGGCTGAAGCAGTGGGGCTTAGAATGAAACCTTTATTGGGGGGTGGGGCCAAGATGGCCAACTAAAACCAGCAGCAATCAGAGGCTCCCATCGAAAAGAACCATAACAGCATGTGGATCCTGCAATGGCAACCGAGGTATCCAGGTTCTGTCATCAGAACTGACTAGGCGGCTGGTGTGACCCACAGAGAGGAAAGAAGAACAGTGTGGTGTGGTGGCCCATGTGGGAGCCATATGGGGCAAGGGAGCCCCCAGCCCCCCAGCCAAGGGAGGCAGTTGGTGCCCCCCAAGGTCAGAGATCCCAGAGGAAGGAGCAGGCACCCATCTTTGCTGTTCTCCAGCCTCCTCGAGTGACATCTCCAGGTACGGGAGTGAACCAGATGAATAGGGCCTGAAATGAACCCCCAGCAAACTGCGGCAGCCCTAAAGAAGAGGGACCTGACCATTGAAAGAAAAACAAACAGAAAGCAACAACAAGAGCACCAAAAAAAGTCCCCACAAAAACCCTATAGAAGGGCCAGCAGCCTCAAAGATGGATACTAGACAAACTCATGAAGATGAGAAAGAATCAACAACAAAAAAAAGTTGAAAACCCAAAAGGCCAGAGTGCCTCTTCTCCAAATGCTCACAATGCCTATCCAGCAAGGGGACAGAACTGGAAGGAGGATGAGATGGGCAAATTGACAGAAGTAGGCTTCAGAAGGTCAGTAATAACAAACTCCACTGAGCTAAAGGAGCATGTTCTAACCCAATGCAAAGAAGCTAAGAACCTTGATGTTAAGGGAAGCCAGAGAAGAAGGTCAGGTCACCTTCAAAGAGAAGCCTATCAGACTAACAATGAACCTCTCAGCAGAAACCATACAAGCCAGAAGAGAGTGGGGGCCAATATGCAGCATTCTTAAAGAAAAGAATTTTCAACCCAGAATTTCATATCCAGCCAGACTAACCTTAATAAGTGGAGGAGAAATAAAATCCTCTCCAGAAAAGCAAATACTGAGGGATTTTGTCACCACCAGGCCTGCCTTGCAAGAGCTCCTGAAGGAAGTATTAAATATGAAAAGGAAAAACTGGTACCAGCAACTGCAAAAACACACCAAAATATAAAGGCCAATGACACGATGAAGAAACTGCATCAACTAGTGTGCAAAATAACCAGAAAGCATCATGATGACAGAATCAAATTCACACATAACAATATTAACCTTAAATGTAAATGGGCTAAATGCCCCAATTAAAAGACACAGACTGGCAAATTGGATAAAGAGTCAAGACCCATCAGTGTGCTGTATTCAGGAGACCCATCTTACATGCAAAGACACACATAGACTCAAAATAAAGGGATGGAGGAAGATTTGGAAATGGAAAGCAAAAAAGAGCAGGGATTGCAATCCTAGTCTCTGACAAGACAGACTTTAAACCAACAAAGATCAAAAAACACAAAGAAGGGCATTACGTAATGGAAAAGGGATCAATTCAACAACAAGAGCTAACTATCTTAAATGTATATACACCCAATACACCAAGATTCATAAAACAAGTTCTTAGAGACCTACAAAGAGACTTAGACTCCCACACAATAATAATGGGAAAATTTAACACCCCACTGTCAATATTATACAGATCAATGAGACATAAAATTAACAAGGATATTCTGGACTTGAACTCAACTCTGGATCAAGTGGACCTAATAGACATCTACAGAACTCTCCACCCCAAATCAACAGAATATATATTCTTCTCAGTGCTACATGGCACTTATTCCAAAATCAACCACATAATTAGAAGTAAAACACTCCTCAGCAACTGCAAAAGAACTGAAATCATAACAGTCTCTCAGACAACAGCACAATCAAATTAGAACTCAGGATTAAGAAACTCACTGAAAACCACACAACTACGTGGAAATTGAACAATGTGCTCCTGAATGACTACTGGGTAAATAATGAAATTAAGGCAAAAATCAAGAAGTTCTGTGAAACCTATTAGAACAAAGAGACAATGTACTAGAATCCCTGGGACACAGCTAAAGCAGTGTTAAGAGGGAAATTTATAGCACTAAATGCCCACATAAGAAAGAAAGAAAAATCTCAAGTTGACACCCTGACATCACAATTAAAAGAGCCACAGAAGCAAGAGGAAACAAATCCAAAAACTACCAACAGACAGGAAATAATGAAGATCAGAGCAGAACTGAAGAAGATAGAGGCATGAAAAATCCTTCAAAGAAAATTAATAAATCCAGGAGCTGTTTTTTTGAAAAAATTAACAAAATAGATGGACCACTAACTAGACTAATAAAGAAGAAAAGAGAGAAGAATCAAATAGACACAATAAAAAATGATAAAGGGGATATCACCACAGACCCCACAGAAATGAAAACTATCATAATACTATAAACAGCTCCATGCAAATAAGCTAGAAAATTTATAAGAAATGAATAAATTCCTGAACACATACACCATCCCAAGACTAAACCAGGAAGAAGTTGAATCCCTGAATAGACTAATAAAAAGTTCTGAAATTGAAGCAGTAATTAGTAGCCTACCAACCACAAAAAGCCCAGGACCAGACAGATTTACAGCCAAATTGAACCAGAGATACAAAGAGGAGCTAGTACCATTCCTTCTGAAACTATTTCAAGTAATTGAAAAGGAGGGACTCCACCCTAACTCATTTTATGAGGCCAGCATCATCCTGATACCAAAACCTGGTAAAGACACAACAAAAAAAGAAAACTTCAGACCAATATCACTGATGAACATGGATGCAAAAAATTTCAATAAAATACCAGCAAACTGAATCCAGCAGGACATCAAAATGCTTATCTAGCATGATAAAATTGGTTTCATCCCTGGGATGCAAGGCTGGTTCAACACATGTAAATCAACAAATGTAATTCATCACATAAACAGAAGCAATGACAAAAACCACACAATCATCTCAATAGATGCAGAAAAAGCCTTTGGTAAAATTCAACATCCCTTCACGTTAAAAACTCACAATAAACTAGATATCAATGGAACATATCTCAAAATTATAAGAGCTACTTATGACAAACCCACAGCCAATATCATACTGAATGGGAAAAGCTGGAAGCATTCCCTTTGAAAACTGACACAAGACAAGAATGCCCTCTCTCACCACTCCTATTCAACATAGTATTGTAAGTTCTGGCAGGGTAATCAGGCAAAAGAAAGAAATAAAGGATATTTAAATAGGAAGAGAGGAAGTTAAATTGTCTCTGTTTGCAGACAGTGTGATCCTATATTTAGAAAACCCCATTGTCTCAGCCCCAAAACAAGCAGAGAGTCAAATCATGAATAAACTCCCATTCACAATTGCTACAAAGAGAATAAAATACCTAGGAATACAGCTAGCTAGGAATGTGAAGGACCTCTTCAAGGAGAACCACAGACCACTACTCAAGGAAATAAGAGAGGACACAAACAAGTGGAAAAATATTCCATGCTCATGGATAGAAAGAATCAATATCATGAAAATGGCCATACTGCCCAAAGTAATTTAGAGATTCAGTGCTATTCCCATTAAACTACCATTGACATTCTTCACAGAATTAGAAAAAAAAACTACTTTAAATTTCATATGGAACAAAAAAAGAGCCCATATAGCCAAGACAATCCTAAGCAAAAAGAATAAAGCTGGGGGCATCATGCTACCTGACTTTAAACTATACTACAAAGCTACAGTAACCAAAACAGCATGGTACTGGTACCAAAACAGATATATAGACCAGTGAAAGAGAACAGAGACCTGAGAAATAAGACCACATATATGCAACAATCTGATCTTTGACAAACCTGAAAAAGAAAAAGCAATGGGGTAAGGATTCCCTATTTAATAAATGGTGTTGGGAAAACTAGCTAGCCATACACAGAAAACTGAAACTGGACCCCTTCCTTATACCTTATACAAAAATTAATTCAAAGTGGATTAAAGACTTAAATGTAAAATCTAAAACCATAAAAACTCTAGAAGAAAACCTAGGCAATACCATTCAGGATACAGGCATGGGCAAAGACTTCATGACTAAAACACCAAAAGCAATTGCAACAAAAACCCAAATTGACAAATGGGATCTAATTAAACTGAAGAACTTCTGCACAGCAAAAGAAACTATCATTAGAGTGAACAGGCAACCTACAGAATAGGAGAATATTTTTGCAATCTACCCATCTGACAAAGGGTTAATATCCAGAATCTACAAGGAACATAAAGAAATTTATAAGAAAAAAAACAACCCCATCAAAAAGAGGGTGAAGGATATGAACAGACACTTCTCAAAAGAAGACATTTATGCAGCCAACAAACATATGAAAAAAAGCTCATCATCACTGGTCATTAGAGAAATGCAAATCAAAACCACAAAGAGATACCATCTCACACCAGTAGAATGGCGATCATTAAAAAGTCAGGAAACAACAGATGCTGGAGAGGATATGGAGAAATAGGAATGCTTGTACACTGTTGGTGGGAGTGTTAATTAGTTCAACCATTGTGGAATACAGGGTGGCAATTCCTCAAGGATCTAGTACCAGAAATACCATTTGACCCAGCAATCCCATTATGGGTTATATACTACAAGGATTATAAATCATTCTACTATAAAGACACATGCACATGTATGTTTCTTGCAGCACTGTTCACAATAGCAAAGACTTGGAACCAAGCCAAATGCCCATTGATGATAGACTGGATAAAGAAAATGTGGCACATATATGGAATACTATGCAGCTGTAAAAAGGAATGAGATCATGTCCTTTGCAGGGACATGGATGAAACTGGAAGCCATCATCCTCAGCAAACTAACACAGGAACAGAAAACCAAACACTGCATGTTCTCACTCATAAGTGGGGGTTGAACAATGAGACCACATGGACACAGGGAGGGAAACAACACACACCTGGGCCAGTTGGAGGGTGGGGACAAAGGGAGGGAGAGCATTAGGACAATATCTAATGCATGCTTGGCTTAAAACCTAAGTGACAGGTTGATAGGTGCAGAAAACCACCAAGGCACACATATACCTATGTAACAAACCTGCACATTCTGTATTTGTATCCCAGAAGTTAAAGTAAAATTAAAAAAAAAAAAAACCTTTACGGCTAACTTTATCAAGTAACCAAATCCCTTTATTAAGAACAACTAATAAGCCCATCCTTCATCAAAGACTCTTATTACCTAGCTAACTCTGTTATAATGTTAACACTTTAATTATGTTTCCAGGGAAAAATAAGTCATGCCACTGTCTCTGAAAAATGCAACCAAGTTAATAGGGGCCTTTGAAAGGAAGTTCTTGAATTCCAGTATTTTAATCCTTCAGCCTCATCATAGTAATTTTATATCTGGATGGACAAGTCTCTAGGAATACCTAGTGACTAAAAAGCCAGTGGAAGAAGGTATCCTAAAATCCATCTTGGGCAGCCCCAAGGAACTATGTGCTATGGAAAACCCCTCAAAGAATAATCAACTGCAGGTTGCCCTTGTTTATCTACTTGCCTGATTGAAGAGAGAAAGCCAGACCCATCCAGTTCAGTCACATCAGCACGAACTTCAGTTCAACAGACATTTGACTCATTACTATATACAGGGCACTTCATGGGCTACAAAATTGAGTAAGCTACAACCCAAAAATGCCAGGAGTTTAAAGTCTACTTTTGGACACGGAACAAATACAAATCTAATCCATTTCAGAGTTGGAAGAAGCGTGGAAGTGAGCTCATGGTGAAGTGGCTAGGGAAAGAGAAATGACTATATCTCTTTCAACTCCTAGATAAATTGATTCAAATTAGACTGATGTTCCTTATTCCTAACCATGACATTCTCATGAAAGAGAAGCTAGTAGAAATCTAGAAATACTCATTGTAATCAAATGGTTGCTTTAAACACCAAGGTAAAATTCAGTTATATATAATTATCATTCACAATCTAGGAAAATGTCTCTTTTTTTCATAAAGAGGCCAATTATAACAATAAATGTCAAATTCCTTAAGTGTAAATCTTATAGTTGAGGCTTAAGTAACTAAGACTGTATCTGGCATTCCAGAAAAGATAGGTTGATATTTTATATAAAATTATTATTCTGCCTGATATACCATATCTTCTATATTTAGTATAATAATGAGCTCTTCCCAGCAGAGAACAATATTTTTAAAATCTGATGTTTGATGCCAGTCCCAAGATAGTCGTACTCAAGGTACTTGATTTAGAAAGAAGAAAACAGCAAGATTTTCCTGTGTTTTTAAGTCGAGAAGTCCCGATTTTATAAATTGACTTGGATAGAGAAGTACATAAAATATAATGCAAAGGTCATAAGGGTCTGTTATCTGTTCCAAAATAGTGATCCCTGGTGGAAAAGCAATGTAGTGCATATGGCCATGGCTGCAAAATGAAAATGTGTTCTAAGCAGGACCTGCTGAACTGAATAAGCACAGATGTACTTCAAATTAATATTTAATCTGATACCAAATCACTTAAAGGAGTTAGGGATATGAATTCCTCATAAGAAATAACTTCCTTCTCACAGAGAACAATTATGGTACTGCAAAGGTAACACAAATAAGATTGTCATATTTTCGTTAGATTTAAAGAGTAAATCTGGAAATGAAAGTATTTTGCTGGCTCTTTTTTTGAATTTTCTTAATATTATTTCTTGTAAAAAGAAAATCCTCTTTGAATGTGATGGCATGGATCAAAATGAAAGCTAATAAAGTCAGTTTGATTGAGAGACTATCTCAGCCCTTGAGAGTAGATGAGAGTGATTTTTAATTGACATCATTAGAGTATTATTAGAATAAAATAGAACCAAGTAAAATAGAACCAAGTAACCCTTACTAATCTTTAAAAGGAAAGTGCCTATAATCAAGTTACAATTCTGAAAAGCAATTCTGTTGCTTTTTCAGGCCATTTTCAGAAGCAGATCCTCAAAATAAGCTGGAGTCCAGAGCTGTCTCATGCCTTTCATTTTAAACCCACTTTTGTTCCACATTTTGGCCTGTCAAAAATGTTATTATCACATTACATACTGAATACTCAGAAACCACCGCCTAAATTTAAAAAAAAAAAGAAACTGCCACCTTAGGTTAAAGTGACATTTCATCTCTTAGGGTGGTTTTTTTCTGAATTAAAAGAGGTGACTGAACTTACTACTTCAATAGAAAGCAAAGACACTTCACAAGTATAGTAGGCACTAACTGGAACATAGTATGACAAAGAAAAACAGGCTATATTACACTTACCATCATATTTACCACTAAAATATTAGCTCTCTTTGCAAGATAGTTAGCTTTTGTATGATCAAAATGCCACATGGACATTGTATTGAGGTAACTATTTTTAGATAATGGGTTAGTCTTATACATTGCAGCAATTATGCAGGAATTATAAGCTATCTACATCTTTTCATTTGAGGAGATAAAGGACATCCCCTCCCAGTCATGCATTCAACAAGTATTGAAACTACTTCTTATTTATGTATTCAGAATATATTTGAGCACCTACAACATGCTAGGCTTGAAGTATTGAAACTACTAGGCTTCAAGTATTGAAACTACTACTTATTTATGTATTCAGTATATATTTGAGCACTTAACAACATGCTAGGCACTGTGCCAGATGCTAGAGATGTAACATTGAACAATGCTGCCCTATATCCCAGTGGGAGAAAGAAGCAAAAAGTCAAAACAGAAATATGTAGATATGGTAATACCATTCATTTCAGAGAATAAGGGAGGTGATTGTGGAAACTACGTTAACAGTAGGGAAAGCTGAAAAAAATCCTTCCTTAGGAGGTGACAATTGAGGTGGGACCTGAAGTATGAGAAGAGAAAATCAATCATTCAATGGATGGTGAGGGCAGGAAGACCCTTTCCGGCATATGCAAAGGGCCTGTGGTGGAAGAAGATGACCCCATCTAAGAAATGCAACCAGACCCGTGTGTCAAAAATGTGATAGACTAAGGGGAGAATAGCTCAACAGAGGAAACTCTAAGCTAAACAGCAACCAGGTCACAGAAGGTCTTGGAGGCCATTACAATGAGCTTAAATGCTTTCCTAAGTACAATAGGAAGCCACTGAAGGAGTTTAAGCAAGGGGTGGGATGTTCAGTTTTGTTTTTTTAAAGTTTATTCTAGGGCTGACTATTGTACAGTAAATAGGTTGGCGGGGGGATTGGAAGTGGGGAAACCAGGAAGCTGACTATTGTACTTATTCAGATGAGAGATGACGGTGGAAACAGAGAGAGGTGGATAGAGAGAAGATATATTTCTGAAGGAAACCAATAGAATGTGGTGACGTATTGCATGTGGAAGTTAAGGCACAAGGAGAAATCGGTATGATTCTATTATCTTGTTTGAGCAACTGAGTACCTTGTGGTGTCACTTAGGCTAGATGAGCAAAAGGGCATAGTGAAAATAGGGGAATCAAGAATTATGTTTTAGGTATGTTAAATACTTGTCTATGAGATATCCAAACTGTTATTGAATTTTGGCTGGATACACAAACCTAGGCTTGAGGAGCACATAGTTAGCCTGCTACTGACTGGGAGGAGTCAGCAAACAGCGACATTTAGAGTCATTACAGTTCTTTTTAGTTCCCGAATGCTTATTCCTTTGGATTCAGGCATTGATGGCTCTACTCAAAATATCAGCACTATCTCAATGGTGGTTCCACATATTAGACATTGTTTCCTGAGACTGACCCGAGACAATGTGCCAGAGGGTGAATGAGTTCCGTTGGGATACAGAAGGTTTTTATTTAAAAGGTCTGGATTATGCAGTTCTATTAAGAAGGCAGATTTGGGTGGGATTTCACAGTCCAGAGGGCAAGGGGCCACTTGGGAGAAGAGGAGGAAGATAGAAAGGGAAAGAGGTTTTTAAAAAGAGATGGAAATAGTGCTGTAAAAGAAACTGAGTCATTTCACAACTTTGGAGAGAGCCGGGTCTGCTACTAGATATTTTTCTGTAAATTTTTGAGTTCCTTTTTATTAATAAAAATGAAAAATTTAGTAAGCACTTACTGTATGCCAAGCACTGATCTAAGTACATTACATAACTAACTCATGTAGTTCTCTGCAGAAAGCTATGAAATATGCGTTTGGCCACTTTTGCAGATGAAGAAGAAGACACAGAGAAGTTCCGTAATTTCTAAATTCACCAAGGCATTTGGTGGTGTGCTAAGATTTGAATCTTGGCAGTCAGTTTCCAGAACCCATGGTCTTAACCATTACACTATATATTTCAGTTTCAGTATAATATAACATGTGATTGTAAATGTCTTTTTTGTCTTTCTAATAAGCAGGTCTTTTACCAAGACTACCAGAGAAATCTTAGTTTTCATTATTTTTTGTCCTGTAAGTTCTACATGTTTTATGGCCTGGAGAATAATTATGATGATGGTTGTATAATATTAAGATACCTGCTTCCAGTCTACATATTCTGTGATTTTGTTCTATTTTATTTCATTTTTATTTTCTCATATTTCTTAGCCCTTTGCCCCTTAAAAATAATTACCAGAGTAGTATTTACTGATCATCATAGAAACCACTACCCAATTCTTCAACCCTATTATATTGATCATAATTTATTGATGAGGTCTGACATCTCACACTCTTTATCCAGACTTCCTCCCATGAGGAAAAGACTATAAAATTATTTTCCTGCCTGGCACATTTAATTCCAGAAACTTGCATCTAATACTATTGTGGTGAACAACTCCAGCTGCTGTTCCAGGTTCAGAGTCATTTTACTCCATAGAAAAAAAGTATGTTAATTGACTAATCTATATATTGTAATATTTGTTTCTTTAATGATAGGGTTTTAATTTAACTTAGCCATATGTTAGGGCCCATGTTTAGAAATTAGTCTATTTTCAAACTAACATTCAAGAACTGCCCAAGTATACAGAGAAGTTTAATTGACTGAAATGTGTAAAACAAAGCAAAATTATTAAGTTAAAAATAATGATATTGTCTAGTTATTTTTTAACTTCGAAATACTTAAAACTCCTTGAAACTTTGCTGTAATCAACTGATTTTTAATTTACTAATTTGAAAGTGTTTTGCTTTATTAAAATGTTTTTTTTCATCCTAGGGATACTTTTTTTCTCATGGCTAGGTTTCATCTGTCATTGTGCCTTATGGGCTTGCCCTTTGCCTTTTGCAAATGGTCTATTTCCCTTCTAACAAATATGCTTCGAATTTTCATAAAAGATATGTAACAATGTTAGCTTTTTTTCTGGGTGAGAAATGGCATAACACAACTCTAAAGAGTTTATTACTGTCAAAGTCTGTCCCTTGGAATTATAGGTAGATGTTTGTGAAAAGAACTAGAAAATTCTCTCTCTTCTTATAATCTTCAAGAATACTTCGGATGAATGTGAGTTCAGAAATGGTCATTCCTGTGACATTGGCATGTTTAAGGCACTGACCAACTGATAGGCACAATCTAAAAACAAAACGACCTATGCCTACTGGAAATCTGTGTAGGCTGTATAGACTCTGGAAATTTCACTACAGAACACCTAGCACATGATTTTTATTCAGCATTTGGTAGGAAAAGAAAATGAATTTATTTTTCAAATAAAAAATGTATCAAGGAAAGTTCTGGGGAAAGGAAGGAGTATGGGATTGGGGGTAGAAGTGGAAATTTGATTACTTGAGTTATTGAAATGATTCAGAATGGCAAACTTCTAGAAGTACTCCCAATTTCCCTCTGAGATAATTCAGTCCTCCCAAAGATAGGTCGGGTGTTTCCCAGAGAGAGGAAATATTGTACTATCTGAAAGAAATAAAATCCTTCCCTGGATCCATCCTTCATAGGAAGGTTAACATCTCCCTGAAGGCTTTCTGTCAACTCTGGAGACACAGTGTGGTGTGTCTGGGGAGCATATTTTACACACATGCACACACACACACACGCAATTATGCACACACAAGCCATTAAATAAGACAGTGAAATAATAACTCTACTTATTGCCAGCTTCCTACTGAAGTATGCCTATCCCATTGCTCCCATAATGGAGAAAATTAATATATCCTGTCAGGGTCACATAATATGAATAGTGAAATTCTGTGAAGTGACTGCATGTAGAAGAGTCAGGAAATCCACTTTGATCTACATTTTTGATGTTTGATAATTGCACTTATTATCAGGTCCTTTCTGCTCTTTTTCTTTGACATGAGATCCATTATCAGTGACAGCATGAGCGTGAGTATGTGTTTGATTTAAAAAACTACTTAAGATGAGGTAATGGAAAAGAAGCGTTTTTTGTCCATGCATATTAAAAGAATGGGAGACAATTAAATCTCATTATACAGTGGCTGGCTTGAATTGTTTATCTTTTATGTATGGCATTGTTTGGGCACCTCATGGGGTAACTTTTTTCAAAAGAAATTATTTCCTAGTGATATATTTTGTATATATGTAGACTGTTATCATTTGCTTTGATGCTTTCATTCTATGAGAAAGCATTGAGAGAAGAGATAAAGAAATGATGGTCACAAAAAATAGGACAGGTCATGTAGCCAACCGCTGCTTTTTCAGAAATCGTTATAAATAGAATGCATAGTCATATGTGAATAGGACTAAAAACAGAACATAAATTCATATTTATACCAAGGCAGATAATTGGTAAATTTATTAACTAGGATTCTTTCTGTATCTGTTAATTTATTTTAAATAACACAAGTTACCTTGATGCAAGTAATTATTGGCAATTAATATGTGATAAGGTATTTGAACTTTTCTGCTTGCCTAAATTTTACAACAAGGGCTCAGGCTAATTTAGCACTTTAACGTGTCACCTTGCACATTAACAAATTAGTATTCTTCACAGTAGAAGCCTAAGTAAAATGCTAACCCATTCATTTACTATTTTTTTTATTTCTATTGTGGACATTACCTACTTTTGGTCTTTGGCTGTCAATATTATACATATAAATAAGTATTCTATAAATCAGTATTATATAAATAATACATGGCTAAATGGTAAAATTATAAAACTCTTTCAGCCAAAATTAAATGCTACTCCCATATTTTTGCTTACAAATTTCTCTTCTTTGCTGAATAATAGAGAAAAATAAACTTGTCTTTACTCATCCAAGTTAACTTGGATTTAATTTGGAGCAGCTAAAAAAATTAATAGTCTTTGATGTTCCTCTTTTCCATTAACTTTACTTTTTTCAGATATGTTCTCAATAAAAAGTTATTGGAGAAGTAGTACTCCTCACGGCTCTTGGAGAAAATGAGAGTGTATTTGGAAATAGTTTATGGAGTAGCTTTTGTAGCCTCTGACTTTCTCTGAGTGACTTCGTACCCAAAAACAGTCAGGTGGAACCATTTTGTAAAGTATAAAGCGCCATACAAATGTCATCAAATGTTAGAAAAAGTAGGAGAATATGGTAAGATATGACAAAGTACAACCACATACATTCCAAATGAAAGCCTTAGCCTAATTTGAGCTACATTTGTGCTACCTTTGAATTGCTAGTTTATTTGTTAGTGCTTAATATGGTTTGACTCTGTGTCCCCACCCAAATCTCATAGCTCCCATAATTCCCATGTGTTGTGGGAGGAACCTGGTGGGAGATGACTGAATTATGGGGGCAGGTCTTTCCTGTGCTGTTCTCATGATAGTGCATGGGTCTCATGAGATCTGATGGTTTTAAAAAGGGGAGTTGCCCTGCACAAGCTCTCTTTTTGCCTACTGCCATCCATGTAAGATGTGACTTGCTCCTCCTTGCCTTCTGCTATGATTATAAGGCCTTCTCAGCCATGTGGAACTGTAAGTCCAATAAACCACTTTGTTTTGTAAATTGCCCAGTCTTGGGTATGACTTTATCAGCAGCATGAAAATGGACTAATACAGTAAATTGGTACCAGTAGAATGAGGCGCTACTGAAAAAAATACCTAAAAATGTGGAAGCGACTTTGGAACTGAGTAACAGGCAGAGGTTGGAACAGTTTGGAGGGATCCAAAGAAGAAAGGAAAATGTGGGAAAGTTTGGAACTCCCTAGAGACTTGTTGACTGGCTTTCCCCAAAATGCTAATAATGATATGGACAATGAAATCCAGGCTGAGGTGGTCTCAGATGGAGATGAGGAATTTGGTGGGAACTGGATCTAAGATGACTCTCGTTATGTTTTAGCAAAGAGACTGGCAGCATTTTGCCCCTGCCCTAGAGATCTGTGGAACTTTGAACTTGAGAGAGATGACTTAGGGTATCTGGTGGATGAAATTTCTAAGCAGCAAGAGTGACTTGGTGCTGTTAAAGGCATTCAGTTTTTAAAAGGAAACAGAGCATGAAAGTTCAGAAAATTTGCAGCCTGACAATGCAATAGAAAAGAAAATCCCATTTTCTGAGGAGAAATTCAAGCTGGCTGCAGAAATTTGCATAAGTAATGAGGAGACAAATGTTAATCCCCAAGACAATGGAGAAAATGTCTCCAGGGCATGTCAGAGGTCTTCACAGCAGCCCCTCCCATCACAGGCTGGGAGGTCTAGGAGGAAAATATGGTTTCCTGGGCCAGGTCCAGGACCCCCCTGCTGTGTGCAGCCTAGGAACTTGGTGCCCTGCATCCCAGCCACTGCAGCCATGACTAAAAGGGGCCAAGGTACAACTCGGGCTGTGGATTCAGAAGGTGCAATCCCCAAGTCTTGGCAGCTTACACATGGTATTGACCCTGCAAGTGCAGAGAAGTCAAGAATTGAGGTTTGGGAACCTCCACCTAGATTTCAGAAGATGTATGGAAATGCCTGGATATCCAGGTAGAAGCTTGCTATAGGGGAGAGGCCCTCATGGAGAACCTCTGCTAGGGCAGTGTGGAAGGGAAATGTGGGACAAAGCCCCAACCCAGAGTCCCTGCTGGGGCACCACCAAGTGGAGCTGTAAGGAAAGGGCCACTGTCCTCCATACCCCAGAATTGTAGATCCACTGACAGCTTGTATCATGCACCTGGAAAAGCCACAGACATGCAACACAAGCCCATGAAAGCAGCCATGAGGGGGGCTATACCCTGTAGAGCCACAGAGGCGGAGCTGCCCAAGACTATGGAAGCCCACCTCTTATATCAGTGTGACTTGGACATGAGACATGGAGTCAAAGGAGATCATTTTGGAGCATTAAGATTTGACTGCTTTGCTGGATTTCAAACTTGCATGGGGCCTGTAGCCCCTTTGTTTTGGCCAGTTTCTCCCATTTGGAATAGCTGTATTTACCCAATGCCTGTATCCCCATTGTATCTACAAATTAACTAACTGGATTTTGATTTTACAGGCTCATAGGAGGAAGGGACTTGCCTCATCTTAGATGAGACTTTGGACTGTGGACTTTTGAGTTAATGTCGAAATGCGTTGAGACTTTAGGGGACTGTTGGGAAGGCATGATTGGTTTTGAAATGTGAAAATACGAGATTTGGGAGAGGCCAGGTACAGAATGGTATGGTTTGGCTCTGTGTCCCCACCCAAATCTCATATTGTAGCTCCCATAATTTCCGTGTGTTATAGGAGGGGACCAGTGGGAGATGATTGAATTATGGGGATGGGTCTTTCCTGCTAGTTTATGTTAGTGCTTGATATGGTTTGGCTCTGTGTTCTACCCAAATCTCATCATATAGCTCTCATAATTCCCACGTGTTGTGGGAAGGACCTGGGGGGAGATTATTGAATTATAGGGGCAGGTCTTTTCTGGGCTGCTGTCATGATAGTGAATGGGTCTCATGAGATCTAATGGTTTTTAAAACGGGAGTTGCCCCGCACAAGCTCCCTTTTTGCCTGCTGCCATCCACATAAGATGTGACTTGCTCCTCCTTGCCTTCCACCATGATTTTGAGGCCTCCCCAGCCATGTGGAACTGTAAGTCCAATAAGCCGCTTTCTTTTGTAAATTGTCCAGTCTCAGGTATGTCTTTATCAGCAGTGTGAAAACAGACTAATACAGTGCTGAAGCACATATACTATATTATAGAATCTATCTCATTTCATTGTTCTCTAGCATTCTTAAGCATTGTAAATAATTTAGCACACCTTTAGGGAACTGGAGGAGTTAAAATATTTTTATTGGAAATTTGTAAAGATAATATTAAGAGCTTATATTTTAGTCTAATCTTAGAAAATAATAGAAAAGCTTACACCATTGTCAGAATACCTTTCTCCCCAAACAGGCAAATTTCAATGCTGTTATCTGAATATGCTCTCTAGGGACAAGAGATAACCTGTTGAGAATTTGTGACTTTCCAACATCTTTTTGATGGAGGTGGATTCTGATACCATAAGCAATGGATATCACCTACATCAAGAGTATTGCTAAAGGCAGGGCCTGAAATCAAAGGATTAAAGAAAAAGGAAAGGGGCCCAAATCAAACTTATTTCAAATTCTGTGTATAGCCAGTAACATCCAGGCAAGATTTACAAGAGGGTAAACTTTCCCAAAGTTTGTAAAATCATTTAAGTGAGTTAATTCCATATGGTGAAAGTATACACAAAATGTGTCTGGAGATACATTGTTATTAATAATACACTTTCCAGATATTTTCACAGAATATTAACTTCAATGACTGAGCAGTACTATAGCTGATGACCTCAAATCAGTTCCAATTAATATGCCTCTGCTTTTGTACATAAAAGGTTAAAAATTAGCACTGTAATGAAATGTTGCATAATACTTTGAGAGTTGTGTTGAGTGGGCAATAATATTTTTTATTTAAATGATAAAACAGGGTATTGAATGAAATTACTAATGTTTCCATGAATACTGAAAGTATAAGACTCCCGTGAGTACAGAACTGTTAACCTCTTTTGAATTGAGATTTTGATGTCATATATTTATATTGAGTTACATTATTTTTTAAAGAATAGTACATATTTTTATTATTACATATTAAAGAATGAGTACATATTTTTACTGAGTTGTTAGGTCATGTTCATTCCTTTGCTTTGTCTTTCTGGCTTGCTTTTTGCCTTATCATGGATAGGAAGGGGAAGGGTAAGCATTCAGAAATTACTAGCTTTGTCCATATAAACAGTTGCTCAGTAAAAAACTAACAAATTGTTGAACCATAATAATATTGTTTTCCATATTAAAACTCAGGCATGGGAACAGCAAGACTCCATTGGTTTTTCAAACCTGCTTTGTGACAATTGCATATATATGGTTCTATTAAGCCCTTTCACTTGGATACAGTTTATTTCCAGAAATGTTCAATTTGTGGATAGTGTTCATTTAAGAATTTCATCAGTGTTTGAAAAAATAATTTAAATGTTGACTGATGGACCACTAAATCCTTTGAAGTTGACCACGCAGTCCTCCTGCATGCCAGAAACCTAAATTCGTGTGAGTAGGTGTTAGAGGGAGTAGTCTATATGAAAGGGAGACTCTTTGTTTTGTGAAACGATTTACTACAAGTTTATTTTAAATCATGTAGTCAAAATATAATTTAACAGAGCACCAGTTATTTATATAATAATACATTTGCCAGATCACATATGATGGATATGCAAGAGATATATCTGAAAACTGAATGGCAGAAGCAAATACCTATTTATTCGTGTCTTCCTGTACAAATATCAACTGCTTCCCAATTTGAAAAAGCATGGTTAAGATAGAGAATATAGTGCAGTATTATCTTCCTGCTTCCAAATAAGATAATATCATAGTGAATATATATTATGCTTTATAGTTAACATTCTTACGATGTATATTTTCTAGCTTTACTTGGAAATTCTCCAAAAAATTGTATATATGTAGATTATTGTTATATTCAGGAGCAACATTGACCTATTATACTAATAGTAAATACATGGGCCCTATATAAACGCTACTTGAGGCAAATGTATTCACCATATGAAGCTACTATAAGATGCTCCAAATATTCATGGATTATTCAAAATTAGAGTAAACACTATTGAGCAAAGTACAATATTTGTGAATAATTTGAAATGTCACCATTTTGAATATTTATTACACAGCATGACAAGATAGAATCATTGTCCAGGAGACTGGCTGACAAATCGGGTCTCATGAGGAAGTATTATCCTTTCCATTATCTGTTACTTCAAGTCCATTCTGTTTAGCACTTGTTACAGCATCTAAAGTGATTTGACCTCTAAGGTCTGCCTTACCTTAACCAAATTGAGACTGATGTATAAAACCAGTCAGTCAACTGATTCATTTACAATATAAAATATAACTTCAAAGCAAGTCAAAATATTCTTGTCAGTGGTCAAAGTATTTGGTCAAAGTATTGTTTCCTGTTGGGAAGCTACATGGGAAACCAAATGATAACCAGAAGGTTCCTTTACAAGGATGGATATGAGAGAAAAAAGAAGTTAGTTGGAAGACCAAACTCTGAGTAGTCCATTATGGGATATGCCTGGCCCAGCATCAGATACTTAGATTCCTGAATAAGGTGACCCGTTTAACTAGACAGCATGGGTAAGGATAACAATGATAAATTCTTTCTATGATTCTCCTTTTCTATGTCCCATGTTTCTAATAGCACATTCTTTCTTCCCACTACTGTAACTATTACCATATCAGCTTAATCACATCTGGCTGTTCCTAAAATACTTGACCACTCAGTTACAGATTATTACTTAGAATGGGCTCCTTCTACAACTAATCTCATTCATTACATTTTATTCCTAATTTTATTCTCAATTAATGGTCTTTACTTTTAAATTTGGGAGGACTTTCATGTCCATATTGCCTACAATAGCCTCAAACCATTGCTGTATCCAACGCTTCCTCAATAGGTGACTAGCCAAAGAATAGAAATATACATTGCCATGTAATTGAGATTCTTTTGATGGTATATAACAGAAATGTAAACAAAAAAGTGAGAAATTCAATTTATTATTAGAATATAGGAGTATCTCAGAACCCAAGGACAGAAATCACTATAAGGCCTAATTGAGGGACTGGACTAGGAATTGGAAAGAAATCAGTAACTCCCACACCCTCAATTTTTTCATGTATTCCTCTTGTGTGTTTGTTTTATTCTCTCTGCAGATGAACTCTCCTTCCCTCTGTATGTGACCAGAAAGGGCCATACTTCTGATCATGAATGGACATAATATCTCAAATTTTAAAACCTGACTAACTAATATTCTGTCCCAACTTTAAAATCCCAGGAGAGATCATCTTATTAGTAAAACTTGGATCAGGGGCCAGCTGCCAGAGTATTTGACTCTCAGAATATTAGAGGAAGAATCATATAACTGCCACAGGAGCCTTATCTCTGTGGATAGTGGGCAGTTTTCAGAGAAAGGGAAGGTGAGCTAAGCAAATATCTAAAAATTGGCTGCTGTATATGAAGAGACTAATGAGACTTAGGCATGATCATGAATGACTTGTCTTTCCTCACTTTTTATTTCAAATACTGTGATTTTTCACCTTAGAATTTCCATTCTCTTTTTTGTTTTCTATTTCTCTGATGAGATTTCCTTTCTTTCTGTTTACTGTGGGCCTATTTTCCTTCATATCCTGAGCACAGTTATAGTATCTACTTTAAAACCCTGGTCTGCTAATTCCAATATCTGGTTTTCTTGGAGTTATTCTCTATAGGTTGTCTTTTCTCTTGAGAATGAGTCACATTTTTCTGTTTTTCATATTTTAAATAATTTTGGACTGTATTTTGGACATTGTGATTGTTATTTTGTGGAGACTGTAGATTCTGTTCTATTATTATTCTAAATAGTTTTAATTTTTTTCTCTTCATGTAGAAGGCAATTAAATTTTTTGGACTCCAATGACAAATTCTGTTTCTTGAGCTGCAGCTCAAATCTCAGTTGAGTTTCTTCATTCTCAGTTGCAGTCAGCCTCACACATGCATGATTCCAGGTCAGGGAGAGATTTGGGCAGAGTTTATATACAGAATATGGGGTGCATTCTCTCTCTTATCTTTTTTGGGGGATGCCCCCTTGACTTTCCAGTGGTTGTGGTTGCCTAAACTCTGTTCCCTATTTTTTTATGTGAGAGATACTGAGAGTTTTCTGTCAAGATTTCTGCCACCCTGTGCTGCCTCATTGTTTCCTACCTTCTGGTTTAAAAAAATAAAAAATAAATAAATAAAAACTGGAAATTAACCCATGCCTTCCCTTCTTCCAAGTGTTGATTCCCCACCATAATCTGCTTCTTTTGTTCACTCTCCAGTTCCTAAAGGTCATCGATTTTTTTATTGAATTTTGTCTAGTGATTATCACCTGCAGAAAGATAGATTATGATAGAAGCTTACTAAACTATACCCTTCTCACCACTTATTCGACATTACTTCCTGCTCTTTATAGTGAGTTCTTTTTAAAAATTATTATAACACATGCTTATCATAAAAATAACGAGTATGTGTATAACACAATATATGCTAGATTGTTCTAAGCAATTTTTATATAATAACTAGATCATGAAATAAATAGTACAGAATTATGTAATGTACACTTAAAAGTTCTATTTCTCCCACTATTCTACTCTGAGAGATGAGTATTCTTCCTGATATTTCTTACACAAGTCAAACTTTACTATATATCATCTTTCTGCAATATGCTTTTCTCACACTCACAATATATCATAGGTATCTTTCCAAATCATCTTAAATCTTAAATTATCTAACATAAATTTGCTACTACTAGTACAACTTTCACACACATACACAAACTTGCAGACTGAGTACACTCATATCATAGAGAAATTTGCATTATCATTTTTATGAACGAACTTTTCTGGTTAGGTAGCTTTACCCAACTAATTTTCTTTTCCTTCTCCTTCAGGTGGCTAAACCATAACCATGCCCAATGTCAGAATATTGTCAGACTGCACTCTACAATTAACTGTTTTTCCTTATTTAAGTCAAGTCAATTAAATCCATACAATCATTGTGAAACTAAAAATGAAATAATGTATATGAAAAATACTTCAAAAAGTTTAAACTGTTAAATAAATGAGTAATATCAGTTTGACCTACATTTTTTAGTATCTGCTGTGTATAAGAGTCTCGGAGGTTATAAGGATGAATAGGATGCAATATCGGTCTTCAAGGTGATGACAATCTAGCTTTTAAAATGTAGTTAATGCTATGACATAGATTTTTTTAAATGTGTTATGGGAGTGGCAATGGGAGGACAATTGATTCTGACAAAGAGAATCAGAGATGTATGAGAGATGATGAGGTGAATTGGTCCATGAATGATAAAAAGAAATTTCAGGTATGAGACTGAAGGAAGGGGATGTATTCCAAGATGAAAGAACAGTGTATATGTAGGCATGAAAGTATTTATTTTTCTGGTAATACCAAGTAAGTCATTTTGGTTGAAGCATAGGGTATGGTATATATGGTCATGGGAGGGGGGTAAGAGTCAAGGATTAAAAGTAGAATGAGACTATAGAGTGAGTCACATTTGGATTTATAAGGGCCTTATAGGTGTTGTTCCAAGAAATTTGCCTACAATATGATAGCCAGTGAATTAAGGATCTTGCCCAGAGAAATAGCACAGTGTATGGTGTATAAGACAATGCTAGCTTCTGTTACAAACTAACCTAAAATTGTACAATGGCTCAAAAATAGTAGTTTGTTTCTCATTCACCTAAAATGCAACTGGAGAATTCCTGATTAGTAGGCTGTTCTCCTGGGCTTGACTTAGGGCACAGGCTCTTTCCATCCTTGTAGCGCCACTGTCTTTAACACATGGCTTGAAAAGTTGCCATGTTTGTCTACATCAAGCTAGAGGAAAGGAGGAGAGCAAAGATCATGAGTGGAAGATTTTATTGACCAGACCTGGAAATGGTACTCAACACTTCTATTTTCTAAACTCAGTCATATGTATACAGTTATCTGCAAGAAAGCCTGGGAAATGAGGTCTAACTTCTTCCTTGGAAGAAGAGGAGAGGAATGTAGTGAACAACTTGGTGGTCTCTGTCACAAATAGTCAGATTTAGTTTTTAGAAAGCCCACCCTGGTTGCAGTGTCAGTGATGGATTGTAGGAGGAGATACTAAAAGCAGGAGAGCAGATAAGAGGCTGTTTTCATAGTGCAAGTGAGAGATAGTCAGGTCCTAAAGGCAATGCTTAAGGAGCCACTTGCATCAGGGATAAGACAGGGATACATTTTGGAGACCAGATTTGATGACTGAGAATTCAGGGGCCAGAGTTTGTTGACTTGAGCAATAGGTTGATAGCCTAGATGAATGGTGATTACTCTATATCATGATAATAATGCTCATCCAAAAAAAATGATTGCTTACTTAGACTGGTAATAATTGAGTGTTTGATAGATCAGAGCCCTTTGTCAAGAGCTATAGGAAAATAAAGTAGAGTATTTTATATGGCCCTTTCCCTCAAGGAGTTTTTAATCTATCTGAGGAGAGAGAATACACCCAAATGACAACTTGACAACTTTTATGTATATCAGTAAATGTGAGTTAATTCAACACAAACTGAATCCGAGTGCTAGAGGGGTTGGTGGAAGAGTTGTGTTTAAGAATGCATGGGATCATTAGGATGTAAGTTTGGAAGTTGGATTTTATTCTTTCATTTAACAAACATGTATTAAGTGTATGGTGTGCTTAGATAACTGTACTGCTGGTTCATAAAAAGGCTCAAGTAATATTTGTTGAATAAAATATTAGTTATTTAATGAGACAAACAAAAAATAACCCTTACTTTTGAGGGATTTATTAGAAATAAGTAATATGGGACAGTAAGGTTAACATAAAGGTAAACAACCAGTACAATAATGTTTAACAAGTGGTATGATAGAATGGTCCGGTTGGGGCACAAAGGAAGGAATGTTCAAGAAAAATCTTTGTTAAGCATGAAACTCTTGAGCTTGTCTTGGAATAACAGTACAAGTGACCACACAAACTAAAGATGAAAGAGAGAGAAGAAAGGTCTTTCCAATGCAGCAGCAAAGATGAAGGTATGACAAGGAAAGTGGGTTGGCAAGAGATGAAGCCTAGTGTTCCCTGAACCTAGTGTTCCCTGAATTTAGGGACCAAGTCGTGTTAATATCTGTACCCTTGTGCATAGTACTTGTCCCTTTTGAGATGCTCAGAAAATAATGGATTCTATTCCTATATGCCTTCTTGTAGTCCTGGCGAGTGTATCTAGTACACTTCTCTTCAACTTCAGACATCTAACTAATTAACAGAGGTAGTGAAATAATGATTTTTCCATCAGTGACTGAAGGCTCTGCTTGTCCCTGCTGGTGACCTCACTTTACATTCTCCTGAGGCTACAAAGTCATTTGCAGGTATATTTGGTTGTTTTAAATCACAGTTGCAAACCATCACTGATATAAGCCATCTAAAGTCCCAATTTCTGCTCAAAGAGAGATGCCTAACTGAAATAATAGTATCACCAAACACCATCTTGAATTCAAAATCAGATTGAGGCAACAAATAAAGTTTTATGTGATGTGAATCACCAATGGTATGAATTTCTCTTACTCTAGCAGAACTATATTTCTTAAAAGCTAACAACCATATTTTCTTAGTGAAATTTACTGTTTGAAGTGTATAAGCACGCTTTGGTCCTTGAAGGGTTGTAATTTTAACCGGAGATATTTCAGAATAAGATAATAAGTTGAGAAATGAGTGCTTGGGCAAGGAGTTTGAAAATGCAATTTTATTTCATTGGCATTTTTCTGTCTAGCCTCATATGTGTTTTTATGCACTAAATAAGTATATTGTAATTTAGACCTTGTGGTTTAATTTTCCATGAGCCTAATCCCTAATCTATACTGGGAAGAATGATCCTCTTAAAATGGGGGGTATCTAAAACCTCTTTTGTGTTTTCCTGCTAATAAATAACTTATATTAAAATAAAAGTATGGGATTGTGAATATTTGAGGTCAGACAGACTTAAGGTTAGTTCCCAATTTGCCACTTACTAACTGGGTGGCCTTAAGCAAGTTACTTAAATGTTCTGAGCCTTGCTTTCTTCATCTGTAAAATGAGAATAGTATCAACTACCCCTTGCAGGATATTTGTGAGAATTAGAGATTATATGGTGGGAATTACCATGTATGAGGTGTTTAAAGAGTGGGAATTGCTACTGCCACAAATATTGTTGTTGGCATCTTTCAGTTAGAGTCAACTTCCAGGGGAAAAAGTGTATTTGGAACTGCCCTCTGCATATAACAGTTTTAAAACTTTTCCCATTTGCACAAAGATCCTATATGTGACCTCAAAGTATATAATGGGTAAAAGTAAAGGTGAGATACTCAAAGCTTCAGGCCCCATCCTAGTCCCTAAGACGTGCTCATGAAATACAATTTGAAAACCATTCCCTCAGTGGCATACGTTTACAAGTGCTAGGGGAACTTAAAACATGACATTAAAAGAAAAGCAAGATTTCTAAGAAAGCACTGCATAGTTCCTGGTAGATCCTTGTATGATCTAAATGCTTATTCTATTAAATGTATGGTAAAAAGCACTGCAATCGGGACTTATAAGAAAATCGTGCACTATGCCTACTGAACTACCCCTCTGTAAAGAAGCATGAGAAATGAATCGTCTTTGAGGAGGGCAGTATAAACTTTTCATGATTTCCTAACTTTTCTGCAGTATTGTCAAAGAGGTAGGCTATAACCTATGCCCACAATTATTGAATGACAGCCTTCCCTCAAGACACTTTACTGCCATCAGAAACTTACTGTAAAATACTAGTTGTTAGAATAAGACTCTCTACAGCTATATTCCAGAAACCTTTTAATAAGTCTGTTGATTTTCATTATCCTCTACGATCCCTAGTATCTCCAATGTGAATGGCACACTCTGAAATGGAGCACTCTTGTACAGTGTGTAATCAGCATACATTATACCATGACCCTGCTGATATCCATATTTTTTAATAAAGATGAATTGTTTGGTTAAATATAAATGGCAGCTAATTAAAAATATAATTTTCACTTAAATTTTTATACAGATGCTTCAGAAATCAAGTTCAAATAAAGCAGTAAACCATACAGATTCTACAATTTCAAGGGCTTCTCTGTAGGCAGATAAAATAGCAGAAATTCAGCTGTCAACAAAATTATAGGCAGATTAGGTGCTATCTACGAATTAAAATGTAAAATTTGTAAATAATCTTCCTTGAGGTGATTGAGTTGCATATGATTTACTCACATTGACAGATGAAATTCCTTCTTTTACTTTTTATGGCTTAAAATATACTAGAAATATAAATGCATTCCCTTGACTATTAAGCTGACATACCTTTAGAATATTGAAAAACCAAAGCAACATTATTTTATTTCAGTCCTCAAAAGCAAATTTTTGCACTAAAATTCCACTCATTGTGTTGTAGAGCTTTGCTCCTTAGTTCAGCTAAAACCCAGATTCTTGTCACATGACCAGGAAAGTTTAGGCATGCGGACACATTGAAGGGTGAGGGGAGCAGGACTTTACTGAGCGAAAAGGATAAAAAGGAAGAAAACTCAGCAAAGTGAGATGGAGTCCTGCTAACAAGCCCTCTGCCTCACAGATTGAATCCCAGGTCACCACATAAAAACTGAGGAGTCCAGGCTCCTCCCACCTGCAAACAACGCAAACTTCCCGGGGCTCCACCTCGTCCTCCCAGTGCGCAGGCCAGTTGCAGATTCTCCAGGGACCCCGTTTTATCTGCCTAGGCATTTAACTGTCCCTACTGGAACAAAAGTAGTTTGCAATTTAAGAGAACAATTAAATATCCTGGTAGTGAACTCTGTTTCCTGAAACGAATCCACTGGATAATGAAAACCAAGACAGTACAAGAGGGGTCAGCAAACTATGGCCTGTGGGCCAAATCTGGCCTATCGACTGTTTTTGAAAATCAAGTTTTATTGGAAAATAGCTGTGTTCATTCATTTACACATTGTCTGTGGCTGCTTTGGTGCTAAACTGGTAGAGTTGAATACTAGCCACAGAGACTATATGACCTGCAAAGCCTAAAGTATTTACTGTCCAGTCCTTCACAGAAAAGGTTTGCTGACCTTTGCAATATTAAATTATTTGAAATGGCAAATAAAATATTATATATGTTTGTGTGAGCAAATTTATCAATACAAGGAAGGATATTCCACACTTTAAATGTTAATTATCATCAGGAAAGGTATTGGCAATTAAATAGAATACTTCTTTCTTCCTTGTTGCACAATTCTACTGCACCTAAACTCTTCCAGTCACTGCACATCAAAATACATAAAATGGAATTGAATAAAATTCAGAGAATGAAAAATGAATTTATACTAGACTGAATAATGGAAGAGACTCTTACATTTGGGGAAAATGATGAGTGGTGACTTTACCAATTCTTCAAAGTCAAAAAGGCCAATGGTAAGCTGAGTACTAACTTTTCAGTAGAACCCTTGAATACTTGACAAAGTACTCCAAAGACAAAACTCAGGGCTATAAGGACCATAAGTGAAACAACAGTTTGTCAGAAGGGACTCATTCCTTCCTGTTAAGTTTATATAACTACATTGAATACAATCAGAATTCAGACATAGGATTACTAAGTGGCGTTTTTTTCAAAAAAGGAATACTAACACTGATCTCAAGCTAACAGAAGGTGGCATTGTGACCTTCAGAGGTTAAGAGCAGTAAGCAGAAAGTTAGTATTAGTATACAGGAGTTTTATTTAATTTTATTTTACTTATTTTTAAATAATTCCAACTTTTATTTTAGATTCAGGAGTTTAATGTCAGGAATACTGGGAGGAAACATGAGAAGGAGGATGACTGCTTAGAATTAATTTGCAGAACCCTTTCTTAAAGCAATATTTTAAGCGGAAACCCAAGATACAAAAACCAAAAATAAATGAAGATGTTGATGAAGCTAGAGTGGATGAGTGTTAAAGTTCTGCTTGCTTGGAATTAAAAAAAATAAAATAATAAAACTAAATTTAAAAGTTCTGCTTGCTTGGATCCCTCTCTTCTTTATGTCTGTCTCCTCTGTGAAGAAGAGCTCTGCATTTTCAATTAGCAGACTATCACTGAAAGTGATTCAGGAAGGCTACTCACAAAAAAGGAATATTTGTGTGTCCAGCCCATCTAATTTCCAACATGTCCAGACAAGTTTATTATGCTTTTTTGCTATCTCCCACTTCTTTTGGCCTTTATTTTCCTGTTATGAAATATTTATGACATACTGAAAATGTTATTTAATATTTACTCATAAAATTTTGTAAAACTTTAAACTTTGCACATAAACAGATAAATATTTTTGGTATGCTTTTCAATCGATATTCATCGAAAAGGTTTATTACTTTTGTAGATACCTTTCATTGTTTTCATTCTTACTTGTCTTAAAGTCTAAAATTAAATCAGTATCTCTACCCTTTTCCTAAACAACAGATGGAAATTAAATTGTTTTAATTTTGATCATTATCCCTTCATTTACATGTAATTATCATCCAGTATTCTGATTATACTTCTTCTTAACACCCCAAAATTATTTATTATAATATTTTCCACATTCAATGCTTATTTAGATTTACCCACATGTTTACCACTTACATTACCATTTTTTCTTGCAGCTCATGCCTTTCTTCTGGGTTCAGTTTTATGCTTCCTGAAGTACATCCTCTCATAATTCTTTCAGCAAGGGTCTGTAGTGGTAAAGTCTCCTTCTTTGTAGGAAGTTGTCTTCATTTTACCCTCAGTCTTGACTAAGAAATTCTCTAGATAAGGAATGCAATACTGACAGTTGTTTTCTCTAAGCATTTTGAAAATATTACTTCATGAACTAACAGATTTATTCCTGGTACAAGTAACATACTATCCAACAATAATGTCTTCAACAATAAAGATGTACACAGTCATAGCTCAGTAAATGCTGGAGATTGGTTCCAGGACCCCTTCATATATCAAAATTCTTGCATACACAATTCCCACAGTAGGCCCCACAGAACTAGCACATACCAAAAGTTGGCATCCCATGAATACTGTATTTTCTATCTGTGTTTTAAAAATCAGCATGTAAGTGGACCTGCAGGGTTCCAACCCGTGTTGTTCAAGAGTCACCTGTACTTTCTACCATAACAAGCAGTTCAGAGCTAGGCAGTACTAGGGTTGGTTAATTGAGCAGCTCAATATACCACAAATCTGAGTCAGCTTCTCTGTGACACTTTTGGCTTTTCTTTTATAGTTGTTAAATAACAGCCAGCTGCAAACATCATGTCCTCACGATGATAATGTCCAAAGGCTGAAAGGAAGAGCCAAGTTCTCCTTGCCTATCTCTCTCTCGCTATCAGACAAGATAATCTTTTCCAGAAACCTTTTTTCAGACTTCCTCTCAGCCAGAATTGGGTGGCATGCTCACCCACTAATATAGTCACTGGCAAAGAAGAATGAAATATTATGACTTGCTTAAACCAGTAATGGAGTTTGGAGTGGGGCACATGTTTCATACCTGAACAATGTAAGAATTCTGTTAGCAATGCAAAAGAGGTTAATGGCTGCTAGGTAAGCAAACAACAGTTTTCCATACTTTTTTTTTTTTTTTTTTTTGACGGAGTCTTGCTCTGTCGCCCAGGCTGGAGTGCAGTGGCATGATCTCGGCTCACTGCAGCCTCCGCCTCCCGGGTTCAAGCAATTCTCCTGCCTCAGCCTCCTGAGTAGCTGGGATTACAGGTGCACGCCACCACACCTGGCTAACTTGTATTTTTAGTAGAGACGGGGTTTATGGTGCCATTAAGTAATCTGTTGTTATTCTAACTAATTATAGCTTCATTGTAGCTAATCTGTCTGTTCTATCTAGTTGTTCTATTATATCTTTATGTATGGTGCTGTGTTAGTTCATATCATCCAAGAAGCAGCTGCCAAGATGGAATAAGATGTGCTAGAGTGTTTTGGAGGATCCTTTGAAGGATAATGGAGAGGGAGCAGGAGAAGGGAGGGAGAACCTTTAGAATGATGCAGGGTCTGACCTGTGAAGAGGGAGATAAGAGGGAATATTAAGTAGGAAGAGTTTCAGACTACAATGCAGATCCAAGAAAGTTTTGGCCAGGCTGATGGAGACCCCTTGAACCAAAGTTACCCATTATAGGGGTCCTCCATCTTGTAGGAATGGCCTGTATTAGTACAGTCATTGGCTGGAAGTAGCCCATAAGAAGTGTGGACTCAGCATGAATCCAGTACTACATTCAGAAGGTCAGGAGCTGGGGCTATCATTCAATTATGCACATAAATAGATTGGGAGGTGCATTTTCATAGCTGCCTTAGATAATCTAACTATGAATTTTCCTTTTTCCTACTGACGGGTCATGCTTCCTGAATCTGAAAATTTTTTCAGATTCTCAGATTTTTAAATCAGTCTTAGAATATTCTCCATCATCATTATTTCTTCCCATTTTCTTTATTTTCTTTTTCTAGAATGTTTATTAGATCCATATCATATCATTTCATTCTATCCTCCATGACCCTTAACATTTCTTTTAGATTTGTCATCTCTTTATATCTCTGTGCTGTATTCTGGGTAATTTCCTCAGATACACATTCAAGTTCATGAATTCTTGCTTGATTTGTGCCTCATTTGCTATTGAACTTTCCCTTTAGCTTTTATTTTCCATTGAGTTTCACATTTTGATACTATATATTTTTAGGACAACTTTCTTTTAAGTCTATATGATCTCTTTTTAAAAATAGTGCTTTGTTCTTATGCTTTTCATTCTTTCTTTAACCATTTTAAACGTATGCATTTTTTACAGTCTCTAAACAAGAGCTGTGTTATCTGAAATTCTTAGGGACCTAATCTTATAGTTTGGTGAACCTTTTGTTTCAGTTGGATTATTTCCTTATATAATTTTTAACTTTAGGTTGTGATCTTATTTGCATTTGCCTCTGCCAGGCTCTCTAATCCTTTGTATTAATGTTAATTTCTCTTACTGGTAGTCATTAGAACACATGGATAGTATACACTCAACTCTAAATCCATCCTTGATATAGGCCCATAATTATAAATTCTCAATAACAATTTTCTATTGTTTTCACCCAGAGCCCAGTCCAGGGCAGACAGGCTTCTTTGTTATCCCTTTGTGTGAGTGGGCAGATTTCTTTCAGTATATTCTTTTTGGAAGTGTAGCATTCTGGGGGTCCATATATTGGCAACATACGGGGGTTTCATTTGCAAAACCCTACCTTATGAAGACCAAAGTCATCACCTCCTAATTCGACAACCTTAGCCTTAAAACCCATATCTTTATGTTACCTACTTGCAGAGAAGCTGCAACATAGACTCCTGAACATGCCACTCAGGTTTAAAATTCCCACCTTGGTTTTGACTCCTGTTTTGTTTTTGCTTTTGTTTCCACATATTGTGAGCTCAATTTTTCATTTAAAAGGACACATGCAATGTTTATCCAGTATTTTTACATGTTTTTTTTTTTTTTGTAGGCTAAAACTTTTTACATTTTCTAGTCCACCATTATTGCCAGAAGCCGAATTCTTAATTCCTACTCTATATTGCCTCAGGGTAGTTTGGTTAACAAACAGCAAAATTCACTTGCCATCCACACACCTTCTCTTTATAGCATAAGAAATCATGATATTAGAAAAAAAAATCTTGATACATCTGGTTTCAGAGAAAACTGCAGTGCTTCCAAGGCAACTAGAAGAGGTCACAGGCATGCTTAGGCAGATAAATTCTAGAGAATGTTTTAACCAAGCTTGCCATTGTATCACTAAAGGAAAAGCAGAGGTCTTGCTTGAGAGTATTAGAAAGGCACATTGCTGCTTTTTTAGTGTAGGACATCGTTTGATTCAAGGAAATTGCCCTAAATGTTATGTTTTCGATCATCTACTGAGAAACAGTGAGGAAATAATCCTACAATGACCCAGCTGGCTAGTTGCGTAAGTTATAAAGTTTTATTTTGTCAATAAAGACTTACTTTTCTTAAGAAGGTTTGTGTTCCTGAGTCCTATAAAAACTGGATGAAAAGAAGTTGGCTGCTAGATTATTACCACAGATATAAGGTCCCATCTAGTGGCAAATGTTCCTGCAAACTGAGGTCTGCACAATTCATGAAAATAAGAAAAGGTTCATTTTTTGGCATAATTGACAAAGTATGACATATCAGCCCTTTCAACATCAGCTTTTTAATGAAAATCTTCTTTTATGGCACAGAAAAAAATTTGTAGTATACAATATTATTTTAGAGTTTTTACCGAGATGATTTCAGATTATTATTTACCAAGTATCTATTCTATTTTAAAGACCATATTTTTAAAAAATGTTTACACTTTTTATATGCCATTTAAGGGGCAAATTTTTTATTCATTTAATATAGAAAAGTCTCATAATTTTAAAAACTTTTGACAGTACTAGTTGAATCTTACCCCGGAATATTCCATGGAAAGAGTAGTATAAAGAATGTAGGGGGACAGGGAACGGTGGCTCACGCTTGTTATCCCAGCACTTTCGAAGCCAAGGAGGGCAGATCACTTGACGTCAGGAGTTCAAGGCCAGCCTGGCCAACATGGCGAAACCCTGTCTCTACCAAAAATACAAAAATTATCCGGGTGTGGTGGCGTGTGCGTGTAGTCCCAGCTACTCAGGAGGCTGAGGCACAAGAATTGTTTGAACCCGGAAGGCAGAGGTTGCAGTGAGCTGAGATGGTGCCACTGCACTCCAGTCTGGGCGACAAAGCAAGCCTCTGTCTCAAGAAAAAAAAAAAGAAAGAATATAGGGGATTTGGTTCACCTGCCTAAGAGAATAAACTATTTTAAGAACTTTAAAAGCAATAGTAGTACAATGAAGATTTTTATTGTTTTTCTTTAAACCAGTGAGTCTAGAAACTTCTATAGGATACTAGTAAGTAGTGACTAACATTCATACAGTGCATTTGAAAGTAACTATCACACATTTATATTTTAAATATTATATGGACTTAACACTTAATACAACTTGACTCTCCAACTGGCCTGAATTAATAGGATTTTTAACATCTTTCTACACATTTTCTTAAATGTAAATATTTTATATGCTGAGGGAAAGTAGTTTCTTTCTCTTAAGCTGTTTTCTTGAGGAATCATTACATTTTCATGACTCACACCTTTGAATTTTATCTTTTCTTACAATTCCAAATCGAGCTGTTCATGTCTCTTCTCTATTCCAAGCAATTCTTTGCCCCATTCATTTTGAAGATGTGATCAGAGAGTAGGTGTGAGTGGATAATATTCAATTCAAACAACATGACTACACATAATTTAAAGCATCCAGTGCATTTTAAACTGACATTTAAGGATTGCGCTGGACTAATTCATCCTGCCTTCTTCAGCTTACGTATTTCTGTGCATAATTCCTTCTTGAAGTTAATGGGAATTTGGCATGTGGCAGGAATACATGTTTCATGAAATGGGAATCTGGGATCTGTCATTTAACAAGAAATCTGCTTCTACCTTAATTGGTCTGTCTCCCTAATGTCTTTCACTATACTATAGCAGCATAGGCTGGCCTTCCATTTTAATGTTTAATGAAACTATTTTAAATTGAAGACTATATATGGGTTACCATGAACAGAAAGAAAGTAGTATGATCTATGGGACTGAAGGTGGGAGAGTTTTGAAATGTTGTGCTTACTGAACATAGCTTAAAATTTAAAAGTTCTGTGTGCTACATTGTAAACATTTTAATTAATAACACATTGTTTCACTCACCCATGCCAGTAAATGCTGAAAAACATCTTATTCAACAGGCTTTAGAACTAGAACTTTATTTTTATGATCTTTTAAATTAATTTTTATTTATAATTGATAAATAATAACTATACATATAGAACTAGAATTTTAAATCAAAGAAAAAGTAATGGTTTTTCTAGTTCCTTAGTGCTGTGCACGGTGTATTGGAGTTCAGCCTTTATATCAGTATCTACATTTTCTAAGTTTCAGTTATGCAAATATGTACTTCCTATATGTAGGTGAAATAATTTTTAGCATATAAAACATTTTCAAATAATGATCAATAATTTGCCAACACATTGAATAAACTATAAGATCCATGAAGGGAATACTATGCAGGCTTAAAGAAAAAGAACGCAAGAAAGATTTCTATACACTGGTATGGAGAGATCTCAAGATGTATTGTCAAGTAAAAAAAAAAAAAAATGGTCTGGGTGCAGTGGTTCACGCCTGTAATCCCAGCACTTTGGGAGGCCCAGGTGGGAGGATTGCTTGAGCCTAGGAGTTTGAGACCAGCCTGAGCAACACAGCCAAACCCTGTCTCTACAAAAAAAACTAAGAAATTTAGCTGGGTGTGATGGTGCACACCTGTGGTACCAGCTACTCGGGAGGCTGAGGTAGGAGGATCACTTGAGCCCAGGAAGTCGAAGTTGCAGTGAGCTGAGGTTGCACCACTGCATTCCAGCCTGTACAACAGAGCAAGACCCTATCTCAAAAATAAGTAAGGTGTAAAAATGTAAATATAATATACTATGCTTTGTGTACAGAAAGAGTGATATTATAATATATATTCTGATATTCTGTACTGGTGTGAAATATAATGGAAAGATGAATAAGAAGCTAGTAAAAATGGTTACAGGGGGTGGAGGAGAAATGAAGTGGGTGGGGAGAAAAGACAAAGTGAAACTTACTGTACACCTCTTTAAACAATTTGTTTCTTAGCTTGTTTTGTTACAAAGCATGTTAATGTAATGAAATGGGAAGAAAATAAATTTACCAATACACAAAAGATGTTTTAAACTGCTTTCTTCCAGGAATATATAAGTTAAAATGTTGGACCTGGATTTTTTGTCTTGACTCTGCCACTAATTAGCTATATGATGTTAGGCAAGTCACTTTACTCATCTGGACTTCGATATCTGTAAAATAAGTAAGTTAGAATAAATAGTTTCCAAGGCCCTCCTCAGTCCTTTCATTCTAACATGCAAACAGGTGACAGCTTAGTTTAGGTGTACATAGGTCAACTTTTTAAGGATTGGAATTGTGTCTGATTGATAAGAATATTTATTGGTACTCTAGAGTTCTTCTGCTTTGGCTAATTTTTTCTCCAGATGAAATAATACTTAAAATGAGTTTTCTCACTCAGTCAGATAGATACACATTGGATATAAATTACCTTTTTAAAAAGCAATTTTGCTGCTTTTCCAAAAAGAATTTCTGTCTTTTAACTTTACGCAAAATCTTCATACAAATATTTACTAAAGTATCATAAATGTACTGACACCAGATGAACTCAAAACATTGACTTTTAATTGCTAATCAGTATTTTGATAAGCTTCTGAGTCTTTATTAAATATGTGTTCATGTTTGATATCCATTCTGTTTAGGCTTCAATTATTTAATTACAGGTCTTGATATGAAACTAATCATGCATATATCCATACGAAGCTTGTATACTGACAGGATAAAATCATTAAACAGTCATTACTGTAAACTGACGTTGGCCTGAAATTTTTGCAGTTAACGGGGGAGTTGATGCTTGATGAACAATCCAATTAAAACTGGCAACAAAAGACCTAAAATGTCAGCCAAATTGCTTTTTAATAGTCAATGTAGCCATCACAAAACATAAACATTAAAGTCCCCATAGAAGCATAAAGCTTCATGGTGAAACAATTCTAGAAAATGAATAATAATTATAGCATCTTGAGGATTCTTTTAATAGACATGCACTCATTAAAAATATTTTGTTGGTTGGAATCAGATGACAAAGTATGTTTCCCTGAATATTTTCTTACATTTGTTATAATAATAATTGTATTTAACATTAGATAGGTGTAATTTCTATTTTCTAAAAATGTTATTTTAAAAGCACTTTAATAACCTAGAATACAGGTTTTGAAAAAGGGAATAAGAAAAATGTACAATATGACCTGCTAATATCTCAAAATACAAAATCATAATGAATCCTCAGTTACACTGAACTTTAAATAAAACACAGGAAAGCCAATTGTGATTTCTACAAGTAATCCAAAAGCAATGGACAACATTTAGATTCTTGCAACTCTCTGAGTGTTCAATACTGAATATGTGAATGGATTAATCACCCAGATGTTTCCTGCTATTCAGCAGTTTGATTTTTAGTTGAAGATACAAATTCTATTATTTGCATTTTTCACCATTGGTTCAGATGTTTTGCACATGGAAGCCAAAGAATTAGATTGCCGTGAAAGATTATCTTGTATGTTATGAATAATCCAACTTCTTCCTCTATCATTACTGCCACATCTTTGAACAGGCAAAGAAAGAAATTGTGGGGTTTTCATCTTTGTAACATTGTAACACAAAGGAAAATATCAAATGGCTCCTAGGGAAAATGTTGAAAGCATCAGGGTTTTAATAATAAGTCATTTATTTTCTCAGTAAACATTTGCTAAACACTTATAATGTGCCAACATGGTGTTGACCACTCTGGGAATCTGGAGATGAGAAAGATTTGGATACCATCTGAAGCTTATTATTTAGCTGAAGGTTAGACATGTAAGCAATCACATACATGGGAGAAATGTATAAAGAATTCAAGCCAGGAAAATAAAAAATACTTATCTCCCAAACTCACATGTGAATTAGGATTATCCTTTAGCCTACCATATTTTTAAAAATACTTTGTAGCATAGATACACAACAGTAGAGTCCTCAGACAGATGGTTTTCTAATATGTTTATGTATTAAAATATCTTTCAATTAAGTATTGCCTTCCTCTACAATCATAGAGTCTAATTTTATGTGCTATGAAGGATAAATTGACGTTCACACTTCTCCAGCTGTGGTTCGTGTGTTTTATCTGTTGGGAAAGTTAGTGCTCTGTTTTCAGAGCAACAATTTTTAAAATCCCTCAGAGGAGAGATAGACACATTGGGACTTCAAAGTCTATTAGCTGAAACACTGAGGAGAAAACCCTATAGGAATATAAATGAAATTTTAATAGCACCATATCAGAAAATATTAAATGACCCAACTATCCATAAAAATTTGCTTATCTTTTAGGTTTTTTTCATAGTACAATGATGACTAAATTATAGAGAGAAAATTCTAACATTTAGGCTATATCTCTAAACCACCATCTCAGCCTGTGGGAAAATAAAAATGCCTTGGTCCATATTATGCACGTCGTCGAATAAAATCATGTCAGCAATTTGGTTAAGTGTTGGCTTGAACAGACCAAATCAGCCAGCTCCTTTGCTATTGTATGAACCACAGAATAATAAGTTTAAGCATAATTTTCTGCCCCTAAATTAATATTTTAATATGTAATCATTCAGTAAAGAACAATAAAGCCTTCGGTGTAAAAAAGAATAGATAGATTGATAGATCTATCTAAAAATTCTTATGACCACATGTAAAATTGCATTATGTATTTTTGCATTTGCCCAAGTAAATTCAAGGTAAATATTAATACTATTTGCTCACATATTTAATCAGGTACCTACTATGACCTAGACATTGTGCAGGGCACCAAGATTCAAAAATGAATAATAAATAGACCTCACCTTCAAGCAACTCACTGCCTCACTGACACAACACACACACACACAAATACTCATGATAATGTTGGTTTCTGATAGATAATAAGTTGTGTGAGAACACAGAAAGGAAAATGGAAGAAAGCATCACAGAAGAGGTAACATTGCCTAAAAGACTTCCATTCATGCCTTAAGACCTAGCTCCACTGAGAAGGGTGAGAAGCAATAGCATCAAAGCAAAGGAAGCATGTATAATACAGTACTGTGGAAACACAGATGTGCGTGGCTTATGCAGAGTAGAGAGATAGGGGATAAAGCTGCTGGGGTTTATAGGCCCTACTAATGATTTTGTACTATATGTTACATATAATGAAGAGCCATTGTATTCATTGTAATTAAGAAAACAGTTGTGGATTTATTCATTTTGATTATTCATTGGTAATACATATAATTAAATAAGCTGTTAATAAGTTACAGAGATATCAGATATCCTAATTTAATAAGAATTAGATCTGTGAATACCAGGGTATTATCTATAGTCAGTGTTTCCTACATTCTCCTGAATATATTTAAGTCAGGTGAAGATTTTCTAAGATGATTTCTTTATAAAGCACAATTAGCATTTTTTTCCACAAAAGCAGTAATAAAACCACCATCATACCTGTATAAAAACCCAAATTTTTATATAATATTCCAGTAGAACTCTTAAAAGCACTCAAGCAATGAAATTACCGGCACATAAACAATACCTAACTCAAGGATTGCCAGAAACCATATTTTTATTATCTACAATTATTTTAATGTTAAAACCAATAATGTGGACATTTTGGTGGCACAAAGTACTCTTGAACTACTTAATTAGTTTAATAGGCAACATGGTATAGAACAGTGACTTTTAATTTATTTTTCTCACCGTTTCCCACAGTTAAAATATATTTTGCATCATAATATACAAAACTGAAACAAAAGTTTCATGAAACAATTAAAATCTTTACTAAATGTGATGTTCTAGGATATATTATATTCTATTTCATTTTTTATCCTAGTCAAAATTGGTTTCATAACCCATCAATTGATCATAGCCAGACATTTGGAAAACATTGTTATAAATAGAATAGTTGAAAATAACTGGATTTGAAGTCAAAAGATACTGGATTGGAAGTTGAAAGACTTGGGTTCTTTTTCTGGGTTCTTTTTACTGCTTACAATCTCTATGGCCTTAGTAAAGTCAGTTAACTCCTCTGGTTTTTGATATATAAAATGGGAATGATGCCTTCCATGTCTATCTCACAGACTCCTGTTGTAAGGAGCAAATGAGATAATATAGTGTTTTGCAAACCATAAAACACTATATAAGTGTAAGGAGGTGATATCCATAAAATGAGACTATACTTCATAGTTATGTATTTCATGTGACTTTCGTGAACCTTTTAATCCTTCAAATTCACTGTTAAAAATAATTTCCGTGACGGTATCTAGTCACACCAGATGTATGTGAAAATAAGGTTGACAAAGTGTTTCTCGTTATGAGTAAATGACATAAGTTCAAGTAGAGTGTATGTTTTTGGCCTCTCTGAAAGAAATGTGAAACAGACCAGCACCCTTTAAACTAAAAGATAGTTAAAACAATGAGAGGAATGCATGGCTTTATATTATGTAATTTGCATATGTGACACATCTTTTTTGATACATGGTGCTGCTGCTGAAGTTAGCCTTTGGCAAAGACGTGTCATAAACGCATTTGCAGAACACTAATAGGAAGAAATCTATAACAGTGAAGAGGGAAGCAGGCAAATCATTCATTTGAAAAAGCATTGTTTAGTAAAATATTATTATGAACTACCTATGTTCAGTTCTTGCCTTGCTAAAAATGGATGGAAATTCAATATGATTTGAGGATGACTTGTCTGGTTTTCTCCATTCAGTTTTTCAACAAACATTTGCTAAGTACTGGCTGTGTACCACACTGCAGGTGCTATGAGAGTCATTACCTTTCAAAGGGCTTTATCCTCTGTTAGGGAAGATAAAACAAGTATACAAATACAAAGCACAACATTAGGCCTGTTGGACGATTGCACGAAGCAGAGACTTACTCAGACTAGCTCAGATGATAAGGATTTATTATAAGCGTGCATGTCCAAAATCTGAAAATGAACCAAGCTCTAGAAATTTCAGCAGCAGGAGTTTGTGAATTTTCAATCCAGGGTTCTGCTATTCCTGACACAGTAACTGCCTCCTGTCTGCTTTTTTCTATATCTGTCTGTTCTCTTTCTGCCACCACCTGGCTTCATGTGTCTTAGGAGGTATTGGGGGCATAATAGGAAACAGTGCTATAGGTGGTCAGAAGAGATTACTGTAGCTTCTTTCTTTAGATTTCAAAGAATGGTTAATAAAAGGGGTAACATTGGTAATGGGCCTCAGAAGAGTAGGATGCAAACAATATGGGATGAAAGGACATTCAAGGTGGGAAGTCAAGTATGAATGCAAAGATTCAGAGATGGAGAGAGCACCAGTGGGTCTGTTGAATGGCAAATGTTGCAGTGTGGCTGCAGGACAGGAAATATGCAAAGGTATACTGGGCCAAAATCATACCTTTTTAACCCCTCAAAAAGTGTTCTAAAACTTTTGAATTTAAATGTAATATAGTCAATCTACATGTGTACGTATTTTTTAAATGTCCAATAGTTTTCCAATGTAAAAAAAAAAAAAAAACAGTCCAAACAAAGCATACCTCAAAAATGTCTTCCATTGGCCTTTGCTTCAGTTTATTTTGCAGAAACTGGAACACATTTGTCACTCCATTGACAAGCTTATCTAGTGAGGCATGGCACTAGGCAGTGTGTGGATTGATAAAATAAGAAACTCCCTGTTCTTAGAATTTGCCATTTAGTTGAGGGACAAGACAGACAAGCCCAAACACAAACATAAATGTAGCAGAAGCAGGTATTTTTATACAGCTGTCACTAAGTACTTTCACACTCCCTAAACACTATACCCAGATATTACCACCCAATCTCCCTCATTGGCTTCCTTGCTTACCTATTCAGATTCCTTTCTCCTCAGTGTGCTCTAAGCTTCACAGCAACATAAAAAGGTACCTAATTGGTTCTCTAATTGAAATATCTGGTCTTGGGTTTAAAGACCATCTACCAATTGCTGTCCCCACGCCTGCACTCATTTGACTATGTCCATTTACCACTTCTACCTAGTCATGCTCTCCTCTCCAGGGAGGCAAACTTATTTGTCACTGGAAAATATTGTCCTTTGAGGACCTGAGGTCTTAATAGAAGGCAGAAGAGCAAGCAATGATCACTGATAAAATTTGATTGCCTTTGATAAAGTAACATGAATAAGGGCTTTAAACATAAATTTCTTTATAAACGTTGGATTCAAGTTTAGCCAAACCCTGCAAATAACCATTATATGTTAAATAATCAAGATGTACCAGCAACAGTTTTTCCCTTGCTAATTCTCCAGGACATAGAAGGTAACTAATCCAAGGTGACACGGTTACAATAGGATTCAACAAAGTCTAGTCTGTTCTGGGATAGAAAGGTATATTTTGCTTCTTTGGAATGCCCTCCAGAAATAGAAGACTATATCTAGGGTGAACATTCCAACTTAATCCTAAATCTGAGAGATATCTCTGTGCCTATTACCTGATTCAGCTACTGACATAGCACTGATCACCTTGTAAAGCACACATATAAATGGCTCTACAATAGAGACCTGTTCTCACATGAAACCTAGAATATTTGTGGAGTGATTATTAATGGATTAATGCGACATTTAGTAGTTGCAACTCAGCTGAGAATAGGAGATGAGCTCCTGGAGACACAAAGAACCTCATGTCTCACCATTTCTTCTCACTGACTAAGCTTTTCAAAGGGGTGTGTGTGTGTGTGTGTGCGCTTTTGAGAGAAGTGACTTTCACCTTCACCATTATACTTGGGCACATAGCATACCTAACACTTAATAAGCAGTACAAAAATGTTTGTTTAGAAAATTAAATAGCTGGCTTGGGCTAGGAAAATTATTAAATCAGCATTAGCATGTCTATAATTTTTCCCCTCTCTTAATTGTTATATTTACTTCTGCTGCTCTGCCATTCCCTCGTACCATTGCCCAAGCCACTGAGGCACCCTGCTCCCTTTCATTAGGGCCATTTCCCTTCCCTGTGTATCATACAACTTTTCTGTGAAACCTTGTAGACTAGTCTGTTCTCTCTTTTTCAACTCTACCACTGTTTACAATTACCTGCTCATCATTCCATTGTATTAATATGCATGTGCTTACCCTCCTCCCATGTCAGTTACATAACCTTTTCTGATGACCATCCACTATTCCTTTTGGTGATTTTTCAGGCAGATATATCTGTTAGGGGAAGAGGAAGAAGGGTTAAATGGCAGATTTATTTCTGTAATCTTTGGAATGAGGTTAGTCAGTAAAGACTACACAAGTAAAGACTACACAGTAAAGACTACAGCATCATACACAAGTATGATGCTGACCATTATGTGTAAAGCTGGAAAGTGATTATGACCTGGAGTAAAGGCATACTCATCTCAATGGTCACCACTGGTTGACCATGTAATCTTCAACAAATAACATAAATTTTCCATGCCTCATTTTCCTTACCTTATATTTAAAGGTAAGTATTTATTGTACCAGCAACTTTATAATCACAATAACTTACCACATCTTATAATGAGAATGATGATTGGAATGATATATAAATGGAATGCTATTTGCACCTCTCTGTGTATAAGAGAGCTGAAAATGATTAAATACAGTAACAAATCATTTACTCAGAATGTCTGAGACCTGACCTGTTCTATTATATTGGAATTTAGATATCCTAGTTCCAAGTGAGCATAACAATTTTAAAGGCATGTTAGCTAATCAATTTATGCTATATAGTGTAAGATGCAAAGTATAGTAAGAAATAAGTTTTAAAACCATCTGTCTTAGAAAGCATGACACATAATATGGAATGTAAGATATGGTAGAAAATAAACAAGTTTTTAAAACATGAGTTGAAGAAAACATTTATTTAGTGTTAATACATTATCTAGATGAGTTGGTGCTATGTATGGAATTGTGTCCCCCAAATTTATATGTTGTAGCCCTAACCACCAATGTGATAGTATTTAGCAATTGGGCCTTTGGGGGATGATTAGGTTTAGATCATTCCATGAAGATAGGGCCCACATGATGGGATTAGTGCCCTTCTAAGAAGAGACATACTTTCTCCCCACCATGTGAGAACACAACGAGGAAGCAGCTATCTTTTTATTTTTCATGGAAGAAAATATTTGCAATGTATTTAACACAAAAGGATTGATATTGGGCTTTATGTAATAATTTCAAATCAATTGTAAAAGACCAAACATCCAATGTACATTAAAATGGACAGAAGTTATAAAGAGGCGATTCAGTTTTAAAAATGAAAAAATAAAATTTAAATGGCTAACAAACTGTTTTTAAGATGCTCCACTTCACTTGTAATCAGAATACCCACAAAAAGTTGTTTAAAATTATAATCCATTTATATTATAGAATACTATGGAAGCATTATTTTTTAAATTAAGGTCTATTTGTATGTACATACGTGGAAAGATCTCCAAATGCATTTCTTAGAAAAACATGCTACAAAACAATGGAAATAGTATGATCCCATTCATGTTTTTTTATTTTTTTATTTATACTTTAAGTTCTAGGGTACGTGTGCACAACATGCAGGTTTGTTACATATGTATACATGTGCCATGTTGGTTTGCTGCACGCATTAACTCGTCATTTACATTAGGTATTTCTCCTAATGCTATCCCTCCCCCCTCCCCCCACCCCACAACAGGCCCCAGTGTGTGATGTTCCCCGCTCTGTGTCCAATTGTTCTCGTCGTTCAATTCCCACCTATGAGTGAGAACATGCAGTGTTTGATTTTCTGCCCTTGAGATAGTTTGCTGAGAATGATGGTTTCCAGCTTCATCCATGTCCCTACAAAGGACATGAACTCATCCTTTTTTATGGCCACATAATATTCCATGGTGTATATGTGCCACATTTTCTTAATCCAGTCTATCATTGATGGACATTTGGGTTGGCTCCAAGTCTTTGCTATTGTGAATAGTGCCGCCGTGAACATACGTGTGCATGTGTCTTTATAATAGCATGATTTGTAATCCTTTGGGTATATACCCAGTAATGGGATGGCTGGGTCAAATGGTATTTCCAATTCTAGATCCTTGAGGAATCGCCACAGTTTTCCACAATGGTTGAACTAGTTTACCCTCCCACCAACAGTGAAAAAGCATTCCTATTTCTCCACATCCTCTCCAGCACCTGTTGTTTCCTGACTTTTTAATGATCGCCATTCTAACTGGTGTGAAATGGTATCTCATTGTGGTTTTGAGTTGCATTTCTCCGATGACCAGTGATGACGAGCATTTTTTCATGTGTCTATTGGCTGCATTAATGTCTTCTTTTGAAGTGTCTGTTCATATCCTTTGCGCACTTTTTGATGGGGTTGTTTGATTTTTTTCTTGTAAATTTGTTTAAGTTCTCTGTAGATTCTGGATATTAGCCCTCTGTCAGATGTGTAGATTGCAAAAATTTTCTCCTATTCTGTAGGTTGCCTGTTCACTCTGATGGTAGTTTCTTTTGCTGTGCAGATGCTCTTTGGTTTAATTAGATCCCATTTGTCTATTTTGGCTTTTGTTGCCATTGCTTTTTGTGTTTTAGTCATGAAGTCCTTGCCCATGCCTATGTCCTGAATGGTATTGCCTAGGTTTTCTTCTAGGGTTTTCTTTGGTTTTAGGTCTAACATTTAAGTCTTTAATCCATCTTGAATTAATTTTTGTATAAAGTGTAATTCCCTTTGAAAACTGGCACAAGACGGGGATGCCCTCTCGCACCACTCCTATTCAACATAGTGTTGGAAGTTCTCACCAGGGCAATCATGCAAAAGAAAGAAATAAAGGGGATTCAATTAGGAAAAGAGGAAGCAGCTCTCTTAAAGCAGCTATCTTCAAGCTAGGAATAGAGCCGTCACCGGAAACCAACCATACTGGTGTTGCAGAACATTCTCTTTAGTTCAGCTAAAATCAGGTTCTTGTCACACGACCAGGAAAGATGAGGCTTGCGGACACATAGAAGGGTGAGGAGTGGAATTTACTGGGCAAAAAGGAAAAAAAACTCAGCAAAGTGAGATGCTAACAGGCCCTCCACTTCACAGATTGAATCCCAGGTCACCACACAGGAACAGGAGAGGTTGGGCTCCTCCCCACTGCAAATGGGGAGAACTTCCTGAGGCTCCACCCCTTCCTCCCAGTGCACAGGTGGGCTGTATTCAGAGACAATTAGTCGTGAAAGGGTGGGCTTCATCCGGGACCAGCAGTCTGGTTTTTCAGCCTTCAGGCTATTATAGGCTTGAAAGCAGGGTTTTGCCGGGGACTCTTGACTGTCACCTGTCTCTATCACTGGTACTTTGAACTTCTAGTCTCTGAGCTGTGAGAAAATAAGTTTCTATTGTTTTAGCCACCCAGTCAATGGCGTATTGTTATGGCAACCTAAACCAAGATAATCGGCTATTTATTATTTTATTTATTTAGAAATATGGATGTATATCTCCAGGTTTTGTTGGCTAGCAAGCACATATCTTTTACTTTTATCATTACTTGACACAGCCCAAATTTTCCAAATACAACTGATTATTTACATTAAGGAATAGGCTGTATGATATATATGTACACAATTCAGTGCATTAAAATGGAACTGGAGACTATTATTCTAAGTGAAGTATCTCAGGAATGGAAAACCAAACATCGTATATTCTCACTCATAACTGGGAGCTAATCTATGAGGATGCAAAGACATAAGAATGATACAGTGGACTTTGGGGACTCAGGAAAAAGAGCAGGAGGGGGTGAGGGATGAAAGACTACAAATTGGGTTCAGTGTATACTACTTGAGTGATGGGTGCACCAAAATCTCACAAATCAACACTAAAGAACTTATGTAACCAAATACCACCCGTTCCCCAAAAGCTTATGGAAATAATTTTTTTTTTAAAAAACTATTTCTATCTATTAAAACATACGTTATTAAGAACACTACAATTCTTGGGTTACCAGCAAAATCTGTGTTGATGACCATGTAATTATCCATTATAACTTGTCTGCCCTATTCATAACGCTTTCATTTGTCCACTGTGATATTGCTGACCCACAGAATCACACTATCGCCATGTGATTTAAGTAAAATAAAAGATTGAATTATTTATTCAATTATTTATAGATAAATATTCCATTCAATGAAGAAATGGCATGACTTTTTATTTTGATAAAAACACATAAAATATACCATCTTAATTTTAATATACCATCTCCAATTTTAAGTGTATGGTACAGTAGTGTTAACTATGTGTACATTTTTGTATAGCAAATATCTGGAACCTTTTCATCTTGCAAAATCAAAAATTTATACCCATTAAACAACTTCCCTCTTCCCCCTCCTCTCAACTCCTGGAAATCACTATTAGTACTTTCTAAGAGTTTGACTATTTTAGATTTAGATTCCTCATATAAGTGGTATTATGTAGTATTTGTCCTTCTGTGTCTGACTTATCCACTTAGCATAATGTCTTCCAGATTCATCATTTTGTGCAAATGACAGGATCTCCTTTTTTAAGGCTGAATAATATTCAATCATATGTATATGCCACACCTTCTTTATCCGTTCCTCCCTTGATGGACGTTTAGATTTCTTCCACCTCTTGGCTGTCCTGAGTAATACAATGGACGTGAGAATGCAAATAGCTCTTTAAGATCCTGTTTTCCACTCTTTTGGATATATTCTCTTTAATAGGGTTGCTGGATCAAATGGTAATTCTATTTTTAATTTTTTCAAAAACCTTCATACTTTTTTCCATAGAAGCTGCACCTTTTTACATTCCCACCGACAGTGCACAAAGATTCCAATTTCTCCACATCCTCACCAACACTTTATTTTCCATTTTTCTTTATACTGGCCATCCTAATGGGTATAAGATAATATCTCCTGGTGGTTTTGATTTGCATTACGCTGATGATTAGTGACATTGAGTATCTTTTCATATACCTTCTGTCCATTTGCATGTCTTCTTTAGAAAGATATCTATTCAAGTCCTTTGCCCATTTTTTAATCAAGTTGTTTAGTTTTTCTGTTTGTTTTGTTTTGTTTTGTTTTGTTTTTTCTGCTATTGAATTGTATGAGTTCCTTTTCTATTCTGGATGTTAATCTCTTCTCAGCTGTATGGTTTGCAAATATTTTCTCCCATTTCATAGGTTGTCTTTTCACTCTTTTGATTGTTTCCTTTGCTGCACAAAATGAACAATCATTTTTAAAGCCCTTTTTCAAAAAAATTCTGTTGTTCAGATACTTCTACTCATTATACTCCCGTATAAACAAACTTCTGTTAAAATGTTTAGGGAATTCGAATGCTTTTGTTTGTTTGTCTTACATTTTCAGTTCTTTCAAATGGAGATGTTATACAAATTGAGTGTATTAGTATGTTACATTATGAAGAATACAATAATTTACGTGTAAGAAGTTCCCCAAATCCATAAAATATAAAATAACATTCAATTCACATTTTTTAACAAGACAGCTCTCTAGTATCCCTCGAATTTTAAGACTAGATTTTGGCATACCTATGAAGTGCTACACTATGTATTTATTTAATACAGCCAACCATTAGAACTATTATACTGAGTGACAAAGATGGCCGAATAGGAACATCTCCAGTCTACAGCTCCCAGCGTGAGCGACGCAGAAGACGGCTGATTTCTGCATTTCCATCAGAGGTACCGGGTTCATCTCACTGGGGAATGCCAGACAGTGGGTGCAGGACAGTGGGTGCAGTGCACCGTGTGCGAGCCGAAGCACGGCGAGGCATTGCCTCACTCGGGAAGCGCAAGGGGTCAGGGAGTTCCCTTTCCTAGTCAAAGAAAGGGGTGATAGACGGCACCTGGAAAATCGGGTCACTTCCACCCCAATACTGCGCTTTTCTGATGGGCTTAAAAAACGGCGCACCAGGAGATTATATCCCGCACCTGGCTTGGAGGGTCCTACGCCCACGGAGTCTCGCTGATTGCTAGCACAGCAGTCTGAGATCAAACTGCAAGGTGGCAGCGAGGCTGGGGGAGGGGCGCCTGCCATTGCCCAGGCTTGCTTAGGTAAACAAAGCAGGCCGGAAGCTCGAACTGGGTGGAGCCAACCACAGCTCAAGGAGGCCTGCCTGCCTCTGTAGGCTCCACCTCTGGGGGCAGGACACAGACAAACAAAAAGACAGCAGTAACCTCTGCAGACTTAAATGTCCCTGTCTGACAGCTTTGAAGAGACCAGTGGTTCTCCCAGCACGCAGCTGGAGATCTGAGAACGGGCAGACTGCCTCCTCAAGTGGGTCCCTGACCCCTGACCCCCGAGCAGCCTAACTGGGAGGCACCCCCCAGTAGGGGCACACTGACACCTCACACGGCCGGGTACTCCTCTGAGACAAAACTTCCAGAGGAACCTTCAGACAGCAGCATTCGCGGTTCACGTAAATCCACTGTTCTGCAGCCACTGCTGCTGGTACCCAGGCAAACAGGGTCTGGAGTGGACCTCTAGCAAACTCCAACAGACCTGCAGCTGAGGGTCCTGTCTGTTAGAAGGAAAACTAACAAACAGAAAGGACATCCACACCAAAAACCCATCTGTACATCACCATCATCAAAGACCAAAAGTAGATAAAACCACAAAGATGGGGTAAAAACAGAACAGAAAAACTGGAAACTCTAAAAAGCAGAGCGCCTCTCCTCCTCCAAAGGAACGCAGTTCCTCACCAGCAACGGAACAAAGCTGGATGGAGAATGACTTTGACGAGTTGAGAGAAGAAGGCTTCAGACGATCAAACTACTCCGAGCTACAGGAGGAAATTCAAACCAAAGGCAAAGAAGTTAAAAACTTTGAAAAAAATTTAGACGAATGTATAACTAGAATAACCAATACAGAGAAGTGCTTAAAGGAGCTGATGGAGCTGAAAGCCAAGGCTCGAGAACTACGTGAAGAATGCAGAAGCCTCAGGAGCCGATGCGATCAACTGGAATAAAGGGTATCAGTGATGGAAGATGAAATGAATGAAATGAAGCGAGAAGGGAAGTTTAGAGAAAAAAAAAATAAAAAGAAACGAACAAAGCCTCCAAGAAATATGGGACTATGTGAAAAGACCAAATCTACGTCTGATTGGTGTACCTGAAAGTGACGGGGAGAATGGAACCAAGTTGGAAAATGCTCTGCAGGATATTATCCAGGAGAACTTCCCAAATCTAGCAAGGCAGGCCAACATTCAGATTCAGGAAATACAGAGAATGGCACAAAGATACTCCTCGAGAAGAGCAACTCCAAGACACATAATCGTCAGATTCACCAAAGTTGAAATGAAGGAAAAAATGTTAAGGGCAGCCAGAGAGAAAGGTCGGGTTACCCACAAAGGGAAGCCCATCAGACTAACAGCAGATCTCTCGGCAGAAACTCTACAAGCCAGAAGAGAGCGGGAGCCAATATTCAACATTCTTAAAGAAAAGAATTTTCAACCCAGAATTTCATATCCAGCCAAACTAAGCTTCATAAGTGAAGGAGAAATAAAATACTTTACAGACAAGCAAATGCTGAGAGATTTTGTCACCACCAGGCCTGCCCTAAAAGAGCTCCTGAAGGAAGCACTAAACGTGGAAAGGAACAACCAGTACCAGCCACTGCAAAATCATGCCAAATTGTAAAGACCATCGAGGCTAGGAAGAAACTGCATCAACTAACGAGCAAAATCACCAGCTAACATCATAATGACAGGATCAAATTCACACATAACAATATTAACTTTAAATGTAAATGGACTAAATGCTCCAACTAAAAGACACAGACTGGCAAATTGGATAAAGAGTCAAGACCCATCAGTGTGCTGTATTCAGGAAACCCATCTCACAGGCAGAGACACACATAGCCTGAAAATAAAAGGATGGAGGAAGATCTACCAAGCAAATGGAAAACAAAAAAAGGCCGGGATTGCCATCCTAGTCTCTGATAAAACAGACTTTAAACCAACAAAGATCAAAAGAGACAAAGAAGGCCATTACATAATGGTAAAGGGATCAATTCAACAAGAAGGGCTGACTATCCTAAATATATATGCACCCAATACAGGAGCACCCAGATTCATAAAGCAAGTCCTGAGTGACCTACACAGAGACTTAGACTCCCACACAATAATAATGGGAGACTTTAACACCCCACTGTCAACATTAGACAGATCAACGAGACAGAAAGTTAACAAGGATACCCAGGAATTGAACTCAGCTCTGCACCAAGCGGACCTAATAGACATCTACAGAACTCTCCACCCCAAATCAACAGAATATACATTTTGTTCAGCACCACACCACACCTATTCCAAAATTGACCACATAGTTGGAAGTAAAGCTCTCCTCAGCAAATGTAAAAGAACAGAAACTATAACAAACTGTTTCTCAGACCACAATGCAATCAAACTAGAACTCAGGATTAAGAAACTCACTCAAAACCGCTCAACTACATGGAAACTGAACAACCTGCTCCTGAATGACTACTGGGTACATAACGAAATGAAGGCAGAAATAAAGATGTTCTTTGAAACCAACGAGAACAAAGACACAACATACCAGAATCTCTGGGACACATTCAAAGCAGTGTGTAGACGGAAATTTATAGCACTAAATGCCCACAAGAGAAAGCAGAAAAGATCAAAAACTGACACCCTAACATCACAATTAAAAGAACTAGAAAAGCAAGAGCAAACACATTCAAAAGCTAGCAGAAGGCAAGAAATAACTAAAATCAGAGCAGAACTGAAGGAAATAGAGACACAAAAAACCCTTCAAAAAGTTAATGAATCCAGGAGCTGGTGTTTTGATAGGATCAACAAAATTGATAGACCGCTAGCAAGACTAATAAAGAAGAAAAGAGAGAAGAATCAAATAGACGCAATAAAAAATGGTAAAGGGGATGTCACCACCAATCCCACAGAAATACAAACTACCATCAGAGAATACTACAAACACCTCTACGCAAATAAACTAGAAAATCTAGAAGAAATGGATAAATTCCTCGACACATACACCCTCCCAAGACTAAACCAGGAAGAAGTTGAATCTCTGAATAGACCAATAACAGGCTCTGAAATTGTGGCAATAATCAATAGCTTACCAACGAAAAGAGTCCAGGACCAGATGGATTCACAGCCGAATTCTACCAGAGGTACAAGGAGGAACTGGTACCATTCCTTCTGAAACTATTCCAATCAATAGAAAAAGAGGGAATCCTCCCTAACTCATTTATGAGGCCAGTATCATCCTGATACCAAAGCCTGGCAGAGACACAACCAAAAAAGAGAATTTTAGACCAATATCCTTGATGAATATTGATGCAAAAATCCTCAATAAAATACTGGCAAATTGAATCCAGCAGCACATCAAAAAGCTTATCCACCATGATCAAGTGGGCTTCATCCCTGGGATGCAAGGCTGGTTCGATAGACGCAAATCAATAAATGTAATCCAGCATATAAACAGAACCAAAGACAAAAATCACATGATTATCTCAATAAATGCAGAAAAGGCGTTTGACAAAATTCAACAACCCTTCATGCTAAAAATTCTCAATAAATTAGGTATTAATGGGACGTATCTCAAAATAATAAGAGCTATCTATGACAAACCCACAGCCAATATCATACTGAATGGGCAAAAACTGGAAGCATTCCCTTTGAAAACTGGCACAAGACAGGGATGCCCTCTCTCACCACTCCTATTCAACATAGTGTTGGAAGTTCTGGCCAGGGCAATTAGGCAGGAGAAGGAAATAAAGGGTATTCAATTAGGAAAAGAGGAAGTCAAATTGTCCCTGTTTGCAGATGACATGATTGTATATCTAGAAAACCCCATTGTCTCAGCCCAAAATCTCCTTAAGCTGATAAGCAACTTCAGCAAAGTCTCAGGATACAAAATCAATGTACAAAAATCACAAGCATTCTTATACACCAGTAACAGACAAACAGAGAGCCAAATCATGAGTGAACTCCCATTCACAACTGCTTCAAAAAGAATAAAATACCTAGGAATCCAAATTACAAGGGACGTGAAGGACCTCTTCAAGGAGAACTACAAACCACTGCTCAATGAAATAAAAGAGGATACAAAGAAATGGAAGAACATTCCATGCTCATGGGTAGGAAGAATCAATATCGTGAAAATGGCCATACTGCCCAAGGTAATTTATAGATTCAATGCCATCCCCATCAAGCTACCAATGACTTTCTTCACACAATTGGAAAAAACTAACGTTCATATGGAACCAAAAAAGAGCCCGCATCGCCAAGTCAATCCTAAGCCAAAAGAACAAAGCTGGAGGCATCATGCTACCTGACTTCAAACTATACTACAAGGCTACAGTAACCAAAACAGCATGGTACTGGTACCAAAACAGAGATATAGACCAATGGAACAGAACAGAGCCCTCAGAAATAATGCTGCATATCTACAACTATCTGATCTTTGACAAACCTGAGAAAAACAAGCAATGGGGAAAGGATTCCCTATTTAATAAATGGTGCTGGGAAAACTGGCTAGCCATATGTAGAAAGCTGAAACTGGATCCCTTCCTTACATATTATACAAAAATTAATTCAAGGTGGATTAAAGACTTAAACGTTAGACCTAAAACCATAAAAACCCTAGAAGAAAATCTAGGCATTACCATTCAGGACATAGGCATGAGCAAGGACTTCATGTCTAAAACACCAAAAGCAATGGCAACGAAAGCCAAAATTGACAAATGGGATCTCATTAAACTAAAGAGCTTCTGCACAGCAAAAGAAACTACCAGCAGAGTGAACAGGCAACCTACAAAATGGGAGAAAATTTTCACAACCTACTCATCTGACAAAGGGCTAATACACAGAATCTACAATGTACTCAAACAAATTTACAAGAAAAAAACAAACAGCCCCATCAAAAAGTGGGCGAAGGACATGAACAGACACTTCTCAAAAGAAGACATTTATGCAGCCAAAAGACACATGAAAAAATGCTCACCATCACTGGCTATCAGAGAAATGCAAATCAAAACCACAATGAGATACCATCTCACACCAGTTAGAATGGCAATCACTAAAAAGTCAGGAAACAACAGGTGTTGGAGAGGATGTGGAGAAATAGGAACACTTTTACACTGTTGGTGGGACTGTAAACTAGTTCAACCATTGTGGAAGTCAGTGTGGCGATTCCTCAGGGATCTAGAACTGGAAATACCATTTGACCCAGCCATCCCATTACTGGGTATATACCCAAAGGACTATAAATCATGCCGCTATAAAGACACATGCACACGTATGTTTATTGCGGCACTATTAACAATAGCAAAGACTTGGAACCAACCCAAATGTCCAACAATGATAGACTGGATTAAGTAAATGTGGCACATATTCACCGTGGAATACTATGCAGCCATAAAAAATGATGAGTTCATGTCCTTTGTAGGGACATGGATGAAATTGGAAATCATCATTCTCAGTAAACTATCGCAAGGACAAAAAACCAAACACCGCATGTTCTCACTCATAGGTGGGAATTGAACAATGAGAACACATGGACACAGGAAGGGGAACATCACACTCTGGGAACTGTTGTGGGGTGGGGGGAGGGGGGAGGGATAGCATTAGGAGATAAACCTAATGCTAAATGACGAGTTAGTGGGTGCAGCGCACCAGCATGGCACATATATACATATGTAACTAACCTGCACATTGTGCACATGTACCCTAAAACTTAAAGTATAATAATAATAAAATAAAATGAAAAAAGAACTATTATACTGAGTGACATATGTAGTGATACTATTTCTAGAGTTTCTAGTTGAATTACCATAACCCTAAACTATCCTCATAATTATCTATTGTTGTAATCTAACATGTATTTAGAGAAGGAAAATCCCTACATGTGACTCATAGTTTAAGATAATTCTTTTTATTGTAATAACATTTACTTGAAGCCAATTTGGTATTTCCCATAGTAGAGAGATGGTCATCATGAATGCCAGTTATTGTATTAAATAAGAATTTTTTTTAGGTACATAATATTTCATTTGTAAATGTGGTTAAACTTTAATGTGCAGGAAGAAAAACAGCATACATAAATTGCTCAGTTGTCTTTTTAAAGCAAGCCCATCAAGCAGCCTCTTCTGATATTTTCAGCATCAACTTGGGATAAAATGACACACCAAATAAGCTAACAACTGTTACTATAGATTACATAAATTATGTAGGTGCTACTGAAATGAAGATATTTGCTACTCAAAATTAAAAGGAAACATTTAATGATGTGTGCTTGAGCATATTGAATCGGACTTACAAATAAAATAACCCACTACATAGATTTCATTATAAGTTATTACATAGCTGTTCAGACTCAGCATTTTATATTAATTGTTTGCAATAAAGAGGAATGACAAGATTGGTATAAGCACAGTTGGTGTTGTTTGTTTTGAAGGCCAGGAGAGATGGCTGAGTGGCAACAAATGGAATCAGTGCAATACTATGGTACCCAAGGCCTTGCACTAAGTTCTCCACATCTCTCAGACTCATATTCTCCATCTCTAAAATGGGCACAGCATATGAATGTTGAAACACTGTGTTTTCTTCAAGGCTGTGGAAGTTATTTATAGCCTCAGAAAACTTTAAAAATTACACATTCTTAACAATAATGACTCTTTTTTTCAAACAGTCCATTTTCACAGCATACCAGTTATGTGAACAAGAATGTAAAATAAGAGAGACTAGAGGGCCAAAAATAAAAACACTAAAAAGAAGTAAATGAAACTTGTGATATCTCCACAGTCAGTGTGTCTAAATTCATGTTATTTTTTTCATGGCACCAATAAAATTTACTAAAACTTTGTAGGTCACTTATTTCATTTGGGTTATAAAAAGTCTCTAATTTGATTCTGTCTTCCCCCCAGAAATGATTAGCCACTCGTTTTAATGGAATACCCACAGCCATAGTCTTCATGACAACAAGACTCTGTGTAAATGGTTTCAGTTGGAAGGTGGGAAGAGGCCTTAACATCTGTGTAGCCTTACCTCTCCCCATCTTGGTCTACTGTTCCAACAGAGGAAGGGGACATGTTTTTCTTTTCTTCCTACTTTGCAAGTATATATCCTAACAGGCATAAGGAAAAGAAGTAATAGTTGTAGCAGTAGCAGCAACAGCAACAAATGTGAATATATGTAAGTCATCACTGAATTCTTTGAAAGAAAATTGGTTTCATAATCTAAATTCATACTGGAAATAATTACAATAATAATTATATTAGTAACTAACATTAACTGAATGTGTCACATGTACCAGGCACTATGCTAAGTATTTGACATACAATCCTGGTCTGGTACCCATGCTGTTTACATATACTATAATTAATATGCAATGCTTTAATGAATATATTTGGATACACTATGAGGCAAGTCGTATGTCCCAAATTAGGTTGATACACAGTTACAAAATTGAGCAGATAGCTTTCATTTATAATGTGGATGTTGGTCTTAATGCCAATATGATAAAGTTCCTGTTTATTTGCTATGAGCGGTATACCTACAAAGCGCCACATTTCTAAATAGTCGTCATCGTTTGTTAGGTGGTATTTTTGTATATACTATTTAAAAATGTTTCTGAGCATTCCTGACACTTCAAACGGTTATCCACAACTCCTTCCCTCATGGGGTTTGACGTACTGTGAGGGAATTATTTGAAAGCCAGTTTTGCTTGCAGCTTGGCCCAGTGAATAAAGCATCAGATAATATTTGTGAAAGTCTTTGAAAGATGCAGATGAAAGGTGCTTCATAAATACAAAGCACTAATGTTGTATTCATGGAAATGGCTCTTCTTCACATCCTTTGCTCTAATGTCTGAGTCTCAAGGTGTTATTGCAATGGATACTTTAGAAATGCATGTATACCCCCAGATCATTTTAGTATAGAGGAAAATGCAAGTGAACACAGTCAGAGTACTTAACTAAAAATCATGAAATAGAGACTATTATCTGAAGTGAAAGAAACTTGCAGCATAATAAAGAAGCTGATCAATAGAGAGTGTTTGGTGTGGCTTGGAGGAAGAGGAAAAGAAAGGTGTCAACTGTTCTTATATTGACTCATGACTTCAATAATAGCTTCTTAGAACTTTTAGAAGAAAATAAGAAAACTGAAAATTGTGAAAAAAAATCAACTATAATGCAGAAGTTTTAAGTAATCAAGTGTCTTGGAGTCAAGTAGATTATCCTCTTAGGCTACTTACTAGATGGCACCTGATTTTATAGATTTCATTGAGCTCAATAATTGATCATTCATTTAATAATATTATTTAGTGCTTACTATGTGCCAAGCACTCTGCTAAGTGTTTTGTACACATTACCTCATTTATTTCTTACAAAAAACATTGAGATGCTTATTACTATCCTTATTTTACAGATGAAGAAACAAAGGCTTGAAAAGGTTTATAGCAAACTGATAGTAAATGACAGAGCTGTGATTTAAACCGACATAGGTCTGATTCTAATATCTGTAACTTAACCATTGTGTCATTCGAAAATGTTATGATGTACTTACTAATTTAAACAAGTTATATACAGATGATATCTCTAAGTAAGTAAATTAGTAGCAGAGAAAGTACTCTACACTTGATTCACCTTATTGAAAACAAACAAATGAAACTAAGACACTCTCCTCTTTGTCTTCTACTACTAAATATAAGGTGTTCCCTAAACGTTTAGGTTAATTTCTCCTTTTCTTTGGCTTCCTCATCATTTATTTTGTAAGTTATAAGTAGGATAAGCCCTACTTTAAAGAAGAGTATAGTTCAGTAGTAGACAGCACTTGACCTTTTATTCTGTACACATAACAATAAAATTTAAATATATATATATATAATCTCTCTCTCTATATATATATCTGTATACCTTGACATGCAACCCATTTTGTATGTTTATCACTAGAAAGCCCTATGATACACAATGTTCAAAACTACCCAGAATGGGAAACATCTAAGTCCTGTACTGTAAGTATGGAAAAGAGGAAATTGCCCTAGTGCTGCCAGGGCAAGAATTTGAAGATCAGGTAGCTGGTCAGTAAGCCTAAGTGACAATGGCTTCCTGAGTAATGGAATTATGCTTTACATAAGCAGTTTCCAAATGCTGATGAGACCAGGAGCATAAAACAGAGCAATTCCATAGTAGTATGTTCTTTTACCCTGAGGGGGAGACAGCTCACTCTGTGTGGGCTACCAAAACCAGAAAATGAGGGCTTGTCTCCATGAAGTACAGGGGAAGCAAAAGGGAACCATGTATACATGCTTGCATTTTAATTTCATTTCTATCCTTTGTGGTACGTGTTTGCTATTTGGGAGTCAAGAAAAGTAAAAGCAAACTTGAATCAAATCCAGGTTGTCATCATTCCCATCCAGGAACCCAGATCACACTCTGTGGTCTGCTCTGGTCCAGACCTCCAGTGTTAATACACAGAAAGGAGCGTCTGTGCATTCATTCACTGACTTCAGGCACTACAAGAAGTCTCTCTGAGAAACTGTTTCACATAAGTAATGTATGTTTAATCTACTGTCCCTCTCAGCATCTCACCTATCATACATATGTATTTTCACAAGGTACATGAGTACCTTTTGAAAAACTTACTTGAATGAGCTTAACGAAGAACTAAATTGCTTAAGAGATAGGTTGGTGCAAAAGTAATTGAGGTTTTTGCCATCACTTTCCATGGCAAAACCGCAATTACTTTTGCACCAACCCAATACTTGCTTAAAGGACATATTTATCAATCACTACCTATGAAATCATTTCTTAATTTCTAGGATTTCCATCTATATTTACTACTGCAGTCTCATATTCACAGCTTCATTAACATGTGTTCTCATTTTTTTCTTCTGTTTATGCAAGCTGACTCTCTTCCCCTTGAGATGAGCTAATTTTTTTCATTTTCTGAAGGCATCTATACATTATGTTCATTTCGCTGGAGGGGAGTACCTGCATTCACTGTTGTTCAATTCATTCTAATATCATATGAGCAGATTCCACTAATTTGCGTTTTTATTTTTTTTAATTTTATTTATTTATTTATTTATTTATTTATTTATTGAAATAGTCTTGCTGTGTCGCCCAGGCTGGAGTGCAGTGGTGTGATCTCAGCTGTCTGCAACCTCTGCCTCCTAGGTTCAAGCGATTCTCCTGCCTCAGCCTCCCGAGTAGCTAGGACTACAGGAACGTGCCACTATGTCCAGCTAATTTTGTATTTTTTTGTACAAAATTAATAAATTTCATAATTTAGTAGTTTGGTTTCACTATGTTGGCAGGCTGGTCTTGAACTCCTGACCTCAGGTGATCCACCTGCCTCAGCCTCTTAAAGTGCTGGGATTACAGGCCTGAGCCACTACCCCTGGCCTAATTTGCTTGATAGACATTTCACTTGATCCACTAGCAGACACATCTATATCAATAGATCAGTATATTTCCTAATTGAGCTGCCTTCTCACAACTTCATTAGCCATATTCTAGTTAATGAAGTCTCAAGTGCAATCTACACATAGTTTGAGGCTACATGTGAAAAGACATCATTACAAAAGAATTTATCAGATAACTTTTTTGTATTCTGGGTGATGTTCATCCAGAATGTTGCATTTTGTTTGGGGAACCATAAAGACCTAGTTAAATTGGAGTGAGTCCGGGGAGATAAGCAGTAATGTAATTGAGAGAATGAATCAGACTTTGAAGGAAAAATAAAATGACTTAAATATGCATAGCTTAGCATAAGCAAAGTTTATAAGATAGGCTTAGTAATAGGTTGTAATTTTGGCATATCTCCCAAAAAATAGCTCTATTTAACATTTCACTAAAATGCCATGTTGAAAAACAAGAAGATGAAAATTTGTAATAATGAATCAATCAATGAACATTTCAAGCAGAAAACTTTTCAGATACAGGCTGTGCCCACACAATGCCAAAACAGCTGTTAGGAATGTGAATAATTCAATCAAATAAGTTATTTGGCATCATAAAACACTCTCACCCACCATGGTTGCTATAACTTTTTTATAAAATAAAACTTGATTGAATTCAAACTTTAAATTTTTGAATTCACTCAAATTAATTAAATTTGTAAATAAACAAAATAATAAACTTGAATAAAATTATGGGTTGTATGTGGGAGATATAAAGATGATTCAGACTCACATCCTGATACAAGACAAGTATATGCATAGCTTGAATGCAAGAGGGGAAATAAAACTTTCTCTGTCCTTCCTACAGAATTGTTACTTTCCTGCTCATACTTCTTAGGAGGCTCCCTCACTAGCCCATTAGATGTCAGACAGAAAGATTGGTGGCAGCCAGTAGTGTTCTACCAGCAATCATTAAGATCATAATTCTGAAAAAAAAATGTTTTGGCCCCGACATATTTGAATAACATGTACATGTTACTCATATGAGAATACCAGGACTCCTTTTTTTAATGCTTCCTATTTCCTTTTTGTTGTTGTCGTTCAGAGGGGAAAGATAAGCAAGTCTTCGTCCCTCCCATGGTATGAGTAGAATCACTTTACAAGCATATGGATATGAAAATCACTTATTACAATTGCTTATAAGATCAGAGTTGTACCCAATTCCTATCACTAGCTATAACCCCAACCCCTTTCTCTCCCATCCAAGAAAGCACATCCAAATGCAACTCAGTGAGAGTGGCACTATTAGAGGCATCACCCTGAGTCCACTCATCTATACTTTTTAAAAATAAATCATTTGTGAATTTCAGCCCTCTATTATAGCAACAGGTGACCGCAAAACATTGGCATGTTTTGATCCTATATCTGAGCATTGCTGAACTGGAGCAAAGGGCCAAAACATGAGTGAAATTTGAGAATCCTCTGGCTCTTGTGAATACTGCTATAATAGTGACATCTCTTCCCATTGTCCCAGATGAGGGCTATGTACTTGTTTAGCTCCCAATTATAGATGCCAGGGTTCCTCTCCATCACTCCATTAGGTGTCCATGAGTGCCCTTTGTTCTTAAAGTTGTGCTGGTGGAGAGGAACTATGGAGTACAGGGGATCTTTCTTGCCAAATAACCAGACAACGGTGGTTACGAGAACATTTTCTTCAGCCTTTATTTGAAAAATTTGGACAAGGGTGAAACCTTTCCGAGGCTTCCCTAGCCTCTATGCTTTTTTATACTCTAGAATTTTTGCCTTTTGCTTTTTTTGTTTATTCTTAATATAGCGTGCCCTCACTATTTAACATATGATAGCTTGAAAAATACTTTTCTTGAAACTTCAGACACAGTTGTAATGTTTTCCTGATTTGTGCTTCAAACATTGCGTTCTATCTTTATAAATAACATTGGAGCGATTTGCATTCTTTGCCTTTTGAACAAATACAGGGTGACCATTTATAACAGTGTAATAAAAATAAAGCCCTGAAAATGAAAACTTTATAAATGTTCAGGATATCTCTTATTAGCTAATTCATTAAATGATACACTGTCAATTAATTCATAACCCTCCATTACCTACCTGCAAATAAATAATGAACTTGAAGATTGAAAATAATTGAAATACCTACATAAGACTTTAGTTTGAGTATAAACTAAATATGAAATTTTAAAGGATCATTACTTTTTTATATTTTCTTTTTGATATACTTCACTGGGTAATAACAGAAGCCACAATATCATTGTCAACATAAGATAAAACAGGGCAATTATCTATTTCATGTTTCATGGTACATAACAGATAACAGTTTCTTTCAAGGCTATAGTGAAAAGGCTTTGGCCAACCACTAATTTTAATTGCTAACTAATACCGTATACTAACGTTTAAATATTGACATTTAAAATTCCAAATTGTGCCATAAAGTAGAGCTCTTTACCACTCTACTTAGAAAAATGACAATTTTCTAAGATGACAAATATATTGGCTTCATTTTTCTTTTTTTTAACATTACGAAACTACTCTACAAATATTAGCAGAGTTATATCCATCTTGTATTTTCACAACCAAGAAAATTAGGTAGTTTGAGCAATTACTACAATAATTTAAACAAAATGGCATTTACCACAGCCTTATCTTTTTTTCTTGATTGTAAAGTCCTGGATTGTTTGACTGAGTTAAAAAACCAGACACTTATTGGCAGGAATATTGAGTATTATGCCTGAGGTTGGCTGATTGTACTATGTAAAACCAATACAGTGTACAGCACAGTTGGCTTCCCTCTATAACAGAGACAGGAAGAAATGGGCTGGGGGAGGGCTGCTTTGTGGATCTTTGACTAACTTGTATGCTTGCACAACAAATTGGAGAACAGGAAAAGAGATTAATTAAACTAGAAAGTAGAAAATTTGGACTTTCTGGATGTAGACCAGCACTCCCTCTAAAGATGAGTATCAGCTTATAGAGAGACTAAAATATAAATATGAATTTCAGCACAAACATGTCAAAGGATCATAGGTGCTTTATTGTTGACCTTCATTTCCAGTGATTGTAACAAAGATCAACCTAACTGACAGAAATTAACACAGCATACTATATCTTACCTGCTGGCTTAGTGAGAGGGCCATTCAAAGTCCTCAAAGGGATGTACTTGACAATCCGAAAAACAGTAAATAGTATCCAGGGCTGTGGAAGCCATGCAGAATGCAGTAATCCAGAACCAGGTTGAGCCCATGGAAACTAGAAAACATTGTAATTTATTGTTAGCTTTCCCCCAGAGCCTCTGTGACTGTTCTCCTTCAGTCATCTGCTTCAGTTGTGATATCTCCTCTCTATTTCTCTCTCCTTCTGACTCTTTCTGTTGTTGTCTGTGCGTCACTCATGCACATGCCCATTTATACATAAGTATTTATTAAGCATTACCTATCGAATGGACTTTATTTCCATTCTCAATCCAATGGTTTATTTAACTGATAAATCTGCTTTTAATAAAGGATGTTGGTATATTAATATTAAAGCAGTATTATTTGAGCCAGAAAAGTGATAAACTGTATTGTTTATTTTCTTCTGAAAACCAGTTTTCTTACCTTTTTATTCTTTTGAGCCTCTAATAATAATTACGAGGTTGAGAACAGAACAGCCAGATACATTTAAGTCTAATTTGATGATCATTGAGCACTATGAAGTTAATGGATATTAGCCGTAACATGCAAATCTTAAAACTACCTGCTCACAAGTTACAAAAGCTCTTTGTGACAGGTAAAATACCATTAAGTAGTAACATACATTTTGAGTTAGTAGTAATAGTTAATATTAATAAGAAAATATCTTCTCTTTCTTTTAAGCCTGTTTCCTTTTACCCCCTACTCCTGCCTAGAAGGGGAGGGCAGCTCAGAAAAGCAACCTCAGGAACCAAAGACTTCTAATTGGCCTTGAGAGATCTGACATAAGTAGTATGGCAATAACTCTTGGTGCCCTGATGTTCTTTGCACGTGTAGATTATATGGTCTTCAGAGGCATTAATTAATATTGCCTCATAAGAGCTCAGGAAGGTGGTTAAATACTAATACAGGCCCATAATCCCTTATCCAAAACCTTTGGGGTCCACTTTTTTCAGAATTTAGAATTTTTCAAATTTTACAAAGGTGCTGCTGTACATATACTGTATATTATATATACACTCACCCAGAGTGAGGTATGGGCCAGCACCCCTTAATAAAATGCATTAATACTTTCTTACCTAAATGTATGAAAATTCACAAAATAAGATAAATAAATGAAGACTATAAATGTCCTCATATCACTTCAGGTCAGGCTTTGCCACCAAAATTTATGAAATTAGATAAATAAGTAAAGACCATAAATATCCTCAAAGCATTTCAGGTCAGCTTTTGCCACCCAGTGAGTTAGGGGAAAACAAACTCATTTTTCAGAGATTCTTTGATTCCATAGTTGTAGATAAAGAATTGTGGAGCTACCCTTCCCCTTGGCCAAGGAGATAATGAAACACATACTAAGACCAGGAAGTACAGACATGATTTCTGACTCTCCGTGACCTTTTTCTAGAGCTATAGGAATATATGTGCCCCTTTTGACAACGTACACTGCATAGTAACCTTGGGAAAAAACATATTTAGGGAAGGTATTGTCACAGTGTCACTAAAGAAAAGAATGATCAATTTAGTACATGGATTTCAGAAAAGCTAGCCATGTATCTACTTTGGTCAAATTTTTCAAGAAAAATGTCTATTTGGCATTACTGTAATACTGACAATATTTATTTTTAACACCTACCGAAAATTATTTTGCATGTACAGCCAGTGCTGCTACAGTGCTCGTTTTATAAAGGTTAATTTTTTCCTTTGCCATTGGGATGTTTGAGAACAGTTTGAACTTAAGACAAATTTTGCGTTTGCATATGCGCAATTCCATCTGTTAAAAGCACTAGATGAATGCAGAAAACTGCATACAGCAGAATGAACTGCGTAAGAATACACAAAATGGGCACATGTATATACCTGCAATATCCATCAGCTATTTCAGCTCACCACATGTGGATAGGAGCCTGTCCCATCCACATCTGGTATTTAGAAGTTTCCGTCCTAATCAGATAACTTTCCTTTTCACCACTTCACAATAACTCACAATTTGCAACTCTTCTGGCACCCACTTTCACAAGATAAAGTGTCATATTTGGTATGGCATTCGCGTATCCCTTAACCATTAATATATGACAAACTATGCTGTCATTCTTATTAGGTTCCTTTTTTTTTAATGCGTCATTGATTATGTTTCTGAATGTTGCATCCCTAACTTCATTTTTTCCATAACCCTTTGGTTAGGTGTGATTTTGCATAGTGCAGTGAATTGCAGAAATGCATGCTTTGTCTTGTAGCAGAACTGACTGTATATGTTAATGAAATGTAAGGGACAAAACACCCTGATAGACACTCTGATAAGTTGCCACAGTATTTCTGAGCAGAGATACTCTAATTTCTTGTGAAAGCTTTCTCTAACACATTATCCAAAATAAGGTGTATTGGCAAAAAGAGAAGAAAAGGAAAAAAGAAAAAACTATGCGTGACACGTTTCTTCTTGCACTTACCTTTTGGAGACAGAGGCAATGTTGTTTCTGAAGGCTTATACTTCTATTAGTAGCTCTGCCACACTTAAAATGTCTCAAATCTACAGTTTGGAGGAATTTTGCTCCTGAGAAATTATCTTACCAAGTTATTTTAGGACCTCAAACCTGAAACTGGCTACTATCCAAGTATATTATGTGAATTAGACCTTTCCATTTGAAAACTTAATTTATTTTCAGAAAGCTTTGTAAGTAAGTCTGGATATCTACATTTGCATAATCACCACTCCCCCCTTCTCCCTTCCTCTCTCTGGGGCACAGAAGTGTATGGTTGCCAGATACATTTGGAAGTGAGTGTATGTGACTCGCAAACCCCTAGAATTGGTGTTCTAGAGCTTCTGACACTGAACACTAATGTATTTTTCATTAGTGTTTAATGTTGGGAAATCCCATTTCATGGATCCCAAGTATTAAATTACTTCATTTGGGAGGGAACAAGTGCATTCCCCATCTTTTTCCTGAGGTGAAAAAAAGAATGAATCTGAGATCATTTGCATTTCATAAAGGCTTAAGGTCTGGATGTATTCCACTCAGTGCAACAATCCAATATTGTGAAAGCGTTTAAAGACAATATGAACTAGCAGGGAAACTTCCACATATTTGAAATGTGGAAATAAAAATACACAGTAAAATAGATGAAAATCAAAATATCCATATATGTATATGGATATGCATTATACGTAGATAATCTAAATGACTAGACAAAGCCATTCTACCTGCAACAGAAATAATAATACTATGATTGCACTTTTCAATGAAGTAAAATTTTTATCATTTTTCATAATAGAGTTGCAAAGATTGTGAGGTAATCTAGCAGGCAATAAATCTGATGTCAATGAGATATTCTTTTTCTTTTGAACAACTGTACTGAAGAGAAACCCTTTCTCTTGCACAACTGTGCTGACAGAAACCCCTACTGATTAAGCTAGTAAATGTCATGCATGTTGTTTAGAGGGGTTCTGAGCACAAGACCTCAAATTGACTCCTCTTTTTCTTCTAACCTTGGACTTGCACCTTTTCCTCCCTTCCCTCGGGTCATTAAGTGCTCTCCCACACGTGGCATTAGACAGTAGATCTGTAGTGTGTCACTGGTGCTTTTTTCACATCATGAAGGGGCATCATTTTAAGCACCTTCTTCAGAGTATCATTGTCCTTTGTCATGGCTCTGGGAGGCATTCCACTAAGATCTTCAAGGGGAAAACCTACTTCTCTGTCAATTGAATAGATAGCCAGTGGCTACATCAGAATGAGAGCCAAAGGGAACACAGAAGGTGATTATCTGGGTCCCATGATCCAGTCAAACCCTCTTCTATTAGCAAAAGATTTTAGAGATCTTGCTCTGTACCCAGTACTTTGCTCAATGTCATACAGCATACAGGAGAAGTAGAAGGAAACCTTATTCTAAGAAACATGCAGTCTATTTTGGGAGAAAAGGCAAAACACATAGAATATGATGGGGATGCTATAATATTGCCAACTCAGGGATCAAATTTATGGCAAAAATAGTAAATGTTAAAGTCATAGAAGAGAGTCATGTTTATGTTCCGAAGTAGCATAATGGAAAGAGTGCTGGGCAGAGTACTGGGATTTCAGATAACATAACCCATGGGGGTGGGGGAGAGTTTTAAGTTCAGTCTATCTGTTAAAATGTCACTTAATTTACAAAAACACGTACAGAAAAAGAGTAAAGAAATCATCTGGCATGGGCAGGAAAAAGTATCCAAGTTGAATGACCTTGAGCAAGTCAGTTCACCTCTTTGGGTCTTGGGTTTCTCATCTGTAAAATGGCGAGTGGAGAGAGGCAAGCTTAACTAGGTGATCCCTATGATTTCTTCCAGCCTTATAGTTTTATACTTTTATACTTTTATTACATTCAATAAAGAAATAGTCAATAAAATGCATGCTCAAGCACATTTTACATGAATTAAATTTAATTGTTAGGAAAAGGGATTATTATTATCCTTATTTTACAAATGAGGGGTTAAAGCTTCTAAAGGGTAGAGGCAGAACTTAAACCCAGATTTGCCATACATCCCAGTCCAAGTCCTCTCCTCTTTCCACTGTGCTGTGTTGCATACCATTACACCACACTGCCTTCCTTTCTACATTTAAGGAGTCATGGTCAAAGAGAAAAGCAGACGTAATAAACCTAAGTGAAAAATCAAGAAAATGTGGACAATTCTTTGTCTCTAAATCTTATGAAGGAAAAGAGAACTCATATTACAGAGATCTGCAATACAGGGAATGGAGCATTAGCCAGAGAGTCAAGAGATGTGAGTTCTAGTCCTGGCCATGCCACTAACTTGCCAAGTGTCCCTGGACTTGTTTTCTCATTTGCAAAATGAGAGCATCTCCAAAGTCCTTTGGGTTTCAACATTCTATGCTTCTTTGAGTCCCCAAAATGGAAAGCACACTTCTAGTTACGGTTATGAGTATGAGCCCAGAGGTTTAAAAAAAGTTAATGAGATGTTAAGTATTTGTGATGATTTTTTTTAGTGAATATGGGATTTGAGCTGGGCCTGGAATAATGGGGGTGACTTAGGAAATTCATGAAACATTTTAGTTCTTTTAAAATATACAAGGATAGCTGACCATCTAAAGGAATCCTTTTTATAAAATGAATGATCACCACTCCCTTCTCTATCTATCTTTTGTACAATTCAGATTTTCATATAGTGAGTTTATTTAAAGGGAGAGCCACCTGTGCTAGAAAATACAGCCAAGAATTTGTCATGCTCTTGGGAGGCTAATATCGTTTTTAAAAATAAAAAACCATGCCAATGTCTTTAAAATTCAAGTTTGAAGTAAAAAGATTGAAAGAAGTGATTTTTTTTTTTTCTGTGATCAGCCACTGCAAAGTGGGCCTCAGCACAAACCAGCTGAGTCCTTTGCTAGGCATCGAAAGCCTCTGGCGTTTTTCTGCTTTTCAACTCTCAGTCATTTGGGAGGTGGGACAAGGCCATGCTGTCCACAAAGTTTATCCAGAACGTGCTGGTGTTACAAGAAATCACTTGACATCTATTATGTTTCTCCTGTGGAAGAGAGGTGGCTATCAGCTACAATAGTGATTTCTTTTTAAAGGGGTTTAATTGAGGTATTTCTCATGGGCCAAATTCTAACTCACTGTCTTTACGTGTGCCTGCCAGGAAAACAATGGAAAAATACCAAGCAATAGCAACAATAGAAGCCTGAGGACCGCTGTCCCAGGCTGCCCCTCTGCAAACGAGCAGAAAAAAAATCTGTTTCCTTGCTGCCTAAGCTGCCGCTAACATGGCAGAGCTCCTAGAAAGGTGTGGCAAAGGAAAAAAGTTGCAGACTGTGCTTTGCATGACCATGGAAATATGTATAACAACTTGAACAAACTTCTTTTAGCCTACCTTTTACAAGTAGCACTCTAGTTGGGGGGCTGACAAAGAGATTAGTTTCACACAGCCAAGCGACACACTCGTGAGCTGTTTTTCTAAAATATGGATTTGCTCCCGTATAGGCAAGCTCACATCCTTTCCTGAGGTAAGCCAGAAGGTGGCCTTATATTTTTATTTGAAGTGCCGAATGATTTTCCTTGCAACAAATTTGTGCCTTTTACTAGCATTTTCTGAAGTGAGAATTTTGCAACTGATGGAAATCAGCTCACTTCTGTTCTGTAACTTGGTGTCTTGTTGATGATTTATTTGTTCAGTAGCAGAAACTATGACAAATGGTGTGAGGCGGCCTCATTTACTTTTTAGCTGCTATAGCCCTAAAGAATTTACATGTAAATGCAACTGTGAATGTTTTACATTTCATAAGCATGCTGCACGTGCTTTTGTAAGTTAAGTGGCATTTTTACAGATAGACTGAACTTAAAACAACCTCCCTCACCCCACAGGTTTTATTATCTGAAATCCTGGTAAGTCTGTCATGCTGGTTTCCCTGACTGCCAAGTGGGAGAGTAAGTCTCTATTTTATGTTTCTCTTCTCTCCTCTTTAGATGTGCAGAGCAGCCCACACAACCAGTTCACCTTCAGACCCCTCCCACCGCCACCTCCGCCTCCTCATGCCTGCACCTGTGCCAGGAAGCCACCCCCTGCAGCGGACTCTCTTCAGAGGAGATCAATGACTACCCGCAGCCAGCCCAGCCCAGCTGCTCCAGCTCCCCCAACCAGCACGCAGGATTCAGTCCATCTGCATAACAGCTGGGTCCTGAACAGCAACATACCATTGGAGACCAGGTACTTGAGCTATTATTGATCCCACTAAACTTAAGTATTGGCAGAGGATGGTTCTACTGATTGCAGAAACTCATTTCATCACACACATCTGCAGAGACACACAAATGCACAAACCGATACACACCCAGATGCATGGGCAAAAAGGAAGACTCCTTCACAGGCGCAGATGTGCAAACAGACACAAACATCTAGATCCAGCCACAGCCACAGACCAAAGCAGATACACGTGAAAAGATGAAGCCGCAGATACATAAACACCCTGCTGTCACATATCCACAAAAACATAAAACAAAGCAATTATCTAAGCTGTCACTGCAGCCTCAAAGTGAAAGGCAATTGTCCCTTGTTTTAAAAAACTGCAGTATTACAAGAAAACCCAAACACAACTGGAGGAGGAGTGATCATTTCTATTTTATTTATTGTAAGATTCTTTGAAAAAATAAGTTGCCTTCAAACATTAAAAAAAAAAAGGATCAGCCTCATGTAATGGAAGTATATGTGTAAGTTTAAAAACTAAATTCTGCCTTTAGGGTGAAGCTTTTGGTCTTTTGAGCAAAAAAGTTTGCCTCTGTTTTTCTTCACATGTTTAGATTTCTAGATTGACTCCTCAGAGCTTTGTCATGATAAAAGTTCTACTCTTTGCAGTTCTAGGTCCCTTGATCATGATAGATTTTAGCACCAGATACAATTAATAAAGAAATTATTCATCATTTCTAGTCACTTTCTTAAATCAAACATTACAACTTTATATTGACATAGAAAAACACTAACTAATAAAACATAGATTCTATTTTCTTTGAAATTCAAGGACTTCCCCTTGTTTTTTTGTGTGCCTTATTTAGTTCTACAATGGAAGCTTTTATTTTTGTTTTATTTTTATAGATTCGGGGATACATGTGCATGTTTGTTACATGGATATATTGTGCAGTGGTGAGGTTTGGGCTTCTAGTGTACCCTCACCTAAAGGGTGAACATTGTACCCAATAGGTAATTTTCTAACCCTCACTCCCCGCCCATCCTCCCTTTTTTGGAGTCCCAAGGGTCTATCATTTCCATTTTTATGTCCATGAATAGCCATTGTTTAACTCCCAGTTATAAGTGAGAACATGTGGTATTTGATTTTCTGTTACTGAGTTAGCTTACTTTGAATAATGGCCTACAGCTCTATCCATGTTGCTGCAAAAAACATGATTTTTTTTTAAGGCTCTGTGGTACTCTATGGTGTATATATACCACATTTTCTTCATCCAATTATTCATTGATGGACACTTAGGTTGATTCCATGATTTTGCTCTTGTGTATTGTGCTGTGATAAACACATGCATGCAGGTGTCTTTTTGATATAATGATTTATTTTTCTTTGGGTAGATACCCAGAAGTGCATTGATGAATCAAATGGAAGTTCTATTAAAAATCGCCATACTGTTTTCCAGAGGTTGTGTTAATTTTTATTCCCACCAACAGTGTATAAGCATTGCCTTTTCTCCACATTTTCACCAATACCTGTTGTTTTTTGACTTTTTAATAATAGCCATTCTGAATGGTATGAGATCGTATTTCATTGTGGTCTTAATTTGCATTTCTCTGATAATTAATAATGTTGAGCATTTTTTCATCTGTTTGTTGACCACTTATACAGCACCTTTTGAGAAATGTCTGTTCATGTCCTTTGCCCACTTTTTAACAGGAATTTTTGGGTATTTTTTTCTTGTTGATTTGTTTAAGTTCCTTGTAGATTCTGGATATTAGTCCTTTCTTGGATGCATTGTTTGCAAATATTTTCTCCCATTCTGTGTGTTGTCTGTTTACTCTGTTGATTATTTATTTTGCTATGCAGAAGCTTTTTAGCTTAATTAAGCCAAATTTGTCTATTTTTGTTGTTGTTGCATTTGCTTTTGAGGTCTTGGTCATAAAATTTCTTGCCTAGGCCAATGTCCTGAAGAGTTTTTTCCTAGGCTGTCTTCTAGTATTTTTATAGTTTCTGGTGTTATATTTAAGTATTTAATCCATCTTGAGTTAATTTTTGTATACAGTGAGGGATAGGAGTCCAGTTTCCTTCTACCTATAGCTATCCAATTTACAGAAACTTTTTCTAAAGACATTTGTATGTAAAAAATGGGTATAATATACTACTTGATAAACAATGTCTGGTATCACCTTCTAATCTGATCTCTGGGAATTGGAATGGAAAGAGAAGGACTAGTCAACTCTCCTAAGACTGGTTGTTATTGTTTTTGTTGTTTAGCAGCATATTAAATTAAATACCAACCATGGCATCAGAGAATATTTCACCATCAACAAACTGCAAGTACTATGGCCCATGTCCAGGAAACAGTATCATCCATCACTTACCAGATTAAATGGTTTCATAAAGGGTGATTTCTGCTACATTCCAAGAGAAAAATATAGCAGTCAGCACCTATGGTGACAATAACCCAATTAGAACTATACTAGTGATAGAGTTTCTGTATTTATTTATTTATTTATTTATTTATTTATTTATTTATTTGAGACAGTCTCCTTCTGTCGCCCAGGCTGGAGTGCGGTGGCAAGATCTTGGCTCACTACAACCTCCACTTCCTGGATTCAAACGATTCTCCTGCCTCAGCGTCCAGAGTAGCTGGGACTATAGGCATATGCCACCACGCCCAGCTAATTTTTGTATTTTTAGTAGAGACAGGGTTTCACCATATTGGCTAGACTGGTCTTGAATTCCGGACCTTGTGATCTGCCCGCCTCACCCTCCCAAAGTGCTGGGATTACAGGCGTGAGCCACCGTGCCCAGCCCTGTATCTTTTCTTTTCTTTTCTTTTCTTTCTTTTTTAATTGAAAGGGGGAGGTGAGTAAAGGGTAAAATGCAAAGAACAATGTATATCTTCTTCAAGGAGTTTTCAAACAGTGGTTATTTCCTCATTTTACTTTTAGTTCATTTGCAGAGCTTAGTGATAGAGAGCTGAGGAAACAACAGGGCAATATGGTTAAGTAGCAGTTCTGACAAGCAAACACACTCCTTTCGTCTTTGAAGCCAAATAACAGAAAATCTGGGAGAGAGTGGGGAATGGGTTCAGGCAAATGGAGAGAGAAAATTATTCTTATTTGAAATGTACATCTAGGCATGTTTGTACAAACTGCACCCACGGACCTTCTGTATCTATGCAAGGAATATATTAATTGGTCTCAGTTTCTTAAGACGCAGAGAAGAACATAAGTTTTCATGTAAGAGTGAACAGAGTACCTTTTTAGTACATTTGAACATATATTTAGCATCACAATGATGATTTTTTAAAAGCCAGAAACGTTATTAGCTCTATCAACTAGCATTGTTCAAATATAGCCTTTAAAATGTTCATTTCTCATGTAGTCAATAAAGGTAACTGTGGGTATCCAGGAACTTATACATGAACTGTGTAACAGAACCTGTCTGAGCCTCAGCCTCCTCATCTGTAAAAATGAATATACAAATGCCTGACTTCCTAATTAGGAAAATCAAACTAACGTAGTAGAAAGTGCCTCATATACTGTAAAGCACTACACAATTAAAAGGTAACATTACTATCCCTACTAAGTGGCCACTTGCCTTTGCATAAATATCTCCAAAATAGGTAATTGGCTTATTCCTAAGTTATTCCACTCTACCTCAAACAACTACTAGAAGATTCTTTTTGAACCAAAATCTATCCCTTCTTAACTCTGCCCATTTTTCTCAAATCTAATTTTAGGGTCTCACAGAATAAGTAAAATTCCCCTTACAACTGACAGCCCTTCACTATTCTTGAGTCCTCTATTCTTTGTGCTAAATGTTTCCCCAATTCCTTCAACCTGTTCCTCACATTAATGGGTTTCAAATCTCCCTTCCTGGTCTCTTTCTTTAGAACACTCCAGTTTGTCCAAACTGCTCTTGAAATGTAATGTTCAAGGCTGAATGCAGGTGTGGGTTCTTATTAGCCTCTCTGGTTGCAAGAAGCCAGAGACATTCAGGTTGCCTCGAGTAATTGAGAACATCTTTTCAGTGTATGTGTTGTCAGTCCCCGGGAACGCGGGAAACTCTGGTCAATCCCCAAAGGAAAGGCAAAGACTGTGGATCTCTAGCATTAATAAGACTCAGCAGTTCTCTGCATTTTTGCTCCTCTCTGTCTGTTTCTTTGTCCAATAGCTTATTCTTTCCATCAGCTCAATATTTATTTTGTCTACCACATAGTTTCTACTATCTCATAACGATGTCTTTTCTCCACTGTACCACATGACTCCAAGAGTACCTCCTCACACCTCTCACCTCATCCCTTCAGCTGCATGTCCCATTGCTAACTGCATTATTATCTTGGTCACTGTAGGCTCAAAACCCTAAGAGGGAATTTGATTAGCCCAGTTCATCCCTTTTATAGCAGGCTGTGTTTCAGTTTTTTGGCAAGCCCTGGCAATTATTCTCATAGTCAACTGAGGCTACGGGGAGAGAAAAGTCATGTGATTAAAATAAACAACATGGCCATCTATGGTTGTCCCTTGAGGAAGGACCGTGAGCAGATTTGATGTTCCTTAGATGGGACTCTCAGCAGTCAGTCATTTTGACTGATTCACTGAGGATTTTATGCTATGACCAACAATTAGCCACCTCTCTTGTTCTAATTATGTATTTTCGTTAATGCTGTCTACTCCAGTATCAGCTTTTTTGGTGGCCACATGACACTATCCATACACATTGAGAACACCGGAAACTAAACCCCAAAGCCTGTTTAACATGTTCTGAAGCTAAACCACGTTTTATTTATTCTGTAAGTACATAGTTGATTCTTTTTCAGTTTTGTGTTTGGTATGGAAGATAACAGTGGAAATATATTTGGAGCCTTGATTTGGCCTAATTTGATCTCATCTTGTTAGCATGTGGAAATGTTGCTGAGTTCTAATTCTACCATACAAACTATTTGCTTTTGCTCTCAGAATTATGTCATCTGTAGGCTTGTTAGGTATGCTTCCCTCTTTTTTATGTAAGTTATCGATACAAATGTTACATAAGACCAGATTAGGGTTAGATCTCTGTGCATGCCACTGGTGACATTTATCTATTAGGCAACATTCTTTTACTAACAACCCACATTTCTCCATCTTGTTCATAGCCATATTATGGGAGACCTTGTTAAATGCCTTGCTGATATTCAGATATAGTATGCTTACATTCTTACCGATCTTCCAATCTAATAACCATGTCAAGAATAGAAATGAAATGAGATTGTCTAACATAACTTGTTCTTAGAGAATTTATACTGCTTGCTTTCTTATGGTTACTACTTTTTTCCTAAGCGCTCACAAACTGTTCTTTTATTAACCTGTTGTAGAATTTTGTATTTAATCAACCTGTTTCTTGGTCTAGTCTAAGGAGTCCATATGCTTCCTGTTTATTTTGAAAACTAAAGCCAATGTTTTCTGTTTCTAGTCTCCTGTCACACTTCAACCACACTACAGTTGCTAAAACTTTAGCAACTGTGACAGGGTAATCCAATCTCCAAGACCTCTGACCACTCTGGGATAGAATTTTAATTCATTTATTATAGAACAGCCAAATGCCTTTTAATGACTGCTTTGCCTATTTTAGCTTCAATTTATGGTTACTGATATTGATTTTACCATTTCAAGTCTATCATCATTCTTTTTCACAAAGAAAACTAGTACAGTAGTTGAGAAGGCCTCTCAGATATTGGCCATCCAATAACAATTTCATGGGTTGCATGTCTCTCCTACCCTTGCTCTTCTTGGTTTAAATATATTTTTTAAAAAGCACTTTTCTGTCATCTTTAGCAGTTTTTTTCTCAAGCCTCAGGCTCATTTGGGGTATAATTCTTCTTAGCATTATTTTCATCATGCCCTCTTAAACTTACTTATTTTTGGTTTTCATCCCTTTATTTTGGCACCTGTTCTTTTGAAATCCAAACTGAATGTGAATGGATAACACCCAGTACAGACACACTGGTTTCAACAGGTTAAAAAAAATAAAATATAATAACTTCCCAACTCTCTTAATTCATCTCCATATTAGAGTATCTCAGGGCATGAAATTGTACCTACTTTACTTCAGCAAGCTCTTTTCCTAAAGTCTGGGATTTGGGCCTTATAAGGTACTTATGGACTCTAAGATAAAATACTTCACTTCCTCTAAAGGTTCCTATCACCTTCAACTCACCAGTTTCTCTTTTTCTAAGTCAGTCAGAGAGGCAAGTTTCTTATTTTCTCTACCTTTTGGGAGGTGTAGTCATTAACACAAAAATTTGGGAACTTGCCATATATTTGCATTTTGCAAATCGATACAACTAGCAGATGTTTATGGAGTTGAAATCACTCATGTTTACTACCCTTTCCTCCTACGACGCTTTTGTGATCTGTGTTGAAAATCAGCATCCGTTGTCTCCTTCTGGCCAAGTGTCTTATTATAGACTCTCCAATCCACTACCTATTAGTCATGTGACATTGGGCACATTAATTATCATCACCATGTCTCGGTTTTCTCATCTGTAAAGTAAGGATAATAGTAAAACCTAGCTCATAAGGCCATTGTGAGCATTAAATGAGTTCCTAATTGCAATGTGCTTAGAGCAGCCATGAACATAATGAGCACTCCGTAAATATTAGTAATAATAATAGCAATAATAACACAAGAGATTATTTTACTTTTTGTCCCTATTGCTATCTTTATCTAACTAAAGGTATTTCTACCCTTCCATTCATAATTTCCTCAAAGTAAACATATACAACATCATTCCACTTCCTCTCTTAGCATGCTTTTAAATAGAATACACTTGGCCTGGCCCGGTGGCTCACACCTGTAATCCCAACACTTTGGGAGGCTGAGGCGGGTGGATCACCTGAGGTCAGGAGTTCCGGACCAGCCTGGCCAACATGGTGACACCCCATCTCTACTACAACTACAATAATTAGCCAGGTGTGGTGGCAGGTCCCTGTAATCCCAGCTACTCAGGAGGCTGAGTCAGGAGAATCGCTTGAACCGGCGGGGAGTGGGGATGGTTCAGAGGTTGCAGTGAGCCGAGATCGCGCCACTGCACTCCAGCCTGGGCAACAGAGGGAGATTCTGTCTCTAAATAAATAAATAGAATATACTCTTTCACCACCATGTTCCAAATCATCAGAACCATCCCCCTTCTCCCACATTTTGACGATACATACCTGTGAGGCTTTTTAAGACTGCCCTGTGATCAATCTTCAAAACAGCTTGTGCATTGCTGCCTGCCTTCTGTGTTATTCAGAAAAACAATGCCCTGTCTACCCAGTACATTGGGGATTGGGCCCTGCCCTGAGCCCTCCCTTACTCAGACGTCAGCCTTGCTATCTCCTTCTCCAAGCCTTCTTCTCAAAATTCCCAATGTCTAGATTATATTTTGGGGGCAGGGTGTTTTTTGCAACCCGGAAAGATGGGCACATTGCCAAAGATGGAGAGGCTGGGTGATGTGTGCAAGCATATGTACTCCAACATCCCTGGACTAAACTACTTATGTTATTGTGAACTTAGACACATGACATAACTTCCATAGACCTGAATTTCCCTGTTTGTTTTGTGTCAAAAATGACAGACCCTACCTCATGGGGCTGTTTTCAGAACTGAATGAGATAATATATGAAAATGTCTACTCAGAGCCAGGCACATAGAAAGTGTGCAATAAATATTACTATTTTCAATTCAGTATAATAGCCTGGCACAGACCTGCTGGCAAGTAGATGAATTCAGAGTTACTACAATTCAGAGAGACACAATAGCTTTAATCTGCTGTAAAAACATCCAGTATTCACATATACTTCCCAGTCTATGGATTATTGTGCGTGTCCTGCACAGCGAGGCATTCAGCAAGCATTTACTAGTTATTCCTGGTGCACTGCCGCTTCTATGAGGAATGAGAATCCCTGTATTCCAGAAATGCATGGTTTAGTACTAGTAACAATAACGATATCTAACTATGCTAAACAGCATTACTATATGCCAAGCACTATTCTAAGCCCTTATGAATCAACTTCTTTAATCCATATGCTAGTGCCCATGTGGTACGTACTATTTAGTGTTGCCATCCTCAATTGAGAGATGAAGCAACTGAGGTACAGAGAGGTTAAGGAACTTTGTAAAATCCCACAGGTAGGATATGACAGATCCAGGTCAGGTTTTGAACCTAGGCTGTAGGTCTAGCATCTTCATATTTAACCACTATGCATTACTGACTTTCTGTAGTAGGGGAAGCAAAGGTAAATAAATAACAGTACCATCACAAGTGTTTTGTTATATTTAAGTAATCCAAAGGTAAGAACCCTTGGAGGGGGGTAGATCTAACCAAGGTAGGAATAGTAGAGACTAAGGAAGTGTTCAGGTAGGTAGAAGGGGGGAAAGTCGAAATTTCCCTGAGAAAATGGCCTAAAAATCATTTTGTTCTAAAATCATGAGGTGATACTAAGTGAAAAATGGAGGAAAGGGCATTCTGGGAATAACATATCACAATCAAAATTGTGCATAGTCACCAGTTATCTAAGTGATATTAGGCACTATTCTTTTTATTATTTCTTTCCCTTCTTCATTTGCCATTTAAATACTCTTGACCAGGTTGGCCACTCTGTGAGCAAGCATGTTCTTTCTAGTACTAATGAGAGACAACCATTCTGGAACTGAAAACCTATCATTCTCAAGCTATGAGCCAGAAATCTAAATTTCATGCTAAAATTCCTGCTGTTAAACTTCCATATTATCCTTCCTTATCCAGAGGCCCATCCTTAGATATACTAGAGTTTGCAGATCCTTTCTTTCTTTTATTCTTTGATTTTTTTTTTCTTCAGAAAGTCTCTTTTTCTTCCCTGTGGCATGAGCCTCAATCCCAAAGGTATCATATGGCTTTGGTGGCACAGTCCTGTGACTGCTTGATAAAATTCTGTAAGACTGGTTAAGAGTTTGCATTTGCTATTATTAGTGAGATTAAATATTTTCTAAAATGTTTAAAACATAAAAAAAAAGAAAACAATAGAACTGAGTTCAAAGTCCCATTCTGCTTCTTATTACCTCTATGAGCTTAGGCAAATTACTGAACCTTTCTGAATTTCAGTTTTTTGAACTTAAAAATGGGTTAATAGCACTCACTTTATAAGGTTGTTACAAGTATTATTTCATACCGCACATGAAATTTGCACCCTCATTTTAGTTTCCTTTCTTCTTTCTCTTCTTCCCATGTCCATCCCCTGGCACTGGCTTTATTCCTTTCTAGCTTCTCACAATCATGATTTACTGCTTTCCTTCTTTTCTATAGAATGTTTTTTTCATTCTATCCATGAAATTATGTGCAAGTAGATTGACCTGCCTTTAACACCCAATTAATTGAAGAGGTGCTTATTTCTGTCAGGAATTCAAACACAGCCCCCTTGCTGCAGAGCACTGGAATAGTTCCCTTTGCTTCTCAGCCTCTTCATCCAGGTTCACTTTTAAGTGGAATTGCAGCCATTTTTGTTTACTCTTATTTACTCTCTTTGCTGTCCCCCAATTCAAATTCCTAATTCAGAGTCTACTTGATATTCTATTACTCATGATAATTTTTGGCCAAGTGTTGGTTCAAGACAACTAATTTTGCTTGGCCTGATCTTAGATGGTAATTATTTTTTCAGAATGATGATAATGGATAGTAATCATGATCTATTTACCAAAATGAATCTTACTCAAAGGTTTTGCTGTGATTATCAACACTAGAGAAAACCTGGTGTTGGGATTAACATGACCACTTCAGTTCACAAAGACAAATCAGAATTGTGTGGAGGAATCATGCCGGGGCAGGAGAGTGCAAGTAACCATCTTCATTGATTTTTAGCATATTCTGACAGATGGCTGCAGCTTGGTATGAGGCTAACTGCCCTTGATGGCTTTAGGCCAATGTGACAATTAAATGGAGTCTACAGGGTTATTTTTACAAAAGAAGAGCCAGGGCCATTGGCAAAGGAGATTTTGGCAAGGAATGGAAACAGAAATGAAACTTATATGACCAATGTGTATTACTATACTTCCAGAGCTAGTTTCTATCTTGGGGAAAAAAGAATCATTTGGAGGAAATACTCATTAATGGTGATTGCAGTAATTTATTTATGGAAAAATACCCTTTAAGTATTAACCAATAAATGTAAGTTCTCCAGCAGCAGTAATATGTCTTTATTATACAGCACTGCTAAAATATACCTAACATTTATAAGTAGTTTTTTTCTAGAACATTTGCAATGGAAAAATAGAGACTAAATTTTTTCCTTCAATAATGACTGGAGAAAAAAAATCTCAAAATGTACATATGCAGTGCTTAGATCCAACAGTATCTCAGGCTTTAATCCTTTAACAGCACGGAGGTTAGCAAAAATCTATCTTCAGCCACAGATTTAAAGATTCTTTTTAAGACAGGAAAAGACGCTGTAGAACTAATCTATGACCTATAAATCCTGTTTAACCAAGCTCAACCAAGCTTTTCAGCCTACACCACATGATGGGTGTGGAATATGTTAAATTTACATCAAAGAGAATGCTGTAGTCTTAAAATATGTTTTACATGTTGAGAGTAAAATATAAGTCTATTGTGCTTAGGCAGTGAAGAACAATACTTTGGAGATCAGTGTGATACAGTCTCTAGTTACTTTGGTGGCAGCATTATTTTTAAACATGCTTTTCAACTGACTATTCTCAGTTTCATTTCAAAATAAAACCATAGGCAAACATAATTTGTTTCATTTTATAGGGAAAGAATGCTTCACCATAGGTGAGATGAAATCTGATTTTAATATGGAGAAGATTTACTTGGCAATGCAAATGTGAATCTAAAAATGTTTTAGGGAATTTTTAAAAATGAGTTGATTGATGTAATATACGAGTATAGCAAACAAAAATTAAATTTTAGTGAAATCTCTGTACCCATCATTTTGCCCTCCCTCACCATATACTTATACACTTCCCTATACCGACTATATTTAAAACAGAGATGTATGGTTTTGAACAAGAGAGAACACAAGTTCTTAACAACTTCATTCACTGCAAAGTTACTTATCCAGTGAATCATAACAAATATTTCCATTACCATGTCAAGTTAATAGATACTTGTCTATTTTACTAAGAGCATGAAATATATTTAAAGCAGCAGAAAATAAATTTCCTGTCAATTATTCTTATTTTCTATCAGGGTGTTAATGTGTATCTGCACGTGTGTGTGTGTATGTGTGTATCAAAAAGATGTGCTACTAAGCATCTCCCTTTAGAAGAATCCAGCTGGTTCTGTATTAACTCCATAACACAAAAATGTTTGTAGCTTTCAAAGCAAAAGATAAGATCTGGTTAAGTCTTGAGGTCTTTGAAATATGTTTGCAAGAATTGTGAAAGTGTGGTACTGAGTATTTTATTTAAAGAACAAGAAAGCTCAAAAAGAATTGTCCCCTTTGGTGAACAGATAAGCAAATAAACAGTAACATCTGCTTCTCTATTTTGTTTAAAAAATTGGTGTGATATCTGAGGGTATTAGAAAGTATATAATGCAAATACTTTAAATGAAAAACAGTTCATTATAAATAATATAATGAATTTATTTTAGTTTCATCAAATTTTAACAAATACTTATTAAGTGCCTACCTTAAACCAAACACTCTTCTAGTTGCTGGGGCTACAACAGAGAACAAAACAAATAAAAACCTTGCCTTTAATGAGCTTACAATCTAGTAGGGGGAGAGAGCCTTTCCCCTAAAACATTGATCTTTTTTGAGGTTAATAATATTGCAAGACTTGGGGTCTGGCTAGATGGGATATGGGAAAACGGGGAGAGGAGTCAAAGATACCTCTTAGGAGTCTTCCTAGTCTGCCATCACCTCTGTTTTAGACTGGGTAATTTATAAACAACATAAATTGATTGCTGTCATTTCTAGAGGCTGGGAAGTCCAAGATCAAGGTGTCAGCAGATTTTGGTGTCTGGTAAGCACCTGTTCTTCATATACAGCACGTTATTGCTTTGTCCTCATATGTCAGAAGGGGCCAACAGGCTCCTGAAGCCTCTTTTATAAGGACACTAATTCCACTCATGAAGACAGAACCCTCATGGCCTAATCACCCTGCCAAAAGCCCTACTTTTTAACATCAACATATTGGGGATTCGATTTCAACATATGATTTCTTTTTTGAGACAGGATCTTGCCCTGCCACCCGGGCTGGAGTGCAGTGGCACAATCATGACCCACTGCATCCTCAACCTCCCGGGCTCAAGGGATCCTCCCACCTCAGCCTGTGGAGTAGCTGGGACCACAGGTGCATGCCACCATGCTCAGCTAATGTTTGTATTTTCTGTAGATATGGGGTTTTGCCATGTTTCTCAGGCTAGTCTGGAACTCCTGAACTCAAGCAATCTGCTTGTCTTGGCCTCCCAAAGTGCTGGGATTACAGGCGTGAGCCACCACACATGGCCAACATATGAATTTTGAAGGGACACAAACATTCAGACTATAGCAACCTCCCCACTTCAACTTTCATGTAGAAACCCCTTATCTATGATCTCATAACACTCTGCCAATATGTTTATCACAACGCCTTATTTCATTGTATATTTGCCCTCAAAAACTTCTATTTACTTGTCTTTGTTCCTCACTGAAACTTAAGTAAAGTGCTATGCCTTTTCTTATGTTGATCCCTCAGTGCTTGGCTCATATCGTTCAACAAAATGCATGGACAGAGTAAGTGAGCAGAGAACTACAGATAGAGTAGATTTCTGAAATCAGGAACAGAAGTTAATGGAAGCAGACAGTGCATATTATTTTGGAAATATTGGAACACCTACGTGAGCCATCTAGTTTGAAATGTTCAGTATCAAAAAAAGTTGAAAATATGGATCTGAGTCCAAGGAAAGGAATAAATAGAGAAAAAATATTCTCCTACTACTTGCTTACTATGTGCCAAGTATTTTTCCAAGTAACTGTCACATTTATTTTAACTTAGTGTTATTAAAACTAAGGCTTAAAAATGTTGAACAACATGCCACAGGGTCATCAGTTACGTGTAGTGGAGTCAGTTAAAACCCAGCTTCGGCCGGGCATGGTTGCTCATGCCTATAATCCCAGCACTTTGGGAGGCTGAGGCGGGCGGATCACAAGGTCAAGAGATCAAGACCATCCTGGCCAATATGGTGAAACCCCGTCTCTACTAAAAATACAAAAATTAGCTAGGCGTGGTGGCACACGCCTGTATTCCCAGCTACTCCGGAGGCTGAGGCTGGAGAATCGCTGGAACCCGGGAGGCGGAAGTTGCAGTGAGCTGAGATCATGCTGCTGCACTCCAGCCTAATGACAGAGTGAGACTCCGTCAAAAAAAAAAAAAAAAAACAAAAAAAAAAACCCACCAGATATGTCTGCTTCCAGAGCTCATGATGGACGTAGATAATTAAGACTTTCATAGGTAAATGTAATAATAGTAAGTATTGAAAAACCTAGATGGAGTTTTATGCAAGACTAAAAGAAAGCCAAAAACCAAACCATGGCAACACTTATGTATTAGGAGTTCATAGAGGAGAAAGGCCAGCGTAGGTGACTGAAAAGTAATCACGGAAGAGAACAAACAGAAGGAAATTTCCAGGAGGTGGTGATCATGATTTTCAAATATCACAGAGGAATCAAATAAACTATGGATGAGAAGAGACCATTGACTCTATCAATTATAAATTTTAAGCAGCCAATTTCTGTACAGTAGTGAGATTGAAGCCACATACCACGTTGGATTTGAAGAATTGGTAAGAGCTAAGAAAATGGAAACAAAAGGTAAAGTAGGGTTTTGAAATGGGGCAGTAGATTGAGAGCAGACTGAATCAGGGCAAAACTTTCATGTGAATTGGAAGGCAAAATACAAGGGAAACTACATTAGTGAGGAGGTATACACTAGACATCAGGATAGTGCTGTGAGTGACAAGAAGAAACAGACCCAGTCAGAGATCAAGTTGCCTTAATGATAAAGTATATAGAAATATGCAGTGATAATCACATAATTCAGAAGAAAACAACATGATCCCATACAACAGTACAGGCTTCCCAGGTTGCCAAGTCCCAACAAGGACATAGAGCTTCGGAATTTTTTTTTTTTTTTTTTTTTTTTTGAGACGGAGTCTCTCTCTGTCGCCCAGGCTGGAGTGCAGTGGCATGATCTCGGCTCACTGCAAGCTCCGCCTCCCGGGTTCAAGCCATTCTCCTACCTCAGCCTCCCAAGTAGCTGGGACTACAGGCACCTGCCACCACACCTGGCTAATTTTTTGTATTTTTAGTAGGGACAGGGTTTCACCATGTTAGCCAGGATGGTCTCGATCTCCTGACCTCGTGATCCGCCCGCTTCGGCCTTCCAAAGTGCTGGGATTACAGGCGTGAGCCACCACGCCTGGCCGAGCTGGGGATTTATTAATCCTCACCTTTGGGAGGAGGATTAAAATAAAATAAAAAGTTTGCCTTTGGTATTCTCACAGTAGAGGTGATATTACATCTTCCCACTCTTATCTAAAGTTGGTTCTCAAATATACATCATATTTCCGAGGGCAAGCACCTATCACTGGCCAAGACACAATTAGAACTCGAACTTTTTATCTCTATCTGGCATACAAAAAACACTAGGCGGTCCCTTGTTACTGAAGAAGATACTTAATAGTGACATATGTATGCACAGAGCTTGCATTGACAGCATAGATGCTAACATGACTATTTCCAATTCAAACTATCAAAATATCAAGTACAACATGATATTAGCTTCATAAGTAAATTGAATTTCTTCTGGCATAAAATAGTCACAATCTGATATTTTTCTCACCTTTCAACTAAAATCATTGTTTTTATCTATGACAGTCTAATCTTTCAAATTTTGTCATTTACCATAGTGAATAGTATCATTAACTTAGGTAATTTTATGGTAATGTGGGTAGTTGTGTTTTAGTAGATACACTTGTAGCTAAATACTTTTTCTTGTCTGTCAAAATCAAAAGGCTTAGCTATTTGATAATGTACTGTATATGTATGCATGTATGTTTGTGTGCGTGCATATAGGCATGTGTACATATATAAGTATGCACGCATAATTTGCTATTGTCCAAAGTATTTTCACTAGTTATCTCATTTCAAACTGTAAACCCTGGAAAGTAGACATAATAGAAACTATGCCCAATTTAATGGTAAAATAACTGAGTCTTGGGAAATTTTAATAACACATTCATGTGGAGCATGTGTTATTAAATTATTAAAATTTCTTGGAGCAAGATTTGGTGTTGGAATGTAAGTCCTGTGCAAACAATCCAATGCTCTTTGCACTATAACAATTTGTCTCTGGTATATAAAGAACTCCACGCCATCTCTTTTTGTCTTTCAGTGAATATTTATGGTTCGGTTAAGTTTCCCTGCCTGGAGATATAATCTAGTTTTTATTCTATTTATATTAAAATCTTAAATGCCCAGGAAACTGGGGCATTCTGGTTAATTGGATTTGGTGGTTAGCTTAAGGTTAAATAGAACTTTTTACAAATTGCCATCCTTGTTGAAAATCATTCTTAAATATGAATCTACTTTCCATGTTAATCCAAATGATCATAATTTAATCTTTTATAATTGAAAATCTTATAGTACATCAGGGTTGCCATTTAAGCTTGAGTTGTTATTGTAAAGTGTTCTAGGTATAAAGGGATGTTGTAGAGTGGACAAAATGTCTAGTGGTCCCAGGATATCCGTTGCAAATTTTTAATGGCCCCGTGTGAGTTTTTGAAAAAGCACTAGATTTACAGTTAGAAATCTTGAGTCCAAGTCCAATTTCACTATTAAATAGCTATGTAACCTTGATATCCCTTTCTTCTTCTCAACCTCATTTTCCTCAATAGTCAGATGAGGAAATGAAGCTAAACGATATTCGAGGTCCTTTCTGGCTTTACAATCTCTGTCATTCTGTGACTTGCTTCTTGTCTCTTGCTCCTCCACTGAAAGAATCCTGCTTAATTGAGCTTTCCAGTTAGTTGGATTCTAATTAATTGCAAGTTTACTAATTCCAGGTGAGGTCCCCAAACAAGTGAGATAGATTTAAGTTGAGCAGTCATGATTCTTTCTGAATTTCCTATAGGCAAGAAGAACTGAAGAAGACACCACACTTCCCTTTCTGTCAAAGGGTAGTGATGATGGCAGGCAACTATAGTTAAGGAGGCAACATTAGGCCAGTGCAAGACTAGTCTATGAAGTCATTTTTCCTGTTACGCAATAGGTGCTTGATACAATTTTGTTAAATAAATGCATTTTTAAAACAAAACCCTTTGTGAACCCAAAATATCTGAGACACATCTCAGTCAATTTAGGAAGTTTATTTTGCCAAGGTCAAGGATGCGCTGGTGACACAGCCTTAGGAGAACCTGACAACATGTGCCCAAGGTGGTTGGGGTGCAGCTTGCTTTTACACATTTTAGGGAGACTTAATACATCAATCAATACATGTATGATTTACATCATTGGTTTGATCCGGAGGGGTGGGACAACTCAAGGTGGGGAGCTTCCAGGTCATAGGTAGATTTAAACATTTTCTGTCTGGCAATTAGTTGAAAGAATTATTAGTAGAAAACAATGTCTGGGTTACAATAAGGGGTTGTGGAGACTTAGGTTTTATCATGCAGATGATGCCTGCTTTAGAGAAAATAGACTGTATATGTTTCTTATCAGACTTAAGGTCTATGTTGATGTTAACACTGGAGGGATATAACGAGGCATGTTAAACTCCATCTTCCATCATGGCTTGAATTAGATTTTCAGGTTAACTCTGAAATGCCCTTGGCCAAGAGGAGGGGTCCATTCGGATGATTTGGGGCCTTCGAATTTTATTTTTGGTTTGCACCTTTATAGTGACAAGATTCAAGATGCAACACCTTGTATAGAAGTCTACTCTGCCTTGGGTCATACTGTGTGTGAGGCTGCAGTACAGTTTCAATATCTTCCTTCATGTTGTCATTCTCAGTCTATGACATAAATACAGCTTCATATTATGTTTCCTATTGAAAGATAAAAATATAATCTGGTTTAGGTTTAAGTTACAACCAGCCATTTCTATACTGCACCCCGTGAATCCGTGATGATATTTGTTTTCTAAGGATAGGCAATGATGCATAGAAAAAATAAGTCCAGGTTTAATATTATATTTGCCAAGTACAAAAGCATATTTAGAGGTCAGCAGAGTGCATGAAATCCCTATATTCTTGACGTTGACCTTACCTTGTTTATCTCTCTGTGCTGTCCCTGAATAATTAAAGTGAACCAATGTGTTTCTTCTTTGCACTCTCAAATCCACACAGCAGGGAACTAGGGAGAGAACATTTTAGTGGAAGGCAGGCCTGCTTTCCACAAATTCTCCTGTGCTCAAGTGGAATTGTAGTCACTAAGCTTTAGAGCATAGCACAAAGCTGAATTTGACTGTTTCTTAAGTGACCTAACCTAAGAGGAGTTAATGTTGTTTCAATTGCTATGATTATTATATATTCTGCATATTTTAATCAGTTCAGGTTTTGGATTTTTGCCTCATGACAGGTTCATGAGGGGTACAGTTTAAAAAGCAATTTTTTTTTATTGTTACAAAGATTTCCTTGTTTGGTCAGTAAGGGTAAATGTTTGAGGCAATTATCGGTGAGTTGTATATGCTCTCTGGCCCTAGGGTTCAGGGTATTTGTTTGGATAATAGACCAATCCCAAGTGCAAATAGAGCATCAAGGAGGAACAGCTGTGAGCTTGGGGAGGAAGATAAGATCAGGAGTGCCTGGCATGAAAATCTTCCTCTGGGAGTCTTTACAGAGTGACAGATTTTCTCCTGTAGAGATGTAGAATACCTCAAAACTTCACGTTCCAATTGGATGAAGAGTTTAGACAAATGGTTCTCAACTTCACCACTATTGACATTTTGGGCTGAATAATTTCTTGTTACATATGTCTTAAGGAGGTAGACTGTCAGGATGTTTAGCAGCGTATCTGACCTCTACCCACTAGATGCCAGTAGTACCCCTCCCCAAGTTGTGATAACCAAAAATGTCTACTGACATTGCCAAATATTCCCCATGGACCAGTTGGTCCCCTGTTGAGAAACACTTTTTTTGTAGCCAGTTTGAGAAACATTCTTTTCCATCGATGTTTCCCAACTTAGTCCTGGTACTGGTAAGACAAAATCTATTGTTGCTGGATCACTTTTTACTCAAACCACTCTTCAAACTCTTAATTTCTTTTTTCCCTTCCCATCTTTCCCTCCTCCTATTCCTTTCTTCCAAGGCCTTTGTTAGAGGTTTAGACAATTCTCCAGTTTATAGTTTGGGATAGAAACCATTAAACTACATCCATTTAAATCTGAGCCTCTCTGCATTGCTTTACTTTTAATGCAATGGCAACTCGTCATATAATTTTTATCCCCAATTAACTTGTCATATCCTGCATTTCTATGTGAGAGTCTTAAGCAAGAGAAATACATTTTTGACACATTGAATATATACCCTGTTTGTACTATACTTAATTGACTTGTTTTCTGGTAATGCATAAAGATGGAAAAATACAGTGTGTCATTGCTGACTATTTATTTAGATCAAAACTAAACAACCTATAGCAAAGGAGACCAGAGTGACCCCTGAAGCAACTAACGAATGATCTTCTAACCTTGCAAAGACAGCCATATCTATCTGTAAGATTTCTTTTCTTACTCTATTCCTTTCTCTTCTCTTATACTCTTCATTCTCCCTATGTTCACTTTTTGTCCTCTATTTCCTGCCTTACTTTAGACCTGCACTATTTGGGGGCATGTCTTAGCTCTTCTGATATTGTTCTTTGCAAAAAGCTTACAAGGACACAGAAACCTGAAAGAAAAATGGCCCATTTGGAGATGCACATAACATAGGATGGCTAGAAGTATAGAGGGCATTGTAGACAATAGCAGTAGTGAGGCTGACAGGCCTGCAGAGGCCAGGTCATGACGGACCTTATAAAAGTAGTATACCTTCATTTCAAAAATAGAAAGTACATGGATAATCACCAGGAAAAATAACTACAATTTCCATCATCCAAAGATACTTACTATTAAGATTTCCTTTTGTTTTCTTCTAGATCAGATGTCTGTGGAATGGGGATTTGGGGTTGTATTTTGCTTTTGGTTTTGTGTGGGAGGGGACAGCACGTAATTGTGGTTGTACTATATGCATGAACTCTGTTTCTTGCTCAATATGGAAAATTATCTAGTTACTGGGAGCAGAAAACCTGTACAACTAAATTAAACTTTTTAAAGGTTTTTTTTAAGATGCAGAGTAATCTCACAGTGAAAGAAAAGCACAGTAAGTACAGCCAGGCCTAATGAAAGATGAAACTCTCTCCATCATTCTATTTCTTTCTGGGACCAGGTGATGTCTCATCTTTTCTTCTCTCTAGAGATATGCTCCATTCTCAAGCTTCACTCTAGATGGGATTTCTTTGTCTGTTCCCCTATAATGTTGTAACTCCAGCTCTGGCTCAACATGACCTTGCATCTTGGCTTCCCCAGTTGTGTGTCTATGTCTAGATTTCTGAGTGAGAAAGAGAGAATACGATTGCCTCTAAGTTTGGTTATCCAATTCTGGACTATGGCTGCAGGCAGTGGGGAGTGGGCATAGGGGGATCATGGATGTCCTGTCTAGGTCTCTGTGCTGAGAGACAATGATCTACATATCTAATATGCTTATGTGGTTACCAATTCTTTGGATTTTCTGACTGCATAATATTCCATGGAATGAATGTGTTACCAGTAGAAGAGATCTGAGTTACCCTGACCAGCAGCATATCCATATGGGTCCGTAGCAACTTCAGTCCCTGCCTCCTCAGAAGAAAGAATTTAACTGAGGGGCATAAAGCAGAAAAAGAGACTGAGGCAAGTTTCAGAGCAGGAGTGGAAGTTTATTTTAAAAGTCTTCAGGACGGAAAGAAAGGAAAATTTGCTTGGAGGAGACTCAAGGGGGCACCTGAAGGTCCAAGGGAGAAAAGAGAGCAAAAAAAAAGGTGCCTTTAACTTTGATCCTAGGGCTTTATAGGCTCGTCTCTCCCATGATTCTACCCTTAGGGTGGGCTTCCTGCATACTCAGTGCGTTCCTTACCATTTGGAATTGAGCACGCACAGTGTGTTTAGGGAGTTATACACATGCCCATCTGAGGCTTTCTTTCCTTTTCCAGTGGCGTGTACCCGGAAGATCATACTTCGCTATTTTTGTCTCTTGATGTGCATGTCCAGGAAGTTGCTTCTCCTTGGGGCCTACATTCAATTAACATTTTGATGTTAACAGGTGTGGACTATCAGGAAATGGCACCGGCTACCAATTTGTCACTGTTTGAAAGGCAATGCAATAATTGCTGAACCATCAATGGACATTTCTAGTGGGTGATAGGGAGAGCCCTCTCCTGCCCCACTCATGCCTATTTACCTGTAACAATTGTACTAGGCTCCTTCCATATTTGGGTCTGCTTTTTTCTAGCCAGTGGATGAGGAAGGAGATTGGGGATCATGGGTGGAAAGTTTTAGGGGTCAAGCCTTGAAGTGTCAGACATCACTTTTGCTCACACTTTACATTTCATTAGCCAGAACTCAGTCGCAGGACCACACCTAACAAAAATGGTGGTTGGGAAATTGTACTCCATTTGTGTGCCCAGGAAGAGAGGAGAACATGGGTGTTGGTGAGAAGCAGTCTCTGCTTCTGGCTGTTTTATTTTGAGGCTATTTCAAAGGACATTCATGTGTTTTGCCAGCTTGTTCTTTAGAGAAGAAAAATGTTATGCTGGATAGATTAAGGGACTGATTTGAGTGGCATTTCTTATGTTAATTTATGACATTATAAAATATTCTTACCTTTAATGTACATGTATGAATAAGTCTTTCAAAGAAATAAAAGCTGATAAAAGCCAAATGTTGATCAAGATCCTTCAAAAGTTGCATTAGCATAATGATCTAGATTTTCAACCTGAAGTGTTTAGTGAGAAACTCTTAGGCTCTGTCCTTCTTGTACTTCTTTGTAATTAATTTGAAACTTTTTTTTATATAAGATGTCCTTATCGAGGTACATTATAACTCAATAAAAATAAATGATACAGAAAAGTATACCATGTCAACTGGCTCATAAAATAAACCAGGAAAAGACATGTCTGTGGAAAATGAAGTTGAACGGGAGTCTGAGGCAGGAGAAACGCTTGAACCCGGGAGGTGGAGGTTGCAGTGAGCCGAGATCACGCCTTTGCACCGAGCCTGGGCAACAAGAGTGAAAACTGTGTCTCAAAAAGAAAGAAAGAAGAAAGAAAAGAAAAGAAAAGGAAAAGAAAAGAAAAGGAAAAAAAAAGAAAAGAGAAGATGAAAAAAGAGGTAATAAAAGTGTATAATACTCTGCCCACTACCCCCTCCTGTATAAAGAAAAAAATAACCATAATAATCCAAGTAACCACTGAAGATCAATTTTATAAAATCATCAGTTTCTCTGTTGAGTAAAATTGGGAACTGACTTTCAGCAAAGGGAAATGTAATTGAGTTTCTTTACAAAATGAAGAGTTTTTTTTTTTTTTAAGTCCTAGGAAATTTAGAGTCTGATTTACTTTTAAATGTATAGTCACAAGTATTTCCTGCGTCACCTGTTTGTTCCTATTTTGATTAGTCTCTGTTAGGGAATGAACTACTGAAAACTATAGGGTGGCATTCCATTATTCCTCCATAGGGAAAATGTATAAAATTGTAAGAGGATTGATAAGCTCACCTACCAATAGCTTTCCACATTATTTTGTAGTTTGAAAGGATTATAGCTTCCACACCATTATCTCAAAACCTAAATTAGCATTAAATATAAAGAGAATGAAAATATGATAAGCTTACTTATCTAAGTAAATAATTTTTATACGTTGGCCTGAGCCTTTTAATACAGGAACATTTGCATTAATAGAAAATATTAATTTGGTATTTACTCTTCAACTGATATAGAGTTTTTTAATATCAAATTTTAAATTAAAGTTGGGTTAACAGAACATGGATCTAACTTGGGGAAGGAGAATGAAAGGGTGACTTGAAAGGGCATTATTATGAAGAGAAGCATTAATTATTTATTTTAATTAGTTTTGAGGTCTACTAAAGCAACTTGATCAAACATTGTAAAATATGTAGTATATTCTTTCTATACCATTTATGTATCTATGCCCTTACTCCTACTTTCAATTTATCTCTAAACATCCTGTTAAAGAATGTTGAATTTATATTTAGTTATATTTAATTTATATTTATGTTTATATTAATTGACATGGGAAAGTCCAGTACAGTACTGCATGAAACTTTTCTGATGTCCCCCACATTCTAAGCAGGGAGCCATGACAATTACCTCACTTTCACAATGATGATAAGTATCCTCCTGATATCATTTGATCATTTCTGTAATTTTAAGAGTTGAAAACAAATTCCATAAAAACATATTCAGTGAAATATGAAGTTTATATGTATTCATCTTTGAGAAGAGAAATATCAGATGACCAGGTGAATTAAGAAGATCATACTACCTCAATGATTAATATTATGAGTGATATTGTAGGCATGGATTTTAAAATATTATTGAGTGCCTGCTGTTTATTATGCACCATTTTAAGCACTGAAGATACAGTAATAAATAAGATAGGCATTTGTACTTTCATGTAGCTTACATTCTAGCAATCAACAAAACTGAAGTTGATTACCAACTCTGCCTTTTACCAATTGTGTAACCTGATGAAATGTATCTAATCCTATTATCTGACCCACAGCCTCCTCACCTATGAAATGCAGATAATATCATCTACCTTATAGGATTATGGTGAGGATTCAGTGAGAAAAAGCACATGAAGTACTTTAGCAGAGTACCTGGCACATAATAGATGTTCAGTAAGTGGACAATGATGTTGCCATTATCATTAACAGCAATTATCTTTAAATTATTAGTATAATTATTAATAGTAATTCTTTCATGACTAAAATATCTCACAAGAAGACATGAAATGTGAATCAACTATTTCTTTGATTTATTTATTTTAGATTATGTGAAAATGAAATGAGCGCATATAGTTGTTTTTACATTCAACAAGCCAAGAAATATTTGCCCGCAAATAGAACACTTACCTTAGACTACCCAACCTTTGTTCCTTCTGCATAGTGATTCAAGACCCATTTAGAAGAAACAAAGGCATCATACAAATCAATATGTATTCATCGAATACCTCTGAAGTAAGAGACAATGTACCTAGAAATTAAGACTGTTTCCTGTCCTCAAGGAATATGCAATCCAGAGATAGTTGACCAGATAGGGCAGATATTGCTTCTGAATAAAAGAGGAGAAGGGATGATAACCACTGAAAGGTTTAAAAAGGATCTCCCGGCTGGGCATGGTGGCTCACGCCTGTAATCCCAGCACTTTGGGAGGCCGAAGCAGGCAGATCACCTGAGGGTGGGAGTTCGAGAACAGCCTGACCAACATGGAGAAACCCCATCTCCACCAAAAATACAAAATTAGCCGGGCATGGTGCCACATGCCTGTAATCCCAGCTACTGGGGAGGCTGAGGCAGGAGAATTGCTTGAACCCAGGAGGCGGAGGTTGCAGTGAGCCGAGATCACGCCATTACACTCCAGCCTGGGCAACAAGAGCAAAACTCCATCTCAAAAAAAAAAAAAATTTTTTTTGCAAATCACGATAGTAACGATCTAGACTACAGAGTATTTCTATTTGAGAATATATTATAGAACTAAGACTTAAGCCTAGGAAAATTAAAGCTTAGATAGGTATCCAGAAATTCATTTAAAAGCTCTTAAAATTATGAACGATGTGGACGGAGCATGGAATTTTTATCAACACTTGGCGTCCGAGGTTTAGAAGCAATATGTGGACAGAGGTGGCTTAGTATTTGGAAGAAAGAATCACAGGGCAAATAAAATGAAATTCTCCTTTATATAGTTGTTAGTAGAGATGTTGAGGTTGATATCTTTGCCAGTAATGACTCTTTTCCACAAAACAACTCTAAGTATTCTTGTTAGAGAAGAAAATGGGGCTGACCCAGCATGGCATTTTCTTGTGTTTTTTGGAGGCATGAGAATAAATACCTATGAATAGCCATTTAAGCAAAAGTGATATACAAATGCCAAAAAGCATATGAAAAGATGTTCAAGGGCGGGTGCGGTGTCTCACGCCTGTCATCCCAACACTTTGGGAGGCCGAGGTGGGCAGATCACTTGAGGTCAGGAGTTCAAGACCACCCTGGCCAACATGGTGAAACCCCGTCTCTACTAAAAATACAAAAATTAGCTGGGCATGGTGGCAAGCGCCTGTAGTCCCAGCTACTCAGGAGTCTGAAGCAGGAGAATCACCTGAACGTGGGAGGCAGAGGTTGCAGTGAACCGAGATTGTGCCACTGCACTCCAGCCTGGGTGACAGAACAAAACTCTGTCTCCAAAAAAACAAAAAAGAAAAAGAAAAGAAAAGAAAAGATGTTCAAAATCCCTATTCATCAGAGACATGCAAATCAAAACCACAATGAGATATCACCTCACACCCATGAGAATCATTACTATTAAAAAAAAAGAAGAAGGAAAATTACAAGTATTGGTGAGGATGTGGAGAAATTGGAACCCTTGTACATGGTTGGTGGTGTTGTAAAGTAGAAACCGCTATGGAAAACGGTATGGAAGTTCCTCCGAAAAGTAAAAATAGAACTACTGTATGATCCAGCAATCCTACTTCTAGGTATTTATCCAAAATAAATGAAAGCAGATCTCAAAGAGATATTTGCACACCTTCTATGTTTACAGAAGCACTATTCACAATAGCCAACAGGTGGAAGCAACCTAAGTGTCCATCAGTGGATGAATAGATAAACAAAATATGGTACATACATACAAAAGAATATTATTTGGCCTAAAAATGAGGGAAATCCTGTCAAATGCTACAACATGGATGAACTTGGAGGACGTTATGTTAAGTGAAATAAATCACAAAAACACAAATACTGTATGATTCCCCTTATATGAAGTATGTAAAGTAGTCAAAATCATAGAAACAAATAGAATGGTGGTTGCTTGGAAGAGGATGGAAAGAACAATTGTTTAATGGGGATATAGTGTTTCAGATTTGCAAGGTGTAAAAGTTCCAGAGATCTGTTCTATAACCATGTCAATAATACTTAACATTACTGAACTATACACTAAAAAAATTTAACATGCGAAATTTTATGCCATATGCTTTTTATCACAATAAAAATTCATTTTATAATTTGTTTTTTTAAAAAAATACCTAAATTCTACTATGCTATCCAAATATGGTTTGGTCCTATTAACTTCTAGTCTTCTTGTTTTTAAAAACCCAACCTCAGCTTCTACTGGAAGCAAGTTGAATTCCTTCTTCTGGGTACAAAAATGAGTCAGATGCTTATAGCTAAGGGAATATAGGTATAGATATGCGTCTCATAAGAATGTTTACAAGATGTAAAAGAAAAAAATCATTGGTTATTTATGCATCTGTTGTTAGAAAGTCATAGATTTCTGTCTGTTTCCTATAGAATTTTAAGTGCCACATTAAATCACATTATTTAGTGCTAGCAGATACCCTCAGAATTATGTAGTATGAGGGGTTTAAAAATAGAGAGCACATTTTCCCCTTTTTTATAGATGATTTTAAAATCCTTACAGGGGCATTTATTATATTCCCATTTACCACCACTGGGTCTCATCATTCTTGAAGATTTTTTTTTTAATTTCTTTATATGCCCATTTCCTTTTGGTAATATCTTGCCTTTCCTTTTTAAATTTGAACTTGAATATTAAAACAGATGCAAAGAAGAGTACTACTTACACATAAACTCTTGAACTGCATTTTTATCATTTGCTCTGTGGAAAAAAACCCAATTGTATGAAATTGATAGCAACATTTTAGTATATCCTCAGGTCCCCAGGGAAAAGCAATGTGCTTAGACAGATGATCTGATTGTATGAGCACATAGCTAACATCTAGCACTGAGCATTTGTCTTTCTGCTCCTGCTTCTTTCAGGGACTATGAAAACACATTTAGGCACTAGTTTGACTTTCCAACAATGGACTGCAAAGCCTATGACAAAACACGTCATTTGCATTGCTCTTTTTCATGGTTCACAACAAAGTACAGATCACTTTCAGCATAGAATCTTAATCTGAGTTTGTTAATAAGAAAACAAGAACCTTAGTACATGAACTCATTTTATTATCTACCCTCATTGAGAACCGTGATTTGGATTCCACTCAAATAAAAATTAGTTTAAATGTTGTTCTGCTGCAACTGTTGAATTTATTCATTATGCTGTAATATTTTACTTATGAAACTGCATTTGGAAATCCTTTGGTGTACATCAGGATGAAATTACAGGGCTCAGGGATATTGATTATTCTTGTAATTGCCGTCATAATAGCCAACAATTCTCTGTCTTTTGTTTTCCTTCCTTCCACCTCTTAATATTATACCAAACCAAATCAATATCCAACATATTGGAACACTTACATTGTCTCAAAAATCCAATTATTCTCCTTCATAAATGTGCAAAAGATTGAAGATTTTATCTCCAAACATTAAGTAAAGGAACCTCATTCTGCTGGGTTTCTCCTTTGTCCCATAGGACCATATCAGAGTGTTGCTGCATCGAATCCATAATATGTGACATTTTGTCACCTCCAAAGTAACCACAGGGCAGGAGTGGGGAGGTAGGGAGGCTACATCCCTACGCTGCCTGTATAGTGCTACACTTCTTGCTCACTAGTAAATGAAATGGTCAAAGGGGAAAAAAACAGTCTGGGAGAGTTAAGCAGACATTAAAAAAGAAATTCATCTTTTTATGGTGCGGAGGAGGTTATTTATTTAAAAGCCTTAAAGTAACAGCACAATCAAATGAAAAGAGGACAACTAAGAGTCACTTATTCATTAAAATATACTTAATCTTATTATTATTTTTATATTGTTTCTTCATTCTGGGGATAAATTAGGTGCCTTTAGAAGCAGTAGTAACTCTTTTAGGTTTTCATCAACTAAAGGGTAGTTTCTTTGTAATGCTTACCCATTCATCCAAAATAGTTAAGACAGTCTTTAAAATTTACTAGAAGAACATTTGACATACAGAAGAATAGATGTGTATTATGTAGTACTGTTTGAACAGATAGTATTTGTTGGGCCCAGGTCAGTTAACCCAGATGATTAGAACCTGATGCTAATCTGGTGAAGACTGTGGTTGTCAAGTAGCATGGGGTAATGTAAATACACTATTTTGGAAGCCCCAGATTTCAGTTTCATCCATGCCTATTAGCTAGCTATGTTATTTTTAAGTAAGAAAGTTTCATTCTCTTGGCCTCAGTTTCCCTAACGTCAAAATGAGAGGGATGGGCTACTAGATGATTTCTGCGGGTCCCTTCCAACTCTGTGATTCTGTAGCCATCATTCTCACATTCTTGTTATTAGTCAGAAAAGGAATGTAATAGTGTGGCTCAGTTAAACATCATCCTCATGCCAAATTCAACACAAAGCATACTTATTCTATGCCTCAACAGGCCTGTATTCCCATCACAAACAATACACTATGTTATAGTATATTGTTTAAGAGCAGTGGCTCTGCAGCCAGACTGCCTGGGTTTGAAACTCAGTTTAATCAATTACTAGCTGTGGGGCCAAGGAAAAGTGACTTAACCTCTCTGTGCTTAGATCGTCTCATCTGTAAAATAGAGATATCGACTGTAATAAAGTTGTTATGAAGATTAAATAATATAATACTTTGTGAAGTATTTAGAGCAATGCCTGTCAAAAATAATCACTCAAATGTTATCTCTTACTAACATTATTATAATAATTACTATTATCACCGCTCTACTCCTACTAAACCTCTTTGGGTCTCAGTTCAGTCATCTAGAAGATTAGGATAATAGTATCAACTTCACAGACATATAAGGATCAAAATTGGAGACAAAGTGCCTAACTTGGAGCCTGGCCCATCTAGGCGCTCAATAAATCACGTTAACTTAAATGGAACCAACTATTCCTGTGGTTGGTGTTATCCTGTAAATGTTTTCCACTCCCTAATACTCATGAATCTTTTTTTTTATCTTAGTTACAAAATCAATACAAGCTCAAGGCAGAAAAGTTCAGAAAATACCCCTACCATACAAAGGTAACATAAATTATTATTTTCCTTGAACATATGTACTTTTTTTCCTTTAAAAATTGAATAACGTTGCCCATACTCTTTTGAAGCCTGCCTTTTTTTGCTTGGTAATATCTGTAAACACTTTTCCCAGTGAATAGACAGTCATTTGCCACGCAATTTGTAATGATTGTGTAGTACTACATTATGTGTTTATAAAATAATTTACTTAATGAAATAGCAATTACTGGGCATTTAGATGTTTATTTTTTGCTATTATAAATAACATTGCAATGAATGGCTTCTTATATGGATTGTCATACACATCATTTCCTGAGGAAAAATTCCTATAGCCATAATTATTGCATCAAAGAATAGGCATTTTTAAAGTCATTTGATACATAATGCCAAATTGCCCTCCAGAAAGACCTGTGAATCTGTACTCCCCTCAGCAACCCAGTCCTTTAAAAAATTTTTAACCTCATGATACTGAAGCAAAATTCTCTGTTGTGGGTATTTTCCATTAACATTCATATAGGGTTTTTTTAATCCCTTTAAATACATATGCTTTTGTTCTTTAAATATGGAAGCTAGAAGTCAGTCTTAAAATAATGTTAGTAATTTATGCATTTGTGCACACATTACATGTACAAGGTGATGTTGGCTTTATGCTTAGTGAAATTTTTTGTTGTACATTAAAATGTAGCACTCGAATGTGTTTTGTTATTTTACTGCCCCAGGTAATACGGTAGACTGCTTAAGATTAAAGACTTTGGTCAAGGTGATGAATATGCTAATTATCCTGATCTGCTCATTCTACATGTATATGTATTGAAACAACACTATGTGATGCTGGTAGGCTGGGGGAAGTCCCCAAATGCTGGCGGGATCTTGGCCACAGCTGGTGTCCAGGCTCTTGACACTGTTGCAAGAATGAACTCAAAGACAAGTTGGAAAATAGTGGAAGTATGGACATTTATTGCAAAGGGAAATGTACACACTCAAGAAAAGGGAGTATAAGTGTACTCAAGAGAGAATCACCCACAAGGGGGTTTGGAGCTGCTACCTTTTGGGGTTTGTTTATTCAAGGGGTAGAATATTCATGAAAATTCCTGTAAAAAGGTGGAGATTTATCGGAACTGTGGTGCCACCCATTTTTACACCAAACATGGGTATTTCTGGAACTGTCATGGTGCTGGTGGGTTGCGTGATTTAGTATGTTAATGAGGATATAATGAAGTCCGAGGTGAAACCTAGGTCAAATCCCGCACCACGTTGGGTCCAGTCAGTCTTAGCCAGCTTGGTTCAAATCCTATTATTCAGGGTCTTAATAGCCCATAGCCTCTAATCATGTGAAACTGCTGCCTGGAATTTTTTTATTCTCCTGCAACCACACTATATTATTCCTGTCTCATATGTACCCCATAAATATGCACAATTGTTATATATGTCAATTAAAGATAAAAAAGAAAAGAAAAAAGTTTATAAAAAATGATTGGCCAGGCACAGTGGCTCATGCCTGTAATCCTAGCACTTTAGGAGGCTGAGGTAGGCGGATTGCCTGAGCTCAGGAGTTCAAGACCAGCCTGGGCAACATGGTGAAACCCCGTCTCTACTAAAATACAAAAAATTAGCCAGGCAGGGCGGCAGCCTGTGGTCTCAGCTACTTGCGAGGCTGAGGCAGGAGAATTGCTTGAACCCAGGAGGTGGAAGTTACAGTGAGCTGGAGTTACAGGCTGGAGTGCAGTGAGATCTGGAAGTTACAGGCTGGAGTGCAGTGAATGAGATCGTGCCACTGTACTACAGCCTGGGTGACAGCGAGACTCCGTCTCAAAAAAAAAAAAAAAAAAAAAGATTAAGGACTTTGGAACCCCAAATGACCTAGATTCTGATTCTGGCTCTGTCCTTCACTTGCTAGGTGAGTTTGGGCAAGTTGTTTAACCTCTTTTGGTCTCCATTTCTATAAATACACAATGAGAATAATATAGACTATTTCATAAGAGTAAAGAGCAAAAGAGATACTAATGAGTGTTCAGCACAACACTTGGCACTTAGCAAGTATAAAAGTACTTTTATTTATTTGTTGTATAAAAGAAGTATATGCAATTTTATTTATTTATTTATTTGTTTTTGGCAACTCCTTCCATGTGAATACATTACTACTGTTTACAAAATGCCCATATTACAATAGTCATGAACACTCAACAATCATTCTTTAGTAATTCAAACATGACAGTAGCATGACTCCATTTGCATGAAGTTCTACAAGAGGCAAAACAAATGTATGGTGGCAAAAACATGCAGAATAGTGGTTTTCTCTGGGAATAGAAATAGGGATTTACCTAGAAAAGACAGAAGAGAACTTCTTGTCTTGATGGGAATGTTATACATCTTGATAGGGGTTTGGGTTGCATAGGTGACAGCATTTGTCAAATCTACAGCAAATGTGCACATAAAACTGCACATTTTATTATGCATAAATTTTACATTAAAATTTGTAAAACTATCAAACTAGCTAATAATATGTGAGTTAAAATATATGAAGGGAAGTGTACTGATGTATGCAACATACTTCAAAATGCTTAAAAACTAAAAACTGGCCGGGCACAGCGGCTCACGCCTGTAATCCCAGCACTTTGGGAGGCTAGGCGGGCGGACCACTAGGTCAAGAGATGGATACCATCCTGGCCGACATGGTGAAACCCCATCTCTACTAAAAATACAAAAAGTAGCTGGGCGTGGTGGTGCGAACTGTAGTCCCAGCTACTCAGGAGGCTGAGGTAGAAGAATTGCTTGAACCCGGGAGATGGAGGTTGCAGTGAGCCGAGATCATGCCATTGCACTCCATCCTGGTGACAGAGCGAGATTCCATCTCAGAACAAAACCAAACAAACAAACAAACAAACAGAAACAGAAACAAAACAAAACAAAAAACTAAAAACTGACAGATGGAGAGAAGAATGGAGAAATGAATAAGTATGTGACAAAGTGAGTTCAGTCAAATGCTAACTGTGGAATCTAGTTAGTGAGTATGTGATTGTTTATTATAAAATTCTTTCAACTTGGCTGTATATTTGATAATTTTTATAATAAAATGTTGAATGAAAATATGGCTGTGAAGCTAGTCTCTAAAGTTTGGTAGTGAGGATAATCTCAAACACTGGTGTCTAGGCCATTCTAATGATCAAAATGCCTAATGATGCATCTCTGTTTTTGAATCAACTCTTGATGATCATATTTAATGAAAGGGAAGGGTGTAGTGTGTAACACCAAATGTGGAATGTTAGCACTCACTAGCCAGCAAATCGGGGAACACAAGGCCTGTTTCTTAAAGGTCTAGATGAAAAAAGAAAAAAAAAGACAAAGAAAAGAGAGAGAACAACAAGGGCAATTTAGAATTATCTCTTAGGTATATGAAAATGTTGCTGAGCTCCATCCAGTTCTCTTGAGCTTGGCTATAGCATGATTGTTTGAAATTAATGGAGTTTGTGTTTTTGTAGCAACTGGCTTTGCTTTTTATAGCCCAAACTTGTGTTTCCTTTTCACAGGCATTTCCTGTTCAAACATGGATCTGGTTCCTCTGCGATCTTCAGTGCAGCCAGTCAGAACTACCCTCTGACATCCAATACCGTGTACTCGCCCCCTCCCAGGCCTCTTCCTCGAAGCACCTTTTCCCGACCTGCCTTTACCTTTAACAAACCTTACAGGTGCTGCAACTGGAAGTGCACAGCATTGAGCGCCACTGCAATCACAGTGACTTTGGCCTTGTTACTAGCCTATGTGATTGGTAAGTCCTTTTTGTCATGCCTCAGTTTTGTTCTTAATCAAAGTCTTGTTTTGCTTGTGGTGGGAATGGGGGGTTTTTCTCTCGATTCTGGCATGTACACATTTGGACCTAGGCTTAGTATGATAACAAATTGATTTTCTTCTTTTTTTTTTTTCTTCCTAACCTTAAATACTGCTGAGGAGAGTAAGGAATGCTCTTTGAGAAGAAATATTTATACTACTAACACAGTCTTATTGATCGCAATTACTGTAGTTAACCATTTTCCCTTCAATTAAAAGGTTGTTATGGTTTTCCCATTAGAAGTCATAAGTACCAATCTACAATAGCTTCTTAAATTACAGTTAAACAATAATACTGCTACGGAATTTTCAGGTAGCAATTTCATTAAAGCCCCAGTTATTTGGAAGCTATCAGAAAATTCAGTACATAATTTCTTCCCAAGAATTCAGATTTTTACACTGTGACCAAAAAATGTATTCTTATTTCACTAGGTAAATGACTGCAAAATTGTTTAGTTACTATGTCTTGAAAAGTAAAGCAGAGAGCAGTTATAAGGTGCTCTTTCCACTTTTAGGAAAAATGTTGTTGTTCTTGAGTCACCCTGATTAAAGTCACCCTCATTTGGTAGCAAATTGTATTGATTTTTCTGGATGTCATTTTATTGTGACTGAATATTAATTTACTTTCTTGAGTGGTTCTGCAGTCTAAAATGTAAACTGACTTAAGAAATGTGTGTATTTTGTGGCAGCACTATTCCTAGAAGGAATAGAATGTCATTGTAGAAAACAAAGTCTATCCAAGTATATCCCTAATAAATTATTTTCAGGTTTACCCCAGTTACCTATTTGAAGCAGATTTACCCACTAAGAGACAATGAATATGATTTTGAGTGGCAGATAAAAAGAGACTTAGACTTTCTTTAAGTAATAAAGTACATTTGGTTGATTCCCATTTATCTAAAATGAGAATAATCTAAAAGTTCACATAATGAGTTTGTGTGGGCATCATAGACCAGTGGATGGTAAGTAAATAAACGGCTATATTTTGTAGGGAGGTCACTGATGATGTAAACAGTATAGGATCATAGCCTGCGCTGATGTTCATGATTCTCTCTTTTATATTTTCATCACACAAGCTGAATATATTTGAACAATGCTTCTATTTAACATGGATTATATTACCCTATAATATCAAAACTGTGTCTTTTATCTCAGACATTTCAGGATAACCCAACATGTGTGTTTATTTGGTTTGTGGTGACCTGTAATGAGAAATACTGCTGAAGGAATGGAGGCGAAGGATGAGAAAGTTCTACAACTCAAACATGATTTTCATATATCATTGAGAACAAGGAATAATATAAAAAGTTTAAATACATTAGAGTCCCTTTAAAATGGTCTTGCTCAATTGAGATAAACTTTTATATGGGTTATTTTCTATTAACTTTTACTATATAGAGAGATAATGTTTTAGATACAAGGCCTAACCCTTGGTGTAAACAAGCTCAAGTAATAGCAAGCTCTTTATTTAGGTTTATACCATGTTTAATACTAATTTTCTATTTAAATTTATTATTATGGCCACTCCCATATCAAAATTTTATTACATATTCTGAAACTTGTTTAATTCAGTTGTATGTTTATTCATTTCATCAGCAAAAGTGGAACATTTCAGTTATTTCAAGGACTGTCTTTTTTAATAGAATAAACAATGGCATATCAATTTGGCATGGAAGTAAGACAGTATAGTTCAATAGTTATTAACATAGATTTTTCAGACCTCTGCCACTTATTAGGTGTGTTTCCTTGGGTGAGTTACTTAACCTTTTCAGGTCTCCATTTCCTCATCTGTAAAACAGGCTTAAAATCGTACCTATAGCATAGGATTGTTAGAAGAATTAAATGAGTTAATATAAGTAAAGCACATGGAGTAGTGCCTGAAATATAGTAAGTAGCCTATAAATGTTAAATATTATCATTAATATTACCATTGTTACCATCATAATTATTATTCACGATTAAAATTCACTAGTTCCCAGAATTAACAATTTTGTTCATGGCTGTATCTCAGCACCAAGAACAGTGCCTGGCACGTGTAAGCCCTTTCAGTAAAAGTTTGTTGGAAAAAAATGAATTATGCTAAGCTCTTTCCTTGTATGAGCACATTTAATTCTCACAACAATCCTTAAGGATAGGTATCAATACATATGTATTTTATAAATGGGGAAACTGAGGCTCAACAAAGTTAAGAGGTCACATAGAGGCCACTTTTGAGATTAAGAGGGTGCCTTGCTAAGAAATAAGGATGCTGAGCTTCAAGCCAGAGCAGACTGACTCTTGAGTGCTAGGCCTTGCTGCTCTTCTAGCACTGAAGTAAACTTTATAACTTGTTTACTTCTCAGTCTACTGAATAAATCCACCAGATATTTTTTCTTATTAAATTACAAATTCAATTAGATATACCAAGTCATCTATTCCCATGGTGAGTGCCACTAAGATTGGTTGATTGGTAAGCAATATTTGTTGAAATCATTTACTGGGAGATTTTTTAGATGCAGAAATATCAGGCTAAATGCTGGCACAGTAACTTGAGTGGGTTCAATATGAGAAGATGTTTATGGCAAACACTGGAACTTTGTTCCTGGTTCTGTCATGAACTGGACATTATGTGACTGGATAAGTCAGTAAAAATCTCTCTTGATTTATCCCATCTGTGCCATATTGGTGACCACCTCAGAAGGATAGAGTAAAAATTCATAAATAGGCATTCAGGTGAAAGATAGCACATAAGAGCTGTAATATACAAGATGATTTTTAAATGGCTTTCTGTGGTTGAAATAAAAAAGTATTATATTTCAAAATATGAAACCATTTCATTCTCGACTATTGCTGAGTCTGTAAGTCATCATTTTTTTCAATCCCCATTTGCAGTTGCTGTATAACCCAAGTAAAATCTTTCACTGAAACTACTTGCTGCTTCTGTTTCCCATGCAAATTCCTTTCTGCTATTTCATTTTCCTCTATTATCCATTATACATAACCTTTAGATACTAATGGCTGTATGCTGTGCTGCCCTCAATCCACTAGGGGAAATCGCATCGATATCAATGGGACATCAATAGTCATTCTGTGCATTATAGCTCTGTAAGTGGTCATTGGAAAGCAGTGGAAATCCAGCACGTGAAAAGCCAGAGCTGGGTTGTTCAGCCAACCAGTCCTATCTCCACACCTACCCACTATACCTTTTGGATCAGGGAAAAAAATCATTCCTTTGAATAAGTTTTGAGTTCAAAAAAGTTGGTGAAGAGAGGCATGGAAAAATACTGATTATATGAAGATAGCATGGAATGGCTATTGTCATCACTTCCTCGTAAATCTGTAATATTTTCCATCTGAATCAAAAAGTATGTCCTTATGCTTCATCTTTTCTGATATTTTGGCATCAGTGATGTATCAGTGCCAGTCAGAAGCACATTTGCTTGAATTTACAAATAAGCCATATGAAGTAGTAGTCAGGAAGACAGATGACCATATGCAAGGTGTCAAGAGAAGGCGAGGTTAAGGTACTTCATCAGTGGTTGTGAAGGGCACAAACACAGCTTCTCTGGCAATCTTTGATGTTTTGATCAAGTTTCTTCACAGTCAGCAGATTGTATAAGAGGCTACAGAATCTCACATACATGGAAACTCACATGAATACATTGTGCCTGGGGTCAAGTGCGCTGTTACATTGAATGAGCTGAAGAGTAGGGGTTTCTGGCTCTCGTACCCATTATCATTAGTTAATGACATGGATGATCCTTTTCCTTTGCCATGAGATTAGTAGCAATCCATACCACCTTCAGGGGATACAGGTAGTATTCCAACTGTGCAGATGAAATAATTTCAGTCCATAAATCTTGTCATGACATACTATATAGCCTACATGTAGAAAGCTGACCACAATGGATATTAACAATATAGAACTAGAAGAGATAGAGTTTTGTACCCAGTTCTCTGATCCAAAGGTTAGAGATGAAACTATTCAAGAGGGCAAAGGGCCTTCTTCATGTTGCTCTCTGCAGCAAAATTCAATAACATAGATTCAAGTGCTTTTTTTGCCTCTTTGCACTGGCCCAAATTGCCCTATTTTGGGGGTTTACTACAGTGGAGTAAAAGAGTGCTGAAAATAATAGAATGAAAGGAGTGGTGTGTGTTCATTTTGTCCGCCTCAAAAAGAAAGTGCAAATACCTCACTATACAGGGAAGACATAAAGTGGACTGTGGCATGTGCTGACTTTGGAAAATTCAAGAATTTAGATTTTTTTTAACAGAGAGGATAGAAATGGAGTTTTTTCCCCATTAAATCTAAATATAAAAATGCTCCCTCACACAGTATTTGCTAAATGTAGATAAATATGCTTACCAAAGCCCAACTCTTTCACTTATAGTGCTAGCAACTTCATTAATCTTTCTGTGCCTACGTTTCCTCATCTATAAAATGGGAATGTTGATAATACTTTCTTCAAGGATTGTCTTTATAATTAAATGAGTTGAAGCTTGTAAAACACTCAGGACATTGCTTAGCACAGCTGAATAAAGATTAATGATAATTATTAGTGAAATAGAATTATTATGAAGATTATTTAGTTTGAGCTGGGGTAAGGGTAATGAGGATATAATTCATCCTAACATGAACTGCTTTTGTTTCCCTTCTTTCCAAAGTCATCTAAAACAATTTTTCAGAGCATGAATGTCTGTCTCACAAGAATCCTCTAATGAGTTTGTTGTTTCCTTCTGCCTGGTCTGAAATAGCTGTCACTTTGCCTTTATTTTACTAATATCCCTCTTCTATGATGTTTTGACCCTTCAAATGGTTTTGTATTTTTATCTGAAGGCCATATCTAGGTTGAAACACGTTTTCATTAAAATGCATTACAGCTTATAACATTCAAGAAATGACTCAGCATAAAATGCTAAAAAGCATTTCACATTATCCTATAGACCGTTATCAATCCTTTTGCTGTCATGCTTAATACTTATTACTTCTTCCAATTCACTCTTATAGACCCAATCATGATAATACTGACAGTTTTTATATTAGCATTGACTTTTCCTCCTATTCATGAATCTACCAACCTTCTAGCAATGTCTCTAAGCAGGGATCTGGAAAATGGTGGTATGACTTCAGTCTAATTACAAATCTGCTATCCATGCATTTACCAGAACCTTTCTTTAAAAAAGATTTATAGACTCTTCTTACATCACCTTTTGGTATAATATATTCCATAAGTTTTATCCCCACCATGTTAAGTGGCACTCTTGCCTGTCATAAATAAAAGTATAAATCCAATCCAAATTAAACATACTAAAATGACATGATGAATCCATGTCAAATAAAACTAATTTCTAGAATCAGAGTTAGGTCCTGTTGTTCAGACTAAGGGCATCTTGGTGAAAGGCAAATACTGCACTTATTTTTTTTTCTTAGAACTCCAGAATGTATTTAAGACACAGAGTAAGAGAAATAATTTATTGGGTGAACAAGTAGTAGATACTAAATATATGTCTTGCATCAAGAGATTATTGTCTCAAGGAGAGGCAATCACTCTACTAAGTACTTCTCATACAGTACTTTCTTAGCCCGGCTAGGAAAATTAAAATGAGACTCTGTGAAATAGATAAAGATCTACTGGTAGGCATAATAAAGGGGGACTGGACAGGAGGTTAGTCATTTTGGAGTTTTGCATGCTTAAGACATTTTAGAACAGTAAGAATCAATCATGCAAACTCAGACCAAAAAAAAAATCTCTCAAGAAATCTATGACTTCACAGTAAATAACTTGAATTCTATTTCATAAAGAAGAAATTTAGCTCCTGTTTAACTCAGTTTCTCTCCACCCAAATTGTATATATAGTGCATACATAGATATGTGAATATTTTAGAGCCACATTGCATAAGTCGTTAAGCTATACTTACTCTGAAGTGAATAAGAATAAACTAAATTAGAGCAATGGCTTTTAAACAGATGGCAGGTTAACCCATTTTAAACTTCAGAAATATGACTAAATTTTTATCTAGAACAGCCAGAGTGGGGAGGGCCAGTATCACCAACAAAATATCTGATTTATCATAGTCAACACTAACAGGTGGCATCTTACAGGGTGGAGGCTTATCCATTTAGGGTTCAGCAATATTTGCTTCACAGAAAGGTTGAAAAGCATAGTATGTTTTAATAAATACAAATATATTGCAATACCTGGGGAAGCAAAAAAGGAAAGATACAGAAAGGTGGCAGGAAATGAAGACGGTAAGCAGGAGCTGATTATGGAAGGCATTTTAAGCCATGGTAAGGACCTTGAAATTTATTCCCAGAACAAATGGAGAGTTGTTGTGGTTTTTCATTAGGGCAAGACAATTATTTGCTCAGACTTACATTTAGAAAAATCACCCTAATGGCAGTATTGAAGTTGGGTTTGGCAGGCAGGACGATGGGTTTGTAAAATTGAAAACATGGAGATAAATTAGAAGACTATATTAGTAATACAGATTAGTGATAGTGAGAGCATAAACTTCTGGTAATGGAGAAGGAGGAGATGGAATGGAGAAATATTTAAATGATAAAACTCACTTGACTTAGTGACTAATAAGATGTATCAGGAGAGAATGTTGTTATCTGGCTTAGGGACTGGGTAGATGGTGATGCTATTAGTCAAGATAGATAGCAAATGGAAGGAAGAGGCTTAAGGGTGAAAATGGACCTACAGGTAGAGATACCTAGAACATTATTAAATATTTGGTGCTGAAACTTTGGAGGTAACTACCGTTGAGGACACCAAAATCGTAGGAGTAGGAAGGAAAAAGGAGTATGAAGACTTGAACTCTGGGAAATACTGGTGTTCAAGAAGCCCAGGGAAAAGGAATCTGCTAAGCAGACTATGAAGAAACAACTAGAAAGATTGGAAGAAAACATTCTATGGTGAAGATAAAATAGTGGTTCTCAATGTGAGGTCTAGCAACCACTAGGAATTCCAAGACCTGTCAAAGCATCTATAAAGTAAAACTATTTTCATAATACCATAAAAGTGTTATTTATCTCTTTTACTGTAATTCTCTCAGGAGTGTACAGTGTAGTTTTTCAGAGACCACATGACATGTGAAATCACAAGAATTTACATGCAAAAGTAGCTATGAGAGTCCGCCTGTTTTTCGTTAAGCCAAACATGAAAGAGAACTTCAAAAATGTAAAACAATGCCACTATTCTCACTAATTTTTTGGGTTTTGCAAAATACTATATAATTATTTATTACAAAATGTGTCATTTATGTTAAAATGTAATGGTATCTATATATTATTCAATAAATTAATAAATACTTAAAAATTATCCATTTTAATTTCTAATGTAGATATAACTCATGTCACCAAAAGCTCTTTGGCATCTTCAGTAATTTTTAAGGGCAATAAAGAAGTACTAAGACTAAGTCATTTGTTCATGGAAGGCTAGATTCTTGTCTAGGTATGATCCCACAAAGTAGTCTTTCCTGGGTAGACTTACAAGCCCATTAACAAATTACACCAAAGTACAGATAGCATTTAAATAATAGCACTAGTTTGTATTGCATCCTCCATACAGGCAAGACCCACGTGGAATTTCAGATTACAGTGTAACTTCTCAGGAACACCTTCCTTGGGGCTCCTACTCCTCTCTATGGGACAGTAATGAACAAATTAAGAGGATCCAAGATGGCTCACTGTAATTTTCTACTCGTCAAAGCCTCATCAAAGCGTTGCCAGTCTAATTAACATAGACCTTGTGTACTGTGTTATAGTTAACTTCCAGGGTAATTGCTTAGTCAAGAGTTTCTAAGGAAGGGCCTCACAAATGTTTGATTATTGGGTTGGATGTGACAATGGGAAATTCTTAACAGGAAGAAAAGATATATGATCTGGCACTTTGAAAAGCACTCTTGCTTCTATTTCATTTAGCTCATATTAAAGGAGCTTTCCTGATCAAATGATCAGGGAACTGTAGGCTAGCATATATACATAGAATACCAGAGGAGGTGGTTGAGCTCTCAGATAAACTAGCTGCAGCTCTGGTCAAAAATGAATGGAAATGTGATTTTTGACTGCAACCATTCTGTGCTACACAGACAAAGACTTTGCTCTTTGGTAGTCATAGGTTTCATTAAATCAAATAGCCCATTATTCAACGTTCTTAATTCAGTTTTACCCTTTGTTCACTTATGAATCTACATTTCCTTTGGTTTTGAACTTTAATTTTAATTAAGCGTAGATATTAAATATGGCAAATAACAATAATGCAGTCTTTTATATATATCATATCCACAAATACTTTGCAGAATTAACTAATAAAATTATGGAGTTAAATGAAAATAATATTAAATAAAGAGAGCAGATAAAAGATTTTGGATTTTACTCATAACAAGCAGCTAAGCCAATACTAGTTGTACAATGCTTAAGAGAGAGAGGAGAGAGAGAGAGAGATACCAGCTGTCAAGAAACTAGGAACAAGTATATTGCACTATGAAAGAAAGTGGAAATTTTTGAAATGGAGTGGTTTTGTTAAAGATCATGTGCTACCTCCAGACATAGAAACCTATTGAACCCTAATCCTCTGAAGCTAACAAATAGTTCACTGGTTTTTGTACCACCTAGCAGAGAGTCAAGAAGTTTTTCTTTTTAAATGTCTGATTGTAGTGGTAAATCTAGCCTCAATCAGTCGATAAGTAGTTGAAGAATCAGATGACTTTTGAACCTACTTGAACTATTTGGCTCTTTAGAGGTGAAAGTTCTTATACCAGTGGGAAAATGTAAAGGACTGGAAATATTCAATGCTACTCCAGGCTATAATAGCACATGCTCCAATATTATCTCATAGAATGTTGTAGAGATAGCACTACTTAAGATTTACCAACATAGGAGACTGTGGGAGTATTGAAAGCCAGATGGTACAAATAGATCCTTTCTTTGTCATGCCTAAAACACAGCCTGTTCTAAGATTGTACAAAACCCAAACAAACCATTAGTATCTTTGGTTTCTTTTCCTGCCTCTGTATGTTTTTAGTTTGGTTTCTCTGAACAAATTCTGCCATTATATAACTTGGGTTAGCCATCATATAAATCTTTTTGCTGATAGGCAACAATCTAGTCTTTTGAATCAATGAACTATTAAATGTATAACCCATTAACTGGAAGGAAAAAAAAAATCCCTCAATTTTAAAAATAAGAGGTTCAATGGGCAATCACAGTTAAATAGACTTTCAAAAAATGAAGACTGTGGAGTCCAGTGGTAGGGACATATTTTGGCCTAAAAGAAGCATAATTCATTGTTAGCATGCATAGCAAATTAAAGAATATAGTTCTTTTTTATAGGCAATTACAGTGCATATGTCTTTTGTGATTTGAGTAGGTAGGAAAGAAATAAAAATATTTGGATTACTCACTGACTGCCTCAGTAGCATTCTCGCTAATGAGGCTGAGGTCATGGGCTCAGTTACTATTTCAATCTGTCAGTTCAGTTCTGTTCTGTTTCATTACCAAAGCCCATAGTCTCAATCTCCCTTTGCGTTTCCCTCCCCAAATCAGGAACTTAGTCCTGTCTTCTACTTCCTAACAAAACCTGAATTCAGAATTGAATCTTAGGTCAAGAGGTTTTACATAAAATGTCTTGTTTCTCTTTAAAAATAGATCTGTCATCCCTGGCCCGGCATTCTCCCATTTCCCCATGCATTTATTGAGTACCTACTATGTGTCAAGTATTATTTCAGTCTTTGTTGTGGCAAAAATAGTATGAGAACCATCAACTGGGGCTAAATAGGACCATGAACGCTCCAGTCCATCGAATACCCATCCTACCCTCTTCACTCTTTTATATTATCTGCCTTCCTTCTATGTAGATATCTAAGCCTGAAGCCACATAATAAAATAACTCACACTGAGGTATAAATGGCTATAACAAAGATAAGTGTATTATATCTCCGTTACGTAATTTGCACTTTATCAGGAGACAAAGTGTTAATTCTAAAAAAGTCTAGGTTCTGCAATTAGAGTCAACTCAGAAGTTGAAATATATTTGCCATCACTACTTTAAGCCAAAGAAGTGAGATACTCACTATGAATTTCCAAGCCTTAAAAATCCAGGTGGAGAAATTATGTGAAGGGCAGGAAAACATGCCTAAGAATACAACACAGTCACCCTGTTAGTACACCTGGATTTATCCACAGTTACAAATCATGGCCCTAACCATGGATGACTCTCTCATAGATGCATGGAACTGAACGTAAAGAACAGCATGCAGTAAAATTATATTTCATACCCATTATTAGAGACTTGTTTCAAATGAATGTGTTATAGATACTGGGTACACAATGTTCAGGTATGTGTGTCTGCATATGTATTATATAAACGTAAAAATAAATATTAACAGTGAGTTCTGGGTTCCCATAGGGTAACATTGGCCTTTTAAATCCAAATCTCTCCATTCCCTTATTCAAAAAGAAATTCAAATGCAGAAGGGAAGCAAGTAAAACCACCTGTAACCCACTCAATAACATAAATAGGAGATAGATAATTCTACAAACTTCAGATTACACATAGGTAGAGAAATAAGCACCCAAATTACTCAGAGTTGTCTCTGTAGCCCATGCCAGGACTGAGAGTCAGATAGAGGCTAAATGGAAAAGAAGACATGAGAGCTAGGGCCCAGCTATGGCAGACTTGATCAAATTACTCCCATTAAAAAGAAGAATTACTCCCATTAAAAAACTGTTTGAACAATCTCAGACCTGGCATATGAGAGCAATGGCTACTGAAAATGGAAAGGAATGTACTTTAAAGTTCACAGAAGTAAAGTTGGTAGCCTTGGGAAGGCACAACCTCTGAGGGCATGGGGGCATTAACTTGGAAGAGATGTCCTTTGGAGGCTTGGTGGTGAAGAGAAAGAAGAAAGCAAGAGGTATAATTTCAGGATACAGCAAAAATAAAAGTGAATCACAAAATTAAGCGACCTACCAAACCCCCTATCCAAAAGCCATTATTGATTTTAAAAGCTACACTTTAATAAGAACTAATAATTCTAGTAATCTAACAAGTCACCAAACTCCTGATTCCTATTTACATACAACTCCTATTACTGGTCCAGGAAACTAAAATATTTCAGAATGAACATAAAAGGGAGACAACACCTACACAAAGCTCTATAAGAAGGAACTAGAAAATAAGAATTAATCATTTCATTTGATTAAAAAAAAAACTTCTAATAGCCAACCCCAAAGCAGAAAAAAACAGCAATAAAACATCTCAGTCCTAATAAGCCTTAAACAAACATTTGAAGATATGAAAAAGGCTCAAATGATAAAGTTTAAAACTCAGAACAGAAATGTACAAAATGAGAGTTGACTAAACTCAGGGAATAAATTGAAGAAAAAGATAAACCCATCGTGAAAATGAATACTATACTGACTGATGACGAAGGGAGAAAAGATATTAAAATGAAAAAGATGCAATGATGAAAGGCACTTGAATAGCAAAGGGAACGAAATTGAAATAAAGAAAGAAGTTTAAGAAAAGATCAGAGAAAATAATTGCTGTAGAAGATAGTCAAATAAATACAAACTACATATAATTATATTAATGGTTCCCAAAGAAGAAAAACAAAACAATGAAATAAAACTAATATTTAAAACTATAATCAAAGAAAATTTTCCAGAAATAATAGGCCTGACTGTAAGTATTGAAGGGCACAACCTTTAATACCTTGGAATTACCTCCAAGTACCTTCAAAAACTGACTCAAAACTATCAACTCCTAGTCATGTGCTACTAAAAATATTAAACTTCAATTATTATTTATAATCATCTCTGGGCCTTTTAGTGGGAGGAGTCATTTGTAAAAGAAAGAAAATCAGATTGAAATTAGACATCTTGACAACAGACAAAGCAAGGTAAGAGTAGAGCAGCATTTTCTTTCTTTCTTTTTTTTTTTCTTTTTTTTTTTTTTTTGAGATGGAGTTTCACTCTTGTCGCCCAGGCTGGAGTGCAATGGCATGATCTTGGCTCACTGCAACCTCCACCTCCCAAGTTCAAGTGATTCTCCTGCCTCAGCCTCCCGAGTAACTGGAATTACAGGCATGCATCACCACGCCCAGCTAATTTTTTGTATTTTTAGTGGAGACGGGGCTTCTCCATGTTGGTAAGGCTGGTCTCGAACTCCCGACCTCAGGTGATCCGTCCACCTCAGACTCCCAAAGTGCTGGGATTACAAGCATGAGCCACCGTGCCCGGCCAGAATTTTCAAATAACTCAAGAAAGAGTATGAGCCAAGGATTTTATTCAAACCAGTTATTCTTTAATTATTAAGGATCTAGAAAAATACTTTAAACATGCAAGAACTCAGAGAATACTGTACTCATAAGCCCTACTAGATTAGGAAATTTTGACCCACCACTTTCAGTTCAAGACATGTCAGGTGGACAAAAACATAGTAAATATATAGAAGAAGACCTAAGAAAGCAAAATCAGTAAGATAGATCCTTTTTAATGTATTATAATAGTAATTATTAATAATATTTTAACTTTTAGTTTCAGGGGTACATGTGCAGGTTTGTTCTATAAGTAAATTTTGTGTCAAGGGAGTTTGATATACAGATTATTTTGTCACCCAGGTAATAAGCATAGTACCTGATAGGTAGTTTTTCGATCCTCATCTTCCTCCACTCTCCACCCTCAAGTTGGTCCCGGTGTCTCTTTCTCCCTTCTTTGTGAACATGTGTACTCAATGTTTAGCTCCCACTTATAAGGGAGAATATTTAGTCAAGATAGATCCCATGGCTATGTATTGAACTTAAACACCCTGATATTAGAGAATACACCTTCTTCTCAAGGTTTCATAAAACATTCACAAAATTTGAGCAAATATTAGGTAACAACTCAGTGAGTTTCATAAGTTAGAAACAATACAAACATCATTACCAGATCATGGTGAAATGAACGTACAAATTAATAAGAATATTTAAATACCAGAAAAGCCCTTCTATCTGTAATTTTTTTAAATTTTAAACAATTCTTGTGTATAAGGGGAAATAAAACATAAAATTTTAAAATATCTAAGAAAAATTATAACGAACACACCACATGTTAAATTACTATTAAACCTTGTATAAGATGAAAATTCACATCAATAAAAGAAAACAAATCTGAAAAATCAATAAAAAGAAAACACAAGAAAGGAAATAAGAAAGATATAGCAGAAATTAATGGAGTAGGAAACAAAAATAATAGAAAGATAAATAAAATAGTGTTAAAAATTAACAAGTAGGCAGACCATAAATAATCTGAAATCAAGAGAAAAGGGGAAATATATACGAAGTAAGAAATGAGGAGAAATAACCATTGAAACAGAGGAAAGTTGTAAAAAACTGTAAGTGGCAACTTTTCATGAATCTTTTTGATAATGATTGAGCCATTTCGTACACCCACCAGCAATGTATGAACGTGTTTACGTCTCCACGGACATTGCCATCAAACTGTGCTGCAAGCTTTTGAATCGTCAGTTTGACAGGTTAGAAATGACGTCTTAGTGTAGTTTTCTTTTGTTTTTCTCTTAAGAAAAAGTAAGGTTGACTATCTTTTCATATTTTTAAGGATCTTTTTTGTTACCTGTGTGCTCATATCTCTTGCCTTTTTTTCCATTTTCTTTTTCTTTTCTTTGTCTCAAATTTTAAGAGTTTAAGAAGAGTCATTATTTTGAATACATAACTCTAACTGTATACCCTCAGGGGAATATATTCTAAGGACAAAAACACAAAATTTGAACTTTACTTAGTAGGCTCATTTCTAGTAATGGTTTTGCTATAATAATTCCAATACTGTTTTGTGCATCTTATAGGATAAGCAAACAGGTAAATATATTGATGTTACTGGGAACAAGGTTCATTGTGTGGAAAAGGAAATAAAAATATGGAATGAGAAAGAAGAACTCTGAAGTGTTGGATTAGAATTGGGGATATATATATATATATGAGCTTGTGCTTTTAAACTGCATATATGCATGTCTTAGTCTGTGTTGCTATAAAGGAATGCCTGAGGCTAGGTAATTTATAAAGAAAAGAGGTTTATTTGGCTCATGGTTCTGCAGGCTTTACAAGAAGCATAGCACAGGATCTGCATCCGGTGAGGGCCTCAAAGCCCTTCCACTCATCGTGGAAGGAGAAGGGGAGCCAGTGTGTGCAGAGATCACAAGGCAAGAGAGAGAAGAGGGAGGTGCCAGGCTCTTTTTAACAACCAGCACTTGCAAGAACTAGTAGAACAAGAAGATAACTCACTTATTACTGCCAGGATAGCACGAAACCATTTATGAGGAATCCACTCACATGACTCAAACACTTTCCATTAGGCCCCACCTTCAACATTTGGAATCCAATTTCAACCTGAGATTTGGAGGGTCAAACATCCAAACTGTAGCAATCCACATATATGTGTGTATACACACACACACACACACACACACACACACACACACACACACTCTAACAAAGCAGGTTATAAAATCTAAAAATTTTTTTATTTGTTTGTATATTCCTAGTCTGTCCTCTGAAAGGACTTAAAAGCAATAACACCTCAGTAGTAATTAATACACCTTATACCCAAACTTTGATTTCTAAATACATTTCCTACCAAAATCTCCTTGAAGGATTGGCTGTTTCTAGGTCTGTGGCAGGGAAAGTAAGTATAAGGTAAGCCTGGGATATCTTGTGCTAGAAAGCAAGGAAGTGTTCAGGCATGCCAAAATGACACAGGAGCCAACTTGAAGGGATTCCCCTTGGCCAAATTTGAGTGTCAGAAAGAAGAATGGTGGTAATTGATTATACACTGAACAACAACAAAAAGAATTTAATATTTGTAATATGGAAAAATTAATCATTTAATTTCTAGAAATAGGCATGTGTTCTACTTTAACTCATGTAGGTCCCTTTATGCATAATCATAGTCTCATCCAAATTAGGTATTACAATAGTACTGCCTTATCCACAGTTTTGCTTCCTACAATTTCAGTTACCCATGGTCAACTATGGTCTGAAAATATTACATACAATAAGATATTTTGAGAGAGACACCACATTCACATAGCTTTTATCATGGTATGTTGTTATACTTGTTCTATTTTGTTATTATTGTTCATCTTTTTAATTTATAAATTAAACATTATCCTAGGCATGTACACGTAGGAAAAAAAAAACATAGTATATGTAGAGCTTGGTACTATCCGTGGTTTCATCCATCCATTAGGGGTCTTGGAACATATTCCTCACTGATAAGGAGGGCTTATTGTATTATTTCTACTTTACATATAGGAAAACTGAGACTCAGAGAGCTTAGGAGCTTGTACAACATCACATAGCTAATAAATAGAAGAGCCATTACTCTTCGAATCTGTCTGACACAAAAAGAGCCTGTGCCCTCACTTATTACACTAAACAGCCTCTAAAATGGAGCTCATATTATATACTGCTTTATTGCACTTGCTTTGTAAACATTTTTCTCTATCATGAAATATTTTCTGTAATATTCTTAATGGCAACACGATCTTCTATTGTATATAGTCATTTGTCTAACTGATCCCATTTGTTGGACATTTGAGTAATTTTCAAAATCTTGCTATTATATACAATACGCTGAATACCAATGTTTTAAATCTATTCAGACCTTTTTCTTACCATAAATTTCTAAACATTAAATGGCTTGATAAAAATATTTTTTAAAAAATCCAACACTTTGGATATATATTGCCAATTTGTCCAAACATTTTTGCAACACTTTACACTACCAGCAGTATGTGAGGGTGTTCGTTCCTCTGAACTCTGGAAAACTTTTGACATCATCATTTATAAAAAAGAAAAGAAGCCATTTTGATAGGCAAAAGGGTATTTCAGTGTCTTAGTTTGCATTTTCCTTCCATATTTATTGAGGTATATTGAGGTGTAAATGACAAAAATTGTGTATATTTAAGGTACGCAATGTGATGTTTTCATACAGTATACACTATGAAACGATTACTATAATCAAATTAATTCATATGTCTAACACCCTCATAGTTGCCTTTTATTGTTCGGTGATGAGAGCATTTAAGATCCACTCTCTTAGAAATGTTCAAGTAGGATCCTTGCTTCCAAAATGCCAAAGGAAAGAAGGAACAATGGTCATGCCATTCACTTGCAGCCTGTTCACTGCAAGAACTGTGCTCAATGCATGCCCAGGAATAAGGCTATTAAGAAGTTTGTCATTAAAAACATAGCAGAGGCCACAGCAGTGAGGGACATTTCTGAAGTGAGCCCTCAATGCTCACAGTGTTTCCCAAGCTGTATGTGAAGCTATATTGCTGTGCGAATTGTACCATTCACAGCAAGGTAGTCAGGAATTGATCTCGTGAAGCCTGCAAGGACTAAACACCCCTACCACTATTTAGACCTGTGGGTTCTTCCCCATGGCCCCAACCAAGGCCCCTGTAAGGAGCTGAGTCCTTACAGACTGAAGGAAAACTACTCTCTGGAGAAAAATAAAGTGGAAATTGTACTTATTTTTAAAAAAAAATAAAAGAAAAATAAAATAAAAGAAAACTCCTGTAATCCCAGCTACTTGGGAGGCTAAGACAGAAGAATCGCTTGAACCTGGGAGGTGGAGGTTGCAGTGAGCCTACATCCCAGGCATGTCAGCCTGGACAAAAGAAAGAAAAGAAAAGAAAAAAAAGGGAAGGGAAAGGAAGGGAAAGGAAGGGAAGGGAGAAAAGAGAAGAGAAGGGAGAGGAGAGGAGAGGAGAGGAATCTTGAAGTATACATTATTATTAACTATAGCCAGCATGCTATGAGAAGAGAAGAGAGGAGAGGAGAGGAGAGGAGTGGAGAGGAATCTTGAAGTATACATTATTATTAACTATAGCCAGCATGCTATGAGAAGAGAAGAGAGGAGAGGAGAGGAGTGGAGAGGAATCTTGAAGTATACATTATTATTAACTATAGCCAGCATGCTATACATTAGATTTCGAGAATTTACTAATCCTGTGTAACTGAAACTTTGGACCCTTTGAGCATCAGCTCCCTACTTTCTCTACCCCCAGTCCTTGACAGCCACCACGCTGCTCTCTGCTTCTATGAGTCTGACATTTTTAGATTCCACATGTGTGCTAGATCATGTAGTATTTGTCTTTCTGTGTCTTGCTTTGTCTCTTTTAAGAAGTGTTTGTTCATGTCCTTTGCCCACTTTTTGGTGGGGTTGTTTTTTTCTTTAAATTTGTTTAAGTTCCTTGTAAATTCTGGATATTAGACCTTTGTCAGATGGGTAGATTGCAAAAATTTTCTCCCATTCTGTAAGTTGCCTGTTCACTCTGATGATAGTTTCTTGTGCTGTGCAGAAGATCTATAGTTTAATTAGATCCCATTTGTCAATTTTAGCTTTTGTTGCAATTGCTTTTGGCGATTTCATCATAAAATCTTTGTCCATGCCTATGTCCTGAATGGTATTGCCTAAATTTTCTTTTAGGGTTTTTATGGTTTGGGGTTTTACTTTTAAGTCTTCAATCCATCTTGAGTTAAAGTTTTAAAGCATAAGGAAGGGGTCCAGTTTCAGTTTTCCACATATGGCTAGCCAGTTTTCCCAGCACTATTCATTAAATAGGGAATCCTTTCCCCATTGCTTGTTTTTGTGAGATTTGTCGAAGATCAGATGGTTGTAGATATGTGGTCTTATTTCTGAGGTCTCCATTCTGTTCCATTGGTCTATATGTCTGTTTTGATACCATGCTGGTTTCTTGTAGTATAGTTTGAAGTCAGGTAGCATGATGCCTCCAGCGTTGTTCTTTTTGCTTAGGATTGTCGTGGCTATATGGGCTCTTTTTTGGTTTCATATGGAATGCTTGTGATTTTTGCACATTGATTTTGTATCCTGAGACTTTGCTGAAGTTGCTTATCAGCTTAAGGAGTTTTGGGGCTGAGACGATGAGGTTTTCTAAATATAGGATCATGTCCACAAACAGAGACTATTTGACTTCCTCTCTTCCTATTTAAATATCCTTTATTTCTTTCTCTTGCCTGCTTGCCCTGCCAGAACTTCCAATACTGTGTTGAATAGGAGTGGTGAGAGAGGGCATCCTTGTCTTGTGTCGGTTTTCAAAGGGAATGCTTCCAGCTTTTGCCCATTTAGTATGTTATTGGCTGTGGATTTGTCATAAATAGCTTTTACTATTTTGAGGTATATTCCATCAATACCTAGTTTATTGAGAGTTTTTAACATGAAGGGATGTTGAATTTTATTGAAGGCCTTTTCTGCATCTATTGAGATAATCACATGGTTTTTGTCATTGGTTCTGTTTATGTGATGGATTACATTTATTGATTTGCATATATTGAACCAGCCTTGCATCACAGGGATGAAACTGACTTGATCGTGATGGATAAGCTTTTTGATGTGCTGCTGGATTTGGTTTGCCAATATTTTATTGAGGATTTTTGCATCAATGTTCATCAGGGATAAGCAATATATTGTTTTAAAATATGTATATATTGTCGAATGGCTGAATCAAGCTCTGAATTTTATGCTTTTGTATGTTCTAATATTTATTTTAGTTGTTAGTTAGCATCCTTTATTTTCAGGTTGAAAAACACCCTTTAGCATTTCTTGAATAGCAGATCTAATGGTGATGAATTCCCTTAGCTTTTGTTTGTCTGGAAAGGCCTTTATTTCTCCTGAATTTCTGAAGAACAGCTTTGCCAGTTATAATATTCTCAGTTGGTAGGGTTTTCTTTTTTAATACTTTGGCTATATCACCCCTCTCTCTCCTAGCCTGCAGAGTTTCTGCCGAGAAATCCACTTATATTCCTTTGAAGGTTCTCTGTATATGATAGGCCACTTTTCTCTTGCTGTTTTCAAAATTCTCTTTTGTTGTTAACTTGTGTGAATTTCATTATAATATCTCAGTATATATCTCTTTATGTTCAATCTATTTCTATTTTGGATTCTTTGGGCTTCTTGCATCTGGATTTTCATTTCCTTCTTCAGATTTGGGAAGTTTTCAGTCATTATTTCTTTAAATAATCTTTCCACACATTTCTCATTATTTTCTCTTTCGGGACTTCCATAATGTGTATACAGGTTTGCTTGAGGCCAGGCACGGTGGCTCACGCCTGTAATCCCAGTACTTTGGGAGGCCAAGGCGGGCAGATCACCTAAGGTTGGGAGTTCGAGACTAGCCTGACCAACATGGAGAAACTCTGTCTCTACTAAAAATACAAAATTAGCCGGGCATGGTGGCACATCCCTGTAATCCTAGCTACTCAGGAGGCTGAGGCAGGAGAATTGCTTGAACCCAGGAGGCAGAGGTTGTGGTGGGCCAAGATCATGCCATTGTACTCCAGCCTGGGCAACAAGAGCAAAACTCCATCTCAAAAAAAAAAAAAAACAGATTTGCTTGAAGAGACCATAAGCTTTCTTCACTCTTTTTCATTTGTCCTTCCTTTCGTTCCTCCTACTGAGTAATTTCAGATGACCTGCCTTTGAGCTCGTTGATTCTTTCTTTTGCTTCACTGACTATTGTTGAAGCTGTTGATGGAATTTTTCAGTTCAGTCATTGTGTTTTTCAGCTCTGGATTTTTTTTTATGGCTTCTATTTCTTTGCTGAGCTTCTCATATTTCTTACGTGCTGTTTTCTGATTTTATTCACTTGTCTATCTGTGTTCTCTTGTAGCTCACTGAACTTGTAGTTCACTGAGCTTCTTTAAGTTAATTATTTTGAATTATTTTTCAGGCATTTTATAGCTATCCATTTTTTTAGGGTTGGTTACAGGTGCTTTGTTGTTGTTGTTGTTGTTGTTGTTGTTGTTGTTTGTTTTTTGCTTTCCCTTTGGTGATGTCATGTTTCCCTGATTATTCATGATTCCTGTGGCATTGGCACCTTCTCCAGTCATTAAAGACTGGCTTCACCAGGAGAAGCTCTTCACCTGTCAGCTTGTCCAGGGATTCTGTGTGGACCAGCAGGGAAGGTCTCTGGGTTGGCTTTGCTGAAATCCTTGGGCTGGTAAGCCTGGTGCATGGGTCAGTAATGGCACCCCGGTTCCTGGGTCAGTAATGATGGTTGAGCCTGGAGCTTGGGTTCACCAGTGCCAGACTGGTACCTGGGGCCATGGAAGATGGCCTGGCCCTAGGGTAGGCCTAAACCCTTGGGCCATGAAGAATGAATGCAGCTTAGGGCTATAAGGGCCATCCTTGTGCTATGATGAGTTTGGATCTTGGGTTGGCAGTGGCTTTACTAAAGGTCAGATCCGTGGGAACCAGCCTGATACTGGGGTGGGAGCCTGAGTCCATTGGAGCTAGCCTAAAGCCTGGAGCCACAGGGACCAGCCATGTTTAGTGGTTGGCCTGGAGCTTGGGTCTATGTGGACCAGCCTGGAGTCTCAGGCCTTGAGGCCTTGCCTATCACTAGGGTAGGCCTGTAAGCTTGGTCATTGGGTGCCAGCCTGGCACCAGGGTTCCCTGGGGTGGGCATGGTGCTGGGTTCTACAGTGAAGTTAGGTGTTTACTTCACTCTCTTCTGCCACATGGAAGGTATTTCTCTCCACACTGTGCTGTGTAAGCCTGGGAGAGTAGTATTGCAGGTAATGCTAAACTATTCTTCTTACACTCTTCAATGCATCTTTTTTTATGTCTGTGTTCCACCAGATACTGTAATCTCTCACCTGAATTCCTTAGCACTTGTGAAGGAATTTTTTAGCCTGAATGATTGTTCAAGTTGATGTTTCCATGAGGGAGCAAGCACTGGAAATGCCTATTCTGCCATACTGTTGACATCACTCCTCTAATTTGCGTTTTAAAATTACCACTATGGTTGAATATTTTAAATTGTCTCTGTTAATTTCCATTTCTTTTTTGTGAATTGCCTATTGATGTCTTTTGTCCATGTTTCTATTGAAAGGTGCAGCTGATATTTATTGATTTATAAGAAATTTTATATATTGAAGATTTTAACATAAACTGCATATTTTAACATTGTTTAAAATCCAAAATTACAGTTTCAAACCATACAAAAATAATGAAACTAAAATACTGCCATATTATTTTCCCACATCTATTGATATCATGGTAAAGCATTTCAGGAAACATTAAGAAAAAATTTTGACTCCTTTTCAGGGGTGATATGAAATTGAGTTAACTTCCCACTGCCTACCTTTTCTTTAAAGAGAAACTTGCATCTTTTTCAAAAATAGTGAGCAAAGCTTAGGACAACAAAGTGATCCATTTTGACAAAAATGCTAAGAAGATTGAAGTAGACAAGAGAAAAGATTGTAGAACCAGTAGAAAATATATACAGTGTATTTTACTTCAGCTACATGTGACCCAGTAATTCAATAAAATTTAAGTGTCATTATAAAAAGATTTTGCAGATGTACATGTATTTTGAATTGGAGGGTTTTTACAGAGTTCCCATTTCTCTCTTATGTACTTACCTGAGATTGATGGAAAAAATAGCTTGAATAATCAGGCTATGACAAATAGTGGAATTTTTCCCTATGCAAAAGTAACGGGTTGGAATAAAAACTTAACCTATAACATTGGCCTCATTAGTCCGATATTCCAGTCAAATTACTTCAGTACTAAATGTCATTGAAAAGAAGAAATGGATTACGTATTCTCTTGGCCTTAAGTAAGACTGAATCAGTGTGGTTGGGTGAAACAAGACTGAGGTAGAAAAATAGGGTCCTAGTGTCAGCTCTCTGTGTCCTAGGTGCAAAGCATTTCCTTTCTCTAGGTGTTATTTTCCTCTTCTGTAAAATGAGGAGATTGAGGCAAATGGCTTGTGTGTGGTGTGTTCTTTCCAAAATATCCTTTTAATTGCAGAACACTTTTAGACTTACAGAAAAGTTGCAAAGATAGTACAGAGAATTACCATATACTCCTCATTTAGTTTCTCATATATTTTTTTAGATAGTACAAAGGCTGTCATAGTTTCTTCTATTGTCAACGTCCTATATCACCATGGTACATTTGTCACAACTAGGAAATGAACATCAATAATTACTCTTAACTGCATTTGACACTTCATTTGGATGTCACCAGTTATTCTTTTCCAGGATCCAATTCAAAATAGGATATTATATCGTGTCATGTTTTCCTATCTTCCCATGGTCTATAACAGTTTTCTGACCTAGATGACATTGACAATTTTGAGTAGCACTGGCCAGGTTGTTTTTTTAATGTCCTTCAATTTGGGTTTTGCTGATGTTGTGCTTATGTTTAAACTGGCAGTATGCTTTTGGAGAGGAAGACCACAGAGGTGCCATTATCATTGCATCATATCAGGTGTCTGTGCCATAATGTACATGCTATCATTGATGATAACCCAGCTGAGGTAGTGTTTTCCAGGCTTCTTCACTTTAAATGTACTGGCCCCCTCCTTTCTAAACCATACTGGATTACTCTGTGGTCTTTTTGAGCTCTAACATAGCATGATTTTATTGTTGCAGACAGATTCCCTTACTTGTGCAGATCAATTTGATAGAGTAGAATCCATCACCCAGGATTGCATACTTGTGCTGGGTAACTCAGCTGAAAGTTTTCTTGGGACCCATTTCATACTATATAGCTACGTGAGAATTATCAGTTATTATTCATAAAATGAGACTCTAACTGCTTTATGCTAACCTTTATAAAAAGTGTACTCTACTAAGAAATGATGATACCTTTTAAAATCTTAGGGATGCTCTAATTTCTGGAATCCTTTTACCAAGAAAACCCAAAACCTACAACTTCCAGATCCCCAGTGCCCTGATGATAGAGGAAAGGAAATTAAAGAAATTTGCAGCTTTGGGGGATGTTGATGGGGATGGGAACATAAATGAATGTCTGTTGTATATTAAGTCAAGGATTTGGAATCAGGAAATTAGGTGAGGTTTTTGTTTTAACTCTACAGCTGTGTGAAGATGGCAGCTGAAGTTCTCTCAAAGACCGGAGGCCCTCTGTGTTACTCTCTTCAGAGAATCACAACTACACAATCATCTCCTAGGGCAGGAAAGTAGAGAATTCAATGAGTCAATGACTTTCTACCTTTCTCCACTTCCAGGATGGTTTTGTAAAGGGATCAATTAAACAGGCTTAATAATGATTGCTAACCTTTATTGGGCATTTAGTATGTGCCAGGCATTTTTTTCTAGGTACTTTACATATACTGACTCATTTAGTGTTCACAACAACCTTATGCAGATGTTGTTATTGTGCACATTTTATGGTGAAGATACTGAGAGGCAGAGAATAACTTACCCAAGATTATTACACACACTAGTTAGCAGCAGAGTTGAGATTTGAACCAAGAAACCTTGGCTCCAGAGTCCCTGCTCTTTATTATACCATATGACAACTGCCTCCCTTTACACAGAGTGAAATCCCCAACAGGGCCAGTTCTTTTTGCAACCAAACAGTAAGTGTTGTATCCTCAGCAACTAGGACAATGTCTAATACATAGGATCCAGCCAACAAATAATTACTGCATTAAAGGAGAAGACTTGAGGATCCGGATCATGAATCAACCCCATTTGAATAATACATTAGTGACTCTTTCAGAAGAACACTGTCATGGTGTCACTTCAGAAAACCCAGAACAAACTGGGTCCTTATAATCACCACTTCACTCTCTCTACCTCCTCATCTGTTCACATCTTATAAGGCAGATGAGAAGGTTTCATAGTTTTTCATCACTCATCGTTTTCCATCTTCTCTATCATATCCTGTCTTCCCAGCCTTTTATAAGCCCTGCTCCTTAACGTTAACTGTGAATAATAAGTTAATGACAGGGTTTTTAAAATTCCAATATCTAAAAGTTTGCAGAAGGACACATACCACATATTTATGGCTATGATTACATGATGCTAACTCAGAAAAGTGAGTTTCAAAGTATCAGCTACCAGAGGTTGTGGATATAAATCAATGAATACATTTCTATTTTAAAAATTTAAATAATATACAGGTCAAATGGGTAAGAGGAAGAGATAGCTGTGTATGTCTATTTCTTACTCTCTATAGTCACAAGTTTTATTTGGGTCTTTTTAAAAGAACCTGGTTACTATTGCCAATAAGTACTCAAACCAGGAAAGAGAGTAGGAGAATATTTAGGAATCTGAGAAACTCCCATCATCAATAATGAAGAAGTGATTGGCAGTGATTTGGACCATAGAGAAAGGGAGAATTAGTTGAGCAGAAAATGAAGTAAAATAGAAAAAAAATAAAATTTTAAAGAAGAATTAAAAGTACTGATTCATGTCTAAATTTATATTTTTGCTACGTTATTCATTAAACTGTTTTTTAAATTTATCCCATCATTATGCTGCTTATTCTTCCTGACTCCACAAAGCAAATAATAATACAAAAATAAATAAGATTTGAGTTATGGAGAGCACTTAATGGTGCTGTGACTTGAGATGAAACCACTAAATAATTGTGTCTGTCTGATAAGGAATACACAGATGGGCCCGTTATGCAACTGCAAATGGAGATCATATATTAAACTTGTGATAAGGTACCTAACTAGACATGTTATTTATAAATATTGCTGTAGTCTTGGAATGGAAAATATAAAATACGTAGTAAATGAAAGTTTTAAGATAATATAATACAGAACTGGGATATTAAAATGATTTATTACTCTGATAGGATCTTTTCCATCCTGAGTATTGGATAAAACTAGCACCATACTAAGGCAAAAGAAAAAAGCATGCTGCAATAGAGAATAATTCATTTCATTTAGGAGAGGAAAAGTAGGGATTCAAACACGTGGAGCAACAAAAAAGGTGTCCTCATTGCTCTGTTATACTATCTCAATCTTTTCTTAATTGGCATTTAATTTTAATGTTTCATCATGGCAGACTTGCAAAATGTGTTTTGTAAAACAGTTCAAGTTAAAATGCCTTTTGTTTTTTTTCTTTTAATTAGCGAAGTTCTTTCTTTCAAAGGGAATTCTACCTATATACGACACAACAGCTTTTCGGGTTTTCAAAAATGTTTGAAAGAGACCTCAAAACCATACTGACTACATTTAAATTGCTTTAAAAAGAAACATTTAAGTATGTTTTATTTATGTTCATGATGTAGTGCAAGCACAAATAATATTTTTAGTATAAAATGTATATGTATAGCCCTAGGAAAAAAAGAGAAAAGTTGAATGAAACTGCTGAGGCAATAGTAGATACCATAAATAAACATGCATTACTTCTTTAATTTAGTTCTTGAAAAATGCTTCTCTGAAACTAATAGTTTTCAATCCTGCATGTAATATGGTTATTATCAGGATAAAATTCAGATCTGAAGGTAATTTATCAAAGGGCTATAGTTCACTCATATGCCAATTTGATGTTTAATGTAATAAAAATGGGATTTATTTTAAGATGGGAAGATAACCTGGTTTCTGTAATGTTGGCAGTCACTGCATTTAATTCAAGTAGCATTTATTTTTGCAGTGATATTCCTTATTGCAGAAGCATCTAGTCTCACATCATGGCCACTGAAGTATCGGTCTGGTGAAATTGCTTCCCACGGGAGTTAGTTGAAAGCCTGAAGTCATCAGGGGTCACCATCTGGGTAATGTACTTCGTATATATTTCAGGAAGGGAACTGTCCAACATACAAGCAGATCTGTAGTTTTGACAAGCCTTGGAAGTAAAGTACAACAGCTGTAGCATTCCCTAGCCTGAAGGAACATGAAGGGAACTAGTAGGGGGAGAATGCTGACAAAAAGGGAAAACAAAGTATCTTAGAAAATATTATATGCTTTTGTCTTGGCATGCTGCGAAGCAGGACATGATCCATAATGGTCAGGACTTTATTTGTAAGATAGGTTTCAAACTTTCTAAATAGGTTTATTTAGTGGATTTAGAAAATAAAAACCCAAAATTCTTGCAACAAATAAATATAACACCCCTAGCTGAATATCTTTGCATTTCAAGGTGCAAGATGAATTCCTTGAAAGCAAAGTTACATTTGTCTTAAAAGTCTTATAATTTCAAGGTTAACTTGTATATTTATTATCAAAGCCCTATTTATTGTTAGGTGTATTCAAAAATTACCTGTAAGAGAGTGGACACAAAACCCCAAAAGATACATAATAACATGAAAAGGGGTCCTGTCTCCTGACAGTAGCACTATAAAGATATTTCAATAAATTTAAATACCTAAAAGGAATTCTTCCCAACACCCAAATTTTCCTTATTCAGATATTTTGAAGATAATTTTGTAGGCCACTAGATTTCAAACTATATTATTTGGATCTTTTGGACAGCCAATCCCTTTCAGTCAAATTCTGTTTTATCTGTTTTATGTATCTGGGAACTGTTCATATTTAATTGCTGAATGGTTCTGCTGCTTTGAAATGTTTTGAAAAGCCCAATTTTAGACAGAAAATAGCAATAAAAGAGATAGAATAAAACAATGAAACTATTCATTCAGCTTAACAAAGGTTTGTTGAGCACCTGGTATTTTAAAATTATATAATAATACATGAATACATTATCATTGTAAAAGATTCTAACAATACTATGAAAATGTCAAAGTATCCTTTTGGTTTTCACAGCTCCCTACTCTAAACATCAATAGTTTGGTATTCATTTTTCAGGTCTCTTTCTATGCATTTAAAAAATGTAAATATATATAAATACATATTTTCTACTAAAACCAGATCGTAGAATATGCATTGTTCTACAATATTTTTCATAAAATCTTAGAGCTTGTTTCATTTCAGTACATACAGATCATCCAGTGATGTGTTGATAAATGTTTAACAAGCTCTCTGGCCCAAAAAGCCTGATCTGCCACATTTCCTAATTCCCAGGATGTAAATACACCTGCCATGGTCAATTTCAACTGCCAATATAAAGTCATTGGAGGTGGAATTGGGAAGAGATGTGCACAGTTGGCTTTTGTAAACCAGTATAAGCCAGCTCCAGCATATCACTTGATCAGTCCTTTTTCTCTCTCTTTTTGGCTTTTTATTTTGAAATAATTTTAGACTTACAGAAAAGTTACAAATATAGCACAGAATCACTGTATTCCTGTCACTGAGCTTCTCCCAATATTAGCATCTTGCACATAGTACAATTACTAAAACTAAGACATTAACATTGGTATGAGGCTATTAACTAAACTTAGAGTTTAATTCAGAGTTCTCCAGTTTTTCCACAGTCTTTTCTGTTACAGGATTCTTTCTAGATCCCCATATTGTATTTAGTCATCATGTCTCCTTAGTTTCCTTCAATCTGATAATTTCTCAGTATCAGTCCTTTTAATTCTTATAAAGGATTTCATAGTAAGCGTGTACCACTCTTCCATAGATGGGTATATTGGTTGTTCTAATTTTTAACTACATTAATAAAGTCAATATATTAACAATGCAATGGCGAATTTCCTTGCACATGCCCCTTTATGCCCCACATGTGATTATTTCTTTAGTACAGACTCCTAGAAGTAGAATTCCTTGGTCAAGGAATATTCTCAATTTAAATAGTGATAGATATCAACATTGTCTTCCAAAGCCACTTTACCACTGTACACTCCTATCAGCAATGAAGAGTACTTCCTGACTACCAATCACAGAGTTAGGTACCAGAAACAGAAAAATGCAGAAGGCATTGTTCCTGCCTTTGGAGTGCTTAATAATGATGAGACAGACATGTAAACAGATATCTTTAATATAGTATGGTAGATTCTATGATAGGGTGCTAAAAGAGAAACATCATATCTCTTTGTGAAATGTAGGTAGTCCAAGATCATCACTGCTCAACAGAAATAATTGTGAACCATGTATGTAATTTAAAGTTTTAGAGTAGCCATATTAAAAAAGTAAGAAACAGGTGAAATTAATTTAAATAAATATTTTATTTAACCTGATATATCCAAAATATTATCATTTCAATGTGTAAATAATATAAAAATATTAATGTGATCTTTTATATTTTTTCTTTTATATCAAGTCTTCAACTCTGACTAGCCACACTTCAAGTGTGCAACAGACACATGTGATGAGTGGCTACCATATTGGATAGCATAGGCCTAAGTTATTCAGCATGTATTTCCCACATTTACTTCTGACGCATTCCTGTGGGATTTTTTTTTTTTTTTTTTTGAGTCAATGAGTGCCTCTTGAAAGAGAGTGGGATGGGAAAGGATTATTGATTATAAATGTTGCTAGAGACCACCAGTCTTATTTATGAGAAACATAGTCCAACATTCTAACAGTACGCAGAAAGAAAACTGCAGAGAGACTTGGAGGTTGCTACAGAAATGTGTACGTTAAGAAGAGGAAGAGCTTCTGTACATGGGGTCAGCCTACCTTGAGTTCCAAGGTGCTTGATTGAATTTGGAATTGAGGAGAGCCAAGACAATCCATTCATTACCTGAACTTTGTAATGAATTTATAATTTTAGAGCACAGCTCTTTGCAATTGGATAGAAAAGGAAGGAGAATAATTGTAAAATGTACAGGGCTCAGCATCAGGGAACATTTGCTAAAAGAGCATTAGGGACTGCCATTTTTAATCTGCTGAAAATACACCATTCCTGGAATATTTGAGTAGACATAAACATTCTGTCCAACCATTGAATTTCAGTGAAATGCAAATAACAGGATGGGTACTCCCTCAGAGATCTGGGTAGCATCCATCTCCATTCATTGAGTATATATATATATATATATATATATATATATATATATATATATATATATATATATATTTTATATATGTCTTAGGGAACAGTAACTTTGACCTTGCTTACAGTCAAGAGTGCTTATATTACATCTACTTCAACCAGCAGTGCTCATTTGGAGGTATATATTCTGGTATGTGAGATTTTAGGTTTATTACTTTCTAATTCTTATTTGTTGGTGACCAGCTTGCAAAGTTGGCTAGCGTACTGAGGTAACAAGATTATGGGTCCAGGACTTATGTGTATGAGTGTTCCTACCACTCTTTGCCTTTCTGACTGAGCTCACACTGGGCTCCTTAGTATTTCTCACACACTTCATGTAAGACTTCAGGGCTTTCTATAAATTCTGTTTTGTCTGCCTGGAAGATTCTTCCACTAGATATTCACAATGGCTTCACTTCATTCTAATCTTGGTTCAAATGTTACCTCCTCCAAGAGGCCTTCTCTGACCACCCTTACCTATTTTTACCTTCATAGCACTTATAACTACCCAACGTTATCTTGTTTATTTGTTGTTTTTTGTTTTTTGGTTTGTTCCCTTAACGTTGTATTCTATCTTATATTTTATATCGTGTATTTTTTATTTGCCTGTCTTAACCCACTACCCTCTCATGTAAGTTCTGGGAGGGTAGAGGTTTTTTTATGTTTTTGCTGCTGTAAACTCAGAAAAAAAAAAAAAAACAGTGCCTGGTTTAAAGTAAGCACTCAAAAAAGTATTTGTTGAATCAACATGTGAATATGACTTAATATTGCCCTGTTTGTTCATTACTAATTTTACCCTTATTCTAGCCAATTGGCTCATAATGTCTATTCTTGGGTTTGGGGGACTCACCTAAACAGTGTGGCTCTAAACACATAGCATAAATCTGGATGGGAATCCACTAGAAACTAAGGAAGCTGTCTTTATACTGCATCTAAAGCTGACATTCAGCCAGTGTGTACACACTGGTTAGACTGTATTAGTTGTTTATATCTGATAGCCATTTTGGTTGGCCAGTACCTATGTTTGGAAGAAATAAAAGGCCAGTAGCCTTGCCATGATACCTGTCTGTGGTCTGTAGCAAATAATTAACTTTCATTATATATTCACACAAACATATATTACAAACAGCTTGTTCCCTGGGAAAGATATAGTAAGTTCAAAAAATTACAAAGCTTCACTGCTCTCAAAGAGTGTTCTACTAAATGTGCCCATACCTCTTTATCTGTCTTGATTGGCTGGAAGCAGTCCATTTCATTCGATGGTGAAAAATTAATCCTTACCTTATATATTTTGAAGTGAATCTCACCACATGCATTTTCTCGCATTTTCAAGTGCCGCCAGGAAAGTGGCTCAACTTAAAGTATATAAAATAGCCCCCTTAGTCTTCTAAATGAGATCTACTATTCCTTTTGTTATATATGGTCCATCTAATTTCACAGAAGTAATTGAACCCAGGGAATGAAACACATTTTCAATATAGCTCCTACTATCCATCATATTCAAATTATTTGGGAGGCAGAGTAGACCAAATTTTCTGTAAAACGGAAAAATACCTCTAATTGGAACAGGTGTGTTAAACTAGAGTCCATTGGCAAGGAAATCTCAAGGATGTCACTAATATAGCTTTATTAATGTGCCATACCATACCTTACTCAGAACCACTATCCTTTGAGTTAAAATTATTTCCAATAATTGCAAGAGAAATTCATCAGGCAGCACTGGCCTTAATCCAAAGAAAAGGGTAGAAACCAGTTAAATGCTTAAAAGTTTTAAGGATAAATTAGGAAGTAGGTGTTAGAAATCTCTTTAGCTCCAACTAAAAGTGGATGAATGATTTTTAAATAGGCTATCCTTCTCTGTTCTCGGTCACTAACTCAAATACTATACATGAGTGTTACACATACTAATTAGCCCCTTTCAGTTCACCTAGGAACACAAAGAGAAATACGAAATGGCTTATGAGCAGATTCACTTTTTTTTTTTTTTTTTTTTTTTTTTGCCTTTTGATAGGATTTGGTTGATGTTGAAAAATGCAATGAGAAAACAAACAAGAGGTTTCTCCAGCTTTTTGCCCTAGGAACTGTTTTCTCCTAACATTCTCTCCCTTCAGTGACTTCATTCACTCTCACAACTTCAACTATTGCCTCTGTGCATATATGACTTTTCATTCTTTTTCTAGCTCTAATATCCTCCAGAACTTCAAACCTCCTATAGTTAGCATTCACTATCTGGAGGGCCCATCAGTCCCAGACACCCAACAACCCCAAAGGCTGAATTCATTGCATTCCTTGCATCTTCTCATCCTGTCTCAAGCCACATATTCAAATAGTCATCAATCAACAAAACACAAATCCAGTACCAACTATTTGTAGCAAGTGCTAGACTAATAAAGAATTCTCTAACTCTATTAATGGTTCCACCATTGTTTCAGTTAGACTCAAAACCTTAACCATTTTGGATTCCTCCCTCCTTTCTCTCACTTTTTTCTACGCCCTCCCACAGCACACCTATACACATGCATGAATGTGTATACAAACACACACAGAGACAGAGAAAGCGAGAGAGAGGGAGAGAGAGAGAGAAAGAAACTTCTTGCCAAATCCTGAAATGCCATTTATGCAATTTCTCCTTAAGAAATCTCCTTCTTTGCATTCCCACTGCAAATAACTGAGACACTCCTGTGACACTACTCTAATTGGGGCACTAATTACTTCTTTCCTAAATTATTGCAATGCCATCCCAATTGATTTATTTGCCAAACCTTTAGGTCTCCAATTCATTCTTCTCCATACTACTACTGGATTTATCTTTCTGCAAAGGATGTTTTTATTATATCAGTTATTTGCCTAAAAACCTTCAGTGCTCCCCACTCTCAAATTAATCATCCGAAAAATTCTGATCATATCACTCAACCTGTCAAAAAATAGAAATGCCTCTGCGTTGCCTAATAAGTTGAATCCAAATGTATAAGTGTGGCACCAGTGTGCTCCACAATATGGCTCTAATCTTCCTTTCTGGCGTTAACTTCCACTGGCACCAGCACATAGCTAAGCTCCAGTGAACCCCAGCAACTTCTTTTGCCTCAGATACATCATGTACTTTACAAAGTCATATTTTGTTCAGCCCTGTCCCTTCTCCCCACCAATCGTTGTCACCTGTCAAAGCCCTACACATCCTTCAAGGTCTATATCTACTCCCACTTCCTTCAAAAATTATTCTTGATCAGCCCAACCTATTTTAACCTCCTGTTCCTTTAAACCGAAAGCTTTCTTTTTCACAGATGGCAAATGTTACACATGTTCATTGTAAAAAAAATATGGAAAACACAGAAATCATAAAAAAAATAAAAATTCTCTGTAAGCTTCCCATGCTGTTAACATGTTGCTATATATTCTTCCAAACCTTTTTTTCTCCAGACATGAACATGTGCACACATACACAAACACACACACTTCAGATCACACTATTTATAATGTTTAGTAGCCTAATGTTTTTCATTTGATACCTTATGAATATTTCCCATGCCATTGCATGGTCTTCTGCAACATGATTTTTAGCAGCCGCATAATCTTGTATTATTTACTATCTCATCAGTTATTTGATTAATCCCCTCTTGATGAATATTTAGATTGATCATAACTTTCTAATATTGTTTTCAGATGTTACAATAGACAGCATTGTACTTTGGCAACATTCATAGTTAATTCACAGAAATTAAATTGTTAGCTCAAAGGGTAAATCAGATTTTAAGTTCATTTAATAAATGGTGCCACATTGCCCTCCAAAAAAGGTCACTGTATTTTTATACTCTCATCAGGAGTGTATGAGAGTGCCCATCTTCCTGCACAGTGACCAACACTGGGTACTTTTTAATCTTCTGATAGCAGTTTAAACCTGTCTTATGTCAATCATTCTGCATAATATTATTTTATCCTGGTATTACTACCAAATCCCACCCTAATAAGCATCTACATTTTAACACCGGCAGCAACTATCATAGGGCTTTATTCATACTAGGCGTTCAGGAAATATTTGCTGAACTGAATTGAATTAAAGCCATAGAGAAGGTCTTCCATGTTCTCATGGTAGTCTGTCCACCATTACTCTGTAATAGTTTCCATATGGAAACTAGTGTTACATGACTAAGGGGAATGGAAAAGGAAAGGGTCACAGCAGTGAGAAGTTAAGTCTAATTGTACTATAGTTGATTCCAATTTCTAATCCTATCATTGGGATAGCTTTAGCCTCAAAATGTTAACAACAGCTACTTTAACAGCTGTTAACACTTATATGTGTGTCGTAGCATGTAAGTAGCTACATGTATGATGTATAGGTATAAACTCCCAGTTACTTGGCCTAACTAAAAGAAAACTGTTCGTAACATTTTTAGGTGCAAAGGGATACCTGGCTTGGAGATGTTCTCAGTGAGTCTGGAATAAATTAATGTATGGCTTGTTCTCTTGCAGCAGTGCATTTGTTCGGCCTGACTTGGCAGTTGCAACCAGTTGAAGGAGAGCTGTATGCAAATGGAGTTAGCAAAGGGAACAGGGGGACCGAGTCCATGGACACTACTTACTCTCCAATTGGAGGAAAAGTTTCTGATAAATCAGAGAAAAAAGGTACAGTGATCAAAATGATTGATTGTTGATTACTTTTCTTCTAATTTGGTCATTAGAACTGTAGCTGGGATGGTTTCACTTCACATTAAATTTCATGATCACTTGAAAGAAGTCCTCTACGTGGACAGAATAAATGCATGTAAATATCTTGTGAAAGCAAATTTTCCTTGTTTCCAGTGCCTTGAGTATAAACCAATTAAAGTTTTCAAATATGTTGGCAATTTTGAAAATAGATAAATATTTACAGAATGGAGGCTTCAATACAATGGAAATTGCATTTCGCATATAACTACCCTGAAGCAACGTGGGATTTTGATTACATTCTCTGTGTCCAAGCCCAGCATTTATATATAACATTTTACAAAGGGTATATGGAAATTTCTTCTGTTTGTAATACGAAAAAGCTTTTTCTGCTTAATGTAAAGGTGAATGTTTATGTCAAAGTTGGATAACATGATTTTTTTCTAGTTTGGGAACATGAATTCTTCCTAGTTGGGAGAAAGAAAAAAAAAATCACTTTGAGTCCTGAACTGTTAAGTTTAACCAACATGAGCTTGAACTACCTGACTTATTTATAATAAATGTCACAGTACCAGCACTCCCAACATCTTATTCACACTGAATGATCTTAGTCTTAATATACAAGCAGTGAAAATAGCTGGAAATTTATATTTTTATTGAAATAGGATTCAGTACAGAGGGACTTGAGCCTTGTAAAATTCCAGGAAGTCAATTTAAACGGTAGAAATTGAGAATAATATATATAGCCAGCAATATCCTGAGTAATTTTTGGAGACCAAACGTAAATAAATGAATGAATGACCAAAACCTTACCTCCAAGAAGCTTACAATTTTATACAGGTGGTAACACAGTCTTATTTTGGTTCATTAGTTGCAACTAAGACATCATTTTTTAATACAGTAGTTATTTGGGTTACTACTCTTCCCTTGTGTTTTTAATTCCTTTCGTGGTGGCGGGGGGGTTGTTTGTGGGTTTTGTTTCCTCTTGTTTTTGTGTGCTTTTGAAAAGGTAACTGTAATCCATGCTTCAGTAAAAATTAATGCTTAGGGTTCAGGAAAATATTATGGTTTGCTCTAGTTTTCAATTCATGATGCAGTTTGCTGTATGTTCTCATTTCAAAATACTTGTTTCTAGCCTGGAGTGACCTTTCCCAGCAGTTTCACTGTTACTCCTGAGAGTGGCTGAGGAGAGTAGAGGGGTCAGAGGTGGCAGATAAGAAAGTCTGCCACACTCACTGCTCAGATTTTTCTTCCTTATCTCCCTTACCTGCTTTTTCTCCCTTACCTTCTCTTCTGCTGTTTTATCCCCTTATATCTGAAAGTACAAGAGCTATCATTTGGTATTATCTGCCTAGGGTTTCTTGCCATTCACACTAAAAATCAGAATTTATCTGTCTGAGGAAAATGAAACATGCAAGACAGCAGGTCATCACATAGTTGTCATTATAGTATATTTGATTTTATATTCTAATTCAGACCTCTTTTGATTCCTTTCCATAAAGTAAGTTGATGATGATGGCTAAAATTAAATTAAAATTACCACGTGTCAAGAATTGTTCCAGAAACTTTACATGGATTATATCATGAAGGTCACATTATGGTCCCCATTGTCCAAATGAGAAACAGAGGCACAGAGAGGTTAAGTAACTTGCCCAGTGTCACAGAGCTAGTAAGTGGTGGTCTGATTCCAGAGTCCAGTCTCTTAACTTCTACACTGTACTAAAATCCTCATATGGAATATCTGTGAAGACCACAAAAAACTTTTTACACAATGAAAGCAAAGTCCCAGAGTCTATTCGTGATAGATTTTAGAGAAATTCTACTCACCTCTATTTTTAATGTGTTGTGACAAGTCTCATAAATGAAAAATGATTTAAGTTTCTGCTCAATTATAACAACAAACAGAGCAAACCGACTTCAATTAAATACTTTATTAAGAAAAATCATTATGGGTTGATGCCTCATATACCAAGTTGCTAGCTTATCCTGACTTTTTCTGGAAGCCTGAACAAAACCTTAACTATAACTGCACATCATGGTTTTGCTGTATTAGGTCTTTACTGCATATTACTTACCAAGTAAAAACATAGCTCCTTTTTTTTTTAATGCCATATGTATACTAATCCAAACCTTGCAGAAGATATAATACAGTAGAAGGATATTTTCAAATGTTCAGTTGTATCCTTTTATGATTTTCTACATAAGACACATCCCATAAATACAGCTCTAGAAGCTTGTCCTGATACTGTATGCACTAAAATATGAAACTGACAACCAGACCATTCTTCCTAAATTGTTTTCTCTACTCTCCTAGAAGATTGGGCATTATAGCACTGTGGTTAAAAGCCTGGATTCTGGAGTCAGAGAGACCTGGCTTTAAATACTAACTGTACCATCATTATCTCTCCAACCTCAAGTAATTGACACAACCTCGCCCAGCCAGTGCCCTCATCTGTAAAATAAGGGTGATAATAATAGTACCTGTCTCATATGGTCATAGTAAGGAGTTAATTAAACAATTGATATAAAGCATATAGCACAGTGTCTGACACATTGCTTAATTTAGCAGCAGTTATTATCGGACCAAAAGATTGGAAAATCACCTTGAGGTTTTTGAACTTCATTGACATTCCGTTAGGTGCTATAGAACCTGCTTTCAAACCACTATGAACTTTGCAGTGAATGATGACCTTCTTGAGATCGAAGTGTTTTCTCTCTTTAAAGTTTGGTCTCTACTCACCAATCTAAAACCTATTATTTTTAAACTGTTACCACTATCATCATCAGATAATGATGAATGGCACTTTCTTTTATTATACTTTAAGTTCTAGGGTACATGTGCACAACGTGCGGGTTTGTTACATATGTATACATGTGCCATGTTGTTGTGCTGCACCCATTAACTCGTCATTTAACATTAGGTATATCTCCTAATGCTATCCCTCCCCACTCCCCCCACCCCACAACAGTCCCCAGAGTGTGATGTTCCCCTTCCTGTGTCCATGTGTTCTCATTGTTCAATTCCCACCTATGAGTGAGAACATGCGGTGTTCGGTTTTTTGTCCTTGTGTTAGTTTGCTGAGAATGACGGTTTCCCGCTTCATCCATGTCCCTACAAAGGACATGAACTTATCCTTTTTTATGGCTGCATAGTATTTCATGGTGTATATGTGCCACATTTTCTTAATCCAGTCTATCATTGATGGACATTTGGGTTGGTTCCAAGTCTTCGCTATTGTGAATAGTGCCGCAGTAAACATACGTGTGCATGTGTCTTTATAGCAGCATGATTTATAATCCTTTGGGTATATACCCAGTAATGGGATGGCTGGGTCAAATGGTATTTCTAGTTCTAGATCCTTGAGGAATCGCCACACTGTCTTCCACAATGGTTGAACTAGTTTACAGTCCCACCAACAGTGTAAAAGTGTTTCTATTTCTCTACATCCTCTCCAGCACCTGTTGTTTCCTGACTTTTTAATGATCGCCATTCTAAAGGGCTAATATCCAGAATCTACAAAGAACTGAAACAAATTTACAAGAAAAAAACAAACAACCCCATCAAAAAGTAGGTGAAGGATATGAACAGACACTTCTCAAAAGAAGACATTTATGCAGCCAACAGACACATGAAAAAATGCTCATCATCACTGGCCATCAGAGAAATGCAAATCAAAACCACAGTGAGATACCATCTCACACCAGTTAGAATGGCGATGAATGGCACTTTTTAAAGAAACATCAAATTCTACTGGAATTGGTTTCCCATTAACAGTTGTTATATATATATATTATATATCTGCTTCTCATGAGAAAACAGAATTTTCTCACCACTTAGTTATCCAAATGAAAGAAAAAGAGTATTTGATTATAGACATTTAGTATGCTAAAAAATTTACGAACACTCTAGAATTTCAATAAGCAGATATAAGTCACAACCACATACTGTAATCTACCAGAAAAATCTCAGTTGTCAGTATTAAATATTTATAAAATTGAAAGTATTGTACCAAAATAGTCCCTCACTACATTAGAGTCTTACAAACTAGTCATAATTTTTTTTTTTTTTTTTGAGATGGAGTCTCACTCTGTCGCCCAGGTTGGAGTACAGTGGTGCAATCTCGGCTCACTGCAACCTCCGCCTCCCAGGTTCAAGTGATTCTCCTGCCTCAGCCTCCTGAGTAGCTGGGACTACAGGTGCCCACCACCACATCCAGCTAATTTTTGTATTTTTAGTAGAGATGGGGTTTCACCATGTTGGCCAGGCTAGTCTCAAACTCCTGACCTCAAGTGATCCACCTGCCTCGGCCTCCCAAAGTGCTGGGATTACAGACGTGAGCCACTGTGCCTGGCCTATAACTATTTAACCAGTAAACATTATGTAACAACTGCTTTAAACAGAGCAGAGGATATGAACAAATAAAAGACTTATTCCTAGACCTGAGTTATATAATGTCTATAAATAAAATTAAAAATAACTACCCCCACGTAATTTATCAATAAATTAGAATGTTAAAATCTTAAAGATTATCAAATCCAATATCCTTATTTAGAAATTAAGAAAATTAGGTCCAGAAAAGTTGAGATCACATAGAAAGAGCTGGGACTAGGAGAGAAGGTACCGAGTTTCACGTTTTATATTTTTCACCTGTTATTGTAATAGTATAGGATAAACTAAGTATATAAATTTCTGAAAAGGTTTTCAATAAGTATCACAGAGAAAAACTGAACAAGTAAAACAATTGATTTTATTCAGGCTATTGCAATAGGGAGGTTTGTCTTGGTCTTATTAGGAAGGGGTAGATGGGTTACATGTGAGATGATTTACTGGTGGGATCGTGTTGCAATCAGGGGAAGTATCAGTTAGCTGAACAGGAAATGTGTATCTTTGTTTCTAGCTAGTTTCAGGGAAACAGACAGTTCTAATCTCAACTAATTATTCATGAGACAAAGAATAGGAAATTGGAGGGTCTGTATACGGCCTTTCAGTGGGTTCAGGCAATAGGGGAAAAGTCTGTGTTTGGTCTTTTCAGGGGTGGAATTATAGGTGAGTCTTAGGGAAATCATGGGAAAGAAGGGACAGAGAGTTTTATCTTAAGTCATTTAGGGAAGGGTGTTTTGTATGTGTTTGTTTGGACTTTTGTTTGTTTGTTGTCATTGTTACGGTTTTTTTGCATAAGCCATTTCCCAGGACACAAAAAAGTGGGAGAATTTCGGAAAACAAAAGGTTGGGGAATTTCTTAAGCAAAATTGTTTTCCAGGAGCATTAAGGCTCAGGTAAAGTCTTGTATTGTCAGTAGCAATATAAATGGAGATGAAATTTATTGGGTAGTTGAGGATACTGAATTCCTGCAGGTTGGATGCCAAAATAGAACACTGGGAACAAAGAAGGATGGGTGGGGAAAGACAGAACTAAAGAATACTAAAAGCAGCCTTTATCTCCATTACAATTTTGCATAAGCCTGGCCTTGGGGGAAAGTGGCATTTCTTTTAAATTCATCCTGCACAATCTATCTCCACAAAGTTGAAAAAAAATGACGTTTTTCTAGTCAGTGTCTGCTGAATATATGACCATGTAAACAAAATACAGCTGATTGATATGACACAATTTATAGCCTGTCATGAAGATGCTTTAGCCAAGACCAAATAGTGACTACTGCCTCACCTCTCTAGGCTCCAGTTTCTCATCTGAAAAATAAGGGAGTTGGCTTTCAACCGTTTCTAGGGGCAGAGAAGAGGCGGGGCTAGCAGGCAGTGAAAACGTTTTTACAAATTAAATCTTACCCAGAAATTACAAATTTAAATAGAAAACAGATAAAAGCCAAGTTTCTCCAGATATGGCGAGGGAAGGGGGCAGATTCCTGGCAAAACTCCCGTTCCCTTCCTCTTTGCTTTATTTGCCCTCTATTCTCTCAGCAGCTGCTAAGGCTTTGACAAAACACAAGGCTAACTTATCTGTAAGATCCCTTTCAGCTGTACACACTATGCGTTAGTGTTCAAATTCTGCAGTTAAGGAAGAATAATGAGCCAATACAAGTAAAAGTGGACCTATTTTTGCAAAAGGGATATACTCCTGGAAAGAGGTTGAAATGTATATCTATAAAGTTTGTAAAACCACATTTGCCATTTAAAATACTTGCAGAGAATTCCGTTGCAATTCAAACAATTAATTCCCAGTTTCCTACCTTATAAGTTTGGAGTTTTGACATGTATATAACACAGCTTGCACTTAGCATTTACAATTGTAAAATACTTTAATGTCTTTTATCCACATAATAGTTTTATTCTGTGGCAGCTATCGTTACCTTTTCTTTTTTTTTTGAGACGGAGTTTTGCTCTTGTTGCCCAGGCTGGAGTGCAATGGCGCAATCTCGGCTCACCGCAACTTCCGCCTCCCGGGTTCAAGCGATTCTCCTGCCTCAGCCTCCCGAGTAGCTAGGATTAGAGGCATGTGCCACCATGCCAGGCTAATTTTGTAATTTTTTTAATGGAGACAGGGTTTCTTCATGTTGGTCAGGCTGGTCTCGAACTCCCAACCTCCGGTGATCTGCCCGCCTCGGCCTCCCAAAGTGCTGGGATTACAAGCGTGAGCCACCACGCCCAGCCGTGTTACCCATGTTTTATAGTTGAAAAGGAAAACACAAGAAAGTTACATGACTTGCCTTGCGCAATAGACAATAGACATAACTAAAGGCAGAGCTGAGATTGTGATCCAGTTTCTCCTTACTGTTAGCACCCTTCCTTGGGCTTTTTCTTTCATTTTTCAAAAAAATTCCTTTCTCAAAGCCAGTTTGTTTAAATAACGGCTATCTTGATTAAAAATCTCAATGCATACAGTTCAAATACTGTACTCTTCCTTAAGAGTACTTGGCAAATCTTATATTTCACATCTAAGATCTCCTTTCAGCGAGCATTCTCCCTCCTCCACAAAGCAAAAGATACACACACACACACACACACACACACACACACACACACACACCCCACAAGTACTCTTGGGAATTGAAAACTAAATGACAGTGCAAAATGTACTGTTTACAGCCACCTTTCATTGTGGACCTATCCAGAAGAGGGGTGTGTTTGTGTGTGTATGTGTGTGTTTTGCTTTTTTTTTTTTTTTTTTTTTTTTCTTTTGCTTTATCTGAGACATAAATGCCTTGGAACATTTTATACAATGCCAATTGTGGACCTGAAATAACAGGTTAAATTTTAATTTACTTAAGGTTTGGCAGATATTTATTTCACAGACCCAATCAGTAGATAAAGATTCATTATGTGGTACCAAACTAAAAAACTGCACCAACCCCACCCAGGTAATCATTGTGCATTCAGATGGAACGCAGTCCTGCAGTATAATTCTGTGGTTCTGCAATATTGGTTCATAGGACATGTGGATATTCAGCAGCCCTTTGAGTCAACCCATAGTTTCAGTATCTTTTATTTAAAGGATATTATAGCCCAAGATATTGAGGTAGAATTGGGAATAATTCATGTAAGCACAACAAACCACATGAATAAAATAGAAGTAATGCGCTAACAAAGACAACATTGTTGGGAGTGTAACAGTATTATTTTTAAAGATTGATGGCGAATTACAGTAAATGTTTCCTATAATGCTATATAGATGTTTCCCTAACAGAAGGTTTCAGAGGGCCCAGCTAGAGTGCTGCAGCTTGTTTTCAACTATATTAAATCACTTTATCAATATACTTCAGTTTTAACAAAAGCTTTCCTAAAGCATACTGGAGACTTGACTTCTAAAACAGATTTATGGAAAGGGTTCCCTATGCTGAAAGACAAACTTATTTATTGTATTAAAAATTCACGTTAAATGTCCTTGGTCATATATGTTTAGTGTTTCATTCTTGTTTCATTTTCATCCTCATTTTACTTAAAAAAAAAAAAAAAAACTAATACACACCTTTCCTGTGATGCAGTAAGAAATAGGTCTGTCTTGTGGTCCCTCTAGTCTAACAGTCTGCATCTGACAGGGTCACTAAGTGGTATGCTATAGAATGCCATGTTTATCCTCCTGGACTAGTCCTTTCAAAGCTAAGGGATCTTCCCATAACATTTTTACAACATTTTAGTTTTGTGGAGGAGCTAGTCCATTGTAGAGGTTTATCAGCCATGTGTATATTTAATTCTGTTGAGTATCCATTTATATCTTTGAACCTGTATTACTTTTCAAGGAAGTTTAAACATTTACTAGCCTTTTTTGTGGAGTCCAATGTAATTCTAGTTACTTGAAGTTTACTTTTGACTATGAAGTTTTACAGTTCCAGAATTTAATGCACAAATCTGCATTTTTCCTGCGTGTAACTTTTGTAATCTCCTAGATGATAATCACACATTCTTTTTTAGCCTACACATGTCTAATATTAAGAGTCCTTGCGTTTACTTCTGTATTCTTCTTGTAGCTTCCATTTTCCCTTAGTCATTTTAATGGTCATTTTCTATTTTCATTATAATTATACTGAAAGTGTCAGCCACAGCTATACACAGATACCATCTTCTCTTCTTGGTTCTAGGAGAGGGAAGAATAACAGTTAAAAAGTTGAGTTGAAAGAGAAACCATACCTGACCACCTCAAATGCTCCATTAAACTAATAGCAAGGGAACAAAAATGAAATTCTTAGTATTCAGAAACACAGAAGCTCATAATTTTTAATCCTGTATCAGCCAAGCTGCTACTTTAACTGTACTAAGTACTGTGGAAAGCTAACAAATAAAACAGAAGACATAGTGCTTGCCCTTGAGCAGATTCCCGTTACATAGGAGAGCTGGAAGAAACATGCATACATACACATACAATACAAACAACATGCAACAAACTGTTGTACAGAAATAAAAATAAGATGGTTAGGTGATTAACAGGCTTAAAAGAAAGAAGATTAAAATACGACTGTTTCTGGAGAAGTAGTTTGCGCCAGACCTTGGAAAACAAGAAAAATCACTCCTAGTGATCTTGAGGAGTACATTTTTAGGAGAATGGAATAATCGAATGGTAAGGGGGAAATGCAGATGGTAATAGCCTAGGTGGTAAGTGGATAATGAAACAATAGTGCAGCTGATAGAAACAGTTCAGCAAGGAAAGGAAGGAGATAAACAGTATGATAATTTGACAAAAGGGCAGTTGGGTCATGTTATTAGTTTTTTTACAAATTTTTCAAAAGAAGAGAGACTTTTTTTTTTTTTTTTTTTTTCTGAGATGAAGTCTCGCCCTGTCGTCCAGGCTGCAGTGCAATGGCGCGATCTTGGTTCACTGCAACCTCCACCTCCCGGGTTCAAGCAATTCTCCTGCCTCAGCCACCTGAGTAGCTGGGATTACAGGCGCGCACCACCACGCCCGGCTAATTTTTTGTATCTTTAGTAGAGACAGGGTTTCACCATATTGGCCAGGCTGGTCTCAGACTCCTGACCTTGTGATCCGCCCGTCTCAGCTTCCCAAAGTGCTGGGATTACAGGCGTGAGCCACTGCGAGAGACTTGTGTTTGTTTGAAGACAAAGAATGAGGAGCCAATAGAGAGGGAGACACCGAGTATGAGTAAGAAAGAAGATTGCAAAAAGACCAAAGTCCCAGCATAAGCAGGAGAGAAGAGGAGGGAGGAGCCTTAGAGATAAACTGGGACATCAAATTGGATGGCATACTGAGTATGAAAGAGGCATTTTGGTATTTTAGAAATAAGAGATAGGAACTGAAAAAGAGGACACAGTAAGTGTGGTAGCATCTATTATTATTATTATTACTCTCTGACATGGGTTTTGTCTGTGAGAAGTTTTAATTCATGTAATTGAAGATTTCTGCATGCCTAAAAGGTAGAAATCAAAGGCTATAGCAATATGGCAAGTCTGGAGGACTAGTACAAGATATGCCATTCCCTCATTACTCTCAACTATGTCATGGGTAGTTCATCATATAATTGTTTTTATTAAATGCCCAATGAGTAGCTGTCGAAAATTTAGACAGATGTGAATGTTCTATCCTCTGGGGACTTATATTCTAAAATAAAGGAGAGGGAACTGGATTAACTGAGCTATAATCAGCCATCCTGCCACCATCCAAAGTTAAGAATGATGTGATAATGATAACTGACATATAACAGTATCTAACATTGTATGAAATATAGAAAATGGGCATCCCTGATGTGTACTACCAATCACACATTCTAAAATACTGGCCAGGGGATAGTTCAGCTTCTAGGTAGCAGGTAACATTCTAAAACCACTTGGAAATACATCAAAACTCTTGTGACAGTACATGATGGTTTTTGTGTATATGCTATGCCAATTCACACTATCTAACTGTATTTTTGTGACAGCTTTATTGAGATATAGTTTATATAGCATAATATAATTGTGCACTAATTTAAAGTGCGCAATTCAGAGATCTTTACCCTATTCAGAGTTGTGTAGCAATCACCAATATTTAATTCTAGAACATTTTCATCACATCAGAAAGAAACCTCATAGGCATTGGCTGTCACTCCATATCCCCACCTCCTTCCAACCCCTGGCAACCACTAATCTACTGTCTCTATAGATTTGCCTATTTCTACATTTCATATAGAATCATATAATATACAGCAATGTATCAATACTTCATTTTTATGGCTGAATAATATTCCATAATATAGGTATACCAAATTTTGTTTATCCATTCATTAGTTGATAGATCTTTTGTGGATTTTCACTTTTGGGCTATTGTGAATAATGATTCTATGAACATTCATGTGTAAGTTTTTATTAGAAAACCTGTTTTTAATTCTTTGGAGTATACACCAAGTTGTGGAATGACGGGGTCATATGGTAATTCTGTGTTTAACATTTTATGTTTAACAGTTCTTCAACTGATGAACTGCTTTCCAAAGCAACTGCACCATTTTACATTCCCACCAGCAATGTATGAGAATACCAGTTCTCCACATCCTTACACTTGTTATTGTCTGTTGTTTTTATTTTAGCCATCCTAATGGGTGTAAAATGGTATCTCATTGTGGTTTTTATTTGCATGTCCCTGATGAATAATGATGTTAAGCTTCATTTACTGTTCTTATTGGTCATTAGTCTGTCTTCTTTGGAGAAATGTCTATTCAGATCATTTGCTCTTTTTTCAATTATTTAACTTTTTATTGTTGAGTTGTAAGCCTCCTTAATATACCATAGATACAAGCCCCTTATCCAATATATCATTTGCAAATGTTTTCTCCCATTCTGTGGGCTGTTTTTCCACTTTCTTGATAGTGTCTTTTGAAGCACAAAAGTTTTTAATTTTTTTTTTTTTTTGGAGATGGAGTCTAGCTCAGTCGCCCAGGCTTGAGTGCAGTGGTGCGATCTCGGCTCACTGCAACCTCTGCCTCCCGGGTTCACGCCATTCTCCTGCCTCAGCCTCCCGAGTAGCTGGGACTACAGGCACCCGCCACCACGCCTGGCTAATTTTTTCTATTTTTTAGTAGAGACGGGGTTTCACTGTGTTAGCCAGGATGGTCTCAATCTCCTGACCTCGTGATCCACCCGTCTCGGCCTCCCAGTTCAATTTATGTATTTTTTTCTTTGTTATTTGTGCTTTGATGTCATGTCTAAGAAACTATTGACAAATCCAAGGTGACAAAGATTTATGCCTGTATTTTCATTTGAGAATTGTACAGCTTTAGCCCTTACATGTAGGCATTTGATCCATTTTGAGTTGTTTTTTGTATATGGTATGAGGAAGGGGGTCACGTTTATTCTTATGCATGTGGATATCCAGTTGTTCCAGTATCATTTGTTGAAAGTATTATTCTTTCCCCCATTGAATTGTCTTGGTGACCTTGTCGAAAATCAGTTCACCATAAATGTGAGGTTTCATTTCTAGATTCTCAGTTGTATTCCATTGATCTATATATCTATCCTAATGCCAGTACTCATTATCTTGATTAGTGTAGGTTTGTAATCAGTTTTGAATCAGGAAGTGTGAGGCCTCCAATTTTGTTCTTTTTAAAGATTGCTTTAGTTATTCTGAGTCCCTTGCATTTCCATATTAATTTTAGCATCAGCTTGTCTATTTCTAAAAAAAAAATGAGAGTTGGAATTTTGACAGGGACTGCATTGAATCTGTAAATCAATTTGGGAAGTACTGCCATCTTAACAATAATAAGTCTTTTGATCCATGAACATAGGATATCTTTCCATTTACTTAGGAAATATTTAATTTCTTTCAATTATGTCTTGTAGTTTCTCAGTATACAAATCTCACAGTTTCTTTTACTGAATTATTCCTAAGTATTTTATTCTTTTTAATGATATTACAAATGGACATTCTCTTCTTAATTTCACTTTGGAGTTTTCATTGCATATAGTCATATTTATTCATAAATCTTTGGATTTTTTTGCAATTGGCAATATTTTCTTTCAAGAGATATTTTATTCCACCTTGACCCATGAGTCTGAGTAAATGTTTGAATATGTAACAACTTGATGATACATTTGTGCTTTATATCAATTTTAGTTTTCACCAAGAAAAGTCAAAGTAATTGGCTACTTCATGTACCCATTTGTAATCCGTATACAGAAACGTCTACAAATGTAATTTGTATTACACCGTGTGAGATTGTATAGCAAGTCACAAGAGCCTTAAGTTTGGAAACTCATTTTTCTGAATGCTACCTAATGGTCAACAGACCACACCAGAAGAACTGTGAAACTAAAGTTTTTGGGAATGTGGAAGTTTTTACAACAAAATTTAAAGAAATCCTTCTAAATAGAGAATTGTGTCTTTTAAATGATATAGCTTCAAAAACAGATATACAGAGTCAAAATGCAACTCAAAATAAGTCCTTTAATTAAGGATAAGATTTTAGCAATGCCATTTTACTTCTACCTGAGAAGATGTAAGCAATACTAAATAAGCTACTGTACTGGTATCTGTAGTCTTTTGGTGTTTGGACATAATTGTTTACACTTATACAAGTAATGTATTTCTCAATTGTAAGATTAGTTAATTAACTTTTCTACACAGTGAGCTATCTATTATCAGTGTCATATCAGAGGATTTTATTTACAAACATATTTTATTCACAGTTAATTGCCAAGGCCTATGTGTGTAAATAGTTATAATTCTTCCTCTCACCAGTAAATTCTTGACATCTACTTACTGGACATTTAATAAAAACAATTATATGATGACCTACCTATCACATAGTTGAGAGTAATAAAAAAAGTTGTACGTTTTGACTAAAATGTCAAATATATTATCAAAATTACTATCAACAAAAAAATTATCAACATTACTAATTTATTAATGTATCCAAGCAGTGTTTACCAAGTTCCCACCAGGCGCAAGGTTTATTCTTTTCTTTTTCTCTTGACTACTTTTGGGTAATATAATGGATACAAAAGCATGTGTAATCCATAACCCAGAAAATCTACCCCTGAAAAATTGAGAGTTGAATACATATTTCTCTTCGATAGTTCACGTAAGGAAAATTACATTAAGCTACATAGATGGAAACAGTAGCTTTCCACCTACCTTTCAGATGGCTTTTGCTATACCCCTTTGAACCCTTTAAAGCATTTAATCACAGGGAAGAGGTTAGTTCCACCTCCCATTTTGCTCCAAGCACTGCTAATCTAAATTTGCGAAGACTTGTTACTGTTAAACAAGTATTATATTCAGAGGAACATAAAGAAGATGATACTTATATCGTGAGACACACACTAGGTCTAATTTGGCTGAAAAACACACCAATATCTTTTAAAGATTTTGAGCATGTTATAGGGTGAAGTAAAGGACAAATATGCTCTGAATGCATATATTTCTTCTCTTTGGAAAACATAGCTTAGATACTTTGTGAAACTTGCAAATGTCTTTAAAATACAACTCAGATTGCTGTTATGGGCTATACCATAGCCTTTAACTTGATCATTTTTACCTTAAAATGTAATGGTGGAATCTTTTTAATGACCATGTTTCACTATCTTCTATCAATATTCAACCGAGTTTTGCATAGGATCATTGAATGTACCACGTCTAGCTATATTAAATAGAAAAAATAAATATACACATATGTGCAGAATATAGTTATTTACCTCCTATTTTATATGAACAATGTCATTAGTAATCATGTAATTAGTATTCAAGTGTGTGTCTGAGTCTAGATATAATGGAGTCTTGATTTAGGTGATACCGCCACTGCACACATTGTCTGTCACCAATTCCAGGCCCCTTTTTTTTTCACCTTCCAAGTATCTTGACCTTTTCTTTTGGAACTGAGTTACCATCACTTAGTGTGCCCTCTTTCAACACAGCCTGTCTACCATTGGTTTTTCCTGCTCAGCAGTTGATGCCTGTGTTGCAACCTATAAAGAGAGTGTTTAGCTCAAACTAAATTGGTGGATATTGGTGAGACTGTGATAACTACAGTACTGCACAGCTTGATATGATCTGTGGCTCTCTGCATTTAATCTCAAATTTGTGCAAGGAAGTGTTCTATAACTGGAGAATATGGTCTTCCTAGGTTTTCCAGTATGCTTTAGTAAAATAAGAGATTAAATGCCAATTAGAACAGGCATATTGCAAAAATAAATAAAATTGTACCTGGATGCTGTATTCTATCTCTGCTGTTTACAATTTGCAAACAAAGGATCAGAGTCAGTGTTAAGTTTGGCCAAATAGATCCCATTTACCTATATTAATACAGAAATTTTTGGAAAAAAAATCCTTTTTTTTTTAACTGGAGACAGGGTTTTACAATATTGGCCAGGCTGATCTCGAACTCCTGACTTCAGGTTATCCACCCGCCTTGGCCTCCCGAAGTGCTAGGATTATAGGCATGAGCCACCGCACCTGGCCTCAAAAAATACTATTTTGTATTGTTTTTCTACATTTAATTTCCTTCTCTTTAGTTTGCCACACCTTTTGGCTACATTAAGGAAAATAGTTAAATAATGAATTCATAGTTATTGTACTATAGTCTATAACAAATTTTGAGAGATGATAAAATGGAGCAGTCTATTTAGTGGTCTAGATTGCTAACAGGGAAATATCTTCCTTTCTGATGCATGAAACTCTAAAGGGTAAGAGGCTGAGAAATTTTCCACCTACAAGCTGTGAGAATGTCTCTTCTCTAATACCAAATCACCACAACTAGCTTGCTTTGCCTATTTTTATTTAAATTACAGTCCACGTGCTCATTCGTATGTTGTCATCTCTGTTCATCTACCTTGTCTTAGCTGTAATGAAGCTTTCAAGGGATGAGATCAACTTCTTTTAAAATTATTTTCATGAATAACTTATGCATATGTACTCCAGATACATAGACTTGCTAATAAACAGAGAAGCCCAACAACACAACTTCCTTTCTTTTGATTTATTGAATAACATTTAAGTAGCTTCATTATGTAATATATGATGCTATAAAGTGCAGAATAAAGAGATGGTGTAGTATTTGGTAAGGTTTTAATATAAAGGTTAATGTCCATCAACCAGTTTTGTTCAGATTTTTAAAAAATGACAATATCTATTCATTAAAGTCTATTCTTAGCACCTTTAAAACAGTGTTTGTCAAACCTAGAACATTTTGAATTGTTTTATATTTATAATATTGTTTGCATAACCAAATGATGCATTTTAAGATTGATAAAAGCCCCTAATGAGGATAGCAGTTGAATAAACTGAACATTAACTTGCGAACAGAAGTGCCACATAAACATGGTCTGTTAATTGTCTGCTCATTGAAGACATTGTCAGCTCTAGGACTTAAGAGTTAAATGTATAATCAGCCCTTTAGGGGCCAAATTGATCTGTCTCACATGGAAAAAAGTAACTTTCAGTGAAAAATAAGGTCCTCAGTTGGTCATTTATCATTTCAAAGAGCCTATTTTATTATAAATGTCAATTCCACAAAATTATGTGTCCTGTAATACATAATTATGTACAAAATTGCATTTGAAATCTATTATTAACAGTTAACAGTGAACATTCTTAAAATAGTTATTACTGTTGGCCTTAACACAAAAAGCAATAATGGAGGTATTTTAGGGAGTTAAAAGCTGCAAGGCATTGGCCACTGAATAAAGCCACTGCAGGTGTGTTTCTTAATGGGCTGTTAACTTTATAATGGGTGAGCACAAAGAACAGAGACCATGTGTGTTTTAAAACTGTGTTTGGTCTGGAGAAGGAGTTGATGGCTGAAAAAAATAAAGGTGATGTGAAATGAGGCCAAGTTGAGCTTTCTCACCTGAGATGTAACCCTCCTTGCTTAAAATCAAGGCAAACTAAATCTTGCTCCTCCTCTTGTATTCCTACCCTCCCCATTACCACAAAACAAAAAATTCCATGAAAACACATATTAAACTGGCACATCAGAAATCATTGGAAAATATGACAATAAATAATAAAGCTCTGATTGCCCAAACTCAACATCCTCCCTCACAGACCAGCTCCTGTTTTTGCTATTAGCACTGTCTAAATCCCCCAACTCACAATCACGGGGTTAGCTTTGACCCTCCATTGGCCCCAACACTTAATGTTCTCTAGAGCTTTGCTTCTCAGGGTGTGGGCTGTAGACCATGCGACATGGGCATCACTTGGGAACTTGTTAAAAATGTCTGACTTTGGACCTTCTGAATCAGAATTGTATTTTAAAAAACTGCCTTCTTGTACGCATTAAAGTTTGAGAATCTCTACTGCAGTATCTTCCTTAGCATTGTCTCTCATATCTTCTCCTTCTTTCCATTCACATGAAATTATTTTTCACTGAGATGTAGTTTTTCTATATGAGCTGTTTGGGCATACCCTAAATTTAGATCTTCATGTCATTTCACTTGAATCACCCATAATTCCTATGTCATTCTTGTGTCCGTCTGCTCTAATTCGTCCCACCTCTGCCTCAAGATTAGCCTTTCTAATGTACCCAAACCTCTTCCCTCTTCTGAAAAACCTTTAATGGCTTTCTATCCTTTATTAAATAAACCCTTTTGACTGGTCCTCTAGGCCCTAGACAACATGATTTCCTTCTTCCCTCCAGCCCTAACTCCAACTGCTCCTCTCTATAGACACATACCCTACACCTTAGCTTTACAGTTTCTTTCCTCTTTTTAGTTCAAGCCATCCTTTCCATGTGCGCCACTCTTCCCAATAACTCTTTTGAAATCCTTGTCCTCCTCTAAGGCTCATCTTCAGTGCCACTTCCCATAGTAACTTTTTCTCATTCATCCATTTGTTCTATGAATACATATGTATCGTCTATGTTCTTTGCCTACAGTTGCCTACATTGTTCTAGGTACTGGGAATATACCGACGAATAAAACAGCCACAGTGCTTGTCCGCACAGAGCTTACTTTCTATTGAGGAAAAATAGACAATAAACAATAAATAAGTAAAATATGTAGTATGTTAGATGGTGATAAGTGCTAAGGAGAAATACAAGAAGATAAAGAGGATAGAGATAGCTAGAGATGAGGAGTATCCTCCAACCAAATAACTTTCCCTCTTTCAAATACACAGAGCACTTATTTTTCTTTACAGTGAGGTTATATGTGCTTGTCCTATTTTCCCTATTTTCAATGCTCCTTGAGAGCAACAACTGCCTCTTACTCATCTTTGTATCTCTTGCAGCTACCAAGACAGCACTCAGTAAATAATGGTTAAAAGGAGTGAAATTGATTGAAATAAATGCAATAGGGTTTGAAGAGAAGAGAGAGACTGACATAGTGGGTGGTTGGGGAAGGCTTCTTAGATGATATTTAATTTGGGCAAGGCCTTGAAAGACAGATGGGGTGGGGAGGAAGAAAAAGCTGAGTAAGTTATTTTGATATATCTGTTCTTGAAAAGCTAAAAACCATTGCTTTATAAATTAAGATTAACATGGTGTGTAATTTTCTCTACCTTTAAAACTAGTGTTTCAGAAGGGACGGGCGATAGACACTGGAGAAGTTGACATTGGTGCACAGGTCATGCAGACCATTCCACCTGGTTTATTCTGGCGTTTCCAGATTACTATCCACCATCCAATATATCTGAAGTTCAATATTTCTTTAGCCAAGGACTCTCTGCTGGGAATTTATGGCAGAAGAAACATTCCACCTACACATACTCAGGTATTTGATATTATAGGTATTTTCTTAAACCCTTTTCAAGGGTGATGGGTTGAACAGTTCAGGGTTTGTGACTTATGAAATATGTGGTTGTCAAAGGTAAGGACAGAAAAATATTTGTCATGAATAAATATCCAGAATAATTACACTGAAACTAATGAAAAAAATGACATGGAGAAATAAGGAATAACATTTAGCAGAGCAGATTCAGAAAAGAAAGTTTAAGACACACCCTTTAAATTTGACTTCTGCTTCCTGGAACCGGCTGTTCATGAGCTTCCCAGACCTCTCATCTTGCTTAGCTTTACTGCCCACAGTCCCTTCACTGATTTCATACATCTGTGTCCCCTTTTCCCAATGAAGGAACGCATATTAATCAGAAATTAGTGAGAAATTAGTCAAAAAGTTAGGTTTTGTCTTACAGGTAGAAATTTTTCTTTACTGTTGTTAATAACTTAAATGTGTAAAACTTCTATGATTTTTATAGCCCTTCCATAAACTTTAAACATCTCATTTCTCTTATTTTCTTCTCCTTATTTTTTCCCCACATGAACCCATTTCGAGCACTACTTCATCTAAGAAGTAGAAAAAGTGATCAAACACTGGGGCTTGTTTTTTCCCCAACAGATATGACTATAGTTAAAACCTTACCTTCAGTTAGTCAAGAGATCATGCTAAACAAAGAAACAAACTAAAAAACAACCTTACCTTCTGGGCCAGAATAGAAACGGAATTAGAATGCATTCAAATGTGATTCAAAAAATAAATGTTCAAGGAAACATGTGCCAGGTCCTTGTCAACTGATTAGAAAAAATGGAGAGGAGGGGCCTTTTGAATATGTAAATATGTCACCCACAAACGTAGTAAATTATGATGAATGTTCTCAAATTTTTGACTGTTCATTTATTTTAAAGACTATACAACTGTTTTTAATTTGTAGAGAAGGTCACAGTAACATTTATGAGTGGAAGGTGTATTTTCAAGTATCTTCTATCAGATGCTTTAGTAAAATGTCAAGATTCTCCTGCATAATACTAAACAAGATTTCTTTCTGTTTTTTATTTATTCATTTTTAAACAATTATTTTGAATACTCTCAAACTGAAAGGTTTATAATATTTTTAATTACAGTGAGGGTTTCTTCATAATTAATAATATGTTTTTGAGTTTAAATATGCTCTTTAAAAAACTTTTAAAAATTTTTATAAAATTTGTTGCCCAGGCTGGTCTGAAACCCTTGGGCTCAAGTGATCTTCCTGTCCTCGCCTCCCAAAGTGTTGGGATTACAGGCATGAGCCACCGTGCCTGGCCAAGTCTAAATATACTTAAAAATTGATAACCTCCTCTTCCAATTTGCTCAACTTCAAAGCAAAGAAGTAAGAAATAGGGCAGTTGAAGTTAGGGATGTTTATCAGTCTAGAAGAAAAAGTAGTGGCTCATCTTCATGTTTGTATTTGTTCCAGTTTGATTTTGTAAAACTAATGGATGGCAAACAGCTGGTCAAGCAGGACTCCAAGGGCTCTGATGATACACAGCACTCCCCTCGGAACCTGATCTTAACTTCGCTTCAGGAGACAGGTTTCATAGAGTATATGGATCAAGGACCTTGGTATCTGGCGTTTTACAATGATGGAAAAAAGATGGAGCAAGTATTCGTGTTAACTACAGCAATTGGTAAGCTGCTTTGCCTAATATGTTGAATTGACAGTTCAACCCTAGAAAGACACAATCAGTGATGACAGTGTCCTGGGGGTTATTTAAGCTTATTGCTCACTTTGAGTTGAAGTCATTATTGAGGAAAGGTTACTATGATAAAAGTTTATATTGTTGTTATCATTGATGTTGTTTAAATGCTGATTAAGATTTTTTTTAATGCTACTTTATTTGTTGCTCTTCTAGGACACTTGCCATACATCTTTTTATGTGCTCTCAACAGAAATAATTACCTTAGTAATATTATTACCAAGGCTACATAGATGAACAATTTCAGTGAAAAAGGGAATAAGCAAGTTAATTTAAGTTCTGTTATTTTTAAAAAGCAATGAATACCTTTTTCAAATAGAAAAAACTAGTATCAGTACAGTTCTTCTTTAGAACAACTGGTTCTAGAAGCATTAGGGCTTTAAAATACAACATAAGATTATTTACAGAAGAATATTAAGGATAATAACTTGAGACATTCAAAGCCCTTTCTTATAGAATATTTTAGTTTGAAATTCATCACAATGTCTCTTTCAGTGTGCTCAGGGCCTTTTAAAACATGTTCTTTTTAATGCGATGCCTGCCTATACTCATTCACTTTCACCCTAATTAGTTTCAGACGTCTCACTCTTTTGTCATTTTAGGATAAATAGTCCTCGTGACCCTTTGTGTGAATAAAGCTGAGCTCCTTAGCAATTTTAGAGTCCTGAAAATAAACAACTCATAGACACAGTATCGTATTGTGTGAATTTTCCTAAAACACATGTCTTTTAAAAGACAAGAAAATATTTTACAGCTGTCAATTTTCAATACAATCCTCACCACTTTATCCTTTAGTTAACCTGTTCAGCCATATGTTTAGGAAGATGTGTTGACTTTAATAGATATACCATCTGCTCTTTTTAACAATTATGTTCTATTTTTACTTGATGCTGAAGACCTTGAGTCAATAGAAAATGGTATTTCAGCCGTAAGATTATCAAAACTTTCTTCTAAAGTAATCAGAAAGTCAATACAATGGAAATGATGATGTTTCCCCTAGAGAAAAACTCCACTGATCTTATATCTTCAAAAGACAAAATATTTGTTTGTTAAAATAGAAAATAAATTTTTAAGTCATGTCACTGTTTTGCTATTGACAGGCTCAGTGGGGCAGGTTCAATGGATGAATATTTCATGGCATTTTTCTATGGAGGCTTAATATTAATTATGTGCATGTCGAGGAGTTATAAAAGGTTGAGTTTCTCCTAAAAATTAGATAAATTAGAAGAAATAAAATATTTGTGAAGACTTTCTGTCTTCCTATTATTCTTACTCTTTCAGCTCAAGTTAAAACACTAACCGATCTATTAACCTTCCAAAAATCAATAGACCCAGAAACATGCTTAGAGGTTTTTTCCTGTCCCTTACTTCCTCCCCCAAAGAACCTAAACTTTGAGATACAATTCATATCATCCACATATCAAGCTGTCAGTTTCATATACAACAACATATTTGCTCTTTGCTTAATGCAAGTCAGTCTCTTTACTTTTCTCTTGTCTTTTTAAAATTAGAAGCAACAGAAACGTTTCTGCTACCATTCCACTTAAAGAAAACTCAAGTAAATTTTCCCAAAATCAAAAGGCTTGTAAGTCATTCACCCTAAATTCTCCTCTTTCTTTTTTTTTTTTTTTTTTTTTTTTTTTTGGAGACAGTTTCTCTCCATCGCCCAGGCTGGAGTGCAATGGCACGATCTCGGCTCACTGCAACCTTCGCCTCCTGGGTTCAAGTGATTTTCCTGCCTCAGCCTTCAGAGTAGCTGGGATTACAGGCACCTGCCACCACTCCCAGCTAATTTTTGTATTTTTAGTAGAGACGGGGTTTCACCATGTTGGCCAGGCTGCTCTCAAACTCCTGACCTCAGATGATCCACCCGCCTCAGCCTCCCAAATTGCTGGGATTACAGGCATGAGCCACCATGCCTGACCTCCTCATTTTATTTTTGTTTTTGAACTTTATCTTAATCAGAGTAAAAAGAAGCCAATATACTTGATTAAACAAAGTCAGATTTGTATGAATTTGCTCTAAACGCTGCTCATTTATCTATTTCATGATAATGTTAGAATCAGTTGATTGATCTCAACTATATTTGGTCTGCTACTAACAAGGATGAAGACAATTAATAACTAACATTTACTAAATGACTAATATAGGTCAAACACTGGCCTAAGTTATTATATATTATTTTCCAGTAGTATAGGCAGCATTGTCAGTATCCCTTAATCTCAGGCAACTTGCTCTGTAGCAGGATAATAGATAGCATTTATGGAATGCCACTCTGCTCCAAGCACTGTACTAGATGCTTTACACTCAGTTATCTTGTTTGATTCTCATCACAACCCAGATAGCTCAGGAATAGTGATACATATATTACAAATAACTGAATGGAGGCTTGAAAAGATTAAATAATTTGGCAAGGTCTCACAGACAGCAAGTGGCAAAATTGAAATTTGAGAACCAGTATGTCTGATTCCAAATTCCATACCCTTTAGACTATACTCATTCTATAAGAGTATTCATTACATTTAGTTTCTCCCATGAGAATAACTACCAGAAACAAAACCTATCATCAGCGAAGATGCAAATATCAAGGGGCTTTTGACTGTAGCATAAGAACAGGGTTTAAACATAGAACTTCAAAATTATTCTCACCTCTAAGAAACTGGACTCTAGGAAGTAATTCTGAAGTAAGATTTAAAAGATAGAAGTCAAAGATTACTGGAGGCCAACATAAATAGAAAAACACATTTTTTTTTCATGGCTAGTTGTTTATGTGTTCCTGCTGCAGCCATCTTCCTCCTGGAGTCCCTCGGCTGTTCCAATGTCTCTTTGATACCCAGTGGAAGTGGCAGCTTCAAAGCCTATATTGCCTTCTCTTCTCATTTGCATTGCTGGGGTTAAGCTTTGTAAAGCCCTTTGAGCTCAGGGACAGTTCTTAAATAAGTCAATAAGATGTACGGATTTTTATTTATTTTGATAGCAAGCTTTATTAAACATTTTTTCCAGAAGAGCTACATTCCCACAAGGCTGCTTCCATAAAGTTTCCAATAGGATCTGGTATGAAATTAAATTCAACTATACTTATTTTTGAAAGCTTCCTCTATGGCCTTCTACTAACCATCCAGCATGGGGGAAATTCAAATGTAGACTTAAGAAGTGGCACTACTGCTTGGTACAAGGAAGCTAGATAAGTAGAAAACAGATAAATAATTGTTCCATCTCTGAATGATAAAAAGTCTCTTTATGCCTTTTCATAACTACTTGTCAAGTAAATTAGTGATTTTCTGATGATAACTAGTGTTTTAATGAGTTAAAAATAGTTGGCTCTTTGCTGAATGCTACATTTCAGTCAGCCCAGGTGTGGTTAAGTGAATGTCAGGTGTTATTTGCTTATCCATTTGAGTTTTCTAACACTGTGATGAGGGACCAGACTGGCATAAACCCGCAAAAGGCATGTGTTCACATAGTGGTTAGACAAATAATATCTTCAATTGATAATAGGGTGGCTATCCAGCCACTGGATTCATTCTCAGCTTTTAAGAATCCCCCAAATGGACTAGATACCTCTTTCTTTTTCTTGTTTTTATTCTTCTCAAGGCAAAAATGCAACATTTAGAACAAAGTTCTCTAACTATGGAAGGTTACTATTTAAAGCATTGGTTCTCAATGTTCTCATGTGGTGATTGTCAGAATGTAGATGACTGGGCTGCATTCCTCTGAAGCAGGTTTGGTAGATCTAGAGCTGAAACACAGGCATCTCCATTTTAAGTGCCCCAGGTGATCTACTGATACAAGTAATCCACAGGCCACAATTGTAGAAATGCTATTTCTCGACCCTCATTATAAATTCTCACTCTTATTGTTCAGTGGAAGATATCAGGACCACCTCCTAGAATCTCTCCTTCTAATCAGAAATAGCTTATCCAAGTGAAACTTGGTGAAGCAGGTAATTTAGATTGAAAAGGGAAAAAATGGTACACAAGAAAAGTGTGAGTTTAATAGGCCAGAACACTAAACTCAGAGTCCAAGAATGCTGAGTATGAGAAATTTATAGAAAGGTGTAATGAGGAGACGATAACACACACACACACAAACACACACACACACACACACACACCACAAAAAAAAATCCCTGCGAGAATAAAGCATAGGTACCATAATAGTTCAGACTTAGAATTTGATCATTATTGTGCTCAAACACAATTTTAAAATACAAACATTTTTTCACCTCATTGTCAGAGAGACTGACATTTGTATAATATTATAGATTTTCAGAGAAGTTACTGTAAGTCTTATAAAAGTTCTGTTGCACGGTACATATTTATGTCACCAGAACTACCTATCGGTACCTTCAAAGCCATCTCAATTCATCTGAAATCCATTCTTCTCTAAGAATGGATTGAAAGGAAATTAGTGGCAGAAAACGGATAAGCATTTACAGTTCAGAAAGCATTTCTCAACAAAATACTTAGGTTCTAATGCTTTTAGTGGTGGTGAATTTAATATGAACACTTACTTTAAAAGCCTTCCATTGTCACTTATTAATGAAAATGAAATACTGAATATCATATTTAAGCTGTCAAGATAGTAGATTAAATAAGTTGCTAGAGAAGAAACTTTATTTGCTAAAACCTAAATTTGAAAAATAAACAGTAGACTTAGTCATCTGTGTTACATTTTAAAGCCTGTTTTGCTTTTGAGAAATGCCCTGTAATCCTGGTACATTTTTTAGCTTTATCATGAATGTCTCTTAAGAATACAGTTGAACTAGAACATTTATGTGCTTTAGAGATAATGATGTTTTTTGGTTCCACTCTTGATTGGCCAAGTCAGCAAACCCAGGGCCCTTTTTATAATTTTGTACTGCATGTGACATCTTACAGATGTCTTTGTATGTGATTTTGAGCAGTAAGTGCTCCACAAACAGCAAAGGGCAAAATTGTCATAGGTCCAGAGTTCCTGCAACTTAAAAAAAAATAAAGACTCTACAGCCTGGAGATGCGTTCATTTTTTTTATCTTTTTCTCTGTATTACTAGAAATAATGGATGACTGTTCAACCAATTGCAATGGAAATGGAGAGTGTATCTCTGGCCATTGTCATTGTTTCCCAGGATTCCTTGGACCTGACTGTGCTAGAGGTAATGTTGCTCTGTTATTCTGATTGGTTTAGGAAAATAGATGTGATTTCATAACCCAGAATTAGTAGTAATAGTCATAGTAAGTAACATTAGTAGTGGTGACAGCAACAGCAGCAGTGTTCCCTATGGCTGCTGCCAAAAGCTGAGCACTTACTATGCCAGGCACTGTTCTAAACACTTTGTGTTCCGTCTTTTAATTCCAACTTCCTACAATAGCCCTATGAGATAGGTCTGCTATTATCCAATTTTTATGGGCAAAGAAACAATGCCAGAGAGTTTAAGTGACTTAACCAGGGTTACCTAACAGCTGGGATTTGTAGATAGGTTGTCTGACCAGTCACTATGTGATGCTTGTATTTCCTTCAGAAACTAATTCATAATGAGCTGACTTTAAAAGTGAACTAAGTTGATAACTGCTTGTACACACCAATGTATGTGGAAGGGGTGGGTTATCACCAAATGAGTAAGGAGCCTACAAAGTAACGACTGGAAAGTCAGAAGTCAAACTTAGCAAACTTCACTCTTCCTGGACTTGCCCATAGTTTAATTTTTGAAAAGCTTTAGGTAAATCACATCATGTTTTCCCGTAGACTTACAGTTATTATTTCAGAGATGTTTTCTGCTCATTTTCACTGTATTCTTAAAGTTCCCAGTCTGCTAATATTTTAATATCAGGTTTCTCAGACACTTGGTTTCTTTCTATTAAATTCCATTCAGTAGCGAATTCTAAAACACTTGCTAGGTTCCCAGCACCATGATAGATCTTGAGGAGGTGGGGGTTGAGTGTGGAGGTGATGGTTGGTATTAAAAAATCAATAAGACAAAAAATACAGGCCTTGTCCTCAAAAAGTGCATAGTTTTAATAAGGAGACTAACAATGACAAAGCAGAATTAGCATTCTAATAAAGGTCTGCACAATGTGTTATAGGAACAGACATCTGTCCAATAGAAATCTATTTAATTACACAACTTTTTAAAGATAATATTTTATAACATTAATAACTTCATTTATTGCTTTTTAAATTTTCAGATTTTGCTTCCTAAAAGTAAACACATATCTCCCTGAGGAAGAAAAATATAAGAAAGAAAAATCCTAGCTTAAAATAATAACAATAACAGTTTAAGAGTAGGGTGAGATCAAATGCAAGTACTTGAAATAATTTCTCCACTCAGGATATTTTTAATTTACCTTTATTTCACTCCCATAAGAGGAAAATTCTGTTTGTAATCATGAACATGTGCCTATTTAATAAAGGGTAAGACAGAAATAGTACAATTTTTTGCCTGAAATACGAAAATCAATAGAGAATTGCTCTTTGGAGACTTTGAAAGCATTATGAGAACATTACAAGTTCATTTGCCAACCTTCAGATTCCTGCCCTGTGCTGTGTGGTGGGAATGGAGAATACGAGAAAGGACACTGTGTCTGCCGGCATGGCTGGAAGGGGCCAGAGTGTGACGTTCCGGAAGAACAATGCATTGATCCAACATGCTTTGGCCACGGCACCTGCATCATGGGAGTCTGCATCTGTGTGCCAGGATACAAAGGAGAAATATGCGAGGAAGGTCAGAATCCCATTTTAATCTATTGCTTCAGGCTTTTCTCTCACTCAGTTGTCCAAGGTGTCATTCTGTTCTCCTAGTAGAGATGCAAGTGGCCTTTGCAAACAATAAATGCTCAGCGTCTTAGTACATGCAGCAGAGGGTTTGGGTCAGCGGAGCTCTTGTCTCTTCTGACAGATTCTAATGTTATACATGAGGCTGTATCTGTGACACTTTCAGAGCAATAATGAAAAATAGTATTGTACATCCCTAATTTCTCTCACTATTTTCTAGGTTGAGAATGTCCATATTGATGATTTTAGGTGTTAACTCATATGATTTCATTATTACAGAATGCATTATGCTACATCTCACTTTAAAGCACATAATAAAAATAATAATATATGCACGTTTGCAGCCATTTTGCAAATGTTTTCTTTGGGAGTGTTTTGTAATTACCATTACTATTATTGCTTTATATTATTTATTTTTACATACCTCATGCTGAAACTTGACCTCCATGCCTAAGGAAGCAGGCTTACTACTAATGAGTTTCAAAGCCATGCCTTTATATTAAATTCACCCCAAAGGAGTCTTTATCCCCCCAAAATTTTGAAATGGCAAGTTTTATCATTTAAAGAGACGCACTGGAAAATAAGTTTACTAGTAATCAGACGTTTTTCATGCTACATTCCTCAAACAAGACTGATTTCAGAAATAATATTAAACCATTACCATGGGAGATGGTCTCATCATAACTGTTGTTCGGGAAAGAGGCTGCTGGAAATGCACAATAATTGCTTTTTAAAGATGGCTCATTAAGACTATTACACAGCATTCTAACGGGTTTAATCTCATTCCACTCCATGAACAAGCAAGACTTTAGCTTTTCACCTCCCATTAGCGATAGTAGAATTTTGGTGTGATGATTATATCTGCCATATATATATATATATGTATATGTAAATTTATATATATATGTCTATATATATATATGCCATATATGCCATATATATATAAATTTATATATATATATGGCATATATATGTATATATCTGCCATATACATATATATATGCCATTTATATTATATATACACATATATATATATATATATATATATGCCATTTATATTATATATAAATGGCATTTGGCCTAGACAAGGCACTGGAGTTTCTGAGTTACTTTCAGAAAGTGTTTTTATGGTGATCCAGCTGAAATAATTATATTTAAGTTGCAAATTCATATGCTATATAGACCCACACAGTGTTAGTAAAAAAATACTATCACATCTACAAATTGCCATGAAAAACATGTAATCTAATTAATTTAGACCCCTCTAATTTAAATTTTGTAAGCAGTTTAGAAAAGAGTTCACTTAAATTTGTCTTCTCCGGGGTCACTAAGAATATCTGTAGAATAACCAAGATATTAAGGAATAATGCTCAGTACATTTAATGGTATAAATTTTTCCAATGCAATAGAAAAAAAGATGTTTTAAGTCAAACTTTGCAGCAGGAGCCCACAGGCTGAACCAGGCCTCTGAATGGGTTTTGTTTGGCTCACACTGTGTTGCTGCTGTTGCTGTTGTTTAATGTGACTTATTTGCCAAAATTTAAAAATAGGGAACTGCCACATGAGAATTCCTATTTCTGGCTTCTCTAAACACTAGAAAATCTGGTGACCCTGGGCCCACATTGCTACGTGGTGGCAATCAACTGGAGCCAAGTAGCAGCAGTTCTTTTTAAAAGGGCGCTTGCTTTCAGTTTGCTCCCAACACACCCTTTTTTTCTTCCATATGGCCCATTTCCTTCCTGTATGCCACCTGCCTGGCCCCTTTAGCCATATGATTTTGTGCTTCTAAATTAAATATGACATGAATGATTTAAATATGACTTCCATGAATACATTGAAGCAGGCTTCTTAATAAAATAGGCTGTATTAAGTTAAATACTACTTTATTAAAATTATTATTCTTTAATATAACAAAATGGCCTTCTTCTGAAAACAGATTCTATACTTTGGACTTTCCCTCTCTCTTCAAATCATGAATCAAATTAGATGTACCTTCTGGTATTTATTTGCTTATTAGCTCAGATAATAAATTATTGTGCTAATGACTCCAAGCTCTTGGGCTAATTATAGTGGCAATAACACCAATTATAATAGTGCTTAGTTAGACTTACTCTGTTCCACAGACCCAAGCCACACCCTAAAACTAGGCAGTCTTGGAAATGCAGGCGGGTTGTCACAGTCTATTTGCATTGCTGGAGAAGTAATTCAAATCATACGTCCTCATTACGATTAGTTATTTTAGTCTCATTTTATTTGTATAGAAAGACTAGAAATTTGGAAATCAACCTTTCTATTTCCCATGGAATGGTTACTAGTTAAAATCACAAAACAATTTTTCCCCCAGGCAAGCACAAGAACCTACCTCTAAAACAGTATACACATTTGTTAGAATGTATACAAAAATTTCCAGACTCACAGAATCAGAGACAAATGGAATTGGATCTGTGATATTCTAAGACACTGAAAACTATGTCACCGTGTTCTCATAGAAGGAGAAGCCATGAAGAAGTGAATTTTTAAATTAAGTTTAAAATATTACATTTTCAGTACTTTTAAGGAATAAATGAGAGATTATAATAAATTGATGTAAATTTTATTATTTCATGCAACAGCATTCACCTCACCCAATACCTTGAATAATCCAAATTTCAAAAATTTATATAAACTCCTCTAGACATATCAAGTAAAAGTCTTCTCTGGGAGCTATCGCTTCCATTTTCAGAAAGGATAAGGAATGACTTAGCAAAAACTCTTGGGCTTTTTTGCGAAGCTGAGCAATTCCTGTTGAAGGCCCACAGTACTCCACCCACTTATTTGTGTGGGGGTACTGCACACTGTTCACAGTTTCACACAGCACATGTGTGGTTTCCTTTTCCTTCTCAATTGAGATTGCAACCATTGTGATACCCCACCATGTTTTGAAGTGTTAATAATATGGTTTGGACAGAGTGTTTGCATGAGTCATTTTATTGCCTAATTAAAGCAGCATTGATGATATAAACTAGGAAATCAATGTAATCTCCGTTTCATCATACTAAGGTATGTTGGCCATACCTGTTCACTATTAATCACCCCTCCCCCCCACTTTTTTGTGCCTTCAGAGGACTGCCTAGACCCAATGTGTTCCAACCATGGCATCTGTGTAAAAGGAGAATGTCACTGTTCTACTGGCTGGGGAGGAGTTAACTGTGAAACACCACTTCCTGTATGTCAAGAGCAGTGCTCAGGACACGGAACTTTTCTTCTGGACGCTGGAGTATGCAGCTGTGATCCCAAGTGGACAGGATCTGACTGCTCAACAGGTGTAGTGGAGTTAATTTCCTTCTCCTTCCTCTACTCTTAAATTCTAACTGTTCCTTCCTTAAGGCAGTGTTTCTTAAAATATGATCTGTACACCTTTGTGAGTCCTAAGAGGTTTCCAGGTATGTCCTAGGTTAGTATTTTACTGCATTTTTATTTATAATACGCTGTTACCTATTTTTTTCATCTTGTTTTTCCTTGTAGGTCTGTGCTTGAATTTCTGTCTTCATTTTGTATTCTCCTACAGTTATTTAATACATTCCCAAGTCTCCTACTGTCAGTTCTATGCAGATGATTTCAAATTATATCTCTCCCAAACTCAAATAATCTGGCATTTCCAACCATCTGCGAAATATTTCTACTGGGTGTCCCATCACTTAAAAGCACAACTTAGCCCAGGAACTCTATCCCATTTTACATATTGCTATATTGCCACTCAATTGCTATTCCTACAACATTGCTTTCCTTTTTTCATTCCCTACTCTAGCATCTTCTATAGTTTCCCATTATCTGTAGATAAACTTCAAGTGTCCTAGTCTATGATCAAAAGCCTACCACAAACTATTCCAAAAATCTTTCTCCAGCCTATCTTCTATTTTTGCTTCCTGCATAAATCGTTCCTTTGCCAAAGTAATCTATGTGCTCTCCTTACCCTTAATGAACCATATTTTTATGCTTTTCTCCATGCCTTTTCCTCTTCATGAGATGCTATTGTACTTCCACCTAGTGAAATCCAACCCGTCCATCAAGACTAACTATAATTTTAGCCATTCCATAAAATGTTTCCTGATCACATCAACAGGGATCCCCTGATTTTTTTTTTTTTTTTTTGGAGATGGATTCTCGCTCTGTCGCCCAGGCTGGAGTGCAGTGGCGCAATCTCGGCTCACTGCAACCTCCGCCTCCCAGGTTCAAGTGATTCTCCTGCCTCAGCCTCCCGAGTAGCTGGGACTACAGGCGCGTGACACCACGACCGGCTAATTTTTTTGTATTTTTAGTAGAGATGGGGTTTCACCGTGTTAGCCAGGATGGTCTCGATCTCCTGACCTCGTGATCCGCCTGCCTTGGCCTCCCAAAGTGGCAGGATTAAAGGCATGAGCCACTGCACCGGCCAGGATCCCCTGAAATCTTACCATGCACATTGCTAAAGAGCACAGAAAACATTGTGATGTAGATATGTGTGCACATGGCTTGTCTTTTTGCCTGAATTATAAGTTCTAAAAATAACAAGTCATTCTTTATACCATTTTTCTTCAAACCATGTACTCATTAAATAAGTATAATTAATAAGTGGTAACTCTTAGAAAGCCTCTGCCTATGAATTTTGTTAAAGATGTAAAATGACGTGGTAAGCAGGAAAGATTGAAGCACTGTGGGACTTTTTGTACCACTGGATTAGCTCATGAGCTGAAAAGTCTGTGATCCTACACCGTAAGGAAAGAGGAGAATTTCTCTGTTAAAAGGCTTAATTTTAGCGTAATAATTCACTGCAATTCTAACAATACTTCACTGAAATTTTGTTGCCTCACATAGACGTAATACAGGAAAGAGGAATACATTTTACAATTTCAGAAAATGATCAAAATGCTAAAGGTAATCTAATAATAACGAAAATGAAAATCTTAAAAACCATATATATCTATATCCTTAGGTATAGGATATAGATATGTATATCTCTATATACATATAGAGGTTATATGTATATATAACCTCTATAACCTTTATGTCTAACAAATATACATGTGCCTGCTAAGTGCTTGGCATGGTACTTGATGCTAGGGTTATAGTAGTGAACACGGTGGATGTGGTCCTTGCACAAATGGATCCTACAGTTTAGTCAGAGAGACATTGAACAAGTTAGAAAAAGGTTACAAAGGGAAAGTTTCTGGGTATTATGAGACTGTACAATAGGGACCTAACTTGATTATTAATTTACTTACTAAATGTTACTGAATACTTTCCATCCTTCCATGTTTCAGATACACTATCATGGCTTAGAGCTTTAAGTTAAAAATGATAATATTAATGTTATTATTATTGTAGCAAACACATAATAATTATTATGTATTAGTCACTATTGTAAGCATTGTACATATATTAACTCACTGATAACAACTCTGTAAGTATGATAATCATGCTTACTTTACAGATGAGGAAACCAAGGCACTGAGAGGTGAAATAACTTGCCCAGAGACAATCATATAATCATATAGCTTCTGGCTTCACAGTTCATACATTTCACCACTATACTGCACTGTCCTCTAAAATTTATTATCTAACTCACCACATATAAAAATGTATCATTGTTGGACCATGTCCAGGGCCCTGTGTCACAGAGCACAAAGGAGGGAGCAGTAGACTATTTTTGTGAGAAGAAGCCTTACAGTCAGGTAAGGTTTTGTAGAAGTCTTAACATTTGAATTAACACCAGAATGATGATTGCATGTTTATCACATGGACAAGAGAGGAACGAACATTTCAGGCAGAAGGAGCAGTTTAAACAAAGAAATAGAGCTATGAATCTAAATGACACATTTGGGGACTTGCAAGCCATTGGGTATAGCTATAGCCTAGGAGTGCAGAAGGAGATAAAACTGGTGAGATGAGCAGGGGCCAGAAAATAGGGAGTTTTATTTACACACTATGCTGAGGAATTTGCATTTCTTCTTGTTGCAATAGGAAAGCATTGAGTGATTTAAAACAAACCACCTTTGAGATAGACTATTGAGAAGACCAATTGTAGCTGAATGATATAAGGAACTAAGAGACATGTGCAATGTGATTATTGGAGTAGTCAAGGAGCATGATGGTGAGAAGGGCCTGAATTGAAGCTGTAGTTGTGAGAATGGTGAGGTGGAAACAGACTAGAGAGGAATGACCACGGTAGATGTAGAGAAAAGAGACAGGGTAACTGCTTTGGATGACTAGGCAAAAGTAAGTGCCGCCAACTGAGAGAGAAAAGACATAGGCCGAAAAGTAGGTTTGGGGCAGAGGGGCCAGCTATGGTGAGCTCAGTTGTGGACATGCTGTGTTGTAGGCATCTGCAGAAGATCCCGCTTGCATATGGCCAGCGAGGGGTTGATAGTCAATAATGAAATTAGAGAAGAATCCTGAGCTACAGACAAATATTTGGAACATAGTTTGGGACCACAGGAATGCAAGCTACTGTCCAGGGAGAGTGTGGAAAATGAGAATGAAGAAAATCAGAACCCTAGAGAACACCAACATTAATGTCTTTACTATGGTAGGGTGCTTTACAGTGAGTCAAAAGCTTGCCTCTTTATATATGATTTAATAAATACATATTGATCAAACAGTGATTCTGAATCATATAATTGCTCCCTCAGATCACTCACATCCTTTATGTGCCCTTCCTGATGCCTCAGAATTAGATAAAATTCCTGGTAATGTACTACTCTCCAGTTGCATAAATTCAAATATTTGTATTTCCATTGAGTTAACATTAAATTCAATGTACTGAGAGTTTCTCTTTCCCTGCCCATTCCTACTCCCTAACACACAAAGACATGCACTAGTCCTGTTGGCCAAGAAGAAAATCACAGAATGGGAGGAAAAGGGTAATTATGAACATGCCTGTATGTTGCCCCCTCCTTCTCTCTCTTCCAGATGAAGTACCCTAAACCCTACCCCACTCCTTTCTCACCCCAAACAACCCTTACCCACCAAAACAAATGAAATGATGAGGGAAAAAAATGATAGCCCTATAGAATATTAGATCTGGAAAAAAGTGTAGGTATCTGATTCAATATTCATTAAATGTTCCTCTTCCATCCATCTCAGCATCCCTATGGATTTTAATGCACTGAGGCACAGAGAAGTTAAGCAGTTTGCCTCACAGTGTGAGAACTACTGCACTAGTCAAAACCTCCTCATTTACTTGTTTATTTGCCTAACATTTCTTGAGCCTGAGCCCCTATTATGTCTCCGACAGCATGTGAGGCAATAGTATACAAAGAAGGATGAAACATCTATAGTTGGGGAGGCAAATGTGAATAAAGGTGAAAATACCTTGCACTAAATGCTAAAAGATAGAGAGAGAGATACAATGTGCAAAGAGTCTTTAATATTTACTGATGGTTGAGGAAGTGATCACAAAAGACCACAGATCATGAAGGTCTCTGTATGCCATGCCTAGGAGCTTGGACTTGACCCTGAGGACAATAGGAAAGCCATTTAAGGTGTTTAAAGAGGGTAGTGTCATGACCATGCTTGCATTTTAGCAAAGTCGTTCGGTAAATGACTTGGAGATTACCATTACCATTACCATTCGGTAAATGGTTTGTAGAATATAGTCAAAAAAATGACGCAAACTTGATATAAGGGAATTTAAGTGTAGATGGAAAGGAAAGGACAGACATGAGAGGGGTTAGAAAATAGCACTTGGGGCCAGGCGCGGTGGCTCACACCTGTAATCCCAGCACTTTGAGAGGCCAAGGCAGGTGCATCACGAGGTCAAGAAATCGAGACCAGCCTGGCCAACATGGTGAAACCCCATCTCTACTAAAAATACAAAAATTAGCCAGGCATGGTGGCGTGCGCCCATAGTCCCATCTACTCGGGAGGCTGAAGCAGGAGAATCACTTGAACCCGGGAGGCGGAGGTTGCAGTGAGCTGAGATCGTGCCACTGCGCTCCAGCCTGGGCAACAAGAGCGAAACTCCGTCACAAAAAAAAAAAAAGAAAGAAAGAAAAGAAAAGAAAAAAGAAAATAGCACTTGGTGACTATGTGGGTATAAGGGGAGACAGGAATTTCACTGACTCCATGATTTCTATATTGGGAGACTATATGAATGGTAACACTACTAACGGAGATGTGAAATATTCATCTATTAAACAAATTTTCATTGAATATCTTCTTTGTGCCATCTGCTACACTTTTGGGATATATCAGTGAAGAAAACAAAGATTCCTGCACTAATGGAGCTTGCAGTCTGTCAGGGAGAGACAGATGGTAAAAAATGAACAAGAAATATATGAGTTTTTGAAACATGAAGAAACTGAGAACCAGAAAGGTTAAATAATTGGTCCAAGGTCATAGACCCGGCTAATTGCAAACCTGCCAGAAGAAACCAGGTCTGCTGATTTTATGTAATGTCTAGCATTCTTTTCAGCCCTCAGGCCCTACTCCTGCCAAAGGAAGAAGGAAAAGTTAGACAAGGAGACAGAACTCAGGTGAATAGATTAGTTTGCTGAAAAGGAGATAAAGGACATCAAATACCAAGTACATAAATGACACATTTTTGTACAGAGGTCTGGACCAAAGCCACATTCATCCATTCTGGATCACAAAGAAAAAAGATCACTAGAATCATCTCTTGTTCACAGAAGCAAAAGGGTGGATAGGTATGACCCAAAACTCAGCAGCCTCTCAGGCAAAAGGCTTCCTAATAAAACTAGCAGATTGAAAAATAAGGGAAGGAAATGCCTTCCAAATCTCCAGTGTCATGGTAGGAATAGTCCTTCTGTGATTTTTAAGCTCCATAAAGGTTGTTCCCACAGAGCATATTTAACCATCGAGATGATCTCACTGTGCAGACTTTTAATTGAGTGTGCTCAGTACAGGAAGCAATTTAACATCTGATTCTTATAATGGATCATGTCATTTCCAAGGTGGATATGCTCTTTGCCATTGATCATTTTCTTCCACTAAGCACATGAAGCTTAGCTGTTAGCATGTTAACTGTGCTGCTCTGATACCAGGGGGACTATAGTGAATGGTTTACTGATTATTTTCAGTCTGTATTTCTAGGTACATTGAGTATTGTTAACAGCTCTAAAATGATATTTGATATAGGCTTCTTTAACCTGATGGCCTCACGACACTTCACAAAGGTTAACTCATTCTTTAAAAATACCTGAAGAGGAATACAATAGCAGCTTGTTATAATATACTTTAGATTTGGATATACTACAGGTCAAATCATGCTCCCTTAAAACATAACTCCTTATCATGAAATCTCAGTAATACATTTAGCCTATTCTAAGGGTATTGGCCCTAGCCTCTGAGATCAGCATTGCACAATGTATCTGCTATATTCCTTTTGTAAAATCTGACTTGTCCTGGTCACATAGTCTTTGAAAGAGAGCATAAAAGCAGTTTAGAACTTTGTACTACTCTCTTCTTGATGAAACCTCCTTTGAACCACTCCCTCTATCATTACTTGCAAATAACTGACAGCAAAATTTATAAGTGGTAGGCATTTAATAGAGAGGCCAACTCTTGTCCTTTCTCTGCTACAATCCTCTCTGATTATGCTGTATCTTAGAAGTGGGTTAATCAGCTGGAGAGATGTGAAGCATTAGGCCTGGAGGTTCTTTTCAACATACTATTTGCTATTCAGCAGAAATCATATAAGGTATTATCATGATGTGCCCCTTCTAAGGAACGTTAGTTCCTTAACATGTCAGAAGGCTTTGTTATAAGGATATTTCTTTTTACACTATCCTATGACATGTGTCCACCTTGTCCATCAGAAAGATATCAGTATATGTGTGGGTGTGCATGTATTCACACACAGTGACCATGAATAACTTAATTTCTTTTAGTCTTAGCCACCTCATTTGTGAAATAGTGGAAGATTAGCAAAATGGCCCATGAGGTCTTTTCCAACACTGAGATCTATGATTCTTAATACTGTATATTGAACTATTGACACTGATTATGAATGGTCCATAGATTTAGTTCATAAACTCTCTTGAGTTTATTAATTGTAAATAGCTTTGTTTTCATTATAAGGACATCCACATTTTGATATATAGACTATGTTATTTGATGATTTCCCTTTATGTATGGAGATACACATACATACACACATAAACATGTGTATGTGTGTATATCTTCATTATAACAATGTCTCATTACGTTTTGAAGTGTTCCCTAATGGATGACGATATGCATCTACTAATAAAACAGATAATTAGAGGAGGAGGTTGTAAGAGGTTTATATAATTGTTGTTGCTGAGGAAACTTTCCTTGATTATACAAGTACCATATGCTTTAAAAACATTATTAGTTCTCCCGTTTATTGAAAGTGCCAGTAATCAAAAGATTTTTCACATGACTCTGCGTGTCTAGCACATGTAATGCATCACTTTACTGCAATTTCTAGGAATTTATTAGGTCTTATGAAATGATTCATGTGTACACAGTGTTTTTTTTTCCTTTACACATAACAGTTACAGCAGGCTCATACATGCCATCTGTTAAAGAATCTTTGTTCAAAATGTAATGCAAACACCATGAGGATAACTACGCAGCTATTCATCATGCCACTGAAGGGAAAAGCCCACTCACATATAAGATATTTAGAATTTAGCATCTTCAGTAGACAAAGAGACAGTTAATGTCACCATATTAGGAACCTACGATTGCAGGTACATTCTTCTCTGCAGCTTTGGACACACACCTGGGTTTCTTAGAAATAGTAACTGAGTTCTCAGAAAAAAAAAGTTTCTATTAGTTAGCAATAATGTTAATATTATCATAATGCTACAAATTCCCTGGACTTAAAGTTCATTTCTGCAGATCATATGGGGCAATAAAAAAGTTGAAATATAGGTAGTCACAGAAATATGATAGGAGGATTTATAGTGCTTTTTAGTGGATAAAAGACAAAAAGCTTATGCCTAATTCATATGCAGGCTTCATTATTTTCATCTTGATATTCAAAGTATGACAACCTGTGCTCACATTTATTTTTAAATAATTCTTTTTCTACTCAGTAAAAAAATAAAAGATAAACATTAAGGTGACTCTGATTTGATTGGTTAAATAAAACAAGCATCTGCATAAAACATGGTAGCTATTTCATTAACATTACAGTGAGATTAAAACATTAACTCTAGATTATTGAAGTAAATGAAATTCATTGGTGGCACTAGAAATACAATTCAAAAGCATCCTTAAGACAATTCCAAGTCAAATTAAGTGTGTAAGACTGAATCTACAGGAATATCTTTGGGAGGTAGATATGAAATGGAAAAAAAATCACACTATTATAGTGGTATCATAGCCATACATCCGACTCAGAGATGATTTGTCACCCCAGGCCTTTTTTGGCCCAAATGAAAGTAGAAATTGAACCACAAAATAGTCTCAGATCCAAAAATTCTTTATCTTTATACAAAAGTTCATTTAATGGCCATAAGATTTTATAATTATATATATATATAGTAATTTAAGATTGTAAGGCAATTTAAAGCACATCAAATATCAAATGTTTTCAAAGACATCTTTTACATTTTTGTTCTGAGACAATAAAACCACACGTTATACCATTATTAGCAGGCAACAATGCAATATATAGTGAAACTTTTGACAATTTGACAAGTTTGAAGTAAAAGGTAAGTTTGCGGCTGCCTCTCTATAAGTCTGAGCTAACTCTACTAACTGTTCCAAACCATTAAAGCTTTAAAACTATTTTTCAAACCAGAGACATATATTTAAATAAGATGGCAATTGTGAAGCAAGAAAATGTAAGTAAACCTGAGTGCATGTTTATTTACATAAAGTACAGTACAGTAAGAATCCATTTGGACAGACCAATGGAAATGTCAAAAGAAAACAGGTAAATCTTGTGTTTCATTATTCCCCTTCCTTCAACTCTTATTCTGAATTCTAGATTCACTGGCTATTTGTCATTTTTCTCAATTCATTTTTAGCTATATGAAGTGACAATAGATCCCAAAAGGAAGTATTTACAAGGTGTGTCTGTCCCTGTATATGAGAGATCCTATGGAGAAAGTGTCTACCACTACAGCTTGCCCTGCTGCCATGGAAATTCTCTGACAGGGGAGGATAAAGTAGAAAGGCTCTGTGGTGGAGATGGCTGAGAGAGGTTGAAGGAAGCCATAATTCAATTGTGTAAAAATTAGTGGCCATGGGGAAGGATCAGAATAAATTATCCCAATCCTGTGTTCCAAAATCAGGTGATTGGAGATATAGAAGAGTACCCCATATGCTTACCCCAAATAAGCTGAATGATACTATTCCTGTAATAAAAATATCCTGCATTTATCTGATTGTTTTATTTTTTTTCTCCAAATACATACCAGTGTTTTTTTTTATTTCATCATTATGGCCATGATCCAGGGTCATTATTAGAGTTTGGATTGCATATTGAGCTTTGATGATACAAAATACCTACAGGACTGTTCCAGAGATTTGATTTACATATATATTTCCCTGAATCATTAGAGAGAAGGAGAAGAGGGATGGGAAGGACATAAATTAGTTCTTCAGTAAAGAGTGAGGACAATAAATTTTCACTTAGAAACTTGTTAAGGTCAGGCTCATAGAGACTCTGAATGGGTAGTTGAGTCTGCTATAAAGAACTTGACTTGTACCCCAGCTACCAAATTTCCAGTATCCTAGCAAAAATGTTTCTATTAGTCTCATAACACCCACACGGTATGAGTAGGGTAAGTAATAGTTTCTTCATATTAGAGTTGAATGAACTCCTTTACTTTGAGAGGCAGGGCAAGTTACTTTATTGTGTATGCTTCAGAGTTGAGGCCACTGGTAGAATTCACACCCCAATATCCTTTCTTAAAGATCAGTATGGGCCGGGCGTGGTGGCTCATGCCTGTAACCCTAGCACTTTGGGAGGCCAAGGCGGGCAGATCATGAGGTCAGGAGTTTGAGACCAGCCTGACCAACATGGTGAAACCCTGTCTCTACTGAAAATACAAAAATTAGCTGAGTGTGGCGGCATGCTCCTATAATCCCAGCTACTCGGGAAGCTGAGGCAGGAGAATTGCTTGAACCCGGGAGGCAGAGGTTGCAGTGAGCCGAGATTGCGCCACTGTACTCCAGCCTGGGTGACAGAGCAAGACTGTCAAAAAAAAAAAAAAAACTGTATGGATTTTTTTTTTTTTTTTTTTTTGAGACAGAGTCTCATACTGTCGCCCAGGCTGGAGTGCAATGGCTTGATCTCAGCTCACTGCAACCTTCGCCCGTGATTCTCCTGCCTCAGCCTCCCAAGTAGCTGGGATTACAGGCACATGCCACCACACCTGGCTAATTTTTTTGTATTTTTAGTAGAGATGGGGTTTCACTATGTTGGCCAGACTGGTCTCGAACTCCTGACCTTGTGATCCGGCTGCCTCAGCCTCCCAAAGTGCTGGGATTACAGGCACGAGCCACTGCATCCAGCCAGATTCATTATTTTTATCCTACTTCGGACTTGCTGAGCTTCTTGAATATAAGAACCCATGTCTCACATAAATTATAGAAAAATTTCAGTCCTTATTTCTTTGAATCTTGATTTTCCCCCTTTTGGTATCCTTTTGGAAGTTCCCTTAGACTGTCCATTCCATTCTAGCCTCCATGTCCTTTACTCCTTTTTCTTACTTACTATCTTTGTTTCCCTTTGTTATCTTATAAGCAATTTCTCCGTATTTATCTTCTAGCTCACTAAATCTCTCTTTAGCTATGCTTATTGTAATGTTTAACCCTTTTATTAATTTTTCATTTCAATGATTACTTTTTGTTTCTAAAATATTTACTTAGTTTTTTAAAAAAAATATGCCTCATTATTTTGGGTAATTTTTTGCATCTTAATTGTGTTTTTGGTTACATGAAACATGGTTATTTTATATACAGTATCTGATAAATACAGCATATGAAGTCTTTGTGGATGTGGGTCTATGGTTTGTTACTTCTTTGAACTCTTGGATATTAATTGCATTCTTGTTTTTGGCTTTCTTAAATTGTGAGCTCAAACAGGTTGGAAATCTCTCTAAGTCCTGTATGAAGAAAGTATTCTTCTGGTGAGGATTTACATTTGTTTCTGTCAGAAACCTGCCTACGCTACAAATCAGCGTAAACTTTAAAATATCATGTTGCAATTCTTTAGGCCAAATAAAGAGTACAAATACGAACCCTAAACCCACATGAAACCTGGCTAGTGGCCATGAGGTCTCAGAGGAGGCTTGATATTTAACATCCTCATAGACCCAAGACTAAGACAGATCATTTTCTTCTACTATGTCTCTGCAACACGCATTTTCTTCCAGATTGGATATATATCCCAATATATATCCCTAATCTTGCACAGGCCCAAGGTAGCTAAAAACTTTTGCTCACTCTGGACCCTCATGAAATCTCTGGGTCACTCAAATCAGCAGATGACCCATGTCCTGGCACAGCTCTGACTTTCCATATAATCTTGGGCACGTGAACCACTATGGGTCTCAATTTACACATCTGCAAACTATTTGTAACCTAAATTCACATTTCAATTCATTTTTAGTGATTAGCATTTTTCCTCTAAGTGGATAAAACAACTTAAGTTCCAGTAAAATTAAGAATGTAGTCTACTAAGGTATGGGTAACAATATTAGATCCAGTTCCACAAAACTAGAAGAGCTTATTCCATGCTAGCAAAGAATGTTCTAAGAAATATTGCTCAAAAGACATTTCAGGAACCATAGCAGTTAAAGTCAGTGAGGTTAATAGTGGAGTCAAGAATAAGTAGTTTCAACAATCAAAACAAGCTTCCCACACTTCTCTGCTAGGTTCATTCAGTTTTTTTCTTTTTTACCAAGAAAGATATTGAAGGTTCATTCATTTTTTAAATTGAATTCTGCATATCAAGCAATGAAAGTTAAGGCACTCTAAATATGATTGCCTACTTTCTTTTCCAACAGTCTTCTTTTTGTTCATTTCTTTTTTTGACAGACTTGTCATAATCATAGAATATTGACAATAGATGAGATTTTAGATGCCACCTAGTTCTGCCCTTTCCTTTTATAGATGAGGAAACTGAGTTCCAGAAAGGTCAAATGACTTATGGACAGTCATATAGCTCATTAGGCACGTAGTTAGTATGAAAAACAGGTACTGTGATTTCTGGTTTAGATCTTTTATCCAATATACCATTCAGAGAGCCTTCTATAAATTTAACAGATTCTACCCATTGTCAACAGTTCCACTGAATCTCTAGAAAGTTGGCAATGAGCATATATGGGGAAGGATCCTGGGACCTTTTTCTTGACTATCAGAATGTTATAAAAGTTGTCAGAGATTCAGCATGGAAAAATTCAGACAGAAATGAACTCAAATCCCAGGCCTGTTTCCAAGTTATTGTATTACCTTGAGTAAGTTGCTTGGATTCTCTGAGCCTCTCCTGTAAAATAGGGAAATAATTAATATTTTGTAATATAGTTGTAGGGGTTAAATGAGATAACATATGTGCAACACATAGCATGATGCTTTTCCCATAGTGGGCACTAAATTATAATGATAGATTGTAGCTATTGTTGGCATTGTATGTCAATTCTCAATGTAAAGACACATTTCAAAGACAAATCTTTTGTAAGTAGAAGATAAATTAGTAGATGATAAATCTCAAGGAAATTCATCTTTAAACACTGTAAAGCTGAATTAATTTGAAGAAGTATGAAAATTCTTTCTACTCCAAAGTCTTTATGTTCTTTTGTCACTATCCAAATGGTATTGTTTCCTGTGTTTGCAGAATACAGATATATGTTTTACTGGAAAGTCAGTTAACAAGTAGCTATTCTGCCTCTTCACTACCTTTACTTTGAGCCATGCTGTTTATTATAAAATCACATTCAAGGAAAATTTACATTCCTGATGTGTCAACTAAGATTATAGTTCAGTGATTGGAAGTACCTCCCCAAGGGGAAAAAAAGAGATAAACAAGATAGAAGTATTATTTTATTTTAGGCAAAAGAAATCTAGAGGCAGGCAGTCCAGGGCTTGTATGGTGACTTCAGAAAGAAAGCTTCTTCCAGCTCACCACTGTACTATTTCTAGGATGGAGCCCTTACCCTTATAGTACACGGTGGGAGCCAGTGCTCTAGCTATTACATCCTCACTATAGGCGAAATGAAGAAATGACGAGGCAAAGGGACTTCTCTACTTTCTTTTAAGAAGACCTCACTGAAGCTACTGCCAGAAACATTCACTTACATTTTATTGATCGATAACTTAGTCATGTGAAAACACCTAGCTGTAAAGGAAGTGAGAAATGTAATCTTTATTTAAGGAAGTCATGTGCATAGCTAAGTAATGTCTAATTGTACTGTAGCTTTCTAACTCCCTCTTAGCCAACACAAGAGGGAAAAATGATCAATTATGTAATTCACAGTGTCCTCAAGATAGACAAACTCATAGCTCAATTAAAATAAAACTTTTCTTTTCATTGAAACCAATGAGACACTTCTCCTTTAGCTCCTCTTCAAGACTTGTATGGAAGATTAATTAAAATATCTCCTTATTAATTTTTATATTGATTACATTATGAAATGATATTTTGGATATATTGGGCTAAATAAAATATATTATTTAAATTAATTTTAATAATTTTTACTAAATAATTTTGTTTTACTTTTTAATGTGGCTACTAGAAAACTTTAAATAATATATGTGGCTTGCACTTAAGGCTCACATTATATTTCTCTTGGGCAGCAGTGCTTTAGCATATGGCAGTATCAAGTTTAGCCTGGAAAATGTAACTACATATATATTCCAAATTAAACTGATTCTATTCCAACGCCAAGGTAACTAAACAAGTTAACTTGCAGTATGAAATTATTGACAAAGTGGATTAAAGATGGAGAAGGTCTACCAAAAATGATTATTTGAGTCTTAATGTAACTGACTAACAATCCTTTTTGGCAATAATAAGACAGCAAGGGTAACCATTTTAAATCTACTTCTAGTTTATGACAATAAAATCGTATCCAGGAAATATAAAGGAATAAATATATTTATATTTCCTAAGACAAGAGGAACATCAAGTTGTTAATACTCAGAGCTCTACACAAGATGATAAAGAATACAAATATGAAATGACAGTGGAATAATTAAATACCTAACGATAACCTGTTTCTTATATAGAATATAGGCTGGGGAAACTCAGGCTTTCGGTTTCTCAAGAAGGAAGCCAGCATATGCTTTAGATAAAATGTCTAATAAAGTAATAGGTTTGTAACTTGGAGAGAGCAGAATTTTAATGTCATAAAATGAGTTAGACACACTCTGGGTCCAGCCAGCCAGAAGACCTATGGAGATAATAACTATAAACAAACTGGTAAGGATTAGAGTTTATCATTTAGAATAGTCTTTGAATAGTTCTCCCACCATGAAGTCTTCCTCTGATGCTTTATTTAGCTTGTGTGTTTAAAAAATCATGTGTGCTGTATAAGGGACATGGACAGAGGTGGCTCGGGATCACCAAGCTGTCAGTTGGCATCTGAGCTGCCATGACCTCATTCTCCAAATCCATACCTTGTGTAACTGCCACGGAGCCTGGCCTTTTTAGGGGATGCAACGGCCAAATTCACATTTTCCCACGAGGTCATATTAAATCTGAGGTTTTACTTAGCAATAAGCTTTTCATATATAGACTTGACTCTGATAAAATCCAAATGGCCTTTTCTAAATTTATTTTTGCTAGTCACCACATTAACTTGGCCAGAATTTTTTTGTTTGTTTTTCTCTGCCCATCATTCTTATCAAACCACATACTATGACAGTAGGACAGAGTGTATATATCCATTTTAATTAGCAGCAATTCATCCATAATGGGAGCTGCCCCTCACTTAAGGCACATGAGGGCAGGGTTGAAATGGTCCTTGGGAGTCAATGGAATGCCCATAGTGTGTGAAAGCCTCTCAATCCATCACCACCTCTCAGCCTCCTTACATAGTAAATCAAAATGTAAATGCAAACATAGCTCTGGAACAGCTATACCAAGGATCAAAATAGTGAAGAAATGATTAATGTCTACCTTTTTCAGAATATCCATCTTAACGATGGGTAGTTAGAGAGGAGAATCTAATCCTAGTCAATAGTCCTATGCAGCAAGTAAAATCTATAATGTTTGCCACCAGGCTAGATACAGACAAACTTTCTTACAGATTTATCCCACATCCTACTATTCAGTATCAGCAGGATTGGTGTATAAATACATTTTTATTTGTGTGAGGAATTTTCCTTTTGGGTTATTGCATCTCCCTCTAAAACACTGCTTCATGGGAAAGCAACTCACACAGTCCCTTAAGACTTCTGGTAGAAAGCAATAGGATCCACCACCATTCTGAAATTCAGCTCCCAAGGAATGATTAACTCTACCATAAGGAGCAGGTAATAGATAAAAGTTTAAAGATGATTTTAAAAGGACCATATATCTAAGCAAACTATGTGCACCTTGGCAGGAGATATACAAGAACAAAGGCAAATCATTTCTAGATTGCTGGGAAACTGAATCAGGACCAAAAGGAAGATCATCCAGTTGTATGAGTCAGGCATTCAGCAGCAGTCCACCTGACATCTGTCAAGTTTTATGGTGGCTGTTGTTTCTTAGATAAGTGGAGAGGGAAAGAGACAAAACTCATACACGGGAAGATACCTGTGCTAAAAACAAGATCGTATGAGAACATTAAAACCAATCAGAAAGTGCAATACAATAAGAGTGCTTGCCTGTGGAATTCCAACCTGAGGAGTTTCAAAAAAAATCTTAGTTATCAAAGAACCTTTTGGTGGCTCTAAAAATTCTATTTTAATAAATACATACATTCAATGGAATTATGTGGTAGGTTGTCTGCTGAAGCTTCTACCTCCGTTGGAGTAGCTCGCCCTAATCTGGCAAAGGAAATCCTCTGGCTATAGAGTTTGTAGACCCCTACTCCTAGGGGTGTATTAGACATGCCTTTTCTCACTCAGATCACCGACACTCTGGTAGGCTTTTTAAATTTTATTTTTTAATTGACAAGTAAAAAATTGTATATATTTATGGTATACAACATGATATTTTGACATATATATACATTGTGGAATGGTTAAATCAAGCTGTTGAACATAGGTATTCCCTCACTGATATGGGTTGGATCTGCGTCCCCACCAAATCTCATGTAGAATTGCAGTCCCCAGTGTTTGAAGTGGGGCCTGGTTGATGGAGCTTCTCTAATCATGGGGTTGGATTTCTCATGAATGGTTTAGCATGATCCCCTTGATGCTGCTCTTGTGATAGTGAGTTCTCATGAGATCTGCTTGTTTAAAAGTGTGCAGCCTTTCTCCCCTCCCTCTCTCTTGCTCCTGCTTCCACCATGTGAGACACCTTCCTCCCCCTTTGCCTTCTGCCATGATTGTAAGTTTCCCGAGGCCTCCCCAGAAGCAGAAGCCACTATTCTTCCTGTACAGCTTGCAGAACCGTGAGCTAATTCAACCTCTTTTGTTTATGAATTACCCAATCTCAAGTATAGCAGTGTGAGAATGGACTAATACAATCACACACTTATTTTGTTTTTTCATGCGAACACTTAAAATTTACTCTTAGCAATTTTCAATTATATAATATATTGTTATTAAGTGTCGTCACCATGATGCATAGTAGACCTCTTAAACTTATTCTTTCTAATCCCTTCTTAATGATTATAGTGATGATTATGGTAATTATAATAATAATACTGTTGCATTTATTGAGCTCTTACTATATATGTGCTTTACAAATATTATCCATTTAATCTTTGGGACAAATCAGTCTTTCCAAAGTATCTTCTATATAATCCTTTTATTGCAAGATATTATAGAAAAATAAAAATGCATTTTTATAGTATAATGAAAGGGAAAAACACTGCATATGTTAGCTCCCACTTGGAAATTCACAAAGCACATTCCCGTATTAGAGATACTAAAAAAAGCCCTGTATAAGGAAATCTGTTTACCAGAGTTTCCCATGGATCTTTGATCAGGAAACCCAGTTATCACCTCACATTTTTAAATATAGTGTGCAGATAGCAGTGTTCTTTGGAGTATACTTTAGGAAAAGGTGCTGTAAAATGCTACCTTCATTTTGTAGATGAGGAAATGAAAACTTAGAGAAATTCAGCAGATTTCAATCAAATAGCCAGTAGGAGGCAAAGCTTTTGAAGCCAAGTTTATTTAATGCTAAAACCCATACTCATCATTAACAATAATGGCTCAGATAATAGCTATCATGTATTAACTATCTAATATGTTCTAGACATTTTATGTATATTTTCTCATCCTTATAACTCCTGCAGTGAGAGTACCATTATCCCCATTTTATAAATGAAGAAACTGAGGCTCCATTAGATTTATTGACCTACCCAGATCTAACCAAAGAAGCTTATACAGGACTGTCAGCAGGGATGTAGACTTTATTGGTTCTGCTTCTGTATCATTAACCAAATTACCTAACCTCTTGAAGCTTCATTGTCCATATCTGTAAAATGGGTGTAATATGTGTAAAACCTCTGGCACATAATAGTTATTGAGCAAATAGTGTCTATTACACAGACAGTAGTGAGTTTTTAACCAAGCCAGTATACTCTAAAATAAGTACATAGTGAATCTTAACATCGGAAGTATGATTCATAAATTGGATATATTGCCTCTAAAGTAGATTTGAACTTGACATCAACCAAGTTTTTAGGGATTGTTAGAGAAGACAATTGAGGGGCAGAGAGTAGCAGGCAGGCAAAGAAACCCCATTCCCAGTGAGGGAAGATATAAATACTAGGAAGGTCATACCTTTCAGCATGGCGTAATTCAAAGAATACAGTGTTAGAGTGAGACAAACTCAAAATTGATACCAGCCTCTCTCCTAATTAGCTACATGACCTTAAGCAAGTCATTTAACTTCTCTGAGCCACAGCACCTCCTCTGAAAACTGGTACTAACACTATCTTGCAAGGTTGTAGTGAAGATTAAATGAGATAATGTATGCAAAGATTCTAGCCCTGAGCCTGGCACTTATTACATGGTAGCTTTGGCCCCCAGGGCTTTGCCTCTACCTTCTAGAGCAGCATGTTTTAACCAACAAAAGGAAAATGTTATATCAATGAATGAGCATCAGGCTCATTCCAGAAATGTGCCTAGTGCTCTCTGCAACTTCAAGGGTGGTCTGGGGCGAAAACAGATGATAATTATAGTCTTTTAAATATTAATCCCAAAGTATCCTCAATCGCTTTGACAGTGGCATGTGTCACTGTGAATGAAGAATTCTGAGAGAATAAAGTAATCAAAAATGTTTTTAAAGGGCAATGAGGAAGGAAGGTTTCCCAACTTTGGCAGCTGATTTACATCTATTAAACTGATATTACCAGATGCAGATTTTGAATATAGCTATTTTTTCCCTGCAAATTTCAAGCAAGGTATAAATTGTGTGTGTGTGTGTTTAATGCAAATATCTTATAGATGTATTATAGATACAGTTGGGAGGTGCTTCATTTCCCTCATTTTATTCTGAGGTTAGTAAAGTAATTCTTAGAGCACACTCTAATGACTGCCTAAATAAAAGTACAAATAACATTTGATCTCCAAGCATGTATTTGAAACAGAAAGATTCACACTTGCATATTCATACAGTCAAACACACTATCACAAAGTCAAGCGAATACACGAACACACATACACCCAAACACACTCATGCACACACTCATGTACATGCACCCAAACAACCCTTATACACTCTCACATTCACATATACTCAGACTCTTGCACACTCACACATATATGCACACTCACACAATCACACATATACACACACTGTTGCACGTTCATGCACACATTCAAGCCCATGCTTACCCACTCATATACACCCATGCATATTTACACATAAATTGACACACTAACAGATTGTTGCTCTTACACACATACACACAATGGGTTTGTTTCCATTTATAAAGAATATTGTCCTTAGTTTGAATAAAAAGAAAATTATTTTATAATAATGTCCTCATCCTAAGCTGATGTTATATGCACACTGAACACTTAAAATTTTATTTACTTAGGTTACATTCTACATCAGAGAGGGCAGAAAATTTTAAAGGCCCTAAATTGTGTTCATGCCCTTTAAAAGTTAACTCTCTCTCATTCTGTCTTGAAATACAGAACATCTTTAAATGTGAAGTGCTTTGGGAAAAAATGTAAAATTTTGTAATAGTTGTAAATTGGTATGTGCACTGTAGAGTAATTTAAAATCATTAGAATGATGCATTTTTTAAAGTAAGTGCTTTGCTAGAAAATGAGTGAAGCAATATCACAGTGTATTAATGGAGCTCAAGACATCTCAAATTGATTTTGAAATTAAACATCCGAAACTGTAACTTGAAAAAAAAATAATTAGGTAAACCATTATATAGCAATCAAAAAGAAAAAACCCTCTTGAAATTTAGGAAATTGCAAATTAAGAGTGTCAGTCATCCTGATATGGCAAGGGTAAGGATTGTCAATGAAAAGAAAACATATGCAACTTAAAATATTCTTGAAAACTGAATCGCGCACACAGTTTGCTACTCTGTTTTGATTTCTAGCTTGGGTATTTCTTTCACTTAAAAGAAAGACACATCATTGTGAGAGCATCATTCAACAAAAGTCTTGCATGTCTTGTCAAGACTTGACCTTGTGAGCGTTTTGCAAATGAAGCTGGCGGTTGACACTAGACTGGAGGAAATGGTCAGGCTATGCGTCTCTCCCTCTTTTCCCACCCCTAATATTAGATTGAACTGTATGAAATTGCTGATATTCGACCTATGAATGTGATATTTTCACAAAGTTCAATCTAATATTTCTAGTTTAACTGGATTTGGGAGGAAAGGGAGTTGTAATTATCTGGAAAGTGGCCTTCTTGTTCTGATGCTAGCAGTGTAATGAAAAGTAACCTAAAAATAATTTCTGAGACATGTAGCTAGTTACTTAATTGATAATAACTTATTTGTTTAAAAAATGGAAATAGTGCCAATCTGCCATACATAACCCAAAACTTAGTAGGACAAAATTAAATAAGAGGTATGTTTTAAGTAGTCCAAATTACAACACAAATAAACTCAAGCGCATCCTCACCTGTCTGGATCTTTTGTTTATTCAGACTATGCTCAGTTGTAAGCTAGCTTGCACAAAGCATTTCTCCATTTTTAGTATCAGGGCCAAATACTTTAAAATTGGAAATATCTCCAGTTTTTGCTAAATGCTAAAAACATTCACCACCAGCTTTCCCTACATGAGAGGGGATTTATGAAATCTTTTTCAACATTACAAGTTGAGCATCCATAATCTGAAATCAGAACTGCTCCAAAATCTCAAACTTTTTGCGCACTAACATAACACCATAAGTGAAAAATTCCACACCTGACTTCATGTGATGGGTCACAGTCAAAATGCAGTTAAAACTGTGTTTCATGCAGAAAATTATTTAAAATATTATATAAAAGTACTTTCAGACTATGTGTATAAGGTGTGTATGAAACATAAATGAATTTCATATTTAGACTTGGGTCCCAGTTTTGTTTTGTTTTGTTTTCATTTTGAGACAGAGTCTTGCTGTGTCACCCAGGCTGGAATGCAGTGGCGTGATCTCAGCTCACTGCAACCTCCGCCTCCTAGGTTCAAGCGATTCTTGTGCCTCGGCCTCCCGAGTAACTGGGACTAGAGGTGCCCACCACCATGCCCGGCTAATTTTTTGTATTTTTAGTAGAGACAGGGTTTCACCATGTTGGCCAGGCTGGTCTCAAACTCCTGACCTCATGTGATCCGCCCGCCTCCTGCACAAGTGCTTGGATTACAGGCATGAGCCACCGCACCCTGCATTGGGTCCCATTTTCAAGATATCTCATTATGTTTATGCAAATATTTCAAAATCTGAAAACGTACAAAATCCAAAACACTTCTAGTCTCAAGCATTTCGAATAAGGGATACTCAACTTGTGTCTAGATTTCTCTATTACATGGATTGAACCCAGTCTCTGACGGTGAAGGTGCCTATAATTCTGTTTTATTCTTTTCCTATCTCTTTGGGCCGCTAAGTAACTCCTTGTTAAATGGAATGACAAGATATAATCCACTCCCTTCTTCTAAGTAACTCCTGTATTCTTCAGTGACACAGTGGTGATATTTTGTACATTGTTTGGTTGTGGCCTTAATCATGTATAATAATTATTTCCATAAGATAAGACGAATCATTTCAGCTCTGGAGAAAACTTGACTCAGGCTCTATGTAAGACAACAAGAATATATTAAGCCCCTACTGTGTGCTGAATCCTATGCGTTACATGAATGAGATATACAAACAGAATACTGTAGTAATCCATCTAGTTTTTCTAGATAGAAGTTTGGCAATTTGGTTATTCACAGCAATTATTCAAAGTAGGAAGGAGTCAGGTACATCTTAAGTGTGCAACAGAATCAGAATGGTTAGGTAAATTAGGGTGCATTTGGAATATTATATAACTATTACAAATATTTGTGAATAATTTTTAATTTACATTAGAAAGTTTTTAAAGGCAGAGGAAGTCTAAAAGTATGCTAAAATGTGTATTTAATATCTCCACAAGGTGCGTAGTGTACAGAATTAACGGAAAGATGCCAAAATATCAAGAGTGTTTTTTGCTAAATTGGGAGATTTTTTTTTCCTTCTTTACTCTTTTTTTGTATTAAGGACTCAGAGGATTTGGAATGTAGAAAGCAACATAATTTAAAATCATGGTCAAAAACATTATTGAGGACAGGTTGAGGCCCCCATTCATTCCGAGAAAAGAGAGTTCAGAAGAGACTTAGTAATAATCTTCAAGTACTTGAAAAGCTTTAAGATAGGGTATGGTGACCAGGTCTTCTCCCATTCTTTAAAGAATAGAAAAGAAGTAAGTAATATACAGAGAAATCAAGTTTGGCTAGAAGGGAGAATTTCATTTGGGAGAGAGAATAATTCAAAAATTAGAATAGCTTATGATGGCATATATGCCATTTCCTTTTTAGAGGATTTGAACAGCAATTTTTCATCTGCCTATAAGGATTTAGGAACAATCCAGGCAGTCTCCTGATTGCAGAAGGGTTGGCTGATTGTACTCTTGAAGTCAGTTCAAGTCCTTTGATTGCATCATTTGTTCCATGCCGACAGAGTAAGTACATGGTGTAACTCTGGCCTCTGAATATTATACCTTTTACTATGAGCCATTCTGAAATCTGTTCAAACTCATATTGATAGTTTTTTAAATAGCAAGGGAAAAAGATGCTCGATTCACTAGTTATCGGGGAAATAAAAATTTAAAAGAGACTTTTTTACACTCTTCCATATTGACACATCAGTGAAGGGTATCTAGAAACAAGTATACTCTTACTCTGATTGTGGTTATATAAATTGGTACAATATTTTATCAGTACCTATCAAAACTTAAAATACATATAGCCTCAACTCAGTCATTCCATTTCTAAGAAGTATTCTAGAGAAATGCTGGTACATATGCACAAAGAGGCATTGTTTACAATAGAAAAAAGGTTTAGGAACAATCTAAATATCCATTTGTAAAGGGCTAAACTATAGGACATATCCAGACTATGATGGTATGTTACATAACAGTCTAAAAGAACAAGTTAATTTTATATGGACTTAACAATATGTCTTGGAGCTATTTCCCAGTTCTAGAAAAATATAAACAATGTTATACCATTCAGGTTAAAATATACCCACAAATTAGTTATGTATCTACATGCATTTATTAATGTAAATGTATTAAAAAGTACAGAAAAGTATTTATTAAAGAGATATTAGGGGTTACCGTCTCACGAAGGAACTACAATTGGCAGCTCAAGGTATATTATTGTTTTATTCATAGCAGAAAGTTTTACAATATGAATTGTATTTTTCAATTCAATTCAATATGCATTAAATCTTTATTATTTTGTTTTTTATTTATTTTTGTAGAGACAGGGTCTCACTCTGTCACCCAGACTAGAGTTCAGTGATGAGATCATAGTCCACTACAACATGATACTCCTGGGCTCAAGTGAACATCCTGCCCCAGCCTCCTGAGTAGCTAGGACTACAAGTGTGCTCCACCATACCCTGCTAGCTTTTTAAAATTTTTTGTAGAGACAGGATCTTGCTATATTGCCCAGGCTGGTCTCAAACTCCTGAGCTGAAGTGATCCTTCTGCCTCAGCCTCCCTAAGTGCTGGGATTACAGGCATGAGCCACTGTGCCCAGTCTTGAATGTACTTTTAATTACTTATAATAGCATGTAATTAAAAACAAACATGAGTAAAACTTAGGAAACAGGTGTGTAATATGGAAATGAAGGCAACTGGTTAAAATAGATGTTTGTGGCTTTTGACAAGGAAAAAGAGTGGCCAGATCTAGAAAGAATGATGGCAACAGGGTTATGGAGGGAGACAGAAAATGTAATGGGAAAAAATAATGCTTACAAAAGCAAACAAAAAAGAAGTTAGCATTAAATAATACAAAAAATGTGCTGAAAATATAATGACAAAATATAATGGGAAAAAATAATGGGACAGAAAATATAACAGGAAAAAATCATGCTTACAAAACCAAGTAAAATAATTTTAGCATTAAATAACAGAAAATGTGCAGAAAAATATAAAACTCTACTGACTAATGAATGAGGACTTGCCCTACCAGGTGTCACAATGTGTTATAAAGCTTAAGTAAATACAACAAGTTGGTATTGATGCCTCAATAAACAGATCATGGAAAAGTAGAAAGTCTAGAAAGCAACACAGGTACATATACATAATAATTTGGAGTATGATAATCTGTAAGGATAGGATGGATAATCCAATATATTCCAGAAAGCTTCATCCCAGTCCAAGCAGCGTGAATGTCTAACCATATCTCTCTGATTAAGTGGGAAAATGAAGGATGGAATGGGAAAAATTACAGAATTCCTTCAACTAGGAGTAATTCCACAGGATAAAGAAGTTTGAATGCTACTGACTTAAGTATACTGACATTTCATAATTCTTAAGGTCTATATTTTTATTTAAAGATTTTACATTTCTGTGATGACATGAAAAGGAAGGAAAGTTCTTAAGGATTATTATGGCTATGAATGGAGTCTGGGTATTCTTTTCCCTTCATTTAACCCTCTCTTTCATTTCACTGACAGCTTCTTGCCTCTTCTGGTGAAGTTTTAAAGATGGTCTCTTTGTCCCGGAATCTCAGTATTTCTTATAGACTCTAAAAGAACTCAGGGGAAAAACTAACTGGTGAACTAGTTTCCTTTCTGGGAAAAAAACAAAAAAGAAACAGCATTATCATAACAGGAAGAAAAACTTAATTCAAGTCTCCGAGGAATTTAAAGTAAAAATCATAGGGCAGCAGGATGGAAACCCCTAGGTTTCTGGAACTAGTCCAAGCTGAACTAGAAGGGCCTAATGCAGTCATTCATTGATTTGAGAGACAGGATATGTCAAAGGTATTAGAGTTACAACAAGGCAACCTCCAAGGCGGAGGCTAGCCTGCCAACCTTTACTTGATCATTTGCTGCTTGATATTACTGGCAGGAGGGTCAGAAATATTACCTCTTCCCTGCCCCCTTTCCTCTTTGTGTTATATCTAGTCAATTCTCAATTTCCCTCTGCTTCAGCTCCAGTTACCTCAAAAATAAACTTTCTCCGGAAAGTCTACCTTTATTACACATATATCATTTTCCTCATACTTGGCACTGTTCAGTCTAGTCAGGTATGAAAGTTAGGGAGGGACAATTAGAAATCCATTTGATCCTTTTGTCTGAAGCCAACTTTGTCATTCCTCTTTAGTGATACCTATTCAGGATTGCCTTTTAGGGCATATGGCAAGATACCAAGCACCTTAAGTTTTACTTAAAAGAAGGAAACTTAATTAACACCATCAGTAGTACCAGCACTCAAAACTGATACCGCCAACAAGAAATTTTAAAATTATAAAAACAGCCTAAGACTATAAGGATCTTAATAACAGTGGAATTTCATATCCTGGGGAATCTCAGTGGATTCTTCATCTTTCTAAAGATCACTTACCCTTGTTAGATGCTTTTCTTTCCTTAGCACCAAGAGGCAAAAGGGGAGAGGACTCTTAATATATGTTTGTAGTCTCCCTTCTTCAGATAGGCACATCTTGGGCAGGTAGTTTCCTTCATTTTTTTTCTTCTTTGAATTGCTGTAGTTCTCTACTGTACATTCACATGAAGTCAATTTTCTATGTAAGGTCTTCCACTGATCCATTCTATAGCTATTTACAAAATACTATGTGACAGGCACTATGTTTAGATGCTGCACATACAATAGTGAAAAACTCCAAACCCATTTCCTGTCTTCACAGAACTCAAGTTCTAGAGGGTCCAGTATGTAGAGACCATGTGTTCTATTTCTACTATAGAACCCTACAAAGAACAAGCACACATACACTTGTTGAATGTGTTTCTTAAAGCTCTGTAAGAGGACAGATTCTACAGCAGTGTTTCTTAAATTCGTAGACATAACTGAGTGCCTGTTGCATATGCAGATTTCTGCCACCACCCTCCCCACAGAAAGCCTAATACAGGGAGTCTGGAATGAGGATCAGAGAGCAGCATGTTTAACAAGCTACCCAGGTGATTGTAATGCAGGTATTACAAGGACAACACATTGAGAACACTGTCTCTACTCTTCCTGATAGTTAATTAGTATTTTATATAGTTTAATTTGAGGCTATCAACTTTTGTTCAGTCTTCTCAGAACGCAGAAAAGAGATGTTCAGCATCTTCTTCATATAAGAAGTCCAGGCATCGCCTGAAAATGACCATTTTGTGGTCGATTTGGGGCTTTTTGGTCATATTAATAGCCAGTTGCTGTGGTATCAATTAGAATAGATATGTGGCCAATTTATCCATTCAGATATCCAATATAATAACTGAGCTGGTAGCGCCATGCAGGCAACATTTAGACATGACCAAAGTCTGGCAAGTCACACCAAAGACAGTTTAATTTCTTTCCTTATCATAGTGACAAGGATTAAAGAATACTTTAAGTAATTTCCATTGAAACAGTTTTTGTGTGTGTGTGTGACCCCACCAGTGGCTGGTTCAGATCTGAGTGTTTACAGCTTATCACTGCAAAAAAGTGTTTATGTCCTCATCCCTAAAGAAACATAATAATACCAACTTGATTGAGGATGAAATGACATAACATGTAAAAATACTTATTACAGGGCTCTAGTAGATGCTCAATAAAAATATTTTCTCTGTGACCGAGACTTCATAGAAGTTAACCTATATCCAAAAGTCATCAAGTAGCTGTGATAGAAGTATATATATATCTCACTACTAAAAACCAAGACAGAAAGAGAGGAAAAAGGACAAAAGCTTAGGTAATTCATGCATTATCATTCTTTTTCCAGGTTACTCTCTAGAAATTGTTAGATTTTGTAAGATGTTTTGGATAAATTGTTACTTTTTGTAAGATGTTTCATCTAAAAATAACGGAACCTTACTTTTGTATGGCATTGTACTTTTCAATGCTCTTTGCCAATTGTTATTATATTTGGTACAACAACCTGTGAGGAAATGATTGTTCACAATTGACAGATCAGGAAACTAAGGCACAGAGAAGATAAGTGATTTGCTCAAATTTCCCCAGTCATGAAGCACCCAGAGTAAATACTAAGTTTCTTGAATTGGTAGTACAGTTCGCCCTCCACAGACTGTTTAATTACTGGGACCATGCTTGAGTGTCAATAAATGTGTTTGAATTTTAAGTCTTTTAACTCAGGGTTTGAAGCCAAGACACTTTCATACAGGAACACCTGTGATGTAGACATGAAATGCTACTTCAACCAACATTTACTTAGCTACTTTGCCTGTCATTCTACATCCAAGGTTACATATTTTTTTAAAAAGTAAGCGTAAATTCTTTGTGTTATCATCAAAACACTTTGCCGTCTTCTTCCATTTGTGGGAAAAACAGGAATTAAGAATGCTGTTGAGAAGATGGCTTCTAGGCATAATATTGGGTAGTTTATAGTTACTGGCCTGATACTAAATCTTGGGCATGTTCCTAGCTCTTGAAGCATGATCAATTCCTCCTGGTCTCTATCCTTGGCTCTGCCTTCTAGTTACCACTTAATGCTGCTTTTTTTGTGTGTGTGTGAGACAGATCTTGCTCTATCACCCAGGGTGGAGTGCATTGGCGTGATCTCCGCTCACTGCAATCTCCACCTCCTGGGTTGAAGCGATTCTCCTGCCTCAGCCTCCCGAGTAGCTGGGACTACAGACATGCACCACCACGCCCAGCTAATTTTTGTATTTTTAGTAGAGACAGGGTTTCACCATGTTGACCAGGCTCATCTCGAACTCCTGACCTCAGGTGATCTGCCCGCCTAGGCCTCCCAACTTGCTGGGATTACAGGCGTGAGCCACCACGCCCAGCCTGTTACCACTCAGTACTTCTAAAATGTTGTCTGGGTAACCCCACTTCTAGCTTGAATAAACCCTGGCTCCTCTCCTCCTATCTCCCATCCCATGGACAGCCACCCCATTTTAGTCTAGTCTTATTTTACATGCATGACCCAGAAATAGGAGAATAGAAGATTGTTTTCATAAGCCAGTGAGCATAGCATGGAGCTTCCTGGGAGGTAGATGTATTAACTTCTTAGGTGCAATGATCTATACCATGACCAATTTTCTAGATTACTTTGAGATTTCATATAGGGGGATATCAGGAGAGAATTTTACGTAAAGCTGCATTCTTTTCAAATATAATTGGTACAGATAGGGCCATCCTTAACGTTTGTGGAACATAGAGCAAAAATACAAATAGAGACCTTCTGCCTATGTTCTAACCCCTTTCTCCTCCCAGCCCTGACTCTGTTCCATATTATGAGAGGCTTCATATACATGGACTCAGCCATACCAGCCAAACTCTATTGACATACCACGCCACCACCCCAACCCCCCCAGAAAACAGTTGTCCTTTAGCTATCCTTCAAGCCTTGGGGCGCATATATCGGCAACATAGTCCAAACTTGCCAGAGTCCTCCATAGGCCCTGAAAGTAGGCTTAGGGCCATGTAGACAGGGCATTCTAGGCACCCAGCTTCCCACGGAGTAGTCTTATTGGGGATCAGGAGTGCAAACTCCAGATAAGCTTATACCATTGGCCCAGTAGACTTTTCACCCCAAAAGAGGAGGGTAGCTGAAGGAAGACCAGATGATGCCATTTAAAATAGGTCAAAATAGACCCTAGTTGACAGATTTAAGGGCAACGCTAGGGTCAGAAATAATATACTCTCTTACAGTTTTCAGTATCTTTAACTTAAGTCAAAACTACCTAGAGCTGTAGAAAAAAACATTGAGGAAAAGATTCCCATGATATTATCAAATGAGATATTACCAAGCAGTGAAAGAAATGAAATAAAGGGTGAGGTGGACATATTTAGAGGACACCAGAATAATTTGAAGAATGAAATACTTTATAACCTCCTGACCCATATGATAGTTGGATCTCCCATTTGCCACTGTCTCTTCATTTTGTCCCTGGGTTCTATCTAAATTTTCAAAGACATGATTTTTTAAATAGTTTGCTGATATAAGAGAACTTGAGGAACCATTCTGTTCTTCCTTTTTTTTTTGTATTCAGAATAATTTTGGTTTACATATACATTAAAACCAAACACAATGCGATCAGCAGTTGTCCCTTTCCTGGATTTTCACAACCTCACTTCTTATCCGGGTCATTTCTATTTTTTCCTCATAATGCCTCAGGCCTGGAAAACAGGGGAAGTTTAAGCTGATGTACATGACTTGAGACATTATGATAATTAATCAGAAAATGCTTTGTAAAAGGTAAAGTTCTATACAAATGTCAGTTGTTCATCATCTCAGAAGGAAGCATCTTTCTATAGCAACCTTATTTCAAATAGTACCTCTCACCACCAAAATGAAACTTTGAGGTAGGGCCTTCACTGAACTTTACACATTGTAGAAGGCAATGAAAGGTAACGTTCCATCCATAGGATGGAATTAATGTGGATTTTATTTTCTTTCCAGCTCTGGGAAGAAAATAGATTGCAGGACTGGTAAATTGATTCACTAATCTGCTGGATGATCAGCAGCATACTTATATGTGAAAAGTCTTTGCATTCACATGTGAACATGAAATTGATGTGGGAGTGTGCTTTGGTAGATGATGATAGATAGATGATCAATGATAGATAGATGATCAATGATAGATAGATGATATAGATAGATAGATAGTTGGGAGAAAAGGAGGAAGGGAGGGAGGGAGAAAGCAAGGAAAAGAAGGAGGTCATTCAGGTTAATAGGTTCTCCTCTCCCCTCTGCCTACCCAATGTGGAGGCCTGGAACAAAAATATCTTTATTCTGTGTAGTTATGTGATCTGTTGTCATTTTAAACGCATAGCACAAGAAATCTCTTCTCTTTTGGGAATTTGTTGTTGGGTAAAAAAATGGCTTGCTTGTTATCAACATAGTTTGGGATGGGTGACACTGCTGGAAGGAGAATTCTAGGTTTAATTCTTAGAAAAAAATGTTGCCACAGATGTTTATAGTACAGAACACTGTTCCAACCTAGTAGATTTCAACATTTTTATTCTACCCAACTCACCTCAGGGCTATGACAGGCTACTCCTTTCATAAAAAGTAATGGTGACTTTTTAAAGTACAGATTCTCAGTTTGGGGTGAGTTATCAGAATGAGGGTAGTGGAGTATGTGTAGTTTGAAAAGCTCCCCGCCACCCCAGTGGTTTTGATGTGTCCCCTAGCACACACACATATGTATGCATGTACACACACACACAGACACACACACCTTGAAATCATTGTTCTAACCATATTTATTCTATGCCTAAACAAGCATCCCTGAAATACACATATATTTTTATTTTTCTGTCTTGATTGAAAATGTTCTTCGTAAAAACTAGTGATACTGAATTACCTTCCTCATCTTTAAAAGGATCATTTTCCTTCCAGCCACAATCCAATAAAATAATTTTTGTTTTCTGAAAAAATCATATTTTAAAATTCAGCAAGGCTGAAAATGTACAGGCATATTATATTAAAACATTTACTCTTGCATGCAAGTCAAGTTGCTTAGTACTAAGAGGCAGCTGTGGAGTTCAAAATGAATCTAAAACTGTGTGCCTCCTTTAGAAATTAGTTTCTGAACCATGCTGTGCACTTGAGACTTAGCATTCGTTATGGGTAGCATTATGTGCACCTAATACATTGTGACATGAAAAGTCACAATATTCTTGAAGATTTTCTGTATCACAGTGGGAGAACCAAAGTCTAGTGAGTAGAACAAGAGATAAAGAATGGATCATTCTGTGATCTGTTCCCACTTTAGCTTCTATTTTATCTCATGATCCTGAAAAACATTATTGGTCTTCTTATCTTTACTATAAAGATACTTATTTGGTGTGCTGGCTTTCTTTGTATATTGGAGGCAGCTGATTTTGAATTGGGTTCACTGAATCCTGATGTTCTTTAAAAGTACCTTAGGAGCTTCCAAAGAAACAAGGAGTAAGTTAAGTAGGTTTGGATCTCCCTACTTTATATCTATTTTATATAGTGGGGTTCTGATTAAGACTTCATTTGAATGGAAAGTATTCTGGTAGACATATTAGTGTTCACCAAGATCCCAATTGTTTTATCCTTTGGGGCACAGTGCCATTTCAGTTAGGCATCATCACGTGACTTGCTCTGGCCTATGAAATGTGAGCAGATGGTATGTGTAGCATTTCTGAGTGGAAGCTTTTAAGAGCCATTGCACAAATCTCCATTTTCTTTTAGCCTGCCTTGGAAGGCCCTAAAAGCTTCATGCTGAGATGACAGTGTCCTAAGTTGTGTTCAGAGCACCACCTTCTGAACTGCATTGCACATGTAGCATGAATGAAAAATAAGCATCTGTTGTTTCCACCCACTATTATCTTGTGGGGAGGTGGGTCATCTGCAACCTAATCTAACCTATACTGACTAGTCCAAGTGTCCCATCAAGCCACTGCTGTAGTGGAAAGAGTCTGAAGCTAAGAGTCAAGAGTCCTAGATCTAGTTCCAGCACTGCTACTGAGTAACCCGTGACTTTAGTCAAATCCCTCATTTCTTTGAGCCTCAGTTTCCTACTCTATAAAGCATAAATAAGGAAGTCGCATGCTTCCTAGCATGTTTGGGAGATAAAGTGATTTATTAGATATTAAAGAATAATTAATTATAATATCATTTTAGAAACTATAATCAATATAGATGTTTACAAACCAGTATAACCCTCAAAGTTTCTACGAAGGGGAGGACAAAGATCTAAATACCTCCCTGGCAGAAAAGATCTTGTGTGAATGAAGGAGGGAGGTATCATCCCTTATTCAGGCCACTGTTTATACCTAAATCTCACTGATTCATTTTAATAAGGACCCACCAAGAAATAACATTTCCTGTTGATATTTGATTACACATGCTTAGTAGTAGGAAGAAGTACAATACTTATTGTAATCAAAGAGTTGAGTTGACAATACACTTTGCAAACTTGTTAAAGACCAGAAGACTAAGGTAGAATTCATAGCTTTTCTGTATTATGACACTTATTTACTGAAAAATAGATTCCAAAGGCAGTGAAATTTGAATATTTAAAACTTATGTTCCTCCTTTAGTGACTTCGTATGTTCAAAGGTAAAGACTGAACATCTACTGTCTAAGCTGTATAAATACGTATTGCATGGAAGAATTACTTCCTATTATTGCACTATAAACAGAATCTGATAATATTTTGAGTTGATATATTGTCAGCTTTCTGAAGGGGTTCAAAGAAATACAGCCAAATTGCTATAGGATTTTGGACAAATTAGCCTGGGCCTCTGTTTTCCAATTATCAAAATGAAAATAGTTACCTATCTCCTCTCCGTCTAATGGAGTGATTTTGTGCCTATGTCAACCTAGGCTAGTGAATTAGAAAGCACTATGAGCTATTGTGAGAAAGGCCCCCTTATAAATTGATTATAGGAAATATCAATTATTGTCTTCTGGTCACCCACAGCGATCACAACATGGTACTCACAGGCATTATCGTTATTGCCCAGACTGCCCTTGGCTGATTCCAGCATAAAATCTATATCTGAATTTTTAGTATCCACCTCCTATGGTGACTGTACATTAACAGCAATAGCCATCTGTTTTCCTTAGATTCATGCCTCCTTGGCTTTAGGCATCAATCTTATATTCCAGGGTCATAATATTTAGGGACAATGGTGCTTTTTTCTGTACTCTAGCTGAATTATTTCTTCTAGTCTCAACCCTTTGTATGCTCCTGCACTGTAGGTTTTCACTACATTTTACTCCAGTGGGGGCAACCAAGAGTTATGTGAGCATGAGGCAGAGGTAAGTCCAGGTTATATCTTTTGATTAATTTCAGTTCCTCACACTTAAGCCCACTAGAAATGGTGAAACACAGTTCCTTTGGTATTGCTACAGTTTTGATTAAGCATGTTAAAAGGCTTGTTGGCTGCAATTTGAATCCCTGGCAACTACTGTCTTACAATTTCACTTGTAGCATGTCTTGCTCAAAACCAAAGGCGTAGCATGTCTCGCTCAAAACCAAAGGCTTTAGATACATGTGTGAGGAAAAAAAAAAGCAGCATGGGTTCAAGGATCTACAAATCCATCTCCTCTAAAAGCTGAATTTTTAAAAAGTTGATCTTGGCTTGGGAGACTTTTTTTCTTCAGCGACTATGTCAGTCTAATTTTCTACCCTATCAGATTAAACTTTTTTTCATTTATAGTAAACGATTTCCCACAATATCCTTATTTGATCTGCCAACTTGTACGATCTATGGCCCTTAGGGGAAATGGGGAAGGCAAGTTCTACTATTCAAAAACCCCCTGTGTGTTGGCCACAGCATAATTGTATTTCTGCTTTACACCTATATCATGGTTGGGTAAACAAAGTTATACCCAATGGTGAATGAGTAATCCTTTTCAGTGGTATCAATTTCCAGAGCTTTGGCCCCATGAAATGAAATATCTGTTAGTATGTTTACCATTACCAGTCCAACTCATAAGATTGTATTGATTAGATTTTTGCGCTGCAAAAATACCATTTTAAACCAGAGTGAAATCAATATGGGTGTGTATTTTTTATACACAAATTAGATTTAGCTCAAAAAGAATATTCTTTGTTGGAGCAGAAATAAATCTGGAAAGAAAATCTGATAAAGCATCCTAAAATGAAAAAAAAAAAAAAAGCTTACTCTTCCTGGTGCTTCAGTTCTTTCCCCTGACTATTAATCTGAGCTCAGTTCTTGCTGTCTGAATGGAGATTTCTCTTCTGCTCAAAGCAGATCAATGTTTGCACAAATTAGAACTTCAGATAACATCATCAGTGTGCAAATGCCTTCTTTAGATTTAAATGACAAAATAGAGTTCCATTCAGCTCTTGGGAAGCAGCACAAACTGAAGTACAAAACAGCCAGTGAGGCTCCTGACAGCAGCGCGCTTACTGTAAAGCAAAGAAGCTCTTTTCCTTGGAGCACTTAATGCTTCAGAAACATCCCACCAGATGGGGTAGCATTATTTCCAGAAAACAATTAAGGCAGTTATTGGAGCGATGGTAAGGCATCACTCTGAGTAAGCAAATAGCAAAGTTGCAGCCCCTCAACTTGTACTAGTTTTTATTTGATTTGGCTAAAGCTGAAGTTCAGAGATAATGAACATGGCTTTGGAAAGCTGAAAACTGATGTATATTAACTCTGATGTGGACTTCCCACGCATTAGGAAGACTGCAGCTTATTCCCAAAATAATTTTACAAGCACTCGACTAAAACTAAAGACAATGTTCTCTGGTTTCCTTATAATACTAACAAGAGCACTTTACTAATAAAATCTCAGCGCACCTGTTATTGGGCTTCTCACACAGGAGTGCCCACTAAATGTTAGTCGGCTGACTCCTTACTGTAGCAATCGATTTACACATGTAACTTATCCTCCTTATACTTGCCACTCTTTTAGTCTTCCCCATCTCACTAAATGCAACTTTGTTCTTCTAGTTACTCAGACCCAAAACCTTGGGATCATCATTATCTTGCATATCTACATCTAGTCCATCAGCAAATCTAATTGGCTCCATTCTCAAATATATCCAGAATCTGACCATTTCTCACCAGCTACACTGCTCCTGTCCTGGTCCCAGGCCACCATCACCTCTCACCTGTATTATTGCAATAGCCTGTTAATTGGTCTCCCTGTTTCCATCTTTTCCCCCTAGAGTCTATTCTCAGCAGAACAACAAGAGTAATCCTTTGTAAATCAGGTCCTGTCATTCCTCTGCTCACAAGCTTCCATGGTCTTCCCACTTCACTCAGAGTTAAAGGTGACTTCCTCACTATAATCTACAGGGCCCTACCCAATCTGCTTCTCCCACCTCTGTGACCTCTCTCACACCATCTCCTACTAACCTTTCTTCCTCTCTTTCATGCTGCTCCAGCTACATATGCAGAATTCTGGCCTCCTTTTTTTTCTTCAGTATTCTCATAATGCTCCTGTTTTAGAACATTTCTTCTTGGTATTCTTTCTGCCTGCCTCCCTCCAAATAGCTGTGAAGTTCTCACACTTCCTTTGAGTCTTTGTTCAATTGATAAATTATTAGAGAGGCTTTCCCTGATCACCCAATATAAAATAGCAACTACCCACCTTTCATTACTCTGCATCCCTCTCACCCTACTTTAATTTTCTTCAGAGCCATTATTACCACTGAAAATATCCCATATTCATTTATTATTCTCTGCCATACCATCACCCCCTACACATACACATACACATCAGAAAATAAGCTCCACAAAAGTAGAAAATATCTATTTTGACCACCACTGTATAGCCATTGCCTGGAATAGTACTTGGCTCATCATAGATTCCCAACAGATATTTGTTTTCAAATAAATCTGAGGTACCAAATGCCCACCATTTTGTCTCATTCCTTAATGTTTCCTCCCTTATCCTCCTCCTCCTTGTCCTCCTCCACATCTTCCTCCTTTTCGTCCTCCTTCTCTTCTGCCTCTCCCTCCTTCTCCTCATCCTCATCCTCTTATTCCTTCTCTTCTTCATCATATCCATTAACTTACTGAGCACCTGTTGCTGGGTACTATTGTACATAGTGTACTATCTCTTTTAATCATAACGTGAACTCTGTGAGAATATATGTTATCCCCATGTTAATAAACAAAGAAATTAAAGCTCAAAGCATGGTATAATTTGCTCAAGATGACATAATTAGTATATCAGAGCTATGGTCTAAACCCTAATGTGTCTGATTCTAGAACCCATGCTCATTCCATTCCTCCAAACCTAGTGACTTCTGCAGCTTATCTTACTGTCCTCTTTTTCCCTCTCCTACTCTCTTTCTAGCAGCTGAAACATTCATGAAATTATAAAATGTTGGATCCAGACAAAATCTTAGACATTAATGTATCTAACCATCTTGTTTCCTCTCCCTTCTTTCCTACTTTTCACCATTTTGCTGTTGGTGAAAATAAAGCTCAGAAATATTAAGTCTTGTCCAATGTCACATGGAAAATAAATGGCAAAATGAGGACTAGAATCTTCTTATTTCCAGTCCTGTGTCCTAAATGGAACACTTAGGTATCTTTAAATAGTCAATGGGACAGCATGTTACTTAGAAAGGATTAAGATTATGAGGATGATAAAGGTTCTTATAGAGGCAAAGAAATGAGAAATGGAAGAGTGTCAACTCTCTCAACACCAAATCAGTGATCCTGTAATTTTAGAATACATTACCTAGAATATTGTTAAAAGAAAAATTTCCAGGCCTCACCCTCACATTTTGACTCAGTAGATCTGCAGTGGGGCCCAAGAATATGCATTTTTTAACTGGATCCCAAGCAGGCACTCTGTGGGCCATACTTTGCAAAATGCATTGTAATCTAAATACACCAGGTTTAGGTTAACAGCATATGGTCTTTTTGCAAAGGTACCATAGAAATGATTGAAAGAAGAAAAACATCATGTTGCTTCATTTAGAAAGCTTGGAAAAAATCGAATTTCCATTTCAATACTGAAAATCATTTGGAGTGGTTTTCAAAGTTCAGACTTTAATATACACTGCTACAATAAGAATTCAGCTTTTCAAGTCAGCAAAAATAACAAGATGAGAAGAAGTCAGCTGGTTTGATATATGATGACAAAAATATGTATGCTAATTGAAAGCCTCACATATAATAGAAACTGTGCATTTATTAATGATGCGCAACATTGGTATTCCAGTGGAACAGTAGATCACATTCCATATTATCCAGTGCATTGTATTACTGTAAATATCCCAAGGATGAGTAATGTCTCATTATGAGAACATTGAGTTTAACATCATTGTTAGGTTACTGGACAAGTGACATTAGTCCTCAGAGGCTGAATATACAGACAACACTGAGAAAAGCAAACATTACTGAAAACAAAAATGGCAAAGCAAAACCAGAAGGGTATTTGAAAATGTTTGGTAGCTGTGCTTTCAACATTGGAAAAAGATACTGGAGATTAGAAAGTGGAATTTGCTCCTGAAGATCACCAACAATTCTCTTGCCCCCTTGACTCCATATACAACAAAAGGTCCTGTAGATCACACCTGGAATTATTTGGAGGAATAGACCAAAGAAGAAAAAAGTGGTTTTATCTGTGATTTTTAAGGTGAAACTTTCTGTTGGACCTAGAAAAGGATGAAACCGTTCTTATACACATAAAGTCACCTAGTCAAAAGTAGTAAAACTCACTCCTTTTATTTTCTTTACTGAAAGAAAAGCCCATCTAGTATGGTGAAAGCAGTATTGAACTTTCTAGATATTAAAGGCCAATTTTCCAAAATGCAGCCTCATTTTTGGTTGGCTCAAATTGATTTTTCTAAGAAAATTTGAAGCCTGACACTTTGACTTCACAGTAGTCCTTGCAGCACTGTTCTTGGGGCTTTTTTGAAGAGTCCCAAGCAAGGGAAACCTACCATTGATCCTAAATGGAATCCTCTATTTGCTCTGAATCTAGAGATGTTCTTCAGAAATAGGGCATGTAAGGGAGAGGAGAGAGAAAAAAAATAATATATGCCAGTCAGTGTACTACTTTCATAAACGTCGTCTATTTAAACAACGCTTCTAAGAAGTATCTCCTTTGACAGGTTAGGAAATCAAGGGAAGAGTATTTTCTAAGCCCACACAGCTACTGGATCTAGGATTCAAATCCAACTCTGTCCATTATGAAAGTTCATGCATTTCTATGTATCAGGATTACTTTGGTTTACTGCTTGAGTTTTCAAAGTGTTTTTCAAATAGTTACACTATATTTCCAACATTCCTGTAAGTTAGGATGGATGATAGCATCCTCATTTTACAAATGAAGACGCCATCTTAGACATGCTATGAGCATATCCCAGTTCACATGGCTAATAAGTAGCAGATCTGGGACTCCCAGTTAGGTCTATTAATTCTAACTCACACATCAACGATTTTGGACCTGAAGATGAGTTTCTGCCCCAACAGCTTCAAACTGATCATTTCTGGGCATTTTCATTTAAGAAAAGTAAAGAACTCTATCCCTTGAAGGAATAGAATTTTGGAAAATAACAATGTGGTTCTGTTTGAGGAAGCCAGCATTTTAAGATGTCTCAAACAGTGAGATATTAAAAAATATGGGATTGAACCTACTACACATTATTACTCTTTTATGTCGTTGTTAGCTTCTCAAATAAAATATCATTAAGAAAGAATGCCAAGGGACTGGAGCTGTCTAGGCAGAAGGGTTTCCTATGACAGCTGAGCAATCCAAACATCAAGGTAGAGCAGACTGCCTTTATTTTTGAGGAGCAACTACTAATTTTGAGATAGCACCATATTACTATGTCATTTTGCTATTATACCGATTATTTTATGTAGACTGAATAAATTGACAACAGAAGTTAGTACAAAGATGTGAGAAAGAAGGAAGAATATGATCATATTAAAGGGTGAACATGTTATTGTGATCAAAAGAAACAACTACTACATAAGGTGTAATGATTTTATTAAAGTATCCTTTGCATATACTATAGGGCAAATAGCTTAAATAAAAAAAGTAAAATGAACATTTTTATTAAAACAACATCCCTACTTAATTCTGGCTAGGGTAAGTATGGTACTATCAAAGTTATCATTTTTTGCTTTACTCAACTCTAGTTACTTGAAGTAAGTAACAGGACATGTCTTGAAAAGCTTTTGTTTCTTTGTGATACAGATTTGTGTCTATTGTATAGCAATGAAATGTCTGAGTTTAGATTGAACTTGAAAACAAAAATATCTTTATTGTTCAGCCAATCAGACTTATTTAGAACATAAGTTATTACCAACTACTGTGGTGTATCCAAATAACTTCTGAAAGCAGTTTAGTGTAGTGGTTAAAAGTGTGGGCTCCAGCATCAGGCTGTGTGGGTTCAAATCCCTGTTCTACTGCCTGGTGGTTGTAAAACCCTAGACAAAGTGTTAAGCCTCAGTCCCCTCATGTGTAGAGTGAGGTTAATAACAGTACCTCTAACATAGAGCTGTTCTGAGGACTCAGGAAAATAATTCATTTGCATCATTCAGCACAGTGCTTAGTATCTAAAATTCCCGATAAATGTTTGCAGTGGCTGCTACTATTGTAATTATTGCTTAATGCCAACAGGCCTGCATGTTTAAATTGCATCATGAGGTCTTGATAACTACAGTGCAACTGCTATATGTTTAAATGACATGCTTAGTATATCAGTTTCCTAGAGCTATCATAACAAATTACCCCAAACCAGGTGACTTTAAGCAACTGAAATTTATTCTCTCTCAGTTCTGGAGGCTAGAAGTCTAAAATCAAAATGTCAGCAGGTCCACACTCCCTCTGGAGACTCTGGGGAGAAACATTTCTGCCTTCTCCAGCTTCAGGTGGCTGGCAGCATTCCTTAGTGTGTGACTACATAACTCCAGTCTCTGCCTCTGTCTTCATATGGCCTTCTCCTCTTCCCTTTTCCTTTTCTGTCTCTTATGAAGACATTTGTCATTCTATTTAGTGCCCACAAGGTTAATCCAAGCTGATCTAATCTTAAGATTCTTAATTTAATTACATTTGCAAAAACCCTTTTTCAAAATAAGGTCTCGTGCACAGGATTTAGGAATTATGACAAGGACGTACCATTTAACCCAATACACTTGGTAAGACATCTTCAGTTTCACTTTCTCTGGCTTCATCATCTTTTAGGTTGCCACATCCTGGGAAAGGGTTGTATCATTTTATCTCAGATATTCCCAAGGCAAGAACCAGTACCATTAAAACCGTGAAAATAGCAAAGTTTCTCTTCAGTGGCCTATAATCTCCCCTTAGGCTCCTGCGTTTCCCTATGTGGCTCTTCTGTCCTTGTCCCTCACCCTTGCACCATAACACCTTCATTCTGCCTAAGACTCCCAACAGCCACCCTACCTAAGTCTTGCTTACTCTGAGCAATGCCTCAAGTTCTAGACTTATTTTTCTCCCTTCAACTTACCAATAATCTTATTATTATATATTTTAACAAAGCTTCATTAGCTCATTGTTCCAAAACTCTGGTGAGGAAGATAATACAGGCATTATAATTGAAATTTTTGGAAAATTGGTCAAGGGTTTTTTTCAACAGACCCATCAGTGGTTTTGAACTTCATTTTTTGACAGCAGAAACTTCCAGTTAAATCTTCTTCTGAACTCCAATAAATAAAATGGGTAACATTTAAGCAGCTCACGTAGAAACACAGGTATCTGAATTATGATGAGATAATACTTTAGTTTTGGGGATTTCAGGCACTATGGGATAGCTGTCCTTTTACTTTAGAATCGATATAATTAACCCATTTTAAATGGCCTGAACAGATAGGACCTTCTCAACCTAAAATTATGTACCGCACTTCAAAGTTCTGATTAATGATGCCAAATGAGCAAACTACTGAACATTATTGTAATTTATTGGGAAGAGTAAGATTTTCAGCTTGAAAAGTATCCAACTTTGAATTTTTCTAACACTTCAGAAGTTTACTAAGTTATAGTTGCAGTGCTTTTTCCATCAGTAAAAGGTTAGAGAAGTTCTATATAAGTAGGACTTCCTTTAAGAAAGAATGTAGAAAAATGTATTCTCCCAAGTTCCAATACAAATGGTCTATCATTTTAATCCCTCTTGCAAATACTCTAAAATCCATTGCCCCATTGGTCCTTCCTGAAAAGCCTCAAACAATGAATTATGTCAACTCTCAGCCTTGCCCCTACCTATACAAGCAGTAGCCAAGCCCTATTGGAAAAAAATCATACGGTTTGGGTAGACTGATACCAATAAAAATTCAGCCACCAACCTCACTTGGGATGTCAAAAGTGCCTGGAAATATTACTGTATTCCTCAGGTTACCTCATTTTGTTATTCTCCACAGACACTTTTTCAGAATTTCTCTTCTCAAACTTCTAACTTCTCCTCTGCCCATTCATTCTCAATGGATGCCCTTGCCTCCTGCTGCACAGAAAAAATAACCATCACATGAGAACTCCCTCAATTTCCTGCCATCAAGTCTGAAATCAGGTTGGATCTGCACCCAGGCTCTCTTTCTTCCTCCCATTACAGTCCTCGAAGAGTCCTGTGAAAGGTCAGTCCCTTCACCAGTGCTCTGGATCCCACTTTTCTCCCACTTTCTCTCACACGTAAGTTTGACTCCAAAGTTTCTACTAGATCCTTCTCAAGAGCTTTTAAACATGGTTTTGTCTCTCCCACTTGAAAAAGAAATTCCTTTTTGAATCCCACGTTCTCCTCTAGCTAGTTAATTATCTCTTGCCTTCTTTAATGTTTCAACTTCAACTTCTCCACTTTCTTACCTTCCATTCACCCTTTACTTTTTATTTGGTAACAATCACAAGCTTACTGAAAAGTGAAAGTACAGTACAAATAATTTTCCCCTGAAACACTCAAGAATAAGTTGTGGACCCTTTTCTCCCAAATTCTTTATTGTGTATTTCCTAAAATTAAAGGCATTATTCTACATAACCACAATACAGCTATAGAAAACAGGAAATTCACATTCATACATTACTAATGTCTAATGCTTAGATTCTATTCATATTTCATCACATATCCCAGCAACATCCCTTATAGCAAAAGGAACTGGTTCAGAATAAAGCACTACATTTTAGTTGTCATGCCCTCTAGTCTCCTTCAGGTTGGAAGATTATCTCAATCTTTCCTTAACTGTCATGACTGATACTCCTAAAGATTACATACTGGTTATTTTATACAAAGCCCCTCAATTTGGGAGTTTTCTGATGTTTCCTCATACTTAGATTTGGGTTGTACATCTTTGGCAAGAATATCATAGAATTAATGTTGTGTTTGCATTATATCCTATCAGGTGGTACCCATTATTTATTTGGCCCACTACTGGTAATGTTAACTTTGATCATTTAATTAATATGGTATCTTCCAGGCTTCTCCACTGTACTCATCCCATATGCACTTGTAATTAAGAAGTGTTTTGTGAGGAGGTACTTTGAAGCTATGTATTGCTCATCAAACTTTCAATTTATTAATTCATTTATTCATACCTGTGATAACTCAGGATTTTTCATATTATTCAATGAATTATAGTTTCTTGCTATTTCTGTTTATTTTGATGCTCAAATTGTTTTGTAAACAGTGACTGACTGCCACTTCAAGGTGGACTTTGCATGTTTTTGACATGTCCTCATCTTTCTCTGAGCACTTTTTGTCTTAATAGGATATTCCAGTCTCACCTTGCACTTTCCCTGCCCTGTGCCTGGAATCAGGCATTTCTCTAAGGAGGCTAATTTCTTTTCTCGGCGTGGTATTTAGAAGCCAAGTTCTGTTCTCGGCACTAGGTGTGTTCATTGCTATTGGGGTATTGCTATTCCCAGGCCCTCATGGTGAACAGAGGTAGGAAATATACACATACATTTATATATATATATACACACACACACACATATATATATACATACTAATTTCTATCAATATTCACCTTTTTATCTATTTATATATCATCTATCTATCTAGAGAAAACCATGAGTTTCCATTATTACCTCCAACTCCAGTTCAACACCACAGGGTTCATTCTTGTTTTCTCCTTTTTCATATTTGTAACTCTCTTCTCTGACAATGTAAAATCAAGATCCCCTTATCCTTTATATATTTACTCCAGTCACTTGTTAACCTATTTCATTCTGGCTTCTACCCCCAATCACTCCGCTAAAACAGCTGTCACTATGTTACCAGTAATCACCATTTTACTAAATATGACAGACACTTTTTAATGTTCACCCTACTTGACTTACAGTACCATTTGGGATACTTAACTACTCCTAATCGTGGAAAACTCTCTTTCACTGGTTTCTGTGATACTACATTCTCTTGATTTTTCTTTTACATCTATAGAAAATCCTTCTCTCTTTTGCTGGATCTCCTCCTCCACTTGACCTTTAATTGTTAAAGTCCCACAATCTTAGGCCCCATTCATTTCTCATCACACTCATCACAAATTCCCTTGGTTTCAATGACCATTTTTACTGGTGACTTAAAAATTTAATCTCTGCCCGTGAAACCTCTTCCTAATTCCAGACCCATAGATCCATCTGCCTCCTTGCCACTTTTAGTTGAATTTTTTACAGGCACCTCAGGTTAACAGGTCTAAAGCTGAACTCATCCTTCAGCAGTCCCTATATTGATAAGAAATAGAGTAAACACCCAGAGAGTTGCACATGCCAAACTAAGACATGATGCATGGCTTTTCCATATCCTTTGCACTCTTTATCTGATCAGTCACCAAGTCTTGTAATTCTACTTCATAAAAATATTTTGCATACAGCAGTCCCCATTATCCACTGGGGGATGTGTTTCAAGATTCCCAGTGGATGTCTGAAACCTTGGATAGCACTGAACCCTATATATACTATGTTGTTTGCTACACATACATCCTAAGTAGGTGTATATATTTATGGGATGCAAAAGATATCTTGATACAGGCATGCAGTGTATAATAATCACATCAGAGTAAATGAGGTATCCATTATCTCAAGCATTTATCTTTTGTGTTACAAACAATCCAATTATACTCTTTTAGCTATTTTTAAATGTACAATTAATTTACTATTGACTATTGTCACCCTGTTGTGCTATCAAATAGTAGGTCTTATTCATTCTTTCTATTATTTTGTACCCACTAACCATCCCCATCTCCCTCCCACACCATTCAGCCAAACCCCACTACCCTTCCCAGCCTCTGGTAACCATCCTTCTACTCCCTGTCCACATGAGTTCAGTTGTTTTGATTTTTAGTTCCTACAAATAAGTGAGCAAGTGCAATGTTTGTCTTTCTGTTCCTGGCTTATTTCACTTATCATAATGATCTCCAGTTCCCTCCATGTTCTTGCAAATGACAGGATATCATTCTTTTTTATGGCTGAATACTACTCCATTGTGTATATGTACCACATTTTCTTTATCCATTCATCTGTTGATGGACAACTTAGGTTGCTTCCAAATCTTAGCTATTGTGAACAGTGCTGCAACAAACATAGGGGTGCAGATTTCTCTTTGATATACTCATTTCCTTTCTTTGGGATATATATCCAGCAGTGGGATTCCTGGATCATATGGTAGCTCCATTTTTAGTTTTATAAAAACTGACTGTTCTCAAAACTGTTCTCCATAGTGGTTGTACTAATTTACCTTCCCACCAACAGTGTGCTAGGGTTCCCTTTTGTCCATATCCTCACTAGCATTTGTAATAACTGTCTTTGGATGTATGCCATTTTAACTGGGGTTAGATGATTTCTCATTACAGTTTTGATTTGCATTTCTCTGATGATAAGTGATGTTGAGTACCTTTTCATATACCTGGTTGCCATTTGTATGTCTTCTTTTGAGACATGTCTATTCAAATATTTTGCCCATCTTTTGATCAGATTATTAGGTTTTATCCTATAGAGTTGTTTGAGCTCCTTATATATTCTGGTTATTAATCCCTTGTGAGATGAGTACTTTGCAAATATTTTCTCCCATTCTGTGGGTTGTTTCTTCACTTTGTTGATTGTTTTCTTTCCTGTGCAGAAGCTTTTTAACTTTATGTCATTCCATTTGTCCATTTTTGCTTTGGTTGCCTATGCTTGTGGGGTATTATTCAACAACTTTTTGCCCAAATCAATGTCCTGCAGATTTCCCCCAATTATGTCTTGTAGTAGTTTCATAGTTTGAGGTCTTAGATTTAAGTCTCTAATCCATTTTGATTTGATCTTTGTACATGGTGAGAGATAGGGTTCTTTTTCTTATTTCAATAGGTTTGGGGGGAGGAGGTGGTGTTTGGTTACATGGATAAGTTCTTTAGCGGTGATTTCTGATATTTTGGTGCACTCGTCACCCAAGCAGTGTACACTGTACCCAATGTGTAGTCTTTTATCACCCATCTTCCATCCTCTATCCCTCTCCCACCCTTCCCCTCAAGTCCCCATACTCCGTTATATCATTCTTGTGCGTTTGCATCCTCATATCTTAGCTCCCACTTATAAGAGAACATGCAATGTTCGGTTTTCCATTCCTGAGTTACTTCACTTAGAATAATGGTCTCCACCTCCATCCAGGTTGCTGTGAATGACATTACTTTGTTCCTTTTTATGGCTGAGTATTATTCCATGGTATTTATATACCACATTTGCTTTATCCTCTTGTTGATTGATGGACATTTGGGCTGGTTCCATATTTTTGCAATTGCACATTGTGCTACTATCAACATGCATGTGCAAGTGTCTTTTTCCATATAATGACATCTTTTCTTCTGGGTAGATATCCAGGAGTGGGATTGCTGGATCAAATGGTAGATCTACTTTTAGTTCTTTAAGGAATCTACACACTGTTTTCCATAGGGTTGTACTACTTTACATTCCCACCAGCAGTGTAAAAGGGTTCCTTTTCACTACATCTATGCCAATATCTATGATATTTTTGATTTTTAAAATTATGGCCATTCTTGCAGGAGTAAGGTGGTATTACATTGTGGTTTTGATTTGCATTTCCCTTGTCATTAGTGATGTTGAGCATTTTTTCATATGTTTTTTGGCCACTTATATATCCTCTTCTTCCTTCTACTCCATTCTCTATATTATATCCAAAGAGATCTTTCTAAGGCAAATATGATTTTTGTTACTCTCTACTACCTTTCAGGGTTTTTCAATTGCTACTATAATAAAGTCCAAAATTTTAGCAAGGCCTACAAAGGCCTGAATTCTCTGACCTCTGCTTGTCCAGCCCCATCTCATACCATTCATTCTGCCTCTCTCTCTTACTCTCCTTACGACACATATTATCTATTTCATTTCCCCATCGCCACATACGTTTGCCCATTCATCCTGTAGTTTTCAACTTAAATGCCAATGCCTAAAAATGGTCAAAATCCTGACACCTTCAAATTAAATTAGGTCACCCTGTGACAGTCTCCCATTGCACTCTGCATTGCTCCTTCATAGTACTTTTCTCAATTTGTAGTTCCACATTTCTTTGAGTATGTATGCAATAGATTCCATGCTCCATAAAGGCAGGGGCCATATCTGTCTTTGTTGTTGTATTCTGCCAGTTAGCACCATGTTTAACTCGTGTGAATGAAAAGTCAAAAGGAAGGAAAAAAGGATGGAATGCTGATCCTCACAATGACAAATGTTTGGATAGAAGATATCTAAGAGTCAAACATTTAGGTGTATCCAAAAACTCATATATTTGGGGTTTACAGAAATATAGGCAAACAATTTTTTTTTCTCTTAAGTCAGCCATCAGAGCAATCTGATTGGCTGGCTTCTAATCATTACATTTTGTGTCATTCAGAAATCGCTTTGTGATTTTGAAAGCTTTTCTTAATTCAGTTGCTTAAAAATAAAATTGGATTGTTTCCTGGACACAGCAGGAAGGTAATTTAAAGAACCCATGAACATTGTTGAAATTATCATGCAAGCTTATTAAATGCAATGCATATTTAAATTGAAAAAACTTTCTTTATTAAACCTAGATAGGTGAATTTTTACAGCTTCCCGTGCTAAACTATATTAGTTTTCAGAGTCAGGTCAGATTAATTTCTAATCTTTATGGAAATCATTTTTATTAAAAAAGTGGAAAGTTAAGAATGTGACAGTTACAGGGTTTGGATAATTCTAAAAGGGTCATCATTTAAAAATGCAAGGAAAGTATAATCGGAGTGCTTTCATGATAAAGATGATTTATTTTATATACTCATCTTTAAAAGCTGTTTTAATATTTAGGCTTGTTAAGGAAAATCTGAAATGTGGTTGAATGTATTAAAACCTAAATAAGAGTTTTGGCTTTTATTTCTTTTTATAAGAGCCGACCAAGTAAACCACAGTCTGAACTTAGATGCTAAGAAGAAAAAGATTAAGGGTATATTTTCATTTTTAATATAAATGATCAATATATTTGTTTTTATTTGTGGCTATAGTCTACAATTGTCAAGTGAGTATTCATATTTCTTACAAAAGAATATTTTACATAATTGGAAATTATTAGTCAATCATTTGCATTTCAGATTGTTTCCTTTCTTCTTTTTTACTCTAGCTTTGTTGAGACATAATTAACAAATAAAATTGTATACATTTAAGATGTACACAGTGATGATTTTATACATATGCATTGTGAAGTTATTACCACAATCAAGTTAATTAACTCATCCATCACCTCACATAGTTACTTTTGTGTGTGTGTGTATGTGGCAAAAACACTTAAGATCTATTCTCACTGCAAATTTCAAGCATACTCATATTGCTTTAATTTAAAGGTCATTTTGTTTTCTTGTGGTAATTGGCTCAGAGATGCACAAAAACTCTGCAAAGAAACTTCCCAAGAAGATAATTGACAACAGAGTGGGAGGAAGCTGCTTCTTTCCTTTGAATTTGGACTGCTCTTGGTGCTCTTAAAAGTTAGAAACCAAACCACAAAGGAGTACAACACTTTTGTCCTTCAAAAGAGCAAGGACATTTGTCTGTGTTTATTGATAGATTGCAAGTGGCCAGGAGGTTATAACGTGTGAGAACTGACCTTTGAAGCCTCAAAAAGAATTAACTATCCTGACATTCTAGGCCTTTCAAACCAGTGATTCTATAGAAGTCCTCACTGAATGGAGATATGAATGAAAACAGAGATTCAAATGTTTACTTTTGAGTATCAAACAGAGAAATTTAGGAGTTTTCCAAGTACATGAGAAAAGATTGACTTTGTTCATAGTCATTAGTTTTGTGGACTACGTAATAATTTTATTGTATATATTTGAGGTTTATAACATGATATTATGGGATGCACATAGATAGTAGAATGGTTACTATCGTGAAAGAAATTAAAATATCTATCATCTCATGTTACTTTTTGTGACAAGAGCAGCTAAAATCTATCTATTTAAAAAAATCCTGGAGGACCCAGTGAGAAGTCAGCCATCCACAATCTGGAAGAGGGACCTCACCAGAACCTGACCATGTTGCACCTTGATCTTGGACTTTAGCCTTCAGAATTGTCAGAAATAAATTTCTGCTGTTTCAGCCACCCACTCTATGGCATTTGGCTATTGCAACCCAAGGTGACTAAGACATTTCTCTCCCAGCCTGGGGTCCACTCTCCTCTGACATGAGAAGATTTTTTTTAAGTTAAAAAAGCATTATTCTGGGAATTGTGAAGGACACTCCAGATCCCAGGGAGGTGAATGCTGGCAAACAGCCCCTATGATGTCATCCAGCTGATAAAAGTGAGTGAAGCCCAAGTACACAAGGGGGCAGAGAGCTTCCCTCTGTGACTCACTTTTCCACAGTGGATCTGAACAACCTAGGCCAAGGGAAAGCACTTTGTTTTGCCCAAGCCCTAGAGCTAACTTAGAAAGAGGCTTGGAGATGCTGTGAGAGAAAGATACCAGGAAAAGCTGCAGATATTTTCCCAGACCCAAGAATGAGAGCCAGATGCCATTTTTAATCTGGGTGCATACAAAATCAGCCATTGCTTGGCAACCTAGAAGTGTGGCCACACAAGCATTTTAGCCTCAGGCCAGAGATTGGAGCACCTGCTCTGGAGTAGGGTAGGGGCCTCCACAGCCAGAACTACGGAAAGCACCTCAGCAGAAGGCACTGGAATTGTGCTCTCCCCGACTGCAATCCCGGATTGGTAGGAGAACTGCAGTTTCCCTTGGGAAGTGAGATTTGCAGCCAGGGCCAGCTTGGCAACCTGCATCTGGTCTGTGTATGCCATTGCTAAGTGCCCCAGCCTGCTCCCCTGAGGTCATGGTGCAGCAGAGCCCTCTCCACTCCACCCCAGGCAGAAATTCAGGTACTTAGAACATTCACTTACTTGGACCAGAAGCCTGAGCTGCTCCACCCTTCCTGGACATAGATTTTGGTCCAGTAGGGCCCTCTCTGCCCCATGCCCAGGCAGAAATCTAGGCATTTAGAGCACCTGCTTGCCTAGACTAGCAGCCTGAGCCGCCTCACCCTTCACGGACATAAATTGAGGTGCCGCAGGGCCCCTTCCGCTCCACACCAAGGCAAATCTCCAGGCATTCAAAGCAACTGTTTGCCTGGTTCAGCACCATGAGCTGCTGCACCCTTTCTGGGCACAGATCATGGTGTAGTGAGGCTCTCTCTACTCCAAGCCCAGGCAGATCTCCAGGCATTTGGAGCACCAACTCACCTGGATTGGCATCCTGACCTGCCCCATCCTTCCTGTGCAGAGATCTTGGTGCAGGGAGGCCCTCTCTGCTGCATGCCCAGGGAGATCTCCAGGCATTCAAAGCACCTATTCACCTGGTGGCTGCCCACTGGATTATCACTTGGCACTGGTGCTTGTGCCTGACATTGGAAGATCTGTAGGTGGACCTGCCTAGTCTGGCCCCATTCATCTTGTCCCCCACAACCCTAGGGCTGAGCAGAGTTCAGAGCACTCTGCACTGCATGAATCAGTCCATTGCCTGAGAGAACAGAGAGTTTCTACCAGTAAACAAGGATGAAATATATATGCAGCCACATTAGCTGTAGCTAGCTAGCTCTTACCTACAAGCACCATCTACTGGCTTGTAGGTCTAACTATAAAACCTGCTAAGAGAAGTGCATAGAACTATAGAAGCAAAGCCAAAAGACAGCCCATACCCAGCATTCTCTGCAGTCACACCCCCTAGGGAGGGGGAGAAAAGGAAAGGGAAATTAAACAAACCAAAAAAAAAAAAAAAAACAGTAAGGCCTGGGCATGGTGGCTCACGCCTATAATCCCAGCACTTTGGGAGGCCAAGGGGAGCGGTGGGGTGGGGAGCAGATCGCCTGAGGTCAAGAGTTCAAGACCAGCCTGGCCAACATAGGAAACCGCATCTCTACTAAAAATATAAAAATTAGCTGGACGTAGTGGCACACACCTGTAGTCTCAGCTATTCAGGAGGCTGAGGCAGGAGAATAGCTTGAACCTGGGAGGCAGAGATTGCAGTGAACTGAGATTGTACTACTACACTCTAGCCTGGGTGACAGAGCAATACTCTGTCTCAAAAAAAAAAAAAAAAAAACCAATAATATTATAGGTAAAGAATGATGAAGAAAAAACCTACTGGCAAGGAAATAATTACAAAAATTAGAAGTGCCAACATCTCCAGATGAGAAGGAACCAGCACAAGAGTTTTGGCACCATGAAAATCTGAATGTAGCGACAGCTTCAAAGGATCACACTAGCAAGTCCAGCAATGGTTCCTAACCAAAACAGAAATTCAGAAATTACAGGTAAAGAATTCAAAGCACAATTACAAAGAAGCTCAATGAGATCCAAGACAAGGTTGAAAATCAACACAAAGAAACTTCTAAAGCAATCCAGGAAATAAAGGAAGAGATTAATATGCTAAACAGAAATCAATCAAAGCTTCTGGAATTGAAAACACACTCAAGTAATTTCAAAATACAGTTGAAATTCAAATACAATTGAAAGCTTTATTAATAGACTAGACCAAGCCGAAGAAAGAATTTCCAAGCTTGGAGACCAGTCTTTTGAACTATGCCAGTCTGACAAAATAAATAAAAAAGAATGATAAAAAAATGAACAAAGTATTTGAGAAATATGGGATTATATATAGCAACCAAAATGTGAATTTTTGGCATTCTGGGAGAGGAGGAGAAAAAGCAAAAACCTGGAAAACATTTGAGGGAATAATTCAAAAATATTTCTTTAATCTTGCTAGAAAGGTTTATATCCAGATATAAGAAAAGCAGAAAACACTTGAGAAATACTATACAGAATGAACATCACCAATGCATGTAGTCCGCAGACTATCCAAGATCAGTGCTAAAGAAAAAAATCTTAAAAGCAGCCAGAGTAAAAGGTCAGATTACTTACATAGAGAACTCCATCAAGCTAACAGTAGACTTATCAGCAGAAACCTTACAAGCCAGGAGAGATTAGGGGCCTGTTTTCAGCATTCTTAAAGAAAAGAAATTCCAACCAATAATTTCATATCCCACAAAACTATGCTTCATAAGTGAAGGAGAAATAAAAACTTTTCCAGACAAGCAAGCACTGAGGGAATGTGTTACCACTAGACCAGCCTTAAAAGAGCTCCTTAAGGAACACAGCAATGAAAGAACAATACCTGCTGCCACACAAACACCCTCCAGTACATAGCCCACATACCCTATAAAGCAAGTACACAATAGAAACTACAAAGCAACCAGTTAACAACTTCAGGATAGGATCAAAACCTCACATGTCAATATTTACCTTGAATATAAATGGTCTACATGCCCCCACTTAAAAGACACAGAGTCACAAGTTGGATAAAAAAACAAGACCCATCCATCTGCTATCTTTAAGAGACTCATCTCACACATAATGACACCCAGAAGCTCAAAGTTAAGGGTTGGAGAAAGATCTACCATGCAAATAGAAAACAAAAAAGAGCAGGGGTCACTATTCTTATATCAGATAAAACAGACTTTAAGCCAACGACAGTAAATAAAGACAATGAAGGTCATTACATAATGATAAAGGGTCCAATTCAGCAAGACTTAACTATCATAAATATACACACACCCAACATTGGGGCACCCAGATTCATAAAACAAGTACTTCTAGAATTATTAAAAGACTTAGGCAGCTACACAATAATAGTATGGTTCTTCAACACCCCACTGACAACATTAAACAGATAATTGAGACAGAAAACTAACAAATTCTGAACTTAGCTTAGACACTCAACCAATTGGACCTAGTAGACATCTACAGAATACTCTACCCATCAAAAACACAAAATTCATTCTTCTCATCTGCACATGGAACATACTCCAAGAGGAAACATATGCTCAGCCTTAAAGTAAATCTCAATAAATTCAGAAAAATTGCAATCATACCACCATACTCTTGGACCACAGTGGAATAAAAATAGAAATCAAATTACCTTGGGCAGTATGGCCATTTTCACGATATTGATTCTTCCTACCCATGAGCATGGAATGTTCTTCCATTTGTTTGTATCCTCTTTTATTTCCTTGAGCAGTGGTTTGTCGTTCTCCTTGAAGAGGTCCTTCACATCCCTTGTAAGTTGGATTCCTAGGTATTTTATTCTCTTTGAAGCAATTGTGAATGGGAGTTCACTCATGATTTGGCTCTCTGTTTGTATGTTGTTGGTGTATAAGAATGCTTGTGATTTTTGTACATTGATTTTGTATCCTGAGACTTTGCTGAAGTTGCTTATCAGCTTAAGGAGATTTTGGGCTGATACTGAGAAGATCTCTCAAAACTGCACAGTTATGTCAAAGTTAAACAACTTGCTCCTGAATGACTTTTGTGTAAACAATGAAATTAAAGCAGAAATTTAAAAAAAATTTTTGAAATAAATGAAAGCAGAGACAGGACATACCCAAATCTCTAAGATGCAGCAAAAGCTATGTTAAGAGGAAAGTTTATAGCGCTGAATGGCTACCTCAAAAAGTTACATCTCAAATTAATGATCTAACTTCACACCTAGAGGAAATAGAAAACAAGAACAAACTAGCCCCAAAGCAACCAGAAGAAAATAAATGACTAAAACCAGAGCAGAACTGAATAAATTAAACTCAAAAATCCAAGCAAAGAATTAACAAAACCAAAAGTTAGTTATTTGAAAGGATAAAAAAGATGGATACACCACTAGCTAGATTAAAAAATAAAAAAGGGAGAAGAGCCAAATAAGCACAATCAGAAATAACAAAGATAACATTACAACCAATCCCATAGAAATACAAAAGATCCTCAGAGACTATTATTAACACTTCTACTCACACAAACTAGAAAGTCTAGAGGAAATGGATACATTACTGGAAAAACATAACCTCCCAAGACTGAACAAGGAAGAAATTGAAAGCCTGAACAGATGAATATCAAGTTCCAAAATTGAAGTAGTAATAAAAACTCTAGCAACCAGAAGAGCCCCAAACAGATGGATTCACAGCCAAATTCTACCAGTGTACAAAGAAGAGCTGGTACCAATTCTACTGAAACTATTCCAAAAAATCGAGGAAAGTGACTCCTCCCTAACTAATTCTATGAAGGCAACATCACCCTGGTACCAAAACCTGGCAAAGATACAACAACAACAACAACAACAACAACAACAACAACAACAAACTACAGGCCAGTATCCCTGTTGAACATAGATGCAAAAATTCCCAACAAAATACTAGCAAACTGAATCCATCAGTACATCAAAAAGCTAGTGCACCACAATCAAGTAGGCTTCATCCCTGGGACGTAAGAGTGATTCAACATATACAAATCAATAGATGTGATTCATCTTAAAAACAAAAGTCATATGACCATCTCAATAGATGTGGAAAAAGCTTTTTATAAACTCCAAAATACCTTCATGATAAAAAAAAAAAAACCCTCAAGAAACTAGGCATCAAAGGAACATACATCAGAATAATAAAAGCGATCTGTGACAAACTCACAGCCAACATCATACTGAACAGGCAAAAACTGGAAGCATTCCCCTTGAGGACTGTAACAAGACAAGGATGCCCACTCTCACCACTCCTATTTAACATAGTACTATAAGTGCTAGCCACAGCAATTAGGCAAGAGAAAGAAATAAAAGGCATCCAAATAGGAAGAGAGGAACTCAGACTATCTGTCTTCATGGATGTTATCATTCTATACCTAGAAAACCCTAAAGACTCTGCCAAAAGGCTCCTGGAACTGATACAGGACTTCAGTAAAGTTTCAGGATACACAGATCAATGTACAAAAATAAATAGCATTTCTTTTTTTATTTTTATTTTATTATTATTATACTTTAAGTTTTAGGGTACATGTGTACAATGTGCAGGTTAGTTACATATGTATACATGTGCCATGCTGGTGTGCTGCACCCATTAACTCGTCATTTAGCATTAGGTATATCTCCTAAAGCTATCCCTCCCCACTCCCCCCACCCCACAACAGTCCCCAGAGTGTGATGTTCCCCTTCCTGTGTCCATGTGTTCTCATTGTTCAATTCCCACCTATGAGTGAGAATATGCAGTGTTTGGTTTTTTTGTCCTTGCTGTAGTTTACTGAGAATGATGATTTCCAATTTCATCCACGTCCCTACAAAGGACATGAACTCATCCTTTTTTATGGCTGCATAGTATTCCATGGCATATATGTGCCACATTTTTTTAATCCAGTCTATCATTGTTGGACATTTGGGTTGGTTCCAAGTCTTTGCTATTGTGAATAGTGCCACAATAAACATACGTGTGCATGTGTCTTTATAGCAGCATGATTTATAGTCCTTTGGGTATATACCCAGTAATGGGATGGCTGGGTCAAATGGTATTTCTAGTTCTAGATCCCCGAGGAAATCGCTACACTAACTTCCACAATGGTTGAACTAGTTTACAGTCCCACCAACAGTGTAAAAGTGTTCCTATTTCTCCACATCCTCTCCAACACCGGTTGTTTCCTGACTTTTTAGTGATTGCCATTCTAACTGGTGTGAGATGGTATCTCATTGTGGTTTTGATTTGCATTTCTCTGATAGCCAGTGATGGTGAGCATTTTTTCATGTGTCTTTTGGCTGCATAAATGTCTTCTTTTGAGAAGTGTCTGTTCATGTCCTTCGCCCACTTTTTGATGGGGCTGTTTGTTTTTTTCTTGTAAATTTGTTTGAGTTCTTTGTAGATTCTGGATATTAGCCCTTTGTCAGATGAGTAGGTTGTGAAAATTTTCTCCCATTTTGTAGGTTGCCTGTTCACTCTGATGGTAGTTTCTTTTGCTGTGCAGAAGCTCCTTAGTTTAATTAGATCCCATTTGTCAATTTTGGCTTTTGTTGCTATTGCTTTTGGTGTTTTAGACATGAAGTCCTTGCCCATGCCTATGTCCTGAATGGTAATGCCTAGGTTTTCTTCTAGGGTTTTTATGGTTTTAGGTCTAACGTTTAAGTCTTTAATCCATCTTGAATTAGTTTTTGTATAAGGTGTAAGGAAGGGATCCAGTTTCAGCTTTCTCCATATGGCTAGCCAGTTTTCCCAGCACCATTTATTAAATAGGGAATCCTTTCCCCATTGCTTGTTTTTCTCAGGTTTGTCAAAGATCAGATAGTTGTAGATATGTGGCATTATTTCTGAGGGCTCTATTCTGTTCCATTGGTCAATATCTCTGTTTTGGTACCAGTACCATGCTGTTTTGGTTACTGTAGCCTTGTAGTATAGTTTGAAGTCAGGTAGCATGATGCCTCCAGCTTTGTTCATTTGGCTTAGGATTGACTTGGCAATGCGGGCTCTTTTTTGGTTCCATATGAACTTTAAAGTAGTTTTTTCCAATTGTGTGAAGAAAGTCATTGGTAGCTTGATGGGGATGGCATTGAATCTATAAATTACCTTGGGCAGTATGGCCATTTTCACGATATTGATTCTTCCTACCCATGAGCATGGAATGTTCTTCCATTTGTTTGTATCCTCTTTTATTTCCTTGAGCAGTGGTTTGTAGTTCTCCTTGAAGAGGTCCTTCACGTCCTTTGTAGGTTGGATTCCAAGGTATTTTATTCTCTTTGAAGCAATTGTGAATGGGAGTTCACTCATGATTTGGCTCTCTGTTTGTCTGTTATTGGTGTATAAGAATGCTTGTGATTTTTGTACATGGATTTTGTATCCTGAGACTTTGCTGAAGTTGCTTATCAGCTTAAGGAGATTTTGGGCTGAGACAATGGGGTTTTCTAGATATACAATCATGTCATCTGCAAACAGGGACAATTTGACTTCCTCTTTTCCTAATTGAATACCCTTTATTTCCTTCTCCTGCCTAATTGCCCTGGCCAGAACTTCCAACACTATGTTGAATAGGAGTGGTGAGAGAGGGCATCCCTCTCTTGTGCCAGTTTTCAAAGGGAATGCTTCCAGTTTTTGCCCATTCAGTATGATATTGGCTGTGGGTTTGTCATAGATAGCTCTTATTATTTTGAGATAGGTCCCATCAACACCTAGTTTATTGAGAGATTTTAGCATGAAGCGTTGTTGAATTTTGTCAAAGGCCTTTTCTGCATCTATTGAGATAATCATGTGGTTTTTGTCTTTGGTTCTGTTTATATGCTGGATTACATTTCTTGATTTGCGTATATTGAACCAGCCTTGCATCCCAGGGATGAAGCCCACTTGATCATGGTGGATAAGCTTTTTGATGTGCTGCTGGATTCGGTTTGCCAGTATTTTATTGAGGATTTTTGCATCAATATTCATCAAGGATATTGGTCTAAAATTCTCTTTTTCTGTTGTGTGTCTGCCCGGCTTTGGTATCAGGATGATGCTGGCCTCATAAAATGAGTTAGGGAGGATTCCCTCTTTTTCTATTGATTGGAATAGTTTCAGAAGGAATGGTACCAGTTCCTCCTTGTACCTCTGGTAGAATTCGGCTGTGAATCCATCTGGTCCTGGACTCTTTTTGGTTGGTAAGCTATTGGTTATTGCCACAATTTCAGAGCCTGTTATTGGTCTATTCAGAGAGTCACCTTCTTCCTGGTTTAGTCTTGGGAGGGTGTATGTGTCGAGGAATTTATCCATCTCTTCTAGATTTTCTAGTTTATTTGTGTAGAGGTATCTGTAGTATTCCCTGATGGTAGTTTGTATTTCTGTGGGATCGGTGGTGATATCCCGTTTGTCATTTTTTATTGCGTATATTTGATTATTCTGTCTTTTCTTCTTTATTAGTCTGGCTAGCGGTCTATCAGTTTTGTTGATCCTTTCAAAAAACCAGCTCCTGGATTCATTAATTTTTTGAAGGGTTTTTTGTGTCTCTATTTCCTTCAGTTCTGCTCTAATTTTAGTTATTTCTTGCCTTCTGCTAGCTTTTGAATGTGTTTGCTCTTGCTTTTCTAGTTCTTTTAATTGTGATGTTAGGGTGTCAATTTTAGATCTTTCCTGCTTTCTCTTGTGGGCATTTAGTGCTATAAATTTCCATCTACACACTGCTTTGAATGTGTCCCAGAGATTCTGGTATGTTGTGTCTTTGTTCTGGTTGGTTTCAAAGAACATCTTTATTTCTGCCTTCATTTCGTTATGTACCCAGTAGTCATTCAGGAGCAGGTTGTTCAGTTTCCATGTAGTTGAGCGGTTTTGAGTGAGTTTCTTAATCCTGAGTTCTAGTTTGATGGCACTGTGGTCTGAGAGACAGTTTGTTATAATTTCTGATCTTTTACATTTGCTGAGGAGAGCTTTACTTCCAACTATGTGATCAATTTTGGAATAGGTGTGGTGTGGTGCTGAACAAAATGTATATTCTGTTGATTTGGGGTGGAGAGTTCTGTAGATGTCTATTAAGTCTGCTTGGTGCAGAGCTGAGTTCAATTCCTGGGTATGCTTGTTAACTTTCTGTCTCGTTGATCTGTCTAATGTTGACAGTGGGGTGTTAAAGTCTCCCATTATTATTGTGTGGGAGTCTAAGTCTCTTTGTAGGTCACTCAGGACTTGCTTTATGAATCTGGGTGCTCCTGTATTGGGTGCATATATATTTAGGATAGTTAGCCCTTCTTGTTGAATTGATCCCTTTACCATTATGTAATGGCCTTCTTTGTCTCTTTTGATCTTTGTTGGTTTAAAGTCTGTTTTATCAGAGACTAGGATTGCAACCCCTGCCTTTTTTTGTTTTCCATTTGCTTGGTAGATCTTCTTCCATCCTTTTATTTTGAGCCTATGTGTGTCTCTGCACATGAGATGGGTTTCCTGAATAAAGCACACCGATGGATCTTGACTCTTTATCCAATTTGCCAGTCTGTGTCTTTTAATTGGAGCATTTAGCCCATTTACATTTAAGGTTAATATTGTTATGTGTGAATTTGATCCTGTCATTATGATGTTAGCTGGTTATTTTGCTCTTTAGTTGATGCGGTTTCTTCCTAGCCTTGATGGTCTTTACGTTTTGGCTTGATTTTGCAGTGGCTGGTGCCAGTTGTTCCTTTCCATGTTTAGTGCTTCCTTCAGGAGCTCTTTTAGGGCAGGCCTGGTGGTGACAAAATCTCTCAGCATTTGCTTGTCTGTAAAGTATTTTATTTCTCCTTCACTTATGAAGCTTAGTTTTGCTGGATATGAAATTCTGGGTTAAAAATTCTTTTCTCTAAGAATGTTGAATATTGGCCCCCACTCTCTTCTGGCTTGTAGAGTTTCTGCCGAGAGATCCGCTGTTAGTCTGATGGGCTTCCCTTTGTGGGTAACCCGACCTTTCTCTCTGGCTGCCCTTAACATTTTTTCCTTCATTTCAACTTTGGTGAATCTGACAATTATGTGTCTTGGAGTTGCTCTTCTCGAGGAGTATCTTTGTGCCATTCTCTGTATTTCCTGAATCTGAATGTTGGCCTGCCTTGCTAGATTTGGGAAGTTCTCCTGGATAATATCCTGCAGAGCATTTTCCAACTTGGTTCCATTCTCCCCGTCACTTTCAGGTACACCAATCAGACGTAGATTTGGTCTTTTCACATAGTCCCATATTTCTTGGAGGCTTTGTTCGTTTCTTTTTATTCTTTTTTCTCTAAACTTCCCTTCTCGCTTCATTTCATTCATTTCATCTTCCATCACTGATACCCTTTCTTCCAGTTGATCGCATCAGCTCCTGAGGCTTCTGCATTCTTCACGTAGTTCTCGAGCCTTGGTTTCAGCTCCATCAGCTCCTTTAAGCACTTCTCTGTATTGGTTATTCTAGTTACACATTCTTCTAAATTTTTTTCAAAGTTTTCAACTTCTTTGCCTTTGGTTTTAATTTCCTCCTGTAGCTCGGAGTAGTTTGATCGTCTGAAGCCTTCTTCTCTCAACTCGTCAAAGTCATTCTCCATCCAGCTTTGTTCCGTTGCTGGTGAGGAGCTGCATTCCTTTGGAGGAGGAGAGGTGCTCTGCTTTTTAGAGTTTCCAGTTTTTCTGCTCTGTTTTTTCCCCATCTTTGTGGTTTTATCTACTTTTGGTCTTTGATGATGGTGATGTACAGATGGGTTTTTGGTGTGGATGTCCTTTCTGGTTGTTAGTTTTCCTTCTAACAGACAGGACCCTCAGCTGCATGTCTGTTGGAGTTTGCTAGAGGTCCACTCCAGACCCTGTTTGCCTGGGTACCAGCAGCAGTGGCTGCAGAACAGTGGATTTTCATGAACCGTGAATGGTGCTGTCTGATCATTCCTCTGGAAGTTTTGTCTCAGAGGAGTACCCGGCCGTGTGAGATGTCAGTCTGCCCCTACTGGGGGGTGCCTCCCAGTTAGGCTGCTCGGGGGTCAGGGGTCAGGGACCCACCTGAGGAGGCAGTCTGCCCGTTCTCAGATCTCCAGCTGCGTGCTGGGAGAACCACTGGTCTCTTCAAAGCTGTCAGACAGGGACATTTAAGTCTGCAGAGGTTACTGCTGTCTTTTTGTTTGTCTGTGCCCTGCCCCCAGAGGTGGAGCCTACAGAGGCAGGCAGGCCTCCTTGAGCTGTGGTGGGCTCCACCCAGTTCGAGCTTCCCAGCTGCTTTGTTTACCTAAGCAAGCCTGGGCAATGGCGGGTGCCCCTCCCCCAGCGTCGCTGCAGTCTTGCAATTTGATCTCAGACTGCTGTGCTAGCAATCAGCGAGACTCCGTGGGCGTAGGACCCTCGAAGCCAGGTGCGGGATATAATCTCCTGGTGTGCCGTTTTTTAAGCCTGTCAGAAAAGCACAGTATTAGGGTGGGAGTGACCCGATTTTCCAGGTGCCGATTCACCCCTTTCTTTGACTAGGAAAGGGAACTCCCTGACCCCTTGCACTTCCCGAGTGAGGCAATGCCTCGCCCTGCTTCAGCTCGCACACGGTGTGCTGCACCCACTGTCCTGCGCCCACTGTCTGGCACTCCCTAGTGAGATGAACCCAGTATCTCAGATGGAAATGCAGAAATCACCCATCTTCTGTGTCGCTCACGCTGGGAGCTGTAGACCGGAGCTGTTCCACCTCAATAAGTAGCATTTCTATATACCAATAATGTTCAAGCTGAGAGCCAAATCAAGAATACAATCCCATTTATAGTAGCCACAAAAAAATAAAATACTTAAGAATACATCTAACCAAGGAGGTGAAAGATCTCTACAAGGAGAACTTCAAAACACTGCTCCGATAAATCATAGATAACACAAACAAATGGAAAAACATTCCATGCTCATAGATTGGAAGAATCCATTGATTCAATTGAACAAGGAAAAAACAAATAATCCCATTAAAATTGACAAAAAACATTAATGATAGACTGGATAAAGAAAATATGGTACATACACACCATGGAATACTATGCAGCCTTAAAAAAGAATGAGATCATGTCCTTTGCAGGGGCATGGATGGAGTTGGGAGCCATTATCCTCAGCAAACTAACACAGGAACAGAAAACCAAATACTGCATGTTCTTATACATAAGTGGTAGCTGAACAATGAGAACACATGGACATGGGGGGGAACAACACACACTGGGGACTATTGGGGTGTGGGGAAGGGAGATCATCAGGAAAAATAGCTAATGCATGTGGGGCTTAATACCTAGGTGATGGGTTGATAGGTGCAGTAAACCACCATGGCACTGTTTACCTATGTAACAAATCTGCGCATCCCACACATGCATCCCGGAACTTAAAATAAAATAATGCTTTTTAAAAAAAAGGGCAAAAGATATGAATAGACACTTCTCTAAAGAAGACATACAAGTAGCCAACAAACATATGAAAAAATGCTCCACATCATTAATCATCAGCGAAATGGAAATCAAAACCACAGTGAGATACCATCTCACCTAAGTCAGAATGGCTGCTATGAAAAAGTTAAAAAAAATAACAGATGCTAGTGAGGCTGTGAAGAAAAAGGAACACTTATCCACTGTTGGTGGGAGTGAAAATTAGTTCAACCACTGTGGAAAGCAACTTGGAGATTTCTTAAAGAAGTTAAAACAAAACTACCATTCAATCAAGCAGTCCCATTACTGGGGATATATACAAAAGAAAACAAATTGTTCTACCAAAAAGACACATCCACTTGCATGTTCATCACAGCACTACTCACAGTAACAGAGACTTGAGATCACTTAGATGCCTATCAATGGAGGCTTGGATAAAGAAAATGTGGTACATATGTACCATGGAATACTATGTAGCCATAAAAAAAGAACTAAATAGGCCGGGTGCAGTGGCTCATGCCTGTAATCCCAGCACTTTGGGAGGTTGGGGTGGGTGGATCACCAGGTGAGGAGATGGAGACCATCCTACCTAACATGGTGAAACCCTGTCTCTACTAAAAATACAAAAAAATTAGCCGGACGTGGTGGCACGCACCTGTAATCCCAGCTACTCAGGAGACTGATGCAGGAGAATCCCTGGAACTCGGGAGGTGGAGGTTGCAGTGAGCTGAGATTGTGCCACTGCACTCCAGCCTGGGTGACAGAGCAAGACTCCACCTCAAAAAAAAAAAAAAAAAAAAAAGAACTAAGTATTGTTCTTTGTAGCCACACGGATGGAACTGGAGGCCATTATCCTAAGCAAACTAACACAGGAAAGAAAAACCAAATACTGCATGTTCTTGCTTATAAGTGGGAGCCAAACATTGAATACTCAGGGACATAAAGATGGCAACAAAAGACACTGGGAACTACTATAGGGGGAGGAAGAGAGGGAGAAGGGTTGAAAACTAGCTGTTGGGTAGTATGCTCAGTGCCTGGATTACAGGATCATTCATACCCCAAACCTCGGCATTATGCAATGTACTTAGGTAACAAACCTGCATGTGTACCTCCTGAATCTAAAATAAAAGGTAAAAAAACTTTTTAATGAAATAAAAAATAAAAAATTATTAATACAGTACAATTATATTAACTATGGTCCTCATGTTGTACATTAAATCTCTAGACTTGTTCATCCTGCATATCTGCTACTTTGTGTCCTTTAACCTGTATCTTCCCATTTCCTCTCCCCAACCCCACTCCATAACCACTATTTTATTCCCTAACTCTGTGTGTATGTGTGTGTGCATATATATACACACACATGTGTATATAGACATATATGAGTATATATTCACATACATATATACATGTATATCTATATGTATGTGTATATATGTATATGTGTATATATACATATATATATATAAGATTCCACATATAAGTGAGATCATAGAGTATTTACCTTTCAGCACATGGCTTATTCCACTTAGCGTAACATCCTCCAGGTTCACACATGTGTAGCAAATGGCAGGATCTCCTTCTTTTTTAAGGTTGAATAGTATTTTATTGTATATATACTACATTTTCTTTATCCATTTGTCTGTCAATGGACACTGACAGTGTTTCCTTACATTGTAGCCACTATTTTTTATGTCGTTACTTTGATTTAATGTTAATCTCAGACAAGTGCCGATGAATTAGCACCACCCTCTTTCCTGCCTCTTTTTTGATCCACATTAGCACCTAGCATGCAGCTTTCCCACACACAACTGTAAGCTCCAATAATAGAATCTTAGCTTAGTAAATGCCTATCCATATGCCAGCTTAGCAAATACCTATCATTCTGCATCTTTTGCCAGCACCTTGAATTAAACACAACCAAAACCAAACATAACTCATCCTGACTTCCTGGTTTCCCTCAATGATGCCAACATTTTTCTAGTCACTCAGACTGAAAATTTCAGATACTTTTATGTTCATCAGTAATTTATTTAATCAAAGTATATAAAGCTCAAGTTTGCCCTGAGCTATGCAGAGTACTCAATAAATGTTTGTTAAATCAATTCATGAAATAATCCTACAGATATTTATTGAGTGCTTATGTGCTAGAAATGTGTGAAAGAGAAAAAAAGGATTAAGACCTAGTTCCTGCCTTCATCAACTTACAATATAGTGGGAAGAATAATGCATATGTATAAAAACTACAATAAAAGATGGTATGCAATAACAATCATAATATATGTGTAAACAAAACTCTATAATAGTATAGAAGAGGAGAAGGTCATCCCTGCCTTGGAGCATCTTAGACCATGGACTGTTGCCTGAAGAAGGTGTCATTCAAGCTTCAAGTGGAAAAATCATTTGTGCAGGTAGAGATAGGCTGTGGGAAAGGCCTTGAAAAAGAAAGGGAAAACATTGTAGAGCCCCAAAGCATGAAAAGAAGGTGATTCTACTAAATAGAATAGGGCTAGCAGTCAAATTTGTCTGTAGCAAAGGATGCAAGCTGGAGAACCGTGAAAACCAAAGTCAAAAAAGTAACAATTGGGGCTTGGTTAGAGAGAGTTTAGATTTCTAGGCTAAGGATTTTGGACTTCAGTGTGCTTTGGTGAACTATGAAATATTTTTATATGTAGTGTGTGACCAGAGCTGTGCTTTGTGCAGAGAAGAGTAACCAATATGTTAAGGGTAAGCAAACAATGTAACATGAGCAACATTTGTAGGACTCAAGGGTGGCTAGATGAAGAAAAATTTAATTGAGATTAAATAGCTATCTTCAATGATCTGAGAGGCTGACCAGTAGAAAAGAGAGTATGATAATTTTTGGCAGAATTAAAGGACACAAATAAATCTAATTGGTGAAAGAAGATGGACAGCAGATTTCAGTTCAAATCAACAAATTACTTTCTAATATGGCTGCGTAAATATAGAATTGACTGGCTTTGTGACGTATAGCTGAACTTTTGGGAAAATATTGGAAAGGTAGGAAGTTTGTATGTCAAAGTGAGGGGCTGGCCAGATGAATTTTAAAGTTTTCCCAAGCCCTAAGATTCTGTTGTTCTAGCTTATAGTTGTATGTGGGATGTTTAAAAAGAGAACAGAGCATTTGTGAAGCCGATGAGGAGGCTTTTGTGAGACTCAAGACAAAAGATGGTGAAGGGCCAGATAAGTGTATTGGAAACAGAGGCAGTCATAATTTCTAACAGTTATGTAATACTTATGTACCCAGCACTATATGTAATATATGTAAGCACTTTACATATATTGACTCATTTGTTCCTTGTACCAACCCGATTTTATAGATGGGAAACCAAAGCATAGAAAGATTTAGTGAGATGCTCAGGGTCCCATAGTTAATCGATCTCTGAGCTAGGATTCGAGACCAGGAAATCAGGCTTTAGAGTCCGTACTCTTAATCACTATGCTATCCTGGCCTTCCAGAGAGAGAGAAATTGAAGAAGTGTTGAAAACAGAAGAACTGAAAGATGTAGTTGGATATGAGCATAAGGCAAAAGGAAAATGAAAGCGTAATGCCAAATATCCTAACCTTGGAAACTAGGACTATTATCACGATATTAACAAAAATAGTAAAATCAGACTGGATGTGGTGGCTCATTCATGTAATCCCAGCTACTTGGGAAGCCAAGGCAGGAAGATTGCTTGAGCCCAGGAGTTCAAGACCAGCCTGGGCAACATAGTGAGACCCAATCTCTACAGAAAATTTTTTTTAATTAGCTGGGCATGGTGGCATGTGTCTGTAGTTCCAGCTGCTCAGGAGGCTGAGGCGGGAGGATTGCTTGAGCCTGAGAGGTTAACGCCACCGTGAGCCATGATCTAGCCACTGCACTCCAGCCTGGGCAACGGAGTGAGACCCTGCCTCAAAAAAAAAAAAAATAGTGAAATCAGGATAAAGAACTGATTCATGAGTCGAGATTAAAATGTAGGTTATAAACATGTTGAGTTTAAAGGTGCCGGTGGCTTAGCCAGGTAGAAATGCGTAGCATGCATGTTATTTGTGAAATTGAGAGTGAGCCAAGGACTTTAACTTCGTGTAAATGTACCTAGATTGATATACTACCTCCTCATAGCTTTCCTACAGTACATTGTAACCTCACTAGAATGTCGATAGCATAAGACAAGGATAGACATAAAGTCAAATACTTTACTCCATTATTAATCCTTAGAAGAATGGGTGTGGCGACTCATAGGAAACATATGTCTTAAGACAAAATATATGTCTTAAAGTTCAGATGACACTAATAACCATAGAGCCTTGATGATTGCCATAGAGTAAAACTATAAATTTTTTTAAAACTAAATGTCTTAAATGACACTAAACTATGCATTGAAATACTATATAAGGACATTTATATGCCTTTTTTCTTCATCATGCTGAGGATTTTGTTGACTCTGGGTTCTTTACGTTTCTTTTCTCCCCTGTCATGCTTATTTATAAGGGTAAAAATAAACTGTTGGTGCATGGTCTGTTGGGCTATGATGGCAGCTTTGTAAATATGTATGCAGCCCCTGCCCAGGTCTTTGACAGAAAGCTGCTTTCCATGCCTTTGTAATGCCTTGAACACACCTTCTGCATTCAGGATGCAGAAGCCTACCACCGTTGCAAAGGTTGCCTGATGATTGCTAGTATCGTCTCTCTTGTGGACTCCAGTTAGAGTTAGCGTTCTAAAGCATGGTGAGCCCTTAGCAATAGTGTTGAATGGGATGGGGAAGACAAGTCTGTGAGCTCTTTCTCATTTAGAGTAAGACTTTTAGTCTTCGTGAAGTGTTCTTCCAGCATACAGCTTTGGCTTTGCCACTGAAGTATGCTATCAGATTTGCTTGGGGACTTAGACGTGTATTTGAAGATCTTTGGTTTGTAGAGTTTCTTTGCTAAGTTGGGAGGCTTATTGCCTTAGAATAACACCATGTAGGTAATTTAGATGTGCATTAAGGGGACTAACAAAAATTCATTTTGAGGAGAGCTAATGTCAGAATTTTCTGAAAAAGGGAAAGCAGGTCAAATATCATTCATAAAAGGGAGAAAAAATTCTGCCTGGTGCAATTTTAACATTTTTACCAAATTATGCCCAAGAATGTTAAACTTTATATACGAAAAGTAGCTTTCTAACTTACCAAGAAATAGTTCTTAAGTAGCCACTCTTAGACAAGATGCAGTATAATTGTTCCAGTAGTAGTTTTATAAATGATATACACTATATAGTGTATATAGTTTTATAAGTGAGAGCACTGTTTTACTGATGTCTAAGACATGCATTTCATGCCTCTGTGAGGCAGTTAAGCTTGCCCTTTTAGGTGGTCACAAACTGCACCTAGACGGCAATTATGATAAGAAAGTCTAAGTGAAAAGCTGTAGATAAACCAAAAACAAACTCTGCCATGGCTGAGCAATCCCATGGCCTACCACTCATGACAGATCATGAGCCTTAAAAGTTAATATTTGCGGGGCTGGGCACAGTGGCTCATGCCTATAATCCCAGCATTTTGGGAGGCCGAGGCAGGTGGATCACCTGAGATCAGGAGTTCGAGACCGGCCTGGCCAACATGGCAAAACCCCGTCTCTACTAAAAATACAAAAATTTTCTGGGTATGGTGGTGTGTACCTGTAGTCTTAGCTACTCAGGAGACTGAGGCAGGAGAATCACTTGAACCCAGGAAGTGGAGGTTGCAGTGAGTCGAGATCACACCACTGCACTCCAGCCTGGGTGACAGAGTGCGACTCCGTCTCAAAAAAAAAAAGTTAATATTTGCTCCTTTAGGGTTGGGTTTTACCCTGACAATCTGGTACCTAATGGGTCAAATGATAAGCAAATGTCTAGATTTCAACATTCTTTGGCATTTGAGGATACTATTTGGATAGGCAAAAGTGTCAGGTTTATAATCAAAGGATTGAAACATGCTCTTGCAGTCTGTAGCTACAAATGAGTAGAAGTTCACCTCATCTTCAATAGTTTGAGCTTCTGATCACTAAGCTAACCAAAATGTGACATCTAGAGTTAGGGAGAATATTTTATTTAGCAAGCAAGGAAACAGGATTTATTCCAAAGGAAAGATTCTGTATAGTGAAAAGGCCAACTGACTTATTTTATCGAATTCAAAAGTTGTAAGTCAGGCATGGATTTTTCTGTCTTGTCAGGTTATTCAGACCTACCAAAGAACAGTTAACCAGTTCCTTTATAAAGGAAATCCAAAACCATGTGACAGTCAAGATCCATGAAACATTAAGCTCAAAGTCATTACAACTTTTGATCTTCACATGCTAGATTCCTTGGGATTTTTGTTCTTATCCATCAAGAATTTGAGAATCCTCTCAAGGTTTTATATAGGCTGGAGTGTGTCGCTGTTGTTATGCTGCTTGTATGTTGCTATTTGTTCAGTTAAAGCTAGCTGACATTTTGTATCATTTTGAATCTCTTCAGTTTAATTGTTCAGATTTAAGATAGTATTAAAACTACTAAGATACATTGAAGCATCATTGTAAAGCTGAGGCTGAGGGACAAGTATTATGTTATAGGTTTTCTGTGTTAAAATGAGGAGATACTATTATACTTCAAGCATAGAAAACGTGATACTTATCCCACAGTAAAGCCAAATCTTTATCATAGCAAGGTACTTGTAAAGATTGGTTAGAGATGGTATTTAATTTAACCATATGCAATAAAACAGATATGATACCTCATCAACTAATATGTTCTTCTAATTACTTTTAGAGAAATAGACACCAAAAATATGTGTGTGCATGCATGTATATATGTGTGCATGTGCATGCATGTGTGCACGTGTGTTCTACTGATATAAAGTTAACAGTGACTTATAGTAGTCCTACTTTCTAGTAGAATATTTACTACTGAGAAATGGAAGGAGTTGAAATCAGTAAAATGAAAATGATCCAAATACTTGGTGAAACAACACACAGTACACAAACTTTTGTTTGTAATAATGTTTACTGTTATTAGTTGAATCATTGCTTGATTTTAGTGAAATTTTTGGTGTACACCAAAATTTTTTTCAGCCCTTAAACAAACAGCTTGAGCTGGCACTGCCTACACTTGCCAATATAACCTTACTTTTTTTTCTTACTGTTATTTCTAATATTAATCATACAAAACAATGAGAAAAATCCTCATAGTTTAGTTTCCCCAACAAAAATTGCAGTAAAGTCTAAGAAAGAGAGGGTCTCTGTCTATTCAGGCTCATTCATTCTCTGTTCTTCCCTGTGCTTTCCCTTTCAGCCTAATTTACTCTGATCTTTAATTGATTCTACCAGATGCTGGGCAAGTGAATATGTAATAATTTCTTAATTTTTATGAATTTTTACATCAGAGGTGTCTTTTCCTTGTTTAGAATGCCATATTTTAATCTTGAAATTTTTACATAAATGTATACTTTAGAAACTGATAACCAGATTTAATCTTTTGGGGTGCCAAATATGATCACCATCTAATATTGGAGAAGGCAGAGGGGTCAAGAATAACAGAGTTTACATTACTAGAAACTTTTGCCTAAAAAGTAAATCTCAGAGAAGTGGTTCTGAGGGAGGCTCTGAAGGATTTACTGTTTAATCAAATTGTTCTTTGTCAGCATGCAACAAAGAAGTGTTCCAGTTGTATCTGAGTTCAATTTATACAAGTGTTGTTCATTGTTGACATGCATAAAGAAACTTATTAAAAATGAAATGTCTCAATAGAACTTTAAAGTGTCTGCCTATATTTTTCATGTTCTTTTCCAATACATTTGCACAGAAGAATGTTTATATTTTAGCATTCTTTTGTCATATTTTGTAGCCTGTAATGTTAATGTATTTTCAACAAGATAGAAAATATTACACAGGAAATAGAACTATTCATGAGACAAATGTATTAGAGCAAATATCATTTCTATCTTGTTTATAAATTATACAATTGCCAGCATCTGTTTTCTGTTAGTTCTTCACCCACACCAACCCCACTGCTGATTATAGGAAGATTGGGATTGAAAAACATCTTAGAATCAGTCCAGAAACTCTATTTGGAACTGGATGCAATTGCAGAAATGTTGATGCAGTTCAAAATGAGGAATGCTTATTGCTTAAGATCTGCTTCTCCATTTGTAGTAATTCATTTTGTAGAGGATTCCCTCATTCATGAGGATATTGCTTCCCACCTGGATTCTTACTGTGCTGAATCCTATCCGACTCGTGGTTGTGGTTTGTATCTGTGGAGGGTATTGTGTAAGAGTTAGGTTAAGTAATATCTCCAGTTATTTATTCAATAGAACAGTCAGTTCTAAAGACAGTTGTTTTTTACTGATTCTCTTTTTCTTTTGTAAATTATTATGAAATATTTCAGACATGTAAGATAACATAATGAACAGCTGTAAACCCACTACTTTGCTTTAAAAATTAATAAATACAAACAAAGTCCCTATGTATACTTTTGTGATCCCATCTGCCTCTCTTCTCTGCAGCAGAAACCACTATCCTCAGTCTATTCATTGTCATACAATACACATGTTTAGGCTTTTCCAAATATGTATATATCCATAAAATGTATTTTTCTACATGTGTTTAAATTTCATATGAATAACTTGCTTTCCTCCTTCATCATTATGTTTCTAAAGTTTATCCATATTCAGGCATGGATCTCTACCTTATTCAAGTTAACTGCTATATTTTTTGCACTGCATAAATATACTAAAATTTATATATCCTTTCCCATTGATGGATATTTAGGTTCAGACAGACATACACACCCCCTAGTATTAATAGGTATGCTTCAAAATGTTCTTGGATATTCTTGGCCTTTTCTGTTTCATATAGATTTTAGGATCATGTTTCAAGCTCTATGATGGGATATTTACCAGAATTACATTGAATTTATAGAGCTAGTACAGAAAAATTGACATTCTAATGATATTAAGCCTTGTGAGCCATGAACACAGTATATCTTTCCATTGATTGGGTCTTTTTATGTGTTCTTCAATAAAGTTTTAAAATTTTATGTAAAGGAGTATGGAACCTTTTTTTTGCTATATGTGCTATTATTTTTAATGGAACCTTTTATTTAGAAAAAAAAAGTACGTGTTCTAATTTGCTGTCCCCAATATCTAGGCATGCTATTGATTTTTTCCTTTTGATTTTACATCCAGAAACCTTGTAGCTTTCATAGTTTACCTGTATGTTCAATTTTACCTCTTCCTTTTCAGGCATTCCAATTTTTTATGTCTTTGGTTGCCTTTTTGTGCTGACTAAGATTTCCAATACAACATTGAGTTAGAAGCTGTAGTTAATTCTAGTACTTCTTCTGACATTAAAAGGAATATATTACTCTGTTTCTGTACTAAATATGATGCTTACTATAGGATTTTGGTAAATCACCTTTACCATACTCAGTAAGCTATCTTTTAGCCATGTTTTTCTAGGAGATTCTATCATAAATAGGAACTAAATTTTAAATGGTACTCTTTCTACATATAATAATAAAATTATAATTTTTCTTTAATCATTATGAAATGTGTGAAAGTAAAATGGAATAATTCAGTGGTGAATTACATTGATAGATTTTTCTAAAGTTAAACCATCCTAGCATTCATGCTTATTTGGCTGTGACTTCTATATACTGGTGTACGCATGTGTGTGTGTATGTGTGTGCATTTTTGGTTTGATTACCAGATATTTTCTTGAAGATTTTTGCAGCCATGTTTATAAGTGAGATTGGCCTATTAAGAAATCAGTTCTAGAGCTGGACAAGGTGGAACACACCTGCAGTCCCAGATACTTGGGAGGCTGGGGTGGAAGAATCACTTGGGCTCAAGAGTTCAAGTCCAGTCTGGGCAAAATAGAGACATCCCACCTTTAAAAAAAAAAAAAATCATTTTCTCCTTTTCTTACCCTATTTTGGAACTGTTTTGGAACTAGATTATATTCTTATAAAATGATTCAAGATGGTTTCCCTTTTTTCCTGTTCTCTGGTATAGTTTAAAATAGAGATTATCTGTCCTTTGAAAATTTGACAAAATACACCTGTAAAACCATCTGGGCAATTTTCAATGTTTTTAATGTGTACTCAGGTTTTCTATTTCTTCTCACGTCCATTTGTTTTCTGGAAAAACATCTACTTTATCTAAGGTTTCAGACTTACTTGCATAAAGTTGTTAATAGCAGTCTCTAATTTATTTTTGAATTTTAATCTTTAATGTTTATTTGTATTCTTTCTTTTCCTTTTTTCTAGCTCTATTACCTTGCCATGGGTTTCTCTATTTTTTATATTCATCTCAAAGATGCAGATTTTGATTTTGTTGATCTTCTCTGTTGTTTCTTTGTTTCCAATTTCATTAACTTCTGCTCTTGGCTTTGTTGTGTCCTTCATCTACTTATATGTAGTCCTTTTTCTAAATCCTTGATTTGGACACTTTGCTCATTAGATTTCAATTCTTCTTCTTTTCTACTACATGCATTTCAGGCTGTAAATTTCCTCTAAGTTACTGTCTAAGCTGCATCCCACAAGTTTTTGTAAATAGTATTTCATTGTTACTCAATTTCTAATTCCAATGTAATTTTTGAAACATAATTCATGAATTCTTTTTAAGTGTGTTTTTAAAGAACACCTTTCTGGGATTTTTCTTTTGTTATCTTTTTGTTTATTGATTTCTAATTTTACTGCATTTTGTGAAGCAGAATAATCCATATGCTGTGGAATCTTTGGCATTTATTGAGTCTTGCTTTGTAGATGAATCTTTGTCAGTTTTTGTGGGTTATTCTGTGTGTGCTTGGAAAGAACATGTATTGTATAGTCATAGCTTTGAGGTCCTATATATGTCCATTAAGTTAAAGTTGTACTGCCTTTGAGTGATGATGACTTTATTTATTCCTTTTCAGTGTTTATACAAGTTTCCTTTTTCTTGCATAATTTCATTGGCTAGGACCTCCAGAATTATATTGTGTAGAAATGATGATCATAGGCATCTTTTCTCAGTCTTAATAACACAAAAAAAGATTTTAACATCTCACTATTATGGTGTTTGCTATGGGGTGTTGTAGCTACTCTTTATCAAATTTAAAGTTCCTTTTAGTCTTAGTTTTAAAATTAAAGTTGAAAGTTCCTTTTAATTACAAGTTAACTTAAAATTTCCTTTTAGTCTTAGTTTGCTACAAGTTTTTATCATAAATGGATGTTTAGTATTTTATCAAATACCTATTATGTATCTATTGAGATGATAATTTGATTTTTCTCTTTTATTCCATATATGTGATGAATTACATTTGTTAATTTTCAAATGTGAAAGCAATCTTATAATATATTCCTAGAATAAGCACAAATTGGTCATGATATTATTTCTTGTTATGTAATGCTAGATTTGCTATGTTAATTTTTGTTTAGGATTTTTGTATCCATGAATGAGATCTTCATGAGAAAGACTGTCATATATTTTTTAAATAATATCCTTCAGAATTTTATATCAGGATTATGTTGACCTCATAAGGCATATTGTTAAGAGTTTCCTCTTTTCTATTTTTTGGAAAAGTTTATTTAAGATTGGCAATTTTTCTTTCTTAAAAGTTTGGTATATTTACAAATGAAGTCATCTGAGACTGGAATTTTCTTTGTGGTAATGTTTTCCATTATGGATTAAGTTTCTTTAAAGAAACTATTCAGTTTCCACTTTTTCTTGTAGTTTATTAAGTTGTATTATTCTAGAAATTTGTTCATAAAAAATTTCAGATGTATTGGCAAAAAGCTGTTAGTAATATTGTCTTAGGATGTTTTATGTTTGTACTATGTATAGCAATGTCATACTTTTTATTCCCGATACTGTTTATCTGGGTCTTCTGTATTTTCATCTTGATCAGTCTCCACCGGGAGTTTATCAATTTTATTGGTCTGAGCCAATCATCAAGTATTGACTTTGTTGATTCTTTCTGTAGTATATTTATTCCTATTGTATTAGTTTCAGCTCTTATAATTAGCATTTTCTTCCTTCTACTTTCTTGTATACATTGGTTTTCTTTTTCTGATTTCTAAGAATCGATACTTAGGTCATGGTTTTTCAGCTCGTTTTTCTTTCTACCTTATAAATTTTTCTGTACACATGGATTTAGTTATATTACACATTTTCATTCATTTCCATCTCTTTTCTAATTTTCATGATGATGTCTTATTCGTTTAATGTTTTATTTGAAAGTATATTTCTTGATTTCCAAGCATGTATGGATCTTAGATTCATCTGCTATTACAAATTTCAAATTTAATTTCATACTGGGCTTAAAATATCCTATGTATGATTTCAATACTTCTAAATATATCAAGACTTGCTTTAGAGCCTAGCACGTGGTCAATATTTGTAAATGTTCTATATACATTTGAAATACATTATGTGTATTTTGTAGTCATTTATGGCAGTGTTTTGTATGTATCAATTAGATCAAATCTGTTAACCATGTTGCTCAAATATTTCATATTCTTTCTGATTTGTTTGCTTGCTCTATCAGTTGGTGTGAGAGGGGGGCTGTAAAGTCTCTGACTATGATTGTGAATTTGTCCTTTTCCCTTTCTTCTTCTTTCAATTTTGCTTCATTTATTTGGCTTACTGCTTTCTTCAGTGTTGGGTTTTGTTTGTTTGTTTGTTTGTTTGAGACAGGGCCTCACTCTGTTGCCCAGGCTAGAGTGCAGTGGCATGAACATGGCTCACTGCAGCCTCGACCTCCTGGGCTCAAGCAATCCTCCCACCTCAACTTCTTGAGTAGCTGTAGGCACATGCCACCACACCCAGCTATTTTTTGTATTTTTTGTAGAGATGGAGTCTCACTATGTTGCACAGGCTGTTCTCAAACTCCTGCGCTCAAGTGACCTGCCCACCTCACCCTTCCAAAGTGCTGGGATTACAGGTGTATGCCAATGTGCCTGGCCAATGTTAGAAATGTATTAGCCATTATCAATTCAATTTTTTTTTCTGATTCCATGAGACTGAAAAAGCTCTACTCAGCCTCTGAGCCTTCTAGCTCCCTCTAGTATAATTGACAGATGCTGCTATAGGAAAAGCATCCATAAATGTCAGGCTCTTCTCTCTGGGTTTTCTTTTTCTTCTGGAACTTGGCACAGTAATTCTTTACTGTTTTGTGAACTCCACTAACTCCCAAAAGATTTAAAAATATATTTTGTTTAGATTTTCTAGTTCTCATCAGAAGGGAATAGTAAAAATTACTTAGGTCCCTATTACTAGAAACAGAATTCCACCTTTATGTTTTCATATGCATACTTGACAAAGTACCAGTTACCTAACTCCCGAATAATATAAGGCTTTCCAAATATTTCATTCAGGACACTCCATCTTACATATTATTAAACGATAGTATTTTATTTCTACATTGTTTCCTAGCTCCAGATTTTTTATTATTATTATTTTATACTCAATAGTCAGTACTTCTTTGTCATCTCTCTGGGCTAGTGGGTACAGTTTATTACTCACCATCTTACTGTGATTGCAGCCTTTCAAGTGGCTCCAACTTTATGCTGGAGATTTAGTCCAACTCCATCTGAAATGGTGCCAAGACCTCATCTCTTTTTTCCTTGTGGACTTAAGTACCCAAGCCCCTAGTCGTAATTGGGTATAATAACTCTCAAGGCTACCAGAGGATTGACTGCTTTGGCTTTTAGCATCCTCTTTGCTTCTGGCACTTGAAGATTTCTCTTTTTTTGTGAGCCAAGACATGCAATTTAAAAAATTGTTACATTATATCCAACATTTCTAATGGTTTATATAGAGATAGTTTGAAAATAGCCTACTCTGCTATTTGGCCAATACTGTTCATCTAGTCCTATTACTTTTCAAACAGAAATCAGAATGTTATACTCCTCTATGCCTAAGATTTATAGTTGTACAAAGCAATATATGAAAAATGTTTGCTTCTAACTATTCTAGGCAGAGCTGACTTGATTAGCTTTAACCAATTAGCACCTAATCTTATAAAGGCCCTTTCAGTTCAGTTTTTAATGTCTTGGGAGGAGGCCGTGAAGGGGAACAGAATGATAATATCAGCCTTACTACAAGGACTGAAGTTATAAATACAAATTATCAGAGATTCAGACCAAGATTCGGGACCAGGGGTTCTTTTGGGATAATTCTACCTGAGCTACCACTTTTTAAGCCAAGGCCCACGTTTTTAAGATACGTTTTTCTATGCCCTAGACTTTTCTCACAACCTGATGAGTCCCTGCACAGCTTTCCATTCACTTTTCCACCCATTCCAATTTGGCTTTTCAACTACACCTTTATCAGTACAGCTCTTCCTAAAGTCATCAACGAATTCCATGTTGATAAATCCAATGGGCACTTCTCTGCCCGTGCCTTACTTGACCTCTCAGCAATATTAGATGTAGTTAAACACTCCTTTATTGAAAAGTGTCCTCTTGTGCTTTAGTTACACCACAATCTCCTGGATTTCTTCCTATCACTCACTGCCATCTCCATCCCAGTTTCCTTTGATGGTTCCTCTTTTTTTCTACCTGATCTTTCTTCAGGGCTCTTCTATTCCCTGTTTAGAGGTATCAACCAGTTATTTCCATGCCTTTAAATACCACCTATATGCTAATGATGGCCAATTTTATATCTCCAGTCCTGGCCTGTCAGAATCATATATTCTGCTGGTTGCACTGACATTTTCACTTGGCTTTTTACATATATCTTAGGGTTAATCTTTTTGATCTTCCACCCTTATTTTTCCCTTAGCCTTTCCCATTTCATTAATGACAGCTTTATCTATCCACTTGTTTAAGCCAAACTTTTATTTTTCCCTTTCCTTCATCCCTTATATCCAATTTTGAGCAAGTCCTGTTGGTTACATCTCTAAACTATATTTCAAATCTGTCCAACAGCTTTGTGATGTATAAGTATTATTACTTCTATTGCATTCTTACGCAAACAGAGATTAAGACAATATGTTAGTAAGTTGCCTAAGGGTCCATAGGTACTAAGCAGAGGAATCAAGGATGCAGTTATCTTTATTTCAAATTTACTACTCTTCCCATCATACCCTGACCTTCAAAGAATACTTGTGAGTAAACCCATGAACAAATTGATCCAGATTATAATAAAACTCATAATCATGGCTTTATCAGAAGAATATTGTCATCTACTGAAAAATAACTCTGCTATCTGTGGAGAATATTAATATCAATGCCTCTAAATATATTAAACTAGTTTCAGAATTTGAGACTGTGAAAGAGACAACCTGGCTTCCAGAACACCCTCTTTTCCTTTCAGGAATATGTGGCCTATTGTTCCCAAAACATATTTCATTCTTTCCGTAGGTTTTTATCCTACTTCTCTTCCTCCAGCAAGGGAATTAGATCACGAAAGAGGCTTGCCATGCTTTTATGTTGGTTTATCTACTGTCATGACTTTATTAATATTCAGCATTTCTCAACAAAAAGTCAAAGGGACAAAGGAAAGAAACTCAGCAGAGCCAGTACACATCATCATTATTATACTGTCTAAATACTTAGTAGCATTTGAAGATAAGAAGGATGTGTACTTTAATCAACCAGGGTTAATTTTATATGCTTAAAATAAATGCAAATATTGTTAGTATGATCAGGGAAACCAGCTGGTTGTCATCATTGGCATCTTTACCTTTTGTATATTATGAATTTTATTAGAAAGTTATTATCTTTCCAATTAATGAACTTGTCTTTCTGAATGAAGTTAGGGCACTGTTTTATTGGGATTTTTCCCCCAGTGATACCTTATACTATCATAAAATTCCTGCAACATTATCTGTGATCTTAATGAATTTTTAGTGAAACCCACTTGGCATTTGTTTGTCATTAATCTCATTTCTAAGCCTTGAATGCCATTATCATTTTATAGACTTCTCAGAATCAGTTTGGCTTAGAGTTTTATATTATTCTTAGAGACTTAACTACCTCTTTTTAGAGTTTCTTGCACATTCATTCAGATGCTAGAGATCTTTGTGACATCTTGTTTATATAAATTGTTTATTAACATTTTGTTTAAAATATAAGTATGGGCAGGGCATGGTGGCTCACATCTGTAATCCCAGCACTTTGGGAAGCCAAGATGGGAGGATCACTTGAGGCCAGAAGTTCAAGACCAGCCTGGTTAACCCAGCAAGACCCCATCTCTATTAAAATAATAAATAAATAAAATATAAATATAGACAGGGATTTTTGGTAATTATAATGTTTTTTGGAAGAATGGATGCTGGTTTTAACAAAATATGTTAATATGTCTTCTTTGAATTCCCCACAGAGCTGTGTACCATGGAGTGTGGTAGCCATGGAGTCTGCTCAAGAGGAATTTGCCAGTGTGAAGAAGGCTGGGTAGGACCAACATGTGAGGAACGCTCCTGTCATTCTCATTGTACTGAGCATGGCCAATGCAAAGATGGAAAATGTGAGTGTAGCCCTGGATGGGAGGGCGACCACTGCACAATTGGTAAGTACCACCATACTTTAACCAAAGTAAGTTGGATTAGTTGAAGTTAAGAGCAGTCTAGTGAGTCAATCACAAGGCATTTAGTAGAATTTGAGGTTGGAGTAGGGGAGGAGAAGGAGGGTTGGTTACAAGTTTTAAAGTTTTGTGAACTGGTAGGTTTCTTCTTTTGTCGATGACATTCTACGTATTTCTTGTGTTATTTCCTTTCTTATTACTTCAGTATTCCTTATGTTTTCTGCTTTCAAGTGCTTTGAGTTACTCAAGTGAAAGATGTTACATTGGAATAAGGTGTCATTAGTTAATAAGAAAAGTGCTTTTGTAGTGAAGGTAACATTCTCTGCCCATTTTTCCTTTTGAAAAGTATAGGTTGTTTCAGTTGAAAGCACTTAGAGGCAATTTCATTAAATGGGACTACTTTAACAGGGGCCATTCGATATCATTAGAGGCTGTCTTTAATGTATATGAGGAAGGCACTTCTGACCTATCATCAATAGAACATGTGTGTTGAATTGTTTATCCGGTAGTGTAGAGAGTTGGTCCTGAAGCCACCACTCTCCCTTCACCCCTTATTGCTAATTTCACAAAGGGAAAATGATCTGTGAATATGGAAAAGCCTATGTAATAATTAATTTATCATGTGATCTTCACACTATAAAAGATATTAAAAATAAATATTTCAGTTATAAAACACTTTCTTTTTCTGAAAAAAAGCAAAGCCCTTAACATATATTTCTATCCACCGCTAAGGTTTCTATGCAAGAAATCTTTGCATAGAAAGGTTGTCATTAATACAGAGTAACAAGTATGATTCCCATTGTTCAGCTAAAGAAAGGGGGTCACAGAGTGTTCCAGTGGCATTCCTTGACTACACAGAAAATTCATGCAGAGCAAAGGCAAATGTGGGCCTCTGGATACCCAATTTATTGTTTGTAGGCTTTTCCCTCACTAGACTATACTACAGCTTTCATTTTTAGGTGAAAGTATTTTGTTATAATGGTTGGAGCTTGCCAAAGTAATGTATAATATATATAATACATATAACATATAATCTTCATAAACTGCATTACTTCTCTACTAAAGGTACAGTAAGTCTTGTTCTGCAACTGTGGGAAATATTTAAGATTCATTAAAAAGGTGGAGAGGGGTGAGATTCAGATGTGTAGCTTAAGTAATTACATTCCTGTACTACAGTAAGTTTATTGCCTTTACATAAGAGGATTTAAATATTGTGATGATTACCATAGGTGGTTACTCCAGAACTCTCTTCTAAAGATATTACTAATAAGAAGTTGAAGCCAGTGCTCTTTCACAGGAGTTATTACTGAAATGTGAAAATGCAGTTCTTATACTTCTAATGAAATATGACACTTTTTATGAAGCCTAATAGAGTTTCTTGCAGAAATGCCATTAATATTGTTCTCACAGAAAATATTATTCACAAACTACACAGGCCCATGTACCCAACTTTTGAGCTGCAGGCATTTCAGCAGTGCGCAGTTTGCTGTTCTCCTCCCAGGCAACAGATGGTAAACCATTAGTACATATTGTATAGCTTTAGTCTCTCAGAAATTCATTTGATCACTCTTTTCCCCTCCCTTTTAGCTCACTACTTAGATGCTGTCCGAGGTAAGATTTTTCTCACTAATTTTATAACAGAAATATATTTTTAAAAGAAAATATGCATGTAAGAAAGAAAGGGTAGCGTTTTTTGGCATTTGTGTTGTTTGTTTTTATTTTTGGCAATCTTATTTAAATATAATGTTGTCAGTTTCATGCTAAAATAGTCACACTAAAAGGTAATTTGTTTTTTCAACATCAAAGAGTCACTTTTTCCCGTAGTATAGAATGGACTGATAAGCAGTTTTAAGGACTACTTTTTCTTGTCTTTATATTGAGTTCTGTGTATGTGTGTGTGTCTGGATCTGTGTGTATTACACAGGTAATTATTAAATAATTTTTAATAATTTAATAATTATTAAATAATTTTTAATAATTTAATAATTATTAAATAATTTGGTTCAGAAGATGAACTTTCTCTTTAACATAACAATATGGCTCCAAGTCCATATACAAGGACTCCTAAGTCCTTACAGGGGCAGGAGAATTATCCTCCTAGAAGTATCCCATCATCCATCCCTCCAAGGAGCTTCCTTTAACAGAGACAGCAAGGGTTTTTCTGCCAGATATCCTAGTGCCTTTCATTACCTCAGCTTCAGAAGTTTAATATGTCCCAAATTATTCTTTATTTCACCTTAATTATCTATTGCCTATCCATTAGAATAGAACTACAAAAATTCCCTTCTCAAACCTATGTATGTTTATCATATGCCATGTCATGAGTATATTACGTACATCAAGCTTTTCATATTTTCTAACAACCATCTGTCATTTTATTTTTAAATTTTTTCTTCCTCTTGTCTGTTGATAGTTGCTTGGAAAACTATTTAGAAGGAACACTGGGTTACTTCTACAGATTTTTTAATCTTTTTTTTGTTTTGCTCTTTATGCTTTTGGAATTTTCTTTCAAAGAAAGAAACCGAAATGAATATTGACTGGGCTATTCCCAGTAAAATTCACGTCTGGTCCTGTGTTGCTACTAGGAAAATACCCAGTAGCATTATAGTTGCTTTCTCCATTCATCTGCCCACTGCGCATGTGGCGCATGTGAAGTTACCCTTTGCTAGAGCTGAACTCCAGACTACGGGTACAAAGAGTAGGGCATCCCTGAGAAATTTAAAGTCTAAAGAGGAACCATTGTCAGTGTTAATGCTTTATCAATGGATAAAAGTTATTTAAATGCTACACTTTCCTCTTGACTTGATATTTTCCAGTTCTCTATAATTCAGAAAGTCTAGATCTGGCATGTATTAATTCCATAAACACTTATTTAACATTTAATATTATTGTTATAAGCATAATATCATGCAAGCTTTTGAGAGAGATACCATGGAAGTAAAGATTTCAATCGTTAGCCCGCAGATGAATAATAATCTTGAAGAGAAAAGCTGAATAAATATAAAGCAACTACAGCACATTTCTAAGGCACCATATGAACAAATACTTAATGGTGTGGTCTGAACTGTATACCAACATACTTAAGTCCTGAAGCAATACATCATAAGGGAAAATCAGCACAGACTAGAAGTAGTAGGGAAAGTTTCTCTTCATAGGGACTGCTATCTTTTCCCAACATATTGGCCATAACTAGATACAGTGTCATCCGTATAGTTTTGATTGAGATGAGGAGATATGTTTAGTGAAAAGAAAAAAAGAATTCTTGCCCCTGCCATAGTTTTCTTCCTATATGAACCAGGGGTTGGGAATTGGGGTTAGCATTAATAAAGCTTAATTGGCTCTCTAAGGAAAACCACTGCAGAGTAAGGGATAACAAGTTCCCTGGGAAGGTTTTGCAGGCAAGCAAGCTCCTCTTCCATTTATTCAACACCTCATCTGAATGGGGCCCAGATGGTTAGATGCTTCCCTATAGGCAAATACATCATTGTTGGCCAATCCCATTCTGATGTCTCTGTGATGGTTACTCTCTGATGTCTTTTCAGATGGCTGCCCAGGGCTCTGCTTTGGAAATGGACGATGTACCCTGGATCAAAATGGTTGGCACTGTGTGTGTCAGGTGGGTTGGAGTGGGACAGGCTGCAATGTTGTCATGGAAATGCTTTGTGGAGATAACTTGGACAATGATGGAGGTGAGTCATTTATAAAATGTTCACGTAAGAAAGGAATAGCCCAGCCTCTAGCACAGTGGTAATCAACCTGGCCAAGGGTGAAAATTAGGAATCTCTAGTATAAATGATACTGAGTTATATAGGGTAATGCTACCTTTTAGTCTCAATCACATTAAGAAGACATTACTTATTGAATATTACTATGACCAGGCAGTACTCCAATTTTTTTTGCATGTGTTATGTATCATTTAATTCTCACAATAACCCTATGAGGTATAGGTATTACTATTTTCCCCACTTGTAGATGGGAAAATTAATGCTCTGGGTGGGGATAGTAAGTGACTTATCCAGAATCACATAGCTAGAGAGTAGCAGAGCCAAGTCTCCAATTTAGGGCTATGTGACTTCAGAGCATATTTTCTCAACTACTACACCATGCTACCTCCCATACCCATGGCATTTATCATATCAAATTAAATTAACATACCACTATTCAAGTTGTTTGATGTTAGCATAGTTTGCACTAGACATGCTAAAATATTTTTCTTTGTTGTTAGTTATTTGGAACTCCCTCTTGTGTGTCTACCTTTTAGTAGCACTTTATACCTTTCAGAGGACATAGCATCGAGACAATTTATGGTAGAATTTTAAATATTTAATCAAGGAGCTGCGCATGATATTTTTTAAAACCACTGTGGCTCCAAGACCTCAGAGTTACCACTTCTCTTAGGAAAGCCAACAAAACATCTAACACACTGTATGATCAGACATCAAAACTGCCCAAACCACCTCTGAGTGAGCCTAAAACAACAAATCCTCACTTTCCACATACCTTCTACTCGAGGAAACATAAAATTAACAAAAAATTTTGTTTGAATTTCTGTATATTAGCTTAAAATGAAGTATATTATTAAATTTGACACTTCACATTTCTATATCTGCTTAGACAATTGCATTCCTTGTCATTTGAATTCAGACATGAGGCAGGATTATATTAATAAGGTAGCAGTCATGGCTTAAGCACCAAACTGCATTATAAGAGTTTCTTCCTTTACTTGTTCTGGCTAACAGTTAACCTTTAAAAGTTTTAAGACCTTATCAAAATTAAGTGGAGGCAACTTTGTGATTAAGAACACAGAGATTTGAAGTTAAACTGTCTGGATTCAGATACTAGCTCTGGCTCTTATACTAGCTGCATGATTTGGGACAAGTTTTATGATATCTCTGTGCTTCCATTTCCTTATTTCTAAAATGGGGTTGATGATATTAAATGATATTACCATTTTTCCCTATAGTAGAATTAAGATGATATTGATGATAAATATAGATTCAGTTCTACTTTGAGACAGAAGGATAGGTTGAATAATTAGACACACACTGTCTAATAGGGTTGTAATAAGTATTAAATGAGATAGTTCAAGTGAGCCACTTGAAAGATAGTAAACTACACCACACATACACACACACACACACACACACACACACACACACACACACACAAATAGAAGAGACTATTTTCTGAAGAGACTGTTTACTACCCATATAACTTGAAAACCTTGTTTTGGAAACCGGAGTGAAGTTTTCAATCTAATGATCCACTGATAAACTATTTAGTTTATTTTTATGGCCCTCTAAGACTCATCTTCACTTTCCTTCTTGTCTTTTTCATTATATACCTTTTACCTGGCACATCTTCATGTCTTCTCCACCCATTGTTCTCTGTCCATAATTTAAGTCTCAACTTAAACCATATCTCCCATGAAACTTCTGACATCCACCTCCTCAATTACCCATGGTGTTGATAATATGCACTATACAATCAAACACCTAATTATATTCTGTATATGGTTTTCTTGTTGCATGTTAAGCATGACCCATTGCCCATAGTTATATTCCCAATATGTTGAAAATAATAGTATCTCACTTGTATTCAGGATTTACTATGTGCCAGGCACTGTGCTGAGCCCCTTATGTGAATTATTTCATTTAATCCCCATTATGTAGGAACATTTTTTTTTCTTTTTGAGACAGGGTCTTGTTCTGTCTCCCATTCTGGAGTGTAGTGGCACAATCTCAGCTCACTGCAACCTCTGCCTCTGGAGCTCAGGTAATCCTTCTGCCTTAGCCTCCTGAGTAGCTGGGACTACAGGCACACACCACCACTCCTGGCTAATTTCTATAATTTTAATAGAAACAGGATTTCACCATGTTGCCCAGGCCCGTCTCAAACTCCTGGGCTCAAGCAATCTGTCTGCCTCAGCCTCTGAAAGTGCTGGGATTTCAGGTGTGAGCCACTGCACCTGGCCAGGAACTACCATTAACACTACTTTACAAATTAGGAAACTGAGACACAGAGAAGTCAAGTAAGTTGTTAAAAATCACATAGTAAGCAAATGATAGGTCCTGGATATAAACCTAGGTAGTCTGCTTCATTCTAAAAAGGATTTGGTATAATAATAGGAATTTCTCAGTTATGTATTGATTAAAATGTTATGCTCAGAAAACACATTAACAACCTATGCAATTATAATTTCTGGCTCAGTTAAGGTTGAGCCAATGTTTCCTGCCTTAGTAAAGTAATAAAAATAATTGAATATTTAATTATCACCATTTTTTATGGCCTCAAGGTCATCTCAAGGCAGCCAAAATGTTTAAAGAATGGATCAATTAAATATTAATGAATTAATGAATTATCAATTCTCAATGCCTGTGGTCTATGTAGATTCAGAAGACATAGAAGATTTCACTGAACGTGTATTGACCTGTGAACATTCCTTAAAACTATGTATCTATATGCAAATTAAAAATCAAAGACCTTAATATGAGCTCAGTATATTTTTATGATCGTCTCTTTAGGGAACGGGGGGAAAGCTCCTTGAGATTTCCGATTACCATTTTTCCCTATAGTAGGATTAAGATGATATTGATGATAAATATAGATTCAGTTCTACTTTGAGATGGAAAGATAGATTGAATAAACTCTGAAAGCCCCATGACTAAGATTTTAAACCAATAATTTCATTTTTATACTGTTCAAATATTACCCCTGAGAATATATTAAATGCCCTTCATTTGGTAGTCTCAGCTTTCCAGCTATCCATAATGGCTGGTTTCATTTAGTTAAATATGACTAATTATTAATATTTGCTTAATATTAATATTAGTCTACTTGTTTGTGCATGTGTGTATATGTGTGTGTTTTAATTACATTAGAAAGCACCAATTGAACCGTTTTGGGAAAAAGTAGTTCTAATTTTAAAAATGTAATTCTTAAGAAATCTTCCCAATCAAAAAAAATCACTTTCAAGCATTTGCTTCAAGTAGCTGCTACCTGATTACTCCATATTATAACTGATACTTAAAGAATGGTGGAATTTTTTTGCATTCTAATCAGCTTTGAATACTCATTAGTATTGCTGCTACTTCCTGAAGCTTTGACTTTAGTTACCCTCTGATTCAATGCATTGTGATTCTCAGTAACTAATTGGGCTGCATTGAATATGTGGGTGACACCGCTGGTCCAGAAACTACCTAAAAGCTCCTTGAACAGTAAAAACAGAACAGAGAAAAAATAACCTTTGGATGTTTTTTCTTAAGTGCAAAAAAGGAAAGCTATCTTATGTATTGTATATACAAGAACTAATTACTATAGAAGTCACAAACCTATGAAATGTCTTGACCTCATTCATCTCTTTAATCAAGAAGCACCTACCACATGCACAACCCTATACTTGGAGGAAAAAACTTACTATGGTGACCACATTTTCATTTGTTAATCATGTGTCCTAATTTGGAGTTGGTTACATATGATCACCATACATTACATGCACATATGAATTAACATCAGAAAAAAAGTTTGGACATTATATTAACTGAGTCAGAATAGCTAAAACAAACAATAGTGAAAGATAGAACTATCAGACATTAAGGCATATTTGAAAGCTATGATAATTAAAGCAAAGTGGCACTGATGTGAGAATAGACAGATTAATGCAACTGAATAAAAGCTCTAGAACACACCCAAGTACAAAATTTAGTATATTATAAAACTGGCATCAAAAATCAATGGGGTAAAATAAGCATTATTAAATAAACGGAACTGTGACAACTCTTAAGAAAAATGCCTTAGATTTTTTAATTCATACCATATACCTAAAGAATAAGATAAATAAAAACACTTCAACTGGATTAATGAGTTAAAAGTAAAAGAAAACAAACAATTCAAAAAAAAAAGTGGTGATAGATCTTACAATGAGAAAGCACTTTGTAAACATAAAAAGAAACCATAATAGGAAAAAAAAACAATAAATTTGACTTAGTAAAAATGTAAAACTTTTTTATAATGTTTAGCTAAATGTGTAGACCATCCAATATCTAAATATTTGCAGACATCAAAATCTACACTGTCTAGTATGGTAGCCACTGGCCACATGTGAGTATTTAAATTTAACTTAAATAACATAAAAAAATTCAGGATCTCAACTGCACTAGTCACATCTCAAGTGCTCAGTAGCCACATGAGACTAGTAGCTACTGTACTAGACAGCACAGTACTAGAACATTCCTAGCTTTAGGAGAAGTTATATTGGATAGTGATGATCCAAATGTTTCACTCAAATGTTACCTTTAGGCCAAACATTTCACATTAAGTACCTGGTTTTCCATTAATTCATTACTACTTCTTGCTAACTATTGTGCTTGACACTGGAGAGAAAATGATAAACAATACAAGTTTCTGCCTTCATGGAGCTTATGGTCTAGCAAGGCAGGTAGATATTAAATAATCCACACAAATATGAGGGACTTCAAAAAGCTCATGGAAAGGGAGACTTGAAATATAAATATTTTAAAATATAAACTTTATTTCTCAACAAAAATATAAACTTTACTTCTACATCAAGTTCAAGACAATTTTGTAAGGGATGAGTCCATCCTGATATAACTGAGGGTCCTGGGAACTTAACCAGTCTTCTTTACATTGTTAACTGAAGAAAAATGGGTACCCTTTAAAGATTTTTTAAGATTAGGAAACAAAAAAAAATTAGAAAGAGGCAAATCAGAACTGTAAGTAAGGTAAATGCGTAATGATTTCCCATTGAAACTCTTGCAAATTGCCCTTGTTTAATGAGAGGAATGAGCAGGAGCATTGTCATGGTGGATTAGGACTCTCTGGTGAAGCTTTCCTGGGTGTTTTTCTGCTAAACCCTTGGCTAACTTTCTCAAAACACTCTCGTAATAAGCAGATATTATCGTTCTTTGGCCCTCCAAAAAGACAACAAACAAAATGCCTTGAGGACCCCAAACAACTGTTGCCTCCTGGGTTCAAGCTATTCTCCTGCCTGAGCCTCCCAAGTAGCTGGAACTATAGGTGCATGCCACCCCCGCCCCTCCGACTAATTTTTGTATTTTTAGTAGAGATGGGTTTTCACCATGTTGGACAGGCTGATCTCGAACTCCTGACATCAAGTGATCTGCCTGCCTCAGCCTCCCAAAGTGCTGGGATAACCACTGCTGTTGACCAGTCCATTCTTGCTTTGACTGGACCTCGTCCACCTCTTTGTAGCCATTGTTTTGATTGTATTTTGTCTTCGGAGTCATACTGGTAAAGCCACATTTCATCTCCTATTACAATTCTTCAACAAAATGCTTCGGGATCTTCATCCCATTTATTTAAAATTTCCATTGAAAGCTCTGCTTTTGTCTGCTGCTGATCTGGGAGTAACAGTTTTGTACTCATCAAGTGGAAAATTTGCTTGACTTTAATTTTTCAGTCAGAATTGTGTAAGCTGAACCAATTGAGATGTCTGTGGTGTCGGAACTGCTACTGCTGTTCATCATCGATCCTCTTCAATTAGAGCACAAACAAGATTAATTTTTCCTCACAAATTGATGTGGATGACCTGCTGCTGCAGGCTTCATCTTCAGCATCATCTTGTCTCTTCTTATAATGAGTTATCTATTTGTGAACTGCTGATTTCTTTGGGGCATTGTCCCCATTAACTTTTCATAAAGTATCAGTGATGTCATCATTCTTCCACCCAAGTTTCATCGTAAATTTGATGTTTGTTCTTGCTTCAATTTCAGCAAAATTCATGTTGCTCTGACAGGGACTCTTTTCAAAATGATGCCTTATCCTTCTTAGTGCCTCAAACTAGATCCTGTTCAGATGTGTTACAACAAGTTAGTATGACTTTATTTTAGTGGAAAAAAAATTTGAACTCCTTGCATAGTTTTCTCATGATACACATTTTCCAAGAACTTTTTGAAGATCCCTCATAGCTATATATTTACAACTGTGAAGAGTGCTAGAAAAATTTTATAATTTTAAAATTGTGTAATTCTATAAATGTGCATGGGGACCTGACCTAGTCTGGGTGGTGAGAGAGGCCTCACATGAGTCAGGGGAAAAACGTTCCAGACAGAGGAAACAGCATGTATATATGCCCTGAGGTGGAAATGTACTAGGCTCTAAAGTAAAAGGCATGTCTTTGTGGCTGGAACATGAGTCAGGAAGAGATTAGTATAGAAAAGTAGTCAGGGGCCAGATCATACAGAACATTGTGAGTTTTACAAGATCTTCAGTTACCATACAAAGATTCCATTTCATTCACTCGACTTATGGAGGAAGGAAAGTGGTCTCTGATATTGTGGAAATATTTTCAAGGAGGCTCAAAAAATGTAGAGTAAGAGTGTTTAATCCAAACAGCCTTTTTTTCTCTGATCTTTTAAGTATTTATCACGTTTGTCCAAGCTTCTCTGGTATAAACTCTTCCAGTGGTCTATATTCATATTCATTGGTAAAATCAATAAGTTAATTGCCTAAAAGAGAATGATCTTCCAGGAATCATTCTTCATAACAAGTCACCATTCATTAAGAGCAATAGCTATTTGCAAGCCTCTTTTATGATGTAGTGTTTCTAGATCCAGAAAACAGCACCATGGGTGAGTTATGAACACATACAAGCTCATGGATCAATGAGCCTCATGTTTAGAATGGCACCAGCATGCTTCAGTGTTTAATAAATAGGAAAATGAAAGAGAAGGAACAATGAATTTATAACATTTACTCTATTTAAGAGGCAGACATCTTCACATTTACTTTTGAGATTTGGTTGGAGACAAAAGACTTGGCATCAGAAAGCATATTTCTAATTATTCTTTTCTCACCATACCCCTTTAATTTTGAAGCAACCCATTTATTAATGGATCATCACTTAGTTATAAGAGCCTAAACTGCCCAAGTGCCTCCAGATGCAACTGCAAAGTAGAAAATCTCAACTCTGTAACTGTTCACCACTGTATGACTGGGCCCATCACATTATCTACCAACTAAGGCTACTGATACTTGATATCTGTCTACTTTGCAGTGATGAAAATGAATGAGAAAAGAGTTGAAATACAGTCATTTAAAGTGGGCAATAAAAGTGTGTTATCAATGAAGAATCTGTTAATAACAATTTGATATATTAGTTGGACATTTGTTAATCTCTGGGCACATTTACAAATGTCATAGAAATAGGACTTTTATGGCATCCATTTATTCATTATTCAAATATATAATGAATGTTCATTTTTTGGGGGGGAGGATGGAGTCTCGCTCTGTCACCCAGACTTGAGTGCAGTGGTGCAATCTCGGCTCACTGCAACCTCCACCTCCTGGTTTCAAGCTATTCTCCTGCCTGAGCCTCCCAAGTAGCTGTAACTATAGGTGCATGCCACCCTCACCCCCCAGCTAATTTTTGTATTTTTAGTAGAAATGGGTTTTCACCATGTTGGCCAGGCTTGTCTCAAACTCCTGACATCAAGTGATCTGCCTGCCTCGGCCTCCCAAAGTGCTGGGATTACAGGCGTAAGCCACCGTGCTGGGCCTTGAATGCTTACTTTAAGCCAGGTACTGTTCTAGTCATTGAGGAAATAGCAATGCATAAAAAAGATAAAATTCATGCTTCCATAAAGCTTATATTCTAGTTACAAGAGGCAGAAATTAAACCAAATTTTAAAAATACATATTATGATAGAAGGTGGTAAATGTGATGAAGAAAATTTGTTTTTTTTTTTTTTTTTTTTTAAAGGCAAGATGGTTACCAAAGGCTGGCAAGGGTAATGGGGATTTAAAGGGGAATTGGAGATGGTTAATGGTGCAAAAAGATAGTTAGAAAGAATGAATAAGACCTACTTTTTTTTTTTTTTTGAGATGGAGTTTCACTCTTGTTGCCCAGGCTGGAGTGCAATGGTGCTATCTCAGCTCACTGCAACCTCTGCCTCCTGGGTTCAAGTGATTCTCCTGCCTCAGTCTCCCGAGTAGCTGGGATTACAGATGCCCACCACCACGCCCGGCTAATTATTGTATTTTTAGTAGAGACAGGGTTTCATCATATAGGCCAGGCTGGTCTCGAACTCCTGACCTCAGGTGATCCACCCCCCCCCTCAGTCTCCCAAAGTGCTGAGATTACAGGCGTGAGCCACCACACCTGGCCAAGACATACTATTTGATAGCACAACAGGGTGACTACAGTCAATAATTTAATTGTGCATTTTAAAATACCTAAAATAGTATAATTGGATTGTTTGTAACACAAAGGATAAATGCTTGAGGGGATAGATACCCCATCTTTCATGATGAGATTATTATACATTGCATGCCTGTATCAAAATATCTCAAGTACCCCATAAATATATACACCTACTATGTACCCACAAAAATTTAAAATTAAAAAAATTAAGATTAAAATAAGGCAGGAAAAGGAAGGACAGGGAGTGTAGGACGGGGAAATTTTAAATAAGGTAGCCAGAGAAAATCTCACTAAGAAGATGACATTTGAATAAAGACCCAAAGGAGGTGAAGGTTAAGCCATGTTGATACCAGGGAGAAGAACATTCCAGGCATAGGAATAGTGTGTGCAAACGTCCTGATAACATTGCCTGGGAAATTAAGGAACAGCCAGAGGAGTGGGAAGGAGATTGGGTGGATCAGAAGAGGTAAGATCTGAGAGGTAAGAGGGAGATGGCAAAGAATCAGACTGTGAGGTAATAAGTCATTGTTCAGACTTAGGCTTTTATTCTAAGTGATATGAAAAGCCATCAATGGCAGGTAGGCACCAGGAGGACATGAACATTAGTGGCATACAAACAACGTATTTTCCCAACCCAGAAAAGTTTAATGGTATGTGGTTATAGCAACAATAATGATTTGGGCAGGCCAATCCTGAGTGCACTTGAGTCTCTCTCACTTTCTTTTTTCTAATACAGTAAATCCAGGGGTGAAAATCAGCCTGAAGAAATGAAGAATATGAATTATAGACTATTTCCAGAGGAAATACAGTCCTATTACCTTCAATACATGTAAGGGCAACAACTAAGCTAACAGGAGTGCCTAGTAGGAGGCCTGCTTTAGTAAAGAGTTATGAATGATTTATAGTTAGTTCATTGCTTATGGCTTTCTAAAATGCCTAAGAAGACTTTGCTTTACTGAGTCATTGGAATGATCAGCCCTTCCATTTTATTTTCACTATTAATTTGCTCAGCAGACCCACTGTTCTACAGATGCTGAAAAGCTTAAGCTTAAATCCAACCCCTGTCCAAATGGTGACAAATTCTGAATCAATCAAATCCAATGAATGAAAAGTTTCTGTAGTATTAGTGTTTGTCTACTCAGAGTCACATAAGATCCTACCTACCTGACAACCTAACCAAGCATAGTTCATAAAATGAACACATTCCAACAACTGGAACGTGCTACACAGAAATCAATTACCCTCTGGCCAGTGATAAGGCAACTTCAATAAAAGGGGTTGAATGCTTTAAGCTGCCATTGCAAACCATTGACATCTACCCCTAAGACTCTATCCTTAGATTCTTTGCAGTCTGTATGTTTTAGAATTTGATATAATAACAACAGCTAACATTTATCAAGTGCTGGTTATGTACTAGATAGTAAGCTTATTATGATTACCTTTCCAGCTTTATTGAGGTATAAATGGTGTACAAAACCTGAACATAATAAATGTAAATAATTTGGTCAGTTTACACATATGTATAAACTCATGTTACCATCACCACAAACAAGGTAATAAACATATCCATTACATCCAACGGTTTTCTTCTTGTCCCTTTGTTCTGGGGTGGAGTGTGTGTGTATGTGTGTGTGTGTGTGTGTGTGTGTGGGTGTGTGTGTGTTAAGAACACTTAACATGAGGTCTACCCTCTTAAAAAATTGTTAACTGCACAATACCTCATTATTAACTATAAGTACTATGTTGTACGAGAACTTGCTCATCTTATAACTGTGACTTTATACCCATTAAACAACTCCTCATATCCCCATAACCAATCCCCAAGTAACCACCATGCGGTTGTCTACTTCTATATGTTTGACTATCTTAGATGCCTCATATAAGAGCAATCATGGAGTATTTTCCCTTCTATGACTGACTTATTTCACTTAGCCTAATGTTCTCCAGTCTATGGCTATACCACCCTGAGTGCACCCAATCTCATCTTTATTATAGCATGTGATACTTACAACAACTTATAGAGTGAGTATTATTGTTATTTACATCTTACAAATGAGGAACTGACTTGTCTAGGATTCTACAGATTGTAAGTGGCAACGTTAAGCTTAGAGCCAAAGCAGGGCTGGCCCGGTGGCTTACGCCTGTAATCCCAACAGTTTGGGAGGCCAAGGCAGTTTGATCACCTGAGGCCAGGAGTTTGAGACCAGCCTGGCCAACATGGTGAAGCCCCATCTCTACTAAAAATACAAAAAGTTAGCTGGGCATGGTGGCAGGTGCCTGTAATCCCAGGTACTCGGGAGGCTGAGGCAGGAGAATCACTTGAACCCAGGACACAGAGGTTGCAGTGAGCAGAGATCACGCCACTGCACTCCAGCCTGGGCGACAGAGCAAAAGTCCGTCTCAAAAAAAAAAAAAAATAGAGCCAAAGTAGTCTGTTTTTGTTTTCTTTTGTTTTGTTTTTTACCTTAACCACTTCATGTGCTCTAAATACCTATGTATAGTCATGCACTTGGAAGTCCTACAGCCTAGATCAGTACTAGTAATACACACTGTTTAGATGATGATGTGAATGTGTGATTTGCATGCATAACACTAGGTGTTCATATGACTCCCAGGTTACTTCCCACTGCAACTACATTTAGCCTCCCCTTCTTTGTTTGTAATATAGGGATGAGAATATCAACCTAACAGGCTTGTTGAAGGGATTTGTTGAGATAATATACGTGGATGTACCTAGTGCCTGGCAAATATTAACTAATCTGTACGTGTTTTCAAATCCTTTTGTATAACCTACCATGAATTAACCACCCATTATTATCAAGGTGATAATACAAGTGCTGTCTCTAAAGGATATATATTTGTAAATTCATTTTCAGGATTAGAAAGTATGGGTTTCCTCTGTATCACTCATATTCCTTCATCCATTTCCCCTTTCAGCCAAGGGCATACAATTAGTAGGCATAAGTTTACTAGTGATGACTTGATCACGCAGCAAAGAAACCAGTGCTTCATCAACACCAATTGAGCCAACTGGCAAAGTCCCAAACTGGTTGGCAAAGCTAGGATCAATGAATGCCATAGATAGTCCTTCAAGTCAGTGTAACCTCCCTCTTTTTTAGCTACCTAGTATTTTTATTCCTTTGAAGAGAACAGGCCCTAAAAGTAAAAATCAGTTAATATTTGACATGCCCATATCTGACGACGCTGAGCTTGGCTGTCAGTAGGGTGCCACAGCTTCCAATTCTGAACAATTAGAAAAAAAAAAAAAAACTGTTAATAGCCAAAAAACAAGGCACATATTCAGTGTGATTGTCATTTGCACTTCTTTGCAACAGTCTAGACGTACTATATGGGGTGTTAGTCAATGTGATAATTGGTAAGTTCATCTTTGCCCGTGTGCTGGACTTACCTACAAATTATAATACGGGGTTTGCATGCCATTATTGATCGGCTTGCCTGAGGTCTTTCTAGACTCAACAGGAGCCTTGCTGATGTCTCAGAAAACAGAGGTCTTAAAGGGTCAGCCCTACATAATAGGCAATGATTAAATATGAAACATTAGCTTGGAATGTATAGAACATTACTAGATGAGAATGTGAGTCCCAATTATGAATTGGTTCTATGTTTAGATTTTTTTAGTTTTTTTTTAAGATCGTTTTTGGCATTAATATTTATTTAAAATCTATTTATTTTCAAAAATAAGTCGGAATTTTGTGGTTGACAGGTTGAAACCTGTGACTGCCCAATGTGATTATTACTAGTGTATTTGTTAATATTTGCCAGGCATGACACTGGATACTTCCACATATATTAGCTCAATAACAAATTCAGTATTCAATAAAAATGTAAAAGTGACTGCCCATTTGAAAAGCAGTTTTTCATTGTTTAGTGCATTATGCACCAATTCCAGACATCAGAGAACTCTCTTAATCAGCCTGATATTTTTGCCAGCTTTTCAGCGCATCCAGATGTTTAATTAGCAGAGTAAAGAGATAATGTGCTAATAAGAGGCTGAGAACAGCGTATTGGAGGGAGAGGTGGTAGTGGTATCTAAAATCCCTAAAAAATCTGTTAATATAATTTGCTGAATGATGGGAAAAGGGGAAGCAGAAAGAAACTTCTTATTGAAACAAATTCACACTAAAAAGTCATCAATGAAAAAAATATGTATACAGAGAAATAGAAATCAGGGGCAAAAACACATTGAACAAACAGGGAAGGCAAGAAAAAAAGCAAACTGCATTTTAAATCAAAGTAGTGTCTATAGTACAGGGAATTTGAAAGGACCACATGTGGGGAAAAATATTTCCTGGGTGCCCTAGGGCTGCTGTTCCAAACGTCTACTCTCTTGGTGTTCCTCGCTTTCATTGCCCCCAGCTGTGGTACACCCGCCTCTAACTCCACGGGAGCAGACAAGTGGGGGAGAGAGAGCAAGCAAAAGAGCTGCAGGAAATCAGTGCTAGTAACTTGCTGCAGCAGCAGCCTTAAGGAGACGGTGATCCATCCGAACCTTCCTATTCCAAGGCAAGCCAAGAAGATTAGTGTCTTTATATTTACCCTTGTTAAACAACTGAATTAGAGCCACTTGCCTTCTTTAAGGACCTGGGAAGAACTTTAATTTTTTTGCTTATGGGGCATGGAATGAAGTGTCCATATGCTCAGTTAATCACTCCAACCCCTTCTCTTTGCATGTAACTCTCTTAAAGCACTTCTTACATTTTTGCTAGTATAAGAGTTAGCTGTTTACATATCTCTTTCTCCTACTAAGCCCAGAGCTCTTGAAAACAGGAAAAGGGTATTTTTATCTCTTCACCTCTGCAAGCACCTAACAGTATTTTGCACCTGTTAGATTCTCAGTGGTCTCCCTGCCTCACAATCCCTGTTCCCTATATCATTTCTCTACCAAAGAACAAAGCCTTTGTATGAGTTTTATTTGTGGTACAACAGTGGATTCAGCAGTCTACAGCAAATGGTGAAGGGCCAGAAAATGAAACAGAGAAAGTCATCGCATTCATGTATGTCAGATTTGGTAGTAATTGCATCGGCTGGGTGCGGTTGCTCACGCCTGTAATCCCAGCACTTTGGGAGGCCGAGGTGGGCGGATCAAGAGGTCAGGAGATGGACACCATCCTGGCTAACACGGTGAAACCCCGTCTCTACTAAAAATACAAAAAATTAGCCGGGTGTGTTGGCGGGCGCCTGTGGTCCCAGCTACTTGGGAGGCTGAGGCAGGAGAATGGCGTGAACCCGGGAGGCAGAACTTGCAGTGAGCCGAGATTGTGCCACTGCACTCCAGCCTGGGCGACAGAGAGAGACTCCGTCTCAAAAAATAAATAAAATAGAATAGTAATTGCATCAAAAAACTGCTGTTAGGCATGTTAACTCTAGTTCCTTCTATAAATTCCTTAAAAAACTGGTTCTGCAACTTTAGTATGCTTCAGAATCACCCAGATTAAGTATGCATAATCCTGGGCTCTGTAAAAATTCTGAGTCAGTAGGTGGAGCTCAAGAATATGCATATTTTATAAGCTCCCTAGGTAATTGACAACAGATTTGAAAATCATTGCTCGAAATATCTTTTTTCACCATGAGAATCCCAACCTCTATTTTGAGCATTACCAGTAGACAACAATATTGGGAGGATTTTTTAAAAAAATACAAATTCAGGTAGCAAGTACTTGTTAATTGTGTGCTCATAGATGTACTAGGTGTACTTACAAGAAATCATCGCATTCGGAAAGAATGGTCTCACTGAGGAAGAAGAAATTTCTAAACAGTGATATGTAATAGAATTGTTTACCCAAACTCTAAACAATAACTATATAAACTATATTCTCCAGCTGATAAATGCTGGATAATTCAGGAAAGAAAAATTTATGAACAAAATACTTTGAATTTCTCTGAGGTGCCATGTGAACTCAGAGTGAGTGATAATTCATGAAAAATGTGAATTTAACAAATTCTGAACTCAAAACAAGGTTGATTATCTTTGGCTATATTTTAGAATTTTCTCCATTTATGTATATTTTAAACTATATTTTTCTCTTGAAGCTAAATAATCAATATTGGTTTTGGGTTTTATTTCCAGATGGTTTAACCGACTGTGTGGATCCTGACTGTTGTCAACAAAGCAACTGTTATATAAGTCCTCTCTGCCAGGGCTCACCAGATCCTCTTGACCTCATTCAGCAAAGCCAAACTCTCTTCTCTCAGCACACTTCAAGACTTTTTTATGATCGAATCAAATTCCTCATTGGCAAGGACAGTACTCATGTCATTCCTCCTGAGGTGTCATTTGACAGCAGGTACATATGTATTTATTTTATTCCTTAGTGAACAATGGTCATGTTTTTCCTGAACTACGAAAGGAAGATATCTTCTAAGGATCAGGTTACTTCCCATTCCACATAATCCACGTTCATTTCTTTTTAGGACTTCTCTGGAAAGCCAAAACCCTTACTGATTAAGGAAAAAACTCATTTCTAGAGATTCTGTATCATAAAATTATGTGTGTATGTTTGTGTATGTATATATATAATATGGCTTTTAATAACAAAAACAGGAGGGAAATATAATTTGCAAATTTATTGTTTAGCTTCTGGATTGATTCATTGAAAAAATCTTGAATTTCAAAAACTAAATTTTAAGTTTTATTTCATGATGAAAAATGTTTCCATAGGAAAGGGTTGAATAAGTTTGACATCCTAGTGTGAAATGCAAGACTCGTGAAAAATCTGTCTTCCGGGAAAGCTCAAATGCATGAATTGTCACTTAAGACCTCAGACCAAAGCCCAACCCATAAGGCAAATAATTTTTTTAAAATAAGCTTACTTATATGAAGTGTAATAACATGAATTTGCTCACTGTTATTCTTTAATTCATCTTCAGCGATGATATATTTTACTAATTAGCATTAGAGGTAAGTCACTAAAGTCAACATTTCCAGACACAAAAATGTTCTCCTGTATGCATTCCACAAGTCAATATTTCACTGGCTTTGTAGACTGTTGCAAACAGGAATTTTTAAGAAACATGGAAAGTATTTGTCCAGGAACTCCTGTCTACATCCCACTCCCTCAGTTGCAGCCTGGTGGGAGTTATCATTCCCCAAGAATAACTTGGTCAAGAGTTTATATTGATATCAGTGACAATCTAAGAAAATTACAACTCCATCTTGACCTATACATAGTAGAAAAGGGGAAAAATAAGATGTGCATGGAAATTTCAAACTCTCAACTCCCTTCCCTTCAGTTGTATACTAGAACTGTTATTGAAACTTAAAAGTTTAAAATTTTTTTTTTATTGTGTAGTTCTGACTCTCTAGGTCTCTGGCAGAACCCAAAATCCAACTGCCAGTGAATCACAAGAAAGGGCTTTTCTGCCAGGGGATCTAGTCAAAGTTTTCCTTCTTCCAAGAGATTCAGTCATCTCCATTTTGAAGTATTTCTTCCAGCTTCAATAACAACTCTGCAGTGACTTTCAGATGTGGTATAGTCAAAGTGATTATTTAGATAGTCGAGACTTATTTATTATACACCAGAGGAACAAAAAGAACAAAAAGCAACCATTATCCCTGTTTTCCTATTTAAGGTAGAGGTAAGACATCAACTCTGTAGCTTTCTTCACTCATAGAGAAAAGTTGATCCAAAAAAAAGAAATGAAGTGAAAGAAATAACAACCTCCATGACATGGAGAAGTGTTAAATGACTCACTAAACTCAAGTAAGGGGAGAAAGTCAAGACCTAAGAGAGACAAGAGACAAGTCATTGTGACCCAGAGCAGAGCATGTGAGCAATAAACTTAGAAAAGTGAGGACAAACTTAAATCCCTGCGGTTTAGCTTCATGCATCAGCAGCACTTGCCAGCCGCTCAGAGTGAATAAACCTATTTCTTGTGGTGGTTAATGCCCTTCTCCTCCTCCTGGTTTGATTGAGTTTCCCTCATTCTTTTGTAAAATGCTCCAAGTTATCATTTGGCTCTGCAAGTCACATTTAAATTCAGAACGATGGGTCTCCTTCATCCAGGGGTCTCAGCTCTTACAAATATATCCATTCTATCAGAAAAGGCAAAGGCTTTTCGTGAGGAAAGTAGCTGAGGACAAACAATCTAATTCTATTTCCTCTAAAAAATCAACACATGCATTTTTATTTGGGATATCTTTGGGCAAAATAAGTCCAACTCTGATCATATATATAAATCATAATAGCTACAGTCTCTTACATCTATATAGTACTTTTTAGTTTACAAAGCAAACAAACATACATTATGTCCTTTTATCCTCACATTATCCCTGTAAAGTAGATACTTGTATTAGGTGCATTTTATATATAAGGAAACTGAGGTTCAGAGAGATTAAATAACTTGCCCCAAATCACACATGCAGAAAGCTTGCATTGTAGCAACTCTTGTAACCTTTCCATTACGCCACAGCTGCCCCATTTCAATGGGTCCTTAAATAAGCCTGGTGACGTGAACCAAATTTATACTAGGTAAATGGTATTTGGGTCAACACAAGAAACTTAGAAACCAAATGACATTTTAAAAATCCAGTTCAATTTAATACATTTCAGTGACATCATTTACAAACTTCAAATCAGTGCTAATGAATTTTTTCTTTGTAGATCACAATTGAGTGACTCATGAAATGGACCTTTTGATACATGTAAATTGTCCTTGGGCATTTGTTATGTCAAAGATCTCATGCTAAACTTTTACATGTGTTATTTAATCCTCACAAAAACTCTATATGGTAGGTACTATTACTATCTCCATTTGTCAGTGAGGAAATAAGAACAGAGATGCCCAGTAAATGACTTGTTCAGGGTCACAATTAATGAGTGTCAGTCAGATTTCGAACCCAGAATTTGAACTGGTGCTGACAGCCTAGTCTCTAAACCACTATGCTGGGCCATTTTGGCTACTTAGAAAGCTGGGCTAGCTGAATGTGAAATACTTATGGCTCTTATACATCTCGGACTGTAGGATTGCTCTCCTCAGGCAGATCTAGGACACTTATGTGCCATAATCAGGTGAACAAACCACTTTGCTTTTTAGTTTTTGCTGCATAATTGAGAGAGAGAGCTGGGTAGGCGGGTGAAGAAAGCATTTTGAAGGGGCTTGTTTGCCTACCGGCAAAATGCGACCCACACAGCTGATTTGCTGCTGAATGTTGCCACCATCAGAAACCTTTGGAGCTAAAGATGGTGGCACACAGGTGACTAAGTGTTGCAAGGACACACAAAAGCTAAAAAATTGTTTATCCTTGTGCAACCAAGAGAGACCAGACCTTCTTGTTTTGAGTTAGCTGCACCCACATGTGAAAGCCCATGGAATATGTATGTTCTGTGCCGTGTGATGGTGTAACAACAATGTGAACGTGCACCCTGCCCATGGTGAAGATCTTGGGCAAACTCAACTGAGTTGCCATTTTTTTCCTAAATGCAATTTATATCCTGTAGCTCGAGTTTGTTTTCTTCAACTACTCCAAACATGACTGCAAAGTAAACCACATATTCTACGAGCCCTGTACGACTTATTACTTTTTAAAAATGTAAATAGGTGAACAGAAGCATTATTGATCTTTAGTGTCTAAGCATTTAATCACTATTAATAATGTAAAAGGTTTTTATAAATATGTAAAAGCAGGAGTACATTAAACTAAATGACAGCAGTAATTTGCAAAGCCAGACATTTCACTCGCCATCACTAGTGGAGAAGTGCATTTAAAAAAACAAAATCTTACCAGGGTTAGTGCAGCGGCTGACAGCAAGGTCTAACCAAACTCATCTGTCTGTTTTGTAACCATGAGAGGCTGATCCTCACGTCAATCCGTGTCAGATGTCCATATCAGAGGTTGCTTAAAATCAGCCCACAGATGTATTTTGTTTGTCCTGACATTTAGAAATTAGGAGATCCAACATAAAAATCAGAATATCTTCCTTCTCCAGAAAATTTACACAGCTTGGGATGCATGGGCAACCTAGGATGCATGGGCACGGCATAGGTGGTCTGACGCTTAAGGGCCAGCTGCCCCTCTGGATGGGACATGGCATGCCTTTCTAGCTCACCACTCACTTGACTCACGTCCTTCACTTTCAATGTCATGCCTGGCCTTGCTGGCATTTGAGTTTGTGATTTCTGGTCTATACAGTTTCTGCAGCTTTCCAAGGAAAGATCTTAAGTGTTTGTTTTTCTTTCTGATCTTTTTCCCTGAGAGCCTTTAAATACCCAACATTATCATTTCACTTAATTTTTGAACTTTTATTATAGTGGTTTAAAAAGAGGAAAAAGATGACTGAACATGATCTAGAAATCACATTAATGGAACAATATTTCTCCCCTTAGTTCGCTGGAGTACCTTTGCATATCTCATGAATAAGTTGGTATACACTCTGCCTCACACCTTAGGCTAATAAACTCCTCTAGGCCAGTGGATCTTAACCTATGATGTCTTAACATCCCACCCATTATATCAGATAATCCCGGTCCCACCAAAGTAGGAAAAAAGTCCACATTTTATGAGAAGAATGTGTATGTTCGCAGGAATTTGATTATTATGTCTATAACTTAGAGTAAATTTTAAGAACAGCTTAAAGATCTAAAATCTTGCAACAGTCCTGCTGAATCAATTGTGTTGACCTCTTCTGCCCACTCTGGTGGAATGCCTACCCTTAATTGAAAATTTCTAGAATTAGGACCAAATTTAGTACAGCACTAGGCACATAATAGCAATATTAACAAGCAAAAAAAAAAAAAAATGAAACAAGATGATGGGTTTCTTCTAGCTTTCTTTGGAATTGCTGCATTTCAGTTTCTTGGTTCACCCTAGGATGTACAATGTTAGCTCTGAATTGTCATCATTTCTAAATCTTAAGTTCTGTAAGGACAAAGACCAAGTCCGATTTGTTCTCTTCTTGTTTTGAATATCTACTGCTATGTAGCAAATTGTTCCAAGTAATGGATTAAAACAATTCAGTATCATCCTATTTCATGTGTCCATGGGTCAGACATTCAGATAAGGCATGGCTAGCATGGCTTATCTCTGCTCCATGATGTTGGAAGCCTCAGCTGGGATGACTCAAATAACTGGGGGCTGGAACAGCTGGACAGCAGATGGAAATCCTTCTCTCTACAGGTAGCCTCTCTATTTGACTACTTGGGCCTCCTACTGGCATGGTAGCTAGCCTTAGGTTTGTCAGAGCTCTTATATGGTAGCCTAGGGCTCCAAGAGTGAGTGTTCCAAGAGACAGGAAATGGAAAATGCCAGTCTCTTAAGACCTGGGTCCAGAAATTGTCACAGTGTCACTTGTGTCATACACAGTTGGTCAAAGCAGTCACAGAGCTTGCCTAGATTCAAGGGGAAGGACATAGATCCCACCTCTTGATGAGAGCAGTATCAAATAATTTTTGGCCACCTTTAATCTATGATACCACTGTATCCCCAGATCCTAACACAGTATTTGGCATGAAGTAGGTGAAAAACAAGTGAGTGAGTAGCTTAGTTATGATTTTGAAGTGTGAGTGCTCTGTATTAGGTCATTCTCACATTGCTATAAAGAAATACTGGAGACTGGGTAATTTATAAAGAAAAGAGGTTTAATTGGCTCACAGTCCTGCAGGCTTTACAGGAAGCATGATGCTGGCATCTGCTCAGCTTCTGGTGATGCCTCGGGAAGCTTTCAATCATGGTTGAAGGTGATAGGGCAATAGGCATGTCACATGGTGAAAGCAAGAGCGAGAAAGAGAGAAGGAGGTGACAAACACTTTTAAACAGCCAGACCTCATGAGAACTCACTCACTCTTGTGATGACAGCACCAAGAGGTGGTGCTAAACCATTCACGAGAAATCCATCCCCATGATCCAGTCACCTCTAACCAGGCCCCATCTCCAATACTGGGGATTATAATTCAACATGAAATTTGGACGGGGACAAACATACAAACTATATCATGCTCTTCTCATATTTGCTAATGAAAAACTCATTTTGGTTGCCTAGAACACACAAATGATATTAGGACCTTAAATAATCCAATTCTCAAATGTAGAACCAGCCTAAAGGTAAGATTACAGTTCTCCAAATAGCAGAGAAACAAAATTCATGAAAGATATAGTGATAATATAACAATAGCAAAATAATTATTCTTTTTTAAAACTTGTGATATATTCCATCACTGTCACAACCTGCCAATAATTGACATCATTTATGATTTTGTGTATGCATCAATAATTCTGTTTTCAATGGGTTAGATAATCAAAATTTAGTGCTAAGAGAAAAGTGGAATATAAGGAGCAATATCAGGAGGTCAGCAGGAAGACTGCTGCTAACTGGCTCACTTTGGTGTGCATCATTATTCTGTCTCGCAAGAAAACCAAAGAGAAGTGCCCTAAAACAAACTGAAGTACTTCAAATGCCTTGAACATGGAATTTTGGCAAACTTTTTATTTACCTAAGCCTTCATCCTCCTTTACTATACCCTACTCAATAATACATTCTTGATTCTTGTTCCCGATTAGTCATGATACCTGGTGACAGCCATAATTACTCATCATAACTTGTTTAATGTAACATGCGTTCTGCCCTCAGTTGAGCTGGGAATGTATACCATTTGAGATTCTGTGAATGGCAAAACAAATTATTGACCCAAGACTGAGATCGAGGGAAGGTTGCAGGAAGATGGTCATCGCTGCAGAAGCTGCTGATCTTGAATAAAGACTGAGACTTAAGAATAACCATAATTGACAGATACTAATTACTGTTTTAAGTATATATTTTATTACAATATTGGTATTTCCAGAGAAACTGAGGACTTTACTACCTCAGAAAGAGATAGAAGAGATACCAGATTCTTCTGCCATTCTTAATGTAATATAATACCCTAATATCAATTCATTTTTCAAGAGTGATGAAGGATATGCATTCACTCATTCATACAACAACATTTATTGAGTACTCACTTTATGCCAGGAACTGTGCAGATGGAGATACACAAAAGAAACACAGTCCCCTTATTCAGAGTTTACATTGTAGTGGCAGAAGCAGTCAAAACATCAAGTAAATACATAAATAATTAAAATAATTATGAATTGCAGTAAGTCTATGGATCATGGAACATCAGATTTCTAAGGGAGCTTGGAGTTCATCAGCTCAGGAGTCCAAATTCAACTGTTTTGATGGGGAAGACAGGTAGCCCTGTAAGACAAGAAGTATTCTGGCAAATTAGACAAAGTCATTAAACAACTATAGAAGTGAAACTGACCTGGAAGTTTTCAGCAATAATCCAGAGATGGGACTAATTGGCTCGGGTGAGCATGAAGAGCTGCTAAAATTGACACACACTGGAGACTATTGATGACTTGCAAGAAAAATACAAAGCTTATTTGGACAGTGAACAGCTTAACTATATGCAAACAGTTTCATCATCCTTTGACATTTGGGGCTATAAATAATTTTCTCTACAATTTGAAATGTGTGTACCAAACATAAATTCCAGGAAAAAAAAAACAATCATCCAAAAGAAATCCCATTTAGCACAATGAAAAAAAAATCCCCATTAACCACACTTTGGAGTCATTTAAAACAATAGATCCTACAGTTTCTTTCAAGACAATCCCTATTGGGGGAAGATTAATCATTTCACTCTTTAAATGTATGAACATTATAATGTTTACTTGGTTCATTTCTTCATTTAGTGATAGGTACTCTTCTAAGCTCTGGGTTATAGTGGACAAAATCTCTTCCCCATACAGTCTAGTGAGGGAGGCAAACAATGAAAAAAGTAAATGTCAGGAAGGTATAAATACTGTAAGGTGAGATAAAAGTTAGGGACAGAGAAGGACCATTTTACACAGAGTGGCCCAGGGACACCTCTCTGAGGAGGTGACACTAGAGCAGAACCCTGAATAGCATTCATCTGTATATTAGATGATCTTGGTATAAATGTTTCTTGCCACCTGGACCCCTATGCAATAGATTTTAACAGAAACTGGAGCCTGCTGTTGACTTTTAGGGGCCTGTTGAATCAAAATTCTGTGACATAATGTGCAATGGAAAAGTAAAACAAACCTTTGTCAAGGAATTACTGCATATTGGTTACTGGGTTTTACCGATAAATGGATGAGGTGCCTGCCCTCCAGGAGGACATTGAGAAAATTTGAATACCTCAGACCAACTGACTAGGACCTGGAAAGAGAAATCAGTAACAGCCTTAGACCACTTAACTCATGCATGACAGAAAAAAATAGCAGATCTTCATCAATTAGTGTTAATCCTAGAATAAATCAAATATTGAGAAACCACTTACTGATTTGGAATTATTTTTAAAAGATAAGCCTATATTTTAAAATATTTAAAAGGAAATATAGTGCTATTACAGTATTCAAGCATTCACAGAATTAACATGTTGCAGTTTTGTCTATCTACGAGTAACCCCAGAAGGTCGACAACATAAACATTTGTAATTTCACTGAGGTACAAATTTGAATCCATATGCCTTGCGTTTAGCTTTTTCATGAATCTATTTGTTAAAGACCTCTAAGTCTACTTGCTAATGGCAGATTTTTGGGTATTTTTAATCTAGGAACATGAAAAACATTACACCAAGTACACAACTAGGGGTTGATAAATACACAGTGCGACAATTGCTGAATAAATTGAATAGACTAAGAATCGGGTAAGCTCTTTATAGAGCATCAACATCCTCAAATATACCTTCTGTTCACCTTCCTTTCTAAAGGAAGGCACTGCAGATGACCTGCTCACGTTTGGAAAAAGAATTCCAGTGTGTTTTGGATTGGCCGTGGTTACTTGTTATTCTGTTTGTCTGTCCCCGTTGCTTTTCCTGAGCAATCTCCCTTGCTTATCACCTCTGAAGTTGTTGTCCTAATTGGGAAGTACGGTTGTTGCTGCTTCCTAATAAAGCACTTTGATCTTCATGTGAAAGGTGTTACTGAAGATGGGATCTCTTGATTTTCAGACTATACTGTCTAATGCTAAAATTCAGAAAACACATGTTCAAAACACATTTAAAAAATTACAAAGTGCAGAAGGTTCCCAGATTTATAGTGCTGACTGTCTCCTGAAATCAGCAGTCAACACCTAAAGGTACCAAAAAGAAACAATGTGAGACTTTCACTTCTTTGCAAATGCTCTTGGGCAAAGAAGAATGAAAAATCAGAACACAGATCTTCAAAAGGCTGTTTCAACTGATGATTTATGATACTTTGAAACTCAGTTGTTCTGAGATGCTTAACAGTTATAATTAATGATACCAGTAGCTACCTACAACTTATCTCAGCATGAATAGGTATTTTCTAATATTTTATCTATCCTACTTGCTGCTCCATTAGGATGTAAAGTTAAAAGGCTCAAATCCTTATTACCTACTACTCAGTCATACTATTTGCTTGTAATGACTCTCTAGCTGGTTCTGTCATCTCATTTTGTCCCTGGAGAGGACAAAGTGAATGCAAGTTTGGGAAGAAAGAACAAATGACATGCTATAGCTCATCTCCACTACACACACTCCACATAGGAAGTGCTCAGCAGTTGGTAAATTTCTCCAGGTAGCCATAATTCTGTAGATAGCACCATCTTTGTAGGCGATCACTTTCTTTTCATTTGTAGCCATATTGTTTATATCTTGACTCAGAAAGATCTGCAATACAGCTCAGGCTCTTTGGGGGCCAGGTCAAGAGATCTCCACCCCTCCACCACTTATGAGCTGTGTTAAGTGCAAAACTTTTAACTTCTCTGAGTCTGTTTCTTCATTTTTTAAATGGGCCTAATAGCTTTACCTACTCAGGGTTATGTGGACATTAAATGAAATAAGGTAAGGAAAGTATCTGGCATAGTACCTGATTCATAGTATAATAAATATTTTATTTATACAACATATATATCTAATAATTATCAGGGTACATAGCAATAGAATTTGAAAGGCCTAGTTCAAAAGTGATCATTTTACTGGGTAATTTTACTATGATGACATCTTTGTGAGGTAACCGGGGAGAGGTCAGGGAAGAAAGAACATTCCCACCCTACATAAAGAGCAAACAGAGCTAAGAGTTAATTCTGTTTCTTAGGAAAAGTCAACAATGGTGGTTACTAGCAAGCCAGAGCTAGAACACAGCTGTGGCTAGAGCAAAGACACACTTCTTCGTCTGTGGAGGGAAGAGTAATATATGCCCAGGAGATGGCCAACAAGAAGGATCTGTCCTATATTTAATGACTATCCATTAGTCGAAAGGCAGATTCAGAGAAGTGACAAGAGAGGTTAATGAGGTTAACAAAACCCTATAAGGCTGATTGCAAAGAGAAAACATTTGAGTCATGTGTAGAACAAGCAAAAAACAAACCAAAAATTTTAAGGGAAAAACTAACTTCAGACTATTCAAGAGTTGCAAGGGCTTACAGGACAAATATTTCAGGATTCAAATTCTGGACGAAAATAATCATGTGTCTAAATGAAGCAAACTGGCACTTACGCAGTCCTGAAAATGTGACTGTGTCGTCAGTTTTCTTATTGCTTCAAAACACTTGATCTTTTTCCCATTACTTTGGGGATCTCAGACCTCCAAAGCAAGCGTACTTTTGACAAGCAATTACCAAGGCAGATGGGAAAATAGCCACCCTACCTCAGGGTGAGTGCCCCCATTTTGTTTTACTTGAAACATCACTAGCCATGAGGAAAATAATTCTGCTTAAAAATCTATCTGCATTTTCAATAGCACCACCTTTCCCAGAGTCCTAGAATGTTGATGGCTAATGCTCCCAGCTGCTTTTAATGCTACCCACTTGGTAGGCATTGTTTATTTGGGGCAGTGACCAACTGAGTAGGATTAAATCAACCCACCATATTAAAATAAAAACTAACGAGGACATTGTATTGGGTTTGCATATGAGCATTCACTGCATTTGAATTTTCAGAACATGGAAATAGGTTTATGCTATAACATTAAGTGTTTTCATAGTGCTGTACCAGGTTAGATAACATATATCAAAAGTAGCACGTGTTGTAAGGAAACCCCCAAAATATCTGGATATTAGAAGTCCCAAATGCATTTAAATTATAAAATAGCAAATAGTAATTATATAATAATATATAAAGGAAGAATGGGGCTAGCGTGCATAAATTAAGCATTTGAAGACTAATCATTTCATCTTCCCGATCACAATAGGTACTGTTTAATTCCCTAAAATAGTCAAGTATCAAACAAAACACTCCTGATGAGAATGTCCTAATGCTCAATCCAGAGTGTTGGCTTCTAATAAATAAAGTGTAAGGCATCTGTTACACAGGAATCTCAACGTAGTCACTGAAGCCCTTGCTTGAAGCAGTGCCATGAGCATAGGTTGCAAGGATCTTACAACTATATTTTTAAATATTTGAGTTGAAATTCTATGAACCTGTCTTGAGCATGTGCTGTGTACATCAGGCTCTGAGAAGGACACAGGGAAGAAAATCACACAGTTTTTGCCCTGGCTATCTAATAAAAAGACAGACAGATCTAAAACTGTCATCCAAGACCGGTTATGATAAGTGCAATAACACAAGTATGAGCATTGTATAATAAGAATAATGAGGATGGAGGAGAAATGGACACTTATTTGGGACAAATAAATTGGACTAAAACATATTTCCATTTTATAATCTCTGAATTTGAAGACCCTGTAGTTCATCTTGTAGTACAGCCACCCCTTTTGTCATGACAGTTTCAACATGACTCCCCAAACTACAGTTGTTGCAAACCCTTTTCCAGAAGTTTATATGGAAGAGTTAAAATTCATGCCTGACAGATTTCATAAGGGTAAGATTGTGAACCAGTGGTCGATTTGCCTGCCTTTTTATGGTTTATACCTTCTGCCTCCCTCTCCAGGAGTTCATATGCCTTAATTGGCTGAGTATGTTATGGCCTTGCTTTTCCTAAAGCAGCAGTTCTCAAAGGTTTGTCTTGTTAGAAATGTAAATTCTATGATCCAACACCAGACCTACTAAATCAGAAACTCTGAGGATACGACCCAGCAATCTGTGTTTCAATAAGGCTTTCCAGTGATTCTCGTGGACAATCAAGTTTGAGAATCACTGATCTATAAGAGAGAGAGATTATCATACAGGACTGAGGACCAACACCACAATCCCAAAATTACTTTCTAAAGAGAAGCCCCTTTATTCACTATGTGATGGCAGTGGTAACAGGAACATCACAAACCCTTTGTCCTAACTATTCAGAGATATTTGCATTCCAACAGAGACCCCAGTAGCTACAGTTGTTAGGGGAATCCTCCAGTCACACCTCATATGTGACAAATTTCTATCCCTTGGAGACTTGAACCAACTGACAATTCAAAGAGGAATTTACGGGGCAGGATTCAAACACTAGTGAGCAGAGGATTCATATAGCCTCTCTCAGCCCAGTCCTTCTCAGTGCTACCTTTTGACCAGAGCTGTCAGCTGTAGAAAGGATTTCATCTGTTCCTGTGGAAAAAAAACAACCTAACCTGCCCACCTGCTGCTAGATCCCCTGCTGGCTAGGTCCTTGATTTTGAATGTTACCCTTCAAAGGCTGCTTATGCTCCTGTTAGCAACAAAAGGAAATCGCTGTAACTTTTCTAGCCCTGAGTCTGTTTTCTTTCGAAAGACATTAATCAGAAATGCAATGTAGTAAATTGCATCTTCTTTCAGCAATTTAGTTTTCAGCCTTGTTTTTCAAACCAACTATTGTGCTTGAGGTTAATGTTGTTGCCTGAGGTGTTAAACGAATATCGGAGATTTGACACCGAAGACAAAAGACAACAAATAAGGGAAGAGGAGAATGGAACCAAGAGTTGATTGAAGGCTAGGGATAATTTGACTATTCCATGAAAATAACAAATACAGAATGAATTAGACCTTTTGCATCAGAACTGTCTAACAAGCAGCTTGTTAGTTAAATAAGGCTCCCAGTAAAGTGTATTCTGACCTGCATTTCCCAAGATGCTCTGTTCTTCAGACCAAGCTCCAAACACCTAGAGGATTCAGCATTTAGTTAAAGTGGAGAAGCAATTCCTTTGGGGTTGCTGCTTTAGCATAGTGACAGCAGGTAGACAGCTTGGCAGCAGCCTGTATTCTCTAGAGAACAGGAAAAAAGACACTTGTGAGGGGTGATATTCCCCATGCATGTTTCTAGAGTCACATTGGACATGCCCATCTAAGTTCAAGTTATCTTGCTCTAACCAACAACAGCAGGGAGAAGTTCTTGTTTTCAAAGGTTCAACCAAGCAAAGCATCCATCTCATTCATGTCTGTGAATCAAAGGAGAGCCCAAGCAAAGACAGAAAGTATGCAATGCCTGCCGTTGAGCGTACACAAGACCACACATATAGACACACAAAACCAACACAAACGACAGTTATGCTGGGCACATAGCTGCTGTACACATGTGCAGGGCCAGCCGCATGACAGTCCAGACAGTAGCTTCTATCATCTTACTTGAAAGATTTAGAAGAGTTCTATATATTATTGAATTGAAAATGTTTCAGAAAAAGACAAATTTTTAAGGACCAAAACTCAGGTTGAAGGTAGTTTTGATGTGGCAAAAATTCAAGAACTCAAGATGCTTCCTCGAGGCAGACCAAGTACAGGCCAAGTAGGGCTGACTAATTTCAATGGTGATTTGAGGAAGCCAGGGACTCTCTGGAAGAGGAAACAGGGAGGCACCATAATGGGAATAGGAAAAACACAGAAAGCAGGACTGTGGTAATATCAAAGGCAGACCCTCACCGTACATACCTCACTACTCAGCTAGGATCTAACTTTGGAAAAAAATGAACTATACAGGCTGCCTTAGATATAAGAAGCATAATCAAAATAGTTTATATAAATGGGAGGGAAGGAACTATATTTTAGTGGCTGTGGGGAATCAGGAAAAACAAACCAGATACAAGGCTACCATCCACAATTATTAAGAAAATAGAATTTAGAATCTGGGAGTGCACAAAATGGCAGTTGAGCTGAACGAAGTGGCACAATATGCCATACTTCCAAAGAATATATATGAAGGCTCCCTAATGGCCATTTGGAGCTGATGTAGCCTGCCTGGGAAAGCAAGTACACTCAAGAGCTTTCTTTTTGAAATGGAGAGTTTGCCTAAGAGGTAGATTTTTCCTAAATTTCTGCATGCAGTGTCAGTCAAGATTACTGCAAATTAAAAAGAATACTTTAATACTGTCCTGAAATTTAGACAATTTAAACTGACACTGGATGACTGATATTGTTCAAAGATTACAGTAAGTACTAGTAATCCAGGAATAAAAAGACCTAAGAGTTATTCTCGTGAAAAATGGATGACATGGAGTGTATAAATAATGGGAGCAAATGCAGCAAGATACAGGGAATCTTGGAACATTTAAAGTCTAATACATTACAAAGGGAGTTCAATACTGATAAATGTAGAATATAAGTTTTATGGGGTTTTATCATATGCTGTAAGTTTGTGTGGATCATAAAATATGAGGAATAAGAAAGAAGGGGAGTTGAAAGACAAGTCTGTGAGCATTATTTATGAGTGATGAAGAGTGAAATGAATGAAAAGAAGAACAGGTAGACAGTGTCTTGAATAATGATGACTTTGATGAGTCATTATCACACAAATATGTGTGCTTCATAAAACATGAGGAATATTAAGAAGCAGAAGAGTCAAAAGACAAGTCTACTCAGAACGAGATACAGAATGAAGGAAGAGAGGAATACAAGGGAAATGCACAGAATAATGATAACTTTTATGAGACTTTCACTCACCAGCTTGGACCTTCATAAATATAAGCCATATAGAAAATAAAAGAACAGCAGAGAGGAGAGACAGGTCTGTGTGTGTCATAAAATATGAGAAAATAATGCCAACTAGGCTTGACAAAATAAAAACAAAAATAATTGAGCCTAGTACAGCTGTGGAAAGACACAATGTCTAGATTAATGTGAGCAAATAAAAAGAGTGACTTTGGAATTGTCTTGCGAATAGGGAATCAGCAAGCACCTAGGTAGGTGTTATTGTTGTAAAGGCCACCTTGTTAACTGGTGGAGGCTTGGCAAGGTAATAACTAACCCCCACCATACTCCCAAAGCAGCTAACAGCATTGAGAGCTCAGGAAACAATGCTTAACTAATTTCTAAATTGTTTGGCATCACTACAGTCTCTTCACAGCCCCCCTGGAACCAATCCATATGTCATTTGCAGGAGATTTTCTCAGCTTGTTTCCATTCAATCTACACCCACCTTGTCAAAAGTTGCTCTGTAAAGACATCTAAAAGGTTACTGTATAAAATCAGAGATGTCCTTTTATTTTCATTTCTTGTTACATTGGACTTAGAACCTGGGACCAGATCTGCCAGAATTAGTTCAAAATCCAGAACTCAATGACTTCAAATGTCTTCTCTATTAGAACAAATGGGATTTCAAAATGATACAGAAATTGGGACAATCAAACATGGCGAAGCAAGTGCCAGTATGCCATTTGCATGCCACTCAGAACCATGATTTACATAATTCATAAAATGGACAGCTCACTGGAAAAAAGCCACTGATCTATGTCACAGAGCTATGAATGTTGGTCTGAGAGTTCAGAAAATACACAAACACTAATAGCAACAATTACACTCGCTTACTTTGCGTAATACTTAATGGCTTGTAACTTTTGTTGGGAAAGCCCTTACGTAGAAGAGGATAAATCCTATTAGCATAACTTATAACCAATTCCTCTGATTGCAACAGAATTTAGTAGTGAGGTTTATTGGCTAAAACATATACAACCAACTCTGGCTTATTATAAGCTACCATCTGTAGCTTATTCAAAGGTGTTTTACTTTCTCTCAAATGATGTTTGTGGCCATGAGCCTTTACATTCCTCCCTTTACTTTCTGATTCTGTTAAAAGAATGTATAATTCCAGGATGAAATGATTAGGATTAATCTGAAAAGCCATGTTTGTCTGAATAACATGGTCCCCTTTAATCCAAGATTGAGCTGCCCTGGATACCCAGAATCCCACTTGGTTAAAAAAAAAAAAAAAAAAAAAAAAAGGTGGTATTGATGCCCTAGGAAAAATCACTGACCTTGCTCAACCTTCCTCAACCCTGCCAGCTCCAGCTATAAAATTCATGTCCAAGAGCTCAGGGCTGCCAAGACTAGGATTAAACTCTGGTGAAAAAACTGTCCCTTCCTCCCAGCAGACCAGTGAAAAAAATCCTTGCTTGGGATTTGTCCCAGGGCACTCTTCTTAACTGCCAGCCTCCTGAAATTTGTTACAGCTTGTCAGCCAGGCTAGCGCTGAAAGTCTTGTATGTTTTAGTGGACTATGTCCCTGAAAGAGAGCCCTATTTAGGGACTAGTTTAATGGAATTCCATTTTTTAGTAAGGATGGGACTCATTTGTTTAAAGGGAAAGTGTCTTGAAATATTTTATTTAAATTAGGCAAGAAAAGCAGTATACCATTGTCAGGGATCATGTCTCTTTTGCAGACTTTAACTTAAAGTGTGCTCAACTAAATTTGTTTGTTTGGTTGGCTGGTTGTTTTACCAGAAAAAGGCACTTTAGCAGTGTATATCAGGAGGCTTAAAAATATTCATACTATATATGTAAATGCATAGAAAATGCACACAACAAACTAATAGTGCTGAGTACCTCTGATGAGAACACCAAGAAGCAGGAAAAAGGCGGTCAGTAGGGACTTTAGTCTTATCTTACAATATATTTATGTATTAACTAATGTAATTAACTTTAATTTTGATAAGAGAAAAGTATCATTCCACAACTAGGACTCTCTCTCAAGGAAATAATAAGAAATTTAAGGCAGAAAAAAATTAAGAAACAACAAAATGTCCGAAAATCAGGGGTAGGTTAAGCAAGTTATAGGATACTAATTTAAGGGTGTATTATATAATAACAAAAATGATATATTAAGGAATTTCTAAATACATTGGACAATATTAATAATATGCTTTTAACCTTAAAATATCTAGATTCAGAACCATACTTAGTATGATTCTAATTTTGATGGGGAAAAAAAAAAACTCCTCCCCAGAATGTTATTAGTAGTTTTCTACTGGTTGGTGAAATTATTGTTTTCTTTGTTATACTTGACTGTTTTCCAAAGTTTCTACAACTTGACTTCTAGAATCTAGTCTCAACATGCTTTTCTGTTTGCCTTTGGTCTTGTGTTGCAGGCGTGCCTGTGTGATTCGAGGCCAAGTGGTGGCCATAGATGGAACTCCTCTAGTGGGAGTGAATGTCAGTTTCTTGCACCACAGTGATTATGGGTTTACCATCAGCCGGCAAGATGGAAGGTATGTCAATGTTGTTTCTGATCATTGTGGGGGCCAATTACTGACTTCTAGCCAGGGGTAAAACCAGGGCTCAGATGATACAGTGATGGTAAACCCATCTTTCTTCAAGTTATATCTCAAAAAGTCATTGGTGATATTTATTTCCTCTATTTCCTAATTAATTCAAACTGGATTCCTCTTCTAATCCTTCTCGAGTCTTCTTGAAACCCAGGCCATGTGAAAAGTTTTCTATCCTTTATCTAATTCCATCTATAAATCCAACTTCAAAGATCAGTGACATTATGCAAATGATAAATAAGGAGCTATGGAACACATAGGCTATTTTTCCATAGTAACCCCCAAATATTTCAGAAATGAATGCATCAAAAATATTTCTTCCAAAAGTACAGAATTCCACCACATTAATGGAGAAGCTTTAAAAATGTGTCCTCCCTAGGCTGCCTATTTGACTATTGGCTGCAACTGATAGACAAGCTTGGCCAGCCTACTTAATTATAGTGATTTATCCTGAAGCACCAACCACCAGGCTGCTCTCTAAGGGGGTTCTCTAAGATCTGAGAAGCAAGACCTTGAAGTAAAACCTTCTCATCCTGGAAAAGGATTTGCTCACAACAACATTTTTGTTGCCGTCATTTAGACAGACATTGATTCAGAATATTTGGGTCAATAGGCCCATGTGTCCAGCTTAAAGGTACCTATTTATGACTCTCAGGGACACTGTAATAATGGCTTTGAGGTGCCCTAGTCTCCAGGTGACTACCCTTAAAATGTCCTACTCATAACAAGCCACTTCAATAATCATACGCAAAAAAAGACCTGTTGGCTTCGAGCTTTATCACACTGTGAGAAACTATCTCATTTCAAGAACCTACAATCAAACCTTATTAGTCCTAGACACTTTAGAAATGTTAATTGTTCAACTTGGGCTGTGCCGGATTTATTTTTCCAAGAGCCTGTCAAGAAAGTACTTATAAAAAATTAGTTTAAAAAGATAATAAGAAAGAGTTTTAGCCTACTTAAGAAAATAAACTGTTCTTAAGGACTTTAGTAAATTATATAAATTATTTATGTATAAATTATATTGCTTATTACTAACTAACCATCTCTTCATTATAACAAGCTCAGCAGAACTATTTTGGTAGCACACACATATATGTACATATATATGCACATATATATGTGTGTGTATATATATATATATAAAACTTCATTTCCTTTCAAATATTCTATAATCAGAGTTCTCTATTAATTCAAATGGGTCTTTCTCCCAATTAGATTGAATAACGGAATTTTGGTAGTGCACTCACCAGTAACTGGTGCTTAAAACTAGCCTCACCCTTGCAAACATCTTCAACCATATGCCACAAATTGAGAAATGGGTTATTTCTCTAAATAGAATATGTCTTCTGAGACATTTGACTTTGACTTCTCGTGGAGGCCTGGTAAGACCTCATTTTTTTAGCTTACATACAAAGGTTTCGGTGAATTATTTGATATTCACACAAGAACCTAAAAGAATCTTGATACCTAAAAAGTCTAAAAATGTTTGTGTACAGTTTACAGGGAACATTAAAGAGGGTAATCTTTGTTGTTATTTTTGTGTCTTTAGTTTTAAGTGAAATGCCCCAAGCCCCTCCTCTGCTGAACTCACAGTGACAACTGAGTTTATGTAGATGACAGATACTAGTCAGAATCCCCTCTAGCAATAACTCCCCTCAGGCTCCATAAAGGTGTAAACATTCAAAATATGGGCCCCAAATGCCAACCAGACTGTTCCACTGTCATTTCCTGGACATAAAGTGACAGTGTGATGAGAGTTTCCATTTATATGTCTCTGCTTGTTGCTACCTCAGTTTGAGTAAGTACATTTCAAAAGTAGAAAATCATAAGAAAAATATACCTGAGGTCGGCCGGGCACGGTGGCTCAAGCCTGTAATCCCAGCACTTTGGGAGGCTGAGGCGGGCGGATCATGAGGTCAGGAGATCGAGACTGTCCTGGCTAACACGGTGAAACCCCGTCTCTACTAAAAATACAAAAAAAAAAAAAAATAGCTGGGCGTGGTGGCGGGCGCCTGTAGTCCCAGCTACTCGGGTGGCTGAGGCAGGAGAATTGCTTGAACCTGGGAGACAGAGGTTGCAGTGAGCCGAGATCGCGCCACGTTACTCCAGCCTGGGCAACAAAGCGAGACTCTGTCTCAAAAAAAAAAAAAAAAGAAAAAAGAAAAATATACCTGAGGTCAAAAGAGTATAGAAAGGCTGAGATTAGCATCTAGATACCTAGTAGAGAGTGTGATATGAGAGTTGCTGATAGGATCCTCCATGTCCAAATCTCAATCCCTCCAGTCGGCCACAGTGCTTATACTTTTCACCAATGGTATCACTGCTTTGGGTGAAGCTGTCAGCTCTCTCAAAGTCCCCGTTGAATGCAAATATGTCATGTGGGATGTAGAAATATTTACCCCCATTATCAACTACTTGCAAAAGTAAACTGACAAGTTTCCCTAAAGAACCAGAAAAGGTCTAGATCATGGGACCAAAGTAATTTATTCAAAGCAGAAGGAAGGATGGTGTTGAAAGACTGAGCCCTTTAAAAGTATGAAGAGATTAGATACTCACATAGAGAAGGGACTACTTAGCAGAAAAGAAAAAAGCCTATTCTAAAGGAAAGGTGAATGTTTATGAGTGTCTACTGTATGTTAGACACTTTCATGAATGTCTCTGTTTTCATCCTCACAACTATCTGAGATAAATATCATTATTATCATCCTCCCCATTTGTTGTATGAGAAAATTTATCCAGATAATAAGGATAGAGTTCAAGATTTAAACCCAAGTAATCTTGCTCTTTTCTTCTATGATTTACCACCTTCAACTTAGGTATATAACCAGTCCTCAGTCAAGTGTTGAAAGAGAACTATTTGTAAATAGTTCAGCTAATGATAAGCAAAACAGGTGAAGTGACGACATTCTTAGAAGTTTCTTGAGAAGTATTAAAGGTCTCAAGAACTTTGTTCTGAAGACTAGAAGATGAAGAGAGGGTTCCCTTTGATTCTCCTCAAGGCAAAAGTTTATTCATTTATGGATACCATGAGGCAGAGAGAGATAAGCAATTTGCATAGGTGTCAATAGCCTTCCATCTGTAGATAGGACTGGTTGGACTTATGTGTTGACAACAATCTCCAAACAAATAAATCCTCTCCCTTGGGTCTTTTATATCCACTCTCATATGACTTAATAACCTGTTATTAATGGCCCGTGCAAATGGAGGTGTTTTGTGGTGGGAGAAATCCCAAAGAAGTAATCATTCAGCATTCTATTTGGCATTGGAAATGGTTTAGATGGATCTCTGGCCACAGTTCCACCTTCCGTCTCCATGTCAATTAATGAGTCAGCCAGGCAGTGTTTACTGTGTATAACTGCGAGGTGGAAAGATGAGAAGTGTATCAGTCAGGGCTTTCCAGGGAAACAACATATGACATAGATATAGATATTGATATTATTGTCTTGAGAGAGGGATTTATTCCAAGGAATTTGCTTATAAGATTGTGGGGATTGGCAAGTCTGAAATCTGTCGGGCAGGCTAGAAGACTGGAAACTCTCAGGAAAGAGATGCAGTGGTCTTAAGGCCGAATTTCTTCTTCCTCACAGAAACAGTTTTGCCCACCCACATTATCAAGGATCATCTCCTTTACTTAAATTCAACTGATTATAGATAATAGCCACATCTCCGAAAGACCTCCACAGCAATACCTAGATTGGTGTTTCATTAAATAACTTAGAACTATAACCTAGGCAATAGAGATATAAAATGAACGATCATAAGAAGCCTAAGGGAAGTCCCAAGGAGACCTTAAAAATCAGTATCTGCTCATGGAGATAATCAAAAGCTGACCTATAGTTCACTTGAACTACAAAAAAAAGAAAACATATGGCAAATGTAGTAGGGCAATGAATCTGATTTGAGAAGAAATGTAACAGTTGTTGAGTTCCTACTATATGCTTGACCCTTAAGTCTTTATCTCATTCATTTACAATAGCAGCTAAGAGATAGATTATAGAGGCTTCATTTTACTAACGAGAAAACTGCATCTCAGGAAGGTTAAATAACTAGCCCAAAGACACAAAGCTAACAGGGCAGAGCTGGGATTCAAACCCAGATATATATGAAACCAAACCCACATTCTTTCTACAAAACAAGATGCCTGGCCTGTCTGTGTAATCTTTCCAGAAGTACAGAATAAAAGTTTTTTTTTAAAAAGAGAGAGAATAATTTCCAGGCACCTATGTTTTTATCTGGATAGTTTATTTAGTTTTCATGTTTGTGTTTGTTTTTTGTTTTTAAATAAATAAGCACTTCAATTTTGAGTCAAGAGTCAAGGTTTGGGTGAGGCAGATAAACTTCCCCAAGAACACATACTTAAATCCACATAGAAGGTGAACTAGAGGAAAGGTTTCTTGACAAGTAGTGTCAGATTCTCCCCACTACACTTGCCTTAAACTGTTCCTGTAGTATTATGAATTCAGACCCTCTGTCTTAAACCATAAACCGTTTGTGTTTTCTTTTTTCTTTTGGTTCAAACCTAAATTATTTTCTGTAGCTAATGCAGTTCTTCAAATCCTCTTTTTGGAAACTGCCTTAATATTAAGCTACTTTACTGAAAAAGCAGCAATAAAAAACACGGTATTATCCATCCTTTGTTACTGTTCATTTATCTTTATCTGCAAGATTTCTGCAACAAAACACGATTGGTAATACTATAATAAATATAATAAATGTCATAGGAAGAGAGTGATGAGATGTCCATAATTAAGTCTGATTCCCTATCAGGGCTTTTTATCGTTGAAAAAGTGTTTTGCTGAAAGATCTTTTTTAATGCAGGCAATTGCTTACATCTCTCTCCTGTGGATTTAAGTTGCCTTGAATATTAAGTAACATCATATTGCCCTTTATCCATTTTTAACATAAAAATGATAATAATTTATCATTATCTTACTTTTTTATATAGGAGTTTATGCTTTTCAGATGCTCTCAAGTACGTCATCTCAAAGACGTCATTATACTTAAAAGAGAAGTAATCTAGTGCAGAATGAAATGAAATCTGAATCTGTTCAGCTCCAATGCAATAGTCTTGTCATAGACCACATCTAGAGATAGACAGAGCTGGCTTACAGCAGAGGTAGTCTTGCTTTGTCATGGATAGAGAAGGAGTTGTTGGTGAAGTTGTGCAGGGTTCATTACAGGCTGTCTTACAAAAAGAAACCAAAAACCATTGTGAAGCAAACCAGAGATCTTAAATCTGAGGTGCAAGTAGACTAGGAGGCCAAAGAGGGTAGTCAAATGTAGAAGGCTTGGTCGGGCATAGCTGAGTTCAAAGAAATTTTCCCTAACAATTGTCCTCTGCTGATATCTTTCTCCAAATGCCATCTCAAAGACACTGTCTGCTTTCTGACACGATGTTTGTGACCCTGAACAAGATATTTAACCTTTTGGCTCCTTACTTTTCTTATGTTACATTATAGGATTTTTTGGAAAATGAATAATGCATCATTCTCAAAGATGCTGCTAAATGTTAGATAGTCATCTTTCTGTTATCTTTAGCATAAGGGGAGCAGCTGTGTCAGATTTGGCTTTGCAGAAATGCATGCAGTGATTTTTGTTTAAGATAGTGTTAAAATTAACTGGTTTACAGGCTGGGCGCAGTGGCTCACACCTGTAATCCCAGCACTTTGGGAGGCCAAGGCGGGTGAATCATCTAAGGTCAGGAGTTCAAGAACAACCTGACGAATATGGTGAAATCCCATGCCTACTAAAGAATACAAAAATTAGCCTTGCATGGTGGTATGCAGCTGTAGTCCCAGCTACTCGGGAGGCTGAGACAGGAGAATCGCTTGAACCCAGGAGGCGGAGGTTGCAGTGAGCCGAGATCACACCACTGCACTCCAGCCTGGGGTGACAGAGCAAGACTCCATCTCAAAAAAAAAAAAAAAAAATTGGTTTACAAATTTCAAGGGAATATCAACTGGTGACATGGAATGTCTTCCTAGAAGACCACTAGATAGTGAAAAGAAGTCATCTACGGAATGAATACATTGCTAGAGAGAATTTATAAAATAGACAATACAAGTGGATATAGTTGAGTCCCCCCAAAAAGGAAAGGGCACTGAAATTAACCTATTTTTTAACTGTAATTTTTTAATTTTTCATTTGATTGCAACTGTCTTATGTTTTTCCTTCTTAGCTTTGACCTCGTGGCCATCGGTGGCATCTCTGTCATCTTAATCTTCGACCGATCCCCTTTCCTGCCTGAGAAGAGAACACTCTGGTTGCCTTGGAATCAGTTTATTGTGGTAGAGAAAGTCACCATGCAGAGAGTTGTATCAGACCCGCCATCCTGCGATATCTCCAACTTTATCAGCCCAAACCCTATTGTGCTTCCTTCACCGCTCACATCATTTGGAGGGTCCTGTCCAGAGAGGGGAACTATTGTTCCTGAGCTGCAGGTGAGTATATTGGCCTTTGAATGTATAAAATAATAATATCATGGAGTGGTCAACAGTGTATAATAGCTAAATTCCTTTTCCTATTCTTGTTACCATCCTTATAATGTGCTGCCCTTTATTTGTCAAGAGAAGTCTTCAAATGTTTTTCTGGCATACATTTTTAAGACAATTGGTCAGGGCATTAGAATGCTGTCTGTGGCCATGGAATAGAACAAGATTAAGTAGCTTTCATAAGAATTAAACTCCAATCTTTGACCTAATAAACACTGTGCTCTAAGAACAAAGCTAGCTGGCTTATTAGTAATAACAGTATAATCCATGAGCTTGGACTGTTTGTGGTTCTGAAATTAAAGCTCCTTAAGAAATTTAGTTTTTGAGCTGGGCGTGGCGGCTCATGCCTGTAATCCCAGCACTTTGGGAGGCCAAGGTGGGCAGATCACCTAAGGTTGAGAGTTCAAGACCAGCCTGACCAACATGGAGAAACCCTGTCTCTACTAAAAATACAAAATTAGTCAGGCATGGTGGCACATGCCTGTAATCCCAGCTACTCAGGAGGCTGAGGCAGGAGAATTGCTTGAACCCGTGAGACGGAGGTTGCAGTGAGCTGAGACTGCACCATTGCCCTCCAGCCTGGGCAACAAGAGTGAAACTCTGTCTCCAAAAAAAAAAAAAAAGAAATCTACTTTTCTTCCTGTTGTCTAGTTTGTATCATTGTCATTGTTCTTAGAAGACATGACAAGTTCTCTCATCTAGCTGTGTAAAGTAAATGTAGTTTTCAAGCCTGTGCAGTTTTTTTTTTTAAAAAAGCTTTGCTTCTGAGTGTTCAAGCTTTATAGTCAGGAGAAGACATTTTTGAACCTCGATATTTTAACATTCCTGAGAATTATTCTTTATTGAACATTCAATATTGTCATTTCAATATTAAACTATTCAACCATAGTACAATTCCCTCACCACATTATAGAAACATTTTAATGATAATTAAATGTGGAAACCACCAAAATGGACTCATAGGTCTTAACAGATCCAGAAATCCAGAAGGAAATGCATGCTCCAAGATAGAATTGATTGTTCTTTCATCATAACACCACCCACCAGCTCTTAGCAGTGCCTAGAGAATACCACTTAGATAAGGCTCACACAAAAATACTGCCCTTCAGGAAAAGCAGTCCAAAGAGCTACCCCTTATCTTTTCCATTGCCCTTTGCTTACAAAGGGAGAAAAAACAAGACAGTGTTTAATGAGTACATTTGATTGGTATGCCAATCCCTTCACAGATGTCATTAGGAAGTACGGGTCTTCTTTCAGCACGAAAGTTTCCAGGCTTATTTAGGATTGCATGTTTTCTTAGGAAAATGAACTACTAAGTTGGTGAGTGTCAGGCTATCCTTCTCTATTGTACTTCTGTCACCAACTGAGAAGACAGCTGGTGGACAACTCTGGTATCAAATGGCTAAGGTAGAGGAAGAAAAACTGGCAAAGTGTACACAAAAGGTATCGTGTCCTCAGAAACAGGAGAAAGACCAAAAATGCTGGACAATATGAGATGCCATATGTTTAACAATCAGTTCTTCTATGTGCACAAGTTTGGAAAAGTAAGAGAGAACAAGGTTCTGAGGTAAAAATGAATAAGAGCATGAAAATATCTACGCTATTCATGTCACCTTAAGTGTATTGAATAGGATGGGCTTTTTCTTCAGAGGTCTTTTGAAAGATGAAAGTCAAAGAACACATGATTCAATTTTAGTTACCACCTTTGGTTATTTAACTTTATCTGTGGTGATAAGCAAACAAGTAATAACAATTAATTAAAGCCACATGGTATTTTTACTCTGAGACCAACGTTTAGTGTAAAATTTGCAGAGGAATTGGTGAGAGTTATTTGCTTCTCAGTCACAAGTGCCAACTTGGAGAAACTTGTTCCCAGCCATTGCTACATCCAGGCACAGAGAAATATGTAAGAAAAATTTGATTAAAAATTTGGCCTCAGGGTCATTTCAAAGCTCCAAGGAAAACGAATTTGATGGCATCGGTAAAGATTAATTCTAGGGAAACTATAATCTTTGTCATAAAATATCACTTGCTGGGCCTGCTTCTTGAGTTCTTCCTCTTAGAGAGCTTAGCCTGAATAAGGATTACACCAATGGTTTTATGATATATGACTTAACACCAAACAAGATTTTGTGTATGTCTGTATAAGAAAAAGACCCCTTAATGGAGCCCATAGTGCTGAATTGCTTGACATTCAGCGGTATGATCTTTTTCAACTCCTACTAAGCAGTTTTTGGAACACTATTGAAAAGCTGAAATTGTTCCTTACACAATCTTTCCTGGCATGGGGAAAAAATAAATGCAATCCTTAAGGTTGGGTCTTGTCTCCATTCAGGTTTGGTGCAAAATTCAAAACCTATTATCATACAGTCTCACAAAGATTCAAGAACAAATGCCTTGACGTCCTTAGACCTGTTTAAGCTCTCTCCTTTGGCATGTTTCAAAGACAACAAAGCATGCAATATCCTCATCTACCTGCGACCACTGACAAGAGCCTATTTGGCTTTTTTTTTTTTTTTTTATTTCAGGTTGTACAGGAGGAAATTCCCATTCCCTCCAGCTTTGTGAGGCTGAGTTACCTGAGCAGCCGCACCCCTGGGTATAAAACCCTGCTACGGATCCTTCTGACACATTCAACGATTCCTGTAGGCATGATAAAAGTACACCTCACAGTAGCTGTGGAAGGGCGACTCACACAGAAGTGGTTTCCCGCCGCAATTAATCTTGTCTACACATTTGCTTGGAACAAGACCGACATCTATGGACAGAAGGTTTGGGGCCTGGCAGAGGCTTTGGGTATGTTGAACTAATTATATGTAAATAGCAGTATTACATGCACAGAACAGAAAATACTTGTTACATGTTAATTTGTATTTGGAATAATTACTGATTTTCTTCTGTTTAAAGGACCTAAGGCATTTTTAATTTAAACACTACCTTGAGGCCAGTTTAGAGTTCCCTTTTGACACATTTTTGCTTCAAAAAGATTTTAGTTCTCCTTTCATGATGGCTGCGTACCAATGGACTCATGCAATATCTGACTTGTAACTGTCACCAGAGCCAAATGCTGCCTTCTAAATGTGACCTTTGGTGTGGCGTTCTATAAGGCCATGTTTTTGGATTTGACATTTAGACTGTCATTTCTACTTAGAGACTACAAAATTCTAACTTATGGCCATCTCCACTTACTATCTTTTATGTCTAAGATGGTTAGACTTCATTAACTTGTTACTTCTTCAGGTTAAATAAAAAATCATCCTGCCTTCCTATTCCTTTTGATTTTCTCTAATCTCAAGACTTTAAAACCTAGAATCTTATAGATAGCAGGGACCTTAAGAGGTCCTTTGGGCCTATGGTTTTCAGGTATTTAATTCTCCCAGACAAAAGGCATTTTTTTAAAATGAGGCAGAGATAGATTTGCCAATGTTTTATTTTGTCAAGTAAGAATATTTTTAAAAGAACTCACTATACTATACTATTCCTACCACTACCATAATTTCATATATGAGGGATACCTTAATAGCAGAAAAGAAAAAAAATAGTCTGTTTTAAGAAATGATGGCAAGCAATCGAACCCTGACACTCAGAGAGAGATAAACTAACACCAAAGTCTTTATCTCTCTCACTCTGTAGAAAACAGAGAAACCTTCCTAAGGTTTCTGTATCTCTGATACAGGTCTGTAGACCTGCAGTTTGGGAGCCATTAATCCTTGTACCTTCAGGAAGCAGCTCATGTAGATCACCCTTGGACAGATGAGAAGATTATTTTAAAGCTCTCCAAAAGAGACATTTAGACATCCTCCCTTGGAAGTGTCTAGCATGGTATAATTCCTACAGAGCTGACCTATATTTCTTAGACTATAGTATGTCAATTTTCTTTTCCCAGAGGGAAAGAGAAAGAGAGAGAGAGAGAGAGACTAATGACTCTTCTCTGCCCAAGAGACCCTCATATATTTAAATAATTAACTCATTTGTGTTGGACTTTACTGGAATGCAAGGAACATGGACAGGTTCATATTACCTCAGTAAATGGGAAATTATTGTAAAGACACACAAAAAAATAAGAAAGTACAAGAAATACCATCGGTAGCCTCACAAGCAGGACTCAAAACCTATAGCCTTGTTCAGGACACATTGCATTTCTAGAAGGTCTGCATCTGCTCTGTCAACTTAAAACCAGCTCAAGTTTTTCCAAGTCCACTGCTTCCCACAGTGGTGACTCAGCCATACTTAAGACTGACTTCATCTCTCCTCCTGCCATACTAACTACCCTCCTTCTCTCTCTCAGCTCTTCACATTCTATGTGGTCTGCTAACTTGCTGTGTATCTCATATTCAGGTTCCTCTTAGAGAAAATATTGTATTGTGTCAGCCATTTACTGTGCAGTCCAGAACACCCTTGTAAGGCAGAACTTTAGCATTAGGCTGCCGTGAAAGTTGCTGACCAGCCTACAGAGTCCTGCTTAATCCCTATTCTATTGAGTGTAGTGGTTATGAGAACAACTCTGGAGCCAGACTCCTTCCCCGGGTTCAAATAATTCCTTCTCTACTTACGAGCTGTGTGACGCTGGATAAATTAATCTCCAAATGCCACAGTTTCTCCATCTATAAAGTGAATATCATAAAGATTATGTTACTCATAGGTTTGTTATGATATAATGATTAAATGAGGTGAGTAACATAAAATGCTTGGCACATTGTAAGAATTCAACAAATGTCAGTTGCTGGTATTGCTTTTTTTCATTTTGTTGTGGCCAGGGTACTGTGATCACATAGTATAAAGCATGGAGTCTATGCAGGTATTTGTTGCCTTAGCTTCTCTAAGAAGGGTGTTGTGAGTATAACAGGCAAGCACTTTGTGCTACTTACTCTCCATTTGCCCTCCCTGCCCGCCCCACCCCTCCGCCCCCAACAAACACACACACACGCATAATCTCTTTTCTGTCCTTCTCTGTGCTCTGAGAGGCTGGCTTCCATGGACTGCATTCCCTGAACACCTTGCTCTTTAACTTCCCACTTGATTTGGTCAATGAGTGGCACCATCTAGAGACTGTAGAAAGAGAACAAACTCAGGGTATTTATCCCTCTCCCCGCTTTACTGCAGACTACATTAGACAATAGCAGCCCCTGTCTAGTAGCCCCTCCTCCAAATCCCCATGCTCTCTCTTGCCTTCTGTATCATCACTCCATCCTCTTCCCCCTACAAGCCCAGAAGGCTTACCAGTTATGCCAGTGCTTAGGTGGCTCTCCCTTCCTTGATAATTCTCTTAACTCTGCCCATGCCTTAATTCGAACTCTCTGCGGTGAACATTTACAAGTGCGACATCTCATTCCTGCTGAGACCCTCACTGAATCATACTCAAAGCCTCTAATTCTCTTCTCCATGATATTATCCTACAGCATTTCCTTCACTAGGCAGATAATCCAAAATTCCTCCAATTTTTCTCTATAGGTCCTTATTTTCCAATTCCTTTTAATTTATTATTTATTTATTTATTTTTATTATACTTTAAGTTGTAGGGTACATGTGCACAACGTCCAGGTTTGTTACATATGTATACATGCACCATGTTGGTGTGCTGCACCCATTAACTCGTCATATGCATTAGGTTTATCTCCTAATGCTATCCCTCCCCCCTCCCCCCACCCCACAACAGGCCCCGGTGTGTGATGTTCCCCTTCCTGTGTCCAAGTGTTCTCATTATTCAATTCCCACCTATGAGTGAGAACATGCAGTGTTCGGTTTTTTTGTCCTTGCGATAGTTTGCTGAGAATGACGGTTTCCAGCTTCATCCGTGTCCCTACAAAGGACATGAACTCATCCTTTTTTATGGCTGCATAGTATTCCATGGTGTATGTGTGCCACATTTTCTTAATCCAGTCTATCATTGTTGGACATTTGGGTTGGTTCCAAGTCTTTGCTATTGTGAATAGTGCCGCGATAAACATACGTGTGCATGTGTCTTTATAGCAGCATGATTTATAATCCTAATTTATTTATTTTTAAACTTTTATTTTAAGTTCAGGGGTATGTGTGTAGGCTTGTTATATAGGTAAATTCGTGTCACAGGGTTTGTTGTACAGATTGTTTTGGCACCCATTTACTAAGCCTAGTACCCAATAGTTATTTTTGCTGCTCCTTTCCCTCCTCCCAGCCTCCACCCTCAAATAGGCCCCAGTGTGTGTTGTTCCCCTCTTTGTGTCCATGAGTTATCATCATTTAGCTCCCACTTATAAGAGAGAACATGCGGTATTTGGTTTTCTGTTTCTGCGTTAGTTTGCTAAGGATAATAACCTCCAGCTCCATCCATGTTCCCGCAAAAGACACAATGTCATTCTTTTTTATGGCTGTACGGTATTCCATGGTATATAAGTACCACATCTTTTTTATCCAATCTGTCATCGATGGGCATTTAGGGTGATTCCACGTCTTTGCTATTGTGAATAGTGCTGCAATGAACATTTGTGTACATATGTCTTTATAGTAGAATGGTTTATATTCCTACCCAAAGAATGGGATTTCTGGGTCGAATGGAAATTTTGTTTTTAGGTCTTTGAAGAATTGACACACTGCTTTCCACAATGGCTGAACTAAATTTATGCTCCCACCAACAGTGTTTAATTGTTCCCTTTTCTCCACAACCTTGCCAGCATCTATTATTTTTTGACTTTTTTAAAATTTGCATTTCTCTGATGATGGGTGATATTGAGCTTTTTTAAATATGCTATTGGCCACATATATGTCTTCTTTTGAAAAGCATCTGTTCATGCCCTTTGCCTACTTTTTAATAGGGTTGCTAATTTTTTTCTTATTAATTTGTTTAAGTTCCTTATAGATGCTGGATATTAGACATTTGTCAGATGCATAGTTTGCAAATATTTTCTCCTATTCTTTAGGTTATCTGTTTACTCTCTTGATAGTTTCTTTTGCTGTGCATAAGCTCTTAAATTTTGTTAGATCCCATTTGTCAATTTTTGCTTTTGTTGTGATTGCTTTTGGTGTCTTCCTCATGAAATTTTTGCCTGTTGCTGTGTCCAAAATGGTATTACCTAGATTGTCTTCCAGGGTTTTTATAGTTTTGGGTTTTACATTTAAGTCTTTCATCCATCTTGAGTTGATTTGTGTATATGGTGTAAGTAAGGGGTCCAGTTTCAATCTCCTGTATGTGGCTAGCCAGTTACTGCAGCACTGTTTTTTGAATAGGGAGTCCTTTCCCCATTGCTTGTTTTTGTCAGCTTTGTTGAGGATCAGGTGGTTGTAGATGTGTGACCTTATTTCTGGCCTCTCTATTCTGTTCCATTCATCTGTGTGTCTGTTTTTATACCAGTACCATGCTGTTTTGGTTACTGTAACCCTGTAGTATAGTTTGAAGTTGAGTAATGTGATGCCTCCAGCTTTTTTTGTTGTTGTTTAGGATTGCCTTGGCTATTTAGGCTTTTTTGGGGGGTTCCATATGAATTTTAGAGGTTTTTTTTTTTCTAATTCTGGGAAGAATGTCATTGGTAGTTTGATAGAAATAGCATTGAATCTGTAAATTGCTTTCGGTGGTATGGCCATTTTTACGATATTGATGCTTCTTATCCATGAGCATGGAATGCTTTTCTGTTTGTTTATGTTATCTCAGATTTATCTGAGCAGTGGTTTTGTAATTCTCTTTGAGAGATTTTTCACCTCCCTGGTTAACTGTATTCCTAGGTATTTTATTCTTCTTGTGAATATTGTGAATGGAAGTGTGTTCCTGATTTGGCTTTCAGCTTGGCTGTTGGTGGTGTATAGGAATGCTAGTGATTTTTGTACATTGATTTTGTATCCTGAAACTTTGCTGAAGTTATCAGCTAAAGGAGCTTTGGGACCAAATCTATGGGGATTTCCAGATATAGAATCATGTTATTTGCCAACAGGATAGTTTGACTTCCTGTCTTCCTATTTGGATGCCTTTTATTTCTTTTTCTTGCTGTATTGCTCTGGCCAGGACTTCCAATACTATGTTGAATAGGACTGATGAGAGAGGGCATCCTTGTCTTGTGCCAGTTTTCAAGGGGAATGCTTCCAGGTTTTGCCCATTCAGTATGATGTTGGCTGTGGGGTTGTCATAGATGGCTCTTATTATTTTGAGCTATGTTCCTTCAATACCTAGTTTATTATAGAGAGTTTTTAACATGAATGGGTGTTGAATTTTATCAAAGCCATTTATGCATCTGTTGAGATCAAGTGGTTTTTTTCTTTAGTTCCATTTATGTGATGAATCACATTTATTAATTTGAGTATGTTGAACCAACTTTACATCCCAGGGATGAAGCATACTTGAACATAGTGGATTAGCTTTTTGAAGTGCTGCTGGATTCAGTTTGCAAATTTTTTTTTTAAGGATTTTTGCATCAATATTCATCAGGGATATTGGCCTGAAGTTTTCTTTTCTGTTGTGTCTCTGCCAGGTTTTGGCATCAGGATGATGCTGGCCTCATAGAATGAGTTGGGGAGGATTCCCTCCTCAATTTTTTGGAATAATTCTGGTGGGAATGGTACCAGCTGTTCTTTGTACATCTGCTAGAATTTCGCTGTGAATCCACCTGGTCCTGGGGTTTTTGTTTGTTTGTTGGTTGGTTGGTTGGTTGGTTGGTAGGCTATTTATTACTGATTCCGTTTCAGAGCTCATTATTGGTCTGTTCAGGGAACCAATTTCTTCCTGGTTCAATCTTGGGATGGTGTATATGTCCATGAATTTATTAATCTCTTCTAGGTGTTCATAGTATTTTCTGATGGTTATTTACATTTCTGTGGAGTCAGTGGTAGCATCCCCTTTGTTGTTTCTAGTTGTATTTATTTGGACCTTCTCTCTTTTTTTCTTTATTAGTCTAGCTAGTGGCCTATATATCTTACTAATTTTTCAAAAAACCAACACCTGAATTTTTTGATCTTTTAAATAGTTTTTCATATTTTCTAATTCTTTATGATCTTCCTTAGACCCCAGTTGGGTTTCGATGGGGGTTGTTTTTGTTTTTGTTTTTTGCTTTTTTTCTTAAATTGTGACACTTAGAAATTTTCTCAGTCCTCTCATGAAGAGCTGACCAGTACAGCATCTAGTAGTCATTTCTTGCTAGGGTTCACATAAATGCAGCTCAGCTGCATTTTTTTAATAACAGGCTTATTGAGGTATATTTCATAGACCATAAAGTTCACTCACTTAAAGTGTACAATTCATTGGCTTTTAGTATTTTCACAAGGTTGTACAACTACCACCAATATCTAATTCCAGAACATTTTCATCATCACTCCACAAAGTAACCCTGTACATATTAGCAGTCACTCCCCACTCCTCCCTCCCCCAAGTCCTAGAATCCACTCATCTCCATTTTGTCTATATGGATTTATCTATTGGCTTGTTTTTCATGGCATAATGTTTCCAAAAGATCCATTTTCTGACCATGGTAAAGCATCTGAACAGTTGGTAGAATGAAGCTGGAGAATCTACTACTCTGAAGATGGATTGTGAGCTCCATAAGAACACAGTAGATGATAAATAGTTCAGATGATAAATGAGTGGAAACACATAGGATCAAATATACAACCATTGAGCTGATACCTTAATATTTATGATTAAATCTAAATAAACAAAGAAGGAAATGTCTATTTGTACTCCTGGTGATATTTTGTAATCACTTAACTGATATGGGAGGAAATAGACTGAATTTTGCACCAGCAACAGTGCTGCATCTGACACTTTTCAGATTTGCTTCAAATTCAGAAATACTAGTATAGCTATTTGGTAGGCAGAATAATAGCCACCCCCACAAAGATGTCCATCCTTGGAAACCATGAATATGTTATGTTGCATGCCAAAAGAGAATTAAGGTTACAGATGAAATTGAGATTGTTAGCTTCTGATTTGAGATTGGAGATTATCCTGGTCTATCTGGGTAGGCTCAATTTGTCATAAGGGTCCTTATAAACAGAGAAGGGAGTGGAAGGGGAGGTCAGAGTTACATGAGGATATAACTATGGAAGAAAGGCACAGAGAGATGCAACATTGCTGGCTTTGAAGATGAGGGAAGAGAGCCACAAACTAAGGCGTGCAAGCACCTACTAGAAGCTGGAAAAGGCAAAGAAATGGATTTTCCCTTAGAGCCTCTGGAAAGGAACTCAGCCCTATGGACACTTGATTTTTGCTCAGTGAGACCCATTTGAGAATTCTGGCCTCCATAACTGTAAGATGAGAAATTTTTCTTGTTTAAAGCCTTTAAGTTTTTGGTAATTTGTTACAGCAGACATTGGAAACTAATATAAGACATGACCAGCATTCATGCAGTCCAGTTAGAGCAATGATTTTGGTTAAAACTGTGACTAGAAAGATCTCCCACTCTTTCTCCTCCCATGCCAGTTAAATATGAATCTCTGGCCCACTCACTTCTGGGTGATGGAGAAAGAAGGGTTCAGGTTTAAACAAGCTGAATTTAAAGTGATGGTGAATATCTAAATTAGTTTGATAGTTGTGGGACTCTTGTTTTCCATGTAGCTCGGCTGTAGGGAATTGGTATAATCTCTAAGGGCTAGAATATCACAAGAGAAGAATAGAGTGTTGAGAGACAATGAAAATGAGAAAAGAAGTGCTTGAGATCCTAGGATATACCACCATTTTTTTGTAAGGAAACAGACTTTGCAACTGAAGGGATAATACCAGAGTGAATAAATTACAAACAGGGGTTGTATGAACTCCTTCCTTGGAGAAGTATCAGTGGTAACTGATAAGATTGATTAATCCAAGTACAATATTGATCAAGTGGAAGAAGAGTAAAATCATCCCCAGGGTTCCAGTACAAAAGTCACAGTCACTAGTTCATCCGGCTTAAAGATTTTGTTGTCTGATACACAGACAAGCCTCCCCTGCTAAAAACTCCATGTGAGCGTTTTAAATAATTTGGACTTAGTGCTTTATTCTTTGACTCTAAATAAAGTACGATGTCTGGAAATCATTGTATTTTATTTAGTTTCTTTCCCAACTCTGCTGCTTGCAAAACAATGTAAAAAAAAAAATCATTACTGTTAAGTTCACAGGGCTGTTAAAATTCTAGAGATGGCTTATTTAATTTGACAAACTGGCTTGTTCAGGGGCTCTGATCTGCATCCATTATGTGAATTTTGTCAAAATAATTCCCGATGTCCGCCTGTGTCTGCATACATTATCAATATGTAATAATGCATTCTGCCTCGTCTTTATTTTAATTAAATTAAATTGCAGCAGTTTGGAGTCCTGGAAGTTCAGGAAATCAGCCATCCGCTGTTAGTAGCTCTGCTATAAACAATTCTATTTTTCTTCAAGGTTATTGGCAACAACAATTGCATAATTATTTAGTATAGTAGTTTGGCAACGAAGAATGGTGTTTCTGGGAAAACTAGACTTCCTAAAGGTTCACGACACATAGGAGTCTGTCTAAATTGTGTTAGAGAGAAACAGGGGAACATTAATAGTAATAGGTGCTAAGCTATGGTTGCTTTGTGCACACAAAACATTCCTGAGAACGATGCTTTAGCGTTCATAAATTTCCCTTCAGTAAAACCTAAGCAGGTTGGGCAGCCACAAAAATAGCATCCACTGAATATTTTAATAATAAATGAGTAGTGCTTTACAATTTGCAAACTACTTTCACATATATTATCTCATTTTAATCCTTATAACATTCCTGCCTGGTAGGCATGGCAGAATTAGCATGATCTTCATGTTGCAGAGGGGGAAACTGAGGGTCAGAAAGAAAAAGTAACTGGCCTAGAGTCCTGTACAGAGCAGGGATTCAAACTCAGGTCTCCCAGTCCTGAGTTGTGTATGCCTTTCAATGCTGCCTCTCCTCACTAAAGTAACCAACCCACCTTACTGAGTACCCAATTCAATGCCCCAGTGGTTTTCTATCAGAGAAGCTAGCAGAGATAATAATCTTTCATCATTTCTCTCCACTCATGAATTCATAATCGTTAACTGAAAGCAGGGCTGTTTTATCCATTCAACTTCATAGGCACAGTGCCAAGGATATGAGATTTTCACGGACCTACAAAATGTTTGCTACCTAAAAAACCAGTTTATTGTCACCAGAAGATGAAAAGGAAATCTGAAAATCAACGTTAATAAATGTTTAAATAAGTGTCTGAAAAATGGAGCACCATGTCAGCTTGTGAACTACAACTCAATTTTCATCCTTACATATGAAATATGTTTAATGTAGGATATGAGTTGTATACATTTTAATATGGGTTATAAGATATAGGATATCCAAAAGTAAGAGTTCCTACCAAGGTTTTCAAATGGCCTTCACTAATACTTTCATAAGCAAGTGGTCTTGTGCCCATTTCAAACTGCTGGTCACACCCATTAGTAGACTGTGAAATCTATTTGGTGAGTCAACCAGCGTTTTCGTTTTGAAAAATTGAATAGAATGTGATGGAATATAATAGAACCGAAGTGAACAGAATTAAATAGAACATACCAGAATGTGATGCTACAAAGACAGTATTGTCTCAGAAAAACTTCAAGTGTGTGTGTGTGTGTGTATCTCCCCATGTGGATGCTGGGTCACAATTAACGAGTTGTGTTTCTCATCATGACTTTCAGACATGAAAGTTTAAAAGCCATTGGTAAGATGATAAGCCCAGAAACAGAAAAATTAAATGACTTATCAAACCATGTGACTTATTTTCCAAATCAGCATTTATGACTGTTCTTGTCTTCTGGTCCCCTCTACCAACCCATATCAGAGGGGACTACGGAGGTATGCCTTCAACATTGAGTGACCACATAATTTATCATTCAAACCAGATACTTTTGAGAGTAAAAGGAGATACTGTTAATAATTACATCAAGAAAACAACATAACCAAGCACCATTTTTGGCCATTTGGGTTACATGGCACCTCTACTTCAAGGCTATCCCTAGCTTCCAGTCCTTGTCTCTTAAATTCTGAACAAATAAAAAGTTATTTATTTAGCACTACTGAATTGCGGGTCTTCCCCCTTAGTAGCTGTTATCTAGCATAGTAGATGAAAGCATTTGCCTATGAATTACTGGGTTTGAGCTCTGGCTTTGCCATTTACTAACCATGTGACCTTGGACTTAATAACTTCATTTCTTTGAGTCTCTATGATATCTATCAAACTGGAGTAAATATAGTTTCCTCATGAGTTTGAGTCTTCAAATTAGGTCATATGCACAAAAACATATCTAATTGTTATGTATTATACAAATGTAAGGCATATTATTTTGTGGTAATTATTAGGGAGATCATTGATAAAAATTCCAGAAAGTAGGCTGGGCATGGTGGCTCACGCCTGTAATCCCAGCACTCTGGGAGGCCAAGGCGGGTGGATGACCTAAGGCCAGGAGTTCAAGACCAGCCTTGCCAACATAGTGAAACACCGTCTCTACTAAAAATAAAAAAAAAATTAGCCAGGCGTGGTGGCACATGCCTGTAATCCCAACTACTCGGGAGGCTGAGGCAGGAGAATCACTTGAACCTGGGAGGTGGAGGCTACAATGAGCCGTGATCACACCACTGCACTCCAGCCTGGGCAACAAGAGTGAAACTCTGTCTAAAAAAAAAAAAAAAAAAAAAAAAATTCCAGAAAGTAGGTAATCCTTCAAGGTATGGCTTCTCTCACATGAAAAATTATCCTTCCCTGTATAATATTCAGTATATCTCCAGTGCTTCACAGATCACCTGCCTGGCACGTAGAGCAGCTTGGCGAAGGTTTGCTGTGTCATTAAATAACAGCACCTCACTTTCCATTACAATATTGAATCCCTTTTAGTCGGTCACATTGTTTCAAAGGATAGCCAGTCCATTTTCAAGGTGAGTCTGTTTCCAAAACCCCTGCCTCCCCTCAAAATATGCCTAAATACTGCTAGGGGATAGTAATCTTACAATTTTTTACTGGGTAGGGACAGGGAGGGTTGTTGTTCTTCACTTGTTTTTGATGCACTGGAGAGAAACTGACTCTCTAGCCACCCTGACCTTCTTTAAATCTCTCAATAGCTACCAAGTCTCAAGGCCTTCCACACATGCCACTCTCTCTGCCTAGAATGCCCTCCCCTATAAAGGTAAACCCTTTCTTGGTAAAGAGGCTTTTCCTTGCCTCCACAGTCCAACATAAATTTCCTGGTTACACTCTCTCATAATGCTCAGCATTCTCCCATCATAACCTTTATTACAATTTGTGTTTGTGTGTGTGTGTGTGTGTTTGTGTGTGTGTGTGTGTTATTTGTTTTACTTTTATATTTGTTCTTCCCACTTGAATATAACCTCCACTGGGGGGAGGGATGCTGTCTTGTTCAACCTCATATCCCCAGTGCCCCACAAACTGCCTGTCAACAAGAGGTACCCATGAAATATTGCATATTTGTTGAATGACCGAACAAAGAAATGAATACCAACAGAGGATCAGGGTGATCCCTTAGCCTTGCCTATATAATGGAATGGTGGGTCTGCCCAGAGAGAGGAGGGCAGTGCCCAGGTACACAAAGGCACTCACAAATGTTATACATGAGCCAGTATATCACTCTGCCTTTGATGGCAATATAGGTTATCCATGTTGGCTTTTATGCAGCTAGGCTTGGACAAAGCAGCCAGAAAAAAATCTCATAATATCAGGTTTTACTGTACGGAACCTCTTGGCAAAAGTGTTGCATAGCTGTCTCACTCCTGGATTCTTTTAATTTCCTACCTGTACTTTCTCTTCATTCAACTGCCTCACTCTAACACTATCATATTTAACCCTTATTTTTGTAAATAGATAGGGTAAAGATCTTAAGTCAGGGATTGCCAAATCAAATCCAGTGATTCACTGAAAGGATAATACATCATGTCCAGGTAAAGTTTATTTTAGGGCAAGAAAGATGGTTCAACGTTAGGAAATCTATTGCTATAATTCACTGTCTTAACAGATTAAAGGGGAAAACTATGTGAATTTGTCCGTAAGTGTCAAAAAGACACTTGATGAAAATTCAACACCTGATTCTGACACTCTTAGTAAGCTAGGAATAATAGATAAACAAAGTATTTCAGGCCACTGGGCAGTGTGTCAAATTGAGAAACCTCTGGGCTCATCCTATCCTACGATAAATCACTAGAGAATAGGGAAAGATAGAAGAATCTCTGAGAGCAGGTACTTGTTTTACATAGATAGTATTTTGTCTACATAGTATTGGTCTATTTTGCCATGGCCTTCATTTGGTTCTTTCGGTTTTTTGTCTTTTGTTGTTGTTTTTGTTTTTGCATTAATCTTGTATTTTAAAAGAATGGAAAATATTTATTGCTATATTCAATAATTCCTTTCGGAGAAGAAGATTTTCATCTTGTAATTAGGTACCTTTTAAATATCATGAAATTATTTTTAGATGTTCCCTGAGTTCATGAAGGTAACATGTAAATTTCTCACATTGACTATCAGACGACTTGTAATTATATATTGCCTTCATAAATGCAACCATTATAAATTCTGAGGCCTTAGCCTGAAGCTGTTGAAAGTCATCTGCTTAATCTTGTCATATTTCACACGTCAGCTTCATTGCATGGCACCTTTACCTTGGCTACTTAATGTCAATCTCCTATCCTAGCCCTTATAGATGAATGTCACAGTAACTAAACTAAGTTATCAGGGACGCCGTGACCCTCAGCCTTCTTGCCATCCCCATGTCATACAAATGCTGCTGCTCTGATAAGTAGAATGAACATTCAGTTATTTTTCCAATGTCAAATGGCTTTGGAGGAGCAAGCTACAATCTTTTACTCAGTCTTCTTTACAAGCCAGTGTAATATTTGCAAGATGACTAACAGTGAAGTCAGAGGTGCAATCCTGTGACCAGAGGATAGAATCCTCTGCAAAAGTAACACGACTATCTAGACAATTAGTGACTCTTGGTTAAGGAGCATTCCGTTAATATCTCTGTGTGGAGGTGAAGGAGAGAATACAGGAAGGCAGAAATCCAGATGAAATTAGAAGAGTCACAAGGGAGGTGATCACATGGCTCAGAGAAAGTATTATTCCATAATAATTACTCACTCTCAACTGCCTTCTCAATATATGCACACCAGCACGAACCCATTATGCTAACCCCTGGGAAGTGTAGTCCAGGACCCCTTATCCACTTATTCCTGCTCACTGCCAGTCTAGTCTACTTTCTACAGCTTCTCTGAGATGTTAATGAATTTTTTTTTCCTTTCTATTACACTATTCTCCCTAGTCCCTACTCCAGAGTGCTAGAGACTGAATCCGTGCCCTGTACCATGCTATGTTGATGATCAGACGTGATAGACAACAGGCCGCCTGGGAAATGGTAGTGGTCCACTGTGCTTATTTAGCTGAGGCTCAGCTGTCATAGTGTCAGGCAGAGCATGGTGTCAAGACAGGGTTTTCAGTGCCAGCTGCAGTGTAACCTTTTTTCCCTATATTTAATTATGTGAAAAAAGTAGGCATTTAGTGCATTATAGTCTGCTTCCATGACAAAGTCTAGGATTAGTTGCTACTGTATTTGCTAGTTCTTGTGAGCTTGGAGAGAAGCTCAACTCCATGGGGTGAAACATTTGCCTTCTCATAAGCTGATTGCAAGTTCCAGGATTATGTTAAAGTGGGCTGCTGTGAGAAAGAAACTTTGCCTTGTTACCCTGAGCAAGGAGCCACATACGAAAATACCCCGACACACAGCTATCCTCATTAAAGTCAGCTGGAAATTTTGGACAAGTCTTAAATATAAATTATAACTTCATTAGCTCATAGAGCTTTCTTGGGAGAAAGTAAATCTAATAAAAATTAGAGGGAACTTAGTAAGTGGTTGCCTTGTTGCTATTTGCTGTGGCTGGGGAAAAAAAGTAATATAATTGTGGGGTTTGCAGCCAATGCACTTTTTTGTTGTGAACTGGAGAGCAATTCAGAGAGCAGATAGGAGGAGGTGAAAAGAGTATGTATGTCTCATTACCACTGCATTGAGAACTCCTTAATTGATGCTTTATGTAAGCATTTCCTGCTGCAGAGTTGGGAGGATCTTTAACTGTTACTGAGAGAGAAAAAGCAGGCTCCAAACCACCATCACAGGTCACCAGGGCACACTACTTATTTGCAAAACTGCGCAATCACCTTCCGGAGAAGGGATTCTTAGGAGAGCTCACCAGACTTACAATGTACAGAAGGCAAATCCAGTAATTGCCAGGAGTACTGTGGGGAAGGAGATGATGGCTTTAAGGGAACTTGTAATTATTGTCGTTGTGATTATTTATTAATCAAGACTTTTAAATGTTGGCAGGAGAAGCAGAAACTGTGTTATCCTACACACCAACATGGCCCTCAGTGTGCTCTCTAACCACCTGATTTTTCCAGCATAAGATTCAGTGTTCTATTTGGCTTTTGGGTTTGATCCTCAACCAGAAGTTACCAAATGTAATCTAGAAAGAATGCAATTTAGAGTGTTAGTGCTAAAGAAGGATTAAAAGGATTGTCTACTACAGTTGTCTTTGATCTGAGATCTTTATTTGGACTTCAGAAAGTCAGTGAACTCCCTAGAGTTATATAGAAAATTTTGTACGCATATGCATTTTTCCAGGAAGAATGTCCATAACTTTAATTAGACTCACAACAAAGTGCTCCCTGACCCAAAAGCGTCTAAGAACCACCAGTTCTAGTCACTCCCTCCCACTACGCTACCAGTGAAAAGCCCAACTCCAGAAATGGAGAATAACTTGCCTGAGCCCACACAGCTAGTTAATGATAGATCTGAGAGTTGAAGTCTTTTCTAACTCTTGGTCCAAAACCAACTCTTTGCACTTTACCAGAGTTGTTTTAGCAAGTAGAGGGGCTGTAGGAGATACCAGGGAGACTGTAGACAGTATTGATTTGTACCATAAGTGTAACGAACTAGATTACCTTTGAGATCCCTTTCCCCTCTGAGAGTCTATTTCCACTGTTAATAGAGAACAGCATTGACAGAGACGATTAGTTTCCTCCCCCGCCCCCAGTCCGTTGGCCTCTGTTGCTAATAACGCTTGGTTGAGGATTATATTAAAATGAGTCTGCATTTCATGAGTCTTTACCAGCTGATGGCTGATAGAAGGGCATCCCCGCCAGGAATGGCTACATAATTTGCAGGGCCCAGTGAAATGAAAACGGAAATACAGAGCCTCTTGTTTAAAAAGTATTACAAACTTCAAGACAGTGACTGCAGAGCATTAAATCAAGTGTGGGGCCCTCCTAAGCATGGGTCGTATCCATGAAGATGGCCCTGATCCCTGTTATAAGCTTTGGTAGAGTGGAGGACAAAGAGAAGCCAGCCTGCAATTTAAAATTGGCCACAAATGATCCACAAAGTCAGAGAGTTGGATATTTGTGATTACAGGGACTTTTTGGCTTCTCTGTGAATGTGCTCACATACACATGCACATGCACATGCACACACAAATCAGTTTGACTAAAATTACCATCTTTTCCCTTCACCTAATGCCAAAAACCAAAACCAGTTGGCTTTATTTTTTCACTTTCGGACCTATTGTTCTGGCATTGTTTAAGCACGCATTTTCACTTCCAGTTTTCATAACCAAATGACAAAGGAAGGACTGAGCTCTTCAGGGGCATCTAAAGAGTCAGGCAGAGGCAGGTACTCGAAAGCTATGGCAGACCACAGACCAACAGGGGCTATTTTAAGCTGCCAGAAAGAGGGAAAGCCGCTTCAGGATATGCAGTATAATGAGCCAGTGTTCTCAGGCTTAGAACATTATGAGGATAGAAAGCATTGTAAATTTAAGAATCAGAAATCTGGGGTTCCAACAGGTGAGCAGGTTTCCAAGAGGGAAAATGGCTAGGACTTGGTATACTTAAGCTATACATAGTTCAGTAGAGCAAAGACTCTCAAGCTACCACATTCTGCATTTCACATTTCAGTGGCATACCGAGGTTCCACGTTTAATGTACAACATCTGTGCTGCATAGCAGTTGAGGACAAATGTTGGGTGATGTCCCATTGGTTAGTTATATGCAGAAACCAAAACATAACGTGCACAAAGTGGAATTTACACTTGCAACACTCTAAGCAAACTTAGTCTCAGCAAACCAAAAGCCAGTTAGCACAGGAAAACATAAATTGGGCAAATCCATTTGTATTAGTTGCATATGTAGTTGGTTGCTGTATAAGTGACCTAGTACTCCAAAGGCAGCTTGCTGAGTGCATTTTTCACTATAGTGGTAAAAAACCAGCCCTACCTGCACTTCTCCTACAAAGGCAGAGAGAAATACTACCACAGCTTAATCCTGCAGAAAGCATCTCTCTTCAGTTTTACAGCACAGCCTCCAACCCAAAAGCCCAAAATAAAGCCTAATGTCCATAAACATATGGTACCAACCTAATAAGAGCATTTATTTACTCACTCCTTCATATATTTATCCGATATGCCCTGATCACTTTTGAGTGACCAATGCTATGCTAGATGCAATGTTGTACTGTGCTAGGTGAAAGAAATTTGCAGTCAAATTTCAACTCTAATCAGAATTCAGTAGCCAAAGTGATATCCACAGAATTATCAACTAGTATAAACATGAAGCAAATATTTTACAGTTTTCTAATGTGCTGTTAACTCTTTGTTTGCAGTATCTGTGGGATATGAATATGAAACGTGCCCTGACTTTATTCTCTGGGAGCAAAGGACAGTCGTTTTACAAGGTTTTGAGATGGATGCTTCTAACCTAGGAGGCTGGTCTTTGAATAAGCATCACATTTTGAATCCTCAAAGTGGTAAGTAGCTTTTTAAATTTGTATGAATACTACTTTCCTAATGCTGTATAATACATATTTATTGCAGAAAATTTGGAAAGTACAAGATAAAAATTACTTGTGAGAATACTACTTAGAGATGACCGCATTAAACATAATAATTCTATTTTGAATTACTCTTAGTGTGGTAAGAATCGGAACACTCTCATCTTAATCTATCCCTTCTTTGGACCACTCTCCCTGCTGTTCTCCTTGTTTGCGATTTAAATGTTAAACAAATCAGGAGAAGGGGGCAGAGGTGGCCCCTGAGTTTGTGCTTTTCCCAGACAAACTGAGTTTGCTACCCTGGTTATAACTCCTTCATCCAAGTTCCTTCACCTACTCTTGCATCTTAGTGGGAAACCCGTCACTGGTGTTTTCATACAGCTTTCCTCTGAGCGTCTACTGTGAAATCATATCCCTTTTCATCTAAAGAGACAGATTCTGAACAAGCTATAGTAGGACATGTACATTGGGTTATTTTTCCAGAATTGGGGATCAGAATGTACTGAAGCCCCTACACACTTCCATCCAGCCATCCTTGTATCCATCCTAACTTTGTGGAACAGGTGGTTAAGGCGAGGCGATCTTATAAGGCCATGAACTGACCAAACTAAGGGATCCATTTTATAATCACACCTATGATATCACTTCATCTGTACTATAGCCAAATCAGCTATGTCAACCAGCCCCACAGGCTGAGAAACTTTGAATGGCAAAGCTAACCAGATTTACTTCAACCATAGAAAGAGACCGCCTACTATAGTCCCAGTGTGGGACTCTGAAGGTGAATGAGTCTATTGCTGTATGCCCCCATTATAACTCTTTCTCCTCCTTCAAGGAAGATTCTGAATTCCATATCAAACAGTTTATTTTTTTTTAAGAGCAAAGATTCAGGCTGAGATATAAAAGGTCAACTTTTTTCTGTTGTCAAAAGGAAAGCCACAGTTTTAAAAGTACAAAAATGAAAGGGCAGATGCCACTTATTAAATTATTAGGTTTTCTGTTTTGATTTGAAAGAGTTTGACATTTTAAGCAGCCGTTTCTTTTCCACTCACTTATATTGGCTTGTATGGATTGTCTCTTTCAAATGCCTGTCATTGACATTAAACACAAAGTGGGAAATGACCTCAATCGAGCCAGCCCCCAGCTGTGTGCTCCCAGTCTTGTATCCTCTTACCATTTGCTTCACACAGACTTGAAACATTCAGAACAGAAGGGAGTCATTCAGAAAGTTGGCTTTGGGGGGGGCCCCCTGATTTTCACAAATGTGTTATCTCCAATTCACCAGTAATTAGTTTTTAGGTAATAGGCATCAAATTATTTCTGAGAATTTTTAACAGCTTTATTGAAGTATAATTTATACATCATAAAATTTACCCATTATAAATGTACACTTCAGTGATTTTTAGTAAATTTGTAGTTGTGCAACCATCACCAAAACCCAGTTTTAGAATATTTTTATCACCCCCAAAAGATTTTGTGTGCTCATTCACAGCCCCACTAAATCTGCTTGTGTTTCTACCTTTCTGAGAAATTTATTCTGAGAAAGAAGCCTTCCTTTGGATAGTCTTTTAAAAAGGAACATTTGTTCATTTTATCATCTCATTTGTAGATGTGTATTTCCAACCAAGAACTCATCACACTTGCCGGGAAACAGATCTGAAGCCAGCTCTGCTGCTGCCTTTCAGCCTGACCTTGGACACGAAAACCTCTCTTGGGATGTTTTCGAAGTCTAAATCCCACCCACAAAGGCAGTTTTAGAGGCAGGAATGATAAGTGTGATGGAGCAGCTTTGGGAAGACCAATTTAGAAAGCAATGCTCTTTCCCCCTCGGGTCAGACAGTCTTTTCTGACTGATTAAGCTGATTAAGGCAAGAGCAACATCTCTCCAAATTCCCCCACTCTGCTTCTCTCTGGAAAAAAACGTAACTCTTTAGGCATCCTGCTTTTTTGATCAGAGACAGATAGCAGATTAAAAACAAGAATCTATCTTCCCCCAGTTTCCTCTCACTGGTTAAAAAGACACCTGTAATTAGACTGGATGTCTGTTGCCATTCTATTCTTCAGTTTTCTTTGGCTCCAAAATCATTATGCAATGGGTAGTTTCTAGCAGGCAGTGTTTTCAGACCATTTGTCATTTCCATTGCTGCAATTATATTTACCTGACAGTTAACCATTGGTTGTGGAGAATTGTTTCCCAATATTAGGCCTGATATATAAAGATGGTTCTGATTTTCACTGAGATAAAAACATCAGAAACTTGTGGTTTTCAACATTATTCCTTTTAAGTTCATCTTCTTAGTGATTATAAAGAGGGTATATTCATTCATTTTAAGAAAACTCAGTTCTTTAAAATTATAAGAAAGTTGTGCATATCTGTTACAGAACTAAGCTATTTGTTTGGTGTATCTTTTACCAAACATATCCCCTAGGGTTTCCTGGCAGTCGAGTGTTTAAAATTATTAAAAAGAACAATCTAGGGCACTAAGTGGGTATTGTCATCTGTCTCAAAATTGGTAAAGAATTTCTTTTAACTTATCCTCCAAAATAGGCCAGTAGTTTGCCGACAAATGGTTTTACTGGGAGGAGAAGTAAATGTCCATTGATCACACTGGCATACCTCCCAGTTTGTGTTTATATCCTCTCAGTCAAGTACTAAGAGAAATATGTGTTGTGTCTCTTTGTTGTTCATAAATCTGAAAAATGGTTTCTTCCTTGAAATCAGCATAAAGCACCACCCACTGGCTTTCAAGGAGATTTTTTATTTCAGACATATTTATAAGCATCAAAAGAAGTTCTGAACAAAGTAGCAAGAGGGTATGACTGGTATGTTTAAAAGTGTGCTTACCTTATTATACAATGGGCTTGGCTTTTTGGCAAAGAAAAGGAAAACTTTGAAGAGAAAATGTGCAGTAAGCCCCATTCAGTGGGGTTTCGTTAACTGTAAACAAGATACCCAATCCTTAGCAGGAAGTTGGCCTTCACATAAATAATGTGTGTTGTCCTAGGATCATTGGATTCCCTTTTCAAAATGAGCATGTGTGGCAGAAGAAACTGGAAAGGAGGCAGCAGTAATTGATCAAGATTTCTAGGAACATAAACAAAATATTTTCAAAGCAACATTTTGCAAAAGAATTGGTGTTAAATCATGGTTGCTAGATGGTATGCCCTGGTTCTGTGTAATGGAAGGTTAAACAGATTCTTGAAACAACAAAAACACCCTTCAAAATGATCTATTTTTCCAGGGCAATACAAAAGGGGTTTGCCCATTTTTGTTTTGATTGCTTCAGCTTTAAACAGAAATGGTCATTTCAGTACACGGGCACTTTAGTACCTTGCATGAAAGCCAGACATCAATTGTTGAGATGTAATCAGAAAGTACATTGCCTTATGTTTTATTTCCTTTAATCATTCTTCTTCTTTGATGGAGTGTTGGGCTTTCTAATAGAAAAGGGGAGTTTTAGAATTGCAGGCTTAGAAGAATGGTTTAGAATAGCCATCTTTAGTTCTAAAATTGCCAGGAGGCTGGTAATAACATGTCATTTTGAGGGTAATTGTTAACTATACCATTATATTGATATAAAAAAATGGAGATCTACCTGTGAAAATAGATGTTAATAGCAAATCTGGTATTTCCAAGCCAATAATTGGAAAGATTTTTGAATGATATACACTATAGTGCATTGCTGAAATACTGACATGCTAAACAGTGGTTTCCTCATTTATTAAAGAACATATCATAGTCTCATTTGTAGAATATTCTGTTAGCAATCATCGGGAGATTTCTCTTCAATGATGTTGTGCAACTGTCATTCCAGTTCTCATTCACCTCCTCCTAATTTATTTGAATTACAATATTGACCACACTGCAATTAAATGTTTTTTGAGAAAAGAAATTCAGTCCTATTCATCTTACTTAATTAACTATTCTAAATCTTAAGAAAGGTCCCTACTACCTAATAAAGTTATTAATAAAATAATAAGAAAGTAGTGATCCTCAAGATATCTCATAGTTCTGCAATAAAAGACCAATTTGTTAGGGCATAAACTCACAGCTGCTCCTGCAAATCATGTGTTGCAAAAGTAGCCAGAAATCACCCTGGAAGGAAAAGTAAAAATGCTTAAATTTGAAATCCAATACTATATGATGGATGGGATTTCTGTTTGCTGGAAGGCCCTTTCCAACCATATATTCCACCATGGTATTATAGCATGTTTTACCCTCTTGTTTATTTTTGCCAGCAATGTTCCTACCTCAGAGTGATCAATAGTTTCTGTGGTAGGACTGTGGTACCCAAAGTTGGAAGAAAACTAAAGAGACATTTCAGGAAATGTTTAGGGAGAATAACAGGCAATGCAAGGAGATAGACAGCAGGGGGAAAGGGAGAAAAAAATAAGGCTTAACTGTATAACTGCATTCATTCATTTGCTATTAGTGACTTCAGTCTGACACATGGGCATGCCTTCCCACAACATGGATGTTTCACCTGCCCTGGCTCACTCTGGGCTGACTTGAGCTATTTAGCACAGCAGTACTTGTTCCTCGGATTTTCTGCCCAGGCTCAGCAGGTTTGCAAAATCATTGGAATTTAGACAAGGAAACTACGAGAAACTCAAAGCCTATTTTCAACATTTACCGAGCACTTATAATGATTTGGCCACAGGGATTGGCACTAAAATGCAGAAAGGAGTAAGACAGAGGATCTGCCTTCAAGGAGCTCATTCATGTTCTAATGGGAAAGACAGAGAAGTAATAAAAACTGTATCACACATGTGGTAAATGTTATAACAGAGCTATGGAAAACAAACTATGGGCACACAGAGGAGGGAGTAACTGACTCTGCCTGGATGGAGCATTGAGGAAAACTGGAGCTGAGCTTTAAAGGATGAATAGAACCTCCCCAAGCAGACAAGATGAGGAAGGCATTCAAGATAAAGACAATAGCATGGACAAAAACATAGAGGAATGGAAGTAGGTGAAAGTAACCATAAGTAGTTTGTTCTGGCTAGATCTCAGGATATAGATGAAAGCATGATGAGAGGGGAGACTGAAGAAGTAGTCAAGGGCCAAATCATGAAGGACTTTTTGTGCCTTAACAGTAAGGAATGTGCCCTTTATCCTAAAGGGATATGGAGCTATTGAAAGGTATTAAACCACAGACTGAAATAATCTCTATGGCAGGAGTGGGGACGAAGATCTGGAAATGGATATGCATGGAGACCAGGAGACCAAGAAGTTAAGAAAAACTAAACTAATGTAGGAATAGGGGAGAAAGAACTGGTTTCAACACATTTTAAGGGATAGACTCAATGGGAGTTAATGATTAATCAGGTTTCAAGAATGGGGGGAAAGAAGAGCCATGGTGATGTCCAGATTTCCAATTTAGGTAATTGTATGCATGGTACAACCACTCACAAGATGATTAGGGAACACAAGAGGAAGAGCAGGGTTTGGGAGTGGTTGCAGAAAAATAATGAGTTCAGTTTTTGTATGTTCCAGTCTGAAGTAATTGCGGGGGATCCAAGTAAAGAGGTCTAGAAGGAAATGGCATGTCAGTTAAGAACTCTGGATGGGAGAAAGTTTCAGCATATAGAAATGGGAGTTAAAGCCGTGGGTATGGATGAGATTGCCCACACAGAATGTCTGCAAAGCATTTTCATAAGTCAGTATCTCTATTTCCTGCACTGATGATAGTGCGATATGGTCCAAAAGAGTGGAAAATTCAAGTTTCTTTCATATTTCTTTGAAGTGCATTCTAGCAGTAGGATTTCTTTTCTTTTCACAGAAGTAGATTACCTTCCTGATTGTGTTTTGCTAAGGTTAATATTAAAATTGACCGATATTCTCGTTTCAGGAACTGGTTTCATAGTGAGGGTAATTTGAAGTCAGACGGGTATGTGCTAGGCATCAGAAAAGAGCCAGCCAGATATGAAAATGTAGCCACAGATGATTCACAGAGCCCAGAGTGAATAGGTCATTAAAAGTTAGTCATCAAATGCTTTATTGAGTCATTTAGAATCAACATTACAAGGACTGGTTGTATTACCCTACTTCACAGATGGACAAACTGAGGCAAAGTATTATGCTACTATTTGTTGTGGTTATGCAGTTAAACAAAACCGAGGAAAGTGTGTGTTTCACTCTCAGGTTCTCTTATGCCAGGCCAAAGCTCCTTCCTGCTTGGGATGATGAAGAATAAATTAAAATATTGCTGAGATTATTTTGTGGTAATTGCTTTTCTTAAATTCTCTTTTTGTTTTCCTTGAATCTAGGAATCATACATAAAGGGAATGGAGAAAATATGTTCATTTCCCAGCAGCCCCCAGTCATATCAACCATAATGGGTAATGGACACCAAAGGAGTGTAGCCTGCACCAACTGCAATGGCCCAGCCCACAACAACAAACTCTTTGCTCCTGTCGCCTTAGCTTCTGGCCCTGATGGCAGTGTGTATGTTGGCGACTTCAATTTTGTAAGGAGAATATTTCCCTCGGGAAACTCCGTTAGTATTTTGGAATTAAGGTAAGTCTTCTCTAATCTCTATATATTTGCTTAGCAGATAAAGCAAAAAGCAAGATAATATGAAAAGACAAAGCACTGCCAGTAGAAGCAGAAAATGTAGTTGCCCCTATTGTAGCACTGAGTTAAGATGCAGGAATAGGGACAAAGGTCAACATGCTCACTCTTCCTACTTGAAGGATTGATCCTTTGAGCACTACTTTGGAGAAGCAGGAAGTGTTAACATCCCTGTATGTATGTCCTTCCCTGTAAACAGTGCTGACACTGACATGGATCTCAATACTTCCAAGCACTCAAGTAAGTCACTCATTCACTGCTAGCCACTGTGAAGACTCATCAAAACTATTCCATTCTAGTTGGGAGAGGTATTGTCAGATCCAAAAGGCTAAACTTCATAAGTTTTTATTTCCAATCTTTGGAAATGGTCATTTCATAAACAAGAAAACGGAAATCTGGTTTTCATGGCATGATAAAGGAGGGAGAAATGGTTCTTTACCCTTGAAAGCCCTACCCCATGATAATTAAAGCATTTATCTTTAAATTTTCTCACATGGTTTAGGAATTTTCTTGAGAGTACAAAGTATTTTGACACCTTTTGTAAGGAATTCGTAGCTTTTAGTATTCCATATCCTGAAGTTCCACAAAGATTATGACTAAATTGACTGTGGCTTAATTCACTTATTTCTTCCCTTTCTGAGATTATAAGACACAAATGTGTATCTTCTGGTGTTATAGAAAAGGGAAGCTTCTAGGGTTTTTATGGTGTTAGGTCTAACGTTTAAGTCTTTAATCCATCTTGAATTGATTTTTGTGTAAGGTGTAAGGAAGGGATCCAGTTTCAGCTTTCTACATATGGCTAGCCAGTTTTCCCAGCATCATTTATTAAATAGGGAATCCTTTCCCCAATGCTTGTTTTTCTCAGTTTTGTCAAAGATCAGATAGTTGTAGATATGCGGTGTTATTTCTGAGGGCTCTGTTCTGTTCCATTGATCTATATCTCTGTTTTGGTACCAGTACCATGCTGTTTTGGTTACTGTAGCCTTGTAGTATAGTTTGAAGTCAGGTAGTGTGATGCCTCCAGCTTTGTTCTTTTGGCTTAGGATTGACTTGGCGATGCGGGCTCTTTTTTGGTTCCATATGAACTTTAAAATAGTTTTTTCCAATTCTGTGAAGAAAGGCATTGGTAGCTTGATGGGGATGGCATTGAATCTGTAAATTACCTTGGGCAGTATGGCCATTTTCACGATATTGATTCTTCCTACCCATGAGCATGGAATGTTCTTCCATTTCTTTGTATCCTCTTTTATTTCCTTGAGCAGTGGTTTGTAGTTCTCCTTGAAGAGGTCCTTCACATCCCTTGTAAGTTGGATTCCTAGCACCATAAAAACCCTAGAAGAAAACCTAGGCATTACCATTCAGGACATAGGCATGGGCAAGGACTTCATGTCTAAAACACCAAAAGCAATGGCAACAAAAGACAAAATTGACAAATGGGATCTAATTAAACTACAGAGCTTCTGCACAGCAAAAGAAACTACCATCAGAGTGAACAGGCAACCTACAAAATGGGAGAAAATTTTCGCAACCTACTCATCTGACAAAGGGCTAATATCCAGGATCTACAATGAACTCAAACAAATTTACAAGAAAAAAACAAACAACCCCATCAAAAAGTGGGTGAAGGACATGAACAGACACCTCTCAAAAGAAGACATTTATGCAGCCAAAAAACACATGAAAAAATGCTCACCATCACTGGCCATCAGAGAAATGCAAATCAAAACCACAATGAGATACCATCTCACACCAGTTAGAATGGCAATCATTAAAAAGTCAGGAAACAACAGGTGCTGGAGAGGATGTGGAGAAATAGGAACACTTTTACACTGTTGGTGGGACTGTAAACTAGTTCAACCATTATGGAAGTCAGTGTGGCGATTCCTCAGGGATCTAGAACTGGAAATACCATTTGACCCAGCCATCCCATTACTGGGTATATACCCAAAGGACTATAAATCATGCTGCTATAAAGACACATGCACACGTATGTTTATTGCGGCATTATTCACGATAGCAAAGACTTGGAACCAACCCAAATGTCCAACAATGATAGACTGGATTAAGAAAATGTGGCACATATACACCATGGAATACTATGCAGCCATAAAAAATGATGAGTTCATGTCCTTTGTAGGGACATGGATGAAATTGGAAATCATCATTCTCAGTAAACTATCGCAAGAGCAGAAAACCAAACACCGCATATTCTCACTCATAGGTGGGAATTGAACAATGAGATCACATGGACACAGGAAGGGGAATATCACACTCTGGGGACTGTTGTGGGGTGGGGGAAGGGGGGAGGGATAGCATTGGGAGATATACCTAATGCTAGATGACGAGTTAGTGGGTGCAGCGCACCAGCATGGCACATGTATACATATGTAACTAACCTGTACAATGTGCACATGTACCCTAAAACTTAAAGTATAATAATAAAAAATAAATAAATAAATAAATAAAAGAAAAGGGAAGCTTCAACTCCTGTCTCCTTAAGAATAAACAAACCTGTTTCCTTTCCCCTGGGTAAACTGGTAGAGCCTTCTTTCTAGTTATGACAGCTGTATTCCTGACACATGCCTCTGGAACATTTGGCTTTAAGTTTCTCTATGTTCAGAAGATCTAGATGCTATCCTATGAACTATTCCATAAAACAATTTTTTCTTCAGGCATCTCCTCAATGACCTGACAAATAGTGATCAAATATAGTGACTAGAAGAGCATAGACATTGACAGAGCAACTTGTATGTGCATGGCATCATCAAAGCCAATTAAAACACATGAAAAGTCTTGGGTCATTTTCATTTAACACTTACTTTCACACAAGCATGTGAAAGTCCAAAGGGCATTTCTCAAAATTTTTCAGATTCTCATGCTTGCTATGGAATATACCTCCATTTTCTAATACTGAGTGTTATTCCCTAACACCTAGCTGGGGAAATCTTCTAGTCCCAAGCCCCCATCCATTTTTCACATTAATTCACTCCAGTTTTAATACATTTCTTAATTATAGTAGCAAAGGCTGTCATAGGGAAGAAAGCTGTTAAATCCTTTAGCTAATGAAAAAACAGACTGTAAAGTTAAGACTTTATAATAAAGACAAAGCACTTTTAGAGAGTCTAGAGAGGTACTAATTCATAGCACCCTACCCTAATCAAGTGTTCATGTACCTCAGAATGTTACACCTCATGGGGACTTGTCATTTCCAGCAGCATATCTCTTTGGGCACCTACTTACTGGAAAGTCAACAGGAAGGCCAAGATGGTTGCTTGTATGCCTGGATGTGGAAATGATTTATACAACAGTCCACATTGTTTTCAAAACCCTAGGGATGCTCTATCTATATAATGCCAAATATAGATGGGAGCGCTGAACAATTCATTCAACATCTGAATGTTTCCAGTCATCCAGACTGTCAGGTAGACAGAGACCTTTTCTTGCTGAGTCTACATAGTTAACCCTATAAAGCCTGTATAGCTAACCCCTATATAGCTAACTCCTCAAAGGAAAAACAGTAAAATTATCTACAAAAACAAAACAAAAAATTATATTAATATTTTTTAAACTCCAGCTAAATTTAGTCCTTTTCTTTGTAATTTAAACGTAAATTTACCTAAAGTGGAGCAATTGTCATTTATTGATGAGATTCTCTTTTGGTCAAGGATCCTTAACAGTTTACAAATTTGCATTTTAGTCCAAAGTACCTTATGACCTTCAATACAAAGCCATTTGAAGTATAAAATAGAATAACTTGGACTCTAATTGCAAACTGATTTTCACAGTATAAAGAAAAATTAGTTTTTGACAGTTTGAAGTACTATCCAATGCCTCTATTCATTCTTATTCCATGACACTATTTTCTCTCATTGTCTCAGCTCTTCACTTAGGCATGCACACACTTTGAATTTACACATCAAGGCTCTCTCACTTAGCTTGAGAGCTTTTCTCAAGCTAGCCGGCTTTTCTGAGTTGAGATCCTTTAGAGTAGTTCTTCTTAACTTTTTTTTTATTAGTGTTAGACTCCTTTGAGAATCTACTGAAGGCTATGGACCCTCTCCCTAGAGAAAACAAAATCACACAAAATGGCATATGTGATTTAAGGGATCGCATTTTTTTCCCTTCCTTAGAGTTCCCTGCCTCCCACTGCCCCACCAGCAACCAGTCCCTGTAGATGAAGCCCTTTGATAGACTCATGGTTAATATCCCCTGCATTAGGTTCAAGGAGAAAAGGCAATTATTTCTTCTCTATTCCAACACTCCTGTGATTGGCCATCAAAGAAATAAGCTAATGGAATATACATGATCATTTTGATCTAATTGACAGGTAACTCCCTAACTGTTTGACTATATTCAAAACCATCAAACCAGTTTATGTCAGCACACATTAGCTGTCATTAGCTGTCATGTTTACTCAGAAGCTAATATAGCTCTTATTAGATTCACTTTTAAAAAAAAAAAAGCATCTATCCTGATCAGTTGCCTATATGTGTACTGTACATTGTACATATAATTTGTGGATTTATATATTTGCTTTATAAATTTTCCAAATTTAAACTTCCTGGAGAGAAATAAGTTGATTTAATAAGGCTGTGCTATCTTAAGAACCATAATGTTCATTGATTCTACTGTAGTTAGATAAAAACCTCACTTCATACCAGTATTTTTCTTAAGATCAGTTAATTTAATTGCTCTGTGCCCCATGCAAATTAGTCACTTTACTTGGTTGAGTCATCTGTTTCCTTGGAAACACAGACGAATATAGCCATTATGTTATTGGTTGTATTTAAAATTGTGAATGGAGAAGCAATATTGTCAACAGATTATTGTAGAATGGGATAGAGAGCCTTATAGATTTTGATCCTCTGCCAGGTTATTCATTATGTAACTGATGTACTATGTTCTCTAGTAGTTCTCTTCCTTATCTATAAAATTGACTTCAGGTTTATACTTGAGCATCCTCTTACATGACACATACAATTTAACCTGTTTAGAGATCCACAGATGTGTAGCTCTCAGCCCAAAGTTTGATGACATTTTGGGAGGACATATAGTTTGCCCCTAATGGATGCCCTTCTAGATCCTTTTGTTTCATATTTGGCCACATCGAGTAATTCCAGATGTCCCTTGGCAGTTTAAAGATTGGAGGACTGTAGATATTTTCTGCCTCAGCCCTATTGATCCGAAACGTTTCCAATTGAAACATCTGACCTCAAAAATAACTTCATTTTCATTGGTTGCCAATCATTTATTTCCATTGATAGAACAAGGAGGAAAAGGAAAAGTCAGCAATATCACTATCATTAGAAATCTGCCAAGAGAAACAATATTATTTCTTATTATTTAAGTATATAGTACCCCTTTGCCTGTTTCCTGCAGATTTCATTCGTATGTATGCATCTTAAAGCTTCCTTCCAGTGGGAGATTGAGGTAAGATAATAAAGAAGGAAAGCTTATAAGATCATACAATTAAACCTCTGCGACTTTAAAAATACATCCTTGAAAAAAATTTTAAGATAGATTCACTTCTATGTGAGATAGTTTAGGAGTTGGTTTCACTAGGGATTTGCTCCATGTATGCAGACCCACACACAGATTTCAGTAGAACAAAAATGACATCACAGATTTGTGAGCTTAGTATTAGAAGGATCCATGAGGGTATCAGGTCCAAAATTGTGCCCATTCCATGCCTGATGGTTTGTTGTCTCTACATTGATCTCTTTCAATCATGGGAAACTTCAATACTTCTCAAGATCCGTTGCATCTTTGGACTGCTCCATTAGAAAATTCTTCCTTATATTCAGCCAAAATCTGCGTTTGTGAAAAATTCACTCAGTAGTGGCAAATGGTAGCATCTAAAACAGTACAGAAGTCACTTCCCTCTTTTACCTGACAACTTTCACAAGTGTGAGGAGAGCTGTCATAGGTTCCTGAGCTTTATCTTCCTCAGTCTAAACATCTACAAGTCCTTCAACTATTTCCCATCAATTATGACTTAGCTGACTTTTTAAATTGTTATAGCCTCAGGACCACTTTTAAGTTTTCTGAAACCAACAGGGATAATTATGTAAGTAAAAATAGGAGACACCATATCAAGTGCTTTGCAAGAATTCAAATATGTAATATCCCCCTGTACCCCTCTCATCTTCTAATTTCACAACTCTATTAGAAAACTCATTAAGCATGACTGGAAATGATTTATTCTTTATAAAAACCTCATGCTGCTGTTGTTCAAGATTTTGTTATTCTCCAGATATTTATTTTGTCCTTCCCTTAAAAGTGAAAGAGATAAGAAAATAAGAGCCTGGCAAATGCTTCTTGGTATCTTGAGTAATTTGGATTCAACAAATGTCAATGTGATATGAAAATTTCTCTTGAGATTTTCCTGTTTCTTTTCCAGCAACTGCTTAATATTTCATACATTGTGCTCTGGACTTGATTCCTGTCATTGACTGGGAATGGAGTAGAACTGGAATAGCAGCCATTTAGGGGCAGTTAGAATGCTGAGAGGCAGGAGAACTTGTAGAGCTCTCCGCTGAAGGAACAAATGGAAATGGAGCTTTGAGAGCTCTACAAATATCTCAGAAATGGCCATGAACCATCCTCTTGTCAACAGCATTGGAGCTACAAATACTAGAAACACTACGTGTAGATGAAATAGGTGGTTACCTCCCCAGTTTGATCTCATGTATTAGCAGTGGTACTCAAGGATTCCCTCCACCTCACCCAAAGACATCTTCACTGGCCTTCCATGGTGCCCAAAATTTTCACTCTAAGAAATATGTTCCTTTGAATTGAAATATTGCATCTCTAAGATTTCCGAAAACATGAACCTCTTTTAGAATGGCTCATCAAGCTAAAAGCATTCACGAGTCCCTTGATATGGATTCATTTATCAGATTGCTTTTCAAAGGGACTGCTAGCTGAAAACAGGGCCCTAAAACAGGACAGGTAAGTTGTGATAAGGGCAAGGAACAGAGCCAGAGCATGGGGGAAGGTAGTCTTGGATGAGGGTCGCTGGAGTTGGAAGACCTGAGAAGTCAGTGACAGTCAGGAGTGTGCTCTGATGTCTAAAGCAAGAAGACCAAGGAAAGAGGAGCAGGAAGGGCAGACCATTCTTCAATGTCAAATGTTTCTGGCCAGGAATATGAAAAGAAGCTGAGAACAGCATGAAGAACAAGTAAAGGGCTGCAGCCACCACAGTGCAGGCCAGTCAGAGTCTCATGATGCCAGGTCACTAGAAAACAGCTCCAAAATTGGCATATGTCCTCTTTTCCATCCCTTACCTCACAAAAACATAAAAGGAATAGATGGTACATTATGTTAAGTGGAAGAAGCTAGACATAAAAGGACAAATATTTAACGGTTCAATTTATATGAAATATCCAGAATAGGTATTCTTGTGGTTGCCTGGAGCTGAGGGAGGGGAAAAATGGGAAGTGACCACAAATAGGTATGGAGTTTCTTCATAGCATGATGAAAATGTTCTGGAATTGAATAATGGTAAAGGCTACACAACTCTCTGAATGTACTGGAAACCACTGAATTACACATTTTAGAAGGGTGAATTTTATGGTATATAAATCATATCAATAATTTTCTTTTAAATTAAAAAAGAAGAGTACATGACCCTTTCATCACCTGGATCTTGAGAAAATCAAAGGTCAACTTAAAGACTTTATCATTGGAAGCATGTCTTGCTCTAAAAAGATTTGAAATTCCATTTCTTTCTCCTCCTAACTCATGGCAAGCTTCAAGTTGGTCCATTGCCAGGTGGTGGTGCCCACGGATGGGCCCAGGCCCTTGTGAAGAGCTCACACACTGACACCTCAGCATGTAGTCAGTTGGTAGCTAGATAGCAGACTGACTTTGGTGGTGGCTCAGTCCTAAATCCTTAACGAAAAGTAATTCTGAGACAGAACAAGGTCACACACTGGAAATAAATTCCGTCATTTTCACTTCCTCCCTCTGAGATGTTAATGAGAGAAGCTGCTCTGCATAATATGGGACATCTTTCCAAATTCACAGTGACATTATTGGCAGAATCAGAAGCAGCTGCAAGAAAGTCAAACCATCCCCCTCTCACTCCTTGCCATCATGTAAGAATTTCAAAACCCTTTGTAGCCACACAAATGGTTCTGTACCATGAGAATCTGCTGCTGATGAAACCATATTTTAATGAGATCCTTCTAGTACTTTCACAACTAAACTTTCAGGAGGAGCACCTATGCCACAGTGATTACAGCTAGGCTCAAACACACTCATTCTATAATTTAGAGGCCACAAAAACAGGCAAGTGTCTAGAGACAAGGAAATTGAAAGAGGTGCAAATGAAAGTTTCTAGAGACAAACAAATTGAAAGAGGCGTAAATGCCTGCGGCCAGGTTTCTAATCAGAGCTCCTCATCCTTATCAGTTCACCTTTGTTTCAACCCACAGGATACCTACCCTTTTGAGATGAGCAAAGGAAACAGAAAAGTCAGTGAACCTTGACCTGTGGCCCAACTAGTAAAATCTCAGAAAGGTTCTTTTTAAAAAGAGTTGAATCTGCTGTAGCAGATAACTTCAGATGAAAAATTTTGTATATTTTCTTCTTCCCTGAGATTCCAAAGAATAAGACCATTTCCTAGTTTAGATAAAAAAATGGTTATCTCTATGTTTTCAAAATGACATAGGGCCAGATTTAAAAGGATTTTAAAAATTAAAATGATCGTATTTCACAGATGATTATAGCCTTTTAATTCTGGGCAGACTTGACCCAAAGTCAGGCCTATACACAGACTGCACTCCCTGTGTGAGAAACCTCATATCAGGTCCCATCATGAAATGCCCTAGGCAATACCCTGTGCCAAGAGGCTTACAGATCAGGAGCCACCAAAGTATTGTCCTTCTTCTGGCCCAACAGTCCTCTAGTGCCTACCCCAGTTGCCCTTTAGAGCATGGATGGCTAGAAGACACAAAGCCCTAATAGTTGATGTACAATGTGTTTTATTGAAGTTGTTTTGATCAGCAGTTTTGCTGTCAGGGATATTCTGTCATGGTCTAAAAGAAAACTCTTACACTTTCAACTTGTTAAGGAGCTCTTTAATATTGCTAAGGAATTTGCACAACAGATGTTCCTATCTTATCTCTGAGATCAGATAAGTGGCTTAGGGTTAGTGTTGGGATGTCTGTCTGTACACACAATTTGATAATAAAACAGTGATTTTACACTTTGATAGAGTGCTTATGGCTATCAAACCAAAGCCTAAAATGGTTAGTCCCTCTGCCGTGGCTGCTTCTTCAACCCCTAGTTCAATGGTTCCTAAATTTTATTTTGCATCAGAATTGCCAGCCAACTTTGTTAAAAGTAAAATTTCCAGGCCCCACCTCCACCCAAGATTCTGATTCAGTAGGGCTAGGGAGAACCCTAGGAAAGTGCACAAGTGCAAGAATCCAAGTGATTCTGATGCAGATGGTCCAGAGAGAACCTTTTGAAAAATCTGCCTTAGAACTTTGCGCATCCACCAAACAAAATATGCAATCGCCTTGACACCATCTTAGGAGGCAAAGCCTGGAGGGATTGGATCAACTTTGGCTTGCACGCCTGACTAAATGATCCCCATAGAGTCTCTCTAAATGCCGCAATCTGAGTTAGGAATTGGTGTGTCTGGTTAGGTTTGGCATGTTCAATGATACTGATGACTCTCTGTTTGCTTTTGCTTGCCACTCGTGGATACCTTGTGCACCCTAGAAACAGAGATACCAGACATAGGTAAGCAAATCACATCAGCAGCTACCTAATGCCCCCTCTTGCCTATGAGACTACCTCCTGATAATGTGTTAATAGGGAAATTTTTCTTCCTAAATAAGGTTAAAGAATAGTGTGAACATAAATTTGGAAGTTATAACTCAGGTAAGTGTCTTCCAAAAGAAGAAGGGTCCACTATGTAGGATTTGCTGGAGGATCAAAACATACTAAAAAGAAAACAATTCATAAGTGAAAGCTGACAGTTGAGTACTTCATGGGAAAGCAAGGCCTTAAGTTTCATTATGTTTCCCTAAGGTGATAACACAAATGAGTTGGTAAGTTCAAATAGATTTGATGTTTTCAAATTGCAGGTAGAGAAAGAGGTAATACAGCAATCTCCCTAGATCCAGAAGTACAGTTTTTAAGTGTATTAAGAGACAGTGACCATGATGACCTTCTTTAATACACTTTTTTCTTTTTTTCTTTTATGTGACCTCACTGTTTCTATTTCTTTCCACCAAAAAGAAATAATAGGAAAACCTTAAACTGACCGTTTGCAGACAATGGTACATAGCTCTGAAATTAATCATAATGAATATTTCTATTCAATGTGTTTACGCATTACACTTGTCAAAACTGTTCTAAATTGCCTGAAATTGCAAAGGAGAAAATTGAATTTGTTCACTCCCGAATGCCAATTGTCATCAAAATGGCACTGATGGGGTTTCTAATCTGGATTTCATTTGGGCAATGCCACTTCCTAAATGCCAGTACAGACGATCAGCCTTGCTACTTTGGCATAACTGATTCCTTAAGCAAATTAAGTTGGTTGTCAAATAGCTTACTGGTAAAATGTTGCACAGTATTAATTATAAACATTAATTGCCCATTTAACAATCTATGTGATTTTTAACTAGTATGAATGAAGTGATCTTTGCTAAGTTGAAGAGCATTGCTTGAATGTAAAACTAACCAAAAGGTGATAGTAAACCTAACACCCAAGTTGTAAAAGAAATCTTCACATATCTCAAATTGCAATTTGCATTGAGACACAAGGGATTAAAGCAAATTGGAATATAGTCCAGTGGTTTTTTTCTTTCTCAGGTGTGGCTTGTTTTCAGAAAGTAGAAAGAAATCAGCCTCAAAAGAGCTAAAGTACACTTGAGAAATGACATGAAATGGCAAGTTACATATTGATAGGAGGGACCTTCCTGACTGCTGGCTATCAAGAAAATAACATTGATTAGATTTCACTTTGGTATGTTGGGCTATTCTATTTTCTAAGGGCCAGTACACAAAGTTTGAGAACAGCCTGGCTGAGCAAAATAGGACATGTTGCTCATTAGAAAGCAGGAACGCTGATTTGTTTTGCTGCCTTCAGAGCAAGAGTATTCTGATGGTATTTTGCACACAAAATCACATATAATCTAGTCTAATCTTGGTCCAGGCCCAAACTTGTTAGTGACCCCGGACAAGCTCCCTATGTGTCTGGGTTTCCCCAGCTGAGATTTGAGGAGATTGCTAATTCTAACTTTCCTCACAGGCACACTGGGGGTATTCAATAATGAATGAATGTACTGCATTCCAAAGTGCTTTTGTGCAAATAGCAAAATAGCATTTCTCTTGGAAAAATGGCCTATGGACTCTTCCTAAACAAAGCATGACTAATCTGACTGAATTGAAACTCCACAAACTGGCTATCAAAATATTGTAGTTGTTTCAAAGAAGGGTTTTGACCCCTTCTTTTTTCTAGAAAGATCTGAGCACATTGGAAAAATTTTATTCTGAAGGCAAAAATTTAACTATATATGTAAAGAATTTTACTCAAACCCCTATTGAAGCAGTTTTTCCCAGAGAGATGCCTTGTCTGGTATGGCTACCAAATCAATTCTAGAGTTTGTTGGGGCCCTTCATAGTTTATTTACAGCACCTGTTATGGTGGTTCCAGGGTTGGAGGTGTCCCTGGAATCTACTGGATTCTCTTACTTGATGAAGGTAAGTAGGAAAAGATTAAGTATTCCAATTGAACCTAATTTTTTCCAATTAAAACTATAAACAGTCTCAAATTAGTATTTGCAGGCCTGATTATTATTAACATACATAAATATGCTTGGAGGGCAAATATAATTACAAATACAATTAATAACATTCCAGTCCTTAAAGGTATCTTGATTGTTCTCACCACCCTCTCCCCTCCATTTTGCCTAAGTAGCAAGGCCTGAACTCTTTTATGTCTTAGTTTTATATCCTGCAGTTCAGTTTAGTTTAGCACGTACTAAGCACCAATCCTGTCAGGCCCTCTGTTGGCACTGAGAATAGAGAGATGAATATGGTTCCTGCCTGCAAAGAGCTCACAGTGTAGTTGGAGAGAAAGATATGTTAGGAAAAAAAATAGTGCTTACACCCAGCACCCAGATCTTGGTTTCTAATACCATTCTCCAATAAAGGGAACCAGGGGAGTCTTTGGAGAAATGGCTGATTCTAGGATTGGGGCAGGGGGTATAGCAGATGAGCCCAGAGCATCTGGTAGTGCCAGAAAGAAAGGAAAGGCTAAAAAAAAAATCCCTCATTGATGGGGATATGGCAAAGGGACACATGAGTCAACGAAAAGAGCTCCCAATGGCTAAAGCTGGAAGAACTTGAGCAACAAAATAAAGTAGCATTGGATTTAATGCAAAGTATAAAATAAATATCCATGAGTCCATACTGATATAAATAAATGGTTGAATTAATAATAGATGGAGACGAGATAAAGCTCCCATTTAGAAGAATTCCAAATAATTTATGTAGATACTCCACCCTCAAGGAGGTGGAGCATAACTCTCTACTCCTTAAGTGTTGGCTACGCATAGTTACTTCCTTCCAAAGAGTAAAGTGTGGAAAGTAGGGGAGAAAGAGTATCTTTACAGTGAAGAAATCTGACGAACACTATTTCAGCCAGGAGATCAAGGTCAAACCCATTAGTGTACATCATGTTGGTAGTATGTACCCTTGATATAATTTGATCAGAATGGCACTTTATTACCTCTGTGCTCTTCCTCCCAAAAGCCTATCACCCCTGTCTAACTGTAAGAAAAAACAATCAGACACATTTCAGTCAAGGGTATTCTGCAAAATACCTGACCAGTACTCCTCAAAACTGTTAAGGTCATCAAAAACAAGAAAAGTCTGAGAAACTGTCACAGCACAGAAGAGCCTAAGAAGACATGACGACTAAATATAATTTGTTATCGTGGATGGGATCCTGGAACAGAAAGAGAACATTAGGTAAAAACTAAGGAAATCTAATAAGTATGGACTTCATTTAATAAGTTTTAAAAATAATGCTAATACCATACAATAGGTGCTGCTAAGACACAAGTCCCTCTTCTTTACTAATTTCTCTCCTTCTGTTTCTCCTGTCATAACACTTGGACTCATGGTAGTCATATCCTGTCTACTTATCTGTCTCTCCCACTAGACTGTGAGTTTCATAAAGAAAGAAGCTGTGTGTATCTTGCACACAAGTAGGTCTCTAGAACATAGCACAGTTCTTGGATACATTGTATGCACTTAATAAATGATTTTTAATGAATTAGTAAACAAATACACAATACTGAAATGGTACCAAGGAAGTAGTTCAGATGAGAGATGATGAGGCCTTAGAGTAAAAACAGCAGAGATAAAAAGAAGTGAGCAGACTGGAAAACAATTTAGAAAGTAGAATTTAAAAACCACCTTTCACTGGATGTGGGAAATGGTGGAAAGAAGGAAGTAGAAAAGAATGGCTTCTGGTTTCTGGCTTTGACAACTGGGTGCTAGGCAGAGGTATGGGCAATGAACATATCAGAGATGAACAAGACAAGATTGCTCTCCACCAAGCTTTATTGCAACTGGCAGGGCAGGAGAGGGAGATGCAAACAACGCATAAACAAATAATTTAATATGATATGTAATCCCCAGAATAGAGGTAAGATAATGCAAATAACCCAGACTGGAGAAGGGAAGACTGGGAAAGCTTCCTTCAGGAGATGATGCCCAAATAAAGCCTCAAAAGACATGTAAGAATGAATTAAGAGAAGAAAGGCTTGGCTAACACACCAAGAAACATTAAAAAGTTTTTAAAGATGGGAGCCAAATGATCAGAATAACTCTGCAGGCAGCATGGGAAAAAAATGATTTAAGATTTCAAAAACACATCCTACATATCGATCTATAGAAAATATTCCAGGCCAGAGATACTGAAAGATAGAACTAATGTAATGGCATAGGGATGGAAGATGAGAATGTTTCTGAAAGTTAGTTTACAGACACAATTGCATGTGGAGAGCAAAAGAGGGATTAGGGATGACTTCCACATTTGGGGTTTGGATGATGTCAGTATTACACAAACCTTAGGTTCAAGTAAAATGTCTCCAAAACTAAGGTTATTGTAGCCATTGAAAAACTAAAATTAGGAAGAATCAAAATAATAAACAAACTCAGCCATCTATACAGATAAAAATAACTTGAGATTCCTTGTGAGTATGTAATAGAAAAGTTTCAAGAATGCCAGAATCCAAACAAGGTAACTTTAGGGTCACTTTTAGGAGGTATAACTATGCGATTACACAATCATATGATTGCCATTATAACTTTAAAAAGGTTAAATATAACCAGTTCCATTATGTCCTGAAAGAACAAAAACCAGATTAGAAAACTGTGGTAGTCAATTGAAAAAGGGAAACTTGGAAAGAAGTTTGGCAGTAGATCTCCAGCATGATCCTCCCTTAGCGACACTCCTTGAGCTTTGGACATGCCTTTCAATTGACAACTGGGGCCTGGGAGGATGGTATTGTCCACAAGCAAGGTGAGAAGCCCAAGAGAAAGGAAGTAGGTTTATGAGGGATGGGGAAAGCAGGAAAAGAAAGTAACTTCTGTTTTGGATATGTTGAGTTTGAGGTGACTGAGACACCCAGCAGTGATCTAGTAGGTAATTGGATAACTGAGTATGGAGAATAAGAGAAAAATGACCTCCTGAGATTTCCTGTCTTCTGTTTCTTTCTATCCCCAAATGGATGGTATCGGAATGTCAGCATCATTATGAATTAGCAGTATACATTAGATTTGTTTCATACCTAGACCCACTATTAGAAAAACAGAGAAGTATCCATCTCCTTGGTACTTAAGAAGGAAGATAAATGAATTCACTCATCTATCAAAAGATTTTTCCATTTGTGAAAAAAGGCTGAGCCCAGGGGGTTCGTGTTGAAAAATTGCCTTGAATAACTTTACTTTTCTCTTCCTTAGCACAAGTCCTGCTCACAAATACTATCTGGCTATGGACCCTGTGTCTGAATCACTCTATCTATCAGACACCAATACTCGCAAAGTCTACAAGTTGAAATCTCTTGTGGAGACGAAAGATCTGTCCAAGAATTTTGAAGTGGTGGCAGGAACTGGTGATCAGTGCCTTCCCTTTGACCAGAGTCATTGTGGAGATGGTGGGAGAGCATCGGAAGCTTCACTGAATAGCCCTCGAGGTAAAAAATAAATAAATAAATATATATATATATATACCCTTGGGTCATCTAAAGATTTTATTTGACTTTACAAAATCCCGAGACTGTTGCCACACTTTAGCCCATCCACTAATCTCAATATTTTGCCTCTGAGAGCCAAAATATTGAAGTCTGTCCCAGTAGACACATCCAAGGCACATAATGCATTTTTAGCCAATATTCATTAGTATGGTTATAGCTGTTATTAAAAGAATGAAATGCTTTCTTTTCTAGTTGATAAATAACTATTAGCCAGAACCCTCAGAGTGCCTCCCTGGCACCACAACCCACCCCAGAATTACCTCCTGGAAACTCCCCACAGTCCAGCAACTAAAGGGTTAACCTGACCCAGCAGAGAGCCTGCAGACCCCTGCTTTGGCTCTTCAGCCTGCATTGCTTGCGATAAGGTCTGTGCCTACCTTCTACCACTGCTAAGTATGTTGAATATCTCACAGACCCTAAACATTCCTGACTTTTGCTTAACAAAATTATGAATCTTCAATGAACCTTTCTTCCATTAATTTATCTAAATCATTCTGGAAATTACTTATATTTTCAGTTGATATTGCCTCTAGAATAACAAATTCCAATTTTTTTCTGTTGCCTTCTGTGGGAGTTTGGCCTTATTTTTATTTGTCCTAAATTTACTTCTCAGTCTTCAAAGACCAACCTTCAATTTAATTGCCTAGAATCTAGTGAACAAATCTGTGTCTCCCAATTAACTTCTGGATTTTCTGGATCATATGCCAATCTTAGGCCACAAAGTTGAAGGATAGTCAACTTTTAAGTCTGTCATCATATATCATTGACCCTGTCATCTTAATTATTTAACTGCTCTTCTCAGTTCCTTCTCTAAGATGTTTGTGTATGTGTGTGTATGTGTGTGTGTGTGTATCTGCATGCATGCATACATGTATGCATTTATGTTAGTGATTTTAGAAATTATTCATTTTACTGGGCTTACAAAGCCAGTGTTTTCTTAGTTATTATACAAATAATACAAACATTTGTTGCAGAAAAATTAGAAAAGGGAGAATAAAAAAATTTAATTAAAATCACCCATAAGCCTACTACATGTAGAAAACCACTGTAAACATTTTAGTATTTATCCTTCTAGACTTTTCCATGCATATCAGATATTTTAATTCTGTAACAGTAGAATCATATTATACAACGCTGTTCTGTAACCTGTTTTACACAATGTATTATGAACATCTTTCCATGCCAATAAATGTAGTGAGGTCAATGTGTTTAATTTATTAGATGGTCACTTATTACTTTAAATTTTAAGAGGTTACTCTTTAACCATTTGACGTTTGCTATATTGGGATTGAATTCCTACTAGTATCACAGTTTAAAGATTTCACTTTCTTCAAGGCCTTTGTCTTTTATAAAGCCCCTCTGGCTAACCCCATACCATTAAATCTGAATTTATTTAACAGTGTCTACACTACACAATTAGCACTTGATTTTATTTTGCCTTCTTTTGCTTCCAGTGCTTTCATGAATGGGAGATTTTTTCTACTGAAATAAGTCGCTTGAGATGGGAAATCACATCTAATATTATGGAATCTTCCCCACTTCCCCACCAACTTCTAGCATAGTGTGGGACCCACTACACATACTTATTGTGTAATTGATCAATTAAGTAACTCTTATCTATGCCAGGAATTCCTAAAAGGAATTTCAATGGTGTTTACAGGGGGTGATTTATTTTCCCTAAGGGAACACAAGCCCCGCCCCAAGTATTATGGTAAATTTTTTCTTTATTTCTCTGTGCCAGCTCTTTCCTTATACATAGTGGGTCCACAATAAGTATTTAATGATTGAATAAATAACTCGGGTGCAACATGTGATCAGCTCATCTTTCAAGAAAATACATTAGGCTGGGTCTCACCTTTTACACAGGTTTAAAATTCTTGAGGGTATTATAAAGATTTCTGCATAAAAAATAGAGAGGAATCAAGCTTGTATTGTGCCTTAAATTGACATCCTCCTGAGTTGCTGCTAGTCTGAAAACCATTCACCTCAACTACTGCATTCAACCTGCCACACAGAGAATGAATATTTTAGCTTTTCCAAATAAAGCAAATAATTGGTTCACTGCAGCTTTTTTTTTTCTTGGAAAGCAGCAGTAATAAAGTACTGATGAACAGGATTTACATGAACTCTTGAAGCGTCAGTAATGAGAGTGCTGAAATTTATGTATCAAAGCTAATATTAAACTAAGTTTTTCTTCTTGTCATAGCCACTACTACATTTTCCTTTGTCTTGATTTACTCATCCTTCTATCCGAGAGCTTCCTTTGCCATAATCTGGTACACTTCATTCATTCCAAAGCAATAAGAGAGCCCTGATAACATCTGGCCCAGACTTCAGACAGCTAAATGTCTAATCCATCTGGGACAGCTTACACATAACGTTCCTGAAGCTGGTGTTGTCAACATCTGCTTTGATCCAGTGAGTGAACTAGAATGCTTAAAGGAGTGGGATGTGTGGTTCACACTAGGTAGCCACCACATCTCCTTCAACCATGCTAACAATGTTTGAAGACCCTGTCAGTGATCTTTATAATAACTCAGCTGGCAGAACCTCTGTCCAGCCATCAGTTGCTCTGAAAATGCTGGTCAGAACACTTAGGTGCCTAGCTATGGCACCTATCTCCATGCTGAATATAGTCAGCACTCACCTTTGTCAGTGAATTAGAAGTGAGATTCTCTTTAAATGAAATGCTGCAGGGCGATTTCATAGACTTCCATAAAAGGAAAAAACATGCAAAAAGTTATTACAGTGTACAAAATGAGAGGAGAGTATTGCTAATTGCTCATTTCATCTTTGAGGTTCTCTTACAGATTCTTTGTTTCTCAAGAAAGCCCAATTTGTTTGTTTTTTGCTTTAAAACTACCCTGTACATCAGCTCCTTCTTCCTTCCACTTAGTAGATAGCAAACGTTTAATGAATTTCTTTAAGGAGAGGTTTGATTTTTCCCTCCACCTAGAAGCTAATAAAGAAAAGCTGTAGATCAGTAGAAAATGGAAATGTACATCTAGGGAGCACCATTTCTAGGTTAGGGAAAAGAGCTTGCTCGCTCCAAGACTTTAACAAGCAACATATTGCAATTATAGGAAGGTTCTCCAACATGTCCTTAATTATGCAAGGTAAGTCAAATAAATGTTAATCTGTACGACAGCTAATTTACTCTCTAAATCTGTTCTAAAAATAGGATGAAATAAAATTTGCTTTTGAGATCATTCATTCTAAATTCAGAGTAAATTATCCAATGGAGTTAAAAACCAGTCAGCGAAAGGTAACAGGTCAGGAGCCATGGGAATTTTTTGTTTTGGTTTTGTTTCTGTTTTTGTTTTTAGCAATGGCAGCAAGTTTTGGTAAATACCAAAGGAGGGAGCCCGGACTTTCTTTTTCAATACATGTAATGCCCATGTTTTCTTTCAATGACTCCGTGCAAGTCACTGTACCTCACTGTGGTTTCATTTACCCGAACACGAAGATAGACAGGCTGAGTGGTGCCATTGACTAATTTTATGACATTGGGCATTTAAACACTGGGTCCTGAAATTCTTCAGTTGTAAACTGAAGGGGTCAGGATGATCTCCCTTTCAGCTCTAATGTATTAAAATAACTGTAACTATAACTTGTTCAGTGCCTACTGTGTGCCATACACTGTGCTAGATATTTTACACAGTTTCTCTGATGTTCACAACAATGCATGATGTAAATAGTATTAGTCACATTGTACAGAAGAGGAAATAGAGAATCAGACAGGTTAAGAAATTTACCTGGACATACTACACATGTACCACTGAACCTAAAATAAAAGTTATTTTTTAAAAAAGAAATTTACCCAGTTTCACACAGTTTACAGATAACAACACTGGAATTCAAACCAGGTCTGCCTGACTCCGAAAAACCCATGATGCCATTTTTTTTTTTTTTTTTTTTTTTTGAGACGAAGTCTCGCTGTCACCCTGGCTGGAGTGCAGTGGCACGATCATGGGTCACTGCAACCTCCACCTCCCGAGTTCCAGCGATTCTCCTGCCTCAGCCTCCTGAGTAGCTGGGATTACAGGAAGGGGCCACCACGCCTGGCTCATTTTTGTATTTTTAGTAGAGACGGGGTTTCACCATGTTGGTCAGACTGTTCTCGAACTCCTGACCTCGTGATCCGCCCACCTCGGCCACACTTTACTTCACCATACCACACTGTCTGCCTTTCTGCTAAAATCTATGATCTCTGGGAAGGTTGGAAATATTGGGGGAAAAAAATGCTTTTCAATCTGAGGACATGTATTCAATGGGAACAAAATATTTTTATTTACAAGATAAATAACTTTTAGTCTAGTTTCCTTTTCCTATTAAAACCATTTCTCAGATTTTTCTGACCTAGTAGTGTACCCATAGTGCACTACATAGATAGCGTTTACATACTCTGTAAATGTAATTATTCAAATAAATCTCCAGGAAACCTTGTCACTTCTCTTTGGAAGATTCTGTAATTAGAAACTTCACCAAATTTTCCTTAAGGGACACAGGCAGGAAATCTTCATTTTATTAAATTTCTTGACTACAGTAGTAACTACAAATTTTGTTTGAAGGAAAAATGGAAGCGTCCCCAAATAGAATTTCATGTGATAGCCTCTGGGTACTTCTCCTGGGAGGAAGTCTTTATCTGATCCAGTTTTATGCACTTAGATCTGAATCTCAACAAAGAGAAACATTTGCCATTTTACTCATCAATACTTCAATGTAATGGGACAAAGAAAAAAAGTTTCGAAAAGAGGTTGATGGAGTACTAATCCCTGGCATTGTATATGAGTTTGAATTGACTTTGAAAGATGCTTTTAAAACATGCATGGATGATGTAGTTGAAACTTAGGTTCCATTTATTATTTTTACTGCAACTTTCTTTAATTCTACAGAGAACTGAAACTAATGAGTCATGTAATAGATGACCAAGTACTTAAGCAGAATGTGAAATGGTACTAGGTGGGGATATAAAATAAAATTTGTGACAAGCTGGATGCATTTATTTTTTTAAGTAGATACGGAAGGTGAAGGAGTGACTGGACAGGATGAAATTAATCAGTGACTTAATTTGGTTCTCTTGGACCTCACCAAGGGTTATATCTCTATTCTCATGTACATCTTCAGGCAAACTGACGCCAGAACTCAGCAGGAGCAGAACTTAGGCAATATCCAGACAAGTGCAAACAGCCTCTGAGCTGTTCCATAGGAAGGAAATGATCCTTAAATCTTGACGGCTTCCAAAAGTGTTTTTAGGGTATACATGACACTAACCTTACGGGATTCATCTTAACTTTATTGGAAATTAAGAAATCTGGGAATAACAAAGTCTAGACACAAACAATCTGTTTTTGTCCCTATCCAGGTCTAGCTGAAGTACATCCTGAAGCCCTACTCATTCTCCTGGCATCTGCATGCTATTGTGAAAAGTTATATTTGGGGTTAATGGAAAGATGCTAAGGCTATAATCAGTGACTTTTTGCTGATGTCACTGGTGTCTATGAGGGAGACAGTGTAGTAAAGAAACAGACATAGAATGTTCTTTTGGTTCTCCTGTTCAATGGAAGTGGTATGGTTTTTCCTAAATTCCTTTAGCATATGATCCATCTTGGTAACAAAGCCATTTAGATTGACACTGGGGACAGCCCTCAACAAAATTACGGGTAAGCCATAGCATGGATAAAAAGAATGGTATATTTAGGAAACTGCAAATAATTCAGTATTCTTAGAGTAAGAATATTGGAGAGTAATAGGAAAGGGGGGCAGAAGCAAGAAAAGGAAGTTTGGATTTTATCCTATAGGGAAAGGATTTGAAGCAGGAGAGATGCCCACCTTGTGCATGCGTTTTTGATAATGTTGGCGACAGGGTAATAAATGCGCTGGAGCAAAACTGGGGCAAATAAATGACAGGGAGTACTCATCTGTATAAGATTGGCAATGGAAGAGGATCTAATGAAGGAAACAGAGCAGAAACCTTCAGAAAAAAGGGTGGTGGACCAAAAGAGCACACTGTCCAGGAAGCCAGAGAGTAGTTAATTTCAAGGAGGTGTGAAAAACAGTATCAAGTGTCACACATTTGTAGCTATTGCATTAGGCAATGAGGAGTTCGTTGGTGACCCTGCCATTGGTGGTTTGGATGGTGGTAGAGGTGGAAGCCAGATTTTAGTCATTTGATGAGCCCATGAGAGATGAGAAAATAAATATCACTGGTGAAGCTCACTCTTCTGAGAAGCTTGAATGTGAGAGATGGAGTGATAAATCGTGGGAGGCCAATGAACTCAGGAAGCCTTTTTCTATAAGGGGAGATGTGGCAATGCTTATCAGTCAATGGAAAGATAAAGAAGACGGGGAATAAATCAAAGCATGGAGGAAACTGGAAGGAAGTCGGCCTAGAATAGGAGGGGAGACTGAAGCGATTATTTGTAGGGTATAGGGATGAGGATCAGTTTGTAGTAGGAGAAGCTAGAAGAGTGATGATTCTTCATCTTGATAGCCTCCGTGTTCTGAGAAGTGGATCTGTTCTGCTTAAAATGAGGGTGTAAGTGGGAAAGGTTTAGGAGAGGCACTTACTGAAGTCTTCCTTCTGGGTAAGACAGCATTCTACCACCCATGGCCAAATTCCTAGCCCAGTTTCAAGACATTTCTTATGAGAATTTTACTCCAACAACCTTGTTTTAGAATCAGAAACATCTTGAAAAAAACATGTTTGATAAAGCCTTAAAATTCAGGCAAAATATTTGTTGTTTATCCCTCAATGACCTTGTGCTGTTTTCATTTAGGGGGGGTTTCTGTCTCAAACACTGTTAGTGGTCTCTCAGCTTACTGTAACTGCAACAGAAGAGTTAGTGCCTGTTATACAACCAGAATTAGAGGTTAACCTGTTTTTTATGCACAGTTCATCTAATGCATCTGCTTAGGGTAGTCAAAAGATTTTGGCCTTAGATTATGTCAGCAACTGGAACTTGAGGACCTTCCGGCCTGTTCTGTTGCAATCCCAAAGCCATAAGCTGTTGATGAGAGAAGTCAGACAAAAGGAAGGCACTTACATCTAGCCTTGGCTCATTGCCTGTTTGGTCTAGGTAGCATCCATGGTTGGAAGACCTATATTAAGTTTTTTCAATTTTTATAAAGCCACAGATGCATTATTAAATGACTTTTTCTTCTGCATTTGTCTTAATTTTCATGTATGCATCAGATTCTAGCAAGCACAGAGGTAATATTTTAGAGGCCAGATAACATGGTAGATAATTTTTCAGGTTTTTGAGTCAAACAGAAATGGAGGCAAATCCCAGATCCACTGCTAATTAAATGTTTAACCTTAGGCAAGTCACCTAACTTCCCTGAGCTTCAGATTCCTCATCTGTAAAGTTGGAAAACTAGTAATAGTGCCTACACAATGGGTTGTTGGATAATGTATGTAAATTGCCTAGTGTGACACCCAGCATAAAGTATGTTACTGTATTACATAACAGTATTACTTACTGTTATGCTCAGTCTTGCTGTTTTGTTGCTATAGTCATAATAATTATAATAATGACCCATATATGTAATAAGTTACTTTGGAAGGAAGGAAACATTATGTCCTTGTAGGTCAATCTGAGACTTGATAATTTCTAGGTAGGATGGGTGCCACAGAAGAAGCAAGAGTCAAGGTAGGATGGAATTCACATGTTGTATGTGATTTGACTAGCCGACCCCTCCTCACCTTGAGATGCAGCAATTCTAGTGTTGGTTCCTTGTACATGTTATATTTTGGGGAGCCCCACAAGGCCCATCTAACTAAAGTAATTCCCTTAGCAGCGTACTATTTCACAATTAAATTCATTCCCATAAGGATTTTCTTCAGATGCAAACTTAGTATGTGGTGCAGGGAATTGTCTAGGAGAGCAGCATATTAATTCTTCATTAAAACACTTTATGGGGGCCTGGAGGGAATGGGGGCCTGGAGGGAATGGAGCAGAAGATGGATATGTTTGGATTGACAAGATCACCTGAGAAAGACAAGCCTAGGTGGGAACCACTGAAGGTAGCATGCAGAAGTGTGGTGCTAGGTATATGGCAGAATAGCTGCAAAGTGGGAAGAGGTGGAGGAATAGCACTGATATACTTCATCTCCACAGTATTGTCTAGAATGAAACTTGGACGCCTACATGCAAAGACTGACAGCTTGGAATTCTGGTTCCTCTTTTTATTTAAGATCGCTAGCCAAAATAACTTTGCTTCCCTATCACAGCTCCTCAATGTCACACTTTTCTTATCTGCCTCAGCTGATGAAAAAGAAGAGTCCTCACCACCCCTGCCAAAAAAGTGACAGAGATCACACACTAATAGGCTGCAAATCACTTAAATCATATTTTGAGTGGTGTATTATGGTAACCTATAAATAACTAATTGTGTAAAATTGCTTTAGTAGTTTCTAGGTGGCAGCTTTAATTAAAAGCACCAGAGACATTTAGAAGTTTAGAAATGGATGGCATGTAATTTGCCCTTTTACCAACCATAAAATGGTAATTAAGAAATTTGATTCACTTCTTCCTATTGAAAGTTTTATGAGAATAGCAAGTTCCTTCTAAATACAGTTTCTCTTCAGCAAAAGGTAGTATGTTTGCTTTATCAGTCTTCTCCAGCAGGGTAAGATGTTTTAATGTACAGATTCTTCAGAAGTTAATTAGGACACTTCTGTCCATGCAAAATGTTTGTTTTTAAGATTCTAAAACATAAAGCTGTATTAGAGTTGAACTTTGATCATGGCTCCATATTAGTCCACCATCAATACAAGATGGTCCAGTAATTTCACGATTACCAAATGCATGGAGCTGACTATAAAATTAAAGAAATTGGGAAGTCATTTCCTGGTGAGACTAGCATGCTTTGCTGATTTTTGAAGGAATCTGAAGTCTACAGTGTGTTGACTTCCTAGGGAATCCAGAATATTCACTCTACACTAGCAGAGTCATAAAAGATCATTTTAGCTTCATGGATCCTCCAGAAATACTGGATAAATTAGTAGTTTTATAGTGTAAAATTCAAACAACATGCAGCAAACTAAGATTTCTTTGGAAATCTATGAATTTAACACTGTCACAGGCTAAAACACAGCTGGAAATAGAGTAAAGAAGTTCATTTTTTATTTTATAATTGAACAATTGATTCCATTTTTGGCCACTTCAGCCCAGGGTTTATAGATGTCACTACTCAGGGCACTTACAACAGCATCATTAATGACATAAGTTATATGCAACATAAAGACAGCTTCTGGGTTTTTTTGTTGGGAAAAAAAAAAAAAAACCCAGGAGTACCTCATAGTCAGCCGCTTTTTTTTTTTTTTTTTTTTTTTTTTTACGTCAAGCATATGTTTAAAAGTTATCTAAGCTGGACAGATCTAAGCAGAAAATAGGGGATGTTTAAAATGTCTCCTCTTCATCCCATCTTTCAGTGACTCCCTGCCTAACTCTGAGCCCCTTGCGGCAGCCCTCAGTCTATCTCTCCTAGATAGAAATCCAACTTTTTGTCTCCTCTCTTCCCTAATCAGAACTGGGTGGGTATAAGTGGCATACTAAAGGGGGATGGGACAGTGGAAGAAGTATTTTATCACTGACATTATTTGGAATTTCCAGCGAATGTTGATAGTTAAAGCAGACCTACTATTCACCAGATTTATTATTGTTTTTTAAGATTTCAACAGAAAATGCACTTCCCCTTACTCTCTATACCCAGAACCAACCACTCCCACCTGCTCCCCCAAACCTTGGTACGCCCCTGCAGGTATAAGGAAGATATTCACAAGATAGCATTCAATGAAAAGTTCAGGACACAAAGCTGTATGTACTGTATGCTGCCTCATCTGTAAGGGTGTAAGGGTAATATATATATTATATATTATATATTACTCTATATTGTATATTATATAAGTATATATTATATATTACTCTATATTGTATATTATATAATTGTATATTACATATTATTCTATATTATATATTATATAAGTATATATTATATATTACTCTATATTGTATATTATATAATTATATATTATATATTAATCTATATTATATATTATATATTACTCTATATTATATAATTATATATTATATATTATGATGTATTATATAATTATATATAATATATTACTATATATTATATATTATATATTACTATATATTATATATTATATAATACTATATATTATATATTATATATTATATATAGTATTATATATAGTACTATATATTATATAATATATAATATATTACTATATATTATAATATATATTATATATAGTACTATATATTATAATATATAGTACTATATATTATAATATATATTATATATAGTACTATATATTATAATATATAGTACTATATATTATAATATATAGTACTATATATTATATATAGTACTATATATTATAATATATATTATTATATATTATATATAGTACTATATATTATAATATATAGTACTATATATTATATAATATATATTATATAGTACTATATATTATATATGACATAATATATATTATATATTACTATATATTATATATTTCTCTCTATGTATATAGAGAGAGAAAGTTTGAAAGGGAGTATATGTAAATGTTAGCAATGATAATTGCTATATAAGGGCATAAGGAATTATAAGTGACTTTTCTTCTCTTTAATTTTCTGAGCATTTATTATAATTCAACAAAAGACCAGATATTATTTTTTGAGTTGATGTCTAGTTATGAAATAAAGTGCAACTTTTGTATTTTTCTTAAAAATACATGTATGTTATTTTCTCACATACACACCCTGTCTTGTCCTATGGCCCGATTTCTGAGGACTCAGCTCTCTGTTTTCATAGATGACAGCTCTCCAAGAAGGAGTGTCATAGTACTGATGGTTGACAATGGGTTACTCCCACCTGAGCATGTTACAGGAGACCTGCTGAAGGGGCAATACCGTAAGTCAAGGAAGAAACCTAAATGGAAGACCTTGAAGGAATCCTGGCAGGCCAGTAGTAAAAGATATTTAAATTACATTTATTTTTTTTAAAAAAGAGTAGGAGAAAGAAGAAAAATTTAAAAGGCATCTAGATAAGCACTCTTGACATTGAAACATAAAAATGTAAAAGTAATAAAATGTCTATGGTTTGATAGTTCAAACTGTATAGAAAGATACAAAAGAAATTTCAGGCTTCTTTGCCACAAACACACCCAGGTCTCTCTCTGTAAAGATAACCAATTTTAACAGGCTTTTGAGATTCCTTCCAGACCTATATATATATTTTTCCCTTACATAAAAGGAAACCATACCATATAGATTACTCCTCACCCTGCTTCTTTTATTTAATAATATGTCTTGAAGATCTTTCCATAAAAGCAGGTACATTTCTACCTCTTTGTTTTTAAGAGCTGCACGATATTATAACATATGGATACACCATAATGTATTAAGCCAGTTGCCTCTTGATATACTTGTTGCTTGTTTTTAATCTTTTATTATTACAGTGCTGCAATGAATAACCTGGTTCATATATTTTGGAGCACTTTTGTGAGTATATACATAGGGTTAATTTTTAGCAGTAGTAGATATTGCCAAATTGTCCTCCCAAAAGATTGAACACATTTACAGTCTCACTAATAGTGTATCAGAGTGCCAGTCTGCAATACCCTCAGCAGCTCTCAATATAAACCTCCTAATGTATGCCCATCTGAGCAGTGGGAAATGGTGTCTTGTAGCTTGTAACTTTAATTTCCATTCCTTTAATTATCAATGAATTTGAGTCTCATTTCATATCTGTTGTGACCATTTGTATTTCTTTTTTGGTAAATTCACTTTCATATCCCCTTCCAGTTTTTCTACTGAGCTGTTGTCCTTTCTGTTCTGGAAATTAAGAAAAACATCCCTTTGTCTTTCATATGTGTTCCAAATATTTTTCCAAGCTTGTCATTTTTTTCTCTTTTTTTAACCCTATAGAATTTTCTAACTTCATATGGTCAGATTTATCAATATATCTTCTTAACATCTCTAGAGTTTGTGTCCAGCTGGAAGAATCTTCCTGTCGTAAAGATATAATATATTTAAGGCAGGTGGGCAGACTTTTTAGTGACCCTTAAATCATACCATGTGCCTCTCCAATTTGAGCCCTGTGAAATTTGGAAAACTTAGGAAGTGTTTGCAGTAGTTAAAACCAGAGACTTTGGAATAGTACAGATAAAAATGGGCTCAAATTTATTTTGAATCCATCTTTGAGCCACTGTTTTGTCATCTGTAAAATGGAAATAGTACCTACCTTCATTATGGGTTTATAGAGGATGAAATGACGCAAGATGGGTTAAACAGTGCCTGGCACAGAATAAGTACTGAATGAAGTATGATGATGAGAAAGAGGATAAGTATTAAAATACTTTTTTAAGCTAATAACTATTATTAAGTAGATTATTTTCAAGATTTGTAATAAACATTTTGTTTTCAAAATTGTTTGACTGCATTCAAATTTTCTTCTTTCAGACTTCATTGATTGTACAGACACAGCCCTAATTTAATTCTGTTTACGTGGAAAATTCATTGTTCAACTAAAGGGGAAAAATTGCAACATCAGAGAGATGAGCTAGAGGGTGCTTGACTGAAGAAGAGTGTATGGACAGTCACAAGTACACACATGCATAAGACATGTGCTATGATATTAACTGTAGTATAAAAAATAGAAACAACCTAATAATCCATTGACAGGGGGTTGGTCAAATGATGGAACATTTATACAACAGTAAAAATGAATGAGCTAGATCTACATGTAAAACCATTAATAGTCAAAAATATAATGTTGCATGGATAAAAGAGAAAATTGCAAAAGGATACATAAGGTGTAATATAATTTACGTGTTTTTATTGTGGTAAAATATACATAACAATATTTACTATTTTATTATACATACAGTTCTGAGGCATTAAGTACGTTCACATTATTGTTTAGCCATCACTGTCATCCATCTCCTACATAAATTTTTAAAGCACAAAAACAATACTATATATTATTCATGGATATATACACATATGTGGAAAATTTATAAAAACATGCATGGGAATGATACACACTAACTTCAGGACAGTAGTTACCTCTGGAGAAGGAAGGAAAAAGAGGATAGGGATAAGGAGATGGGATTGGCTATATCCATATCATTTCCTTTTTAAGAAATAGATATGTGCCGGGCGCGGGCGCGGTGGCTGACGCCTGTAATCCCAGCACTTTGGGAGGCCGAGGCGGGCAGATTACAAGGTCAGGAGTTCGAGACCAGCCTGGCCAACATGATGAAACCCCATCTCTACTAAAAATAAAAAGGAATTAGCCAGGCGTGGTGGTGGGTGCCTGTAATCCCAGCTACTCAAGAGGCTGAGGCAGGAGAATCTCTTGAACCCGGGAGGTGGAGGTTGCAGTGAGCCAAGATCACGCCACTGCACTCCAGCCTGGGTGACAGAGAGAGACTCCATCTCAAAAAGAAAAAAAAAAGAAAGAGATATGTGAAGCAAATGATAACATCTATTAAATTTTGGTGGTGGATGCATGATGGTCTGTAATATTATTTTCTGACTTTTCTAACCAGTTGAAATATTTCCTAATTTTGAAACATTTTAAGTCAGAAGTAGGGTTTAGAAATATCAGCACTTTGGGAGGCTGAGGCAGGCGGATCACTTGAGGTCAGGAGTTCGAGACCAGCCTGGCCAACACAGTGAAACCCCATCTCTACTAAAAATACAAAAATTAGCTGGGCATGGTGGCGTGTGCCTGTAATCCTAGCTACTCGGGAGGCTGAGGCGGAAGAATCACTCGAACCTGGGAGACAGAGGTTGTGGTGAGCTGAGATTGCGCCACTGCACTGCAGCCTGGGTGACAGAGTGAGACTCTGTCAAAAAACAAACAAACAAACAAACAAAACTAGGGTTTAGAAATCAACTTACAAATGTATGCCTGACTATTCCATTTCAGAAAGTGATTTGTTTTGTTTTGTTTTGTTTTAAATAAGACTTTCACTCCTATAGAAATGATGGTCAAAATATTTAACATCCTGTAACGCACAGGTACCAACATATGAGAACACACACCAGTTTTGGCCTTGGAGCAGGTTCATCAAGGACCCCTGCATTAATCCGTTATTTTCTGAACAGATTGGTTTTGAAGCTCTTCCATTAGCTGTAGAGACCATCACCTCAGCACCTCTAGTATGTACCCATATGTGGAGTTTCCTAAATGGCTGACAGTGAACTTCCTGAGAGAGCCTCCGTATAATGAGTCAGCTTTATCGTTGACCGAAGAAAGTCACTGTTCCCTTGGGAGTGAGTTCTGGCCCATTTAAAGTTTCCCCCTGAGGAATCACAGGCTTAATAACTCAAATGTGAGGTTATCTTCAAGCCTCAAATATCAAAGCCTAGCCAGGAAGCCCCAGTGTTATTTGCTCTATTTTTCTTCCAGTTTCATTTACTAGCTATTCCATTTGATTTTTCAAAAAGCTTATTAGACTGTGTTTAGGGGCAACACAATTTTCAAAAAGCTTATTAGACTGCATTTGGGGGAAACAGTCTAATGGGTTTGGGGGAAAAGGAAGGTGGGTAGGTGCCCCATTTTACCTGTATTTACTCAGGAAAGGAAGCTGACTACAGTGGTAATTTCTCTTAGTGGGCAGGAATTATTTCTCATTTTGGAAAGCATCTCTAACCCGAGGAAATTGAAGCCATAGTAATAGATTGATAGGTCTGCTTTGTCCCTCCGCAAGCCAAAATCCATCAGAATAGATTCTGCTAAGCTTACCTATATTGGTTTTCATAATCCTTTCTCTGTGTTCTCTTGAGCAAAGTAAAATCAGAACTGCAGGCAGGCTACTACTGGAGCCCTATTTAATGAATTGGGGCAAGATCTCACCTTTCCCAGAGTAGTAAAACTGGGGACATTTCCAGGGAGAGTGGACAGAAGAAGGGTTACTTTGAAATCTTCTGATTTTCACTTGTTATACTTGAAATTTTGAGAAACCACAGATCAACAGTTAGCACCCTAAAATGTTTCTTTCCGTTGTACTTTTCTTACGAATGCTGGGCACTTTTTCCCAAGTATATCTGATCTAATTTTAACAGTATGACATTATTCAAATAATGTATTGAATGTTAAAAAAAAATACTAGCCAATTTACAAATGACCAAAACCACTTGCTTCTGCTTTGGCCCTAAAATGATATCTTCCTAGTTCCTGGAAATGCTGGAGATGTTTGAGCTGTTGAATTAAGGAATGAATCACTGTAGTTGTAACAATGGCGTCTGGAAGTATTTTCATACAACTCAGTTTTGTTTTGTTTTCATTCCTTTATCAGAGTCACTGCCTGTTATTAATTACTCATTTTTTAAATTGCTCAAATTGTTATGTTTCTAAAATAGACCTTAATCATCTATTTTATGAACATATAAAGTGTGTTTATATATATAAAGTAGTCTTGTATGGCAGGAACTGTGCTAAATGCTATAGTCAAACACCACAACCATCTCTTGTTGCAGCACAAACTTACTGGTTATCCGACAGGAATCCAGAGATGCCATTATATTAATTAATACTTTAAATATATTTATTTTACTGATGTCAACAACACACTAGTGTCAATGGCCCCACCTTACTATTCATAAGATTCCCACTGGTTTTAGCTACTGTAGCACGTCCACATCATGCGCCTGGTATATCTTGTTAGAAAAAGAACCACATTCACTGAGCTTTATTGTTTTGTTAAGTTTTTCAAGCAACAAATTTGGAAATCATAAGTAAACTAAGAAGATATGGTCCCTGCCCTTGAGTGGAATATTATCTCTTTGGGGAGACACGGGAGGACTCATTAGAAAAGACTAAAATACAGAATTAGGTTGCATGCATCAACTTTAAATACCACGGGGATTCGCAGACTGGAGAGCTGGTTGGGGTTTGGAGAGAAAAAAAAAGGGGGAAAATGAGAACAGGGAAGAAGTGGAGAAAAAGGAAGGAATCTGAAAAAGGATGGGACACAAAGGTAAAAAAGAACTAGGAACTAGATTCTAACCTCTATTCCTGATGGGTTAAGTGAACTCCAAAAGAAATAAGAGATCAAGGAATAAGGCATAACTAAGATGGGGCACGGTGGCTCAGGCCTGTAATCCCAAAGATTTGGGAGGTCAAGATAGGAGGATCACTTGAGCCCAGGAGTTCAAGACCAGCCTGGTCAACATAGTGAGACCCCCATATCTACAAAAAAATTGTTTTAATTTGCCAGGTGTGGTGTTATGCACCTGTGGTCCCAGCTATTAGAGAGGCCGAGGGGGAATGATGTCGGGAGCCCAGGAGTTCGAGGCTGCAGTGAGTTGTGATCATGCCACTGCACTCCAGCCTGGGCGACAGAGCAACACCCTGTCTCTATAAATAAGTAATAAAACCAAAACATAAATAAATACTAACATCACTTGTGTTGAGCTTTCAGAAAGATTTCACACATAGAAGTTATTTTATATGGTCTTTACAGTCATCCACTGACATGAGCAGCTCAGCTTTTCTACTCACTATTAGACAAAGGCAAAACCTGAGGACTGGGAGACTATTTAAATTTGTTAAAGTCACAGTCAGTCTCACAACTGGATCTTCTGGCTTCTAGCCCAGACTCTTTACTCCACCTCTCATAGCTCTGATGAACTTGTCTGGATATTTGAGTTTAGAGGAAAATAGACAGGGAAATGGCCTTGGAAACTCCAATCTCAATCAAGACAAGGATAAGGAAGTCACCAGCCCCCTTTGAACAAAACATCCCAGCATTTTAAATGCCTCTCAATGTCGCGTTCTTGTGCCCACAGATTGTCACACTTGTAGGTCAGAGTGTGGAAAGGTAAAAACAGTAAAAGAAGTTGTTTATCTCATTAAACAACTGCTTTGACTATTTTTCGCTTTTTGTTCCGCTGTCATATTTGTGCCTGTGTCTGTGTGTGTATGCTGTTGTTATATTCATATATTCTTGATTGAGCCCAAATCAGTTCTCCCAAACGTCTCTTGAACCTCCACTTAAAAGGTTTAAAATGTGTATTCACGCAGTGCTCATTACCCTGCCTTACCTTTTGCAAATGACTGTCTACCACTCCTGACTTTGTGAACTTCTCTTCTAGCACTAGCTTCATTAGTCAAGACATACGGATGCAGGGAGAATTTTAAATGGGCCCTCTGTGTTGTTTTTGAATGGGCACTACATGCAAATCATTATCCTAAAGAAATTTTAATTCCTCTTGAGTTACCCCACTTTTGTGAATAGTGAGCACTATTGGCTTAATTCCTCATATCCTGCTTTTATTGAGTATTTGGGACAAGGTATACTTAGTTTGCTTTTTATATTAGAACCTCTTGGTCATTCACATACCTTGAGATAGACTCATTTTCCCTAGAGTGCAACAACTGCAATTAGTTTTTTGCTGGTCCATGGGCAATAAACGAACTTTCCTTCCTAGGGCTAATTGTTCACTAACGTTCTTGTGTGGCAGTTGCCTTCCTTAGGATGACAGCGACAGTTCTTTCAAATGTATCTGAGTAGTGTCTCAGATATCGTTGCTTGATGTTTGAGGAATTTCTAAAGGGGGAGATATAAAATATGCAGCTCAGATTTAGTAAACCTCATTTATCTTAGCCCATATATACTGAGAACCCTTAAATCTCAGCCTGCAGGCATCTTTTGAGTGGGAACTCTAACACAAAAATAAAACAAGACATGTGCATTTCAACTTGAACTAGCACCATCTACTTACCCCAATCTCTCTCTCTCTCTCTCCACACACACACACACACACACACACACACACACACACACACCCCAACCTCTATAAAGCAAAGAAAAATAAATCACATTATTATCAGTGTCTGGTTTCACTGTTAAATGTTGAGACATTACCACCACCTTGGCCAAGGGTCTTCCTTAGCGAGTTGCACGGCATGGAACCTCATTTATTTGATTCTGTGTACGGAAACTTTAACCATCTTATAAAAGCTTGAAGGCTTTTACACCAATAATTTAATAGTGTAGTATTTCCCCTGAGCTAACAAAACTGTTTTCAACTACTGAATTGTCTCTATGGTGAATCTAACATAGGGTGCTCTCCTACTGACAAGGGTTACATAATGCTCCATGGACTTAAATCTTATTTACAGAACACAGAAAAGCCTAAAGTGTTCAAGCAGGGCCTGTGTGGAAATTTTTGACTATGATTCTAGGCTTAGAAAAGTCACTGTCAGAAAGAATTATAGCAATAACTAGGCAATTAAGATACCACTTAGCACCACCATAATACTTTATCTTCTTCAAAGTCCTTTCATTTCATTGGCTCTTGTGAGCTTCACACCATGTTACCTTGTGTAGTAGGTAGTATATAAGTTAAGAAATCAAGACACTGAGCGGTCAAATGCATTATCCAAAGTTCTACAGCTATTCTGTAAGAAAAATCAGCCTGAAAAAAAATCCTGAGGCACTTCTGTTTCTTCAGAACTCCTAACATGGTAAGGTCGGAAGAGATCACAAGATCGCAAACAAAGTTATATTGACAGAACAACTGGATTTGTGTGTGTGGTGGGGGGAGCGGTGTCATGAGCTATTCATTGTAGCTATCCACATGGATCACATTTGTTTGCAGTTAATTTGATCCATGGTCCTTTGTCTGTTTGCTCTTGGTTGTCAACCCCACTTTTCCCATATTCCAATCATCACTAATTGATAGGGGACTGTATTCCTCTTAAAGGACTTTAGAGAAAGACATTGTCACTGCATCCTTTCTAAGCTCATTTCTAGTGAAATTCATATGCAGTTCTTGGCCTCCTGGCATGCTTTATTTTGTTCAAGGTAGATATGTTTCAGTATAAATGCATGGAAATTTAGTCCTGTAAATCAGGAAGGTTTATTGAACATTTGTGCCCAAGTGTACTGAATTATTTGAGATATAAAAACTAATTCTAAAATCCAGTTCCTGTCCTCAGGGAGCTTATTACCTACATGGATCATGATTGGAGAATTCACATTAACAAATAAATAAATAAGTAACAGCTTCTGTGGGTTAGAAAACAGACCACAATGAACTGGAGTTTGCAGGGAAGGATTCATGAAAGGGAAACTTCCTATAAAAGCCTTAAAAGGTGAATAGGATTTGGGTTGCTGAATGTTAATACTCGGGCCAAGCTAACAACCATATTAAACACACACACCCTCCCCCCCACCCCCACCCCCCCCACACACACACACAGTATCTCAATAGCTTAACAAAAATAGTAACTTATTTCATTCTTACATCACAATTTAATGTGGGTTGCCTGGGGAGTGGAAGAATCTCTGCTCCAAGCAGTGATTCAAGGAACCAGCCTTCTTCCATCTAGTGATTCCTCAATGCCTTAGGCCTTGGAGTCCTCTACTGGATGGTCTGCATGCAGCCAGCCTACAGTGGAAGGTAGTAATCCATACAGAAACTCAGTAGATAGTTCCTTAAGGATCAGGCCTAGAAGTCGCATCCATTACTTCTGCCCACACCTAACTTGGAAAGGAGGCTGAGAAACGTAATCTAACTCTGTTCTCAGAAAGAAAGAGAAACGGGATGACATGAACACATAGCATTGTCTCTGTCATACTGAAAATGAAACGACCTTATTAATTTTAATTGATACATATAGATATATATATTTGGGAGCTATGTGTGATAATTTCATACATTTGTATAATTTGTAAAGATCAAATCAGTATAATTAGGATATTCATCACCTTAAATAGTTGTCTTTTCTTTATGCTAGAAACATTCAAATTATTCTCTTCTAGTTATTTTGAAATATACAATGGATTATTGTAACCTACATCACTCTACTGATTTATCAAACCCTAGTTCTTATTTCTTCTATCATTGATTAATGGGTATAAATATACCTCTCTTCATCCTCCCTTACCCTTCCCAGCCTCCGGTAACGACTAATCTACTCTCTTTTTTAGCTCCCACGTATCAGTGAGAACATGTGATATTTGTGTTTCTGTGCTTGACTTATTTCACTCAACATAATAACCTCTAGTTCCATCCATGTTGCTGCAAATGATAAAATTTCCTTCTTTTTATGGCTGAATAATATCCTATTGTGTATATGTGCCACATTTTCTTTATCCATTCACCTATTGATGGGTACTTAGTTGATTCCATATTTTGGCTGTTGTGAATAGTGCTGCAATAAACACGGGAGTGCAGATATCCCTTTGATATACTGATTTCCGTTATTTTCTATATATACCCAGTAGTAGTAGTGGAATTGCTAGATCATATGATAGTTCTATTTTTAGTTTTTTGAGGGACCTTCATTCCATTTTTTGTAGTGGCTATCCTAATTTACATTTCCACCAACAATATATGAGGATTCCCCTTTCTCCACATCCTCACCAGCATTCATTATTCCCTATCTTTTTTAATAAAAGCTATTTTGACCTAGGTGAGTTGATATCCCACTGCGTGGGGTCTCCTTTTTAGGTGGTAATTCTATGATAATAGTAAAGTTACTGAACTCCCCACCACATGGAAGGTCTTGAGTACTTTCTTGAAACTCATCAGCTCTGTGAAGATGAAGCCACAGAATACCTTTGAAGAATAATTCTGAAGAAGTCTAAGAGATCTATAGGAATACAAGAATTCTTAACAATTTTTGGGACGGGTCAGAGATCCTTTTGACAATCTAACAAAGCCAATGGGCTCTCTCCCCATGATAATACCCATACACAAAACATTTTGTGGATAATTTCATGGAGTTTCTGAACCTTCTTAAGCCAGTCTGTACCCCATCCCTGTGGTAAAGCAATTGATAACCTCATTTAAGCTACATGGCATAGTGGTTAAGAGAATGGGCATTAAACTCAGACAAACTTGTGTTAAACTAGCATTTTCTTTTTTTTTTTTTTCAACTTCTACTTTAAGTTCAGGGGTACATGTACAGGTTTATTACGTAGGTAAACATATGTCATAGGGGTTTGTTGTGCAGATTATTTCATCACCCAGGTATTAAGCTTAGTATCCATTAGTTGTTTTTTCTGATCCTCTCCCTCCTCCCACCCTCCACTATCCGATAGGCCCCAGTGTGTGTTGTTCCCCTCTATGTGTCTATGTGTTCCCATCATTTAGATCCCACTTATAAGTGAGAACATGTGGTATTTGGTTTTCTGTTCCTGTATTAGTTTGCTAAGGATAATGACCTCCAGCTTTATCCATGTCCCTACAGAGGACATGATCTCATTCCTTTTTATGGATTCATAGTATTCCATGGTGTATATGTACCACATTTTCTTTATACAGTCTATCAGTGATGGGCATTTAGGTTGATTCCATGTCTTTGCTACTGTGAACAGTGCTGCAATGAACATACACGTGCATGTGTCTTTATAATAGAATGATTTATATTCCTTTGAGTATATACCCAGTAAGGGGACTGCTGGGTCCAATGGTATTTCTGTCTTTAGGTCTTTAAGGAATCACCACACTGTCTTCCACAATGGTTGAACTAATTTACACTCCTACCAACAGTGTATAAGCATTCCTTTTACTCCACAACCTTGCCAGCATCTGTTATTTTTTGACTTTTAATAATAGCCAATCTGACTTGTGTGAAATGGTATCTCATTGTGGTTTTGATTTGCATTTCTCTAATGATGAGTAATGTTGAGCTTTTTTTCATATGCTTGTTGGCCACATGTATGTCTTCTTTTGAGAAGTGTTTGTTCATGTCCTTTGCCCACTTATTAATGGGGTTGTTTGTTTTTTTCTTTTCTTGTAAATTTGTTTAAGTTCCTTATAGATGCTGGATATTAGACCTTTGTCAGATTCATACTTTGCAAAAATTTTCTCCCATTCTGTAGGTTGCCTGTGTACTCTGTTGATAATTTCTTTTGCTGTACAGAAGTTCATTTGTCAATTTTTGCTTTTGTTGTCATTGCTTTCGGTGTCTTCATTATGAAATCTTTGCCCATGCCTATGTCTGGAATGGTATTGCCTAGGTTTTCTTCCAGGGTTTTTATAGTTTTGGGTTTTACTTTTAAGTCTTTAATCCATCTTGAGTTAATTTTTGTATATGGTATAACGAAGGGGTCCAGTTCCAGTCTTCTGCATATGGCTAGCCAGTTATTGTAGCACCATTTACTGAATAGGGAGTCCTTTCCCCATCGCTTTAAACTAGCACTTTCTAGGTATGTAACCTAGAGTTAGTCACTCTACCTCTCTGCACTTCCATTTCCTCATCTAAAAAATTACATTAGTACCTACTCCACAAGGCTGTTGGGAGGATTGAATGAGAAAATCTATGTAAGGAATCCAGCACAGTACCTGGAATATCATAGTGTTCTCGGCAAATGGAAATGATTATTGTTTAGTAATATTAGTCATCTTTCATAGATTTTCAGTGGTGTTTACCTGGATTTCATACATACTAGGCTCATCTAGAATTCAACATGGTTCTTCAGATTTCAGCTTACCTATCACTTAAGTCTGAGAAATCACTTGTGACTTTCATTTCCCCGGCCCATCCCCCAAGGATGCTCCCATGGCACCTTGGACTTGCCCCAAACTAGTGCTTATCTAATGGCATTGCAATTGCCTGGTTATTTCTCTGTCTCCCTCTACCAGTTTCCAGGCTTTCTAAGAGCAACGCCATGTCTGTTTTATAGTCTCCTGTACTCTCATTGCCTAGGACAGTGCTCACACGCAGAGGGTGCAGAATAAATCTTGAATAAGTTAATGAGTAAACAGAAAAACATTTTTCTCAGTAAGCTTTAAGAAAAATAGTGGTTGGTGGATTTAAAAGGGCTGTCCATTCACTTTGCCTTATGGCAAAGCTGAAGTCTAAAGTTTTGAGAGGATCACAAGGAGCTGAAGACAAGACAAATGCTAAACACTGGTGTCGTCTGTCTTTCTCTCAATCAGAATTCTTGGTTAACTAGCCCACAAATTTATTGTTCTTTATAATGACTATGAAGCCCTTTGAAGTGCCTTTTGAGTAATCAAAATAAGACATTCCAGTCAGCAGAATATTAGTTTGAAAGCTTATCATTTTTAATTTGTGTTTATGTTCTTTGGAAATTGACCTTTACTATGTAGAATATACTAGAACATTTTATTAAACAAAATATCTGATTAAATAACTCACTATTCACTAGTCATATAATATTACAGTGAGTTTATTAGTGTCTCCTTACTGGAGAAATCCTGATGCCACTGTTAACCACACAGTGAAATCATCTCAGCTTGTCATTAAGCTCTGCCTCCTTCCAACCTCTAGTGACACACAGAAATCTGTAAACCCTCCAAGTTCTAGAAGCTCCATTTAGTGGCTACATAGTGAGAAAACTTAACAGGCTTATTATGCATAAGTAACTTGGGCCTTTCTGATCCCAGAGGGTAATTAAGTGGACAGTAGTCAGATGGGTTGAAGAATGGACTTTTCTGCCTAGTAGAGTTTCCATATATACCACACATATAGTACCAATTTTCAGAGAATTGGAATGCACATGAACAAAGAAAAATTCTCCTTGACTAAAAGAACATTTTTGAATCAGTTACACAATTCAGCACTCTCAGTATTGGAGATTGAGCTGACACCATATTAGGCTTAGGAATTTCCCTGGAAGTTGATTTAACCATTTATCTTTGTCTGATAAAATTAAACAGCAGATTGTGGCAGAAAAACATCCAGTATTTCAGTTTTCTTGTTGCTAGGGCTATAGATGAAGAGAATGTTATGACTGCTTTCCAAAGCTTATATTCTGAAAGATGTTTCATTTTTTATATAGAAATAATAAAAATGTAGGTGGCCTCAACAGCTGTAATTTTAAAAAATTAAGTACAGAGATGCCTTCTGCCAACATTTGAAATTGGCATTCTACACAGCCAAAAACTCAAATCTTCACTGTTATCTAATTTGGGATTTAGCTACTATTTCCAGGCTATTAAGCACCACATCTGGACTCTCAGTGATTACATCAGGATGCCCCTGTTCCTTCAGTATTGATCAGTAGCATCTTTTCCCCTCACAGGTGATAAATTTATAAGTAACTATCCAGGCTGCCCCAGCTTTAGGCAATTGTCATCTAAAGAATTAAAGTATTTATTCATTGGAGGATAATAAGACAAGGGAAGAAGTCAAATAATTTTGCCTATAATTTGCAGCTGTTTCATACAGAGCACTGCTTCACAGAGAAAAGAGCCTGCAGTTCAGATATTATATAATATCCCCTACTTTGCATGGGATGTTGTGAATAATTTTTTTACAAGATGCACTTTATTTATGAGCAGGTCTCTCCATAGAAAGAGCTTGTTAGGGCTTAATGCTGATGAATGGAGACAGCACCATTCACACTTCCAGGTTATGGTCTGTCAGTGCTTTCATTATATGCACTAATTTACAAGGATTTATTTATTTTCTCCCAAATGTAAAAATGTGCTCCAAGCTAAACATGCTGTCTGGGCATCTGAGGCCAGTGTTTTCCTTGGTGCAGGGGGATTTTTAAATTCAAAGTTAAATTGAGGGGACTCAAGCTATTGTGTGTTTTCTTCCCACTTCCACCTCCACCTGCCTTGCATCACGGCCTAACCTTGTGGTAATATCAGAGATCTCTGTATTTTTACTTGCTTTGAAAACAAAAATGAATTCCGGTTGAAAATTTTTAAACCTGGAAGTGGTTTTCTTAGTACAGTTTAAATCTTTAAATCTTTTCTCATCCAGAGACTGTACCTTTGATTGTTTAAGTGCTAATGAAAATGCTGTCAGTGAACACATCAATGAACATGACCGTTGGAACAAATTTTGCCCACAACATTGGTTACCAAGTTTTGGAGATCTGGGCACAGCAATATCAAAATTGGAAAGTAAATTGAATCTGCAGATCTTGCTAGCCCCAGATGGCTTTATGTGATCTGAAATCACTCACATGCCCATCTCCAAAGAATAAAGCTTAAAATATATACTGGGAATGTGTCACCTCCTTTCACTCATTCTGACAAGCAGTAATATATCTACAGCATCATCACTATCCCTGGGTTATAACAATAAGCATTATGGGAGGGGAAACCTCCCCAAATGATGGACAAATATTATTCTCTTTTTCATGCCTGGGGTTTCCAATTTGATTTTTACCCTCAGTGAAAATTAAATACCCCTTAAGCTTCACCAGCAAAGAGGTTGCAAAATTGTTGTTTGGGGAATTTATGTGTTGGTTGGTTGATTGGTTGGTAAGGGAAGGCAAATGAGAGGAAAATATGTACATATAAAATATGCTCGGTACATTTATGAAGCACCTATCACATAGTTTCCTCAAAGCCTTTTCTACTGTTTCTTTTTCAACTCCAAACATAAGTGTAACCCAATCAAAGTTAATTAAAGCTTCTCAAGGAAAAAGAAGTATGTTTGGAATTTGGACCATGATAAAAGAAGTTGCTACACAAATATATGAAAGGAAAATATTCTACAAACTGTCAGCAGAACAAGCCCTGAAGGCAACTAGTGAGTATTTAATAAGCCCAGACTTATTTCAAAGGGCACTCGTCTGTGGAACTCAGCTGACATGAACAGAGACAAAGAAGTTCACAGTGTTTAGATCTTCACAAAAAGTAAAAGTAAGAAAACTATGTAAAGTCCCAGATTATCCTCCCTGGATCAGCCTAAACTTTGCACTCTGATGGGATGAGAAGTGTGGTAGTCAAGGAAAAGAATTGTCCTCCCTGATATCAGCAAAGACATGTAAAGACCTTCCCATGTATACTAGTTAAGAATACATTTATTTCTCTGTACCTTTTGTGAACCTGCTCAAATTTTTAGAGGATCAGATCCTCTAAGTTTACTACCTCCTCATAAGAGCAACACTTCATTTTATTTTTAATATCCTTAATTTACTAAAGTTCCAGAGTATTCCTCTTAGTCTTAGTTTCAGTGTAACCAGATTCTTTATCCTTATACCCTCACAGAGCCTAGCATGGTGACATTCACTACGATTTAGTAATCATAGTGTTTAGTAAATGATTCATGATTTCGTACATGTCGAGCACATCTCCTTTCAGTCTTTCCATCCCCAGACTTGAGTCTTGAGTCTTGATCTTTCAGTCTATCCCTTTATGACAGCCAAATTTGAAATTTTATACTCAGCGATATTTAATATAGTGGTCATAGAAGGTGGTTCTAAATAATAGGTCTGCCACAAACCACACCAAATTTTAAGCAATCAAGAAATTGATGTTGCAAAACACAAAAATAACAGGCAGAAGTTCCCCCTTGGTTCATCCTCATCCAAAATGTTCTGGAGATTAAAATAATTGTTCATACGCCATCATCATTTAACTTGCCCCAGTCTTAAAAGTCTTTTTATAAACCACCTTAAGGGTCCTTATACCTCTAAAAATTATAAAGGGATTTATGGACATGGAATTCCCTTGTTTGGACATGCTGGTTTCCTTGGAGAACTCACCAAAACATAGATGACTTTAGAAGTATTCAGGGGACATTAAAATGAATTTGTAACTTTTATAGATGTTAAGGATTAATCAAACATCAGGATTAATCAAAGTATACCATAAAGCCAAGTCTTAATATTAACTTCCTGCCAATGAATTAGTTCATCTAAAAGCAGTTTATTAAGTTGAGTTTATAAAATGACTCTAGATGAGTTCACATTTTGCCAGAAAATTCATGTGTGTGTGTGTTTGTGTGTTGTGTTGTGCTAAAAGGACACGCTTGTTAGCACAGAAATTCTGACTTTAACATCCATTCAATGAGTTTCACCAGACCTAAATAAAGGGAAGTGGGGAAAAGACTAAATTGTAGACTAGTTTGAAAAATGCCATGTGGTTATTTTCAAGAGCACTGTCAAAAGCACCAAGGGAAATAGGAGTAGAGCCATATGTTCTTAAAGTGTATCTGATACTTTTTATATGTATTACTTCATATGATATAACGACCTAGGGCCAGGCCCGATATCTCACGCCTGTAATCCCACCACTTTGGGAGGCCGAGGCAGGTGGATCACCTGAGGTCAGTTCGAGACCAGCCTGGCCAACATGGTGAAACCCTGTCTCTACTAAAAATACAAAAAACTAGCCAGGCGTGCTGGCAGGCTCCTATAATCCTAGCTATTTGGGAGGCTGAAGCAGGATAATCACTTGAACCCAGGAGGCGGAGGTTGCAGTGAGCCAAGATTGCACCATTGTACCCAGCCTGGACAACAAGAGCAAAACTCCCTCAAAAACAAAAAAAAAAAACACCTAGATATACCTAGATATAGAGTAACCAGCTCATCCTGGTTTGTCAAGGATGGTCCTAGTTTTAAAACTGAGCTCTGCCTCAGTTACAGCCAAACCAGAGCAGTAGATCACTTTAGCTAAGTAAGGCAGACGATCCTGTCCCTATGTTACCAAAGAGGAGTCTGAAATTTGCAAATGAATGACTCAATCAGAGTCACACATTAGTTGTAAGTGGGGTATTCAGTATTAGAACCCAAGCCTTCTAACTGCTATTATAATAAAAATTTTAAGAAACCAGGCTGTAATTAACACTGTGTGTAAAAACTGCTGTGAAAATTTTATCGGCTTTTATCTTTTCTAGAAACTTAGCCATTCCCTTTGTGATACTATAATTTTGCTCGCCAACTCCCCTTTTAATAGATAATATGGAGAAAAAAACTCAGCCCGGTTCATCAAAGTTATTACAAACTCCCTTTTAACAAAGTCTGAATTGATGAAAATAATTATAATGCTTTTCAAGTCAGTTATTTCCTAATGCAATCGTGAAAATAAGCAGCAGCCTGTGCATTAGCACCCTAAAAAAAAATGTAATATACATGATCTCCCCGTCTTTTCCCATTTATCTTAAAGATGATTTTTTATTGTTTGTGGGGGCAAGCAAGTATCAAGGGGGTGGAAATGTAAAACTGGACAAAATTATTAGACCTGGCTTTATCTCCGCGTGTGACTTTTTGTCATTTCTTCTCAATACACAAAGAAGTGAATGTATGCCCCAACAAACCTCTCCCATTACTGTCCTGTCTGTGCTGAGCAAAATTGAATCTATATGTCTTTAAAATGCCTTTCCATTGCTATGGCTTTTTTCAAAATACAGAGCTTAGTGCAAATGTGGTTCACTAGACTACTAATGCTCATTTGCTCTTTCCCAACAGGCATCACAGTTGATAGGCATGGATTTATTTACTTTGTGGATGGGACTATGATTCGCAAAATTGATGAGAATGCTGTGATCACAACTGTAATCGGCTCAAATGGTCTGACTTCCACACAACCACTGAGCTGTGACTCAGGAATGGACATCACTCAGGTAGGCATCACTGGTTTTCAAGTATTATTGTCATTTGGCATCATGGAAATGGATAACAATTTTCTCATGTAGAAATGAGGTAGAATGGAAGCCTGGCATATCTGTTATAACACCAGATAGCAGAAGTTTCTCTTTATGTAAGTTACTTTTTTCCTCGTTAGAAAAGCTTAGTTGGGAGAAAATGGTAAGCGAGGATGGAAGTAATGTCAGGTAGAATATTGACATACAATTAAGTAAAGTCTCTCAAGCTTGAATTAATCAGAGGGTAAGGCCAATCTCATTTATTGAATATTTCCAAGATAAGTAATTCTATTATTATTTTTTTTATTATACTTTAAGTTCTAGGGTACATGTGCACAATGTGCAGGTTAGTTACATATGTATACATGTGCCATGTTGGTGTGCTGCACCCATTAACTTGTCATTTACATTAGGTATATCTCCTAAAGTTATCCCTCCCCCCTCCCCCCACCCCACAACAGGGTGAGTGATGTCCCCCTTCCTGTGTCCAAGTGTTCTCATTGTTCAGTTCCCACCTATGAGTGAGAACATGCGATGTTTGGTTTTTTGTCCTTGCGATAGTTTGCTGAGAATGATGGTTTCCAGCTTCATCCATGTCCCTACAAAGGGTATGAACTCATTTTTATGGCTGCATAGTATTCCATGGTGTATATGTGCCACATTTTCTTAATCCAGTCTATCATTGTTGGACATTTGGGTTGGTTCCAGGTCTTTGCTATTGTGAATAGTGCCACAATAAACATACGTGTGCATGTGTCTTTATAGCAGCATGATTTATAATCTTTGGGTATATACCCAGTAATGGGATGGCTGGGTCAAATCGTATTTCTAGTTCTAGATCCCTGAGGAATCACCACACTGACTTCCACACTGGTTGAACCAGTTGACAGTCCCACCAACGGTGTAAAAGTGTTCCTATTTCTCCACATCCTCTCCAGCACCTGTTGTGTCCTGACTTTGTAATGATCGCCATTCTAACTGGTGTGAGATGGTATCTCATTGTGATTTTGATTTGCATTTCTCTGATGGCCAGTGATGATGAGCATTTTTTCATGTGACTGTTGGCTGCATAAATGTCCTCTTTTGAGAAGTGTCTGTTCATATCCTTTGCCCACTTGTTGATGGGTTGTTTGTTTTTTCTTGTAAATTTGTTTGAGTTCTTTGTAGATTCTGGATATTAGCCCTTTGTCAGATGAGTAGATAGCAAAAATTTTCTCCCATTTTGTAGGTTGCCTGTTCACTCTGATGGTAGTTTCTTTTGCTGTGCAGAAGCTCTTTAGTTTAATTAGATCCCATTTGTCAATTTTGGCTTTTGTTGCCATTGCTTTTTGTGTTTTAGACATGAAGTCCTTGCCCATGCCTATGTCCTGAATGGTATTGCCTAGGTTTTCTTGTAGGGTTTTTATGGATTTAGGTCTAACATTTAAGTCTTTAATCCATCTTGAATTAATTTTTGTATAAGGTGTAAGGAAGGGATCCAGTTTCAGCTTTCTCCATATGGCTAGCCAGTTTTCCCAGCACCATTTATTAAATAGGGAATCCTTTCCCCATTTCTTGTTTTTGTCAGGTTTGTCAAAGATCAGATAGCTATAGATGTGTGGTATTATTTCTGAGGGCTCTGTTCTGTTCCATTGGTCTATATCTCTGTTTCAGTACCAGTACCATGCTGTTTTGGTTACTGAAGCCTTGTAGTATAGTTTGAAGTCAGGTAGCGTGATGCCTCCAGCTTTGTTCTTTTGGCTTAGGATTGACTTGACAATGCGGGCTCTTTTTTGGTTCCATTTGAACTTTAAAGTAGTTTTATCCAATTCTGTGAAGAAAGTCAAATGAAACAGTGACTGAAATTTAGAAAAATAGTGACTACGAAGTCTCTTTAGACATCTTTTTTAATGAATATATGAGCATGTTGTTATTCACATGTATATAAATAGCTATTTCTAGGGTGTTTGGAAGTTTTCTTAAGTAAAAGCAACATCCCCTCTGAGATCTATTTTACTGTTATTTAGGAAATCTGTGTTTTTTTGGTTTTTTTTTTAGGCCAGTGAGGATAAAAGAAAATTCAGTGTAGCTCTCATCTGGGTCCAAAATTCTGATTTTACCACAATTCTACAAAATCAGTATTAGACATTTAAAGAGATTATAGAGCATACAGCATAGTCCCAACATTCAGTGTCTGACTTTTTTAGTCTGCAGAAACAAGAAATGAAGGAAATAGATTAGACAGTCCTCAAACCTTCCAGCTCTAACATTCCATAAATTTGTGACCCTAATAAAGTAGATTATTAAATAATCTTTTCAAAAACACTAAAGTGGATGTTGAGAGTTTTCAAATTGATTAGTGTATCACAGAGGATGGTCTTGTCTGCAAGTAATAAAATACTTGTCTAAAAGTTGTTTAAACAATAAAGTTTAATTATCTCACATAACGAGTTGTCCAAAGATAGGCAAAGATGCCAGCAAATTTCCTTCTTGTGTCACATTGGCCAGAATTGAGTCACATGCCCATGCCTTCACCAGTCACTGGCAAAGGGGAAATGAGATTCCATAGTGAATTCAGACCCTTTAGAAGTGGGTCCCCTTCCCTGAGCACATTGCTACCTGATTCTTAAACCAAAATCAGAGTTCTGTTAGCAAGGAGTAAAGGGTTGCTACTGGGGAGGCAATGAGCAGTGTACCCCACAGTTATGATATTCCTGTTGCTTCATTTGTCATACCACCTAAAACCTAGAAAAACAAGGTAAATATATTAGTCCATTTTTACGCTGCTGATAAAGACATACCCAAGACTGTGCAACTTACAAAAGAAAGAGGTTTATTGGACTTACAGTTCTCCATGGTGGGGGAGGCCTCACAATCATGGTAGAAGGCAAGGAGGGGCAAGTCATGTCTTACATGGATGGCAGCAGCCAAACAGAGAGCTTGTGCAGGGAAACTCCCATTTTTTTTTTTTTTTTTTGAGACGGAGTCTCGCTCTGTGGCCCAGGCGGGAGTGCAGTGGCGCAATCTCGGCTCACTGCAAGCTCCGCCTCCCGGGTTCACGCCATTCTCCTGCCTCAGCCTCCCGAGTAGCTGGGACTACAGGCACCCGCCATCACGCCCGGCTAATTTTTTTGTATTTTTAGTAGAGACGGGGTTTCACTGTGTTAGCCAGGGAAAACTCCCATTTTTAAAACCATCAGATCTCGTGAGACTCATGCACTATCACGAGAACAGCTCAGGAAAGACCCGCCCCCATAATTCAATCACCTCCCACCAGGTTTCTCCCACGACCTGTGGGAATTGTAGGAGTTACAATTCAAGATGAGATTTGGGTGGGGACACAGCAAAACCATATTAGTAAGTAAAAGGAACACACCCCTAAGAAACCTTGCTTTAGTCATTGACTCTAAGATCTCCTGCCACCTCCACCCACCTTGAGCATACAACTCTATAAAACACTGGCCTGTTTTGAATTTCTGCTTCTCTATGTGCCCCTGCCCTGCCCCAGAAACTCAAGAAATGTTCATATATAGTCAACTACAAAAGTGAAATGGGGAGTTGGGCCTGGAAAACTGACAAAATGAACAAACCCTTTTTTAATAGAGACTTGAATGGGTCAGGCTATCAAGTCCTAGAATAGTCTAACTTTCCATGATTCAAAATGCTGCAGAAGGCAAGGAAAAGGAGCATTATTTATGGCAATAAAGAAGGGTGTGAATGTATTTGTATGGAGGAGGAGGGACAGAGAAGATGCACATGTATGATTCACTTGTGGGATATTTTTAACTTAAAATAGGGCATTTAGTATTGCAATCAGTCAACTCTAAACAACTTTTCTGTTTCTGTGTAGAAAAGTTATGTTGAAAAGAGAATTATTTGTCTTAGTAGAGCAAACATATGATCATCATCACCATGAGAAGGGTTCTTTTTCACATGACACTTTCCAAACATAATTCCCACCATAAAATCTACCTCATCCTTTTCAGGTTGGGAAATACAATGCAGCCCACTGAAAAGAAGCCCTGGTAACCAGGAGACAGAAACTTTTCTCTATGGCATTTCATTCCAAGCCTCAGTTTCTCTGAAGTACCCTCTTTCCCCTTTCTGTACACAACTTTAGCTTTAGAGATACAGTAGATTTTTTTGGAGGCAGGGGAGGTTGTGTGGTATGAGAAGGGGATGGCAGAAGCCAGCAGGATTTACCAGGAAAGAAAGCAGGTTTTATGTCCAGATTATTTGGCCAGTAACTCTGCTGCTATCCACCATTTCCTGTTCTGTGCCTGAGACACACTAAAGAGTAAATCCAATTTGTCCACCCAGACTGGCTCAAAACAAGGAGACTGTATTGATTAGTGTCCAGATTATCACCCTCTACCTTTATTAAAGGCCTACTTCTCATGGCCCCATTTCCCCAGTCTGGAAGTACCTCTGCTGGTCCAAATCCCATTCTCCATCCTCCTCACACCTCACCTCTTCCATGGGAACCTTCCTTGATGGTTCTAGTCCTCACTGTTGCTTCAATCCCTTACTGGAATTTAGTATCACCATGCTTAAATGTAATTTGATCTTTGTTGGCAAACTGTGTATCCAACCCGTCTCCCACAGTAGACTGTGTGTTCCTGGAACATGCATAGGAAGGGCTCAGCAGGTACAGTTAACATCTATACCTGAACCAAAAGGACATAATGGTAAAAAGAATATGAAAGAGTAGTGAGAGATGAAGCTAGAAAGGTAAGTGAGGGTGAAATGGTGAAGGGCCTTCCTTATAAGCATAATGAAGTTATACTGAACAATGAAGAGATAATAACAGCGTTAAGAAGGGAAATGCATTTTTAAAATGGTATTAAGCATGGAAATCAGTTTTCAGAGATCATTCTAGCTGTTGCATGGAGAACCAAGTGAAGCAAAATAACACTAGAGGCAGGGAGACCACTTAAGAGACAGTTGAAGAAATCCAGGTATGACAAGGAAAAAACATATCAATGTAGATATGATCAGCCCCTTTCCAAGGGACTGCTATAAAAATTAAGCTGTTTTCCAATGCTTTTGGGATGTTCAGCTGATATTTCTTTGGGATACAACTCTGGATGAGACTTTCCATGACACTGCTCAGCTTTATGCAGGCTACATAGGCAAGCAATTTTAATGGCTGAACCTAAAATCTCATAGAAAGGTAGATAGATTCATTAAACATTGGAGCCAATATCAAATAACTTGTTGACTGACAATTTCAGAATTGAGGGAACATGTGTATGGTAGTACCATTCACTGGTACAGGGAATACAAGAGGAAGAGAAGCAGGTTTGCTTGATGGTTGGATGATGGGTTCAGTTTGGGGTACGTTGAGGTGCCTGTGTGGCATCCAGATAAAGATATCTGGCAGGAAATTGGATACAGGTTTAAAGCTTGAGGTCTAACTACAGATTAGAGTTGTGATTGCTATTAGTTTACACATGGCAATGGTAAATAGGGGAGTGGATGAGCTCTCTCACGGAGGGTACACAGCATAAAAAAGAGGAGAAGGCTCAAGACCAAACTCTATGGAACACCAGTATTCAAGAAAAAACGGAGGAATGAGAACCCACAAAGGAGGCTGAGAGAAGGAGACCTGGCAATTAGGTGGAAAACCATGAAGGTGTCAAAAAAGCCAAGAGACGCAAGTTTTTCAAGAGGAAGGGAATGGTCAGTATCAAATGCTGCTTAGGGATCATAAAAAATGAGGTGCTTTTTAAAGAAGCCATTAGATTTCACAGCATTAACGCCTCTGATAAGAGTACCTTTGATAGAGTGCTAATTAATGAGAGTCAGATACCAGCGGCAGAGTAGGAAGTGAGGAAATGGAGAAACGGAAAATAGATCACTTCTTTGAGATGTTTGGCTGGGAAGAAGAGGCTTTGGCATTGAAGCAAATCAGCTCTCAGGTGTGGGCAGATCAGCACCCAGATGTGGCACAGGTGGACTAAAGCTGGAGAACACCGAATGAAATTGATGGGTCAGTTGATAGAGAGTTTACCAGGAGAAAGCCTGTGTGTGGCACAGCTTCCTAGATGCTCAGCCATTATGACCAGAGCTTCCCATCTGTTTAGACAACTGTGACAGATTGGCAACCGATGTTTCCCATGACTGTACTTAAGAACATGGGCCATCTTCAGCTAGAGAGAAGAAAGCTGAGCAGGGAGCTTCATAACACCCACCAAGAGCAAAGCCCCAGTTGTTTATAGTAGTACTTACAGTGATCCAGCTGAGCTTACACAGTGCTGAGTTTCATATTTCAGTAAATCAAAATATATTGACGGGTGAGGGCACAGACAAATGTCTAAATGAGAGTGCATTGTTTCTGCTGACAGGAATGGACAGGAGAGAAAATAGAGGCCTATGCTGCAACATGAAGATTTGAATCAGACCTTAAGAAAAGCTTACTGTTTCTAACACTACATGGCAGCATCATATATTTTTAAAAATTTTTTGTGGAGTTCCCACCTTTTGAAACTTTTCAAGCAAATATTGGATAGCAATAATCTATGAATGCTTGACATACAGGCCTCTCTGGAGCCAGGAAAATGGACCAACTGTTTTCTCAAGGTTCCTTCCAACTCCACAAAGGTGTCTCCACAGAAATACAACCAAATTTCTAAAGTTTCTTGTTACCTTTCCAGCATTCCAGCATTTCAAAACCAAAAGATCTCCAACAAAGAAAGGCCCATGTATACTAGCATAGTACCTATGGAGGTTAGAAAGTGATATGAGAGAATGGTCCTCTTCATCTTACTTGCCTTCATCTTCTGTACTTTTCTGTGGCAAACCTAAGCCCAAAGAAGAATCAGTTCTCAGGGCTTGTCCTAATCTTTAGCAGATCATTAAGTCCTATAGTAAGTCTAAGAATAACTGCTACCACTTATAGAGAGCTCACTATGTACCAGGAACTATGCTAAGAATCTAATTTACACTATTCTATTTTGTCTACACAATGCAACCACCCTTGAGAGGTAGATATTATTATCCCCATCTGCCAGAGGAGAAAACTGTTAGTCGGAGGGATTATATATTGTGCTATGACCATAGAGTTATTGAGTGATATAACTAAGATTTTGGCACAAGCTTTCTGAACCCAAGTGTGCATTTTTCCAACCTCTGGAGATGGCCAAATAGCATTGTATTTAGCTGAGTGACAAATGCCGCTTGGTTGAAGAATATGCTGTTTATTCACAGAATGTGTGTTTAGTGGCAGTTAGGAAAGAGTTTAATAAAATCTAATCATCTCAAGAAATGAAATTTGCTTTGACAATAAAATCATCCATTTGTTCAAAATCAATATCTTTTTTTGATTTACTGAAATCTGAAACTGAACTCTCAGTATAAACTCTGAAGCATAACTGCCCTTTGTAAGCACTGCTATAAGCAACCAGGCCTTTCACTTCAGGAGATGAGTTGATTATCAAGACACTGGGTGCTTTATTTCTGTTGCTGCTTTTGAATCATCCTGCTCTGGTAACTCACTTCCATCTGATGCCTGACTAGAATGGAATTGGGAGTTAGAGCAAGTTTCTTGATGGGATAGCAAGTTACTCCTTGGAGCCAGCCTAATGCTTTTCCCAAAGTCAGCCCAATAGGAGATACACAAGCAAGATGGACCTTTTGCATGCATAGGAAATCCTGTTGACCTACTGCCCATAAGGTACACACTTTGAGGTGTTTGTCTAGAGCATCCAGATACACAGCCAGGGCTTCATAAGTGCTTATTGGATGATTTGTGTGTTTCCCACTGGTTTCCAACAGCACCCATTTGTCAGATGGGTCTAACACGGGTAGGGGAAGCATCATCCATAGTTGTGCAGGAAGGAAGGTAACATTCTTTGGAGGAGCAAACTTTGTCCTCATATATTACATCTATTGAACTAGTCCACTAGGAATCTTACTCTTCTCAGTTATTTGATGCTTGACTCCTCTCCAGAATATTCTGACCATGTAGTAACAATCCAACCTATTTTCAAATGCTTCCTGTGTTAGGGAATTAGTACTACCTCCCCCAGGCAGCACATTCCATCTTTGAATACCTCTGACTGATGACAAGCTCTTCTTGGATCCCTTTGACTTTTTGTCTTCCTTTAACTTTCACCATCCAGTCTTACTGCAACTGTTCAGGCTTTCTTGAATTATAAATTTAATCTATATTCTATGAGATCAATCTACTAGTGAATCAAGCACAATACTGGGTACGTTTATATATGTTATCTTATTTAATCCTCATGACAATCCTTCAAGATAGGTATTATGTTCCCCTGTTTTTAATACATATGAAAAACAAGATTCAGAGGAATTGAGTAACTTGGTTAAGGCCGCACAACCAATAAGTGGCTGAGTTGGAATTTGAACCTGGTCAACCTGACGCCAAAGCCCACATTATTTTCACCAAATTACATTAAACTGCCTCCTCCACGTGACAGCCCTCTTAGTACAAGAAAACAACTCTTTCATGCCTCTTAAGTCACATTCCCACTTCATTTAACTATACTTCATTTTACATGGTTTTGAGTTCCTTCACCATTCTTCCAGAATGGAAGCCACCATGGCTTCCAGAATGAATAAAATAATCCAGATGTGCTCTGAGTACTCAGAGGTAGAATGGGAACTGTCACAACTCCCTTTCTATATTGTTTCTTTTCCTTTTGCCCATTGATTGTTTAAAAAAAAAAAACTTTAGCCACAGAACATTTACTTCAAACAAATCAGTCTCAATTTATAAAATAGATGCAAACAGCAGATTCAAACAAGAGGTGGTGTCCCAGAACCTTCTTTATTCAAGCTTACTTCCGTGTGATGGTAGCTTGCATGGTGACCTCAAAGGCACTTTTGCAAAATGCTAAAGAAATAAAGGGCACAGATTAAAGAACCACAGCTAAAGTTGACCGGGATTTTTTCACAGCTGTATCACACATTTGACATATGATGTGATGTAATTACAGAAAACTAAAAATTCACGTGTCTCTCATTCCCATCTCCTCATCTTACACTTGCACCATTAGTGATTTACAACATACTGCTGGGTCCTGCCTTAGTCTCTATTCAATTCCATGTTGTTTGAGTTAGTCCAATTCTTTATACTCTTCTGATATCATCTAATATTTTCACTATCCTTCCCAGCCTTGTGTCGCCTATGTATCTGATGAATGCCTTCTATGCCTTCATCCATTATAAAATTGATGGATAGGTAGGTGCAATTGTGGCACCAATAGACTAGTTATCTGTTAGATTATGAACCCATGTGTTTGAACTCTCACCTACTCATTGTGATTCTTCATAATACATTGGGAAATCAATATAATGGCCTATGACCAGCTTTTTAAAAAGGTGAAACACAATTTTAAAAATCAAGGTGTATCATGTGTAATGAGGGTGAGTAGTGTTTCATAATATTTTTATTTCAACTGGATAATGGTGTAAAATACAGTTTTTAGTGAGTGTCACAGTCAAAACAAGTTTGAAAGCCACTCTCTTCACTGATATTTCCCCCAACTTATCTGTAAAGGTGTCATGAGAAACCTTACCAGGTTGGTAACTCTGTTTAAAAGGAAATAAGAACCACTTGAAAAAATTTGTTTCTAGTCACAGTGTCTGTAAACATCATTTCCTCATCTAAGAGCTAAAAAAACAACTGTTTCATAATACAATTGAAGATCTTTTCCAAATCAACATAAAGCTCCCTCCATGCAGGTTGTGGGGCACATTTCTGATTCTTCTTGAAGTCAGAACTATATTTAACCATCTCTAATCTTCTGGTGCCCACTATTTCTCAATAATTACACAAAAAAGTTCTAAACCCCATTTGCATGTTCTCTATAAGGAGTGATTCTTCCTAGCTAGAAAACTTGAACTCAGTTAAAGAATTTAGATGCTCTTTTACAATCCCTTCATCCATTTTTGGCTTTGGTAACTCTGAATCAATATTCTCTGTCGTCATTCTCCTTAACAGAGAAAACAAAACCTTCCCCTCTCTCTCATCCATCAGTACTATACCACCTGCCCCAAGCAGCAGACCTCTGCCTTCCTTGGTTGTCTTCTGCTCTCTACATAACTGAAAAAACAACTTTCTCTTGTCCTTAGATTTTTTTGCAAGCTTCAGATAAAATAACACAGCTCTGTAGAAGGGGTAATATGCAGCCTCCTCTTCAAAATCTATATGTCAATTTAATTTTATACAAGTGGGTTCAGCATTTTCTGTTGTTTTAAATACACACACACACACACACACACACACACACACACACACACACACACACACACACACACACACATAGTCATCCAGGCATGAAAAGTTACAGCAATCTGGGTGGAAAAAAAAGAAAAAAAAAAACAGTAGTTTTAAAGCAGAAGAGGGCTAGGCATGGTGGCTTATGCCTGTAATCCCAACACTTTCAGAGGCTGAGGTGGGCAGATCACTTGAGCCTCAGGAGTTCAAGACCAACCTGGGCAACAGGACGAAACCCCCGTCTCTACAAAAAATACAAACATTAGTCGGGCATGGTGGTGCATGCCTGTAGTCCCAGCTACACGGGAGGCTAAGTTGGGAGGATCACCTTAACCCAGGGGACAAGGCTGCAGTGGGCTGTGATTGTGCCACTGCACTCCAGCCTGGATGACAGAGTGAAACAATGTCTCAAAAAAAAATTTTCTTTAACAGAAAAGGCACCTTCTTTTCCCCTTCTTAAACTCTTGCCTAACATCTGTCATTGTCTTTCCCTCTCTCCCTTGCCAACCCTTTCATGTCTACAGAATGTCCTTCATCATCCTGAGTGATACTGATACAGATGATATTGAAACTCAACTTCTTCATGGATTACTTGCTTTTCTTTGTGCACTTCCATCAGTCTCCCATGTGCACACTGAAAGAGAACAGAATTAGATCTTTCAAATGAAGGCCACTATAAATGAAATTCCCTGCAGGGACAGACTTGTGAGTTTTGTGAAGCTCTGTAGGGAATCAAGAAAATCTGAATTATAATAAGTTTGCTTGAATAAAGGGATCTCCCAGGGGAAAAAGAAAAGAAAGTTTATTTTAAAAGTTCTTGCCACCAAAGATGAAAATCTCACCACCTCCACCCCACCACACCCTCTCAATGTTTCCATGACTATGGAACTTATCTCACTGTCAAAGCAAAGAAAAGGTCTCTGGCCACACTCCAGATAATTCAGACACAAGGGCATGTGGTAGAAGGAAAGAGTGAGTTACAGGTAGACAGCAAGACAGGGACGATGAAAGCTATATATCTGAAATATTTGAAAACACATTTCTCAAGGGTCAGTAATACCAGTGTGCAGTAGGCACAAATAGGTGGGAAAAAAAGAGAGGTGAAGAAAGGATAAGAGAAGATTAGAGAGTGGACAGAAGATCAAACAGCAAATTAATGAGGCCCAGGGAGTAGTAGAATGGAACGAAAAATGTCATTTGGTGGCCCTTATGCCAAACATTTACTCTATCCTAATTGGTCATGGTTAGTTTAACCAATTGAATTAACTATTTTCATAGTAACTATCAACTAATAGATTAGATGGCATTAAAAGCCATACCAACCAAACCTCCAGTGTATTTTCCCATTTTCTTTCACCGTTCTCATGCCTGGACCACAACAATAGAGCAGCAATTTTAACTGCTCAGCAATGGGCTATTGCAGGAGTCCAAACATAAGCATCCTAAATCAGCAATGTTTTGTTCTATTCATTTGAGCCACATGCACTCAGTCAAACCACGAGTCACAGCCAATTCCTCCCGCTGATCCAAAGGCTTATATTATAAGTGCAGAAATGGGAGTGCTTGTTAGTTCCTACAAGATAAAGAGGGAGCTCAATCTACATCAACCATAGCAGGAAGGCATTGTTAACTTAGCCACACTCTTCTCAAAGACCTCAATATGTCAATTACCTTAAATGTGAAAGTATTTAAATCAGAAAGTGATGACTACTGAATAAAAATGAGCAAACTTTCTACCAGACATGTTTATAAGCCTGGAACAATTATTCATATTTCTTCAGGAGTACAGAGGCATGTTTTACCAAACTTCTCTGGACAGTTGCCTAATTCACCTATTTTCCTTTGACTAAGAGTGTTCTAGTAGAAGGAGTATAGACAATCCTGGGTGTGAGTCCATATTCTGCCATTTATTTGCAGTGAGACCTCAGACAAGTTAATTAAGATCTCTGAGCCTGAGTTTCTCCACCAATAAAAAGTGGGATAAAAACATGTAATGTCTCCTAAGGAGGTCATGTCAGTTAAATGAGAAAACACACATGAAGGAAGTTTCTTTTTTGAAAGGCACTTGCAACTATAAATTGTTGGAGCCGATCAGAAGTGAAAAAAGAGACCATATGGCATTACATGTAACCTTGGCTTTTATGTGTACGTTTGCCATGTCAGTTAGGTAGGCATGTGGAAGGAAAGTGGCACAAACTTCAGTCTACATAGCAATCAAATTATGCTGTCACAGAGCATGAGATGGCAGGAAGAGTTGTTTAGACTCTGATTTGACAACAGCACCAAAAGCCATTTAAAAAGGCTTTTTTCAGAGTCCCTAGTGGCTCTCCACATTATTACTCACCTGTAAATGAGAGATCCATTAGAGTTTATGGCTGAAAATTACATAATAATGCTAAATAAACACTATTTGTAGTTACCGGGTCTATATTTTAGAAAAATAACATTTCGTTCTGTATCATTTATTCTGCTCTCCTCTGAAAGATGGTAATACAGAAAAAAATGTTAAATCATTTTTTTCTATTTCTTGACCCAAATGAAGGTTCTGTATAATTTTGGATTCAGTACTAGATGTAAAAACTGACACTAGAATTTTGGAGCTGGTTAATTATTCCTCCTTATGAAGGCTAATTAAATAAATGACCCAATTGTTGATTAAGTGGCCTCTCTTTTTTAATGTGAAAGCACTTGGAAAAGTGTGAAGGGCTTTACAAATAAAAGAGATGATGTAAGATGTTAATTGGCATCTTCATGAAGTATTTTCTGTTGATTCATCATACACTTGCTAAAATGGGAGGACACAAGAACCAAGTAAGTCTGCAAGGTGGTTTTTCTGATTTTGAATATCTGTAGTTGTCAGTCTCTAATTTAAATGCATTTTTGCTTAATGTTATTTATTGCTTATGCAACCCAGACCTAGTCTCCTGGCTCTGTCAAATGCAGAAAAACACCTTCTGGAACGGCAAAGGAGAGCCAAACCTTTCTCTAATCCTTTAATAGAGGATGCAAGAGACAAAATCAGGCCTTTAGGGTAGACTGTTCTTCATAATTATACCAATATATAAAGTCAGTAAAGCTTAATGGTATGGGAATACAGACTGCCTGGGTTTAAATCCTAGATCCACCACTTGCTAGGTGTGTGCCCCTGGGAAAAAATTCTGTATCTGTAAATGGGGGTGATAATGTTACTTTCCCCATAGGGAGGTTGTGAGAATTTAATGTGGTAATATGCATAAATCACTTAGCAAAGTGTTTGGCTCATAAGCGTTCAATAGATTATTATTTTATCATTATTATTATTACTATTACTAGTAATAGTAGTAGTAGTAGTATTTGACCTTCTGCTCACAAAAGAGAATTGAACTGATAGCTTACAAAACTAAAAGGGACCAAGAAGTTTAGAACTGATAGAGAAATTATATAATCTTCCTTTCTGTCCTTTTCACATAGGTGTACCTTTTACAGAGAGGCATATATCTGTCTGTAGGTGAGTGTGATGGGCTGTAGCAAACATGTTCCAGAGACTGGTCTTAACCTGCTGTGACCTTCCCAGAATGTTTTGTCTCCCTAGTGCTGATGTGAAGCTCTGTCTAGATCACTTAATGAATGTTCACTATAGTCATTGAATGGTGCCCCAAATACTTCATCTTCTTTCTACTTTCACATACTGTTGTGATGACTATGGAGCTGAGGCTGGAATGTAGTATGAGTTTTATACATCTGTGAATGTAAGATGTTAGATCATCCTCTATCTCTTTGAAATCAAGAAGTAAAAAAGCAGCTCATTCAGTGGGTGGCCTGCAGCCATTCTAGGTGGGTCAATTTCACACACACAAAAAAATAAATATTAGAGTACATAAGAAAGAAGACAGAGTTTATCTAGGTCACTATGAAGAATATGACTTTCCCAAGACAAAACAAAAAGGCTCCCAGCTAAGTGGGAAGTCAAAAGGAAAGAAGCTGATATATCATAAGAAGAAAGCAGCATCCTAGGATTTTTGAAGCAAGTTTGGTCTATGAATTTTTTCATCTAACTAATGACTTCTGTTTTTATCAAGATATTCAAGTTTCCAACACATCTATCAGTTTTCTTAAGTCTATTATATATATAAAAAAAACCAAATTTAACAAAATGATAAACTGGGAGAAACAATGCAATGAGACTATCCGCAGAGTTCATTTAAATATTGTATCCTTTCTCCAAATTTATTTAAACCTTTTTTTAACTGTTTTTCAGGCCTGCATCTCTTAGGTAAAATCACAATATAATAACCTGTTATCAGAGATATTTCCATTGCTCCCTCCAAAGTGACAGCTCAGGTTGTTTATATAAGTAGAGAACAGCAGGCCAACATCCTCAGCTCCAGCATATCCAAATTCTGCTGAAATGTCTGCACACAAGCAAATAGCCAAAGTTGTCAGGGGCCTTAAAATAAAAGTCAAGTACCGTGCTCAATGCTATATCAAAAACATAATTTATCACATAAATAAAACTCCCTCAGCAGTGTCCTCTTTCCACACAAAGGACAATGGCACGTTAGCTCTTATTAAAACTATTAAGCACCAGAGGAAAAGCATCTTCAAAGTTCAGGGCAAGTCACAAGATGCAAGGCTTGCAAACCTGCTTTTGAACCACTCAGTCTTCCACACATTTTGCTCAGCAGGTGCCATGACCTGAGGTGAACCTGAAGCTCTCTAAGATACAGAAATATCTAAGATACTTCTGTATCTCTCTAAGATACAGAAATATCTAAGATACTTCTGTATCTCTCTAAGATACAGAAGACCTACGATAGTGTATTGCTGTTCCTCTATCCTTGTATGTGGGTTGATGTTGTGAATACTAGTCAAGATTCAGTCAGAGGCCAGGCACAGTGGCTCAAGCCTGTAATCCCACCACTTTGGGAGGCCGAGGCAAGCAGATCACCTGATGCCAGGAGTTCTAGAAGTAAATTCAGTGGTTAGTGTCTTCAGGTTCTAGGGATAACATCCTGTGCTGAGTCCCAATGCAAGCCAGTTGGCCTAACTAAATTTCAGACTACACTGTACCTTTAAACCTACTCCCACTCTCTATTAATTATGAGAGGGGAAAGTGCACGAATCAGTGCCAACCCCTCTTTATCAAATGGAAATACAACTCAAAGAGAAAGTTATTTGGCTGTCAGCAAGAGTGCCATCTTTTCATGCAAAAGTTGGTGTGTTTGGAAAAGTAAACATGGGGACATATAAAATGTTACCAACAGGCTACACCTGTTGAAACGTGTTTATCTTGAGATACATAACAAAGAGCAGGGGTTCATTTGGCGCATCTCAAAACACACTTCCAACTCCAAATCAATGAGAAGAGGATTCTGAAGGAGTAATTGCAATGTCTGACAAGAAAACTAGCAAGAGTGAATATAAAAGAAATTTAATAGTAAATATCTAATGTATTACTGTTAACAATTGAGCACATAGGAAATGTTGTCACGGGGCAACTTCATGAACCATTTGGTACAGAATTGTGTCTCCGAATAACATGGGAGAGTCACATGATCGACCATGAAATCATTCTCAAAAATTGCAAGAATGAGAAGTTTCTAGAGAATAATGACATAAACATGGCATTTCCAGAGTCAGAGAAGCTCTGGATAAAATCATTCACAACCAACTTTATAACATCCAAGCACAGTGGATTTCTGGACTTTCATAGCAAAGTCTCTGGGGCCAAAATAGTCCTTGCTGCTTCCAGTTCACCTTTACTAGTTTTCTGTTACCACTGACCTACAATAGTGTATTGCTGTTCCTCTATCCTTGTATGTGGGTTAATGTTGTGAATGTTAGTCAAGATGCAGTCAGAGGCTGGGCGCAGTGGCTCATGCCTGTAATCCCAGCACTTTGGGAGGCCAAGGCGGGCAGATCATTTGAGGTCAGGAGTTCAAGACCAACCTGGCCAACATGGCAAAACCCCGTCTCTACAAAAAAAAAAAAAAAAAAAAAAAAAAAATTAGCCGAGCATGGTGGGTGCCTGTAATTCCAGCTACTTGGGAGGCTGAGGCACAAGAATTGCTTGAACCCAGGAGGCGTAGGTTGCAGTGAGCCGAAATCATGCCACTGCACTCCAGCCTGGGGGATAGAGCAAGACTCAGTCTCAAAAAAAAAAAAAAAAAAAAAAGATGCAGTCAGAAAAACAGAAAGTACATTCGTTATTTTAACAGAGAGGATTTAATATAGAGAATGTGATGTACAGATGTTACAGGGTCAGAAAAAAACAAGAGATAGAGATAATATCTGTAGGAAGTGGCCACCATCTCTCCGACTGGGGAAACAAAGGGAAGAGGTTGGGGTTGTCAGAACCTAGAAAGTTGGAGAATTTGCTCCATGGAGGTAGGACCTAGTCCTCTGAGAAGAAGATGCCAGCTAGCCCCATCTCTACTAAAAATACAAAAAATTAGCTGGGCGAGGTGGCGGGTGCCTGTAGTCCCAGCTACTCAGGAGGCTGAGGCAGGAGAATGGCATGAACCTGGGAAGCGGAGCTTGCAGTGAGCTGGGATCATGCCACTGCACTCCAGCCTGGGCGACAGAGTGAGACTCAGTCTCAAAAAAAAAAAAAAGAAGATGCCAGCTGGTTGCTTCTGGTGCCTCTGAGGCAGCATAATGAGACTGATTCTCAGGGTAGGGAGAGGAGCTGGAAGTGCAGTCAGGTACTGCTTCCAGGATGAAGGGCTACTGTTGAGATGACACTGACAGGAACAGAAAGCAAGCAGGAAGGATCAAGTCCCTTCTCCCTCCTTTAGCTTCTCAGAATCTCTTTATTTTCTGTATCGTCAGGACCTATCAGAAATCTAGCTGGCAAAAGAAAAATGTAGATTGCCGAGTCCCAACCCCAGCATCACAAAGCAGCATCTTTAAAGGGGTGAGTTGGGAGCTGTGAGACAGTAGCTTAATAACTAGCACACTGTGCAATGAGGTGTTAGATTTTCATGTCATTGTTGCTGCTGGAGTCACTCAGATATGCTTACAGTTTAGATGAAACATTAATTAGAGTGGACTGTTTGTCACAGAGGATTTCATCATTACTGAATCTGTAAGAACCTGTTATTGGGAGACCTCAGCCAGATTTGCTATTCGTGAGGGTGATTTTGCCTCCCCTTTTATTGAAGCTCAGATACTCACTATTCATCACCATTTTTTGCTTTTGTTCAGGCTTAAGTCTATAGCCCGCATGCTTCCTTAAATGATTCTGTACACATGGTAAGTGGTCAGGTGGCCGATCTCCAGAGTTCTAGAAGCATGAAGCTTGAGCTGGGCCATCTGTTGAGTGAGTGCAGTTTTGTATTACACACAGGGAAGTGGTGGGCAAAACCCGGAAGCACACTGGAGGCCTAATGAAAATACCACCAGTTAAATCTTCCCTCTAAATGTTCATTAGGCCATCTGCTCTTATTAGTGTCCCTATCATTTGGAAACATTACAGAGTTAAGATGAGAGAGACAATCTGTGGAATTCTAGTATAACTTGAAATGAACTTTTGAGTAGAACAATCATGAGTTGTGATGTTTACCTTCCCATTCAGAGCCCAGCCCACTTATAGCTTAACATCTCCATGGTGAAAATTTTTAATAGTTTCTTCCTGAAATATTATAACAGAAAGAAGGGTTAGCAGTAGCTACAGAAATGAAAACATAATCTCAGAGTGGCTGATCAATGAAATCAGACCATTTCATAAAAGCTGTGCAGTCATACTTCTGGCCTGTAAATTGCTTTAGGTGCCAAAGGGAATTGGAAGCTTGGTCTGTCCTGTCAAGCCAATACTATAATATTAACAACCTGCAACAGACAAGTTTCTGCAACTTCTCAGCAGAAACAAATTGCAGAATGATTTCAGGGGCTTCTTTATAAGTCTCTGGCTCCTATGCAAGCAAAGCCTTGGATCTCAAGAGGACAAGAGTCTCACTTCCTACTGTGTTAAGACCAGCAGAGGTCCTGTCCTTACTCTGAATTATCTCAGACTTTATGGGCTCATCACGCAGCCTCAAATTTGATTTCTTATTACCTTGAACTGTGTACTCTGATTGCCTCTCCTTCTGTATGTGTATCCCCCACAGTGCTAGATATACAGTAGATATTTAATGAATTCATGTAAAATTAAATTAAAATAGAGACTCAAAATAAAAAAACATAGTAACATTTTCATATTCCTCTTCCCACCCCCAGAAGGGCTGAGAGGGTTCAGTTCTTTAGCGTAATGATAAAACCCGAGAAACAGAGATACAAACAGTAAATCGGCAAGTAGCATCATGTAAGTAGCATCATGTACAATATGTTCTCCTTACAATAACAATCAAATTTACAAACAAATTAGCTGTGGAGTCTGAAGGACATTCTGTAGTTTTCACACTGGGCCTTCATCTCCTGCTGATAGATGACTTTGACTGTAAATTGAAAACTGGAAGTGGTTAAACATTCTGTGTATTCACAAGTGCCATTTCCAAAATTGAGGCTTCAGAGAGGAGATGCAAGAAAGGGTCGACGGAAACTCAGAGCAATTATGCCTGTTATTAAGATGAGGTAGTGGCAATTACACAGCAGACTCAGAGAGAGTGTGTACGTGCTGATTGTTCTGAGGCAGCCTGTAAGAACAAACTTTTATGGTACCCATCAGGCATTGGGTCTCTAGAGGAAGTGAAGATTTTCAGCCACTCCTTCAGTATGCTTTTGGACAGGACTTATGGCCCCAGGAACTATCTTAGGAGGAATATATGCTTTTTTCTTAATGAGCTTCAAGGAAACCCTTATATAATAGAGTGGTGTCTTTCACTGTTTCTTTCCTCTAGGATAACCATTCTCAAGCATTTTGGTCTCAGGACCCATTTGCATTTCTAAAAATTGTTGGGGGCCCCAACGAGCTATTCTTTTGTTGGTTTTATCCTATGAATATTTACCTTATTAGAAAATAAAAGTGTGATTTTTTTTAAAACTGAAGATACACTAGCCTGAGGTAGCCTCTGGAAAGCCCCACTGTACACACATGATAAAGTACAAAATGCACATAATATTATTTGAAAAATAGTTTTGACCTCATAGACTTTCTGAAAGAGACTTGGGAATTCCCAGACTCCCCAGACCAAAATGGAAATACCATATTTCCTAAATTCTAAGACACCATGGACTATAAGACATAACATCAATTCGATATCTTTGGGTAATGGGGAGAAATGTACCATCAAACATACACATTGACTATAAGATACATCTTCACTTCAGAAAAGTTAAAGTATGGAGGCAGTGGGAAATGCATTTCTTAAAATTGAGGTATTTATGGCAATTTACACTAACCTCAGTGGGTCTCTGGAAACCCAGATTTACTGACACAAACATGTTGATGAGAAATAGTTTTTCTTAGAGCCTATTTGCATGTTATAATTTTTTTAAATGCTTTCATGGACCAAAAACATTACTGTCAATGAAGCACTAATATTTTCATTCAACAAACGTTTGCCAGCTTAATGCCAGATACTAGGAAAACAAAAATAAAAGAGTTCTCATCTTTGCCGTCGAAAACTCATAGTCTTGGTAGAGAACATAGGAAGACAAACAAGTATTTTAGAATAAGAGAGAAGTACTGGATCTAAATGAAGGAGTCATGGAGCTGGAAGAGCTTGAAGTACCCAAAGATGGAGCCCTAGGTATTCAAGAATGCTTGAGGTTAATCATTAGGTTTAAGCAATTAGTCATCCCCTTAACACTGCCCTAGTGGACTTTGCTACATGCATCAGTCTCTTTCAGACTTAATTTATTTCAATTTAGTTTAATTTAATTTTCCAATCATAGGTGATTCATCCAGAGGTGTAAAACTAGAAATCTGTTAGACCAGTTTGAATGTAATGTTGTAGTGAGTAACTCCAGTCAAGACCAAAGCCTAACAGAGCACTGTCTTCCCCGTGATTAGATTCAACCAAGAATAACAGAAAACCCTAACATGACAGTGATGTAAGCAAGAGAGCAGCCAGGCTAGATGTGTGGTTTAGGGCTGAGATGGCAGCTCCGCAGTGTCATCTGGGTTCCAGGTTTCTGTATTTTTGCCTTGCCACTCTAACACATAAATTCCATTTTCAAGGCCACCTCATGGTCCATGACATCTGCTAGAACTCTCACTGGTATATCCACATTGCAGAATGGAAGAAAGGGCAAGAAGAGCTTCCTTCCACTTGGGTCAGCTCTCCTTAAGCAGCCTTTTTAAGTATCTATTTGTAAGTGTGGGTGCTTCCACACTTCCTCTTACATATTATTGCCTGGAACTTCACTTGACTACAGATAATTGCAAATAAGGCTGGAATGTCTTGTATTCTAAACAGCAATGTACTCAGATTCAAAAACAGAGTTGGCTGGGTGTGGTGGCTCATGCCTGTAATCCTAGCACTTTGGGAGGCCGAGGTGGGTGGATCACCTGAGGTCAGGAGTTCAAGACCAGTCTGGCCAACATGGCGAAACCCCATCTCTACTAAAAATACAAATACAAATAAAAATAAAAAAATAGCTAGTTGTGGTGGTGCATACCTGTAGTCCCAGCTACTCAGGAGGCTTAGGCAGTAGAATTGCTTGAACCTGGGAGGCAGAGGTTGCAGTGAGCTGAGATCATGCCACTGCACGCCAGCCTGGGCGACAGAGCAAGACTCTGTCTCAAACAAACAAACAAACAAACAAATAAATAAATAAACTGGGAGTGTAATCAGGAGGAAAGAGTGAATATAAGAATAGGCCTAGAACCAGCAGTCTCTGCCACAGGAATTTTAGGAACCACAAATTTAACATTTTGTTTTGACCCTGATATTGTCTGAGCTTCTTCAAATTTATAAATAGGAGAGAAAATCCATCTAGATAAAGCTTGGTTTTCTACAGTTAGAAAACATGATGACACCTAAAAGAGCGATGGCCCTTATTGATCTTGCTTGCAAAAAGTGGAAATTATTAGAAGATGAAATATACTAGGACTACTTTGGAAGTTTTGCTTTGTTTGGTTTGGTTTTGCTTTGCTTTGTTTTCCCCACTTCCAAAATGTTTTAGGAACATTGGGAGAGATGCAATTTAATCTATATCCTCTGCAGTAGAATAATTCTCAAGATCAGCCAAATTGTTACTCTTGATTAGATTGATCCTAGCTATTCATTTGCAATGAACAATGCAACTTAAGTGTCAGTTACTCTAATTGGGAAGCCATGGAAACAGACCATGCCAATGCATTTGACCAAAGGTTGAGAGGTTCTTCAAACTCTCCAGCCATTATGCAGAGAGACACAAGAGTGTGTATCTAAGATAATGGGAAATAATTTGCCCTGTTGACAAGGCCATGTAATCTTGGTGTATTTCATCTTCTAATAATTTCCACTTTTTAAAAGCAAGATCAATAAAGGCCATCACTCTTAAAGGTGTCATCATGCTTTCCAAGTGCAAAAAACCAAACTTTCTCCAGATGGCTTTTTCCCTCTTTTATACATTTGAAGAAGCTCAGAGAGTATCAGTGTCAAGAAATGAGAAGACCATTTGAAAACTGACAAAAAGTGATGCTAACAATCTGGAGTTGTCAGCTTTTAGAAGTGCGGAAAAATCTAACATGGAGCTGGCATAACACCTGGCAGAGAGCACTCAGTCCTGTCACTGTATCTTCCCCAGGGCTGGCATACTACAGAAGAGATAATCATACGCTTCCTGGAAATTCCTACTGAAGAGGACTCACAGATCAAAATCAAACAGAGTCATTTTTTAAATGAGCCACAAGGCTCCCAGTGTAGTAAAAGAGGGAGATTAGAAGTGTCATGTTTGAAATGGGGAGGCAGGACCTTTTGGGAAACAACTGGTTTCTTCAGCACACTTGAACTTTGGGAAAAGAAATTATTAGCACTTGGTGACAATTGTAAAATATAGTAACAGTCATGATATGTTTTTGAGCACTTCCATAAATGTTAACTTCTTAAAATGAATAAACTGGAACAGAAATAGTCTACTGCTCTATGCCACTAACAACCCCTTGTACATACTGGAAGATGAAGGAAATGAAGTCAGCAAAAGACTATAAACATTATGAGGGGAGGAATCTAGTCTATCCTGACTGAAGCTGGCTCCTTAGTGCCTAGCATGGTACCTAACATGAGATAAATAGACATTTATTGACAGAAGAAAGGAAATCAATTAAGGTAGCATTTTCTGTAGCTGGAATTGTACCAAGAGTACTATTACAATTAACAGTGGGGAGTTCAAGTAATAAGCTAAAATATTAGCCATGAAATTGGCTGACAGATATATATGAGATAATATATCCCAATACCAGCCAAATATTTCTTGGAGGACATATAGCTTAGAAAGATTCTCAAGGAATGGCATAGATAAACAAGGAGGAAATGACTGGTGACATAGAATCAAGAGAAACCTTGAAAGCATGACTATATGATTAAACTTAAGAGTTTATGAACTAGCCAAGGAACAGAACAATAGACAGGGACCAGCACAAATACACACATGTTCCATAATTTTCAAAAATAGCTAGCCTCTACAAAGCTCTTTTAATGTACCAAGCACTGTGCTAGATGGTCTATGTATTTTTTCCTATCTAATTCCAATAATAATTTTTGAAAAGATAGTGTTACTATATTCAATTTGTAAATGAGGAAACAGAAGCTCAGATAGGTTAACTGATTCGTGCCAAGGTCACAGGGATAGCAAATGACACAGATGGAATTTTCAACTCCAGAAATCTTAACTCGTGAGCCTGAGGTCCTAACTACTTCCTTCTAGTGCATTGAAGCCTTTTTCTAGGGAGAGAGTACATAGCTTTCATCAGATTCTCAAATGGATGAGTAAATCAAAAAAGTATGAGAAGCAGTGTCCCAGACTCCAAGTTCCATGAAGGCAGGGACTATGTCTATCTGGATCAGGACCCAGATATCTGTCAGATGGTTGGATAAAAGGATATATTAAGGGATGAATGTACCAATGAATGGCTGTCCTCCAAATTGGTTATCCTGCATCTAGTCTGGTCTCCTTCCGGCCTGTCCCCCAAAATGCAGCCTAAGTAATCTTTCTAAAATACTAATCTGATCATGTCAGCTCTCCACTTTAAAGTGGAGACTCCTCAACACACACAGTTTAAGTCTAAAGCTATCAGCATATACCACTCTCCATGACTTAATGCGGTGATTCTCAGCAAGAGACATTTTTGCCCCTCAAGGGACATTTTGCAATGTCTGGAGGTATTTTCAGTTGCCACAACTGGGGGTAAGGTGCTACTGGCACCTAATGTGTAAAAGTCAGGGATGCTGCTGAACATCCTACAATGCACAGGACTGGCACCACCTGACAACAGAGCCTCAGTGGAGGAACCTGGACCTAGTCCTAGCAAACATTTAGAACTCATTCACCACTACCACCTACCTTATTTTATGCCTAAGAAATCCCAGACAGCAGTTAGTTCCTTCACTCTCATATGATTTCATGCTTCTGTACTTTTGTTCATTCTTTTCCCTCTGCCAAGATCACCCTTCCCGCCTTGCTTTTTCTCAATACCTTTGCTTCATCCTTCAAAATTAAGTTTACATTTCTCTTCTAGGAATCTTGCCCCAAACTCCCTCCATTGTGTTTCCATGTCATTCTGGGCATACATCTATCATGGCACTCATGACACTTAACCACATTATGTTAAATTATCTATTTCTGTATCTGCCTTGAACTAATCAAGAGCAGAAATCTGTTTGTTTACCTTTATAACATAGTGCCTGGCACGTGGTCAAAACTCATAAAGCATTGAACTGAAAGATAATAGATGACAAAGAAAAAGATAAATCACTCAACTCATAAAAAGTCTTGACCTTCACAGCCAAAGAGAGAAACCTTTAGGTTGATTCAAAAGGGGATAAGGGGAGGCCAGATTTGGTGAGACAAGAATGAAGAAACATGTCCAGTCTTGGGAATGACGAATCAGATGGCATAGGGGCTAAAAGCACATATCTGAGAGTGGAGATGTTAATAGTTTTTCTCAGGTAATTTTTATATTAAGTGGTAAACCATATGAAGTACCTGACACCCAGCAGGCATTCAGTAAACAGTAGTCACTTCTATTAATGGCTCAGATGACTGGGCCTGTAATTTCATGTGTTATTGATTACATAACAGTTCAAAGGAAGGGGCAGCACCTATTCACATTTTAGAAGTCAATTTAAAGCAAAATATTAAGTCAATAATAGTGCAGGTGATGTAGGGGTGAGGCAAAACTCATAAAGGTGGCACAGGGACAATTGAAGTCTGGGAAACACAGTTGAAAAGGAGCTACATTGAATGGTAACTGGGCCAGGTTCCTCCTAGCTCTAAAGGTCTATGACTATAAAAACTGTTATTACTATTAATACCACTTGCTATCCCTTACTATGTGCCAGGCACTGGGCTAAGCAACTTACACCATTATCTCATTTAATCCACACAATAACTTTACAAGTAGATATACTATCACTAGCCTCCTTGTTTTGTTACAGATGAGGAAACCAGAGACTCGTAGAATATACCTCATTTGCCAAGGGTTACATACTAATAAGGGTGGGAACCAGGACTCAAACTGTTGGAGGGAGCCCAAGTATACAAATGGTGGTTTGAGCATACAGTATGGGATTAGGCTTATACATAATTTAGACATTTTCCAGTTTAGTCTAACCAAGGGATTATATTTAGATATTGCTTTTAAACATGAATTTCTCCCTATAGGATTCTGCTGCTTTATAAATTGCTACTTAGGTCAAAATTAGCTGGATCTCTAAACCAATCATGGGACTGGTTGACCTGAGAGTCAACTCCCTTCAAGGCAAGTTTTCAATTAGCAGAGGAAGACGTAATGCTGTCAAAGGTTGACATCCTGACCAAGAGCTCCTTTATGCTCAGGGTTATTTCTCAGGGAAGGTTGTTGGGAGATAGGCACATTCCACCAGCTGGCGGCTACACAAGTGACCTTTAATGCTAGTTTAGCTTAAATGCATTTTGACATTTCAAACAAATTAATGTATTTTTACAAGGTGTGGCAACCACCACAAATGAGGCCAAATAGTTTGCCTGTAGGTTGGGTCACTAGGCAGAGTTTACAGAGCTTTGCTGCTGCTCTTCAATCTCTGTTCCCACCCCCCCAAAAAAGAAGTGTTTATTTACCCCAAGAAATCATTTGGACAAATGGTAGCAGCAATTGGGGGCCAACCTTAGCCCCACCTTAGTATCATATAATTCTAGGGTCTCTCTGCAACTAGTAGATACTAATTCTAACTGTCAGAATCAGCTCAAAGACTCCATTCCTTATATTAAGCTGTATGTTATGAAAATGTCTTGGTAGTAAATACAGTATTTCTGTTGTGTGAGCATAAGGCACCAGTTCCTTGAAAACTTACCTGGCAATAGGAGTATTTAACATGAGAAGGACATAAAAGGAACTGACAAGCTACGAGAGGTGAAGAGGTCCAGCTTCTGAAAAGGCAGACTCTCAACTACTAAGTAGCCACACATCTTTCATCTGTGGAGATTGCATAGACAAGCTGCCCGGCCAAATCAAATGGGAATTAAAGGGAATCTGTGTAGTTTGTATAGAAAATGGCTCAGAAGCAGAAAGGGCACTTTAGTCACAGGAAGATGCCGGAGGGTGACTTATTCCATGGAAAAGAAAACAAACAGACAAAATAGCTGGTGTATTTTTGAGGCAAAATTAAATATAATAAACATGACACCAATCGTATTGGTTTAAATCTGGTTGGGTGAGTTGGAGAATTTAACAGCTTATTTCCCAACTACCAGCCTTTATCTCAGAGGCAGCCTTGATAGCTAAAAACAGAATCTGAAACATGCTTCTTCTCTGGCTTCTGCCAGGTGTGTGCTGTCCCCAGCCTCTGCCCTGGCCTCGGCTCCCAGAGTGGGGATAATTAGAACGTCATTTCTGCCAGGTTTGTTTTTTCTGGGTCACTGACTTGAGACTCAATCAAAATGGGAGTGTTGTACGGAAATGAATTCATTTCCTCTTCCTCAGCCAGCCCCAGCTCATTTCCTGGGGGACTATGCTCCGTAGGACCAGTGCACACAGACAGCTTCTGGACAAGCATGATAGTGTATAGAGGTCCAAGGCAGGGGCACACAGTGGAGGAGTCAGCGCCCTCCAAAGCAGCAGGCGTTCACTCTCCCTCTCAGTGGCAGGGCACTGACATGCAAAGGCCTCAGACAGACGTGCTGAGGAACACATCACCGCAAACTGCTCTGGGAGCTGTTAAGGCTGGTGTTTAATGTTTATCCGATGGCCTCAGTCTGAAAGGCTCTGTAGAACATGCATAACACAAGCTCAGCTTTATACCCCATTAGCACTCAAATTCCTAGCTGCACAGAAGCATCTGGTACTGACCAGAGAAGGCCAGTCTATGTGGATAGAGGTGGAAGGCACACAGAAACATAGAAACAGAATGAGGCTGCTGGATGTATGGGAGAGACTCAGACATGGGCAAAGAGCCCCACATGGTGCAGTAGAGGAGGTCAAAGACAACCTTTGTCCTCTTCACAATATCACCAGTTGCCCTCCCTAATGAGACACAATTAGAAGAAAGGCCTTATCTCAAATTGACCTTTATCCACTTCATTACTGATTGCTTGTAAGCCTCTTTGAGCTGGGGAAGTAGTAGGCCGCAGAATGCAATGACAGCTCATACCTTGTTTTCAGACTTTCAGATTCCACAAGAAAAACAAAGCCTTCTGTGGGCTTTCACTCAAAGCAAAAAAGAAAAGTGGCTACATTACTGTTACTATTTTGGCCATGAATGGGACTTTTTTTCTGCCTTTAGCCTAAAAGAAAAGAAATAGAGAACAAGTGAGTGGTAGGGTGGGGAATGGTGTGGAACACAGTTCCCTGAGAAACACCTAGGGATAAATAGTTACTGTCAAGGAGATGTCAGGGTAGGCATTGAATCAACTCCTGTGTCTAGAAAGGAACTAAGGTGAAGCCATGTTTGGCTAGCCTGCATGTCTCCAGTGCCTAGCACATCTCTTGGCACAAGGCACACCAAACACACACACACACACACACACACACACACACACACACACACACACACACCAGTCCTTTTGCTTCCAACTCTTTAACATGTCTCAAATCCATCTGCTTTTCTCCATACCCATTGTTGCCATCCCAGTTCAGGCACCATAATCCCTAACTTGGGCCCGTGCAGGAGCCCCCTAAATGCCTGCCTCCCTCCTATCTCGCCTCCTTCTCTAATATGGTCTGGACAGCAGCCAGGATGATCTGTCTAGAACCCAAATATGACTATCTCACACCCCTACTTAAAGCCCTTCAGTGGCTTCCCACAGCCATCAAAACAAAACTGGACATGTGCTTCCCTCTATTACCCAATGTTTTAGTCTGTTTTTTGTTGCTATAACAGAATATCACAGACTGGGTAATTTATGAAGAAAAACATTTATTTAGCTCTTGGTTCTGAAGGCTGGGAAGTCCAAGAGCATGGCACTGGCAGCTGGTGAGGGCATTTTTGCTGCATCATAACATGGTGGAATGGCATCATATGGCAAGAGGACAAAAACATGCCAGCTCAAGTCTGTCTTCCTCTTCTTATAAAGCCACCAGTCCCATCATGGGGACCCCACCCTTATGACCTTATCTAATCCTAATTATCTTTCAAACAGAGAAATGCAAATCAAAACCACAATGAGATATCATCTCACCCCAGTTGGAATGGCTGTTATCAGAATGACAAAAAAAAATGCTGGTGAGTTGCAGAGAAAGGAAAATGTAAATTAGTACAGCCATTATGGAAAACAATATGGAGTTTCCTCAAAAAATTAAAAATAGAACTGTTATGATTCAGAAAAGTAAAGGAAATCAGTATGTCAAAGAGATAGCTGCACTATTTGCAACAGCTAAGACATGAACTCAACCTAAGTGTCTATCGACAGATGAATGGATAAAGAAAATGTGGTACATATACACTGTGGAGTACTACTTAGCAACAAAAAAGAACAAAATTCTGTCATTTGTGGCAACATAAATGAGCTTGGAGGACACCGTATTAATCCATTCTTACACTGCTATAAAGAAATACCTGAGACTGGGTAATTTATAAAGAAAAGAGGTTTCATTGGCTCACGGTTTCACAGGCTGTACAAGAAGCATGATTCTGGCATCTGCTTGGCTTTTAGGGAGGCCTCAGGAAACTTACAGTCATAGCCAAGGTGAAGGGGAGCTGGCACCTCACATGGCCAGAGCAGGAGGAAGAGAGAGAGAAGGGGAAGGTGCTACACACTTTTAAACAACCCCGTCTCATGAGAACTCACTATACAGTACCAAGGGGGGACAGTACTAAATCAGTCATAAGAACTTCACCCCCATGATCCAGTCACTTTCCACCAGGACCCACTTCCAACACTGGGGATTACAATTGAACATGATATTTGGGCAGGAACACAGATCCAAACCATATCAGACACTACGTTAAGTGAAATAAGCCAGGCACAGAAAGATAAATACCCCATGTTCTCACTCATATATGGAAGCTAAAAAGGTTGACCTCATAAAAGCAGAAAGTAGAATAGTGGTTACTAGAGGTTGGGAAGGTGGACAGGGATAGCCAGAGGTTGCTTAATGGATATAAAACTACCACTAAGTAGGAAGACTAAGTTCTAGTGTTCTAGAGCATTATAGAGTGACTATAATAAACAACAATTTGTTATATATTTTCAAATAGCTGCAAGAGTGGATTTTAAACGTTCTTAACACAAAGAAATGATAAATGCTTGAGGTGATGGATATGGCCCCACCTCCAAATGCCATCAGCATATGAATTTGAGGATTAAGTTTCCAACACATGATATTTGGGGGACACATTCAAACCAGAGCACCTGATATATTAGTCTGCTAGGGCAGCCATACAAAATACTATAGACTGAATGGCTTAAACAACAGAAATGTATTTTCTCATACTTCTGGAGGCTAGAAATCTAAGATCAAGGTGTTGGTGAGTTTAGTTTCTTCTGAGGTGTCTCTCTTTGGCTTGCAGGTGGCTGCTTTCTAGCTGTGTCCTCATATAGTCATCCCTCTGTGCGTAAGCATTCCTGGTATCTCTTCCTCTTATTGGAGAGACATCAGTCCTGTTGGATTAGATCCCCACCCTTATGATCTCATGTAATCTAAACTACCTCTTTGAAGGCCCTGTCTACAAATACAGTCACACTGGGGGTTAGGGCTTCAACATATGAAGTTGGGGAGGACACAATTTAGTCCATAACACCTGGCCTCATCCCTCAGGTCTCCCTCACACCCAGCCTATTATTAGTCTTACTGAATTAGTTTTAGTAACCTGGATGGGCCATGCTGTCTTTAACCTCTGGACTTTCACCCATGCTTTTCCTAGTACCCAGATTTTCCTCAACTCTGATGCCCCTCCCCCCTCAACTTCCACCCAATTCTTCTCCTACTGTTCATTTCAGACCTTACTTAGGTACCACCTGCTCTGGGAATATCTTGCCTCCTGACTCCTAGTCCAGGTGAAGTGCTATCTTATCCCCTCTGTTGCCTTCTTTTCATAACGTGGAGAGTAATTGTCTAATGGTTCCTCTGAGGGCTCTACTATACCACAAATCATTTGAGGACAGAGGCCGTGTCGTAGTCATTTTTGAGCCCCCAAAGCTTAGCACAAGGCTTAACCCAGAGAAAGGTACTCAGCGAATACTCAGTGAAAGAAAAAAACAACCTGTTTCTTTGCTAAAAAGGGGAACCTATGGAGTGAACCAGGTCAAGCTAAGTAAGCAGTGTGCTACACCCCAGGATTCTAAATCAACAGCTGACGAACTGTACCTGAGTGTTCCACAAAGTGGATGCTAGGTCTATGCTAATAGCAGGTCCTGTTGCAAAAGGTTGCTCATTGAGTAAAATCTGGCTTCTCTGGCATTCTGTCACCCAGAAACCTGTATGACTTTGCTCTCCTATACGTCTACAGGACAGTGAGAGAGATTTGAGTATCATAGCTACCGGAATTCCTACAGCAATGATCCCCAGAATCACCTTGGCAAAACACAGATGTTTGGGTCCCCACCTCCAGGGTTTCTGATTCAATAGATCTAGGGTGGGACCTGAGAATTTGCATTTCTCACAAGTTCCCAGATAATACTGTTGCTGCTGATCCAGAGAACACACTTTGAAAACCTCTACTCTAAATGATCCTTCTGAAATTATTGGAAAAAATTACATTATATTGTAAATGGCATAAATGATAAGTACGTTTACCAGAACATGTGATTAACCATCCTCCCCCTGCCCTCCACTTTCCGAGACATCACCAATGTTGCTAAAATTCATAAGACGGGGGAAACAATACACCAATTTTTTTTTCTTTTTTTCAAGTTAAAACTGTCCATGGAAAGACATGGTAACCTAATGGTATGTGTTCTGTTCGTTTCACAGGTGCGATTAGAGTGGCCAACAGACCTTGCAGTAAATCCTATGGACAATTCATTGTATGTCTTGGATAACAACATTGTGCTGCAAATTTCTGAGAACAGGCGTGTTCGGATCATCGCAGGACGCCCCATTCACTGCCAGGTGCCAGGCATCGATCATTTCCTGGTCAGCAAGGTAGCAATTCACTCCACTCTAGAGTCAGCGAGGGCCATCAGTGTCTCCCACAGCGGGCTGCTCTTCATAGCTGAAACAGACGAGAGGAAAGTAAACCGCATTCAGCAAGTAACCACCAATGGGGAGATCTACATCATCGCTGGTGCCCCCACTGACTGTGACTGCAAAATTGATCCAAACTGTGACTGTTTTTCAGGTATGACCTTTTTAGCAATTCACCAGCTTCCCCTCTCTGTTTTGAAAAGAAAAACGTGCCCCAGTAAAGTCAAAAGGAAAAGGAAAAGCAAAGTGTTACTTGCAAACATTGGTATGAGCTAGTGGAGAAAGCGATGGATTAGGAGTCAGATCACCGACTTGTTCTCACAACTGACTCACTGAGTGACCCTAGCAAAGCTGCAAGATCTCTTCATGACTCATTTGCTTCATTTGTTTAATAAAGATGGCATTGTCTCAGTTATATCACCTTGCTATTCTGAGGATAAACTAGTGTAATAAAAATGTTTAGACTCTTAAAAAGTTGAGACCACTATACAAATGAAAGATCATGATATTATTAAATATTTGTACTTTAGAGAAAGGAAAACTAGGTAAAACCCACATTTACTGGTTTAGCTGAGGAAAAAATTACTTCCCCATAAGTGGTTGGTTTTCAGATTAAAAGCATGTGCTATTTGAGACTCAAAGGGACTAAGAACAGACTGTCTTTGGGATAGATGAGCAAAATTAAATCTGGCAATGGAGAGTTCTCAGGACATTGGTCTGCTAGATACATTGCTTTTTAAAAAGCTAAGACTTTCTCAATAACCCATAGTGAAGTTTTCTTCTAATCGAAATTGGAAAAAAAAAAAAAAAAGAGCCTTCTCCCCAAAACATGTAGTGGATATCTCAGATGGCAAACGGTCCTCTTAATGTCAACAGATACAATTATTGCTGGGATGTGGAAATCCCTCCATACTACACGCAGTGCTATTAAACTGTTCATCCAGGCCCGAATGGTTCTCTTAACCTTTGCCTTTCCTTAGGCCAGAGGAGTCAGGAGTGAGCAATTTGGTCAATATGACTTTTGATCAATATTTCCAATGTTTTCTTCGACAATTAGTTTTATAGATATTTTGCTAATTTGTATCTTTCGGTCAAAGCAAATCTAATGTTTATTCCAGGTATCAAATTTGATGTTCTGAATCATTGTTGTACTTATAGACTTAGTGTACTTTGACAGTGTGACAATGGGAATTAACAGAAGAAAGGGCATCTAGGCACAGTAGGACTGGAAAGTCCTGAAACAGATCCTGAAAGCATTGACAGGCATAACTCTCAGATTTCCAGCCAAATTTTGTGTGGCTATCATTATTTGCAGTTCTTGTTTCTTATAATACAATAGATTCTGAACAGCAGGATTGAGGATTTCACAAAATTGGTATAACTGAGATAATTAGATCTTACTGTTCATCTGCAGTGGTACTGACTCAAGAATTACAATCTTTTGAATAATAGGCTTCATATTTTTCAGGGAGGGAATACAGAGAATGTTGGTTCACTGATTGTTTCCTTTAAAATGATTCTTGATGCACAGAGCTTTATGTCTGTGGTATGTTCATGTAAATGCTTATGATGCCAATTGTTAAAATCAAGTCTTTCTCCCACAGGTGATGGTGGCTATGCCAAAGATGCAAAGATGAAAGCCCCTTCCTCCTTAGCAGTGTCGCCTGATGGAACCCTCTATGTGGCAGACCTCGGAAATGTTCGAATTCGTACCATCAGCAGGAACCAAGCCCACCTGAATGACATGAACATTTATGAGATTGCTTCACCCGCTGATCAGGAACTGTACCAGTTCACTGTAAATGGAACCCACCTACACACCCTGAACTTGATAACAAGGGACTATGTTTATAACTTCACCTACAATTCTGAAGGTGACTTGGGCGCGATTACCAGCAGCAATGGCAATTCAGTGCACATTCGCCGTGATGCAGGCGGAATGCCGCTATGGCTTGTGGTGCCTGGCGGACAAGTATACTGGCTGACTATAAGCAGCAATGGAGTCCTGAAAAGAGTGTCAGCCCAAGGCTATAATCTGGCCTTAATGACCTATCCAGGAAACACAGGGCTTCTGGCTACCAAAAGTAACGAAAATGGATGGACAACCGTTTATGAGTAAGTTTCTAATTCTTGACATGGGCTTTGTTAGGTTTTTATTTGAAATTGTATTATACTGGGAAAATGCCTTAGTAATTGCTGAGTGTTGCATGCTGTTTTCTCCTAACAACCACCATTTTAAAAAATGAAAAGTCAAGGAGAAAATTTTACCTAATTCCTAGAGTTCAGACCCATTTTTCCAGAGCAGTTTGCAGAGCATAATAATAAAAACAGACTGCATCAAGGAAGACTCAAGTGTGGCACTGCAGGAGACAGGAATGAGGTAGAAGTACAAGTACTCAAGAAATTTACAACATCCCTGGGAAGATAAGGTACAATTTCATTTAAATAACAAAACTGTAGTTCTAAAGCAGCAAAGAAGCAGTGTGACTTAACAACTATTTATTGAGCCCTGTGGGGTTTAATGAATGAATAAATGAATGTATGCCCAGCCCAGCCCAGCTCAGTATAAGTTGCTGTGGGAGGTAAGAGAGAAGTTCAAATATAAGAAGTGGACCCTGGAAAGCAAGAGAAGAATTATGTGGGGCAAATGCTGAATAGGAGAGGCTCCATTCCATTGGCTGCTTCTGTAAAAGGAAGAGCCAAATGCTCTGTACGGGATTGGGCTTCCTCAGGGTCCCTGCACAAGTTGAATAATCCAGCACATTTTGGCATTTATAGACTGGAACTGTGATAACTTTGTTTAATGGGGAACTAACACAAAATGTGTCTGACAGCAAGCTACTAGGAGGTGCCGTAACACAGAAATAGAGACCATTGTCCTTGCCTTTTAAGGCATGGATGACCTTGTTTGCAAGTAAGCCCATCTAGAAAGCTGGTCTTTTGGCACTCGGGAAGCATTTTCCCCACAAAAGGAATTGCTGAGTTTTTTACCAGTATACTGAGTGAGCTAATCCATGGAATCTGAATTCAGAGTCTGGAATGGCATCAAAGTTGAAGAATGTGAGAAGTGGAGATGTTAAAGTATAAGGGGTTCCAAGTGTGACTATTTTGGGAGGATATAGAGAATATGTCCAGTCCCATGAAAGCCTCTTGAAGAAAGGGACAAAACAATTGGCCTTCAAGTTTTGGATCATTTTCCAAAGAAATGCCATCTGTACAAAAGAGCCAGACAGCTATTTTGGTTTCACTTAGAAAAATGTATTCAGTTGTTTCAGTTGCAAGTCTTCCTCTGTTTTTTGAAAGTAATTCTCTTCCATCTTAATAAGAGTAATAAAAGCTACGGTTAGCTAAAGATTTACTAAGTGCCAGGTACTGGGCTAGGTAATTTACATATGTGACTTTATTTGATCCCCATAATAACATGGGATAGGTGCCCCTAAGTATGCCCACTTTATGGATGAGAAAACTGAAGGACAAAATAGTTAACTTGTCCTGATTCACATAAATACCCAGGATTCAACCAGCAAGAGCCTGTGTTTTTAAATATACTACCCTTAGAAAAGATAAAATTTCTAATGAGAAGTTTTAATGTCTTTTTTAAAAACTCAAGCCGGATCACACTGCAGCTGAAATTAGGCAAACAACTATTTTGAAAGCTAATGGTGGAATTCAGTCCCCCAGCAAGAGATGGCTGAAGTATTAACTAGTTTTCAAAAGAACCAGTTCAACCATTCATGTATTTATTCAACAAACACATGAGCACCTACTACATACCATACAATGTTCTAGGCGCTGGGGATATAGCTATGAATAAAACAGATAAAAATCCCTACTTTTATGGAACTTATATTGTACTGGAGGAAGATGAGGAAGATGTATACAATTTCAAATGGTGATAAGTTCTATGGAGAAAAATCTAGTAAAGTAAGGGAGATCAAGTGGGTGGAGCAGAAGAGGTTTTTATTTCAGATTGGGTGGACAGGAAAGGCCTCACCAAGAAAGAAGGTGACTTTTGCATAAAGATCTGTAGGAGGTAAGAGTAAGCCATATGAATATCTGGGGGGTGGGGGGTGGTATGAGGGGTATTCCAGGCAAAGGGAAGAGCAAGTATAAATGCCCTGCAGCAGGAGTAAGCCTGACACATTCAAGGAAGAGTAAGGCAGCCATTGTGATGGAAGTGGAATGAGTAAGGTTAATGAGGACATGAAATCAATTAAGTAACCAGAACTACTTCATGTAGGGCCTTGTAGGCCACTGTAAAGACTTTGAATTTTACTCTAAGAAGTGGAGCCACTGGAGAGTTTTGAGTAAAGAAGTGATATAAGCCAACTTTCATTTTTTAAAAAATCACACTGTATTACAAATGGACTGTGTAGTGGAAACAGGGGAACCTAACTGGGAAGCAGGAGGAACTATTGCAATAATGCAGGCAAAAGATGATGACTTGGACCAGGGAGTTGGGCCAGTAAGAGGTGCTAAAATTCTGAATACATTTTGACAGTAGAGCTATCAGGACTTATAGAGAGATTGAGTATTGAGTGTGGGAGAAAGAGGGGTCAGAGATACCTTCAAAGGTTTTGGCCTGAGCAACTGGTTTTCATTTACCAAGAGGGGAAGACTATACAAGGAACATATTATACTGGAAGGTTGTGAGGTGGGAGATTGGGAATTCAGTTTTGGATATGATCAATTTAGTTAGGCATCTAAGTGAAAATATCAGGTAGACAATTGGATATATGAGTCTAGAATTGAGGGGAGAGGGTGGAGAGTGAAATTTGAGATGTACTGGTGTTTAGATTGTATTTAAAACCATGAGATGGGATGAGATCTCTCCATGAAAGTGAGTGTAGACAATGAAGAAAAGAGATCTGAAGACTGACCATGAAGCACTCCATGTTTAAAATTGAAGATATGGGCCAGGCACAGTGGCTCACACCAGTAATCCCTGCACTTTGGGAGGCCAAGGCGGGTGGATCACCTGAGGTCAGGAGTTCAAGACTAACCTGGCCAACATGATGAAACCCCGTCTCTACTAAAAATACAAACAATTAGCTGGGTGTGGTGGCGGGTACCTGTAATCCGAGCTACTTGGGAGGCCTGAGGCAGGAGAATCACTTGAACCCGGGAGGTGGAGGTTGCAGTGAGCTGAGATGGCGCCACTGCACTCCAGCCTGGGCAACAAGAGCGAAACTCTGTTTCAAAAAAAAAGAAAGAGAAGAAAAGAGTTGAGGGTATGAAGAGGAACCAGCAAAAGACACTGAGAAGGAAAGGCCAGTGAAGTGGAAAGAAAACTAGGAGAGTGGAATGTCCTGGAAGCCAACTGTGTTAATCTGTTTGTGCTGCTATAACAAAATACCTTTTACTGGGTAATTAATCAAGAACAAATTTATTTTTCACAGTTCTGGAGGTTGGGAAGTTCAAGGTCAAGATGCCAGCAGAGTCAGTGTCTGGTGAGGGCTACTCTCTGCTTCCAAAATGGCACTGCCTGCTGAGTCCTTATATGACAGAAGGGGGACAGTGAAAAGGGACCTAGCTGGCTCTCTCCAGCTCTTTTGTAAGATTGCTAATTGCATTCATGAAGGCAGAGACAACATGACCTAATCACCTCCTAAAGGCCTCACCTGTTAGTACTATCACATCGGCAGTTCAGTCTCAATATTTGAATTTAGGGGGACAAATTCAGACCATAGCACCAAATAAAACAGGTGATTCCAGGAGGAAAGAGTGAGCCACTGTGCCAAATACTCCTGATAAGTAAGATGAGGACTTAGAATTGACCACTTGATTTAGCACTGTGAAGAGCAGGCGCTGTGACACATGAGGGACCAAAGCCTGAGTAGAATATTCTCTTAAGAGAGAATGGATACACAAATTTTCATAGCAACATTATTTATAATAGCTGAGAAATATAAACAACTCAAATGCCTATCAAGTGGTGAGAAGACAAACAAAATGTGATATATCCATGTCATGAAATAGTGTTCAGCCATAAAAAGAAATGAAGTTCTGATACATACTACAATGTGGATGAACCTCAAAAACATTATGCTCAGTGAAAGAATCTAGAAACAAAGGACCCTTCTGATTCCATTTATATGAGATGTCTAGAAGAGGCAAATCCATAAAGACAGAAAATAGATTTGTAGTTGCCAAGAGCTGGGGAGAAGAATGAATGGGGAGTGACGGTTAATTCATATGGGGTTTATCTTGGGGGTGATAGAAATGTTCTAGAAGTGGTGGTGATGGTTGCACAACATTGCAAATGTACTGTAAGTCACTGGATTGTACAATTTAGAATGGTGATTTTTATGGTGTGAGAATTATATCTCAATAATAATAATATAGAATGACTAGGAGGAGAGAGACTGAGACAGTGAGTAAAGAACTCTTTTGAGGAGTTTTGCTGTAAAGAGCAGAGAAATTAGAGCTGGAGGAGAAACAGAGTAAACAGAAGAGTTTTTTAAGTGAGAGAAATAACAGCATATTTGTATACTGATAAAAATGATCTAATATAGAGGGGAAAATTGATGATGCTGAAGAGAGAAGATAATTTTGTTGTCATATCAATTTGTGTGCCTGTTTTCCACTGGCATCACATTGATGCAGGCACTGTGTGGTAGGCAAGATTCTCACGGTGAATGGGGTCCAGGCCTGTTACCAGAATTTGGCCAACAGTGAGTGAAAAGGTATCAACTAACATCATTGGTGAGTAACCAATCTCGAGCCACTAAGCTATGAGAAACACAGACATCCACATGGGGGTAGTCATGAAATTTTATGGCCACAAAGAGACATTAGATGTCATTTTACAAATGAAGAAACCGAAACCCAGAATAGGGAAGTAACGTGCCCATTCACATGCTAGTTGGCTTATCCAGAGTCAGGATAACAGAAAACAGAGGATCATGTGGGCTTACGAGAGTGACCATACAAAATCTAGAGAGCTAGAAAGTTTCCCCTCAAGTAGCAGTAAAAGAGGAATAGGTAGCACCAGGAGATGAAAAGGGAGGCTGAATAACCATTTGTTCTTTCTCCCACCTTCTTAACTCCAGCCAGAATTATACTGAAACCCTCTTGGTCAAATAGCATCTGTTGAAAGGAGAAGGTACCTCTTCTCCTGAAGCAGTCTATTCTGGTGCTGAACAGCAGTCTTTAACAAAACACAGCTCCTGTCCCTTCTTGCCTGTAAACAGAAATGAGCAACTTTCCAACCTTCATAATGTGACTAATTCCTCCTACAGTCTTTATACAATATCTGACTTTTTTCACTTTTGTCCTCTAGTCCTTTGGCTAGTTCTGAGCACTCCTTCAAGTTTTCTCTTGTCCTTCTGAAGTTGGAGAACACAGCATTTGACCTACTCTTCTAGTCAGGGTCAGAGCAGTGCTAAGGTCGGTAGAAGGCTGCTATACCACTGATACCAGGCCCTCCTAAAAGAACTCGAGTAATTCCCCGAGGTAAAAGGGAGGCTTCTTTATGTGGACAAGGGGACAAATTGTTTGCACAGGTGGAAGTATAAGTTCTGCTCTGAGAGGAGCATGAGAGAAACAGAAACAGAAGTGAAATTTGGCAGGATGGAAGACTGCAGTGTAAAGGTAGGCCAGTCACTAATCCATTCAACTTTCTATTATCTGCAGCTATCAGGAGGAAAAATGACATAGATGACCCTGAACAGTGGATAATCCAAATGGGATTTTAAAATGCATCTTGTGTAGTGGTAGTGCCTGGGCTTTTATTAGGTAGTGTGATGTTGTTTACATAGTTCACTAATTTTCATAATTCCATTTGACTTGGACCAGGATCAAAATTGCACACCCCAAGTGTTAGTATTTGATGCACCATTGCCCATGAGTGTCCCAAGTGTCAGGGGGAAAAGCTGACCACAGAGAAACAGCTAACAAGGAAGTGATTGTCAAGGCACGAATACTGGCCTGAGGCGGCACAGGTGGGCTCCTAATTGTAATAACCCCGCAGCAGCTGAGATCTGAGGGAGGGGCCTAGCAACTCGCACAGCAGACAAGCCTTTCTCCACAAGGCTGCAAAAGTAGCCAGGATGCCCTTGCTTGTTTCCCTGGCAAAGGCTTCTGCTCTACTAAACTGAAAAGGTCCCAGACTAAGGCCAAAGCATCAGTCGTGTCACTGCTGCTGGTCCATTCTGAGTTGACGGTTCGTCAGGCCCCTTGCCCTTTGTGGGAAGCCCTCCCACTTGAAGGAGACTCTCCGTTTACATGATCTCTTGATCCTTCGTCTTCTGCATTCTCTGTTTTCAGACTTTATTAACACATCCTCTCCTCCCATCAAGAAAACAAAAAACAAACAAACAAACAAACAAAAACACCACCCACTGACAGGTTGGAGAAGCCTTCATAATATCTCTGGGTATCTTCTAGACTGTTTTACAAATGCCCAGTTTTATCATGGATGGCTAATGACAGATTCCCCCTTCTCCCTTATAAGATCAGAAGGGGTAGGGGGCAAGATAAACAAGCCATGTCTCTGGGTGAGATATTTGCCTGGGGATAGGATGCGATTCCCATGCAGAAATGCTTATGTAATAATCAGTCATTCTAAACACATGTGACGTTTCCAATGCCTTCTAGAATCCCAGAGTAGAAAAGGAACTAAGGCATTGTATGGTTCAGGCACATGCCTCCAGGCAGGTGAATGATTTCAATTAAACAAGAACATAGAAATGTTGGCTGTTCCTTCAGATCTTTAGAAATAGAGAGTTGACACCCTTGCTCAGTCACCTCTCCTTGTGCTTTATGCCCTTGATAAGGATCAAGAGTGAGTAAAACAGAATTATCGTCGGTATTTCTGGGAAGAACTGAAATAAAGACAGAGTGAACAGAAGTAACAGAAGCTGGTAGGGAAGTTCCGCTGAACTCCATAGCACATCTATGTAACCTGAGTGTGCCCTCCCAGAAGCACTATCGATGGTTCTGTCTGTTCTGTAACCACATTGGCTCTCATATCCACCCCCATCCTTTTTTTCACTGGCAGCATCCTATTTATACTCATTCAACAAGTACATGGAGTGAGATCTACTCTGTTCCAGACACGGAGAATATAAAAATGAATGAGACACTGTGTCCTCCCTCTAAAGATGTGAGAGTTGTACAGTCTAGTGGGGAAGACAAATCTGAATGATAGGCAATCACAATATATTTAACGAAGGCAACAGACCACCATCTTCTCATATATGAACTGGGTCTGCAGCCTCCTAACAGTTCTCCCTGCTCCTTGCCTCCCCTTCCAAGACTCATTGCCACCAAAACACTGTTTGGATCATCCTTTTATCCCCTTGAAAAACTGTCTATGCTTCTTTATTGTATAAGCCTTATCTCTCACTACCCTCCTAGAGGAACCCTGTGCTCCAGCAATGCTGGTCCCCCAGTAGACATCCCATCAGTCAGCGTGCCTTTCTTCATACCTCCATTTGGAATGCCTTCCTCCCCTTCCCAATCTCTACCTACCTTCTAGGATTCAAACACCACCTGCTTCTGCTCTTCCTCCTCCTATTCTGCTCAGCCCAGCTGGAAATGACCTTTGCCTCTTCTGAGATTCTAGTTTCTTCTTTACAGAAATTCATGGCAATATTCTGGCATTAGAGTTATTTGTGTGCATATCTTATCTGCCCCACTAGACTGTGAATTTCATTCAGCACTGTATCCCTGGTCCCTAGCACAAGACTCTGATATTTATTGAATGAAGGACAAATGAAGATAGAAGGACATTATGGACTTGGAACTGAATCATAGGAAGCCAAAGGAATTTATTAGTGAGGAAAGGGGAATCCCATATTTCCTAAAGAATTCTTATTAGGTTGGTCAGCTTTCTGACATGAAAGTGTAAAGAGGGTCTGACTCTTTCATATTTCCTTTAAAAGAGTAAGTAATGAATTTCTCTTCTATTATCTGCAATTTTTTTTTAAAGCAAAGGTGTGGGAGCCTCTAGTTTTATCTTGAACAGTTTAACTCTGGCTTAAATTGTCCTCAGAGGAAAGGGCAAGCTATCCCTTATGAGAAAATACCAGGCCAAATATATTTTTAATCATGTGTAAATATCATCTCTCCAACTAAACTATATGCTTCTCAAGGACAAGAATGGATTCTGAATTTTCTTTACAAATGTTTCCTTTGCTCTACTGGGGTGCACATGTGTGCACATGCACACACACACTCACTCAAGTGCACATGCACACAGCCTATGACAGTGCTGAGGAAAAGGGTGAGTGTACTCATTACTTAACTGTCTGGTACCCTCTGAGACCATCACAGTGGAACTCTGTAAAATCAGGACAGCAAGGGACAATTTGATAACAAATCTCCTCTTACCAAATCCACTTCTGATGGCTATGAAGGCAACTGTCATTTCCTGATGGCACAATTCAGCAGCTATAATTTGCAGCCTGGTTAGGTGAGTGCTGTGCCCTGCATGCAAAGAGGGTGGGTTTGCTCCCATGCTGTGGCCTGAAGGGATTCGTTGGAGCATATCGGCTTGTATCTCTGCACCAAAGGATGGAGGCACCGAAGGGAAACACACAGCAGAAGAGATTTTGATTAAACTTGTTTCTTCGACACTCAGTCTGGAAAGATGCATTCCCCTGTGATGACAGAAAAAACTCAAGTAAGCTATAAGAAATCAAAATCTCGCTCTATTTCTTATCCACTTTGAGCAATCTTTCCAAAGTTGTAGGAATTACCCGCTGATGTGTACATCTGCCTGTTGTTCTTCCTTTGGAAATGACCCAACAGAAGAGAGGTGGGATCTGTATGTTTTGATCCAGGGCCATATTGAGCATCAGAGACACCACCCTGCAGATACCATTAAATGTGATTGCTTTAACTGTGAACTAGCAGAATTGGGGTATGTGAGTGTGTTGGAGTTGGGGTGCTTTGTTTATCATGGAGTTACAGTCAAATGTACACTTTCATTGGCCTCTCTGGCCACAGAAAGGAAATGAGGCAATATAACTTTCCAGCTACCCAACAACTGGACAGACCCATGGGAAATATCTTATTCCCAACACCATTGCCTCCTTCACCAGAAAACACACACACACGTGCGTGCACACACACACACACACATACACACACACAAACACACACATATACACCAAGCAGTCTCCCAGCTAAATCTATCTGGGTAATTACAGTCTTATCTAGGAATCTTTAGCTTGCCTCTCTGAATATACCACCGTCAATATGGGGAGGAGGGATGGGTACAAAATATGTAGGAATATGCCTGTGCTCTTGGAAATAAGCTTTGAAATGTTTATCAGACAAAGACCACCAATAACTTAGCTGAAAAGGTGTTTGGGTGGGTGGACTAGGAAACCAGATTTAGCCACAGGTCACTGCAAAGGTTCATTGGGAATTTTGACCCTTGTACCCCTATGCATGGATGGCCCAGTTGGTATCTGATCTTGTCATCTTGCTCTGATGAGTGGATATAACCACTGCTCATATCTTTACATGAGATCTTCCCTTAAAACAAGGGGCTGTGTGACTGAAGGAAACTGCCCCCAAGCTGGAAAGTCCATGTGGAACCTGCATCCACAGCATCTAAGTTCAGCTTTCCTGGAGGAATGATAGAGTGAGCTTGTCAAGGGTTGAGGAATCCCTTTAGAAATCAGGAAAGGCCAGTGATGATGAACATTTTTTCATGTGTCTTTTGGCTGCATAAATGTCTTCTTTTGAGAAGTGTCTGTTCATATCCTTTGCCCACTTGTTGATAGGGTTGTTTTTTTCTTGTAAATTTGTTGGGGTTCGTTGTAGATTCTGGATATTAGCCCTTTGTCAGATGAGTAGATTGCAAAAATTTTCTCCCGTTCTGTAGGTTGCCTGTTCACTCTGATGGTAGTTTCTTTTGCTGTGCAGAAGCTCTTGAGTTTAATTAGATTCCATTTCTCAATTTTGGCTTTCGTTGCCATTGCTTTTGGTGTTTTAGACATGAAGTCCTTGCTCATGCCTATGTCCTGAATGGTAATGCCTAGGTTTTCTTCTAGGGTTTTTTATGGTTTTAGGTCTAACATTTAAGTCTTTAATCCATCTTGAATTAGTTTTTGTGTAAGATGTAAGGAAGGGATCCAGTTTCAGCTTTCTACATATGGCTGGCCAGTTTTCCCATCACCATTTATTAAATAGGGAATCCTTTCCCCATTTCTTGTTTTTGTCAGGTTTGTCAAAGATCAGATAGTTGTAGATATGCAGCATTATTTCTGAGGGCTCTGTTCTGTTCCATTGGTCAATATCTCTGTTTTGGTACCAGTACCATGCTGTTTTGGTTACTGTAGCCTTGTAGTATAGTTTGAAGTCAGGTAGCATGATGCCTCCAGCTTTGTTCTTTTGGCTTAGGATTGACTTGGCGATGTGGGCTCTTTTTTGGTTCCACATGAACTTTAAAGTAGTTTTTTCCAATTCTGTGAAGAAAGTCATTGGTAGCTTGATGGGGATGGCATTGAATCTATAAATTACCTTGGGCAGTATGGCCATTTTCACGATATTGATTCTTCCTACCCATGAGCGTGGAATGTTCTTCCATTTGTTTGTATCCTCTTTTATTTCATTGAGCAGTGGTTTGTAGTTCTCCTTGAAGAGTTCCTTCACGTCCCTTGTAAGTTGGATTCCTAGGTATTTTATTCTCTTTGAAGCAATTGTGAATGGGAGTTCACTCATGATTTGGCTCTCTGTTTGTCTGTTATTGGTGTATAAGAATGCTTGTGATTTTTGCACATTGATTTTGTATCCTGAGACTTTGCTGAAGTTGCTTATCAGCTTAAGGAGATTTTGGGCTGAGACAATGGGGTTTTCTAGATATACAATCATCTGCAAACAGGGACAATTTGACTTCCTCTTTTTCTAATTGAATACCCTTTATTTCCTTCTCCTGCCTGATTGCCCTGGCCAGAACTTCCAACACTATGTTGAATAGGAGTGGTGAGAGAGGGCATCCCTGTCTTGTGCCAGTTTTCAAAGGGAATGCTTCCAGTTTTTGCCCATTCAGTATGATATTGGCTGTGGGTTTGTCATAGATAGCTCTTATTATTTTGAGATACGTCCCATCAATACCTAATTTATTGAGAGTTTTTAGCATGAAGGGTTGTTGAATTTGGAGAAATAGGAACACTTTTACACTGGTGGTGGGACTGTAAACTAGTTCAACCATTGTGGAAGTCAGTGTGGCAATTCCTCAGGGATCTAGAACTAGAAATACCATTTGACCCAGCCATCCCATTACTGGGTATATACCCGAAGGAATATAAATCATGCTGCTATAAAGACACATGCACACGTATGTTTATTGCGGCACTATTCACAATAGCAAAGACTTGGAACCAACCCAAATGTCCAATAATGATAGACTGGATTAAGAAAATATGGCACATATACACCATGGAATACTATGCAGCCATAAAAAACGATGAGTTCATGTCCTTTGTAGGGACATGGATGAAGCTGTAAACCACCATTCTCAGCAAACTATCACAAGGACAAAAAACCAAACACTGCATGTTCTCACTCATAGGTGGGAATTGAACAATGAGAACACATGGACACAGGAAGGGGAACATCACACTCTGGGGCCTGTTGTGGGGTGGGGGGAGGGGGGAGGGATAGCATTAGGAGATACACCTAATGTTAAATGACGAGTTAACGGGTGCAGCACACCAACATGGCACATGTATACATATGTAACTAACCTGCACATTGTGCACATGTACCCTAAAATTTAAAGTATAATAATAAAAAAAAAGTTTTACTATTGTAAAAAAGAAAGAAAGAAAGAAAGAAATCAGGAAAGGGAAACCAATGAGGCAAAGTTGCTGGTGCCTCATGTGGAACAGAGAGGAAGTGCCTGCATAATCCAGGTTGTTGGGGCCACAGTTCCCCTGATAAGAAAGGCATGCAGCAGCTTCCTTCGGTCTACTGCCTGCAAACTCCTGCCTCCTCTACCTTGGGAGAATAATGGCTGGACAGTGGGCCGGGCGTGGTGGCTCACGCCTGTAATACCAGCACTTTGGGAGGCTGAGGCAGGGGGAATCACATGAGGCCAGGAGTTGGATACCAGTCTGGCCAACATGGCGAAAACACATCTCTACTAAAAATACAAAAATTAGCCAGATGTAGTGGTACTCGTTTGTAATCCCAGCTACTCAGGGAGGCTAGGACACGAGAATTGCTTGAACCCGGGAGGTGGAGGTTGCAGTGAGCCGAGATCACACCACTGCACTCCAGCCTGGGTGACAGAGCAAGACTGTCTCAAAAAAATTAATTAATTTTTTTTAAAAAAGGCTGGATATTATTGTTTTTCTCCCCTGGATGGAAGACCAAACAGACAAGGTTGGGGCTAAAGTGGGTATTCGAGCCTTCCTATGCTCCGTTCTTCTGCTTCTTGTAGCTATAGAGCCCCACAGCAGGCAGAACGTGGGCAGTCTTTGCAGAGGGAAGGATTTTGCCATTAACCCCAGGAAGAAACAGCACTCTTCAGTCTTTCTTTGATAACGCGTCCTTAGCTGCATAATAGCACTGTGCCAACCATTTCGACTGAAATCCATTTAAACAAAGGAGACACCCAATTTAACATCTAAGGCTAGGCATATCTGTGATGTCAATAACCTATTTGATTCATTCTATTCACATATGTGACTGTTTTAACTGATAATATATATGTGTGTGTGCACACACGCACGTGTATATGCAGAACTGAACTTTAGGTGGCATTATGTATAGGCTCAAGTTCAAGTCTGTCCTATAAAGTACAGTCCAACTGCTTTTCCCAAGCCTTCCAAAGGCTGGTATAGTTATTAAAATTTGAGCAACTACCCAGGCTGAGTTTTTTAGAATATAATGGATTGATACTGAATTACTATGCCACTTTGTGTAATCGTTGGGGGAGGGAGTAGTACAGCCAGTCTCTACCATTGTGTCCAGGCTGAATCCTGCTCATTTTGGGTAAAAAGAATATAATTGTTTAACATTTTAAAAGGCAAATAAAAGTGCTTAAATATTTTGTAATTTGCAACTTGAAAAGAAAACAGTAATGGGTTTCCAAGTACATGTGTTTACTTTTAATGAAGTGTTTATTTTTCATGGTTCTATTGGCAATAAAAGAACAGCTCCACATCAAAAGCCTTCAGGGAAGCAGTTTTCATTTGGAGGACAGTGAGATTGCCAATAATTCTGATTTTTTTTTTTTTTTTTTTGGAAAAAGTAAACTCCCTAGACTATATTTCTAGATATAGCTTATAGCCTATTATCCCAGGTAATTATTTTTTGTCTCTTACTCATATAGACAAATTACAAAACCTTATGTACTATACCCTAAAAAGATTTTTAAAATTTAAGTGACATCAAGATCAGAGGGCTCCAGAATGTTTTAATGAACATGTTTCCATTATCCTCTGTGCCTGTTCATTTTGTTGGAAGAATGATTCATTCATTTCAAATTTGGCAACTTAAACAGCAGCAAATTATAATTTTCCCATCATAACCCAAAGTCAGTATATTGGCTTCTCAGCCTTTGAGGGCCCTTTTGTACCTTCTTTTGCTTTGACAACAGCACCCTCTGCTGGGTTTTGTAATCCATCACCTCTAATGGGATCGACCCAAATCGCAAACGGAGGCCTCCCTGCAACGTTGCACACAGCAGGACATGATTCATAAATCAGTGTTCCACCCTGGTGATTCATTACCAGATATATTTTTTCTGTAAAACAGCACAGCTCAAGGAAGTTATCAAGAATTCAGAAGCTGCAAAAAATACCTTCGTTTGATTAATCATCTCTCTGACCTTTTTCTTCTTCTTGAACAAGGTTAATAATACTTGTTATCACTCAAAGTTAAACTGTATTAGCTGCCAAGTGATTTTTATTTTGCAAAGTCCTGTTATCACTGCCGAGACGCTTCAAAGCTGGGATTGGTTACATTCCTCAGGTATGACCCCGAGGGACACCTGACCAATGCAACGTTTCCCACTGGAGAGGTCAGCAGCTTCCACAGTGACCTGGAGAAGCTGACAAAAGTGGAGCTAGATACTTCCAACCGTGAAAATGTCCTCATGTCAACCAACTTGACGGCAACTAGTACCATATATATTTTAAAACAAGGTAAGATTGTTTCCAACGATATCTGACTGTAACAGCCCCTATGTCAACATCCACCTTGAAACCTGCGTACACCATTCATAAACAGAATTCACCTCTAGCTGAGAAGATGTACTCTTCCTGTTTTCCAGCTATGGAAGTTGAAACACAGACAAAATTCACACCTTTTACAAGTTCTCACATCAACTTTGGGCCCATCTCTGTGGGAGTCATGAGGTTCAATCCCTGCCAAGTCTGCTCTGCTATCAACTTATTTCCCAATACCCAGCTGTTTGCAAAGGTCTTTCAGGGTCTGGCTAGGTTATATTAAATAAATGGAGCCTGGGCTCCAGCTGAGCTTGGCATTCTAGATCAATGCCAACATGGGTGAAGAAAAAGGAAAATCTTAGGATACAGACCAAGCAAGAATATAAGTGAAATGAGAGAATTAAAAACTCATTATATTTGAAGACAGAAAAGTAAGGAAGAACAGAAGAAGAAAGGAAGGAAGGGAGATAGGATTTGGAATGTCTTAGAAGCTAGAGGACAAGTGCACAAAGAGAAATTGCTTTCTCTCTGCCCTGTCATTAAGACCTCATTCTGTTGTTAGGTGGTGACACCAGACACTCTAAGAGTACACTAACTTTTGTTAGTGGTATTTTGTGGAGTACGGCAACTGTGATGGTGGGCCCAGGTGGTAAGGTGCTACGTTGAACTTCACACTCTTCTCATTCTAGCTCCCAGCATATCAAACTGAGGAGGCTGATCCAACAAGTCAGTGAGGGAGGGAATTCTTTAAAAATGAAAAAAGAAAAAAACAAAAACAGCCTGCAGTGTTAGACAAGAGTCTTTTATCCAAGAAACAGATACTCCAGCTGTGAAAATAACAAGACCCAAATGGATAGGGAACACGTTTGCCTGTCAGAGCGGTAGTCTAGCCCAGAAGGCAGATAGGACCACAGCACCCCACCTGCTTATCCCCCAAACGTGCCTCCTAAAACTAAACCTGTCTCTTTTCTGCTTCCTGCTCTTCCCTTCCTTCCCCCTCTTCCTCCTTTGCTCTTCTGTCTACAGAAAATACTCAAAGTACCTATCGGGTGAATCCAGATGGTTCCCTGCGTGTCACTTTTGCCAGCGGGATGGAGATCGGCCTCAGCTCAGAGCCCCACATCCTGGCAGGGGCAGTCAACCCTACCCTGGGCAAATGCAACATCTCATTGCCCGGAGAGCACAATGCAAACCTCATCGAGTGGCGGCAGAGGAAGGAGCAAAACAAAGGCAATGTTTCGGCTTTTGAAAGGAGGCTGAGGGTAAGGCTTGACTTTACACAAGATATAGAACTTTTATAGGTGTTTTGTTTGTTTGTTTGTTTGTTTGTTTGTTTGTTTAACTGCAGAGCCTCCCTAAACTGAAGTCCCATTTCTCCAAAGCTTTTCTAAGTGACTGACTGGCTTATATGATATACTAATTCAAAAGAGGATGCTAATGGCCGATAATGGTTCAGTATCCTTAAATGAGCATTCTAATAGGAGCTTTCTTTGTCATTAGCCAGCTAAAGTGCTCTAATAGTAGCAATTTCACCAAGAAAGTCTGGCTGGAGAAATGTGTTTAGTCAAAGGAGGCCCTCCAGCACCCCTCCCAGCATGCCCTGGAGATGTCTATCAGGTTCACTGAGTTGACCGAGGTCCCTGCTTTCCAGGTAGCTCTTTGGAAAGACCTCGCAGGTACACACAAAAGGATGTGAGACAAAAGGCAACATTTGGGCAAAGACAAGAGGAAAAATCAGTGAATTATAGCATTGCCATGAATACATATCCAGGGCCAGAGGGATAAAGGACTGGTACTGAGATTGGGCTGAGGTACTCAGAGCTGCCTGGAGGAAGTTATAGATTAGGGAGTTTTAAAGTCCTTACCAAGCACAGTTCACCAGAGTTAACCAGGAGACCTCGGTCAGCTTTTCTGCAGCACACAAAGCCTACAATCGCCATAGCACTCTGTCTACCTGCCTCCTCTTGAACGTTAACCAGTGTTAGGATGATGTGGCCAGCTTTCTACATGTAGTAACATTCAATATCAGCCCTAGAGCAACTGCCAGCCTGCGGGAAATAATCACTCACTATTGAGGCCAGATCTGCTTTGAGCACCTGTGTCACGCCTGATATACCGGGAAGGTTTCTGTTATATATAAAGTTTCGGTGCCGCAAAAGGAATAGCACTCGAATATAAAATTTTCTTTTTAATTATCAGTAAGGCAAGTTACTTCTATAGAAGGGTGCGCCCTTACAGATGGAGCAATGGTGAGTGCACACTTGGACAAGGGAGGGGAAGGGGCTCTTATCCCTGACGCACGTGTTGCTGTGTCGTTCCCCTATTGGCTAGGGTTAGACCGCACAGACTAAACTAATTCCGATTGGCTAATTTAAAGAGAATGACGGGGTGAGTGTTTTGGCGGGAGTCAGGGCAGAGCAGGTAGCAGGTAATCTGAATGAGTTAGGGTAGAGCAGGTGATCCGAATGATTTAGGGTGGAGCAGGTAATCGGAATGAGTCAGGGTGGAGTAGGTAATTGAAAAAGGTTGCTTTACGAGGAAGTTAAGTTTAAAAGTAGAAGGCAAAGAATTGAACATACTGACATATTAATTATTTGAAAAGAAATGTAGAACTCATATCAAAAATTTGGTAACCTTAAGGTTGTGGAAGTGCAACCCCCAAACAACCACCCAATTCCAGAGAGAGGCAGTCAAACCGGTCATATGGCTTGATATGAACAAAATAATCTACAGCAGTGCTCACTTTTCTTTTTTTTTTCTTTTTTTTTTTTTGAGACAAGAGTCTTGCTCTGTCGCCCAGGCTGGAGTGCAGTGGTGCGATCTCGGCTCACTGCAAGCTCTGCCTCCCGGGTTCACGCCATTCTCCTGCCTCAGCCTCCCAAGTAGCTGGGACTACAGGTGCCCGCCACCACACCCGGCTACTTTTTTGTATTTTTAGTAGAGACGGGATTTCACCGTGTTCGCCAGGATGGTCTTGATCTCCTGACCTCGTGATCCACCTGCCTCGGCCTCCCAAAGTGCTGGGATTACAGGCATGAGCCACCGTGCCCGGCCAGTGCTCACTTTTCAATCAGTTCTCTTGGTGACACACAGCCACAGACTTTAGTGGGTGGTTTTTTTGTTGTTGTTTGGTTTTGTTTGGGTTTTTTTTTTATAAAGCTACTGAAATTTGTATGTGCACAAGTCAATTTTTATGTTTCGATTCTATTGACAAGTTTCTGACAGAATATTTACCAGATATGCCACTGAATGGAGAAGTGAAACCAATCCAAATATCAAACCAATGTGTGGGTAGCAGTAAAGATTTCTATCGGAATTCTTTGAGAAATAGGACCTCCTGGGTAGAACCCTGGATGGGGAAGTTAGAGAACCTGGCCTTGATACCCTATTTTACAAACGCTTTAAGAAATGCCTTGATTTTTTTTTTTCACCTGTAAAATAAAAGTGTACTACTAGAGAAAGTAAGAATTATCTACATATGGCTTATCGACCTCATGGACTCATCACAGAAAAATTGTATTGAAGACATGATTTCTTAGTACCTCTCCCAGCATATAGCCTCAAAAAAACTTTCTGAACCAAATCATATACTATGTGACTTTGGGATTTTTCATTCTTTAGGATAACTCATCCTATATTATGTGACCTTGGAAGTTTCCATTTTCTAGAACAACCCATCCTGTTTTCTGTCCTCCATATGCACAGATAATGGAGAGAAACTATAAACTGTAATTTACACCCCATATCCCAAATTGTTCTTAGTGCTGAGAAGCTAATTGTCATAAAACATTTGGGAGCTCATTAGTGTTAAGAAGTAAAGTGTTTAGTTAGTACTAATTATAATGTGACCCATTTCCGATCCTGTGGCAGAGTTGAGCAGATTTGCGGACTGGACTATAAGGGCAACAAATTCAAGGCCCTCTTCTCTATATCACTTCTAGGCTACTCCCTGAGGTCCTGTGACTGAAAAATGAGGCCCCTTATTGGCCAGGTGGTGTTACCATGGCATGCCCCAGAAGTCTAATAACAATAACAATCATTTACATATGTTTAGTGCCTCAGAGTGAACAAAATGGTTTCATAGCCAGGATTTTATTTGATCACCACAGCTGTCAATTGTTACTTTCAATTTACAGATAAGGAGACCAAGGCCCAGGTAGGTTAAGTGATTTGCCCAAAGTCAACCAGCTATTAAGGATCAGAGCCAGAGCTAAAATGCAGGTCCTCACCTAGCATGGCACTCTTTCTACTGCATCACACTGTGCTGCCTTGTTCCTTAAAATAATTAATCTATAAATCATTGCCCCACTCAGTGGAGCTACCTTGGCAGGGCCTGACTCCTCATTTCAATGCTGACAAAAAGGGACAAATAATCGACTCTAATGTACTGGCAAGTGTGGGAGGCACAGGACAACTGGCTGGCTTCCAGGCAGGAAAAGCATGAAGCAGGCAAAAAGAGGAAGGAGGCTGCTTAACTGGTTAATTTTTACCCGATCTCCCTATTCCTAGTGATTTTTTTTATGCTGATGCCTCAATTTCCCCAGATTTGGCATTTCCAATTTAATGAAATGAGTATGCTCCCAAAAGGGACATGTGAATCCAATTTTGACAAAGCAAATTCTCTTCCCCCACTGACGTTATTATTTCCGAGATGGCGTCCCTTCATTTCTGGTAGCTTTCAAGGGACAAGCTGATGCCAATTTTCTCTCTTCCTGGACCAAAATATGCAATGACCCATTTGTAAGCATCCAAAGAATAAGCTTCTCTGATGCTCTCAAGTTCCTCAATACCTTGGACTGAATCATTTATTTCTTCTAGTGAAGCTGTCATTTCAGACTGAGGGCAGGTGGAGCTATCAGAGCTGTTGAGACAGAATTTCCAAGTCATACAACATAGAAACCCCTTCTGTACTGTGGGAAATGGGGCTCCCTTTTGAAAACCCACACAAAAGTGTGGTTGTAATTTGCAAGTGTGCAGGCCATAAAGCACTAATTGTTCAAGGACAAAATGACAGGTTCATTTAAAGGCCCATTTGGTAAGATGATAGACGTCAAATGTTCCCAAAAGCTGCCGATCACACCTCCCCCAGACCTTTTAGCTGGAAAGAAAAAAAAATCAGAAAAGGATAGACCTATCTTTGGAGAATAATCAGTGATTTTTTTTCATGCAACGTCAGGATCCTTTTTAAGGTGAGGGAGGCAAACTTTTGGGAAACATGATACCCTGCTCAGCCTGAGCAGGCAAGGGATTTGTTACCTCTGAGCCATCCTTCACCAGCTCCATTAAGTGAAATAAGTCACATTAACATCCTGAAATTTCATTTATTTAAAAAATCCATTTCCCTCCAACCTGAGTTGTGTTTGACTCATCTTCCTTCCTTGCAAGGCACTTTTGCATCTAGTCCATGTATCTGCTTATCTGCTGCATCAATCTGTCCCCATAAATACATTTCCCTGGACAATAGAGAAATTAGAGTGCAGATAACAATAGAGGCAATTGTAAAAAGAATTGGGCATTTACCAAAAGCATACTGGTTTAGGAACTACATCCAGTTTGTACCTTGCTATGTCCATGGATAACAATGCTGTCATATGAGATGTATCCCAGCTTTGGATCCCAGAGCTGTTTATAAGATTTTGTAGACTGAGTTGTAAGGTTATAGCAAAATCCCTGAACTGCAGCCTCCTTTATTAAAAGAAAAACAATGGAGGGGGCTTAGCACTTTATGACCAAAATTATAAAATCAGGTAGGATTATTATGTGTTTACAAATGAAATGAAGCAAGGACTTATCTAAAACTCTCCCAATTTACTTTTTTCCTCTACTCAAACATAACTGAGAATAGGGTAGGTTGGTTTTTAAATGAAACGTGAGTGTTCAGATGTGAGCTGAGAAGGAGAAACAAGCTCGGTTGAACACAGGGTCTCAGGCTGACAAATGATGGGGAATTGGTGGGGGCAGCCAAGAGGGCTCTGGCCTTTCCCTCTATTCTGAGAAATTGCCTTGGTCCTCAGCTACAGGGTGCTCAGAGTTGGATTTTCATTCACTTGACACTATTTTAACTTCCTTCTCCTCAGGTTTGGTGGAAGCATTTATTTTGTGAAAATTTAGATAAGGAGCCTGACTGGAGATATATTAATCAGATTAATCTATTTAAAAATATATCTGCAGTTTTCAGTCAAGTAACAGTGCTTTTCCCCCTAAGGAGCCCCCTGGAGACAGGAGATTTCCTATATCAAGGCTACTGGGCAGTATTGATTTTTGGGGTCCAGGAATTCTTGGGGCTTCCAAATCATAGAACCTGCTATATTTGGTTGTGTTTTTGTTTTTTTGTTTTTTGTCTCCCAGAGTGGAATGCAGTGGCACGATCTTGGCTCACTGCAGCCTCTAACTCCCGGGCTCAAGCGAATCTCCCACCTCAGTCTCCTGAGTAGCTGGGACTACAGGCGCATGCCACCGTGCTCGGCTAATTTTTGTTTTTGTTTCTTTGTAAAGACAGGGTCTTGCCATGTTGCCCAGGCTGGTCTTGAACTCCTGGACTCAAGCCATCCGCCCACCTCAGCCTCCTAAAGTGCTGGGACTTCAGGCACGAGTCACCGTGCCTAGCCTATTTTTGTTAATCTTGGATCAACCTCACTAAGATAACTAGAAAGAAAGAATTATTTCATATACCATTTCACCTGTATATGAGCATTAATGATTTGGTATAAAAAAATTTTAAATATCTGTTGTATGGTTACACAGATGAATTGGTCAACAGCAAAGTACTTAAGCAAGGGCAAATTAGCATAGTGCAAAAAATGTCCAAGGTAAATAATATAGCCAAAGTTGGGTGAGAAAAATGAGTATGATTTTGAGGAAGAACTGGTATGCCCATAATTTTGCACTTTTCTCATCTATAAAAAGAGGGACATGGATGGTGCAATATATTATTAGTGGTAGTATTAACCATAACAGCAGCAATTAGCATTCCTTGAAGCCTTACCATGTATACTGCCACATATTAACTCATTTACTATTTATAACACCTTACCAGATGGGTTTATCATTATCATTCCCATTTTACAGATGAAGAAACTGAGGCACAGAGAGGTCACACAGCTAGTAAGCAGTGATCACAGGATTTGAATTCAGGCAGTCTGGCTCAAAAGCCCATTTCCTAAGATCCCCTCTGTTGATAAGGTTCTATATGCTGGCAAAGTAAAGGGAGTGTCTTGGGAGTAAAAAACATTATATTATTGAATCAAATTCTTCAAAAGAATTAGAAACAACTAGTTGTATGTGATTGTAAATTACAGTGGGTAGTCGGATAAGAGTGAACAGAAGGGTTCCTTCTAACTCAAGCAGTTTTGTGTCAAAGGTTATTATGATGTCATGTAAACTTTTCTAGAAATCTATCACTATGTAAACAAATGATTGAAAATCCTGCATGGGGGACAAAACAGTTGGTGGGGATGTTAAATTGACGTAAAGGGAAATGAGAAGTTTTGGGGGTGATGGAAATGCTATCACGATTGTGGTAGTGGTTACCTGATTCAATGACTGTCAAAACTCATTAAATTGTACGCTTAAAATTGGTGACTCCTACTGTGTGTAAACTATCCAAATAAAGTTGATTTTAAAATAATAAAGCACATATACACCAAAAAATAAAAAAAAAGAAAAAAAGAAAATCCTGCATAAATGTCATACAATGATTCTTGTTAAATATGAAATAATTTTTAAAGAATAAAATGTCTAGAGAAATTATACATTTATTCCATCTATTTTAAAAGTAAGTTTAGTTCTCTTTCAAAAAGAAAGAAAAAAATGGGAATTCCAGGTGAAATATTAGAGGCTGATGCTAGTACTGAACATATGCCCTGTTCATTGGTAGGCATCTCTGTGAAATAAAAGTAGGCTTAAGTAAGCTTTTGATTGTCTACCAAGAGATACCAATAAAAAAAAAAATCTGTGGAATTAATGTAGTGATTGATTTCTAAAAATCAAATACTAATTACCTTAAAACTAGTGAGAGTAAAGTAGCATGTGGTACTTTTTAAGATCAACTGTGACTTTTTTTTTTTTTTAAGAGTCTTGCTCTGTCGCCCAGGCTGGAGGGCAGTGGCGCGATCTTGGCCCACTGCAAGCTCCGTCTCCTCTGTTCGAGCAGTTCTCCTTCCTCAGCCTTCCGAGTAGCTGGGATTACAGGCGCCTGCCACCACGCCCGGCTAATTTTTTGTATTTTTAATAGAGATGGGGTTTCACCGCATTAGCCAGGATGGTCTCTATCTCCTGACCTTGTGATCCGCCCGCCTGGGCCTCCCAAAGTGCTGGGATTACAGACGTGAGCCACCGCGCCCAGCCCCAACTGTGACTTTTCTATCCATTCTCACAACTTCATAAAAATTAAATGCAGGAGGCCGGGCACGGTGGCTCACACCTGTAATCCCAGGACTTTGGGAGGCTGAGGCGGGTGGATCACTGGGTCACTTCAAGACCAGGCTGGCCAACATGGTGAAACCCCGTCTCTACTAAAAATACAAAAATTAACCGGGCATGGTGGCGGGTGCCTATAATCCCAGCTACTCAGGAGGCTGAGGCAGGAGAATCCCTTGAACCCGGGAGGTGGAGGTTGTGGTGAGCCAAGATCATGCCATTGCACTCCAGCCTGGGCGACAGAGCGAGACTCTGTCTCAAAAACAAAAACAAAAACAAAAAAATTAAATGCAGGATCTTCCAAACTCTGACGTGGCTATTTGGCCCATCTCACTTATTTACCTTCCAACTTCTTCAGCAAAAATTAAACAAGTAACACAGTTGTCTAGTGACAGTGTTCTTGAAAATTCAGCCTTCTCCTCCTTAAGGAGGGGAGAAAATCAACTGCAGTGATCATAGCTCAGAGTTCAGCACATTCACAGGCGTGGGTGTGCAAGTGTGTAGTTGGTTGAACCATAGCAAATTGCCCTTTGTGTAGGTCAAAAACAGCTAAATATCACCAATTGCCTTTAGATCAACGTAGTACAATGTTATTTTTCTAACTGAACGACTTTCAAATCAGAAGGGTTGAAAGGATTTTCTCTTGAACAATTAGAACACAAAGTCCTCAGAAAGAGCAGGAAAGGGCTTTGCTTTTCCCCATATACCCTCTTTTTACAGGCCTTTTCATTTCTGCCAGCAACACTATTCGTGGCTCTCCAGAGCACACTCTTCCCTCTTTCCTCTCTGGTCCTAGTATGAACAACAATCAGGCCTGTCTCCTAGTATAGCTGAAAAAAACATAAGGGAAACCGAAGGATGCATTACAGCGTAGATCCATCTTCCCTTATTAAAAACCTATTACCAAACAGTTTTCTTACCACACCACACAGCCTGTCAGTTGCCAAACTCAAAGGTTTTATTCAATGCACAGCTATCCAAAGATACCCTTTTTAACTTGGAGCTATTCCCAAATTTCAATCCTTTTTTCCCCCCCTTCTCTTTTCCAGGGAAAGGATTAGTGTAGATTGAATACTGAAACAAGAGTGGAAATAAAGATTGATGGTCCACACTTAGGTCAAGGGCTATCATCTTTCAGGAAAGCAAGCACTTGTATGAATGTGGAGCTTTCTCAGCCTTGCCCACAAACCCAGTAGTAGGTAGTGTTCAGCCTAGTTCTTATTCTTATCATAGAGGCTGGTGGCACGTGAGCACTCAAGAAGGAGGTTGGAGGCCTGGCGTGGTGGCTCATGCCTGTAATCCCAGCACTTTGGGAGGGTGAGGTGGGTGGATTGCCTGAGGTCAGGAGTTCGAGACCAGCCTGGCCAACATGGCGAAACCCTGTCTCTACTAAAAATACAAAAAAATTAGCTGGGCGTGGTGGCGGGCACCTGTAATCCCAGCTACTCGGGAGGCTGAGGCAGGAGAATCGCTTGAACCAGGAAGTGGAGGTTGCAGTGAGCCAAGATCGTGCCATTGCACTCCAGCCTGGGTGACAAGAGCAAAACTCCGGCTCGAAAAAAAAAAAAAAGGTTGGGAGAGGCTCAGCTGGAAAAGCATTCTCTTTGCCAGGCTTCTCACACATGGTTTCCCCAGGAGACTCAGGGAGGAACCTGTGGCATCTTCAGTTCCTTCATTCTTTTTTAGCTCTTAGCCGAATTTTACATTAACTTCCAAACCTGACTTTGAAACTAGTGTTTCAGCAGCACTGGAATATCAGAGTGCATTATCCATAAACAGAGAAGCACAGCGGCAGACGTCTTGACAGGCAGAGAAAGAACATTAGGCAGAGTTGTCCTCTGCTTGCTTTGTGGTGGATTTTAAACAGTGATCCCTGCTTATGTAGCTATAATGACTTTACTAAGAAATGTGTTCTTGAGTAGTAAACTTAATCTATCAGACAAATAAAACCACAAATTTAGTTGAACTGGAAATCACTTGTTACTTTGGCTCTTTAACTATCATTATAGCATAAATTGCAACAGTTACAACCATCTCTGGGAGTACATGGATATTTTACAGCTATTGTAAATGAACAGTATTACAGTTGGAGATATGTGGCTGTGAAACCACAGGAAGGGTAGTTCAAGAACACCTGGTTTCCTATAGGCTTCCAGGCCCGTTGTATCAAAAGACAGGAAATATGCGCTTTTCTTATCACCTTTTAGGTGCACATAACAACACATAAGCACATAACAACAGGTGGCTGTATATGTATGCAAGACAACACTGCATGCATTGGCCACAGATGGTATAAAGAGTCAAGAGTCCCAATTTGTGGTTGTACTCCCTGAATTAAACCTACCCCTGACACAAACGGCACTTGCCCCCAGATAATTTAAGCATCTAACCACTAGTCTTCCAGATACAATTCATGGCATGGAACATTTGGTAGGTCTTCTTTTTTTTTTTTTCAGAAGTTCAAAATTAAGGGCAAATAACATTAGCCCCAGCTGACCAATGAAGAAACTGAAACCAAAAGAGGTTTAAAAAGGAAAGTGTCACACCCCAATAGAAAAATGGGCAAATATCATGAGCAGACAATTTATAGAAGATACACATGTGGCCAATAGATGTTAAAAAGTGTTCAGCCTCAGTAGTAATCAAATAAATGCAAATTTAAGCCACAGCAGCATATCATTTTCCCACTCTCATATTGGGAAAAGTTAATTAACTGATAATACTCAATGCTAGTAAGGATGGACTGAGATAGCCTCTCCCACTACTAGCTAATGGGAGTATGAATTTATACAACCTCTGTGCACTATAAAGTAATCTCTCAGGTTGCATCAGGGGTCTTTTAACATGTCTCATTTGACCCAGTAATTTCACTCATAGGGTTCTGTATTATGGAAATATTTACTTATAAAAATGTTCAGCAAAACATGCAATATGAAAGAGAAAAACAAAAACTACTTTCTGATTTCTAATTGGGAGAATAGATAAATAAATGTTTATCATGTAGTAAGACATGCAACCATTAAAAAGTATATTTTAAGAACATTGAATAACACAAGGAATGCTAAAGATAAAACATTAGCTGAAAAAGTAGGACACAAAACTTTAAATACAATCCTAGTTGTATGTTTTAAATGTATGCACAGAGATTATGCCAAAAAAGTAAGATAAATGAAATGAAATACAGTGAAGTGTTAACAGTGATTTTCATTGGATGGTTGGATTACATGTAATTATATCCTTTGTACATTTCTATATTTCTAATTTTTCTGCCATGAAAAAGTTATCTCTTTTATATTTGGGGGTGGGAGGGAAAGGTTACTTTTTAAAGCAAAGAGCACAAGATTCTGAACAAAGGAAGACCAGAGTCTGGTATGAGAGCATTAGCTTTGCAGCCATCCAGACCTCTAAGATCAAAACTCTTTCTGAACCAGGATGTTGATCTTGGATTCCTGAGACCTGAAAAGGTTTTATGTTTAGGTTTTTCAGAAAGGTTCAAAGCCCCCCTAAGAGTATATTAAAAATGTTAATATATATGCATTTTATATGCACTTTTCTTGGGATACATTGCATAGCTTTCAGATAGTTAAACAGATCCTTGACCACAAAAGTTAAAATTAACATCAAGTTTAGTTGAGTAGCTAGTGAATCAGTTTAATCTGACTATGATTAATGTAGTCAAATCCTAATGTGAGTTTCACTCCTCCCCTTCATTAACAAGATATTTAACATTTCATTCAGGATCATGTTGACAACTCTTACCGATATAAATCTAGTACACTAAGCTACAATCACCTTGGAATCTGAAATGTGGTCCTATTCACAAGCCTAAATAAAATGAGAAAAGTAATCATTATGTTATACAAATAACAATTACTAGTGTTGTTTCACAGCTTACCAAGTACCTGTATATGGAATATCGTTTAATTCTTAGCACAAGTTTGTGGTGTAAAGTGGTAACATCACTCTTGTTTCACAGATAAGAAAACTAAGGCGCAGATGGAAGAAATGACTGGTGCACAGACAAGTAACTAGTTTGAATGTCTCCTGACTGCAGTTCACTGCTACTTAGACTCCTCAAAGTCTCTCCTTTTTCATTCTTGTTTTTGTTCCTGCCGGATACACTAGGACTCTCTCCACCCAAATCAGAAGTCTGTCCCCTAAAAGCTGGGTGAAGGGTACACAGCAACTCTACCATTTTTGCAACTTCTTGTGAGTCAGACTATGTAAAAATAAAAAGTTTTAACACAACAAAACATAAAACCCACTAAAACTAAAACTTAACTAAACTGAGCTAAGCTAAAATAAAATAAATTTTAAAATTCCTTCCTGCACTTTCCACCTATGCCTTCTTCAAAGCTCCCCTCTTCCACAGGGCCTTCTTCAGTGCACTGGCCAGCAGGGACTGAACCTCTTAATGACTAAAATCAAGAACACCTTTTTTTTTTCTGAAACACACACACACAAAAAAAAACAGTTGAGGATTGCATTTTCTAAGTGATTGTGTTGTAATCAGCTACCCATAGCAGAAGTTACTGGTAGATCTAGCAAACACTGACACTACCAGCTGAAACGTGGAAAAAATCAGGTCAGTTGTCCCACTGCTGATTTTTTAAACTTTTTTTTTTTTTACTAAGTCATTTAGTTATTTGGTTATCTTGTGTGAACCCAGATGAATTTTATCAGTCAGGCACCGTTGAATACTGTCTTTCATGGAATCCAGTTCAAGATCCCTTGAATCAGGATCACTCTGGGACTGCTACAAGGTTTTGAGGTGCCCAGAGAAAATGCTACCATACGGTAGAAAAAGTCTAGAACCAGAATCATGTGAAAGTACTGTTTCTAAACTTGGAATCCAAACTTAACTCTGTGCTTTAACCACAGTTAGTGGTGCTGCCCTTGTGAATGCTGGGGGACCTACCAACACTTAGTTCATTTACCTACAGGCCTCCGTGAAAGTATTGCTAAGTGAGATTCCATAACTAGAGGGCAAGGCAACCTGAGTTCCCCTATAATAGGTGTGAAATCATATAAAACTCCAAGCCCAGGTGAATGAGGAAACCAAAGAAGGGAATCTGTATAAGTTAGAGGGGGCTCACTGTATTCCTTTTGTCTGATTTCTAATCACACAAATAATTCACCCTTTTATGTTATGGCCACTTCACTGGTGAAAAGGGTGAAGGAATACCCACTCCTTAGTAGGCAACTGACTTACATAAAATAAGATCACATAATTACTGAAAACTGTGGCACTGCACTTAAGGCTTGAGCTGGGGAAAAAGCAATCAACAACCACCTATTGAGAGTCTAGAGTATTTCAAGTACTTAAGACATAGCCCTGCTCTCTGAGAGTGTACAATGTGGTAGAGGAATAAAGACAGGTGGCATCTGTGGAATGTGAAGCCGTGAGGCTTCAGAGGCAAGACAGACTCTATCGTTGGATAATCAGGAAAGGATTCATGATTGTCAGTGCTCTAATGAGGGGAACAAGGCTGTGCTTAAAATGTATTTCATATCTCTTTCTCATAGGCCCACAACAGAAACCTACTCTCCATAGATTTTGATCATATAACCCGCACAGGAAAGATCTATGATGACCATCGAAAATTCACCCTTCGAATTCTTTATGACCAGACTGGGCGACCCATTCTGTGGTCTCCTGTAAGCAGATATAATGAAGTGAACATCACATATTCACCTTCGGGATTGGTGACGTTTATTCAAAGAGGAACGTGGAATGAAAAAATGGAATATGACCAGAGTGGGAAAATTATTTCAAGAACTTGGGCTGATGGGAAAATTTGGAGCTATACCTACTTAGAAAAAGTAAGTACATAGGGGAAAAAGACAAGTTTCAAGTTTCTGAATGAGACTATCGAAAATGGCCCTAATTGTCCATCTTGGTGAGGACCTGCAGGAGAAAAGTCTGTGTTCCAGCTGTTCTGTTCTGTAGAAGTAACAAAAAGATGTTGAACTTATAAGGATAAACTGTTTTTCAGCTGAAAATTTTCCCCAGTCCCAGACTCTGCCAAGTACTCTTTCAGACTAAAGTCAGAATAACGGCTTAGCTTTCTCCTCATTTGAACATCTTTGTTCATGCTTTTGAAAAGGTTATCTTTATTATTATGAAAGCTCATACCGAGGGAAAAATAGCTAGAAAATTATAAAATTGTGTTAATGTACTCAGCTCTGGTAAAGGGCTTTTTACCCAGAGGATAAGCAATTCTAATTTTGTTAGGATAGTCAGTGAAGTTTTAGTTGTATACATTTGAAGACTAATTTCCAAAAGTAATCAGCCTGCGGGAATGGTGGTAGTGGGGCCTCATTGGTAATACTCTTTTCTGTACACTGAGTCTCCAGTAGCATCCATAATGGGAGCTTGTGGCCTGTGTCTGGGAATAATAGAAAAATATTTTAATCCCACTACAGGAACCATTTGTCAAACATCAGCCCCTACAGAGCAAAATGGTTTCTGGCCAGATTGGTACCAGAGGACAGTAAGAGTAATTGATCTCTATCTCAATGTCTAATCTCCTAAGATAGTGCCTCTTGTTTCCCAAATCTATTCTTTCAACACATTTAGGAATTCATCAGTCCTAAATTAATTTCTACAAAAATTGAAAAATGGCTTCCCTTGAGAATTCAAGGGTAATCAGTACAAGGTAGCTTCTAGATGTTCTTAGAGAAGTCATAGGAGCTCATAGCTCACATGACAGATTTCCCTATTGGTACCAAATAATGCCCAACTTTTCTGATACGCCCTCCCCAAAGTTAAACAAAAATAGTGTGCCAGTGGTTATATGTCATTATCAAACCATGTTACTAGTTCCCAGAGTTTGTTGCTGGAGAATTTACCAAGTTGGAAATGCCTGGAGATGAAGCAGAGTTCACTTGGGAGCCAGGGCAAAAGGAAGGAGTCCTTTGGTGAATCCACCTCATGTCCTTTTTTGCTAGAAATATTTATCAAATCTATAATCTATCCTCTACACTGGCAAAATCTGAATCTTATAGAGCAGGTCTTTCCTCTTTTGAATTTTGGTAACAAGAATGATTGGCAAAACCGTGTGACTAGTGCCTACAGAATGCCAAGCCTGTTACAACATTAACTGAATCCAAAAATTTGCTGGTATGTGTGCATAGGCAAAGTATTTCTTAAGGTGTATATTGATGACCTTCATATGAAAAAAACAGTGCTACTGATCACTAACAGAATATTAGCTGAGTTAGTTTTTCAGAAAGGAAGACAGGTTTGCACCAATCTTTCCACAGGTCCCCCATGTGACTAGTTAAGTAGCCAGCACTCCTTAGAAGCATACGTAGGATTGCACTCATAATTCCAACCTCATTGGCACCAGAGTCCGACCAACTGAGCTAATTGCCTATAGACAGTCACATCTAGGTCTCATAAGACTTTCCCCTCTAGATGACGAGTTAGTGGGTGCAGCGCACCAGCATGGCACATGTATACATACGTAACTAACCTGCACATTGTGCACATGTACCCTAAAACTTAAAGTATAATAATAAAAAAAAGACTTTCCCTTTAGACTATCTGCACAATAACATAAGAGCCTATTGAAAACTTCAATTTCATCCCTGGGTGCAGTTATTTAGCCTCTTCTCTGACACCAATGAGGAGATTTTATTGTTTCTCTTTTCCGAATTCACTGATTATTCCATCAAATTTACTTAAGCAAAGAATCACGTGAAGCAAACTTCACAAGTTCTCTTTGCTACAAAAACGTAGTTGGCAATAATTGCTAAGCAAACAAACAAAAACCTCGGTGAGACTGCCAGTGTCTGCAGTGGACAAAAATAAGACCTTCCTCACCCAGAATAAGGTATCAAGACAAGTCCTGGTAACTTTCTGACCAGTGAGACAAACCAGCTTATTTGTACCTTTGAGTTCACTTTTGTTCCTTTCTTGATTTTATATTTAATTTGTTCTCTAATTAAAAGGGTAGCTACTGATTTAAGCAGTCCTGTTATGCAAAACTCAGAACCTACAGAACGCATAATTATGGAACGATTCTTTACTTTCCAAAAGTCATTTGTCATAAAATTGATTTTATTAACATTATTATTACCAGTAATCATAACTAATTCACTGAATAGATATAATTAAATGAAATAACTTAATATAAAACACCCAAGTAGAGAATTTAAATGCTAGCTAGCACTTACTGCCACTTGGAGGTAAATCAAAACAAGAAAGAGCAGAAGAAAGTAAGGGAGGGAAGAAGGAAGGAAGGGAGGGAGGCAGGGAGGGAGGGAGGAAATTAAAGCATCTTTGAAATTGTGATTCTAGAGGGAAAAAGGGAAAGAACATTGAATTTACCAAAATCCCATGTAACATGTAACTTTTTCACTGACTTGAGGTTTTGTATCTCCTTGTGTTCTTTCCAGTCCTCTCATTAATATGGCCTTTGTGGCACATTCTCCCACTATGACAGGGGCAGAGCAGGGATAAAGAGGCTCGTTCTTGTAGTATATTTTAAACTAAGAATTCTCAAACTTTAAAATGGATTTCTCTTTTTACACCCCAAAATACTCTGGTATTACCTTGTGAATTCGCTTGCCATACCTGTGTCACGATGTATTAAAAAGCAGCAGCAGATTTTTCACCTTAACACGCAGAAATTTTGTGAAAATAGTTTGACTTCTTCTAGAGTAAGTGAAACTTATGCATATCATTTTCATGCACAATGGTTGTAGCCATTAGGAGAAAAATAATTATTTGGGTAATGGCTGTGGTTGCTTAATGATCTCTTCCCTATTAAAAAAATCAATTATTGTTTCTTAAATTTTCTCTATGTGGTCATTAATTCTCTGTCTTGATTTATGAGACTTCTCTGAGTTAATTATATTTTGAAGACTTGTGGGCTAAAATTTTGTATTAGAGTAAATGTAAACCTTTCAGTTTCCTAAAATAATTCTTATGAACTTCATTTTTAAAATGCATTTAAATATATTTTATAATCATTTAATAAGATACTTTAGCCTTATACATTTACAGCAATTGCCTCTTTGGGGCTGACACTTTCAGAGGCTGCCTAGAGAGACAGAACGACGACTTTGGCTTCAGCTTCCAGGTGGCCCCACACTGCCATCTGGTGGTCATTCAAATGCTTTAACTTTTCAAATTTCTGCTCTCATTTCTAGTCTTGTTCAAATAAGCATACAGCCATGATTGCTGTTGCTGTTGTTGTTGCTTTTACAATTATCTCTTTTAGAACCTCACAATCAATTAAAAGAATAAAAGTCTCCCACTCTGTTATTTGGACTAATAAGAAATGGCCTTTTATCCTATAACAGCATTGTGGACATTGGATAGATTCATAAGCACTGTTTTTGAGCAAACTGATAATAATGCCCACCCAAAGTGAAAAAGCAGCCAAATGAGAGCTAAATGGTATTTTGGCAATGTAACAGTTACATTCATTTGATTTCTAATCACATCATCCACATTCTTGCCATTGGCAGGAAGCTTTGAAACAGACTAAGGGCTTTTGAGACAGCCCAGCATCAGCACCACCTAGGAACACGGTTCAGGCAGTGGTTTACTGCAGGCAGGAGGATGGGAACAGAGGAGAGAATAACAACGACGTGCCATAAATACTTGGAAAGGCTGGTACAGTGACTGGAAAAGGCATGGCCCAGGCAGGCTGGTACTAGATAATGTGTGGGGGCCATATGGTGATAGTCCCTGGCCCGTGTCACAGGTGACAGATGTCATTTACTCACAGCAAGTTGACAGAAGAGAGTGGAAAGGAACTGAGAAATGTGACTTTCAGACTAGAGATAATGCAAAAGCTTTTCCACAATTCCTGTACAAAGCTTTTCCACCCCTGCCCCCTGCCACCTGCTTTCCCATTCATAGGAAAATTTCTTGCTGGTTCTATTGAATTCTGCCTTGGTCCAGGGAGGCAGTTCTCCCTTAATGTCTCCAAGCCCATTCAGGATTTCCAAGTCTCCTTCCTTTTGTTCAGGAGGTTTTCAGAGGTCACAGTGGTGGAACTGTAGGCTGTGGCAAGCTGCAGGTTGTCCACAAGTGACGAATTGACAGGATTTCTGCACTCACCTCTGGCTCTGCAGGCGTAATGTTGGTGGAAAAGAAAGAATGAACAAATGAGCAAATAACCACTGACTTTGACTTCATGGTACTGAAATGCAATTCAAAGTCAATAATTCTCAGAAGGGTAGGGAGGATATGCAGTTTCAGAAAGCACATTCAATATTAGAATGTAATGTCATATTTAGAAGATATAAATGTACATTACATATACTTGTGTAATTCACATTCATAAATATTTATATAATTTGTGCTTAGAAAATGAAAATATACCTATTGTTTTCATAACACAAACTTGAATAAATAACCCTCAACTAAATCTCTTTGCTTGAAAAGGTAATTTTCTAAAGGGGAAGGATAAAGCTCCTCTAGGGAGTCATATCAGAATCTCCAAGGATGAGAAATTTTTATTTTTATTAAAAGATGAGATGCACATGTCAGTCAATTAGAGTCCTCCCTAAAACAGTGCTCCTTTTATGTCTGCATTTAGAATTAAAACAAGACAATCAATATTTATGAAACACCTGTTACCTGCATTATACCTCAACAAACAACTGTTTCTAAAATACAGATCAGTTTGGGGGAGAGGGGCTGCATAACCAGAGAATCATTCAGTTTTAATGACATGCTTCCCTAATATTAAAACACAAATGGAAATGTGAAGTTAAAACATCAATTGCAAAACATTAATAGTGCCATAATAATATTTTATGCACAATTTTTAGGAAGACATCTAGTATGTGAAGTCAATCAATACTTTATGATAACTATAAATTAATTTGTGAAATGCCCTGCCATCCATTTACCTTCCTCTGAAACATATGCACGTTGAAGTAACCTTTCTAAAATACCAACTTGACAGTTTCTCCCAGCTTGCAAGTGCCCTCTTGCAACCGTCCCTTAACTTGCTTAAAACCCTTCAAGAGTGCCAGATGCAGTGGCACACATTGGTAGTCCCAGTTACTCAGGAGGCTGAGACAGGAGGATAGCCTAAGCTCAGGAGTTCGAGGCTGCAGTGAGCTATGACTACACCACTGCACTCCAGCCTGGGCAACACCGTGAGACCCTGGCTCTAAAAAAATGAAATAAAATAGAAACCCTTCGATGACTCCCTGTTGCCAACATACTTGAATCCAAACTCCTTAGTGTGGCTTAGAAAGCCTAGCATGATCTGGACTCAGCCTACATAGCTGACGTCATCTCCTGCCATTCCCACCACTCCCAACATACTCAAGTTCTAGCCACACAAAATTTCTCTCATTCTCTGAAAAAGCCGTGTTCTTTTTCATATCCAGACCCTCACAAGGCTGTGCTCTCTGCCAAGAATACTCTTTCCCTACCCCTGCCCCCGGCTCCCTGCCTTCACCTGGACAATCCCTAGGCAATCTTTATGTCTCAACTCAGATGCCACTTTATCCAAGAAGCCTTTTCTGGTCTCTCAAGTCTGAGTAAGCTGGTCTTCCTCTGCCTTCCAGAAGCACTCTGTAACTCCCCTGTCATAACACATTTCACACTATATTGTAATTGCTTGGTTACTTGTCTTTCTCCTCCATTAAAACTGTAAATTTCATGAAGATAGACACCACTATTGTGCACTACTGTATCCACTAGGGTTTGCCACAGTGTCTGGCACACAGTAAGTGCTTGATTGATTTGTGTTGAATGGATGAATGTGTATTTTCTTTAGTCGCCTCAACTTTAGTTGTCCATAATATGCTATTCTGCCTTTGTCTCGTTTCAGTCTGTGATGCTTCTCCTACACAGCCAGCGGCGTTACATCTTTGAGTATGACCAACCAGATTGTCTGCTCTCAGTCACCATGCCTAGCATGGTGCGTCACAGCTTACAAACCATGCTTTCAGTGGGCTACTACCGGAACATCTACACCCCACCGGACAGTAGCACTTCTTTTATCCAAGACTATAGTCGAGATGGCCGATTGCTACAGACCCTGCATCTGGGGACAGGGCGCAGAGTCTTATACAAGTACACCAAGCAAGCAAGGCTTTCTGAGGTTCTCTATGATACCACTCAGGTCACATTAACATATGAAGAGTCTTCTGGAGTGATTAAGACAATACACCTGATGCATGACGGATTCATCTGCACAATCAGATACAGGCAAACAGGTTTGTTGTGAAAGAGTGGTGGTGTGTACAACAACATCACTATTTTCTTATGACATTTTTACTGACCACAGTGTGAGATAGAAGCATTAATCTACACACATTCAACCCAACTTTCACTTTACTTATCAAATTATCTGACATTGAAAATGTAAAGCATGTTATAGTCTGATGAAAGCTGATTTCTTAAAAACATATAGTGCATTTCTTTCTTTCAGCTCTCAAGTAATTTGAAATCCAAGTGCCTAGTGTAACTGTATACCCATTCCTGCTCAGCACCAAATCTTCTCAAAGATGAAACGGCAAGATATAAGTCTCACTGAAACTAGCTCAAGCCCTGTGTAACCTTTATAAGCCTCAGTTGATGACAAAATATCTTCACAAGTCAGAACTTTCTAATGTATTTCACCCTTTGGGTTTATAGAATGCCCAAATCCAGTTACTTTAATGCTGGAATTTGTCAAAACCTGACCCTCTGACTTTGTAGCAAAGGTTAAATGAAATGAAAGCATTTTTGTCAGTGATTATAGCAAGAAGTATCAATTTCATCACCCTGGGCTACTGGATGTGTTATTACTTCTGTAGTTTCTATAATTAAAATTTTCTATAACTATAGAGTATTTTAATTTTTTATATTTGAGGATTACCACTATGAGAATATATATCCATGAGGTAATATGCCCAGGCATTTGATATCAGAGATCAGTCTCTAATATTGTATTATGAATATAAAAGCACCAGTACTAAATAAAATAACACTAGACCTTTCTGACTCTTCCACATTGATCGCCTAGCTTCTTACTGTTTTTGTTTTGGTTCCTGCAGGACCTCTTATTGGACGCCAGATTTTCAGATTCAGTGAAGAAGGCCTTGTGAATGCACGGTTCGACTACAGCTACAACAATTTCCGAGTCACAAGCATGCAAGCTGTAATCAATGAAACCCCTTTGCCTATAGATCTTTACCGATATGTTGATGTCTCTGGCAGAACAGAGCAGTTTGGAAAATTCAGTGTAATTAATTACGATTTAAATCAGGTCATAACTACTACAGTGATGAAACACACCAAAATCTTCAGTGCCAATGGACAAGTCATTGAAGTCCAATATGAAATCCTAAAGGCAATTGCCTACTGGATGACCATTCAATATGATAATGTGGGCCGCATGGTAATATGTGACATAAGGGTAGGAGTAGATGCCAATATAACAAGGTACTTCTATGAATACGATGCTGATGGGCAACTTCAGACTGTTTCTGTAAATGACAAAACCCAGTGGCGTTATAGTTACGATCTGAATGGAAACATCAACCTCTTAAGCCATGGGAAGAGTGCTCGTCTTACTCCTCTCCGATATGACCTCCGAGACCGCATCACCAGATTAGGAGAAATTCAGTATAAAATGGATGAAGATGGCTTTCTGAGGCAGAGGGGAAATGATATTTTTGAATATAATTCTAATGGCCTGCTGCAGAAAGCCTACAATAAGGCTTCTGGCTGGACTGTGCAGTATTACTATGATGGGCTTGGGCGACGTGTCGCGAGTAAGTCCAGCCTAGGGCAGCACCTTCAGTTCTTTTATGCAGACCTTACCAACCCCATAAGAGTTACTCATTTGTACAACCACACAAGCTCGGAGATTACATCTCTGTATTATGATCTCCAAGGTCACCTTATTGCCATGGAGTTAAGCAGTGGTGAAGAATATTATGTAGCCTGTGATAATACAGGTACCCCACTAGCTGTGTTCAGCAGCCGAGGTCAGGTCATAAAGGAGATACTATACACACCTTATGGCGATATCTATCATGACACTTACCCTGACTTTCAGGTCATTATTGGTTTTCATGGAGGACTCTATGATTTCCTTACTAAATTAGTGCACCTGGGGCAAAGGGATTATGATGTTGTTGCTGGCAGATGGACAACGCCTAATCATCACATATGGAAACAGTTGAACCTCCTTCCTAAACCATTCAACCTCTACTCCTTTGAAAATAACTACCCAGTTGGCAAAATTCAAGATGTTGCAAAGTATACCACAGGTATTTAAACTATTTAAAACTTTAAGCTAAACTTGAGTAACTCAGTACTGTTGATTTTATCACAGAATCTCAATGCCTTTGTAAATATGCTTCCTCTTCCTGACAGTTAGCCCGCAAGTTATTGTGCATTTGCTGTCTTCCTTAGTTTTCTAGAGTGAGCAAAACGTGCATGTTAACATATAATACTTTTGCATCCTACTACATTTTTTAGCTGTTTCTGTGTTTTACTCTTACAAGCTTATATGAATAATTTCGTAAAAGAAAAATTCAGGATTCTTGTTTCATCATATAAGCTGATATTATAATCCAGGGTTATCCACAAATCAACACTCTACCCTGTAGAGAGAGGATCAGGTGTTTTAGTGTGGGCCATATAAAGGGGAGTTTTAGGCTGGGTGCGGTGGCTCACACCTGTAATCCCAGCATTGGGAGGCTGAGGCAGGCAGATCACTTGAGGCCAGGAGTTTGAGACCAGCCTGGCCAACATGGTGAAACCCCATCTCTACTAAAAATACAAAAATTAGCACATGCCTATAATCCCAGCTACTCAGGAAGGAGGCTGAGGCAGGAGAATCGCTTGAACCCAAGAGGTGGAGGTTGCAGTGAGCCAAGATTGCACCACTGTACTCCAGCCTGGGCAACAGAGTGAGACTATGTCAAATAAATAAATAAATAAATAAATAAATAAATAAATAGGAGTTTTATTCCTAACTTCTATTGCCTAAACAGTTTGAAGGCAGGAGAGGTATCTTTCAAGTTTTCAACAAAGCTTATAAAGTATGGGATTTTTCATTTTCTTTTTTTAATATTGTGTCTCACAGACATCAGAAGTTGGTTGGAGCTATTTGGTTTCCAATTACACAATGTACTACCTGGATTTCCCAAACCTGAATTAGAAAATTTAGAATTAACTTACGAGCTTCTACGGCTTCAGACAAAAACTCAAGAGTGGGATCCTGGAAAGGTTAGTAAAAGTTTTATCACCTCCTTTTAGCTGAAACAACAGAAGGGCATTCAATACCCAGAAATTATATATACATATGTTTGCTTACTGATTTTTTAGTCTTCTTGAATATTCACTAAAACGTGCACAATTAATGAGAAGGTATAAAAAAAGCTCCATGAGAAAAAAGATCAGAGAATTGGAGTTTTGGGGGAAAAAAAAGATTAACAGGTTACTTGATGACTGCTGCAATAGGTACATAAGAGGAAAGAGGAACTGTACTTTAAAAATTCTGAAATGGGCTACCAAGAGCAATTATGGATTCTACCTAGAGAAAATTGTTCGGTAAGAGACACGAAAACATCAGATTTCCAACTGTAAAATAATTTAGGGGTTGATGTCTTAAGAGCATGGGAATAACAGAATAAAATTATTCTGATAAAGAAAAAATACATAAACACAATGAAGCAAAAATAATAAATATTACAAGGGTACAGTTTTGAGAAAAAATAGGAACATCAAAACATTTAAGATTCAGCAGATGATATCACCAGAAGTATGAGGTACAAATGAAAATAAGGAGCTTTTTCTTTCAACTGAAAGAAATATGAATATCTGTGTTTGCGAAAACAAAATGGGCTTGATAGAATAAAACTGAAATTTGGGTGTGAGGCCTTGAAATTTAAGTCTAAAAAATTATAAGGGACAGGAAGTTCTAGATAGGTCCTATAAATTCATCCCTTTTTGTAAAGATGTAAATGCTTTCTGTAATTAAAAGTCCTTCTAAAAAACATTTAGCAAAATGTTGAAAATTGCTGAAGCTTCATAATGGATACTTGGAGGTTCATTAGTCTTTTCTCTTTATTTCTTAGTATGTTTGAAAATTGCCCAAAAAAAAAGGTTTTTTTTAAGTCCACATAAAAAGATCAATGAATTTCTGGCTGATTTGCCATAGTTAATTATAAGGTCTTAAACTCTTTAAAGTAGGAACTATGCCTTATGCATTTCTTTGTGCCTCACTGTGCCTAAGTATTACTCTACATGTAGTAATAACATCTAGTCAGTGTGAGTGAAATCAGTGAAAATAAAATGTCTGTGTTTTGGGAGAGCTGGACCAACTTAAAGTGCCTTCCAGCTCTGCAATTCTGTGATTTCAAGTTTAAATGTATTTCCTTATGCTTAACTCCACCAAGATATAAGAATGCTAGGTAGTCACCTGTTAGTCTTTTCCAAATCTCTGATGAAGAGATTCCAAATCTGGCTTATTTTTAAATCACTCACTGACAAATTAAAGAGAGAAGGAAGCAAACTTGCAAGCCTGTCCTTTCCACAATCACCAAGTATCTGACAGATGTCTAACTCCATGCTGCATCTGCTCTGTGCCTCTCTTTCCTAGACTATCCTGGGCATTCAGTGTGAACTCCAGAAACAGCTCAGGAATTTCATTTCCTTGGACCAACTACCTATGACTCCCCGATACAATGATGGACGGTGCCTTGAAGGAGGGAAGCAACCAAGGTTTGCTGCTGTCCCTTCTGTTTTTGGGAAAGGTATAAAATTTGCCATCAAGGATGGCATAGTAACAGCTGATATTATAGGAGTAGCCAATGAAGATAGCAGGCGGCTTGCTGCCATTCTCAATAATGCCCATTACCTGGAAAACCTACATTTTACCATAGAGGGGAGGGACACTCACTACTTCATTAAGCTTGGGTCTCTGGAGGAAGACCTGGTGCTCATCGGTAACACTGGGGGGAGGCGGATTCTGGAGAATGGTGTCAATGTCACTGTGTCCCAGATGACTTCTGTGTTGAATGGGAGGACTAGACGGTTTGCAGATATTCAGCTCCAGCATGGAGCCCTGTGCTTCAACATCCGGTATGGGACAACTGTCGAAGAGGAAAAGAATCACGTGTTGGAGATTGCCAGACAGCGCGCAGTGGCCCAGGCCTGGACTAAGGAACAAAGAAGGCTGCAAGAGGGGGAAGAGGGGATTAGGGCATGGACAGAAGGGGAAAAGCAGCAGCTTTTGAGCACTGGGCGGGTACAAGGTTACGATGGGTATTTTGTTTTGTCTGTTGAGCAGTATTTAGAACTTTCTGACAGTGCCAATAATATTCACTTTATGAGACAGAGCGAAATAGGCAGGAGGTAACAAAAATATCTCTGCCTTTGCGTCACCAAAGACTGCCTGTTTTTAAAACATAAAATGGTTTATTGTATTGGTTTTCTAGATCAGAACTCTGTATATGTAAATATGGAGGAAAAACATATCCAACTGCCTTTCAATGTGACGGAAGATGGTATTTTAATATTGTTTGTTTAAACTCTTTAAGAAATGACAGAGATTTTTAGTTCTTGTGTGGCAGTATTCAAAATAACACAAGTAGAACTCAAACAGCTAAAAACAGTTTTCAGAAAGCACCACTTTCAATTTGCCGAGCCATGCATATGTTCCAATATCCAGAAAGAACCCAAGGTTCTCTATCTCTATTGTGAGAAGCAGTTTCATCCTTAACTGTTGGCAGAACTTACGGGCTATTTGAATAGGTGGTGCAATAGTATCTGAAACTTGCCTTTCGAAAGACTGCCAGCCCTTTGACGTTTTCCAGATCTGTTATAGGAAACTTAAAAACAGGTGTAAAATGTCTTCAGCCACCATCTCCTAGAGTGAGGACCCAATTGCCCTTCCTTCTTGATTATTCCTCCTTGCTTGTTAAAGTAAATGCCATATTGTTGTGCTGTGTTTTGGCGTGTGGTGGCTGGGTTCTGTCTACCATGCTTCCCTGTGGGTGTGGTAACCAGACTGTATAGCCGCTATTTGCTCGTGTGTACATGATACCAAAGCAGCTGGCCAGCGTGACCTCTCTCACACGACCTGTTTTGACTCAATTTTTTACTAAAAGTTGTTCAGCTGTATTGGTATCATGTAAACATAGCTTTTATTAACCTGGGTAGGAATTTCTCATTTATATATAGGATGTGTTTTGGTCATAGTTTCACATTAGTGATTCAGTATCTATACACTGACCCAATGGTTTTGTGCACATGAACGGTAATTTACTTAAAAGTATGATTCTGGTACAAAAACAAACAAAGGCTTTAGCAGGCATACGTGTCTGGGATGCCGATACATACATTAACTACTACTGCAGAAATTCATAAGAGCCAAAACCTTAAAAAAATAGACCTGGTACTTAAGTGAAAGTACTAAAGGGAAGACCAGACCAAACATCACAGCAGTTGCTGCCACATTGTTTCAGCCCACTTAGATTTATCTTTCAAATGTACAATTCTGTATTGAACATCTCCCAGCCATCTTCAGGAAATCGAATCAAGTAAATCCTTTCCAACCGAAAACATTTCAACTAACTATAGAGAGGCAGACTCATTTTTACTAAAATAATTTATACAGTTAGTTATTTTCGTTCTCCGTACTTACCCATTTATCTTTATTTAATCGTCTCTACTGCCTAGGAAAATAACTATTTTCCAGGACGGGTTATTTGTTCTGCGATCATTTAAAATTTGGAGAAAGGTCAGGATTAGTGTTAATATCAGCTGCAGTTTCTCAATCTCTAGGAATCCTGCAGTAAAACAAGCCCCTTGGTGAGCTGGAAGATTTGTGCCCAGTGACAAAGAGATAGTTTGTAAAATGCTGTGTAATTGTAAGTTACCACAAATGAAAATACATGACAGCACAATGTGGCCCGTAGAAAATTCCCCTGAGCCAGCTTCTGCACTTTCATCACCGAATCTGAACATTTGCTATGTCTGAAGGCAAATTTATGATGGAATGTTAGTTTGGATTCTTTCCAGATGCTACCTAAATGCAGTGTGGGGTCATTGCCTTGCTTTGCGATGACAGTTTCTTTGAAAATATGCAAAGTCATAAGCTCATGTTAAGGTTTTTCAAGAGTCTGCCTCCTACTACACAAAGGAAAGCAAGGGAAAGGAAATGACCCTGGCAAACAGTAGGGAAGGGTGTATTCAAACATTTCATTTTCAAAACCTTCGGGTTAGAATACCACTTACACATGTATTCTGAGAGACAGAATTCATGAGGAACTCATCTCTCTTTATAACTGGAAACACACCAGCTTGATATATTGCTAATCCATACTAAAATCATATTATTGGGTTTTTTCTGAATCAGGCCTGTATTAATGGTACAGTATTTATTCAGAATGGAATTCTAAAATTACTAACAAACTTGTTGAAAATTTGAATACCTCCACACCAACCTAAAAATGGACCTTAAGTTCCTAGAACCTCTGATGTTCTTTTAAATTAATGGAAAAATAATTTGTGAACTGTATATAGAGAGTGCATTCATAAATGTGATTATGTATTTTATCACAAATCCAAAATGTCAATATTAGAGTCTATTTTGCTTATATTTTAAGCAATTATACGTTTTTGCAATTCATTGATGATGTATCATTTTCAAACTGCTTTAAATATCCATTAGAAACAAATATTTGAAGCTTTTACTTAATAGTGATTACCTTGAACTGTGCATTTCTAGTTTGTAATACGTATTTGGTTGGTTCGTGCCTTTAGTTTGTTAAAGTTACATTTGTATTATATTCAGGAAATGCACTTTTTATTACTTACAGCTGTGGTTTTAATACTGCCTTGAACTATTATTATTCTTTTTACAACTCCTAAAGCTTGAGGGAGGAAAGAAAAAAAAAACAAAACTACTAATCAGTAGTAAATCGAAGAGAAACATTTTGGCATTTCTTAAGAAGAAGATGGAGATATTGAGTATATCACTTCCTATTCAGCTGAATAGAAAGAATGCCTTCATTGACTTGCAGTTCTGCAGTTTAAATTATTGAAAGAACAATTCGTTTGCATTTCCTGATGAAAGTAAAAGCATTTTTCAGAGAAACATATGAATTTCTCATACCCAGCAGACAGATGGCTGACACTGCACAGCCACACACCATTCGAGTAAGTTAAAGTGAGAGCATAGTAGTTGGACTCTCCTATGAAGAACATTCTGGGCTGGAGGCAGGGAATACTCCATGGTTGTTTCTTTTTCCTACTTAAGCCCATTTTGTTTGTGCTTTTCTGTTTTGTTTTGTTTTCACTCTTGCACTACAGTCTAGAGATCCAAATGAACTGAAAAGTTCAAAGTTTAACACATTTAAATATGTTTACTTTTAGTTGTCATTCTAATCGTTATTGATTAGAAGCATGACTCCTGAAGGAAAGGGAAATAAATCTCAATTCATACTAACTTGCAACAAAACACTTTTACCATATAAATAAGTATATGATTTATTTTTAACCCAAAAAATGTATAAAATAAGTGTGTCCTTTACTGTCAATTTATCTAGAAGATCTATAATATATAGACTACATATATATAATATATACAACATAGCCAAATGTATGAAAACTTGACAATGTATAATTTGGAATTCACATGCTACCTATGTAGACAGGTATGAAATTAAGTTATAATTTTCATGAGACATTTTCATCACTGTTGACACAGTTTCAAGCATTCCATCATGTTATTTTGACTCTTTTTCTTTTTTTTTTCTTTAAAAATATATTTTTAACTAGACCAGGCCCCACTATAATATCACTTAAGAGAGTCAGGGCAAAGTTTTTGCATTTATGAAGATGTGTTCATGTAAGGGTGATTGTAATGGAGTTCATTGGTAATAGAAGCAAAAGTACAGTAACGAAGTATTGAAAAGAAAATTTTGGAGACATTGGAGCATATTATATATAGCTTGTGGAAAGACATAAGGCTACAGATGGAATGGAACATTCCTGTTTTCTTGAAGAAATTCACATACACATAGCTGACCTGACTAGTACTTCAGCTCTTCCACAGCCTTCTATAAAGGTTCTTTCTTCTGCAAAGAAAACAAAACAAAACAAAACAAAACAAAAAAAACAAAAAAAGCGCAAAAAACAAAAAAACAAAAAAAAGCAAAGTAAAATTTAAAAATACAGAAAACAAACAACAAAAAAGAATTCAACCATAAATAGTGACTATTATTTTCAGTGTGTCCTTCATGTGAAAGCTATTAAGGACCAAATATACTACTGTTCATAAGAAGAAATTACTTTCTAAACAGTAACTGAAAATACTTAGAGTTAAACTTGCTGTGGATTTTGTCTTGGCAGTTGTCATCTTACATTATTTGTCAAAGGAAATGTGTTTGGCAGTTAAAAATCTTTCCTTAGATTTAGTGGTGGACTTTAACCTCTTAAATAAATGTTAGTATATCAGATTGTGTCCTTGAAAAATATTTTACTTGTATGAATCATGACAACGTCTAAATCTTTACTATTCTTCTGGCAAAAGCATCAGTAAGAAAGAAGGCGAAAAAGAGAAGTATAGCCTTTATGTCAGAAAAACATTCTTTTTAGCTGCTTACTTTCTCATGAAAAGTAAAGATGTTTACAGTGTATGCCAAGTTTTCAGTTTCTGTATAACAACAGGTAGAGGTTCTAATCATATTGAAAATTGTGTTATAATGGTCTGAGCCATGTTGCTAGGAAACAATAGGTTCCAATTTTGTATTCCTGCTCTCCTGTGCTGAAAAGTGACTGGATACTGTACAGGTTCATGTTCTCTGGCTGCAGTTAAATGGTCTTTTGCATTTTGCTCTGGCTTTCAGGCCAGAAGCATGCATTTTTCTACAAGAGCATCACAACAACATGCTGTAAATATTTAAAGTTAAACATTATGTGTTGATATTTGAAAGAAAAGTACTTTGAATATTTCATTTTTAAAAAATAAAATTGCCAATGAAAAATGTGTCCCATTTTATTTATGCGCCAAACTGCATTCTCAAATCAGTCTGGTCACCTTAGATAGGACAAGTGGCTCACTAACAGGGAACAATAAAACCACACCATCTTGAAAATGCAGGTACAGAAATCAAAAAGTCACTAATCCTAGGCAGACAGCTCTTCATTTTTATTTTTCATACAAATAGGATCTCTGACACAAGTGACCATTTAATAAACAAAGAAGAGTAGCTGCTGCAAATTTAAATGCCTCTAGGCTGTGACTTCCTTTAAAAAGGCTTCCCTCTCCTTTTGGTGCCTTTCTCAGCAATAGAAAGAAAATAAAAAATTATAAAAACGGGGTGGGAGAGATATATAGGAGTTCAGGGTGTCCAAATGCACTGGCAAAAAATAATGGATGTTGGGGCAGCAGCCAGTGGGGAAGGGTGTCAGGGAGGGGAGGCAATCATGAAACACTAAAAAAATCCTATGCAATTACAATTGCCATTTGGCACTTGTTTTTCACAAGAAGACATTTACAAGTGACGCTGGGAAATCTGGCCAACAGATCTTCAAAAATTCATCTTGATACTCGCGGAGCACATGTAGTCCAAACAACCCATTACTGAAACTTGGAATCCTGCAATTTACACCACTTCAAAATGCCCTGCTGCTTTTTTATGTGTGTGTGTGTGTGTGTGTGTGTCTGTGTGTGTGTGTGTGTGTATATATATATATATATATATATATAGAGAGAGAGAGAGAGAGAGAGAGAGAGAGAGAGAGTGAAAAGACTCATGGAGCAGAAGACAACCTTGATCATCTCAACACAACCCATCAGTAAAAAACAATGGGGGTAGGGGGTTGTTAGTATCAATCATCTGGAAATTTTTTTCAAAATATGCATCCCACCTCACACTCAGGGTATTTTTTAAAAGGGCAGGAGCTCCTATAGAGAGAGAATTATAATAGGAGACGTTTGTATATTCCTTCCCTATTCACCCTCCCTTTTAGAGATCTGTGACTATCAGTCAATGTTATTTAAACATTCAGTAATATTACTACCTTAAAGTTATACATATATGTAATTACGCACACACATATATGTAAATTATTGTACCTTAATAATCTTGTGAGGTTAGTACGACTTAATTATTCCTACTTGGCAAATGCAGTAACAGTAACAGACTGACTTACCTAAGGTCACGTGGATAATCAGTGACAAAGATGAAAAACAGTGGGAGTTGAACAATGAGAACACATAGACACAGGGAGGGGAACATCACACACTGGGGCCTGTCAGGCGGTGGGCGGCAAGGGGAGGGAGAGCATTGGGACAAATACCTAATGCGTGCAGAGCTTAAAACTTAGATGACGGGTTGATGGTGCAGCAAACCACCATGGCACATGTAACCTATGTAACAAATCTGCACATTCAGCGCATGCATCCCAGAACTTAAAGTAAAATAAAAATTAAAAAATAAATAAATAAAATGTTTAAATGGCCCACCAGGTGACTAAAAAAAGAAAAAGAAAAAAAAATCAGTTCTTATGCATTCCTGCTTTTACTCTCTCTGTCCAATACTGAATGTGATACGTAGTATAGCCTTTTGTCATCTTGTGAGAAAACAGTTCTATTTCTGCGTGTATGTGTGCAACCAAGATGTATATATATATCTCAATTCCATATATGTTAATGGACTCTATCCAGTTAGTCAGCCTTATTATATCTTGCTACATTAAAAAAAAAATCTTCATTTAAGAACTAAATGACCTAATGATAAGAATTCAGCCTTTTACTACAAGTTTGGCCAATCACCCCAAATTAGGAAAATGTCCAAACTGGGTAGTTTAACTTCCCCCCTAGTTGCAAACTACAAAATAGTGGTATCCCATTTACTGCAAGAGAAAACATAGGTGTCAAAGTTGAATGTATAGCATCCTAACAGGAAGACCAGGCATCCTATAACCTTGAAATGCTCAAGGGCAAATCTGGGTTTTACTAGTAGTAGACTTTGGATTCTAAGCTTAACGAAGTGAATCAAATAAAACATAAGCTGATGTTGAAACATTATTAACAGAGTTTAAAGCTGTTTCTCACATTTTTAATTCTGTGTCCATTCTACCCGAAAGAATATCTTAAATCCAGCCCTTTATTTATAGCAGAGGACTTAATCAGAGGCATTCTCTATAGACTTATTCTACCTGTGCACTACCACAAAGGTTCCCTGCCTGTAACAGCCAAACAGACAATTACCTAAGCTTGTCTCCCTACTGACCTTATCTCTTAAGAACAAATTTCAGAGGAAATGAATAAGTATTTGATAAGCTGTCATGTTCCTTTTGGGCTTGCTGACACACTTTTTTTTTTTCTGAAGAGAGCTGCACACTTGGAAATATATTGTGCATTTTTCTACCTTGACTCAGCATCTTACAATATGTTAGCATGGCAATATTTTAGATACAGCAAGGATATGACCTTTCTGTAAAGGTGCAAGTGATTACGTACTGGAAAATAGCAAGGATGCTCATGTTGGGAAAGAAAAGGTGAAAAAAAAAAAAAAAAACTTGATGAATAAAAGGCCAGCCAAAGAAGACAGGAAGTAGGCTCATCAACCGGGAACTTGGACAGCAATAAAATCAGAAAAGCACTTACCTTTTCCAGGGAATCACTCCGATAAGATAATCATCAATCCTTTATTTGGTTTATTAATAGCATCAGTCTCTGAATATTTTATAAGGAATTATAAGGAATATTTCAAGACAAATTAGGTAAATAAAGCTTTCAAACACTTTATTTAAATGTGAAAGACTTGATGATTCAAAAAAAGCTTTTTTTCAAAAAAAGGCTCTTGGAAGTGAACATGCAAACATAATTCATATGTTTAGGATTATTCCAGAATGAACACATTATAGAGTTAAAATTAGTTACGCCTATTACAATTTAAACTCAAGCCATATAATTAAAAATTATTAAACCTATGCAACTTATTATGAAAGTAGGATTTTTAAATTCCTTTACAAGTTCATGTGATGCTTTTACCTCAAGAAATGGTAAACCACCCATAATGCATTACTCAGGCCACACTCCACTTTTGTACTCCCACGGCATCCATATTAAATGCTCAGAAATCAGGTCTTGCCAGTACATGGAGAATAGCTCTGTCTCTCAGCAGTTCACTAATTAAAACCAAGTTCACCAACACCCATACACAATCCAGAATTCCCAGTTATTATTTTACAGTGAAGCTTAGCCTTTTCATATGGCCCATGGACCAGAGTATTTGCACTGACCTATCTATCTGCCTCTAAAGACCAGATCTACCTACACACGGGGAACCTCGCTTATCATGTACTTATCAACTTTCATTGTTATTTTTTCCTTGTCTTTTATTGTTATTTTCTTTCACTGTCTTTTATCGTTATTTTCTTTCACTGTCTTTTATCGTTATTGTTTTCTCGTCCAACAAGACAGTGAACTGAGAGCAGGGACCAGGTGTTTTTACTTCTATGCCCTCAGCGCCCTATTATGTTTGTTGAGTGAATGAATTCTGTGAGCCCTGTAGCAAAGTGACATATAATCAATCACAAAATCACAAAAATATAAATGTGAGAAGAAAATGCCGCATAAAATTCTGTATCTCGTGTAGGTTTCAATCACTTGGAATTTTTTTAAAAAATAATACAACCATAAACTTTCCAGTGGTTTTGTAGGGTTACTTTAAAAGGAGGCTTGTTACAAATCAGTTACTCATGAGCTGCAGCTGCTGAAATTTCCCTTCAAAATGAGGTCTTCCATGTAGTAGAAACAACTGGGGCAGAGGTAAATGAAAAGAAAAACTCATTTCATTGGATTTGTAATACAATTTCAAATCCTGTAGCATCAAATACGATAAACATGTTTAGAGCATATTTTAAATTATAAGATTTTCAACTCCAGGTTGGTCTGTGGATTTTACTGTCCAATATCAGAACACTAGGCAAGAAGGTTGCTTTCAGAATTAAACATAAATCCTTCACTCTTTGTTTAGTGCTTGTTTTAGCACACAGTATACAGCTTCAAAAATCCCAAAAGAGCCTATGACACCATAGCTAGTGGAGAACTTGGCAAAGACAAGGGACACCAGCCAACTTCCCACCATACAATCAAGCAAGACATTTTAAAATTAGTAGCTATAAAATAATATTTCACTAAAAATGGAGCTTTTCACAAAAACTGAGGATTATTTTTATTTATATTTGGCAAGAATTGACATTAATCCTTTATAAAGTATTCATTATCCTTTTGTTTCCCATTTGTAAATATAATAACTGAAAATAACCTACGGAATTACTTTTTCCCAATCCTCGTTTCAAAGCTCCTCACTATGTACAAAAGTCCATTTCAGCTTTGACGACATGCTAGATGCTTCCATTACAGGACTACAATGGCTTTAGAAATGCATTTGTAGCTCACCGAACTGTATTATCTACAATATATAAGACTTAGCATATATTTAAATTATAGAAAATAAAGTACAAGGTGTTTTATTTTTCTTCATGGGGCTTTCAGGCAGACATCAGGATCTTCTCTTATCCCTAAAGAAAAATAACAAAAATCAAGAAAAAATAAACTTACAAACTATTAAAATTACAGATTAACTCAAACTTATAAAATTTCCAACTGCATAAAACTCACAATGACACAACACAGTAATATACCTCAAGCAACTATTATTTAAAACTGAGTTATAAAGAATGGAATATTAGGCAGAAAAAAACAACTAGCCAACTTGGAAATTAGAGCTCTATTTGCATTTGTATTATAAAGGCTAACTATTCATTAATTTAATTCACCACTTGAGTCTAATTGTCAGTTTATGCCTGAGCCTAGGTCCCTGTCAAAAAGGGACTCGTTTTCTTTTATCATAAATATTTATTGTTTCAATCAAGGCCTATCCTCTTACTCCAAACAAATGATAAACCCCATTCAATAGAGGAGTAAACAGTCACGTATCAGATAGCTACAGACATTGGCTGGTATTCAGTCTTTAGCACGACACATACACTAAAATAGGTTTGCTCAGGATATGTAACAATATGTGCCAGTGGAACAATAAAGTGCACTATTTAATTTCCTTTGCTTCAGAAAAATGTCATTAATTCAAGCACCACCAATTCAGAAATCAGAATCATGTGTGCCAGGCTAACGTTAGCTTTCATGTCCCTGAAGGAAAAAACAGTTTACTAAGCAAAGATAAAGGACAGCCCAGGTGTTCTCTGAATTATACCATCTTTCACATTATTTGTGTCTGAATTAGTGAAGTGAAATCATACTTAGCTACCTATTAAAGGGACAGGAAAGAACAAGATGAGACAGACAAGAGCAGTTAAAATGTTATGGGCTTATAGAATTTTTGATGTTTTTACAGAGATTTATTAAAAGTTATTAGAATAATAGATGAAAATTATAGCACATAAATTGTCACCTCTCATTTGACTTGCTGGCTACATCTACTTTCTCACTGCATTTTTCTTACATAACTTCTAATTGATTATATGGTTATGAACAGGTTGACTCATAACTCTGAGCTTCCAAACCCTGTCAAAAATTAAGAGGAAATCATACCTGTAGTACCTTGTGTACTTCTAGCTGAGGACTTCTTCTCAACTGGATACTGCAGAGGTATTACAATGCCTTGATCTGGCTTCTGAAATGCTGAAATGAGATTTTTTATTTTCCGGAAATATCTTTTATGTACCCCAGGTGCTGTCTGGAAAATAAAAGGCCAAGCAAATTATTTACCTATCTCATAATGATACAAAAAGACCTACAAAATGTGCTAGGGATGCTAAGAGAAGTAACATTTGTGTAACTTGTTGAAATATTTGAAAACATAAGGAAGAAGGAAAAACAACATTCCAGAAGAGCTTACTTTGGTTGGCTGAATTTCCCTGCAAGAGGAGCTAATGAGCTGTCATTTCAGTTCTCCCAAAGGTGGTATTAGTTTGTACAAGCTCTTGCTCATTGCCCTGCCCTTCCTGCCTGCTCCCCATCAGACATCTCAAACCTCTAAGGGTATACAGGCCATTACCCACAATGAATTCACCAACAGAGGGGATGCAGTTAAACAGGAAAAAACAAAAACAAAAACAAAAAAACAGATCCTACAGGTCATTAATAAAAAGCCTGAGGAACAACAACAAAAGAAAAACCAACAACCCATCCTCCCTGCCATCATCCCACAATATAAAATGCTACACAGGAAATTAAAAATTGGCTGTTATGATGCACACAGTGCACGGCTAGTTCAGTCCTCATACTCTTTCACCTCACAATATTTCCTGCGCCATTCTTCACATTAAATTTTTTCCTCCTTGGGAAACTTCCCTATACTCCCAAAATTGTTCTCTCCATCAGCACGTCACTGTAACAAGGTTTTCTCTATGACATGAAAATGAAAGACTATATAAGGTCACCTTTATTTATTTATTTGTGTGTTTTTAAAGAGACAGTTATTTGCAGGTGACTATTAAAATGTGTTCCTTTCCTGACATCAGTTGTCTTGCAAAGACACTGCCTGAAATCAACAACAATTTCCTGCAAAAGCTTATGAGCCAAGCTTCAGGCATCAGCTCAAACCTGTCATTTTACGTAAAATAAAATAGTATTGCTATGAGCAATTGAACAATGACTAGTTTTTTTTTTAAGTTGTTTTTCAGCTATTCCATCTGGTAGATTTTTGAGGTGGGAGCTGTTTGTTTTTTTAGCATTTAATGAGAAAACATGAAGGCGAGCATGAAGACTTCTGTCAGCTAGATAGTGGTATGCTGAAGATAGCATACTACACTATCCATAGTAACTCTCAGTCATTTCCTTATGTTGGGGTAATTTTTCATTGAAAACATGACAAAAATTCTTTTTAGCTCTATATTAGTGTTCCCCCATATGTTCACAGTAGATGTAGAACACTCTCTCACCCAGCTCCACCCCACTCTCTCACCTACCCTCCACCTTCCTAAAGCTCGATTGAGAACTCATCCAAAATAACATGGCCATTCTTGCAGAAGTCCAAACAGTTCGTTGGTTCCAAGATAGAGTCTCCAAATTGCAAATGCAGGTCATAGGCACAAATTGCCTCCTTATACTTTCCTCAGTGCACTTTTTCATTTTCAAAGCACATTCCTATCTCTTGCCTTCACTATTTCCTCACAAAATGGCAGTTATTGGCTGATTCAGTTATTCCCATTTGACAGATAAGAAAATATGAATGCAAAGAAATTAATCAGCTTGCCCAAAGTCACACAGACAACCAGAGGCAGAACTGGCTCAGAATCCCAGGACCCAGTCTCTTGCCTTTCAGATTAGAACTGGGCCAAACAGGATCTAGCGAAGCTAGGGTCATCAAACAGAAGAAAAACTATACACACCTAAAGTGTGGAAAGATTTCAAACCACACATCTTTTTAGCTTCTTGTGGCTTGTAAAGTCATTTATCAACAGAAGCATAGCCGGGCACAGTGGCTCACACCTGTAATCCCAGCATTTTGGGAGGCTGAGACCGGCGGACCACCTGAAGTCAGGAGTTCAAGACCAGCCTGGGCAACATGGTGAAAGCCTGGCTTTACTAAAAATATGAAAATTAGCCAGGTGTGGTGGCAATCCCGGCTACTTGGGAAGCTGAGGCACAGGACTCACTTGAACCTGGGAGGCAGAGGTTACAGTGAGCCGAGATCGGGCCATTCCACCACTCCAGCCTGAGCGACAGAGTGAGACTCTGTCTCAAAACAAAACAAAACAGAGAAGCAACATTTTTATGGGTACTGATATGTAGCTAACACTTGATTATCCATGCTAACAGAAATGAATAATAGCACTGGAAGTATGGAAGCTATTTGAATTGGGGATCTGATGTTTCATAAGCAAATGACTGGCCTATTTTACAGTGTTTTACTTAGATTAATAAGGACAATTATTTAACATCTGCTGATCTCCTGATCATATACCCAGTAAAGCCTGAAGACACTGATGTCAACAGGGTGATGTCAGTACATTTTTAATAATGTATTGCCAACAAATCACATATTAATAAATGAAAGTAGATTGTGGAATTATCTAAATTAACAATGTAACAAACTTTTAGTCTGAGTCATATAAGATAATACACTAGGCAAAGATTTAACCTAAAAGTCTCTCTAAAACTAGAAAAACACATGATATCTGTCTTTCATAATTCAGTGGGGCCAGGGTTTGATTTCATTACACTCTTTAAAACAAATCTCACTTACCTAGATTTCTAGCATAATATATGCACAGATGGTGGCATGCTACTGCCTTGATTTTTCCTGCAGCATGGCAAACTAAAACATTGTTCCAAAAATCAGTATTAATATCTATCATTTACCCAGTTTCGAAAATACATTTATCACAAGAATTGTACCACTGACAACTCTCATCCTGTCACTGAACTCAGCTATTCTTCAAATTTGCAAATCTCCCATACTGTCACCTCTTAGTTATCCATGGAAACATGTATTAGATCACAGCTGGTCTTCAATATGCTCTAGAGAAATTTTTTCCAGTCAGGTGGTATGAGCTCTGAGAATATACACTAGTTTAATTTTCACCTTAGAAAAGCACTGCTAAGAAGGTAAATTTAGTAGATAGAAAAAAATGCAATATGCATTTCAAAAATTAAAGAATTTTTTAAACTATTTTCTATTTGCGGATGTCATGCCAATCTTCTGCTCTCTTGGTGCAGAAAATTACAATATTATTACATAAACAACGTCAGATCAGACAACAGGATGAGGGGGCATTTGTGTTCAATAAGCCCTCTCTTCTTTAACATGATCACAAGCATGTAACAATCTCATATGATGTTATACTCAAAATGCAGGAAAACAAGTTGAAAAACAAAGTTGTTAAACCCTAAGCATTTAAGATCCTTTCCTTACATAATATTCTTCAGCAGCTGAAGGGTATTTCTCTGGGGAGAAGAGCTATTTCTGGCGAAATAATATACAAACGTGTGTGTGTGTGTGTGTGTGTGTGTGTGTGTGTGTGTGTGTGTTTGTCAGTATATTTTACACATAACTTTCTTCATAATAAAGTTTAATTTCTTATTCAATCATCTCTGCAGTGATACAGAGAATTTTTTAAATAAACAGGTATAAATAGTTTCAATTAGAAATGGTATAACTTTATCTTTAGTTAGTATTATAGTTTTAATGATCCTTACATAATACAGCAAAAGTGTGTTTGAAAACTTGGCCTAATTCATCTCAGTGGTTCAAAACATTTGTGGTCTGTAATTTATACTTTCCAACTTACTGATAAATCAGTAAACGTGAGAGCTATTTTAACTTCTTGAAGTCTAGACTTCAGAAAATTTTAAATGCACAGATTGAGTTATTAATAGGAGTTGTGGCAATTTTCAGGAGTTCACTTTTTTGAGGGCTCACTGTGTGCCAGGCCTTGTGGCAAACAGCTTCTTTATGTGTGTTATCTTATTTACTTTTCAAATTGAGCCTTGTGCATAAGGGAGGATTCTTAGGCTCCGTTTACAAATGAAGAAACTGGCTCACAGAAAAGTCAAGTAACCTGCCCAAGATCATAGACCTATCAGAGAGGAGGGGAGACCAGACCTGGAACCCAGATTCACCTGTTGACAAAGCCTAGTTTCTTCCACTCATAACTGTTTAATTTCAAGTTATAACTTCCCAAGTATATTGTAGTCTCTTAGAAAATAAGCATCATGTTTTTTAATCTCCCACGATACCAATACTCATATTGGTATCATTTGGTAAATAATTGTTCATTTAATTATTTTACCTACTTTTGATATGCTAAGATTTCACATAGTCACTAAAAGTTTGACATAATTCTTCAACTTTTTTATCTTTCTCCCAAAGTCATACAACTCTGCAAAATGATGGCTAAACAGGACTGGGACCAAAATTCTCTAAAGCTTTCTTAATGATCCATGAACAATTTTGGATTGGAGCTTTAGAGATTTAAACCTTATGAATACTTAATAATGTATAATTTGCTCTTTTATAAAACCAGCCTAAATTTCAAATACCTCCTTGACACCCCCAGAAGCAAAAATAAATACAACTATACCTCAGCACTCCAAGAACCTGTTTCTGTCTGGGACACTCGGTATGTATAAATGTAACCGTGATACCTGTGAAAGAATAAACTTCCATTACTGAAAGATTCCAAAAGAACAATGGATACTTTAAATTTGAGCTTAATATTACATATAAATGTCACATATACTAGGACACACGTATATGGTGTCATTGCATTCATAGGAAGTAAAGCATAGTGAATCTAACTTGTCTCCATATTGTATCTGCCCAACCACAGTTTCCAGTGAGATTTCTTTATCTTTTCATTTTTTGAAATATGGAAATTCATGCTCCTAAAGATTTGTCAAGTTGAGAGACCATTTGGACAGAAAGAAACTACAACAGGGACCTGTTGTAATTGATAAAACCATGAATTATTAGATAGTTTTAACAAACAATAGACTTATTTTTAAGTACATATCGAAACTTAAGGTGAAAACATTTCACTGGGATAATACACTATCAGGCCCACATAAATAATTATTAATATTAATAATATTTGTTATAAATATAATGGCAATAGTATAAGGATATAATACTATAAATTGAATATAACTATATTTTTATAAAATTACTATTATAATGTATAGCAATATAATATTGCCACAGTCATGCATCACTTACCAAGGGGGATACATTATGAGAAGTGCATCATTAGGTGATTTCGTTGTTGTGCAAACATCATAGACTGTACTTACACAAACCTATATGGTATACCACCTAGGCTATGTGGTATAGCCTATTACTCCAGGCTACAAACCTGTACAGCATGTTACTGTACAGAATACTGTATGCAATTGTAACATAATGGTATTTGTGTATCTAAACCTATCTAAACATAGAAAAGGCACAGTAAAATATAGTATAAAAGATAAAGAATGCTATACCTGTTGAGAGTACTTACCATGAATGGAGCTTGCAGGACTGGAAATTGCTCTGGGTGAGTCAATGAGTGAGTGGTGAGTGAATGTGAAGGCCTAGGACATTACACTACTAGAATGTTATGAACACTGTAAACTTAGGCTACACTAAATTTATTTTAAAATATTTATATTTCCCAGATCACGAGGTCAGGAGATCGAGACCATCCTGGTTAACACAACGAAACCCCATCTCTACTAAAAATACAAAAACTTAGCCAGGCATGGTGGCACGCACCTGTAGTCCCAGCTACTTGGGAGGCTGAGGCACTGAGGCAGGAGAATCGCTTGAACTCAGGAGGCGGAGGTTGCAGTGAGACGAGATCACGCCACTGCACTCCAGCCTGGGTGACGGAGCGAGATTGTCTCAAAAAAAAAAAACTGTATCGCTTCAATAATAAATTAATCTTAGCTTCAACTCTTTTACTTTATAAACTTGTAAATTTTTTTAAACTTTTTGACTCTTTTATAACACTTCGCTTAAAACACAAACACATTGTACAGCTGTACAAAACTGTTTTTCTTTATATCCTTATTCCATAAGCTTTTCTCTGTTTCAAAATTTTTATTTTATGTATTCTTTGCTATTTAAACTTTTTTGTTAAAAACTAAAACACAAATACGCACATTAGCCTAGGCCTACAGAGAGGGTCAGGATCATCAGTATCACTGTCTTCCACCTCCACATCTTATCCCACTGCAGGATCTTCAGGTGCAGTCACACACACGGAGCTGTCATCTCCTATGATATTCATATTCCAGAATGCCTTCTGGAATACCTCCTGAGGGACCTGCCCGAGGCTGTTTTACAGCTAACTTTTTTTTATATAAGTAGGAGTAGATTTTAAAATAATGATAAAATGTATAGTACAGTAAATACATAAACCAGTAACACAGTAATTTGTTATCATTATCAAGTATTGTGTACTGTATGTAATTGTCTGTGCTATACATTTTTTTCTTTTTCTTTTTCTTTCTTTTTTTTTTTTTTTTTTTTTTTTTTGAGATAGAGTCTCGCTCTGTTGCCCAGGCTGGAGTGCAGTGGTGCAATCTCAGCTCACTGCAACCTCCGCCTCCCGGGTTCAAGCAATTCTGTTTCAGCCTCCCGAGTAGCTGAGGCTACAGGTGCATGCCACCATGGCTGGCTAATTTTTGTATTTTTAGTAGAGACAGAATTTCACCATATTGGTCAGGCTGGTCTTGAACTCCTGACCTCAGGTGATCCACCCACCTCAGCCTCCCACAGTGCTGGGATTATAGGTGCGAGCCATCACACCTGGCCTGTGCTATACTATTATACAGCTGACAGCACAGTCGGTTTGTTTATACCAGTGTCATCACAAATACATAAGTAATTCATTGTGCTGTGGCATTACAATGGCTACAACATCAGTAGGTGGTAGGAATTTTTCAGCTCCATTATAATCTTATGGGACCACCATTGTATATGCTGTTCGTCGTTAAGGAAAATGTTGCTATATTGCACATGACTGTATTACTATATTACCCTATAATATATTATAAATGAAGTAATAGTAAAAAATATATGAATTAAAAACAAGTGCTGCTTGTTTTAAATTATACTTTTGTGGAAGAGCAACTCTAAAATTCTGTAAACTAGGACTATCTCCAAAGTGCCTTAGTTGTAACTTTATTTTCCTAAAAGCAGCTTATCCTTTTAAATGGGGTAAACATTCCTTCCCATTACTCAGTTTATATCTATATTGTATATTTGTCTAATTGATTTCTACTACATGCCAAGAGTTTTACTTGCTGTATTAGTCTGCTTGGCTGCCATAACAAAATACCATACCTTGAATGGCATAAATAAAAGAAATTTACTTTCTCACAGTTCTGGAGGCTGGAAAGTCCAAGATCGAGGTGCCAGCAACATAAGTTTCATTTTGAGCCCTCTTCTCTTGCCTTGTGAGTAGCTGACCTCTTGCTGTGTACTCAGACAGCCTTTTCTGTTGTAATAAGGCCCCCAATCCTATCAGATTGGAGCCCCACACTTATGATTATCCTATCAGATTAGAGCCCCACCCTTATGATTTAACTCATTTAACCTTAATTACCCCCTATCTCCAATTACAGTCATGTTGGAAGTTAGAGCTTAAACATATTATGGGGGAACACAATTCAGTCTATATCATTCCACTCTCGACCCCCAAAACTCATGTCCTTCTCACACTTATACCATCCCAACGGCCTCAAAAGAAATTAACTCATTCTAGCATCAACTTAAAATCTAAAGTCCAAAGTCTCATCTAAATAAAATTAGATGTGGGTGAGACTAGCAGTATTATTCATCTTGAGGCAAAATTTATTTTCAGCTGTGAAACTATGAAACCAGACAAGCTATGTGCTTCCAAAATATAATGGTGCTACAGGAAGAGGATAGACATTCCCATTCCAAAAGGGAGAAATTGGAAGAAATAAAGGGGTCACAGGTCCCAAGCAAGTCCAAAACCTAGCAAGGCAAACTCCATTAGCTCTTAAGGCTCAAGAATAATCCTCTTCGATTCAATATTCTGCCCTTCAGGTTCACTGGAAAAGCAGCATCACCCCCACAGCTCTGTAAGGTGGCCACATCCTTTGGCTAGGGTGATGGCCCCACCTATGTGGCTCTGTTGGATGTCAGTCTCACTTTTTGAAACCAAGGTAGAGGCAGCCTTACCCTCCAGGCCTGTGCACTTTGGGCCTATAGTAGGAATGGCAGCCCTGGTTATCTCTGAATCACCCTCAGGGTCGTTCTTCCCTTTTCTTGAAAGATAAACCATGTTTGCAGCCAAATAACTATACCATACTGTCCTGTTCTCTTTGGTCCAAACTGGTAATATTTCTGCTGCTTTTTTCCAAACTCTATTCCTGACTTCTGCTCAGATGGCTGGTTAACATCATAAGTAATCTTAAGTAGTGACAGATAGTCCAGCCACACCCTTAGTGTTGTCTCCAGAACAAGCTTCCTCATTTATTGCAATACATAAAGGCTCAGAATTTTCCAAATGTTTAAGTTCCAGTTCCCTTTTGCTTAACAATTCCTTCTTCAATTCATCTCTCTCCTTTTGTATTTTACCATAAGCAGTCAGGAGGGACTGAGCCACTCCTTCAACTTTTTGCTCAGAAATCTCCTCAGATAAAAAGTCAATTTTTTTACTCAACAAATTCCACCTTCCACAAAATACTAGAACACAGTTCAGTCAAGTTCTTTACCATTTATAACAAGGAACACCTTTCTCCCATTTTGCAGTAACATGTTGCTGATTTCCATCTGAGACCTCATCAGAATAACCTGCAACATCCATAGTTCTACCAACATTCTGTTCACAGCCGTCTATGCTTTTTTCTAGCATACACCTTAAAACTCCTCCAGCCTCTACTCATTACCTAGTTCTAAGGCCACTTCCACATTTTTAGGTATTTGTTACAGCAATACTCCTCCTCTCAGTACCAAAATCTGTATTGGTCTGTTCAGGCTGCCATAACAAGATACCATAGACAGGGTGGCTTAAACAACAGAAATTTATTTCTCACAATTCTGGAGACTGGGAAGTCCAAGATCAAGGTGCTGGTAAGGTATGTTTCATTCTGAAGCCTCTTCTCTTGGCTTGTAGACAGCCGCCTTCTTGCTGTGTGCTCATATGACCTCTTCTTTGTACATGCATTCTTCCTCTTCTCATAAGGTCACCAAATTTATCAGATTACAGCCCCATCCTTATGATCTCATTTATCATTAATTACCTCCTAGAGGTCCTATCTCCAAATACAAGCATATTGGAGGTAAGGGTTTAAACGTGTGAATTTAGGAGGATAAAAAGTTAAGTTTCTAGCACATGCATTATCTCCTTTGGACCCCACAAAAATCCTATTAGGTTTATGTTGTAATATTTATTTTATAGATGGGGAAACTGAGACTTTGAGATGTTAAGTAACCAAAATCAGTCTAGAGATTAAGAAGCAAAAATGGGATTTGAATCAGGCCCATTTGATTCTAGATCCCCAGTTCCTGATCCCCACACTGTACTGGATATAGATTATTTGTTATATTTTAGTATATATAGTAATCCTACTTAATTTGCCTAATAAAATTTTACCTCATAAAACAGTAAGGTAAACTTTATAATGAATTGTTTCAGTTTTTGAATGTGAATCAAAATCAATTGTGAATCAATTGAATGTGAATCTAAATCATTCATTTCATAAATTTTCTGATTGCTATTCTTGGGCACAAGTTTGGGTCAATAGAGATCTTTTGGTTAGGACACATGCTTTTTTTTTTTTTTTTTTTTTTTTAATGGTGTCTTGCTCTGTCACCCAGGCTGGAGTACAGTAGGGTGATCATAGCTTACTGCAGCCTTGCCCTCCTGCCTTAGCCTCCTGAGTAGCTGCCACTACAGTTGCACACTGCTGTGCCTAGCTAATTTTTTTTTTTTTTTTTTTTTTTTTTTAGTTTTTGCAGAGACAGGGTCTTGCTCTGTTGACCACGACGGTCTTGAACTCCTGGCCTCAAGCTATCCTCCCACCTAGGCCTCCCAAAGTAGTAGGATTACAGGTGTGAGCCACCACACCTAGCCAGGACATGCACTGAACTCTGGTTAAAATCAATGTGTTTACAAGCAGAGTGTCATGCTTGACTTGATGATCACATTTACCATTAACCTCCTTTGGAAATAAAAGTATTTAAATATGTGAATTAAATTAGGCTCACGCCTGTAATCCCAGCACTTTGGGTGGCTGAGGTGGGCAGATCACCTGAGGTCAGGAGTTCGAGACTAGCCTGGCCAACATGGTGAAACCCCATTTCTACTAAAAATACAAAAATTAGCCTAGCGTGGTGGTGGGCACCTGTAATCCCAGCTACTCGGGAGGCTGGAGCAGGAGAATCACTTGAACCTAGGAGGTAGAGGTTACGGTGCGCTGAGATCGCACCATTGCACTCCAGCCTGGGCGACAAGAGTGAGACTCCATCTAAAAAAAAAAATTACTATATCTTTCATCAATATGCATCAGAACTGATTACCTAAAGGGCCAAAACAAATCTGAAACACACTATTCAGATTTACTTGATTCGTGACACTGAACAAAAGGTCAATTTAACTACTGATGTGGATTATATGATGTTTTATTTTTTACGAAGGATTGCCAGAATATTTAGATCATATATAAAATAGCTTGATATATGCCTATATATAATATGCTGAATAAATATACAATATTACAATGTTAAAGTCTTTTGTCTTTTTAAACACTTGAAATCTACCTCAAAGCCCACTAACTTCAGCAAGTACTCTATGGGGAACAAGGCAAGAGCTTTGATTTCCATTTTTCACCATGGGAACTCAACATAAGCCTTTAAGTGATTTTCTTAAAGCCACATAGCAAAATGGAGATGGAAGCAGTGAAACAGCATAGGTTCTTAGTTCCATTTTCCCTATGAGAAATGATTAATGGCAATAATTCAGTATCATAAGGGTGATGTGGAGATTCATTATTTAAAATCTCAGCAACAAGATAAGCAGAATGGTAAGCAACAAGTTTTCCACTTTCTAAAACAGTGGGTCTCTAAAAAATACAATGACTCTATCTCCCTACTATCATTCAGACGCATTTAGTCAAAGTAAATGAGTCTGTTTTGAGAATTGTTTCCTAACGAATCTGATCTTATCTCACTTTCAGTTAAGTAGCAGGAACCTGAGTACCACTTCAAAACTTCGTACCTCCTTCAGTCTCTGAACAACCTGGTGTGAATGGTACATAAAACTTCTCATGATTAACTCATCTAATATTAACAATTTCCTTCTCCCCACAACCCCTCCAATTTCTGAATGAGCAAAATTGTTTCACCCCTCAAATAGGCCAGCAGTTTATATCTTTCACTTTCAAGTTACTGAAGTAACTGACCAAGGATCCCCTGTAGTCAACTCTTACTATAATATGTCATACAAGGAAGAGATCTAAAACAGTGCAACTCAAATTGCATTCCCAGGACAACAGCATCAACATCACCTGGGAGCTTGTTAGAAATGTAGACTTCCAGGCCCCACCCAGACCTGTTAAATCAGAATCTGGATTTTAGTAAGATGCCCAGGTGATTTGTATGAACATTAAAGTTACAGAAGGACTGATTAAAATGTAAAGCGAATGCCCACATCTCATTGGGAATATTGATGGCAACTTCCCTGTTGTCAACCTGGCTTCTTCCACCTGCCCAGGGCAGTTCTGTGCCACCTCCTCCGTAGTCATTCAGTCTATGCTTTAAGAATGCAATTTTATTTTAGTATAAGCTGAAGGTTTGTCAATCATTTCAGTCTTCACAGGACAGTGTTTCTGAACCATTTTTTCCTTTCTTCCCCAATAATATTTCTTAGTTTTATTTTCTATAGCTTCTATTATAAACCAGTAATTTTGTAACATAAAATTAAACTAAAATATTGAATATGCCTTTTCAAACAAAACATACTCTGTCCCTGTCCATGGAAAATCGCTATTCAAACTGGCAAGTTATATAACGAGACCTATAAAACCATACATATTTTTGACTGCATAACCTTGCTTATCTTCATACACTCCAAGGAAACAAGTCAAGAGGAAAACGCAATTTGACAAAGATTTTCATACTAGCCCTATTTTAATAGTGAAAAAAATGGAACTAACCTAAGCACCCCTAAATAAGGAATAATTGCTCAAAATAAGGGAATTGTTTTTGGGTATAACCCCAAAAGCACAGACATCAAAAGCAGAAATAGATAAATGGGATTACAACAAACTAAAAAGCTTCTGAACAGCAAAGGAAACAACAGAGTGAAGAGACAACCTACAGAATGGGAGAATATATTTGCAAACCATACATATGATAAGGAGTTAATATCCAAAATATATAAGAGACTCAAATTACTCAATAGAAAGAAAACAAATAATCCCATTTAAAAATGGGCAAAGGCAGCTACTCGGGAGTCTGAGGCAGGAGAATGGCATGAACCTGGGAGGTGGAGTTTGCAGCGAGCCAAGATCGCGCCACTGCACTCCAGCCTGGGCGACAGACCGAGACACCATTGCAAAAAAAATAAAATAAAATAAAAATGGGCAAAGGACCAGAATAGACATTTCTCAAAAGAAAATATACAAATGACCAACAGGTATGTGAAAAAATGCTCAACCTCACTAATCATCAGAAAAATGCAAATGAAACCACAATGAGATATCATTTCACACCTGTTAGGATGGTTATTATCAAAAACAAGACAACAAGAGAGGATGCAGAGAGAAGGGAACCCTTGCACACTGTTGGTGGGAATATAAATTAGTACAGCCATTATAAAAAACGGTATGAAAGTTCTTCAAAAAATTAAAGATAGAACCACCATATGATCCAGCAATCCCACTGCTGGGTATATATCAAAAGGAAATGAAATCATCATGTCAAGGAGAAATCTGCACTTTCATGTATATTGCAGCATTATTCACAATAGCCAAGACATAATGCAATCAACCTACATGTCTATCAACAGATGAATGGATAAAGAAAATATGTTGTATATACACAATGGAATACTATTCAGCCTTAAACACAAAGGAAATCTTGTCATTTGCAACAACATGGATGAATATGGAGGACAGTTTGTAAAGTGAAATAAGCTATGCGCAGAGAAACAAATACCGCGTAGTTTCAGTTATACATGGGATCTTAAAAAGTTGAACTAATACAAGCCAAGAGTAGAATGGTGGGTGGCTACCAGGGGCTCGTAGGGGCGTGCAGGGTGGGGATTGGGAAATTTGGGTCAAAGGATAAAAGATTTAGGTTAGGAGGAAAAAGTTCAAGAGATCTATTGTACAACGTGGCAACTATAGTTAAAAACAATGTATTGTATTCTTGAAAGTTGCTAAGAGAGTAGATTTTAAGTGTTCTCATCACAAAATGTAAGTATGTGAGGTAATGCATATGCTAATTATCCCAATTTAGCTATTACACATGTATACATATTTCAAAGCATCATGTCATACACAATACATATATACAATTTTGCCAGTTTAGAAATAAATATATAAATTAGGGAAAAATAAAGGAATTATAGCAGAAACAATGGTTCAAAATTACACTTTCTATGTCAAAGGTGAAGGTTTACAATGTTAATGCTGGCTGGGCACGATGGCTCACGCCTGTAATCCCAGCACTCTGGGAGGCTGAAGTGGGTGGATCACAAGGTCAGGAGTTCGAGACCAGCCTGGCCAACATGGTGAAACCCTGTCTCTACTAAAAATACAAAACAAACAAACAAAAAACTGCTGGGTGTGGTGGCACGCACCTGTAATCCCAGCCACACAGGAGGCTGAGGCAGGAGAATCGCTTGAGCCTGGAAGGCAGGGGTTGCAGTGAGCTGAGATCACACCACTGCACTCCAGGCTGGGCGACAGAGAGAGACTCCGTCTCAAAAAATATAAATAAATAAATAAACAAATAAAATCTTATGCCAAAATTCAAAAATGTTAGAGTCTTAGGTTTTCCAGAAAACTTTAAGTATGTGGACTATGTTGACATAAAATGATAGCATGTGTAATAGCAAAGACTTGGAACCAACCCAAATGTCCATCAATGATAGACTGGATTAAGAAAATGTGGCACATATACACCATGGAATACTATGCAGCCATAAAAAAGGATGAGTTCATGTCCTTTGTAGGGACATGGATGAAGCTGGAAACGATCATTCTCAGCAAACTATCGCAAGGACAGAAAACCAAACACTGCATGTTCTCACTCATAGGTGGGAATTGAACAATTAGAACACTTGGACACAGGAAGGGGAACATCACACACTGGGGCCTGTCCTGGGGTGGGGGGAGGGATAGCATTAGGAGATATACCTAATGTAAATGATGAGTTAATGGGTGCAGCACACCAACATGGCACATGTATACATATGTAACAAACCTGCACGTTGTGCACATGTACCCTAGAACTTAAAGTATTAAAAAAAACACACACAAAACAAAAAATAAAAATAAAAAAATAAAATGACAGTATGTGTAAAAAGTGGGCACAAGGGGATGCCACTCTGATTACAACTATTCAAAACTGTCTGTCCCTGTGTGTATATAAACTAGAAGTAAATTTAAACTAACGTAAATGCATTCTTGCATGTTATTTTTTCATGTAGTTATTTAAGTGACTAATTTTTTAAGAAAAACAAGCAGAATTACAATTTGGAGCCTTACAAACCTAGCCTAAGCAAATCACAACTCATAAAAATGTAATTCATTTTTTTAAATTGTTACATCCCCTTCAGGATTATATTTCCTCTGACTCCCTCCCTTAATACAGACAAACCAGCAATGTAGTGTACTTTTAACTTCCTTCCCTCATTAAAGCTTTTTTGGACTTTTTGATAATCCTAGAGTTTAAAATGTATCACCAAAAAAATCAGAACATGAATAATTGTTAAAGAACGGTGGAGTTTTATCATTGCCTTTAATTTATTTTAATTACTATAAAGCATGTGTTAATCTAGTCTCTGCTGATATTGAAATTTGTCTTTATTTCATCAAAAGTTGTCCCTAACTGTAAAAAAGTGTCCAGGTTAGAAATGGACAAGAAGCAAGAAGCAACCAACCTGACTTATTTCTTATTTTCTCAGTGGGTCAGTGTTGGGGACAGATCCTGGTTTAGAACTGACAAATCCACATCAATTCCTTTTTTATACCACGTCAAGTACTACACAAAAGAAAACATTTAGCTACATCTGACTTCTTCATGACATTTCAAATAAAGCAAGCCAGTACCTATGCCCTCTACGTCTATACGAACTAATGCTACATACAAAATTCAAGACACAACTATAATGATTTTTAACAAACGTTTCAGAACTTTTATATCCAGAGGAATAGTATCCTACACAAAGCCATTATTTTTGAGACTATACTCTGATTCAAGAGCTTTCCAAACTTACAATGGCCCAAACTTTATTCTTTCAGAGAGAATTTTAATTTTTGAAACAGTTGAAAGTCATTCAACTTCAAGTGTGATGGTAAAACTATGTGATATTTTGATGAGTCATGAAAATAAATATAACCACTTCTTCCCCTGAACTTCCATATCAAGTTTTATTTACGTATACTTATGATGTTCTAACTTTGTATTACAATTATTTATAGAGCTTTTATTCATATTAAAAAACACATATTACATGTTAACTTTACAAATATTAACTCATGTCATAATCATCATAACAACCCTGTGAGGTAAGTACTCTCATTATCACCATCTGCCGTTTTACAGGTAAGAAACCTGAGACACAGAAAGTTAAAGTAACCTGCCCAAGGGAAAATAGCTAGTTAAGGGTCAGAGCTGGGATGCACACCCAGAGATCTGGCTGGAAGATCTGGGCTCTTAACCACCATTCTGTGCTGCCCCTCTCTTATACTAGAGGGAATGTATTAACAAATTGGTCTTTAAGACAATTCCAAAAGCACAATTCTCAAAAAGGGAGGGAATCTGCTTGGACATGGAGCTAGAACTGTCCACTGAGAGAAGGAGGGCAGTGGAGGGAGCTGAAGGGAAGAGGCCAGGTGGGGAGAGCCCGAAAGAGATCAACCCAGACTCCCCCTTTGCTTAAGCTAAATGACATCTTCAGGCTAATCTTGCAACTTTAATTTTACATTGTCAACCAGAGTCAGTACTTGGCTTATTTGCCGTGAATTATCCATTCGGTGGTTTATATGTGGCAAACAATCCTAGGCTGGCTTTCAGGCTCACTTTACCACTGGATTGTATTCAGGAAATTGAAAATAATGTTGGTGGCCTAAGTTATCATGAAGATAAATGTGGCACCAAGGCACATATCCAATTGAATTCAAAAACTAAATGCAAGTTGTAATTTCTCACTAAATGAAGTTAAGTTATAATTTCAAGTTCTTTGCCACACTGTTCCCCTTTATTGCAACTGATAAACTGGAATTTTATTTCATCACTGCTCCTCCCCCATTTCTCCAGTTCAGTTGTTTGACAGGCACTTTATTCCCAGTTGTCCCTTTAAAACTTAAAGGACAAAAAGATAATTATGCATTTATCTAAAGACATACATGTCAAATGACTTCATTATGTGTCCTTGAAGCTAAAGAATTATAACAGCATTTCTTCTTCCAAATCTTCCATCAGATAAGTAGCAAACAAAGGCAGATATGTCCAGAAGGATGCCAACTATGGAAATAAACTATTTTTTGAGCTAATTATTTTAAATATTTTAAATTAGTTCTCGTCTTATCACCATCAATCCCACTGGGCAGTCAGAACTTTCCCAATGGCTGTCTACATTGAGGGTGAGAAGGGAAGAAATGTGAGAGAACATATGTACCTCAGTGAAAAGAAACTTGATGTATCTAAAAAAAACAAAGGGAATAAACTTAAAAAAAAAACTATCTGCATTAATAAGAGCATTCAGTACACTGGATAAATACAAGAACAGAACATAAAATCAGTAGCTTTCCTATGAAACAGAAAATATAGTGGAAACAGATCCCATTTATGATTTTTAAAAATCAGCATACACATTCATACACACAATAACTCGAAATAACAAAAAATGTATAAGACATACAAAAAGAAAACTATAAAACTTGATTGATGGATATAAACAAAAAAATTATAAATGGAGAGACTTATGTTATGGGAAGGGAAGACTAAATTATTTAAAGATGACAATTCATTCTTAGTTTATTAATAAATTTAATGTAACCCCAATGGTGTTTTCAAAAAAATTTTTGATACATAATAATTGTACATATTCATGGGGTACAGTGTGATGTTTCAACACATGTATGCATTGTAATAATCAAATCAGGGGATTTGAATATTTAGGATATTTATCACCTCAAACATTTATCATTTCTATATGTAAGAACATTTCAAGTACTCTCTTCTAGCTATTTCAAAATACATAAGATATTGTTAACTATAGTCACCGTACTGTGCGACTGAACACTAGAACCTATTTCTTCTATCTAACTGTCTGTTTGTACCCATTAGCCAACCTCTCTTCATCGCCTTCCACCCTTCCCAACCTCTGGTAACTATCATTTTACTCTCTATCTCCATATGATTGAGGAATCCCACTACAGGGTATCTATCAAAAGGAAAGGAAATCAATATATCAAAGGGATACTTGCGCCCATACATTTATCACAGTACTATTTACAGTAGCCAAGATATAGAAGAGTCCAGCAACAGATGAATGGATAAAGAAAATGTGCTATGCATATACAATTGAATACTATCTGGCCATTAAAAAGAATGAAATCCTGTTATTTGCAGAAATGTAAATAGAACTGGAAGTCATTATGTGAAGTGAAATAAGCCAGGCACAGAAAGACAAATATCATGTGTTCTCACTGGCATGTGAGAGCTAAAACATTTGGTCCAATGAATTTTTTTTAACTTAATAAAATGATTCTAGATTTCATTTTGAAGAACCAACAGATAAGAATAGCAAATAATTTTTAAAATATATTAAAACATTATCATACTATAGTGCTATCAGTGCAAGAATAAATGGATCAATTGAGACAAATAGATAGTCCAGAAACAGTAACTGTTATATATAAGAATTTAATATATGGTAAAGTCGGCTAGCAAATCAATGAAGAATGGAAGTTGTATTTATAAATTATATTAGGACAATTGCTAGCTATCTGGAAACAAAATCAAATTAGATCTTTTATCCACATCAAAATACAACTCCAAATGGAATTAAAGAGGTAAATGTAAACTAACAAAACCGTAATTTAAAACAAAAACTGCAGTGAAGTTTTATGACATATCTCAAGGGGAAAGGACTTTCTAGCCAAGGAAGAAATCAAACACAAAGAAAACGAGTGACGTATTTGACTACTAAAAAGTTTGATTTTTGTATGTGTCAAAAAAAGTAAGGGCAAACACCAAACTTAGAAAACATACCTTGCAACAGATCAAGGATTAGTATATATATAAATTTACAATGTGTTAAAAAAGTTTGATTTTTGTATGTGTCAAAAAAGTAAGGGCAAACACCAAACTTCGAAAGGATACCTTGCAATAGATCAAGGATTAGTGCACATATATATATATACACATAGAGTGTGTTTAAAAAAAGTATGATTCAACTGGTTAAATGAGAAAAATACACAAAAAGCCAAATCATGGGAGGAAATACAACAGCTTAACAACCATATAAAATGACAGTCACTAACCAAAGGAATATAAAATGTGGAAAATAAAGAGATAGAGTGTAAATATAAAATAAAGAATAACAGGCCAAATGTCAAGGGAAAATTTTCTTAACTACAATACCCACTTCTAGTGAGGGTGTGGTGAAATGGACACTGATGCATTACAGGTGAGCATGTAAATTGGAATAACCATTTAGGGAAAATATCTCATGATCATGTATATATCAAGAATCCTAAGCTGTTTATGTTTTCTGACCTAGAAATTCCACACTGGAAATTCATTCTAAGGAAATAATCATAAATGCAAGGAAACTTTAATGTACTGAAATATACATCCTGATGGAATTTATAATAACAAAAATATGGAATGAGTCAAATGTCTAAAAGTAGGTGACTGGCTAAGCAAAATATGGTATACTTACTAGCTAGCTGGACTACCATGCAGCCATTAAAAATAACATCTTAAAGTTGTCTCTAAGAACATTACATATGAGTGTATTTTTTTCATATTAAGTGGGAAATGGGAAACGTATACAATTGTAAGAATACAAGAACACAATCATATTTTTAACACATGTAAATTTATATATAAATATATATAAATATATATTTATAATAATATATATAAAAATATATATTTATAATAATATATATAAAATATATATATTTATAATAATATATAAAAATATACATATTTATAATATATATATAATATATTATATCTTATATACAATATATAATATATTATATCTTATATACAATATATAATATATCTTATATACAATATATAATATATTATATCTTATATACAATATATAATATATTATATCTTATATACAATATATAATATATTATATCTTATATACAATATATAATATATTATATCTTATATACAATATATAATATATTATATCTTATATACAATATATAATATATTATATCTTATATACAATATATAATATATTATATCTTATATACAATATATAATATATTATCTTATATACAATATATAATATATTATATCTTATATACAATATATAATATATTATATCTTATATACAATATATAATATATTATCTTATATACAATATATAATATATTCTATATTATACTATATAATATAGTATATAATATACTATATATAATATAGTATATATTATATATTATATATAGTATATAATATATATTTATATATTATATATAGTATATAATATATATTTATATATTATATATAGTATATAATATATATTTATATATTATATATAGTATATAATATATATTTATATATTATATATAGTATATAATATATATTTATATATTATATATTATATAATATTATATATAATATATATTTATATATTATATATTATATAATATTATATATAATATATATTTATATATTATATATTATATAATATTATATATAATATATATTTATATATTATATATTATATAATATTATATAATATATATTTATATATTATATATTTTATATTATATATTTATATATTATATATATTAGATATTTATATATATATAAATATATAACATTTGGTGTTTGCCCTTACTTTTTTTGACGCATACAAAAATCAAACTTTTTAGTAGTCAAATACGTCACTCGTAAGAATACAATTGTAAGAGCACACGTGCTCAAAAAGCAATTCATCTTATTAAAATATAGAAGAAAATTCACCTAATTTTTAGCAATAGTCATCTTTAGGTTATAAAACTATAGATGATTTTTCTCTAATTTCTATTATCTATATGTTTCAAATTTTCTATAATGAATAGGTATAAGGAACTATTTTTAATAGACTTATACAAAAATCTATATTTATTTAGAGAAAGTAATTGAAAGAAATACTTATTACTTAAAATGAAGGTGAGCAATCCTATAAATGGAAAACTCCTTTAGTGCTTTATGAAGCAGTTCAATTTTCGATTTTCTAAATCAGAACAGAAGAAAAGGCCATATCTGAAAGCCATGATTAGGAGGTTCAGAACTGGGGAAAAGGGCAAGCATCGTTTGAAAGTACAGTTTAAAGTACAGTTTGAAGGCATATGAAATGTATTATCTCTACAATAAAAATATAAAAACTATAGCTCAATTAAATCTTCTTGGTTAATAGGAGTAAACAAAAGATAGAATGAGAAACCATTCTGAGTAAACCCTACAATCAATGCATGTTTGTCAGCTATACCTTGTTGTCCATGTGTATATGATACCACTTATATTGTTATTTCGACTGCATATCATAAGTGTTCTGGTTTAAAATGAGTACGTGGTTTATTTCTAAATAAAATCTGATTTTATAATTACAGTGTAGCACCAAAAAGAGGGAATGAAATTTTTACATTTATCAAAAGGGACACTCAACTCAAAAACATTGAGAAACTGATAAAAGGCAATGTATCCTCATATCTTCCCTCTGCAGCACATTCTGGCTATCACCCTAACAGTCACATAAGACTTTGAGGCCCCAGTGTACCATTTGAAAGACACCGTAAGGGAACTCCCAATTTGTCTAGTATTTTCCGCTACTTCACAAGGAGGTTTTCATGGAGAACTAAGAGTCATAAAAACTGCATTTATGCAAGATTCACTTTGGGCGAAAACTTAAATGCTTGATAATTTCTCACCTGCCTAAGTTAATTCCTCATGTGGTTCCGGCCTACATAGGCAAAAGTCTAAAGCTGCCCTTCTCTCTTGCATAAGGTACTTAAGGCAATCTTTTGCAGAAGGTAGGATACACATTACTATTCCTGTTTTATAAATATGGAAACTGAGTCCCAGAGAATTTGAGTGACTTTCCCAGAGTCCATACCCTAACCTCTCAATGGCCATTCCGTTTATTGCAGTAAAGAACAGAATTTGCCTTGACAGTTTGTTAATTCAAAAATATCTGCTGAGTGCCTATTATGTGTTCCTGTGTTTCTGGTGATGGAGACAGTATCTCCGCCCTCATGGAGATTATATTTTTGCAGGACAGCCCAGCAATAAGTAGGTAAACAAGCAAATTATCAGATAGTTTAAAGCTCTTTGAAGAAAAATAAAGAGATGGAGTGAGTGTATCAGGGACAGGGAGAGGGCACTTGTTCTAGATAGGTGGTCAAGCAAGTCCTCTCTGAGGGAGGAGACAGTTGAACAAACATGTGAACTGAAGGTATTTTGGGCAGAAGGAACAATAAGCGCAGAAATCCTAAGTGGGGGCATTTTTGAGGAGCTTGAGAAACGGCCAGGAGCCCCGTGAGGCTGAAGCCTTAGGTATATCTTGCCTCTCACTATACCCTGTTGTCCCTCCCCTGCCCAGACTTGTTTTGTACATTCTTTTTCACCTTTGGGTTAAGGAGCATGTTATCTCCTTTGTCAGCTTCCCTAAAGCAGCGCCTTTCACCCACCCACTCACTCCACCTTCTTTCAATGAGAAAAGAGCCTAAGAATCCTAGCTGGTTTTCATTGCCCTTCCCTAGGTTCCACACGGGAACAATAATTATATAAGCAAAACATAAAGATTCAAGCCCAAGACATTCAATAGCTTCCACGTATTTCCCTTGAAGCCTTTGTGAAAAATGTATTTAGCATGACCTGAGAGCTGCCACAAACAAGGCTTGACCGTTTTTAAAAAACAATATACAGTGAAAAATCTTCTAGCACCAGCATCAGGATAATCTTTCTTCACTGACCCATAAGGTATTTCAAACTCTTGTGGGGTATTATCAGATGCTGAACTTACTACCAAGCATTTAACCTCATTTGGTTTCTGTCTAGAACCTACAATGCAGGGCTGCTGTTTTCATGGATTTTTTTTTTTATCCTGCTGACAATAATGCCTGAGCTAGGTCCTTCCTTAGAAATGCCCCCATGATTCCTAAAAGAAATCAACTGAAAAGAGAAGATAAAATAATAATATATCTTTGGTATAATAATAATACCAATAGCTTACATTTATTGAACATTTACTAGGTGTCAGGCCCCAGTGCTAATTTTTTTACTGCATTATGGCACTTAATCTTACAATCCTATGAGGTAGGCAGTAATATGATACCTATTCAATGGATAAGAAAACTGGGGAACTGAGAGGTTAATTTGCCCAAGTCACAAACCTAACATCTGACGAGCACAGGACAAAGTCTCAGATCTGCCTGACTCCGGAGCCCTGGAGCAAAGACGCAGATGAATTTGATTCAAAATGAAGCCTTAGAATGAGACATGCCTAGGCAAATGGCAAAGCTGAATCATAACAAGGGTGTTTTCCCTCCATTCCCTTTAAGACTATTGTGAGTCCTAACGTTTATCAAGAAGGGTCCTATTTCTGAAATCCCCTGCCCCTCCCCACCCCCCACTACTTTTCTAAAGGATGCTACATCAGCAGATCCAGAGAGGTGATTTTACTGACACACATCCCCCTCCTCTCTCAGCATCTCGACCTAACTGGCATTGCATTCTTAAAGTAATTGACTCTGTTTCTTAATGTGCCTCCTCTCTCTGAATGTCATGCTCTTCCTTTGGGATGACACTTCAAAAGTCGTTTAAAGAGAGCTAGAGTAAGGCTCGCAGGGCGCCACCCGATAGGGGTCAAAATGGAAGTGGGGAGCCTGGGTCTTTCCCGGAGCGAAGGTAAACTGTGGACCACATTTCACCACCCGAAATGGCATTCTCTGCAGCTGCCCCAAAAGGCTCTGGTGAGGGCCTTCTGGAGAGCAGGAGGCCCAGGGAATGAAATCCCCAGCGAGGGATTGAGGCGAAAGTGTGTTCCACCACGGCCCTGGGCTGGACTTGAGGGTGGGCCACGGAGGAGGCGTCGGCGAGCTGCTAACGCCGGCGCCCCTGCCTGCCTCGGCCTCCACCCTGGCCCCAGCTGCTGTTGCCCACCGCCCACACCCTCAGCAGGCCCATGTCCACCGTATCATACTCACAGCACACATAGGCAGTACACGCCTGGCACGCTCTCGCTGTCCCTCAGCAAATAGCTGCCATCCAGCCCAGTGGCAAGCAGGAGCTTCTCGCCGGTTTCCCTGCTGATTTTGCCATGATACACAGCCACTGCGTCCATGGCCTGGTGGACTCTTGGGCAGGCCGAGGAGGAGAACTGTGCAAGGGAGATGCCGCTGCTACTGCAGCCAGGCACAAGTCAACCACCTGACTCCCAGTTCAGCCAGATGTGCAAAAAAGAGAGAAGCACCCCAACAACAGGATGTTGTCTACTTGCCTTAAACCTCCTTCTCACACTTCAGTTAAAACGAGCTCAGCAATTTAGTAGCTTGGTTCGATCGAGCTTGCCAAGGGCTTCCATCTTCTGCCCCCCAACACAGGGTTCATACAGAGAGGGGAGGAACATTGGAAGAAGGATTTTGCAAGATTGGGGCTGTACTGCCAACACACACCCTTGCACTCAGACGGGGATGCTTAGTAATGCTTCTGTTCTTGCGGTTTACTCAGAGGCCACCAGGAATAACTTAGCTCAACTAGCCCATAAGGAGTTGATGATAGAGGCAAGTTGTACATGTCTCTGTTGGTATGTGGACCCACTACGTAGGGCAAAAACACACTGACAAAATGAAAGGACCAAGAGCTCTGAGAACAAAACACTGATAGTTTTATCAGTACTGTCAGTATGCAATCATTACTGAACATGGCCATGAAGACTCCTACAGAATCAGACATAGTAGATGAACAGTGAACTCTGGGCAAGTTCTTCTTCTCCCTCTTCCTTCTACCTCACGCAGTCATCTTGAGAAGTCTTGATCCTGAGCAAATATTGATTTCTTTCCTAACACCTTGTCCAAGGTCCCAAAGTGCTAGTTGAGATACAAAAGTCACAATGTACATCCAAAGATGTTCCAGATGTATCTATTTGATGGGCTTTAGATGAGACTGTGAATCATTTAACTGGTGCTTTGCCTTTATGTGGATTTGTATGTGCCCTTTGGTGTACAGGGCCCACCTTTCAGCATTTTGTCCATAAAATCTGTTTTGAATCATTTGCAAGTTGTTGATAATTTTGTTGTAACTTTTATTCTCTGTTGTTTCTAGAAAATGTTATTTCTTCGATTGAGGCTAAACTGTCTTTAATATTTTAAAACCTTTCAACCTTCATTTTCTTCTCTGAAATAAAACATTGCTTCTATTTCAAAATGTGCTAGGTAATATTTCCGCAAAGCTTCCTGCATTTTCACTAGAGTAAGACTTTATTTATTGCTGAAGCTGAATGGTCTTGTACATGTACCTTTAGATTATGTAAAGTACTTTTAAAATTTGAATTTAAATAACTGAAGCTATGTCGTCTATTATATGCTTTCTGCAACTTCAGTGTGTAGTTCTTTGAGAATATGGCAAGGCTGGGAACTCAATAGCGAGAACGACACTTAATTCCTCACATGTCTTACCAATGGATTGGATGTACAGAGCTGACTTGCACCAAAGGCAGATATTTGCTCTTCATCTACTAGGATTAAGAACAATCCTCTAAGATTTCAGTGGTAGCTGGTAGCAACTTTTCTTCTTGATTGAAGAGTGTCCAGCCTTAGTATGCAAAGTATAAACATAAGTCTCCTACTAGTCATTTTCAGCATTAAGAATTTTTTTTTAAAGCATTCAAGGTGACATTTGGGGATGGCTCTGGGGAATGGGACCAATATTATTTTATCATCTTCCTTCCTCACATGTTTTTGACCAACTCCACCTCTTACCCCTTTTCATGCTTTGGATCAAGGAAGAAATTAATCTGATATATGAATGCATACTCCAACATTAAGGATTTGAAAGGTTGTCCACCTTGGGCTCTCCATATATTGAGCAGGCAAATGGTTAGCCCAGAGGAATTAATCAAAATGGTGGAATTTCAAATAGAAAGGAGACAGGGAAAGGGATCCCTTTATATCAGTCCATATGAGCAACAGCTGACCTGTGAGGTGAACTGTGAGAACATTCAGTGTCACATAAGTGAAAACAAAACCTAACCTTTTTTTGTCTCTTAACAACTCTGAACAAATCATCCATAAACTTAGGAACAGAGCAACCTGGATCTGACAGCACAAGCGTACCATGCACTCTTTTTTTCTTTCTCTGTTTTGTTCCATGTTGCTAAAATAGCACACCTGTCAAAGCAGCCAGGTATGACGGGGTTCAGCACAACTAAAATTGCACTAAAAAACAGATAAATTATAAGGTAATAGTACAACTTTCACATCCAGTACCTCATTGTCATCTTACAAGCAAGCTGACAGCTGAGCCAGCCGAGCCAGCCCACTAGTGCAGTGTTGATGAAAAATACTGACATCTTCACTCTAATCCTACACCAGTACTAAACCTGACTTTAGCAAATTCAAAACTTCACACTGAGCTTGAAGCGTAGAGAAAAGAGGAATTGAAATGACTCTCTTCCTTCTCTCCCCATACACACGAGAGGAAATGGGAGAAAATGAAAGAGGAGAGCAATGGAGATAGTAGAGGCACCAACAGAGAAAGAGTTAGGAAGAATGGACCCCAAGTACAAGTATAAACCACTTAGGAGCAGAATTATTTAATTAATGGTTTATCGTCTGTGTCCCCCACTAGAATGTAAGGTCCATGATGGAGGGATTTTGTGTACTTTGCTCACCACTGTATCCTGTGTCTGGCAAGTAGTAGGTGCTATATATATTTGTTGTGTGAATGAATGAATGAATGAACTTAATGCTCTCAATAAAAGAAAAAATACTGAAATTCTCTTTTACACTCACGCACACACACACACACACACACACAATATTGGTTCTACATGCCTATGGTCGTCTTTGAAATGACAAGATGAATTGGAAGGAGCAGTAGTCCAGTAAGTAGGAGAGTTGAAATATATGCCATGTTTTGCCACTAAATCACTTCTCTCTGAGTCTCATTTTCTCCATCTGTCAAATGGAATTGAACCAGATGACCCCTAAGGTCACGTCTAGGTTTAACATTCTATTCTCTAAACAAAAGCCAAATGTGTTTTAGAGAGAAACAGAGGGGAAATGAATTGAACTTATTTGTGCACAAGAACAAAGACCTGTTTCCTCAATCTCCCTCAATAAAGGAAATATTTTCATTCTTGACATTTTACAATAACTTAAGGGGGAAAATCATAGAATGGAGGAAGAGAGCTTCACAGTTACAACCTTTTAGAATATAGATGCCATTTAAATCAGATTATAAAAGCATTGAAATTTTAGAAAAACTGCCAGCCAAGGTTGAAAGTATCTTCTTAACCAAACTTGTCAACTCCTGAGGTCTCTGAGAGGTGACAGAATTTTGCATGTGGAAGCCCTGTCTGAGGTGCTAATTGTCTTCATTTCAAATGCCCTAGGCTATTCTCAAACCCAGGTAGATTAAAAGAATGATGCCAAGGGTGGTCAGTTTTATAGAGTGGCTCTGACATTTCAAAATCTTTTTCTCTGACCTTTCAAAACTAACTTTGTTCTTCCACTAGCTCATTTATAGGTGTGAATTCTCCTGTGACAGTGTTATGACAGTGTTACCTGTGGTGAGTTTACACATTCTCTCAGCACTTACTAAAATTCACTTCCTTTACAAAAATGATTAAAGAAAAAAATTGTTTTTTTTACAAAAGAGCACCTCCTTTTGATAATCTCTGGGTTTACCTATGAGGCCAATCTTTCTAAATGCCCTTTTTAAGTGAGAAGCCAGAGACAGGGTTGTTGTGTGTGTTTATTTAAGCCTGTCTTAAATATTTTTATTATTTCAACCAACACTTATGAGCATCTACCATATGCCAGACATTATAGTAGGTACTTAGGTTACAGAAAAGTACAGTATCTGCCCCTAAGTAGCTCATAGGTCCAGTGAAGAAGACAGACAAGCAAACAGACAATTATAATTCACTTAACAAGAGCTGAGATAGAGGAAAGGATGGGGCTCTAGGGACATAGTAGTGGCATATCTAACTCAACTTATATTCTAACTCGCACAATCTATTCGAGATGGAAAGTGTTTTTATCTTTCTGTCTGCTGTGTACAGGTTTTTTTTTTTTTATTGCACGAATTTTGCCTCCTTCGTGACTCAAAGGAAGTTCCCTCATTCTAGCTGAAACTCTGCATGCTTCTGAGGTTTCATTCTCGGAATAATAGCAACAGCTAATATTTGTTAACTGCATACTATATTCCAGGCATCCTGCTAAGCACTTTGAATGTATTATCTCATTTATTTATATCAACAACCCTGTGAAGCAAATACTATTATTAGTCTCATTTTACCGACAAAGAAACTGAAACCCAGAGAACCTAGGTAGCCTATTCAAGGTGGCACAACTGGTCAATGTCAGGCCCAGGATATGAACACAGGCCACTGACTGCAGAGCCTGTGCACTTCACCACTATCCTCTTCTGCCTCCCAACATTAATTCTGAGGTCACTGCACTGGATTGCTCAGGCTTCAGTCTCCTATCTAGCGACTGTAATCTGGACTTCTAGAATATTCTTCTTACATTTCAAGTGTCAACTGGTCCCATGCCCTGACTCATAGCATGTCTATATATAACTATATGTCTTATCAAATCAGATATACTATTTTAGCCTCATTCTCTTTATTTACTATGTCTTGGAAGGGTCTTCAGTTCACAGTCAAGTTTTGTTTCCTGGGTTTATGGGTCTGGAAACAGGATCATAAGCTCATCCATCCAAAGTAACAGAACACTGAGTAGTTTGGGTTTGGTTGGTTTGTTTTGTTTTGTTTTTAAAGTGATACGGATATTTTCTCTCCTGGGAAGACCTGGATACACAGATAAGGTCTTATCACCCCATTCTCCTTTTTGAATGTTTTCTAGACCAAATGAAGGCCACTCCTCATTAGTTTTTATCTTTTTCCATGAAGATAGATGTGATGGTATATGCGGTGTGCCTGGAGCCTAACAAATACACAATATTATTTTCTCCTACTAGCCTGTGAACTCCCGGAAGACAGAGATGATGTCATATTCCTCTTAGCACACCCAGAACCTAAAAGAGTACCTGGCACCTAGTTAGCTCCCTTCCTTTCCCCCTCTTTTTTCCCTTTATAGAGAGAACCCTCTGCAGAGAATGTGGCTTCTAATTTGCCTCAAGAAGTATATCATTTCTGACATTGACTTCTTTCACATTCATCACTTACCAACGTCTACCCTGTGGTCTGCCTCATTTTGGTTTATAGATATAACTCTTCACATCCCACACCTTGGCACCTGACACACAAATAAATCATCATGTACTTATTTGGCCTCATCAACCAGTTGCCTTTGGATCGCGACAGAATCTTCTTTCCGCCTCTCTTTATCCTGGGTGGGGGCCCTCAGGGTATGCTATCAGCACAAGAAAATATTACGTCTTTGTAAATGAGTCTGCGGCTTTTCATCTAAAAAATCTGTTCTCTTTCTTGAAAGCTCAAGAATAAAATTCCACCACTGGAGCTTTAATCGAAAAGATTAAAGTCCAAGAGACTCTTATTTTGTCTATATATTTTTGCCTGAACATTTTTAAAGAAATCTCTGATGTTTTCAAACACAGATGACCACTTTGATGTATACATCACAAATACCAAAATTTCGCGAAGGAATGGAATGAAGCGAACTATAAACATTTCCCTAAGCAGTTTTATAAATGCAAATGAAATATTATAACCCAGCAAACAAAACAGCTAGTGGTGAATTTCTAAATGCATTTTGTAGTTACATATGCAACATTGACATTATTTTGCTTTTCCTTCTCAGTAATAAATATTTCATGAAAAAAATGCTAGAATCATTGATCAGCGAGGAGTTAAATACTATGAGCCTTTTACAAAGCAAGTCATAAATGTTCTGAAGTTACAAAACTGTCTAGACGATATCAGGAATTGTAGTGGTAAAGGTATGAAATTTTCAATACTTGTCCAATCTTTTTCCTTCCTAGAACCAACATGGTTCACTGAAACTATCAAAATAAACATATATATCAAGCAAAAAATAAATGAGATTAAATCTCCTGTAACTTTTACTTACAGACAAAATCCTCAGATAGCTCATTGTCATCATTTTATAAACACTGGGGTATGGTTTAATGCTGCCTACCACAAAAGTAATCGTAGGTTTCTGCCTTGTGTTAAATTATTTTTATAATGTAGTGCAGAATAAAGAGTAAAATCTAAAATAGCAGATATAGACACAAGCAACAAAGTGCTGGAAAATGTCTCAAGTGAAGCTGTAATACCACATATTATTTTGAAGTAAAACAAAGCCAATTTTCCTAGCAACCTTTTTGTAGACTGCAGACACAATTCGGAACCATCTGGCTATCATGGAAGCTTTGGAACCCAAAATGGTATATACTGCACTTCTCTAAAATCCTTTAGCACTCACTGGCATTTAACATGTATTAAAACTACTAGCTTTCTACAGAGGTTGTTCCTGAAATTGTGTTCCCAAGGTTCATAGAATTTTAAGAAGGTAATATTGATTTTGAGGTATTGTCAATTTTACAAAGAGCCTAGTAAAATGGTCCATTTGCTGGGATTAGGCTGCATGTAATAATAATAATAATAATAGTAATAATAATAATAATGGAATTCATTGAATCCTCACCAAAATCCTAAATGAAAAATGGCAAGTGGCTGCTTTTAGGTTAGAATTATATTTGGTAAGAATTTGTATGAGAGAACTTTATAGTTATATAGGTTTCCTTAATTTTAAATGAACAAGCAATCTTTTATTAATTGATGTCATTTGACATGCATACAGAATATTTTAAAAGCTGGCATCTACAAGCAAAAAAATATGATGGAACAATTGATGAAAAGACTGCGAACTGTTTGGTGCATATTTACCTTATTTCTTCTAATAGAATACAAGGTCACTGAGGGTAATAACGATCACTTCCACAGAGTGAAGCATATTGCCCAGCTTATAACAATCCTGCCTTGAATGAATGCTGTTTACTTGATGTGTAAAGTAATAAAATAAGCTAGAGATTTCTAGTGGCATTGCTTACCTTTAAAATTATCACTCAGGATGATATGGTGCTTTTCCACAATTGCTTTATGCCCCAGAGAAGTTAGCCTAGACGGACCAGGATCTGACCTAGTAGAGTAATTCTTAAGTCCATTGAAGAGAGTGCCTCCAACAGTGAACCAAATAGGGAGTTGTGCTCAAAAAATTGTGCTAGGTCTCCTGGGATTATTAATACCCAGTGCAGCAACACTTACTATGTCTATTTCACTATTTCTGAACCCTTTTCTTAAACACCAAAGAATAAACAGTATAGAGAATGAGAAAAATCTGTTCAACAGCAACCTCATAAGGTCACAGGCTAGGGCTGTTGAGTATCATTAAGTGTATGTGAGTTTTAGTGCCAGTGGATGCACTGACTCTATCACATGCTAGAAGTGAAGAAACCACTGAAGAGTGTTGTGCAGCACCTGTACCACATAAGAAGCAGCCGCTACCATTCCGTGTTGAGTCTTTACAAAGCATGTGATAAGGAAGTTATGTGTTTCTTTGCCATTCTGTTGTAGATTTAGCACCATAATGTAAAAAACATCCCCGTTTGGCAACATGAGCCTGAAGTTTTCAAAATCTAATTTTCCCCTCCTTCCTCACTGGAAAAAAAAAAAAATATATATATATATATACTGTATATTGGACTTATACAGCTGCCACCTTATTCACTTAAAACAAAAACTGAATAATTCAGACAGACTTTAGGTAAGCAGTCAAGATGTGTCCTATCTTAATACTAAACTCAGATATAAACTTTTCGTAAGTCCAGTCTGCTGAATCAGCACAAGTCATGCCCACTGCCTAAATCATTGCCCTTATTTTGCAGTCTTGGTGACTAAGACAATAAATGGCCCTACTCAGTGGCAGCCTGGGTTATCGATCACATATCCCAAAATTTGGAATTTTTTTTTTTTATGAGACTGAGTCTTGCTCTGTTACCCAGGCCAGAGTGCGGTAGCATGATCTCAGCTCACTGCAACCTCCAGCTCCCGGGTTCCAGCAATTCTCCTCTCTCAGCCTCCTGAGTAGCTGGGACTAAAGGCACATGCCACTACACCCGGCTAATTTTTCTATTTTTAGTAGAGACGGGGTTTCACCATATTGGTCAGGCTGGTCTCGAACTCCTGACCTCAGGTGATCTGCCCACCTTGGCCTCCCAAAGTGCTGGGATTATAGGCTTGAGCTACCACACCCAGGCAAAATTTGAGATATTCTAAAAGAGCAGCTCCACAACCACCAGACTGCCACTATACCTCAAATTCCCTCCATCACAGTCATTTCTTTGGGTTTAGGTATTATGATCCCTGTTAAAATGCACATGTATCCCTCAGTAAGGGTAAAACCTTAGGTGGTGTGATATGATGGAGAGTACAGACATTGGAACTAGTAAAATTTCATTTTGAAGCCAGGCTTCACTAAGTCCCAAATTTGGGTATTACCACACCTGTAAATTGGGGGCAATAGTACCCACTTTGAAAACTATTAATATGGGTACCTATAATACCTTACAGTCATCAAAAGGGACAATGTCCTTAGAGTACCTAACACATAGTAAGCACTCTAATGGTAGCTCTTACTATGATTAATAATCTCATACACTCATGACCACAGGATCCAGAGCAGAACCCTGAAGATAGAGAAAGGGAACTAATACTTGTGGGGCTCAGAGACATTCAGTAAATTCTTTGGGGTCACACAGCTACTGAATAATAGATCAAGTAGTTGAACTCGTTTTCTCTGTCTCCAAAGCCCAGGTTTATGCCACAGAAACCTGCTGCCTTTTCTTGCATGTATGCAGCCTGGAAGAGAGTAGTGATCTGACAGCCTCAATGATTCATATTGTTTTGAAAAAGGTTGCCCCTGAAAGACTGTGTAATCATATTAAAATATATAAAAGCTATACACAGGGTGAGTCTGTTTTTATAAAGGCCTAAAAGCATGCCAATTAACAACAGAGTCCATTTTGAAGCCATAAAAGAAACAACTATAGTGAAATCTAGAATGACCTGCTGGTATACGAAAATGGATTATGCTGAAACATGTCCAAGTCTCATCTGTATCCCATCTTCCCAAAATTCCAAGGAGCTATCAGCCCACATGAGTATCATAAAACCAGCCCCCAATCCAGAAAACCTAGCTTTGGGTCTGACATCCCTAATGGATCCCTTCCTCTGAAGTGCTCCCCTCCAAAGTAACCAAGGACCTCCCAGTAATCATGACTCTGAGGGAAGTGAGAATGCTGGCGGGGCAAGGTCACTTTTGTTCTCTGTCCCCATTCCTGTGCCCATACCAAGCAGGTAGCCAGCCTCCACTCCCCTTCACCTCAGGGAACATTTGTCTTGTGAGCAGACAGGCTACAGCCTGGCTGTTTTCCAGAATCCTAAACAACTTGATAGGATTATGCATAGGGGAGAGGGGACAGTGACTTGGAAGGCAGAAATGCAGGAGGAAAGTTTCTGTTCATGGGACATTAGGGGACCTCAGGGAGACAGGATCTCAGGGAAATGGCTTCTTGGTACACAGAAGGCTGGCTTCCAGGCATCAGAGCTCCAAGCCTAGGTAGAAGCACCCTCCCCAACTCACCCCTCCTGCCCCACCACCCTGGAGCAGAAGATATGCTAACCTTCACGGGACCATGTGGACTTGGACTGTGAGGATAGAAAGGACAATCATGATGGATTGAAGGTCCTACAGAAGTGCCCCCAATTCTTGGGTAATTCCTCATAAGAGGAAGGCCCCTCCGGTAGTAAATGAGATTGAACTTCAGTGGGATGAAGGAAAGATGAAGATTTAAGCTTCCACCTCTGAGAAAATTTGCCCTGAGATACACACTACACAGAAGACACAGCAGTCCAGTGCACACTCTTTATTACTAGTTAGGATCAGAAAACCCCTGACAAAGGTTGATTTTGGTGAGCTGGGCGGGATCTTACAGGGAAACTTGAAGACATCTTTAGCTTGGACTGGAGGCAGATCTAACCCACCATCCCTGAGCTCTACCCTGGATCCCTCCTTGCCTTGCAGCAGCTGCCTTGGGGGAGCCTGCAGAGAACACGCCAAAGAGGAAGGGTCCAGGGGCATTCCCAAGAGTGCTCGCCCCTGTCCAGTTTTATTTTTAACCCAATTAGTCCTCTCAAGAGAAACACCATCCATAGCCCACAGCCCTTATGTCTGTCTGTCTGTCCTTGAAATCCATTTTGTTCTTCATCCACCTATTGACTAGAAAGGGACTTGGAATGGGGGCAGCCCGAGGCTGAGGGCTGGAGTGTGTAGTGAATACTCCTCAGAGCACTGTCTTTCTTCAAGACACCCCAGTGGTCTTTCAGGCAGGCTTACTGGCAGCCAGGAAAATATCTGTCCCTCTCAAAGGAGGAAATCAGCAGACAATCAGAAAAGCCCTGCCTGCACTTCTGTAAGACCACTTTCCTGAACTTTGCCACTGCTTATTTGTCTCACCTGCAAACCAATGAGACTAGCAGTTTGGTTACTCAAGACCTTTCATGCAAGTCTCTTTCACATTGCCCACAAAACTGCAAAAATGGATCTAGATGTTATTTAAATTGGTTTTACCTAAGGCAACACTACATGCAAGGCAAAGAAGATACCCCTGATCTAATTTGTATCCCAAATTATGCTCTCTCCTATCTTCTAACCAACTCAGCAACAAGGATTATGATGTGTGCACCAAATAATAACCTATAAGTCTAGCTCCTAACACATATTAGACAATAACTATTTAACAAACTAAACGAAATTCATCAAAGTTGCTACCATCTACAGAATTGAACACAACCCCCCAAACTCTTCCAAGTTAATTCCTTGTCCCAGTGGAAAAATTCAATTCTAACAAAACAATTCTGCTCTTCCTTTTCCCCCAATGAGTGTCAAATCATCTCTTCTTCTCTGACTTCCTCTTACTCCTCTCTGCTGCAGCCAGTAAGTCTGCAGTCAGTCTCACTTTCTTTTGGCTTTGGAAGATCTTCTAATGGAACAGGTTCAGCTTCTTCAGCAACAAGCAAGTTTGGTGGGGCTGAGATACAAAAACAGAACCTCACCTATAAAACCAACAAAGCAAAATGAAGAAAACATGAAGATTGCAGTAGTTTCAAAAGGAATAATAGCATTTTCAAGGAAGTGTGGTGATTCTAAAATTTGTTTCCAAAGGAATAACAGCATTTTCAAGGAAAAGTACTGTTCCTAAAATTCAACATATCTTCTAACTCTAAAATCACACAACTGCTCCCAGCCACATACATGGCTTTTTCAGGAAAAGGAGTGAAACAAAAAGGAAAAGAAAAGGCTTCATGACTTCAGCTTCTCCAGGGTATTAACCAATCAGCATCGGCCATCCAGAATCCACCACCTGCAAAATTTAAATGCAATCAGGAGAAATCAAAAGTAGTCCATCTCTGTTCAAGTAAATGAATAACATGAGAATATAAATGCATATATATTTGTATGTATGTGTATCCAAAACAACTTTTAAAATGGCTAATTTGGGTAATGGGATAATAAATTATTTTATTTAATTTTCTCCATAATTTGGGGTTCAATTTTTCTGTGAAGTAAATAAGTTATACTTTAATCAGAAGAGGGTCTTAGGAAATTGCTTTCTCTTTGAAGTGTGTCCATTCTTACTTACCTTCCTGAAATCACTGAGTTTGTCCTCCACTCTCAAATGGCACACAGGCTTTCTTGCATTTATAGCAGGCCGTACGCCATGAAAAATTAATGGCTTTACACCATGGGCATTTCCAATTCACTGGAACTGGAAATGAGGCAGGCTTCTCCTGCTGCTGGGATCCCGAGACTTTATTCACTTTTGGTTTCTTGGCCTTCTGCCTCTGAGGTTGCCATTTCTTTGGGCTTTCTCTGACACCATGGCTCCTGCTGTCCCCCAGGGGAGTGCCCTGGGGCCTCTCTGGACCTTCTTCTGGTTTGCAGCTCCTGCTAAACACCAGGGTGGCCATCCCCTGGGCCCTCTCTCGGCTTCCTTCCTGGCTATAGCTTCTGTTGTCTCCCTGGAGGACAATCCTCTGGGGCCCCTCTGGGCCTTCTTCCTTGATATGACTTCTGCTGTCCCCCAGGGGAGTGTCCTGGGGCCTCTCTGGACCTTCTTCTGGTTTGCAGCTCCTGCTAAACACCAGGGTGGCCATCCCCTGGGCCCTCTCTGGGCTTCCTTCCTGGCTATAGCTCCTGTTGTCTCCCTGGAGGACAATCCTCTGGGGCCCCTCTGGGCCTTCTTCCTTGATATGACTTCTGCTGTCCCCCAGGGGAGTGTCCTGGGGCCTCTCTGGACCTTCTTCTGGTTTGCAGCTCCTGCTAAACACCAGGGTGGCCATCCCCTGGGCCCTCTCTGGGCTTCCTTCCTGGCTATAGCTCCTGTTGTCTCCCTGGAGGACAATCCTCTGGGGCCCCTCTGGGCCTTCTTCCTTGATATGACTTCTGCTGTCCCCCAGGGGGACAGTCCACTGGGGCCTCTTTGGACCTTCTGGTTTGCACCTCCTGATAAACACCAGGGTGGCCATCTCCTGGGCCCTATCTGAACATCCTTCCTGGCTGTAGCTTCTGCTGTCTCCCTGGGGGACCGTCCCCTGGGGCCCCTCTGGACCTTCTGATTTGTGGCTCCTGCGAAACACCAGGGTGTGCATCCTCCGGGCCCTCTTTGGACCTTCTTTCTGATTTTGTCTCTCTCTGTTCCCCAGGGGATCCATCCCCTGGGGTCCTTCTGTACCTTCTTCCTGGGAGTGGCATCCGCTGCTCCCCAGTGGGGCTGTCCCCTGGGGACTCTCTGACAGCGGGTTGTGGCACCCACTGTCCCCGGGGAGGGGCATTCTTTGGGACCTCTCTGAACCTTCTCCCTGGCTGTGGCTTCTGCTGTCTCCTAAGGGGAATGACCCCTGAAGGATTTTGGAATCTTCCTCCTGGATGTAGCTTCTCTGGTACCACAGAGGGGCCATCTCCTCCTGGAAGCCCACTGCAGGCCACGGGCAAGGTGGGTGGATCTCAGTAGGAGGCATCTGAAGTGGGACTGCTGCTGCTTCTGCCCCCGTGACTACAGCAGGTGGTAGAGGTGGCAAGGATGGGAATTTCATTGGGAATGGTGGTGGGTGTGGGAATGGATGTGGCACTGGCAGAGGGGGTTGCATGCCCTGGGCCCAGGGACTCAGAGGTCCTGGCACATAAAGAACATCTGTCGGGGTTGGCATCTGGGCATTAGCATGTGTCCCCATGGCCACCATATCGCTCTGCTGCTCTGTAGCCAGGGGACATGCCGCAGCCCCATTCTGCTCTGCTTGCGGCCCAGACATTATTTCATGGGCCAGTGGAGCGGCCTGGGGAAACCTCTCGATCTGGAGCAGCCTCCCGTACAGCCCATCACGCTCATTCAGCGCCTGCTGCAGGGCAGCCTGCGCGAGGTGCAGCTGTGTTGCCGCCACCTCATGCTCCAGGCGCAGCTGCTGCAGCTGGGACGTTAGAGCCCAGGAGGTCGCCTGGCGCTCCTCCGCATGCCTTTGCAGCCGCCGAACGTGGTGCAGCAGCTCCTCCCGCTGCCTCGTGGCCACTCGCACGCTCAAAGCCAAAGCGCTCCAGGTACAGGCCCTCTTGATGGCGCGCGGCACCTGAGAGTCGGCCACAATGGCCTGAAGGCTGTCCTCTACCTCGTTCCACGGCCGCGAGCGGAAGGCCACGTAAAAGGCTGGGCCGCTGCCGTCCATGAGGACTTCATTGTTAATGAACCTGATCACATCATTGTGGCGGAAGCCGCTGGCATGGTCCCCAAAATTCATCGCCATGGCGGCTGTGGCCTAGTCAAGCAGCTGCCTCACGGTGCGTCGCCTCAGCTGCTGCCGCCACTTCCGGTACCGGCTGCTGCCGACAACCAGTCCACCCCTCACCTCCCCTTTCAGTCTTACTTTAGTCCTTGCTCAGTCCTGGCCTCCTCCTTGGCCTCCTTCCTCCCTCACTCCCTGGTTCTCACAAAGAGAGAAGCAGGTCCCCCTCGCCACACCGAACCCTACCGGCGACTCCGCGACATGTCACAGAGAAAAGCTGAGTCGTGCCGCAAGGCTGGCTGGGACCGGCAAGGCTTGCTGGGACCAGCTTCATTTGGCACAGCGCTCCCCACAGGGAAAATCGGTGCGCTGCAGACTGTAGTGACCCAACAGAACCTTTGTTTCCAATAGCTTAGGAAGGACAATATCCAGTATCATGGAATGAATCCCTAGCCAGGTGATGGAGTTGGATAGGTGTATATATGGGTGCTGTTCTTGTCTCACCTCCATCTCTTGTACTCTCAATTACTACTTCAAACATTCCATAGAGTTAGTCATGCTATGTGCACCCTTCCCTTAGCTCCTGAACAGGTGAACTTAGAGTCCCTGTCATCAAGAAAAGCAAGTAATTGAGCCATGAAGGTCCTGTAAATTCATTTCCATCTTTATCTGGTCAACCCAGATCTCAGAGGGTATCTCTTTTTCCTTTTGGCTAAATGCTCGTCCATGATCTGGATCTTCCCTAGGAGAAATGCTAAAGGGAGTCCTCTGGGCTGCACTAGACAGTAACTAGAATTCAAACAAAAACCACACGGTAAAGATAACAATGTAGGTAAATACACAAGACAAGATTAACGTATTTTTGGCTTGTAACTTACTTTTTTTTTTTTTTTTTTTTTGACGGAGTTTCACTCTTGTTGCCCAGGCTGGAGTGCAGTGTTAGGGATCTCGGCTCACCTCAACCTCTGCTTCCTGGATTCAAGCAGTTCTTCTGCCTCAGCCTCCCGATTAGCTGGGATTACAGGCACCCACCACCATGCCCGGCTAATTTCTGTATTTTTAGTAGAGATGGGGTTTCACCATGTTGACCAGGCTGGTCTCGAACTCCTGACCTCAGGTGATCCATCCGCCTCAGCCTCCCAAAGTGCTGGGATTACAGGCTTGAGCCACCACTCCTGGCCCCAAAAATATTTTTTTAAGAAAAGAGAAAGAAGGCCGGGTGCATTGGCTCATGCATGTAATCCCAGCACTTTGGGAGGCTGAGGTGGGCAGATCACAAGGTCAGGAGATTGAGACCATCCTGGCCAACATGGTGAAACCCGTCTCTACTAAAAAAAAAAATACCAAAATTAGCTGGACGTGGCAGCGAGTGCCTGTAATCCCAGCTACTCAGGAGGCTGAGGCAGGAGAATTGCTTGAACCCAGGAGACGGGTTCAAGCACCCAGGAACCCAGGAACAGCACCATATATTGACTCTGTTTTGGGAAACTCCTTTAATGCTTACCCAGATCATTTATAATGCTGCGTTTGCCTTTACTTCCTTTGCCTTTACTTCCTGCTTGTGGCAAACCTGAAAGTCAGCAACAAGTAGAAGTATAGGGTCTTCTCAGGCCTTTTCTGAGCATGTCCAGTCTTGGGCATGTACAAGGCTTTCTCAATTCCCTGGTTTACATTATGGGTTTTAAAAGCCCTCATTCTCCCACATATCTCTTTTTCCCACCCTCTTTCTTCCCAGGATTTTTGGTCTATCTATTGCTTGTGTTGACTGCTATCCCTTGTCCCAGGCTGCTACAGCCAATACTTTTGCCTTTAAATGCTTTTGGTAAATGCCACCTGGAAAGCTGCCCCATCCCTGCAAATTCTGAGTCAGATGGGCAAAACAGAAGTAAGCCCTTACATCTGTCCTTCAGGGAGCTATCAGACAGATTAAAACACACAACCACAATTATTTGAGAATAAGGTCTGTATTGCTCCATCTGGCACATGGCATCCTGTACCAGGAGTACAGGCTACTGTCTTCATGGCTGCCTCCAATCTAGTGTGTGGGGAAAGGGAGACAGGCAATTTGAAACACCAGAGAACTCCCTTACTGCAAGGCAGCAGCTTCTTTCTTCATTTGGCTTTCCCCTGGTTGTTATACGCTTTGACTAGATTCCAGAGTTCCGCAAAAGTTAATTCTGACAGTATTTTCCAGCTCCATTAGATGCTTTTATGAAGGGATAGGACCTCAATTTCTCTACTTCGCCATTTTTTTTATAAAGAGAGCTATCATATCCCAAAACTATTAATATCCCAAGTAAGATTAATTTTATCTCCTTGTCACCTATCACTCATCCTTCCAGCTCAATCACCACCTCTTCCAAGAAGTTTTTCCTGACCACTACACCACCAATACTGTGTAATTAGTTTTTTTATTCTTCTTTCTCTTCAACTAGACTTAGTCCCTTGAGAACCGAGATTGTGGCCTTTCATCTCTGGATTTCTAGCACCTGATATGGTTCCTATTACATGTATTGCTTATAAATGCCAAGAAGAGGGAACAAAGTAATGGAAGATAGTGAAAAAGGAAAGAAAAAGGGGAAAACAGAGACTACTTCATGAGTTCTATAATCTTGGTTAAAAGTCAGACTGAAAGCTGTAAGAGAATATTCTTGTCATATTTTCAATTCAGAGAAAAATAATTTTTTAAAGACACATACTTCCCTAAAGAAAAGCATTCACTGTATCCAAACTGATGTATCTATCTTTTGGGGAAGTGCTTTCATATACTGTTAAACTTCATAACAATTTCAAACTATTTCCAAATTAATGTAACAACACTTCATAAATGCCAATGTGTTTTTAAATTATTAACTTTAAAGTCCTTTGGCCTTTCAGCCCTTTATGGAATCAATTTCCACTATATTGAGACAGGAAGGTGATATATAATGGCCTATAAAATGAGATTTAAAGGGTAACCTGGCTGAGTTATCATTCTTGATAAAACAATGATAATATCACAAATACCACCACACTTTACTTTGCAGGTGTGCAAGTTTGCAAAGTGTGAATGTATGTTTACAAGAGGTAGAACAATTCAATTGCATAAATTAATCAATCTGAGAAACCACATTAAAAACATAGCTAATTTTTACATGATTTTCAGTAAGTTCTTATACTTTCAATTTTAGTATAACCTCTGTCACAAAGCCTTCATAACAACTCTAAATGATAATCATTGATGATAAAGGAAGGAAAATAACATTTTAAAGTTCATAGTATTAGTATGTATCTACGTTTGTGCAGATTTAATCTCCTAGGAATCAAAGGTGGTAAACAGAATAGAGAAAAGGCATATGGAGTAAATATAAGCTATATATGCTGAGTACTGAGGAACAATTTTCATGCCGCTTTAGGAAAATTTACACCTTTTATTACATATACTTTCTTTTCTTGTACTTTGTACCCACAGTGACCCATTCAATACAGCTACCCAACAGATGCCAAAAGAAAAGAAAGGAGGCAGCTAGGCAGTTAATCTCAAAAAGACTAGAGTCACATCCCCTTAATTTTTTTTTTCCATGTGAGCAGAATACATGGGCAGAAGCCCATAGTCAATAATCAACGCAAGTGTGAGCACAGCTGAGCACAATGGCACATTGTAAGTGAATATACTTTACAATCAATTTCATCAGACCCATCTTGACAACACTCATGGTTATTATTGTGTATGTGGTAAAATTAGCCATAAAGAGTAAGCAGACATAAATTTGTTTTCCATAGACAAACGGTTTTTGTATTTTCTTTCTTCTTGTTAGCCCTTTAGTATCTGTAAGTAACATCCCTATTGAATATTCTCACGGAAACCATTCACAAATTTACACCTCCCACCTCCACCCCCACCACAAACACACCCATACACACAATCTCTTATGTCTGCTTACATGCCAATGTGGCCTGGAGGACTCAAGGAAGCAGGAACTCTGGGACATTTAAGCTCTAGCCAACTAACTGGCTGGCAAGTCAGACTTAGATCACCACTCTTGGAGGGAAGGGCAGGGGCAGATGATTCATCAGCCAAGTGAAGGGGTATGAAACAAAGGAGAATGTATGCTGAATCCCCAAGGATCTGAGAGTCTTAAGGTTGGGGCAGAAGGTAGGAGGCTGAAATATAAAGGGAAGAACCAAGTAGGTTGCAGATCTATGAGCAGTTAGTTACCCCAGGATGAGCATAGACTGACTGGTACAGAAAGGCTGGGGGAAACAACCTTTAAGAAAAATCGCTGGACCTGAATTGGAGGAAACTGACAGGCCCCTTTGGCTTGGCAATTATTAGAAATAGCCTATCAATAGCGCCACTTACAAAAATTAATATAAATACATCGATACTAGGAGTATAAAATGACTGCTACTCTGGTTTTGATCTAATGGCAAGAGGGTGACTTCTGAAAGCACTAGATACCTGAAGGTCCAGTAGGCTATATCTGACAATTGAATAAACCAGAAGAGGTGAAGTCAGCATCTATTTTGCACTGGTGAGGATAGTACTGACAAGCCCAACCCCACACCACCCCACAATCTCTTTTTGAAATGCCACTTGAGCTACCATTGTCATTTTTCCACCACTGTCTTGAGCCTTGAGCAATGAGGTACAGATTGCTATTAGACAGTGAGATCCAGTAGGATTTTATCAAAATTTCCTAATCTAAGGAGGACAGGCCCAAAAGCCATTGATAGAAGAAATCAATTTTCCTTTCAGACTTCACTCATGGCTAAGAAGAGAGGATGGTGACTTTGTCACCAATTTGTCCAGTGCCTGGAATCCGCACTCCATTATTATCTTGCTTTCCACAAGGCAGTGTCTAGAAAGCAGACCACTCTCTGAAGGTGCCACCCCATTCTTTAGAAATTTGGGATTTGAGTTTAGAAGAATCCAGATCACACAGTGCCTTGTGCCAGGTAAAGGCACTCATCACTCACTCCCATAATAAATATAATCCCCGCCCCTGACACACACACATACAACTTAGAGGAGACAGACACTGCACCCAATAGAGGAGAAAAATAAAAAAAAAAATCAGCCCTGCTCTCTGCCCAAGGGCACACTCAGAGCCCTGTACCCTCACCAGAGGTGCTTCTACTCTAAAGTGCCATATGTCATCTCTCTTGGGAATGTACCTTTTCCCATCTGCCTTTACTGACCCACATCTGAATGTATGCTTTTGACACTTTCTTGCTCATGATAACAGCCATGATTTAGGGAGTGTTTACTATGGGGTTATTACACAAAAAATGCCTTTACTTCATTTAATCCTCAAAACAACTCCATGTATTAAAGGTACAATTATCAACCCATTTTACAGACAGAGGCACTGGGGCTCATAAAGGTTAAGCATAAGTAATTTGCCCAAGATCACACAGCTAGGAAGTGGTGGACTTAACAGTGTTGTGAACACTTTGTCATACTTGCTTTAGAACTTTTTACTTAAAGAAATTTGATGTTAGTGATACAACTAAAGTCCTCCTGTATCATATTTTCTCCTTCCCTCCCTTGTGCCTTCCATCCTCAAAACTAACCCAAGCCATATACCTTGCTGTGTATGTTTTTATAGATATGTATTTATCTATAAACATTATGTAGTATTACCTCTGTGGTAAACAATATCAACTTTTTCAAATTTGCATTGTTCACTTTACATGATATTTTCCATATCTTCCTATGTTGATAACTGTAGGTTAGTTCATTCATTTTAACTGCTGTTCACTCTTTGAATGTGCAGTTATGTTATTTCCAGTATTATCATCATTAGCAACAGTTGCAATTAACAACATTGTACATGACTGGTAGTATACATCTGTAAGTATATACTTAGAAGTGGAATTTCCCCATGCATGCATCTACAATCTTATTATATATTACTAAATTTTTCTCCAGAAAAGTCTTACAAGATTATATTTCAATCTGACTACAAATACAGAATTTCTGTATTCTTGGAACTTACTAAACAGGGCCATCTTAAATATGATAGCACAGTTAAGACAATTGATGCCTAAGAGAGGGAAAACAAGATGGTTCTCTCTCTTGGCTTGGTTCCCAAGCCAACTGCCCATGACAATCACCCAATAGGCTTATAGAATGCAGATTTCAAGGTGTGGTCCCAGATCTACTGAATTAGACTCTTTAAGAATGGGATGGCTGGGTGAGGTGGCTCATGCCTGTAATCCCAGCACTTTGGGAGGCCAAGGTAGGTGGATCACCTGAGGTCAGGAGTTCGAGACCAGCCTGACCAACATGGTAAAACTCCGTCTTTACTAAAAAATACAAAAAATTAGCTGAGCATGGTGGTGGGTGCCTGTAATCCCAGCTATTCTGGAGGCTGAGGCAGAAGAATTGCTTGAACTCGAGAGGCAGAGGTTGCAGTGAGCCGAGATCATGCCATTACACTCCAACCTGGGCAACAAGAGCAAGACTCTGTCTCAAAGAAAAAAAAAAAAGAGTAGGACCTCAAAATGCTCACCAGATGATCCAGATACAGTTGATCTGTGAACTCAGAGTTTGTATCAGCTGTATTCTGACCACACACCATGCACACTATTCCAGATTTTTCTCTTCTTTAATCATATATTAATTAGACTATTAGAAAGCAATATATGTGGCTGCACTACCATAGAATATGTACCTGGCTTTTACCAAAGGACTGCCAGCTGAGGAGAAGAAACTGGAAGCAAAGAAAGAAGAATCTGAGGAGTCTGATGATGACATGGGCTTTGGTCTTTTTGACTAAACCTCTTTTATAATGTGTTCAATAAAAAGCTGAACTTTAAAAAAAAGATTGGGGTTTATCATGTAATTGTTTCATTTTGTTGTATTCTGTGTTAAGATTTCTAATTAAATTAAGAAAAAAGTACTTTTTTTAGCTGCCCAAATTTATCAACAGCAGCCAGACAAGGAAAGGAAAACACCTTATGCTGTAAACTTTAAACAAAAAAGAACCAGGAGAAAAAAGTTTATGATACCTCTAAACCCACCTTCACTTTCATAATTAATACTGAGGAAAGGAGTCTCGACAAAAGTCTGGCAACTTTCAGTAATTTTCTTCCAATTATACAGATGTGGTCTGTGACAGTGAATAGAAGTAAAATTTCCTAATTTTTCTTGAGTCCATTTTGTTATATAATATTTTCTAGGAATTTTTAAACTTTATCTAAATTTTCCAATATACTCATTTATAATATACTCATCTCTTCAATGTCTGTAGCATAAGTAGTGATACCACATTTTTCATTTCTGATATTAATTAGACATTTTCTTATTGTCTTCATCGGTCTTGGTAGAGATTTCTCCATTTCATTTAGAAGGAATGACTTTTGCTGGTCCACTCTGTTGCATTATTATTTTGTATTGTATTTAATTAATTTCTGTTTTGTTTTTTTTTTTTTGTTTGGTTTTGTTTTGTTTTTGAGGCAGATTCTCACTCTGTTGCCCAGGCTGGAGTGCAGTGGTGTCATCTTGGTTCACTGCAACCTCCGTCTCCTGGGTTCAAGCTATTCTCGTGCCTCAGCCTCCTGAGTAGCTGGGACTACAGGTGCGTGCCACCACACCCAGCTAATTTTTGTATTTTTAGTAGTATTGGCCAGGCTGGTCTCAAACTCCTAACCTCAGGTGATCTGCCCACCTTGGCCTCCCAAAGTACTGGGATTATAGGTGTGAGTCACTGTGCCCAGCTAATTTCTGTTCTTTTTTTTATTGAAGTAGAAATGATATTATTTTTATTATTTTTTTTGCATTTCCATATACTTTTTTTCTGTATGTTATTGGGGTACAGGTGGTATTTGGTTACATGAGTAAATTCTTTAGTGCTGATTTGTTAGATTTTTGTGCACCCATTACCCTAACAGTATATACTGCACCATATTTGTAGTCTTTTATCCCTCCCCGCCTGCCACTCTTCCCCTCAAGTCCCCAAAGTCTACTGTATATTTTTGTTCTTACTGACAATGTTGAACATTATGTGAGCCATGTACTCCCACCCTTCTGTGCTCTGGCTAACTTGTAAAGGACCACCATGCTGTCATATAACCCAAGAAAACACCCACCTGCACTCTTCCGCAATGCAGAAAAGACCCATCTCTATCCTCCTCATGTCCCATAAGACTTACTTCCAATTTCCTTGTTTATCTGCCTCTATTAAAACCTCCAGGCTCCCTTCCTTTTGTTTGAGACATTCCTCACTAAGGTACATTCACTGGATTTCAATAGCCTGATTTAAGTCATCTTCTTAATTATCTGGTGCATTTTGTCTTTTACATTACCTTTTTTGTTTTCTTCTTTCTATGATCTTTGGGTTTTTTCTTTTTTAACGTCATGAACTTTGTTCATTAAATTCGAACCATTCTTCTTTTTAATATAGATATTTAAGGCTGTAGCTTTCCCTTCAGGTAGTACTTTACTGCATACCACAAGTTTTAATATGTAATATGTCCATTGTCACGTAGTTCAAAATATCTCCTAATTTCCATTATGATACAAGAGTTATTTTGAAATCTATTTCTTACTGTCAAAATTATGGGGATTTTCTAGTTTTTATTATTGATATCTATTTTAATGCACTGAAGTTGGAAAACACACACATGATTTCAATTATTTGAAATGCATTATGACTGTCATGGCCCAGTTCGTGGTCATATTTGATAAATGTTTTATGTGTGCTTGAAAACTATTTAATTCTGATGCTTTTGGCATAGTAATCTATATCGTTTTTATGAAGTCAAATTTGTTCATTGTACAATTTGAGCAACAAAATTAATAACTATAATATTGGATTATAACACAAAGAATAAAATAAGAGTTTATACTGATATAAATAAATGATAGAATAAATATATAGATGGGGGAAATGTACACATCTCCTATGCAAAAGAATTCAAAATAAATTATGTAGATACTCCACCCTAAAGTAAGGGGAGCGTAACTGTCCATTCCTTGAATATGGGCTGAGATCAATGACACAATTCCAAAGAATAGAGTATGGAAAGGGAAAAATAGTAACTTCACAGTAGAGAAACCTGGCAGACACCACCCTAACCAAGTGATCAGAGTTAACATCACCAGTGAGAAGTCATATTGAAATAATGTACCCCCTGATATGATGCGATGAGATGGGTACTTCACTTCTATGGATGATGTGATGAGATGGGTACTTCACCTTTATGGTATTCTTACCAATAACTCATAACCCTACACTAATCATGAGAAAACATCACATCAAACCCACATTGGGAGACATTCTACAAAATACCTGACCATTTGAAATTGGCAAGATCATGAAAAACAAAGAAAGACTGAGAAACTGTGACAGATCAGAGAAGAAAAGGAGACATGACAGCCAAATGAAATGTGATATCCTGGATTGGTTACTGGAAAAGAAAAAAAGACACTAGTAGAAAATCTAGTGAAATTTTAATAAAGTCTGTACATTAGTTAGTTTCTTAGTTTTTACAAATATACTGTGGTTACTTAAGATGTTCAAATCAGGGGAAGCGGGGTGAAGAGAATATGGGACCTCCTTGTACTACTTTGCAATTTTTCTCTATATTTAGCTATTCCAAAATAAAAGATTTATTTTAAAAAATGTACTCATTATGTTGTTCAGAGAGAGAATCTTTTTTGCCTGTATTGTCAATTACTGAAGGAAGTATACTGAAATCTACCATTATGACTGTGGGTTTGTTTAATTCTCCTTGCACTCTCAATGTTTGCTTTTATACTTTGAAGTTATGTTATTAGGAACATAAAAATTTTTAATTGTTATGTCTTTCTGGCAAATCAAAACATTTATTTGTATAAAAATTTCAAACATAGTAATAATTTTACCTCTAGTAATGATTTTACCTTAATGTCTATATTGTATGTTAATAATGGTGAGTTTCCTTGCTCTTTACCACCTTTTCTTCATTTTTGACATGGTAACTTCTTACTATATTGTCAATCTTCAGTGCTTTTGAGAAGCCATCATTAATACTGTATCCAAAATTTTTTGTTGTTTTCAGTGGGAGAATTGATCTGAATAAACTTATTCACCATTACCAGAAACCAGAAGGCCTAAAGGCAAATTGAAAGCAGCACTCGGTTTCCAAATTCTAACTCCTAGGGAGAAACAAAATTATCCCAGATAAGGTGGGAAGGTTGCCAAGGAGAATGTACCTAAACTCTGTCAGAGCAAATAGAAGAGCTAAGTGAAGCTTTTCACATTAGGCATAACCAAGTTAACTCTGCAAAAATGAAAACAAATATCATGGAAAAAGAATCCAGATGATAAAAATAACATAATTCAAAGAATAGAGGTATATTCCCCACAGGATTGTTGTGCTATAAAAGAACTTAACAAGAATATTAATTTAATAAACCAAGGGCTCAAAGACAAATAATATAACAACAGAAAAAGCAGAAAGGGGAGATTACAGAAGAAAAAAAAAAGAAAAAAAAAGGCACCTTAACAGATCTATTAAATAGATCAAAAATAACAAGAAACCAGAATAGATATTACTGAAAATCAAATTATGGCATAAAGTAAAACTTGAGATAATTACAGTAAATTCAAAAAAATAATGTCAATGAGATTAAAGTAATTAGAAAATAACACATATGTAGGACAATGATGATCCAAGACAAAGATAGTTGGTGTCCTTGAAATAGAAACTCCCACTAAAGGGACAGAAAAGGACTTGTCTTGTTCCAAGGCAATTCAATAGGGAAAAACAGTTTTTTCAACAAATGCTGCTGAAACACCACATACCAGAGAATAAATTTGGACCCCCTACTTCATACCATATAAAAAAACTAAATTTAAAATGGACCAAAGACTTAAACATAATAGTTATAGCTATAAAACTCTTAAAATCAAGGTCCACTGGAATAAAGATTTCAAAACAGAATGCAAAAAGTTGTTATCATAGAAGAAAATATTGATAAATTGGACTTTGTTCAAATTAAGAACTTCTTTTCAGCAAAAGACACAATTAAGAGAAGGAAAAGACAAGCCACTTGTAATACATATATACAATTACAGACTCATATGTAGACTCTAGAAAAAACACTGCTACAAATCAAGAAAAAGACAAGTAACTCAGTTTTTTAACTGGCATTTCACACAACCACTTGAATAAGCACATCACAAAACATAGCCAAATGGCCATTAAACATGTGAAAATGTGTTCAACATCATTAGTCACCAGGGAAATGCAAGTGAAAACAATGAGATACCATTAAACATCTATCAAAATGGCTGAAATTTAAAAGGCTGACAGTATCAAGTGATAGCAAGGATATGGGACAAACAAAACTCTCATACATTGCTGACAGGTCTGTACAATAGTACAACCACTTAAGAAAACTACTTGAGAATATCTTCTGAAGCTTATTAACCTGCCCTCTGACTTAGCAATTCTATTTCTAGATACATACCCAAGATAACTGAGTACATATACCCTTCAAAAGACATGCACAAGAATATTAATAGCAGAATTATTTATAATAGCCACAAACAGGAAACAAGTCAAATATTTATCAATGGTAGAATGGATAAATAGTGGTATAGTCATACAATTGAATATGACAAGCAGCAATTTAAAAAAAGAACTACCGTCACATACAAAAGTATGGTTGAATCTCACATAATGTTGAGCAAAAGAAGCTAGACCTAACAGTACTTTCAGTATGCTCCATTTATATGACATTCAAGAACAGGAAACACATATGGTAATTATCTTAGTCTATTTTGGGCTGCTATAACAGAATACGTGAGACTGGGTAATTTGTAAAGAACGAAAATTGATTTTTTACAGTTCCAGAGGCTGGGAAGTCAATAATCAAGGTGCCAGCTTCTGATGAGGGCCTTTTTGCTACATCATAACATGGCAGAAGGCATCACATGACAAAAGAGAGCAAGAGGTCAAACTCTCAGCCTCAACCCCTTTTATAATTGGCATTAATCCATTCATGAAGGTGAAGCCCTCATGACTTAAACACCTCCCATTAAGCCCTACCTCCTAATAATGTTGCATTGGGGATTCAGTTTCCAACACATGCTTTTGGGGGCACCCATCAAGCCACAGCAGTAACTGAGGTGGATTTTTTTAAATAACCACAAGCTTTTCTGCAGCTCCTGCCATCAAGCGAGTTTATTCCCTACCCCTAGAATCTGAAATGGCCTTGTGACTTGACCAGTAGAATTCAGCAGGGATGACATTGTACAACTTCTGAGCATTCTTCTGCTCTTGCCCTCTTGCTGCCCTGAGATCGTCATGTAAAGCAGCCCACTCTACCCTCTTGGAGGATTAAGCATACAAATGGAGGGAGAGAGGCCCAGCTGATAGCCAGCACCAACCATAGTCATATGCATAACACCATATTAGACCATCCAGCCCTAGTCAAGCTGCCAAATGACTGCAATCACCTAAGTGGCCTCAGGTGAGACCAGCAGATGAATTGCCCAGCTGAGCCAAGCCTATAATTCTGACCCACAGAATTAGAAGCCAAAAAAAATGGTTGTTATTTTAAGCCACCAAGTTTTGGAATGCTTTCTAATAGGTAACTGATACAGTGATAGAAGACAGAATAGTAGTTACCGCTGGGGGATGGATAGTGGCTGAGTGGGAGCACATAAAAGCCTCCTGAAGTACTGGATATATTTCATTCCTTGGTATGAGTTGTGGTTACACAGGTGTACATTTACAAATTAAATAGTTATATATGTATGGGAAAATTCATCAAGCTGTACAGTTAAGATTTGAGCACATTTTATATGTTATACTCCAATAATCTGTTTTAAAGTCAAGGTCCAGTTTGTCTCGGTTATCTCTGAGTATGGTAGGCAGAATAATGGTCCCCAGAGATGTCTTAATCCTTGGAACCTGTGAACATGTTAGGTTACATGGAAAGGGAAAATTACTACTGCAGATTAAATTAAGATTGCTAATCAGCAGATAGGGAGGCTATCTTGGATTGTCCAGGTGGGCCCAATGTCCTTAAAAGTGAAAAAATAATAGAGTCATGGGGAGATGTGAGTACAGACACAGAGAAATGCAACATTACCGGCTTTCAAGATGGAGGAAAGGAACCTCGAGCTAAGAAAAAAAGTGGTCTGTAGAAGCTGCGAAAGGCAAGGAAATGGATTCTCACCTAAAGTCAGCCCTGCCAAAACCTTCATTTTAGCCAGAGACCTATTTCAAACTTCTGAACTGCAGAAATATAGGATAATAAATTTATGTTGTTTTAAGCCACTAAGATTGTGATAACTTGTTATAGCAGCAATAAAAATTTAAAACATTGGGTTGCTGCTGCAAGAAATTGATTTCAATGCATTTTTTATTTAAGCAAAATATACATATATAATTTAGTATCTTTACCATTTTTAAGTGTCTAGTTCAGTGGTAATAAATACACTTATATTCTTTTTTGTCCCCTTCATCCCCCCTCCCTGCCCTTCCTGGCCTCTTGTAACCACAAATCTATTCTCTATCTTCATGAGATCCATTTTCTTTAGCTCCCACATATAAGTGAGAATATGTGGTATTTGTCTTTCTGTGCTTGGCTTATTTAACTTAACATAATGGCCTCCAGTTGCATCCATGTTGCAGCAAATGACAGGATTTCATTATTTTTATGGCTGAATAATATCCCATAGTGTATATATACCACATTTTCTTTATCTATTCATCCATTGATGGGCACTTAGGTTGATTCCATGTTTTGGCTATTGTGAAGAGTGCTGCGATAAACATGAGAGTGCAGACATCTTTGATATACTGATTTCCCTTCTTTTGGATATATACCTAGTAGTGGAATTGCTAGATCATATGGTAGTTCTATTTTCAGTTTTTTGAAGAACCTCCATACTGTTCTCCATAGTGGCTGTACTAATTTGCATTCCCACCAACAGTGTTCAAGAGTTCCCCTTCTCCATATCCTTGCCAGCATCTGTTATTGCTTGTCTTTTTCATAAAAGCCATTTTAACTAGGGTGAGATGGTATCTCATTGTAGTTTTGATTTGTATTTGTCTGATGATTGGTGATGTTGAGAATTTTTTCATATACCTGTTGGCCATTTGTATGTTTTCTTTTGAGAAATATTTGTTCGGATCTTTTGCCCATTTTTATATCAAATTATTCGTTTTTTTCCTATTGAGTTGAGCTCCTTATATATTCTGATAATTAATCCCTTGTCAAATGGATAGCTTGCAAATATTTTCTCCCATTCTGTGGTCTGTCTCTTCACTTTGTTGATTGTTTCCTTTGCTTTGCAAAGCTTTTTAGCTTGAGGTAATCCCAATTGCCTAATTTTGCTTTGGTCACCCGTGCTTTTGAGGTCTTACACAAAAAATCTTTGCCCAGACCAATGTCCTAGAGCGTTTCCCCCAATGTTTTCTTCTAGTAGTTGAATTTAGCAGGTCTTAGATTTAGGTCTTTAATCCATTTTGATTTTATTTTTGTGTATGATGTAAGAGAGGGATCTAGTTTTATTCTTCTGCATATAGTTATCCAGTTTTCCCAGCACTATTTACCGAAAAGACTGTCCTTTCCCCCTTGTATGTTTGTGGTGCCTGTGTTGAAGATGAGTTGCTTGTAAATGTATGGGTTTACATCAAGGTTCTCCATTTTGTTCCATTGGTCTATGTGTCTGTTTTTATGCCAGTACCATGCGGTTTTGGTTAGTGTAGCTTTGTAGTAAACATTAAAGTCAGGTAGTATGGTGCCTCCAGCTTTCTTTTTGCTCAGCATTGCTTTGATTATTTGCGATCTTTTGTGGTTTCACATAAATTTTAGGATTTTTTTTTCTATTACTGTGAGGAATGTCATTGGTGTTTTGATAGGGATTGCATTGAATCTGTACATTTCTTTGGGTAGTATTGTCATTTAAACAATACTAATTCTCTATTCCATGAGCATGAAATAGCTTTCCATTTGTTTGTGTCTTCTTCTATTTTTTTTTTCATCAGAACTTTATAGTTCCTTGTATAGATCTTTCACTTCTTTGGTCAGATTGATTCCTAGGTATTTTATATTTTTGTAGCTGTTGTAAATAGGATTGCTTTCTTGATTTCTTTTTCAGATTATTCACTGTTGGCATATCAAATGCTACTGATTTTTGGGTTGGGCATGGTGGCTCACATCTGTAATCCCAGCACTTTGGGAGGCTGAGGCGGGTGGATCACTTGAGACCAGGAGTTTGAGACCAGCCTGGCCAACATGGAAAAACCCCATCTCTACCAAAAAATACAAAAATTAGCTGGGTACAGTGGCACATACCTGTAGTCCCAGCTACTCGGGAGGCTGAGACACAAGAATCACTTGAACTCGGGAGACAGAGGTTGCAGTGAGCCCAGATCATGCCACTGTACTCCAGCCTGAGCAACAGAGTGAGACTCTTGTCTCAAAGAAAAAAAAAGAAAAGAAAAGAAAAGAAAAAAGAAAAAGAAAGAAAGAAAGAAATGCTACTGATTTTTGTATGTTGACTTTGTATCCGGCAAATTTACTGAATTCATTTATCAGTTTGAACAGTTTTTTTTGTGGAGTTTTCAGGTTTTCCTAGGTAAAAGATCATGTCATCTGTGAACAACGGTTATTTGACTTCTTCCTTTCCAATTTGGATCACTTTTTTTTTTCTTCCCTAATTGTTCTGGCTAGAACTTCCAGTATTATGTTCAATAATAATGGTGAAAGTGAGCATCCTTGTTTTTGTTCCAGTCCTCGAAAGAAAAGGCCTTTGATTTTTCACCATTCAGTATGATGTTAGCTATGGGTTTGTCATATATGGCCTTTATTATTTTGAGATACATTCCTTCTATACCCATTTTGATGAGGGTTTTTATCATAAAGGGATGTTTAATTTTATCAAATACTTTCTCGGCATCTATGGTTTTTATTCTCGACTCTGTATCACATTCATTGATCACATTTATTGATTTGCATATGTTGAACCATCCTTGCATCCCTGGATGAATCCCACTTGATTATGGTAAGTGATCTTTTTAATGTGTTGTTGAATTCAGTTTGCTAGTATTTGTGTTGAGGATTTTTGCATCTATGTTTATTAGTGGTATTGGCCTGTAGTTTTCTTTTTTTGTTGTGCCCTTGTCTGGTTTTGATATGGTAATGCTGACCTCATAGAATGAGCTTGGAGTTAGTCCCTTTTCTTCAATTTTTTTTTTTTTTTTTTGAGGTGGAGTCTCCCTCTGTCACCCAGGCTGGAGTGCAGTGGCACAATCTTGGCTCACTGCAACCTCTGCCTCCCAGGCTCAAGCAATTCTCACGCCTCAGCTTCCTGAGTAGCTGGGATTACAGAGGTGTGCCATCATGCCCAGCTGATTTTGTTGTATTTTTTGTAGAGACAGCATTCTGCCATGTTGGCCAGGCTGGTCTCAAACTCCTGACTTCAAGCAATCTACCCACCTTGGCCTCCCAAAATGTTGGGATTACAGGTGTGAGCTACCGTGGGCCTGGCCTCTTTGTATTTCTGATGTCTCAGTTGTTTTGTCTTCTTTTTTGTTTCCAATTTCAGTTGGGTCTTTTTTTCTTAGTCTTGCTAAAGTTTTGTTTATCTTTTCAGTAAACCAACATTTCATTTCAGTGATCTTCTGTATTATTTTTTTAGCCTCAATTTCATTTATTTCTGCTCTGATATTTATTCGTTCTTTCTTTCCACTAATTTTGGGTTTGGTTTTGTTCTTCTTTTCTAGTTCCTTGAGATGCATTGTTAGGTTATTTATTTGAAGTCGTTCCACTATTTTATATAGGTTCTTATTGCGATACACTTCCCTTTTAGCAGTGCTTTTGCCATATCCCACTGATTTGGGTATGTGGGTATGTCGTATTTCCATTTTCATTTGTTTCAAGAAATTTTTAAATTTCTTTTCTTAAAAATTAAATTTAAACTTCCTCCTTGACCAATTGATCACTCAGGAGTATGTTGTTTAATTTCCATGCATTGTGTATTTTCCAAGGCTCCTCTTGTTATTGATTTCTAGTTTTAATCCATTGTGGTCAGAAAAGATATATGACTTTTATATGACTTTTATTTTTTATAAGTTGTTCATACTTGTTTTTGAAGCCTAAGATATGGCCTATTCTAGAGAATGTTTCACAGGCTGATGAAAAGAATGTGAAATATCAGTTAGGCTACTAGATCTAGTATGTAGTTTAACTCTGCTATTTTTTTGTCCATTTTCTGTCTGATCTGTCCATTACTGAGAGTTGGATATTAAAGTCCCCTACTATTATTATATTACAACCTATCTCTCCCTTTAGATCTATCAATGTTTGCTTTATATACTTGGGAGCTCCAGTGTTGAGTGCATAGATATTTATAATTGTTCTATCCTCTTGCTGAATTGACCTCTTTATCATTATATAGGGACCTTCTTTGTAGTTTTTTTTTTTTTTACAGTCTTTGATTTGATTTGATGTAAGTATAGCTACTCCTGCTCTTTTGTGGTTTCCAGTTGCATGGAATATTTTTTTTGACCCCTTCACTCTCGGCATATGTTCTTTATCAATGAAGTGGCTTTCTCAAAGGCAGCATAGAGTTGGGTCTTACTTCTTTATTCAGTAACTCTACGTTTTTTAAATTGGAGAATTAAGACAATTTATATTCAGTGTTATTATTATAAGGAAAGACTTACTACTGCCATTTTGTTGCTTGTTTTCTGGTTGTTTTGAGACTCCTCTCTTCCTTTCCTCCTTTCTTCCTGTCTTCCTTTGTGGCTGATTATCTGTTAGTATGTTTTAATATGTTGCATTTTATTTTTAGTGAATCTATTACAGATGTTTGTGCTGTGGTTACCAAGAGGCTTACAAAAAACATCTTATAAACATAATAAATTATTTTAAAGAGATGACAACTTATCTTAGATCACAAATAATAGAAACAAAGGCAAAAAAATACAAAGAAATTCTGCAGTTTAACTCAATTTCCCCCCATTTTGACTTTTAGTTGTCTCAACTTACATATTTTTGTGTTACCTATCTCTTAATAGGTTGCTGTGGCTATTATTGTTTTTGATACATTTGTCTTTTGGGCTTCATACTAGGGTTATGAGTGAATTATACACCACAAATACAGCAATAGAGTATTCTGGGTTTGCCTATGTAATTTTTTTATTTTTTTATTTTTATTTTTATTTTTAAGACAGAGTCTCGCTCTGTCACCCAGGCTGCAGTGTAGTGGCACGATCTCAGCTCACTGCAACCTCCACCTCCCAGGTTCAAGCGATTCTCCTGCCTCAGCCTCCCGAGTAGCTGGGATTACAGGCACACACCACCACACCCAGCTAATTTTTGTATTTTTAGTAGAGACGGGGTTTCACCATGTTGGTCAGGCTGGTCTCGAACTCCTGATCTGCCTGCCTTGGCCTCCCAAAGTGCTGGGATTACAGGCGTGAGCCACCGTGCCGGGCCACCTATGTACTTAATTTTACCAGTGGGTTTTATACCTTGAAATGTTTTCTTTTGCACATCAGTGGTTTTTCTTTCAGATTGAAGAAGTGCTTTTAGCATTTCTTGCAAGATGGATCTGTTGGTGGTGAATTCTCTCAGCTTTTGTTTTTCTAGGAAAGACTTTATCTCTCTTCATATTTGAATAATTTTGCTGGATACAATATTCTTGGATGGCAGGTTCTTTTCTTTGAGCACTTCAAAAATGTCATTCCACTCTCTCCTTGTCTATATGGTTTCCACTGAGAAGTATGATGCCAGAAAAATTGGAGCTCCATTATATGTTATTTCTTTTCTCTTGCTGTTTTTAGGATCTTCTCCTTGTCCTTGACCTTTGAGAGTTTGATTATTATCTGCCTTGGGGCAGTCTTATTTGGGTTAAATCTGCTTAGTGGTCTAAGACTTTCCTGTACCGAGATATTTATATCTTTCTCAAGTTTTGGAAAGTTTTCTGTTATTATTTGAATAAGCTTTCTACACTTTCCTCTTGCTCTGCTTTCTCTTGAACACCAATAATTTTTAGATTTGGTGTTTTGAGATAATTCTCTATATTTTATAGGTAGTCTTCATTCCTTTTCATTCTCTTTTCTTTTTTCTCTTCTGATGGTGCACTTTCAAATAGCCTTTCTTTGAGCTCACTAATTATTTCCTCTGATTGGCTTGTTCTGCTGTCTAGAGCCTCTAAAGAGTTCTTCAGTTCAGCAAATACATTTCTCATTTCCAAGATTTTTGTTTGATTTTTTTAAAATTTCAATCTCTGTTAAATTTCTCTGCTAAATTTCTGAATTGTTTTTATGTGTTACCTTGGAGCTCACTATGAGTTTCCTTAAAACTGCTATTTTGAATCCTTGTTCAGAGAGCTCACAAATTGCCATCCTATTAGGGTCAGTCATTGGAGTTTTGCTTTGTCCCTTGGGGAGGTCATGATTCCCTGTTTGCTATTGTTTTTTGTGGGTATACATTTATGTCTTGGCATTGAATGATTGTTTATTTATTCCAGTTTTCTTTTTCTGGCTTGTTTTGTTTTCCTTTTGAATATGTTTGCTTAGCAAATCTTTGCCACTAGGCCACTGCCTTCTTTTCAGTTCTAGGTGGCACCTTAACCCCAGGTTCACCTCAGCTCTAGTAAATGATTGGAGCACTGCCTGTCCCAAATGGGGAAGTCCCAAAGGGATTATCCCAGCAGTATGGGAAGTCTGGCTAATGGTTCATGCCCAGGGGACCTGGAGAATGTACTTCCTGCAGTGTGGTGCTGCTGAACAGCTACTCTGATTTGGTATCTCCTTTGGTTGAGCTACAGAGCAGAGTTTCCAGGGCTGAAGATGGTAGCCCCACCTCTCCTTGCTCTGCCTGTCCTCAATGATATTTCTCCCTTCAGGCAGTCAAGATGTGTCTCTTAGGTTAAGGCAAGGACAGGTCTCCTGCCAGGGAACCCAAGAAAGTGAAGAAGCTAGTTCACCACCTCAATTTCACTTTTTCCAGCATAGAAACCATAAGTTGGAGGGAGATTTTCCACACACTTGGTGCCTGGCAGAATTGGGTGGTGGGGAGGAATCACAGATGTGAAAGTCTGATTTTACCACCAACTACTTAGAGTTTTTCCACTACTTGGTGGCCCTGGGAACTGTCTTGTCCTCATACCTGAGCTCTGGATTGTTGCTGGTAAAATCTCAGTGTTTTATATCTGTTTTTGTTTTTCTGTGTGGGAGAGTGAAGCCAGGTTGCCTCTATACTGCCATTTTAGGACCAGAAGTCCCTCAGTGCATCTCATTACATCTCTTAGTGACCAGCAATCTCACTTCACAATCAATTACTTCTGAAGGTCTTAATATAGACCTAGTAGAGCCACTTCCAGGCAGTTCTTTTGTGTACAGACTCAGAAAACCAAAGACCACAATGTAGGGCTGGCTTCATGAGTATACAACCTGTGCAGTCACAGAGAGCACTGTGTTTGGAAGGGCCCCATATTTGGCTTAATGCTCTACTATTGCTCTCCTGAAATACTTTTTTTCTCCTGAGACAGAGTCTTACTCTGTCACCTAGGCTGGAGTGCAGTAGTGCAGTTTCGGTTCACTGCAATCTCCACCTCCTGGGTTCAAGTGATTCTCCTGCCTCAGCCTCCCGAGTAGCTGGGATTACAAACATGCACCACCATACCCAGCTAATTTTTGTATTTTTAGTAAAGACGAGGTTTCGACATGTTGGCCAGGCTGGTCTCAAATCCCTGACTTCAGGTGACCCACCTGCTTTGGCCTCTCAAAGTGCTAGGATTATGGACGTGAGCCACCGCGCTCAGCCCTGAAATTCTTGATAATTTTTAAACAAGGGTCCCTGTATTTTCATTTTGCACTGGGCACTGTAAATTATATAGTCAATCCCACCACCATCCCCTTTCTTCCTCTTTACTCAGTACCAGAGCCAGCCCACCAGACAGACCACACTCTGTTTTTTTGACACACTATTTTATGGATACTATTGTCCTTTCCTGACATTGGGCCTTGAAAAGAATGGCCCTCTCTACCTTGATCATTCCTCCTAACTCCAAGTCTCAACAAATGGATTGGAAGTTCTTTCCATGGATGTATGGTGAATGGCCTACCCTCTCTCCAGGCATATGCACATCTGTCTGGTGAACACTGGATAACTAAGATGACCTCTTGAAGACCTGTTCCAAGATGCCCTTGTCACTCTGCCTGTATGGAGAGTGACTGGCAATTCCTTTCTCAGAAGAGGAAAAAAGATAATCATCTCTGATAGGACATCCCACTACATGTAAAACACCAGTGCCTGGGGATATTAAGAAGTATTACAACAAAAAGGAGTTATGTAGTCAAGGAACTTTGTCAAATTGAGTTTAAAAAATTAAATAGCCTTTTTTTCTGGGGGACTTCTCAGCTTGCTTAATGTACTCTAGGACATATGACCCTCCAAGGTGGGGTACAGGGAGAACTTTATAAACTTATTCAGGAAGGCATCACTTTTCACTTAGTGATCTTGCAGGACTAATTTTCCACAGAAAAAGGTTTAACGAATGCTCTCGTAAACAAATTAAGCTCTTGCCAAGCAAACTGAGGCTTTAGTTTATCTCCTTTTCCATAGGAATTTGCAAGAAAGCCAGCACACACCTAAGTGAGGACACATTCTTTATCACTTTAATTCACTGCCCCTCTGCTCACACATATAATCTATATAGAAAGACAACAGCTTAGGGTGTATATTTAAATATGCACTTCTTGGGCTGGATGATGATGATGACAATGATGATGATGATAGCTAACATTTATCAAGCACTTGCTGTGTAGCAACAAGCACTGTTCTAAGTACGTGTTGCATATCATTTCATTTAATAACATGGCCTATTTTAAAGAAGAGCCCACATTTCATGGGCAAGGACTTCATGACTAAAACACCAAAAGCAATGGCAACAAAAGCCAAAATTGACAAATGGGATCTAATTAAACTAAAGAGCTTCTGCATGGCAAAAGAAACTACCATCAGAGTGAACAGGCAACCTACAGAATGGGAGAAATTTTTTGCAATCTATACATCTGACAAAGGGCTAATATCCAGAATCGACAAAGAACTTAAACAAATTTAGAAGAAAAAAACCTCATCAAAAAGTGGGCAAAGGATATGAACGGACACTTCTCAAAAGAAGACATTTATACAGCCAACAGACACATGAAAAAATGCTCATCATCACTGGTCATCAGAGAAATGCAAATCAAAACCGCAATGAGACACCATCTCACGCCAGCTAGAATGGCGAGCATTAAAAAGTCAGCAAACAACAGATGCTGGAGAGAATGTGGAGAAATAGGAACGCTTTTACACTGTTGGTGGGAATGTAAACTAGTTCAACCTTGTGGAAGACAGTGTGGCGATTCCTCAAGGATCTAGAACTAGAAATACCATTTGACCCAGTGATCCCATTACTGAGTATATACCCAAAGGATTATAAATCATGCTACTATAAAGACACATGCACACGTATGTTTTTCATGGCACTATTCACGATAGCAAAGACTTGGAATCAACCCAAATGTCCATCAATGATAGACTGATTAAGAAAATGTGGCACATATACACCATGAAGTACTATGCAGCCATAAAAAAGGATGAGTTCATGTCCTTTGCAGGGACGTGGATAAAGCTGGAAAGCATCATTCTGAGCAAACTATCACAAGGACAGAAAACCAAACACCGCATGTTCTCACTCATAGGTGGGAATTGAACAACGAGAATGAGAACACTTGGACACAGGGCGGGGAACATCAAACCCCGGGACCTGTCGTGGGTTGGGGAGCAGGGGGAGGGATAGCATTAGGAGAAATACCTAATGTAAATGACGAGTTAATGGGTGCAGCAAACCAACATGGCACATGTATACCTATGTAACAAACCTGCACGTTGTGCACATGTACCCTAGAACTTAAAGTATAATAATAAAAAAAAGAATAGCCCACATTTGTAATGCAAGGAACCTCAATTTATGATTGATAAATCTGAATGGACACAGCTGATGGTAACCCAGCAATTTTTTATTTTTATTTTTATTTTTGTTTATTTATTTATTTTGGTCACAAGGTAGCAGCATTTCCAGCAGCACATCTCCATCTGATGGATTATGGGAATTCCTTTTCTGTGCATAAAACAAACCAAAAATTTTTTTAAACCAACAACAAACTACTAACAGCTTAATTGTAAACCTGCTGGAGAGGAAGTTGAAACACCTGGCACTTTTTCCATTCAAATATCCATCAATGAATGACTGATGATACTGCTGTTCATGAAAACTAAGATTTGTTCTGAAAGCAGGGAGCTGATTATTCAAGTAAGCTCTAAAGCAAACGCTGGGGAAGATATGCTCTCAACCTCTGAAGTTATTCTCAGGACATAAAATATTTCTATGAACACACGTAGAGGATGTTCAACTAATGGAATATTGAACATGAAAGGGAGAACTCACTTGTTTTTTTGCTTTTTTATATAAAAAGTAATAAAACCAGTATAATCAGGCTGTCACTCCCACAACAAATAGCTTTGGAACCCAAATTTCTTCAGGTTTCTCTAGCCTGTGGATAGTAAAAGGGGTTCTATTAAATGGAATCACCAAATTTTACTGTTTTTTGTATTGCAGGGACATGGATGAAGCTGGAAACCATCATTCTGAGCAAATTATCACAAGGACAGAAAACCAAACACTGCATGTTCTCATTCATAGGTGGGAATTAAACAAAGAGAACACTTGGACACAGGGCGGGGAACATCACACCCCGCAACCTGTCGTGGGTCGAGGGCTTCTTCAATTAAAAGCCCTCCAGAGTGTCTCCAGGCATTCTTAGGGAGTGGATATCACCTGCAAGCACAAACTAGTCTAACCAGCTGTCCTATCACCCACGATGCGGTTTCTGCCATTTCTTTCTTCTGCCTCCACCTCTGTTCCTCACTCTCTTAGCTGGACATTATGGCATCAGCCAGGCATCACTGTCCCCCATTAGGCATCTCCTGCCATCTCCTACCAGGCTCCTTGATGTCTTGCTTTAGCTGAGGAGCCTAGAGATGGCAGATCTGCGTGGTGCTCTGCTGAAAAGTGGGGAAGAAGGCCGCTTATGCTCTATTATCTTTTTTTACTGAAAAAAAGGAAGGGCGGATAGTATAAGTTAACAGAAGCCTCTTTCTCACAGGGAGCATGCAGGTATCCCTTTTCATCATCAGCTACTCAGTCCTGCGTGTAAGTGGACAGGGAGACAAATTTGGGTGATTCTTTTTTTCCTTAAACAGGGGTTCCTACCATTTTTTTGTGCCATGCAACTCTTTGGCACTCTAATGAACCCCATGGACCCTTTCTCAGACTAATGTTCTTAAATGCATAAAACAAAATACATAGGATTACAAAGGAAACCCGTTACATTGTAATAGTTATCAAACTATTTTTAGAACAAATTTTATATAACATGTATGCTTTTTATTAACACATTAAATAAATGATCCAGCAGCAGGTCTAACACCGCAATAACTCAAAGCAATGCCTGAGTAAATACTATTTTGAGACATCTGAAAAAAATGCAACGTGATATGAAAATGTCTGTGATTTCTATCCATGACAGGGTCACAGATATGGCTAATGCCACTGTAGTTTGCTGTGTATGTTCATAATTAGGGGAAAGCACTAAGTTTCAAAGATGTAATTGTTTTCCCTTCCAAGTTCACAGACCCCATGGATTCTATTTGTGAACCTCAGGTTAAGGACCACTGGCTTAGAATGAGCTCACTTTAGGGGGACCTTACAGGACCTGATGCTAAAAGACATGGCTGCCCATCCCTGCGGTTCATTGAATAATCCCAGACAGGTCCAATTCCCAGGTAGAACTCAAGCTGGGAATCTACTATATTTAGATGAAAACAAATTTTAAGAGATGGAATCTTGCTCTGTCACCCAGACTGCAGTGCAGTGGCACTATCATAGCTCATTGCAGCTTCAAACTCCTGGGCTCAAGCAGTCCTCCTGCCTCAGCCTCCAGAGTAGCTGGAACTACAGGCAGGCACCACATTGCCTGGCTTCAAATGTTCTTAAATGTAGATCGGTCTATTATTAGGATATTTCTAGATAACCAAGAGCTCTCCTTGTCTGGGTTAACCTGACATTGTTTCCCAGTCTCCACAATTCTCACTATCCCACTTAACACATTGTGACAAAAGTGACCTTTTAAAATGCAAGTATGACCTCCCTCCCCACCCAACAGCAGTTTACACTACAATGATTCAGAATCACCAAACCACATGCAATCACCCATATACACCTCCTACTTTTGTACATGCTGTTCCCTCTTTCTGAAATGTCCTCCTGCCTCATCCTCACCTAAGAAATTCCTTCTTATTCTTTAAGACCCAGTTCAAACACTAACTCCTCTGAGAGAAAGTGTCAGGCCTTCCCCTGGCCTCCCTGGAAAGAGTTTATTACTTTCTTCTATGTGCTACCTACTCACTGAACCTTGACTATACATATAGTGTAGCACTTATATAAACTAGTTTATTGAATGAGCTAGACACAGTAGGGTGTAAGCAGAAAGCAATATAATTCTTTCACATCACAAGCTCTGTGGAATCATTTTTCCCCACCCCTGCATAAAACTTCAGACAGATCTCATATCTTTTTCAGTCACTCTCGGATATTAAAACATAGTTTTGTTTTCAGGCATTAAAGTTTTCAGTTCAGTCTAGTATATTATAGCTTCAATCTGTCACCCATTTCCAAGCTTATCTCCTCCCCAAGCTCAGGTCTAACTCAGCCAAGAAACACAGTAGGGGAAGGATGTGGAGCATGGTTGACTTCCCCATTGGTCCATTTCCTCTTCTGATCCCTCCTCACACACCCCACCACACACACTCCCTATGCTGTTCCAACTCTGAAATGATCCCAACAGAGGAATGAACTGATGGAATCCCAGGACCGAGGAGTTGAAAGAAGTCTGCCAGGGAAGGACTAGAAAAAGTAAGGGCCAAAAAAAAGAGCTTTCCTTGACTGGTTAAATTTTAACCTGGCATTGATTGAAGAGTGTGGCATATGTCCAAAGCTGACACTTTCTCTAAAGGGTTCCTTGGAGCCTCCCATCACTGGAGATCTCTCACCTGCAGTTTTCCTGGCCTAGGCAACACTTCATCTGGCAGGCCCTTTTCAACTCCTCTGTCCTGGGTTTCCATCAGTCCATTCCTCTGTTTGGATCATTGCATACCTCTAAGCAATCCTCTTAGGGGAGACCCCTAATAAGATGACCCGACTCTAACTTTCTATCCTGATGACCACCTCTGGCCCCTGGGAAACAGACAGCTTCACCCACACACTGGCAGAAGTACAGCTCCCTGCCAATGTAGCCCTCTCTCTTTCCTCTGTTTTCACAGGCTGCCGTAGCCGTAGCCCCTTTCACCTTTAGACTTTGTTTTTAGGTACGAGTAAGTTACCAGCTCCTACAAATATCAATCCCCAGGGAACACATGTCAAAGCTCCTGGAGTGATTCTCTTGTAGCCACCTTCCACTTAAGTGAGTGGGAAACACCTCCTCCACTCCCCCATGAGCAGGAGAAACTCCATAGCACTCCCATACCTCTCTTCAAAACTATCTTTTCTATCACTCTCCTCTCAGTCAATCCCCAGCTTCCTTTACATGCCTTCAAAGGATTTAATGGACACAAATCATATTTTGGAAGTTGTCCTTTAGCAAGTTCTGTAAAAATGGTGTGTCACCTCTCTTTAGAATATGTGAGCCCTTAATACCCTTTGTTTTCAGCTTTGGAGACAAGTCCCATTGTAATATCCATTGCATGGGTCTCCCTATGCTACCACACTATGAGCTCCTTGATACCATGAAATAAGTTTCATTCATGTTTACACCCCTAGCACCTAGCATAGTACCTGGTACAGGGAAGGTACTCAAAACTATTTGTTGACCCCAGTTCAAGATGGTAGACTAGCTGCATACATTGCTCCCAACGCCTCCTAGATTCCCTTAATATAAAAGTACAGCAGTACATAAGGGAATAAACCTCCAAAGGCAAAAAGAACTAGACAGAAGTTGAGGAAATTACCAACAAAAAGAGATCCCAACACGTTTCTGGAAGAAGGAAAGTAGATATGAGCAAGTTGGCAGATGAAACAGATAGATAAAACCACAGCCTAGAAAATGTTATAAGGAAGCTCCAGAGGAAACAGGAGCCAGCCTATTTGGCAGAATCCTGGAGATACTCTGGGCTGTAAGTCAGCAAGTACAGAAGGGAACAGGAATGAGAAGTGGGGCTTTAAACTGGGGAATTGAAGATTTGTAAAACAGAACAGTTGTATCAGTCCCCACCACCATATTCCTCCCAAATTCCTTACTAGAGTACCATTTACTCGCATTTGCTAACAAGCAAAAAAACAAACAAACAAACAAACAAACAAAAACTAGAAGGCTTTTATCTGAAAAGAAATTAATGCTATGAATAAAGCTAAAACTTTTGGTTTGAATATAGGCTTCTCAGAGAAATATCCTTCTCACTAGGCATTTAGAAGGCTAATAGCCAGAGAGCCAATTCCCAGCCCAAAACAAAACTTTCCAAGCAACCAGCCCCCATCCCCACCCTACTACATAAAGACATTCCTGTCAGATATCCCAGTGAGCCATCAGTGGAGAGATGTACCTGGAAAACAAAGCTGCTTTATGCAATAGCAAATGGAAAACCCACACCAGCTACCCAGTAATTTTTCTTAAAAAAAAAACAAATGGGCCCGGGTGTGGTGGCTCACACCTGCAATCCCAGCACTTTGGGAGGCCAAGTCAGGTGGATCGCGAGGTCCGGAGTTTGAGACCAGCCTGGCCAACATGGGGAAACCCCATCCCTACCAAAAATACAAAAATTAGCCAGGCGTGGTGGCGGGCACCTGTAATCCCAGCTATGCAGGAAGCTGAGGCAGGAGACTCACTTAAACCTGGGAAGTGGAGGTTACAGTGAGCCAAGATCGTGCCACTGCACTCCAGCCTGGGCAACAGAGCAAGACTCCATCAAGAAAAAAAAAAAGAAAAGAAAAAAAAAGGAAAAAGGACAGGGTAGTGATATCAATGAAAATGGCAAGGGAACTCCAGTGCTCCATCCACAACAAAAACAACTAATAAACTGTCAAAAACTGTCAGAATCAACTTTTGCAGAACTCTGAAATCTAGTCAAAAACTTACAATCACTAGGGAAGGCATGGTGAAGAAAGAAATGGCTGCAATATGGTAAGAGAGAGATGTAGCATTTAAAATGGCCTGCCTACCATCCCCCAACTCCCAGATCAGCAGTGGCTCTAAGGATAGCAGCCCACACTCCTGGTAAAGGTTGTTAGTACCAGAGAGAGCAATATGGAACTTTTTCTCAAATAATTCTGGATGTCCATTTCTAGCAGTCTGGTGGCCCACTGAAGAACAGGCACATGGGCTGCCTTTGTTTTTTGACTCAGAGCATTCCCAGGGCTGGGACAGCTTCTAAGGCAGCATTTAACATAAATATGTAAAGGTACAAGTATTGGCCACAGTGGACTGTGCCAAGGAACAACAGTGGGGACAAGCAATAGATAGACCAAGAAGCATGGGAAGAGATTAGGAAAGGGGTTATATGTGGGTAAAATGGCTTTTTAAAGCTCCTAGATACACTGAGAAATTGAGAAAACCATAAGACTAGCCAAGGATGGATACATGTACAGAAAAAGCCAGAGAAGACCCTAAGCTTTCACCTCTGGATGACCATTAGGCTCTGCACAAGCACGAAGTGAAGGCTGAGGTAGACTTGTAAGCAATGTGGCTAAGCTATGAATGAGTGCCCCAACACAGATCTAATATGTCAACACTGAGAGTAGATTTTTCTTTCTCCTGGTCTAAGCATTTAAGGAAACCCTGTCAAAATAATAACTGACCACCAAGCTAATGGACCACATACTTCAGTGATCACACACAACAAAGAATATCATCTTTACAAAATTAGTTTAGAAAAGGCACTATACAAATAAGCATAAATAAGGCAAGCAGCAACAAAAACTCAAGAGAAGTGGTGAGAATCTAATCTCCTGAGTTACCACAAAATAATGTTCAAAATGTCTAGTTTTCAACAAAAAATTATAACTTATGTCTTATGCCTGTAATTCCAGCACTTTGGGAGGCCAAAATGGGAGAATCACTTGAGGCCAGGAATTTGAGACCAGCCCACATAGCAACATAGCAAGACCCCATCTCTAATTTAAAAAAAAATAAAATAAAGTGTACAAAGAAATAGGAAAGCATGGTCTGTTATGAGGAAAATACGAGATCAACAGAAACTGTTCCTGAGGGAATCCAGGAAAATGGACTTATTAGACAAGACTTTAAATCAAGTGTGTTAAACATGCTCATGGAGCTAAAGAAAACCATGGACAAAGAACTAAAGGAAACCAAAAGAACACCATGTTACCAAATAGAGAATAAAATAATAAATCCAATAAAATAAAAGAAATTGTAAAAAAGGAACAAGATAGAAATTCTGGAGCCTAAAAGAAAAGTAACTAATACAAAAATTTCACTAGAACCATTCGACAGCAGATTTGAGCAGGCAAAAGAATGAATGACAGAAATTGAAGATAAGCCACTGAAATTATCCAGTCTGAGGAACAGAAGGAAAAAAGAATGAAAAAAAAATGAATAGAGCCTAAATGACATGTGGGACATCATCCAGTATGTCAACTTAGGCATAATAGGAGTCTCAGAAGGAGAAAATAGAAAGAAATTAACAGGCTGGGCACGGTGGCTCATGCCTGTAATGCCAGCACTTTGGGAGGCCAAGGCAGGTGAATCGCTTGAGCCCAGGAGTTTGAGACCAGCCCGTGCAACATGATGAAACTCTGTCTCTACAACAAAATAATAATAATAATAATAATAATAATAATAATTAGCCAGTCTCATAACCCACTCTCAAAATAAATAAATACATTAAAATTTTAAAAAACAGAAATGAACAGAAAGAAAGTTTGAAGAAATAATGGCCCCAAGTCCCCAAATTAGATGAAATATATGAATCTAAACATCCAAGAAACTCAATTTATATCTAGTAGGATAAACTCAGTAAAACATTTAAACTCACCAAAACACTTAATAATCAAATTGTTGAAAGACAAAGAGAAAATCTTGAAATCACCAAGAAGTGATTCATTACACACAAAGGATCCTCAAAAAGATTAACGGCCAATTTCACTTCAGAAACCATAAAGCCCAGAACGCAGTACTATGAAATATTTAAAGTGCTGCTGAAAGAAAAAAATAACTTGTCAATCAATAATTCTGTATTTGGCAAAAGTATCCTTCAAAAATGAAGTAGAAATTAAGATATTCTCAGATACGCAAAAGCTGAGGAAGTTCATTGCTTGTATCCCTGTCCTATAAGAAATACTAAAACGAGTTCTTTAGCCTGAAATGAAAGCACACACTGGACAGTAACTTGAAGCCCTATGAAGAAATAAAGAATACTGGTAAATGTCACTACATAGGTAAATATAGAATACATATATTAAAAAAGCATGTTGTACACCTTCAATATATATAATATTTATTTCTCAATTATATGAAAATAAAGCTGGGGAGATCTAATATTATTGTATTTTTGGTTTGTAATGCCTCTTTTTTACCTATGTGATTTAAAAGACAAATGCATAAAACAATAACTATAAATCTATGCTAATGTGCACACAATGTATAAGATGTAATTTGTGACACGATTTGCATAAAGAGGGAAGGATGGTCCTATATGGGAGCAGATATATATATTATATATATATATATACATTTTTTATATACTATTGAAGCCAGGTTAATATTAATTCAAACTTGTTTCTTATAAATTTAACATATTAATTGTTATTGTTAGGAATACTAAGAAGATAACTGAGAAATATACAGAAAAAGAAATGAGAAAGTAATCAAAATGGTACACTAAAAAAATCAACTAAACACACAAGAAGGCAGTAATGGGCCGGGCACAGTGGCTCACCCCTGTAATCCTGGCACTTTGGGAGGCCGAGGCGGGCGGATCACCTGAGATCAGGAGTTCGAGACCAACCTGACAAACATGGTAAAACCCTGTTTCTACTAAAAATGCAATAATTAGCCGGGCGTGGCGGCACGTGCCTGTAATCCCAGCTACTCAGGAGGCTGAGGCAGGGGAATCACTTGAACCCAGGAGGCAGAGGTTACAGTTAGCAGAGATGGTGCCACTGCACTCCAGCCTGGGCAACAGAGCGAAACTCTGTCTCAAAAAAAAAGAAAAAAAAGGTAGTAGTGAAGGAGTTGAGGAACAAATAAGATATAAGATGTATAGAAAACAAATAGCAAAATGACAGAAGTAAGTCCTTCCTCATCAGTAATTACACTACATGCAAAGGGATTATACTTAGCAATTAAAAGACAGGTTGGGAGAATGGAAAGAAACACATGGCCCAAACTATATGCTGTCTGTAAGAGATTTACTTTAGATGCAAAGATATAACTAGGCTGAAAGTGAAAGGATAGTAAAAGATATTCCATGCAAAAAAATATATTCCATGTAAATAGTAACCAAAAGAGAGCTCCAGTAGCTATACAAATATCAGACAAAAGAGTCTTTAAGTCAAAAATTATTATGAGACAAAAAGGGACTTTATATATTGATAAAAAGAGTCAACCTATCAATAAGGTATGACAATTATGAATGTATACGTACCTAACATCAGAGTCCCAAAATATATGAAGCAAAAATTAACAGAATGGAAGAAAAAAATAGTTGTACAATAATAAACTTTTCAATATCCCCCTTCCAATCATGGATAGAACAAGTAGACAAAAGATCGATAAAGATATAGAGGATAACACTATAAACCAACTAGACCTAACAAACCTATATAGAATAATCCATGCAAAAATAGCAGACTATATATTCTTCTCAAGTGCAAGTGGAGTATTCTCCAGAATAAACCATATGGTAGGCTACAAAATAAGTCTCAATGAATGTTAAAATATTAAAACCATACAAAATACCTCCTCTGAGTGCAATAAAATAAACTTAAAAATCAATAACACAAAAAACGTAGAAATTAAACAACACACACTCTCAAATAAACAATAGTAGATGCAAGGAAATAATAAATTTTAAGGCAGATATAAATGAAATAGTATATAAAAAACTATGAAGTAAATCAATAAAACCAAAAGTTTGCTCTTTGAAAAGATCCACAAAATGGACAAACCTTTAGCGACACTGACTAAGAAAGAAGAGAGAAAATAGAAATCACTAAAATCAGAAACGAAAGTAGGCATATGATTACCAATCATACAGGAAAGATGCTCAACATCATTAGTCATTAGGGAAATGCAAATCAAAACCACAATGAAATACCACTTCCCACCCACTAGAATGGCTACAATCAAAAAACGGAAAAGGACATGGAGAAATTAGCACCCTCACTCATTCCCTGGTGGGAAAGAAAATGGTGCATCCACTGTGAAAAACTATTTGGTTGTTCCTCAGTAACGTTGGACACAGAATTATCATATAACCCAGCAATTCCGTTTCTAGGTATACACCCAAGAGAACTAAAAACATATGTTCACACAAAAACTTGTAACAAATCTTCAGAGCAGAATTTTTTTGTAATAGCCAAAAAGTAACAACCCAAATATCCATTAGCTGATGAATGGACAAACAAGATGTGCAATAACCACCCAATAAAACATAATCCAACTACTAAAATCAATAAAGTACTGATACATGTAACAACATGGATGAACTTTGAAACAATATGCTGAGAGAAAGAAGCCAGAAACAAAAGGCCATATATTGTATTCTTCCATTTATATTAAATATTCAGAATAAGCAAGTTCATAGAGACAGAAACAGAATAGTGGTGGCTAAGGTTTGGGAAAGTGAGGAATGGGTAGTGACTGCTTTCATGGGCATGAGGTTTCCATTTCAGGTGATAAAAATGTTCTGGGGCTAAATGAAAGTGATGACTGCACACTGCAAATGTACTCAAATATCACTGACTTGAATACTCAAATGACAAATTTTATGTTGCATGCATTTTAACACAATTTTTTAAACTTTTATTTTAGGTATGGGGTTACATGGGAAGGTTTGTAACATACATAAACTCATAATGGGGGTTTGTTGTACAGATTATGTCATCATCACCCAGGAATTAAGCCCAGTACCCAATAGTTATCTTTTCTGCTCCTCTCCCTCCTCCCACCCTCCACCCTCAAGTAGACACCAGTATCTATTGTTTCCTTGTGTTCATAAATTCTCATCATTTAGCTCCCACTTATAAGTGAGAACATGCAGTATTTGGTTGCCTGTTCCTGCATCAGTTTGCTAAGGATAATGGCTTCCAGCTTCATCCATGTTCCTGCAGAGGTCATAGTCTTATTCTTTTTTATGGCTGCATAGTATTCCATGGTGTATATGTATGGCTGCATAGTATTCCATGGTGTATATGTACCACAGTTTCTTTATCCAATATGGCACTGATGGTTGATTCCATGTCTTCGCTATTGTGAATAGTGCTGCGATGAACATACACGTGCATGTGTGTTTATGGTAGAACAATTTATGCTCTTTTCGGTATATATCCAGTAATGAGATTGCTGGGTCTAATGGTAGTTCTGCTGTTAGGTCTTTGAGGAATCACCACACTGCATTCCAGAGTGGCTGAACTAATTTACACTCCCACCAATAACATATAATTGTTCCCTTTTCTCTGCAACCCCAGTAGCATCTGTTATTTTTTGACTTTTTAATAATAGCCATTCTGACCAGTGTCAGACAGTATCTCATTGTGGTTTTAATTTGCATTACTTTAATGTTCTAATGATATTGGGCATTTTTTCATATGCTTGTCAGCCACATGCATGTCTTCTTTTGAAAAATGTCTGTTCATGTCCTTTGCCTACTTTTTCATGGGTTTTTTTTTTTCTTTCAAATTTAAGTTCCTTATAGATGCTGGATATTAGACCTTTGTCAGTTGCATAGTTTGCAAATACTTTCTCCCATTCTGTAGGTTATCTGTTTACTCTGTTTATATAGTTTCTTTTGCTGTGCAGAAGTACTTTAGTTTAATTAGATCCTATTTGTCAATTTTTGCTTTTGTGGTGATTGCTTTTGGCATCTTCATCATGAAATCTTTGCCTGTTCCTATGTCCAGAATGGTATTACCTAGGTTGTCCTCCAGAGTTTTTACACTTTTGGCTTTTACATTTAAGTCTTCAATTCATCTTGAGTTGATTTTTGTGTATGATATAAGGAAGGGGTCCAGTTTCAATCTTCTGCATATAGCTGGCCAGTTATCCTGCCATGACTTCTTGAATAGGGAGTCCTTTCCCCATTGCTTGTTTTTGTCAGCTTTGTCAAAGATTAGATGGTTGTAAACGTGCAGCCTTATTTCTGGGCTCTCTGTTCTATTCCATTGGTCTACGTGTCGCTTTTGTACCAGTACCATGCTGTTTTGGTTACTGTAGCCCTGTAGAATAGTTTGAAGTCGGGAAGCATGATGTCTCCACCTTTGTTTTGGTTTTCGTTTTGTTTGTTTGTTTTTTGTGTTTTTTTTTTTTGTTGTTGTTTTTTTTTATTTTTGCTTAGGATTACCTTGGCTATTTGGGATCATTTTTGGTTCCATATGAATGTGAAAATGATTTTTTCTAGTTCTGTGAAGAATGTCATTGGTTGTTTGACAGGAATGGCATTGAATTGATAAATTGCTTTGGGTAGTATGGCCATTTTAATGATATTTTTTCTTTCTAACCATGAGCATGGAATGTTTGGCCATTTCTTTGTGTCATCTCTGATTTCTTTCAGCAGTGTTCTGTAATTCTCATTGTAGAGATCTTTCAGCTCCCTAGTTACCTGTATTCCTAGGTATTTTATACTTTTTGTGGCAATTGTGAATGGGATCACCTTCCTGATTTGGCTCTCAGCTTGGCTTCTGTTGGTGTATAGGAATGCTAGTGATTTCTGTACATTGATTTTGTATCCTGTTTGCTGAACTTGTTTATCATATCAAGGAGCTTTTAGGCTGAGACTATGGGGAATTCTAGATACAGAATCAAGTCATTTGCCAACAGTGATATTTTGACTTCCTCGCTTTCTATATGGATGTTCTTTATTCATTTCTCTTGCCTGATTGCTCTGTCCAGGACTTCCAATACTATATTGAATAAGAGTAGTGAGAGAGGGACATTGTCTTGTGCCAGCTTTCAAGGGGAATGCTTCCAGCATTTGTCCATTCAGTATGATGTTGGCTATGGATTTGTCATAGATAGCTATTATTATTTTGTGGTGTATTCCTTCAATATCTAGCTTATTGAGAGTTTTTAACATGAAGGGATATTGAATTTTATCAAAAGCCTTTTCTGCGTCTATTAAGGTAATCATGTGGTTTTTGTCTTTAGTTCTATTTATGTGATGAATCACATTTATTGATTTTCATATGTTGAACCAACCTTGCATCCCAGGGATAAAGCCTACTTGATTGTGGTAAGTGAGCTTTTAATGTGCTACTGGATTCAGTTTGCCTGTATTTTGTTGAGGATTTTTGCACTGATATTCATCAAGGATATTGGCCTAAAGTTTTCTTTTTTGTTGGTCTCTGCCAGGTTTTGGCATCAGGATGCTGCTGGCCTCATAGAATATGTTAGGGAGGAGTCCCTCCTCCTCAGTTTTTTGGAATAGTTTCAGTAGGAATGGTACCAGCTGTTCTTCGTAGAACATCTGGTAGAATTCGGCTGTATTTTTAACACAACTTTAAAAATACATGGGCAACTTAACTACACAATCAAAACTAACATTACCAGTAATGGGACAAAGTAACATCATGTGCCTCCTAATATGATGTACTGAGGACTCAACATCATTTCTATCCAAAATGCATAAATAACCCGAATTTAATCCTGAAGAAATATCAGACAAACCCAAATAAAGTGGCATTCTACAAAATAACTGGACTGTCCTCTTTTAAAGTGTTAGGTCATGAAAGGCAATGAAACACTGAGGAACTGTCACATTAAAGTAGACTTAACAACTAAATACATCATGTGGTCCTGGATTGTATTCTAGACCAGGAAAATGACATTAGTGGTCAATTGGTGAAATCTGAATAAATTCCATTGATGAAATTAGAGTGTTTTATCAATATTAATTTCCTAATTTTGATAATTGTGCTTTTGTTGTGTAAGACATTCACATATATAAGAATTCATTGTAGTATTTTACAGCATTTTTTAAGTTAGAAATTATTTCAAAAGAAAGGGTTGAAATATTTTGTTTAATTAAACAACATGAATGAGTGACCAGGAATCCACAGTATCAGGAATCTGGGCTTCTTTCATCCTGTTGTTTTATCTTACCCAAATTGTTTCCCTCATATGCATGTTCCAGGCTGGTATACCCTCACATACATCCATGTTCCAGGCAACAGGATGAAGCAGGTAAGAAGGACACAATCTGGAAATTGCAAGTGTCACTTCCACTTGTATTCCACTGGCCAGAACTTAGTTACATAGTCACACCTACCTGCAAGAAATGCCAGGACTTATCTTTATTTGCTCATCTAAAAATTAGGGGATTTGTTACTATTTTAGAAGGGGAGAATGGAAATTGAAGGGCAACTTGCAGTCTTGGTCATCTGATATAGAAAACAGTGGATTTATCTTAGGAAAGCAAGAGAGGGAAGTTCTGGTATTACAGCTGTGCAGCAGGCCTCAAGAACAACCAGACCAGATCAGAACAGGAAAACAGAGAATCTAAAAAAGGAATGTGACTTCAATGGGATAAATGGCATAGTGACAGATTTGGAAAAAAATCTCAAGATATTACAAAGTTAAATAAAGTTAGAAGAAACTGAAAATGCAAGTTTCTTGGTGTGATTAAAGGTGACTTCTACACACACACACACAAATACACACACACACACACAAAGACTATGATTACATTGGTTTGTTTAATTTCAATTTGTTTAAATTAGAACATTTAAAAGCTAGCTTTTCCCTTAACTTTTAATTTAAATTTACAAATATTATTCTACTTATTAGTCAGTCCAATTTCTAACTTAACTAAATTATCTTAAACATTTTCAGCTGCATTTGTAAATTTAATATATCTAATTTTCTTTTTAAATACTTTAAATGACCCTAGCAAGCACTAAACAACTAAACAAGTACTTAAACAATTCTAGTAAATACAATAAATGAAATGTATAAATATGGGTGAATCTTTAAGTCTGTGTGAACATTCTAATACTGCTTAGAAACTTAGAGCTTTCTTATTCTTTTCAAGATGAAAACACAAGTATAAAATCAATTACTCAGTTGGAATCATAAAACTAATCTGATAGATACTTTTATACGTCAAATTATCTTAAACATTACAAATGTTTAAAACACCACATGTACAAATTGCCTCAATGATTACAAAAACACCATTTCTGAACTTAACATGAAAGTACTGGTGTTTTCATTTTCACTTATTTAGTGATGTCTATACACAATTCTAAACTTTCCCAACATTAAAAAGCTACCCACTGTGGAAGTAATAATACTTTCTCAAAATTGGGATCACTATCACAGAGGATTTCATGTTTATTGACCAGAGCTTTTGGCTCGGACCTGAGATTCTAATACCTTCTACAATGTGGATGGAAAAGTTGAGTGCTTTTTCTAATAGTCATTATGCCAGTAGAAACCCTTATGTTCAGATTTTCCAGTGGTGTGCTCTCATAGCCCAAATACAATAAACTGAATTCAACTTATACACTACATAATTTTTCCTTCTAATTTGAGTCTACAACCCCACATCCAGGTTGCTTCACCACTTGATTGTCTGATTCTGTCTTCTTAATATTTTCTATCCTAACAGGGCTGCAATGCTTTAGATATTTAAGTAACAACAAATTGGATTTTGTATACTCTCCAATACTTCATCTGGCTTTTTTTTTTTCCAAAACTCTAATGACAAAAGAAAGGGGTAAAGGATGAGGAGATAAATAAATAAAAGCAAACTCCAGGAAAAGCTTTTAAATGTGCAGGAAAATCGTGATCCAAACATCAAGCAAACTGAAATAGAACAGGTTTTATTTGATTGATGGATTTAAGAAAATACGATAAAACACCCACATAGAGAACATCCATTTCACCTTAAGACTAGGATCCAGGCCAGGTGCAGAGGCTCACTCTTATAATCCCAGCACTTTGGAAGTCTGAGGTAGGAGGATCACTGGAACCCAGGAATTCAAAACCAGCCTGGGCAACATGGTGTATTAGTCCGTTCCCATGCTGCTATAAAGAACTACCTGAGACTGGGTAATTTACGAAGAAAAAAAGTTTCATTGACTCACAGGCTGTAAAGGAGGCATGGTTGGGGAGGCCTCAGAAAACATACAATCATGGAGGGGGGCAAAGGGGGAAGCAAGTACATCTTCACATGACTGGCAGGAGAGAGAGAACCAAGGGGGAAGTGCCACAGATCTTTAAACTGCCAGATCTTGTGAGAACTCACTCACTATGAGAACAGCAAGGGGGAAGTCCACCTCCATGATCCAATCACCTCCCACCAGGCTGCTTCTCCAACATGAGGATCACAACCTAACATGAGATTTGGGTGGGGACACGGAGCCAAACCATATCACATGGCAAATCCCCATCTCTACAAAAAATAGAAAAATTAGCCTGGCTTTGTGATGCATGCTTGTGGTCCCAGATACTCAGGAGGCTAAGATAGAAAGACCACTTGAGCCTGGGAGATAGAGGCTGCAGTGAGCCTTGATCTGCACTCCAGCCTGGGTAACAGAGTGACACATTGTCTCAGAAAAACAAACAAACAAAAAAAAAACACTAGGATCCATAGAGGATGTAATGTAATTTTAGTACACTGACTGTCTTGGCATTTCTTGACCCAACATTACATGACTCAGAATTGAATAATCATGCAAACATATATGCTGTTTTACTTGGTTTTCAAATTTTAGAGTCTACCTTATGGACAAGGCATGAAAGCCTTGGTTGTATTTGCAGGATTGTATTAGTGAGGATTTAGCCAGGAAAACTGAACCATTATGAGTATGATGGAAGAAGATATTTGTTATAGTAATAAAACTACAGTCATCCCTGGGTATATGCATGGAATTAGTTTCAGGATCCCCAGTGTATGCCAAAATCCATATATACTCAAGTTTCACAGTCAGCCCTGTAAAACCCACATACATGAAAAGTCAGCCCTCTGTATAAGTGTGTTTGACATCCCTGTGTTTGGCCGAAAATTATCCACATATAAGTGGACCCACACATTTCAGACATGTGTTATTCAAGGGTCAAACATACATAATTGGGAAAGAGGCTGGGAAAGTAAGGACCAGAGAGAGTTGGAAGATCAGAGGAAAGTCACTAAACAGCCAGACGTATCCAGTTACCAGAGTGGGAATGGAAAGGATTGCTGATAGAGAAGTCCCTGGAAAGCTGTTTCCCTCTGCATCTAGTGGTGGGTCTAGGGTAGGGTAGCCAGATTTTGCACATGCATGCATGTACACACATACTATAAGTGTATATGTACAATGTGTGTAAAATATGTATGTAAATTATATAAGTGTGAAATATGCGTAAAACCACACATATGTAAAACATATATATATATACACATATGTGTATATAGAGCATGGGCCATACTTATACTAATAAATATAGTGTATCTAAAATTCAAATTTAACTCTGTGTCCTGCATTTTATCTGGCAACCTGCAATACTAGCCTGGGTTTACTCACTCTTACTGGCAATTGGGAAGAAGAGCTGAATTCTGAATGGAGAAAAGCAAGAATAAGCTGGAATCAGCAGGCACCTCTATGTCTAGTTCTCGCTGCATGTAACAACGACCCTCAGAGAGTGAAATAGCTACTTCATTTCTGTCTTCCAAATCTTGCACAAATTTCTCTTTTGGCCAACTCTCACCTGGTGCCACGGAGGGAAGGGGATTCTGGAAAATGTAATTCCAGCTTAGCCAAACTAATAAAAATTACAAAGGATAGAAACCCATCTAATATGTTTGAATCATATGAACTGTACTGTTGGTAACCCAATAGTAGATGAGGATAATTGTTCTATATAAAACTATTTCAACTAATGAGTAGGAAATATTATAGAATTAAAATACCACAACTTTACAACCTCTGTGACTTGATAAATATAGGCATTAAGCATTAATATCTGTTCATATCACAAAAAAATAGACAACCAGACACTATTTGCCTCCCATAGTCTTGCCAAACACCACCTATAATTTTGCCAAAGAAATCAAATCTGAGTCTGATGCAGTCTCTGGATCCACCTGCCAATTTGTCAAAAACACAAAGGACAGAAAAATGTGTTGGACTCCACATAAATGTGAAATTAGCAAAACTCAGATTATGAGAAATTACAGATATTATTCTCCGAGTTCAAGAGCTAAATTGTAAAGAAGAGAAAGATCTGAAGGGTGAACTAACAGATTTTAATTAAAAATATATCAAAATGTGCAGATTTAATCAGACTATTTTTAAAACATAAGATAGTGATTACACCAAAAATCAGGATAGTGGTTCCTTAGAATGGGAATGAGGAAGTTGTAATTGGAAGGGAGAACATGGAAGGGCTTCTGGGGTAGCTGGCTAAATTCTGTTTAGTGATCTGGGTGATGGTTACAAGGATGTTTTCATACAGTCCTTCATTGAGCGATATATGTTTGTTTTGTTTATTTTCTGCATCTGTTTTTATTTACAATAAAAATTTTTTAAAAGCAATTTGGAGGAAAGAGATTATTTGGGGAAGACTTAAAATATCATTAAATATCAAGATAGATAGAGATAAGAAAACAGACAGCATCTGCAAAAACAAAACAGGGTTCTAGAAAAGGAACATTTAAACAATGAAAAATGAAGGGCTCTTAGAAATTAAAAACTGGATAGCATAAATGAATATATATATTATATATCCAAATTGTGTGTGTGTGTGTGTGTGTGTGTGTGTGTGTACTGTATTAGTCCATTCTCGCACTGCTATAAAAACTACCTGAGGCTGGGTAGTTTATAAAGAAAATAGGTTTAATTGGTTCATAGTTCCACAGGCTGTACAGGAAGCATGACTGGGGAGGCCTCAGGAAACTTATAATCATGGCAGAAGGTGAAGGGGAAGCAGGCGTGTCTTACATGGCCAGAGCAGGAGGAAGAGAGAGAAAGCGGAGTTGCTACACACTTTTAAACAGCCAGATCTCCTGGGAACTCACTCACTATCATGAGAACAGCAAGGGGGAAGTCCCCCCTCATGATCCAATCACCTCCCTGCAGGCCCCTCCTCCAACCTTGGGTATTACAATTCGACATGAGATTTGGGCAGGGACACAGATCCAAACCATATTATATACATATAATGAAACTGAAGCTGGAAAATAAAGTTGAAGAAATTAGAACAATAAAAGAAAAGGATAACTAAGTTCTGGCCAATGAGACAAGAGAGGATTAAATCTTTTGAAAAGGAAATTGGCTGTCCTCCACTCCTCATTCCTCCATCCCATTGCTGGAATAAAGTTTTGGTGATTATCTAGCTTGAACCATGTAGACATGGACAACATCCTAAGGTAAGGGTCAGCAAATTATTTCTTTAAAGGACCAGATAATAAATATTTTAGGCTTTGTGGGCAATATAGCCTCTGCCCCAACTATTCAATACTGATGCTGTAATTCAAAAGCACTCCTAGACAATATGGAAATGAATAGGAATGGCAGTGCTCCAATCGAACTTTAAACACTGAAATTTATAGTTTTCATGCATTATGAAATATTCTTCTGTTTCTTTTTTAACCACTTAAAAATATAAAGATGACTCTTAGCTCATGGCTGTAAAAAAGTCAAGTGGTAGGCAGGATTTGGCCTAAGGACTGTAGTTTGCAGAACTTTGCCTGGGGAATGTCAGAGCTATATGACACAAGGAACCTGCGTTCATGTAGAAAAGCCACCTACCTGAACTGGACTCTAGACTGTAATACATGGGAAAACTAACTCTATTTTGTTTGGACCACTGTATTTTGTAACTCTGTTATATTGACTTAGTCTAAACTCTATTACAAGGCACTCATAAATTCTCAGAGAAACTGAAGTTAAATAATTGTTAATAAGCTGTGAAAACATCTGGTAGGGAGGATGGGCAGGGTGCACATATCCCAAAACCTAGCAATTCCACTTCTAGGTAAAAACCCAGAGAATCTCTTCCATGTGTATATAAGTAGACTAGCATAAAAATGATAATTGCTGCATTGTTTGTAATAACCAAATTAGGAACCACCTAGGTGACAATCAACAGGCGAATGGATGAATAAATTGTGGCACATTCATTCAGTTGAATACTACAGAGACATTAAAATGAATTAGAACTATATGTATCAGCATGAGAACTTTCACAGACATAAGGTTGAGCAAAAGAGCTAGCTACAAAATAATAAATGCAAGATAATGCCATTTGTATAATGTTTGATAAGGGAAAACTACTAAAAATCATTCATGGATATGTATTTATTAAAAATGTATATATATATATATACACACACACATATATATGCATGAAAATGTTACATATCAAATTCAGGACAGTGGTCTTCATTAAGAATGGGAGAAGGAAATAGAATTATGAAATAGTATGGAAGGTGTTTCAACAGTATCTGAAGTGTGTTTTTTTTAATTATTGTTGTTTTTTTAGAGACAAGGTCTTGCTACATTGCCCAGCCTGGTCTTGAACACCTCACCTCAAGCTATCTTCTTGCCTTGGCCTCCCAAAGTGCTGGCGCTACAGGTGCGAGCCACTGTACCTGGTCACATTATTTGTTTTTGAAAAATCATAACAAACAAAATATAAATGCTTATTGAATGAATATGAAATTCATAAATATATATATATCAAATATCCCAATATCTGGCATATTTTCTATTTCATCTCCAGGTTTATATTCACAAAGATTTCCTGGCTAATTACTCAAGACTAGCTAACCTAAGAGTGGTAATAAATTCACTCACGGTCCTTCCTGTTTATACTTCAAACAAGGTTTCTAGCATGAATATCCAGGAATGGCAAACAGGCATTTCTCTTACTAGTAAGGTTTCCTAACACAATTAATTAATTAGGATATATGATCTGCATGACATAGACCTATAAAGGTTATAACCAGATAGCACTGCCATCAGGAACTAGTACCTCAAATGAAGGAGGGGTTGCTAGGGTCACACCTGCTCTATTTACGGTGAACTCCGGTGGATTGTTTACAGTAACAATGGATGATGAATGATAATGGTGACAGGGATGTGGAAAAAACCCAAGGTAAAGAAAACAGCAGTGAGTAGAACAGAAAAGCAACTTACTCTTGAACAAAAGCTAACTAAAATCAAAAGCTGGATTTGCTCGGTGATGTCTAGGTTTTTTAACTGCGTATTTATAGTTATTTTTTTAAACTCTACTTTTACTTAAAATTCCTATAGGAAACAATCCCAAAACACCCATCAACAAGAAACTAAGTAGACAAATTGTAGTATATTTGTAAAATGAAATACTATATGTCAATTTAAAAAATGACAGAGATGCACGATAACATGAATGAATCTCAGAAACATTATGCTGAGTGAAAGAAGGCAGATACAGAAGAGTGTATGCTGTTTGTTTCCATTTATATGAAGTTCTGTAACAGGCAAAACTAAACTATGGTAGCATAAATCGGAACAGCAGCTGTGGGTAGGGAAAGATTTACCAGAAAGGAACAAGAAAATACTGTTCATGATTGGGGTAGTGATTACATAGGCATATACATTTGTTATACATACAAAGACTTCATTAACTTACACATTTAAACCATATGCATTTTATATTACATAAATTATATATCAATAAAACTGATTAAAGAGACATCCGCACTATGTTTATTCCAGCATTATTCACAATAGCCAGGAAATTGCATCAACCTAGATGTCCAACAACAGATGAGTAGATAAAGAAAATGTGGTATATATGCACAGTGGAATACTATTAAGCCATAAAAGATAATGAAACCCTAGGGCCAGGTGCAGTGGCTCACACCTGTAATCTCAGCACTCTGGGAGGCTGAGGTGGGAGGATCACTTGAGCCCAGGAGTTCAAGAACAACCTGGGCAACATGGCAAAAACACATCTCTACAAAAAATATAAAAATTAGCCAGGCATGGAGGTGCACACTTGTAGTCACAGCTACTCAGGAGGCTGAGGCAGGAGAATCACCTGGGCTTGGGAGGTCAAGGCCACAGTGAGTTGTGATCGAGCCACTGTACTCTAGCCTGGGTAACTGAGCAACACCCTATATCACAAAAAAAAAAAAAAAAAAAGGAATGGAATCCTGTCATTCACAATGTGGATGGAACTGGAGGACATTAAGTGAAATAAACTAGGAACAGAAAGTTAAACACCACATGTGATATGGTTCGGCTCTGTGTCACCACGCAAATTTCATCTCAAACTGTAATCCCCACATGTCGAGGGAGGGGCCTGGTGGGAAGTGATTGGATCATGGGGGTGGTTTCACCCATGCTGTTCTTATGATAGTGAGTTCTCATGAGATCTGATGATTTAAAAGTGTTTGGTAGTTCCTCCCCTTTCTCTTGCCTGCTGCCACGTAAGACATGCCTTGCTTCCCTTTTGCCTCCTGCCATGATTTAAGTTTCCTGAGGTCTCCCCAGCCATGTGGAACTGTGAGTCAATTAAACCTCTTTTCTTTATAAATTACCCAGACTCAGGTGTTCTTTATAGCCGTGTGAAAACGGACTAATAAAGAAAATATTCTTGCTTGTATGGGGAAACTAAAAAAAGTTGATCTCATAGAAGGAAAAAGTAGAGCAAAGGATACTAGAGGCCAAGAAGAGTAGGCAGAAGGGAGGAAAGGGAGAGATCTCTGAAAGGATTACAAATTATAGCTAGATAGGAGAAATAAGTTCTAGTAGTCTATACCATTGTAGGATGACTACAGTTAACAATAATTTATTCTATATTTAAAAATAGCAAGAAGGAGAATATTGAATGTTCCCCACACAAAGAAATAATAAATGTTTGAGATGGTGGGATGCCAATTACCCTGATCTGATCACTATACATTATATGTATCAAAACATCACTATATACCCCATAAATATGCACAATTATTATGTATCAATTAATAATATATATAAAGGAAAAATAATGCAAGCTCTATGACAAAATAAAATAAAGCCAATTATTTAAAACACCTACAGGAAAAAAAGTATTAAAACTATTATTCTGGCCGGGCACAGTGGTTCACGCCCGTAATCCCAGAATTTTGAGAGGCCAAGGCAAGTGGATCACCTGAGGTTAGGAGTTCAAGACCAGCCTGGCCAACATGCTGAAACCCCATCTCTACTAAAATTACAAAAATGAGCCGGGTGTGATGGTCGCACCTATAATCCCAGCTACTTGGGAGGCTGAGGCATGAGAATCGCTTGAACCCGGGAGACAGAGTTTGCAGTAAGCCAATGCCACCTCACTCCAGCTTGGGCGACAGAGTGAGACTCTGTCTCAAAAACAAAACAAAAAAACAAAAAACAACTTATGATTCTGAAAACTCTTTGGCATGGAGATTGCAAATTGGTAGCCCATAGGTCAAAATTAGCCCATAGATAGGTTTTGTTTTAGACTCATTTTTCTTTCTTTTTTTTCCAACCTCAGCATCCACTAGAGGATGGACTCAATTTTTTAAAAACTGAATTAGTTGTAAACATTTGAAAATTGACATTAAAGATGTTTTGTTAATGTCCAGCTTCTCCTGAAAAATCTTGATATCTGGCAATATTGGGTCAATATTTTTGCATGACAATAACTTGCTGGTACATCCACTCTGTAAAACAAAGCAGGTATTGTCAATCTCCACAGCTCCCACCATGAGACATTGTCTTACACCAGAACCATTGAGTTATGGCAGAACAAAGTGCTACAACTAATAGAAATAGTGAAATTGGGAAGAAGGAAATGAGAGCAGGAAAGTTGGTGAGTTCTGATGTGCACATGGTGAACTTGAGGTGTGAGAAGGATATCCCATCAAAAACATTCAAGTCAGTTGGAAATTCAAAACTGAGACTTAGGAGTTGTCAAGCCCAGACATACAGAGTTGAAGCCCAAATTGAAGTAACATTTCTTGATCACCTAACATGTAATAGTAACTACTAGGAAATTTCCCAGGTGGCATGTGCATAGTCGAAGACACAGAAATGAACTCAATTACTAAGAGTGGGTAAAGAAAAGAGCAAAGGCTGAAGACAGGACCTGGGGGAAGAAATGTTCAACTTTAAGGGGTTTTAAAGAAGATGAGAATTAGGGGACCATGAGACAGGACTGGTTAGAGATGGAAGAGCAAGAAAAGAGAGTGCACAGTGCCAGAAGCCAAGAGAAGAGAGAATTTAAAGATATCAACAGTGTCAATTATTACAGAGAAAGCAAGGACCATGAGAGCTGAGAAAAGATCCTCTGGGCAATAAAAAGGTCACTGGACATGTAGACCTGAATGGTTTCAATACAGTACCGGGAATGGAGGTAAGATTACAGGAGGTTAAAGAGTAAAGGAGTGGTTAATAAATGAGAAGTGGGAGAAGTAAGTGGAACATAAAGAAATAACCAATCCTAATAATGAAAGCCCATCACCAGAGTTCCCTGGGTTATGGAATAGATCAGTTCCATGATCTTTCCACACAAACACTAGACCATTTTTATTTATGAGTATAGGCACAAAAATCCCATTAAAAGTGCCTGTAAAATGAATCTAACAGCATATAAAAAGAACACTATATAACTAAATATGGTTTATTTCAGGAATACAAGGATATTTCATTATAATGAAACCGATTTATATTGTTCATCACATCAGTAAAGCAAAGGAAGAAAATATTGTGTTTATAAACATAAAAGGCAGAAATACATTTGGTTAAATTCAATTTTGAAAAAAAGAAATGAAAAAACTCTTGAACTTGAAATAGAATGATGTTTCTTAATAAAGATAAAAATGTATTTCTGAATTCAAATGCCAACATCTTATTTAAGAGTAAAACAAAGCCGGGCACGGTAGCTCATGCCTGTAATCCCAGCTCCTTGGGAGGCTGAGGCATGAGAATTGCTTGAACCCGGGAGGCAGAGGTTGCAGTGAGCCGAGATCGCGCCATTGCACTCCAGCCTGGGTGACAGTGCAAGACTCTGTCTCAGAAAAAAAAAAAAAATTAAAACAGTAGAGTCATTCCCTTTAAAGTCAGGAACAAAACAAGAATCCCCCCTACAATTAGCATTAGGTATACTTTTCTAAAAGTGCTATTAGTAAAATAAAAAAAAAAATTTGAAGCATAACTATTAGAAAGGATACACAATTATAATTCTTACAGATTAAATATTTGTCTTCCAGCCCAGCATGGAGGCTCATGCCTGTAATCCCAGCTACTCGGGAGGCTGAGGCAGGAGAATCTCTTGAACCCAGGAGGCGGAGTTTGCAGCAAGCCAAGATAGCACCACTGCACTCCAGCCTGAGAGAAAGAGTGAGACTCCATCTCAAATAAATAAATAAATAAATAAATAAATACATAAATACATAAATAATAAATTGGTCTTCCTAAAACACCAATAGAATCAATCAACAGAAAATCCATGAAAACTAATAAGTAGCTGTATACAAAATAAATATACAAAATCAGCAGGTTTCCTATACAACAGCAACCACCTGTGAGAAAATATAATGGGGGGAAGAGTCTATTTACCTTACCAGTATATTATATGAAATCACTAGAAATAATCTCACTAAGAAGTATGCAAGGCCTGTTTGAAGAAAATACCATGGATAAAATGAAAGATACAAAGAAAAAAAAGACTTGAGTGAATGGAGAGACATACAAGTGCCTGGATAATAAGCACAAGGCTGATAACCATAAAGGTGTCAATTATTCCCTTAAGTTATAGCTATAAGGCAATTTCATTCAAATTGATATTGAAAAAAATTATTTAACTATTGGAAAGACAAAATAAACTGAGAACATCTCTTCAAAGTTTATGCCAAAATAAATTCCAAATGTATTCAAAAGTTAATTTCAAAAAACTGAAATTCTAGGCCAGGGGCTCACATCTATAATCCCAGAACTTTAGGAGGCCAAGGCAGGAGGACTGCTTGAGCCCAGGAGTTCAAGACCAGCCTAAGCAGAATAGTAAGACCTCATATCTACAAAACAAATTAAAAATTAGCCAGGCATAGTGGCTGACACCTGTGCTTTCAGCTACCTGGGAGGCTGAGGTGGAAGGATTGCTTGAGGCCAAGAGTTCGAGGTACAGTGAGTTATGATCATGCCACTGCACACCAGCCTGGGTGACAGAGTGAGACCCCTATCTCCACAAAAAAGAAAAAAGAAAACTGAAATTCTAGAAGAAAATTTAAAGTAGATTATAAACGTAAGGTGGAATATCAATCCGATCTCAGGATGATAAAGGACTTTTCCAGCATAATGGCAATGAAAAAAATAACAAAGGAAAGTGTTTATAGATAAATTTATAGGCAAAGTCTTTAATCCTAACACTTTGGGAAGCCGAGACAGGCAGATCACTTGAGGCCAGGAGTTTGAGACCAGCCTGACCAATAAGGTAAAACCCTGTCTGCAATAAAAATACAAAAAATTAGCCAGGCATGGTGGCACGCACCTGTAATCCCAACTACTCAGGAGGCTGAGGCAGGAGAATCACTTGAATCTGGGAGGCAGAGGTTGCAGTGAGCCGAAATCACATCACTGCACTCCAGCCTGGGCAACAGAGCATGACTGTCTCAAAAAAAAAAAAAAATAGGTAAAGTCTGTAATGTTATTTTAAAAGACAATAAACAAAATATAAACAAGAAAATTTTTTCAACAAATATGGTAAACAAAGTATTCATATACAAAGGGCTCTTAATGAGCAAAGGACATAAACAAGCCATAAACTAAGATATAAAAATGGTCACGAAGCATCCAGAAATAATATTCAGGCTCACCAATAACCAAGGAACTACTAATCAAATTATTAACATACCTTCCTTTTTTCCTATCAAATTGGCAAATGTTAAAAAAGAGAAGGAAGGTAATACTCAGTGCTGACAGAATTTTATGAGATGGTCTAACTTGTGCACTGCTGGTTGGAATATTAAATGGGCATAATTTCTAGGGGAAAAAAAGGTTGTCAATGTGTATCAAAACCTTAAAATGTTTCTGTTCTTTGAGCCAGAAATTCTTTTTCCAAGAATCTATCTTAAGGATATGATCAGATAAATGGACAGATATTTAGGTTTAAAGTAAGATGGCCATATAATTTATCCTCTAAACCAGAAAACTTTTGAGAGTTAATAGGGCGTTATTAATAATTATTCCAGCACAACAGACATTAATGAGCATGGTCCCAGGTAAACTTGGTCATATGGTCATAACTAGTTTAAGGCCATTGATTGTTCCATCAGAAAAAAATATATATACAAAAAAAGGGCAAAGGAGGCCGGGCGTGGTGACTCACACCTGTAATCCCAGCACTTTGGGAGGCCAAGGTGGGTGTATCACTTGAGCTCAGGAGTTCAAGAGCAGCCTGGCCAACATGATGAAACCCCATCTATGCTAAAAATACAAAAATTCACCAGGCCTGGTGGCAGGTGCCTGTAATCCTAGCTACTTGGGAGGCTGAGGCAGGAGAATCACTTGAACCTGGGAGGCAGAGGTTGCAGTGAGCTGAGATTCTGCCACTGCACTCCAGCCTGGGTGACAAGAGTGAAACTCCATCTCAAAAAAAAAAAAAAAAAAAGCAAAGGTTAAATGACATTACATTCATAGGATACAATATTATGTAGCTAATTAAAAACCATTTTTCAAAATGTATTAAAATATAATATGTACATTTTTAAATCAGGATAATAAACTATATGTAGTATAATACAAAGTGGCTAAACATATATGTAGTGAACATCCATTGATTGCCCAACCAATATCCAATTTCCTTTGTCCCCTCTCTAAAAGCATACAGATTTCCCTCCTTGTCATAGTTCATGGCTGGGTAACATTAAGCCCAAGGCAAGAGCCCACAGTAGTCATCTAGCCACAGTTTTTAGTTCATATTGGTTCAATCAGAGTAAAACTTAAGACTTTTATTCAAAGCTTCTATGAGTCACAGGAACCTATGTTCCTTTTTCCCTCTAGATTTGAACCACCAGAGACACTGGCACATTGAAGGAGACCCGTGAAGAGAATTTCAGAGAAACTTAGCTGGAGTCCTAATCACGTGGTGCCAGAAGCCTTCATTGCCTCTAGACTTTTCAAGTAACAGTAACCAAAAAAAATCTTTTATTTTTAAAACCAGTTTTATTAGTGATTCTGTTCCTTGCAACCCAAAAATTCAAAATGATGCAATATATAGATATATTACAGTAGTACTCAACTGAAACTGCACGTTAAAATCACCTGGGGAACTTCTAAAAGTAACCATACCTGGATCTCACACCCAGAGATTCTGATTAAAATGGTCTGGGTATGGGATCCTAGCACTAGTATTTTTAAAAAACATTCCCTTGTGATTTTAATACACAGTGAAGATTAAAGACCATGAATATATTATATAATATATATGTTAGGTATACATAAATTGTTGGAAGGAAAATACAGTAAAAGTTAAGGATGCAAATTCCTGGGTATTGATAGTGCATTATTTTTGTTGTTGTTTTTATATCAATGAAACAATTTTTTTAAACTTTATTTTATTACTAAATCTAACTCATCTTTGGGTCATTATTTATTACCTAGTGAAAGAATATTAAAATATATATGTTTTTCTTTACTTGTTGTTGTTGTTGTTGTTTAGCAAAGGGATCTCACTCTGTTGCCCAGGCTGGAGTGCAGTGGTGTAATCATAGCTCACTGTAGCCATGAACTCCTGGGCTCACGTGATGCTCTTGTCTCAACCTCCCTACTAGCTGAGACTACAGGCACGTGCCACCATGCCTGGCTATTTGTTTTAGAGACAGATCTTGCTATGTTGCCCAGGCTGGTCTTGAATTCCTGGCCTCAAGCAATCCTCCTGTCTCAGCCTCCCAAAGCACTGAGATTACAGGCATGAGCCACCATGCCAAGCCTCCTTTACTGATTTTTGGTTTTGTTTTTACTTTATTAAAATACTAAGTTTTATTTCACATGTGTATTTTTGTTTCCCCACCATTTCCATGTCTGACCACTGCTACTACTATGTCCTATCATGACATTCCATACAAAAAAACAAGCAAAGGGCAGAGTTTCATCTTTAAAAACTAAACAGGCATTTTGGACAACACATTCTTGGCAATGGAACCTGGACAACATTTATCAAACACGGTAGGGAAAGTTCTCACTCTGCATTATAAAAAGGATAGCCAGATATCAACTGTTACAGAAATGAAATAAGACAGAAAATGTTGAATAAATTGTTTAAACTATTTTCTTCAAGAGACTTCCACCACTGCCAGAGATCTTGAATAGCCTCCTGGTCAGTCATCTGGAAGCAATTCTTCACATAATTGATGAATTTGGCTTCCACCTTGGGAAGAGAACCACCTTTTTCTGTACTTGCTTGCACTTTTGCTTTAATGTCTTCTACAGAGCTAGGTCCTTTTGGTGTTCTAGGAGATTTTTTCTGTTTTTTGAAGGATTCTTGTCCTTTTGATCTTGGTGTTGATGGTTTTGAGTCTTTTCCATTCTGGTTTGACTTTTTTGTATTTTGTATTTTCCATTCTGGTTGAGACTTTTCCATTCTGGAGTATCTCGTTACAGATTTCTTCACTGGTGCTTTTTCTTCAGTTTTCTGATCATCAAAATCATCATCATCATCTTCATTATCATCATCTTCTTCTTCACCACCAGCAGCAAGTTTTACTTTTTTCCGTGGAAACTTGCTACCACCTCCAGGGACAGATCACTTTCCAGATATACTTAAGAGTTTCACATCCTCCTCCTCTTCGTCTTCTGACTCTGCATCTTCCTCCACAGCTACTAAGTGCTGTCCACTAATATGCACTGGCCCTGAACCACAGTTCAACCATAAGACCAGTGGTGGTGTTATTTCAAAGCCCCCAGTGGAAACCATTTACTGTACAGACATTTTCAAAGTTGCCCGTGTTACTTTAATTGGACTGCCTTCGTCATTCATTGGCTCTGCTTCAACAATGTGCAAGTCACCCTTTGCACCAGCCTCTAAACTGACCGTTCTTAAAGATAACTGGTCTCATTTTCATCATTATCCACCTTAAAGTGATCATCTTTGTCGGCCTTTAGTTCACAATTAAAAAGATAATTCTGGGGCCTCAGGGGGCTCATGTCCATGTCCATCAAACCTTCCATGGGGTGGTAACGTGCACTTAGGTGAGAAATGAGGTGGGTGGAGATAAACAACTACTGCTCCGGGGAACAGCTGCGCAGGACAGAATCACACCAGGCTCTTTACTGTTTTTAATTACGAAAGTAATAGAAGCTCAAAGTATTAAATTCAAGGAGGATAGAAGTGTAAAATGCAAAAAGTGAAAATTCCTTTAAAAAGCAAAAATTCCCTTTTATTTCTTATGTACTTTCCTTTTTCCTACAAAGAACAAATGTAACTTCTATCCTGAGAAACATTTTTAATAAAGAAAACAAAATGTGAAAAATAAGTGGTACAGATCTCAAATTATTGCCTGCAAAACAATTCCCCCTCATCTGTAGAATTTGAAGATTAGAACACATAGGCTATATTAAAGATAAGAAAAAGAACATTTTCAGTGTCTTGTGCTAAGTGAGAACTGGAATCTCAATTAGTCAGGAATATGAGTAAATCTTTGCTTACAATGATCGGGTTCTATGGGAAAATCATCTCAAAAGTGTGCTCACACCTGTAATCCCAGCACTTTGGGGGGCCAAGGCGGGTGGATCGTCTGAGGTCAGGAGTCAAGACCAGCCTGGCCAACATGGTGAAACCTCGTCTCTACTAAAAATATAAAAAATTAGCCAGTCATGGTGGCACACACCTGTAGTCCCAGTTACTCAGGAGGCTGAAGCAGGAGAATCTCTCGAGCCAGGGGGTGGAGATTGCAGTGAGCCGAGATCGTGCCATAGCACTCTACCCTGGGTGACAGAGTGAGACTCCATCTCAAAAAAAAAAAAAATTAAAAGCATTCTGTAGGGTACACACAGTCAAGAACATACAATGTACATCATATGTGTGGCACTTCTCTGTGGGCAGGGTTTACTTATATTTTATGTAAATATTTAATATAACAAGACTTTTTATTGAATGTAATTGTCATAGCAACTAATAATTTTCTTTATATCTAATTCCAAAGCAGAAATTTCCTTGATAAATATACAATTTATTCCAGGGTTATTTGTTTATAAAATATAAATTTCTAATTTATTCTACAAATAAATTTATTATTTTCTAATTTTTAGAAATATAATTTGTAACATTACAAATATAATTTACTTATAAAATATTTTATTAATATAAATACATTTATAATATAGATATATAAAACTTGCCAGGCGTGGTGGCTCACGCCTATAATCTCAGCACTTTGGGAGGCCTAGGCGGGCGAATCACTTGAGGTCAGGATTTCAATACCAGCCTGGCCAACATGGCAAAACCTCATCTCTACTAAAAATACAAAAAATTAGCAGAGCATGGTGGTGCATGCCTGTAATCCCAGCTATTCGCGAGGCTGAGGCAGGAAAATTGCTTGGACCTGGGAGGCAGAGGTTGCAGGGAGCTGATATCGCGCCACTGCACTCCAGCCTGGGTGACAGAGTGAGACCCTGTCTCAAAAAAAAAAAAAAAAAATATATATATATATATATATATATATATAATTTATTTATAAAGTTAATTTCTGATTATAATATTATTTCTAAAATATTTTCTAAATGTTTGAGGTTGAGGGAAGTGGGAAAAAGGAGGCATTTTGAGGCATTTCTCTCTGGATTCCTGTTTTCCCATTTTGATCTCCAGAAGTCAAAATGAAAGATGAAATCAATAAGGAAAGAATAGCTTCCTCATTGTGTATGCTTCAATGGACTGTTCTAAAGCCAGAGGAACTAGATGCATTTTAGGCACTCACTAAATAACAGATGAATGGGAAACAGGGGAATCCGTGATTACATTTAACTGCTCCGTTCCTTCCACAATAACAGTTAAGCCTCTTTCAGTTGTGGTAACAGAAAGTAGTAATAGCGTATATAAAGTAGGATTATGTATCATCAGTGTTCTAAGACTTTGAGGCTCATTAAAAAATACATTGTACAAACAATCGAGCAATTGTTTTTATGGCGCATCAATGAAGTGAAACGTATTCCAATAGCATGTCAAAAAAGTATTGAGATACCAGGGAATTATTTAAACCATTCTCTTCGGTTAACTGGTATTTTTTCTTTTGAGTGTTTTTTTAATTCAATCATAAAAGTTAGCTATTTCTAAAGGCTGCTCTTCGTTCATAAAATCATGTAACCAGCAGAGAGGAAGATGCTTGACTTACTGTGTTTATTCAATATATTCAATGAGTATTAAGTTATGAAAATGGAAGATATAGAGAAGGGCATCCAGAAGACAGCCCTGCTTTACACTATGTCCAGTTATAATTTAATCCGTCAGATATTTTTACCCACTCTTATTCTTATAGAACTGTCTCCTTTTTTCCAAGAAATCTAATATATACATAAAACTTCAGAAACTAAGATAACCAAACACCTATGTTTCCAGTATACAAAACTGAAGATTGTTAATGTTGTCATCAATGCTTCAAGTTTTTATACACATACAACACACATATGCACACACACAACGTTGTGCTGTGCCAGCTCATACTTGTTCTTGGTAACTGTGTGTTAAATTTTCAGGAATTTTGCCAGCTGGTTGCTAAAACTTTGGTAGCTTAAAATCAGCCATAGTGGGAGTATTTCAGCACAGAAATCCTCAAATGCTATGAATCAGTGGGGTTTTTTTTAATTCCTGGAGGACCGGTTGTTAAATATTTATCATCATACTACTCTTCATATATAAAAGAAAGAAAACCTTATAGATAAAGTCAGATCACCTTGGACCCACTCTCAAACCCATTATCTTTCCCACTCCTCAAAGGCAATAACCATTGTGAATTTTGTGTGCATTATTTCAAAATACCTTCTATACTTTAAGTGCACTCATATGAATCCATTAACAACACAGAGTTTAGTTCGGGTGTGTTTTAAAATGTACATACACTGCAACTTGCTTTATTCATCTGGCATTTTGCTGCCTATGGATCTAGATCATTCCTTTTACCTACTATATAAAAGTCTATTATAGGAATATACCTTATTTTGTATATTCATACTCCTATTAATGGACACCTAGATTGTTTTCATTTTTTTTTTTTTTTTGCCGTTAGAAACAATGCCCAAATGAATGGTCCTTGTCCATATGTACAAGAATATATCTAGATATATACCAAGAAGTGTTAATGCTGGATTGTATACATGTTGCCAAGTTTACTAGATATTGTCAAACTCCTCTCTCAAGCGTCTAAAGCCAATTTACATCCTACCCAACAATAAAAGACACCTCTCTTTGCTCCACCCTCTAACCAACACTTGGAACTGTCAAACTTTTAATTTTTGTCAGCCTGAGAGGTATAAAATGACCTCTCATAGTTCATTTGTATTTCCTTGATTAGCAATGGGGAGCATTTTTTTCTTTTATTTATTGGCCATTTGTGTTTACTACTCTGGATTTCCTTTTTTTTTTTTTTTTCCTATTCTTCTATTGGGTTGCTTGCCTTTTTCTTCTTGATTTACAGGAATTCTCAATATAGTCTGTATACTAATATTTGTTTTTTCACTTTGTTTATAGTAAGGTAGGGGTGTGTGTGTGTGTGTGTGTGTGTGTGTGTGTGTTGTTGTTGTTGTTGCTGTTGTTGGACAGAATGACAGGTGGATTAACTCTATGGGCTCTTTGAAGATGTAGTCTACGGGCCTAGTGGTCAGAGTGCTTGTCTCACTTGCCCGGGTGATGGCTGACCCAAAATGTGTAACTTCCAAAGCCACAAGTTCTGGCTGGCAGCAGATCTACAACCCTCAGATGTATTTTCTACTCTAGCTAAACTACATTTTTTTCAATTGTTCAAAGATACCATGCTGCCTTGCCTCCAGGCCTTTGTCTATGCTATTTCCTTTGCCTGGCATACTCTTCAATGCCATAACTGTCTTTGCCCCCAGGGAACATTTTACTTTCTGTTAGCACTCACCACACTGCCTTACAATAACCTGTTAGCTTGTCTGTCTCCTCCACTGGACAGTGAGCACCGCGAGGAAAGAGAAGGGTCTTTTTCTGCCTTTGTAGCCTTAACGCCTAGCAGAAGGCTTGACACATAACAGTTCCTCAAAAAATATTTCTTTAATCAATGAGCAAATGAGTGAGTGAGCGTGGTAAGGCAAGAGGCAGCCATATTGATGATCAAGGAACATTTCATTCACTCATTCAACAACAAACCCGAGCACTTGCCAGGCACCTGTTAGTGATACGGTTCCTTTCCTCACTGACCTCACAGATGAATAGGGAAGACAGACTCACACCTGCCAAGCGTAGTATACTGACATCAGTGACTTGATGGAGAGAAGTTCCTAGTACTGTGAGCATATGAAAGAGGCATCAATTCCAGCCAAGGATGGAAAGGAATTTGGGAAAACTTCCCTCTCATAGATAGAGATAAGCCATGAAGAGACAATTGTTCAATAATCAGTTTCTTGACTGAAAGTATAAGTGAAATTCTCCCTACCAATCCCACGGGCTGCTATCTGGCTTTTTTAGATTATGACAATAAATGAATTTGCCCTGGTGTTTTCCTCCTTGGTTTGGGTTAGAGTGGCCCCTCTCAGTGAAGTCCCAGTACTAGAGCCCAGCCATGTGCTTCAGCTCTGCCCCATGGATAACAGATGAAACCCAAGGGTCACCCACGACCCCTCTTCTTCTCACGCTGCTCTACACTTGTTCCTTTTACTTACAGAATTCCTCCCCCTTTATCTTCATCCCCATCACCAAACCTGACCTCTCCACCAAACATCTATAGGCCAAAATAAACACAGTTGCCCCGCTACTGTCTGCTCCCACTCAGTGTTTCCTTGGTTCCAGGTATGTACTAGGCATTGGCAAGGCTCTGAGAACTGAATAAGAGGAGTAGGAGCTAGTGCCAAATCCCTGCTGTATGATAAAGCCTGGAGTGTTCTAGAAACTGACAGAAAGCCAGGGAGACAAGAGAATAATAACTGGAGGCACAAGATGAAGCTAGGGGGACAAGTGTTAGTAGACCACCAGAAGGTTTAAAGCAAGGAAATGACAGCGTTTCTACAAGTATTCTTTTCTTCCATGGCATCTGAAGTCAGGGTTGAAGAATAGTCCAGACCTTGTGGAGGATCTATGCACAGCTGGGATTTTCCAGAAGAAATTCATAGATAAGAAAAGCTCTGGGGTCTTATCCAATGGGAGCTTCAGTCCAAGGAAAGCAATCTAAGAAAGCATAAGGCTGGGAGAGCTATAAACATGTTGTCACAGCTCTATCACCACTCTTTCTCTGGCCCTGGTTTTTTGGCTCTTCCTGAATCACATTTCAAAGCTTTTTCAGTCTTTATCCCCAGAGTAGTCAGCATCTAGGAGCTAAGGCCCAGACTGGGCCAAACAGACAAAGAAAATTGAAGCAAGCACAAGTTCATCTGTGACTTGCTGTCTGGGACTCAGGTACCTGCACCTGCATGGGAATACTCTTCACTCCCTGGGCAAGGGACAGCCCACGCATCTCTGGGAGTCATTTCAATTGAGCATTACATCATTGACACAGCATTACAGCCTCCCGGGTCCCTTTGCTGTTACTCAAACATCTGTTTCCTCCTCCCTCCCCTTGCTGCCTCTTGGGGTCAAGAGCCCTCTTTTGCACATGGCTCCCTTTCTGAAAAATCAATCGTTCTTATTCATTTTCCTGGAACTGGAGAAGAGTCACAGGGTTTGGCCCTCTCCCTCCTGGGATCTGCCTCTGAACTGTTAAGGCATCTGACACTGCAAAGTTATTGGAAAAAGTGGAGGCTTCTGCTCTACTCCCCGAGACAAGAAACCTTGTCAGAGCTTCGTTTATGCTTCTACTGTGCTCGCAATGCCTACTGTATGCTTGAATACGAGAGTCCTTGCCCAGGTCCTGACTTCTTTATCTCTGGTCTGTTTATAGATACCAGAGCATATGTCCCTGGTGGCCACATTTTGCAGCCAGCTGAAGTCTCTGCTAGACTGAAGCAGGCAGGCTGCAGGGAGGCAGAGCACGCAAGGTTGACCAGCTCAAAGAACCACCCTCCTCCCCTCAAAAGGAGCCGGTGCTTTGCCGTGAGAGAAAGTGCCAGAGGCCCCTCTGACACCTCTTCCTCAGAATAACAAAGCTTACACTATTTACTAATGAAATGTAATGTTCAAATCAAACAATAAAAGATGCTTATCTATATTCAATTTTAGCTCTCCTAAAACAGAGGCATTATATTTTCATTAGATGATGTTTAAAGTCAGTTCACAGCTCCCTCCAGCTCTCTCTGGATCTGATATAAAGCCAATACCTGTCAATACTACTAGAGAAAGACCAAGAAAGAGGAAGTCTGAGGGGCAGCAGTGGATCAAGTACACATTTGCTTGTTATTCTGTATACTGAATATTCTACCTCACCTCTCCTAACGCCTCTTGAATCTGCTGGGAAGATAACATCAGAAGGAGAAACATAATTACACTCCCAGAACAAAGCACCCCATTTGCTTCTTTCATACTTATATAAAATAACTGGGTCTAATACTAATGGAGAAGATGCATTCCAAAGCCTTTTGGTTTTGTTTTTCATAGAGAGCAGAAAGAACCACCTAAGTCCAGCGTGGAATTTGAGATAACTCAAGATGCATTCCATTTCAAAGCCCCTTCAACTCATGTTTCTCTCTACACAGGCACATTTCTTCACATCCCTTTACACACTCACACATACTCATAGTTCCCTCTATGAAACATGTCATGAGTTATCAAGATTGTATTTTAAAGAAGCAGAGTGGGAGTGCTAAGTTTTAACCCTGAACTATTTGGGTTTTTCATTTGTTCCTTTCAAATTCTCACTAAAAGAGGAACAGCTTACCTCTTTAAATGTCTCTCCCATGTCCGGGACACTGAAGCACTTCTTTTAATTGTTTTTTTGAGACAGGGTCTCGCTCTGTCACCCAGGCTGGAGTGCAATGGCGCGATCTCGGCTCACTGCAGCCTCCGCCTCCTGGGTTCAAGTGATTCTCCTGCCTCAGCTTGCCAAGTAGCTAGGATTAGAGACGTGTACCACCACGCCAGGCTAATTTTTGTATTTTTAGTAGAGATGGAGTTTCACCATATTGACCAGGCTGGTCTCAAACTCCAGATCTCAAGTGATCCGCCTCCCAAAGTGCTGGGATTACAGGTGCGAGCCACCATGCCCAGCTGCACTTCTTTTGACTAGTCATTTCCTTGTGCCAATTTGTGCCATATGATTGTAAAACTGGGTGTCATGATCAATTTTGACCTTCAGCTGGCCTCAAAAGTGAACCTATTTTATGTACCATAGTCAGAGGCATGATTGGTTTTGATGTAAATCTGATGAAAAGAGTAGATTCTAACTTACCCAGTGAAAGGAGAGGAGGCATTGCTGGCAAAGAGCTCAAATTAGCCTGTCTTTGCATGGGGGTTGAGGATCCAAGAGGAGAGGAAGATGCCTGTCTGCAGAGACCTAAAACTAATAATCATCGCTATTTATTGAACAATTTCTATGTGCTAGCAACTTTAAATACATTATCTCATTGGATTTTTAGAACAACCCTGTGAAGGAAGTTGTGCTTTCAGCTTCAAAAGTCTCCAATAATCAGTAGGGATAGCTAACCTTGATTAAAGCAAGAGAGAGGATGGGAGCCTGGGGCCCCATCTGTTTTCCACCTTCCCCATGGCCCCAGTGAAGCTCCTCAGAACCCTCAGCACTCCATGAAACATAGCTTTAAAAAATAGGCAATTCTACTTCCCATGATTCACTTTCTTCTCCTTAGGTTGGGCCTCTGCTGTGTCCGTCTGGCCTCTCCTTTATTTAAATTTATCAAGTTGAAATTCGTATAACATAAAATTAACAATTTTAAACTGAAGAATTCAGCGGCATTTACATTTACATTGTAAATAAATGTAATATACATGTAAATGGATATTACGCACACAACATTTACAAATGTTACATACACAACATTTACAATGTTGTGCAACTACCATCTCTAGGTAGTTCCAAAACATTCCCATCACATCAAAAGGAAACACTACATTCATTAAGCAGTATTCCCATTCCCCCTCTCCCAGCCCTTGGCAACCAACAAACTGCTTTCTATCTCGATAGATTTATCTATTTTAAATATTTCACATAAATGAAATGTCTGGCTTCTTTCATTTAGCATGTTTTCAAGGTTCATCCACATTGTAGCATGTATCATTACTTCATTCCTTTTTATGGATGAATATTATCCAATTTTATGGATGTGTTACACTTTGTTTATCCATTCATATACTGATGGACATTTAGCCTGGCCTGTCTTCTTGATTCTCCACCTCTTGCAGTCATGAAAGTCTTTGGATTCCATCTGTCAAAACAAGTGTGGCAGAACCAGGTAATCTGTAGAGGATTAGAGTCAACTCATGGGAACTCTCGGCCTAAACCTGTACTGTCTTCTAACCCAGTGATTTTTATTTATTTATTTTTTAACTTTTATTTTAGGTTCAGGGGTACATGGGAAGGTTACATAGGTAAACTCATGTCACAGGGGTTTGTTGTACAGATTATTTCATCACTCAGGAATTAAGCCCAGTACCCAATAGTTGTCTTTTCTGCTCCTCTTTCTCCTCTCACCCTCCACCCTCAAGTAGACTCCAGTGCTTGTTGTTTCCTTCTTGTATTCATAAGTTGTCATCATTTAGCTCCCACTTAGAAGTGAGAACATATTGGTATTTGGTTTTCTGTTCCTGTGTTAGTTTGCTGAGGATAATAGCCTCCAGCTCCATCCATGTTCCCACAAAAGACATCTCATTCTTTTTTATGGCTGCATAGTATTCCATGGTATATATGTGCCACATTTTCTTTATCCATTCTGTCACTGATGGGCACTTATAACCCAGTGATTTTTAACTGGGGGCTATTTTACTTTCTCCTTCCCACAGGGACATTTGACAATGCCTGGAGATACTTTTGGTCATCACAGTTAGGATGTACTATTAGCATCTTGGTGGGTAGAGGCCAGATATGCTGTTAAACACTCTATAATGCAAAGGCTAGAACCTAGAGCAAAGAACTATCTGGCCCAAAATGTCAATAGTGTCAGGGTTGATGAACCCTGTCGATATAATCTAAATCAGCTGAGTTGCCAGAGATTCCAGAAAAATTTGATCAGATGAACAACTGTTCATAGATTTGATTATATTGTCTTAAAGCTATAATTATATACAGGACATTCATAGATTTGACATACATGTACCGAGCACCTATTTATGGGTCAGGCTCTGGCCTGCATCAAAGTATTCACCAGCTAAGTGTCATATAAAACCATTCATTTAAGTAATGCATCGTATATATGAGATGTTATAAAACTAACAAATTTGTTTCCTATTCGGTTGGTGCAACAGTAATTGCAGTTTTTTGCACTTTAATGGCAAAACCGCAATTGCTTTTGCACCAATCTAATAGAATTTTTTTTATGTCTGCTCTTTAAACTGTGGAAACATTGAGAAACTAGTTACTATATCTACAGTGTATTATGTTAGTATCATTTTAACTCAGTAAACCATCGTATTTAATTTGGCATCCCTAAATTTATCCATAGCTTTGTGCCGCAGACCTTAGCTAATTGTGTAAGAGATTTCACAATGGACTCTAAACCTTAAATCCCATCCTTTTAGACTGAGTAGATTATTTCATTTCCTTTTAAAAGTTTAAAATACATGCTTTTCCTTGTCTTTACACTTCTTTTTGGCCTGGCGGTTGTTTTGTGTGTTTTGAGTTTTCTTGGTTTTTATTTGTTTTGTTTTAATCACAAGAAAGAAAAATTCAGTGGCAAGGAAGAACAGGACATTGTATTTATACCCAAACTGTTAGTACAGGACATTTCAAAACTGCCTCTCCACTCTCTACCCTCTGGGTCCCCAGGAAATGCGAAATGTCAACATCTACCACCCTCCCTTTGCCCAGACCTGTGCCGCATCAGTTTATGATTAAGAGGAATTCTTGCCTGTTTAGGCCATACCCTAAGTGTTATTGTGAAGTAGACAGTCCTGTTGAGATTTATATCATTTATTTTACTGCTGCCATGGGAGATTAAAAATTAAATCATAATTTTAAATATTTTCATAAAGGTTAGGTAGGCATGTTTGATTTCTTTATTGCTTCACTGAATGTCAGAGGCTAGAGTGTTCACAGAGGACTGACAGTGAAGAATGATGGTATTTATGAAACAAATGTCATTAAGTTTACCTTTGAAAAAGATGTATTCTGGACTCCATCTAGAAAATTATGCACAAATTACATCCTATGATAAGCATGGTTTTTTCCATACAAATATTGTTGTACTGTACTTTAAAAACCATGACAACAAAATATGTCTAATACAATGAACGAGTCCTATTATGGGATTTCTTCTAAGCTGGGCACATGTGCAAGCAGGCCCCGGAACCTCTGGCTTGCTAACACACCTGAGAATAAGCAGTGAGACCCTCAGGAAGACTATGAAATAATGTTTCTTCAGGGCCCAAATCTTAGCTTTCTGTATTCCTTGCCCCTAGAGGGAAATGTGAAAGTCAGCCAGTCCAGAACCTGGCCCAATGACAGAGTCAAAGCATTTGGTAAGGCTGGTCACATGAGGTGAGGATGAGAATCCCAGAGGGAGATAATTCAGTTGGAGAGCATGGAGCCTCAAAACAGAAGCAAATTTGGGGGAAGTATGTATATGCAGGCCTTTTCTGCAGGACTTTCAGCACCTTTAATATCCTAATGTGCACTGCGACTAAGAGGGCAGTTTATTCTGTAAATATATTTGACCATTTAAATACATTTGACCATTTATGGGGCCCTATGGTTTTATGGAATATGGTTTGGGAAATGTTGCCAGACTCTGGCCTGCATCAAAGTAGTCACAAGCTAAGTGTCGTATAAAACCATTCATTTAAGTAATGTATAGTATACATGAGATGTTATAAAACCAACAAATTTGTTTCCTATTAGGTTGCTGCAAAAGTAATTCCAGTTTTTTGCACTTTTAATGGCAAAACTACAATTGTTTTTGCACCAACCTAATTAGGAGTATAAGTCTAGAAGTCAGCCAGGCATCTGGTAAAGTTCTTATAATATCCCTATGAATGATATAGAGTAATGAGAACTGGATGAAAATACTCTTACAGGGTTGCCAGATAAAAGACAGGACACCAAATATTGTATGAGGCATATTATACTAAAAAAAATTATTCATTGTTTGTTTGATATTCAAAATTCAAATTTAACTAGGCACCTGGTTTAGTTCAATCTAGAAATTTACACTTTTGATGAGGTTTGTGAATCTCCTGACAAATAGATTATTTTTGTCTTCACGAAATATGTTTCTTTTTTTTTTTTTTTTTTTTTTTTGAGATGGAGTCTTGCTCTGTTGCCCAAGCTGGAGTGCAGTGGTGCAACCTCCACTCACTGCAACTTCCGCCTCCCAGGTTCAAGTGATTTTCCCGCCTCAGCCTCCCTAGTAGCTGGGATTACAGGCACCCATCACCATACCTGGCTAATTTTTTTATTTTTAATAGAGATAGGGTTCCACCATGTTGGCCAGGCTGCTCTCAAACTCCTGGCCTCAAGTGATCTGCCCACCTCGACCTCCCAAAGTGCTGGGATTACAGGCATGAGCCACAAGGCCTGGTCCTATATTTCATTCTTTACCAGCAACCCATTATTGCACACTTGAGAAAATTAGATCCTGCTCAACATTATGAATGTAGTCTACTGTTAACTTCCTGCATCTTTTTTTTTTTTTTTTTTTTGAGACAGAGTCTCACTATGTCACCAAGGCTGAAGGGCAGTGGCTCAATCTCAGCTCACTGCAACCTCCACCTCCTAGATTCAAGTGATCCTCCGATCCTCCCACTTCAGCCTCCCGGGTAACTATAATTATAGGCGTGCACCACCACACCTGGCTAATTTTTTTTTTTTTTTAAGTAGAGACAGGGTTTCACCATGTTGGCCAGGCTGGTCTCAAACTCCTGGCCTCAAGTGATCAGGCCACCATGGCCTCCCAAAGTGTTGGGCTTACAGGCGTGAGTCACCTTGCCCAGCCAAGTTCCTGTATCTTTCATTATCTGCCTATGTCATTCCTTTTACCCTATGAAAGAAATGAAAATGCTACCTGTACTCCCAAGCCCTTCAAGTTTCACATCAAACTTTAGAATCACTAAAGAGACAATTCTCCTCTTTCACTTATATCATTTGTTCTTGTGTGAATCAGCAGATGTGTGGAGAGGTCAGTGAGCATGACAAATCTTGGCAGACTCTGTTCTGTGGCTACACCCACCATGAAAAAGAAAAATTATGACAGTCCTGCATTGCACTCTGTTCTTCTCACTCATTCATTTATTGAACAAATAGCTCCTGATCACCTGGAATGCCCCAGACACCATGCTAAGCATTGGGTATATGCAACAGCTGAATGAGGCAGACATAATCCCTACATCAAGGTTATATCCTACTAGGGAGGGAAGAGAGGAAAAACAAGTAAATAAACTAGATCACTTCAGATACTTAAGTTAGATAAGTTACTGTGAAAGAAATTAAAGGAATTCAATATGGACAGTGACTGAGCTTGGGGAGGGGGTGGATACGTTAGATAGGATGGTCAAGGTAGACCTCTTTGAAGAAGTGACATATAGGCTGAGGCATGAAGAATGAGGAGTTAAACACACCAAGAGCCAAGTGAAGAGCAACTCAGACAGAACCCAGACTACAATGCTTGTTCCTAGAGCCAGCAATAGGACCAATGTTGATATGGCTGAGTGAAAGCATCCAGTAACACACAAGATGTCAGTCTCCATCCTATGTTTGCTTCCACGCGCTTTCCACTGAGGAATAGCAACCTACAGGCTGAAATGAAGGAAATAGTGCTGAAAATAGGTCATGAACAAACAGAGAAGCAAATGGCATTTGACCAGTACTGCCATTTAATGTAAGAGAGAAAACAGATGAGGCAGTGGCTGGAAAGCAGCACTTTCATCACATATAACCTTTATTTTCAAGGAGGTTCTTTCCTGTAAGTTCTTTTCACCTAAAAACCTGCTGTGAGCCAGATGTGGTGGCCTCACGCCTGCAATCCCAGCACTTTGGGAGGTCGAGAAGGGTGGATCACTTCAGGTCAGGAGTTCAAGACCAGCCTGACCAACATGGTGAAACCCCATCTCTACTAAAAATACAAAAATTAGCCAGGTGTGGTGGCGCTTACTTGTAGTCCCAGCTACTTGGGCAGCTGAGGCAGGAGAATCGTTTGAACCTGGGAGGTGGAGGTTGCAGTGAGCCGAGATCACGCCACTGCACTCCAGCCTGGGCAACAAAGTGAGACTCTGTTTAAAAACAACAACAACAACAAAAAAGAAAACCTATTGTGATTTTTCAGATTCCCTTTCCCTGGTTTGTTCCTTGAGGAAACTATGCAGCAGTGTTTTTTGGACTCAGCACACAGACCAGATGATTTGGCTCTGCAGAGTGGAATGAAAATGATTCTCAACATTTAAGGACCTTTCCCTCCCTATAGTGGGTAGCAATAACAGCAACAGCAATTGGTTTGAGTTTTTTTACACTTATTTTTAAATGACTCCCATATTACCTTCTTTCTGAGGTGATGGAATAACTGTTTTCTCATAGTTTGGTGTGGTTTACTATGAGGTTGCTAAAAGTGAAGAAGGTGTCCAACTGAAAACTTGAGTGTCAAATACCACAAGTAAGAGATGCAGACTAACTAATGTAGGTTGTCTCGGAGTGATATTTACAAAATGTAACACAGTGAATGTAGGCAAGATATGGAAAAGAAGATAAACTAAGATTTAGTGTTTTCATTATTTATGAAAATTGTATAAAGTTACTTTAGCTTTCAGATAAGAGGAAAAGGTGTTATTACTGCCAAAAAGTGCTTTTAAAGAAGTTTCTAATAGAAAGGGACAGATTGAGGTCTCTTTGGGAGCCTGGCTAGGTGTTTTCCAAGAATCTTTCAGAGTAGCAACAACCCAGTGAACTTTCCATTGTGTGACCTTCAGCCTTATGGTCCCAGGAGCCTTACTTTGACAGCATACCCAGAGTAAATTCAATTCTCCAGAAGTCTCACTGTTCATTCAACAGTGTCCTTTAAAATACTGCTATATGCCAAATTCTGTGTTCTGGACACTGAGATATAATAGTGAGCAATAAAGATATTAACAAGTCCCTTCTGATGGGCACATTCTTGCTTCAATTAGGTTAATACATCAACAACCTAAATATCTGTAATTATATGGGTGTGTGAGGTCACACAAAACTTTAATGACCAAATCTGAGCATTCATCCCACTTAACTGCAGAAAATCTAGTCTTTTATCAAGTTCTCCTCCCTATGAATTTTTGAGAGTCCCTAAAGGACACTTAGAAAGTCCTTACATCCATCCTAGTTATCCAGCGCAGTAGGTACTCAGTAAATGATTATTATATGCACAGATTAATTTCGATAATCCATGGCTATTTAGGTTTAAAAAGCACCTTCATGGTTCTTTCATCTTAATCATTTACTATGTGCTCTGCACAATACATGGCACAATGGGAAATAAGAAATAAGACCCTCTCCCTGCCCTCAGGTGGGTCAAATCTTTTACACATGAAACAGAGAGCTTAGAATCCAAATGAGTGATATAGCTAGTGAGCAATCTTGAAGAACTCAATGGGGCATTAGTAGCTAGGTAAAGCCTCACATTTAGAAATGGGATATCCTAACCTAGCAAAAGAAAACAGTTTGAGTTGTGCATAGTGCTTAGACCCCAGTGGTAAGACCCGCCTGGCTGCAACAGAAAGCTTTGTAGGAAACAGATTTGGATAGGTCAGATGGGGCCTGGTTAAATGCCAGGTCTTCAGTGCCAGGTTCAGAGTTTGGGCTCACTAGTAGATAGAAAGGAGCCATTTATGAATAGTTTTATGCAGAGAGAAGCAAAATGATATTGCTAGCATTCTTCTACTAGGATTGAAGGAGATGATAAAGTCAAATATTTCAGACTTCACTGATGAAGAGAAAACTGATACCACTGATGAAAATGGGATGATTTTTATTTTCCCCCTAAAAGGAAGAAATATGTATAAATATATGAGAAGAGTTATTGCAATAAGATTTGGGGTTAGAAAAAATTCAGAATGGCTTTCAAAAATAAGTTATTTCCCAAACTATGCATCTGACAAAGGTCTAATATCTAGAGTCTATAAGAACCTTAAACAATTCAACAGGCAAAAAACAACCCCATTAAAAAGTGGCCAAAGGACATGGACAGACACTACTCAAAAGAAGACATACCAAACATATGAAAAAATGCTCAACATCACTAATTATCAGAGAAATGCAAATCAAAACCACAAGGAGATATCATCTCACACCAGTCACAATAGCTGTTACTAAAAAGTCAAAAAGGCTGGGCGTGGTGGCTCATGCCTATAATCTCAGCACTTTGGGAGGCCAAGACAGGAGGATCACTTGAGCCCAGGAGTTCAAGACCAGCCTGTGCAACATAGCAAAACCCAGTCTCTACAGAAAAATCAAATATTTAGCTGGACATGGTGATGCATACCTGTAATCCCAGCTACTCTGAAGGCTGAGGTAGGAACATCACTTGAGCTCTGCAGGTCAAGGCTGCAGTGAACTGTGATTGTGCCACTGCACTCCAGCCTGAATGACAGATTGAGACCTTGTCTCAAAAAAAAAAAAAAAAAAAAAAAAAAAAGTCAACCAGGCACAGCTCACACTTGTAATCCCAGCACTTTGGGAGGCCAAGGTGAGAGGATCATTTGAGCCCTGGAGTTCAAGACAACCTGGGCAACATGGCAAACCCCATCTCTACAGAAAATTTTAAAAATTAGCCAGGTGTGGTGGCATGCGCCCATAGTCTCAGCTACTTGAGAGGTTGAGGTGGAAAGATCACTTGAGCCTGGGAGGTAAAGGCTGCAGTAAGCCATGATGGCACCAGTGCACTCCATCCTGGGTAACAGAGCAAGTCCCTGTCTCAAAAGAAAAAGTCAAAAATTAACAGATGTTGGCAAGGCTGTGGAGAAAAGGGAATGCTTATATACTGTTGGTGGGAATGTAAATTAGTTCAGCCACTGTGGAAAGCAGCTTGGAGATTTCTCAAAGAACATAAAATAGAACTACCATTCAACCCAGCAATCTCATTACTGGGTGTATACCCAAAGGAAAATAAATCATTCTACCAAAAAAACTCATGCACTCGTATGTTCATCGGAGGACTATTCACAATAGCAAAGAATGGAATCAACCTAGGTGCCCATCAATGGTAGATTGGATAAAGAAAATGTAGTATATATATATATATATATATATATATATATATATATATATATACCACAAAATACTACATAGCCATAAACAAGAATGAATTCATATCCTTTGCAGCAACATGGATGCAGCTGGAGGCCATTATCCTAAGTAAATTAACACAGAAACAGAAAATCAAATGCTTCATGTTCTCACTTATAAGCGGAAGCTAAACATTGGGTATACATGGCATAAAGATGGGGACAGTAGACACTGGGGACTACTGGAGGGGAGAGGGAGGGAAGGGACGGAGGCCGAAAAACTACCTATTGGGTACCATGCTCACTTCCTGGGTGACGCAATCATTCATACCACAAACCTCAGCATTATGCAATATACTCATGTAACAAACCTGCACATGTATTCCTGAATCTAAAATAAAAGTTGACACAAAATAAAATAAGTTCATACAGCAGAGATAAGGAAAGTAAATTAGTTGAAAGTCTCTAATGTCAGATTGCACTAGATTCCTAAATCAACTTTGTCCTGACACGTCTTTCCCACTAATTCTATTCAGTTCAACAAGTAGTAAATGAGCACGCCTAGTGTATACTTAGATCTGTGTTAGGCATTGTGGGTATAGAAAAAAAAAAAAGAGCACCTAGCATGGTTCCAACCATCAGGAGGTAACAATCTGGTGAATAATGCCATCATTATTAGTACCTGATATATGCCAGATTACTTACTAAATGCTTCCTATGAATTTAATTCTCTCAACTACCCTGAGAGGTAGGTATTAGTATCTTCATTTTGTGGATGAAGAAACTAGGATTCAAAAGAAGTCAGAGCCAGCAAGCAACCAGTGGAACCAGGATTCAAATTAAGGTCTGTCTGATATTCTTGCTTTTAACTACTACCACATTATCCAGGGTTTACATGTGTAAAACGATTAAGGAACAAGAGAAGATAATACCGTTCAGCGCTTTGTCTTCTTTGTGGTCTTGTGTGCTTTGTGTGACTGACTAGAGGCAGGTTCATAAGGGGAATGAGATGTGCTGTAGAGTATTACCTCGGGATGACCTTTCTAAGACCTGAGGCGGGTCAGTCTGGAGATGGAGAGTGTCACAAAATTTCAATCCTTCCATACCTTGATTCATTTCTCCTTCTCCAGTTATTTTATTTTTGTTTGTTTGATTGATTTGTTTTTGAGACAGAGTCTCGCTCTGTCGCCCAGGTTGGAGTGCCTGGCGTGATCTCAGCTCACTGCAACCTCCGCCTCCCAGATTCAAGCAGTTCTCCCTCAGCCTCCCGAGTAGCTGGGACTACAGGTGCATGCCGTCACGCCCCGCTAATTTTTTGTATTTTAGTAGAGACAGGGTTTCACCATGTTGCCCAGGCTGGTTGCGAACTCTTGAGCTCAGGCAATCCACCCGCCTTGGCCTCCCAAAGTGCTGGAATTACAGGCGTGAGCCACCGCACCTGGCTTCTCCTTCTCCAGTTATTGACCCATACGCTCCTTCTAGCACCTTGCCTGCTCTACGATTTCACCTTAACCTATCCTTAAGCTAGATATGTAGCCTATCAATGGTCTAGCTTGAGCCAAGGATTGAATGCATAATACCTATTTGAGTCAGTGGGAGGGATGGTTAGCATGTCCCTTACCTAAATTTCAGCTCTCTCAGCCAGGCTCTTGCCTGGGAACTGTAGCAGATAACTCAAGGCTATGTTCGCTGTCAAGTGTCTAGAGCAGCTAGTAGTCTAGTTTAGCGGCCTCCAAATTTTAACACAATCAGGTTTTTAAAGCCCATGCCACCCCAAAATTAAATATGAGTTTATTTATTTACAAATTATTTATACAGTACAACTATATTATTGCATACATTATGATATAAACATATACAGAAATATGAATTTTAAAAGAATTATTAAAACAGCAATACTTAAGACTCTAAATGGTACAAAAATGATTTTGTTCTCACTTAAAATTATTGTTTGATATAATTTATCAAATGAAAGTTATATGACTCAACATTGTTTAATTTTTTTATTTTTTTTTTGAGACGGAGTCTCGCTCAGTCGCCCAGACTGGAGTGCAGTGGCGCGATCTCGGCTCACTGCAAGCTCCACCTCCTGGGTTCACGCCATTCTCCTGCCTCAGCCTCCCAAGTAGGTAGGACTACAGGCACCCGCCACTACGCCTGGCTAATTTTTTTTGTATTTTTAGTAGAGACGGGGTTTCACCATGTTAGCCAGGATGGTCTCGATCTCTTGACCTCGTGATCCGCCCGTCTCCGCCTCCCAAAGTGCTGGGATTACAGCGTGAGCCACCGCGCCCAGCCAACATTGTTTAATTTTTTAAATCTTACGTTACAGCAGTTTGAAGGACTTGTTCTAAATCAGATTATTTGCTAGGTTTTAATAAATATCTTGGTTGAAAAAGAGAGCTCATAAAGATACATAGATTCAAAAAGAAGTACATCATTGTCTATGCTTAATATGTAATCCTGAATGTGTTTTTTACTTCATCCTTCAATTATTCAAACGTGTTTGCTGTAATTTGTCTAATAAATTTTCTTAGTTCCTGATGTCAATCAGCTGTGCCTGCAAACTAATCAGAAGGCGTGATATATTGCCATTTTTAACAAATGGGATCAAAATTTGCCAAAATCTTTCCTTTGAAAAAGCTTTAAAGAGGTTAGAAATGTTTATTTCCAACTTTTAAAATTATGCAGGTACTAGGGGTTTTTATGGTAGGTGGCAAAGCAACAAAACCACAGAGAAGATAGAAACATTTTTCAGCATCCATTTTTAAGATATGCTTTTTTAAAGCATTTACTTTTCACTCATTATTAAAATTCACTTTTTAAAAAACAATATCTTCTGGGTATTGCCAACTGCTTAGCAAGAAAAGATAAGCAAATTTGGAACACTTGTCTTTGTTTAGAAGAAAAATACTGTATGTAACTCATCCCTAAGTTGAACAATTTTTTAAATATTTTCCTCAAGATAACTAGTGAGATCTCAGAGTGGCACTAAAGATTTTCATGGTCAATCTCCATCTCCTTACAAACCATATAAAAGAGTCTATCAGTTAAGATTATATAAACTATAGCCTTCTCCCTGCACAGGTAAACCACAGTATTTTGCAATATACTGAAAGCAAAAAACGAGTGAGGCCATTGCTGAAAATCACTTTGAATTATGAAACCCCTACTCTTTCTGCAGGGTGCTGACAAACATACGTGACACATCTCTAACACAGGTCCAAATGAGTAGCACTGTCAATTGAAAGATTAAACACTAGGAAGTAAGCCAAGCATGGTGGAATCCACCTATAGTCCCAGCTATTCAGGAGGCTGAGTTAGGAGGATCACTTGAGCCCAGGAGTTGTTTTGTTTTGTTTTGTTTTTCTTAGACCCTGGGCTCTAAAAAAAAAAATAGAAAAAGTAAATAGAAATTTTAATGTTTTCTCCACACCCAAATAGATCATCTTGCACAACCCCCGTGGATCCATACATCCCCACTTTGGAAACCACTGTCCTAAGCTATTGATTAAGGGCAAGCCATGAGAATTAAAGCCAAATGAGTAGGTGAGTGGCAGGCAGTGCATTAATTTAAGAGTTGAAAAACTAATGGTCGGGCAGGGTGGCTCATGCCTGTAATCCCAGCACTTTGAGAGGCTGTGGTGGGCAGATCACCTGAGGTCAGGGGTTTGAGACCAGCCTGGCCAACATGATGAAATCCCGTCTCTACTAAAAATACAAAAATTTGCCGGGCTTGGTGACGCGTGCCTGTAATCCCAGCTACTGGGTAGGCTGAGGCAGGAGAATCACTTGAACCTGGGAGGCTGAGGTTGCAGTGAGCCAAGATTGCACGACTGCACTCCAGCCTGTATGACAGAGCAAGACTGTCTCCAAAAAAAAAAAAAAAAAAAAAAAAAGAGTTGAGAAACTCATTCCTTGTCCCCAACCAGGGGAAGGCCATCCCAAGTCTGCTCAGAGCTTGGGCTAAAGGAGGCAAAATAGGATCAGTGGCTAAACTTTATTCTATCATGTGCTAAAAACAATATTTTTCAATTCCATACTGTGAGACATATTTGGGAAAGTAATAGACTTAGTTTTGAAAGAAAAAAGCTAATAAAAAATTCGTCTAGAGTACATCTAAAATATAATTATTAGTGATGGCTAACGTTTCTAATTTTCTTTCTAGACTCAAAGCCATCCCCCATTTATTAATCTTTTTAACCATTACAAGCCTATGAGGTACATATGGTCTTGTGCTCACTTTACAAGTGGGGAAACTGAGGCCCAGAGGTACGATTTAACTTGCCCAAGGTTACAGACCTCCAAAGTAGCAAAGACAGGTTTAGGATCCAAGTCTTGCTGCTCTTCCTTCTGCCTCCAGCCCATCATGGCACACAGCAGTGCCAATCTGTGACTGGCAGCTCAATTCCGATACAAAACTAATGAATTCCACTTCAGGAATTCCTCTACTCTTCCTTGGTTCCTTGCCTTCAAATCCAAAACCAAATGCCACATCCTGGATTTCTGAACTTTCAGGCACTATTAAATCCCCTGAAAATGTACACTTCACTCTCTCCTCCAACGGCCAGGAGCAACTCTCAAAATGTATGTAGTACACAGGTACCACACGCAGCATGGTTTGTTCTCACCTACAACATATGCTTATGCCCATTTCTCCTACTAGACTGTAAAGGGCTACAAAGTGGCCTATACAGTAGTCCTTTCACTTGGGATATGCAGTGGTTCCTCTTAGCCATCACCTGACAGCCTCTAGGTCTGAGAGGCAATGCACACAGTAGGAATTGCTGTAGAATTTTATCATCTACAACATATGTGGACAGAATAAAGGTGAAAATATTAAAATTCCTTTGGCTCTAGCACTTTGAAACTTAATGTAGCATCCTTCACCGAACTAATTTGCTCTTCAAGGCAGCTTATTAATGGAAAAGAGAAATGAAATATTCCTAAGGGAATAATTTCAGTACAGATGAAGGTCAGCTACTCTTTCCTTTAAAGATGTTAGTACCTTGGCATGGCACAAGGCAGCATGACATGCATCTAGCAAATTTACCCACACTTATTTTCCCATATGTTTGTGTATGTATGTGTGTGAGAGTGAGTGTGTGTGTGTATACAGACATATGTGAACAATAAATACAAAAAAGCCAGAATAATCTCAATGATCAGGGAAGACATAGAGCATCACAGAAAGATACTCGTTAAACTTACAGTATGAACTGGACAAATTAACTCTCACTTTCAAGTTCCTAATCTTTAAAAGAGCAAAATAGTAGCTCGTACCTGCACTGGGTTATCAGGAAGATAAAATGAACCAACACATGTAAAATCCTTAGTACACTGGCCGGCAATTAGTAAGCACTCCATAAATGTCAGCTTTTTCTAAAAAGAAAGGGCAATTATTAGCTATTGTTATTGTTATCGTTATTATTGTAAAAGCAAGAATCCTAAAGACTCATTTCTTTATGAGTGAATTGAGAAAGGCCTACATTATCACTACAGAAAGTTATTTAGCCTAGAGAAGACTTGAGGAGTGTGGTCCAATAGTCCATGAAGGAATTTGAAGAGAACAATGCTGAGAAGTTATTCTCATGTAAATGAAACACTGACCAAGAAGAAATGGGTAGATTTAAGTAGGAGCAGCATGGCTAGAAATAAGAGTTTCTTGGCCTCTCTAAAAATGGAACAGGCTATTGAGAAAGTTGGTAGTGTCCCCATTGCTGGATACCATCCAAAAGTTACAAACACAAATTTGGCCAACAGAAAGTAGGTCTCAGGGCCCAAGAAATCTATTTATGAATCTCCAATTACATCATATGCCCACAAGTTGTAATGGGAAATTTCCATTATCAGTCTACAGGGAAATTATACTAGAGCCCTGGCTTCTGCCCTTTGACCAAAGCCAATTCACCTGACCTCAATGGCAGCTCTGACCCAGCACCATAAAGCCCATGATCCCCAGGTACACCTCCCCAGCACCATTATCACTTTCACCTTTAAATGTCATCATCTGAAGAAATTAACAGGCACATTACATTTTCCACCTGCAAATTAGCAAATCCAATTTTTTCAGATGACTCAGGCTGAGAAGTAGTCTGAATTTTCCGTCCAACAATGAACTCAGAAAAGCCAGCACCACACCCACATGGGGTTTTGTTGATTTTCTCCACCCCAAACCAATCTGCAAAGTACTTGCCTTTTTAATACAAAAGGCTCAGTTATATAATTACCGAAATCACACCAAATTGTAAGATAAATTAACACTTTTTTTTTTTTGAGACGGAGTCTCACTCTGTTACCAAGGCTGGAGTGCAGTAGCGCGATCTTGGCTCACTGCAACCTCCACCTCCCAGGTTCAAGGGATTCTCCTGCCTCAGCCTCCTGAGTAGCTGGAATTACAAGCACGCGCCACCACGCCCAGCTAATTTTTTTGTATTTTTAGTAGAGACGGGTTTGGTTTCACCATGTTGGTCAGGCTGGTCTTGAACTCCTGACCTCGTGATCTACTTGCCTTGGCCTCCCAAAGTGCTGGCATAACAGGTGTGAGCCACCGTACACGGCCAAATTAACACTTTGATGTCAAAGAGGATCAATGAATGCAGCAGACATTTTGGCACTAGATTTTAAGTTTTGTGAAGCTCCTTCTCTGTAGGTCCAATGCTCTTCCATATTCCAAGGGTTGGACAATCCTCTGAACTGATTAGTCCTGCACATTTCAAATAGTCAAATCTAACATTTAGTGAGATCCTGCACATCTTCATAGCTTCTTAGAATACATTTTCCTTCATTTTCAAAAGAAAAATAAGCTTTATGTGCTTTCACAGCTTAGCAAGGTTGGACTAATTGCTAAAAATAGCTTGAAAAGAGGACTCCAGAAGCAATTTTGTTGAGAAGTAAGGACAGTTTTCAGGATGCAAGACAGGACCATACCTAGGGTGTCAGGTATAAAGGACATGGTCAGAAAGTTCTGCTCTTCATATCACCTCATTTGCTCAGAAAGGGTGGGGCTTCTGGCTCTCATCACATACACACCAGACAGTCCTGCTTGTACCCTAAATATCTAGGTTATTTTTAGAGAAGTGACAACTTCTTTAATAGCTATTCTCTCCATTCATGTCATGGGCTTCACACTCCTGACTTTACCCCCACTTTCTGCGAGGGCTGGCTGGAAGGTGTCTTAAAAGGCCCTTCGAGATATTCAGGCCAAGGGTACCTCAGAAGGTTGTCTTCTTAATCGATTCTTAACAAATCTCTGCAGTAACCTGTATCCTGGTTGATACCAGGGAGGCCTGCCACCTTGGAGAGTAAACCATTGCAGGCACCCAACATGTAGCAAATGAGCTGGAATATGTAAATGTGCACTCAATATTACCATTCTAATCTGTATGGGGGCCAGGTTTTCTGCAAACACACTGACTCCCAGCATGTGTGTACATGAAGACACATGCACACACCCACAGACACACAGACCTACCCCATCTCATGGGTCCTACTCTTCCCTCCAGTTTCACTAGGCTTATTAGATAAACTGCTCTACATCAAGACTCTGATAGCTATTTCCAGTTTAATGGGTTGGTGTCCCACCCCCTACCCAGCTCCTTATATTTTAAAGAGGGGCTTTGGAAGACACAATATTTTGTTTCTTTCTCTAATGGAAAGTTCAGGCTTTGGGGCTTGCCTGTAGGGAAAGAATTTGGCAAAGGAAGATCCTTTCTCTACACCCTACAAATCATGAGGCTTGGGTGACTGCCTACTCCCTTGACATAAAGCTGGCTCCAACTCTAAACATACACACATATGGGGTCCAGCTGCCTCTCACTTTAGAGTCAGAGACTTGGCCTTCCTCTTGTCTTCGCCAACCTACATTCCATCACCTCCTCATAGATCACTGATGGAAGCCATATGTTCAGAATTCACATGCACTGTATTCATAATGGAAAATTCTAGTCAGACTTCTGCAATAGATATCTGGCTGTCAGCTTCGTTAAATTTCTCTGGACACAGAGCAAAGCCATTTGGCAATCATCTGTCTCTCCACATCTTATAAAAATAAAATAGTTTTTTGCACTTAGGTAGACTTCCTTGACTATAGATTCTGAAGACTTTTGTAAATACTCTCACAATCCTGTGATTCTCTTTCATCTGTTTAGACTAATATATCCCTTTTAGAGGTAAAACTTAACTCTACATTTCTAAATACATTTCAGTCTGTCCTCACACAGAAAGATACATACAAATATGAGTAGTGTGTCATTCGCTTGCAGAAGCCTATATTCAAACACAGACAGATGTTTCCCCATCTTCTGATCTGTACCAATTTAACACTTGCTTATACAGTGTCTTATAGGCTCCTCTAATTGTTTCCAATGTATTAAGCTGACCTTGCCAACCACACTGTAACATACCTGAAGCCCTGGTCCACATATGATACTCCTTACACAGCCTGCAGAACCTACCACAGTGGTGAGCATACAGTAGGAACTCTATAAAGTGAATGGCTGCATCAAATTTATCTTAATCTATTCTCATAAAATGTTGGGGAGGACATTTTAAAATAAATAAAATCAAGGCATATGTGTGGGAGGAGAGTTTGACTATAAAAGGAGAGCCAGAGGGAGTTTTCTGAGGAGATGGAACTGTTCTGTTTCCTGCTTGTGGTGGTTATGTGAATCTATACATGTGTTAAAACTCATAGAATGCGTACTCACCAAAAAGTCCATTTTACCGTATAATTTTTTAAATTAAAAAAAATAAAAATCCAAGCAAATAAATGAACACATTCTACTTTATGTACTATTCTCTCACCAATCTAGAAACTTAATCTAACTCTGGTCTCTTATCCAGAATTGAGTAAAATCCTCATTTCAAATCACCCTGAATCTCTTAACTGAGAGTCAAGTTCCCCAAAACACTTTTTATATAAGGGGCAGACACACAAGGTTTTAGACACTTCTATACTCTTCTAAAAAGGCTGTCTTCTGAATCATACCAGAAGTTACAATATCCAAGCTGCTCAAAGAAACTGAAGTTCAGAGAAGTCTATTAAAATGGCAGAGCCTAGACTAGAATTTATTCCATGCCCAGTGCTTTTTCACTGCACCACAGAGGTCAAATAATATAGGATTTTTCTATTTGTGTGTTTATATCCTTCCTCATACCACAAAGAATTTGAGGCCACTTATTTTATATATATATATTATATATATATAAAATATATAATGTGATATATATCACATTAAATATAAAAATCATATTAACTAAAAATATAAAAATTCTATTAACTAAAAATCAAGACAAGAAGAAAAAAAGCAACAAAGCCAGAGGCAAAGGTAAGACATCTATATTGAGGCTCATAGAGACCTACATGGTTAGTAAAGTTAGGGCTACAAATTTGGCTCTGAACATCCTGGCAGCCAAAGCAAAATGATCATGTTTCCTCATGATCATTTACCAGATTTATATTGTCCATGAGGAATAAAAGCATACTACTTCTTCGGGTTAAACAAAGTTTTTCCTGGCACTTAGTTCTAAAATTTCTCATGTGGGGATGTCATATAGAAGATACTGAATAATAAAGTGTCTGAAGTCTTCAACAATATCCTTACAATATATTTAACAAGTTCTATAGGATCCTAAAAAAATCCTATAAAAAATGTTTCTGGACCAAACAAGTAGTGAATTTACCCAATTTACTTCTCCTCTCTGAGCCTCAGTTTATCATCTGTGAAAATTAAGTATTGAAATATTTGACCTCCTCCTAAGCTCCTACCAGGTCTGACATTCTTTGACTCTGTGACTTCATAAATTAAATTTGTTTTTCCACCAATTTATATGATTTCTTTCTATCTGTTTTCATTGTTTGTATATGTATGTATGCTAAATGTATCTTCAATGGCCTGGGGCATTCAGTGTATATTCCACATCCTCAAACAGAGTCAACCTCAAATATAGTTATAACAAGTAATTTGCAATCTGATATAATCATTTAATAATTTAAACAGGTATCCTCACAGTCCCCACAGCACCTTCCCCCAGTAAATAAATACGTAAAATCTTCACGGCCCTGAGGCCTGAAATTATGCTATTCCTTGGCCAAAGAGTAGGAGAAAGAAAGAAAAAAAATTTTGATTATCTACTATGTGCTAGATACTTTTACACAGATTAACTCATTTATTCTTCCCAAAAATCCTGTGAATTAGGTATTATTATTCCCATTAAGATATCGGCTTGTGATGGATTTGTACACTGTCAACCAAGCTAAGCTGGAACTAGAATCTCTACAATTCCCTTCTCTATTCTAAATAGGCTGGGTTAGCATGGACCACCAGATATATGTTGCATGAAACTCGGGAGGCAGAAGTGAAGCAGCTACCCTCATCTTCTTAGGCCCAGAAGATCAGAGGAGGGTACTTGGTATGGTTGCAGCTTAAGTATGTTGTCTCTTCTCTCCTGGCTCTTAACTTTGGCTTGGGGCATGTCTGAGCCCACAGCAACTGCTAAAGCTCCTCTTTCAGTTTCTCTGATTTCTTTTTTTGGGAAGAGTCTTCCTCTGTTGCCCAGGCTGAAGTGCAGTGGCATGATCTTGGCTTACTACAACCTCTGCCTCCTGGGTTCAAGCAATTCTCCTGCTTCAGCCTCCCCAGTAGCTGGGACTACAGGCACGTGCCACCACACCTAGCTAATTTTTGTATTTTTAGTAGAGACAGGGTTTCACCATGTTGGCCAGGCTGGTCTCGAACTCTTGGCCTCAAGCAATCCACCCACCTTAGCCTCGCAAAGTGCTGGGATTACCCACATGAGCCACCACGTCTGGCCAGCTTCTCTGATTTCTGAGAGAACACACATAGGCCACAACTTCTCTAGTTCCCCTGGGATTTCCTCCTTCAGCTTCTCTGACTCAGGGGCCATGTGTGTGTTTAGCTCTGTGATGAAGCATACCAGCTTCTCCTGCATGATACCTCCAAGTTTGAAGTTGGAGGCTTAGAGACTGTGAGAGGTATATTTGGGTTCCAGCTAATCCTCATAAGTTCTAGTGTGACCTTGCTCTCCTCCCACTTCACATCCATCTTTCTTGACTATCTGCCCTGCTGACTTCAGGCCCAGCATCAGATCGGGAACGACAGTCTTTTTTTTTTTTTTTTTTTTGAGATGGAGTCTCACTCTGTTGCCCAGGCTGGAGTGCAGTGGTGCGATCTCAGCTACTGCAACTTCTGCCTCCCAGGTTCTACCGATCTTCCTGCCTCAGCCTCCCAAAGTAGCTGGGACTACAGGTGTGCGCCACCATGCCCGGCTAATTTTTGTATTTTTAGTAGAGACAGGGTTTTGCCATGTTGGCCAGGCTGGTCTCGAACTCCTGACCTCAGGGGATCCACCCGCCTCGGCCTCCCAAAGTGCTGGGATTACAAGCATGAGCCACCGTGCCCGGCCCCAGAACAACAGACTTACAGGAACTGTTTAATCAGCTCCCACAATTACATAAGATCTGATCTCCATAATAAATCCTTTGCTTTGTATCACTCCTAATGGTTCTGCTTCTCTGATAGAACACTGGCTGATACAAGGCTCAATGAAAATTAGTTGCCCAAGGTTGCAAAGCTGGGATACAGTTGCCCAAGGTCGCAAATCAAAATAGGTCTATCTAACTCCAAAGTCTATGCTTATTTGCCTAAGTAAGAAATGTCCTGTTATCCATGCTCTGATAAAAAAAAAAAAAAAAAAAAAAACTAGCACTGATTTTCCCAAGGACATAGTAAGCAATTGTACAGAGCACTCCCAAGTCCCTCATTCTGCTCTATTTTCTACCATAGAATTTATCACCATTTAACATACTACTGTATATTGAATGACTATCTTTCATTCATTTCCTGTTCACCACACTAAAATATAAGCTCCATGAGGGCAGAAATATGTGCCTGTTTTATTCATCAATGTATCCTCAGTGCCTAGAAAAATATTTTGCACATAGTAGACACTCGATAAATATTTGTCATTAAATGAATGGAACACACAGGGACAGCACTTTGGGAAAATAAGAAGCACTGAAAAATAAAAATGTAGTCAGGGAAAAATTACAATAAATGGTCTGGGTTTCCGTCTTTCTTAAGACAGAAGTTAATGATGAGAACGAAGTGTTTTAATAGCGTCCAGAACTCAGATCAAGGTAATGAAAAACCACCACCAACAACACAAAAACCCAAACAAATGTATTGTCCATGGTACCCTGCTGTCTCTGACAACATTGTGAAATATCCCTACTAGCAGGTCAGTCATTGTTGACTTCTGGCCTTTCTCTCCTTAGGAAACAACACCCAGAAAACATAGGAAGCAGCCCAGAAATGTAGAATTATAGACTGTCAGAGCCAGAAGTACTCTAAAGACAACCTTTCATTTAACAGATGAGGAAACTGAAGCCCAGAGAGAGAGAGAACTTGCCTAAGGTCCCACAGCTAGAACTGCCTCTCCTGTTACCTAGAAACAAATCTCCATTCTACTGTGACCTTGAGCAAATTACTTAACCTCTCTAAGCAGTAAGAGGAGAATAATAGTATCTACCTCAGAGTTGACATGAGAGTCAAAAAAAATGGTTCCTGAAAAACACTTAGTGTAGTTCCTGACACATAGTAAACATCAATAAATGTTAGTCACCTCTACCTGCCAGATACACACACATGTGTACACACCATAGCCCATCTATACAAATCTTTCCCCTTCTCTCCTCCTTTGTCCATATATGCATACAACTCACCATCTAAATCAGCTTGTCTACTTAGGTTAAATATCTTTTGTGATGAAACTTTCTGAAACCACTTTAAGAATCTAAGAAACCTCAATAAAAATGCAAACTTCAAAAACAGGGAGACTTATTTGCTGAACAAACAGATTCATTCCTGGATTTCTTTAGCTGGCATATTCCACTGACACATTTAAAATTGGAATTGTTTACCAGAAGTGCATTTACTGACTACCATTTCAGGATGAGGAGCAATGGCAGAGTTCCAGGCACACCTGCATTCATTTCAAGCCATCTGGAAAGTTTCTGATATCCTCATTTCCCTCAGTGTAACTTTGATGGTCCCCATGCTGTTGACTGCTCTCCAAAAGTTGATGAAAAGGAAAGAAAGTCACTTTTCAGGGGAGTCTACTCTGAAAAGACTTTAGTAGAACCCATACTGAACTTGGTATTTTGCTAGGAGTTTCCTGAAGGCACAAAGAAATTGAGAAATTGTGGAATGACTGGCAGTGAACTTGGAGGGAGAAGTATACTGCCAGCTGCTTCCTCAAATCTCATTCTGTAAATGACCACATCTTCAGTTGGGGTTAACTTGAAAATGTTACTAGAAAGCTGAATATGCTTTCCAGAGCCTGTGAAAAGTTGGCCCATTAAGCCACAATATGAGCTATACTACAAGAAAAGATATGAGATATACTACAAGGGAAAAACTGAATTCATGTTTCCAACTACTTCCAGTCATCAATCGCTAATTGCTTTCCTAAATGGCTATGCTTCTCCACTTCTATTGAACGCAAAAGTGCATCTTATCTTCTCTACATTCCTAGGGCCTTGTGACAGACAAGAGAAACTAAAATTCTGAGCAGGCAGTGGTGTACTCCAGTGGCGGGGCTGGAGGGAAAAAATGAGGCTCAAGTTCAATTTATGGCCCAATCTCAGACCACACAAGCACTAAAGCCACACTGGTTGGAGGTGTGTAGATCTTCCTGGACACCTCCAACAAAGACCACTCCTGTGAGTTCCCATAAATGCTCTTTGGACTTGAGATTTGCTATATAGCAGGCTTCTAAAAGAACCAAAGACAGGTAATGAAGCAATCTAACCATATTCTACTTATGGGCCAGCCTCCAACCATAAAGAACATTTGGCATTCAGAAATTTCTTTTAAAAGTATTCTTGGCTGGGCGCAGTGGCTCATGCCTGTAATCCCAGAACTTTGGGAGGCTGAGGCGGGTAGATCACCTGAGGTCAGGAGTTTGAGACCAGCCTGGCCGACACGGCAAAACCCCGTCTCTACTAAAACTACAAAATTAGCCGGGCATCGTGGTGCACGCCTGTAATCCCAGCTACTCGGGAGGCTAAGGCAGGAGAATTGCTTGAAGCCAGGAGGCAGAGGTTGCAGTGAGCCAAGATTGCGCCACCGCACTCCAGGAGAAAGAAGTGATTGCCTTGAGGTAAAAGAGCACAGTGCTATTTTAAATTGCCCGCCTACCATTCTTCACACACCAAATTGGCAGTGGCCATGTGAACCAAGGCCCATACCTCTGATGCCAATAGCCAGTGCCAGTGCCAAAGGGAGCAATATGGACCTTATTCTCAAAGAATTGAGTCTTGATTTGTCTGGCATTTTTCTCATGGACCAGAACAAAGGTTACCTTTTATTTTGTCCAATTCAGAGAGTTCCCAATGCTAGAGTAGTTTCCTAGACAAAAGCTTATAAAGGCACCAGCTACAACAGCCTGGGGCAAGGAAAAGCATTTGGGACAAGCAACAGGCAGATCAATAATCCTGGAAAGAAAGAGGTTAGGAAAGGAGCCACATGTGGGAATAAAGGCCTTAAAAAGCTCTCGTGTATACCAAGGAATCAAGAAATACATATACATGCCCTGTATGGGAAACATACTCAGAAAAGGCCTGAGGAGACTTTAAGCTTTAACCTCTGGCTAGCCCTAAGTTCTGTGAAAGTAGAAAGTGAAAGCTAAGACAGAGATAAATGGCCTGGCTAAGCATTGAAGGAGCACCCCAACACAGAACCAATCTGCAATGACAGACTGGGAGAGTCATTCTTTTTCTTTTTTATTTTCTCTTCCTTTTATCTTTTATTTGCTCCAGACACTTAAGGTAACTCTATCAAAACACCAGCTGACCACTAGAGTGCCAGAACAGAGACTTCAGGGACTACATAAGACAAAGAATATAGACTTTACAAAAACAGTTTTGAAAAGTCACTAAAGAAGTAACAGCATCCCACAATCGGTAACAAAAACAAATTTTGGGTAAGGTAGAGAATCTGGTTTCCAGAATTGCTATGCTATAAAATTCAAAATATTCAGTTTTCAACAAAAAATACAAGAACTGCAGATACAAGAAAGTATGGTGTATCTACGGAAAAGAAAAAATAAAAGAAAGAAACTACTCCTTAGGAAGCCCTGGCACTGGGCTTACTAGACAAAGACTTTAAATGACTTATCAGCTATATGCAAAAACCTAGAGGAAACCAATAAAACAATAGAAAATATTAATGAAGAGATAGAAATTATTTTTTAAAAGAAACAAATAGAAATGGAAATTAAAAATTCACTAGAGAGATTTAATAGCTGATTGAACAAGTGAAGAAAAAATCAGGGAACTTAAAGATACGTCAGTTGAAATCATTCAGTCAAGGGAGCAGAAAGAGAAAAGAATGAAGAAAAATGAGCAGAACCTGAGACCTGTGGGACACCATCAAGTTTACCAACATATGAATAAGCAGGTTCCCAGAGGAAGAGGAGAGACAGAAAGGTGCAGAAAGAATATTGGAAGAAATAACAATGAAAAACTTCCCAAACTGGATGAAAAATATGAATCTACACATCCAAAAATTATGACAAAATCCGGACATGAAAAACTCAAAAATATCCACACCAAGACACATAATAGTCAAATTGTAAAAAACGACAAAGACAGCATCTTCAGAAAACCAAGAGAGAAGTAATTCATCACATGTGAGGGATCTTCAATAAGACTAACAGTTTATGTTCGGAAACCATGGAGGCAGTTGGACATTTAAATTTTTGAAAAAAATGCAAACCAATAATTATATATTCAGCAAAACTATCCTGCAAAAAGTGAAGGAAAATTTAAGACATTCTCAAATAAACAAAAACTTGAGGAAGTTCATCACAAATAGACTTCCTGTACAATACACGCAATAGGATAAGAATCGTCTAGGTTGAAATGAAAGTACACCAGACAGTAACCCAAATCCACATGAAGAAATAAAGAACAAAAGGAAAAGTAGTTGCACGGGTAATTGTAAAAGCTGGTGGTGTTGCATATACAATTTGTAATGCCTCCTTTTTTCTCTTTGTCATTCTTTTTTGTTTCCATATGATTTAAAAGACAAAGAAATAAAACAATAATTACAAAACTGTGTTAATAAACATACTATATATATGGAATTTGTGAAATAACACAAAATGGGGAGATAGAGCTGTAAAGGAGCAGAGTTTTTGCATACTATTGAAACTAAGTTAGTATTAATTCAAATTTGATTGGTATAGAGTTAAGATCCTAATTTTATCCCCATGGTAACCACTAAGAAAAAAAAACTAAAAACTATATTTTAAAAGAGATGAAAAGGGAATCAAAATTATACACTAGAAAAAGAAATCAGCTAATCACAAAAGAAAGCAGCAATGGAGGGATTGAGGAATAAAAAGAGTACAACTCCATGACAAAAGGAGAAACAATCCAATTTAAAAATGGGCAGGCCAGAGGCCAGGTGTGGTGGCCCACACCCGTAATCCCAGCACCTCACAAGGCTGAGGTGGGCAGATTGCTTGAGCCCAAGACTTCGAGACCAGCCTGGGCACCATGGCAAAACCCTGTGTCTACAAAAAATTAGCCAGGAGTGGTGGCATGCACCTGTGGTCCCAGCTATCCAGGAGGCTGAAGTGGGAGGATTGTCTGAGCCCAGAAAGTCGAGGCTGCAGCAAGCTGTGATCATGACATTGCACTCCAGCCTGGGCATCAGAGCAAGATCTTATCTCAAAACAAAAAAAGGGCAGGCTGGGCATGGTCGCTTATGCCTTTAATCCCAACATTTTGGGAGGTCAAGTTGGGAGGATTGCTTGAGGCCAGGAGTTCGAGACCAGTCTGGGCAACATAGTAAGATTCCCATCTCTACAAAATATTTTTTTTTAAGTTAGCCAGGCGTGGTGGCACATACCTGTACTCCCAGCTACTTGGGAGGCTGAAGTGGGAGGATCCCTTGAACCCAGGAGGTCGAGGCTGCAGTGAGCCATGATCATACCACTGCACCCCAGCCTAGGTGACAGAGCAAGACCATGTCTCAAAAATAAATAAATAAAAATAAAAATAAGACAGCCAGGTGTGATGGTTCATGCCTGTCAACCTAGCACTTTGGGAGGCCAAGGCAGGAGTATCACTTGAGGCCAGAAGTTTAAGACCAGACTAGGCAACATGGTGAGACCCCATTTCTACAAAAAAATTAAAAATTAGCTGGGTATGGTGTGTAATCCCAGCTATTTGGGAAGCTGAGGCAAGAGGATTGGTTGAGCTCAGGAAGTTGAAGCTGCAGCAGTGAGCTATAATTGCACCACTGCACTCCAGCCTGGGCAACAGAGTGAGGCCCTGTCTCTTAAAAAAAAAAGAAAGTTGAGGGCGAGTGCAAAGGATCTGAATAGACATTTCCCAAAGAAAATACACAAATGGTCAGTAAGTACCTGAAAACATACTCAACATCATGAGTCATCAGGGAAATGAAAATCAAAACCACAATGAGATACTTCACACCCACTAGGATGGCTATTTAAAATAATAATAATAATAATACATGTTGTTGGGGATGTAGGGAAATGGGAGCTCCCTACACATTGCTGGTGGGAATGTAAAATGTTGCAGCCAAGTGGAAAGTAGTTTAGCAGTTTCTCAAAAATTAAATATAGAATTACCATATGACCCAGTGATTCTGCTCCTAGGTATATATCCAAAATCATTGAAAATAGGTAATCAAACAAATATTGCACATGAATATTCATAGCAACCCTATTCATAATAGCCGAAATGTGGAGGCAACCCAAATGGTCATCAGTGAATGAATGAATTTTTTAAATGTGGTATGTCTATAGAGTGGAATATTATTCAGTCATAAAAAGGAATGGGCTGGGCACGGTGGCTCATACCTGTAATCCCAGCACTTTGGGAGGCCAAGGTAGGTGGACTGCTTGAGCTCAACAGTTCTTCAAGACCAGCCTGGGCAACATGGTGAAACCCCGTCTCTATCAAAAACACAAAAAAATTAGTTGGACATGATGGCGCACACCTGTGGTCCTAGCTACTCAGGAGGATGAGGTGGGAGGATGACTTGAGCCCAGGAGGCAGAGGTTGCAGTGAGCCAAGATCACACCGCTGCACTCCAACCTGGGTGACAGAGTGAGACCCCTGTCTCAAAAATAAAATTTTAAAAAATAAAAAGGAATAATGAATTCATAAATGCTACAACATGATGAACCTTAAAAATATTATGCTAAGAGAAAGAAGACAGTCACAAAATCATTCTCTGATTTCATTTATAAGAAACTTTTAGAATAGGTAGATCTGTATAGACAGTAAGTAGATTAGTGGTTGCCAGAGGTTAAAGGAGAGGCAATGGGGAGTCACTGCTTAATAAGTACGAAGTGTCCTTTTAGGATTAAATGTTCTGGAATTAGATAGTGGTGATGCTTATACAACATTGTGAATGCAGTAGATGCCACCAAATTGTACACTTTAAAATGGTTAATGGTTCATTTTATGTTATGTGAATGTTACTTCAATAAAAAAGTATTATTATTATTTTTGAAATGGTGTCTCACTCTGTGGCCCAGGCTGGATTGCAGTGGCGTGATCTCGGCTCACTGCAACCTCTGCCTCCTGGGTTCAAGTGATTCTCCTGTCTCAGCCTCCCAAGTAGCTGGGATTACAGGCGCATGCCACCACAACCAGCTAAATTTTTTGTATTTTTAGTAGAAACGGGGTTTCACCATATTGGCCAGGCTGGTGTCGAACTCCTGACCTCAGGTGATCCACCCGCCTCGGCCTCCCAAAATGCTGGGATTACAGGCGTGAGCTACTGCACTCGACCAAAAACAAGATTTTTAAAAATTCTGCTTCTAAAATGTGAGTGTGCCTTCCTCCTGTGACTCATTGAGGTATGTTTTGTTAAAAGCCTTTAAAAGGACAGAGAGCTGGGACTTCATCAACCTTAAAAAACTGTTTATATGAGCTCTTTTGTTACTGCTATTAATCAATGTTCATTTAATAAATGTTAATGTGTAAGACAAAATTTGGTCTGAGACTTGCTTTCATTATAACTTCGTAGGGAGATTGCAATAAAGTAAGTAATCCCAATTCATCTCAAACTTTTTTAATGACTACCATTATCTCCATATAAATAAACATAGATAAAATCAAATTGACTAAGGCCAGTTTTTAATACATGGTAAAGTGTTCAGAGAATGGAAATTATTACATTTCAAAATAAATTTAATTATGAATCATTAAAACCCACAAGAACCGTGGAAGGGAGATTACTTATAATGCAAATAAGAATTTTCATATAAACCACATATATATGACCCTATGATAAGGTAAAATCATATGGAATACAGTTTTTGGAAGCCTGCCACCACCCCCACACATACATAAGTATAAACACTGGAAGAAGGGTTGGAAAACCATCAAATACCTTTAGACAATAATATAAGTGTTATCCTTAATAACAAAAGCAAAATCTATCAACTCCCAGTGGTTAAAGAATGTTCCCTTGAAGCCAGATTGTGTTTAAATGCCGTTTAAAAGAATACATCCGACCGGGCACGGTGGCTCATGCCTGTAATCCCAGCACTTTGGAAGGCTGAGGTGGGATCACGAGGTCAGGAGTTTGAAACCAGCCTGACCAACATGGTGAGACCCCAACTCTACTAAAAATATGAAAATTAGCCAGGCGTGGTGGCACATGCCTGTAATCCCAGCTACCCAGTTGGCTAAGGCAGGAGAATCGCTTGAACTGGGGAGGCGGAGGTTGCAGTGAGCTGAGATCACGCCACTGCACTCCAGCCTGGGCGACAGAGCGAGACTCCATCTCAAATAAATAAATACATACATGCATACATACATACATACATATATACATCCTCACATTTGTAAAGGCTTTTCACTTTCCTAAGCATGCTTATGCAGCTGGTCATCTTTTCTCTCCACATCAATGTGAAATAGGCAGGGCAGGCATTATTCCTATTTTGCAAATGAGGAAACTGAGGCACAATAAGAAGGACTAACTTGGCTAAAGCTACAAACAAACTCAGGTCTTCTAATTCTCTGCCCAAGGCTTTTTTTTCCCAACTCCCAGTGATGTAGATTCCAATTCAAACGGGTTACAGGGAAGAGGAATATCACAATTTGAGAATCAAACAAGTAAACAAAACAATAACAACAAAAACACCCAAAACCATGTGAAGCCACAGAGCAAAATATATGATACCTTTTTCTCCAAGAAAGAGTCACACTTTTGTTTATCCTCATTTGCATTAACACCTTGCAACAACTTTGGTAACACTTAGAAAGCAACACCCAAATGGAGCTTCCAATGAGAAAATCACCCTACCCTACCAGAAGACAAAGACATTAGCCTTTGCTGATATGATGAACAGGCCACTGAATGCAAGCTTAGTGCCATAGAAGTCAGATCTCTACCTTGCTCCAAGAGTGAAAGCAATGAAAACTGGGATGGAGATTCTTCTATCCAAATGAGATCACCTGAAACTCAGTGCCAGGAACCAAGCAGGGAGGCTGCTGACTGAAAGGCAGACAGCAAAAAGTAACTCTGAACAGAAGTTCCATCTCCTTAAGCTGCAGACAGATTTGTTCTCCCAGCTCCTATAGTACTTTTTGTTTGTGCTACTTAATACTTAAAAAGTGGACAAACATTGTGGAATACCTTCTATATGGGCTTAGCATACAACAGAATTCAGGAGGGCACACAAGAAAAGTGGCAAGTACAGCGCCTTTCCTTAAAAGAGCTTGTCTGTCAAGTTGTAGTGAAAAGATATTTACATGCAAAAAACAATGAGCCCAGGGTACAGGGCATTAGATAATAAAAGGCTACATTATGTACTAAAAAGTAGGCAACATAAGATGTCAGAAAAAAGGCAGGGAGAAAAGGAACTCATTTAATCCTGATAATAACCCTATGAGATGAAAACTAGTGGCCTGGGGCATTGGCTCACGCCTGTAATCCCAGCACTCTGGGAGGCCAAGGCCAGGGGGAATCATTTGAGGTCAGGAGTTTGAGACCAGCCTGGCCAACATAACAAAACTCCATCCCCACAAACAATACAAAAATTAGCTGGGCATGGTGGTGCATACCTGCAGTCCCAGCTACTCAGGAGGCTGAACCACGAGAATCGCTTGAACCCAGACGGTGAAGTTTGCAGTGAGCTGAGATCATGCCACTGCACTCCAGCCTGGGCGACAGAGCAAGACTCTGTCTCAAAAAAAAAAAAACACCTAGTATTATTCCCACTTTACTGATGAGGAAACTAAAACTCAGAAAGCATATGCAACTTGCCAAGGAAACACAGGTAGTTACGTAACAGTCAGGAGTTGAACCAAGATCTGTGTGGATCCAAGAGGTCTGGAGTAAATGGAAAATGCCTCCTACAGGAACTAGGGCTGGAACCAGGCCTTAATAGATGGGAAAACCCTGAAATTTGGAGGACCCTGAAAACAGGTAGGATTTGGAAACCATCAAAAGGCATTGTGCAGAGTGACATAATGAAAGCAGTATCTTAGCACTATGTCTACAGTGATGTCTACAATATGTCTAAACTCGTTCAAGTGATATGCGGAATCAACTGAAAAGGTTTAAGGCTAGAATCAGGAAGCCAGCTAGGAAGCTGTTACAGAATGCAAGTATACAATGCTGCAAGGGCAGTCTGAACCAGTCTGGAAGAGGATATAGTACAGTGGAATAAAAACATCTCCAGAAAACAAAATGAAAACAGGGTGAGGCGACTTTTTAAATAGTCGTAAAGGAGACAGAGAAGAAAAGATTCCAAGAATTTGAGCCTGAAATATCCTGAGAATGCTAGTAGCATGTTATGAAAATAATGTCATCAGGAGAGGCAGCAGGCTGGAACACTTGGTTTGGAACAAGTTGACATCGAGGTGTGGATGAAAAAATCCAAGTAGAAATGCCAGGAAACAGTTGAAACTCAGACGAGGTCAAAGCTAGAAGCATCAGTCTCCTCACAGAAATGCTAACTGAAATCATGAATGTTGATTAGTCACTGTGGCAGACATTGTGATTTGCCCACCAAAAAGCTATTCCTCATTTCTTCCTTGCGTATAGAATCTCAATTTTCTCCTATAGCAGTCACTCCGGTTCTTAAAGGGAGACTGGGAGCTCTTCCCTCTCCAGAGACACAAATCAGAGGGATTGGTCTAAACCAATAGTTCTCAACCTTGGCTGCACAGGGGAATCAGATGGGGAGTTTTTAAAATGTGGATCCCTGGGTCCACAGTCAGAGATTCTGATTTAATTGCTCTAGGATATGCTTGGGCATGAGCTTTTTAAAAGCCCTCCAGGTGTCTCTCACGTGCAGCCAAAGCTGAGATCCCCTGATCTAAACCAATCAATCAAGGCATCTTTATTCTCTTTGCCAGTAATTGGTAATCCTAGTTAATGGGTCCTTGAAAGAAGTTGAGTGGAGGCTTCAAAAAGAGGTTTTTCAGTGGGGCGCGATGGCTCACATCTGTAATCCCAACACTTTGGGAGGCCTGAGGCAGGCGGTATTGCTTGAGCCCAGGAGTTCGAGACCAGCCTGGGCAACAGAGCAAAACCCCATCTCTACAAAAATTTTTTTTAAAAAATTAGCCGGGATGGTGGCATGCACCTGTAGTCCCAGCCACCTGGGAGGCTGAGGTGGGAGAATGACCTGAGCCTGGGAAGTCGCGGCTGCAGTGAGCCATGATCATGTCACTGCACTCCAGCCTGGACTACAGAGTGAGACCCTGTCTCAAAAAAAAAAAAATAGGTTTTTCATAAAATCAAATTCACTGCAAGTAACACCTTTTTCTTTGGTGAACATTATCATTTCTACATGTGATGCCTGCAACCACTGCAGCTTTCTTGCAATCCTGAAAGGAATTTGCTTAAGATAGCAGATGAGAAAGATGAAAAGATGGAAAACACTTGGGTTCTTAATGATGTCCTTAAGCTACTGAATTGACAAACTCTGGAACCTCTGTGGCTTTACATTTCTTGTTATCAGAAATATTTATCCTCATTGCTTAAATCATTTTGAATTTTCTGTTATTTCTAGATGAAAGCAACCCAACTGGAAATATATAGATGCCCCTACCATGGAGTTCCATAAAACATGTCCTATATATTTCATACTAAATATTACACTATACTATTTTCATTGATTTTCTGTCTCCTTCCCCAGTTTTTGAGCTCCCAGAAGGCAAGGATTGTGTCTAATACGTTTATCTATCCCCAGAGCACAATACAGGTCTCCAAACATAAATATTTAAATACTTTTTAAATGTTTAATGGATGGATTGACGAAAGAGTATATAAAGATAAAGAGGAGAGTGTCCATGAGAATGTCTTTAGGAGAATCCAGTTATAACAAAGAAGAAAAAAGAAGAGCCAGGAAATAAAGCAGAGATGTGGTCAAAAGAATAGAAGGAAAACTAGTATAAGGCTGGACCACTGAAGCCAAAATATTAAAAAAATATAAAAAGTTAGGGTAGTCAGTGTCAGTGGGGATGAGAAAAACATGGGAGTGAAGAAAATGCTATTGAGATTTGGTAAGAAAGAGATGCCTGGAAACCTCTGGTATGTATTTTCCCAAGCAGATCCAAAACCACATGAGGAATTATTTCTCAGTCTAAGTTACTCATACTCTGCAATAGAATCTTCAGCATAATCAAGCACTTAAGCTGAAATTACTGTTCTTATCCAAGGCAGTATTTAATGGGATCTCAATAACCCCTATCTAGTCTTCAGTTTTATTTCTGGTGATGTAGTCAGTTCTGAGGACCCCAGACCTAGCAGAAACTATATCAAAGTCAAGAGTTATTATTGTCATATCATGAAATACAGTTAAATATCCTTAGAGAAAGAAAGAAGGGATCACATATTCTCTGCAGGAAAGCCGAAAACTTCGGGTGTCCATTTCTCCAAACACAGCAGAGCACCTGTCATAAATACATTAGGTGGCATAAAAAGATCGCCTGCTTTCAGCCTTACTTTCTTGCTCACCAGTCAACGGGGGGTTTCCCAGGTTGGTAACACTGTCATTTAAGACATTCTGGAGCCCAGGTTTCCATTTGAAATGAAAGTGATAGGTTATCTCTACTTTCGATTAAACAGGTAACTTTAACCCACTGCCACGGAATTCTTCTGCATGACTTTGGTCTTTTTGAGAAGGGTATGTTTCTGAGAAGAAGCTTTGGGGAAAATCCCCTTCTTCAGTGCACAAGCCCTTGCTCCTTCTCCCTTCAGGAGCTTCTGCCACTGCCCCACCAGTAGAGAACATTAGATCTTGTCGGTAGTGTAGAAGCCAACTCCAGCCTCTAAAGAGGTATCTGAGAAATGTCAGGAACTCCCCAAATCTGATCAGGTTTGACACTAGCATAACCCTAGTAGAGTATGATTGTATTAGCATGTTTAATACCATAGTCCAGTATTTCCCATTGCTCCCTGTGGTAGGTCAAATGATAACTCTCTCCAAAGAGGTTCACATCCTAATCCCTGAAACCTATCAACGTGTTACCTTACATGGCAAAAAGGACTTTGCAGATGAGATTGAGCTAAAGATCTTGAGGTGGGATGATTATCTGGATTATCTAGTAGGACAGATGTAATCACAAGAGTCCTTATAACAGAAGGAAGCAGAAGCATCAGAGTCAGAAGGTAGAGATATGATGACAGAGCAAAAGGGAGGGGCAGTGAAGTGGGAGGTAGAGAGGCGGTGAGGGGAGGAGAGGGAGAGGGAGAGAGAGAGAGAGATTTGAAGATGATATGCTGTCACTGGCTTTGAAGATGAAGAAAGGGGCCATAAGCCAAGAAATGTGGGTAATCCCTAGCAACTGGGAAGAGCAAGGAAATAGATTCCCCTCTAGAGCCTCCAGAAGGAACACAGCTCTGCTGACTCCTTGATTTCAGGACTTCTGAACTACAGAACTGTAAAATAAAAAATTGTGTTTTAAACCAACAAGTTTGTGCAGCAGAGATAGGAAACTAAGACATTCTCCCTCATAACTTTTTTAAAATGTTTACTTTTAATTGACAAATAACAATTGTATATATTTATGGGGTACAAGGTGATGCTTTGATATATGTACACACTGTGAAATGATTATACTAACCTAGTTAGGATTTCTATCACCTCATATACTTTTTTGTAGTGAGAACATTTAAAATTTATTCTTTTGGCAATTTAAATATGCTTTATTATTGACTATGATAACCATGCTTTACAATAGCTCTTGAAAACTTATTCCTCCTGTCCAATTGAAATTTTGTATCCTTTGCCCAACATCTCCCCATTCTAATGCCAACCTATCCCAACCTCTATCCCTGCCCCCTATCCCAACCTCTGGTAACCACCATTCTACTCTCTGCTTCTGTGGGCTTAACTTTTTTAGATTCCACATGTAAGTGAAATGATGCAGTATTTGTCTTTCTGTGCCTGGCTTGTTTCACTCAGCATAACTTCTTTTGAAAAATACAACTAAGTGGTCAAATAAATTTGCAGGTTCTACCCTTCTTTTGGAAATTCACAGTGTATATTGGTTCACTAAAGGCTCTCAGACATCCTGTGGGAAAGAAACCTATTTAACTCAATGTCGACCATGTAAAAGACATTTTTAACTGAAAAACATCAATTATCATCCTGCAGAACAATGTTCCTTTCTCAGAACTCTGGTTTTGAGGTAACACTGCTAATAGCTTGATAATTTGAGGCTTAAGATAGATGTGTTAACCAAAGTAGAGGCAAGTGTGGATAGAGATCTAGAAAATGAGTCAAAGAACAAGAAACTCTCAACATGTTGCTCAACTAGTCCAGGAGAGCTCATCTTCACATACAAATATGAGTATTTTGTCTCTCCTCTTTGATCTATCCCAAGGGTGGGGCTGTCACAGGTGAATGGCAGATGCCATTAAGATCATCCAAGGAACTGCTCCTAGTTTTCATTCCTTGCTCCATAAACAATCTTCTGCTATCATTTAGCTTTTCTTTCAGGTCTAGCCTGACCAGCTGACATGCCAACTCCAGCCTGATTAATAGTTCTCTGTACTCCTGAAAATAAGTTGGAATTATAGCTTTGTATTAATATCTCTATCCCTTGTGATTTACATTGGTTAGCATGAGTCTATGCCCAGGAGATTACAGATCTCTAAGTATCTCTGACAAAATTCAGCTTCTGGATCTAACCAGTACCCTGTGAGGTCCTGCCTAAATTGTCGGACAAACTTTCTTGATGACACAGCCATCCTGCCTCACTCCTCTAACTGCCACATCTTCCTCAAGGGCAATTTCCTTGTCCACAACAGCTCTGGCACCATGTCTAGAAAAAGCTTCTTAGAAGTGCAATCAGTTGACTGAGTTCTCCTACAGGATGATACAGGATGAGGTCAAGAAGTAGTGGATAACAGCAGGAAGGCGTTACAAAGCCAGGGAAAGGGGGTTGGGGGTGGGGTGTGCAACTTGGACAGATATAAGGATCTTCTCCTTGGACCAATACAGTCAGTACAAATGAGAATACCACATCAATTTCCTATACTGATAGGAGGCAGCCAGGGCAGAGATGACAAATAGTAGCGTGTATCAATTCTGATCACTTGGCAGAAACCAGATGGGATGCTGTGTTAAGGTGTTGTGGGCAGGTATTTTATTCCCAATACTTATTTCAAGGGCTTTTCCCTTCCCTTCTATATCCATTCAGTGCCTGAGGGAACGGCATGTTTCTACAGTGAGATTCACAGCCCTCTGTCCATGGTTTTTATATCCCTCTTTCGCAAGTTGCATTGGGTCAGTAAAGGTTGATCCCTAGGAGAATGCATCCAGGGCTGCACACCTAACACAAATTGAGCCAAGAAATCTCTTCCCAGGGGATTTTTAAATTAAGAAATAAGTTTCAGCCAGGCACGGTGGCTCATGCCTGTAATCCTAGCACTTTGGGAGGCTGAGGCAAATGGATCACCTGAGGTCAGGAGTTCAAGACTAGCCTGGCCAACATGCTGAATCCCCGTCTCTTCTAAAAATACAAAAATTAGCCAGGCATGGTGGTGCGCGGCTGTAATCCCAGCTACTCGGGAGGCTGAGGCAGGAAAATTGCTTGAACCCGGGAAGTGGAGGTTGTAGTGAGTCAAGATCATGCCATTGCATTCCAGCCTGGGCGACAAGAGCGAAACTCAAGAAAGAAAGAGAGAAAGAGAGAAGGAAAAAGAAAGAAAGAGAGAAAGAGAGAAGGAAAAAGAAAGAAAGAAAGAGAGAGAGAGGGAGGGAGGGAGGAAGGAAGGAAGGAAGGAAGGAAGGAAGGAAGGAAGGAAGGAAGGAAGGCAGGCAGGCAGGCAGGCAGGCAGGCAGGAAGGAAGGAAGGAAGGGAGTTTCTCTCTCTGAGAAGATAAATACCACCTGATCTCATTTATATGTTGAATCTAAAAAAGTTAAACTAATAGAAGCAGAGAGCAGAATGGTGGTAACCACATGCTGGGTGGTAAGGTATTGGGGAGATGTTGGTCAAAGGATACAAAAATTCAGTTAAATGGGAGGAATAAATTCAAAAGATATATTGTACAACACAGTGACTGCAGTTAATAACAATGGATTGTATACTTAAAATGTTTTAAGAGAATAGATTTTAAGTGTACTCATCTCAAATATATAAGTGTGTGAAGGAATGGATATATTAATTTGATTTAGCCATTCCATAATGTATACACATTTCAAAACATCATGTTAATATGCCATAAGTATATACAATTTTGTCCATTTAAAAAAAATAAAGAAAAAATAAAATACTGTGAAGCTACTGTAAAAAAAAAGCTCAGCTCCTCTCTGTGGATGGTCAAATCCATAACATGTAAAACCCAGGTGATGTTACCTACCATGTTTTTCTCCATATGGACAAGAAAAAGCTGGTCTATAGAAAGAAGAATGAAACACAGGAACAAAGGGGTGCAGAAGCAAGAAGTAGAGAGAGAATCCACATTGTGTTTATCCTGTGGTCCAGTTTATCTTTGAAGGTCACCTATATTCAGGAACTTGGGTTTTGGGAGACACGCTGCATCTCTACTAAAAAGAAAAAAAAAAAAAAAGGGTCAGGCTCAGTGGCTAACACCTATAATCCCAGTGCGTTTTGAGGCCGAAGTGGGCTGATCACTTGAGGCCAGGAGTTCGAGACTAGTCTGGCCAACATGGTGAAATCCCATCTCTACTAAAAACACAAAGATTAGCCAGGTGTGGTGCTGGGCGCCTGTAATCCCAGCTACTTGGGAGGCTGAGGCACAAGAATCGCTTGAACTCGGGAGGCAGAGGTTGCAGTGAGCCAAGATTGCACCACTGCACTCCAGCCTGGCCAACAGAGTGAGACTCAGTCTCAAAACAAAAAGAAAAAAGAAAAAGAATAAAAATCCCCTTTTTGTCTAATATGTAAAATTGGGATAACTACTCTACCTTCTATGGCTGGTTTAAAAGGATCTGTAAATTTTGTGAATGTATAAAGGCTTTAGTCCCCTGCCTGGCACATAGTAAATGCTAGGTAAGGATTTATTTATAAGTTTGTTTTCTGTTACTTGCAACCAAGAATATTCTAACAGAAGGATTCAAAGGGCACACCAAAACTCTGTGGGAAAGGCTATGAACAAATAACAGTGTCCACTATGGATGCAAAAAAGGGAGGCAACAAGAGTCTTTTTGCCTGCTGCCAAGATAGAGCTGGTTTACTGAGACAGGAGAACTGAGATAAAGAGTTTAATCATACACATACAGCCAACTAAACAGGAGAACAGAGTTTTTTGTTGGTGGTGGGTTTTTTTGTTTGTTTGTTTTTTGTTTTTTGTTTTTTGTTTGAGACAGAGTCTCGCTCTGTCGCCCAGGCTGGAGTGCAGTGGCGCGATCTCTGCTCACTGCAACCTCCGCCTCCCGGGTTCAGCGGATTCTCCTGTCTCAGCCTCCTGAGCAGCTGGGACTACAGGCGCGCGCCACCACACTTGGCTAATTTTTGTATTTTTAGTAGAGACGGGGTTTCACCATATTGGTCAGGCTGGTCGTGAACTCCTGACCTTGTGATCCGCCCACCTTGGCCTCCAAAAGTGCTGGGATTACAGGCATGAGCCACCACGCAGGGCTGGAGAACAGAGTTTTATTACTCAAATCAGTCTCACTGATAATTCAGAGACTAGGGTTTTTTAGGAATAATTTGGGCCGGGAGCAGTGGCTCAAGCCTGTAATCCCAGCAGTTTGGGAGGCCGAGGCAGGTGGATCGCCTGAGGTCAGGAGTTCAAGACCAGTCTGGCCATCTCTACTAAAAAATACAAAAAATAAGCTGGGTGTAGTGATGGGTGCCTGTAATCCCAGCAACTTGGGAAGCTGAGGCACAGGAATCTCTTGAACCCAGGAGGCGGAGGTTGCAGTGAGCCGAGATGGCGCCACTGCACTCCAGCCTGGGCAACAGACAGAGACTCTGTCTCAAAAATAAAAAATTAATAATAATAATAATAACAATAATTTGGCAGGCAGGGGGCTAAGAAGTGGAGAATACTGATTGGTCGGGTTGGGGATGAAATCACCTGGAGTCAAGGGGTAGTTCTTGCTGTCTTCAGTTCCTGAACTAGTTGAGTCAGATTTCTGGTCTGGGTGGCGCCAGCTGATCCGTCAGAATGCGGTGTCTGAAAAGTATCCCAAACACCAATGTTAGATTATACAGTAGTGATGTTATCCAGAAGAGCAACTGGGGAGGTTAGGAATCTTGTGGCCTCTGGATGAAAGACTCCTAAACCATACTTTCTAATCGCGTGGCTAATTTGTCAGTTTTACAAAGGCAGTCTCGTCCCGAGGCATGGAGAGCCTTTGTTTGGGCAAAGAGCTATCATCTTTGTTTCAAAGTTAAACTATAAACTAAATTCCTCCTATAGTTAGCACAGCCTACACCCAGGAATGAACAGGTTGGAGGTTCACGGCAAGATAAGAGTTGGTTAGATCAGATCTCTTTCACTATTATAATTTTCACCAAGGTAGTTTTAAACATATGTATCACATGTAGTGTGCATCCCATCACTTGGACACATATTTTGACATTTCTTTTAATGCTCAAATTATTATGACTGAGTTTTTTGTTTGTTTTTTTGAGACGTAGTTTTGCTCTTTTGCCCAGGCTGGAGTGAAGTAGCAAGATCTCGGCTCACTGCACACTCCGCCCCCCAGGTTCAAATGATTCTCCTGCCTCAGCCTCCCGAGTAGCTAGGATTATAGGAGACCGCCACCATGCCCAGCTAATTTTTGTATTTTTAGTAGAGAGCGTTTTACCATGTTGGCCAGGTTGGTCTCGAACTCCTGACCTCAGGTGATCCACCAGCCTCACCCTCCCAAAGTCCTAGTTTTACAGGCGTGAGCCACCGCACCCAGCATGACTGAGTTTTTACAAACCCATATTGATGGGAAATTCAGCCTTTATCTTGGGGTCCCTTAGAATATAGGATATCAGATATACACCTGGATACCACCACTCAGCCATGGCCCCTGGGCTAGACTATCACCCACAGGAATGCTGGGGCATGGTTGCAACAAATGTTTCAAGATAAAGTCGTCCTGAGGTTTTCCAACTCTTTCCCACACATGAATCCTTGCTTGTGGCTTAAACCTGCCCACTGGAGGGGCTGTGTTGAGGCGGATTCTCGTAGCAGCAGCTTCAGAGATTTGGCAGAAACATCCCCCAATCCTCCCTGCACCTCAGGACTCCCAGTGTACAGACCAGCCACTTGGTCCTGTCTCCTTCTATCTCAAGAGTTTTATTGCTTTTTCCCAACCCCTGGAATTGGCCAGGACCAGCCTAGATCATCCCAACATGTTACAAAAACTTTGGGCCTCAAATAGAAATTCAGTCTGAAATTCAGGATCTTGATCTCAATTTCAGTAAAAGGCCATTTTGGTGACTTGCCTGGAACAAAGAAAGAGAGCCTCAAAGGGAATCAATATGTTCACTAAAAGTGGCCAACTACCTCCAAAAGCTTGCTTTCCTACTTGGGAAGCAAGTAGAGTCCTTCTTCACCAGTACTCACAACATGTAGGTTTGCCATCCCTAAGTTAGAGACTAGAAAGACATTGGCACCTGAAGAGGCAGGGAGGAGGGTAGGAGAGTAAAAATTGACAGAGTGAAAACAAGACTGGATGCAACAAAGACAAACCACAACTTTGCCTATTGCCAAGTGAATGCAATCAAGAGAGATTACACAGGGAGGGAGCTGAGGTTACCAGAGCTAAATAGATGCATACCTTGAGTAAACATTGCCAGGGAGCCCACAAACCCTGCTATGAGGTCTGTGAAGCATTCTGCTGGCTTAACGTCAACTTGGGAGCAACAGCCTCATCCCCATTGGATCTATTTATTAAGCTTATACTAGAGCATCAGTTCCCAAAGTGTGGTCCCCAGATCAGCTGCAGCATCACCTGGGTACTTTTTAGAAATGCAGATTTTCAGGCAACACTCCAGACTTGCTGAATCAGAAACTCTGGGGGTGGGGCCCCAGCACTCTAGGTCTTACTCACCTCCAGGTGATTCTGATTACATGCTCAAGTGTAAGAAACGCTGGCCTAGTTTTATTTTAAACATGAAGCTCTGCGCTTTGTGCCAGGGTGGGGGTGGTGTTGCCAGATAAAACACAGAACACCCAATTCAATTTGAATTTCAGATAAATGGCCATTTTTTAATATAATATGTCCAAAATATTGCATAGGATATAATTATGCTAAAAATGCTTTTTTTTTTTTTTGAGACAGTGTCTCTGTCACCCGGGCTGGAGTGCAGTGGCGCGATCTCAGATCACTGCAGCCTCAACCCCGGGGCTCAAGTGATCCTCCCACCTCATCCCCCTGAGTAGCTGGGATTATAGGCACAGGCCACCACACCTGGATAATTTTTTTATTTTTTGTAAAGATAGTGCCTCCCTATGTTGCCCAGACTGGTCTCGAACTCCTGTACTCAAGTGATCCGCTTGCCTTGGCCTCCCAAAGTGCTGGGATTACAGGCATGAGCCACCGTGCTCAGGCAAAAAAGCATTTTTTATATATCTGAAATTCACATTTAACTGGCATTCTGTATTTTTATTTGCTACATCTGGTAACCCTAGGTGGGAGGACTTCAGAGAGGATTATGATGGCACAAGCGTAGCCCTCAAGGGTCCCCCAGATCAGTTGGGTTTGCAAAGCTTTGACATAAATCAGATACAGAACAATTGCAAAAAGAGTATACCGTGTAGATCACAGGCAAAAAGAGTGTACCATGTAGATCACAGGTTCTATGAGCACCTTGAACTCTAAGCAATTCTAAGCCAGCACAGAACACTGGAAGGTAGGATAAGCCAAAAAAGACTTTAGGAATTGGATTTGAGTTCACAGTTCAGAATCAAGGGGTCCCAGCTGCTGTTATTTTTTCTCTGTGACCGAACTCCTGCCTTGTACCCACAGGCACTTTTGTGTGAATTAGGAAAAGGAGCCCTTTCCTGGGGTCAGAGACAGCATTGCTTTTGGTGCACAGCTTGGAGCATGAATTCCAGGCTGGAGTTCAGCCCCCACTCACCCTCTCAGCTGGGTACAAGCTGCACAACCCTTTCTGGCAGCTCTGAGCCTACTGCCCTTGTGACAGGTCTGCTTTTTGCCTACTAACTTGGACCCATTCCAATTGCTTACACTCTATCTGCTTTGTTTTGGGGTCTGGCCATCAGTGGGGAGGGCTTTCCCCCCACCACCAAGGCTCAGTTTTCTAAAGCCATGTTTGTCAAAAGCATCCGTGTGCAAATTCCTTTGTTCATAATGGTGGCATTCAAGTTGAATTGCGCATGAAATTGTCTTGCTAAAGAAGCGGCTTTCTCTATATAAAAGAGGGCAAGAGAAATTGAAGGATCTGATTAGTTAATAAGAATTCTGAGTGGTGGAATTCCAGATTAGCATAAAACAATTTCTTGTTCAGAGCACGTGCAGCACAGAGCAAAAGAATTTTTTTTGTTAATGCATTTAGTTCTAAAATAGTATAATCACAATAAGACATTCCAATGTGTGAATTATAGTATATTAAGTCATGACTAATTGCATTGATTTGCATTCAGGATTTTTTAACATCTGTGTGGTAATTATCCTAATCCAATTTGTTATGCAGAATACAATCAATGTTATGTATGTTAGTGTTTAGGGCCCCGACACAATTTCCTGTAATAAAAGGGAATGAAATACAAAGGTAGCTCAGGTGGAAAGACAAGCACATCTATTATACACATCAAGCTCCCTTTCTTGATCTCCAAAATTAGCGGGGGGAGCGCGGAGTGGAGATCAAGTAAATTTAATTAGCATTTTAAAAGGAGGCCCAAGAAAAGAGAGAGGGATCGAGCGAGAGCGCTCCTGAGAACTGAGAGCAAGCTGTATTAAACCCTCAGGAAGAAGATTTTTTTTTTCTAACAGGCTGTGGCTTTCAGAAGCTACCAGAAATAATGTCCTGACCTCACCTGATAATGAGCCAATGAGACCATGTTTTGCTGACATAGTGCTATTTCAGTAAGGGTTGCATCTTACCTGGGAGTCAGGGTTTAGTTTTAAACCTTTCATTTTTCTGTCCTTTTAGGAAAAAGAACTCTGCCTAACATCTCCCAGAAAGTCCTAGGAATCTGGGGCATAACAAAGTAGCTGAGCCGACTTTAGACATAGGCAAAGAAAGCTATCTATGTCTGTGTCATTTGTAAGATACTAGAGAGCCCTCCTCCACCTCCATACGGGAGCACACGCATGCACATGCGCACACACACACACACACACAACCTTGCGGCCCCCTCTCAGATGCCTGAAATTCCTACTTTGGGGCATCTAGTCTTTTAATTTCTGGATTTGTCCGTTTTAAAAATGCCAGTTTTCCTTAACAATGCAAACCTTACCTATACTTAACCAGTCTATTCCAAGAGAAAAGCTTTTACTTTTTGGGGGGTTATTTTATTTCCTCAAATACCTTTGTATCAGAGAGCAAGTTTTAGTTCAGAAGAGAGTAGAGAGAATGTGAGGGTCTTAGATGTCTGAGGGGTGGCCAGGCATGGTGGCTCACGCCTGTAATCCCAGCACTTTGGGAGGCCGAGGCAGGCAGATCACCTGAGGTCAGAAGTTCTAGACCAGCCTGACCAACATGGAGAAACCTCATCTCTACTAAAAATACAAAATTAGCCGGGCATTGTGGCACATGCCTGTAATCCCAGCTACTCAGGAGGCTGAGGCAGGAGAATTGCTTGAACCTGGGAGGCAGAGGTTGCAGTGAGCCAAGATCACACCATTGCACTCCAGACTGGGCAACAAGAGTGAAACTCCATCTCAAAAAAATAAATAAATAAAAGATGTCTGAGGGGCCACAGAGTTCCCAAAGACAGCGGGGAGGGAAGGGGAAGGCCTGAGAAGCAAAGGTGGTAGATATTCTAGACAGTATTCACTTACTTTGCCATTTTTATGAGTAGACAGACAAGTCCTGGTAGCCCTACTGCCTTCCCTCTGCATCCCCCAAGGGTGGAACCCATGTCTGTGGGGAAAGGGAGCAAAATAGACACTGGATCTGCTCCAGCCTCCCCTATTTCTCCCTGCTCCTCTCTATCCCCACCCAATAGCCAGTTCCCATTCCCTCTCTATTGTCCCCTCGGTCAATCCATAGTGTAAAGCTGTGGGTCCCAAAGCCGGCTGATAATAAGAATCAGCAGGGAGCTTGTTAAGCATATAGATGCCTTGTCGAATCCCTCATTAGTTTGCATTTACTAGGTATGGGAAAGAGCCCAGGCATAGGTATTTTTCAAGCTGCTTCCCAGGTGATTTTAATGGGCAGCTCTACCGGGCAAACACTGGCATCCACTTCAGCTTTCCACCAGGTGTGCCTGCCTAAGAGTGGAGCATGCAAGTGGAGGTGGTGGTATGGCAAGTGCCAGATATAATCAAGCTTCTCTTAGTAATTTTCCATCCATTGACCCCTTTACTCTGTAAATGGATTGGCTATAAATCCCCACTGGACCTTGTTGTATTTAGAGTTGAGTTCGGTCTCTGTCCCTTATTGCAGCAGCCTTGAAGAAAGTCTTCGTTACCATTTTAATAAGTGTCACAATAATCTTTCTCTAACAGGCCGTTAGGGAGAAATTACCTCTGCCAGCCACCAGGGTTTTATTTAACCAACTACTTTCTAGTTAGTCAAAGCCTGCTCCAGCACACTAAACAGGACCCTGGTGGTTCCACCCAGGTGCCTAATATACAAGCAGGAAAGACTCTGCTAAGGATTGGCAGTCCTTGTTGGGAATTTGTTGCCAGTTTCCATGAGCAAAGTTCTAAAATTCCTATCATTCAAACAAGCATTTACTCTGAGTCTTTCTGTGCTCGGAACTGGGAAATAAGACTAGGCCCCTTTGCCCCTAACATTCACAGAAAAACAGGGAAGAAGATAAATAAACAGGCCAGGCACAGTGGCTTACACCAGTAATCCCAGCACTTTGGAAGGCTGAGGCGGGTGGATCATCTGAGGTCAGGAGTTCGAGGCTAGCCTGGCCAACATGGTGAAACCCTGTCTCTACTAAAAATACAAAAAATTAGCCGGACATGGTGGTGCACGCCTGTATTCCCAGCTACTCAGGAAGCTCAGGCAGGAGAATTGCTTGAACCCAGGAGGCGGAGGTTGCAGTGTGCCGAGATCGCGCCACTGCACTCCAGCCTGGGCGACAGAGTAAAACTCTGTCTCAAAAAAAAAAAAAAAAAAAAAAAAAAGAAAAGTAAACAGACAATTACAACACACTTGGGGACTGTGATCAGCTTATTGTAACCACCTGCTAGAAGCTGAGAAGCCAGCTATAGCAATTAATCTGTTAAAAAAAAGTATTTATTATATCACATCTAGGATGTATTCCTTCACCTTGTTTAGCCCTGCAGAGCTCCCCCTGCTTCCTACTTGTCCTCCTGCAACAACATCCCAGAACACACAGCTTGTTCCCAGGGTTTCCTTCTAACCCTTAGCACACTGACCCATCCATAGCTAATGTCAGCCTACAAGATAAAACTCAAACTTGTTAACCTACCGTTTCAGGCACACCATGGTCCTGAAAGGATGGTTTCATCTCCATGAACATCATCAATCAGCAAGGCATGCTGGACATCTATATCAGGAAGTTAGAAGACAGCACACTGCAGAACATTCCTTGATTCCTGTGTCCACACTCCCTGTTCTGGACCTTGGTCAGTGGGGAAAAAAAAAATTATGGAGGGGCTTCCTGACTCCAGAGAAAAGAACGACACGGCTCTGAAAAGTGAGGCACAAAAAGGCCAGAGAAGCTGCTAGGACTATCAAGTCCTCTAAACAACTCGACCCCATGAAAGAGCTCATTGTGATGGCTGTGGTGTCTCTCCTTCTGGGCAACAAACTACTCCCTCCCAAAGGCCCAACAAAGGAGACAGAGGATGAGGTACTAGAAGCTTCAGGTTGCAGAAGGGTAACCAGATATCCAGGATTCCAGTCAGGTGCCACTCAAACACTACCTTGCATAGAAACCTTGAGGTCTCTCTCAGCCTCCATCTCATCATCAAAATGGAGATGATACTGCTTTCCTGAGAGGTGTGATCAAGGATTTTAAAATGCTGCACAAACTGCAGCCAGCTATTCAAGCACAAGGACTTGTTATTACTACTATGATGGACCCTGAAAGGCATATTGAAAAAGTTTTATAACGGCCGGGTGCAGTGGCTCACGCCTGTAATCCAAGCACTTTAGGAGGCCAAGGCGGGTGGATCACTTGAGGTCAGGAGTTCGAGACCAGCCTGACCAACATGGTGAAACCCAGTCTCTACAAAAATAATAATAATAATAATTATACAAAAAAATAGCTGGGCGTGGTGGCACATGCCTGTAATCCCAGCTACTTGGGAGGCTGAGGCAGGAGAATTGCTTGAACCCGGGAGGTGGAGGTTGCAGTGAGCCAAGATCATGCCAAAGAAAAAAAGAAAAAGTTTTATAACAGCACACATGAGGGCAACAGGTTGCTTCCAGGAATAGGAACAAGAAGAAAGGACAGCACTAACTCAAGCATGGGCTGTCCAAGTCACCTGTCCCCCAGGGCCTGGGTGCTTGGTGGAATAAATAGTCTTTGTTACCACTCTTTCACACCCCCTGTCAATATGGCAATATAGCAGCAAAGCACCCGCTGTATCAACCACAAATGCCAAAACCTAACGACAAATAACCACTCAGTGGCCTGCCTTTCTCTTTTTGAAATCTCATTATTGCCGGGAGTAGTGGCTCATGCCTGTAATCCCAGCACTTTGGGAGGCCAAGGCTGAGGGATTGCTTGAACCCAGGAGTTCGAGACCAGCCTGGGCAACATGGTGAGACTCCGTCTCTACAAAAAAAAACTTAAAATGAGCCAGGTGTGGTGGTGTGCTCCTGTAGTTCCTGCTACTCGGGAAGCTAAGGTGGGAGAATCACTTGAGCCAGGAGGTAGAGGGTGCAGTGAGCCGTGATCGCACCACTACTCTCCAGCCTGGGTGACAGAGTAAGACCCTGTGGAAAAAAAAAAAGAAGAGAGAGAGAGAGAAGAACAAGAAAGAAAGACGAAGGAAAGAGAAAGAAAGAAAGAAAGAAAGAAAGAAAGAAAGAAAGAAAGAAAGAAAGAAAGAAAGAAAGAAAGAAAAGGAAAGGAAAGGAAAGGAAAGGGAAGGGAAAGAAAAGAGAAAGAAAGATAGACAGATCCTGATCCTGGCGTGCCCTGACAAGCATCAATTTAAGGGCACTGTGGTGATGGAGAGTCTTTGCAAGGCTTCCTTCCTGAATTTGAACCTGCAGACAGGGCCACAGGCCAACAAAAGAACTAACTGAAGTGTGTCTGGTACATCTGCAACTTTTCAGCCAATGACTCCCCACCCATCCAGAATGTCCCCACCCTGCCCTTGTCTTGCTCAGAGCCCTAGGGGGAGAATGAGCAATACTGTGTCCCTCTGATGTGATATGTTGGCTAACAAGTAAACAGCATACGCTCCCTCTGAAGGGAAGGAGACATTACAGACTTCCTGGAAGGCCTAGAGGGAGATTTATTTTAGGGGTGGAGGAGCATAGAACCTTGTCAATTTCCCTAAAACCCCACCCTATAGATAGACACCTTCTGGTAAGGAGTACCCCACTTTGTTACACCTCTGAAACCCCACAAAAATCTCTTTTGGTTATCATCGTCAATCACATGTCTGCTTGTCCCAGCTCTGGGGAATTTTGTCGTAATGCCGATATAAGTTAGTGTAGCAGGGGAGAACTGCTCTCGACTTCTATTGTGTGGTGCTTATTTGGGAGCTCCTTTATTTTTTTCTTTCCTTCCAGGCAACATATCAGACTGATTTGATAAGGGGCAAAGTCTGGAGAAAGAAGTAGCAAGGGGTTACACCCGCTTGGCATCCTTTCCCCTTTCCTTCCCTGCCATGACTTGGGACTTCTAGAAGGAGCCTGCAAGGCTAACACAAAATCCTGAGTAGAGGTTGTAGCTCTTTGAACATGAAAGTATCAGTAGGAGCCCGAGGTCCAGGTGGTGGGGAAGGGGTAGGTTAGTAGAAGAGGCTTAGGTCACAGTTTACAGCCTGGTTTTCAAAGGGTCAAAAATTCTATTCTATCTTATCACTCAAGTTAAAAAAGAAGAGGGATAGAAAATTGGAGAGAAAGATAAGTGGAAACCAACTCAACAACATAGGGAGATATACTCAGATTGTATTCTGAGAGGGCCACACCAAGTAAATTAAAAGAACAGACTCTAGCCCAGCACTGTACAATAAGAATTCTCTGTGATGATGGCAGTGTTCTATATATGCACCATCCCATACAGTAGCCACTAGCCACATGTGCTTGTCAAGTACTTGAAATGTGGCTGGTGTGATTGAGAAACTGAATTTTTAATTTCATTCATTTTAATGTATTTAAATTGAAATTTAAATAGTCACCTGTAGCTAGTGGCTACCTTATGAACGAGCACAGGTCTGGGGTTACTACATTCTCTGGGTTCAAAGCCCCATTCTGCCTCTTGTTGGCTTGGGGACTTTGGTGAATTACTTAACTTCTCTGTGCTTCAGTTTAACCATCTGTGAAATGGAAATAATAAGAGTTCTCACAGGATGGTTGTGGGGATCATATGAGTTAACAGACATGTGTGTGTATTTATAAAGTGATTAGAGAAGTACCTGGTATATAACAAGTGCTATACATAAATCTTTTCCAATTAGAGACACTCAGTGGAGAAACATTCCCTACCCACTGTGGGACCTCTGCAGAGGGAAAGAAGCCTCTCACTGCTACAGAGACAGCAGATAGAAGTCTAACACTCTTCTTAAGCCAGACTTTAGGAGAAATGCAGTTCAAATCATTACCCTTGTCACGGAAGGCCGAAAGCAGTGTATGTGGCAGTGTGCAGAAGGAGGTGCTCAACCCTAGCCACTGTCTGGTTGTAGCTCTTCATCACAGATGCATAGAACACTTCTTATCTTTTCAAGCTCATCCAGTTACAGGCAAGTGAGATAATTCTCACAGACAGATGCCACCAACCTCAGCAGTGAAAAAGACAGTGAAGTGTCGTGATAAGAAGAGTTTGGGGGCAACAGCCATGGAAATCTGAATTTGAATCCCAGTCTAGCCACTAACTGATAGAGTGAGATTAGGCAAGGGACTTACCTTCTCTGTGCCTCAGTTTCTCCGCCTGTAAAGTGGAGCTATATTAATTCATATCTTCCAAGATTGGTGTGATGATGGAAGGGAGTAATATGAGCAAAGCACTCAGCACCAGTGCCTGGTAGTTTCTACTTTTATCATCCATATCTGTATGTTGGAATGAGAACCAATCCAAGGTGAACAGGTGAGTGGAGCTATTTCACAATCCATCATCAACAACCCTCTGAGCTCAGATTGGGGGATAAGGAAGTCTACTTCCTAATGCCCAGAGAAGCAGAAATCAATTGTAAAACCAGGGCTAAACCCCAGTCCCACTGCCTTTTAGCTCCAGGCCAGGCAGCACCAGAGGGCTCTTCCGAAGAGCCTGCCGGCTACTAATTTCTGATGGAGTTGTAGAGGTTTTTTTTGTTTTTTTTTTCCATCAATCACTCTCAATGTAGGAAGCAGAAATGCAAGTTACTTCATTAAAAGCACTCACACATAACTGGATACATTTACATATTAAGCAGGCAACTGAGACGCTAATCTTTCTATTTTATGTACAGCCGTAATCATTACTCAGCGTCAGAATGCTTGTTAAATACTCAGCGTACTACAGAGAACTCTCAAATCTTTGCAAAGTACAGGTGACAATGTGAAAGTACTCCCGTTCACAAGCCGGATGTAATCCCCTCATCATCCCTCAGACCCTGGTGACAGTGTATGCAGGCGCCTCGGAGCTCACTCAGGTCAACTCTAAGCATAGACAAGGATATGACTGCAGGTCTTTCAGCACGAGTTTCAATGTATCTGACTAGCTGACTATCACACACAGGAAGCAGGTCTCTGTTGTTTTATGCATTGTGTTGTTGTTTTGGAAGTGGAGCAAAGAAGAAAGACATAAAAGTCCAGAGCGCTGAGCAGCAGGGGGACTATTTGAGGGTCCAGCGCCATCTGCAGTTGCAGGAAGAAAGGTCAGTAGTGTGGCCTAACAGAGTAAAGGAAAGCAAAAGAAAGGAAAGCCTAAGAGAAACTTGGCCTTCATAAAGCACTGTTGCTTCAAACCAGCCCTGAATTCAGACCCACTACTTAAAAAATAACTTCAATCCAAAACCCAATCAATACCAAACCAGACAAAGACATAAGAAAACTACAGACAAATATTCTTCATGAACATAGACAGAAAATATCTCCCCACCAAATGTTAGCAAATTAAATCCATCAATACAGAAAAACAGATAATACCTCATGATCAAGTAGTGTTTATCCAAGGATTGATCTCAATAGATGCATTAAAAATTTTTGATAAAATGCAGATCCATTTACGATTTAAAAAAAAAAAAAACTCTCAGGAAACTAAGAATAGAAAGAAATATCCTCAACCTGATCAAGCACATCTATGAAAAACCCACAGCTAACATCATACTTAATGGTAAAAGACTGAAAGCTTTTCCCCTAAGAAGAGGAACAAGATGTCTTCTCTTGCCACTTCTATTCAACATTGTACTGGAGGTTCTAACCAGAGCAATTAAGCAAGGAAAAGGAAATAGAAGACATAAATATTGAAAAGGAAGAAATAAAACTGTCTTTATTCACAGACACCATGATCATTTAACCAAAGAATCCCAAAGAGTGTACAAACAAGCTACTAGAACTGAGTTTGGCAAAGTCATAGGATACAGAGTCAGTATACGAAAATTAATTGCATATCAATTGGAAACAGAAATTTAATAACAGTACCATTTATAATAGCATAATAAATATGAAATACTTAGGAATAAATTTACAAAATATGTGCAAGATGTGTATGCTGAAACTACAAAACATTGATGAAATAAAGAGGACCTAAAAAAACTGGAGAGGCATTCTGTTTTCATGGATCAGAGACTCAATAGGGTCAAAATGTCAGTTCTTCTCGAATTGGTCTATAGATTCCACACAATCTCAACCAAAAAGACAGCAGGCTGCTTTGTAGAAAATGACAAGCTGATTCTAAACTTTCTATGGAAAAAGTAAAGGACATAAAAGAGCCAAGGCAATTTTTCAAAAGAACAAAGTTGGAGGACCTACATTTTAACTTCAAGACTTATTACTAATCTACAATAAACAAGGCAGCGTGGTGTTGGCATAAGGCTAAATATATAGATCAACAGAACAGAATAGAGGTCTATAAGTAGACCCATATATATGTGGTCACTTGATTTTTGACAAAGGTGCAAAAGCAATTCAGTGAAGAAAGGATAGTTTTTTCAACAAATGTTACTGTGACAATTTGACATCTATATGCAAAAAAATAAATAAATAAATAAGCCTCAGCCCTTACCTTGTATCATATACAAAATTAACTCAAAATGGCTCATAGACATGAGTGTAAATCTAACACTATAAAGCTTCTAGAATAAAACATGAGAGAAAACTCTTTGTTCTCAAGAGTTTGCTTCTTTGCCTCTCTTTGCCTCAAGTTAGGCAAAGATCTATTAGATATGACTCCAAAAAGCATGAACAATAGAAGAAAATTGAACTTCATGAAAATTACTAACTCTTCAAAAGATAAGACTAGAAAAATGAAAAGGAGAGCCACAGACTAGAAGAAAATATTTGCAAATCACATATCTGATAAGAGGCATGTATTCAGAATATATAATTAACTCTCAAAACTCAATCATAAGAAAACAAACAACCCAGTTTAAAAATCGGCAGCAAGGATGAATAAGTTCTAGAGATCTGCTGTACAACATAGTGCTTATAGTTTACAAGACAGTATTGTGCACTTAAAAACTCAAGATGGTAGATCTCATGTTAAGCATTCTTACTACAAAAAAAGGGGGGAAATGCAAGAAAATTTTTGGTGGTGATGGATATGTTTATTACCTTGATTGTGGTGATAGTATCATGAGAGTATGCATATGTCCAAACTCATCAAGTTGTATACATTAAACGTGTGCAGTTTTTATATGTCTATTATACCTCAATAAAGCTTTTAAAAAATGGGCAAAAGATTTGAATAGACACTTCACCAAAGAAGAGATACAGATGACAAATAAGCACATGAAAAGACACTTCACATCATTCATCATTAGGAGAATGCAAAGTAAAAACTACATTGAGATAAAATACACATCTATTAGAATCGCTAAAATTAAAAGGAGTGACATTATCCAAGTATTAGCAAGGATGAAGAGCAACTAGAATTTTTATGCATTGCTTGTGGGAGTTCATAATAGTACAGCTGCTTTGGAAACAGTTTAACAGTATAGAGGAGGAAAAATAATCTCTTTCTCTACCAATTCTAGTTTCATGGCTGAGACCCCTGTAACAAAAGCCAGATTAACAAGAGAAAAGCAAACAAGTTTATTTAATATAAGTTGTACATGACAAGGAAGGCTTCGTCAAGAAATGAAGACCCAAAGAAATAGTTAAACCCGAGTATATTTCATAGTAGGTTTGATGAAGAGTGGACAATCACGGAGAAATATGATAGAAAGACAAAAGGGTATGATCTAATGGTAACAAACTGGGGGAAACTTTGCAAGCTCTGTTTGTTCAGATTTCATTCTGTGTCCCTTTGTCTTCAGAGATAAGGCTGTTCCTTTCCTCCAAGTATAGGGAAGGCACCTCTCACATGAAGGTCCTATGACCTATTTCAGGGGAAGAGCAGAAAACCTAGGAAGGATTTTGTTCAAAAGAACAAAGTTGGAGGGCCTACAACTTTGGATTTCCTTCCTAGGTTTTCTGACCTGCTTCAGAGGGAAAGGGCAGGGGGAAGATGGGAGTGACTTTCCCATTTCTGCTGTTTTCTCAAATGCAAAGATGCCATATTTTGAAGTAGCATGTACTGAACCCCATTAGCAGTTTTTTATAAAGCTAGAGATACACTTACCATATGACCCGGTAACCCAATGTCTAGGCATTTACCCAAAAGAAATGAAGATACACATTCACACAAAAGCCTGTAAGTAAATGTCTATAGCAGCTTCACTAATTATCACTCAAAGCTGGGAACAACCCAAATGTCCATCAGCTGGAGAATGGATAAACAAATTGTGACACATCCATACAATGGAATATTACTTGGCAATACAAAGGAATGAACTAACACATGGATGAATCTCAAAAGCACTGGAGGTTAAGGCAGGAGGATAGCTTGAGCCCAGAAGTTTGAGACCAGCCTGGGCAACATGGCAAGACTCTACCTCCACCAAAAAAAAAAAAGTTTAATTAACAGGGCATGGTGCCATGTGCCTGTAGTCCTAGCTACTCAGGAGGCTGAGATGGGAGGATTGCTTGAGCCCAGGAGTTGAAGGCTGCAGGGAGCTATGATTCTGCCACTGCACTCCAGCCTGGGTGACAAGAGTGAGACCCTGCAGAAAAGAAGAAAGAAAAGGAAAGAAAGAGAAGAGAAGAAAAGAAGAAAGAAAGAGAAAAAGAGAAGGAGAGAGAGAGAAAGAGAGAGAAGGAGTGACAGAGAGAAAGGGAGAAAGAGTGAAGGAGAGAGAGGAGAGAGAGAAAGAGAGAAAAGAAGTGACAGAGAGAAAAGGAGTGACAGAGAGAAAGGGAGAAAGAGTGAAGGAGAGAGAGGAGAGAGAGAAAGAGAGAAAAAGGGAAAGAAAGAAAAGACAGAAAGACAGAAAGAAAAAGAAAGAGAGAAGGAGACAGAAAGAGAGAAGAAAGAAAAAGAAAGAAAGAAAGAAAGAAAGAAAGAAAGAAAGAGAAAAGAAAGAAAGAAAGAGGAAGGAAAGAAGGAAGAAAGGAAGGAAGGAAGAAAGGCGTTATGCTAAATGAAAGAAGTCGACCTAAAAGAGTATATATTCTATGATTCCATTAATATGACATTCTGAAACTGCAAAACTGCTGGAATAGAAGATAGATCAGAGGCTGCCAAAGGTTGTGTATGGAGAGAGCAGACTGACCACAAAGAAGCACAAGAGAACTTATTGGGGTAATAAAAATATCCTGTCTTGATTGTGTTGGTGGTGACATAATAGGATATGTTTGTTGAAACTTATTTGCACTTTTAAAAGGAGAATTTTACTGTTTGAAAATTATACCTCAATAATCCTCACTTAAAAGAAGTTAATCCTATCTGTGAGCCTGAGGTAGAGAGGAGATCTATGAGGCTTTTCTTCCTTAATTTGCCTTCCATAATGATGGTATGCATGGTTGAGAGGAGTGTCTCACATTCATGAAAGACCTCCGTCCTTGCTTTGCTTGCCAGAATGCCAACTACATGGGAAGTTTGCCTTTTGGGTAACAGTAGGGCAAAGTGGATGTAGGGAAGAATGAGGGAAAGGGAGGAGAGTTAGCATTGCATAGCAGTTTAGAGCACAGATGTTGATAACAAGACCGATGTGGGTTCAAATTCCAGCTTTGCTATTTCTGAGCCGTGTGACCTTGGGTAACCTACTTAGTGTCTCTGAGCCTCGGTATCCTCATTTCTAAGACAGGAGCAGTAATACCGAGCTATCTCCCAGGGTCCCTGAGCAACTCAAATAAGCTAATATATGTGAAAGTATCTGGCACACATGTATAACACATGTGAGAGGGGATAATAAAAGAGGTAATGAATGTGAAAGTACTTGATAGATGATAACCATTCTTATTCCTAAATCAAAAGATGATCTGGGGTAGAAGGAGAGCAGTCTGGCTGATAGGAAAGATATGTGGGCGGTGTTGATGCCTCCCACCTGCAACCACATACAACTCTACTCTCCACTTCTGGCATTACCCATTTAGTGGGTGACCTACATTCCGGAATTTCCAGGACAGCCACAGATCTAGTCCTTCCCCTCAGGGGACCACGTGTCAGAGTTGGGGAAAGAGAGGGACTGTGGTCAAAGAACATATTCCTGGCCTCCCTGACCTGCACCCTCTGCATTTCTCTCCTTTCCTCTACTCGTCTTCAGTGGGGATTTGCTCAGACTTCTTTCATGTGAAATCAAACAGAACTAGAAAGGTAAATCTCCTGGGTGCAAAAAAAGGAAACAAAAAATCACCAGCTCCGTACAATACATTTGAACACCAAATAGAAATGGTTGAGAGATCACTGCCATTCTAGTTATCTGTGACACCCCTCCCCTCCCCACCACATCCCTTCTCCCGTCCTCCCCCATCCTCTCCCCCATCCTTTCTCCAGAGGTGGCTAGAGTTGAAAAAACATTTGTCTCTCAGCTGATCATCTGGGACTGAGGAGAAAGAGGAGAAAGCGAATGAATTATTTAAGTTCTGCAGTGTGTGTGTGTGTGTGTGTGTGTGTGTGTGTGTGTGTGTGTAGGGGGTTCAGCACCCCCCCCCTTTAATTAATGAACAATCTGGCCCATTGCTCCTCCCGTAAGTATGCAAAATAACTTCTTCATTTGAAATCCCTGTTGTTGAATGTACTCCTTGGGCACAATCACATTGCCGCCCCTTGTTCTGCATAAGAAACCGCTGTTTCCAAGATAAGAATCTTTTCATTTAGCTGTCATGAGCTCATCCTTTTTCCTGTGCATTGTGGCTCCTTCTCCTTTGAGTCAATACCCAAACAATGACTGCCTGTGCTCTGGCACCCTCCTACCCCCAGCCCCGGAAGACAGAAGGCTGAGGCCTCCGGAAGCCTGCCTAGGCAGGCAACCCAAATTCTTTTCAGGCCTCAGATGTCAAGAGGGCAAGCAATAAGAAGATCTGAGACCCCTGAAAATCTACTGGCTTTAAAGTAGACCCTGGGAAAGAAACTCTGAATAGTATGATGTGTGTGGTAGGGGGCGGACAGGCGCTGCCCTGAGATCATGAACTTAAACAGTCTGGGAAATGTAAGGAGAGGGAATAAGGACCCACAAATGTGCAAAGCTGCTGTGTCTCTCTTCCTCTGTCCCTGATCAGCAGACTGCATCCTGTCCCTGCCCTTTGGTTTGGAACAACCACGCCCACAGCAGAAACCACACAATGGCACTTGCACTCCAATGAGAAACTAGAGAGGCCTCAGATTCTGTGGAGTCCAAACCCTTTCCTCATTCTGTATGCGGGTAAATTGAGGCTTAGGGAGGGGAAGCAGCTTGCCTAACAGCACTCAGATCGTTGAAGAGGTGGGTGCTAAAACTCCAGACTCATGCTGTTTATTCTACCACACATGGCTGCCTCTGGAGGGAATCAATAACATTTGTGTACAAAGCACTGAGGAAAAAGACAAGATAGGAGATTAAATTAGATCACAGTAAGCTACAAAGCCTATACAAACAGTAGGGGTTTTATTGCTAGCTTCCTCATTTATAGGCATTGTTTTCAAAAGATCCAGGAGAATAACAAAACTTAACCTTTACCAGTGAAAAAGGACTCTGCAGAAGGCAGTGAGTTTCCAAGACAAAATGTATGTAGTCACTTTACCTTGGGGAATGGGGCTACGTGGTCACATCAGCTCAGCACTCGCTCATTATTTCCACTTTGGGGAGAGGAAATAATGCACCAAAGAAGCTTTAATTAAGCTATAGGTAACTAACATGTGTCCAGCAGGAGGCCTGGGGCACTGAGGCCCACAAGAAATAAGAATAAGAAAGGTCCTGCCTTTAGAGAGGTTATAAGCTGTTCGATAAGCTGTCTGGTCTCTGCAATTTGATCAGAAGCCCCTTCAGGGCCAAGCCCGTGTATCCCTGGTAACTTCCAGGAGAGGAAAGAGTTCCCAGCAGGCGCCCCCTTGCTGATTGGCTGGTTAAGTGGCTAGAAAAGACCTCTCACGCTGATTCTGTTGTGTTCCCAGTGCAGCTTTTTCTCCACGTTTGGTGTAAAGGAACCTTTATTACATTTCAAACAAACGGTTCCCCTGTGGCCCTGAGAAAGCTCCAGTGATTCCCAGAATGTCTGGCCACCTGTGGCCTTCAAGGTGGCGGAGAGCATTTTCCTCTTAGCCACCAGAAGAAGTAATGTTTCAATGCCAGTAATGATGTTGCTAAGAAAAACCACAGTCAGAAGGAAAGTTTTCCCTCACCCTCCCATCAGTTTGGGGGCAGTCAGAAATCTCACATCCTAGATAGAAAAGCAGCAGAAGAGGAAGTAGGAGACTTGGGTGCCCATCCTAACTTGGCCCCTTATTAGTGGTTAGACTTCAACAAATCACTTCTATCTCTTGGCCTCAGTCTTTTCATCTGTAAAACGAGGGCATTGACTTGAGCAAAGTTTCCCAAACTAAGGTTTGGAAGTCTGAATCTTTTCAATTGTGGGGTTGGAGTGAGGGGTAGATATAATATAATAAAAGAGATACTTGGTAGCAAAAAGACAAGAAACAATGGACTGGATGAACATTTTTTGTTATAATATTTCATGATTCCAGGAAATCCAGTTTTTGTTCATGGGATTGGCTTTAAAATGAAACAGGTGTTTGTTATTTAAAACAACTTCACTTCCAATTAAATTGGGCAAATTGAACACATGCACTTATCTGAGCTCCTTCCTGAGATCCCACAAAAAAAGAACAGGGGATTAAAAGGCCAAATGCAGTGAGTACAAAGGAAAAAGGGGGAGAGGCTATAATAAGCAAGAAGCACACACGCGTGCATGCGTGTACATGTGCAAATATGGAAACTAGAGAATGGCTAAATGAGTGGTTTAGCAGATTAGAAAAAGCCAAAACCCAAGGATGCGGTTTATACTCCAAACCTCAAAAAGCTCAGGTTTTGAGGGTACCAGTTATCTCTGAAAGTGGGAGTTTTGGTATGGAGTTGAAAACAGGATGATAGATTGAACATGATGATAAGAAACAGCCCCCAAATCCCTCCCTCCATCCCAGCAGGGGAGAAAACATTTAAACCAAGCACAGCTGAGGGCCCACTGAGAAGCTATGTTGAAAACTGGGATTAAGTTGGAGTCTGCCTTCTGAACATTGAGACCTCCAGTCCCCATCCTTGACTCAGTTCCCAAAATACTGACAGCCAGGTTACACATGCCAAGCGGAAGATTGGAAGATTCCACTCTGGGAAACTGACTGAACCCAGAGAAATAATTCAGATGATACTGAAGAAGCAGGCAGGATGTCAAATGATGTAGGGTTTTGTAGGCCATATTATAGTTTTTGGATTTAGCCTAAGGACCAGAAAGTCATTCAGGGGTTTTAAGCAGGGGAACAACATGATCGAATTTGCATTTTTTAAAGATGAAAAAGGAGCTAGTGTGGATTTTCAAAAAGTGAAGACCCTGTACCACATTTTGACCAGTTTCAGAGAGGAGGGGAGCTGTGCAGAGATGTGCTGGAGGAGTGCCTATTGGTGACCAAAGACATGGGATGCTGAAGCGATACAGAATGCCACCTGGAAGTTCGTTGGTAATGTGCCTGATCCTGTTTGAGAATGTAGATCACTGGTGGTGGGGTGTTGAAGTGGTAGGTGGGAGAGTAGACTCATGTGGTTTAGAGACTGTTTACATTAATTGAGCAAATAAGTGAAGATTATATTGAAGATAAGTGGCAGGCTTCTCACTGTTGGAGAAGATACTAAAAACAGAAAGGAGGAAGACCAGACCGAATGTTAACATTCTGGGTTGAAATTGGAGGTTTGGGTATAAATTCATGTTTTAAATATATATACTCAGAGAGATATAAAAATAGTTATAGATGTACATATGTGTATATATGCACATGTATGTATTAATATATACATACATATATTTTCCAGCCCTGTCTGCTAAGAGCACCTGCAAGCAATAATAGCCCAGCAGCAATGAGCCCACCAAGAGCTCAGATAATAGTTTTCATATACCACCCTCCACTAAAGAAAAAGTGCTCAAAGAATAATGGGAACAAGTCAAAAGGACACCGAGACCACCTTGAAAGGGGCTCCCAGTGGTCAAATCTGGGAAAATTTGAGCATCAAAATAAACGTTGATAGTAATGGATCGCAACCAATTATACAAAATAGGACTCCATGAGTCCATATTGACATACATACATACATAAATAATAAATAAATAAAGGATAGGGCAGACTATATCTACAAAGATACCCACCACAATATATTCTATCCTATAGGCTGTTCTTACAATGTGATGTTAACAATCTTCCCATCAAGTGGTAAGAGCTATGTCCCCATCCATTGACCCTAGATGGATATTTATGACTGCCTCAACCAACAGAATACAATGGAAATGAAAGCTGTGTGACTTCTGAGGTTGTATTAGAAAAAGGCCATGCACTTCCACCTTGCTCTCTTGGGATACTTGCTGTTAAATCTCAACCCCAATGCTGGGATGAAATCAAGCAGCTACATAGCAAGGCCTCATGTGAGGGTTCTGGCTGGCAGCCTCAGCTGAGGTCCCAGTCAAAAGACAGCAACAACTAGTCAGTCATGTGAGTGATGAACCACCTTGGAACTGGATCCTCTAACCCCAGCTGACTGCCCCAGCTAAAATATCACCTTGCCTAGATTGCAGATTCATGAGCTAAATTCTTGTTGTTTTAAGCCAGTAAATTTGGGTCTAGCTTGATGTACAGCAATAGATAACTGGAACAGAGGAGAAGCCCTTCTGTTCCATACAGTAGAATGCCAACTAATAAGTGTAGAAAGATTGATGGGAATGAGAATCAATATTTGGCCACCATAACATAACTGAATTAACTGCCTGGTTGATTCAGGCAGTTAAGGGTGGTGGGTAGAAGATCGATGAGAAACAGGATGTTGGCATAATCTGGGAATATCTCCCCACAAAATACTGATCAATTACAAAGAGAAAAAAAAGGGACATTGTTATGCTAGAGAAACCTGCAGACACCAATATACCCCGTGATTAGAGTTAACACTACCAGTGACAGGATAGGTTGGCATTGTGTGCTCTCTGATGCAATGCACCAAGAAGAACACAGCATCATTTCTAGGGTATTCCTGCCAAGAAAATGTGGCCTGAGTCTAGTCATAAGGAAACGTGGCTCATCCTACAAAATGTAAAATCAGTAGTTGCTAAAACTGTTGAGGACATGAAAGACAGGAAAAATCTATGGAACTCTCTCCGATTGAAGGAGCCTGAAGAGATACGACAACTAAATACTAGATGGACACTGATGACAACTAATTGCTGGTAACTAAGTGTTCCTGGATGGAATCATGGACCAGAAAGGAAAAGGAGACATTGTTGGGACAGTTGGCAAAGTTTTAATTGGGTCTGCAGATTGAGTGGTAGTGTTGTACCACTGTGGATTTCCTGACCTGGAGAGCTGTATGCTGGTAGGTTAGGAGAGTGGACTTGCTAGGGGAAAGACACACTGGAATATTTAAGGATCATAGAACATCATGTCTTCAGCTTACTCTCAAGTGGTTCAGAAAAAGACTAATGTGTATATATATATACACATTAATATAATAATGTTTATATATTATTTATATATGTAATAATGTTTATATATATATGAGAAAGAGGGAGCAAATGCAGTAAAATGTTAACAAGAATCTAGGTGAAACAGATATGGAAGTTATTTGCACTGCATTTGTAACTTCTCTGTAGGTTTGAAAATATTTCAATATGCAGTATTTTTTAAAACCACACAATTGCTTATTTTACCAAACCATTTCAGATCAAAGACTCATTGCTTAATTTCAACTACTCAACCAATTTTATTCTTCAGGGCAAAGGGGTAAATATACGGCATGCATAACCCCAAACCACAGATATGCAAATCACATTGCAAACCAGGCCCCAATTCATACTAATTCATCAACGTTTCCATGCCTAGTGCTACATCAGCACTCTCAACTCCAACCAAGATACCAGGGTTCACCAACTTCACTTGCAACATTGCAGGTGCTCATTGCACAAAACAGCCCCACCCTCGATATGATGTAACAAAAAGGTTCTCCTTTGTGGTAATAGTCTTTATCTATCATCTGTAAGTTTGGCAAAACTGTAACATCTGTCTCTTATGCCCTTCCCTTTTATTTTCTGCATGGCTCTTCCTTCTGTCACCTCATTTTCTGCTCCTGATGCCCTTATGGCTCAGGTGGTTATTTGTGCTCTTGTAGCTAACATCTTACATAGAAGGCCTGCCCTGTCTTCTCTCGAGATTGTCCTGGTCCACAAACAGATAAGTTTGACTACATGGATATTCAAATAGTAAGTAACTATACAAAAGAAATTCAACAATATTAATAATTAAATAATACAAATTAAACCCCAATGTAGTTATTAGTTTTAAATTAGTACCAGTCTTTACAGCAGCATGATGGTAATATATATTGAGGATCATGAAACTATTCATGCCTTGTGTCATGCATTTTGATACAATAATCCTACTTTTAGAGTAGTTACCAGAAACATTATTCAGAAAATAAAGTGTTATTTATAATGTTGAAAAGATGCAAGTAATATAAGTATGTGATGTTCATGCATTTTTTTCAACAAATAATTACTGAGAACTTTCTATGACCAAGTATCTAATAGAATAGAGCAGTGTTGAAGTGTTATGACAAATCAACACGATGAAATGTTGTATAACCATTAAAATACTAAGTAGAATCACTCATAGAAAAGTGTTTATGGAATGATGTCAAATAGAATTCAAAACTTTATAGACACTACATAGACTATGTACAGACTATAAATTATAATAAATAATATAAAACTGTGTATGGACTGTAAAGTATAAAATTTAAAAATTGTATAGGCGCTATATAAAACTGTACAAGGTATAAATTAAAATATAATAAACTTTGTTAGGTGCTTAAGTATCTCATTTAAATGCTCACAGAAACTCCAGTGTTATTGTCCCCATGGTACAGATAAAGAAACTGAGGCTCATGGGGATTATAATACAACACTAGACTGCGAGTTCCACAAACTAACATTTTTGTCTGTACTGTATCCCGTGTCCAGAACAGTGCCTCACATATACCAGACACTCAGTAAATAGTTCTTGACTACCTGAAGTGGCTGAGTCATGATTGGGACCCAGTTCCCTATCAGAGCTAATACTGTCATTCAAATAAACTAGATCCATCAGGACCTCAGAATGAATTCAGAGATGGGCTTAAAGAGTTTCAAGTTCTTTGCTGGGTTGCAAGAGCCTCATGTCCTTTCCTCTCCTTTCCTTTCTCTTTTACTGTCTGCCCTCTGGTGGAGATACTAATGAGTAGCAGAAGTCACGGAAGAAAGGGCCAGGGTCATCAATGACTGCACAGATCACTTATGTCTTACCTGTATGTAATTAACACCTGTTCTCTAGTTTTGTCTGTTCTCTAGCTGTAAAAACAAGTGGACATATTTTCACCAAATTTGAAGGTTATTTTCAAGATGGTCTGGCTTAAAATACATCATATTAGCACAATTTACTTTGGGGATGCTGTAGGGCACATTGATTATTTTTTTCCTTGCATTGAGCTTTGTGGCCCATCATTTTATGGATTTGTATGAGTTAAGAAACTTACACTTTTTGAATTTTTCTAAAATATCACAGATTAAAGAGAATATTCAAAAATTTCATCAATTTTTCAAAATAACTTTTTTCTCCACACAATGAATAAATTTAAATGCTACAAAATTTGTCCCAAAGATGAAAATATCTTAGTTTCAAATCACCAAGAGTATTTGTTTTCTTTTACCAAGAATAGGAAGTCATAACCAATAGTATTTTAAATTAGAATTTTTATGGATCTGGAAACCCAATTTTAAAGGGACACCCGTGCAAGGGCCAATTGCAAAGACAGGCTCTTTCAAGGGCAAATAAAATTGCAGTAAGAAGAATGCTTGGAGGAAGATGAGAAGAATCGTGTTCTTTCACAGGCAATTGAAACCAAAGTTCAGTTCAAAGAGACATTTGGCTGCTGATCAGGAGATACATGAGATATGAATTCAGATGCTTCTGTAAGAGAAAAGAGTGCTTTTACATTTGAACTCCAAATCAATTATGCCAAAGAATCTACACTAGTTCTATGTCTGGAATCTGAAAGGAGAGTCTAAATGTTTCAAGAGAAAGGTCATGTTGAAACCAATTACTAAGCCCCCAAAGTTACTAAAATTGTTATTAATGGAGCAGTTTCCACAATTCCAATAATTTAAGACAAGATCAGAGCTTAAACTGTGTATGTCAACGGGGTACAATAGGAATCAGTATTTAATTCTCCCAAACCACTGGTTCCTTCAAACTACTGCTTCATCTTTTAAAGGCCGTAAGTACCAAGTGAATATCTTTTTCACCCATGGCTATTAATAAGTCCCAAATGCAAATGCCTCAAATAATTGGCATTGGTTTTTGATAGAGCTGCTTCTCACATAGGCAACACTATGTAATGTGTGCCTGAGTGGTGAGCAACAAGGATTTACCCAAATTTACTCAGGAGTATAACAATAACTATGACCTCTAAAGAAACTTGTTACAAAGTTGGAAATTATTAAAGCTCTGAATTAATTCAACTAGACAAAATCATCATAATGTTAACGTTAGTGTTTTTATTGTTTCTATTAAACTTTATTTAATGATAGTTAATTATTCTCCTGTGGAGCACTGGGAGTCTCCTAGAGTCTCTTTTTTTTCTTGGCACTTATAATGAAGGCAGAGAGTTAACTCCCAGTTTTCTTTCTTATTGACAAAAGAGATCAGCGCATTAAACACTTGGAAAGCCCTCCCCGGTGACTAGTACAGCCCTTGGCAAATAGTAAGTACTTAATAAATATTTGCCAAATGATTTAATGAACCACCCTTATATGAGTTGGAGTTTTTTGGTTGTGACAAAACCCAACTCTGGCTAACTTAGGAAAAGAGGGAATTTATTTGAAGGCTACAGGGCAGCGAACAGGTTTAAGAAGAGACTGGAAAAACCAACTCCTCAGAAACCAAAGCAGAAACCAGGGAGCTCCAGAAGATGTAGAGCAAGAACTGCTTAACACTTTATGCGGTCTTTTTATTACTCCATTCATAGATCAAATTCAAGAGGAAGCTTCTAATTGACCTAGCTTGGGTCCACATCACTACTCCTACACTAGGAGAGGGCAGGGTATCTTGATCAATATTCCTACCAGAATTTATCCAGGGTCAAAAAAAGAATCTTCCCAAAGGAAATGGGCATGCTTCTGCCAAAAGAAGGTAGAATGGATACAGAACAGGAAGGAAGGAAGGAAGGAAGGAAGGAAGGAAGGAAGGGAGGGAGGGAGGGAGGGAGGGAGGGAGGGAGGGAAGGAGGAAGGAAGGAAGGAATTTTTCTCTTTTTTTTCCTTTTTCTTTTTTTTTTTTTTTTTTTGAGATGGAGCCTTGCTCTGTTGCCCAGGCTAGAGCGCAGTGTCTCGATCTTGGCTTATTCCAACCTCCGCCTCCCGGGTTTAAGCGATTCTCCTGCCTCAGCTTCCCAAGTAGCTGGGATTACAGGTGCCCACCACCATGCCTGGCTAATTTTTGTATTTTTAGTAGAGACAGGGTTTTACCATGTTGGCCAGGCTGGTCTCCAACTCCTGACCAAAGGTGATCCCCCGCCAATCTCAGCCTCCCAAAGTACTGGGATTATAGGCGTGAGCCACCATGCCCAGCCAGGAATTTTTCTAAGTATTAAGTAAGAAGGTACTTAAAAGAAAATACTTAGAAAGTTATAAAAATTACTAAGTAATATATTAAAGTATTATCTTAGAGTTGATCCAATCTGATAGGATTAGTGTCCTCATAAGAAGAGACACCAGAGAGTGCTCGTTCTCCCCTCCTCTTCTCCCTCCTTTACCCTCCCCCTCTTCCTTCCTCTTTCCACACAAGCACACCAAGGAGGCCACGTGAGCACACAGAGGGAAGGCAGCTGTCTGCAACCCAAGGGGAGAACACTCATCAGACACCCACCCTGCTGGAACTTGACGGTGGTTTTCCAGTCTCCACAACTGTGAGAAAATAAATTTCTGTTGGGCAAGCCTCCCGCTCTATGGTAGTTTGTTATGGCAGCCTGAGCAGATGAATATATCCACCATCAAAATTGATGAGACAACCGAATAATTTCACAAAAATGCCTTCCAGAGAAAAATACTTAAAATAACTGCTTAGAGATAAGTTGCATTATTTTAGTACATTTATAATTAAAATAGAATAGGCTATAATAACCATCAATCATTACACAGGAATCTCTGAAAGACCTGACTGCCAAAGACTGCTACGTTTTCAATGTTATTATCAAAATATGATACTGGTAATAGTTCAAATTGGTAGGGAAAGCATGAATTGTTCAATAAATTGTACAGCACTACTTGGAAAAAAATAGTTAAACTCTCACTTCATGCCCAAAGCACAAAAAATTATAGATGCTTTTAAAACCTTCATTTAAAAATAAAAGCTCAGACCAGGCACAGTGGCTCATGCCTGTAATCCCACCACTTTGGGAGGCCAGCGCAGTCAGATCACTTGAGCTCAGGAGTTCGAGACCAGCCTGGGCAACTAGTGAAACACCGTCTCTATGAAAAATTAGCCAGGCGTGGTGGCGCACAATTGTGGTCCCAGCTACTCGGGAGGCTGAGGTAGGAGGATTGCTTGGGCCTGGGAAGCAGAGGTTGCAACAAGCCGAGATCATGCCACTCTACTCCCAGAATGGGAGACACAGTGAGACCCTGCTTCAAAAACAAAAATTTTTTTAATTAAAAAATAAGAGCTCAGAAGCATTAGAGGAAAACACTGAAAATATTTTTATAATGTTGGAGTGGGAGATATCTTCTTAAGATTCAAATTCAAAAGCCATAAGAAAAAACATTAACACATGTATGTAAAAATTTGCACATGTATGTAAAAATTTACACATGTATGTGTATGTATGTAAAAATTAACACATGTATGTAAAAATTTTCAACTTCTGTACAGAAAAAGATAACACAAGGAAATTTAGTAGATAGACAAAAGACTGAAAGAAAATATTTGCAGCATATTAAAAAAGAATTTTATATCCACCACATATAGTTTCTACAAATTAATAAAACACCAACCACATAATAGAAATATATACATTCACAATATTATGCAACCACCACCACTATCTAATTCCAGAACATTTAATCACCCCAAAAGTAACTTATACACATTAAAAAGTCACTCCCATTCCTTCCCACCCCCAGCTCCTGGTAACCATTAATCTACATTCCAAATAAATCTACGCTCTCCATAAATCTATGGATTTACCTATTCTGCACATTTCATGTAAATGGAATCATACAATATGTGACCTTTTGTTTCTGGCTACTTTCACTTACCATAATTTTTTAGGGTTCATCCACATTGTATCATGTATCTGTATTTCATTCATTTTTAGAGTTGAATAATTGAAATTTGGGTTGCTTCCACTTTTTGGATGCTATGAATAATGCTGCTATTTGCGTACAAGTTTTTGTGTGAATATATATTACCAGTTTTCTCAAGTATGTATCTAGGAGTTGAATTGCTATATGGTCATTCTATGTTTAATTTATTGAGGAACTAATAAACTTTTCAACAACAGCTGCACCATTTTACATTCCCGTCAACAATGTGTGAGGGTTCTCATTTCTCCAAATCCTTTCCAAAATTTATTTTCACTTTTTAAAAAATTACAGCCATGCTAGAGAAGTAGTATCTCATTATGGTTTTTATTCATATTCTTCTATTGGCTAATGATGTTAAGCATCTGTTCATATGCTTATTGTTCACTTTTATATACTCCACGGAAAAAAATGTCTATTTCTTTGTTCATTTTGATTGGGTTGTTTTTTGTTGTTGAGTTGTAATTTTATATGTATTTGGGATTCTAGACTGTTATCAGATTTCCAAATATTTTCTGTGATTCTATGGGTTGTCTTTTCACTTTCTTGATGTGTCCATGAAAGCATAAAGTTTTAAATTTTGATGAAGTCCAATTTATCTTTTTTCCCCTTTTTTTCCTTGTGCTTTTGGTTTCATACTTAAGAAACCATTGCCGACTAGGTGTGGTGGCTTCGTGCCTGTAATCCCAGTACTTTGGGAGGCTGAAGCAGGAGGATCACTGGAGACCAGGAGTTCAAGACCAGCCCGGGCAACATAGTAAGACCCTGTCTCTACAAAAAAAAAAAAAAAAATGTAATAGCCCGGTGTGGTGGCACCCACCTGTAGCCCTAGCTACTCAAGAGGCTGAGGCAGGAGGATTGCTTGAGCCCAGGATTTCAAAGCTGGAGTTAGCTATGATCATGCCACTGCACTCCAGCCTGGGTGACAGAGAAAGACCGTCTCCTAAACAAACAAACAAAAAAGACAACAAGCATTGGTGTGGATTAGGAGTAATTAAAAGCACCTTTATACACTGTTGGTGGGAATGCAAAATGATGCAGATGCTATGGAAAACAGAATGAAGGTTCCTCATAAAACTAAAAATAGAACTACCATATGATCCAGCAATCCCGCTTATGGGTATTTATCTAAAAGAATTGAAATCAGAATCTCAAAGAGATATTAGCACTCCTGTGTTCATTGCAGCACTATTCATAATAGCCAAGATGTAGAAACAACCTAAATGACCATCAACAGATAAATAGATAAAGAAAATGTAGTATATATATACACTGGAATACTATTCAGCCTTTAAAAAAGAAATTCTACAATATGTGACAACATGATTAGACCTTGAGGACATTATACTGCATAAAATAAGCCAGTCACAAAAGGACAAATAACAAATAAAGCATGATTCAATTTTTATGATGTATGTAAAATTGTCAAATTCACAGAATCAACAAGTGAAATGGCTCATTGAACATAGTGGCAGCCTTCGAGATTCGTGTGTATTCTTTGCAAGCCAAGCCAAACCTACATGCAAGTAACTATGTCTAAGGGACCTGTTGCTATGTCTAAGGGATCTAAGGGATCAAGTTGGTATTGATCTTGGCACCACCTACTCTTGTGTGGATGTCGTTTAGCACAGAATATTGGAGATACTTGCCAATGATCAGGGAAATCAAACCATCCCAAGCTCTGTTGCCTTTACTGATACCAAATGACTAATTGGTGATCCCACAAAGAACCAAGTTGCAATGAACCCCATCAACATGATTTTTGATGCCAAACATCTGATTGGATGCAGATATGATGATGCTGTTGTCCAGTCTGATATGAAGCATTGGTCGTTCTTGCTGGTGAATGATGCAGATAGTCCCAAAGTCCAAGTAGAATACAAGTAAGAGACAAAAAGTTTCCATCCAGAGGAGGTGTCATTTATGGTCTGACAATGATTAAAGAAATTGCAGAAGCCTACCCTGAGAAGACTGTTACCAATGCTGTGGTCACAATGCCAACTTACATTAATGATTCTCAACATCTGACTACCGAGGATGTTGGAACCATTGCTAGTCTCAATGTACTTAGAATTATCAAGGCCAGGTGTGGTGGCTCACCCTTGTAATCCCAGCCCTCTGGGAGGCTGAGGCGGGTGGATCACCTAAAGTCAGGAGTGCGAGACCAGCCTGGCCAACATAGCGAAACCACGTCTCTACTAAAAATACAAAAATTAGCCAGGCTTGGTGGTGTGTGCCTGTAATCCCAGCTACTCGGGAGGCTCAGGCACCAGAATCACTTGAACCCAGGAGGCAAAGGTTGCAGCAAGCCAAGATCCCACCACTGCATGCCAGCCTGGGCAACAGAGCAAGACTCCATCTAAAAAAAAAAAAAGAATTATCAATGAGCCAACTATTGCTGCTATTGCTTATGGCTTAGGCTGCTATTGCTTATGGCTTAGACAAAAAGGTTGAAGCAGAAAGAAATGTGCTCATCTTTGACCTAAGAGGTGGCACTTCTGATCTGTCAATCCTCACTATTGAGGATGGAATCTTTGAGGTCAAATATACAGCTTCTCCACTTAGGTGGAGAAGACTTCAACAAGCAAATGGTCAACCATTTTATTACTGAGTTCAAGCACAACCATAAGAAGGACAATGATGAGGATAAACAGAAGACTCTTGACAAGTGTAATGAAATTAGCAACTGGCTCAATAAGAATGGTACTACAGAGAAGGAAGAATTTGAACATCAGCAGAAAGAGCTGGAGGAAGTCTGCAACCCCGTCGTTACCAAGCTGTACCAGAGTGCAGGAGGCGTTTGAAGGAATGCCTGGGAGCTTCCTTGGTGACAGAACTCCTCCCTCTAGTGTTGCTTCCTCAGTGCCCTCTATTGAAGAGGTTGATTAACCTAACCCATGTATAGATATAACATTGTTCCACGCAGTTAAAACTTTGAAGGACCCAAATTTGCAGCAAATTCTATGGCAGTTTTAAAGTTCAGCTGCTATAGTAAATTACTGGATATTCTCAATACTTGAATATGGAACATGTGCACAGAGGAAGGAAACAGCATTGAACTTTATAAGCACTGTATTGTAAGTGCAAAATGCAATGTCTTGAATACAACTGTATTTAAAATTGGCACCAAAAACAGAGTGAAACGGTGGTTGCCAGGGGCTGGGGGAAGGCAGAACTAGGGAGTTACTAATCAACAGGCATAAAATTTCAGCGAAGCAAGATGAATAATAAGCTCTAGAGATCTGCTGTACAACATTGTACCCATAGTCAACAATAATGTATTGTACATTTAAAAATGTGTCAAACAGGTAGATCATGTTGTGTTCTTACCACAATAAAATAAAAAATGTAACTTAAAAAAAATCCTTGCTCTTATATAGCTCCAGCCCACCCTGAAGCTGTTGTCGCAAATTACATCTTTATACAATATGTACTCACCAACATAGATTATAATTTATACTTTAATCAATTGTCTTTTAAATCATATGGGAAAAAAGAAGAGTTATAAACAAAAGACACATTAATACTGACTTTTATTTTTGCCCATGTAGTTATATTTAACGGTGTTGTTTTTTTTTCATGCAGTTACAGAGTTACTATATATGGTAATTACATTTCAGCCTGAAGGATGCCCTTTGGCATTTCTTGTAGGGAAGTTCTAACAACAGTGAACTCCTTCAGTTTTTGTTTAACTGGGAATGTCTCAGTTTCTCCCTTTTTGAAAGGTTGTTTTGCTGAATATAGAATTGATTGGCAGGGTTTTATTTTCTTTCTACACTTTAAATACATCATCCCACAGTCTTCTGACCTCCATTGTTTCAGATGAGAGATTAGCTGTTAATCTTTATTGAGGATCTTTTGTGCATAATGAGTTGTTTCTCTTTGCTGCTTTCAATATTCTGTCTTTGGCTTTGTACAATTTGATTATGATATGTGTTGGTGTGGATGTCCTTGAGTTTATCCTTCTTGGAGTTCATTGAGCTCTATAGAGGCAAAAAGTAATGTCTTTCATCAAATTTTCAAAGTTTTGGCCATTACGTCTTTAAACATTCTTTCTTTGCCTTTCTCTTATTCTCTTCTGGAGTTCACATTATGCTTATGCTGGTATTCTTGATGGTATCCCACAAGCCCCTTAGTTCTGTTCATTTTTCTTCACTTTTGTTTTTCTTTCTGGTCCTTGGACTGGATTATCCCAATGGACAAATCTTGAAGTTTGCTGTTTCATCGTTCTGCCTGCTCAAGTCTGTGGCTGAACCCCTCTTATGAATTTTTTTGTTTCAGTTATTGTACTTTTCAACTGCAGAGTTTCTATTAGATTTCTTTTTATAATTTTCATTGGATATTCTCCGTTTGGTGAGACATCATTCTCCTGATCTCTTCTGGTTCTTCACTCACGGTATCCTTAGATCTCTAAGCATATTTAAAATAGTTAATTAAAAGGCTTTTTGAGTAAATCTAATGTAGGGGCCTCCGTGTGAACAATTTCTATTAATTTCTTTTTTCCTGCGTACAGGCACACTTTCTTGTTTCATTGCATGCCTCTTTTAAAAAACAAAAAAAAAAGTGGACATTTTGAATATTATAATGTGGCAACTCTAAAAATCAAATCCCCCTCCTCATGGTTTGTTGTTGTTTGTTTAATGACTTTTATAAACTAATTTTGTAAATTCTGTATTCTTTGTCATGTGTGGCCACTGGATTCCTTCTTCCATACACTTAGTGGTCAGCCAGTGATTCAACAAATAATTCTTAACATGCCTGGAACCAAAAAAGCACACACACACAATATTTCAGTCTTTACTGAGAAGTTCTGTTTATATTGGGGTACATCTTCAACACTCAGTCAGGCAGTTTAAAACTCTGCCTGAGCCTATACTACCTTCTTGCACAGAGCCTGGAGGTGAATCAGAGGTGACAGCTTATGGCCTTCTCAGTTCTTTCCTGAGCATGTGCACAGCCCTGGACATACATATGGCCATTCAGATTCCCAAGAATATGTAGGAGTTTTCAAAGCCCTTATTCCCTAAAGCATCTCACTTTCCAGCCTCTCCTCCCAAGCTTTTCGGTTTTCTATTGTTTGCCTCAAGTGTTATCCCTCCCCATGTGGGAGCACCTAAAACATTTGCCTTTAAATATTTTTGGCAAACACTCCCAGAGTAGCCATCTCAACTCTGGGAGATTTTCAAGTTAGATAAAATAAAAGCAAGTCCTTCGAGTCTATCCTCAAGGGAGTCACCAGTCAGGTCAAAACATTACACCAGAATTCTTTGAGAATAAGCTCTGTTCTACTCCCTCCAATGCTGGGTACTTGTTCCAGGAGTGAAGGCTATTGTCTTCAAAGCCACTGCCAAGCCTGGGTTTGGGAGATAGTTTAAGTTTAAATGCCACAAAGTGCTCTTACTGAGATCCAAATATGTTTTCCTGATTAAGAATTCCCCTGGTTACTGTAAGATTTTTATTAGTTTCCAGAGTTCTGAAAAAGTTGATTCTGACAGTTTTTGCCAGTTTATTTATTGCTTTTATGAAGCAATTAACTTTTGAAGTTCCTTATTCTGACTTTTTTTTTATCTTTTGAGACAGAGTCTCACTCTGTCACCCAAGCTGGAGTTCAGTGGAACAATTTCAGCTCACTGCAACCTCCACCTCCTGGGTTCAAGTATTTCTCATGCCTCAGCCTCCCCAGTAGCTGGGATTACAGGAGTGCACCACCATGCCCAGCTAATTTTTTTTTCGTAGAGACAGGGATTAACCATGTTGGTCAGGCTAGTCTTGAACTCCTGACCTCAAATGATCCGCCTGACTCAGCCCCCCAAACTGCCGGGATTACAGGTATGAGCCACCGTGCCCAACCTCCTTATTCTGACATTTTACTGATGTACTAGTCCAATCTTTTGGCTTCCCTGAGCCATATTGGAAGAAAAAGAATTGTCTTGGGCCACACATAAAATACATTAACACTAATGATAGCTGATGAGCTAAAAAAAAAAAAAAAAATCACAAAAAAAATCACAATGTTTTAAGAAAGTTTATGAATTTGTGTTGGGCCACATTCAAAGATGTTCTGAGCTGCATGTGGCCTGCAGGCCATGGATTGGACAAGCTTGTACTAGGCAATTCTTAAGATGAAAAAAGATGACCAATTGTCATAAATAGCTGTTCAACCTACTAGTTACTGGTGGAGATGCTGATTAAAATGAAATTATTCTTGGTGCATCAGATAAACAAAAATTGAAAAGATTGAGAATATCTAATATCAACAATGTGTGAGGAAATAGGCACTCATATGCTACTGGTGGTAGATAAAATGAGATCTTTGAGTGTGCAGTTGGCAGAGTCTCTCAAACTTTTCACGGTTCATTCCTTTTGACTTTTTCACTTCAGGGAATTTAACTTATGAACACATGCATGCATAATATGTATTTACAAGGATGTTCTTTGCAAGATTGTAATAATGAAAAATCAGACAAACAGGTGCTCAATAGGGAGGTGTTAAGTAAATTATGGCACCATAAATCCCTGCAATATACATCCTGTAGTAACATTCCAACCTTACATAATTCACAATTGGCTTCTTCCTCCACTCAAATCTCAGATGTGGAGGGCTAATGTTCTTATCTTATAGTGTTGGGGATTGAGGGAGTTTGGGGCTTGGAGGGAAGGGCAAAATCAGACAAAAACACTGCAGGTAGCCACATACAGGGAAGTGGGGGAATTGGGGATGAACCACCTTCTCCAGTAGTCTTCTGGCTCAGTCTCCTCAGATTTAGCCCATGAAAACAAGTCAGAAGTCAAGATATGTAGTAAGATCCCATTTACCCATGCGTGCGTACTATATTCAAGTATATGTATTTATGTATATATGTAAATGTATTTTAAAAGACCTGAAAGAAATACACAAATTAATAACCATAGCAACCTCTAAAAAGGGAAATGGGAATGGGGAAGGAATGACAGAATCTCACATTTTACTCTGTGTTATTAAAACTTCGAAATAGGAATGTTTCTCAAAAAAATCATCTAATTAAAAAACTTATTTAAGAAAAAGGTGTTTTGTTTGTTCGCTTGTTTTCTAAATAGGGCCTCCCTCTCTTGGCCAGACTGGAGTGCAGTAGTGCAGTCATAGCTCACCGTAACCTTGACCTCCTGGGCTCAAGCGATCCTCCCTCCTCAGTCTCCCAATCTGTTGGGACTGCAGGCATACCACCACACCTGGCTAATTTTTTATTTTTTGTAGAGACGGTGCCTCCCTATATTGCCCAGGTTGGTCTCAAACTCTTGGCCTCAAGTGATCCTCCTGCCTTGGCTTCCCAAATTGCTGGGATTACAGGTGTGAGCCACAACACTGGACCAAGAAAGGGTTTTAAACAACATTAAAGACAATTGGGATAGGGAATCAATGGTAGTCCCATCACCCTAGCAACAACAGCAACAACAATAGGCATAGTTAGACAATGCCAGAGCCCAGAGTGAATTTGTGAATCACAGCTTTAAGAGATGAGACCTGCCCAAGTTGATGTAGTGAGTTAGTGACAGAGTGTACAACCCAGGTTTCCTTAATGCCAAAAGAAAACAGGATTCTAAAACCAGAGGGAAAACTTGACAATGGGAATCAATGAACCACTAAATCTGAAACATCTGCAGGAGGTCAGTTGCAGCTTATCCAGTCCTCTATCTCAGTGAAAAGTGAAGAAGAGAAGGTGAAAATCTTGTTATGAAACCATGGAATGTATGGAGTTGGAGGCATGCATGAAGAAGCTGTGGTAGCTTTTGTCTTCTCTGAGACCTCCAGTGCTGGTATGTGTCACTTAGAATTCCCCAAAAAGCTATTTGACAATTAGAAAAGGAAATTAAGCACTTTATCAGTATCTGTGGAGTCGTTGACTTAAAAAGAGCCGCATGCCACGTTTAGCACTTAGCAGCAGTAACAGCAGCAACAAACTGCTCTCTCTCTCTGCAGTATACTCATTACTAATTGTTTTACTTGGAGAAGCTAGGAGAAGGGTAGCAGAATCCAACTCTAGCTCATATGAGGAAAAATGGAACTTACTGGAATGGTATGACTAGTGGTGCACTGGTAGATGTTTAGCAAACAGCTCTTCACAACAACAAAAAATCTGATTTCTAATGTTTGCTGATTTCCATCATATAAATACTCCCACCACGGCCAACTGCAAGCTCCCAGTGTAACATCATCTAGCTCACAAAATTCCTGAAAAGTTAGTGGTAGGTCCTCAGGATCTGGTAGGGAGAAGCCCGCAGGATGGAAGGGAGGCAGAAGAAGATCAACTAGGCAGTACCAGAGGGCCTAAAAAGCAAGAACTACTCAACAGTATTGTCAGGTCACTGCCACATTAGCTTCTCTGCACAAACCTCTATACTGCCCCTACCACGTCCCATAGATTTTTGTGCCCTTTTAGGGGAAAGTGACCCATTCATCTCATTATCCACAAATGGTGTAACCCAAAAGTAGTGGCTCATGCCATATAGTTGCATCTCAAAATATCCTTAGTAAAAGGCCCCAGTTTATATTTGCAAGCCCAACTTGCAGGGTCCTAAACTGAAGAAAACAAGTTTATAACGAGAGATTGGGGCAAAACCTGCATGTAAGTCTTCTTTATTTCTTTGTTTTTTGTGTGTGTGTTTTTTTTTAGAAACATTTTATTGTAGAAAATTCACACACACACACACACACACACACAGAAAGAGAGAGAGAGACAGAGAGAGAATAGTATAATGAATCCTCGTTCTCAACAATTATCAACTTGTGGCCAATCTTATTCTATCTACATTTTCACTTTTTTTAAGGAAGAAAAACATCACAAGAAAGATCAGAAGAAAGATCAATAACAGTCCTAACAGTTAGGACTGTTATTTGGAATTGGAATAACCTGGTGATATGGTTTGGCTGTGTCCCCACCCAAATCTCATCTTGAATTGTAGCTCCCATAATTCCCACATATTGTGGGAGGGACCTGGTGGGAGACAATTGAATCATGGGGGTGGTTTCCCCCATACTGTTCTTGTGGTAGTAAATAAGTCTCAAGAGATCTGATTGTTTTATAAGAGGAAACCCCTTTTGCGTGGTTCTCATTCTCTCTTGCCTGCTGCCATGTAAGATGCGCCTTTCACCTTCTGCCATGATTGTGAGGCCTCCCCCCAGGCACGTGGAACTGTGAGTCCATTAAACCTCTTTTTCTTTATAAATTACACAGTCTCGGATATGTCTTTATCAGCAGCATGAGAACAGACTAATACACCTTGTAAAATAATAATGGCTAAAATTTTAAGAGCAACTATGGGTTACGTGCTTTACATAAAGTATCTTGTCAGATCTTCACAACAGCCCTGCTAGGTTGGCATTATTATCTCTGTTTTCAGATGGGAAAATTGAGGCTGGAAAAATTAACACTTGCCCAAGTCAAAAAGCATTGGCAGAGTCAGATTCAAACTTAGAACATAAACAATGTTGTACCCAAAATGTTAACAGTTGTTGCCTCAGGACAGTGGAATTATGATTTTTTTATTTGCTTTTAATAATATTCCTTCTTATGTGTATCAAAACTCATACTGAACAATGAGTTCTGAGTGGCAAAAGATTATTTATTTTTTGCACCTGTCAATAAGCCTTGTCCACAAGTTACATGGGTTTTTATTATCTTTTTTTTTTTGCTCATTTTTTTTTATTTCTCTATAATTGGCATTGCTGGGCAGCATATCCATCCAGATATGCTGGTGTGGGCTATGATGTTCTTCACAGGCCCAAGTGGTTTGCTGCTACTGCACCCGCCCTGAAACAGCTTCAAGAAAACCCCGTTAAACAAACATCTAGACTCCTTTGTGGGGTTAATGAGACTCTGGGTAGAAGTGAGCCCAGCAGTCATCATGAAGCTATTGCTGCCATGTTCCTAAATGTGATCTGAATTCACTAGACCACATTCAGATAAGCATACCATCCAAGCCAAAGAAGTGATCAGGCCTCTCTACTGCACCAGTCTTTATTCACTATTGTACCCAATGCTAATCTGACTACATCCAGTAGACTCATGAGAATGGCGATTAGTGCAGAAACCATGATAATGGGTCAATTACTAAACACCTACTCTGGATAGCAAAATGGCTGTTGTTTCACTTCCGCCTTTCAAATCTCACACAAGAATCCCTCTTGTGGCCCACATTAAGAGGAAACACACAAGGAAGACAATTCCAGGAAATGTAGTTCAACCTACCCAAGTTAACTCCACAGGGAAGACAGAAATAGAGGCTGGAACCTGAAAAGTTAGCAGTAGGTCCTCAGGATCTGGTAGGGAGAAGCCCACAGGATGGGTAGAACTAGGCCTAATAGAAAGAAATTACTGGGACACCTTTCAAACTACTTGAGTTGTCTAATAATCATATTGATGGCATCATAGGCAGGAAGCTCCTCATCTCTGGAAGTGTTCAAGCAGAAGTTTATGGTATAAGAACTATGGAGGGTCTTATACCAGCTAGGAACCATACTTTGTTTTTAGAAAGCTACTTTAGTAACACCAGATAAAGGTGATGAGTGCTTGAACTAGGGCAGTAATGGTAGAGACAGTGAGGGGAGAATGGATCTGGAAGACATTGTGGAAGTAGATTTAAAGGACTTGGCAACTGATTTGAGGGAGGATCATGTATTAACTTCCTATGACTGCTATAATAAATTATCATAAACTTAGTGGGTTTAAACAATAGAAAGATTTTTAAATTTCTATCTCTAAAAATAGAAATTTATTATCTTACTGCTCTAGAGGCCAGAAGTCCAAAATGAGTCTTATGGGGCTAAAATCAAGATGTCAGCAGGGCTAGTTCTGGAGCTTCCAGGGGAGAATCTATTCCTTGCCTCTTTGAGCTTTAGTAGCTACCAGCATTCTTTGGCCACATCACTCCAGTCTCTGCTTCCATAGTCACATTGTCTTCTCCTCTTCCGTGTCAAATGTCCTTACCTCTCCCTTATAAAGATGCTTGTCCTTATAAGGGACACTTGTCCACAGGCCTATCCAGAATAATCTTTCCATCTCAAGAGTCTTAATCACATCTGCAAAGTTCCTTTTGCTATATAATGTAACATTCACAGGTTCCAGAGATTAAGATGTGAATATCTTTTGGAAAGCCATTTCAGCCTTGTACAGACAGTGAAACTAAGGAAAGCAGTTATAACTCTAGGTTCTCAAATATCAGTGGCTCAGACCATGATAGAATCATTAACCAAAGTAAGACTCTCGATAAGAAGAAAAAAACAGTTTGGTGAGAAGAGTTTAATTTGGGATATGCTACAAATGATATGAGGGATTGATGGAACATCCATGTGGAGATGACCAAAAGAAACTCGGAATATTACAGTTTGAAGCTTTGGAAAAGTATCCAAGCTGAAGATAAAGATTTGAGAGCATCTGCAGAGATATTATAGAGGAAGAGTATAAACTCTTGAATAAAAGGGATTTGATTTGCCTATAGTTCTATTCTGGGTACCTAGTATAGCATCTGGCACATGGTAGGTGCTCAACAAATAATTGTTGAATGAATGGATGAAGGTAAGATCCCAGAGGAAAACAGAGGGGAAGGGCAGGAATTATGAATGGAGAAATCTTTCTTCTTTGAAACAAGAGGTAATAGAAGACAGAAGAGGTGGCTATGCAAAATAATTTAGAAATGGACAGGATATATTGCAAGATCTCACTTTGGGCAATTTTGATATCATCGAAGTGGAAGATGAAGTCATCAGTGAGGAATGTTTTGAATCCACTGAGAATGGGATTGACATTTGAGGAAAGTAAACCATAAAATGTCAGTACTATAAAGGACCTTGAAGAATATCTACAGAGCCCTCATCTTACAGATAGGGAAACTGAGGCTTAGAGAAAAGAAAATAATTGCTCAAGTCCCCAAGCCTAATAGAGTTTTGTTTATGTGTGCAACAAATATTTACTGACTGCTGGCTCTATGCCCGGCAGACCCTGGGCTAGATGTTAGGGACATAGTGAAAAATAAGCTAGTCAGTGACCCTGTGCTCCTGGAACTTTTAGTGTAGCGTGAAAGATATTAGAAATAAAAAAAAAGATATAACCAGGGTGCTAAGTGCTATGGCGGGAAAAGCTTAAAGTGATTAGGGGAGCATAGGGGAGGAAAAGTAAGAGTTAACAAGAAATGAATAGCGAGATTGGTCAGCTGAAATGCCAGCACAGCTGCGGGTAGACAGGGACTTGGCTGTTAACCCAGGTAGCAGTTTCATGACCTAAATGATATTTTTAATTCCGGGGAGAAGAAAAGAAGGCAACTCCCAGGGCCTGACCCTGGTTCCGACATTCCTTTGTACTTGGCTGTTGTCTTCGTGTTCCTCAGGCAAACCAGAGGCATAGAAGGAGGAGCACTTCAGTAAGCTGAGTGACTTACTACAAATTTGAACAGACGAACAAATATGAGAAAAACTCGGAAGTTTTGTTCACTTTTCCAAGGGCACCCAGGATTAAATAAGCTGCCAGAGCAGGAATTAGCAGAGCACTTCCTCAGGAAAGTGAGGTTTGGAATGAGATTTGAAGTCTACAACAGGCAAGATTATCAGCGAGAACAGCCCACTTTGTTTCACTAGTTTAATACGTCATTACATTTATGTTAAGGCCGCTTGTGCTAGAAGCCAATAATAATTGAAGGCAATTGCATTTCAGGAAATAACAAATTTGAAGTGTAAAAATATATATACCACTTACCTAGCTTAAAGTAAAACAAATTTCGGTTATTTGTCTAATTAAATTATCCCTAGCCCTTCGCTTAGCTATCATTAGAATATGCTTCTTCCCTCTCTAGAGTGCACCCTCTCACAAGAGTTCTGTGAATCGCAGGGGTGCATACTCATTTCAGGGGGTCACTACTGGCTTCTGTTGCCTTAAGGAGAAAAATCTGGAAGCCTAATCTGTTCACGTAGGAACTGTTTCCTTCAGCTGTTGTCACGGTTGCTACAACACAGTGTTGCTAGGAGTCCAGCAGTCCAGCCCCATTTGTGATGTTTTAGTGAGTGAAGCTTGCGTTGGCACAGCAGAAGCTTTTAGAGGTGTTGGGGTAACCACAGGAGGAATGGCAGGCCACGACACCCACAGGCCTCAGCCCCAGAGCCCCCAAGCCTAGGTAGCAGCAAGCCTCCCTCTACCTCTAGACAAAGAAACCAGAACACACTAGAACTCTTTCTCTTGAGGAGAAGACTAGGCTATAGCTTCCCGAGGAAGACGGTGGGAAAGCCAGAGGGACTTTAGAGAGAGAGGTTGAGGGAGAGTGACTGCATGTGGGATGCCCCTCTTGTGAAGGCCTAAAATGGCAAGTCTTTCTCCCATCCCATTGTGTAGTTCTAGTGAAAGATTTAATAAAGCAGAGCTTCCCAATTGAAGGACCTTGAGACACTGGGGTACTGTCAAGGGATTATAAGTAGGGCAAGAATTATTGATTCCCTCAGGGTTTGGGGCAGTCAGGCAGAGCTTGAGGGAGCCAGAGCCTTCATGCCAGTCACCACCAGCTGCTAGCAACTTAGCTGGGCTTTTTTGCAGAGGGCAGGCTCTGTAGAACAGAATCTAGAATTTTGCCCTCCCGTCTCCACAGCCAGCCAGCACTAAAGGAACTTCTGTCCCTCACTGCTTCACTGTTTCATGCTGAGTATACCCAAGGAAGTGATCAACCACCACGTCATCTATTTGAGACTAGGGGAGGGAATGAGGAGAGAAAATGCCAGTAGGCCCAGCTCCGTGTACCGGCCCCAAATTCATATCTTCACATATGTCTGTCTGCTGTTGATATGCTGTCTTAGAGGCATCCAAGCTAGCCACATGATGACTGCCCATGTGTTCTGAAAATTACAGCATCATCATTATTTTGAAATACTGTGCTTGACATTAAAAAATTTGGATTGGGTCTGGGCACGGTGGCTCATGCCTGTAACCCCAGCACTTTGGGAGGCCGAGACAGGCGGATCACTTGAGCTCATGAATTCAAGACCAGCCTGGGCAACATGGCAAAACCCCATCTGTACAAAACATATAAAAAATTAGCCGGGTGTGGTTGTGTGCACCTGTATTCCCAGCTACTTGGAAGGCTTAGATGAGAGGACGGCTTGAGCCTGGGAGGTGGAGGTTGCAGGTGGAGTGAGCTGAGATTGTACCACTGCACTACAGCCTGGGCAACAGAGCCAGACACTGTCTCAAAAAAAAAATGGATTGGATTTGGAATCCATTTGTGTCATCACAAGGTATTTCATCATAGTGCTTATCAGTGAAAGAAAAGGAAGAACTGTTAGACTTTTAAAATATATTTCAACTATTGCCAGGACTGGTGGCTCGTGACTGTAGTCTCAGCTACTTGCGGAGGCTGAGGCAAGAGGATCACTGGAGCCCAGGAGTTCAAATGCAGCCTGAGAAAAAGGACAATAGAGCAAGACCTTGTCTCTAAAAAAAAATACAATTTACAAAAAATTAAATTGTTTTTTATTTTTTTACTCTAGCCACGAGTTGTCTAAAAAATTCAACTGTTGTTAAGTTTTGGAAAATTTTTTTTAAGTTGTTTTTATCACCTACTTGTGGGAACAAAGTTTCTTGTCAATAGTGACAATAAAAAATTCAAAAAGTCATCAGTGGGCTGGGCACGGTGGCTCATGCCTGTAATCCCAGCACTTTGGGAGGCTGAGGCAGAAGGATCACTTGAGACCAGGAGTTCAAGACCAGTCTGGGCAATATAGGGAGACCCTGTCTATACAAAAATTTTAAATTAAATTAAATTTTAAGAAATAAAAACAAATAGTCATAATTAAAACCTTGATAGGGAACTGTGTGAAATCATTTCAAGCACATACTTGATAGAAAAAGTTATACTGACAGAAGCAAGCTCAGGTTTTTTTCATTAAACATTTTTAAAAATATTTCATTTATAAATTTAACACAAATATTGAATATCTTTTAAAATATCTTGGGCTGGGTGCTGTGGCTTACACCTGTAATCGCAGCACTTTGGGAGGCCAAGACAGGTGGATCACTTGAGGTCAGGAGTTCGAGACCAGCCTGGCCTACATGGTGAAACCCCATCTCTACTAAAACTACAAAAATTAGCTGGGCCTGGTGGCGGGCGCCTGCAATCCCAGCTGCTTGGGAGGCTGAGGCAGGAGAATTGCTTGAACCCAGGAGGCAGAGGTTGCCGTGAGCCGAGATCACGCCATTGCACTCCAGCCTAGGTAACGAGGGCAAAACTCCATATCAAATAAATAAATAAATAAAATATATTTATTTTAATTATCATAATTACAGATACTTACTATGGGGTAACTTACAGATACTTAAATCCCCATAAACCCACCATCAGTTAAAAATAAGTCAAAAATGCATTTAATACACCTAACCTACCAAACATCATAGCTTAGACCAGCTTACTTTTAACATGCCCAGAACAGTTATATTAGCCTACCATTGGGCAAAATCATCTAACACAAAGGCTATTTTATAATAAAGTGTTGAATATCTCATATAATTTATTAAATACCGTACCGAAAGTGAAAAACAGAATGGTCACATGGGCACTCAATTGGAGAATGTCTGTATATGATGCAAAAAAGGAATGGATGTTGTCAGTGAGTCCCACATAGACACCCACAAATCCCCTCCAGTTTACCCCCAGGTGCTGTAAAAATATCATTTTCCATTTGTGTCATGATATAAAAGAGCTGAGAAACACTGAGATAAGAATAACGATAAGAAAAAGAGTTGCTTATACCACTTTATTAATCAGGACTCATTTCATTGTAAGTGGCAGAAGTCCGACCAGAACTATCTTAAGCCAAATAAGCAGTGGGATTGGGGAGTACATTTATGGACTCAAGAACCAAAAATGTATAAATGGCAAGGATGCCACTGGCCTCAGTGATGACTGGATGAAAGGACAGGAATACAACTAGCTCACTCTCACTCACTGTCTCTACATCTCCATTTCTCATTGCTGCTCTCAGAATATTTACTTTCCCACCTCCTCTGCCATCACGTTTTCTTTCTTTCTTTTCCTGCCTTTGTGTGTGTGTGTGCGTGTGTGTGTGTGTGTGTGGTTTTTTGTATGTTTGTTTGTTTGTTTTGAGACAGAGTCTCACTCTGTCACTCAGGCTGGAGTGCAATGGTGCAATCTTGGCTCACTGCAGTGCAGCCTCTACCTCCCGGGCTCAAGCAATCCTCCCACATCAGCCTCCAGAGTAGCTGGGACTACAGGCATGCACCACCACACCAGGCTAATTTTTTGTATATTTTGTAAAGATGGGGTTTCACCATGTTTCCCAGGCTGGTCTATAATTCCTGGGCTCAAGCAGTCGGCCTGCCTCCGCCTCCCAAAGTGTTGGGATTACAGACATGAGCCACCGCACCTGACCTACCATCAGATTTTGTATGTGGGGCAGGGAAGAGGGCTTTCAACAGATTTGAGCCTATATCTTTATAGTTTGTGTCCTATATTAGTATATAAAATTCTGGGGAAGGATTCTAATTAGCCTACCTAAGGTCAGGTGGCCACAGCAGGTGGTATAGAGTCTGTTAGCAAAATAGTCACCATGGGAATCATGACTCTGACAGTCCCTGAATTTTTGTTTTCCAAAATCTGCATGTAGTTTAGTGTGCCTTTGATCTGAAAGAGAAAGGATTGGAAGGTTTCTGGAAGAGAATGTTATCAGCTTTCTGATTACCTTCCAGGACTCCAGATGTTATAGAACTGAGGGTCACTAGTCCTTCCCAAGTAAATTATTAACTAGAGCCATCAAATAGCCTTGGAAATCTGTAGACTGACAGATGCATTTTCTAGCATAAGAGACTTTAACACCCCTGACTCCTCTTCCATATGTGTGTCAGTCCGTTTTTCATTGCCACAAAGAAATGCCTGAGTCTGGGTAATTCATAAAGAAAAGGAGTTTATTTGGCTCACGGTTTTGTAGGCTGTACAAGAAGCATGGCACCAACATCTGCTCTGCTTCTGGTGAGGCTTCAGGAAACTTACTATGATGGCAGAAGGCAAAGGGGGAGCATGTGTGTCACATGGAGAGAGAAAGAAAGGAGAGAGGTACCAGGCTCCCTTAAACAACCAACTCTCTCATGAACTAACAGAGGAAGAATGCACTCATTACCAAAGGGAGGGCACCAAGCTATTCATGAGAGATCTACTCCCGTGACTCAAAAACTTCCCACTAGGCCCCACCACCAACATTGGAGGTCATATTTCACCACGAGATTTGGAGGGACAAAACATCCAAACCACTTCAGTATAGAAACAAGGAACACATGCTGTGAGACAGAAAAGGATGGCTCATGCTGTACCGGTGTGTATCATTCAGGATAAGCTAGGATCTGCCAGGGTAACAACCTTCAAATCTCAGTGGCTTAAGATAATAAAAATTTCGGCCGGGCGCGGTGGCTCACGCCTGTAATCCCAGCACTTTGGGAGGCCGAGACGGGCGGATCACGAGGTCAGGAGATCGAGACCATCCTGGCTAACACAGTGAAACCCCGTCTCTACTAAAAACACAAAAAAATTAGCCAGGCATGGTGGCAGGCTCCTGTAGTCCCAGCTACTCGGGAGGCTGAGGCAGGAGAATGGCGTGAACCCGGGAGGCGGAGCTTGCAGTGAGCCGAGATCGCGCCACTGCACTCCAGCCCGGGCGACAGAGCGAGACTCGTCTCAAAAAAAAAAATAATAAAAATAATAAAAATTTCTCATTTATGCTTCATGTCCATCGTGAGTTGGCACAGGTCTCTGCTCATCATGATCACTCATAGACCCAGCCTAATGGGAAGAAAAGGTTCCAGAAGGTCTCACATTGGTAATGAAATTCTCTGGCCTAGAAGTGATATATTATTACCACTCACAACTCACATGGCCCAACCCAATCCCAAAGAGACCAGAAAGTGAAATCCTACCATGAGCTCAAGGAGAACAAGAAAAACTTGATGAATAGCACTAATGTCTACAACATTGATTTACAACTGTATATATTGGAGAGTGGGTGAATGAAACTTACAAAAAAAATCATATGGATAGGTGATTTCTCAGTATTATCGTCCTTGATCTTAGAAAAATCCAGTATGAAAATACAAATTATTAAATCAGATCAAGTATGGGTTACTTACTCACAGTGCATGAATTATTTAATTTATAAAAGGATTCAGCTTAGGATCTTTTTAAAACTTTGAATTTCTTAACACATCTAAATATTTATTTACAGATAATTTACCAAAGAATTCTGCAAACTTTGTGTTGAACCTTAGGTTAACTCTTAATACATACGACTTTGAGTTTTTACTGTACCTTGCCTATCTGTGTGTCTAGGCAAAACATATACATTAATCCACGGTTTCTCTAGGCCAAGCTGTAAAGGGCCCATGGTTAGTCAAACCCAAGAAAAAGAAGACTGAAATGCACTGTATAATCAGAACTGTGACATTAATTCTGCAGAATAAGAAATTCAGCCTCCAGAACAAGACAAGAGTGGTCTCTTCTGTGAGATGTAAAGCCCCAGTTTTTCTTTCAGCAGTGGCTGGTGGGGTTTTCCAACAAAACTCAATTTGCATGTTCACATGTTAAAATGAACAACAAAGATCTGGGAAGCAAATTTTTTCCCACAGCAATAATCCAATAATAGCATATGGCAAGGCCTTCACCCAAGGGTAAACCGCTTAAACCAACGGCTAGAGCACACTTCTAGTCCTGTTATCTTCCCCAGTATGCCTCAAAATCATGAGCAACCAATGCATAGCCAAATTTTGCCACCTCTGACAAGGTGAGCTAAACAATGCATTCAATCTCCCTGCCCGCGAACTGTCCATTGGTCCCTGGGGCTGCTGCTTACCAAGTGTTAAGCACTGGGCCAATGAGCTTGGAGATCTTCAAAAGTGGTAGAAAACATGGCACCAGAACTCAGGGAATTTACTGCCCACTTGAGAGGGAAAGATCTGATATTTTTAAAATTGTAATTGCAAATACGAAAAAAATAGGCCGGGCATGGTGGCTCACGCCTGTAATCCCAGCACTTTGGGAGGCAGAGGCGGGCAGATCATCTGAGGTCAGGAGTTTGAGACCAGCCTGGCCAACATGGTGAAACCCCATCTCTACTAAAAATACAAAAATGAGCCTGGCGTGGTGGTGGGCACCTATAATCCCAGCTACTTGGGAGGCTGAGGCAGGAGAATCGCTTGAACCCGGGAAGCGGAGGTTGCAGTGAGCTGAGATTGTGCCACTGCACTCCAGCCTGGGTGACAAGAGGAAAAAAAAAGAGAGGTGAGGCGAGGCGAGGCGGGGCGGGGCGGGGCGGGGCGGGGCGGGGCCTCAAGTATGCAGGCAATACCACTAGCCCACTAGGAACAACTGCCCCTTCCTCCAACCCCTTAATTTGTTGCTTTGCCCTAAGTGTTGATGGAAAATAGTGCTGCATGCACTATCGTCAAAGGAGGTGATAGGTGCCAAGTTCCTTCTCAGGAAAGGCAGGCAAATTGACTGGAAGCCAAGGCACCAGGAGAATCCTGACACCAGAAGAATACAGAATTTCTGACATTCAATCATTCTTTTACTTAGTTTTTTGTTCACAAATATTTTGCTAAGCCATGTTCTGGGCATTGGACAAGACAGACATAGTCCCTGCTCATATGGAGCTCACATTGCAGTGAGGGAGATAATAAACTGTTAATTATGATATCACAAGGGTAGTGCTATGACACAAAAAATACTGATGGCCATAGAGGCACAGAGGAGGGACCCCCAGCATGGTGGAGGAGGCAAAGGGAGAGATTCTAGTGACATGTAAGCCCTCAGGACGAATAGGAGTTTGCCAGATGAATGAGGTGGAGAAAGACAGTATGCAAAAGCATGCAGGTAAACCACGCAATTCAAGAACCAGAAAAAGAATGCATAGCAGGATCGTAGAGTGCAAGAGGGCAATAGGGGACTAACGGGGAGTGAAGCTAGAGAAATAATCCAAAAACAGGTATTGGAGAATCTTACAAACCATGGAATCAGAATTTGGACTTTACTGTAATGGCAGTGGGAGTTGTAAGCAAGGGAGTGGCGTGAACCAGTTTGCATTTTAGAGAGATGAGTCTAGTTGCATTGAGAAGAAAGGTGCCCAGTTAGAGGGTAGCATGTAGCTGAGCCTCAAACTCTTTCTTCCCAAGTTACATCAAGCAAGTTTAAAACAACCATGTGTTTAAAATGGTACAATTACCGGATGGTAAAGCCTCCATCAGGCTGACTAGCTTAGTTGACACATAGAGATACAGTCATGCTAGAAAGTCCCTCAGACCTACACTGGATATGAGAGACAAATAAATATTTCTTGCGTTAAGCGACTAAGATTTGGAGTTACTACTACACCGTAACCTAGTATATCCTCAACTAATTGTCCCTACAAACTTGTAGGGACAGGAGGAGGCAGATGGCCAGGTTTAAATAAATTATTCCTTCTTTTCCTCTGCCTGAGGAACAGCCATCTCTCACCCTCCATCCATTCCTCTTTCTGGTGCACTTTATATTATACACAGACACTTTCACTCCATTTCCCATTCACATTCAATATACACATATCCTGGTGGAAAGCAAATTGTTCTAAAAGGTAATGCTTTAAGACACTTTCTTGAGATATCTTGCATTTCTGTCAGATAATTTTTAAAAACTTGCTGGACTATAAGCACTAATTTTCACATTTAATAACCAATAGACAGTTTCTTCAAGCACTACTCTCTGCCTTCTTCATAAGAGATTCAGTGTCTCACTGATGTGTTAAAATATCTCAGTTTAAGGTTCTTAGCAAGTCAAAACCCAGATCAAAGTATGCTGAAGCTGAACAGTTGAGTCCACTGTACTAAAGACCATCAACCAAAATGGTCACATTTCTGGCATGTCCTGATAGAATGGAAAAAGCATCATAGGAATAAAATATTGCCACAGAGGTGCCTGTTTTTATAAGCAAATATGTTGGCAAGACCTACTTAGTAGCAAGCAGCTTTTATGAAAGGCAGCACTGTAGGCCATTAACTCTTGTTCCATCTAAACTATCCAAGGTGGGGAAGGGGAAAGATGGAGGAAAGAGGCAGTTGGAATCTGCTGTTTTGATGGAAAGTTAACAAGATGTCTAGGATGAATTATGAGGTCTGAGAATTTTGGGGAAAATATTGATGGATAAAAGTTGAGAAAGCTGTTATTTAAAAAGTACAAGCACCAAGATCGGGAAGTAGAAATGTGAATTCATCTTTAGTTCCAGCTGCTCCTTTTAGGGGAGAGGGTTGGAGATAACCCATAAATGAACTCTTCAGTTCCATACATGCAAAGAAAGTACCTGCCCTTTGTTTTTGTTTTGTTTTGTTTTTTGAATGTTCTTCAACCCTATACTTTGTTCTTGATGGAAACTATGGAGCAACCTGAATGAAGATGTTTTTAGATTGATGAACCGAGTTTTGATTTGTAATATAAAGTGTTGCAAAAATAGCTGTGTGTAGTTGAACTAGAGTTACTTTATGTTTCTGCAGAACTTATTGCCCTGAGGAAGTGTCCTGTGCCTTATACCTACTGCTTATTCTTCTGGAGATATGTCTTCTCCCATCTGAGTGATCACACACAGAAGATGAGGAATTAAGCCAGGAAGAGGTCATGGTGGCTCATGCTTGTAATCCCAGCAATTTAGGGGAGCCAAAGAGGGAGGATTGCTTGAAGCTAGGAGTTCAAGACTAGCCTGGGCAACAAAGTGAGCCCCTCATCTCTGTAAAAAATTTTAAAAATTAACTAGGAGTGGTGGCACACACCTGTAGTCTCAGCTACTTGGGAGGCTGAGGTGGGAGGATTGCTTGAGCTCTGGAATTTGAGGCTGCAATGAGCCATGGTCATGCAACTGCACTCCAGCCTAGATGACAGAGTGAGATCCTGTCTCTAGAAAATAAAAGCAAATAAATAAGCCAGGAAGAAAAAGTAGGAATTGCCTTCACCTTAAGCAGAAGAGACAGAAGGGGCTGAATTAGATGCTAGCTTTCAGTCGGACCCAGTGGCTCACGCCTGTAATCCCGGCACTTTGGGAGGCCGAGGTGGTTGGATCACTTGAGGTCAGGAGTTCGAGACCAACCTGGCCAAAAAGGTGAAACTTCATCTCTACTAAAAATACAAAAAAAAAAAGCCAGGCATGGTGGCAGGAACCTGTAATCTCAGCTACCTGGGTGGCTGAGGCAGGAGAATGGCTTGAACCCTGGAGGCAGAAGTTGCAGTGAGCCAAGATTATGCCACCACACTCCAGCCTGGGCTGTTAACAGAGCAAGACTCCATCAAAAAAAAAAAAAAACAGCATAAAAATTCTGACAAAATGGTAAGGAATTACTAGGCCACAATTGAAGGTTAAATATTTACCAGTGAGGTGAATAAGAGGAAAAGAAACTTTTTCTCTGAGAGTTCTTGACAATCGTAAATTTTTGAACGTTCACTTTGAATAATTCACAGAGCAAGTGACATCAGGACAGAAGTCAAAGCCTGGAGCCCCCACAAATAGTAGATCCCCCCTCAATAAACTAGGACCCTACACCCTCAGGAAAAGGTTGAACCAGAGCTGGGACCGTCCTCACATGGGATTAAAATCCAAGTCTGTTTCTCTGGGTTGATCACAGAACCTCCAGCCTTGAACGAGGTTTAAGGAAATGCCATATTGCTGGTAACCCCAAGTACCTGAGAGAAACAAACACATATGTTTGGAGAAAGATACCTTTATTCTTGATCTCAAATTATTCCTTACAAATAATTTTTAAATTCAGTGAGGAACACATGGTCAAAGATAACCAAGTATGGGCATGGTGGCATGCATCTGTAGTCCTGGCTACTTAAGAGTCTGAGGTGGGAGGATCACTTGAGCCCAGGAGGTTGAGGCTGCAGTGAGCCATGATCATGTCACTGCATTCCAACCTGGGCAAGACAGCAACATCCTGTCTCAATACAAGATGACCAAGTGCACAAGAAAACTAGACCCCAAGAGCAATAACCAGTGGCTACAACCAGCAACAAAAACAGACCCTCAAAAACTTCAGATAGTGAAGACTATTCAGATAATGCTAACTTCAGATAATACAGATTATCTGATTAAATAACTGTGAGGTATGCTTACCATTTTAAATGAAATGAAACATAAGCTAGATCAAATCTACAGAGAATAGGAAACCCTAAAAAGTGACACTGAAGACTTAAAAAGAAACCAAATAAAACTTACAGCAAAACAAATAACTGAAGTTTAAAACTCAATACTTCAGTAGTCATACGGTGCAACTGAAGGGCAAATAATGAACTGGAAATTAAATCAAAATAAATTATCTATTATGCTACACAGAGAGACAAAACAATAGAAAATAAAAAAAGAGAAGCTGGGCACGGTGGCTCACGCCTGTAATCCTAGCACTTTGGGAGGCCGAGGCAGGTGGATCACCTGAGGTTGGGAGTTCGAAACCAGCCTGGCCAACATGGAGAAGCCCTGTCTCTACTAAAAATACAAAATTAGCCAGGCATGGTGGCGCAGGTCTGTAATTCTAGCTACTCAGGAGGCTGAGGCAGGAGAATCACTTGAACCCGGGAGGCAGAGGTTGCAGTGAGCCAAGTTTGTGCCATTCAACAAGAGTGAAATTCTAGCCTGGGCAACAAGAGCAAAACTCCGTCTCAAAAAAAAAAAAAGAAAAGAAAAGAAGAAAAGAGAAAGAAATAAGACAGAAGATGTTCTAACACAGTCACTTCTCGTTGTTGACAAGAGTTACGTTCTATAAAGTCATTGTGAATAGTGGATTAGTGAATACTGAACCATTGTTCCTAGGAGAAATAAAAGGTTAAGTTCTTGTGAGCATATGTTCACAATTATTTCATTAATTAATCAATATATAACTTTGTTTTATGTGTGTTTTTGTTTAAAGGCAGCTTACTTAACATACCCATGGCCAACAGTACTTTAACTCATGTTTGAATGAAGCTTATTTAACACACGGATTTTCTTTTTATTATTATTATTATTATTATTATTATTATTATTATACTTTAAGTTTTAGGGTACATGTGCACAACGTGCAGGTTTGTTACATATGTATACATGTGCCATGTTGGTGTGCTGCACCCATTAACTCGTCATTTAGCATTAGGTATATCTCCTAATGCTATCCCTTCCCCCTCCCCCCACCCCGCAACAGTCCCCGGTGTGTGATGTTCCCCTTCCTGTGTCCATGTGTTCTCATTGTTCAATTCCCACCTATGAGTGAGAACATGTGAACACACGGATTTTCACAGCCTTCTTGTACCTAGAAAGATGCTTGGGGGGCATTTTAAACAGAGTAATCACCAACAAAAAGCACAAAAATCCAAAAAACAAAACCAAAGCACTAAACAGATAGCAAAAATGACATGTGTGTACAGTATGAGAGCTGAAGCAAGAAGGCAGAGCATCACCTTGTTTGACTTCAGCTGGGAACATGTACATCAGGTGACTCCAATTTTTTGCCACTCTGAGCATGTCCATGAATGACCATGAAAATAAGATTAATTTGGGGGTTACAAATAGATTTTAGCAAGTAGGTGAATCTGCACATATGCAATCCACAAATAATGAGGATTGATTACACTCGGAGTTCCAGAGAGACAAAGAGGAAAGAAAGATGAGAAAAAGGCAACATTCAGAAACATAATGACAGAATTTCTTAGAACCTACGAAAGACACCAACTGACAGATTAAAGAAACCCAAAGCAAAATGAATGAAAAGAAACCCACTTCTTGATTCATAACAGTGAAAGTACAGAAAGACAAAGAGAAAATCTTAAAAGCAACCAGAGAAAAAGACAGCAAAACATCAAGTAACGATAAGACTGACTTCTTATCAGCAACAGTGGAAGCCAGGAGAAAGTGAAATGTTGTGGGAAAAGAAAATAACTCCCAAGACTGTTCAAAACCCAGTGAAGCCCAGGAAGGGGGGAGGGGAAAAGGGGGAAAAAATAAAAAGAAAAAAAAGAACTTTGGGAGACTGAGGTGGGTGGATCACTTGAGGCCAGGAGTTCAATATCAGCCTGGCCAACATGGTGAAACCCCCTCTTGGCCGGGTGCAGTGGCTCACGCCTGTAATCCCAGCACTTTGGGAGACCGAGGCGGGCGGATCACGAGGTCAGGAGATCGAGACCATCCTGGCTAACATGGTGAAACCCCGTCTCTACTAAAAATACAAAAAATTAGCCGGGCGTCATGGCAGGCGCCTGTAGTCCCAGCTACTCAGGAGGCTGAGGCAGGAGAATGGCGTGAACCCGGGAGGCGGAGCTTGCAGTGAGCCGAGATCCCGCCACTGCACTCCAGCCTGGGCGACAGAGCGAGACTCTGTCTCAAAAAAAAAAAAAGAAAGAAACCACGTGTCTACTAAAAAACACAAAAATGAGGTCAGGTGCGCCGACTCACGCCTGTAATTCTAGCACTTTGGAAAGCCAAGGTGGGCAGATTGCCTGAGCTCAGGAGTTCAAGACCAGCCTGGGCAACATGACCAAACCCTGTCTCTACTAAAAATACAAAAAATTAGCTGGGCGTGGTGGCACACCTGTAATCCCAGCTACTTGGCAGGCTGAGGCACGAGAATCGCTTGAGCCTGTAAGATAGAGGTTGCAATGAGCCGAGATTGCGCAACCGCACTCCAGCCTGAGTGACAGAGCGAGACTCCATCTCAAAATCAATCAATCAATCAATCAATCAAACGGTGATTGTAAAAATGTCATTATACAAAATAGGAATTTCAGAAATGGTAAATATTATTGAAGCTACTAGCAAAATATGCTCTTTAAAGATATTGATCAACATATATCCTTTCTTAATGCCTCATTGTCAACATTATGAACAGATAAGTTCTATGATGTCTTGTTAAAATAGCCATAGATCCATGTGGTGTCAAATCTGAGCTCAAATATTTGTCAATACTGCTAGCAGCATTAAAATTGTGCTTTTCTGAAAACAAACAAAAAAAAGAATGGAGGTGAGGCTGGGCACACTGGGTCATGCCTGTGATCCCAGTAGTTTGGGAGGCTGAGGCAGGAGGATCCTTTGAGGCCAGGAGTTCAAGACCAGCCTGGGCAACATAATGAGATCCCGTCTCTACAAAAAATTTTAAAAATCAGCTGGGCATGGTGGTGGCATGCCTGTAGTCCCAACTACTCAGGAGGCTGGGATGAGAAGATCACTTGAGTCCAGGAGTTCAAGGATGCAGTGAGTGATCACGCCACTGCACTGCAGCCTGGGCAACAGAGACAACCTTGTCTCAAAAAAAAAAAAAAGGAACAAAAAAGAACGGAGGTAAATAATGGGACAAACTTATGTCTCCTGATAAGATGCACAAAGGACATAACATTACCTATGTAGTATTTTGCCAAGTATTTTTAATTTGGATTTAATCAAAATAAAACAATCAGACAAATATAAAATAACTAGCTTGGACTTTTGAAAAAGACAATGTCATGAAAGCCTGAAGAAAAAAAAGTACAGGGGAACTGCTCTAGATTAAGGAAAATTAAACAAACACTGACAACTAAATGTATTTTATGATCCTAAATTGGATCCTGGATTTTTTGTTGTTGTTGTTGTTCTGAGACGGAGTCTCACTCTGTTGCCCAGGCTGGAGTGCAGTGGTGTGATCTCTGCTCACTGCAACCTCCGCCTCCTGGGTTCAAGCAATTCTCCTGACTCAGCCTCCCAAGTAGCTGGGATTACAGGCACCCGCCACCACGCCCAGCTAATTTTTGTATTTTTAGTAGAGACAGGGTTTCACCATGTTGGTCAGGCTGGTCTCAAAATCCTGACCTCAGGTGATCCACCCGCCTCAGCCTCCCAAAGTGATGGGATTACAGGCATAAGCCACTGTACCCGGTCTCTTTTGTATAGGTAAATAATGATCAAATATTGGCAACTTTATACGGTTTATCCTAATATTTAAGGCTAAAAACTTGCTGTAAGCACTGGTATTTCCCATAAGTTAAAATATTGATATTACAAAATTATTTCTTGTTGATGAGTGCATTTATTTATAGTAAAAATGCAAATCAGGCATGGGAAAGATACACACCAGTTTTAGGATAGTAGTTACTTTAGAGAAGGAAGGGATGATGAAGGAATATAGATGTAACATTTTATTTCTTACCAATACAGCATTAAAATATAAATAAACATGTACAGCAAATAAGGCAGGAGAGTAACATCTGTTTAATTTTGTTAGTGGGTAAATCCCACAAGATTTTATACTTAGATTTTTTTATCATTCAGTTGAAAATATTTCTTATTTAATTATGATCTGTGATTTCTTTTTTTTTCCCCTCAGGCCTGGCCTGGGAGAGCATGATGTCACCACATGGATCTATGATTTCTTTCTTTTTAAAAAGTCTTTGACTTGTTTGGAAGTCTATTTTAAAACTTCTGATGCTCACCATCACTGGCCATCAGAGAAATGCAAATCAAAACCACAATGAGACACCATCTCACACCAGTTAGAATGGCAATCATTAAAAAGTCAGGAAACAACAGGTGCTGGAGAGGATGTGGAGAAATAGGAATGCTTTTACACTGTTGGTGGGACTGTAAACTAGTTCAACCATTGTGGAAGTCAGTGTGGCGATGCCTCAGGGATCTAGAACTAGAAATACCATTTGACCCAGCCATCCCATTACTGGGTATATACCCAAAGGACTATAAATCATGCTGCTATAAAGACACATGCACACGTATGTTTATTGCAGCATTATTCACAATAGCAAAGACTTGGAACCAACCCAAATGTCCAACAATGATAGACTGGATTAAGAAAATGTGGCACATATACACCATGGAATACTATGCAGCCATAAAAAATGATGAGTTCATGTCCTTTGTAGGGACATGGATGAAATTGGAAACCATCATTCTCAGTAAACTATCGCAAGAACAAAAAAACAAACACCGCATATTCTCACTCATAGGTGGGAATTGAACAATGAGATCACATGGACACAGGAAGGGGAACATCACACTCTGGGGACTGTTGTGGGGTGGGAGGAGGGGGGAGGGATAGCATTGGGAGATATACCTAATGCTAGATGACGAGTTAGTGGGTGCAGCACACCAGCATGGCACATGTATACGTATATAACTAACCTTCACAATGTGCACATGTACCCTAAAACTTAAAGTATACTAATTAAAAAATAAATAAAAATAAAAATAAAAAATAAAAATAAATAAATAAAAAACTTCTGAGCACATAGATATTTTCTAGTTATCTTTGTGTGTGTGTGTAAAAAGAGAAAAAGAGAGAGAGATGTGGTAAATTTCTCATTAGATTTGGGAAATTTTGGTGAAGGGTATGCCATAATTCTTTTTTAGTATTCTTACAACTTTTCTATAACTCTAAAATTACGTCAAAATAAAAGTTTATAAAAAATAAAAAAAAATGCCTTCTCTGCAGACTCAGGTTTAAAATAAAATTTGCTTCATATGATATTGATTTTCAAAATGCTATATTTTGTATGATCACAGCTGTAAATAGCCATCACACTCCAGCCTGGGCAACATAGTGAGACCCCATCTTTAAAAACCAACCAAACAAGGCCGAGTGTGGTGGCTCATGCCTGTAATCCCAGCACTGTGGGAGGCCGAGGTGGGCAGATCACTTGAGGTCAGGAGTTCGAGACCAGCCTGGCTAACATGGTGAAACCCCATCTCTACTAAAAACAGAAAAATTAGCTGGGTGTGGTGGCACACGCCTGTAGTCCTAGCTACTTGGGAGGCCAAGGTATGAAAATCACTTGAAATTGGGAGACAGAGGTTGCAGTGGTGTGATCTCTGCTCACTGCAACCTCCACCTCCTGGGTTCAAGTGATTCTCCTGTCTCAGCCTCTGCAGTAGCTGGGATTATAGGCATGCACCACCATGCCCAGCTAATTTTTAGTAAAGACAGGGTTTCACCATGTTGGCCAGGTTGGTCTCGAACTCCTGATCTCAAGTGATACACCGGCCTTGGCCTCCCAAAGTGCTGGGATTACAGGCATAAGCCACCACGCCTGGCCTGGATCCTGGATTTTTAAAAACTGTATAGAACATTATTGGAACAATTGGAAAATTTTCCATATGGACTTAGTATTTGGTAATAATATTGTACTAATGTTAAAATCCTGAACTGTAATAATTAAGTTATGGTTATGTAGGAGAATGTCCTTGTTCTTAGGCAATATATCCTGAAAATGTTAGGAGTGAAGTGGCATAATGTCAGTAACATACTCTTTTTTGTTTTATTTTGGGCTTTGTGTGTGTGTGTGTGTGTGTGTGTGTGTGTGTGACAGGGTCTTGCTCTGTTGCCCAGACTGCAGTGCAGCAGTGTGATCATAGCTCACTGTAGCCTTGACCTCCCAGGCTCAAGCAATGATCCTCCTGCTTCAGCCGCCTGAGTAGCTGGGACTACAGGCACATACCACCATGCCCAGCTAATTTTCTTATTTTTATTTTTGTTGAGAAAGGGATCTTACTATGTTGCCCATGCTCACCTCGAACTCCTAAGCTCAAATGATCCTTCTGCCTCAGCCTCCTATAGTGCCAGGATTACAGGCATGAGCGATTGCGCCCAGCCAGCAGCAATATGCTTTAATTGGTTTAGCATGAACAAGAAATAGAAAAAGAAGAGGAGGAAGAGGAGGAGAAAGAGAAGGAGGCAGCAGTGGCCTTGGTAGGAGACAGAGAGGAAGAGGAAGAACAGAGGAAGAAAAAGGGGGAAAAGATGAGAAGAAAAAAGAGAAACTGTGGCAAAACATTAACAATTAGTGAATCCAAATAAAGAGTATACAGGTGTTTATTGTCCAATTCTTTCCACTTCTCTGTAGTTTGAAATATTCAAAATATAGGAAAAAGTTACACAAATGAAAACAACAATAAGACAAAGCAAAAAGGTTGATTCGGGGTGAAAAAAAGAAACAATAAGCCATGTGCAGTGGCTCAGGCCTGTAATCCCAGCACTTTGGGAGGCCAGGACAGTAGGATCAGTTGAGTCCAGGAGTTCAAATCCAGCCTGAGAAGGATAGTGAGACCCCCATCTCTACAAAAACTTTTAAAACAAATTAGCCAAGCATGGTAGTGTGCACCTGTTGTCCCTGCTACTTGGGAGGCTGAGGTAGGAGGATCGCTTGAGCCCAGGAGGTTGAGGCTGCAGTGACCTGTGATCATGTCACTGCACTCCAGCCTGGGCAACAGAGTGAGATCCTGTCTCAAAGAAAAAAAAATGAAACAATAAGAGAACAATCATGACATTGTTAAATTTTACATGTATTTTTTTAAGTAGTTCTAAGTAAAAAAATTGAAGTGAAATATATTTTTAGACAAGCAAAACGTGAGAGTTTGCTAGCAGTAGACTCACACTACAGGTAATTCTAAATGATGTACCTGAGAAAGAAAAATTATTCTAAATGTCAAAGCTGAGATTTTTTTCTTTACTTTTTTTTAAAGACGGAGTCTCACTCTGTCACCCAAGCGGGAGTGCAGTGGTGTAATCTTGGCTCAGCCATGAATTCCTGGGCTCAGTGATCCTCCTGCCTCATCCTCCCAAGTAGCTGGGACTACAGTCATGCACCGCCACACCTGGCCAATTTTTTATTTTTGCTAGAGATGGGGTCTCATTATGTTGCCCAGGCTGGTCTTAAAGTCTTGAACCCCTGGCCTCAAGTGATCCTCCCACCTCAGCCTCGCAAAGTGCTCAAATTACAGGCATGAGCCACTATGCCCAGCCAGAACTGAGATTTTTTTTTTTTTAACGAAGAGCAAAGAAAATACTATGTGGGCAAATGGATATTGACTATATAAAACAATATTAATAATTTTTATGGAAATTTATAAAAATTAAAATATTTAATAACATGATGCATTTCTCCAGATAGGAAAAACACAGGCTAATTTTGATAACTGAATCAGATACACCATAACTGGAAATAGTCATGAGGAATACTCAATATCAAATATAAGAGTATTACAGTATTTTAGCATATCAATTCCTTAAATATACTGTAAAAGAAAGAACTAAAAGGATAAAGTTTAAAATAAAAGGTTGTTTATTTATTTGGTTGGATTTTATTTTATTTTATTTTGAGACAGGGTCTCGCTCTGTCACCCAGGCTGGAGTGCAGTGGTGCAAACTTGGCTCATTGCAATCTCCACCTCCCGGTTTCAAGCGATTTTCATACCTCAGCTTCCCAAGTAGCTAGGACTACAGGCACGTGCCACCATGCCTGGCTAATTTTTGTATTTTTAGTAGAGATGGGGTTTTGCCATGTTAGCCAGGCTGGTCTCGAACTCCTGACCTCAAGTGATCTGCCCACCTCGGCCTCCCACAGTGCTGGGATTACAGGCATGAGCCACCACACTCGGCCTTGTTTGGTTGGTTTTTAAAGATGGGGTCTCACTATGTTGCCCAGGCTGGAGTGCGATGGCTATTTACAGCTATGATCATACAAAATATATAGCATTTAAAAAATCAATATCATATGAAGCAAATTTTATTTTAAACATGAGTCTGCAGAGAAGGCTTTTTTTTATTTTTTATAAACTTTTATTTTGACGTAATTTTAGAGTTATAGAAAAGTTGTAAGAATACTAAAAAAGAATTATGGCATACCCTTCACCAAAATTTCCCAAATGTAATGCGAGATGTTACCACATCTCTCTCTCTCTTTTTCTCTTTTTATACAAACACACGCGCGCACACACACACACACACACACACAAATAAATATAACTAGAAAATATCTATGTGCTCAGAAGTCTTAAAATAGACTTCCAAACAACTCAAAGACTTTTTAAAAAGAAATCATAGATCCATGTGGTGACGACACGCTCTCCCAGGCCAGGCCTGAGGGGAAAAAAAAGAAATCACAGATCATAATTAAATAAGAAATATTTTCAACTGAATGATAAAAAAATCTAAGTATAAAATCTTGTGGGATTTACCCACTAACAAAATTAAACAGATGTTACTCTCCTGCCTTATTTGCTATACATGTTTATTTATATTTTAATGCTGTATTTGTAAGAAATAAAATGTTACATCTATATTCCTTCATCATCCCTTCCTTCTCTAAAGTAACTACTATCCTAAAACTGGTGTGTATCTTTCCTATGCCTGATTTGCACTTTTACTATAAATAAATGCACTCATCAACAAGAAATAATTTTGTAACATCAATATTTTAACTTACGGGAAATACCAGTGCTTACAGCAAGTTTTTAGCCTTAAATATTAGGATAAACCGTATAAAGTTGCAATATTTGATCATTATTTACCTATACAAAAGAGGCCGGGCGCAGTGGCTTACGCCTGTAATCCCATCACTTTGGGAGGCTGAGGCGGGTGGATCACCTGAGGTCAGGATTTTGAGACCAGCCTGACCAACATGGTGAAACCCCGTCTCTACTAAAAATACAAAAATTAGCTGGGCGTGGTGGTGGGTGCCTGTAATCCCAGCTACTTGGGAGGCTGAGTCAGGAGAATCGCTTGAACCCAGGAGGCGGAGGTTGCAGTGAGCCGAGATCGCGCCATTGCACTCCAGCCTGGGCGACAGAGCGAGACTCTGTCTCAAAAAAAAAAAAAAAAAAAAAAAAAAAAAGACAGGGTATTGCTCCAGTGACAGTCATTTTAGCAGCTCTTGAGTCCATCCAGGCCGTCAGAGCTTTGGGAGCGCATCGTTTGGCGAGAGGGCAGGAAGGGGCGAGGGGAGGGGCCCTCCTGCTGAACAGTGGCGGGTATGGGGGTCGGCGGCGGCGGGGGTGACAGCTTTGCTCGGGTCACCGCGCTGGTCTTGGTCCTTGTCCCGGTCCCGGTCCAGGTCCCGCACCGTCCACAGGTTCCAATGGCAGCGGCAGAACTGAGGGCCCTGGCTCAGGTTACCATGACTACAGAAGAACATATAAATCTCACAAAGGGCTGTATGACCTTTGAGGACATCGCCATTTACTTCTCACAGGACGAGTAGGGACTGCCTGATGAGGCTTGGAGGCTCCTATACCTTGAAGTGATGCTGGAGAACTTTGCACTTGTATTTTACCCAGGATTTTGTACAGAAATACTGGGCGTGGTGGAGCCTGCAGCAAACTAGTTGGAATGTGCCTCTTGTAAAAGTAGCCTCACTGGGTTGTGGGCATGGTAAAGAGGATGAAGAGACACCTTCTGAGCAGAATGTTTCTGTGGGAGTGTCACAGTTTAAGGCAGGTTCATCCACACTGAAGACTCAACCCCGGGAGATATATGTTCCATTCCTGAAAGATATCTTGCCTCTGGCTAATCTCCCTGGGCGGGAACCTTACTTGGTTGGAGCACGTGCAAACCAGTACCAGCACCAGAAACATCACAGTGCAAAGAAATCCTTGAAGAGGGACATGGACAGAGCCTCGTAAGTGAAGCACTGCCTTTTCCATATGTCAGGGAAGCCCTTCCGCAAATGCGAGGTTGGGAAGGACCTCCCAGCCATCTTGGGGCTTCTAGGTCCCTGGTCTTTCCTAAAACTGAGAAGCCCAACACGATCACCAAATGTGGAGAGGACACTCACAGTCAAAAAAGTCATTACAAGTCAGGTCAGTGTGGGAAGGCTTCCAGGCACAAGCACTCCTGTTCACTGTCTAAGAGTTTACACTGGACAAAGCCTTTATGAGTGTATCAAATGTGGGAAAGCTGGCTGGGCGCAGTGGCTTACACCTGTAATCCCAACACTTTTCAAGGCCGAGGTGGGCGGATCACCTGAGGTCAGGAGTTTGAGACCAGCCTGGCCAATATGGTGAAACCCTCTCTACTAAAAATACAAAAAAAAAAAAAATTAGCCAGGTGTGGTGGTGTGCACCTGTAGTCCCAGCTACTTGGGAGGCTGAGGTAGGAGAATTGCTTGAACCCAGGAGGCAAAGGTTGCAGTGAGCTGACATCACATCACTGCACTCTAGCCTGGACAACAGAGTGAAAGTCTGTCTCAAAAACAAAAAACAAAACAAAACAAAAAATGGCAAATGTGGGGAAGCCTTCTGTGGCAAGTACTCACTTGTTTAGCACCAGAGAGTTCACACTGGAGAAAGGCCTCCATCCTTATTCAACATGGGAGAATTCATATTGGAGCAAGGCCTTATGAGTGTGGCCAGCATGGAAAGTTCTTTAGTCAAAAGTCTGGCCTTATTCAACACCAGGTGGTTCTCACTGGAGAAAGGCCTTATGAGTGCAACCAATGTGGGAATTCCTTTAGCCAGTGCGCCAGCCTCATTCATCACCAAAAATGTCATAACACGTGGAGGCCTCATGAATGCAGCAAATGTGGAAGAGTGTTTACCTTCAAGATCTATCATCTTTTAGCTCCTGAAAGTCCACACTTCAGAAGAGCCTTAGACCTAGAGAGAATGTGCTGTCTCTGTAGTATTGTGGCAGTGGAGAGCCTTTAGGAGGGAGCCACCTGCCTGAAGTTGAACCTTATGCTTCCAAGTTTCTTTGGTAGAAACCGTCTCCCCTCTACCACCTTGCACAGTAGGCATTGGTCACCCTGATATTCTGAGGCAAGGCAGACATCTGTGTGTTCTTTTCTTCTTTGGAGGAAATCTTGAGCAGTCTGAGCCTATTGGGGAAATTCATTCTCTTTTCTGACTGATCACAGCACACATCTGACCCAGTTTTGGTCAGGAGGTCCCAGCCTGGGTTCTGGTGGAAGAAGGCTTCCCTTCATGGAAATTCTTGGTCTCACACGACTCTTGGTCATTCTTCCAGCCTCCAAGTCACCACCTGGCAACTGGCTGCCTCACATTGTTCCAGTTTGTGCACTAACAAAGGCGCTCTCTCTCTCTCTCTCTCTCTCTCTATATATATATATATATATATATATATATACCTTTTTTTTAGACAGGGTCTCCCTCTGTCACCCAGGCTGGAGTGCAGTGGTGAGATTTCAGCTCACTGCAACCTCCACCTCCCAGGTTCAAACAATTATCACACCTCAGCCTCCTGAGTAGCTGGGACTACAGGCATGCACCACCACTAAAGGCCTTATATTTGAATCTACCTGTAATCTTGGGGTTTTGTTTACTATGTGGGGTGGGTGGCAAACAGACTTGAACTCTATATGAAGGAGTGGACAGCTTTTGTGGGCCTCTACAGAAAAAGTAAAATGACAGAGTAATTCTCACTCTGATTTTGGTCATATTTGTTTTGCTACCTAAGATCTCCTAGGAAACAATGCAAGGTTTTGGTTATTCTAATTTGTGGCCTGGAGCCTATACTTTCTGTGAGACTAGAGGTTATCCTGAGGAAAAGCCAGCTATTATGACAAGCACCTGTGCTTCGGGGAATAGGACAAATTTGTTCCATTGTTCCTAGAGGACGTCATATGATGCCCAGGACTGTTGAGAAGTTTTTCACAAGATTCTATAAGGAGACATGCCCTGATATCAAACATTCCATAGGCTGATGTCACTCAGAAGACAATGGGAGTCAGGTGTGAACTATAATTGGTCCAGAAATACTGGATATGGCGGAGACTGCAGCAAGCTACTTGGAATGTGCCCCTTATAAAAGTGCATTTACAAATCTTCCTGTGACTGTGGCTTTGAGCAAGTGACAGGACCTAGAAATCTGTGTATCACCAATAGCTGAGGTCATTGTCAGCAAAAATAATTAGTTTTTTTTATTCTTGTTGACTTTCTGGGTTGTTTACGTCAAGTCTGTTGCTGTAGAAGCAGGAAAAGGATAAAGATAATAGAAGTCTGGCTGGGCCCAGTGGCTCACACCTGTAACCCCAGCACTTTGGGAGGCCAAGGCAGGCAGATCACTTGAGGCCAGGAGTTCAAGACCAGCCTGGCCAACATGGTAAAACCCCATCTCTACTACAAAAATTAACCAGGCGTGGTGGTGCACATCAGTAATCCCAGTTACTCAGGAGGCTGAGACACAAGAATCGCTTGAACCCGGGGGGCAGAGGTTGCAATGAGTTGAGATTGCACCACTGCACTCCAGATAATAGAAGCCTTACTTGACAGGGATGTAGGACTTGTGATTTCCACCAGTGTTGCTATTGTCTCAGACCACAGCACCCTACAGTGCTTGCCGATATTTCCTGAACTGATGGATGCAGGGTTGCCCTTCCTCCAGCCTGAAGGAAAAGACAGTTCAGTCAACATGAGGATGCCAAGCCTTCTGGTTTCTGAAAAGTGGGAGATCAGGCCAGGCGCAGTGGCTCACGCCTATAATCTTAGCACTTTGGGAGGCCAACGGGAGCAGATCACCTGAGGTCAGGAGTACAAGACCAGCCTGCCCAACGTGGTGAAACCCAATCTCTACTAAAGATTAAAAAAAAAATAGCCAGGCATAGTGGTGGGCGCCTGTAATCCCAGGTACTTGGGAGGCTGAGGCAGGAGAATCACTTGAACCCGGGAGGCGGGGGCTGCAGTGAGCCAAGATAGCACCACTGCACTCCAGCCTGGGCAACAGAGTGACACTCCATCTCAAAAAAAAAAAAAAAAGAAAGAAAGAAAGAAAAAAGAAAAGTGGGAGATCAGGTATTTTATTTTGAAACATGTTTTACAAACTTCCTTGATGTATAAGTGACATGCCATAGTATATATGTATTTATGGTGTATAATTTGAAGAGTTTGTCATATAAGTCCATGAAACCACTTGATATGGTTTGTCTGTGTCCCCACCCAAATCTCATCTTGAATTCCCATGTGTTGTGGGAGGGACCCGGTGGGAGGTAATTGAATCATGGGGGCAAGTCTTTCCCGTGCTGTTCTCATGATAGTGAATAAGTTTCACAAGATCTGATGGTTCTATAAAGAGGAGTTTCCCTGCACAAGCTCTCTTTTTTTCCTGCCTCCATCCACATAAGATGTGACTTGCTCCTCCTTGACTTCTGCCAGGATTGTGAGACTTCCCCAGCTATGTGGAACTGTAAGTCCAATTAAACGTCTTTCTCTGGTAAATTGCCCAGTCTCAGGTATGTCTTTATCTGCAGTGTGAAAACGGGCTAACACACCACCGTAGTCATGATCATGAACATATTCATGATTCAACTCATGCTGTTTTACAGTCTGCCTGCACTTTCCAAGGCCTTTAAGAGTCCAGTGATTTACTTTCAGTACAAGAGAATAGTTTGTGTTTTCTAGAATTTTATGTGAATGGAATCATAAAATATTTACTCCTCTTTTCCTAATGTTTTTCATACTGCATAATTATTTTAAGATTTAGCAATGTTGTTTATGTGAATAGTTCATTTGTATTGCTGAGAAATATTTATTCTGTGGATATGCCACAATTCAGATAAATAATTGGATGTTTTCCAGTTTGGGGCTGTTATAAATAATGCTACTATGAACATAGGCATATAATTCTTAAGATGCATAAATGTTTTATTTCTCCTGTTCCAATAGTACAGTGTATGTGAATGCTTCACTTTTAAAGAAACTACCAAACTATAACCTAACTGTACCATTTGCATTCCCATCAACAGTATGTGAGCCTTCCTGTTTCTCTACATTCTTGCCAATACTTGGTGTGGTTAGTCTTTTTAACTTTAGTTGTTTTAATAGCTGTATAATAGCATCCTTCTGTGATTTTATTGCATTTTTCTGGTATCTTATGGTATTGACCATTTTTTTGTGTCTATTTGCCACCTGTATATCTTCTTTGGAAAAATGTTTGTTAATGTCTTTTGCCTATTTTTAAATGAATGTTGGTGATCGTTCCTTTTTCATTAATAAATAGACATGTATAACAAAAAAGACAAATTTATATTGCCTGGCCAAATATATAGAAAGAGAGAAAGAAGAAAGGCTGAAAATTAGTGGATTAAGCATCCACCTCAAGAAGCTATAAACAGAAAAACAAAAACCAAAGGGTGGAGGAAAATAAAAGCAAAAACAAATAGAAATAAATGGCATAGTAACCATACAGAAAACAGAGAAAATCAACAAAGACAAACTTTTTTTTTTTTTGAGACGGAGTTTTGCTCTTGTTGCCCAGGTTGGAGGGCAATGGCGCAATCTCGGCTCACTGCAACCTCCTGGGTTCAAGCTATTCTCCTGCCTCAGCCTCCCAAGTAGCTGGGATTATAGGCGCCCACCACCACGCCCGGCTAATTTTTGTATTTTTAGTAGAGACAGGGTTTCACTGTGTTGGTCAGGCTGGTCTCGAACCCCTGACCTCAGGCGATCCACCCACCTCGGCCTCCCAAAGTGCTAGGATTACAAGAGTGAGCCACCGTGCCCAGCCAAAAGTTTTTTTTAAGAGTAGTTAATAAAACTGGCAAACTTTTGGTGAGATTATTTGAGAAAAAAAGAGAGAAAAAGAGAACATACAAATTACCAAAACAGGATCAGAGATGAAAAGGGTACTTCATCCATATGTTGAAAACATATTTTTAAATGAATAAGACACAAATTACCAAAACTGACCTAAGAATAAATAAAAAATATGAACACATTTATAATAAGTAAAGAGAATCAGTAATCAAACACCTTCCAACACCTTCTAACAAAAACAAGTCCAAGAAGGCTACCAAACATTTAAAGAATTAACATTGATCCTTCTTAATTTCTTCCAAAAACTAGAAGCAAAAGGAATACTTCTTAGCTCATCCTACGAAGACAGCATTACCCTGAAACCACAGCCAAAGACATCACAAGAAAAAACAATTACAGACCAATATCCTTTATGAATACAGATGTAAAAATCCTCAAGGAAGTACTAACAAACCAGATTCTCCAGCATGTTAAAAGGATTATAAACCATGACCAAGAAGGCTTTACCTACAACAGCAAGAGTGATTCACATAAGAAAATTAATCAATGTGGTAAACCACAACATTAATCGAATGAAGGAAAAAATCCACATGATCATCTCAATTGACACAGAAAAAGCATTTGACACCCTTTCAGGATAAAAACTCTCAGAAATTTAGAAGCAAATTTTCTCAACCTGATAAAGGATATTTATGAAAAACACACAACTGACATCACCCTCAATAGTGAAAGACTGAAAGCTTCCCACCTAAGTTCAGGAATAAGACAAGGCTCTCTCTCTTTCCACGGTCATTCAACATTGTACTGTAAGTTCTAGTCAGGTCAATGGGACAGGAAGAAAAAACAGCATCCAAAGTAGAAAGGAAGATATAAAATTATCTCTATTCACAGATGACATAATCCCATATACAAAAAATTCCAAAGATTCCAGAAAAAATGTACTTGAGCTAACAAATGAATGCAGCAAATTCACAAGATACAAGATCAATATACAAATATCAATTGTATTTCTATACACTAGCAATGAACAATCCTGAAAGGAAATTAAGAAAATATTTCTGTGTACAATAGCATCCAAAAGAATAAAATGCCTAGGAGTAAATTTTACCAAGGAAGTCAAAGACTTGTAAACTGAAAACTACAAAACATGTCTGAAAGAAATCCAAGAAGCCCTAAACAAATTGAAAGACTTCCTGTGTGCATGGATTGGAAGACATAATATTGTTTGAGATGGCAATACCACTCAAAGTGATCTACAGATTCAAGGCAATTCCTATCAAAATTCCAATGGCCTTTTTAGCAGATAAAGAAAAGTCATGGCATTTTGGGAGGCCAAGGCAGGAGGATCACTTGAGCCCAGGAATTTGAGCCCAGCCTGGGCAACATAGTGAGACCTCATCTCTACTAAAAATAAAAAATTAGCTGGGTGTGGTGGTGTGCATCTGTGGTCCCACCTACTCAGGAGGCTGAGGTGGGAGGATGGCTTGAGCCAGGGAGGTTGAAGCTGCAACGAGCCATGATCGTGCCACTGTACTCCAGCCTGGGCAACAGAGTGAGACCCCGTCCCCACCCCCCCACCCAAAAAAAGAAAGAAAAAAAAAAGCAAAAGAAAAAGTCAGTTATTGAGTTCATATGGAATTGCATGGGACCCTGAAAAAAACAAAACAATCTTGAAAATTAAAACAAAGAAGACTCACACTTTCCTATTTTAAGTCATAATACAAAGCTACAATAATTAAAAACAGTGTGGTACTGGCATAAAGATATACATACAGAGCAGTGGAATAGAATTAAGCATATAGAAATAAGCCCATACATCTATAGCCAATTAATTTTCAACGAGGATGCCAAATCATTCAATAGGGAGACAATTGTCTCTTCATCAAATGGTGCTGGGACAAGTGGATATTCATATGCAAAAGAATAAAGTTGGACCCCTACTTCAGAATATATACAAAAATTAACTCAAAGTACATCAATGACCAAAAGATATTCTTGCTATGTAGCCCAGGCTGGAATGCAGTGGTATTATCATAGCTCACTGCAGCCTCAAACTCCCAGGCTCAAACGATCCTCCTGCCTCAGCCTCCCAAAGTGCTGGGATTACAGGCATGAGTCATTGTGCCCCGCCTCAAAATCTTAAAACTTTTAGAAGAAAGCATAAGGGTATATGTTAATGTTCATTGGCAATGGTTTCTTAGATGTGACACCAAAAGCACAAGCAACAAAAGAAAAAATAGATAATTTGGACTTCATCACAATAAAAAACTTCTGTGCTTCAAGGGACACCATCTAAAAAGTAAAAGGAGAACCTGTTAATATTAAATGGAAAAAATATATATTTTTGTTTTTGTTTTTGTTGTTTGTTTGTTTCACTCTTGTTGCCCAGGCTGGAGTGCAATGGCACAATCTCGACTCACCACAACCTCCACCTCCTGGGTTCAAGCGAGTCTCCTGCCTCAGCCTCCCGAGTAGCTGGGATTACAGGCACGTGCCACTGTGCCCGGCTAATTTTCTATTTTTAGTAGAGACGGGGTTTCTCCATGTTTGTCAGGCTGGTCTCCAACTCCTGACCTCAGGTGATCCACCCGCCTCGGCCTCCCAAAGTGCTGGGATTACAGGTGTGAGCCACCGCACCCGGCCGAAATATATTTTTAAATTATGTATCTGATAATAGTGTAGTATCCAGAATAAACCAAAAAAATGCTTAAACCTCAAGAACAAAAAGAAAAACAACTCAATTAAAATTGGACAAATTAGCCAGGTGCAGTGGCTCACTCCTGTAATCCCAGCATTTTGGGAGGCTGAGATGGAAGGATCACTTGAGACCAGGAGTTCCAGACCAGCCTGGGCAATACAACAAGACCCTGCCTCTACAAAAACTTTAAAAAATTAGCCATACGTGGCGATGTGAGCCTGTAGTCCCAGCTACTCATGAGGCTGAGGTTGGAGGATCGCTTGAGCCCAGGAGTTGGAGGCTGCAGCGAATTATGATCACGCCACTGCACTCTAGGCTGGATGATAGAGTGAGACCGTCTCAAAATAAATAAATGAGTAAACAAATAAATAATTTTTAAAATTTAATTTTAAAAAATAAAAATGAATTTTAGGAAAAAGATAAATTAGCCTCAGTTGATAGAATGCTTTAAAAAATGAACAAAGAACTTGAATCGACATTTATTCTGAGAAGATATACAAATGGCCAACTAGCACATGAACAGATACTAGTCATGTACATGCAAATCAAAACCACAACAAGCTATCACAACACACCCACTAGAATTGCCATTTTTTAAAAAAAGGAAAATAAGTGTTGGTAAGGATGTGGATAAATGGGAATTTTAATACATTTCTGGTCGTAATATAAAATGGCACAACTGCCACAGAAATAGGTTTGGTGGTTCCTGAGTAAGTTAAACAGATACTATACGAACCAGCAATTACCCTCCTAGGTATATACCCGTGAGAAATGAAAACATCCATTCACACAAAAACTTGTAACAAACCTTCATAGCAACATTATTCTTAATAGCCAAAAAGTGGAAACAATCCAAATGTTCATCAACTGATGAAGGGATAAGCACAATATGGTATATCCATACAATGAAATATTTATTCAACCATATAAAGGAATGAAGTACTGATATACATCACAACATGGATGTACCTTGAAAACATTATGTTAAGTGAAAGAAACCAGACAAAAAAAGGCCATATACTATATGATTCCATTTATATAAAGGCCCAGAAAAGGCAAATCTATAGATAGAAACTAGATTATTATTTGCCAAGGGCTTTAGGGGAGGGGCAATGAGATATGACTGGTTAATTGGCATGAGGTTTCTTTCTAGGGTAATGAAAATACTCTGAAATTAGATCATAGTGATGGTTGCACCGCATGGTGAATCTACTAAAAAACACTGAATTGTACATTTTAAAATTGCTAAAGGGATTACTTTTTCTCAATTTTCAAAAATAAAAAATCCCTAAAACTGTTAACTCTGATTCTACTGGACTTAACTCCTGATCCAATATAGTGTCTGATATCTAGTCTATGCTCAATATACATTTATTAAATGAATGTTCAAATGAGTAAATTAATAAATAGAAACACCCATCAAACATAGTCGACTGCAAGCTCCATCAGGCAAAGATTTTTGTCTGTTTTGTTCATTGCAATATTGAAACCTCGTTTGCAAAATTTATAACAGTTAGAAAATTAAGACAGTGAAAGAGATCTGATTTAACTAATTCCATCTAGACTTTAACCTCCAAACTGCCCTTGGTCATTCCTGGACATGGGCAAAGCTAATTTTAGGATAAAAGTATAGTTTAACTGATAATAGCCATTCCCAAAACTAAACTGCCTTTGTAAAACTAATGAAAGGGCCACCAGGCTAGGAGGATGAGAGGGGCCTAAACTCTGCTAAGATAAACGATTACCAGCCATTTTTCTGGAAGTCACAAGACTTGAAACTTCCCCAATTATTCCTGTAAATAACATCACTATAGTATAACCTGAGATTGGCCTTTTGAGATGTCTTTTCAGGCTTTCACATTTCTGATGACCAGATGGCCCCAACTAGACCAGCAACTCCTCTGTGGCTACCACCCAGAAGCCAACTCAGTGAACAAGGACCATTTTCCACATGGCTATGTTTTGCATCCCCAACCAATCAGCAGCACTATTCCCTAGACTCTGCCCACCAAACTATCCTTGAAAAACTCTAGCCTCCAAATTTTCAGAGAGGCCGATCTGAGTAACAATAAATCTCGAGTTTTCCATTTAGCTTTCTCTACATGTATTAAAGTCTTTATTGCAAATTCCCTGTCTTGCTCTATCTGGGCAGTGGGCAAGAAGGACCCATTGGGCAGTTACAAATTTGGGAGCTCATCTGGGATAGCCCTTGTGGCTACTTTCCCACAGTTTGGTAGCTCTTCACTAGCAACAGATCCGGAGGCCAGCCCGAGCAGCTACTTAGTTCTCTTGGACCAAGGGCTTCCCCTGGCACTATCTCTACTGCTGGGGTGCTGTCAACCCATAGTGCATGCATCTAATTGCAATGGAGAAATAGTTCCTGGAAGACATCTTGTAACCTGGTTTGGTGAGTATTCCAGGATCTGGCAACACTTGCTTCCTTCTCCTCATCTGTTGGCCTCCCTAGAGGCCCTATCTGTAGGCCCATCCCAGGGACTGTTTGACTCTCCCTAGGTTGTAGAAAGAGTCTTGGTTTGGGGAGATTTCTCCCCAGTTAGATGGAGAATATGGGGCCTATTTGGAGGAATACTCTTCTGGTTTAGAATCTAGTCTGGAATTTTGGTTTGGAAGTCCTTTTGTCCATCTTTACCTCATTGTGCATATTTGTAAGCATGGACAGGATTCCTCAAAGGAATTGCTGATAGAAGTCCAGCAGGCTCTCCTAGTGTGTCTGGTTGGTCACATTTGGTGAGCCCTGAAGGAAACTCAACAGTCCTAACTCAGGGACCATCTGCTCTTCCATCTTGCTCACAGACCATCTGTTGAAACTTCTGGTTGGAGGTCATCCTACCCTACTTTGACTGAATCAAGGATGTCAGGGACCAATGAAGGCAAGTTTGAGCCTTGGAAGGTTGATATTGAGTGCTGAGCAGGGTGACTAGTGTCTGTGTTTTGTCACGTGATTTTTCTCTGGCCAGAAGGGAACATGTTAATTGGGTTCCCCCATGCAGCCTGTTGGACTGTTGGGCTGCATCTTGCAAAACTGAGAGGTTTTTGTCTATGCTTCCATGAAACAGAAAAGAATGATTTTTTTTGTGATGTTACTTGGCTCCATATCACCCAGAAACCTGGCATGCCATTAAAAGTGTAAGAATTTCTTACCAGCCAAGTTTCTGGTCTCTTTCTCTGTGCAAACCAATTGAGTAAATGGTAAAAGTCACTGTTTATCACCTCTGCAAGCTATTGTTTAATAGGAAAAAGAATTTATGAGACTAATCTTAGGCTCCAGTGAATCTTGTGTACTTTGTGCCATAATTTGTCTTTCTGTATTGTTCCATGTGATAGTTAATATTGAGTGTCAACTTGATTGGATTGAAGGATGCAAAGTATTGATCCTGGGTGTGTCTGTGAGGATGTTGCGAAAGATTAACATTTGAGTCAGTGGGCTGGGAAAGGCAGACCCACCCTTAATCTGTGTGGGCGCCATCTAATCAGCTGTCAGCACGGCTACAATATAAAGCAGGCAGAAAAACGCGAAAAGACTAGACTGGCCTAGCCTCCCAGCCTACATCTTTCTCCTGTGCTGAATGCTTTCTGACCTCGAACATTGGACTCCAGGTTCTTCAGTTTTGGGACTCAGCCTGGCTCTCCTTGCTCCTCAGCTTGCAGACAACCTATTGTGGGACCTTGTGATTGTTTGAGTTAATACTTAATAAACTCTCCTTTATATCTATCCTATTAGTTCTGTCACTCTAGAGAACCATGACTAATACAGATTTTTGTACCAGGAGTGGTTCTAGAGGGACAGAATGTTAAGGATGGAGTTCTCTCATTGGTTTGGGTGTTTCTGGAGTTGGCTGCTTAATATGCTTAGACCCAATGCTAAGGACTCTACTTCTAGTAGTATGGAGAACACTGATAGTTGTTGGTGTGAACTGTTTAGAGAGTTATGCAAAATAAATGCATTTGACACTCCTAATTCACTGCTTGTGAGAGACAAGGAGTTTAGTGACTCTATACATAATACCTTTGACCACATGTGGAGAACCAAGGAACATAATGAAGCTGGTTGGTTGCTCCTAAGTTCAGTGGTCAAAGTGATGAAAGAAAATGATGAACTCAGGGATTCTAACTCCCGTCTTCAGAAGGAGATACTGAGTCTCAAGTCTGCTAAGATTTCCCGGATTGAGAGTCTTATCTCCTGTAGAGAAAGAGCTGAAATTGTAGAAAAACACACACAAGCTCTTATCATGTGAGTAGCTGACCTGCAATGAAAACTGCATGCACAGCCTCGCCAGCTGTCTACTATTAGAGTGAGGGCATTGACTGGAAAAGAATTACACCCTGAAACTTGGAATGGGGACATGTGGGAGGACCATGATGAAGCTGGGTACACTGAGTTTGTAAACTCTGATGAACCTTTTTTGCCCGAAGAAACAGCTTCCCATTCCCAATAGTGACAACATCCCCTCCCCAATTCATGCTGCCATCAGCCTTTCCACCTTTGTCTGGGGAGATAAACCCTGCGCTGCCTGAGGCAACAGTGATGGCCTCCCCTGAGGCAGTTGCCAAGCAAGATAATGTTGATTCTCCTCAGGAGCCACCCCCAACACCCCTATTTGCTTCTGGACCTACAGCTAGACTAAAGTTCTGGCAGACCCTTAGAGGTGAGGTTGAGCGTATGACCCATAAGGAGACACACTACACTTGAAAAGAACTGCTTGAGTTTTCTAATTTATATAAACAGAAATCTGGAGAACAGGCATGGGAATGGATATTAAAGGTGTAGGGTAATGGTGGAAGGAATATATAGTAGGATCAGGCTGAATTTATTGATTTGGGCACACTAAGTAGGGACTCTGCATTTAATGGTGTAGAGTCAGGGAGTTAAAAAAAGGTTCTAAAAGTTTATTTGCTTGATTAGCTGAAATATGGATTAAAAGATAGCCCACTGTAAGCAAGCTGGAAATGCCTGATCTCCCTTGGTTTAATGTAGAAGAAGGGATCCAAAGGCTTAGGCAGATTGAGATGGTGGAGTAGATTAATCACTTTAGACCTGCTCATCCCAGCTGGGAGGGTCCAGAAGATATATCCTTGACCAATGCCATGTGAAATAGATTTATGAGGGCACCACCTGCATCTTTGAAGAGCCCTGTAATTGCTCTTCTCTGTATATCAGATCTAATAACAGTGGGAACTGCAGTCATTCAACTACAAAATTTAAATACAATGGGAATAATTGGATGCCGAGGTGGCAGGGGTCAAGTGGCAGCACTCAACCGTCAAAGGCCAGGTGGGTGTAGCTACTGTAATGGACAGCAGAGGCAAAGCAGCAATCATAATAGTCTGACTTGTGTAGAGCTCTGGCATTGACCAATTAATCACAGTGTTCCTATAAGTGAAGTTGATAGGAAGCCTACTGCATTCCTACTTAATTCATACAAGGAGAAAACTTCTAGGCCTAATGAACAAAAGACTAATTTGAATTATAAAAACAGAGAATCATGACCCATCAATCAATTTCCAGACTTGAGCCAGTTTACAGACCCAGGACCCCTTGAATGAATGGGAGGCTGGGTCCCCTTGAGGAAAGACCCCACTACATTACTGACAATTTATGCTGTTAATCTTTCTTCCATCCTTCCCCAAGGAGACCTCTGGCCTTTTACCAGGGTAACTGTGCACTGGGGAAAGGAAAATGATCAGACATTTCAGGGACTACTGGACACTGGCTCGGAGCTGATGTTGATTCCAGGGGACTCAAAACATCACTGTGGTCCTCCAGTTAAAGTAGGGGCTTATGGGCCGGGTGCAGTGCCTTACACCTGTAATCCCAACACTTTGGGAGGCCAAGGCAGGCAGATCATGAGGTCAGCAGTTCAAGACCAGCCTGACAAACATTGTGAAACCCCATCTCTACTAAAAATACAAAAATTAGCCGGGCATGGTGGCTTGTGCCTGTAATCCCAGCTACTCAGGAGGCCGAGGCAGGAGAATCGCTTGAACCCAGGAGTCGGATGTTGCAGTGAGCCGAGATCATGCCACTGCACTCCAGCCTGGGTGACAGAGCGAGACTCCATCTTAAAAAGAAAAAAAAGTAGGGGCTTATGGAGGTCAGGTAATTAATGGAGTTTTAGCTCAGGTCTAACTGACAGTGGGTCCAGTGGGTCCCCAGACTCATCCTGTGGTCATTTTCCCCAGTACCAGAATGCATAACTGCCGTAGGCATACTTAGCAGCTGGCAGAACCCCCACATTGGCTCCCTGACTGGTAGGGTGAGGGCTATTATGATGGGAAAGGCCAAATGGAAGCCATTAAAGCTTCCTCTACCTAGAAAAATAGTATATCAAAAACAATATTCCATCCCTGCAGGGATTGTGGAGATTAGTGCCACCATCAAGGACTTGAAAGATGCAGGGGTGGTGATGCCCACCACATCCCCATTCAATTCTCCCATTTGGCCTGGGCAGAAGACAGATGGATCTTGGAGAATGACAGTGGATTATCGTAAGCTTAACCAAGTGGTGAATCCAATTGCAGCTGCTGTACCAGATGTGGTTCCATTGCTTGAGCAAATTAACACATCTCCTGGTACCTAGTATGCAGCAATTGACTTGGCAAATGCCTTTTTGTCCATTCCTGTCCATAAGGCCCACCAGAAGCAATTTGCCTTCAGCTGGCAAGGCCAGCAATATATCTTTACTATCCTACCTCAGTGGTATATAAACTCTCTAGCTTTGTGTCATAATCTTATTCAGAGAGACCTTGATCACTGTTCACTGTCATAGGATATCACACTGGCCCATTACATTGATGACATTAGGCTGATTGGATCCAGTGAGCAAGAAGTAGCAAACTCACTGGACTTGTTGGTGAGACACTTCCATGCCAGAGGATGGGAAATAAATCTGACTAAAATTCAGGGACCTTCTACCTCAATAAAATTTCTAGGAGTCCAATGGTGTGGGGCCTGTTGAGATATTCCTTCTAAGGTGAAAGAGAAGTTGCTGCATTTGGCCCCTCCTACAACCAAAAAAGGGACACAGCACTTAGTGAGCCTATTTGGATTTTGGAGGCAACACATTCCTCATTTGGGTGTGTTATGCCGGATCATTTATTAAGTGACCCAAAAGGCTACCAATTTTGAGTGGGGTCCAGAACAGGAGAAGGCTCTGCAACAGGCCCAGGCTGCTGTGCAAGCTGCTCTGCCACTTGGGACACATGACCCAGCAGATCCAATGGTGATTGAGGTGTCAGTGGCAGATAGGGATGCTGTCTGGAGACTTTGCCAGGCCACCATAGGTGAATCACAGCAGAGGCCTCTAGTATTTTGGAGCGAGGCCCTGCCATCTTCTGCAGATAACTACTCTCCTTTTGAGAGACAGCTCTTGGCCTGTTACTGGGTTTTAGTGGAAACTGAACGTTTGACTATGGGTCATCAAGTCACCATGTGACCCGAACTGCCTATTATGAACTGCGTGCTTTCTGACCCATCAAGCCATAAAGTGAGTCATGCACAGCAGCAATTCCATCATCACATGGAAGTGGTATATACATGATTGGGCTCAAGCAGGTCCCGAAGGCACAAGTAAGTTACTTGAGGAGGTGGCTCAAATGCCCGTTGTCTACACTCCTGCCACTCTGCCTTCTCTTCCCCAGCCTGCACTGATGGCCACATAGGGAGTTCCCTATGATCAGTTGACAGAAGAAGAGAAGACTAGGGCCTGGTTCACAGATGGTTCTGCACCGTATGCAGGCACCACTCAAAAGTGGACAGCTGCAGCACTACAGCCCCTTTCTATCACATTCCTGAAGGACATGGGTGAAGGGAAATCTTCCCAGTGAGCAGAACTTCGAGCAGTGCACCTGGTTGTGCACTTTGCATGGAAGGAGAAATGGCCAGATGTGTGATTTTATACTAATTCATGGGCTAAAGCCAATGGTTTGGCTGGATAGTCAGGGACTTGGAAGAAGCATGATTGGAAAATTGGTGACAAAGAAATTTGGGGAAGAGGTATGTGGATGGACATCTCTGAGTGGTCAAAAACTGTGTATCCCATGTGAGTACTCACCAACGGGTGACCTCAGCAGAGGAGGATTTTAATAATAATATGGATAGGATGACCCGTTCTGTGGACACCACTCAGCTTCTTTCCCCAGCCACCTCTGTCATCGCCCAATGGGCCCATGAACAAAGTGGCCATGGTAGCAGGGATGGAGGTTACACATGGGTTCAGCAACATGGACTTCCACTCACCAAGGCTGACCTGGCTACAGCCACTGCTGAGTGCCCAATTTGCCAGCATCAGAGACCAACACTGAGCCCTCGATATGGCACCATTCCTCTGGGTGATCAACCAACTACCTGGTGGCAGGTTGATTATATTGGACCTTTTCCATCATGGCAAGTACAGAGGGTTGTTCTCACTGGAAAAGATACTTACTCTGCATATGGGTTTGCCTATCCTGCAGGCAATGCTTCTGCCAAGACTACCATCCATGGACTCATGCAATGCTTTATCCACCGTCATGGTATTCCACACAGCATTGCCTCTGATCAAGGCACTCATTATTATGGCTAAAGAAGTGCAGCAGTGGGCTCATGCTCATGGATTTCACTGGTCTTACCATGTTCCCCATCATCCTGTAGCAGCTGGATTGATAGAATGGTGGAATGGCCTTTTGAAGTCACAATTACAATGCCAACTAGGTGACAATACTTTGCAGGGCTGGGGCAAAGTTCTCCAGAAGGCCATGTATGCTCTGAATCAGCGTCCAATATATGGTACTCTTTCTCCCACAGCCAGGATTCACAGACCCAGGAATCAAGGAGTAGAAGTGAAAGTAGCACCACTCACCATCTCCCCTAGTGACCCACTAGCAAAATTTGTGCTTCCTGTTCCCGCGACATTACGTTCTGCTGGCCTAGAGGTCTTAGTGCCAAAGGGAGGAACGCTGCCACCAAGAGACACAACAGCAATTCCATTAAACTGGAAGTTAAGATTGCCACCCGGACACTTAGGGCTCCTCCTACCTTTAAGTCAACAGGCTAAGAAGAGAGTTACAGTGTTGACTGTGGTGATTGACCCGGACTATCAAGATGAAATCAGTCTACTACTCTGCAATAAAGGTAAGGAAGAGTATGCACGGAATACAGGAGATCCATTAGGGCATCTCTTAGTAGCATCTCTTAATATTACCATGCCCTGTGATTAAGGTCAATGGGAAACTACAACAGCTAATATCCAGGCAGGAGTACAAACGGCCCAGACACTTCAGGAATTAAAGGTTTGGGTCACTCCACCAGGAAAAAAAACATGACCTGCTGAGGTGTTTGCTGAAGGCAAAAGGAATACAGAAGGGGTAGTAGAAGAAAGTAGTCATCAATACGAGCTACAACCACGTGACCAGCTGCAGAAATGAGGACTGTAATTGTCATGAGTATTTCTTCCTTCTTTTCTTAAAAATATGTTTGTGCATTTATACACTTGTATTAAGAAAATATCTCCATTTTATTTCCTTTTTCTTTTATCATGTACCATAAGATTTATTGACTTCATATTAGCATTTAAGTATTGTTAATTTTATGTAATAGTATCTGGGTTGGGAATTGGTGCATTTCTGGTTGTCTGAAGGATAGTTGTATTATGTCAGGTGTAATTATGACCTTACTATTGTCTTTATTTGAAGATTATGTATGATCTCAGGAGATGTGTATGGGTTCAAGTTGACAAGGGGTGGACTTGTGATGGTTAATACTGAGTGTCAACTTGATTGGATTGAAGGATACAAATTACTTATCCTGGGTGTGTCTGTGAGAGTGTTGCCAAAGGAGATTAACATCTGAGTCAGTGGGCTGGGAAAGGCAGACCCACCCTCAATCTGGGTGGGCATCATCTAATCAGCTACCAGCATGGCTACAATATAAAGCAGGCAGAAAAGTGTGAAAGGACTAGACTGGCCTAGCCTCCCAACCTACGTCTTTCTCCCATGCTGGATGCTTCCTGCCCTTGAACTGAACTCCAAGTTCTTCAGTTTTGGGACTCAGATTGGCTCTCCTTGCTCCTCAGCTTGCAGATGGCCTATTGTGGGACCTTGTGATTGTGTGAGTTAATACTTAATAAACTCTCATATATTTACATATATATATATAGACATATATACTTATAGAGAGCGAGACAGTGCAATGTTCCACAATACATCTCATTGAAAGGATGTTTCCCTGAGGCTGCTGTGCAACCTAGTGCCAATCAGCCCACTCTGTAATCATCTCTCACCCCGCCATTCCATAGCTCCTAAGTGTCCAAGAGGATGCGCTTCTTATTTAAATGAACAAAGATAGGAGTATAGCCCTGTAGTAATAATCACTCACTCTAAGCAACGGCTATTAACCATTTTTAAAAGTATATGTTTTATATAGCTATTATAAATCAAGGTTAAAATTTTCTCATAATGCAATGTAATTTCTGGTCCCCCTAAAAGTCAAAAAGATTAGATACAAGAGAAAGAAGGAACAGATAGGAGGAAACAGAGAATCAGACAGAATTCTGTTGGCTGAGTTTTTACAGAGGCAGAGCAGGGGCTCTAAAACAGTATCTGTATGTATATAACCCAAATATCAGCCTTAATTAAGTTGATTTTTAACAACAGAGATCTCAAAAGAAAAATACTTTGAAATCTTTTATTACTAGATTTTAGCTGAGACAAACAGCCTATATTTCTGGCTTTTGAAATTTTTTTTTATAAAAGGTAACTTCATATGTGAAATCAATAAGCCTTAACTGAACTTATGCATAACCACAGATGCATAAGATGGCAAGTCATTTTTACAAGATCTGAATTGCCCCAAAAGTAGCTCAGAGAAAGGAAAATTCAAGACAGGATATCAGAAGCTGTCCCTGGAGGGAAAAATAATCACTAAATGGCAAAAGCTGCACAAGTATTAATCCAGAAAGGGCTCATTCCCTAACCAGAAATAGAACCCAGGCCACCATTAGTAAAAGGCCAAGGCCTTAGCTAGTGAGTTACAACATGGGGAAGTCGCCATTGCTTTTCCCATAAGGAGTCTAGGGTAGTCATTTTTGAGCTTGGAAAGGATTTTAACTGCTCAAGAGAATTCTTAAGGCTAGCCATGACATGTACCCAAAAATTCCCACCCTCCAGATGGTGGAGACTAGGAGAAAGCACTCCCACATGCCCACAAAAAGAACTTTATGCACTGTCTCTTCCCATAGTGTTTCCCTCTTTTGGGGATTCAGGATTTGGTGTAAAAATGGGATCCTTAATTTTTGGGGATCTGTTCTGCCTCCCAGCTATGCCTGCCTATTAGGCCCTAGAAACTGCATGCCTTCCTGGCCCTGTTCCTTAAAAGGCTCCACCCTAAAGCCAGTAATCCAATTACCTTACATCTTTAAGGAAATCTCCACCTGTAAAGGTGTCCGCTTTTCCCGGCCATCCTTTTATTTATTTATATATTTTTTTAGACAGAATCTCACTCTGTCACCAGGCTGGAGTGCAGTGGTACCATCATGGCTCACTGCAAACTCTACCTCCCGGGCTCAGGTAATCCTTCCACTTCAGCCTCATGAGTAGCTGGAACTACAGGCACATGCCACCACACCCTGCTAATTTGTCTATTTTTTGTGAGGACAGGATTTCTTGATGTTGCCCTTTGAGTAAACTACAGGAACAAAAAGGGGGGAGAGAGAAGAGACAGATTGAGTTTGTCTCATGCCATCTTTATCGGGTCTTGTTTGAAAAGCTGTCTCCCCTCTATCAAACTAAAGGTTTTTGCCTTTTCTTAAATTTTTGAGGCCAGGCACGGTGGCCCACGCCTGTGATCCCAGCACTTTGGGAGGCCAAGGCAGGTGGATCACTTGAGGTCAGGAGTTCGAGACCAGCCTGACCAACATGGAGAAACCCCATCCCTACTAAAAATACAAAATCAGCCAGGTGTGGTGGTGCATGCCTCTAATCCCAACTACTCAGGAGGCTGAGGCAGGAGATTCGCTTGTACCCGAGAGGCGGAGGTTGCGGTGAGCCAAGATCGCACCATTGCACTCCAGCCTGGGCAACAAGAGGGAAATTCCATCTCAAGAAAGAAAAAAAAAAGAAAGAAAAAAAAACATTTTTGAGCTATCACTTCAGCTAAATGAATGATTTGTGATCCTATTTAGTGATATCAATTGTTTTAAACCTTTGATATTCGACAAACTTTCCAAAATCATATTCTAAATTGTGTCTTTTTTTTTTTTTTTGCCTCATTAACCTTTTTAAGTGCAAAAGAGACATATTCGGCTGGGCACGGTAGTTCATGCCTGTAATCCCAGGACTTTGGGAGGCTGAAGCGGGCAGATCACTTAAGGCCGGGAGTTTGAGACCAGCTTGGCCAACATGGCAAAACTCCATCTTTACTAAAAATACAAAAAATTAGCCAGGTGCGGTGGTGTACATGTAATCTCAGCTACTCAGGAGGCTGATGCGTGAGAATCACTTGAATCCGGGAGGCAGGGATTGCAGTGAGCCAAGATTATGACATTGCATTCCAGCCTGGGTGACAGAGTGAGACTCTGTCTTAATTAAAAAAAAAAAAAAGAGAGAGAGAGAGAGACATACCTGGTTTATTTGGTATATTAAAATCATACAAGGACCATTGTCAAATATAAAATGGTATTTAATTTTTCTTGGGTTATATTCATATACATATGTTACTAGTATGAGTTCCAAAACTATATGATTCCTATAATTCTGATATGTCTTGGTATATGCTATGAGTAATAATTATGACTGTTGTATTAAATTATTATGTGCCACAAAAATGACCAGATTTCCTTGTTGACTGCATCTTTAACTGTGGCTGTCCTAAGACTTGCCATCCACAGACAATTGTCATCTTATTTTGATCCTTTTCAAAAGGCAGTTTATAATCATCTATAGGACCCTGACAAGTGTTTTCTTGTTTTTTGTTTTTTTGAGATGGAGTCTTTGCTCTTGTTGCCCAGGCTGGCGTTCAATGACACGATCTCAACTCACTGCAACTTCTGCCTTCCAGGTTCAAGCAATTCTCCTGTCACAGCCTCCCAGGTAGCTGAGGCCACCACCACACCTGGTTAATTTTTGTATTTTTAGTAGAGATGGGGTTTCAGCATGTTGATCAGGCTGGTCTCAAACTCCTGACCTCAGGTGACCCACTCGCCTTGGCCTCCCAAAGTCAGCTGGAATTATAGGTGTGAGCCACTGCACCTGGCCTTGACAAGTGTTCTTGAACATAAGTCTTTGGAAAGTATTCATGAGTATTTTTAACTTTTACCAATATAGTTATTTGCATAATTGCAATAAGAATCTGTTTTCTTTTGTAACAGGACAAAATTGGAGATACTGGTTATATTACCAAGGCTTTGACTGGAATGATATGCTTTCAGATATAAACAGATTGCTTTAAGGAATCAAAGTTGACTTATAGAGCTGGTAATAGCCCCTTGGGAAAATTGGCCTCATACCTTGTGTATACAGTCCCTGTACACGGTTCCTGACCTGTGATAAGTAAAGAATGTCACTTTCTGACAAGCCCAGGAGCCCCAAGTTATCTTGAGACTGAGAGGAGAGGAATTCAACCAATTAATACAAATATTTGCAGGCACAGATAAATCCATGGCTGAGCTCGAGGATTTTAAGAGTCCAATCTGAGATTCCTTATGAAAAAGCAGTACCAGTAAGCCAATTTTATTAAAAGAGCCTTCATGTCAAATAATTATTATTGCTGCACTTTATGCAAACAGTCAGGCAAAGTATAATAAGACTAAAACTTATTTTGCAAATACATTTTTCCAATTATGATTTGTCTTTCGTAAAAATGGGGACTGGAGAGAGAAAAATTATGTTTCAAAAAATTCTATAAGGTCGGTGGTGGCTCATGCCTATAATTCCAGCACTTTGAGAGGCTGAGGCGGGTGGATCACTTGAGGTCAGCAGTTCAAGACCAGCCTCGCTAACATGGTGAAACACCGTTTCTACTAAAAATACAAAAATAATTAGCCAGGTGTGGTGGCTTGTGCCTGAAATCTCAGCTACTTGGGAGACAGGCAGGAGAATTACTTGAACCCCGGGAGGCGAAGGTTGCAGTGAGCCAAGATTATGCCACTGCACTCCAGCCTGGGTGACAGAGTGATACCCTGTCTCAAAAACATAAAAGGAAAAAAAAACACTATAGGACACCTGTTAGATTCTAGTCTTGTCTGTTTTTGGTTGTTGTTGTTTTTATTATTTTCTGCAATTTGGACTGAATCCTGAATTCTCTCTGAGCTACAAGTCTCCAAACTCATGCTTTCCAATTTTTCTTCCATTTTTCTGACCTGGACTCAATGAAATTGCTATTACCTTTTTCCTGAGGCCCTGCAAGCTGGAGCTTATTCCTTGTAATAAAGGCAAGAAAAAATGTGTCAGATTGCCACTGTCTTCTTCCTATATAGCTAAAGATGCTTTGAGACCAACATCTGGATAAATTGTGACCAACACTAACCTTTGCTTTTCTTCTGTTTCCATAGAAATGCCTCCTATTAAAAATCTGTTTGCCTTCATCACATATAGAGCCCTAGCCCATCTGCAATACCACTTCCTGAAATAGGACAGAGTTGTTTAACTGAATTGATCTGTTCTCTGAACTAAAAACTGACTTAAAAAGATATGGCATGGTATATTTAAATTTACTCTTTCCTGTTCATCCCAATTTGTCTACCAACAACCTCTAACACAAATCTTTCTCGACTGGTGACCCTGTGTCTGACTGGTTCTCAGAGCTATTCACCTGGATCCCTTAGGGCTTTAGATAAATTCTACAAGGACTTCTGAAGCTAGGACTTTCATTCCTTATATTAGGACTCATTATCTTATAGTTTGCTGTCAACCTCCAACCAGGCTGTGAATACATCTGGACAGCTGTAAAGCAGTTTCACTACTCTTACCCTGGAGCCAACCCTATCCCAACAGCACCTCCTGTCAGCAGAAAGAAGTTAGAGCAGTTTTTGGCCTTTTCCCATCTCTGTAGCTCACACCTAAGAATAAGGTGTGGTGAAACCCAACATGGGGGATTGAAACCACCTTTGCAAAAATTATAACAGTTAGGAAATTGTAACAGTAAAAGAGATCTGACCAAAGCAACTACATATTGCCTTTAACCTCCAAACTCCCTGGCCATGGGCCAAGCTAACTTTGGGAGATATTTAGTTTATATTTTAAATGATAATAGCCATTCCCAAAACTAAACTACCTTTGTAAAACTAATGAAAGGTCCACCCAGTTAAGAGGATGAGGGGGGCCTGAATTCTGCTAAGATGTAGGCATAAATGATTACCAGCCATTATTCTAGAGGTCACAAGATTTGCAACTTCCTCAATTACTCTAGCAAATAACATCACTATAGTATAACCTAAGATTGAGATGTCTTTTCTGGCTTTTGCATTTCTGATGACCAGATGACTCCATCCAGACCCACTATCCCAACCTGTGGCCTTCACCCAGAAGTGAACTCAGCACAGGAGGACCATTTTCCACACCCCTATATTTCCATCCACAACCAATCAGCAGCACCCATTCCCTAGCCTCCTGCCTGCCAAACTATCCCTGAAAGACCCTAGCCTCTGAAGTTTGGGGGAGGCTGATGTGAGTAATAATAAAACTCTGGTATCCTGTTTAGCTGACTCTACATGTGTTAAACTCTTTCTCTATTGTAATTCCCCTGTCTTGATGAATTGGCTGTATCTGGGAAGCAGGCAAGAAGAACTCATTGGGCAGTTACAGTATTCCCCAGTGCCTGTAACAGTGCTGACCACATAGCAGGTGAACAAGAAATATTTCCTAAATGAATGGATTAATGAGTTCTGCTGGTTTCTTATAAGGGCTATTGCCTGGGTGGGATCACAATGGTCCAGGATCTGATCCTCACTTCTGTAGGTCTAGAAACAGTTCAGTCAATGTACCAAGACTTACTTGTCTCTGTGGAGCTACCACACACTTACTCAAATTGGCAGGAAGCTCTTTTGTAGTGGAGTAGCTGCTGAGGAGAGTAATTTGAACAAACTATTATTTACTTAAATTTTTTAAAACTGCCATCTTCTTCATTGTAGAGAAGATACAAAAAAATTCTCTTGGAGCATATATATTCAGGGCAAAGGTTTTGAGAGTTTCTCTTGTTCAAAGGAGAGTAAGTAGTTATTGCTCTGAGTAAATTGATAACAGGAGGATCTTTCAGGTCTTCACTAAGTCTGCCCCTCTAGTATGCAAATCTGGGAAGAAAGCTGTAGAGCATAGGGCCTTCTGTGGTGAAGATGAATGAAAAGAATGAGAAGCGAACCTCTCCCTTCAGATTCCAAGCTGAGGAAACCTGTCAACTTGAACTAAACCACAAAGGTCCTTACCAAGGCAGGGACCTGGAAGAGAAAGCAGATCCCAGAAAAAATCACCAAGAAAATAAAGAGATAATCCAATGGGTGAGCCGATGCTTGAGTCATTGTGGAAAATGGGGGCCAGTAGTTCTGGGTTAATAAGCTGATGAACCTCAAAATTGATCCTGCCTGCTTCCTCCTGAAGGTAAACCATGCCCTGGTCCTGTAACTTTGTGAGCTGCTTGGACTGTTTGTCTTAAAGCATTCATGTGTGGCTGGTGCTGGAATCTGCTAGCACCCATGATAATAACAGGAACAGGGGGTATAACACTGACTTTATCATTTTGGGTACCACCCACTGAGGCAACACTGCTGTATGAACTCAGGAAATTTTTTAAACTTTATCTAGAGAGCTTAAGCCAATGGCTGAACAAACCTCTAGAGAATTCACTACAGTTCAGCTCTAATCAAGTGGTTTCTGGTAACAATATTATCCAGGATCAAAGGTTCCAATTTCAGCACAAGGAGATGAGTAAGTAAGATGCTCTAATACACAATGCCCACCCCCAACCTCAGGTTAGTAAACACTTTGGAGTCAGAGACATATAAAGGGGAACATATGGGACTTGAAGAGAAAAGACAGGTTTTACACTAATTTATCCAGGTACTTTATAATTGGGAGCGGGCTAGCTTATTATTCATAACTGAATCAAAGTCCAATCATACTATAATCAAAGTAGCTCTATTACTTTTTCAAAATAAAAATTTCTTACAGTTGTCTCTTTATTGTAAAAATGCTTCATGGATATGGTAGAAACTTTAAACAATACAGAAATGTATTAAGAAACTAAAAATCACTTCTGAATCCCACCACACAGAAGTGACCACTGTTAACATTTTGGTAAACATATTTCCAAAAATCTTTCCTTGTATACCGCCACACACCCCCACCCCCACCCCCACAACCTCCTTGTATACAACACTCCTTCCCAACCCCACACACTCTTTGCCTTTCAATGACTGATAAACATCACCATGTTTAACCAATACTTAGTGACCCACTAAATGGATGTATCATAACTTATTTAACCAATCCTCTATCAATAGACATGCAGGATATCACCAATATTTTGACATTATAGATAGCACTGCAATAAACAACTACTTACATCATTTTTTGTATTTTTAAAATTTTTATGTATTTATTTACTTTTATCTGTTCTCACAATCTATTTATTATTTATTTATTCATTTACTTTTAGAGAGACAGGGTCTCATTCTGTCATCTTGTTATAAATAAAGTTTTGGTGCCACAAAAGAAATAGCACTCGAATATAAAATTTTATTTTTAATTCTCAGCAAGGCAAGTTACTTTTATAGAAGGGTGCGCCCTTATAGATGGAGCAATGGTAGCACACACTTGGACAAGGGAGGGGAAGGGGTTCTTATCCCTGACGCACGTGGCCACTGCTGCTGTGTGGTTCCCCTATTGGCTAGGGTGAGACTGCACAGGCTAAATTAATTCCGATTGGCTAACTTAAAGAGAGTGACGGGGTGAGTGGTTTGGCAGGAAAAATGGTTATGGCAGAGCAGGAAATCAGAATGAGTCAGGGTGGAGAATAAGTCAGGGTGGAGCAGGTAATCGGAATGAGTCAGGGTGGAGCAGGTAATCAAAAAAGGTTGCTTTATGAGAAAGTTAAGTTTAAAAGTAGAAGGCAAAGAATTGAACAGACTGACATATTGGTTTTCTGAAGAGAAATTTAGAACTCATATCTAACAATCTAGGCTGGAGTGCAGTGGTGCAATTATAGCTCAGTCTAACCTTGAACTCCTAGGCTCAATCCTCCCACCTCAGCCTCCTGAGTAGCTATGACTACAGGTGCATGCTAACCTGCCTAGCTAATTTTTTTTAAAAAAATTATGTTTATATATGTTGCCCAGGATGGGTGGTTTGCTGCACCCATAAACCCGTCATCTACATTAGGTATTTCTCCTAATGCTATCTCCCCCCTAGTCCCCCACCCCTCAACAGTCCCCAGTGTGTGATGGTCCCCTCCCTGTGTCCATGTGTTATCATTGTTCAACTCCCACTTATGAGTGAGAACATGTAGTGTTTGGTTTTCTGTTCCTGTGCTAGTTTGCTGAGAATGATGGTTTCCAGCTTCATCCATGTCCCTGCAAAGGACATGAATGCATCCTTTTTTATGGCTGCATAGTATTCCATGGTGTATATGTGCCACATATTCTTTATCCAATCTGCCATTGATGGGCATTTGGGTTGGTTGCAGGTCTTTGCTATCGTGAATAGTGCTGCAATAAACATATATGTGCATGTGTCTTTATAGTAGATTGATTTATAATCCTTTGGGTATATACTCAGTAATGGGATTGCTGGGTCAAATGGTATTTCTGGTTCTAGATCCTTGAGGAACTGCCACACTGTCTTCCACAATGGCTGAACTAATTTACACTCCCACCAACAGTGTAAAAGCATTCCTATTTCTCCACATCCTCTCCTGCATCTGTTGTTTCCTTTTTAATGATCGCCATTCTCACTGGTGTGAGATGGTATCTCATTGTGGGTTTGATTTGCATTTCTCTAATGAGCAGCGATTATGAACTTTTTTTATATGTCTGTTGGCCGCATAAATGTCTTATTTTGAGAAGTGTCTGTTCATATCCTTTGCCCACTTTTTGATGGGGTTGTTTTTTCTTTTAAATTTGCTTAAGTTCCTTGTAGATTCTGGATATTAGCCCTTTGTCAGACGGATAGATTGCAAAAATTTTCTCCCATTCTGTAGGTTGCCTGTTCACTCTGATGATAGTTTCTTTTGCTGTGCCGAAGCTCTTTAGTTTAATTAGATCCCATTTGTCAATTTTGAAAGCCTCCGCTTTTTGATGCTCACTTGCGGTTTTGTGTATTGGCTTCATGGTACCAAACAGGGATAGACCCCATTATGGGGGACCAGTTTTTCTGGTAACAACCCTTCTTATTCTCCCTTCCAGGAGGTTTGTTGGCAAGCCTGAAATCTCCAACCCTCTAATTACTTGGTCTTTGTGGTGTCCATCCACATCCTGTGGCTACCTAGGGGCTCCATTTTAAGTCACCTCATTAGCATAAACTCAGGTGCGATTTAAAGGGCTTGTTATGAAAACAAAAGACATTCCTATAATTCAGGAAATTTTTAAAAGAGCTCTGTGCCAGGAACCTGGGACAAACACCAAATATATTATTATACCACAATGATAATGAGCTCTGAATTGAATTAGTAATAAATAGCCTACCAAATGAAAGATGGATTCACAGCCAAATTCTACCAGATGTACAAAAAACAGCTGGTACCATTTCTACTGAAACTATTCCAAAACATTGAAGAGGAGGAGCTTCTCCCTAACTCATTCTATGAGGCCAGCAGCATCCTGACACCTAAACCTGGCAGAGACACAGCAATAAAAGAAAACTTCAGGCCAATATCCTTGATGAACATCGATGCAAAAATCCTCAACAAAATACAGGCAAACTGAATCCAGCAGCACATCAAAAAGCTTATTCACCACAATCAAGTAGGCTTTATCCCAGTGAGGCAGGAAAATAGGGTCTGGAGGCAGGGAACATAAGGCCGATTCACACTTCAACAATGACAGGAAATACCCTCTCCATAGGGCGTAGGCCAAATGACTTTGAAACTTTACTTCATCCTCTTCATTTACATAGGGCATACCCCAAGTAGAGGGCATTTAAACTCACAAAACTCTGTAACAGGGCCTTTGAGCCACTATGCTCAGGCCCACTCCCACGCTGTGGAGCGCACTTTCACTTTCAATAAGTCCCTTCGTCCCTTCCTTGCTCTGTTTGTGCATTTTATCCAATACTTTCTCCAACACACCAAGAACCTGGACCCCCTCCACTGTTAATATATTTGGTAATATATATTTGGTAAGCCAGCCAGGAGGAAGAGGTAAGCCCGAATTCTTGGATATAAAATGCTCCAGGAATAAATGCTCAGCGCCATGAAGTAAAACAAGCACTCGGGCAAAAGTTTAATTATCTCAGCAAGGCAATTTACTTCTGCAGAAGGGTACTATTTGCGTCAATCAAGATCACAAGAGCACAGAGAACAAAGGAGACCAGGAGGGTTTTATCCTTAACGCAGTCCCTCTCTGTGTGTCACTCCTCCATGGGCTGCGGTTGGACCGCACAGTCTGAGCTGACCCGATTGGCTACTTGTACATATTTTCCTAAATATAGAAGGGGAGGGGGATGTAAGGTACAGAGGTGGAACATGTGAGACGTACAGTTTCGGGGGAACAATGGGTACAGGTAACCAAGGGAACAGATGTGAGTTGTTGATTAGAGCTGACAGGAAGAGGCTGTTTACGGTAACTAGGGGGCAAGGAAGAACAAGAAAGTTGAGTTTGAGAACAAAGGATAAGAAAGTTAACAGGCTAAACCCTTTGAAGAGAAACTCAGAAAGATTTATGGTATCTTACAAAAGTTTGGGATTTATTCTTCTCCTTTCTCCTTTTCCTTTCTGCTCCATACAAGGGAATCTCTTTCTCTCTCTTTTCCTTTCCAACGCAGGACCCTTGATGGGCAGCATCTAAACATGGAAGCAACTGCAGGTTTCTGGTCATAGTCAGTGAAACTAAGGGGTTTCCATGTGGAGAAGCCTAACTGCCACCAGTTGGTTAGTTTAAGGGATCCGGGTCTTTTTCATTTTTCCTTTTCCTCTTTCTTTTTCAGTTTTTCAGCGGCTGTTTCCTAATAGCTCCTTGAAAATGAGGGCAAATTGGCTGGGGTCACTGCTCAGTATTGCCTGAAGGCCAAGGAATGAATGGGAATAATTTCCCTGCCCCAAAGGGTGAATGACTTTTTAAAAAATCTTTTCCACACGTGGTCCCTGATCCCTATGTGCAGGGCAGCTTGGAGCAAACCCAAACGTTTCAGATGACTTAAACCTTCTTTTTTTTATGCTAAATTCTTCCCTTCCCCTATTCAACTGGCTAAAGGCAAAGGAAACCCACCCAGCCTCCAGTTCCTATCATTAAAGTTCATGGAATGGGAAGCATGGGAAAGCGTGGCCTTACCAAATTATAAAGATGCTAAACGTTGAGGATTACACCCAGGTTCCAAAGGAAAGCTCATAGCAGGCTCTGGAGGGAATGCATGCGAAGTGGCACCAGTGCCCACCTAAGGCAAGAGATGTCTGGAACTCTAAGATTGGACCCCACAGCAGGATGCTCTGGGGGATACTCCAGACCTCAAACTCTCCAAAGAGGATGCTCTCAGCAGAGGTTCTGAGGTCTAGTAATAAGCCCTCCATAGAATTTTCTTTCGCAGTTGCAGTGCTGCTTGGCCCCAAAATTGTTTAGAATCTGAAGTTTACTCTCTAATGGGAAAGTGGGATGGCATTGCATGTATCCAGGCCTTTGTGCTGCTGTTCTAAGCAGGGGGCGTGGTTAACGTGTGACGCCCTCATTTGGTACTGTTTGGCCCAGTGCTCCTTGGAGTCTGGGGAGGTTTAGTTTTTGAAAATCAAACTGCCATGGAGACTGCTTTACCCAAAATTTTGGTTCACAGCCTTCCTTGGATTATCTACTGGGGCAAAGTAAAACCGGCAAGCTTGTATTGCTACCTCATAGCTGAGGTTCCAAGCTATTGGATCTTTGTTTATGTGTGTGTATACACGACTAGATGTGTTTGTGTGTACACTTATTGTTATATGTTGTGTCTGCCAAATTAGCTTATAAGTAAAAGAGCATTCATCAATTAAGTAAATAAGTCTATTTTCAAGTTCAAGTTCACGTGATCTAAGTATAACTTTACTAAAAAAGCTAGCTTTAAAATTATTGGTGGAATAAAAATAGAAAGGCCTTCAGAATTGTCAGCATACATTTCATCTGAATGTTATGTTAGTCTTTGTTAGATATTTTAAAATGTCAGTGTTAATTCAAGCTGGGAGCTGCTTGGGGGGAAGCCTGCCTCCCCTTCTATTCAAAGTCTCACTGAGATACATGCATATCTGACTGTTTCCTTTGGAAAGGCTCATCAGAAACTCAAAAGAATGCAACCATTTGTCTCCCACCTGTGATCTGAAAGCCCCCAAGCCCTCTCCTTGCCTCGAGTTGTCCCACCTTTCTGTACCAAACCAGTGTTCATTTTACATATGTTGCTTGATGTCTCATGTCTCCCTTGTTAAAAGTAAAAATTAACTACAGTGAATGAGATACATGTTTTAGGTAAACTTTTTGTGTAAATTAAAATCTTAAAGTTATTTTTGATGTTCATTTAATATCTGGGTCATTTCCAATTAAGAAAGGATTGTGATATGGGGAAATATGTTTCTAAAATTGTGGAATTGTTCTTATCTATAAATGCCCATTTCTGACAGTTCAGGATTTCTTGCTTCTTAGGGTTTCGCTAAAGTTTAGGTTACTAAGGATAAAATTCTAGTTAACACGTTATTCTGTATACAAAATGTGCCAGAAAGGGTTATGTTATTAGTGAAAAAAGAATAATTTTTGTCTAATTCAGAAGTTATCTAAAAGTTCGTTCAAATTACAGATTTGAAAAGGTTATTTATGAAACAATGTAGTAAGGAACCATTAAGTAGGAGAGAAAGATGTGGAAAAAGTTTAAATAAAATATTCTTTAAAACCTGATAAAGAATTGGAAACATTTGGCTAATTAACATTTTCATAGTTAAAGCTCTTAGTCTTGATTAAAGTAAGAAGTATTGTAAAAATGCATTGGCAGTTTGGCAATTTTTTTTAATATAGTTAACCATGAAGCTGGATTTAGTGTGAAGCCAAATTTCACATACATGCTTGCATTGCTTCACAGTATGTTTACTGTTTTGCGTGGATGGTGCTGGAGTACTTACTGGTCATGTGCCTAAAGTAGATTTCCTGATTGCTCAGAATGTATAATGATATTGGTGAACTTAAGGATATTGAATTGTGTATCAGGAATAAAATATTCATTATGTGGGGTTTTAGGGGGGGCCCTAGGTAAAACTGTAGCCTCCATGGTAAATTGAGTAGGAAAATTTAGGTTAATTTTTTGTTTGTTTTTGCTTCTAGTTTTCATTTGTTTGCTATTTATTTTCCTCTGGCTTTGCTTGTGTATCCATATACATAAAACCATGCTAGTGTAAGCCTTTTATTTGGTTCTGTGAATAGTTATTTTGTTTCCTGTGCATTTCTAGCAAGTTATCATCCTTTCTATTTATCTGGAATTCCTAAACTACCCTTGTTGGGCTGCAGGAATTATTGGAGCACACCAGCTTTTTATCCTTCAACTAACTTTATGGATTTTAGGCTTCCTGACACTTTAAGTGTATTGAGTATATGCTTACAAATAGAATTTGAGTCATATTTCTCTCTCTGCCTAGTTTCTCCAAAATTTGTAAACTATCTATGAATATTCTTAATTCATAGCAATGTGTTTTTTTGCATGCAGTCAAGCAGGTTCACTAGGGCCGCTCAGGGAGAGAGAACCCAGAAACCTGGCCTGCCAGCAAAAGGGTAAGAATTTCTTACCTGTCAGTCTCTGGCCTCTTTCTCTCTGTGCAAACTGGTTAATCTCCTCTGTGAAGTTTTAAATTAATTGGTTTAATAATAATAGCTTAAATCAAATATTTTGTCAAAAAAGTAGAAAATGTAATGTCTTTTAGTTCATGTGTGACTTTAGCAATCTTTGGAAAATAAAGATGGTTTTCAAGATTCTTGGTAAAATACAAATGTCTTCAAAATGTAAACATGTGGTGTAAATTATGTTCAAATATTAGGTTTGCTAAATGCTTTAAGACCATAAACTGCTTCTTTGGCTTTTGGAAATTGTTTAACTTGCCTGCTTTCCAGCTAGGTAAGGCCTGGGGACATGTGAAGTTAGCCACGCCCCTAGCTATGCTGGAAATAGTCAAACCTTATCAGAACATAACTTACCGGGTCTTACATTAAAATTCGCCATTATAACATGCAATTAAGACTACTAGAAATAGTTTTACATGTGAGGTGTGTAAGAACAGTAGAATGTGTGGGGGTTTTTTTAAGGTTATAAAAGATTTTTGCTTCTTTAAAATTTCTGAGTCATCATTTTGGCAAAATAAATAATTTATGGTAATCTGGAATTCCAAAATCAAACTTCAGTTTCAAAATTGTCTTTCCTAATGCCTGGCTTTCTGGATGAATCAGAGGGTCCCTGAAAACATCCAGAAAAGAGGTAAACAGGATTATTTGACATGTTTAGATACATGGGATTCCCAAAATAATGTTCAATCTTCTTTAGGCTATATTTTTGTGAATAATACTAATACATATTCCTAAATTGTACGGGATTTCTAAAATTCTAATGTCTAAGTATATGCTATCAATTATAATTACGGTTATTATGTTAAGTTATTGTAAACCACAAAAATAACCAAATTTTCTTGTCAGTGCTATGTACCTAATTTGGAAAAACAACTGGTATCCGAGAGGATATAAGTCTAATGTTAATTAAGCGTGGACTCATGGAGAACCTGGATGGCCACCTTGTCCTTCCTGAGTTCTTAAAGCTTTCATTATAAAAGTTCTGCATTTCATGACTCATCATGGAAAAGATATAATGATCCAAATTGAATACATTGGTGTAGTGACTTACAAATTACTAAAATAGTTTATAACCAGTACTTGATCCCATATTCCTGGGAAAACAATTAAAGCTTCAGATACATCTGGTCACCTGGAGGGTCATTTAAACATTGTATAAAGGGATTTCATTCCATTGTTATTCTCAATGCATGTTTTCTGGTTGTAGAAAAGCTTTCCCATGCAAGAGTGCTGATGTTATAACAGTAGATTATTATGCTACAGTGTATTTTCACTAGGTAAAGAAAGCTTTTCATGGTATGGATCTTCTGAGAACATCGGAGAAAGACTCGCCTTGCTATTTACACTACAACAAAACTTCAGGACCTTAGGCTTTGGGTTCATGGTCTCACAACTGAGAAGGGTCCCTCCACACTTTTGGAACTGTGCACCCATTGGAACCCTTGAGGTAAAGCTAACCAGGGAAATTTCTCCCAAGAAGAAGATGGCATATTTGATGTGAACAGCTTTTCCCAAGTTCACAGATTAAGACTTCTACTGTCAAGAAACTCTTATCTTTCAATGTTTTTTCTTGCTTATGCCTCTATGAACAATAGAAGTAGAAAAGGGGTCTGTTGTGTGCACTTATGGTGTATACTTTTATTTGTGAAGGAGTTTGCAGCCACCCTTATACATAGATAACCTTATACTTTGATAGATAAAGTCCCAATGTGGGTAAGAAACTTTAGCGGTACATGTGTTGCCTCATAATCAGTCAAAAACAAAACACTGGTTCACTCCTCTTAACCCACATCGTGGGTTAAAGAGAACATTGCCAGAAGGCCTTCACTTTTCTAAAAGTGCATCATTTGTTAGCAACTTTCTCCATGGTTTAAAGTAAAAGATGCAATGATTAGAAATGTATCCCTCATGATAGGTTCTACAGCAAATTCTACTGTAAAGGCTACAGTTACACAACAGACTTTAGATTCTCTCGTGAAAGTTATGCTAAATAATAGAATTAGCTAAACGGAAAAGTACCTGTGCAGCTGCTGGCACTTGTGGCCTATGGGGAAATACATCAAATGAAGAATATAGAAATTCAGTGGTAGAGGACTGATGAAAAAATTGCTTAGTCAAGTGAGTAAACTGTTTATCTAGCTCATTCTTTGATCTATTTCATTTTAGGAGATTTTGTTTATGGGAACCTTGAGTAAGGAGAATACTCCAAACTCTTGGTATTTTACTCACAATAGTCATAATAATAGTCTCCCTGATGCGTTGTATTCTCTCAAAGGTTTTAAATGTTTGCATGCAGCCATTTCTAGAATGTCGTATGGTCTCTCTGCAACTGGAATGACAAGAGCTAAAAGAAATGTGCAACCATGAGGACACTAACCTATAAATGATGTGCTGAGACTGGAAACCCACAATGATGGCAACTGAGAGTGGCGCTAAGGCCCTAAGTTTTGGTCACATGCTCACCTAAGTTAGAACCTGACAAAAAAGGGAAAATTTTTTTAAACAAAATTCTGGAGTCCATTGTTTTGAACTGAGCTCATGCACTAGTCCCCAGTAAATCAAACCAAACCAAAATGGAGTCACTCGTGCTAAGATTTGTCCTAAGGAAACACATAGATTCTAGAACAGACCAGGTTTTGTTTTTTCTCCTGCAAATCTCTATAACAAACATTTCTGACAGCATAGGTATCCACCCCCTGAAGTTCCCATTAAATCTTTTAACCAAATTCATTTCCTCTCACCTAGAGACCATTAAGCTTCAGATGATCATGCAACAAAGCTTCCAGCCAGTTCCAGGTGAAGACACCACCCCTGGTCATCAAGAAGCTGCCCTGCCTCAACTAGATACAGCAGGGCAAGTTCTGTGATCCCCAATAGGTAGGGACTATGCCTCAAGCCAGCATGAAGCAGTTACAGAAAAAAGACCATTAGTCCCTCTTCCTCCCATAAAGATTTATGGGGATCATATCTCTCAGCGGGGGAGATGAGGCAGGAAAATAGGGTCTGGAGGCAGGGAACCTAAGGCCGGTTCACACTTCAGCTATGACAGGAAATATCCTCTCCATAGGGCGTACGCTGTAAATGACTTTGTAACTTCACTTCATGCTCTTCATTTACATAGGGCATTCCCCAAGTAGAGGGCATTTAAACTCATAAAAACTCTGTAACAGGGCCTTTAAGCCCCTATGCTCAGGCCTGCTCCCACACTGTGGAGTGTACTTTCATTTTCAATAAGCCTTTTCATCCCTTCTTTGCCTTATTTGTGCATTTTGTCCATTTCTTTGTTCAAGATGCCAAGAACCTGGACACCCACCACCGTTAACACCAGGGATGCAAGGTTGGTTCAACATATGCAAATCAATAAATGTGATTCATCACATAAACAGAACTAAAGACAAAAACCACATGATTACCTCAATAGATGCAGGAAAGGCTTTTGATAAAATTCAACATTCCTTCATATTAAAAACTCTCAATAAGCTGGGTATTGAAGGAACATACCTCAAAATATTATAATAATAGCCATCTATGACAAACCCATAGCCAATATCATACTTGAATGGACAAAGGCTGGAAGCATTCCCCTTGAAAACTAGCACAAGACAAGAATGCACTCTCTCACCACTCCTATTCAATACAGTATTGGAAGTCCTAGACAGAGCAATCAGGCAAGAAAAAGAAGTAAGGGGCATCCAAATAGGAAGAGAAGAAGTAAAACTATCCCTGTTGGCAGACAACAGGATTCTATATCGAGAAATCCCCATGGTCTTCAGCTGATAAACAACTTAAGCAAAGTTTCAAGATACCAAATCAACATACAAAAATCACTAGCATTCCTATACAGCAACAAAAACCAAGCTGAGAGCCAAATCAGGAAGGCGATTCCATTCACAATTGCCACAAAAAGAATAACATATCTAGGAATACAGCTAACCAGGGAGGTGAAAACTCTCTACAAGGAGAATTACAAAACACTGCTGAAAGAAATCAGAGATAACACAAACAAACGACTAAACATTCCATGGTCATGGACAGGAGGAATCAATGTCATTAAAATGGCCATATGGCCCAAAGCAATTTACAGATTCAATGCTATTCCTATCAAATTACCAACAATATTCTTCACAGAACTAGAAAAAAACTATTTAAAAATTCATATGGAACAACAACAACAAAAAAAGCCTGAGTAACCAAGGCAATCCTAAGCAAAAAAAAACAAAGCTGGAGGCATCACATTGCCCGATTTCAAACTATACTACAGGGCTACAGTAACCAAACCAACATGGTACTGGTACAAAAACAGGCACATAGCCCAATGGAACAGAATAGAGAGCCCAGAAATAGGGCTGCACACCTACAACCATCTGGTCTTTGACAAAGCTGACAGAAACAAGAAATGGGGAAAAGATTCTCTATTCAATAAATGGTACTATTGGTACTATCCATATGCAGGAAATTGAAGCTGGACCCCTTCCTTACACCATATACAAAAATCAAGTCCAGATGGATTAAAGACTTAAATATAAAACCTAAAACTATAAAAATCCTGGAAGACAACGTAGGCAATACCATCCTGGGCATAGGAATGGACAAAGATTTCATGACAAAAATGTCAAAAGCAATTGCAACAAAAGCAAAAATTGACAAATGGGATCTAACTAAACTTAAGAGCTTCTGCACAGCAAAAGAAATTATCAACAGAGTAAACAGACGACCTACAGAATGAGGGAAACTATTTTGGAAACCATGCCTCTGACAAAGGTGTAATATCCAGCATCCATAAGGAACTTAAACAAATTTACAAGAGAAAAACAAACAACCCCATTAAAACATAGGCAAAGGACATGAACAGACACTTTTCAAAAGAAGACATATATGCGGCCAACAAGCATATGCAAAAAAGCTCAACATCACCGATCATTAGAGAAATGCAAATCAAAATTACAATGAGATGCTATCTCACACCCCAGTCAGAATGGCTATTATTGTAGGGACCAGTCCCACAGGGTTGGTGGGTCTCTCCCCGTGTGCGGCGACGAGAGAGTGTAGAAATAAAGACACAAGACAAAGAGATAAAAGAAAAGGCAGCTGGGCCCGGGGGACCACTACCACCAATGCGCGAGACCGGTAGTGGCCCTGAATGTCTGGCTGCGCTGTTATTTATTGGATACAAGGCAAAAGGGGCAAGGTAAAGGGTGTGAGTCATCTCCAATGATAGGTAAGGTCACGTGTCCACTGGACAGGGGGCCCTTCCCTGCCTGGCAGCCAAGGCAGAGAGGGAGAGGAGACAGAGAGAAAGACAGCTTACGCCATTATTTCTGCATATCAGGGACTATTAGTACTTTCACTAATTTACTACTGCTATCTAGAAGGCAGAGCCAGGTGTACAGGATGGAACATGAAGGCGGACTAGGAGCGTGACCACTGAAGCACAGCATCACAGGGAGATGGTTAGGCCTCTGGATAACTGCGGGCAAGGCTGACTGATGTCAGGCCTTCCACAGGAGGTGGAGGAGCAGAGTCTTCTCTAAACTCCCCCAGGGAAAGGGAGACTCCCTTTCCCGGTCTGCTAAGTAGCTGGTGTTTTTCCTTGACACTGAGGCTACCGCTAGACCACCGTCTGCTCGGCAACGGGCATCTTCCCAGACGCTGGCGTCACCGCTAGACCAAGGAGCCCTTCTGGTGGCCCTGTCTGCGTATAACAGAAGGCTCGCACTCTTGTCTTCTGGTCACTTCTCACTGTGTCCCCTCAGCTCCTATCTCTGTATGGCCTGGTTTTTCCTAGGTTATGATTGTAGAGCGAGGATTATATAATATTGGGATAAAGAGTAATTACTACCAACTAATGATTAATGATATTCGTATATAATCATATCTAAGATCTATATCTGGTATAACTATTCTTTTATATTTTATTATGCTGGAACAGCTCGTGTCCTCGGTCTCTTGCCTCGGCGCCTGGGTGGCTTGCCGCCCACAATTATTAAGAAGTCAAAAAATAACAGATGCTGATGAGGTTGTGGAGAAAAGGGAACACTTACACACTGTTGGTGCAAGTGTAAATTAGTTCAACCATTGTGGAAAGCAGTATGGCAATTCCTCAAAGAGATATAAACAGAACTACCATTCAACCCAGCAATCCCAATACTGGGTATACACCCAGAGGAATATAAATCATTTTACCTTAAAGACACATGTATGTGAATGTTCATTGCAGCACTATTCACAATAGCAAAGATATGGAATCAACCTAAATGCCCATCAATGTCAGACCGGATAAAGAAAATATGGTACTTACACACCATAGAATACTATGCAGCCATAGAAAAGAATGCAATTGTGTCTTTTGCGGGAACATGGATGGAGCTGGAGGTTATTATCCTTAGCAAACGAATGCAGTAACAGAAAACTAAATATTGCATGTTGTCACTTATATGTGAGAGCTAAATGATGAGAACTCATGAACACAAAGAAGGAATAACAGACACTGGGGCCTACTTGAGGGCGGAGGTTAGGAGGAGGGAGAGGAGCAGAAAAAATAACTATTGGGTACTAGGCTTAACACTTGGATGATGAAATAATCTGTACAGCAAACCCTTGTGAAATGAGTTTACCTATATAATAAACCTGCACATGTACTTCTGAACCTAAAATAAAAGTTTAAAATAAAGATTTTTACAGAAGCTTCCCACGGACTGAAGTTGCTAGGGGAGCTTTCAGAACTCTTAGCCTGAGGTAAGTGAGGCAATTTCCAGTGTCCTCTCCCCATTTTGTTCTACACCTCATCATTCACTTTCACAGTCCATCCTCGGTACTCAAGGTCTTTTCTGATTTCCCATCAAAGTTAACCAGTCTTCCCAGGCATGGTGGCATGTGCCCACAGTCCCAGCTACTTGGTAAATTGAGGTGGGAGGATACCTTGAGCCCAGGAGTTCAGGGCCAGCCTGGGCAGCATAGTGAGATCCTGTCTCTAAAATAAATAAATAAATGAGTAAAACATTTACCAGTCTCTAGGATGAGATAAACAAATCTATGCTAAGGTATTAATGCCTGATAATTCAGTATTGCAAAAAGTGGTTGCACTAGAATAGGATAATCGAGAAAGCACATGGAGTACATACAGAAGGAATTTTGGGAATATCATTATAGGGCCACTAATACCATTCATTAGGGCTCTGCCCTAATGGAAACACTGTCACATTGGGGATTAGGCTTCAATATATGAATCTGGGGGGACACAAACATTAAGACCATAGTACCTTTTATCAGCTATATAGTTTGCAAGTATTTTCTCCCATTCTGTGGGTAGCCTTTTCATTTTGTTGATTATTTAGTTCATTATGTGGAAGATTTTTAGTTTGATATAATTTTACTTGTTCATTTTTTAAGCTGTTTAATTTTTTAATGCAGAATTTGAAACTATGAAACAACATGGTAAGAAAAAATATTGGACCATCTCACTCCAAAACCACTGTTTAACCACAGTTCACATCTGCATGGAGGAAGGGAGAAAAAAAAAACATCTGGTTCCTTATAACTCTCACCAAAGGTGGCAGATGTCAATTCCATGTGAATCGAACATTGGCTAAACACTAAAGGATAATCTGTATGAGAGAATGAGTTTGTATTAGACCATTGCTATCTCATTATAATATACATGTTAATATTGACATCATTTTCTCAAAATTTACACGAAGTATCCTGATGTGAGTCTATCCTCTACTTACTTTCCCTCAGTTGTGTTTCATTACTTTACTTTCTAGTCCATATTTGGAGTAGTCATTACGTTCTTCCCATTTAACCTTCTCTGGGGGCTCTGCCTAGCCCTGAAGGAAATGCCTCCCTGTAAAAACCCACTAGCCTGCTTTCAAATTCATGCCTTCTTATTTTCCCTCAGTTTTAGGTTTTTTCTTTTTGTTTGTTTTTCACTTTTGGAATAAATTTAGATTTGCAGAAAATTTGCAGAGATAGTACAGAGAATTCTCACATATTCCCATCCAGTTTTCACCAAGGTTAACACATTATATTATCCTGGTTCGTTCTTTCTTTCTTTCTTTCTTTCTTTCTTTCTTTCTTTCTTTCTTTCTTTCTTTCTTTCTTTTCTTTCTTTCTTTCTTTCCTTTCTTTCTTTCTTTTTCTTTCTTTCTTTCTCTCTCTCTCTTTCTTTTTCTTTCTTCTTTTTTTTTTTTTTTTTTTTTTTTTGAGAAAGAGTCTCACTCTGTCGCCCAGGCTGGAGTGCAGTGGTGCGATCTCAGCTCACTGCAATCTCTGCCTCCTGGGTTCAAGCGATTCTCCTGCCTCAGCCTCCCAAGTAGCTGGGATTACAGGCGTGTGCCACCAGGCCCAGCTAATTTTTGTACTTTTAGTAGAGATGGGGTTTCACCATGTTGGTCAGGCTGGTCTTGAACTCCTGACCTCAGGTGATCCACCAGCCTTGGCCTCCCAAAGTGCTGGGATTACAAGTGTGAGCCACCGCGCCCGGCCTATCCTGGTACATTTTCAAAACTCCAGGCTTAGATTTCACTAGTTTTTCCACTAATGTCCTTTTTCTATTGCAGGATCCAATCTAGGATACTGCATTGTGTTTAGCTGGCCTTCCTTTTAATCAGCAATAGACAACCAGAAATTTGAGGGCAGCCCATCTCTTGTTCAGGATATCCCTTGTTAGAGAAAGGCTGTTCTTACTTTTTACAACACCATAAAGAGCATTAAAACTGGAAAGTCTGCCTAGTACGTTTGCTGGTTTCTGAGGACATCATTGCTCCACTGGTTCTTCTTCCACCCGACTCTTGAGATCCTGCCTCAGCAACTTTCTCCAACATTTAATGTACCTTCTTCCATCCAAGAGTGGTTTCCTGCAATTTTTACATCTATACTTAGGGGAAATTAGAAACAATGCATAACCTCCAACAATCATTTAATGATTCCAGTGATGCTTCACCTCTGCAGCCTCTTCTTCTCTAAAGAAAACCATGGTCCTCTCTGGCTCTTCTTATATTCGGTCTCCTGGTCAACTTCTTTCCCTCCATTTTTTTTTTTCACATCAGATGGGTAATGTGCCAAGATGTCATGACAAGGTTTGAGGGAGGCACATCTCACATAACAGCATGAAAATCCAGTCATCACAAAAAAGATGAAAGAGTCTTTCTTTTTTCAGTTATCTCCCTTTTTTCACTGCAGGTGCACTCTCCACTTAACTTGCCCACCCTAGTAATTTTAAAAGGACCCAGCTCACAAAAGGAAGAGACTTATGTCTTCTGGGGCAGGGGTGGGGGTGGTATTAGTGAAGGCACGGGATGCTATGTGGAAGTGAAGCCAAATGAAGCAGGATGTTATAATGTTCCTCTGTGTGCTCTTATGGATTAAAATCATCCCAGACACTTTCTAAGTCACATCATCTAGGACAGTTCTGGAGCAGGGGAGAAAGTAAGAGTCAGCTGTAGGGATGCATTGAAAGTTAGCTTTGGAGCCAGGCGCGGTGGCCCACGCCCATAATTCCAACACTTTGGGTAGGCCAAGGCAGCTGGATCACTTGAGGCCAGGAAATCGAGACCAGCCTGGCCAACGTGGTGAAACCCCATCTCTACTAAAAATATAAAAATTAGCTGGGCATGGTGGCGGGTGCCTGTAATCCCAGCTACTTAGGAGGCTGAGGCAGGAGAAACACTTGAACCCGGGAGGTGGAGGTTGCAGTGAGCTGAGATCGTGCCACTGCACTCCAGCCCGGGTGACAGAGCGAGAGTCTGTCAGAAGGAAAGAAGGAAAGAAAGAGAGAAAGAGAGAAAGGAAAGAAAGGAAAGAAAGGAAAGAAAGAAAGAGAAAAGTAAAGAAAGTTAGCTTTGGCCTTAATATTTGCCCAAAATCTGCTCTCACCTTTGGCCTTATCCTTTGGAAGGCCAAATGTCTACCTCAACATTACTTCTGCCATCCCAGAACTGGTGCAAGATGTGATCTTATATGTTATCATCATATATAATCAATACCAAACTGTCGGTAATATGAACAAAGAATATAATTTAGGTTTATTTTTAATATCTAAGCATTTTAAATATAGGTAAGCATTCTAGAGGTCAACTGGGGTAAAAACCTCCCTATATGCCTTGTATGTCGAAATGTTTCAGTCATTTGAAGTATAAATATATATTTATTATGGCAGGAGTTAAATGCTACAATACTTAATGGGGATTATGAAAGTAATTTTATGTACAAACATAGGAACTTACAAAAAGTTATTAATAAATAGGGAAATAGGTGAACAGTCAATACAAATATTAAGGGCCAGACATTGTGGCTCATGCCTGTAACCCCAGCACTTTGAGGGGTCAAAATGGGAAGATTGCTTGAGGCCAGGAGTTTTAGACTACCAAAGTTTTTTTTTAAACTTAGCCAGGTGTGGTGGCACACATCTGTAGTTCCAGCTATTCCGGAGGCTAAGGTGGGAAGATCACTTGAGCCCAGGAGTTTGAGGTTACAGTGAGCTATGATTGCACCACTGCACTCCATCCTGAGCCATAGAGTGAGACCCTGTCTCAAAATCCAAGAATAAAATAAAATAAAATATTAGGTTAATATGCAGTAGCCAAATACATTTAAGATAATCATATTCTTTTGGAGCAAATACTTTTTTAAATTATAAAACAAAAATAAAAATTAGATATAATTCTAATCTTTGTAGAATTTTTTTTTTGCATCGGCATTTGGAACAATAAACAAAATAGCCTTTAAGAATTTTATTGGCTGGCGGCAGTGGCTCACGTCAGTAATCCCAGCACTTTGGGAGGCCGAGGCTGGTGGATCACCTGAGGTCAGGAATTCAAGACCAGCCTGGCCAACGTGACAAAACCCTGTCCCTACTAAAAATACAAAAATTAGCCTGGCGTGGTGGCGCATGCCTGTAATCCCAGCTATTCGGGAGGCTGAGGCAGGAGAATTGCTTGAACCCGGGAGGCGGAAGTTGCAGTGAGCTGAGATCACGCCATTGCACTCTGAGTGAGACTCTGTCTCAAAAAATAAATAAATAAATAACTTTATTTAATTTTTAATTGTTTAATTATAAGGCCATGAGTGTTTTAAGAAAAAGTCTTATTTGAAAATCCTTCATAGTTATGAAGACAAAATAAAAGCTAAATGTCAACTTTTCTGCCTCAGAAGTTCATGAGGAAAAAAATCCAAAATCACTTGCAACAGCCATGATAAATCATGTTTCATCCAAATATAGTAACAAAGAACGTAATGACTATAAAGACAAGAAAGTGTTAGAGACAAGTAAGGTAACCAAAGCTCATTTGATTCTCATTAAGCAAGCTTCAAAAAAACAGACTTTACAGGAATCCTTTAAGGCAATTCCTTATTGTGTTGAGTCTATGGAGTTTAAGAATCTAAACAAAACTTGTTGAAATGATGCTTATAGACTGCCAACAATTTTCAGTAGTTGAAATTGAAGGATTTTTGAAATGTGCCCAAGCTATGAATCTCAGGTACAAAATTCCTTCTAAAAATTAAATTACTGAAAAATGTTTTGTCTGAATTATATTCTACTGTGCACAAAAATGATTAGCAATACTATTAGCTATGCTACTTTTAAAACTTTGTTCATTGTACCCTTGGAAATGCAAAATCAACCAGAAATCTTTTTTAAAATCACAGCACAATGGATTAATGCTTTGTTGTACTTTGCTTACAGTAGCAGTTAGCTATTGCTATGTTATTTTAAAAACCACCCAAAAACTTAGTGGTTTTAATAAAGCACCATTTATTTGGCTAACAATTCTGCAGGTTGTGAGTTTAATTCGGGCTCAGCTGGGCAGTTCTTCCAGTCTTAGCTGGGCTCCTTCATGCGTCTATGGTCAACTGTAGATGAGCTAGGCAAATCGGCTTCCGGAATTTGACTAGATGCATACATGCAATGAATGCTAAGATACAGGTGGCAATTCGTAGATTTTTTTTTTTTTTTTTTTGAGATGGAGTCTCACTCTGTCACTCAGGCTGGAGTGCAGTGGTGTCATCTTGGCTCACTGCAACCTCTGCCTCCCGGGTTCAAGAGATTCTCCTGCCTCAGCCTCCTGAGTAGCTGGGATTACAGGCGTGCACCACCACACCCAGCTGATTTTTGTATTTTCAGTAGAGGCGGGGTTTCACGATGTTGGCCAGGCTGGTCATGAACTCCCGACCTCCAGTGATCTGCCCACCTCAACCTCCCAAAGTGCTGGGATTACAGACGTGAGCCACCGTGACCAGCCAGTATCTTAAGAGTCTATTACATTGCTCTATTAACACATCTAGGTCCACTGTTCAAAGACAAATTTCTCTCAAAAGATTGTATAAAACATCAAGAGCTGGTTTTCTAGTTAAGTTGTAGAAGCACATTCCACTCTGCCTCTCCCACTGAATGCAGCTATAAAACCTGGATAGAATGCATGGAGCATCTATTTGAGAACTCCATAAAGTATGTGGTAGCGGACATATTGGAAAAGAAGACAAGAATTCAAAGTAAACTTGCAATCCTATCACAGCATGGACAGCAGCAGTGGCTGCAGCAGTCAAAGGGCCTCTCAGGGGCCTAAAACTCTGAGGAGGTGTGGTAACAAGACAGGGGAGCAAACACCCATTGGTTCATTTCCCTCTGTCTCTTTCCTTCCAGACATGGGCACAGTCACAAGAAGTATTAATATATGGCAGAATGAACTAACTAAAAATGCCAGTTTCCTGGTCAGAGGACTGAATATGGAAGCCTTAGAAACCTGAAAGTATCAGAAAGATGGCAGAGAGGGAAAGAGGGGAAATTCAGAAAAATGACACCATAAAATTGTTTATGAACTCCTTAGAGACCTATACACCAAAAAAAAAAATGTCATTTAAAAGTATGTTATATTGGCCGGGCGCGATGGCTCATGCCTGTAATCCCAGCACTTTGGGAGACCAAGGTGGGTGGATCACTTGAGGTCAGGAGCTCCAGACCAGCCTGGGCAACATGGTGAAACCCCGTCTCCACAAAAAATACAAAAGTTAGCATGGGTAGTGGCAGACGCCTGTAATCCCGGCTATTCGACAGGCTCAGGCATGATGAGAATCACTTAAACCTGAGAGGCACAGGCTGCAGTGAGCCAAGATCTTGCCACTGCACTCCAGCCTGGGTGACAGAACAAGACTCTGTCTCAAAAAATATACCTATTAATAAAAATGTTCAGCTCCCAGCCGCCTGCCTTGGCCTCCCAAAGTGCCGAGATTGCAGCCTCTGCCCGGCCGCCACCCCGTCTGGGAAGTGAGGAGCGTCTCTGCCTGGCCACCCATCGTCTGGGACATGAGGAGCCCCTCTGCCTGGCTGCCCAGTCTCGAAAGTGAGGAGCGTCTCTGCCCGGCTGCCATCCCATCTAGGAAGTGAGGAGCGCCTCTTCCCGGCCGCCATCCCATCTAGGAAGTGAGGAGCGTCTCTGCCCGGCCGCCCATCGTCTGAGATGTGGGGAGCGGCTCTGCCCCGCCGCCCCGTCTGGGATGTGAGGAGCGCCTCTACCCGGCCGCGACCCCGTCTGGGAGGTGAGGAGCGTCTCTGCCCGGCCGCCCCGTCTGAGAAGTGAGGAGCCCCTCCGCCCGGCAGCCACCCCGTCTGGGAAGTGAGGAGCGTCTCCGCCCGGCAGCCACCCCGTCCGGGAGGGAGGTGGGGGGGTCAGCCCCCCGCCCGGCCAGCCGCCCCGTCCGGGAGGGAGGTGGGGGGGGTCAGCCCCCCGCCCGGCCAGCCGCCCCGTCCGGGAGGTGAGGGGCGCCTCTGCCCGGCTGCCGCTACTGGGAAGTGAGGAGCCCCCCCGCCCGGCCAGCCGCCCCGTCCGGGAGGGAGGTGGGGGGGTCAGCCCCCCGCCCGGCCAGCCGCCCCGCACGGGAGGTGACGGGCGCCTCTGCCCGGCCGCCCCTACTGGGAAGTGAGGAGCCCCTCTGCCCGGCCACCACCCCGTCTGGGAGGTGTACCCAACAGCTCATTGAGAACGGGCCATGATGACAATGGCGGTTTTGTGGAATAGAAAGGGGGGAAAGGTGGGGAAAAGATTGAGAAATCGGATGGTTGCTGCGTCTGTGTGGAAAGAGGTAGACATGGGAGACTTTTCATTTTGTTGTGTATTAAGAAAAATTCTTATCCTGTTAATCTATAACCTTACCCCCAACCCTGTGCTCTCTGAAACATGTGCCGTGTCCACTCAGGGTTAAATGGATTAAGGGCGGTGCAAGATGGGCTTTGTTAAACAGATGCTTGAAGGCGGCAGGCTCGTTAAGAGTCATCACCACTCCCTAATCTCAAGTACCCAGGGACACAAACACTGCGGAAGGCCGCAGGGTCCTCTGCCTAGGAAAACCAGAGACCTTTGTTCACTTGTTTATCTGCTGACCTTCCCTCCACTATTGTCCTATGACCCTGCCAAATCCCCCTCTGCGAGAAACACCCAAGAATGATCAATAAAAAATAAATAAATAAATAAATGTTCAATGTGAAAACTTCTTTTTTTTTTTTTTTTTTTTTTGAGACAAGGCCTCACTCTGTTGCCCAGGTTGGAGTGCAGTGACACAGTCACAGCTCCCTGCAGCCTAGAACTCCCGGGCTCAAGTGATCCTCCTGCCTCAGCCTCCGGACTAGCTGGTGAAATGAGAGAGTTCTCTTATTCCCCTTGCAGGGCATGCAACAGAGGTGTGGTTCCCTTATTCAGTGCCCTGCTGCTCAAACCCCTAGGGGGAGCATGCAGACAAGCGGGTGCAGAGGCCGTGAAGAGTGCTTTTGGGCTCTGTCCCCACAGCAGGACTCCCAAAGCCCAAGTGGGCGTGTGTTCCATGGCTTGGGTTAGTCAGCTCAGCAGACCCTCTGCCTTATCGCAAGGACATGGGGCGAGTGTGACAGGAGTTCAAAACTGGCTGCCTGGGCAACAAAGCAAGACACTATCTCTCCTGAGTTCTTGCCCAGTGTACCGGAAGAATCAGATCACACGTGGGCTGGAAGGTAGAGTGCAAGGTTTTATTGAGTGGTGGAGGTGGCTAGATGGATGCTGAACCGGAATCAAGGAATGGAGTGGGAAGGTGGTCTTCCCCTGGAGTCGGGCCACCCAGCGGCGGGACTCTTCTCCAACTGCCCTGGGCGGAAATCCCCTCGGCATCTGCGCCATTCCACTGTTGCTGGTCTGCAGGTGTCTGCTGGTGTGTTCCTCTGCTCCTCACAATGTCTGGCTGCTTGTGTCTGTGCCCGCTAGGTCTCGGGTTTTTATGGGCACAGGATGCCAGCGGGCGTCGGGGCGGGGGGCAGTGGCGGGCCAAAAGGCAATTTTTGGGCTTGAAAACAGAAATACCTGTCCTCATTCAGGTCCATGGGCACAGGCCCAAGGGTGGAGGCCTTGGCCAGGGACCCCACCCTTCTCTACCCAGCACTTCCCTGCCCGGCTCCCATATCACTGGGACTACAGGCTGTGCTACCACACCTGGATAATTTTGAAAATATTTTTGTAGAGACAGTGTCTTGCTTTGTTGCCCAGGCAGCCAGTTTTGAACTCCTGGCCTCAAGCGATCCTCCTGCCTCAGCCTTCCAAAGTGTTCGGATTATAGGCGTGAGCCACCTTGTGTAGCTGAAAACCTCATTTTTAAACTAAAGACATTTAATAATGTTTCAATACAATTTTGGATTTACTGTTGCATTCCAGAAATTTTCTGACAGCATTATTTAGTTTAGGCCTTGGCTTCAGGTAAATATTGATTTTAACACTTGACCATTTAGCATTTTTGCCTAAATGTATTTTCAGTCACTCCTAGTTGCCAATTAAACAAGAATGGCAGCATCAATAGGACTATGCTCCATTTAACCTGATGGGCATTTTCCGATTCAGCCAACAAGTTGTGTGTACTGGCTTTTCCTCAATTTCTGAGGAAATTCTGAAATAAAGCATCTATCTACTACTTCAAAGTGATATTAAGCTGTGAAAGTCTTGCTGAAATTGAGCAGTACTTTCATAACTTAATATCACTTTGAAGTAGGAAGATAGATGCTTTATCTATCCCCATTAGCAGAAGGTTTGTCACAAGCTAGGCATGACAGCTACAAAAGAGAAGCTTCAGGCTGGGTGCGGAGGCTCATGCCTGTAATCCCAACACTTTGGGAGGCCGAGGCGGATGGATCACTTGAGGTCAGGAGTTTCAGACCAGTCTGGGTAACATGGCAAAACCCCATCCCTACTAAAAACACAAAAATTAGTCAGGCTTGGTGGTGCATGCCTGTAGTCCCAGCTACTCGGGAGGCTGAGGTGGGAGGATGAGCCCCGGAGGTTGAGGCTGCAGTGAGCTATAACACTGAACTGCAGCCTTGGCAACAGAGCAAGACCCCATCTTGGAAAAAAAAAAATCAAAATCACCATTCTGAGTAGACATTCCTCAACATTTATCAAGTTCGGCAATAACAATCCTGTACAGTACATTGATTCATTCAGTTACTTAGACATATCTTTTAAACTAGTTTCTCTTTGGTGGCTGGCTCATTAGGAAGTTTCACTGTTCAAAGCTAGATCTTTCCTGAGCTTTTTCAGGACCGAGATTTCGTTCTTGTTTTAAATTTTTGCTGCCTAAAATCACTATGGTGATGATCTCTAGTTTAGAGTTTAGGGGTCTGGTTCATCTCTGTGCTAAAGCAGACCACAACTTGCTTCCCAAGAGTTATATTGGCCCTGACAGTGAATATTCCCTTGGCCTACCTCCACACAGAAGGGCAGTGGCTTTCAATTCAAGGACTGATTCCTGTTTGGCTCATCTTTCATTTGGGTTGACTTTTAAGACACATGGCTCTGTGCTTTGGCAAACACAGAATAGTTGTGCTCTAAGGATTTGTCAGAGAACATACCCTCAAACCCACAGTTGCTCAATACTTAACGGAAAGCTCAGCTGAGAGATATAATACTTATAGAGGATCGCCTGAAGTCTAAGAAGCCTATATTTCTCTAGTCAAACATGTATCCCTGGATAAAAGTGAGATCATCAAGAAAACTGTATTTGTGGACTGAATTGACTTGCCTACCCCTACACATACACACACACACACACACAAAATTACTTTAGGTGTAAAGACTTTATATTTTTTAAAGAAATTTTAGAATCATGGCAAAATCTACAGGAGGGTAAAGAGGCTGGGGGGGGGTGGCTCATGCCTGTAATCCCAGCACTTTGGGAGGCCGAGGCAGTTGGATCACCTGAGGTCAGGAGTTCGAGACCAGCCTGGCCAACATGGTGAAACCCCATCTCTGCTAAAAATACAAAAATTAGCCGGGCATGGTGGTGCATGCCTGTAATCTCAGCTACTCGGGAGGCTGAGGCCAGAGAATCGTTTGAACTCTGGAGGCAGAGGTTGCAGTGAGCCGAGATCATGCCATTGCACTCCAGCCTGGGTAACAATAGTGAAACTCCATCTCAGAAAAAAAAAAAAAAAAAAAGAGGGTATAGAGATTTCCAATACACTCCCTGCCCCTACACAAGCACAGCCCTTCCCATTATCAACATCCCCAACAAGAGTGGTATGTTTGTTACAATTGATGAACATACACTAGTACACTAACACATCACTATTGCCCAAAGTCCACAGTTTACATTAGGGTAACACTTAGTGTTGTACTTTCTATGGGTTTGGACAACTGTATCCACATGTATCCACCATTAGAGTATCATACAGAATAGTTTCACTGCCCTAACAATCCTCTGTGTTTCTCCTATTCATCCTTCCCTCTCCACCAACCCTAGGCAACCACTAATCTTTTTAACTGTCTCCATAGGTTTGCTTTCTCCAGAATGTCATATAGTTGGAATGATACAGTATTTAGCCTTTTCAGACTGGCTTCTTTCACTTAGAAATATGCGTTTAAGGTTCCTCCACGTATTTTCATGGCCTGATAGCTCATTTCTTTTTAGCATTGAATTTTACATTCCATTGTCTGGATGTACCACATTTCGTCCATTCACCTTCTGAAGAACATCTTGATTGCTTTCAAGTTTTGTAATTGGGAACAAATGTGCTATAAATAAACATACATGTGCAGGTTTATGTGTGGATGCAAGTTCTCAATTCCTTTGAGTAAATACCAAGGACCATGATTGATATTGGTACCATATGCATCATATGGTAAGAGTATGTTTAGTTTTGTAAGAAACAGCCGCTGTCTTTCAAAGTTGCTGTACCATTTTGCATTCCCACCAGCAATGAATGAGAGCTCCTATTGCTCCACATCCTCATCAACATTTGGTGTTGTCAGTGTTCTGGATTTTGGCCATTCTAACGGGTAATGGTCATTTTAACTTAGATTTATATTTCCCTGATGACATATAATATGAACCATCTTTTCATGTGCTTATTTACCATCTGCATATCTTTTTTAGCAATATGTATGTTAAAGACTTTGGCCAGTTTTTAAAGTGGGCTATTTACTTATTGTTGAGTTTTAAGAGTTCTTTGTGGCCGGGCGTGGTGGTTCATCCCTATAATCTCAGCACTTGGAGACCCCAAGGTGGGCGGATCACCTGAGGTTAAGAGTTTGAGACCAGCATGGCCAACATGGTGAAACCCCTTCTCTACCAAAAATATAAAAATTAGCAGAGCGTGGTGGTGCACACTTGTAATCCCAGCAGGAAAATTGCTTGAAACCAGGAAGCGGAGGTTGCAGTGAGCCGAGAATGCACCACTGTACTCCAGCCCGGGTAACAGAGTGAGACTCTGTCACAAGAAAAAAAAAAAAAAAAAAGAGTTATTTGTTTACTGTATTAGGCCACTCTTGCATTGCTATAAAGAAATAACTGAAACTGAATAATCTGTAAGAAAAGAGATTTAATTGGCCCATAAGTTCTGCAGGCTATACAGGAAGCATAGGAGAATATGCTTTTGGGGAGGCCTCCGAAAGCTTCCAGTCATTATGGAAGGCAAAAAGGGAGCAGGCAAATCACATGGTGAGAATGGGAGCGAGAGAGAGTCGGGTGTGGGAGAGGTACCGCACTTCTTTTAAACCACCAGATCTCGTGAGAATTCACTCACTGTCATGAAGATAACACCAAGCCATGAGGGATCCGCCCACATGACCCAAGCAGGCCCCACCTCCAACATTGAGGATTACAATTCAACATGAGATTTGGGCAGGGACAAATATCCAAATCATATCACATATTTTTTATAACAGTCCTTTATCATAAATGCCTTTTGCAGATATTTTCTCCTAGTCTATGGAGAATTGCATTTTTTTTTTTAACAGAGTCTCACTCTGTCACCCAGGCTGGAGTGCAGTGGTGCGATCTCAGCTCACTGCCACCTCCACCTCCCGGATTCAAGTGATTCTCCTACCTCAGCCTCCTGAGTAGCTGGAACTACAGGTGCAAGCCACCATGGCTGGCTAATTTTTGTATTTTTAGTAGAGACAGGGTTTCACCATGTTGGCCAGACTAGTCTTGAATTCCTGACCTCAGGTGATCCACCCGCCTCAGCCTCCCAAAGTGCTGGGATTACAGGCGTGAGCCACCACACCTGGCCGAGAATTGCTTTTTTTAATTGGGATATAACCAACATACCTTAGATTTCAACTATTTTAAATGTACAGTGGTTTTTAATACATCTTCAGGGTCGTGCAATCATCACCACAGTTATTCTTTGAAACATTTTCGTCACCCCCCTCCAAAAACATACCCATTAGCAATTGTGGCCCCTTTTTCTTCAACACCACCCTCATCCCCTAGAACAATAATCTCTTTTGGGTCTCTGTAGTGACTGCATTCTTTCACTAAGCATAATAGTTTTCAAGTTTCACCCATGTTGTAGCGTGAATGAGTACTTCATTTTTTTGTGTGTGGTTAACTAATGTTCCATTGCATAGATATAATACATTTTATTCATTCATTCATTCATTGATGGATATTTTGGTTATTTCCACTTTTTGGCTATCCTTTAATGAATTCCACTTTGGCATTACACTAATGGCCTATACTAAGGGATATCATAAGAAATACTAGAAACATGAAGTTTTACTTACTGTCAGGTTCTTTCTTCCATTGCCAGGATACTATTTTATGACAACCCATAAGTGGTAGGCTTAATCTGAAAAACTGGTTTTGTTTTATATGCTCAGAGACAACATGAATGCTGTAACAAATTATTTTTCATTCTTGGTGTTCATCTTGCTTCTTTTTACATTGTTGTATTATTTTTTAACAAAATGGGGATAAACATTAGTGGCGATTTAGCTCACTCTAAAGTTATGGCAAATGGGCTTTCCAGTTGATCCATCTTGTCTGCTCTTTACTGTACACGTGGCTGACAAAGAGAAGGGAAGATGGACCCGCCCTCTTGAACATGTCTAGTAACTAGTTCCTGCCGGCATTCACCCTTGCAAGCTCTTAGCTGGTTTGCCTATGTCTGTGGCTTGACCTTACAGGCTGCTCTTTGTTAGAAAATGATTTGGGGCTGCTTTTCATGAAAAAGAAAAGCCTTACCGAGGGCTCCCATGCCCTTGCTATCTGCCTAAGTAATTCCTTCTTAACTCCTATATCATCACCTCACATAGTTACATGTTTTGCGGTGAGAACACTTAAGACTTATAGTAAATTTCAAGTATACGTTATTAACTATACTCACCATGCTGCACATTTGATCTCCGGAACTTATTCATCTTATTACTAAAAGTTTGTACCCTTTGATCAAAATCCCATTTCTCTGCTCCCTCTCAGACCATAGCAACCATCTTTCTACTTTCTGTTTCTATGAGTTTGACTGTTTTAGATTCCATACATGAGTGAGGTCATGCAGTATTTGTCTTTCTGTGCCTGGCTTATTTCACTTAGCATAATATCCTCTAGGTTCATCCTTGTCACAATGGCAGGATTTGCTTCCTTTTTTTTAAGGCTTTTGTTCTTGTTGCGGTTGTTGTTTAAGCTCTCTAATTACAACTATACATATTTTTTCTTTCTTTTTTTTAGCACAGCTGTGAAGAATACATATTTTCCCCCCTGGCTCGAGGACCTAGAAATATCTTTTAAACAATAGTAAATTAACTAGTCTTCCTAAACCACCATATACTGTCTGTGTATGATCACCTCAGAGTCTATTTATTTGGTAGCGGGAACAGATTGTTAGCCTGAAAGGTCTGTTTCCACAGATCAAATCCTCTTAGCTTGTAAGTAATTCTTTCTTTCCTTTCTTCTTTTCGTTCCTTTCTCCCCTCCTCCTCCCATCCACTTTTTTGCTTTCAATATTTTGATATGGAAATTTTTAAACACAGAAGTTGAAAGCATTTTACGGTTAACATTCATATACCCACCACCTGGAGTTCTGGAGTTTACAACTAACATTTTATCTACACCTATATCTATTCATCTCATCCATAAACTAATCTTATTTTTGATGCATTTTGAGATAAGTTGAAGACATCAGTGTATTTCACACCAAAATATTTCAGTATACATGTCAACTAAAGTTAAACTTTTACTTATGGTTTTTGTTATTAGGTAAAATATAATGTGAAATGCACAAATCTTTTGTGTAAGGGTTTGAGTCACATAGGCCAAAACTTATGTTATAGGATAGTACCATCACCACAGCAAGTTCCCTCATGTTCTCATGTCAATCCTGGCCTCTACACTCCTAATACAATGACCGTTAGGATTTTTTCCACCACAGAACAGTTTCATCTGTGTTAGAACTTCATATAAGTGAAATTATACAGTATGTATACTTTTATATCTGGATTCTTTTAGTATAATGTTGATATTTGTCCTCCTCGTTGTGTGGATTGGTAGTTCATTCCTTTTCATTGCTGAGTTGTATTCCACTGTATAAATATACTTAGGTTCATTTATCCATTTTTCTGTTGATAAAACTTGGGCTATTTCCCATTTGGAACTACTATCAATAAAGCTGCTATGAACATTCTTGCACAAGTCTTTTTGTGGACTTTAATTTATCTTGGGTAAACACCTAAGAAAGGAATTGCTGGATCACGGGGTATGTGAGTGTTTAGCTTATTAAGAAATGGCCAGCCCTTTTCCAAAACAAAATGTGAATTTCACTTGTTCCACATCCTCACCAATATCTTGTATTGTCTGTCTTTTTAAATTTTAGTCATTCTGGTAGATGTGTAGTAGTATGTCTGTGATTTTGAATTTTCATTTCCTTTATAACTAATGCTGTTGAACATGTTTTTCAAGTGTTTATTGTCTACTCATCTATGTTTTTTTTTTTTTTTTTTAACTTGAGACACCGTCTCACTCTGTCGCCCAGGCTGGAGTATAGTGGCGGGATCTTGACTCATTGCAGCCTCCACCTCCCAGGTTCAAGTGATTCTCCTGCCTCAGCCTCCTGAGTAGCTGGGATTACAGGCATGTGCCACCATGCCCAGCTAATTTTTGCATTTTTAGTCGAGATGTGGTTTCACCATGTTGGTCAGGCTGGTCTCGAACTCCTGACCTCAGGTGATCCACCCACCTCGACCTCCCAAAGTGCTGGGATTACAGGCGTGAGCCACCGCACCCTGCCTACTCATCTATCTTCTATTGTAAAGTGTTATGTTCAAATCTTTTGCCCATTTTATTGGGTATTTATTTCACTGAGTTGTCAGGAGTTCTTTATATATCCTGGATACCAGTCCTTTTTCAGATAAATGTTTTGTGAATATTTTCTTCCAGTCTATGGCTTGCCTATATATTTTCTTAATGGTGTCATTTCTTTGGCAGAAGTTTTAAATTTTGATGTTTTGTTTTCGTTTTCTTGTTTTTTGAGAGAGAATCTTGCTCCGTCGCCCAGGCTGGAGTGCAGTGGCAGAATCTCAGCTCATTGCAACTTCCGTTTCCCAGGCTCAAGCGATCCTCCTGCCTCAGCCTCCTGAGTAGCCGGGACTACAGGCCTGCACCACCAGGCCAGCTAATATTTTTGTATTTTTGGTAGAGATGGGGTTTCACCATGTTGGCCAGGCTGTTCTTGAACTCCTGACCTCAAGTGATCCACCTGCCTCGGCCTCCCAAAGTGCTGGGATTACAGGCCTGAGCCACCATGCCCGGCCATTGATGAAGTCTATTTTATCAGGTTTTTCTTTGATAGTTATTTACATCCTAAGAAATTTTTTGCCTACTGTCAAATCACAAACATATTCTCCTATGTTTTCTTCTAAAAGTATTATAATTTTGTCTTTTACATTTAGATTTGGGACAACATAGCGAAGAGACTCAGTCTGGCAGGGAAGAGACATGGTAACCAAAACCCCAGGGTCCTCACATGCCCAGGCATATGCCTTCCTCTACCTTCTTGCCTCCCTTAAAGGGTTGACCCAAGTCACGTAGCAGATAGCTGCTGCCTCCTCTGAATTCCCAACCATAAAAAAAAAAAGAACGTAACCGTTTATTTCCTTGAGTTACTTCTCCCAAGGCTATTAAAGTGAGACTCTAGCATTCCTGATAAGAACCTGACCAGATGCACCCAGCTAGACAAGATAGACTCCAGCGCTGACCTTTCATCAAGGTCTTCCTCCTAATAATCTCATTATAATGCTAAAAATCACACCCGGGGTGGAGATTTAACAGCTAATGAGACACACAATACATGAAGAAGCATATTATCAAACTGTGCAGGTAGTACATGCCTATATATCACCCTTTTTCACCTCAGCTTCCTTAAAATGGCAAGAGCTAAAGCCCTTCAGGGAGCTAGCACTGGGACCCCTTTCCTGTACGCTGCTCACTTGCTTTGCTTGAGCCACAAGCCTATTATACCTTATCTGTGAAAAATTTGTTTGGCCTGGTGTTAATTTCTGGGTTTTGTTTTTGTTTTTGAGACAGAGTCTTCCTCTGTCCCCCAGGCTGGAGAGGAGTGGTGCGATCTCAGCTCACTGCAACTTCCGCCTCCTGGGCTCAAGGGATCCTCCCTCCTCAGCCACCCGAGTAGCTGGGACTTCAGGCACGTGCCACCACGCCTGGCTAATTTTTGTATTTTTAGTAGAGATGGGGTTTCACCATGTTGGCCAGGCTGGTCTCAAACTCTTGACCTCACGCGATCCGCCCACCTCGGCCTCCCAAAGTGCTGGGACTACCGTCGAGCCACCACACCCAGCCCCATCCTGGCGTTAATTTCCATTTACACGAAAGCCAAGAACTCGGGGCACAAACTGTGGTGACAGATCTATAATCTGCCTCAAACTGACTTTATGTATAGTGTGAGATAGGAGTTGAGCTGAATTTTTTTTTCATATCGTTATCCAGTTTTTCCAACACTATTTTACTCAGTAAGCTAGCAATATATAAAATTAAGATACAGAAATCAATAGCCTTCATGTACACTAAAACCAGTTAGAGAAGATAATGGTAGAGGAAAACCACCTTCAAATAGCAATAATGAAGATAAAATAAACTTAAGAAATGTGCAAAACCTATTTGAGGAAAAGTTTAAAACACTTCTGAAAGACACAAAGTAGATTTGAACAAATGGAAAGATATCCCTGTTCTTAACTAGAACAACTCACCTTTGCAAGGACTGATGAGGAGGAGATATCAGTCCTCCTGTAGTTAATTTTTTGTTCATATCTGTGTGTCTGTCTGTCTACCTATCTAGTAGAGACGGGGTCTCCTTATGTTACCCAGTCTAGTCTCGAATTTCTGGGCCCAAGTGATCTTCCCACCTCAGCCTCCCAAAGTGCTGGGATTGTAGGCATGAGTCACAATTTCTGGCCAAGTTAATTTTTAAATTTAACACAATCCTAATAAAATACTAACAAGGTTTTTAATGGAGCTAGACAAGTTGACACTTTCCATATAATAAGCATGCAACAATAGCTTGCAAAACACTGAAAAAGGAAATAATAAATGGAATGTTAAAGCCGACTAAAAAGCCTTACAAACAAAACAGTGTGGTACTCCCTGCATGAATAGACAGGCTGACAAGTGAAACAGAAAAGAAAGTCCAGAGATGTATGCTAAGTACATAGGGAAATTTACTGTCTGATAAGGGTGACAGCTCAAACCACTGGGGCAAAGATGACCATTTTAATAAACAGGGCTGGATAGCCATTTGGAAAAAGATAAAATTAGATTCATACCTCACACCTTACACAAGAATCAATTTCAAATGGATTAGAAATCTGAATAAAGAAATTAAATGATATAACCATATAAGTCCTACAAGAAAATTTGGGTGAATTCCTGTATAACCTGGGTTTCTAACTATGACTCAAAGTCCTGATGAAATAAAAAGTTAACACATTTGACCACATAAAGGTTTTTAAAATCTTTTGCATGGCAGAAAAATAGCATAAGCAAAGTCAAAGACAATGACAAACTCAAGGAAAATATTTGCAACATGTATCACAAAGGGCAAATATTTCTAATATCTAAAGAACTCTTAAAAATTGAGGAGAAGCTGGGCAAGGGTGGCTCACGCCTGTAATCCCAGGACCTTGGGAGGCCAAGGTAGGAGGATCACTTAAGCTCCGGAGGTTGAGGATGCAGTAAGCTGTGATTCTGCCACTGCACTCCAGGCTGGGTGACAGAGTGAGATGCTGTCTCAAAATCAAAACAAAACATAGAAAAAAAAAAAAAGCCAGGCATGGTGGCTCACGCCTGTAATCCTAGCACTTTGGGAGGCTGAGGTGGGCAGATCACAAGGTCAAGAGTTTGAGACCAGACTGGCCAACATAGTGAAACCCTGTCTCTACTAAAAATAGAAAAATTAGCCAATCCTTTTAGGGGGGAGAATTTGGCAGTATCTAACAGAAATCCACACACATAGCCATTTGAAGAACATTGGAATTTGCCCCGAAGTTATATCTTCAACAATACAAAAATACCTATACACACAGTTATTCAGTGCAGTATTTCCTTTGTAGATACAAAACAATGAAAACAACCTAAATGCCCATACATAGAAGAGTGGTTAAACTATAGTGTACCCACACAATGAAGTAGTATGAACTGCAAAAACAGAATAAGAATCTATGAATAATATGAAATGATTTCTAGGACATGTTAAGTTTTAAGAAAAGTAGAATGCAGGCCAGGCGTGGTGGCTCCTGCCTGTAATCTCAGCACTTTGGGTGGCTGAGGCAGAAAGGTCCTTTGAGGCCAAGAGTTTCAGACCAGCCTGGGCAACATAGCAAGACCCCATCTCTACAATAAAATAAAATGAGTGCAAAAGAGTAATAAAGGGAAAATAAGAAAATGTACACATATCTGCTCATTGTGCAGGAAGAAACACAGAAAATGTTAAGCAGGAAGTAAAGAGATTGGTTACCTACAGGTGGTGAGTGGAAATAGGATGGAAAGAATGGAGGCTAGCAGGCCGGGCACCATGGGTCATGCCTGTAGTCCCAGCACTTTGGGAGGCCAAGGCGGGTGGATCACCTGAGGTCAGGAGTTCAAGACCAACATGACCAACATGGTGAAACCTTGTCTCTACTAAAAATACAAAAAAAAAAAAATTAGCCAGGCGTGGTGGCACATGCCTGTAATCCCAGCTACTTGGGAGGCTGAGGCAAGAGAGTCGCTTGAACCCGGGAGGCAGAGGTTGCAGTGAGCCGAGATCATGCCATTGCACTCCAGCCTGGGCAACAAGAGCGAAACTCCATCTCATAAAAAAAAAAAAAAAAAGAATGGAGGCTAGGAATGGGATAGAAAGAATCAAGGGTGGGAGTGAGACTTCTTTGAGTATATATTTCTGTATAGTTTTGGCTTTTAGAATCTTGTTAATAATTCCTCACATATTCATAAATAAATAAAATCAACAAAAATGGGGGAGGACCCTAAGATGCAATATAAACAAACCTAACTATATGTCAAATGAATAACATAACTACATTGTGGAGGTAGTGGCAGTGAAGGAGGTAGCACAGAACATACAGACAGATAAATACATATAGAAGTATGCATATGTATACATACATATATTTCTCAGCTTTGTCCTCTAAGAAAGCCTGTAGAAGCAATTAAAACCAGTACCAATGAGCATATGTAGTTGCCAAATTCTGGCTTCTAAATACCATTCTCCAATAAAAAGAATAAGAGAGGGGAGGGGAGAGAGGAGAAAAATACAGGATAGGATCCAGTATCTTAGAAACAAGGATAGCTTGTCCACTATAACAGAATGAAACACAAACTATACGAATAAAGACAGACACAAGTAGGTGCATACATTTAGTAGCAGGAGGATGAAGAGAGAAAGTTACATTCATAGCCTGCGGAATCAGAAACCGTGAGTTAAAATCTAGACCTCATCACTTACATGTTACGCATCCTTCGGCAAGTTGATTTAACCTGTGCATCAGTTTCCTTCTCTGTAAAATGCGGATAATATCAACTATAATTTGCTGGAGAATAGTGCTTGTTATACAGTAAACACAACACATATTAGCTATTATTTTTTCAATGTTAGTTACAATTTTGCTATAAACACTATAAAATTGTTTAAAAGCTAACTTGTCACAGGTTCACTAGAGTAAAATCCTCAGGCATATACTCAGCAAAAGATAGTAGAGGATAAATAAGTTAATGTAAAAAAGAATCAAGGTACGAGTTCAGATGTGAGCAAGAAAGCACAATAGAACTTTCCAGTGCTTGGCTCCTCACAGGAACATCAATTTGAACAACTATCCTCACACAAAAATACCTTCTCAAGAGCTAAAGAAACCAGATGAGAGCTTATAGCACCTGAGTTTAATGCAGAAATAAGAAAAACTACATTGAAGATGGTAGGAAGGACAGTTTTATATTATCCTCATAACCCCTTCCTCAATCCCAGTCAGCAGTGTGGACAGAGACCCTCCGCTTGGGGGAAGAGGGAAGTGAGCACCAGACTTTGTCCATCCCAGTAAAACCAACACTGGGCCCATCCCAGTAAAATCCTGTGCCCCCATGGCCCCAAACTCTAGGCCAGTATCCCCAAACTGAGCCTCCAGACTTGCCCCAGTGCTAGGCCAGACCCTGTAGCCCCAGGCTCCAGGCCTGCCCCATGGATTTGGTCTCTGGGCCAACCCTAGCATCAAGCCAGCCCCTATAGACAGGTCCATCCGAGCAGCCTCAGATTCTGGACCACCTCCACAGCCACAGGCTTCAGGCCCACCCCAGCACTAGGCTGCCCCCACCCTTAGCCCTACTCATCAGGCTGGAATCCCTGGTCCAATCGCCAGGTTGACAATCCTGGCTTCAGGCACCAGGACAGCACCTGTGGACACAAGTTCCAGGCTTGCACAATGCCAGGCCAGCCACTGCAGCCCCATCCTCCAGCAGACCCAGGGTCCAGGTTCATCCCAATAGAGCCTAGCACTGAGCCAGCCCCCATGGACTCAGGCTATAGCACTGCTCCTATGGACTTAGATTCCAGACCCATTCTAATGCCTGGCCAGCCCCTGAAAACTGAGGCTCAAGGCCCCACCCTGTGGACCCAGGTGCTGGGCCCACTCACTTCCTTACCCAGCTACCTGGCCAGCCTGCCTAAGGACACCAGCAGCAAGCCCACTCATAGACCACATCAGACTACCTGCTAAGAATCTCTGGACAGGCTGAATGTGGAAGGGCTTTCCAAGACAAAGCCAGTCTACAAAGGCTGAAATAAGTTCCAACTTCTTCAAATTGCACAGAAACCAACGCACAGCCGTAAGGATAAAGAACAATCAGGGGAACATGACACCATCAAAGGAACAAAGGAAAGCACCAGGAAGTGAACCTAAAGAAATGGAGATTTATGAACTGCCAGCCAAAAACTTTAAAATAATTGTTTTAAGGAAGTTGATTGAACTTCAAGAAATACAAAGAAACAACTCAACAAAATTAGGAAAAGAATAAACAAGAAATTTAACAGGAATTGAAATTTAAGAAAAAAATTCTGGAACTGAAAAATATAGTGAATAAAATGAAATAGCGAGTGGCAGAATTAATGAAGCAGACAAATATGTGAACTTGAAGACAGTCTATTTGAAAATATAAAGTCAGAGAAAAAAGAAAAAAGAATAAAAAGAAGTGAAGAAAGCTTACAGGATTTATGGTACAGGATCAAAAGAGCATTATATAAATTATAGGTGTTCAAGTAGAAGACAGAGACAACAGAACAGAAAGCTTACTTACGAAAATAATTGCAAAAAGCTTTCTAAACCTGAGAAAACATATAAATACCATGTAAAGGAAGGTCAAAGATCTGAAATCAAATTCAATCCAAATAAGACTACACCAAGACATATTATAATCACACTGTCAAAAATAAGACAAAGCGCAGATAATGAAAGCAGCAAGAGAAAAAAATGCATATCACATATAAGGGAGGTCCAGTAAAGTCAGCAGTGAATTTCTTAGCAGAAACCTTACAGGCCAGGAGAAAGTGAGATGATTATATTCAAAGTGCTAAAGGAAAAACCTGCTAACCACGAACATGTTCCTGGCAAAGCTGTCCCTGAGAAATGAAGGAGAGATAAGACTTTTCCAGACAAACAAAAGCTGAGCGAGTTCATTACCACCAGACTTGTCTAACAAGGAATGCTAACGGGAGTTCTTCAAGATAAAAGATAATGCTAATTAGTAACACAAAAACATATAAAAGTATAAAACTCACTGGTAAAAGTAAATATACAAATTCAGAATACTCTAATACTGTAATGATAGTGTGTAAATCAATTATATCTTTACTATGACGGTTAGAAGATAAAATTATTAAAAATAATAGGGCCGGGCACAGTGGCTCACGCCTGTAATCCCAGCACTTTGGGAGGCCGAAATGGGCAGATTACCTAAGGTTGGGAGTTCGAGACCACCTGGCCAACATAGAGAAACCCCACCTCTACTAAAAATACAAAATTTGCCAGGCATGGTGGTGCGTGCCTGTAATCCCAGCTACTGGGGAGGCTGAGGCAGGAGAATCGCTTGAATCTGGGAGGCAGAGGTTGCGGTGAGCTGAGATGGCACCATTGCACTCCAGCCTGGGCAACAAGAGTGAAACACTGCCTCAAAAAAAAAAAAAAAACAATAATAGTAATAATAGCTACAATAATGTGTTAAAGAATGTACAATATAAAAAGATGTAAATTCTGCCTTCAAAAACATAAAATGGGGGGAGTAAAAGTATAGTTTTTTAATGCAATCAAAATTAACTTGTTATCAGCTTAACATAGCCTGTTGTAATTGTAAAATGTTTTATGTAAACCTCATAGTAACCACAAAGCAAAAAGCTATAGAAGATACACAAAAGATATAAAGTAAGGAATAAAAATATCACTGAAGAAAATCACCTAATGACTAAGGAAGGTAGCAAGAGAGGAAGAAAGGAGCAAAGCATCTATGAAACAACCAGAAAACAATGAACAAAATAGCAGTAATAAGTCCTTACCTATCAATAATTACTATGAGTATAAATGGAATAAATTCTCCAATCAAAAAACTGGTTGAATGGATTTTTAAAAAGTAAAACCTAACTATATACTGCCTAAAAGAAACTCACTTCACCTTTAAGGACACACACAGATAGTGAAGGGATGGAAAAATCTATTTTACACAAGTGAAAACCTGAAGAGAGCAGGGGTAGCTATACTTTAGATAAAACAGAATTTGAGTAAAATCTGTAAAAAGACACAAAGAAGGTCATTATATAATGATAAAGGGGACGATTCATCATGAGGATATAACAATTGTAAATATAGATGTATCCAACATTGGAGCACCTAAGTATATATATGGCAAATATTAATAAATTTGAAGGGAGAATACACAATACAGTAAGAGCAAAAGACCCCTCTCCACAAAAAATGTGAGGTAATGCATGTTAGTTAGCTTGATTTAGCCATTCCACAATGTATACATATTTTAAAACACATACACATGAATAGTTCTTGTCAATATGTACACACACACACATATATATATAGTCAATTAAAACAAGTAAAAATAAAAAATGAAAAACAAACTTATAGTAGCTGGCCTTTCATTTTCCTCAATGGTAGAATAAGGCCTGATGTGATGAAAACACCCATATTATTAAATCAATTTCTCACAAGTCATTTAAAGGCACCCTGCTACTATTTTGGATCTTCGCCAATTCTGAGCACATCACACATAAAACGAAAACACTTCAGTTACCAAAGGTATCACTTGTGAATGTCTTTTTTCATTTTTAAAGCTGATGAGGTATTGGATAGTCAACTATCCTTTCCAGTCTTGCCCCATCCACCCTTAAGCAATTACTAAATAGTTCTCACATCTAAGATGGTCATTTATGTTGTCTCCTTTGCCTGAAATTTTCAGCCCTCGTCACCCAGTCCTCCTTTCTCCTATTCCACCTCTTGGCTTTTAAAATGCAACTCAGGTAGCAGCTTTATTCATAATAGCCAAAAAAGCAGAAACAACCCATAACAAATTGTAGTATATCTTTACAATGAAACACATTAAAAAGAATGAATTGTTGATATATGAAACATGGATACATCTCAAAAACATGCTGAAAGAAACCTTGCACAAAAATACTGTTATGATTCCACTTATATGAAGTTCTAGAAGAGCCAAATTTAGTCTATGATGGAAACATAATAGCTATTGTTTCTAGAGGATAGATGAACAGATTGGTTAAGGAGAATAAATAAACTTTCTAGGTTGATGGTAATGTTCAAATACAGATTTGGGTTAAGCAGTGTAAGCATTTGTCAAAACAGCAAATATATATAGTTTGTGTATTCGCTATATATAAATTATACACCAAAATAGAAAACAGTAAACTTTTAATGATATGCACACTGAAGTAGTTAGGAGGTAGTGTGCCGGTGTTTGCAATTTACTTTGAAATACATAAATGAGAGACAGATGGATATGTGGTAAAGGCAAGTACAACAGTGTATTCAAAGTAAAATTCTTTCAACCTTGTTGTGTGAAAATTTGCATAAAATGTTGCAGGGGTAGGGGGTGGAACCAAGATGGCCAAATAGGAACAGCTCCACTCTACAGCTCCCAGCGTGAGCGACACAGAAGACGGGTGATTTCTGTATTTCCAACTGAGGTACCGGGTTCATCTCACTGGGGAGTGTCGAACAGTGAGTGCAGGACAGTGGGTGCAGTGCACCAAGAGTGAGCTGAAGCAGGGCGAGGCATCGCCTCACCTGGGAAGCGCAAGGGGTCAGGGAATGACCTTTCCTAGTCAAAGAAAGGGGTGACAGATGGCACCTGGAAAATCAGGTCACTCCCACCCTAATACTGTGCTTTTCCAATGGTCTTAGCAAACGGCACACCAGGAGATTATATCCCGCGCATGGCTCAGAGGGTCCTATGCCCACAGAGCCTCGCTCATTGCTAGCACAGCAGTCTGAGATCAAACTGCAAGGCGGCAGCGAGGCTGGGGGAGGGGTGCCCGCCATTGCCCCTTGAGTAGGTAAACAGAGTGGCTGGGAAGCTTGAACTGGGTGGAGCCCACCACAGCTCAAGGAGGCCTGCCTGCCTCTGTAGACTCCACCTCTGGGGGCAGGGCATAGCCAAACAAAAGGCAGCAGAAACCTCTGCAGACTTAAATGTCCCTGTCTGACAGCTTCAAAGAGAGTAGTGGTTCTCCCAGCACGCAGCTTGGGATCGGAGAACGGACAGACTGCCTCCTCAAGTGGGTCCCTGACCCCCCAAGTACCCTAACTGGGAGGCACCCCCTAGTAGGGGTAGACTGACACCTCACACGGCCGGGTATTCCTCTGAGACAAAACTTCCAGAGGAACGATCAGGCAAATTCACCAATATCCGCCATTCTGCAGCCTCTGCTGCTGATACCCAGGCAAACAGGGTCTGGAGTGGACCTCCAGCAAACTCCAACAGACCTGCAGCTGAGGGTCCTGACTGTTAGAAGGAAAACTAACAAACAGAAATGTCATCCACAACAAAACCCCATCTGTACGTCACCATCATCAAAAACCAAAGGTAGATAAAAACCACAAAGATGGGGAAAAAACAGAGCAGAAAAACTAGAAATTCTAAAAATCAGAGCACCTCTCCTCCTCCAAAGGAATGCAGCTCCTCGCCAGCAACGCAACAAAGCTGGACGGAGAATGACTTTGATGAGTTGAGAGAAGAAGGCTTCAGACGATCAAACTACTCCAAGGTAAAGGAGGAAGTTCGAACCCATCAAAAAGAAGTTAAAAACCTTGAGAAAAGATTAGACGAATGGCTAACTAGAATAATCAATGCAGAGAAGTCCTTAAAGGACCTGCTGGAGCTGAAAACCACAGCACGAGAACTATGTGACGAATGCACAAGCCTCAGTAGCCGATTCGATCAACTGGAAGAAAGGGTATCAGTGATGGAAGATCAAATGAATGAAATGAAGCGAGAAGAGAAGTTTAGAGAAAAAAGAATAAAAAGAAATGAACAAAGCCTCCAGGAAATATGGGACTATGTGAAAAGACCAAATCTACGTCTGATTGGTGTACCTGAAAGTGATGGGGAGAATGCAACCAAGTTGGAAAACACTCTGCAGGATATTATCCAGGAGAACTTCCCCAATCTAGCAAGGCAGGCCAATATTCAAATTCAGGAAATACAGAGAATGCCACAAAGATACTCCTCGAGAAGAGCAACTCCAAGACACATAATTGTCAGATTCACCAAAGTTGAAATGAAGGAAAAAATGTTAAGGGCAGCCAGAGAGAAAGGTCGGGTTACCCACAAAGGGAAGCCCATCAGACTAACAGCTGATCTCTTGGCAGAAACTCTACAAGCCAGAAGAGAGTAGGGGCTGATATTCAACGTTCTTAAAGAAAAGAATTTTCAACCCAGAATTTCATATCCAGCCAAACTAAGCTTCATAAGTGAAGGAGAAATAAAATACTTTACAGACAAGCAAATGCTGAGAGATTTTGTCACCACCAGGCCTGCCCTAAAAGAGCTCCTGAAGGAAGCACTAAACATGGAAAGGAACCGGTACCAGCCACTGCAAAATCATGCTAAATTGTAAAGACCATTGAGGCTAGGAAGAAACTGCATCAACTAATGAGCAAAATAACCAGCTAACATCATAATGACAGGATCAAATTCACACATAACAATATTAACCTTAAATGTAAATGGGCTAAATGCTCCAATTAAAAGACACAGACTGGCAAATTGGATAAAGAGTCAAGACCCATCAGTGTGCTGTATTCAGGAAACCCATCTCACATGCAGACACACACATAGGCTCAAAATAAAGGGATGGAGGAAGATCTACCAAGCAAATGGAAAACAAAAAAAGGCAGGGGTTGCAATCCTAGTCTCTGATAAAACAGACTTTAAACCAACAAAGATCAAAAGAGACAAAGAAGGCCATTACATAATGGTAAAGGGATCAATTCAACAAGAAGAGCTAACTATCCTAAATATATACGCACCCAATACAGGAACACCCAGATTCACAAAGCAAGTCCTTAGAGACTTACAAAGAGACTTAGACTCCCACACAATTATAATGAGAGACTTTAACACCCCACTGTCAACATTGGACAGATCAACGAGACAGAAAGTTAACAAGGATATCCAGGAATTGAACTCAGCTCTGCACCAAGCGGACCTAATAGACATCTACAGAACTCTCCACCCCAAATCAACAGAATATACATTCTTTTCGGCACCACACCACATCTATTCCAAAATTGACCACATAGTTGAAAGTAAAGCACTCCTCAGCAAATGTAAAACAGAAATCACAACAAACTGTCTCTGAGACCACAGTGCAATCAAACTAGATCTCAGGATTAAGAAACTCACTCAAAACTGCTCAACTACATGGAAACTGAACACCTGCTCCTGAATGACTACTGGGTACATAACAAAATGAAGGCAGAAATAAAGATGTTCTTTGAAACCAACGAGAACAAAGACACAACATACCAGAATCTCTGGGACACTTTCAAAGCAGTGTGTAGAGGGAAATTTATAGCACTAAATGCCCACAAGAGAAAGCAGGAAAGATCTAAAATTGACACCCTAACATCACAATTAAAAGAACTAGAGAAGCAACAGCAAACACATTCAAAAGCTAGCAGAAGGCAAGAAATAACTAAGATCAGAGCAGAACTGAAGGAAATAGAGACACAAAAAAACCCTTCAAAAAATCAATGAATCCAGGAGCTGGTTTTTTGAAAAGATCAACAAAATTGATAGACCGCTAGCAAGACTAATAAAGAAGAAAAGAGAGAAGAATCAAATAGACACAATAAAAAATGATAAAGGGGATATCACCACCGATCCCACAGAAATAGAAACTATCATCAGAGAATACTACAAACACCTCTGTGCAAATAAACTAGAAAATCTAGAAGAAATGGATAAATTCCTTGACACATACACCCTCCCAAGACTAAACCAGGAAGAAGTTGAATCTCTGAATAGACCAATAACAGGCTCTGAAATTGAGGCAATAATTAATAGCTTACCAACCAAAAAAAGTCCAGGACCAGATGGATTCACAGCTGAATTCTACCAGAGGTACAAGGAGGAGCTGGTACCATTCCTTCTGAAACTATTCCAATCAATAGAAAAAGAGGGAATCCTCCCTAACTCATTTTATGAGGCCAGCATCATCCTGATACCAAAGCCTGGCAGAGACACAACCAAAAAAGAGAATTTTAGACCCATATCCCTGATGAACATCAATGCAAAGATCCTCAATAAAATACTGGCAAACGGAATCCAGCAGCACATCAAAAAGCTTATCCACCATGATCAAGTGGGCTTCACCCCTGGGATGCAAGTCTGGTTCAACATACGCAAATCAATAAATGTAATCCAGCATATAAACAGAACCAAAGACAAAAACCATATGATTATCTCAATAGATGCAGTAAAGGCCTTTGGCAAAATTCAACAACTCTTCATGCTAAAAACTCTCAATAAAGTAGGTATTGATGGGACGTATCTCAAAATAATAAGAGCCATATATGACAAACCCACAGCCAATATCATACTGAATGGGCAAAAACTGGAAGCATTCCCTTTGAAAACTGGCACAAGACAGGGATGCCCTCTCTCACCACTCCTATTCCACATAGCGTTGGAAGTTCTGGCCAGGGCAATTAGGCAGGAGAAGGAAATAAAGGGTATTCAATTAGGAAAAGAGGAAGTCAAATTGTCCCTGTTTGCAGATGACATGATTGTATATCTAGATAACCCCATAGTCTCAGCCCAAAATCTCCTTAAGCTGATAAGCAACTTCAGCAAAGTCTCAGGATACAAAATCAATGTACAAAAATGACAAGCATTCTTATACACCAATAACAGACAAACAGAGAGGCAAATCATGAGTGAATTCCCATTCACAATTGCTTCAAAGAGAATAAAATACCTAGGAATCCAACTTACAAGGGATGTGAAGGACCTCTTCAAGGAGAACTACAAACCACTGCTCAATGAAATAAAAGAGGATACAAACAAATGGAAGAACATTCCATGCTCATGGGTAGGAAGAATCAATATCGTGAAAATGGCCACACTGCCCAAGGTAATTTATAGATTCAATGCCATCCCCATCAAGCTACCAATGACTTTCTTCACACAATTGGAAAAAACTACTTTAAAGTTCATATGGGACCAAAAAAGAGCCAGCATTGTCAAGTCAATCCTAAGCCAAAAGAACAAAGCTGGAGGCATCACGCTACCTGACTTCAAACTATACAAGGATACAGTAACCAAAACAGCATGGTACTGGTACCAAAACAGAAATATAGACCAATGGAACAGAACAGAGCCCTCAGAAATAATACCACACATCTACAACTATCTGATCTTTGACAAACCTGACAAAAATAAGCAATGGGGAAAAGATTCCCTATTTAATAAATGGTGTTGGGAAAACTGGCTAGCCATATGTAGAAAGCTGAAACTGGATCCCTTCCTTATACCTTATACAAAAATTAATTCGAGAGGGATTAAAGACTTAAATCTTAGACCTAAAACCATAAAAACCCTATTAGAAAACCTAGGCAATACTATTCAGGACATAGGCATGGGCAAGGACTTCATGTCTAAAACACCAAAAGCAATGGCAACAAAAGCCAAAATTGACAAATGGGATCTAATTAAACTCAAGAGCTTCTGCACAGCAAAAGAAACTACCATCAGAGTAAACAGGCAACCTACAAAATGGGAGAAAATTTTTGCAATCTACTCATCTGACAAAGGGCTAATATCCAGAATCTACAAAGAACTCAAATTTACAAGAAAAAAACAAACAACCCCATCAAAAAGTGGGCGAAGGATGTGAACAGACACTTCTCAAAAGAAGACATTTTTGCAGCCAAAAAACACATGAAAAAATGCTCATCACTGGCCACCAGAGAAATGCAAATCAAAACCACAATGAGATACCATCTCACACCAGTTAGAATGGCAATCATTAAAAAGTCAGGAAACAACAGGTGCTGGAGAGGATGTGGAGAAATAGGAACACTTTTACACCGTTGGTGGGACTGTAAACTAGTTCAACCATTGTGGAAGTCAGTGTGGCGATTCCTCAGGGATCTAGAACTAGAAATACCATTTGACCCAGCCGTCCCATTACTGGGTATATACCAAAAGATTATAAATCATGCTGCTATAAAGACACATGCACACGTATGTTTATTGCGGCACTATTCACAATCGCAAAGACTTGGAAACAACCCAAATGTCCAACAATGATAGACTGGACTAAGAAAATGTGGCACATATACACCATGGAATACTATGCAGCCATAAAAAATGATGAGTTCATGTCCTTTGTAGGGACATGAATAAAACTGGAAACCATCATTCTCAGCAAACTATCGCAAGGACAAAAAACCAAACACTGCATGTTCTCACTCATAGGTGGGAATTGGAACAATGAGAACACGTGGACACAGGAAAGGGAACATCACACACCGGGGCCTGTTGTGGGGTGGGATAGCATTAGGAGATACACCTAATGTTAAATGACGAGTTAATGGGTGCAGCATGCCAACATGGCACATGTATACATATGTAACAAACCTGCACATTGTGCACATGTACCCTAAAACTTAAAAGTATAATAAAAAATAAATAAATAAAAATGTTGCAGGGGAGAATTCTAGCATCAGCCTTATAGGAAGGCTCCCTGAGCACATCCACTGTTTGCGCCCCTCGTCTGTGCTCCCCTAACACACAGTAAAAACACTGAACTTACTTCATTTTATTCTTTTGGCACCTGCATCCTAACCCCCAGCAGAACTGTAAGCACAAAACCTGTCTTGTTGGTCTTTGCCTTCTCACCAGCTAGCACTAGGCCAGGCACACATCAATCAATAATTTGTTGACCTGAAGTGACATTTATTTAGTGGACTTCAACACCGAGTTTCCTCATAACCAAAGGCATGGTGCTTTATCGAATCATTTTCTTTTGCTGGATCATTACAGCCACCAGAATAGTCTGTCTGATCTGTATTCAACCACGTGACCCCTTAAAGTTCCCTTTGTGGCAGAATATTGAAGACATTTCAATTTTCCTACTCATCTTCCCCAGTCTCTCAGCTTTATTAACTAAACCACTGATAAGCTCAGGACTCAGATTCAACTTACATCTTCTTTATGAAAGCCGGTTAGGTAGCATATTAAGGACAATTATTTATTTACACCTACCAACTCTATAACCAGCTGAACTCTAAGTAGATAGATGCACTATGGCACAATGAACAATGTACCATTTTATGTGTATGCAATTATGAATATTTCCCTTATCTATCAAATAGTTTCAATGCTTTCTAGGACTTAATGCAGCCAGACTGCCTGGGCTGGAATACCAACTCCATTATTTACTAGCCATATAACCTTGTCTAAGGTATCAGTATCCAACCTTCCTGGCACCAGCGGCCAGTTTCATGGAATATAATTTTTTCCATAGACTTTGGGGGCAGGGTGGGAAGGGGGGCTCAGGATGAAACTGTTGCACCTCAGATCATCAAGCATTCTCATAAGGAATGCTCAACCTAGATCCTTTGCACGTGCAGTTCACTTTAGGGTTCGCGCTCCTATGAGAATCTAATGCCACGGCTGCTCTGACAGTAGGAAAGCTCAGGTGGTTAATGCTTGCTCACTAGGCTGCCACTCACCTCCTGCTGTGCGGCCCAGTCCCTAACAGGCCACGTTCTGGTACCCCTGGTCTAAGGTATTTAAACTTCTTTGTACCTCATTCTCACCTTCTTCTGATTTGTTAAAAAAAAAAAAAAAAATTGGTGGCAGAGGGTGGGGGAATGACAGCATTATCAACTCTTGTCATGAGGCTTAATGAGTTATTACATGTAAACTACTTAAAACAGCACGCAGCTGTTTTAGCTATCATTTTATATGTTCAGTTCTGAATCACTAATGACAGAAGACAATTCTGATATACAAACTAGCCCAAATGAACAATGTGCTAGTGTTACACTGACATGAATCTCTTAAAGAGTACAATGCAAATCTTAACACTTTCTTTGATGAGTTTTCAATAAGAATTCAATTAGTAAATTCTTTTTCAAATGGTTTTACCTCCATGCCATGAGCCCCTTATTTAAGGCAGGTTTCTCTCTTACTGTCTCTCTCTCATTCTCTACCTCAGCATATCCTGCTTGTTTCCTTCCTGGCATTTATTACAAGTTTCATTATTTTGTTTTCCCCAATGGATCTATGAAGGAGAGATCTCTTAACACATGCTAGCACACAGTAGGCACTCAAATGTACCCTGTATAAACAATGTAAACATTTGTAAATGTGTTTAACTCATACCAGATGAAAATTAAAGCAATAATGGTTACAGGTTCCTATTTTAAAGTAATAATCCAATTAGGGATTTGGTTTCATTGTAAATACATATGATTTATTAAAAATATAAACTGATGGTATTCTCTATAAATTATTCCCCAAACACATTAAAAGATGTGATAATAGATATAAATTTGCAAACCATTTATAGCCACCCTCCCCCTTTGAGTACAAGAGAAAACATACAACATACTGTAGGTTTATTTTTATTCAAAAAGTTACTGTCTCAAGACATAAATACAAATCAGAAAACAGTACAATTAGGACAATAGAATGTGGAGGACAACAGGTTAGAGTAATATATAAAACATTTTTAGCTGGTTGAAAACAAAGCTGTAAGAACTGCTTTCACAAAGAAGTACTCCTTTCAAGAGTGAGAAAAAAAATCAACTTAGGTTTAAAATCATATATACAGTCCTCTCAGCAGTTCTAGTTAATGCAGTGGTGTGTAAAACAACATAGGCAATACTTTTGCACATAACAATATTTGTTGATGGAAAATCTGTTAGACAAGTCTGGATTCATTTGTTATTAACCATGACTTAATAAAATAATTGTATCATGATCTTTTTAGCTAACCTATGGTTTTTGGCTACCACAGCCCAATGCTTGATTTCTGACTAAAAACTGAAAGCCTTTTGGTATTCACCCATCTGAAGATATTCTTGTATTGCAAGCATATTAAGGCATGGAATGATTAAAATAATATACCTCAAGAACTGAGAGACGACTGACAATAGATAGATACACATGTAATATAAGTTAATATTTTGTTTTAAACGATGTCTAGCTGCCTAAGCCTCGCAAAATGAGTTGATGTCAAAATGGCAAGTAGCCACTTTCTGTTTTAAACTAATTTATTTGTGAAAGGACATAAAATGAAGTTTAAAGCTTAGCTTTCAAAGAATATTATGGGTTATGAATTCTATTATCCCATCTAATTTACATACAGAGGAAATGTACTGTAACCTGTTAGAAGTATCTTTAACCTGAAGACTGCTTGCAAAGACAGATAGATAAAACAATATAAAATACAAATTTAAAAATCATTTTAAAGCATGAACACTCATGCTTTTCTATTTTTAAACATTGTTAAACTTTCAATATATTTCTGAAACCTCATAATTTTAAGTTGGAATTTAAAAGTAAGAAAAAACTAAACAAACTGCGCAATTATAAAATCAGCACCAATTTATATATATATATAATTTTATTTAAAATTTAGATCCCTATTCCCACACTCTAATAAGCTGTATAATTTTTGTTTAGAATTTTTCTGCAAACATACTACAATAAGCTTCTTTTATTTGGAGACAAAATACAGTGGCATTACTGGAAGGAATATCACAACATTACATTTTTATCTTAAAGGACAAGCAAACTTTCAGGGTTGATAATGGGATAAGCATGTTTGAGACTGGTTACCTTCTGGCAGTTCACTGCATCTGGATATTTCTGAAAAGTATAGAGAAGCTCTTGGATTTTAAAAATATCTTAAAATACTTTTAGATGAAAAAATTGTAAAAGTTCTGCTTATAAGTTTACTTTTCTCCACAATTACAATATTTAAAACAAAGTTTTGTTGATTGACGTTTTAAGCATTTAAATTTAGAATGCTAAAAACAATTCTATCCTACACTTTCTTCAGGGTAGGGGAATAAATACATCCTTAACATTGTTTTCTGGATGTAAACAGAAATCCAGCAGAGGTCATCATTATTTAGTACAACCAGTAAATAAATGTAAGAGAATTCATATCTGTACCAAATGCCTCTTCAGATTGTTATTTTGTTTTTTTTTTTTTTTAAAAAAAAGCATGAAATAATCGATTCAAAAGCCAACTAACAGCGCATAAATAAAATATTTACTTTCTAAGAAAAACTGTAGCTTATCATCAAATTGTTTACTTGTCCTTTACGTTTATTCAGGCAAACAAAACTGCCCCTCAATGCACTTGATCTTGGTAAGCATAAGCATGTCATATTCTCCTTAGAGAAAAATCTGTACAGAATTTCACTGTATCTACCACACTTTAAAATTTCCTCTTCCACTTAGAAAATGACTTCACCACAGATTTAATTGTGTACTGGTATTAAAACATTGACACTCCAAGAACCTAATGAGAGAGAGAGAGGGGAGAAAATCTCGTTAAAAGTCATTCATTTCTTTAAATATATCCATAAATATTACATTAATACTTTATTATGTTAAATAACATGCTAATAAAACCACTTTGAAAACTTCCCCTCTCTTCAGATGTATAATTCTAAAATTAAATTGACCATGATATATAATGAAATAACATCAGGACTAATCAAGATGCTACTTACCTCACATATAATTAAAGTAGGAACCTTGGATTAATTATGCTTATATGTACCACTAATGTCTAGATAATACCCTAAACATAGGCACTCAACATAGGTATTTGTTAAATGAATAAATGAATGTGCTTCTTCACATATATTTCTGGCACAGGTTCCTTGGAAAGGGGTTAAGAAAGTCTTGCAAACTTGGCTATTTGTGCTGGGAAGTGGATATGGTTTTTCAAAAAGGCATTTGAGTATGCAGACCAAAAAAAATCTAAGAACAATTCAAGTATGTAGAAAGCAAGAAGCTTTCTTTAGAAAATCTGGCCAAAGTGAATGGAACAGAACTACAAATTTTAAGAAATCAAAAGGGTAAGGTAAAATCTGGGCAAAATGACTTACATTGATGCTTTCTATATACTCCAACTGAGAAAGGAATGTTAGGTAAAATCTAATAATTACTTGTCTAAAAGTAAAAGCAGATGATGAATGGAGCAACTCTCCCTTGTTCACTAAACAAGAATGGCATGTGACTCTTAGTATATATACTAAAAGTTAGGTTGTTCAATTAAAATTCTAGCACTTATGCCCATTAAGTAATATTTTAGAATACTATAATAAGCTATTAAGAACTGATATCAAAGCCAGATGTAATGAGCTGAAATATTACAAAGAGCTCTTACTTGTAAGTTAAATCTCTTATAAGTTCTATGAACAAAAGTCATAGAACTCATGTATTGTTTTGAGCTGAAGAAACTGTGTATTTGCAGATCCAGAAACAAGTATCTGATTGCAGCCTCTTTATAATGAATTATCAAGTAGTGTTTGGAATCCCAAGTAATGAAAACAAAGAGGACTCGTGCACCCAATTTCTTACCTGTCCATTCACAGTAACTACCACACTACTAATCCCTTGTCCTCTCCCCTTCCCGCATGCTTCAGGGTTCTCCTTTTTTGGTTCAAGTCAGAGTTTGGGTGGTTAGAACGTTTCCACCAAAAAGACCGAGATAATGTTTAAAGGCCAATTCTTACCATAACACTCTATGAATCTCGGTAGAAAAGGTCTGATGATGAATGAAAGTACAAAATCTTAATTAGCAATTTAGTATTGAGTATGGGATGAAGACGAACTCAAGTTCTTTCCAAACAGAGTGCCTGACTAGAAAGCACCCAAACACTTGAGATTCTTTTTGTTTTGTACAGACTAGGTTATAAGTAGATTCTCTTACTAGAACATTAAATTAGCTCCATTACATGGAGCCCTTCTTTACCAATTTTATACTATAAATAATTCTAATAAGAGAATCTCAACACAAGAGAATGAGAGTAGTGACACTTTCTTTTCTGTGCCAACACAAACTCTGCCTGTTTCTGATGTTAACATTAATAAATACTTAAACATATTTAATATCAAACTTCAGTGTATTTTGGCAATTCTGGCAGAAAACAACTGTTATCAAAATGGTATAAACCAATTTTGTGTCCAAATATAAAACCAGCTACACCATAAATCTAGAATTTTATGTATATGCAACACAAAATATGTTCAGAGTTTTTATATTACCACTCCTGGATAATGTGAAAATCATGTTTAAAAAGATATTTTTACGATTTATTTAGAAAATCTTGTTTAAAAATTAAGTGTTTAAAAAGATATTTTTTATGATTTATTTAGAAAATCATGTTTAAAAATTAAGTGTTTAAAAAGATATTTTTACAATTTATTTAGTAACAAACTGAAGTGTCTACATTAGGGTGCTTTGAGTTACTTCCCTTAGAATTGGAGAATCTCAGAACTGGACATTAAAGAATTTAAATCCCAATTTTGCTACTGTTTAGATGACTCCGGTATTATGGGCTTCAGTAAGAACAGATGTGGGGTATTGTATAAAGGCAAACAGAATTTGACATTCAAAATTTTCCATTATTCCATTTCTTAAGTTATGGTTAAGACAGTATGGAGTATAGTTTAGTGTATATTTAAAAAATAAACTGTTAACTTTAAAAAAAAAATTACATGGTCAAAGACTTCTAAAGACACCTAAGCCTTTAAAGATTACTGAGCATTCAGTTATGTGACTGCTGCCATCATGTGGTAATGCTATAAAACTACAGTTATAAGTACATGTGCTAATTTTCCTAATTTTTGTAGCAGAAGCAGCTAAACTATTATCAAATTAAGAATAAATAAAAGCCCCTCAGTTGTAACATTCAATATACATGAGAATGCTATAAAATCACTATAAATAAAAAATGACTATTAGGCCCCTATTTTTCTCTAAATGTTAAATGTCAAAAATAGATACACATAGTTAATATTGCTGTTTCATTATTTTAGTAATCTGAAGAACACCTTTTTGCAAATCTAGTATGTAACTAAGAAAACGAATGTTAAAAGTTCTCCTGACATTAGACAAATACATTAAAAAATGGTGATCCTAACTGCCCATATTAATTTTGATCACAGTTAACCATTTCGATTTCTTAATTACTTTTGTTGGTGTTCTCATCCAAATGGGGATTTTAGTTTTGGGAAGCACAACAGTAGAAGACAGCATGAGATTATTAAATCAAAAGGAACTGGCATCAAATTACTACTCGGACACTTGCTAACTGTATAACTGAGCAAAGTCACTAAATGATCTCTTCAGTCTCAGCTTGCTATGGTATGAAAGTGGAAATTCCCATTACCTTTCTCACACGGTTGCTGAGAGGATCAAAATAAATCATACCTAGCACAGTGTCTGTCACCCAAACTCTCAGCTACTACCTTCCATACTTTTCATTTCAAAGTGATAGTCAAGGTGCACTAGAATATGAATTCCTTAAGGACAGGGAGTGTCTTATTCGCTTTAGCACCAACTTCTGATGTAATAAATTGTTGAATAAATGCATTTCATCGCACCTGCTTGAAAATATTCCTTTACCCCTCATCACAATCACTACCTCCATGTTTTATTTAACAAACTAAGATGATACATACTGTTAGATTAATTATCAAGAAAACCATAAACTTCAGTGTGCAGTTAAACTATAGACTTATGAGTGCAACAGGTCATTAGGTACTATAAAGTCTTGCTACTCAAAGTATGGTTTGCAGACCTGAAGCACTGACAGCATTTGTTAGCAGTGCAGAATCTCAGGCCACACTTAAGACCAATTGAAGCAGATTCTACTTTTTTTTTTTTTTTTTTTTTTTTTGAGACAGGGTCTCGGCTCTGTCACCCAGGCTGGAGTGCAGTATTGTGAACACAGCTCACTGCAGCCTCAACCTCCTGGGCTCAAGCAATCCTCCCACCTCGCCCTCCTGAGTAGCTGGGACCGCAGGTATGCATCTTCATGCCCAGCTAATTTTTTTAGTTTTTGTAAAGATGGGGTCTCACTGTGTTGCCCAAGCTGGTCTCAAGCTCTTGGGCTCAAACAATCCTCCCACCTTGGCCTTCCAAAGTATTGGGATTACAGGCATGAGCCACTGAGCCCGGCCCCTTGGCCTTATTAGTAAACATGTTAGTGTGAATTAGTTTGTCAAAATAGTTCTAAAAGCTATCTGAAAGCAGATTATGAGGTAGGAGAGGGCAAGGTGGGAATGGTAGAAATTGTACATAGAAGGCAGGCCTTTGAGGATGGTATAACCGTCACCTGAGGCAGTAGGTGTGAGGAACAAGGAACATAAAATGGGTAGATTCTAAAAAGGGAGATGGCAGGGCATTTAAATGATTTATTCATTTGACAAAACTAAATATCTATTGTGCTGGGCAGAACTAAGAATGAATAACATCATCACTGCCTCAGGGAGTTCAGTCTAGTGAAGGACCAGGGCATGTAATATCCTATCTCACTACACAAGTCTGGTAATTATTACAATAAAGTGTGTACAAACAGTTAAAGAAGGAGAGAAAAAAAAATCTGTGGAAGTCAGCAAAAATTCCACAGGTAATGTCAGAATTAGTATCAAAGAAAGACTTTACTAGGAGGAAAAATAAAGGGGAATTTCTGGCAGAAAAAAGCTTATACAAAGTTATGGAGTCAGGAAAGAGCATAGTGTATCTGAGTGGAACTACAAGATTTGATATGGCTAGAGCATAGAATACATGTAAGGAAAAGGCCAAGGTTAAGATGGCAAGGGAACCAGATCATAAAAGGCTTTGTTTGCTAGGCTGAGGAGCTAGAATTTTCTTCCTAATGGCAATGGGGGGGAAAAAAATCAATAAAAGACTTAGAACGATAAGTGAGAATATCAGATCTGCATTTTTAGAAAGATGACCCCACAAGAGGCATAAAGGAGCAGCGGGACTGCAATATCAGCTTAAAGGCTTTGCAACAGCCCATGTGAAAACTGAGGAGGACCCGAATCAAGGCACTGTCAAGGAGAATATGGCACAGGGGACTGATATAAGAGGTACTTAAGAAAAATAACTGACAAAACCCAATAATAACCAATTAAGGATGGTGGGAGTGGTAACTGACTCTCATCCTAGATAGCTAGATACCCTTCTCTTCATTATCAAAGCCTTTGTTCAAGTTCTCATTATTTTTCACCATGCCTTTATATGACGCCCCTCATTCATCCTGTCCCATCCATAAATGTCAAGGAAATCTTTCTGAAACACAATTCTGATCATGCCATTACCTTATTTAAAATCTTTCAATGGGCAACCCATTGAAGAACAGTACAAACCTGGAAGAACAGTCCAAATTCCTTAATATTCAAGTCCCAGTCAGCCAGGATTCAAAAGTACTTTTCTAATCTGTCAACACTATTGCAGCACTCTCTTCCCCTCCCACTGAAATCCTGCCTGCCTGCCTCTTTTTCTCACATCCAGCTGTTTTCATCTATTCTCAGTATGCTGCCCCAGGTCTTCAACCTCAAACTGAGAGACTGCCTATACTTCTGATTTTGCAATCCTAGGGTACATTTAAATTAAACCTACTGATTCATCCATAATTGAAGCTGGATCAAAGAAATCAGGCTTCAGTTCTGTTCTCTCTCGTCTGTTCTTTGATGGTGGCTAAAGGAAAAAAGGAAATAAGTTGACATTAGTTTAGCTATATCTACAAACCAGATAGTAACTGAAAATATCCAAGTTCTTCACATGGTCTATGTGATTCCAAGTGTACCTGACACAATATTTTAAAAACTCATGGAAAATTATCAGCCGGGTGCGGTGGCTCACGCCTGTAATCCCAGCACTTTGGGAGGCCGAGGCGGGTGGATCACGAGGTCAGGAGATCGAGACCATCCTGGCTAACACGGTGAAACCCGGCCTCTACTAAAAATACAAAAAATTATCCGGGCGTGGTTGCGGGCGCCTGCAGTCCCAGCTACTCGGGAGGCTGAGGGAGGAGAATGGCGTGAACCCAGGAGGTGGAGCTTGCAGTGAGCTGAGATTGTGCCACTGCACTGAAGTCTGGGCAACAGAGCAAGACTCCATCTCAAAAAAAAAACTCATGGAAAATTATCCTAAGAGACAAAAACCGGAAAACTCACTTTTCATTTTACTTTAAAAATCATATTCCTTTCGAGGCACCAAATTATACCATTCTAAAAATTTAATTATTTAAGAAGAATACACAATATACTAAAAAGAATCATAAGACTGGACTTATAAGTATCAACTTTACTGTTTGCTAGTTTTGCCTCTTTGGAGAGAGTAAGCTTCAATATCCTCAATCCTTTCAACCTACTTCACAAAGTTTAATGAGATATGTAGCAAGATGAAATATGTAAAACCATTTTGTATATGATCAACCCTAACCACATATTTAATTATTAATAAAGAATACACTCCTACCTGTATTTAATTTCCTTCCAAGTTTAAGTAATTTTACTTCATTATCTGATACGGAATTTGTCTCAACAAGTAGTATTAATATATTGTTTTGATAATGGTATACTTTTATACTAACTCATATTTTTTAAAATGCATAATTAAATAAAAATTGATTTTCATAGTCAAATTAGTATTAATCAAAATATACCCTTTAAACCTATATATTCCTAAATTAATCTCAGAAACAAACAGACAATTGTTATCATCTTAATCTAGGATCTACCACCTTCACCAACCTTACTCTCTTCTAAATCCCTTCCCATATATCTAAACCCCTGGCAACTATTTTAATATTTTTGCAAAACTTACTTCTCTTGGTAAGTATTTCTCTACTCTAATAAATATCCAACATAATTTTCAAAAGATCTAAACTGAAAATCTTACAGAAATCATTAAGTTTCTTACCAAATCTATATCCATGGTGTCAAAATCCATTCCCTCATTAAGATCCTCAATCCTCCCTTCTGAGGACATCATAACATCTTCCACAATTGGCTCTTCATCATCTTCCATTAGGCTTGTGCCACGCCGACTAGAGAAATATAAAACAAAGTCAAGATCTGAACTAATGTCGTGACTATTAATATCTAGGCAGCAGTATGTGGCTCTCTATATTCAAGTATAATGGAAAATGATGGAATTAAAGGTCAGGGAGAATGATTAGGCATTGATTATGTCATCAATGATATCAAAACCCAATGTTTACTTGTCTAAAAATGCTAAGGAGTTATGTTTATTCTACATTACTTCAGTACATTTAGCTTTATAGTTCTGATATCCCATATACAAGGTTCAATGAGAATTTCCCACATGGGAACATACAAGATACCTCAAATCCTTTTTGAAAGTAGGCAGGGTACAAATTAATAAACAAACATAAAACAGAGACCAAAAAAATGACATTTTCAGAAAACATATATTTTCATCAATATATAATGCTAATTTTACCCATCATCACTCCCTCATTCATTCAGTACCTAATGTGTACCAGGCATGCGCGCACTCACTCACACAATGCCTACTACGTGACAGGCTTCTACTGTGTCCTATGGATGTTAAAAAAAAAAAAAAAAAAAAGATGAATAAGACTAAGACATGATTCCTGCCCTCAAGGAGCTTACAGTCTACCATGGCAAACAGAGATAAACAATTAATTATGACAAAATGTGATAAATATTACAAGAAAACTATGCATCAAGTGTTATAAGGACATACTAAAATAAGGAATTAATTCTGCCTCAGGAAGAAATGAGGAACACTCATGCTGAAACTTCAGATTCGTGTGCCCTATGAAACTCAAAACTAAGACATATTTAGAAATTTAAAATGAAAAACTAAGACCAAAAGTTATATATGTTATTACATAATTATGGGGAATAAATTAAGTTCACAAATTAGCCCAGATCAGCATAAAGTAGCCAACATAATAGTGAAACTGAGTAGGACTTGTTTTTCCCTAGTTTGGCCAACATTACCTTCTTTTCTCATCCAAAGACACCCCCACAGTCAAGAAAGTTGCCAAAACCCCAGCAATTATTTACCGAATGCTTACAATTTACACAATACTATGCTGGTTCTTAAAAGATATAAAGATAACAAGATACGATCTCTGATCCATGTTACCTGGACAAATATGTTTATAATGGTCCTTACTTCCTAACAGTTCTGGGTAGAAAGACAATTTTACTATATTTTGTAGAGGCAACCGTGAAGGGAATATATGTGCTGTATGAACTATGTGACAGAAAATCAGAAAGCCGTTCTGCATTTTGTTTGAAGTACAAGGAAGATATATGTGATACAAGCTATGAAAAATAAAAAAGAAAATTTGGAAGTATTTTTAGTTATAGGGCAGATACCATTATAGAAAAATCATTGTAAGATGAAAATGCTTTAGAGTCCCATGCAATAGATGACTTATGGTACAACCACCAAAGAATCCTTTGGTAATAGTCATTTAACTGAGATAATTTCTTGTAGTTGCCGGGAGGCGGGGGAGTTAACTATAATTGGGAATTAAAATGGTACTAAGTAGTGACATGCTATATAGGATCTTAGGAACTGGTGTAATGTTTTATGGGGAGAGATATAGACCAAATGATTGCATGGCAGAATTCTGGAATATATGGACCGGCGACTACTTGGAAGCCAAGAAATCAGTTGTAGGATCCAGCATAAAATAAGAACTTATATTAAAAGGAATGTGGTCACAGAAACAGACAAAAGGGGATAGAACTATGTGACAATATAGATGATGACCATATTAACCAGGATCAGAATCTATACGTGTAATAGAGTATACCTTGTGTCTCTAGAGGTTAAGACCACTATGGAGATAACTAAAGTGAATTTATGCAGGCCACCACTCATAGTAAATGATCATTTTGTAAGAAAAACAGGTAAAATTCTTAACATCTAAAAACCAACAAGACAGAACAAAATATAAATTAAAAAAAGAAGAGGGTAACAACTACTATCTCCCAATAGTAAAACATATACCACATTATAAATACAATGCTTTCAAACTCAAAAACTTAATCATAATCATCACACTTTTCCCTGTATACCAATCAAGACATTTAAAAAAATTATCTAAAGACTGCTTGTCTGCCATGTTTTTTAGAGCCAAAGCTAATGAAGATTTTAGAAAGATTTATAAAGTTATCATACATAATCCAGTAAAAACAAAGTATTTAAAAGATAAACTTCATTTTTTTAGCATTGAACATTTATTCATTCAATGAACATTTACTTAGCACCTTTTACGTGCCAAGCACTGATAGGCAATGAATGTGGTCCCTGCCCTTGAGGAGCTCACAGTCTAGACAAACGGGACAAACTCATAAACAAATATTTACAATACAATGTGGCAAGTGCTATAAGAAATATGGATATACATAGTGTTATGGGAGCATAGATGACCAAAGCTTCAGTTAAAGTGACACCTGAGCTTGTTCTTTTATGATGATTTTACCAGCTGCCAGGGAATAGGAAATGATACTAAAACGTGGCAGGGGCCATATTTTGAAACATCTTGCATGCCATGAGCTAAGGAAGTTGGGAGTTTATCCAGCAGGCAATGGGGAGCCACAGAAAGGTTTTAAGTAAGAGTTACATGGTAAGATTTTTATTCTAGAATAGTAATTCTTGATGGTGGTGTGAATGATGGAGCGGGGGGTGAAGGGAGAGGTTTGGTGAGAAAATAAATGGGAGATTTGAGGGAAGAAAACCAGTTAGAAAGCTAATACAATAGTTCAGGTGAGAGATGAGGGCCTGAACTAAGTTGGGAAAATCAATTAGGATGTAACACAACTGTATTTTTAATGCTGTGTACCAAAATAAACAAGGATTGATATTTAAACTTTTCCAACAGATCAACCTAAGATTGGTCCTTTGGCTAACTAGGTAGTATTTTAATTAAAATATTTTGCTTTTCTGTTGGAAAGACCAATTTTTAGTTCCTTGATTATTTCAGCTTAGGTTACTCTAGAGAGTTTGCTGAAATTTTTAGATAAGGCACACATTAAAATGTTAAAATGAATTAGTGAACTTCCTAGACTCAGACAATAAGGCACTCTCACTTACATGGCATGCTGAAGATTAGTTCGCAGTTTAACATAGCTCATTGCTGCTCTCTCCTGCTGTTGCCTTGCTTCCTCTTGTTGTCTTTGAGCTAACATCCATGTTACCTGCGTGCTTCAAGGAGAATTTTATTCCTCTTTTAACTTAACTTTTTCTATGTAATTAATAAAGTTATAGTACAGAAAATGATCAAATGTACTTACTTATAATCAAGAGGTGTTTGATGATGTTCAGTCTGCATTGGATAAACACTCATGAAGCTATCCTCAGGCCGTAATCTTTTGGGCTCTCTCATAATAGTGGAGGTGAGTTGTGGTGTCTGCATCATAACAGGGGTGTGCAGTGTTTGTTCTCTGCTTAACCACATACTGTCACTACTACTACTTTCTTCAGCTGGAAAAGAAAATTAACGACGAGGTTTAGTCACTAATTTTGACTATTCAGATGTCTAATACAACCTGTTCAGGTCAATAAACATCTGTTGATTTCCACATGCAAGTCACAGGAACGGGGGACACAAACCTATGTAAGGGGCAGTCCCTGACCTGGCCTTAGAGTCTAGTTGCGACACAAAACAACCAGGCAATTAAAATACAGTGTGGTAAATGCAAGGAGAGAGGGAAGTATAAGGGGAATGGGGGCAGTGAAAGGGGTCAGAGCCAGCTATCCAGAAGCAACTTCTAACTAGAGTAGGTATCAGGTGGGCTAGAAAGGCTTTTTATTCTAGGCAGGGAGAAGAACATAAAGCAAGAACACTAAGGCAGGAAACAAGGACTAAACCTTTTTTTTTTTTTTTTTTTTTTTTTTGAGACAGAGTCTCGCTCTGTCACCCAGGCTGGAGTATAGTGGCGCAATCTCAGCTCACTGCAACCTCCACCTCCTGGGTTCAATCAATTCTCCTGCCTCAGCCTCCCAAGTAGCTTAGATTACAGGAATGCATTACCATGTCTGGCTAATTTTTATATTTTTAGTAGAGACAGGGTTTCAGCACGTTGGCTAGGCTGGTCTTGAATTCCTGGCCTCAAATGATCTGCCTGCCTTGGCCTCCTATAGTGCTGGGATTACAAGTGTGAGACATCGCACCCAGTCGACTGAACCCTATTAATCTGCTGATATTTGACCTACAAAAAGGGCAATTTCATATGGTTCAAAACTAACAGTTTGCTACTCCTGGGGCATAAAGATTGAAAGGGTAGCAAAAGACAAGGCTGGATAAAGAAGCAGGAATCAAACTGTGGAAAATCTTGTGAGCTCTTCTAAGGTAACAGGGAACTGCTGCTGAAGGTTTTAAGGTAGGGAAGCAATTTGGTGAGTTACATGTTTTAGTCAATGTGGTGGCAGTGTGGGGAGTGAACTTAAAAACAGAATACCGGTGAGCAAACAGACCAGTTAAAAGGCTAATTGTGTGGCCTAGGTGAGTGAGAAATGGCAACAGGGATGGAAGCAATAGGAGACTGGTTCCCAACCTATGGGATGCAGACCACTGAGCAGGTAGTAAGAGGCAACTGCAAGGGGGCCACAAATCTATACAAATATTAATTAAGCATTGGACTAAAAAGAAAAAAGGTTTCACACCTGCAAAAGCTACTTTTTTCAAATGTCTGTAAATGTTGCCATAATTAATAAGTCAAATTTGTGTACAATTGTTACTGAATTAATAGTAATTTTTAAAATCACTGACCTGGGAGAAAAAAATTGATAGCACTTTTTGATTGTGAATTTAGAAGAAAACTATTTCATTAGAAGATTATACATATGAGGCCAGGCGTAGTGGCTCACGCCTATAATCCCAGCACTTTGGGAGGCTGAGACAGGCGGATCACGAGGTCAGGAGTTCGAGCCTGGCAAAGATGGTGAAATCCCATCTTTACTAAAAATACAAAAATTAGCCAGGTGCGGTGGCGGGCGCTTGTAATCCCAGCTACTTGGGAGGCTGAGGCAAGAGAATTGCTTCAACCTGGGAGGTGGAGGTTGCAGTGAGCTCAGATCACACCACTGCACTCCAGCCTCAGCAACAGAGCAAGACTCCATCTCAAAAGAAAAAAAAAAAAAAAGGCCAGGCGCAGTGGCTCACACCTGTAATCCCAGCACTTTGGGAGGCCGAGGTGGGCAGATCACCTGAGGTTGGGAGTTCGAGACCAGCCTGACCAACATGGAGAAACCCTGTCTCTACTAAAAATACAAAATTAGCCAGGTGTGGTGGCGCATGCCTGTAATCCCAGCTACTTGGGAGGCTGAGGCAGGAGAATCGCTTGAACAAGGGAGGGGGAGGTTGCGGTGAGCCAACATCACACCATTGCACTCCAGCCTGGGCAAAAAGAGCAAAACTCCATCAAAAAAAAAAAAAAAAAAGATTATACATATTTGCAAATGTGTGTAAGGTTTTAAGGAATAAGAGTGGAAAGAAAATGCATGAATAGCTAATACTCTAATAATAGATTAAACATAAACTCCACATTTTGCAATATAATTACATCAGCCTTTAAGTTCTACTGCATTCAGGCTCCAATACTGTCTTCAAAATTGCATTGACTTGGCCAACCTATCAGTATTCATACTTCCTTCTGTTAACTTATTAATGCCCCAATTTCTATGATTCTCCCCAAAAACCTGAATGAGAGCATTGATTCTTCCTGTAAAAATTGACGTATCTGGTTTAATAATCTATTTGTAAAATGTGATATAAATACCAATTCATATGTGTTTCCATGAGGTCTAAAAAAAAAAGAGAGATTTCTGTAATATAAATACCCATTCATGTGTTTCCATGAGGTCTAAAAAAAAAGAGAGAGAGAGATTTGATGGCCCAGCACACACCTATAACTATTAACTACTAGTTCAGATGATAAAAACTTTCAAAAATTTAGTGATATGAGAAAACATCATCTTTCAATTTGATAACATTTTGTTTTTAAAAAACAGAAAAGTTTCTTTTAACTTATAAACCATCAGCCCTAACTACTTTAACTGGCCCAGGGTAATAAAAGAGATTTCCCCATCAACTGTGATGTTGGGACTATATAACTAACCAGTGTAAAATTGTACAAGTTAGAAATATAAGGTTATGCCTTTATACTACTGGACAAAAGATACTAAAATTCATAGGACAATCAAGTTTTAAACACTAAGCACTTGATCATAAATGAAAGCTGATGAGTTATGTGGCAATTTAAAAATATGGCCCCAAAATTCTTTGACGTTCCTCACATTAAGAGGTTAAGAATTATGTCCTCTCCCCTAGAATCTCTGTGATTGCTTGGCCAATAGAATATGGCAGAAATTACGCTATGCTAGTTTTTGGGCCCAGGCCTTAAGAAATTGGCACCTTCCACTTCTGGTCTTTCGGGACACTTGCTCTTGGAGCCTAGTGTTATGCTGACATGGAGAAGTCACACGTTGGTGTTCTGGCAGACAGTACAGCTGAGGTCCCAAATGACAGCCAGCATCAGATATGTAAGTGAAGATGCCTCCGTATGATTTCAGCCACCAGCCTTTGAGCCTTCCTGGCTGAGGTACCAGACACCATGATCCTGGCTATGTCCTAAGTTTTGAGGTAATTTGCTATTCAACAATAATAACTGGGACAAATTTTGACAACTATGCTAATTTAATAATTCCTAAGAAAAAGAAAAAAGTCCCCAGGCCCATTTTGAACCAACTCTGGAGTGCTAGGAGTCTAAGAGCTTCAAGCGTCATAATGCATTCCTACCTCTAATACGATAGCACTCTATTTCTATGAAGTTCTTCATGATTAATGGCCTCTTCATAGGAATTCAGAAGTTGCAACCTCTCTGAATCTGTTGTTCCACTTTAACTAGATGATCTGATCTCTTGGGTAATAACTAGCTCTATAATACTGAGTCCATTTCCCTATGCATACAGTGTAGCACAGATTTTAAAAAGCAGGCACTCTACAGTGAAACTGCATGGCTCTCCTACTTAATAACTGTGACATGAGTATGTTACTTAACCTCTCTGTGTTAAGTACTGTCATCTGAAAAATGAAGATGTACCCAAAAAGTTGTGAGAACTGAGTTTATGTATCTAAAATGCCTACAACAGCATGTTTACACATAATGAACACATTTTGTAAGCTATTATTGAACACATCTCAAATAAAAAATAAGGTGAACCTTAATGACAATTCAGTTGGTAAACATTAGGGATAAATATAAAGAGAATAAATTATATCCTTACTGAGTGAAAGCTGCATGCCCTCAACCACTTTCCGTTTTCCTGTAGATGGTTTTGATTTTTTACTCCGTACTGTTGACCCCCGGCTGCTGATTCCACTAATGACTGACATGGTGTCATCATCACCACCAGCTAGCAAAGAATTTCGGTAAGACATCAGTGGAAGCCACACATCCTCTCTTCGGAGTGACATCTGAAAGGTCATGAACTTTTCCAAGTAAACATACCTTGAAAAGAAATCGAAACTGTTAGCTTTGATACAGAAATCTGTGGGTTATATTAACTCATAGTTGTGCGAGCATAGGCATATTACTTCACTACTCAAACTCAGCCTTACAGGACATTAATGAACAATGTTGTCTCTGCCAAGATTTTCACATCAAATGAAATAATTCAGAGCACTCAGTTTAACATTTGCTGAGTACCTATTATGTCCCAGGCACTATGGATAGATACAAAGATGGATATGATATGATACCTACCTGCAAAAAAGTTTCAGCCTGATGGAAATCATAAATCTACCCTTGGATCCAAGTATCTCAAGGCTTATATGTAATTTTGCAATCAAAATTCAACTAACGTTCATGTGACGACTATGTGCTAGATATTTTTTTTTTCCTCAGGTTCCTTAACTATTCTTACAATTCTATGAGGGAAATGTTTTCCCAATTTTACAGGTGACGAAAGAAAGGATAATTGAAATTAAGAAGTAATCCCACAGTAATAAAAATGAGTAGGCAGCATAACTATGATTCAAGTCCAAGGCTCTGACACCAAGAGTTCTATAAGGCTAAATTATGCTTCAAATAAAGACAACTATTTGTCAATTAACTGTAAAGTGCAATTCAAATATTTGCTGTCATTGTAATGACTGATTTCTATCAATTCAGATTCACCAGTGTGAACAGCATTAAAGAGAATAGGAGAAATCAGTCACAAAGCATACTGCTTTGTTAGCTGTTCAGTGTGCCTTTCTCTTTTTTTTTTTTTTTTTTTTTTTGAGACACAGTCTCACTCTGTCATCGAGGCTGTAGTGCAGTGGTGCCATCTCGGCTCACTGCAACTCCGTCTCCCAGGTTCAAGCGATTCTCCTGCCTCGGCCTCCTGAGTAGCTGGGATTACAGGTGCACACTGCCATGCCTGGCTAATTTTTGCATCTTTTGTAGAGACAGGGTTTCACCATGTTGGCCAGATTGCTCTCGAACTCTCTGCCCGCCTTGACCTCCCAAAATGCTGGGATTACAGGTGTGAGCCGCGGCACCCGACTCCCAGTATGTCTTTCTGTATTACAATACACTTCAGTCATATATAGTAGTACAGTACTCCTCCAAGTGTGGCCTGTGAACTGGCTACCACTCCAAAAACTGTTAAGTCTGCAACAAGATACAAAACTTGAGCCAAAATATACTCACTGGCAGAGAGATTTACAATTATGTACCCACCACATACCTAAATAGGACATTACAGATAAGTAGCCCGCACTAAAGCTATCCCCATTTTGCTTCCTCCTCGTGCCCAGAGGTTACCACTACTTATCACCCCCATGCACATTTTGTACATTCAATACATAGTTGTCTGTAAACATCATAGTACAGTTTTGTACTTTGCTGTTTGTACTCAATGAAATCCAGCTATTTTTACTGTTGTATGGTATTCCATTATATATCAATCTATTGATCCATTTTCAGTTGATGGATGTTTAGGTTATTTTGAGTTTTTCCACTATTTCAAACAATCAAACAGCCATCATTCTTTTATCGGTCTCCTTGTGCATGTATTCAGGAGTTTCTGTGGGGTATCTACTTATGAATGAAATTACTGGATCATGAGGTAGAGAGAATCTTAAACTTTACTAGGCATTGCCAAAGAGCTCCACAAAATGGTCTTGTACTGTCACCAACAATGTATAAAAGGCTCTGCTGCCTCACATCCTTGGCAATACTTGACACTATCAGACTTCTTAATTTTTCCTAATGTGCTAGGTGAGAAATGGTATTTGTTTTAATTTTTATTTCTCTGATTAATACTGCTTATGCAATTTTAACTGGGATAAATTTATATACAATAGAACACACAAAACTAAGAGCACAGTTGTATCAGTTTTATAACTGAACATAGACCTGTGTGACCCACATACCTAACAAGATACAGAACTTGGCAGGGCACAGTGGTTCACGTCTGTAATCCCAGCACTTTGCGAGGCCAAGGTGGACAGATCACCTGAGGTCACGAGTTTGAGACTAGCCTGGCCAACATGGTGAAACCCTGTCTCTACTAAAAATACAAAATTAGCCGGGCATGGTGGTGCACGCCTGTAATCCCACCTACGCAGGAGGCTGAGGCAGGAGAATCACTTGAACCCAGGAGGCAGAGTTTGCAGTGGGCCGAGATGGTGCCTGAAGGACAGACCTAACTTCATTTCAAAAAAAAAAAAAGATACAGAACTCTAGTACCCTAGTGTTCCCATTCAAACTCTCCAACACTAGAAGTAACCGTTACTGTAATTTTTATCACCATACATTAGTTTTGCCTGCTTTAGAATTTCATATAAAATCTATAGTCTTTAAATGCAAAATACTAGTGAGTTTTCAGACAAGATTATTTACAATATGAGGTATCCATACGCTTCTGCCCTTTTACACCTCAAAGCCATGGCGAAAGGTAGAAGATTTTTGAGAATTTAAATCCATTTTGGGGGCTCTTTTATAAGTCACTATTATTGGAGACTAAACCAGAAAAGTGCCCTGTTTGAGAATTAAAGGATGTTCCTGATGGATTGCCTTTATTATTCTTTTTCAAATGCTCCCTCCTTAGTTGGGTTAAGGCACAAATGCAGATAATAACACAAAAAGCAGCCAGGCAGTGGTTCCTGCCTACAGTCCCAGCTACTCAGATTAAGGCAGGAAAATCACTGGAGCCCAGGAGTTCAAAGCCAGTCTGGGCAACATAGTGAGTCCAGTCTCTTAAATAATACATAAAGTATTCAAATTACGTGTCAAAAGCCAAAATTATACTGGAGGAAAACTCACAATATTAAAATAGAGTATTATGCATAAAACACAGTTATAATCCTTAAATTATAAAGTTGCTGAAGTATAAACTTTTTTGTGTATTAATGCAATCCTACAATTCTGTGTGAGTAGAAAGGAGAGAAACCAAGTATAAAAATTGCCCTTAAGAATCCCAAAATGAAATTAAATAGGACATTTCCAGCAAATACATACACTGTTCTTTTGTCTTGTCGAAGTAGTTTAGAAGAAAATTCACTCAGAATATCAAGAAATGCCAAATTTAAAGGTGGATGGCTCTCCCCTTGCGGATTAGGCTCTTTAAAAGCAAATTCTATGCCATCTCTGCAAAGGAAAACAAAAAATAATTGAAATAAATATTTGAGGGACTATAATAAAAAAGTCAATAACTTAGGAAATTTCACTCACTACTTCCTTTGCCAAGCTTTTAATTTGAGGAATAGAAAATAAGCAGGTTGTAAAGTGTGAGAATGTGCAGATATACTGACATTTTATGTCACTGTTACTTTCTTTAAAACAATACACACACACACACACAAACACACACACACGCCACTTAGCTTTCAGTCTGAATATGGTCTGGTATATCTACATTCTTTAATCAGTACTTTTTTCCATAGAAAATAATGTAAATTCTCTCACATAATGATCAATACATTATCTGTATTTTTCAAGACATAAAGGAGACCTACTCTAACATATAGAACGTTAAAAAATAATTCACAAACATTTGTAATAAACAATTCAAGAGTAAAATTAAACCCCATCTAAGGCCCATTTTAACTATATTTATGTGACGATAAATACCTCTATTCATCAAAATAACAACCCAACATTATAACTCTATCAAATATGTAACTGAGTAAAAAACAATCCAGATGGAATCAAGAAGGAAAAAAGGATATTACATGAAAAAAAGATATTATTTCTGAAAATAATATACAGGTAGTCCTTAAATATTATGTAAAATTACCATCTAATGGATGCATAAAAATAAACTTCAGTTTTAGAAGAAAGTGAAAGGAGAGAGTTAATTAAAGTTGAGGGAGGAAGCTGGGTGTGGTGGTTCACACCTATAATCCTAGTGCTTTTGGTGGCCTAAGTGGGAGGATCTCTTGAGGCCAGGGGTTCAAGACCAGCCTGGGCAACATGGTGAGACCCTGTCTCTACAAAAAACAAAATAATAATAATAATTAAGTTGAGGGAGTAGAAGCAAAACTTAAACAAGAGCAGCATATTTTCCTCAGAGAGACAGTTAGCACTTTTATAACTAAATGAGCAAGAGGATGAAGGAGAGTCCGAGAATCTAAAAGCAAGGTTCTTTAACCCACAGGTAACAGATAAAGGGTTTTAATACACAAATGTTGGTTATGTTAAAGGTCTAAAATGTACCCATACTTTAAAAGTGCAATTGATCACTAAATTACATGCCCAGTATAAAATAAAACGACTTCCAATTTTGATAAGGGCAACAAAATATGCAGATGGAAAGAAGGGTGTGGATCAAAACATGGGAAAAGGTCACTACAAAGTAAGAGTGCAGAACCAAAGAAAAAACTTGAGACAAAGGAATCAAACCTCAAAGATTTCTCTATCTGACAATGAGATCATGACAAAAGTTGATAAAAAAGATGTGTAATGCTTGAATTTATGCTGCTTTGATTCACATAATTTATAGACTTTGTATGGTTTAAATTTAAACAAAGGCTTATAAACGGAGTTTTAATCCTAACTCATTTTATTGTTGTTGTTGTTGAGACAGAGCCTCGCTCTGTCCCCCAGGCTGGAGTGCAGTGGCGCAATCTCAGCTCACTGCACCCTCTGCCTCCAAGGTTCGAGCCATTCTCATACCTGAGTTGCTGGGACTAGAGGTGCACACCCCCACTCCCAGCTAATTTTTCTATTTTTAGTAGAGACGGGTTTCACCATGTTGGCCAGGCTGTTCTCAAACTACTGGCCTCAAGTGATCCTCCTGCCTCAGCCTCCCAAAGTGCTGGGATTACAGGCATGAGCACCAAGCCTGGCCCAACTCATTTGTTAATTGAGATAGCACTGTAACTGGTTCTTTAAAATTAAGAAAGGAGATAGGGTAGAGATTTATAAGCTAATAATAAAGCATAAATTTAATTTAGTTATTCCAAATGAAAGGGCTAGATTTAAAAATAAAGTTTCATGACTAAAAAATATGAGAGCTGAATAAAATATCTGGAGATTACTTGTGTAGCATGGCAATGGCTTCTCTTGTTTTCAACTGATCAAGTCCAAAAGTTAAAGCAAAACGTCGAGCAAGTTCTTTTATGCCACTAAATGTAGAGGATGATCTATCAAAATTATAGCCATTTTCTTGTATCATTTCATTAAAAAGCTGTTTGGAAAGAAAGAAAGCATGTTAAAGTTCTTAATACCTGGAGATTAACATCTTTTAAAATATTACATTTTCATTTAAAATACAGGTGTTCAATAAATGAGGCACTGTATTTTATTGCAAAACACTAAAACATGATGCAAATGACCAAAAGTGCAGTACTTCGTATATTTAAACTGGAGGTTTTTATTAACATTAGAAACCCTTCAGGTTAGTTTTGGCAGAATGCTATCCTGCTGGTATTAATTGGATATTAACATAGCATATAAAAATATAAAGGGGAAAAAAAACCCCAGCAAATTATTAGGCAACCATGCTCTGTTATTTACGTTTAAGTGGTGAATCTTTACATCAAGAACTCTTAACATGAAATAGCAAAAGCTTAAGAATTTTAATCTTCTTTGACAAAGCAATTCTAATTATAGGACTTGAACCAAAAGAAATAATATTTATGCACAATAATATGTACAAAAAAGTTTTAGTGCTATTTGTAATAACAAAACTTGTAAAAAAACCTCAGCGTAAACAAGGAGACTTTGGTTAAATTGTGGTCTATCTATAAAATGGAATATTATATAGTCGTCAAAATGGATATGCTAATCATCCTGCTTTGGTTAACTATACACTGTGTCAAAACATCACTATGTACACCCCATAAATATGTACAATTATGTGTCAACTTTTTTTTTTTGGAGACAGAGTCTCGTTCTATCACCCAGGCTGGAGTGCAGTGGCATGATCTTGGCTCACTGCAACCTCCACCTCCCGGGTTCACGCCATTCTCCTGCCTCAGCCTCCCGAGTAGCTGCGATTAAAGGTGTGTGCCACCAAGCCCAGCTAATTTTTGTATTTGTAGTAGAGATGGGGTTTCACCATATTGGCCAGGCTGCTTTCGAACTCCTGACCTCGTGATCTGCCCGCCTCAGTCTCCCAAAGTGCTTGGATTACAGATGTGAGCCACCGCGCCCGGTCGTGTGTCAACTTTTTAAAAGGAGGAAGACTTCTGGGTATACACCCAGAGAAAATGAAATCCACATGTTGAGGAAATATCTGCACTCATAGAAGCAGAGAACAGAATGGTGGTTGCCAGGGACTGGGGGTTGGGGGAGGCTGAGACTTTGGTCAAAGGGAACAACGTTTCAGTAGGACAGGATAAGTAAGTTCTGAAGATCTATTGTACAGCATGGTGACCATAGTTAAGAGTAATGTACTGTACTGTTTATCTAAAAACTGCTAGAACAGTTGGTCTTAAATGTTCTTACCACAAGTAAGTATGTGATGTAATGTTTATGTTAATTAGCTAAATTTAATCATTTCACAATGCATACCTATCAAAACATCATGCTGTATACCGTTAAGTACACAGAATTCTTACTTTTCAATTATACCTTCACAAAAATCTAGAAAAAAAAATAAATGAACCTCTCCTGCTCCAAAAAAAAAAAAGATGCTGAGGAAATTATTTAATGGCATAAATGTGTTCAGTGTTTATTAATATTAAAATGCAGCCTTACAAAATGGAATGCACAATTTAATTTTGTTAAAAAATCAGATTTCATGTACGCATAAAAAAGAGTAACAAGGCCATCAAAAAACAAAAAGGTTATTGTGAAGTGAAAACATTAAGGATAATTTGCATTTGTTCCTTTTTATATTTTCTAAACAGTACAGCTAGCAGCTATTACTTTATAGCAAAAGTTATTTTTTAAATGCCATCTTTTCAACCTTTTAAATTTTATTTATTTTTCTTTCTTCATTTTCTGTAGAGATGGGCTCTTGCTATGTTGCCCAGGCTGGCCTCCAACTCCTGGGCTCAAGCAATTCTCAACCTTGGCCTCCCAAAGTGCTGGGATTACAGGCATCAGCCACTACACCCAGCCTACATTTTATTAATTTTAATAGAGAAAATTCAAATTCTCAAATAAAATTAAGAACATTCCTGGCTGGGTACGGTGGCTCACGCCTGTAATCCCAGCACTTTGGGAGGCCGAGGCAGGTGGATCACGAGGTCAGGAGATTGAGACCATCCTAGCTAACACGGTGAAACCCCGTCTCTACTAAAAATACAAAAAAATTAGCCGGGTGTGGTGGCGGGTGCCTGTAGTCCCAGCTACTTGGGAGGCTGAGGCAGGAGAATGGCGTGAACCTGGGAGGTGGAGCCTGCAGTGAGCCAAGATCACGCCACTGCACTCCAGCCTGGGCGACAGGGCGAGACTCCGTCTCAAAAGAAAAGGAAAAAAAAAAAAGGACATTCCTAAAAGAAAGTTCATTAAGTTGGAATGGGTTGGGTTGGGTTTTGCATGCAAATTTTGTCTCCAAAGACAAAAGTATACTAAGTCAGTAATTTTATCTAATTAAATGCCTCAACACTGCCAAAATGAAAACTATTGGTTTTTTTGTTTGTTTGTTTTGAGACAGAGTCTCACTCTGTCGCCCAGGCTGGAGTGCAGTGGCATGATCTTGGCTCATTGCAACCTCCACCTACGAGGTTCAAGCAATTCTCGTGCCTCAGCCTCCCAAGTGGCTGGGATTATAGGCTCACATCATCATGCCCAGCTAATTTTTGTATTTTTAGTAGAGACGGGGTTTCACCATGTTGGCCAGGCTGGTCTCGAATTCCTGATCTCAGGTGATCCACCCACCTCAGCCTCCCAAAGCACTGGGATTACAGGAATGAGCCACTGTGCCTGGCCAAAACTATTGTGTTTTAGTTATAAAATTAATATATGCTCACAAAAATAAGTTTGGAAATATACAGAGAAAAAAGTAGAATTCAACATGAAATCTACCAAAACAAGTTAACCACTGTTAATATATTTTGTGATTATGAAGCTCTTTATACATTAATGAATATAGATCTACACTAATTTTAAGTGTTGTACAACGGTCATCGCAGAAATGTACTATACAGTAAATTTATCTAATATCCTAATAGACTTTTAGATTATGTCTTACTTCCTATAAACAACATTGCAATATACAACTTTGTATATCAACTTTTGCAAACTTGTCTTATCACCTTGGATAAAAGAGTAGATTTAAAAAGTAGAATTGCTGCCTCAAATGGCATACACATTATAAATTTTTACATAAATTGCCAAATTGCCTACCATATCTATATTTCCTCCATACCTTAGATAGCTATAGGTTTTGCCAATCTTGACAGTTTGAAAGCAAAAAAATAATCTCACTTATACTTTCTTGTATTTCTACTTTTATAAATTGCCTATTGCACACTTTGCCCAATTTCAACTGCTACCTTATTTTGCTAACTATTAGGTGTTAATTGTGTTAGCTAAAGTTGGTACTCTTAATGCTTACCTGTTGCAGACTGAGAATAAGGGTCTTAGCACACTGAATTTTGTCTATCTGCCTTGTTTTACTCATTGTTTCTTTGATGATATCTCCATAGTCATTATAATACTATAAAGAAATTTGTACAAATTAGAGCTTTATCTCTTAAAACTACTTGACAATAAGACAAATTTTAGGTTAGTCATGTAAACACGTCACAAAGTATGTATTTAGCCAAAATTATGCCTTCAAAGGCAGGAAAGAATGTTACTGAAACCTAAAGATCATTTCTAAGCATACAATCCCTAACTTCAGTAAAATCATATATACAAAACAGTTAAGATCTAATCAAATTAAGCTCCAGACTTGGTTAAAATAAAGACGGTATACTGGTCAGTTTTAGTCAAAACAACAATTAGGTTATGCAGATTTTCAGAAGTAACACAAAATGTACAAACAAAATTCTCTTTGTAAAACAATAAATATAATCTCAGTTACACTTATAACTAATTCATTGATACCGGGTATACAGGCCACGAGCAGTTTAAAACTTTATTAATTTGGCTTATAGAATCTAACAGCCTATAAACAACTTTTAAAAGGAAAGCATATAAACAACTTTTAAAAGTTGTTTATATGACATTTACATTACACATTGCACATGAAATTTTTTCCTAATTTAAGATTGTGTTTCAAACACGTACAATAACAATTATCAGAGATAACAGAATAACCACGTCCCTATGACTAGTAAGTGACTTTAGAATACCTAAGACTAAAACTTTAAAATTTGTTAAATAACTTCATAAACAACCTTAGTTTAAAAAAAAAAAAACCTGGTAATTATCATCCCAAATGATTTAAGTTCCAAAATAATTTTCAATGATATTAGAGTTCAAGTAGCAAAATATTCCAGAGAGGATTAACTAGGTTTAAATATATTACATATTTTATTTCTTGAAAGCAAAGGCTTTAAAAAGTTTACATTTATAATTAGATTTTAGTTGAGGAAGGATTTTTAAGCTATCTTACCACATTTAGTCACATTCTGTTAGTATAATCAACAATATCCTGTTTATCACTACTTTCAACTTAACAAAACCTCACATATAGTTATGAAAATTATGAATAACCTATGGTTAATCAAATCAGACTTTGAGAACCAAAGGGGAAAACCTTAACAATCACAGTGGAACAGATAAAGGAACTCAGGTCACAAAATGCTTGGAGTTATTCAAGGTCGCAAGATGCATAGTAACCAAGCCAAAACTACCACCCAAGTCTTCTGACTCCTGAAACTCTTTTTAATGCTACATCAAGCAGAGGAGGAATGCCATCCTATTATCTTAAACTGAATCATACATGCTATTTCTGATAGTGACAAATTGAGAGGGGCCATCTCCAATATTCTAAATGCAAACGAACACAATAAACCCAAAATGTCCATTAACTGGAGTAGAGGTATAAGGAAATGTATTGAAAACACTAAATATTTTAAAATACAACTCTTTTACACTAGAAATGTAATTTGCCCTTAAAGAATTCAATGGCAGCCATGCATAAAAACTAGCGTTGCATTTTAAAACTATCTTGCTATCCATTTTTCAACTTTACCTTCATATACTGTTTGAAGATATCTGCAGCTGTATTCATCTCCACCACAGTATATACAATTAGCTTACAAAATGCTGCAAGTAAATTTCTTCTCTTGTGCAGAGCTTCAATTTTACTGGCTTCATCCTCTTGCTGACCATCTGGAGAAAAAGTCCCAAACATTAAGCATCTTGTATTTTATTTCAACCATGTATTTTTTTTAATTCTCACTATGAAACATGCTTTTATAAGAGAATTTGAAAAGGGAAAAACATTAAAATTAAAATTATAACCATTCATAATTTATTCCAATAGACTAAATTTTTGTGACATCAAATGATGATCAGAACAAATGGAACTGAATCACTCCATTTGTTCGTATTCCATGTTCACCTACTGAAGTCAGGCTAAACTTGCCTAACATTTGTCTACTTCCCTAGCAGGATAGTTTGTCAACAAAATCTGCACACTCAAAGTCTGTTAGTTAAGGCTCCTACGTTCCTGAACACTGCCAACCTCAGAATTTCTCCTATCCCTTCCAAGGATGATCCCACCTTACCTCAAACCCCAAAATCTGGCTATAACAGTCCTCCTTTGTACATATATTCAGCTAGACAGGCCCCAGAAACCATTCTGTCTTTTTAAAATAATCTTGCATATTTCTACTCTGATCCATTATGTGAAATCTTGACATTCAATTCTCAAGAAGACAAACTTATTTCCAAATTCGCAGTCAGGGAAGCCCCACTGCAGCCTCCAAGTAATGCAAAATAATTGTTTTACTTATTGGATACTGTAAATAAAACTAGATGAAGCTTTTTATATTAAAAAAAAAAGCTGCATACAAAAATTTTTCCCTCTGGACAGATTTTACAAATGAAATTACTTGTAAAAAAACAAAACAAAAACCACTATCCCAGGCCGGGTGTGGTGGCTCACACCTATAATCCCAGCACTTTGGGAGGCCAAAGCAGGCGGATCATCTGAGGTCAGGAGTTTGAGACCAGCTTGGCCAACATGGTGAAACCCCATCTCTACTAAAAATACAAAAATCAGCTGGGTGTGGTAGCACGCGCCTATACTCCCACCTAGTTGGGAGGCTGAGGCAGGAGAATTGCTTGAACCCGGGAGGTGGAGGTTGCAGTGAGCCAAGATCACGCCACTGCACTCCAGACTGGGCAACAAGAGTGAAACTCCATCTAAACAAACAAACAAACCACTATCCCTTGTTAAATGAAATTAAAATTGTTTATGTTTATTAGCCATTTATAATTCCTCTGGTGAACAGTCTGCGCATATCCTATAAGCTCCAATATAAGGTTCCCAATATCAAAAACTATTTTATGTATAGTAAGAATGTTCCTTCATTTAATTAATTTTTCATCCTGTCTCTGGTAATCTTTGATAACTTCTAGTAAACTAAAACCAAATTTAAAGAGTAAGAATTTAAGATAGACCATCAGAGAAAGTTTTATCTCAAATGTATGTCCCAAGATGCAACACTATTTGCTTAGAAACCTAAGACATATCATTACACTGAATACATAAAGTAACATTTTCTTAATAGCTCTGTCACTATAATGGACAATTTCTACATGACATTGTTTCCAATCGCATACAGACATTTTCCCTCTAAAGACTAAACTATCCTATGATATTCAGAGTTTTTAAGTCCTGATTTTTATTTTTCTCCACTAATGGCTTGTCAAGAATTAGCCAACTTTTTCTCTTGTGGATGTTAAGGAATGTAGAGAAGTACCTAACACACTGGGCCTTTCATAAGTGTCAGCTGCCATTATTATTATGTATTGTCAATGAAATGCCTCTAGGAGCATTCCCTATTTTACTCTCCCTTTCTAATCTGATGTAGGCTAACAAATACAATATCCAAGGGTCTACAATACTAGATGTTAGGTGAGGATGAGTAACAATGGAAACTATCATATGCTGCTGGAAGGAGGGTAAAACAATACAACCACTTTAGCAAAATATGATCAAGTTTAAGATGCACACACACTACATAATCTAGCAATTCCACTCAGGTATACACTAGAAAAGCAAATGTATATGTGCTCAAGGAGCTAAGCATTGAAATATTTGTTGTAACGCTATTTTAATTGAGGAAAAAGTAGAAATAACCTAAATGTCTAAAAATAAGAAAATGGATAAACTGTAGTTAACTTGTATCATATAATATTCAGCAGTTAGAATAAATGAATTGTAGCCACATGTCAACACTGAAAAAAATCTCAAGAATGTAAATTCAAAAAGGAAAACTGCACTGGGTGCAGTGGCATGTGCCTATAATCCCGGATACTGAGGAGGCTGAGGCAAGAGTACTGTTTGAGCCCAGGAGGTTGAGGCCAGCCTGAGCAATATAGCAAGATCTCATTTCATATTTTAAAAAGAAGAAAAAAGGTAAATTGCAAAATGTTCAACCTAATATCATTTACATGGAAGTTAGCAAGAATAAATGAACTATGTATTATTAACAGATACAAATTCTTAGTAAAATAAAATTGAAATGCAAAGGTGTGATAAACAACAAATTTGGGGTAGCAGTTATCTCTAGGGAAAATGGGAGGATAATGGGATAAGGGAGGAATACAAATGAGGGCTTCTTTTGTAACTGTGCTTTTATTTCTTTAAAAAACCTAAAACAAACACAGCTAAATTTGACAAAGACTGATGGAATGGTTATGTAAAAATCTGTTATATTTTATACTCTTCCATTGGACTAGAATGCACTTCATTTTAAAAGTGAAAATAGTGCCAGGTGTAGTGGCTCACATCTGTAATCCCAGCACCTTGAGAAGCCAAGATGAGAGGACTGCTTGAGCCCAGGAGTTTGAAACCACGCTGGGCTACACAGCGAGACCTCGTCTCTACTAAAAATTAAATAAATTAGCCAGGCAGAGTGGCACACGCTTGAGTCCCAGCTACTCCAGAGACTGAGGTGGGAGAATCATTTGTACCTGGGAGATTTAGGCTGCAATGAGCTATATGAAGTCCACACCACTTCACTCCAGCCTGGGTGACACAGTGAGACCCTGTCACACACAAACACACACATACACACACACAAGTCTAAGGAGATAAGAAGTGTGGGTAATTCTAGGAAGCTCCTAGATAAATCAAGAGTTTTGGCAAGCTTACTCTAATTCAACTCCCCATGGACTAAATGAAGCTAAGGCAGCCCCAAATTAACAAAACGGTTATGTACTAAAACTTATTTTGTATCAGGTTTTAGAATCCAACTGTACTTTCTCATAGACGTTTTAGAAGTTTTAAAAAAAGACGTTTTATAAAGTCCTATTCATTTTTTGGATTAACTTCAGTTGTTAGCTTCTCAAAAGATGTTTCAATACCTGCAGATCAGTGAGAACTTACTCTACATGCCCACAACACTTTGTACATGCCTCCATTACTTATCAAAAATTGCACTATAGGCCGGGCGCAGTGGCTCATGCCTGTAATCCCAGTACTTTGGGAGGCCCAGGCAGGCAGATGACCTGAGGTCAAGAGTTCAAGACCAGCCTGGCCAACATGGTGAAACCCCGTCTCTACTAAAAAAAAAAAAAAAAAAAAGAAAGAAAGAAAGAAAGAAAGAAAAAAAAAAGAAAAATTAGCTGGGCGTGGTGGTGGGCACCTATAATCCCAGCTACTCAGGAGGCTAAGGCAGGAAAACCATTTGAACCCGGGAGGCAGAGGTTGCAGTGAGCCAAGATTGTGCCACTGCACTCCACCCTGGATAGCAGAGTGAGACTCCATCTCAAAACAAACAAACAAACAAACAAACAACAACAACAACACTATAATTACTTGGTTCTTTTCATCCTGAATTTAATTCTTGAAGGATGAGACCTTGTCTCATCTTTTCATATCCATACCATCTAGTAAACTGCCTGCTGACCAATAAATGTTTGTCAAATCAATGTTATGAACAAAAGCATAACTAAGCCAATAGCTTAGAGTGACAGATGAAAAACTCAAAGTATATAAACTTCACTACATGGATTCTGACAACTGTTTTGGCTACTCTGGGTTTCTCATTTGTGTTGAGGTTAAGTTTTTAGTACATGAGCACAAAGCTCTCTATTGCTAAAAGTAAGCTACATGCCATATACAGAATTACATATATACTTACACCCTGATATGCAGTGATACATCAGTATGGATATATACATGTTGATGTTGTATTTTCCTTTAAGTTTTAACTTCACAGTTTGGGAGGCCGAGGCAAGAAGATCACTTGAGACCAGGAATTCAAGACCAGCCTGGGCAACATATCAAGACCCCATGTCTACAAAAAATTAGCCAAGCACGGTGGCACACCACCTGTAGTCCTAGCTACTCAGGAGGCTAAAGGGGGAGGACTGCTTTGGTCAGAGTTTGAGGGTGCAGTGAGCTAATATCATGCTACTGTACTCCAGGCTGGGCAACAGAGTGAGACTCTGTTTCTAAAAAATAAAAATAAACAAAAAATATACCTTCAAACTAAAAACAAACCCAGAAAGATGCCGCCAAATATCACTTCTTTTCCATAACCTCATGCTAAAGTAAGGCAATTAGGGTGTGTAAACAATTAGGGTGTGAAGAGTAACTTAACACTAGGAAAGGCTGGTTTGATTCTTTTCCTGTAAACATTATATACTGCCCCAGACTTTTACAGAGCAGTTTCAAACATTTTTCTAACATTCAGAAATCAAATTAATACTCCCCAAATTAAAAAACAAAAAAAACCTACGGTATACAAGTACACAACAAAAAGTCACATAAATACTTTATTCTTTCCAAATTATCTGCATATTGGTATTACCAATGAATAAGGGCAAGAGGGAATAAATTTTATTGAGTACCTGCTATATGTCCAGGCACTGTACTAGTCATTTGACTCAATTTTTAACAGTTTTATGAGGTAGTTAGAAATTAGAAAGCAGACTCAGTGCTAGTGAGAAGCAGCGATCTGACTTGAAAGCCTATACTCTGCAACATCACGTTTTCTTTACAATAGTACAAAAAAATGAACATAAATTGTGCTGGAATATATACCTGTGTTTCACGTTTTTAAGGATAAAATATATTTTAGTGCACCGATGTACATCATTGTTACTTAAGTTTGATTTTATGGTGGACACAGATTTAATAAAAAGATGGCAATAAAATTACCTGCACTATTATTATCATCATCCTGTTCAATGAAGACATGATCCAAAATAAAGCTGAGCAACTCAGACTGCAATGAAGAATCAGGGGTATACACTAATGGCTCTAACATGTCACGCCCTCCTGACATAATCTGATGGCTGAAGATCATCAAAATATCACACAGAATAGTGAAGGCCTATTTAAAAAAAAAAAAAAGAGGAAAGCATGCTATAATCCAAGGTTTCTCACTAACTGCCACAAATAATTTACATATTTAACACAGAAACAGAATCCAACTTTCTATATTTAAAAATCTTAAGAGAAATCAATGTTTAGTATTTTCCTAAGATTCTAAAGCTGCGAAGTATAATTTATGTAACAACGAATGCTTATATTTGTATAAGGCTTTACTAACTGCAAAGTAATTTCACAAATTTTTTTTAATTTTCAGCAACATTAAGTGACTTGTACAATATGTTACACACTACAAAAATATGCAGGGTCAGGACTCAAACTCATGTTTTCTAACTCCAAATCCCCTACTTTGCTCTATATTGCAATGCCCCAAGGTATTCATTCTCAAATATGAAATAATGTATAAACTTGGTACCACTCTTCACTCTACAGAAGAAAAAACATTAAAGAGATAAGTATTAGAATAGAGATCACAAAATCTATGGTACTTATTAAGCACTCTCATTGTTCACACGTGTACTGATTAAGTAGCGAAAACATAACCAGATACAGGGCTGCTTACTATTTATCAGGTAAACCTGAACATATTATAATAAACATAAGGCTGAAGTTGTATCTCAAGGAGCTTAATAAAAACTCTGCCATGGGTTTTAAATGGAGTCACAGACTAATTAATTATTTGTTGGGAAGGGGTAATGAAAATAGAAATTTAGGGTCACAAAGTAAACCAGAAAATACATTTAAAGGAAGATCATTCCTGGAAAGACAATATAATACAGAGCACAAAGCAGATCTTATTAAGAGTTTTGCCACTTTGGAACTAACCACATTTACTTTTTCTCTTTATGTTTTTACCCCTTCCTTCAGTCTCTTCTCCTAACTACTATAGTAGTAATTTATACCTATTAGCATATTTCAGTCTACAAAAACTTGCAACATAAAGAGTAAGGATATAAAGTATTAAGTATGATGATATTTACTAATTAGCTGAACTGGCAAATCAAGTGAGCTGACCAGGACACATTCTGGGAAGCTGTTGGGAAGACTGGGCACATAAGCTGTTTAATAACTAAATAATTAATCTCTATGGCCTGAGCAAGGGATTATATAGGAGGTTACACAGGATAACCCACAAGGATTATGTGTTAATGCTATAAAAATAGGGATTATTATGCTGAATATCTTGGTGTCCCATGCAATTATAAAGTAATATTTCGTGCATTAGGTTTCGATCTGTGCATGTCATTAAAATCCTATTCCAAGAGTTTAAATCTAAATTCAATTTACTACCATCAGAAATCTTGTTCCTTTCATCTGAATTATAGAGATGAAAATTAAAGTACCACACCCTTTATTGCTATAGTTCAAAACTACACACGTAAAATTGGAGAGAATTCTGCAATGCAATAGTTATGGCAATATACTTCATATTTTTGGAAAAAAATAGCAAAATTCAGTAACTGCATCTTGGCATGTGTGACCAAGCATATATGTATGGTAGGGACAAGAGAGAGCTGGAAATAAGAAAAAAAGAGACTACCAGCTGGGCATTGAATGAACATTTTAAACTATAAAAATCCAAATATGTTTTATTAAAATTAGCTTCGGTATTTTTAAATTAAATAAAGACAAGTGCCAAACAAAGGGCTGGTTATATTTGAATAACACTGAACTAAAATAAATAGTACCTAACATATCACAGTGTCCAAAAATCATAGTCAGGTTGACTATTGGGATTCTACCTGAAAAAACAAAGGTTAAGCTGTATGAAATGGTTGCAAACCTTGAAATCACCATAATCATTTTGACTATACCATATTAATAGTTCTTATGGAATGCTTGTGAAAACATCTTCCCATAAAAGCATTTGAAAAGCACGTTTCCAACGAAGCTTAATCCTCTCAATTAGGGAATTAGAATTGAACATGATGTTAGTTCTAGGATCAAACCAGGTAACAGTCTATTTCGAGAACTGAAAAGGTTAGAAGTAATGGAAGCATGAAGGCATACGCGTTGGGAAGGTAACACTTGGAAGACAGGGAAGTGATTATAAATGTTTATTTCAGAGAAGGTCCACAGGAAGATCAGGATGAGCGAGAATGCCAACATCTGATACTCTCAGAGATAACAAAACCCTGTGGACTTTTCTACCCTGGAACAAACTTGTCATATTAGTTGCTTTCAGGAATGACTTTTGTTAATTTCATACATCTATAATTTGTATGAAGTCTGTTTACCATGTGTCATAAAGAAACAACAACATAAAATGACAATAAGGGTAATCTATAATGCAATTATAAACCCCATATGAAATTAATCAATTTTATTATGCACAAATCCAATATATTAACCTATTTTTTTAGTATAATATACATAGGCAGATACAAGATATTTCTGCTTTGCTCAATCTTAGTATTATTTAAACTTTCTACATTAGTTCAGATTTTATAAAGGTTGCTTACAAAAAGATTACCATCTATAGTAATTACTAACCTGTTCCTTAACAGTAGTATTCACGTTGGTCAGGTAATGTTGACATATCTGACAAAATACTCTCATTTGTTTCTTTAAACGCAGCAAGTCCTCCTTGAAAAAATTTAACATTAACTTTTAAAAAATATTGTATAAACAATTCAGCATTTCTTTAAAATGTTTTCAATTATGTAAAACATTATCTCATAGCTTTATTAACTCTACTTCTGCATTTGATTTAAATTTCTTCCTTATAATTTATAAGAAATGAAAACAAAGAGACGGTTTGTCTTACAAATCTCACCAAATTGCAGCCTTAAAAATATGAGGTACATTAATAGATAATATCCTAAGGCTTTAGGATATTAAGAGGATGAGAAGACTTATATAATTGATATGGCAATCTTTAATAAAGCCACTAGCACAGAATGCTAATAAAGATTTACGCTCCATGCTCACATTATTTCAAGGGTGGTCAACCCATAAATGGAATAAAATAATAAAAAAGAAACAGCATCTTCCATTTCTTGTTGGAAGGATACTGCTGTATTTTATAAAAACTCAGAATGGAAAATATTTTGTGGTATTACTATAAACTTTAAAATATCTCAAACTTTTTATTTTTATTGGGTTTTTTTTTTTTGAGATGGAGCTCACTCTATTGCCCAGGCTGAAGTGCAGTGACATGATCTCAGCTCACTGCAACTTCTACCTCCTGGGTTCAGGCAATTAATTCTCCTGCCTCAGCATCCTGAGTAGCTGAGATTACAGGTGCATACCATCACACCTGGCTAATTTTTGTATTTTTAATAGAGACAAGGTTTCACCATGTTGGCCAGGCTGGTCTCGAACTCCTGACTTCAAGTGAGTGGCCTTCCTCAGCCTCCCAAAGCATTGGGAGTACAGGCGTGAGCCACTGTGCCTGGCTTACCATAAATAATTTTATATTCATCCCTTTCCTCTACTAAAAATACTGCCTTTTTTCCAGTTTAGTTTTTAACTTCCAACATAGGTGAGCAATTATACATGGTAATATAGTCACCGTTCCTACTACAAGCTTAACATTTAGTTAAATTAACTTTTTCCTAAGTGTTTGATAAAAAGCACACAATGGGCAGGGCACAGTGGCTCAGGCTTGTAATCCCAGCACTTTGGAAGGCCAAAATGCGCGGATCAGTTGAGGCCAGGAGTTCACAAGCCTGGTCAACATGGTGAAACTCCATGTCTACTAAAAATGCAAAAGTTAGTGGGCGTGGAGATGCATGACTGCAGTTTCAGCTACTTAGGAGGCTGAGGCACGAGGATTGCTTGAACCCGCAAGTCAGAGGTTGCAGTGAGCCGAGATTGTACCACTACACTCCCGCCTGGATGACAGAGCAAGACTGCCTCAGAAGGTGGTGGGGGTGGGGGGGCGGGAAGCACACAATGTTAACAATACTATATTGATTTTTCAAGAGGAAAAATCCATTTGTAGATATAACAACATCTTAAAAGCCCAGAGAAATTCTAAGTATTTAACATTATTCTGTGGGTTTAGGCAACACAAACTTATTATCAAGAGGATTACTTTTTGAAGAAAATGCCTACAAACACCTAACTCCAGAACTCTTAGAAACTGTGTGATATTTCTAAAAATGAGCCCAAACAATATTTAAGGTAATATCCAGCACTACAAGTACAATGTTTAAGCTTCCAGTTTACAAATGGAAAAGGCAGTCCTGTTTAGTTCAATTACTAAACACATTAAGGATTATCATTATGGGTAAAGCTTTAAAAGCTCTATATGTACTAATAGCTGGCGCTGGCACATTATATATTCAATCAGAAAATGATTGATCATGAATTTGGAACATCACTAGAGAGATCTTGAATATGAATAAGGTTATCCCAAAACAATACCAGAGCATAAGAAGATCTAGGGGGAGTTGGTTTATTATCTTCAATTTATGTAATCTAATACTTATATCTGTTTCAAAGGCTCTTGCTCACCAACTTTGAGAATACAGAAAACCACAGATTATGCCACCTTCAAATGTGAACAACAATTTTTAATTAAAAATCATACCTTGAAACAAACCATATCGATATCCTCTCCACTGAATATACATCAAACTACAAATAACAGTACATTAGAAACAAGCAACATTTCACTGAAATAACTGATCTCATTAAATGTGTGAGTTTGCTGAAAACAGTTAATGATATTTAGTCTAATAAAAACACTACTGAACCACCACAAACCTTTGTAGAGCTGCTTTCAGTTATCTTAGCAAGTTGCCAAAGGATTACATAGTGAGTACACTGCAGTGCGTGAATAACAATCTGTAAAAAGAATCAAAGGATACAGTTAAAATTTAAAAGTCACAAGACTTCACTTTTCAAAGATAAATGTGTAACTAGCAAATAAATAAAAACCTGCTCAGGCATGTCTCCATTTTCGATTCCAGTTTTCAAGAGTTTGTAATTACAAGCAAATAAATCCCACTTTGAAAGGTCATGGGCACTGTAAAAAAAAAAAAAAAAAAAAAAAAAAATTAAGTTTTATTAAAAAGCTAAGCCTAATGACAATTGTTTTGGACTTGACTGTTAACAGAATGCAGTAAATGCAGTAAACTTTAAAATGCCCCCACAACGACAACAACAAATTAGCTTAGAAATTAACATAACCCACAAAACATGCAAGTTTATTTCTACAGATTTAAGAAAACAGGAACTTCAAAATTCAACTTACTTATGAAAAGCAGTGATCCTCTTCAATGTTGACAATACCTGATATGCATCATCTTCATCAGGTTCTTCACCCTATAAATATTAATTATACATTAAGAACCATCAAAGTGAAAACTCCTAGGCTATCAAAATGTCACTATTACCTTGAAAAATGAAAAATAACATAACAAAACCCACAAATGAACTTTGTCATTCAATACCTAGATCTGGCCAAATTTAAGGCAATATGGCTGGGGAAGTAAGTCAACACAAGTTTATCATAGAAACATCACAACTGAGAGAAAAAACGAAAATGACATTCTTCTTTTTCTTCTAAGTAAACTTGACACAAAATTATAAAGGCATCTATTTTTTCACAGTAATAAATGCACTAGGACAATAAAATACTTAAATGACAAGAAGATCAGAAGGACAATACCTAAAGGACAAAATCTAAGTACCTTAAACATATATCATCATGAAGACATATGACACTAATCACAGATAAACAGGGAAAAACCCTCTGAAAAATGACTAGATATGCTGGTCCCATTTGGATATCAACATCTATTAATATACTTTTCAACTTAGGGTAACTTAACTTTCGAAAAATTTTACCAGTCTTACTACAGGAAACATAAAATTGCTTACACATTACTCAATCTACTGTGTTGAACTCTAGTTCTCTCAAAAAAGCACTTGTTTTTAAACTATAACTCTTCTACAAAGTAATTAAATTTAATTAAACCATTGCTTGATTTTAATTTGTCCTAATCAAAATTATATTCAGCCAAGAGTAGAGCTATTAAAATTTTTAACTAAGAATGTAATCATCGTACATCAACATATTTGCACAAACCTCCAATTAGTAAAACTTAATAAGCCCGGAATAACAATATACACCAAATAAAAGTTAAATGAGTAATTAATAAAACAAGAAAACTAGAAATCACAAAGTCCATATGATCTTACAGCATTAATGATAAAAGTGATGTGGAAAAGGCTAATGGCATTAATTTGACAATTATGAATTTTTATTTTAATCAAAAAAACTGAATGTAAATATATATTTCTGGAAAAAATAACAATCACAACAAAAATACAAGTGTATTTAAGTACTATGCACTAAGCCTCTTTGGAAATACAAGAGAAAACACAGGAAACTCCAACAGTAGCAGCGGCTATAATAATAATAACTTATTAAAGTTTTATAATATCAAAACCCAGACTGGATGTGTGGCTCACGCCTGTAATCCCAGCACTTTGCAAGGCCGAGGTGAGTGGATCACCTGAGGTCAGGAATTCGAGACCAGCCTGGCCAATGTGGTGAAACCCCATCTCTACTAAAAATACAAAAATTAGCCTGGTACAGTGGCACACGCCTATAGTCCCAGCTACTCAGAAGACTGAGGCCGGAGAATCGCTTGAACCTGGGAGGCAGAAGCTGCAGTGAGCCGAGATCGTACCACTGCGCTCCAGCCTGGGCAACAGAGAAAGACTCCGTCTCCAAAAAAAAAAAAAAAACATAATGTCCTTCCCTAACCTACACTGCCAAAACACTTAGAAATACTCTACTTTTTTTAGGCTACCTAGTCTAAATCTAGCTCTCCTTTTCTGTTCCATTAACACCCTATTCCTTAACAGCCCTGGTTCAATAAAAACCAGGTAACTGTTCAGATCATTTCTCAAAACAAAAAAGATGTTAGTTTTGCTTTCACCTTCTCTGAGTCACAGATTCTTACCACTTTCCTATTTTGGTGGAGGAGTAGCCTGATGAGTCATAGAATGAAAAGCCTGAACATCTTTTCAAAATACTGCTAGGGACTATCACCAAGACTTAACACTTGGGTGACTAATTAGCTTACTGCAGTAGAGGGGCTCAACTGACAAAATACTTGTAATAGTTATAATATATACCTCTTGCAGAAAATCTTCAAGAAGCCGGTTAAATTTATCTGCCAATTCATCTATCAGTTGACTTCTTGAAATATCTACTCTGTTGAAGATTGTGAACTCTTCATTACAGAGTGCATGGTAAGTTTTAGAACATGCTTCCAAAACATCTGTATCTGTGTGCTTCTCTACAATATTCCGGATCTGTCGCAATAAGGCATCCAAATGCTGCAAAATAATAATATTTTTCATCAAAACTAAGGCATATATGATAGGTATAAAGTGACTACATGACCATACCACCATGGAAAAAATTTTCAAATACAGTAAGTCTACAACACAGAGCGTACATTTTAAGGTGCTTTTCTAATCATGATAAATAAATACACTGATCCATCCATACTTTTTCCTCAACTTTAAGGGAGATATTACCTACCTCATAGGGCTATGGTGAGAATGCTAACATATACTAAGAGCTTACATTAATCCACAGAACATAGCAAAAGTGTTCAATAAATATTAGTTGATTTTGTCTTATAATTGTTATTATCGTCTATGGCCATACCACCCTGAATGAGCCCAATCTCATCTAATTGTTATTATCTAGTTATCCACCCCCAGTCTCTATAAATGATCAGTGACATAGTCATATAATAGCTAAGAATGAAGGTACAGTTGTGGGCATGAAGCAAAGGGAAGCATCATTACCGCCATTCTGTAAGTCAAACTAAAGTACAGAAGACCTAAGCTATAGGTTTCCTTTCTTAAAATACGTTCCAAAAAAACATTTTAAGAAATATAAACAAACGCTATGATATAATGAACTGAATAATTTTTCTTAAAGGTTTTTTTTACACAAAATAATCTTACCTTTTCTAATCGTCCAGTGGTATATATTTCCAAATCAAAGTACTGAGGCAACTGCAACAAGTTAGTCACCTTTTCTGCATCTACAGAGTACTGTGAAATATAAAGATCACGTTAAAAATATCACAATAAGAAAGCATTATAATATTCTGTGAGGCATTTAGGGAAAAAAAACTCATTTCTTAGTAACACTATGATATTGACACAAACTTACTTTTGCTAATAACTGAGGAAGGGCCACGGCAAAAAGCTCAGTGATTTTTGTCCTATCATCCAACTGTGTCTTCTTCTCCTTTGCTGTAAGCACCTAAAGGAACAGAAAGACTTCTGTATTTATTAAGCCCATTAGCACTGTTAAGTGTTCAAGTTTTAGTTAAAACATACAAAATGATTACTAAAACTATATTTTAAGAGATGGACACAAAAATTTCACTATAAAACATTAACCCTAAAAGTGACATGAAAGAGAAAACTACACATTATAAAAACAAAAAGCCACCTGAAATAACAAAAAAAAATTTGGATAGTCCTATAGGGAAAATCAATATCCAATAAGACTAACCAACTCTACCTTCAGATGGTAGGAGAATCAGTTAAAAATAGGAAATATAGTTTAAGAGCTTATATATAAAATACTGGGATTGACCAGCATTTCTGCTTACTCTAGGCTGTGGGACATGACACATAAGTAACAAATTCAAAACACTAAATTGCTATCAGCAATTAGCAAAAAAGAAACAGAAATTTTTAAAAAACAGAAATAGAAAACACAGAAAGCATCACATTGTCTTTGATAAAATTTTGTTTCAGTTATGCACACACAAACATATTCATGTGTAATACGTCACAATATAAGAATGAATTTTTATGCTTTACAGTCAAAAGTTTGAAAGCCTGTGGAATTGTTGGTATAAAATGCAAGTTCATGTAAACTTTACAATAATGCATTAAAATCTGATTCCAGGAAATAGAAATTTCCCTATTTTAATAAAAAATTATCTCCATTTTTATTTCTGATTTTATTTTAGAAGAAATAGAAAGCAAATCCATAAATAAAACATACAACTGCACCATTCCAAATGGTGTATGCTACATTCAGTCATGAAGGCAGGGACTGTCAATCATATCTCCTGCAGCAACTAAAAAAGTATATTACAGAGAACTCAAATTTCTCAAATTGCTAATGCTTTAAAATTTACCTCTAACAAATTTATAAGCAAAGGTTGTCTGAAAAATAAAACAAAATTGTTTCATGGCTAAAATGGAATTTTTAAAAAGATACTGAAAAAGGAGAAATGGAGTTTAGAATATTGAAAAGACATTGATTGGCATACCCTTTTTCCTGTCCCTCTTCCCACGGGAGGATGACATTCAGCCGCTTGTCTAATGGTACAAAGCATTATTTCAATCAGAGCACTCTCTTGCCTATCTGTTAGTGCTAAAAAAAAAAAAAAAAAAAAAAAAAGTCAGAAAGAGTTAGCTTATTTCTTCTCCCTATATGCCACTTGTAATTATTACATAACAGTTTCTTCTGCCTGTAAACAGAATCTGCCCTAAGGTACTAAAGAAAATCCCATTACTTTATCACAGAAAACATCACCTTCCTAAAACCCTCAGCATCCCAAATCTATCCACCACAGATCCATACATTTGGGTAAAAAAAATAACCCAGATACAAAAAAATAAAGAATGTTGACAGCAATTACATCTTTTTACATAGCATAATATTTATATGAAAACAAAACTATGCACGAAGTAAGATTTTTCTATCAAATTGTCTTAAAACTAAAAGGACAAATAAATGGAATGAGTAAAAATCTACTTACAAAACTGTCTAAACAAAAATATCATAATTAAACATCCTTACCTTCCTCTCCACTAAGTGGCTCTTCCAGTAACAAGCTATTCATACATTCCCAGTCTTTCAGCAGCTCAGTAGCACAGTCCCACATGCTATCCACAAGGTATGCTGCATGCTCATGTAACTAAAATTTAAAAAGAGCAATGTGGTCTTAGACAATTATCATACTAGCCTTAACTCAAAAGAATGGAAACTTTATTGACATCATCTACAAACTCTCAAACAGCAATCTATTTTTTGACGTCAAATAGATGAAAGGACAGAGAAGAAACTGCCTTAGTTTGCTTGCTGTAAGAAAGACGTGTTAGGTAGCATCATTACACATTAACAATTATCATTAAAACATTAATATGAAAAAAATTTTTTATTATTTTTATATAAAATATATATATTTATAATAAATTATATATATTTGGGGGGGTGGCGGAGATGGAGTCTCGCTCTCGCCCAGGCTGTTGGGAAGTGGTGCTATCTCGGCTCACTGCAACCTCTGCCTCCCAGGTTCAAATGATTCACCTGCCTCAGCCTCCCATGTAGCTAGGACTACAGGCATGCACCACCACGCCCGGCTAATTTATGTATTTTTAGTAGAGATGAGGTTTCACCATGTTGGCCAGGCTGGTCTCAAACTCCTGACCTCAGGTGATCCACCCACCTCAGCCTCCAAAAAGTGCTGGGATTACAGGTGTGAGCCACTGCACCCGTCCTGAAAAGTATTTTATAAAAAGATTATATACATACTTACTGCTTATTTGGACCTAATGTATTAGTCAGCTACTCTCAATTCTTAGGTATGCTATGAATTTATTTTAACTGAAGGGGAGTGATAATGGTTAATTAAAACACAAAATGCATGTTTGTCAATTCAATATATAAGCAAATCATTCTCTTCATTATGTGAAGCTTAAATGACCCTACTGTTAGCTGGGCATGGTGGCTCACGCCTGTAATCCCAGCACTCTGGGAGGCCGAGGCAGGCAGATCACCTGAGGTCAGGAGTTCGAGACCAGCCTGGCCAACGTGGCAAAACCCTGTCTTTAGCAAAAATACAAAAATTAGGTGTGGTGATGGGTGCCTGTAATTCCAGCTACTCTGGAGGCTGAGGTGGGAGAATCACTTGAACGTGGGAGGCAGAGATTGGCAGTGAGCCGAGATCACACCACTGCACTCCAGCCTGGGCAATAGAGCGAGACTTTGTATCAAAAAACAACAACAACAAAAAACAAACCCTACTGTTTCCCGACTCCTTTGGCGGGGGGAGGAGGGGGTGTGCAAATCATAATCATTATACAAAAAAAAGCTGTCAAAGCAATTACAAATAATAAAAAATCTAAATCTAAATCCTTTATGAACATAGAGGGAATGCCCTCAAAAACTGGCAAACCGGGCCACGTGCTGTGGTTTATGCCTGTAATCCCAGCACTTTGGGAGGCCAAGGAGGGAGGACTGCTTGGGCCCAAGAGTTGAAGACTAGCCTGGGACACAAGACACCCCTACTGTCTACAAAATTCTAAAATAAACTAGCTGGGTGTGGTGGCACGAAGTTGTAGTCGGAGCTACTAGGGAGGCTGAGGCAAGAGGATCAACTGAACCCACAAGTTCAAGGCTGCAATGAGCTATGATTACGCCACTGCACTTCAGGCTGAGTGACAGAGCAAGACACTGTTGCTTAAAAAAATAAAATAAATAAAATAAAATAAAATATTTGCAAACTGAATCCAACAATATAGAAAAAGAATAACATCATGAACAAGTAGGTTGATTCAACATTTAAAAAGTCATTCAACATAACTCGACACATTAACATAATAAAGGATAAAAATAAAACAATCATCTCAAGTAATGCAGAAGCATTTTACAGAATTCAATTTCCATTCATGTTAGAAACTTTCAGCAAAGAAAAGAATAAAAGGGAACATTCTCAATCGGATTATAAATATCTACAAAACACCTATAGCTAACAATGTAATTAATGTCGAAATATTGGACACTTCTCCCATAAGATCAGGAGCAATCCAAAGATGTCTACTTGAGACAGAGTCTTGCTCTGTCACCCAAGCTGGAGTGCAGCAGCATGATCTTGACTCACTGCAACCTCTGCCTCCCCGGTTCAAGCGATTCTTGTGCCTCAGCCTTCCAAGTAGCTGGGATTACAGGCATGCACCACCATGCCTGGATAATTTTTGTATTTTTAGTAGAGACGGGGTTTTGCCATGTTGGCCAGGCTGGTCTCAAACTCCTGGCCTCAAGTGATCCACCCGCCTCAGCCTCCTCAAGTGGTGAGAGTACAGGCGTCAGCCACCGCACCTAAGCGCAACATTCTACTGAAGGTCTTAGACAATTCAATAAGGCAAGAAAACAAATGAAAAAAAAAATGTTGGAGAGGAAAAGGAAAATTATCTTTATTTACAAATGACCTGATGGTGTAATGTAGAAAATCCTAAAGAATAAAAAACCAATTATATATCCATATATAGAAATAACTAGAAAATTAAAAGGCCTGATCACTAATTAAATAATAGTATGTAATATGAACACCAAAAATAAATTTTGAGCCCTCTCAAAATCTGGCTAACATTGTAGGTTTCCAACTTTAGGGAGACTAGTTTAAGTCTACATCTACAATTGCAATGGCAGGTACCAACATCTGAAATCTTACAATGTTCTAGAGATCTGTGTTAAGTTTTATACAGATTATTTCAGTGTTAACTAAGAATTTATTACCCATCTTTTTACTAGGAAACTGAGGCTTTGAAAGAATAAGTAGCTAAACCAAGGTCACACAAATAGTAAGCAGAGTAGCCCAACTGACAATTAGGATTTTGAACTTTAAAATTAATATTCTCAGCACTATACATAAATCCTACTGTTTGAACATCTTACTAGAAGAAGAAAGTGACCGGGCGCAGTGGCTCATGCCTGTAAATCCCAACACTTTGGGAGGCCAAGGCAGGCGGATCACCTGAGGTCAGGAGTTTAAGACCAGCCTGGTCAACATGGTGAAACCCCGTCTGTACTAAAAATTAGCTGGGCGTGGTGGCACACGCCTGGAAGCCCAGCTACTCGGGAGGCTGAGGCAGGAGAACTGCTTGAACCTGGGAGGCAGAGGCTGCAGTGAGCCAAGATGGCGCCACTGTATTCCAGCCTGGGTGACAGAGCAAGACTCCGTCTCAAAAAAAAAAAAAAAAAAAAAGAAGAAAAGTAGAAAGCATATTTAAAAAAAAAAATTGGGGGAGTGGGGGAGTGGGTGGCTCTCCATTCTATTCACAATTTACTGTGCTACAAGGAATATTTTTTTAAATGTGCCTCATTTTAACCCCTTTTCCAAAATTTTTCGAACCTAAGTATAAAATAAATACTATCAACTAACCTCACTTTCTAGAAAGAAAAAAACCAATGTCTTAACAAGGTTGGCATTTGGACCTTGTCTTCCTCTTCTTTTCATCATTCCATCCTCCTCTGGATCTCTACGACTGAAGAGCCTGTGAAAAAAGTAAAATATTTATTTTACGACAACAACAACAAAAAATTTTCTAATAAAAAAATTAACTGTTTCAATTTCATATCTAAGGATCTAACAAAGGAGTAAAGGAGAACTGGGTAGGTACAATATCATCCAACATGGCACACCACGCAAATAATTGCTATAAACCTTTTTCATTTCATGTTTGATGGTAATTCTAAGTCCTTTTAAACTAATTTCTCAAGTTAATTGTACTGAGTTATAAACTATTTGTTTTTAAAAACCTTACTGTATTTTATATAACTGTTGCCTTCCATAAAAGTAGTACATTGACAAAGCTACACCATTTATGCTAAAAAATCTATGATACATATTCATCTTGAAAACTAAACATATACTTTCCTTCCATCCTTCTGGCAAAATTACCCCAACTTACTGTCCTTTTACTATGGATAGCATGAGCATTTTTCCTCATAAACAACAAAGAGAATTAACACTAAACAGCAATGAATAGAAAACTGTAGTGTAAATGTTTTATACCACCTACTCTTCCTAATAATTGCTGCACCCCCAACAGGCATTTTAATAACATCATAGGAACAAGAAAAGTTTAATCTATATGGCTCAAAAGAGTCTCTTTGAAAGCCATTATATAACAATCTTTGTTTTCTGTGAACAGATATTCACACTTCTACTCATACTACCTAATCTGAGTTAAATAGGATCACAAAAGTAAAGAGACTGTAGAATTCTTGGGATTCTTATGTCAAACTTTATTAAATACTTGAAGAACCTTTTAATATTTTCTAAAGGAAAGGAAAAATAAGTTGAAGACTAAATACAGCCTGTAGTCCCAGCTACTCAGGAGGGTGAGCCATGAGAAGCACCTGAACCCAGGAGGCAGAGGTTGGTTACAGTGAGCTGAGATCGCACCACTGCACACTCCAGCCTGGGCAACAGAGAGAGGCTCTGTCTCAAAAAAAAAAAAGCCTAATTATAGCATAAGCAATATTTAGATGCTGAAGCAGGTAATAAAAGGGTAAACAATTAGGAAGAGATCAGTCTTAATATTATAATATAGTTAGGTATCTTTCTAAGCATGTTTACTGAAAGACATGGGTACATTTCCCTTTTTTTTTTTTTTTTTTTTTTTAGATGGAGTCTCGCTCTGTCGCCCAGGCTGGAGTGCAGTGGCCCAATCTCGGCTCAGTGCAAGCTCCGCCTCCCGAGTTCACGCCATTCTCCTGCCTCAGCCTCCCGAGTAGCTGGGACTACAGGCGCCCGCCACCAGGCCCGGCTGATTTTTTGTATTTTTAGTAGAGACGGGGTTTCACCGTGTTAGCCAGGATGGTCTCGATCTCCTGACCTCGTGATCCACCCGCCTCGGCCTCCCAAAGTGCTGAGATTACAGGCATGAGCCACTGCGCCCAGCCTACATTTCCCTTTAAAGATCTAACTTAAAATAAATCAAAGAACTTAGGAGAAATCTAAACTTTTAAAGGAAAAAGTAAAATGTGAAAGCTTCGATATGATCTGTAGTAATTTTTAAAATAAGTTATATATATATAATCTTAATGTCAAGTATAACATAACAAATTACTGTTATGAAAGTATGCCTTAGAAAATGAGTAACAGATATATAGATTTACTTTTTGTAGAGAAATTCTCCAGCTGCTACTGCTACTGGCCGGTGAGCTGAATAAACCAGATGATAGACATTTTCACAATCTTCTGCAGTGAGAACTTCTTCACTACTCCTAAGAAATAAGCAGTAACAGGTGCTTTTAGTAACGTCCTAATTCTAAGCATATTAACAGTACAAAAACTTATGCTCATACTTTTAAAAAGTTGTAAAGTTTCATGAATTTGTGTTAAAGGAAAAAAAAAACCAAATCAAGCTTATTTAATTACCATCTACCAAAATCTATCAAAGATAAATGGCAGGTAAAATTAAAAGTGAATGCAGAAGGTAAACAAATAAACGTTTAAAAGAATTATGTCACATGGATGCTAACAGAAAAGGAAGACAAAATAATGAAAACCCATATAGAAAGTAAAGGGGCAGCAAGCTAAGAGCTTAGAGTTAAAAATCACAGATAATATAATACTTTCCTTATATTTCATAGTAATATTAAGTCACAACATTACATCAAAATATACTAATGGCCCATTTATATCACATCAATCAAAAATGCTTCATCCACCATGTACTGAACACCATGTAAGGCAATGCAAGTGGTTTTCCCAAATAACTAAAATCTAAGTGCCAAAGATCTTTAACTGCAATCACTGGGGAAAAAAATCTTACTAAAATGTAATGCTCATTTTATTTTTCTTATCTTTAAAGAACAAAATAAGCCTAACAAAATATTTTCGATAAATCATCATCATTAAGGCCCATCAACCACAGTACCCCAGGGTAAACGCTGTTGCATTCTTCCCTTGCAACTGCATTCAGAGTCCTGGCCCCTGGCAGCTCTTTCTCTCCCAATATGCTTCTAGTCTACTGTGATATATATAATCTAGGTTTTTACCATTATATGTAAATTCAAATCATAGGACCACTGCCAGAGGAAAAAAGCCTAAGAATACTGGATAGTTGAAGCACACAGATCCTCTTTACTTTTTGGTTTTCTGTTGTGCTGAAAGCTTCCAGAAGTCTGATGTCTAAGAAGTATTACTTCTTTTTGAGAGAAAAAGAACTAAATTGTTAAAATTCAAGTTTCAAAAGCACACTGATTTCAATTGCTCTTTATATAATATCAGATTGTTCTTGGAAAAATAACTTGTGTGTTTTTAACAAAATAACACTGAATCAGGCTGGGTGTGGTCACTCACACCTGTAATCCCAGCACTTTGGGAGGCTGAAGTGGGTGGATCACTTGAGCCCAGGTGTTCGAGACTAGGCTGGGCAACATGAGACCTCATCTCTACAAAAAACGGAAAGAAAAAAAAAATTAGCCGGACATGGTGGGACTACAGTAGCTATAGTCCCAGCTACTTAGGAGGCTGAGGTGGGAAGATGGATTGAGCCTGGGAGGGCGAGGCTGGAGTGAGCCATGATCATACCACCTGGGTGACAAAGCAAGACCCTGTCTCTAAAAAACAAAACAAAAAAAACACTGAATCAAACAAGTTAAAGTACTGTAACTCTACAGAAGTTCACTCATTTTAACTTTTTGAAAAGGAACGTTTCTAAGAAATTTAAATTATTAGGTATATAGATGGCTGAAAATCAACATGAATGGGTATGTCTATTACCTTTGATAAAAATATCAGAAAGAAGATGTTTCTAGTGTACTGTGGAGGATGGTGGGAAAGAAGCTATAGAAATATATGTAGCATACTGTTACTTTATTTCAGAATTCTTTCAAAATTTTTATATACAACATGTGTGTATAACATTTATGATTTTAAAATATAATTAAAAATTAAAGAATGCAACAGTTAACAGACTGCTCAAGAAATTCCAAGGTAAGTGAGTTCCCTGAATTGTCAATATCTGTAGAACTGCCTTCTTTTTAATTACTGCAATGTTGTCCGATTCACAGAAATGGGAATAGCCACTACCATCTCACTGAGCTGCAGTATTAAATGAAATTATCCATATAAAGTGCTTATATTAGCTATTATCTTACATACTAATTTAATTCTTCCTCTAGTGATATGCACCCTTGGTTGTTTTCAAAATTCTGCTATTACAAACAATGCTTTGTTAGAGAACATGAGCATTTGAAATTCTGACAGATACTGTCAAGTTTTTCTCCAAGGAGCTTAGACCAATTTATACTCCCATCAACAATGTAAAAGGGCCTGTTACGTCATAGCCTCAACAATATAGTGTAATTACCAAACACTTTCTATCTTTGCCAAGCAAACAGATTTAAAAGTCTCACTTTAATATATATGTTTGTAAGTGTGGCCCAACATCTTTTCATATGTTTAAATTCATACTTTTCTGTCAATAATCTGATTTATAATATTTGACTGTTTTCCTATTATTACAGATTTCTTTAATTGATTTGCAGAAATTAACTCCTTTGATGCAAAAATATCTTGCCCAATCTGAGATCTGTTTTCTCAGTTTATGGTATTTTATGCCATACAGACATTTTTAGGTTTTTATATAGTTAATTCATTGATCCTTTTATATCTAGCTTTTGTGTCATGCTCATGAAAGCCTTACATGGTCATTTTAGTGGTGCATATGTGTTCATCTCTATTTTTATTCTGCTTCATTGATCTTTTTTGTCTATTCATGTACCAGGACCAAAATTTTTAAATTACTATGATTTTATAATACATGACTTAAAAATACATTGGGCTAGTCCTCACTCATTAGTTTGTATCATATTCTTCTGGCAACTCTTACATGATAAATTTTCCATATGAAATGTCACAATTTGCTTGCTATGGCCAAAAAAAAAAAATTCCTTTGCCTTTACTATTTACATTGTGGTAAATATACAGAATGGGAAGATTACAAGCCTTTAAATACTGAGTTTTCCTAGGTAAGCTTTCCAAATTCAAGCCTTCTTTTATGTCCCTTAGTTGCATTTTATTAATGTTTCTTTGCATATATCTGGTGGATTTCTTATTTCTAGGTATTTTTATAAAACGTCATATTATTTTGAAATGAGAAGGCTCTGATTTTTAACTCTCTCAACATACCACCCAAGTGCTTGGTATAGAGACATCACTTGATAAATATTTATCCTGAAATGCAGAAAACAAGTGTTGGTGAGGACGTACAGAAATTGGAAATCTTGGCTGGGTGTGGTAGCTCATGCCTGTAATCCCAGCACTTTGGGAGGCCAAGGCAGGTGGATCACCTGAGGTCAGGAGTTCGAGACCAGCCTGGCCAACATGGTGAAACTTCGTCTCTACTAAAAATACAAAAATTACCCAGGCGTGGTGGCAGGCACCTGTAATCCCAGCTATTTGGGAAGCTGAGGCAGGGGAATCGCTTGAACCCGGGAGGTGGAGGTTGCGGTGAGCCGAGATCATGCCACTGCACTCCAGCCTGGGCGACAGAGTGAGACTCCATCTCAGGAAAAAAAAAAAAAAAAGAAATTGGAAATCTTGTACATTGCTGGTGGGAATGTGAAACAGTGCAACCTTTGTAAAAAGCATTATGGCAGTTCCTCAAAAAAAAATTAAACAGAATTACCATATGATCCAGCAATTCCACTTCTGGGTATACATAAAAGAACTGAAAGCAGAGACTCAAACAGATACTTGTACACATCTATGTTCATAGCAGCATTACTGACAATAACTGACAATAACATTTGGAAACAGTCCAAATGTCCATCAATGCAAAAATGGATAAATAAAATGTGGAATATACATATAGTGAAATATTCAGCTATAAACAGGAGTACGTGCTATAATAATGTATGAAACTTGAAGAAATTATGCCAAGTGAAATAAGCCAGATGCAAAAAACAAATATTGTATGATTCCACTTATACGAAATATCTAGAATAGGCAAGTTCATAGAGATAGAAAATAAAACAGTGGTTACCAGGATCTGGGGAAAGGGGACAATGAAGAATCAGTGTTTAATGGGTACAGAGCTCCAGAATAAAGTGATGAAAAGGTTCTGACAATGGATAGTGGTGGCAGTTGTACAACAACGTAAATATAGGTAATGACAGTAAACCATACTTTAAAATGGTTAAAATGGTGAATTTTACATAATCTATATTTTACTACCATTTTTTAAAAAGGAAAAATATGAATAACATCACTATCAGATATTAACACAGAATAGGTCTTAAATTCAGATTGTTTAAAGGTGCTATGAGAAGTATAACAGACATTCTTATAAATGCTCATACTCTAAAAGTGTAACAAAATACAATAAGCATGTTTTTTAATACACTGATGTGCTTATTTCAAGAGCATCAAAAACAGAAAAACAGGAAGGAAATCAATCTGCCAAGAGAATGGGAACACATGAATTCCTAGCTCAGTTAGAATTTCCATATTCGGTCAGGCGCAGTGGCTCACGCCTGTAATCCCAGCACCTTGGGAGGCCAAGGCGGGCGGATCACGAGGTCAGGAGATCGAGACCATCCTGGCTAACACAGTGAAACCCCGTCTCTACTAAAAATACAAAAAATAAGCCAGGCGTCGTGGCGGGCGCCTGTAGTCCCAGCTACTCGGGAGGCTGAGGCAGGAGAATGGCGTGAACCTGGGAGGTGGAGCTTGCAGTGAGCTGAGATCGTACCACTGCACTCCAGCCTGGGGGACAGAGTGAGACTCCGTCTCAGAAAAAAAAAAGAAAAAAAAAAGAATTTCCATATTCTATGGTTCCTTCTTCCTGTGTTTTCTCAACTATACATGAAGAAATTCAACTTCTAGCTGTAAACCTCCATGACGTAAGCTACTAAAATTTAGACCTAGATGAGTCTGAACCAAATACTCTAATATATTATTTAGATATCTGAACATTAGTGCAAATATGCAACAAATACATACTTACTGTAAAACAAGAGTGAGTAATTTTATTGCTTGTACTGCAACATCATATTCTTTGTCAAGGGTCATAGACACAATTCTATCCTAAGGACAAAAAAATTAAAATATTTTTAAAAGGAAAGCAAGAGAAAAGTGTTTGCAAATGACAAGTTATTTGTAAATTCTTAAGTAATACTAACCTTGAACCGACTGGTAAAAAGTTCCAGTTTGGAATTAAGCTCTTTGTTATAATAAAGCCCTTGTAGAGCAGTAAGACATTTGAGTCTTACTTCACCTTGCTAAAAAAAAAAAAAAAAAAAGATGAGACAATGCATTAAAACTCTATGTATTTTCAACTTCAATATTCAAGATGTACACAATATTTTCTACTTTAAAATTTTAAATGTTTCATACCATAGCATTCCTTCAGAAACTATCATGTTTGATAATGCAAAAATAGTAATCAGTACATACATTTATGACTAAATACCTATGGGGTTACTATTTCTGTAGTTCAAAGGATAATTTTTGAAAATTTGTTCAGAACAAATCTATTGTGAAAAACAATAGAAGCATGTGTCACAGTATATTTTCCACTATGGGAAGTAATGTTTGGAAAGAATTATATACAATCAATTTCTTCAAGGCAAGTGAAGAGGCAGCCTAAGAGAATGGTAGTTTAATGAAAACATATTAAAAAGGTCAGAAACCAAGTAGTAAGGTATAATCTGGCTAAGATACAGGTTTGTCAAAAGAGAGGATCAAAATTGAATAATTTTTTTTTTAAGTATATAGCTCTCAGATAACAACAGCGTAATGGTTCTTCTTCGTGCCCTAAGAAATGCCTCACTCCTACTACCTTCATGACTGTAATATTTCAGCAAAAAAATGATTCACCATTAATGGTTAAATCAGTGGCCAGGATTCAAAAATATCTAGCAGACTTTATGTGATAGAAAATAAGTTTTTACAGAGAAGATAGAAAAGAATAAAGGGGAGGCTTCCAGAAATGTGTCACCAGGTATACATACTGGGAGATAACTCATGAATGAGAGGTGCAGACAGCCACGCCGATGTGTAGAAAGAAGCAGTCTGAAGGGCACATCTTACCTTATCATGCATAGTCCAACCAACATATTTTAAATAACTGTCATTAAGAAAGGCATCACTATACATCTTCATCCAAATGCCAATCTCTTCAATGCAAATAGCTCGAATTTCAGCTATCGCATCACTGAATGGGGGAAGGAAAAACGATGCATAATTAGTGCCAATATACCACAAAACTTATGGTTTATTCAAGAGATGCCAAGTACTTCAGATCTACTATGAATATGACATTATCTTATTACTAGGGATTAAAAAATAGAAATGAAGCATGGGCCTGAATGCCAAAAGCTTAGGTGGCAAAGCATAATTATCAACACATAAACATTTAAAATTATATAAAACTACAAACAAAATCCCATCCCCACCTTTTATACCATACCATATCCCAGCCTTTGCTCACACCTGCTGGGCATGGTGTGTTCAGAAGACAGCAGGCACACTTGTCTGGCTAGAGCGTAATTTCCAGGTAAGTATTATTTATACATTACACTGAGGTCAAGCTCAACTGGGATTTGAATGTTAGAATAAATGATTTTAAATTCATCTTGTAAGTACTGGTGAGTCATTGAAGGCAGAGGAATAACACAATAAAAGGATATTTTGGCAAAACTGCAATAATCTCTAGGCATGAGAATGAGGAAACAGACTAAGGTAATGGTGACAATAGAAGTGAAAAGGTAAGAATGGACATGGAGACATTACAAAAAGTAAGCATTAACCTGATTCAGTAACTGCCAAGTTGAGGATATGTGGAAGCTGAATAAAAATACTACCAAAATTTAAGAATAGGTTACAGCATAAATTTATAAGATTACTATTTCTTTCCTCTGTTCATTCAAAACAGCAAAAGAAAATATCTCACTTTAACCTATCCAATTGTTCCCACTGATATTCAATGGAAGGGAAGAGAGTCAGGAGTCAGCACGTGCAGGCTCTACTAACATAGTGCATCCAAAGGCAATTAAGTATTGTGTAGCCCAACTCCAAATAGCAGTAACTTCTACTGGCTGCAAGTCAAGCACAGCATTATCCCATTTTTCAGATGGGAAACACCAAACTCACATGAGTTAAATAACTTGCCCAGAGTGACTCAGTGGCACTAATGGAGTCTAACATTGATTTTACTATAACATTCTTCCTGCTAATTTAGATTCCCTACACCACGAAATATGCAAACTTGCTGAGTAGAAATTACATAATGCTATTTATGAAAAAAACTGTCACAACTTACCGGTATCTATGTACAAACACTCCTTTAAATATTGCATTCATCATATTTTCTATTTCATCTTGATTTTCCTGAAGCTGTAAAAAAACACATCATTTCTTTTCAATTGTAAAGGAAGACAACCAAATGAACACCTGTAAGTTGTTACAAGCACAAAAAAAGCAGAATTCCCCAGTATTTTGGGGAATTTTGAATTATACTAGACAACAGTAACCATATAGAAAAATTAACAGTTATATTACCAGGTAGATAAAGTCCCTTAATACCTGAAATATTTGATTGGGATTTTAATATTTAGCTAGTAGATTTTTTTTCTAATGCTCATAAATTTCCACTAAAGAACTGTAAAGAAGGCCGGGTGCAGTGGCTCATGCCTGTAATCTCAGCACTCGGGGAGGCCAAGACAGACGGATCACTTGAGGTCAGGAGTTCGAGACCAGCCTGGCCAACATGGCAAAACCCCGACTCTACTAAAAATACAAAAATTAGCCAGGCATGGTGGCACAAGCCTATAATTCCAGCTACTGAGGAGGCTGAGGCAGGAGCTTGAACCTGGGAGGCAGAGGTTGCAGTCAGCTGAGATAGTGCCACTGTACTCCAGCCTGGGAGACAGAGTGAGATTCTGCCTCCAAAAAAAACACTGTAAAGAAATCTGTAATGTAGTTTGCTACTACATATCACTTACTATATAGCATATACATAAATTAAAGGGAAAAAGTATCAACACTTTATTTCAAATTATATGAAAAATATGAGGAATTTAGACATGGGTGAAATATGATCAGGATTTTTCTTAGTCAATTCTTGAGTCTGGATATGTTTTAAAGTTATTAACTATTTCAGAAATAACCAATTTAAAATTAGCTACTAATTCCCCTCCCCAAAAAAATTCAAGATCAGGTCAATAATTCGTAGATAACCATGATAACTACTGAATTCAACTGCATTACTAATATTTTTGAAAAATCAGACTTTGCCTATTTGATATGAAAACAAACATCTCCATTATGAGATAGCAAAATATTTTATCACCAATGAAGAAAGAATTTAAATTACAGCCGCAGCATCAAAAGATTTTATTTACTGTTATTTCGCATAAGGCTGAAAAAATTATTTTCCTCATTCAGAGTTGAATTTGGTGGTCAGTCATTAATGTTAAACAAATGCCTTCTACTGTATAAAAAACACTGATTTAGATGCCAATAAACAGCTTATGTTATTTTTCAAAGTGATTTTATTTTCCAAAGTGATTTTAATTGTGAAATCTCTTTTCATCCTGACAAAAGGTTTTTCACCGTAGAGATGAATAATACTAAAGCTTAAGACAACTTGTCAGACTAACCCCAGTCCCCTTACTTAAAGCCACTCTTAATACTAGTCCACGCAGGTTGAAAATAAGAAAACAGTATTGTTGGCACGGATATTCATCAGAATTTTGTTGGGCAAATAGTTTGAAATGTTATTTACATTTAAATATTTCAAAAACAATTATCTGAGCCACTAGCAAAGTTATATCCTAATTAATGGTGACCAAGTTGGTCACACAATAGCCTAAATATTCAATATAAAAGTTTACCTCTTTCCGCTTTTGTAGCAGGAGTTCTAGCCTCTCATTGGCTCGTTTTCCAATCATTTTATTCCGTTCTGCTTCATATTGTCTTTGTGTATTATCCATATTAATGCTAAGATTTAGTGCCACATTCACCAAAGCTGTCATCAACTTCATAGCTATTTTTAAAGAGTAAAAGTATGGTGAAACTAATCTAACAGACACAAAAATTTACAATTTAAGATCAAATAGAAATATTAAGCAGAAATGAGCTAATCTGCTTCTAACAAAAGAAAGATGCAGCTGCTACAAATGACAATAAAATAACATAAAATAAAATAACTTTTCAGGAATTATCTCCTAATCCTCACAATGGCCCTCTCAAAGGTAAGTATTATACCCATTTCATTCACGGCAAAATTGAAGCTCAGGGAAATTTTAAAATTTGCCTCAGTTCATATAAGCAGTCAAACCAGGATTCAAACCAAGGCAATCTGACTCCAGTCTATCCTTAAATCCCATTATTCTATAATATGTCCTCTAAAATAATCATTTTCATAGATCATGATTCACCTTCTAAAGTAAATTTTAGTTCACACAGAAGTTATTTAGCTATTCAGTAATTAAAAGGAACTTGATGGCTTTACATCAAATTATATTTTATGAAAATGTTGAGGAATTTTATCAGTATTTGCTTTCCTTTCATTTTACTCTATAACATGACTGATGAAACTGTGAACAGATCTCCATGGAAAGTCAAAAGAACAAAGGGCAAAATGTGACTTAATTAAAGTGCTTTTTCATAAAACTTCCTCCAGATCTCTACCTTCTGTTACTAAACTCTTACTCCTGATACAAGATTCTTATTGCCTGGGATTTAAAATTTATTAACTGAAAGATCTGATCACTTTTTGCTTTCTTTAGCTTACTCCAGACTACTTCTCAGACTTGGTGCATTGCATGATACAACAACAATAAAACTACATCTTAAATTTGTGGCTATTGGCTCTCTTAAAGAAAGATTTCCCAATTTTCTGCTCTAAGTTAATTTCATGCTCCCAGCAAACCAGTCTGTCACTCTGATCTAAAAGTATCCATCTTGCACCATAATCCCTGTTTTAATTTACTTTAGCCATCAAGTTATTGACATTGCTACCACAAGTGCATAAAGCAAGATCACATTCATATTTTCTGACTTCAAATCTAAAAACAAAAACAACATACGGGAAACTGCATTTTCTCTTTAATAATGAAGGACGTAGAAGCATATCTTTAATCATAGATTTAATTCTTTGAGAAAATCTTATAAATAAAAAACAAACCAACAGAGAATATAAAGTTTTTTTAGTTAAAAATCAAAATATCATTAAGATTCAGAAGATTCAGAATACTATCATAACAATTAATGCCTATTTTATTTATTGAAACTCAAAAGCAACAAATTCAACAGCAGTGTATCACCAATTTTACCTTAAGCACAAAAGAGGAACTAACAGATGTTATGAGGTATAAAAATATACCTTATTTCATTAAACTTTAAAGATCAAAGAATTTGCCCCAGCCTAAAGTTACCCAGAAACATAAGAAAAATCAATTTTTTGCAGTGTGACTGAAAGAACAGGCATCATCTAGTAGGGGCCATCCTACCTGGAGAGGCAACGCACACCAAAGACAAACTAAATGGCATCAGGATCACATATCCAAAATGACTGTGATGATATCTCCAAATCTGCTGTCAATATCTTCCCTGGTAACATATCTTTCAAAAACCCAATACATACCTATCATCCAATTTTCCCTTCTTGTGGCATGGTATTTTTCAATAATCCAATGCATACCTATAGTCCAATTTTCCCTTGCTGTGGCATAGTATTTTTCAAGAACCCAACACATACCTATTGTCCAATTCTCCCCTGCTGTGGCACAGTATGCATAGTATACAAGAAAATTACCAAATACTAGTTATAGTATACCTTCACAAAATCAAAACTGAAATTATCATCCCATTTCCAGGAATTCGCAGGAGGGATGGGGGAGTGTCCTCTTAGTGGTCACTTTATAAATAAAATTAATTTGTATCTCTGTTATTTCCTTTCTCTTTAAATGAGAATCTTTTTCATCTCAAATCTAAGACAATATGCAGAAAATATTTCTAAATACCGACCTGCCAGGGTGCTTGTATGTCGAAATGCTCTGACTTGTGAGTCAGACAATCCTGTAAGAAGTGAAATGACTGTATCCATCATATACTCATCATATATGATACTATATTGACATTGCCGTACTAACACGCCAATGAATTCACAAAAACTGGATTTGAACTTCTTCCACTGAGGACCAGCCATGGTAAGTGGATAATCTCCACTATCCTAAAACAAAAATTTAAAACAGCAATTTCATTTAGAATGCATGACTTAACATATCACTTGCTTTTGAAATACCCTAGACAAAAGCATGAAAAGGTATCTTTATCTCACCTTTCTTCTCCAATAAATCCTCAAAGTAGGCAAGAGAACAATATATAAAGGTAGGGGTACCTCTGAACACTTCAGCTCTTTATTTAAGATCAAGATAGATATTCTGAATTCACTTTAATCAATGAAAATATATACCAATTACTCAGGTTAAAAATTTTAAAAGCCTCCCTCATCAAAACAAAACATCCTTGTGATAAGCACAGATATAAAGCAAAAGCAAACCCAAACCAAACCAAAATTATATTTTTAAATGGATTCAAAATGATGGAAATTATACTCTCAAATAAAATGTATGATGTATAAATCAACAAAACATTAGAAATATGTTATTAGCTTCAAATACATCACACAGTCAACAGATATAAACAATCATAATTTTTTAAAGAAATGGAAATGTAGCTAGTATTGCCTTGGAAGACTGGTACTCTGGTTTTCCTTTGCACAACAAGAGGGCATTCTCTAGTCTCAGGGTAAACTGAGATTCTCCACAAATCATTAAAAACAATGAAGTACTTAGAAATAAAAGCAGAGACCAATACCATATAGAACATCTAAAAGTAACGGTCTCTGACAAGAGTATCCTAGAGATGTAAGGTAATTCAGTTCAGTAAATTTTAAAAATTAATTTTTGTCAACAGAACATTTTTTAAAATCTGAAGTCATGTCACATGTAAGTGCAGTTGCGTCTCATCTGAGAATAAGGTCCTGATATTCCACAAAAAAAGTTTTTTTGGTATTTTCTGATTGGCTAATTTAGTGACTATATTGAAATATAGCATCTTAATTGTTAGCAACTTGGTTTGCTGACATTTTCAAATCATATTTCAGGACAATTATCTCAAATAGTTGTTCCCTTTTAGTGAGAAAGTTCTCACTAAAACATTCAATATTAAAAGGGTAAAAAATGCCACTATTCAAAATTACTTCTCAACTACTTGGGGAGTGATTAATAGCACTTAGCGATCATCAAAGCCATTTTAACTCATCTATCTTTTAGAATAATAGTTCAAAGCTCCTTCATCAGAGTAAGCAAGAAAAAAAAGACCAAATAAAACTCAAATCAGACAACATTTTCTACTTGAAAACCCACAGCGAAAAATTTTGGAAGAGTAAAAGTACTGGTGCTGAAATACAGCCGTGACCCAAACAAACCCAAATCCCTTCCTTGAAGAAGCTTAATTTATAGTAAATCTATGTATGTATTTATTGGTAACAATACTTCAAAGAGCTCAATGAAATAATCAACTCAATCTAGCCCTAGGGAGGTAAGGGGGGGACAACTCAGTCTAAACTAATATGTAATCTTTGTTGTTCTTAAGAGTTTTTAAACAATAAAAGTATCTATATACTCCTTTGCCCTAGCTATCAGGTTCCCTAAATATTGCTGAAACCTTCCTTTTACAACATTCCAGGATATGTTCTTATACTTTTCCTTGACATTTTCATTTTTGTCAATAATAACTACCATTTATTAAGTCCTTGCTATGTTCTGGGAACCATAAAATGTTAAGCAATTTTCAAACATTACTCAATTCAATCTTCGTAACAGCCTTATGAGTAAAGTACTATTAGGCCCATTTTACAGATAATGAAATTGATACTGGCCAGATGCAGTGGCGCCTACCTGCTGTAATCCCCGCACTTTGGGAGGCCAAGGTGGGCGGGTCACTTGAGGTAATGAGTTCGAGACCAGCCTGGCCAACATGGTAAACCCACACCGCCCACCACCCCCCACCATGTCTCTACTAAAAATACAGAAATTATTCAGGTGTGGTGGTGGGTGCCTGTAATCCCAGCTACTTGGAAGGCTGTGGCAGGAGAATTGCTTGAACCCAGGAGGCAGAGGTTGCAGTGAGATCATGCCACTGCACTCCAGCCTGGGCGACAGAGTGAGACTTTGTCTCAGGAAAAAAGAAAAAAAAAAACAACTGACACTAAGACAACAACCTGCCAAAGGTCGCACAGGCATCATTTGATTAAATCTAATGCCAAAGCTCTTATTTACAACATTAATGCTTACAATTTTTTTTTTCCTTTTTTTTTGATGGAGTCTCACTCTGTTGCCCAGGCTGGAGTACAGTGGCGAGAGCTCGGCTCACTGCAACCTCCGCCTCCCAGGTTCAAGCAATTCTCCTATCTCAGCCTCCCAAGTAGCTGGGACTACAGGCACACACCACGACTCCCGGCTAATTTTTTTTGTATTTTTAGCAGAGACAGGGTTTCACCATATTGGTCAAGCTGGTCTCGAACTCCTGACCTCAGGTGATCCGCCTGCCTCGGCCTCTGAAAGTGTGGGATTACAGGCATGAGCCACCATGCCCAGCCTAATGCTTACAATTTAATAATACTTTCAAAAATAAGTCAAGATAAACATGCATAAGTTATCAAAACACTTAAGGTAGTAAGTTACCTCATCGAATTCTTCAGTCATTTTTCGAATTATCTCAGAGTTCTGCATATGTCTAAACATTTCTGCTGTGACAACTCCTGAAATTTGCAAATGTCAGAAGTTAATATATGGTGTGATAAAAAAATAAAGAAAACTTCCAAGTAAGTCTCTAACACTAAGAAGTCTATGGTCACACAATAAAAGGCATACTTCTTCAACCATCATCTAATAATCTTTACCATGATACTCTAATCTATAAATAAAGCACAAACAAATGCTATCTATTCTCAGTATGCACAAGAAAACAGCCCCATACTTCTGACAGATATCTTTTTTCCTAACACAATTAACTTTGGCCATTTCTACCTGACTCACTTTACTCATGCTGTAATATTTATATTGGCTTTGTCTCTTTAACATAAACCATATGTTATCAAGAGTGAGATAGCATCTAGTATAACACTTAAAACCTTGGGGATGAAGCTGAAGATAAGGAAAAGAGTAATAGCTAGAGTTCACTTTAGTCAAGTCTCTTTATTAAGCACTATTGCATGTAAAGTAACTACATCCTAATATCCTCTAAAAGAGCTAAGTAGTAAATTGTAGTTCCTGCCCACCTAGACGCCTGTAATCTAGTTAAAAGTTAAAACTAAAGAATACCAAAAAGAAAAAGAAGCTGTCAAAAGTAGTACATAATCAAAGCCCTGATGTGTGGAAATGCCAAATGCTATAGCTCTGACTCCACCTCCACTCCATACCCACCAGAAAAACCACACATGTTATAAGTTAGAAAATAAAGAACTATGTCAAAGAGAAACAATTTGATAAGGACCTTTAGAATCTTACACAGGAGGATGGGAGAGGAAAAAAGAAAAGGTACACATTAGAAGTAGTAAAACATTAGTCAGGTGGAGACCAAACATCAGAAAGGAAATTTCTAGTGTGCAGTAAGAAGAGATACATGAACTTCCACTGATGGGGCATCAGACTGAGAAAGAGAGAGATGGGGGCAGGGGTAATCAACGTAAATACTAGATTTTCAAAATCCTGTTTTTATTGTTGAATTATTTGCTTACTAGTCTTCTCACTAGAAATACCATAAATATAGTAATATCTAAAAGAAGAATGTCTTGGTACAAGAAGATGAGATTTATAAATAAGAACTAGATATAATTAACATAGATTTTTTTCAATTGACCAGAGCAATATTTTGTATATGCATGCATCTGTGTGTGTGCGCGCGCCTGTGTATATACATAGCTGTAAATCCATAATCCCAGCTTCAAAGATGAGGAAACTAAGGCTTAGGCTAAGGCTAAAAGAAATTAAATAATTTGTCTGAGACTATTCACCTAAATCATGCTGCCTCCCTCTTATCTGGGTGAGATTAATTTCTAGTCGTACCCTAGAAGAATCCTTACTTACCGCAACTTAAAAAAAAAAAAAAATGATTGTTTTAAAAAGTTGATGAACTCAGGAGAAAGCACCATTTCTCTGGCTAAAGAAACACACTCTTGGCCGGGTGCGGTGGCTCATGCCTGTAATCCTAGCACTTTGGGAGGCTGAGGCGGGCGAGTCACTTGAGGTCTGGAGTTCAAGACCAGCCTGGCCAATATGGTGAAACCCCGTCACTACTAAAAATACAAAAATTAGCTGGGCATGCCTGTAATCGCAGCTACTTGGGAGGCTGAGGTAGGAGAAACGCTTGAATCTGGGAGGCAGAGGTTGCAGTGAGCCGAGATCACACCACTGCACTCCAGAGCCTGGGCAACAGAGTGAGACTCTGTCTCACAAAAAAAAAAAAAAAAAAAAGAGAGAAGAGGAGAAGAGAAAACACTCTCAAAAACCTTTTGAAAGGCTTTTGTTTTTAATCTAGAATCACGTATCTCTCTTCAAAATCTTCCCATACTTCATACCCAGGTGCTGTATACCTGGGAATGCTAGAGAACAAAAAGTAACTAATGACCTGAACATTTCTGTGAAATTAACATTTACATATAAATATATCTCAAAGCAAACATACTGCATACTTTTCAACAATCCCTCATTTCTAAAGCTCCTCCCCGTCTCATAAACCACAAGACATCCAGAAACCCAAAAACAAGCAGAAAAGGACCTCAGAGCAGAAAAGAAAGTAGCTATCACAAACTCCATTCATTTAACTCTTGAGGCAGGTATGAAGCCACCATTAGGACATAAGGCCAGAGCCTGCTGCCTTAAAAATGTGGGGGACATTTTTAGCAAGACTGCTAAAATCCGGTAAATCTAAAAGTGATAGAGCAAGACCCTATCTCTATTTTAAAAGAAAAGAGAAAGAAAAAAAGAAAAGTGACAGCTGACTAGGAAAAAAAGAAGAAAACACTGGCCACAGAATCACCAACGGAGCAGTCAGGAGCAGCATGGAGTTAAATATCCCTCCATGCTTCAACAGCTACAGAAGCCATCAATGTATTGTAGAAAAAATAACTGATGCTTATAACAACTTTGGGTCTGCAGGAAATGTTAAATTACAATAAGTATACTTAAAGAAGTTTCTAAGTCATTTATAAAAGAATTATATTAAAATAATTTTGTGTGTATAAGTAATTAATGGCTTTATCTTTGATTATATAGTAAATTCCCCTTCATGGAGATTGCCTGATTCTAAGATAAATATTACAGCAGTGCTTAAATTAACCTTACAATTTAAGTTTTCAACACCTTAAGTTTTTAGAAATCTTGACAAACTCACTTGTGACAAGGTCCAAATGTTGAGTTAGCAAGCTCCTGATTTGTAAACAAACTGATGCCAAAAAAGGAATGAATTTGACAAAGGGAACATGCTCTGCGGCCTTGTTTTAAAAAAAACTACAACTCAGAAGCCTAATTAAGAAACTCAGGCGGGAGGGGTGGCTCACACCTGTAATTCCAGCACTTTGGGAGGCCAAGGTGGGACAACTTCTTCAGGCTAGGAGATTGAGACCAGCCTGGGCAACAGAGAAAGACCTGTCTCTACAAAAAAAAATTAAATTAAAAAAAAAAAAAAAGAAAGAAAGAAACTCATGCCAAAAACAGACAAACAAACAAACAAACAAACAAACTCACTCATGCCAGGAAGGTGGCTCATGCCTGTAATCCCAGCACTTTGGAGGCTGAGGTGGGACAACTGCCTGAGTTTAGGAGATTGAGGATCAGCCTGGGCAACACAGCCAGATCTGTCTCTACGAAAAATAAAAACTAGCTGGGCATGGTGGTGCACGCCTGTAGCCCCAGCTACTTCGGAGGATGAGGCAAGAGGATCACTTGCGGCCTGGGCAACATGGCAAAACCCCATGTCCACAAAAAATAAAAACAGAAACAAAAAATTAGCTGGGCGTGTTGTCGTGAGCCTGTAGTCCCAGCTATTCAGGAGGTTAAGGTGGGAGGATCACCTGAGCCCAGGAGGTCAAGGCCGCAGTGAGCCATGATCACGACACTACACTCCAGCCTGGATGAAAGAACAAGACTCTCTCTCATAAAATAATAATAATAATAATAATAATAATAATAAATAAAAGGGGAGACTTAAGATTTAAAATTTCAACTCATTACGTTATTTCTGGCATCTGTTCAGCTGTCTGCACTCAACCTTCCATTTGCAAAGAGCCTAATGAGAAAGGACATAGCCCTTGATTATATGACACAACAAGCAGGTACTTATATCCATCCTACCCCAGAAAAAAATGACTGGATATAGGGAAAAATAATTTTAGTATAGCTCATCTTTAAACAGTCAATCTGGTTCAGAACCTTAAGGATACCATAGTAACATCATGACAACATCTCCTCTGAGCAGAAGTCAGCTGAATTTTCTAATATTGAATTAAAGCTACTTTTATTTTAGGCAAATGAAGTAAACTAGGCAGCTTTCTATATGCTATGATTAAGACAATTTTTTAAATTTCTCAACACCTTAGTGACATTATAAAGATCACAGGCTCAAGAATTTAATATAGTTGTCTATCTTTCAGGCCTCACAGACAGGTAACATTTAATACACATACTACACTGAATGTTGTGATCAAACTCTACCAATGTTACTTGTTTTTCAAAGATATTACGGTATCTTTAAAGGAATACTGCAGAATTGAATTGCTTCTTACAATTCAGTTTCTGCATTTGTTTAAATAAATCATTCTTTACCATCTTAACGTTTTATATCTATTTTTAAGCAACTTCCTCTCCCAATTTCTAATGCTCTAATGTTGTTGATGCCACTTTCATTAAAAAAAAAAAATACCCCCAGAAATCTCCATAAAATGTATTTGCCCGGGCATCATCTGAAATTTCAAGGATGAGCTAAGTATTGGGAGACACCAGATACATCAGAACCTGCCCGTAATCTTGACTGGCTCATTTATTGATCCATATGAGGATATATGACTCCCCAACTTACATAATTTTGTCCCCCTGCCAAATGTTTGTCCTAAATACTTCTGTCTTAGGGAAGAAATTTCTGTATTTTGTACTTTCATCTTTCCCAGTTCAAAATATTTTTAAAATAAAGTGAAAACACTTTAAAGACACCACTACACACAACAAAATTTCTTTACCTTTTAGAAGAAATGTCGATTTTATCAATACCTTATTTAACTTACTTAACGTAACTTACTTACTTGCTTGCTTGCTTACTTACTGTTATTCATGGCACTTTTTAACTCCCTACACTGTACGATTACCTGTCATCTGAACCTGTATCTCTTCATTATCTTCCTCCTCCCTTCTTAATCAATTTCTTTGTTCCTAAAACCAGATGCTGAAAGTGGGAAATATATCTAATAAAAGTAACATAATAATTATAAACTGCTAAGTTTTTAGATAACTTTCACATATGAATAAAACTTTGTCAATAGACTTTCTCTCTTACTTTGTCCTTTGCTCTTTTTTCCTTACAAATTTTATATGGATATGATGCAAATAATGCCTTAGCGTTATTTACCATGTAAAGTGCTAACAACATCTCTTTAGGTGGAACAACGAAGTGACTATTTGAGAGCTGCTGATTTCAAAATAAATATATCTTACCTTTACAGCCTGAACACTGAATAAAAAAGTTGATAAGGTCAAGAAGTGCTATATCTCGGTCATGCTTGTATGATTCTATCCAATCATCTACCACCGACTACAGCAGAGGGAAAAAAATAAAATCATTAGCTTCTTCTAATTTTCTCAAAATCAATTAAGTCTGATAAAGTCATAAAATTCAAGATTATATAGTATCACATTACTTTAATATAAATACTTATACACTGAAATTTAAAGTTCAATTTTAACAATAATAAAATAGAATCGAATTCAGTAAAACAATTATCTGATAACACAAAATGACCTATCAATCTTCTATTTATTTTGCATTGAAAAGAATGTGGAAACTATGGAAGTCAATTCCATCAAGTATAATTACTTATGATTTCTCAGTGACATTAAAGAAAGGAGAGAATTTCAAATAATTAAGACAATACAGGGCAGGTGTGCTGGCTCATGTCTATAATCCCAGAACTTTGGGAGGCCGAGGTGAGTGGATCACTTGAAGTTAGGAGTTCGAGACCAGCCTGGCTGACATGGTAAAACCTTGTCTCTACTACCAATACAAAAATTAGCCAGGCGTGGTGGTGCACGCCTGTAATCCCAACTACTCGCGAGGCTGAGGCAGGAGTATCACTTGAATCCAGGAGATGGAGGTTGCAGTGAGCCAAGATCATGCCACTGTACCCCAACCTGGACAACAGAGTGAGTGAGACTCCATCTCAAAAAAAATAATAAAAATAAATAAAATATTCTAAAATTATATTGTAATGGTGGCTGTACAACTCTGAATTTGCACTTTAAAGGGTAAATTTTATAGTATGGTAAATATATCTCAATATGGTTATTTCTTAAAAAAGAAAATAGGCTAGAACTAAAAATAAAAGGAATACTTTATTCCTTTCGGGGCAAGAGAGGCAACGACAAAACTGATTTTCAATTTTTAGGCTGGGTGCGGTAGCTCACGCCTGTAATCCCAGCACTTTGGGAGGCTGAAGCCAGCGGATCACTTGAGGTCAGGAGTTCGAGAGGCCAACATGGTGAAACCCCGTCTCTACTAAAAATACAAAAATTAGCTGGGTGTGGTGGTGCATGCCTATAATCCCAGCTACTCGGGAGGCTGAGGCAGAAGAATCACTTGAACCCGGGAGATGAAGGCTGCAGTGAGCTGAGGTCGCACCACTGCACTCCCGCCTGGGCAAGAGAGCAAGACTCTGTCTCCAAACAAACAAACAAACAAAAACAACAACAACAAAACTTTTTAAATAGAGCAAATTAAATAAAATCAAGATGATAAACAAGAGCTAGTATAAAAAACAAAAGGTTGGGAGAGGGAAATGTTTCTAAGTTATATACCAATAAATAGGAAATCCAGGTACAAACAATGACTAAAACATGTAGAATCTAATGTACAAAAAAGATACTATGATTACACAATAAAGATAAATCAAGGAAAAATATCTAAGAAATACCTGGTTCAGATAGACTGACTGGAATTATTCTAAAACTTTACTTAATTTCTACTTTGTTGTATTTACAACAGCTTGTTTATATTAACCAACATAATTTACAAAAGAAATGTGCTCAGTATTTTTCCCAAATATGATATAGGCAATAAACAGCAAAAGAATATATCATAGAGACTGTGACAGTTTTAAAACATGGCCCCAAATTATTGGACATTGCTCCCCAGTAAGAGGGTCTATGTCATCTTCTCTAGAATAGAATGCAGTGATGCTTCCAAAATTAGGTCACAGAATGCCAGGCAGCAACTGCACTGGTCTCTTGGAGCACTAGCAAACTGGACACTTCTCTCAGGACATTCTCTCCAAACCCAGACGCCATACTGTAAGAAGCCGTAGCCACATAGAAAGGCCATTTGTAGTTATGCAGCTAACAGTTCTGGCTAAGTCCAGCCTTCATATCACTACAGACTAGGCACTAAACATGAGTAAAGAAGCTTCCAAATGATTATAGTCCCTAACTGTGTTAGTGCCAGGCACTCAAATGGTCCAAGCTAAGGCCCTTGACATCATAAAGCAGACACAAGTCATCTCCACTTAGTTCTGTCTGAATTCCAGACCCAAAGAATCATTAGGCATAATAAAATGATTGTTGTTTCACATCACTAAGTTTGGGGTGGTTTGTTATGCATCAATAGATAACTGGAACAATGGCTACTCTCATCAATAAAGATGCAAAATATTCAATGAACTCTTACAAAGAGACCACTACATCACATTAAAAAGTAATTCATTAAGATCAAGTAGAGTTTACACTAGGAAAATAAGTCTGCTATAATAAAAATAATGCGAGCTACTGAAATATGCTTAAAATTTTTAATCAAATAGTATGCTGAGAACTTATGTAACAAAATTCAACATCTGTTATATAATAAAATTAAGGGGCACACGCATACTTTCTCCATTCTTAAAACATAACAACCAGTTTTAAACCAACAGCCATTCTTGCATTTATTGACTATCACTTATAATTACTGAGAGAGACAGCCTGGCCAACATGATGAAGCTCCGTCTCTACCAAAAGGTACAAACAAAAATTAGCTGGGCGTGGTGGCATGCACCTGTAATCCCAGCTACTTGGGAGGCTGAGGCATGAGAATCACTTGAACCCGGGAGGCGGAGGTTGCAGTGAGCCGAGATCATGCCACTGCACTCCAGCCTGGGTGACAGAGTGAGATCTTGTCTCGAATAATGATAATAATAATAATAATAATAATAATAACAACAACAACAACAACAACAACTACTGAGATAGGTATATCCTGGCAATGCAAAAATAATGAATAACACATGATCTTTGATCAAAGAATTAGCAATCTAGAGTCAAAGTCAGGCACAGTATAAGTGCTATATAATGAAAAGATAAGAGTAAAAAACACATTGGAAAGGAAAAGTAGTAGTGTCTGAGAATGCTTTTCAGAAGACTGACATTTGATTCGCTCAGTCCTATTTGATATGCAAGGGGGGAGTAAAATAAAACTATTGCAAACAACAAGAAAAACAAAAAGAAAAGTCTAAGGGCAGAGTATATACTGTGACTGGAGGACAGAAAACATGGCATAAGGAAATCTGAGCTAGAAATTTTAGATAAGAACCCTTGGAAGTTTCTAAACAGAGGACTTCCTCCATCAAATTTGGTCTTAAAAGGGTAACACAAGTGGGAACACACATAACAAAATAAAATTGTTGAAAAGATTCCAGGAAATCAATGGAAAGACAGTGCAGACATTCTCTCTTAAGAGGGAAACACATTTCAAAACAGAAAAACAAGCTAGGCACAATGGCATGTGCCTGTAGTCCCACTTACTGGGGAGGCTGAGGCAGGAGGATTGCTTGAGCCCAGGAGTTCAAGTCCAGCCTGAGCAACATAATGAAACCTCATCTTAAAATAAAAAATGAAAACAAAAATGGCACAGATAGAGGTACAATCTTAATATGACAAGCCATAAGCAACACAAAAATAAAGAAAATATTCATTTTTAGATAAAAATGGAATAGCCCAATTAGCTGTGGTTATGAGTCAGGATTTCTCATAGCTGTGGTCTGAAGGGTTTTGTGTTCAAACTGTATGTTGAACTGTAGTCAATGTTATGGTATTAAGAAGTGGAGCCTATAGATGGCAATAAGATCACAAGGCCCCTGAGAGCTGCCTTGCCCCTTCCATGTGAGGACACAGTAAGAGGATGCCATCTATGAACCAGAAAACAGGCCTTCACCAGATAATGAATCTGTAGGCACCTAATATTGAACTTCGCAGCCTGCAAAACTGTAAGAAATAAATTTCTGTTTTTTATAAGCTTTCTAGTTTATGTTGGTTTTTTGTTTTTGTTTGTTTTTTTAGACAGGGTTTCACTCTTGTTGCCCAGGCTGGAGTGCAATGGTGCGATCTCAGCTCACTGCAACCTACGCCTCCAGGGTTCAAGTGATTCTCCTGCCTAAGCCTCCTGAGTAGCTGAGATTACAGGTGCTCACCACCAAGCCCAGCTAACTTTTTTATTTTTAGTAGAGACTGGGTTTCACCATGTTGGGCAGGCTGGTCTCCAACTCCTGACCTCAGGCGATCCACCTACCTTGGCCTCCCAAAGTGCTGGGATTATGTGAGCTGCTACACCTGGCCTATGTTAGTTTCTTTAATAGCAGCCCAAATGGACTAAGACACTGATGTTAAAAAGATAGCAGAAGAAAGAAGATTAGTGCATTTAACTACTTAGAACAAAATATTAGAGAAAATGTATAATACAAAAAAAAGAAGGAAAGTAATGAAATGCAATACAATGTAACTGAAATAATTTATCCTCTTGATAAAAATAACCCAAAAGGAGAACTAGAGAGAGAAAAGTAATTTTTAAAATTGGGGAATGACTAAATAAACCATAGTACAGCAATATAATAAGACATTATTTATTTTTTAAAAGCCAAACATATTCAAAACAGTAATTTAAAACATTACACAAGAAAAAGAATCCACACTCTAATCATGATATACAAGCAAACATTAATAAACGGATTTAAAAAGGTGCATTAGAATGGTATGAATAAATCTGGCACCTTTTAAGTTCTTTGCTCTGTAAAATTGGCGAAAGCTCAAACAATTAACAAGTATTTTCACATTTTACATGTAAAACTGTTCTTTATTAGCCTCATTTGACACATTTTATTTATAAAACCACACATATTAAGCTAATTCTATATTTCTAAACAAGGTATTTGTGTCAGTTTTTATTAACAAAAAGCCTGAACGGATAGTTCTCAGATAACCATTCATGTGCACCCATCACTGATTAAAGTTATTTCTATGAAGAAATACTATTCTCCACAGTCATAAAAAAGAATGCAATTGTGTCTTTCACAGCAACATGGGTAGAGTTGGAGGCAATAATCCTAAGTGAATTAACGCAGGAACAGAAAACCAAATACCACATGTTCTCACTTGTAAGTGGAAGCTAAATATTGAGCACATGTGGACACAAATGTGGAAAACATAGACACTGCGGACTACTGGGGGTAGGGGGTGGGGACTGAAAAACTACCCACTGGATACTACCCTCACTTCCTAGGTGCAATATACTCATGTACAAACCTGTATATGTAATCCCTGTATCTAAAAGTTGAAATTAAAAAAAAAAACTATTGCCTGTAGCTTTTATAAATTAAATTAAAACTTTATTAAGTATATATACTCCTTGAGTATTGTATTTATTCCACTTTCTAATGGTTTAGCCAACATTAGAAAGCCTAAATGCTTCTATTGTCATAAAAGTATGCAGAGAAAACATAATTCGAATGATTCGACATGAATATGCCTCCAACTTTTTATTCTTCTAAGAAACAAGCACAAATAATAAAATTTGTAATAGACAACAGTAACTAAAATAATTCATTCCACTAAAGTGGATAATAATTATATTAGGTCACTCAACCAGGAATTCCATATGGGTAGAAGACTTCGTATTTTAATGGCATCTATATAAATTCAGGGAAAATTGAGACCTCATAGCCATGGTTTACATCAGCATATTTTTGACCAAATTATTTTTTACCTTAGGCCATTAAAAAAAAATAATGGGTTGGGGCTGGGCGTGGTGGCTCACGCCTGTAATCCCAGCACTTTGGGAGGCCGAGGCAGGTGGATTACTTAAGGTCAGGAGTTTGAGACCAGCCTGGCCAACATGGTGAAACCCCATCTCTACTAAAAACCAAAAATTAGCCAGCCATGGTGGCGGGCACCTGTAATCCCAGCTACTCGGGAGGCTGAGGCAGGAGAATCGCCTGAACCCAGGAGGCGGAGGTTGCAGTGAGCAGAGATCGTGCCACTGCACTCCAGCCTGGGCAATAGAGTGAGACTCCATCTCAAAAAAATAATAATAATAATAATAAATAATGGGCTGGGCATGGTGGCTTCCGCCTGTAATCCCAGCACTTTGGGAGGCCAAGGAGGGCAGATTACTTGAGGCTAGGAGTTTGAGACAAGCCTGGCCAACATGGTGAAACCCCGTCTCCACTGAAAATACCCACCAAAAAAAACAAAAAAACAAAAAAACAAAAAAAACAAACAAACAAACAAACAAAAAACACTAGCCAGGCATGGTGGTTTGTACCTGTAATCCCAGCTACTTGGGAGGCTGAGGCAGGAGAATCGCTTGAACCCAGGAGGTGGAGGTTGTGGTGAGCCGAGACTATGCCACTGTACTCCAGCCTGGGCAACAGAGCGAGACTCTGTCTCAAAAAAAAATAAAATAAAATAAAATAAATAAGAAAAAAGAAAAAAGCATGCAGCAGAAAATGAATCAAAACACAGCACAAAAGTCTTATATATGAAGAAATACATCCCAAGAGTTTTCTGATGATTTTGTTGCTTTTTTCTAATAAGTAGTGTATGTTTAAAATGCAATTAGAAAAATCAGAGCTACACTCTATATAACTCATTAAAGTTTAAAATGTACAAATGAACTGGGAAGAACAACATAAATCTTACCTGCATAGCACTCTTGCCCATTTTAACAACTTCAAACAACATCATGTTTTCCACTCCATTCTGTTGGTGATGACCATTCATTCGGTTTGGACCAGAAGGAGGTTTTCCTCCTCCATTTCCACCTTTGCCCTTTTCTGCTGGGCCCTTTTTGCCTTTTTTACAAGTCTGCATAAAAAATACGAGGTGGTTAAGTTATATCACTATCCTTGAGAGTTCAAAACACAGCTACAGTAGAAGTAGCTGATAGGGTACATAACATGCTTAAACTTGCCCTAAAGAATTCCATCCACTTATAACAAAATGATATAACTGTGACAGCCTCTTTGTGGTGTCCATTTTTTCAAGTATACTACCATGCCTCACATGACATAGTAGTTAGCAGCATAGCCTCTGCAGACAGACAGACTCTGTGGGTGCAAATTTCTGCTACTATTAGCTGAGTGATTTTAGGCAAATTACTTAACCACACTATGTTTCAGTGATGTTTTTCTAATTTGTAAAGTGAGGATAAAACTGTGCCTACCCCATAGGGTTGCTGCGATAATGAAAACACAAAGTACTTAGCAACATACCCAGCATATAATAAAGTCAAAAAATGTCAGCTATTGTTATCACTGTAAAATGAAAAAATTATGTTAAAAGGAGTTCAGTAAATGTTACATGAATCTTAATCTGGTAGGAAGACCAACAGAAACAATGACACAAAATACTGATTTGAATCTATTTTGAAAAGTAATATAAAATCACAGACTTAAAAGCCCTCAAAATATCAACAAAGTTTGAAAAACACTGCAAAAATATCTCTCAAGTATAATCAGAGAATTCTCAAGGGTGTAGTAAATCAAGGTAGCTATCTCCAAGTTTTATATTACTCCCTTATGCAGCTTTTGGATGCAGACTGAAGTGGGCAGCAAGAATAACCAAACTCATTATCAAATATGTACCTTATACTCAGTTCAACATTTTATTTGTATTGTTAGTCTTAGAAATCATTGCAGTGCTCTGAACAAGGAATTCTGAACATTAGGAGTAGGTTTATCAATCTCATTCTTGTTCTAGGCCTCCCTCCAACATTTAGTCATCATGAAAATTCAATTAATGAAAACTATGGAAATGAAGCCCATTATAACAAAAGTTGTCAGTATTGGTGGGGGGTGGGGACGCGCGGGTAGGGGCATCAAAAAAATCAGTGAAAAGGTTCCCTATATGCCTAAGCTATAAAAATACCTCCCATAGCTCTTATACTTTAAGAAAACAAGCCATTCCCTAACTCGGAATCCTCATTTCTCAAATGCCAGGGTTGAATTAAAATACTTTACAGAAAGGTATTCCGACCCCTGGATTTGATGATTTCTTAAAGGTCTCTTTTAGACCAACACATCTCTACGATCTAGAAAGCAAGTGTTGGCCAACTTTCTGTAAAGAACTGGATAGTAAATATGTTAGGCTTTGTGGGCCACATACAGTCTCTGTAGCACATTCTTTATTTTTAAAACTATTTAAAATTATAAAAACAGCCCAGCGTGGTGGCTCACGCCTGTAATCCTAGCACTTTGGGAGGCCGAGGTGGGCGGATTGCCTGAGCTCAGAAGTTCGAGACCAGCCTGGCCAACACGGTGAAGCCCTGTCTCTACTAAAATACAAAAAATTAGCCAGGCATGGCGGCATACGCCTATAGTCCCAGCTACTCGGGAGGCTGAGGCAGGAAAATTGCTTGAACCCAGGAGGTGGAGGCTGCAGTGAGCCGAGATCACACCACTGCACTCCAGCCTGGGTGACAGAGCGAAACTCTGTCTCGAGCAATAAATAGGCCGGGCGCAGTGGCTCAAGCCTGTAATCCCAGCACTTTGGGAGGCCAAGGTGGGCGGATCACGAGGTCAGGAGATCGAGACCATCCTGGCTAACACGGTGAAACCCCATCTCTACTAAAATTACAAAAAAATTAGCTGGGCGTGGTGGCAGGCACCTGCAGTCCCAGCTACTCAGGAGGCTGAGGCAGGAGAATGGCGTGAACCCAGAAGGCGGAGCTTGCAGTGAGCCAAGACTGCGCCACTGCACTCCAGCCTGGGCGACAGAGCAAGACTCCGTCTCAAAAATAAATAAATAAATAAATATATATATATATATATATATATATATAAATAAAAATAAATAAATAAATAAATATTAAAACGACCGGGAGCAGTGGCTCCCACCTGTAATTCCAATACTTTCGGAGGTTGAGATGGGAAGATTGCTTAAGGCCAGGAGTTCAAGACAAGCCTGGTCAACAGAGCGAGACCCCATCTCTATAAAAAAAAAAATATATATATATATATATATATATATATAAACTATTCTTAGAGCTCCTGGACAGTACAAAAACAAGCCACAGATTGCGGATCTCTGATCTATAGCGATGCCTACAAATTTCTTTCCACTGAAAGCCTGTGGTATTTATGTACTTTATTCCTTAGAGGGTCCCTTCTTCCTCCAAGAGTCCAAAACGACTCAACTCTTAACAGTTACTTTAAACCCCTTCCCTGAAGGGGAACACCTGAAACATCTGAAACATATTACTTGTTAATTTGCAATACAGTAGTCCTCCCCTGGGTTTTACTTTATTCAGTTTCAGTTACCCTTGGTCTGCTGCAGTCCAAAAATATTCAGTAGGAAATTCTAGAAATAAACAATTCAAAAGTTTTAAATTGCACACCATTCTGAGTAGCATGATAGAATCACTCATCATCCTGCTGTATCCCACCCAGGACGTGAATCATCCCTTTGTCCAGCATATCCACGCAGCTCATTAGTCACTTACTAGCCATTTTGGTTACCATATTGAAAAAATTCAATATGCAAGGTTCTGTACTATCCGCAATTTCAGGCATCCACTGGGGGTCTTAGAATGTATCCCTGAGAATAAGGGAGACTGCTATATTCTGTAAATGAGATTCAGTCTTTGTGAACCTAATTCATTAATTCCTGATTGCACAATGAAAGGCTTTTGTCCCCAGTAAAAGCATTTTCAGAGATAAGGTTGAAAGAAAAGATCAACTACAACAGAATAGACTAGTAAAATATAAAATGTTAATTAACATGGAGCTGTATATTTGCAGTTTATCTATCAAATGCCTCAATAGTCCCTGTCAGTATGAAAAACTAATTGGGACAATTAAAATGGCAGAATGGGTATGCTGTGCTAGAAAAAAAAATGTGCAAGGAGTGATAATAACAAAGGAAGCATTATACAAAAAGCAAATACGCTAACCTGTGTACAACCTTGGAGAGAAAAAAAACTTCTACATAAAGACTTTAGGAAGTGGTATAGTATAGAGGGTTAAGGGCACAGACCTGAACTCAAATCCTTTAACCACTGGGATTCTCTGGACTTCAGTTTCCTACCTATAAAATAATGGTGTTTTCTCATCTACGCAGTTGTTCAAATATTAGATTAACATGTGAAATTGTTAGCACAACACATGGAACATACATAGTATAGTCTCAAAATGCAGTTGCTATTATTGTAATAAATCCTTGACCTGTCCCAACACCTCACCCACAGTAGTAGCTATATAACCTTAACCAAACTGTGGCACAAAAACTTCAGAGTCATCTACTCAGGTGCCACCAAGAATCTTGTCCAAACTTGTAAATTAAATCAAAGGCAAAATAGGTTAATGGAAAAAAAATGGTTTTCTAATAAATTATACTGTCCAATAGAATTAAGGTTATCTTTGGATAGCCGTAAGTTAATATTTCTATTCATATCCCTCTCTCGAGTCTTTTTAAAGAAATAAGAGAGCACACAAAATTATGAAACACATGAATTATGAGCACTCAAAAAATATTCCAAGCATTAGTTAAATAAATTATGTTCCATACATTAAACGTGATGTTTTGCCACAATTAGAAATCACAAGAGAATGGCCAGGCGTGGTGGCTCACACCTGTAAATCCCAGCACTTTGGGAGGCTGAGGCAGGAGGACTGCTTGAGCCCAGTAGTACAGGACCAGCCTGGGGAACATAGTGAAATCTCATCTCTACAAAAATAAAAAATAAAAGGAATTACAGAGAAGCCAGGCATCGTGGCACAGGCCTGTGGTGCCTGTAGTCCAGTCGAGAGGCTGAGGCAGGATAATTGCTTTAGCCCAAGAGTTTGAGGCTGTAGTGTGCCATGACTGTGCCAGTGAATAGCCACTGCACTCCAGTCTAGGCAACATAGAGAGACCCCATCTCCAAAAAAACAAATAAATTTAATTTAAAAAATAGAAAAAAAATAAAAGAGAGTTTTACAGTCACTTATGGGAAAGCTGTTGACAACATACCATTGAGTTTTAAAAGCACATTAAACTGTTTGCATAGTATGACTCCACTTAAATAAAATGTTATCATCATGTTTATACATAGGTGTATGAATAGAAGTATGTGCATCAAAATGTTTAAAGAATAAATTACCTCCAGGTGATAGGATTATGGAAAAATTTCACTTTGGTCATCGTAAACTTCTGTATTGTTAAGACTTTTTCAAAGTATGTCATGAGACAATATAAATCCAAAATTCATTTTGAAAAACAAATGCTGAACAACAAAAACAAGTTATCTTTTGCATAATGTATTTACACACATGCAGAGTCAAATATACTTTCCAAAACAACAAAATAATTTAGCCATTCGCCAAGTTATATCCAGCCCTCAGGCTAACCCACTCACACTTTAAACTTACATTATATTGACTCAGAACTTAACTTTGTAATTTTTTATCTTTCATATTACTTATAAAGAGTAAAACTATTGTCATTTGTAACCCATTAGCCTTAAACTGGTTGTATGTTACATTTTTAGAGTGCTTTAAAGATTTTATATATTGCTTTCCTTTACATTTTATTACTTGTGGGAAAACAAAAATAAAGCCAACAGAACATTGCATTCTGCTTCACATACTGTGCTTTACGAAATAAACTACTGGAAATGTATTATTATTATTATTATTATTATTATTATTATTATTATTATTTGCAACTTTACAGCAGTGTAAATAGATCCCAAAGGCTACCTGGTCTAGAAGACAAAAGGACCACATTTACTCAGAAGGCTTACCATACCAATCAGCTCCCACCCCCTTAAAAAGCCATTTTTAAAAGATAAAACTATCTGAGACATAACTTAAATCTGTGTGTGTGTGAGATCTTAGGAAACAAAATAAAGTCAAATATTTGATACATACTTTGCCTTTGCCTTGCTTTTGGTTTTTTCCTTCGATATCTTCAAAATCTGTGTCAGAAGAAAAATGTGTTTCTGACTCCCTGTGACAGAAAGATAAGAATTAAAACCCTTCCTTAGAAATTTATATTGAGTTTCTAATTTTTGCCATATTTTCTAAAAGAAAGGCTTGGTTAACTCATTACAAAACTTCATATTAGCATTATAAGTAATTAAGATGTTTCCCCAAAACATCATACTATAGCACGTTACCAAACACACAAGATTACATAAGCAGCTACAAAAATAATAATCTAAAATACAAATACCTAAACATTTTTGTTAATTTTTAATCAAAGTATGAAAACTAATCCAGTGGGTCTCAAAATTTAACCCTAGGAACTGTGGTGTTCCATGTAATCGTTGGTTCCATTTCCTACTTCAAAGATCACAGTGCTGCGGAAAAACTGTATTTTAATACTAGGCATTGGAGGAACTTTATTAGGGAGTTTTATGATTATGGATCCTCTGATCTCTCCTACCTCACTCGAAAAGTATTTATAAATCTAGGTGAGTCAATATACAAAACATGTATTTCTGAAAGGGTACTTATAAAACCTTTTTATAAACTAAAGCATTTGAAATACACTAGGGAATTATGCTAAGTGATCAATATCCTTTATGAAGTAAAGAGGTGATGAGCTATAGTCAGGAGAACAGTTTTGGTACTAAGTAACTGTGGATCTTATACAAGTGACAATCTCAATCTTCTCATCTATAAATAATATATACGCAGGAAAGAACGAAATCTCTAAAGTCTCTACAATCTCCAACATATGAATCTATAGTCCTAAACAACTGTCCCTTGTTCTGGGTTGGGGTAAGGCTAGTTTGTATAATCTGGATTTTCTCACAAACATATGGAAGCCGACCGATTTAAATAAATATGTGTGATGCTTTCCAAATGAGTAAACATGAGTCTATCTAAATAGTAGTAACATACCCTCATTTAAATGCTTAAAGCAAGGCATACTTATATTAGTATTTGGGTCACACTGGATTTTAGAATTGAGCCACATCCATAAAAGATAAAGGTTTTTCCACCCTAAATGTGTAAACCTAGCACCAGCTCTGCTTAAAATAAATGGAATCGAAGTGAAAGGCTATCTTTATAAAACTAGTATTCTCAATCTAGATTTCTTCTATTTCCATTTTATTGCTACAATAACCAGTTGCCCAGAGGCTATGAGGTAGCAGAGGCTGTGAGGTAAGAATATTTCATAAATCTAAAATAATGATTAAGATGCTAGCAGGAAAAAAAATACTATTTATACAGCACTTACATATAAAGTAATTTAAACAATGTATGGAAGGTGGTGGCAATCCTAACTATATCCTACAATGTTGAGAGGAAAGGGCCTGTAATAAATACCATTCCCTAGAGTTAATGCACCAAAAACTGAATGACTACTATAATATTAACCCTGAAGCTCATGTGTGTTACATCTTAAGAAGATTGTTGTCATCAATAATCTTCTCACATGTCTATATGGTCTTGCAAAAAAAAAATGAAAATTTAAAATATCTTGATGTATAAGTAATATTTATTTCTTCCCAAGCGTTTCGTAGGACACCAGCTCTCTTAAAGAGCTAAGTAACTGCTTTAAGTCTGAAGAAAATCACTATAGTCTTCACAATGTTCCAATGGCCAGAGTAATCAAGGGCTCAATTATCCTCTTAATACTCATCTCCAAGCTATCCCAACTAAGAGTGAAGCACTAGAGGTTTGGTAACTTACTGAAAAACTTTCTAAAGAAAGCTTAAGTGAGTAATCAGAATGGAAGTCTAAAATACTCCCAACCAAAGAAGAAATACTCTCCTAAGCCGTTCTTCAATGCTTTCCTGTGTTTTTAAGATCAAAAGAACAACAAAAACTACCCTAGGTGAAATAACAGTTATGTTTATTAAACATACTGTATTAACCATTCAGTGACCTGAAACATCCTGAGTCATCTATCACACGACTGAATCTTCCATTCCTCTTTACTGTGCCCTGCACCCCACATACCCAGTCAAATGCTGGGCCTGTTCCACCCGAACAACATCAATTCCCTTTTATTCATTATCCTATTTCAGGTCCTCATTATTTGAGATATTCTAACAGTCAATAGTCTAGTCCATAATATAAACCCTTTTTATAGTCTCTAACCAAGTATATAAGAAACTTCATAATCTTCTCTTTATATCTTTAAAATATGAACTCATAAAGGCAGCAGGAAGTACCTAACTTAATTCCTCACAGGATCTAATGTAACATCCTGTATACAGCAGACACTTAATATTAACAAAGGTAATAATTAACTTTTACAAAGATATGAGACTTAGAATACATAAAATCCTCACTAAAAATGCTGTTTTGTGGGAACCTGAATGTATTTGGTCCCAGAAGATTCATAAACTCCACTGAAGATAACAAAATTATTAAAAATATGAAAATCTACATATGATCAAAAGTAAATGCTGGCTGCCATTATGTACAAAGGTATTAGTCTGTTGTTTTCAAAATTTTTAGCAACTAAACTCTCTTTTCAAGTCAAGTCTCATAAAGATCCTAATAAAAAATACAGTGGTGGGGGTGGGTAAATAAAGGGATTCACGGGCAATTTAAAAGTTCACTTTTCACTGAGGCAACTCATGAAACTGTACCTTAGTATGAAAATCACTGTTACATAGAGTAGTTCAAAATCTTTCAAAACCAAGGAGTAATTAGAATAAAAGCTAAGGAGTACAGTTAGCTTTTCAGATGGGGGTAAAGAGGATACCTATGTTGAAAACACTTTCTGGACCAATATACATGTAACTTATTTCTGCAATCATCATTTGATTTTGTAACAGAAATCTGACATTACATCCTAAATAGTGCCACATGGTATACCTCACTAATGAGAAAACTTTATTTTTAGGAATTTTATGATGCTCTCTCAAAACAGTTGCTATTGCAAAACCAAGTATGGACTCAGAACTACACAACAAAAAATAATAAACTGCAGCATGTAAACTAAAAGACAAATTTAAAACACAACAACAAAAAAGTACAGAATAATTATTATTACAGAGCCTTGATGAGTGCTGATATAAACTCTTGCAAAGCATAAAAGCTATTTTATATATTAGATCTTCTCGAGCAGAAGGAAATTTAACTGAAGTTAATGCATTCCCCATTTTGTGGAATAAACAAGTATTTAAAAATTATCAGAATATAATTTACTTACTGTAGTAGATTAAAATCAGTTGGTATTTCTGGAGCTGCTATCATTTCTTTATCATCTTCTGGAACACCTCAATGTCAGAAATATATTCATATATTTACGTGGGTAAAATGGTGGCTTGCCTTCTTTCTTCTAAGACAATTCCTTTAAAAAGGAGAAAATGACATTTATTACAAATGCACCAAAAATATTCGGAAAGGATATCCATACTCAAAAGTTAAATTCCCCAGTGCCTACTAATGTGTTTTAGTAAATAAGGATTTCATTCCCTTGCATTTGACTGCTTTCTTTTTTTTTTTTTTTTGAGACACAGTCTCACTCTGTCACCCAGGCTGGGGTGCAGTGGCACGATCTCGGCTCACTGCAACCTCTGCCTCCCAGGTTCAAGCGATTCTCCTACCTCAGCCTCCCGAGTAGCTGAGATTACAGGCGCGGGCCACCATGACCAGCTAATTTTTGTATTTTTAGTAGAGATGGGGTTTTGCCATGTTGGCCAGGCTGGTCTCGAACTCCTGACCTCAGGTGACCCACCTGCCTCGGCCTCCCAAAGTGCTGGGATTACAGGCATGAGCCACCGTGCCTGACCTTGACTGCTTAATCTAGATATGGACTTGTTGTAACACTCGCAGCCCCACAGTAATAACACATAGGGGAAAAAGAAGCTTATAAAACAATTGTTTTTAAATTTTCTTGTGATTCTCCGCCTGGCTTTATATATATATTAATACATCCTAAATAGAAACAGGATATGACTCTTACTGGTCCTGAAATCCCTATGAGAACTTTAAACCATAATATGAGATGCCTGAAAATACAACCTTTTGCTGGTATCATGCACATACAGTTAAAAGGAGCTAATAAAAAAAACCTAAGATATAACTTTAAAACAGATTTTCCTGCCCTGGAAACATACAGTCCAAAGCCTGGCTTATTAAATAAATAACCACTTCATGATAATAACAAACTTTGTTGAGAAGAGAAGGGGGAAAAAATGTTAGATCTGATCTATTCCTCTCCCTCAAGGAACTTACGATCAATTTAAATGCCAATAATTTCATACGAACAACAAATGAATGCCATTTTTGACCAAAGTACATGTAAAAATGGCAGACAGAAAGGGTATTATGTCTATGTTTTGAAAGTCAAGGATGCATTTCCTAAATGAAGAAAATGACCTAAAAGCAAACAAGGAAGGAGAAAACAGGCTGAAGCTAAAGTCTAAAGCTCTTAGTCTTATGTGTACCTTTCTCTTATAATTTTCTTATGTTTTTCTTTTATTCCCAAGTGAATTTAGTACTCGGTGGCCACCTAAAGAAAAAGCAGGTAAGATTAAACATATCCAATTAATATTAAATGCTCAAATATAACATACTGACAAACTCCTAATGACTTCTCCCAGTAGGTTAGATATCACACAAGAAACAGCTCAATTTGTCTTGGTAATTTTATCTCTCTAGAAAACATCATCAATGGTTACTAATATTTAATTAATATACAAAGTTCAAAACATTGTATTTCCTAGCTTACTTAAGCTAAAACAGAAAAATATTAATTTTATGTTTTGTGAACAGCAAAATAACAAATGAGGCAATAGGAGAAACAAGAATGAATAATCCACAAATTAAATCCTGAATAATCAAATAACATATACCACCACTTTATTTTTTTTCTGAAAGATACTCAGATTTTAAAATCTTGTTTTCAGCCAGGCGCAGTGGCTCACGCCTGTAATCCCAGCACTTTGGGAGGCCAAGGCGGGCAGGTCACTTGAGGTGAGGAGTTCCAGACCAGCCTGGCCAACATGGCGAAACCCTGTCTCTACTAAAAATACAAAAATTAGCCTCGTGTGTTGGTGCACACCTGTAGTCCCAGCTACTCGGGAGGCTGAAGCAAGCTGAGATCATGCCACTGCACTCCAGCCTGGGTGACAAAGCGAGACTCTGTCTCAAACATACATACATACATAAATTTTAAAATCTTATTTTCGTTGAGACAGGGCTTACTCTGTCACCCAGGCTGGAGTGCAGTGGCACAAATCATAGCTCACTGCAGCCTCAAACTTCAGGGCTCAAGAGATCCTTCTACCTCAGCTTTCTGAGTAGCTAGGACTATAGGTACTCACCACATCTGGCTAATTTTTTCTTTTCTGAAGTTTGTCATCATATGTAAGATACACATTCACCTCCTAAAATGCTAACTTATTTATAAAAGAAAATCATTTTGTTTCTTTTAAAGGAACTGGAGAGGCACAGAACTAATAAATTCTAATGAACAGGTCAGGTCATCTAGACGGCAAGATGAAAATAAAAAAGGTCATGTGATCCTTGCTGTATCTGTCTGCGTCTCTGAGCATTTCATCAAAACCAAAGTTGCTGCTTTCCTTCAATATAATTTCTAAGCACACTTTAAAGGTAGTTCGTAAATACAGTCACCTAAGGAATCACAGGTGATGAATATAAAGAATGCATCATCTCTGAGAAGCAGAGAATACTAAATAAAATGAATATTGTGCGATATACTGGATTCTTCTAAATAGCACAAAATTAATTTCTACTGTAAAAGAAAGAAGCATTCCCAGGCCAAATTATTTTGCAAAGCATAGGCTATACTAACATGTACTTTGTAATTAGAAACCAAAGCAAACACAAAAGCAAAATCAAAGATGTAAGATGTATCTCTCAAGACAAGATAGATGCGCGCATGTGCGTATTATACGTATATAAAAAATAGAGACAGACAGACAAGGTCTTACTCTGTCACCCGCACTGGAGTGCAGTGGCGCAATCACAACTCACTACAGCCTTGACCTCCCCAGGCTCAAGTGATCCTCCCATCTCAGCCTCCCAAGTAGCTGGGACTATAGGCACACACTACCATGGCCCAGCTAATTTTTTCTTATTTTGTAGAGACAGGGTTTCACCATGCTGCTCAGGTTAGTCTTGAACTCCTGGGCTCAAGCAATTCACCCACCTTAGCCTCCCAAAGTGCTGAGATTACAGGCGTGAGCCACTGCGCCCAGCCAGGTACATATATTTTTAAAAGAAAAAAAAAGTTGTGTCAGGGTCTGATAGAAAAATTATTGAACTGGCCAATTCCCTATCCTAGTGAAATAAGATTTTTTTAAAGTCTCTAAATGTTGAAAATTCATCCAACCAAGTGAAAGTATCCACCATGTGCCAAATGTAGTGCTGGGCAATGAGAATACAACAGTGAACAGGAGAACAATGATCCTTGTCCTTAATACCTGTTAAGAAATGTGATTATTATTTCTACGAGAAGGTACCTACTTGCCACTTATTATTATTAAATATAAGAATGCTGGCCGGGCGCGGTGGCTCACGCCTGTAATCCCAGCACTTTGGGAGGCCAAGGCAGGCGGATCATAAGGTCAGGGAGACCATCCTGGATAACATGGTGAAACCCCATCTCTACTAAAAATACAAAAAATTAGCCAGGCGTGGTGGCAGGCGCCTGTAGTCCCAGCTACTCCAGAGGCTGAGGCAGGAGAATGGCGTGAACCCGGAAGGTGGAGCTTGCAGTGAGCCAAGACTGCGCCACTGCACTCCAGCCTGGGTGACAGAGCGAGACTCCATCTTAAATAAAAAAAAAAAAAAAAAAAAAAGAGTGCTAAATTCCATGTATCCGAGTGTTTGCTAGTCATTCTCTAAATGACTTATTTGCCATAAAAACAGTTCATCATAGCTCAACAAAAAATTACAAATATTAAAATTGCTTTGTAATTTAGAAGGGAAGGAACCCAACGGATGAGTTGGGATTAGTAGTTTCTAAATGTAAACTTTAATCTACAGGAAGAGCTGAGAATGTTTACATCTTTATTTTAAATGTCTACAGCTGCATATAAATACAATTTGCAGGCCATGCATGATGGCTCACACCTACAATCCCAGCGCTTTGGGAGGATGAGGTTGGAGAATGGCTTAAACCCAGGAGTTCGAGACCAGCCTGGACAACACAGTGAGACCGTATCTCAACAAAAAATCAAAAAATCAGCCGGGCATGATGGCACACACCTATAGACCTAGCTACTTGGGAGGCTGAGGCAGGAAGATTGCTTGAGCCCAGGAGGTAGAAGCTGCAGTGAGCCATGATCACACCATTGCACTCCAGCCTGGGCAATGGGGTAAGACTCTGTCAATCCATCCATCTATCCATCCATCCGTCCGTCTGTCCATCCATCCATCCATCCATCCATCCATCCATCCATCCAATGTGTTTCCCCCACAGACTTACATTAACAAATTCAGAGTATCTTCAAATGTGCTTAATACCATTTGACTTCAGCTGGGTAACCCAAAACTATAAAAACATGTAATGCTCAAAGAAAAGTATCAGTTTAAAAATCAAACTCACCAAACAATTTCTGCACTATTGCGGGTTATTAACTTTTTAAAAAATATGCTCCAAGATCACAAGGTGGAGCTCTCTCCTAGTGTCTAGAAAAAACTTTTGAGGTTTTCATCATATGTAACAATTCTCTATACCTACTATAAAAGAGTTAACATTCTAACAGCTTTGGAGGATAAAGCATAGAAATAAAATTTGCATTAAGTCTCAATCACTATTTTCCTTCTGGGAAAAAAACCTATCCAGCAACAACTAGCTTCTGCTTTTCCTTACTGAAAACCAGGCAATCCCATTTGTAGATAAGCTAAACAATATATATTAAAGTAAAACTACTTGCTTAAGTTCACATGTATAGTGAGCTGCCATTAAAGGCTATTAATTATTAGATTAAAAAGTAACAGATGATCGCGTTATTTCTAATTCTAAATATTAAATTCAAGTAACACTGCTTTTAATATAAACAGACCTAAAAGCTGAAACTTAATCACCGTAACTTCTCAGGTTATCCATAATTAGTATATATTTATGGGCTGTTACTCAAAGTTTAGATTACAAGTTAAATTCAATAACAAGAAACACCTGTCAGATACCTATTACTATAGCACATTAATACAAGCAAGTAAAAATTATGATGATGCTTGAATCTTTGCAACTCCAAAAAAAGAATGACTTCCTACATTCATCAAAAGTACCCCCCAACAAAATAAAAGCACACACAAAACATCCTAATATCTTGCTTTGATATGATTTAATTTTTTTCCCCCCAAAATAATTACTGTTTTAAAGGTCTTTAATTTAGGGGCCAGGCACGGTGGCTCACGCCTGTAATCCAAACACTTTGGGAGGCTGAGGCGGGCAGATCACGAGGTCAGGGGTTCAGGACCAGTCTGGCCAACATGATGAAACCTCGTCTCTAAAACAAAAATACAAAAATTAGCTGGGCACAGTGGTGTGCACCTATAGTCCCAGCTACTCGGGAGGCTGAGGCAGGAGAATCGCTTGAACCCGGGAAGCGGAGGTTGCAGTGAGCCGAGAACACACCACTGCAATCCAGCCTGGGCAACAGAGTGAGACTCCATCTCCATAAAAAAAAAAAGGTATTTAATTCAATCCCAAGTGGTCTCAAGACAAAAAAATGAAAAGCTACCAACAAAGCCATCACTAACAAGGTTCCCCAGAATCCATATATTAATAATATATTACTGGAGAGCACAGGGGAGGGGAACACTTAAGTAGCTGGTATGTTAATTCTCTCACTAAAAATGCAGAAATATTCAACTGCTAAAAGCTGGCAAATTCACACACCACATGCCATACCCTTAACACTCCTCCCAAAAGGGTCACATACTTCTATATGTAAGGATCACATCCAGGAAATGTATACACCCTTCTAAAATGCCACCATCACTATAATACAAACACTTAAAATTAGGAATTACCAAAATGTCCAATTATCCATAGACTATAGGCGAGCACCACCATGCCCAGCTAATTTTTGTGTATTTTGTAGAAACAGGGTTTCACCATGTTGCCCAGGCTAGTCTTGAACTCCCAGGGTCAAGCAATCTGTCCACCTCAACCTCCCAGAGTACTGAGATTACAGGTGTGAGCCACTGCGCCCAGACAGGTACATATAATTTTAAAAGAAAAAAATGTTGTGTCAAGGTCTGATAGACACAGAAAAAATTATTGACCTGGCCAACTCCCTATTCTAGTGAAATAGGATTTTTAAAGCTTCTAAATACTAAAAATTCATCCAACCAAGTACCACTGATAGTACATCAATGTAATTAATGTAATATTCATACACTGAAACTATTTATGACTGTGTACCAATGTGGGTAAACAGACATAATAACAACAAAAAAGAAGCAAAGGAATACAGTAACAAATCAAGGTGGGTAATTTTTTAATTTTTTATTTACAATCTTATTGTTAGTACAAAAAAGGAAATTATGAAGGGGAAATTCAGTTTTTAATGTACTCTGTTAAAACGTGAACTACTAGCTGGGCATGGTGGCGCGTGCCTATAGTCCCAGCTACTTGAGAGGCTGAGGTGGGAGGATCGCTTGAGCCTGGGAGGTCAAGGCTACAGTGAGCTGAGAACATGCCACTGCACTCCAGTCTGGGCAATAGAGTGAGACTGTCCTCAGGAGAAAAAAAAAACTGTTTAAAAACCTAAGCTACCTAAGGAATTACAAAACTATGCTGCTAAAATCTATTCATATTTCATGTTTATAATCATATAAAATTAAATGTACAAAAACTCTGAGTTCTATCATAAAATTACCTTTATTATGTTTGCCTACTCAAGATTAGCAGGGAACATAAACTTTCTTACAGGCTCCTGACAACAAGACCCAAAGGTATGTTCCTTTTATTGGCCTATGTACTTTCTCAGGAGACAGCATACAGAAGTCTGTTGTTTAGTTTGAGGTTGTGAATGCTAAAAGGTAGACTACTTCCTGCAGTAGTACATTTGATCCAAACAGGAAAGTTACTATCATTTCTATGTCAAATGATGTACATGCGGGCAAAAAAATGAAAAGCTAACCCAAAATGTGGACATAAATATCTACCTTCAAAAAGAAAAAAACTACTGCCCCTTTGATGAGTAACAATCTTTAACAAGAATTCGGCCGGGTGTGGTGGCTCCCACCTGTAATCCCAGCACTTTGGGAGGTGGAGGCAGGCGGATCACGAGGTCAGGAGTTCAAGACCAACATGGTGAAACCCCATCTCTACTAAAATAGAAAAATCAGTTGGGCATGGTGGCATGCACCTGTAATCCCAGCTACTTGGGAGGCTGAGGCAGGAGAATCGCTTGAACCCGGGGGACAGAGGTTGCAGTGAGCCAAGATCATGCCACTGCACTCTAGACTGGGCAACGGAGCAAGATGCCATCTCAAAAAAAAAAAAAAGAAATTCTTCTTACCTAAAAGATATTTGTCCTCCCTCTGTTAATCTCCCTAATTTGTGCTATACTATTCTAAGTAAATGACATGGTGAAAATACTTCAAACTAGGCCAGGCACGGTGGCTCACACCTGTAATCCCAGCACTTTGGGAGGCCGAGGCGGGAGGATCACGAGGTCAAGAGATCGAGACCATCCTGGCTAACACGGTGAAACCCCATCTCTACTAAACAACAAAAAATTAGCCGGACTTGGTGGTTGGGGGTCTGTAGTCCCAGCTACTCGGGAGGCTGAGGCAGAAGAATGGCGTGAACCCGGGAGGTGGAGCTTGCAGTGAGCCAAGATCAAGCCACTGCACTCCAGCCTGGGCGACAGAGTGAGACTCCGTCTCAAAAAAAAAAAAAAAAAAAAAAAAAGAAAAGTACGTCAAACTAAGCAATGATCATGTGTACTCAGCCCAGTAGTAAAATCTTAACCTAAAAGTTTCTTGACAACACACTCACATTACAGCTACCACATATATCATTCGCAAATATCTTTTCTTTTACACAAACCTGGATGGAGTCCTACAGAATTCCTAATGGTAGTCCCTGCTCTGGTACAGGAATAGGTAAACCAGAGAAGGCATGCCTGGAAGAAATCTGCATATGTAAGAAGATTAATGACCCTGTCTATATTTCCTAACTAATAGTAGGAAATCTATATTTACAAACTTTAAAAATAATATAAAGGACAGGCCGGGTGCAGTAGCTCAGGCCTGTAATCCCAGCACTTTGGGAGGCCAAGACAGGCAGATCACTTGAGGCCAGGAGTTCCAGACCAGCCTGGCCAACGTGGAGAAATACCATCTCTACTAAAAATACAAAAATTAGCTGGGCATGGTGGCACAGGCCTGTAATCCCAGCTACTCCAGAGGCTGAGGCATGAGAATCGCTTAAACCCAGGAGGTGGAGGCTGCAGTGAGCCGAGATCGTGCCACTGCACTCCAGCCTGGGCAACAGAGCAAGACTGTCTCAAAAAAAAAAAAATTTTATACATACATATATATAAAGGATGGAAGGAGGCCAAAGTAAAAGGCCTTTCTAAAATAACTAAGTAGACAAACTGAACAGGCCTAAGGCCACAACATTACAAAAATAACTTTTATTTTCAGGAATTGGGGAAGGAGCAAGCTGGGGCAGTCTACAGATACAGCATCACTACACACTGCCAGAAACTAAAATTTACAAAACGGGATACATCCACCTGCTCCCTTCCTATTTTTAAGCGTATTATAGTAGGTGCACAGCAATATTCCTAGTTTTCTTGTCTACTCACTTTCCCCAATACTTTCAAAACATGACTCGAGCCATCACCACAACTGTGATCACCTTGACAAACCTACATACTCAGGCTGTCCCAGTTCTCAATGACCATTTTTGATGTCTGTAGAAAACCTAGCACGCCTTGTGAACTTAGCAACCCCCTTAGTTAGGGGTTGGAGGGAGACAAGAAAAGGCTTATGTCCTATTCCCACAGAGCCAACTTGTGCTCAGTACTCAATTGTAACCTGTACCTGAATCACCCAAAGATCCTACCCCGTCTGACATGTTCCTGCTGTAATACATCTACCTTCATTCTGGTACTGGAATCCTGCCCATAAACCCACCCTAAAAAGTCTCCATTTGTCTCTTGAGTTGCCTTAACCTGAATGCCGCAATATTGTCCTCTCATCTGTCTGACCATACTGGCACTGGCTGCTGCTAGACACTGGATACCATATTATAGTTGACATATTGGATACATATCTGCTATCTAATTTGAAGACTACTATTTTCCCCAGTCAGCCCTAATAAGCTGCAGCTGACTAGACATTATCTGGCTCTATCCTAAGACAAATATCAAAACAGATAGAATATTTGTTTTATCATATACTATCACCTTAAAATCATTTCTCAGTCTGCCAAGGTCAATAGCTAATAATTGTTTTAATACTGTCATTATCCACTCTTCATCTCACTTATATCTGAATACCACATTCTACAGTTAGCTTTCTGGACTGGTGTGCGTGTGTGTGTGTGTGTGTGTGTGTTTGTGTGTGTGTGTGTGCATGTGTATACATCTCCATCTTATTAACATAACTTTGTGATGTAACTTGTGATGTCAATTTGTAATGTTAAGACATAACAAATAAACATGGGTAATTACAACTTGGTGTAGTGGCTATCAACATTTCCAATGAGACCATATTAGCTGGTATAAATGAATATCCAGATCCAAAAATCAAATTTACAAGAAGGGTTAAATGGTATACAGCATGATATAAGCACAATATATTATTGCCATCTAAACCATTTCACACTGGGCATCACTGGCTCACTGGCAAATTTCAAAAAAAGGCAGATTTCATAGAAGAGTAGATGAACACAGGATAATCCTGCTTGATGTTGGGGGAAATCTAAATTTTCATTTCACATACTCTCAATAGATTACATCACAAGTTTTCACATTTATTTACTCAAGGTAGTAAAAAGTATCTCAATGAATTACTGAATTTTTATTAATAATTTGCATGATAATGAAGATAGAACTGTAGCCAAAAAACAATTCAGTAGATTAAAAACAATAAAACCAATGTGAAAAATAAACCACTTTATAGAGAATGAAAAATTTTAACCCAAAATTTAAAAATGTGGTGACTATTAATATGTAATGCCTCTTTTTTCATTTTAGCATGACTATATAAGAACACATATATGTCACATGTCCAATTTTTTTGTTCCTTTCACTTCTGATTAGCTGACCTTATTAAAATATTTAGCATTACCAGCCACTTGATATTACCCACTAACCTTTTAGCTAACAACCACAGTACACAATTCATAGGCTTGAATTATATGCATATTCAAGTTCAGAAATCAAATATGCTTTCATAATTCAGTTTGTCAACACACTATAGTACTTCCCAATTCGTATTTCAGATCTAAGAGTTTGATTCTTCACTTGGTAATTCCACACAGTGGTAACAACAGGAGACACATATGTGGTACTCTAAAATTCTTTTAATTCTCTCTAATCTTAAACATTCCTAGACAAAGAGTAAGGCATGCAAATTACATTTTAAAAATTAAATTCAAGCCAGAAAAAGACACTATAAGAAAACTACAGACCAATATCCCTGATGAATATTGATGCGAAAATTCCTAACAAAATACTAGCAAACCAGAATTCATCATTTAAAACATTTAAAATATTATACACCATGACCAAGTGAGATTTATTGCTGAAATGCAAGACTGTTTCAACATACAAAAATCAATCAATGTAACACAGGACATCAACAGAATGAAGGACAAAAACCACATGATCATCTCAGTTGATGCAGGAAAAGCATTTGACAAGATTCAACACCCTTTCACTATAAAAAACACTCAAGTTAAAACTAGAAAAAAATCACCTGCTATGGTTTGAATATTTGTCCCCTCAAAAACTCGTGGAAATTTAATCCCCAATGTGGCAGTACTGAGAAGTGGGGTCTTTAATAGGAGATTGGGTAAGGAGGGCTCTGCCATCATGAATAGGTTAATCCATTCATGGATTACTGGATTAATGATTTAATAGTTATGAGAGTGGGACAGGTGGCTTTAGAAGAGAAAGAGACCTGAGCAAGCACCCTCAGTCCCATTGCCATGTGATGCCTTGCAACACCTAGGAACTGTGCAGAGTTCCCACTAGCAAGAAGACTCTCATCAGATGTGGACCCTCAAAACTTGGACTTCTCAGCCTCCTTAACTGTAAGAAATAAATTCTTTTTCTTTATAAAGTACCTAATTTCAGATATTCTGTTGTAAGGAACAGAAAATGGACTAAGACGCTATCTCTACATAGTAAAAGTCAAAAACTCATAGCTAATATTATACTCAAGGGTAAAAGACTGAAAGTTTTTACTCTAACATACAGAACAAGGCAAGGATGCCCACTCCCACTACGTGTCTATTCAACATAGTATTGGAAGGCCTAGCCAAAGCAATTAGGCAGGAAAAGTAACAAATAAAAGGCATCCAAGTTAGAAAGAAAGAAAGAAGTAAAATTATCTCTGTTCCCAGATGACACAATCTTATATGTAGAAAATCCCAAAGTTTACACACACATAAAAACTCTTAGAACTAATAACCACAAATTCAATAAAGTCGCAGGATATTAAATCAACACACAAAATTCTTGTATATACTAACAATCCAAAAAGGAAATTAAGAAAACAATTCCATTTACAACAGCATCAAAAACTGTAAAATACTAAACCTAACCAAGCACGTAGAAGACTTGTACACTGAAAACTACAAAATACTGCTGAAATGAAAGATGACACAAATAGAAAGGCATCCTGTGTTCATGAATTCGAAGACTTAATATTATCATGAAGTCCATACTACCCAAAGAAATCTACAGATTCAACACAATCCCTATCAAAATTCCAATAGCACTTTTTGCAAAAATGAAAAAAATTAAGCTGAAAATTCATATAGAATCTCAAGGGACCCCAAAAAGCCCAAACAATTTTAGGAAGAAAAGAACAAAGTTGGAGGACTCACACTTCCTAATTTCAAAGCATTTTAGAGAAAGTCCTCAATATCACCAACAGGTTCTTGGAAACTCCAATGTTAAGCAAAATGACGTATAATGAATGAAACCAATTTTTTTCCTCATCAACATTATAACAAAACAACACTGAACAAATTGATATTGTTCAAAGATCTGCTGTACACCGCTTTGCTTAAAGCCCAAGTTTCCAAGAACCTAAGAACGGCACTAAGTGAGAACTTACTGTACAAAGCTACAGTAATCAAAACTGTGAGGTACTGGCATAAAGACAAATAGACCAGTGGAATAGAACAGATATGGATAAACAAAATGTAGTAGATACATAAAATGAGTTACACACCTTTTAAAAGGAAGGAACATCTGTACTACATTACAACACGGATGGACCCTAAGGGCATTATGCTAACTGAAATAAGCTAGTCACAAAAAAGACAAATACCATATGATTCAACTTATGAGGTATCTGAAGTAGTCAAATTCATAGAAACAGAAAGTAGAATGGTTACCAGGGACTAGGGGAAGAGAAAAACGGGAGTTGTTGTTTAATAGGTATAGAGTTTCTGGCTTTCAAGATGAAAAATTTCTGTAGATCTGTTTCACAGCAGTTGGATATATTTAACGTTACTCAATTATACACTTAAAAAATGGTTAAATGGTAAATGTTGTTGTTTACCACAATAAAAAATTAAATTTGAAACCTCTTTTATCAAGCAAGCTTCTCTCATATGGTATAAACTCACAGGATTTTACTTAAATCATCGATCATTTAAGAACACCTTTCTACTAAACAAGCATACCACATACCATATAACTACTGATCTATTGAGATGTCATTTTGTAAATTAAGACACTAATCATTGATATCTACACTCAGAATATTTTGAGACTTTTTGTCTCCCGTTTAATAAGGTAAAATGCACCAAAGCTTATGTTAAATTTACAGCAAAATATCAAAAGAAATAATCTAACTTTTCCAAAAAAACATGGAAACACTTGAACAACCAGAGCTAACCTTACATTTAAGTTGCTCACCATAGAGTATGAAAACTGTCATTGAAACCTATTTAACAAATGTTAAACATTTATTTCCCTTGTTCAAAATATGACAGTACAAGTCAAGTCCCATAGTTACCCACAAGAGCACACAACTTAAAGCCAGGGTAAAAAGCAGCAACAATCTTCCAGCAGCAACGCAAACTAACTGCATCCAACGGTTAGCATACTAAATGGCCTCATGTGATGATACTAAGATTTAGGAATTACCCTAAAATGCAACACTTGATTCCATTAAACTCGAGAGGAAGCATACAGCATGAAAAAGATCCAGTAAGAAGAGATATCTATCTATCTATCTATCTATCTATCTATCTACCTACCTACCTACCTACCTACCTACCTACCTACCTACCTACCTACCTACCTGGTTAGATTACTGGTACCAGATATCATTAGGGGACTCTCACATTTTGCCCTGTAACCAAGCAAATTTCATATACTTTAGCATGCCATCCAAACAGACCAACTCAATCTGAGCTCTAAGATGACTGAAGTTTTTAAACCTTCCCTAGAACTATGACCAAAAGACTGCCTTATTTCTAAACAACAACAAATACATTAAAGCATCCTGCAAAATCAATATCCCCAAAAGAACTATCGAGATGCTAAGAAAGGAGGCGAAATAATGACTCAACATATATTTAATATTAAGAGCAATATATTATTAAAAACAAATATATATTAGAGCTAACGTTTTTGTTTTGGATAGACTTGAAAGTACACTCTACTACAGAGAACTTGAAACTATCTTAGATTCATAGTTATTGCAACTTTGCTGTTATGACACAGTTTGTTGTAACAATGGTTTATTTGTTAAGTCATTAGTCAGGAAAGAAACTTCTCAATTAGAAAACTCTTTCAAAAAAAAATGTGTTATAATTATCCTCCTGGCAAAAAGTTATCTGCCAAATAACGTAGCAACACTGAGAACAACATGATTGAGAAGATTATTCATATGCAAGGATCTCCATCTTATTCTATGATTATTATTTTGGCAAAAATACTCAAAATGATCTTTTCATCATGAAACACAATCTCCCTCTCCCTCTGTCTCCCTCCACCCACCATAAATGACTGTGCTTAGCTATCCTGATTAATAAATTAATTGCAACTAGCAGCTGGGCATGGTGGCTCATGCCCCTAATCCAGCACTTTAGGAGACTGAGGCAGGAGGATTACTTGAGCCCAAGCGTTTGAAACTAGCCTGGGCAACACAGCGAGACTGTCTCTAAAAAATTAATAATAGGGCTGGGCACGGTGGCTCACGCCTGTAATCCCAGCACTTTGGGAGGCTGAGGCAGGCGGATCACCTGAGGTCGGGAGTTTGAGACCAGCCTGACCAACATGGTGAAACCCTGTCTCTACTAAAATACAAAAATTAGCCAGGCGTGGTGGCGCATGCCTGTAATCCCAGCAACTCAGGAGGCTGAGGCAGGAGAATCGCTTGAACCTGGGAAGCGGAGGTTGCAGTGAGCCGAGATCGCACCATTGCACTCTAGCCTGGGCAACAAGAGTGAAACTCCATCTCAAAAAAAAAAAAAAAGAAAGAAAATTAATAATAATAATAAATTGCAACTAGGAAAGGGAAAAACTTTTCTCCTCCAACTTCTACATATAATCTATTCTGAAGATGTTTGCCAAATATGCCATTATCATGTCATTTTACTTGAATGTTTTACTTCATTATGTCCCCTTTCACAGGTTAGTCCTATGTCACCTACTTTGGCTAACCATAATTTACAAAGTATTCAACTGCATTTCACCTGTCTGTTTTTCTGCCCAAAGTCATAAAGCAACAAGCAGTTTTTCCAGTGTTACATACTTGAACTTAGTTACTAGTGAACCTACTATCTCATGTTGATCATAACTCATAGATCACAAAATAATGTGGAAGTCAGTGTAGCAGATTCAACTCTCACAACATAAAAAACAGCATTAACACAACTCTGAAAGTCTTCTGTTAGGTCTGCTACTTAATATTTAAGTTTACATCAAATTATGTAATATAATGTAAAATGTGATGCCTTTCACAAAGTAAGAACATGTATATGAATGGATGTATTTGTTTGCACAAAAAAATACTGAGAGGATTAACAAGAAACACTTTTTCCAAGTTGTAAGGAGGAAGGGATGATAAAAGAAATATACGAGACAGGAATCTGTGGAAGACTTCTATATATACCTTTGCATATAATTTTAACTTTTGAATAAGGAAAATGTCATACTCATTCAAATGAAACTGAATTTTGTTAGGTTATGTCACTGTCATAGAAACAGAAATTTCTGAAATTAAAGACAAATTGGAAAAAAAAACCTAATCATGTACATCAAATCAATAACACAGACATACAGAGAAAGTATTCATATAAAGTGAGGTCAGAACACAACACTTTGCTTATCCTTAGTGGGAAGAATTTTAAGGACAAAAAGAAGAAAATTTAAAGCAGGATGGGATGGCTCACACTTGTAATCCCAGCACTTTGGGAGGCCAAGGTGGGGGGATCGCTTGAGGCCAGGGGTTTGAGACCAGCCTGGTCAACACAGCGAGACCTGTTCTCTACAAAAAAGGAGAGGGAGGGAGAGGGAGGAAAGCGGGGAAGGGAGAGGGGGAAAGGGTGGAGGGGGAGGGAAGAAAGAGAGAGAGAGAGAGAGATCGCTTGAGCCCAGGAGTACGAGGCTGCAGTGAGCTGTGATTAGGTCACTGCACTGCAGCCTAGGTGACAGAGCAAGACTATGTCTCTATTTTTAAAAAAAAGAAGGAAAGAAAATTAAACTTCATACAATACTTCTGTTGTCTGCTACACTAATTCTGTTTTTCTGAAGTTATTTTCTTTATACTATAGGAGAAGGCAAGCAATCTTGTTAATGACCCTAAGAATCAAGATATTAAGTATAAAAGAGATAATTAGCAAACAAACTTTTAAAACACATGTTAAACTGAATAGAAGAAAACACAAATTAAAACCACAACATGATATCACTACATCTGTAAGAATTGCCAAAATAAAAAAATAGTGACAGCCCGGGCACGGTGGCTCACGCCTGTAATCCCAACACTTTGGGAGGCCGAGGTGGGCGGATCACAAGGTCAGGAGATCAAGACCATCCTGATGAACACAGTGAAACCCCGTCTCTACTAAAAATACAAAAAAATTAGCCGGGCGTGGTGGTGGGCACCTGTAGTCCCAGCTACTCGGGAGGCTGAGGCAGGAGAATGGTGTGAACCCGGGAGGCAGAGCTTGCAGTGAGCTCAAATTGTGCCACTGCACTCCAGCCTGGGCAACAGAGCGAGACTCCCTCTCAAAAAAAAAAAAAAAAAAAATAGTGACAACACCAAATGATAGCAAAGATGCAGAGAAACTGATTCTTATACACTGCTGGTGGAAATGTAAACTACAGCCACTCTGGCAAAGAGCTTAGACGTTTCTTTAAAAACCATACATGCACTTACCATAACCACCAGTAACCTTACACCTGAGCATTTATCCCAGAGAAATGAAAACCTATGTCTACGTAAAAACATGTACATAAACATCCATAGGACCTTTGTTTGTAATAGCCAAAACATGAAAGCAACTCTGCTATGGGTTTAATTGTGTCTCCCAAACATTCATATGTTGAAGTCCTATCCCCCAGTACCTCAGAATATGACCTTATTTGGAGTCAGGATCTTTACTGAAGTTATCAAGTTAAAACGAAGTCCTTAGGGAGGAATGCAATATGAGTGGTACTCTAATAAAAAAAAGGACAATTTGCAAAGAGACATACACACAAGGAGAACACCATGTGAAAATGAAGGCAGAGATGGGAGGTAATGCTTCTACCAGCCAAAGGACACCAAAGATTGCCAGCAAACCACCAGAAGCTAAGAGAGGGGGACAGAATAGATTCTCTCAGAAGGAACTAACCCTGCCAACTCCTTGATCTTGGACTTCTTGCCTCCAGAACAATAAATTTCTGTTGTTTAAGCCACCCAGTTTGTGCTACTTTGTTAGGCAGCCCTAAAAAACTAATACAAACCCAAAAATCCCTCAATGAGTACATGGTTAAACAAACTGTGGTACATCTGTACCGCAGACTACATCTCAGTAATAGAAAGAAATGAATTACTGAAATATAACAACATGGATGGATCCCAAGGAAACTATGCTAAATGCAAAAACAAAACAAAACAAAAACTCAATAGTTATATACAGTATGATTTCCATTTATATGACTCCATGAAAATGTCAAAATTATGAATAACAGGTTAGTGGTTGACACAGATTAGAAACCAAATAGAGGAAGGAGAGAAGGGGTGGGGGAGTGAGTGTAACTAAATGAGTAGTGTGAGGGATATCTGTGATGATGGGACAGTTCTGTGTCTTGATGGTGATGGTGATGGTGGTGGTAGTGCTTACACCTATCCACACATGATAAAACTGCATAGAATTATACACATAAAACATGCAAACATAGTTATCTAAATGAGTCCATGTATAACTAGCAAGATCTGAATAAATACAGTTAGCCCTCCATATCCATGGGTTCCCCATGCTCAGATTCAACCAACCACAGATAGAAAATATTCAGGGAAAAAACACAATGAAAAATAACAACAATAAAAAAAATACAAATAAAATCAATACAATATAACTATTTACACGGCATTTATATTATATTAGGTGTTATAAGTAATCGAAAGATGATTTAAAGTATACAGGAAGATGTGTGTAGGTTATGTGAAAACACTATGCCATTTTATCTAATAAACTTAAGCATCCATGGATTTTGGTATCATCGAGGGTTCTGGAACCAATCCCCCACAGATACCAAGGGACACCTGTATATGGACTGTATCAATGTCAATTTCCCGGTCTTGACATTGTGCTGTAATTATGAAAAATGTTACCATTGGGGGAAACTGAGTGAAGGACACACGGGACTTTGCTCCTAATTCTGCAACATACCATAAATTATTATACCAAGATAAAACTTTAAGAATAAAGTCAAAAGGTGGATAAAAGAGAAAAAAAAGTAAAAAGCAAAGAACCTTAACATTTTTAATAGAATGCACGAAAGCAAAACAAGGACTCAAAACAGACATTTGTACACCCATGTTCATAACAGCATCACTCACAATTGCCAAAAGGTAGAAGCAACTCAAGTATCTATCAATGAATGAATGGATGAACAAAATATGGTACATATACACAATGGAAAATTATTCAGCCTTAAAAGGGAAGGAAATTATGACAGAAGCTACAACATGGATGAACCTAGAAAACAGTGCTAAGTGAAATAAGCCAGTCACAAAAGGATAAATAGTCTACAATTCCACTAAATAGGAATATATATGTGAGGTACCTAGGAGTCAAATTCAAAGAGAAAGTAGAATGGTGGTTGGTTATCTTGGGCTAGGGAAAATGGGAAATTAGTGCTAAATGGGTATAGAGTTTCAGCTGGGAAAGGATCTGGAGAGCAGTACACCATGTCCCTGAACTTTTTATCTTCTCTGGACTATGAGTGGGGTTAGGAGGGATTAGGATTGGTGGATTAACAGAATTGAGGAGACAGCAGGATGCTGATAGTCCTGCCCAGGGCTGCACCTTGCCCATGAGGAAGACTCTAGGTCAAATGCCAATAAATATGAACCTCTAGAAAGTTTTCAAAAAAGAAAAAGTTCCAGAGATGGATGGTGGTGACGGCTGCACAACAAATGTGAAAGCACTTAATGCTACTGAACTGTACACTTAAAAATGGTTCAAATGTATATGTTATCTGTATTTTACCATAAAAAAGTTAAAGCAAAAAATGTTTCATCAGGAGTATCAATATAAACTGATTTTTAAAATACATCAAAAACAAATACACATGACTATAGTGTATTAAAATATATTAAACCAATAAAAATCTATAATAAACCTCAAAAAAAGATAAAAGAACAAATCTATGTTATCATTATAGTTACTAAATTAACACCTTAATTTGAAAATTGGTAACTAAAGGAAAAAATTAAGTATTTACCCTACCTTTTCATTAAGAATTATATTTCAGGCTGGGCACGGTGGCTCACGCCTGTAATCCCAGCACTTTGAGAGGCCAAGGAGGGTGGATCACCTGAGGTCAGGAGTTCAAGACCAGCCTGGCCAACATGGTGAAACCCCATTTCTACTAAAAATACAAAAAAAATTGCCGGGCGTGGTGGCAGGCGCCTGTAATCCCAGCTACTCGGGAGGCTGAGGCAGGAGAATCGCTTGAACCCGGAAGGTGGAGGGTGCAGTGAGCTGAGATCACGCCATTGCACTCCAGCCTGAGTGACAAGAACAAAACTCAGTCTCAAAAAATATATTAAAAAAAAATTATATTTCAGGTAACAAGCAATCTCAGTTGATGAAAGAAAACTAAAGAAGCCAGTGAATACAGGAGTGATTTTGGAAATTATTCCCTAACTAACAATGAAATCAGTGACGCAAACAAGATTAGCAACTGTAATTAAAAATATCAGGTGTGGGCTGGACTCGGTGGCTCACGCCTGTAATCCAGCACTTTGGGAGGCTGAGTTGAGTGGATCACTTGAGGTCAGGAGTTTGAGACCACCCTGGTCAACATGGTGAAACCCTGTCTCTACTAAAAATACAAAAATTAGCCAGGCGTGGTGGCACATCCCTGTAATCCCAGCTACTCGGGAGGCTGAGGCAGGAGAATTGCATGAACCCAGGAGGTAGAAGTTGCAGTGAGCCGAGATCGCACCACTGCACACCAGCCTGGGTGACAGAACAAGACTCCACCTCAAAAAAACAAACAAACAAAAAATCAGGTGTGGCCGGGTGCAGTGGCTCACACCTGTAATCCCAACACTTTGGGAGGCCTAGGCGGGTGGATCACCTGAGGTCAGGAGTTCAAGACCAGCCTGGCCAACAAGGTGAAACCCCGTCTCTACTAAAAATACAAAAAAAAAAAAAAAGAAAGAAAGAAAGAAAGAAAAATTGCCAAGCGTGGTGGCAGGCACCTCTAATCCCAGCTACTCAGGAGGCTGAAGCAGGAGAATCGCTTGAACCTGGGAGGCAGAGGTTGTAGTGAGCCAAGATCGCGCCATTGCACTCCAGCCTGGGTAACAAGAGTGAAACTTCGTCTCAAAAAAAATCAGGTGTATGGCTGACGCAGAACTGGCCATCTTTTAGTTCCCAAGTAAAACCACACAGGTAATTTTCTACTCATAAGGTGAAAACCTAGCAGTACAATAAGAAAATTGGACAGTCATCACCCTAAGCCAGGAATTAACTTTATCATCACTAACGTATCTACAGGAAAGATACAACAAATATACAAAATCACCTAGGATATATTCAAACCTATAACTCCCGAGTGCAAGCAATGCTCCCGCCTTGGCCTCCCAAAGAGTTGGGATTATATGAAGACTGTGGTGTATCTACTATTGTAAGATTTTACTTATATGAAATTCTAAATTACAAAAAATGCAAACTAATCTACCTTGACAGAAAGGAGGCAAGAAGAAACTTGAGGGTAATGGAGATGGGGTTTTTATGTTGTTGTTGTCTTGAGACAGGGTCTCCCTCTGTCGCCCAGACTACAGTGCAGTGGCATGATCACAGTTCACTGCAACCTCAAATTCCTGGGCTCAAGCCATCCTCCCTCCTCAGTAACTGCATCCCACCATGCTCAGCTAATATTTTTGTGTTTTTGTGTGTTTATTTTGTAGAGACAGGGTCTTGCTTTGCTGCCTAGGCCTGACTCAAACTCCTAGCCTCAAGCGATACTCCTGCCTCAGCTTCCCAAAGTGCTGAGATTACAGGTGTGAGCCACCCAGCCATGATGTTATCTTGATTGTTGTGGATGGTTGCAAGGGAGTATATATCATGGGTGATGTCTATTGTATGTAAATTATACCTCAATATATAGTCATGTGCTGCTTAACAATGGGGTAAGTTCTGAGAAATGCATCACTGGGCAATTCGTCGTTGTGCAAATATCACAGAGTGTACTTACACAAGCCTGGATGGTATAGCCTAGGCTTACTACACACTAGGTTACATGGCATAGCTTACTGCTCCTAGGCTACAAACCTATACAGTATGTTACTGTACTAAATACTGTAGGCAACTAACACAATGGTAAGTATTTGTGTATATAAGCATATATAAACCTAAAAAAGGGTACAGTAAAAATACCATATAAAAGATAAAAAATGGTATACCTGTATAGGGTACTCACCATGAATGGAGCTTGCAGGACTGAAAGTTGCTCTGAGTGAGTCAGTGAGTGAGTGGTGAGTGAACGTGAAGGTCTAGGACATTACTAGACACTATTGTACACTTTATAAACACTGTACATTTAGGAGACACTGAATGTATTTTTTTAAATATTTTGGCCGGGTGCAGTGGCTCACGCCTGTAATCTCAGCACTTTGGGAGGCCGAGGCGGATGGATCAAGAGGTCAGGAGATCAAGACCATCCTGGCTAACACGGTGAAACCCCATCTCTACTAAAAATAGAAAAAATTAGCCAGGCGTGGTGGCACGCGCCTGTAGTCCCAGCTACTCGGGAGGCTGAGGCAGGAGAATCGCTTGAACCCAGAAGGCCGAGGTTGCAGTGAGCCAAGATTGCGCCACTGCACTCCAGCCTGGGTGACAAAGCAAGACTCCGTCTCTAAAGAAAAAAAAATTTTTTTTCTTCTTCAATAATAAATTAAACTTCATTTACTGTAACTTTTTTGTTTTATAAACTTTTACACTGACTCCTAATTATAACACTTAGCTTAAAACACATATTGCACAGCTGTAGAAAAATACTTTCTTTATATTCTTATTCTGTAAGTTTTCTATTTTTAAAATTTTTATTTGTTTTGTTTTCAAACTTTTTCGTTAAACGCTAAGACACAAATATACATTAGCCTAGGCCTACATAGGGTCAGGATCATCAATATAACTGTCTTACACTTCTACATCTTGTCCTACTGGAAGGTCTTCAGGGACAATAACATGTGGAGCTGTCATCTGTCATAACAGTGCCTTTTTCTGGAATACCCACTGAAGGACCTAAGACTGTTTTACAGTTAACTTTTTCTTTTTTTCCCTTGAGACAGGGTCTCGTCTCACTCTCTCATCCAGGGTGGAATGCAGTGGTGTGATCACTGCTCACTGCAACCTTGAACTCCCTGGCTCAAGCGATCCTCTTGCCTCAGCCTCTCAAGTAGCTGAGACTACAGGCATGCACCACCATGTCTGGCTAATTTTTTTGGGTATTTTTCTTGTAAAGATGGCATCTCACTATGTTGCCCAGGATGATCTCAAGCTCCTGGGCTCAACTGATCCTCCCGTCTCAGCCTCCCAAAGTGTTGGGATTACAGGCATCAGCCACCATGCCTGGCCACAATTTGTTATAAGTAATAGTACATTCTAAAATAATGATAAATAGTAAATATGTAAACAAGTAACACAGTTATTACCAAGTATTATGTACTATACATAACTGTATGTGCTATACTTTTATACAACTGGCAGGGCAGGTTAATTTACACCAGCATCCCCACAAACACATGAGAAATGCACTGCACTAAGACGTTATAAAGGCTACGACATGACTAGGTGAAAGGAATTTTTAGCTCCATTACAATATTATAGGACGATCATGCTGTACGTGGTCCATCGTTGACTGAAACGTCATTATTCAGCACATGACTGTAGTTTATATAAAAGGAGGGTGAGCTGTGCTAGGTTATTAGAGTTGAGGCTTAAGAGACCAGATTCACATGGAAGGATCACTTGAGACCAGGAGTTCAAGACCAGCCTGGGCAACATAGCAAGACCCTGTCGCTACAAAAAATAAAAAAAAAAAAAAACTATGGCCGGGCAGGGTGGCTCACAGCTGTAATCCCAACACTTCAGGAGGCCAAGTGGGTGGATCACTTGAGCCCAAGAATTCAAGACCAGTCTGAGCAACATGCAGAAACCCCGGCTACACAAAATATATAAAAATTAGATGGGCATGGTGACACACATCTCTAGTCCCAGCTACTCAGGAGGCTGAGGCAGGAGGATCACTTTGGCCCAGGAGGCGGAGGTTGTTGCAGTGAGCCGAGATAGCACCACTGCACTCCACCCTGAGCGACAGAGGCAAGACTGTCTCAAACAAACAAACAAAAAAATTAGGCATACATGGGGACACACACCCGTAGTCCCAGCTACTTGGGTGGCTGAGGCCAGAGAATCACTTGAACCCACAAGTTGGGAGATTGCAGTGAGCTATGATTATGCCACTGCACTCTAGCCTGGGTGACAGAGGGAGATCCTGTCTGAGAGAGACAGGGAGAGAAGGGGGAGGGAGGAGGGTAGGAGGAGGGAGAGAGAAACCAGATTCAATGCATGTATGGTTTGGATAAACCAGATATGATACATGTTTATGAATACTTGGAGAAATGTGAATGTGGACTGGGCATTAAAATTAAATGTTACTGACATGAAATGGTGGAGCTAAATAAAAAAGGAAGAAAAGGAGGGAAGAAAAAGACAAGACAGACACAAAAGCACATGTATAGAATAATGTCTCTCTGCTTCCTCTACTCTGAAGGGGTGTTTCTTTTTTAATGGCACATATATATGTGTATAGAAAAATGTCTGAAAGATAAAAACAGGATGGTTTTATTTTCTTTCTATTTTTTTAGAGACAGAGTCTCACTGTCACCCAGGCTGGAGAGCACTGTCACCTCGAACTCCTGGGCTCAAGTGATCCTCCTGCCTCAGCCTCCTGAATAGCTGGGACTACAGACATGCACCCAGGCACCACCATGCTTGGCTAATTTTTTTTTTTCATTTTCTGTAGAGATGGGGTCTCGCTATGTTGCCCAGGCTGGTCTCGTGATACTCCCGGCCTTGGCCTCCCAAAGCACTTGGATTACAAGCATGAGCCACTATGTCCGGCCTGGTTTTGCTTTCTTATTTTTAGTTATCTGTAGATTTTTTCTACAATGTACATATACAACTTTTATAAGAATATTTAAAACTATATTTAAAAATCTATCCAAAGCACTTGAAAGAGACTCAGGTCACTAATTATTAGGGAAGTACAAATCAAATCACATTAAGATTTGACTTCATATCTATTACGAAGGCCATCAGTTAGTTAGATAGATAGATAGATAGATAGATAGATAGATAGATAGATAGATAGATGGATAGACAGACAAAAAAATATTGGTGAGAAAATGGAGAAACTGAAACTGTGGGGATGTAACTGTGGAAAACGATATAACTGTTCCTTAAAAAAAAAAAAAACACATACACACACACGGCAGGGCGTGGTGGCTCACACCTGTAATCCCAGCACTTTGAGAGGCTAAGACGGGTGGATTACTTGAGGTCAGGAGTTCGAGACCAGCCTGGCCAACATGGCAAAATCCCATCTCTACTTAAAAAAAAAAAAAAAATTAGTTGGGCATGGTGGCGAGCACCTGTAATCCCAGCTACCCAGGAGGCTGAGGCAGGAGAATCTCGAAACTGGGAAGCAGAGGTTGCAGTGAACGGAGATCATGCCACCACACTCCAGCCTGGGTGACAGAGTGAGACTCCATCGCAAAAAAAAAAAAAAAAAATTAAACACAGTATTACCATATGATCCAGTAATTGCACTTCTGGGCATATACCCCAAAGAATTCAAAGCAAGCACTCAAAAAGACATTTATGTACCCATGTTCATAGCGACATTATTCACAACAGTCAATGTGGAAGCAACCCGAGGAGCCATCAACAGATGAATGGACAAACAAAATGTGGTATATACATACAATAGATTATAAACTCTGACATATTAAACAACAAGGGACCAGGCGCAGTGGCTCACGCCTGTGATCCCAGCACTTTGGGAGGCCGAGGTGGGCGGATCACCTGAGATTAGGAGTTAGAGACCAGCCTGGCCAACATGGTGAAACCTTGTCTCTACTAAAAATACAAAATTTAGCCAGGCAGGGTGACGGGTGCCTATAATCCCAGCTACCTGGGAGGCCGAGGCGAGAGAATCACTTGAACCTGGGAGGCGGAGGAGGTTGCAGTGAGCCGAGATCGTGCCAATGCACTCCCGCCTAGGTGACAGAATGAGACTCTGTCTCAAAAAAACAAAAACCAACCAACCAACCAAGGATAAACCTTGAAGACAATGGGCTAAGTGAAATAAAAGCCAGTCACAAAAGGACAAATATTCTATTATTCTACAAATACGGGATGAAGTACCTAAAGGTGTCAGATTCAAAGAGACAAAGTAGAATGGTGGTTTGCCAGGTGCTGGGTGTAGTGGTCCTCCACTGTGGAGTCATTGTTTATGGGTCCAGAGTTTCAGTTTGGGAAAATTTTTTAAGTTGCTAGAAACAGATGGTAGCGATAGTTGCAAAACAATGTGAATGTACTTAATGCCACTAAACTGTGCACTTCAAAAGTTAAAATAGAAAATTTTGTTATATATATGCTACCACAATTTTTAGAAATCTGTCTCATCAAAATTCTACTAAAATTTTTTTCAAAATCAGCAAGCTGATTCTTAGGTGAAAAGGCAAAGAAGTTAGAATAACCAAAACCATTTTGAAAAAGAACAAAGTTGGAAGACTCACACTACTTGATGTCAAGGCTTTCTATAAAGCTACGGTAAGACAGTGCGAATGGTGATCAAGACAGATCAATGAAATAGAATAGAAAGTCCTGAAATGGACCTACACACATATGGTCATTTGATTTTTGACAAAGGTGCCAAGGCAATTCAATGAAGAAAGATAGTCTTTTCAACAAATGGTGCTGGAATGACTGGATATCCATATGTCAAAAAAAGTTAATTCTTTCCATACCTTGTACCATATGCAAAAATTTAACTCAAAATGGATGCTAGACTCAAATGTAAAAACCTAAAACTATCAAAACTTCTAGGCAGCTTTATTTGTAGTCACCAAAAGCAGAAATAACCCAAATGTCCTTCAACTGGTGGTAAATGGATAAGCAAATTATGTTATACTCATACAATGGAATACTACTCAGTAATAAAAAGGAACAAATTTCTGCTAACACAACACCCCGGATGAATCTCAAATGCATTATGCTAAGTGAAAGAAGCCAGACTCAACTGGCTACTTACTATATGACTCCATGTATATGACAGTCTGGAAAGAGCAAAAAAAACATATAAATGAGAAAGAAATCAGTGGTTGCCAGGGGCTATGGTTGGGGAGGAAAGAAGGACTACCAAGGAATATTGGAGGGATGTGGAAATAGAGGTACTGGAACTGATCTATATCTTAATTGTAGTGATGGTTAGACAACTGTATACATTTGTCAAAACTCCCAGAACTATCCGCTAAAAAGTGTAAATTAGACTGTATATAAATATCTTAATTTTTTAATTTATGTCCATCAGTGTTCGCCTGCCCATACTCAAATGCTTTCTTCTGATGTTATTTCATCAACATCTACATTGGAACCTCAAAGCTATCTGTTTCAGCTATCTGAATAATATTTAATATTTAATTCTATGTTGCTGTGATTGTTTTAACCAATTAACACATAAGTAGTCCCTCATACTGACTGAAACATGATTGAAGGCATTGGCCAAAGGCGATATGCATTTGTAATTTTAACAGATATCAAAATTGCCCTCCATGTTCGGGGGTTATATCGAATTATACTTCCACCGGCAATGTATGTACGGATCTGTCAGTTTCTATACAGTCACCAACAGTGCTGTCAAGACTTTAGAGATTTTTGGCAATCTGCTAAGTGAACAGTGGTATTCAGGATACTGGTGAACCTCCCTACACAAAATTCTACTTCACAATCTCAGGAACCAAGCATACATTTTCAATAAATCCCTTGTTACTCAAAACATCAACCAAACAGATTTGGATAATGCAGTATTAATCACTATCTGAACTCTTGCTAAGGAAATCAGGAACCAAACAGGTCTAAGAAGGGATATCTGTCATTTTAATAAGCACTTCTCTATTTTTCTTATTTAAGCGCCATTCATATTATCTTTTTCATAAATGCTGCTTGCATTTTCTTAACAAGCTAATGATTTCTTTTTTTTTTCTGAAACAGAGTCTTGCTTTGTCACCCAGGCTGGAGTGCAGCAGTGCAATCTCGACTCACTGCAAGCTCTGCCTCCCGGGTTCACGCCATTCTCCTGCCTCAGCCTCCCGAGTAGCTGGGACTACAGGCGCCCGCCACCATGCCCAGCTAATTTTTTGTATTTTTAGTAGAGGCGGGGTTTCACCATGTTAGCCAGGATGGTCTCGATCTCCTCACCTCGTGATCCACCCGCCTCGGCCTCCCAAAGTGCTGAGATTACAGGCGTGAGCCACTGCTAATGATCTTTTTCTTACTGACTCCAAAGAGCTCTTTATATGTTAGGATAAATAGCCTTTCAGGCTTCTTAAGTCAAAAGTTCTCTCCACTGCTTCCACAGAGATGATTTCCTGCTAAAACGGATTCGTTGTGCAAAAGCCCTACCATATCTCCCTAGTCGTGACTAAACCTTTTCCATAAAGGCTTTATCTTGTAGCCTGCTCATCTCTTTACCTGCTCCCATTGTCACATACAAAGGATATTATTGTATTTTACAGTCAAGCTTTCTAAGATCTACCATCTCTGGGCCAGCTCACTATTCTCCACACTTCTTTGATGCACGACCTACCGGCCCCTCTACACATTTTTTGTAATCGGCACATTTTATGTCTCCAAGTGTGCTAAAAATAGGAGTTTGCAGAGGTTTTTTGTTTACGTTGTTGTTTCTGTATTATACGAGAGGGAAAAAAATGCTTTTATACTACCATGGTAATACCAGAAGTGTTACCAAAATACTTACGCAAGTAATAGCATAACATGGTTTCTACAGCAAATCAACTTCCCCTAAATACTAATCAACGCTGAATTTGTTTTTAAGTTAAAAGCTTTTCCCAAGGTCACACAGCTAAGAGGCAAGAATCTAGGCTTGAACTCATCTTCTACATATTTGTCTCATAAATATATACTTGTCTTACTAGGATAATCCACATAATAGCTCTTCAGAACAAAAATAAGACTACACTCTTAAAGTATTGTGAATCACTCAATTTCAAACATAAGGTCTTAATTTCCTTCCTTTGTACTTAAGGAACTATCTAAAACTATCACATAGAAACCCCTGAAATATCTTACTCTTCATTCAATACATGCAATAAAAATAATAGTTTCCTTACAATTGTGTACACAAAACGATCTTTAGCAAAATCTTGAGCAGCAGAAAATCCCCAACAGCTGCACTTTACCATCAATCTTATTATAAAGCAATAGGCATTTGCTTTGGGTTAGATATGGTTTGTTTGTCCCCACCAAAACTCATGTTGAAATTTGATCCCCAACGTGGCTGTGTTGGGAGGTAAAGCCTACTGAGAGGTGTTTGGGTCATGGTGGCAGATCCCTCATGAATGACTTGTTGCCAATCTTTTGGTAATGAGTGAGATTCTGAGTTCTCACTCTGGTGAGACTGGATTAGTTCTCCTGGAAATGGATTCATTCCCAAGAGAGTGGGGCTGTTGCTATAAAGCCAAGCTATCCCTTGGGTTCTCTCTTTGAATGTGTCCACTTCCCCTTTGACCTTATCTACCATGTTTTGACCTAGCAAGTAACCATCACCAGAAGCCAAGTAGATATGGTGCAATGCTTCTCTTATTTTCCAGACTGTAGAACACTGAGCTAAAACCTCTTTTGTTTATAAATTACCCAGCCTCGGGTGTTCTGTTACAGCAAAACACAAATGGACTAAGACAGCATTTACTGCCTGTAATTATACTTCCTAAAGAGGAGCAGTAACTCCCCCATAATGCCTATAGGTGGTTGTTTAATAAATAAATTATGGAAAATTCCACCTATATGAGAGCAGTTCTCTTAAATTCCAATATGCATAAAAATCATATAAAATGTTCGTTTAAATGCATGGTCACAGGTCCGACATCCAAGGACTCATTCAGTAGATCTGTATACAGGTCTCAGGTATTTGTATTATTCATAAATCCCCTAATATAGGTGAATCCATACTCCACTTTAAGAAAAGCTATTCTAAGTCATGGAATCAGCAACCTGTTATATATAGGATTACCCAGTTTTAGAGAAACAGGAGGTATGAGTAGCTAGGGAAGAGAAGCAAACATTCTCCCTGCTTCCTGCCTTGGGCCACTTAATCATCTGAACATTATTCACTCAAATGCCAGGAACCCACAGCTCAATGATGCATTTCCCCAGAATGTCCTTAAGAAGCTTTCCAGAGAATAAGCCACCAGTGGCCACACTACTCTTCTTTCCACAAGAAAAAAAAAATGTACCTTTCCTGAAAGGTATTGCTCAAATTTAAGGTAAGCGAGATTGAAAATCTCCAGGAAGTTCATTCCATATAGATTTCAACTCACCACTGGGATCTTCCCCGATTTTCTTTAAATGGAATTTTTTTAAAAATTGTTTTTTGTGTAGAGTCAAGGTCTCACCAAGTTGCCCAGGCTGGTCTTGAACTCCTGGACTCAGCCTCCTAAAGGGCTGGGATTACAGGTGTGAGTCACTGTGACTGGCTCCTCTGTTCATTTTCTATCTTCTACAGAAACACTAAGCCACCCAGTTTTTAGTCTAAATAACTCAAAAGTTTACCCAACTAGAAAAATGTATCGTTTAAGAAAAATACAAGGTATCATTTTTAGGCACTTATATTTAAATATAATCAATCCCAACAAGATCCTGCAAAAACCAAAGACCTGCTTTTTCTATTAATAAAATTGAACCTACAGTTTCAATCACAATGTTTGTCTCATTATTCCATGGAAAGTACTCATTCCCATCTCTGTTTCTCCAGCCTGTAACCATAACCACCCCCTTTGTACTCAATGCAGAATCATTCTTTAAGGACCAGTTAAAACCATAGGACAGGCACAGTAGCTCACGCCTGTAACCCCAGCACTTTCGGAGGCCAAGGCGGGCAGATCTCTTGAGCTCAGGAATTTCAGACCAGCCTGGGGAACATGGTGAGACCCCGTCTCTACAAAAAAATTCAAAAATTAGCTGGACATGGTGGTGTGTGCCTGTGGTCCCAGCTACTTGGGAGGTTGATGTTGGAGAATTGCTTAAGTCTGGGAGGTAGACGTTTCAGTGAGCCGAGATTGAGCCACTGCACTCCAGCCTGGGAGACAGAGGGAGACCCTGTCTCCAAGAAAAACACAGCATTTGTTCCATGAAACTCTCCCTACTACAGCCCTCAATGAATTGATCTCTTCGAGTGCAGTAAACTTAGACTCAAATGCACAAAGTAAAAAGGCTACGGAAATTTAAAAAAAAAGTAAAATTTAAAAATTTTAAGAGATTTCAATTCAAATATTAAGTATATCTGTAGCAGCACTGTGGTAGGCCTGATGATAAAAATAATACACATTTTAAAATGTAAAAAAGGATTAAAATAAAGAGTTAATAATAAATAAAATTAAGGATTTTAATGCTGAATTCTTCAGAGGTGACATACACCAATGTCTGCAACTTACTTTGGAGTGCATGTTTAAAAACGCAGAGCACAAAAGCTAGATGGATGGTACCTGACAAAACAAATACAGTCATCCCTCAGTATCCATGGGGGATTGGTTCCAGCACACCCCAAGGACACCAAAATCCATAGTTGCTCAAGTCCCTTATATAAAATGGCCCAATATTTGCATCTAACCTACGTACATCCTCCCATATACTTTAAATCACTTCTAGATTACTTGTAATAGCAAATATAATGAAAGTGCTATGAAAATAGTTGTTGTGGCCAGGCGTCGTTGCTCACGCCTCTAATCCCAGCACTGTAATCCCGCTGAGGCGGGTGGATCACCTGAGGTTGGGAGTTCGAGACCAGCCTGACCAACAGGGAAAAACCCCGTCTCTACTAAAAATACAAAATTAGCTGGGCGTGGTGGCGTGCACCTGTAATCCCAGCTACTCGGAAGGCTGAGGCGGGAGAATCGCTTGAACCCGGGAGGCGGAGGTTGCGGTGAGCCGAGATCGCGCCATTGCACTCCAGCCTGGGCAACAAGAGCGAAACTCTGTCTCAAAAAAAAAAAAAAAGAAAATAGTTGTTGGGCCGGGCATGGTGGCTCACGCCTGTAATCCCAGCACTTAGGGAGGCAGAGGCGGGCAGATCACCTGAGGTCAGGAGTTCAAGACCAGCCTTGCCAACATGGTGAAACACCATCTATACTAAAAATACAAAAATTAGCCAGGCATGGTGGCACATGCTTGTAGTCCCAGCTACTTGGGAGGCTGAGGCAGGAGAATCATTTGAACCCGGGAGGCGGAGGTTGCAGTGAGCTGAGATCATGCCATTGCACTCCAACCTGGGCAACAGAGTCAGACTCCGTCTCAAAAAAAAAAAAATTGTTATACCATATTACTTAGTGGAAAATGACAAGAAAAAATCTCTATATGTTCAGTGCAGATTAAAGCAGGTTTTTTCAAATACTGGCTGAATCCACAAATGGGTAACCATGGATATGAAGGGCTGACTGTAGAGCAAAAAGCTAAAAGTCAAATCTAGGTGATAGGTATATGAGTATTCACTATACAATTATGTACATTGGAGTTTTTCATAATAAAATGTTCAGGGAAAATGAATAAAACATACTCTCTCCCCCCAGTGAATTTAAAGTATAGTGAAGGTGTCACACAAGTGATTACTATAGGGTACACTGAAAGCACACTGGCATGAATATGCTTAGGAAGCCTCAGGGCACCAGAAAGTAGCTCTTCTGGGAAAGGAAACCTCAGGTATGGTTTTCAAGTAACCTCAATCTAAATCTGGAAGGACATGTACTGTTATGCTGGCAAGTGGGTACAGGAATATTCTAGGCATTAGAAACAGCCCAAGCAAAGAAATATCTAGGCAAACAGCCTGGTGTCCCCAGGGAACTAAGAGCAGTTAGAGTTATGCGAGATGGAGGTCAGGTGGTTTGGAATGTCGTGATAAACTACTGAACCTCAATCACTACGCCTCCTCTGTAAGACACACTCCTTGAAATCTCTGAGATAATCACTACCTCTTTCTGTTCCTATACTTTATGTAAGTTTCCATCATTACAATAATGACTCTATTCTAGTATTTTTGTTTCATTAGCTACCTTCTGTATTAAGACTGTGGACATTGAGAACAAAAACTGCATCTTAAACACAACTCTGAAAAGACACCATCAAAATATGTACATAGTAAAGTTTGTTCTTTTGAGGCAAGAGAATGGGGTCTGGAGGCAGGTGGAATAAGGCCTATTCACCCTGACTTCCTAGAACTAAATCAAAAGGAAAACCTCAACCCTCCATACCTAAGTAACTCTCCATACTAAAGTACCTCTGTGTGGCAGAGGGAAAACTGAAAGTACCTTTCTTAAGAGTATCACTTTGTATAGTTACAAAGTTTGCATAGGAGCGTAACTTTGTAACTTCACTTCAGCCCCCAATTGCTTGCTTTCCACAATCAATCAGACTGATCACAGGCCACTACTTCATTTGCATGGGGTGTACACCAAGTGGCCAACGGAAAACCTCTAGAGGGTATTTGGACCCCAGAAGATCCTGTAACCAGGGCTCTTGAGCCGCTGGTCCAGCCGCTTCTACTCTGTGGAGTGTACTTTCATTTTCAATAAATATCTGCTTTCCTTGCTTCATTCTTTCCTTGCTTTGATGTGTGTTTTGTCCAATTCTTCGTTCAAAATGCCAAGAACCTGGACAACTTGCAGTCAAGACCCTCTACCAGTAACACTTTTAACATAAAGTATGCCCTAAATCACATCCTCAATGCAACAAAAAAAAATGTTAGGCTAACGTAGTATAAAGAAATAATTGCCAGGGGTGGTGGCTCACGCCTGTAATCCCAGCACTTTGGGAGGCTGAGGTGGGTGGATCACAAGGTCAGGAGTTCAAGACCAGCCTGGCCAAGATGGCGAAACCCTGTTTCCACTAAAAATACAAAAATTACCCAGGCATGGTGGCGGGCGCCTGTAATCCCAGCTACTCGGGAGGCTGAGGCAGAGAACTGCTTGAACACGGGAGGCGGAGGTTGCAGTGAGCCGAGATGGAGCCACTGCACTCCAGCCTGGGCAACAGAGCAAAATTCTGTCTCAAAAAAAAAAAAAAAGAAAGAAAAAAAGAAAATAATTATATAATACCACTTTTCCTGGAAGAAAAAACACTAAGTCACATACATATACATATATGAGTTTTAAATAAAATTTTTGCATTTCTAAAAGCCATGGGGATGATTAGATTTATAAATACAATGTATATGCTGCTTTAAAATATGCTGATATTGTAAAATATAAGGTACTATAATAAAGTGAAAAGAGCAAGTTACAATGCAATACATATAATTCAATTCGTTTATGATTAGGAAATTTCTAGGATACAAAAAACTATCAGCAGTGGTTACTTCTAAAAACTTGGAATGGAAGAAATGAAATCTTTCACTTTATACCCCTTTTGTACTAAATTTTTGCTATGGGCAGGGATCATTATTTTTACACAATTATTAATAAAATTATTCCTTCTTTTGAAGTAGTATGCTCTAAACAGTCAAAAACTCTTTGAAGATGTGAAGACCATGCTACAAAACTCATTAAGTCTACCGGATACTAACTACTTCTGTAAAATACACAACAACTCAAGAAAGGCAAACATTCCAAGGAATTACATACAGTACAGGGAACTCTGAATAGTTTCACTGTGGACATACTCCCTGAAGATTAGTTTAAAACAAAATGGTGGGGGCTGAGGGGAGAAGGTGGTGGGAGAGACAGGCAAGACACACACAGATAGACAGAGACACACAGAGAGAATGAACCTTATCAGTTTAACAATATGCTTAACTGGAATGAAACAACTGAAAAAGCATTCTCTAAGTTTTCAAACCACCAAGACTATAGTACCATTTACCCAGGCAAATTCTTTTTAACAAGCTTCTTTTAAAATCAGAATGTAAATGAGGAATGCAAGAATCAATGGTGCACTGTGTCTTGTAGTAGTACTCACAGATGAATGGAAAAAGAGAAGAAATCAAACTAACACCTCAACCAGTCTTTTTTATGGAAGCAATGAAACAGAAAAGAACACACATACCATAAAGTATATCAACCATAAAATATATGAAGTAATTTGGAAGGCAGAGAGCAGTAAAGTATTTGCTTTGCTGATTGACAAGACAAGCTACACAAAAAGCTATGGGCATAGAAGTTTATAATGGATGATTTCCCTCATAATACTGCAATGGAACATATATCTCGGGCTTAAAAATGCTTCTTTAATGACACCAAGTTGAAGATTCTCAAAAAAAAAAAGTCCATTAAGATTTATTTACATAACATACAAGTCTACTTATTGTGGCCATAATTCTCAAGAAGAAGAAGAAAATAATAAAATAATAGTGAAACTCCATGGTAAAATGCAATGGGTTGAATGATAGTATGCTAAAAGTTTACTAATAAAAAATTAAAAGCCAGTAGTCAAGACTATTAAAATTCCCCCAAAGTATAAGATACAATATACTATAAACCACATCATCTAGGTGGAACCCCTGACTGTTTTAATGCCAATGCTCTTCAGTGCACACTACATGGGAAATATATCATCTTGGTTTTCTCCCTCTTTATTACACAAAATTATCTTTAAAAATAATCAGAACAATCACATAGCATTATAATACCCTGAAAAATCACCTATTTTCATTTTCCTTCCCAGCCTTTGTCCACATGTATATGCCTGTATGACTTTGTAGATTTTTCAAAACTATAACCACAAAATGGATACAATTGTACACAACTTTTCATCTCCATATGCACTTCTAGGCACTTCTGTAATATTCATAATACAAACTTCTAATAGTTTTATGAGATTCCACCAGATGTGATAATCTACTCATTTATTATTAGACATTAAGACTGACCCCAACACTTCATTGTAATAACTAACAACGCTTCCTATGTACAGATTTTATGTTGAATTATCCCTTATTTTCTCATTATTAGACCCAAGTAGATTTACTTTAGGGCTCTTGATTAAAGACAAGATGCATCTCTACAATTTTTTCTATTTGTAAAATGCAGAGATTTGCACCTATTCCTTGAAAAGTTATGAAGAACTTAAAATGATAGATGTCTAGCCTGGGAAACACAGGGAGATATCGTCGCTACAAAAAAATTTAAAGGCCGGGCATGGTGGCTCACGCCTGTAATCTCAGCACTTTGGGAGGCCAAGGCAGGCAGATCACCTGAGATCAGGAGTTTGAGACCAGCCTGGCCAACAAGGCAAAACCCCGTCACTACTAAAAATACAAAATTAGCCGGGCATGGTGGTGCATGCCTGTAGTCCCAGGTACTCAGGAGGGTGAGGCAGGAGAATCGCCTGAACTTGGGAGGCGGAGGTTGCAGTGAACCGACATCACTCCATTGCACTCCAGCCTGGGCGACACCACGGTGGCTCACGCCTGTAATCCCAGCACTTTGGGAGGCTGAGGTGGGTGGATCACGAGGTCAGGAGTTCGAGATCAGCCTGACCAACATGGTGAAACCCGTCTGTACTAAAAACACAAAAATTAGCTGGGCATGGTGGCGCACACCTGTAATCCCAGCTACTCAGGAGGCTAAGGCAGGAGAATCGCTTGAACCCAGGGGGTGGAGGTTGCAGTGAGCTGAGATCGCACCACTGCACTCCAGCCTGGGTGACAGAGCGAGACTCCGTCTAAAAAAAATTAAAAAAAAAATTTTTTTTTAAGTAGCTGGACATGGTGGCGCACACCTCCAGTCCCAGCTACTCAGAAGGCTGAGGTGGGAGGATTGCTTGAGCCCAGAAGTTTGAGAGAAAACTGCGCAGGCCCTGTTTCAAAAAAGATATTCTAAAAAAAAAAAAATGTTCACTAACATTTAAAATCATAAGTTATTCATATCAATCTGTATGAATGCAGATATAAAACCTTTGGTCAAATGCTTTCCAAAACGTTTTTTCATCTTAGTTGTCCCTTTCTATACTGTAATGAAGTACATTTCATCTCTGTAACATTTTCTAAAACAATGGTAACATTATCGAGCACATTCTATGTCAGACACTCAACATAATACACTATGTTTTAGTTCAAGGTAGATGATATTCTGCCCATTTTACAGATTAGTAAACAACAGGGTCACACAGTCAATAAAGGTGTCATAGGTGCTCTTAAATCTACTTGTCTCTAAAGCATAAGTTCTTTCCACCATCCCAAGCTGCCTCAAAATAAATTCAAATGTTTTTGGAAGCTATTCACCATTACAAGAACAAACATGTGACAGAAAACTATTAAGAAACTCAAATACCTTTGTTATCAGACATTTCATCAGGTAGCATACACATCTCCAGAATCAAAGACATGGAAGATTAGAAAGATCACAGGACTGATCTAAGGAAGAGACCTGGGTTGGAATCCTAACTCTGCCATATTAGCTTTATAAAGTTAGTTTATTATATATATTAACATCATATATATTTGTAAATAAATATTTCCCATATATACACACATATATACATATATTATATATCATATATGTATCACATATGTATCATATATATCATATATACATATATGATACATATATGTATATATAGATACATGCATATATACATGATATATATCATATATGTATATATGATATATGACACATATATATGATATATATATATGTGAGGTTAGAGTACTACTCTTCAAGGCTTCTTCCTCCTCTAAAATTCTATGGTTCTAAAAAACACAGAACCAGAACCAGAGAACACAGGATATATGTCCCAGTGTTCATATTACTAATTCTAATTGTGTAACCCTGGGCCAAGTTTCTTAGCTCCTCTGAAAGGCTAATTCCTTCTTTGTAAAGTAGCATGAATACAAGAGGCTGGCTGTGGAGCAGGGAGGATGGCTTAAGCCCAGGAGTTCGAGACCAGCCTAGGCAACATAGCAAGACCTCGTATCTACCGAAAATAAAAAAAAAAAAAATTAGCCTGGTACGGTAGAGCGTGCCTGTAATCCCAGCTACTCAGGAGGCTGAAGGGGGTGGATTACTGGAGCCCAGGAGTTTGAGGTTGCAGTGAGCTATGTGGTCTTGCTACTGTATTCCAGTCTGGGCAACAGAGCAAAATCGTGTCTAAAAATAAAAAATAAAAAATACCATAAGACCTCCCTCCCTAAAGGATCATTATTATGATGAAGACAGAGTGAAAGTGCTATGCAAACTAAAACTATCGTGGAATCATTGCTACTATTACATTTGATTAAAGCACATAATGACCAGCCTGGGGAACAAAGTAAGACGCCATCTCTACAAAAAATAAAAAATATTAGCCAGGCATGGTGGCAGACATCTGTAGTCCCAGCTACTCAGGAGGCTAAGGCAGGAGGATCCCTTGGGCACAGGACGCCAAGGCTACAATGAGCTGTGATCACACCACTGCACTCCAGCCTGGGTGAAAAAGTGAGACCTTGTTTCAAAAAAAAGGAATAAACGGTTGTCTTAACTTGTAAGGACAACTGATCAGAAGAAAACATGCCAATAATGAGTTCAGACATAGTTAAATAGAGCAAAAAAAAAAGTATTTAATGAGCTTCAGACTGTATTTTTTAACCTTGGCTCCAATTTCTTGTATTCTACAGTAATACTGACAAGCCTCTCAGATCTCAAAACTTTTTCCTGCTTCATAGACTGATGTTTAAGAATCTGAGTGGTAGGTTCAGAAATGCAGTTATATTCACAACTAAGACTAAATTTATTTATTTATAAATATTTTAATCAGAAGCTGGGCACGGTGGCTTGTGCCTGTAATCACACCACTTTGGGAGGCCAAGGAGGGCAGACAGATTGCTTGAGCTCAGGAGTTCGAGACCAGCCTGAGCAACATGGTGAAGCCCTGCCTTTACCAAAAATACAAAAAATGAACCAGGTGTGGTGGCGTGTGCCTGTGGGCCCAACTACTCCGTAGGCTGAGGTGGGAGGATCACTTGAGCCCTGGGAGGCAGAAGCTGCAGTGAACTGAGATCACTCCAGCCTCGGTGACAGAGTGAGACCTCACCTCAAAAAAAAATTTAAATTAAATAAAATATTTTGATCAGTATCCAGATAAAGCACTAAATTAAATCATTCAACAAATATTTCTTGAGAGCCTGCTATATATCAGGCACTATTAGAGACACCATGTTTACAACATTGAAGAGAGAAGTTTTTGCCCCCATGGAGCTTAAAGTCTATTGAGGGGGAAGAAAAATGAGAAAATACCAAGTACTGGTAAATGCTAGCATGAAAATAAAACAAGATGATTACGCTGAAAGGGGAACAGGGCTCTCCATTCACTGCATTTAAATGTAATGTAACATGCATGATTATTTTCAGCAAAACTATAAATAATACATTCTATCTTCCTAAATAAGTCAATCTATAAAGGATGTTTGAAAATTATTCTTTTGGCCGGGCATGATGCTTCATGCCTGTAATCCCAGCACTTTGGGAGGCTGAGGCCAGCGAATCACCTGAGGTTGGGAGTTCGGGACCAGCCTGATCAACATAGAGAACCCCGTCTCTACTAAAAACACAAAATTAGCCGGGCATGGTGGCGCATGCCTGTAATCCCAGCTACTCAGGAAGGCTGAGGCAGGCGAATCACTTGAACCTGGGAGGCAGAGGTTGCAGTGAGCCAAGATCGCGCCATTGTACTCCAGCCTGGGCAACAAGAGCGAAACCCCGTCTCAAAAAAAAAAAAAAAAAAAAAGAAAAGAAAAGAAAATTATTCTTTTTCTGACACAGGTTAAAGGAAACAAAATTAACTGCTCTATACAATGTTTTATTTGCCCCTAACTTCTCTTTCTACACCTGGAAAATTTTTCACCACTAAGTTGTTAGTGTCTCTTTAACCACTCTAAAGTTAGCTAGTCCAGAACATTCTCAGATATCATAAAGGATATCTTTTTCCATAGGTTCTGCAATGCCTTGGTACTGACAAATCCCCAAAAGGAGAATACTGCGGACTTCCTACCTGGAAGTAGTTTATGTAGACTACTACCACCTGGCATAAAGATAAATACAATTATATAATTATTTTTCAAAAGAATTATGTCAAACAGCCAATTTTACTTTATCCGTCCGGCTCATGACTATAAATAACTATTACTATCAAGAAGCAGGCTAAGTTACTAATAAAAATCTCATTTCACTATAGGCTTCACTGCTAAAAAGATTACACTACAGTAAGAAAAAAAAATCTGGGCTCTTCCCACTGATTCTCTCATACTCTATTTACAAAACACTTGAACTCAGCTCATCCACGAATTGGCTATCCACTGAATGCAACTTAGCACTACTAGGCTAAACAAGAGGATGGATAGATTACTTCAGGTTTCCTAAGTAGTAAATTGAAATGAACTAGGAGAACCACAAATAAGGTGAACAGACATTACAAAATACACAAACTCAATTTAAAAAAAGTAGATACATCTAAATACTAAAAAAAAAAAAGTGCCAGTAATTTACTAAAAACTACTGTATACTCATAATTTATAAGGCCCTCTCAGGTTAAACTTAAGTTTGTCAGTCACATTCACAATACCTTGCTGAAAAACAAGGGGAAATATTAATTTCAGCTAGTAATCAAAGAAATGCAAATTAAAGAAATCTGAGGAACTGCACGGACTGTTTAACATCTCCGAAGCAGGGAAAATGTGGTTACCACGTATCACAGCACTGATGGCACTGTAAAATCAGTACAACCCTATTAGAAAACAATATAACTTCAGTTACCAAGAGCTTTAAAAATGTTCATGCTGACTGACAGCGTGATTCCAACTGCTGGACACAATTAGATAGGGAAAAAGATAAAGCTACTTATAGAAGTATTGCTACCTAAAAATGAGGATATAGAAACAGACAAATGTACAAGGAAAGTAGTTGGTTTTGGTTCATGATACGGCAAAAAAAAAAAAAAGGGCAAAAAAAAAGGCAAAAAAAAAAAAAAAGACTAAAGTGTACAGCCCTGCCTCACATCATATTCAAAAGTAAATTCCGGCAGGGTGCGGTGGCTCACGCCTATAATCTCAACATTTTGGAAGGCCAAGGTGGGCGGATCACTTGAGGTCAGGAGTTCGAGACCAGCCTGGCCAACATGGTGAAACTCCATCTCTACTAAAAATACAAAAATTGGCCAGGCGTGGTGGCACTGTAATCCCAGCTACTCAGAAGGCCAAAACACAAGAATCGCTTGAACCCAGGAGGTGGAGGTTGCAGTGGTGCGAAAGTTGCAGTGAGCCAAGATCGTGCCACGATCGTGCCACTGCATTCCAGCCTGGGTGACAGAGCAAGACTCCATCTCAAAAAAACAAAAAAAGTAAATTCTGGATGCATTTTCTTTTTTTTAAAGACAGGGTCTCACTCTGCCACCCAAGCTGGAGTTCAGTGGTATGACCACAGCTCACTGCAGCCTCAAACTCCTGGGAGCAAGGGATCCTCCAGCCTCAGCTTCTCGAGTAGCTAGGACTGTGGGTACATGCCACTATGGCTTTTTTTTTTTTTTTTTTAGTAGAGACAGGGTCTTGCTGTTACCCAGTCTCTTCTGGAACTCCTAGCCTCAAGCAATCCACCCACCTTAGCCTCCCAAAGTGCTGGGATTACAGGCGTGAGCCACCTCACCCAGCGGCATTGCATTTTTAAATGTGAAGAAAAGCAGCAGAAGACATTTCCATGTGGTAGGTGGCCAGGGGTAGTGAGGTGCTGCAGGGGATTATATTGGAAGGGGAAAAAGTATTTGATGTTTTATAGTCTCTTTTGGCTTAACATATATATATTATTACAATTATATGAAACATACACACGGCACTCTGTGCTTAACGTTTTTGTAACATTTAACCCACTTAACTGCAACTGCTTATTTAACATCTTTTTTCCCTACTAGACTGTAAATTCCATAAGGGCAAGAACCAGGCCCCTCTTTTTCACTGCTGCATCCCCAGTGCTTAGCACAGTGCCTGCCATATACTAGGTACTCAAATATTTGTGGAGCAATTCCACTTCTGGGTATATACACAAAAGAATCGAATGCAGTGACTTGAACAGATATTTGTACACCAATGTTCCTGTCACCATTATTCATGCTTGAATAATGCCTATAATAGCCAAAAGGTATAAGTAACCCAAGCATCTGTCAACTGATGAGTAGATAAGCAAAATATGGTATATACATACAATGGAATATTATTCACTTTTAAAAAGGAATGAATTCTGATAAACGTTACAACATGTATCACCTGGAATACATGCTAAATGAAATAGCCACAAAGAACAAATTTTGTATCATTCCACTTACATGAAATACTTAGAATAGTCAAATATAAAGAAAGAAGAACAGTGATTACCAGGGGCTGGGAGGTGGGAGGGAGCGAGGGAGGGAGGGAGGAACAGGGCCCTATTGTTTAATGGGTACAGTTTTATTATGAGATAGTAAAAAAATTCTGGGTATGAATGGTGACAATGGTTGCACAACAACGTAAATGTTCTCAATGCCACTGAACTGTATACTTAAAATGGTTACAATGGCAAATTTTATATATATTTTACCAAAATTAAGAAAAAAAACTTCTGGAATGAGAAAAGTAGAATTATGAGTCATTTTTCATATTGATAATAATTTCCCTGTAAAATATTCTCTCAAGAAGCAGAAAAATGAAGTGATTTTTATAAGATACTCATCTCCAGCATTATTTCTACCCAAGTTAGCTTTTACACAAAACTTAAAGAAACTAAAGTAGTTGCCTACACACTTATTTCACATGAAGTACAGAAGGAAAAAAGAAAAAAAAAGTTTTCCTTTTCAAAATAGACTCCAGAAATTCCAATCATATTTTTCAGAGCTATTTTGAAGAGGACATCAAATTGCAGTATTGTATTATCCTAATACTATTTGCATATTTAAGTACAATCAATTCTTTGATCAGCCACACTAATACCAATGTTGCATGTAAAATAATTCCAATACAATTCTATTTGACTTTGTAGAATTCAATAAAGCCAAATATGCCCTCCCTTCCTGTCCCTGACCACTTCCCAGCTTAAACCTATTATTTGTAACCTGGGACCCAGTGTGGGAGAAGAACCCAATTCCCATGAGATGCGACAAAGGAAACAATCTACATAAGGATAATTGTTGATCATATCAGCTTTAAAGATAATTTTAACTTGACATAATTGGAAGAACAGTTTTTATACTGTATACAATTTAAAAGCATCTCCCAGATGGGAGAACATGCCATCTGGATTCTTTTCAAATTTGAGATGCTTATGGATTGTATGCTACATTATCCTAAATTTTCTCCTACCTCTTTGACCACTCTTATCAGTGATCCTACTTCTTCCTCCTGCCAAGTTAAGCATGATGTTTTCACCTCTGACCCTCCGGCTCTTTAATTCTAAGTACCCCCACCAAAAGCCAATGTACACTATGCATAATGATCCCAAAAAAATCTCCTGCTCTTATCTCTGCTGAACCACAGTTACATAATATCAACTTAAGGTTGAAGTATCTAAAATCCAATGTCTCTTTCTCTCCAAAATCAGCTTGCATTTGGATGCAAGAGTACAGTAAAATATTATTACTACTATGTTCCAACTACACACATTATTGCAAGAAATGTTTTGAGAAGCAGAAACAAAAAGGGTATGCATTCCAAGATGTCAGAAAAAACTATGTGCTATCAAAATATTAAATATTAACCAAAACCTAATTATTGAAAGTTTCAGCACAATGCATTTTTAAAATATACACACATATGTATCTATCTAGAAATGTACATATGTATGCTATGTTATCTCCTACTAAGTTATAAATGGCAAAGCTAGGATCCCCCTGTTCAAAGCTAACCCTCTGCTTCACATCAAGCTCTATGCTGTGATCATCACAAATACACTATAAATGGTCACTCAAAGAATCTTTGGGCAAAATGAGGGGTTGCAAGTTAAGTAAGAAGCAGCAGCTTTAAGAGACCTGTACTAATAGATAAAAGGCTCTACAGAACCTAGAAGCTGAGCTGAAGGCATATACTCCTCCTGGAACTCAAGGCAATTCATGAGAATAGGCCTCTAAAAACTACAGGAGACTCAACTGCCTCCCAACCCCCACCCAAAACAGGCCCAAACACCTGCCACAGCATTTCACTTCTAAGGAATGCCCATTTTGGTCTGTTAAATATGAAATTAGTTTACTTCAGGATCAGCTTGCAAATAAGTCCAGTGTATCCCTGGATGCCACATAAACATTAGCTCAACAAATATTAAATACTTACTACACTCCAAGCACTGTTCTAGGTGCTGGGGTTAAAGCAATATAAAGGCGGCTGACAAATATCCTTCCTCTCACTTAACATTCTAGAGTGGGGAAAGAGACAACTCATGTAAATGTATGTTTGATGGTAATATTAAGCAAAATAAACTGAAAAAGGAGGGCTGGCAAAGCAAGGGATATTATTTTAATGAGATGGCCAAGGAACGTTCCACTGAAAGGGTAATATTTGAGCAAAATATCCTAGAGAAATGAGAAACCAAGCCAGGCAGAGGGATCAACAAGTACAAAGGCCGCAAAGTAAAAACCTATTTGAGCAAATTACTGAATTTCTTTAGGTTCAGTTTTCTCATCCATAAAATGGGTATAATATCCCCTATCATGTAATAACTAAAGGTAGTATATTACCTCAAGTATCTGACACATGGAATGTACTCAATAAATGGAATTACTGAGCTATCTGGGGGGCCTACCATGCCAGCAAAACCCTCAGCCTATTATCTGGCACACAGAAAAATCCCAGAAAAAGTACAGGTTGAGTATCCCTTATCCAAAATGCTTGGGACCAAAAGTGTTTCAAACATAAATATTCCAAAATCCAAATATTAATATTGTTTGGATTTGGGATTATTTGTATTATACTTACCAGTTGAGCATCCCATATCCAAAATGTTCCAATGAACATTTCTTTGGAGCATCACGTGGGTGCTTAAAAGGTTTCAGATTTTGGAAGATTTTGGATTTGGGATGCTCAACCTGTATTACTATATAGTCTCTATAAATAACCTATAAGGCAAATGGGATTACACCTATTGTACAGCTGGGGAATCTTGAGGATCAAAGATTTGCCCAATCCTCTGCTATCTCCTAAAATTCCTATAAGGATGCACAAACATACTCCACAATTAAATAGAGGACTTAAAAGTACACTGCCAAGATGAAGAAACCACTCACATTATTGTCCACTGATCAGCAGTATGGTAGTGTAGCATTAAGAACTCAGGAACAGAAAACCAAACACCACATGTTCTCACTTATAAGTGGGAGCTGAATGATGAGAACACATGGACATATGGGGGGAAACAACACACAATGGGGCCTGTGGGAGTGGGGGAAGAGCATCAGGAAGAATAGCTAATGGAAACTGGGCTTAATACCTAGGTGATGGGATGATCTGTGCAGCAAACCACAGGTTTACCTATGTTAACAAACCTGCACATCCTGCACATGTACCTCTCAACTTAAAAGTTAAAAAAAAAAAAAAAAAAAGAACTCAGTAGTGGCCAGGCACGGTGGTTCACGCCTGCAATCCCAACACTTGGGAGGCCAAAGCGGCCAGGTGGCTTGAGCCCACGAGTTCAAAACCAGCCTAAGCAATATGGTTAAGACCCCATCTCTGCAAAAAATATGAAAATAAGCTGGGCTTGGTGGCATGCACCTGTAGTCCCAGTTACTCAGGAGGCTGAGGTAAGAGTACCGCTTGAGCCCAGAAAGTCAAGGCTGCAGTGAGCCATGATAGTGCCACTTGCACTCCACCCTGGGCAACAGAATGAGACCCTATCTCAAAAAAAAAAAAAAAAAAAAAAAAAAACACTTGGGAACCAGATTGCCTGGGTTCACATTAAGGCTCCAACACTTCCTAAGTATGTGTGTGCTTAGAAAAAGTTTAAGCTCACTATGCCTCCGTTTCCTCACACACAAACAGAAAATAATAATAGCATCAACACCTCACAGGCTTGTAGGGAAATTTAAATGGACTAATTTTTCTATTTTTTTTCATTATTTTTAAAGGAAATGTTTCTGAGTCACGAAATGGATTAATTTTTGAAATCACTTCTATTTCAGTGCCTCACAAATAAGGCTGTCTACTGTTAGCAGTAACAGCATAAAAGTAAAATAAGGAAATCGCCATCAAAACATTTCTACTTTTTATGAAGAACTACAGAAACTGTAAAGATACCGGAGGGGGGGAAAAAAAACAGCAGAAAAGGGAGGCTAGTGGAATATGAAAACCAAAACACAAACTGGAATCATAATGCTGCCTGACTTAGACCAGTTTACCTGAACAGATTATTCTTATTAGAATTATTGTTCTTTGGTGGGAACACTACCTATGGAGACAATGCTTTAGATTAACATTTTGTTTCAGTTTATTTTCTATAAAGGTTAATTCCTTAAAATTAATTCAGATGTCACTTTACTCAAGATTAAAACAGTACAGTATAAGAAACTTTATCATCAGTACAGTGTAAGAAACTTTATCATCACTACAGTGTAAGAAACTTTATCATCTCCCTGCCGCTAAGCCTTTTCTAGTTGCTACTTGATGTTTATTATAAAACATGACACATATCACATGCAACTTCAAACATCCATCAGCTCTCAGCTGAAAATAAGCTTTCCTCCTACTTAATCCCCCAAAAGGTTCCTGACCACTATGAGAAGTTTAACTTCCTCCTCTGTCTTTTCCATTTAGAGTTCTTGTATCCTTTATATTCTCTTTCCCCAAAGAAAGTATCACTATGAAATCTATAAATCATCCCACTGGGAGGCAGTGTATCACCATGTAAAGGAGTGTTCTGGAATTAGGCAGAATTGGATTCAAAAAGTAAGCTTGGCCACTTATTAGCTAAGTGATCTTGGGCAAGTCTCTAACAATTCTGAACCTCAGTAAACAACCTCAATAGGGTTGTTGTGAGAAACAAAAAATTAAATGTTAGGGAGCCTAGTACAACTTGTCATATAGTAAGAAGATGCTGTAAGTGGTATCCTGTCGATACAAACTTTATCATTAATGTAAAACCAACTATGGGAAACTATTTTTCTTCCAATATGCAGCTTTTAAATATGAATACCAATAATGCAATTATAATGCAGGTTTACATTTCTTTAAAAAAAAACGAAGGTTTCAATTCAATTACCATTTGAGAACCTGTATAATATATACTGCACAATGAAACAAGGATTCAAAATCAGATGAAAACAGTTCCTAGACTGAAAAGGTTAATCTTGCTATGAGATAAATCTGGATATTTGCCAATATTGTACATTCAAATACTATATATTTATACATATATGCACACACAATTGCCTCCAGTTACAAATCTTTCTTTTTTAAAATTTAATTTCATCTTTTTAAATTTTTTTTTAAGAGAAAAGGTCACTACTGTCACCCAGGTTGGAGTGCAGTGGCACGACCTTGGCTCACTGCAGCCTCAACCTCCTGGGCTCAAGTAATCCTCCCATCTCAGCCTCCCAAGTTGCTGAGATTACAGATGTACACTGCCATGCCTGGCTAATTTTTGAATTTTTGGTAGAGACAGGGTCTCGCTCTGTTGCCCAGGCCGGTCTGGAACTCCTGGGCTCCTACCTCTGCCTCCCAAAGTGTTGGGATTATAGGTGTGAGCCACTGCTCCCGGCAGAAACCTATTTTTCCATAGTAACTTAGAAAACTGCTTCAGTCTAACTTAAAAGGATTAGGAACAAATGTCCTACTATAGGAACTTTTCTAATAAAATCCCATATTGTCCAAATGATCCTTCTGAAATTTTTCAAGTATATTCAGAATACCCAAATATGAATATAACTACTAAATATTCCTCAATGAACAGTAGCACTTTATGCACTGATATTTAATCAAAACTCAAAAAGTACATATTCCGCAGGGCATGGTGGCTCATGCCTGTAATCCCAGCACTTTGGGAGGCCAAGGTGGGCGGATCACCTGAGGTTGGGAGTTCGAGACCAGCCTGACCAACATGGAGAAACCCCCATCTCTACTAAAAGTACAAAATTAGCCGGACATGGTGGCACATGCCTGTAATCCCAGCTAATCAGGAGGCTGAGGCAGGAGAATCGCTTGAACCCAGGAGGCGGAGGTTGCCGGTGAGCTGAGATCACGCCATTGCACTCCAGCCTGGGCAACAAGAGCGAAACTCTGGCTCAAAAAAAAGTACGTATACTCACAACTGGAAAAATCCATTTGTCATTGACAAGTTTGCTTTTCAAAAACATACCTTCATGCTTCTGCTTCTCTGCCAACCATGACTACCACCACTTCCTCAATTCTCCTGCCAGGAGTAAAGTCTGAGGAATGTCTTTTGGACTGAATGAGTGGTGGAAACAGGGAGGGACATATCCCAAAGGAAAAATATTATGGTTTTGCTAATAATATTTCCTACATTTTATCTTCTTCTTTTTAATAGTGTAGAAGGGAAATTCTCAAAGGTTCATTTTCCTATCTTTATATATATACTATTTCTTTAGACTACAAAAAATGCCTCTATTTTAGTAAGAAGATATCAAACATGTTCTTTGTAATAACATTCTAGCCACCATAAAGTTTGCAAATTAGGTACAAGGCAGTAGACACACTGGTGACTGTAAAAATTACCCTTGCTTTTGAAAGGAAAAAAAGATTGGAAATCTAAGGAAAGAGGTTATCATATATCCCAATCCTGAAATGAAAATACTTCAAGTATACCAAACCTCAATCATTTTATATGATGAGTGTGTGGGTGAGTGAATGTAATGAAAATCAAATACTAGGCCGGGTGTGGTGGCTCATGCCTGTAATCCCAGCACTTTGGGAGGCCAAGGCGGGCGGATCACTACATCAGGAGTTCGAGACCAGCCTCACAAATATGGTGAAACCCCATCTGTACTAAAAATACAAAAATTAGCCAGGCGTGGTGGCATGCACCTGTAATCCCAGCTACTCAAGAGGCTGAAGCAGGAGAATCGCCTGAACCCAGGAGGCAGAGGTTGCAGTGAGCCGAGATCACGCCACTGCACTCCAGTCTGGGCGACAGAGCGAGACTCCATCTCAAAAAAAAAAAAAAAAAAAGAAGGTATCAACCTTTGGATAACAGTAACTGCATATATAAGATGATCATGGGGCCAGGCACGGTAGCTCATGCCTGTAATCCCAGCACTTTGGGAGGCCAAGACGGGTGTTATCACTTGAGCTCAGGAGTTCGATACAAGCCTGGCCAACACAGTGAAACCCTTTCTCTATACAAAAATTAGCCAGGCCTGGTGGCGGGTGCCTGTAATCCCAACTACTTGGGAGGCTAAGGCAGGAGAATCACTTGAACTCAGGAGGTGGAGGTTTCAGTAAGCCAAGATTGTGCCACTACACTCCAGCCTGGCCAACAGAGTAAGGCTCCGTCTCAAAAAAAAAAAAAAGAAAAAAGAAAAGAAAAGATGATCATGGGCTCTTTTAACTTTGTTTATTAACAACTGCCAAAGACTGAAGCATTCCAAGGCTACATTAAAGCCCTCGGTTGTTCTGCTTGTTTTCTCAGTTGTTATTTTTCCCTGAAGTTTTTCAGTGCAGCCCTAATTTTTCAGTATGTCACTAATCTCACATTAGGAACACAGTGCCAAAACTGCATTGATGGCTGGTTTTAGCCCAATATTCTTTAATGTAAACCCAATACACGGTATTTTAATAGGTATTTTTTTAACCCTTCTGTAGTGACAAAGTCCAACTGACTATATTCCCCTAAGGGCAGAGACTATGTAATCTAGTTTACCATTGTATATCCCATCTTTCATAGGTACTTTTTTTTTTTTTTGAGAGGGAGTTTCACTCTTGTTGTCCAGGCTGGAGTGCAATGGCGTGATCTCAGCTCACTGCAACCTCCACCTCCCAGGTTCAAGCAATTCTCCTGCCTCAGCCTCCCGAATAGCTGGGACTACAGGCATGCACCACCACACCCAGCTAATTTTGCATTTTTAGTAGAGATGGGGTTTCTCCACATTGCTCAGGCTAGTCTTGAATTCCTGACCTCAGGTGATCTGCCCACCTCAGCCTCCCAAAGTGCTGGGATTACAGGTGTGAGCCACCGCGCCCAGTCTATTTTTTTTTTTTTTTTTTTTGAGACAGAGTCTCACTCTGTTGCCAGGCTGGAGTGCTGTGGCACGATCTCGGCTCACTGCAATCTCAGCCTCCCGGGTTCAAGCAATTCCCCTGCCTCAGCCACCCGAGTAGCTGGGACTACAGGCACGCGCCACCATGCCCGGCTAATTTTTTGTTATTTTAGTAGAGACGGGGTCTCACCGTGTTGGCCAGGATGGTCTCGATCTCCTGACCTCATGATCTGCCTGCCTCAGCCTCCCAAAGTGCTGGGATTACAGGCATGATGAGCTACCGCACCCGGTCCCCCATAAGTACTTTAAATACCAGCTGATTTTAACAATGAGCCCTAGAGAAACTGATGAAATGCATGTATACAGTTTGTACATAATTTGAGAGGGTTCACAAATCTCCATCCCATTCATGGACCCCAGCTTAAAAACCAGCAATATAGTATTTAAAATCCAACTGCATTTTTTTTTTATTTTATTTTACTACTGTTTTTTTTCTCTTTTGAGTGGGGGTCTCACTCTATCACCCAGGCTGGAGTACAATGTCACAATCTCAGCTCACTGCAACCTCCGCCTCCCAGGCTCAAGTGATCCTCCCACCTCTGCCTCCTGAGTAGCTGAGACCACAGGTGAGCGCCACCACGCCAGGCTGATTCGGTTCTTTTTTTTTTTTTTTTTTTTTTTTTGTATTTTTGGTAGAGGGGGGGAGTTTCACCATGTTGCCCAGACTGGTCTTGAACTCCTGAGCTCAAGTGATCCACCAGCCTCAGCCTCCCAAAGTGCTGGGAATACAGGCATGAGCCACCTAGCCCAGCCCATTAATCTTATATAATAAATCAAATCTCCTCAAAATAACCTTTTGTCTCCCGTAGTCACTACACAGGCCACAAATTCCTTCATCTGGTGAGAAATGCAGTCCCCCTTCAAGCTATATCTTGTCTCATAATGGTTTCAATGAACTAAATAAAAGACCTTAAAAATTGGCCGGGCGCGGTGGCTCACGCCTGTAATCCCGGCACTTTGGGAGGCCGAGGCGGGCGGATCACGAGGTCAGGAGATCAAGACCATCCTGGCTAACACGGTGAAACCCCGTCTCTACTAAAAATACAAAAAAATTAGCCGGCCATGGTGGCAGGCGCCTGTAGTCCCAGCTACTCGGGAGGCTGAGGCAGGAGAATGGCGTGAACCCCGGAGGTGGAGCTTGCAGTGAGCTGAGATTGCGCCACTGCACTCCAGCCTGGGCGACTCCACCTCAAAAAAAAAGAAAAAAAAAAAATGATAGTTACACCAACAAAACCTCCAAACGTCAACTAGCTAGAGGGAAAAAAAAAAACACAAATTACTCAATGAACTATTAAAATAGCCAAGTATGAAAACAAAACTGGAAGTCTCCTTAAGATCAGATACTACCATTCACTCCCACTCAAAGGAAAAAAAAAGATCTTAGTTTACAATATAGTTGTTTCCACAACTGTGCCAAAATCATTTCTCCACATTTGAATTCACCAGTAATATTTTTTCAGGTGACAGCACAAGCATAAACAGGCCAGAAATATAAAATAGCTTTAAAAATCACAATAAAAGAGGGATATTTTTTATGAAATGACATATTAATCTCTACAAGACTTAACTCTCAAACTATGCTACAGAATCAGTTTACCTTCAAAAGTCTCTAAACTGGACCTTTTTCTTTCTTTTCTAGTAACACTTCTCCCTAGTCACAAAAGTATTCATCTTCTTTCTACTGTCTTCTCAGTAAAAATTTCTACAATCCACATTTCTGCCTAAGAAAATGGTAAAGGGAACCTGAATAATACATACGGAAAACAAACTCAGATGTCGTTATCTTAGAGTTTTGTTTTAACTTAGGTGGCCCTCAGGAAAGTTGCTTTTCAACATTAAGACAATATAATCACCTCAGTCTAACAGCCACTTGAAAAAAATCCAAGTGGAAATTCTCCTGGATTTTAAAAAACACTATCTTGTCTTTTTACTATTGACCATGTACCAACAAAAACTCCCCCAAAAGGGTAAAAGTAAACAAACTCCCAGAATATGGCAATTTAAAATAATTTAAATCACTTTCATTCCCATAGAAATCTCTACAGGTTTTATTTTATTTTAGAGACAAGAGTCTTGCTCTGTTGCCCAGGCTGGAGTGCAGTGACGCAATCTCAGCTCACTGTAACCTCTACCCCCAGCTTCAGGCAATTCTCCTACCTCAGCCTCCCAAGAAGCTGGGATTACAGGCACATGCCACCACACCTGGCTAATTTTTATATTTTTAGTAGAGACGGGGTTTCACCATATTGGCCAGGCTGGCTCGAACTCCTGACCTCAGGTGGTCCACCTGCCTCGGCCTCCCAAAGTGCTGGGATTACAGGCATGAGCCACCGCGCCCAGCCTCTACAGAGGTTTTAAATCCCTTCTTACCGCTTACTAAGTGGGCAAGTTATTTGGTCTCCCTATGCTTCAGTTTCTTCTGAAAAAGAAGGTATTAATTAGGGTCATCACACATCCTTTCTCTCAAACAGTCCTAGTTTCTGCTATTATCTCAGCATGCCATTCAGTGAGTGCCCCCTTTCACTCACTCTTCCCTTGATCTTAGCCAAAAGGCCAAGAAGCAATCCCTTTCACGTTCAAAAGTATCCTGGCTTGAACAATAAATCATATGGTCATCCTACCTCATAGAGTTACTAAGATAAAGTAAGCTAATACACACAAAGCATTTTTAAGAGTATCTGGCATATGGTAAGAGTTCAGTTAGTATTAGTTCTTGTTCATGTTAGTCACTGTCAGTGACTTTTTATAGATTTTGAACTGTATAATGAACAGTGCTCCCACAATATTCCTTCTTATAAATAAAATGATGCATTTAATGTCCCACATTAAATTCTTTCAAACAACTAAGCAGCACTAACTGCTTGAAATCAACACTAACCAATTTATCCCACAGCAATAGCAGTATCAACAGCATTCACATTGTATCACGAATTTTAATAGAGGCCATATTAGAGTTACTAACAGGAAAGTGACAGTGAAAAGTAAAACTTTATTTAGTGCCAAACCAAGTCCCTTAATATTCTAGCAGCCTTTCTCAACCAGTGTTCCTCATGTTAACTACAGAACTCAGAAAATGACTTGACTACAGAACTCAGAAAATGACTTCAGTGACTATTCCTGAAGTCTCCCAAGAATGATACCTAACTAATATCTTTCTAGATGTGCAGGGGAGAAACTAATTTATAATATACAATGGATGCCTCGGGGAATAATTCTGTCATGGAACACCAGTTCTTGGTTTTCTTGGAATACAAAGGGGGAAATATGGATGAAAAGACTCCTCAATGAACAAAGAGTCTGAGTATAAGACTGCTGTTCATCACCTGGGAAAAAAGTATTTCCTACATGTTAAAGCTTAAAGGAATGATCAATATAAACATATAAATTTGACTCATGGCTATGAAAAGCACAAATATATATATTTTGTTTTCCTTGTCTCCATAAATTTATCTTAGGTCATAAGTCCAACAACCAGAATTCCTTCAGATAAAAAAAACTTCAGTTACAATTAAAAAAAAAAAAAAAAAAAAAAAAAAACAGGAAGACCGGGTGCGGTGGCTCACGCCTGTAATCCCAGCACTTTGTGGGGTGGAGATGGGTGAATCACCTGAGGTCAGGAGTTCGAGACCAGCCTGGCCAACATGGGGAAATCCCGTCTCTACCAAAAATACAAAAAATTAGCCGGGTGTGGTGGTACGCGCCTGTAGTCCCAGCTACTCGGGAGGCTGAGGCGAGGAAATCGCTTGAACCTGGGAGGCGGAGGTTGCAGTGAGCCAATCATGCCACTGCACCACAGCCTGGGCAACAAGCGCGAAACTCCATCTAAAAAAAAAACAGAAAGGAAAAAGAAAACTGAGACTAAGATACCGATCACTAATGAACCTAATAACTTGGGGCCCTGATATTAACTATTTATCACCTGATAACAGTAAGAACAAGAAAACTTAATAGTGAAAGATGAACTAAAATAGGAAGTATAAGCAAACAGGAGATATTAACAGAATAAAAAAGAATTTTTAAGGTACAATTAAATAACAAAAAATACCCCTAAAGAACCAGAGCGCTGAATTATTAAAGATTAGCCTAAACTTTTTACTTCGAATCTAACCACTCAGTAAAACAAGCTGAAGGACTGGGGAACAATTCTCAGACACATGTAATCTCCATTTTAAATAGAGCATAAATGACCTAAAAGAAAAAATATCTATGAAACCATTTCATGTATCACATGATTCCCCCCCCAAAAAATTCAAGAATACAATTCATTATCCCACAAACTTTAATAAGCATATGCAAACAAAACCAATGCTCAGATTTATTTCAACTACTTCTATTACTATTAAAAGACAATATAGACCTCAGGCAGCAACTTATCTGACTCTGGGTAAAAATCTATATTTACCTTGCACTATACATGAAAAAGAATCTTGATTTTGTAAAATTAAAATAAGAATGCATGCTCTCTGATGACAGATAGCCCAAGACCTAAACCAGATAAGGGAAACAACTGAGTTTAACAAAAAAGCACAAAGGTTTTGAGGCCAGGCTAATCTGAGTGTGAATCCATGTGACTTGAGACAAGGCATTTACTCTCTGAGAGCGTCAATTTCCCCACGTGTAAAATGATGAGGACAACCTATCCTGCAAAGTGGTTGAGAAGATTAAACAGAAGATTAAAGCATTACTGGCATTCAGTAGGAACTTAAATAGCAGTTAAATTAAGTTTCTTAGAATGCTTCAGGTTTCAAAAGTTATTCTTGCAAAAATGTAAATAGGACTTGTTTTTCACCCCCCTTGAACGATGTACAACAGAATTTAAACAACTTTTTGAGATAGGGTCTTACTCTTTTGCCCAGGCTGAAGTGCAAAGGCATGATCATGGCTCACTGCAGGCTCAACCTGCTGGGGCTCAAGTGATCCTCCCACCTCAGCCTCCCCAGTAACTGGGGCCACAGGCTGCACAACCATACCCAGCTAATTGTTAAATTTTTTTGTAGAGATGGGGTCTCCCTACGTTGCCCAGGATGGTCTCAAACTCCTGGGCTCAACAGATCTTCCCACCTTGGCCTACCAAAGTGCTGGGATTCAGAGGGTGAGTCACCACGCCCAGCCAACTTATTTCTTACAAAGAAATTTTACCTTTGAATGGTCCCTTAAGTTAGGCAGAGCTTACTGAAATCTCCCTAGTTTGTCTCATCAAGCCTAGTAATGTATTTCCCAATTAAAATACAGTCATGTGCCATATAATGACATTTTAGTCCACAACAGACTGCATATAAGACGGTGGTCCCAGCTGGGTGTAGTGGCTCATGCCTGTAATCCCAGCACTTGGGGAGGCTGAGGCAGGCGGATCACGAGGTCAGGCGTTTGAGACCAGCCTGACCAATATGGTGAAAGCCCGTCTCTACCAAAAATACAAAGATTAGCCGGGTATGGTGGCATGCATCTGTAATCCCAGCTACTTGAGAGGCTAAGGCAGGAGAATCGCTTGAACTCAGGAGGCAGAGGTTGCAGTGAGCCAAGATCTCGCCACTGCACCCCAGCCTGAGCGACAGAGGGAGACTCCATCTAAAAAAAAAAAAAAGACAGTGGTCCCATAAGATTATAAGGGAGCTGCCCTATAGAGGTGTACTATTTTTTCTTTTATACCGTATTTTTATTGTATCTTTTTTGTTTTCAAACACAAATACTTACCACTGTATTATAACTGCCTACGATATTCAGTACAGCAACATGCTGTACAGGATTGTAGCCTAGGAGCAACAGGTCATACCATATGGCATAGATGTATAGTAGGCTATTCCATCTAGGTGTGTGTAGGTACACTGTATGATGCTCACACAACAAAATCACCTAAAGATGCATTTCTCAGAAGGTATGCCCGCCGTTAAGCAATGCATGACTGTAATAAAAAAGAATAGGCCAGCTGGGCGCAGTGGCTCACGCCTGTAATCCCAGAACTTTGGAAGGCCGAGGCAGGCAGATCACCTGAGGTCGGGAGTTCGAGACCAGCCTGACCAACATGGAAAAAACCCCGTCTCTACTAAAAGTACAAAATTAGCCCGGTGTGGTGGCACATGCCTGTAATCCCAGCTACTCGGGAGGCCGAGGCAGGAGAATCGCTTGAACCCAGTAGGTGGAGGTTGCAGTGAGCCAAGATCGCACCATTGCACTCTAGCCTGGGCAACAAGAGCAAAACTCCGTCTCAAAAAAAAAAAAAAAAAAAAAAAAAATACACCATTGACATTATTCATCCTCTCTTTCTTCGGCAGAAGGAATGGAAAACAATTTCAATAATCTCTTCTTGGCCAGGCACGGTGGCTCCGCCTGTAATCCCAGCACTTTGGGAGGCTGTGGTGGGTGGATCACCTGAGGTCAGGAGTTTGAGACCACCCTGACCAACATGGTGAAACTCTGTCTCTACTAAAAACACAAAAAATTAGCTGGGCGTGGTAGCGGACACCTGTAATCCCAGCTACTGGGAGGTTGAGGCAGGAGAATCACTTGAACCCGGGAGGCAAAGGTTGCAGGGAGCCCAAGATCATGCCACTGCACTCCAGCCTGGGCAACAAGAGCAAAACTCCGTCTCAAAAAATAAATAAATCTCTTCTTGACTTACTACAATAACCATATGTAAAGACTTCTTGGTGTCTACTGGTGAGTATCAAAGATCTATAGCAAGCACACATTAAAAACACAATTCAGGTAGCAGATTACCACAGCTGCTGAAGATGCATAGATTTTTAAAAGGCACATCAACAAAAATTAGACTCCACTAAGCAACACCACTTACACTGAAGAAATATAAAATTTGGGTAAATTAAACGTAAAGCAGTCAACTCAAGAGACTGAAAAATCAAACTGATAATTTTGCTTTATCATATATCTTTGCCAATCAGAACACGCAATAACCATCATTTATGATACCCAGAAACATAAAGAATTATTACACAGGGACAGTACTGAAACACGAACTAAAGTCCTGAACATGTAGCCAATGCAGAAAAATGTTAAGAACTTTTTTTTTTTTTAAACGGAGTCTCGCTGTCGCCCAGGCTACAGTGCAGTGGCGCGATCTCAGCTCACTGCAACCTCTGCCTCCCAGGTTCAAGCGATTCTCCTGCCTCAGCCTCCCAAGCAGCTGGGACTACAGACGCGCACCACCACGTCCAGCTAATTTTAGTATTTTTAGTAGAGATGGGGGTTTCACCATGTTGGCCAGGCTGGTCTTGAACTCCTGACCTCATGATCCGCCTGCCTCAGCCTTCCAAAGTGCTAGGATTACAGGCGTGAGCCATGGTGCCCAGCCAAAAACTTTTAAAATAGCCTATGTCTTTAAAGTTCCTTCCTTACTCTCCAACAATCACACTTCAGTATATACTGATGCCCATACCTGAAACTATCCCTCTCCCTCGCTATTCTCCCCAACTCCCAAAACGGTACTCCATTATATAGTAAACTGTACATTTTAGTTTATTTTTAATTTTTTTTTGAGACAGGGTCTTGCTCTGTTGCCCAGGCTGGGTGCAGTGGCGCAATCGTGGCTTACTGCAGCCTCTATGTACCGGGCTCAGGTGATCCTCCTGCCTCAGCCTCCCAAATAGCTGGGACCACAGGTGTGCACCACCACACCTAATTTTTAAATTATCTATAAACATGGGGTCTCCCTATGTTGCCCAGGCTGGTCTTGAACTCCTTGGGCTCAAGTGATCCCCCCACTTCAGCCTCTCAGCCTCCCAAAGTGTTGGTATTACAGGTGTGAGCCACTGTGCCCCGCCGATTTTGGTTTAAGTTCAAAAGTCAACTTGCAGCATCAAAAACTGAAGTCTGCCATCTATTATAAAGAACCCGAAGCAGAAAGATTATGCTATTCTCTGTTTACTACCTTCCCACATATGACTGTGGGTGGTATCAGTTAAACATGCACAATATTAAGCATTACTAAACTGCATATTTTCACATCTAACCCTAAATTCCCAAAGGAATAGATCTGAGCCTTAGCCTGTCCCCCAAGCCCATCCCATTCACTTTAATTCATAAGTCCTCAGGTGACCGCAGAAGTCAATACAGTTGAAAAAGAAATGTAGAATTTGATTTCATGAAAATCTTATTTGAGCATTTGGGCTTTAAAAAATCCTAACTAAATATACTTGAAAGTTACCAAACTCATCATGTGTTAGTGTAGTAGTTTAGCTATTGCCTCACCACAATAAAATAAATCTGATGCCACAATCCTTACCATCTACTAAGAATATTTGTATATGAATAAAAATTTGAAATATGTCACCTATTTTCCTTTAACATCCTTCTAAAGCTAAAATCCTGAATATGAAATACACAAACAGACTAATGGTAACAGTTACAAAATGTCTGTTCCCAGATTGGGGTGAAATTTTGCTATAAATTAAATATCCATTGTTTTGGATTCCTTTCGGAACTGTGACATGTATTTTTAAAATGTATCTCCTGGGGGAAAAAAATAAACCTGACACTGAACAGTATAGAACTGCCAAAAAAAAAAAAAAAAAAGGCACTTACCTTAATAGAATTTAGGAGCAGTTCACAAATGCACTAATTAAGGGAGACCAAGGATTGTCATTGCAACACATTTTTACTGTTTACGGGTAATGGTCAGAATGTTAACAGACAATATTGAAATATTTTACATATCAACTTCTAACTAGTTATAGCACCAGATCCTTGGGGCATGAGGTGATTTAAACCATTTTAAATGTAAACACTCATTTTCTTATCAGTTAAAAAAAAAAAAACCCACTCCACCCTCTCTGCCAGTCTCTGATACACCTTAGAATACTATAGTTACTTCACAGTGGGAAGGAATAGCTAATAAGTACATTTCTTTTCCAACCCACTTCTCTACCTAGTCATTAAACACCAAATTCTGAAACTGAATTCAGCTACCTAGATCTTTCTACCAGGAATGCTCCCTATGGTACCTCAATCCCTTCCACTGTCACTTACTGCAACTGCCAAAGCCCCTCCTATTAATAGTAAATCCCTTTCATACTGACTCACTGTAACTCCAACTTGATGAAATAGACACTAAGCAGAATTTACAAAAATTGCAAATGGAATTTTCCTGTTTTCAAAGAATTAAAAAGGAAACTAAAAGTAGAGCACATTCAGGCTAAGTTATAAACATTTAAAGTTCAACCAATTTATAAGTATTTATGTTGCCTGTTTTATACTAGTTCCCGTTTAAACGTTTTTTTTTTTTTGAAAGTTTTGCCAAGCATTGTGTAATCACTTACACAAGGCTAAATTTCCTATGCAAGTAATTTTGACATGTAAATATAAACTTAAGTCATTACCCCCAAGACTGTAAGACAATCTGGAAATTCTACTGCAAAAAAAGTTTATCTTAAACTATGGAAATGTTTAACAGCACGCACAAAAGTAGAGAGAATAATAGTAACAATGAGCGCTTCTGTATTCATCCAGCTACAATAATCAACTCAAGGCCACTTCTGCTTCACACCTACCTCCTACCCACTCCCTCCTCTCATTATTATCTTCAAAAAGAATTAAGAGGAAGATACTATGTTCTCTAAGTACACTTCTACCCAAAGATAGCAAAAGTATCAAAAACTAGCATGTTAAGTCAAAATCCAACAATGTAACTATACAGCCGCCTTACGCCTTACACAATTCTTTGGTAGGTGATAAATTTAAGAATTCAGTTAAACACAAAGATATAACCATCTTTAAGAATTTTAATGAAGTCCATAAACCCAAAGGGCATATTTAAAATTATACCTAAAAAGACAAATAGGGAAATGTGATGAAAACGAACTTAAACATCTGCAATTAACTTACTTAACGTGGCACCTTAGTTCAAAATGAAAAAAAAAAATCGACTATTTAACATAATGTGTCATAAAACTGCAATTCAACCACTTGAAAAACTGCTGAACACTTATATACCTTAAACTGGTCCTTCTGATCCCTAATTATAGATTGATATCAATGTAGAAAGAAAACCAGGCATTTTAACGTTAAGTGGTTGAAAATGTTGAAAATTAACCCCACTGTTCATCGGAAAGTATATGAGAGCAAGCCTAAACTACCTGAATTATATGTCATTAAACAAATGCATCCACTTCCCAGAGCCTTTTTTTTAACAAAATAAGTTCAGATATACCCTTAAACGCAACGCGCTAGGCTACAGACAGAATTAGGAGACCGCCTCCTGCTTTTGCTCCTAACCAATACGCAGAGAGAGAAGGTTGGCAGAAAAGTGCTGCGAGGACAGTAACAAACACCAGCAGCTCCCGAGCAGGCCCTGCTAGAGCCAGGAATGACGCACTTCGGTAACCCGACTCTTTCTCCCCTCCACCCCCGCCCCCAGCAGCGGTGCTGACACCGCCAACAGCCCGGAGTAGGAAAAAAGACAACAGAAAAAAAGGCAGAGGTTGGACCGCACTAGGTTTCATCAAGAAACCTCGATGATTCCTCTTTCGACACTAACCACTAGGACTAAACAGGAAAAGAAGCTTCGTGCTTAAGCAAGTCCCATCATGGTGGTTTAAGAGTCACTAAATTAAGCTGATAATGAGTCCAATCCACAGAGACAAATACAGGGTGTGGCTGCTGCGAAATACGGCGGTCCGTGGGAGAAAAGGGGTATGGAATTTACACTCCAGTGTGAAGGGAAGATGGGGCTTTATGGTGGGAGAAGGGGGTGGCCCGCGCATTTTAAGGAACCATTGCAAACCAACACAAGCGCCTCGTTTACTTTAAATCTAACCTTACAGATCAAAAGTTTCCAATAGATATATCATGTAAACTGTAAATTACCATTTAATCCAACACCATGGCCCTCAATTTAAAAACTACATCCAAGAGAAAGAAGGAGGGAGAGGGAAGAGGGGTGGTAGGCAACAACATAAAAAACATTCTAGGCCACGGAAGAGAAAGTCTCACAAACCGGATGAAACTACTAATACAATATTAAAAATTAAAGCCGAGCACTGAAGCACGAAAATCACACGATAACCCATTACAGTTAAGGATTAAAAATAAAATGACATATGCACCAAGGGGGAGCGGAAACTAAATGTCGAAAGTACAGCGGTTTATAAAAAACTAAAGGCAAAACAAGACATTCTCGCGACGGGGGGAAAAAAAGGCCGAAATCAACAATACGTTCACAATTCTAGGCCAAAAGAAAATGGGAACGGGGCTCAAAGTTTTGCGGAACTACTTGATGCTGTTTCCCACACCTTCTCTCTCCCACGGCCCATCCGACCCTTTTCGTCCCAAAATCGCCGTCCGCAGATCTCCGGATCCAGGGGAGAAGAAAAAAGAAAGTCGACCCCGAGCAAGAATAAAAGTGTGGAGTGAAAACGCACAGGCTGCCTACCTGGGGCAAGGATCAGCTCAGTTCGTGCCTTGAGAAAGACAGTGCGGGTGGGGGTGGGAATGAAAAGCAGCACTAAAACTAAAACAAAAGTGGCGCCAAAACCCCCCAACAAACAGCCTTCCACTCCCGCCCTTCCCCCCTCCGCCCATGCCAGGCAGGCAGGGCCCCCTTCGGGGCAAGGTCTGCGCGCGGGGGCCAACACCGCCAGACCCCAGCCAATTTAGAAAATTGTTGCCCGAAGAAAACTGACCGAAGTCGGGCCTCGGAAGGGATGGAGAGATCGATGCCAATCGCCTTCCCCAGCAGTTCCCCCACCACGCGCTGGAGATGATGGGGCGGGGGAGAAGCAGAGGGGCCCGTCACATGAATGTTGTTCCCTCTCTAGGAAGGGAGGAAGAGAGGGAGGGAGGGGGGAGGGAGGGAAGGGAGGAGGGGAAGGGAGAAGGGAGGGGGCACGAGGGAGGGGTGTGATCAGAGTAGATTTTCCCTCGCCTCCCTCGGTCCGAGGCCCAAATATACACAACTGAGCCTCCTTTCTCCCCTCCCCCCTAGGTTCCCAGCACCACCATTTTGCTCTCTGCCTTCCCCTCACCGCGACACCGCGCTCTCCCCCACCCCAACCACAGCCTCCCGGCTTTCCTCCCCCGACTACGGCTCGCACCCCACCCCACCTCCAGTTCGGGCTCTCCTAGGCTTAGGAGCCTGCCGGAGAAAAGGAACCTAAATCTACTGCTACACAGAGAAGCGGAGCCTCCATCTTGCGCTGCTCCGCGTTCTCCATTTTGGGCCACCCATGGGGGGGGGGGGTCTCCGTAGAGGCCCCGAGGGAGAGTTGGGCGAGGGAAGGAAGAGAAAATCTTCAGCGAGGGTAGTCGAAAAGAAGAGCCCTGCGGTAGAAAGCCACTCTAGGAGTAGGAGGTAGGGAGGAAGGGGGGCTGGAAGTTCCTTGGAAGTGTTGGGGTAGCGACTTGGGGGGAGAAGGGAGAAAGGAGGGCGGGGGGCGCCGCGGGGGCGAGAAAGATCCTCCCGCCTGGACTCTGCCCCCCGTTCCATGGCTGCCCCCCATGGGGGCGAAGAAAGCAGAGGGGAAATTCAATGGCAACAGAGTGCCCAACCTCTTTCCCTCCCAACTCCTCTCTCTCGCCCTGTTTCAATCATACACACCTCACGGTGGGCCAAGCGCCCTCCGGGTGCCCCTCCAAACTTCTAGAAGCTTCGCCTCCGCCATTTTATAACTTACCTCCCCCCTCAGCGTACACAGAGGCAGCAACGAGACTGTTCGCCTCCCCCACTCCTCCTTCTTTCTCAGGCCGGGGGCTTCTTCACCCCTGGGCTGGTACAAGATATTTTTCCCCTTCCTCTTCTTTACACCCTCGAATTCTACTCAGGGACGGAAGCTCCCGCGGTTCTAGAGCGGTGGGGGGTTTTGAAAGTGGCGGTCGGATCCGGCGGGGTTTTTTTTCTTTTTTTTTTTTTTTTTTTTTTTTTTTTTTTTTTTTTTTTTGGTGGCGCTTCGGGATTGTTTGGGGTGTTCGCTCTTCGGCGACTTGGAGGCGAATGGAACGCGCAGGCGCCATCTGTCGGCCACGAACCCGCGCCCGGCTCCCGTTGGGAGGGAGCGGCATCTAGCGGCAGAGAGTTGCCACTGCAACGCCTGGCTCCCAGCCCTCCCACCCAGCGTCCTCCTCCCAGTCACCGACCAATCGTGGCCGACTGACTCCCGGGTTCAGCGTCTCCGACGCCGCCCGCAAACCAGGCGCCCGCAGGGGCGCGCCGCCGAGTGGGGTAAACAAGGTGCCGTGCCCGCGCCTGACTTACTCATTCGTTTGGCCGCGCTTCCGCCGCGGACCCGATCGAGCCGCGGTTCTTCTGTCTTTAGTGGGGTGTCGAGGGGAGGGCGGTAGGAATGTCCGGCGGAGCCCTGGGCCGTGGGAATCCAGAGGCTGGCTGGGTTCGCTCCGGGACTCGTTCCCCGGGCCCCTCCGCCCCTCGCGAGGCGCTAAGGTGGCAGCCCAGTCGGGCATCACCCTTCGAAGTCCCCTCTTCTGACACACCCCTGTGAGGGGCCTGTGGCCCTAGTTCCCGTACCTTCGATGCCCCCTTGTCCCTACCCCTTCCCACCAAAAGAACCCAAGTCGCTTAACTCTGGCACCTGATCCTAAATGGTTTAATGGAGCTACTTGGGCTAGATCGGGGGCGGAATACGGGTTGGTTTTGTTTTGCTTTTTGCTTCGGGTGTGGAGAGAGAGCGAGCTGATTCTCTACCAGTAAGACCTAGCCCTGGAAAAGAAAGAAAAATTGTTTTGCTTTACAGCCCACTGGTCCCGTCTCCGAGAAAACGTGGTCTGTATCTCCAGGTTCTAGGAGTCCTAAAGAACTGGACTACTAGGCTAGGCCGGGCGCTCGACCAATTTGTTCGCCACTCTCGGGGCGGGGGAAGAGATAGGACCGAGCGAAGTGGAGGGAAATCGAAATTTGGGCAAAAGGAGTGGAGGGGGACCTACCCCGCCTCCCCCGCGCATCCACTGCCTTCCTGGGCGGGTGCAACCACGCGAAATGGTTGGGAATTTAGGTTACTTCGCATCCTGCCTTCCCATCCCTCCCCCAAGATGTTTGAAGTGCGAAAAGACCCTTTCTGCTCCTCCGACCCCTGTTAACTAAAATCTTTGTCACCCTTTTTTTTTGTTTGTTTCGAATCCAGTGTATTGGACCTTTGACCGCCAAGAGCTCTTTACTCGGGGGAGAAAAACTCGAGGAGGGCCTATCCCCTCCAAAGCGCCGCTTTTTCCTTGGACAGGAAGAAGTGACCTATTGCAGTGTCTCCATTGCTGTTATAGAAGTTCGTAGATTCATAAAATAGTGTTTGCTTAAGAAGTCTTCGTTTCTGTTCCATTTTTGAAATTTTGGTTAAAATATTTCTTAAATATTAAATTACATTTCAATTAGAAGAAAAGAAATAAAACGTATTAATAACAAAACAAATTTTCCAACTGAGAAATAGGGTGAGCCCCGTGTAAATCATGAAGCTTTCACCCCGATATCACTTCTGAAACATTCCTAATGTAATATAACGATTATTTTCAGTCCTTAAATTATATTCCTTCCATATCTCTTGTTAGTTTCTCTCCCATCCTCTGTGCTTATTGTTTTTTCTGCAACTTTACAAAAAGAGTTATAGTATATTTAATCAACTGGACAATAAAAGTTAAACAGAAACATCTGAATATCAATAACAAGAAGTAAAATCTGAGACATTTTTACTTACCTCTAAAGCTCTGGAGAGTGGAATACTATTCAAAATAAATTTCCATTTCTTTTATAGACCATCTTTGGTAGAATGCTATACAGTTTTTAATAGATTCAAGTTACAGAATGATGCAGCTAGAACATTAAATAGAGAGTAGTGGAAAATTTACAGAGTTATATAAGTTAATGCAAAATTCCACTTGAAGTAATAGAAAAATTGGGCCGTGTACCAAGTCATTTTTACATTAATTTAGTTCAATTGTGCCAATTTAATCTCAATTGATATTAAATGATTTCCTGTCTTAGTATTAGCTGAAAACTACTGATTTTCTGCTCCAAACATCACATTTATGGTACATGGTACAAATAGTTTTTTATCTATTTTATAAATTTGTATTCTCAGTTAATTATCTATGTAGCAACTGAGATTTTAAACAATTTTATGCTTAGAACAAAACTGAAAAGTTCTTCTGTTTAGCAAATTAGCTCTGATTTTGTGAAAAATACCACTGAAGATTAATAACAAACTGGTATAACATCAGAAATAAATGTTGTAGCAAATTTTTACTAATATTTAAGAATATTTTACAGTAACCATTTTTTTTGTTAGAGCTCTTTCAAAAAAATACTTATCAAGACTTCAATATGTACAGAATGCTAGGTGCCCCAGTCCTATCATAAGAAGTGGAGTTTATTTCATGGGGTACTGAAAAATATAAACAATTCACCCTTTGAATGTGAGGACAAAGGGAGAAAATGCCATCAAACGAAATATGAAATAATGAAAAATGAAATAACTGATGGAAAATAATTTTAATCTTGTTTGTAACATGTCCTTTATGAGATAATATTGTAAAGGCAGAAGCTTTGGGTGCCTAATAAGAAATAGTGAAAAAGGAGAGTTGAATAGTTAAAACTTACAAACCTCTGATACTATATAAAAGGCAAGACACTATTTGATGCAGAAATGTTCTGGTCACAAGAAATTCATATGCCACAGTACAACAAAGATAATCCTCCAGGTTTACCATAGACGGACTAAAACATCCCACAGATCTCTTTGCTTTAACTCCATGCAAATGGAACAGACTTCTGATTATAAATTAGGTTTTCCAGATAGTCTTCTCCTCTGGACAGCATATATATATATTTTATATTTTATTTTATTTTCTTTTTTTTTTTTTTTTTTGAGACAAACTCTCGCTCTGTCACCCAAGCTGGAGTGCAGTGGTGCGATCTCAGCTCACTGCAACCTCCACCTCCAGGGTTCAAGCGATTCTCCTGCCTCAGCCTCCTGAGTAAGCTGGGATCACAGGCAAGCGCCACCACGCCCAGCTAATTTTTGTATTTTTAGTAGAGATGGAGTTTCTCCATGTTGGTCAGGCTGGTCTTCAACTCCCGACCACACGTGATCCGCCCGCCTGGCCTCCCAAAGGGCTGGGATTATAGGCGTGAGCCACCGCGCCAGCCCATTTTTTATATTTTTAAACACCATTCTAAACATAAAACCCAGAAACCTAAAAGTAGATAAATAAATTTAAGTCCACAGAAATTAAAAAATTATGTATACCAAGACACCAGAAACAAAGTCAAAAGATAAACTAGAAACTGTGAGAAAATGTTTGCTATATGGATGAAAAAAGCTAATTTCTTCAAGATACGGAGAACTGTCAAAATCAATATGGTAAAATTTAAAACTCCAGTAGAAAAGTGGACAAAGAATATAGTCTACTTGTGGGAGAAGAAATACAGATGGCTAGGCCGGGCGCGGTGGCTCACGCCTGTAATCCCAGTACTTTGGGAGGCCGAGGCGGGCGGATCACAAGGTCAGGAGATCGAGACCATCCTGGCTAACACAAGGAAACTCCGTCTCTACTAAAAATACAAAAAATTAGATGGTCATGGTGGCACACACCTGTAGTCCCACCTACTTAGGAGGCTGAGGCAGAAGAATCGCTTGAACCCAGGAGGCGGAGGTTGCAGTGAGCCGAGATAGTGTCACTGCACTCCAGCCTGGGCGACAGAGCGAGAATCCTTCTCAAAAATAAAAAAAAGAAAAAAAAGAAATAAGAAATACAGATGGCTAATACATACATAAAATAGTGCTCAACTTCATTTGCCACTAAGAAATGCAAGTTAAGGCCGGGCGCAGTGGCTCACGCCTGTAATCCCAGCACTTTGGGAGGCCGAGGCGGGCAGATCACTCGAGACCATCCTGGCCAATATGGTGAAACCCCGTCTCTACTAAAAATACAAAAATTAGCTGAGCGTGGTAGCTCACCTGTAGTCCCAGCTACTCAGGAGGCTGAGGCACGAGAATCTCTTGAACCCAGGAAGCAGAGGTTGCACTGAGCTTAAATCGTGTCACTGCACTCCAGCCGGGCGAAAGAGCGAGACTCTGTCTCAAAAAAATAATAAAATAAAATAAATGCAAATTAAATACAAACTCTCCTACCAGATTGCCAGAGATTTAAAATGTTGATAATACTTAGTGTTGGTAAAGAACTGAGAACTCTCATATATCATTGAGGGGAGAGTAAATTTTAAAAAAAAACTGAAAAATAAAAATTTTTAAAAGGTCGGATGCAGTGGCTCACATCTGCAATTCTAACACTGGAAGGCCAAGGCAGGAGAATCACTTGAGCCCAGGAGTTTGAGACCAGCCTGGGCAACATAGCAAAACCCCATCTCTACAAAAATTTTAAAAACTGGAGAAAAAGTTGAAAGTATCTCGGAGCAGTTAAATGTAAAATCGATCTAGCAATTCCATTTCTAGGAGTTTACCATACAGATATGCTCATACAAATTATAAAGAAATATATATAGAAAGATTTTCATTATAGCTTTGTAATAGAAACTGACAACAATAGAAATGGTCATCATCAGGGGACTGAGTAAAGAAATTATAATACATCCATACAATAGATACATTGGATAATGGTGGGCATACAATAGTCCTATGCCCACCATTAAAACAAGTATATATTTATTAATATTGCAAATATGGGCCGGGCGCGGTGGCTCACACCTGTAATCCCAGCACTTTCGGAGGCCGAGGTGGGTGGATCACGAGGTCAGGAGATCGAGACCATCCTGGCTAACACGGTGAAACCCTGTCTCTACTAAAAATACAAAAAAATTAGCCGGGCGTGGTGGCGGGCGCCTGTAGTCCCGGCTACTCGGGAGGCTGAGGCAGGAGAATGGCGTGAGTGAACCCGGGAGGCAGAGCTTGCAGTCAGCCGAGATCATGCCACTGCACTCCAGCCTGGGCAACAGAGCGAGACTCTGTCTCAAAAAAAAAAAAAAATATGTCTAAGTTATGAGAAAAAATCAAGTTGCAATTACCTGTATACTGTGATCACATTTTGGAATATATATATATTTATATACACATGTATTTGCTTGCATATGCATAAAACATTTTTTTGATAGAGACGGCATCTCACTATGTTGCCCAGGCTGGTTACAAACTCCTGATCTCAAGAAATTCTCCTGCCTTAGCCTCCCAAAGTTCTGGGATTACAGTCATGGGCCACCACGCCCAGCCAAAACATTCTTGAATATACAGGAAACCTAACAACAGTTACTACTCAGGAAAGAGGCAGTACAGTTCCATGACTTGTCATTTTACTTTTCGTTTTATATATTTCCACCTTATTTTATTCTTTTTTTTTTTTTTTTTACAGTGAGCATGTATTACTTATGGAAGTTTTAAGATCTTATACTGGTTGCCCCAGAAAACAGTTTGGCACTTTCCTACAAAGTTAAATACATACTTACCATCTGACCCAGCAATCTCATTCCTGAGCATTTATCCCAAAGAAATTAAAATTTATGTTTACACAAAAACCTGCACACAAGTACTTATAGCAGCTTTTATTTGTGATAGCCAAAAACAGAAAACAACCAAAATATCTATCACCTGGTGAATGGTTAAGCAAACTGGTTCCATCAGGGAATGGAATACTATTCAGCAATAAAAAGAAACTATTGGCCAGGCACGGTGGCTCATGCCTGTAATCCTCGCACTTTGGGAGGCCACGGCAGTTGGATCACCCTAGGTCAGGAGTTCAAGACCACCCTGGCCAACATAGTGAAACCCCGTCTCTATTAAAAATACAAAAATTAGCCAGGCATGGTGGCAGGCACCTGTAGTCCCAGTTACTCGGGAGGCTGAGATGGGAGAATTGCTTAAACCCAGGAAGCGGAGGTTGCAGTGAGCCGAGATTGTGCCACTTCACTCCAGCCTGGACGACAAGAGCGAAACTCTGTCTCAAAAAAAATAAAAATAAAAATAAACTTAATACATACAAAAAACTTACATGGATCTGAAGGGCATTATGCTTAGTGGGAAAAAAATCAGAGTTACAATGATTCCATTATATGATATTATCAAAATGAAAAATTATAGTTATGGAGGACAGATCAGTGGTTGGCAAGGATTAGGGTTGGGAAAAGACTGAGTATTAAGGGGTAACACGAGAGATTTTTTTGTGGTGATGGAACAATTGTGCATCCTGATTTTGGTGATGGTTACTCAAATCTACAGGTGATAAAATTTTAGAGAACTACAAATACACACACATAAGTACATGAAAAAACCTGGTGAAATCCAAATAAGGTCTGCACTTGAGTTGATAGTGTTGTATCGATTGTCAATTTCCTGGATTTGACAAGGTGCTATTGGGGCAAAGCTTTGTGAAGGGTACGTGGGAATTCTGTCTACTATTTTTGCTACTTCTTGTAGCAAACTAAACTATTTCAAAATAAAATAGTCCTAAACTATTTCAAAATAAAAAGTTGTAATAAAAAATTTAACACTGGGGCTGGGCATGGTGGCTCATGCCAGTAATTCCAACACTTTGGGAGGCTGAGGTGAGAGGATCATTTGAGTCCAGGAGTTTGAGACTAGCCAGGCGCGGTAGCATGCTCCTGTAGTCCCAGCTGTTCTGGAGGCTGAGGTGGGAGGCTGGTTTGAGCCCTGGAGGTGGAGGATCGCTTGAAGTCAAGGCTGCAGTGAGCCGAGATTGCAGTACTGCACTCCGGCCTGGAAGACAGAGTGAGACCCTATCTCAAAAAAAAAAAAAAAAAAGAAAAGAAAAAAAAATGACAGTGGTAATAACTGAAAAAATTCTCTGGTTAGTGGAAAGATAATTACTCTATTGCAAATTAATAAATTGAATTTCTGGTTTACAAATCAGCTTTTTGTAAACTTGGATATAATGACTTAATTTCCAAGATCCTTATCATTACCCCTGTGTGAACTTACATGATTAAGGGCTTGATGCTGCAATACTTAGAAATAGACCTTGGACCTGTGGCGTTAACAGGAAATAGACATACCAATAAGCCTTGTCTAAAACAAATAACTGGCACCTTTTAAGACATCTTAAATACCCTGTTACTAGATTTGCTGATTTTTTTTTACTTTGAATGATATGCAATGTTCCCAGTATGAGTTAATGGAACCAAAGCTCTATCTTTTTTTGTTGTTGTTTTTGTTTTTTTTTTTGAAACGGAGTCTCACTTTGTCGCCCAGGCTGGAGTGCAGTGGCGTGATCTCGACTCATTGCAGGCTCCGCCTCCCGGATTCATGCCATTCTCCTGCCTCAGCCTCCCAAGTAGCTGGGACTACAGGCGCCTGCCACCACGCCTGGCTAATTTTTTTTTTAATTTTTTTTTTAATGTATTTTTAGTAGAGACAGGGTTTCACCATGTTAGCCAGCCAAAGCTCTATTTTTTTTTTTTTTTTTTTGAGACGAGTCTCGCTCTGTCGCCCAGGCTGGAGTGCAGTGGCGCGATCTCAGCTCACTGCAACCTCCACCTCCCGGATTCAAGCAGTTCTCTGCCTCAGCCTCCCGAGTGGCTGGGATTACAGGCGCCCACCATCACGCCCGGCTAATTTTTTTGTATTTTTAGTAGAGACGGGGTTTCGCCATCTTGGTCAGGCTGGTCTTGAACTCCTGACCTTGTGATCCACCCACCTCGGCCTCCCAAAGTGCTGGGATTACAGGCATGAGCCACCGCGCCCGGCCCGCTCTATCTTTTTACAAAAGATTCTATCTCTCACATCTAACCCCTTCCACTTCTCATCTAACTACAGTAATAGTCCCATGTCCGGTTTCTTTCACATCCAATCCAATCCTGATTAGATTACTTCCTTATTTTTGTGCATGCTTACTAGCTCTCTTACTTTCTTGCTTACTCTGGCTCATTCATTTACATGCTCTTTTTTCTTTTTTTTTTAACTTAGTGACCAATGTACATACTCTCTTATTGTCTTAGTTGGCCTACAACAATGCTCCTCTAACACTAATGTGCATAAGAATCACCTAAGGATCTTGCTGAAATGCAAATTCTGATTCTGTAAGTTTGTGGCTAGGGCAGAACCTAAGACTTTGGATTTGTTTTTTTGTTTTGTTTTTGTAGAAACAGGGTCTCACTATGTTGCCCAGGCTGGAGTGCAATGGCACAATCTTGGCTCACTGCAACGTCTGCCTTCTGGGCTCAAGCCATCCTCCCATCTCAGCCTCCCAAGTAGTTGGGACTACAGGCGCCTGCCACCATACTCAGCTAATATTTTTTTGCATTTTTTTAAGAGACAGGATTTCCGCCATGTTGCCCAGGCTAGTCTCAAACTCCTGGGCTCAAGCAATCCACCTGCCTTGCCCTCCCAAAGTGCTGGGATTACTGGCGCGAGCCACCACGCTTGCCTGGCTGAGATTTTGCATTTCTAACAAACTTCCGGTACACTCCCAGGTTGCTGGTCTAAAGTCCACAGTTTGCGCAGTGAGGATCTGAAGAACCAAGTACAAACTCTTTAGGGTAGTTTTCAGTGCATTCCACAGTCGTATCCAAATCTCATAACAGTGAACTCTGCTGAGGTAACGTTCATTGTTGCATCCTTAGCCCTTAGTATAGAGCCTGAAATAGGATAGGTGCTCAAAAAATATTTGTTGAATGATTGAAGGAATGAATGAACAAACAGCTACTCCCTGTTCATTATGCCATGCATTCAAAGCAAACTAAATTACTTGCAGGCTGGACACCGTGACTCATGCCTGTAATCCCAGCACTTTAGGAGGCTGAGGCAGGAGGATTGCTCAAGACTAGCCTGGCCAACATGGTGAAACCCCGTCTCCACTAAAAATACAAAAATTAGGTCAGCCATGGTGGCTCATGCCTGTAATCCCAGCACTTTGGGAGGTCGAGGCAGGTGGATCACAAGGTCAGGAGTTGAAGACCAGCCTGGCCTCATGGTGAAACCCCATCTCTATTAAAAATACAAAAATTAGCTGGGCGTGGTGGTGGGTGCCTGTAGTCCCAACTACTTGGGAGGCTGAGACAGGAGAATTGCTTGAACCCAGGAGGCGGAGGTGCAGTGCACTGCACTCCAGCCTGGGCAACAGAGCGAGACTCCATCTCCAAAAAAAAATTAAAAATTAGGCCAGGAACAGTGGCTCACATCCATAATCCCAGCACTTTGGGAGGCCCAGGCAGACAGATCACTTGAGGTCAGGAGTTCGAGACCAGCCTGGCCAACATGGTGAAACTGCATCACAAAAATTAGCTGGGCGCCTGACCAATATGGTGAAACCCCATCCCTACTAAAAATACAAAAATTAGGCTGAGCGCGGTGGCTCAGGCCTGTAATCCCAGGACTTTGGGAGGCCAAGGTGGGTGAATCACAAGGTCAGGGGTTCAAGACCAGCCTGGCCTCATGGTGAAACCCCATCTCTACTAAAAATACAAAAATTAGCCGGGCGTCATGGCAGGTGCCTGTAATCCCAGCTACTCGGGTGGCTGAGGCAGAGAACTGCTTGAACCCGGGAGGCGGAGGTTGCAGTGAGGAGAGATTACACCACTGCACTCCAGCCTGGGCAACAGAACAAGACTCCGTCTCAAAAAAACAAAAAGAAAAAAAATTAGCTGGGCGTGGTGGCGTGCACCTGTAGTCCCAGCTACTCAGGAGGCTGAGACAGGAGAATTGCTTGAACCTGGGAGGCAGAGGTTGCAGTGATCCGAGATCGCGCCACTGCACTCCATCCTGGATAACAGCGAGATTCTGTCTCAAAAAAAAATTTAAAAATTAAAAAATTAGCTGGGCATGGTGATGCGCACCTGTGGTCCCAGCTACTGGGAGGCTGAGGTGGGAAGATCGTTTGAGCCCGGGAAGTCAAGGCTGCAATAAGCTGTGATCGTGCCACTGCACTCCAGCCTAGGTGACAGAGCAAAACCCTATCTCAAAAAATAAAATAAAATTCTTGCTGTTTTCCATGAACTTTCCCGCCTCTGTATATTTCCTCCATTCAAATTCTCTTCATCCTTGAGTGCCCGGTTTAAATGAAAATGTCTCCATAAAGCCTCCCCTGCTGTCCCCTTGGGAAATTATCTCTTTGAGTTTGGAAGTCTTCTCCCTACCAGATTTTGGCTGCCTTGCAAATAATAATTATAGTAGTAATAATGTTTTGTTCACATTTGCTATAACCACTGTGCCTAGCACAAATGTTGACATATAGAAAATCAGTAACTCTTTTTTATGAGACAGGGTCTTGCTCTGTCACCCAGGCTGGAGTGTAGTGGTGCAATCATGGCTCACTGCAACTTGGAACTCCTGGGCTCAAGTGATCCTCCCAGTTCAGCCTCCCAAGTAGCTGGAATTACAGGCGCACACCACCGTGCCCAGCTAATTTTGTTTTTAAATTTTTTGTGGAGATGGGGATCTTTCTTTGTTGCCCAGGCTGGTAATACATGTTTATTATATTGAAATAGGAGAAGAAATAATTATCTAAATCAGCACTTTTAGAACTTTTTGCAAGGATGGCAATTTCTATAACCTGTGTTAATCTAGCATGGTAGTCACATGTAGCTACTGAGCACTTGAAATGTGGCTAGTGCAACTGAGGAACTGAATTTTTTATTTCTTTTAATTTTAACTCATTCAAATTTAAATGTAAATGGCCACATGTGACTAGTGGCTACCACATTGAACAGTGGCTATCCAGATAATTCTGATTAAAATTGTTCTTCATTCAACAGTATTTACTGAGTGCCTTCTGCCAGCCAGCCACACAGTATTCTATGGGCTGGTCATAGAAAAATGAATATAGTCATCCTTCCATATCCAAGGGAGGTTGGTTCCAGGATCCCCCCAGAATATCAAAATGTTCAAGTCCCTAATATAAAATGGCACAGTATTTGCATATAACCTACACACATTCTCCCACATATTTTAAATCATCTCTATATTACTTATAATACCTAATACAATGTAAATACTACATATATATATACACACACAATACAATTGTTCTACTGTATTGGTTTTTTAATTTGTATTATTTTCTTTTTTGTTGTTTTTTTTTGTTTTTGCTTTTGCTTTTGTTTTTGAGACAGTGTCTCGCTCTGTCGCCCAGGCTGGAGTGCAGTGGCGCAATCTCGGCTCACTGCAATCTCCGCCTCCTGGGTTCAAGCGATTCTTCTGTCTCAGCCCCCTGAGTAGCTGGGACTACAGGCATGCACCACCATGCCCAGCTAATTTTTGTATTTATAGTAGAGACAGGGTTTTCACCAGGTTGGCCAGGACAGTCTTGATCTCTTGACCTCGTGATCCACCTGCCTCGGCCTCCCAAAGTGCTAGGATTACAGGCGTGAGCAACCACGCCCGGCCTTTTTCAAATATTTTTGATCGACAGTTGGCTGAATCCAAGAATGAGGAACCCATGGATACAGAGGGAGGACTGTAATTCACAACTCTTGACCTTAAAGAGCTTGCAACCTATTAAGAAAAGATAGTCGGGATCAAAGAAATTCAATCAAGTGTTGTAGGTGCTATTATAGAAGATTGACAAAAGTAGAATGTGCACACAAAGGAGAATGTGGGCAAGAGTCAGAAAAGGATTCTGGAGTCGGGAGTCAGAAAAGGATGGTAAGAGCTCAAATGATGAACTAGGCACAGTGGCTCACGCCTGTAATCCTAGCACTTTGAGAGGCCGAGGCAGGAGGATCGTCTGAGCCCAGGAGTTTAAGATCAGCCTGGGCAACATGGTGAGACCTCCCATCTCTATTAAAATTATTTTAAAAATAAAATTTTAAAAAGCATTAAAGTGACATAGTCTTCATTAGGCAAACAAAAGATAGCTTTGCCCAGGGAAGAGTATGAACAAAGGAATGGGAAATCAAAACAGAGAGCCCATCTCCTCCTGGAACTACAAGTAGTTAATTTAGCTAACACCTAGAAAATGGAGGGCAGGGATTTCTACTAAAAGAACTGAAGCCTGGGCAACATGGCGAAACCCCATCTCTACTAAAAATACAAAAAGTTAGCCAGGTGGGGTGGTGCATGCCAGTAGTCCCAGATAACTCGAGAGGCTGAGGTGGGAGAATGACCTGAGCCCAGGAAATCGAGGCTGCAGTGAGCTGTGATCTTGCCACTGCACTCCAACCTGGCCAATGGAAGTGAGACCCTGTCTCAAATTAAAAAAAAAAAAAAAATATATATATATATATATATATATATATATAATAACTGGGGCTGAGGCAGGAAGATCACTTGAGCCCATGTGTTCAAGGTTGCAGTGAGGTATGATCACACCACTGTACTCCAGCCTGGGCAACAGAGCAAGACGCTACCTCTTAAAAAATAAATAAATAATTTGAAATACTAAAACAAAGAACTGGAGAAGTTTGTGCTGGAGACATAAGCAAGAGCCCAATCATAGAGTGCCCTTGTATGCAGTGCTGAGGAAGGATTTTGGCATCCCATAGGCAATAGAGAGCCATGGAAGCTACATATTCAGATTGACATTTTAGAAAGATGTCGATCTGCGTGATGCACTGGAAAGAGATACACAGTCTAAGAAGTGATGCGGCCAAACTAAGCAGTGGCAGTGAAAATGTAGCCAGGGTTTAGATGAGGTATATATGCTTTTTAGCCTGAAACAAGATGGTAACTACAGTGAACAACTTCATTTTGTCTTTTTTGATAATCCATTCAGTTTTCTTTTTTTGTGTACTTTTGCATATAGAGGCACAGCCTTCACTGAATGGTGGTGTCTCCATGGAAGCAAAGTTGAAACTTATGAATATCTGGAAATTTCAAGGAAAAACTACCTTCTGCCTAAATCATTTGAGAAATACTAGCCAAAATAATTGTTTCCTATCAGGAACTAATTATATCATGACTTAACACTGCCATTGATGCTAGTTATCTGTATTAAGTAAACATGTCATAGGGTTAGTTTGTGTAGACAAATGACATTTGCATTATTTTTTCAGTGCAGACTTTTTTTTCTTTCTTTTTTTTTTTTTTTTTTTTTGAGACAGAGTCTTGCTCTGTCACCCAGGCTGGAGTGCAGTGGCATGATCTCGGCTCACTGCAACCCCTGCCTCCTGGGTTCAAGTGATTCTCCTGCCTCAGCCTCCTAAGTAGCTGGGATTACAGGCGTGCGCCACCATGCCCAGCTAATTTTTGTACTTTTACTAGAGACGGGGTTTTACCATGTTGGTCAGGCTGGTCTCAAACTCCTGACCTCGTGATCCGCCTGCCCCGGCCTTACAAAGTGCTGGAATTACAGGCGTGAGCCACCACACCCGGCCTCAGTGCAAACTTTTAATAAACAACAAAACATTTATCAAGCCACAAGCAGACCTATCAACTCAGACTTACAGAAACAGAAGCATTGTTGTTAACAGAAAAAATAAACCCTACCCCCAAAAACAAATATTTTTTGGCTCTTTCCCTATATTGCTGAAAGTGATTTAGTTAAAATTAATATTGCCCAGAACCTCCAACAAGACTCTCTTTTATTGGTACACATACAAGCTTATAAAGCCAAGGTCATATTAATAATTAAGGAGGACACTCATATTAATGACAATAAAGACTATTTAAGTTTAAGTGAAGTATTTGCTACTGTAACTACCAACATTAAGTAAAATTCAAACACTATTGGCCTTAGCCATGGTGGTCAATAAAAAAGGAAAATCAGCAAAAGCAAAAAGGAAAAAAAAAATGGAAAAAAGAAACAGAATTAAAACACTATCACTACTATCAGCATTTGATGTCTATCATTGGTAGCAAGTTTACTGTTATATGCTGATAGCACTTCTAATGTTAGACACTAGAAATTAATGCTAGAACTGCTTGTGGAAAGATTAAGAGGTGTGAAGAGAGGATGAGTGGAGGTTTGCAAAGTAAAAGAGTGCTAAGGATAGAAACTTCTGAGAAAATACATTTATCTCAAATATATAGACAGTACCAGATTAGATTCTGGACCAAACTTTTTTTTTTTTTTTTTTTTTGGAGATGGAGTCTTGCTCTGTCACCCAGGCTGGAGTGCAATGACACTATCTCGGCTCACTGCAACCGCCACCTCCCGGGTTCAAGCCATTCTTGTGCCTCAGACTCCCAAGTAGTGGAATTACAGGTGTGTGCCACCACACCTGGCTAATTTTTGTATTTTTAGTAGAGACAGGGTTTCACTTTGCTGGCCAAGCTGGTCTCAAACTCCTGACCTCAAGTGATCCATCTGCTTTGACCTCCCAAAGTGCTGGGATTACAGGCATGAGCCACCATGCCTGGACTAATAATACTGAATTAGTGTTAATTTCCTGATTTTGACAATTACATTGTGGTTATGTAGGAGGATATCTTTATTCTTAAGAAGTACAGGCCGGGCGCGGTGGCTCATGCCTGTAATCCCAGAGAGGCCGAGGCGGGCAGATCACAAGGTCAGGAGATAGAGACCATCATGGCTAACATGGTGAAACCCCGTCGCTACTAAAAATATAAAAAATTAGCCGGGCGTGGTGGTGGGTGCCTGTAGTCCCATCTACTTGGCAGGCTGAGGCAGGAGAATGGCCTGAACCCGGGAGGCGGAGCTTGCAGTGCGCTGAAATAACGCCACTGCACTCCAGTCCGGGCGACAGAGCGAGACTCCGTCTCAAAAAAAAAAAAAAAAAAAGAAGTGCATGCTGGGCCGGGCACAGTGGCTCACGCCTGTAATCCCAGCACTTTGGGAGGCCAAGGCAGGCAGATCACAAGGTCAGGAGATCGAGACCATCCTGGCTAACACGGTGAAACCCCGTCTCTACTAAAAATACAAAAATTAGCCGAGCATGGTGGCGGGAGCCTGTAGTCCCAGCCACTCAGGAGGCTGAGGCAGGAGAATGGCGTGAACCAGGAAGTGGAGCTTGCAGTGAGCTGAGATCGCGCCACTGCACTCCAGCCTGGGCAACAGAGCAAGACTCCGTCTCAAAAAAAAAAAAAAAAAAAAAAGAAGTACATGCTGAAATATTTAGGGGTAAAAGGTGCATTATGCCTGCAACTTATCCTCAAATGGTTCAGAAAGAAAGGTAATATAAATATATTCCTTATGCATACTTTATATACAGTGGCGGTGTGCTACAGTCTTCTAGCACCATCTCACTAGAATTGATTGTACACATGTCTTCCCAACTCTGGTTCAGTGATTTCAGGTTGATAGCTTGAAATCAGCCATGATGGGAGTATTTACACCATGGAAATCAGCAAACACTAGAGACCAGTCTATTTTTCCCCCAGGAGAGCCAGTAGTTAAAACATATTTGTCAGGAATCTAATTCAAAGATCATGTCCAGATTTATGAATTTTTGTGTGTGTGATTATAACCAATGAGTTATTCTGTTTTACTTTTAACCTGAGTTGATACATTTTCAAAAACAAACCAACCAACCAACCTAGTGATAAGGGCAGACGCAGTGGCTCAGGCCTGTAATCCCAGCACTTCGGGAGGCCAAGGCGAGTGGATCGCTTGAGCTCAGGAGTTCAAGACAAGCCTGGGCAACATGGCAAAAACCCCTCTCTACTAAAAATACAAAAATTAACCAGATGTGGTGGCGTGTGCCTGTAGTCCCAGCTACTGACTTGGGAGGATGAGATGGGAGGATGGTTTGAGCCCAGGAGGTGGAGGCTGCAGTGAGCCAAGATTGTGCCACTGCACTCCAGCCTGGACGATAGAGCCAGACCCTATCTCAAAAACAAAAAGAAAAACCTAGTGATAAGTACCTAATAATGATAATAATATATTTTAATATGCCATCTTTTCTCATCCTCAAATCACCTGAAGCATCTTTCAAACTTGTCTTCCCAAGGAAGTAGGTAAATATATACATTATCTTAGCTTTGTAGTTATTTATTATATGCCATAAACGAAAAGTAATCACATACCTAGCAGCAGGAACCAATTTAGCTATGCCCAGACACACTGCTTGCTTCCCAGGCTTCTAAATCCTTCAATGGACTTCGTCAAGCCTCATATTCCCCACAAAGTCTCTCTTTTTTTTCTTTTTTTTTGAGACAGAGTCTCAACTCTGTTGCCCAGGCTGGAGTGCAGTGGTAGGATCTCGGCTCACTGCAACCTCCACCTCCCGAGTTCAAGCAATTCTCCTGCCTCAGCCTCCCAAGTAGCTGGGATTACAGGCGCCTGCCACCATGCCTGGCTGATTTTTGTATTTTTAGTAGAGACGGGGTTTCACCATGTTGGCCAGGCTAGTCTCAAACTCCTGACCTCAAGTGATCCACCCACCTCGGCCTCCCAAAGTGCCGGAATTACAGGCGTGAGCTAACATGCTTGGCATAAAATCTGTCTTGAATATCGCGTTCCACATTTGTCCCTTCCCTTCATTTGGAAGAATGTGTGGAAGATACATAGAGGGGCATCCACACCAACTACCTCACTTTTCAGAGAAGAAACCGAAGAGTCAGGAGATTAACTTCCCCAGTATAACACATTGTCCAGTAACAGTTAAAAGCAACACCCTAATCCTCTCATCCCCAAGTCCTAGGCTGTTTCTCTGCACCACTAGAGAACACATTTTACAGAGAGTGGATACAAGATCAAGTTTTCTGCTGCCTAGCCAAACTTAGTGTACTTATTCATTTCAAGAGTAGAAACATCTGTCTAGCACAGTAGATGCTCAATAAATAAAACTTGGTGATCAATAAATATTTGATATATCCATTAGTTTGGAATGCCTTTCATATAGTCTTTTTTTTTTAAGATGCTTTTTGATTTATTTACGAAGCTATAAAACTTGGCATGCATTTTCTCAGAGCTGTAAATGAAGAGCTGGCTACCAACAATGAAAGTCGATGACTTGTTTCACAGAGGGTGGGACTTCCAAATGTCTAGGTGCCAAATTAGAAAATGACATCAGCCTTGGAGTCTTTACTGAGGTTTTATCCTTTCAGATTTAAATATGGCTTATAGAACACTTTGAGAATCAATTTAAAGTCACTTTCCAGGGCAAAACATTATAGCCAATTAGATATTCTTAAAGAAGTATATCAACTAGTAGCACAAGAAAAAGCAAAAAAAATAGGGGCTATACCAAGTTGTTTGTCCCTATTAAAAAAAATAAATAAATGACGCTTTTCCACAACCTTTAGAAAGAGAAAGTGATAAAAATCTAAATATTATAAGTTGTCAAAAGGACTACCAGATGAAACTTAATGAGGTTAGTAGTCTATTTAAGATCTCAATCATCAGAAACTTTTAAACAGGGGTCTTTACTCCTTTATGAGTTGTTGAAACATTCTTAAGGTTTACAGCCTACCATTCAGCAAGTTAAGACCAATAAAACACCCACCTGATGAATTCAGTCTTACAACCCAAGAAGAAATAACAAAACAGAGTTGGAAAAGACACTCATTCATAACAACTGTTGTGAAATAGAGTTCAAAGAGCTTTGAAGTACAGTGATCAGATTTTTTATATATAGTACAAAAAATGGTATGCTGTTTGATGGAAAATCAGGTTCTATCCTTCAATCTACAAATAGCAGTATATGAAAATTAAAAGAGAATCAAAAATATGTAAGATAAGTTGCTGTCATGACATCATTACTTCAACCAAATTGTGGTTTTGATGCTCAAGAGGATAGTTGCAAATGTTTAGAAAGTTACAAACAATTTATTTTGAAGACAGGGAAATGGGTGAGACATAGTGCCTTTGCCTGCGAAAAATAAATCAAAACCATAAGTTTTTAAAAAATTATCTTTCTAGGGCCGGGTGCAGTGGCTCACGCCTGTAATCCTAGCACTTTGGGAGGCCAAGGCGGGTGGATCATGAGATCAGAAGTTCGAGACCAGCCTGACCAACATGGTGAAACCCTGTCTCACCTAAAAATACAAAAATTAGCCAGGTGTAGTGGCAGGTGCCTGTAATCCCGGCTACTCAGGAAGCTGAGGCAGAATTGCTTGAACCCAGGAGGCAGAGGTTGCAGTGAGCCAAGATCACGCCATTGCACTCCAGCCTGGGTGACAGAGCGAGACTCTGTCTCAAAAAAAAAAAAAGAAATGAAAAGGTGTAATATGAAGCCAGAATATTTGTCTTGGATCTCAAATGTAATGAAAAATTCTGATTGTAATTTTAAATATTTATACAAATAATGCAAAATAAAGATTATGTGAAGTTCAGAAAACCTTTTTCATTGTAGTTGAAATGCACTAGGATATTTAATAAAAGCTCAATGATAGAGTCTGAGAAAAATTAGATTCTACAGATAAAAGTAATGAAAACCTCACAATAAAATATTATTAGCATACTTTCATGTAAACACCATATAAAGTCTCTTGAAAAACTATGGCCAAACTCAAACCAGAGGTCCACATAATCATTTTAGAATTCCTTAAACGCAATACTGTTGTTTATACATTTAAAGTACATTGCTTAGGCCGGGCGCAGTGGCTCATGCCTGTAATCTCAGCACTTTGGGAGGCTGAGGCGGGTGGATCACCTGAGGTCAGGAGTTCGAGACCAGCCTGCCCGACATGGTGAAACCCCATCTCTACCAAAAATACAAAATTTATCTGGGCATAGGGTCATGCGCCTGTAATCCCAGCTACTCAGGAGGCTGAGGCAGGAGAATTGCTTGAACCCGGGAGGCAGAGGCTGCGGTGAGCTGAGATTGCGCCACTGCACTCCAGCATGGGCAACCTAGGGAAACTCCATCTCAATAAATAAATAAATAAATAAAGTACATTGCTTAAAGAAAGCCATACTTAATCAGGGAAAAGGAAAAATTCTGAAAACAGCTTTCAGAAGTATCCTGATAAACTACCAAGTTTGATAAGATGAATAATTCTACTTGTATAATAGGGCATTTCGTGTAACAACTAATACAACATTATTAATTTAAAGGTCAAACAGGCCAGGCACAGTGGCTCACGCCTATAATCCCAGCACTTTGCGAGGCCAAGGTGGGCGAATGACGAGGTCAGGAGTTCTGAGTGGCCTGGCCAACATGGTGAAACCCCGTCTCTACTAAAAATACAAAAAATTAGCTGGGCATAGTGCAGGCGACAGAGTGAGACTCTGTTTCAAAAATAAATAAATAAATAAATAAATAAAAATAAAGTTCAAACAATTGATTTGGAGTAAGGGGGAAGGGTATGGAGACTGTTCCACTTCCCTGTTTACAGATTCAAGTAGTTACACAAGACCTTCTGAGATCTAAGATGCAGTAGCTTTTTCTTAATTTGGTGGAAAGAGGGTTTTAAAACACTGTTGATAACAGAACCACCTTTATTCCTTTTTCTCTGTTTAAGTAAAATAGAAAGTCTCCCAAATAGATTTCAGGTCAATATGCTTTTCCTCAAAAATACAGTCAAGAGACTTCAGGATTTTATAAATATTCACATATTCACATAAAGTTTTCCCCCCTTTTAAATTTTTTCTGCCTTCCTCTTACATATTTCAAAGTACATTTTTCTTCTCCAGAATAATTATCCCCATCCTTTAACCTGGGAGTTAGAGGAATTTTCCACTGCAAATGTTGCTGTCTAGCTACTGTGCCCATAAATTATGTTTCTAAAGCATTGATTCTCAATGATTTCCAAAGTCGTATTCACTCCATGCTCCGAGGGTCAGACAACTTTTGGCACATCCTCAAACCTTGAAAGTAACATGGAGTTAATTCCCATGTTTATGAGACATTTGTTGCCTCCACTGTCTTCCTCAATGTGTGTGAGCTCACTCCTTTGGTGTGGAATATCTAAGAAAAGAAGGTGAGAAGGAAAAATCAGGAAATGACAATACCTTATATTTCTATGTGTTAACAAGGAGTTCCAAATACTTTTATATTATAATGCTGCATTTGTCTTTGCAACTTCCCTGTGAATGTGTCAGGGAGAGCTAAGGGGAAAGACTGGGACAATCATTTAACCTTTCAGTTTCATTATATCTTACCTGGGAATAACAATACAGGCTTGACATATTTTGGTTCTCTGAAGATAGAGTTAATAATAAATGTAATACATGAATCCATTCTCCTTTTAAAAAGTCAGAATTGGCCGGGCATGGTGGTTCATGCCTGTAATCCCAGCACTTTGGGAGGCCAAGGCAGGTGGATCACCTGAGGTCAGGAGTTCTAGACCAGCCTGGCCAACATGGTGAAACCCCATCTCTACTAAAAATACAAAAATTAGCCAGGCGTGGAGGCAGGCGTCTGTAATCCCAGCTACTCAAGGGGCCGCAGCAGGAGAATCGCTTGAACCCAGGAGGCGGAGGTTGCAGTGAGCCTAGATAGCGCCACTGCACTCCAGCCTGGGGAAGTGAGACTTCGCCTCAAAAAAAAAAAAAAAAAAAAAAGTCAGAATAGGGCAGGCACAGTGGCTCACACCTGTAATCTCCACACTTTGGGAGGCTGATGTGGGAGGATTGCTTGAGCTCAGGAGTTCAAGACCAGCATGGGCAACATTGTGAGACCTCGTCTCTATCAAAATTCAAAAAAATTAGATACGTGTGGTGGCGCATGTAGTTCCAGCTACTCAGGGGGGCTGAGGTAAGAGGATCGCTTGAGCCTGGGAGGTTGAGGTTGCACTGGGCCCTGATCATGCCACTGCACTCCAGCCTGGGCAACAGAGCAAGACCCTGTACCCCCCCCCAAAAAATGTTTTTTTAATCAGAACATTGGCCAGGCACAGTGGCTCACACCTGTAATCCCAGCACTTTGGGAGGCCGAGGCGGGCGGATCACGAGGTCAGGAGATCAAGACCATCCTGGCTAACACAGTGAAACTACTAAAAATACAAAAAATTAGCCGGGCGTGGTGGCAGGCACCTGTAGTCCCAGCTACTTGGGAGGCTGAGGCAGGAGAATGGCGTGAACCCGGCAGGCAGAGTTCGCAGTGAGCCGAGATCATGCCACTGCACTCCAGCCTGGGTGACAGAACGAGACTCTGTCTCAAAAAAAAAAAAAAAATCAGAACATTAAAAAGATGAAGCTAAAGTCTTTGTATTAGTCATGATTCCCCAGAGAAACAGAACCACTGTGTGTGTGTGTGTGTGTGTGTGTGTGTGTGTGTGTGTGTGTGTGTTAAGGAATTGGCTCACGTGATCATGGAGGCTGAAAAGTCCAAAGATCTGCAGTTGGCAAGCTGGAGACCAAGGTGAGTCAATGGTGTGGTTCCACTCTGAGAGCCAGCACAAGACCCAACAAGAGCTAATATTTCCGTTTGAGTCCAAAGGCAGAAAAAGACCAATGTCTCAGTTCAAGCAGTCAAGTAGTAGGAACTACCCGTTACTCTTGAGAGGGTCAGCCTTTTTGTTCTATTCAGGCCTTCAACTGATTATATGAGGCCCACCCACACTGGGGAGGGCCATCTGCTTTACTCAGTCTACCAATTCAAATGTTAATCTCCTCCAAAAACACCCTCACAGACACACCAAGAATAATGTTTGACCAAATATCTAGGTACACTTTGACCCAATCAAGTTTGCACATAAAATTAACCATCACTGGCCGAGCTTGGTGGCTCACTCCTGTAATCCCAGCACTTTGGGAGGCCAATGCGGGCAGGTCACCTGGGTTCAGGAGTTCGAGAGCAACCTGGCCAACATGGCAAAACCCCGTCTCTACTAAAAATACAAAAAAAAAAAAAAAAATAGCTGGGCATGGTGTTGCACGCCTGTAGTCCCAGCTACTTGGGAGGTTGAGGCAGGAGAATCACTTGAACCTGGGAGGTGGAGGTTGCGGTGAGCCGAGGTCATGCCACTGCACTCCAGCATGGGCAATAGAGTGAGACTCCGTCTCAAAAAAAAAAAAAAAATTAACCATCACAGTCCCCTTGGCCACCATCCCAACCTGCTTCTTTCCCTTCTTTCCATAGATAATCATTTTTTAGGTTGGTACACATCCTTCCCGACAAATATTTTAAATACTTCTACTTAAGTAGGCATAGAATTGGTATTTTAAATACTAATTTGCGTAGGTGGGTATGATGACGGGCACCTGTAATCCCAGCTACTCGGGAGGCTGAGACAGGAGAATCACTTGAACCCGGGAGGCAGAGGTGGCAGTGAGCCAAGATTGTGGCACTGCACTCCAGCCTGGGCAACAAGAGTGGAACTCCATCTCAATAAATAAATAAATACATACATACATACCAATTTGTTTATAAGCCTAAAGTATAGAACATAGTATTGTATCATAGTGTTTGACATAAATCGTGTCATACTGTACATACCCTTTTGTGACATGTGCTTTTCATTCAACATTATGTTTTAGAGATTTATCCCTGTTGATACATATAATACTTCATGATTATTAACTACTGTATAGTGTTCTATTACATGAATGAGCTACATTTTATTTAGTCATTCCCCCACTGATAGACACAGAAATTGTTTATTTTTCACAGCTAACAACCGTTCTATAGTAAACATCCTTGTGTACCTGTGGGTGTGTTTCTCTACCTAGAAGTGCAATGTATGTAATTCTTTCAATAGGAGACAACTAGTTTAATAAAAACTGAATGTAACATTTTAAGTTAGTCTTTTTTCTTTGTGTGTAAACTTGTGAATTGTTACTTTTTTTTTTCTTTTTTTTTTTTGAGACGGAATCTTGCTCTAGTCGCCCAGGCTGGAGTGCAATGGCACGATCTTGGCTCACTGCAACCTCTGCCTCCCGGGTTGAAGCGATTCTCCTGCCTCAGCCTCCCAAGTAGCTGGGATTACAGGCGCCCACCACATTTTTGTATTTTTAGTAGAGACGGGGTTTCGCCATGTTGGCCAGGCTGGTCTTGAACTCCTGACCTTGTGATCCGACCCCATCAGCCTCCCAAAGTGCTGGGATTACAGGCGTAAGCTACCATGCCCGGCTGAATTGCTACCTTTTGATGGAGAGCCTATGGATAGACACACTAAGAGACCAGCTACCCACCCAAACAGGGCTTTGCAGAGAGGCTGTAGTTTGGAGGGATTTGACATAATTCAGGGTTCACAACTCACTTCTGCAAATCCAGCGTCTAATTTCTGTCAGTGCACTAATTGGTAACCCTGTTTACAGTATCCAGGCACCATTGAAGCCACCTTAGGAATAAGAAAGTAGATTTTGGGCCAGGCGCGGTGGCTCACGCCTGTAATCCTAGCACTTTGGGAGGTCGAGGCTGGCAGATCATGAGGTCAGAAGACTGAGACCATCCAGGCTAACACGGTGAAACCCCATCTCTACTAAAAAAAAATACCAAAAAAATTAGCCGGGTGTGGTGGCGGGCGCCTGTAGTCCCAGCTACTCGGGAGGCTGAGGCAGGAGAATGGCGTGAACCCGGGAGGTGGAACTTGCAGTGAGCCGAGATCACGCCACTGCACTCCAGCCTGGGCAACAGAGTGAGACTCCGTCTCAAAAAAAAAAAAAAAAGAAAGTAGATTTTGGAGCTGGGCATAGTGGCATGCGGCTATAATCCCAGCTACTTGAAAGGTTGAGGCAAGAGGATGATTGAAGCCACGAGTTCAAGACCATCCTGGGCAACATAGGAATACCCCCATCTCTACAAAATATTTTTTTAGTTAACCAGGTGTAGGGATCCACGCCTGTAGTCCTAGAAACTTGGGAGGCTGAGGTAGGATGATTGCTTGAACCAAGGAATTCAAAGCATTACGTAGGTTTTATACAAAAATTTCTTCTCAAAGTCATTGGAATCACACAAGATTATTTGAGCTTTTTGGTGGTGCCTATGACTCCTAAATTTAGTTGTCATTTATAAGCACAAGCTTTGATTTTTCAGAGCTCACAAATAAGCACAAGCTTTGATTTTTCAGAGCTCACAAATTGAAATACTGATTTACATTTTTGTTTTGTTTTTTGATACAGGGTCTCACTCTGTCAACTAGGCTGGAGTGCAGTGGCACAATTATGGCTCACTGCAGCCTTGACCTCCTAGGCTCAAGTGATCCTCCCACCTCAACATCCCAAGTACTTGGGACTACAGGCACGTGCCACCATTCCCAGCTTTTATTTTTATTTATTTATTTATTTTAGAGATGAGGTTCCAGGCTGGTCTCCAACTCCTGGGCTCAAGTGATCCTCCCACCTTGGCCTCCCAAAGTGCTTGGATTACAAGCAGGAGCCACTGCTCCCAGCCAAAATACTCATTTACTGTTTTTCTTGTTGTCGTTTTTCTTTGTTTGTATGTTTTTTCTTTCTTTCTTTCTTTTTTTTTTTTTTTTTTTGAGACAGCCTTGCTCTGTCACCCAGGCTGGAGTGCAGTGGCATGATCTTGGCTCACTGCAACCTCCACCTCCGGGGTTTGAGTGATTCTTCTGCCTCAGCCTCCCAAGTAGCTGGGACTACAGGTGTGTGCCGCCACACCCGGCTAATTTTTGTATTTTTAGTAGAGATGGGGTTTCACCATATTGGCCAGGCTGGTCTCGAACTCCTGACCTCGTGATCCGCCCACCTCTGCCTCCCAAAGTGCTAGGATTACAGGCGTGAGCCACTGCGCCCGGCCTCATTTACTGGTTTTTAGGCCTATGTATAAGTGCACAAAATCCCTCATTTAGTAACTAGATACTGTTATCCCTATTTTACAGATGTGGAAACTGAGGCTCAAAAAGAGGTTAAGGAAAGTGGGGCACAGTGGCATGTGTCTGTAATCTCAGGTACTCAGGAGGCTGAGGCAGGAGAATTGCTTGAGCCCAGGAGTTTGAAACTAGTCTGGGCTGGCCGGGCTAGCCTCAAGAGGCGGAGATTGCAGATAGCACCACTGCACAAAAGAAACTAATCTGGGCAACATAGTGAGAACCTATATTAATTTTTTTTTGAGACAGGGTCTCACTCTGTTGCCCAGGCTGAAGGGCAGTGGTGTGATCTCTGCTCACTGCAACCTCCACCTCCTGGGCTCAAGCTATTCTCCCACCTCAGCCTCCCAAGTAACTGGGACTACAGATGCCCGCCACCACACCTAGCTAATTTTTGTATTTTTTGGTAGAGAGGGGGTTTCACCATGTTGGCCAGGCTGATCTCAAACTTCTGACCTCATGTGATCCACCAGCCTCAGCCTCCCAAAGTGCTGGGATTACAGGTGTGAGCCACCGTGCCTGGCCAAAAAAATTTTTTTCTAAGGTAAAGGGAATTTCCTTTTGGTCATATATCTCGGGAAATAATGGAGCCAATTCCATCCCAGGTCTGTTTGATTTCAAGCCCAGCACTTTCTCCAGAGTACCCTGTAGCCTTGCATGGTATATTTTCTTTCTCTATCCCTAACTGATCTTGTGACAATGTGTATGAAAGTGCTTTGATGCCAGGCACAATGGCACATGCCTGTAGTCCCAGCTACTCGGGAGACTGAAGCAGAAGGATCACTTGAGCCCAGGATTCAAGGCTGTAGCATGCTATGATTGTGCCTATGAATAGCCACTGAATGCCAGCCTGGGCAACATAGTGAGATCCCATCAAGAAAGTGAGAAAGGAAAGAGAGAGAGAGAGAGAGAGAGAAATAAAGAGAGAGAAAGAGAAAGAAAGATGGTGCAGATGGTGCATGTCTGTAATCCCAGCACTTTGGGAGGCTGAGGCAGACAGATCACAACATAGCGAGACCCCATCTCTACAAAAAATACAAAAATTAGCCAGGCGTGATGGTGCGTGCCTGTAGTCCCAGCTACTTGGGAGGCTGAGGTGGAAGGATCACTTGAGTCTGGGAAGTTGAGGCTGCAGGGAGCCCTGATCATGCCACTGCACTCCAGCCTGAGTGAAAGAGGGAGACCCTGTCTCAAAAAAAAAAAAAAAAGGAAGGAAGGAAGGAATCCCAGGTACTGGGATTGTCATTGGACCAGGGAGGGAGGGAGGGAGGGAGGGGAAAAGACATAGTAAAGGAATGAGGAGTTTTGAGATATAAAGGGCAAAAGTTACCATTTTTTGAAGACTTACTCTGTGTCAAGCACTGGACTACATACAGTACCTTATCTTTTTTTGACAGAGTCTTGCTCTGTCATCCAGGCTGGAGTGCAGTGGCACGATCACAGCTCACTGTAGCCTCAACCTCCTGGGTTAAAGTGATTCACCTGCCTCAGCCTCCCGAGTAGCTGTGGGACTACAGGCATGCGCCACCACACCCATCTAATTTTTGTATTTTTAGTAGAAACGAGGTTGCACCATGTTGGCCAAGATGGTCTTGAACTCCTGGCCTCAAGTGATCTACCCACCTCGGCCTCCAAAAGTGCCGGGATTACAGGTGTGAGCCACTGTGCCCAGCCCAGTACCTTATCTTTAAACCTCCCATATTATTATCTCGATATTATATATTATTATCTCCATGATATAGGTGAAAAAAATTGAAGTTTAGATAATTTAAATGACTTGTACAAGGAGGTCAGGGACAGAATTAAAACTCAGGTCCATTAGGATGCAAAATTTATGTGATTTCCACTATAACCAAGTGTATTAGTCTATTCTCACGTTGCTATAAGGAAATACCTGAGACTGAGTAATTTATAAAGAACAAATGTTTTATGGACTCACCGTTCTGTGGGGCTGGGGAGGCCTCAAGAAACTTACAATCATGGCAGGAAGCACCTCTTCATAGGGTGGCAGGAGAGAGAATGAGAGCCGAGCAAAGTGGGAAGCCTCTTAGAAAACTGTCAGATCTCATGAGAACTCACTCATTATCACAAGAACAGCATGCGGGAACTGCCCTCATGATTCAATTATCTCCACCTGGTCCCGGCCTTGACACATGAGGATTATTACAATTCAATGTACGATTTGGGTGGGGACACAAAGCAAAACCATATCCTTCTGCCCCTGGCCCCTCCCAACTCTCATGTCCTCACATTTCAAAACACAATCATACCCTTCCAACAGTCCCCCAAAATCTTTTTTTTTTTTTTTGAGATAGGGTCTCACTGTGTCACCCAGGCTGGAGTCCAGTGACATGATCTCGGTTCACTGCAACCTCTGCCTCCCGGGTTCAAGCAATTCTCCTGCCTCAGCCTCCCAAGTAGCTGGGACTACAGGCATGTGCCACCATGCCAGGCTAATTTTTTGTATTTTTATGTAAAGATGGAGTTTCACCATGTTGGCCAGGCTAGTCTTGAACTCCTGACCTTAGGTGATCTGCCCGCCTTAGCTTCCCAAAGTGCTGGGATTACAGGCGTGAGCCACTACACCTGTCCTGAGTCCCCCAAAGTCTTAACTCATTCCAGCACTAACCCAAAAGTCCAAGTCCAAAGTTTCATCTAAGACAAGGCAAGTCCCTTCCGCCTAGAAGCCTGTAAAATAGCAAGTTAGTTACTTCCCTGATATGGTGGGAGTACAGGTGTTGGGTAAATACACCCATTCCAGGTGGGGCACGGTGGCTCACACCTGTAATCCCAGCACTTTGGGAGGCCGAGGTGGGTGGATCACCTGAGGTCGGGAGTTTGAGACCAGCCTGACCAACATGAAGAAACACTGTCTCTACTAAAAATACAAAATTAGCCAGGCATGGTGGCATATGCCTGTAATCCCAGCTATTCAGGAGGCCAAGGCAGGAGAATCACTTGAACCCAGGAGGTGGAGTTTGCGGTGAGCCGAGATTGCGCCATTGTACTCCAGCCTGGGCAGAGCGAAACTCTGTCTCAAAAATAAATAAATAAATAAAATAAAAAATAAAAATACACCCATTCCAAATGGCAGAAATTGACTAAAATGTGGCTACAAGCCCCATGCAAGTCCGAAATCTAATAAGGCAGTCATTAAATCTTACAGTTCCATAATGATCTCCTTTGACTCCATGTCTCACATCCAGGTCATGCCGATGCAAGAAGTGGGCTCCCATGGCCTTGGGCAGCTCCACCCCCATGGCTTTGCAGGGTATAGCCCCCCACCCCCCCGCCCAGGTGCTTTCATAGGCTGGCATTGAGGGTCTGCAGCTTTTTCCAGGCATATGGTGCAAGCTGTCAATGGATCTACCATTCTGGGGTCTGGAGGATGGTGGCCCTCTTGTCACAGCTCCACTAGGCAGTGCCCCAGTGGGAACTCTGTGTGGGGGATCCCACCCCATATTTCCCTTCCACACTGCCCTAGCAGAGGTTCTGCATGAAGTCTCCACTCCTGCAGCAAAATTCTGCATAAACATCCAGGCATTTCCATACATCCTCTGAAATGTAGGCAGAGGTTCCCCAACCTCAGTTTTTGACTTCTATGCACCCACAAGCTCAACACCACATGGAAGCTGCCAAGGGTTGGGACCTGCACCCTCTGAAGCAATGGCTGGAGCTGTACCTCGGCCCCTTTTAGCCATGGGTGGAGTGGCTGGGACATAGGGCACCAAGTCCCAAGGCTGCACACAGCAGCTGGGCCCTGGACCTGCCCCAGGAAACCATTTTTCCCTCCTAGGCCTCCAGGCCTGTGATGGGAGGGGTTGTCTTGAAGGTCTCTAACGTGCCCTGGAGACATTTTCCCCATTGTCTTGGTGATTCACATTTGGCTCCTGGTTACTTATGCAAATTTCTGCAGCCAGCTTGAATTTCTCCCCAGAAAATGGGTTTTTCTTTTCTACTGTATCATCAGGCTGCAAATTTTCCAAACTTTCATGCTCTGTCACCTCTTGAATGCTTTGCTGATTAGAAAGTTCTTCCACCAGAAGGCCGGGCACAGTGGCTCATGCCTGTAATCCCAGCACTTTGAGAGGCCGAGGCTGGCAGATCACCTGATTTCAGGAGTTCAAGACCAGCCTGACCAACATGGAGAAACCTCGTCTCTACTAAAAATACAAAATTAGCTGGGCATGGTGGCACATGCCCATAATTCCAGCTACTCGGGAGCCTGAGGCAGGAGAATCATTTGAACCCGGGAGGAGGAGGTTGCAGTGAGCACCATTGCACTCCAGCCTTGGCAACAAGAGCGAAACTCCATCTCAAAAAACGAACAAACAAAAATTAGCCAAGTGTGGTGACATGCGCCTGTAATCCCAGGAGGCAGAGGTTGCAGTGAGCCAAGATCATGCCATTGCACTCCAGCCTGAGCAACAAGAGTGAAACTCCATCTCAAAAAAAAAAAAAAGAAAGAAAGAAAGAAAGAAAGAAAGTTCTTCCACCAGATACGTTAAATCATCTCTCTCAAGTTCAAAGTTCTCTAGGGCAGGGTGAAAAGGCCACCAGTCTCTTTGTTAAAGCACAGCAAGAGTGGCCTTTACTCCATTCCCAACAATTTTCTCATCTCCATATGAGACCACCTCAGCCTGGACTTCATTGTCCACATCACTATCATCATTTTGGTCAAAGCCATTCAACAAGTCTCTAGGAAGTTCCAAATTTTCCCACATCTTCCTGTCTTTTCCTGAGTCCTCCAAGCTATTCCAACCTCTGCCCATTACGCAGTTCCAAAGTCACTTCCACATTCTCAAGTATCTTTTAACAAAGCCCCACTCAATCCCTGTGCCAATTTACTGTTACTGGTTCATTTTCACACTGCTATGAAGAAATACCCAAGACTGGGTAGTTTATAAAAGAAAGAGGTTTAATTGACTCACAGTTCTGCATGCCTGGGGAGGCCTCAGGAAACTTAACAATCATGGCAGAGGGGAAGCAAACACGTTCTTTTTCTCATGGCAGCAGGAGAGAGAAGTGCCAGAAGCGGAAATGCCAGATGCTTTTAAAACCATCAAATTGGCTGGGCGCGGTGCCTCACGCCTGTAATCCCGGCACTTTGGGAGGCCGAGGCAGGCAGATCACGAGGTCAAGAGATCAAGACCATCCTGGCCAACATGGTGAAACCTCGTCTCTACTAAAAATACAAAAATTAGCTGGGCATGGTGGTGCATGCCTGTAGTCCCAGCTACTCGGGAGGCTGAGGCAGGAGAATCGCTTGAACCCGGGAGGTGGAGGTTGCAGTGAGCCGAGATTGTGCCACTGCGCTCCAGCCTGGCGACAGAGCGAGACTCCATCTCAAAAAAAAAAAAAAGAAAAAGAAAAAGAAAAAAGAAACCCATTAGATGTTGTGAAAACTCACTATTATCAGACCAGCATGGGGGAACTGCACCCATGATTCGATTATATCCATCTGTTCCTACCCTTGACACATGGGATTATTACAATTCAAGGTAAGATTTGGGTGAGGACACAGAGCCAAACCATATCACCAAGCTTCCTGTCACTGTATTATTGTATTGTATTTCACATATTATTAATATATTAATTCTGGTCAAGCTTACATGTTTTTCAAACTTTCTTTGTGTCCCTCTCTAGTTTGGTGTAGTACAATATAAGTTTCTTTTCATTTTTTACCTTATTGAGGAGAAGGTGAGGGAAGTCTTGCTGTTATCTAGTGCCTTCTTCATTCCACTATTGTATATTTTCTCTTTTTTTTTTCTTGAGACAGGTCTGGCTCTGTCGCCCAGGCTGGAGTGCAGTGGCACGAACACAGCTCACTGCAGTCTTAACCTCCTGGGCTCAAGTGATACTCCCACCTCAGCCTCCCCAGTAGCTGAGAGCACAGATGTGTGCCACCACATCTGGTTAATTTTTCTATAATATATTTTTTGTAGAGATGGGGGTCTCATTATATTGCCTAGGCTGGTCTTGAACTCCTGGCTCAAATAATCTTCCTGCCTCAGCCTCCCAAAGTGCTGGCATTGCAGGTGTGAGCCAACGTGCCTGGTCTGAGATTGAGACTGAAAGAAAACTGGGAGTTTACCTAGGCAGAGAAGGGATGAGAGAGTATTCAGTATTTGAGAGAGAGTCTAGCATGGGCAAATACACCAAGACGTAAAGAAGGCATGAACTGAGGAACTACAAGAAGTTTGGTACTGCTGAAATCTAAAGGAGAAGGGGCAAAGAACAGTGGAGAGAGATTAGGCAGGGGCCAAATTGTGGAGGGCTCTTGCAATGAGTGCTAAAGACTGAACTTTATCTTGAGAGTGATGGGAATCCACAAAAGCTTATAATGAGGGAACGAGCAGCAGATGCTTTTGGTAGAAGTATGGAGCATGGACAAGTGAGCAAGACTGATATCAGGAAACCTATTAAGAGGCTATGGGCTGGGTGCGGTGGTTCACACCTGTAATCCCAGCACTTTGGGAGACCGAGGCAGGCGGATCACCTGAGGTTGGGAGTTCGAGACCAGCCAGACCAACAAAATTAGCCGGGCGTGGTGGCACATGCCTGTAATCCCAGCTACTCGGGAGCCTGAGGCAGGAGAATCATTTGAACCCAGGAGGCAGAGGTTGCAGTGAGCTGGGATTGTGACATTGCACTCCAGCCTTGCTCTCCAGCCTGGGCAACAAGAGCAAAACTCTGTCTAAAAAAAAAGAGGCTATGATAACAGGTCAGAGAAGAAATGACAAGGCCCTGAAATAAGGTTGTGGCAGTGTAGATGGGAGAATGAGTCAAGAGATAGTTAGGAATTGTGATAAGAACTTGGAAGCCATTTGGATGAATGAAGGGGGTGGGGCTGTGAGTCCATGTTTCTGACATTCGCCTGAACAGGAAAGAAGTAGTTTGGGAAGAGATTATCGTTTTTTTTTTGTTTGTTTGTTTGTTTGGATACGGAGTCTCTTTGTGTCGCCCAGGCTGGAGTGCAGTGGCACGATCTTCACGCTCACTACAACCTCTGCCTCCTGGGCTCAAGGGATCCTCCCACCTCAGCCTCTCAAGTGGCTGGGAGTACAGGTGCATGCCACTACGCCAGGCTAATATTTTGTTTTGTTTTTTTTTGTAGGGATGGGGCGATCCATTCGCCTCGGCCTAGCAAAGTGCTGGGATCACAGGTGTGAGCCACTGCACCTAGTGAGATTATGTTCTTGACTTCAGTTTTAAGTGCTGGCAAAATTAAATCTAAATCCCTTGGCATGGCATTCAAGGTTTTTGATGATATGACCCCAAACTATATTTCCAGCTTCATCTCCCCAATACCGCTTTTTGCATATAAGATTACCAAAAGCTGTCCTTTCAGACTGTATACCTTAAAAAATGTTTTTTTTCTGTAGAGATGGGGGTCTTGCTATGTTGCCCAGGCTGCTCTTGAACTCCTGGGCACAAGCCATCCTCCTGCTTTGGCCTCTCAAAGTGTTAGGACTACAGGTATGAGCCATCATGTCTGGGCTGTACCTATTTTTTTAAACTCTTGACTCCTTCAGTTATGTGTCAGGAGCATGCCAGAATATCATCAGAGGAAACATAGGAACAAGTAATTAGAAAATGTGATGAGTATGTGTACATACATGTATATATACATATACACACACATATATACATATCACAAATGATGAATTAAGAGGTGACATTTCAGCTGTATGATTGTTAAAATGGCTCCCAATGAATTATTCTTCTCTGTATCCATGCCCCTTTGCAATGTGACTCTACTGCTCCTTCCATCAAGTGGTAGAGTCTCTTTCCCCTCCCCTTGAGTCTCTGACCATGTACCTTGCTTTGACCAATCAAACGCAACATCTTGGGATCTCTGAGCCCAGGCAGGCCTTATGAGAACTAGCAGCTTCTGCTTTTGCCCTTGGAACCCAGTTGCCATATAAAGAAGTGCAGGCTATGCTGCTGGAAAGAAGCCATGTAAAGAGAGAAGACCAGCTATGACAATGTCCCAGTTGAGCCAAGCCCCCAGATGACCCACCAGCTGACTGCAGCCACATGAGTGAACCCAGGCAAGACCAGCAGAACTGTCCAGCCAATCCACAAAAATCTTAGGAAATAATAAAGCACGTTGTTTTAAGCCACTCAGTTTTGGGGGATTTTGTTATGCAGCAATAAGCAAGTGAGACAAGCTGGCAATGGAAAGATGAATAGGAATTCTCCGGGAAGGTAATGGAGGAAAAAGCTTTCTGGGCAAAGTGAAGCAAAGATGCAGAGGAGGAAAAGTGTATGTCAATCTCAGGAATGGCAAGTAGTACTGTGTGGTTAAAGAAAAAATTGAAGGTGCCCATCAGAGTAGTGGAATGAAAAAGTAAACTGGGTCTCAGTTTGGAAGAGAAATGTGTTGGAACCAGTTGCAATTTAATTATGAGCTTTGGCTATACTGCATCTTAGAATATCATATAGGAGTTGTGTTTCTCCTGTATTGTTCCTTTCATTTGTGAACAGTTTACTCCCAAACTTCCTCAAATAAATGATCGTTATCAGGTCATTATCTGGTTTTCTTCAATGCGATTATGTAGAGATTACTTTTTTTTTTGAGACTGAGTTTTGCTCTTGTTGCCCAGGCTGGAGTGCAATGGCGTGATCTTGGCTCACTGCAACCTCTGCCTCCTGGGTTCAAGCGATTCTCTTGCCTCAGCCTCCCGAGTAGCTGGGATTATAGGCACCCACCACCACGCCCAGCTAATTTTGTATTTTTTGTAGAGAAGGGATTTTTTGGGTTTTTTTGAGACGGAGTCTCACTCTGTCGCCCAGGCTGGAGTGCAGTGGCGCGATCTCGGCTCACTGCAAACTCTGCCTTCCGGGTTCACGCCATTCTCCTGCCTCAACCTCCCGAGTAGCTGGGACTACAGGCGCCCGCCACCATGCCCGGCTGATTTTTTGTATTTTTAGTAGAGATGGGGTTTCACCGTGTTAGCCAGGATGGTCTCGATCTCCTGACCTTCTGATCCGCCAGCCTCAGCCTCCGAAAGTGCTGGGATTACAGGCGTGAGCCACCGTGCCCGGCCTTTACCGTTCATTTATTAAAGAAGCAAACATTGAGCTCCTAGCATATGGCAGGCACTTGGGATTCAGAAAAATAAGCCACAGTTCTTGCATTCTAGAAGTTTATAGACCATCTGAAGAGATGGACAGGCAGTAGGAAACTACAATACAGCATGCTTAGCCCCAGAGAGGAAAGAGAGAATTTCATCTGATTAAGATGATACAGGCCGGGCGCAGTGGCTCACGCCTGTAATCCCAGCACTTTGGGAGGCCAAGACGGGTGGATCATGAGGTCAGGAGTTCAAGACCAGCCTGGCCAAAATGGTGAAACCCCGTCTCTACTAAATATACAAAAATTAGCCGGGCATGGTGGCGGGCGCTTGTAATCCCAGCTACTCGGGAGGTTGAGACAGGAGAATCGCTTGAACCCAGGAGGCGGAGGTTGCGGTGAGCCGATGTGCCACTGCACTTCAGCCTGGCTGTCAGAGTGAGACTCCGTCTCAAAAAAAAAAAAAAAAAAAAAAGACAATACAGGCAAGGTATAGTGGCCCATGCCTTTCATCCTAGCACTTTGGGAGTCCAAGTCGGGTAGATCACTTGAGGCCAGGAGTTCGAGACCAGCCTGACCAACATGGAGAAATCCCATCTCTACTAAAAAATACAAAAATTGGCTGGGCGAGGTGGCTCACGCCTGTAATCCTAGCACTTTGGGAGGCCGAAGCCGGTGGATCACTTGAGGTCAGGAGTTCAAGACCAGCCTGACTAACATGGTGAAACCCTGTCTCTACTAAAAATACAAAATTAGCCAGGCATGGTGGCGCACACTTGTAATCCCAGCTACTTGAGAAGCTGAGGCAGGAGAATTGCTTGAACTCAAGAGGCGGAGGTTGCAGTGAGCCAAGATCACGCCATAGCACTCCAACCTGGGCAACAAGAGTGAAACTCTGCCTCAAAAATCATAATAATAATAATAATAATAATACAAAAATTAGCTGGGTATGGTGGCACACACCTGTAATCTTAACTACTTGGGAGACTGAGGCATAAGAATTGCTTCAACCCAGGAGGTAGATGTTGCAATGAGCTGAGATCATGCCACTGCACTCCAGCCTGGGTGACAGAGTGAGACTCTGTCTCTAATAATAATAATAATAATAATAATAATAATAATAATAATACTTTCTTCATTTCCTTCCACCCAATCTTTCCTCTGGCTCATTAGCCTTGAACTCCTTGACTCAATCAATCCTCCCACCTCACCCTCCCAAGTAGCTGGGACTACAGGTGGGCAGCACTCCACCCAGCTTATATACCATTTTATCAACTGTGTAGATTCATGTACCCACCACCACAGTCAGGATACGGAACAATTACAGCATCACAGATTCTTCCTGTTGCCCTTTTATAACCACACCCATCTACCGCCACCCTCCCTTCCCCAATCCATGGCAACCACTTACTCTGGCCCTCCACTTCTTAAATTTTGTTATTTCAAAAAATGCTATATAAATAGGCACTTTTCAAAAGTTTTCTGCACTCAGAGTGAGAAACATATGCAGTGCTACAGTATTTCAAGAAGGGTGGAACCCTCTTGTGTTTTCTTACTCCATTTAAAGGAAAATATTTCCTTCCAGCAGAGTAAAATTGACTCACTTTCTGGGTACTTTAGTAAATTTCTACTTTAGTAATGGCAGCTGAATCCCCTTAGCAATGGTCACTGCTTCAAGTAGTAGTTTCTATGAAGGAAAACAGCCTCCCCACACCCTATATAGTTCAGACAGAACTTTGGGGCTGGAGGAAAGAAAAGTTTTTGCTTGAAATTCATGTATCAAAATCATCACACATTGATAAAGGACAGAATTCAAACCTAACATACGAAAATGGGGCTGGGCGTGGTGGCTCATGCCTGTAGTCCCAGTACTTTGAGAGGCTGAGGCAGGAAGATCCAATTAAGTCCAGGAGTTCAAGACCAGCCTGGACAACATAGGGAGACCCCATCTCTACAAAAAAATTTTTTAAAATTAGCTGAGTGTGGTGGCACAGCCTGTGGTCCTAGCTACTCGGGAGGGTGAGGTGGGAGGATGACTTGAGCCCAGGAGGTTGAGGCTGCTGTGAGCTATGATCGTGCCACTGTACTCCAGCCTGGGTGACAGAAGAAGACCCTGTCCCTCCTGCCCCCCCCAAAAAAAAAGATAAAAAGAAAAATATTTGATTTATACTCATAGTCTCATATTCCATTTCATATTCCATCTTGGAACCAAATATTTAGATTCTTTGGGGCTATCAGAGAAAATGTGCTTTCCTTTGAACATAAAGTTGCCACTAAGTAGGATCCAAGTTTATCCAAGTTCATTAGAAGATATAAGCTTGACACTGCTTTCCTGTAATGGAGAGGGATACTACACTCTCTCCTTTCCTTCTCTCATATGGCAGAATGGCAAAAGGAGTGTGTGGGAAGGTTGCCCAGGTTATGGGTCAGTAGTTCTTTTTTCATGTGTTCTCAACTGGCTTTGTTGTTCTAGGTTTCCCCTTACTACCCAGAGTGACTGGGATGTTGTCACTACATCTTGCTGGTTTCTCCCCTCTTGTTTTCTGCTTGGCCAATCCCAGCCCTTCTCCTTCCCGACTTAAATATTCAACATTCTGATTTCAACATCTTTTTCCTTCTCCTGCTGTGGAGACATCTAAAGAATTTCACCTGCTGTGTGTTTCCAACAGGCCAATTAAAATATGGAGCAGGTGGAGGGAAAGAAGAGGAATAAGAACAGCAAACAAGAAATTACCAAGTATTCAGCAAAGCAAAGAGGGGCCTCCTATTAGGTTTCAGTGAAGCCACTGAGCTGATCTTTTACAATCTTCACGGACTGTTGTCAGAGAGGAGATGAGTGAGCCAACTGAAGTGGAAAAATTGAAAAATGAAGGTAGAAAATGATCTGGAAAACTATACTCCCCAAGAAGAAAGACTTGGGCCGGGTGTGGTGGCTGACGCCTGTAATCCCAGCACTTTGGGAGGCCAAGGCGGGTGGATCACCCGAGGTCAGGAGTTCAAGACCAGCCTGGCCAACATGACGAGACCGTGTCTCTACTAAAAATACAAAAATTAGCTGGGCATGGTGGCAGGCGCTTGTAATCCCAGCTACTCGGGAGGCTGAGGCAGGAGAATGGTGTGAACCCGGGAGGCGGAGCTTGCAGTGAGCCGAGATCGCGCCACTGCACTCCAGCCTGGGCGACAGAGCTAGACTCCGTCTCAAAAAAAAAAAAACAAAAAAACAGAAGAAAGACTTTAAGTATCCTAAAGTCCAAAGGATTAATGGTCCTTACTACTACTGTGGGTTGCATTCTATTTTAAAGACAACTGGTATCAGTGGATAAATAATGTAGTAGTAACTTGAGAACATGGAAAACCTACCTGAGTTGTGTCATTTCAAATACCTATTAAAGAGTTGAGTAGAGGATGCAAGTATGAGAGACTCGCTGCAGTATGTAATTATGCACTTTGAAAGCTTGGTTCATCCATGGCTCTCAAAGCACATTACCAACTTTAATTGTTTTTTGTAACACCTCTGTAAGACCATTATTCCCTACAGACAGATGAAGAAATGGAGACAGAAAGGTTACCAGGCGCCTTCAGTCACCATGAATCATCTGTGGAGTTGCTCCTATTCCAGATTGATTTGTCATTTGAGTTAATTGACCATTTCCAAATGAAGACAGACTGCTTGAGCAGTGCTTTGAGTAAATTTTGGCTTCTAATTTTTGTTTGTTTGTTTGGAAGCAAGGGACGCTAGATTCATTTTAAGCTGTAATCTGTTTGAAGAGTTACTATTCAATAAAATGTACATGGAAACATATTAAAATATGCAAGACATATGCCAGCACACACATATAAGTTTATAACATAATAGACCAAGTGGGTCCTTTTGTCCTCCATCATTCACCTTGCACAGAAAACAAAACAAAACAAAATGACAAATGTATCATATACGATCATACAGCTTTAGGATCTGGAACAACCTCAGATCTTTTTTTTTTTTTTTTTTTTTTGTGAGACAGAGTCTCACTCTGTCACCCAGGCTGGAGTGCACTGGTTGCCCACTGCAACCTCCACCTCCTGGGCTCAAGCAGTTCTCCTGTCTCAGCCTCCCTAGTAGCTGGGAACACAGGTGCGCACCACCATGCCCAGCTAATTTTTGTATTTTTAGTAGAGATGGGGTTTCACCATACTGGTCAGGCTGGTCTTAAACTCCAGACCTCAGGTGATCCACCCACCTCGGCCTCCCAAAGTGCTGGGATTATAGACGTGAGCCACTGCACCTGGTCAATCTCAGATCTTTTAGCTTTTGTGACACTCCTTTCAGAAAACCTACTCCAATTATTGGGCCACACCTCATTTGTCCTTCTGTGTTCCTGTTGTAATGATAGTCTATTACACACAATCTATCGCTGTATCACACTGTACTTATACTCTTTTGTTCTTTTGATTTTTTTGGGTTAAACAACACAACAGTTATCAATGCCCCTGTATTGTATTTGGAATCAGGGAATAGCTTGTGAATGATGTATGTAAGTCTCTTTCTGCCAACGAGACTATAAACCCCAGGAGGGCTGAGTTTGAGTCTTGTTTTCTTATATCCTTCTTCCCAGAATTTCTGGGTACACATCAAACACTTAACACACAGTGTTAGTTTGATTTAATAGGATTGAGAGACGGTGGTGAGGGTAACAGTGAAGTGAAATGGGTTCTATTAAACTCATTAATCAAGGTGGCTGAATTTAAATATATATTTCAGGTGGCCGGGCGCGGTGGCTCACGCCTGTAATCCCAGCACTTTGGGAGGCCGAGGCAGGCGGATCACGAGGTCAGGAGAACAAGACCATCCTGGCTAACACGGTGAAACCTCGTCTCTACTAAAAATACAAAAAAAATCAGCCGAACATGGTGGCGGGTGCCTGTAGTCCCGGCTACTTGGGAGGCTGGGGCAGGAGAATGGCTTGAACCCGGGAGGCAGAGTTTGCAGTGACCCAAGATCATGCCACTGCACTCCAGCCTGGGCGACAGAGTGAGACTCCATCTCAAAAAAGTAAAATAAAATAAAATAAAATAAAATAAAATAAAATAAAATAAAATAAAATAAATATATATTTCAGGCCGGGCATGGTGGCTCATGCCTGTAATCCCAGCACTTTGGGAGGCCAAGGCAGGTGGATCACAAGGTCAGGAGTTGGAGACTGGCCTGACCAACATGGAGAAACCCTGTCTTTACTAAAAATACAAAAGTTTGCTGGGCGTGGTAGCACACGCCTGTAATCCCAGCTACCGGAGAGGCTGAGGCAGGAGAATCGCTTGAATCCGGGAGGCGGAGGTTGCAGCGAGCCGAGATCGCCCACTGCACTCCAGCCTGGGCGACAGAGTAAAACTCCATCTCAAAAAATAAAAAAAAGGGCCAGGCGCGGTGGCTTACGCCTGTAATCTCAGCACTTTGGGAGACCAAGGCGGGCGGATCACGAGGTCAAGAGATCGAGACCATCCTGGCCAACATGGTGAAACCCCGTCTCTACTAAAAATACAAAAATTAGCTGGGCATGGTGGTGCTCGCCTGTAGTTCCAGCTACTCGGGAGGCTGAGGCAGGAGAATCACTTGAACCCGGGCGGCAGAGGTTGCAGTGAGCAGAGATCAGCCACTGCACTCTAGCCTGGGGACAGAGTGAGACTCTGTCTCAAAAAAAAAGAAAAAGAAATACAAAAATTAGGCAGGCATGCTGGCACACCTGTAGTCCCAGCTACTCAGGAGGCTGAAGTGGGAGTTTCCCTTGAGCCTGGGAGACAGAGGTTGCAGTGAGCTGGAATTGTACCACTGCACTCTAGCCTGGGCAACAGAGCAAGACTCTGTCTCAAAAAAAAAAAAGAAAAAAAGAAAGGAGGCCGGACGCAGTGGCTCACGCCTGTAATCCTAGCACTTTGGGAGGCTGAGGCGGGTGGATAACCTGACGTCAGGAGTTCGAGACCAGCCTGACCAACATGGAGAAACCCCGTTTCTACTAAAAATACAAAAATTAGCCGGCGAGGCTGAGGCAGGAGTATCACTTGAACCCAGGAGACAGAGGTTGCGGTGAGCCAAGAACACGCCATTGCACTCCAGCCTGGGCAACAAGAGCAAAACTCTGTCTCAAAGAAAAAAGAAAAGAAAAGAAAAGAAAAATTTGTAAAAACATCAGTATTGATCCAAATTGTATTGTACTTGTCAATGCACAGTTTTTGGATGGGGAGGTCTTCCCACTCCATTTATTTATTCATTTGTTCATTCATTCCTTCACTCATATATTTAGGTACTGAGCAAAAATTAACTCAGTGCCTACTAATGGACTAGATAGTGTGCTAGTCATGATAACATAGGGACTAGGGAGACATGGTTCCTGACTTCCAAGGTTTGCCTTGGCAGTGTAGTGAAAAGTTATCTTTCCCATTTCCAAATTCCTGAGATCAGAAATGTAGTTAAACTATTTTTTTTTTAAGAATTACTTTAATTTTTCAATTCAAGTTGAATAGATTTGGTTTTGTGGTTTGGTATCATATGGCCAGCCAGGTCTTGCCATCCAAAAAGGAGCTTAGATTTAGACGTATATACATCAGACAGTGAGGCAGCCAATTTAGCTAAATGATGCCAAAAATTAGCTAGAAACAGCTTTGTTGCCTATAAGAACAGCTTGACTGGTGATTCACCATATGATTTAGGTGAGTCATATAACCTCTATGTCTGGGGTTTCTCAGCTGTAAATTACAGAGATGCTAGGAATATAATGAATAAGAAACACAATGGCATAGTGCAAGAGTACCAGACCAGAAGTCAGAGTTATTTTTATGGCTTTGCTTCTACCTATCTGTATGACCCTGGGCAAGTCACCTAACCTTTCAGTGGCCATTTCATTAACTGCAGAATTATAATAAACTGCTCACTTTAGAGAGATGTTACAAAACAAAGCAGGTAAAGTGCTTTGAAAATTATAGTTTCAGGTTGGGAGCGGTGGCTCACGCCTGTAATCCCAGCACTTTGGGAGGCTGAGGCGGGCAGATCACAAGGTCAGGAGCTCGAGACCATCCTGGCTAACACGGTGAAACCCCGTCTCTACTACAAAATACAAAAAATTACCTGGGCGTGGTGGCGGGCGCCTGTAGTCCCAGCTACTCGGGAGGCTGAGGCAGGAGAATGGCGTGAACCCGGGAGGCGGAGCTTGCAGTGAGCCGAGATTGCGCCACTACACTCCATCCTGGGAGACAGAGCGAGACTCCACCTCAAAAAAAAAAAGAAAAGAAAAGAAAAGAAAATTACAGTTTCAGAGATGCTGTTGTGTAAATTGATATCACTACTATGTATCAAGAGATCCTTTGAGAGTACAAATTAACATCCCTAAATTTATCTGTTTCATACATTCTTATTTTCATGTTAGAAAACAGAACTGATTTGACTGTCCAAGTAAATCTGAGGGCCCCTTGAATGGCAGGACTTAAGAACACAATTTCCACAATGGTACACAACAACGATTTCTCCAATTATCTCAGTGCCATTACCCATATACTGATTTAAACATAAGGAGTAACCATATAGAGAGTAGAAGGCAAAGAGATAATGTATATAAAGGGTTTTGAGAGCCATGGAAATGGCTAAGAAGCTGTATAAATGAATTTCATCATGCTATATCCCTGATTAATCATACTGTTTCACGACTGTTTCATTTCATGTGAAACTAACACATAATTAGTCCAATAAACTCTAATTAGAGGAATGATTCCTCAGGCTTATATAGAGGGTTTGTACTTTTTGAATCTCTTTCATGTACATTTTCTCATATGATCCTTACAACAATCCTCTGAGGTAGGTGAACAGAAATTATTACGCTCTTGTATTGATATTTTTATGTTTCACTTCATATAACTAGTCAAATATTGACTTACAATTCACACAATATAGGTCTTTTCACTTAATTTTTTTTATTTTTTAATTTTTTTTGAGACAGGCTCTTGCTCTGTCACTCAAGCTGGAGTGCCGTGGCACAATCACGGCTCACTGCAGCCTCGACCTCTTGGGCTCAAGTGATCCTCCCAGCTCAGCCTCCTGAGTAGCTGGGACTACAGGCACATGCCACCACACCTGGCTAATTTTTCTATTTTTTTTTGTAGAGACGGGGTTTCGCCATGTTGCCCAGACTGGTCTCGAACTCCTGGACTAAAGCGATCCACCCACTTCAGCCTCCCAAAGTGCTGGGATTACAGGCGTGAGCCACCCTGTCCGGGCTTTTTCACTTAGTTATTATGGATCACATAAAAATCTAATGTATCTAAAAATTTATAACAGAAAACCAAGAACGGTACAGCATAGAGTACATTCTTTTTAGTAATCAAATAACAACAACAACAACAAAATCTAGTTGAAAGAAAAACAGGTTTTTCCAGATTTGTTAGATCATTCTCTTTACTTAATGATTAACACAGACCTTTGTTAAATTTCTACTAAGAAATCCATGTGTAATGTTTGTTTAATGAAAAATAAAATGATTTTTAGCAAGTTTTTCTCAACTTCAGAAGATTAATTTTATGGGAGGAGATTTGGAGTCTTTCTTTTGTTTTTAATCCTAGTTTCCCTGAAACAACAGTTAGGTGTTCATGAACATACTCATGTGTTTGCCTTTCTTCCTCAACATAATTGTCAGTAATCTGGCAGAAGCAGAGCCTAATCTCTGCCAAACAAAATTCCAGTATTCAACGAGAAAATACACTTTTTATGCCTTAGCCAAAAATGCAAAGCCCCTTATATAAGCTAATGGAATTAAAAAAGAAATCCTCAGTACCTAGTAACAGGAAAAAGCTAAAGAAACATTTCCAAGTCACTTATCTGAAAAAATAAAAAATAAACAACACACACACAAAGAAAACTGACTCTCAAAATAAAAGTTCACATAACAAATAGACATTAATAATTTTGTATGTAAAATATATTTTTGGAACAGTAAGGTCTATTGTAAGAAAAATTAAATTTTGAAGCTAGATCATTGTTTAAATACATATCTCAATTTATTATATCCTAGTCTTTCTTCGCAAATTTAAGTTCTGGGAAATTACAAGAAGAAAATAACAGTTTTGATTTCTCTTGGGTTCTTATTCTTTGTTTCTGTTTTCTTTCTTAGAGAAGGGGTCTTACTACGTTGCGCAAGCTGGAGTACGGTGACTATTCATAGGAGCAATAATAGTGTACTGTAGCCTCGAACTCCCAGGCTCAAGCAATCTTTCTGCTTCAGCTTTCTGAGTAGCTGGAAATACAGGTGCACAAACACTCCAGGGACCCTTATTAACTTTTACCCAGTATTCTTCCAATATTTAGTCATAAGCCTACAATTAACAAGTATAGGCCCAGGCCAGGCGAGGTGGCTCACGCCTGTAATCCCAGCACTTTGGGAGGCCGAGGAGGGCATGAGCTACCGTGTTCGGCCAGTTTTCTTTGGTTCTTTTGTGGCACAATTATTTTTAAAATTTCAGAACTAAAAAAGAATTCAGAACTACTAATTATTATGAATTAGAGAGGCTGACTTCTTCCAACTCTGAAATTCTAGCATTCCAAATTCAAGGCTCATGTTGCACTGAAGCTTTGGCTCTTTAGAAATGCAGGTCTGTTCTGTACAGTCTCAACTTGTTGCTGTTGGGCTAGCACTAATGAGTGAGCCTTCAAATACATAACTCTTTCATTGCTTAACTGGAGGATAGTGTAATGGCAATGAGCAATGTGGGGCTATGTTGAACTCAGCAGGGAAAGGGTTGCAGAAAAATTCCCATTACAAAGTTCAAAGTGTATGCAAGAGTTTTTTTGGAAAAGTAGAATCAGAAGGCATTCACAAGATATTGTATTTTATGCCTTCATATTTTGTAACATGAGAAAATACAACACTGGGCCAGCAATGAGTTAGTTATAGGGAAAAGTAAGAAAGGTGAGGATGATAATCATTTGCAGAGATCTACATCAATTTGATTTATAGGTTTCAGACCCCATATGATATTCCAGTGTTTTTCAAACTTTAGCTGGCACCTATACCACGTAGAGACCTCATTAAAAGATTGCTGGGTTGCACCTTCAGTTTCTGATTCTAGGTTTGAGGTGGGGCCCAGGAATTTGAATTTCTAACAAATTCCCAGGTGATGCACTTTTGAGAACCACTAGGTATCCATATACCATGTAGTTAGTCTACTAACTTTTTTTTTTTTTTTTTTTTTGAGACGGAGTCTCGCTCTGTCGCCCAGGCTGGAGTGCAGTGGCGCAATCTCCGCTCACTGCAAGCTCCACCTCCTGGGTTCACGCCATTCTCCTGCCTCAGCCTCCCGAGTAGCTGGGACTACAGGCGCCCGCCAGTACGCCCGGCTAATTTTTTGTATTTTTAGTAGAGACGGGGTTTCACCGTGTTAGCCAGGATGGTCTCGATCTCCTGACCTTGTGATCTGCCCGCCTCAGCCTCCCAAAGTGCTGGGATTACAGGCGTGAGCCACCGCGCGCCATTAGTCTACTAACTTTTAATAAGTACTATATTTGTTCTACAATTTATAAGCAAACTACCACATGAAATAGTGAAAACGTGGTTTAAAAGTATTTTTGAAACAATAATATCAGTTATGGGGGGTTTTATTTCCCTTAATTTTCAAATATGGAAAAATGGGACATAAAGTTGATTTTTTTTTTTTTTTTTTTTTTTTTTTGAGACGGAGTCTCGTTCTGTTGCCCAGGGTGGAGTGCAGCGGCGCGATCTAGGCTCACTGCAAGCTCCACCTCCCGGGTTCACGCCATTCTCCTGCCTCAGCCTCCCGAGTAGCTGGGACTACAGACACCCGCCACAATGCCCGGCTAATTTTTTTGTATTTTTAGTAGAGACGGGGGTTTCACTGTGTTAGCCAGGATGGTCTCGATCTCCTGACCTTGTGATCCGCCCGCCTCGGCCTCCCAAAGTGCTGGGATTACAGGCGTGAGCCACCGTGCCCGGCCTAATTATTGTTTAAATGTATATTAAAATTCAGCAATAACAGTGGTGAGTTAAAAATTCACACATTTATGCAAATTTTTTGTTATGCATTAGAAATACATAACAAGGCAGCTGGGCGCGGTGGCTCAAGCCTTTAATCCTAGCACCTTGGGAGGCCGAGGTGGGCGGATCACCTGAGGTCAGGAGTTCGAGACCAGCCTGACCAACATGGAGAAATCCCATCTCTACTAAAAATACAAAAAATTAGCCGGGCATGGTGGCACATGCTTGTACTCTCAGCTACTCAGGAGGCTGAGGCAGGAGAATTGCTTGAACCCGAGAAAGAAAGAGAGAGAGAGAAGGAAGGAAGGAAAGAAGGAAAGAAAGACATAACAAGGCTGGGCACGCGGTGCCTCATGTCTGTAATCCCAGCACTTTGGGAGTCTGAGGCGGGCAGATCGCTTGAACCCAGGAGTTCAAGACCAGCCTGGGCAACATGGTGAAACCCCATCTCTATAAAACATTTAAAAAAAGAAATATATAATGAGGTAATTACAGGACAAATGACATTATGTCTAGGATTTACTTTGGAGTATTGGGGTGAGCAAGTGGAAGGAGTGCTAGATGAAACAGGACTGATAAAATGTCAAATTGTTGAGGATAAGTGATGAATATCGTGGAGTCATTATGCTTTCTACTTTTGTATTAAGTTTAAAATTTTCTGTAATAGAAAGCTTTGAAAATTCACATCTTCAATATCAAAGTTTAGTTGACACGTAAGAAAAAATTTGGACTGTGTTTAAGACATGGTTATTAAGGTTTATCTCAGACAACAGTGCAGTGATAACACTGTCAAAGATTAGATAACCAGTCCCTACGTAGACTGGGCCTGAAATACAACTTAATTCAGGAATCTCCATTGTGGGCAGGAACTTCTAAATTTCTTTCTGGCCGGACATGGTGGTTCACGCCTGTAATCCCAGCACTTTGGGAGGCCAAGGTGGGCGGATCATTTGAGGTCAGGAGTTCCAAACCAGCCTGGTCAACATGGTAAAACCCCGTCTCTACTAAAAATACAAAAATTAGGCTGGGCACAGTGGCTCACATCTGTAATCCCAGCACTTTAGGAGGCCGAGGCAGGTGGACCACCTGAGGTTGGGAGTTCAAGACCAGCCTGGTCAAAATGGTGATACCCCGTCTCTACTAAAAATACAAAAATAGCCGGGCATAGTTGCGTGCACCTGTAATCCCAGCTACTCGGGAGGCTGAAGCAGAAGAATCACTTGAACCCGGGAGGTGGAGGTTGCAGTGAGCTGAGATTGTGCCACTGCACTCCAGCCTGGGCGACAGAGCAAGACTCCGTATCAAAAAGAAAAAAAAAATTACCCGGCATGGTGGTGGGTGCCTGTAATCCCAGCTACTCCAGAGGCTGAGGCAGAATTGCTTGAGCCTGGAGGTGGAGGTTGCAGTGAGCAAAGATCGCGCCGCTGCATTCCAGCCTGCGAGACAGAGTGAGACTCCATCTCAAAAAAAAAAAAAAAAAGAAAGAAAAAAATTCTTTTTGCCAAAGGTTCTTTATTCCCTCATTCTTTATCCCACCAGATTGCTCACAGCTTCTGAAACTCACTGGCAGTTGCTTCCGCAAACTCACAAATATCCTTCCTTGCTGCCTGCCTCAAAGGGGCAGTGGTTTTTTAGGTTCATTGCTATTTGCCTGTTCAAGTTCTGTTATAGTGAGTATACTATCTCCTGAGACAACCAGGCATATCTTTTTGGAGGGAGTGGTGTTACCATTGTTCATATATATATACATTTTAAAAATTGACATTTCATGCACTTATAGAATTCCATACATTAATGTGAAAACTGATGTCTTTTCTTTTAAAACATGGCATGACCTAATGTGTACCTTACGCCTACGTACAATGGCATAAGATATATTTAGGAGGTTACATTGCAGTATTTTTAAGAGGGTGATTTTATTTTTTCTAAGAAAGTGAAACAAATACAAGGTAGTATGATATAATTTTAAAGAATAGTATTTTATTGAATACGTTTTATTCACAGAAAAATAAGCTTTAATCTACAATGAATGCCAGATTATACAGCAGAAAGCAATTTTCTTAGTTTTCCACACAGAAAGGTTCTAAGTGAAAAAAACCATAAAATTATATTCACAAATATAGTACTCTGTCTCAAAACATTTCACATGATTATTCACAATACTAATACAATTAGATCAGTCAGTCAGGTTAAAATATAACAGTAATGAAAAAAATGCAAAATCTAACATAAATTACATTAAAACCCTTGTTACATCAAACCAAAACTGCAAATTTCTTACTAAATCCAGAAAAATGGTAACATATATAGTAATTTAAAATATTACATTAATGATACAGAATAAGAAAGTGGTAAACTCCAAAAATCTATAGGCATATCTGCAAACTTCAGATTCAAAGTAGAATCTGACCACCCAAACATTAATGTAGCATTTGTCTAATTTTTTTGTTTTGTTTTGTTTTTGAGAGGGAGTCTCACTCTATCACCTAGGCTGGAGTGCGGTGGCGCCATCTTGGCTCCCTGCAACCTCCGCCTCCCAGGTTCAAGCAATTCTCCTGCCTCAGTCGCTCTAGTAGCTGGGACTACAGGCATGCGCCACCATGCCCAGCTATTTTTGTATTTTTGTACAGACAGGGTTTCAGCATGTTGGCCAGGCTGGTCTCCAACTCCTGACCTCAGGTGAGCCGCCTGCCTCAGCCTCGGAAACTGCTGGGATTACAGGCGTGAGCCACCGTGCCCGGCGCCATTTGTCTACTTTGAAGATACAATTGTCCCTTGCTATCCCTGGGGTTTTGGTTTCACGACCCCCTAGGACCTGAGGACGCTTAAGTCCCTTAGATAAAATCACACAAGGCCGGGAGCAGTGGTTCACACCTGTAATCCCAGCACTTTGTGAGGCCGAGGCAGGCAGATCACCTGAGATCAGGAGTTCGAGACCAGCCTGGTCAACACCGCGAAACCAGTCACTACTAAAAAATACAAAAATTAGCCGGCCGTGGTGGCTCACGCCTGTAATCCCAGCACTTTGGGAGATGAATCACTTGAGGTCAGAAATTCAAGACTAGCCTGGCCAACATGGTGAAACCCTGTCTCTACTAAGAATACAAAAAAAATTAACTGGGCACCGTGGAGCATGCCTGTAGTCCCAGCTGCTTGCGAGGCAGAGTTTGCCATGAGCCAAGATTGTGCCATTGCACTCCATCCTGGGCAACACAGTGAGACTGTTTAAATTAAAAAAAAAAAAAACAGTATTTGCATATAATGTATGCACATCTTCATCACATACTTTATTTATTCTGAGACAAGGTCTTGCACTGTCACCCAGGCTGGAATGCAGTGCCATGATCATAGCTCAATGCAGCCTCTGCCTCCCAGACTCAAGCGATCCTCCCACCTCAGGCTCCGGAGTAGCCAGGACTACAGGCACACACCACCATGCCCAGCTAATTTTTGTATTTTTTGTAGAGACAGGGTTTTGCCTTTTGTCCAGGCTGGCATCATATACTTTAATTCATGTCCAGATGACTTTAATACCTAATACAATATATTAGGTTGGTTTAAAAATAATTGCTTTTTTTTTTTTTGCATTTTTGCACCAACCTTAATGCTATGTAAATAGTTGTTATACTGTTGCTTAACAACAGTATGACAATTTTGGCTTTTTCTTTGTATTATTTTGTATTTTTTTTTTTTATTGTGTGGTCTTTTTTTTTTTTCTCAGTGTTTTCAATTCCTCCTTGGTTGAATCCATGGATGCAAAACCCACAGATATGAAGGGCTGGCTATATATGCATTGATGATTGTCCTATTATATTAGTTATAAAGTGTCATTTAATATGTAGTGAAAGTTATGGTACAGTGGAAAGAGTAGTTGAAAACATAAACATTTGGACCTTTCAAGAAAGGTAGCTTGGTGAAGTTTTTCACCTTCAAACTATGTCCCAGTCAGGGCTCTGCTACTAATTAGCTATAATCTTTGCACAAATTACATCACCTTTGAGTCTCAGTTGCCTCACCTGTAAAATGAAAGAACTGGATACTCTCTAAGGTCACTTCCAGCCCTGTCATTCTATAACTCTGTTATGCTGAGGAAGAAATTCACATTGTGTTAACTGTATGAGTCAAACTGAAAATGATTATTGAAGTGGGAAAAAGCCAATTGCTTCTCTTAGAAAGCTCAACTAAATTTGAGAAGAATAATCTTTTCAATTTTTTAAGAATTTAAATATTTTTAAGGGTTTGACCTATTTATTTAGAGATGGGGTCTCACTCTGTCACCCAGACTGGAGTACAGTGGCACAATCATAGCTCACTGCTGCCTCAAATTCATGGGCTCAAGTGATCCTCCTGCCTCTGCCTCCAGAGTAGCTGCGACTATGGGCATGTGCCACCACGCCTGGCTAACATTTGTATTGACCTATTTATTTATTGTGATTTATATCTTTTTTTTTTTTTGAGACAGAGTTTTGCTCTTGTTGCCCAGGCTGGAGTGCAATGGCACGATCTTCGCTCACCACAACCTCCGCCTCCTGGGTTCAAGCGATTCTCCTGCCTCAGCCTCCCAAGTAGCTGGGATTACAGGCATGAGCCACCACGCCCAGCTAATTTTGTATTTTTAGTAGAGACGGGGTTTCTCCATGTTGGTCAGGCTGGTCTCGACCTCCCGACCTCAGGTGATCTGCCCGCCTCGGCCTCCCAAAGTGCTGGGATTACAGGCATGAGCCACCGCGCCCAGCTGATTTATATCTTATCTATGAGAAACACCAAAAACTATGAGTAAGCATCACTGAGTTATCATGTAAGAATTTTTTCTAAGTTTTAGCCCAAATTTCCAGGTCAAGACAAACCCACAGAGAGGTAAAAGGGTATTAGGATGGGAGTTCATATTTACAGCAGGAACTTTACATACATGGTCTCCTTGAGCTCTTGCAACCTTGTAAGATAAGTATTATTTTCCTTTCACAGATGAATAAACTGCTACCCTTTTTTTAACAAGTAGATTTGACTAAAAAGAACTATGTCAAATATTGCTTCCCATTTTCTTATTTCTTTTTTTTTTTTTTTTGAGACAGAGTCTTGCTCTGTTGCCCAGGCTGGAGTGCAGTGGCGAGATCTCGGCTCACTGCAAGCTCTGCCTCCCGGGTTCACACCATTCTCCTGCCTCAGCCTCCCGAGTAGCTGGGACTACAGGCGCCCGCCACCACGCCCGGCTAATTTTCTGTTTTTTAGTAGAGACGGGGTTTCACCGTGTTAGCCAGGATGGTCTCGATCTCCTGACCTCGTGATCCACCTGCCTCAGCCTCCCAAAGTGCTGGGATTACAGGCGTGAGCCACTGAGCCCAGCCCCATTTTATTTCATTTCTCTAACAGCAATGATATATATACATCCCATAGTATATCCTACTGATATACTAGCCCCTTTCCCCATTCAACACCTGTGTAATCAGGAAATAAAACAATGATTCGGGTTTAAAGGGTATATCATGTGAAACTAATGCTGGGGCGGTAGTCTCCATTCATAGTTCAAAATACAAATTTTATCCACTAAAATGGAAACACAAAAAACAACTACTGAAATGTAAATAATATAACAACAAAAATAACAAAATATCATAATACACAGGGCCAAATCACATTATATACACTCACTACACCCACTCTACCCTACCTTAGCCCGTAATCAAAGGGACAGGGGAAAAAACCAAATGTAGCAGGAAAGGCAATATAAAGCTATTAATTAATTAACTGGAATTTAGTTTGTAAATGCTAAAACCAGTTCTCAAAAATTAAGACAATGCTTTTGATCAGCAGACTAAATTATTACAAATAAAGATAAGTACTTATTGCAAAACTACTTGAATCTTTGCATGACTAAAATGTAAAATAAGTGGTGACTTGAAATCCTAGAGTGAACTTTATACAGAAAAGGAATAGTCTACATGTAGACACTGAGAACTCTTGGGAGGGGGAAAAGATTTGGATATGGCTATAGTTTTGACTTTGCAAATGATCAATTTTTGCGGAATTAGATGGAAAAGATCCGGTGCTTTTTATAGTTCAAACACAGACAAATGCTGTTAAGTCTCCAAAAATTTGATTAGAAGTTGGAGTGCTGAGTGATTTTAAGAACCTGAAGCAACAGCATTTCTAAACAATTCTTAAAATAAACTTGTTAGCCACATCAGCGTTGTGCATTAAATTTCACAACTCATGGAGAGGAAGAAAAAAAGTCTTGCTTAACTCTAAACATACAAGTTTTAGAAGAATTTTAATGAAGTGCGGCTCCCAGAACAGGAAAAGCCTTATGTTAAAACAATTCAGTCCTTGAGTCCTTGGCTAACAACTAGATTGAACTACCTACCTGACTTGGAAGTGAAGTGTCCTGGAAAACATATTTTAAAAATTTTAACACTTTTCTCCCCTTGTAGAAAACTTTAAATTTAAAGTCTAGACTATACAGACCAAATTCAAGTTAATGACTATATAACCAAACTAAGTGGCAGACAGTGCAAAGGTGAAGAACTGAGGATTTACATACTAAAACAGAAACAGGGCAGTCATTATTTAATTTTTAAAACTCTCATTTAAATTTGCAATGTTTTAGCCGGGCGTGGTGGCTCAAGCCTGTAATCCCAGCACTTTGGGAGGGCAAGGCGAGTGGATCTCTTGAGGTCAGGAGTTTGATACCAGCCTGGCCAACATGGTGAAACCCCGTCTCTACTAAAAATAAAAAAAAATTAGTCGGGCATGGTGGCACCTGCCTGTAATTCCAGCTACTCAGGAAGCTGAGGCACGAGAATCGCTTGAACCCAGAAGGCGGAGGTTGCAGTGAGCAGAGATCACTCCACTGCACTCCAGCCTGGGTGACAAGCAAGACTCCATCTCAAAAAGAAAATTAAATAAATAAAATAAATTTGCAATGTTTTAAATGAATATCACTTAAAGTAGTAATCAACAGAAGTTAGGAGAACATAACAATACTCTTTCTCTTAGAAAGTACAACAAAAATATAATTTTTTACAGTTTTACTCTCAAACTTTCCTCTGTAGTAACATGCCTTACTCACCTCTACAATAGGTTTGTTGTGAGAATCTTGTAATGTAAACCCTGGACGTTCTATGAAGCATTTTTAAACTTCTAGTTTATACCCTACTGATTCTTATTCAAGTGTTTTTTAAAAAATATTTAAACAACTATTCTTCTTTTCTTGCCAATATTTTTATAATTTCCAAGAGGTTTTAAGGATCTTGAGAGAACATTTATTTCAGAAGTATCTACTACTATTACTAGCCAAGAAAACAAATGTAGGTAGAGGAAAGACTTAACATTTTGTCCTATATACATCTTAATCATCCTAACGGTAAAAACTCACATGAAACTTTAAGATACAAGATGATATGAGAATCTCAACATGGAAAGCTGTCACTATAACTACAAGCAGTGTACAAACATGCTTCTACTTTTACCTACATAAGCTGACAGATGTTTAAAATACTGAGTTAACAAAGATCTTTTAGTAAAGTGACTTAGGCAGGCTTAAACTAGCAAGGATTAAGGATGAATCCTTACTAATTAATTGGAAGATCTGAGACATATTTTATATTTCATTTTACAAAATCAGAAATACTTATTTTGAAACAAGATAAGACATGGTCTACCTGTCAAAAAACTACCACTCAGAAATATTTTTCATCCACAAAGCAGGAAAAACATAAAATCATTTACATTTCACATTGGCACCAAAAAGGTTAACTGCCCTGCCTTCTTGGATTAGAAAAACTAAAGCTGAGTGATAAGTAGTTTTGCAGGCGTTTGAACATGCCTAAGCCTTTAAATCAGCAAAATACTTTCTAAAAATTCTGATTACAAAAGTAATACATACTTATAAAAAATTCGAACAGAACAAAATGAAAAAAGTAGAAAGTGAAAAGGCCCCTATAAAACCCCTCTGGGGCCCCTCCCCCAATCCCCCCCTCCCCGAAGAGAAACCACATTTAACAGTTTGGTGTATATCTTTCCAAATCTTTTGTTCTATGCATATTAAAAACATACATACTTTGATCTGGCTCAGACTATACATAGTGTTTTGCCACTTGCATTTTACACTTAACATATCTTTGACATCTTTCCATGTCAGTACATGTTGGCTCGATAGTATTCTATCATTAAATACGCTTTCAAAAATGGCAAATCACTTTAAAAAAATAATTCGCACAAGTACGTGTTTATAACTTTAAAAGAAAATGGACAGAATCCTAAAACACAACAACCAACCTCTAAAAACAATCTCTATCTTTCCACCAGCATGGAACAATTTATTCCTTTTTCACACAAAACAAATTATGTGATTGGGGAGATTAACTCTAATCTCCACATTTATATACAGAAAGCTCCATTTGTTAAGCCTATCTGAAAAGAATAAAAAATCCAGATGATTAATTCACTTACACTTAGAAATTAAATCAGTATACTATGAATACACATTGTGTTCAGTTATAGTATGATGCTTCTTATTCTTAGTCTATGGTTTCAATTAAATAACAGTAAAAAAAATGGATAATACAGCTAATACCCTGAAAAATCAAGAAATTCAAAGATTATATTGCCAACTAAAACACTGCCATGTACATTTTTTTTCCTACTTGGTAGCAAATGCTAATGGAATTCAATCCTGATTACTTAAAGTCAGTTCACATCACACATTCAATCAGGGTAATAAGAACAACATAACATGCCTACTATAGAGTTAGATTAAGACATAAAAATTTTTTGCTTGAAAGTAATGACTGTGTAGCACATGGGACACTTGTCAACTGCTTCAGCACATTGTTTACAAGTGACTAGATGTCCACAAGGAACAAAAACGATAGCAATATTTCTATCCATACAGATTTTGCAAAGCTTCTCCTCTTGCAGGCGCCTTAGCTGCTCTTCAGTACTAATCTCTGCAAAAAGAGAAAATAATTATGCTAGTTTTAGACTCTCTTAGTTGTTTAAATTCATTGAAAACATTTATTGAGCCCCTACTACGTGCCAAGCACCCAACAAGTGCCGGGAGATATGAGGATGACTCACCCGTGGCATCTGCTCTTAAATAGCTCACACGCTAGTGGGAGAGGATGTAAGATGAGGCTAGGAGGTTAAGCACAAAGTACAAAGTGATAAGTGCTATAATAAAGTTATGTACAAAGTGCTCTGGGACAAGATGAGAAAACAAGTTCTTCTGCTCAGGCTAGTTGGAGAAGGCTTCACAGGTTGGCAGTGGCTGGATCGGGGGAGGAGGGAAGTGGAGGAGTGACATTTAAGCATGGACAGTCATTTGCCAGGCAGAAAAACAAGGGTTAGGTAAAAGGAGCAGCATATGGAAAGGTCACGACTAATTCCAGAAATAGAGGGATGGATTTGAGGGACACTTCTGAAGTGGGACAAGTAGGATTGGGTGACTGACTGGATATGAGGGCTGAAGAAGAAAGACAAACTAAAGTTGATTACAAGATTGCTAGCTTGGCTGACAAGGATATGGTGATGCCAATAAGAAATATAAAAGGAGGTACAGGTTTGGGATCTTCAGATATTTTTGAGGTGTTTTCAGGACACCCATATAAAAATAACCAGTAGGCAACTGAAGAGTCAAATCTTGAGGTCAGGAGAAGTCAGGGCTAGAGATAGAGATCTGGATGTCATCAGCATATAGGTGGCACTGAAGTACTTGCTTAATTCAGCCTTTCCCAAAATAGTTTTGTGAAATGTGAATAAATATGCCACAAAACATGTGTTTCATGGTCACATATAACAATAATGACAACAGCAGCAGCAGTTACCAGTAATATTGCATAAATAGTACGTGCTAGGCACTATTCCAAATGCATTACATATTTTAACTATACCTTTGTGATCACAACTATTTATTTATTTTAGCATCTTTATAATCATTATGTACCAGTGGTTTCCAAATATGGCCTCACATGAGAATAACCTGGGGCATTTTTAAACCACGGATTTCTGGGCTCCATTCACAGAATCTAAAATTTCTGGGGTTGGGCACACTGGCGTTTGAGAACCACTGTCATCCAGGACAGGGCAGTACAGTACAATATAGGACAGTATAGTCTATGTTCCCTCTTAGAAATGTACAAGGCATTTCCCTATTTAACTATGGGGTTCCTTTTTCATGGCATCCTTTTAACATCCTGCTGAACACTATTCTGAAAACATGTTTGGAAAACAATAGTTTATTCAAGAAATACTTACTGGACACTTAACTAGGTTCTAGGTACTAGGGATACAATTAACAAATACATAAACCTCAGGCCCCCAATAGTTCATAGACAAGTAAAGAACACAAGCAAACAGGAAAGTATAAATGGTATGATGACAAAGGTAATTACAATGTGTTATGAAGAGCACAGGAAGGGTGTGTGTGCGTGTGTGTGCATGCATGCATAAACGAAGGCCTCCTGGAGGAAATTATACCTAAAACTGGGTACAAAAGAATGAATTAGGAGTTTACTAGGAGAAGGAGGCCTTGGGGGATAAGGGCAATGGGAGAAAAGTGTTTTAGGCAAAGGAAACAGCATAAACAAGCTCCAAGGAGAGAGACAGAACGTGGCCTACAAGTGCACAGGCAAAGCTTGGGCACAGAATTTGAGAAAATAGCATGAGATGAGGCTACAAAAGGGTGCCTGATCATGAAAGATTAGGCGAGCCACGTAAAGGAGTTTGGACTTGATCCCAAGGGTCCTGGGAGGCAGTGAAGGGTTTTAAACTAGAGACAGATATGATCACATCTATGTCTCAGAAAGGTTTCTCTGGCTAGGGGGTAGAGGAAAGGATTGTTTAATCTCTTTCTTCTTAAAAAGTACCCTCTTGGGCATAATAAAAACTATAGGCTCAAACATGGAATGCATCAGAGATAAGAAGATAAAGCACTTACCCTTAAGAAGCTTGGTCTAATGGGCAGGGCAGAAACCAGTCCCAAAATAGTGTAAAAAGCAAAATGCTCAGCCAGGCCTGGTGGCTCACGCCTGTAATCCCAGCACTTTGGGAGGCTGAGGCGGGCAGATCATTTGAGGTCAGGAGTTCAAGACTAGCCTGGCCAACATGGTGAAACCCCATCTCTACTAAAAATACACACAAAAAAAATTAGCTGGGTGTGGTGGCGCATGCCTGTAATCCCAGCTACTCGGGAGGCTGAGGCAGCAGAATCGCTTGAACCTGAGAGATAGAGGTTGCAGTGAGCTGAGATTGTGTGCCACTGCACTCCAGCCTGGGCGACAGAGCGAGACCCTGTCTCAAGAAAAACAAAACAAAACAAAATAAAACAAAACAAAACTCTACCAGCACCAGGAGTAGATAAGAAGGAGCTCCTAACTCTGCTGTGGGTGCGGGAGAAAACTTGAAAGAAGTGACTTCTGAGCTGAACCTTGAAACATGAGTTCACAAAGTAGATTCAGGGAGTTGGGGGTAGAGTGGGGAATGGGACTAGGTATACAGATAGAGAAAACGTACTCAAGGCAGAGGAAAAAATACAAGTAAAGAAACGGCACTATAAGCTGATTTATATTATAAGAAAGCATCAACACCAAAAAAAGTCAGAATGAAGTGTGTATTTCATGCCAAAAAAATCAAAAGGAGAACAAGTAATTTCCACATTACTTTTAGATGTAATGCTACAACGAGTTAAAAACAAACAAACAGGCTGGGCGCGGTGGCTCACGCCTATAATCCCAGCTCTCAGGGAGGCAGAGGCGGGAGGATAGCTTGAGCCCAGGAGTTCGAGACCTGCCTGAGCAATATAGTGAGACCCCGTTCTCCACAAAAAGGAAGAAACAAACAAACAAACAAAGCAACAACAATACTGACACCTAGAGTAGTCAAATTTATAGAGACAAAAAGTAAAATGGTAGTTGCCAGGGGTTGGGAAGAGAGGGAATGGGGAGTTGTTTAATGAACATGTTTTTATTATTATTATTATTTTTTAAAGATAGGGTCTTGCTCTGTATCCCAGGCTGGAGAGCAGTGGTGCAATCACAGCTCATTGCAGCCTTGAGCTCCTGGTCTCAAGCAATCCTCCTGCCTCAGCCTCCCAAGCAGCTGGAACTACAGGCGTGTGCCACCACGCCTGGCTGTTTAATGGATGTAGAGTTTCGGTTTTGCAAGATGAAGAGTTCTGGAGGTTGACTGTGCAACAATGTAAATGTACTTAACACTACGGAACCATACACTAAAAATGGTTAAGATGGTAAACTGTATGTGTATTTTATCACAATTTTTTAAAATCTAAAAAAAACAAAAAACAAAACAAAAAAAAAAACTGAAACAAACCCCAAAACACTGGACCAGAAGTCAGGAAATCTGAATTCTATTCCCAACTATCGGCGTGATCCTAGGCAACAGCCCATCTGTACTTCAGGTTCCCAATTAAGGTCATAAAAGTTATAAAATGGGCTGGGTGCAGTGGTTCATGCCTGTAATCCCAGCACTTTATGAGGCCGAGGCGGGCAGATCACCTGAGGTTGGAAGTTGGAGACCGGCCTGACCAACATGGAGAAACCCCGTCTCTACTAAAAATACAAAATTAACAGGGTGTGGTGGCACATGCCTATAATCCCAGCTACTCAGGAGGCTGAGGCAGGAGAATTGCTTGAACCCGGGAGGTGGAGGTTGCAGTGAGCCAAGATTGCACCATTGCATTCCAGCCTGGGCAACAAAAGTGAAACTCCGTCTCCAAAAAAAAAAAAAAAAAAAAAAAATTATAAAATAATCTTTAAGGTTCCTTTGGTTCTGATTGTTTGTGATACCATATCATCTCATTTTTTTCTATATTATTTCATCCTTGTATAAAGCCACTAACTTGAGATGGTGATATTCTGGGCATAGATCTTTTCCCCTCAGACCAGTAGTTTACCACTGGCAATTACTTCCCTCTTGGCTTAAAGGTAACTACTGGATTCTACATACTTCTCTACAGCGCCTTTCCCCTTCTCCTCCCCACAAAGCCCTCTTCTAGGTCAGAAGGTTACTGGCACATGAGCAATAAAGGCTAGATAACTTTTGATGTTATTTGCTAATATTTGTAATTATTTAAAACCTCTTCTAGAATAAACTGATGTTATTCATTTTACTATTAGAGCAGATTCATATGGAAAGACAGATAAGAAATGAATATGGGTTATTTGATTTTTATATTATATACAGTAATATATATACACATAAAGATTAAAATAAGTACTTTAGTACATATACTAAATAAAGGGCTTTATCTTACACTACATAATTTTTTCAAAGAAAGAAAAAAAGATACTGATTCGGTACTATTTTTACAAGACCTTTTACTAGGGCATTCTCTGTTACACAGCCATTGGCAAAAAAGTTTAGCACTAAATCTAGGATTTCTCAGTAAGTGACAATGTTATATTTTCTCTAATAACCCTCACCTGCTTCACTTCAGTTAGCCCCATCCTTATTTTATATAAAATTAAAAGATTCTTAGTGCCAGTCTTTCCTCATCAGCTTTTGGGAAGACAAATAGGCAGCAGTCCCAGCATGAGTAGAGAGCCTGTATCAATTACTTGCCTCTCAATTTAGTGAGACTGAGGAGAGTTCAAATGAATTCCAACCCTTAGGCTCTCCTTCCCACACCATCCTAGTTTGTAGTCTCAGTGATAATATGAGCGCCCATTGACTCCTGTTAGATAGAGAAAAGACACTCTCCCTAATGCACAGTCTCTTGATCTCTTCCTATTACAACCTGCTAAACCCTTCTGCTGCAGATACATTAAGGTTTGAAAACTAACAATTTATGGCCAAACAATTAAGCGCGTGTTTAAGATGCAGGAAAAAAATGACACAATTGCTTGTGTTTCTGTTATAGTAGAAAAATTCCAGCCCGGCCAACTTGGCGAAACCCTGTCTCTACTGAAAATACAAAAAATTAGCCGGGCGTGGTGGCACATGCCTGTAATTCCAGCTACTCGGGAGGGTGAGGCAGGAGAATCGCTTGAGCTGGGGAGGCGGAGGTTGCAGTGAGCCAAGATCGTGCCATTGCACTCCAGCCTGGGCGACAGAGTGAGACTCCGTCTTAAAACAAATAAAAAATTAAAAAAAGAAAGAAAGATGACAATTAAAGGGTTTATTTTACCACCACCAAGATAAGTGGAGCTTGTGTAAGTTTTAAATAAATGCATCTATAAGGAAAAAATTGGAAGCTTTCCATTGATTCTTACATCAATGAATATAATTTTAAATATCATTAATGTTCATACTGTTTCATAACTTATACGATTATCTGAATAGTGTTTCAAAAGCACTTGAAATATCTTAAAGATCAAAAGGATCTTAAATGCGTCAAAAATAAGTAAACGTTTAAGTTTTTTTAGCAGTAGGAGAATTCTCATCTTTTTGGAGGGAGGATGGTCAAGAGCTTAGAGAACTATTACAGGTAAAGTACCCAAAAGTGTACTCAGTTTGAAACTTCTTCTTTAACCTTCGATGTTGTTGGCAAGCACTACAGTGTCCATCATCCTTAAAGGAGAGATACATATATTTTGAGACAAGATCTTGCTCAGTTGCCCAGGCCGAAGTGTAGTGGCATGATCATGGCTCACTGCAGCCTTGACCTCCCTGGCTCAGGTGATCTTCCCCGCTCAGCCTCCCAAGGAGCTGGGACTACAGGCACACACCACCATGCCCGGCTAATTTTTGTATTTTTTGTAGAGACAGTTTCATTATGTTGTCCAGGCTGGTAGAACTCATATTTTTAATCTTTTTTCCATGATTAATGTAATGATATTTGGAAATGAGGCCTTTGGGAAGTAATTAGGTTTAGATGAGGTCATGAAGATGAGACCCCCCCATGATGGGATTAGTGTTCCTAAAAGTAGAGGAAAAGAGACCAGAGTACTTGCTCCATCTTGTCCCATCCAATCCCAACCCATGCCATGTGAGGACACAGTGAGAAGGCAGCCATCTGCAAGGTAGGAAGAGGGCCCTCATCAATAACCAAATCAGCCAGCACCTTGATTTTGGAGCCTCCAAAACTGTCAGAAATAAGTCTGTTGTTTAAGACACCTAGTCTATGGAATTTTATTATAGCAGCTTGAGCAGACTAACACACAGCATTAAGGTTACGTTTAAAAAATGTCCATATCCACCTGTCCCAGCCTCCCAAAGTGCTGGGATTACAGGTATGAGCCACCACATCTGGCCCTTTCTTGCTTTTTAAAAACAGCAATGCATACCTTTCTGTAATGAAGTCTGACTTGACTCATCTTGCATACTGTCTTTCTGAGCATTCACTAGATCTGCAACCAGAACCTCAAGTGATTTATAGTTGCTCCCAGATATCTGAATTTTTTCCTCCATTATTTTCTTAATGTCCTTGAAACTGAACCCCATTCGTATAGCTTCTTGTACCATAGGATTTTGGAAGATGGTATCATCTGAAATAAAAATTGGTGAGGAAAAAGAACATAGAATTTAAACAATTATTTTCATTATCACAACTCAATAGCAAAATATAGTTAAAATGAAAAAATTAAGGAGCAAGCGAAAGAATAAAAACAAACCAGCAAAGCAAAGCTGCTTTGGGAAGATTTTTTGAAGTATTCAGGCACTGAAAAATCACTTTCAGAATCTTACAATTAATTGTAAATGCAATGAGTATGTATTTTGTAGTGTTTGAAACGATGCAAGGTAAAATAGGCAAGAAAAAGGTTAAGTGCTTCAAAAATCTGAACTGTTTTGAATCTAGCTGTACTCATTAACAATTAACCTAAGTTACTTAAAGAGTGGATGTTGTTACTGAGTCACTAGCAATTATTTGGGGAAAATGATGGGAAATCAGGGAAGTCCCAGTCTATAACCTTGAATGTGTCAATTTCCTAGCTCTCAAACTTCGTTTCTGTAGCAGAGCGGGTAGGACTGAATAAAGCAAGAAAGTCAATGGAAACTTGTTTTTATGATACTTAAAGTAGGAACACAGCATGTGTAGGGAAGTGCTAGGAGAGGACACTTATACCCTCTGACTCATCAATTCCACTCTTGGGTATTAAAAATGAGTGTATATCTCTGCCAAAGATATGCACAAGAGTATTCATAGTAGTGTTATTTATAATAGCCCCAAACTGGAAACAACTCAAATGTCCATCATCAGGTGAACAGATACATAAATTGTGGTATATTCATACGCTACACAGCAAGAAAAAAAAAAAAAACTATTGCCACAGACAATATGGATGGATCTCATAGATATAATGAGCAAAACATAATCATAATTCATCATTATGACACAAAAGAGTACCTACTGCATGAGTCCATTTATAAGAACTTCAAAACTAATCTATGGTAATAAACAAAATTAATCTATGGTAATAGAAGCCAGAATATAACTTGGGGGTGGGTACTGATGGGGAAGGAGCATGAAAGAACTTTCTAGGGTTGTGGGAATGTTCTATATCTTAATCTGGGGGATAGTCACACAGATAAATATATATATTTTAACATATACATTTTAATATATATTTAACACATATTTAATATATATTTTAACATATATATGTTAAAATTCATCAAGTAGAAAACTTACGATTAGGGTACTTTAAGCACTTTATGTGTGTATGTGTGCGTGTGTATATATATACAAAATCATATATATATACAAAATCATATATATACAAAATCATATATATATACAAAATCATATATATATACAAAATCATATATATATACACAATCATATATATATAAAATCATATATATATAAAATCATATATATATATATATATATATTTTTTTTTTTTTTTTTTTTTTTTTTGAGACGTAGTCTCGCTCTGTCACCCAGGCCGGAGTGTAATGGCGCGTCTCGGCTCACTGCAACCTCCACCTCCCAGGTTCAAGCAATTCTCTTGCCTCAGCCTCTCGAGTAGCTGGGATTACAGGCATGCACCACCACGCCTGGCTAATTTTTTTGTATATTTAGTAGAGATGGGGTTTCACTATATTGGCCAGGCTGCTCTCGAACTCCTGACCTCGTGATCCACCTGCCTCAACTTCCCAAAGTGCTGGGATTACAGGCGTGAGCCACTGCGCCCGGCTACTGTATGTATATTATAGCTCAATAAATGTTTTTTGAAAGAGAGGAGGCTGGGTGCAGTGGCTCACACCTGTAATCCCAGCACTTTGGGGAGGCCAAGGGGGATTCCTTGAGGCCTGGAGTTTGAAACCACCCTGGTCAACAAAGTGTGACCCTATCTATATTAAAAAATAAAAATAAAAGATAAGGCTGGGCATGGTGGCCCACGTCTGTAGTCCCAGCATTTCGGGAGGCTAAGACGGGCAGATCGCTTGAGCCTAGGAGTTCAAAACCCCGTCTCTGCAAAAAATACCAAAAAATAAAAAAAAAAATTACCCGGGCATAGTGGTGGGCGCCTGTAGTCCCGGCTACTCAGGAGGCTGAGGCAGGAGAATGGCGTGACCCCCGGAGGTGGAGGTTGCGGTGAGCCGAGATCGCGCCACTGCACTCCAGCCTCGGTGACGGAGCGAGACTCCGTCTCAGAAAAACAAAAAAACAAAACAAACAAAAACAAACAAACAAAAAGAAAAACTCTGTTGGCAGGTTATAATACAGACAAAAGACCAGTTAGGAGACTACTACAATTGTCCAGTTGAAAAACAAGGAAGGGCCTGAACTAGAGCAGAATAAGTGGGAAAGTCTGAAGCAACATTAAAAAGGTGGAATCCATCAAATTTGATGATTAATTAAATGTAAAAGGATTACAGAGAGCAAAGAGCTTAGGAACAACATAAATTACTGGGCAACCTTGTGAACTGTGGTACTATTAACCAATACAGGAGAAAAAAGTGCAGGATTAGATTCAGTCTGAGTGGTTTTTAGAGATGCATTCTAGGTGGAAATGTCCAGAGGGCAACTAGACATTGCTCTTTCCTGCTTCTCCTATCTTTGACTTGTTTTTATTTTCAGTTTGTTTTGTTGCTCCATTACTTGTGCCCACCTAATTAGATGTTGGTGGCTCCCTTCCATTCCCTCATCGACCCTTCTGAAAAATGGTCTTTCCAGCTGGGCACAGTGGCTCACGCCTGTAATCCCACCACTTTGGGAGGCTGAGGTGGATCACCTGAGGTCAGGAGTTCAAGACCAGCCTGGCCAACATGGCGAAACCCTGTCTCTACTAAAAATACAAAAATTAGCCGGGCGCAGTGGCATGTGCCTGTAGTCCCAGCTACTGGGGAGGCTGATGCAGGAGAATCGCTTGAACCCGGGAGTCGGTGGTTGCAGTGAGCCAAGATCGCACTACTGCACTCCAGCCTGGGTGACAGAGCGAGGCTCCGTCTCCGGAAAAAAAAAAAAAGTCTTTCCAGACACTTTCCCTACCAGCAACATCTTACTCTCCTTTATACAAGGTTTTATTATCCTCCTACTTCAATGTCCTGCAGGTATCTCAAACTCAACTTGCTAAAAACAAAAAGGACGTGGACCCCTACCTGATACCATATACAAAAATTAACTCAAAATGGATCAAAGACCAGAATGTAAGATATAACACCATAAAACTCTTAGAAGAAAACATAGGTATAAACCTTGGTGACCCTGGATTAGGCAATGGTTTCTTAAATATGACATTAAAAGCATGAGCAACACACACAGAAAAATAGATAAATTGGATGTCATAAAAATTAAAGATGTTTCGCTGGGCACGGTGGCTCACGCCTGTAATCCCAGCACTTTGGGAGTCCGAGGCAGGCGGATCACCTGAGGTCAGGAGTTCGAGACGAGCCTCAACATGGAGAAACCCCGTCTCTACTAAAAATACAAAATTAGCCAGGCATGGTGGTGCACGCCTGTAATCCCAGCTACTGGGGAGGCAGAGGCAGGAGAATTGCTTGAACCTGGGAGGCGGAGGTTGTGGTGAGCTGAGATGGCACCATTGCACTCCAGCCTGGGCAACAAGAGCAAAACTCCGTCTCAAAAAAAAAAAAAAAAAAAAATTAAAGACGTTTATGCTTCGAAGAACACCAAGAAAGTGAAAAAGGTGGCCGGGTGCAGTGGCTCACGCCTGTAATTCCAGCACTTTGGGAGGCTGAGGTGGGCAGATCACGAGGTCAGGAGTTTGAGACAAGCCTGGCCAACATGGTGAAACCCCATCTCCACTAAAAATACAAAAAAAATTAGCCAGCCATGGTGGTGCACACCTGTAATCACAGCTACTCTGGAGGCTAAGGAAGGAGAATTGCTTGAGCCCGGGAGGCGGAGGTTGCAGTGAGCAGAGATCATGCCTCTGCAATCCAGACTGGGCAACAGAGCAAGACTCCGTCTTGGGAAAAAAAAAAAAAAAAGGAAACCCACAGAATGGGAGAAAATACTTGCAAATCATAAATCTGACAGGAACTTTTATATATAAATAACTATCATCTTCATTTAGAAAGTAAAAGAAGCCAAAAAAAAGAACTGTAATATATAAAGATCTCTTTTAACTCAATAACAAAAAGATAACCCATCCCCCTAGACTGTTCAGTAGAAAAAGGACAACCCAAATAAAAAATGGTCAAGGCTGGGCACAGTGGATCACACCTGTAATCCCAGCACTTTGGGAGGCCAAGGGAGGCAGATTGTTTGAGCCCAGGGGTTCGAGACCACCAGGGCAACAATGGCGAAACCTTCTCTCTATAAAAAATACAAAAATTAACTGGGTGTGGTGGCGCACACCCGTAGTCCCAGCTACCCGGAAGACTGAGGCAGCAGAATTGCTTGAGCCAGGGAGGTCGAGGCCACAGTGAGCATGACTGTACTATTGCACTCCAGCCCAGGTGACTGAGCAAGACCCTGTCTCAAAAAAAAGAAAAAATAAAAAATGGGTCGGGCATGGTGGCTCACACCTGTAATCCCAGCACTTTGGGAGCCCAACGTGGGTGGATCACCTGAGGTCAGGAGTTCAAGACCAGCCTGGCTAATATAGCGAAACCCCGTCCCTACTAAAAATACAAAAATTAGCCAGGTATGGTGGTGAGCACCTGTAATCCTAGCTACTAGGGAGGCTGAGTCAGGAGGATCGCTTGAACCCAGGAGGCGGAGGTTGCAATCAGCCAAGATCTTACCACTGCACTCCAGCCTAGGTGACAGAGCAAGACTCCGTCTCAAAAAAAAAAAAAAAAGTCAAAGGAGATGAACAGACGTTTCTACAAAGATTTACAAATGGCCAATAGGCACATGAAAAGATGCTCAATATCATTAATCATCAGGGAAATGCAAAACAAAACCACAATGAGATACCATGTCACATCCACTAGAATGGCTGTGATAAATAAGACAGATAATGAATGTAGAGAAAATGAAATCCTCATACACTTCTGGTAGGAATGTTAAAGGGTGCAGTCACTTTGGAAATCTGTCTGATAGTTTATCAAAAGGTTAAATATAGAATAACCACATGACCCAGCAATTCCATCCCTGGATATATGCCCAAGAGAACTGGGTATATAACATGTCTATACAAAAACTTATGCACAAATGTTCATAGAACCATCATTCATAATAGTCAAAAAGTAGAAACAAGCCAAATGTCAACTGACAAATGGATAAACAAAATGTGGTATTATTTATACAATGGACTCTTTTTCTACAATAGAAAAGAATGAAGTACTCATATATGCTACAACATGGATACACCTTGAGGACACATATTACATTATTCCATTTACATTAAATGTCCAGAATAGGCAAGTCCATAGAGACAGAAAGTAGATTACTGGTTGCCCTGGCCTAGGGGTAGGGTGGGCAATGGAGAATGACTGTTGATGGGTGAGCATGGAGTTTCTTGTTGGGGTAATGATAGTGTTCTGCAATTAAATAGTAGTAATGCCACTCACTGCGTAGTGGGTAGCCCTGCTCTGCAGGAGCAGTCATGGAGCTGAATTTATGTTTTATTTATTTATTTATTTATTTATTTATTTATTTATTTACTTATTTATGTTTGAGATAGAATCTCGGTCCATCACCCAGGCTGGAGTGCAGTAGCATGATCTCAGCTCACAGAAACCTCCGCCTTCCAGGTTCAAGAAATTTTTATGCCTCAGCCTCCCAAGTAGCTGGAACTATAGGTGTGTGCCACCACGCCCTGGTAATTTTTGTATTTTTCTTTTTTTTTTTGAGGTAGAGTTTTGCTCCTTTTTGCCCAGGGTGTAGTGCAATGGCGTGGTCTTGGCTCACTGCAACCTCTGCCTCCCAGGTTCAAGCAATTCTCCTGCCCCAGCCTCCCAAGTAGCTGGGATTACAGGCGTGCAGCACCACACTCAGCTAATTTTGTATTTTTAGTAGAGACGGAGTTTCACCATGTTGGCCGGGCTGGTCTGGAACTCTGGACCTCAGGTGATCCACCTGCCTTGGCCTCCCAAAGTGCTGGGATTATAGGCGTGAGCCACCACACCCAGCCGCTTGTAATTCTTAAGATACTAAATAGATGATGGTACCAGTTTAGGAAGTGGGGAATCACTAGACATATTCTAAATTAAACTTTCTACTACTTTTGAAATATGCCTAAGTTGAAAATGAGATCTGCCCTGTGATGTAGGATTCAGAAGACCTTGCTTGTGGTCCTAGTTCCACTAACTATTTGTAATGTGATTGTGCGCAAGTCACTTAACCTCTCTGACTCTTTCTTCATCTGAAAAGTGGGGATAACAATTACCTTCCTTGCTTAGCATAATATCTTTCTCTGCCCACTTTTTGAGTTTTAAAACCTCTACTTCTCCATGAGGTAACAGGAGGTAAACAAACCAAAACTTACACCTCTGTGAAGAAGCTGGGGAAGGTACAATGACAGTATGGGATAAAGAAGCAGGTGGGTTAGGGCTTATCAGGGTAATGGCACACTAGTAGAAAACTGAAATAATTTTGGCTTACTTAAGGAACCCCAGGTACAAAAAGACACTTCACCCTTTCTCTTGTGATTTTAGCAGAGATGGCAATGAGGCAACCTATCAGTGTTCCTCCTGAACTTGGAAAAACTATCTGATGGCCTACTAACATTTTTAATACAGACACGTCTGACTGATTTTTTTTTCTTTTATTTTCTTTTTGAGATGGAGTCTTGCCCTGTTGCCCAGGCTAGAGTGCACTGGCACGATCTCAGCTGGCTGCAATCTCCACTGCCCAGGTTCAAGCGATTCTCCCGCCTCGGCCTCCCGAGTAGCTGGAATTACAGGCGCACACCATCACGCCCGGCTAATTTTTGGATTTTTAGTAGAGATGGGGTTTCGCCATGTTGGCTAGGATGGTCTTGAGCTCCTCGGCCTCCCAAAGTGCTGGGATTACAGGTGTCAGCCACTGCACCCAGCCTCTGACTGCAATTTATAAGTACTTCATTAAATTATTTTTTTCATTTTTGTTTTTTGAGACGGAATCTCGCTCTGTCGCCAGGCTTGAGTGCAATGGCATGATCTCGGCTCACTGCAACCTCCACCTCCTGGGTTCAGGCCAGGCAATTCTCCTGCCTCAGCCTCCCAAGTACGTGGGACTACAGGTGTGCGCCACCACATCCAGCTAATTTTTTTTTTGTATTTTTAGTAGAGACGGGGTTTCACCATGTTAGCCAGGATGGTCTCGATCTCCTGACCTCGTGATTGGCCTGCCTCGGTCTCCCAAAGGGCTGGGATTACAGGCGTGAGCTACCACGCCCGGCCGCCTAAATTCTTAAATTTATAGTAATGTCATCTGAAATAAATATATCATGGTGACCTTGGAAGAACATGCTTATCTTTCCACCCCATAAATAACAACTATAATAAATTGGCAGTTAAAGGCCGGGTGCGGTGGCTCATGCCTGTAATCCCAGCACTTTGGAAGGCCGAGGCGGGCGCATCACAAGATCAGGAGTTTGAGACCAGCCTGGCCAATATGGTAAAACTCCGTCTCTACTAAAAATATAAAAAGTTAGCCGGGCATGGTGGCGCAGGCCTGTAGTCCCAGCTACTCGGGAGGTTGAGGCAGGAGAATCGGTTGAACCCGGGAGGCAGAGATTGCAGTGAGCTGAGATCGCACCACTGCACTCCAGCCTGGGCAACAGAGTGAGACTCTGTCTCTAAATAAATAAATAAATAAATAAATTGGCAGTTAAATTAAAAGGATAGTTAACAAGCATATTTACCAATTCTTCTAGTTAGTGATGGTGTTTTCTCAGTAGTTCTTACCTGTAACAGAAATAGGAACTGTAAGTTAGAATTATTTTTGGTAGAGGCAATCATTTCCATTTGAAAAGTGAAATTAATCATAAATTTAAAATAAATTGGCTTTATTCCAATTCAATATATGAATATTCACAAGAGGCATAGCCTGATGGAGCTAGAAGGAAGTCATAAGATTATCTAATCTAATCCCTTCATTTTACAAACAAAAAGCTGAGGCCCAGGGAGAATGAATGACTTCAAGGTAGAGTCACTGGGGGCAACTCTAGTCTCCCATTTTAGTCCAGGGTTCTTTCCACCTATTACTGATGCCTTGGCCACCTCAATTCATCCTATCAATTTATTTATTTATTTAATTTATTTATTTTTGAGATGGAGTGTCACACTTGTTGCCCAGGCTGGAGTGTAGTGGCGTGATCTCAGCTCACTGCAACCTCCACCTCCCAGGTTCAAGCAATTCTCCTGCCTCAGTCTCCCCAGTAGCTGAGATTACAGGCGCCCGCCATTACGCCTAGCTAAATTTTTGTATTTTTAGTAGAGACGGGGTTTCATCATGTTGGCCAAGCTGGTCTCGAACTCCTGACCTTGGGTGATCCATCTGCCTCGGCCTCCCAAAGTGCTGGGATTACAGGCGTGAGCCACCGTGCCCAGCGCCCATCCTATCAATTTAGATATATTTGAGATTTTAAATATTGTCTGCAAAAACTTAAAACTACTTATGAGTACAAAGCACATTATACAAAGATCTAATTTCAGAAGGCTAAGGGACTTTTAATATTTTAGTTCTTCAAGCCCATTTTTGCCTACAATGATACTTAAATCAGTTCATCCTGATTATCTTTTGACAAATTTACTTCAGGTAAAGAATAAGAAACACTTTTTAGGCTCTCTCTTTTTTTTTTTTTTTTTTTTTAAGAGATAGGGTTTCCCTTTCTCACTCAGGCTGGAGTACAGTGGAATGAACCTGGCTCACTGAATCCTCTGACCTTCTGGGCTCAAGCGATCCTCCCGCCTCAGCCGCCCAAGTAGCTGGGACTACAGGCATGTACCACAAGTCTGGCTAATTGGTTTTTAAAATTTTTTGTAGAGACAGGGTCTCACTATGTTGCCTAGGCTGATCTCAAACTCCTGGGCTCAAGCAATCCTCTCACCTTGGCCTCTCAAAATGTTGGAATTACAGGTGTGAAACACTGCCCAGCTAGCTCTCATCTTTAAAGCCCATCATACATTTATTATTTTGTTTTTAACTTAAAATTTGTGTTTTGATGTAATGTACACATATATTGATTTATAATACTATACTGTGAATATCACATGAAGAAATAACTATAAAACAAATGATATAATATAAACTACATAATGAAAATATAAATTATAATTTGAAATGTGAATTTGAAAATATAAATTATATGAGACTTACCAGACACTCCTCAAGTGAATGAGTTAAATGAATATTGTTTATATATTCTTGTCCCTTCTGTTCTAACAGATATTTGCACCTAAACAATTAAAAGATTAAACTTTAGTAGCTGATAAATTAGTGAAGTATAAGCAAAGATATAATCTCCATCATATTAATTCTATTAATTCCATTAACTTGCTTTTCAGTACTTCTAAGGAGCCACAAAGTAAAATGTTACCCAATTCCCTATCCCACTGTCATTTTAAGGTTAAAAAAGTTCCCTCTGTTATGCTACCTATGCTAATATTAGTAGAGCAAAAAATATCAACTTGAGAACTTTCTAAAACAAGTTATTAAATTAGCACCTTGACTTTTGTTATTTTTTTTTTTTTTTGAGACAGAGTCTCGCTCTGTCACCCAGGCTGGAGTGCAGTGGCACGATCTTGGCTTACTGCAACATTAGCCTTCCGGGTTCAAGCGATTCTCCTGCCTTAGCCTCCTGAGTAGCTGGGATTACAGGCATGCACCACTACGCCCGGCTAATTTTGTATTTTTAGTAGAGACAGGGTTTCACCATGTTGGTCAGGCTGGTCTCAAACTCCTCACCTGAAGTGATCTCCCTGCCTCAGCCTCCCGAAGTGCTGGGATTACAGGCGTAAGCCACCATGCCCGGCTAGTTTTTTTTTTTTTTTTTTGAGACAGTGTCTCACTCTGTCGCCCAGGCTGGAGTGCAGTGGCGCCGAGTGCAGTGGCATCAGCTCACCACAACCTCTGCCTCCCCAGCTCAAGTGATCCTCTTACCTCAGCCTCATGAGTAACTGGAACTACAGGTGTGTGCCATCATGACTGGCTAATTTTTTTTTTTGTATTTTTTGTAGAGACAGGGTCTTACTATGTTGCCCAGGCTGGTCTCAAACTCTTGGGCTCCAGCAATCCACCCGCCTCAGCCTCCCAAAGTGCTGAGATTACAGGCACGAGCCACCACACTCCAACCAGAGATCTTAAAATGTGAACAACTGGGCCGGGCGCGGTGGCTCACGCCTGTAATCCCAGCACTTTGGGAGGCCGAGGCGGGCGGATCACGAGGTCAGGAGATCGAGACCATCCTGGCTAACACGGTGAAACCCCGTCTCTAGTAAAAATACAAAAAATTAGCCGGGCGTGGTAGCGGGCGCCTGTAGTCCCAGCTACTCGGGAGGCTGAGGCAGGAGAATGGCGTGAACCCGGGAGGCGGAGCTTGCAGTGAGCCGAGATCGCACCACTGCACTCCAGCCTGGGCGACAGAGCGAGACTCCGTCTCAAAAAAAAAAAAAAAAAAAAAAAAAAAAAAAAAAAAATGTGAACAACTGTATGTCATAGAGATAATGAGATACATTAATATTTCCTAGGGGTATGATGGCTTCTTAAGGAATCTCCTTGGCAATATGGGCTCTCACGCTGATCATAAAAGAGCCTACTTCCAACAACAAAAAAGCACACATTTCCTAATCTGTATTTAAAAATTGGATAATCTAGAGGCCAAGCAAGGTGGAGCATGCTTGTAATCCCAGCACTTTGGGAGGCTGATGTGGGTGGATCACCTGAGGTTGGGAGTTCGAGACCAGCCTGACCAACATGGTCAAACCCTGTCTCTACTAAAAATATAAAAAATTAGCTGGGCGTGGTGGCAGGCACCTGTAATCCCAGCTACTCAGGAGGCTGAGGCAGGAGAATCACTTGAACCCAGGAGGCGGAGATTGCAGTGAACTGAGATAGCACCATTGCACTCCAGCATGGGCGACAAGAGCAAAACTCTATCTCAAAAAAAAAAAGAAATGGGATAATCTAGAGGCCAGGCGCAGTGGCTCACACCTGTAATGCCAACACTTTGGGAGGCCGAGGCGGGCCGATCACCTGAGGTCAGGAGTTCAAGACCAACCTGGCCAACATGGTGATACCCTGTCTCTACTAAAAAATACAAAAATTAGCCAGAATCCCAGCACTTTGGGAGGCCGAGGCGGGCGGATCACAAGGTCAGGAGATCAAGACCATCCTGGCCAACATGGTGAAACCCTGCCTCTACTAAAAATACAAAAAATTAGCTGGGCGTGGTGGCACTTGCCTGTTGTCCCAGCTACTCGGGAGGCTGAGGCAGGAGAATCGCTTGAACCTGGGAGGCGGAGGTTGCAGTGAGCCAAGATCGCACCACTGCACTCCAGCCTGGCAACAGAGTGAGACTCCATATCAAAAAAAAAAAAAAAAAATTAGCCAGGCATGGTGGCAGTGGCGGGTGCCTGTAATCCCAGCTACTCAGGAGACTGAGGCACAAGAATCACTTGAACCTGGGAGGCAGAGGTTGCAGTGAGCCAAGATTGCACCACTGCACTCCAGCCTGCAAAAGAGAGTGAGACTTCGTCTCAAAAAAAAAAAGGGATAATCTGAATGTTATAGATATCACACATAAGCAGTGAATGTTTTTGGTCATCAGAGAAGGCTTATAAACCTTGCTCATTTTTATAAACCTAGCATGAATTTCAAGCCATAGTGAAGGCAAAAATAGTTGAGGTAAAAAGTAATTCAAGTCTCCCACTGCATGCTATCCAACTTGCCTGTACAATGAACAATTAAATATCTTACCCTGGATACCATTTAGCATGTTGTTCCCAAGGGTCTTCACTGGGCTTCCAATCAGTTAGCCCTCCTCCACAGTGAAAGCACTTTACTTTATCACCTTCACCTACGAAAACACACAGGAATATATGTATTTGTGCAATTAGAAGCTTACACAAAAATATTCATTTAACACCTAAAAATTAAGCACATCTAAAAAACATGAAAATCTCACAGCTTAAAACAAGACATTCAAATTCACATCTAAGTAACAGATATGATTTTTATCCTTTGAGGAAGAAATACACACTAAATTCACTGATTCAATGTGAGGTATTTTTATAGAAGACAAAAATAAAACTGCCCAAGTTTTATGTTAAAAACTAAAATTGTTACTTTCTTTCTTTTTTTGAGACTGAGTCTGGCTCTGTTCCCCAGACCGGAGTGCAATGGCGCAGTCTTGGTTCACTGCAACCTTTGCCTCCTGAGTTCAAGCGATTCTCCTGCCTCAGCCTCTCAAGTAGCTGGGATTACAGGCATGCGCCACCACACCCGGCTAATTTTTTATATCTTTGGTAGAGATGGGGTTTCACCATGTTGGCCAGCCTGATCTTGAACTCCTGACCTCAAGTGATCCACCCGCCTCGGCCTTCCAAAGTGTTGGGATTACAGGCGTAAGCCACTGTACCTGGCATACTTTATTTTCATTTATTTATTTATTTATTTATTTATTTATTTATTAATTATTATTATTTTTTTCTGAGATGGAGTTTTACTCTTGTTGCCCAGGCTGGAGTGCAATGGCGCGATCACGGCTCACTGCAACCTCTGCCTTCTGGGTTCAAGTGATTCTCCTGCCTCAGTCTCCCAAGTAGCTGGGACTACAGGCGCATGCCATCACGCCCAGCTAATTTTTGTATTTTTAGTAGAGACGGGGTTTCACCATGTTGGCCAGGCTGGTCTTGAACTCCTGACTTCAGGTGATCCACCCACCTCAGCCTCCCAAAGTGCTGGGATTATAGGCGGGAGCCACCGCGCCCGGCCATACTTTCTTTTTAGTATGTTATTTGGGCCACCAATATTGTCCTTACTGTTTCAAACTGTGAAATTTTAAAACAAGTTATGTTTCAAGTATTAGTAACATTAAAGTTCTACATAATGAAATTGTAAGTTTCTCTAAGTTTATAGCTACATGACACTAAACAAACCTTCAAGATTACTATATGATGGTACATAAATAAAATCTTTCGAAATAACCAATATTTTATAGGCATTATTCAATCTTAAAATAAATGGGTCAAATATATAATGGTATAACTTTTTAAAATATCTTTAGAAGCAATCACTCCAATGGCCCTTCCTGAAATGTCTACCACAGTCCATTTGAAAGTACTCATATGGCCGGCGCAGTGGCTCATGCCTGTAATCCCAGCACTTTGGGAGGCCAAGGCGGGCGGATCACAAGGTCAGGAGTTCGAGACCAGCCTGGCCATGGTGAAACCCTGTCTCTACTAAAAGTACAAAAATTAGCCAGGCATGGTGCATGCACCTGTAATCCCAGCACTTTGGGAGGCCGAGGCGGGTGGATCACCTGAGGTCAGGAGTTTGAGACCAGCCTGACCAACAGGGAGAGACCCTGTGTCTACTAAAAATACAAAATTAGCCGGGCGTGGTGGCACATGCCTGTAATCCCAGCTACTCAGGAGGCTGAGGCAGGAGAATCGCTTGAACCCGGGAGGTGGAGGTTGTGGTGAGCCTAAATCACGCCATTGCACTCCAGCCTGGATAACAAGAGCGAAACTCTGTCTCAAAAACAAACAAACAAAGCTATTGTGAAGCTTAGAGAAAATGCATGAAGTATATGTATTGAGCACTTATAGTAAGTGCTCAATAAATGATGGTTAATATTACTATTAGACCCATTTTGCTATTGGGGATGTCTACCATCTTTTGCAAGTTATCTACTTCCTAAAAACAATTACATGAAGAGAAGCATGACTCATAATATGGTAGTCTTTTTCACATAAATTCAGTAGTTACATTACAGGTTCAACATAAGAGTTCACGGAATAATACAGATATATATATAATCATGCCAAGTTATACCTAAATATTTACCAGTTCAGGGGGCTAAGGGCATCTATTTACTTTTTATGAGCCCTGGCATACTTGGGAAGCTATTTATTGGTTTTATAATAAAGTTTACCTAAAGCATAAAATCCAGCTCTTGCAAGCTGCTCCTTGTTAACTGAGTATATCCATGTCCCAAAAGTAAAGATCCGTGCTTCATAATCTGCCATGGATGGATTTCTTGGAAGATTTGTTGAATTTGGGAAATTCCTATCAGAACTCACAGCATCAGATTCACTTCGAATATTAAGATTCCGGCCCAAAACAAAGAAGCAATTAGGAAAGTGTCGCCTGTGTTCTGACCAGGCACGATCACAAGGTTCCCAATTTTTCAGTTTTCCACCACAACAAAAGCACTGCACTTGGTCACCAATACCTGTGTAGTAGAGTCCAGCACTTGCTAACTCTCTTGGGGTTAGGTGAGCATAGTCTGGCCAGTTCTGAAAGGACTTTAATCTAGCTTCTTCACTATACATGGCAGGGTTCCTCGGGTATATGGTGTCTGATATATCTACAACCTGCCCAGTTCTCAAAAGATAGTCTGCATGTGTCTCAGATGGCCTGTCTAAGGCAAAATGATCTCTGCTTCCCAGATAGTTTTCAACTTTGTACTGACCATTCTGGATACCAGAATTTGTAGACTGCGTGGCACTATTTTCAAGATAAAAGCCGTTGATAAATCTGCAATTTGGGGATACTTTCCTGTGTCTTCCAACTGCTGAGTCTCCATATTGCCATCTATCTACAGCTGCATGACAACTAAAGCACCGCACGGTATCTCCTTCACCAGTATAAAGAAACCCTGCTCGTGCCAGTGTTGATGCTGAAACAGGACTACCACTTGGAAAATTAGCAAAAGTTTTTAATCTATTAAACTCTTCTACAAATTCTTCTTCCTTATTGATGTCTGCAGGTACACAAGTTTTAGATCCTTCAAAACTGTTAAAAGTCATCTTCTCTTGAAAATAGGACTTGTCCACCTTTTCTAAAAAGAGAACATTATATTAGGAAATCCAAAATGTGAAACACAAGCAACAGACTTTTGTTATAGGAGCTAACAAATTATCCACTTATGACATAAAAATAACTACACGACCGCTAAGAAACATTCTAATTCTAAATACTAGAGTTCGACATTACCACATCATTCAAGTCATAAAGTAAAATCTAGCATTTTTGTTTTCTCTTTTTGAGGAAAGTAATATTTAAGCAGGCAGAATAAAACTAATAATTTTTAAATGCTTATTTTACATAAATATGTAAACTGTGATGCAGAATATATTATAATTATTAACCATGTCAAATCATTAATTAGGAAAAACATGAAAGCATAAAATATGCAGATTATTAAAATCTATGCATAATTGTTATAATGAATCATTATATATTCAAGGCATCAAAGTTGTTTTTACAAGTTAAAAAATGTTCAGAATGTTAATGAATTAATTTTTAATATCTCTTTGCTTAGCAAAATATGTTTTAATCATAATATTGGTTCCAATGTGTTCTTTAAGAGTATGAAATATTTCTGATTTTCATGCATGAATGAGAGCCCTTTTTTTGTTGTAACTGGATAATTACAGATATATATGTAACACTGCCCTCTAGAGGGTGGCTCAGGAAAAATTCTAAGTACCTGCAAACCTTAATTGCTGTTACTTTTTTTTTTTTGCCCATGACATACATGTGCCCTGCAGTTACTTTTGCTATTAACTTCCCTTGGTCAAGTAACAATCTGTTCAAATGGAAGATAAGTATTGCTGCAGTCTTATTAGAGCTGCCAAATTACAGCTGGTAATTTTAACCCAGATAAAATACTAAAAGGAACCCGTTAGGTTATGAGAAGGGTATCAATTATTAGAAAGATAATTTATCCTCCAAACCTGGACACTTCTCAAAGTGAAAAATTACACTAGTAATAATCACACTGGGACAACAGGCATAAATCAGGGTTGCCCCAGGCAAACTAGAGTATATGGTAACCCTAGTTATGAGGCAAACCTGGTTCTCCAGAATCTCCCACATTGCCTGATAACATGCTCAATATAAACTTGTCAAAGGCAAAATAAGAGAATGGTAACAATGACTCTGTCTCTATATTATGCGTGCATTAATTGATTTTTTTTTTTTTTGAGATGGAGTTTTGCTCTTGCTGCCCAGGCTGGAGTGCAATGGTGTGATACTGGTTCATGCGACCTCCGCCTCCCAGGTTCAAGCAATTATCCTGCCTCAGCCTCTCAAGTAGCTGGGATTACAGGCATGCGCCACCATGCCCGGCTAATTTTGTATTTTTTAGTAGAGACGGGGTTTCTCCAGGTTGGTCAGGCTGGTCTTGAACTCCTGACCTCAGGTGATCTGCCCGCCTCGGCCTTCCAAAATGCTGGGATTACAGGCGTGAGCCACCGCGCCCTGCCATTAATTGATTTCTTGAGAAGAATTAGCCAGCTCTTTTGCCTTTATGTTGACACAATATGCCTTAAAATTTAATCTCTTTTGGAGTAATGTTCAACACAAAGCAAGCTGGCAATGGACTTCAGTCTTTCCTGGCCATGTCAATTTATAGTGGTATTAACTCATATACCTCAACAGCTGAGTTATATCTGCATAAAACTTTTGGAATATAGTCTCCATGACTTTTGATGAATTATCATTTCCTATATGTCTGAAAACATTCCAACATTAGCTTCAAGGCCCTTTGTTGAATCAGCACAATAAACTGGATGACAAAAATCAAGATTCAAAGAAACCAAGGCTGATCAAACTCCTTGTTCTACTCTTTCCCCCCTTCTCACTCTGCACTTGACTAGTCTTAAAAAAAACAGCCGGGCATGGTGGTTCACACCTGTAATCCCAGCACTTTGGGAGGCCGAGGTGGGCAAATCACCTGAGGTCGGGAGTTTGAGACCGGCCTGACCAACAGGGAGAAACCCTGTCTCTACTAAAAACACAAAATTAGCTGGGCGTGGTGGAGCATGCCTGTAATCCCAGCTACTTGGGAGACTGAGGCAGGAGAATCGCTTGAACCCGGGAGGCAGAGGTTGCAGTGAGCTGAGATCGCGCCACTGCACTCCAGCCTGGGCAACAAGAGTGAAACTCTGTCTCAAAAAAAAAAAAAAAAAGAAAAGAAAAGAAAAGAAAAAAACCAAGGCTACCTGATAGGCTAATGAGATAAAATTTAATAGGGATAAGTATAAAGTCTTACATCTGGTTTTTAAAAAATATCTGGTGCATAGGCCGGACACGGTGACTCATGCCTGTAATCTCAGCACTTTGGGAGGCCAAGGTGGCCGGATAACTTGAGGTCAGGAGTTCGAGACCAGCCTGACCAACATGGTGAAACCCCCACCTCTACTAAAAATACAAAAATTAGCCAGGCGTGGTGGCAGGTACCTGTAATCCCAGCTACTCGGAAGGCTGAAACAGAAGAATGCCTTGAACCCGGGGAGCGGAGGTTGCAGTGAGCCAAGATCATGCCACTGCACTCCATCCTGGGCGACAGAGCGAGGCTCCATCTCAAAAAAGGCCGGGCGTGATGGCTCACGCCTGTAATCCCAGCACTCTGGGAGGCTGAGGAGGGTGGGTCACCTGAGGTCAGGAGTTCGAGACCAGCCTGACCAAAATGGAGAAACCCCGTCTCTACTAAAAAAAAATAAAAAAGAAAGAAAGAAAATTAGCCAGGCATGATGGCGGATGCCTGTAATCCCAGCTACTTGGGAGGCTGAGGCAGGAGAATTGCTTGAACCCAGGAAGTGGAGGTTGCAGTGAGCTGAGATCGTGCCACTGCACCCCAGCCTGGGCGACAGAGCGAGCGTCTCAAAAAACAAACAAAAAAAATCTGTTGCATAACTAAAAGAAGATTGAGACTTAGTTTAAGAAGAAATCACTTAAAGGCAATCCTCCAGATTAAAACCTTGGGATTTTATTTAATTACAAATTCATCATAAGCCAACATTACAAGTCGACTAAAAAACTTACAGCAACTTCAGACTGCATTAGTGTCCAGATGTGCAACATCCAGATCCAATTCAGCTACCAAGGGATATTATTTCCAGTTCCAAATACATTTTGGAAGGGACATTAACAAAGTTTAACATCCTTAGGGAGCAATCGGGATGATAAAAATGATACCATATGAGAAATAGTTGGAATAGCGAAGGATATTTATCTCAAAGGGTGGAAAAACTGTGAGGGGAAGGGTAGAGAGGATAGACTAACTACCTTAAGATATCTAAAAGATTATCATGTAGAAAACAGATCCAAATTTTATATAGCTTGAGGGCAGAATTAAGGTCATTAAATACAACTGTAAATAGTAGATTTTAACCCAAGGATGGGCTTTATAACAATCGATGGTAGCACCAAATGGATTGGGTTGCCTTGTAGATTATGAGTTCCTCCTATCACTTAAAGGAACTTCAGCATGGACTGGGAGACTGGGTTAAACCTTTCCAAGTCTATAATTATCCTGAAGAATTAATGCTCAGTATAATTCAAAACACATGAGAATTGCCTTCCCTGAGGTGTTAAATTTTATTTCAAGTCAATCAAAATAGATGTAAGTGGCCAGGCACAGTGGCTCACGCCTGTAATCCCAACACTTTGGGAGGCTGAGGTGGGTGGATCACTTGAGGTCAGGAGTTCAAGACCAGCCTGGCCAACATGGTGAAACCCCATCTCTACCAAAAACTACAAAAATTAGCCGGGTGTGGTGGCACATGCCTATAATCCCAGCTACTTGGGAGGCCAAGGGACGAGAATCACCTGAACCTGGGAGGTGGAGGGTGCAATGAGCCAAGACTGCCACTGCACTCCAGCCTGGGTGATAGAGTGAGACTCTGTCTCAAAAAAAAAAAAAAAAATAGAAGTATAAAATCAAAGATATTCTCATTTCACAATTTTGTGTAGTTCAAGTAGTCACCCTATTTCAGAAAATATTAGATAAAACCATCATTCAACATGAGCAGGAGAATCTCAATTTGAAGCTTTTGAGTGGAGATCTTATCTTCCCAGAGGTTGTTTCCATGCTAATAGTTCAGATTTCACTGTTTTGAAAAGTAAATATTTATTTAGAAGCACTCAAGTGAACAATATATACACATTAGCAGAGTGTGAGCTTTTTGAGAAGGAGGAAAACCAGAATTACCAGAGTTTAAGAGTGAAAGGTGGAAGGATGACTGATGAAAGACAGAAACCTTGGGTTTGGAGGAAGGCACCAAACAAAAAGGGTAAGATAGGGTAAAAAAATATAGGATCTAAGTGAAATGGAGGTGGGGAAAATGATACCACAGAAAACAAGTATATATGGAGCAGATGAATTGAGAATATAGAAGAAAATAGGGTATGAATATTAGACAAGGGTGACAAAAAGGTTTTTGAAGTGAAAAGGTGTGGGTGCAATAAAGTATGCTGGGATAATTTAAGGCTTCTCTGTGAAAGCATCTTCAGGCTTTGTACTGGGTAAGTGGAAAGGCAGGAAGGCACGGAAAGAGAAAAATGTCAAAGAAAGCTTTTGGTATAAAGGGGCTGGGAAGTCAGGAATCTTAAGGGTAACAGTAGTTGGGAAAATAGCACTATGGAAGCAAAAAATGGGACAAAAAGGACCAGCAAGCAATGGTGCATGTTTAAATGAAGGGTTTGGGAGATTCTACAATGGTGATATGTAAGGTTTTACAGTATACATGTATGTACATACATTTAGTCCAGTCAACTGCGTAAAGAGAGCCACCAGGAGGTGCCAAGGAGAGGAGGTTGACAGCTAATCTAGCGAGAATGTGGGAATGTGGAGGTGGGGGATACAGAGACAAAGGCACATACAAAACCCTGGTGTCTGTATACGACACAAAAGTTTCTATTTCTCCCTTTTTTTTTTTTTTTTTTTGAAACAGAGTTTTGCTCTTATGGCCCAGGCTGGAGTGAAATGGCGTGATCTCAACTCACTGCAACCTCCGCCTCCCAGGTCCAAGCCATTCTCCTGTCTCAGCCTCCCAAGTAGCTGGGATTACAGGCGCCCGCCACCACGCCTGGCTAATTTTTTTATTTTTAGAAGAGATGGGGTTTCAACATGTTGGCCAGGCTGGAATTGAACTGCTGATCTCAGGTGATCCACCTGCCTCGAACTCCCAAAGTGCTGGGATAACAGGTGTGAACCACTGTGCCAGGCTGCTTTTTTTTTTTTTATTAGGGTTTTCTTTCTTTTTTTTTTTTGAGACAGAGTTTCACTCTTGTTGCCCAGGCTGGAGTGCAATGGCACGACCTCGGTTCACCACAACCTCCGCCTCTTGAGCTCAAGTGATTCTCCCACCTCAGCCTCCTGAGTGGCTGGGATTACAGGCACCCACCACCACACCCGGCAATTTTGTATTTTTAGTAGAGACAGGGTTCCTCTATGTTGGCCAGGCTGGTCTTGAACTCCTGACCTCAGGTGATCCGCCCGCCTCGGCCTCCCAAAGTGCTGGGATTATAGGCATGAGCCACCGCGCCCAGCCTTAAGGTTTTCTTTTTTGAGACGGAGTCTTGCTCTGTCGCCCAGGCTGGAGTGCAGTGGCGCAATCTCGGCTCACTGCAACCTCCGCCTCCCGGGTTCAAGGGAGTCTCCTGTCTCAGCCTCCCAAGTAGCTGGGACTACAGGCACGTGCCACCACACCCAGCTAATTTTTTGTATTTTTAGTAAAGACGGGGTTTCACTGTGTTAGCCAGGATGGTCTCGATCTCCTGACCTCGTGATCCGCCCGCCTCGGCCTCCCAAAGTGCTGGGATTACAGGCGTGAGCCACTGAGCCCAGCCAAGGTTTTCAAATACGTAGAATAAAGGTTATTTTAATGGGGAAAAGGATATAAGGTAGAATGCACGCCAGATTACCACTGTATGAAAATGTATACTTATAGACAAGACTCGGAAAGTAATATTAAATAAATCGAGAAAATGTTAAGGTGACGGGATTATAGGTGATCTTTTTCTCCAGAATGTCTTTAATAATATTGTCACTTAAAACCTCTCTTTCTGGCCAGGCGCGGTGGCTCACGCCTGTAATCCTAGCACTTTGGGAGGCCAAGGCAGGCGGATCACGAGGTCAGGAGATAGAGATCATCCTAGCTAACACGGTGAAACCCCGTCTCTACTGAACATTCAAAAAATTAGCTGGGATGGTGGCGGGCGCCTGTAGTCCCAGCTACTCGGGAGGCTGAGGCAGGGGAATGGCGTGAACCTAGGAGGTGGAGCTTGCAGTGAGCCGAGATTGTGCCACCACACTCCAGCCTGGGTGACAGAGTGACTCCATCTCAAAAAAAAAAAAAAAAAAAAACTCTTTCTGTGGTTTTGTCAACCACAGAAAAAGGCTATATCCAGTCACTGCTATGCCCTAAGACTTCAGACCCGTGTCTTCAATCATAGATGTGGATGTTCTCCCAGGAACTAAGCATCCCCTAGGACTCTATATCCAGGATGGTTCTAGCCTAAGGGAGACACCACATGGCTTAGAGAGCATCCCAGGGATCTTTTATATCCTGGCTTGTTCCAGGCCTGGCTCACAGCACAGAACTATGAACTGTTAATGATGAAGTTTTTAGAAGTTGATGGTACATAAGTTTCAGGGAAGCATCTCAATCAAGTAAACAGACATGATGAGTGCAAACAGCAGCCACCTCATCCTAACAGTGAGACCAGCAACCAGGAGAATAATGTTACTGGGAACAGTCAGACTTCTGGTAGCTCCAGCCAATCTGCTGATAATAGCCTTCTTGCCTAACCACAGCAGATTGAACCAAACTTTGAGCCAAAGGATGAAGACAGTGGGGAAGGTGACAATATTATTTAAGATAATGGTGTGCCACAGAAGACTGCTAAAGCCATTCCTACCATCAAAAGCCTGGAATCGTTAACATAAACAGAACAAACTCATTCTTGAGTCTCGATAGAATGATTTTACTTCTTCTAATTAAGTGAATTTAGCAGTAGTACAAACATAGAATTTGAAACATATGCTCCAGATCAAAAACTCTTAGAAGATGGAACTATCATAACATTATGAAACCATCATTTGAATGTTTTCTGAATGAGGATGTCATAGGACTTGTAAATTTGGGTAGTTTAAGAGCTTTTAAACCTCTGAGCCAACGACCCAGAATAAGCATGAGAACAATAATATTACAAGTTTGAAATGTTATTAAAATAAATAGAAACAGAAAGTAGATTAGTGGTTGCCTAGGGCTGGGGAGGGGGAAATAGGAAGTGACTACAAATGGTTACTGGGGTTGTTTCTGGAGTAATGAAAATGTTCTAAAATTAGATTGTGGTGATAGTTGCACAACTCTGCATATACTAAAAGCCACTGAACTATATACTTTAAATGGATCTTATGGTATATAAATTTTATCTTAATAAAGCTGTCAAAATGTTATTAAAATAGTAGTTTGGTAACTGCATAAACTTTGGTGGATCAGAGGTGATTTTAAGTCTAAAACAAAGAGGCTTTTGCTAATGAAATTACGTGCTTTTGATATGGAAAATGGGATGTTAGTACATTTTCAGAACTAGGTGAGAGGACTAAGTCATTTCTGTTTGAAGTGGTTACATATTTAACCTGTTTCACAGAGCCCAGTGAATTTTTCCTTTAACTATATTCTTTAAATTCTTTTTTTTTTTTTTTCTTTGAGACGGAGTCTCGCTCCCAGGCTGGAGTGCAGTGGCGCGATCTCGGCTCACTGCAAGCTCCGCCTCCCGGGTTCACGCCATTCTTCTGCCTCAGTCACCCGAGTAGCTGGGACTACAGGCGCCCGCCACCACGCCCGGCTAATTTTTTTGTATTTTTAGTAGAGACGGGGTTTCACCGTGTTAGCCAGGATGGTCTCGACCTCCTGACCTCGTGATCCACCCGCCTCAGCCTCCCAAAGTGTTGGCATTACAGGTGTGAGCCACCGTGCGTGGCTATATTCTTTAAATTCTAATGAGAAAAAGTTTGATTCTATCTCTTGGTACTGGAGGACCTCAGTTCTTATGTTCCCAGTATTCTTATTTCTAATGTTGTTCTTCTGTTGCTAATTGTAACAAATCACTTTCTGGAATGCTTTTAAGAAATTAAGCCAATTACTATTTTTAGGAGTTGCTTTCCATGTTATGAAGCACTTGAAGCTATGTTCCTGAATTACAAAATTCTCTGACAGTTGTTCACATTGGTGTTTGTACATCCTGTAGCTTATATATTTAAAAACTAATTCCAAACAGGTATAGTTTGTGTTGTAAAAAGCAGTTAATGGCCGGGCGTGGTGGCTCATGCCTGTAATCCCAGCACTTTGGGAGGCCGAGGCAGGCGGATCACTTGAGGTCAGGAGTTTGAAACCAGCCTGGCCAACATGGCGAAAACCCCATCTCTACTAAAAATACAAAAAGTAGTCAGGCGTGGTGGTGCATGCCTATAATCCCAGTTACTCAGGAGGCTGAGATATGAGAATTACTTGAACCCAGAAGGCGGGGGTTGCAGTGAGCCCAGATCATGCCACTGTACTCCAGCCTGGGTGACAGAGCAAAACTCTGTCTCAAAAAAAAAAAAAAAGGCAATTAATTCACTGACTCTGGTAATATGAGACTCTCTCCTTTAACATTCTTGTATTTACTCCTAATTTCACTAGAAAGCATTCCCTGTGTTTTGTGTGTCCATATGTACATTGGAATGCTTTTGTACTCTTTTAATGTATTCAAGTAGTGTGAATGTTTTTGATAAAAAATGTACCAAGATTAAAAGATTTTTACACATGGAACAAACCTGTGTATTTTTTCATACAACGATTTTGGATTTTCTTTAATGGGATTATTCTAGGAAGACTGCCTAACATTGATAGAAATATGTGGTATTTACCACTGATGGGTAGAGTTTACTCATATTATTTTCCTTTTTATTTATTTATTTATTTATTTAAAAGACAAGGCCTTGCTCTGTTGCCCGAGTTGGAGTGCAGTAGTGTGATCATAGCTCACTGTAACCTCGACCTCCTGGGCTGAAGCAATCCTCCCACCTCAGCCTCCTGAGTAGCTGGGACTATAGCCACATGCCACCATGCCCTGCTAATTTTAAAAAGTTTTCTTAGAGATGTGGTTTCTCTATGCTGTACAGGCTGGTCTGGAATTCCTGGACTCAAGCTATACTCCTGACTTGGCCTCCCAAAGTGTTGTGATTATAGGCGTGAACCACTGTGTTTGACTAGTTTTTTACTATTATGAACAATGCTGGAGTGAATGACCTTCTATCTAAACCTACTTATGTAATGTTTGCTTTTCACACCAATAATAGATGGCCTCAAACAGGGCAGTGTCCTGTCACTACCTCCATTTAATCTATCTTGTTTTTGACTAGTAATAGTCTCAAGAAGCATCTGACTAAAGTAGTTGGAAAAAAAAAAAAAGCAGCATGAGGTCACATGCGGTGGCTCACCCCTGTAATCCCAACACTTTGGGAGGTTAAGGCGGGAGAATCACTTCAGCCCAGGAATTTAAGACCAGACTGGGCAATGTAGGCCAAGGAATTCCAGGTTACAGTGAGCTGTGACTGCGTCACTGCACTTCAGCCTATACAACAGGTCAAGACACTGTCTTAAAAAACAAAAAAAGTAGTATGAATACACTTATAAATCTATAAGAAGGCTGGGTGCAGTGGCTCACACCTGTAATCCCAACACTTTGGGAGGCCGAGGTGGGTGGATCGCTTGATTTCGGGAGTTCAAGACCAGCCTGGCCAACATGGTGAAACACCGTCTCTACTAAAAATACAAAAATTAGTCAGGCGTGGTGGCACATGCCTGTAATCCCAGCTACTCGGGAGGCTGAGGCAGGGGAATCGCTTGAACCTGGGAGGCAGAGGTTGCAGTGAACCGAGATGGTGCCACTGTACTCCAGCCTGGGCGACACAGCGAGACTCCGTCTCAAAAAAAAAAAAAATCTATAAGAAAAAGATTAATACGTTGATAGAAAACAGGCAAATTTACAAGTGGGAAATATTAATGGTCAACAAACATATGCAACAATGTTAAACCTCATTAATAATCAAAGAAATAAACACTTTAAAAGATAACATTTTTATCCTATTTGGCAAAGGTCAACATTACTACCAACAACGAAAACGCAGTGGCTGGAGAGTATGAAGCAAGAGGCATTTGCCTGTTAGAACTAAAAACTGGTACATCTTTTCTGGAAGGTAATCTGGCAATATATGTTCTAAAAGTCTTAAATATATGATTATCTCTTGAACCATCCATTCTAGTTCTAAACATATTCTCAAAAAAATAAAAATAAATAAATCCCTGATCAGGCCGGGCGCGGTGGCTCACGCCTGTAATCCCAGTATTCTAGGAGGCCAAGGCAGGCGGATCACCTGAGGTCAGGAGTTCAAGACCAGCCTGGCCATGGTGAAACCCCGTCTCTACTAAAAATACAAAAAATTAGCCAGGCATGGTGGTGCACGCCTGTAATCCCAGCTACTCGGGACGCTGAGGCAGGAGAATCACTTGAACCTGGGAGGCAGAGGTTGCAGTAAGCTGAGATTGTGCCATCGTACTCCAGCCTGGGAAACAAGAGGGAAACTCCATCTCAAAAAAAAAAAAAAATAAATCCCTGATCAGCCAGGCGCAGTGGCTCATGCCTGTAATCCCAGCACTTTGGGGGCTAAGGTGGGTGGATCACTTGAGGTCAGGAATTCAAGACCAGCCTGGCCAACATGGCAAAACCTAGGCTCCACAAAAAAAAAAAAAAAAAAAAAAAATACAAGAATTAGCTGGGGGTGGTGGCACACACCTGTAGTCCCAGCTACTCAGGAGACTGAGGCAGGAGAATTGTTTGAATTCGGGAGGTGGAGGTTGCAGTGAGCCAAGATTGCGCCACTGCATTCAAGCCTGGGCAACAGAGGGAGACTCCATCTCAAAAAAAAAAAAAAAAAATCCCCCATCATTTCATTATGAGTGTATATATAAGGATGTTCCATAAAGTGCTATTTACTAAAAACAATTCAATATCTAACAAAAGAGGACAATACTATGGTAATATGGGCCACCAGGTAACCATTAAAAATTCATGTTCAGGATGTATTTTAAAAACATGCATATATTATACAGGGGCCATGTTAACCTTCTCTGTATCATTCCAATTTTAGTATATGTACTGCCAAAGCGAGCACCATGATGTTGTATTAAGTGGAAAAAGCTGGTTACAAAATGATGTTGTATTATATAACCCAAATTATAAAAAATACAGATATATAAAGACAGGCTAAATTACATATCAAAATTCTGCTGTGGTTATCTCTGAGCAGTGAGATTATTTTCTTTGCGCTTTTCTTAACTTTCTAAATTCTATACAGCAAATATATTAGATTCTAATGAAAAGAAATAAGCAGGTGGACTCTTGATTAGTCAGGCACCCTTGTACAATCCTGCCAACCAGACTATGGGTGTAATCTGGTTATTTGCCATGTGACAATGCTTCCTCCCTCTGTGAATACACTGGCCAAGTAAACTATCAATAGCAAGGCCTGGTAATGCAAAGTTTTGGCTTTTCATTCACAGGAAGTAATTTTTATGACTTAGAAAGGGAAGGATATGTTCTTTGGTTCTTATCTTTTTGCCTATCCTGAGAATTTCTGCCAGCTTGTTACATAGGTAACTGCCTCTGAGCAACCCACCAGGTTTTTTTTTTTTTTTTTCAGACGGACTCTTGCTGTGTCGCCCAGGCTGGAGTGCAGTGGCGCAATTTGGGCTCACTGCAACCTCCACCTTCCAGGTTCAAGCAATTCTTCTGCCTCAGCTTCCCAAGTAGCTGGGATTACAGGCGTGTGCTACCAGGCCCAGCTAATTTTTTTTTTTTCTATTTTTAGTAGAGATGTGGTTTCACCATGTTGGTCAGGCTGGGCTCGAAACTCCTCACCTCAAGTGATCCACCTGCCTCAGACTCCCAAAGTGCTGGGATTACAGGTGTGTGCCGCCACGACGCCTGGCTGATTTTTGTATTTTTAGTAGAGACAGCGTTTCATCATGTTGGCCAGGCTGGTCTCAAACTCCTCATCTCAAGTGATCTGCTCGCCTTGGCCTCCCAAAGTGCTGGGATTACAGGCGTGAGCCACCGTGCCTGGCGATCATCAGGTTTCAAAAAAGAGAGAGAGAGAGGGCCAGACATGGTGGTTCATGCCTGTATTCCCAGCACTTTGGGAGGTCAAGGCAGGAGGACTGCTTGAGCCCAGGTGTTTGAGGCCAGCCTGGGCAACATGGTGAGACCCCATCTCTACAAAAAAAAATAAAATAAAAATTAGGCCAGGTGTGGTGGCTCACGCCTGTAATCCCAGCACTTTGGGAGGCCGAGGCGGGAGGATCATCTGAGGTCAGGAGTTCGAGACCAGCCTGACCAACATGAAGAAACCCCGTCTCTAGTAAAAATACAAAATTAGCCGGGCGTGCTGGCGCATGCCTGTAATCCCAGCTACTCAGGAAGGCTGAGGCAAGAGAATCACTTGAACCTGGGAGGCCGAGGTTGCGGTGAGCCGAGATTGCGCCATTGCACTCCAGCCTGGGCAACAACAGCGAAATTTCGTCTCAAAAAAAAAAAAAATTAAAAATTAGTCGGGCATGGTTGCACATGCCTGTAGTCCCAGCTACTCAGGAAGCTGAGGTGGAAGGACTGCCTGAGCCTGGGAAGCAGAGTCTGCAGTGAGCTATGATTGTGCCAGTGCACTGTACCCTGGGAGACAGAATGAAAAGCTATCCAAAAAAAAGAGAGAGAGAGGGATACAGGTCAAGTCCCAGAGATAAAAGCAGTCATCAGATCATGTCCATGGTGGTTGGCCAGAAACAAATGCCTTTTGGTCCACTGCTTGAGTGGCAGTAAACCAGCAGCAGAAGAGAAGGGCTGAGAAACACAGGTGATACCTGATTGCTACTTATTGGGTTTCTTTTTTTGTGATGGAGTCTTGCTCTGTCACCCAGGCTAGAGTGCAGTGGCGTGATCTCGGCTCACTGCAACCTCCATCTCCCAAATTCAAGTGATTCTCCTGCCTTAGCCTCTTGAGTAGCAAGACTACAGGGGCGCGCCACCATGCCCGACTAATTTTTGTATTTTTAGTAGAGACGGGGTTTCGTCATGTTGGCCAGACTGTTCTCAAAACTTCTGACTTCAGGTGATCTGCCCGCCTCAGCCTCACAAAGTGCTGGGATTACAGGCGTGAGCCACCACACCCGGCCAACTTATTGTTAACTTGAGTTGAAAATAAAAGGACTTGCTAAGTGAGACACTAGTGTGCCAAAAAAAAAAAGGACGAAAAAAAAAAAAGGACTTCTTGTGGAAAAATTTTTCTGAGTGATATCTATCTTTGGAGTTATGAACTGTTCATCCACTGCCTTGTAAAAATTTACAATGACTTTGGGGCCTGGTAAGAAGAAAGAAGTATCCGCGAACTTTGGGCAAAAACTTCCCTAAAATAATTTTAACAAAACGAGCAGCTCAGAATCAAGTATACTAAAAAGCATCATCATTATTATTATTACTATGAGATGGAGTCTCGCTCTGTCACCAGGCTGGAGTGCAGTGGCACAATCTCGGCTCACTGCAACCTCCGCCTCCTGGGTTCAAGCAATTCTCGTGCCTTAGCCTCCAGAGTAGCTGGGATTACAGGCACGTGCCACCATACCCAGCTAATTTTTGTATTTTTAGTAGAGATGGGGTTTCACCATGTTGGCCAAGATGGTCTCGATCTCCTGACCTCGTGATCCTCCCGCCTCATTCTCCCAAAGTGCTAGGATTACAGGCATGAGCCACCGCACCCGGCCATTATTATATTTTGTAGACACTCACGAGCAAAAATTGTTCATAATAACTATGTCTTGCTGGACAGGATAATAAAAATCATTCTCTTACTTTACAGAAAAAGAAACTAATCCACTTGGGAAACATAGGTAGACCCAGTCACTAAAAAAAACAAAAAAACAAAAAAAACCCCAAAAAACTAAGGCATGGTGGCTGGAGCCTGTAGTCCCAGCTACTCGGGAGGATGAGGTGGGAGGATCACTTGAGCCTGGCCACTCCAGCCTGGGCTGATAGAACCAGATCCTGTCTCAAAAAAAAAAAAAGAAAGAAAAAGAAACTAAAACATAAGGAAGGTAAATGATTTGACTAAGGCCATAGAGCTGATTAGTGGCATGGAACCGGAACTTACTGTACTCTGATACTTTGTCCAGATAACTTATTCTGACAGAGTGATTAGAAAGCAGTTCATACAATCAGATGGTTCCAGAAATGCCATGGATGACTTCATAAGCAGGTAATACCTACCCCTAGACATTTCTCAGAACGAAGTATTCTTTTTTTTTTCTTTAAGAGATGGGGTCTCGACCAGGCTTGGTGGCTCATGGCCAGGTGTGGTGGCTCACACCTGTAATCCCAGCACTTTGGGAGGCTGAGGTGGGTGGATCACTTGGTCAGGAGTTCGAGACCACCCTGGCCAACATGGTGAAACCCGGCCCCTACTAAAAATACAAAAATTAGCTGGGCATGGTGGCATATGCCTGTAATCCCAGCTACCCGGTAGGCTGAGGCAGGAGAATCACTTGAACCTGGGAGGCGGAGGTTGCATTGAGCCCAGATCGTGCCAATGTACTCCAGCAGCCTGGCTGACAGAGTGAAACTCCGACTCCCTCACACACACACACGCACACACAAAAAGAGATGGGGTCTTACTATGTTGCTCAAGCTGGTCTTGAACTCCTGGCCTCAAGTGATCTTCTCACCTCAGAGTGAAGTATTCTATTCCATGATCATGTTAGGATCTCAAGCAAGTACTTAAACAACTTTTTTTTTTCTTCTGGGACAGGGTCTTGCTCTATCGCCCAGACTGGAGTGCAGTGTCACAATCTTGGCTCACTGCAACCCCTGCCTTGCGGTTTCAAGCAATCCTACCACCTCAGCCTCCTGAGGAGCTGGACTCCAGGCAGGCGACAGCACACTCAGCTAATTTTTAAATTTTTTTTTGTAGAGACAAGGTCTCACTATATTGCCCAGGCTGATCAAACAAGTTATGGATAAGAGCCCACATCTTTTCTCTTTCTTCAGTAAAAATATTTAACTCTATCTGAAAGCCACAGTGCTATCTATATTCAAACATTTAGTACGTTTCTCTTCTGTCTAGGTTTTAATTTTTTTAAATGACACAAAGTAAAGGAAACTGTGCTACAAACCAAATTTAAACGATACAACATATTTCATGAGTGTCCGCATGTACCCAAATACTATCTACAAACTAATTTTCATTTTCCTTCATCCCATCATTTTAGCTACAAGTAAGTACTTCTCTACTAAACATGCTGAATTTAAACTAAAAATTTTCAATCTTGGCTGGGCATGGTGGCTTAAGCCTGTAATCCCAGCACTTTGGGAGGTTGAGGTGGGCAGACCACCTGAGGTCAGGAGTTCGAGACCAGCCTCGCCAAAATGGCAAAACCCTGTCTCTACTAAAAATACAAAAAAATTAGCTGGGCGTGGTGGCGCGTGCCTGTAGTCCCAGCTACTAAGGAGGCTGAGGCACGAGAATCGCTTGAACCTGGGCGGCAGAGGTTGCAGTGAGCTGAGATTGCGCCACTGCACTCCAGCCTGAGCGACAGAGCGAGACTCCGTCTCAATTAAAAAAAAAAATCAATCCTCTTTGGTTTAATGTAAGGTCAAAATTTAAGCATGGGCTTGTGTGATTCTATAGCTCATCTTCTCTTCTTTCACGATGTTACCTTTGATAATAACTAACATATGTAATGTGCTTTACAATTTAGAATGTTTTCATATATGGAATCTAATTTAACCTACATAATATATCATAGGCCTCATCTGAAATATGAGGAAACAGTAGTTCTGACTGTTACTCATCAAAGGTCATGCACCCAGTGATTATGACCAATATAGGTCTAAGGAAATTACTACAAGGATTACTGGCAGAAGGGACAGTCCAATGAGGTAGCAGAAAATGTTAGGCTTCCTTCCCTTTCAAGGCCTAAAAAATTAGCTAGAACCATAGAAAGGTTAAGTCACATGGTAATATATGCTGAGATGTCTGTGTTTTTTTTTTCTTTTCTTTATTTTTGAGATGGAGTCTCACTCTGTCATCCAGGCTGGAGTACAGTGGCATGATCTCAGCTCACTGCAACCTCCACCTCCCAGGCTCAAGTAATTTTCCTGCCTCAGCCTCCTAAGTAGCTGGGATTGCAGAGGCATGACCCAGCTTTTTTTTTTTTTTTTTTTTTTGTATTTTTTTAGTAGAGATGGGGTTTTGCTCTGTTGGTCAGGCTGGTCTTGAACTCCTGACCTCAAGTGATCCACCTGCCTCGGCCACCCAAAGTGCTGGGATTTCAGGTGTGAGCCACTGCGCCCAGCCAGATGTCTGTATTTCTGTATTTAAGGTGAATAAGATGATTACAGAAATAAGAATAAAATTTCAAACCATAATATTTTATAAGTACCAGGGAATGCACAATGGCAGCAGCCTTGTCCGGTTTAAGAAATCAGCTTTAATCCACTTGGTTCAACATCTGACCATCTGAGATCAAGCTATTCTCAGTCTGTACAGGTAAACGTGACTTTTCACTATGACCCATATCCTCGAAAATACATAAAACTATATCATAACAAGGTGAATCACATGTATCCATAACAAAGACTGGGTACCAAATCATACCAAAATCAAATCCCAAAATGTATCAAACAGCAGAGCTACAAATGTATCACAATTTAAAACAATAAAAGCCCATGCCAAGTCCTGCAAAATGGACATAAGTATGTTTTTATCATATAAAGGATAACCTATTATTAACCACATACAGAGCAGATAAAATATATAATCCATAAATTTGGCCTCAAATTCCTGTTTTTGTTTTTTGAGATAGGGTCTTGCTCTGTCCCCCAAGCTGGAATGGGGTGCCCTGATCTTGACTCACTGCAACCTCCACCTCCTGGGCTCAAGTGATCCTCCCACCTCAGCCTCCAGAGTAGCTGGGATTACAGGTGCACGCACAACCATGCCCAGTTAATTTTTCTATTTTTAGTAGAGATAGCATTTTACCATGTTGCCCAGGCTGGTCTTGAACTCCTGGACTCAAGGGATCTCCCTGACTTGGCCTCCCAAAGTGCTGGGATTAAAGGCATGAGCCACCATGCCTGGCCTGGGATTGTTATGTGGAATTTTTTTCCTTGACAAAATCTCAGATAATCAGGCTTAAAAACTATTATAATGGGTTTTGAATCGTTGGAATCAACTAGTCCTTAAGCCCAGCCACCCTGGGTTTTTTGTTTGTTTGTTTGCTTGTTTGTTTGTTTTGAGACAGGGCCTCACTCTTGTCACTCAGGCTAGAATGCAGTGGTGCCCTCATGGCTCACTGCCACCTTGACCTCCCGGGCTCAAGCGATCTTCACAGGCGCGTGCCATCACATCCAGCTAATTTTTTTATTATTGGTAGAGACGGGGTCTCACGATGTTGCCCAGGCTGGTCTCAAACAATCCTCCCACCTCAGCCTCCCAAAGTGCTGGGCTTACAGGTATGAGTCACCATGCCTGACCCTGTTACTTTACAGATGAAGAAAGTGCAGTATAAAATAATACACTGGATAAATAAAAAATGTATTTTGAAAGACTTCAGGCTGGGCGCAGTGGCTCATGCCTGTAATCCCAGGACTTTGGGAGGCCAAGGCAGGTGGATGACCTGAGGTCAGGAGTTCGAGACCAGCCTGGCCAACATGGTAAAACACTATCTCTACTAAAAATAGAAAAATTAACTGGGCATGGTTGTGCGTGCGCCTGTAATCCCAGCTACTTGGGAGGCTGAGGCAGGAGAATCACTTAAACCCAGGAGGCAGAGGTTGCAGTGAGCTGAGATTGCACCAATGCGCTCCAGCCTGGGCAACATGAGCAAAACTCCGTCTCAAAAAAAAAAAAAAAAAAAGGCCAGGTACGGGGGCTCACACCTGTAATCCCAATACTTTGGGAGGCCAAGGCGGGCGGATCACAAGGTCAGGAGTTCAAGACTAGCCTGGCCAACATGGGGAAACCATGCCTCCACTAAAAATACAAAAATTAGCCGGGCGTGGTAGCACATGTCTATAATCCTAGCTACTCAGGAGGCTCAGGCAGGAGAATCACTTGAACCCAGGAGGCGGAGATGCAGTGAGCTGAGATTGTGCCACTGCACTCCAGCCTGGGGGACAGAGTGAGACTCTGTCTAAAAAACCAAACCAAACCAAAAAAAAAAAAAAGACTGCTGGGCGCAGTGGCTCACACTTGTAATCCCAGCACTTTGGGAGGCTGAGGCGGGCTAATCACGAGGTCAGGAGATGGAGACCATGGTGAAACCCCGTCTCTACTAAAAATACAAAAACATTAGCCAGGCGTGGTGGCGGGCACCTGTAGTCCCAGCTACTTAGAGAGGCTGAGGTAGGAGAATGGCATGAACCCAGGAGGCGGAGGTTGCAGTGAGCTGAGATCGCACCACTGCACTCCAGCCTGGGCGACAGAGCGAGACTCCGTCTCAAAAAAAAAAACAGAAATGTTAACTATAGAATGTTGAAGGGGGGGGGGGGATTAAAACAACCTGTAGACAATATGATCGTCATTATTCTATTTCATAAATTTTCTATAATAAACACATATCTCTGGCCAGGCACGGTGGTTCATGCCTGGAATCCCAGCACATTGGGAGGCCGAGGCGGGCAGATCACATGAGGTCAGGAGCAAGACTCCGTCTCAGAAAAATAAATAAATACATAAAATAAAATAAGCCAGGTGTGGTAGCACACCTGTAGTCCCAGCTACTTGGGAGGCTGAGGCAGAAGAATCGCTTGAACCTGGGAGGCGGAGGTTCAGTGAGCCAAGATCTCACCACTGCACTCCAGCCTGGGTGACAGAGCTAGACTCTGTCTGAAAAATATATATATTATATATGTAATATATTTTACATATTATATTGTGTTATATATTATATATATTTTACATATATTGTATTATATATTATATATAATATATTATACATGTAATATATTATATACTATATTATATATATCATACATTATTATATACATATTATATATTTTGATATTATATATGATATATCATATATTATATATTAATCATATATAATATATTGTATATAATATAATTTATATCATATATATTATATATCATGTATAATATATATTATATAATATATATAGAAACACATATTTCTTTTATAACTTAAAATACTCAAAGGCCGGCACAGTGGCTCATGCCTGTAATCCTGGCACTTTGGGAGGCCAAGGCGGGCAGATCACATGAGGTCAGGAGTTCAAGACCAGCCTGGGCAACATGGTGAAATCCTGTCTCTACTTAAAATACAAAAAAGGCTGGGTGTGGTGGCTCACACCTGTAATCCCAGCACTTTGGGAGGCTGAGGTGGGTGGATCACGAGGTCAGGAGTTCGAGGCCAACCTGGTTAACATGGTGAAACCCCGTCTCTACTAAAAATACAAAAATTAGCCAGTTGTGGTGGCGTGCGCCTGTAATCCCAGCTACTCGGGAGGCTGAGGCAGGAGAATTGCCTGAACCCAGGAGGCGGAGTCTGCAGTGAACAGAGATCGCAGCCATTGCACTCCAGCTCTGGGCGACAGAGCAAGACTCTGTCTCCGAGGGGAAAAAAAGAGATACCAAAAAAAAAAAAATTAGCCAGGTGTGGTAGCACACGCCTGTAATCCCAGCTACTTGGGAGGCTGAGTCACCAGAATTACTTGAACCCAGGAGGTGGAGGTTGCAGTGAGCTGGGATCATGCACTGAACTCCAGCCTGGGTGACACAGCAAGACAATGTCTCAAAAACAAATAAATAAAATAAAATATTCAAAATACCCTTTTATTTTTTTTGAGTCGGAGTCTCGCTCTGTAGCTCAGGCTGGAGTGCAGTGGCGCAATCTCGGCTCACTGCAAGGTCCGCCTCCCGGGTTCACACCATTCTCCTGCCTCAGCCTCCCAAGTAGCTGGGACTACAGGCGCCTGCCACCACGCCCAGCTAATTTTTTGTATTTTTTTTTTTTTTTAGCAGAGAGGGGTGCCAGGATGGTCTAGATCTCCTGACCTCGTGATCCGCCCGCCTCAGTCTCCCAAAGTGCTGGGATTACAGGCGTGAGCCACCACGCCCGGCCTTAAAATACCCTTTTTATGTTTTGAATTCAACACCTAAAATAACATATCAAAAATGTGAACATGTAAAGAAAGATGGGGTCATTGACATGCACAATCCCACAGCTAATTGGAAACAAAGTCAATAACCTGTACTGTGGTACCCAACGTAGGGCTCTTTCCAAACACTGTAGCACATGACCTCTAAGATACAGAAACAGTATTTGTTAAATTCTAAAGTATTTTTTATCTTATCACTACTGTTTGTCTCTTCATATCTACTCACACAATGTCCTTTAATAGTGCTAACAGGTTACATTTTATAAAACTATTACCAGATTATCTCACAGAGATAAAGCTTGAGAATTGACAGCTCATGATAATCTCCCAGCCTCAAAAGAACAATGGAAAAACAAACAAACACACAAAAGCAAAATAAAAACAGACGAACATAAAAAAGCAAAAAAAAAAAAAAAAGAAGAAAGGCGGCCTGGTGTGATGGCTCGCGCCTGTAATCCCAGCACTTTAGGAGGCCAACGCAGGCAGATCACGAGGTCAGGAGAATGCGACCATCCTGGCTAACATGGTGAAACCCTGTCTTTACTAAAACACACACACACACACACACGGTGAAACCCTGTCTTTACTAAAACACACACACACACACACACACACACACACACACACACACACACACACACGAGAATGCGACCATCCTGGCTAACATGGTGAAACCCTGTCTTTACTAAAACACACACACACACGGTGACACCCTGTCTTTACTAAAACACACACACACACACACACACACACACACACACACACACACACACTCTAAGCCGGGTGTGGTGGCGGGTGCCTGTAGTCCCAGCTACTTGAGAGGCTGAGGCAGGAGAATGGCGTGAAGCCGGGAGGCAGTGCCTGCAGTGAGCCAAGATCGCGCTACTGCACTCCAGCCTGGGCAACAGAGCCAGACTCCGTCGTCTCAAAAAAAAAAAAAAAAAAAAAAAAAACAGAAGAAAGGCATTTGTTTTGCCATATTTATCCTTGGAATCCTACCACATACTACAATGAATGCCTGGAACACATTAAGTGCTCAATGAATGTTTATTTCATAAACTGTAGGTTTTGCTCTCTGCTAATACTACCTACCAGACTTAAATATTAGACCAAACAAAAACAGTGAAATATCATTATTTTATCGCTAAACATTTACAATATAAATACAGGATTTACTAAAGAAATTAATGTTTACAATGAAATAAAAGGAGAACATTTATTTACTAAATTAGTAAATTTATTTAGTAAAATTTATGTTACTAAAATATTTTAAGCACTATACAAATTAGCTGGTCCATTAATTATAATAATTTTGAGAAACTGCTCACTTCCTGAAAATGAAAAAAAAAAGGAAGACAAAATAAAATAAAAACCAAAGAAAAAAATAATAATTCTTAACTATTGAAATGGTCCTGGCTAACCTTTAGATATTATTACTTTGTCAGCCTAGTTGGAATCATCCAATGCACTAGAAAGCAATAAAATTACAGGTATAGTACAAGGGCCACTAGACTAGAACCTAGACTCTAGTCCAAGCTTTGCTAATAATCAGATATATTACGGTGGGCAATATTTTTTTTGAGTCTTAATCTATTTCTAAAAACGAGACAGCTGGGCCAGGTGCAGTGACTCACTTTTTCACCTGAGGTCCCAGCACTTTTTCACCTGAGGTCGGGAGTTTGAGACCAGCCTGACCAACATGGAGAAACCCCGTCTCCACTGAAAATACAAAATTAGCCGGGCGTGGTGGCGCATGCCTGTAATCCCAGCTACTCGGGAGGCTGAGGCAGGAAACTGCTTGAACCTGGGAGGCAGAGGTTGAGGTGAGCCGAGATCGCACCATTGCACTCCAGCCTGGGCAACAAGAGTGAAACTCCATCTCAAAACAAAAACAAAACTAGACAGCTGAACTCCTAATCACTATAAACTGTTTTAGTCTTAACTTTTTATTTGTTTTTGAGGTGGAGTCTCACTCTGTGGCCCAGGCTGGAGTTGAATGTTGCGTTCTCAGCTCACGGCAACCTCCGCCTCATGGGCTCAAGTGGTTCTCCTGCCTCAGCCTCCCAAGTAGCTGGGACTACAGGGGTGTACCGCCACACCCAGCTAATTTTTGTATTTTTAGTAGAGATGGGGTTTCACCATGTTAGCCAGGCTGGTCTTGAACTCCTGACCTCAGGTGATCCGCCCACCTCAGCCTCCCAAAGTGCTGGGATTACAGGTGAAAGCCACCGCACTTGGCCCTAGTCTTAACTTTTTTAAAAAATATGTTCTTATCTACAAAGAGTCTACAATTCAGATTTTTGTTTCTTTGTTTTGTTTGAGACAGGGTCTCACTCTTTCGCCCAGGCTGGAGTACAGTGGCCCAATCATGGCTCACTGCAGCCTCCACCTCCCAAGGCTCAGGTGATCCTCCTGCCTCAGCTCCCCAAAGTAGCTAGGACTACAGGCACAAGCCAGCACGCCCGGCTAATTTTTGTATTTTTATTAGAGAGAGGGCTGCGCCATGTTGCCCAGGCTGCAGATATTTTCCTTGTGTCAATTTTTTTTTTTTTCGGGACAAAGGTGCACTGTTGTCACCCAGGCTGGAGTACAGTGGTGCAATCTCGGCTCACTGCAGCCTCTGCCTCCTGGGTTCAAGCAGTTCTCCTGCTTCAGCCTCCCATGTAGCTGGTACTACAGGTGCACGCCACCACACCCGGCTAGTTTTTTTAGTAGAGGTGGGGTTTCACCATGTTGGCCAGTCTGGACTCCAACTCCTGACCTCAGGTGATCTGCCCGCCTTGGCGTCCCAAAGTGCTGGGATTACAGACATGAGCCACAGCGTCAGGTGTCAAATTTTTCTTGTGGTTTATTAAAAAAAAGGGACCTAATTAGCCAGGTGTGGTGGTGGGCACCTGTAATCCCAGCTACTTGGGAGGCTGAGGCAGAAGAATCACTTGAACCTGGGAGGCGGAGGTTGCAGTGAGCTGAGATGGTGCCATTGCACTCCAGCCTGGGAAACAAAAGCGAAACTCTGTCTCAAAAAAAAAAAAAATGGACTGGCCAGGCGAGGTGGCTCATACCTTTAATCCCAGCACTTTGGGAGGCCGAGGCGGGTGCATCACCTGAGGTCAGGAGTTCGAGATCAGCCTGGCCAACATGGGGAAACCCGGTGTCTACTAAAAATACAAAAATTAGCCAGGCGTGGTGGCGCATGCCTGTAGTCCTAGCTACTGGGGAGGCTGAGTAGCTTGAACCCAGGAGGCGGAGGCTGCAGTGAGTCAAGATAGGGCCACTGCACTCCAGCCTGGATGACAGAGTAAGACTCCGTCTCAAAAAAAAAAATTAATTAATTAATTGATAAAAAAAAACACCATGCTAATCTTCTTTGAATTGTTCGAATTTTAGTATATGTGCTACCACTGAAGCAAGTACCCAGATTTGATATTTTAAATGTGTTAAAAGTTTGCTACATTATTTGATAATCAAGAAGCTTAGGACAATTTCTAAAAATATATGACGACTAGTAACATATTATTTTTACTATCTTACATTAGGAGAGAGCAATACAAGAAAACGAAACATGAGTATCCAATAATGAGGTCTGCTTTGTCAGCTGAGTTGACCTGAATCATACCGGATTTTACAGTACAAACCACTGATATGTATAAATACATATATGCACATAAATGTGTACATACCATTGGTATATACTTGCTTATGTTGATATATATATTTGTGTGGGAAGGTGTGAACTTTAAAACTTTTCAATTATGAAATCAATACGAATTTATAACAAATTCAAACCGTACATTAGATCATGTGAAGTACAAAGTAAAAAGTCTTCTATCTCTCTTCTCCTCCATAAGTCATTACTATTAACATTTTTATTGTGTATCCTTCAAGAAACTATCTGAGCAAATGCAAGTATACACACGTACATGTGAAGGTGTGTGTATAAATCTAAACTGTTGCCACTTCTTGAATGTGGGGGTGGGGGGGAATCTCAAGTACTCCATAAGCATGTTAAATACATTGAAATACATAGAAAGTGGTACCACAGTCACTGGTACAAAGTATTATACTCTTCAGAAATGTGTGTTGAATTGAATACATTTAATTTTCATGCTTGGAGGCGATATGGAGCAATTGCGCAGTAAGAGTGGTGGGCAAGAAGCCAGATAACATGGGTTCTAATCTAACTAGTTGGATAGCCTTTAGCAAGCTATGAAATCTTCCTAAGCCGTGGTTTCTGGTTTTGTAAAAGGACAGGGTTTGACTAAGATCCCTTCCAACTCTAAAATGTTATAATTCTAAGATGGCCGTCTGTAACACTGTTCATTGACTATAATAAATATTATGGGGAAAAAAAAGAATAAGAAAGAAACACTACTGCAACCTCCAGTCTTACAAATTTCTGTGAGTCATTAAACTATCAAAGTATAGTTGTGACAGAACTAGCGACATAATTATATTTGAAAGCAAACTACTAGATTATTAAAATCTGATAGGTTGGAGTTTTTTAACAAAGGTTGGATTGACGTTGTTCCTTTTTCGAAGGTGGAGAGGGCTACTGCTTAGTTTGAGAATAAACACTCCCCTCCCCGAAAAGAAAACAATTTAAGTGTTATGGAGTTAAAATAATGAAACAAAGTCAAATTACATTTTGTTTTACAGAACATGCCGGAAAGGTGACTGGGAAAGCAGATTGGAAAGAATCACCAGCTAATTTCCTCTTCCGGAAGCTCTTTGGCCCTTATTCTTTCAGTTTCATATGCCCTCTCCAGACACACTCCACCCTGCTCCACACAAGCCACAGGTTATCACATGGGGAGGAAATCCCTTTGATCATATTTTTTTAAAAAGTTCTTTGCCTCAATTTACCTTAGGTGTCACAGGGTTTAGGAAGGCAATCCTGCAGGCCTGAAGTCACCCACCCACCCACGCCTGCCGTCGGCAGTCCGAGGAACCCGGGCAAGCAGCCGGGGCCGGGCCACCCCTGATGGGCTGGCGCGGCCTTCCCGCCCTCCCCAGCAGCGCCGGCCCGAGGGAAGTGGAGGGGAAAAGAAGAGGGGAGGGAGGAGAGGGGAAGGAGGGAAAGCGGGGGAGGGGAAAGCCTACACAAGCTGTACCCACCGCGCCAGGACAGCCGGCCCGAACTGCCCCGCGGCGATCGGCTCGGTCCAAGGGGAGGGTCCCGGAGGAGGCGCGGCCCGAGCCCCAATCTGGAAATGCCAACTCCGCTCTGCGGCTTGGCCCCAGCCTAGGTGAAGGAAACGGAAGTCCCTTCGTCTCCCTCACGCGCCTCTACCGGCCGGCCCATCCCCTGGAGAAACCCGGAGTCGTGAAACCCGAAGTGTGTCCACGTCAGGGCCTCAAAGAGACACCGGGCGCGGTCCGTCAGTCTCCCAGCCCGGGCTGCGCCACTGGGCCCCGGCGTGTCCCTCCCACCCCCGGCCGGGAGGTCAGCCTCCTGCCCTGCAAAGCCCCTCCTTCTTCCCCCCTCCGCCATTTTTCAACTTACCACTTGGGCCGGGCGTCCCTCGATGAGCGCCACGCCGGCTCCGGGCGCCGCCAAGGTCCCGCCACCTCCCCGAACCGGATGGGGGCAGTAAGAAAAAATGAGGCCCTTGCAACCCCTACCCCCACCCCCACCCGACCCCCCCGCCCGGCTGGAACCGAGAAGCTGACCTAGCGCGCGCACATGCGCAGTGAGCACCTCGTAGTCTCCGCCCCCAGCTCCAGTGTTTCTTCTTTCAGCCTTAAGGATGGTTTTTCCCACGGTTTTTACCTGTTGGGCCCTGGGGTTGAGGAATAGTGGAAGAAAGGCACAAGGACAGAAAAGAGGAGGAGAAGGGGCGAAAATGTTGAGTTCTTACTATAGATCAGGTACTGTGTTAGGCATATAACGTGTTCTTTGTTGTAATGTTGACAACCCTGTAAGATAAGCACTGTCTTTGGGGGTTTAATAAGCCCATTTTACAAAGGAAACTGAGGCCCACAGGGGATAACTATCCCAGTATCACGCGGCTAATAAGGTAACTGAGGTTAGAATCGGATCTGTTTCCAAGAAGGGAAGGATGAAAGGGATGACAAGAAAGGGAGACCCTGGGGGAATGGCGGGGGTTAAGATTGGGAGGTGAAGGGAAAATTAATAGAGGAAAAAGAAAGCAGATGGACCGGAAACAAAGGAAGTCTGTGTACATAAAATGCTGGTCATACCCTGGATTTATTTCAAATGCGTTGTAGGATTGTCAGATCAACATAGGAATTTTTGTTTCAGGAAAATGGGATCTTACAGGGTAATGTGGTGAGATGATGGATTCTGAATATTTCATTTCAAATGAAATCAAGTGATACAAGATATGATCCTCCCTTCACAACAAGGGAACTTGGAGGGAGGAGAGGAAAGAATTTTCTTAAAACTCGTAGTTGCATGTTTATTCTCCCCTTGGGTGCCCTACCCTATCTTCTAACAAATCAGAACTACTCCTTGTGCCCCGCCTATCCTCAGTTTTCCTGCCTTCCGCTAATTTGTTCAAACTACTCCCTCTGCCTATGTGAAAAGACTGCCCGTGGAAGGCAGCGAGACTCCGTCTCAAAAAAAAAAAAAAAAAAAAGACTGCCCGTACACAAAGCCTTCTCTGATTTTCTTAGCTGAAGTTCATCTCTCCATGCTCTGAACTCTAGTGGCACTTCTCTAATATTTGTTTTTGCTTTTTTTAAGCACCGTTGTTTTCTTGTGGTAAAATGTACATAACATAAAATTTACTGTTTTGGCTGGGCATGGTGGCTCACGCCTGTAATCCTAACACTTTGGGAGGCCGAGGCGGGTGGATCACCAGAAGTCAGTAGTTCGAGACCAGCCTGGCCAACATGGTGAAAACCCGTCTCTACTAAAAATACAAAAATTAGCCGAGTGTGGTGGTGAGTGCCTGTAATCCCAGCTACTTGGTAGGCTGAGGCTGGAGAATCTCTGGAACCCGGGAGTTGGAGGCTGCAGTAAGCCGAGATCGCACCACTGCACTCCACCCTGGGTGACAGAGCGAGACTCCGTCTCAAAATAAATAAGTAAATAAAAATAAATAGGCCGGGCGCCGTGGCTCACGCCTGTAATCCCAGCACTTTGGGAGGCTGAGGCGGGCGGATCACGAGGTCAGGAGATCGAGACCATCCTGGCTAACACGGTGAAACCCCAGTCTCTACTAAAAATACAAAAAATTAGCCGGGCGTGGTGGCAGGCACCTGTAGTCCCAGCTACTCGGGAGCCTGAGGCAGGAGAATGGCGTGAACCTGGGAGGCAGAACTTGCAGTGAACCGAGATCCTGCCACTGCACTGCAGCCTGGGTGACACAGCGAGACTCCGTCTCAAAAAAATAAAAATAAAAATAAATAAATAAATAAATAAAATTTATAAATTAAAATTTATAAATTAAAAATAAATAAAAATAAGTAAATAAATAAAAATTTACCATTTTAACCATTTTTCAGTGGCAATAAGTACATTCACATTGTTGTGCAACCATCTCCAGAACTTTTTTATTGTACTTGGCACTGTATTATGGAGCATAGTGCTTTCTGCCATGTAGTATATATGGCACTTGCGTACACACCTTGTCTCTCCTATGTTGTAAGCTCATTTATGGCAAGATCTATGTGGAACTCATTTTTGTAATTCCTATTCCTCCAAAACCCTTAGAAGTCATCTTTAATTCCTTTCTCTTATATCCCACATCCAATCCATCAGCAAATCTTGTCATCTCTGTCTTCAAAATGAATCCAGAATATCACCAATTCTCGACTCCACCATTATGACCCTAGTGCATCTCTCTTGGACTGTAATAGCCTTCTCACTGGTCTCCCGCTTACATCCTTGCTCTTCTCCAGTCAATTCACACAGTGGCAAGAGTTGTCCTCATGAAACATGTGAGATCATTGTCATTTCACTGCTCAGATCCCTTAATTGGCTTCCCATTTCCCTCAAAGTAAAAACCACAGATTTATAATGACCTACCAAGGCTATCATAGCCACCAAGATGACCACCAATGGTCTTCACCTCTTGCTATTTACACCCTGGGGTAGTTCTCTTCTATAATGAACCAGGGCTGACTGTGTCATCAGTAGTATATGGTAGAAATGATAGCGTGTGACTTACAAGACTAGGTCATAAAAGGCATTGTGGTATCTGCCTTGCTCCGTTTTTGGATTGGTTGCTGTAGGGGAAGCCAGCTGTCATGTCATGAAGATACTCAAACAGCATGTGGAGGCTGGTCTGAGTGAAGTGGTGTTTACAACCAATTGATCACAGCTAGTTACAGATTTCTTTCTTCCTTCTCTACTCTCACTGCTTTACTTCACTAGGCTTTTTTTTAAAAACAGCAGGTGGAGAGACCCACACAAATAGAAACAAAGCCCTTCCCCTCTCCTCATCTCTTCCTCCCCCATCAACAACCAGCACCAATTTGCCAACCATGTGAGTGAGCCGCCTTGGAAGAAGAATCTTCAGGCACAGCCTTCAGAAACTGTAGCCTCTTGGGACCCAGAGCCAGAACCCCCAAGCCAAAGGACTCTTGAATTCCTGTGTATTATTGTCAATAGCCAAATTTTAGGGCAATTTGTTACACAGCAGTAGATACCTAATACAAAGACCCTAAACTCTTACTTTTGTGTCTTCATTTCCTACTATTCTCCTCCTTCTTTCTTTAGCTTTCCTGACTCAGGGTCTGTGTACTTGCTGTTTACTCTGCCCGGAACACTTTCCCCAGATAGCATATCCTTCTCCTCCTTCAAGTCTTTGCTTAATTGTTACCTTCTCCAAAAGGCCTACAGTGACCACAATATTTAAAATTACAGTTCCTCCTCCCAGCACTCCCAATCTCCCTTCCTCTGCTCAACTTTCTGCTTTTTCCATGGCATCTGTCACTTTCTTTTTTCTTTTTCTTTTTTTTTTTGAGACAGAGTTTCGCTCTCGTTGCCCAGGCTGGAGTGCTAATGGCACGATGTTGGCTCACTGCAACCTCCACCTACCAGGTTCAAGCGATTCTCCTACTCAGCCTCCCGAGTAGCTGGGATTACAGGCATGCACCACCACGCCCAGCTAATTTTGTATTTTTAGTAGAGACAGGGTTTCTCCATGTTGGTCAGGCTGGTCTCAAACTCCCGACCTTAGGTGATCCGCCTGCCTCGGCCTCCCAAAGTGCTGGGATTACAGGCGTGAGCCACCGTGCCCGGCATCTGTCACTTTCTAACATACTATATGGTACTTTTAATTATTATGTTTCTTTACTGTACATTGTCTCCTTTCCACTCCTGCTAGAATATAAGCTCTAAGAGCACAAGGATCCTTGTTTTGTTCACTGATATCGTTCGAGTGCTTAGAACAGTATCTGACACAGTGTATGTGCTCAGAAGATATTTGTTGGGTGAGTGAATAAGTGTTTCATGAACATGCCAGATCCTCAGTAAATACTTATTGGGTGAATTGTCAACTGGGAGATATGAACAGCAAAGGCCAGTATACCTGAGATACGGTGTTTAGGTTTTATATGCAGGGACATATGTAAGTGTAAAATTCAAAACACAATATATAGAGAGCTTACTCTTACCTATACAAGGATATTTTATTGTAATTGGTTTTGGTTGAGGAGAAGGAACATTTAGAGAGGAAAAGAATGAAGATATATTAACTTGAACCGCATGAAGTTGCCAATGTTCCACCATTGCCAAATGATGCAAACAGCAATTTAATATGGTTCAACCTAACAGAAGAAAGGAAAATTGATGGCATAAAGACTCAGAGGAAAGGAGAAAGAGATCGGATCAAGCATGAATAGAGGCATTATCCTTGAACAGAAAAAGAGGACACATCCTCAGAGACTAAAGGACACAAGATGTGGATAAGTAGAAGGGAATTTTGAGGATGGCCACCACACCTCAGTGGCAGCTGGATACTGTGGAACGTAAAATATGTAGTTATCCGCTGAGGGGAACGGCAAAGATTTAGCACTAGAACTCTTTTCCAAAATGCAGTTATAGGCCGGGCACAGTGGCTCACGCCTGTAATCACAGCACTGTGGGAGGCCAAGGCAGGCGGATTGCCTGAGGTCAGGAGTTCGAAGCCAGCTTGGGCAACATAGTGAAACCCCGTCTCTACTAAAAATACAAAAAATTAGCTGGGCTTGGTGGCGGGCGCCAGCTACTCGAGAAGCTGAGGCAGGAGAATCACTTGAACCAGGGAGGCAGAGGTTGCAGCGAGCCAAGATCGCGCCATTGCACTCCAGCCTGGGCAACAAGAGAGAAACTCTGTCTCAAAAAAAAAAAAAAAAAAAAGGCCGGGCGCAGTGGCTCACGCCTGTAATCCCAGCACTTTGGGAGGCCGAGGCGGGCGGATCACGAGGTCAGGAGATCGAGACCATCCTGGCTAACACAGTGAAACCCCGTCTCTATTAAAAATACAAAAAATTAGCCGGGCATGGTGGCGGGCGCCTGTAGTCCCAGCTACTCGGGAGGCTGAGGCAGGAGAATGGCGTGAACCCGGGAGGCGGAGCTTGCAGCGCCACTGCACTCCAGCCTGGGCGACAGAGCGAGACTCCGTCTCAAAAAAAAAAAAAAAAAGCAAGAGCTTTGAGTGAAGCGGGGTGGGGGGTGGGGGCGGGTGAGCCCCGACTTTCAGGCCTTGTTCTCGGAGCTATCAGCTTCATGAAACTTCTTCTATGAGTAGGGAAACAACAACAATAAAAAAGAAACTTCTTCTGGGAGAAAGCGGTGCAGACTTGCAGAGGATTACTCTTGACTCACCAATAACCAAACAGCCTTTGTGATGAGCATTCATGTCAAATAGCATCTGTTGGCAGCATCCGCCCCTCAGTCTCCTGATTCATGATCCAGTATCTTGGTCACTAACCTCTCATTCCCTCTTTGCTGCCAGAAAGACTGCAACTGTAATTTCCTCTCTTTGAGTAGTCATAAAGATGCCTGCCCTTAGCTTGTGCTGGCAAAGCTAGCATCTCTAGCCAGCACCTCCTTTCCTTTCTCTGCTTTTATCTTCCTGGGACCCAGTCATACAGAAAAGACTTCTTGCTTGTTTGTGGCAAGAACAGAAGATTACACTCTCATCTCAAACTAATGGAAAATTGCACCTGAGCTTTCTATTAATATACACTAATCTAATCCTATTGTTATACCCAGTCTATTATTGTGCAAAAATCCAACAATCCAACAACAATGTCAAGGTCAGAGTGTCGTCATGGTGTATCTTGAGTAGGGAGGAGGTGAAAGCTGCTGGAGTTGAGGTCCAAGAGAGAGGCTGGCATGTTGGAGAGATCATCATCCAGGATGGTGGTAAGATTTGTGTTTAGAAAGGAAGACTGTGATGCCAAAGACCTGAATGTATGTAAGGGAGTATAAATAATAATAGCCGGGTGCAGTGGCTCACGCCTGTAATCCCAGCACTTTGGGAGGCCAAGGCAGGCGGATCACAAGGTCAGGAGATCAAGACCATCCTGGCTAACACGGTGAAACCCTGTCTGTACTAAAAATACAAAAAATTAGCCGGGCGTGGTGGCGGGCACCTGTAGTCCCAGCTACTCGGGAGGCTGAGGCAGGAGAATGGCAAGAACCCCGGAGGCGGAGCTTGCAGTGAGCTGAGATCGCACCACTGCACTCCAGCCTGGGCAACAGTGCAAGACTCCATCTCAAAAAATAATAGTAATAATAATAGTTATTTACATTCTTCTAAATATAAGTAATAGTGGTTAGCATTTACTGAATGTTTGCCATATGTCAGGCCATGTCTTAAGTGCTTCGCAAGCTTTATCTCGCTTTATCTCTTTAATCTTCTCAGTAACCCTCTAAGTGTTCTTCTTTTTTTTTTTTTTGAGACAGAGTCTTGTTCTGTTGCACAGGCTGGAGTGCAGTGGCATGATCTCAGCTCTCTGCAACCTCTGCCTCCTGGGTTTAAGCGAGTCTCCTGCCTCAGCCTCCTGAGTAGCTGAGATTACAGGCACACACCATGACGCTGGCTAATTTTTTGTATTTTTAGTAGAGATGGGGTTTCACCTTGTTGCCTAGGCTGGTCTTAAACTCCTGAGCTCAGGCAATCCACCCGCCTCAGCCTCTCAAAGTGCTAGGATTACAGGTGTGAGCCACCGCGCCCAGCTGCTAAGTGTTCTTTTTATTCTTATTTTGATTCAGAACCTACAGTGGTGCCTGGCATATAGTAGATATTCAAGACAAGTCAGGTCACTCCTCCACCTAAAACCCTGCAGTGGTTTTTCACTTGGTGGAGGCAGGCACAGCGTGCAGTGGGAGCCCAGAGGAGGGACCCAGATCAGAACTGACTCCAACAGGACTTCAGTGTTGAAAGACAAGGGAGAATTAGCTAGGCGAAGCAGGAGAAAAGCATTCTAAGTGGACTCGTCAGAATGTGCTAATGCATAGAAAGGGAACAGTAGCATGTACATGGGGCACGACCGTTAATGTCTTATGGCTAGAGTGTAGCTGCTAACGTTTACTGAATGTTTATTGTGTTCATGCTGTGTTAATTATGTTACATAGTAACAAAGACTCTCTCCTTGACCAAACCTAAGTCTGGGTCCTCTGAGCCCTCTTTCTGACTAAGCTCCAACCTTGGGCTCTGTCCTTGACCCACTTAATCCAGTGTTAGCAAAAATACTGCTGAGTCAGTTTAGTAAAAAATGCCTGCCCTCAGTGTCTGATCAACCTCAATATCTGATCAAATTCCTCATCCTCTACTCTCCATGTCTTTCTTTTTTTAGATTTTTTTTTCTGTGTGTGAGTGTGTGTGTGTGTGTGTGTGTGTGTGTGTGTGTGTGTGTAAAACAGAGTTTTGCTCTGTTGCCCAGACTGGAGTGCAGTGGCGCAATCTTGGCTCACTGCAACCTCCACCTTCTGGGTTCAAGTGATCCTCCTGTCTCAGCCTCCCGAGTAGCTGAGATTACAAGCGCCTGCCACCATGCCTGGCTAATTTTTGTATTTTTAGTAGAGACGGGGTTTCACCATGTTGGCCAGGCTGGTCTCGAACTCCTGACCTCAAGTGATCTGCCTGCCTAGGCCTCCCAAAGTGTTGGGATTACAGGCATGAGCCACCATGCCCGGCCAGATTTTTTTTTTTTTTTGAGAGATGGGGTCTCCCTATGTTGCCCAAGGTGATCTCGACCTCCTGGCTCAAAAGATCCTCCTGACTTGGCCTCTCAAAGTGCTGAGATGACAGGCATGAACCACCATGCTGGCCTACTCTCCATATCTTATCATTCTAGCCTGCCTTCAGCAAGAATCCTGAGTCTACCCAGCAAGATTTCCCCTAGCCTTAAAACAAAGAAAGAAAAATAAGATAAAATAAAAAGATCCTGAACAAGGAGAAAACAGAAGAAAAAAATTCCCCTATCTTTGATGTCTCCTCTTAGTAACTTTCCATTCATTGACTCCTATCCTGTTCCTTGGCTATAAATTCTCATTTTGTCTTGTCATATTTGGAGTTGAACCCAGTCTCTCTCCCCTACTGCAAAATCTCATTGCAGTGGTTCCTATACCTGTCACCATAGTCCTGAATAAAGTCTGCCTTGGCCTGGCCTGGTGGCTTATACCTGTAATCCTGGCACTTTGGGAGGCCAAGGCAGTTGGTTTGCTTGAGTCCAGGAGTTCAAGACTAGCCAGGGTGACATGGTGAAACTCCATGTCTACAAAAAATACAAAAATTAGCCAAGGACGGTGGCTCACGCCTGTAGTCCCAGCTAGTTGAGAGGCTGAGGTGGGAGGATCGCCTGTGCCTGGGAGGTTGAGGCTGCAGTGAGCCAAGATCATGCCAGTGCCCTCCAGCCTGGGCAACAGAGAGAGACACTGTCTTGAAAAAAAAAAAAAAAAAGAAGGAGAAGGAGAAGGAGAAGCAGAAGCAGAAGTAGTAGAAGAAGAAAATACAAGAAACTTCTAATTCCTAGACAATCCTGTGATGCACATTCAGTCAGTTTGGGTTACGTTTTGGGAAAATGTATGACTTCCTCAAATTCTCCAGCTGATTCTGATGCAGCCAGTTTTAAGAACCACTTCTGGAGGCAAGAGAACCATCAAAAGAGTTTGAAGTAGGGTAGTGAATTGATCAAAGTTGGGTTTTAGAAAAATCAGCCTGGTAGGGTAATATACAGAATGGATCACAGGGAAGGGGTGGGGAGATGACTTAAGACACTATTGCAGTAACCCAGGAAATGAGGAAGCTTCCAGCAGAGGTAGTGGCAGTGTTAATGGACTGTAAAGGAATGCTTTTAAGAGTTGTGAAGAGGGGCTATTTGTGGGAGGAAGAGAGGGAAGGTGGGGACAAGTGAAACAGCAGACTTCCCATCTAGGCCAGGCCCCTTTAAAGACCCTTCCCAGAAGCCTTATCGTATTTGCACTTACACTTCATTGGCTATTCCCTGCTGCAGGGAAGAATGGAAAGTGTATTCTTTTTTTAATTGTTCAACTGTTCTAATTTTTTTTTTGCTTTTAAAAAATTGATACATAGTTGTCATGCACGTTTGTAAACAGCTGTAATCCCAGAACTTTGGGTGTCTGACGGGGGCGGATTACTGGAGTCCAGGAGTTTGAGACCAGCCTAGGCAACGTGGTGAAACCCCATCTCCACAAAAAAATAACAAAAATTAGTCGGGCGCGGTTGTGTGTGCTTGTAATCCCGGCTACTTGGGAGGCTGAGGCCGAAGAATCGCTTGAGCCCTGGAGGTCAAGGCTGCAGTGAGCAGTGATCATGCCACTGCACTCCAGCCTGGGTGACAGAGACCATCTGAAAAAAAAAATACATAATAGTTGTACTTATTTATGGGGTGCGTGTGATATTTTCATACATGTATACAATGTGTAATGATCAAATAAGGGTATTTAGGGCATCCATCACCTCAAATATTTATCATTTGTGTTAGGAACATTTCAAATCTTCCCTTCTAACTATTTTGAAATATACAATAAATTATTGTTAACTATAGTTACCCTACTGTGTGTGCTTCAAACTGTTATAAATAAAGTTTCAATGCCACAAAAGAAATAGCACTTGAATATAAAATTTTCTTTTTAATTCTCAGCAAGGCAAGATACTTCTATAGAAGGGTGCACCCTTACAGATGGAGCAATGGTGAGCGCACACCTGGACAAGGGAGGGAAAGGGGTTCTTATCTCTGACGTACGTGGCCCCTGCTGCTGTGTCGTTCCCCTATTGGCTAGGGTTAGACAGCACAGGCTAAACTAATTCCGATTGGCTAATTTAAAGAGCGTGACGGGGTGAGTGGTTTGGAGGGAAAAAATGGTTATGCAGGGTGGAGAATGAGTCAGGGCGGAGCAGGTAGCAGGTAATCGGAATGAGTCAGGGTGGGGCAGGTGATTGAAAGGAGTCAGGGTGGAGCAGGTAATCTAAAAGGGTTGCTTTATGAGGAAGTTAAGTTTAAAAGAAGAAGGCAAAGAATTGAACATACTGACATATTGATTCTTTGAAAAGAAATATAGAATTCATATCTAACAAAACACTAGAACTTGTAAACCAAAGAGTATGCGTGACAAGTCTCAATTTAGAAAGTTTATTTAGCCAAGGTTAAGGATGCACCCGCGACACAGCCTCAGGAGGTTCTGACAACATGTGCCCAAAGTGGTCGGTGCACAGACTGGTTTTATACATTTTGGGCAGACAAGAGACATCAGTCAATATATGTAAGATGTGCATTGGTTAAATCCGGAAAGGCAGGACAACTTGAAGTGGGGGAGGGAGCTTCCAGGTCATAAGGAGATAAAAGACAAATGGTTGCATTCTTTTTTTTTTTTTTTTTTTTTGAGATAGAGTCTCACTCTGTCACCAGGCTAGAGTGCAGTGGCGCAATCTCAGCTCACTGCAACCTCCACCACCCAGGTTCAAGCGATTCTCCTGCCTCAGTCTCCCATGTAGTTGGGATTACAGGCGCACGCCACCACGCCCAGCTAATTTTGTGTATTTTAGTAGAGACGAGGTTTCACAGTGTTGGCCAGCATGGTCTCGATCTCCTGACCTCACGTGATCTGCCCGCCTCGGCCTCCCAAAATTCTGGGATTACAGACGTAAACCACCACGCCCAGCCCGTTGCATTCTTTTGAGTTTCTGATTAGCCTTGCACTGACTACGCAATTCACAGGAATACTCACTTACCCCTTAGTCTGGCTTAGTGAAGCAGTAGGGCAAGGGAAGCAATCAGATATGCATTTGTCTCACATGAACAGAATGCTTATTTAGGGAGAATGGAAGGCAGGTTTGCCCTGTGCAGTTCTCAGTTTCACTTTTCTCTTTGGCTTAGTGATTTTGGGTTCCCGAGATTTATTTTCCTTTTACTAACTTATTCCTTCTTTTTTTTTGTTCTTTGATTTTTGTTTTTTGAGACGGAGTCTCACTCTGTCGCCCAGGCTGCAGTGCAGTGGCACCATCTCGGCTCATTGCAACCTCCGCCTCCCGAGTTCAAGCGATTCTCCTGCCTCAGCCTCCAGGGTAGCTGGGACTACAGGTGCACGCCACCGCATCTGGCTAGTTTTTTATATTTTTAGTAGAGACGTGGTTTTGCCATGTTGGTCAGGCTCGTCTCAAACTCCTCAACTCAGGTGATCCATCTGCCTCTGCCTCCCAAAGTGTTGGGAATACAAACGTGAGCCGCCGCACCCGGCCCAACTTATTCCTTCTATCTAACTGTAGGTTTGCACCCATTACCCAACCTCTCTCTTCATCCCTCCCCTGCTCCCACCCTTCTCAGGCTCTGGTAACTATCATTCTCCTCTCCACCTCAATGAGATCAACTTTTTTTTCTTTTTTTCTTTTGAGACGGAGTCTCGCTCTGTCGCCCAGGCTGGAGTGCAGTGGCTCGATCTTGGCTCACTGCAAGCTCCACCTCCCGGGTTCATGCCATTCTCCTGCCTCAGCCTCCCAAGTAGCTGGGACTATAGGCGCCTGCCACCACGCCTGGCTAATTTTTTCTATTTTTAGTAGAGACGGGGTTTTACCGTGCTAGCCAGGATGGTCTCGATCTCCTGACCTTGTGATCCGTCCGCCTCAGCCTCCCAAAGTGCTGGGATTACAGGCGTGAGCCACCGCGCCTGGCCTTTTTTTCTTTTTTTTAAGATAGACTCGCACTTGTCACCCAGGCTGGAGCGCAGTGGTGCGATCTTGGCTCACTGCAACCTCCACCTCCCAGGTTCAAGCCATTCTCCTGCCTAAGCCTCCCAAGTCGCTACGACTACAGGTGCCTGCTGCCACGCCCGTCTAATTTTTGTATGTTTAGTAGAGACAGGGTTTCACCATGCTGGCCAGGCTGGTTGAGAACTCCTGACCTCAGGTGATACCCCTGCCTCGGCCTCCCAAAGTGTTGGGATTACAGGCGTGAGCCACCACGCCTGGCCAAGATAAACTTTTTTAGCTCCCACATATGAGTGAGAACATGCAATGTTTATCTTTCTGTGCCTAGCCTATTTCACTTAACATAGTGACCTCCAATTTTATTCATGTTGCTGCACATGACAGGATTTCATTCCTCTTTTTTTTTTTTTTTTGAGATGGAGTCTTGCTCTGTCTCCCAGGCTGGAGTGCAGTGGTGTGATCTCAGCTCACTGCAACCTCTGCGTCCCGGGTTCAAGCGATTCTCCTGCCTCAGCCCCCTGAGTAGCTGGGACTATAGGCCCCCGCCACCATGCCAGGGTAATTTTTTGCATTTTTAGTAGAGATGGGGTTTTACCATGATGGCCAAGCTGGTCTCGAACTCCTGACCTCAGGGTGATCCACCCACCTTGGCCTCCCAAAGTGCTAGAATTTCAGGCGTGAGCCACTACACCCAGTCAACACTTGATTTCATTCTTATTTATGGCAAAATAGTATTCCATTGTGTATATATATACCACATTTTCTTGATTCATTTGTCTGTTGTTAGACACTTAGGTTGATTCCCTATCTTTAGTATTGTGAATGGTGCTATAATAAACATGGTGGTGTCTATATCCCTTTATTGATTTCTTTTCCCTTGGATAAATACCGAATAGTGGGATTGCTGGATCATATGGTAGCTCTATTTTTAGTTTCTTTTGAGCAACCTTCATACTGCTTTCCATAATGACTGTACTAATTTATATTCCCATCAACAGTGTATAAGAGTTCCCTTTTCTCCACATCCTCACTAGTGTAATCGCCTGACAAGTTCTTCCCACCCACTACACAGATAAAATCAATCCACTGAGACCATGGCATTGCAGTAGAGAGTTTAATTGGCATAAGGCCATGAGGCTGGCCCATGTGGGAAAACTGGAGTTAACACTCAAGTCAGTCTCCTCAAAGTCTCAGATGTTAGCAGGTGTTTTTTTGTTTGTTTGTTTGTGTTTTGTTTTATTTGTTTGTTTGTTTTTGAGAGGGAGTCTTGCTCTGTCGCCCAGGCTGGAGTGCAGCGGCGCAATCTCAGCTCACTGCAACCTCAGCCTGCCGAGTAGCCAGGACTACAGGCGTGAGCCACTGCGCCTGGCCGATGTTAGGGTTTTTATGGACAATTTGGTGGGTAGGAGGCTATGGAATGGGTGCTGCTGGTTGGTTGGGGATTAAATCATAGGGGTGTGGAAAATGATCCTCATGCACTGAGTCAGCCTCTGTGTGGGGCCACAGGACCTGTTGAGTCATGAGTCACAAGTCTGGATGGGGTCAGTCTGAAAAATATCTCAAAACACCAATTTTAGGTTTTACAGTAGTGATGTTATCTATAGGAGCAGTGGAGAAAGTCATGAATCTTGTGATCTCTGGCCACATGACTCCTGAGCAATAAGGGATTATAGAAACTGTGCCTACAATTTCCTAGAGTTCAGGACCCTCCCATAATCCTATTCTTGTGGCCTTTCATTAGTGTCACAAAGGCAGTTTTTTTGTTTTTGTTTTGTTTTGTTTTGTTTTGAGACGGAGTCTCGCTCTGACGCCCAGGCTGAAGTACAGTGGCACTATCTCGGCTCACTGCAAGCTCTGCCTCCTGGGTTGACACCATTCTCCTGCCTCAGTCTCCCCAGCAGCTGGGACTACAGGCACCCGCCACCACGCCCGGCTAATTTTTTTTTTTTTTGTATTTTTTGTAGAGACTGGGTTTCACCATGTTAGCCAGGATTGTCTCGATCTCCTGACCTCGTGATCCACCCGCCTCGGCCTCCCAAAGTGCTGGGATTACAGGCGTGAGCCACCACGCCCACATAATTTTTTGTTTTGTTTTGTTTTTTTGAGACAGAGTTTCGCTGTTGTTGCCCAGGGTGGAGTGCAATGACACGATCTCAGCTCACTGCAACCTCCGCCTCCCGGGTTCAAGAGATTCTCCTGCCTCAGCCTCCCAAATATCTGGGATTACAGGCATTGGCCGCCACACCTGGCTAATTTTGTATTTTTAGTAGAGATGGGGTTTCTCCATGTTGGTCAGGCTGGTCTCGAACTCCTGACGTCAGGTGATCTGCCCGCCTCAGCCTCCCAAAGTGCTGGGATTACAGGTGTGAGCCACCGCGCCCTGCCCCGGCTAATTTTTTTTTTTTGGTATCTTTAGTAGAGACGTAGAGACGGGGTTTCACCATGTTGGCCAGGCTGGTCAAGAACTGCTGACCAGGGCCGGGCGCAGTGGCTCACGCCTGTAATCCCAGCACTTTGGGAGTCCAAGGTGGGTGGATCACGAGGTCAGGAGTTCGAGACCAGCTCAAACATGGTGAAACCCCGTCTCTACTAAAAATACAAAAAATTAGCCAGGCGCAGTGGCGTGCACCTGTAATCCCAACTACTCAGGAGACTGAGGCAGGAGAATCACTTGAACCCGGGAGGTGGAGGCTGCAGTGAGCCAATATTGCGCCACTGCACTCTAGCCTGGGCAACAGAGCAAGACTCCGTCTCAAAAAAAAAAAAAAAAAGAACTGCTGACCTGGTGATCTGCCAGCCTCGGCCTCCCAAAGCTCTGGGATTACAGGCGTGAGCCACCATGCCTGGTGGCTCTGTCACCCAGGCTGGAGTGCAGTGGCACAATCTTGGCTCATGGAAACCTCTGTCTCCCAGGTTCTAGTGATTCTCATGCCTAAGCCTCCCCAGTAGCTGGAACTGGAACTGAAACTGTAGGTGTGCACCACCACATCTTGCTAAATTTTTTTTTTTGTATTTTTAGTAGAGACAGGGTTTCACCATTTTGGCCAGGCTGGTCTCAAACTCCTGACCTCGGGTAATCTGCCCACCTCGGCCTCCCAAAGTGTTGGGATTATAGGTGTGAGCCACCACACCCACCAATATCTATATATATATTTTTTGAGGCAGGGTCTTTCTGTGTCACTCAGGCTGGAGTACAGTAGTGCCATCTTCGCTCACTGCAACCTCTACCTCTTAGGCTCAAGTGACCCTCCCACCTCAGCCTCCTGAGTAGCTGGGACTATAGGCACACACTACCATGCCCAGCTAAATTTTTTTTTCTTTGTAATTTTGTAGAGACAGGGTTTTGCCGTGTTGCCCAGGCTGGTCTTGAACTCCTGAGTTTAATCAATGGGCCCATCTTGGCCTCCCAAAGTGCTTGGATTACAGGTGTGAACCACTGCACCCAGCACAGTATCTATATTAACCCAAAGAATTCATATTGATGTATCCAACTCTAATCCATTATCACATGGTTAATTCTAGCCTCTTCCTGTTGCCTATCTGTACCTCCCACTCCAACAGTAAGAAACATGGCTCCCACCGTCCACTATCCATTTACTTACTGTTGAATCCCAGTATACACATACAGCAATTTCAGAACTGTTAAGCCTTATCTTCATGGGAAACAACTTTGACAACTACACTACAGTGCTTGTGCACAGTTCTTTTTGTCTTTAGTCTTACAGACCTCACTCATTTCCAACAGTACCTGCATTAGCACCTTTCCTCCCACCCTCTTCATTGAGGTTATGCTATGCATTTGTAATAAAGTTAGATCCTTTTGTCCCAGCCTGCATTCCATCCTGGTATTCCCGTGATCTCCTAAATATTTTTTCCTTAATTTGCTATATTAAAATTTATTCTCTTTTTTTTTTTTTTCCGGAGAGGGAGTCTTGCTCTGTCACCCAGGCTGGAGTGCAGTGGTGTGATCTCGACTCACTGCACTCTCTGCCTTCAGGGTTCAAGCAATTCTCCTGCCTCAGCCTCCCAAGTAGCTGGGATTACAGGCACGCACCACCACACCCAACTAATTTTTGTATTTTTAGTAGAGATGGGGTTTCACCATGTTGGCCAGGCTGGTCTCAAACTCCTGACCTCGTGATCCGCTCACCTTGGCCTCCTAAAGTGCTGGGATTACAGGCGTGAGCCACCGTGCCCAGCCGATGCTATGGTTTTTGACAAATGCATTGTGTCACGTATCCACTGTTACAGTATCATACAAAATACTTTCATCACCCTAAAAAACTCCTTGTTTCACCTATTAAACCCTCCCCTACTCCAGCAACCATTGATCTTTTTACTGTTTCTTAAGTTTTGCCTTTTACAGAATGTTATATAAATGGATTCATACAGGATATCACCTTTCCAAACTGGTTTCTTTCACATAACAATATACATTTACAATTCATCTATAGTGTTGTGTGAATTGATAGTACATTCCTATTTATTGAAAAATATATGCCGTTGTAGGGCTGTACCACAATTTGTTTACCCATTCAGATATTGAAGTTTACCTTGGTTTCTTCCTGTTTTTGGCAGTTATGAAAAAAGTGGCTATAAACCTTCACATGAAGGTTTTTTTGTGGGCATAAATGTTCAAATCCGTTGGATAAATACCTAGGAGTATGACTACTGGGTTAAATGATAAGAATATACTTATATTAATAAGAAACTGAGGCCAGGCCGGGTGTGGTGGCTCACACCTGTAATCCTAGCACTTTGGGAGGCTGAGGCAGGTGGATCACCTGAGTTTGGGAGTTCGAGACCAGCCTGACCAACATGGAGAAACCCCGTCTCTACTAAAAATACAAAATTAGCCGGGCTTGGAGGCACATGCCTGTAATCCCAGCTACTTGGGAGGCTGAGGCAGGAGAATCTCTTGAACCCAGGAGGCAGAGGTTGCGGTGAGCCAAGATCGCGCCATTGCACTCCAGCCTGCCTGGGCAACAAGAGCAAAAACTCCACCTCAAAAAAAAAAAAAAAAAAAAAAAGAAAGAAAGAAAAGAAACTGAGGCCGTGCACAGTGGCTCACGGCTGTAATCCTAGCATTTTGGGAGGCTGAGGCGGGTGGATTGCTTGAGGTCAGGAGTTCGAGTTCGAGACCAGCCTGTCCAACATGGTAAAACCCCGTTTCTACTAAAAATATGAAAAATAGCTGGGCGTGGTGGCACAAACCCGTAATCCTAGCTACTCAGGAGGCTGAACCAGGAGAATTCCTTGAAGTCCAGAGACGGAGATTGCAGTGAGTGAGATCGCGCCTTTGCACTCCAGCCTGGAAGACAAGAGTGAAACTCTGTCTCCAAAAAAAAAAAAAGAAAGAAAGAAAGAAACTGTCTCAAAATGTGTGTACCATTCTGTATTCTTACCAGCAAAGGATGAGAGTACATCCTTACCAGTAAGTGGTATTGTCAATTTATTGTATTTTAGCCTTTCTATTAAGTATGTAGTGTTCTGTCAGTGTTTTTTTGTTTGCTTATTTATTTTGTCAGTGTTGTATTAATTTGCATTTCCCTAGTGATGCAACATTGCTTTTAATAGTGAAATATTATTATTTTTTTTTTGAGACAGAATTTCACTCCTGTAGCCCAGTCTGGAGTGCAATGGCGCAATCTGGGCTCACTGCAACCTCCGCCTCCCGGGTTCAAACACTTCTCCTGCCTCAGCCTCCCAAGTAGCTGGGATTACAGGCATGTGCCACCACACCTAGCTAATTTTGTATTTTTAGTAGAGACGGGGTTTCTCCATGTTGGTCAGGCTGGTCTCAAACCCCCGACCTCAGGTGATCCACTTGCCTCAGCCTCCCAAAGTGCTGGGATTACAGGCGTGAGCCACCACTCCCGGCATAATAGTGAAATATTGAAAATGACCTACATATGTACCAATACTGGACTGAGTAAATACATTGTGATATATTTATACAATGGAACTTTTTTTTTTTTTTTGAGACGGAGTCTCCCTCTGTCGCCCAGGCTGGAGTGCAATGGCATGGTCTCGGCTCACTGCAACCTCCGCCTCCCAGGTTCAAGCAATTCCCTTGCCTCAGACTCCCAAGTAGCTGGGATTATGGGTGCTCACCACTACGCCCAGCTAATTTTTTGGTATTTTTAATAGAGGCAGGATTTCACCATGTTAGTCAGGCTGGTCTCGAACTCCTGACCTCACGTGATCTGCCTGCCTCAGCCTCCCAAAGTGCTAGGATTACAGTCGTGAGCCACCGTGCCCAGCCTAGAATTTCATATGATAGTTGAAAGGAATGAATTAAAGAGTTGCATGTGGCCGGGCACGGTGGCTCACGCCTGTAATCCCAACACTTTGGGAGGCTGAGGAGAGTGGATCATCTGAGGTCAGGAGTTCGAGACCAGCCTGGCCAAGATGGTGAAACTCTGTCTCTAGTAAAAATACACACAAAAAATTAGCCAGGCGAGGTGGGGGGCGCCCGTAATCCCAGCTACTTGGGAGGCTGAGGCAGGAGAATTGCTTGAACCCAGGAGGCGGAGGTTGCAGTGAGCCGACATTGTGCCATTGCACTCCAGCCTGGGTGACAAGAGTGAGACTCTGTCTCAAAAAAGAAAAAAAGAGAAAAAAAAGAGTCGCATGTGGTGGCCAGACACGGTGGCTCACGCCTGTAATACCAGCACTTTGGGAGGCCAAGGCAGGTGGATCACCTGAGGTCGGGAGTTTGAGACCAGCCTGACCAACATGGAGAAACCCTGTCTCTACTAAAAATACAAAATTAGCCGGGCGCAGTGGTGCATGCCTGTAATCCCAGCTGCTCGGGAGGCTGAGGCAGGAGAATCGCTTGAACCCAGGAGGCAGAGGTTGTGGTGAGCCGAGATCGTGCCATTGCACTCCAGCCTGGGCAACAAGAACGAAACTCCGTTTCTTTCTTTCTTTTTTTTTTCTTGAGACAGAGTCTCATTCTGTCGCCAAGGCTGGAGTGCAGTGGCACTATCTCTGCTCACTGCAAGCTCTGCCGCCTCCCAGGTTCACGCCATTCTCCTGCCTCAGCCCCCCGAGTAGCTGGGACTACAGGCGCCCGCCACCACGCCCGGATAATTTTTTGTATTTTTAGTAGAGACGGGGTTTCACCGTGTTAGCAGGATGGTCTCGATCTCCTGATCTTGTGATCCGCCCGCCTCGGCCGCCCAAAGTGCTGGGATTACAGGTATGAGCCACTGCGCCCGGCCTGAAACTCCGTTTCAAAAAAAAAAAAAAATGAGTTGCATGTGTCATGGTCAAGTGAGGTGGCTCACACCAATAATCCCAGCATTTTGGGAGGCCAAGGTGGCCAGATTGCTGGAGCCCAGGAGTTTGAGACCAGCCTGTGCAACATGGGGAAACTTCGTCTCTACCCAAAATACGAAAAATTGGCTGGGGATAGTGGCGCAGGCCTGTAGTCCCAGCTAGTTAGGCAGCTGAGGTAGGGGGATCACTGGAGCCCAGGAGATCAACACTGCAGTGAGCTGTGTTTACACCACTTGGGTGACAGAGTGAGACTTTGTCTCTAAAAAAAAAAAAGAGAGAAAGAATGAAACATATACTACATATACTACAAGATACATATACTATAAGAAAAACGGATACCACGTTACAATCATGCATCTATAACTATGTATACAAATGATAGATACCAAATTATTCTAGTGGTGTTTTGGGGGGAGGGAGAGGGAAATGGGATAGAGGAGAGATACACAAGGCAATTCAAGTCTATTTATACTTTTCTTGTACTATTAATGTTTTATTTTTAAAACAATCTGAAGCAAAAATGGCAAAATGTTGGGCCGGGTGCGGTGGCTCACCCCTGTAATCCCAGCACTTGGGGAGGCCGAGGGGGATGGATCATGAGGTCAAGATATCGAGACCATCCTGGTGAACATGGTGGAACCCCGTTTCTGCTAAAAATACAAAAAATAGCTGGGCGTGTTGGCACGCATCTGTAGTCCCAGCTACTCAGGAGGCTGAGGCAGGAGAATCGCTTGAACCCAGAAGGTGGAGGTTGCCGTGAGCCAACATTTTGCCACTGCACTCCAGCCTGGCGACAGAGTGAGACTGTCTCAAAAAAAAAAAAAAAAGGCAAAAAAACGGCAAAATGTTGAGATTTGTTAAAATTGAGTGGAAGAAAAAAGAAAAATACTTAGATATAAACCTAACAAAATATGTATAAAATTTATATGAAGAAAACTACGGGTCCAGGCACGGTGGCTCCGGAAGGCGGAGGTTACAATGAGCTGAGATTGTGTCACTGCACTCCAGCCTGGGTGACTGAGTGAGACTCCGTCTCAGAAACAAAAAAAAAAAAAAAAAAAGAAAACTACAGGTGGGGTGCAGTGGCTCACGCCTGTGATCCCAGCACTTTGGAAGGCCGAGGTGGGTGGATCATTTGAAGTCAGGAGTTCTAGACCAGCCTGGGCAACATGGTGAAACCCCATCCCTACTAAAAATACAAAAATTAGCTGGGCGTGGTGGCGGGAGCATATAATCCCAGCTACTCGGGAGGCTGAGGCAGGGAGAAGTGCTTGAACTGGGAAGGTGGAGGTTGCAGTGAGCCTAGATAGCACCACTGCACTCCAGCCTAGGCAACACAGTGAGACTCCTGCTCAAAAAAAAAAAAAAAAAAAAAAAAAAAAAGGAGCCAAAGACCTGAACAGATAACCTCAATAAATAAGACATACAGATGTCAAATAAGCATATTAAAAGATGTTCTACATCATATGTTGTTAGCTGAATGCAAATTAAAGCAACAATGAAATACCACTGCATACCTAGTTAGAGTGGTCACAATTCAGAACACTGACAACACCAAATGCTGATGAGGATGTGGAGCAAGAGGAACTCTCATTTGTTGCTGGTGGGAATGCAAAGTAGGACAGACACTTTGGAAGACAACTGACAGTTTTTTAGAAAACTAAACATATTCCTACCACATAATCCAGCAATCACACTCCTTGGTATTTATCCAAATCAATTGAAAATTCTTGCCCTCACAAAAACTTGCACATACATGATTTTTTTTCTTTTTTCCTGGTCCTTAACCAATCACAAATAAAAAGCGTATGTATGTTTATAGCAGCCTTATTTATAATTGCCAAAATTTGGAAGAAACTGAGATGTCCTTCAGTAGATGAATGGATAAATAAACTGTGGCATATCCAGACAACGGAATATTATTCAGCACTAAAAAGAAATGAAGTGGCCGGGTGCAATGGCTCACGCCTGTAATCCCAGCACTTTGGGAGGCCGAGGTGGGCAGATCACTTGAGGTCAGGAGTTCGAGACCAGCCTGGCCAACATGGTGAAACCCCGTCTCTGCTAAAAGAAAAAATGCAAAAATTAGCTGGGCGTAGTGGCCTGTAATCTCAGCTACTCTGGAGGCTGAGGCACGAGAATCGCTTGAACCCAGGAGGCGGAGGTTGCAGTGAGCCAAGATGGCACCACTGCGCTCCAGCCTGGGCGACAAGAGCTAAACTCAGTTTCAAAAAACAAAAAAAATAGGCCGGGTGCAGTGGGCTCGCGCCTGTAATTCCAGCACTTTGGGAGGCCGAGGCGGGTGGATCACGAGGTCAGGAGATTGAGACCGTCCTGGCTAACACAGTGAAACCCCCTCTCTACCAAAAATACAAAAAAATTAGCTGGGCACAGTGGCGGGCGCCTGTAGTCCCAGCTACTCGGGAGGCTGAGGCAGGAGAATGGCGTGAACCTGGGAGGCGGAGCTTGCAGTGAGCTGAGATCGTGCCACTGCACTCCAGCCTGGGCGACAGAGCGAGACTCTGTCTCAAAAAAAAAAAAAAAAAAGAGAAACCCTGTCTCTACTAAAAATACAAAATTAGCTGGGCCTGGGGTGGCACATGCCTGTAATCCCGGCTACTCAGGAGGCTGAGGCAGGAGAATCGCTTGAACCTGGGAGGCGGAGGTCGCGGTGAGCCAAGATTGTGCCTTTGCACTCCAGCCTGGGCAACAAGAGCGAAACTCTGTCTCAAATAAATAAATAAATAAATAAATAAATAAATAAAAATAAAAAAAACTAGCCCGGCATGGTAGTGGGTGCTTGTAATCCCAGCTACTCAGGAAGCTGAGGCAGGAGAATCACTTGAACCTGGGAGGCAGATGTTGCAGTGAGCCGAGATCGCCCCATTGCACTCCAGCCTGGGTGATAGAGTAAGACACCATCTCAAAAAAAAAAAAAAAAAAAAGCAAGAAAGAAAAAAAAGAAATGAGTTATGAAACCATGAAAAGACATATAGGAACTTTTTTTTTTTTTTGAGTCGGAGTTTCACTCTTGTTGCCCAGGCTGGAGTGCAATGGCGCGATCTCGGCTCACTGCAACTTCCGCCTCTCGGATTCAAGTGATTCTCCTGCCTCAGCCTCCCAAGTACCAGGGATGACAGGCATGCGCCATCATGCCCAGCTAATTTTGTACTTTTAGTGGAGACAGGGTATCTCCATGTTGGTCAGGCTGGTCTCAAACTCCTAGCTTCAGGTGATCTGCCCGCCTTGGCCTCCCAAAGTACTGGGATTACCGGCATGAGCCACCAAGCCCGGGCTAGATATGTAGGAACTTTAAATGCGTATTACTCACTGAAAAAAGCCAATCTGAAAAGTCTACATAAGGTATGTTTCCAACTATGTGACATTCTGGAAGAGGCAAAACTATGGAGATAGTGAAAAGTTCAGTGGTGATCAATGGTTAGGAAGGAGAGAGACAGGGATGAATAAGCAGAGCACAGAGGATTTTTAGAGCAGTGAGACTATTTTGTATGATACTGTAATGGTGGATACATGCCATTATTCATTTGTCCAAACTCATAGAATATACAACACAAGGCCGGGCGAGGTGGCTCATGCCTGTAATCCCAGCACTTTGGGAGGCCGAGGCGGGCAAATTGCTTGAGGCTAGGAGTTCGAGACCAACCTGGCAAACATGGCAAAACCTCGCCTCTACTAAAAATACAAAAATTAGCCAGGCGTTGTGGCGGGCGCCTGTAATCCCAGCTACTTGGGAGGCTGAGTCAGGAGACAGGAGAATCGCTTGAACCTGGGAGGCGTGGATTTCAGTGAGTCGGGATCGTGCCATTGCACTCCAGCCTGGGCAACAGAGAAACTCCATCTCAAAAAAAAAAAAAAAAAAAAAAAGAATATACAACACAAACGTGAACCCTCATTTAGTGTCAGAAACAGCAACAGCCTCCTGTAGGAAGGAGTAATCAGACGTTGTCAATGGAACCAACTGTATTGTCTTTTTGTTTTGTTTTGGGCTTGGTTTTTTGTTTTTTTGTAGAAATGGGGTCTCACTATGTTACCCATGCTGGTCTTGGAGGCCTAGGCTCAAGTGACCCTCCTGCCTTGCCCTCCCAAAGTGCTGGGATTATAGGTATGAGCCTCTGTGCCTGGCCCCAGCTATCTTCTTCACCTGTCATGCTTTGGACTCAATCACATTTTGGTTGTGTGGACTGGTTTAAGGGTTGTCAAGCTCACACATAAGACAAGGCAAGGGCCGGCCGGGCGTGGTGGCTCACGCCTGTAATCCCAGCACTTTGGGAGGCCAAGGCGGGTGGATCACAAGGTCAAAAGACCATCCTGGCCAACATGGAGAAACCTTGTCTCTACTAAAAAAAATTAGCCGGGTGTGATTGCACGTGCCTGTATAGTCCCAGCTACAGGAGTTCGAGACCAGCTTGGCCAACATGGAGAAACCTCGTCTCTACCAAAAAAAAAATTAGCCGGGTGTGGTTGCACGCACCTGTATAGTCCCAGCGACAGGAGTTCGAGACCAGCCTGGCCAACATGGTGAAACCTCGTCTCTACTAAAAAAATATGAAAATTAGCTGGGTGTGGTGGCGTACTATGCCTGCAATCCCAGCTACTCAGGAGGCTGAGGCAGGAGAATCGCTTGAACCCGGGAGGCGGAGATTGCAGTGAGCCAAGATCACCCCACTGTACTCCAGCCTGGCAACAGAGGGAGACTCTGTCTCAAAGAAAAAAAAGGCAAGGCAAGGGCCAAGAGCTGACTAATTTGGTTGGTAAAGAAACAATGAGTCATTCTAGATTTAGACATTTTATTACTTAGACAGCAAAAAGAAGACTAAACCTAGGTGAGAGCTCCCTGTGAATCATTGTCCCCAACACTAAAAATACAACACTGGCTGGGCACGGTGGCTCATGCCTATAATCCCAGTGCTTTGGGAGGCTAAGGCTGCAAGATCACTTGAGCCCAGGAGTTCAAGAACAACCTGTGCAACATAGTGAGACACCGTCACTACAAAAAATAAAATAAAAATTAGCTAGGCATGGTGGCAGGCACCTGTGGTTCCAACTGCTCAGGAGGCTAAGGCAGAAGGACTGCTTGAGCCCAGGATTTCAAGGCTTCAGTAAGCTGTGATTGCGCCATTGCATTTCCAATCTGGGCAACAGAGTGAGAATCTGTCTCAAAAACAAACAAAAAAACATGACAATGAAGCAAAAAGGGGCCAGATGACTGCAATGTGTGTTGTGGGACATTGTATTTGGGAGGAGTCCCTTCACAGCTACCACTTGGAGGTTTTATGTTCTGCAGCTTTATAGTATGCAGGATATATATTTATATAAATTTATATTTAATATTTATACAATGTGCATTTTATAAATTTTTATTTATGTATTATATTTAAAAGCAGTTTTATATTATGTGGGAGTGAGGCAGAAAGCTCCATTCCTCATCAGAGCCTGAGAGCCGATGGGAAATTGTCTCATGACAGCCTCCCATGGGAGAGTTGAGAGGTGGGACATGGCCTTGTAGGCTCAGGCCTCTTGTGATTGATCAGGCAATGACCTGGATTGGTCATTATTTGGAAGAAATCCAAGTTCAGACTTTTCAGGTAACTGGCTGTAAATTCCTAGAATCCTTATGTTGTCCTAGAAATTGCTTCACTTCCCTTAACCATTTCTTGCTAAGAGTGAGGAGGAATTAGCGGTAGTTCATTAGTTCATAAATTTAGCCTTTACGTGAATTGCAATATGCTTTAATTTTTTTTTTTTTGAGACAAAGTCTCACTCTGTCACCGAGGCTGGAGTGCAGTGGCGTGACCTTGGCTCACCACAACCTCCGCCTCCCGGGTTCAAGCGATTCTCCTGCCTCAGTCTCCTGAGTAGCTGGGATTGCAGGCATAGCACACCACCACACCCAGCTAATTTTCGTATTTTTTTAGTAGAGAAGGGGTTTCACCATGTTGGCCAGGCTGGTCTCAAACTCCTGACCTCAAGTGATCCACCCTCCTTGGCCTCCCAAATTGCTGGGATTACAGGCGTGAGCCATGGCGCCTGGCCTCCTTCTGGTTTTCTTTAGAAATTCCTGAGCAAAGATCTGTTCTGTGTGAAGTAAAGAGCTCTTAACCGGTGGATGGGCCTAACTCAGTTACAGCCAGGTTTCTGCCCAAAGAGAGCAGACTGAGTCAACAATCCTGCTTCAGGATGGTGTCCGAACAAGGCTTACTCCTGTTTGGGTATGCCACATGTTACTAGACATTAGGACAAATTAAGACTAACATTCAAAAAGTCAATAACCCACAGGAAGCCTGTGGACTACTTTAAAAATACTTTTTGGAAGCCTGAAAAAAATGTATGCCAATGATAAAAAATACTATGCACTTGGGAAATAAAACCTGCAGCTTGGTGAACTAGCAAAGTGAAAGAGGCTATTGTAAGTGGGGGAAAAGTGTCTCTCAAAAAATGGAAATATAGTTTCTAATGGGGAGAACAGGGAAGTCTGGAAAAGATGGAAGCTCATATATAAAGTAGAAATTACATGGGCCAAAAATGAATGATGAGTTCTTTGCCAGGGACTCTAAAGCTCCTCTCTGAAATATATCCAAGAGAAAGCCAGCTAGAGAATCAGTGGGATTACAAGGATTAAAAAGGGATTTGACCTGTGGCAGGAGCCTGGGAGGTGGGGGTTTCAGGTTGCTGGTGGCTTAAATGAAAGGGCTTTGGCACAGCTTTTGGTGAGGCCCTGGAGAGGTGACTGAGTAAGAAAAGTTTTATCTTTTCCTCTCTCTAAATCTCTTCTTTCCTCCTCCTATTTCATTCTCTCCCTGGCTTTTTCCTGATTCCACTTTTTTGCTCTTCTTTGCCTTGAACGTTCTTTTTCTGTTTTTCCTTGACCTTATCTTGGACATTTCCAAATTTCCATGTCTAGGGAGACTGCACAACTGGGTTTAGTCTGTAGGCAGGCAAGTTCTCACCTAAAATAGGTACTAAGATATTTCTGGGCTGGGTGAGGTGCCTCACGCCTGTCATCCCAGCACTTTGAGAGGCCGAGGCGGGTGGATCACCTGAGGTCAGGAGTTCGAGACCAGCTTGGCCAACATGGCGAACCCCCCCGCCCCCGTCTCTACTAAAAAATACAAAAAAATTAGCTGGGCATGGTGGCACACGCCTGAAGTCCCAGCTACTCGGAAGGCTGACACAGGAGAATCGCTTGAATCTGGGAGGCGGAGGTTGCAATGAGCCGAGATCACGCCATTGCACTCCAGCCTGGGCAACAAGAGCGAAACTCCATCTCAAAAAAAAATCGGTGCTGATATTTGTGCACCTAAGTAGCTCAGAACAGCAGTAGGTGAAGGGTAAATCGTCGCACCAAGATCCTTTGCTCTTTCCTCTAGTGTTGGAGAGGATAGACAACCTGGACACCCTTCACCTGGTAGGGTTTGGCTAGGGGAGGCTGACACCTGGTGGTCATATTTGGGAGGTGCAGAGAATTCATAATAGCCCCATGCCTTTACCATTTACTGACCATGTATACATTGAGCTATTTGCTGTACATTAATGCTCTCATTTAAAACTCAAAACAATGTTACCCTGTGGAGTGGGTATCATTACCTCTACTTGATATTTGGATGATTTATGTTAAACAGTTATAAACTAATTTGAGCAATGGGATAATGTCTTCTTTTCTTTCTCCTTTGTCCTCAGCTTCTGGGACAGTACCTAGCATGTAGTAGGCTCTCAGGAAATATTTGATGAAATATTGTTTTATTTATCAACATCATGGAACTTTAATTCAATGTCATCCCTTTGTAATAGAGCTGATTTGAATACATTCTTGCTAGATAAGCCTAGACTGTCTGCTGCAACTCTTGCTTAAACACCTTTCCCAGACAATTCCCCATATAAGATACTTAGATATCTAGTCAGCTGCTGAAAAAAAATTCAGATTTTTTTTTAGAACTGACACCATCCTCGATTCTCTATACCGGACACCACAAGGCTGAGTCTCTGTTCAAATGCAGTGCTTTTATAATGAGAAACCACCAAGAAACCAGAAGGTTAAGTCAGCAAAGGCTGTTCAAATGCTGCCATCTTAGACTCCCCAACCTAGACATTAAGTGCCCAAGATGGATGTTTATTGATAAGAACACTGAAGTCATCCAGGTTGATGGCCAATTTAGTAGAGGAAGACTGTGATACAGGTGGCAATATATCCAGTGAGAGGCTGGCCAGTAGGTTGTTAGATGACTGCAATGAAGAAGAAAAACTGGGTGACATGAACTTCAAAGACGCAATGTTGGAAGAGTTACAGCTTAGAAATAGTGACAGAGTAGTAAGAGCATACCAACCCTACCTCTGGGTCTTTTTTTTTTTTTTTTTTGACAGAGTCTCGCTCTGTTGCCCAGACTGGAGTGCAGTGGTGCAATCTCAGCTCACTGCAGCCTCCACCTCCCAGGTTCAAGTGATTCCCCTGCTTCAGACTCCCGAGTAGCTGGGACTACAGGCATAAGCCATGATGCCTGGCTAATTTTTGTATTTTTAGTAGAGACGGGGTTTCGCCATTTTGGCTAGGCTGGTCTCAAACTGATCTCAAGAGATCCGCCTGCCTTCGCCTCCCAAAGTGCTGGGATTATGGGCGTGAACCACCACGCCCGCCTTCTGGGTCTTGTAATATGTAGAAAATGAATAAATGTGTGGCCTCCCCTGGAGGGAGATGCAGGGCAGTGGTGTCTTGAGGAGAGAGCAATGTTTCATTTAGAGCTAGAAAGTGGGAACGTTTCCATGGAAAGGAGTTTGTCTATCTTTGAATGAGAATTCCCTATGGTGCAGTGGAAAAATCTGAGAGGGAGAGGTGCATTGTGGATTTGTGTTGGGGAGGAAACAGAACAGTGTGGAGATGAAAGGAAGGGAAAGGATAGATGATCCGAGGGGCTTCTCTCAGCCAGTGACCAAATGTGATAGAACGTAAAGAAGAGTGTGGTATGCTTTCCTCAAAGCTGAGGCAAGGGCAGCTGTGGTGGGAGATGGGACATTTGGAGCCATTATTTTGAAACTTATCAGGGAGGGGTCTGGAGTCATCAGGATAGGAATGGTGGTTGCAAAGATAAAATCAAAGCCATCTGGCCGGGCATGGTGGCTCATGCCTGTAATCCCAGCACCTAAGGTGGATTACCTGAGGTCAGGAGTTTGAGACCAGCCTGGCCAACATGGCGAAACCCCATCTCTACTAAAAATACAAAAATTAGCCAGGTGTGGTGGCGGGCACCTGTAATCCCAGCTACTCGGGAGGCTGAGGTAGTTGAATCGCTTGAACTCTGGAGGTGGAGGTTGCAGTGAGCCGAGATCACGCCATTGCACTCCAGCCTAGGTGACAAAAGTGAAACTCCGTCTCAAAAAAAAAGGTCTGTTCTTCTTGAGACCATGGACTGACTATGTCTGTCTCTCAGATGCCTCTTTATTTCTGTCTCTGTCTAGTTGATATTTTTTCACAATTGGAGAAAATGAAGTGAAGCAGAAAACTTCCAGAGAAAGGTTGAGATGGATAAGAGAGGAATTAGGGAAGCTTATGTTGGATGGGCTCATTCTTTCCCACATTATGGAAGGCATGACCATTGGCTGAAAGCAAAGGGGTAATTCATGCTTCATAAGGTTGTGAGCATTCAATGAGATAGGGATGTGATGCATTTAGTATAGTGTGTGTCTCAATATATAGGAGTTTTAAAAAGCTCCAGTGGGCCAGGCGCGGTGGCTCGTGCCTGTAATCTCAGCACTTTGGGAGGCCGAGGCGGGTGGATCACCTGAGGTCAGGAGTTCCAGAGCAGCCTGACCAACATGGAGAAACCTTGTCTCTACTAAAAATACAAAATTAGCCGGGTGCGGTGGCACATGCCTGTAATCCTAGTTACTTGGGAGACTGAGGCAGGAGAATCGCTTGAACCCGGGAGGCGGAGGTTGCAGTGAGCCAAGATCACGTCACTGCACTCCAGCCTGGGCAACAAGAGCGAAACTCCGTCTCAAAAAAATAAAATTAAATTAAAAAAAAGCTCCCGGTGGGGCCAGGTGCGGTGGCTCACGCCTCTAATCCCAGCACTTTGGGAGGCTGAGGGGAGCGGATCACAAGGTCTGGAGTTCAAGACCAGCCTGACCGACATGGTGAAACCCCATCTCTACTAAAAATACAAAAAAAATTAGCTGGGAGTGGTGGCCCGCGTCTGTTATTCCAGCTACTTGGGAGGCTGAGGCAGGAGAATCGCTTGAACCTGGGAGGCGGAGGTTGCAGTGAACCGAGATCGTGCCACTGCACTCCAGCCTGGCGACAGAGTGAGACTCTGCCTCAAAAAAAAAAAAAAAAAAAAAAAAAGCTCCTGGCGGAGAAGTCAGTCCTGACTTAGCATGGAAGTAGTCATGGCAACCGACAAGGGTTGGGCAAGGTTCAGTAACTGGAAAATGGTGTGGGTGGAGTAGATGGTGCGGCGTGTGGCGTGGGGCACTCAGCAAGGGATGAGTGAACAAACAGGAACTGAGATCTGAGCAAAGAGTAACCAGTAAGCTACAAAAGTTCAAGGAATACATTCAAGTTCCATCATGCATATAACCTTAAGCTGTGGGTTTTAAGTGATGCATGGATCCTGGCAAACCATTTGCTATCCTGGCAAACCATTTGCTAGCTAGGAGGCTGCCTTAGACCCAAAGGCTATTCCTTTCCAGAGTTGGATGTTAAGGGTTATCCATTGAGAAACTGACTTTGTATGGAATCCAGGCAGTATGATTAGAATTTCTTTCTTTTTGAAACAGAGTCTCACTCTTGCCCAGGCTAGAGTGCAGTGGCATGATCTCAGCTCACTGCAACCTCCGCCTCCGGGGTTCAAGCGATTCTCCTGCCTCTGCCTCCCATGTAGCTGGGATTACAGGTGAGTGCCACCACGCCCGGCTAATTTTTGTATTTTCAGTAGAGACGGAGTTTTGCCATGTTTGCCAGGCTGGTCTTGAACTCCTGACCTCAGGTGATCCACCCGCCTCGGCCTCCCAAAGTGCTGGGATTACAGGTGTGAACCACCAGGCCTGGCCTGATTAGAATTTCTTTCATAACACTTAGTAGGTAGGAAGATAGCCAGGCACTGTGGTGCACTCATGTAGTCCCAGCAATTCTGGAAGCTGAGGCGGAAGGATCACTTGAGCCCAGGAGTTAGAGGCTGCAGTGAGCTATGATTGTACCTGTGAATGGCCACCGTCCTCCAGCCTGGGCAACATAGGGAGACCTAATCTCCTAAAAAAAGAAAAAGTAGGTAGGAAGATGGAGGAGAGAAATTGGGATGGGGTGGAAGACTGTCAAAAAGGAAAGTGAATGAGATAATTTAGGATAGTAGAAGCCATATTGTTGAAGTGTTTGATAATGAGATGAAGCCAAAAGAGGGAAAGCATTTTGAAGGATAAGAGATGACTTATAAAAAGAAGTGAAGGAAATGGAATAAGATGCTGTATATTTGGTTTTCCTCCATCAAATATAGTATCTAGACCCCAAATATGTAATTGCTGGAAATTTAATTTTAAATAAGAACACTACAAATCTATAAAATATGAAGTAAATTTACCTATTAAAATGGATTAAAACTATACTATCATAATTACTAAGGTAAAAAAACAGAGCAAGCAGGATGGATGCAAAATATTTCCCCTGATTTTAAAATGTAGAAAGGACTTTATTTATTAATTATTAGTAGTATTATTATTTTTTGAGACGGAGTTTCCCTCTTGTTGCCCAGGCTAGAGTGCAATCGCGCGATCTCGGCTCACTGCAACCTCCACCTCCCGAATTCAAGCGATTCTCCTGCCTCAGCCTCCCGAGTAGCTGGGATTATAGGCATGTGTCACCACGCCTGGCTAATTTTGTATTTTTGGTAGAGACAGGGTTTCTCCATGTTGGTCACGCAGGTCTCGAACTCCTGACCTCAGGTGATCCGCCTGCCTTGGCCTCCCGAAGTGCTGGGATTACAGGGGTGAGCCACAACGCCCGGCTTTATTTATTTATTTATTTTTGAGACGGAGTGTCGCTCTGTTGCCCAGGCTGTAGTGCAGTGGTGTGATCTCGGCTCACTGCAAGCTCCGCCTCTCGGGTTCACGCCATTCTCCTGCCTCACCCGAGTAGCTGGGACTACAGGCACCCACCACCAAGCCCGGCTAATTTTTTTTTTGTATTTTTAGTAGAGACAGGGTTTCACCGTGTTAGCCAGGATGGTCTCAATCTCCTGACCTCGTGATCCTCCCACCTCGGCCTCCCAAAGTGCTGGGATTACAGGCGTGAGCCACTGCACCCGACCGATTTATTTATTTTTGAGACGGAGTTTCGCTCTTGTTGCCCAGGCTGGAGTGCAATGGCAGGATCTTGGCTCACCGCAACTTCGGCCTCCCGAGTTCAAGCGATTCTCCTGCCTTAGCCTCCCGAGTAGCTGGAATTACAGGCATGCACCACCATGCCCGGCTAATTTTTTGTAATTTTAGTAGAGACGGGGTTTCTCCATTTTGGTCAGGCGGGTCTTGAACTCCTGACCTCAGGTGATCTGCCCACATTGGCCTCCCAAAGTGCTGGGATTACAGGCATGAGCCATCATGCCTGCCTATTTATTTTTTTTGAGACAGCATCTCAGTCTGTGGTCGAGGCTGGAGTGCTGTGGCGCCATCTGGGCTCACCACAACCTCTGCCTCCAGGGTTCAGGCGATTCTCTTGCCTCAGCCTCCTGAGTAGCTGGGACTACAAGTGCCCGCCAGCACCCCTGGCTAACGTTTGTATTCTTAGTAGAGATGGGGTTTGCCATGTTGGCCAGGGTGGTCCCAAACTCCTGGTCTCAAGTGATCTGCCCGCCTCGACCTCCCAAAAAGGCGGGATTACAGGCATGAGCTACCACGCCTGGCATTTCTCAGGAATTTTTTTTTTTTTTTTTTTTTTTTGAGATAGAGTTTTGCTCTTGTTGCCCAGGCTGGAGTGCAATGGCTCGATCTTGGCTCACCGCAACCTCTTCCTCCCGGGTTCAAGCGATTCTCCTGCCTCAGCCTCCGAGTAGCTGGGATTACAGGCGTGCACCACCACGCCCGGCTAATTTTTTGTATTTTTAGTAGAGATGGGGTTTCTCCATGTTAGTCAGGCTGTTCTCGAACTCCCGAACCTCAAGTGATCCGCCCGCCTCAGCCTCCCAAAGTGCTGGGATTACAGGCTTGAGCCACCGCGTCGGGCCCTTTCTCAGGAATTTTTAAAGGTCTTTCTTTCTCAGAACAAGTTTGTGTGCTTTAAATCTGTGGTAAATTAAAAATTTTACTTGTTTTACTATTAAAAAAAAATCTGCTGGGTGCGGTGGCGCACGTCTGTAATCCTAGCACTTTGGGAGACTGAGGCAGGCAGATCACCTGAAGTCAGGAGTTCGAGACCAGCCTGGCCAACATGGTGAAACCCCATCTCTACTAAAAATATAAAAATTAGCCGGGCGTGGTGGCGGGCACCTGTAGTCCCAGCTACTCAAGAGGCCGAGGCAGGAGAATTGCTTGAACCCAGGAGGCAGAGGTTGCGGTGAGCCGAGATTGCGCCACTGCACTCCAACATGGGTGACAGAATGAGACTCCGTCTCAAAAAAAAAAAAAAAAATTAGCTGTATTCTAAATTGGTACCACTTGGCTAACACGCCCTGGTACTATTTCAGCCATCCTAATTGCTTCACTGATGTAGATGTTTGATGAAATCCAGTTGGCATTATACTCACTTTTTCAAAGAGGAATGAACTCACTAGTGAACTAGTGAAAAAAAAAAAATCCAACCGGGTGTGGTGGCTCATGCCTGTAATCCCAGCACTTTGGGAGGCTGAGGCAGGTGGATCACGAGGTCAAGAGATTGAGACCATCCTGGCCAAGATGGTGAAACCCGTCTCCACTAAAAATACAAAAATTAGCTGGGCGTGGTGGTGCCTGCCTGTAATCCCAGCTACTCAGGAGGCTGAGGCAGGAGAACCACTTGAACCTGGGAAGTGGAAGTTGCAGTGAGCTGAAATCGTGCCACTGCAGTCCAGCCTGGGTGAAAGAGCAAGACTCGGTCTCAAAAAACAAAAAACAAAAAACAAAACAAAACAAAAAATCCTTGGCGTTTAGACAGGGTCTAACCAAAAAGAAAGAAATAGAAACAAGGTGTATTAGTTTCCATAGGCTGCCATAACAAATTCGCCCTGAGTGGCTAAAGAAAAGCAGACATTTATTGTCTTTCATGGTTCTGGAGGCTAGAGGTCAGAAATCAAGGGATCAGCAGGGCCTCTAGGGAATAATTCATCCTTGCCTCCTCTTAACTTCTGGTGATTGCCGCTAACCCTTGGCATCCTTTGGCTTGTAGACACATCACTCCAATCTCTTCCTTCACATGGCATTCTCCTCAGTGTGTCTATGTCCAAATTTCCCTCTTATTTATTTATGTATTTATTGAGATGGAGTCCTGCTCTGTTGTCCAGGCTGGAGTGCAATAGCAGGATCCTGGCTCACTGCAAACTCCGCCTTCTGGGTTCAAGTGATTCTCCTGTCTCAGCCTCCTGAGTAGCTAGGATCACAGGCGCCCCCCCACCACGCCTGGCTAATTTCTTTTTTTTCTTTTTTTTTTGAGACGGAGTCTCGCTCTGTCGCCCAGGCTGAAGTGCAGTGGCAAGATCTCAGCTCACTGCAACCTCTGCTTCCCGGGTTCAAGCGATTCTCCTGCCTCAGCCTCCTGAGTAGCTGGGATTACAGGCGCACACAACCACGCCCAGCTAATTTTTGTATTTTTAGTAGAGAAGGGGTTTCACTATCTTGGTCAGGCTGGTCTTGAACTCCTGACCTCGTGATTCACCCACCTTGGCCTCCCAAAGTGCTGGGATTAAAGGCATAAGCCACCGCACTGGCCTTTTCTTTCTTTCTTTTTTTTTTTTTTTGAGATGGAGTTTTGCTCTTGTTGCTGAGGCTGGAGTGCAATGGCGCCATCTCGGCTCACCGCAACCTCTGCCTCCAGGGTTCAAGCAATTCTCCTTCCTCAGCCTCCCAAGTAGGTGGGATTACAGGCATGAGCCACCATGCCCAGCCAAATTTCCCTCTTCTTAGAAGGACACCAAGGACACCAGTCACATGGGATTTAGGGCCTACTCTAATCTGATATGACCTTCTTTTCACTCGATTACATTTGCAAAGACCTGTCCACAGGTTCTGGGTTGACATGAGTTTTGGGGGACACTCTTCTTCCCACTCGTTAGGGAAAACTAACCATGTTTGGATTCTTTGGAAAAAACTCTCAAACAGGTTTTTCTTCTGCTCTCACACCAACACAGCCACAATCAACGCGGAAGACTTCTGTGACCAAATGTAGGGGATTTCTCCTCACCAACAAACAAGCAATCAGTTCTGCAGCAGACACTAACTGGGTGTCCTCTAATTCAATTCTAACTTTATCTACCCTGAGATAGCATCAGATCCTGTATATGTTGAGGGCTCAGTCCCCAAGACTGCTCCCCACCAGATACCAGTCACAAGTCCAGGCTTCCAGAACTTCTGACTAACCGGCTTTAAGTTGGGGTTCCCACAACTGCCTCTTTGGGTTTGATTAATTTGCTGGAGTGGCTCACAGAACTCAGAGAAACATTTACACATACTGCTTTATTACAAAGGATGCAGATGAGATACATAGGGCGAGGTATGCGGGAAGGAGTGCAGAGCTTCTGTGCCCTCCTTGGGCACACCCCACTCCAGGAACTTCCATGTATTCAGTCATCCAGAAACTCCCTGAATCCCGTCCTCTTGGGTTTTTATGGAGTTTTCATTACATAGGCATGATTGATTAAACCATTGGCCACTGGTGCTCAACTTGACCTTCAGCCACTCTCCACTCCCTGGAGGTTGGCCTTTGTCTTTTGGGTGAGTCATATCCTGAAGCTATCAGTCAATCATTAGCATACAAAAACACATAACTTTGGAGAGTCCAAGGATTTTAGTAGTTGTATGCCAGGAAACGGGGAGGAAGACCAAATATATATATTTCACAGTATCACACCAGTACACACCGGAACCAGGAGAGTAAGTTTATACTCTGAGTTTCTGAAACTACCATGGGTAATGACGGCAGTGACTGGTAGAGAAACTAAAGAAGAAAGGCAAAGAGTTAATGATAGCAGAGAAAGGGATCGTCCTTGTTACTTGTTTGCTATCCAGATTTTTTAGTGTCTAGGCATAATGAATGTTTAGGAGTACTCCTTGGCCCGCAAGTTGAAGCTATTGATGTGACAGACATGACCAGAGTAAAGTATTGCGTGTGGAAACAGTAATTGCTGTAGGATGGGTCTGCTCTGTGGAGGAGTGGGTTATGCTGTTCCAGCAGAAATTGAGAGTGTGAAAGAGAATAGTTTGGCTGTACTTCTTTTTTTTTTTTTTTTTTTTTTTTTGAGACAGAGTTTCCCTCTTGTTACCCAGGCTGGAGTGCAGTGGTGCGATCTCGGCTCACTGCAACCTTCGTCTCCTGGGTTCAAGCGATTCTCCTGCTTCAGCCTCCTGAGTAGCTGGGATTACAGGCGCCTGCCACCATGCCCGGCTAATTTTTGTATTTTTAGTAGAGATGGGGTTTTGCCATGTTGGCCCAGCTGGTCTTGAACTCCTGACCCCAGGTGATCCACTCGCCTCCGTCTCCCAAAGTGCTGGGGTTATAGGCGTGAGCGACTGTGCCTGGCCTGGTTGTACTTCTGATAGAAAGTGTAGCACCCACCCAGACAGGGACCCATATTCTGCTACCACTCAGCATATTAGAATATGGCCCCTTCCCAGAGCTGGGTGGGCCTATAGCTATACCACTGCTTGAAAAACTATGAGGCTCACTCTTGCCCAAACACAGACTCAGGCCCATGCATAAAAGATCACTTAACTTTTCAGGGCCAACCTGGTCCTATGTCCCACCTCTAGTCAATATACTGCATGGCAGTTCATGTAGTATCCCTACCACTATTCAACAAGTCTAAGTCAGGTGCTCATGCACTGACCACAGTATGTACGCATCTCACCTCTCAACACATGTGGAGACAGCCCTATCTTGTGAGAACCTACACTGACTTCAGCCTTCTTTTTTTTGAGACAGAGTCTCGCTCTGTCACCCAGGCTGGAGTACACTGGCACGATCTCTGCTCACTGCAACCTCCGCCTCCCGGGTTCAAGCAATTATCCTGCCTCAGCCTCCTGAATAGCTAGGATTACAGGCTTGAGCCACCATGCCTCGCTAATTTTTGTATTTTTAGTAGAGACGGAGTTTCACCATGTTGGCCAGGCTGGTCTCGAACTCCTGACTTCAGGTGATCCGCCTGCCTCTGCCTCCCAAAGTGGTGGGATTACAGGTGTGAGCCACCGCACCTGGCCGACTTCAACCATCTGATCTGCACACTGAGAACAGTCTCCTGCTTAAAAGAGGAGCCAGACAAGTGACCAGTTGGTACAGACAATGTTATCTCAGAGGGTACAGGGTTATGTCTCACAGTGGGTAGGTTTATGCACACCTGCCCCAAAGTGCGAGGCAGTTCACCTTGATAGAGCCCTGCTCAGATCACTGCTCATACTCACGCATTCCTCAGCAAATTATGAGACAGCTCTTACCTTAGAATCAGGTCTCTACCCACCCATCTTAAAAATTTTCCATGAAATAGCCTTCTGCCAGGCTGGAATCTATATTCAGATATTCAGATGTGTGTAGTACATCAGGGAACAGATGAACTCAAACAGGAACACTAGTCATACCACTATTTAGCAAGAGCTTAGTACAAAGACTTGCTTCAGCACATCATGGGAAGGATTAGCACAAAGACCAAAACATATCTGTACTTTGTCCCAAACTCAGTGTTCTACAGAACGTACAAAGCAGAGACCAGGAAACACACTTATCTGGGCATTCAGTAAATCAGCAGGAGCCCCACATCCAGAGCAATCATCAGGAATCATTCCTTCACTCATTACACTAGAAGGCCTACCATAACAACACTATATTGCAGATCATTTGTTAGCAAACCAAGACAAAAAAATCTTATATGGAAAAGAGATAATACTATATATACTGCCACTGAACTCCATAACACGAAGTCCTTGTTGACCAAGACTGATAACTATACTCACACTTAGCCCATCAGGAAACAGCTCTCACTTGGATAAAGGCCTACACCTATACCATTAGATATATCAAAACTGAAATCTGAACTAGGCCATGAAACTCCCCACCTGCCATACTAGGAGAGATTCATGAGCCAACATGGGGCCTAGATGCCTATTCACAAAAGAAAGAATGAGCCCTGGCTGGGTGCGGTGGCTCACGCCTATAATCCCAGCACTTTGGGAGGCCAAGGCGGGTCCATCACCTGAGGTCAGGAGTTCGAGACCAGCCTGACCAACACGGTGAAATCCCGTCTCTACTAAAAATACAAAAATGACCTGGCACGTTGGCTCACAGCTGTAATCCCAGCACCTTGGGAGGCTGAGGTGGGTGGATCACCTGAGGTCAAGAGTTCAAGACCAGCCTGTTCAACATGGTGAAACCCCGTCTCTACTAAAAATACAAAAAGTAGCCAGCCGTGGTGGCAGGCTCCTGTAGTCCCAGCTACTCGGGAGGCTGAGACTGGAGAATTGCTTGAACCCAGGAGGCGGAGGTTGCAGTGAGCCGAGATCATGCCACTGCACTCCAGTCTGGGTGACAGAGCGAGACTCCGTCTCAAAAAAAAAAAAAAAAAAAAAAAAGGAATTGGACAAAACACACAAACAAAGCGAGGAAGGAATGAAGAGATTTATTGAAAACGAAAGTACACTCCACAGTGTGGGAGCGAGCATAGGGGCCCAAGAGCCCCGTTATAGAATCTGTGGGAGTTTAAATACCCTCTGGGGGAAAAAAAGAAAAATTAAAAAAAAAAAAAACAAATAAAAATAAATAAATAAATAAATACCCTCTAAGGGTTTCCATTGGTTACTTGGTGTATGCCCTATGTAAATGAAGAGCATGAAGTAAAGTTACAAAGTCATTTTCTTGGCGTACGCCCTATGGAGAAGATACTTCCTGTCATAGCTGTAGTGTGTATTGGCCTTATGTTCCTTGCCTCTAGACCCCATTTTCCTGCCTCATTGCCACACCACTACGTGGGCCACTATAAGACAGCACCAACCTAGAAACAGAGACTACACCATGCCACGCATCTGGCACACCAGAAAACCAGAAGTCAGTCCCTGCCCAGACCACACTTTGTGGTAACATCAAGACTGGGACATACCAGGACAAAGCACTCACAGAGAAAAACTTACACCATTGCTCAGCCCATATGGTGATCCCCACTTCTCAGCTACCACAGGGTCTAGAGGACATATCCTCATTTTCTCTCAGCACCACTGGTGCCTACCCCTTCTCAGACAAAGGTCAACATCCACGCCATCACTGTGCACTTGAAAAAGCAGCATCAGGCCGGGCGCGGTGGCTCACGCCTGTAATCCCAGCACTTTGGGAGGCTGAGGCGGGCGGATCACGAGGTCAGGAGATCAAGACCATCCTGGCTAACACAATGAAACCCTGTCACTACTAAAATACAAAAAATTAGCCAGGTGTGGTGGCACGTGCCTGTAGTCCCAGCTGCTCGGGAGGCTGAGGCAGGAGAATCACTTGAACCCAGGAGGCAGAGGTTGCAGTGAGCCGAGATCGTGCCACTGCACTCCAGCCTGGGTAACAGAGTGAGACTCCGTCTCAAAAAAAAAAAAAAAAAAGAAAGAAAAAGCAGCATCTGCCCTCAGAAAGACCATTCTTTCCTTCCCACAAAAATGCTTCACACATAAGGAAATAGCCCAGACCAAACCAGGGTCTACACCACCATTTTATGAACCAAGAGACAGCTCTGGGCAAAAGCAGAGCCCAGGAACACATCTCTGCTCAGTGAGTTACTGGATAGTTGGGGTGATCAGATCACTGATCCTCACACTGAGAACAGTTTCCTGCCTAAAAGATGACCCAGACAAGTGAACACTTGGTACAGACAGTGTAATCTCAGATGGTATAGGCTTATGTCTCATGGTGGGTAGGTCTATGCAACCTGCCCCAAAGTTTGAGGAAGCTAAGAGGCTGAAGAAAGAGGCTGACAAATCCACTTTCTTATTTTTTTTGAGACAGAGTCTTGCTCTGTCACCCAGGCTGGAGTGCAGTGGCATGATCTTGGCTCACTGCAATATCTGCCTTCTGGGTTCAAGGAATTCTTCTGCCTCAGTCTCCGGAGTAACTGGGATTACAGGTGTGTGCCACCACACCCAGGTAATTTTCGTATTTTTAGTAGAGAGGGGGATTCACTATGGTGGCCACGCTGGTCTTGAACTCCTGACCTCAGGTGATCCTCCTGCCTCGGCCTCCCAAAGTGCTGGGATTACAGGCATGAGCCAGTGCACCCGGCCCATAAGTTCCTATTAAAAGTTTCTTTCTAAGAAAGTGGATTTGTCGGCCGGGTGAGGTGGCTCACGCCTGTAATCCCAGCATTTTGGGAGGCCGAGGTGGGTGGATCACAAGGTCCGGAGATCGAGACCATCCTGGCCAACATGGTGAAACCCCGTCTCTACCAAAAATATAAAAATTAGCTGGGCCTGGTGGCACATGCCTGTAATCCCAGCTACTCGGGAGGCTGAGGCAGGAGAATTGCTTGAACCAAGGAGTCGGAGGTTGCAGTGAACCGAGATAGTGCCACTGCACTCCAGCCTGCAGATAGAGCGGGACTCCGCAAAAAAAAAAAAAAAAAAAAAAAAAAGAGAGGAAAAGGGGTCCTTGGAAAGTTTTTGTCTCTTTTAAAGCAGCTCCAGAATCGTTTCATGTGTAGCAGAAAAGTCTCAGCGCTTTTTTTTTTTTTTGAGATGGAGTCTCGCTCTGTGACCCAGGCTGGAGTGCAGTGGTGTGATCTCTGCTCACTGCAACCTCCGTCTCCCGGGTTCAATCGATTCTCCTGCCTCAGCCTCCTGAGTAGCTGGGACTACAGGCGCATGCCACCACACCTAGCTAATTTTTGTATTTTTAGTAGAGACGGGGTTTCACTATGTTGGCCAAGCTAGTCGTGAACTCCTGACCTCGTGATCCACCCGCCTCGCCCTCCCAAAGTGCTGGGATTACAGGCGTGAGCCACCGCGCCTGACCGGCGCCGGCTCTTAGACCCAGCAGGCAACCTTTGATATGCAAATGTAGGCCATTGGAAACCGGGTCCACCCAGTATGGGGATTCCCACCCTTGTCCTCTTGCCCTTGCCCCCACCTGTGCCTGGCAGTGTAGTCATCCCAACACGTGTAGAACATCACAGCGCCCTACATTTGCATATTAAAGGCTAGGGTGGGAGGGACAGTTTTTTCCGCGGGCTACGTGAATGACACGCCTGGTCAAACCAATCCCCTGAGCCCTATGCAAATCAGACAACGCCTCCTCCAGCCCCTCATAACTGGCTGGTATCCGCGGCCCGCAAGGGTCTCTTCTCTCGGCTTTGGAGCCCCCTTCCCTCTTTCTCTACAAGGGAGTTTCTCCCTTTCTTCTCCCTTCTTTCTTGCCTATTAAACTCTCCACTCCTTTTTTTTTTTTTTTTTTTTTTTTTTTTGAGACGGAGTCTGGCTCTGTCGCCCAGGCTGGAGTGCAGTGGCGCGATCTCGGCTCACTGCAAGCTCCGCCTCCCAGGTTCACACCATTCTCCTGCCTCAGCCTCCTGAGTAGCTGGGACTACAGGCGCCCGCCACCACGCCCGGCTAATTTTTTGTATTTTTAGTAGAGACGGGGTTTCACCGTGTTAGCCAGGATGGTCTCCATCTCCTGACCTCGTGATCCGCCCGCCTCGGCCTCCCAAAGTGCTGGGATTACAGGCGTGAGCCACCGCGCCCGGCCAACTCTCCGCTCCTTAAAACCACTCCACGTGTGTCCATGTCGTTTTATCTAATTCGACTCAATAGGAAGAACCTTGGTGTTCCTCCACTCATCGCAGCTGTATCAAGATGGCGCCACGGCACTCCAGCCTGGGCGACCGAGTGAGACTCGGTCAAAAAAAAAAAAAAAGGGGGACTTATGAACAAAAGCCAGGTCTGTGTGTCTTGGGTGACAGCAAGACAAAATGGTGGATCCCTGCAGCATTTTCCCCCAGACCTAGGGTTTATACACCATAGGGGAGGGGGGTGGTTCAGAAGGGATATATAGGAAAACTGAAGTATGATAACATCAAGGTTGTTTGACCTAAGGGTGGGATTTACGGTAAATATTAATACATGTTCTTACACTAGGATCAATACATAAACTGGAAATCTTAGAGGCCTTCCTCGAATAGGGGTTGATGGGAAGCCAACATGGTGAAATAGCTTCCAAGATAGAGTTGCTTTAGCCTCCACAGGCTAAGTCCACACACTCTCAGTGGCATGCCAGGACCTATCAGGACATGAATCATACCTGAGCCATTGCTCAGGACACTATGAGAAGGGCCTCCCTGTAGACAGATCATTGCCCAGTGTTCAGCAAACTATGACACAGCTCCTAGACATACCCCATGTGACCACTTGATCAGCAGATCAGAATGTGATGCTGGTTCTGAAACTGCCATTGCAAAATGATAACTGAGACAGTGAAAGTGATCTAACCTAACCAACCCCATCTTGCTTCTAACCTCCAAGTTGTCCTTGTTCATTCCTGGCTGTAGGCTGAAGTAATTTTGGGGGGAACCTAGTTTATAATTTAACTTTGGAACAAAGATTATAATAGCTCTTTCCCTTTTTGCCTGTGGACTAGACTGTCTTTGTAGGACTAATAAATTAGCCAAAAGATGATAAATTATGATTTAGGCTGGGTGGGGTGGATCACGCCTGTAATCCCAGCACTTTGGGAGGCCAAGGCGGGCAGATTATTTCATCTCAGGAGCTCGAGATCACCCTGGGCAACATGGCAAAACCCCATCTCTACAAAAAATAAAAAAATTAGTCTGGTGTGGTGGTGCACGCCTGTGGTCCTAGCTACTCAGGAGGCTGAGGTGGGAAGATGGCTTGAGTCCCAAGAGGTCGAGGCTGCAGTGAGCCGAGATTTTGCCACTGCACTCCAGCCTGGGTGACAGAGTGAGACACTGTCTCAAAAAAAAATAAAAAGAAAAAGAAAAGAAATTATGGTTTAGGAGTCATGCAGCTGGAGGCTACAAGATTCTGACCCTCCCCAAACTGCTCCTAAGATCAGCGCTTGACATATTTTTCAGATCCTGCACCTGGCACCACCCAGATTGATAAACTGGATTATCTGATCTTGTGGCCCCTACCCAGAAACTGACTCAGCACCAGAGGACAGCTTCGACTCCCTTTGATTTCATCTCTAACCCAACCAATCAGCACTTTTGACTCACTGGCACCCCACCCACCAAGTCCTCCATAATAACTCTGATCCCTGAATGCTTGGGGAGACTGATTTGGGTAATAATAAAACTCTGGTTTCCCATGCAGCAGGCTCTGAGTGAATTCCTCTATTGCAATTCCCCTGTCTTGATAAATCGGCTCTGTCTAGGCAGCGGGCCAGGTGAACCCGTTGGGTGGTTACAGTTCCAACACCAGCTGAGATAACTACCTGCAGAACAGCACTCTACCTATATCCCTGCCCAACAAGGCACAGGACAATATTTAGGCCAGGATCTGTACACATGTCAACCCTCAAGCAAACTCTATGATAGCCAGCTCTTTCTCCGTACAGGGACCCAGTGTTCTCAGTTGCTCAGGATAAAGAATAAGAGACTTGGTTCAACCCATGATGTGAACTCTTATTACCTTGCAGCATACCTGGACCCAGCCCCCAATAAGAACCTTCTCTCTATCTCTTCATTTTATTTTATTTTATTTTTTGAGATGGAGTCTCGCTCTTGTTGCCCAGGCTGGAGTGCAATGGTGCAATCTCGGATCATTGCAACCTCTGCCTCCCGGGTTCAAGTGATTCTCCTGCCTCAGCCTCTTGAGTAGCTGGGACTACAGGCGCTCGCCACCACAGCTGGCTAATTTTTTGTATTTTTAGTAGAGATGGGGTTTCACCATGTTGGCCAGCCTGGTCTCAAACTGACCTCAGGTGATCCACCCGCATTGGCCTCCCAAAGTGCTGGGATTACAGGTGTAAGCCACCACACCTGGCCTATCTCTTCATTCTTTATTCACTCCTTTTCTACTGCATCCTTCCCCAACTTCCTTCTTTTTTTTTTTTTTTTTTTTTTTGAGCAGCAGCAAGATTTATTGTGAAGAGTGAAAGAACAAAGCTTCCACAGCATGGAAGGGGACCCCAGCGGGTTGCCCCAACTTCCTTCTTATAATCAGCTACATCTCTTCCACTTGAAATCCCAAAGTTAGCCCCGCCCTCCCTCCCTCCCTCCCTCCCTCCCTCCCTCCCTTCCTTCCTTCCTTCCTTCCTTCCTTCCTTCCTTCCTCCCTCCCTCCCTCCTTCCCTCCCTCTGTCCCACCTTCTCTCCTTCTCTTCTTTCCTTCTTTCTTTTTTGAGACAGAGTCTCATTCTGTTGCCCAGGCTGTAGTGCAGTGGTGCCATCATGGCTTACTGCAGCCTCAAGCTCCCAGGCTCAAGCGATCCTCCCACCTTAGCCTTCTTAGTAGCTGGGACTACAGGCGCACAACACCAAGCCGGGATAATTTTTGTATTTTTGTAGAGATGGGGTTCTGCCATGTTGCCCAGGTTGGTCTCGAACTCATGGGCTCGAGTGATCCACCAGCTTCAGCTTCCCAAACTACTGAGATTACAGGCGTGAGCCACCGTGCTTAGCCCCAAAACTAGGACTTTCTATTTCTATGTCTATAAATGTCAGAGCCAAGCTTTTAGAAGAGCAGTCTGTAGCCCGTGTCTCTTCATTCCTGTTCACCACTCTACCCCCTGTAAGCTGGCCTCTGCCATGATGCCTCAACTGTGAAACCCCTCTCCTAAGATCAACACTTGCTACACCCCAAGGCTGCATTTCCAGCCCTCACCTACTGGACCTGATGGGGATGGGACATGTGGGCCCCACCTTCCTCCATGAAACGCTCTCTTCCCTCAGATCCCTGGACTCTGTGCCTGCCTCTCCCACTCTCCAAGTTCCCCTCCCGCTGTCCCCTGCTCCCATGGACGCTGTTCGCTGGGCCCTTGAAGACCTCCCCCACTACTTCACACAACTCCCAGGTGACCTGTGAATCTCTGCTCAGGTGTCCTCTCCTCAAGAAGCCTTGGATGGTCCCACCCACAGCATCTGGACTTGCCTCTCTGTCACAGTGTGACCGGATGTTCCCAGGTGGCTATCTCTCTCTTTTGAGAGCTAAGGTCCTCATGGGCAGGAAACCACTGCCACTCTCCTCCACGTCTCCAGCACCGAGCATGGTGCCAGGCTGTGAGCCAAGGCTCCGTAAAACTGGGTGCCTCTCGAGCTGGAAGCCTGTGTGTCTGGAAGCTCAGGGAGCAGCTGTGACCTGCACGTGGGATTCCTGAGCTCCCATGAACAGGCAGGAGAGGAGACACAGGCCTGCACGTTGCTGTGGAAAAAGCCCTTGCAGAAGGCAGGAGAGGCTGTCAAACCAGGCTTGCTCTGAAAATGTGGCAGCAAGGGCCGCCTCTAATAAACCCCGTAAAGGCTCAGTAAATGTGTGTTGAATCAGCAGAGAGGCGTCGCTGCAGACCTAGCCATCATGAGAGGGATGAAGGGCCCTTGAGTTCCTCTGTTAGTGAGGATAATTTAGCAGGCAGAAGAGAGGGAGGGAGGCTGCATCAGCGGCTTGTAGGGAGAAGCACTTGGCGCAGCAGAATGGGCAGTGATGGCCCAACAATTCCAGGTCAAGCGATGGCTTCTGAACATGCAGGGGATCCAGGCCCCTCCTTGCACGCCGAGGGGGAGCACTCTCTGCAGTAGCCGGTGACACACATTTCATCACAGGGAGGAGGAGTGGCTTCAGGGTGACCGACTGTCTTGGCTTTGCTGGTACGAGGGGATTTCCTGAGAAGCCGGACTTTCCAGTTTAAAATCAGGCCAGTCCCAGGCAAACTGGGACAGCTGGTCACTCTCTGTGGCATTGGAGGGCATGTCAGTCTGAAGCAGGGCCTCTTGCCTTCTGCTGTTTAGAGCGGAGGAAGTGAAGGGGGCCTGGGTCTGAGTTGTAGCTCAGTGGGACTATGGGCCTGCCTCCAGTTCTAATGGGGGGCTGCCTGGAGGTGGCATGGGTTGGGCCCTCTTCTGGAAGGCTTGCCCTAAAGGGGCTTGGTCTCAGCTCTGCTATGGGCACACTGTGCTTGACAGTTATGCTGTGAGGGTTAATGCATGTATTAACTCTTTGTAAAAGCCATGCCTTATATGGAGATGGCATATATTGAGGTATGCAACAAGGCTGAAATTAGCCTGAGCGTTTTGCCAAAGTTCTTGACTGGCACTGATCCCTGGTCAAAGCATGCAATATATTATCTAATAGTGTGGCTTTGTAACCATGGGTCTGATGAGTTTCAGGGTAGTTTGTACTACAATGACATCATTGTATTGTTTATTTATTTATTTATTTTGGATGATTCGCATAACATAAAATTCACCATGTAAACCATTTAAAATGCACAATTCAGTGGTTTTTAGTATATTCACAATGTTGTAATCACACCTATTTAACTTCAGAATATTTTCATCACCCCAAAAATAAACCGTGTGCTTCCCAATTTCCCCCTCCTCACATCCCCTGACAACCACTAATCTACTTTGTGTGGATTTTCCATTTTTTTTTTTTTTTTTTGAGACAGAGTCTCACTCTGTCACCCAGGCTGGAGTGCAGTGGTGCAATCTCGGCTCACTGCCAGCTCCGCCTCCTGGGTTCACGCCATTCTCCTGCCTCAGCCTCCCGAGTAGCCGGGACTACAGACGCCCACCACCATGCCTGGCTAATTTTTTGTATTTTTAGTAGAGACGGGGTTTTACCATGTTAGCCAGGATGGTCTCGATCTCCTGACCTCGTGATCCACCTGCCTCGGCCTCCCAAAGTGCTGGGATTACAGGCGTGAGCCACTGCACCCGGCATTTTTTTTTTTTTTTTGAGACAGAGTCTTGCTCTGTTTCCCAGGCTGAAGTGTAGTGGTACGATCTGGGCTCACTGCGACCTCCATCTCTCAGGTTCAAGCAATTCTCCTGCCTCAGCCTCCTGAGTAGGTGGGATTACAGGTGTGCACCACCATGCCCAGTAATTTTTGTATTTTTAGTAGAGACAGAGTTTCACCATGTTGGTCAGGCTGGTCCTGAACTCCTGACCTTGTGATCTGCCTACCTTGGCCTCCCAAAGTACTGGGATTACAGGCACGAACCACCATACCTGGCTTTTTTTTTTTTTTTTTTTGAGACAGAGTTTCACTCTTTTTTGTTTTTGTTTTTGTTTTTAGACGGAGTCTCGCTCTGTTGCCCAGGCTGGAGTGCAATGGTGCGATGTTGGTTCACTGGAACCTCCGCCTCCCAGGTTCGAGCGATTCTCCTGCCTCAGCCTCCGAAGTAGATGGGATCACAGGCTCACCCCATGACACCCAGCTAACTTTGTATTTTTAGTAGAGATGGGGTTTCACCATGTTGGTCAGGCTGGTCTCAAACTCCTGACCTCAGTGATCCACCCACCTTGGCCTCCCAAAGTACTGGGATTACAGGCATGAGTCACCGCACCCGGCCTCTCCAGCTGGGTTTGGTCAATGGGGAGGGACTGGCAAGAATTTTCAGAAAGGGCAGAGAATGAAGTAAATTAGCCCGGCTAATTTTTGTATTTTTAGTAGAGATGGGGTTTCACCATGTTGGTCAGGCTGGTATCAAACTCCTGACCTCAGGTGATCGGCCTGCCAGGGCCTCCGAAAGTGCTGGGATTACAGGCGTGAGCCACCGTGCCTTGCCTGACTTAACTGCTTACTATTGATTAAGATCAAGTCTCTGTAAAGTTGCATATTAACTTGCAGACTTCTTTCATGCAAATGATTTCTGTCTGGTGGAAAAGATAATCCCAAAGCTAACAGTTGTGTTTCCCTATGGGATATCAACCAGTGTTGTATCTAATTTAGTAATCTTATTCTAAAATTCTTTTAGTATCAATATCTATCTTTCAGATTTTCCTCTGAACCTACTTACCATACTGCTGTATGCTCATTAATGAGTTAAATACAAATTTTAAGACCTGGCATGGTGGCTCACGCCTGTAATCCCAGCACTTTGGAAGGCCGAGGCAGGTGGATCCCTTGCACTCAGGAGTTCAAGACCAGCCTGGCCAACATGGTGAAACCCTGTCTCTACTAAAAATACAAAAATTAGCTGGGCGTGGTGGCACATACCTGTAATTCCAGCTACTCAGGAGGCTAAGGCAGGAGAATTGCTTGAACCCAGGAAGCAGAAGTTGCAGTGAGCAGAGACTGCGCCACTGCACTACAGCCTGGGAGACAAAGCGAGAATCTATCTAAAAAAAAAAAAAATTCATTGGTGCTCGCTTTATATTTTGTATGAGTCAGATTTTTTTTTTTTTTTTTTTTTTTTTTTGAGATGGAGTCTCGCTCTTTCGCCCAGGCCGGACTGCAGTGGTGCTATCTCGGCTCACTGCAAGCTCCGCCTCCCGGGTTCAAGTGATTCTCCTGCCTCAGCCTCCCGAGTAGCTGGGACTACAGGCGCCAGCCACCACGCCCGGCTAATTTTTTGTATTTTTTTTAGTAGAGACGGGGTTTCACCGTGTTAGCCAGGATGGTCTCGATCTCCTGACCTCGTGATCCGCCCGCCTCGGCCTCCCAAAGTGCTGGGATTACAGGCGTGAGCCACCAGGCCCGGCCGTATGAGTCAGATTTTTAACTTCCTAAAATTTATACTTTGACAGTGGACACTAACTGTGGCAAGGGTAAGGCACTCAGGTGTCTTATTGAACTCTCCATATCAGGTTCATGAGGACATTAAAAACACCTCCTGGGGACTCCCAGGCATAACCTGGTAAAACAAATATTTTACCGAAAATTCCTGGTTTCATCTTGATTGTGAAGGCAAAAAGAAATTAGAAGAGGGAGACTGTCCACGTTTCTTTTTTCTTCTTTTTTTTTGAGATGGAGTCTCACTCTGTCGCCCAGGCTGGAGTGCAGTAGCGCGATCTCGGCTCACTGCAACCTCCACCACCCTGGTTCAAGCGAATTTTTGTATTTTTAGTGGAGACGGGGTTTCATCATGTTGGTCAGGCTGGTCTCGAACTCCTGACCTCATGATCCACCTGCCTCAGCCTCCCAAAGTGCTGGGATTACAGGCGTGAGCCATCGCGCCCGGCCTTTTTTTTTTTTTTTTTTTAAAGATGGAGTCTCCTTTGGGAGGCCGAGGAGGGCAGATCACGAGGTCAGGAGATCGAGACCATCCTGGCTAACACGGTGAAACCCCGTCTCTACTAAAAATACAAAAAAATTAGCTGGGCGTGGTGGCGGGCGCCTGTAGTTCCAGCTACTTGGGAGGCTGAGACAGGAGAATGGCATGAACCCGGGAGGCGGAGTTTGCAGTGAGCCGAGATCGCGGCACTGCACTCCAGCCTGGGTAACAGAGAGAGACTCCGTCTCAAAAAAAAAAAAAAATGGAGTCTCCCTCTGTCGCCCAAGCTGGAGTGCAATGGTGTGATCTCGGCGCACTGCAACCTCCGCCTCCCGGTTTTAAGTGATTCTCCTGCCTCAGCCTACTGAGTAGCTGGGAGTACAGGCGTGAGCCATCACGCCTGGCTAATTTTTGTAGTTTAGTAGAGACAAGGTCTCACCATGTTGCCCAGGCTTGTCTTGAACTCCTGAGTGCAAGGAATCCACCTGCCTTGGCCTCCCAAAGTGCCGGGATTACAGGCATGAGCCACCACTCCAGCCAAGTTTTGCTAATTCTATCTCATAAACATTTCTCTCTTTTTGTCCAATCTGCCTGCCACTGCCTTCTCAATTCAGTTCTTTATCACCTTTTATTTTCTGAGCCTCCTTACCTGCCTCTGGTTCTACCATTCTTATCACTTATTCTCCTAGTCTAATCCATACAACATTGCCAGTTTCCTCTCACTAAAAGAAAATTATAATCCTGTTACTGCCCTGATTAAAAAACTTCAAGGTCCAGGCACAGTGGCTGAAACCTGTAATCTCAGCACTTTGGGAGGCTTAGGTGGGTTAATCAGTTAAGCTCTGGAGTTTGAGCTCAGCCTGGGCAGCATGGTGAAGCCCTGTCTCTACAAAAAAAAAAAAAAAAAATTAGCAGGGTGTGGTGGCGTGTGCCTGTAGTCCCAGCTACTTGGGAGGCTAAGGTGGAAGGATTGCTTGTGCCCAGAAGTTCGAGGCTGCAGTGAGCCATGATTGCACCACTGCACTCCACCCTGGGCGATAGAGTAAGAGCATGTCTTAAAAAAAAAAAAAAAAAAAAAAGGGCCGGGCACGGTGGCTCACGCCTGTAATCCCGGCACTTTGGGAGGCCAAGGGGGGGATGGGTCACCTGAGGTTGGGAGTTTGAGACCAGCCTGACCAACATGGTGAAACCCGTCTCTACTAAGAATACAAAATTAGCCAGGTGTGGTGGCGTATGCCTGTAATCCCAGCTACTCGGGAGGCTGAGGCAGGAGAATCGCTTGAACCCGGGAGGTGGAGGTTGCCGTGAGCTGAGATTGTACCATTGTACTCTAGCCTGGGCAACAAGAGCGAAACTCTGTTCCCTGCCTCCGCCAAAAAAAAAAAAAAAAAAAAAAACCCTTCAAGAGGAGCCATCGTGGAAGTGGAGTTGATGAAACCTGATGACTGAGTGAATATTGCAATCAAGGGTGTGGAACATATCTTCAAGGGTTTCTTACTGCCTCTAGGATAAAGTCCAGGCTCTTAGCACCTAAGGCAATTCATAACCCAGCCTCCACCTACTTTATTAGCATCATCTCCAGGCACTCCCTAACAAACATTCTCTACTTCAGTTACATTACACTTTTCACAATGCTCTTTCATGCTTCCTTGCCTTCGCACATACTTTTCCTTTGTCCCGTCTTGATCCTCTTCTCTGCTAGGTGTATACCTATTCACCTATCAGATATCAGACTCCTCCAATCAGAGTTCACTAGTGTCTTCTTGAATTTTGGGCCCAGTATGCCTTACCTCACCCTAGTCCTGACATTAGTAGACCTTAAAATATCCCTATTTGGCAGGACATGGTGGCCAAGGTAGGAGGATCACCTGAGGTCAGGAGTTCAAGACCAGCCTGGCCAACTTGGCAAAACCCTGTCTCTATCAAAAACCCAAAAGTTAGCCGGGCATCATGGTGCGTACCTGTAATCCCAGCTACTCAGGAGGCTGAGGCATGAGAATCGCTTGAACCCAGGAGGTGGAGGTTACAGTGAGCTGAGATCATGCCACTGCACTCCAGCCTGGGTGACAGAGCAAGACTGTCTCAAAAAAAAAAAAAAATCCCTATTAATGTTAAGCAGAAGAAGCAAAATGAAAAAGAGTATATGTAATAGTTTCCCATCTGGTCAACAAAGAAGGAAAAATAAGAAAACAGTCCTATGTCTGCTTATCTTTAGGAAAAGAAACACAGGACAAATAAACCAGAAAACAACAATGCAGATCACCACACAAGAGATTGGAGGAGGGAGGAGCAGTGGTACAGAAAGGATATGGATGGAAGGAAGTGACATTCCTGAGTATGAATTATTACATATTCTTGACTTCTATAAGCATATTAATGTTTTATATAATCAGAAAATGAAATTAATTCAATAAGGGCCGGGCGCGGTGGCTTACGCCTGTAATCCAAGCACTCTGGGAGGCCGAGGCGGGCGGATCACCTGAGGTTAGGAGTTCGAGACCAGCCTGACCAACATGGAGAAATCTCCTCTCTACTAAAAATACAAAATAAGCCGGATATGGTGGCATATGCCTGTAATCCCAGCTACTCGGGAGGCTGAGGCAGCAGAATCGCTTGAACCCGAAAGGCAGAGGTTGCGGTGAGCCGAGATAGGGCCACTGCATTCCAGCCTGGGCAACAAGAGCGAAACTCCATCTCAAAAAAAAAAAAAAAGAAAGAAAAGAAAAAAGAAATTAATTCAATAAGAATGGGAAGGGGAAAAAATTAAACTGAAAGAAAACTGAAATAGGCCTGGCACAGTGCCTCACGCCTGTAATCCCAGCACTTTGGGAGGCCTAGGCGGGTGAATCACTTGAGCTCAAGAGTTAGAGAACAGCCTGGGCAATATGGTGAAACCCCGTCTCTACTAAAAATACAAAAATTAGCCGGGCATGGTGGCTCACACCTGTAATCACAGGTACTAGGGAGACCAAGGCACGAGAATTGCTTGAACGCAGGAGGTAGAGGTTGCGGTGAGCCGAGATCGAATCACTGCACTCCAGCCTGGGCATCAGAGCGAGACTTTGTCTCAAAAAAAAAAAAAAAAGACAAAACAAAAAATTAATACCTCCATTAGGGTACTTATATTGTGACTATGGCTCCACTAGTCTGTGAGCAATCACAGACGTGAACTATGTCTTATTCATCATTGCCAGGGCCTTGGGGTGGGAGGGTGTCTTCACAGGACGGGACAAATAGAAGGTGCAGTAGGAATGTTTGCTGATTTATTGACCAGAAGCATCTGCAAATGAATGCCCTGAAAAGGGTGTACTGATGAGTATTATTTCCTGGGTGATGTGTTAGGTAAGGGCACAATTAAGTTAAGGAATCTCTGCTAGTGCTCCTATCAAAAGCATTTACAGGTTTCTTAATGTTATTGCCTTTTCCCTTCAGGGACTCACTTGATATTACAGGCATACCCCTGCAAAACATGTGTTATGAATTCCTCAGCTCTGAATGAGGCTTTAAGGCTTTCCTAAAGTCCAATTTTGTTCAGGCTATGTTGAAATTTACCATCTCATGTTATCTTTATAATGGAGCAGACACCCTGAAAAATTTGTGAACACTCCCACACCACCTTCACAAAACGATATAATTGTAAGCCATAAACAGGTCACATGATTCACTAAGGACGCTATCCAAACAAGTGCCTGCCTCATCACATCTGCCTCTAATTAAGAGAGTGACTCATCAGTAATCTATGATGGTTAATTGTTGTTATTACTGCTTTTGACTTTTTTTCTCTCACTCATTAAACTTAAAAAAAAAATGTCAAGGATCTACTATTTGAGAGTTACCGTCCTCATCACTGAGGATATAGCATACAACAAAACAGATATGTCCCTGTTCTAACAGAGTCATGGAATTTAGTAGGGGACATAGACATCAAATAAATAAACACATCAGAGATTACCTTTGTGAAATTCAACATTTTAAAAAAGATATTAGGTCGGGCATGGTGGCTCACGCCTGTAATCCCAGCACTTTGGGAGGCTGAGGTGGGCGGTCACTTGAGGTCAGGATTTTGCGACCAGCCTAGCCAAGATGGTGAAACCCCAGCTCTACTAAAAATGCAAAAATTGGCTGACTACTTGGGAGGCTGAGGCAGGAGAATCACTTGAACCCGGGAGGTGGAGGTTGCAGTGAGCTGAGATTGTGCCACTGTACTCTAGCCTGAGTGATAGAGCGATACTCCATCTCAAAAAAAAAATAAATAAATAAAAATAAAAAAATTAAAAAGATATTAAAGATTCCTGAGCTTAGAACTCAATGTTCTGGATATGATTTCTTTTCTTTTCTTTTTTTTTTTGAGACAGAGTTTCACTCTGTCACCCAGGCTGGAGTGCAGTGGTGTGATCTCGGCTCACTGCAACCTCTGCCTCCTGGGTTCAAGCAATTCTCCTGTCTCAGCCTCCTGAGTAGCTGGGATTACAGGCATGCGCCACCACGCCCGGCTAATTTTGTATTTTTAGTAGAGATGGGGTTTCTCCATGTTAGTCAGGCTGTTCTCCAACTCCTGACCTCAGGTGATCCACCCACCTTGGCCTCCCAAAGTGCTGGGATTACAGGTGTGAGCCACTGCACCCAGTAATTTTTTAATTTTTTTTTTTTTTGAGACAGTCTCCCTCTGTTGCCCAGGCTGGAGTGCAATAGCATGATCTCAGCTCACTGCAACTTCCACTTCCCGGGTTCAAGCTATTCTCCTGCCTCAGCCCCACAAGTAGCTGGGGTTACAGGCACATGCTGCCACGCCCGGCTACTTTTTTTGTATTTTAGTAGAGATGGGGTTTCACCATGTTGCTCAGGCTGGTCTCGAACTCCTGAGCTCAGACAATCCACCTGCTTTGGCCTCCCAAAGTGCTAGGATTATAGGCATGAGCCACCACACCACACCAAATTTTTGTATTTTTTAGTAGAGATGGGGTTTCACCATATTGATCAGTCTGGTCTTGAACTCCTGACCTCAGGTGATCTGCCCGTCTTGGCCTCCCAAATTGCTGGGATTACAGGCGTGAGCCACTGTGCCTGGCTTTGGTTTTTTTTTTTTTTGAGACGGAGTCTTGCTCTGTTGCCCAGGCTGGAGCGCACTGGCGAGATCTCATCTCACTGCAACCTCCGCCTCCTGGGTTTAAGCAATCCTCCTGCCTTAGCCTCCCGAGTAGTTGGGATTACAGGCATGCACCACCACACCTGGCTAATTTTTCTATTTTTAGTAGAGACAGGGTTTTACCATGTTGGCCAGGCTGGTCTCGAACTAGTGACCTCAAGTTATCAGCCCGTCTTGGCCTCACAAAGTGCTGGGATTATAGGCGTGAGCCTCCGCGCCCAGCCTGAATATGATTTCTTTAGGAAATTTGGGTGTAAACATTTTGTGGTTTCACAACATTATTAGTTAGAGTGTCTTTTTATATATCTCTTCCTTGAATTGAAAGTCAATGAGTTGTTATTAATAGAAGTAATGGAATTATTTTGTAAGGAATTTTCTCAGTAATACAAAAAGGAGTTCTGGATCAGTTAAAGTCCAGTAGGAACAGATAGCCTAACCAATTTTTTTGAAAGAAGCACTGAATAAAACAACTATTTACAACATTTGCTTTTTATTTTATTTTTTTATTTTTATTTATTTTTTTGACACAGTCTCACTCTGTCACCCAGGCTGGAATGAAGTGGCGTGAGATCTTGGCTCACGGCAAACTCCAGCTCCCAGGACCAACAATTCTCGTGCCTCAGCCTCCTGAGTAGCTGGGATTACAGACCTGTGCCACCAAGCCTGGATAATTTTTGTATTTTTAGTAGAGACAGAATTTCGCCATGTTGGCCAGGCTGGTCTCAAACTACTGGTCTCAAGTGATCCACCTGCCTCGGCCTCCAAAAGTGCTGGGATTACAGGTGTGAGCCACCGCTCCCGGCTTATTTACAACATTTATATAGGATGTAGAGAATCCATAAGTTATATTGCAGAACCCAGGTTTAACAAAGTAGGAAGCAAAGGAAGGGGGTGATTTCTTGCACTTGGGTTGGAGAAGAGCAAATATTGTATGGAAAGGGCTAATTCACAGGAGGAACTATGACCTTCATTCAGGTGAGAGAAAGGGCCAGCCAGCCTGCTGGAAACCCCTCAGTAAAAAAGTTAGGGAATAAGTACCCTAACTTCATTCTCTGCCCTTTCTGAAAATCCTTGCCAGTCCCTCCCCACTGACCAAATTCAGCTGGAGAAGCCGGGCGCGGTGACTCACGCCTGTAATCCCAGCACTTTGGGAGGCCAAGGTGGGCAGATCACCTGAGGTCAGGAGTTTGAGACCAGCCTGACCAACAAGGAGAAACCCCGTCTCTACTAAAAATACAAAATTATCCAGGCATGGTGGTGCATGCTTGTAATCCCAGCTACTCGGGAGGCTGAGGCAGAAGAATCGCTTGAACTCTGGAGGCGAAGGTTGCGGTGAGCTGAGATTGTGCCATTACCCTCCAGCCTGGGCAACAAGAGTGAGACTCTGTCTCAAACAAAACAGAACAAACAAACAGACAGACAGACAAACAAACCAACCCAGCTGGAAGCCAGAGGCAATGGAGCTCACTGATGTGATGTACATAGGTCAGTCTCCCAGAGTACAGAACAGAGAAGAGAGCAGATCTAGGCCAGGCGCGGTGGCTCACACCTGTAATCCCAGCACTTTGGGAAGCCAACGCGGGTGGATCACCTGAGCTCAGCAGTTCGAGACCAGCCTGACCAACATGGTGAAACCCCGTCTCTACTGAAAATATAAAAATTAGCCGGGCGTGGTGGCACGCACCTGTAATCCCACCTGATCAGGAAGCTGAGGCAGGAGAATCACTTGAACCCAGGAGGCGGAGGTTGTAGTGAGCTGAGATCGAGGCACCGCACTCCAGCTTGGGTGACAGAGTGAGAATCTGTCTCAAAAAAAAAAAAGAGAGTGGATCTAGAGGAGCAAATCAATAAAGGACACGCAGCATAGGTCCCTATTACTCTTTCCTCTTGTTTTTTTTTTTGTTTTTGTTTTTGTTTTTGGAGTCTCGCTGTCTTGCCTGGGCTGGAGTGCAGTGGAGCAATCTTGGTTCACTGCAACCTCCACCTCTTGGGTTCAAGCGATTCTTCTACCTCAGCCTCCTGAGTAGCTGGGACCACAGGCACATGCCACCACGCCCGTATAATTTTTGTATTTTTAGTAGAGACGAGTTTTCCCCATGTTGGCCAGGCTGCTCTCCAGCTCCTGACCTCAGGTGATCCACCAACCTTAGCCTCCCAAAGTGCTGGGATTACAGGCCTGAGCCACCATGCCCTTTCCTCTTTTTTCAGTTCAGCCCAGGTCTTGAGCTGTTTGCCTCAACTTATCTTGCCTTTCATTTTCTGACCAGTTTCTGACCTTACCATCTTGTAACCCCTAAACTATTTTTTTTTTTTGAGACGGAGTCTTGCTCTGTTGCCCAGGCTGGAATGCAGTGGCCCAATCTTGGCTCACTGCAACCCCCGCCTCCTAGGTTCAAGCAAGTCTCCTGCCTCAGCCTCCTGAGTAGCTGGCACCACAGGTGTGAGCCACCACTTCTGCCTAATTTTTGTATTTTTAATAGAGATGGGGTTTCACCATGTTAGCCAGGCTGGTCTCGAACTCCTGACCTCAAGTGATCTGCCGGCCTGGGCCTCCCATAGTGCTGGGATTATAGGCATGAGCCACCACATCAGGCCTAAACTTATTCCTTTTGGAAAACTGAAGATGATTCTTGGAAGACAATGCTTGTCACTGCTTCTTACTTGTGACTTCTGGTTTCCTTCCTTCCTCATCCCTTTGATCAAGATGTTTTCATCTGCTGTGGGTTGCCTTACCCAGTACAGCATGCACTCTGGAACACCACTTAAACAAAGGCCCTCATAGGAAGTGCCCCTGCTATATTTGCTTTGGCCCTGTGAGTAGCAGCTGGATGTCACAGACTGAGATAGGAAGCACTTAATTGTGGCCGACTAATGACTCAGACGTGACACTAGTTCTGTTTACTTCCATCCCCCTTTCTTGCCTGGCAACCACTCTTATGAATAGATTAAGATCACCATGAACAAAGACACTGAACTCCAAACAACCAGGTTCAAAGGATATCTCATCAGAGGAGGGATGAAAATGATTGGAGAGACTATATGAACTTGAAAAGCTAGTATTTCTTGCCTATGCTGGATGATGAAATTTTAAAAAGAAAAAAAAGGCAGGCTAGTTAAGAGTTCTGGCACGCACAGGAAAGATAAGCTCCAATTTCAGAATAGTGGTTACCGCTGGAGAGAGAAGGAAAAGAGATACAGAAGTGAACAGGGATTTTCAACTGGGGCTATATTTTAGTATTATTATTTTTTATTTTTTTAATTTTAATTTTAATTTTTTTTTGAGATGGAGTTTCGCTCTTGTTGCCAAGGATGGAGTGCAATGGCATGATCTGGGCTCACTGCAACCTCTGCCTCCCAGGTTCAAACGATTCTCCTGCCTCAGTCTCCCGAGTAGCTGAGATTACAGGTGCCTGCCACGGCACCCAGCTAATTTTTTTTTTTTTTTTTTTTTTTTTTTGAGACGCAGTCTTGCTCTGTCGCCCAGGCTGGAGTGCAGTGGCTTGATCTCGGCTCACTGCAACCTCTGCCTCCTGGGTTCACGCCATTCTCCTGCCTCAGCCTCCGGAGTAGCTGGGACTACAGGCGCCTGCCACCATGCCCGGCTAATTTTTTGTATTTTTAGTAGAGACAGGATTTGACCGTGTTAGCCAGGATAGTCTCAATCTCCTGACCTCGTGATCCGCCCGCCTCGGCCTCCCAAAGTGCTGCGATTACAGGCGTGAGCCACCGCCCTGGCCAATTTTTTTTTTTTTTTTGAGACGAAGTCTTACTCTGTCTCCCAGGATGGAGTGCAGTGGTGCAACCTCGGCTCACTGCAACCTCTGCCTCCCAGGTTCAAGTGATTCTCCTGTCTCAGCCTCCCTAGTAGCTGAGATTACAGGTGTGTGCCACCACGCCTAGATAATTTTTGTATTATTATTAATTTTTTTAGTAGAGATGAGGTTTTACCATGTTGGCCTGGCTGGTCTTGAACTCCTGACCTCGTGATCCACCCCACCCTTGGCCTCCCAAAGTGTTGGGATGAGCCACCGAGACCGGCCTATATTTTATTTTTTAATAAACGAAATTCTGAAGCAGATAGAAGAAAATGCTAGAATTTAATAATAGTGAATGAATAAGTATTACTTATGAAATTCTTTGTTCTTTCTTATTAGAGACAGGGTCTTGCTCTGTCACCCAGGCTGGAGTGCATGGCACAATCATAGCTCACTGCAGCCAAGTGATGTTCCTAAGTAGCTAAGTCTTTGTCCTTTTCTATGTGTGGAGAGTATGGCTGAGGAAAGTAGAACAGGGAGGCCTTCCTCACAGATGTGACAAGGGAACTTAGACAGGATGTAAAGAATAGTGCAATTATTTGTCTGCAAGGGTCCAGATGTTGCACTGGAGCATGTTGCTTTAGTCCAGCTGAGGCCTCAATGAACTCCGGAATCGTGATAACACTGGCAGGGTGGAGGCTGTATAAAGGCTGCATGTCTAGCCTTGCTCTACAAAGGAGACAGTTCTCTGTAGTAGATAGGAGCCAGTCTATAAAGCCAGCCTGCTTGGGGCCAGATCTTGGTTCTGGCACTTACTAGCTGTGTCACTTCACTTCTCTGTATCTCAGTTTCCTCATCTGTGAATGTGATGAGAATGTCACCCTACATCAACAGGTTGTTGTGAGGATTATGGCCACAAACTAAATTTTATGCTATTTTTTGCCATCTATTATCCTTCCAGATGAGCTGAACAAATGGGAACAGTTCTCTAGCATAAGGATTGGCAAACTTTAAATTTTCCTTTTCCTTCTTTCTTTCCTTCCTTTCTTCCTTCCTTCCTTCCCTCCCTCCCTCCTTCCCTCCTTCCCTCCTTCCTTCCCTCCTTCCTCCCTCCCTCCTTCCCTCCTTCCATCCCTCCCTCTCTCCTTCCTTTCCCCCTCCCTCCTTCCCTCCCTCCCTCCCTCCTTCCCTCCCTCCCTCCTTCCCTCCTTCCTTCCCTCCTTCCTCCCTCCCTCCTTCCCTCCTTCCATCCCTCCCTCTCTCCTTCCTTCCTTCCTTCCTTCCTTCCCCTCTCTCTCTCTTTCTTTCCTTTTTTTTGAGACTGAGTCTCACCTTGTCATCCAGGCTGCAGTGCAGTGACAAAATCACTGCAGCCTTGACCTCCCGGGCTCAAGCAATTCTTCTACCTCAGCATCCTGAATAGCTGGGACTACAGGTGCTCAACAGCACGCCTGCCTAATTTTTTTTTTTTTTTTTTTTTTGAGACGGAGTCTCCCTCTGTCGCCCAGGCTGGAGTGCAATGGCATGATCTCAGCTCACTGCAACCTCCGCCTCCTGGGTTCAAGCGAGTCTCCTATCTCAGCCTCCCGAGTAGCTGGGATTACAGGCATGCACCACCACGCCCGGCTGATTTTTGTATTTTTAGTAGAGATGAGGTTTCACTATGTTGGCCAGGCTGGTCTCGAACTCCTGACCTCAGGTGATCTGCCTGCCTCGGTCTCCCAAAGAGCGAGATTCGGTCTCAAAAAAAAAATGGTGGACAGCCTAGATTATTTGGGGTGAGTGGTACACATGCCTAGGCTCTGTTTGGACTCTTACTAAAAACTATACTGTCCCTTTCTTCAATAAAGAAGACATTTTGTTTCCTTAATACAAGCTGGGGACCATATCTCCACCATTGCGACCCTCCCTAAGCAGATTCTGCTCGTATCCCTCCACTTGCATTACCCCAAGACTCAGGACTTGCTTTCAAAACAGGATCTCCTCAGTCATACCATTAATACTTCAGAAAACTCTCCATCCTGTTGAAGAACTATAGGGAGTCTCAGCCAAGCGTGATGGCTCACACCTTTAATCCCAGCACTTTGGGAGGCCAAGGTGGGTGGATCACTTGAGCTCAGGAGTTCGAGAGTAGCCTGGCCAACATGGTAAAACCCCGTCTCTACTAAAAATACAAAAATTAGCCGGGCATGGTGGTGCATGCCTGTAATCCCAGCTACTCAGGTGGCTGAGGCGGAAGGATCACTTAAACCTGGGAGGCAGAGGTTGCAGTGAATGGAGATCGCGCCAGTGCACTCCAGCCTGGGCGACAGAGCGAGACTCTGTCTAACAACAAAAAAAGAAATATAGGGAGTCTCTAACAAGGACACTTAAAACCTGCCCAGAACTCACGATGCACAGCCCACACAAGTTCTAAATCATAGCATGAGTCAGCCATTAGTTAGGTCAGTGACAGACATGGACTATGAAACAGACGTTGTCTAGAAAAGGGTAAAAACTACCACTAACATGCCAGGGGACCGCCACGGAATATACCTTTATCTCAGGAGACACCACCAGCCAAGATGACACCATGGCACATCAGTGCCAAGGACATGACCCACGTATATACCCACAGAGAACACTTTCCAAACCAGCTCATGGCTAGACCAGGGTTTATGGCCAACCTTCAGCTAGACATACTGAGACAGCTGCCCCTCAGATACCTGCTTATGCCTCCACTAAGGGGGCAGGCTTTGCTGAGACAGGATGTGGACATCTCCCTGCTCAACAAACCATGACACTGGCTTGACACAGGCCTGAGCACACACTCATCCCTAAACCAGTCCAGAGTGCATAACCATTACAAGATTAGGGATTCCCCAAGACAGACTTTGGCCATACACAGAGCCCAGTTTAGATGAAGACAGACTGGTCTTAGCTCAGTCTTGGGTCATTATGAGTATACCTGCCAAGGACAATGTGCCCATAGCAGAGCTGAGACCAAACCTCTTTAGGGCAAGCCCTCCAGAACAGGGCCCAACGTTCTGGGCACGGGTAATGTCAGCACTTCGGGAGGTTGAGGCAGGAGGATTGCTTGAGCTCAAAAGTTTGAGACCAACCTCAAAGGCAACATAACGAGACATCATCTCTACTAAAATTAAAATATATATATATAGCCAGGCATGGTGGTATGCACCTGTAGTCTCAGCTACTTGTGGGAGTTGGTGGCTGAAGGAGGAGAATGGCTTGAGCCTGGGAGATCGAGGCTATAATGAGCTATGATGGCGCCACTGCAGTCCAGCCTGGGTGACAGAGAGAGACCCTGTCTCAATAATTAATTAAAAAGAAAAAAATTAAAAAAAGAAAAAGAGGGCCCAACCTATGCCACCTCCAGGCAGCCCCCCATTAGAACTGGAGGCAGGCCTATAGTCCCACTGAGCTACAGCTCAGACCCAGGCCCCCTTCACTTCCTCCGCTCTAAACAGCAGAAGGGAAGAGGCCCTGCTTGAGACTGACATGCCCTCCAATGCCACAGAGGGTGACCAGCTGTCCCAGTTTGCCTGGGACTGGCCTGATTTTAAACTGGAAAGTCTGGCTTCTCAGGAAATCCCCTCGTACCAGCAAAGCCAAGACAGTCGGTCACCCTGAAGCCACTCCTCCTCCCTGTGATGAAATGTGTGTCACCGGCTACTGCAGAGAGTGCTCCCCCTCGGTGTGCAAGGAGGGGCCTGGATCCCCTGCGTGTTCAGAAGCCATCGCTTGACCTGGAATTGTTGGGCCATCACTGCCCATTCTGCTGCGCCAAGTGCTTCTCCCTACAAGCCGCTGATGCAGCCTCCCTCTCTTCTGCCTGCTAAATTATCCTCTCTAACAGAGGAACTCAAGGGCCCTTCATCCCTCTCATGATGGCTAAGTCTGCAGCGACGCCTCTCTGCTGATTCAACACACATTTACTGAGCCTTTATGGGGTTTATTAGAGGCGGCCCTTGCTGCCACATTTTCAGAGCAAGCCTGGTTTGACAGCCCCTCCTGCCTTCTGCAAGGGCTTTTTCCACAGCAACGTGCAGGCCTTTGTCTCCTCTCCTGCCTGTTCATGGGAGCTCAGGAATCCCACGTGCAGGTCACAGCTGCTCCCTGAGCTTCCAGACACACAGGCTTCCAGCTCGAGAGGCACCCAGTTTTACGGAGCCTTGGCTCACAGCCTGGCACCATGCTCGGTGCTGGAGACGTGGAGGAGAGTGGCAGTGGTTTCCTGCCCATGAGGACCTTAGCTCTCAAAAGAGAGAGATAGCCACCTGGGAACATCCGGTCACACTGTGACAGAGAGGCAAGTCCAGATGCTGTGGGTGGGACCATCCAAGGCTTCTTGAGGAGAGGACACCTGAGCAGAGATTCACAGGTCACCTGGGAGTTGTGTGAAGTAGTGGGGGAGGTCTTCAAGGGCCCAGCGAACAGCGTCCATGGGAGCAGGGGACAGCGGGAGGGGAACTTGGAGAGTGGGAGAGGCAGGCGCAGAGTCCAGGGATCTGAGGGAAGAGAGTGTTTCATGGAGGAAGGTGGGGCCCACATGTCCCATCCCCATCAGGTCCAGTAGGTGAGGGCTGGAAATGCAGCCTTTGGTGCTGAGCAGTGGTCTTTACAGCGGCCTTGCTCCAATGAGGATTTCTTGTATGATGAATGATGGCATAGTGAGTTTGCCTAGAGGCTATCACATTCTGTGCTGATCCTTGGTGTATGAGTGTCTCCTCTGTGGAACAGGGGCTGCATTTGGGTGTGCTGGGGAGTGGATTGTGCATGGGCCTCATTCTTAGTGAGGGCCATCATTGTAGCTGCTATGTTACAGCAAGTGTGTGTTTGTGTGTGGGGGGTGGGGGCAGGGGGCTCAGGCCTGGCATTTCCATCATATGCTTGGTATGTATAGAGGCATAGACCCAGCCTGAGTGGGAGACTATCTCCTGGTGGTACCCGTATTGGCTCTGATGTATACCATGGTTCACTCTTATTTGAAGAGCCATGGGGTGGGTACAGGGTTAAGCCAGGTCATGTGGTGTCTGTTTGTGGTCTGAGTCATTCTGTGGGCATGAGCTTAGGTCTGTGTTGGGGTCTGTCCCCTGGCTCACTGTGTGATGTGTATGTGTGAGTGTGAAACTATTATAGGCAGAAGGTGAATAGGAGTTTGCTGTTATAGATACAGCTGCTTGTAGATATAAAGCCTCACCAGAGTGGTCCCTCGTCCGTGTGCTGAAGCCTGCTGCACTCCAAGGGCTGTCTGTGAAGCAGTGAAGAGGTAACTTTGATTTTTAGGTACTTTCGGGGGGAAAACAGCTTTGAAATGGTAGAAGCACACAGTGTCTCTTTCTAGTTTCTTTTTTTATTTTGTTTTTATTTTTAATTTTTTTTGTCTCAAACTTCTGGCCTCAAGTGATCCTCCCACTTCTGCCTCCCAAAGTGCTGCGATTACAGATGTGACCCACCAGGCCGAGTCTCTTTCTAGTTTTTTTTTTGTTTTTTTTTTTTGATGGAGTCTGGCTCTGTCGCCCAGGCTGGAGTACAATGGCACCATCTTGGTTCACTGCAAGCTCTGCCTCCCGGGTTGACACCATTCTCCTGCCTCAGCCTCCCGAGCAGCTGGGACTACAGGCGCCCGCCACCACGCCCGGCTAATTTTTTGTATTTTTAGTAGAGATGGGGTTTCACCGTGTTAGCCAGGATGGTCTCAATCTCCTGACCTCGTGATCCACCCGCCTCGGCCTCCCAAAGTGCTGGGACTACAGGCATGAGCCAGGCCTCTTTCTAGTTTTATTAATGGAACAAAAGTCACTCCTCCCACTCCTCATTGCTAGGACATGCATTTCTTCCTGGCATGGGAGAAATCCATTGATAGCCAGTGGAAGCTAGAATGCTTGATTTTGTAGGACTCGAGAAAGGATTAGGGAGAGATTGCATGTATGCATGTATGCAATCTCTCCCTAATGAGAGTTTAAATGGAGAGATTGCATACATCCTAAGGACAGAGTATGAGGATGGGTGTGGGAGAATGGCTTTTCTTTTTTTTTTTTTGAGACGGAGTCTTGCTCTGTCACCCAGGCTGGAGTGCAGTGGCACGATCTCCGCTCACTGCAAGCTCCGCCTCCAGGGTTCAAGCGATTCTCCTGCCTCGGCCTCCTGAGTAGCTGGGACTACAGGCGCCCGCCACCACACCAAGCTAATTTTTTGTATTTTTAGTAGAGACGGGGTTTCACCATGTTAGCCAGGATGGTCTCGATCTCCTGACCTCATGATCCGCCGGCCTCGGCCTCCCAAAGTGCTGGAATTACAGGCGTGAGCCACTGTGCCCGGCCACCTTATCTTTAGTTTCTAAAGATAAGTAAAAAAAGTGATCAAAGCACATGAAAAGATGTTTAGAATCATCAAATAGCTACTAATGAGCAATTTATTGGTTCAAGATCCAAGAGATAATTAGATAATAAGAGGATAATATCACCAACTTTATGTCGTAAACTAACATGTAAATAAAATGGATAAGTTCCTTGAAACACAACTTATCAAAATTGATACAGAAAAAGTAGAAAACTCAAATAAAAGTAAAGCTCCATATCTATATGTCTTTACAGTTGAGTTCTACTAAACCATTGAAGAAGAAATAGTTCCAATCTTCTCCAGAGACTAGAAATAGATAGGCTATTCATCAACTCACTTTATGAGGTTCCTATTATCTTGATACCAGAACCCACGAATAGTTTGAAAAAGGGAAAAGACATGTCAATCTCACTTATAGGTGCAAAAATCCTAAACCAAATTTTAGCAAACCAAGTCCAGTAATATATGGAAAGGATAATATATCCTGAATAAGTTGGGGTTATTCCCAGAAATGCCGGGATGGTTTATTATTAAGGAATCAATTGTTTTAATTGGTCGTCTTAACATATTAAAAGACAAAATCATATGGTAATCTCAGAAGATGCAAAAAAAAAAACACACACACTTTCCACAATTCAATATCCCACTTATGATAAAACTAATGGCAAAATAGGGATATAAAGAAATGTCCTTAATTTAATAAAGATATTCAAATGACTTATACCCATTATCATACTTAATGAAACAAAAGGTTTTTCCTTTGAGATCATGAACATGACAAAGATGCTCACTACAGTCATCATTTTTCTTCAATATTGTAGCTGAGGTCTTATGCAGTGTAGTAATGAGAAAAATAATATAAGGTTTTAAGAGGATAAGCCAGAAGTTTTATTATTTGCATAAGATATGCCTGTGTATGTAAACATTCCAAAAGTATATGCAGATCAATGATTATTATTATTATTATTATTATTTGTGATGGAGACTTGCTCTGTCACCCATGCTGGAATGCAGTTGTGTGATCTTGGCTCACTGCAACCTCCACCTCCTGGGTTCAAGCGATTCTCCCACTTCAGCCTCCCGAGTAGTTGAGATTACAGGCACCCGCCATCATGCCCGGCTAATTTTTGTATTTTTGTAGAGACAGGGTTTCACCATGTTGAGGAAGCTGGTCTCAAACTCCCGACCTCAGGTGATCTGCCCGCCTTGGCCTCCCAAAGTGCTGGGATTATAGGTGTGAGCCACTGCGCCCGGCCGGGTTTAGACTTTCTAGTCCAGTGCTGGCTCATGAGTAAGGCTTATGTAGTTTGGGCCTATTATGAGTAGGGACTACCCTTTGCTAAAGAGTTATATGGATATACACCTTAATCTAGACAGAAGAAGTGTCCTGTAAGATTTGGGCTTACTTGTAGTCCTGGGCTGAGAGAAACTGTTTCATGGTTTTCGTCGTTGTTGGTGGTGGTGGTGGTTGAGACAGCGTCTTGCTCTGTCACCCAGGCTGCAGTGTAGTGGCGCGATCTCGGCTCATTGCAAGCACTGTCTCTCAGATTCAAGCAATTCTCCTGCCTCAGCCTCCCGAGTAGCTAGGATTACAGGTGCAGGCCACCATAATTAGCTAATTTATGTATTTTTAGTAGAGACGGGGTTTCACCGTGTCGGCCAGGCTGGTCTCAAACACCTGACCTCAAGTGATCCTCCTACCTCAGCCTCCCAAAGTGCTGGGATTACAGGCTTGAGCCACCGCGCCCGGCCTGTTTCATGTTATGTGGCCGTTTGTCTAATCAAAGTTTGCTAAATGGCTCTGATGAACAGAGCCTCTCTGCTGAACTGCATTGGATATGCAACAAGAACAAAAAATAAACCTTTGTAGTTTTAAGCCATTAAGTTTTTTTTTTTTTTTTTTGAGACACAGTCTTGCTCTGTCACCCAGGCTGCAGTGCAGTGGCATGATCTTGGCTCACTGCAGCGTTGACCTCCCACCTCAGCCTCCCAAGTAGCTGGAACTACAGGTGTGCACCAACATGCCCAGCTAGTTTTTATATTTTTTGTAGAGAAAGGGTTTTGCCATGTTGCCCAGGCTGGTCTCGAACTCCTGGGTTCAATCGATCCTCTGGCCTCAGCCTCCCAAAGTGCTGCGATTACAGTGAGCCACCATGCCTGGCCACCACTGAGATTTTTCAACCTTGGTGTAATCTAGCCTAACTTGACTGATACATCAACTCTCACCATACAAGACATTCTACGTTCAAAACTAATCCCATAGGCGATGCCCGCATTCTTCCATTGCTATAAAAATACTGGACACAGGGTAATTTACACAGAAACGAAGTTTAATTGGTTCATGGTTCTGAAGGCTGTATAGGAAGCACAGCAGCTTCTGCCTCTGTAGAGGCCTCAGGAAACTTATAATCATGTTGGATGGCAAAGCAGGAGCAGGCACGTCTTACATGACTGGAGCAGGAGGAAGAAAGAGATGGGGTAGGAGCTACACACTTTTAAACAACCAGATCTCAAGACAACTCTATCACGAGGACAGCTAAAGGGCGATGGTGCTAAACCATTAGAAACCATCCCCATGATCCAATCACCTCCCACCAGACCCCACCTCCAGCATTGGGGATTACTTTTCAACATGAGATTTGGGTGGGGGCACAGATCCAAACTATATCACCTACCTAAAGGTAAGTTTATGGATTCAGACTACAGCCCATTCTCATACCAACACTCAGCTTAGTGTGAAACAGCTATCAATATAACCAGTTCCTATATCCATGCCATAGTTTAGAAAATCATGGCAAGATATAATTCTAGGTTTGTATATAATGAACTGTGAAGGGTCTGTCTCAACACTCTAAAAATGATCTGTCTAGTCAGACTGTATCATGTGTAGTGAAAGGGTATGATGAATATAGGTTTTTGGTTTTTAAGTATTATCTTCTGATTTGCCAAATAGTGGCATGTTTATGTATCATGGTCTACGAAGATCCTGTTTCAAAGCCTACTGAGTAATGAATTGGGGATATCTATATAACCACTATCTGTGGGGATGCTGTCTTCATTTTGACTGAATATAGGTAGAGGATTAGACCTATATCTGGAGAGGGAGCTGCACGGCCATATTCTTGGAGGGGACTGTCTGGTTGTTGCTGAGCAGCAGGATTACTAGCTCAGATGCCAGCAGGTAAATGAACAAATACTGTAGGCTGAGTATCTACACATTTAATTGCAGAGGAATATTAATTACTTTCACAAAGAAATTAGCACTCCTCCATTTTTCCTGAAACACTCACCCCTCATGGAAACGGGTTCAGAAAACAACCTGTGATATGAGAGAAAAATAAACAGTATATGCTGGATGTGTTGGCTCACGCCTATAATCCCAGCACTTTGGGAGGCTGAGGCAGGTGGGTCACCTGAGGTCGGTAGTTCAAGACAAGCCTGACCAACATGAAGAAACCCTTCTCTACTAAAAATACAAAATTAGCTGGGCGTGGTGGTGCATGCTTGTAATCCTAGCTACTCAGGAGGCTGAGGCAGAAGAATCGCTTGAACCCAGGAAGTGGAGGTTGCAGTGAGCCGAGATCGCGCCACTGCACTCCAGCCTGGGCAACAGAGCAAGACTCCGTCTCACAAAAAACAAAAAACAAAAAACAAAAAACAAAAAACAAAAAAAAGTATATATTATTATTATTAATACTACATTTAGTAGATATGATAGAGGCAGGGTTTCACCATGTTGGCCAGGCTGGCCTTGAACTCCTGACTTCAAGTGATCTGCCCACCTTGGCCTCCCAGAGTGCTGGGATTACAGGTGTAAGCCAACACACTCGGCCTCTTTTTTTTTTTTTTTTTAAAGACAAGGTGTCACTGTCTCCTAGGCTGGAGTGCAGTGGTGTGATCACAGCCCACTGCAGCCTCTGATTCCTGGGCTCAAGTGATCTTCCCACCTCAGCCTCTCTAGAAGCTGGGACTAAAGGTGCACACCACCACACCTAGTTAATGTTTAAATTTTTTGTAGAAACGCGGTCTCGCTATATTTCCCAGGGTGGCCTTGAACCCTTGGGCTCAAGCAAACCTCCCACTTCTGCCTCCCAAAGCACTGGTGACATGGGCCACTGTGCCCTGCCATAAATATTCTGATTTTTAAGTCTTGGTTCAATTCAAAAAGGGACTGTGTGTGGTGGCATACTCTGGTAATCCCAGCACTTTGGGAGGTTGAGGCAGAAGGATCACTTGAGCCTGGGAGTTCAAGACCAGCCTGGGCAACATAGCGAGACCCTGTCTGTACAAAAAAATTATTAAGAAAAAAGAAGCACTGTGTATGGAGAAAAGTGTGCAATGTGGATCAAGAATCCACTCAAGGCGGGGTGCGGTGGCTCACGCCTGTAATCCCAGCACTTTGGGAGGCTGAGGCGGGTGGATCACGAGGTGAGGAGATCAAGACCATCCTGGCTAACACGGTGAAACCCTGTCTCTACTAAAAATACAAAAAATTAGCCGGGCGTGGTGGCGGGTGCCTGTTGTCCCAGCTACTCGGGAGGCTGAGGCAGGAGAAGGGCGTGAACCTGGAGGCGGAGCTTGCAGTGAGCCGAGATCATGCCACTGCACTCCAGCCTGGGCGACAGAGTGAGACTCCATCTCAAAAAAAAAAAAAGAATCCACTCAAGGATACCACTTTGCAATTCCTGATATAGATGCTGAGTGGGGTTCATCTCCTATTGAACTGTTTAGAGGTCTGGACCTTGGCTGATTTGCTAGTGTCTGCTCAGAGGATTGTCTGCTTAGTAATTTGGGGAGCATATATCTGTATGAGGATCCTCAACTAGACAGAGGGTCATTTCCCACCTTGCTGGCTCCTATTGTTAAGGACTATGAACTGTATGAGGGCTCCTTTGTGTTGGGCCAAGACATGGTATGTGAAGGAATCCTGAACTGAGCAGGGACCATGCATGGGATGATGGACTGTGCTATGTCTCTGGGCTCTGTATCCTGATAGTGATGGTTTGGAAGGGAAAAACATCAGTCAAGAAAATGGGGTTGCTCAAAATAAGTTTGATGAAATAACTCAAAAATATTGCTGCAAAATGCCGGGTGTGGTGGCTCATGCCTGTAATCCCAGCACTTTGGGAGGCTGAGGTGGGCGGATGACCTGAGGTCAGGAGTTTGAGACCAGCCTGACCAACATGGTGAAACCCTGTCTCTACTAAAAATACAAAAATTAGCTGGGTGTGGTGGTGGACACCTGTAATCCTAGCTACTCGAGAGGCTGAGGCACGAGAATCGCTTTAACTCGGAAGGCAGAGGTTGCAGTGAGCCGAGATTGCGCCACTGCACTCCAGCCTGGGCAACAGAGTGAGACTCCGTCTCAAACAACATATATATATCTATATGTCTATATATATATATCTGCAAAAACCCTGATATGATATTTAACAACAATAACAAAAGTTGTGCATTAACCATGGCCAAGTGGAATTCATTCCAGAAATGTAAGAGATGGTTCAGTATAATGAACTATATTAATTGTATAGTATTATATTAATAGATGAAAGGTAGAAAACTACATGATCCTCTTGATATATGCCAAAAAAGGCATCTGATAAGTTCAATGTTTATTTATGATAATAGTTTTTAAAAACCTTAGTAAAACAGGCCCAGATGGATATTGTGTTAACATGAGAAAAAACAGACTTTAAACAAAAAGCCAACGTCATCCTTTAGTATACATTTTTTTCTGAACAGCCTCCTGTCTGCTCTTCCATGGCTTGAGTAGCAAAAAGCAACTGAGTAAGCCCTAAAGCAAACGGTTACTATTTAGAATTTAAACAAAAATCTTGGCCAGGTGCGGTGACTCACACCTGTAATCCCAGCACTTTGGGATGCCCACGCAGGCAGATCACCTGAGATCAGGAGTTCGAGACCAGCCTGGCCAATGTGGTGAAACCCAGTCTCTACTAAAAATGCAAAAATTAGCTGGACGTGGTGATGGGAAAAAAAAAAATTGGCCGGGTAGCAGGGTGTGGTGGCACATGCCTGTAGTCTCAGCTATTCAGGAGGCTGAGGCAGGAGAATGGCTTGAACCCAGGAGGTAGAGGTTGCAGTGAGCCGAGATCGCGTCACTGCACTCCAGCCTGGATGACAGAGTGAAACTCCGTCTCAAAAAAAAAAGGGAAACCACAAGGGTCAGAGCATGAACAGGCTTACATGATGCCATCACTAGGATAGATGAGGTGGTCGATACTAGCATAGCTAAGGGTCTCAGCTCTTAGCCCTCATTTTTCTTCTTTCTTTCTCTTTCTTTCTTTTTTCTTTCTTTCTTTCTTTCTTTTTCTTTCTTTCTTTCTTTCTTTCTTTCTTTCTTTCTTTCTTTCTTTCTTTCCTTCCTTCCTTCCTTCCTTTCTTTCCTTCTTTCTTTCTTTCTTTTTCTTTCCTTCCTTCCTTCCTTCCTTCCTTTCTTTCCTTCTTTCTTTCTTTCTTTTTCTTTTCTTTCTTTCTTTTTTGTTTCTTTCTTTCTTGACAGAGTTTCACTCTTATCACCCAGGCTGGAGTGCAATGGCTCGATCTCGACTCATTGCAACCTCCGCCTCTAGGATTCAAGCCATTCTCCTGCCTCAGCCTCCCGAGTAGCTGGGATTACAGGCACCTGCCACCATGCCTGGCTAATTTTTTTGTATTTTTAGTAGAGACAGGGTTTCATCATGTTGGCCAGGCTGGTCTCGAACTCCTGACCGCAGGTGATCCGCCCGCCTCAGCCTCCCAAAGTGCTGGGATTACAGGCGTGAGCCACTGCGCCCAGCCAGCCCTCATTTTTCTTACCTAGGTTTTTACTATTTGGTTTCCTAGTTTATTTTTTTTTATTAATTTTTTTTTTAAGAGATAGAGGTCTTGCTACATTGCCCAGGCTGGTCTTGAACACCTGGACTCAGGCTTAAGTGATCCTCTGGCCTCGGATTCCCAAAGTGCTGGAATTACAGGCGTGATCCGCTGTGCCAGGCTGGTTTGCTTGTTTAAACGACATGCTTTAACTTTCACCTTTTACCTGTGCGTAATCATTGAGCTTATTCTTCTACATTTCTTCTTTGCTCCCATTTTTAATTGTATTTCTACTTTGCCAGAGAGCATTCGTCAGCACTTATTCTTACATTTGTTTTAGTCTTAGATTTATATAATTGAACATGTTCAATCCTTAAGATCTGTTTTTTTGGCTAAAATTTTGCAATCATCTTTTAGTTGTATGAAACTTGACCCCTAGTAGAATCCTCAGAAAGAGTCCTTGAATACAAAATTACTTGAGTTCTTGAAAGTTTAAAGATGGAATCTTTGGCTCACACTTTTTTTCTTTTTTTTCTCTGATATGTCTGAGTCTTCTGAAACTCAGACTTTTTAAAAGCTTGAGTTTCTTCAAGAGGTTTCTTCACTGTTATCTTACTTTCTATAATTCTGTCAAGTAGTTTGATGCCAACTGATTTTCTTTTCCTGTAGGTCACTTGAGTGTTTTATTTGTTTATTTTGCCTATAGAGTCAAAGGATTTTTTTTCTAATCACTATTGTCTGTTTTACTGAGCTATGTCTCAGAGTTGATTGTCAGTATCCTCAAGTACACAGCAGGATCTTTAAATATGTAGAAGTGGATGTTGCTTTATTTCTAGAAAGTTTTGTTTAAGTTATAATTTTAAATATTATAACAGTTCTGTTCCATTGTTTGTTTTGTTTTTGTTTTTTTGAGACAGAGTCTCACTCTATTGCCCAGGCCAGAGTGCAGTGGCACGATCTCAGCTCACTGAAACCTCCATCCGCTGGGTTCAAGCAATTCTCCTGCTTCAGCCTCCCGGGTAGCTGGGATTACAGGTATGCGCCACCACGCCCGGCTAATTTTGTATTTTTTTTTTTTAGTAGAGATGGGGTTTCTCCATGTTGGTCAGGCTGATCTTGAACTCTTGACCTCAGGTGATCTGCCCACCTTGGCCTCCCAAAATGCTGGGATTACAGACGTGAGCCACCGTGCCCGGCTGTTTTTTTTTTTTTTTTTTTCTTAAGAGCTTTCAGGCCAGGCTCGGTGACTCACGCCTGTAATCCCAACTCTACTAAAAACACAAAAATTGAGTGGGCGTGGTGGCTCTCGCCTGTAATCCTAGCTTCTCGGGAGGCTGAGGCAGGATAATTGCTTGAACCTGGGAGGTGGAGGTTTCAGTGAGCCGAGATCACGCCACTGCACTCCGGCCTGGAGACCGAGCGAGACTGTCAGTTTACTCTTTGCCCCTTTAATTTGTTTTGGTTGTCTTGGTTCTTTTTTATTCACATTCTTTCTTTCCTTTTATGGCATTTTTCAATGACACCAATTCTCCCTTGGGCACCTTGTAATTTAGTTTTCTCTTCTGAGATGATTTCGTCTTTTTCTGCAATTTCTTTCCTGAGTTCAGTCAGCATGCCACATGTTCCTGTTGTTTGTTTCTATTGTGTGTGTGTGTGTGTGTGTGTGTGTGTGTTTTGAGACAGAGTCTAGCTCTCTCACCCAGGCTGGAGTGCAGTGGCACAATCTTGGCTCACTACAGCCTCCACTTCCCAGGCTCAAGCAATTCTCCTGCCTCAGCCTCCCGAGTAGCTGGGATTACAGGTGCACGCCACCACACCCGGCTAATTTTTGTACTTTTAGTAGAGATGGGGTTTTACCATGTTGGCCAGGCTGGTCTAGAACTCCTGGGCTCAAACGATCCACCCGCCTCAGCATCCCAAAGTGCTAGGATTATAGGTGTGAGCCACTGTGCCCAGCCTTAAATTTTTGATTCGCAGTAGTCTTTCATATCTGCAATTGCTTGTTTAATTATATTTATGTTTTTCTCTGCTTTACTATTCTTGTCTTTTTTTTGGAGGATATTTATTTTCATCAGCTGAAAAGTTCTGGTTCTTGCTTTTTTACCCCCTTATAGTAATTCTGTGAAGATAATCATTTTCTGATTATTGTAAAGTATCCTGGATTTTCCTGATTCGGTGATAATGTTTTGATTGATTCTATATGAAGAAAAGGATTCAGATACCTTATTTGGTTTATTGGCTCAAGAGCACCCTCTTCTGTTGATACAATAAAGTATAGTGTCTCTAATAAATTATACTTTTGGAGGGAAGGATCATTTGATCTTCTGAATGCTATTCCTCCAATGGCTACTTCTTCATGTCTTGCCTTCACAAGACTACTGTCTCTTGTACTGTGCAATTTTTAGGCTTCTTCCTTTTTTTTTTTTTACGCATCTTTCTTTCTTTCTTTTTGAGATGGAGTCTTTCTCTGTTGCCCAGGCTGGAGTGCAGTGGCACGATTATGGCTCACTGCAAACTCTGCCTCCCAGATTCAAGTGATTCTCCTGCCTCAGCCTCCTGAGCAGCTGGGACTACAGGCGTGCACCACCAGGCTCAGTTAATTTTTGTATTTTTAGTACAGACGGGATTTCACCATGTTGTCCAGGCAGGTCTTGAACTCTTGACCTCAGGTGATCCACCTGCCTCAGCCTCACAAAGTGCTGGGATTTCAGGCGTGAGCCACTACACCCGGCCAACACATCTTTCAAATAACACCTTTCCGGCCAGGTGCAATGGATCACGCCCGTCATCCCAACACTTTAGGAGGCCGAGGTGGGTGGATCTTCTGAGGTCAGGAGTTCAAGACCAGCCTGGCCAACATGGTGAAACCTGTTCTCTACTAAAAATACAAAATTAGCCGGGCGTGGTGGCACATGCCTATAATCCCAGCTACTCGGGAGGCTGAGACAGGAGAATGGCTTGAACCCAGGAAGCAGAGGTTGCAGTGAGTTGAGATCGAGCCATTGCACTCCAGCCTGGGCAACAAGAGTGAAACTCTGTCTCAAAACAAAAACAAAAAACAAATAACGCCCTTCCTTTTGATTCTTAGTGCTCTGATCCATCAGGTCTCAAACTCGTTCTTAGTTTTAATTAGGGTGGGACTTTCTTCAGAGTGTGAACCCTATGTGGTATTATCATGAGAGAAGAGAAGACTCTTCTCTCACAATTTCTGCCTCATATTTCAAATAAATGGAACTATATAATATGTGGTCTTTTGTGACTGATTCTTTCACTTAGCATAATTTCTTTGAGATTCATCCATGTTGTAGCATGTATCAGTACTTCATTCTTTTATATGGCCAAATAATATTCCATTTAATGGAATAAGTGGAATATTTGGTATAAATATATCACATTTTGTTTATTCATTCATTAGTTGATGGACATGTAGATTGTTTCCATTTTTTCCAAAGTAGCTGGATTATTTCACATTCTCATCAACAATATGTAAAGTTTCCCATTTCTCCACATTCTCAGCAACACTTGTTATTGTCTTTTTTGGGCAAAGAAAATCACTTTATTCTAATTAACTCACAAACAAAACAAAACAAAAAAATTACAACAGCTGGTTTAAGGAGGCCACACAAACATTTGACACGCCCCAAATTCTATACTATCTTAATGAAATTCTACCAAATAAGAACACCCTCTTCTATTGCAATTCTGAAGCAAGAAAGTAATGAATGACAGAGGATTGGTTTCACTGACGGTTTTACACTTTATACCTTCACTATTAAATATATATTATATATATACTTTTTTTTTTTGAGACAGATTTTGCTCTTGTTGCCCAGGCTGGAGTGCAATAGCATGATCTCGGTTCACCACAACCTGCAGCTCCTGGGTTCAAGTGATTCTCTTACCTCAGCCTCCCGAGTAGCTGGGATTACAGGCATGCGCCAGCACGCCCGGCTCATTTTTCGTATTTTTTTTTTTTTTAGTAGAGACGGAGTTTCTCCATGTTGGTTAGGCTGGTCTCGCACTCCCCACCTCAGGTGATCCGCCTGCCTCGGCCTCCCAAAGTGCTGGGATTACAGGCGTGAGCCACCACGCCCGGCTATCAATTATGTTTTTATGCTAAATTAACTTAGTTGTGAGAGCTGATTTTCCATTTCTTCAATTTGAACTTCTTGATTAGATAAATCCATTTGCAAGTCTGCACTGTTTCACCACCTCATGGAAACCCTCACAGAACTTTATGTCTCCCTGATTCTGGGCACATTCCAAAAACCATTTTATCTCATACAAGAAAGCCTACTGCTGCTGTGCCGGGTGGGTTCCCTGAGGCTTCTGGTAAGTGATGTCACCACTTGGGGGCTCAGCATTATTTACTCCACTGAAGCTCCCACTGATGGCATGACCCAGTATGTGCCCCACAGCAGAGTCCACAGCCATGCCAGCTGCAGTGATTGCCGCCCGGGCCATCAGACCTGGCTGCCGCGGAGTGCAGCAGCAGGAGAGCCAGCTGCAGAGGGTGGGGCTGCTGCTAGTGGCTGAGCTGCTGGTGCTGGCCTGGGTGTAGTTCTTATCTGAGGTTCTCAGCTGGCTAGAGGGGCCACGTGGGAGGTGCAGTTTCAGCTTCCACGTGACGTTGCAAATGTGCTGCGGCTCAGCGTCTAGACTTGTGAAACTCTATCTTTCTAAAATTATAGCCATTCTTCTGCATGTAAAATGGTATCTCGTGGTTTTGGTTTGCATTTCCTTAGTGATTAGTGATGTTGAACATCTTTATTTTATTTAGTCATTTATTTTTGAGATGGAGTTTTGCTCTGTCACCCAGGCTGGAGTGCAATGGCTCAATCTCGGCTCACTGCAACCTCGGCCTCCCAAGTTCAAGCGATTCTCCTGTCTCAGCCTCCCAAGTAGCTGGGATTACAGGCGCCCGCCACCATGCCAGGCTAATTTTTGTAGTTTTTAGTAGAGACAGCGTTTTGCCACGTTGGCCAGGCTGGTCTCAAACTCCTGACCTCAGGTGATCTGCCTGCCTCGGCCTCCCAAATTGCTGGGATTACAGGTGTGAGCAACCATGCCCAGCCTTATTTTTTGTTTTTATGTAGAGATAGTCTCACTATGTTGCCCAGGCTGGTCGTGAACTCCTGGGCTCAAGATATCCTCCCACGTTGGCAGCCCAAAGTGCTGGGATTATAGATGTGGGCCACCACGTCTGGCCCTGAATATCTTTAAATGTCTTTATCAGCCATTTGTATATCTTCTTTGAAGAAATGTCTACTTAAGCCCTTTGCTGTCCCCGCATCCGCCAACTTTTTTTTTTTTTTTTTTTTGAGTAGGAGTCTCACTCTGTTGCCCAGGCTGGAGTGCAATGGGGCAATCTCAGCTTACTGCAACCTCTGCCTCCTGGGTTCAAGCAATTCTCCTGCCTCAGCCTCCCGAGTAGCTGGGATTACAGGTACTGCCACCATGCCCGGCTAATTTTTGTATTTTTAGTAGAGACAGGGTTTCACCATGTTGGCCAGGCTGGTCGCTTTGGCCAGGCTGGTCTCGAACTCCTGACCTCCTGATCCCCCTGCCTTGGCCTCCCAAAGTGCTGAGATTACAGGCGTGAGCCACCGTGCCCGGCCCCTTTGCCCCTTTTTGAAAATTGGGCTTTTTTTTTTGGCTGGGCGTGGTGGCTCTCACCTGTAATCCCAGCACTTTGGGAGGCCAAGGTGGGCAGATCAAGAGGTCAGGAGATCGAGACCATCCTGGCTAACACGGTGAAACCCCATCTCTACTAAAAATACAAAAAATTAGCTGGGCGTGGTGGCAGGCGCCTGTAGTCCCAGCTACTCGGGAGGCTGAGGCAGGAGAATGGCGTGAACCTGGGAGGCGGAGCTTGCAGTGAGCTGAGATCGCACCACTGCACTCCAGCCTGGGTGACAGAGTGAGCCTCCGTCTCAAAAAAAAACAAAAAACAAAAAACAAACAAAAAAAAAAACAAAAAAACAAATTGGGCTTTTTTTTTTTTAAAGATTATTGAATGTTAAGGTTATACATTCTAGATAAAAGTCCCTTGTCAGATATATGGTTTGCAAATATTTTCTCCCATTCTGTAGGTTGTCTTTTTACTTTCTTGATGGTGACTTATGGTGTACAAAAATTTTAAATTTTTATGAAGCCCTATTTATCTATTTTTTTCTTTTGTCATTTGTGTTTTTGATGCTCTATCTAAGAAACTATTTCCTATCCCAGGATCACAAATATTTACTTCTATAATACTTCTATAATTTATTTTTGAATGCTAATTTTGTATCCAGCAATTTGCTAAACTCTCTAATTAATTATAATAATTTACTGTACTTTTTCTTTTTTCTTTTTCTTTTTTTCTTTTTTTTTTTTTTTTTTGAGACGAGGTTTTGCGCTTGTTGCCCAGGCTGTAGTGCAATGGCACAATCTCAGCTCACTGCAACTCCTGCCTCCCGGGTTCAAGGGATTCTCCTGTTTTAGCCTCCCAAGTAGCTGGGATTACAGGCGCCCGCCATCAAGCCTGGCTAATTTTTTGTATTTAGTAGAGGAATTTCGCCATGTTGGTCATGCTGGTTTCGAACTCCTGACCTCAAGGGATCCATCCGCCTCTGCCTCCCAAAGTGCTGGGATTACAAGCATGAGCCACTGCGCCCAGCCCTAATCTTTAATATTTTTACCTTTAATTTTTTTATTTTTTATTGCTGTTTTGTGCCTAGTAAAATATTGAATAGAAATAGTGATAATGGATATCATTGTCTCATTCCTCATTAATAGGGGAAAGCTTTTAATATTTATTCTTTAAGTTTGATGCTTGCTTTAGGTTTCTTTTAAGATTAAGGAAATTCCATTTTGCTATTTTATAAGATTAAATAAATTCTACTTTATTACTACTGACAGTTTTTCTTTTTCTTTTTTGAGACAGGGTCTTGCCCTGTTGCCCAGCCTGGAGTGCAGTGGTACAAACATGGCTCATTGTAGCCTCAACCTCCTGGGCTCAAGTGATCCTCCTCCCACCTCAACCTCCCAAGTAGGTGGGACCACAGGCATGTGCCACCATACCTGGCTAATTTTTGTATTTTTAGTAGAGATGGGGTTTCACCATGTTGGCCAGGCTGGTCTCGAACTCCTGACCTCAGGTGATCCACCTGCTGCCTTCGCCTCCCAAAGTGCTGGGATTACAGGCGTGAGCCAATGCGCCCAGCCAGTTGGTTTGTTTGTTTTCAAATCTGTAGTATCACCTTACAGTTTCTAATTCCTTAAGGAGTATTTAAATAGGGGTTTTAACAGTATCTAGAGTCATAGTGGATGGCAGATGTATTTGTATTGTCTGTTGTTTCTGATGCTTCTTGCTCAATCTTTGTTGTCTCTCACTGTGTGTCTCGTTATCTTTTTTCTTTTTTCTTTTGAGAGAGTCTCACTCTGTTGCCCACGATGGAGCGCAGTGGCTCAATCTCGGCTCACTGCAACCTCTGCCTCCTAGGCTCAAGCAATTTTCATGCCTCAGCCTCCTGAGTAGCTGGGACTGCAGGTGTGCTGGTCTTGAACTCCTGACCTCAAGTGAGCCACCTCCCCGGCCTCCTGAAAGTGCTGGGATTACAGGCACGAGCCACTGTGCCTGGCTCTGGTTATTTATTTATTTATTTATTTATTTATTTATTTATTTATTTTTTGAGACGGAGTCTCGTCCTGTTGTCCAAGCTGGAGTGCAATGGCACGATCTCAGCTTACTGCAACCTCCGCCTCCCGAGTTCAAATGATTCTCCTGCCTCAGCCTTTCAAGTAGCTGGGATTACTGGTACCCACCACCACGCCCAGCTAAATTTTGTATTTTTAGTAGAGACGGGGGTTTCACCATGATGGCCAGGCTGGTCTCGAACTCCTGACCTCGTGATCTGCCCACCTCAGCCTCCCAAAGTGTTGGGATTACAGGCGTAAGCCACCACATCTGGCCCCTGATTATCCTTAGTTATGTGTTGGATATCCTATTTGAAGAATTATTGTTATTATTATTATTGAGATGGAGTCTTGCTTTTGTCGCCCAGGCTGGAGTGCAGTGGCGCGATCTTGACTCACTGCAACTGCATCTCCTGGGTTCAAGCAATTCTCCTGCCTCAGCTTCCCGAATAGCTGGGATTACAGGTGCCTGCCAACATACCCAGCTAATTTTTGTATTTTTAGTAGAGATGGGGTTTCACCATGTTGGCCCGGCTGGTATCGAACTCCTTACCTCCGGTGACCCACCCGCCTTGGCCTTCCAAAGTGCTGGGATTACAGGTGTGAGCCGCTGTGCCCGGTCCTGAAGAATTATTTATAGAAATAATTTGAGACTTGGAATAATATTATCTTTTCCCAGAAAGGATTTTTTTGTTCCTTACCAAGTGCCTGGGGCACTAATAGTATGGGAAGAGTACGGGATTACCTTATTCCAAGTTTAAATCTTGGTATTTTGTGGGCCATTCAAATGATAAATCTGATCTATAGAGGTCATGAAGGCTAATTTACTTCTGGTTCGTCCTTACTACTAGGGTGTAGCTATCTAGTTTCCAAACCCAAAGCAGGGAACAGTACACCTTAGATTCCACCTTTTGTCCCCCAGCCCCATAAACCAACAAATGAGCAGCTCAGCTTCTCACATACCTCTTTGGAATGGTCAAACACCTTAAGGTTAAAAGCTATCCCTGCATGCTATGCTAACCTCTCTGGGTTTCTGGCCTCTCTCTAAGCTTGCCTTAGTCATGACTCACCTGAAAGCATTAGTGGTCTGGAAACAAAGCTTGAGGAATTTTTTGTTTCCATATTCCAGAGTGTAGTCCTTTGAGTTCTCTCTGCACAAGAGTGTAATTTGCACTAGGAGTCCCCTTTGGCTGGTGGACAGCTTCAGCTGCTTTCTTCAGTTCCCAGTGTCCACCCCAAAGCACTGCTTGCCTATCAGTTGTTTCCTGGGCTGGGCAAATGACCCCTGGAGCAAAGACTACAACAGAATCCTAGTTGAGAGAGAGAGAGAGAGAGAGAGAGAGAGAGTGTGTGTGTGTGTGTGTGTGTGTGTGAGAGAGAGAGAGAGAGAGACAGAGACAGAGACACACACACACAGAGAGAGAGATATCCAGAGTCCAGGGTCTACTTTCCTGGTGGCTGCAGGTCACTAACTCATTGTCTCATGTGTCCCTCTCACTTAAGGAACACCTTTTGCTTGGTAAATGCCTCTGGAGGGAAGAGGCCCTGGCTCACTTCTTTCTGTTCTGAGCACAAATTACCCTCACCACCACCCTGGCCCAAGCTACCATCATCTATCTCCTGGATTTAACTGAGTTCCCAGCTTCCACCTTTGCCATTCTATTCTCCTCATAAAAGTGACTGATCCTTTAAAAGAATAAATCAGACATGTCACTTCTTAGTTTAAAACCTCCCAGTGTCTTTTAAACCCACTCAGAATAAAATCCAAAATCGTTCCCATGACCTACAGGGACTTATATAACCTGATCCCTGGTTACCACTCAGATCTTATCACCTGTACTTCAGTCACACTAGCTTCCTGCTGTTCCTCAAACAAGCCAGTTATGCTTGAGCCTCAGGACTTTGTACTTACTGCCTGCAATGCTCTTTACCTTGATATCCTCATGGCTGATTCATTCACCTCCTTTAAGTTTTTGCTGAAGTGTTACCTATCAGAAAGGCCTTCCCTGATCAGCCTATGTAAAATAGCATTCCTTTCCTTTTATTCTTTATGCTCTTACCCAGGTTTATTTTCCTTATAACACTTGTCACCAATTGTCATATTTTATTTTATTTTATTTTGTTTTATTTTGAGACAGATTCTCATTCTGTCGCTCAGGCTGGAGTGCAGTGGTGCGATCTTGGCTCACTGCAACCTCTGCCTCCTGGGTTCAAGCGATTCTCCCGCCTCAGCCTCCTGAGTAGCTGGGACTACAGGCATGCACCACCACGCCTGGCTAATTTTTGTATTTTTAGTAGAGAGGGGGTTTCACCATGTTGGTCAGGCTGGTCTCAAACTCCTAGCCTCATGATCCGTCCGCCTCAGCCTCCCAAAGTGCAAGGATTATAGGCGTGAGCTACCGCACTCGGCTACTTGTTTTTAAAAATGTTGTCTCCCTCCCCAGCTAGATTGTAAACTTCATGAAAACAGGGACATATTCTTGTATGTCCAGCATACAAGAACAAACAGTGCCTTGCACATTATAGGTGACTCATAAATACGATATTAATGAAGAAATTGTGTAACACCTATATAAAGGAGACTAGGCCGGGCGCGGTGGCTCTCGCCTGTAATCCCAGCACTTTGGGAGGCCGAGGCGGGCGGATCATGAGGTCAGGAGATCGAGACCATCCTGGCTAACACGGTGAAACCCCGTCTCTACTAAAAAATACAAAAAAAAAAAAAAAGAAAAAAAAATTAGCCAGACATGATGGCGGGCGCCTGTAGTCCCAGCTACTCGGGAGGCTGAGAGCCAGGAGAATGGCGTGAACCCGGGAGGCATAGCTTGCAGTGAGCCGAGATCACGCCACTGCACTCCAACTCCAGCCTGGGCGACAGAGCAAGACTCTGTCTCAAAAAAAAAAAAAAAAAAAAAAGAGACTAAAATTAATCTAGAGGGACAGCAAAGGATTGAATTTTGCAAAAGTAGTAATTATTCCCAAATTAATTTATATATTTATCACCATTCTGATTTTAAAACTGCACAGTACTTTTTGGATCACAAGGTCAGGAGATCGAGACCATCCTGGCTAACATGGTGAAACCCCCGTCTCTACTAAAAATACAAAAAAAATTAGCTGGGTGTGGTGGTGGGCGCCTGTAGTCCCAGCTACTCGGGAGGCTGAGGCAGGAGAATGGCGTGAACCCGGGAGGCGTAGCTTGCAGTGAGCCGAGATCGCGCCACTGCATTCCAGCCTGGGCGACTGAGCAAGACTCCGTCTCAACCAAAAAAAAAAAAAAAAAAAAAAAAAAAATATATATATATATATATATATATATATGTATATATTACACATAACATTAAAACCAAAGGGAAAAAAACCCAAAAACCAGTTTGTTACTTCACATGGCATTGGGCAGCTGCTGCTAATTTAAGTTGAAAGCTCTATAGCTAGCTAGCTACATGACTGATTCATCAGTTTGAGATTTGTTCTCCTGTCAAAAGTTTAAGTCTGATGGAAGGTTGGCTTCACATTCTGGTGTTTGGACATCCCTTAGCTAGCATATGTCTGGTCAAAAAGATCTTTGTGGGCCGGGCGCGGTGGCTCACGCCTGTAATCCCAGCACTTTGGGAGGCCGAGGCGGGCGGATAACGAGGTGAGGAGATCGAGACCATCTTGGCTAACACGGTGAAACCCCCGTCTCTACTAAAAATACAAAAAAATTAGCCGGGCGTGGTGGCTGGCGTCTGTAGTCCCAGCTACTCGGGAGGCTGAGGCAGCATAATGGCGGGAACCCGGGAGGCAGAGCTTGTAGTGAGCCGAGATCGCGCCACTGCACTCCAGCCTGGGGGACACAGCGAGACTCCGTCTCAAAAAAAAAAAAAAAAAAAAAAAGATATCTGTGGCAAGCCAGATATCCTGTCACCTCACCAAAGGGAAGGTATCCTCTCTAAGCTCTGCCCTCTTGGTTAGGTTGGAGATACCAGGGGATCTTTCTTTTACCACCAAAGGCTCCCTCTAGTGGTACTGCTGCTGTTGCTCTCAGCAGGTGGTGACATTCGCTTAGGGCAGGGAACTGCAGAGAGGGAGCTGAGGAGCTTCTTGCCAGACACAGCCTAGTCGTCTGTGATCTTAGGACTCTGGGCTTGGGTGAAACATCACGTTATTGCTTTGTTTCAGGCTTGATACTACCAGGTGCCTACTCCTTGACCTTTGTTTAAATGAGGTACTTCAAGAATAGACAATTTCACGCGCGTCCGTGTAAAGAGACTACCAAACAGGCTTTGTGTGAGCTGTAAAGAGACTACCAAACAGGCTTTGTGTGAGCAATAAAGCTTTTTAATCACCTGGGGGCAGGCAGGCTGAGTCCGAAAAGAGAGTCAGCGAAGGGAGATAGGGGTGGGGCCGTTTTATAGGATTTGGGTAGGTGGTGGAAAATTACAGTCAAAGGGGGTTGTTCTCTGGCTGGCAGGGGTGGGGGACACAAGGTGCTCAGTGGGGGAGCTTTTGAGCCAGGATGAGCCAGGAGAAGGAATTTCACAAGGTAAGGCCATCAGTTAAGGCAGGAACAGGCCATTTTCACTTCTTTTGTGATTCTTCAGTTGCTTCAGGCCATCTGGATATATACGTGCAGGTCACAGGGGATATGATGGCTTAGCTTGGGCTCAGAGGCCTGACAGACAAAATGACTCTTTTCAGTTTATTGCATGAAGGAGTTACACTAGTCCAAATTAAAAGTAGATCACGGCCAGGCGTGGTGGCTCACGCCTGTAATCCTAGCACTTTGGGAGGCCGAGGAGGGTAGATCACCTGAGGTTAAGAGTTCGAGACCAGCCTGGCCAACATGGTGAAACCTCGTCTCTAGTAAAAATACAAACATTTGCCGGGTGTGGTGGCAGGCGCCTGTAATCCCAGCTACTTGGGAGGCTGAGGCAGGAGAATCGCTTGAACCCAGGAGGCAGAGGTTTCAGTGAGCCGAGATCATGCCACTGCACTCCAGCCTGGGCAACAGAGCAAAAACTCCATCTCAAAAAAAAATAAATAAATAAAAAATTAAAAAATTAGGCGGTTATGGTGGTGCGTGCCTATAGTTCCAGCTACTCGGAAGGCTGAGGCAGGAGGCTTGCTTGAGCCCAGGAGTTCCAGGCTACAGCGAGCTGTGATCACACCACCGCACTCCAGCCTGGGCTACAGAGAGACTTTATCTCTTAACAGCAACAACAACAACAACAAGCAAAGAAAAAAGCAGGTGAGGGGTTTCGAAGCATGACACAAGCCAAGTTTTTTGTTTGTTTGTTCCTTTGTTTGTTTTTGAGATGGGGTCTTTCTCTGTCTCCAGGGTGGAGTGCGACGGTGCGATCATAGCTCACTGCAGCCTCGGCCTTTTGGGCTCAAGCTATCCACCCAACTCAGCCTCCTGAGTAGCTGCGACTACACTGCAGGTGGGCGCCACCATGCCCGGCTTTTTTTTTTTTAATTTTTAATTTTGTAGAGACAGGGTTTCCCTACTTTGCTCAGGCAGGTCTTGAACTCCAGGGCTCAAGCGATCTTCCTGCCTCAGCCTACCCAAGTGCTGGGATTTCAGACATGAGCCACAATTCCCGGCCCCAAGAAGCTTTAAAGGAAAAAAAGACATAAATTCAACTACATTTAAAAAAATCTGCATGGCATAAGGCAGCACAAATAAAGATTTTAAAAAACAAATTGTGAATAAATATTTGCACTACATATGAGAGAGAAAACCTTATTTACTTAATACAAAAAAAATTCTTACAAATCAATGACCAATGACGCATTAGAAAAATAGACAAAGGTTATGAGAATATACAGATGGCTAATGTATGAAAGACACTGAACCTCATTAATAACCAAATAAATGCTAATCAAAATATTTCATCTGATTTGTCAGATTAGTAAAGATTTGAAATATTGACAGTTTCCAGGGTTGGCTTGAATATTGATAAATAGCCATTCTTTTAACACTGTCTGTAGGATTATACATTGGGTTAATATTTTGATGCCATTTTATCAATATCTATAAACATTTTAAAGGTATAGACCTTTCTTTTTTTTTTGAGATGGAGTCTCGCTCTGTCATCCAGGGTGGAGTGCAGTGGGGCAATATCGGCTAACTACAACCTCTGCCTCCTGGGTTCAAGCAATTCTCCTGCCTCAGCCCCCCAAGTAGCTGGGACTACAGGCACATGCCACCATGCCCGGCTAATTTTTTGTATTTTCAGTAAAGACAGGGTTTCACCATGCTAGCCAGGCTAGTCTTGAACTCCTGACCTTGTGATCCGCCCTCCTCGGCCTCCCAAAGTGCCGAGATTACAGGCGTGAGTCACTATGCTGGGCTGGTATAGACCTTTTGATCTAGCAACTACACTTTGGTGAATATATCTTGTAGAAATACTTAAAGATGGATACATAGTAATGATCATTGCAGAATTATTTGTAACGATGAATACTTGAAGGAAGAAGCCCTAAATATAGGGCGTTGGTTAAATAATTGATAGTAATCCACGTAGTACAAATGACAAAACCATTAAAAGAATTAGATAAATTGCTACTTAAAGGTTTTTCAAACTTTTAAAAGATTAATAAACTATTTTTTTTGAACACTTCTAGGTCCACAAGGAAAATCGAGTGGCCACAGCTTTCTCTTGGTATTGTGGGGATAAAAACCTTCTTCTTCGCTAATGCTTTCTCATGGAGGGCTAAATGTTGATATGAATATAGGTCATGGTTGTATCAGAGATTGGCTCCTAGTAAATTAAGTGATGGTATGATGATGGCCTTGATTTAAAAAGGTGCTTTTGCTTGATGTGGTGAAAGTTGGTATGGGCTTTATTCTGGTGCTATGAGTAGGGATCTCAGTAGTACTACCTTATGGTTTTCTTGATTAATCAAAAGAGTGGTGATGTAATTCCTCATCTTTTTTTTCTTTTTCTTTTTTTTTTGAGATGGAGTTTCACTCTTGTTGCCCAGGATGGAGTACAATGGCATGATCTTGGCCCACCACAACCTCCACCTCCCAGGTTCAAGTGATCCTCCTGCCTCAGCCTCCCAAGTAGCTGGGATTATAGGCACCTGCCACCACCCCTGGCTATTTGTATTTTTAGTAGGATAAGGTTTCACCATGTTGGCCAGGCTAGTCTCGACCTCCTGACCTCAGGTGATCTGCCTGCCTCGGCCTCCCAATGTGCTGGGATTACAGGCATGAGCCACCATGCCCGGCCGTAATTCCTCATCTTATTGCAGCCTTTTTACTGTATGGTGAGTGGTGGTATGGGTACAGGTTCAGCCCTAAATGTTGGTTGCATTGCACTGTGGTTAAGAATGTAGGCTCTGGGCCAGGCGCAGTGGCTCATGCCTGTAATCCCAGCACTTTGGGAGGCCGAGGTGGGTGGATCACTAGGTCAGAAGTTCGAGACCAGCCTGACCAACATAGTGAAACCCCGTCTCTACTAAAAATACAAAAAATTAGCTGGCATGGTGGCTCATGCCTATAATCCCAGCTACTCGAGAGGCTGAGGCAGGAGAATAGCTTGAACCTGGGAGGCGGAGGTTGCAGTGAGCAGAGATCATGCCATTGCACTCCAGCCTGGGCAACGAGAGCGAAACTCCGTCTCAAAAAAAAAAAAAAGAATGTAGGCTCCGGTTCAGACTGCATTTTTGACTGCAATGTATGCTGGAGCTGAGTAGCTTGCCTTCTGGAATTTGCTGCCATCCTTACCACTCACACAGTGAATGCTTATGTAGTTATACTTGGTCCCTTCCTTCACATACTTACCTGCTTGACCCTAGTCTTTGAGTTTGCCACCCCTGCTTCAAGTATTTCAGTTTAGTCATTAAGATGTTGGGCCAGGCGTGATGGCTCATGCCTGTAATCCCAGCACATTGGGAGGCTGAGGCGGGCGGATCACTTGAGGCCAGGATTTTGAGACCAGACTGGCCAAAGTGGCAAAACCCCGTCTCTACCAAAAATACAAAAATTAGCCGGGTGTGACCACATTTGACTCACTCCATTTATTCTACCCTCAACAGGGACTCTACAGATATGCTGCAATGACCACTCTGTCACAATGCAACCCCATAGAACTCATGTCTGCTTTCTCTAACTCCACCAATTGGAAGGGAACTCTGATTTGGTAGTATCCTGGGCCCCAGTGAATGACTCACTGCATAGGTCTTCTCTGTTTCTCACTCCCCTCTCACTGGTTTGACAATCTGCTTGTTGGCACCCTTCTTCTCTCTGGGATCTATGAGTAATAAACTGCTTTTGTTTTTTTCATGTGTTTTTGTTATGTTGTCTTCTCTGTACCTCACCTGACTGACACACACAGACCTAATTTTACTTCCAGTGAAAGCTCTCCTAAAGAGTGGCTATCTTGGTAGGAATAAACTGAACACAAGTCAGAAAAGAGCCTCAAGGGCAGTTGACGGTATAAACAAGTTTCCTATGAGAGGGACACCTGACCATGGGTCAGATACCTAGGCATTAGGCCATCTGCTAGGATAAAGAAGTATCCTGTGAAAGGCACAGTGTAAATATCGACAAACAATCCCCTGGAACCTGATCAGGGCAGGGCTAGAGTTTACACTCCCTCTGCAGAGAAAGATCTCAAGACCAAACTAGAGAAATACGACATAACTTTTAGGTCTTGGAAAACCAGTAGCAATGCTATTCCTACTTTCTTTCATTCTTCTCTTTGAAATTAGCATGGCTGCAATGCTTCTACAGTATGGAAGGTTAAAAAAAGAAATAGTATCCTCAAGTTCTGGGAAGATAAAAGCTTGAATAAATGTTCCTGACACACTCTTCCTCCTGAATCCTGCTGGAGAGTAACACAACAGCCAGGATAGGTAAGGTGATGGAGCCTAAAAACTGTATTTAAGGCTATATTTCTTTTAGGATTTTCTAGTGGGTATGGAGAGCAGATTTGAGCAGCGTCCAGCCTATGACTGCATATGGCAGTGATGCTAGCATCTGACCATTTCTGCCCAATGTGGGACACTTTATTTTATTTTTAAAATTAATTTTAATTTTAATTTAATTAAATAATTAATTTTTTTGTGACAGGGTCTCATTCTTTTTTTTTTTTTTTTTTTGAGACGGAGTCTCGCTCTGTCGCCCAGGCTGGAGTGCGGTGGCGTGATCTCGGCTCACTGCAAGCTCCGCCTCCCGGGTTCATGCCATTCTCCTGCCTCAGCCTCCCAAGTAGCTGGGACTGCAGGCACCCGCCACCACACCCGGCTAATTTTTTGTATTTTTAGTAGAGACGGGGTTTCACCGTGTTAGCCAGGATGGTCTCGATCTCCTGACCTTGTGATCCGCCCGCCTCGGCCTCCCAAAGTGCTGGGATTACAGGCGTGAGCCACCACGCCTGGCCAGTGAAACACTTCAAATAGGCAATTTTGGCTCTGGAGTTCCCCTGCTGAATTGGCTGAGACTGTCCGATCTGCTTAGTGTCAAGAGAGAGTCAAGGGATAGTGGTAGAGGGCGGGGTATCTCTCTCTTTTTTTTTTTTTTTTTTTTGAGATGGAGTCTCACTCTGTCGCCCAGGCTGGAGTGCAGTGGTGCGATCTCGGCTCACTGCAAGCTCTGCCTCCCAGGTTCAAGCCATTCTCCTGCCTCAGCCTCCCAAGTAGCTGGGACTACAGGCGCCCGGCTAATTTTTTGTATTTTTAGTAGAGATGGGGTTTCACCATGTTAGCCAGGATGGTCTCGATCTCCTGACCTCGTGATCCACCTGCCTCAGTCTCCCAAAGTGCTGGGATTACAGGTTTGAGCCACCGCGCCCGGCCAGGGCAGGGTATCTCTCTTAAAACCTGGGGGTGTTACAGCTCTTTTAGAATTTGTCTAGCAGGCTTTCCAGTAAATACAGGAAAGCCCTCAATAAATTTTAAATAAAAAAATAAAAAAAAAGAAACCTGGAACAAAGACTGATTCTGCTCTATGAAGCCTGTTCTATGAAGGTTCAACCTGCTCACCTGCTTTCTTGAAGCCCTAAGGGACCTGACTGATTCACATGACCATGATGGAACTTGAGGAAAACTATTTTGCTGGTCTGAATTACTTTCAGCCCCTATGGTTGGAAGAGATTGCCACGTATGCTCAGGGAGGCTTGGGGCAAAGAGGCTTCCTTCCTACGTCTCAGCAAAGGCATAATATCTCTTCATCTAGTTGATTTCTCACCTACAACAGCAAAAACTGCTTAGTCTTCCACCACTCACTGGTTTACCACTGCTCAGGAGACCCTAATCTGACCTAACTGCTAAGAAGTCAAAACTATGAGCAGGTAAGGAGAAATGACCCATTTTAGGACATTTATTAACTAGAGGGAGGAAGACTAACTCACACAACTAGACAGATGGCTTCTATTGATGCAGAATCACAGGAAGAGTCACAGAGAATTAGTAAATGATTAAACAAGTTAATATTTGTAAAATATTTAGAACAGTGCTTGGCGTATATTATATACACGTGTGTCAAATGATAAAGTAACAAACAAGTAACAAAAGCTCTCAAGGATGTGCAATTAGAGCACAAAAAAGACAATCTAGAACTAGAAAACATGATTTTAGAATTAAAAAAAAAATTAGTGCACAAACTGGAAAAGAGGATGATCCTTAACTGAGAACCAAATTAGCAATCTGGAAGATCAAGCGGAAGAAATAGCTTTCAACAGAGAACAAAAATGTAAAGAAATAGAAATCATTGAGGATTAAGAAACTCAGGAGATCTGTTGTGAAAATGACAGGAGTCCAGAAGGATAAAGTGAATATAAGAAAGCGAAAACCTAACTAGATAAATAATAGAAGAAAATTTCCGGGCTGGGCGCGATGGCTCACGCCTGTAATCCCAGCACTTTGGGAGGCCGAGGCGGGTGGATCACCTGAGGTCAGGAGTTCGAGACCAGCCTGGCCAAGACGGTGAAACCCCGTCTCTACTAAAAATACAAAAATTAGCCGGGCGCGGTGGTGGGCGCCTGTAATCCCAGCTACTTGGGAGGCTGAGGCAGGAGAATCACTTGAACCTGGGAGGCGGAGGTTGCAGTGAGCTGACATCACGCCACTGCACTCTAGCCTGGGTGACAGAGCAAGACTCCGTCTCAAAAAAAAAAGAAAATTTCCCTGAGTTGAAGAAAGATTTGGGTTCGCAGATTAAAAGTGTTCACTGAGTCTTATGAATGATAATGAAAAGAGACACACATCAAAATTTATCCTTGTGAAATCCTTGAATTCCAAGTATAAAGAGAAAACCTTGTAAGTTTCCAAACAGAAAGAACACATTCTAGCTTCCAGCTAGCTTTGGCCACTGGGAGGCACTGGTAAAAGGCTGAAGACTGGGAACAGGGAGAAGCTTGGACATTTCTGTAGAACTTCCTCTCTGTCTTGGGTAATATGTCTGGTACTGGTTGCAGCTCCTCTATAACCCCAGATCCTGCCAGACAGGCTTGCGCTGGATAACCCAGATTCTTGGGCTCTGGTAACACCACTTTATTTATTTATTTATTTATTTATTTATTTATTTATTTATTTCTCTCTCTCTCTTTCTCTCTTTCTTCTTTTCTTCTTCTTCTTTTTTTTTTTTTTTTTGACAGAGTCTCGCTCCCAGGCTGGAGTGCAGTGGCGCCATCTCGGCTCACTGCAAGCTCCGCCTCCCAGGTTCACGCCATTCTCCTGCCTCAGCCTCCTGAGTAGCTGGAACTACAGGCACCTGCCACCACGCCTGGCTAAGTTTTTGTAATTTTAGTAGAGACAGGGTTTCACCGTGTTAGCCAGGATGGTCTCGATCTCCTGACCTCGTGATCCGCCCGCCTCGGTCTCCCAAAGTGCTGGGATTACAGGCGTGAGCCACCGAGCCCAGTCTTGTCTTGTCTTTGTTCTTTCTTTCTCTTTCTTTCTTTCTTTTTCTTTCTTTCTTTTCTTTCTTTCCTTTCCTTCCTTCCTTTCTTCCTTCCTTCCTTCCTTCCTTCCTTCCTTCCTTCCTTCCTTCCTTCCTTCCTTCTCTCTCTCTCTTTCTTACTTTTTTTCAGGGTCTCACTCTGTCACCCAGGCTGGAGTGCTGTGGCATGATCACAGGTCACTGCAGCCTCAACATGTCCAGGCTCAGGTGATCCTCCTGCCTCATCCTCCCAAGTAGCTGGAACTACAGGTGTGCACCACCATGCCTGGCTAGTTTTTTTGTGTTTTAAAAATCTACAACACAGAAAGGTAGAAAACAGTGGAATACCATCTGCAGAAAATTGGGAGAAAAGAACTCCTAACTAAAAATCCTGTACCAGGCCAGGCGAGGTAGCTCACGCCTATAATTCTCAGCACTTTGGGAGGACGAGGTGGGTGGATTACCTGAGGTCAGGAGTTTGAGACCAGCCTGGCCAACATGGTGAAACCCCGTCTCTACTAAAAATACAAAAATTAGCTGGGCATGGTGGCGCACACCTGTAATCCCAGCTACTCAGGAGGCTGAGGCAGGAGAATCGCTTGAACCCGGGAAGCAGAGGTTGCAGTGAGCTGAGATTGTGCCATTGAACTCCAGCCTGGGTGACAAGAGTGAAACTCCATCTCAAAAAAAAAAAAAAAAAATCCTGCACCAAGCTGTAGTAGGCTGCTTCTAAAATGGCTCCCAATGATCCTCACCTCTTCAATATTCACCCTCTTGTAAATCCCTCCTCTTGTGTTGGACCCAGCGACTTGCTTGTAACAAATGAGCCATGGCAAAAATGATGAGATGTCACTTTCATAGTTAGGTTACAAAAGACTGTAGCTTCTGTGTCTTGCTCATATTCTGTCTCTGGCTCTTCCTAAGTGATTACGCTGATGCAGAGGGCCCCCTGGCAAGGAACTGGGGCCTTTAGTCCAACAGCCAGCAAGGAGCTGAATCCTTCCAGCAATGATTTGAGTGATCTTGGAAGTGCATCCTGTCACAGTGAGCCTTGAGATAAGACTGCAGCCCCAGCTGACACCTTGATTGCAGCCTGTGAAAGACCCTAAATGGACACCTTGATTGCAATCTTATAGAGAATCTGAAGCAGAAGACCCAGTTAGGTCAGGACTCTAGGCTTCACAGAAACTGTGAGGTTATAAATGTGTTGCTTAAGCCATCAAGCTTTATTAAAAAAAAAAGTGGAATTCAAGATCAAATGCATTAAGACGAAAAGGGGGCATAAATGGTTCAATCCTTGTTGAAGTGATGAATCACAAACTTTTATGTACTGAAGTATCACAGCTTAATATTTACAGCAAACTCTCAGAAACCCAAGAAGATTTTGATAGAAAACCACCACCATAATGGGAGATTATAATATATCTCCTTCAGAACTTGAATGATCAAGTAGATGAAAAATAAGCTAGAAAATAGATGACTGAATAATGTGACAAACAAGTTCAACATATAATCATATATATGTATATTTCCACACGCATTTTAAAATGTAAACTATTTTGTTTTCCAGGTCTTGGGAACTCGGAAAAAAAATTTTTAATGTAAATTATGTTCTAATGTCTATCAACTGTGTGCTTCTTCACAGAGGAAAACTTCATGAATTTAAAGAAGCAGAGATTTGTAGAGGCAACACATTCTCATTATAATCCAGTAAAATTTAAAATAAATAATTGAAGATGGTCAAAATATCTTTACTACTTAAAAACTGAGGAACAGTCTCCTAGATACCCCTAGATCACGGCTGGGTGCAATGGCTTGTGCCTGTACTCTCAGTGCTTTGGGAAGCCAAGGTGGGAGGATTGCTTGAGACCAGGAGTTTGATACCAGTCTGGGCAACATAGCGTGACTCCTGTCTCTACAAAAATTTTGTTCAAGATCAAAGCCTAGGCAACATAGTGAGACCCCATCTCCAAAAAAAAAAAAAGTAGCCAAGCATGGTGGTGCATTCCTGTACTTTAGAGGCTGATGTGGGAGGGTTGCTTGAGCCTGGGAGGTCAAAGCTGCAGTGAGCCGTGATTGTGCCACTGTACTCTAGCCTGGGTGACAGAGCTAGAACCTGTCTCTAAAAAACAAGACAAAACAACAACAACAACAACAAAACCCCAGAGCTTTGGGAGGCTGAGGCAGGTGGATCACTTGAGTCCAGGAGTTCAAGACCAGCCTGGCCAACATGGCGAAACACTGTCTCTACCTAAAAATTACAAAATTTAGCTGGGCGTTGTGGCATGCGCCTGTAATCCCAGCTACTTGGGAGGCAGGAGAATCACTTGAACCCGGGAGGCAGAGGTTGCAGTGAGCTGAGATCATGCCACTGCACTCCAGCCTAGGCTACAGAGAGAGACTCCATCTCAAACAAACAAGCAAACAAAAAAACCCCACAAATCCCCAAAAAACTCCTAGATAAAAGAGAAAATCAAGACAGAAGTTATAAATTTTTTAGGAAGTAACAAAAAGGTAAATGCTTTATAACAAAACCTATGGGATCATCTAAGGCTCTATTTAGAAGAAAATGTATAGCTTTACATTAGGAATCACAAATGTGTCCAGGGCCTATGTAGGTGATGTAGATGTAGGAAGTGGTTAGATGTAAAAATAGGTAGAGGAAGGGCCTATGGAGAATTGGAGAGTACATGACTGTCCTAAAAGCATTCAAATCCAGCAGTTTGCAATACTCCACTATAAATGCTCTTATTATTAAAAGTGGAAAATATGTACACTGAGTAATATACTATAAACACAGTTGCAAAGCCACAAAATTATCCAAAAGAAAATACAAATAGGGAATTAATGAAAGATAAAGCTCAAATGAGTGAACTAGAAACTCGTCACAGGTTGGGTTGTCAGGGAAACAGATACTAGGGAGTTAAGGGTACGAAAGGTTTATAGAGGAGTAATGTCTGCGGAAAAAAAGGGAAGGGGGTGTTGTACGACTGCAATGTAGACCTGAGAAAGTCTCTGTCAGTCCAATGGGGAGCTCTGGAGCAAAGATTGTCCATCAGATGAGTTCTGCATTGAGCAGAAAAGGCTATATCCCAATACCTCCTTTTGCTCCATCATTAGCCATGGGCATCCTGAGGATGATTTCAGCTCAAAAACTGAGGTGGTCTGACCTTGGAGCTACTAACAGCTGATGGCAGTAACAGCTAACCAAACTCCTTGAAGCTGGACAGTGAGAGCCTTCATGAAGTGGGATCTGAGTAATGCCTCTCTGTTTCTATCACAAAAATAAACAAAAATGCGTAGAGCCAAAACCCAAAAGCTGGCTTTTAAAAAAGTAAATTCAACCTATTAATGCTTCCACCGTTTTGTGTCTCTGTGCAATTTGCAAAATTGTTCAAGTGGAATACATGTGCACAAATTTTCAAAGAGTGGATATTTAGGATCTATTAAATTATATATTAGGCAAAAAACAAGTAGCATTTAAAGGGCTGCCTGCCATGGTGGGAACTGTAAATCAACATATTTTCATGCTGGCCTTTCTTCCACTGCCCTAAACGAGGAAGAAATTTGTAATCAATTCATATTTTAAAAGGGCTACTCCTGCTAGAAAACAAGAGAACATTCTATTAGTTTGAGGTTTGAGTGTCCCCCAAGATCAAAATCAGCGTAAGCCACCGTGCCTGGCTTGATAGTCAATATATTTCTAAGTCTCTCCTAAAGATTGAGCAGAGTAACTGTCCAGAACTTTTGACCTCAATGGCAGAAATAGAAGAAACTGCACTGTCCGAAATGGTGGTTGTTATTGAGCACCTGGAATGCAGCGAAGCTAATCTGATTGGAAATGTGTTGTAAGTGTAAACAGACAAGATTTCAAAGACTTAGAATGCAAAAAAAAAAGTAAAATATCTCATATTTTTCATATTAATTGATTATGATCTATTTTGGATATATAATATTAAATCTATTACGATTTGGCCGAGCACGGTGGCTCACGCCTGTAATCCCAACACTTTGGGAGGCTGAGGTGGGTGGATCACCTGAGGTCAGGAGTTTGAGACCAGCCTGACCAACATGGTGAAACCCCGTCTCTACTAAAAATACAAAAATTAGCCAGGTGTGGTGGCATGCACCTGTAGTCCCAGCTTCTCAGGAGGCTGAGACAGGAGAATTGCTTGAACCCAGGAGGCAGAGGTTGCAGTGAGCTGAGACCGTGCCACTGCACAACAGCCTGGGCCACAGAACGAGACTTAATAATAATAATAAATCTATTAAGATTTATTTTACCTGTTTAACTTTTTCTAATGTAGCTACAAGAGCATTCAAAATGACACTCATAGCTCACATTTTTGGCTCATGTTATCTTTCTATTGGATAGTGCTGCACTAGCTACGTATTGTAGAGTTTCCTGTATTCCTCTTCTTTTGACTCACTGAAAGTTCCAACCAGTACAGAAATGGTGGTAAGCTCATCCTTATGGTTCTCCATGGCTTTAACAATATAAGGCCAATGTATGTCATACTGTGTTCAATTTTTGATTCTCCATACATCTTTTGCTCAATAGGGAGGTCATACAGAGGTGTCCTGTGTCTATCCATACCAGAAAGTGCACATCGACAGGGAACACATGATGGGAAGGCCATAAGCACCAGCAACAAAAAGACCCATGGAGTGCGATAATGGCTCTAGAATCTTTTTGTTAACCGACCCTGTGAAAGTCGCCCTTCTAGCTGTGCTTTCAGTTGAGGTCCTGAGACTGACTACCACTGTGTACAGCCTGATCACTCGATTGGCCATCTGGTGCAGGAGGATGAACCGAGTGGCGGCGGCGGCGGCGGCGGCGGCGGCGGCGGCGGAAGAAGCGGCTCCAAGAGGAACCAGGCACCGCGAGCCCAGCGCGGGAGGAGGAGAGGGGGGAGGCGGAGACAAAGGAGGATAAGATGACATCCGGGGCGGCGACGTCGGAAGATGGGGCCCGGAAAACTCTAGGTCCCGCCCTAGGAATTCTCCTTGGCAGGGCTGAGTCCGCTGAGCCGCCTCCGCCGCTCCTTTCCTTCGGCTCACACTGGCTTCATCTGCCGACTCTCAACTAACCCAGTTTTCTACCCTGGACTGGACCCTCCCACCCAGCCCCTAAAGCAGGTGTTTTTTGGCTTTTTTTTTTTTTTGAAACGACTAATAAAATAGACAAACTGTCAGCTAGCCTAAGGTAGGAAGAAAAAAACAAAAAAGAAGGAAAGAAGGGGAAAGGAGGGAAAAATATTAGTAATGAGCAAGTCGATAAAAACACAGCCATATGATAAAAATTTTAAGAAACTATTGTGGGTAACAAATGTGAATATGTAGAAGAAATGACTGGTTTCCTAGCAAACTATAAACTACCAAAATTGACCCAAGAAGTAGAGAACCTGAAAAGAGCAATAACCACAGAAGAGAATGGAGAGTCACCAGGTCTAGTTGGGTTTTAGCTAAGTTTTAGCTAACCTTTTTTTTTTTTTTTTTTAATGCTTTGATTAGAAAAAAAAAAAATAGAGACTATGTTCCTCAGGCTGGTCTTGAACTTCTGAGCTCAAGTGACCCTCCCACCTCGGCCTCTCAAAGTGCTGGGATTACAGGTGTGAGCCGCTGCTCCTGGCCAATTTTAGCTAACCTTTAAAGAACAAATAACTTCAATGTTATCTAGTCCATTCTAGATAGTGTTTTTCAAAATATCTGCAGTGAAGAACAAGTTTTTTAAAACTTAGAATTATTGTGGACATATACTTCTGCCATTTCTTTCTTTTCCTTTTTTTTTTGAGACGGAGTCTCGCTCTGTCACCCAGGCTGGAGTGTGGTGGCACGATCATAGCTCACGGCAACCTTTGCTTCCTGGGTTCAAGCGATTCTCATGCCTCAGCCCCCTGAGAAGCTGGGACTACAGGTGCGCCACCACACCCGGCTAATTTCTGTATTTTTAGTAGAGACAGGGTTTCGCCATGTTTGCCAGGCTGGTCTCTAACTCCTGGCCTCTGTCCACCTTGGCCTCCCAAACTGCTGAGATTACAGGCATGAGGAACCGTGCCTGGACTACTTTTGCCAATTTTAATTTAAAAGACTAGAAAAATTAAATAATACGCAGACATAAAGTGCAAGGCCAATTTTCAAATTTTTAGAATAATCAGAAATAAAATTAAATTTTCTTAAAAAATAATCAAAATAGTCCGGGCGCTGTGGCTCATGCCTGTAAATCCCAGCACTTTGGGAGGCCTAGGTGGGCGGATCACGAGGTCAGGAGATTGAGACCATCCTGGCCAACATGGTGAAACCCTGTCTCTACTAAAAATACAAAAAATAGCTGGGCATGGTGGCCCGAGCCTGTAGTCCCAGCTACTCAGGAGGCTGAGGGAGGAGAATCACCTGAACCCGGGAGACGGAGGTTGCAGTGAGCTGAGATTGAGCCACTGCACTCCAGCCTGGGCGACAGAGCAAGACTCCATCTCAAAAAAAAAAAAAAAAAAACACTTAAAAAAAATCAAAATAAATTGAACACGGTGGCTCATGTCTGTAATCCCAGCACTTTGGGAGGCAGAGGCACGTGGATCACCTGAGGTCCGGAGTTCGAGTGCAGCCTGGCAAACATGGTGAAACCCCATCTCTACTAAAATTACAAAAATTAGCCAGGTGTGGTGGCACGTTCCTGTAATCCCAGTTACTCAGGAGGCTGAGGCAGAAGAATCACTTGAACCTGGGAGGTGGAGGTTTCAGTAAGCCAAGATCGTGCCACCACTGCACTCCAGCCTGGGCAACAGAGCAAGACTTCGTCTCAAAAAAAAAAAAAAAAATTGATTGAGACCATCCTGGCATCCTGGCTAACACGGTGAAACCCCGTCTCTACTAAAAAATACAAAAATAAAAATAAAAATAAAAAATAACATAGGGACAAATAAGATAATTACAAAACCTGAATACATTACTCATTGATGAGTCCGATGATCACTGCTTGGATGTCATAATGATGTTAAATTGCTATAACAATTTCTAAACCCTCTCAATTTCTGTATTTATCTCATCATAGATGGTAACACGTTAGGGACAGGCACCAGTCCTCAGACCACAGAAAAAGATGAAAAGATCCGAAATTTATTTTGTAAAGCTAGCATAGCCTTACATGTGGGAATATATTAAAATATGATAATATTTGCACAAAAGATACATGTAGAAATTCGAAATAAAATATTAATAAACTGAATTTAGCAGTGTAGCAAAGAATAATATACCATGACTAAGTAGGGTCTATTTAAGAAAAGAAAAAAAAAAAAAAAAAATTGCTGAGCACAGTGGCTCACACCTGTAATCCCAGCATTTTGGGAGGCCAAGGTGGGAGGATTATTTCAGGCCAGGAGTTTGAGACCAGCCTGGGCAATGTAGTAAGATCCTGCCTGTACAAAATTATAATTATAAAAATAAAGAAAAGCAAAAATGATTCAACATTAAGAAATCTATTAACATTGCTGGGCATGGTGATATGTGCCTGTAGTCTCAGCTACTCAGGAAGCTGAGGTGGGAAGATCGCTGGAGGCCAGGAGTTCAAGGCTGTAGTGTGTACTATCAATGTACCTGTGAATGGCCACTGCACTCCAGCCTGGGCAACATAGTGAGACTCCAAAAAGTCTATTAACATAATTCATGACCTGAAGCAATTAAAGGAGAAAACTCATGTTATTATGTCAATAGAAACTGAAAAAGCATCAAAAATTCAACAGCCATTTCTAATAAAACTTCAAAGTAAAATAGAAATTAAAAAGAAACTATAGGCCAGACACGGTGGCTCACGCCTGTAATCCCAGCACTTTGGGAGGCCAAGGTAGGCAGATCACTTGAGGTGAGGAGTTTGAGACCAGCCTGGCCAACCACTTTGTCTCTACTGAAAATACAAAAATTAGCTGGGCATGGTGGCATGCACCTGTAGCCCCAGCTACTCGGGAGGCTGAGGCACAAGAATTGCTTGAACTCATGAGACAGAGGTTGCAATGAGCCGAGATCATGCCATTGCACTCCAGCCTGGGCGGCAGAGTGAGACTCTATCTCAAAAAAAAAAAAAGAAAGAAACTATTTAAACATGATAAAGACTTCCGAAACTCAACAGCAAACATATTAAATGAAAATGTGAAGTCATTTTCACTAAAATCAGGAACGAGAGAAGGATGCTATCACCACTGTTATTCAACATTGTTTTGTATGTTCTAAACAATCCAATAAGACAAGAAAATGAAGTGGTATGTGTAGAAGACTGTTAGTTGTCCTCCAAAATCTATTCTCCCCTTCCTCCTCAGAAGTTCGGCTTTAAAGCACATGACTGAGACAGACTACATTTTCCAGTTTTTCTTAAAGATACCTGCAGCCACATCACCATGTTTGCACCAGTAGAATATGCACAGAAGAGATAGGTTTCAATGTACCCCTCAAGTGCTTAAAAGGAAATTGCTTGTCCTAGACTTTTCTCCCACCCTGCTCCCCACAGGCTATAATATAGGTACAACTGTAATTTAGCTTCAACCATTCAGATGAGCACAATACCCCAGTAGATGGCTGGATAGTAATGGATCACTGAATAACCTTGTGGAGCAAGGATGTCCCACCAGCCTGAATTGGTCATATGGATATGTAATAAATAAATAAGCTGGACAGGTGTGGTGGCTCATGCCTGTAAGTCCAGCACTTTGTGAGACTGAGGTGGGCAGATTGCTTGAGCCCAGGAATTCAAGACCAGCCTGGGCAACATGGTGAGACCCCATCTCTATTTTAAATAAATAAATAAATAAATAAATAAATAAATAAACTTCTATCATATTTTTTTTCTCTCTCTCCCTCTGGCTCTCATTTGGCTTTTACTAAAACCAATATAATAGGAATAATTATCAGAAAAAAGACCCAGAAATTATCAAATTTTTATTATATTCATAGAAAACCCAATAGACTCTGGTTTTACAAAAATTTCCAGAATTGTTTTCCTCACACCACTGACATTTTGAAAAAACTACTAGAATTAATAAAAGTTTTTGGTAAGGTGGTTAGCTACATGACAAGCAAAAAACAAGTAGAATTTTCTAATGTTACGAATAACCAGCTAGGAATAGCAATGGGAAAATATTCCATTCACAATACCAAAAAAAATTTAAAATAATCTAGGAATGAATGGAACAGGAGATATACAGGATTTATATGAAGAACATTATAACTTCTTTTTGAAAAACCTAAAACAAGATCTGAGCAAATTGAAAGATATAAAAACACTAATCCTCCCTCAAATAACAAATACAATAAAATTCAAATAGGAATATTTGTAAACATCCCATTGAACTGGATAAAACAACTTTATATTATAATTATTATAGAAATTAAAATTGTATTTATTATTTTGAATGAGTAAAATATTCATATCGTTCAAATTCAAAAGGTCCCAAGAGGTATGCTGTGATAAAGCTCTTTTCCAGGCCTCCCCCAGCCACTCAGTCCATTCCACATAGGCAGCCTAGGTCACCAGTTTCTCCCATAAACTTTCAGAGATATTTGCATCATCATTATTATTATTTTTTTGAGACAGAGTCTCACACTGTCACCCAGGCTGGAGTGCAGTGGCACAATCTTGACTCACTGCAACCTCTGCCTCAAGTGATCCAGCCTCCCATAATGCTGGGATTATAGGTGTGAGCCAGCGTCCCCCCACTGTGCCCAGCCTGCATCACATTTTTTTACACAGGTGATAGTGTGATATACAGATTTTTCTGCATATTGCTTTATTTGTCTTAGCAATGTGACTCTGAGATGTACAGAGCTTGCTTCTTGTTTCTTTTATTTTTTTATTTGTATACATTTATGTCTATGATGCTGTATTAGTCCGTTTTCATGCTGCTGATAAAGACATACCCGAGACTGGGCAATTTACAAAAGAAAAAGGTTTAATATGGACTTACAGTTCCACATGGCTGGGGAAGCCTCACAATCATGGCAAAGGAAGGGAGGAGCAAGTCACATCTTACATGGATGGCAGCAGGCAAAGAAAAAGAGCTTGTGAAGGGAAACTCCCCCTCATAGTACCATCAGATCTTGTGAGACCCACCCACAACCATGAGAATGCCATGGGAAAGACCTGCCCCTATGATCCAGTTACCTCCCACTGGGTCCCTCCCACAATACGTAGGAATTAAAGGTGAGATTTGGGTAGGGACACAGCCAAACCATATCATTCTGGCCCTGGACCCTCCCAAATCTCATGACCTCGCATTTCAAAACCAATTATGCCTTCCCAACAGTCCCCCAAAGTCTTAACTCATTTCAGCATTAACTCAAAAGTACACAGTCCAAAGTCTCATCCCAGACAAAGCAAGTCCCTTCTGCCTATGAGCCTGTAAAATCAAAGGCAAGTTAGTTACTTCCTAGATACAATGGGGGTACAGACATTGGGTAAATACAGCCATTCCAAAGGAGAAATTGGCCAAAACAAAGGGGCTACAGGCCCCATGTGAGTCTGAAATCCTGTGGGGCAGTCAAATCTTAAAGGTCCAAAATGATCTCCCTTGACTCCATGGCTCACATCCAGGTCACACTGATGCAAGAGGTGGGTTCCCATGGTGTTGGGCAGCTCCACCCCTGTGGCTTTACAGGGTATGGCCCCGCTCCCGGTTGCTTTCTTGGGCTGGCTGAGTGTCTGTGGCTTTTCCAGGCACATGGTGCAAGCTGTTGGTGGATCTACCATTCTGGGGTTTGGAAGACAGTGGTCATCTTCTCATAGCTCCATTAAGTAGTGCCCCAGTAGGGACTCTGTGTGGCAGCTCAGAACCCACATTTCCCTTCTGCACTGCCCTAGCAGAGGTTCCCCGTGAGAGCCTCGTCTCTGCAGCAAACTTTTGCTTGGACATCCAGGTGTTTCTATAAATCCTCTGAAATCTAGGCAGAGGTTTCCCAACCTCAATTCTTGACCTCTGCTCACCTGCAGTCTCAACACCACATGGAAACTGCCAAAGCTTGGGGCTTGCAGTCTCTGAAGCCATGGCCCAAGCTGTACCTTGGCCCTTTTTAGTCATGCCTGGAGTGGCTGGCACACAGGGCACCAAGTCCCTAGGCTGTGCACAGCACAGGGACCCTGGACCTAGCTCACAAAACCGTTTTTTCTTCCTAGGCTCCCAGGCATGTGATGGGAGGGGCTGCCGTGAAGACCTCTGACATGCCCTGGAAACATTTTCCACATTGTCTTGGAGATTAACATTTGGCTCCTCATTACTTATACAAATTTCTGCAGCTGGCTTGAATTTCTCCTTAGAAAATGGGATTTTCTTCTCTATCACATTGTCAGGCTGCAAATTTTTCAAACTTTAATACTCTACTTCCCTTATAAAACTGAATGCATTTAACAGCACCCAAGTCACCTCTTGAATGCTTTGCTGCTTAGAAATTTCTTCCACCAGATACTCTAAATCATCTCTGTCAAGTTCAAAGTTCCACAAATCTCTAGGGCAGGGGCAAAATGCTGCCAGTCTCTTTGCTAAAACATAACAAGAGTCACCATTGCTCCAGTTCACAACAAGTTCCTCATCTCAATCTGAGACCACCTCTGCCTGGATCTTACTGTTCATATCACTATCAGCATTTTTGTCAAAGCCATTCAACAAGTCTCTAGGAAGTTCCAAACTTTTCCACATTTTTTCTGTCTTCTTCTGAGCCCTCCAAACTGTTCCAACCTCTGCCTGTTACTCAGTTCCAAAGTTGCTTCCACATTTTCAGTTATCTTTTCAGCAACGACTTATACAATTTATTGCATTAGTCCATTTTCATGCTGCTGATAAAGACATACCCGAGACTGGGCAATTTATAAAGGAAGGAGGTTTAACATGGACTTCCAGTTCCACATGGCTGGGGAAGCCTCACAATCATGGCAGAAGGGAAGGAGGAGCAAGTCACATCTTACGTGGATGGCAGCAGGCAAAGAAAAAGAGCTTGTGCAGGGAAACTCCCCTTATAATACCATCAGATCTTGTGAGACCCACCCACAACCATGAGAACACCATGGGAAAGACCTGCCCCCATGATCCAGTTACCTCCCACTGGGTCCCTCCCACAACATGTGGAAATTAAAGATGAGAATTGGGTGGGGACACAGCCAAACCATATCAGATGCATATTCTTACTTTCCTGCTATATTGTATCATTCTCCTCTAGTAAACTGTACATTTGTAAGCACCCTCATGCTGGGTCTCCTGGGTCTTCTACAGCAATCCAACCCTGTTTAACTATTGGGAACTTATAGTAGGGGAGTTGCGCCTGATTCTTGTCTGTGAATTTTTTTTTTTTTTTTTTGAGACAGAGTCTCACTCTGTCGCCCAGGCTGCAGTGCAGTGGTGCAATATTGGCTCACTGGAACCTCTGCCTCCTGGGTTCAAATGATTCTCCTGCCTCAGCCTCCTCAGTAGCTGGGACTACAGGATCGTGGCACTATGCTTGACTAATTTTGTATTTTTAGTAGAGGCAGGGTTCCACCATGTTGGCCAGGCTGGCCTCTAACTCCTGGCCTCAAGCAATTTGCCTGCCTCAGCCTCCCAAAGTGCTGGGATTACAGGCATGAGCCACCACACCTGGCACTGGCTGGTTTTTAATTTTATTTTATAAGCAATACTCTTGTTGGCTTCTATTATGGGCTGAATTGTGTCCCCCTCAAAATTCATATGTTGAATTTCTAATCCCCCTTTCCCTAGAATGTGACTGTATTTGGAGACAGAGCTTTTAAAGAGGCAATTGAGGTAAAAAGAGATCATATAGGTGGGCCCTAATCCAATATGACTGGTGTCCTTAGAGGGAAGAGATTAGGACACAGACAATACAGAGCCCATGGGGCAACTATGTTAGGACAGTGAGAAGGAGACCATCTGCAAGCCAATGAGAAAAGCCTCAGAAGAAACCAAACTGTCCCCACCTTGAATTGGACTCCTGGCCTCCAGAACTGTGAGAAAATACATTTCTATTGTTTAAGCAACCTATCTGTGGTATTTTGTTATGGCAGCCTTAGCAAATTAATATAGGTTCTCATCTATCTTGTTCCAGGGAATGTCAGTTTGTTAACTATCTCTACAGAGTCCTGTAGGTCAAAGTTCCATCTTTGCCATTCCAGACTTGCTGTCCATTACGATTATTACATTCACCTTGACTCTGACAGTTAACTGCTACCACCTGGCCTCTGCTCTTTCAGAATCCTATTATCTTCATTGACAGACACCAAGGGGCCTAATTACATAGCAATCTCTCCTATCATGTACCCTGACCCATAGAAAACAGCCACCATGGAGTTTTTCAATATTGCTAGTAGCCTTAACAAAACAAGTGTCCTCTGGGCCCTCTCAGGAGACATTGTCCACTGATATATTTTCTGGTTTTGCATAAGTAAGCTGTGCTAATTTGCCTACCTTTCTGAGCCTTTTGACCCTTCTCTCAAGTCAAGGCAGTTCCAACAACTCCCCTTCATTTACTACAGAGGCATTGTTGTCTCCAAGTTTCAAGGAGCCATTCCAGCAGCATACTAGGACTGGCTCCAGATGTCCTTGCCAGGATGCTAAATCCTGAGTCATGGGAGAGTGTTCCAATAACTATAAATTCTTCCATATCCAGCTTTCTATCCCTTCCTGGTCCAGAACCCTCAAGATCTATTCCCAGTTTATTCTCCTGATTCCTGCAAATAGAAATTTTCCAAGACTGACAACTATTCAGTGAATAATCTCTTTTCTCCCATAGTAGAAACACTGTTTCTCTTCTTGGCCCATGTTAAGAATCATCCCTTGTTATTTGTCTATAGAAGAAATGTGCTGAGGTGGGGGCAGATCTTGTGGAAGATAAGCATCATCCTTCTGTGTAAGTCTATCACTCTCACAGTCAAACCTGGGGTCTATTAGAATAGACTATTCTTTTCCGGAAGAGATTTAAAAAATACAATTTCTTATGAAGGCCTTTTGCTTTCACATCATTCTTTTAAAAAAATTTCTTTTTGAGACAAGGTCTTGCTCTGTCATCTGGGATGGAGTGCAGTGGCATGATCACAGCTCACTGCTGCCTTGACCTCCCAGGCTCAAGCGATCTTCCCACCTCAGCCTTGTGAGTAGCTAGGACCACAGGCATTCACCACCATGCCTAGCTATTTTTAAAAATTATTTGGAAAAACAGAGTCTCACTGTGTTGCCCAGGCAGGTCTCAAACTCCTGGGCTCAAGTGACCCTCCCACGTTGGCCTTCCAAAGTGTTAGAATTACAGGCATGAGTCATCGAGCCTGGCCCACACTATTCCTTGAGTTAATAGCTGGCTAACCATGGCTGGGCGTGGCGGCTCATGCCTAATCCTAGCACTTTGGGAGGCCAAGGCAGGTGGATCAGCTGAGGTCAGGAGTTCAAGACCAGCCTCGCCAACATGGTGAAACCCTGTCTCTACTAAAAATACAAAAATTAGCCGGGTGTGGTGGCACACGCCTGTAATCCCAGCTACTTGGGAGGCTAAGGCAAGAGAATTGCTTGAACCCGGGAGGCAGAGGTTGTGGTGAGCCGAGATCGCACCATCGCACTCCAGTCTGGGCAACAAGAGCGAAACTTCATCTCAAAAAAAAAAAAAAGTTAGCTGACAAAACTTATCATTTTCTTCCTTTAAGGTTTCTATGGCCATTAACAACAGGAAACTAACTCAATGATTCTTAAAATTTCCACCTTTCAAGTGCTAGAACTATTGCATAAGCTTCCTTTCACTTGTACCCTATACCAATCTCAGCAATTGTGAGGCAACAGCATGCCAGGGATTACCAACACTCTGCTTACCATCAGTAATGAGGTTCTTGTTTTCATACGTTCTACAAGTGATCCAGCTCCAGAATTCCATCCTGAGGGTCTATTTTAAATGACCACTTCTGGTACCAAAAGTCATACTTTGGGTGAAACAGGCCCTGAGGTAAATGTTTGAGAGCAAGTGGTTTACTTGGGAGGTAATCCCAGGAAACAATGGAAGGAAGTGAGATAGGGAAGAAATGGAAAACAATATATGGTCTGCCAAAAAAAAAAAAAAAAAAAAGCCATGTGCAAGTGGCTCATGCATGTAATCCCAGCACTTTGAGGTCAGGAGTTTGAGACCAGCCTGGCCAACATGGCAAAACCCCGTCTCTACTAAAAATACAAAAATTGGCCGGGTGTGGTGGCTCATGCCTGTAATCCCAGCACTTTGGGAGGCTGAGGCGGGTGGATCATGAGGTCAGAAGTTTGAGACCAGCCTGGCCAAGATGGTGAAACCCCGTCTCTACTAAAAAATACAGAAATTAGCCAGGCGCGGTGGCAGGTGCCTGTAATCCCAGCTACTCGGGAGGCTGAGGCAGGAGAATCGCTTGAACCTGGGAGGCAGAGTCTGCAGTGAGCCGAGATCACGCCACTGCCACTGCACTCTAGCCTGGGAGACAGAGCAAGACTCCGTCTCAAAAAAAAAAAAAATACAAAAGTCAGCCGGGTGTGGTGGCGGGCACCTGTAATCCCAGCTACTTGGGAGGCTGAGGCAGGAGAATCGCTTGAACCCGGGGGGTGGAGGTTGCAGTGAGCCAAAATCATGCCACTGCACTCCAGGCTGAGCAACAAGTGAGACTCCGTCTCAAAACACAACACAACACAACACAACACAACACAACACAACACAACACAACACAACACATGGTCTGCTAATGAACAAATTACTCTGGGGCAACTCGGATTCAATTCCACTGGGGCCTCAGGAAGGGTAAATAGGACATGCATCGGGTTTTCTGCCCAGGGAACAAGGAAGCTGGGGGTATTTTCCCTTCATTTGTGTCCATCATTGATAGAGGGTTTCTCCCAAGGGCCTTAACTCCCTGGCACTTCTGGCCTGCCTTGTATACTGGCTAAGCACACTCCTGTGGTCAGAAAGCCCTTAGGCAGAGAGTCACAGGTGCTTGCAGTTAAGAAACCAGTGGCCCATACAGAAACATTGAGTGCTTAGAGGATATTGGGAGGAACATCTAGAGTCTGTTATGAGGGGGGATGGTGAGCGGGAATTAACAAGTTTTTTTTGTTTTGTTTTGTTTTTGAGACAGAGTCTTGCTCTGTTGCCCAGGCTAGAGTGCAGTGGCACAATCTCGGTTCCCTGCAACCTCCACCTCCCGGGTTCAAGGGATTCCCCTGCCTCAGCCTCCCCAGTAGCTGGGACTACAGGCACCCTCCACCACGCCTGGCTGGTTTTTGTATTTTTAGCAGAGACAAAGTTTCGCCATGTTGGTCAGGCTGGTCTCCAACTCCTGACCTCAGGTGATCTGCCTGCCTCAGCCTCTCACAGTGCTGGGATTACAGGCATAAGCCACCGCACCTGGCCGGAATTATTACATTTGTTTTTAAATAGCCTTGTTCCCTTTTTCTGGTTGAGGTGAGCTAGTGCCTGTACACTGGTTGCCATGGAGCAGCTAGATGGAAGATTTTCTCATTTAGATTTTGAAGTAGGAGGTTCAGTACTACAAAGCTGCACATACTGGGTGATTCTTCCCCAAATAGGGAGAGGGATTGGATGTTGAGCAGCAATCAATCAGTGAATAGAACAACAACAAGAAGAAATAACAATTGAAAAATTCTACTACCCACATTATTCATAACCACCAGTCCAAGTTTCTGTTATATTCTCTCATAGCCTCATACTTTTACCTTCTTATCACTCAGAGGTGTTTTTGTCTGTAACAGAATATCTACCTACAATGGCTTAAATATGGATTTCTGGGTTTATTTTCTCACAAAACTGGAAAGCTAGAGATCCGGGGCTGCTAGCATTTGTTCAGCAGCTCAACAATGTTAGGGCTGATGGCTTCACAGTTCTTCTGGCCTTTTCCTCAATGCCACTAGATGACTTTTACAGCTCCACATTAAAGGCAAAAATAAGAAAGAAGAGTTAGAGACAGCGCTGTTCTCAGGAAAGCAAAAGTTTTCCCAAAGAACCCCTGCATTCGTTTCCCATGACTGCTGTAACAAACTACCATAGACTTAGTGGCTTAAAAGAACACGAGTTAGTTTGTTTATTTATTTACTTATTCTATTTTATTTATTTATTTATTTATTTGAGACAGAGTTTCACTCTTTTTTTTTTTTTTTTTGAGACGGAGTCTGGCTCTGTTGCCCAGGCTGGAGTGCAGTGGTGTGATCTCCACTTACTGCAAGCTCCGCCTCCCAGGTTCACACCATTCTCCTGCCTCAGCCTCCCGAGTAGCTGAGACTACAGGTGCCCGCCACCACGCCCGGCTAATTTTTTGTATTTTTAGTAGAGATGGGGTTTCACCATGTTAGCCAGGATGGTCTCAATCTCCTGACCTCGTGATCCACCCGCCTCAGCCTCCCAAAGTGCTGGGATTACAGGCGTGAGCCACTGCACCCCGGCCTAGACAGAGTTTCATTCTTGTTGCCCAGGCTGGAGTGCAATGGCGCGATCTCAGCTCACAGCAACCTTGGTCTCCTGAGTTCAAGCGATTTTTCTGCCTCAGCCTTCCGAGTAGCTGGGATTACAGGCATGCGCCACCATGCCCGGCTAATTTTTGTATTTTTAGTAGGGACAGGGTTTCTCCATGTTGGTCAGGCTGGTCTTGAACTCCCGACCTCAGGTGATCTGCCCGCCTCGGCCTCCCAAAGTGCTGGGATTACATGCGTGAGCCACCAAGCCCGGCCATAAGAACACAGGTTTAATATCTCACAGTTCTGGATGTCGGAAGTCTGAAATGGGTCTCTCTGGGCTAAAATCACAGTGTCTGCAGGGCTGTGTGCCTTCTGGAGGTTCTGGGGGTGTATTGGTTTCCTTTTCTTTTCCAGCTTCTCAAGGGTGCCCATATCCCTTGACAGGTAGCTCCCTTCCACCTTCACAGCCAGCAACAGCAATCACAATCACATCACTTTTGACCTTTTTTTTTTTTTAAGATGGAGGCTTGCTCTGTCGCCCAGGCTGGAATGCAACGACAAGATCTCAGCTTACTGCAAGCTCCACCTCCCGGGTTCAAGCAATTCTCCTGCCTCAGCCTCCCAAGTAGCTAGGATTATAGGTGCCTACCACCACGCCCAGCTAATTTTTGTATTTTTACTAAAGGCAGGGTTTCACCATGTTGGCCAGGCTGGTCTCGAATGCCTGACCTCAGGTGATCCTCCTGCCTTGGCCTCCCACAGTGCTGGGATTACAGGTGTGAGCCACTGCGCCCAGCCTACATCACTTTGACTTCTGTTTTCATCACCACATCTCCTTCTCTGACTCTTCTGCTGCCAGCTGTCTTCCACATTTAAGGACTCTTGTGATTATTTTGGACCCACCTGAATAATTCCAGCTGATCTCCCTATTTTAAGGTCACCTGGTTTGCAACCTTACTTCTATTTGCAGTCATAATTCCCCTTTGCCATGTAACCTAACATATTCACAGGTTCTGGAGACTAGGACATGTACATCTTTTGGGGGGCCATTATATTGCCTACCACAACCCACTGTGTCTCTTTGGCCAGTATTCTAGCTGGGAGGAGGCTGGGGAAAATGGGACTGGGAGTGAGAGTTGGGTCGCTGAACAACAGTGTCTGCCATACCTTGCTAGAACTTTAGACAGTTTTTTACTATATACTAATTGTATGGTACTCTCCCCAGTAGATTATATGTTCCATAAGAGCAAGAATCATGTCTGTTTTGTTAGTCATTGTATTTTCAGCACATAACACAGTACCAAACACATAATAGCGGCTCAATAAATTTGTAATGTGTAAAGGAATGTATGAACAAGTACATACACACACATATACACATACTTGCTACAGCATTTCTTTCTTTTCTTTTTTTTTTTTCTTTGTTTTTTTTTTTTGAGACGGAGTCTCACTCTGTCGCCCAGGCTGGAGTGCAGTGGTGCGATCTCGGCTCACTGCAAGCTCCGCCTCCTGGGTTCATGCTATTCTCCTGCCTCAGCCTCCGGAGTAGCTGGGACTACAGGCGCCCGCCGCCACGCCCGGCTAATTTTTCTGTATTTTTAGTAGAGACGGGGTTTCACTGTGTTAGCCAGGATGGTCTCGATCTCCTGACCTCGTGATCCACCCACCTCGGTTTCCCAAAGTGCTGGGATTACAGGCGTGAGCCACCACGCCCGGCCTTCTTTTCTTTTCTTTTTTTTTTTTTTGAGATGGAGTCTCGCTCTGTCGCCCAGGCTGGAGTGCAGTGGCGTGATCTTGGCTCACTGCAACTTCCTCCTCCTGGGTTCAAGCGATTCTCTTGCCTCAGCCTCTCCAGTAGTTAGGATTACAGGTGCATACGACCATGCCCGGCTAGTTTTTGTATTTTAAGTAGAGACAGGGTTTCATCATGTTGGCCAGTATGGTAACAAACTCCTGACCTCAAGTAATCTGCCCACCTTGGCCTCCCAAAGTGCTGGGATTACAGGCATGAGCCACTGCGCCCAGCCTGCTACAGCATTTTTGGGGTCATAGCTAAGACCTGGAAACAATTTAACTATTCCTCTATGGGAAACTGATTAAAGAAATAATTGAGGACAGGCACAGTGTCTCACACCTGTAAATCTCAGAACTTTGGGAGGCTGAGGCCGGAGGATTGCTTGAGACCAGGAGTTTGAAACTAGCTTGGCCATAGTGAGACCCTATTTCATTTACATATATATATATGTATATACACATACACATACACACACACACACACACACACACACACACACACACACACACACACATACACAGAGGCTGGGTGCGTGGCTTACGCCTGTAATCCCAGAACTTTGGGAGGCCGAGGCGGGTGGATCACCTGAGGTCAGGAGTTCAAGACCAGCCTGACCAACATGGTGAAACCCCCTCTCTACTAAAAATACAAAATTAGTTGGGCATAGTGGCATGTGCCTGTAATCCCAGCTACTCAGGAGGCTGAGTCAGGAGAATCACTTGAACCTGGGAGGCAGAGGTTGCAGTGAGCCAAGATCGTGCCATTGCACTCCAGCCTGGGCAATGAGAGTGAAACTCCGTCTCCAAAAAAAGAAGAATTGATTTTTTTTCCCGAATAAATCCCTAGTGCATTTATATTATGAAATACTATGCAATTCTTATAAACCATGAGGCAGATCTTAAATGTAGTGACATGAAAGGATGTTCATGATTTATCATTAACGGAAAATGCAAGTTGCAGAACAGCATGTATTGTATGACCCTATTTATGAGATAGAGAATAAACTGAAGCTTATTACCCCAGGGAGAAAAGAACACAAAGAACCAGAAAGAACAAAGAATCAAATTCTTGGCCTTGAGTTATTCCAGGAACACATACCAAGCATATTCCTGTCTCATGGGTTTTGCAGTGATTTTTCTTTCTGCCTGTAATACTCTTCTCTCACATATTAACATATTGACATGAATTATAATTAATAGCTTGCTCTCTGTTCATTAAGGTCTCTGTCCAATGTTTTCTTCTTAGAGATGCCTGATTTGACCACCCTGTCTAAAATAGCATTCCCTATCACTCTTCATCTCCTTGCTCCACTTTATTTTTATGACATTGTATTTCTATTAGTTTAATTGCTTATTGTGTCTCTTCTCCTTTAAAACATACACCTCAGGAGGCCAGGGTTCTTGGTGATTCGGATGTAGGTTGCTGGAGTATCTCACTTTAAGAACCACTTTTTTTTTTTTTTTTTTTTTGAGATGGAATTTCACGCTTGTTGCCCAGGCCGGAGTGCAGTGGCGTGATCTCGGCTCACTGCAACCTCTGTCTCCTGGGTTCAAGTGATTTTCCTGCCTCAGACTCCCAAGTAGCTGGGATTACAGGCGTCCGCCACCACGCCCAGCTAATTTTTTGTATTATTAGTAGAGACAGATTTCACCATGTTGGTCAGGCTGGTCTCGAACTCCTGACCTCAGGTGATCCACCCGCCTCAGCCTCCCAAAGTGCTGGGATCACAGGCATGAGCCACCGCACCCAGCCTTTTAAGAACCACTTCTAATGTTTAGGGCAGCAGTTCTCAAAATATTGTCTCTAGACCAACAGCAGGAGTGTCACCTGGTACCTGTTAGAAATGCACATTTCAAGCCCCACCCTAGACCTACTGAATTAGAAACCCTGTGAGTAGGGCCCAGCAGTCTGTTTTAATAAGCTTTCTAGGGGATTCTGATGCACACTAAAGTTTGAGAACCACTGACTGAATAAAAAAAATTAGCCAGGTGCTGTGACATGCACTGTAGTACCAGCTACTCAGGAGGTTGAGGAAGGAGGATTGCTTGAGCCCAGGAGGTTGAGGCTGCAGTGAGCCGTGATCACACCACTGCACTCCAGCCTGAGCAACAGAGAGATACCCTGTTTCAAAAAAAAAGAACGTTGAAATCCTGTGTTTAACTTAAGTTTAATTTTTTTGTGTGTCTAGACCTCTGATTACTGATCCTCTTTTCCTTCACGAGTTTCACTTTCCAGTAAACTCGCTGCACTCCTAATTTCTGCTTCTTCCTCCTAAAGAATGCTATCTGCTTGATGACCTCTTTGCTAGGGGAAATGGGACATTTTTAATGTGTGGCATGAATTGAATGGTGATTACTTAAATTATCACCCATGGTGGCTTCAAATGGGATGCAATTGTAGGACAAATCTTTGCAAAATGAAATGGCTAGAGCACTTAGTCCCTATGGTGACAATGGTGATTGCTAACTTGGCTAAGGCTGTTTCTGATGACCATAAAGAATTTACATCGAAAAGAGGACAAACTGAAAGCCTTGAATGCACACCTCATACCACAATGGAAAATCAAAGAGCCACAATGCCAGCATTAAAGTAGTCTTAATTCTCCTGGAGCTGCAGGACAGATAAGCCTGAAGATCATGCTCAGGGACTGATTATAATTTTTTTTTAACTTTTTTGAGACGGACTTTCGCTTTTGGTGCCCAAGCTGGAGGGCAATGGCATGACAAGCGATTCTCTTTCCTCAGCCTCCCGAGTAGCTGAGATTACAGGTGTGTTCCACCATGCCTGGCTAATTTTTCGTATTTTTTTTTTTTTTTAGTAGAAACAGGGTTTCACTATGTTAGCCAGGCTGGTCTTGAACTCCTGACCTCTGGTGATCCGCCCGCCTCGGCCTCCCAAAGTGCTGGGATTACAGGCGTGAGCCACCACACCCGGCCAGGACTGATTATAAATGTTGCAGATGTGTGGCATCAATTAAAGGTAAAGACTTGCCAGGACTCTTAGGCTAAGTTAAAGGCACTCCTGGGGAAGGAATAGGACCCTAACACATTGGATGGAATTATTTGGGCATAAACAGATGAGGCTGAGAAAAATTTAACCCCCAACTCCCCTTCCTTGCCAGTAGAAGCAGCCCTATATTCCTTGTCTAAGGGTACCAGGCTTCCCCTGTGTAAAAACCTTTTATGGCCAGGCATGGTGGCTCACGCCTGTAATCCCAGCACTTTGGGAGGCTGAGGTGGGTGGATCTCCTGAGGTCAGGAGTTCGAGACCAGCTTGGCCAACATGGTGAAACCCTGTCTCTAGTAAAAATACAAAAATTAGCCAGGCAAGGTGGTGGATGCCTGTAATCCCAGCTACTTGGGAGGCTGAAGTAGGAGAGTTGCTTAAACCCAGGAGGTGGAGGTTGCAGTGAGCGAAGATCATGCCACTGCATTCCAGCCTGGGTGACAGAAAAAAAAATAAACAAAAACAAAAAGATCTTAGTGTAGCCCAGATGCTCAAATGCCCAAGGGGAAGGGAATGTTAAAGTGGGATTATTATATGCCACCTGCTCAGTGCCTACTTCCAACTATATTCTCAGAAGAACTGGGTGGTGGGGTGACCCACTGTCTTGATTCACCTAGGACTTACAGGTTTCCTAGGTTATGACGTTTTCAGTTTAAAAGCAGTACAGTCCCAGGAAAATTGGGACAACTTGGTCACCCTACTGGGAGGGCACTCTCTTCAATAAGGCATCAAGAAATACATTGGTGAGATGAGCATTAGTATTATTGAAAAGCTCCATAGAATATCCTTTGTAGGCCGGGGATAATGGTGGGAGATGCTTCAGTGGGAACAATAGGGTCCAAAAGGGTACAGTGCCTGTGATGGTACTTAACTTTGAGAACTAAGGTGGGTGCAAGTAACATAATAAAGTGCAGGGATAGGATGGCAATAGAGTGTTTTTGCCTCCATCTGTTGCAGTGGTTGATTATTTATGGAATTCCCTTGGAATAAAATAGGTGTGACTTTCAGAAGCAGAAAAATTCTAGGTCTGATACGCAGAAACTTTGCAGACTCCTCAACTCCTACTCTGTTCCCAGATCTACTAAGCCAGTTCACAGATCTGGAGCCCATTGATTAAGAGGGAGGCTGGATCTCTCTGAGAAAGGACTCAGCTGTGATGCTATCACAGATATATATTGCAAATCTTCTAAATCTCCCTCAGACTGGGACCTGTGCCCATTTACCAGAGGACCATGACCAAGAAAAAGAAAATACCCAGAACTATTTGAAAATTATTAGATCCTGTTTCTGAATTGATGCTAATTCTTTTTTTTTTTTTTTTTTTTTTTTTGAGACGGAGTCTCGCTCTGTCACCCAGGCTGGAGTGCAGTGGTGCGATCTCGGCTCACTGCAAGCTCCGCCTCCCGGGTTCACGCCATTCTCCTGCCTCAGCCTCCTGAGTAGCTGGGACTACAGGCGTCCGCCACCATGCCCGGCTAATTTTTTGTATTTTTAGTAGAGACGGGGTTTCACTGAGTTAGCCAGGATGGTCTCGATCTCCTGACCTCGTGATCTGCCCTCCTCGGCCTCCCAAAGTGCTGGGATTACAGGCGTGAGCCACCACGCCTGGCCAATGCTAATTCTTATAGACATAGTTTGCCACTGTCGTCCATCACCAGAGAGGGGATTTATTGAGTCAGGTGCTAAATAAAGTCTTGGTCTGAGTCCATTCAGTGGGAACTTGCACCCGTCTTTGCAGAATCACCACACATTGTTTTTCTGACCCACATATCCACAGAGGGAAAGCTCTTATTATAGGGAAGTAGCAAATAGCAACCCTTTTAACTGTACATCCTCCTCTCACCCCTACCACTAAAGCAATACCAAATCCCTGAGACAATGGGAGAGATTGGAACCAAAACCAAGGACTTGAAAAATGGAAATGTGAAGATTCCAACTGCTTACCCATTTAACTGGCCCATTTGGCCTATGGAAAATGCCATATAGGTTTTGGAAAATGATTGTGAGCTACTGTTAGTCAGATAATGATGCCAGTCATGGCTGTGGTTCCCATTTACTGGAGCAAATGAACGTCGCCTCTGGCACCTAATTCCCTAGCAAATGTTATCAGCAAAGATAATCAGGAACAGTTTATCCTCATTCTCTTACCTCAGGGCTATCTTAAACTATGTTGTTTTCTGTCATAATCTATTCCAAAAGGAACTGCTGTCTTTTCATCCCACAGACATAATGCTGGTCCATTACATTGATGACATAATGATAATGATCACTATGAGCAGCAACAATCAAGCACCCTAATTGACTTGTGGTCACAGGCTAGGAGACAAATCCTGCGAAAGTTCTGATGTCTGCTAAATGGATGACATTTCTAGGGGTCCAGTGGTCTGGAGCATGTCAGGATACCTCCTCTAAAATAAAAGACAAATTGTTTTTCCCTGCATCGCCCACCACAAAGAAAGAAACCAATCCTCTGCGGGCTTCTTTAGATTTAGGTGGCAATGTATACCATATTTGGGCATGCTGCTCTGGCCTATTTACTGAGTAACCTGTAAGGCTGCCAGTTTTGAGTGAGATTTGAAGTAAGAAAAGGCTCTGCAGCAAATCTGGGCTGCCCTGTTGGTTGGGCCTTATGACTCAGCAGACTGAATGGTTTTGGAAGAGTGTGGCAGAGACGTTCTATGAAGCCCATTACAATTCTCACAGCATGGAATCTTAGGGGATTGAAGCAAGGCTATATTTCCCCTTTTTATTTTTTGAGACAGGGTCTGGCTCTGTTGCCCAGGCTGGAGTGCAGTGGTGCAATCTTGGCTCACTGCAACTTCCACCTCCTGGGCTCAAGTGATTCTCCCGCCTCAGCCTCCAGGGTGGCTGGGACTACAGGTGCACACTACTGACCCCTGGCTACTTTTTGTATTTTTTGTAGAGATGCGGTTTAACCATGCTGTACAGGCTGGTCTCGAACTCCTGAGCTCAAGCAATCTGCCTGCCTCAGCCACCTAAACTGCTGGGATTGCAGGTATGAGCCACCGCACCTGGCCAAGACTATACTTTCCTTGCTTGACAATTATTCTCCATTTGAAAGGCAGCACCTGGTTTGCTACTAGGCCCCTTTTCCTTTTCTTTTTTCTTTCTTTTCTTTTCTTTCTTTCTTTTCTTTTCTTTTTTTTTTTTTAAACAGGGTCTTGTTCTGTTGCCCAGGCTGGATAGCAGTGGTAAAATTATAGCTCACTGCATCCTTGAACTCCTGGGCTCAAGGGATCCTTCCACCTCAGCCTGCCGAGTAGCTAGAACTACAGGTGTGCACCACCATGCCCAGATAATTTTTATTTTTTTTTTGTAGAGACAGGGTCTCACTATGTTGCCCAGGATGGTCTCAAACTCCTGTCCTCAAGTGATCCTCCTGCCTTGGCATCTCAAAGTGTTGGGATTACAGGCGTGAGCCACCATTCCTGGCCATGACTGTATTTCTGACTATGGAACACGAAGAAATTATGTGACTTGAACTGTCCATCATTAACTGAGTGTTATCCAACCCATTCAATCATCAAATGGCCATATGCAGGCAGCATTCCATTGTTAAATAGAAATTGCATATAATATTGGATCCTAGAAAAGTGGGAAGGTAAAAGTAAACTGAACGAGGAAGTGGCTCAGACTCTCATGGTACTTGCCACTACTTCTCCATAAGTCCATATATATGGCCTCAAAGAGAGCTCTCTATGACCATTTAACAAAGCAAGAAACTGTAGGTCTGTGGGTCTATGGATGTGTTTGCATAGTTGGCTTGCAGCTGCTGGAAGTGGGCAGCAGTTGTCTTATAGCCCCACTCAGGAATGGCCCCTAAAGATGGAGGTATAGGAAAATCTTCCCAAATATTACATCTGTTTGTTTACATTGAAGGAAAGAGAAATGTCCTCATATACTGATCTATGCAGATTCATGGGCAGAGGCTAATAAGTTGGCTGGCTAGTGAAGAGTGTGAAAAAAACAAGGTAAGAATTTGGTGATGAGGAGGCTTAGGAGAGAGATACATGGATGGGCCTCTTAGAGTAGGCCAGAGTGTGAAGGTATTTGTATTCCTCGTAATTGTCCCCAGAGTGCATTCTTTGTAGAGGAGACTCTCAGCAATCAAGTGGATGAGATGATCTATTTTGTTGATGTTAGCCAACCTTTTCCTTCAGCTACCTTAATGTTTGCTCAGTAGGCCCTTGAACAAAATGGTCATGGCAGCTGGAATGGGGTCTATATGTGGACTCGACAGCAGGTTCTTCTCACTGGAGCTGATCTCTCTAGCATCACTGTTTAATGGGCAATCTGCTTATCAGCAGAGACCAAAGGCTAAAGCATCAGTGTGGTTCCATTCCACAGGGAACCAGATAGTCATCTGGTGGGAGGTTAGTTACACTAGACTCCTTTCATCATGGGAGAAGGCACAAAATGTCCTTACAGGAATAGATACATAGTCTGAATACAAATTTGCTTTTCATACTTGTAGTGTTTTTGCCAGCACCACCATGTGGACTCATAGAATGCCTTATTCATCAACATGGCATCCCACCGAACAGTGCCACCAACAAAGGAACTCATTTTAGGATGAAGGAAATGTGATAAGCTCATCTCCATGGAATTAATTGATCTTATCCTGTGTCCCATCATGCAAAAACATCTGTCTTGATATGTCAACTGAAGAACCACATCAACTGAAAAATGATGAGGTTTATACATTTGGAAAGGAGAGTTTTTATGGAGTCTCACTCTGTTGCCCATGATGGAGTACAGTGGCACGATCTCAGCTCACTGCAACCTCCGCCTCCTGGGTTCAAGCGATTCTCCTGCCTCAGCCTCCTGAGTAGATTACAGGCATGTGTCACCACACCCAGCTAATTTTTGTATTTTTAGTAGAGACAGGGTTTCACCATGTTGGCCAGGCTGGTCTCAAACTCCTGACCTCAGGTAATCCACCCACCTCGGCCTCCCAAAGTGCTGGGATTACAGGTGTGAGCCACCGTGCCCGGCCGCTGAGAGTTTTATTTCTCATAAGGGGTTGCAACCTGCAGGCTGGCAATCTTGCATGCTGGGAAGCAAAGTCTCTGGCTGGACACATCAAGGGAGGAGTAAAGGGAACAAGAATTGAAGCTAAGAGGGTTGGCTAAGTATACATATTCAACAGGTTATAAGAGGAGCTATGACTATTCATGAAGGAGAGGCACAGGCATGTGTAGTAAGCTAACATGTAGGCAACAGGTGTCCCATGTTCACTTTGGGATAGAGACTTAACATTTAGATGTATTACAATTAGGCTCTATACATCAAAAGGTGAAGCAGAGGACATGAAATTCCTCTGTGCGCAGCCTCTGTAGAATAGTCAGAACTACCCCATGATCAGTGGCCTCTGATCAGGAAGAAATGCTAGTCAGTTGTTGTATCAAACCACAAAAGGGAGGGGCACCATCAGGTGTCAGGTGGTTGGTTGATATCAGTGGTGGAGCAAATCTTTCAAAAGCACTGGTTTCTGTTTAACTCTTAGGGAAGAAAGCTTATTGGCAGTTAGCAAGAGAGGGGGTAAAATGAGGCATGTCCTATCTCCCATCCCATCATGGCTGGGAACTAAGTTTTGAAAGTTTCTCTGGGGCCCACTTAGCCAAGAGAGGGGCCGTTTAGTGGGTTGCAGTGGTGGGTGGGGGCATAGAATTTAATTTAATTTAATTTAATTTTTTGAGACGGAGTCTCACACTGTCACCCAGGCTATAGCGCAGTGGTGCAATCTCAGGTCACTGCAACCTCTGCCTCCCGGGTTCAAGTGATTCTCCTGCCTCAGCCTCCCGAGTAGCTGAGATTACAGGTGCCTGCCACCACGCCTGGCTAATTTTGTTGTATTTTTAGTAGAGACGGTGTTTCTCCATGTTGGTCAGGCTGGTCTCGAACTCCTGATCTCGTGATTTGCCAGCCTTGGCCTCCCAAAGTGTTGGGATTACATGCGTGATGCACCACGCCCAGCCTGGATTTTATTTTATTATGTTTTTAATTTTTAATTTTTTTTTTTTTTTTTGAGACAGAGTCTCGCTCTGTGGCCCAGGCTGGAGTGCAATGGCATGATCTCGGCTCACTGCAACCTCTGCCTCCTGGGTTCAAGTGATTCTCCTGCCTCAGCCTCCCAAGTAGCTGAGATTACAGGCGCCCGCCACCATGCCCAGCTGATTTTTGTATTTTTGTAGAGATGGGGTTTCATCATGTTGATCAGGCTGGAATCTAACTCCTAACCTCAAGTGATCCACCTGCCTTGGCCTCCCAAAATGCTGGTATTACAGGTGTGAGCCACCGCACTCAGCCAGGATTTTATTTTTATTTCTCAGAATGGTGAAATTTCCTGATGAAAGCTCAGTAATGACACCAGCAGGGTGGCAGCACCCAGCAAGTTTGGGATTCTGTCCTACTGAACCTACTATGTGCTTTACATCATAGGCCAATATATCATATTCTCTCCATTGTTGCCATAGTGTATGGGTCCAAGATTCAAGGGGTAGAGGTAGGAGTGACCCCCTCACTGAAAAAATATTTGCTTTCCATTTCTACATGTTGGACTCAGTGGGTTAGGAAGTTCTAGTGCAGGAGAAATGCTTCCACCAGGGAATATGACAGGATTCTGACATTTGAGAAGCTGACACCCTGCTCTCTGGCCATTTTATGCTCCTCAATCTTCGAACAGCAGCATGATGAACAGGGGGCAAATAAGGAGTCACTGTACTGAGCAGGGTGGTCTATTCTGACTACTACACAATGAAGGCAAGAAGGACTGTGTCTAGAACCCACCGACTTTCAGTGGGCTTCCTCTTATCACTCTCTTGCTCAATAGTATTGGTCAATGAAAACTGGTAATTCAATCAAGGCAAGATTATAAGGACCCAGATTCAGTGGCGATAAAGGTTTCAGGAACTTTATCAGGTAATGTATCCCGGCCTGCTGAGATGCTGGAAGAGGATAAGGGAAACATGGAGTGAATGATAGAAAAAAGAGGTATGATTATCAACTGAAGGCTTGCTTCCCGTTTTAGAAGCGGGGACTGTAGCAACTATGTTTATGTTAATAGCTCCTCCTTCTCTTCTACTTTGTGTAAAAACCACTGGTGTTGGCTAATATTTTAGATTTCATGTGGGCATATATATGAATGAATCAACATCATCCTGTAATGATACAGTAGCTGATAGGACTTTGAACATTCTGTTTTGAGGACATGAGTTTTTCATCCAGACAAAAAGCAAGAGTGGATGTAGAGGGGACAAAAGGAATGGGCAGTACTGGAAATTCTGTTTTCCCTTTCAAGATCCACTTTTAACCTTTCTCCAGCCTGCTCTGTCCCCTGACCCATATAAACTGCATTCACCAGCATTTTTTGCATTGTGACTTCTTCTAGCCTTTAGCCCATGGGAGGTATCAGCAGGAGATCAGATGGTGAAGGAGAGAAAGATTGGGGTATTTTTCAGACTCCCTCCCTGCTGGGATATGAATTGGCAGTGACTATATTTCTCCACAGAAACCCACAGTTCCCTTTGGGTGTTGCTTTCCTTATAGCTACTGCTACAGCTCTCACTAGTTTTTGGTAAGGACTCCCTCCCCTTGCCCCTAGAGGCTTAGGAGTGCTAATGTTTTCTCGTGTTGCTATCCCAGAGGTGCTTCACCACCTGTTGTAGGTTTCCCTTAATCCTGCCCACATCCTTGTGCATGGTTGTTTCATTAAACTCTCTTTAATTATTCCTTTTAAGTATGTCATCTGCTTCCTGTCATGAACCCAATGATATAATTCCTAGTACTGGTTTATATGTAGCTTCTCTCTTCCTTTTTATGATCAGTCTTGCCAGAAGATTGTCAATTTTATTAGACTTTTCAACCAGCCAAGTTTTGGTTTTATTGATCCTTTATAATGGATATTTTCTTTTTCATTAATTTTTTAAAGATACCTGCTTATTCTCAGCCAGGCACAGTGGCTCAAGCCTATAATCCCAGCACTTTGGCAGGCCAAGGCAGGTGGATCCACTTGAGGCCAGGAGTTAGAGACCAGCCGGCCAACATAGAGAAAAACCTGTCTCTACTAAAAATACAAGAAAATTATCCCAGCTACTCCGGAGACTGAGGCATGAGAATCATTTGAACTCAAGAGACAAAGGTTGCAGTGAGCCAAGATTGCACCATTGCACTTCAGCCTGGGTGACAGAGCGAGACTCTGTCTCAAAAACAAACAAACAACCACAAAAAACCCTGCTTATTCTGGAATTGTATGAATGTTTGCTATTTTAAAGTTTCTTTATTTCTATTTTCATTTACTCTGTTTACTCTGTTATTGGATGCTTAGCTTTTGAATTTTCAACCTTTTTTTCTTTAATAATACAAAGGTGTAAGGGCATATTTTTTAAAATATCACTTTAGCTGCAACCCATAATTTCTGTCATTAGTTGTGATATGTAATATTTTTGTTATTATTTGGTACTAAGTATTTTATCTTTTTTGACTTTTTCTTTGACCTGTGATTTATTTCAAAGTATGATCATTTTCTTTTTTATAATTTTCTTTCTTTATCTTTTTGTTATTGATTTACAATTTAATTGCATTGTGGTCAGAAAATGTGAACTGGTTAAGATTGATTCTTTGAAACTTGTTTACTTATTTTATATTTTTATTTTTTCTTTGAGACAGAGTCTCACTCTGTCACTCAGGCTGGAGTGCAGTGGTGCAATCTCGGCTCACTGCAACCTCCACCTCCCAGGTTCAAGTGATTCTCCTGCCTCAGCCTCCCGAGTAGCTGGGATTACAGGCTTGTGCCACCACACCTGGCTAATTTTTTTTTTTTTTTTTTTTTTTTTTTTGGTAGAGAAGTGGTTTCACCATGTTGGCCAGGCTGGTCTCAAACTCCTGACCTCAAGTGATCCGCCAGCCTCGGCTTCCCAAAGTGTTGGGATTATAGGCATGAGCCATCGCGGCTGGCCGACATTTGTTTTTTTTTAAAGCTAGTATATGGTTAATTTTTATACACGTTCGATGTGCTGGACCACCACTAGATGACACATTGCCTTTGTGTGAATTAGGAAAATATGCTCTATCTTCCAGCTAAATGCAGTACCACACTTGAACGTGTGGTTTGGCAAGTGGAGCATGGCATGGAGTTTGGCCCCCACTTTTCCCTTTGGCTAGGTCCCTTTGATCTGTGAACACGGCCCTGCTTCTTCTTTTTTTTTTTTCTTTTCTTCACTCCCTCCCTCTACTTCTGTTCATGTGTTCTTATAAAGGATGTTTATTTTCCAGTTGCTAGGTACAGTGTTCTATGTATAGCTACCAGATCAAGCATATTCATTTGTTCAAATTTTCTACATCATCACTGATTATTTTGTCTGCTTCATCTGTCAATTTCTGAGAGACATGAACTAAAGACCCTGTCTGTGGTGGTGAATTTGTCAATTTGTTCTCGTAGTTCTGTTAATTTTTGCTTCACATGTTTCAAAACTGTAATTGAGTACATTCAAGACTAGGATTGCTATATTTTCTCAGTCAATTGAAACTTTTATGAATACATAGTAACCCTCCTTAAACATAGTAATTATGTTTCTTTTATTTTCTTTATTTTTGAGACAGAGTCTCACTCGTTGCCCAGGCTGGAGAACAATGTTGCCATCTCTGCTCACTGCAACCTCCGCCTCCCCAGTTCAAGCGATTCTCCTGCCTCAGCCTTTCAAGTAGCTGGGATTACAGAGATGCACCACCATGCACGGCTAATTTTGTATTTTTAGTAGAGATGGAGTTTCACCGTGTTGGTCAGGCTTGTCTCAAACTCCTGACCTCATGTGATCCACCCTCCTTGGCCTCCCAAAGTGCTGGGATTACAGGCGTGAGCCACCGTGCCTGGCTTTGTCTTTTTTTTCTTTTGAGACGGAGTCTTGCTCCGTTGCCCAGGCTGGAGTGCAGTGGCGCGATCTTGGCTCACTGCAAGCTCCGCCTCCCGGGTTCACGCCATTCTCCTGCCTCAGCCTCCCGAGTAGCTGGGACTACAGGCACCCGCCACCACGCCCGGCTAATTTTTTGTATTTTTAGTAGAGACGGGGTTTCACCGAGTTAGCCAGGATGGTCTCGATCTCCTGACCTCGTGATCTGCCCTCCTCGGCCTCCCAAAGTGCTGGGATTACAGGCACGAGCCACCGCACCCGGACTTATTTTTCTTTTAAAGTCTATTTTATCTGATATTTACCTTAATATCAAGAAGAAATTAAAAGACAAAAGAAATTAAGTTACAACAGCTTAATTTTTGTTGATATTAGTATTTGGCTGGTGTATTTGCCCCATCATTTCACTTTCAAACTTCTTGTGTCCCTGTGTTTTAGGGATGTCCCTTAAAAATAGCTAGATTTCAGTGGGGCACAGTGACTCACGCCTGTAATCCCAGCACTTTGGGAGCCCGAGGTGGGCAGATCGTTTTAGCTCAGGAGTTTGAGACCAGTCTGGGCTGCCTCTACAAAAAATACAAAAATTAGCCGGGTGTGGTGGTGAGTGCCTTTAGTCCCAGCTGTTTGGGAGGCTGAAGTGGGAGGAAAAAGAAAAAGAAAAAGAAAAAGAAAAAGAAAAAGAAAAAGAAAAAGAAAAAGAAAAAGAAAAGATCTTGTTTTTACCAAAGGAGCACTGTAGACAGGAAGGAGACAAGTAGATTGGTTTGGCATAAACAGCCTTAGCATAAAATGCAGAAGTTATCAAGTAGCTTATTCTAAAGAACTTTTCTTCATTTTAAATCTCAAAAAACCCTTTGCATTCATTCTTTAATTATTTTGTTATTTTGTCTTGTTTTGCTTTTATGTGCTTCCTTTTTGGTCCCATTATTTGTCTTCACTGAGATGGTAAGTTATAAGATTGCTTGACCTTACAGTAACCTAAAATCAACCTATCATTCCATGCATCAGACTGTCAACATTGAAACTACCCAATCCCTGGCCTCCACCACAGACCTCAGTCCCTGAATAGCACATTGGTATCCATGAGCTTGTGAGATCACCAGGGAAAAATCCCCCCAGCTGCTGAGATAATACCAGATGCTGATAGCAAAGAGCAGGCAAGCCAACAACAAGGATGCAGAAGATTTAATAGCTTTGCAATCTTATAGATCAAAAAGCCAATTAGCTCTGAGTAATTCCTAAAGGAGTCATCATACCATGTAAAAATAGTTCTGCAGTTTCTGGAAGAAGGGAAAACCAGGCCTCAAAGGGCATCATTGCACTCAGGTCATACCACAAGTGTGACATACTGATTACTATGCATACTGCACAGTTCAATGTTTGGAAGAAGAAATCACTGTGATACGTGGCAAGGTAAGCCACAGTACAGGAGAATACTGTAGCTCAGTGGTTCTCAAAAGGGGACTGTTTTGCCCTCCAGGAGACATTTAGCAATGTCTGGAAACGGTTGTAATAACTGGTGTGGGTGTGTGTGTGTGTGTGTGTGTGTGTGTGTGTATGGGGGCTGCTACTGACATCTAGTGAGTCAAGGCCAGAGATGTTGCTAAACATTCTACAATGCAGAGGACCCCTGCCCCCTGGCCCCCATCCCCCCTATCCCCACAAAAAATTATCTGACCCAGGTTGAAAGTCCTTGCTGTAGACTACACAGAGAAGTATACATAAGTAGCAAGATAGTGCTTCTTGTATCACAGAAGCCGTCTTGTAATAATGACTTCAAAGTTTTCCAGGAAGGATGATGGTACATGAAGATTCACTGTATCATTCTGTTTGCTTTGTATACATTTTAAATTGTCCATAATAAGGAAACATGAAAAGATTAGAGGGCACTTCTATATTTGATCCTCCTCAAAACGGCAGAAGGTTTTTACAAGCAGAAATCACTGAAGTTAATAGGTGGATATTTTCTAGTGGGTGGCTTTAGAATTTCAAAGTGAGACAGGACACTAGAAGACTAGATACAGCTGGTGAAAAACAATCATAAACAATGGAGCATTTTCCCAGAACCAGTTCTGAATACAGCACATAACTTAAATAGTTTTTCAATGCAAATGAACCTGGTTCATTTGACAAAACTTGCCATATTTAGAAGATACTAGCTCTAAAGTTCATATGTGGGGTAGGATTTCTTCATTTGGATTGTCTGTATTTTCTGCCAAACGTGTGTTTTTTTTTTTTTTAATTTTTTTATTATACTTTAAGTTATAGGGTACACGTGCACAACGTGCAGGTTTGTTACATATGTATACATGGGCCATGTTGGTGTGTTGCACCCATTAACTCGTCATTTACATTAGGTATATATCCTAATGCTATCGCCCCCCACCCCACAACAGACCCCGGTGTGTGATGTTCCCCTTCCTGTGTCCAAGTGTTCTCATTGTTCAATTCCCACCTATGAATGAGAACATGAGGTGTTTGGTTTTTTGTCCTTGTGATAGTTTGCTGAGAATGATGGTTTCCAGCTTCATCCATGTCCCTACAGAGGACATGAACTCATCATTTTTTATGGCTGCATAGTATTCCATGGTGTATATGTGCCACATTTTCTTTCTTTCTTTTTTTTTTTTTTTCTGTCAAGTCTGCTTTATTTAAGTCAATATTAGACCTGCTGTTCCTAAACAGAAATGCCCTGATGACAGAGGAGTGGGAGGGAAGCAGGCTCATGTGAGGGTGTGGGAAGGCCACTTGGCCCAAAATGTTTGCAAGAAATACACCAGGAAAAGCCTATTTTAATTCTCCTGCATTAGGAACTGCCCTGTGAGATTCCTGCAAAATAATCCTCCAGGCTCAGGACTATTCCTCTTCTCTTGTGCTAGACACATCTCTCTTCTGGAAAGTTTTCCTTCCTTTTTTTTTTTTTTTTTTCTGTTGACTTTTTTTTTTTTTTTTATTGATCATTCTTGGGTGTTTCTCGCAGAGGGGGATTTGGCAGGGTCATAGGACAATAGTGGAGGGAAGGTCAGCAGATAAACAAGTGAACAAAGATCTCTGGTTTTCCTAGGCAGAGGACCCTGCGGCCTTCTGCAGTGTTTGTGTCCCTGGGTACTTGAGACTAGGGAGTGGTAATGACTCTTAACGAGCCTGCCGCCTTCAAGCATCTGTTTAACAAAGCCCATCTTGCACCGCCCTTAATCCATTTAACCCTGAGTGGACACAGCACATGTTTCAGAGAGCGCAGGGTTGGGGGTAAGGTCATAGATCAACAGGATCCCAAGGCAGAAGAATTTTTCTTAGTACAGAACAAAATGAAAAGTCTCCCATGTCTACCTCTTTCTACACAGACACAGCAACCATCCGATTTCTCAATCTTTTCCCCACCTTTCCCCCTTTTCTATTCCACAAAACCGCCATTGTCATCATGGCCCGTTCTCAATGAGCTGTTGGGTACACCTCCCAGACCGGGTGGTGGCCGGGCAGAGGGGCTCCTCACTTCCCAGTAGCGGCGGCCGGGCAGAGGCGCCCGTCACCTCCCGGACGGGGCGGCCGGCCGGGCGGGGGGCCGACCCCCCCACCTCCCTCCCGGACGGGGCGGCCGGCCGGGCGGAGACGCTCTTCACCTCTCAGACGGGGCGGCTGCCGGGCGGAGGGTCTCCTCACTTCTCAGACGGGGCGGCCGGGCAGAGACGCTCTTCACCTCCCAGACGGGGTCGCGGCCGGGCAGAGGCGCTCCTCACATCCCAGACGGGGCGGCGGGGCAGAGGCACTCCCCACATCTCAGACGATGGGCGGCCAGGCAGAGACGCTCCTCACTTCATCCCAGACGATGGGCAGCCGGGCAGAGACGCTCCTCACTTCCTAGACAGGATGGCGGCCGGGCAGAGACGCTCCTCACTTTCCAGACTGGGCAGCCAGGCAGAGGGGCTCCTCACATCCCAGACGATGGGCGGCCAGGCAGAGAGGCTCCTCACTTCCCAGACGGGGTGGCGGCCGGGCAAAGGCTGCAATCTCGGCACTTTGGGAGGCCAAGGCAGGCGGCTGGGAGGTGGAGGTTGCAGCGAGCCGAGATCACGCCACTGCACCCCAGCCTGGGCACCATTGAGCACTGAGTGAACGAGACTCCGTCTGCAATCCCGGCACCTCGGGAGGCCGAGGCTGGCGGATCACTCGCGGTTAGGAGCTGGAGACCAGCCCGGCCAACACAGCGAAACCCCGTCTCCACCAAAAAAATACGAAAAACAGTCAGGCGTGGCGGCGCGCACCTGCAATCGCAGGCACTCGGCAGGCTGAGGCAGGAGAATCAGGCAGGGAGGTTGCAGTGAGCCGAGATGGCAGTACAGTCCAGCTTTGGCTCGGCATCAGAGGGAGACTGTGGAAAGAGAGGGAGAGGGAGACCGTGGGGAGAGGGAGACGGGAGAGGGAGACGGGAGAGGGAGAGGGAGAAGGAGAGGGACCCGATTATTTTCTTTTATCTCAGCAGTCAGCAGGGCGTAATGTAATTTATTTGCTTATATTTATGGCTTTCCCAAAGACTATTATTTCTCTATTCCCAGTGTCTAGCACATATTAGGTGCTTGAAAAATGCGTGTTTGTATTAGTGGTTAGGGGTAGATATTACGGAAGAAGATGAAGTCTACTTGTTGGCCTGTGGATGGCATTTCTCTGTTCTAATGGGAAGTAAGGCCGAAGACTTCGGAGGGCGCAACCCGTGTAGTAACCTCGCAAAGGGGCCCGCGAGTCTCCACGTCGTTGGCTGCCTTGCCTCGGGTTTCCGCTGGGTGGAGAGGAAAGTGGGGCGGGAAATCGAAAAACGAACTCTCAGCTCCCGGCATTCCTCGTGGGCGGTGCTCCCCTTTGACCCTTCGCTCGCGTGCTACACATCCGGGCTTCTGCTACTAGTGAGAGGAAGATGGCGGCCGCGGCTGTGGTGGTTCCCGCAGAGTGGATAAAGAACTGGGAGAAATCAGGGAGAGGCGAATTGTGAGTGTTCGGGCCGGAGGCAGGCGCACTGCCGGGCCGGGCCAGGGCGTCAGCTGCACTCTCACCTGTAGTGGGAGGTTGAGGGGGAAAGATGTACCCCCTCCCCCACCCGGGCGGCGGGCGTGGATGGTCGTCTAGGAGTTTCGAACTCGGGGAGAGGTGCTGTTTACCGCCGCGGACCTCCTTCCTTCCCTGGCCTCCCAGAAATCGCTACTGCCTGCGGTAGCTCGGCTTCCTTTAGCCTCTTAGTAGAACTCTTATTCCGCCCCTGCAGGTCTCCGCGCTCCCTCTTGGTCTCTTTTTGTGTCCCCCTCTTCGCTTGATCTCACTTGGCTCCTTTATCTTTATGGGGCTGAGCCGGGGCAATTCGGACTTTCCATCTCTCTCTGTGCCATTTCTTCACTCTGCACCCGTTGGACTCCGCAGTTTGGAGCTTGGCGCCTCCTCTGCCTGAAGTCCAAGGAGGGCGAACCGTCCCGGATTCCCCTCCCCTCCTCTTCGCCCGCTGCCGCGAAGCCCGGGGCGCCGCGAAGAACCCGGTTTGGCACCTCTCGCCCTCCCGGGGAGCGGTCTCTCGACTGTCCCGGCCTCGCGTAGCGCCGTGGGGAAGTGTGGCAGGGATTGCCGCTTTCCCTGAAGAACCACCGACATTTCTTTGCTCCGTCTTTTCACCTTAGAGCTATTTCGGGTTGGATTCAACTTTCGTCATTAAATGTTCCCTAAACCCCATTTTATCCTGGGACTGCAACTAATTCTGGCAGCTCTCCAAGCTTCTCCAGTACCTAGGATAACGCGTTTCCTTTAGTCGTGAAACTTTCCCCCGTAACACCGAAAACAGTAATTTGCCATACCCCTAGTCTTCTCGCCCCCACGTTAGAGCGCTCCCTCCTCCCCTTCCCCTGGAAGGAGTCGTTTAAGCAGCAAAGCAAACCTCAGATATAAGAACAAATATTAATAACATCTCATTTCCTTCTCTGGGTCGCTTTTAGATGCTAAAGCTCAACCCTGGATGAAATTAACCCTCGTTAGCCATTTTTGTCGTCCTTGCCCACCCCTCTCCATTTCTAGTAGCCAGTTTACCGTGGCTCATGCTAAAGATTCAAATCTTTGTAACTTCGTTACTTGGAACGAAACACGAGGAACGCGTTGCCGGATCCCGCGCTTGTAATAGTGCCAGCCTATGTGGCTTCCTCCCCCGCACCCCCCGCACTGCTGTATGAAGTCTTAACAGTGTGAGCTCTAGAATTCCCTAAATAAGCGGCTGTCTTAGCCACTTAAGTAGCTGAGTGACCTTGGGTAAGTTCCTTAACCACTTGGACTGTTTCCCCTTGAGTAAATTGGGAATAATAAGTACTCTACTCAAAGGATTGTTGTGAAGACTAAATAATGCCTGTAAAGCACTTGGCTTATAGTAAGTGCTCAAGTGATAGCTATTAAAAGTAATATTATTCCAACCTTTAGATATTTAAACTTCTCAGGACAGCTCATGCACTTAAAGTCTGTACCACTCAGGTTAGCAATTAATTGGTCTCTGACTTATTCATGTGTGTTTATTCTTGCACTGTAATGAATTGGGAGGCCTTTGAAATATAGGGACTATGTCTCATATTTCTTTTGGTTTAACACATGCCCCGCCCCCCCAGCCTATGCTTAGAATGCTTATTGGTTTATTAATTGTCAGAGAAGGCTATTTGATAAATCTTCGTTTTTAACTATAATGAACATTTTACAAATCCTCGTATGTGCTAGTTAACAAATAGCTGTCAAGTTTGATAGCTAGTTGACAAATAGCCATCAAGTTTGGGGAAGGCAAGATGGGAAGTTACCCAGCCAGACCATCATCTTCATCGATATTAGGGTAATCCCCCAAAACTGATAAAAGCAGTTCATTGTTTTGTTTACTTTCAAAGCCAGCTCATTTATTTAGGGGCTGTTATGTTTGTAGATTGCTCAGCTTCCTCCTTTCAGCTACTGTTTTTTGACAGTTTTACTTTTTTTTTTCCCCCTTGAGACGGAGTCTCGCTCTGTCGCCCAGGCTGGAGTGCAGTGGCGCGATCTCGGCTCACCGTAACCTCCGCCTCCCACGTTCAAGCGATTCTCCTGTCTCAGCCTCCTGAGTAGCTGGGACTACAGGCGCGTGCTACCACGCCCGGCTAATTTTTTGTATTTTTACTAGACACGGAGTTTCACCGTGTTATCCAGGATGGTCTCCATCTCCTGACCTGGTGATCCGCCCACCTCGGCCTCCCAACAGTTTTACTATTATTGCTGCCACCTTAGCATGAGTGGTATTAGGGCTATAAGGTGAAATTCTGCTTGGCTTCTGACTGGTAATGGTTTGAGAAAAAGTGATGTAGGAGATCGAAATACTTAGATAAAATGGAATTTTAGGTTCACATTATGTATATTTACATAATACATGCTATCTGTCATAGTTCTTATGTTTGAAGAGCTGCTTAAAAACTGTTATTAGAAGCCGAGCGTGGTGGCTCACGCCTGTAATCCCAGCAAATTGGGAGGCCGAGGCGGGTGGATCACCTGAGGTCAGGAGTTCCAGACAAGCCTGACCAACATGGAGAAACCCCATCTCTACTAAAAGTACAAAATTTGCCGAGCGTGGTGGCACATGCCTGTAATCCCAGCTACTCAGGAGGCTGAGGCGGGAGAATCGCTTGAATCTGGGAGGCGGAAGTTGCGGTGAGCGGAGATCGCGCTGTTGCACTCCAGCATGGGTAACAAGAGCGAAACTCTTTAAAAAAAAAAAAAAAACAAAAACCCAAACAAAAACAAACCAAAAACAACAGCAAAAAAACCTGTTATTAGAACTTACGTGTATGTAGTTATTGCATGACTTGTGGAATGTGGATTGAATTATAGTAGATCCAAATCAGTATAGTCAGTTTTATGATTGCATTCTGTTACAGGAAGAGAATTTAAAATTGTGTAACATAATAAGCTATTTTAAATAGTTAAACACATCACCATCCAGTACTTAGTTTCAGTTTATTTGACCTGTTTTCCCTCTATGAAACTTTGTTGCATATAGCATGTCTTTGGAGTTTTTGTGTCTTCCTAAAGATAGGTGTTAGCATTTTCATATTACTAGGCAGAATACGTGGTGGTGCAAATATATTACAAAAAACCTTTTTCCTTTGTCTGAAAACAGCTTCTGAAATATAAAACAGCAACTGGAAATGTTAAAAATGAAGGTAGTGTGCCACCACATTATTAGTGAAGCTATAGATTTGGCGTTTAGAATATGACCAATATTTAAAATTATACCTTGGGTGAATTTTTCCTTTTTAACAAGATAAATTAGCAGATAAGCTTTAACTTGACTGAAAATTATCTTTTTAAAAATAATGTGATATATTTCATGAGGTTGTTAATTCATTTCTTGTCTGTCACTTCTTACCAGCATAAATCTTTTCTGGGGGTGGTAGTCAGCTAGTGTTGAAAGCAACATAAGAGATGTATGGGGCATTTTATAACTTTCAGATAGGGCAAATTCTTAACTGTACGCCATGAAAAACAACTGTCTATTAAATGGAAGGTCTTGACTTTGAAGAATGTTTTATTAGGTAATTAGAGAGAAAAGTAAAACTGTATTTTGCCTATCTGAATGGTCCATCCATCACATATCTAGATATCCCATTATGTTTCCAGAGATACCAATTATGTTTTTAATGCTAAATTATAGAACTCTTAAAGAGTGACCTTTAAAGTGATCTTAAAGAGGGATCAGAAGGGCAAAGGAGGACTACCAAAATGTAATTGTAATTTCCAATAATACTTATATCTAAATGCAAACTCTTCCAAATTCTGAAAGATATGTATTTAATCACTTAATTTTGGAATTAGTTTTAGTTTCTTGATTATTTTATATTGACGTAGAACTTGCCATGATGAAGCTAATAAACTTGCATGTACTGGTAGATCCAGTGTAGAATTCTGTTTTTGGTAGAAATCATTAACACAGTGAACTCAGCATTTCTTTGTTACAGGCAACCTTAATGGAGAATTGATATTCGAAGCTCTTAATCTGAAGATGCTAGCCTCATGTTAATACTTAGTCTAATTTTGAAATACTTACGTTTGTTGAATATCATCTGTTTGTTTGAATAGCTTATTTAGGTATCAATTAGAAAGTTTTGTTAGGTCTTACCTTATTAATGGTAGTTACAATAAAGTTTTAAAATTTAATTGCCAAATGTTTTGATTGTTGTTCTTTTTCTTCTTCTGCTACTACATGATTTTAGACATTCTAGAACTTATTTAAGTATATTTGGTTGTTCAGAACATGCCATCTGATCTGAATTTCTTGGAGGATTCCAGGTAAAGGGATATAATCATTCTAAGAAATTTTAGTCTTGGTGGTTGAGTCTTTTTTCCTCGCAAAGTTGCTCCAAATTCAGCCAAAGCTTTATCTGAAACCTTTTCTTGATGTCTCAGTTTTCATTTAGCATTTAATTTCCCATTTCGACCTGTATTCATAAGCTAAGTATAAGTCTTAGTCTGTTTTCCTGGGAAGAGAAACATTCTTCACAAAATGTTGAAGCAATGTCAGGAGGTTGTATAGGCTACTACTTTGTTTGTTAAAAAAAATTATTCTGTAATGCTCTAACGTTTAGGTAGGGTGAGTGCTGTCAATATACTTGTGCTTTTTTCCTACTGTAAGTGCGGCAACTCCTGTTGTCTTTTTTTTTTTTAACATTTCCTGTTTCCTTTTCTTTTAAATGCATGTTTCTACAAGATAAAACTGTGTTGTCCCAGTATTCATTTTTGTGGGTTATGTTTCTGTTCTACAAATGATAATAGAGGTAGCACTTTATTTAACTACATTTAACCTTTTTGTTGTCTTGTTTTAAAGAATTAAGTGAAGCGTAAATGAACATCAGCCTTCTATATATGAAAGCCACATTTGAGATGTGAGCATAATCAAGTAGTTTAAGCTTGTGACTCTGTTTCCTTTTTACTGGAAAATGGGAACAAGTAAGATGAAAAGCCGTATACTCATGTTAAGAAGTATTCACAAAATACCTTTTAAGTCCTTGAAGGAACTTCAGACATTTTATTCAGTTTTCCATACATCTTTTGACAGAAAGTAGATTCTGTCCTCATTCTCAGGGACCTGAGACAGCATCTCCATAATAGCACTAAACTATTTTAAAAGTAGAAAAAATGAATGCCTGGCGTGGTGGCATGTAAGGTGGTGTGCACTGTGGCACACACCTGTAATCCCAGCTACTTGGGCAACTGAGGCAGGAGGAAGGATTGCCTGAGCCCAGGAGAGCTCTGGGCGACATAGCGAGAACCTATCTCTATTTTTATTTTTAAAAAATTAAATTAAAAAGTGGAAAAATGGTAAACTCAAGTATTTGAAAGTTATTAAGGGATTAAAATAATTTCAATTTGGACTGAGACAGAAAATTTGATTATTTTTAAGCGATATTAAAGTGGGCAACTATTAGAGGTAGTTTTGTTTTTTCCTCTCCCTATAATTTAGGTTAGTGACCTAAAACCATTAGGCAGGTGTATAGTAAGACAAATGTAATGTTCAGAAACAGTTTCTTTAAGAATCCTTGGTGGACTTCTATTAGTGAATTACTTAGGGAGAAGAGCACAGATACATCTACTTGTTGGGGAAAAATCTCAGTGTTTGTTTTTAGTTTCTTGTTATAACTAAGGAATACCTGTTTTTTTTTTATTAAAAAATTTATTTTTAACTAAGTTTTTTTTGAGACAGGGTCTTGCTTTGTCACCTAGGCTGGAGTGCAGGCGATCACGGCTCACTGCAGGCTTGACCCCACCAGGCTCAAGGGATTTTCCTGCCTCAGCCTCCTGAATTGCTAGGGCTACAGGTGCATGCCACCATGCCTGGCTAATTAAAAACATTTTTTTGTGCGGGTGTATGAGTAGGGATGGGGTTTTGCTATATTGCCCAGGCTGGTCATAAACTCCTGGCTTCAAGTGATCCTCCCCCCTCAGCCTCCCAAAGTGCTGGGATTACAGGCATGAGCCACTACGCCCAGCCAAAGGAATACCTCTTTTATACTAGGGAAATGTAAGTATCTATTATGCAAACAAATTGCCTTATTGTAATAACCTTTCAATGGTTCCATATGCAACTTGAGCAAATCTTTGAGATTCTAACTAATAGTTCATGATGACATTGTCATCTGTGTCCTAATGAACATGTTTGTAGCCTGGTGACTGACAATATAGAATTATATTTCAATTATTTCTTAAAGTTATGTAATGATGACTGTACCATTAGTCTAGGTAGGAGTTTGCAACACTGATGCAACCTCTTCCCCGCAACCATTGGAAGGCTTTTTGCAAAAGACATGCATTAAGATTGTTAAATAGAAATGAAACTATTGAAAATGTGAGGAAGCAAGTGCATTGTTATAAGGAGAAGTTTTTTTTTTTTTTTTTTGAGACAGGGTCTCACTCTGTTGCCCAGGCTGGAGTGCAGTGGCACGATCTTGGCTCACTGCAGCCTTGACCTCCTGGGCTCAAGTGAATAAGGAGGAATTTTAAACAATTATTTTATTTCTCTTTCTTTCTCATCCTTTCCTTTTCCTTTCCTCTTTTTCTTTTTTCTCTTTTTCTATATGAAGGAATATTTGAAATTGCATTTTAGTAGCCCGAGTACAAAGGGAAAGATGAGTTACTTTATTCTGTTAAATTCTTCTTTCAAAGACATGGTGCTTCCTGCTATTATTATTATTATTTTTTTTGAGACAGAGTCTCACTCTGTCGCCCAGGCTGGAGTGCAGTGGTGCGATCTCGACCCACTACAACCTCCGCTTCCTGGGTTCAGGTGATTCTCCTGCCTCAGCTTCCTGAGTAGCTGGGATTACAGGCATTGGCCACCAAGCCCGGCTAATTTTTGTAGTTTTAGTAGAGACGGGGTTTCACCATATTGGCTAGGCTAGTCTCAAACTCTTGACCTCAAGTAATCTGCCCTCCTCGGCCTCTTAAAAGTGCTGGGATTATAGGTGTGAGCCACGGTGCCTGGCCCCTGCTATTATATTCTAAAGAGAATTGACCCTATAAGGGAAATGAGAACCCAAAGAGGGAATTGTTTTAATACTTCATAGTAAATATTGAAGCAACCTTGATATACTTATATATCTCCTCTCCACAAAAGACCTAGATGGCATTTTTAGGTTATATCTTCTGATGCTAGTCTGAAGCAGATGTTATTTCTGTGTTGCCTGGTGGAAGGAAGATTGATTTTGTTTTATATTCCAGATAAACTTATGTTAGGTTTAACGTATTTTGTGAAATTAGAAGCTTAATCGTGGTTTTTTTTTTTTTTTTTTTTTTGAGATAGGGTCTCACTCTGTTCCCCAGGCTGCCCAGGCTGGAGTGCAGTGGTACTACGATCACCACTCACTGCAGCCTCGACCTGCAGGCTCAAGTGATCCTCCCAGCTCAACCTCCCAAGTAGCTGGGATTATAGGCATGTGCCACCACACTTGGCTACTTTTTTTTTCTATTTTTTTTTTTTTTTTGTAGAGATGGGGTCTCACTTGTTGGCTAGGCTGGCTAGGCTGGTCTTGTACTCCTGTGCTCAAGTGATCCTCCCACTTCGGCCTCCCAAAGTGTTGGGATTACAGGCATGAGCCAGCATATCCAACTTTAACCAGTGTTCTTAACCAACCACTGTTCTCTTCTCAACCCATTAGAAGGCCTGTCTAGTTCTCCAGGGAAGTAGTTGAAAGTACTTGGGATCAAACTTAAACCAGCTTACCATTTGTAAGGTACTCTCAGAATAATTTTTTTAGTGAGAAATGTTTAATAGCTAAATGACATTTTCTTTCTTTGTTTTTGTTTTTGAGATGGGATCTTGCTCTGTCACCCTGGAGTGCAGGCTGGAGTGCAGTGGTGCGATCATGGCTCACTGGTGTGATCTTGGCTCACTGCAGTCTCAACTTCCTGGGCTCTGGCGATCCTCCCACCTCAGCCTCCTGAGTAGCTGGGCCCACAGGCGCGTGCTACCATGCTCTGCTAATTGTTTGTGTTTTTGGTAGAGACAGGGTTTCACCACGTTACGAGGCTGGTCTTGAACTCCTGAGCTCAGGTGATATTACCAGGCTGGTCTCGAACTCCTGAGCTCAAGTGATTCACCCACCTTGGCCTCCCAAAGTGCTGGGATTACAGACGTGAGCTACTATGCCTGGCCTGACATTTTCAAACTAAATATTTAATTTAGTAGATGCTCTCCATTGCCCTTATTTTTTATTTTTATTTTTTCTGAGACAGAGTCTCGCTCTGTTGCCCAGGTTGGAGTGCGGTGATGCAGTCTTGGCTCACTGCAACCTCTGCCTCCTGGGTTCATGCGATTCTCCTGCCTCAGCCTGTAGAGTAGCTGGGATTACAGGTGCGCACCACTGCGTCCAGCTAATTTTTGTATTTTTAGTGGAGACGAGGTTTCATCATGTTGGCCAGGCTGGTCTCAAACTCTTGACCTCAACTGATCCACCCACCTTAGCCTCCCAGAGTTCTGGGACTACAGGTGTGAGCTACAGTGCCCGGCTTCCATTGCCTTTTTATTTTTTGGTTTTGAACATATTTGTGAAACCTAGAAGTGAATTGTTGACCAGCAAAAGTTTACTCTGTTGACTTTTAATAACCTTACCCTGCTCATCCTGATGATAGGGTATTGACATAATCAGAAGGCACAGAGGTGAGCTGCAAGGTTATGTATAATCTGCAAAGTAGATAATCTCTCTGTGGATGATTGTAATCTGGCATCTTATTTAGCCTTAGATGTGATATATAAGCAGGTTCTGTAAGTCTTAAAATTATTTGTTTCATTGACTAGAAAAAGGATTACTAGATATAAAAGAGTAAGAAACTCTTCTATATGAATTCATTGGCTCTCTTTAAAGCCTTGTGCAACATGGAAGAATTTTTTTCTAAATTGTGAAATGTAATGAAAATACAGAGAAGTCATGAAACCTCAATATAGAGCTTAAAATAATCACTGTAAGATGCACCCCCATGTAACTTACACCCAGGTCAAGGCAACATACTGTTTGTTCCCGATCAAACCTTTCCCACCTCTCATGTAGTAAACATTATCCTGACATTTATGGTTTTCCTCTTGATTTTTCTCTTTTTTTAACCTTGCATCTTCAACTCAAAGAAACTTTCTTGATTTTCTTTGCAGTGTCATTACCCAATATGTTTAATTTTTTTCTTGAACTTCATATAAATGAAATCATTGAATATTTATCCTACTGTTTCTGGCTGCTTTTGTTCAACAGTTATGACTTTTAAGATTCATCCATATTGTATGTTTGCAGTTCATTGATTTTCCTTTTTTTTTTAGTTCATTCATTTTCATAGTTGCAAGATACTCCATCGTATACCAGTATTTGTTTATTTTTATGCTGTCTTGTTAAACATTTTTGTTGCGTCTAGTTTTTGGCTATTACTAACAGTGCCAATAGAAACATTATTATACAACAGTTTTGGTGTATACAAGCATGTGTTTTTGTGGAGTATATACTAGGTGTAGAATCTCTGGGTTATAGGTTACACTTTAGCTCTGTTAGATATTGCCAGGCTATTTCAGTGTACACTCCCACCAGCAGTGTATGAGTTGACCTTGTTTCACATTGTCACTATGTTTGATATTGTCAGACTTAAATTTTTTGTAAATATGTATGTAATTTTACTGTGGCTTATATTTCCATGAGCATCTTTTTATATGTTATTGGTCATTTGGAGTACTTCTTTTTTTTTGTTTGTTTGAGACAGAGTCTTGCTCTGTCGCCTAGTTTGGAGTGCGGTGGTGGCGTGATCTTGGCTCACTGCAACCTCTGCCTCCCGAGTTCAAGCGATTCTTGTGCCTCAGCCTCCTGAGTAGCTGGGATTACAGGTGTGTGCCACCACACCTGGCTAATTTTTGTGTTTTTAGTAGAGACAGGGTTTCACCATGTTGGGCAGGCTGGTCTTGAACTCCGGACCTCCGATGATCCGCCCGCCTTGGCCTCCCAAAGTGCTGGGATTACAGACGTGAGCCACCACGCCTGTACTGGAGTTCTTATTTCTTTTTGTGAAAGGTCTCTGTCATATCTTTTGCCTTTTTTGTTATTGAGTTGCTTGAGTTTCTTTCACTGATTTGTAGGGGTTCTTTATATAGTCTGTATTTGAGCCCTTTTTGGGTTACACTGCATGTGTTACAACTGTCATTTTTTTTTAATTTTAAGTTCTGGGATACATGTGCAGAATGTGCAGGTTTGTTACATAGGCATACATTTGCCATGGTGGTTTGCTGCACCTATCAACCTGTCATCTAAGTTTTAAGCCCCACGTGCATTAGGTATGTGTCCTAATGCTCTCCCTCCCCTTGCTCCCCAACCCCCAACAGGCACCAGTGTGTGATGTTCCTGTCCCTGTGTCCATGTGTTCTCATTGTTCAGCTCTCACTTATGAGTGAGAACATGTGGTGTTTGGTTTTTTTGTTCCTGTGTTAGTTTGCTGAGAATGATGGTTTCCAGCTTCATCCATGTCCCTGCAAAGGACATGAACTCATCCTTTTTTATGGTTGCATAGTATTCCATGGTATATATGTGCCACATTTTCTTTATCCAGTCTATCATTGATGGGCATTTGGGTTGGTACCAAGTTTTTACTCTTGTGAATAGTGCTGCAGTGAACATACGTGTGCATGTGTCTTTATAGTAGAATGATTTATAATCCTTTGGGTATATACCCAGTAATGGGATTGCTGAGTCAAATGGTATTTCTGGTTCTAGATCCTTGGGGAATCACCACACTGTCTTCCACAATGGTTGAACTAATTTACTCCCCCACCAACAGTGTAAAAGCGTATCATCGGCAGCAAATACTCTGTTGTTTTCCTTGAAGTGACAGGCTCACTTGGTTCAGTTTTGAGAAAATGCCTGTGAAAGACCCATGTCTTAAAAACCATAGTTTGCTTTTCTTTCAAGTAAAAAATGGTGTTTCATAAAAACAAGCTAGTTCAGCTTGCAATTCAAACAATCGCACAAGTGCTTTACCTGTAGACAAATACTGTGGTTGTATTTGGGTGTGTGGCAGAAATTATTTATGCAACCTTTTAAATTTCATCATATAGGCTATTGAAAGGATGTGTTATTTTTTAATTTTAATTTTTTTTTTTTGGAGATAGAGTCTTGCTCTCTCGCCTAGGCTGCAGTGTAGTGGTGTGATCTCGGCTCACTGCAACCTCTGCCTCCTGAGTCCAAGCGATTCTCCTGCCTCAGGCTCCCGAGTAGCTGGGACTACAGGCATGCACTACCACGCCTGGCTAATTTTTGTATTTTTTAGTAGAGATGGGGTTTCACCATTTGGTCAGACTGGTCTTGAACTCCTGACCTCAAGTGATCCGCCCTCCTCGGCCTCCCAAACTGCTGGGATTACAGGCGTGAGCCACCATGCGAGCCAAAAGGATGTGTTCTTAAAAAAAGACATGCTTGCCCAGGCACAGTGGCTCATTCCTGTAATTCCAGCAGTTTGGGAGGCCGAGGTGGGCAGATCACTTGTGGTCAGGAGTTCGAGACTGGCCTGGCCAACATGGTGAAACTCCATCTCTACTTAAAATACAAAAATTAGCCAGGCATGGTCGTGCACACCTGTAATCCCAGCTACTCAGGATGCTGAGGCAGGAGGATTGTTTGAGCCTGAGAGGTGGAGGCTGCAGTGAGCCAAGATAGTGCCACTGCACTCCAGCCTGGGAGACAGAGCAAGACTCTGTCTCAAAACAAACAAACAAACAAAAAAAACCAGCAACAACAAAAAAACCCCAAAACAACATGTTCTTAGGGTTCAGGATTTAACAAAATTAACAATTTTTAAGTAACTTTTTTACTGTGGTAAAAAAAAACACCTAACATGAAATCTACCTTCTTAGCAAATTTTAAGTGAGCAGTACAATATTGTCAACTATAAGTACAATGTTAGCAGATCTTCTCCTGATCTTTTTCATCTTCTATGAGCTGAACTTTATATCCATTATACACCAACTCCCCATTTTCCCCTTCCTGCAGCCTCTGACAACCACCATTCTACTTTTTGCTTCTGAGTTTGACTACATTAGATACTTTATATAAGTAGAATCATACAGTATTTGTCCTGTGGCTGTCTTCTTACCTTAGCACACTGTCCTTAAGGTTCATCCACATTGTAGCACATGACAGGATTTCCTTCTTTTTTTTATGGCTGAATAATGTTTACTTTCATAGATATACATGACGTTTTCTTTATTTGCTCTTCTGTTGGTGGACATTTAGGTTGTTTCTACCTCTAGGCTATTGTAAATAATGCTGCAGTGAACATGGGAGTGCAGCTATCTCTGTGCGATCCTGACTTAAATTTTTTTGGATAAGTACTCAGAAGTAGGAATGCTGGATCATTTGGTAGCTCTACTTTTCATTTTTTGAGGAATCTCTATACTGTTTTTCATAACAATTGCATTATTTTATTTTATTTAATTTTTTTCGAGAGATAGGCTTTTGCTTTGTCACCCATGCTGGAGTGCAGTGGTGCAATCATAGCTCACCGTAACCTTGAACTCCTGGGCTCAAGTGATTCTCCTGCCTCAGCCTCCTAAGTGGCTGGGACTATAGGGATGTGCCACCATGACCCGCTAATTTTTAAATTTTTTTTGTAGAGATGGAGTCTTGCTGGGTTGCCCAGGCTGGTCTCGAACTCCTAGCCTCAAGCAATTCTCATGCCTCGGCCTCCAAAAAGACTGGGATTGCAGGTGTGAGCCACATGCCTGGCCTATTTTTTTTCTTTTTTTTGAGACAAGGTCTCACTCTGTTGCCTAGGCTGGAGTGCATGGCATGATCTCAGCTCACTGCAGCCTTGACCTCCTGGGCTCAAGTGATCCTCCCACCTCAGCCTCCCAAGTAACTGGGACTATAGGCCTGCACCACCATGCCGGGCTAGTTTTGTCTATTTTTTGTGGAGATGAGGTCTCTTTGTTACCCAGGCTTATTATTTTTTATTTTTGTTTTTGAGACAGCATTTTGCTTTGTTGCCCAGGCTGGAGTGCTGTAGTGAAATCATAGCTCATCATAACCTGAAACCCCTGGACTCAAGCAATCCTCCCGCTTCAGCCTCCCGAGTAGCTAGGACTCACACCACAATGCCTATTTCTTTCTTTTTTTTTTTTTGTAGAGACAGGGTCTTGCTATGTTGTTCAGGCTGATCTCCAACTAACCTCAAGGAATCTTCCTGCCTCGGCCTTGCAAATTGCTAGAATTACAGGCATGGGCCACCGTGCCTGGCTGGCATCACCATTTTCTTTTATTTTGGAAATATGTTTTATTTTTTAATTTTTTTTTTTTGAGACAGGGTCTCACTCTGTTGCCCAGGCTGGAGTGCAGTGGCGTGATGTCAGCATATGTTGATTGTAGAGATGGAGTCTTGCTAGGTTGCCCAGGCTGGTCTCAACTCCTAGCCTCAAGCAATTCTTATCCTTGGCCTCCGAAAAGGCTAGGATTGCAGACCTGAGCCACCACGCTTGGCAAGAGTTCCCTTTTATCCACATCTTCGATACTTATTTTTTGTCTTTTTGATAATAGCCATTCTGACAGGTGTGAGGTGGTATCTCATTGTAGTTTTAATTTGCATTTCCCTAGTTATTAATGATTTTGAGGTTTTTTTTTCTGTTGGTCATTTGTATGTCTTTTGAGAAATGTCTACTCAAGTCCTTTGCCCATTTTAAAATTGGGTTGTTTTCTTGACTTCTTTTTTTTTTTTTTGGGAGACGAAGTCTTGCTTTGTTGACCAGGCTGGAATGCAGTGGCACCATCTCTGTTCACTGCAAGCTCTGCCTCCCGGGTTGACGCCATTCTCCTGCCTCAGCCTCCCGAGTAGCTGGGACTACAGGCGCCCGCCACCACACCCGACTAATTTTTTCGAATTTTTTTAGTAGAGACAGGGTTTCACCATGTTAGCCAGGATGGTCTCGATTTCCTGACCTCATGATCCGCCCACCTCGGCCTCCCAAAGTGCTGAGATTACAGGCGTGAGCCACCGTGCCCGGCCCCTTGACTTCTTTATATATTTTGGATATTAACCCCATATTTGATGTTTGGCTTGCAAATATTTTCTCTGAATCCATAGGTTGTCTCCATCACACTGTTAATTGTTTCCTTTCCTGTGTAGAAACTTTTTTTTTTTGAGACAGAGTCTCGCTCTGTTGCCTAGGTTGGAGTGCAGTGCCGCGATCTTGGCTTACTGCAATCTCTGCCTCCTGGATCCAAGCGATTCTCCTGCCTCAGCCTCCTGAGTAGCTGGCATTACAGGCATGCGCCACCATGCCCGGATAATTTTTGTATTTTTAGTAGAGAAGGGTTTCTCCATGTTGGTCAGGCTTGTCTTGAACTTCTGACCTCAGATTATCTGCCTGCCTTGGCCTCCCAGACTGCTAGGATTATAGGTATGAGCCACTGCACCCGGCCTCCTGTGTAGAAACTTTTTTTGTTTGATGTAATCCCATTTGTCTATTTTTGCTTTAATTACTTGAGCTTTTGGGGTCAAATCTAAAAAATTATAGCCCAGACCAGTGTTGTGTAGCTCTTCCCCTATTTTTTCTTTTAGGATTTTTATAGTTTCAGGTCTTACATTTAAGTCTTTAATTCATTTTGAGTTGATTTTTGTATATGGTGTGAAGTAAGTGTCCAGTTTCATTGTTCTGTATGTGGATATTAAGTTTTCCCAACATTCTTTATTGAAGAGACTGTCTTTTTTCCCATTATGTGTTCTTGGTACCCTTTGTTGAAAATTAATTGGCTATAAATGCATGGATTAATATCTGCGCTCTCTATTCTGTTCCATTGGTTGATGTGTCTGTTTTTATGCCAGCGCCATGCTCTTTTAATTACCCTAGTTTTGTAATATACAGTTGGCTGGCCTTATATTTAGTGGGTTGGCTGCATCCACAGATTCAACCAACTGCAGATCAAAAGCTGTGGATATGGAGGGCTGACTGTTAAGTATTTTTCTATCTACAGTTGGTTGAATCCGCAGATGCGGAACCTGCGGACGCAGAAGGATGACTGTATATATGCCATATATAAGGGACTTTTGAGCATCTGTGAATTTGGTGTGTGTGGGAGATGGTCCTGGAACCAATCCCCCGTGGATACAGAGGGCCAACTGTACCTTGAAGTCAAATAGTGTGATACTTTAGCTTTTTTCTTTTTGTTCAGGATTGCCTTGGCTATTGGTTTTTTTTTTTTTTTTGGTTCCATATAAATTTTAGGATTTTTCTGTTTCTGTGAAAAATGGCATTGGTGTTTTGATAGAGATTGCATTGAGTCTTTATATCTCTTCGGGTAGCATGGACATTTAAACAATCTTAATTATTCTAATCAATCAGCATGGAATATCTTTTCATTTATTTGTCATCTTCAGTTTCTTTCATCAGCATTTGATAGCTTGTGGTGTATGGATCTTTCACCTCCTTGGTTAAATTTATTACTAAGTATTTTATTTTTGTAGCTATTATATTTTTATTTTTATTTTTCTCTTTTTGCCATTCTTGCAATGCTACAATATAGCTATTTTAAATGGAATTAAAAATTTTTTTCAGGTAGTTCATTGTTAGTATATAGAAACACTACCTATTTTTGTGTGTTGATTTTTATATCCTGTGATTTTACCCTATTTATTATTTCCTTTTTTAAAAAAATTTTTTTGCCTTGATGGATACAGTATATTTATTATTTCTAACTTTATGGTGTAGTCATTAGGATTTTCTAAATATAAGATCATTTTGTCAGCAGAGACAATTTCACTTCTTTTCTTGTTTGGATAACTTTCATTTCTTCTTTTTGCCCAATTGCTCTGGCAAGGACTTTTAGTACTCTGTTGGATAGAAGTGGAGAGAGTGGGCAGGTACCTGATCTTAGAGGAAAAACTTTCAACTTTTCACTATTGAATATAATGTTAGCTATGGGCTTGTTATTTATGGCCTTTTTTTGTGTGTGTTGAGGAACATTCATTCTATAGTTAGTATGTATTTTTTTTTTGATATGGAGTCTTGCTCTGTCGCCCAGGCTGGAGTGCAGTGGTGAGATCTCGGCTCACTGCAGCACTGCAGCCTCCACCTCCTGGGTCCAAGCGATTCTCCTGCCTCAGCTTCCCAAGTATCTGGGATTACAGACGCACGCCATCACACTCGGCTACTTTTTTTTTTTTTTTTTTTTGAGACAGAGTCTCGCTCTGTCGCCCAGGCTGGAGTGCAGTGGCGCCATTTTGACTCACTGCAAGCTCCGCCTCCCGGGTTCACGCCATTCTCCTGGCTCAGCCTCCCGAGAAGCTGGGTCTACACGCGCCTGCCACCACACCTGGCTAATTTTGTTTTTGTATTTTTAGTAGAGACGGAGATTCACCGTGTTAGCCAGGATGATCTCGATCTCCTTACCTTGTGATTCACCCGCCTCGGCCTCCCAAAATGCTGGGATTACAGGCGTGAGCCACCGTGCCCGGCCCACACTCAGCTGCTTTTTATATTTTTAGTAGAGATGGGGTTTCACCATGTTGGCCAGGCTGGTCTCCAATTCGTGACTTCAAGTGATCCACCTGCCTTAGCCTCCCAAAGTGCTGGGATTACAGGCGTGAGCCACTGCGCTCAGCCTCTATAGTTAATTGTTGAGAGTTTTATCATAAGGATATTGAATTTTGTCAAATGCTTTTTCGGCATCTAATGAGATGATCAAGTGATTTTTATCCTTCATTTTGTTAGTGTAATGTGTCACATTTAGTGTATGTTGTACCATCCTTGCATCCCAGGGATAAATCCATTGTGATCATGGTGAATGATCCTTTTAATGTGCTGTTAAATTCTGTTTGCTGGTGTTTGTTGAGGATTTTTTCATCTGTGTTTATAAGAGGCATTGACCTGTGATTTTCTTTTCTTGTAATGTTTTTGTCTGGCTCTGGTATCATGGTGTAGTAGCCTCTTATATTCCTTTTTGTTTCTGTGTAATTGGTTGTAATGTTTTCTCTTTTGTTTCTAATATTGTTTGAATTTTCTTTTTCTTTATTGAATGTCTAGCTAAAGATTTGTCAGTTTTGTTGATCTTTTTTTAAAAAAAACTCTTAATTTTATTGATTTTTTTCATTTTCATTTTCTTTTTTTTTTTTTTTTGAGACAAGGTCTCACTTTGTCACCCAGGCTGGAGTGCAGTGGTGCTATCTTGGCTCACTGCAGCCTCAACATCCTGGGCTCAAGTGATCCTCCCGCCTCAGCCCCCCAAGTAGCTGGGACTACAGGCGTGGGCCACCATGCCTAGCTAAGTTTTTGTATTTTTTTTGTAGAGAGAGGGTTTCACCATGTTGCCCAGGCTGATCTTGAACTCCTGAGCTCAAGCTATCTGCCCGCCTCAGCCTCTCAAAGTGCTAGGATTACAAGCGTGAGCCACCGCACCTGGCTGATTTTTTTTTCTTCTTTAATTCTCTATTTCAGTTGTTTCTGCCCTAATCTTTATTATTTCCTTCCTTCTATTAACTTTGGACTTAGTTTATTCTTCTTTTTCTAGTTCCTTGAAGTTTTGAGTTAGGTGGTTTGAGATTAAAAAAGAAAAAGGCATTTATAGGCCTGGCTCCGTGGCTCACACCTGTATTCCCAGAACTTTGTTGGGCTGAGGTGGGCAGATTGCTTGAGCCCAGGAGTTCCAAACCAGCCTGGGTAACATGGTGAAACCCCATCTCTTCAAAATATACAAAATTAGCTGGGCATGGTGGCATGCACCTGTGGTCCCACCTAATGGGATGTTGGGGGGGTGGTGGTGCTGAGGCTGAGGTGGGAGGATCACTTGAGCTCAGGTCGAGGCTGCAGTGAGCCAAGATTTTGCCATTACAGTCCAGCCTGGGTGATAGAATGAGATACTGTGTCAAAAAAAAAAAAAAAAAAGCCTTTATTGCTACAAATTTCCTCTTTTGAACCGCTTTTGGTATATCTCATGAATTTTGGTATTTATGTTTTCATTTTCATTTGTCTGAAGGTATTTCCTAATTTCCTTTTTGATTTCATTCTTTGATTCTTTGGTTGTTCAAGAATGTGTTTAATTTCTACATAATTGTGAACTTTCCAGTTTTCTTTCTGGTATTGATATCTAGTTTTATTCCATTGTGTTTGGAAAAGATACTTGGTATGATTTCTATCTTTTAAAATTTGTTATTTGTTTGTGATCTAATGTGATCAGAATGTTAGATCACATGTTAGAGCCTGGAAAAAGGTTTGTGTGTGCTTGAGAAGAATGTAGTCTCCTTATCTTGGGTGGCATGTTATGGATATGTCCATTAAATCCATTTGGTCTGTAGTATTATTCAAGTCTTCTGTTTCCTTACTGATCTTTTGTCTGGGTATTCTATGGAAAGTAGTGTATGAAATTCCCTACTATTACTGTGTTGGTGTCTATTTGTTTCTTCAGCTCTGTGTCACATATATTCATATGCTGTTGTCCTCTGATGTGGTATGTGTATATATTTATAATTGTTATATTTTCAAAGTATATTTTGTCTAATATAAGCATAGCCACCCCTGTTCTCTCTTGGCTAACATTTGAATGGAGTATCTTTATCCATCCTTTCACTTTCAGCCTATCTGTGTCCTTAAATTTAAAACACGTTTCTTGTAGACAGCATACAGCTTTTTAAAAAAATAGCTCATCTTAAAAAAGATCAATTTAGATACTTTGTCTTTTGAACATGGAGTTAGATGTTACATTTAAGGTAATTACTGACAGGAAAGGACTTACTATTGCCATTTTGTTAATTGTTTTTCTGTGTTGTAGCTCTTCTGTTCCTCTTTTCCTCTCTTGCACTCTTCCTTTATATTTTATTACATTTTTCCTTGCAATTTGTTTGTTTAAGAGATTGGGTCACTCTCTGTTAGATTTTCCCACAGTTTGGATTTTGGTGATTGTATCCCTATGGTATCTCTTAATATATTCCTCTGTTGTCTTTTTCTGTAAATTGGTAGTTGGATCTAGATGGCTTGATCAGATTTTGATTCACACTTTTTTTCCCCCTAAAGACAACTTCATAGGTAGGTGATGCTTTCTTTTCTTTTTTCCTTTTTTTTTTTTTCCTGTCTCCCAGGCTGGAGTACAGTGGAGCGAGCAGTCATGGTTCACTGCAGCCCCAATTTCCTGGGCTCAGATGATTTGATTTTTTCACCCCAGCCTCCCGAGTAGCTGGGAGTGCAAGCATGAGCCACCATGCCAGGCTAATTTTTGTATTTTTTGTTGAGACAGGGTTTCACCACGTTTCCCAGGCTGGTCTTGACCTCTGGGCTCAAGCTATCTGCCTGTCTTGGCCTCCCAAAGTGCTGGGATTACAGGCGTAAGCCACCATGCCCAGCCTACATGGTGTTTTCTTTCATCAGAATCTGGAGGCACATAATGTGTCATAGTCTTTTTTTCTTTTCTTTTCTTTACTTTTTTTTTTTTTTTGTAGAGACAGAGTCTTGCTCTGTTGCCAGGCTGCAGTGCAGTGGCGCGATCTTGGCTCACTGCAACCTCTGCCTCCTGGGTTCAAGCAATTCTCTTGCCTCAGCCTCCCTAGTAGCTGGGACTACACGTGCATGCCGCCACGCCTGACTAATTTCTTTTGTATTTTAGTAAAGACGGGGTTTCATTGTGTTGCCCAAGCTGGTCTCGAACTCCTGAGCTCAGGCAATCCTCCCGCCTTGGCCTTCCAAAGTGCTAGGATTACAGGCGTGAGCCACTGCGCCCAGCCCATAGTCTCTTTTAGTAATATGAGCAGCCATTGGTAGATGCCTAGATTCTTTTATTAATTAGGGGTCTTAAATGGTGATATTCTAATTTCATAATTCCTTCTTTATTACTACAGAGGTATTTTTAATCTTCTATGAGTTACCAGTGGTACAGTTTGTATATGAAAGGCAGAATAAATGCTTGATTAAATTTTTTTTTACTTGCCAGTTGATATAATTTGCTTTATAAGAATCATCTCATGTTAGGGTGGAAATTGAAATACATGTTTTCTATTTTATTCTAGTTTGCATTTATGTCGGATCCTCAGTGAAAATAAAAGCCATGATAGTTCAACATACAGAGGTAAGATTTTTAAAAGTATCTTAGTTATTTCTTGATTAAAATTAGTAACTGTCTGCTTTCTATTCATTGTTAGGTATGAAAACAAAAGGTGTAAGATAGTTCACATTATATAAAGGTTTTACATGGTTATATTATAGTCAGGATTAAAACTGCAGTTACAGTAAGACTATATCTCTGTATACTGATGTTATTTGACCTGCATTATAATGATATGATATTGCTTGACTTTTGTAATTGGGGCTTGGTATATTTAGCTAAATTTCAGCAGTTGTTAGCTGTATCAATCATAAATATGACAGAAAAGATAACATGGAAAGAAAAATTGTTCTGATCTTATTTGCACTAGAAAATTTCCAGAAACTGAGGTTCAGTGTTTTTACTAAAGCTGGTTATGTTTAGGTGGTGTCTAGGGATCTTGTTAAAGGCAGTTGTCATGGGAAACATTCAAAGGAGTTGTTTACTGCATATCACAGATATGATTTATTAAATGAAATATGTAATTAAGCAGTATGTATTATAATTTTCCAGTAACTTTAGTTTCAAAGGATTTTACTATTTAACATTTTGTTAATTTAAAATTAGACATGTGGATTTGGCAAAGGAGGGGCAAAGCTAAAAGTGATTGTGTCTAGTAAGTGTAAAGCATTTACAGTAGTATTGTTGGGGGTAAAACCCACATTATTTTTTTAAATTAGAAAATACATTTTTATAACCGATATTCTATTTGAAGCCAAAAATCATTAGATAAAATTTATTATGGTCATTTAAATTATGCTTTTGTGAAAAGAAGATTAAGAACAATTTTACATATATATATATTTATTTTTGTTCTACCAAAAATCATGACTTTCATAATAGAGGATATACTTTTTTTTTTTTTTTTTTTTTTTTAAAGTAGACAGGGTCTCTTTCCATTGCCCAGGCTGTAATGCAGTGGTGGTGTAATCATAGCTCACTGCGGCTTCAAACTCCTGGGCTCAAGCAATCCTGCCACTTCAGATTCCCAAGTAGCTGGGACTGCAAGTGTGCAACACTGCTCCTTGCTTATTTATTTATTTATTTATTTGAGATGGAGTTTCACTCTTGTTGCCCAGGCTGGAGTGCATTGGTGCAATCTCAGCTCACTGTAACCTCTGCCTCCCGGGTTCAAACGATTCTCCTGCCTCAGCTTCCCAAGTAGCTGGGATTACAGGCATGTGACACCATGCCTGGCTAATTTTGTATTTTTAGTAGAGACGGGGTTTCACCATGTTGGTCAGGCTGGTCTTGAACTCCTGACCTCAGGTGATCTGCCTGCCTTGGCCTCCCAAAGTGCTGGTATTACAGGTGTGAGCCACTGTGCCCAGCCTTATTTTTTTAATTTATTTTTTGTAGAGATGAGGTGTCTTGCTATATTGCCTAGGCTGGTCTCATATTCTTGACCTCAAGCAGTCCTTTCGCCTCAGGCTCCCAAATTGTTGGGATTACTGTCATGAGCCACCTTGCATAGCTGAGGATATACTTTTTAAAGAACATTTGGGCCAGGTGCGGTGGCTCACGCCTGTAATCCTAGCACTTTCGGAGGCTGAGGTGGGTGGATCACTTGAGGTCTGGAGTTCGAGACCAGCCTGGCTAATATGGTGAAACTCCATCTCTACCAAAAAAAAAACAAAAACAAAAAAAAATTAGCTGCGTGTGGTGGCGTGTGCCTATAATCCCAGCTACTCAGGAGGCTGAGGTACGAGAATCGCTTGAACCCGGGAGGCAGAGGCTGTAGTGAGCCAAGATCACACCACTGCACTCCAGCCTGGGTGACAGAGTGAACCTTGTTTCATAAAAAGAACATTTGGGTGTGTGAGTGGAAGATGGTTTTTTTTTTTTGAGATGGAATCTCGCTCTGTCACCCAGGCTGGAGTGCAATGGCGCGATCTTGGCTCACAGCAACCTCTGTCTCCCAGGTTCAAGCGATTCTCCTGCCTCAGCCTCCCGAGTAGCTAGGATTACAGGCGCCCGCCACCACGCCCGGCGAACTTTTGTATTTTTAGTAGAGACGGGGTTTCACCATGTTGGCCAGGCTGATATCGAACTCCTGACCTCAGGCGATTCGCACACCTTAGCCTCCCAAAGAGCTGGGATTACAGGCGTGAGCCACCGTGCCCGACCGAAAATGTTTTTTTAACAAATGAAAAAGCCATTTTTCACCCTGTCATATGGGTAAGACCTGTTTTAAGAGTTAACATTCCTAGCCTGCCACCCCCCAAATTATTTTCTTGTTTATCCTGCTTATAAAATTGCATGATCACTCAAAAGATTTTTGAGGTTGATAGACAGTAATGTATTCTTGTTTAAGTTAGTTGACTGTCAGAAGTATAAGAATGTACAAAAAGACTCCTTTCTAAAAATACTTGGGTACTTTATCTTTTTTCTTCCCCGGGTTTAAAATCAGTTTTTAACATCTCAGTTAACTTTGATCTTGTTTGATAGAAACATTAGGTGGATAAAATAGAAGAATTTTCAATAAATGATAGTGTAAATAGTGTAACCATGTGACTCTGGATCTTTAATAACTATTAGATTATTGTTTATTTGCATGGTTCTGATTCACATGTGAAACCAGAAATAGTTATGAGTGTGGCCTTATTGGCTGAATTGCCATTGCTCTCCTTCTCTTACCCTTGCCTGCTTCCTTAACACATATACTCCTTGGCTGATCTCTGTCAACAGGCAGGCGTTGGTTTGAGGGGCTCCAGTTTGTTGTCCTAGCAGGAAACTGACTGAATGTCATTTCTTCAGAATCTCTTTTCTGTCTTAGGGGTTTGAGTTCGGGCAGTGTCCCCTCTGACCTTTCTCTTTCTGCCCTTCCCTTGAATTAATTTCATTTCAGGCAGGCAGTTTCCCTTGCACACACTGCTTCTCCTTGTTTCTTTTATAAATCACCTTCCCCCCCACCCCAGCCACTGCCAATGAAACAACATTGTAATGATGGCTAATAAACATGAGTAATTGGGGTACAGTGTGATATTTTGATACGTGTATATAATGTGTAATGATCAAATTAGTGTAGTTAGTGTATCACCTCAAACATTTATCATTTCTTTGTGTTGGGAAAATTAAAAATTCCTTCTAGCTATTTGAAAATAAACAGTACATTATTGTTTAAAAAAACAAACATGAGTAGTACTAGCAATATTAGACATAACCAAGAACTGGTGTCTTCAACATTCAAACCCCGCAAAAACTAAGAATCTCTAGAAGTACCTTCTCGGGGCCTTTTTTTTGAGACAGAGTCTCCCGCTCTATCGCCCAGGCTGGAGTGCAGTGGCGCCATCTTGGCTCACTGCAAGCTCCGCCTCCTGGGTTCATGCCATTCTCCTGCCTCAACCTCCTGAGTAGCCGGGACTACAGGCGCCCGCCACCACGCCCGGCTAATTTTTTGTATTTTTAGTAGAGACGGGGTTTCACCATGTTAGCCAGGATGGTCTCGGTCTCCTTACCTTGTGATCCGCCCGCCTCAGCCTCCCAAAGTGCTGGGATTACAGGCTTGAGCCACCGCGCCCGGCCTCTAGTGGCTATTCTTAAAACTACTCTTTCTGAAGTGTTAACATTAAGATAAAATATTTTATTGAATTTTTTTGTAGATAACTATAAGGTTGTAAGTTTTCCTCCTCATTGTAAATATAAAGTTTTTCACCTGCAATATAGATTTTATAGGTTTCTGTGGAACTAGCCTGACAGTTTTAAACCACCACTTACAGTTCTATGGATAAAACACAATAGGAGTTCCTAACCATTTTTAAATAGGCATTTAGAAAACTCGTGAATTAGGCTGGGCCTGGTGGCTCACGCCTATAATCCCAGCACTTTGGGAGGCCAAAGCGGGTGGATCACTTGAGGTCAGGAGTTCAAGACCAGCCGGGTCAACATGGTGAAACCCTGTCTCTACCAAAAATATAAAAATTAGCTGGGCGTGGTGGCGGACACCTGTAATTGCAGTCACCTGGGAGACTGAGGCTGGAGAAGCGCTTGAACCCAGGAGGCAGAGGTTGCAGTGAGCCAAGATTGCGCCACTGTACCCCAGCCTGGAGGGCGAGACTCTGTTTCAAAAGAAAAAAAAAATAAGAAAACTTGTGATTTAGGGACTATTCGTTGCTGCTGTGTGGATTACAATGTGATTGTTCTTATGTCACTTTAGTTTCAGCAAAATGACCCAGGTCACTTGTTCTCTATTTTAATCTCCTTCTGTGGTTAAGATTAGACTTCCCTGGTCCCCTATGAGTACCAGAGGACATATTCTCATGGGACCTTAGTTTTTGATAATTGGCTATTTTGTTCTTCTAAGTTACTGCTTTAAAAAAAAAAAGCCAAAAAAACCACCTTAATTGTCTGGAAAATTTTAAATAAGTATTATTTGTTGTTTGTTGTAAAGCATTTTATTCATGGAAATACAAAGCATAAAGTTGACCTCTTATACCTGCGATACCAAAATACAGAAATTTTTTCCTTTGTTTTTATATTGTTATTTAAAAGCACAACGTAGATATAGTTGTAAAATAGGCAGAATATATTTAATAAAGAATTCTTCATAAATAATTGGAATAATTATTAGCAATAGCAAATAGCAATAGCAAATGATTTAATGAACAAGTTAATTTTACTGCAAAATAGTATTTTCATTAAGGGGGGATTTATGTACATTTTGATTTCTATTATGTTCCTTTTTGTGGCTAGGAGTCATAGCAGGGGAGAAGTTTATTTTTATTTTTATTTTTATTTTTTGAGACAATGGTGCTATCACAACTCATTGCAACTTTGATCTCCTGGGCTTAAGTTCCCGCCTCAGCCTCCTGAGTACCTGGCATAACAGGTGTGTGCCACCACATCTGGCTAATTTTTTTTTTTTTTTTTAGTAGAGATGAGGTCTCCCTATGTTGCCCAGGCTGGTTTCGAACTCCTAGGCTCAAGCCGTCCTCCTGTCTTGGCCCCACAAAGTGTTGGGATTTTAGGTGTGAGCCACTGCGCCTGGCTAAGAAGATTTTTAAAATATTTGATTTTTTAACTTGCTGTTTGGTTCTGAAAAAATTTTGATTCCACTCAAAAGGAGATTATAAATAGACTTTATTTTACATTAGCATCTTTAAAGCTTCTTGTTTCACTACTTTTCATGATTGGAAGGAGGTAAAGTTTTCAGTATATGGGACTTAAAAAAAAGATGACCAGAAGGAGGTGTTCACCTGACCACTAACTACCCACTCCAAAACCAAAATATCTTTTTTCAGGAAAGGGGACTGTGGTAATTAATAGTGAATGTTGCTACTTGTAGTTGACAGTTATCATAGAACTGCCATTTTATACATGTATTTTTTGTTTGATTTTTATGGGACAAAGAGATTTAGATTTGGGGAGAAATTTCTCTCACACTAGGGTATGGTTAAAACTCGGTAGTATATGTACTGCTATTCTTTATCTGTTGTCACTATAGTGCTGAGATTGAATTGAGTATATATCTGAAGTCTACTGGTGAGGAGAATGATTGGTTTGAATCCACTTGCTAGAGTTCATTGAATATAATTATAGAGACTTGAGTAGCATGAAAAAATGCTTTAAAATTGTTTTGGGGGGAATCAGAATGCTATATGATGTGCATGGTGAATTTAAATATGTAAAATCTGTAGACATACAGAAAAAACTGGAAAGGAATGTTCAAGCTGTAGTTATAGTAGTGGAGAGATGGTTAACATTTTTCTAACCTTTTAATTTTGTGTTTTTGTGAAAATAAAAGAAAAAATTGCTAGAGGAAAAGCATTAGAATTATATTTTTCATTATTGATGTTTATAATAATTCTGAGACGTAGGAAATATATAGATTTACTTTTCATGTTCAAGAGACTGTATCCTTACATTATTTCTCTTATGTTCAACAGATTTCCAGCAAGCTCTCTATGAGTTGTCATATCATGTAATTAAAGGAAATCTAAAGCATGAACAGGCATCTAATGTTCTTAGTGACATTAGTGTAAGTATGTATATATTTTTTTAAGTTAATAGTTGTTATATATCTTTTTGCTTTGACACAAAGATCCCTGAAGTTTATAACTTGTATTTTATTCAAAATTATAGAAGTGGATGGATTTTTAAAATTTTATTTTTTTAACTTTTTTCCCCTCAGAACTATGGAAGTGAGTAATGGATGTTTTAAGGTGACATTGGTAACCCATTTTTGCCAGACAGGAACACAGATAGTTTAATATTTTTATCTGGTTGTTGGTAAAGTAGGAAATATCAGGTAAGCTGGTAGGGAGAAAAAAAAAAGCCTGTGCTGTAATGAAATTAAGGTATCCATGGGTGGGGGAGGGGGGAGGGATAACATTAGGAGATATACCTAATGTAAATGATGAGTTAATGGGTGCAGCACACCAACACAGCACCTGTATACATATGTAACAAACCTGCACGTTGTGCACATGTACCCTAGAACTTAAAGTATAATTAAAAAAAAAGAAGAAATTAAGGTGTCCTTAATAAAAAATGCCACTCTAAAAAAGTAAATTGGCTAAAATATTTTTCTCTCAATATAGTATAAGCCATTTTTTGTTTGTAGTTATGTTTAGAAATTAAATATATTTTAAAAATTGAGGATTAAATTATTTTAAATTGCAATTGTTTGGCTCTAACATTCACTTGGTGCTAGTTTTCATTTACTTATGGTTTAAAAAATATCGACTAGATTAAAAAAAACTCTTTTACATGGTTATTCTGTTTCACTCCTTCATTTATTGGAGAATTTAAGTTAGATTCAGACCAACTATTTTTCATGGTGGTTTGCCATTTAAATTGGAAAATGGGCTTTCAAATTGTAAACCAGTAGTTAAGCTTGAGGTTTTACAAGTGGCGTGCTGTTCTTTTATTATTAAGCTGGCTTTTAAACTTGTATATAAATAAAATTATCTTGTGTCTGTGTATATATGTGTATATATACATTTATAATGAACTTGTATATACATAAAATTCAGAATAGCTTTTATAATAGGTTTTATTAAGGTGTGGGATTTGAAGCTTCTTGGTCTCAATCTGAACTTCTCTTACTGTGTTTCTTTAATCTTCTGTAGCCTTTTTTTCTGTCAGGGGAGGTAATATTTGTATGTTTTTTGTGCTTTCCCAGGGATAGTCTTAAGGAAATTCTAAGTTTAGCTGTTGTGATTTTCCACCCCATATTGGGGTGTATTTGAGCAGTAGGAATTCTGTGAGTTTCCCTTTTGTCTCTAAATTATCTCCAGCTGATAACAACAGAATTAGTTCATGTTGGAGTAGTCAAATTCCTTTTTTTTTAACGTTAAAAAAATTCAGTTGCTACCAATCTTTCTTAAACAACTAATATTTCATTTTTGAAAACTCTTGTCTTACTCTATTTTTGATCTTCAAGTGGCCTGAGTACTTGCATTTAAATAGACATAACCAGAGTTCAGAGCCCTTAAGAAATTTGAGGCTAAAATCTGATTGACAAGGTTATTTCATTTTGTAAATTGAGCATTGGTATAGGTTTTAGTTTGTTTATGGGATCTGATTCTGATTCTTTTTTCATTTATTGAAAATGGATAGTTCAAGTGAATTTTATATATGTGTGTTTGGTTCTTACATAGCTTCTTCTTTCTTTTGAATACTTAATGATGTCTTTATAGATACTTCTGCAGCTTGATTGTCTTTGTCATGGCTTTCTCTTAGTACTATATACTGTCCAGTATCTTACCCACAGAAGAGTAACTTGTGCGTCTCCTTGCAGCTGCCAGATTTTTCTTTAGAATTTCTTTTAGTTTCTGAAAATAGGCTAATTTTAGGGTTGCTATACTGCCAGCCAACTGTTAACTGCAGTAAGTGAACTATGATCCCTTCTAATGGAAAATAGCCCTAAAATTGAGCGTGGGAGTGGAAAGTCAAGAGACAAGTCTAGAATAATGCTGAAGTTTTTATTCAGAAACAGGAGGATCCTTTTCTTTTCTTTTCTTTTCTTTTTTCTCCAAGACAGTGTCTTGCTCTGTTACCCAGGCTAGAGTGCAGTGGCACAATCTTGGCTCACTACAACCTCTGTCTCCCAGATTCAAACAATTCTCCTGCCTCAGCCTCCCGAGTAGCTGGGATTACAGGCGCATGCCACCACACCCGGCTAATTTTTATATTCTTAGTAGAGACAGGGTTTCATCATGTTGGCCAGGCTGGTCTTGAACTCTTGACCTTGTGATCCACCTGCCTCGGCCTCCCAAAGTGCTAGGATTACAGGCGTGAGCCACTGTGCCTGGCCCGATTTTGGGTCATTTTCTCCAAAGGCTACAAGAGTAAATAAAGAAAATAAAGAGAATATTGAGCTCCAAAAAAGCGGGGAGGGAGGAGGGCAATAAGGGTTGAAAAACTACCTATTGAGTACTGTGTTCACTATTTGGATGATGGATTCGATAGAAACCCAAACCCCAGCATTACCAAATATATTCATGTAACAAACCTGTACATGTACCTCCTGAAACTGAAAACTGCCCAAACCAGCTTTTAGCTTTTTAGCTGGTTTTGTATTTTCAAGATTTCTGTTTTTCTGATACCATTATGATTTTTGCATAAATCAAATATTGACTCAGGCATGAGCACAACATTTAAAGTCTTGGATGAAAAATGTACAGTTTTTAACAGTCTTCCTTTAGGTAAGTATGAGGCACTCTAAATTCACGTGATTTCTAAAACGAAACTTCTTTGGAAAAATGTTACTCATTTGTGCTCTTTATTTCCTAAAGTGCTTGTTTAGGTTTCTGTTTTTTTATCAAGTTATTTTATGGTAGACATTTAAACATTTTTTGCAAACATTATCTTCTTCCTCTTTGTTATGAAAGTTTACTTGAAGAATTTTAATATTTGTCAATATAATGATGGGGTTTTTGTTTTTTAAAAATCTTTTTTCAGCACCACCTGGAAATCAATTTTTTTTTTTTTTTTTTTTTTTAAAGACAGAGTTTCCTCTGTTGCCCAGGGTGGAGTGCAGTGGTGCGATCTTGGCTCACTGCAGCTTCCACCTCCCGGGCTCAAATGATCCTCCCACCTCAGCCTCCTGAGTAGCTAGTACACCATCACGCCTGGCTAATTTTTTTTTTTTTTTTTTTTTTTTTTTGGTAGAGATGGGGTTTCACCACATGGTCCAGGCTGGTCCCAAACTTTTGGGCTCAAGTCATCTGCCCTCCTCGGCCTCCCAAAGTGCTGGGATTACAGGTGTGAGCCACTGCTCCCAGCCATTTTTTGTTTTTAAGTTTCACAGAAGAGTGTTATTATGAAACCCTAATACTTGCTGTGTGCTTTTTTGCTATTTATTGTAATTATATTTTTAAAATTAGGAATTTCGTGAGGATATGCCCTCCATTCTTGCTGATGTATTCTGCATATTAGGTAGGTATTAAGCCTTTATTTCACCTGTAATGTGCTGTGTGGTAAATCAAATGTTTGTTAAATAAAATGTTTTAAACTAAGAATTTTACAAATGTTTCTGCAAGTCTAGAAGCAAATTGATTCTTTGTAGAGAATATAGCAATATAAGTCAAATGTCATAATCAATGTTATAAACAAACTTTAGAGGTATAATTCAAATTGTTTGAGTTTTTGACAATGTAGATTTCTATAAATTTGAGCTAAATTAAGTCATTTCAAGTTAAAAGGCCAAGTTTTCTGAGATTTTGGTAACCAAATAATCTTATTCAATGCAGGTTTTCAATGAATGATGTCAGAATCTCAGACTTAGGACTCTCAAGAAATACTTACTTTGCTCTTGTACTCTTTTGATTCTTAATTTTAGAAAGAGCAAGAAGAGCCAAAGTAATCAAAAGTACTTTTGTTTTGAGGATGAGAAACCAGCTTTGGGAATAGCAACTTCTTTATTTTTCCAGAATAAATAAGGGTTCATGCAAGATAAAAAAAGGAGTATTTCTGTGACTTAGAATGAAATGTAGTATCCGATGGCATGGATTTAAACAATAATGTTTATTATAATTTTTTTCTCTAATTTTAGATCTAGATGAAAATAACTGAGCACAGTTTTCCCTTCAGTCAGTCCTGTGCTTTCTTTTCTTTTCTTCTCTTTTTTGAGACATGGTCTTACTCTTTCGACCAGGCTGGACTGCAGTGGTGTGATCTTGGCTCACTGCAGCCTCAACCTCGTGGGCTCAAGTGATCCTCCTATCTCACCGCCATGCCCTGCTAAAATATATATATACATATAAAATATATGTATATACACATATATATTATATATACAGATATATATAATATATATGTGTATAATATATATGTATATATGTTATATATGTATGTATGTAATATATATTATATATATGTATATATGTATTTTATATATATCTGTATATATATATTGGTAGAGATGGGGTTTCACCATGTTGTCCAGGCTTGTCTGGAACTCCTGGGCTCAAACGATCTGCCCACCTGAGACTTCTAAAGTGCTGGGATTATAGGCATGAGCCACTGCACTAGGCCCAGTCTTGTGCTTTCTGTAACTTTGAATCTAATAGAAGACATTGCCAAACATTATTATATTCATTTTATTTATTTAGTTAGTTTTTAGAGGCAGAGTCTCGCTATGTTGCCCAGGCTGGTCTTGAATGCCTGGCTTCAAGTGATGCTCCCACCTTGGCCTTCCAAAATGCTGGGATTATAGGTGTGAGCCACCGCACCCGGCCAATATTCACTTTAAAATAAGACATCCTCTGCAGGTTTGTGAACCTGGAATGAATTGTTTTAGCTCATTAATCTTAATTCTTAGAATTAGATAAATTACTTAAATATCTTACTGAGAATTTAGAATTTGTTCTTGACAAATATAAATCCTGGTGCTTGATCCTTCAGGAAGTTTCAGATTTCCTAAGTTCCCGGTAATGTTGGGAGTAGGTCAAAATGTATGTGGACTGGGAGTGATAAATGAAAAGAGAAGACCATTGATGAGATGACCACATGTCCCAGTTTTGTTTTGTTTTCACTGGCTAATTATTAATAGTACCCTCTTTTATTCTCATAACTATCCTGGTTTGGATGATAGAGTATATGTTCATGGTATCTGTTGGATTGATGTAAGCCAACCAAAAAATGTTTTAAGCTAAAATTTTTAGTGAGGCACTAAAGATATTACCTTTTTTTTTTTTTGCAAATAAATACATCATGAAACAAATTTCAGTTAAAAATATTTTTACTATAAATTTGTAAGACTGTAAGACTGATGTGTAGGTAACATTTTGTGGAAGCTATTGTTCCTTGATAGTGTCAGGAGTATATCTTTCTTTGGGTAATCATCAATTATCAGCTTATTGGCCCTAGTAATTTCTTTATTGACTTACTAGATTATATTTTTCCCTTCATAGTTATTTAGTAATATGAATTATTGTTACAAGTCATTGTCTTGTACGAGTAACATGAATTCATGAAGATGATGCTTGGTTGCTTTTGGGAAATTTCTCTTAGCCTATCCAGTCCATTTTTTGTTTGAGATGGCATCTTGCTCTGTTGCCCAGACTGAGTGCAGTGGCACGATCTTGGCTCACTGCAACCTCTGCTTCCTGGGTTCTAGTGATTCTCCTGTCTCAGCCTCCTGAGTAGCTGGGATTACAGGCGCGTGCCACCACGCCTGGCTAATTTTTTTTGTATTTTTAGTAGAGATGGGGTTTCACCATGTTGGCCAGGTAGGTCTCAAACTCCTGACCTCAAGTGATCTGTCCACCTTGGCCTCCCACAGTGCTGGGATTATAGGCGTGAGCTACCGTGCCCGGCCTATCCAGTCCATTTTTATAAGCAAGATTATGACGGCAAACTTGGAAAGAGGATTTCCCTCACCTGCTCCCTCACTCACCTACCCTCACCCTTGGCAGAAAAAAAATGATTCAAGTGTGATCCCAGATCAAGGATGGGGAATAGGAGTAAGAATGCTAGCTACCTCTAATAATAATGATGATGATGATGACAATAATAATGATAACAATTTAAGTTCTGCTTTTAGAGTACCTTCCATGTTCTAGGCATTGTGTTAAGCATTTAATCTTTGTTTTAATCCTTACATCAACTCCTGTAAAGGTGGTAGGAGTACAGATCAGAAAAATGAGGTTCAGCGAAGCTGTGATTTTTCAAGGCCATGCAAGCCAGTAAGGCAGAATTTGAACCTGGGTCCCTTTGGCTCCACAGCCTATGATCTTTTTATTACATCATATTGTCATTCTAAATGTTGACAGTTACAAGGGAAATTAGTGCTGCACTTTCCGGGTTAAGATAGCAACTTCCTCCCCACCCCCCCACCCCCCCCCACCCCCTCACCACCTCCCCCCCGCCGCCCCCAGCCCCGCCCCGAGAATGGAGTTTCAGTCTTGTTGCCCAGGCTGGAGTGCAGTGGTGCAATCTCGGCTTGCTGCAACCTCCACCTCGTGGGTTCAAGTGATTCTCCTGCCTCAGCCTCCTGAGTAGCTGGGATTACAGGCATGTGCCAGCACGCCTAGCTAATTTTTGTATTTTTAATAGAGATAGGGTTTCGCCCTGTTGGCCAGGCTGGTCTCAAACTCCTAACCTCAGGTGATCCGCCTGCCTTGGCCTCCCAAAGTGCTGGGATTACAGGCTTGAGCTACCACGCCCGGCTGATAGCAACTTTAACAGACTAATAGTATGAAGGTGAGGGGGCATGAGAGCTATAGAAAGGGGGAGTCTGCTGTAAGTTGATATGCTGATGGGGCCTCTGGGCTGGGGTAGGTAATTGGTGATGCTGGGCACTAGAGCTGGAAATAGCTGAGGGCTTTTTATTGAAATCATAGGGGAAATTAAAGAGAATTTATTCGAGGTAAAGGAGTCAGGGATAATAAATGAGTTTATTAGAATGGTGTTATGAGTTAGAGCAAAAAGAATAAAGAAACCAGGGAAGGTACAGTTGGGATAATAGAGTCCTGTACTGATTGTTGAGATAGCTCAGCTAAGAAATTTACTGAGACTCTTTTAAGCGTTTCCTAACATTGTCAGAACCCAAGAGAATGGTTAGACATTTAAGTAATTTATCCAATTCTAAGAATTAAGATTAATGAGCTAAAATAATTCATTCCAGGTTCACAAACCCTCAGAGAGTAAGTGTCTTAATCAGGTTAAGTGGCTGAGAGGAGAGACTTGACTTGAAGAGGATGAATCTGCCATCCAGTGCCCCTGTTCTTAGGGACCTTGAGAGGTAGATCTTAGGGACTTTAGGGCCCTGGAGCATAGATACATGTTGGGTAAAAGAATGGGCCCAGTTTAGCCCCAATCCCTTAAAATCAGTATCTTTAAAGTTCTAGACTGAGGAGGGACCAGAAAACCAGATAGCAGGGCAACAATTGGGAGTCCCTGAAAAGGATTGGTGAGATACACATGGGTTAAAAGTCTTAATGAGAAATTGAGATTGTATTGTAATTTACATTGCATAAATTATACCCTAAAATTTCCTTAATACACATGAGCTAACTGTGTGCTTAGCTACAGTGGCCAGGATATGTAGAAATGGCAACTGTCCAAGAAGGGAAAGTCAAGGGCCAGGAAAATGTGGATATGTTTGATGAAAAATCCCTTTCTCTTTTGATTCTTAGTGTTGGCAGTAGAACATGTAGATGACAATTTTTATTACTTCACTAAAACCAGTGCTTCTCTTTATAGCATATTCTAAATTATGAGTTGACTGTAAAATTAGGTTAATAGTATATAATCAGTTAAAGCAGTAATCCTGAGATCAGCCTTGTTTGTAATCCTGCCAATGCTGGTTGAAATTTTTGGTGCTTGGCATTTGGCACTAATTGTTTTTTTTCTTCCACACTTCAGATCAGAAAATTTTTTGACAAATTTTCTGAATAATTTACTGAAACTCTCAGTTTTTAAATATTTCAGTAGGAAGATAAAAATTTTGAATAATTTCTATTTACTGACTAGAATTATAATTCAAGATAAGATGTTAATTTTTTTTTTTTTTGAGACAGAGTCTTACTCTGTCACCCAGGCTGGAGTGCAGTGGCGTGATCTCGGCTCACTGCAACTTCTGCCTCCCAGGTTCAAGTGATTCTCCTGCCTCAGCCTCCCTAGTAGCTGTACTTACAGATGTGTGCCACTGAGCCCAGCTGATTTTTGTATTTTTAGTAGAGACGGGGTTTCATCATGTTGCCCAGGATGGTCTTGAACCCCTGACCTCAGGTGATCCACCCGCTTCGGCCTCCCAAAGTGCTAGGATTACAGGTGTGAGCCACTGTACCCGGCCAAAAATATTTAATACTGTCTTTTCATAAGGTTGGTGGCCAGGTAGCTTGGTTAGAACATGGTAATTTGACCAGGGTGGCGAAAGTCATGGGTTTGATCTTCATGAGTATTAGGATCTTTTTTTTTTTTTTTTTTTGAGACAGAGTCTCGCTCTGTTGCCCAGGCTGGAGTGCAGTGGCACGATCTCGGCTCACTGCAAGCTCCGCCTCCCGGGTTCAAGCGATTCTCCTGCCTCAGTCTCCTGAGTAGCTGCAATTACAGGCGTGTGCCACCACCCCAGGCTAATTTTTGCATTTTTAGTAGAGACAGGGTTTCACCATGTTGGTCAGGCTGGTCTTGAACTCCTGACCTCATGATCCGCCCGCCTTGGCCTCCCAAAGTGCTGGGATTGCAGGCGTGAGCCACTGCGCCCAGCCTGAGTATTAGGCTCTTTAGAGTTAGAAGAAATCTTTGTTATAACCCTGTTCAACTTTCCACCTAAAATAATCTTTTTTTTTTTTTTTTAGCATCTCTGACAAGTGGTCATTTAAACTTTGTTTGAATGTTTCATTTTTTGCGAACAATAGTTTTTGAAGCTTTGTTGCTTCCAGTGCCATAGCAGGTAGCTCCAGTGTAGTTGATGTACTGTTTTATGGATCTGTCATAGGTCACAGGGTCAATCTCCAGTTTTAGGAGAAATTAAAGCATTCATATAACATCTCATGTTACCATAGTTTTGAATTTTTCCAAATTCAGATTGAGGCATTTTAAAATTAGTTAGTTTCAAATAAAATAAGTATCTTACTTTAGTGCTGGGGAGTCTAGACAAATCAATCAAACTTTTTTCTTCTTCATCATTATAGACATTGAGACAAATTGTTTAGAAGAAAAAAGCAAGAGAGACTATTTTACACAGTTGGTATTAGCATGTTTGGTAAGTTTTTAAAAATATTTTTCCCTTTTAAAAATCTGCATTAAACAGTTGTAATAGAAGTTAATCATGTTAATGAAGGAGGATATTGACATTCAGTTGACTTTTCTCATAAGGTGAGATTTGGGTTTTGAAATGGAATGTTTTGTGAAATAAGACATGCTGTTTCTGTGAAATAAGCATGTAACCATATCCATATCACTTAAACTATCTATACATTTAAAACCTTTGGTGATATTCCTGACCTAGTAAGTTCCTAAGAAAAAGGTAAGCATTTATAAAGTAAGTAGAAATGATTGTAGACAGCTTTTAAATGGATTTTTTTCCTCATAAACTGTTAAGCAAAGAGTAAAAGAATAGAGGTAGTTTAAAAATGATAAATTCTAGAACTTGCCATGATTGTTGTCTGGTAAACCATTTGTGTTCATAAATTTAGAACCAGGGAGAACTGCCGTGGTTGAGACCTGGAAGAAGGTGCTTGTCTTTGCTATACTAGAATTTAACTTAAAGTAGGAGGCTATTAAGTGCTGTATTAGGTGAAAGTCCAGATAAGCCAAATGCAGTCATATTGAAAATTTCATCTGTAGTTCTTGTCATTTATAGGCAGTATACAACATGCATATAATTTTATAGTGAATTTTTTGAAAGCCGTTTATTAAATATTTCAATATTTGGAGTCAATATTTGTTAAATTGAACTTCTAAGCCTTTTTATAAATTGTAGGTTGTTATGTAGAGAATGTTATTTTTGTATTCTTATTTAGGAAGCTTTAGTTTGAATATATTTAACATTGTGGATGCAATGCTAAGGAATAAATGACCTTTAATATTTTTTAATACAGTATTTAGTTTCAGACACAGTTCTAAAGGAACGCCTGGATCCAGAAACACTGGAATCATTAGGGCTTATCAAACAATCACAGCAATTCAATCAAAAGTCAGTTAAAATCAAGACAAAACTCTTGTAAGTACACGTATCTTATGTTGCAGATCAAGTATCTGAGTATGTTTTTTCGTTCATATTTTGAATCCTAGTAGCTTCTAAGGGGACTTTGAAGATTGTTTTTTTTGTTTGTGGTTAGCATGTCTTGTGTTTTTTGCCTTCTAAAAGTAGCCTAATATTGAGTCATCAGTGATCTTTACCTGTGCAAAACCATTGTTACTTTTGCCCATATTCAAAGTTAAAATAATACTCATGCTTTCATCATTAGCAATAAAATAATTTATGACTGTGGCTATACTCAGGGTATATTCTTAGAGATGGAAATGGTGATATGTTATTGTTCCCTGATATTAACAATATCCTTTTCTTGTGTTACTGGTTTTCCCTATGTAATTAATATTGGGGTTCTCATATGAATCACTGTTATTTTCTACTCTAAAAGGTACACAAAGAGGTAAACTTTCAACAACTATTCTTAGGATTGTTGTAGGTTGGAGATAAGAAAATTCAGTGAGAATACAGTACTCTGTGCAAGCTTGTTAATTAAAATTAATTTTATCCCCTTAATGATATTTATCTGATTTCAGTTATAAGCAGCAAAAATTCAATTTGTTAAGAGAAGAGAATGAAGGTTATGCCAAGCTGATTGCTGAATTGGGGCAAGATTTATCTGGAAGTATTACTAGTGATTTAATCTTAGAAAATATCAAATCTTTAATAGGTAAGACATTTATCTGTATAGTATGTGTTGTTAAGATAACAAGTTATTTTAGCTATTGGAGAATATCCATAAAGACAAAATGAGTGCATTCCATCTATTTTTTTTTTCAGTTAAGGAATGGGAGAGGTGTTTAGCTTTTACTTTTAATGGTTTATCAATAATTATAAAATTTAGCATGATATTTGTGAGAAATCTTATTGTCACTATACCTTGTATGTTAATATTAGGTCCTGCTCTGTCTAGTCTTTCTTTTTTGTGGAGGGGATCCTGAGTGGTAAGCCAACACTTTCAAAAGAGAATGGATGACAAAGAACAGGATGGACTGTTCTGATAGAGTGCCCTACGTTTCTCTAGTATTTCTATTTTTAAGTATTTCTCAACCATTTTATGGAGGACCAAAAAGCAAACATGAAAACTTTAATACAGTAAATCTTCAGTGAACTTTTGAAACTACAGATGTGTAATTTTGAACTTGATTTTCAAAATAACTTTACAAGGGACTTTGATACTTATTTTATCTTTATAGTAGCCTTTTAAAGTAAGTGCAACAGCTGTTGTAAAAGTGTAACAGATAGGAAAGTTATTATTCTCCCTACCCTTTAAGTAGAATTCCTGTAGCATTACTGTTTTCTTTTTATTTGCATTGAGCATTTGGAAGAAGTAGTTGACTTCTGTAAAAAAGATGAATGAGCACTAGAAAAATAGGGTAATCCAGATTTTCCTGAGGTGGAAAGAGTTTTTTTATTATTTACTAGGTGTTGTGCTATCTTAGGGAAGATTTTGCAGTACCTGGGTCTTGAGACCTGCCAGAGGAGTCATATTTTGTGCCTCACTAGTTGTATCTTAGGGGTGCTTATCCTCAGCTTCTTGGTTCTTTCTCTTTTTTTGGAGTTTATATATGACTAAGAAAGAGGGAGAAGGTGTCCCAATCCTTATCTCCTTCCTCTAGTGCTTTGTGTAGGAATCCAATTAAAACTATATTTACTATAATCACCTTTGTTCTTACCAACAAGTAAGTAGCTTTTAGTTTATTTTTTAAATTTTTGTTTATTTATTTTTTAAGAGACGGGGTCTCGCTATGCCCAGGCTGGTCTTGAACTCATGGGCTCAAGCGATCTTTCTGCCTTGGCCTCCCAAAGTACTGGGATTACAGGCATGAGCCACTGTGCCCAACTAAATAGCCTTTTGTTTAAATTTACTCTTTTCTTTGAAGTTAATCTAGTTCTGGCAGCTGATCTAGTGTCTTTGTTGTTTCTTCCAGTTGTCAATTTAACACCAAGATGGGTGGCCCCCTAGGGCTGTGGGACTCTTGCTTAACTGTGTGGCAGTGACCCATTTTTAAAAACCTTCCCATGGTGGTTCCTTAGTTCCTTTCTGTTCTTTCTTTCTCTTTTTTTTTTCTTTTTTTTTTTTTAGATGGAGTCTCACTCCGTCACCCAGGCTGGAGTGCAGTGGCGCAATCCCAGCTCACTGCAACCTCTGCCTCCCGGGTTCAAGCAGTTCTCCTGCCTCAGCCTCCTGAGTAGCTGGGACTCCAGCCAACACACCCAGCTAATTTTTGTATTTTTAGTAGAGATGGAGTTTTGCCATGTTGGCCAGGTTGGTCTCAAACTCATGACCTCAGGTGATCCGCCCGCCTTGGCCTCCCAAAGTGCTGGGATTGCAGGCTTGAGCCACTGTGCCCAGCCCCTTTCTGTTCTTTCTAGGGTAGGCGCCACACTTTCCTGAGTGTTTTTTGATCTAGCTTGAGAAGGTTTTCAGTACTGCTTTGCTATAAGTTTGTCTTTCCTTGTATCCTGTCATACTTACTTAAGGTAGTATTCCCCACATAAAAATTCTGTGCTATTTTTTTTTTTTAACTTTATATCCTTTTTTGTTGACATCTGTTTCTTCTATTTCTTGTGAGTTTATACCTTTTTATTCCTTTGTTATTTTGGGAACATTTCAAAGAGGGATTTTTCTTGAAGGTGTGCTTTTATCTTACTAGAAAATGTATACTACTTACTTTTCTTGAACTTTACTCTCAGGGAGAACAGGCTATGATCCTGTTTCTGAAGAACAGTGTAACAGGCACAACTGCAAGCTCATGAGGTATATGGACAGTCTATGAGTATAAACAATTTGATTTATTGGGCTAAACCTATATTTTAACCCACCAAGTAGCAGTCAAATGTCACCTTCTTAGTGAAGCCTTCCCTGCCCACCCCTGTCAAAACTCCCTGCTATTCCCTGATTATTTTTCTTTTTTTGCACATATCACCATATAATATGCTCTGTACCTCCTCCCCCTCCACCTGTGATGTAGGCTCTGTGAGGACTGGGGTTTTGTTTGGTACCTTATCCTTAATACTTGGTATGTAGGTGATAAATAAATACTGGGTAAAAAAGGAATGAATATTTCCTCTATTCTTGTATAATCTATACTGACTCTTAGCATTTTTTTCCTGATATGGAGAATTTTAGAAAGTTCATCTTCCTGTCTCAGTGTTTATTTATCTCTGACTAGGTGATTTCCTCCTCCCCCAATTGTCTGAGAAATGAACTTTTATTTTTTTGAGACAGAGTCTTGCTTTGTTGCCCAGGCTAGAGTGCAGTGGTACAATCTTGGCTATCCGCAACCTCTGCCTCCCAGGTTCAAACGATTCTCGTGCCTCAGCCTCCCGAGTAGCTGGGATTACAGGCGTGCACCACCATGCCCAGCTATTTTTTTGTGTGTGTGTTTTTAGTAGAGTTGGGGTTTCACCAAGTTGGCTGGGCTGGTCTCGAACTCCTGGCCTCAAGTGATCCACCTGCCTCAGCCTCCCAAAGTGTTGGGATTACAGGCGTGAGCCCCCGGACACGGCCTGAATGAAACTTTTCATTGATGTGAAAATAGAGGTTGAAACTTCAATTCCAATGAGTATTCTTTCAGTGTTGTTAGCATTTATTGGAGTCCCTCTTAGTGCAGACTTCATCCAGGCCTTGTCTCATTCTGTCCAGAACACCTCACTGACCAGCATCCTATTTTTCATGGCCTCTTTGGATGGGTTTCTCTGTGTTTATTCCCATTGTTTTCTGTTTAGGAACAGTCTAGACAGGTAATACCTCCTTCATCAGCCAGTGTCAGAAACTGATACCTAGTTTGGGCAGTATACATTTTAGGTGCACATACTTTCAGGGTACTTGGTCTGACCAGGATAAATCCTTACTTATCATCCTTTAGTTAAAAGGCAGTTATTTGGCTGGATGCGGTGGCTGAAGCTTGTAATCCCAGCACTCTGGGTGGCCGAGGTGGGCAGATCACCTGAGGTCTGGAATTTGAGACCAGCCTGGCCAACATGGTAAAACCCTGTCTCTACTAAAAACACAAAAATTAGTTGGGCATGGTGGCACATGCCTGTAATCCCAGCTACTCTGAAGGCTTGGGCAGGAGAATCACTTGAACCTAGGAGGTGGAGGTTGCAGTGAGCTGAGATCGTGCCACTGCACTCCAGCCTGGGTGACAGAGTGAGACACTGTCTCAAAAAAAAAAAAAAAAAAAAAAAAAGGCAGTTATTTGCTCCTAAAAGATTCTGGCACATCAAAATTTTTATATTCTGCTGGATAACTTGGGGCTGTTTACTGCATGCGCAAGCAAGGAAGCAGAACCATTATGCATCTGCATGGTGATTGTGATCTGACACTAAATTTGAACAACTTATTAAATACGAATGAATAGTGAACAGTAGACTATTGAGCTGCCAAGTCATAGACACCATACAAGTGGCCATAGCTTGAAGATGGCAAAAAAACATCTTTTAGAAATTAGAGGAAAGGATATCACAGGTGGACTCCTTTGTTTGCTGAACTAAACGGTAAGAACTCTACTCTTTTGGATGCCCTTCAAAAAAAATCAGAGCATCATGCTGTACACTTTAAATATATATAATAAAAACAAGTGGTTGCTAAGTGTTCTTTCCTTTCCTTTCTTCTAAATCAGTGGTCAGCAAGTGTTTCTATAAAGGGTGAGATAGTAAATATTTTTCGGCTTTGTGGACCATATGGTTTCTGTTGTAACTACTTAATTCTGCCATTGTAGTGTAAAAACAGCGTAAAAACAGCTATAGATAGTACATAAATAAATGTGACTGTGTGCCAATAAAATGTTATTTACAAAAACAGACCGCTAAATGGATTTAACCCACAAGCCATAGTTTGCTGATTCTTGCTCTAAATCAAAAGTTCTGCCTAACAACTAATCACGGAGCTAGCTTATTTGAGCGTAGCTTTAGAGAGTGAAAATGGTTCTTCCTGGTTTTGGATTTTAGTGGTCCAGGACCTTTTTGGCCTAGGCTCTAACCCCTTTACCTTTGCTCGCAGAACCAGAGCTTTCTTCACCAAACCTCAAGACCTTCATTTGTTGCCTGGTGTCAAAGGGTATAGATTTGGCTAGGGAAGGGTAGAGTGAGAGTCTTTGCCTCTTCAGTCTCTCAAGTGACCAGAGTAACATTAAAAACAAAATAAATCCTTAAGCCAAACGATTTTTATTTTTGGATAGATTATGGGACATTTCACCCCTTTGACTACATGATTTTGAGTGTATTTAGTATTTTATCTTTGGTTCAATCTGAATATAGGGTCCATTCAACTTAGACACATCTTATTGTGCCACCTTTTTCCTATTTCTTTGAAAGGGAAGTTGGCTGCCTTATTTACTTAAATTTTTACATTATTGAAGTTTCTTGGCTATATGTTAGAAGTTTTCCCTTCATAGTATGAAAAAGAAGACAGCAATTAGTGTTTCCAACTATAGGGGTTTTTTGTTGTTGTTATTTATTTTATTTTTGTTTTGAGACAGGGTCTGGCTCTGTTGCCCAAGCTGGATTGCAGTGGTACAGTCTTGGCTCACTGCAACATCTGCCTTTTGGACTCAAGCCATCCTCCCACCTCAGCCTCCCAAATAGCTGGTACTACAGGCACACACCACCATGCCCGTCTAATTTTTGTATTTTTTGTAGAGATGGGGTTTTGCCATGTTGCCCTGGCAGGTCTCGAACTCCTGAGCTCAAGCTATCTACCTGCCTTGGCCTCCTAAATTGCTGGGATTACAGGCGTGAGCCACCATGCCTGGCCTTGTTACTGTTTTTTAGATCATACTTTTATTTTGTTATTCATTGGTTCTTGCTTTGAGATGTGCAGTTTTTTTGCAAATAGTGTTTCTTAGAAATAGTCTAGCATAGATTTTTATTAGCTTCTAAAGAAACTCTTTCTACATTGTAGATCATTTCATTTTGTTAAAAACATGATTTTCTTTGTCTCCTAAGGTCCATTCTCTCAGGAACTTGATGATTGAGGCTATAATTCCGTTTTCTTGCCTGAAATTTATAGGCTGGACATCTCTCCTAGTTATGTCTGCAATATTATCTTGGTCTTTTATTTTCCTGTTAAGATCTCAATTTGGCCTAATTTCTACAACAGTCATTGTCAGTTTGATCATATTTCTTGCCCCTAGTTGGTGTCACTGTAACATAACTGGTTATTTTTTCTATCTTTGGGGAAACTCCAGTTGCTTTTTCCTGCATTTCTTCAAAGATGTATCATTCAAAAGGTGTGAACTCTTCTCAAGGGTAGCGTAAACATTTTATTAATCGCTATAGTTTTTCAGCTTTATTCAGGCTTCATTGACATATAGTAGAATGCTTATATTTAAAGTGTACAATTTGACTTTTAATATATGTATACATCTGTGAAAATACCACAAACAAGATAATGCACATTCCTCCCACTACCCCTGAAATTTTCTCTTGCCTCTTTGTGTTTATCCTCCCTCTCTTCTCTCTTCTGTTTTCCCGGAGAATCACAAGCACCTGGCACATAGTGGGTAGTTATTTAATACTTATTTAAATGAAGGAGGGCATCTATGGCCATTGTAGATCTGCAGTTTCTTTATTTTTCCACTTATTCTCTTTAAATATGGTTTCTTGTTTGTTCCTCAAAAGGCATAAAGGCATATGTGTGTGTGTTTGTGTGTGTGTGTGTATGTATGTATATGTAAAAATATATATGTGTGTATATATATATAAATTGCTGTGTGTATTAATGTAGCTGGTGGTAGAGGTAGGGAGCTAGGTTTGTGATCTCTGTAAAGATCACATGATTATCAGTGCTTGGGCTGGACAAAGCTCTTCTAAGATGTTTGCATACAAGACTGCTTATGTTCTACTACAGCTGCCATTAGGGAAACATTTTGGATATTCAAACTTACTGATTATTATTAGAGTCTCACTGTATATGAACTAGTTTAACTGTTACTTAAAACGCTAAGATTTTAAAAATGATTTTCAGCTGGGCATGGTGGCTCATGCTTGCAATCCCAGCACTTTGGGAGGGTAAGGCAGGAGGATCACTTGAGACTAGGAGTTTGAGACCAGCCTGGGCAACATAGTGAGTCCCCATCTCTACAAAAAAGTTAGCCAGGCATGTTGGTTTGCATCTGTAGTCCTGGCCAATTGGGAGGCTGAGATGGGAAGATCACTTGAGCCCAGGAGTGTGAGGTTGCAGTGAGCTATGAATGCACCACTACACTCCAGCGTGGGCAACAGAGCGAGACCCTGTCTCTAAAAATAATAATAAATGAAAATAATTTTCTAAACCTTCAATTGGCTACCTTTTCTATCTTATGGATAAAATTAATTGGACTTACGGCACCTGAGATATGTAATAGAAAACTCATGAGCCAGTTTTTCTTTAATGAAAGATGCAAAGGTGATACCTGTTATAAGTAAAAGTGCACATACCTCTTGTTTCAGATTACTGCCTTAAATTGCACCTAGAAGGAAAGTGGGTAGTTGATAGTAAAGGTCACTGATAGAATAGCCTTGATGAAGTAATGCTGTTAAATAAAACATAATGCTAGTGGTTCACATTTCAGCATACTGAAAATGTAAACTTAAAAGCAATGTGAATGAAGCACTTAAAAGATTTTAATCTAACATGTTGCTGTTCTATTCTTTATTTATGAGTTTTGTGTATGTAGCCTAATGGGTAATTATAAGCCAGCCAGTTTGCCAAAAATTATATTCAGTGTCTCTTTTGTCTTCTGTGATAGAGTGTTAATTCATTTTTATTTAGTGATTTAATTTTTTATATTTAGTTAATGTAGGAGAAGTTACATGATTTGATAATTTGCTAGATCTTACTTCCATAATCTATCATCAGTGTTACAGCAGTGTGAAGGCATTTTTCATCTTTGTTGAGGCTTCCTTGACATACAGTAAAATGCACATATTTAAGATGTGCAATTTGAGTTTTAACATATGTATACATCTGTGAAAACACCACAAACAAGATAGTGCACATTTCTCCCATTCCCCCTCAATTTGCTTCTTCTTGACTCACTGCAGCCTCTGCCTCCCTGGCTCAAGTAATCCTTCCGCCTCAGCCTCCTGAGTAGCTGGGACTACAGGCATGTGCCACCATGCCTGGCTAATTTTTTGTAGTGACAGGGTTTTGCCATGTTGCTGAGGCTGGTCTCAAACATCTGGACTCAAGTGATCTACCTGCCTTGACCTTCCAAAATGCTGAGATTACAGGTGTGAGCTGCCACGCCCGGCCTGATCTGCTTTTTGTTACTGTAGATTAATTTGCTTTTTCTAGAATTTGTCTATAAATGGAATCGTACAGTGTGTACTGTTTTTGTCTGGCTTATTTCATTCAGCATAATTATTTTGTGATTCTTTCATACTGTTACCTGTATCAGTAGTTCTTCCCTTTTTATTGCTGAGTATGTCCACTGTACTTTTCCTTACTCCACTTATCCTATACGGCAAATTGCTTATCCATTTATATGTTGATGGACATTTGAGGAGTATTGTATATTACAGATAAACCTGCCGTGAACATTTGTGTACAAATCTTTGTATTGACATAGACATTTATTTCTCTTGGGTAAATACCTAGGCTGGGTCATATGGTAGGTATAAGTTTAAATTTTAAAGAAACTTGCCAATTTTACAAAGTGGTTGTACCATTTTACATTGCCATCAGCAGCATTTAAGGATCTTAATTGCTATTTTCGAATCACTTTTATATTCATAGGCCATACTTTTTTGAAGTACAGGGGGAGGTAAAAATATTTAGAAGTTTTCTTCCTAGAACTTCAGGGAAACGTCTTTTTGGAGAGTTTATGAAAATATGGAGCTTTTTTTGAGTAAGACATGATCACTGCTTTAGTCCTTCTTTTCCTTAGTTTGAGAAGCGGAAGAAAATGTGTTCTTAAGTTTGGATCTCATAAAAAGAGGGAAAACTTGTATTTGGAGGATTTGGTTTTCTAAGTGATTGCTAAGGTAGTATGAAACGTGAAATGACATTAGTTTTGTAGCATTTAATATAAATAAGTGTGGCGTTAATATAAGTAACTGGAGATATCATCTTACCAAAGGGTTGGGACATACAACCTATGGAAATTACATAGGAATTTTCTTGGGAAAATCCCCTAACTCATCCATAAGGTATAAGTGTTTAGATGTAACATATGTCCCTAAATTTATCACAGTTCTTTTTTCCTCCAGTATTAGAAGAAATCAGTGTTTATTTGTTAGCCCAATGAAGTGGTTAGCTTGCATTTAGGGACTATGTTTAATGAAATATACATATTTTAAAATACTAGAATCTCATTCAGCTTGATGAAAGGCATGTGGGAACTGACGTAAACCAGGAGCCTCCAACTCCCTTGGTATTCTTTGATCTGTTAGGATAAATAGCATACCACTTTTCCCTTTAGAATGCTACTAAAAGCCATGGATATAAATCAGTGGTATATTTTATAGTTCTGTAGTATATGTAAGATAAAATAAAAATGATTTTTAAAATGATGGTCCACTTTTGTGAACCCGGACTTTTAACTGTTTATCAGCATTCCAAATACTTCTGCCTAAAACATTAAAAAAAAACCCCTTTTGTTGCTTAATTTGTAAAATGCATTGTTTGATTTTCGTGTTTTTCCAAGAATTAATAATGTGGACCTGTTTCACTAGCCCGAGTAATCAAGAACTGATGAGGCAAAGTGTGGCATAGAGGAATGTTTATTTGACTGGTATCACTGGTCCTGGACTATACTGACCCAGCTCTGTCATTAACCCGTTCTGTGATTCTGGGAAAGTCACATTCTCATCTGTAAAAATGTGTAGTGGATTTATTTCCCTCTGGGAGAGAGGAAGCAAATTTGTAAAGAAAGTTGTTTTTAAAAACATTTTTATCTTGCTATATGAGTTATTCCTGAAAATTAATGGCTTCACTAGAAATGATGTATAATCATTTTTAAATTTTTGTATGTCTCATCTGTTGCAGGATGCTTTAATCTGGATCCCAATAGAGTTTTGGATGTCATTTTAGAAGTGTTTGAATGCAGGCCAGAACACGATGACTTCTTTATATCTTTGTTAGAATCTTACATGAGTATGTGTGAACCGCAAACACTGTGTCATATTCTTGGGTTCAAATTCAAGTTTTACCAGGTAAAGAAAAACGTGTATGTATGTATATTTAGAGATTGATTTCTTAATCTTGTTTATATAATTTAATTTGTTTTATTTGTAAATGATTGGTCTCATCTCAGGTGTTCTAGCAGAAGAGATAGATAAATGGATAGCTAACAATGCAATGTGATAAGTACTATATTGGTAGTATGAATGATGTGATGTGAAAGCCTAGAGGAAAGAATTATTAAGTTTTGCCTTGGGAGAGGTGGAGTCAGGGAAGACTTTATAGATGTGTCTTTTTTTAAACCTGGTCCTTGAAGGATGAATAGGAGTTCATTAAGGTTTTCTCTGCATGAGTAACGAACAATGTGAGAATCAAGATGTGGCAGTGTGAATATATAGAGATAGAAGGAATGGTTCATAGTCTGATGTGGCTGGGTTGTAAGATGGGAAAAGAAGGGACAGGAAATGAAATTGGGAAGGTATGTGTACTTCAGATTGTCACAGGCTTTGAATACTGTGTTAAGAGTTAGAATCTTATTTTTATTTATTTATTTTTTATTTTGAGATGGGATCTCACCCAGACTAGTCTCAGACTCCTGGTCCGAAGTGAACCTCCCACCTCAGCCTCCCAAGTAGCTGGGACTACAGTCGTGTGCCACTGTGCTTGGATCACGAATTTTGTTTTATAAACAATGGCTATTGGAATTTTTTAGGGATGTGAATAAATATTCAAGGCACATCTTACATCATTCCCTTAAGCCACTAAAATAGCGGTCAAGCTAATCTGTGTCTCTGATTATTTCTACTTCAATCCATCTTTCATATTATTGTTATTGTTGCTTTCTTAAAGAGACCTAACTGAGGCACTTCACTGGTCAAAAACCTTTACTTCTAGGATGAAATTCAAACTTCTAAATGTGGCAGAAATAGCACTTCACAATTTGGCACTGTTCTTTCCGGCCTTATCTTTATAGTTATTTTTTTCTTAAATCTAATATTCTAGTCATATTAAGTGACTAGCCATTTCTTGAACTTAGATATAGATATTGCTATGAACCTTTGTTCCTGTAGTTCCTTATAACTAAGAAACCATTCTTACCCAACCCTCTCACTTCTCCTTTCTTCATCTTGTGAACTCCTATTTATTCTTTAAGAGCAAATGCTGCTTGTTCTGTAAAGGCTTAGCTGACTCTTTACCCATGCAGAATTAGTCACTTCTTAATCTGTATTCTCATAAAACTTGACACATAACTTCTAACACCCATCAGATTATCTTAGAATAAACTGTATCTATCTCCTTTGCCAGACTGTAAACCATATAGGGCAGGTGAATAAACTGTATCTATCTCCTTTGCCAGATTGTAAACCATATAGGGAAGGTTCTATGTTTTACTAATTCCTATGGATTAATTTATTGCCTAGCCTATAGTAAATGCTCACTAATTGTAAACGAGTGATCTATGTTTTAGGAAGACAATTCTCTTGATAGCATGGAGGATTTTAATGTAATAAGGCCTCCATTTACCTTTTGGTATAGCTCTGCTAATTTGTTTACTTGCCTGGGATAGTCAGCTAGTCAGAAAGCATTCATTGAATGTTTATGATTATGCTGTTTGCTAGGCACTGAGGTTACTCTGGTGTAGAGGAGTGTCTGTTTCTATACTCTTGGAGTGTGAGGTCAGGATAATAAGATAATTCCTTTTAGTATTCTTAAATGATATAGTACCTACTGCCTTTGCTCATCTTGTATTTTCTATGATCTGGGATGCTCCAGCAGACAGAAGAGAAAGCAGACGACAGTTTAAAAGCATATAGCTTTTCAATACCAAACAAGAGACATGGTAGGGTTTTTGGGCAGGAGCATAATACCTTTGTTCAAAAATGAGCAGTGGCGGCTGGGTGCAGTGGCTCACGCCTGTAATCCCAGCACTTTGGGAGGCTGAGGCGGGCAGATCACCTGAGGTCAGGAGTTTGAGACCAGCCTGGCCAACATGGCGAAACCCTGCCTCTGCTAAAAATACAAAAAAAAATTAGCCAGGCGTGGTGGCGGGCACCTGTAATCCCCACTACTCGGGAGGCTGAGTCAGGAGAATCTCTTGAACCTGGGAGGTGGAGGTTGCTGTGAGCCGAGATCATGCCACTGCACTCCAGCCTAGGCAATAAGAGTAAAACTCCGTCTCAGAAAGTCCACTCTTGGTATTGGGAAAGAGAGATTCAAGCATTCTGTCAGATTTTAAGAGCCACCATGATTGCTCTGGGCTTGAGTACATGAAGCCAACTGCTTTAGTGACAGGTTGGCTGAAATTTAACTTGTGCATGATTAATTAAAATTTAAATTAGGGCTTTGGAGACTGTGGGTTTGAGAGCATATGACAGTGAATAATGATGACCTGCATAACATCAGGTTAGTTGAATGTGAGTTTTAGAATGAAAATCTTTTTGTATGAAAACATTCCTTATAAATAATGTAACTTTTCTGAGCTGAATTAAAATATACCCGGGGGGGTCAACAGTATTTGAATAATCTTTTTTTTTTTGTAGACAACGACCATTTTTCTTATATAAGAAATACTTACCCAATAAATACTTAATTTAGAAATAACTTGTTCTTGGAATGACTAACCCTCATATTGCTCTATGTAATACCATCCCTTTGTTTCTATTGTTAGAACTGTCTTATGGGCCAGGCGTGGTAGCTTACACCTGTAATTCCAGCATTTTTGGAGGGCGAGGCAGGTGGGTCACCTGAGGTTGGGAGTTTGAGAGCAGCCTGAACAACGTGGAAAAACCTTGTCTCTACTAAAAATACAAAATTAGCCGGGTGTGGTGGCGCATGCCTGTAATCCCAGCTACTCGGGAGGCTGAGGCAGGAGAATTGCTTGAACCCAGGAGGTGTGGAGGTAGCGGTGAGCCGAGATCATGCCATTGCACTCCAGCCTGGGCAACAAGAGCGAAACTCTGTCTCAAAAAAAAAAAAAAAGTCTTGTCATTGTGAGAATCTGCAGTTTTAAGGGCCACTGAGGGTAGGGGAAGAAATGTCAGATATTTTTGAAAAGTTTTGGCCTTGAAGGTAAAGTAAGGAAAGCTATGAAAATCAGGAACTGCTTAGGTGATGTAACCTTGAGAGTTGGCTCCCAAGCATATATGGTCAATCTGTGTATTGGTCCCTGGCCTAATTCCCCCATACCCCTTTCCCATCACTACCTGAAAATGTTCACAATCCTTTTCCCCAACTCATATGTTGACCAGCTGGGTCTTATTTGGATTAATAGGCTTCTTTTTTTTTCCCCTTAATGCTAGTATTATTCTATGATATCAACGACAGTGAGAGGTTGAGCATCCCAAATCCACAAAGCTCCGAAATCCAAAACTTTTTGAGCACTGAATGATGTTCAAAGGAGATGATTGGAGCATTTTGGATTTTGGGTTTTCAGATTTGGGATGCTCAACCAGTATGCAAATATTCCAAAATCTGAAAAAAAATTCCAAAATCTAAAACACTTCTGGTCCCAGGCATTTTAGATGAGGGATACTCAACTTGTACAGTAGAGGATTTGGGGACAGCATGAGAGACAGCACAAAGGACAGGAAGGGAGTACAAGAAAGTGTGAAGGTACCAGAAGACAAACTTGTCTGGAGTTGTCTTGTTACAGGAAAGGAAGAGGAGGTGATAGGTCTCATCCATATTGCCCTTTGATTTCTGGATTCAAAACACAGTAATAGTAGTAATGGTAGTACCATGGTTCAACCCTATTATACATACCCCAAATTCATTCATTTAAGAAATATAGATTGAGAATCTATATTTGTGCAAGGTAGTGTACTAGGTACTGAGGCTATATCTGTAAACAGAAATTCTTACTTTTTTGATGTTTAGATTCTGAGTAAATTATATGTTAGAAAACAATTAATGAGATGGGGAAAAATACAGAGCAAGATAAGATCAGGAGTGGTAGGTTGCAATTTTAACTGGAATAGTGAGAATACTCATTGAAAAGTTGAGATTTAAGCAAAGACATGAAGGATATGAGGATGTAAACTGTATAGATGTCTGAGGAAGAGCCTCTAGGCCAAGGGAACAGTCAATGCAATGGCTCTAAGGTGTGAGCATGCCTGATGTGTTGAAGAACAGTAAGGAGGTCAGTGTGGATGTATCAGAGTGATTGAGTAGAACAGTAGGAGATGAGGTCAGAGATGTGGGGGATGAGATCACAGAGCCAGTGCAAGGTTTTTGATTTTGATACTGAGTGAAGTCAGTGGAGGGTTTTGAGTAGGGTAGTGATGTGATCTAACTTAGCTTTACATTTTGTTTCTCTCTCATTTTATTGTGAACATTTTCAAATGTAGAAAAGAGTGAATAGTATAATGAATACTTATAACCCCATTACTTACAATTAAGTTTATTAACATGTTGCCATATTAAAAATATTAATTTATGTTACAAATATCATGAAAGCTTCTTCCTAAATACTATAGTTTACGGTTTTTAAAAGGAAGGGCATTTTCCTTTTTTTTCTTTTTTTGAATGGAGTTTCACTCCTGTTGCCCAGGCTGGAGCGCATGGCGCAATCTCGGCTCATCGCAACCTCTGCCTCCTGGGTTTAAGCGATTCTCCTGCCTCAGCCTCCTGAGTAGCTGGGATTACAGGTGGCTGCCACCACGCCTGTCTAATTTTGTATTTTTAGTAGAGGTGGGGTTTCTCCATGTTGGTCAGGCTGGTCCCGAATTCCCGACCTCAGGTGATCCTCCAGGATCAATTTCATAACATAATTAGATTACTGTCATATAATAAACCTAGACTGTATTCATATTTTCCAAATTGTCCCCAAAATGCATTTTACACCTGGTATGTTCACATGATGATCTAATCAAAGACCACATGTTGTATTTGATTGTCAAGATTCTTCGTCTCTTTTAATTTAGAATAGTTCCCCACCTTCTCCATTTTTTAATGGCGTTGACTTATTGATGAGACCATTCCTAGAAGACCTCATCTTTTGGATTTATCTAATTGCTTTTTCATCTTATTTGTTCTTTATTTCCTGTATTTGTTCTATACTTGGAGTTAGGTCTAAAGGCAAAATATTTAATGGCAAAAATACTTCATAGATTATGTAACATCTAATGTTCGACTGTCTTTAAATGGTTCAGTAAGTTTGTGATAGTCTGATTCCTCAGTTATACAATGGCATCCCCCCACCCCCCCACCACCTTTCCCTTCAATAACAAATTATCTGCAGGTTGATACTTTGGCAGCCTGGGAATATCCAGTTTCTCATCAACTTTACATTAAATGGTTTAGAATCCATGGATGACCTTTGCTTGAGCCACCTTTCCCTTTAGGGGTTCCAAATTGATGATTTACTAATTTTATCATGCCCTATATATTTATTAGCTGTCATTCTTCTAATAAAGAAGAGTTGTCCCTTACTAACTCAGGCTGTTTGCTTTCCTTGAAATACGGTTCCTACTGGAAAGGCAGGACAAATGATTAATATTTTCCCACTAATTACGAGCTATCAGAGTAAGGAGTTTCTTTAATAGCAGCCTCCAATGGTGACGTGAGTTGGGTGTGTACATGTGTGTCTGTGGTGAGAGAGAGAGAGAGAGAGAGAATGCATGTGTGTGTGTGGTTACTTAGATTTTCAATGGATCAGTCTGATTGTGTGTGGCAGCAGTGGATATTGATGAGATTCTGAATGTATTTGAAGGTAAACCAATAGTGTTTGCTGATGGATTGGATACAGGATGTGAGAAAGTAGAGTTAAGGACTATTCTGAAGTTTTTTGGACTGAGCAGTTAAAAAGATAGTGTTGTCACCAACTTAGGGAAAATTTCAGGTAGATTGGGTTTGGAGTGTTGGGAGGGAGAATTAGGAATTCACTTTGCGCATGTTAAGTTTGAGATGTCTCTTAGACATCCAAGTGTAGATAATCGACATATGGATCTGAAGGGGTGGGTTGCCCCTCCGCACCTGTGGGTGTTTTTCGTTAGGTGGAACGAGAGACTTGGAAAAGGAAGAGACACAGAGACAAAGTATAGAGAAAGAAAAAAAGGGGGCCCAGGGGACCGGCGTTCAGCATACGGAGGATCCATGCCGGCCTCTGAGTTCCCTTAGTATTTATTGATCATTATTGGGTGTTTCTCGGAGAGGGGGATGTGGCGGGATCATAGGATAATAGTGGAGAGAAGGTCAGCAGGTAAACACGTGAACAAAGGTCTCTGCATCATAAACAAGGTAAAGAATTAAGTATTGTGCTTTGGATATGTATACACATAAACATCTCAATGCCTTAAAGAGCAGTATTGCCACCCGCATGTCCCACCTCCAGCCCTAAGGCGGTTTTCCCCTATCTCAGTAGATGGAATATATGATCGGGTTTTACACCGAGACATTCCATTGCCCAGGGAGGAGCAGGAGACAGATGCCTTCCTCTTGTCTCAACTGCAACGAGGCGTTCCTTCCTCTTTTACTAATGCTCTTCAGCACAGACCCTTTACGGGTGTCGGACTGGGGGACGGTCAGGTCTTTCCCTTCCCACGAGGCCATATCTCAGGCTATCACGTGGAGAGAAACCTTGGACAATACCTGGCTTTCCTAGGCAGGGGTCCCTGCAGCCTTCCGCAGTGTTTTGTGTGCAGTGGTTTGTGTCCCTGGGTACTTGAGATTAGGGAGTGGTGATGACTCTTAACAAGCATGCTGCCTTCAAGCATTTGTTTAACAAAGCACACCTTGCACAGCCCTTAATCCATTTAACCCTGAGTTGACACAGCACATGTTTCAGGGAGCACAGGGTTGGGGGTAGGGTTACAGATTAACAGCATCTCAAGGCAGAAGAATTTTTCTTAGTACAGAACAAAATGGAGCCTCCTATGTCTACTTCTTTCTACACAGACGCAGTAACAATCTGATCTCTCTTTCTTTTCCCCACATGGATCTGAGTAAATAATTGGATATACGGACCTGGTGTTCAAGAGAATAGACCAGGCCAGAAATAGAAGTGTGGGCATCAAAAGCATGTAGATGCTATATAAATACATGACATTGGATGAAATCACTAAGGGTTGTATACAGAGAGGCAAGAGAAGAGAACCAAGGACTAAGGCTTGGGGCACTCCAGTGTTAAGGGTCTAGGAGAAGACGAGGAACCAGCAAATAAGGTAGATGAGGAACAACATGTAAAGTAGGAGGAAAAGAGAGAATGTGGCATTTTGGAAGCTAAATAGAGGAAGGAATGATTAACCATCAAATGCCTCTGATAGGTCATTTAAGGACTGAAAATTAACCATTGGAGGGAGGTCAAAACTAGCAGTTTTGGTGGAATTGGGTGATATTAAGAGATAATGGAAAGAGTAGAATTGGAGACAGTGACAATTGACAACTTTATCAAGCAGTTGCTACAAAGGGGTGCAGACCAAATGGGATGGTAGATGGCAAGGGAAGTGGGTTCGAGATTTTTTTAAGATGGGAGAGAGAACGCATTTGTATTCTGATGGGTATGACTGAGTGGAAAGTGGAGAGCTGGTGTTACAGGGGAGAGAGGTGAGAATTATTTGGAGCGGTGTTCTTGAGGATAGAGAAAATGGAGTTTGGTGCTTAAATGGGTGGATTAACTTGATATAGGAGGATAGAGAGTTTATCATAACAGGTATAAAGGCAATATATGTAGATATAGTTGGGTAGGTGTGATTGGGAGTTTGTAGAAGTCTAATTGATCTAATTTTCTTACTGAAGTAGAAAGCAAGGACATCAGCTGAGAGGATGAGAGAGGGAGGTATTGGAGGTTAGGAGAGAAGGTAGGGAAGTACAGTTATGTGCTGCACAATGATGTTTCGGTCAACAATGGACCACATATATGACGGTGGTTGCATAAGATTATAATGAAACAGGAACACGTAGCTGAAGAAGAGGCCCAAGAAAAGGAAACTACAGGAGAAGAACCCCCAAGAAAATTCACAGTAAAGGGTTTAGCAGAAGCTTTTCAGCAAGCTCCTTAAAAAGTTTGAAAACGTGGGCCAGGCACGGTAGCTCACGCCTGTAATACCAGCACTTTGGGAAGCCGAGGTGGGTGGATCACTTGAGGTCAGGAGTTCGAGACCAGCCTGGCCAACATGGAGAAACCCTGTCTCTACCCAAAAACGGAAAAATTAGCTGGGCTTGGTGGTGCAGACCTGTAATCCTGGCTACTAGGGTGGCTGAGGCAGGAGAATCACTTGAACGCGAGAGGTGGAGATTGCAGTGAGCCGAGATCGTGCCACTGCACTGCAGCCTGGGTGACAGAGCAAGACTCCATCTCAAAAAAAAAAAAAAAAGTTTGAAAACATGGACCCCAATGCTGACCAAGGTTTTTATTAATAGAGAGGAATGTACATGGCGCATTGTCTGCTTACAAGCGAATCTGTGATGAAACAAACAAACCAGGCAAACCATCGTGGCATGGACATATTTCTGAAAAGAGTGACACCTCCTCAAGAAGAGCCTCAGGTCCTTCAGGAGGTATTCCAGAAGAAGACATTGTCATCATAGATGACCGCTTCATGAGTGTTATTGCCCCTAAACATCTTCTAGTGGGACAAGATGTGGAGATGGAAGACAGTGATACTGATGATTCTGATCCTGTGTAGGCCTAGGCTCATGTGTGTGTTTGTGTCTTAGTTTTTAACAAACATGTTTAAAAAGCTTAAAAAATCTTTTTTTTTTTTTTTTTTGCGACGGAGTTTTGTTCTCCTTGCCCATGCTGGAGTGCAGTGGCACAATCTTGGCCTCACTGCAGCCTCTGCCTCCTGGGTTCAAGCCATTCTCCTGCCTCAGCCTCCCAAGTAGCTGGGATTACAGGCGCCTGCCACTAAGCCTGGCTAATTTTTTGTATTTTTAGTAGAGATGGAGTTTCACCATATTGGCCAGGCTGGTCTTGAACTCCTGACCTCAGGTGATCCGCCTGCCTCGGCCTCCCAAAGTGCTGGGATTACAGGCGTGAGCCACTGTGCCTGTCCAGCAAATCTTAAAAGTACAAAAAAGCTTATAGAATAAGGATATAAAGAAAACATATTTTTGTACAGCTGTACAATGTGTGTTTTAAGCTAAGCATTATTACAAAAAAGTCAAAAAGTTAAAAAAATATTAAAAAACTTATAAGGTAAGAAAGTTACAGTAACTAAGCTTAATTTATTTTAATTTATTGAAGAAAGAAATATTAAAATAATTTAATGTAACCTAAGTATATAGTGTTTATAAAATATATAGTAGTGTACAGCAATGTCTTAGACCTTCATATTCACTTACTAACTTACCCAGAGCAACTTCTGATCCTGCACACTCCATTCTTGGTGGGTGTCCTACACAGGTGTACCATTTTAAATATTTTATACCGTAATTTTTTTGTTCCTTTTCTGTGTTTAGATAGGTTTAGATACACAAACACTTATCATTGTGTTACAGTTGCCTATAGTATTCAATATAGTAACTTGCTGTACAGGTTTGTAGCCTAGGAGCCATAGAGTATTCCATATAGCCTACATGTGTAGTAGGTTATGTACCATATAGGCTTGTGTAAGTATGCTCTAAAGAGGCATTGAATGTATCTCCGTTGTTAAGTGATACATGATATAGTTGAGTGAATGGCTAAGACAAATGGAACATGATTGTCCAGCAGCATTAAGGGCCCATTTGAGGACAGATACATGAAATTGGCATTATGGAAGGATTGTCATTAGTGGTAATAATAAGATTTAGGATATGGAGTAAGTGGTTAAGATAGGGTATAGAAGATCTTTGGAAGAGAAAGGGTTCAGGAGAACCAAGAGGCTACATGGTAGAAGGCTCACCTACATGTATATGAAAATCTCCAAAAGTTAAGAATTGTAGTCAGAGAGAGTGACAGAGGCTAATATTGTTGCAAAATGAAGGGCAGTAGACTCAAGGATCCATAAATGGCATCAATAGGACATCACTGAAAGTGGCATAGTAGGGAACTCCAGAGCTCTGTCTCGCCACAAAAACAACATAACGAAGTGGAAAAAACTATCAGTCAACTTTGCTGCTGTCTTATTCTTCCCCAGTCCTTTCCCTGGTTGGTGTAAGTTTTTTTTACTATATTCTAGAGCTCTACAAAGTTAATTGAGAGTGCTGTGGCATTTTAAATTGCCTGTCTACTAGCCCCCACACCCAGATCAGTGGTGGCCATGGTGATAGAAGCCCACACTCCTGGTGCAGGTTGCTAATGCTAGAGGGAGCAAAGAATTGTGTTTTTGGGTTTTAATCTGGCTACCTGCTCCCTGAAGGACCCACATAGGGGCCTACTTTTGTATCTTTTGACTGGGAGTATTCTCAGGGCTGGTATGGCTTTTGCCAAAAGCACTTAAAGGCACAATTATTGTCTGTAATGGCCTGGAGCAAGGGACAACAGCTGAGACAAGCAGTAGTGAGACCGAAAAGCCTGAGAAGGAAGACATTAGAAAAAGAGATACATGGGGAAAAAGAGCTTTTTACAAAGTTGTCATATATACCATAAGAAGGTCATGCTTATGCTCAGAGCTGGGCACATGCCCAGAAAAGGCCAACAGAGACCCTAAGCTTTCTCTTCTGGGTCTGAGTAGGCAGGAAGTGAAGACTGAGGCAGAGCTGTGAATGGTCTGGCCAAACTTTGAGGAGTGTTCTAATGCACTCTCTTTTCCCATTTATCCAGGCCTTTAAAAAAACTGTCAATATACTAATTGGTCACTAAGCTAACAGAACATAGATTCAAGTGGCCACACGTGATGAAGAATACAAACTTTACAAAAAAAGTTTATAAAAGTCACTAAACACACACACACAACAATAAATCCACAATAAGCAGCATCAACCAACCTCTGGGTATTTGGGGGTGGAGAAGAATCTAATCTCCATAGTTGCTACATAATATTAAATATGTCCAGTTTTTTTTTTTGTTTTTTTTTGAGGCAGAGTCTCCCTCTGTCACCCAGGCTGAAGTGCAGTGGCACAATCTCGGCTCACTGCAACCTCTGTCTCCAGGTTTCAAGTGATTCTCCTGCCTCAACCTCCTAAGTACAGCTGGGACTACAGGTGCGCACCACCATGCCTGACTAATTTTTGTCTTTATAGTAAAGACAGGGTTTCACCATGTTGGCCAGGCTGGTTTCAAACTCCTGACCTCAGTTGATCTGCCTGCCTCGGCCTCCCAGAGTGCTGGGATTACAGGTGTGAGTCACTGTGCCCAGCCTAGATAAGGAATTGAAATCAATAGTCCTAAAATGCTTTATGAGCTAAAGGAAACCAGGAGTGTGCTGTCTCACCAAATAAATAGAGAACATCCATAAAGAGATAAAAATTATGAAAAGGAACCAAACAAATTCTGGAGTTGAAAAGTACAATAACTGAAATAAGAAATTCACTGTAGAGGTTCAACAGTAGAATTGAGCAGGTAGAAGAAGCCAAGCCAAAGAAAGAACACTGGTTAAAGTAACTCTAGGTAAAATATAAAAGCCAGTACTATTACATTTGTGGTTTGTAAGTCCTCTTTTTTTCCTATATGACTTAAAAGACAAATACATAATAATTATGAATCTTTAAAAAGATAATTTCAACTTTTATTTTAGACTCGGGGTACATGTGCAGGTTTGTTACCTGGGTATATTGTGTGATGCTGAGGTTTGGGGTACAATTCATCCCATCACCCAGGTTATAAATCTGTCAAATGGCACACTATAAAAATGTAATTTGTGACTAACAATAGGTGGGGAGGGGCAGGGATGTATAGGTGCAGAGGTTTTGTACACTATTGAAGTGAAGTTGGTATTAATTCAAACTAGGTTGTTTTAAGTTTAAAATGTTAATTATTATACCCAAAGGAACCACTAAGAAAATAATTAAAAACTAAACAGAAAAAAGAAGGGGATCAAAATGGTGCACACACACAAAATCAAACAAAAAAGGCAGTGATAGAGGAAATGAGGAACAAAAATATGACAGAAAACAGGTAGCAAAATGATAGAAGTTCATCCTTATCTATAATTATTTTGAATGTAAATGGATTAAACCCACCAATTAAAAGGCAAGAGTTTGGCAGAATGTATAAAAAATCATGATCCAGTTACATACTGTGTATAAGGAACTCACTTTGGATTTAGAGATACAAATAGCTTGAAACTGAAAGTATGGAAACATATTCTGTGCAAGCATTATGCTGGAGAGACCTGGGGTGGCTATGCTAATATCAAAGTAGACTTTAAGACAATAAGTTGTTACAAGAGACAATGAAAAACATTATATAATATAAAATGGATAACCCATTGAGAAGATATAACAGTTATAAACATACCTGTACCAAACAACAGAGCCCCAGAGTATTTGAAGCAAACATTGGCAGACTTGAAGGAAACATAGTTGTGTAATTATTGGACATTTCCATACCCTACTTTCATTAATGGTTAGAACAACTAACCATTACTTGACAAAAGATGAGTAAGAAAATAGAACACTTGAACAACGTTATATATATAGAACATTACACACAACAACAGAATCTACATTCTTCTCAAAGCACATGGAACATTCTTTAGAATAGACCATATATTAGGCCACAAAACAAGTCTCAGTTGAAATCATGCAAAATATCATCTCTGACCACAACAGAATGAAACTAGATTGCAACAATAGTGAGGGAGTAGTGAGTGATATGAAATTCAAAGCTGGGTGGATAGAGGGAGAATAGTCTGGAAGCAACAATAACAAGCAAAAAGAAAACTGCCACATCACCTCCAGGCCTGGTAGTGTGAGGCGTCTGAGGAAAACAGCTACCAGTTAACTGCGTTACAATGGCAGGGCTGTTCTCAGGGTGAACCAGGCTCTGTGTGAGCACCACGGTGAAAAGAACCTTTAAATGAGAAATTTGGATATAGGGAATTTTGCTGAGAATGGATCATGAATTCCATATGATTCCGTGGAAGTATTTCAAGGATGTGGAAAGGTATGATGGGACAGAACAGGGATTGTGCATAACAGTATGTGGATGAGAGTGTGGGGCATATTGTGGTGATGTATTTAAACAAGAATGAAGGGAGTAATGAATGTGGCCCTGGTGCATTCAAGTCAGGTAGTGGAGGACAGGTTGTCAATAAGTTAAATAAGCTTTTGTGAGTTTGTTTTGAAACCCTGGCCACAATTCATTTTTATGGGAAAATGTTTTGCTACTAAGTAACCATTTATAAGCATTTATTTTTACATGTTTTTAAAATTATTTTGAGATGGAGTCTCTCTTTGTCGCCCAGGCTGGAGTGCAGTGGCGTGATCTTGGCTCACTGCAACCTCCGCCTCCCGGGCTGAAGTGATTCTCCTGCTTCAGCCTCCCAGGTAGCTGGTATTACAGGTGCCTGCCACCACGCCTGGCTAATTTTTGTATTTTTAGGAGAGACGGGGTTTCATTGTGTTGTCCGGGCTGGTCTCGAACTCCTGACCTCAGGTGATCTGACCACCTTGGCCTTGCAAAGTGTTGGGATTACAGGCGTGAGCCACTGTGCCTGGCCTGTAAGCAAATTAGAATTAGGAAACTATTGTTACATTGAAGACATCTCATCTGTTTTTAAAAAATAGAGTGAAACAATGCCTTCTATAAATGATGCACATTAGTTTGGTTAGCTTTGTATTTTATTTGCATAATATCATAATTGTGGGAGGAACCTCACATACAAAGGTCTCATTTTCAGTATTGACTATAAAAAGAACATAGTGTATTGTTACTGTTTGCTTTTTATTTACATTTGGCCAGTTAGTTATTGCCAGTTATTCTCACTTCACTGTTCCATTCATCTGACCTCAGCAGTGTTAAAATTAGCTTTGAAAATTGATAGCATTCAAAGATTCTTATGTTTCTATGTAGGGTCCTCATGGCTGGCCTGGAATTGACTTTGCCATTCTGTACTTTAAAACATCGATTTATTCATCTGTAATATTTATGTACACCTGTTTTGTGGAGAACATCAGCTGACAGCCAGATATACTTAGCATAAAACCCAAGAAATAAAATTAAAGGAAGAAAAATATAAAGCAAATGCTGATGGTTCTTCTGCACTTGACAGTTTGTCTATCTGCGTCTCCACTAAGAACTAACTTGAAAAAGCAAGTTAAGAAAACACACATGTGTATCAGCCAGGCATGGTGGCTCATGCCTGTAATCTCATCACTTTGGGAGGCTGAGGTGGGAGGATCGCTAGAGCCCAGGAGTTGGAGATCAGCCTGGGCAACATAGTGAGACCCCATCTCTACTAAAAAAAAAAAAAAGCTGGGTGTGGTGGCATATACCTGTAGTTCCAGCTACTCAGGAGGCTGAGGTGGGAGGATCGCTTGAGCCTGAGAGGTCAGGACTGCAGTGAGCCATGACCATGCCACTGCACTCCAGACTGGGTGACAGAGTGAGACCCTGTCTCAAAAAAAACCCTCCAAAACCAAAAAACACACAAAAAAACAGAAAAGAAAACACACATATAAACAGAACTGCAGACTAAATCTTGTGCATTATAAAATCTCACTTATGCTATTCAGCTGTGAGATTTTATTTAAATGTTAACCTGCATTGTAAATTGTGTCCGTTTTTGAAATTGCTTTCCTTGTGTTCTTCAGAAGATGTTCCAATGTGAAAAGGGATGTTGGCATAATAATCCTTGTACTGAATTCAGATATTTGGTAAGATAAGGAAGAGCAGTGAAGCATTTTCTTGGCCTAGAGTATTTGATCTAATTGTTCTTAGTTATTGGTAGGTGAAGGATATTGCTTTAATTGTCCTTTCTGCACTAAATGGAAACTTTTTTTTTTATATTTCTAGGAACCAAATGGCGAGACACCATCATCTTTATACAGAGTTGCAGCAGTACTTCTACAATTTAATCTTATTGATTTAGATGATCTTTATGTACATGTAAGTCAAGTGGGCTGCTAAGAATACTTGATTGTCTGTCCCAAGGGTAGGGAAGAGGAGTAGGTAGCCACATAGCACCCCCAGGATTGGGTTGGTTCGAGGTTCTCAAGTCTCACTCTTTGAAGCCCCAATACATTGTTGATTTGTGTTTACTTTATAAAGTGAATAAATTTAGTTATTTGGCAGTCTATGAAAATTAAATACCTTTTTGGTCACCTTTATGGAGTTTAAGTTTTGGTCACCTTTATGGAGTTTAAGTTTGGATATGAAGTTCAAGTTCTTAACTGTCATCAAGGCATAGCTCATGGGGAGAGAGGCCAAGTTCTAACCAATGTGGTTTTTTAAGCCTTTTTATTATCTACAAATGATGGGAAATATAAAGTTACCTATATACTGCTTCTTTCTCTCTAAAATGTTAATTTTAGGCATTCAGGATGAATGGGGAACTTCATTAGTGTATTTTTATATTTAGTATATTTAAAAAATATTTTTCTTGTGTTATTCGTGTGCACTAAATGACTATTATGCTTTTATTGCTGGACCCAGGATGTAGAAGAGTTCATGATTGTGGCAGATGACCTCTAGTTTAACAAAAATTTAGTCATCAGTTTCAGAATCTAGGCTAATAGTATATAAATTCCTCTTCTATTAGGTTTTGTATTAGGATATCTATTAATTTAAAACAAGTATGTCCAAAGGTGATATCATCTTCACTGCCTTTGAGATCACTTTATTAACATCATTGCCTATTTTTGTATACTGTGGCTACAGAGTTGAGTAAAACTTGGTCTTTACCTTGGAAGCAGTCATACTCTAGGAAGGGAGAAAAAAATTTTGCATTATTTAATAGGTACTCTATTGGAGATATTCACAAAGCTCAGAATAGATAGTGACCATATCTGTCTTGGGGGATTTTGGAAGACTTTCCCAAACTAGTGATGTTGAACTGGGATCTTGATAGACAAGTAGGACCATCTAGGCTGAAATGGTAGAAAACTTTGTAGGTAGAATTAACTGAGTATAAAGGCAGGAGTTGTTGTTGTTGTTGTTTTGAGACAGAGTCTCACTGTTGCCCAGGCTGGAGTGCCGTGGCACTATCTCGGCTCACTGCAGCCTCTGCCTCCTGGGTTCAAGTGATTCTCCTGCCTCAGCCTCCCAAGTAGCTGGGATTACAGGCGCATGCCACCATGCCCAAGTAATTTTTGTATTTTTAGTGGAGATGGGGTTTCACCATGTTGGCCAGGCTGGTCTTGAACTCCTGACCTCAGGTGATTTGCCTGCCTCAGCCTCCCAAAGTGCTGGGATTACAAGCGTGAGCCACCATGCCCAGCCAAGGCAGGAGATTTGAAAGGGCTTTTTTATCCCCTTATGGGACTGTCAGGAAGCTCAGAGTGGTTGGAGCCTAGGGTGGTATATAGGGGGAATGAGGATGGAATAGAGAAAGCTAAACTGTTAACGGCTTAAGTGACATAGTAAGGAATCTGGATTTTTCTCTTGGGAGTGGAGAGCCATATTAGTATTTAAAGGAGAGATGTGATGTAGAAACTGAGAATATGGAAAAGTGGACAGAAAAGGGAAAATTTAAAAACACAGGTATGACTTTAGAGGGAAGTATAGACCGGCATATGTGGAAAGTACAAATTGATGATAGATTTATTACTCATTATGATTGCATTTAGCAGTAAATGTAAGCAGACTGAGTGGTCCTGTTAATATGACAAAGATTGTCAAGTGGAATTAAAAATGAGTTTATTATTTATATGAGAAACAGCTTAAACTTAAGGATAATGAAATGTTGATAGTAAAAGGATGAGAAAATAGATCAGCAAACTTACTGTTGGACAAAATAGACTTTTTGGCAGAAGGAGATAAAGCGGGCTACTTCATAATAACAAGATTGTGCTCACTAGGAAGATAAAACAGTTCTAACTTTACATGTATCTAATGACATATTCTCAAAATACACAGAAATAAAAGTTGAGAGAACTATAAGAAGAAACAGTTTGGCCATTAGAGGGAGTTGTAATTGTCTGGGTAAAAGATAAGGACCTATGGCCGGGCGCAGTGGCTCACACTTCTAATCCCAACACTTTGGGAGGCCAAGGCGGGCAGATCATCTGAGGTCAGGAGTTCGAGACCAGCCTGACCAACATGCTGAAATCCCATCTCTACTAAAAGTACAAAATCACCCTGGGGTGGTGGCACATGCCTGTAATCCCAGCTACTCGAGAGGCTGAGGCAGAATTGCTTGAAGCCGGGAGGCAGAGATTGCGGTGGGCCGAGATCGTGCCATTTCACTCCAGCCTGGGCAACGAGAGCAAAACTGTCTCAAAAAAAAAAAAAAAGTAAAAAATAAAACAAGAGGACCTGTGCCAGGTGTATAAGTACAGCAATACAAATGTGTTTGATTGCCAGGGGAGAACATACAGAATGAGAAAAAGTCTTGCTTACTTCCTTGCACCAGTCCATAGTGACTTTTCTCTCTCCCTCCCTCCTTTTTTTTTTTTTGATAAATGGAATGAAATCTATAATGTTTAATAGTTCATTATTATTTTCATTTACTGTTTACATTAAACCTAGTTAATGGAATAGATTATGCATTTCTAGGGGTCAGGAACACTCCTTTTATAGCTTATCATAGTGACTAGCAGAAACTACTGAGTAATTTGTTGCCTAAAGTTTTCTTTGTGTTAGGGTTATTTTATAAATGTCTTCATTAATCATCTTCCACTCATACAAGGTGACTGTTTGAGATACTTGAGCCTTTTTCATAATGGAGGGTTGACTATGCACATAGTACTTTTTCTTTTGCAATAAATTAGTAACTAGCTTGTGACTTAAATAAGCTCCTAGAAAAAGTGAGATGTCAAGTTACTAATAATTTTTCTACTTGAAATTTTTCATTTAGATGATTTAAATTTATCCCTTTGTGTTATTCAGTAGTTCACCTTTCCCAAATTGGATCCATATTGCAATGCTTTATTTAATTTGGAGTTTAGCCTTTAATGGGGAAATTTGTAATGTTTTTAATGGAACTGCTATATATTTTCTTGGGTAAACTAATAAATTCAACGGAAAACATCACTGTTGTGGTATTACATTACTTTAGGGACTCTGTCAGACAGAAGATGTGAAACTTTGAGCTGCGACTTGATTTTAAAAGGGGTACAGAATTCAGGTACTTCATTCTGTCAAATTATAAGAAAATAACTGAAATTTACTTAGAAGGCAAATGGTCACGAATAAGTTAGACTTCTTATTTATAGTTTTATCAATTGAGAATAGTGTTTCCTTTTTATATGAACAAGTAGTTGGTATTAGCTATTTTATGAAATTTTAATGTACCATTTTTAGCTTCTTCCGGCTGATAATTGCATTATGGATGAACACAAACGAGAAATTGCGGAAGCTAAGCAAATTGTTAGAAAGCTTACGATGGTTGTGTTGTCTTCTGAAAAAATGGATGAGCGAGAGAAAGAAAAGGAAAAAGAAGAGGAGAAAGTAGAGAAAGTATGTAATTCATTCTAGTAAAATTAACACTATCTTCTGGATTTTGAATTATGAAATTTAACTTCTAAATAGTCATTTATGGAAGAATAATTTCTTAGTTTTCATTTTGCTGAAACCTCATTTTCTGGATCATTTGCTACAGTGGTTTTATTTTTAATCTGAATGGCTCCTTTTTAAGAGAAGCTGTCATATTTTTTTTCTTGTATAAATTTCAAAATGTTTTCTAAGTAAAATCACAAGTTGTATTGACTTTAATTGTCCTCTGTGTATTAGTGGCCCTCAAATCCTAAAGAGATTCTCAGAGATGATGAATTCTGGTTTCCTGTGGCACGACATAACATGAAGTAGAACTTAATTCCAAGTCTATAAACTGTAATGCCTGTGTCTGTTTTTTTTTTTAATAAATTTATTATTATTTTTGAGACAGGGTCTCACTCTTTCACCCGGGCTGGAGTGCAGTGGCATGATTACAGCTCATTGCAGCCTTCTACCTCCTGGGCTCAAGTAATTCTCCAGCCTTAGCCTCCTGAGTAGCTGGGACTACAGGCATGCGCCACCACACTTGGCTAATTTTTGTATTTTTTGTAGAGATGGGATTTCGCCATGTTGCCCAGGCTTGTCTCAAACTTCTGAGCTCAAGTGATCTGCCTACCTCAGCCTCCCATGTTCCTGGACTATAGGTGTGAGCCGCTGCGCCTGGCCCTGATGTTTTTTCAATAGCTAAAAATTTTGATTGTACTTGCAGGAATATATTGTTTAATTTCCCATGAATAGCAAATATTTTTGATGTGTTGCTTAGGTCAGTTTTTTAAGTGACAAAGTATTAAGATTTCTTGATGTCTGTATCCTGAGTATCTTAGTTTTGACTATTCATTTTTAGCCACCTGATAACCAAAAACTTGGCTTGTTGGAAGCCTTATTAAAGATTGGTGATTGGCAACATGCACAGAACATTATGGATCAGATGCCTCCATACTATGCAGCTTCACACAAGCTAATAGCCCTTGCTATTTGCAAGCTCATTCATATAACTATTGAGCCTCTCTACCGAAGGTATGTAACTTTATACTTTATTAATCATTGAGGTAGAAATAGCTTAGGACTACAACAAAATGTATATTTATCTTATCTCCTCAAACCAAGCATATATTTTAGTACCTTTTATCAAAAGATAAGAACTATTCACAGAGTGTATCAGTCTGATATATATTAATCAGTGACTTGTCTTCTAACGTCTAGACCAGGGGTTCTAGAATGTGTGCTGCAGTGTAGTCTGAAAACTACAAGTTAGACTTCTAGGTTGGGTTTGTTCCATTGAGAGTTGAAACTCCATTCTTCTGGTTTTGACTTTCCCTCCTTTCAGTGGGTGGGAGGGGCAAAGAATTCCTGAGGTTTTTTCTTAGTGTAATTTTTCTCCATCCTGGCTGAGTGGCTCTGAGTGAGGACATTGCCTCTCTGATTCCCTTACCTTTCCTGGCATATAGGCTGCTGTTCTGGAAATTAGTAGTTTAGCCTCTCTTATCATCCCCAGTTACTATGTCATCTAGTCCTTTAGCTTTCTGCCTACTTGCAGGATACTTAGGAGCAGTATTGATAGCAGCTGTGGCTACAGCCCCATAGATCAGAGCCTGCCTCAAAAGCCTCAGCCTTGTGACTTTTGTGTAGCTGCTGGTTGCTGCCGTCAGTGTCACTTCATGGGCCGTGGACCATGCAGGCTTCTTAGAGAGTGACCCCTGTGACTCCACAGTGGGGCACCTGCTGAGCAGGTGAGAACTCTGGGTATGGTGTCCTAAAGTGACCTTCTTTTATTACATGGCTCACTTTCCCTACGACCACATTCTACATACCCTAGGTTGTGGAATCCAGATTGAGAAATGTCAGTTGACTTGAATCAGTGTTGTTATATCCATATTTTTCTGTTTCATCTTCCAGTGCATCTTAGGTCCATCCCTTGTTGCCCATTCCCATATCCAAGTTCCCGATACCGGCCAAGTTTAAAAACAGATTCAGATGGTGTGTGTTAAATGTTCCTTGAAATCCACACTTCTCTGATTAAGCAGTTAATTTGGAACATTCTCCTCTGAGCTCTGATTTTTTTTTTCTAATGACTGTTGTTTTTATGTGTTTCTACCAGTTGAGAATTATCTGGTGTAATAAAGTTAGGCACAATTGAAATGTAGAAAGCAAATATGAGCAAGAAAAAATTTCACTGATTAAGATAACTTTGTTAAAATGGTAGATATTGTAGTGTGTGTGTATATAGTTATATTTATTATATACTTATTTATTTGTTTATTTATTTATTTTACTTTTTAAAATAGAGTTGGAGTTCCTAAAGGTGCTAAAGGCTCACCTGTTAATGCTTTGCAAAACAAGAGAGCACCAAAACAAGCTGAGAGCTTTGAAGATTTGAGGAGAGACGTGTTCAATATGTTCTGTTACCTTGGTCCTCACCTTTCTCACGATCCCATTTTATTTGCAAAAGTGGTGCGCATAGGCAAGTCATTTATGAAGGAGGTAAGTAAGATTTTTCTTACAAACCTAAATTTTGAAATGAAAATATTCTGAGTATACTTGTGTTATGAGTATCTTTAGAAATAAAAATATGAACCTCATTTAATAAAGGGTTATGTTGAGTGAGGTTTGTGGAAAATTCCAGTGTGTCCTAACCATATGCAGTCAAGTGTTGCTTAATGACAGGTGAGAAATGCATCATTAGGTGATTCGTCATTGTGCAAACATCAGAGAGTGTACTTATACAAGCCTAGATGGTATGACCTACTACATACCTAGACTATATGGTATGGCCCGTTACTCCTAGGCTACAAACCTGTACAGAATGTTCCCGTACTGAATACTGTGGGGAGTTGTAATACACTGTTAAATATTTGTGTATCTGAACATATCTAAACATTTAAAAGGTAATACCTTGCACTAAGATGTTAGGACAGCCATGATATCACTAGGCAATAGGAATTTTTTAGCTCTAATATAATGTTATATGACCCTGGTCATATATGTGGTCCATCAACCGAAACATTGTTAAATGGTGCATAACTGTATATATTAATATAAACCCAAATCTAGCGAGATTATTAGTCAAGTCCCTCACATGGGAAAATATACTTCAGACAAGTGGCTGCTTTTTTAATTCCCTTATGATTAGTGGTTACTTAGCATTCTTTTCCTTCTAGTCATTTTCTTGAGTGTAGTTTTCAATCATTGCTGCTATGTGTAAGAAGTCTTTTCAGCCTCAGACTGTTAAGGACCCATTCTTTTATTTATTTATTCTTTTACTAAGATTTTTATTGAAATAAAACATACATACGGAAAAATACAGCTCAGTGACTTTCCCTAAACTAAGCACCCATATGTCCACTACCCAACTCAAATAGTTTACAGTCCCACCAACAGTGTGAAAGTGTTCCTATTTCTCCACCTCCTCTCCAGCACCTGTTGTTTTCTGACTTTTTAATGATCGCCATTCTAACTGGTGTGAGATGGTATCTCATTGTGGTTTTGATTTGCGTTTCTCTGATGGCCAGTGTTGAGCATTTTTTCATGTGTCTGTTGGCTGCATAAATGTCTTCTTTTGAGAAGTGTCTGTTCATATCCTTCGCCCACTTGTTGATGGGGTTGTTTGTTTTTTCTTCTAAATTTGTTTGAGTTCTTTGTAGATTCTGGATATTAGCCCTTTGTCAGATGAGTAGATTGCAAAAATTTTCTACCATTCTGTAGGTTGCCAGTTCACTCTGATGGTAGTTTCTTTTGCTGTGCAGAAGCTCTTTAGTTAGTTAGATCCCATTTGTCAATTTTGGCTTTTGTTGCCATTGCTTTTTGTGTTTTAGACATGAAGTCCTTGCCCATGCCTATGTCCTGAATGGTATTGCCTAGGTTTTCTTCTAGGGTTTTTATGGTTTTAGGACTAACATTTAAGTCTTTAATCCATCTTTGTGGAAGACAGTGTGGCGATTCCTCAAGGATCTAGAACAAGAAATACCATTTGATCCAGCAATCCCATTACTGGGTATATACCCAAAGAATTATAAATCATGCTGCTATAAAGACACATGCACATGTTTGTTTACTGCGGCACTATTTACAATAGCAAAGACTTGGAACCAACCCAAATGTCCATCAATGATAGACTGGATTAAGAAAATGTGGCACATATATACCATGGAATACTATGCAGTCATAAAAAAGGATGAGTTCATGTCCTTTGCAGGGACATGGATGAAGCTGGAAACCATCACTCTCAGCAAACTCACAAGGACAAAAAACCAAACACCGCATGTTCTCACTCATAGGTGGGAATTGAACAAGGAGAACACTTGGACACAGGAAGGGGAACTTCACACACCGGGGCCTGTTGTGGGGTGTGGGGAGAGGGGAGGGATAGCATCAGGAAATATACCTAATGTAAATGACTAGTTAATGGGTGCAGCACACCAACATGGCACATGTATACATATGTAACCAACCTGCACATTGTGCACATGTACCCTAGAACTTGAAGTATAAAAAAAAAAAAACAGAATAGTACCTGCAACCTAGAGTCTTTCTCATGCTGCATTCTAGTTACTATCCTAACCATAACCATTTATGCTTTTTTTTTTTAAAAAAATCAGCTTTGAGGTATAATTTAAATACAGTAAACTTCTACAATTTTATGAGTTTTGACAAATGCATACAGTTGTATGTTCACCACCACAATCATGATATAGAAGTTCCCTCCTTCCATTGCTGTTCCTGGCAACCTCTGATAGGCTTTCCATCACTATAGTTTTGCTTTTTCTACATCTTATTTAATAAATGGAATCATATGGTATATACTCTTTTCAGTCTAGTTTCTTCCACTTAAGCTTTTGAGATTTATCCAAGTTGCATGTGTCAGTAGTTCCTTTATTGCTGAGTGATATTTTATTACATAGACGTACCAGAGTGTAGCCACCAGTTGATGGGCGTTTGGGTTGTTTCTACCTGGAGGCTATTATAAAGCTGCTTTCAATATTCCTGCACAAGCCTTTTGGGAGGCATGTGTTTTTGTGTCCCCAGGGGTGGGATTGATGGGTCATATGAGTAAGTATATGTTTAATTTCATAAGAAATTGCCAAACTGTTCCAAAGCATCTGTACCATTTTGCATTCCTAACAGCTATTGTATGAGACTTCTAATTGTTCCACATTCCCACCAACACTTGTTGTTGTCACTCTTTTAAGTTTTAGTCATTCTAGTGGGTATGTAGTGGTATCTCACTGAGCTTTTAATTTTGTTCCAGTGACTAGGGATGTTGATCATCTTTTCATGTGCTTATTTGCCATTTATAGTTATCTTTAGTGAAATGTCTGTTCATGTCTCTTGCACATTTTTAAGTTGCGTTATTTGTCTTTTTATTATTGAGTTGTAAGAGTTCTTTATTCTGGATGCAAGGCCTTATCAGATATGTGATACTGTGAAATTTTTTTCTTAGTCTGATTTGCCTTTTCATTTTGTTAACTATCTTTTGACAGCAAAAAATTTTAACGTTTAATTCTGATTTAGTAGTATTTTTTTTTTTTTTTTTTTTTTGAGACGGAGTCTCGCTCTGTTGCCCAGGCTGGAGTCCAGTGGCGCGATCTCGGCTCACTGCAAGCTCCGCCTCCCTGGTTCACACCATTCTCCTGCCTCAGCCTCCCGAGTAGCTGGGACTACAGGCGCCCACCACCACGCCCGGCTAATTTTTTTTGTATTTTTAGTAGAGATGGGGTTTCACCGTGTTAGCCAGGATGGTCTCGATCTCCTGACCTCGTGATCTGCCCACCTCGGTCTCCCAAAGTGCTGGGATTACAGGCATGAGCCACCGCGCCTGGCCAGTATTTTTCTTTTATGGTTTGCTTTTCATGCTCTAAGAAATCTTTGCCCAGCCCAAGGTTTTAAAGCTGAAAAGAATTATACATAGTTTCTTTAAAGTTGTGAATCATGACAACTAAAAAAACCATCTAGACATTGTTAAAAAGGACAAATGCAGGGTGTCTTCAGTGTTTGGTGATTATATCTAATTTGAATTTTAGACAACAGCAACTGTATAGAAATACTAACGGCTATTGTGTATTAATTTCTTGACATCTGAAATATTTGACTTGGCTTTTTATACTTAGCTGGTAGATTTTTTTTGTTTGTTTTTGAGGTAGGATTGCACTCTGTCATGAAGGCTGGAGTGTAAGTGGCACCACCATGGCTCACTGCAGCCTTGATCTCTCAGGCTGAAGGGATCTTCCCGCCTCAGCAGCCCAAGTAGCTGGGACCACAGGTGCATGCGCCATGCCTGGCTAATTTTTTAAATATTTGTAGAGACAGAGTCTCCCTATGTTGCCTAGGTAGGTTGTTTTTAATGCTCACAAATTTACATTATGTAAAGGTACTCTAAAGAAATCTGTTAAGTAGTTAATTATTACTATATATATTGTTTATTATATAATATTCATATGAAATGGAAGTATATCATTTCTAAATGTTGGGAACATTCTAAGTCCTCTGTTCTGACTATTTTGAAATATATAATACATTGTTGTTAACTGTGGTCACCCTACTCTGCTATTGAACATTGGAATTCATTCCATCGATCTAACTGCATATTTGTACCTATTAATCAACCTCTGTTTATTCCCCCTCACCCCCAGCCTCTGTTATCTGTCATTCTATCCTCTCCCTCCATGAGACCACTTTTTTGTTTTTTTGGGTTTTTTTGTTTGTTTTGTTTTGTTTTTTTTTGAGATGGAGTTTCGCTCTTGTCGCCCAGGCTGGAGTGCAATGGCGCGACCTCGGCTCACTGCAACCTCCGCCTCCTGGGTTCAAGCAATTCTCCTGCTTCAGCCTCCCGAGTAGCTGGGATTACAGGTGCCCGCCACCACGCCCAACTGATGTTTGTATTTTTAGTAAAGACAGGGTTTCACCATGTTTGCTACGCTGGTCTCGAACTCCTGACCTCAGGTGATCTGCCCTTCTCCGCCTCCCAAAATGCTGGAATTACAGGCGTGAGCCACTGTGCCCGGCCATGAGGCCACTTTTTTAGCTTTCACACGAGTGAGAACATATGATATTTGTCTTTCTGTGCCTGGCTTATTTCACTTAACATAAAGACCTTCAGTTCCATCCACATTGCTGCAAATGATATGATTTCATTCTTTTTTATGGCTGAATAGTATTCCATTGTGTATATATATATACACCACATTTTCTTTATTCATTCATCAGTTGATGGGCACTTAACAGGTTGATTCCATAGCTTTGCTGTTGTGAGTAGTGTTGTAATAAACATGAGAGTGCAGGTATTCTTTTGATATATTGATTACTTTTCCTTTGGATAAATACCCAGTAATGGGATTGCTTGTAACAAATTATCACAGGTACCCCACAAATATGTACAAATATTTGTACCAGTAAAAAATTTAAAGAAATTTAGAAAGGAAGTATAATAATGTTTCACTCTTGATTTTTATTGTCTGAAAAGGATGATTCATGTTAGCTAGTGCCTGCTCAAGAAACAAAAGGGCTGTATTTTTTTCCAGTGCATCATATCAGGTGCATGTGAAGTCACTTTGTTCCATTGCTGGTGATGTTAACTTTATCATTTGGTTAAGATGATCTCTGCCAGGTTTCTCCACTATACAGTTACTATTTTTCCCTTTGTTATTAATATATGTCTTGTGGGAAGATATAACACTTTGAGACTATATAAACAGACTGTTTCTCCTCATACTTTCACCTACCTAATGCTGCTCTTTTAACTTGAAAATCTTAATGTTCAGATCTCTTGTTCTGAAATTCTTTGGTTATAAATATCAAACTTGTGAGCAGGAGACCAAACCTTCAACTCATGGAAGTCCTGTACATAACCATATACAATATTATTACCAAGATACACACTTGGTAGAGCTGTCACACTTCCCCTCTTGCCTTCTCCATTGCATTCATCCTGTACACCCGTTCTGCCCTAGTTGTGCCAGGTTCCTGCGTTAACTCCAGTCTATTCTTGCAGAGATGAAGGGCAGAAGGGAAGAGAAAAATGTTAGTTTTGACCATAGAGACCAGTGTAAGAAGAAATCTGCGTTTTCTCATTACTAGGTTTGTGATGGAAAAGTGAATCCTTACAGTTATCTGAGTTAGAATTTTGATCTATTTTTACCCATAAAAGATTTTGCTGTGACAAATCATTTGTTCTGTGTTTAAATGGCTTTTGTTGTCTAGCTTGGAATTCAAGCAGGATTTTTAAGATTGCTTCTAAAGGGTGAATATGACCTTAGTTCCAAATAATGTATTTACAATTACACTTCTTTAACAAATCTCATTTATAAGCTTAGGGTTGCTTTTATATACAAATTATGTATATTTTTAAAAAGAGGCTTATATACTTGTACCAGATATCACTTAACAGAATTATCTTCCAGCCCTATAGTTATTTGTAATTTATTTCTCTGATTATGTGTATATATGTTTCTTAAATTTGAGGTATGTAGTATATAGGACTAACTCCTAGTACAGTGATTCTCAAACTTCAGCATGCCTTGTAATCACCCAGAGGACTTGTTTTTGTTTTTGTTTTTTTTTGAGACGTAGTCTCGCTCTGTTGCCAGGCTGGAGTGCAGTGGCGCAACCTCGGCTCACTGCAACCTCCGCCTCCTGGGTTCAAGCAATTCTCCTGCCTCAGCCTCCCAAGTAGCTGGGACTACAGGCACGCGCCACCGTGCCCAGCTACTTTTTGTACTTTTAGCAGAGACGGGGTTTCACCATGTTGGCCAGAATGGTCTTGATCTCTTGACCTTGTGATCCGCCCGCCTCGGCCTCCCAAAGTGCTGGGATTACAGGCGTGAGCCACTGTGCCCGGCCAAGGACTTGTTAAAATAAATTGTTGGGCCCCATCCTTGGAGTTTTTGATTCAGTAGGTCTTGAGATGAGACCTTAGAATTTGCATTTCTAATAAGTTCTCCTGTGATGTTGATGCTCCTGGCCCAAAGACCAAACTTTGAGGATTCTTGTTCTAGGCTTAAGCAGTGGAGGAGTGTAGTGGTTCTAGAATTGTTTCATGTAAAAGGACACATTTTGCTATAATAACATTTTCTTTAATTATAGAGCACTAACATGCTCACCTGACATACTCAAATGTTTTTGATAGCACCTATATATTTTTTAGACTTTATTTTTTAGAGCAGTTTTAGGTTCACAGCAAAATCCAGAGGAAGGCACAAAGATTTGCTATATAGCCCCTGTTCCCATATGTGCACAGCCTCCCTTGTAATCAACATCTCCCACCAGAGTGGTACATTTGTTACAGGGATGAATCCACATTGACACATCACCCAAAGTCCATAGTTTACATCAGGATTTGCTTTGTGTTGTACATACTAGGGATCTCATCAAATGTATAGAATATTATCACTGCCCTAAAAAATCCTCTGTGCTCTGCTCATTTATCCCTCTCTCCTCACAACCCCTGGCAACCACTGAGCTTTTCATTGTCTGCGTGGTTTTGCCTTTTCCAGAAAGGCATATAGTTGGAATCAGATAGTATGTAGCCTTTTCAGATTGTTTTCTTTCACTTAGTAAAATTATACACATTTAGGTTTCCTCTGTGTCTTTTCATGGCTTGATAGCTCATTTCTTTTTAGCACTGAATAATATTTCATTGTCTGCATGTATCACAGTTTATCCATTCACCTACTGAAGGACATGTTGGTTGCTTCCAAGTTTTGGCAATCAAGAATAAAGCTGCTGTAAGCACCTTTGTACAAGTTTTTGTGTGGACCTAGGTTTTTGATCTACTCTGACAGTCTTTGTATTTTAATTGGTGCATTTAGATGATCAGTGTTCAAAGTAATTGATATATTTGGATTAATATTAATATCTACCATTTTTCTTATTCTTTTTTAGTTTTTGCCCCTGTTTTTTGTTCTTGTTTTTGTCTTCCACTCTTTTCCTGCCCTTTCTGGCCCATTTTTGGTTAAGTTTTTTAGTGATTACCCCACAGTTTGCAATGTACATTTACAATTGATCCAAGTCCACTTTCAAACACACTATTTTGCTTCATGGGTAGTGTGAGTACCTTACAATAACAGCATAATCCTAATTCTTTCCTCCTGACCCTTGCATCACTGAAGTCATTCATTTGCTTATACACACACACACACACACACACACACACACACACACACACACACACGCATATGCGTATGTAATCAAATACATTGTTGCTATTATTATTTTGAACAAACTTATTTTTGTTATATTAGTTAAGCATAAGAAAAATAAACATTTTACCTTCACTTAATCTTACTTCAGTGTTTCTTTTTTTGTTTGTTTATATATATCCAAGTTTCTGACCTATATTCTTTCTCTCTAAAGAACTTACTTAGTATTTCTTGCAAGGCAGGTCTACTGGCAACAAATTCCCTCAGTTTTTGTCTGAGAAAGTCTTTATTTCTCCTTTACATTTAAAGTATAATTTCACAGGGTCCAGAATTCTAGTTTTTTTTTTTATCTTAACACTTTAAATCTTTCACTCCACTCTGCTTGCATAGTTTCTAAGGAGAAATGTTTTAAATTCTTATCCTTGCTTCTCCATAAGCAAGGTGTTCTCCCCCACACCCAGCATCTTTTAGGATTTTTTCTTTTTCTTTGATTTTCTGTAGTTATAACATGATATGCCCAAGTGTAGTTTTTTTGTTTGTTTTATTTATTTGTTTATTTATTTATTTATTTATTTACTTTTTGCATCTGTCTTGCTTGGTGTTTTCTGAGTTTCCCGCATCTGTGGTTTGGTGCCTGATACTAGTTTGGGGAAATTCTGTCATCATTGCTTCAAATATTTCTTCTCTTCCTTCCTTCCTTCTGCTATTTCCATTATGCATATGTTACAGTTTTTTAGTCCTACAGTTCTTGGATATTCTGTTCTGCCTTTTATCAGACTTTTTTCTCTTTGCTTTTCAGTTTTGCAGGCTTCTATGGAGATATCCTCAAGCTCAGAATTTTTTCCTCAGCCGCGTTATCTCCCAATAAGCCATCAAAGGCATTCTTCATTCTGTTACAGTGTTTTTTATCTGTAGGATTTCTTTTTTTATTTTTTCTTAAAATTTCCATATCTCTGCTTATATTGCCCCTGCCCTTTTTTTTGAGGTGGAATTTTGCTTTTGTCATCCAGGCTGGAGTGCAATGGCATGATCTTGGCTCACTGCAACCTCCGCCCCCTGGGTTCAAGGAGTTCTCCTGCCTTAGCCTCTCTAGTAGCTGGGACTATAAGCATGCGCCACCACACCCAGCTAATTTTTCTATTTTTAGTAGAGATGAGGTTTCACCTTGTTGGCCAGGCTAGTTTTGAACTCCTGACCTTAGATGATCTACCCACCTCCGCCTCCCAAAGTGCTGGAATTACAGGCGTGAGCCACCATGCCCGGCTCCCCGCCTTTGTTTTTTTGAGACAGAGTTTTGCTCTGTCACCCAGGCTGGAGTGCAGTGGAGTGACCCTGGCTCACTGCAACCTCCGCCTTCTGGGTTCAAGCAATTCTCATGCCTCAGGCTCCTGAGTAGCTGTGATTACAGGCACGTGCCACCATGCCTGGCTAATTTTTTATATTTTTAGTAGAGACGGGGTTTCGCCATGTTGGCTAGGCTGGTCTAAAACTCCTTGCCTCGAGTGATACACCTGCCTTGGCCTCCCACAGTGCTGAGATTACAGGTGTCAAACACCGTACCCAGCCAGTCACGGAATCTTGTTTGTCTTTTTCCCTCCTAGAAGTAAATAGCATAAGTTCCTCTCTCTCTCTCTCTCTCTTTTTTTTTTTTTTTTTTTTTTTAGACGGAGTCTCGCTCTTGTTGCCCAGGCTGGAGTGCAGTGGCATGATCTCTGCTCACTGCAGCCTCTGCCTCCCGGGTTCACGGGTTCAAGCTATTCTCCTGCCTCAGCCTCCTCAGTAGCTGGGATTACAGGTGTCCACTACCACACCCAGCTAATTTTTGTACTTTTAGTACAGACGAGGTTTCTCCATGTTTGCCAGGCTGGTCTGGAACTCCTGACCTCAGGTGATCTGCCCACCTTGGCCTCCCAAAGTGCTGGGATTACAGGCATGAGCCACCACGCCCGGCCATTAAGTTCCCTTTTTTTTTTCCCCAGACAGAGTCTTGCTTTGTCGCCAGGCTAGAGTGCAGTGGTGCAATCTCAGCTCATTGCAACCTCCGCCTTCCAGGTTCAAGCGATTCTTATAAATATAAATAAAATATATTTTATTTATTGTGTTAGGAATGGGGGAGAGAGATTCTGTGTTTATGTTTTACTCTGCCATGGTAATTAATTTGTCTAGAAAGACTGTATATGTGGCTATTTCATACGTTGGCGCTTGGTAAAAGCCAAAGTGCTCTAAATTGATTTACAAATAAAGCTTAGTAAAACCTGAAATTAGGCAGGCAGAATATACCCCAGACTGGGTATTAGATGACATTAGGAAATAGGTGAGATAGTGATCTTGTGTTAATATGGCGGCATGTCCTTGTTCTTAGGAGACACCCTGAATTATTTTGAGAAACGTGTCATGCCTGCAAATTTTTTTGGTCTGCCGAAAAAAGGGCAAAATGTTAATTGTTGAATTTAGCAGGTAGGTATATATAGCTGTTTAGTATACTATCCTTTCAGTTTTTATGTAATTTGAAATTTTTCATAATAAAAATTTGGATTGCAAGGAGAATGTGCCTTAGACCAGTAGTTCCAAAACTGTAGTTTATAAACCAAATGCTTTAGAACTTTGAGGCTGATGTTTACTACTTTTTGTTTTTTTGTCAGCTATTACAGGAGGGGGAGTCTGATTCTGCTTCATTCCACTTATTTGTTTTCAAAATTGAAAATCTGTCTTGGTTATGTAGCTTAAAGCCCAAGATTCTTCATAGAGTAGTTTTAAGAAATAAATGCGAAGGTTTTAGTCTGTACGTGGCACATAGTGAGTACTAAATAAATTGTAGTAAGAATGAGAAGAAGGAGGAAGTTGAAAATAGTGTTTTAATTCACACAGTTTCAGGTTCCAGTCTTTTCAAAAATCTTGTGTTTTTTTCCTCTCTCTTCTGAGACATAATCCTGAGTAGTGTTTGAAATGTTCAAGGGGCAGGGATACGAAAAATAGATCATTAGTAATAAAAAATTATCTAGTTATATCTACAACTTTTCCATTTATTCCATGACTCCCCAAAAACCCTCCTCCTAATAAACCTATAAACCTATATATTTTTTGTGTGTCCTGTACTGTTATGCAGCCCGATCAGCTACTGTGTCTTTATAGGGCAATTTTGGAACTTGTTTTGGGCCATTCAGCTAATAGCCTATATAGGCATAATTGTGGCTAGTTTTATTCAAACTTTTTTTTTTTTTTTTTTTTTTTTTTGAGACGGAGTCTAGCTCTGTCACCCAGGCTGGAATGCAGTGGCGCAATCTCACCTCACCATAACCTCTGCCTCCTAGGTTCACGCGATTCTCCTGCCTCAGCCTCCTGAGTAGCTGGGATTACAGGTGCGCGCCCACCATGCCCAGCTAATCTTTGCATTTTTTTTTAGTAGAGAAGGGGTTTCACCATGTTGGTCAGGCTGGTCTTGAGCTCCTGACCTCGTGATCCGTGGTCTCAGCCTCCCAAAGTGTTGGGATTACAGGCGTGAGCCACTGCACTCTGCCTATTCAAACTTAAAAATTCAGTTGCTCACAGGCAAGTGTGTGTGTATATATATATATATTTATTATTATTATTATACTTTAAGTTCTGGGATACATGTGCAGAACGTGCATGTTTGTTACATAGATATACACGTGCCATGGTGGTTTGCTGCACCCATCAACCCATCATCTACATTAGGTATTTCTCCTAATGCTATCCCTCCCCTAACCCCCTACCCTGCTACAGACCCCTGTGTGTGATGTTCCCCTCCCTGTGTCCTTGTGTTCTAATTGTTCAACTCCCACTTACGAATGAGAACATGCGGTGTTTGGTTTTCTGTTCCTGTGTTAGTTTGCTGAGAATGATGGTTTCCAGCTTCATCCATGTCCCTGCAAAGGACATGAACTCATCCATTTTTGTGGCCGCATAGTATTCCATGGTGTATATGTGCCACATTTTCTTTATCCAGTCTATCATTTATGGGCATTTGGGTGGGTTCTAAGTCTTTGCTATTGTGAACAGTGCTGCAGTAAACATACGTGTGCATGTGTCTTTATAGTAGAATGATTTATAATCCTCTGGGTATATACCCAGTAATGGGATTGCTGGGTCAAATGGTATTTTTAGTTCTAGATCCTTGAGGAATTGCCACACTGTCTTCCACAATGGTTGAACTAATTTACAACAGTGTAAAAGCATTACCATTTCTCCACATCCTTGTCAGCATCTGTTGTTTCCTGACTTTTTAATGATCACCATTCTAACTGGTGTGAGATGGTATCTCATTGTGGTTTTGATTTGCATTTCTCTAATGACCAGTAATGATGAGCATTTTTTTCATGTTTGTTGGCTGCATAAATGTCTTCTTTTGAGAAGTGTCTGTTCATATCATTCGCCCACTTTTTGATGGGTTTTTTTTTTCTTGTAAATTTGTTTAAGTTCCTTCTAGATTCTGGATATTAGCCCTTTTGTCAGATGGATAGATTACAAAAATTTTCTCCCATTCTGTAGGTTGCTTGTTCATTCTGATGATAGTTTCTTTTGCTGTGCAGAATAGTTTAATTAGATCCCGTTTGTCAATTCTGGCTTTTGTTGCCATTGCTTTTGGTGTTTTAGTCATGAAGTCTTTGCCCATGCCTTTGTCCTAAATGGTATTGCCTAAATTTTCTTCTAGGGTTTTTCGGGTTTGAGGTCTTAACGTTTAAGTCTTTTAATCCATCTTGAGTTAATTGTTGTATATGGTGTAAGGAAGGGGTCCAGTTTCAGTTTTCTGCATATGGCTAGCCAGTTTTCCAACACCATTTATTAAATAGGGGATCCTTTCCCCATTGCTTGTTTTTGTCAGGTTTGTCAAAGATCAGATAGTTGTAGATGTGTGGTGTTATTTCTGAGGCTTCTGTTCTGTTCCATTGGTCTATGTATCTGTTTTGGTACCAGTACCATGCTATTTTGGTTACTGTAGCCTTGTAGTATAGTTTGAAGTGAGGTAGCATGATGCCTCCAGCTTTGTTCTTTTTGCTTAGGATTGTCTTGGGTACACGAGCTCTTTTTTGGTTCCTTATGAAATTTAAAGTAGTTTTTTCTAACTCTGAAAAAAGTCACTGGTAGCTTGATGGGGATAGCATTGAATCTATAAATTACTTTGGATGGTGTGGCCATTTTCACGATATTGATTCTTCCTACCCATGAGCATGGAATGTTTTTCCATTTGTTTGTGTCCTCTCTTATTTCCTTGAGCAGTAGTTTGTAGTTCTCCTTGAGGAGGTCCTTCACATCCCTTATAAGCTGTATTCCTAGGTATTTTATTCTCTCTGTAGCAGTTGTGAACGGGAGTTCACTCATGATTTGGCTCTCTATTATTGGTGTATAGGAATGCTTGTGATTTTTGCACATTGATTTTGTATCCTGAGACTTTGCTGAGGTTGCTTATCAGCTTAAGGAGATTGTGGGCTGAGACAATGGGGTTTTCTAAATATACAATCATGTCATCTGCAAACAGAGACAATTTGACTTCCTCTCTTCCTATTTCAGTACCCTTTATTTCTTTCTCTTGGCTGATTGCCCTGACCAGAACTTCCAATACTATGTTGAATAGGAATGGTGAGAGAGGGCATCCCTGTGTTGTGCTGGTTTTCAAAGGGAATGCTTCCAGCTTTTGCTCACTCAGTATGATATTGGCTGTGGGTTTGTCATAAATAGTTCTTATTATTTTGAGATATGTTCCATCGATACCTAGTTTATTGAGAGTTTTTAGCATGAAGGGGTGTTGAATTTTCTCGAAGGCCTTTTCTGCATCTATTGAGATAATCAGGTAGTTTTTGTCATTGGTTCTGTTAATGTGATGGATTACGTTTATTGATTTGCCTATGTTGAACCAGCCTTGCATCCCCGGGATGAAGCCAACTTGATTGTGGTGGATAAACTTTTTGATGTGCTGCTGGATTCGGTTTTGCCAGTATTTTATTGAGGATTTTTGCATCTATGTTCATCAGGGATGTTGGCCTGTGTGTCTGCCAGGTTTTAGTATCAGGATGATGCTGGCCTCGTAAAATGAGCTAGGGTGGTGTCCCTCTTTTTCTATTGTTTGGAATAGTTTCAGAAAGAATGGTACGAGCTCCTCTTTGTACTTCTGGTAGAATTTGGCTTTGAATCCGTCTTGTCCTGGGCCTTTTTTGGTTGTTAGGTTATTAGTTACTGCCTCAATTTCAGAACTTGTTATTGGTCTATTCAGGGATTCCACTTCTTCCTGGTTTAGTCTTGGGGGGGGGGCGTATGTGTCCAGGAATTTATCCATTTCTTCTAGATTTTCTAGTTTATTTGCGTAGAGGTGTTTATAGTATTCTCTGATGGTAGTTTGTATTTCTGTGGGATCAATGGTGATATCCCCTTTATAATTTTTTATTGTGTCTATTTGAGTCTTCTCTCTTTCTTCTTTATTAATCTGGCTAGCAGTCTATTTTGTTAATCTTTTCAGAAAACCAGCTTCTGGATTCCGTGATACTTTGAAGGGTTTTTTGTGTCTCTATCTCCTTCAGTTCTGCTCTGATCTTAGTTATTTCTTGTCTTCTGCTAGATTTTGAGTTTGTTTGCTCTTGCTTCTCTACTTCTTTTAATTGTGATGTTAGGATGTCGATTTTAGATCTTTTCCGCTTTCTCCTGTGGGCATTTAGTGCTATAAATTTCTCTCTAAACACTGCCTTAGCTGCATCCCATAGATTGTGGTACATTTTGTCTTTGTTCTCATTGGTTTCAAATAACTTGTTTATTTCTGTCTTAATTGCATTGTTTACCCAGTAGTCATTCAGGAGCAAGTTGTTCAGTTTCCATGTAGTTGTGTGTTTTTTTCTTAATCCCGAGTTCTAATTTGATTGCACTGTGGTCCGAGAGACTGTTTGTTATGATTTCCATTATTTTGCATGTCCTGAGGAGTCTTTTACGTCCAATTATGTGCTCAATTTTAGAATAAGTGTGATGTGATGCTGAGAAGAATGTATATTCTGTTGATTTGAGGTGGAGAGTTCTGTAGATGTCTATTAGGTCCACTTGGTCCAGAGCTGAGTTCACGTCCTGAATATCCTTGTTAATTTTCTGTGTCGTTGATCTGTCTAATATTGACAGTGGGGTGTTAAAGTCTCCCACTATTATTGTGTGGCAGCCAAAATCTCTTTGTAGGTCTCTAAGAACTTGCTTTATGAATCTGGATGCTCCTGTATTGGGCGCATATATATTTAGTATAGTTAGCTCTTCTTGTTACGTTGATCCCTTTACCATTAGGTAATGCCTCTCTTTGTCTTTTTTTGATCTTTGTTGTTTTAACGTCTGTTTTATCAGAGACTAGGATTGCAACCTCTGCTTTTTTTGCTTTCTATTTGCTTGGTAAATCTTCCTCCATCCCTTTATTTTGAGCCTATGTGTGTCTTTGCACGTGAGATGGGTCTCCTGAATACAGCACACTGATAGGTCTTGACCCTATCCAATTTCCTAGTCTATGTCTTTTAATTTAGGGGCATTTGGCCCATTTATATTTAAGGTTAATATTGTTATATGTGAATTTGATCCTGTCATTATGATGCTAGCTGGTTATCTTGCTTGTTAGTCGATGCAGTTTCTTCATAGTGTCGATGGTCTTTACAATTTGGTAGGTTTTTGCAGTAGCTGGTTTCAGTCTTTCCTTTCCATATTTAGTGCTTCCTTCAGGAGCTCATGTAAGGCAGGCCTGGTAGTGACATAATCTCTCAGCATTTGCTTGACTGTAAAGGATTTTATTTCTCCTTCTCTTATAAAGCTTAGTTTGGCTGGATATGAAATTCGGGGTTGAAAATTCTTTTCTTTAAGAATGTTTATTTTTAGCCCCCAATCTCTTCTGGCTTGTAAGGTTTCTGCTGAGAGATCCGCTGTTAGTCTGATGGGCTTCCCTTTGTGGGTAACCCGACCTTTCTCTCTGGCTGCCCTTAACATTTTTTTCTTCGTTTCAACCTTGGTGAATCTGACGATTATGTGTCTTGGGGTTGCTCTTCTCGAGGAGTATCTTTGTGGTGGTCTCTGTATTTCCTGAATTTTGAATGTTGGCCTGTCTTGCTAGATTGGAGAAGTTTTCCTGGATAATACCCTGAAGAGTGTTTTCCAACTTGGTTCCATTCTCTTCGTCACTTTCAGGTACACCAATCAAACGTAGGTTTGGTCTTTTCACATAGTCCCATATTTCTTGGAAGCTTTGTTTGTTCCTTTACATTCTTTTTTCTCTAATCTTGTCTTCACATTTTGTTTCATTAAATTGATCTTCAGTCTCTGATATCCTTTCTTCTGCTTGGTCGATTCGGCTATTGATACTTGTGTATGCTTCAGGAAGTTCTCATGCTGTATTTTTCAGCTCCATCAGGTCATTTATGTTCTTCTCTTAACTGGTTATTCTAGTTAGCAATTCTCTAACCTTTTTTCAAGGTTCTTAGCTTCCTTGCATTTGGTTAGAACATGCTCCTTTAGCTTGGAGGAATTTCTTATTACCCACCTTCTGAAGCCTACTTCTGTCAATTCCTCAAACTCATTCTTTGTCCAGTTTTGTTCCCTTGTTGTTGAGGAGTTGTGATCCTTTGGAGGAGGGGAGGCATTCTGGTTTTTGGAATTTTCAGCCTTTTTGTGCTGTTTTTTTCTCATCTTCATGGATTTATCTACCTTTGGTCTTTGTCGTTCAGATGGGGTTTTTGTGTGGACATCCTATTTGTTGGTGTTGACTCTATTCCTTTCTGTTTGTTTTCCTTCTAATAGTCAGGCCCCTCTGCTGCAGGTCTGCTGGAGTTTGCTGGAGGTCCACTCCAGACCCTGTTTGCCTGGGTAGCTCCAGCAGAGGCTGCAGAACTGCAAAGATTGTTGTCTTTTCCTTCTTCGGGAAGCTTCCTCCTAGAGGGGCACCCGCCAGATGCCAGCCAGAGCTCTCCTGTATGATGTGTCTGTCGACCCCTGCTGGGAAGTGTCTCTCAGTCAGGAGGCACAGGGATCAGGGACCCACTTGAGGAAGCAGTCTGTCCCTTAGCAGAGCTTGAGCACTGTGCTGAGAGATCCGCTGCCCTCTTCAGAGCTGGCAGGCAGGAACGTTTAAGTCTGCTGAAGCTGTGCCCACAGCCGCCTCTTCCCCAAGGTGCTCTGTCCTAGGGTGTTGGGAGTTTTATTTATAAGCCCCTGACTGGGGCTGCTGCCTTTCTTTCAGAGATGCCCTGCCCAGAGAGGAGGAATTTAGAGAGGCAGTCAGGCTACACCAGCTTTGTGACGCTGCAGTGGGCTCTGCTCACTTTGAACTTCCCAGCAGCTTTGTTTACACTGTGAGGGGAAAACCCGCCTACTCAAGCCTCAGTAATTGCACACGCCCCTCCTCCCGCTGAGCTCCAGCGTCCCAGGTCGACTTCAGACTGCTGTGCTGGCAGCGAGAATGTCAAGCCGGTGCATCTTAGCTTGCCGGGCTCCGTGGGGGTGGGATCTGCTGAGCTAGACCACTTGGCTCTGTGGCTTCAGCCCCCTTTCCAGGGGAGTGGATGGTTCTGTCTCGCCTGGTGTTCCAGGCGCTACTGGGGTTTGAAAGAAAACTCCAGCAGCAGCAGCTAGCTCAGTGTCTGCCCAAACGGCCACCCAGTTTTGTGCTTGAAACCCAGGACCCTGGTAGTGTAGGCACAGAGGAAGTCTCCTGGTCTGTGGGTTGTGAAGACTGTGGGAAAAGCTTAGTATCTGGGCCAGAATGCACTGTTCCTCACTGCACAGTCCTTCACGGCTTCCCTTGGCTAGGGGAGAGAGTTCCCCGACCCCTTGCACTTCCCGGGTGAGGCAATGCCCCACCCTGCTTTGGCTCGCCCTCTGTGGGCTGCACCCACTGTTTAACCAGTCCCACTGAGATGAGCCGGGTACCTCAGTTGGAAATGCAGAAATCATTCACCTTCTTCGTTGATCTTGTTGGGAGCTGCAGACCGGAGCTGTTCCTATTTGGCTTTCTTGCCAGCCACCGAACCCGTGATTTCTGAGAGTTCATAGAAGTTAGGCTGATTACATTTAAACAATTTGCCAGGTCTCAACAATCCATATAGCTTTTTTTAACTTCCCATTTGATCTTCTTAGATCTGCAAGTTTTATTTTCCATTTTCAAAATCTTTTTTTTTTTTTTTTTTTTTTGAGACAGAGTCTTGTTGTGTTGCTTAGGCTGGAGTGCAGTGGCGTGATCTAGGCTCACTGCAACCTCAACCTCCACCTCCCAGGTTCAAGCGATTCTCCTGCCTCAGCCTCCCGAGTAGCTGGGACTACAGGCGAGTGCCACCATGCCCAGCTAATTTTTTGCATTTTTAGGAGAGATGGGGTTTCACCATGTTGGTCAGGCTGGTCTCGAACTCCCGACCTCATGATCTGTCTGCCTCAGCTTCCCAAAGTGCTTGGATTACAGGCGTCAGCCACCGTGCCTGGCCCAAGTACAGTTTTTGATCTTCAAGAGGTGCCTGTACTCTGTCCTGTTCATATTTGAATTCCCAATGCCTGGAATCTAGTCATTGAATGAATGAATGAATGAATGAATGCATGTCTCTTGTTCTCCCTCCCTGTTTCTGTCTCCCTCCCATTTCTAGCTGGCATTCAGTAAAACTTATAGTATTATGTGAGAGTCTTACAGTTGCTTTGAATTAAAAAGCAAATTAAACTAAAAGAAAAAGTATCAAGGGAGTAGAATATATTTTCCTACCAAACAAAAGAAAATTGCTTTTATTTGCATGTACTTCTTGATTTAATTTTGTACATTCTTGCTATAATTCGACTTTGATAGGAAGGTCTTTTACTGCTCTTCTAGATGGTTTTATTTTGCTTCCTATATTTCTTTCCCCTTTTCAAATTTTCCTGCTTAATGAAATCTAGAGAATTGATGTTTGAAATTGATATGAAACCTAGAGAATAGATGCTTGAAACTCATATGAGTCACCTAGAAAGGGAGTTAGGACAACTTAGTAAATAAGAAAATGTTTTATTTCTATGGGAAAAAAACTGTGTGTCGCTTTATTAGGTTTGTTTAAATTATAGTATACCAGGAAAGGAGGAGCTTAACTGTCTTTTTCCCCGACATAATATACCATAAACCTAGTTTTTCCAGTTACAGGATACCTGTATTTTTGCTTCCCAATGTACACCCTATGTGCCACCAGAATTATGTGTGTGCTACCTTACCACCCCGAAACCAAACCAAACCATCTGGCTTTTTTCTGCCAGGCCACTCCTTTATAACCCAGTTCCTTCTTTGCTTACCAGGATATATGTTGACTTAATAAATTATTTCTGTGAAAGGAACCATACCTTTTTAACCTGCCAATTAAAAACAAATTGAGTGTATGTATTTTCCCATAAAGGTAACATGGCAGGCCCTGAATTAGTGTTATGTGAAAATGTAGCATAACAGTTAGACTTTTCCTGTGGTAATATCCATTATATTACTGAAGTGTGAAAGCGTATGCATACACAAAACACCCTTATCTACCAAGAAAATAAGAAGCTTGTTATCTGCATATTAGCTTTTCCCTCTTTCTCACTTGATATTGAGCTAAATCCTTGCCAGAAATCTAGATTGTCACTGGTTGTCAGTACTTCAGTTGTCTTTTTGGCCTCTACAGACTCCGCCAGCCCTCTGTCTGTTTATATTCACACAAGTATCATTCACTGTTTCATTTTGAATTAATAGACATCCTTGTCAAACATCACTTTAGGGGCTCATCTGTAAATCTGCAAATTGTTTATATAATACGGACCCAGGATTTTTCATTCAGTCTGTACAATTTAAGCAATGGTTTTGTCTTTGTTAGTAATGTTACTGGTATTTTGGGCTTATCTTTCAGTGAGGACTTTGGGAGTGGTGAATTAAAAGATAGATTTAAATTTCTTTGCGTTTAATTTTGGCTTTGTTTTTGCATTTTTGTTGCTTTAGTGTTTGATTATACTAATTCCATAGAAGAAAAACTATAATCTCTGGATGGAAAAATGCAAATGTATTATAATGAAGTTTTTGTACTGGCCACAATTTTTTTTTTTTTTTGCTCTTGTTGTCCAGGCTGGCGTGCAATGGCACGATCTCGGCTCACTGCAACCTACACCTCCCGGGTTCAAGTGGTTCTCCTGCCTAAGCCTCCTGAGTAGCTGGGACTACAGGTGTGCGCCACCATGCCTGGCTAATTTTTGTATTTTTAGTAGAGACGGGGTTTCGCCATGTTGGCCAGGCTGGTCTCGAACTCCTGACCTCAGGTGATCTGCCCACGTTGGCCTCCCAAAGTGCTGGGATTACAGGCGTGAGGCACCGCGCCCAGCCCTTGCTACACTTTTATAATAAATTCTTAGATCAATTTTAGGATGCTTTGGTTTGATAGGTTGAGAAAAGAATTGGTTTATAAAAATTGACACTTAAAATTCATGGATGTCAAGTATGACTTAGAGGTTAGAAACAGATAAAATTTAAAAAGGTTAACAGGCTATATTTAAAATCTACATATTTGTAAAAAGTAAGAACAATTTACAACCATGTGCAAGTTAAAGTTTTTTCAAATTAGAAATTAATTGTGACATCATAATCTTAACCTTTTTGTATTTTATTAATTTCTTTTTTTAAATTGTAGTTTCAGTCTGATGGAAGCAAACAAGAAGATAAAGAAAAAACGGTAAGAGACTAGAAAAATCCAATAATGTGTCTAATGTTTGTCTTGCTACAGTATATTACAAATTTTACTGTGAACAAGCTTTAATCATCTGTATGAGTAATTGTTTTATAATGTAGATGCTGATTATAGTTTTTGGCGGCATATGCAAAGTTATCTTTTAAGATTAACATTTTTTCCCCTGATGTTGAAAAAGGAAGAGAGATAAAAGTTCCTCATTCCTTTGCTACCCCTTTCCTTTCCTCACCCCATTTTATGTCTTCGATGGAGAAACATAAATAAGCTTTGTGAAAAGGGTGGGTGAGGAATGGGATATTGTGTGTTATGTTATTAAGAAATGGTAATTTTCCCAAGGCTGTTATAAATTTATTGTTGGTTATATTAATATAGACCTCTTACTGAAATAACTTTTCCTTCTTTCTTTTAGGAAGTTATCCTTAGCTGTTTGCTTAGCATTACTGACCAGGTACTACTTCCATCTCTTTCTTTGATGGACTGCAATGCTTGTATGTCTGAGGAACTATGGGGAATGTTTAAAACATTTCCATATCAGCATAGGTAAATACATATTATTTTCATGTTTTTAACTATTAGTAATTCTAGTATATTAACCTCTAAGTGTTTAACTTTTCCTAATTCTTCATCTCATCGTTTTTTAAGATATCGTCTGTATGGCCAGTGGAAGAATGAAACTTATAACAGTCACCCACTTTTAGTAAAAGTTAAAGCTCAAACAATAGACAGAGCCAAATATATCATGAAGTAAGTTTTAATTTATTTTTCATATTAATCTAAATTATATCTGAATCTAATATACTTTCTTTCAGGTAGCTTGTCTGAGCCTCAGTTTTGGGAAAGCCTATGTGTTGTGAATGGTATAGCTGATTTATATACTACAGATGGAATGACTGTTAACTGTGGTTTTAGCTCATTTTGACTACCAAGTTAATGTTTTCATAGTTGTTGTGTTTACATATGGATAAAAATCTAATGGAAATCCTCTTTAATATGTGCATCATATTATGGGATGAAGGTTTTGTTTTTTCTTTTTAAGGACAGCCTGCTGTGGCCTTTGCTTACCTTTAGTGATTTGTGCAAGGTAGTAAAAGTTCTAGCAATTTCCACTGCTGAAAGTTACCATAATGAATTTTTTTAATCTGTTAGGAAGAACTAATGAAATTATCCAGAACTATCTCCATAGGGAGTCAACTTTTGAGAAATTTCTTTTTTAAAAAAATTTGTACACTTTTATTTTCATATCATTAAAAACATAAGAGTGATGTTCTACTTCCCAGTAGATTATTTGAAGTTTAATTATGAAAATCATGTACTTCAGATTAGTATTAGTTTAGATGCTTAATTGTATTGCTGTATTGCAAGTGTTTTCAACGAGGCTATTGTCAGTTGTCATTCCTTTTTTAAATTCATGGCAGTGGTATGGTTATTCTAATTAAAAGTAGTTCGTTCTCAGTTTATTTAGATTTAACAGTGTGTAATGTCTGTTAAATGTTGTCCTTGCCCAGTGATATTGTTTCTGGTCACAGCCTATTGGGAAAACAGGTGTGTGCATGATCACAATCTAGTTGTTGTTTTTTTTTTTTTTTCCTGTGAGCCTATGGATTATATTGAAACAACCTAGTATAATAGGTGCTGTTATACAGTATGAATAAAGTGCTATGGGAGGATAGATGAGACTAAATGATTTCACTTGGGGGAGTTTTGTTTGGCAGGAGTTGATATTAGATCTGAAAGAGTTTCTGGACTTAAGAGTTCTCCAGGTACAGTTTCTAGCTTAACAACAGCAGCTAATATTTAGGGAGCTATTACTGTATGTGCCAGGCATTAAACTAAGTGCTCTGCATGGATTGTTTAATAATACATTAAGCATTTTTAAATACCTTGAATTCATCCACTGTCACTACCACTACTACCTTAGTTATTTTATCTGGTGTATTATAGTTGTATATTCTCTTACCTAAAAATCCTTTGGTGACTGACTTTACCTGAAGGTATATGTTAAGCTTTATGGCATGGTGATATAAATAAGAGGTCCTCCCTGGTTTGTCCCTCCCTGCATCCAACCTCCTTTCCTGCCAATTCTACTTCCAGATGTACTGAGCCTACTTATGTCCCCTAAATGTACCACTCTCTCCTTAGCTTCTCTTCCCCTGTATATACTTTTTGTTCCCTCTGTTTGTACAGGTTTTCCCTTACCTTCCTTTCCCCCTTTCCATCTGGTGACCTCATTCTTGGAGAGTGAGCTCCAGTGTTACTTCTAGTGAAGGCTTCCCTAGCATAAACTGCCAGACACAATCAATCTTTATTTCCATCACTATTCTTTAGCATATAATGTTATCATACCTCTAGGTACCTTGCTATGATTGTTTTTTGAATAGTTTATGTGTTTACATGATTTAAGTTTCAGTAAATATAAAAGGTATAAATACAGCAAAAAGTCTCACTCCATCCTCCATCTACTCAGTTCTTCCCCTCAAGGAAAAGTAACCACTGTTTAGTCTCTTATTTATCCTTCCATATATTCTTATGTATATGCAAGCCAATACAATATATATTATCCCCCTCTTATATTATTATTATATTAATATTGTTTTTCTTTGTAAAAATGGGACCTCACTATGTTGCCCAGGCTGGTCTTGAACTCCTGGCCTCAAGTGATCCTCCCACCTTGACCTCCCAGCGCTGGAGTTACAGACGTGAGCTACCACACCCCAGCCACCTTTTATATTATCAATAGCATATAAGTACTGTTCTGTTGATTGCTCTTTTTTAGAATATTGAAATTTAATAAATGAATTTAAATCTGTCTCCTTCACTGGACCAGGCTTGAGAGCAGGAACTGTTACTCTGTTATTCATCCTTGTATTTCTTATTTTTTTTTTTTTTTTTGGGAGATGGAGTTTTGCACCGTTGCCCGGGCTGGAGTGCTGCAGTGGCACGATCTTGGCTCACTGCAACCTCCGCCTCCTGTGTTCAAGCGATTATCCTGCCTCAGCCTCCCAAGTAGTTGGGATTACAGGCGCCTGCCACCAAGTCCAGCTAATTCTTTGTATTTTTAGTAGAGACGGGGTTTCACCATGTTGGCCAGGCTGGTCTCGAACTCCTGACCTTGTGATTCACCCGCCTTGGCCTCCCAAAGTGGTGGGATTACAGGCGTGAGCCACTGCACGCGGCTTCATCCTTATATTTCTACACTGACCTTAGCTAAAAGGCTGAGACACAATCTTCCTTGTATTTCTAATGCTTAGTACTTTGACTGTCATCGTAGGCATTAATATGAATGAATGAATAAAAATACAATTTACTACAGAATAGTATGTGCAGAATTTTTAATATACTTGGATTTTTGTTATATTTGTAAGCTATAACTATTTTACCAGGCTTAAACAATATGATTTTGTTACTGTTTGAAGTTTTTACATTGAGCATATAATGTATTAACTTATTACTTGTAGAATTTCATGAGTTTTGAATACTATTTAAAACATGAGCTTGCTATAGGGCATTTAGTAATTCTTTCTACAAATGTTTATTATGTTCCATATGCTAGACACTGGTAGTTTGAGGGGAAGACAAAGACAAGAAAATATTTCTTTAATTTTTGTTTGTTTGTCCCTCCAGGGTGATGGAGGCAGAAGGGAATGGAATGAAAAACAGAGAAAGGAGGGGTTGGCCTTGGCAAGTAGAGGGAGGCACCTGAAATATTGGGGTTAGAAATAGGGACAGGTAGTGGTAAGTTGGAAATTTGAACAAAATACTGTATAGCTAACTTTTAAAACTAATGGTCTCTCTTTTCTATGAAACCAAAACTGGGATATGGAGAATTGGAAAGGGAAGCAGTTGATGAAACAGTTTTGATTGATGGGGCCAGTTTTGTCATGAGAAATTAATTAAAGCAAGTTCGTCACTTGGAGAATGGTCACATCTCCTGAATTATAAACTGAATTCATAATTTACTTCATTATATTTTCATCCTAGAAAGCTTCCTTCCTGTCACTTGTAGCCTTTTGAAGTCTCTAGATTTATTATGTAATCATCTCAGGAGAGGCATTTAAGATTCTGTGTAATAATTGTTTTGAACTGTAAGAATTCATAGATAAAATTTGCAGAATGCTGGCAAAAGGATAATGAGCAAAGGAAGAAATAAAGAGGAAGGAAAGGAGTAGAATTTAGTTTCAAAATATTGTTTACCTTGAATATGAAAAGCAGATAACTTTACATATTGAGGGAGTAAAGTTACATAAGTTTACAGATAACACAGTAACTCTGTTAGAGTCACTGAGACAGATGGCACGAGACATTTCATTGCATGACACCAAATTTGATATCTTAATCCCTAAACTGATGAGTCCTCCTAAATCTGAAATAATTTTGATTCTTTGTAAGAAGAGTTTTATGTACTTGTAGAGTACATTAAGAGTTTTACTGATTATTAGACTATTACTATAAAGTGGAAATGTGTATTTTATAAATGTTAAGCATTTAATATAAAATGTTAATATCCTCTGAGAGAATCCCTAACCAAAATAGCCCAAATCCTACCATAAAGGATGTGATGAATGTAGTTGTTTACATGAATCCATTTTGGATATTTGGGGAATAATTGCTTTTTCCCCCACGATGATGTAACAAAGCTATCAACATTACAAGGAATGTTACTTAAGATGATCCGTGCCACCTTTTTCTTCCTCCGTAGGCGCCTAACCAAGGAAAATGTGAAGCCTTCTGGAAGACAAATTGGGAAGTTGAGCCACAGCAATCCAACCATTTTGTTTGATTATGTATGTTTTGAGGTTAATATTATTTTAAGGGATTTTTCTTTCTGTTGCCTTTAAATCAGTGCAAGTGGAAATAGAATGATGTTAGAAAATGAAACATTGTAAGGTTATGCTAAAAACAAAATTACTACACAATATATTTAACACATTGATCTATTTTAATAGTAATATGTAACAGTGCTACTATTACAGGCAATATAATAGTTATTTTGTATATATAATGTTATTTTGTATACCACATCTTGATTTCTGGTATTACTTGATTTTAGACTTTTAGAAACATTCAAATAACATTTCATTGTGATTTATATGTAATACTATCACTGCAATATTTATTTATTTATTTATTTTTTTGAGATGAAGTCTTGCTCTATTGCCCAGGCTGGAGTGCAGTGACCCGATCTTGGCTCACCGCAACCTCTGCCTCCCGGGTTCAAGCGATTCTCCTGCCTCAGCCTCCCAAGTAGCTGGGATTACAGGCGCATGCCACTGCACTTGGCTAATTTTTTGTATTTTTAGTAGAGATGTGGTTTCACCATGTTGGCCAGGCTGGTCTTGAACTCCTGACCTCAGGTAATCCATCCACCTCGACCTCCCAAAGTGCTAGGATTATAGGCGTGAGCCACCACACCTGGCCCATATTTAGAGATATCTAAAACATATGAGAGAGACTAGACTCTTTCATTCCAAAATTCAGCTTTAGGCCTGGAATTATTTCCTTTTTAAATTAATTTTTTTAAGATGCAAGGGGTACATGTGCAGGTTTATTACATGGATGTATTGCATAATGCTGAGGTTTGGGTTTCTATTGAACTCCTCACCCAAATAGTGAGCATAGTACCCAATAGGTAGTTTTTCAAACCTTGCCCCACCCCACTTAACTTTTAGAGTCCCCAGTGTCTTTCTATCTTTATGTCCGTGTGTACCCATAGTAAAGTTTCAGGATACAAAATCAACATACAAAAATCAGTAGCATTTCTATGTACCAATAATGTTCAAGCTGAAAACCAAATCAAGAGCACAATCCCATTTACAATAGCCACAAAAAAAGTACCAAGAGATACATCTAACCAAGGAGGTGAAAGATTTCTACTAGAACTATAAAACACTGTTGAAAGAAATCATAGATGATACAAGCAAATGGAAAGACATTCCATGCTCTTGGATAGGAAGAATCAATGTAGTTAAAATGTCCATACCGCCCAAAGGAATCTACAGATTCATTGCAGTTCCAGTCAGATTACCACTGTCATTTTTTATAGAATTGGAATTATTTTCTAACTGAAAAATGTAGCCTAAGAAAATATTCTCTAAGGCAGTGATAAAATAGTAATTTCTATATAAATATGAAATATTTATATAGAAACCACTTTGTTAAATATTTATATAGGAAACCACTTTAATTATAAGCATTATTTCTTTTGAAAAATAGAAAGTGTAGCCATTACTTAGTTGGCACAGTAGAAATCCTTTGATCAGTTAATGCCTTCTATTGTTTGTTGCTGTTTTCCAGATCTTGTCACAAATACAGAAGTATGATAACTTAATAACACCTGTAGTAGATTCATTGAAATACCTCACTTCACTGAATTATGATGTCTTGGCCTGTATCCTTTCAAGTGAAGTAATATGTAGATTTCATATTTAATAGATCATATGGTAAACGTTTTATTTTCATTCTATTTTCCTTTAGTAACCATCTGAGGTTGATTCAGGTGGCTGATCTGAAGTTTGGTCAGTCAATTGTGTGTGTGTGTGTGTGTGTGTGTGTATGTGAGAGAGAGAGAGAGTGTGTGTGTGTGTGTGTGTGTGTACGTGTGTGTCTTTGTGTTGTATAAAGGGAGACATGTTAGGCTTACCAACTTTTTTTTTTTGTGTGTGTGAGACAGACTTTTGCTCTGTCTCCCAGGCTGGAATGCAGTGGCACTGTCTCGGCTCATTGCAACCTCCGCCTCCTGGGTTCAAGCGAGTCTCTTGCCTCAGCTTCCCAAGTAGCTGGGATTATAGGCGTGTGCTACCACACCTGGCTAATTTCCTTGTTTTTAGTAGAGGTGGGATTTCACTAGGTTGGCCAGGGTGATCTTGAATTCCTGACCTCAAGTGATCCACCCACCTTGGCCTCCCAAAGTGCTGGGATTACAGGCATGAGCCACTGCACCCAGTTGGCTTACCAAACATCTTGATATTGATGGAATCTGTCTTGATTGCTGAAAGATGGAAAGTAGGCTAAAGAAGAAATGTTGGTACTACAGTAAGTGTATTTTTCAATAATTAGTTTTAGCAACATCCCTGGTCTTGGAAAACTAGAAAAATAATTTGTAATGACCAACAATTTTGCCCCTATGATGTGGCATATTCATGTTTTAAGGGTCTTTATTAGAGATGTAATGACTTAGTTTTTTCTTAATGTATGAAAGATTGTATCATTGAAGCTTTAGCTAATCCAGAAAAGGAAAGAATGAAACATGATGACACAACCATCTCAAGCTGGCTTCAGAGTAAGTATTTTTATTTTTCCAAAGATGAAATTACTATCTGTGGTAACTGCCATGTTATGCATTTTATTACCGATGCTTAGAGACTTTTAGAAGCCTATTTGTTAAGAGTTGCTGAGAATATCTAGCTACTGAGTTTGTTCTGCAGAGCCCTTGGCTATGTAAGGAGGTTGATATGGTACTTATTTATTTTCCTAACTTAAGAGACCATTATTGACTGTGATAGAATTTGGGTAAGCATTACTGGGGAGGTGAAATCTCCTTCTTTTTATTTTATTTTTTTTTCGAGATGGAGTCTCACTCTGTCATCCAGGCTGGAGTGCAGTGGTGTGATCTCGACTCACTGCAGCCTCCGCCTCCCAGGTTCTAGCAATTCTCCTGCCTCAGCCTCCCGAGTAGCTGGGATTACAGGCACGCGCCACCACGCCCAGCTAATTTTTGTATTTTCGTTAGAGGCAGGGTTTCACCATGTTGGCCAGGCTGGTCTTGAACTCCTGACCTCAAGTGATCCGCCCACCTCGGCTCCCAAAGTGCTGGGATTACAGGCATGAACCACCATGCCTAGCCAAAAATCTCCTTTTTAACTAACATTATTTTATAGGAGTTGATCGTAAGGGATCTAGTCTCATTTCTTCCCATTCCATCCTGAGGTTCCAGTCATCTTAAAAGAACAAAAACTTGACTTAGTTTAACCAAAAAAACTAACCATATTTCTTTTTAATTCTTGTACCTTTGGTTTCTAGCAGCCAGTTCCTTTTCTTTCAACTTATTGTATCTGATAGCGGAATCTTGCAGTGGCTCCCCATTGTCCTTTAAAGTCCGAAATGTTTAATAAGTCATACAAGTAAGTTCTTTTGAAATCAGGTCCTTTTGCACTGTTCTAGCCTCATCTTTTCCCTGCTTCCCGATATTCTAGATTCCATTAATACTGAACTTCTTGTACTTTCCATGAACTTTTGCCCATTATTCACTTGACTTGGAATACCCTTCATGGCCCACTCCATGTTCTGTTTATTCATTAGATTTCAGCTTAGAGGTCACTTCCTCTGGAAAGCTTTTTCTGTTAATGCTCCCACCCACAAGTCTGAATTGGGCGCTCCTCTTTTATATTCCCATGGAGCCTTTTGCTCATCATAGTTATTTGTTTACTTTTCTGTATCTTCCACTAGACTCAGCTCCTTGAGGGCAGGACTTGTGTTTTGTCCAATATCATTTAGGTGCTTAGCAAATAGTTGTGGAATAGGCTGCAGAGCACTTGACTTTACTTGAATCTCCTACTCTTGTATTGGCTGGGGTCTCCTCCCTATTCATGGTATGATAAGGACCATTGGTTAAAGTTGGTCTCTTGTCTGCTTCTAGGTCTGGTAATACTTTATTTTCTTGCACCTCCACAACTAGTAGCATGTTCCAAGATAAAAAGAGATTTTTTTTTTTCTTGACTCACATTCAGGGGCTGGCATTTTGTCATTTATTCAAGTTTACTGAGTGATCTGCAAGATTTTGTTATAACTTAGTTTCACAAACTCTGGAATCAGGCTGCAAAGATTTGACTTACTGCTCTACTTTGTACTACGTGACCATGAGCAAGTTACATGACATATCTGTTCTGAATTTGCCTCATCAATAGGTTATACCAACCTAGGATAATAGTTGCAAGGATTAAATGAGATAATCATTATAAAGTGCTTGGTACAGTGCTTGACATATGTATGCTCAATAAATATTGGTTATTGTTATTATTATGAAGCTCCATTCAACAGCATCAGCAATACAATTATTGCTACCTCATTTTGTTTTAGAGGTTTAGTTGAAATGATACTTGTGCATTTTGTTTTATGAGTTGTTTTTACTCTTTTTTTATTTTATATAGGTCTGGCTAGTTTCTGTGGTGCAGTTTTTCGTAAATATCCAATTGATCTTGCTGGTCTTCTTCAGTATGTTGCCAATCAGCTAAAGGCGGGCAAAAGGTATTCATAGCAAATTATACATAATGAAATTCAATAGAGTACTTTTGGTGGTTTGGGGTTATTGAGACTCTGTTATCCCGAAAGACTACTTATTTGTTGGTTGTAGGCTCAAGTAGAATAGTTGCTCACTTATTTACATAAAATTCTTTAGTTAAATGATAACTTAATACATAAATAGACACCTTTTTTCATGAATAAATGTACTATATGACTATATATGTTAATGCACTAAAAAGATACTTTCAGTTATTTTGACTGCCTATTAGGCTTTTGAGTAAATGGCTAATATGATACATTGTATATCTTCGTATAACAAAACATACTGCACTAGGTCAGTATGCAGTAATTGACCTGTGTCACATTGAACATCTGGTAGGAACTTGTTTATCTTGAGGGTGTATATAATACCTTTAAAGCATAATTTTTGAATTTGAGTTTTAGAGATACATAAGGCTTTCATACCTTTTGGACAATGTCCTTTTTTCTTTATAAATACTGAAGTTTATTTTATTTTGGGTCAATATCAGTGCTTAGAGTTTGAATTAGTATGTATGTGTATTAAACCTCATGAGAAGTAAACTGACTAGAATCAAAGAACCTGAATTGTTTTCAGAAGCTTTCTGGTAGAAAGCAAACAAACAAAAAATTAAAAGCTACTTGGTGTTCCAAACAAGTATTACCTAAGTAATTATTGACAGATTCTTATTTTGGCTTAGGGAAAACTTAAAAAAACTTTAAACTTATGATTTTATGGGCACATCCCTTATGCTCATCTCTCTGCCATTTCTATATATTTTTATTCTTCTTTGTCTATAGGCCAGGAGAATATATATCATTTTTTAATCTATAACTCAGCTTTCTGTACTGTGAATACAGTTTTTGTGACCATCTAATTAAAACATAGTTTAAAGAAAAAATAAACTGTTTCATTGGTACTTATATACTAGTTTTCATGAGGGCTTTCTTTAAAAAAAACAAACGAAACTAAGGAAAGCAAGGCAAGTTGAGAGAACAAACATTTAATAAGAATCTTAGAAAATGGTTCTTTCGTCTATTAGCTTGTGTCTTGGGTATGTCTGACTTTATGTTTGGAAAAACATCTGTATGTTTTAGGAAAGAATGTTTTTACTTTGTTTAGATTAATTAAAGAAGATCTTAGAGGACATAAGGTATTATTTCCATTGGTAGTCCTAAACTTTGCAGATTAAAAAGCATAACTGTTGGCACATTACTGAAATGTGCTCTGGGCTGGCCACTAAATTGTCATCTTTGGCTCAGATACCACAACTTAGAACTTCTTTTTTTCCTTCCTTCCCTGCCTCGCTTCCAAGTGTATGTGACCATGCTACATCTTTGTCCCTGTTTAGTAAATGGATTATTTAGAAATGGCTCTATACCATCAAAAACATTTTGGCCATCCTGTATTGGAGGAGAAAAAATGCTATGAAGGACTTTATTGGGTCAACTGATAAAATGAAATATGAATGGTAGATTAAAGTATTGTATCAGCGTTACATGTACTAAAATTGATAACTGTGCTGTGGTTATTTAAGAGAATAGCTCTCTTAGGAAATTCAGTCTTAGAAATTTTAGGGGTAGAAGGCCATGATGTAAATAATTTTCCCTCAAATGATTAAAAAATTGAGTGTGTGACTATGTATGTAGAGAGGGGCTCCAGAGAGGGAGAGAAAATGCAAATAATCAAGCAGGAGTAAAAATGTTACCAGGTGAAGTTGAGGTAAAGGATATATGGGTGAGCTTTGTACTATTGTTATTTTTCCATCCTATCTGTAAATTTGCAATTATTTCCAAGTAAAAGTTAAAATAAACTTACGCACCAAGTATTTGTCAATATAGTTCTAGGAATGCAGTTAAAAACTGCTTCAGCCCCTTCCCCCATATTTATATACAAATAATTAAGGGTTTCTCAGTATATTAATTACAATACATTGTTACTTTTATATTTGAAGTTCTAACTATAGACTGTTTCTTTTTTCTTTTTGAATAGTTTTGACCTGCTTATATTGAAAGAAGTGGTACAAAAAATGGCAGGAATAGAAATTACAGAGGAAATGACAATGGAGCAACTAGAGGCTATGACTGGTGGAGAGCAGCTAAAAGCTGAGGTAAGAATTGCTATTTTTGTTCATCAACTTTTAAAATTCATAATGTATGCACGGTCATAGTAAAGAATCCAAACAATATGTAAGTTTATAAAACCAAATGTCAAAGCCATACATACCTTCCTTTCACAACCACCCCTGCCCCCCTTTTGAAATTGAGATACAGTAATTACTTTAACTTTTTAAAAAAGCTGAAACAAAGTATAAAAGGCAGTAAGTAATGCATCCGTAAGGAAAATAATTACCAAATAAGGCCGGGCGTGGTGGCTCACGCTTATAATCCCAACATTTTGGGAGGCTGAGGTGGGTGGATCACCTGAGGTCAGGAGTTCGAGACCAACCTGGCCAACATGGCAAAACCCTGCCTCTACTAAAAATACAAAAAATTAGCCAGGTGTAGTGGTGGGTGCCTGTAATCCCAGCTACTTGGGAGGCTGAGGCAGGAGAATTGCTTGAACCCAGGAGGCGGAGGTTGCAGTGAGCCAAGATCTCGCCATCGTACTCCATTCTGGGCAAGACAGTGAGATGCTGTCTCAAAAAATAAATAATAAATAAATAAATAAAATAATCACCAAATAATTACTATATCTTCTATGATCCTTGATATCCTCACTCCCTTAAGTCTTAGTTGCTCTGTTGAATCTGTGCCATACTGAATAATGAATAATCCTTTATGAGGGGACTGCAAGGTGGAAAATGGAAAATATGCAGAAATTTAAATTCAGTTGACATTTGTCTTTAAGCCAGTGACTGTAGTCAGTAATAGTCACTGAAATAAATTTGTGTAAGGGAAGGAATGTGGAATGTAGGAGTTTTTTATATTAAGCATTTTAACTCAACTTTTTTCTGTGTCTTTTTCAAATTAGCATGGGTTATGTACTGTACACTGGTAAATTTGTGTCTTCCCTTGTGCAGGGTGGTTATTTTGGTCAGATCAGAAACACTAAAAAATCCTCTCAGAGATTAAAGGATGCTCTATTGGACCATGATCTTGCCCTTCCTCTCTGTCTGCTTATGGCTCAGCAGAGAAATGGGGTAATCTTTCAGGAAGGTGGAGAGAAACATTTGAAACTTGTGGGAAAGCTCTATGACCAGGCAAGTTAAAGTGGCTTTTATGTTTATGTACATGTTTTTAATCCTGTTAAAGGAGGATAATGTGTTATAATTTGAAAAATGTCATTTTTGCACATCATTTGAATATGAGACATCCTAATGTGAAAGACATTCTGGAAATAGGGCCTATTTCTATGTAAATTGTGATATATAAGAGATAGCTCCAAGAGATGTTATATGTAAGGCTGTCAATTAATTAAATATTACATCATTAAATTCCTGCAACTTCAAGTTGTTTGCATTTATATCTTTCCCGATCTCTGGAAATCTCAGTCATAACAGAATAGATGCTTGCTTGCCCACTTGTGCATGCTCACTCTCTTTTCCCTTTTTTTTTTTTTTTTTTTTTTTTTGAGACAAAGCCTCACTCTGTTACCCAGGCTAGAGTGCAGTGCATGATCTCAGCTCACTGTAGCCTTGACCTCCCTGGCTCAAGTGATCAGTCTACCTCAGCCTCCCGAGTAGCTGGGGATTATAGGCATGCACCACCACACCTGGCTAATTTTTAGATTTTTTTTGTAGAGTCGGGCCTCTGCCGTGTTGCCCAGGCTGGGTTGCTGTCTCTCTTTTTCTTTGTGTTATAGTTGATGATAGTTAAACACATTTTGTGGGCTAATCTTAGGTTTTGGTACTTAATATTTATAAATATATTCTGTAAATAAAGTTTTCTTCTTTTAAGGGCAAAGGAATTGACTTCTGTTTGCCTATGGTTATTATTTTATTTGATTTAGGTAAATATATTCTACTAAAAGTGATGAACAACAGCTTGACATTTAAGAGACCTAGTTGGCTAGTAAAACCTTGGATTAGTCAACCTGTCAGGGCCTTGGCATCTTTTTTTGTAATATGGTCATGTGGTTATACTTGTAGATAGTCTCTAAAGTCCTTTTAAGTTATAAAATTTGGATTCTTAATTGTTAAAATATTCCTAAAATGACTTCTTAATCACTTTGGAAAATATGTTGATTTTGTCTTATTTTTTAAATTTAGTGTCATGATACCCTGGTGCAGTTTGGTGGGTTTTTAGCATCTAATCTGAGCACAGAAGATTATATAAAGCGAGTGCCTTCAATTGATGTACTCTGTAATGAATTTCATACACCCCATGATGCAGCATTTTTCCTGTCTAGGCCAATGTATGCCCATCATATTTCGGTAAGTACAAGTGTCTTTGCTGCCGCTCAAGAACGATCCAAATTATTTCTTAACGGTTTTATCTGTAAGTACATATCACTACAGATTTTGGGGGAAGGTCTTGGCCCTAAACTAGGATCCCTTCTTTGTTTCCAATAGGGGTACGAAGCTGTGTGGTAGAGGTATACAAAAAAGGTGATGAGAAATTTGGAGTCTAATTGATCATTTAATCAAACATCTGCTGTTAGTGTTTACATATCAACTGCTACAGTCTCCCACTTCTTTCCTAACTAACTGCTACTTGATTTAATTATCACTTTGTTAGCACTATGCAGAAATTCCTGTGTTATGTATACACTCTGAAGGGAAAAAGACAATAAGGGAGTGGTGTTAGGCTGCTTCTTCCCCTTTAGATCCTCTCAATCCAGAGAATTGTTTGCCGTCTTTGTGTAACGTCTTACTGTTGTCACACCCCATGGTAGATCAGTCTCAGCTGTGCAAGAGGGTACCTGATTTCTTGACAGACAGAGGTGGGAGAATTTCTTCATCTTAGGAATTCTGACCTGCCCTGTGCTAAGTGAACACACTAATCAGCAATATGGAATCCTAGCAAACAGGAACACCTGGTTGTCTGTGGTTGGCTGAACTTTTCCAGCTCAGAAAATGGAGCAGGTCATTCAAGCTACTTTTTCTCTCTTACTTGTGTAAAATATTACCTTTGTCTTTTAAGAGATACAAAAACCTAAACAAAGAAATGGCATTTCCCTCTCAGGCTTGGAAGAAAACAGAAAACTAAATGAAAGTGGCTGTATAGCCAAGTCAGATATAAGTCTTTTATCTGTAGGCAGCATGCCACTCTCTGGAAAAGGTGTTTCCCAGCAATCTTGTGGTTGTGCTGGATGGGCATCCAAGCTGTCCTGGGGATCCTTGCTTTTGCTTCTTGAGTGAAAGCCTCTGTTGAAGAGCCTTCGTTGAGAGAGTGAAAATGTATATTAGGTGATTGCTATGTCCCCTCTATAAACTATCAGCAGGCTCTCTTGAGGATAATTCAGCCAAACGCTGCCCAGATTTTTTTTTTTTTTTTTTTTTTTTTTTTGAGATGGAGTCTCGCTCTGTCTTCCAGGCTGGAGTGCAGTGGCGCAATCTCAGCTCACTGCAACTTCCACCTCCCGGGTTCAAGCGATACTCCTATCCCAGGCTCCCAAGTAGCTGGGATTACAGGTGCCCGCCACCACACCCAGCTAATTTTTGTATTTTTAGAAGAGATGAGATTTCACCATGTTGGCCAGGCTGGTCTCAAACTCCTGACCTCAGGTGATCCGCCTGCCTTGGCCTCCCAAAGTGCTGGCATTATAGGCATGAGCCACTGTGCCTGGCCTGCTCAGATTCTTGAGACGAGATTTTTGAACAATAGTGAGAAGTACAGCAATAATTGTGGATATCAGTTCTATTCCATAAGTCTAGTTCCCCAGGCAATTTGAAATGTAGAACTGTTATGTCTCTTCATTTGACTGAAGGTGTGAACTTGAAGTGGGAGTTAAACTGACTTTAGACAAGGACATATTCATCTTGGGTAAATACGAAGTATAGCCTTCTTTTCTGACCAAGCCTATTTTTCTAACTAGATAGTGACTATGGGGTTCCTAGCAATAGAAATCACAGATTCAGACCCAGAGGACTGGGGAGATTGGAGCTATCATGTAACCCTCTCATACCTATAAACTAATTTTTAGTTTTAATTGTTGAGGTTGTGGTCCACCTTGAGACACAGGTCTGAAAGATAGGCTTTTAACCTAGTTCATATTCTAGATCTTGCCCAGAACAGGTAATTAGGCTGTCTTTTATGCAGATAATGTCAGCCCTATTTTATCCCGTTTTGTTAGAACCTTAGCAGAAGTCATTCTGCTCATCTAGATTCATATTAGTTACCTTCAATAAGACCTGTCCTCTAAATTAAAAAACACTCTCTGTTTTCCCAACTGCTATTCCCTCAGGTTTCTGATGCAATTGGGACTCCTTTTTCGTAACTAATGTTCTTTGTAGCTTTGTCACTTACGTGGTCTCAGTGGTTGTCAGCATGCTCTCTAAAATGGGGATAACAGAGCATAAATCTTCCCACTTCTAGAACAATTGTAAAATTCTAGAACAATTGTAAAATTGAGCACTCAGGAAGGAAGGCAGGTAACTGAGCTGTAAGGAGCTGAGACTCTTTTGCCTATCACAGTGTAGAACTGGAAGCAGAACCTTTGATCATCTCGTTTTGGGTTACGTGTTTAGCACAAATAGAATGATTTAAGTGATTTTCTAACGTAAGGAAGTAACTAGTTTTAGGACTTCCTTTAGGTTCGTATGAAGGGTGATACCTAACTTAAACAAAATTTTCTGGATGAGAGCTCTTTCATCCTAAAGAGACTGAAGGATGTGAAACAATAGCAGCAACTCTGTGTTATCTTCATATATATGTGTGTGTGTGTGTGTGTGTGTGTGTGTGTGTGTGTGTGTTCATGTATAATATATATGTTCATATATATGTTATCTTCATATATATAGAATATATAGAAAAAATATATATATTTTTGTGTGTGTATATATATGTATAATATATTTGGCATACACATCTCTGCAGCCCCTCCCATTGTACTAACAATTTTTTTTCCTCATACAATTAAGAATATGGCATTCCTCTGTTTTTTCCCCCAAATTAGGATAAACCAGTCAAACGAAAGAAGCTGCAGCATCAGTTCTCACATGCTTTAAACTTCAATATACCACAGCTTTTCACAGAAAAATTTATTTGGCTTAGCAGTAGAGTAACCAGTTGGTCCTGGTTTGCCTGGGATGTTCCCAGTTTTAGCACTGAAGTCTTAAATCCTCAGAAATCCCTGAATCCCCAGCAAACCCTGACAATTGGTCACCCTACTTAGCAGTCTTAAAACAAATTTCTCATAACTTTTCTTAGTGTTGATCCAGCTTTTTTTTTTTTTTTAATTTTTATTTTTTGAGACAGTCTCCTTCTGTCATCCAGTCTGGAGTGAAGGGGCATGATCTCAGCTCACTGCAACTTCTGCCTCTGGGGTTCAAGTGATCCTCTCACCTCAGCCTCCCAAGTAGCTGGGATTACAGGCCTGCGCCACCACGCCTGGCTAATTTTTTGTAGAGATGGGGTTTTGACATGCTGGCCAGGCTGGTCTCAAACTCCTGATCTCAAGTGATCTGCCCGCCTTGGTCTCTTGATCCAGCTTTTTAATTGACAAATTTTAACAGTTGGTAGGGTCTGCATGTAGTGATACTACATTCTGTCCTAGTTGGCTATTACTAGTTCCATTCTTCCTCTTTTCTCATGTTAAGACCTTCTATTTGTTCCCTTGAATATCTCAAAAGCAGGACTGGAAACCCTACATGTTCAATCCCTGATACAGCAGCAAGAGGGAGTAGGGTGGGGGAATGAAAGAGGAGAACATGCATATACCCTGTTCACTTTACTCAACAGGTCAGATTAGATAAGAACCCTCTGAGAATCTCCTAGTTGGCACACAGTACTAAAGACTGGAATAGCTTCCAGAGATGATTTATCTTAAAATAAACGTTGTTCATAAGAAACTAGAATTTCTACAACAGTTTTGAGATTGGTCATCTTTTGATTCTTTAGAAGGGAATATAGATTTTTATGCCATGAAAGTCAAAGCTATAAATTATGTTGTGTGTGTATGTATGTATGTATTTTTACTTTTTATCTACAGTCAAAGTATGATGAACTTAAAAAATCAGAAAAGGGAAGTAAACAGCAACATAAAGTTCATAAGTACATTACATCATGTGAGATGGTGATGGCGCCTGTCCATGAAGCAGTGGTCTCCTTACATGTTTCCAAAGTCTGGGATGACATCAGCCCTCAATTCTATGCTACATTCTGGTCATTGACAATGTATGACCTTGCAGTTCCACACACCAGCTATGAACGAGAAGTCAATAAACTTAAAGTCCAGATGAAAGCAATTGATGACAATCAGGAAATGGTAGGTTTTTGTTCTAGTAGTTCAAGTGCAATAACTTTATGGTATTCAATGTTACCTATATTTTGAAATTGTTTTAGCTCTGGTTCCTTAAAACAGTGATCTTGTTGCTATATAATATTTTCTTAAATGGGGTTTAATAGTTACTTCTGAGTGGGGGGCCAGGAGTTTGGTGACTAGGTGGAGGTTATGATTAATCAAAAATTATTTGAGTGTCCTTTTCTACTGACGACTATGCTAGTAACTTAAAGTGATTCATGTGACTCTAATAGCAAGAGCAGTAGTTCTCAAGAGGAGAGTTCTTTAGGAGAAGACTATTGAGAAGCCGAGTCTTGAAATGGACAGGCCTTGAAGGTAGATTAGGTTTGGAAATATGGAAGCAGATAGGGAGGTCACCATAGGGTTCCAGCAAAGACAGGAAGTAGATTGAGGTTTAGGGAGACCACTTTTACTGATTCACTTTCATGTAGTGAATGTACTTAGTGATTCATATGAATAGTTATGATGGGGCCAGATTATGTAGGCATTGGAAGTCAGGGAGAAAAGTAGACTTGGTAAAATTGAGAGCTATTTTAGATTCCTGAGCAGGATAGTAATGTAAAAAATGGTACTTAAAAAAGATTACTCATGACAGCAGTATGAAAGATGCTTTTTGACTAGCATTAGGCTAAAGACCAGCTAGGTGGCTTTTTGGGCAGTCTATTGTGAGAGCATAGACTGATGGAGGTAGTGGCAGTGTACAAGGCTTGTAAACCAGTCTTGATATAAAGGAGAGGGAAGAGTCAAAGATGACACCATGCCTGAGACTAATAGTGTCAGTGTTGCAAATGTAGCCTGTTCTGATGGTGTATGAAGATGCCATGACAGTGTTATGAGTGTGTTGAATGGAGATAAAAGTAGCACGTTCAAGTGGACCTATATTCATGTTAAAGTAGTTATAAACTATCAGCCTTTATCTCTTTAAACTTTTCAATTAAAAGAAGAAAGGTAATGTGCATATAGTTAGAAAAGTGTCTAATTGAATTCTTTGTAGCCCCCAAATAAAAAGAAAAAAGAGAAGGAGCGCTGTACTGCCCTTCAGGACAAGCTTCTTGAAGAAGAAAAGAAACAGATGGAACATGTACAGAGAGTTCTACAGAGATTGAAACTGGAAAAGGACAACTGGCTTTTAGCAAGTAAGTTGTTGGAATTGTTAGGTTCCTGATGCTGGTAAATTACAGAAAACAAAACATTATAACTTTAGAGGTGTTAAAGTGTATTATGTTTGTATTTCAACTCAGTGTTCCCTATCCCATTCTTTGGTTATTTGTTAATGCAGAATCAACTTCATGTTCACTGGAGGAACTGATATAGTTTGCTGGTGAAGTTAATTAACTTTTAACTACATATTGGCAGCTTGTCATTCAGCTTTTCTGTATAAAACATATTTCTGGAGAAATCATAGAAAAAAAGGTCCACATAGTAAAAATGATAATCATGACCAGGCATGACATTTGGTTACAAACTATAAATAGTTTGTGGTTTATAGTATTCTCTTCACTAAAGGTAATATGTTGTCATGTTTAGTGGCTTTGAGGCACTTGGGGAAGAAGTTTACCACTTAATATATTCTTCCTTTATTTTTAGAATCTACCAAAAATGAGACCATCACAAAATTTCTACAGCTGTGTATATTTCCTCGATGTATTTTTTCAGCAATTGATGCTGTTTACTGTGCTCGTTTTGTTGAATTGGTACATCAACAGAAAACTCCAAATTTTTCCACACTTCTTTGCTATGATCGAGTAAGTTTTTATTGCAACCTTTAAAAAGTTCTCACACAAAGATAGCTAACATTATAATTTATAGAGGTATTATTGTGTGTTTAGTTAAAAAGCATGAACTCAAGAACCAAGTGTCTGAACTTGAATCCTAGCTCTACTACTTTCTAGCTGTATGATCTTTGGCAAGTTATTTAACCTCTCTGTGCCTGTTTTCTTATCTGTAAAGCATAAGTACCTGCTTCATAAGATTGTTGTGAGGATTAAATGAATCACTACACATAAAAAGTACCTGATATGTAATAGGCACTCAAGGTTAAACTATTAACTAAGTATTTGAGTTTACGTGTTGTATCATAATAGGTAGAACTCTCTTCTCCATTCTTAACCTTCACTTCTCAAAAAAAAAAAAAAAGACAAAAAAGTTTACACCTTCACACACATATAAAAGCAGGGAAGCTTTTCAGTATGGTCATATGCACATTTTGCATTTAGCTTTTTTCTTATTACTACATTTTGTGGTTTAAAAACATAATGTGGCCGGGTGCGGTGGCTCATGCCTGTAATCCCAGTACTTCGGGAGGCCGAGGCGGGTGGATCACAAGGTCAGGAGATCGAGACCATCCTGGCTAACATGGTGAAACCCCGTCTCTACTAAAAAAAAAAATACAAAAAAATTAGCCGGGTGTGGTGGTGGGTGCCTGTAGTCCCAGCTACTCAGGAGGCTGAGGCAGGAGAATGGTGTGAACCTGAGACGCGGAGCTTGCAGTGAGCCTAGATCACACCACGGCCCTCCAGCCTGGGTGACAGAGTAAGACTCAGTCTCAAAACAAAACAAAACAAAACAAAAAACATAATGTATGTTCCAGTATGTCAGCTGCATATTTTTAATTTCTATCAGCATTTCCTCTGCTTACTCTCCCCGTAAACCCAGTAATATGTATGGCTAAGTGGTTAAGAAACTATTATGTAATAAAAAAAAAACAACTTATTATGTAATAATAATGATAAATTTTTTTTTCCTTGTCACTGTAAATCAGCTTTCTTTATAAAAGTTCTTGTTTTGGGTGGTTGTTTTATGAATGCATTATTTCCCCACAAAAGCCAAAATCTCCAAAGTTCTCTGCAGTGTCATTATATAAAGGGAATATACATTTTGACTAGGCTTACCTGTTTATTATGACTTGCTGTAAGAGAATCTTCTAATATTTTTAACTGATTTTGACCTTGATTTGTTTATATTTTTTAAACATTTTTCTCCTGTAGGTTTTCTCTGACATAATTTACACAGTTGCAAGCTGTACTGAAAATGAAGCCAGTCGATACGGAAGGTTTCTTTGCTGCATGTTAGAGACTGTGACCAGGTGGCATAGTGATAGAGCCACATATGAAAAGGTATGACTAATAAAAACCCTTATATTTTACCCATGTATATAATGACCACATCCATTAATATCTAGATAGTTGAGTTTTAAAAGAGAAGCTGAGTTTAAGATTCAGTTGTAAAACTGTGTTTATAAGCACAATTAATTTGTTATTAAAATGTGCTATGTACTTTTTTATTCTATCTCAAACTGACATTCCAAATTAGTATCTTTGTATAAGTTGAACTTTTTGTGACTACCTATCCAAATACGCATGATGTTTTTACACGGAAACATTGATCTAGTCTACTTAAGTTTCAATTTCTGCTATTTTGTGGATCATAATTTTTCTTTAAAAGTGACAAACATTGTTTCCTTAGGAATGTGGAAACTATCCAGGATTCCTTACCATATTACGGGCAACTGGATTTGATGGTGGAAATAAGGCTGATCAATTAGACTATGAAAATTTTCGACATGTTGTACATAAATGGCATTACAAACTAACCAAGGTAAAAAAAAAATTGGATTTTTCAAAGGCAAATTTTTCTCTGTATACTTGTGCTTTTATAATAATGGATCTGAAAATGTTTGTTGTAGGCATCGGTACATTGCCTTGAAACAGGCGAATATACTCACATCAGGAATATCTTGATTGTGCTAACAAAAATACTTCCTTGGTACCCAAAAGTTTTGAATCTGGGTCAAGCTTTGGAAAGAAGAGTACACAAAATCTGCCAAGAAGAAAAAGAGAAGAGGCCAGATCTATATGCATTGGCTATGGGGTAACAAAATTATATTTTAATGTGATTTACAAGACTAGATGACAGAAGGATTCTGAAGACTTTAAAATGTTTTACAGTGTTGAAGTTTATCTTCTGCCTTCAGGAGATTATGGGAGATTATGCGATCATGTTTCCACAGGCTGGTGAGAGTTACCACTTCTGATTATCAACTTCCGGTCTATACTGGATGATAGTTTTTTTAAAGTCATGTATAATATTTCTTGATTGGGAGGAAATATAATTTTATCATCATAGTTAACAGATCTTCAAGAGTAAAAAAAAAAAGCCATCTTAGTTTAAGGATTAGTTTATAGTGAAATTGTAATTTTTAAGAAAGCTGGGCGTTCTATAAAAACCTTCAAGAACTTATTAAAAATTGGTATTTTTTAATTCTCTAGAACCACATAGTAGAATGAATAACTTGCTAATTTTATTCTTAAAAACCTCATGTTTATGTTTTTTGATTTGTGTTTGTATATTTAAACACTTTGTGCGACTTTCAGCTACTCTGGGCAGTTGAAAAGTAGAAAGTCATACATGATACCTGAAAATGAGTTTCATCACAAAGACCCCCCTCCGAGGAATGCAGTTGCCAGTGTGCAAAATGGGCCTGGTGGTGGGCCTTCTTCATCATCAATAGGAAGTGCATCTAAATCGGATGAAAGCAGTACTGAGGAGACTGGTATGCTTATTTGTAGAAACTTATAAGTAATATATTTTATTTCAACAAAGTGAAATGTTTTGTATCACAGAACGAGTACAATGCTGGCTTAGTATTACTTTTTATTCCCTAGATAGGAGTATATAAGCGTTAAGAAGTAATCAGCTTGCTGTTTCTTTCTAATTATTCTCTAATCATTTTGCTCTGAAATTGTAGCTTATTTACATTTAGGGGCTTGTTAAATAAAACCTTACTTTTATTTCAGATAAATCAAGGGAGAGATCTCAGTGTGGTGTGAAAGCTGTTAATAAAGCTTCTAGTACCACACCTAAAGGGAATTCAAGCAATGGAAATAGTGGCTCTAACAGGTAGGAACACTGTGCCATGTGTCATAATTCTAAATTCTTTTTAAAAATGATTTTTATGTATTTTTTTGAGACGGGGTTGGTCTTGCAATGTTGCCCAGGCTGGTCTCGAACTTCTGGCCTCAAGCGATCCACCTGCCTTGGCTTTCCACACTGCTGGAATTAGAGGCATGAGCCACTGCACCTGGCCCTCATAATTCTAAATTCTTCTATGAGTCCTCATGAGTAGAAGGGGAGTGGTTGTTGAGTAATGTGAAAAGTCATTTATGTTGGGCTTTGAAATTTTGTATGTACCCTATTTTGCTGATACGCTTTACATCCTAATTATGTTTTGTATAGTTATGCTTGTATAACGACTTTGTTTCTCCTTCTGGGATATTCAGGGGAATGTAGGTGTGAAGTTAAACAAATATTTTAGGATAGAGGGATTGCTGTGGGTTGAAGCGATTCTTGTGCTTCAGCCTCCCTAGTAGCTGGGATTACAAGCGTGTGCCACCACTCCCGGCTAATTTTTTGTGTGTTTTTAGTAGAGACAGGGTTTTGCCATGTTGACCAGGCTGGTCTCAAACTCCTGGCCTCACGTGATTTGCCTGCTTTGGCCTCCCAAAGTGCTGGATTATAGGTGTGAGCCACCGTGCCCGGCTAATACATCTTTTAAATCTGCAATTAATGAATTTGTTTATGATTTACTGGATAAAGAAATACTTCCTTTTTTCGAGAAGGAGTCTTGCTCTGTCACCCAGGCTGGAGTGCAGTGGTGTGATTTTGGCTCACTGCAACCTCTGCCTCCCAGGTTCAAGTGATTCTCTTGCCTCAGCCTCCAGAGTAGCTGGGATTACAGGTGCCCGCCACCATGCGCAGCTAAGTTTTTTGTATTTTTAGTAGAGACGGGGTTTCACCATGTTGACCAGGCTGGTCTCGAACTCCTGACCTCAAGTGATCCACCCTCCTCAGCCTCCCAGAGTGCTGGGATTACAGGCGTGAGCCACTGCACCCGACCATTACTTCTTCCTTTTTCCTTGTCTTAAAGTTGTCCTTTAGTTTTCAAAGGACTCCCCCTTAGTTCTAGTATTTTTGAAGTTAGTAAGAAACCCTTTATGATATATTTTATCATATATCAAAGGATATATTTTATGATTATTTGTGTTAAAATCCCATGTTTTTATTCTTAAGCAACAAAGCTGTTAAAGAAAATGACAAAGAAAAAGGGAAAGAGAAAGAAAAAGAGAAAAAAGAAAAGACTCCAGCTACTACTCCAGAGGCCAGGGTACTTGGTAAAGATGGTAAAGAAAAACCAAAGGAAGAGCGGCCAAATAAAGATGAAAAAGCAAGAGAGACCAAGGAAAGAACGCCGAAGTCTGACAAAGAGAAAGAAAAATTCAAGAAGGAAGAAAAAGCTAAAGATGAGAAATTTAAGACCACTGTCCCCAACGCAGAATCAAAATCAACTCAAGAAAGGGAAAGAGAGAAGGAGCCATCCAGAGAAAGAGATATAGCAAAGGAAATGAAATCAAAGGAAAATGTTAAAGGAGGAGAAAAAACACCAGTTTCTGGGTCCTTGAAATCACCTGTTCCCAGATCAGATATTCCAGAGCCTGAAAGGGGCAAGTTTACCTTTCTTTATACGTTCTTACGTTTTGTTATTTTAATGTATAGTTGGTTATTGTCTCCTTGTTTTGGTAAGTTATATAGGGGTTTTGCTAGGGGAACTTGTCATACAAGTTGGTGTTTTTTTTTAAGTGTTTGGAAAACTAGAAATGTACCTTATTCTGACTATTTCTTTTTGTCTTAACAGAACAAAAACGCCGCAAAATTGATACTCACCCTTCTCCATCACATTCCTCCACAGTAAAGGTTAGTATAGCCTGAGGAAGGCAGCGTCCATGTTAGGCTCACCTGTTTGGAATACCAGTGTCCTGACTTCCTTCAAGTCTTATGCCAAGCATTCACTGGAGCCACTGGAGGTTTTATATTGCATTAGAAAATGAATTTTTCTATATTGGTGGACTGATTTTTTTTCCTATTGAGTATTTTTATTATAAAAATGTTAAAACTTCAAGGACTTAGCACTAATTTTGTAGTGTTTCAAAGTGCAAGAGAAATTTTACCCAGAAGTGCCTCAACTGCTTTAAGCAGTCTTTTTTGGAGTGCAATGGTAGCTACAAGCAAACGAATCTTTTCAGCAGAATGAAGCCTATTTTTCAGCATATTGAAGAATATATAGCACTGAAGACTTCCTGGATGACACAAGATAAACAAGTTACCTCTGAATTCAAGCTTCTTGATGAGCATCATACCGATGTGTGCCTTCTAAGAAGGAGTCTTGAAAGGAGTTCCATTTTAAAGTCTCCTTGGTGATCAGTTCTCCTGTAGTTGTGTATATTCAGTGAGCATGCAGCTTCTGTTGTATCTTCCCTTGGAGGTTTGTTTATACCCATTGGGTTCCCAACAAGTTGAACCTTGCGTTACGATAAAAGCAGATGTGGCATCCAATCCTACCACCCAGCAAAGAGAAACCCCAGGCATTCAACTGCAGCACAAAATCGTGGGTGTAGCCTTCTTGAAGACTCAGGGTAGCCATTCCTTGCTCCATATTTAATTTTAATTCTAAAGTCATCTAATTTCATGGAATCTTTGAATTTGCAGTACGTTGAACTTTTAAAAAACTGTAAGTTATTAATTGTTCATCAAGAGCACTGTGGTGGAATATCGTAGTTGATTTCTTTTTCTTTCTTTTTTTTTAATGCTTTCTTTGTGTGTGGGAGGTGTGAGATTCACCATGATAGGCACTTTGCAGAAAAAAAAAGTGATTACTCTTATATATTTTGTTTTCTTGTTAATACAATGCCACTGAATTTTTCAGCTAGGATGTGTATATTCATATTAGAGTTAAAAATAAAGTAAAATGTGAATCCTCCCAATTAAAGAAGAACTATGAAAAATATAAGGCAATGTTGTTCTTCCACAGTGACCTCCAGTATTTTAAATTTTTTGTGGAGAAAAAAATGTTTTGCTTTCTTAAACCTCTTAACTATAGCTTAAGTAGAGAGATATGAACAATGTGGCATTGACATTTATTTTTAAATTCTGAGCAGAGAAAGATTTTTATTTCTTACATTGAGTACATTTAATTTAGTTTTTAACATTCCAATTCCATTACATGTTTTTTTTTATTGTTGATATTCATATTGATAATGACATCATGAAATTTATCCTCACAAGAAGTAGCTGGTTTATTTCCAGGTTACAGCCATACTTCCCAAAGTTCCTCTGGGTTCTGAGAACTATGCCAGCTCACCTGTCATCTCCATTCATTTTCTACAGGACAGTCTCATCGAACTCAAGGAATCTTCAGCAAAGGTTTGAGTCTTTTAAAATCATCATGCCTAAGTAAACCAAATGTTCTTTACTTATTTTATTTAGTAGATGTCCTCACCCTAGTACATTCAGTAAGCTGAGATCAGTGGGATAAAGTACTCTGCTTACATTGAATAACCTTCAAAAATATTAAATGTTAAAACTGAAACAACAGATGACAGTGGTCCCTTTTAATGAGATTGTTATAAAATGTGTGTAATGTGGCAACATTTCTATCATCTCTCCTTGCTTGCTGTGTTATACCTTCTCCTTTTATGCTTTTTCAAAATCTGGAAATAAGTTTAACATTCGGGGAAGAGGTTATTTGATTGTTTTGGGTTTATTTAATTTTTCAAAACAAATCTGCCAGGCTGTCTGACTGTTTAGACAACCCAAAATACCAAAAAATAAATTTGATGCATTCACATATCTGTTTTAAAAATGGAACTCATCTCAATCTATAAAAATTCTTTATATATCCTCTGCTGAGGTACCTTTTTGGTAGTTACAGCACAATATCAGGAGATACTGTTAATGTGAAAGAATCATTCCCCTGGACAGGAATACTCGGTGGTTGTGTTTACATGTCAGTATTAATTCTTACCTATTATTCTACTTTCTTGAGTATTCTGCTACTAAAAGTAGTGTGCAGTTTGTGTATCTTATTACAGAGTTTATTTCAGTATTATACTTGAATTGTCCATTGTTCATGTTGTTTTGTCTTTGTTATAAAACGTGTACCCTTCTTTGATTTTCTACTTTGCCTCCTCTTACAAGCTACAAGCAAATGAATCTGCTCAGCAGAATGAAGCCTATTTTTCAGCATAAATATTGCTTGCCATGATTAAAATAGAAATCAGCTAAGCATGATTTCTTTACTGGTGGACCAAATGAAATTTTGAAACAGAGCCAGTTGACATTACTAACTGCTTTTAGATGTATAGATTTATAATGAAATGTCTGTGGATATTGGGCAAATAAGGCACTAATTTTTAAGTTTATATTAGCCAGTGTACCTGTGTCCTAAAATTGTAGCATTGTTTTTTAGAATATACTATATTAATCAAAAGTCTCAGCTATGCTGGGAGAAGTTCCATTTAGTTTTATTTTTTTTCTGATTTGAATGGATGTTTTATTTGAAGTAGATATCGGGGTTATTCTGTAATACGCTATTGAAGAACAAGCCGAAATAACACATTAGACACAACATCAACCTAATGACATTATTTTTGAAAATTCTAAACGTCCAACGTATTTTTGTTTTTTTGCTGTTAGCCATAACGTCACAATACTAACAGAGTTCTCCATACCTAGTAGGAGTTACAAAAATGTTGATATCAGGTTGGAATTATATACCGCTATTTATTATTACATGGGATTATTATTTAAAATGATGTTCCTATTTAGGTTAGTTTTGGAAAACTTAATTTATATTCCATTTCAATTTTGATATCTATAGAACTTTCATTTAATGTAAACTTTTTATTGGCTAACTTAAATATATACTGCAATATAGTAGGTTTTTATAACCAGTTTCAAATTGTTTATGTCAGTCTTAACCATCAGTGGCTTCTATGGGCTATTTTAAATTAATGGGCTAACAGTGTTAACTTCTGAATATTTGTTTACTGAAACATACTTTGAAGCAGTTTGTAACCTGCTGTTAAAATTAACTGGATTTTCTAATCGATGATGGTTCCTCACATTTGTGAAAAGGCCTTTTGAATATATGTACTATCTCATTTCATGCTCATAACAGTGCTGTGAGGTAGACAGGGCAGGTGGATAGTGTCTTTTTGACAAATGAGAGACTAAAAGTTCTTTAGCTTTCCCAGTTACATAGAATTTGTTAGTATCAAAACATGAACTAAAATTAAGGTTTCTTGATTCCTAGCACCACCCATTTCAACAATAGTTGAGAGGGTTTTTCTAGCTCCTTTAGTGTGCTTGCCTTGGTTTTTAAAAATTACAGTGATTCAAGTCAGTCTCCCACATCCCTCCTTTTTAAAAATGGTGTTTTGCAGGCCTTTAAAATTTAATTAATTTATTCCACATGCAACCAGAAAAATTTGAAAATGGCATATACATATGCTTCTAAAAACTGTGTGACTCCTACTACTTTTCAGATCTTTAGTGCTTAGCATGGTGCCTGGCAGTAAGGTTAGGTATTCAATAAATACTTGAAGTGATCTCTTAAGCCTTTGCACTTTGGTAAAGCATGCAAAGTACTGGTTTGCATAGTAGCTGATGTTGCATTTTTATGTGTCTAGAAAGTTTAATAGCATATGAATGTCTTAGAAAAAAAATTTCACTGGACTTTGAGTGATCTCCAAAGTTGATTATCTTTAGCCTGTTTCTGAGGTAGCTTTTACTTTCTAGAGGGTTTGGAAGATACGCATCTATTTTCATATTATCTTGTCACTTGTACCTATAAAATTCTCTCCCTGCTTTAGTTTGACTTTTTAGTTATGCGTTTTCTGTGGGATTCTCTTTATTATTTATTTGCTATTTTTACTTTCTAATTTGTGGTAAAAGCAATACATGGATTTTAGCTTTTCAAATGAGATTAACTAAAAGAAGAAAAATCTAGCTTAGTATCCAAATCTTTTCTGTCAGTTCACCCTTTACCCCTAATTTCCAAATAGTGTATTTCTAGTTTTGATCAATTGTGTTTTGATGTAGCAATTCTAGCAGCTACTTTTGATGAAGATAGTGTTAAAAAAAAAAAAACAAAAAACAGGTTCCATTAATCAGCCTCTCTCTAATTTAGGAGGGCATCAGTAACCACCTCAAGACAGAATTTAGCTTTCAATTTGTTCACCATCTTAAAATGAGGATTTACAGCCAAACCCAAGCCTAAAAGTGAGGCCATCTTTATATAATATAGTGAAGCTTTAATAAAGTCAGTGGAGCAGAGTTTTCTGAAACAGATTTTGAAAATCAGTCAAATTCTTTTTTGGACCTTAATGATCCGAATGTCAAGAATAAAAGCCAATCAAGAACAAAACCCAGCGATGCTACATACAAATCCATTTAATGAATCCTTAATTTTATTTGTCAAACTTGTATTGAGTATTCACTGTGTGTACAAGGAACTAGGAAGTATGTAAAAGTAGAAAGGCACCTTAGCTCTTCTACCATACTGGAAACTGTTATGGACAAAAATGTATGACATGAAGTTAATAGGGAGCACTTGTCCTAAAAAAAAGGTAAATATAAAATAATGTAAAGTGAGTTGCAGAGTTGAGGGATGGTTGAGTGCTGTTGACTTTGGCCATCTTTGAAGGCTAAGTAGGATTTTAAGAAGTTAAGATAAAAATGAACAACCATTCTAGTAATGAGAACTGCTGGAAAGGACAGATGTTAGGGAGCAGTGATAGCCACAGCATAGAATGCATTGGGTTACTATAGCAGGATATAATTGTGAAAAGATGGTGGAGAGTTTGGAATGCCTAAACTAAGGGGTATGCATTTAATTCATTAGGCAATGAGAAACTCTGTTTTTATGCAAAAGAGTATTTGATCAGAACTATTCTAAAGAAGGAATTGAATTGGGTACATTCTGAACTAAGAATTTCTGATTGTCAGTTGAGCTATGTGACTTTTTATGTCAAGAATGAAGTATTTGAACATTAATGCCAGAAGTAAGTTCTAGAAAAATTTCTCAATTCCTCACAGTACAGAAAGTAAGCACAGTTCAAAACTTCATTATTAATAAGGGTTGTGTGTGTGTGTGTGTGTGTGTGTATTTTTTTTTTTGCTTTTATTGGGAAAAATTACTACTTAGAGAAGTCTTCTTTGAGTATTGCAGCAATATTTCCTTTGTCTTAATCATTTTCATAAATAATGTTAAGATATGAATAAACCTCACGATTAGAAAAATCTTGATGTCATTTAAGGCATTCTAGCCAGCAAGAGTATCTTTTAGACAAGTATTTTTATGACTATCGTTCTCTTGCTCTTTATTAATAAGCATTTTGTCTATTTCAGTTTATCAACTTTTAAACATTGAAATTTTAAAGAATCTACTTCTGCATTGCTATGGCAGTATTTCTGAGCCAACTGAATTGAAAATGTTTGGTGGTGTTAAAAAATAAGTGTTTAATTCTCAAACTGATGGTTTTCATTTTTCATGTATTCCTTTGAATACCAAAGGATTTCTTCATGTAAAAATATTTGACTTTTGACTCACTATTCTATTTGTTCCTAAGGTGTATCTAGCATTGTGTAGTTATGTAATGAGTTATATTCAGTATTCTGCTGCATAATACTTTTAATGTCTTAAATTAAACATAGGCTTGTAGCACAGATATAAATGCCGTAAGGTTAGGTATCTGATTATTTCCTGACTACTTCCTAAATATTTTATGTTACAGCATATTTCCATATTTACAACTCACCTAAGAAGGGTTATCTCTCAATTATTTAGTTAGAATATCCTTGATGATTGGCTGTTTTATTGCGTATAGCCCTTTTGGCAGAGAAAGAATAGGCAGAGGAGAATATTGGTTCATTATTTTTTAGTCTTTTGAATTGTTTAGTCATCCTCAGCTGACTAGATGGCTTTCTGAGGTATTTAGAACCAGGAAGACAAATTTCACAGTTAATTGTGATTATTTTGATAGAAATTGGAGTGCTTTCAGAAGTAGAGAACATGCAGCCTTTACATTTGTAAAAATAATTTGAGATAATCTTTGCATGGTTCACACTGAGGCAGAAAAGAATTATTAGCAAAATCATAGCTAGGTTTTATTTTTATACTTTTGCCCATTGCCATTATTGACTGCCTATCGGTGGATGGTAAGACTATTTAAAATTTCCATGATTGTGTAGAGGTGTTTTTTTCTTTTTCTTTTTTTTTTTAAACAGTAGAGAAACTCCAGTCACTATTGTTCATATATGGACTCTTGTAATGGTGGTTATAGGTCTTTACAATAGAGCTATAAGGAATACTCTAGCTTGTGAATTTACTAATGAGTCTCAGTTGAGGCACAAATGAACTGATGGAGTTTAAATGGTGATTTTTATAAGGCCAAGAATTGAAGCCTTTGTATAATTTGTGCCATGCCCTTTTATTTTACCTCTTGTAATCCAGATAGCTGACCAGTTTTTACTTTGGGTATAATTCCCAATTGTGTTTCATTTAGTAAACAAACAAGTGATGCCAATACTGGAAAACTAATAATCTTTAGTAATATTGCCTTAATTTAACAGCTCTACATTAATCATACTCCTCCACCACTGTCCAAGAGTAAGGAGAGAGAAATGGACAAGAAAGATTTGGACAAGTCAAGGGAAAGATCCAGAGAAAGAGAGAAAAAAGATGAAAAGGACAGGAAAGAGCGGAAAAGGGTTTGTAAAATTTTTTTTAAACTAGTTTGGAAAGCTCATTATCATGTACACCAGTGTGTATGTTGCCTTTTAAAAAATACTAGTTTGTTCCATAGTAGTCTGTTATTTCATGATTTTATTGATATTTTTACCCTGAAGTGTTTGCATTTTCTACGTTAATAAGGATCTTCAGCCTAGTAATCTCTGTCAGCTCTGCTTGTCTTTCATGCCATTTTACCAAGTATGTGAAACTACTGCAAATACTCTCCATTGCTAGTTAGCTGTGCCCTTCTCATATAAAAGTAATACTTTAAAACAAAAACAGAAGCCCTTGGTCAATGTAGTTCACAATTCTTGGTTCTAGGATCACTCAAACAACGACCGTGAAGTGCCACCGGACTTAACCAAGAGACGTAAAGAGGAGAATGGAACAAGTAGGTAGACTTATTCATATCTTTGAAGATATCATCGAAGTGAATTGGAAAAGGCTTTCATGATTTTCTTTTGTAATTTTAGTGGGGGTTTCAAAACATAAAAGTGAAAGTCCTTGTGAATCTCCTTATCCAAATGAGAAAGACAAGGAAAAAAATAAGTCAAAATCTTCAGGCAAAGAAAAAGGCAGTGATTCATTTAAATCTGAGAAGATGGATAAAATCTCCTCCGGTGGCAAAAAGGTAAATTAGGAAAATAAAGGAATAATATGCTTTATCTTAAAAAAATCAATCCTGAAAATTTAGCAAATATTGAATTTTTTTCCTAGTCCTATAGTCTTTTGTTCATTATTTAGGAGTGGGAAGAAGAGGTATTGAGGGAGGGCATTCCGTTTGGGGAATTTGAGTCAGTTCAGTCCCAGATTACCAGGAGGGTAGAGTTAGTATACCTCTGAGATTCCTTTCCCCTCTCCATTCCATTCCCACCTACTTCTGTTGATTGAGTTTCAGCTGTTCTTTGCATTTTCTTTTTTCTCCACCAACTCTTTGCTTTTAGTTTCTCTTTATTCCTGAGATTAAAATATGGTCACATGTATTCTCTCTGACCATCATAGCATCATAAAGTCTTGATTGTGATTTGAAACATTTTTGTAACGTTTTCTCCTAATAAACTCATTTGTTTGATACTTGTATTTGATTTAAAAATTGAGTATAAGATACATTCTCTTACATATTAATGGTTGATATTTAAAGTGAATCTCACGCATCTGCCATAAAGTAATAAGCAAGCCATTACTAAAGTATAAATTGTTTCCAAAACATTGTTATATATATTGAAAATATATGCCATTTATTCATAGTTCATAAAAACAGCTCTAGAAAATTATATAATGAACATTTTAATTCTATGCTTTAAAAGATAGGCTGTTCTTTTAGGTGTTTTTTAATTGAGGTAAAATTCAAATAACATAAAATTAATCATTTTACAGGTGTACATTTAAGTGACATTTAGTATATTCACAGTATTGTGTAATCATCTCTATCTAGTTCCAAAACATTTTTATCACCTCCAAGAGAAAACTCTATACCCATTTAAACAGTCACTCCCATTTCCCCTTCTCAGCCCCTGGGAACCATAAATCTGTTTTCTTTATGGATTCACTCATTCTGAATATTTTATATAAATGAAATAGTACAATAATGTGCCCTTTTGTGTCTGATGTCTTTCACTTAGCATAATGTTTTTGAAGTTCTTCCATGTTGTAGCATGTGTCATTTACTTCATTTCTTTTTATAGCTAAGTAATATTTCATTATATGAATATACCACATTTGTTTATCCATTTTTCAGTTGATGGACTTTTGAATTGTTTCCACGTTTTGGCTATTGTGAATAGTGCTGCTGTGAACATTTGTGTGGGGCTATAAGTATTTGTTCAAACACCTATTTTTAATTATCTTGGATATATGCCCAAGAATGGAATTTCTGGGTTATATGGTAATTCTATGTTTAACTTTTTGAGGAACCACCAAAATCTTTTAGACAGTGGCTGTACAGTTTACATTTCTACCAACAAAGTATCAGAGTGCAGATTTCTCTACATCTTTGTCAACACTGGTTATTTTCTGTTTTTGTTTTTTATTATAGCCATTCCAGTAAGTGTGAAGTGGTGTCTCATTGTGGTTTTGATTTGCATTTTCTTAATAACTAATGATGCTGAACATCTTTTCATGTGCTTATTGGCCATTTGTTTATCTTTCAAGAAATCTGTTCAGATACCTTGACCATTTTTTATTTTGAGGGTTTGTGTTTTTGTTGCTCAGTTGTAAGAGTTCTTTATGTACTTTGGATACTAGATCCTTATGAGATAGGTGATTTGCAAATTTTTTCTCCAGTTCTATAGGTTGTCTTTTCACTTTCTTGATAGTGTTCTTTGATGCATGAATGTTTTTACTTTTGATGAAGTTCAATGTATCTATTTTTTTCCTTTTGTTGCTTATGCTTTTGGTGTCATGTTAAGTAAGTTTTTGAAGACAAATATAGCTCGCGGGTGATGAAAAGGGGTTTTGAGCTGGCTTTTATATTTGGCTTTCCCTTCCCCAGCTAATTCTACTATTTCTTATAGGAGTCCAGGCATGATAAAGAAAAGATAGAAAAGAAAGAGAAACGGGACAGTTCAGGAGGAAAGGAAGAGAAGAAACAATATCCTTTTCATTTTGATGTTTTCAGTTAGTGTAGTAGAAAGCTTTGATACTGGTCATGTTTACAATTGTACTCTTTTAGTATGTGGTTTATATGCTTAAGGGCTGATTAGTTTTGAAATGGTCTTTCCAGTTAACTCTCAAAATGTGTGAAATCTGGAAGTGGGATACTTGATGTTCTTGATATTTAAAAATACTTCTGTGGTGACTGAGATGTTTTATGCCACTAAGGGATTTATAGTCTTTCAGGTTATATTATCACAGAGAGGAAGAAAGGGAACAGAGAGTCCCTAGGGCTGGGGACATTGGGAATAGAAGGGCAAAATGATGAGTCAGACAAGCAGAGCTGGTAGAGTTTGAGGCTACCAGGCTGGTCAGAGCCCATTTAGGCCTGCAACCTGAGGTGCTGTACTAAAAGGGGAGATGCTGTTCTTTCCGCCATTCCCAAAAGTTGTTTTCCCTTAATTTGTCATCTACTCATAAGTCCTCGGACAAGCACAGATAATGAAGACTTTCCATCAAGGTGAGTGTTCTCTCACCACCTTTTCACTTAATGATAGAAACATAAAATGAGTTCTGATAATGTTGAAAAACTAGATGCATTTTACAAGCTACAACTACTTGTTTTTTTCACCTAAATATAACGACCAAGTCTTCGGGTATAGATGCAAAACAAGATTCAGAGTTATTTTTAAGCTGTTTTCATTTTAAGCTTGCTGATTAGCCACACATTTTTTTTTTAAGCACCAAGATATATTTAAGAACATCTGGCTTTCTCTTCACCACTTATTCCCATCTTCTCTGGATAATTAATTATGTTTTTAAAGTCCTTATTGCCTTGTAAATGGTGGTAGTGGTATCTGCATTTTATAAGTGAAGAAACAGACTCTGAGAGGTTAAGTTGAAGAGGGTCATAAAGATATTAGTCAACAGAGCCAGTTGACTATCCTCAGTCTTTCTATCCTTTAGTGTTCTCTGTTCCTTTTGCTTTCTCATGCTGATGTCTTATCCAAAGATTTTTAAGTTTTCGTGCCATTTTTTTTTTTTTTACCACTGCCCATGTTTTGCAACAGAAAATATGGTCTGTGTTTTTAGTTCTGGAATTTACAATGTGTAACTTTTTTTTTCTTTTTTTTTCTTTTTTTAGGTAATGCACTTAATGCTTTATGTGAGATTTAAAAAGTATTTTACCCATCTTAAATAAATTGTGTTTCCATCATAGTGGATACAGTGTTCAGACCCTAACATCGCCTTTTTTGAGCACTTAAGATAATCTGAATAGTTACTGTTTGGTGATGCCTTAGTATTATTGAAGTACGTAGGACAATTTGCCCCCTAAATGTAATGGTTCCAGACAGCTGTGTTTTGAGGCTGTTGATTCTGCCTTTATTTTTTTATTTTTATTTTTTTTTGAGACAGAGTCTCACTCTGTCGCCCAGGCTGGAGTGCAGTGGCGCGATCTCAGCTCACTGCAACCTCTGCCGCCCAGGTCCAAGCGATTCTCCTGCCTCAGCCTCCTGAGTAGCTGGGATTAGAGGCGCCTGCCACCGCGCCCGGCTAATTTTTGTATTTTTAGTAGAGATGGGGTTTCACCATGTTGGCTAGGCTGGTCTTGAACTCTTGACCTCGTGATCCACCTGCCTCAGCCTCCCGAAGTGCTGGGATTACATGTGTGAGCCACTGTGCCTGGCCGACTCTGCTTTTTTATAGCCCGTTTTCTTGCTTCCATGTTAGCCATCATTTCTTAATATATTAAGTATACTTGCTTTTCTATACTTCGTTAATATATTAATTAATTAAGTATCCTTGCTTGTCTATACCTCCCCCCTAATATTATTGGATGCTTCTAATCTTTTATGAGACCAGATAGATAACCAAGGCTGTTTACCAGTGTTTAAATTACAAGTGAGAAATGTCTGAGAGCCAGTTCTGTATAAGGGTATGGGCTTAAAGGTATGGATTTTGTCATCTTTATTTTGGCTGCAAAGCAGGGATTCGAGAGGTTGCCTTATAGTCAACACATGATGAATGGTGTGCTTTTCCTGCTTTTTTGGTGCTTGCTATGTAAGTAGATTAGGGTAAAGTAGGGTAAATGAGAGTTATAAAAGAACATTTCGAATTTAATAGATTTAAAAGGAAATATTACTGCTAATTCTTCAATTCTAGCTGCTCCTACCCCCATCCCAACCTTACAACTATCTTCTCTGGTGAGCCATAAACTCTTAATCCTCATTTTAACCTTTCTTTTAATCTGGCATTTTGCTGTCACATGTGGTCTCCCTATTAAAAGAAAAACAAAAAGCCCACCTTTCATATCTTCATGAGGAATGAGCCAGCCATTGTCACTGACAACTTTCACAGTGATTTTATATATCTCTGTTTACTCAGTACCCAAATATTATTCTTTTGTATGTGAAGGTTATGCTACAGATTTGAGTTTTTCTTGCACTGACCATGAATTTGTATTTTACCCCTCTGTGTAATCTCTTAGGAACAAAGGGATGACAAAACTGGTCAGGGTTAGATATTTGGCTCGTGGTCTTATAGCAAAACTTCTAGATTCAGATGTTCTTTTAAAAGTATGTCTAGCTGGATGTCCATCCTGTTGAATTCCTCATTGACAACTTTGTACGATACTTTCTTCTTGGGTAGACTCTTAATTTTGTGAGACTCTGGTTGATAGTTTCTTTTCTTTTGAGACAAAGAAGTCTCGCTGTTTTGCCCAGGCTGGAGTGTAATGGTGCGATCTTGGATCACTGCAACCTCTGCCTTCCAGGTGATTCTCCTGGTGATTCTTCAAGAGATTCTCCTGCCTCATCCTCCTGAGTAGCTGGGATTACAGGCACGCACCACCATACCTGGCTAATTTTTGTATTTTTAGTAGAGACAAGGTTTCACCATGTTGGCCAGGCTGGTCTTGAACTCCTGACCTCAGGTGATCCACCTGCCTTGGCCTCCCAAAGTGCTGGGATTACAGGTCTGAGCCACTGTGCTGGGCCATCTGGCTGATAGTTTCTTTTTTTTTTTGTTTGTTTGTTTTGAGATGGAGTCTCACTCTGTCGCCCAGGCTGGAGTGCAATGGTGCAATCTTGGTTCACTGCAATCTCTACCTCTCGGGTTCAAGCGATTCTCCTGCCTCACCCTCCCTAGTAGTTGGGACTACAAGCACGTGCCACCACGCCTGGCTAATTTTTGTATTTTTAGTAGAGACGGGGTTTCACAATGTTGGCCAGGCTGGTCTTGAACTCCTGACCTCAGGTGATCCACCTGCCTCGGCCTCCCAAAGTGCTGGCATTACAGACGTGAGCCACTGTACCTGGCCGATAGTTTATTTTAAAACAAAAAAAAATTTTAAATGGAAACGGGGTTTCGCCATGTTGCCCAGGCTGGTCTGAAACTCCTGGACTCAAGCCATCTGCTTGACTTGGTCTCCCAATGTGCTGGGATTGTAGGCATGAGCTGCCATGCCTGGCTGATAGTTTCTTTTTCTGGCTGTTGACTGCTACTTTCTATTTGGATACATTCCAGGGTTGGTCAGGTCTGTTTTTCTTCCTTTTCTTTAAGAATGTTATCATATCTGATTGGAACCGTCTATTTACAGGCTACTTTGAAATCTGCTGCCCTCCCCCACTCACCTTTTATTTTCTATTCTATAGAAAGGACAGCTCTTACATATGTCATATTTCCATGATTGAAAGATGTCGTTACTTGTAAGATTTCATTATTGTTTTTAGAACAGTTTTTTTAAGGAGGGTTGGTAGAGAAATGACAGTGATTTGTAAGTATCATCCTGATTTTCACAAACATTAAAATAATCACATTAGAATTAAGATACAAGGCCAGGCATGGTGGCTCATGCCTGTAATCCTAACACTGTAGGAGGCTGAGGCAAGAGGATTGCTTGAGGCCAGGAATTTGAGATCAGCCTGGGCAACATAGTGAGACCCCATTTCTAATAAATAAATAAATAAATAAATAAATAAATAAATAAATAAAACTTAGCTAGGCATGGTAGTATGCACCTGTAGTACCAGCTCCTTGAGAGTCTGAGGCAGGAGGATTTCCTGAGCACAGGAGTTCGAGGCTGCAGTAAGTCATGATTATGCCACTGCACTCCAGCATGGGTGACAGAGCAAGACTCTGTCTCTTAAGAATTAAGAAGATAACAGTATATAAATATGACCATAATTAAATTCCTTCCAGTCTTCTGTCATCTTTTCTCGTCTTCTGTTTTTGGTTGCAAAACTCTGTTCCTTCTCTGCATCTTCTGTTGCCCTTAAAGTCTTTGTACAAATTCATCTTGCCTCTCCTTGATTTAGTCTCTTGAAGATTACTAGTTCCTTTGCCTTTAACCTTCCTTCCTACTTTAACTTTTTTTTTTTTAATTCCTGCTTATAAAATTGTCCTCTGAGAACCACCACCCTTTGGCTTCTCAATTTTAACTTGATATATGTGATCCTCAACTCAGGGATGTTGAGTTCAGCAAACTTTTGAAAGTCCTTTTGTGAACCAAATGCTGTGCTAAGCTGACATTTGCTCCCAGGCCTTGAGATACTCAGTCTCCTTGCTTTTTATTATTTTGGATGTAGGACTTTGATTTTAAAGAACATTAGCAGTTAGCACTACTTATTCATAATCTGTATTTTTAATCTACTACATTCCTATTCTAATCCTCCATTCCAAGAAGGCCAAATATATTTGCAGGTCCATTCCTTCCAGTCTCACATGTGTAACCTAATTTTTATCCTCTAAATCCTACGTTGCAAATTATCAGCCCTTGGGCAGAATGTGGGATGTTAAATGTACTTTATTTTATTTTTCATTTCATTTCATTTCATTTCATTTTTGAGACAGAGTCTCTCTCTGTCACCCATGCTGGAGTGCAGTGGTGCGATCTTGGCTCACTGCAACCTCTACCCCCTGGGTTCAAGCGATTCTCATGCCTCAGTCTCCCGAGTAGCTGGGATTACAGGCATGTGCCACCATGCCTGGCTAATTTTTTTGTATTTTCAGTATAGACGGGGTTTCACCACGTTGGCCAGGCTGGTCTCAAACTCCTGACCTCAAGTGAACCGCCCTCCTTGGCCTCCCAAAATGCTGGGATTACAGGTGTGAGCCACCACGCCCGGCCTGTCTTTCTTTCTTTCTTTCTTTTTTTTTTTTTTTGTAGAGACGAGGTCTCACTATATTGCCCAGGCTGGTATTGAACTCATGGGCTCAAGTAATCCTCCTGCCTCTGCCTCTCAAAGTGGTACGATTACACATGTGAGCCACCACCGCCAGCAAAATGCACCTTCTTAACCTCACACAATATTTCAAAATTTTAAAAATCTGTTTGTTTTTAAAAATCAGAATTGACAAAATCCAAATTTCAGTTTTTCTTGAAGGATTGGAACATCTGGTAACATTGTGTTCTGATTTCTGCATAGCATCATTATGTCCTGATTTCAGCTAGACTTGTCTAGGTGCTGCCCCCCTTTAGAATAGAGCAAGGGCCTTTTTAAAAACAGTTCACCTCCGTCAGTCCCCACTCAGCTCGTTTCTTTTGTTTTCATCACGTTCTTGGCCTTTGTAGACAATTGATTTTGTAATTCCAGCTCTAAGCCTTTTTTTGTTTGTTTGTTTTCCCTTCAGTTCATACTTGGAAACTGACCTCCTAAGCTCCTGAAGATTTCTTGTTTTAGGAATGCATTGCCATTCTGAGGCTTATTCCTAGATGTTGACGATAGGTATTGGTAAAGGGTATGGGATAGGGAACTCATCAATGTTCACATTGATGCCAGAGAAACATTTAATATCTCTGTATAAGTGCAACATTGACTTTTTTTGCCACCAAACACACCATTTTATAGGAAGGGAACCTATACTGATTAAAAGAGCTTGCTTATTTGCTGCAGCATATTTTTTGAGGGCAGATTTAATATGCTCTCATTTTGGTCTGTATGTAGTAACCATTAAATGTATACTAGACTCTTGTAAGGAGCTTGAAATGACAGACACAAATCATTTCTGTCTTCATTATCAACTTTTATACTTAAAAAAAATACTGAGTATAGGTTTTGTGCACTGATATTCATAGGCATGAAAAGTTGAAGAGGGCAGGAGAAATTTTCTATTTCCTTGCTCTTCCACTTACGGTAGAGCAAATATTCATTTATATGCTGTTTTTTAAAATTTTGACATGGGCATGAGCACTTATAAAAGGCTTCCATACAACATTTGCCCTGAGTGTGTCTTTCCCCTACACACATAATTATCCTGAAAAGCATCCCTGGGTGCAGTTAAGTTTCAGCTCAACAGAATCCACGTCTTAACTCTGTTACATTTTATCCACGTGGAACATCTCAGGAACTCTGTTTGCTATAAAGAATTCCTAGGTTGCAGTATAAGGGTAAATGAAGGAGTAAAGTGGATTTAGGATGGCTGTCCCCATGTCTTTCTCATAACTTCTTTCTTCCTTATAAATATTTGTTTGACTTTTTAAATGTCAAGTTCATCTTTATATGCCTTTCTACCTGGGGTTTATGTGAAAAGAACGAGAGAATGAGAATAAAATCCTGACAGTTTCAGACACTAGTAAAAATGCATGGAATGCAGTTCTGGGATGCTTCCTGTGAAGTGAAGACACTTAACCAAAAATAATATATTATTTTGGTGGGCTTGATTTTATAGTTTCTCTTAAAAATTGTTTGGTTGCCATCCAGAGGGCTCTTTTATGAAGAATCTATATAAACTACTAAAACATTTCTTAGGACCTTTTTGGTGAATTTGATCATAAAATTAAAAAGCGTGTATGTGTTTTATAAAGGCATACCTCTGTTAAGAAGGCTGGTTTTATGTTTGCCTTTTCTTCTCTACTTTGATCACCACCCTAGCTGTTCCTTTCTCCAGACCACCTTACTTTTCAAACTTGATTCTTGCTATCACAGCTCTCTGTAACATCAGTTAAAATCAGCTGCCTCAACTCTTTGAGGATGTTTGTGCATAGGACGGCATTGTGAAACATAGGGAAATGGCAGTCTTACTAACAAAACAGGACCTATCTCTGGCCAAAAAGAAAAAAAAAAAACAAACAACTCAGGAGGTCCAGATAATTACCAATATAAAATGGCGTTCACACATATAATCTTGTCTCAGCAGAGTAGGAAGGCCATCTTCTGTTGAGATGTGTCCTACAAATGTGGTATGTGATATTACCAATACAGCTTATAGCACCAATAGGTGTCTGTGATGGAGAACAGCAGACTATGAACTGAGCCTGGAGTAGAAAATTTTTGAGAAGCAGCAACAGTCCTAGATGTGAAAAAGATAGATCTGTGTGATCCCTTACATTCAGAACTTACACTTTCTTATTTACAATGGTTAAAGCAGTACATATTAAAAAATAGTTAATAAAACACTTAGGAGAATGTTGCAGGTAATGTGGTATAAATGTTAATAAGAAGAAAAATACTGCTTTGCTGAAAATAGAGTCCTGAAGGCTGAGTTTGGCACTGCTTCATCACTATGCAACTTTCTTCTTGATGACAGCTAGCTCTTTCTGAAGTTCAGTAAACTTGGGGGCAGTTTTCAAGTTTGTAATCCTAACACCTCAGCATTATTTTATTAAAATACTCTGTGGACACTGCCAAGAGACTGACATCCAGTATCTTCTTTCCACTTGCTCTTGTGGTTGCTGATTTGTCATTCCAGGCTATGGACAGACCCCCTAAGCCGAAAGTCTCCCAGAGGAGGATGCCAAAGCTCCGTGCGTCACTCTCAGAATGATATCTCCCATAATTAAGAGCTTCTGGTGCTGTCCATTTAATGGGAATCTGCTTTAAGTCAGAAGATGAGTACACACCACCATCCTCTTGACGAGACATTCCAAAGTCACTGATTTTCAGAACATTATTTTCACCTCCAGGCAGTTTCTTACAGCAAGGTCCCTGTGTATACATTTTTTACTCGAGATACACCATCCAGAATCAGCATCTAATGAAAATTTCACTGAGTTTTAGTTCATTCTTCTTTCTCTGAAAGGAGAGGAAATCGCCTCCAGGAACCAGTTCCTTAATGACGTAGATAGGCCGTCTTTGTGTGTGAACTCCTATACTTTTGACATTACTGGGATGATTATATTGCTTGAGGATTTTGGCTTCTAGTAAAAATTTTAATTTCAGTTCCTGGGGAAGACGTTCTTGACGTGTTTTAACAGCAACAGCAATTTTATCCTTTAATGTGACCTTAAATGTGTCACCAAAATTTCCCTTGCCTCTTGTAACGTGGCACCTTTATGATTGAGAACCCATTTCTTATTCTCCTAATGGCCATACTGTGATACCATGATGCTCTTAATTGGAACATTGACTTTTTTTTTTTTTGCAATTTAAACAATTGAGATAAAATTCATATAACATCAAATTTACCTTTCACTTTTTTTTTTTTCTTTTGGAGACCAAGTCTCGCTGTTGTCTCCCAGGCTGGAGTGCAGTGGCGCGATCTCGGCTCACTGTGACCTCCGCCTCCTGGGTTCAAGCAATTCTCCTTCCTCAGCCTCCTGAGTAGCTGGGACTACAGGCGTGCACCACCACGCCTGGCTAATTTTTGTATTTTTAGTAGAGATAGGGGTTTCACCGTGTTAGCCAGGATGGTCTCGATCTCCTGACCTGGTGATCCACCTGCCTCGGCCTCCCAAAGTGTTGGGATTATAAGCGTGAGCCATGACGCCTGGCCTCAAACTTGCCATTTTTAAAGTGTACAATTCAATGGTTTTTAGTATATCCACTATGTTGTGCAAGCATCACCGCTGTCTAATTCCAGAGCATTTCTGTCACCCCAAAAAGAAACTCCATGCCTATTAGCAGTCACTCCCAGTTCTTCCCTTCCTCGGCCCCTGGAAACCAGTAATGTACTTTCTGTCTCTGTGATTTTGCCTGTTTTGGACATTTCATTTAAATGGAATTATGCAATAATTTGTGGCCTTTTGTGTTTGGCTTTCACTTAGCATCATGTTCTCAAGGCTCATCCATGTTGTGGCATGTATCAGTACTGCATTCCTTTTTATGGCTAAATGATGTTTCATTGTATGAGTGTGTACCACATTTTATTTATCCATTCAGCAATTAATGGACAGGAACAATGGCTTTTAAGTATTAAATTGTAAGTTCAACATTAAATGTATCCACAGTTATTGATAATATCAAGATTATACATGGTGTGAACAGAATGCTGTGTCGAAATGGTATGTAAATTATTTGTCAGCATTTCATGTAAGTGATTATTTTCTAAGGACCCTTCTAGCCCTGGTTTTAAGAAATATGTGAATGTAGTATTTTCATCAATAAAGTTTAATGCATTAAGCATTAGCTTAAAATTTGAATGAAGGCAGATGTGAAGATATTTGCCACATGTTGTAATAATCATGTTTTGAAATTATTTCAATATGAAGTATTTGAAAAATGTCAATACATAAAGGAAAGGAAATGAGTATAATTAAGTCAATATATTTTTAAAGCAATTTTTATAATTTAGCAGACACTGCATCTTAATATAAGTTACTATTAAAATTGTGTCCTTGTGAAAAATGTGATGTCATTTTCCTTTTTTTGTTGATCATGTAAAATAGGTTACTTTTCTTTGCTACATTTTCTATTTAATAAGCTATTGCTTGCCGTTGTGGAATGTTTTACTTGTTGCTCCATTTTTTTCTCCCTACCCCCACCCCTCTCTCCCACACGCACACAATGTTCAATTTTTTTTTTAAGTCATCATTAGTGTGTTTATCTTTAATGGATTCTAAGAATGGACAAAAAGAAACACACAAATATTTCATCCTTTTCTGGGGACTCAAGTCTTTGTTACCGATGGAACTCATTAACTTCTTGTTCTTTCTTAAATCTTCCTCCCTCCTTACCTTTTCCTCTCCTTCCTTCTCTTCTTCTTCCTTTCTTCTCCCCTCCCTCCCTCCCTCCCTTCTTCCCTCCCTCCTCCTTTCATTCTCCTTCTCTCCTTCTCCCTTCCTTTTCTCCTACCTCCTTTGACTAAGCCTCCCTCCCCTACTCCCTCCTTTCCTTCCTTCCTTCCTTCTTCTCTATCAATATAATCACTTTGTTTCTTTCAGGTGAGATCGGACTGGAACTGTTCGGCTGCGACCAGAAATTTATTTTCCTGAGTAAATTGCCGAGAATTAAGAATGAAGAGGGCCATTTGCATCTCCTTAAATTATTCAGTTACCTGCTTTATTGCTCCATGTGGAAAACTTAAAATTGTTAAGTTGTGCATTACTGTATTTTAACTTGTTGCTTAGTTTCTACATGTTTATTTTCAGTAATGGCTGAAAGTGTTAACTGTTCCATACTTTTAGCACAATGTGCTGCATAAGGTTACCTGTGTACAGAGTTTTACTTTAGATTAACTAAATATTGCCTGGGTTCAGTTTTTATTTCCATTCTGAAATGCTTCCTTTTTATTGTTTGAAACTGAAAATAAACAATTGTTGAACCCTTTTGATTTTACCTCATTTTAAAACTGTTTTAATTTATTATTTGGCTTGTTCTTAATATTAGTCACTAAAAGCAGTGGGAGCATTGTCTTATGAAATGCTTAGGAATCATTTTATATAGTACATGTACAACATTAAACGTGTTTAAAAAAGAAAAAGGTACCAGCGATCACTTGTCCCTTGCCATTTTTTCTTGTAATTATGTTAGACAAATCTTGGCGGCGGGGGGATCAAAACATAATTGTTTTAATTCTACAGCTGTAGGAGCTTTGTATTGCTGAACTTTCATCTGGAAAAGTTTCACAGTGACATTTTTAAAAGAGAATTTTTTTATCTGCCGAATTCTACCAGTGTAACCTTTTTTCTAAATAAACAATAGTTTTCTCAAATGGTTGTATATTATTGTGTATATTGTTGCTTATTCAGAATAACTTAGCAAAGATAATTCATTAAGGTTCCTAGCCCTTCTCAGTTCTTATTCCATGGGCTACATTATTTTCCAGTGACATATCATCCAATAATAGGAAAATATCCTGTTTGATTACCTCTGTAGTTGGAGTAAACAGTGGACTTGGTAGCATGCCTGGATTTTTCCATTTAGTCTTCAGTTCCTTGGAAACGATACCTATGCAAATTAAAATTTTCAGAGAATGACAAAAAGGATATAACTTTTTAAAGAATTGAGAATTACTGAGCATATTTTAAATGAATTGGCAAAAGGGTATAAATCTTGATGTCTCTTTTCAGGTAATTGTAATTTGCAAAAATCGATGAGCAGAATATTTATGGGAGGGTGATATATTCAGTGACTGTTGAGTGCTTATAATGTGCCTGACATAAAAATAGATGTTTTGTTAGAGTGATTTTTGACTTTGAGAAAATAACTATGGCTTACCTCAAAATTATTTGCCTGAAAGATATCAGGAAGAACTTTCCAGTTGTTAAATATGCATTCATATTTTAAAGGTTACATGATTGTGGTTTTGAACTAGAAAGTTTACTAATTAGATAGCATCAATATGCCTTCTCTGTGTTGCCCCAAATCATCAAACACAGGTAATTAGTTCTGGCCTTACTAGAAATGCATTGATGATGGAAAATACTATCTTTGGATTAACTGTGTAAAAATAATGTATGTTGGAAGTAGGAAATCTGTGTTTGTAAAGTGCTAGCTATTTTAGGGCATCTACTCTGTTCTAGGTCCAAAGAAGTATAAGACCTGTCTCGAGAGTGCTTCCAATCTAGTTTGGAAAAGAAGAACCAAATGAATGCTATGGGGGGCCAGCAAACTTTTTGTAAAGGGCCAGATAGTAAATATTTGTGGCCTTGCAGGCCATGTAGTTCCCATTGCAACTACTAAGCTCTGCCATTGTAGTGTTGATGCAGTTATAAATAATATGTAAGTGAATAAGCATGGCTGAGTTCAGTAAAAGTTTATTTACAAAAACAGGTGGAAGCCTAGATTTGGCCTGCAGGCTGTAGTTTGTCAACCCCTTCTATAAAGAGTAGAGAGTCCTATAGGGTATTCATTAAAAAATATTTGAGGGTGGGAGAGGGGTGAGGGATAAAAGACCACACATTGGGTACAGTGCACACTGCCTGGGTGATGGGTGCACCAAAATCTCAGAAATCACCACTAAAGAACTTATTCATGTAACCAAACACCACTAGTTCCCCAAAAACCTATTGAAATATTTGAGTGCCTCTTATGTATCAGAGGTACAGCCATGAGCAAAACAAACCCCTGCCCTCATGGAACTTCCATTCTAGTCAGTGGAGGCAGACAACAAACAAATAATGTTATTTGGAGGGAGGTCCTCTGAGGAAGAATAAACCTGGATAAGGAGACTGGGGTGAGGCCGAATTTACTGCTGATTACACAGTGACTATGGAGTGAAGATGAGCGAAGCAGGGCATTTTGAGGCAGTTATTACAGTATGAATATTTTATTACCGAATAATCTGTCTGTGATTCCCAACCCATCTTTGAACCTTTTACATAAACATAATATGCAGGATCTCTCTCTCTCTCTCTCTGTTGTTCTAGTGGGTGGCATCTAGGCTTGCCATTTTCTAGAAAGGAGTTCTTGACTAAAGGCTCATGAATGAGCTTGGGGGGTATTTATGGGCCTTCCAGAATCCCAGAAATTGGGTACAAGTTTGTGTTATGTACACTTTTCTGAGTCTATAGCTTTTGCCAGATTCTCAAGAAAATAAGCCTAAGGTGGTAAGTTTGTTTTAATGGGTCTTGTTCCAAAGGTGTTTGAGACCTTTATAACTAACTCTGAATCTTTTTGGGGATGGTGAGAAGGTGGAAGGCAGTTGTCTATCTACCTTGGATTAAATGGTAGGGGCTAAAGTTAGAGCAGCAGCCTTTCTTGCCTTGGCAAATAATCTACAAGTGATTTGCAATTTGTTGGAAAGTAACTGGTCCATGCGGGCCATTTCCTCTTTTAAGGAGGTACTTTAGCCAAGTATGGGCAGACATCCTAGTAGCCTTTTTTTTTTTTTAGGACAATTATGTAATTGATTTATTTCTACCCTACTATGATCCAAAAAGGATTTATGAAAAAAAAAAAAACATAGTACAGTATCTTTAAATGAGAAAATTTGTTTCTGGGTGAAATTAGTAACCTAAATGAAGCTATTGCCCCAAAATGTCATGTACAAGTGGGCCATGGAGAAACTGGCAGGCCACAAAGAGAAGGTAATGTGGTTAGTTATAGGAACTAGTGTCCATCAAATATAAAGCTAGTTGCAGCAGAGAAGAATGTTTCCTGGCACCGAGGCCTGAAAGAAACTTCTTTGCATTCACAAAGCAGTCATGTCTTTTCAGTGGATAAAACAAAGGAATGTGTCTTTTAAATGGTCTTGAGTATTACCCGATGGCCAACACCTTAGTTCATTCTAGTAAGGTTATTTCTACAATGACACCGGAACATGCGGTCCAGGCATGCAGGTCTCTGATGATTTGTTTCAGTCCAGGAAAATATTTTTAAATATTTGGGACAGGGTTTGTAAACTGGGATTTATTATAGCCTTGTTTTTTGTAAGTATGTTTGTAAAGATTAGGAAACTCATGCGACTGTTGTTTGGTTCCCATAATACAAGTAATATGAACAAGACCTCTTTAGTGTAAAAGCTTTGCCTGCCCTTTGTTTCATTTTTATGGATGGTGATCTCTAAGGCTGCCTCTTAGATAGAATGAAGCTTATTATACTGTAACTTCAATATTCTATCTCAATACTTATCAGAAATGTGGTTTAAATGCTTAAGTTTTTGTTTGTTTCTGTTTTTTTTGAAACAGGGTCTCACTGTTGCCCATGCTGGGGTGCAGTGGTGCGATCTTGGCTCACGGCAGCCTCCACCTCACAGGCTCAAGAGATTCTCTTGCCTCAGCTTCCCGAATAGCCTGAATTACAGGCACGTGCCACCACACACGGCTAATTTTTGTATTTTCGGTAGAGACAGGGTTTCACCATGTTGGCCAGGCTGGTCTCGAACTCCTGACCTCAAGTGATCCGCTTATCTTGTAAATGATTAAGTTTTAAAAATTGAAGTAACATTTCTAGAGACACTATCTTTCAGGGCCAAGGAGATTTTATTGGGTCCAGAGTTGAGAATAAAAAGAGGAGCTGCATAAAAGATGGTAATTCATGCTAACTGAACACAGATTTTCTTCTATTTATAGACAGAAGTAGACATAAGAACAACAAAAGGAGGGATATTGGAAGTAGTGATTAAAGGAAGTGTGGCAACCTGAGAAAATAAACCTTAATGTAAAAAATTCTGTTTTTGTTCCTGATTCTTAGGTACTGTTTTAAGCTGTAATGAATGGCCATTTCTAAATGGATCAGGCTTAAAAAGCTTAATTCCTTTGATGTGTTGCTAAATGGATGTGGTTAATAGAGGAAGGAGAGGGAACAGAGATGATTCTGATTGGGCACAGGGCACATAAGCTTGAGAAATACATAATTGCAGATCAGAAATAGCCTTCATTTCATGGATAGGAGCTAGAAAATGACCTGGCACTTAACCTCTAGCTTAGTTGGACCTCTGATTTTTGTTAGATGACAGCTAGATGTCCTTGGGCTCGAGTATCAGACCAATAGACAGCTATTATTACCTCTGTCCTCAAAAAATTTTCTTATATTTTAGCCAGAATGATACTGTACTTTGTTCAAGGCTTTCTTGATCCTAATTTCATGTGGTATGTAATAGTACTTATTTCCTATTACATATATCATCATTATCAAAGAACACTTCTGAATTGTAATTGGATACGCCATTGCTAGGCACTATTAAACAGCATCTTTTCTGCTTTCTGGAATAATTGATCCAAGACATCAGTAAGACAGACAAACATGCTAAGCAAGAAACAATATGTAAAATGAGTAAGGTATCCATACCACATGCAGCTGGGGACCAGGTACATTTTAAGAGGTTGGTGAATACTCGGTAAGAATTACCTCAGACTGAGTGTGATTTGAGAAGTTTTTGTCCACAACAGGTTCGTCTAGGAAAATTTTATAAAGGATTTGGACTCTAAGGAAGCCAATTGCTTTCTCCTTAGACCTAGAAGGTATAGGTCTTTTGGGGTCTCGTTTAACTCTAAGTTGGCACTGGCGGAGAGTGAATGTTGAACTTGGAATTCTGAACAATTCTGGTATTATGCAGAATCTTTGAAGCCAATTTGTTATACCAGCCCAGGAATAGATCAGATTTGAGAGACAAATGCTCTCTACCTCTTTGGGTACTTTTCCTTAACTGCCTCAATATTTTCCCCTTTTTTTGGTCTTAACCCCTGACATCATCAGTCTTTTTATTGCTTTAATCAGTGTTAATTACATTTTTCATGTCTTTACAGGTAATTAAAAAGTTGTCGTCTCTATGTCAAGATGACTTTCCTTGTCCATTTGTATTCCTCTGAGTGGGGATGAACTCCACTGAAACTTCTTACACTGTCTCACTTGATCTTCACAATGCCCTTCTGCTAATGAATTAAATCTAACAATACATGTCAAGCACCTAAAACAGGACCTAGTACCTGGCAGGTACTCAATAACTAGTAGCAGTTGTTGTTATTAGTGGTAGTATTCATACCAGTACTTTCCAAACTGAGAATCATTAGAATGAATTGAGAAACTTTTGGAGGTCCCCACATCAAGTATATTGAATCAGATTTTCTTAGAGTAGGGACCTGGAGTATTTTCTACAAACAGTTCCTCAGGTGATTCCAAAGTAGGGATAATATTTGGGAATTACGGAGTTAAACCAGCACACAATCCCCGCATCTCAGTTCTTAATTTTGGACAAAACTCAGAGACTTCTTATTTCTGGAGGTGATAAGTATATTATGTCCCAGAGACAACCCATGCCTAGAAAGGAATATTTTCAAATCAATGGCAATAGCCTCTGTCCTGGTATCAGAGTTTATCAACTTTGCTAGCCCGTGCTACTCTTGTTCATGGACCCCCTGACTTTTCCAGCCTTCCTTCACTGACCTTTCTGAATCTCACCTCTTGTTAGACTAGCTGTATATTGTCAGCAAGCATCTGCTACTGAAATAAGCAGTTTGAAGTTCAGAATGTTTTTTGATACCACTTACACCTTCTTTAATCTGTAGCAGTTCACTTTTATATTATTGGACTTGTGTTCAGGACTGGATTTTGTCCTTCATTCTTTGTTTTTCCTTGCAAAATAAACTGATGGTGAAGGGGGGGTATGTATAAATGCTTAATAATTTAATGCTATGAATTTCCCTCTAATCACTATTCCACTCGATCCCACAAATTTGATGTGTGGCATTATCATTTTCATTCAGCTCAAAATGTTTTCCAATTTCTCTTTATTTTTTCTTTTATCCTTGTGTGTTGCTTGATTTCCAAGTATTTGCAGATTTTCCAGATATCTTTCTGTTGTTATCTAATTTAGTCTTGTGTGGTCAAAGAACATACTATGAATTATTTAAATCCCCTTAAATTTACTGGGACTTGTTTTATGATCTAGTAGCTGGTCTTCCATGGTGAATATTCCACATGCACTTGAAAAGAATGTTCATTTTGTTGTTATTGGATGTAGTATTCTATAAATGCCAATTAGGTCAAGTTGGTTGGTGGTGTTCCAAGTCTTCTGTATTCTTGCTAATTTATTTTCTGCTTGGTCTGTCAGTTACTAAGAAAAGCATGTTGAAATCTGCAAATACAATTGTGAATTTGTCTTATTTCTTCTTTTGGTTTTGTCATTTCTTAGCTTCATGTATTTTGAAACTTTGTTATTAAGTACATGCACATTTAAGATTATATACTCTTAGTGAGTTGACCCCTTTATCAAAATGAAATATTCCTCTTTATCCCTGGTAATATTCCTTATCCTAAATTCTATTTTGATATTAATATAACCTCTCTAGCTTTCTTTTTCTTGTGTTTGCATAGGATATTTTCTATTCTTTTTCTTTATATTGAAAATGAGTTTCTTGGTTTTTAATCCAATTTGACAATCTCTGCCTTTAGTTTGAAAGTTTACGCCATACATTTAATGTAATTATCAATATGGTTCTGTTTACATTTGATATCCTGGTATTTTCTGTTTGTTGCATCTTCTCTCTTTTTTTTTCTTTTCCTGCCTTCTTTTAAAAGGATTGTGCGTCAGTTTTCTCATTTATAAAATGAGGCTAATAACCATTTCATAAGGTTGTCCTGAGGATTAAATGACATTTATGCAAAGTGCTTAGATGGGGCCTGGCACACATTTTTATGTAGAGCTTGAGAAATATTAGTTTTTAAAAATTAGGGGATGGAGAACTCATTGTGATATCAACTCTTCAAAGGTTTTGGGTTCTAGACCTGGTTATGTACACACATGTAAGGTGCAGGTGGTTGTACAAGTGTGGTTTGAGTGGGCCTCTAAAGGCCTTAGCTCTAAAACATCTACTAGCTAGCTGTGGTATGAGAAATTCTCATAGTTAAGCACTTTACAGAGACTTCTGGAGATTTCCATATTCGTTGAGGTAAGGTATTTTGTGAGGGGGCAATCAGTTCTCACACTAGCACTGAAATATGGATGATTTCTGATGATACCCCATCATGCTCCTATTTCCTATACCTAGGAAAGCCCTGGGAGGTTGGGCAGGTAAATGTACATAGGCAAAAGTCAGTGAAAAGGACAAAGCCTTATCCTGGGAAGGGAGCCACAATGGGTAGCCCAGATGGTTCCTTGAAGGTGAAAGGAGAGGTGGGAAAGTTGCCAAAAAGGACCTAGCCCAGTTGGTTTTACCTTGGGCTGATTTGTGAAGTTAAACTTCTGAGTTTTGTATTTGCTTGGTTTACCTCAGTTTCAGTGTAGGTGAAATGTGTCCCAAATAATATTTTAACTATTCAACTCTTGAATAGTTGACTAGGTCATACTTTACAATTATCTCCAAAACATGAGGTGGCTTGTTTGGAAGTCTAAGCAGTAGTGGCTTTGGAGCAGTCGTGCTTTTCCCTCTTTTTCCTCTTCATTGAGGATTTATTTGGTCCCTCTGAACTCTTCCACATTCATCGAGAATATAAGCTCCATGAGAGCAGGGACTGTGTAATGCCAGCCTCTAACGTAGTACATGGCATATTGTAAGTATTCAATAAATATTTATTGAAAGAATGACCAATTTGTCATTTCCTCCAAATGAATAGAAATCTTTTTGATCAGATAAACATCATTATTACCTGCTTGACTCATTGCCCTCATGGATCTTTAGTTCATCTCACCTGGACCATTAACCTTCTCTAAATTGAGCACCAAACTTACACTGTGGGTTCAATCCTGTCCCTGGGCTGGAGGAGTACGAACAGTGCTACACAAGTGTTTCAGCAGCTCAGGATTAGCTTTGCTGCCGGTACAGCTTCAACTTTGGGTGCAGATTTTGGTTGTAGGATTTTTCTCCTGCCTCTTATGGCTAACTCTACCTGTGCATCCAAGTTCCATAAACAGAGCCCTTGTTCTGTATCTCAGTTTATCTAGAGTTGGTGTCCATGTCTTATACACAGTCCATCATAGCTGAGTCCCTAATGTTGCTCAGCCTACCGTACTCCTCTTCCCCAACACACATTCAGGGTTGTGGTAGCTTTGAGGGGCTTGAGAGAGGTTAAAAGACACTGGGAGAGGAATATTAGCAGAACAGAGGGTGCCACACCTCAGCTTGGCCTTTTGGGAAATTTTTTTCTAAATTGCTCTGTGAAAGGAAGGGAAAGGAGACCTTTTTCCTCTTCTCTCCTGCACTGCAGCCTATTGCTCTTAGGATCCAGAATACAGACTAGTACTAGTGGTCCCATGGTTGAGGTCATAGGCTTCTGGGAGCTGGTCTAAAAACTCTAACCACCCTTTGTTTTTATGGGAAAATATGTTCTAAAACAGTTCACTTACAGATAAATTTTGGAATACAGCTCATTACAGATCGTTATTAAGCTAATCAGACAGGCTTTCCCCACTAGGGAGCCTGAGTAAATGGATTTGCAGGTTGGTCTCTATATCAAAAATGAGTGTCACTCCTTTTCTATAACTCTGGACAAATAGAGATTTTTTTTTTTCTTTTCAAGGTTGGTATAATTATTTTTGACAGAAAATGTGTTGGCTGAAGGAAATACTCTCTTCTATTTTGGTGGTAGAGGTCATTATTCTGGGAAGGATATCAGCTTAGAGCAACTTTTAAAAACATTGGAGTTAGGCTGCATGCAGTGACTCACGCCTTAATCCCAGCACTTGGGGAGGCTGAGGTGGAAGGATCCTTTGAGCCTAGGAATTCAAAACCAGCCTGGGCAACATAGCAAGACCCCATTTCTAAAAAAAATAAAAAAAATTAGACATGGTGGACACATGCCTGTAGTCTCAGCTACTCAGGAGGTAGAGGTGGGAGGATTGCTTGAGCCCAGGAGGTCAAGGCTGCAGTGAGCTATGATTGTGCCACTGTGCTCCAGCCTGGACAACAGAGACACTGTCTCCATTAAAACAAAAGATTGGAGTTTTAATTTTTCAAATACATTTTCTCGTTATAACTAAAATAAGACTAATTGAGTCAATTTACATGACAAATTTTCCCAGGGTCTCTAACCCTTCAGTTCTGTTGGCAGACAGGAAATATTGATGTCTGGTGTCCTAGAAACAAGAATATGCTAACCTTTGAAGAAAGAACATTTTGTGTAATAGAAGACATCAGCCAGAGAGACCTTTCATGTAATCCTTCTCTAATCATTTTAGAATCAGTATATTAAAAGATGGTCATTAGGAATATTTCAAGGGCTACATCCCATTGCTCCCTGCAGGATATGTCCAGGGGAATTCTGACTTTGCCTACTGGCTAAATATAGTCTTAAATCTTTGTCAAAGTAACAAATAGATGTCCAACATGCACTCTCTGCCTCTGTGAGGCATTGAAGTCACTGAGGTACGAAATAAGTAATTTGCTTATTTATATTTAGTCAGAAAGCTTTCTTAAGACACTTTTAAACCCTAGTTCAGTGAATGCTACTTCCATTTATCCACCATATTTGGAGAACACGTTCAATGGCTTAAGTGAGACCGATGCTAAAATGAAAGTAGCAAGTGATGTTTCATTAAAATTCTGATTCATGTAGCCTAGTTAAATATTAACAGTATGTCCTCTTTTGAGAAAGGATGGGAGAACACTTTGTTTTAAATGGGGAGAGAGGGCCTGGACAGGGTGAAAGTGAGGTAAGATAGCAAGCATTCTTCTAGGTGCTACAGTGAAGCATAGAAACAGCATTTATTCTCCCCTCCTTGTCTTTTTTTTTATCCAAGGCATTTAGAGGTCAAAGAGCTATTATCCTGTAAGCAAAACTACTTCATTACGTGATTACTTTTGGTTCACTTTACACAATAAACACGTTCCTGGAAAGCTGTCTTGGGTGCACAAGCACAAATCAAATAGTTTTCCTGTTGACTCACACTTTCGCTTCTGATCTTCATTTGTCAGCAGATTCTAAAGCTAACCCAGTCAGGTAGTTAATAAGAGGTACTTAAACACAGAAGGGGATATAACCCCAGTGAATTATTCCACGAAACAAGCATTAAGAAAATGAATGTGCACTCTTGTATCCTAAATTTGAATTTCATATATTGGCTTTCCTAAAAGTGAAGACCAGCTAAATTTTTTCCCTTAACTATTATGTCTATTGTGATAATTCCCTCTGCATTCAAGACACCAGGTTTTCTGGATTCATTTATTCATCTAATTATTGGTCATCACCTTGCAACAATAACAGAACAATCATTTGTTCTCAAACACTGATTGATCATGTACGATGTGAGACACTGCACTTGGTCCTGGGGATCTACAATCAAGTAAGGAAAGACCTCTGTCAAGATGGTCACAGTCTGGTAAGGGAGGGAGATAAATTAATAGGCAATTCCTATGCAGTTTGAATACTGCTTTAATAGGAAAAGTACAGGGTGCTAAGGAAGCACAGAGGATGGGTGGGAGGTTGGAGGGAGAGGAGTTCAAGGTTTTATGATGTCTGTAAGAGCCCAAATCTCAGGCAAAGTCATCTGTTAGCACATGTTAAAGTTTTATTTAACCAGTTAATGAAAGAACAGATACAGAAGAATGCTGATTCAAAGAGCATTTGAGAAGCAGGGATTCATGTAGTCAGTTGGGGGAAAAAAAGCCAAAGTAACATTACTAAGTTACATTCAACTTTGGCTAATGTCTTATTGTGCAATAAACTGAAAGTTTTTGGGTTATCCACTAAACCAACCAACCTTCCCCCCAAAACTAAACCACATCTTAGTAGTTTTCTGTGAGTTAACCTCTAGCGTTATAAGACTAAAATCATCTGGACCATAATTAATTATGGATAGTTGGTCAAAGTTACAAATCTTGAGAGAGGTGACTGATAGGCCTATTAGAAAATGTTTTGCCACCCTGACATCACCACTATGCAGTCAATGCATGTAACAAAATTACACTTGTACTCCATACATTTATACGTATATTCTATCAAAAAAGGAAAATAAAAAGTACAGCCATGATAACAAGTCATGCAATCATCATTTTTCCTTATTTTCTTCTCTTTTTCTTTTTCTTTTTTTTTTTTAAGACAGAATCTTGCTCTGTCGCCCAGGGTGGAGTGCAGTGGTGCAGTCTTGGCTCACTGCAACCTCCACCTCCCAAGTTCAAGCAATTCTCCTGCTTCAGCCTCCTGAGTACCTGGGACTACAGGCACGTGCCACCACGCCTGGCTAATTTTTTGTACTTTTAGAAGCGATGGGGTTTCCCCATGTTGGCCAGGCTGGTCTCGAACTGCTGACCTCAGGTGATCCACCTGCCTCGGCCTCCCAAAGTGCTGGGATTACAGGCGTGTCTTTTTTTGTGGAGACAAGGTTTTGCTATATTGCTCAGGCTGGTCTCAAACTCTTTTTTATTTTAAATTTTAATTATTATTATTATTTTTTTACTGTGGGTGAATGATTCCTTAGACACGGTAATCCCTCACCTCCTGTATTCTCCAGTTTCTCCAGGCATGTGATCCCATGCCTGGGATTACACGCATGTGCCATCACATCCAGCTAATTTTTGTATTTTTAGTAGAAATGGGGTTTTACCATGTTGTCCAGCCTGGTCTTGAACCTCTGGCCTCAAGCTATCCACCTGCCTCGGCCTCCCAAAGTGCAGAGATTACAGGCATGAGCCACCACACCTGGCCCATTAGTTGAATTTATTGCTTAGTTAATTTTCTATTAGTGGTAGTGGAAATTAGCCATAGATTTCATAGGGTCCATGATGGTATTAGTTCAGTTATTTATTTCTTACCTTTCCCATAAAAGTATTATATATCTCTGTTCATTGCCTGGTGACCTGCTGTGAGTTTTGTGAGAAGAGGACAAGACAGGTCCCCGCTTCATTAATTTTGGCCTTGACTGACATACTTTGGCTAATAGATCGTGAGTAGTTATGACATGTGCCACATCCAAGTAGAGATTTAAGCTGATTGTGTGGCCTGGCTTGGCCTCTTGTTGGGTTGGCCTGCAGTCAACCCACAGTTTACATATGATATGAGCAAACAATAAAGGTAATAAGCCAGCGAAGTTTCTCCCTAAGGGTAGGAACAAGATAAGACTGTCCAGTCTTACTAATTCTAGCCAACACTGTACTGAAGTTCTAGCCATGGAAGTAGACAAGACAATGAAATAAAAGGCATCCAAATGTAAAGAAAGATGCAAAACTGTATTTGCAGATGGCATGATTTTTTTAATATAGAAAATCCTAAGGAGTTCACAAAAAATCTGCTGAAACTAATAAACAACTTCAGCAAGGTTAGAGGGTAAAGGATTAATATACAAAAATCAATTATATTTCTGTACAGTAGCAATGAGCAAATCAAACCTGAAATTATGAAAACAATCTTTAACAATAGCATCAAAAAGATTAAAGTACTTAGGAATACATTTAACAAAAGAAGTACAAAACTTATATTCTTTTTTTTTTTTTTTTTTTTTTTTTTAGTATTTATTGATCATTCTTGGGTGTTTCTCGGAGAGGGGGATTTGGCAGGGTCATGGGACAATAGTGGAGGGAAGGTCAGCAGATAAACATGTGAACAAGGGTCTCTGGTTTTCCTAGGCAGAGGACCCTGCGGCCTTCCGCAGTGTTTGTGTTCCTGGGTACTTGAGATTAGGGAGTGGTGATGACTCTTAAGGAGTATGCCGCCTTCAAGCATCTGTTTAACAAAGCCCATCTTGCACCGCCCTTAATCCATTTAACCCTTAGTGGACACAGCACATGTTTCAGAGAGCACGGGGTTGGGGGTAAGGTTATAGATTAACAGCATCCCAAGGCAGAAGAATTTTTCTTAGTACAGAACAAAATGGAGTCTCTTATGTCTACTTCTTTCTACACAGACACAGTAACAATCTGATCTCTCTTTCTTTTCCCCACATTTCCCCCTTTTCTATTCGACAAAACCGCCATTGTCATCATGGCCCGTTCTCAATGAGCTGTTGGGTACACCTCCCAGACGGGGTGGCCGCCGGGCAGAGGCGCCCCCCGACCTCCCGGACGGGGCGGCTGGCCGGGCGGGGGCTGCCCCCCACCTCCCTCCTGGACGGGGCGGCAAAACTTAAATTCTTAAGACTACCAAACATTATTGAAAGAAATTATGCAGGATCTAAATAAATAGATATCCTATATTAATGGATTAGAAGACTTACTAGTATTAATATAGCAATACTTCCTCAATTGACCTGTAGGTTTAACTCAATTCTTGTCAGAAGCCCAGCTGGCTGCTTTGTAGAAATTGATAAGTTGATCCTAAGATTCATGTGGAAATTCAAGGGACACAGAATTGCTGAAACAATGTTGAAAAAGAACAACGTTGGAGAGCTTATGCTTTTTGATTTCAAAACTGTCTACAATGCAACAATAATCAAGATAGTGTGGTACTGGCATATGGATAGACATACAGATAAATGGAATAGAATTGAGAATCCAGAAATAAACCCTCACATTTATAGTCAATTGATTTCAGCAAGGATGCTAAAACAATTCAATGAGGAAGGAATGATCTCTTCAACAAATGGCACTGGGACAACTGGATATCCACGTGCAAAGGAATGAAGTTGGATGTCTATCCAATTTTTGTATACACTGTATACAAAAATGAACTTGAAATGGATCAAAGACCCAAATGTGGCCAGGTGCGGTGGCTCACGCCTGTAATCCCAGCTCTTAGGGAGGCAGAGGCGGGAGGATAGCTTGAGCCCAGGAGTTTGAGACCTGCCTGGGCAATATAGCGAAACCCTGTTCTCCACAAAAAGGAAAAAAAAGACCCAAATGTAACAGAACTATAAACCTCTTACAAGAAAACATAGAAGTATGTCTTTGTGACCTTGGATTTGTCAATGGTTTCTTAGATATACACCACATGCATTAGCAAAAAAGGAAAAAAAATAGATAAATTGGACTTGATCAAAAGTTAAAAACTAGCTGGGTTTGGTGACACATGCCTGTAATCTCAGCACTTTGGGAGGCTGAAGCATGTGGATCAAGTGAGCCCAGGAGTTTGAGACCAGCCTGGGCAACATAGGGAAACCCTGTCTCTACAAAAAATACAAAAAAAATTAGCTGGGTGTGGTGGTGCATGCCTGTAGCCCCAGCTACTCAAGAGGCTGAGGTGGGAGGATCCCTTAAGCCCAGGAGGTGGAGGTTGCAGTGAGCCCACATCTCGCCACTGCCCTCCAGCCTGGGTGATAGAGTGAGACCCCGTCTGAAAAAAAAAAAAAAAGGAAAATGTAAAAACTTTAATGCATTATAGGATGCTATCAGAAAAGTGAAATGACAGCCCATAGAATGGAAGAAAATATTTGCAAATCATATATCTGATAAGGGATTTGTATCTAGACTATATAAAGAACACTTAAAAGTCAATAATAAAAAGATACATAACCCAATTTTTTAATGGGCACAGGATCTGAATAGCCATTTCTCTAAAGAAGATATAGAAATGTCCAATAAGCACATCAACGTTATTAGCTATCAGGGAAATGCAAATCAAAATCACAATGAGATACTACTTCACACCTGTCAGGATGGCTAGAATAAAAAAGACAAATAATAAAAAAAATGTCTAGGATGCTGAGAAATGAGAATTCTTATATACTGCTGATAGGAATATAAAATGGTACAGCTGCTTTGGAGAACAATCTGGCTGTTTCTCAAATAGTTAAATATAGGGTTATCATTTGACCCATGAATCCCACTTCTAGGTATATACTCAAGAGAGATGAAAACATGCATCCACAAAAAACCTGTACACAAGTGTTCATAGCAGCATTATTTTTAATATTCAAAAAATAGAAACCTAGATGTTCATCAATTGAATAAATAAAATGTAATAATGATTCGACCAGAAAAGGGAATGAAGTAGTGATATACACTACAACATGCTTGAATCTTGACAACATTATGCTAACTGAAAAAACTATGGAAACATTATGCTAACCTTGAAAACACTAAGCAGAGTCTCAAAATACCACATATATGATTCAATTTATATGAAATGTCAAGAATAGACAAATCTATAGAGATAGAAAGTAGTTTAGTAGCTGCCTAGGTCTGGGGAAATGAGGGAGTTACAGGGTCATAGCTAAAGGTATATGGTTTCTTCTTGCGGTGATAAAAATGTTCTAAAATTGATTATGGTAATGGTTGAAAAACTGAATACACTAAGGACCATTGAACTGTGCACTTCCAATGTGTGAATTGTGTGGTATGTGAATTATATTTCAATAAAGCTAATACCAAGAAAATCAGTTATTTGACACTGCATATAAGCTTGATGATGCTTTTATCTATCCTGAGGAATAAAATAGCTGAGACTTAATATGAATATATTAAGAATATTTGACCTATAAAAAGTACATGGTGGAGTTGGAGCTTCTCTTTTTATTTGGAAACTTTTCTCATATTGTGGATTTAATGATGAGGAAGCTCTTATAATAATGTTGATATAGTTTTAAAATATAGAGTCTTCCGGTAATTATGGAGGAATGAAGTGGTCACAGGAACCCTTTCATAGATAACAGTTATGAAACGTTTTTAAAAGCTTGTTAAACGCACTGGAAAGACTACAAAAGCAGACAGAAGAAAGAAAACTGCAACTGCACGGGGTAAGAATTTTGAGTTTGTAGTTTTCCGGTCTGAAGACATTTCTTGACCCCTATGGCTATGGCTGAGAGAAGCAGCAGTAGAAAAACAGCCTTATTGGCTCAAGGTACCTTTCAGGGCTAGAAGATCAGCTTGAAATTTAAAGGGGGAAATTCTGGAAGCAAAATAATCATAGAAAGAGTGAGGCTCAAATTCCAAATAGAAGTTCTGTCTAAATCCTTTTGATGGCTAGACTATGCATGTGCAAGAGTGGATTCATGAGGCCTAACATAAAACATGTAAGGAACAGAGAGAAATCTATACTTCAATCATGGAGCAAGTTCTGTTCTTCTGTTCATTTGCTTTTTTTGGGTATGTTGTTTGGTTTAACTAAAAAAAGTAAAAGTTAAAAATAATTTATTGAAGTGAAATTCACACAATATGAAATCCATTTTACAGTTGACAAATCAGTGGCATATTGTACATTCACAATGTTGTGAAACTACTACCTCTATCTAGTTCCAAAGCATTTCCATCACTCCAAAGTAAAACTCTGTATTCATTAAGCAGTTTCTCCTCACTATTCCCTACTCCCTAGTCCCTGGCAACTGCCAGTCTGTATCCTGCCTATGGATTTGTCTATACCAGACATTGCATATAAATGGCTTCATACAATATGTGACCTTTTTGTCTGGATTCTTTCACTTAGCATAATATTTTGGAGGTTCATCCATGCTGCAGCAAGTATTAGTATTTCATTCCTTTATTGTGGCTGAATAACATTTCATTGTATGTATATACTACAATTTGTTTATCCATGTATTCATTGATGGACATTTGGTCCATTTCTTCCTTTTGGCTATTGTGAGTAGTGTTGCTGTGAACATGTGTGTACATGTATTTATTGGAGTACTTGTTTTTTAATTATCTTGGGTATATATGTAGAAATGCTTTTTTTTTAAAGAAAAAAAAGAAGTCTGAATGTATATTCTTATTTGCACTCAGATGGAGCAGAAGAAAGCTGAAGCCTATAGGCTTGAAGTATCAGACAACAGAGCCCAAGGCTGGCAGGACAAATAGTAAACTAGGTGGGAAACCTTAGAAGCAAGGAAACTGCAGAGAGACTGAGTTTCATCTCTGCCCAAATTCTTGGCTGACTGTCAAATTATACAGGCACATAGGAGATACCACATGTGCCTTCCATGCAGATAGGCCAGGCTAAAGCCAGAGGTAGGCCATAAGAACGGAGCAGACATATCAGTTGCTACATACCTCAAGGGACATAAAGTATTCAGTTTGGATTCAGGTATGTTAACTGCCTACTTGAACAAAATCCCAGTAATCATAAGAACACATCAGAATCCAGATTTATTATAACGTTGTCTATAATGTCTAATTTTAAAACAAAAATTAGTAGACATTGAAGGAAACAGAAAAGTGAGACCTAGGCACCTGGGAAAAGGCAGTTAATGAAAACTGACTTTGAGTGGGCCCAGATTTAGCAGATGAAGAATTAAAAACATCTATTATAAATATGCCCAAAGAATTAATGGAAAATGTGGTATCAATAAATTAGAAACATCTCAACAGAAGTATGTTAACTATAACAAAAAAATTAGAAATTATAAAGCTGAAAAATAAAATAACTGAAATACATTTACTAGATGGGCTCAACACATTGGACTTGGCAGAAGAATCAGTGGGCTTGATTTTACACACACACACACACACACACACACACACACTCCAATTTGAATAACACAAAAAAGATTGAAGAAGAATGAAGAGAAAAGCAGTCCAATATATGTGTAACAGATACCCCAGAAGGGAGAATAAGGGGCAGAAAAAATATTTGAAAATATAATGGCTGAAAAATTTAAAGGAAATCAAATATACTTAATTATTTCTAGCATCCCTCTTGCAATTGGTTACAAAATGAAGAAGCAGGTCTTTGGGGAGATACCTAGTAGTCATATAGGAAGTGCCAACAATAATTTGGGTATTAAAAAATCTTGATGATGTTATTACATTGGATCTCTAAATTTGTGCTCCATCTCAGAGAAGGACAGCATTGACGAGAATTTTCAGTCAATAACACAGATTCCCCAGAAAGAAAATGCTGCAGCTTTATCTATGTTACTAATCAGGAAAATGATACTTTGTAATAACAGGAAAAATAACATAAAGAATAATTATTTTGGCTACTTTATAGCTGTAGAAGCCCTTATTGTTCTATTGTTTTATTATAATTGTTTAATTAACTGGACTAGTTCGCAGTTTTAAATCTAAAGTATGCAAAATTAATGCAAAACCGAGAAAGTTAACAGAACTTTTTGAGAGATTGTATTTGGGTAGGGTGAGAAAAACAGATTTTGCCATTTGAGTAGAACATGCAGAAAGTAAATAGTAACATTTTACACCCTCACAGTTGAGAACAAACCATAAATTCAAAGACCACTTTTCTTTCTGAGTTACCAGTCCCCTACTATACATAAGCTTCTGCTTTTAAAATCAATCATGTCATTTTAACAGACTTCAATATATACATATTTAAATGCAAACACATATACTAAATGTCAGATAACATTATTTAAGGCTTTAAACACTAGTTTTTGTTTATTTTATTCCAGGGATGCAAGGCTGTTTTAATATTTCAAAATCGATAGTGCAATTATCCAAATTAACAAGCTAAATAGAATAACTATCACGATGACATCAATTGATGCAGGGAAAGCATTTTACAACATTCAACCCTCATTTGTAATAAAACTGCTCAAAAAGTAATAAAAGGGATTTGAGGAGCAATTCCTCCACTTGCTGAAGAGCACCTACAAAAAACGTATAGCTAACTTTATACTTAGCAGCGAAAGACTGAATACTTTACAGCTAAGACTGGGAATAAAGCAAGAATGTCTGCTCTCACTACTCTTATTCAGCATAAGGCTGGAAGGTCTCGGTAGTGCAATAGGCAAGAAATGGAAATAAAACATACAGATCAAAAAGGAAGAAATTAAATTTCTCTGTATGCAGACATCATGATTGCCCATAAACAGCTTTTAAAATTAGTCTTACCAGCATACGCCTTTTTATTGCTTGGATTTTTCCTTGTAATCTAAATGCTATGAAGAACAAATACATTTATGTAATGAAAAAGACATCTAAAAATAAATGTCTCTTGGTGACAAATTTTTTTCACTTTTTCTGTATCTCTTCATTTTAATTAAAAATTGTTAAACTCGTGCACTTGCATTATATTCCTTACTGTCATAAAATCTGGGAGAAGACGTTTAGCTTTTTTTAAAACCAAATTTATCAAATCACTCTGATTTGTGGGAGGATTCATCTTGATTAGGAATATTAGATGAACTTGAAACCATATATTCTTTTACATTTATTTAAAAATATTTAAAATGCTTCGCAGAAGTTTTGAATAGTGCCTTTTTATGATTACTAATTGCTAGCTTGATATCTCATTTTCATTTCTTTCTTTGGAACCTAGCCTCCAACCATTTGACTACTTCAGCTTTTCAGTTTCTGAATTGGCAGTTTCTGTGTGTGAAGAAGTTTTTCTTAAAGGGCCAGTACATTTAAAGCATCAGAAGTCCAATTTCTTCTTTGTATGGGAATTCTTGAGTTTTTTTCTTTCAGGTTTATGTAAGTACTTGTTAGTCTCAATAAGCTAAACAGAACAAAATCTCTTAAATTTAAGGCCTCATAATCAAATTTATTAATTCCCTCTGGATGTAGGTAGAAGTGTTCTAAAGTACTTTCTTAGAAAATACTTCACATTCATACAGTAGAAGAATCATATAAACTCTTTGACAAGCTAGAGATTGCCCAAGCAGGAGTTTATGGGTGAAGTTTTAAAAAATGTTTTTTCTCTATTTTCTATATTTTGTTATATGCTATTGTATTCCTATTTTATGTGCAGTTCAAGGTTTTAAATACACATAAAATACATTCATATTATTGTTATACAAGCCAAGTAAATTCTATAGAAGTCAAAATTCTCTGCTCTCTAAACAATGCAGAATCTATTTCAAGTCTATATGTTTCTCCAACCTTGACGGTAGATCTCTTTGGGTTGGATATCTCTAGTGTTCACAAATGATAGATTCCTATGATAAGTTAATCTCCAAAAATGCTTTCCTCAAAAGCCAGATACAGACAAAGGGTTACAATTACAAGTAGATTATCCTTCATGACTAATTTCTTTTCCTCTATGAGGAGGGAGTAAAGGCTTTTCTCATTTAAATACACACAGAGAATTGTCTCTAGCCAGGGGACAAAAGCAGAGGCAGAGACAAATACATATGTAAAATTCACTGTAGGGAAAAATAAAAATTCCCATCCTAATGATTTTTAAAAATCAGAATATTCACCATTCTTCAGACACATGACATACTGCTGTGGGCCATTGGTTTCTCTTCCGTTTACTCATGGGATTTATGATTCCCAACCCAAGGAATTTACTTAAACAAAAGAAACACTGACAAAAATCCCTGCAAATCTTTTACTCTACTTCACCTTTCTGAAACTTTTACAGGCTTTCAGATACAGTCTTATTACAGCCAGGACACCAACAGACTTCTAGGCTCTAACTGAAAGACAGGTGTCCAATCATATCTACTAGCTGTTTACCCTGGAAATCTGGTTACCGTCATGACTCTGGTGCCCACATCAGATTTTCAAACTCAAATTAAAAAAAAATATATGTTTCACAAGTTTTCAAATGTTAGACAGTCATGACTTGCAATCCAGATTTTCTCTCTGGATGAGAAGGGGCAGAACTCAAGCAGCAAAACACCGTGGGAGTCTATTTTTTCTTTGTTCCAAAGCCTCTGGAGTCTGGGCCGTCACTTGAAACCTACCATGCTACCCTTGTCCTAGCATGGTATGTTGGATCATTATACTATTCCTTAAGTGAGGTGAGTGGGCATAGTCCAGAAAGAAGTTTATGCTGGCCGGGTGCAGTGGCTCATGCCTGTAATCCCAGCACTTTGGGAGGCCGAGGTGGGCGGATCACCTGAGGTCAGGAGTTCGAGACCAGCCTGACCAACATGGAGAAACCCGTCTCTACTAAAAATACAAAAAAAAAAAATTAGCCAGGTGTGGTGGCGCATGCCTGTAATCCCAGCTACTCAGGATGCTGAGGCGGGAGAATTGCTTGAACAGGGGAGGCAGAGGTTGCGGTGAGCCGAGATCGTGCCATTGCACTCCAGCCTGGGCAACAAGAGCAAAACTCCATTTCAAAAAAAAAAAAAAAAGAAGTTTATGCTTCCAACTTTATTAAGCATTTCTGGATTAGGCATTTAATTGTTTAGAATTTTGTTGGTATGCTTTTTTATTTATTTATTTTACTTTAAGTTCTGGGATGCATGTGCAGAACCTGCAGGTTTGTTACATAGGCATAAATGTGCCATGGTGGTTTTCTGCACCTATCAACCCGTCATCTAGGTTTTAAGGCCCATATGCATTAGGTATTTGTCCTAATGCTGTCCCTCCCCTTGCCCCCCAACCCTCAACAGGCCCCAGTGTGTGATGTTCCCGTCCCTGTGTCCATGTGTTCTCATTGTTCAACTCCCACTTATGAGTGAGAGCATGCAGTGTTTGACTTTCTGTTCCTGTGTTAGTTTGCTGAGAATGATGGTTTCCAGCTTCATCCATGTCCCTGCAAAGGACATGAACTCATCCTTTTTTATGGCTGCCTAGTATTCCATGGTATATATGTGCCACATTTTCTTTATCCAGTCTATCATTGATGGGCATTTGGGTTGGTTCCAAGTCTTTGCTATAGTGAACAGTGCTGCAATAAACATACATGTGCATGTGTCTTTATAGTAGAATGATTTACAATCCTTTGGGTATATACCTAGTAATGGGATTGCTGGGTCAAATGGTATTTCTGGTTCTAGATCCTTGAGGAATCGCCACACTATCTTCCACAATGGCTGAACTAGTTTACACTCCCAACAACAGTGTAAAAGTGTTCCTATTTCTCCACAGCCTCGCCAGAATCTGTTGTTTCCTGACTTTTTAATAATCGCCATTCTAACTGGCGTGAGATGGTATCTCATTGTGGTTTTGATTTGCATTTCTCTAATGACCAGTGATGATGAGCTTTTTTTCATATGTTTGTTGGCCACATAAATGTCTTCTTTTGAGAATTGTCTGTTCATATCCCTTGCCCACTTTTTGATGGGGTTGTTGATTTTTTTCTTGTAAGTTTGTTTAAGTTCCTTGTAGCTTCTGGATATTAGACCTTTGTCAGGTGGGTAGCTTGCAAAAATTTTCTCCCATTCTGTAGGTTGTCTGTTCACTCTGATGATAGTTTCTTTTGCTGTGCAAAAGCTCTTTAATTAGATCCCATTTGTCAATTTTGGCTTTTGTTCCAATTGCTTTTGGTGTTTTAGTCATGAAGTCTTTGCTCATGACTATGTCCTGAATGGTATTGCCTAAGTTTTCTTCTAGGGTTTTTATGGTTTTGGGTTTTATGTTTAAGTCTTTAATCTATCTTGTGTTAATTTTTGTATAAGGGATAAGGAAGGGATCCAGTTTCTGTTTTCTGCATATGGCTAGCCAGTTTTCCCAGCACCATTTATTAAATAGGGAATCCTTTTCCCATTGCTTGTTTTTGTCAGGTTTGTTGAAGATCAGATGGTTATAGATGGGTGGTGTCATTTCTGAGGCCTCTGTTCTGTTCCATTGGTCGATATATCTGTTTTGATACCAGTACTATGCTGTTTTGGTTACTGTAGCCTTGTAGTATAGTTTGAAGTCAGGTAGTGTGATGCTTCCAGCTTTGTTCTTTTTGCTTAGAATTGTCTTGGGTATACAGGCTCTTTTTTGGTTCCATATGAAATTTAAAGTAGTTTTTTTCTAATTCTGCAAAGAAAGTTACTGGTAGCTTGATTGGAATAGCATTGAATCTAAAAATTACTTTGGGCAGTATGGCCATTTTCACAATATTGACTCTTTCTATCTATAAGCATGGGATGTTTTTCCATTTGTTTATGTCCTCTCTTATTACCTTGAGCAGTGGTTTGTAGTTCTCCTTGAAAAGGTCCTTCACGTCCCTTGTAAGTTGAATTCCTAGGTATGTTATTCTCTTTGTAGCAATTGTGAATGGGAGTTCACTCATGATTTAGTTCTCTGCTTGTCTATTGTTGGTGAACAGGAATGCTTGTGATTTTTGCACTTTAATTTTTGTATCCTGAGACTGCTAAAATTGCTTATCAGCTGAAGGAGTTTTGGGGCTGAGACGATGGAGTTTTCTAAATATACAATCATGTCATCTGCAAACAGACAATTTGACTCCCTCTCTTCCTATTTCAATACGCTTTATATCTTTCTCTTACCTGATTGCCCTGGCCAGAACTTCCAACACTATGTTGAATAGGAGTGGTGAGAGGGCATCCTTGTCTTGTGCCGGTTTTCAAAGGGAATGCTTCCGGTTTTTTCCCATTCAGTATGATATTGGCTGTGTGTTTGTCATAAATAGCTGTTATTATTTTGAGATACGTTCCATCAATACCTAGTTTATTGAGAGTTTTTAGCGTGAAGGGATGTTGAATTTTATCAAAGGCCTTTTCTGCATCTATTGAGATAATCATGTGGTTTTTGTCATTGGTTCTGTTTATGTGATGGATTACGTGTATTGATTTGCATATGTTTAAACCAGCCTTGCATCCCAGGGTTGAAGCCGACTTGATTGTGGTGGATAAGCTTTTTGATGTGCTGCTTTTTGATGTGTTGGATTCGGTTTGCCAGTATTTTATTGAAGATTTTCACAACAGTGCTCATCAGGGATATTGGCCAGAAATTTTCTTTTTTGTTGTGTCTCTGTCAGGTTTTGATATCAGGATGATGCTGGCCTCATAAAATAAGCTTTAGGGAGGAGTCCCTCTTTTTCTATTGTTTGGAATAGTTTCAGAAGGAATGGTACCAGTTCCTCTTTGTATCTCTGGTAGAATTCGGCTGTGAATGTGTCTGGTCTTGGGCTTTTTTTGGTTGGTAGGCTATTAATTACTGCCTCAATTTCATAACTTGTTATTGGTCTATTCAGGAATTCAACTTCTTCCTGGTGTAGTCTGGGAGGGCATATGTGTCCAGGAATTTATCCATTTCTTCTAGATTTTCTAGTTTATTTGCGTAGAGGTGTTTATAGTATTCTCTGATGGTAGTTTGTCTTTCTGTGGGATCAGTGGTGATATCCCCTTTATCATTTTTATTGTGTCTATTTGATTCTTTTCTCTTTTCTTCTTTATTAGTCTAGCTAGAGGGCCACCTATTTTGTTAATATTGTCAAAAAAACAAGCTCCTGGATTCACTGATTTTTTGAAGGGTTTTTTTTGTGTCTCTGTCTCCTTCAGTTCTGCTCTGATCTTAGTTATTTCTTGCCTCTGCTAGCTTTTGAATTTCTTTGTTCTTGCTTATCTAGTTCTTTTAATTGTGATATTAGGGTGTCAATTTTAGATCTTTCCTGCTTTCTGTTGTGGGCATTGAGTGCTATAAATTTCCCTCTTAACACTGCTTTAGCTGTGTCCCAGAGATTCTGGTATGTTGTCTCTTTGTTCTCATTGGTTTCAAAGAACTTATTTATTTCTGCCTTAATTTTGTTATTTACCCCGTAGTCATTCAGGAGCAGCGTGTTCAGTTTCCATGTAGTTGTGTGGTTTTGAGTGAGTTTCTTAATCCTGAGTTCTAATTTGATTGCACTGTTGTCTGAGAGACTGTTTGTTATGATTTCCATTCTTTTGCATTTGCTGAGGAGTGTTTTACTTTCTTTCTTTTCTTTTCTTTTCTTTTTTTTTTTTTTGAGATGGAGTCTCACTCTTTCACCCAGGCCGGACTGCAGTGGCACTATCTTGGCTCACTGCAAGCTCCGCCTCCTGGGTTCACGCCATTCTCCTGCCTCAGCCTCCCGAGTAGCTGGGACTACAGGTGCCTACCACTGCGCCTGGCTAATTTTTTGTATTTTTAGTAGAGACAGGGTTTCACTGTGTTAGCCAGGATGGTCTTGATCTCCTGACCTCATGATCCACACGCCTTGGCCTCCCAAAGTGCTGGGATGAGTGTTTTACTTTCAATTTTGTGGTTGATTTTAGAATATGTGCTATGTGGTGCTGAGAAGAATGTATATTCTGTTGATTTGGGGTGGAGAGTTCTGTAGATGTCTATTAGGTCCACTTGGTCCAGAGCTGAGTTCAAGTCCTGAATATCCTTGTTAATTTTCTGTCTTGTTGATCTGTCTAATATTGACAGTGGGGTGTTAAAGTCTCCCACTATTATTGTGTGGGAGCCTAAGTCTCTTTGTAGGTCTCTAAGAACTTGCTTTATGAATCTGGGTGCTCCTATATTGGGTGCATATACATTTAGGATAGTTAGCTCTTGTTGCATTGATCCCTTTATCATTATGTAATGCCCTTCTTTGTCTCTTTTGATCTTTGTTGCTTTAAAGTCTGTTTTATCAGAGACTAGGATTGCAACCCCTGCCTTTTTTGTTATTGTTGTTGTTTGCTTTTCATTTGCTTGGTAAATCTTCCTCCATCCCTTTATTTTGAGCCTATGTGTGTCTTTGCACGTGAGATTGGTCTCCTGAATACAGCACACTGATGGATCTTGACTTTTTATCCAATTTGCCAGTTTGTGTCTTTTAATTGGGGCATTTAGCCCATTTACATTTAAGGTTAATATTGTTATGTGTGAATTTGATCCTGTCATCATGGTGCTAGCTTGTTATTTTGCACATTAGTTGATGCAGTTTCTTTATAGTGTTGATGGTCTTTACAATTCAGTATGTTTTTGCAGTGGCTGGTACCAGTTTTTCCTTTCAATATTTAGTGCTTCCTTCAGGAGCTCTTGTAAGGCAGGCCTGATGGTGACAGAATCCCTCAGCATTTGCTTGTCTGTAAAGAATTTTATTTCTCCTTCACTTATGAAGCTTAGTTTGGCTGGATATAAAATTCTGGGTTGAAAATTCTTTTCTTTAAGAATGTTGAATATTGGCCCCCAGTCTCCTCTGGCTTGTAGGGTTTCTGCAGAGAGATCTGCTGTTAGTCTGATGGGCTTCCCTTTATAGGTAATCTGACCCTTTTCTCTGGCTGCCCTTCACATTTTTTCCTTCGTTTCAACCTTGGAGAAGCTGACGATTATGTGTCTTGGGGTTGCTCTTCTCGAGGAGTATTTTAGTGGTGTTCTCTGTATTTCCTGAATTTGAATGTTGGCCTGTCTTGCTAGGTCGGGAAGTTTGCCTGGATAATATCCTGAAGTGTGCTTTCCAACTTGGTTCCATTCTCATCATAACTTTCAGGGACCCTAGTCAATCATAGGTTTGGTCTTTTCAAATAGTCCCATATTTCTTGGAGGCTTTGTTCTTTCCTTTTTGTCTTCACACCTTGTTTCAGTAAGTTGATCTTCAATCTCTGATATCCTTTCTTCCACTTGATTTATTCGGCTATTGATACTTATGTATGCTTCAGGAAGTTCTCATGCTGTGTTTTTCAGCTCCATCAGGTCATTTATGTTCCTCTCTAAACTGGTTATTCTAGTCAGCAGTTCCTGTAATCTTTTATCAAGGTTCTTAGCTTCCTTGTATTGGGTTAGAACATGCTTCTTTAGCTCATAGGAGTTTGTTATTACCCACCTTCTGAAGCCTACTTCTGTCAATTCATCAATCTCATTCTCTGTCCAGTTTTGTGCTTGCTAAAGAGGAGTTGCGATCATTTGCATGAGAAGCAGCATTCTGGTTTTTGGAATTTTCAGCATTTTTGTGCTGTTTTTTCCCCATCTTCATGGATTTATCTACCTTTGATCTTTGATGCTGATGACCTTTGGATGGGGCTTTTGTGTGGGAGTCCTTTATGTTGATGTTGATGTTACTGCTTTCTGTTTGTTAGTTTTTCTTCAAACATACAGGCCTCTCTTCTGTAGGTCTGCTGCAGTTTGCTGGAGGTCCACTCCAGACCCTGTTTGCCTGGGTATCACCAGTGGAGGTTGCAGAACAGCAAAGATTGCTGCCTGCTCCTTCCTCTGGAAGCTTCCTCCCAGAGGGGCACTGGCCTGATGCCAGCCAGAGCACTCCTGTATGAGGTGTCTGTTGACCCCTGTTGGGAGATTTCTCCCAGTCACGAGGCACGGAGGTCAGGGACTCACTTGAGGAGGCAATCTGTCCCTTAGCAGAGCAGGTGCGCTAGGCTGGGAGAATCCCTCTTGTCAGGTTCGGTTGCTCTCTTCACAGCTGGCAGGCAGGAATGATTAAATACACTGAAGTTGCGCCCACATCTGCCCCTTCCCGCAGGTGCTGTGTCCCAGGGAGATGGAGTTTTTTTTCTGTAAGCCCCTGACTAGGGCTGTTATCTTTCCTTCAGAGATGCCCTGCCCAGTGAGGAGGAATCTAGAGAAGCAGTCTGGCCACAGCCACTTTGTCACGCCCAGCCCAGACCTCCCATCCTCCTTAGCACTGTCTGGAGAAAACTGCCTACTAAAGCCTCAGTAATGGTGGATGCCCCTCCCCCCACTAAGCTGGAGCATCCCAGATTGACTTCAGATTGCTGTGCTAGCAGCAAGAATTTCAAACCAGTGGTTCTTAGCTTGCTGGGCTCCGTGGGAATAGGACCTGCCGAGTGAGACCACTTGGCTCCCTGGCTTCAGCCCCCTTTCCAGGGGAGTGAATGGTTGTCTCTTGCTGGGGTTCCAGGCGCCACTGGGGTACGAAAAAATAGTCGTACAACTAGCTCGGTGTTTGCCCGAACAGCCGCCCAGTTTTGTGCTTGAAATCCAGGGCCCTGGTGGTGTAGACACATGGGGAATCTCCTGATCTGCAGATTGCAAAAACCATGGGAAAAGCATAGTAACCTGGTGGGTAGCACAGTCCCTCATGGCTTCCCTTGGCTCAGAGAGGGAGCTCCCCAGATCCTTGCACTTCCCGGGTGAAGCGACACCCCATCCTGCTTCTGCTCACCCTCTGTGGGTTGGACCCACTGCCTAACCAGTCCCTGTGAGATGAACTGGGTACCTCAGTTGGAAATGCAGAAATCACCCGCCTTCTGCATTGGTCTTGCTGGGAGCCGCAGACTGGAGCTGTTCCTATTCAGCCATCTTGGCCCCTCTTTTGTATTTTTTGTTTGTTTGTTTGTTTTAATTTCATTTAATTCTACTGTGATCTTGGTTATTCTTTTCTTCTGCTGGGTTTGGGTTTGGTTTGTTCTTGTTTCTCTAGTTCGTTGAGGTGTGACCTTAGATTATCTATTTGTGCTCTTTCAGACTTTTTGATGTAGGCATTTAGTGCTATGAACTTTCATCTTTGCTTTTTTTTCACACTGCCTTTGCTGTATCCCCGAGATTTTGATAGGTTTTGTCACTATTATCATTGAGTTCAAAGAACTTTTAATTTCCATCTTGATTTCATTGTTGACCCAATGATCATTCAGGAGCAGGTTATTTAATTTCCATGCATTTGCATGGTTTTGAGGGTTCCTTTTATCATTGATTTCAAATTTTATTCCACTGTGTTCAGAGAGAGTACTTGATATAACTTCAATTTTCTTAAATTTATTGAGACTTGTTTTGTGGCCTGTCATATGGTCTATCTTGGTAAATGTTCCAGGTGCTGATGAATAGAATGTATATTCTGCAGTTGTTGGGTAGAATGTTCTGTAAATATCTGTTAAGTCCATTCTTTTTAGGGTATAGTTTAAGTCCATTGTTCCTTTGTTGACTTTCTGTCTTGATGACCTGTCTAGTGCTGTCAGTGGAGTATTGAAGTCCCTCACTATTATTGTGTTGCTTTCTATCTCATTTCTTAGGTCTAGTAGTAATTATTTTATACATTTGGGAGCTCTAGTGTTAGGTACATATATATTTAGGATTGTGATATTTTCCTGTTGGACAAGTCCTTTTATCATTATATAATGTCCCTCTTTGTGTTTTTAAGCTGCTATTGCTTTGAAGTTTGTTTTGTCTGATATAAGAATACCTACTCCTGCTCATTTTTGGTGTCTATTTGCATGGAATATCTTCTTCCACTCCTTTATTGTAAGTTTATGTGAATCCTTATGTGTTTGGTAAGTCTCTTGAAGACAGCAGATACTTGCTGGATGAATTCTTATCCATTCTGCCATTCTGTATCTTTTGAGTGGAGCATTTAGGTTATTTACATTCAATGTTACAATTGAGATGTGAAGTACTATTCTATTTATCATGCTAGTTGTTGCCTGAATACCTTGGTTTTTTTTTTTTTCATTTTGTTATTATTTTATAGGTCCTGTGAGATTTATGCCTTAAGGGGGTTCTATTTTGGTGCATTTTGATGATTTGTTTCAAAATTTAGAGCTACTTTTATCAGTGCTTGTAGTGCTGGCTTGGTAGTGGCTAATTCAGCATTTGTCTGAAAAAGACTATCTTTCTTTCATTTATAAAGCTTAGTTTCACTGGACACAAAATTCTTGGCTGATAATTGTTTTGTTTAAGGAGGCTAAAGATAGAACCCCAATCCCTTCTAGCTTGTAGGGTTTCTGCTGAGAAATCTGCTGTTAATCTGATAAGTTTTCCTTTATAGGTTACCTGATGCTTTTGTCTCACAGCTCTTAAGATTCTTTCCTTTGTTCTGACTTTAGATAACCTGATGACTAAGTGCCTACATGATTATCTTTTTGTGATGAATTTTCCAGGTGTTCTTTCACCTTCTTGTATTTGGGTATCTAGATCTCTAGCAAGGCCAGGGAAGTTTTCCTTGATTATTTCCTCAACTATGTTTCCCAAACTTTTAGATATCTCTTCTTCCTTGGGAACACTAATTATTCTTAGAATCCATCATTTAACATAATCCTAAACTTCCTGGAGGCTTTGTTCATTTTTAAAATTCTGGTTTTCTTTGACTTGTCAGATTGGGTTAATTTGAAAGCCTTGTCTTCAAGCTCTGAAGTTCTTTCTTTTACTTATTCAATTATATTGCTGAGACCTTCCAGTGTATTTTGCATTTCTCTGTGTGTCCTTCATTTCCAGAAGTTTTGATTGTTTTTTATTTATGCTATTTATTTCCCTGTAGATTTTTCCATTCATATCCTGTAACATTTTAAAATTTCTTTGAGTTGGTATTCACATTTCTCTTCTGCCTCCTTGAGTAGCTTAATAATTGTCCATCTGAATTCTTTTTCTGGCAATCTAGAGATTTCTTCCTGGTTTGGATCCATTGCTGGTGAGCTAGTGTGATATTTTAGGGGTGTTAAAGAACCTTGTTTTGTTATATTACCATAATTGTTTTTCTGGTTCCTTCTCATTTGGGTAGACTATGTCAGAGGGAAGATCTGATGGTCAAGGACTGCTGTTCAGATTCTTTCATCCCACAGAGTGCTCCCTGGATGTGGGTATTCAGGGATGTGCCTTCCTGAAAGCCAAACTGCAGTGATTGTTATTTCTCTTCTGGATCTAGCCACTCAGCAGAGCTACTGAGCTCTGGGCTGGTGTCTGCAAAGAGTCCTGTGATGTGATCCATCTTCAGGTCTCTCAGCCATGGATACCAGCACGTACTATGGTGGAGGTAGCAGGAGAGTGAAGCAGACTCTGTGAGGGTCCTTGGTTGTATTTTTGTTTATTGTGCTAGTTTTATTTGGCCTCCAGCCAGGAGGTGGTGCTTTCAGGAGAGAATCAGCTGTGGTAGTATAGGGAGGATACAAGCTTGCCCTAGGGTCACCTGGATAAGTTTCTCAGGTGGTGGTTTGGGCCACTGAGCTTCCAAGACATTATGTCCTTTGTCTTTGGCTACCAGGGCAGGTAGAGAAAGACCACCAGGTGGGGGCAGGGTTAGGTGTGTCTGAGCTCAGACTCTCCTTGGGCAGGGCTTGCTGTGGCTGCTGTAGGGGATGGGGGTGTGATTCTCAGGCCAATGGAGTTATATTCCCAGGGGGATTATGGCTGCCTCTGCTGCATGCCATGGCAGGTTGCCAGGGAACTGGGGGGAAAGTTGGCAGTAACAGGCCTCACCTAGCTCCCACACAGCCCAAAAGGCCAGTCTCACTCTCACTGTGCCCTCCACAACAGCATTGAGTTTATTTCCAGGTAGTAGGTGAGCAGAGCTGAGGACTTGCCCCAGGGTCCAGGCCTCCCCACTGGGAAAGCAAGCAGGACTTTCAGGTTTTGCGGCTCCCAGCATGTCACAACTTCTGTACTGTGTCTGCACTCCTGGTTCACCCTCTTACCCAGGTTCTGTCCAGGAAACTTCGTGTTTGGTTGAAATTGTTACAAAGTTCAGTTCACAACCTCTCCTTGTGTTTTTTCCCCAATTCCACCGGCAGCCCTCCCCAAAGGACCCCTGTGAGACAAAGTCAGAAATGGCTTCCCCAGGGACTAAGAGTAGCCACAGAGCTCTTCCCACTGCTTCCTCTACCCCTGTATTTCCCTCAGCTCTCTAAGTTCATCTAATCTCCATGTAAGATCAATTACCTTGCTGGCTTACTTATTCACTCTCTTAATCGTGTCTTTCAGTGAAAAGAAATTATTAATTTTAACATGGTCCAATTTATCAATCATTTTGAATGATTTGTACATTTTGTGTCCTATTAGCCTTTTGCTTTGGACTCTTCTAGATGTCTGTCTTTGTGTGTATAACCAGTCTTCACCACTCTAGGAGTACAAATGATGTATGAGTTAAATTAGTACCCTGACTACCACATCAGGCCCCATCACATTCTTTAGATGGGAAGGAGCCAATCAAAAGCTTACCTTTTCAGTCTTTGTTATTGTTCAAGGATGATTGGTAATGACACTATCTTCTCCTTTCAGGTAAAACACAAGTACCAACTCACAGAATGACTTTAGTACACAATGATCCAACATCAGTCCCTTTGGGGTATTATTTTAATCACTGAAGTAAAATTTAATGAGAAGATTTCAAACAAAAATTTAGGCAGAATAGTATAGTGAACCCTTAATACACATCATTGGCTTCAAAAATAATGATCTCATGGCCAATCTTGTTTTATCTATATTGCCACACACTACTCATGACTGAGTTATTTTGAAACAAATCCTATACATCACATCACTGCAACCATAAATAATTCAATATTTGTCTGTAAAAGATGAGGATTCTTTAAAAACAGGTATATGATCATTTTCAGCTAAAATATCAACAATTTATTACTATCATATATCCAATGTTCAAATTTCCAATGGTTTCATAAATGTCATAATTTTTAAAACAGCTTTATTGAGATGTAATTCACATAGAGTTAACCCACTTAAAGTGTACAATTTAATGGCTTTTAGCATTCATGGAGTTGTGCAACCCTCATAATAATCAATTTTAAAACATTTCTGTCACCCCCAAAAGAAACTATTTACCTATTTGCAGTCATCCCTCCCCAATTCCACCATCCTCCTAGCCCTAGGCAACCACCAATCTACTTTCTGTCTCTATAGACCTACTCATTCTGGGCATTTCACATAAATGGAATCATACAACATATTATCCTTTGTGACTGACTTCTTTCACTCAATATAATATTTTCAAGGTTCATTTATGTTGTAGCATGGATCAGTAATGTATATCATTTCTTTTTATTGCCAAATAATGTTCCATTGTATGGATATGCCACATTTTATCTATCCATTCATCAGTCGATGGGGACATTTGGGTGGTTTTCACTTTTTGGGTATTATGAGTAATGCTACTATAAACATTTGAATATAGGCGTTTATGTGAACATAAGTTTTCATTTCTTTTGAGTACATATTTTTTTCTTTTTTCTTTTTTAGTATTATTATTATTTTTTTTAAATTATACTTTAAGTTCTGGGATACATGTGCAGAACGTGCAGGCTTGTTACATAGGTATACACGTGCCATGGGGGTTTGCTGCACCTATCAACCCATCATCTGTATTAGGTATTTCTCTTATTGCTATTTCTACGCTAACCCCCCACCCGCATACAGGCCCCGGTGTGTGATGTTCCCCTCCCTGTGTCCATGTGATCTCATTTTTCAACTCCCACTTATGAGTGAGAACATGCAGTGTTTGGTTTTCTGTTCCTGTGTGTGTTTGCTGAGAATGAGGGCTTCCAGCTTCATCCATGTCCCTACAAAGGACATGAAGTCATTCTTTTTTATGGCTGCATAGTATTCCATGATGTATTTGTGCCACATTTTCTTTATCCGGTCTATCATTGATGGGCATTTGGGTTGGTTCCAAGTCTTTGCTATAGTGAACAGTGCTGCAATAAACATACATGTGCATGTGTCTTTAGAGTAGAATGATTAATAATCCTTTGGGTATATACCTAGTAATGGGATTGCTGGGTCAAATGGTATTTCTGGTTCTAGATCCCTGAGGAATCGCCACACTGTCTTCCACAATGGTTGAACTAATTTACAACAGTGTAAAAGTGTTCCTATTTCTCCACATCCTCTCCAGCATCTGTTGTTTCCTGACTTTTTAATAATCGCCATTCTAACTGGCATGAGATGGTATCTCATTGTGGTTTTGATTTGCATTTCTCTAATGACCAGTGATGATGAGCATTTTTTCATGTTTGTTGACTGCATAAATGTTTTCTTTTGAGAAGTGTCAGTTCATGGACGTTTGCCCACTTTTTGATGGAGTTGTTTTTTTCTTGTAAATTTTTTTAAGTTCTCTGTAGATTCTGGATATTAACTCTTTGTCAGATGGATAGATTGCAAAAATTTTCTCCCATTCTGTAGGTTGCCTGTTCACTCTGATGATAGTTTCTTTTGCTGTGCAGAAGCTCTTTAGTTTAATTAGATGCCATTTGTCAATTTTGGCTTTTGTTCCAATTGCTTTTGGTGTTTTAGTCATGAAGTCTTTGCCCATGCCTATGTCCTGAATGGTATTGCCTAGGTTTTCTTCTAGGATTTTTATGGTCTTAGGTCTTATATTTAAGTCTTTAATCCATCTTGAGTTAATTTTTGTGTAAGGTGTAAGGAAGGGGTCCAGTTTCTGTTTTCTACATATGGCTAACCAGTTTCCCCACCACCATTTATTAAATAGGGAATCATTTTCCCATTGCTTGTTTTTGTCAGGTTTGTTGAAGATCAGATGGTTATAGATGTGTGGTGTCATTTCTGAGGCCTCTGTTCTGTTCTATTTGTCTGTATATCTGTTTTGGTACCAGTACCATGCTGTTTTGGTTACTGTAGCCTTGTAGTAAAGTTTGAAGTCAGGTAGCATGATGCCTCAAGCTTTGTTCTTTTTGCTTAGGATTGTCTTGGGTATATGGACTCTTTTTTCGTTCCATATGAAATTTAAAATAGTTTTTTCTAACTCTGTGAAGAAAGTCACTGGTAGCTTGATGGGGATAGCATTGAATCTATAAATTACTTTGGGCAGTATGGCCGTTTTCATGGTATTGATTCTTCGTATCCATGAGCATGGAATGTTTTTCCATTTGTTTGTGTCCTCTCTTATTTCCTTGAGCAGTAGTTTGTAGTTCTCCTTGAAAAGGTCCTTTACATCCCTTGTAAGTTGTATTCCTAGGTATTTTTTTTCTCTCTGTAGCAATTGTGAATGGGAGTTTACTCATGATTTGGCTCTCTGTCTATTATTGGTGTATGTGAATGCTTGTGATTTTTGCACATTGATTTTATATCCTGTGACTTTGCTGAGGTTGCTTATCAGCTGAAGGAGTTTTGGGGCTGAGACGATGGGGTTTTCTAAATATACAATCATGTCATCTGCAAACAGAGACAATTTGACTCCCTCTCTTCCTATTTCAATACCCTTTATATCTTTCTCTTGCCTGATTGCCCTGGCCAGAACTTTCAATACTATGTTGAATAGGAGTGGTGAGAGAGGGCATCCTTGTCTTGGTCCGGTTTTCAAAGGGAATGCTTCCAGTTTTTTTCCCATTCAGTATAATATTGGCTGTGTGTTTGTCATAAATAGCTGTTATTATTTTGAGATACATTCCATCAATACCTAGTTTATTGAGAGTTTTTAGCATGAAGCGATGTTGAATTTTATCGAAGGCCTTTTCTGCATCTATTGAGATAATCATGTGGTTTTTGTCATTGGTTCTGTTTATGTGATGTATTACATTTATTGATTTGTGTATGTTGAACCAGCCTTGCATCCTCGGGATGAAGCCGACTTGATCGTGGTGGATAAGCTTTTTGATGTGCTGCTGGATTCAGTTTGCCAATATTTTATTGAGGATTTTCGCATCAATGTTTTTCGAGGATATCCTTGAGTACCTAATTTTTAAAAGTTTCTTTGACTTAGCATCTAAATAAGGTCTGCATTATGATTAATTTATAGTGTTTAAGTTTTTTAATTTATAGGTTATCTTTCTTTTTTTGAAATTATTTATTTGCTGCAGAAACTAGGTCATTTGTCCTGAAGAGCTTCCCACAGCTTGGATTTTCCCACGTATGATGATATTTAACATGTTCTTTTGTCATTGTTGCCATCGTCACTGTTCCTCCTCCTCTTCTTCCTTCTTCTTCCCTCCTCTCCTTCTGTCCCACTTTCTCTCTTTGTTTAACAAGAATACTTTATTGGAGGCATTTTGTTCTTCTATCAGAATGTATGTTATGTCTTGTAGTCTCTTTTTTTCTGTGATGTTAGCAGGTGTTGATAGTCAATGCCTACATTTATTAATTCTCTGTATGTTGCAAAATGGATGATATGCTTTTCTTCTAGAGTGTTTATAGTTTTGGGTTTTACATTTAAGTCTTTAATCCATCTTGAGTTAATTTTTGTATAAGGTGTAAAGAAGGGGTCCAGTTTCAATTTTCTGCATATTGCTAGTCAGTTCTCCCAGCACCATTTATTAAGTAGGGAATCCTTTCCCCATTGCTTGTTTTTGTCAGGTTTGTCAAAGATCAGATGGTTGTAGGTGTGTGGTCTCAGTTTCTGAGTTCTCTATTCTGTTCCATTGGTCTATGTGTTTGTTTTTGTACCAGTGCCATGGTGTTTTGGTTACTGTAGCCTTGTAGTATTGTTTGAAGTCAGGTAGTGTGATGCCTCCAGTTTTGTTCTTTTTGCTTAGGGCTGTCTTGGCTTTACTGGCTCTTCTTGGTTCCATATGAAATTTTAAGTAGTTTTTTTTTTTTTCTAATTCTGCAAAGAAAGTCACTGGTAGCTTCATGGGAATTGCATTGAATCTAAAAATTACTTTGGGCAGTATGGCCATTTTCGTGATATTGATTGATTCTTCCTATCCATGAGCATGAAATGTTTTTCCATTTGTTTGTGTCCTCTCTGAATTCCTTGAGCAGTGGTTTGTAATTCTCCTCATAGAGATCTTTCACCTCCCTAGTTAGCTGTATTCCTAGGTATTTTATTCTTTTTGTGGCAATTGTGAATGGGAGTTCATTCCTGATTTGGGTCTCTGCCTGCCTGTTGTTAGTGTATGGGAATGCTGGTGATTTTTGCACATTGATTTTGTATCTTGAGACTTTGCTGTATTTGCTTATCAACTTAAGAAGCTTTTGGGCTGAGACGATGGGGTCTTCTAGATATAGGATCATGTCATCTGCAAACAAAGTTAATTTGACTTCCTCTCTTCCTATTTGAATACCTTTTATTTCTTTCTCTTGCCTGATTGCCCTGGCCAGAACTTTCAATACTATGTTGAATAGGAGTGGAGAGAGTGTGCATCCTTGTCTTGTGCCAGTTCTCAAGAGGAATGCTTCCAGTTTTGGCCTGTTCAGTATGATATTGGCTGTGGGTTTGTCATAGATGGGTCTTATCATTTTGATGTATGTTCCTTCAGTAGCTAATTTATTGAGACTTTTTAACATGAAGGGATACTGATTTCTATTGAAGGCCTTTCCACATCTATTGAGATAATCATGTGTTTTTTGTCTTTAGTTCTGTTTATGTGATGAATCACACTTACTGATTTGCATAAGTTGGACCAACCTTGCATCTAGGGGATGAAGCCTACTTGATTATGGTGAATAAGCTTTTTGATGTGCTGCTGTATTCAGTTTGCCAGTATTTAGTTGAGGATTTTTGCATTGATGTTAATCACAGATATTGGCCTGAAATTTTCTTTTTTTATTGTATCTCTGCCAGGTTTTGGTATCAGGATGATGCTGGCCTCATAAAATGAGTTATGGAGGAGTCCCTCCTTTTCAATTGTTTGGAATATTTTCAATAGAAATAGTACCAGCTCTTCTTTGCACTTCTGTTATAATTCAGCTGTGAATCTATTTGGTCCTGGGCTTTTTTTTTGGTTGGTAGGCTATTTATTACTGCCTCAATTTCAGAACTCATTATTGGTCTATTCAGGGATTCAATTTCTTCCTGGTTCAGTCTTGGGAGCGTGTATCTCTGCAGAAATTTATCCATTTCTTCTAGATTTTCTAGTTTATGTTCATAGAGGTGTTTATAGTTTTCTCTGATGATTGTTTATATTTCTGTGGGGTCAGGGTGATAAACCCCTTATCATTTCTAATTGTGTTTATTTGATTCTTCTCTTTTTTCTTCTTTATTAGTCTAGCTAGTGGTCTATTTTATTAATTTTTTCTTTTTTTAAGCAATTTATTTATTGAAGGCGAGGCAGGAAGCGGGGAGGGAGGGCAAGGGCGACCTCTCTTCCTCACAGGGACCAGGCCTTGTTTCTCTCCCAGATAAGCTAAGGTTGGCAGGGGCTGAGGGGAGTGAGGCAGGGAGGATGCATGGGGTCTGTGGGAGCCAGAGAGAAGCTGGAGTCAGGTAGGAGCTGGGGCTGTGGGGGGGTGAAAGGTGAAGCAAGGTCAAAGGTGAACTGCAGCTCGGAGGGAGGGGTGCAGTGTAAACCAGGACTTATAGGTGGAGAGGTAAAATGAGATTCGTAGGGGGTGAAAGAGAAGTTGGGGTCAGAGGGGATTCACGGGTGAAAGAGAAGTTGGGGTTAGAGGTAGGAGCTGGGGCTCAGGTCGGGGGTTAAAGGTGAGGCAAGGTCAGAGGTGAAGTGCAGCTCAGAGGGAGGGGTCAAACATAAGCCAGGACTTATGGGTCTAGAGGTAAAATGGGATTCATGGGGGGCAGGGGTCAAAGGTGAAGCAGAGGTCAGGGGTGAAAGAGGGCCCTCAAAGTTAAAGGTGTGGTTTCCAGAGTCAGAAGGGGTGAAGCGGGGCTCCTCCTAGGAATGTCAAGGTTGGAAGAGCTCAAGGGGGTCAAAGATAAATTAGGGCTCAAGGGTCAATGGGGAGCCAGGGTCGGAGATGAAGTAGCCAGAGGTAAAGCGAGCTCCGAAGGTATTGTTAGGGTCAGGGTGAAGTCTTAGGGTCAGGGATGAGTCAGGCTTGGAGGGAAAGCGGGGGTCTAGGGGTCAGAGATGGAGGGCCTAGGGGGTCAAAGGTCAGAAGCCTCGAGGGGACAGACAGGAAGCGATGGGAGCAGCCTAGGCCACCTCCTCCTCGGCCTCCTGCTTGAACTCGCCCTCCTCGGCTGTGGCATCCTGGTACTGCTGGTACTCAGATACCAGGTCATTCATGTTGCTGTCAGTCTCGGTGAACTCCATCTCGTCCATGCCCTCGCCTGTGTACCAGTGCAGGAACGCCTTGCACCACAACATGGCCGTGAACTGCGCAGAGATGCACTTGAACAGCTCCTGGAAGTCTGTGTTGTTGCTGATGAAAGTTGCGGCTATCTTCAGGCCGTGGGGCGAGATGTCGCACACGGCCGTCTTCATGTTGTTGGGGATCCACTGCACGAAGTAGCTGCTGTTCTTGCTCTGCAGGCTCAGCATCTGCTTGTCCACCTCCTTCATGGACATGCGGCCCGGAACACGGTGGCCATGGTCAGGTAGCGGCCATGTCGCGGGTTGCACATGGCCATCATGTTCTTGGCATCGAACATCTGCTGTGTGAGCTCAGGCACCCTCAGGGCCTGGTACTGCTGGCTGCCCCGGCTGGTCAGGGGTGCGAAGCCAGGCATGAAGAAGTGCGGGCAAGGAAAGGGGACCATGTTGACGGCCAGCTTGTGCAGGTTGGTGTTCAGCTGGCCCAGGAAGCACAGGCAGGTGGTGACTCTGCTCATGGTGGCTGACACCAGGTGGTTGAGGTCCCCGTAGGTGGAGGTGGTCAGCTTGAGGGTGCGGAAGCAGATGTCATAGAGTGCCCCATTGTTGATGCAGTAGGTCTCATTCGTATTCTCCACCAGCTGGTGCACAGACAGTGTGGCATTGTAGGGCTCCACACCGTATCTGACACTTTGGGCGAGGGCACCATGCTGAAGGTGTTCATGATGCGGTCTGGGAACTCCTCACGGATCTTACTGATGAGCAGTGTGCCCATCCCGGACCCCGTGCCACCCCCCAGCAAGTGCGTCAGCTGGAAGCCTTGAAGGCAGTCGCAGTTCTAGGCCTCCTTCTGGACCACGTCCAGGACAGTGCCTACCAGCTCTGTGCCCTCCGTGTAGTGCCCCTTCACCCAGTTGTTGCCGGCTCTGGACTGGCCAAACACGAAGTTGTCCGGCCGAAAGATCTGACCGAAGGGGCCGGAAAGGATAGAGTCCATGGTGCTGGGTTCCAGGTCCACCAGCACCGCTCTGGGGACATAATTTCCTCCTCTGGCCTCATTGTAGTACACGTTGATCCTTTCCGGTTGCAGGTCACTGTCCCTATAGTATGTGCCTGTGGGGTCGATGCCCATGTTTGTCACTGATAACCTCCCAAAACTTGGCCCTGATCTGGCTGCCACACTGGCCGGCCTGCAGGTGCATGATCTCCTGCATGGTGGTGGTGCTGAGGGTGGATGTGGCGGAGGTGGCGTGAGCGTGGGGAGCTGCAGCGGCGTGGGTGGAAGATGCTGTGGAGACGGCGGAGCACTATTAATTAAAAAAAAAAAGGCTCCTAGATTTGTTGATTTTTTTGAAGGGTTTTTCATGTCTCTTCTTCAGTTCTGCTCTGGTCTTGGTTATTTCTTGTCTCTGCTAGCTTTGGGGTTTGTTGCTCTTGGTTCTCTAGCTCTTTTAGTTGAGATGTTAAGTTCTTAACTTGAGATCTGTCTAGATTTCTGATGTGAGTGTTTAGTGCTGTAAATTTCCCTCTTAATATTGAATTAGCTGTTTCCCAGAGATTCTGGTACATTGTCTTTTTGTTCTCATTAGTTTCAAATTGCTTCTTGATTTCTGTCTTAATTTCATTATTTACCCAAGAGTCATTCAAGAGCAAGTAATTCAATTTCCATGTAGTTGTGTGGGTTTTAGTGAATGTTTTTTTTTTTTTTTTTGAGGTGGAGTTTCACTCTTGTTGCCCAGGCTGGAGTGCAGTGGCATGATCTCAGCTTACTGCAACCTCTGCCTCCCGGGTTCAAGTGATTCTCCTGCCTCAGCCTCCCTTGTAGCTGGGATCAGAGGCATGTGCCACCACACCTGCCTAATTTTGTATTTTTAGTAGAGATGGGGTTTCTCCATGTTGGTCAGGCTGGTCTCGAACTCCCGACCTCAGGTGATCTGCCTGCCTCAGCCTCCCAAAGTGCTGGGATTACAGGCGTGAGCCACCACACCTGGCCTTCTTTGTCTTTTTTGATCTTTGTTGGTTTAAATTCTATTTTGTCAGAAACTAGGATTTCAACTCCTGCTTTTTTCTGTTTCCCATTTGCTTGGGAAATTTTCCTCTATCCCTTTATTTTGAGCCCATGTGTGTCTTTACATGTGAGATGGATCTCTTAAAGACAGCATACTGATGGGTCTTGGCTCTTTATCCAGCTTTCCATTTGCATAATTATTTTCAATTGGTTTCTTTGTAAGAATCTATTCAAGCTCTTTACCCACGTTTTAAGGACTGTTTTATTTAAAACTAGATAGTATAATTCACAATCCTCTTATGATTTGCAGATAAACAACAATTCATGGCAATCTTCTGAAAGATAGTGAAGAGGTGAGACCACCACTGAAACCCACTCTGTTTTGTGGAATTCTCACTCTTCTCCCTGGAGACCTCATGACTGTGATATATGAACTGAGAGAGGGCAGTACTGTCAAAACATACATGGAAGAGAATTTAATAAAAGAGAGCTCTGTGTACCTATCATCCTGAATTCACATATGCTAATAATTTATGATACTTGCTTTGAATTATTTTATTTATTAAATAAATAAAATATTATAGATAGAGGTCAAGTCCAATTTGTACTTCTTCCTAATCATTCTCTTCATTCTCAGAAGAACCATATCCTGAAGTTGGTGGACATTCTTCTCATTCATTTTCATGTATTTAATTTTACTACATATATATATATATATACACATAGACAAAAATCTGGTATGATTAATGACTATCTTTTGACTTTATGTAAATGTTTAAAAATGTATATAAATCTATCACTCTTTACAAAGAATTTGACAACTTCCTCACCATTATGTTTGTGAGATTCACCCATGTTAATACTTGTAACTCTTCTTTCAACAGTTACATATTATTACATTTTATGAATATATACATTTTGCCTATTCATTCACCTCTTCTTGAATATTTACATTGTTTTCATCTTTTCATTGTTTCAAACAAAGCTGCGATAAACACGTTTCCTTGAGCATATGTGTAAGAGTTTTTCTTTTTTTTTTTGTTTGAGACAGTCTTGCTCTGTTGCCCAGGCTGGAGTGCAGTGACTCGATCTGGGCTCACTGCAACCTCTGCCTCCTGAGCTCAAGTGATCCTCCTGCCTCAGCCTCCCAAGTAGCTGGGATTACAGGTGCGTGCCACCATGCCTGGCTAATTTTTGTGTAGAGACGGGGTATCGTCATGTTGGCCAGGCTGGTCTCAATCTCCTGACTTTAAGTGATCTGCCAGCCTTGGCCTCCCAAATTGTTGGGATTACAGGAGTGAGCCACTGTTCCCGGGCCTGAGTTTTTCTAGAGCCGTAGTTCTCCAACTGTTTAATTTTACTCTTAAAAATTATTGAGGACCCCAAAGAGCCTTTGTTTATCTGAGTTAAATATACTATTATTTACTGTATTAGAAATTAAAATAGAAATTAAAAATATTTAATTATGTATTAATTTAAAAGTGATAATACATCAATTACAAGTTAGCACAAATTATTTTATGAAAATAACTATATTTTTCAAAACAAAAACATTTAGTGAGAAAAGTAACATGGGCTTATATTTTTTGCAAATCTCTTTGATTTCTGTCTTAATAGAAAAGAGCTGGATTCCCTTATCTGTTTCTGCATTCACTCTTCTGTGATATATTGTTCTGGGTGAAATATAGAAAGTCCTATCTCACACATATGTGTAGTTGGAAAAGACAGGAGTTTTTAAGTAGTCTATGCCGATAATTGTGGATGGTTTTTGATATTATACCAAAATTGGACAATTGGAAGTTTCTTGGAGGTTAGTTCCAAAATGCAAACTGAAACTATATCAATGAACTGTTTGTGTTTTTATACATGAAAATCCATTTGCCTATCCTCACCTGGAGTGGAATTTTTACCTATGAATGATTTTGTAGCATCATGCATTCATTATTTTAAAAATATTGCTTCACTGAGTTATGCAAACCTTTCCAAATATTGACATATTTCATGATACAATATCACATTTGTTACTATCACCATTGATCTTATCAGGAAAGTATTTATGTTTCAGAAAGCTGTACAGCTTATGGTGGCAGACTCAAGTTTTCTTTTTTTTTTTTGTAAGTTTCAAATATTTATTAATGAGTGTAACCTCCTACACAATACATCAACATGATTTCATGCATTTAGAGGATAAAAATTTCCTAGTTAAGTGGAAAATTGTGGAGATGGCTTCTGGAGGACCTTCATTCTAAAGCAATTTTACAAGACCTTCTTTCTTCGGTTTGCTGTAATCCACATTACCTGAGTAGAGCTTGTATTGATCATTGGGACCCAGTTTGTTCCAGGGCTCTGGGTCATTCTTTCTGTCCCAAGTAACATCTGGATTGAACAATGCTGGATATAAAACATACAGTGCTGCTCCAGTACCTCCATCTCCAATAAACTCAGAGGAGAATCATGCTCAGATGCTTCTTGGCTTGATTGAGGATCTGGTAGAGCATGTTTGCAGCAGCGGCCTCTGATTCAAAAGAAGTGAACAAGCCTAGCTATCAGGCCCTGGACTAAGTAGTATCTACTACAAGTTTTCTAAAACTCTAATTTTTACATGAAAACTTGAATTTTGTAATTGACAAATAATGCTGTCAGTTGTTTTCCTTGAAGTGACAGCCTCACTTTGTTAATTTTAGAGAAACATCTGCCCAAAATCCAAGTCTGAATAACCAAAGTTTGTCTGTCAGTAATTCTTTTAACTACCAATGGTGTTTCATGAAAAGAGTTACTTTTAAATTGCACAAGTGTTTGTCTTCGAGGCAGTGATTATACTTCAAGATGTAGCAGAAGTGCTTTATGCATATTTTCCATTTGTCATACAAAATATTTAAAAACCGTGTTTTCAAGGGTCAATATTTATAACATGAATACTTTTCACTGCTCCATATAAGACAAGTGCAACTGACGTTTTTAATAAAACAGCATATGGTGGTAACAAACACAATGCCTACTAGTACTATTTTGTGGCACTGCTTCAATTTGTGCTAAGGCACCGGTAGTCTTATCCACTGTATTAGTTTCCTAGGGCTGCTGTTACGAACTACCACGAATTTGGTTGCTTGAAACAACAGGCATTTATTCTTCTTTAGTTCTGTAGGTCAGAGGTCTGAAATGAGTTTCACTGGGCAGAAATCAAGCTATCAGCAGGGCCCACTCTTTCCAGAGACTCTAGGGGAGAGTCTGTTTCCTTGCCTTTTCCAGCTTCTGAAGCTGAATTTCTTACATTCCTTGGCTCATAATCCCTTCATCTTCAAAGCCAGCAGTATAGCATCTTGCTTTAGCCATTATGTTGCCTTCTTCTGTTCAAATCTCCCTCTGCCTGTGTTGTGACCATCCTAAAGAAAAAGAATGGATGCCCACCTGAAAATTGGTTTGGATGTCAGGACTGATGATGCCACACACATACCAAGAGGGTATAAAAAGATTTACTGCTTACATAATTGAAGCTTTTCTGGGGAGAGCAGGGCAGCCCTCCCAAGCAGATTTGAAAAGGACTTGAGAGCCAGGAAAAGAAACTAGCTTGAATATTTTAAATTGTGATTAGGGAATGGGAAAAACTTTCAATGTAAAAGGCTAGATAGTAAAAATTTTAGGCTTTGTGAGCCATAAAATCTCTGCCATAACTACTGAACTTAAAATGTAAAAGCATCCATAGACAATCAATAAATAAATGGGTAAACATGTGTTTCAATAAAACTTTATTTATGGATACAGAAATTTGAAATTCATATAATTGTCATGAGTCGAAAAATATTCTTACTTTGATTTTTGGCCAGCCATTAAAAAAATGTACAAACCACAAGTTCAAAAGTTATATAAAAGCAGATAATGAATAGGATTTGGCCTGCGGGCTTAGTTTGACAACACCTGGATTAGTGTTTCACAATAGATGGGAGAAATATTACGTTTCTTTAATGATACATGAAACATTTCCACCACATATTATCTCATTTGATCTTTAGAACAACTGTGAAGTAGATATCCTCATCATACTCATTTTACAGATGAGAAAACTGAGGCTCAGATATCTTCATAAGGCAGTGGCTCTAAACCCTGGCTGTACATTGGAATTATCTGGGGGGCTTTTAAAGAATATCAGGCTTCACCCCTTGAAATTCTGACCTAATTGGTGTAGGACCATGGCTCTCAAATGGGGACAATTTTGTTTCTCCTCCCCCAGGGGACATTTGGCAATGTCTAGAAATATTTTTGGTTGTAACAACTGAGAGAGGAGTGTTGTGATACTGGCATATAGTGGGTAGGGTCCAGTGATGCTTCTAAGTATCCTGCAATGGACAGGGCATCCCTTCACAACAAGTATTACCCAGCCTAAAATGTTAATGGTGTCAAAGCTGAGAAATCCTAGTCTAGGCCAGGGCTCAGGCATTGGTTATATGAAAATCTCCCTAAGTGGGTTCCCAGGTGGTAGTTTAATATCTATATTCTCTCTGTAGTATGAGGGCTCAGTGATAACTTGGCTAATTCATGTCAATAGACAATTGTGAATTTTCAAGAAAAGACAATTCTAGTTCTTTACTGGCAACTTTTTTTTTCTTCAGCTGCTAATAAGATTTTAAATAGACAGGATTGAGCTCTTTGTCCTTTGTTTTATTTGGTCCACTCTGTGGAGTAGTGTTGAGAGCACCAAAGTCATAGAGGAGCTCTCCTAGGTAACAGGGTGGTTTGAGTGAAAGAAGCAACACCTATGTATTTACTTGAAGAGCTCCTGCTCTGAAACCCTTGGGAATCTGATTGGCTTAGGAAGACTGGAAGCTTTCCAGAAGGATACGGCTAATTGTTGCTTTCAAAGGAGATGCACATGTGTGAAGGCCTGAAAGGTATGAATATGGGGAAAGAAAATGTAGAAATTCTAACTTCTTCCAGTTCAGGCTAATGAGATGTGGTGAGACCCAGGGAATTAGTGGAGGTCATTAGGGTGTGCAAAAAGCAATCAAAAGAGATACTGGAAAGATTTATAATGCGATGATTCAAAACAACATAATGCAAAGGGAGAAAGAAAATACTGTGTAGGTCAATGTTTCTCAAGGTATAGTCCTTGAATCAGCTACAGCAGAACTACGTAGGATACTTGTGAAAAATGCAGATTTTTCAGACCTTGCTGAGACCTTTTGAATCAAGATCAGGGTGAAGCCCCAGAATCTGCATGTCTAACGGGCTCTCCAAATGTTTCTGATGTACACTATAGTTTGAGAAGCACTTTTATAGGCAGAACTCTTGCTCTAACTGGAGGATGATCAAGATGACCGCGTAATCTGAAATAAAGGCGTCCCTTGTCTTAGAAAAGCATGTTTTCCTGAGAAGTAGTGTGTTAATGGAAGTTTCACAAGTTGACTTTTATTGTAATTGCACTAGGGGGGCTCATTATTACTTAAAAGAAGCCAAAGGTTAAGATGTTCACAGAGTGAATGTTCGTATTCAATTGATCGTTTAAAATGTAGGGGATCTAACCTGTCATAATCAATATTAGTTAGCTCTCTAACCTAAACAAGATGTAGGCATTTAAAAAGATTCACTTTTATACTTATTTCTGTGATTCTTTAGCATTTTTGCCTTTCACAAAAATGTTTTGTGTCAATTTTAAGTTTAGAAAATATAGCGAATTAGGTTTCATTAATTTTGACAACCATGATAACGTGCTTGTTATGATTATATAAATGAAATTTTTGTGGTTTCCATATCTGTTGCATATCATGTTCAAACAAAGATCTCACATTGGAGCAGAAATATGCTGATTAGATGAATGGCATTAAGTACAAAATTGTATTGTGCTGGGTGCATTTGAATTTTACACAAAGAACAGACTTGGAGTCTGATTATCCCAGTCTCTGATTGCTTTGTCATTCACAGTTTTGATAAATTGCTTAATCATTTAATGAATTAATAATTTGCTATTGAGTCAACAAAATATCTAATCGCAAACCTTCTAAAAATCTGAGACTAGTTGAATCCTCATCCTTTGCATTATTTAATAGTGTATATATAATTGTTATATTTTTTTCTACTGTCCTTAATCACTTCCACTTGATTTGATAAGACCTTCACAGGCTCTCTGTGAGATTTTCATTTTGACAGGATGATGATAATACATGGCATATTGAGAATTATAGCAATTCTAGTAGAGGAGAATAAATGGCTTTATAGTATGGAAATGTAGAGTTCCTATTTATAAAATCAAATTGGTGGATAAATAAAATGCACTTCTGGCTCATTTCCAAATTATTTGTTCAATGAGGCCCACGTCAATCTGCAATGCTTTCAGTGTAAAGGAATCCAGAAGAATACAGAATCTTGAAGATTAAAGCTGGAAGGAATTTAGGAGTTCTCAAACTCAAATCTCTAAAAAAGCCAGGTAATTAACATAAATAAGTGATAAGCTTCACATTACAATATTAAGGGAGTTCCTTCCCCCTGTTGCCTGTGGAAATATAGGGTCATTGTTTCCAAATAGTCTGATTTTTCAAGAGATGCCAAAATCTAGTCTTCCCTATCCATCCTTTTGCTGAGTAGTCACCAGGATGTGGAACTTCTCCTCTCAGTCACAGCTAATTGCACGAGGGATAGGTGCCTGTCTTTGAGGGATGTTGCCCATGCAAATGCTGGCAGCTGACTCCTGTGACCCAGCCTTAAGATGAACAAGTACAGTTTATTTCCCCAGGACATTTGACTCATGACACAAAGGAAATTTATAAGTTGGTAGCAAGGCAGAAATAAGTAGACACAAAGACTGAAACCAAGTTATGTTACCTGCAGAGCACCTGATAGAAAGTTGCAAACTTCTACAACTGAGGTCCTCACAGAGTGGCTTAGAATCTAGACCTACCCACCATCTGAATCCCCATGCTAGATAAGGTATTTTTTTAAAAATTATTTTTATTTTATTTTATTTTATTTTATTTTATTTATTTATGAGAAGGAGTCTTACTCTGTCACCCAGATTGGAGTGCAGTGGCACAATCTGGGCTCACTGCAACCTCTACCTCCTGGGTTCAAGCGATTCTCCCGTCTCAGCCTTCTGAGTAGCTGGAATTACAGGTGGGCGCCACCACATCAGGCTAATTTTTTTAAATTTTTAGTACAGATGGAGTCTCACCATGTTGATTGGCCAGGCTGGTCTCGAACTCCTGACCTCAGGTGATCCACCCACCTCGGCCTCCCAAAGTGCTGGAATTACAGGTGTGAGCCACTGTGCCCAGCTAGGTGTTTTATTTTAACAGCGAAATAAACCCAAGGGTAATGAACACACTAAACCCAGAAATGTGTATGTGAAGGGTTGGATTAATTGGGGATAACTGTATTTAACTTCCAGAACTGTTAAGAATTAAATGAGTATGTGTGAAAATGTCTAGGTCAGTATCTAACACATAGTAGGCACTTAGTGCTACCTTCACAGCTCTCTTCGTCTCTGCTCCTTCCACTACCCATGTATTTACATTTAGTATTGGCATCAACCAAGGGAAGGATGCCGGTATCTGTGACTCAGTCTGATGATGGATAAAAAATTTTTCCTGTCTGTTAACCAGCTGTTATCTAAAAGGCCCCTGTCTATAAGCCATATTTTTCCAGACTCAGATCTTGAGGGGAATTGGTAAAAAATTGTAGACCCTGAATTTGGCTGCCTATACCTGTCAGGATTCAGTGTAAGAAACAGAGATCACTTTAAGTACTTTAAGTAAAAAGGAATTTAATAAGGAAATTAGATAGTTTAAAAAATCTTTGGAAGGATTGGAAGAGTAGGCTCTAGGCTGGGCCTGAAGAAATGGCTCCTAGAATCTTATAGAACTGATCCACCAATTGGCTACTACTTCTGAGACCACCACTGGAATGCTTGAATTCAAGAGCATAGCACCACAGCTGACACCCAGGAAGCTGGAGACTAGTTGCTGGCACACAGCTGCAGAACATTCCCATGTCTACATGACCTCAATTGCCAGGGTAAGAGAGTCTAAAAGGGGAGAGAAAGTGGCCTTGGCATGATTTCTGCTTTCCAAGTCTCACAAAAATGTACCTAATTAATACAAGCCATTTTACATTGAGCATTTTAGCTGTAAAAGAGTCCGTGAAATGCAATTTTCAGTTTTCTAGTCTTTGCAGCACAGAAGGTGCACTAGAAGGAAATGGGAATGAAGGTTGAGTGAACCAGTCCACAGTATCCATAACACTGTCTGCAATGGACTGAATGTTTGTCCCCTCAAACTCATCTGTTGAAAATCTAATCCCAATGTGATAGTATTTGGAGGTGGAACCTTTGGGAGGTGATTAGGTCATGAGGGTGGAGCCCTCATGAATGAGATTTGTGCCCTTTTAAGAAGAGTCGTTTAAGAAGAGGTAGCTAACTCTCTTTTCACTATGTGAGGATATAATGAAAAGACAGCCATCTGCAAAGCAGGAAGTAGGCCTTTACCAGACACTGGATCTGCCAGTGCCTTGATCTTGGACCCCCCCAGCTTCCAGAGTATGAAAAATAAATGTTTGTTGTTTGAGCCACTCAGTCTATGGTATTTTGTTATCACATCCTCTCTTAGTCTGTTTAGTGTAGCTCTATCGGAATACCACAAGCTGGGTAATTTATAAATAAAAAAAATATTTCTCACAGTTCTAAAGGCTGGGAAGTCCAAGCTTAAGGGTCTGCATCTGGTGAGGGCCTTCATGCTACATCATCCCATGGTGGAAGTCAGAAGGGCAAGAGAGTAAGAGGGGGCTGAACTTGCTTTTATAATAAGCCCACTCTTGCAATAACTAACCCATTCCTGTGATATTGACATTCATGAGGGCTCTGCCCACTTATTAGGCCCCATCTCCCAACACTGTTGTATTGGGGATTAAGTTTCTAACACATGAACTTTAGGGGACACATTCAAACCAAAGTCCAGCCCAAACCAAGACATTGCCCTACCATATTTGTCAGTGAAGGTTCTCAAGATCCCCCTTGTACTGGACCTGCCACCTGGTATCATCTGAATTTGAAAGTACGGTAAAACCTCATGATGATGCTAATTCTGAAAAAATACATTTTTCATTTTGTGTCTGTTCTTTATCCATCTGCAGTTCTAAAATAGGAGCAGGCTAAGGTCTTTTATTTTCTGCAGTAGTAGAATGGGTAGGGGAGAAATAGGGTTAGGAATGACTATGTTGTGATCATCTGTGACTTTCTCAGTTAGGTGTAAGATCTCCTGGGTACAGCAAGTGAACAGATCTTTACCCTTGTGCTTTTTGAGATAGTAGGGATTAACTAAAAAATATTGCTTTTTGTTAACTCTGCAATACTGTGTATTTTTTCTGATGAAAAATTTTTGGACCCTGCTTAAAACTTTTTGAAAACTCTTTCATACTTGCTTCTTGATTTTGTTTTTATTTTTAGTTTCTTTTTTAGAAGACTTTGGTATACTTTGGGGTTTGAGATAACACTGTTAGTGCATTTAAGGGAGAGAGGGGGAAGACATTGTTGTACCTGGGTTTAGAATCATTATCTCTAGCAGGGCCACAGTGCAAGCCCGAATCTTTAAAGATATAATGTCCATCTAAATGTGTATGTATCAGTAAAGATTCCAGCTAGAAATAGTTGGCACAATCTGAGTAGGTTGAGAAGAGTTTAATAAAGGTATGGGAATGTTTAGAGGAATCAGCAAAGGATAGTACAAGGACTTTAGGGCTAGCAGCAGTGGAGAAGTTGTTGCATCTACTTGTCCAAATGGGCAAGTAGAGGAAGCTACTTTTGTCATTAGAAGCCATTACTTTTAATGACAAAAACCGCAATTACTTTTGCACCAACCTAATATGAGTGGTTACCAGAATATGAGGAGCACAGCTATCTGGAAAATGCCTCTTGATAGGAGCTGTGGACTTCATTAGTGTGTTAGTCAGGGTTCTCTTAGAGGGACAGAGCTAATGGAATATATATATATATTTATATATATATTTATATATTTATATATATAAACTCATATTTATATATAAACTCATATTTATATATATTTATATATATAAACTCATATTTATATATATTTATATATATAAACTCATATTTATATATATTTATATATAAACTCATATTTATATATATTTATATATATTTATATATATAAACTCATATTTATATATATTTATATATATTTATATATATAAACTCATATTTATATATATTTATATATATAAACTCATATTTATATATATTTATATATATAAACTCATATTTATATATATTTATATATATAAACTCATATTTATATATATTTATATATATAAACTCATATTTATATGTATATATATATATATATGAGTTTATTAAGTATTAACTCACACGATCACAAGGTCCCACAATAGGCCATCTTCAGGCTGAGGAGCAAGGAGAGCCAGTCCAAGTTCCAAAACCGAAGAACTTGGAGTCTGATGTTCGAGGGCAAGAAGCATCCAGCATGGGAGAAAGATGTAGGCTGGGAGGCTAGGCCAGTCTCTCTTTTCACATTTTTCTGCCTGCTTATATTCTGGCTGTGCTGGCAGCTGATTAGATTGTGCCCACCCAGATTAAGGGTGGGTCTGCCTTTCCCAGCCCACTGGCTCAAATATTAATCTTCTTTGGCAACACCCTCACAGATGCACCCAGGATCAATACTTTGTATCCTTCAGTCCAATCAAGTTGACACTCAGTATTAACCACCCCTTGTCAACTTGAACCCATATACATCTCCTGAGATCATACCTAATTTTCAAATAAAGACAATAATAAGGTCATAATTATGCCTAACATAATACAACTATCCTTCATACAACCAGAAATGCACCAATCCCCAACCCAAATACTATTACATAAAGTTAACAATACTTAAATGCTGATGTGAAGTTGATAAATCTTATGTCACATGATAAAGGAGAAAGGAAATAAAATGAAGGTATTTTCTTAGTACAAGTGTATACATGCACAAACATGTTTTTAACAAAAGAAGGAAGAAATACAATTATAGTCCTCATTTCTGCAGCTGGTCACGTAGTCGTTGCTGGTATTGATGATTACCTTCTTCTACTACTCATTCTGTATTTCCCTTGCCTTCAGCAAGCACCTCAGCAGGTCGTGGATTTTTTTTTCCTGGTGGAGTGACTCAAACCTTCATTCCTGAAGGGTCTGGGTCATTTGCAGTCTTGCCTGGATTGGGCTGTTGAAGTTTCCCATTGACCTTAATCACATGGCATGGAAATACTAAGAGACGCCCTAATGGATCTCCTGTATTCCATGCATACTCTTCCTTACCTCCTATATGGAGTAGTAGGCTGATTTCATCTTGATAGTCCGGGTCAATCACCCCAGCCAACACTGTAGCCCCCTTCTTAGCCTTTTGACTTAAAGGTAGGAGGAGCCCAAAGTGTCTGGGTGGCAATCTTAACTTCCAGTTTAATGGAATTGTTGTTGTGTCTCCGGGTGGCAGCGTTCCTCCCTCTGGAACTAAGACCTCTAGGCAAGCAGAATGTAATGCCTTGGGAAAAGGAAGCAAACATTTTGCTAGTGGATCACTAGGGGTGATTTTGAGTGGTGCCACTTCTACCACTTGATTCCTGGACCCATGAATCCTGGCTATGGGAGAAACAGTACCATATACTGGACGCTGATTCAGAGCATACACAACCTTCTGGAGAACTTTGCCCCATCCCTGCAAAGTATTGTCACCTCGTTGGCATTGTAATAGTGACTTTGAAAGGCCATTCCACCATTCTATCAATCCAGCTGCTTCAGGATGATGGAGAACATGGTAAGACCAATGAATTCCATGAGCATGAGCCCACTGCTGCACTTCTTTAGTCATAAAGTGAGTGCCTTGGTCAGAGGCAATGCTGTGTGGAATACCATGATGGTGGATAAGGCATTCTGTGAGTCCACGGATGGTAGTCTTGGCAGAAGCATTGCGTACAGGATAGGCAAACCCATATGTGGAGTAAGTGTCTATTCCAGTGAGGACAAACCTCTGCCCTTTCCATGATGGAAGAGGTCCAATAAATCAACCTGCCACCAGGTAGCTGGCTGATCACCCTGAGGAATGGTGCCATATCGAGGGCTCAGTGTTGGTCTCTGCTGCTGGCAAATTGGGCACTCAGCAGTGGCTGTAGCCAGGTCATCCTTGGTGAGTGGAAGTCCATGTTGCTGACCCCATGCGTAACCTCCATCCCTGTCACCATGGCCACTTTGTTCATGGGCCCATTAGGCAATGACAGGGGTGGCTGGGGAAAGAGGCTGAGTGGTGTCCACAGAATGGGTCATCCTATCCACTTGATTATTAAAATCCTCCTCTGCTGAAGTCACCCGTTGGTGAACATTCATATGGGATACAAATATCTTCACAGTTTTTGACCACTCAGAGAGGTCCATCCACAGACCTCTTCCCCAAATTTCTTTGTCACCAATTTTCCAGTTATGCTTTTTCCAAGTCCTAGACCATCCAGCCAAACCATTGGCTACCGCCCATAAATCAGTATAAAATTGCACATTTGGCCATTTCTCCTTCCATGCAAAGTGCAAAGTGCATAACCAGGTGCACTGCTCAAAGTTCTGCCCACTCGGGAGATTTCCCTTCATTGCTGTCCTTCAGGGATGTCGTGCTGTAGCTATCCACTTTTGGGTGGTGCCTGCATATCATGCAGAAACATCTGTGAACCAGGCCCTAGTCTTCTCTTTCTCTGTCAACTGATCATAGGGAACTCCCCATGATTCCATCAGTGCAGGCTAGGGAAGAGAAGGCAGTGTGGCAAGAGTGGAGACCATGGGCATTTGAGCCACTTCCTCTTCCTCATGTAACTTACTTGTGCTTTCAGGACCTGCTTGAGCCTGATCACATATATACCACTTCCATTTGATGATGGGATTGCTGCTGTTTTTTTTTTTTTTTTCCATCTCTTCAGTGCCTCTTTCAGTGATATGAAGTTAAAACCAGGTACTGTGAGTGCTCACCTGATTTTTGGTTTTTATCAAGGTGTTTAAGGTGATTCTTCTTCTTCTTCTTCTTCTTCTTCTTCTTCTTCTTCTTCTTCTTCTTCTTCTTCTCCTTCTCCTTCTCCTTCTTCTCCTTCTCCTTCTCCTTCTCCTTCTCCTCCTTCTCCTTCTCCTCCTTCTCCTTCTCCTCATTCTCCTTCTCCTCCTTCTCCTTCTCCTTCTTCTTCTTTCTTCTTCCTCCTCCTCCTCCTCCTCTTCCTTCTCTTCCTCCTCCTCCTCCTCCTCCTCTTCTTCTTCTTCTTCTTTTTGACAGAGTCTCGCTTTGTTGCTCAGGCTGGAGTACAGTGATGCAATCTCAGCTAACTGCAACCTCTGCCTCCCGGGTTAAAGTGATTCTCGTGCCTCAGCCTCCCAAGTAGCTGGGATTACAGACGTGTGCCACCACACCCAGCTAATTTTTGTATTTTAGTAGAGACAGGGTTTTGCTATATTGGCCAGGCTGGTCTCGAACTCTGTCCTCAAGTGATCTGCCTGTCTCAGCCTCCCAAAGTTTTGGGATTACAGGCGTGAGCCACCACACCCAGCCTGAAGGTGTTTCTTCTGTGTAGATAGTTGTTAACTTGGTGTCCTTGCAGGTGAGATGGTCAGTAGAGCCTTCTATTCCGCCATATTGCTCCACCCCTCTATTCCATGTGTACCCATTGTTTGGCTCCCATTTATAAATGAGAGCATATGGTATTTGATTTTCTGTTTCTGAGTGATTTCACTTAGGATGCGGGTCCATCCATGTTGCTGTGAATGATATGATTGCATTCTTTTAATATATTTAAATCTATATTTTCTTTTATGGTTTCTGTCCTTGGTGCCACATTTTACAATGCTCTTCCTGCAAGGACACACTGTCTCTACTAAAAATACAAAAACTAGTTGGTGTGGTGGAACATACTTGTAATCAAAGAACTAGAATGACAGTCACATGTTGACAACATGTGTATAATATGACAAAGGAATGAATAATTTTTACAAATCAATAAAGAATAAAGGTAAACATTCCAATAGAAAAAAAATGAGCAAAAGTTGAGGACAGGCAATTTACAAAGGATCAAATACAAATAGCCAATGGAAAAAATGGAAGCAGTTCAGATTCACTGATAATAAAAAAAATGATTACACAACATCATGCCATTTAAAAATGTTTCTATTTTTTGCCTATCATTGATAAAGAATAAAAGTAATGATAATACACAGTGTTGACCTGGGTATGAGGAAATAAAGACTTTCAAGTATATGAAAATTATATACATATGTTAACATTTATATGTTGGGGGAATAAATTAGTATAATAATATTTCTGAAGGATAATATTCCAAAAGTCTTTTTCTTTTTTGAGACAGGGTCTCCACTCTTGTAAGGTGCTGCACATCTTGCAGCATACAGACAAGTGCTTTCTCTGACACTTGTTTTCAAACTTCGGTGGCCACTTAATGTCACTGTGGTTTCAAGGAAATGCAATGAAGATAAGTCTTCTTTGGTCTCAGCAATGACTGTAAAGACTGGGTCAGGAAAAAATAAATAGGGAAATCAACTCCAGATTTTTTTTTTTTTTTGACACGGAATCATGCTCTGTCGTCCAGGCTGGAGTGCAATGGCACGATCTCAGCTCACTGCAACCTCCACCTCCCGGGTTCAAGTGATTCTTGTGCCTCAGCCTCCCTAGTAGCTGGGATTACAGGTGTAATCCACCACTCCAGGCTAATTTTTGTATTTTTAGTAGAGACAGGGTTTTGCCATGTTGGCCAGGCTGGTCCCGAACTCCCAGCTTCAAGTGATCTGCTCGCCTCGGCCTCCCAAAGTGCTGGGATTACAGGAGTGAGCCACTGTGCATGGCCAATATATTCCAAAAGTCTTAAATGCGTGTGTTCTTTAACCTAGTTGTTACAATTGCAGGAATTGATCCTAAGGAAATAATCAGATATGTTATATATATATATGGAAACTCCTATAATATTATTTTATAGTGTTGAAAATTTAAAAACCATCTGAATGTCTTAATATGGACTTGGTTAACTAATTATGATATATCCATAAGTGAATTACAGTTCATCCATATGTTGGGATACTATTTGACTATTTAAAATAATGATATAAAAGAATAACATAAGAAACTGTTCATGGTGTATCACTAAGTGCAAAAAGCAGGCAACAAATCACTGTGTGTTGAGTAATAAACAGTTTATTATTCAGAGAGAGACAGGAAGGAAATAAACATATTAATGAGGGTTATTTCTGGGTGGTGAAGTTGGATGATTTTAACATTTTGTGTTTTTCAGATTTTTATTCCTAATTCTTTGTATTAAGAAAGCATTATCTAGGAAGCAAAATGAAAAATTGCTATTAAATTTTTTTTTGGTTTATTCTTTTGTCTATAAAGGCAACTGAGTCAAGACAAATAGTCTGTGTTAGGCAGTTGTCTTTTGCTGGGTCCAGCCTGTAGCTTATTAGCCCTATGCTAAATTTTCATCAGCAACAACAGGAGCTGGTCAGATCGTGGCAGTTCAAATAAGAAAATTGCTGGGAAAGTCACCTTACTCCATCTTGTAGCATAAAGACAAGTGCTTTCTCTGACACTTCTTTTCAACCTCCTGTGGCCACTGAATGTCACTGTGGTTCCAAGGAAATGCAATGAAGAAAGACTTCTTTGGTCTCAGCAATGACTGTAGAGACTGGGGCAGGAAAAAATAAATAGGGAAATCAACTCCGGAATTCTCCCTCTCTCTCTCTCTCTTTTTTCTTTTGAGACAGAGTTTTACTCTGTGGCCCAGGCTGGAGTGCAGTGATGCAATCTCAGCTCATTGCAACCTCTGCCTCTTGGGTTCAAGCGATTCTCATGCCTCAGCCTCCTGAATAGCTAGGATTACAGGTGTGCCCCACCATGCCTGGTTAATTTTTGTATTTTTAGTAGAGACGGGGTTTCACCATGTTGGCCAGGCTGTTTTTGAACTCCTGACCTCAGGTGATCCACCTGCCTTGGCCTCCCAAAGTGCTGGGATTACAGGCATGAGCCACCACACCCAGCCAACTCCAGAATTGTCTAGAGGCCTGTACAATGCCTCTGGCCTCCTATTTCTACTAACAATACATTTAGGTTGATAAATTAGCAATGAGAACAAAGTGTTTGAAACAACAGTTCCCAGCTTCTAAGACATTCTAAGTCCCATATAGTAAGAACCAAAACCCCAGGTTGTGATCCTGCTTCTGCCAAACTCTGGTCAGATTCCTCCAGTGGAAAGATGGAGAAACTGAGCTCAGAGATAGAGGACAGCCTCAGGAGGCAGAAGACAGTCATCCAATAGGCAGATTAAGAACCTGCCTAGGGCACCAGAAAAGCAAGGGCATCAAATAGTAATGCCTTTTTTGGAGGCAGAGGCTGTGTAGGATTTAGTTCCATACCACTAGTGTTTGGTACAGAGTTTGGCAGGTAGTAGGTGCTCAGAAAAAATTGAAATAACTTCCCTGGCTACTATCCCTTCAATCTGGATTAGGTGACCCTCCTTTATGGTCTCATAGTACTTATGCTTACTTCTATCATACCACTTATGGCACTGAGTTACAATGATTCATTTACATATCAGTTGGATACTGGACATTAGAGACTGTATTTTTTGACATGCCATCAGTCCTTAGTGCAAAAAAGAAAGTGTTCTCCCTGCTTTCCCCCTATATCATACACCCAAGGGATCATGATAACCAGATGATCTTTTTTTCTTTTCATGGTTCTTTGTTCTCAAAATGAACTGAGTTACAAGTTTGGAGAAGCTGGAGTTAAGTTGGAGCAGGAATGAGAGGGCCAGAATTAGGGAAGTTTAGTGAGGCTAGGCAGAGGTGGGTGAAGGAAAAAATATCTCATTGGTGGGATGGTTGGAGAGAGAAATTGAGAATTGGAAATATGTCAAATGGGGATTGATGAAGTTGTTCGTGATGGAAATGTATTTTCTCCATCTCTCCTGTGCAGTATTTGGTACAATCTTCAATGCTTTGTCAGTAGATTTTCTTGTTGCGGGGTGGGGGGTGGGGTGGGGTTGTGAAGAAGTATCAAGGTCAGTGGGCAAAAATGGATGCTGCTCGTGGGTAATAGCTCATCTATGGGTTGCAGTAGCCCAGTGCACATATCTTGCAGTTCTGTGCTCTTTCCAAGAAAGCTGATTTGTCTTATTTACATAGGCCTGCCATAATTGGCTATCCTCATATCAGAGAGTCTCAGATACCAGATGTGACCTTTTATAAGGTCAACTGCAAGTGTATACAGAGTGAATGGCTACCTCTGTGGTACGGACCCCTCTTTCTTTAGCTGGCTACTTTAATTTACTCATTAGTCATTTTTTGGGGGGCAAGGGAAAGAAGGAAAATAGAGAGAGATTTACCTGGAACCATGAATCCTATTGCTCTCCTCTGGACACTCTTGTCTGTTCTCCAGATTATCCTGTTTTCTATCTGGACCATCGCCACTGTCATGTCTTCCATTCTCTCAGGGACCTGCTTTCTGTTATGTCTCTAAGCCATGTCTTTTCCTGAGCTTCAAACTTATGTAGTCATGCTCCTATTTGACATCTCCACTTTGTTGCTTACTAGGCATCTAAAATTTATTGTATCTAAAGTCCAAACTCTTGATCCTCCCAGAAAACTTCATTCTCTTGCAATCTTCTGTATTTCAGTTAATGGGCAATTTCATCCTTTTAATTGCTCAGGCCTAGGACCTTGTAGACATCTTCATCTCCCCTTTTTCTCTTACAGCCTTCATCCAATTTATCAGCAAATCTTTTGGCACTACTTCAAAATACATTCAGAATCTGATCTCTTCTTACCACCTCTACTGCTACCACTCTGATTCAAGCCACTGTCTTCTCTCTTGCCTGGACTATTTCAATAGTGTTCTAAATGTTCTCTTTGCTCCTATGCTTGTCTTTTACAATCAACACAGCAGCCAGATGACCCTTTTGAAGCTTAAGTTCGATCATATCACTTTTCTGTTTGTATCCTCCAACAGATTTCCATTTCTGTCAGAGTAAAGCCACTATTCTTATGGTGAGCTATAAGCCCATCCATGACCTCACTGACTTCATCTCTTATTACTCTCACCTATTATTTGTCACTGCACTCCAGCCACAGTGACTTCTTCACTACTCCTCAAACATACCAGATATGCTTGTACCTTAAGGGCTTTGCACTTAGTATTCCCACTGCCTGCAATTATCTTCCTCTAGATGTCTACAGAAATCATCCACCATCTAAAGGTCTCTGCTTAAGAGTTGGTAACAACTTTTGTGCAGGTCATTTATTTGGGAACGTCATCTCTGGAAGCATGTATGGAGAACAAGGGAAGTGAAACAAGAAGAGAGAGCCAATATAAAGATGAGTTACAGAGTTGACCACAGCTATGGGCAACTGTTTTCTTAATCCTGCTGGACATCTCAGACAACTTATGACATGAGCATCTGCATACTTTCTGGTGATTAGAAAGGGTGAAGCAGGCCAGGCCTGGTAGCTCATACCTGTAATCCCAGCACTTTGGGAGGCCAAGGTGAGAGGATCACTTGAACCCAGGAGCTCGAGACCAGCCTGGGCAAAATGGTGAAGCCTTGTCTCTACAAAAAATACAAAAATTAGCTGGGCACCTCAATCAACCCTCCCACCTCAATTTCTCAATTGGGGTACAGGTGCACACCAATAGCCTCAGAGAGGTTGGAGCTGCAGTGAGCCAAGATTGTGCCACTGCACTCCAGCCTGGGTGACAGAGGGAGACCTTGTCTTAAAAAAAAAAGAGAGAAGAAAAGAAAGAGGGAAGCTTTTCTCCATCAGCTCACCATCTCTGATGCAGGAGCAGCTACATAAATTGTGGGGCACAGTGCAAAATGAAAATGAAGGACCCTTTGTTCAAAAATAATTAAGTATTTGAAGACATCAGTAGCAGAAATCAGAGAAGTCTGGGGGCAGGAGGCAAGAGCCTCAGTGTGCACCTGTGGCAAGACAGTGTCACATTGAGCCTACTTGAAGCTGGTTGAACCCTGTATGGACTAGTCACGAAAGTTGTGTCTGGAATAATGAGTAAATTCAAAAGGATTTTGAAATGTTGCATAAATCTGAAAAACCTTGTCACCCTCTATGCCCTTTCCTACTTCAGTTTTCTTTACAGTATTTGTTAGGTTCTTGCCTATCTCCTCCACTAGAATGGAAGCTCTGTGAAAGCAGGGAATTTGCTTTATTCTCTATTAGGTTCCCAGCACCTAGAACTATGTCTGGCACATAGTGGGTGCTCATTTTTTGTTGAATGAATTAATTCATGAGAAACAGTGTACAGCGTTTAAGAGCCTAGTCTCTGAAGCCAGATGGCCTGGGTTGAATGATCCACGCCAGGGTGTAAGTGGCTACTAATATGTGCCAATGACCCTCTTTTTACTCCTGCATCATTTTTGTATAGGGAGCTGGTTAAATTGAGTATCAATATTATTTAAAGTTTCTGTTAATTATCAAATATTTCTATAAGATAAGTGCTATTGATACTCAGTTTTACAGATGAGGACACTGTGGCCCAGAAAACAGGAAAGAACATCCTTAAAGGGGATGAGACATCCCGTAACTGCTGAGCTAGAGAGTGCTGGAGAAGGGTGTGTCCTCCATTTTGCCTCAGTGATTGTGGTGCTAGTATGGGATAACTCTATGAGTGAATGGGTATGAACTTTTTTTATCTCTTCTAATAGCCTCCTAGGGACTGGAAGTATAAAGACAAGGACTCCAGTGTATAGGGAGAAGAGGTGAGAGACCAACAGGCTGGTGCTGGAAGCATTGCCTCAGAGAAGCTTCAGGAATTTCCAAGTCATGGATACCTTATTGCTCAATATTTTGACTTTGACACATGAATGATTATTTGTACCTAGTGAATGAGGAATACACACCCAGTAACAGGGATGTGTTCAGTATCAATTGCAACTGGTTAGTGATCAGATGGTTGGTGAAACTGCAAGTCTACTTAGTCACGCAGGGTTCAGAATGCAAATAAAAGGGTAAGATGCCTTGGCCATGTGGGTATGGCCCCATTTCTACTTACTGAAATAAGGATGAAGGGGCAGACAGGAGGACCAGAGTGAAAATGCAAGGGAACTAGTTAAGAGAACAGTCAACATGGTGAAAAATGTTTTTTTTTTTGAACCAATGCTACATACAAAGTGTGTTGTTTTTCGTTTAATAAGCCAATCACATTTTTATGACAGGCTACAGTTTGGTGGGAGATAAGGGAAGGAGAGGAATGTTGGAGAGGACATAAAGCCAGAACCTCTGAAGCTTAATGATAAGAGATGTTCTTGTCAGGTCAGAAGAAGAACTTACTAATCTTCTCTTTATTCCTCCATAGCTTCTCTTTTTGCATAGTACCTTTTGCTAGGAAAAGGTACAAACACTGCCTAGTAAAATGTGTACCCTCATAGGATCATGGCATTAATATATTCGGGGATAAACAATGCAGTTGTTCATTCTTAATGTTTCTCATATCTGTGCCTTTGAACAGACTGGTCACTTTCCTTTTTCTAGTTTGTGGCTTTGGTTGTGTGATGAGTGTTGGCTTGAAAAATTACATGCAATCATAGAACTTGTGCTGTTATCCCAGCACTTTGGGAATAACTCTTCTTCCCAGTGAATGTTTTGAGTATGCAAATAGCAAAATAGGAATGGTCTTGACTTTCCATCTGTTCCAAAGACTGCTCGTTGACTGCCAAGATATGTTCTTCCTTTCTTCCTAGGAACATGGTGCATAGCTATAGCTACTACAGTCCCTTGTGTAGTAGATTTAGTCATTTGACTAAGCTCTCCCCAGTGGAAAGTGAATGGAAGTGATGTGTTCTACTTCAAGGTCTTAACAAAGTGAACATTCTTTCTTCACATTGCAACCCGTGATAACCTAAATCTGACCAAGCAGATCGCATCCATGATCTAAGGGATGGAGGGGCAGACCTGTGAAAGAAATCCAGACTCCTAAATAATCATGGAGCAGAGCTGCTTTGTTTACCTTGACAATACATTAATACTTAACTTGCAAATATTATGAGATATATATATATATATATATATATATATTTATATCAACTTCTTTTTTTTTTTAAATCACTGTATTGTTGGGCATCAGAAAGATGGAAGAATAGGAGGTTCCACTCTGTATCCCCTCACAGAAACACCAATTTTAGGATGCACAAATCCATGCAAAAAATATCTTCATGAGAGCTCTGGATCCATGTGAGGGATTATAGCACCTGGGTAGAGCACAGAAATGAGAAAAGATGCACTGGTGAAGGTAGGAAAGACAGTTTTACTCTGCCCAAGTGACTTCTCCCCATAGCCTGTGTAGCACAGGGGCTAAGAGAGATCCTCTCTGTTTTGGAGCTCTCCTGTCAGGAAAAGAGAGTGAAGTGAGCATCTGACTTTGCCATGGTCCTAGGCTCCAAGCTAGCCCCAGTGGACCCTGGTGCCATGCTGGCCCCTCTAAACCCGAGTTTCAGGCCTGCACCAGTGGTCCCAGACACCAGGCAACCTGTGCAGACAAAAGCTCCAGTTATACCCCACGGCCAGGCCAGCTGCCACTGATCCAAGTTCCAGGCCTGCTCTGGCAACACTTCTACCCCAATGGACCCGGGCTCCATGCCCAACCCAGTGACAAGCCAGTCCAAGCAGACCTAAGCTCCAAGTACACCCTTGCTGACTGAGGCTCTAGGCTCACCATAGCACCAGACCAGCCCTGGCATCAAGAGGATCCCTGCAAACTTGGGTTTCAGGTTTGCACCAGTGGTCCCAAACACCAGTCTGCCCTCTGCAGACAGAGACCACAGGCCCACTTCAGATGCAGGCTGGTCCCCACAGACCCAGGCTTTAGACACATTCCAGTGCCAGAATGGCCCCTGTGGACCTATACTCCAAGCCCAGTTCTGCCCCAGCATCAGGGAAGCCACCACAGACCCGGGTCTCCCCTTGTGGATCCATGCTCCAAGCCTGCCCCAGTGGACTCCGGTGCCATGCTGGCCCCATAGACCCAGGCACCAGTTTTATCCAGGCCTGACTGTTTGCAGGCAGACCCTTGCAGCAGGCCCGTCTACAGTGCCCACTTGTGTATTCAAACAGAATTTCTGGCCAGGATGACTGATGGAGGGCTTTCCCTGCCAAAGACAGTCTGTAAGGACTGGAAAAGGTGCCTACTTCTTCAAATACATCGACACCAATATAAGCCAACAAGGATCACAAGAGATCCAATAATTATGACACCACCAAAGGAACAAAATAAAGCACCAGGGACCAACTCTAAAGAAATGGAGATCTACAAGTGACCTCACAAAGAATTCAAAATAATTGTTTTTAAGAAGCTCAGTGAGCTACAAGAAAGCGCAGATAAACAACTGAATCAATCAAGAAAATAATACATGAACAAATGAGAAGGTCAACAAAGAAAAAATATAAAAAAAGAACCAAATTCTGGAGCTGAAGAACACAATGACTGAACTGAAAAATTAAATAGAGAGCTCCAACAGCAGACTTGATCAAGCAAAATAAAGAATCTGTGAACTTGGAGACAGATCACTTTAAATTATCTAGTCAGAGAAACAAAACAAAAAAGAAATGAAAAAAGGAAAGCCTACAGGACCATGGGACACTATCAAAAGAACAAATATATGCATTATGGGAATTCCAGGAGGAGCAGAGAAAAGGGCAAAAAGTGCATTTAAAGAAATAATGACAAAAACACTACCCAAATCTGGGGTGGGGGAGGGGGAGATAAATAAATATCCAGATCCGTGGAGCCCAAAGAACTCCAAATAGATTGAATGTGAAAAGTTTTCACCAAGACACATTGTAATCAAATTAGCAAAAGTTATGAGAAAAGAAATGGGCCATATGTGGTGGCTCACATCTGTTATCCCAGCACTTTGGGAAGCTGAGATGGGAGGATTGTTTGAGGCCAGGAGTTTGAGACCAACCTGGGCAACATAGCAAGATCCCATCTCTAAAAAGAAAAAATAATTAGCCAGGCATTGTGGCATGCAGCTGTGGTCCTAGCTACTCAGGAGGCCAAGGCAGGAGGATCACTGGCGCCTTGGCATTCAATGCTGCAGTGAACTATGAGAATAGCACATGAAGAAATAAAAACGTCAACAAAGAGATAGAAACCATAAAAAATAACCAAACAAATTCACCACTGCACTCTAGTCTGGGCAACGGAGCAAGACCCTCTCTCTTTAAAAAAAAAAAGGAAGAAAAGGAAAAAGAATTTTCTGATTTCTTCACTTTTAGACTATGTGTGTCCTTAATGTCAATGTATGTCCTTTGCAGGCAGTATGCAGTTGGATCTTGATTTTTTATCTAGTTAGCCACTCTATGTCTTTTAATTGGAGAAGTTAATCCATTTACATGTAAAGTAATTATTGCTAGTGAAGGACGTACTATTGTCATTTCTTTCACTGTTTTCTGACTTGTTTTGTAGTTACCTTGTTCCTTTCTTCCCCTCTTGCTGTCTTCCTTTGTGATTTGATTATTTATTTAGTGGTGTGTTTTGATTACTCTCTCTTAATTTTTTGTGTATCCATTACAGGTTTTTTCTTTATGATTACCATGAGTTTTACATAAAACATTTTATAGTCATAACAGTCTATTTTAGGCTGATAACTTAATTTTGATCTCATATAAAAACTCCACACTTTTACTTCTCCACTCACACACATTTTATGTTGTTGATGTCATAGTTTACATCTTTTTAGATTGTGTATCCATTAACAAATTATTGTAGCTATAGTTTTTTTTAATTTTCTTTTAACTTTTATACTAGAGTTAAAAGTGATTTATGTACCATCATTATAGTATTAGGTTATTATGGGTTTGACTATGCACTTACTTTACCAGTGAGTTTTGTACTTTCACATGGTTTCATATTGGTAATTAGCATCCTTTTGTTATAACTTGAAGAACTCCTTATAGCATTTCTTATAAGGGAGGTCTAGTGGTGATGAACTCCACCAGCTTTTGTTTGTCTGAAAGAATCTTTTTCTCTTCCTCATATTTAATGATAGCTTTGACAGGTAAACAATGCTTGGTTCAGAGTTTTTCTTTTTCTTTCAGCACTTTGAATATATCATCTCACTCTCTCCTGTGTACAAGGATTTTGCTGAGAAATCTGCTGATAGTATTATGTGAGTTCCTTTGTATGTCATGAGTTGCTTTTCTCTTGCTACTTTCAAACCTTTCTTTTCCCTTTTCTTCCTTTTTTTTTTTTTTTTAAAGAGAGATGGTCTTGCTCTGTTGCCCAGACTAGAGTGCAGTGGTGAATTTGTTTGGTTATTTCTAGTTTCACAACATTTTGATCAGAAAAAATACTTCATATTATTTTAATCTTCTTAAATTTATGAAGTCTTATTTTGTGGCTAATGTATAATCTATCTTGGCAAATGTTCTGTATGAACTTGAGAAGAATGTGTATTCTTGCTGCTGTTGGATGCAATATTCTGTATATGTCTTCCAAGTTCATTCAGTCTACAGTGTTGTTCAAGTCTGCTATTTCCCTATTGCTTTTCTGTCTGGATGGCCTATCTATTGTTAAAAGTGGGGTATTGCAGTTCCCTACTAATATTGTATTGCCATCTATTTCTCCCTTCAATTGTTTGTATTTGCTTTATTTATTTATGTACTATGATGTTGGGTGCATATATTTACAATTGTTATATCATCTTGTTCGTAATTATATAATGATTTTCTTTTGTCTCATGACACTTTTTGACATAGTCTATTTTATTTGATATTAGTATAGCCACCCCTGCTCTCTTTTAGTCACCATTTACATGGAATATATTTTTTTATTATACTTTAAGTTCTAGGGTACATGTGCACAACATGCAGGTTTGTTACAAATGTATACATGTGCCATGTTGCTGTGCTGCACCCATTAACTCGTCATTTACATTAGGTTTATCTCCTAATGCTATCCCTCCTCCCTCCCCCACCCACAACAGGCTCTGGTGTGGGATGTTCCCCACCCTGTATCCAAGTGTTCTCATTGTTCAATTCCCACCTATGAGTGAGAACATGCAGTGTTTGGTTTTCTGTCCTTGCGATAGTTTGCTGAGAATGATGGTTTCCAGCTTCATCCATGTCCCTACAAAGGACATGAACTCATCCTTTTTTATGGCTGCATAGTATTCCATTACATAGAGTGGCTAAATAGATAAAAAAAATCAAGATCCAACTGCATACTGCCTACAAGGGACACACGTTGACATTAAGGACACACATAGTCTAAAAGTGAAGAAATCAGAAAAATCCTAAAATTTATATAGAAGCACAAAAGACTCCAAATAGTCAAAGCAATCTTGAGCAAGAACAAAGCTGGAGGCATCATGCTTCCTGATGAAATTCTATTACAAAGCTATAGTAATCAAAACAGTATGATGTTGGCATAAAAACAGGCACATAGAACAATGGAACAGAATAGATAGCCCAGAAATAAACAAACGTATATACAGTTAACTAATTTTGACAAAGGCACAAAATGGGGAAAGGATAATCTTCTTGACAAATGGTGTTGGGAAAACTGGATATCATCCATATGCAACAGAATGAAATTGAACCTATATCTTATACCACACACACAAATCAATTCAAAATAGTTTAAGGACTTAAAGCCTAAAATTATAAAACTGATAGAAGAAAACATAGAGAAATTCCTCCTTGTCATTGATCTTTGCAATAATTTTTTTTGGATATGATACCAAAAGCGCAAGCAAAAAAAAAAAAAGCAAAAATAAACAAGTGGGATTACATCGAACTAAAAATCTTCTGCACGGCAAAGGAAACAATCAATAAAATGAAAAGCCAACTTATGGGATGGGAGAAAATATTTGCAAACCATATATCTGATAAGTGGCTAATATCCAAAATACGTAAGCAACTACTACAGTTTAGTGAACAAACAAGTAACTTGATTAAAAAAATGGGCAAAGACTAACAAAAAGCTTTCCAAAAAAGAAACAAAGAGAACAATCCCATTTATGATAGCTGCAAAAAATATGATACTTAGGAAAATAGTTAACCGATGTGGTAAAATACCTGTACACTGAAAATTATAAAACATTTAATGAAATAAATTGAAGATGACATAAATAAATGGAAATATATCTCATGTTCATGGATTGGAAGAATTAATATTGTTAAAATGTTCATACTACCCCAAACAATCTACATATTCAATGCACTCCCTGTCGAAATTCCAGTGACATTTTTCACAGAAAAAGAAAGAGCAATCCTAAAATTCACAAGGAACAACAAGAAACTCTGAATAGCAAAGGCAATCCTGACTCAAAAGAACAAAGCTGGAGGTATCACACTACCTGATTTCAGTCTATACTACAAAGCTGAAGTAATTAAAAGAGCATGTGGCTGGCATAAAAATAGAACATTGACCAATGGAACAGAATAGAGAGCCCAGAAATGAACCCACACATGACTTTTGACAAAAGTGTCAAGAATGCACAATGGGAAAGGGCAATCTCTTCAATAAATGGTATTGTGAAAAGTTGATATTCGTATACAGAGGAATGAAATTGGACCCTTATCTCACACTATATACAAAAATCAAAATGGATAATGACTTAAACATAAGACCTGAAACTGTACAACTATTACTTTTAGTGGCAAAAACCGCAATTAATTTTGCATCAACCTAATAATTAATAGAAGAAAACATACAGGAGAAAATATGTGCAAGTCATACATCTGATAAGGGGTTAATATCTAGAATATGTAAGCCACCCAAACAACTCTATAGAAAGAAAACAAATAATTCAATTAAAAAAATGGGCAAAGGACCTGAATAGATATTTTTCAAAAGAAGACATACAAACGGCCAACAGACACATGAAAAAATGCCCAACATCACTAATTATTAGGGACATTCAAATGAAAACCACAATGAGATATTATCTCACATCTGTCAGAATGACTATTATTAAAAAGATTGAGGGAGGGACTAAGATGGCTGATTAGAAGCAGCTGCGGTCCATGGCTCTCATGGAGAGGAATGAAAATGGCAAGTGAATTCAGCACTTTCAACTGAAATATCCAGGTTCTTGGATTGGGACTGACTAGGTGGATAACTTGACCCACAGAGAATGAAGAAAAGCAGGGTGGGGCAATGGCCCACCTGGGATTGGCACAGAACCAAAGGAACCCCCAACCCCAGCCAAGGGATGTGGTGAGTGACTGTGCGACCCCACCCGGGAAACCATGCTCCTCCCACAGATCTTTGCAACCTACAAATCAGGAGATACCCTCATGAGCCCATGCTACCAGGGCCTTGGGTCCAATACATAGAGCTGTGGAGTCTTGGCAGAATGCTCAATCCAAGGTCAAAATGAAAGAAAAAAGGTTAAGGGCAGCCAGAGAGAAAGGCCAGGTCACCTACAAAGGGTAACCTATCAGACTAACAGTGGACCCCTCAGCGGAAACCCTACAAGTTGGAAGAGATTGGGGGCCAATAGCTAACATTCTTAAAGAAAAGAATTTTCAACCTAGAATTTCATATCTGGCCAAACTAAGCTTCATATATGAAGGAGAAATAAGATCTTTTTCAGACAAGCAAATGCTGACGGATTGATCACCACTAGGCCTGCCTTGCAAGAGGTGCTGAGGAAACACTAAATGTGGAAAGGAAAAACCATTACTAGCCACTACAAAAACACACTGAAGTACACAGACCGGTGACACTATGAAGCAACCACATAAACAAGTCTGCAAAATAACCAGCTAGCATCATGACAGGATCAAATTTACACATAACAATATTAACATCAAATGTAAATGGGCTAAATGCCCCAGTTAAAAGGCACAGAATGACAAGTTGGATAGAGTCAAGACCCATCAGCATGCTGTCTTCAAGAGACCCATCTCATGTGCAAAGACACACACGACACAAAATAAAGAGATGGAGGGAAATTTACCAAGGAAATGGAAAACAGAAAAAAGCAGGGATTGCAATCCTAGTTTCTGACAAAACAGACTTTAAAACAACAAAGATCAAAAAAGAAGAAGGGCGTTACGTAATGGTAAAGAGTTCAATTTGACAAGAAGAGCTAACTATCCTAAATATATATGTACCCAATACAGGAGTACCCAGATTCATAAAGCAAGTTTTTAGAGACCTACAAAGAGACTTAGACTCCCACATGATAATCCTGGGAGATTATAACACCCCACTGACAATATTAGACAGATTATTGAGACAAAAAAATTAACAAAGATATACAGGACCTGAACTCAGCTCTGGATCAAGTAAACTTAATAGATATCTACAGAACTCTCCATGCAAAAACAACAGAATATACATTCTTCTCATTGCTACATGGCACTTACTCTAAAATTGATCACAAAATCTGAAATAAAACACTCCTCAGCAAATGCAAAATAGCTGAAATCATAACAAACAGTCTCTCATACCACAGTACAATCAAATTACAGCTCAAGACTAAGAAATTTACTAAAAATCACACAACTACATGGAAATTAAACAACCTGTTCCTGAATGACACTTGGGTAAATAATGAAATTAAGGCCGAAATCAAGAAGTTATTTGAAACTAAGGAGAAATAAGAGACAATGTACCAGAATCTCTGGGATGCAGCTAAAGCAGTGTTAAGAGGGAAATTTATAGCAGTAAATGCCCACATCAAAAAGCTAGAAGATCTCAAATTAACAACCAGTCATCAGAACAAAGAAGACTATAGAACCAAGAGCAAACAAACCCCGAAGCTAGAAGAAAAGAAATAACCAACATCAGAGTAACTAAAGGAGATAGAGACATGAAAAACCCTTTGAAAAATCAACAAATCCAGGAGCTGTTATTTTTGAAAAAATAAAATAAAATAGATAGACTGCTAGCTAGATTAATAAAGAAGAAAAGAGAGAAGAATAAAATAGACACAATCAGAAATGATAAGGGAGATATCACCACTAACTCCACAGACATACAAACCATCAGTGAATACTATAAACACCTCTATGCATATAAGCTAGAAAACCTAGAAGAAGTGGATACATTCCTGGGCACATACACCCTCCCAAGACTGAACCAGTAAGAAAGTGAATCCCTGAATAGACCAACAGTGAGTTCTGAAATTGAGGCAGTAATAAATAACCTACCAACCAAAAAAATCTCAGGACCAGACGGATTCACAGCTGAATTCTACCAGAGGTACAAAGAAGAGATGGTATCATTTCTACTGAAACTATTCCAGTCAATTGAAAAGGAGGGACTCCTCCATAACTTATTTTATGAGGCTAGCATCATCCTGATATCAAAACCTGGCAGAGAAAACTTCAGGCCAATATCCTTGACAAACATCGATGCAAAAACCCTCAACAAAATACTGGCAAACCGAATACAGCAGCACATCAAAAAGCTTATCCACCATGATCAAGTAGGTTTCATCCCCAGGATGCATGGTTGGTCCAACATATTCAAATTAATAAATGAAATTCATCACATGAACAGAACTAAAGACAAAAAACACAAGATTAGCTCAATGGACACAGAAAAGGCCTTTGATAGAATTCAACATTCCTTCATGTTAGAAACTCTCAATAAATTAGCTATTGAAGGAACATACCTCAAAATAATAAAAAAGCCATCTATGACAAACCTATAGCCAATATCATACTAAAGGCACAAAAGCTGAAAGCATTCCCCTTGAAAACTGGCACAAGACAAGTGTGCCCTCTCTCACCACTCCTATTCAACATAGGATTGGAAGTTCTGGCCAGGGCAATCAGGCAAAAGAAAGAAATATAGTGTATTCAAATAGGAAAAGAGGAAGTCAAATTATCTTTGTTTGCAGCTGACATGATCTCATATCTAGAAAACCCCATTGTCTCAGCCCAAAAGCTTCTTGGGCTGATAAACAACTTCAGCAAAGTCTCAGGATACAAAATCGGTGTGCAAAAATTGCTAGCATTTCTATACACCAACAAGAGGCAAGCAGAGAGCCAAATCATGAATAAATTCCCATTCACAGTTGCTACAAAGAGAATAAAATATCTAGGAATACAGCTACAAAGGGAAGTAAAGGACCTCTTCAAAGAGAACTACAAACCACTGCTCAAGGAATTCAGAGAGGACACAAACAAATGGAAAAACATTCCAGCTCATGGATAGGAAGAGTCAGTATCATGAAAATGGCCATACTGCCCAAAGTAATTTATAGATTCAGAGCTAATCCCATTAAACTACCCTTGACATTCTTCACAGAATTAGAAAAAGCTATGTTAAAATTAATGTGGAACCAAAAAAAGAGCCTGGATAACCAAGACAATCCTAATCAAAAAAGAACAAAGCTGGAGGCATCATGATACCCAACTTCAAACTACACAAGGCTACAGTAACCGAAATGCCATGGTACTGGTAAAAACACAGACACATAGACCAATGGAACAGAATAGAGAACTCAGAAATAAGACCACACACCTACAATCATCTGGTCTTTGACAAACCTGATAAAGATAAGCAATGCGGAAAAGATTCCCTATTTAGTAAATGATGGTGGGAGAACTGGCTAGCCATATGCAGAAAATTGAAACTGGACCCCTTCCTTACACCTTATACAAAAATTAACTCAAGATGGATTAACGACTTAAATGTAAAACCCAAAACTATAAAAACCCTATAAGAAAATCTTGGCAATACCATTCAGGATATAGGCACGGGCAAAGATTTCATGATGAAAACACCAAAAGCAATTGCAGCAAAAGCAAGAATTGACAAATGGGATCTAATTAAACTAAAGAGCTTCTGCACAGCAAAAGAAACTATCAACAGAGTAAACAGACAACCTAAAGAATGGGAGAACATTTTTGCAAACTGTGCATCTGACAAAGGTCTAATATCCAGAGTCTACAAGGAACTTAAACAAATTTACAAGAAAAAAACAACTCAATTAAAAAGTGGGCAAAGGACAGGAACTGACACTTCTCAAAAGAAGACATTCATGCAGCCAAGAAATATTTGAATAAAAATTCAACATCTCTGATCATTAGAGAAATGCAAATCAAAACCACAATGAGATACCATCTCATGGCAGTCAGAATGACAATTATTATTCATAATAAAGGCAAGAAATAATAGATGCTGACAAGGCTGTGGAGACAAAAGAACACTTTTACACTGTTGGTGGGAGTGTAAATTAGTTTAACCATTGTGAAAAACAGTGTGGTTATTCCTCAAAGATATAGAGGCAGAAACACCACCTGACCCAGCAATCTCATTACTGGGTATATACCCAAAGGAATATAAATCATTCCATTATAAAGACACATGCACGTGACTGTTCATTGCAGCACTATTCACAATTGCAAAGATATGGAATCAACCTAAGTGCCCATCAATGATAGACTGGATAAAGAAAGCGTGGTACATATGTATCATGGAATACTATGCAGCCATTAAAAGGATGGGGATCATGTCCCTTGCAGGGACATAGATAGAGCTGGAAGCCATTATCCTCAGCAAACTAACTCAGGAACAGAAAACCAAACACTGCATGTTCTCACTTAAATGCGGGGGCTGAACGATGAGAATACGTGGACACATTGCAGGGAACAACACACACTGGGGCCTGTCATGGGGGTTGGGGGGTGAGAAAGCATCAGGAAGAACAGCTAATCGATGCTGAGCTTAATACATAGGTGATGGGCTGATCTGTGCAGCAAACCACCATGACACACATTTACCTATGTAACAAACCTGCACATCCTGCACATGTACCTGGGAACTTAAAATAAAAGTTATAGAAAAAAAAGACTGAAAGCTAAACGAGTGTCAGTGAGGATGCTGAGAAAAGGGAACCCTTGTTCACTGTTAGTGGTAATGTAAATTAGTATAGATATTATTGAAAGCCATATGAAGGTTGCTAAGAAGAAACTAAAAGTAGAACTACCATATGATCCAGCAATCCCAGTACTGTGTATATATTCAAGGGAATTGGAATCAGTATGTCAAAAAGATATCTGTACTCCCATATTCATTGCAGCATTATTTACAATAGCCAAGTTATAGAATCAACCTAAGTTTCCATGAACAGATGAATTGGAAAGGAAAACTTGGGATATATATGTACAATGAAATACTATTCAGCCTTAAAAAGAAAAAAATTCTGTCATTTTCAACAACATGGATGGAATTAGAGAGAATTATGCTAAGTGAAATAAACCAGGCACAGGAAGACACATACTGCATGTTCTCACTTATATGTGGAATCTAAAACAATTAAACTCATAGATGCAGAGAGTAGAATGGTGGTTACCAGAGGCTAGAGGGTGGGGAAAAGGAGAGTGATAGTTAAAGGGTACAAAGCTTCAGTTAGACAGAAGGAATAAAATTTTTTATTGTTATCTATTGCACAGAATGGTGAGTATAGTTAATAATAGTGTATTACACATTTTAAAATCTCTACAAGGGTAAATTTCAAATGTTCTGGTCACAAAAAAGGTAAGTATTTAAGGCAATGGAGAGTTAATTAATTTGATTCCACATTTCATTTATAAACATCACTTTATATATCATAAATATATACAACTATAACTGTCAATTTATAATAAAAATGGCCAAATGACCTGAATGGACATTCCTCCAAAGAAGACATGCACATGGCCACAGGCATATGAATAGATGCTCAACATCACTAATCATTAGGAAAATGTAAATAAAAACCATAATAAAATATCACCTTATACCTGTTAGAATGGCTCTTATTACAAAAAAAAAAAAGTGTTGGTGAAGATGTAGAGAAAAGGGAACTCTGGTAAACTGTTGGCAGGAATGTTAATTGGTACAGCCATTATGGAAAACAGTATGGAGGTTCCTCAAAAAATTAAAAATAGTACTGCCGTATGATTCAGCAATCCTACTTTTGGGTATTTATCCAAAGGAATGGAAATCTGGATCTCAAAGCAGTACCTGCACTCTCATGTTAATGTCAGCATTTTTCACAATAGCCAAGATATGGTATCCATTGATGGATGAATGGATAGAGAAAATGTGATACTCTGCAGCCTTAGAAAGAAAGGAAATCCTGCCATCTGAGACAACATAGATGGACCTGTAGGACATCATGCTAAGTGAAATAAGCCAAACACAGAGACAAATACTGTATGATCTCATTTATATGTGGAATATATATTATTCAAACTCACAGAAGCAGAGAGTAGAATGGTGGTTGTCAGGGGCTGGCATAGAGGGAAACTGGGAGATGATGACCAAAGGGTACAAAATTTTAGTTACGCAAGATAAATAGTTCCCAAGATCTACTATACACATAGTGCCTATAGCTAACAATATTGTATACTTAAAATTTTTTGAGAGTAGATATTAAGCGTTCCTACACACACATTCTCACACACACACACACGATAAAGGGGCAGGAGGAAACTTCATGAGATAATGGATAGGAATATGGCCTTGATGGTCGTGGTGGTTTCACAGGTGTATACTTATCTCCAAACTTATCGAGTTGTATACATTAAATAAGTACAGTTTTTTACATGCCAATTATACCTCAACAAAGTGGTTTTTAAAAATGTTTATTACAAGGAAAATAAAATCATTGTATTTTTAGTATTGTTTGTTATAGCAGCTCATCATTGCTCTAAAACACCGTAAATGTGCTCTATGTGGACTCATACCAGAGCCCCAAATTCAAGTTAGAACCTTTTTTTTCCAGTTAAATCTTGTTCAAGTGATGGCAAACCTCATTACACCCCTAAACAAAGATTGAATTGTTCTCATGATAGGAATGTTCACACATATGTAGCTGTAATATGACTTGTCCTTCTTGAGTGCAAGGTGATCTGGCTGAGGTCGGGGTGAGATTGGCACTGAAGCCAAGGGTGCAATCCATTTCTATGGAAAGCCAACTGGCCCATAGTGGGACTGAGTACATGAAGATCACAGCCTCATTAACAATAAGCACAAGCCAATTGAGTTAATGATCCCAGGCAAAATAAATAATAAACCTGAGAGTATGACACGTTGTTTTGTTGAAAAATAATGGTGAAGCAAAACCGGTTTCAATTCTGATAAAAGATCCTAGACATAGAAGAGAAAAGTCACATTTTTGTCATTCTAACTTGATTCTATGGTCTCTAAAGATTGTATTCTATGGGAAATTTCACTTGACTGGTCTATTAGAGCTTTAGATTTTCTTGAGCAAAGAAAAGCAAGGTTGTTGAAAAGTTGCCAGACATCATGACACTTGATTCAAGGAATTCTGAATCTCTCTGGCACAGAAAAGCTATCCTTTCTTTAGGTGGCTAGAAATTGAATCTTTTGTCTTCATAGAAAGTCACAGAAGACCTTTGTTGATTTCATGAAAGCAGAATTGTGGATTTAAGAAACATTAGCTGTGTCACCCCCTTGAAGACACAGAAATGTGCACCCTTTAAACATGAAAGAAGTAGAGGGCAAATTATTTTAGCTGGAAGTTTAAACGGTGACCTTAGAGATGTAATTCTTTAGCAAGTAAGATTTACTTCTCTTTATAATTGAGAAGATAGGAGGTGAAACTGCAAAAAGAATTAAGCTCCTGTTAGAATTAAATATTTTTTTGTCTTCTAAAGGAGATTGAAGCAATAAATCATAAAGTGAAAGTCTTTGAAGATAACTTCTCATCTCTTTCAAGGGGAAAAAAATCTACCACCTGGTTAGTACCAGGTGGTATTAGTAGTTGATTGAAATTTTTCAAATAGGCAGAATATATTTTCAATTAGTTGGGAGCTGTTTCTGTATATTTTTCCTAAAAGTGAACGCTATTCTCTCAGGTATGGAGTAACCAGCATTTGCATGCTGTGAGCTTCCTGTTATTTCACATCTTTGGAGCCTGAGGGAGTAGTTTTGTCCATTTATAGTTAGCTTGGTTTCATAAGCAACCGCTCCAATACTTAGTGGTTTAAAGCCGTAATTATTTTATTTGCTCACAAATCTATGGGTCTGAGTGATTTGGGCTGAGCAGTTATTTTGCAGGGGTCATGTATGTGGCTGCAGTCAGCTATTAGCTTTACTGGGACTGGGTGGTCAAAAATGATCTCACTCACATGTCTTATAGTTGGTTTCTGTCTGTTGTCTGGGCCATATAGCTTATGTAGAATAGCCTGGGCTGCTTCACATGGTGGCTAGTTTCCCATGAATAACTCCAATACACAAACCATTTCAAGCCTCTGCTCACATCACATTTGCTGATGTCCCATTAGTGAAAGCAAGTCACATGGCCAAGCCCAGAGTCAATGTGGGAGGGAACCACATAAGAGAGAGAACATAGACAAGTGTGATTCATCAGTCACATCATTACTGAAACAATTTACCACATGATAAATCTAGTAGTGGGGCCACTTGAGATACGGAAAGAAGTCATTATTTATCAATAGGTATGGAAGTATTTCAATGTTTTAACAATAGGCATGTTGTTAAATAACAGACACAGGTACTGGTGCATACCAGCTGCATTTGAATCCTGGCTGAGAGGCTCTATGGACTCTAGAAATGAGTAATACTACTGTAGGGCTCCGATAACAAAGAGTATTACAATATCTGGGAGAAGGCTTTTCTCATTAGTGAAATAACATCATTGGAATGAACATTCTCATGAGAAGCACCATTAGCAGCAGCAAGAGGGAGGCTCTTTCAAGAGACTTCTTTGTTTACTCAATAGACAGTTATTGAGTACCCACTATGTTACAGGCGATAGACATTAGGAATCTAGGTGTTAAGAAGAGATACACTAATTTAGCAAAGCTGCAAGCTATAACATCAGTGTACAAAATTAGCTTTAATTTCAAAATCAGTTTTAACTTAAAAGGAAATTAGGAAAACAGTGTCATTTACAATAGCATCAAAAAGAATAGAATACTTAGAAATAAACTTAACCAAGGCGATGAAAGACTTGTACACTGAAAACTACAAATTGCTGCTGAAAGAAATCAAAGAAGACACTAATAAATGAAAATATGTCCTGTGTTCCTAGGTTGGAAGAGGTAATATTGCTAAGATGTCAGTTCTACCCAAAGTTATCTACAGATTCAATGCAATCCCTATCAAAATCCCAATGGTGTCATTTTTAATTTTTTTAGAGACAGAGTCTTGCTATGTTGTCCAGGGGTCTCAAACTCCTGGGCTCAAGTGATCCTTCCACCTCAGTCTCCCCAGTAGCTGAGACAACAGGCATGTGCCAAGGTATCTTGTTCACCCATGGGTGTTTTCTTCTTTTTGCAGAAATAGAAAAATCCATTGTAAAATTCTTGTGTAATTTTAAGAGGCATTAAATAGCCAAGAAAATCTCTGAAAAGACGAGCAAAGTTGGAGGTCTCATACTTTCTAATTTCAAAACTTACAGTACATTATGCTATGGTAATCAAACCAGTATGATACTGGCATAAAGACAGACATTTAGAACAATAGAGTAGAAACATAGAGATCAGAAATAAATTTTTACATATATGGCCAAGTTAGTTTTGACAAGAGTACCAAGATCATTCAATGGGGAAAGTACAGTCTTTTTGACAAATAGTGTTGGGAAAACTGGATATCCACATCCAAGAAAATGAATTGAATCCTTACATTATACCATATACAGAAATTAACTCAAAATGGATTGAAGACTTAAACATAAGAGCTAAAACTATAAACTTTTAGAAGAAAACATAGGAAAAAGCCTCATATTAGATTTGGTAATGATTTGTTGGATATGACATGAAAAACACAGACAACAAAAGAGAAAATAGATAAATTGAACCTCATCAAAATAAAAAAGGTTTCTGCATCAAAAGATGCTATCAACAGAGTGAAAAGGCAACCTATGGAATGTGAGAAAATATTTTCAAATCATATATCTGATTAGGGATTGATATTCCAAATATATAAAGAAATCATACAATTCAACAACAACAATAACAATAAACAACAACCTGGTTAAAAAATGGGAAAAGAGTCAAGCAGACATATCTCCAAAGAAGATGTATCAACGGCTAATCAGCACATTAAAAGATAATCAGCATCACTAATCATTAGCGAAATGCAGATCAAAACCACAATAAGATACTACTTCATACCAACTAGGGTGTCTATTATGAAAAAAAAAACCAAAATAACAAATATTGATGAGGACGTGGAAAAACTGGAACCCTTCTTCATTGCTGGTGGGAGTGTAAAATAGTGTAGCCACTGTGCAAAACGGTATGGCAGTTCCTCAAAAAATTAAATACAGAATTACCATGTGGTCTAGCAATACCACTTCTGGGTATATACCCCAAATAAATGAAAGCAGGGACTTGAACTGGTATTTTTAAAGCCATGTTAATAGCACCATTATTCACAATAGCCAAGATACAGAAACAACCCAAATGTTCATTGATGAATGGATGTATAAACATAACTTGGCATCAACTTATAGTGGAATATTATTCAGCCTTAAAAAAGATGGAAGTTCTGTCACATCCTACAATGTGGGTAGACCTTGAAGATATTATGCTAAGTGAAGTAAGCCAACCACAAAAGTACAAATACTATATGATTCTACTTATATGAGGTACCTATAATAGTCATATTCATAGAGACAGAAAGTAGAATGGTGGTTCCCAAGGACTAGGGGAGAGGGAAATGGATAATTATAGTTTAATGGGCGTAGAGTTTCAGCTGGGGAAGATGAAAAAGTTCTGAAAATAGATTTATGGTGACGATGGTTGAATAGCAATGTGAATGTACTTAATGTCACTGAAAGGAACAAGATCATGTCCTTTGCAGGGACAGGGATGAAGCTGGAAGCCGTTATCCTCAGCAAACTCACGTAGAAACAGAAAACCAAACACCAAATGTTCTCTCTTATAACTGGGAGCTGAACGATGAGAACACATGGACACTTCGAGGGGAACAATACACACTGGAGCCTGTCATTGGTGGGGGGTGGAGGGAGAGAGCAACATGAAGAATAATGGATGCTGGGCTTAATACCTAGGTGATGGGTTGATCTGTGCAGCAAACCAGCATGGCACACATTTACCTATGTAACAAACCTGCGCATCCTGCACATGTACCCTGGAACTTAAAAGTTGAAGAAAAAATAGTAAATTTTATTTTGAGTACATTTTACCATGCTAAAATGAGTAGGTCCATAAATAAATAACCAACGTTAATAATAATAAAAAAGAAAATAGACAAAAAAAAATCCCTGCCCTGATGTAGATTACATCTAGGGAGAAAGGACACTGATGACCTAATGAAAAAACTCACATGGTTGTGAGGCCCCCAGTTGTTCTCATGCACCTTTTAGCCTTCCTGAGGTTTAACAAAAGTTGGAAAGTACACTGGCTTTTCAGGCAGTTGGGCATTGACAGTTGCAAGTCAGAGCAGCATTGGAAGGGGATATGGGTGGGTGGGGATGACAACTATAGTGGTCTGTGGTTGTTTTTGTTTCTGTTCACCTAACAGTTTTTTTTCATTCTCCTTATTCAGGTGTCATGCTGTGCCTTTCTCTCCCTTCCAAGAAAAAAACAAAACAAATGTCTTCTTTTGAGAAGTGTCTGTTCATGTCCTTTGCCCACTTTTTGATGGGGTTGTTTGTTTTTTTCTTGTAAATGTGTTTGAGTTCATTGTAGATTCTGGATATTAGCCCTTTGTCAGATGAGTAGGTTGCGAAAATTTTCTCCCATTTTGTAGGTTGCCTTTTCACTCTGATGGTAGTTTCTTTTGCTGTGCAGAAGCTCTTCAGTTTAATTAGATCCCATTTGTCAATTTTGGCTTTTGTTGCCATTGCTTTTGGTGTTTTAGACATGAAGTCCTTGCCCATGCCTATGTCCTGAATGGTAATGCCTGACATTTATGCAGCCAAAAAACACATGAAAAAATGCTCACCATCACTGGCCATCAGAGAAATGCAAATCAACACCACAATGAGATACCATCTCACACCAGTTAGAATGGCAATCATTAAAAAGTCAGGAAACAACAGGTGCTGGAGAGGATGTGGAGAAATAGGAACACTTTTACACTGTTGGTGGGACTGTAAACTAGTTCAACCATTGTGGAAGTCAGTGTGGCAATTCCTCAGGGATCTAGAACTAGAAATACCGTTTGACCCAGCCATCCCATTACTGGGTATATACCCAAAGGACTATAAATCATGCCACTATAAAGACACATGAACATGTATGTTTATTGCGGCACTACTCACAATAGCAAAGACTTGGAACCAACCCAAATGTCCAACAATGATAGACTGGATTAAGAAAATGTGGCACATATACACCATGGAATACTATGCAGCCATAAAAAATGATGAGTTCATGTCCTTTGTAGGGACATGGATGAAATTGGAAATCATCATTCTCAGTAAACTATAGCAAGAACAAAAAACCAAACACCGCATATTCTCACTCATAGGTGGGAATTGAACAATGAGAACACATGGACACAGGAAGGGGAACATCACACTCTGGGGACTGTTGTGGGGTGGGGGGAGGGGGGAGGGATAGCTTTAGGAGATATACCTAATGCTAAATGACGAGTTAATGGGTGCAGCACACCAGCATGGCACATGTATACATATGTAACTAACCTGCACATTGTGCACATGTACCCTAAAACTTAAAGTCTAATAATAATAAAATAAAATAAAGAAAAAAACAAAACAAAACAAAAATAGCAACACAAAATAAAACTGACATGAGTACATGCTCTAAAATGGCTAATCAGAATCCTTGCCCTAAATTCTTCACTTGCAGATGGAGGAAATGTCATCTAGCCTCTTGGGTCACCCTCTATGGCCATACTCTAAGGGTGTGATGTTGGAGCTGCCAGTGGCTCTCTTCCCTTCCATGTAGATAAGGACAATCTGTAATAGGAAAGAGTGAAGCCAATTAGAAAACGGCAGACATAAGAGAAGAATGAAGACAGAGAAATTTCTGATGGCATTAAGTTTCAGCCAGGGCCCTGGTTCTGCATTCTTCCTTCAATTCTCTGGTCTAACTCAAAATACTTCCTAGTCATGTGGGCCAATCAGATTACTTTTTTTGCTTCAGCTAATTTGAGGCAGGTCTCTGTCACATGCAATTTAGTGCCTTAAATAATTTGAAAGACATATAATACTTCCCTTTAAAAATTCCCCAAAATACTGGGGGGAGCTTTTCAGAGGGGTAGTAGACATTCTAGGGGTTCAAGGAAGAGGGAAGGAAGATATGTAAAAAGAAATTCTGGATAATAGATGTTAATATGAATTCATTTGTATCTAAAAGATTGTTTAGGCCAGGTGATATTTGGATTATGTCTGAAATAAGGATAATAGTGCCTAAAGCGTTCTTGAAAAGGTTAAATGATATGATGTGTTGCCAATGGAAAAGCCAGAAATCTCTCTAGGTGCTTCAAACAGATGGAGATTTAATATAGGAAATTGATTACAAAAGTGTTGGAAAGGCTGGAGGTGCAAAAGGCAGAGGGTGGTATAACCTAGATGTCAGTAACTATAGAAAACCACAGCTCTCTAAGGATGGAGGAGCAAAAATGTGGAAAATTAATATCCCTAGAGCAAGCTGGTCCAACCCACGGCCCATGGGCCACATATGTCCCAGGATGGCTTTGAATACAGCCCAAGACAAATTCGTAAACTTTCTTAAAACATTATGAAATTTTTGTGATTTTTTTTTAGCTCGTTAGCTATTATTAATGTGTGTTTTATGTGTGGCCCAAGACACTTTTTCTTTTTCCAATGTGGCTCAGGGAAGCCAAAAGATTGGACACCCCTGGCCTAGAGTCTGTGAGCATGCACTTGCTGCTGACAGTGCTGCTGGGGCTCCTAGAACTCCACTGATGCTGCTGGAGCCCGTAATTACCTGCAGTCACGGGGTGCTTCCACTGCCAAAGCCAGATGCAGAATAGTTTCTCTCTCCTCTCCTACTTAATTACCTCGTGAGAGAGCCTTCCATTGGCAAAAGCTAGCCAAAATCTAGCTGGCAAGAGAGTCTTGGAAATGTAGGTTTTCTGGCTCCCAACCTGGGCAATACAGGGAAGATTACAGATAGAAAGTCAGGTGTGGACTCAAGTACCCATAGACAATATCTGATGTAAGTTCCTACTTCAAAGGAAGCTGAAAGGATTAATGAAATAATGTATGCAAATTACATAATATGGTGCCTGGCCCGCATCAAGCACTCACAAATTGGTAGTGCTGTGTTTGTGGGTCAGTTTAAATGTCTCGTGTGTCTGTTCCCTTTTCTCTGTATCTGCCTTGCCTATGTTCAATAGTTCTTTACTAACTGGAATGTTTTTCTGTCTTTTTCCTCCCCATCCTCTTAGACTACATTAAGAACTCCACATAGAATATCTTCTGATTTATTTTCCAATATTTAGCTTTCAGTAGTAGATTTTAAGTATTTTTTTTCTATAAAGGGCTCTAAAATTGTTAATGTAGTGAGTTAGCAGCTTCTTACCTGTTTCATTTTGCTTCAATTTCTGCAATATGTGGATTGCCATGTGTCGATAACTTGGTTGTTGAACTTTATTAGATATAAATATCCTTGTGACTATTTTTATTTCATGTCTATGGTATCTTTGCATTTTGATGCTCAAATTTCTGAACTTTCAAGTGCAATGAAGCCTGCATTAACATAAATATTGGAGATGATGGTAGCATTTAAATTCCTCATGAAGACAACTTCAGGTCTGAGATTTTCACTCTGCAGAGTTTCAGTCCATTCTGCCAAACATGTGCTAACTTCTCAGACTTCTTTCATAGCAGTCACCAAATCGTTCGTCATTTCTCTGAACTCAGTTTTTCCACTAAGGCCAGATTTTGAAGTTAATACATGAAGGAAGTTTCTGGCAAGTAGAGCCTGCTCTAAACTTGGTGTCCCTGTGGGCATGCTCAAAAGTGGAAATGAATTGGAAAAATGAGTATAAAATAAAAATGGAAAATTAAAATCCTGTTTGTGAAAACAAGAAGCATTCCAATTAACCTTTGTCTAGACAGTTATCAAATGTCAGATAGATATGAATTATGGCAATGCAGTCTACATTACACAGCCCACCCCTCTGCTCTCGAACTCTGTCAGATTCATGCATATACTGGTTGGCCAGCTATCCTTGGCCTTACTTTACCACATGATTTTCTCATTTTATAACTGCCATGTACTTGAAGCATCATCAGGATGATATGTTTAAAATAATTAGGTGGTTCTTTTGTCTTTATGATAAAATCCAAACCACATACCATGGTAGTCAAAGACTTTCCTATTTGGCTCTTGGCTACCTTCCCATCCATTCTAAATTCCTACTACTCCCCACCTCATATATGCTTCAGTTATACTGAATTTTACCACCCACACCCACCAGCCACTATTCACAGCTCACCACCAATAGTGAAAAACCATCAACCATACTTGCCAGCCTTGCTCCACCACCAGTCACACCTCAACAGCCCTGGGCACCACCACAATCTCTGCCCAACAGACATTTCTAACAGCAGCAGTTCTATTTACCCCATTCCTACTTTCATGGCCCGTTGGCTTAGTCCTGTTGATTCTCCTTAGTATCTCATTGAATATCTCATGCATGTGTTCCTTTTTCTTTAATTCTTCCACCTTGCTCTAGAGGAGACCACCATCATCTTGCCCCTGGAATACTACACCAGCCTTTTGACTAGGTTTTCTTCCTCCAGGTTAGCATCCCTCACGTCCTTCCAATATGCACTGCTAAAGTGATCTTTCTGAAATCTATATATGACCATATCCAACCCCTTCTTAAAGACTCTGGTAGTCATTAGTGCTATTAAATATGTCTGGCTTGCTCTCCACTCCACTAGGCACATGGTAAGATTGCAGTTCCCCACTCCCTTGAAGTTAGGTGTGGTCATGTTGAAACTGGCATAATTGTCCCTTAGAACTGATGTTTATGGTTTCTTTTGAATACATGTAGAAATTAACCCTCCCAGTCTTAAAACTTGAGAAAATTACATTTGTTTTATCTGAGTTCCTTTCTCAGGAAACCAACCATCAGGCCCCTCAGATGGTATCAAGAAACTGAAATTTATCAGATCACCACATCTGGACAATAAGATGCCAGATCCCTCACCCATCATTATTGCCTAACCAACCACCTGCTTCCTGTTGACCAACTCCTCTTCTTTATCCCCTCTCTAATTCCTGTTTTCCCACACATGGTCATATTTCTTTCCTGCTATATAAACCCCTAGTTTTAGTTGGTCAGGGAAATGGATTTGACACTGATCTTCCATCTTCTCAGGTGCAGCACCTGAATAAAGCCTTCTTCCCTGGCAATACTCATCTCAGTGATTGGTTTTCCATGCTATGAGCAATGGGACCTAGACCAAACCTTTGATATTTTAGTAACGATGTGACTTGTTATAGTGAATGAAAAGTGGGCAGAAGTGATGTGTGATATCTTGGGGCAGAAGCTTTAAGAGCACGTGTACAATTTGCCCCATTCTTTGTCCCTCTGGCTCCAGGTGGTGGCTGCTCTGTTGGCCTGGATCCAAGGGAGAGGGGCCCCCAGAGTACTCATGATGTACATGTAGCATGATTAAGAAATAAATATTGTTGTTTTAAGTCATTGGTTTTGTGGATTTTACTGCAACATAATCTGGCGCACTTTGAGTAACACAAAGACCAAAGGTAAAGCTCAAACTCTTTAGTAAAATATTGATAATTCTATATAATCTGACCTCCGCTTTCCAACTTCATTTTAAGCTGTTCCTCCTTCCACATCCTACACTCCAGACAAACTGCTGTTTCTGGTGTGTGCTCCTGTGCTTTCCTGCTTTGGTTATTTACTCCTCTACCTCTACTTCCAACTCGGCATGTCCAAAAACTATCCTAGTGGAAAGTAGTTTCTCCCTCCTTTACACTCCCATGGCATTTTATCTGGATTATTTTCCTACTTGTATCAGAGTTTCTTAAATATGTATCTGCTATGGTTTGAATGTTTGTCTCCTCCAAAACTCATGGTGAAATTCAATCCCCAATGTGGTAGTATTAAGAAGTGGGGCTTTTAAGAAGTGATAGAGTTGTGAGGGCTCCACCCTTATGAATGGATTAATCTGTTCATAGATTAACTGATTAATGGGTTAATGGATTAATGAGTTATCATGGGAGTGGGACCATTGGCTTTATAAAACTAAAAAGAGAGACCCAAGCTAGTACACTCAGCCCCCTTACCATGTGATACCCTGTAGAGAGTCCCCACAAGCTACTGGATGTATCCCCTTGACGTTGGACTTCTCAGCCTCCATAACTGTAAGAAATAGATTCATTTTCTTTATAAATTAGCCAGTTCGTATATTCTGTTATAAGTAACAGAAAATGAACTAAGACAGTGTATAATCTATTCTTTTCACCTGGAATCTCCTTCGAGTAAAAGTCTGTGTCTAAATCATCTTTGCATGTACCTACAATATTTAGAACAATGCCCCTCGTGTTAGTGTTCAAATATTTGTCAAATGAACGTACTCTGTTTCTGAAATACAGAATATTTATAATACTCTTCTTAATTTTTGTGGTAGGGTTTGTTTTGTGTGACTGGGTGGATTAGAGAGATGGTAGGGAGTAACTAAGAAAGTATAGGGTAACTGATTAGGGGGATGGAATAGAGAAGGAAATAGGAGAGGAAACAGTGAATTTAATACATTGCTACCTGCCATCTGCTTGAAACCTAATACTATGCTAGGCACTGTGAAGAATTTAAAGTAAGAAGAAGTCACTATTTTTGATCCCAATGGACTTACTGTCTGGTTCGGAGACAAAGTATTATATGCCTGAAGCCATAAATAACAGATAGAGATTGTAATACAGAGACAAGTTATTAAAATTCTGTTTCACACAGTGAATTTTCAACTATTTCTGCAATATATTATTGTGTCTCTAAGTCTATTGCAAATATTTCAGGTGAGGTTAGCAATAGTTTACCTCAATTAGGAAATTACTATGCATTTACATATTGTAGAACCAATTCACAAAGTGACATTTGATGCAAAACCAAACCACCACCAGTGGCAAGCTAGTATGAATCTGAAAAGACTGGCTGAGTTGAAACTTGCTCCTACTAATCTTCTGTGATTGGTTTTGCTTTGTGTGACTGGATAGCATTTTTAATCCCCAAAGCTCTTTGAGGCATTTGGCATAATTTGAATGTATTGTGTGTGTGTGTGTCTGTGTGTGTGTATTATAGTGGCCTGGTGGTGTCCTGATAAACATTTAGCAATCATCACTGGGGGCAGCGGGGCCCAGAGGTATAGCATTTGCAGTTTTTTCTGTTGTGTAAATACTTCCACCATGGCTACCAATTTTAAGCTACCAATTGAACATCACTGAATATGGAGTTCAGAAGAGATGTGTACGATTAACTCTCAAAAGCCAGAACTCCACTTGGTGTAGGAAGTGGTGACCAGAGAGGCAGAATGGAGGGGTGAGGAAGGGCAGAGATTAAAAAAAAAAAAAAAAGCGAAGGAACTGATTACTGATTTAAACACTCTAAAGGGAGAAGTAAGGTTGGAGATTTGGATAATTTTTTTTTGTGCCGTCAATAAGAAATTTACTTGTTTTAAAAAAATCCAAATGCTGGCATTGTCCAGAAAAATTTAACAGGTTTATTTATAATTATTATAAAGTTGAACCGCTGAAACTTGTTCACCGAAACATTTTAACTTGCATTAATGCTTTATGTCTCCGCATTTATATTAAAAATTCACACACAAATGAAAATGGAAAAACAGCCAATACCTGATTTCTATCCCCTATTTTTCCACTCGCAATCATATACTTAGGTACCTTTTGACCCCATGGAAAAAAATATCTAACGTTCAGTACTACCAATGACAGGAAGAAGATATTTTTTTTTTTTTTTGAGAATGAAATGTTTCCCATCATAGTGGATTCTTAAGCACGTTCTCCACGTATGCGGCGTGCTAGCTGGATGTCTTTTGGCGTAATTGTTACACGTTTGGCATGGATAGCACACAGGTTGGTGTCTTCAAAAAGGCCAACCAGATAGGCCTCACTTGCCTCCTGCAAAGCACCGATAGCTGCGCTCTGGAAGCGCAGATCTGTTTTAAAGTCCTGAGCAATTTCTCGCACCAGACGCTGGAAGGGAAGTTTGCGAATCAGAAGTTCAGTGGACTTCTGAACGTCTAATTTCACGGAGCGCCACAGTACCAGGCCTGTAACGATGAGGTTTCTTCACCCCTCCAGTAGAGGGCGCACTCTTGCGAGCGGCTTTTGTAGCCAGTTGCTTCCTGGGTGCTTACCACTGGTCGGTTTGCGGGCAGTCCGCTTTGTAGGAGCCGTGGTACAGAGACCTCCTTACTTACCCCCCTTCTCCTTCGGCTGGAGCTCGGCGAGCGAGAGGCGGCGCTGGCGTTGGAGAGCGACGGCGGCGCGGCGGCGCCTGCGAACACCAGGTTTGGATAATTTTTAACTAGCCAGTCAGCCACCTGAAAAACTGAAAGTTATTGTTGTTAAGCCTCACTGCTGAGTGCTGGACTTTTCCTGTTTTTGCAATAGTGACAAATAACTTCAATCTTTGCTTTAGGAGATTTTTAAGCACCGAATTTACAGTTTTTAAAAGTTGCTCACTTTGAAACGAATCTGTGGTGATACAAATTAAAATAGTGGCTACTTCCTAGGTATAGATGGTGAGGGGGCACAAGAGAGCTTTCTGGGGGTGTTGAAAGCTTTCCATTTCTTGCTTGATCTGGGTGGTTATTACTTGTCTGCTCATTTACATCTTAATAGTAAATAAATAGTTATAAAAAGTTGCTCACTTTGGACGTCCTTCCCCACCTCTGAAGTGTTTCTTCCGGGTATATATTACATTAAAAATAGTGGGAAGCGGGTGGGAGGCAGGGAAGAAATGCAAACTATTTTATTAGGTGATGTCCACGCTAATAACTGTACTATATATAGTGTGTTTTTGCACAGTGTACATTTCCACAGTGCATTATTCATTACACACACAGTGGTATTAGCTAGGAAATTGGGATCAGGTAAATAACACCAGGAAGTAATGACTGTTGACATTACATGTAGTAATCTAGTTTCCTGTAACAAACTGCACATGTATTCTGTTTGGAATTAATACAGTATGTTAAATTTTATCCATAAAAATGACTTATGAGATTGAATCCATTAGTTTAATGGAATATCACAATCATTATTCCAAACTTATTTATATTGCAATCAGTAGAATGGGATGTCTCTTCCGAATAAGAAAATGAATGTGAATGCCAAAGATTTCCTCTTATTTAATTTTAATAATTGTGAATCATCGCATGTGATATGTATTTTTCATATTTATGCCTGTAAGTAATCCCACCAGAGAAAATAGAAGAGAGGAAAGCCACATTAAGACTTGCAAACTGTTTCTCTCAGATGATTTTAGGGCTTTTTATTTCCACAATAAAGTGACCAGTATTAAGGCATGGTCCCTGATGAGGGTCAGGTATGGGGCAGGAGTTGGAAGTAAAGGAAGGCCCATGGTAGGACCCTCAATGCCTGAGCCATTTTAGAGAAGCCTGGCGTTTCACCAGGATATTTGTCAAAGGCAAAGTGAAGAGTAAAAGGAACACTTTTACTCTTGGCAGTCTTGTTTACCCTCTGCTACTACAAGGTGACTTAAGCCACATAGTTTCCCCAGTATTTGGAGTAGGGGCAAGGGGCACAATTCCTAAAGATGGAGCACGTTATTTTAAAACGGACTGTTGCAGGAAGGATGGGTTTTCTGGGAAGTAGTCACTGAGATTTGTTAGAGAGTGACGCCTGTGATTGAAAAGGAAGCAGGATTGGGCAGGAGGCACCATCAGTCTCAATGCACACCTGAGAAAGTTTCTGTCAGTCCAGTGGGGAATTCTGAAACAGATTCCCATTGGAAGCATCTGCACTGGACAGAAATGGCTAGATCTGTGCACCACAGCCTTTTTCAGTCATTGACTAGGGGCTGCTCCAAGAAGAGCATGACCTTGGCCCAAGAACTGAAGCCAATCCTGAAGGTGCTAACAGCTAGGTGGCTATGAAATAATTACTCTCCTTACAGCTGTGAAGTGAGTCCTTTCTTGAAGAGGGATCTGAGTGACACATCTGTAGGTCTGCCGCAGTCCACCCCTTGTATCATGCTGCTCCGCTTCTCCATACATGTTCATGGAGAAGTTCATTCAGGTCTCTTGTGAGCCTTTCTTAGAAGAGAAGGGTTAGTGGGATAAAGTACAGCTCTCCAACCCTACCTCAGCTGGTCTTGGGCTTCAACTGGTACTCATTGCCTCCCTCTTCCACTATCCATTCTAAATTCCTCTCACTCTCAGCTACCAACTTGGCAGGTGTTGGTGGCTTGTCTGGTGTCTGACTCAAACCCTCATTACTAAAAGATCAGAGTCCCTGGTAACCATACCCTTCTCAGACTGGATTTGCTGCATATGTTTATTCATAGTTACAATGGGTTAGGGGAGTACCAGGAGGCACCCAGGTGGGTCATCTGAACTCCACACTTACTCCTCTCTATTCTCATTGTGAAATATTATCCATACCTTCTCCTGATGATTAGTGTCAATTACGCCTGATAGGATGGTGAGCCCTCTTCTTGGCTGCTGGTCACAAGAAGCCCAGGTGTCCAGTTGTCAGTAATAGTTTGTAGTTGAGTGGTATCCTGTTGTGTCCCTTGGTAAGAGTGCACTCCCTTTGGGAACTAGGACCTCTAACACTATAAAACTTAGAGTTTAAGGGACCAGAAACACAAGATTCTGCAGTGGGTCATTGGTAGTGATGCTTAGTAGGGCCATTCCTGCTTCCACTCCTTGCTTTCTGAACCTTTTATTATTCCTGTAGAGAACACAGTATCATATGGTGATCTCTGACTTAATTCATACCTTCTGAGTGTTGCCTCTGAGACCGTGCCTTTAGGAGGCCATTTTAGTTTTCTGTGAGGTCAGCTACTTCTGGATGGTGTAGTATGCAATATGATCGATGTATCCCATGGTCATAGGCTCATTCCCATAACTCCTTTGCTGTAACATGGGTCTCCTAGTTGAATGCCATGCTGTGTGGAATTCCATAGTTGTGGATCATGCATTTCATAAGTTCCCAGGTTCTGGGTGAGGTTCTACAGGCAGGAAAAGTAAACCCATACCCAGAATAGGTATCTAGCCCTGTGAGGATGAACTGCTGGCCCTTCCAGGATAGATGCAGCCCACTGTAGTAAACTTGCTACCAAGTGGCTGATTGTTCTCCTTGGGGAATTGTGTCATATGAGGACTTCAGCACTGGTTACTGTTACTGGCATTTTAGACATTTAAAACTACCTAGAACACCCTAAGTGAGTGGAAGTTCATATACTTTGGGCCCATGCATAGCCCCTGTCCCTACCACCATGCTACTTCTTTCATAACCTGTTTTGCCAGTGTTGGGGTGAGTGATGAAGAAGGCTGGTTAGCATCAACTGGCCAACCATTTAGACTGTTTGATGTTTAGTCTCTCTTTCATGGTAGATCTCCTCTGATGGACATTAACATTTTACACAAAGATTGTCACAATTTGTGTCCACTTCTATATGTCAATCAACATGCCAATAATCCTAGAAGCTGTTTACTCCAATTTTCCAATCTTTCTCTTTCTGGGCCCTGACCCAGCCATTCATCACTGGCTATAAGTCTGTATTTATTCTAACCTTGGACCATGTCTCCACTCATACAAAATAGATGATCAGGTGCACCTCCTATAGTTCTGCCCACTGGGTACATTTTTCCCTCTTTACTGTCTTTCTTTTTCTTGAGTCTACACTGGGAAGAACACTGTCTTTCAAGGCTGCTCCTGAGTGAGGCTGTAAGGCAGCCACTTTTCATTTTTGGCTTGCACCCATACCCCAAGCTAACCCATCCACACACCAAATTCGGAAGTTTTCTTTCTCTTCCAGGTGGTCATATGGGACCCTCCAATATGATCATCAGTGTGAGTTGAGGGAAGGGCACTAGAGCAGCTATAGTGGGTGATATGGCAGTCGGGGCTACGTTCTCATGCAGTTTGCCTGTCTTCTGGTTCAGCTTGCACTAGGTTCTGGATGTACCATTTCCACATTTATTGTGATTGCTGCTAGGCCTACTTGATGTTAAGACTTGGTGGGTCTAACAGGACACAGCTCATAGTGGGCATTTCTAAATGCATGATCATTATCATTATTTTGTGGTTAACTGTTCTGTCTCTATCAGGGACTAATAGCTTGCCAGGAGCTATTTTTCAAGTGATATGTATGTTCTTTGGCATGGCCTTGCCCTAAAACTCCAGGGGCAACTCAAAGTGCACTTTGATTCTCCCACATCTCTCCCATAAATTCCACCTTGCATATTTTTTTCAACACCGGAATCTCCAAGAACATAGGGTCTGCCAGATGTATGGCCCAAGTAGCAAGGTTGCTTGCACTATAGGTTTGGTCTACTGCAGAGCCCTTTCCTGCTCTGGGCCCCACTCAAAACTGGTAGCCTTCTGCTTTACCCACTATATGGGCCAGAGCAATATTCCTAGGTATGAAATGTGTTGCCTCCAGAACCCAAAGAGACCCATCAGGCATTGTGTTTATTTCTTTATAGTAGGGTCTACAAGGTTTGGCCATTTGTCTTTTACTTAGGAGGAGATGTTCCTGCATGCCCTTGATAATAGACTTCCTAACAGCTATACTGAAGTATCAGGTCCCTGAATCTTTAAAGGGTTTATATTCTACCTTCTGGAGCATGTGTCTTAGCAAGGCCTCCTTGGTATGTTAGTCTTATCTTGCTCATCCTGTTGGATCAGCATAATGGTGTCAATCAATGTAAGGGATCGATGTAGTATTCTGAGGGATACCCACATCTCTTTGGATTTCATTATGACAGAGGGTGTAAGAGTTAACATTTCCACATCTCTTTGGATTCCATTATGGCAGAGGTGTAAGAATTAACATAGTACTAAGGCAAAAGTATAAATATTTGTTGTCTCTTCCATATGAATCCTCAATATTTCTGATCTTGGTTCCTGACTGGGATAGGAAAGAAGGCATTTACCAAACCAACAGCTGTATATCATGTACATGAAACCATGGGGCTATGTTGTGATTGAGTTTGCACTAGTCAACAGTCATTTTCCAAGATCTATCTAGTTTCTTCAGGGGTCAGATTTTTTTTGATACCTACCTCAACCATATTTTGCTTTGGTAGAATTTCTTAACAAAAATATATTATGGCTGCCATGAGAATGGCCTGGAAGACCTTCAACCATGACAGCATAACTGACCAAAGGCCCCAGCTGCTGGGCTCTGAAATCCATCACTGTGTTTGCAGTGAAGCCATGTACCAATGACTGGGCATGGCAGAGACACTAAGACAGGCTCATTCCTGCCCTATGTCAGCTGATGTTGAAGGGCCAGATTTTTCAATTAAAGAAGCTATTATAGGAATTGCCTCCCTTGTGTTATTTGTGTATTTATTTAGCTACATCCTATTCTTTCTTTTTTATTTTTTAATTTTTGTGGGTACATAGTAGGTATATATATATATACATACACACACACACATGTATACATATATATACACACACACACACATACATATATATGGGTTGCATGAGATATTTTGATACATGCGTAATAATCACATCAGGGTAAATGAGGTGTTATCACCTCAAGCATTTATCTTTCCTTTGTGTTACAAACAACCCAATTATACTCTTTTAGTTATTTTATTTTTTACAGGCATACAATTTGTAATAATCACATCGGGGTAAATGGGGTATCCATCACCTCAAGCATTTATGATTTTGTTGTGTTACAAACAATTCAGTTATACTCTTTTAGCTATTTTACTTTATTTTTCTTTATTTTTGTTTTTTTATTTTTATTTTTATTTTATTATACTTTAAGTTCTAGGGTACATGTGCACAATGTGCAGGTTTGTTACATAGGTATACATGTGCCATGTTGGTGTGCTGCACCCATTAATTCATCATTTACATTAGGTATATCTCCTAATGCTATCCCTCCCCCCTCCCCCCACCCCACGACAGGCCTCAGTGTGTGATGTTCCCCATCCTGTGTCCAAGTGTTCTCATTGGTCAGTTCCCACCTATGAGTGAGAATATGTGGTGTTTGGTTTTCTGTCCTTGTGATAGTTTGCTCAGAATGATGGTTTCCAGCTTCATCCATGTCCCTACAAAGGACATGAACTCATCCTTTTTTATGGCTGCATAGTATTCTGTGGTGTATATGTGCCACATTTTCTTAATCCAGTCTATCACTGATGGACATTTGGGTTGGTTCCAAGTCTTTGCTATTGTGAATAGTGTCGCAATAAACATATGTGTGCATGTGTCTTCATAGCAGCATGATTTGTAATCCTTTGGGTATATACCCAGTAATGGGATGGCTGGGCCAAATAGTATTTCTAGTTCTAGATCCTCGAGGAATTGCCACACTGTCTTCCACAATGGTTGAACTAGTTTACAGACCCACCAACAGTGTAAAAGTGTTCCTATTTCTCCACATCCTCTCCAGCACCTGTTGTTTCCTGACTTTTTAATGATCGCCATTCTAACTGGTGTGAGATGGTATCTCATTGTGGTTTTTCATGTGTCTGTTGGTTGTATAAATGTCTTCTCAAGTGTCTGTTCATATCCTTGGCCCACTTTTTGATGGGGTTGTTTGATTTTTTCCTGTAAATTTGTTTAAGTTCTTTGTAGATTCTGGATATTACCCCTTTGTCAGATGGGTAGACTGTAAAAATTTTCTCCCATTCTGTAGGTTGCTTGTTCACTCTGATGGTAGTTTCTTTTGCTGTGCAGAAGCTCTTTAGTTTAATTAGATCCCATTTGTCAATTTTGGCTTTTGTTGCCATTGCGTTTGGTGTTTTAGTCATGAAGTCCTTGCCCATGCCTATGTCTTGAATGGTATCGCCTAGGTTTTCTTCTAGGGTTTTTATGGTTTTAGGTCTAACATTTAAGTTTTTAATCCATCTTGAATTAATTTTTGTATAAGGTGTAAGGAAGGGATCCGTTTTCAGCTTTCTACATATGGCTAGCCAGTTTTTGCAGCACCATTTATTAAATAGGGAATCCTTTCCCCATTTCTTGTTTTTGTCAGGTTTGTCAAAGATCAGATGGTTTTAGGTGTGTGGTATTATTTCTGAGGCCTCTGTTCTGTTCTGTTCCATTGTTCTATATCTCTGTTTTGGTACCAGTACCATGCTGTTTTGGTTACTGTAGCCTTGTAGTATAGTTTGAAGTCAGGTAGCATGATGCCTCCAGCTTTGTTTTTTTGGCTTAGGATTGTCTTGGTAATGCGGGCTCTTTTTTGGTTCCATATGAACTTTAAAGTAGTTTTTTCCAATTCTGTGAAGAAAGTCATTGGTAGCTTGATGGGGATGGCATTGAATCTATAAATTACCTTGGGGAGTATGGCCATTTTCACGATATTGATTCTTCCTATCCATGAGCTATTTTACTTTATTTTTCACAGGCATACAATATGTAATAACCACATCAGGGTAAATGGGATATCCATCACCTAAAGCATTTATCCTTAATGTTGCAAATGATCAAATTATGCTTTTTAAGTTATTTTATAATGTACAACTAAATTATTATTGAATATAATCACCCTGTTTTGCCACCAACACTCTTATTTGTTCTTCCTAACTATTTTTTTTGTGTACATTAACCATCTCCATTTCCACCGCCCAAACCCCACTACCCTTCTCAGCATCTGGTGACCATTATTTTACTCTGTATCTCCATGAGTTCAGTATAGCTCCATGAGTTCAATTGTTTTGATTTTTAGCTCCCACAAATAAGTGGGAACAGTGATGTTTGTCTTTCTGTGCCTGGCTTATTTCACTTAACATAATGACCTCTAGTTCCATCCATGTTATTGCAAATGACAGGATCGCATTCTTTTTTATGGCTGAATAGTACTCCATTGTGTATATGTACCACATTTTCTTTATCCATTCATCTGTTGATGGACACTTATGTTGCTTCCAAATCTTAGCTATTGTAAACAGTGCTGCAACAAACATAGGAGTGTAGACACCTCTTTGATATACTGATTTCCTTTCTTTTGGGTATATACCCAGCAGTGGGATTGCTGGATTACATGGTAGCTCTATTTTTAGTTTTCTGAGGAACCTCTAAACTGTTGGCTATAGTGATTGTACTAATTTACATTCCCACCACCAGTGTATAAGTGTTCCCTTTTCAGCAATTCCTAACCAGCATTTGTTATTACCTGTCTTTTGGATATAAGCCATTTTAAGTGGGGTGAGATGGTATTTCATTGTAGTTTTGATTTGCATTTCTCTGATGATTAGTGTTGTTGAGCATTTTTTCATATACCTGTTGGCCATTTGTATGCCTTCTTTTGAGAAATTTCTATTCAGGTCTTTTGTGCATATTTTAATTAGAGTATTAGTTTTTTTTTTGTTATTGGATCAAGTGCTTTATATATTCTTGTTATTAATCCCTTGTCAGATGGGTAGTTTGGAAATATTTTCTCCCATCCTGTGGGTTGCCTTTTCACTTTGTTGATTTTCGTTTTCTGTGCAGAAGCTTTTTAATTTTAAGTGATCTCCTTTATCCATTTTTGCTTTGGTTGCCTGTGGCTCTGCTGCATTGTTCAAGTCTTTGCCCAGACCAATATCTTGGTGAGTTTCCCCAATGTTTTCTTGTAGTAATTTTATAGTCAGAGGTCTTAGATTCAAGTCTTTAATCCATTTTGATTTGATTTTTGTATTTGGTGAGAGATAGGGGTCTAGTTTCATTCTTCTGCACATGGATGCCTGGGAGTCAGGGACTAGAGTAAAGAACCTTAGAAGTCTACCTGGTATTCTATTGTATTGTGGCTGAGCTGGAACTTGAACCACAAGACACAGTCCTTCTCAGTCTTCGCTTCCATTACCAAACGCAGAGGAGCCTTACCTCATGGTCACTGCCACCTCAGGACCATGGGGAATGCTGCCAGGCTGCCACCAATGTTCCCTTAAAGCTCAAGGCTCTTCAGTCAGATTGTGGTGACTGCTGCCTGTACTGAGACTCACCCTTCGGGGAACTGGGCTCCCTTCTGCCTAGGGCAGGTCCAGAAATGCCACCTAAGAGCCATGTCTTGGAATGGGGGACCCTAAGGGCCCATTAGGTTCTCCATCACAGTGTCTGAGCTGGTATCTAAGCTGCAAGACAAAGTTCCCTTACTCTTCTTTCCTTTTTTCTCAAGCAGGAGTCGGTCTCCATAGCCACCACTGCTAGGAATGTGTTGGGTCACAACTGAAGCCAGCACATCTCTGAGGCTCATTCAAGGCCCTTGACATATTACCTGGTGTCACTGCGGATTATTCAGGGCGCAAGGACTCTTTAGTCAGCAGATCATGCTTGCTACCAGAACTGGGTCCTTTACTTCAAGGCAGAGGACTCCCTTCTTGGCCAGGGCGTGCCTAGAAATGTCTGGGAGCTAGGGCCTGGACTGGGGGCTTCAGGACTCTGCCTAGTGCCCTATCCTACTGTGGCTGAGCTGGTATCCAAGTTGTAAGACAAAGTCCTCTTTGCTCTTCCTTCTCCTGTCATCAAGCAGAGGGAAGGAGTCTCTTCTGGAGCTGTGACTTTGCCGTTGAGGGTTGTGGGAGGGATGGCACAAGTACTCCTTTGGCTACCCCAGCTGGTGTCTCATTAATTTGTATACACCCAAAATCCACTGGCTCTGAGCCCAGCACGGAACCAGGACTTGTCTAGGAATTGCAGTCTTTGTGGCCTAGGCTGCCTTTCCAGTTTATTTAGGAGCCCAGAGCACTTTGACCTGCTGTAGTGAGGCTAGCTGGAACTCAGGTTCTGATTGCTGGGATGGGCAATTCCCCTCTGGATAGGGCTAGTCTAAATGCTCCATCTGTGGGTGGGCACTGGTTGAATTCTACCTGATGTTGCTTTCTGCTGTGATAGGCAGCACTGAGTTCCAATGAAAAGTCCCCAAATCACTGTGCTCTCCCTCCCCCAAGGGCACAGATTCTTTCTCCGTGCTACCTGGCTGCTACCTGGGGATTGGGGAGGGGTAGCATCAGCAATTCAAGACTGTCTTTCCTACCCTCTTTAGTGCCTCTTTCTGTGATATGAAGTTAAAACCAGGTACTTTGATCACTCACCTGATTTTTGGTTATTATGAAGGTGCTTTATTGTGTGGATAGTTGTTCAAGTTGGTGTTTTTGTAGGGGAGGACAATTGGTAAAGGCTTCTATTTGGCCATCTTGCTCTCCCTTGCATTGTTTAAATCTTTACAAGGGGCAAAAATTTCCATAATCCTCCTTCAGATTTGATACTGGTTTTGGTTTATTATCTTAGTCTCTTGCAGGAGGAGGAGGAGCAGCTTCAGAAATTCCTATTTAACCTTCATTATGGCCAAGGACCCGATGTGGGGGCTACTTCAACTGCCAAATATGTCCATTCCAACTGTACATTCAGGGACCAGGAAAATGACCATCATGTGAGTCAGCAGATACAGTGGCTCCATTGTAAGTGATGCTTTGGCTAGGATTTTTTTTATTACTTGACACCCAGATGACCCCCCTTTAACAAGCGGACATGATGATGCTTCATGTCTGCAAGTATCAGTGTCCACTCAGACCCCAGGTCTAATATCTGGATATGCCTCTTTTTCTAGTGTACAGTAAATGTACCTTATGTACAATAATTGTACAGTAAATTTGCCAAGTAGATGGCTGTGGGGTCCTTTTGGTAAGGACTGGGGGGAAAGACTTGTAATGCAGGGATCTTCCCACTGGAGGCCATGTCTCTAATAGGTGTGTTCTGGGATGGAAAATTAGCTCAGGTCTGGAAACTAAACTAGAAATTATGGCGTTTTAATTGGGGAGACTGACCTAGTTCCTGCTCATTTATGCTTACTCTTTTAAAAAATTATATATGTTAAGCAATACCCTTTTGGCTGCTATCTATTTTGCCTTTAGGGATGCAGTGTTCTATTAACCATCTCTACATATCAGGCCCACTTGGTTGCCAATCTAATTGTGTATTGTTATTTTAATAATTACAAACCCCTGGGCTTCTGGTGGTGGAGTGCTATCACTTGGTCTCTATTGCCAGGGTTGGGAGGTTTGGCAATCATTTCCATTTCTATCAACAAATCAAGGAATCACATCTCTTATCATGTGCTTTGGCCTGCAGAGGAGAGCCACCACTGAACTTCTTGGTGATCTTGCTGCCCCTTTCACCAGTATTCCTGATGGGCTAGGTGAATGATGTGTCTTCTGGGTTCTCCTATGTGACATAATCCTCCAGTGGATCTTCTGGCTTCATATCCACTCCAACATGCCCGCTTCTCCCAGCCTTTTAATTTCTTTCTCTGGCATGTGCCACAGCAATTCAGGAATTTTAACGTCTCTCAGTATGGGCTGTTTTTTTTTCCAGGCTTATAGGAGCCACCTTAGCAGCAAGTTACACCAACTTCTGGTGTCTCTGTTAGGGTGTTAAGTCTTGTATTCTAAGAGAGTGGCCCCAAACCAACAAACTCTCCCTTATCCGGTCTTACAAGAAAGCTCTCCTTGGTCAAGCACCTTCAGAACATAGTCCCATGGGACCTCCCTTGATTCCTCTCAGTACCTGCCGGCAGTTCCTTTGGGATATAGTCCTTTTCCTCCCCAGTCAGGTCCAGCTTGATTGTGGAAATGTTTTGCTGCATATAGGCCTGCTGCTTTGTGGTGGAAAGATCTATGTAGTGTCTTCTTATACAGAAGAAGTACTAGCTCTTATTGGGCAAGCATGAGGCATTTCTACAGGCTCAGAAGCTTTTGAGAGGGCTGGGGAGTCAAAATCTTCAGGAGCATCCACTTAGATGTCCCCATCCCCTGTGTCAGGGTCCTAAGTTTTCACAACTAGGACCTCGACTTTGGCATAACATATCTGCCTCAGTTGAGCATTCAGTTATCCTTGAAGTTCAGCCACTCTAATGATCAAATTCTGGGTTTTGTCTTCAACTTTTTATGCTCACCCATTGCATGAAATTAGGTCTTCTTTGTAAGCTACTAAAGAGATTTTGTGTTCGCACATTTAGTTTTTAGTTGTTATTGCCCTTCAGCAGGGCATCAATGTAACTAAATAAAAGTATAAGATTCCATTTTCTTTATACTTATATTTCTCGCATACATTTGAAATGCTTGAGTCATTCCATGAGCTAATGAATTCTCCTTACTGGTGTGTTCTCCTGAAACACCACAGGAGAAATATTTAGACATTGGGACTCTGTCTTGTGTCAGGGGCTCTCTGTGCATAACTTTCCACCAGGAATGGGGTCCTTAATGCCAGACAGGTGCTGATGAATCCAATATCCACACAGCATCTTACGGCTTCCTTTCTTGGGCCACTTCTGGCACCAAAAGTTACAGGTTGGCTTCTCAAGGAAGCAGATTCAGAGGAATTAGGAGTGCAAAAATTTATTAGGGAATAACACCTGTGAAGAAATAGAGACAAAGAAGGATTGAGGAGGGGGAGCCATCAGAAGATATGCAGTGGGTGGTGCTCTTCCTGGTTGTGTCTTGACAAAGTCTCTGCCAGCCCGAGGGGGCTCTCTGGAGCAAAGATTGCTCATTAGAGAAGTCCCATGTTGGGTGGGAATAGCTAGGCTTTTGTACCACTGCTTTGCTTGGTCATTCACTGGGGATCACCCCCAGGGAGTGTGACCTTGCTTATCACCACTTTGCTCAGTCATTAGTTGCTAGATGTCCCAAGAAGAGTATGATCCATATTCTAAATCCCTGGCAGATTCTGAAGATGCTAACAGCTGTCAGCCAACTACACTCCTTATAGCTGGGCAGTAAATCATTGATTGAAGGGGAATATGAGGGATGGATCACTATGACTTCGACATTGACTGAACTTAATACCACTGTGTATGAGCTAAATCTATTCGTTTAGACTACAATTTCTATTTCTCCTCCACTATCCAGTGGGTAAGCCTCACAAAGGAGATTAGATTTGCATGCCTGAGTGTCCTATGAATCAATTTAGGACCTAGCTGCGGTGCAGTAGCTTGGCATTGGCCAGGGAGGGCATCCATAGTGGTGGTGCAAGAGATACTCCACATCCAAGGGAATCTGAAGGTTAGGCTGCCTGGCTGGTGGGAGATAAGGTAGAGCTTCTTTTGGGAGAAGAGAGACCTGGAAAAGATGACCAGTTATGGACAACTGCTTTTGCTGACCGATTGATTATGTGGAAGTTGGGCCTTTTTGGACAGAAAGTCTGGGAGATTTTGCATTTTGTATCATATAAGGTGGCACCTCTTCTCTGTCAACACTACTTCCTAAGTTATGCCTGTTTTTTTCCCCACTTCCACATTTCATTCATTTGCCCATCAAACCTTTACAACTCTGTTCCAGCTATGTAAATGACTACAAGAGACTCTTCCCATGGTCTCAGTGCATGACCCAGTAGGGAAAATAATATTTCATTACAGCACAATGAGGTAGGTAAGTACTACTGTGATGGGAGCAAAAAGGAAAGTCCCTAACACAGTTAGACAAGGCTTCCCAGAGGAAACAATGCTAAGTTAGTCTTAAAGACAGAGTACAAACTAGTCAGGCATAAAAGCAAATAGAGAAGCATGTGCAAAAACATGAAAACATGAAAAGACATGGCAAGGCCAGGAATTTTAAATAGTTGTATATGGAGGAGAACCAAGATGGCCAACAAGACACAACCAGGAAGAGTATCACCCACTGAGAGATGAGACCATCAAGAAGACTAGCACACTCTGAGTGAATCTTCAGAAGGAAGACGTTGAGAGTGGACAGAGGGAGGACACCTACCCTGGGCTGAAGGGGGAGGAAGCTGGGAACCCTGCACAGGGCTGCCAAACATCAGGGCTCATTCCTGGCCCTCAGTGGCTCCTGGGGAAAGGATGAGTTAAATAGGTGAGAAGTGGCCCACTGTCATAAAGGACCATTGGAATCTTAGCTGCAGGAGACCCAAGACCCCAACAGATATTTAAGCTGACAGGGATAGGTACTTGGAGATGTGGCAGGGACAGGACTCCAGACTGTGTGGAGCCCCGAGGGTTTGGTTTGAGAATGGCTGCAATGGAACATGGCCAGGGATGCCCATCCCCTGAGGCTTGCCACGGTCCTCTAGGTGGCTTTGGCCTTTGTTGACTGTTGGACCTGGACAGAACAGGGCTATCTTGATTGTGGAATGGGCAAGTCTGATCTGAACACCCTCCTGTCTGCTGCCATCTCCCAGCATCCCTGCATGGCCACACCTGTTTGCAGCGCAGCCTCAGATGCCAAACTGGTGCACTTCCTGGTGGCTGCTGCCATAGCTCCTTCACTGGCAGGCCCAGCTAACCATCAGAGGGTTTGAGCAGATGGGCCCCTGCCAACGTGCATCAACCCATAGCCTCCCTTCATTGCTTTGCCAGCACACACTTGCTTGCAGCCTACCCCCACTGCTTTGCCAGCTTGTGTGCGTATGGACCTTGCTACTCACTCCATTGCCACCAGTGCCCATGGACTTTGCCACCACTGCCTCACCACCACTGGTGTGAGCATGTGCATGCAGACCTCACTGTCCTGCCACCTGTGCATATGCACACACATGAACCCTGCCGCACTGCTGCCCCATTGCTGACCCATGGTGGGTCCTGCCACACTGCTGCCCTATCGCCACTTGCATGCATGTAGACTCTGCTGCACCACCACCGGCAGTGCACTTGTGCACATGGATCCCACCATGTGGCTGCTGCCAGTGCATACAAGTGGACCCCATTGTGCTGCTGCTGCCAGTGCTCACATGCGTGGACCCTGCCACATCGCCACTGCTGATGCAAGTGCATGCATGCAGTCCCCACCACCCTGCCACTACTGGAGCATGTGCGTGCATGTAGATCTCACTGCGCTACTGCCCTGCTGCCACCAGCACATGCACATAGACCCCTTGCCACAGCCCCAATGAAATGCTTTTGCCAGCATCCTCCTCCCCTATTGGAGTATTGTTAGTGGAATGGAAACACCTCAGCCCCTCCAGCACAGTAGATGCTCAACTCGAGGGTCCAGAGAACAAAGCCATGGCCCTGGTCCTAGTCCCCCACTGTTACAGCATGCAGCCCAGGGGTGCTGAGCTGAGCCTTGGCCACTTGAAATTATCCAGAAATGAAGCCAGTCAACTGAAACCAACTTATACCACAGTCAAACCCTCAAGGACGTCAAAGAATATAAAAGGAAAAGCTCCATTAAAAGGACAGCAAATTCAAAGATTAAAGGAATATCAGCCCTTACAATTGAGAAAGAACCAGTGCAAGAACTCTGGCAACCCCAAAAACCAGAGTGTCTTATTACCTTTCAGTGACCACACTAACTCCCCAGCAATGGTTCTGAACCAGCCTGAAAAGGCTGAAATGACAGACATAGAATTCAGAATCTGGATAGTAATGAAGATCATCAAGATTCAGGAGAAAATTGAAACCCAATCCAAAGAATTTAATGAATCCAATAAAATGATACTAGAGATGGAAGATGAAATAGCCGTTTTGAAAAAGAACCACGCTAATCTGATAGAGCTGAAAAACTCACCACAAGAATTTCATAATACAATCAGAAGTACAAACAGTAACATGGACCAAGCTGAGGAAAGAATCTCAGGAAGAAATTGAAACGCTGAACAGATGAATAACGAGTTCTTAAATTGAATCAGTAATAAAAAGCCTGCCAAGCAGAAAAAGCCCTGGTCCAGACAGATTCACAGCTGAATTCTACCAGGTGTATAATGAAGAGCTGGTACCATTTCTACCCACAGCCAACATCATACTGCACAGGCAAAAGATGGAAGTATTCCCCTTGAGAACTGGAATAAGACAAGGATGCCCAGTTTCACCACTCTTATTCAACATAGTACTGGAAGTCCTAGCCAGAGCATTCAGGCAAGAGAAAGAAATAAAAGGCATCCAAATAGGTAGAGAAGTCAAACTATCATCTCTCTTCACAGAAAATATGATTTTATACATAGAAAACTTCATAGTATCTGCCCCAAAGCTCCTAGATCTGATAAACAACTTCAGCAAAGTTTCAAGATACAAAAAATCAACGTACAAAAATCAGTAGCATTTCTGTACACCAACATCTGAGCTGAGAGCCAAATCAAGAATGCAGACTCATTCACAATTGCCACAAGAAGAATAAAATACCTAGGAATACAACTAACCAGGGAGGTAATAAGAATTACAGAACACTGCTCAGATAAATCAGAGATGATACAAAAAAAATGGAAAAAAGGCCAGGCGCAGTGGCTCACACCTGTAATCCCAGCACTTTTGGAGGCTGAGGCAGGTAGATCTCGAGGTCAGGAGATCTAGACCATCCTGGCTAACACAGTGAAACCCCATCTCTACCAAAAAGCAAAAAATTAGCTGGGTGTGGTGGCGGGCACCTGTAGTCCCAGCTAGTCAGGAGACTGAGGCAGGAGAGTCGCTTGAACCCGGGAGGCGGAGGTTGCAGTGAGCCGAGATCGCACCAGTGCACTCCAGCCTGGGTGGCAGAGCGAGACTCCATCTCAAAAAATAAAAAAATAAAAAAAAGGAAAAAATTCCATGAATTGGAAGAATCAATATTATTAAAAGGCCATACTGTCCAAAGCAATTTGCAGATTCAATGCTACTCCTATCAAACTACCAACCACATTTTCCACAGAATTAGAAAAAACTATTCTAAAATTCATATGGAACAACAACAACAACAAAAAGCTCGAATAGACAAAGCAATCCTAAGCAAAAGAACAAAGCTGGAGGCATCACATTATCTGACTTCAAACTCTACTACAAGGCTACAGTAACCAAAACATGATGATACTGGTAAGAAAGCAGACTCACAGACCAATGGAACAGGTTAGGGAACTCACAAACAAAGCCACACACCTACAACCATCTAATCTTCAACAAAGTTGACAATAACAAACAATGGTGAAAGGACTGCCTATTCAAAAAATTATGCTGGCATAACTTGGTAGCCCCATGCAGAAGGTAAAAACTGGACCCCTTCCTTTCACCACATACGAAAATCAACCCAAGATGGATTAAATATTTAAAGGTAAAACTTAAAACTATAAAAACCCTAGGAGAAACCTAGGAAATACCATGTTGGACATAGGCCATGGCAAAGATTTCATGACAATGTCTCCAAAAGCAATTGCAACAAAAGCAAAAATTGACAAATGGGACCTAATTAAACTAAAGACCTTCTGCACAACAAAATAAACTATCAATAAAATAGACAACCTACAGAATGGGAGAAAATATTCACAAACTATGCATCAAACAAAGATGTAATATCTAGAACCTACAAAGAACTTAAACAGTTCAATAAGCAAAAAACAACTCCATTAAAAAATGAGCAAAAGACAAGAACAGACACTTCTCCAAAGAAGACATACATGTGGCTCACAAGCGTATGATAAAAGCTCAACATCACTGATAATTAGAGAAATGCAAATAAAAACTACAATAAGATACCATCTCACACCAGTCAGAATGGCTATTATTAAAAAGTCAAAAAATAACAGATGCTGGTGAGGTTGCAGGAAGAAAGGAACTCTTATACACTGCAGATAGGAAAATAAATTGGTGCAGCCACTGTGGAAAGCAGTTTGCAGAATTTAAAGCGGAACTACCATTTGACCCAGCAATTCCATTTTTGGGCATCTACCCAAAGGAATATAAAGTGTTCTACCATAAAGACACATGCACGTGTATGTTCATTGCAGCACTATTTACAATAGCAAAGACGTGGTATCAACCTAAATCCTTATCAATGGTGTTACATATACACCATGGAATACTACTATGGTGTTATAAAAAATAATGAGACCATGTCCTTTACAGCAATATGGATGGAGCTGGATGCCGTTATACTAAACAAATTAATGCAGGAATAGAAAACCAAATACCATATGTTCTCACTTACGAAGGGAGCTAAACATTGAGTACACATAGACACAAAGAAGGGAACAATAGACACTGGGTCCTACTTGAGGGTGGAGGGTGGGAGGAGGATCAGGGTCAAAAAACTATCACTTACTATGCTTATTATGTGGGTGACAAAAGAATCTGTACACCAAACCCTTAATGTTAAAAATGACATGCAATTTAACTACATAGAAAAACCGCACATGTACTCCCTGAACCTAAAATGAGTTTGAAACAAAAAATAAAAATAAAAAGTTGCATATGACTAGGTCTTAGTGAATAGCAACAAGGGTGAAGAAATTGGCAGGTGGCAGATTATAAGCAACTTTTATGGTAAAATAAAGAGCTGGTGGCTCATGCCTGTAATCCTAACAATTTGAGAGGCCAAAGCAGGAGGATTGCTTGAGGCTAAGAGTTCAAGACCAGCCTGGGGAATATAGTATGACTTAGTTTTTAACTAAAAAAGTTAAAAAAAATTAGCCAGGCATGGTCCTTGTTACTCAGGAGGCTGAGGTGGGAGGATCGCTTGGGCCCAGGAGTTCAAGGCTACAGTGAGCTATGATGATGCCTTTGCACTCCACCCTGGGCAACAGAGAAAAACCCTGTCTCTCTAAAACCAAAATTAAACACATAAATAATAATAAAAAAGAGCTTACTCTTGTGCCAAAGAGCAATAGGGACCCACTAATGCTGAGGAGTGATGAGATCAGGAAAAGTCACTCTGGTTGCAGTGTGGAGCATGAATTGGAGGGACAAAAACCTGGAAACAAGAGGGACAGCTAAGAGGATATTATATTAGGCCACATAGAAACTGTTATAAGTTCAAACTAAGGTAGGGACTCATATAAGTAGATGGATTTCAGAGATATCAGAGAGATTGAATCATTGGAACTTGATTCAAGATAAGAATGAGGGAGGGAGCAGGCAGAGTTGATTTCCAGGCTTCTGAATTTGGTGACTGGATTTACAGTGGTGATTGATCCCCTCTCCCACCATTGTGTCTGTATGACCCAACTCTCTGTGACAGTGGAAAGGGTATTTTAGTCTTCTCTAGCCACCATAACAAAATACCACAGACTGAGTGGCTTAAACAACAGAAATTAATTTTCTCACAGTACTGGAGGCTGGAAGTTCAACATCAGGGTGTGAGACTGGTCAAGTTCTGGTGAGGGTTCTCTTCCTGACTTGTAGATGGCCACTTTCTTGCTGTGTGCTCACATAGCCTTTCCTCCATGCATGCATGTGGACTGAGAGATCTCTGTCTCTTCCTTTTCTTATAAGGCCACCAATCCTATCAGATTGGTACCCCACCCTTAAGACCTCATTTTACCTTAATTACCTCCTAAAAGCCCTATCTCCAATCCAGTCATATTGGGGATTAGAGTACAACATACAAATTTTGGAGGAGACACAGTTCAGTCCATAGCAAAAGGTAAAAAAAAAAAAAAAAATCTAAAACATGGGTTGCTTAGAGTTCTCTGAACACTTACAGAAATACATATGCTTGGGTATATATAAACTGAACATGCAAACTCCCCACCTGTTCCTTTTTTGATTCCACCCAGGTTTCATCTAATATCTCCCTCAGAGTGACCATAACCACCTCCTTGTATTGCTTTGTTCTGGGGAGTGATTTGGGACCCTTGGCTAGCATGCTCAGGGCTTGCACATTCCTTCCTTGGTGATAACCCTAGATGGTTTTCCTCCGCAAGAGTGCAAATCATATTATGATTTGGCGATCCAAAATATACAAAGAACCATATGCTTACTTTTCACTACATCTTATAGCTATACAAGTTGGTGTTAAACTAACCCATCTGCTTTTCCATTGTCATTGTACTGTGGCTTCTGCTTTTGAGTGCAAGTCTGTTTTTTTCAGATTGTCATATCCACCAATTTTAAAGTCCATTAGTTTTATTTTTATATTTAATTTGACTCCCCATCAATGGTGTTTTAAATCAAGAGAGGGATTCTTATAGGGAGCTCTGGTTTAGCAGTGGGGCGAGGGCAAGAGAACACACAATAGTTTCTGTGTTGGAGATGTCAAGTTTGACATGCTTATAGCATAATCCAAGTGAGGGGGGCTCCTATAGACATTTAATTATACTTGTTCGGAGCTCACGAGAGAGTTTTGAGATAGAAATAAAAACTTGAAACACATCATAATGTAAGTGGAGATGGAAACCATGGGATAGCACACAAGAAGAGAATATGGAGTGTAAAGAAAGGGGGAAATGTGGTAGAACTTGGGAGAACATTGACATTAAGAGATAGAAGAGGAGACCAGGAAGCAGAAGAAAAATTATCAGTAGCAGGGTAAGAGGAAACCCAGTAAAGAGTGCTGTCATGGAAGTAAAAATAATAGAGATTTCCAAACTGGAGGAGGTTAATGGCATCAAATTCTGAAAAGAGATAAAATAAAATAATGGCTATCAAGTAGGGTAAAGTAGTGATCGGGAAACTTTCTGTAAAGAGCAAGTTAGTAAATATTTTAGACTTTGGGCAATACTGTTGCAACTAGTCAACTCTGCCACTGCAGAGTGAATGAAGCCACGGAAAATACATAAGTGAATGGCTGTGGCTGTGTTCCAGTAAAACTTTATTAACAAAAACCAGTGGTGGGCTGGATTTAGCCTGTGTGCCAAAGTTTGCCAACCCTTGCTATAAAGTATGGATTGCAGTTTATTGATGACCTTGTCAAGAGAAGTTCCTGTACAGTGGTGGTGGTAGAAACCATATTGCAATAATTGAGGAAGTGGAGACTGAGGATGCAACAAGCTTTTCTGAAGCTGTACAGTAAATGGGAGGAAATGTGGACCTTAGAGGCCTTCACTGGGTTCAGAGAGGGTTTTCAATCTTTCAGATAAACTCTTGCACTCTCATGGGGGAAGACTGTAATGTTATTTGGGAATATTTATAGAAGTTGTTTCCTTCTGTCTGCTTATATTCAAGCCTCGTGTGAGCTGCCACCAGAGCTTTAATTGACTTGTTCAGGCTTAATGAATATTTATTAGGAAAATTGTAAATCAACCATTTTGCTATAGGATTGAAGCTCAGTGAAACCACTCCTGGGGTAAGTTTTCCAAAGCTGCTGACATGGGGAGAGGATTTTTCTTAGGTTGTCATTGTAGGTTCTTTTACATGTTTATAGCTAGGGCATTGTGAATCAACAAATAAGCAAATACCTCCTGCTCAGAAGGTGGAAAGGCTGGCAAGAAAGTGGTCATTCTGAGGTTCTCAGCAGCTATATGCTTTCAGGGTCCCGGTATGACTCCTCAATTGCAAAGGCTCACAGCTTTTGGGCACGAAGAAAAATTTAGTCAACTCCCCCACCCCCGATTGTATTAGGAAGAGCAAGTCCAAGTGAAGGGGCAAAGGGAAAGTCTTCCTTTTGGGCTTTTAAAAGTATTTTCTCTGAGCAGAGCAATATACATAAATGAATGCAGATTCTTTTCAGTCATCATCTACCTTGTACCAAGACTGTAAGCCCTCTGAGGGTAGGGGCCAAGATTGCTCCTTCCTCATCTGGCAAAGAGAAGCAGAGAGTGTATGCCCTCTCACAACCATCCTGTGCAGGTGACATATGGTTACAATAACAATGGCTGTCAGAGAACTTGGGGAATCTTGCCCATTTGAATGAATTTGTGAACCCTCAGCATTGAGGAGGTTGAGTATATGGCAGTAGGTTTGGGACAGTGATCAACCCCCTAAAGCCTCCCTCAATCTTCTCCTGACAACAATGCTCTCCCTGGAAACCTTTTGAGAAAATCTGAGTGCCCCATGTTTTCACCGAATGTAAATGGCTAGTCTATGATTCTTGATCTTAGGTGTGCAGGAAGTCTCCTAGCACTTCATAGCACTTTTAGTTCTGGAGGCAGGTTTCATTAATTCTTAGTGCAACCCACCATTCTCTCCTAAGAGAGAATCTGAATTCAGCTGTGGGAGTGCACAGAACTCCCACACCTCAGCTGCTGAGTTTCATGTCTGCCAAGTGATCTGATAATAAATTGGTCCCAGGAACCTCAGTCCAACAGAGTGAGGACAAAAGGGGAGGGGTATGGTTCAGAGTCGCTAAAAAGCTCAGGTTTTGAAAGTAACTCTCTCAGTAACAGTAGGTTTTGGTAGTGTTTGTGTTACAAATGGTTTCTGACCCTTGTGAGATAGCATATTAATGCATCTTTTGCTTGATTGAGTCTGAATTCTGAGGAATAATGGTTTTGCTTCTTGCTTCTCAATTTGTTCTCCTCTACGTTCATCTTCTGAAGTCACAGTTGACCCTTTCCCTCATCCAACAGGAGGGAGACGATTTCCTGCAACATTTCTGCCATGATCTTACTAAGGTTTCCTTAAATACATTTGTCCTTCCTGTTTGAAGATTGTTCTGTTGACTGAGTGTGATCAGATGTGAGTCTTAACAGGGCAAGAATACTGATGCAGAGACCAAGAGGAATTCTTCTTTTGTGCACAGGGAGAGTGTGGCATTTGAAATACAAGGCCTTTTTGAAGACCTGATTGGTAAGGTTGACTCTATGTATAAGCAAAATATCTAACTACTTATAGTCCAATTTGAGAAATACTAAAAGCAGCCCCCTTTGTTTCCTCCTTCTTCCAAGGAGAAAAAAACCCCAAAATCCCACCTACACCAAAATAGTGCTCCATTATCTGTGACAGCAACTGAGATTAGCTTCTCCTTTAGGGGTAAGGAATTGAAGTGGCTGTTAAAACATAAATCTATTGTTTTGGAGGATCCAGGGACATTGTTTGGTACTTGAACTGATTTCATCACTCTAATCTAGTCACTGAACTTGCTCCGGAGAATCAATTGTCTTCTGGTAGGACTGCAACAGGTGTCTTAATTTTAAAAAGCAGTTGAAGAGTTATGAAGTGTGAGTGGTTTAACAGCTATTTAGCATTTCAGAGCACAGTGAAAATGGTAGTAATTATGATGATGCCTACAGTAAGCCAAGCTGTCCACAGTGTGATTATATCAGCCTTCACTTCAGAATTTTCTCAGTCTTCCTTTCCCACTCCCATTTTTCTTCTTCTTTAAGCTCTTGCGTTCCTTGCTTCCTAACTCCCTAACCCCAGATATCTTTTTTCCTTGATCTCTCTAGCATCTCAGCTGCACTTTCCTTCTTTTTTGGTTCAGTTGCAGATTATCCCCTCTCCTTTCCTCCTATCATTATCCTCTGTTCTCTAAGGTGATTATGATATAAGCTGGTGTACATTTAAACACTTGCTTTATTTGTTGGATAAAGTTGTATTACGTGTTCAGAATCTACAAATCAGACTAGATAATTAGCTTTTCATTTCTCTGTCAGAACTATTCTAAAATCAGTATAGTTCTAAATTCATTATTTCTTCTCCCACTCTAGATTAGTGATCCTTGGTGGAATAAACGTTTTCCAGTTAGGAATTATTATTGGTAATTGAAGCAGCAGCACAAAACTTAGCTAAGCAATTAAGAGTACTAGGACATATATGTTATGATGGCATAGGAAAGTAATTGGAAGTGTTTTTGAAGGTCAATAATCTTGAATTTAGGTACTTCTGTGGGAGGTCAGTTGTGGAGATGGGAGAATTGAAGATCAAGTTTAGAGCCAAGGCAGGCCTCTGGAAAGGAGTCCCAAAGGGTGGAGGAGACAAAGAATGGGAATGGAAGATCCTAAAGTTAAACTAATCTAAGTTCTTGGATGTATGGTTTTGCTTAAGCTAGGGGTCTGCGCCTGACTACAGTTGCAGTTGGGGTGGGGAGAGGAGTAATCCTTTGTGAAAGTCACCAGTAAGGTGACTGTTACATCATTGGCAAAGCTTCTAGGGGAAGTCAGTTAGTGAATAACTTCTTGGCATCTGCATCCAAGTAAATTTTAAACATCTAGCCAAAGCACAGAAACAGAATTCTTTCTTTACAATTTTATTTACAAAATGTATTAAAACTTTGTACAATACCTCATGGCAATGAGGCTCTGTAGTTTATGCCCACACATGCAAATTACGCTTTTATAGCCATTAGTTTGCTTGGCAATTTTTCTGTTCACTGAAGTACAGCTTTAACAACAAAAAGAAAAGAATTGGAAAAAAAATCCTCAAGTGACTACTGCCAAACTCCCATAGCTTGAAGTTAGTAGCAGAAATTTGAAGCAATCAACTTTTTTTTAAACATGCAAGTTTTTTTTAAAAAATAACAAACCAATTTACCCGCCTCTTCATCTCAGTGACGTTTCCTCTCTGAAAAACTGATTTGAGTTAATAAACATACATTTTTCTTTATACAGTGCCTATGAAAACATTTGTGTGTAGGTTGGTTGGTTTGTTTTATACAACTTCATGTTCACACAGCGTGAGCTTCCCGCGCTGGGACATTATAGCATTCATAAGTTGAAAATCACAGTTTCATGAAAACAAAACAAAACAAAAACACAACAGCTTTCTTTTTTTGTTCAATACCATTTGAAATTTGACAAGTGAGTTGTTTGCTTATGACACCATTTTTGGAATGAAAGTTTATAGTACACTTTTCTGGAAACATTTCGTTGGAACGATACTTCTTCCTTTCTTTTCTGAAGACAAGAGCAAATATGCAGCGAGTCAACTAAGCATCTAAGGGTCACACTTGGGAAATGAATGCGAGCTCCTAGTTTTTGCAGTCTGGAAACTTCCCAATGCACGTTATCGATGAGAGCAAACTACTGAACTACAGGAAGCATACGTCGTTATATAGGAGGTAATTAGTGAGTGGAGACTATTTCTTCGGACTGTTCTGATGATGCCAACGGCAGGTATGCAGTTAGTTACTTGATAGCCCATGGAGCAGTGGAGCGATCTGAGAGAGTCAATAGAGAGACTGCTCCAAGCAAGGATCTGGAAGTGATGCTGAGGCCCTCAGATTAGCAGTAGGTTTGGGAATGCATTTTAGTCTTTGCAAACTAGAAAAGGACACATGCAGTCCGATGGAGAGCCATGGGCGGTAGCAGGCAACAGCTAGTAGGACAGACCTAGCAAGAGTAAAGTCAGACTGAGAACTGTGGTCTGAACCTGCTGTCCCGCCTTGCAACGCGGTCCTGTCTCCGTGGTGTACACTTGAAAGGCATACTTAGCAGAGAAAGCCGAGCTAAACACAGTGTTGTTTCTGAGATATTCTAAACACATCTGGGAGTATAGGCAGCATTTCCCTCACCTCAATGCTAGATACTCAGCTCTATTGACTTAAAATGCACACTGAAGCAAGAAAAACAGATCTGTGAGCTGAAATTCCAGGCTCCTTGGAAAGCCCCGGGATCCATTTTAGGAAAGCACCAAGAGGTATCCTGATAGTGCCCCGTCCCTTGCTACACACAAAGTCAATTTCGAAAGCTCTGTAAATCTCTTCTTTGAGTGGGAAGTTATCAAAGCATTTTCACAAAACCATTTCAAGAACACAGAGAAATCACTGTTTAGTCCCTTTTCCAAAGTGTTTGAATTTTCTTAAGTGTTGCATTTACATTCTAAAGATATACACATTTCAGCAACATTGAAAGGAAATAGAGTGCACAGAACATCACCACCAACAGGAAATACCAAAAACATCTGGTCAGCAGATCCTAGAAGAAATGCCAGTCCGTCTTCCCAAACACTGGGAGACAGATTTTTTCTTTTTAATCAGGAAGAATTAATTTTTTTAGCTTAGATGGGCCTCTTTGCTGAATTGGAATTTAAATGTGTGTGTGTGTGTGTGTGTGTGTGTGTGTGTGTATTAAAGAACATGGTGTTTATATACTCTGCAGTGGTATCAAAGAATGGCTTTTGTTGAATTGACTTAATAAGATTTTTTTTCGCATACTGGAATCTTGCATGTCCATTTTTGTTGGTTTTTATTTTAATTATTTTTTTTCAAGCAAAGCAAAAAGATTTCAATGATGGTTTGCATTGTCGCGAGTCTCAGAGTGTTCCATAAGGCACTGAAGGAAAAAAAAATCAGTTTTTCCTATTGAAAGGTCATTGCACCATCAGCAATATTCGTGTCATGCCCGACACCAAGGAGAGTGAAATCTGGCTCAGGATCCTTGAAGCAGCCACGTTTTCGGTGATTTCCTCTCATCACATGCCTCCAGTGGGAAGGGATCTGCAAAGGCAAGGGGATATTTAAATTTGAAGGGGCTTCCTATTAGGAATTGAGAAGTTTATAATGGCTCAGTCTATCTTGGACAAAACTATGGCTGTTTTCTGAAATTGGCATTTCTGGGGTTGCACCTCATTTATTTGACTGGCTTTAGGTGACAGGTCTGGTTACATTCTCTACTATATGTATTGTACTAAGGAATATGCAGGTGTTGCAGGAAGTTTAATTCAAGGCTTTAATCACTTATGATGTAGGTATACCAGAAAGTTTCCATGGCATTTTAATACAGATATTCACAAGAACTAAAAGAGTGTATTCTGATTGCAGAAACTATGACAAAGGATTGTTCACCCAGGACAGAGGGTAAACAGTGTTCTATGGCTTACTGAATTGAAATCCATTTTAACTGTGAGAAGAAAATATTTTGCTTATTGCTAGAAAAGTGAGCAATTGTTTCTCTTAGTACCTACAACCTTAGTTATTAAAGTCTGAAAATAGCTCTGGGACTTTAAAGAGACAGCAGATTCTAGGAAGAGGCCAGAGCAGTGATACCCATGAAGGGGACTTGGCATCAATGCGGTCTTTGCCCTGACATATAGGCCTGATTGAAATGCTGATAGTGTCTTCTTTTTGGAGGCACTAACTAGTGCAGGGGATTCATTTGCCCCTGATTCTGAATACTGTAGGACACTTTCTTACCTCCTCTTCAAGTTTACATCCCTCTCTTTATCCTTTCATTCTGCACTAATGAAACACTTCCTTTTCTTCTAAGCTAACACCGAATTTTATCCCAAAAGAATGACGTAATTATGATCTACCACTGGCCCTGTAGTAAAAGTATCTGTAAGAAGAATGTCAAATATGCACCTGAAGGCCAAAAGCATCCAAGGATGGTAGAATAAGACTAACATGAAAGTAGACAAACCTCTTCCTTGGCACCCCTAAGTCCTGAGTCATATGTATCGCAGAAGCTTGGAGAAGTTTTGTATCTGGCAGAAAGAATAAAGTCTCCCCCTGTCTCCCCAGTGGGCATGGGACATCACTAACTAGTGGCATGACTTTGGGAAAGGAACCCAACCTCTCAGTGCCTCTGTTTCCACTTTTAAATGGGGTCAAATGAACTATTATCACTGATGTAAAAGTCCCTTGGGAGAAAGAACATCATCACCTTGGTTATCCAGAATGCTTTTTTTTTTCATACTTAACATAACGTGAATTCTTTTCAGCAGCAAAATGTCTCCAGTAAGCATGCCTATGCATAGGCTACAGAAGGAAAGTGGATCACTTTGAAAATGGGCTGCATCCACAAAGCTAATATTTTTAGGATGACTAAACAGAAAACTCCTACAAGAAAAATGAAAATCTTTTCCCCTAACTTCAGGCATGTTGAGGTCTTGTAAAGGACAGAGATTTCAAAAATATTTTTGAAGAAACCAAAGAAGCCAGAAGTACTTCTGAACTGCAATTAGGAAATGAGAAATAACTTCCTAAAACAATTAGCACAGTCAACCCTAGGGTGCAGTGAATCTGGAGCACTTGATGGGCAGTCACCTGCCAAGGCATGCTTGGGAGGATACACTTCCAGTGGCTGGTCAGTAACCCAGAGAGGCACCAGGTAGTCAAGAGGCTTTCTGCTCCCTAGTGGGAGCTAAACATGATCTGAGGCCGAGGCACATGTTCCCACAATAAGCCCAGTAATCCTGATGTGACTATCACCCATAGAAAATGAGAAACGACTCCCTCATCTTTCAAGGATGCCCTTTTATTAACCAGATTTCACTAGATCACATTTTTGCAGGTGATTTGCCCTGAGTCATTTTTCCTGAACAATTACTGGTACTATAAACTCCCAAGGTGGGCTCTGATAATTAGTAATAGAAGTAAAATCTCAGGGTACCTCTTGATGTCGGTGCCCCTGGATAGACCTTGACAGATTTAGGCCAACTCAGAGAACTGGAAGCCTAATAACTAGGTAACAAATTAGAAGTCACCAGGAGATATTCCAGACCTTCTTGGGAAATAAAAGATGAGTGGGTGAAGATCTCACTCTTCACTTAACCAACATTCCCCTAATCACATCACCAAATTGGCTGAGGACAACAGAGAGGTTTCAAAGCAGCTTGCTTTATGCCTCTTGACTAACACAAGTGAGGTTTTCCTGGCGTCGTATGAGGCTTTTGCTTCTTGTCTGGAGACTTTGTACAGGCTTGGAGGACAGATTTGTTTGCAGATGCTCTTCCCAACCTTTCTTTCACCCTGGAGATGGTTGCCAAGGTGCTAGGTAATTGGGCTATAACCACACTGGCATGGGAGTCTATTAAAATGTGAGTGTTGCCTCAAGTAGCCTGAATTTTGCTTCACAAAAGTGGATCAACTCAGATGAGTAAAGGAAAGCCAGAAGTTGTGGCATATTAGTTTCTGAGACTTTCCCCTCAGGTTTGATGTTCCAGGCCGCCACTTTTGGATGGCAACATTATGTCCTAACAAAGGTTTGCTGATCCCAGTTTCTTTCCTTTCATTTCCTTTCAGTTCCTCCCTCCCTCCCTCCCTCCCTTTCTTCTTTCCTTCCTTCCTTCCCTCCTTCCTTCCCTCTTTCTTTCTTTTCCCCCCTCCCTGCCTCCCTGCCTCCATCCTTCCTTCCTTCCCTCCTTCCTTTCTTCCTCTTTCTTCCTGTATCTCTATCCCTCTTTTCTTCCTTCCTTTCTTTTCTTAAGTTACATTCTCTGAGTTTATTTTCTCTAGAATCTTTCTACTCCTGGGACCAGCAGCATCTGCATGACCTGGGAGTTTGTGAGAAATCTAGACCCTCAGGCCCCATCCCAGACCTGCTGGATCAGGATCTATATTTTTAGAAGGTTCCCACATGAGTTGCATGCACACTAATGTTTGATGAATACTGCTCTGGGGCTTTAATAAGAGTCTGAGGCTATAGTAATTGGATAGTAGGGACATAAATTCTCAGATGGAATCGTTGATAAAGAGTCTGGAGGTCATGTGACCCTGAGCCTTGATGTAATCCTGTTTCAGAAAGATTCTTTCTGGGGAAAGTAGGAGTGATTGAATATTCAATCTTGTGTGGAGTGCATAAGGAATGGGGCATATGGAGGCTTGGTGAAGTTTCTCAAGACTTTTTTTGTGGACAAGTGGAACAGAAACTCAAGATCTGCTCTCCATTTGACAGGATCCCATTAGGATTTCAAGTTTCCTGGGGGACATCAGGCCATGGGTGGTTAGAAGTAGCATGGTTTAGCAAAGATATGGCTATAGGCAGAAGAAGGGCTGGGTTCTAGTCCCAGAACTGCCACTACCTAACTGTGTTGCCTTGAGTAAGTCACTTCATGGGCTGGGTCTTACTGATAATTGCCTGATCCATCTTATCTCAAATGAGCCAATAGATGTGAGAACACTTGGATGACTGCTACACAAATTTCAGGTGTATTATTTATTTGGAGGCCAGCACCTCAAAATTTGGGATAATTAAGTTAGATTGAAATTGCTCATGTCCAGCAAGCCTGTCTATGTGTAGGCTACAGAAAGAAAGTGGATCACTTTGAAAATGGATTATGAATCATGTATTAATATTATCCTATAAAAACATATGCCCCAAATTGTAATGGGCCTATGGCACCTACTCAAGAGTAAAACATTTTAAGCACATTGAAACATTAAATGCTTGCATGCAAACAATGCAATTACAGATGAATCCATGTATTGTACATCCACCAATGCAATGGGAACACTGTCAGCGGATTGGTGCAGTGTGCTGAATATGTTGTGGCAAAAGGCAGGAAGAAGGAACAACCAGCAACTTCACTGGACAAAATTATGTTTTCCATGACCAAGACAAATGATTTATTTGAATGAAATATTATTTAAAAATTGGCTAAATGTAAATCCACAGTGTGAACTATAAGAAGGCCAAAACACAAATGCAGCCGGGCATGGTGGCTCACGCCTGTAATCCCAGCACTTTGGGAGGCTGACGCAGGCGGATCACTTGAAGTCAAGAGTTGGAGACCAGCCTGGCCAACATGGTGAAACTCTGTCTCTACTAAAAATAGAAAAAAATTAGCTGGGCATGGTGGCAAGTGCCTGTAATCCCAGCTACTTGGGAGGGTGAGGCGGGAGAATCGCTTGAACCCGGGATGTGGAGGTTGCAATGAGCTGAGATCGCGTCACTGCACTCCAGCCTGGGCGATAGAGTGAAATTCCGCCTCAAAAACAAAACAAAACAGAACACCCCCCAAAAAAACCCCAAAACAAAACAACAACAACAACAACAACAAAACACAAATGCACTTGTAGAAATCCCAGCATATTGACATTTACTCATGAGGTCAAAATTGCCTAAAATAAGGGGTATGAAGTTGCTTATTGTTCTGTTCCACTTCAGATAGGCATTTTAGTGATGACAGATGCACTTTAAAGTAACAAGACTATATTCTTTTAAACACGTCCAGAATGGAGACATTATTCTAATTCGAGCTTGCATTTGAACATTCTGAATTATTGGTGGTGTTTGTAGTTGCCAGAGTCAAGGTGGCAACACTCAGGTTCACTGAAGTATGAATTAGGGCTTGGCTAGCAGCTGGGAGCCTAGACTATCCTTTGATAGACACTTACCTGTGCACCAGTTCCAAGGAAGGGACAACAAAAGAACTCAAAGCTTAAGTGAATTATCTCAGACTTATACACTGTTTACTTAAAAGAACCACCTCTCCCTATGGAAGTGCTGTATTACTTGAGGTGGCAGTGTTTCACCTGTGTACCTAATTTTTTTTTTTGAGATGGAGTCTCACACTGTCACCCAGGCTGGAGTGCAGTGGCACTATCTCGGCTCACTGCAAGCTCCACCTCCCAGGTTCACGCCATTCTCCTGCCTCAGCCTCCCGAGTAGCTGGGACTACAGGCGCCTGCCACTATGCCCGCCTAATTTTTTGTATTTTTAGTAGAGACAGGGTTTCACCGTGTTAGCCAAGATGGTCTCGATCTCCTGACTGCGTGATCCACCCGCCTCAGCCTCCCAAAGTGCTGGGATTACAGGCGTGAGCCACCGTGCCCGGCCCCTAATTTTAATATCTGTTCCAGAGCAGCTGCTTTCTCTAGAGATGCATTGTCCAATACAATAACCACTGGCCATGTGTGACTACTGAACATTTGATATGTAACTAGTATGAGTCAAGATGTACCATAAGCATAAAATATACCCCAGATTTGCAAGATTAGCGTGAAGAATGTAAAATTTGTCATTCTTTTTTTTGTATTGATAACATGTTGAAAGGATCATATTTTGGATATATTGGGTTAAATAAAATGTATCATTAAAATTAATTTCACTTGTTTTACTTTTTAACATATGACTACTAGAACATTTAAAATTGCACACGTGGCTCATGTATGTGGCTTGCATATATTTTCTATTGAACAATGATGTTCTGGAGAATTGTATTTCCTTTTGGGTCACAGACCACAATTTAATTACAACCATTCTATTAGAAAAGCACCACTGCCTGACAAGAAAGCACAACCATTGTTTTCAAAGAATCAAATGGTTGCAAAGAGACAATGCTTTGAACAATAAACCAAACTAAAAAAAAAAAAAAAGAAGAAAAAAAGAGATTGACATACAGTAAAGTAAAGCTGATTAGTTTACTAGACCTTAACCGTACCCCTAGATCTTAACACTCTCTGTTCCATACACGTTGTAGCCTTCTCTGTATGTAGCATAATTCTGAGTGTTGGTGGCAGGAGCAGGCTTAAAGTTTTGGGTGTTCTTTGTGAGTTTCATGCGTTTGGACTCTGCCCGTGATTTGTAACAGAATTCTATCAAAGCCACCATCATGGCCAGCCCCAGACCTCCGACAAGTATATAGAAAACGCCTGCCACATTGCTCAGGCTCAGAGCGCTGGTCTTGTCCTAAGAGAAATGAACAACGTGATTAGATCTTGGGGAAAACAAAGGCAATGGAACATTATAATATATTACAACAGTACAGGGGAGTTCTAAATTGTAAAATAACTAAACATTGATGTAAGTGTTATGACTCAATTCTGGCAACTGGCTAATGTTTTGCAATGACCAGCAAGACGGTAGATTGTGCCTCTGTTAACAGTCTTGATCCTCACCTAAATGTCCTTTCATCTTGACTCCTTACGTTCCTTAGTGCCTCAAAATGGTGTTCAACAATTAATAAAACAGCACTTGGCCATGGGAACAAAAGAGTAAACACAAGCATAATTTATTCCTCTGCCAGCCTTGATAAACACCATTTGCCAGAGTTGAGCGGTGACATAATCTCTATAAATGTAACACTCTTTTCATTTGGGAACTTGAAGCACTCTTTCCCCTCTCTGCCCCGCAACACCCCTTTCTCCCTTGCTCTCCCTGTGACAAACTTTGTGAACGACTAGTCTTTAAGATACGACATGATAATATTAGAGGTTCCTGCTATTTTTCTCTGAGGAGTTATTTTGCAAGGGTTTGCTTAAAAAGGGTTAACTCTCCTCTTTCCCCTAGTGGCTGAGAAAATGCTCCCTTTGGAGATTGGCTGCTAAATCTTCATCCTAGTTAAAATCAGGGCAGCAAGTCTTTGTGTTGCTGGAACAAGGGCACAGCACAAAGAATTGGCTCCGTTCCATTTTCCTGAGAGTTTAAGGAGAGTGTCAGAGGATCCATCGGGTCCTAGATTGGCTCCATACAAATCAGAAAGCTTTTCCAGGAGGCTGATGATTTTTTTAAAAATCCAGCTCATTTTTAACTTTTACTCCAGGGAATGTAGAGAATAATTTTTAAAAATTACACTTATTTGCTTTCTTTGTAACAAGGGGGAAAAATTGAGGAAGCCGGTCAGTGACTTTCAGGTCAAACTGTGCAAATCTGACTAAGCTATCTGCCTGTATGAAAAAGCAAAATCTGAACTGCTGAACAATGGAAAGAAAAAAGTTGGTGTCTTGAGCCCTACCTTGAGGTAGGACACACCAAGGGCCAGGAGTCTTTCTTTGAAAAAGAAATAAAATAAAATAGCATTTTGTAGTCTTTTTAGAGGGTATGTAACCATTTTGCTGCTGAATGTAATTGAATGGAATACCCAAATTGTTAAGCCAGTGAATTTTGAGCATCTTATTTAAGTGACAACACAGTGACAGATGATGGCCATTGCTGACACTTAACACTCTAGTTCAGCTGGTCTTGGTATCATTTAAATAATTAAAAGTAAAGACAATATGGCCGTGTCCTTCTTATCCCATTTTCATAGAAGCCAGTCCTATACTTGTTTACTTTAATAAAAGGTCCAATTGAAATTGAATTGCATTCAGAAACGGGGTGTGGGAATGCCTCATATTCACAACAACCTTGCAAATAGTCACTCTTTTAGGATGAATGACAGCTAGACAAGTAGTAATAATTTCTGTCACATATGAAATATTGGATTATCTCTTTAAGGAGACTGGTGAGGCTATCTGCAAGGATGTTCCACAGTCCATTGGGAAATAGACCAATTTCTGGTAACCCTTCCTCTGCCATTAGACTTTTATATGTATATGATATTTAATGGGGGGAGAGGTCCTTTGACATAACCCATGTAAGCTGTGACAAGAAGAACAGTTTCAAGTTCCATGTATTATTTAAGTTTCACAAGAGTTATAGAATTCCCTGATGTGGGATGTAGAAAACCAGTAGCAAAATGGTTCATTGCACGGGGAAAATGAGTGGCATTTCATGAAATGAATTAACTGATACCACGATATTAGTCCAAAAAAAGGAAAGGCAAAAATTGAAACTAAAAAAGAACTTTCTTAGGGGAGCGAAGGGGGGCAGGAAGGAGGCGGGGAAGAGTGTTTCATGCTTATCAATGTGATGTTATCCTAACGATGTATACCTTTAAGGAGCATGCGACTAAATTTTAAAAGTATTACGTACAGAGATTCAAATGACACCTTTGGAAGAGAGAAGTGTGACAGACTTAATGAGATTCGAGATCCAAATTAATGCTGAACTCAATACAACAGCAGCTGGCAGGAGGCTAATCATTCTGCTTACAGAGACCAGTCTTTGTTATTTATTCGTTTGACTGTTTTCAGATGGGATTGACATAATATATTAATAACCAAATGCATTTATAACTACAAAGTCTCTGACACTGTAAGAGGTTAAGAGAAAGTACTGTCACAAATAAATCTTTCTTTTTTTTGGTTGTTGTTGTTGTTATTGTTATTATATTTTCTCTTTGAACTTTTGAAATGTGAAATACAGTAAAACCCCCTTATAACACAGCTCATTATTTTATAACTTTGGAAATGCAGTAGGCCAGATTGAGTTTCCTAATCATCATAACTGTTCTATAGAGTCAACAATTGATGTCATGTGGCAGGCCTCTGAGGCTGGCATTTGTCTTATTCCTTTAGCACTGTTGTTATAAAGGGGTCCCACTGTGTCAGGGAGTGTGTGTTGGGAAGGAAAGCCGTTTTAGGGTAGAAAATAAACAGTGGGTCAAAATGTGATTGCTAATCAGTACAAAAAGACCTTCAGCGACTGACCTTACTCCCGGAGTCCTTGGCTCCACATTCCCCCTTATCGTACCACCATTTGTTTTTCAGCTTGTCTAAGATGCCTTGTTCACTGAGTTTCAATACTGCAAGGTTTACAGGCGTTCTTCACGTGGGAAATAACATAAATAACATTATATTATGTTATTTTATGTTATTCAAGCTTCAAACTACTTTAAAACTATAGAAAGCGATAAAGCAGGGGGCCCTGGCCACAGAGTAATTTTAGACACTGCAGGCAACCTGAGCATTACCTTATAAAAAGTTAACACTACAGCAACGCTATATTTACCAGGGCCTGCCCATATCGCTTTGAGTAATCGGCACACACTGTTAAATAATGAGGATAGAAAAAAAGGCACTCCTCAGATAGGTTGTGTGTGGTGAGGAGGGTCTCCCCTCAGGTGACAATCGTCGGCGGCAGCTTGCAGTAGCTTTGTGAAGGAGATGTGTTAAGTTTGATCTAACTGGGTGTCTTGTTGTACTTCCAGACAGAAAGCAAATTTTATGGAGGAGTCGGGAAAAGGACAGACCCAGAAGGGGAAGTGTTTCCATATTGTGGACCGAGACAAATGGATAAATCCGAACAGAATTGAAAATAGATTCTACATAAATAACATGCCTTCTAATTAATTGTCCTTTATCACACAAGTCTGTTGCCCAGCTGAAAATGATCTCAGAAAGAACTGTACCACGTACATGTTCTTACTCCACAAACATGTAGTCGAAATTCTTATGCACATACTGGTCTTAGTATTAAAGGTATATTGTGGACCTCTGTTTTGGATAAGGGGAGTATTTTCAACAATGTAAAAACTGGTCTATGGATTGTTTTTGAGTTACTGATTGGCTGTCCTTCTGATATGGCCATATGTCTGTGGTCAACTTAGATCACCAGAGGGCAAACCAGATTGTTTCAAAATGGATTATTAATATGGCAGGGCCTAAACCAGCAAAATGACTCTGCCACTGTTGGGTAACGCTGTAGAGAAATAGTTTAATTGTTCTAGTAAGATAAGACTTCCTCAACTAAGAGGCTAGTACATATCCCCAGGAGGCCAGGCCACTGCTCCTTAGTCCTTCACTGCTTAAAACATAAGGACTGCATTCAGAGCCACTGGGCAAGTGCCCGAAACCCTACTGGTTCTAGGATAAAGATTTTCTCCCTTATAAATTTCTTCAGCTGTAAAATGGGAATAATGACCTTTATCCTGTCTTCTTTCTAGAGCTATTAGATTTTAAATGAAGAATCTTTAATGACTTGGGATAAAAAATGCACCATGTAGAGAGGGTGGCATAATTCTGAGGCAATAAACTGTCTGTTCACATTCATGGGAGCAATATTGCCAAATATTAGTGCATGTTGGTCTGAATGTCACTAACTTAAAAAGAGGACAGCAGAAAAATTTATGGAACTGTGAACATGCTGTAAAAATTTCTTAGCCTATTTTGGATAAGTTGGACCCACTAACATATCCAGTCACTAATAAGACTTGCTATAGTCACAGAGATCTGGTCTCTATCATACAAAGTCCCAAAACCTATTTCCTTTCTTCCCTCATTTGCTGTTTAAAACAGAGGGGCTATCTTATCTTCAGATAGTCTGAGAAAGATATAATCATTTAAAAATAATGCAATTTCAGAGTACTTGCGGTTTGAATAACTATAAATCTTTAATATCAGGGAGGTAACTTTCTTGGTTAGCGTAGGACCTGGCAGCCAGAATATTTGGATTTTGTATCTCACTAGGAAATTGAGATCCTTTTATACTTTAAACAAGTTCCTTCAACCAATGCTCGGAACCCCAGGCTTCTCAAATGCTAACCAGTTGCTTGGAATGCAAAGCAACAAAAATATACTCAAATAAAACTTTGAGCCTCTTTAAGATATTACTGGCAGTGAAAGTTAAGTCAGGCTTTCAAATGACAGACAGGCCATCGATGGCCCTGAGTTTAGTGTTGGCACTGTCTTCTCCTCTATTCTCCACCGTCTGATGCTCTTCTCTCTCTTCCTCTTCCCTGTTGTTGTCTCATCACTACCACTTCTCCTGCAATGCTATGCCTTAAGTCAGGCAGTGGCACCAGGCTCAGCAATGTGGCAATTAGCTCAGGATACAGGGGAAGATGCTTTCCAATGGCATATGAGTGACTGGGCTCATCAGGACCACAGGAGAAACTACAAAGCAAATTCTTCCTCCTTTCTGTGCTTCCTCTTTTCTTATTGCAAAGGGCCCAGTGTCCTCACACTGCTACCTGACTAAGCCCTTACCCGGTCCTGTCCTCCCTCCCGGTAATATGTTCTTCAAATTACGTCATTCAGTTTCTTCAGTACTGCTGCTCACCAGATCTTAGGAACAGAGCAGTCTGATTAAAGGTACTCACACTAAGGTCTAATAGGGAGATTTCACTGCTCCTAGAGATCCTAGTTTCAAAAGAAATTTATCAACCCTTAAGTGAACTACATTCATAAAAGTGTGGCATGTCAGTTTAGAGCAGTTGTTCTCAAAGTGTGGTCCAGGGACCCCCGGAGGATCCCTGAAACCCTTTCATCAAAAGATCTGTGAGGTCAAAACTATTTTTATAATAATGCTAAGTGCCCTTCTCACTATTATTCCTTCTTGATATACAGTGGAGTTTCCTGGAGGCCATATGATGGGTGAAATTACAATAGATTGATTGAAGAAGCAGAAATGAGAATCTCATTCTCTGTATTATACCAGATACCAAAGAGATTTACAGAAATATAGACAGTGCCATTCTTCTCACTATTCTTTTTATTGTTTTAGAAAAATAGTTATTTTTCATGAAAGTATATTATTTATGTTAGCATATATTGGGTTTATTATTTTTTAAAATGAATCAATGAATACATGAACAATTTTTCAGTTTTAATTTCTGATGTGGTAAATATGAATAGATGTAACACACATAAAGAAAATCTATTTGGGATTCTTAATCATTTTTAAGAATGTAGAGAAGTCCTGGGACAAAGCATTTCAGAAACAGGTTTTGGAGGAGGGAAGGCTATTCTTGTGCTAGGGGTCCATGCTGGGCTGCCACTGTCCACTCTTGCCAAAACCCAGGCTCAGTACATCGGTGACTTAGCATCCTACTTCTGAACAATGGCTTATCCCTGCCTTAGGCCATCTAGTGGCTTCCACGAACTGGCTAGTAACTGCTTTTCACTCCCATGGCTTAAACCATTACAGTGTAGGTTACTTTAGAGCAATAGTTTTCAACCAGAGGCCATTTTGTCCTCCAGGGGACATTTGGCAATGTCTGGAGTCATTTTTTGTTGTCACACCTGGGTCGGGGCCGGGAGATGCTACAGGCAACAAATGCTGCCTTTGAGTATCCAGACCTCCTGTGAGATACCACAGGACTTTAGAGAATTTTGACAAATGACCTACTCTTAGAAGTTTAGCCTTGGATCGGAAAAATAATCACAGGGTTTATGAAACCTGGCAGGGAACCAATGTGCTTTTGGGAACTTCTAAATAAAAATGAGGGAGAAAAACAAACATTTCAAGCAGCAGCACAGCCAACAAACATAAAAGCTGTAATCAGAAATCACAGATAATACCACTTAACAAGGTTACAATAGATGCCAAGAAAAGAAAGTACTTTAAAATCCAAATCTCCTAGAACTCTATGTTGCTGTGGGGTAGACTAAATTTCTGAGACGGCAGAGGAAAACTGCTTTTGTCCACATAGTTTTCTTTCTTACTGTACCTTATTAGATGTGTTACCTAGCCCAATCCTAACCAACTGAAGGTATTGACACCCTCTCCCCAACACACACACACACTCTTACACATAGGTATTTTGAAGGAAGTGGAAATAGGTGGGCATTTGATCATTTTGAATGTCATTTTCTCCATGAAGCCATTTTTGCTCTTCAATGTTTTCTGTCTCTTCCATGACTTCTACCTTGCCTTATTATTTATGCCTATGTCTTATGTCTCCCACTACACTGTGTGCTTCTCAAGGGCAGGGAATATGGCTCATGTATTTGTATCTCCATTTAGGATATTTTTCTTAATAAATACTTGTCAAATCAATAACTCTTTTAGTATTTTGTTTTTCAATCTAGTATATTTACATACTTATTATTATGATTATAATTATTGTTCAGGTTTAATGATCACCCTAAGAAGGTAGATTTATGGTGTCTATTTAATACAAAAAGAAATTGAGGCACAGATAGGTTAAGCAATTTGCACAAACCTGTGCAGCAACTTATGGGGTGGGTCAAGAGGCCAATTAATATACATTGAGCTGTGTTCTGTACATTCTCCAATGGAATACACAAAAGGGTAGCATCCCTCTTTATTTTTGCTCTTCAAGCTTAGATATTTGTGATGACTTTATTTTCCTTTAGGGACCCCCATACTCCAAATAACTATCAATCTAGCAAGGGTGTATTTTGCAGCTGGGGCCTTTTACTGTGGTGCAGCAATGTCTCCAGTGTAATGTTTCACAGCAATTACTGCAGGCCCTTAACTGGTACCTAAGAGAATTATAAGTCAGAAATATTTATTGTACTCACCTCAATAGAGAACAGAAAGAATTAAACAAAGTAGGTCAGATTCCTATCGTGGAAATTAGTCAGGCACTCTCCCCTCTGAAGGGCTTGCTATGAACTTTTTGCTGAGTAGAGCCGTCTTAAGACAAAGACATGAGTCAGCAGGCTTAGGGAAAAAACAGGAGTGCTTTGTGACATAATTTCATGGGGACTGGGAACATCCCTCCATCCAAAAATATTTATCTCACTGGCAGCTGAAATTCCACTGTGAGAATTTCACATCTTCAAGTGACATGATTTGTTAAAATACAAATCCTTCTGAGAAATGGGAAATGAAACAAAGAGTAAATATTTATAAACTACAACTCTTTGTTCTATTTTGTCTAAAAAAATGTTTGAGGTGGGGTGGAAGAGTGTAAGGTTCCCCTAAGAAAACATTTTGTGGCATGTAAGTCATAAAAATGCATATGGATTGCTGATCAGATGGAGAGAGTGAGAGAAATGGGAATTAGATAGTCATTTAAAAGTATGTGAAGTTAATGCTGAATTGTGTCTCAGTGATGATTCCTGAGTGTGGGGAACAGTCATGGAATTACATCTGTCTGTTTTTTATATGGAGGATAGTAATGTAATTCATAATACTTTGATAATGAGTTCATTTTTTGAAGAAAACATTATTGGATTATAAAAATTTCTGCTTATCTCTACCATCCACACCTGCCACTAACTCAGCTACTAAGACTGCTCACAATCCAAGGCCTCCACCTGCCAGCTGGTGGTCTCCTGGATTCCAGGCTCAGTTCCTGGGTTGTACCAACCAGCCATTTTAAAGAATCAATGTTATCTTAGTGATGGCCAACCTTACATATGGAGACAGCTTTAGGATAAGAATGCCATTGATTTTTTTTTCTGTGAAAGTAGAAACTTATTTTTTTTTTAAATTTTTATTAATTATTTATTTTTGAGACAGAGTCTCGCTCTGTTGCCAGGCTGGAGTGCAGTGGCATGATCTCGGCTCACTGCAACCTCCGCCTCCCGGGTTCAAGTGATCCTCCTGCCTCAGCCTCCCAAGTAGCTGAGACTACAGGCACATGCCACCATGTCCAGCTAATTTTTTATATTTTTCGTAGAGATGGGGTTTCACCATGTTGGCCAGGATGGTCTCAATCTCTTGACCTTGTGATCCGCCCACCTCAGCCTCCCAAAGTGCTGGGATTACAGGTGTGAGCCACCACGCCCAGCCAAAACTTAATTTTTTTAAAAAACAAAATAAATAAAACTTTTGATGTATTTCAAAAGAACTGCTTAATTTATTTTAAAGTTTTAATTTCAGGAAATACCTAAAATAGTAAATAGCAAATAGTAGCTTAGAACCAGGTTGGATTCCTTATCATGAACAAAGAAATGGTGAAGAGAGTGATATGAGGGTGCTGAGCTTAGGGGAAAAGAAGGAAAATTGGGTCTTGTCAATTAATTACCAAGTTGATTCTGTGAAATAATCTGGTGATCCTGGAAGGGTAAAGAGAGGAATCTATACTGTCAATATGGTTCTGGGCCTGAAAAATATCAGAACCCAGGTTGTAGTATGATTTAGTCCCCTGAAATACTATGGGATATATACTACTATAAATGGCTTCACTTCTCCTTTCAGAGCAGGGACACCTAAAGAGCAAATGTCTGTTTAATTAATTATTCCAGAAGATCCTCAATGGTGCCCTTAGGAGAGATAGATATATGTGTAAATATGTAGGTTATGGAGAAAGACAAAGAGATCACAGAGAAGTAAAAGAAATGTATGAGCAAGGGTGGTGCATTTGCATAGTCAATTAGAAATCTGCTCTGATAACACATTATCTGGATGACGAGAATGGAAACTTATCACGGCCTAAGCTGGAAGCCCCTCCCTCACCCTATCCCTTAACCAAACCCTTGCTCTAAGTTACTAACACCTGCTTCTTGGTATCTAGTGATCTTTTGGGAACAACTTTTTAGAAATGTCTTTGGCCCAATGGAGGGAGAACAGCCATCCTCTCTTTTGCTAACTCTTTTACTGAAGATGTTTCAGGTTTTCATGATGGCAAAGCATCTTTCCCAATCACTCACTTGCTTCTCTAGCATTCTCTGGAAAAGCCCCAGCATCACCCAGGACATAACAGGCATGTACAGGCAGGCAGTCACAGACATCTCTGCCCAGGTTGGTCTTGCTTTATTTAGCTGAAGCCAATTGATGATCAAGCAAAAGAAGAATATTTGCTGTATTAAAGAATTTACTATGTGGTACTTTACATTCTTTTCTGTAGATTAACCTGGGATATGTATAATGAAGGGATTTATCTCTCCATATAGCAGCTGTTTAAGGCCATGGCAGTTCAGAATATGCCCTTGAGTACACCAGTGTCTGAAGTCCTTTAAAACAAATCTCTATCCCTTTGTTTTCACAGGGGTTCCTGAATGTAGGATTCCAGGAAAATGAGGATTTTATTTCAATCCTTCTATCCTTGGATCAGCCTGGGCTTTCTGTACAACGTGGGAGCATGTGCATATATGGCTGCTGGCATTACTGAACTCTGGCAACCTAAATAATCCTCATTTAACAAGGGCAGCTACAATGATTTGCAGTTATGCAGTGCTTAGCTGCTAGAAACCATCTCTGAGAGAGTATTTATATTCATGTAGTTCACAAATATAGCTCAAACCTATTTAACTCCTTGCTATTGGGATAATAATTTAATATAAGTGCAAAGAGAAAATTCAATAATGCGTGCATATAACATTAAGAGTTGAAAGCTGTGAGTCATTTCACTAAGGGCCTAACAATGCTAGTGATTGAAACCTATTGATGAGCATCTATGCTGCAGCAGCAGCCCCAGAAGCAACTCTTACACACATGGGTAAAGCCAGTGACATTTCTAAATTACAACCTCTCAAATACAGAGCAGTAGACCCCTTGATTCCATAGGTTGTGTATTTCACTGATAGATTTCTACTAAACTGCCAAACTGGACCTCTGTTCAACTTCTCCATCTAGTAGTTGAACCCAATAGTCTGGGAAGACCTCTTACTCAATTTATCCCTGACAGAGAGAAGGGGCTCAGGGAAAATGCTAAGTTTTGAACAAAATATGGCCATAGACACTTTCTCAAATACATAATTGGCATGATTCACTTGAAAACTCTGGTTTAAGATCCTTTGAAAGATCAAACTATCAAATTTTATTGGGTTTTATCATATATAAGTGTGTTTTCTTTAGTTCATTCCAATGGCACCTAGAGAAGCATAGAATGAGAAGAGAGAAACAGATCGGTACCAGAAACTCACATGATGTATGTTTCTGAAGACATTTAACTCATTCCCCTGATCCTAGACAAAATATGCATTGAGAGTTCAATCTGATGGGTGCCAACATCCTCTTTATTCTCCAATAGCCATCCCTTGACCATGACTCATAGAAAAATAATCAGTTTTAGCTAGATTGCAACAAGTGAAGTCTATATATCAGATCTGAAATCAGATCTGTTTGCCATGCCAGGGCATATACCACCCTCTATTAGCATACATTCTAGCATCTACACATCACATCTGCCCTTCCAGCAGTGATGTTAGACAGGACATACAAATAGTCATATATATATATATATATATATATATATATATGAATGCCATTGCCTTAGGTATATATTTTGAAAAACATTTGCTTCAATGCTAGATGAAATTAGGCAAAAAGGTGAATCCAGCACTTGGACAACACTTTTGCCACTTCTGATCAATGGGGATCAGCCTCATGTGCCAAGGGCCAAATGCTATACCGCTCTCTAGAAAGTCAAAAGAGAATGGAATTCAATTGTTCGTAAAAGAAATTTGCCCCCACCCTGTTCCACCAACCCCAACTCCCACCCTCACCAAATATATTTCAATTGCATCAAATTTTTCATGTTTCTTTTCCATGGCTGTCCTACCTTTCAGAGATTGTGTATAACCTTCTCTTCAAATGAAAGGAAACCAAATGATTTGGTCTTCAAAGGGCAGAAAGGGAATAAACATACACCATTTCACTGTCTGCCACTGCAATGGCATCTTTCCTCTTGGCAATTGTATAACAGCATTCTTACCTTCAGGCTTTTCATTCCTGTGGCTCTTTCTGTAGCTCTGGTGTTGGACATTTGGTCATTATTTGTCAATAAGAAACACATTCATGTTATCAGGATAACACCAAAGGCAAATAATAATGTCCTAATCATAGAAACCATGTTAAGGCCATAGTTCATTTTTTAAAAAATCATTAGAATGGAATTATTTTTTAAAAGTGTTTTCTTTCTGGATTACATTTTTTTCCGGTGGTAGAATTTATTCTTTAATATCATTTGGCAAAATCAATGGTTTTGGCAGCCATTGGACTGGTTCAGTTCTTAAGGCAACAGGTCCCTTGCTTGAAGCAGTCACTTGAGAGAAAGTGAGGATTTGCTCTTGGGAGGAAGACCTGAGTAAGTTCAAGGAGCAAATTTAGTGACTACCAGGAAAGAAAACTGTCAGGTTCTTCATACTTCCAGGAGGCAGTACCAGCATAGAATCATGCAAACCAACGAAGAGCACAATATACTCACCCTACTCCTCGATCCCAAACCAGAGTCTTGAGGATTCACAGGAACTTCTGCTAAGACCCAGGAAGTGCCATCGATCTGTAATGATTCTTGCCTACACACATAACAGTGTCAATAAAGAGTCATTGGGATCCATCTTAACCCTGAGTATCCGAAATGTCAACCTTTAGGGATGGCTCCTGCCAATAAAAGGTCCATTTTGTTGCAGGCAAAGGCAGATGCAGATTCATATCCATTACCCACGGCCCAAGAAAGTCAAAGAATTCTGGGTGTGGAAGAGAAGTGGTTAAGAGACGGTGGCATAGGAGAGGAGAATTGTAGACATACATGGAAGAAGAAGAAATACACACAAAACTGAAGATCTCATGTATACCAATGGGAAATACAGTATAACCTCATTCATCTATGTGCCACCAAATATGAAGCTGAGGGATTTTGGAAATGGGCTGTCCGAGAGTGTAACTTTTTACTATCTTTGAAGAGAAGACTTGCTAAGCAAATGCATGGGATTTAAAAAAACAAAGATAGCTAGTGATAGGGAGGAGGAACATGTTTTAATTTCTTCAGAGAACAAACTCTTTTTAGGTACCTTAAGAGCACCCATGTGAAAGGAAACACCACTGATTTTAATTGCAGGCATTTTTTGAAACGATTTAAACAAATTCCCTATGTTTTTTCCTAGCATCACATTGGTCAGTTTATTCTAGTTCCTATATATTTTTGAAGATATAGTAAAACTGCATTTCTCTATCAATATTCTATAAGTCATAATGAGCATCTTACCATTTATTTAAATAATGGAGGTTCAATTGCACATCCCATCCTCCTCCCTCATTTCCTTATATGCCTCTCAAGTTAAGGCACCCACCTATCCTACAATTATCATTGCAGTCAAGGGGCTCAGAATGGTCCCTTTAAATATTGTTACAATGTTCCCAAGAGCACACATGTGCTGATTTTCATCTTGGAATATATGGAAACTGGGAGTCTATTTTAATCCCTAGAGAGGACTAAAGTCTGGTATAATTCTGTGGTGAGGTTGGGTAGGGTTTGTTAATAACTTTCCACCTCAGTCACAAATAGCTCGTTTCACTGACCCTACCCTATCTTGTAAGGTAAGGCTAGATGGGAAAGCGAAGCTGGTGCCCTTTACCCAAGATTAAGGGAATGAAGTAGGGTGGATAAGAACATAAACTTTTGAGGGGACAGGCAGCTGCAGAAGGAGGCTGATGTGCCTATGTGGTAGTTCTGTACATAAATCCTCCATTCTGCTGTGATTTACAATGATAGACTTTCACTGGCTATGTCACAAATCCCTGGTGATCTGGGTTTATCACTGAAACAACCTACTGGCTCTTAATTACTGCATCTGCACACACATTGTAATAAAGCATGAACACAAAAGGGTGATTTGCAGGTTAAAAATTCCCAAAGCACAGTTCTAATTTACATGATCCTTGCATGTGCATTTACAGTTCATCAAGAAATGATCAAGTCTGTTTTGTTTAGGTCCTATTAGCTCAGGTTTGGGAAATTGGGAAAGCCAAGGAGTATTCTGGTTTCAGCTTGTAGGTATGGTTCAGGGGCTGCCTCAGAGACTGACCTTGTTTTTAATTCCCTGTATCCATAAAAATAAAATAAAATAATAAAACATTAGTTTTATTAGTTTAAGCTCATGCACATTTACGACAGCCTGAAAATTTGCTGTTTCTTTCCATAGTATGGTAACTTTTCTAGACTAATCTCAGAATGTGTAATGTCTCATGCCAGGGAAGAAAAAGTCAATGACTTAATATAATTGCCCATTTATCATTAGTTAAAGGTTGGAGAGAGAGAGAGAGACAGAAAGATAAGTGATACAGGTATTTCTCCCTCTTCTGGTTTCAGAGATAATAGGTCTGAAAGTGTTTTTGAAAAAGTAAAAGCACTTATAAATGTCAGGCGTTGTGATTATTGTCATTTTTAGTAATCAGTACTGAGGGCTGGAACAGCTTAAATATGCCTTTTGCCTAGTAACCAAGGTAGTTGCGAATGAACCTGATTCTTATGGAAACATATCGCTTGCAATCAGATTCACATTGCTCATTGGATAGGTGGTAGTGCTAAATTGCCATCTGCAATATTATCACAAGAGGTGACTCTGAAAGTCAGCAGAGATTTATGACAGCATTAGCTGTGTGACCTTCTCAAAGTCATCACCATCTCTGGATCGCACTTTCTCTGTGAAATGATGGTATATTCAACAGTCAATTTTCATGTTAACGAGATGGGACACAATGAAGAGATGTAAATCTCAAGTCATTTTGCTAATACAGTAAAACCTCACTGATTTGGAGGAACAGAGGGAAAGGATTGTCTGAATGAGTAAAGCAAGTCCTGCATTACAAAATAGGTTTAAAGAATGACAATTTTATTACTTTAAGTCTATTTTGTAATTCAAACTGACTATAAAACATTGCCTTAGTGGAGATCCTCGTGAGAGCTACTTTAGCCTATAGATATGTAACGAATATGATTATATCTAATAAGTGCTTCTAACATTTGAAAAGGGTTTGTTCTCTTAAGAAAAAATTCAACTGACATTCCAGTCTAAACTCTTCATTTGCTTAACAAACCTTTCTTGTCCTCATGCCTGATAATATAAAGTTAACTTGTAGACTGGTCCCTGTCTAGTTTATCACAAATTATTAATTAGAGGGCTTCAAATTAATGAGGTTTTACTGCTATTTCTACCTCCTTCTCCATTGATTTTTTTTTTTTGCATCACTAATACGTAGTGGTAACCAGATTCACGTTCATCTCTTGCCCCTTCTCTTGCTCACTCTCAGAAAACAGCAGGTAGCAAGAAGGAAGAAGACAAAGGCAAGCTTCTTGGTAATCCAGAAATGGAATAAGCAATCGTTGGGTATGCAGCACTGATCGATCATACTATTATCCATAGTTGAGAAAAGGGTTGACTTATTTCAAAAGACTGGCTGTAGGAATGACCAAGGAAAGCGATTTGAAAGATGCCTGGCAGGTAGCACTATGGTTAGAGAAGTTGAAAACATTTAGGATCTACTGAAATATTTTTCTATTTGCATATCAAAATTCAGATAATCTGGAAATCGTGAGCTGTCAATAAAGTTACTTGATAAAAAACTTTGCAGCAGTACTAGCTGAGGGAAAAAAAGCTTGATTGCTGGTTGTAATGAAAAAATAGCTGGTCTAAAGTTTTGGGGTCTTCATGTACCAAAACATCTGGGTGAAAAGTAAAAAGTCAGCCAAATATGTGCAGATTTTTTTGTTTGTTTATATAACATCAAACGTCTGGTTATCTGAAAACTTCTGGGCACTTGGCATCATGTGGATGTTTTAGAGTCATCTTGTTACAGTCCATGGCTCCTTTTTAACCATGATGAGTATGAATGATGAATTCGTGAGAGCAATGCATCCAATCCAGCTCAATTTTCATTCTGCAACTCACTTCAATGATACAATTAGGTTCTCCGTGCAAATAACATGAGAAAAAGACAGGTGCTAAATACTTTGGCCATCAAGTTGGCCATTGTAAATATGAAATGAGCCAAAAGCTTGGCTAAATTGTCAGTGTCATCAGTTCACATTGGTGGGAAAGAAAGTTACTGCTTTTTGACACATAGTAAAACCTTGATTAATTGGAATCCATAAGGGATGAATGGAATTTTCAATAAGAACAACCATTTTGTTCATTGTTGGCTAATAACAGTTTTTCTTAAAATGCTTCTATCTACTTTCTCGCCTCAGGGAAGCAGCCTCTAACGTTTGAGGGTCAATCCAGATGGAGAGAAGATAGAGGAGAAAGAGCCGAATGTGACCCAACCATAGGTCATCTCTTGGTAAGTATTTTTTAAAAAAATCAATTCCTTGCAGTCTTCTTTTTTGGAATACTATTGCTGCTTTCTCATCAATGTGAAGTACTGAAGGGGCAATTCAGTTAGTTGGGGTACTGGTTAGGTGAGTTCTGGTTAATCAAGGTTTTACGATAAAAGGCCATGCCAATGCCTGGTAAGATTATTTGCTGAAGAAAGTTCTTTTAAAATTGATTTCTTTGAAAGTGTTCTGGATCAGTGTTTCCAAACCCATATTATATTTGCAGACTGGCAAACTAACTTTTCCATCAGGATCCTGAGGGATAGAGAGGGAAAGAGAGGAGCAGAAGTGCAACCATTGTCTCTGAAGAAGAAAAGTTTTGGCTTGCCTGTCTGTTGGTCTGTGGTTGGGAAACACTGTTCTTCACCTTAAGATGCCCATGGGATCTTGGTCGTACAAGAGGTGAGTTTACATGCTTCAATATAATTCTCATGCCCCTTGGGCCAAGGAGGATTCTATTTTCAGGTCCTCTCCTGTACTTACCCGAAGTGTGTTTCCATGACTTTGTATCGCGGCTTCTGAGCTTGCCCCTATTTCTTGTTGCTTGGATGATGGCTATTCATTCATTCTAGCTCCAAAGAGCATTAGAAGTCAAAGGAATGCCAAGTAAGATGGGTTTTCTCATGATGGCAGCCTGGATAACAATTAGACCTACCTGAACCAAGAACATGGCTAAGGAGAAGCTAAATCAGGGATTCATACACACATATAGTATCACAGTTAGGCGACGCACTTGCTTAAATACACAAAATGTCTCTGCAAAGTCTCTATATGGGGTGGCCTATTGAAGAAAGACCCCATTTAACTTGAAACCGAGCTTGTTATTTGGCTTTCAAGTTAAGTGGGGCCTGCTTAAATGGGCTATCACATATAGAGAACAACATCTCATCACTCAGACACATAATTGAAGAAGCCACCCTTACTCAACCAACCAACCTCTGTGAGCAACCATCACAACCTAGAAAACAAAAGGCTATGCCCTGATTTTTCAGTAGATGGATCTGATTTTTCATACCACTCAACTGAGGCAGGCGGGGACAGTCTCACAGGAAAGCCTTGGACTCTTGAAAGCCTAGGGCATTGAAACCCACATCATGGCTTTCATAAGGCAACCAAACTGGTGGGTAAAGGAAGGGAAAGGGTGTGGTTGGAGCCTCTGTCTGGGAGTTGAAGAAGGGACCCAAGTTAGATCAAAAATGTGGGCAGTGCCCTAAAGTCTTTTTGGTTCCCAAAGCTGCCAGGCAGGGGAATAACCTGGTCATTCCACTTTATGTGTGAGTCTTGTGCTCTCTCCTCAATAATAAGATAACAGTCTTGCCGATTACTCGTCACTAAGGGTACCCGGTTGTGGTGACATTGAGGCTGACCTTGGAGTCACCGCCCCCGCTGCCGCACTCTCCTTTGTCGTACCACCATTTGTTTTTCAATTTGTCCAAGAGGCCTTGCTCATTCAGTTTTAATACTGCCAGGTTAACAGCATTTCTTGAAACGATAAAACATAACTTGTAAGAAAATGCACAAATGCTTAGGAAATCGTTAACGTATAAAAAGGAGCACAAGAGGACAAATTGGCTAAATTTCACAGAACGTGGAGCTATAAAAATGTCTGTACAGCAAATACAGGGTTAAATATTGGAAGGTGGCATGGAGGATAACATTTGCTCAAAACTGAAGTGTGCGGGATGGGGAAATTGTCTTTGAGAAAAAAAGTAACAAGAACACCACATCCATGCAATTAACATTCGTCACATATGGCACCATAACTTGGCTTTTACCATTTAAATTGAAAAAGCCGTTGAACTGTAAAATTAAAACAGCAACAAACAGTCAGAGAGGACAACACAGAGAGAGAACATTAAAAAAAATGGATGCATTAAATAGATGAAACCATAATTTACCGTCTTATTTAACTCCATGGAATATTGTAGATTTTAAACTTTTAAAAGTTACCTCAAAATCCACAAGAAAGAAAATGACAACAAAATGCATCAGGGTAGGTGGAATACTATAACAACACGGATATTGTTATATTATTCCACCCACCTTAATGCTGAGCCTTTAGGGGTTGCCACACCATAGCCTTTGGAATCCAGATTTCCACCAACTTTCATCGTATCACATGGTTTTCTCTGCTCAATGTACTCATTCATGGTTGACTCCAGCAGGAAGGCGAACTTTCCCTTGGACTTTCGCACTCGGGCCACTCCGTCTGCTGTTGTTTTGGTAAACACAGATGGCTCCGCTGATTTCATGTAAGACCACATTTTCTCGTACACAGCAATTTTGGATCTCTGCACCAAAGAGATAAGAATTCTTAGAGCTGCCAGATATTCAGTCTGGAGGAGGGTTAGTGCAGTAGTTTTTTTTTTTTAATTGCAATCCACAGTAATAAAAAACACGTTACACTGCAACCTAGTAGGCACGTTCATACATACGTAAACATTGTTTCCAAAACAAGTTCTCAAAACCACACTCATCCTTGCTATGTGTGATGCTCTCTGATATTTTCTATTCTATTCTAATTCATTTTAAATAATGTTGCTCAGGACCCACTAAATGGATTTCATGGCCCCACTAATTGGTTGCAATCTTATTTGAAAAACACTTTGTTAGTTCAACCTTCCTCTCAATGAAAAAATCTCCTCTACAATATCCTGCTATGTTTATCTAATCGTAGCAGGATATGCCTAATCAAAGACCATTATAAGGTAGTGTACAGCTATTTTAGTCAGCCCAGTCCAGCATGAGATATCAATTATTGTAAGAAAGTACCTCCTTATTCTGAGATGATCTTTGTTTTTCTATAACTCCCATTCCTTTTTACAATTTCAACTTTTATTTTAGACACAGGGGGTACATTTGCAGATGTGTTACATAGGAATATTGTGTGATGCTAAGGTATGGAGTACGGATCCTGCCACCTAGTTTGTGAATATTGTATTCAATAGGTAGTATTTTAATCCACACCCCCACCCCCGGTACTATCCCCTAGAGCTATGTAAAATAATTCTGTCCCTTTTTACAACGGTTCTTTTTTTTAATGTACAACGGTTCTTTAATTATTGAAAGGCCTTTATTATGTCCCCTTCTCATCTCTTCATCAGGTGAAACTCTGACTGATATTGTTTCCAGAACTCTCACAACTTTGGTTTTCCACTCGTAGGCACATTGTAGTTGGTAATGTCTGTCTCTATTTAGAGTGTATAGAAATAGACACGGTACCCCAAATAAATGACCAGAACAGAATGAAAAAACAACAACAACAAACTTTTGCTTCTTATTTTAGAGCATTCTTTTCTGTTTGGTTTCTCTCTTTCTTTCTTTCTTTCTCTTTCTTTTTCTTTCTCTCTCTTTCTTCTTTCTTTCTCTTTCTTTTTCTTTCTTTCTCTTCTTTCTTTCTCTCTTTTTCTTTCTTTCTCTCTCTTCTTTCTCTTTCTTTCTTTCTTTCTTTCTTTTTCTTTCTTTCTCTCTCTTTCTTTCTTTCTTTCTTTCTTTCTTTCTTTCTTTCTTTCTTTCTTTCTTTCTTTCTTTCTTTCTTTCTTTCCCTCCCTCCCTCCCTCCCTCCCTCCCTCCCTCCCTTCCTTCCTTCCTTCCTTCCTTCCTTCGCTTCTTTCGTCTCACTCTGTCACCCAGACTGGAGTGCAGTGCTGTGATCTTAGTTCACTGCAGCCTTGACCTCCCAGGCTCAAGTGATCCTCCTGCATCAGCCTCCTGAATACCTGGGACTACAAGTGTGCACCACCAAGCCCAGCTAATTTTGTTTATTTTTTTGTAGAGACGAGGTCTCACTATGTTTCCTAGGCTGGTCTCAAACTCCTGGGCTCAAGTGAATCTCCCTCCTCAGCCTCCCAAAGTGTTGGGATTACAGGCGTGAGCACCTGACCTGGAGCATTATTTTCTACCAATGCTGTTTGAATTTGCATTAATATATTTAGTCATTCCTCTATCCTTTCAACAAAATTTTTTTTTATTGAGAAGCACTGGAAGAATATAATAGAGTCAATAGAGTCTTTCCATCAACTCAGGTTGAGGTCAAACCAAAACTTAGTTCTTTCTGCCAAGTCAAGTCTCCTTCATCTTTACCTTTTTGAATTTTGCATATAATCCCATTAAATTTCATTTCAATTCAGGTGGTCCCTAGAACATATATTAAATGCTTACTGTGCCTCTAGCCCTATGTTAGTCATTCTGGAGACTATAAAAGAATTGTAGACTCAATGACTCAAAAACTTCCAATTGACTTGGGAGCTAGGTCCTTAGGAATGAAAATCCTAGAAAAAAATTCTAAGGTGATACTTGACCAGAGGTTGAGATAGCATGGCAGAAACCATAAACATATACCATGTTTTCAAATGTCTTTTTGTGGGGTTTCCTGGCCCCCACCCCAACTTTCTTGATTATTTATTTAGTTGCTCTTCTCTAGACTTTGGCCGGCTGTGTTGCATCTTTCTTGGGGCCTGCTTGGACCTGCCCAAATAATTCCAGGGGGGGCTGGAACTTCCAGAACTATCACCATGGACTCAAATTGCTGGCCTCAAGCAATCCTCCCACCTTCACCTGGCAAAGTGCTGGGATTACCGGCCTGAGCCACCTCGCCCAGCTGGATCACCAGGGACATTAAGCATTGTGTTTATGGCAATCAGACCCTCATGGAAGCCCTCACAGAGTCAGTGAAACTCTTCACTGAGATGGGAACACATTTGGTTTGCACAAATTATAGCAAAGGAAGCCACTGTGGCTGAAATTAAATGAGAAAAAGGGAGAGTCGTAGGAAATGAGCTTAGGTGGATAATCAGAGGCCAGATCTTGTAGGGCCCTGTAGGTCATGGTAAAAAGTTTGGATTTATTCTACCTGTTATAGGAGACTATTGGAAGATTTTGAGGAGGGGTGTGATAAGATCTTACTTAAATTTTTAAAGATTACTCTCACTGCCATATGGAGAATAGACTATGAGTTGGGTCAGAGTGGAAGAAAGGGAAATTAGTTAGGAGGCTATTCTGATATTCCAGAGGGGAGATGACTGTGGCTTGGACTAGGGTGGGAGCAATGGAGGTAGAAAGAAAAGGCTGGATTCCAGATGTGTTTTGGGAAGATAGCAAACAAGCCCTGATGATGGACATCTCCACCTGATGGTCCTGTAGACATTTTCAGATTAAACTTTTCCCAACTAAATCTATATTATATACCTTGTAAAGCCTGGGTTTCCTTCTACATTCTATCAGTAAACCACCTAACCTCCAAGCTAAAGGGTTTGGTTTTACTTTTCCCTCACTCCCTCATTCTGCCATGTTTTTTCTAATATAGTAATGACTTTAAAATCTGTCCTCTCATCTTCTTTTCATTCTCATTACCATTGCCCTCCCTTGGTCAGGCTCCATCGTTGTTTTGTCTAGACTATCTTGCTTCCTAACTAGTCTCCCTGCTTCATCTCTCTCTTCAATTTATCCTCTAGTGATTCTTCCAAAATGCAAACTTAATCAAGTTACTTCATTCTTTAAAATCCTCGGCTAGTTCCCTAATACCTACAGGAAAAAAAAATCCAAACTCTTATGTATGATATTCAAGAGTGCTTATGATCTTGGTTACACTCTCCTGTGATTAGGTCATGCTGGGCTATTCACTGGTCACTGAAATAAGCCACTTCCATGTCTTATGCCTTTGGTTATGCTTTTGCTTCTGCTTAAATTACCTTATTCATCTACAAGATCCAGAGCAGATGTCATGTCTTCTGTGAAGTCTTTCCTAACCCTTTCCTGCCCCCACGAAGTGCTTCTTTGGGTGTCCTCCCAAAGCCATTTGCTCATACCTTTGCTATAGAGCTTAATTGCAGTAGGGTGAGTTGACTATGTGTCTGTCTTCCCCTGTTACTTGAGTGTTTCTTGAGGACAAAGTCCATACCTTATTAATTTTGCTAGCCCTCTTGGCAGCCAGCAAATTACTCTATACATGACAGACTAAAGATAAGTTTTCTTAATAACTGAAGCTTAGGCTTGACCATGGTGACGACCAGATTGCTGGTCAAAGATATCAGAAGTTCAGGTAAAAATGGCTACCAGCACTATCTTTATAGCACTGTAGAATTCTAGAGCTGAAATTTTTCTAAAAATCACTGAGTACCTTGCTAAACCAATTTGGATATATGCTTTTCAATCCTCTTTTTAAATGCTACTTAGTCTGCCTTTGATGCCCACATCAATAACTTCCCCCCAAATAATCCCTAACAATCAAGGCCTTCTAAGATTAAAATCTCACCCATAGTCATTTATGCTCATTCCATATTACATTATCCTCTTTTGACACATAAGACAATTTTTAAGCATTGTAATGAAATACATTGTCAAGGACTTTATTTCAGTAGACATTTCCTAGTTAGTTACCCAAGGAATTAAAAAATAATCAATAATTCGATACACAGAAAGATATAAAAATAATGTAAAAACACCTGTGTACCTGCCATAAAGCTTAACAAATTAAACATTATGAAGTTAGTTAAAGTCTGCTTATCTACCCCTCCCTAAATACATATTCTTCTCTACTCGCCAAAAGTAACCACGATACTGAATTTAGCCTTTACTATTCCCTTGCACCTTTTTATACTTTTACTAGAATAAGCATATTTCCTTTATAATGGCTGCATAGCTCTTCAATCTACGAACACACTATGTTTTATTTACCCAACCCCTTTTGAAGGGCTCTTAGATAATTTCCATTATTTTTGGCATTATAGAAAACCCTGTAGTGGGTATGCATTTTTGTGCATTTATAAAGAGCTGTTTTGTGTTTTTCATCTTGGCCCAACCAGACCTGAATACAAAGTGGGGGTCCAGGAAGGGGAGACTTCAGACATATTTGTCTTTTACACTATTTGCAAACAGGCCATTGCTTCCAAAGATAAATTTATAAGCCAAGGGCAAAGGGGTCCATGAATTCTGATCCAAGTGCACTATAATTTGGACTCATTTACTTCATCATTTACTTGAGCTCTTTGATTGCTGATACAGGTTAAAAGGTTTATTCCTTTAGGTAATGATGCATTTCTAGGAGAATAAATAGCAGTGCTTGAAGCAGGCCCTTTAAATGCACATGGTGTACATGTGGCAGATATTAATGAATGCATTAAATGACAAGTCAGTTAGTGGCAGAAATGATTGGACTCTTTTTGATGACTGAATTCTCAAAAAGATTAGAAGGGGGAAAAGAAATGACTCATAAGTAGGAGAAATTAAGCTGAAACGTTTATCTTTCCAACTAGTATTTAAGTGTCAGTATAACATTCAGACCATAAAGAAGAAAGAAAACTAGCATTTCCTCTTTTTTTCTTTCCTTTTTTTTTTTGCATTCTGTCTTATTTTGGATGAAATAAAGAAGGCAATAAAAGGGACTGAATCTTAGCTCTGTCATCTGGGAGAAGTTAAACAATTTATGGGCAGGATGTGTAATAACAAGTTCATTTTTCTCCAACCCACCACCATTCATTTCATTCATCCCACAGAGCACCATTTTGTACCTAAAAAGGAACAAACAATGGTTATAAAGAAAGGCCATAAGAAATTCTCAAGCACTGCTAGATAATTAGCAACCAAAATCCAAAGGAGAAATACATAAATGGAGAAGGAACAGATTAATCCCAAATAGCAGATATGGTAGAGCCTTAGCATTAATGGATTCAACAGTTGTAGCTCTAACTATTCGTAATACATCATGAAGGTCAAATATATGAAGAAATCTGTCTTTTTGTTGATGTGAAGATTTGAATCTTGGGCCCTGTGAGTCTGGTACACAGAAGCCTACCACTTAGACCTTGTGTCTCTTTGCAACGGTGTTGTTCACTCCTAGTCATTGTGCATATAGTAGCTCTCTAGTGATAAAACTATTCTTTATGTAAGTTCAAAGTAACTATATAGTGCAGTGCTTAAGAACATGTAGTCAGACTGCTTGGGTTTGAATCACACTTGCTAAGTACATAAATTATCTAGCATCTATGTGTCTCAATTTCCTCACCCATAAAATGGGATGATTTTTTAAGTGTATACTTCAAAGGTTTATTGGGAGAAATTAAATGGGTTAATACATACTTAGAAGAATCCCTGAAACACAGGAAGTGGGAAAAACATTATATATCTTTATAATAAAGAAAGTATAATTTGTTTTACTGACAGAATTTATTTTAATGGTATTATAAATTACTTCAGTGCCATATTTACGGAATCATTACTTCATTTTATGGGAGAAATCACATGCTTAAGTATTATTTGTATATTTGGATCTCCAGACATATGCCTGGTGAATGACCAGGGTCTGCCATCAACAAAAATTACTATCATTTGAAATTGGATTTTAAAAATTTTGTTGGTGTAGGAGAATGGGCAGGATGGCAACTTTTCCTTTTACATTTATGTTTTGCAGTTAAGTTGAGGCTTATACATTAAAATCCTCATTAACCAGAACACTGCTACTGGGGAAACTTGGTGAATAAAATTTTCTGCTTTCCTGTGAGATAAAATAGGATATCCACTTGGTCAATAGTATATCCACTTGGAGTCAGTAGAATAACAGAATTTTAGAGCTAGAAGGCGCCTTAAAAACCATTTTGTTGAGCCTCTCACCCGGTGAAGTGATAGCTTCTTGCTTAAATGCTTCTGGTGAAGAGGCACTCCCTAGCTCAGAGGAGGCATAGGAAGTAGCTTATTCCATGGTGGGACAATTCAAGTTGATAGAAAGTTCCTTTGGTTTGGCTGATATTCTTAATGAAAGCCTCTCCTCTCCAATCCTACTTCTGTCTCCTGCTTGAATTGGGCAGTACGTCCTCTCTGTTTCCATTTCTCCATTGTAGGGAGTACTGATTATTTTGCTTTGCAATGGTTATCCCCAGCCAAATCTGAGCCCCTTGAGAGTAGGGATCATGTCTTTTTTTGTCACCGCACCACGGGTGTGTAGCATGATGCCTGGCACACAGTAAACTCTCACTATGTGTCGGTGGAATGAGTGAATATTAAAATTGAAGTGTCACCTACTGGTCCTAATTTTTCTCTTTGTAGCAATAGAGAATCAGTATGCTCTCTTCCCGACACGATGTACAGCCTGGAATCTACTGCCACAGTGTCACTTGTTAATTGCCTTGTTTGCAGGCTAAACATTTTAAGGGCCTTCATTTGTTACTTTTATGACACAAATTCCATTCAACTCACCTTTTCTGGTCACAATCTTCTAGATACCTTTTCATTTTTTTAAAGTCCCTCCTAAAATGTGGCCTCCCAAATTGAGCACAATATGCTTGATATAGTGACATTAACATAAAGGACAATGGAACCATCTCTTCTCGTGGTCTTGACATGAGCACAATTCCTCAGTTTGACAGGGTTCAACATCCACTTTCCCATATGTTGATAGTGCAGAATTAACTGAATTACCAAAATGGACTAATAAATTGGAAGCATGTTTATCAACAGAAGCATAATATGCTATTCATTTATGCTATTAATTTACTGTCAGAATGCAGACAAAGTATTACATAATTTGTAAAGACAGTATTGGTGTTTGTAACATCTCTATTCCCCAACATGTAATGAAGGAGAGGTCGGGGAAGATACTTTTAGGCACTTTGTATTCCAGTGTTCCTCAAAGGAAAATGGGCCAGCTTTATGCATGTAATTATTTTTTTGAACACTGTTGCCACCATGCCTATGTTGTCCATTTCCATCATTGTATGTACAGGACTAGCCTTGTACATACATGTCAAAGGGGCTAGATTTGACTTTGGGGTGCTCATCTTCTACCACTTTCTCCCTGTTTCACTGTCTGCCTCCCTCAGAGATATAACTTGTACCCCTTTTCTGGTATCAGCAGTCATGGTCCTCATAGAGGTGTTCACTAACAGTATAATGGCTTCTGTTACCCCTGAGCAAGGGGTCATTTTGATTTGAATAGGGGATTCATACCCCAAAAAGGAGAGTGGGCTTCTTGGCATTATAAAAGGTGCCTTTCAAGGGCTGGAGAAGGCTGCCTTGTGTATGAGACACTAAGAAAGGGAAATATGGCAAGAGTTTCAAACAAAAATGACTTTTCCTCACTCATTTTGCTGTCTCTAAGTTTATTGTGGACTACTTCTTGCTTGACAATTTGGTCCATTTTTTCTTTAGATTGTATCTTTAAGATAATATAATTATAAACTACAATCTGCTTTTTCTTCTGAATTATTTAGCGTCCTCTGTAATTTCTGCTTTTATTAAAGGCTCAGGTGTCTAGGTGGTAAAAATTCAAAAGGGTGGCTTTGGGCCTCCATCTGCCTGAACGGAACACTTACAGGACCCCTGTGTGCCTTGTGTGCCTTCTCTAACATTCAGGAGCAAATGTTGCCTCACAGAATTGACCAATACTAGGATATGCATAGGTGATCCTTACAAGGCAAGGTGCTAGAAGGAAAGAAGGCCAATGATGCCACAGCTCTGGAGAGCTCCTGACCTCCCCCTCTTTTCCTCCTTTCTTCTTTGCCTCTTCTAATGTTTGATGGGATTGGAAGAGGACAATGTGCTTGCATGTCCTACTAGGGTGGGTGGGGTAGGACTATAAGGGAGGGGTAAGGTGTGGCTGGGGTGGGCCCATTCTGAAGTTCTTTAATGTAGTCACAAGTCTCAGGTCTACAGAAATTAAGTTCTTTAAGTTAAGACTCCAACTGTGGAAATCTCAAGCACTTGGTTTAGACTCATGAAGAGGAGATTTTTGTGGTGAGAATTACCTGCCATACAACTTTTCAAATACTCCCTTATTCAGAGAGGCCTTAGATTTGTCATGACTAGAAGCAGGAGATAGCTGAATATCTTTAAACTTTATATTTCCATAAAGCTTTCTGGGTGCCAGGGTGATTTAACACACACCATCTCATTTAAACCCCACAGCAGCCCTGTGAGGTGGGTGCAGTAGCTATTGTTTTTTCACTGCTTACTCCCCAGCACTGAGAACAGTGTGTGTGCCCAGTAGTGCCCCATAAATATATATTGAATGAAAGAATGAATTCCCATTTTATAAAAGATGGAACTGAGGGTAAGGGAGGGTAAGTGCAGTGGCAATGCCAAGAGGTGCCATAGTGGGCTTTAGCCTACTCACTCATTTCCATGAATCTACCCCCTCAGTATAAATCAAGCCTGAAAAAAGCTGTGTGCTTGCTAAGCAGTTTCCAAATAAGGCCTAACCAGAACTCCACCTTGAAGAGTCTCCAATACAGAAATTCAAAGATTTGCCATTGACTCAACTACTTATCTTAGGTCACACAGCTAATGAGGAACAAGGCTGGGACACTATCCAAGTCAACTAGAAAGGTTTCAGATAGATCTTTCCCCGTGATAACCCCAGCCTCTTTTGCTTGCTTTAGCACTGACAATATCCTTTTTGATGAAAGAGGGCAACTCACCTCCAAAAACATTTTTTGCTTCTTGTCCAAGCTTTTTTTGAAGTTGGGGTAAATTGTAAATTAACTCCAAATCCCCTCTCACTAAGGCACTGGAATTAGTGAACATTCTTGTCACTCATTGTAACCCTGCTATAGGCCCTTAGTGTCCATACTTCACCATGTAAAGTGATCAGAGCAATTTGAGGCAAAAGAAGAAAAATACATCTGGGTTGCCAAATGCATCGGACACATTTTTTTCTTCCACTTATGTTTTGAAGAAGTCAATAGCTCTAATAAGGTGCATTTGGAAAAAGGAATCATTGATTTTTACAGTTTTCCCCCTAAAGTAAAGGAAATAGTTTCCATTTTGATTTGGAGCAAGGCACACAACAAATGATATCATTTCTAAGCATGGCCAAAACCCCAATTTCACTTTCTTCCTTCACTTAGGTTTGCACATTTTTAACATTCAGAGAAGTACTGCTTGTCTGTGTCCTTTTGCTTCAGACAATCAGCAGCTGTCATGAGACTGTGTATTGGTGAACACAGGGGAAAGGAAGGGAAAGAAATTCTGGTTTCTATTCTTAGTTTTTCTACTTGTGTGTTATGAGCCTGACTGAGTTATTTTGAGGGCTGGGCTTTTAGATAACTTCATTGGAGTTGGAGGTCACCTTTCGCCTAGACATTAAGTTTTGCCCTCAAATGTAAATGACTTTGCTTAACAGTTTCAAACTGTGTTCACAAGTCCAGGGACATGTTTCCTTCCACTTCAAGAAGGGCTATTTCTGATGTCTCCTTTCCAAAGGTGCAGGTGACAATCAGCTAAGTTTCCTGAGACCTTTCTAGTGTCCCTCTCTGGTATGCAAAGTCAGATTACTGTTCTGATTAATCTTCTGCTTCTCTTGCTGAGTCAGACTAAGCATATTCCAATGGGTTGAAAATAGTGCCAGTGGCCATGTGACTTTGAAAGCTAGAGTCAACACATTCTTTCAGAAAATGTTTCTAAGGTACCATTGCTCTATTCTGGGAGAATGGAGGAAGGGAAACAGTACCCTCTACCCCTGTGTCTCTCAGTAAGCAACAACTTTGCCTCTCAGGAGACGTTTGGCAACAACTTTTCATTGTCACAACTTGGGGAGAGGAGTGCTACTGGTATCTAGTGGGTAGAAGCCAGCGGAGCTGTTAAATGTCTTACAATGCACAGGACAGCCCCCACCACCAGTAATTATCCGGCCCCAAATGTCAACGGTGCTAAGGTTGAGAAACTCTGCTATATGGACTTTGATTAAGCCATCTTTAAGTAAGAAAACCCATCATAACTAACATTTAATTGAATACATACTTTTTGTTCCAGGTCCATTTCAAGGGTTTTACATGTGTTAACTCATGTAATTCTCACAACAACTCTATGAAATAGATTATACTATTATATATTACCCCATTTAAACATGCAGAAACAGAGGCACAGAGGAGTTAAGTAGTTTGCTTAATGCCACACAGCTGGTATGTGGTGGATCTGGGAACTCATTCAGGCTCCAGAGTCTGCTCTCAAACAGTACACTATTCCTAGATAGGTTAAGCCATGTGGTAGGGTTGGGATGACTTCACAGAAATTCTGCTTTCTGATTGAAATGATGCTTATACTTTAGCATCATTTCAAGGGGCATGATATTTCTATTATTCCCTCCCTGAAATGTAGGATTGGAGACTAAAGTGTCTTACCCTTAGTCCACATGAAAACCCTACCTTTTAAACCAGAAGTTGACAAATTATTTTTTTCTCCTTATTTTGAGAATGAAAATATATAAGGAGTATAACGTTATGTATTGAACTTATATGGCTGTTATAAGCCAAGACTGTGAGTCAACTTTTATTTTCACAGATGCTCCTCATTTTCCACTCCCCTGCGTGGGTAGTACCACCTCTCTTTCATTTGCCTTATCAGGTAAAAGATGCCCTCCCCACCCCATCCTGTGCTCAGAAAAGAATTGGAAACATTCACACTGAGGTAGAAATGATGAACAATATACAAAAGTGTGATCTCCTCATAGGATCAAACCACAGCTAAAGGAATGATAGCCTAATGGTGGACACATTAATTGGGTATGGAGGAGAAGTTTGTGTGTGTGTGTGTGTGTGTGTGTGTGTGTTGAAAACCTGACTTTGCTATGTACCTTCACCTTTAGATTGCAGAACCTATTTTCTTTTTTTATTATTTTTTATTTTTTATTATACTTTCAGTTCTAGGGTACATGTGCACAACGTGCAGGTTTGTTACATATGTATACATGTGCCATGTTGGTGTGCTGCACCCATTAACTCATCATTTACATTAGGTATATCTCCTAATGCTATCCCTCCCCTCTCCCCCCACCCCACGACAGGCCCCGGTGTGTGATGTTCCCCTTCCTGTGTCCAAGTGTTCTCTTTGTTCAATTCCCATCTATGAGTGAGAACATGTGGTGTTTGGTTTTCTGTCCTTTTGATAGTTTGCTCAGAATGATGGTTTCCAGCTTCAACCATGTCCCTACAAAGGACATGAACTCATCCTTTTTTATGGCTGCGTAGTATTCCATGGTGTATATGTGCCACATTTTCTTAATCCAGTCTATCATTGATGGACATTTGGGTTGGTTCCAAGTCTTTGCTATTGTGAATAGTGTCGCAATAAACATACATGTGCATGTGTCTTTATAGCAGCATGATTTATAATCCTTTGGGTATATACCCAGTAATGGGATGGCTGGCTCAAATGGTATTTCTAGTTCTAGATCCTTGAGGAATCGCCACACTGACTTCTTCCACAATGGTTGAACTAGTTACAGTCCCACCAACAGTGTAAAAGTTGCAGAACCTATTTTCAAGACAGAGAATGGGTCACAAAGAAAGTGTGTCTGCCACACCCTTTCACTACTAACTAGAGCAAAGCCTCAAATTCCCTGACTCTCAATCAAGGATTGCTTCTAGGACTGCTATCACTATTGAACACTCCAAGGTCACTTCCCTCAGCCTTCTAGAGTTCTATTTTTCAATGAAACGGCATCTCCAGCAATCCAAAGCCAATTACCATTGACCAATTGGATTAAATGTATTTTTATTTTCTATTACTAAGATATTCAAAAGAGAAGTTCAATACTATTGTTATTCTTGAATCAATTAATTGTAGTGTGGAGGCCAAACCTGACAATACAGGTCCTAGGAAATGAGCGGGAAAATGTTCTTCTATTAAGAAGAAAAATCTATCCTGAAATTGCAATGTTTTGTTTCCACTGTGGCTGTTACTTCCAGGTCCCTGGAGAATTATTTTCTTACTAAGGGGAGAAAAAAGCAATGAAGAAAAGAAGAAGCAATTTGCTTGGGGTTATCCAAAAGAGCCCAAATTTTCCATTTAGAGTTTTTTTTTTTTGGGGGGGGAGTGTTAGTTTCCTAAAAGGTGAGCTGGAACTAATCTGAAGAGAAGTTCTGTTAAAGCCAGCTTGTCAGCAGGAAATACTATGTACCTGGGAAGCTACTGATGACTGCTTCTGTGATTCTGGTTTAATTGGCCTGAGGCGGGGCCAACATTGTAAATAATGCTTCCTAAGTGATTCTAATATTCAACGATGTGTTTAGAATAATCAACAATGGTCCTACAGCTGCAACAACTAGCTACCAATTAGTGCATAAATACTGACAATGAGAGGGCTACCATTTATTAAGCACTTACATGCAACAGGAATGGTGCTTCGTGCATTATATACATGATTGCTAATTCTTAAAACAACCTTGTGAAACCAATATTATCTCCATTTTACTGAGAAGTTAACTAATACTTATAGAAGTTATTTTACTTCTCCAAGGTGATACAGCTGGTTAAATTTTTAGCTCTGACCTCACTAAAGTTTAGATTCATTTATCCATCTACCTAACTGATATCTCCACTTAGATATCTCATAGGTATCTCCAACTTAGCATGGCCAAAATGGATCTCTTGATTCTCCCCCACCCCTGCTTGCTACTCCTCTAGGGTTCTCCATCAGAGAAAATGGCAGCACCTTCCAATTTGTCCAGTTGCTCAGGTCAAAATCCTTTTAGTCATCCTTGACTCCTCTCTTTGGCCTCACATTCCACACCTTGTCAGCTCAATCTATATTCAAAATGCAACCACTTCTCCCTACCCTCCTCCTAATTCAAGCTAATCATTGTTCACCTGAAATATTGCAATTGCTTCTTTTTTAAATTGAATTAATTTTTTTTTTTTTTTTTTTTTTTTTTTTTTTTTTTAGAGACAGAGTCTCTCTCTGTTGTCCAGGCTGGCGTGCACTTGTGTGATCCTAGCTTACTGCAGCTTCGAATTCCTAGGCTCAGGGATCCTCCCACCTCAGCCTCTTGAGTAACTGGTACTACAAGCATGTGCCACCTCATCCAGCTAATTTTTTAAAAATTTCTTTGTAGAGATGGAGATCTCACTATTTTGCTGAGGCTGGTCTTGAACTTCTGGGCTCAAGTGTTCCTCATGCCTTGGCCTCCCAAAGTGCTGGAATTATTGGCATAAGCCACCATGCCCGGCCTACAATCACTTCTTAAGTGGTCTGTCTCCCTGCTTCTCAACTTTTGCCCTGACATAGCAGTCTGATTGATCCTTTTACACATAGATTAGATCATGTCATTCCTCTGCTCAAAGTCGGCTAAGTGACTTTCTGTCAAACAGAATATAATCCAGAATTTTTACCACGGTTTGTCTTCTTCACTGCTCTCATCTCTTACCACTCTTTCCCTCACTTACTTCACTCTAGCACATGGACCTTCTTCCTCAAACCTACCAAGTGTATTCCCATGTCAGGGCCTTTGCTAACGCTATTCCATCTGGAATGCTTTTCTCTCCACGCAACTCCACCTCATACTTTCATGGCCTGCTCCTTCCTTTCATTCAGGGTGTCTGATCAAATGTCAGAAAGGCCTTCCACAATCAGCCAAGATGAAATAGCACCTCCACACCAACATTTTGTCTCTTCACCAGCTTTTTGTCTTCATTGCACTTAACACCAACAGAAACATATATGTTATTTACAGAATTTGTTTAATTTTGTCTCACCCACTACAGTGATTACAAGGACTTTGGTTTTGAGCCCTTACAACAATGGCTGTCATATAGCATGTACTTAATAAATATTAACTGAATGAATAAATGCGTAGCTGAGATTTAAACCCAGCTCATTTGACACCAAAGTCTATATTCTCCTTCTTCTCTCTTCCAGAGTTTAGAGAGGTAAAGTTATAATTCCAAGTTTGCATAGATGCAGGGGGACAGAATTAGTATTCAAATCCAGGTGTGCTGGCTTTCAAAAACCTGTGTTGTTTTTTTCTACTACTCTGCACTGCCTCCCAGTGGAAAGATCGTTAGTAGCTACATTGACCAAAACTAGTGAATTGAGTGAAGTTTACTTCTTTGACCTGTTGTTTTGACATGATTTTATATAACCTTGATCTTCTTTCTTGGTTCAGCTTTGAAACCTGTGCAAGATGCTCCGAGGTAAAAGGCACCAATATGATAACTCACTAGCTTGTCACAGGCCCTAAATGCTACCATTAGAGATCATGCCTTCTGTTTGACTTGGTCAAGTTACTTAAATTTCTCTAAGACTCTAATAATTATCTCTGAAATGGAGATAGACTACTAAATGAGATAATTCATGTAAAGCACCCATAACAGTTCTTGGCAAGTAGTAAGTCTTCAATAAAGTAGATTATGCACTCATGGCAAATGGGAAGGTAACATGACCCCACATCCACTGCCTTTGTGTGGTTTGGTTTATTTGAGAATGTGTGCCAGAAGAATACCAGAGGAAGAAGAATCAAGATAGGTCTTGGGGCAGGCAGGCAATGTGGAGTGCCACCCCGATATGTCAGGGGCACGTGAGGGCCTGGGCACATGTGGGTGACAGGAAGTATGGTATCATATTAAGTGTTTTCAGTCCTACTGTGGCACAGATTAGAATTAAAGTTAACTCAACAGATGCTTGGCAGAGAATACTTTACAGTGCCAAATGGGGCCACTAAAATGTTCACTTTCAATATATTCATATTTCACCTTCTCCTGTGGCTCTCGATTTTGAACAGTTGGGTTTAGATTTAAGTCTTTTCCTCCTTGCTGTGTTAGGAGCGTTCTGGTAAGTATTATTTCTAAAGGTGCTATGCTGATTTAAAAAAGGTGGCTGGCTGCAGTTTTGTCTGGCAAACACACTGACTGTGAAAGCTGCAGGAAAATTGATTTTCTGGCATTTGCGTGTCCTGGCATAAACTGCACGCCATGGAAGCTCAAGTTACAGAAGCTTCTGATAAGTGCAGCAAGTGAGGTTGACTTCATGAAATGATTAGGTTCCACTAATCTTTACCATTGGGGTCAAGGCAATGGTCTCCATATGCAAAATGGCAGATAAAACTACTAATTTGCTGCTATTTCATTAGAGAAGTAGTCAGATAGCCACTTAATCTGATAGCCATATGCAAACACAAATCAGCACACTTATTTAAGTCCCCAATCTTCATGCTCAGGCCCTGATCTCAAATTGTCTTTATTCTGCCTTGGCCAGCATGAGTGCTGTGGAGAAGCCACCTAGTCACCAATGCTCTGGAAGGGGCCTGTCTGTCCCATGTTGAAATTTGTAGTTATGTGCAGTTTTCTTTTGGTGTACACAGCAGTTGTTAAGAGTATAGATCCTGAAGTTATAAAGACCTGGTTTAGGTACTTATTAACTGTGTGACTTTGGGCAAATAATTCAACCTCACTGAGACTCAGTTTCCTCCTCTGAAAAATGGGGATGGTAATAGGACCCACCTTATAGTGTTCTTGAGGTAATGAAATGAGAGATTGCTTATAATGAATTTGACATAGCTCACGACAACATAGTAAGCACTTAGTTTCTCCCCAATTCCATAGTTGTATCAGGAATTGTGGTACCTGCTGTAAGGAATGGAGATGTGGAAAACATGTTCCTTATGCTCAAGAAGCTAAAAGAACTAATAGTTGGAAGCAACATCTCATAGAACTTTCTGAAATGTTCTATATCTCTGCTCTCCAATATGGTAGCTTCTAGCCACACATGTCTATTGAGCACTTGAAATGTGGCTAGTGCTACCGAAATACTGAATTTTAAATTTACTTTTAATTTTAGTTATTTTCAATTTAAATAGTTACACGTGGCTAGTGGGTACCATATTGGACAGTATAGGTCTACAGCTTAAGGAAAAGCAGAGAGGAACTAAAAGGCAGAAAACAGCACCAAGAACCACTTTCCCTATTTTATAATATTTTTCTAGTTTACTCTGATTATGGAGGTGATGACTACATCAAATGGACATCCTGCCTGCACCATTTGGAGGGCTGGCTATCATCTGGGTTGAGAGACAGGGGGGTAGGTTGGGGAATTAACTTCTGCTCTATTCAGAGCTAGTATGTAGCTCTGGAATAGCTCCCCCAGCCTGTGCTCATGGAAGCCTCTCTAGAGAAAGGTAAGCTGTGTTATTTGTATGGGCAAGAATTCCTTAGGCACGTGCAGAAACTGTTTCCTTTACATTTATCCTAATTGTGTAAAATTGAAAATAAATGAACTCCTGAGTCTAGGTATTCCATGGAAGAATATTCTTGCTGTTCTTATTTAAGAACCATACTTTATTTCAAAAAGAGCAGATAGAAGAAAATATTTGTGGAAAAAACAAAAGGTGCACTCCTTAAGTTTCTACGTAGCCTGATTATCTTTTTCTGGCTCTGTGAGTTGCTACATTAAGTTGTTTAGACCTACTCTCTCTGACTCTTATTTCCAAGGGAAGAATTCCAAAAGGAGTGAGCAGCCAGGTGACAACACTCACAATTCCCCAAGGTTTTTAAAAAATAGTTATCTGTATCAGCTCTGAGAGATGGGTTGAATAATTGAGTACAATCAAGATTAAAACAACAGTAAATTTGCCTGATCTGAGTCACCAAAGGGGGCATGGAACCAACGCTTTTTAATTGGGCAGATTGAATGTTACAGCCATTTGGCTTGGTTGCTGTCATACAGTAACCAGGGACTTGAGCCAAGCTATACCAAAAGCCCCAAACAGAAATAAATGCTGCCAAATTGCAGATTTGCAAGTCAAACTCCATTAGAAAACAAAAAATAAGAAACAGACTCATGAGCTGAAGCAAAGTTTTTTTTCTTTTTCAAGAATCAAGTAGAAAACTAGGTTGTTTTATATTCAGACCTATGTTTTTATTACCACCGTCGAACAGAAACAAAACCAAAGTCTGAAAACCCTCCAAAGTAAACAAATCACACCATTATTTGGTTTGACTTGAGTTTCTGATACAGCTATCACCTTTATTCAGTGAAGATAAATAGTCAAACTGCAGAAGGAAGCCATGTTGAATCGTAAAGAACTTAGAAGAGAGAAACTGAAAGCCCAGGTTGCATTTCCAAATCTCATGTATTATTTTTTGTTTGTTGTGTTTTTTTTTGTTTTGTTTTGTTTTTGAGACAGCTGGAATTACAGGTGTGCACCACCATGCCCGGCTAATTTTTGTATTTGTAGTAGAGATGGGATTTCACCATGTTGGCCAGGCTGGTCTCAAACTCCTAACCTCAAGTGATCTGCCAGCCTTGGCCTCCCAAAATGCTGGGATTACAGGCATGAGCCACTGCATCCGGCCCAAATCTCATGCATTTTCTAATACCTGTGAAACCTATGGCCTGTGGGATAATTTATTAGCAGACATTGGTTTGAAATACATTTCACATAAGTCCCTGTTTCTGTGCCAGTACGTTATTACCAAAGAAATACAGTAACTTGAAAAACAGGCCCTCTATATCTTGAGCAAGGGCATTATTATTAATATATTTTGTTATTCCAGAAAAGTGGAGTGGGCCATTAATACTTAAAAAAAATTATGTGGTTCTCCTTTAAGACTCACCTGATTGCCTTCTATCCCAGCTCTGATCAATCAATGGCAGACCTTTGACTGCCCACTACTTCCCACCCCTATCCTTACCTGTGTGCCACTAACAGTAGTTAATTCAACGAACTAAGGAATGCTTATTCAGGCCTGTAACCCATTAGGATAATCAGTAGCCAAGAGTTATCTGTTTTTCTCTCCATAATTAAATCACTTATTTCTATTAACCCAAGATTTTTAAAGTCACTTGCAAGATTTAATTTCCATTAGGATGACTTTTCCTTCATACTACCACATGTAAAGACAACAGAATATTTGATTAAGAGCCTTCCTAAACAGTCATCTCTCTTTGAGGCTTACTTTCTCTACCTTCAGCCTCAAAACTGCTTGTCAGTGTTGTGGAGAAAGTGGATTTCCTGCCTGTTTCTCCACCTGAAGGCAATCTGCATTTCCACTGATTTCTATCCAGGTCACTCATTATCTACTCGCTGAAAAGCATGTTATTAGTGAGAAGCAGGTAGGAGTCATGCTGACCTCCCCAGGTTTAAATGAATGTTTAAGATGGTACAATCAAACAGATATGCAAAATAGGTTATTAATGCAATATTAATAACGTTACAAATTTAAACTCAAAATCAAGGAATGCAGAACATTTAGGTTTCTCATTGTTTCTGTTTTAGCAACATGGCACATGCTGAATATTTAGCCCAGCATTAGGAAGACATGGATCCAAAAGTATTGAAAAAATGACCAGTGTGTGTAAAGGAGACTCCGAGATTGACTACCAGACTTCTAGAATGATGTAACCATACCTACATAGATTGGCTCAACATAGGCAAGTAAGTTTTCCAACACTTTTAAATGTTCCTTTCCCTGATTTGTGCTGCTTTGCCTAGAAAATAGTATGTCTTCCGTTATATAACAGGGGAATTCCTAAAAAAAAGCTGTGCCATAAATTAGATTCGTTTTTGAAAATCAAATTTTATTTTTCTATTGATGCATAGGTTGTTTTATGTTTATTTCTGAAAGCCCTCCTCCTAGGTTTCTCTGACAAGTAGTTAATGATCTGTTAGCACCCAAATGCACTAAATGCACTAAGGGATCTCTGTTTTCTAGGGAAGATTATGTTTCCAATGTGAGTAATTACTATTTATTGCTTTCATCAGTTGTGAATTGTCTGATTAATGGATTACTTAAGGCAGGGTCCTGCTGTGTTGTATAGTCAAAGATTTTGGAAGAAAGGGAAAGCCTTAAAGATAACAAATATTTTTAACTAGCTTTTGGTAATCTTTGGTCTGGAAGATAGGCAAGCCTGGAAATTGCCTGGAAGACAAAACAAACAAACAAGCAAACAACAACAACAAAAAACCAGTAAAAAGAGCTTCAAGGTGGGAGATCCTGGTACAATGGATACTGTACTGCATCTCCAAAGTGTCAAGGGGCAAAATAGGTATCCATGGTAATAGCAAGGGTCCTAGTAGAAAAGAGTGAAAAAATATTGAACCCTAGCCTTATAAAAACTGATCTGGTCTTCATAAAAGGCGGAGTATTACTTTCCAGGGAGGGGAAGGGCAGAGTTCTCTTTTCTGCAGAAGCCAGGATCCTTATGTTTGGGAGATGATGGCACTCCAAAGAAAGTTAGAAAGAAGGGATGGCTCCTCTTAAATATCCATCAGATATCCAAATAATTTGTGGTGGAAATACTCTATGTACCTTGTTAACAGGTCCAGCTTAACCACATATGAAGCTGAGCAATGTCCATAATATAGCCTTAATCAGCAAAGCCTGCACTGATTCGAAAATTGATCAACTGTGCCCAACTGCTGATGTAGATAAAGGCTGGGCAATCTGCCCTCTGGGCTGGAAAACATTTCTCTCCTGCTTGAGAATTGGAACTCTCCTATCGCCACCCCGGTGCCTGTATTCAAAAGATACCTTATGCCCACTCCATGGATAGGTGCCTTTGAATATGATCACACTTCTGTTTGCCTAATACCCATAGCAGGTTAAAATGGCAATGGCAATGTAGAATTAACAAAAGGGAGGGAAGAAGAGAGGGAGGGAGAAAGGATTACAGAAATCCTACTTCTTTCTTTTAGGCCTAAGAGCTAGCACTTCAGTCTGGGTACTATCTACCATACCACTCTTTTCTTAAAGATGTGCCCTCACTAACTCTCGCTGGTAAAGATACTAAAGGAGGGTATGCAGCTCATATTCTCCTCACAGATCACCTCCACTTACTCTCAGGAGGCTTCACCCTGCCATTCAGTCACTTGGGGCTGTCCACCCACAAGTCTTCTGTGTGGGGAAGGTTGGACCCCTGGTCTCCTCAGTGCCTTTGTAAATGAATGCAACTGCATTGATTACCCAATGCCCACACCCAGCAGGTCAAATAGGCAAAGAGAAAGGGAGTAAGGAATAAGGAGTTGTGCATTAGGGTTGTGCTTCTGGCTACAGGGCAGGAATTTCCTGGCTCCTGGTTCTTTTCCTTCTGTATCAGTTTTAAAATCTGTTTCTTTTCCTGATAACATTTACATCCTCCTAATTTTGAGCTCTTCTTGGTAACCAGGTTTATGTCTACCCAGCTACAGTCCTCTAGATTGGGAACTTGGAGGCATGAGGCTCTCTGAAGCCTCCAAAATGCAGTCACATAGTAGAGCTGCCTCATCATAAAAGGCAAGTGTAAGGACAAAGAAGGAGGGAGGGGGAGGAGGGATAACATGATAGTAGGAGAGATCTTTGGCTAAAGGTTAAGAGTTCAAAGCTCTTGGTGCAATCTCTCATTCTGTCCCTTTTCATTTTTAAGGACCTTTCTCTTGCCCATAGCTTCCAACCATATTTTAATGAACTTTCCTTTGTGAAGGGTAGCTCTTCTTTTTGTCCATCCTAAAACCTCTGTAAAAACACCAACATAGAAGTCCTCACCACCTGAGACCCTTAGGTCTCAGAAAGGGCCAGTGGGACAGCTTCTTTAGGTTGGCATAAGTTGCCAAGCTCCTGACCAGTCTGCTCCTCTACTCCATTTTCTTCTTTCTTTTTATGAAGTTGCTTATGTCCCTACTTCTTTCCAGGTTCTGTGGCTCTTATTTTCCCATGCTGACTAATATCTATGGCTATTCATCTAAATTCTTTCAGGTAAGAGTGCTTGTGGGGAGTTTCCCTGAAGCCTCTGTACAGACACTAACATAACAGTCCTGAATACCCAAGACCCAGCAGGTAAAGGAAGGAAAGAGAAAAGGAAGTAAGGGTCGGGTAAAGGAAAGTAGGAGAGAGCTTCTCTCCAAAGGGCAGGAGTTTCCAGGCTCCTGATATATATTTGTCATCTGCTCCATATTTTTCTAAGAAGTTCCTTTTACCCACAGCCTTTACCTAGGTCATACTAATTGAAGATCTCCACTGATAACCAGCACTTGGACCTGGCCACCTGCAGTCCTCTAGGATAGGAATCAGGGGGCTCTCTGAAAGATCCATAAAGACATAAATACAACAGTCCTGGTCACTCAAGACTCACCCAGTAAATGGGCAGTGGAAAAGGAAGGGCATTATCTGGATCAGAGGAGAAGAAGATCAAAATTGTAAACCTTTCAAGGCTTTTGGCCATGATTTCTCTCTTTGCAGTTTAATTTTGCTCTTACTTTTAGTTTTCAGGGTGTGTTATTGTTCATAGTCTTCAGCCAGATACCATTACTTGAGCTTCCCTATAGAGATCTTCATTTGGGGCTCCCTAAACCTTTGGCAAAGCATCAATGCGACAGTGCCAATTCGACCTCAGATTCCAGCCCCTGAAACAATTATCTCCCACTGGTCCCTGTTGATTAGAGGAAAGGTTTTTCCTTTTTCTCAATCCCTGACAGGAACACACAGAGCGGGTGGCTTGACCTCAGCCAGTCAGCTGTGATCACTCTCAAGACACCACTTCATGTCAGACAGGCCCCAGCTACTTCTACTCAGGCTTCTCTCTACACCACAGGCCCAACTTCCAGCCTCCCCGCTGCATCCTTTGCATAGGGAAAAAAAAAAAAAAGCAAAGCAGAAAATCGTCAAATATTCATCAAAGAGTGGCTCTTGGTTACCTGTGTTGTAATCATTTAGGATGCTGCTTTAAAAACACAGATTATTGGAAAAACACAGATGCATGGAATTAGCATCTTGAGGTGGGGCATGAGACCCAGTAGTCTATGTTTTAAAATAGTGCCCCAAATGATTTTATATACACAGTGTTGGAAAACACTGGTCGAGTACAGTCATTCATCAGATTACTGAGTCCTCTATTCAACATCTCTGATAAGTGGCCTATTCTTGAGTCCCTTCAATGATGAACACCTCACTATCTATGAATATAGCTCATTTTATCTATGGATTGCTATATTAGAATGTTCTTCTTACATTGATCTAAAATCTCTATCCCTGTAATATCCACTCTTTGATCTTTGTTCTGTCCCTTGGGGCCCCACGGAACAGTCCAGTCGATCTTTAAAATGTCTACCCTTCAAATTTTTGAAGACAATTCTAATATATTCTGCTGCTACATATCTTCTTCAGGCTAAATAGTCTCAATTCTTGCGAACTGAGAAACAACTGTGTTTGTAAACAATCTTGTAAAAAATTATAGGCTAGTCCCTATAGGTCTGCTCTTTGGGCAGTTCCAGATAAGAATGTTTTAAGACAGGACTATGGACTATGGGAAGCCATGGTTGTCTTCTGGATGTCAACTCTAAAAGTGAAAGTGTCCTTCGTGAAAGTGTCCTTCAAGTACCTGTCCCTTAACTTTAACAACTTTCCACGTATCCGTATTGTATGAATTTATCCAAGTCTCCTTGAATTTATTTATATTTTTCCTTGGTTATTGACCATGGTGTTCCCAACCTTCCTGTTTGTACAGTTGGCTGAAATCCCAGGCCAAGAAAATGGAGCAAAAGTGTTTTTAAGAATCTGGCTGGTGGGGCAGTTTATTCTCTCTGACTTTCATATATAATAAACTTCAATAATATGCTAATCATAAGTACTTAATTGTGTGTGTGTGTGTGTGTGTGTGTTCAGAGGAAGGTGGCGAATACAAACATTTGGAAATCAAACTTCAAACTTCTTGGCAAAGGGGCTTTAATTTGACTCTTTTTATGATTATCTTATTCATACTAGCATGTTCAGGAAAGGGGCTGTTTATTTTATTTGAAACAATGTCTAATGTAATGAGGTTGCTTTTAAATATGAAAGATTTGCTATAAAATCCTCTTTCATTTGATATTGTATGCCAAAAGTGTAGATGGATTTTGCTTTTCAACATTGATTCCCGAAGCTCATTTAAAGGAAAGCAAAGTATTCTTTGGAGAGCACATTTTTAATGAACCTCACCTTCACATGCAAAATGTAAGTTTTAAAATTAGAAATAAGACCATGTCCAGAGCACCTTGATCTCTAGGAATGATTCCCAGTTTACCCTTGGCAGTCTATATATTGATTTCTACTATGATACAGTTGTTCCAAAGCAATAATTTCTTTCTCAGAAACTAATTGTTTTTATCTCTCCTAAATCCTTCTCCCCCAAATTTATATACATATGCTATTTCTCACAAACAAATCTTAATGTGAACACTAGAGAAAACTAACTACCTTAGTCAATAGTGGCCATGGTTTAATGTGATATAAAGCCATGGTCTTATTGTTCATTGTTTTTCTTTCTTGGCCACAAAAATATTCTCACATCCCCCTTGAACTATTTTTGAATTCTTTTCTCCCTCCAAATAATTTTAAATTGCCCTCTTTTTTAGAAACTGTTCCTGATGAAATCACCTGTCTTCTTTATTTTCTGCATACTGGGCTCAGTATGAATGGCATTTCCTTTATTCCCAGAGTGTCCAGGACAGACTTCTTTACCCAGTGGGTTGGAAAATCAATGTTACTGACTGATACAAGAAATAGTCTGTTAAATGTGAAACCCAAAACTATAAAAACCCTGATAGACAACCTAGGCAATACCATCCTGGACATAGGAACAGGCAAAGATTTTGTGACAAACACACCAGAAGCAATCACAACAAAAGCAAAAATTGACAAATGAGATCTAATTAAACTTAAAGAGTTTCTGCACAGCAAAAGAAACTGTCAACAAACAGACAACCTACAGAATGGAAGAAAATATTTCTAAAGTATTCATCTGGCAAAGGTATTAACCCAGCATCTATAAGGCAGTTAAACAAATTTATAAGAGAAAAATAACCCTATTAAAAAGTGGGCAAAGGCCATGAAAAGACACTTTTCGAAAGAAGACATATATGCGGCCAACAAGCATATGAAAGAAAGCTCAACATCACTGATAATTAGAGAAATGCAAATCAAAACCACAATGAGATACCATCTCACACCAGTCAGAATGACTGTTATTAAAAAGTCAAAAAATAGTAGATGCTGGTGAGGTTGCAGAGAAACGGGAACACTTATACACTGTTGTTGGGAGTGTAAATTAGTTCAACCATTGTGGAAAGCAGTGTAGCAATTCCTCAAAGAGCTAAAAGCAAAACTACCATTTGACTCCACAATCCCATTACTGGGTGTATACCCAGAGGAATATAAATCATTCTACCATAAAGACACATGAACATGAATGTTTACTGCAGCACTATTCACAATAGCAAAGGCATGGAATCAACTTAAATGCCCGTCAATGACCAATTGGATAAAGAAAATGTGGTACAGATACACGATGGAATACTATGCAGCCATAAAAAAGAACGAGATCATGTCTTTTGTGGGAACATGGATGGAGCTGGAGGCTATTATCCTTAGCAAACTGATGCAGGAACAGAAAACCACATACCATGTGTTCCCACTTATAAGTGGCAGCTAAATGATCAGCACACATGAACACATAGAAGGGAACAACAGGCATTGGGGTCTACTTGAGGATGAAAGGTTGGAAGAGGGAGAGGAGAGGAGAAAAGATAACTATTGGGTACTGGACTTAATACCTGGGTGATGAAATAATCTATACAACAAACCCCTTTGACACAAATTTACCTATATAACAAACCTTCACAAACCTAAAATGAAAATAAATAAAAAAAAAAGAACAAGAATATGAGTTGAGTGTAACAAGCATACCCCTAACAGAGAGATAACTAACAGACTATTTTTGCTTATTGGATTTAGGTATTAGATAATTCATTCAATACCTGACTTATTTCTCTTAGCATAATGCCCTCAAGGTGAATTCATATTGCCAAGAATGACAGGATATGTAAGTTTTATTTGTAACATACCTTAATTAAAAAAAAAAACAAAATAAAATATTTCTCATAAAAATAATAGTCTGTAACCCAGACCAGACTCAAAGGAAGTAAAGTTGAGAGTCAAATAAATCAGGCTATAAACACATAAGAATTTTGATAAAACTGGGAATTAAGACTCAGTTCTGGAATTCAGATTTCTCTAGGCATAGAAGTTAACCACGTTCAGGGACATCTTCATTAGGTCACCACAGAGTATACAGATAGAAGATCAGTTTTGAGGGCAGCTTATAGATAGATTCATGCAATCAGGACTGGAGAGAAATGCAATAGATTATCTCTATCCAAGCCCCTCTCTTCCAACAGGTAACATTCTAAACCATTTAAAACAGAGGGAGGACAATGAGTTCCATTTTTATCATCCTTTGCCTGCATGCTAGTGCAATCCTGCTGAGGCACCAGAGTTGCAACCCAAACACAGAAAAGGGAAGCATGCTCCCCTAAGTTTTTGCTAAAAGTCGGGGCCACTAACTAAAATGTCCAAGGCTTTGTATAAATGTGTGGTGTAGACAAGGCTTTAGATCTTTTTTGACACATGCATACATACATATACCTCCTCCTCAACTTCATTCATGATATCAAGATGAAACTTTGTGATATTAACTACAGATCTGCCCCCAACACCAGTTATCCAGCATCCCTCTTCCTACTGAAGCAGAAACATCTATTGCCTCAAGACTGAGATTGTTTAAACAGGAATGAGAAGAAAACAGAACAGAAGATGCCCTCATCTATTTTATTTCAAAATAGACTTTTAGAAAGTTATAGCAGATCGGGTGCGGTGGCTCACGCCTGTAATCCCAGCACTTTGGGAGGCTGAGGCAGGCAGATCACGAGGTCAGGGGCCAACATGGTAAAAACACATCTCTACTAAAAATACAAAAATTAGTTGGGCGTGGTGGCATGCGCCTGTAATCCCAGCTACTTGGGAGGCTGAGGCAGGATAATTGCTTGAACCCAGGAGGCAGAGGTTTCAGTGAGCTGAGATTGTGCCACTGCACTCCAGCCTGGGTGACAGAGCAAGACTCCATCTTGGAAAAAAAAAAGTTATAGCAGATAAACATAGAATTGACATATGATCCAGCAATTTTACTCCTAGGTGTATATCCAAAGAATTGAAAGCAGGGATTTGAACAGATGTTTGTATGCCAATGTTTATAGCAGCATTATTCACAAATAGTCACGTATTCATCAACAGATGAATAGATAAGCAAAATGTGGCATATACATACAGTGGAATATTATTCAGCCTTTAAAAAGGAATGAAGCTCTATAACATGTATGAAGCTTGAAGACATTATGCTAAGTGAAATATGCCAGACACAAAAGGACATATTGTTCCATTTATATGAGGTACTTAGATAGGTGGATTCATAGAGACAGGAAATAGATTAGAAGTTTCCAGGACCTGGGAGAAGAGGGAATGAGAAGTTGATTAATGGTTATAGAGTTTCTATTTGAAGTGATGAAAATATTTTGGAATTAGTAATGATGGTTGCATAACATTGTGGATGCAATTAGTGCCACTGAATTGTGTGCTTAAAAGTGGTTAAAATGGCAAGTTTTGTTAAATATATTTTATCACAACTTAAAAAAACTAATAATGTGATATAACAAAACCATTATACCCTTTAAATGGATGAATTGTGTGATATATGAATTATATCTCAATAGATGTGTTTAAAACAGTTATAACAACGGCAATCTTCCCTTCAGACAGCTAACGTTCTCCAACGCTTTGGAAAATTTCTTAACCAGTCCTAGTATACCTTTTCAGCCCTTGTGACTATAGATTTCATAAGTGATTACTGAAAAGGGATGTAGGCCCAAAATCTGAGAGTCATCCTTGGCTCTTTCCTTTTGCTCATAAATGTTATCCAATCCATCAGCAAATTCTGTGACTCTACCTCCAAAATGAATCATAAATCTGATTCCTTCACACAGTCTCCATCACTATAATTCTAATGTAGGCTACTATTCTTCAGCCACAGTGGTTTTCTTCCTTCCTTTAAACATTCCAGGATTGTTTCTGCCCCAGGACTTTGTACTTCGCATGACTTCTGTTTGGAATACTTTTCCATCAGATTTTCACATAGCTGCCTCTTCTTATCATTTAAGTCTCTAATAAAATGTTACCTCCTTAATGAGTCTTTCCCTAAACCCTCCATCCAACCCAAGCTCCCAGTTTAAAATATTTTTCTAACCCTAAGTCATTCTTTATTATAGCATCCTGGAGCACCTATCCGTACCTGGAATTATTCTATACATCTATTTTTTATGTGTTTATGGTTTGTCTCCTTCCAACAGAATGCAAGCTCCTTGAAGGTAAGGGTTCTGTCAATGTTTCCTGTACTGTATACCTGGTGCCTAAATTGCTATGATAAACATTCAATACATTTACTCTCTGACCAAAGTGTGAATGATGTTGAAGACTAGAATGAATCTGACTGCAGGACATCATCTAGTAGGCTTTTGGGGAAAAAATTCTTATCAAGTTTTTGTGTGTCTAAGTTGCCTTTTCCTTTCAAAAGTGGAGTGCAACCAAGCATTCCAGTTAATTGTCCTTGTTAGTTGAGTTTTCGTAAGTCGAATTTTACTTGATCCTTACGGTCAAGTTTTTAGGCTTCTGCATGAAGGAGGACTGTAAATAATTAACCTACACAGGCTTGCCAGGTGAACTCAAGTAAAGTCTAATTGAAGAGATGGGCCTCATTCCTTTAACTGGAAGGCTATTAGATGATTTGACTGTGTCAGATAAGAAAAGAAAGTGAGATCCTTAGATGAGTTCTTCTAGGAAACAGAGTTTCAGAGTTCTTACAAAGATCTGGGGGTCCTGTGTGATGTTAATTACCCTGATGCTGTCTGTGAGAGTTGGCAGCCTCAGAAAGAATGGAGACTTAACCCCCTTAGGCTTTCTGGGCTGTGAAACGCTCTCATAAACAAGTAGGTTACCTTGGAGGACTAATGGAGATAGTTTAATAAAATCCATATGGTTGGTTACTTTGGGCAGATGGCCGGCAGGCCACCTTGGAAGCACCTAAAGTTTCTAGATGGTCTTCAAGGGCAGCTCTAAATTGTGCATATTGAAGTTGTTGAATCTGCAGGCCACAAAGGAATAGCTAAAGATGAATCAACTAGGAGATGAGCACAATAGTAATATTTTATATTTAAGGGTAGAAGTGGGATCAAGAGGATGGGGAAAATATTGAATGAGCTTTCTTTCTCTTCCCAAAGCCAGAAAAACAAACAAACAAACAAACAAAAACAAAAAACAAACCCACATCTCTTCCATCAAGAAAGCAGAGAGATTATCTTATTTTATTTTTGTGAAGTACCCCTCACATCTCTACAGAACTGTGTCTGGAGAGTCTTTAGGTTTATTTTATTTTATTTAAGTTCCAGGATACATGTGCAGGATGTGCAGGTTTATAACATAGGTAAACTTGTGCCATGGTGGTTTGCTGCACCTATCAACCCATCACCTAAGTATTATACCCTGCATACATTAGCTATTTATCCTGATGCTCTCCCTCCCCCTGAGTCTTTAGGTTTTAATTGCTCTATTGCTGGGCCCTTTTCCTAATGTTTCTTGGGACTTGTAGACACCTTCATACTTTTAAAGAGCTTTTGTGATATTAGCCTCTCACCAACCCCATAAGGACAGTAGAGCAAGGAATATTCTCCCTGATAAATGAAGAAACTGAGACCAAATATTCTTTACCCAAAGAAAAATAAGAAAGTCATCAGTGGATGTGGAACTAGAAACAATTCATCTTTCTCTTGTTCTTTCTAGTTTCATCTACACACATGACATAACCCTTAGCACGTCAGAAACTATAACAAGCCATGTAATAATAGAGGTTTGCTCCATTTATGGCATTCACTCTAGCTTTATAGATGCCTTTCTTTGCCTTCTTATCTTGGAACCCTTTGAAGTTGTCAGAGCATGGGAAGTGTCTTTTAAAAGTAGGCATAGATTTCCTTTTCTAATTGATCTATCAAGGGGAATAAAAACATAGATCAACCGGGAGATGATACAGATGCCTTAACATGTGCTGCATTAGAGACTCAGAGCATCAGGATCCTAGTGCCAGCTTTTCTCCATTGAGCTGAGTGACATTCAGCAAATCACAATGTCATGTACCTCATTTGTCTCCTCTATGAAACAGGTGTAATGATACTTGTTCTGGCTGCCCCAGGATTGTTGTGTGGATTGTGTAGTAATGTATGTGAATGTGTGTTGAAAATTAATGGTCCACTAGATTGTGAGCTCCAAGAGGGTAGAGGCCATTTCTGTTTCATTCATAAACTAGCTGATCTTCCTACTGAGGTTACAGGGAATCATTAACCCTGCTGCTAAGTCACCATGGAGCATACCCAGAGATTGGCCCATGCTGGGAAGTAGCTCCATAGAAATAAACACCACCAGCTTCCCTGGAGGGAAAGTCATCTAGTTATGTGAGATACCTATATTTTAAGTTAATCTGTCTCCAAATATGGTGAAAAAGCCTGTCTAGGTATTTTCAGGTAATTTGGCAAAAGATAGGAATTTAATTTTGTTTATAAGATGTATGATCGTCAGTGCTTAGCATGAAGCTTGGCTCAAAAGTTACTGAAAGACTGCTGAATAAATAATGGAATATCAGGCATATTATTAGCTTGTCTTTATTGCTAAATGCTTTCCTTTCTCTTGGAGGCAGATATTAGATGTGTTTTCAGTTGCGTGCATAGTTGTCAGGTCAACCTCTACTTTCTTGGAGATTGTCCTTTCCAGCCAGCCTGAGACTTGCCTGAAAGGAAGAGCTATGGAGCCACAGATTCCTAGCTGCTGAAGGATGGGAAAAGCCAACGGTGGTCTTACTGCATCTTTCCCTTTTCCAGAGGCCTTTTTGGCCAGGCCTCAGCATCCTCACCTGTGGCTGTTGCTCTGTCTCCAGTCTTGACCTATAAGGTCTATGGCTCTTGCTGTGTATTATATAACATAGGAAAGTAAGACTTAAAAAAAAATAAGACAGCATCAAAACAGCCATGTCAAAATTGAAAGACAGTTTTCTTTTTTTTAAACTGCCAAGTAGTATGTACAGCAGATGTCCCTGACCTACTACCCTTAGTGTCAACTCATCTGTTGCTGTTGCTGTTATGTGTTCCCCTAGTGCATGGTTTGGATGTATCCTCAAACATTTGGTCACATTATATGTGTCTTCAAACAAATAAAATTTGGCTGCAGCTTTCCAGGTATATTGTCTGTTAAGATCTTAAATTCACCATGGTGTTTGGTGAGAAAAATTTTTAACAAAAGATTTTTACATTTTGATGTGTTTCCTAAGGCAAGGGGATGGATTAAGGTGTCAGGGAGGTCTGTTGTGTACATAGCTCAATTATAATAAAGCTTAAAGATTAATGGTTGATTTTCTGGATTATGTCAAAATGTCAGCATACCCTGCATAGGTGCGCTTGTGGAAAGATTTTTCTCCCTTCCTGCATATACTTCAAAAGCCCTGTTATAGATAGCCAATAAATATTGAAGAAATGTAGACCCAGTTGAAAATGCTTTGTGTATGTGTGTGGTTGTGAATGTGTAAGCAGAATCGAAATGCTATTAGCAGGGACTCCTTTTCAAATCAGCATGGCAGAACCCCTCCTTTCGCTGCCTGTGCTTAAAAAAAATGAAAAACTATAATGACCAAGACAATAATCAGAGTCTTGTGTTGAGACAAAACATTCTTCATGAGTAATTCAGCTGTGCTTCACAGGGCTTACAATACCTGTAACTCACGAGGCAGGACAGTCCCCTTAGTGGTCTCCTAATAAAGTTCAATTCTTCTGCCTTGCCTAGGGCACTGGAGCAAGTCACCACTCTCTCTACTCCTCTTCTTTTATATTTACTTTCTTAAAGAGGTTTAAATTAATGTTAAACATTTCATTTTTAAAAAAGAATTCCTTTTATCCCCCAAACTTTCTGTAATGGGGATATGGCCAAGTATCTGGAAAAGAAATCTGGCATCCGGCATTGGGGTAAGACTCAAAGACTTCATCAGCTAACTGATCAAAACTAATACAAAAAGAGACAATTGACTTCTTATATGTGATATATAAGTTGTATATCAATGTGTTCTTAGAATAAATAAAGTATTTGTCTTAAGTCCTAAAATAATCACTGCAGTTATGCAGGCTCTGGTATAGTGAAATAAGAGATATGATAGAGATAATGCAACTCTCTCTTTGGCAAATACTCTAATGACAGTTTTATAAAATTATCCCTTGAACTTATTGCTTTCATTAACATTATGGTGCTTCATTCTGATCTGGTCCTTATTTCTTATTTTAATATGTGTCTTTATGCCCTATATACATGGAATTAAAACAGTACTATTTCCCTGTCAACTGTCCAAACATATCAAATTGACATGGATTTAAATTTTCTGGGATTCTAGAATTACTGCCTATTTCCAGAAGAGAGCATTTAAGTTCTCATAAAACCTTCTACCAGCATGGCAAATGATCGCCACATAAAATCAGAAAGTTTTGAGATTATCTCATCTCTGTCATGATGATTTCTGCAAGGTTTCTGGGTGTGGTATACATCTCATAAAATGATGCACTATACAAGTCAGCCTCCAGACCTGGCCATTTTCCAAAAGTTTGCTTGTTTCAAAAAGGGTGGCATTTTTCCCCCCTGTGTTTCTTCCCTGTGTAGCTAAGGGAGGAAGCTGAGTTTAGTGGTTAGTGCAATAGGCTAAGTCAGCAAGTTTAGTTTCTTATTTGGTGATGTGATTTGCTGAAAACCTTTGTCAAACCAACTCTGTCTAAATGATGAAAGAAGTCTTTGTTCTCTTATATGTAACTTTTGTAAACTTCAGTGTGACTAGTATCTTCAACGGTACTGTTCTGAAACTCTGAAACATCTCTCTGGGATTTTTCTGCCTTATATTCTTTTAGAGAATCAGGAAACCAAGCAACGGCAAAGTAAGCAACAAACTAAACCAAATACCAGGGCCTCAGCAGCCTACGCACACAGGTATATGCACAGGCATATCACAGGTTATACATGACCTGGCTGGGCCATCCAGTCAGGTGAGAATAAGAATGAAGGCCTCTGGAGTTGTGCCCAAATAAACACAAGAGCCTTGCATAAAGTTCAGCAAATGAGAAAGAGAAAAATTGTCCATTATGGTATAAATAAAATATTGGACCATTAACTTTTCCATTAGGATTAACTTTAGAACAAACATGTCCCCTTCTTCCACCATCAGACATTTAATGTAAAAAGGGGAAAAAATGTGATTCCTGTTAAAGTGCCTACTGGGGGCTAAATATTTTGTGGGGTAGAGTTTTCCTTAGCCAGGTGCCTACTACATTCTGTAACTTTGTGAAGCCAGCTTTGTCTGCAGCTGGGCATTACATGGCTTATGTCACATCACAGGCTAAGTGCTTTAAGGGATCTAACTGAAGGGCAAATATTTAAAAACATTTTAAAATAATTCTATTACATCAATGGAAAATAATGTTTATTGAACCACTGTTAACACCAAAATATTTTCAAAAGGTTAAACATTTATCAAGAGGAAATTGATAAAGGAAATAATAGAGTTGAAGTAAAGTTAAATACTATGAAGTAAAAAAAAAAGTAAATCTATACTTATTTGAGTTTTAAAAAACAAACAAATAATGGCAAGAGAATACTATGTTATATGATTCCATGTATAAAATGTTTTGGGTGTTTATGCATATAAATGTATAAATAATTATTTGAATGCATCTTAATAAAATATTAATATCAATTTTCACAAAAAAAGAAATCCAGCATCCTGGTTATTTTCTAATACTTTTAAAGGTCTGCAGGCAGAGAGAACTTTGGAATTACTTTTTCTTCCAGTGCCACCTTTTAACATGAATCTGTATCAGGTTAAATTTCCAAAACCTAGTGGAGAATGGTCATTTCAGTGCAGCTTTCCAAATCATTGTAGCATTTCTCTGGGCAACAACAATAAAGCCGTCCACTTGTTTTTTTGGCATATGTGCTTCTACGTCTGGTTGGGATATATAGTTTTGGAGCTGCTGTCTAAGGAAATCAGTTTTCAAATCAAGAGAGTTGATAGTAATATTCCAGGTGTCTCTTCTAGCAGCATGCATTCTGCTCCCTGCCTTTCCTGACGGAACAGGTCCCTCTGTTCCACTGATCATGGGATTGTAAGATGACAGCTAGGGAAAGCTCAGAAAATGAGAGAAACAAATGAATCATTTAAAAATACCATCATTTTAATGGCAGCTTTACTCAGGACAAGTAAAAATGTCTGCAGGGCAATTAGAAAAGAATTTTATTTTATTTATTCCTATCTCTTAGTGGAAGGACTAGAGGGCTGGCCCTAGGCTGTCTTATGTTATTACAATTTGGTCCCTGTAGTATTAGTATAGAGTGAGCACGGGAAGAAATGAGTTCATATTATGTTTGTAAATGTTGCATGTGATCTTGTTTCATCCTCTGAAGTTCATAAGGCATGCTATCAGAGATCCCCAATGTGTGTGTGTGTGTGTGTGTGTGTGTGTATGTGAGTTACTGTTTTTTGTTTTGTTTTGTTTTGTTTTTGTTTTTGAGACAGAGTCTCACTCTATTGCCAGGCTGTAGTGTTGTGGCAAGATCTCAGCTCACTGCAACCTCTGAATCCCTGGTTCAAGCGATTCTCCTGCCTCAGCCTCCCGAGTAGCTGGAATTACAGGCATGCACCACCACACTCAGCTAATTTTTGTATTTTTAGTAGAGACAGGGTTTTACCGTGTTGACCAGGCTGGTCTCAATCTCCTGAGCTCGTGATCTGCCTGCCTCGGCCTCCCAAAGTGCTGGGACTACAGGTGTGAGCCACTACACCTGGCCAGGAGTTAGTTTTTAAAATTGCCTTTATGACTTGACATCACTGAAGAATGAAGGGGAAGTGACATGACTGTGGCAGTCAAGTCCCTAAATAAAGGATGATGTGCTCTTGCTGGCTGCCTTCTTTGCCCCATTGGATTTAAATGGCTTGGAGACCAATTGGCTGCCGGCCCCACAACCCTGTATTGCACGAATATCAAAGATAGTCTTTGTTGGGTCTAGATAACATTTTCAGTATAAGCAGGTTAAAGGAGTTGGTTTTTCTATGCTGCTTTTATAGTTCCACTTTTAGATAATCAACATTCGTGTGCTGCCCTGAAGAACCACCCCACCAAGTCCTTAATGATGCCACCAGTGACCATTTGGGGAAACAGAAAAAGTGGCATGCCAGAACTAGAAAATGATTTGTACTTCCTTATACTTAGAAATATCCAGCTCCCTGTGTAATCAGATTTTCAAAACAGCTCAATTTCCATATGAATTACTCATTGGCTAGGAATTGATGAGCATTAGAAACCACAAACCAATCAGAATGTGGCAATAGCTTTGCTCAGAATTAAATGTTGATTCAAATCAGCTCTGGTAATATGATGCCCTTTAATGAAATCATGATTGAATGATTTAGTAGATGCTTTCCTAGTTTTTGAGAAAGACACAGAATAAGTGGGAGATGGGGTCTGGGCATGAGGGCAATGAATATTTGGTCACACTTTCTGCCTCTGGGCTAATAAATCTCTTCATCTTTCCAGAGAGCCTCCTTTTGCCTGCAATATGGATGAATGGCCTTTGAAAGCCTAATGGGAATTGATGCCGTTTATTGATTACCATTTAAAGCACAACTTTCTAACCTCTAATTGTTTTTGAAAGAAAAATGCTTTCCAGTGGAACAAGTATCTCTTATCTGAGGGTTCAAGTCTGGTGTCTTGATATCCTAAGTGGTTAATTACTTCATATAGAAGCTTCTGGTGTCTTGATATCCTAAGTGGTTAATTACTTCATATAGAAACTTCATGCCTATTGGGATGGTTATCATAAGCTCTGTTGAAGGTTGATATCAAACCAGATTTCCATGGAGCTGGTTATGTGTTGACTACTCATCAGATGGAAATCCCTGGCTTCTAGCCCCGATAAATGTGAGTGATTTCATGGGGGCAGAAAATTGTTTCTAAATAAGCTTCTGGGACTGCCATAGTAGTGAGGGTCAAGGCCAGATTAGTTCCAGAGGGTCTTCATTGGACCAACATTGGACCCCTCCTCCCAGTTGGGGATTATGATCTGGTCAGTAAACAGGTGGTATAGGTGAGATATGGATATCTTGAATCAATGAGAATTCTTGAAAGGGTCCCAGGACTAATACATTCTCTTTCAGGGAGTGAAAACTGTTTGTAGTTAATTGCTGTAATGTCAAGAAATGTACTCTTCCTGGTTTACTGTGAAGTAATTGGACAAATCTCATGATAATACATGTAGAAATGTATTTCTTATTGATTATTTAAAAAGGAGGTTTAGAACCACCATCTGTTTACTCTGGGCCTTTGAGGAAAAATCAGCAATTATATCTGTCATCCAATAACTTGATTATTGGTTGGAGAGAGTGACTAACTACTCCACCTACTACCCAAGTGGCTTCTGGATCATTGCTACAACTAGTTACTGTGGTTACAGTAGCAGGCAGTAGTAATATTATAGAATGTGTCCATTTTCTAATCTAAATTAGCATATTTTTCTTGTTGGGGTAACTGAAAAAACATTTTAGTTCTTAAAAACTCTACTAGTATTCTTCCTTAATAGTCCAGTTACCACAGAATAAAGATCTTGATGGTTTATGTGAAAGTGGTTTGTCCCTCATATTATCCTTCTATCATTTCCTGCTTCAATCTCCTTTCATCTTTCCTCTTGACAGACTTTACATAGCTTTATTAACTTTTGCTAATGAACAATTTACTGTTTCCTCAATAAGATTTTGCCTATGAGGAGCTGAGGGAATACGTCTACCCAAGAAATTAAAACAATTATCAGCTGTCCTGAAAATGAAATTATCACCATGTACACAAATACTTGATACAATTGTAATACATCTCAATAGACAACTAACATTTAAAATAGAATATGTAATTTCTTATAGTCCATTACTCATCAGTCTTAGAGTCAATTGCCTAACTTCTGTGAACCTCTGAGACATAAAAGCACTGCTTTTGTAAAAGCTAGAAAGCAGAATATATATTATTTAGTTCAATCCCCTCATTATTCAAGTGAGGGGACTGAAGCTGGTAGAAGTTAAATGGCTTGCCCAAGGACAAACAATCACTTTGTGGCAGGGTTGGGATTCAAACCTGGGAGTCCAAACTCAGTGCCCTTGACATGCAGCTTGTTATGTCTTACTCAAGTCTTGGTTCTAAACGACAATGGAGTAGATCACCAACCAAGCAGCCCAGTATTTAAGATGCTCTCCTTTGATAACATTCCCACTCTTTCCCAACTCTCCCTTAAAAGCACTGTGAACTTGCCTTTGTGAGAAGATGATAAAATAAATATCAGCAGGCTCAATTAACTGCAGAGCACTTACTCTGAAAAATTCTTTTGTTGAACCGGAGTCCAGGGTCCCATATGCAATTTCAGTCTGTTTAGCTAAGTCTTCAGCACTCTCTATGGGAGAAACCATCCTCTCCACAGTCAGGAAAGCAGCGAGATTGGCAGTATAGGAAGAAATTATGATCAGGGTGAAGAACCACCAAACCCCTCCAACAATGCGCCCGGAGAGTGATCTATAAAACAAAACAAAAACAAATCCAGACCCAGAGGGGCCAGATCTAAGTTTAAGAAATCCTTTTCTTTATTTCTGGAAAGAGGAGTGGTTTCAGTATAGCTGATGAAGGAGGGAAATAGATGATGTGAGGGAATTAAAACATTAAACAAAGGTCACATGTTAACAACAATACCCCATGTCATGATGGCATACTATGATGGTGCATGCATAATACTTGTCAGGCCTATACACGTTTCAAAGCAGGATTTTCTTTTTAAAAAATGAGGTCAGGTCTCTCTATGTTGCCCAGACTGGACTTGAACTCCTGGGCTCTAGCTATCTTCCAGCTTCAGCCTCCTGAATAGCTGGGACTACAAGTGCACTCCTAGCAGGATTTTTCCTTTTAATTACAGGAAAAAATATATATTTTTTTTACCATCTCCTGCTTCCACAGGTAATAATTTAACTTATTGAGTTCTCTTCCTGTGAAGTTTGCTGGGCACACCTGTAGAAGCAAATGGTTTTCAGCCTTGGCTCCACATTAAAATCACCTAGGATCTTAAAAAAAAACTCATGCCCAGGCCCACCAATTAAATCAGAACTTGGGAGGTAGGACACAGACATTTAAATTTTTTAAAGCTCACCAGGTGATTACAAAGTGCAACCAAGGTTGAAAACCACTGCTACAAGGTAATGTCATGAGAGAAACATAGTCAAAAACCTCTTCTCACTTGAAGATAAATGGGTAGGTGCTGGAAAATGAGCACTATTCACTTTGAGTTTAATAAATTTAACAAAGACATTGCTATTTTGTGGAGTTGGTCATCCATAAGGCAAGGAGCTAGATGATAATATTTCTCATCATCTTCATATAAATAGCTTTTGGGGCCCAGGAGATTAGAAACTTTCTCCTTTGACAACTAAGCCTTAACCACTCAGGGCAGACTCCAAGTGAAGTAGGAAACTACCTGTATAGTGGGATTAGAGGCATCAAAAGGCTTGCTTCCTCCACACCCCCTTCCACCCCCACACACAGAAAACGAAAACAAAATCATCCTCCTGGTCTGATGGAGAAATTCTATTGGAATCACGCTCTGTGTTGTTTTCAGGAGGCTTGATCAAAATGTAACACATTACTTCAACAGCACCCACTGTTTATTCAGTTAGTAGGGAATGGGAAAGAAGATGGGTAAGTTTTAATAAGGGGAAATTTTTGTTCTTAAATGTTACTGTGCATCAGCATTACCTGAGGTGTTTGTTAAAATGCAGATTCAGAATAGCTGAATGCCCAAGAATCTGCACTTCTTAAGCATCACAGGTGATTCTGCTGCAAGTGGTCTGCAGACCAAACTGAGAAACATTGTTCTTCTACATCAGTGATTCTCAGTTCTGCCTGCATATCAATATCATCTAGGGAGCTTCAGTCAAAACACGTCAACACAAAAAGACAAAAAACCTTGCCTAGGCTTCAAGACCAATTAAATCATAACCCTGGGGGTTGGGACTAAGCAGCAGCACTTTATAAAACTCTCAAGGTGCAGACAGGGTTGCAAGTTTGGTCCTGCATCATGAGTGTTCCTCAGAGACAGGGACCATAAGAAGTTATTGGACAGTGTGAGGGAATTGAATGCTCAGTGATGGGTAATGGCTTGTACTCAGGAAACTTCATCTCCTTCACAGTGTTGCTGAAGGCTGGCTCTGTCTGCAGAAATGAAAATCTGCTCCCTAGGTTTTATAAAACATTGCCACATCATCCTTAGGATAATTCTGCTGTGTGGCAGAGCTCCATCCTAGTTACGCTATGTTCTCCCATGCCCAGAAAAACTCACAGGAAGAGAACCCACTCTGTCATAAAGTCAAGAATAGGCGTAGGAGCCTGGCATATCTCCAGGCTCTGTGGGAAGAGGGTAGTTCTGGGCTGAGAGCCGGCAAATCAAGCTCTTCTCTGTCTGTACCAGCATTTCACCACTTTAAAGCAAATTTAAATTCCTGTGTCCCAAGGTAACCTTTTTCTGGCCTCTGGAAAACTCAGTTGTTTTAGATGCTACACTCTGAATAATTTTGGCAGGTATTTTGATAAATATTTATTATTGGTTAACTATAACAAACTGACTTGATTTTTTTTAAATCTGTAGTTCCTGTTCGTCCCTGGATTCCTGAGACAACCCGTATTTATTTCCTGAACATGATCACTTTTAGCTTTTTGAATTTGAAAATCTGCTTTGCAGTAGATTTTTCTAACAGTTACACTATCTCAGGATTTCATCTGGGAACATTTCTCTTTTAATCAGAAGTAAAAACATCTGGATGAGTCAGAAAAGAATGTGGCACACTTCTGAATGCTAAAAGTATACAGGGTGTTTTGATTATGCATTTAGACCTTTCAGAGTCTTTCTTCATTGTTGCCACATACATTTAATTTATTCTGAACTGATCTGACTCTAGAAATAATTTTGCTATATAAAAGATTAACATTCCAAAGAAACATCCATAGTAATAGAGGAAGAAAAATGATAACAATTATAGCTAATACTTATTGAGCACTTCTTGTGTGCCAGACTCTGTTCTAATTGCTTTACCTGTGCCAACTATTTTAATTCTCTATCCCTATGGTTAGGTACTATTTTAAAGATAAGCAAACAGAGGTATTTTACAGATAAAGAAACTGAGGCACAGAGAGGCAGAATAGAAAATAAAACATTTAAACTTATACACTAGGAGAGAAATACCCACATTTTTGTAGTATAAAATACCCGTATTTTGTATAAGAAAATCCAAAATGGTGTGCAAGTTATAGAAGGTACAAATTTTCTCCAAACACTGAGAAATATAGTGGCATGAAAACCAAACATATTTGTATAATTATTGTTTATTATCTGTTGTTCATTTGGGACAGAACTGTGACTGTCATTTTTATTTGGAATGATGAGGTTTTGCCAGACCAAGGAGAAAACTGACTTTGGAGTAATTCCAGAATCACAGTTTGATATGGAAAGAGGTATATTTTGCTGCTGTGAATACTAATGGTAGTTTATGCATTGTCTACTTGACAATGTGGAGAAAAATACAGTAATTTATGGAAATTACACTGTGCCATTGTATTGAGGCTAATGGACTGTGGCTGTGTCAGTCTGATCTAAAATCAAGCCTGCACATCATAATCTGGTTATTTTGGCCACTTTAGTACTGACTCAGATCATCATGTGGTTGATCTGAATGACTCAGCTGTTGGTTGTTGACATGACTGAAAATAAATCTAAATGCAAAATGGTCATTTTCATGGCCTCTTGTCTACATGGTTATTGACTTTGGCAATTTTGTGGTTAATGTCATGATATACCTATGATCATGGAGAATTTGGGTGATTACCCACATAAAAATGCTATAACAGTACCTGCATACCTCAGCAGAGATAGAAAAGGAGCTTCAGTGGAATCAGTGTGGAATGCACAAGCTTGCATTCAACATTCTCGCCTCAAAACAGTAGTAGCTTAGACAAAAGATTTGATGGAATTTCCACCACTTTATTCCCTTGTTTAGCATAAGCGCCTCAATCCTTTCACTGAGAAAAAGTGCAGTGGAACCTACAGGGAAGAAGCTCCATAGGCATTTTTACATTTACCTTTTCTCATTAGGGAAACTATAGCCACTTAAACTCACATTTCACATGGAGGTTATATAAAAAGTGACTGATGGGTCAATCCCATCACATTTTATAAAGGATCTATTAAAATAAGACAAGACTTTATAGTTGAGTTAAAAAGACCTGTCATTTTCCAGTATCTTTCCCTCCATTAATGCAGCTACAAAATGTTTAACATTCATTTCAAATAGTTTTGTTGCACAAGACAGATTTCAAGGTTAGCGTAATGAAATGGCTGTAAAATGCTGCACATTTAGTGTTTATAAAAGTGCATTATAAGAAGCGTATCATACCTTTTGAGGAAATGTAAGAGGAGGCGTGAAGTTAATGAAAGTAAATTAGCAACAAGAGGAAAACAGACATATAAAAAGCACTGCAAAATACGTACATCAAATAATATACAATGCTCTTGTTATCTGTAATAATAAAGAACTAGATTTTCTGAGTTAATAATAAAATATATTTTATGACCTTTGAAATGATAATAAAAGTGAGCTATGTGCTATAACCTTCATCTTGTAAGTAAATTTTATAATCTTCACTTTACTAGCTTTACAAGATGAAGAGCTGGGACTGAAAACTGCTTCTCTATTGTACAAACTCTTTATCATTCCTTTTTTTCTCTTCTTTCTTCCAAAGTATGCATCATTTCTATACTCCATTTAATGCCATGTCTGTGGCAGATTTTTAAAAAATGTGCAGAATCAATCTTTGGTTCTTACAGTCTTCTCTGATGGGAATAAGTAACCATGTCCCAAAGACTGAAAACTACAGCTTTTAGCCAGAAAAGCCATGAAGTAGTTGTAATAAAAATTCTGCTATTACCTCATTAATTTATTATTACATCACTACTACTTTGAAGTGAATTTGCAGTAAGATAAAGACAGTGGTCATACATCAGCAGAGGAAAGGGTATGCTTAAAATATAGCCAAAAATCCTATTGTCTTTGATCTCATTTATTTTATACCCTTCATGTCTTTTATTATTCTGCACATACTTTACATTTTAAAGGAGGATCTACGTGTCAACTAATCTGGACAGACCCCCTGCCCTCTTCAACAAAGTACTTCATATCTTGAAAACTTAACAGGAGAGTAACACCTTTGGAAACATCTATACACAGTAATCAGGTTCAAGTTCATCTGTTCTTTCCATTTTCTCTGTAATAATTCCCCCAACTCTCATGTCTTCAATTTGTCTAGCCCTCAGATGTCCCTGCAGCTGCACAGAAAGTCAGCAGGGGGAGCATTTGTCTGGAAGGACTTGGACTCTGGACTGCTTAGTGGTTCTATCCAAGTTTTACAAAGGAAATAAATTTCGTATTAAAAATAAAGTTACAACTTCCAGCCAATATCAGTAAGACATAGTAGAATAATACAATAAAAATATTTGCAAGAGTTGTAATCTTTAACAAAAGCAAGTTCAAGAAGGAGTGTTGCTGGTTATTTCTCATCAGAGGTCAGCTCTTTGATACTAACTGGTATTTCAACTGTATTCCCAAGGAGTTTTAGGAACTAAAATGCAAATGTTATATTAGCTGTTAGTATTTGTGAAACTAGCATGATTATGTGCAGCCAATTTAATAATGACAATAGCTATTATTTATTGAGAACTTACATGCTAGGCACTGTGCTTTTTATTTCACAGATGAAGAACTGAGGCTTAGCAAGGTTTAGTGATTTGCCCCAGGTTACACAACTGCTAAGCAGATTGTGAATCTAGTGAGGCTAACTCCAGTGCCCACGTGCTTAACCACTATGCTTCTTCCATCTGCCTGTACCCATTGCCTGTCTTCTCCTTCCCCACTCAGGGGGAAAAAGGTTGAATTGAATCTCCTCGTACCTTCCACCGACTCCTCCTAATAAATCAGTTTGTATGTGGACAAAACCTCAGGTTATTATATTGATTACCTTCTCTAGAGTTAGCTCAGCCTCCAGCTTCATGTAGAACAAACTTATTCACTCTGAACAATTATGGTAGTTCAAACCTAATATTGACATAGACTCTTTAAGCTTCTAGGTAGCTGTGAATAATTTGGTGGAAATGTAATGATGCCATCAGTTTTTCTCATGATGTCTTGTTTCTGATTTCCCAGTCTCTTACTTTGAGCATACACACTCTCGATAATATTTTAAATGCTCACTGCCTTCTTTCATTGCAAACCAGAAAAAAGGTAGAGTTTCTTTAGAGGTTGAAAGAATGGAAAACAGCTCTTATGCCTGAGCATGAGGAGAGGAATGGAACAAACAGTGCAACTTCAGGTTGGTAGTAGGAGGCAGTGTGCAGTAGTGGAAATAATCATACTGTTGCCTCTGAAAACCTCCATGACCTTGGATTTCATCACATCATCCTTCGGGTGCTGTTCCCTTGTCTGTGATATTGGAAAAAGCAGCATGAAGTGGAAAGAGCATGTTTTGGAATTGGAGCTTGGTTTGTACTCAGGCTCTGCCATTAGCTGTGTGGCTGGGCAAATTATTTAATCTGACTATCACCTTCTTCAACTTAAAAATAAGTATAATGCCCACGCTGCAGTGGTGTTTTGAGGATTAAAATCCACCTGATAATGGAGGTAAAGTGCCTATACACAGTGGGAGCTGAGGGAAGGTGGTTGTTGTCCCTCTGCCCCCAGTAAATGGAAGCAGTTGGGCTAATTTATGTCTGACATTTTCTCCTGCTCTAATACTTAAATTCTACTTTAAAATGTGGTCTCATAATTTCTTGAATTGCTTCAATTTTGAGAAAAGTCAGAGTGTATAATGCATGCTCACATTCTGGGCTTTCTGAAGAGTTTGCATTCCAACTGTGGCCATTAAACAGAAATAAAGTATACTGCTGGTGTTTGTAGTCAAGGCAACCACAAATCTTAGAGTAACAACTGTGTTATTATCAGAAATTTCTAAATCTGTTAATAGTTCTAGAAACATCACAGTGATTGCTGTTATACAATTGAGCACAAACATATAATGAATAGAGCTCTCAAGACAAGGAGAAACATGTTTCCTCTTCACTAGTATATATCAGAAATATGCTAAGAAGCATAACATTTTATTAAAATGCTTAAAGGTATAATTTATTTCGAAAGACACACAAAAGACAATATTGGAGGAGGGATCACCCATATGGTGGAAAACATAGAGCTCATAAAGGCAATAATTTATTACTTAAAAGTATAGTAAGAATAATATTTGTTACTCTAGGCTAGTGTTATTCTGTAGGTTGTGTGCCCTATTTCTGGGTTGAATTGTAACCAGAATTAAAAAAAAAATGACACAATAGAAAATATCGGAGTGCATTGCACATTGTAAGGGTAAAGTATGGTGAACCTTTGGTTATATACATATGTGTATACTGAGTTGTGATGGAAAATTTACTTCTTACTGTGGGTCATGGTAAAAAAAATTTTGAAAGCCATTGCTCTTTATGACAGTGTCTAGTTTAGTATAATAAAATACATACTTTGAAAAAAAGCATTTGATATATCTCAGTGCCAAAGAAGAGCCACAGCTTACATTCTACTATAAGACATTAACAAACCTGTTCAACTTGTCATTTTCAGGCCATAATCTTTAAGTTATTACTTAATGAATCAATATATATATAAATTCTTCTAAAAATGAGAAGAGTGCTTTTTGAGTATGCAGAGTAGTATGCAGCACTCCAATGGGGATACCACAAACTTAGTTCTGAAAATTCACTTACAGAAACCAATAAAATCTTGAGCCTTAATGACTCTTTAGTATTGTCTCAACATAGATTACCAGCCATGTTAAAAATCATTTAATTATAGGATCATTCAGAAACCATAGTCTCTTGAAGTGAACATTTCAAAAAATAAAGAAACTAGCAAAATAAACTCCCAGATAATACAAAAAATGACATACATTCTAAGCACAAAAGGAACAGGGAGTGAAATAATTTGGAGAATGTAATCAAGCAGATTGAGAAAAGCCAAAAAAAGTGTGACTTCGATAAATGAGGCATACCCCATACAGACTATTTTAAAAAGCTGCTGAATATGGTTACCAATTAGTTATGCTGCAAAGCTTCTTTTTAAATGTTTTATGGTCCAAGTGGATAATCTCAAAATGAAGTATGCTGTAAAAACATGGTAGGACTCTTCTGAGTCTTTATATTTCACATGAAAATCCCTAATGTGTTTGTATAATTGACTCTGGTCAGTATCTGGATTAATGTTCAAGTTTACCAAAACCTACAGCTTTTTTGTCTCAAAATATAAAGATGTTACAGTCACCTACAATGTATTATGATTAAGAATTCACCGCCATATTTGTTTAGGTTTAGACTAAGTTTGTGAGGCTCAGGACATTCATGTTCAATATTTTGCTTTTCTTAGATAAAATTTGCATACCATAAAATTCACCAATACAAGTGTACGATCAGTGATTTTAGTAAACGTAGAGTTGTGCAACTATCATCACGATCCAATTTTAGAGCATTTTTATCACCCTAAAAAGTTCCTTCATGCTCATTTGCAGTTAATCCTGGCAGGCCTAGGACTAGGATGAGGCAAGTGAGGCAACTTCCCCACATGCAAAGTTTAAAGGGGCATCAAAATCTCATTAATCAAGATAAATAGAATTTTAGTCCAATATTTAAAAAATTAATGCATAATATCAAAATTTTAAATAAAGCTTGGATGTGATCCCTGTACTTGCTTTACTCAGGCTCACTTGCCTCACCCTGATACTGGCCCTGATTATCCCCTCTCTGCTCCCTGCAAGCCCTTGGCAACAACTAACGTACTTTCTGTCTCTGTAGACTGCCTATTCTGGACAAATAGAATCATACAATATGAGATATTCAATAAATGGGATTCAAATGGCATGATATGTGGCCTTTTGCATCTGGCTTATTTCACTTAGCATAACTTTTTTTTTTTTTTTTTGAGACTGAGTTTTGCTCTTGTTGCCCAGGCTGGAGTGCAATGGCGCAACCTCGGCTCACTGCAATCTCCGCCTCCCAGGTTCAAGTGATTCTGCTGCCTCAGCCTCTCATGTAGCTGGGATTACAAGTGCCCACCACCATGCCCAGCTAATTTTTTGTATTTTTAGTAGAGACGGGGTTTCACCATGTTGGCCAGGCTGGTCTTGAAATCCTGACCTCAGGTGATCCACCTGCCTTGGCCTCCCAAAGTGCTGGGATAACAGGCATGAATCACCGCGCCCGGCCCAGCATAACATTTTTAAGGTTCATCCATGTTATAGATGTGTCAGTAGTCTGTTCTTTTTAATTGGTGAATAGTATTCCACTATATAGATATAAAATATTTTGTTTATTTATTCACGAGTTGATAGACATTTGGGTTGTTTCTACTTTTTTAATATTATAAAGTTACTATGAACATTTGTGTATAACTTTTTGTGTGAATATGTTTTCCTTTCTCTTAGGTAAATAGCTAAGAATAGAATTGCTGTGTTATATTTTAAGTATTTATCTTACTTGATAAGAAACTGCCAAGCTATTTTCCAATGTGGCTGTAGCATTTTGCATTCCCACTACTAGTGGATGAAAGTTCCAGTTGTTCTACATTGTCATCAGCACTTGGTATTGCCTATCTTTTTGATTGCAGCCATTCTAGAGGATGTATGGAAGCATCTCATTGTGGTTTTAATTTGCATTTCCCTAATGGCCAACAATGTTGAGTATCTTTTGTTGTGCTTATTAGCCATTTATATATCTTCTTTGGGGAAATGTCCATTCAAATCTTTTGTCCATTAAAAAATTGGATTGTCTTCTTTTTATTGAGTTGTAAGAGGTGTTATATATTCTGGATGCAAGTCCTTTATCAGACACATGATTTACTAATGTTTTCTCCCAGTCGGGTTTTTTTTTCATTTTCTTAATACGTCTTTTTAAATGCAAGGTTTTGAATTTTGATGAAGTCCAGTTTATCAAATTTTTAATGGATTGTGCTTTTTGTGTCTTATCTAAGAGCACTTTGTCCAAACCAAGGTAAAACAGATATTCTCCTATGTTTTCTTTGAGAAGTTTTATAGTTTTAACTAGAAAACTTGGGTGGGATACTATAATGGATAGTTGTAGGCAGTCTGAGAGCAAAATGAAAAAGGGAGGGCATTGAAAGGAGAAGGTAGGAGGGATTTAAAGAAGAGTTCTATGTTCTTTTAAATTTTGTCTGGATCCAATCTCTTTAGAAATGAGAAAACACTTCAGTACAATTAATTAGGAAACCATGTCTGTTTGATCTGATGAAGATTTAGTATTTACTTTATCTGAATAATATTAATATTAGTGGCAATGTTGCCTTTATCCAGAGTTCAAATGTTTGTTTTAATGTATATACAATACCATAGAAATGCATGAAAGACATTCAAAGCAACACCAATGACACACTCACTTCATGGACATAAGCAAACACAATGGCTTGATGATAATCTGTCATTTGATGGAATGTTAAATGAAAAAAATCTGGAGTTGAGATGGATGAATACCATATGTACATGAATGGAGTATGACCATAAAATGCAATGAGGCATTGAGTATGCCACAAAAACAAACCTTGGAGAAATATCACATCCTTGCTGCATAAAGGCACCCAAGGAAAACCAAAGACTGTTAAATATTCCAAATTCATTTGGAGGATCAGGAGGACTTTGTGGGTCACGAGGTTCTTCATTGTTGTCTTCCAAGTGCCATTCATAAGGACTGAACCTGCTGACTAGGAAAAGAACTACGCTGACTCCAATGTAAGCAAAGACAATGCACATCCAGATTTCATAAGCCAGGGGATCCAGAAATGAGAATACGCCTGGTTTTGATTTCTGAGGCTTCTTTATCATGATGGAGATGCCCAGGCTCATGAATGGCTTTGAAAAATCTATGACTTCTTCACGGACCAATGTTATAGTGAGTGGAGCAACAGCTATATCAGCTCTCTGAAAAAAAAGAAAAAAAAGAAAACATATATGACTTTTAGAGACAGTCTTTAATCAGTTATTTGTCGCTTAATATACTTCTTTGGTGAAAATATCAAGTCCTAAATCTTTACAACCAATTGAATTATCAATGCTTAGGTTAGAAAAGTGGTAGCATTCAGTGGGTTCTAAAGTGCTTTAACTTGATGGTAAATTAAAGAAAGGGTGCTGGCCTTTTGTCTTCTGAGACACATTGGCTTAGAGCAACCGACTCTGCTTTCTTTTCCTAATAGTGTGTTTTTGCTACCTTATAATACAACTTGTACTGCCTTGTGACATGTCACTATTTAACTCTCGTTTTCTTATTTTAATTTTCGTGTTCTTATGTCTTATCTCCCTCACTTGACTGAAAATTCTTGTGGAGCAGGCATAATATCCTATACTTCTTATATCTGCTTCACTCTACACCATGAGGTGCCACACAGGGCCACAGCAGTTTAATTCTTAGGTGTTTGCTGTCTTATGTTATTCTTGAATTTTTTTGAAAGCATATCTTTTAAAACAGGTTTTTTGAAGGCAGAGACTCAATCTTCTATTTTTGTATGTATCACTGCAACAGATTCTAAACTAAAGAAACTGTAGATGCCTAAAAAATAAGTTGTTGATTACTGTATATGACATATGCAAACATGAAAGAATTTTGCCTGGGCAATAACAAGGGTAAAACAGTTGTCAGAACACAATTTATGTAGTAAGCTATATTTTCTAGTGATAATATCAGTGTAGCACTCACATGGATTGAATCAATAAAATAAATGTCAGTAGTGCACTGCACAATTAACTTAGGCAAAGGCAGGCAATGTTTTTTATATTAATCCCTTGAAAATAGGCACTAGGATTTTCTACATTTATTTCTTTTGTTTTCTGTAATTGTTCCTTTCCAACAGTAGTAAGTCATAGTCTGAAGCCAGGCCTTAAAATGCACACAAAGAAAAATCCTTCTGACTAAGGAAAGGCTTTTGGATGGTATATCATATATGAAGTGAAAACACAAGTTTTGATCATTTTTTTTCTATGTTCAGAACAGTAATGCCTCAATACCCCTACCAAAGGGCAGAGGTAGGGAAGTCTGATATAGAGTATATTTTCAAAGAAATGAAATTTTACTCCTTTGAATTACATATGATAAACCAGTTGAGGAATACTCCTTAATTAGTTGAAAGGGAAATGCAGATGATAAACAGCTAGCTAACATTTATTGAGTGCTTATTCTATATGAGGCACTTTGCTAAGCACATTACACTTACTATGTCATTTAATTCTCACAGTAACCTTGATATTGGTACAATCACCATTCCCATGTTGGAGATGGAGAAACTAAAGCACAGAGAGGCTGGGATTAGAACCCTGGTCTTCAGATTCCAGAACCCAGTTGCTTAATGAACATAATGTTCTAACTCCATAGATACTTGCAGGTTTCTACTATACACTACTTTTATATGCAATTATCAACCTTAGCCAACCCCTCTTAGGTTCATTCCAATGCAAATTTGAGTCTTTATTCTGTGCCAAGCACTATTCTAGGTGCTAGGAATGAAGCAGTGAACAAGACAGACAAAACAGACAAAAATACTTACCTGCATGGAGGGCATCCTACATCCTTTACATCCTAGTGGAAGTTGCAGAAAGCATGGGTTTATTGAAGCCAACTGCCTACTGATCAAATCTACCTTGGAGGCTCACCACCATTTCAAACTCATCATTTCTAAAATTTAACCCATCTATCCCCCCAAAAGTAGATTCTCCTCTGTGTCTGTGGATGATGCTTATTTCAAACTTTTCCCAGTTCCTAATCCTTATCAGTCCTATCCTCTCTGCAGATGATCTTGCCTCTTTCTTTACTGAGAAGATGGAAGCCATTTGATATAAGCTCTATCATCTCAGTTCCCCCTCCCCCAACTTTGTCAACATATTGCAGCATCTTTATACATTTCTTCTGTGTGTTTCCATCTCACAGAAAGTGACACTTTCTAAGATTTGATCAACTTATTCCATGCATTCTATATTTCTCTGTCGCTTCTTAAAACCCAGCTCTATCTACTATCTCTTTTACATCTTTAATTTTTCCCTTCTCCACTAATCTATTCCGGTGGCTCTTAAAGTATGGGTCCTAGATTAGCAGCAAAAGAGTCACCTGGGAACTTGTTAGAAATGCCAGTTCAACAGACACATGAAAAAATGCTCATCATCACTGGTCGTCAGAGAAATGCAAATCAAAACCACAATGAGATACCATCTCACACAGTTAGAATGGCGATCATTAAAAAGTCAGGAAACAACAGATGCTGGAGAGGATGTGGAGAAATAGGAACGCTTTTACACTGTTGTTGGGAGTGTAAATTAGTTCAACCATCGTGGAAGACAGTGTGGCAATTCTTCAAGAATATAGAACTAGAAATACCATTTGACCCAGTGATCCCATTACTGGGTATGTATCTAAAGGATTATAAGTCATGCTACTATAAAGACACATGCACATGTATGTTTATTGCGGCACTATTCACAATAGCAAAGACTTGGAACCAACCCAAATGTCCATCAATGATAGACTGGATTAAGAAAATGTGGCACATATACACCATGGAATACTATGCATCCATAAAAAAGGATGAGTTCATGTCCTTTGCAGGGACATGGATGAAGCTGGAAGCCATCATTCTCAGCAAACTATCAAAAGGACAGAAAACCAAACACCACATGTTCTCACTCATAGGTGGGAGTTGAACAATGAGAACACATGGTCACAGGTGGGGGAACACCACACACTGGGGCCTGTCGGGGGTGGGGGGCTGGGGGAGGGATAGCATTAGGAAAAATGCCTAACGTAAATGACGTGTTGATTGGTGCAGCAAACCAACATGGCACATGTATACCTATGTAACAAACCTGCACGTTGTGCACGTGTACCCTAGAACTTAAAGTATAATAAAAAAAATAAAAAAGAAAAAGAAAAAGAAATGCCAGTTCTCGGGCTCCACCCCAGATGTATGGGATGAGAAATTGTGGAGGCGTGAGACTCATGTGGCCTTCCAGTTTGTTGTAATGCTTGCTATAATTTGAAAATCATTGATCTGTTTTATTCACTTAAAATCATTTTCAGGTAATCCTATTTACTAACAGACAAAAATGAAACAGAAAACACTCCTCCCACCTTTTGATCCTGCTGCCTTCTTAACCACATTACATCCCTCCCTAACACCACCAGTATTATTGAAAAAAGACAGCTTTACTGTCTTGATATCAACACCACTTTCTCCTTATACCCCTGAGACTTAATTTCCAGCCCCTCCAAATTACTGAAATTGTTTCTTGAATTATATACTTGGCTACTAAATTCAAATATCTTCCTTCAGACATTAACTGCTTGTGTGATGCCATTGGCCTTTTGCACTATGTACGTGCTTTCCTTAGCTCTCTGTTATGAAAGACTACAGGTTCTCCTCCTACCTTTCTGAATGTTCCTTCTTTGACTTTCCTTCCTAGTTCTGCTCTCTCAATTAAGGTGCACCTTTGTACCCCAAGGGACTATTCAGAGTGCTTGTCTTAGGAGATAATCAATGAAGGTTTGTTCTTTAAGGTTCTGTCCTTCACTTTCATCCCTCAGTATTGTTACCTGTGGTTTCAACTCTCATCTCATCGTGGCTAACTTCTGAATTTCCAGTTCCACGTTACTAACTAGAGGGGAGCCAAAGACAAATTTTCATCTATTTTACCCTTTTGCCTGAAGCTAGACCTGGTCATAGTAAAAAAGGGTACTGAGGAGAATGAGTTGGCCAGAAAGCTAGCAGAGTGTTTTTTTTTTTTTTTTTTTTTTTTTTTTTTTTTTTTTTGGCAGAGAGAGTCTGAATCAGTTAGAAAGAGTCTTGTCATGCCAAGAGAATTCACAGATAAAGCCACTTCCTCTCTTTGCCAACATGTCTGTCTCCTGCTCAGAGCATGCAAATACCCCTCTAGTATCATTTCTCACTTGATTTCATTTGAATTTAATTACTTAATTTAACCAGTATTTTTCATCTTTTAAGTCTAAAAGATAGTTCTAGGAGAAATTGTTACTTGTTTGTTTTAGAAAAAAGAAATAAGAAGGCATTCACATGAGAAAATTATTTTGGAATGAATTTAAGGAATTTGGGGTCTTTTCTAGAAGGTACAGAAAGGAGTTTGAGAATCTTGACCCCTTTAAAAAAACCCTACTTGGTAATTGAAACACCTACTACATGGTAAGCACCACTAAATACTAACAAGACGTGGCCAGATGGATAAAGCAGGACTTTTTGTTGTCTGATTCCCAGGAACATTCATCAAAAGAACAGATTCCCAAAGAAGGCCATTCCTAGTTTGAAGTACTTCTGAAATCACAAAAGACAACAGGAAGAATCATCTGCTTCCCTTAGGCACTGCCTTTTTTTTTCCTCAGCCTGGCATTTCTGTATTTTTTTTTTCTGGATTGTTTCTTTCTAAGGAGATTTTTCAAAAAATGTGGAATTTGTCTATGTTTTGGAGGGTGCTCTCCCAATCAAGAATGGCATTAAATCTGTGCTCAGTTGTACCTCACTGATGTAGACCTGACTCCAAAAGGAGAATTCCCCATGATGAACCTTAAAAAATACCTATTACAGATGGAAAAAGGCAAGGGAATAGCAAAAAGCAGGTGGAAGAAGGCAGGTGGAAGAAGGCTCAAGGACAGCTTGAGGCAGAATCTGTAGCTCCCTTCCCTTCTATTGGTAGGAGACTTAGCAACTCTTCTCCTTTCTTGTATGTTTGGTAAGAAACCAAGCAGCAGAACTCATGTCAGCTCAGAGCCAGCCTTGGCAAAGCCCTTGCCCTCTATCACCACTATTCCCACAGGCAGTTTTTGGCCGCATGTAAGTTTTCTTTTGAAAAGTGTCTGTTCATGTCCTTTGCCCACTTTTTTATGGGGTTGTTTTTTGTCCACCAAACCCCTGTGATATGCAATTTACTTATATTACAAACCTGCACATGTACCCCTGAACGTAAAATAAATGTTAAAATAAGTTGTTGTGATAATTGGTTATTTCAGAGCATAGGACCTGCTTGGCATAATTTATGTGGGGCAATCATGTTATGGCAGTCCCAAGAGAGCTCAGTAGGTATTTTGAACACTAGTTAGTTATATGCTCCACCCTGTAACTAACTAGCATCCAAAAATAACCATTGAGCTCTCCTGGGATTGCCATAGCAAGAAGGTAAAGGGAGAGGTCACTTTCAAGGCAACTTAAAGATTGAGGAGGCCCACACTGATGAAAAACTGAAAAAGGTAAGTCCTCAAATGGAATTCCTTTCCTAGTCTCTGCTCTTATGAAAGCCAGCTGTAGGCTGGGAGAGAGAGTGGTAAGAATTATGGATGGGGTTAGGGAGTAGGTGAAATTCTGACTCAACAATGAAGTGCCTCTCTTGGGGTGTCCTGAATCACTCCAGTGGCCAGTTGTCCTCAAGCCTCTGCTTGCACTGGTAATAGCAGTAGGCAAGTTATTTTCAGAAACCTAGGTGGGTAAGTGTGTAGTAGTGGTATGAGGGTGCTCCAATTGACAGACAAAATCAAGCAAATGGAAAGAGCACAGAGTAAGAGTTTACTAGTACTTTTGCTTGCATCTTGACTACTTAAAGGATTTTAATCAAGCAGCCTAAATGTGGCTGTGTGGGCTCAGTAAACACACTGAATTAGGTTTGAATTTTCCACTCACCAGTTGCAAACATGGAGCAACTGCATTATTGGAGAGGATTTAGCTTGAGGGGATTTATAATCCTTTTCATAGGTGGGTTGCCAAAGTTGTAAATGTTATAAAACTTAAAAACCAACAAACTCATATGTGTAGGGCTGATGCACTTAAGAATCTGACAGGTTTTAGCCAGAGATGACACTGACTTTAAACGTAATTTTAATCTCTTTGAGATTGCAAGCTTGTTATATCTTTAAGAATTTTCATCTGATTATCTGATACAAAACTTGTAACCCACCATGAGACTACGAATGAGCAGGAGCTTGTCAGACACCATTTTAAAACACTTTCTGAAAGCAGGGAAGGGGACAGGAGAGAGGAAGTAGACAATGTATTGATGTGTAATCATAATGTACTATATGTTATCCAAGAGAAGAAGCAGACATGACCTGACCCTTTGTCCCTGTATCAACCACAGGGCTCTAGTTGCCTTTGGCAGACATTTCCTTTGGAAAGTTGATATGTGTTGAAAACAGGAGTGGGGCAGAATCAAGCTAGACAATAGGAATATAATTGCTGTGTGCTGGGGGACAAGACTTAAACTGATTTATTGGCAGTACTCTATGGGATGTTTACTGTCTGCAATTGTTAAGATCTGGAGAAAAGAATGAGGCTTATTTAAATCTGTGCAACAACAAGCAGTGTCACAACAGAATATCCTAATTTCTTTATCCAGAACAGGTATCCCCGACTGGATCTATTGATTAGGGCTCCTTGTCCTTGGGGAGCTGAGAGAGTTAAAGACAATATCAAGATAAAAAAGTGTCTCTGTAGCTGGATGAAGGCCTTGTGAGACTACGTTTAGCTGGAAATATTTTCCCCACTCTTTCTGCTTCGAATGGCATACTTCATGTGTCCTTAATGCTCCTTCCTGGAGGTTACATGCATCATTTGAAGGAGGGGGGACTTTTATCAAATCATCAGCCCTTCTGCCAAAGCCCAGTATAATCACCTGAAGAATATCTGGCATCTGTTACTGGACCCTTGCTTCTCTGCCTTTTAGCTGGAAGGACAAATCGACTCTCTGCCTTTCTTAATGGAAAATGAATCCAGCTTAGGATAGTGACGACCTAAGAGATAATTTCTTCTAGGCAGAGCAATGTCAGTGCAAATAGTATCTGTAAAGTTGCCATGTGTCCTGGGAGCGTGAAGGAGTCTGGGGACACCCAGGGAATATGACCTATAATCAACCATCCCTGCAGCCCCATTACTACCCCCAGGCTCTCTGCTATCTTCTAAGTCAGAAGAAGCAATTTAAGCAGCAGCTTGTCAAGCCTTTCCCAAAGCAACCCCCTTCTTCTTTATCCTTAGTTGTAACTGCTAGGAACATAAGGAACATGGCAGTTGCCCACTGGGAGGTGTTCTGTTAATTGGGGCCTCAATTTCCTTTTAGCCTTTCTCCTGACTCTCTTTTTCCCTTAGATCATATCTCCTCTCTAAGGGCAGAACCCCCAGCTGTCTATATTGGGTTTTCAAATATTTCGAGTGATAACTAGAAATGTGGATTACATTATCCTGGAGGCCATAAATAAGCAGGATGAGTATCTTGGATGAAAAATAGCAAAATAAGTATCTTAGATGGAAAAGTTTATAATCCAACTAGATTGTAAGCCCCTTAGAGCCAGGTGGGGATGCTGTATCTGATTGATACAACACCAATATTTCCATAATCTCACAAGTTTAGTGAACTGAGCCAGTGTGACCCAGTGGACAGAGCACTAGACCATGAGTCACAAAACCTGTGTTGCCAAGTTGTGGGATTTTGTGACTTTGTCCAATCCTGCTGCCACTGCTGTACCTGTGTCCTTTATCAGGCTTTGGATTCCTGATTACCTGAGGGGCAGTTCTGATGTCTGATCTTGGCTGGTCCCCATATGCATTTGTAAAAAATGAATGGTAAGGTAGGATTAAGGATGTTTAAGAGCCCTGCTAGCAAAAAATGCTGTTTTTAAGTGCCCTCAAAACATATGGTATTTGGAAGCCATAAAAACTTGTGGTCTGTAAGCCATTTGATCTGGGACTGTTACCATGTAGTGGTGTTACAGACATCCAGCTCAAAATCAAAACTGCTAAAAGCAGGTGGACAGTTTCAAGTCCATGATGTTCTGAAGGGCTTACATAATGGGGCACATTGTGTCCTACTGAGGTTTGTTTCAAAAATAGCCTTCTTAGAGATACAAGGTGCCCCAACATCAACCTGATTTGAATTTCCTTAGAAAAAAACCTATTTATAAATCATCTGAAAAGAGGCTGATTGGCTTCCTTATTCTTTAGCAAATTTAATTCATTTTGATTCTTTCTTGAAACTTTATGACTGACACTGAAATCTCCCTTGCAGAGCTTTCTTCATCTCTGATTTTTTTCATTCTTTCCACTCTGCTCTGTTTTACATACTAAAAGCATAAGAGAAATACCCTTAAGATAAAGCAGTGCCTATCTGTATAGGTTTCATGTTCACTGCAAGAAATATTTCCCTGTTCTCCATCTTTTTGCTCATTAAGAACTTAGAGAAATCATTAGGGGTTTTCTGCTCTTCTTTTTTTAAAGCAACTTGCAAACCACAAGAGGCCAGGCCTGCCAGAAATGAAAGCCTGTGTTTTCATTTTTCTCCATTTCTGTCATTGATAGAGAAGTTGAAAACTTCCCAATGCCAAAAGACTAAAACTTCTAAATGAAGATGAAGACACATTTAGCTCATGAGATCATCCTCTTTAACAGAGAGCTTTTACTCCAAGCATGATAAGAATGTATATTTTTCATAGCCACAGGTTTTAGAGGAAAATGGAATTTGGCAGTCTTCTCCGATGGGTTGGTTTGCTGTAGTTCTCTGGAATCACCTCCTGTTATAAGCCCAGAAAGCATCAGAAAGTTGTTTTAGGCAGGGGAAGGAGGAGGACATTTCTGTAAGAGCCTCCCCGGCTATTGCTTTTGTCTTTAGTAGAAAGAACTAAAGGGAAAAGATGGGAAGGTTCCTATGGGAACACTTTTACTATTCAGAAGTGGAGAGAAGGCATCTAAGTTGCTAAACAAATGAGGGACTCTAATACTCAAGCTCCCTCACTCACAAGTAGACAAATTGGAATGAGGAAGAGATATGTGGAGATTAAATGAGTGCAGTACAGGGAACATGCTGGAGGAGAAAACAAATCCAGTGAGAAAATTGGTCTTTGTCTGAACAATGTCAATAAGTCTGCCTTGCTCTATGTCACTGTGTGTAATGTCTTCCTCAATGCCAGGAGAGCAGTGATCTATTTACAGAGAGTGACAGGAGAAATATGGTCATTCAGTTGTGATGGGGTGGTAGAGTTCATGGTATAGCTCACATCGGATAACCTGGGCTAGTAGAAACTTACACCTTAGCCTGGGCGTGGTGACTCACACCTGTAATCCCGGCACTTTAGGAGGCCGAGGCAGGTAGATCACTTGAGGTCAGGAGTTTGAGACCAACCTGGCCAACATGGTGAAACCCCATCTCTACTAAAAAATATTTTTAATATTAGCTGGGCAAGGTGGCAGGTGCCTGTAGTCCCAGCTACTCAGGAACTTGAGGCAGGAGAATCGCTTGAACCTGGGAGGCAGAGGTTGCAGTGAGCCAAGATCATGCCACTGCACTCTAGCCTGGTTGACAGAGCAAGACTCTGTCTCAAAAATAAATAAATAATAAATAAAATAAAAAGACACTTACGCCTTAAATTTCTTGCCATGCTGTTGTTGCCAAACACTCTTCTCTCCAGAATGACTAAGGCACCATAAGCCTTTCTAATAAATTTCAACTATCTTTCAGAATGGGATGGGCCTGAAACCACACTTTAGCTGTTGGGCAGATAGTGTAATGGTTAAAAAGCATGGACTTCAGAGTCAAAGATCTGGGTTAAAGTTATTGTATCACTGTTACAGTTTGAATATTTGTGTCCCCACGTCCCCCCCCCCCCCGCAACCAAGTCATATGTTGAAATCCTAACCCCCAAGGTGATGGTATTAGGAAGTGGGGCTTTGGGAGGTGATTAGGTCATGGGAGTGAAGCCCTCATAAATGGAACTTATAGTGTCCTTATAAAAGAGGCCCAAGAGGGACCCCTTACCCTTTCCATCATGTGAGAACACAGGAAGAAGGTACCATCTATGAGCCTGAAAGTGGCCCTCACGAGACAATGAATCTCCCTTGATCTTGGACTTCCCAGCCTCCAGAACTGTGAAAAACAAATTCCTGTTGTTTATAAGTGACCCAGTTTATGGTGTTTTATTATAGCAGTCCAAACAAACTAAGATAGTCACTGTAAACTGTTTGGTCTTTAGCATGTGACTTCACCTCTCTAGGCTTCAATTTTCTCACATGTAGAAAGAGTTTAATAATGACACCTTCCCCAGAGGCGTGTTGTGAGGATTAAATTACATATAAGAGCACTTAGTACAGTATCTGGCAGCCAGTAAATATGCAACAAATGGTAGCTAATAATGGCAGTAGTAGTAGTAATAGTAGTGGTAATAGTAGTAGTAGTAATAGAAATAGTAATGATATTACAAGATTATATCCCACCATGAACTCAATTTAATGAATACTGGCTTAGGCATTACTGTATGCCAGGCATTGATTCATTAAAGCAAAAAGTGAGCATTTACTATGTATCAGGTAATGTGCCAAGAGCAAGGGTGAGCTGTAAGCAAGACAAGACCTCTTGAAGCCTAAGTGTTGGGGAGATGAGGAACAGGAAAGAGAAGAAAACCTTATCAACAACTTGGAAAGTAAAAGATTAGAGCCATGTCAAGATGGTTCAGAGCTTCTCAGGGTCCTCAGAAATCATGACTGGGTGCTCTGACCCTTGTTCAGCCCTCTCTGCACTGGTGTTGGAAATTCTTCTCTTTCTTACTGCTGGATTCACTTGAATCTCATCTGCCACTTAGCCCTGCCTCAGTTCCCAGGACCGATCTTGACCCAAGACAGGAGATGATGGCTCCAGGCCCGTAGATGGAGGCTGAGGTTCAAGTTGCCTTGCTGTTCATCTGACTAGAGGATGGTGCTCCAGTTTTTATATCTGGGGTCCAGCTTTGCTTTTGTTACCTTTCTGTGCCCTTATTTTTAGAAATGAGCTTCCGACTTTGTGGTTCCTCCCAAAGGCCTGTTCCAAGAACTTATTTAGTGACCCCAGTACTCTCATATGATTGGAGAGCTATACCTTATTCTTGCTGGTTTCCATCCCAAGCACTAGAGTCCTTCTCCTGAACCTCAGTCCAATAAATAAATAACCTGGTTGTTTGCTTCTTGCCAGCTGGAGCTTCTCAGTATCTCTACCTCCTAGATTCCTCTGTCTTCCCCTTACTTAGTGTAGATATTGTCTAGACAGAGAGTTATTATTACAGGTAATCTTTGTTTGTTAGAACTAAACCTTTGCCACCACCCACTGCACTTGGGTTAGTTCTCTAGTGACCGGTTTACTGCATGGGCAGTTTTTCTGTCCAGTTCTGCTTATTTACATGTGCCTCATTAAGCTGCCCAAGATCTGTCATTCACAATCAGAGGCCAAAACCATTTAATACTAAGTGAACCAGGAGCTCTGAAGATATCACTGTACCTTTCTTAAAAGCCCTAATTGCCCATATTAATTCTTTTGCAGTTGGACTATAGATAAGCCCCTGGCAGAGCCATTCTGTTCATTTTTCATTCATTAATTCAGCAAGGATTTATTGAATGTCTATGTTTCAGACTGTGTGATATTGAAATGAATCAGCTACATCTTCTGTCCTCGAGGAGTTCATAGTCTAGTAGAACAGTGGAACTTGTAAATGGATCATTACAATACAGACTTAGAAGTACTATATGAATATGGAAAGGAAGGAAGCAAAAAGCAGGGGTACCTAACCCAGACTGCAGGCAAGTAGATGCGAATAGAGAAGGTTTTCTGAAACAAGTATCACTGCTGTGTTTCAGAGGACTAGTAGGTGGTATTAGCTGCTGAAGAGACACAAAAGTACTTCCAGGCTTATACTAAGTGAGAGCTCAGCACCTTCAGGGAACAACACTTACTTTTCTATAGCTGGAACATTGGGTGTGAGGGGGAAAGAGTACAGGATGAAGCTAGAGAGGTAGGCGGGTGCTAGATTATAAAGTGCCTTATTTGCCATGTGAAGGAATTTGAATTTCATCCTGATTGTTAAAGTGGGAAATTACAGTAATGTGGAGATCTAATTTGCCAGGGTAAGAACAGACGCAGGGTAACAAGTTAAATGACTGATAGATGTTAAGAACCCTAATTAAGGTGACGATGGTGGGGGTGAAGAGTGTGTCTAGATTTGAGAGACTTAAAAGTAGAATTCATAGGACATGGTGACTGACTAGATAAGAGGGGAACAATGAGGAAAGATGATGAGGTTGCTTAGGCAAAGTTGCTTAGGCAACTATGTGGGTGGTAATTCTGCTGCCTGAGCTAGAGAACACAGAAGGAACAGATTTTAAATAGAGGGCAGGCTGTGCTTAATGTTGCCAAATAAAATCCCCCAATTCTATTTTCCTTTTAGTAAAATAATCCTGTTGTCCAAAGGATACTACTGACAACCTACCTTTACAGAGCGCAACTGTAGAAGAATATATTTTTCTTGTAGACTATATGTAAACTATACAATTGGATAAACACTGCACTTGAAAATTAAATCTTCTCTCTTCTTTGTTAATTGGAAAGCACAGAATAAATGAAAACAGAATTGGAAAAAACTCACCCCATAGACAAGTTCCCCAACCATGCCGTTCCATATTTTAGTCTCTGGATCCCTTGCACCATATTTCCCGTCACCAACGATGGACAATTTGTATTTGATCCTTACATGTTTGGCTATTTCATAGGCTAGGTCTACACAATAGCCTTCATATCGTTCATTTCCTTCCAGTTGCTCATGGTTCTTCTTGTACATTACATATGGTGATTCCTTTGGGACCAGAAGCAAGATAAAAGGATTACTCCTATACATTTTTCTAAGAGAAGATAAATGCAATAATTTTTCCCCTCTGTGACTATTGAGGTTTGGTATGTGAAAAAGGCCTTTAAATTGTTACTTAGTAAACAGAAGAGCTTTAATTGAGTATTCATTGGGTCACTTTTTTTTTTTTTTTTTTGGTAGGGGGAGTCCTTAACTGGTAATTTAAGGAAGCAGAGAAGGATTTCAGTTCTTTTTGAGAGTTTGAAAGATGGCCCAGTTTTCACCTATCAAGTCTTTGATTTCATCAAATTTGGCAGACTTAGTTACATGATGGTGAAGTGCCTTTCATTTCTCAAGATTTATTATGTAGGAATTGCAGGTAGTTGAGGCAAAGCCCTGGGGAAGCATTGTGATCCCTGTGAGGTCAGCGTCCGTGGCATTTACATTTTTATATCTCCAGGGCCTAGTATAGTACTTAAGACAAAGGGAGTATTTGATATGTATGCTTAGATGAAAGGCAAACTTCAGCCTAGTCTCCATTCAGTTAGTCATACTTTCACACCTAGAGATGTATTTGTTTTTAACCCAGGTTTGTACTTCATTCAGTAAAAACAAACCAGCTTCTAGAAAAGTGTTTTAAAACTAAATGAGAATACCATCTCACATTTTAAGTGCTTTGAGTTTTGCAGAAAACTTCTTCGTGTAGTGAACTGTGCCTTGAAACGGGCTTATGACATGGGTAGGTGATTATTATTATACCCCTTTCATAAATGAAGAAACAACAACCTGAGGCTCAGAGAAGTTGTGACTTGCACAGTTTTACAGGTTAGTGGTAGACCTAATTTTAGAATCCTAATGTACTCTCTCCTCCACACAATGCTGCTTCCCCCACAATGAAGAATTAGGTTTCAAGTCCAGATGAAGCATCAGTCCTATGCGGGCGGGCATGGAGGCGGGGAGAAAGAGGAAAATGATAATCTAAAACTGTTCTAAATTCCTATTCTTTTTCTTTCTCTCTTTTTGTTAAATGACATTCTGTTCATCATCATGGCAAGATACTTTGAGAGTTTCCTGAGCTTCCCTGTTGGAAGTTTTTACTGTTTGAACTTGAGGTCTTTTCTACTGGTGGAAAAATACTTTTCAGAAAACGGAAGTCTTGCTGGACAGAAAGCCCACCTACCTTCTGTTCACACTTACCAGAATGGTAGTCACTACTATGGTCCGATTCTCTGAGGATGCACTGTCATTGCTGATTTGCTGATCTGAGAAAGGCACAAACCTTTCATACTCATTCCAGTAGCCAGCCTAGAAAGAGAAGACATTTGACCTGGATGCCTATTTTTCCCTCAGAAAAGTACTGCATGAAATTGAAGTGCTGTTGTGGAACAAAACTTTCTTGAGCTCTATAAGGATTGACATCCTGTCTCCCCGGGTCTTGTAATTCCCACCAGGACCCCCAACACTGACACATAGGTGTGCTATTCCTTCATCCTGGAGGTTCCCATCTCCCACTCATCCTTACTGATATTTTGTAAAATAATAATACTTATTTTCTTACATCCAAATGCTGTCCTCTTTCAAGAGTCCTTTTCTTTAAATGTCTGTTTTGGTTACTTACTTTTCGAGAGCCACTGACTTTCATTTCATACACATCGATGGTATAATTTGTCCTACGTCCATAAGTGTCAAATTGAATATTTCCAGTCATTCCTTGTACTTGCACCTGGTAGAAAGGGAAAATTTAAAATTTAAAAATAGCACGGCATTATTGCCTTCTAAGTCTCTGGGATGAGGTCTGCTGACAGATCTTGGAATCTTGAAGAATTATTATTGCAAGTCATTGAGCTCTATCCACCAGATCGAGTCTATACAAGATCTTCATTTCCTCCACAGTATTTTCTTGGCATGCCTTTTAGTTTTGAAGCATTGAGTAGGTGTAAGATGCTGTTACTTATATAATATAATGAGGGCTCTACCGCCACTTTTTCAAGGACCTGAAATTTCCACTAGCCCCTTCCTAAAAATACTCTGCAGGCTACCCCCTTAACTAGGGTAATGTATTCTAAACTGAGTTCCTTGGGGGCCATGGCTGTGTCTTATCTTAATATTTCCCATATCTGAACATAATCTGGTTTCAGCAGCATGGGCACTGTTACACCTGGACTCATATCGTAGCTTCAATTATTAATTGAATGACCTTCGGCATGTTCTTAATGCTTTTTTACCCCAGTGTCTTAATCTGTAAGATTGAAAATCCTAGTAGTATCTATCTTTCAGAGTTATTGGGAAGATTAGAGAAGATATATATATATATATATATACACACACACATATAAACGTAATGTTTAGAACAGTATGTGGCATCTATTAAGCATCAGAATACATGCTAGCTATATTAATTATTATTAACCAAAATGGATTTAGTTCTGTTTCTTGAGAGGGTTACACATTTGCCAGCTACTACAGTGACAGGGATGAGCTTTCCCTCTTATTTAACCCACACTCAGCTACAGACAGGTAACAGACAAGAGAGCTAAGCCATAGAGGGATAATCCAAAGACTGATGAAATTTATTAAGCCTAAGGGGTCAGGAGTATGGAGCACTAGACAAGAAATGTAGAAGTACTGGAAGCCAGAACACTTGTTTGGGATGCCAAATGCCGATTTCATGTATGGAACAATTTTTCCTGGGCCTGGGCTCAGTATTATGAATTAGCAAGAGGCCATCTCTTCAGGGTAGATAGATTCTTTACCTATTTTACAGTGCAGGGACACTGGATGAAATACCCTCTACAAATATAAATAATTGTTGCTAACCACTTGCATTACTCATCTGGCAAGTAAAGGTCAAAGACTTTGCTTCAAAGAGAAAGAATATATCTCATTTTCCTAGTATGAAAGAATGGAATTGTTTTTCATCACTTATGGAAAATGACAAGCTGTCAAACAAGTCAGAGGTGGCAGTGGGTTTGTGTTGCAGAAAGAAAAATGTTGTCAAATATTAGGGAACATTTTTTAAAGGGAAAGGGGCTTGTTCACCACCAGTAGGAGACTGTGGAATTCCTGTTGAAAGGAAAATGCTCCAATCTGATGAACTGAAAACAAGATGATTGTCCAACTGATCCAACAAACCTAAGCACTATTGTTAGCTTAGGCTTGCAGAGAAGGTGGCATCACACTTCTAGTTAGAGAAAAGACCTTTGTTGAGATAGAAATTACTTATCCAGTGGGATGAGACTGATACATAATGTGAGCATGAAGGGCTCTTTATACTCTATTTTGAGCACTGAATTCTGATAGAAGAGTTAGACAGGGCAGAGACAAGGGCAATAGGAACTTATTAAGGAAAGCCTTCATTAGTGAAAATAGCTAGGGCTTTAAGTCTCATTAAGAGTTGTCTATTTCTAAAGACCCAACCTATCTGAATATGATATATGAACTGGAGAATAGTCAAGGCATAGTCCAACAGATTCCAGACGCATGATTTGAACGTTTGGTGACCAGAAGTAGAATTGGACTACCACTCAGAGAAATCTATTTTTAAGGATGTGGTCCAGTATTGAATGTTAGTGACAGTTTCCCCGCATCCCGTCTGGGATCCCTTCTTTAATTCATAGCATCCTGTGCAAGACTTAGACATAACATTTTTATAATCTATGTGTTTCTAACTTTCCTACTGGATTAGGAGCATCTCGAGATGAGAGACATTTTTTTACCTCTGTTCTCAGCAACTAATGTTGTGCCTGGGATAGAGCAGATCCTTAATAAATGTTGATTGAACAAGTCTCAAAGACTTAGAATCTGTGACAGATATGTCAGTAGACTGTGCTGGGCTGATCTTTGCATTATTTGCAGATTGTGAGGAGAATGATTACCCAATTTGCAAGTGGCTTTAAGATATTTTAAAGCATTTGTTTACATATTAACAATTTAAATGTGTGCACTCCTCATCTTATTTCTTGCTTGCATACTAATATGGAGCCTGATACATAGTCATGGGTGCTCAATAAATATTTACTGAATGAATGTTGTGCTTATTTATTCATTAAAACAGGCCCCTTAGGAGCCTCTGCCAGGCAATGATTTTGTTTGCCAGATTTCTTTTGAAGGAAGAGAATAATTTATTGAGAAACAACTATGTGCTAGTCACAATGAGGGATGCTTTACATTATGCAGTCTCAATTTTAATTAATTCAAATAAAATGGGATTTCTTTTAATGTAGTAAAACATTTAGTACTTCAGACTAGCCTCCCTTACAGTCCCTCTGAGTAGAGCAGTTTTACTGAGGCACTGTCTACTTTTGGAAAAAATAGATGCCTTCCAGCCTCTCTGGAGCAATAGAGATTGTCCTATAGAAAGGTAATGTATTGTTTTGGTTGAGTGTCTGGTCATTAGGGCCTGGGGAGGAAGGTTACCTGGCTTATAACTTGAGCTTTATCAGTGAGGTAGACATGCAGAAACTTTTCTGTGCAGTAGTATGATCAATCTATTTTTTTTTCCTAGCCCAATTGGTATCTTATCCTTCATTCTGATAGCCAGTTTTCTATTTGGGAAGGTAGTTATTTGTGTCATGAATAGGGAGTCAATTGGAGATGCTGGCTCTTGCCCCTTGAGGTTTTGTTGATGGAAACTCCTTTTGATTCACTCTGAGGGAGTTTTATATTTCACTCATCATTATGTTTCACCTGACAATACAAATCTTGTAACTGCTATGAAGGTTGAATTTAATTAACTGCTCTTCAAAATTGTACAGTGCTACCTCCATAAAACTACACTTAGGGCATTTGTTAAGGAACTGACATAATGACATAAAAATCTGCATGATGGGAAAATGAGTCATATCTCTTTCTTGAAGAGAGACACAAGGGCTACTAACCCCTTTTGATTGAATGCTTCCAACTTGGCAAATTTAAGGCATCAATAAGAGAGCCAGCTACACAAAATGATGTATGTTATGAGGCCGTTACAAGTTCTTCCTTGCTGGGTTGCACACAGAATTATCTTATCTTTGCCCATCTCTTTGTTGATTTGGATGTCCCAAACATCAGGATAACTAAATAAGTAGAAATAAGAGATTCTTGTACTCTTGAAAGCTCATTTTAATACATGCAGGCACATGTAGCATAAAGCAAAATATTCAGGACAGAGCTCTTGCTTGGAAAACTGCAATGAATGGGTGATGCTACTTCTGGTATAAATAATGAAATCTGTTCAAAGGACATTGCTTGAAGCCTTAAATGATCTCCTACCCAGCAAATACTAAAAACAAGTGACCTATTTGACTGTCTATCCATTGATTCCTTTTACTTTTCTTTAGGCTTTTTCTTTGCAGCATTAGGCAAAAGCTTCTTAAGTAGACCTAGAAATGTATCATGTTCCTGCATTTCATCCTGTAGAATAGCATGAGTGTTCTTTTTGACAACAGAAATACTATCACACTGGCTAAGTTCCACAGCCTGTCTAGGCTAATCATTTGTCTGATGAGCCAGAGGATGCTGTCCTTTGTAATGTCTATCTTGAAGTTAGGAACATCTTATAAAATATTCTAATCTCCCTAAAGAATGTCATATGTTTGAAAGCTTTGAATTTTTTGAAGCTATTTATATATTCAATCTGTAACTTTTGAGAGTACTAAGTTTCATTTACTAGCCATAGTATAGTGCATAACCAAAAATTCATTTGCCCTAAATTTATCTCTTTTTTTTTCAAGCTTCAAGAAATGACCTCCAACTTTTAGATTTCTAGGTTTGGATGATTTATAGAAATGGCTATACTTATCCTCTTTGCATACTCTGAGATTCTACATAATCTGGTCCTATTCCTTTTAGTATGTCTTCTCTCAAGATCAAGGTCTCATCTTTTTTATGTCTTTATAAGTTTCTTCCACCCCAATAACCCATTGTGGTCTTTACCATTTTCAGAGCTCTCTCAATATCAATTCCTTGACTCCAGGGCACAGCAGGATTTGCTAAGCAGTCTCCAGCACTTCCTCTCCGGGACACATCTACTCGCTGCCTCCTCAGGTAGCGGAAAGCTTCTGCTATGACCAGTATTGCGTCGTGTGTCAATGCAGATGTATACTGAAATGGATGCATGAAAAACAAGATATCATGATAAATGATACCCTCAAAATTTGCCTTGTTTCTTATAATTTTCATTCATTTCTACCTATTGTTCTATGCAGTCACCCCCCTATTTATTTAAGAGATCTCTCTGGGCAAGCCTGAATTCGATTCATTCTACAGTGATAGTTCTTACCTCATGTGTGCATGTGTTACAATTATTACAATCAAATGGCTCAAGGCAATCTCTCTCTTGCTCTCAATACTGTTTCTTTTTTATACTGAGTTAGTGACTACCAAAAGGCTGTGTCCTTTATAGAGGAAGAAATATGTGTGAAGTTAAAGGATGGCATGTATAGACTGGAGAGGAAACAGCACATCCTAAAGCAAGACTGGGTTACTGCTGTTTGTAGAGATCTGGTGTTTACTTAGGGGAAAATGGAAATAGCTAAGTTAGACAGCTTGAAATTAATTTGGAGGAGAACATTAATCATTTCTGTCTGGACCATGTTTCTGGCGAGGTGGGACTTCTGGCCAGCAATAAATGAGTTTTTGTTTCCTGGGGGTAGCAAAAACCAAAGCTGTTTTTCAATTGTAGAAAATTTCAATTATTATTGAGTTTTAAATCTGATGATGTTGACAATTCATAGGCAATACTTCATGATGCCACCTCTTGCAGGCAAGAACACTTTCTATTCCTTGGATATATTGATATGCTCTACTAGGGATGAGGTCAGTCACTAAATACAAGGGATTTGATTATCTGCAATTTGAAATGGTGGATGCTTTTTCATTAAATGAATTAACATAACAAACTATGGTTAAAATAAGCTGGCCCCTGTTTTGCAGGGGTGACAAATACTGGTAGAATGTAGAATGTTGTTGACTTTTTAAAAATGTAGCAAAATGTCCCAGGGGGAGTTCTCTCTCTCTAGTACAGTATGTCCAAATACAATTGGGAGTGAATAGATTATTGCCTCTACAACTATCAATTAGCTTTTCTGACTTTTCTCACGTTACTTGTCTTTCAGAAGCAAATCATCAAGTGTGACTGTAACAGGGGACATATGTTCTTTCATGAAGAAAAATCTTTGTGTCTGCACATCTTTGCAATACATGAAGCCAACATGGTGATGATTTTTTCAGCTGACTGCATAAATTGTCAGCAATCTTAATGTAGTCCTTTCCAAACCATGCCAAAGGAGCTATTTAATTTTTGCTTTATTCAGTTTCTACTTACCAATGGGTGAGAATACCCTCCCAAGCCCTAAAAGAAAATGTTTATAGAGTAAATTATCAGGATTTTTAATCTGTAGACAATTTTATTTCCTAATCAAAAATATTATACATCAATTTTTAAAGTGGGCTTTTGGTTTGATTGATATTGTGCAAGGTTCTATAATGACCAATACTAAGCAAAAGTAATCTGTAAGTTGTAACATCTATTCAAATATTCAATTTTTTAAAGTTATTTAAAGGGTTTTACTTATAAGCATGAACATTTCTTCTCAGTGGGTTCTAGAACTTTACATTATACACACCAAGTGTTATCAATGAATAGTCCAGAGCTGAGATTGGCTTCCTTCTCTTTTGTATGGCTCTGCAACTTCAGCACAGGCATAAACTACTCTTCAGTACCCTTTTCATACTTCTTACCATTACTCATTTTCTCATGCCTAACACAGTGTCTGGCACATTGTAGGTGCCAGACTACTAACCCACTAAAATATTGAATAAATGAATTTCTCTCTTCTACCTATTACCTGGTAAATCTAAAGATCATAAAGCAGTGTGGGTAGGCAGTTTTATGAAAAATCTAAATTTGAATAAGCTCACCTAAATGTAATGCAATATGCATTTGAACCATGACTTTATGCTTTTGATATTTTTATCTTGATTTCTATGAAAATGGGCAACTTAGGTAATCTAATTATTTTCAAAAATACTTTAGCAAGCAGGAAAACATTTCCATTCAATATATGTGTAGGCAACATACACTCTGTATTAGAGCCTAATTCACTTGGGATTATTTTCCAGTAAATATCAGTTTAGTACATTAAAAATTTTTTTGATTACAAAGGATTCATCATAGGGATTGTGACCATATTTACTAAAGCAAATTAGGACACTTGATCGGACCCTAAAACAGAATGTTTTAAAATAAGACTATCTTGGAAAAATCTGGCAGGCATAATCGCTACAACCACAGGGTACCATTTAACTAGTAAGTGGCTTAACTGAACGAAAAAAGTATGTTTAACCCATAACTTTTCTAGAACACACCAATTGCATAAAGTAAGATTTCACTTGTATTATGTTCTGACGTAACCCATTTAAGGTGGAGCTGCATAGATGGTACAGAATGTATCTCTATATCTTTTTTCTGGTCTGTGTTGCCTACTGTTCTCCCTTATCATCATTATTATTATTATTATTATTATTATTATTATTATTTTGAGATGGAGTCCAGCCCAGGCTGGAGTGCAGTGGCATGATCTCGGCTCACTGCAACCTCTGCTGCACGGGTTCAAGCCATTCTCCTGCCTCCGCCACCCAAGTGTCTGGGATTACAGGCGCATGCTACCATGCCCGGCCTGTTATCCCCTATTCTATTCTTGCCAGGGAGGAAGGATGTGAGGATGAGTATCTTGAAACAATGAGGAAGATCTTTTCCCCTTTTCCTTTTCTAGGAAAGGGTCTTGACTCTATTTTGATCCCCTATTTCGTACCACAGCTATGGTACATACTTTCACTATATCAGGAAGAATTTAAAGTCAGTTTCATATTTGAATCAATGCACTGAGGGAACGATTTACTTAAAAATATATTTGAAGGGTCCTTTGTGTAGCATGAATAACTTTCCCCTAATTTATCTGTTTAATTCCTGGTTTTTAAATAATAGGATTTCTAGCCATAGGGGAACACATGAAAAATGTGCATTTTTAACCATGACTTTCTGCTTTTAATATTCTTATCTTGATTTTGTGAAAATGAGCAATCTAGGTAATTTAATTATTTTCTAAGATACTTTAGCAGGCAGGAAAACATTTCCATTCAATATACATATAGGCAATGTACACTCTTTATTAGACCCTAATTCACTTGGGTGTACTGAGATTCATGGAACTTATTAAAACAAAGCAATCACATAAATAATGTAAAATCTAATTTTCTGTTTCAGACTATCAGTCTTCCTTACCTGTTCCCACTGCCCCCACCCTTTGCCTGGCTCAGGTTCTTGTAATACTGTAAATTGTTATAGGCATATTACAAATAAAATTCATTAAAAATTAAGTTAACTTATTTCCAAGCACTGGATTTTAAAAGATCTCATTCTCAACAGCTTCTTTATTCAGGGGTTTAGTTTTCAAATGCAATAGCATCACCTGCAGTTGTTTTGTGGCATCTTTGAATCACTTCTGAGGAAAATCACTTGATCATAAGATGACTGTTAGTGTATAAAGATCATACTGAGATACTTTGAAAAGCTGGCCTTAGGTTTTTTACATGCCATGGAACATTACCTTTAGTGGTGCATTCTTGGCTTCAGGGAATTCCCTTTCATCCAGCCTCACCCAGCGCTGTATGAACTGCTGAACCATAGGGTTTTCATTGTTGACAATCTGGAAACCTGTAATGTTGGCTCCCCCATGCATGACTCTTTCCAGTAAAATATCAGTAAAACCCTGGAAAGACATTGAAAGGATCATGATTGTGGGAAGTTGTATGTTCTTACTCACCATATCTGTTAGAGTGCTAAGGATAATGTGAAAGCTCCTTCCCTAGGATCATTTATTAGCAATCAAGACAGCCTTGAATATGAAATTAATTGTTAGGGCACTATGTCCCTGAAACTGCAGGCATAATGGAGAAAATATGCATTCTTCCATTTTAGTTCATGTGTCTTTATGTAATGTGGCTGCCACATGGACAAACATAGGTGCCAACTTTAAGCAAATATTTTGATTTGTTTCATTTACCTGTATTTTTAGTCTTTCTTCATTGCGTACAAATACAATGCTTTATGTAATTGGAAAATGTTGAAAAAGTTTGACCCGATGGGTGTTATAGCAAACTTTTCTTCAGCCTAACATGATAAACACAGTGGATTGCTTCAGATTCTAGTGATGAGTACTTTAGAAATTTGTGATTTACAGAAATGCCAATGAGTGAAACTGACAGCTTGGTTGTATATGATGGTACAAATCCCAGGGTATCTGACATGTATCCATAAATGAATCTTTCTTTTTTTTTTGAGATAGAATCTCGCTCTGTTACCCAGGCTGGAGTGCAGAGTCTCGCTGTGTCGCCCAGGCTGGAGTGCAGTGGTGTGATCTCGGCTCACTGCAACCTCCACACCACCCCCCGGGTTCAAGCGATTCTCGTGCCTCAGCCTCCCAAGTAGCTGGGATTACAGGCGCATGCCACCATGCCCTCCCAAGTTTTGTATTTTTGGTAGAGATGGGGTTTCACCATGTTGGCCTGGCTGGTCTCGAACTCCTGACCTCAAGTGATCTGCCTGCCTCGGCCTCCCAAAGTGCTGGGATTACAGGCATGAGCCACTGCACCCAGACAATAAATGAATCTTAACAACTACTACATAGTATCCACCACTTTCTTCTAATTTGCTGTGGCTACCATCTGGTGCTTCTGCCACCTAAGCCTTGTGAAAGGAGTATCTCCATGTGAGCTCTGCCAGCTCCATTGGGCATTATTATCTTCTGGGACAAGTAGCAGCCTAGGAATTGCTGCTACTTTTGCTGGATAACTATATCCTGCTAATTACTATTAATGTGTTAGGGTCTTCAATGAGCTGAAGCCATCATTTCTATTCATAAACAGATGGGTAGAATTCTTCCTCCCTTCTTTAGAACCCTCCAACATTTTAATATAAAAATGATCAAACATACAGAAAAATAGAAAGAATTATACAGTGAATACCCACATAGTCACACTCAGATTCTACAATTATTTTTCTACTCATCTATCAAACCATTTCACTTTGGGGTTCATTTCAAAGTAAGTTGGAGACATTAGTATACTTCACCCTTAAAGATTTCAGCATGCAGGTCATTAACTAAAATTCAGTGTTTGTTTACAGTTCTTTTTCTTTCTTCATTTTTTGAGGTAAAATTTACATCAATGAAATGTACTTGATGAGTTTTGATAAATGCATACACCTTTATTACCCAAATCCATATCCATTCTTTAATGTTTCCTCTCTTTTTTAACAGTCTAAAAAAGGTTTTATTGAAGTGTAATAATTGTATAGAGAAGTGCACATATCTTTACGTGTATAGCTTGGTGAATTTATTCACAAACTAAACATAAACAATATCTGTAGAGTCAGCACCTCCATCCGTGCTTCTCTTAATTTTACATTTCTTTACCATGGATAACAAGACAGTCTTAGAAAACATTTTAGTGAAACAGCTTTTTCAGTTATTACTTACAGCCCCTTCCTCTTCTTTTCATAAGTGGGGTATGAGTCAATGAGACTGGACAAAGAGTCAAATAGTTTACATCACTGGGAATCACTCCTTCATTCTGATAACCACAAAGTATTTTAAAAATTAACATTAATTCATCATGATGAGTTTTCTCCCAAAGGCTTTCTTCATGAGGGAAAATAAGACTCAGTGTTTTCTCCCATTTTATTCCCCCTGTAATAAATTCAGCAGAGAGCCTCACTTGTGTAGAAAGTCTAGCAGAGGCTACCATTGGGGTTTAAGCCTAACTGTTACCCAACTCTCCATTCTCACTCCTTAAACTTATATTCAAATAAAATGCTGAGGATAAAACTCCAATGAAAGGGGCCTCAAGATGGCTGAATAGAGGCATCCAGAACTCACCTCCCATACAAAGAAGAAATAAAATAGTGAGTAGATAATCACACTTTGAATATATTTCCTAAGAGAGAATGCTGGAATTCAATAGAGAAGTGACAGGAAACATCTGACTCAAGGAATGAGAAAGAAGTAAGGTAGCCTGCTTGGCTGGGATCATCTGGAAGCCTGAAGAGGTGCCCCAGCATGGGTAAAGGACAAGTGAGAGACCCCTAGCAGTCCATATTCTCAATGTGGACTCCTGCAATCCTAGCCCTGGGAGAGCCCTCAACCCACATGGGCTTTGAAGGAGTTGCCTAGAGATTGTATAATGGCATTTCTCTAGAGAGGGAGCTTGAGTGGTTCCTGCATACCCCAGAGTCCTAAGCAGCCACAGCAGGGTGCCATTTTGAGAGCCCAGCCCCCATCAGACTACATCCTGACCAGGGGCCCAACAGCCCCTGCATTTCCACATCCTTGGAACCCCATCAATGGGGTTGAATACCTTGAATGCAGGGCTGGGCTTTATTGTTGGCTGCTGCTGCCAGGGCGAAACACGAGTCATTGGCAGTGACCCTGTCACTCCTAGTAGCAGTGCTGCTACATATTTAAAAGAGCCCTGAGGAAAGGCTCCCCTGCTTATATCAGGGCCAAAGCACATGCTCCCAAGCTACCTGTTTATGGCTGCTGCCACTGAAAGCAACCATGCCTTCTCCAGCAGTAGGGCTGCAGCACAGCCACTTCAGCCCCAACCTGAGCATTCTACTGGGGATCTAGGGATCACCTCGCCCCTGCCTACCACAGCCAGCACCCACGTGCACCACCAGATGGCCTGGCTCTACTCCCCTCAATTCCCAGTGCCTGAGTAAACTGTCCAGGGGCCTGGAGATTGCTCTGCCCCATTCACCACCGTTGGAACTTAGCACTCCTCCTGGGAACCTGAGGACAGGCTGACTTAGCTTGTCACTACCACCATGGCTGGGACTCACCTGCATGTGCTACCTACAGGCCTCAAGAATGGCTGGCCTAGCCTATTGCAGCCACCATCATCACCAGGACAAAGCACTTGGGAGTCAGAGGATTGTGTTGCCTCTGCTACAACCATTGCCTATGCTATGCCCAATTGCTAGGGCTCCAAGGACCCACCCACCCATCCGGCCCACCACTGCCGCTGCTGGCATCTGAGCAAGCTGCCTGGAGGGCCCAAGAATCAGCCTGACTAGACCCACTAACACTGGTGCCCATGTACACTTCCCTGAGGCCCATGGACAGGTATGTTTGACCTGTTGCTACTACCACTGGTGCCCAAGAACTGGCCCATCTGATGTCCCCATCCCCAGAAAAACTTCACCACAGCCTCCACCAACAACTGCACCTTATACCACCAAGGAAATCACAAATACTACTGATGCTGTTTACAGCCAGATAAATCATCATGGAGACTATATTATTGCACATACCGAGAATCAAAGCCAAAGTGTCCTACCCAACCAACACCATAGGTAAATCTTCAGGAAAAAGTCCTCCCCTACAAAAGCAAATTTAAAATATTAGAAGAAGTAACTGTTACATCAAATGTGCAGATATCAATGCAAGGACACAAAAAGTACGAAAAAGTAAAAAAAATACATTGCCTCCAAAGGAACACAATACTTCTCCAGCAATAGATCCCAATCAAAAAGAAATTTATGAAATCCCAGAAAAATTCACAATAATGATACTAAAGAAGTTTAGTGAGATACAAGAGAACACAGAAATCAGAACAACAATACAAATAAATCAGAAAAACAATGCAGGATATGAGTGAGAAATTTACCAAAGAGATAGCTAAAATAAAAAGAAAAACACATAGAAATTCTAAAGCTGAATAATTCATTGAATGAAATATAAAATACATTTGAAAGATTCAACACTAGACTAGATCAAGCAGAAGAAATAATTTTAGAAGTTGAAGACAAGTCATTGAAATAACCCAGTCAGACAAAAATGAAAAAATACTAAAAAAGAATAAACAAAGTCTATGACATATAGGACACTGTAAAGTGATCCAATAATGTGAATTTTTAGTGTCCCAGAAGGTGAAGAGAAAATGAAAGTGATAAAAAACCTATTTAACAAAATAATAGCTGAAAACTTTCCAGATGTAGCAAAAGATTTAGACATACAAATACAGGAAGCTCAGAGATCCCTAAATCTTTATAAAGGTCTTCTCCATGGCACATTGTAGTCAAACTGTCAAAAGTCAAAGATAATTCTAAAAATAGCAAGAGAAAAGCATCTAGTCACTTAGTCTGATGGGAGTTCCCATTAGACTGACAGTGAATTTCTCAGCAGAAATGTTATAGGCCAGGAGAGAATGGGCTGCTAAACTCAAAGTTCTGAAAAAACAAAACAAAACAAAACAAAACAAAAAAACACCTGGCAACCAAGGATACTATACTGAAGAAAGTTGCCTTTCATAAATGAAGGAGAAATAACAAAAGCTGAAATAATTAATAGCTGCTAGACTAGCCATATAAAAAATGCTTAAGGGAGTCTTACACCTGGAAGAAAAAGGAGAGTATATACCATAATGAAAATACATGAAAGTATAAAACCCACTGATAGAGCAAACACACAAATGAGGAAGAGAAGGGACTCAAATGTTTCCACTACAGAAAACCATCAAACCACAATGATAAGCAGTAAGAGAGGAAGAAAGAAGCAAAGTATATGCAAAATAAGCAGAAATCAATTAATAAAATGACAGAAATGAGCCTTCAAATATTAATAATAACTTTGAATATAAATAGATTAAACTTTCTACTTAAAAGATATAGACTGGGCCAGGCGCGGTGGCTCATGCCTGTAATCCCAGCACTTTGGGAGGCCAAGGCAGGAGGATCACGAGGTCAGGAGATCGAGACCATCCTGGCTAACATGGTGAAACTTCGTCTCTACTAAAAATACAAAAAAATTAGCCGGGCGTGGTGGCGGGTGTCTGTAGTCCCAGCTACTTGGGAGGCTGAGCCAGGAGAATGGCGAACCCAGGAGGTGGAGCTTGCAGTGAGCTGAGTTCGCACTACTGCACTCCAGCCTGGGCAACAGAGCGAGACTTTGTTTCAATAAAACAACAACAACAACAACAACAACAACAACAAAAACAAAAGAAAAATATAGACTGGCTGAATGGATTTAAAAAATGATCCAGCTATATGCTGCCTACAAGAAACTCACCTCAGATGTAAATGTACATATAGGGTCAAAGTAAAGGGATGGAAAAAGACATTCTGTGCAAACAAAAATTTAAAGCAAGCAGGAGTAGCTATACTTATGTCAGAAAAAAACAGACTTAAGTCAAAAACAGTGAAAGGAGACAAAGAAGGTCATTACATAATGATAAAGGGATTAATCTAATAGTACTATATAGCAATTCTAAACATATATGCTTCTGACACCAAAGCACCAAGACAAATACTATTACAACTAAACAGAGAGATAGACTCCAGTACGAAAATAGGTGAGAACTTGAACACCCTACTGTCAGTATTAGACAGATGATCTAGAGGGAAGATTAACAAAGAAACACTGAATTTAAACTTCACTTGAGACCAAATGTACATAACAGAGATTTATAGAACATTTCATCCAACAGCTATAGAATACACATTCTTCTCATCAGCACATGGAACATTCTCCAGGATAGATTATACATTAGGATACAAAACAAGTCTCAAAAAAATTTAGAATATCAAAATCATATCAAATATCTTCTCAGGCCACAAAGGAGTTTAATTAGAAATCAATAACAAGAGGAACTTTGGAAACTATACAAATACCTGGAAATTAAACAACATGCTCCCGAATGACCATTGGGTCAAAGAAGAAATTAAGGAGGAAATTTAAAAAATTCTTGACACAAATGAAATTGAAACAAAACATACCAAAATCTGTGGGAAACAGAAAAAGCAATGTTAAGAGGGAAGTTTATAGAAATAACTGCCAATATCAAAAAAGTAGAAGGATGTCAAATAAACAATCTAATGATGCACCTCAAAGAACTAGAAAAGCAAGAGCAAACCAAAGCCCAAATTAGTAGAAGGAAAGCAATAATGAAGATCAGAGCAGAACTAAATGAAACAGACTAAAGAAAAACACAAAAGAACAACAAAATAAATTTTTTCAAAAGATAAAATCAATAAACCACTAGCTAGATGAACCAAAAAAGAGAGAAAATCTAAATAAATAAAATCAGAAATAAGAAAGGAGACATTACAATTGATACCACAGAAATATGAAAAATCGGCCTGGCACGGTGGCTCATTCCTGTAATCCCACACTTTGGGAGGCCAAGGCGGGTGGACCATTTGAGGTCAGGAGTTCAAGACCAGCCAGGGCAACATGGTGAAACTCTTGTCTCTATTGAAAATACAAAAATTAGCTGGGTGTGGTGGCACACACCTATAATCCCATCTACTCGGGAGGCTGAGGCAGGATAATTGCTTGAACCCAGGAAACAGAGGTTGCAGTGAGCCAAGAGTGAACCACTGTACTCCAGCCTGGGTGACAGAGTGAGGCCCTGTCTCAAAAAAGAAAAAAATGAAAGATCATCAGAGACTGTTATGAACAACTGGATGATAACAAACTGGAAAACCTTGAGAAAATGGATAAATTCCTGGAGGCATGCAACCTACCAAAATTTAATCAGGAAGAAATTGAAAACCTAAACAGACCAATAATGAGTAATGAGATTGAATCAGTAATAAAAAGTATTTCAACAAATAAAAGTCTAGGACTGAATGCTTCACTGCTGAATTCTACCAAACTCACAAAGAAGAACTAATACCAATTCTCCTCAAACTATTCCAAAAATATCAAGGGGAGGGAATTCTCCCTAACTCATTCTATGATGCCAGCATTACTCTGACAGCAAAACCAGACAAGGATGCAACAACAACAAAAAACTACAGGCAAATATCCATGATGAACATAGATGCAAAAGTCCTCAACAAAATACTAGCAATCTGTATCCTACAATCTATCCAAAAGATACACCATGATCAAGTGGGATTTATCCCAGGGATGCAAGAATGGTTCAACATATGCAAATCAATAAATGTAATACATTGCATCAACAGAATGAACACCAAATCTGTATGATCATCTCAATAGACGCAGAAAAATCACTGGGTAAAAGTCAGCATCCCTTCATAATAAAAACTCTCAACAAACTAGGCATAGAAGGATTGTACCTCGACATAATGAAGGCTATGTATGACAAACCCACAGCTGAAATCAGACTGAATGGGAAAATGCTGAAAACCTTTCCTCTGAGAAATGGAACAAGACAAGGATGCACACTTTCATCACTCCTATTCAATGTATTACTGGAAGTCGTACCCAGAGCAACCAAGTAGGAAAAAGAAAGGTCCATACTGGAAAGGGGGAAGTCAAATTGTCCTTCTTTGCATATGTCATGAGCTTATATCAAGACAAACCTAAAGACTCCACCAAGAAATTCTTAGATCTGATCATTAAATACAGTAAAATTGCAGGATATAAAATCAACGTACAGAAATCAGTAGTGTTTTTATGCACCAATATTGATCTAGCTGAGAGAGAAATCAAGAAGGCAATCCCATTTACAGTAGCTACTGAAATATCTAGGAATAAACTTAACCAAGGAGGTGAAAGACCTTTACAAGGAAATCTCTGATGAAAGGTATTGAAGAGGACACAAATGGAAAGACACCCCACGCTCATGGATTGAAAGAATTAATATTGTTAAAATGACCATACTACTCAAAACAATCTACAGATTTCATGCAATTCCTGTCAAAATACCAATGTCATATTTCACAGAAAATAGAAAAAAAAATCCTAAAATTCACTTGGAATGAATAAAGAGTCCAAGTAGCCAAAGCAACCCTGAGCAAAAAGAACAAAGCTGGAGGCATCATACTACCTGACTTCAAGATGTGTCACCAGGCTATAGTAATCAAAATGACACAGTATTCATATAAAGGCAGACACATAGATGAATGGGACAGAATAGTGAACCCAGAAATAAATCCACATATTTACAGCCAACTTATTTTCAAAAAAATTTCTAAGGACATACACTGGGGAAAGGGCACCCTCTTCAATAAATGGTGCTGGGAAAATTAGATATCCATATTCGGAAGGATGAAACTGGACTCCTATTTTTCATCATATACAAAAATGAACTCCAGATGGATTGAAGACCTAAACATAAGACTCGAAACTATAAACCTACTAGAAGAAAACATAGGGGAAGCACTTCAGGACATTAGTGTAGGCAAAGATTTTATGGCTAAGACTTCAAAAGCACAGGCAACAAAAACAAAAACAGACAAGTGAGACTATATTAAACCAAAAAGCTTCTGCACAGTAAAGGAAACAATCAACAGAGTGAAGAGACAACCTGTTGAATGGCAGAAAATATTTGTAAACTATTCATCCAACAAGGGACTAATATCCAGAATATACAAGGAACTCAAACAACTCAATAAAAAACAAAAACAAAAACAAAAACAAATAATCCCGTTAAAAAGTGGGCAAAGAACATGAATAGAAATTTCTTAAAATAAGACATACAGATTGCCAATAGGTGTATGAAAAAATGCTCAACATCACTAATCAAATGGGAAATACAAATTAAAACCACACAAAAAATCTTACCTTGGTTAGAATGGCTACTATTAAAAAGACAAAAACAAACAAAAACAACAACAACCAGATGCTGGCAAGGATGAGGAGAAAAGGGAACTCATGTACACTGTTGTGAATGTAAATTAGTATAGCCACTATGGAAAACAGTGTGAAGATTTATGAAAAAACTAAAAATAGAACTACCATATGATCCAGCAATCCCACTACTGAGTATTTATCCACAGGAAAAGAAATCAGTATATCTAAGGAATACCTGCACTCCTATGTATATTGCAGCACTATTAACAATAACAAAGATATGGAATCAACCTAAGTGTGTTCATCAATGAACAAGTGGATAAAGAAAATATATAACCAACAACAGCCAAGCCAAGAACCAAATCAGGAATGCAATCCCATTGACAATAGGCAGAGAAAGAATAAAATACCTAGGAATACAGCCAACCAGGAAGGTGAAAGATCTGTACAATGAGAATTACAAAACACTGCTCAAAGAAATCAGAGATGACACAAACAAATGGAAAAACATCCCATGCTCATGGTTAGGAAGAATCTATATCATTAAAATGGCCATAATGCCCAAAGCAATTTATAGATTCAATGCTATTCCCATCAAACTGCAAATGACATTCTTCACAGAACTAGATAAAAATTATTTTAAAATTCCTATGGAACCAAAAAAGGAGCCCAAATAGCCAAGGCAATCCTAAGCAAAAAGAACAAAGCTGGAGGTATCACACTACTCAACTTCAAACTATACTACAGGGATACCGTAACCAAAACGGCATGATATTAGTACATAGACTAATGGAGCAGAATAGGTTACCCAGAAATAAGGTTGCACACCTACAACCATCTGATCTTCAGCAAAACTGACAAAAACAAGCAATGGTGAAAGGATACCCTATTCAATAAGTGGTGCTAGGAGAAGTGGCTAGCCATGTGCAGAAGATTGAAATGGGACCCCTTCCTTTCACCATATACAAAAATCAACTCAAGATGGATTAAGGACTTAAATGTAAAACCCAAAACTATAAAAACCCTGGAAGACAACCTAGGTAATACCATTTAGGACATAGGAAAAGGCAAAGATTTCATGAGGAAGATGCCAAAAGCAATCCCAACGAAAGCAAAAATTGACAAATGGGACCTAATTAAACTAAAGAGCTTCTGCACAGCAAAGGAAACTATCAACAGAGTAAACAGACAACCTACAGAATGGGAGAAACTATTTGCAAACTATACATCTGACAAAGGTCTAATATCCAGCATCTATATGCAATTAAAACAAATTTACACAAAAAACTCAAACAACCCCATTGAAAAATTGACAAAGGACACGAACAGACACCTTTCAAAAGAAAACAAGTGTGTGGCCAACAAGCACATGAAAAAAAGCTCAGCATTGCTGATCATTAGAGAAATGCATCAAAACCACAGTGAGATACCATCTCACACCAGTCAGAATGGCTATTAAAAAGTCAAAAATAACAGATGCTGACAAGATTGCAGAGAAAAGAGAACACTTTTTTTTTTCAGAGTCTCACTCTGTTGCCCAGGCTGGAGTGCAATGGCATGATCTCGGCTTACTGCAACCTCCGCTGCCCGGGTTCAAGTGATTCCCCTGCCTTAGCCACCCAAGTAGCTGGGATTACAGGCGTGTGTCACCACGCCCGGCTAATTTTTGTATTTTTAGTAGAGACGGGGTTTCACCATGTTGGCCAGGCTGGTCTCGAACTCCCGACCTCAGGTGATCCACCCGCCTTGGTCTCCCAAAGTGCTGGGAATACAGGCGTTAGCCACCACGCCTGGCCGAAAAGGGAACACTTTATACATTGTTGGTGGAAGTGTAAATTAGTTCAACCATTGTGGAAAGCAGTATGGAAATTTCTCAGACTTAAAAACAGAACTACCATTAGACCCAGCAATCCAATTACTGGGTATATATCCAGAGGAATATAAATCGTTGCATTATAAACACATATGCACGTGAATGTTCATTGCAGCACTACACAATAGCAAAGACATGGAATCAACCTAAAGGCCCATCAATGATAGACTGGATAAAAAAAATGTGCTACATATACACCATGGAATACTATGCAGTGATAACATGAAGATTATGTCTTTTGCAGGAATATGGATGGAGCTGGAGGCCGTTATCCTTAGCCAACTAACACAGGAACAGAAAACCAAATACTGCATGTTTTCACTTATAAGTGGGAGAGAAATGATGAGAACACAAGGACACATAGAGTAGAACTACAGACACTGGGGCCTATTGGAGGGTGGAGGCTGAGAGGAGGGAGAGGATCAGAAAAAATAACTATTGGGTCCTAGGCTTAGTACCTGGGTGACAAAATAATTTACAAAACAAACTCCTGTGATACAAGTTTACCTATATAACAAACCTGCACATGTACCCTTGAACCAAAAATAAAAGTTGAAAAAAAAGATTAAAAAAAACTTAAAAAGTTTAATGGCCTTCAAAAAATGTGGTATATACACACAATGGACAACTATTTGGCCATAAACAAGAATGAAATCATGTCATTTGCAGCAACGTGGATGGAACTGGAGGTCATTATGTTAAGTGAAATAAGCCATGCTCAGAAAGACAAATATTGTATATTTTCACTCATATCTGGGAGCTAAAAATTTTGATCTCACGGAAGTAGAGAGTAGAATGATAGTTAGTAGGGGCTGGGAAGGGTGAGAGAGGGGGCAGGATGAAGAGAGGCTGGTTAATGAGTATAAACATACAGTTAGATAGAAGGGAAAAGTTCTCTTGTTCAATAGCAGAGTAGGGTAATTATAGTTAACAACAATGTATTGTGTATTTCATGGTAGCCAGAAGAGGGGTCTTGAAATGTTCCGAACACACAGAAATGATAAATACTCAAGGTGTTGGATATCCTAAATTCACTGATTTGATCATTACAATTCTATGCATGTGACAATATATCACATATACCCTACAGATATGTACAAATATGTATCATTTAAAATCTTTAATGAATAGCTTTAATTCATTTACCATGCCTAACCACATTTGGCAGTTAACAAATATTACATAAGAAAATTGACCAACTGCCCATTGACCTGCTGTTGTGGGTGAAGGATGGGATCTCTTGTGCTTGGCCTGTATCTTAAAAGCCTGGGCTGGAAAAGTAGAGCCATCTTTCTTGAGAGAAAGGGGTTGTGAATGCTTCTGCCACCATTACAGTCCTCAGGGTCAATAGGCACAGCATGCACTAGAAAGCAGTATCTCTCACTTTGATAAGCTTCATACTCCTGTTTACCTAATATTCATAGCATGTTAAAATGGCAATGTAGAATTAGCAAAAGCGAGGGAGAAAGGGTCCCCCAAATCTCACTTTCTGCCTTAAGGCCTAAGAGCCAGCAATTCAGTCTGGTTATTGTCTACTGTACCACTCTTTTCTTGAAGATTTGCCTAATTACCCTTTTTCTGGCAGAGAAACTAAAAGGAGATGTCCACCTCAAATACACCTCAAAAATTACCACCCCTTGCTCCCAGGAAGCTTCATCCTGCCGCATACACCCCACAAATTCCCACCTGGGTGTCTTGATCTCCAATAAACACATTGTGATTTGGAAACACCTTTATAGGAATACAGTGCACTTATCTCTATACCCAACCTCAACCATATCACTGAGGAACTAGAAGTCTCTCAGTCGACTAATGTTTTTTGACAGACATCCCGGGAATGAGTTCTGGCACACTGCAAATTGGCATTAGCCTGGCTGTGCTCATGGGATAAAATGTGTCCACAGCAGCACAGATTAAACCAGGGGGAGGTCATCACAACCTGCTTTTTTTTTAGCTGGCAAGACCTCCACACCACTAGCTCCTACTGAGGGCCATTACAGCTTACCAGGCCATATGGACAGAAAGCACTAACAGCCCCTTTGGCAAGGTGAAGAGAGCAGAAGTGAGGTGAAAAAAGAAAGAAGGTAACAGGTGTTTAGGGAGATGAAAGGAAAGATCTTGTTACTAAAGGGCAAGAGTTAACTGGATCCTGGTCCTACTTCTCCCTCTGTCCCATTTGTGTACATTTTGCTTGTTATCTTTCTTCAGATTCTATGACTTGTTTGTCACTCTGGTTCCCAGCATTTAGATAGAGCAACCAATAGTCCTCAAGGTTGAGATGATCAAGGCTGGATTTTTCCCTAAACCTTCTGAAGAAACACTAATGCAGCAGAACTGATTAATAAGTATCAAAGAAGTAGAAGAGGAAAAGAGAAGGGAAATGAGTAATAGACAGGTGGATATAAGGAAAATTGTCAAGCTAAAGACAGGAGTTTGTTGACTCTTCGTCATCTTTCTTTTTCTGATACCTTTTTTATTATAAAGACTTTTCCTTTTGTATCAACTATTGCTAAATTCCACTCTTTAAGTGACCACTGACAGTCCATGATATTGCAAAAATTAAAGACTGATTCTCTCCACAGCCTCTTCAGAGACACTAACACAGCAGAGCTGATATTCAACAGTAAGAGGGGAAAGGAGAAAAGGTAGAGAGGGATGATGGAAATTAGGAGAGAGGTACTGTACAAGGGCAGGATTTGTTTGGCTTCTAGGTCTCTTTCACTTCTTATCCTAACATTTTAAGACATTACTCCTTTCCATAATAATCTTTGATGAATTTTTATGGTTATGACACTTATAACCCTAAGGCAGGCCAATGGTCCCCCCAAACCAATGTAAAGATACTCACACAGCACAGGTGATGATATAATATCCAGAAATAAAAATGGAGTAAATAAAAAGGTAAGGGTCAGTGGTAGGAAGATGGAGGTTAGGAGAGATGTGTGGGCTAAGGTAGAGGAGCTGGCTGGCTTCTTGTCTTCCTTCTCCTAGTACAGAATGTCATTGTTTTAAGGCATTTTACTGACCCCATAACCTCTTGTTAGATTTTCTCCTTAGGCTGTTGGATCACAGTTTTCAAGGAGATAAAACTGAAGCTGAGTTTCTTAAAACCTCCCTAAAGACACTAACATAAAAGAGATGAGAATAAAATATATAGATAGATGGATGGAAGTTCAGAGAGAAGAGATGGCCAAGGAGGAAGACTTTGCTGGCTTCTCTCAACCTCTTACATCTATTTCATTTTTTAAAAACATGGAACTTTTTTTCTTCTAAAACAAGTTGCTACCCCTCAGAAATAATGCCACATATCCACAACTATCTGATCTTTGACAAACCTGACAAAAACAAGAAATGGGGAAAGATTCCCTATTTAATAAATGGTGCTGGGAAAACTGGCCAGCCGTATGTAGAAAGCTGAAACTGCATCCCTTCCTTACACCCTATACGAAAATTAATTCAAGATGGATTAAAGACTTAAATGTTAGACCTAAAACCATAAAAACCCTAGAAGAAAACCTAGGCAATACAATTCAGGACATAGGCATGGGCAAGGACTTCATGTCTAAAACACCAAAAGCAATGGCAATGAAAGCCAAAATTGACAAATGGGATCTAATTAAACTAAAGAGCTTCTGCACAGCAAAAGAAACTACCATCAGAGTGAACAGGCAACCTACAGAATGGGAGAAAATTTTTGCAATCTACTCGTCTGACAAAGGGCTAATATCCAGAATCTACAAAGAACTTAAACAAATTTACAAGAAAAAAACCAACAACCCCATCAAAAAGTGGGCGAAGGATATGAACAGTCCCTTCTCAAAAGAAGACATTTATGCAGCCAAAAGACACATGAAAAAAATGCTCATCATCACTGGCCATCAGAGAAATGCAAATCAAAACCACAATGAGATACCATCTCACACCAGTTAGAATGGTGATCATTAAAAAGTCGGGAAACAACAGGTGCTGGAGAGGATGTGGAGAAATAGGAACACTTTTACACTGTTGGTGGGACTGTAAACTAGTTCAACCATTGTGGAAGTCAGTGTGGCGATTCCTCAGGGATCTAGAACTAGAAATACCATTTGACCCAGCCATCCCATTACTGGGTATATACCCAAACGATTATAAATCGTGCTGCTATGAAGACACATGCACACATATGTTTATTGTGGCACTATTCACAATAGCAAAGACTTGAAACCAACCCAAATGTCCATCAGTGATAGACTGGATTAAGAAAATGTGACACATATACACCATGGAATACTATGCAGCCATAAAAAAGGATGAGTTCATGTCCTTTGTAGGGACATGGATGAAGCTGGAAACCATCATTCTGAGCAAACTATCACAAAGACAGAAAACCAAACACCGCATATTCTCACTCATAGGTGGGAATTGAACAATGAGAACACATGGACACAGGAAGGGGAACATCACACACCGGGGCCTGTTGTGGGGTGGGGGGAGGGGGAGGGATAGCAGTAGGAGATATACCTAATGCTAAATGACGAGTTAATGGGTGCAGCACACCAACATGGCACATGTATACATATGTAACAAACCTGCACATTGTGCACATGTACCCTAAAACTTAAAGTATAATAAAAAAATAAATTTTACAAAAAAAAAAAAAAAAAAACAAGTTGCTAGAGGCTGTTGTCATGTACAACCATAGTTGGCAAAATTGTGAATTGAGGCCTGAGTTTAGCGACAGATTTAATACAATAACTAATGCAACAAAACTGACCAGCAAACATACACCAAGTAGACAGGAAATAAAGAAGGGGAGAAAGTGGTAAGAGAGAAGAGAGCAAGAGATGGTTTTGGGCTAAAGAGCAGGAGGTGTCAGGCTCCTGGTCCTCTTTGCTTTCGAATTTTAAGGCACCATACTTTTCCATAGCATGTTAGATTTTAGTCATTGGACACACAAAACCCTCATGGTGTTTATATTGAGGCCATGTATCCCTGAAATCAATGTAAAGGCACTAAAACAGTATAGGACACTATAAAACATAGAGTATATAAAAAGGGAAATAAAATGGTGATGGCAGGGAGGGTTGTGGTAGGGTGATAGAAGTTAGGAGAAATGTTCTGATTCAGGGGAGAAGTTGGCTGGCTCCTGGTTTACTTTCTCCACTTGTATGATTATTTTAAGACATTTAATTTGTTCATAACTCTTGCCAGAATTCATTTCTTGCAAGAAGTGGCTACACAGAGACCTTGAGGTGGGATTAATGCAACAAAAATAACCTTCAACAATCCCACTCCTGACAGTAGAGTTTTAAAATTAACTATGTAACAAAATTACACTTATACCCCATACATTTATACAAATTAAAAAAAAACTAATCTGAATAGTGAAGGGGAAAAGAAAGGTGACAGGCAGTTATAGAAATTAAAAGTTGGGATACAAGTTCTGGCTGAGGGCAGGAGTTGGCTGACTCTTGGTCCATTTTCACCTATTATCTCATTATTTTAAGGTATTTCACTTGCCCACAACTCTTGCTAGATTTCTCTTTAAGAGTTGGCCACAAAAGGTCCTCAAGTTGGCCAGGAATGGTGGCTCATGCCTGTAATCCCAGCCACTTTGGGAGGCGGAGGTGGGCAGATCACTTGAGGTCAGGAGTTTGAGATCAGCCTGGCCAACATGCTGAAACCCTCATCTCTACTAAAATACAAAAATTAACCAGGTGTGGTGGTGCACACCTGTAGTCCCAGCTACTTGAGAGGCTGAGGCACAAGAATAGCTTGAACCCAGGAGGCGGAGGTTGTAGTGAGCTGAGATCATGCCACTGCACTCCAGCCTGGGTGACAGAGTGAGACTGTGTCTCAAAAAAAAAAAAAAAAGTGCCTCAAGTTGATAATACTGAGTCTCTCTAAAACCTTTGCAAATACACTAGCACTACAAAAATGAATATTAAACATTTGGACGATAAAGGGGAAAATAGAGGAAAGAAGGTCAGCAGTAGAAGATGGAAGCTAGGAGAGAGGTGTTAAATAAATGGTAGAAGTCAGCTGGCATCTGGACCACCTTCCATCTGAATTAAGTTTTGTAATGCACGTGCTGTTTTTCTTCATAAACTGCTACTTTGTATTGTAAGAAACTGTAGTCCACAAGATTGAACACAGAGGCCTGATTTTTCCCACAGGCTTAGCAAAGACACTGATGGGGGAGAGGTGACCATGAAACATTTAGCAAGCATGAGAATATATGTAAAAGTGAAGTGAAATAGGGAGACTGAGGATCACAGTTATTTTAGGATTGAGGATCTCGATAGAGGACAGGAGGTGTATGATTTCTGGAACTTCTTTTTATAAAATCCAAAAATATTAAGGGAATACACATTTTTATACTATCTTGTTAAATCTTTTTCATCATGCAAGACACCCACAGTAGTCAAGGTGGTAAAGCTGAGCTGTGAATCCTTGAAACCAATATAAAGACAATAACACAGACAAGAGCCCAGACAACAACCAGAGTGTATAAGGAAGGCAATAGAATGGTGATGATGGAGGGGCTATAAAGGATGATGGAAGTTAGGATAAATAGTTTGGCACAAAGACAAAAATTGGCTGGCTCATGGTTCATACTTTCTTGTTATTTAATTATTTTAAGGAATTTCACTTTTCTATAATGCTTGCTAAGCTTCTCTGTTTGATGTTGTGACCTCAGACTTCAAGGTGGAAACTCTCTCAAATCTCTCAAAAGATACTAATGTTACAGAGATAATTTTAAAAATCCATGTGGGAATAGGAGAAAATAAAATGAGAAATATCATAGACAGAAATAAGGAACTTACAACTAATGGGAGGGAATTGGCTATTTCATGGTTTACCTATTTCCATTTAATTTGGGTTCAAGCATGTCTTTATACCACAAATTGTTAGATTCAACTGTTGATATATGCAAATACAAACTCCAAGTTACAAAAGAGACTTCGGCCTCTGGAAAGCTTCAGCAAAGAAAGTAATATAACAGAAGTGACCAACAAATATCCACAAGGGAAAAGAGTGAACGAAAAGAGGACAGGCGCGGTGGCTCACGCCTGTACTACCAGCACTTTGGGAGGCCGAGGCGGGCGGATCACAAGGTCAGGAGATCGAGACCATCCTGGCTAACACGGTGAAACCCCGTCTCTACTAAAAATATAAAAAAAATTAGCCGGGCATGGTGGCGGGCGCCTATAGTCCCAGCTGCTCGGGAGGCTGAGGCAGGAGAATGGCGTGAACCCGGGAGGCGGAGCTTCCAGTGAGCCGAGATAGCGCCATTGCACTCCAGCCTGGGCGACAGAGCAAGACTCTGCCTCAAAAAAAAAAAAAAAAAAAGAGTGAATGAAAAGAAGAGGGGAGTGATAAGAAGAGGAATATTAGGAGACAAAGTTTGTAAAAGGGCAGGAGTTGGCTGGCACCTGATGCTGTCTTTCCTCTTATGACAACATTTGAAGGCATTTCACTTGTTCATAACCTCTTCCCAGGTTTCACTTCTTGAGCTGACCACTTGCAGACCAAAATGTGAGAATATTTGGCCCAACCCTACTGATCTCTCTATATAAATAACACAACAGAAATGACCACTAAATACCTGAAAGATAAAAGGGGAAAAGTAAACTCAGAACATTGGAAGAAATAAAGAAGTTAGGAGAAAAGGGATGGCTGATGGGCAAGAGTTGGCTGACTCCTCATTCACCAGTTTCCTTTCTAACATGGTTCAAAGTGTATTATGTTTTCTATCATATATTCCCAGATTCTATCATGATATGTGCAAACACAGTCTACAGATACAGAAAACCGAGACTAGATTCTTATGCCAACTTTAGCAAAGACACGAATATAAGATGGTTTCCTACCAAATACCCAGGATGTAAGGGTGTAAATAAGAAAAGGGCAGGTTGTGGCAAGAGGCAAACACTGAAAGCCCAATTTTTTTTCTGAATAGCAGGAGTTGTCTGCCTCCTAGTTCACTTGCTTCTATTCTATTTTAAAATATTTTGTTTTTTTTTCTGTCACATATTTCTAGATTGTATGGTTGACATGCACAAATAAAGTGTGCAAGGTGCAGGAAAGTGAGACTAGATTCTTCAGACAACATAAGTAAAGACACTAATGTGGCAGAGCTTAGTAACCAATATCCAGGACATAAGATAGAGAATGAAAGAAGGGGACAGTGGTATGCTAGGAATGTTAATATTAGGAGACCATTTTTCCATAAACTTTACAGGTTGGCTGGCTCTTGATCCTGCTTTATTGCCTATGACAACACTTTAAGACATTTAGCTTATTCACAAACTGTTGCTAGTTTTTCATTTCTTGAGATGACCACTTGAAGACTCAGAGGTGGGAATAGCTGGCTGAGCTGACTGAAATCTCTATAAATAAAATAGGACAACAGACATGACCACAGAACATCTAGAAGATGAAAGGTGAAAATAGATGTGCAAAGGTTATTGGTATAAAGAAGAGTTAGGAGATAAGTGCTCACTAAAGTTGAGAGTTGGCTGATTACTGGTTCATCTATTTCCCATCTAATGTGGCCCAAAGCATGCCACTTTTCCATCACATATTGCTAGATTCTAAGGGTGATATCCGCAAATACAGTCTGCAGGTCCAGAAAACTGAGACTGGATTATTTGGGCAATTACAGCAAAGAACTAATATAACAGAGAACACTAAAAGATATCCAGAATTTAAGAGGGTTTAAAAAAAGGCCAAAGTGAAGTTGGCTGCCTCTTATCCTGCTCATTTTCCTATCGTATCATTTAAAAGCATTTTAATTGCTCATAAATTATCCCTAGACTTACAAACTTATTCTCCAAGGGCGGTATTAACCAGATACCAAAACCCAATAAAGACACATCAAAAAAAGAAAGCTAGAGGCCAATATCTCTGATAAATATTGATGCAAAAATCCTTAACATAATACCAGCAAACTGAATTCAACAATATGTTAACAATGTCATTCATCAAGACCAAGTGGGATTTATCCCAGGGATGCAAGGATGGTTCAACATATACAAATTAATCAATATGTTACATCATATCAACACGATGAAGGACAAAAACCATATGATCATTTCAATAGATGGTGAAAAAGCATTTGATAAAGTTCAACATCCCTTCATGATAAAGACCCTAAAAAAACTGGGTATAGAAGGAACATACCTCAACATAATAAAAGCCATATGACAGTCCCACAGCTAGTATTGTACAGAATGGAGGGAAAAAAAATGGAAAGCATTTCCTCTAAGACTTAGAACATGACAAGGATGCCCACTTTCATTGTTATTCAGCATAGTACTGAAAGTCCTACCTAGATCAATCAGACAAAAGAAAGAAATAAAGAGCATCCACCTTTCTCACCACTCCTATTCAACATAGTGTTGGAAGTTCTGACCAGGGCAATCAGGCAAGAGAAATAAATAAAGGGTATTCAGTTAGGAAACGAGGAAGTCAGATTGTCCCTGTTTGCAGATGGCATGATTGTATATTTAGAAAACCCCATCATCTCAGCCCAAAATCTCCTTAAGCTGATAAGCAACTTCAGCAAAGTCTCAGGATACAAAATCAATGTGCAAAAATCACAAGCATTCCTATACACCAATAACAGACAGAGAGCCAAATCATGAGTGAACTCCCATTCACAATTGCTACAAAGAGAATAAAATACCTAGGAATCCAACTTACAAGAGATGTGAAGGACCTCTTCAAGGAGAACTACAAAACACTGCTCAACGAAATAAAGGAGGACACAAACAAATGGAAGAACATTCCATGCTCATGGATAGGAAGAATCAATATCGTGAAAATGGCCATATTGCCCAAGGTAATTTATAGATTCAATGCCATCCCCATCAAGCTACCAATAACTTTCTTCACAGAATTGGATAAAACTACTTTAAAGTTCATATGGAACCAAAAAAGAGCCTGCATTGCCAAGACAATCCTAGGCAAAAATAACAAAGCTGGAGGCATCACGCTACCTGACTTCAAACTATACTACAAGGCTACAGTAACCAAAACAGCATGGTACTTGCACCAAAACAGAGATAGAGACCAATGGAACAGAACAGAGGCCTCAGAAGTAACACCACACATCTACAACCATCTGATCTTTGACAAACCTGACAAAATCAAGAAATGGGAAAAGGATTCCCTGTTTAATAAATGGTGCTGAGAAAACTGGCTAGCCATATGTAGAAAGCTGAAACTGGATCCCTTCCTTACACCCTATACAAAAATTAATTCGAGATGGATTAAAGACTTAAATTGTAGACCTAAAACCATAAAAACCCTAGAAGAAAACCTAGACAATACCATTAAGGACATAGGCATCGGCAAGGACTTCATGTCTAAAACACCAAAAGCAATCGCAACGAAAGCCAAAATTGACAAATGGGATCTAATTAAACTAAAGAGTTTCTGCACAGCAAAAGAAACTACCATCAGAGTGAACAGGCAACCTACAGAATGGGAGAAAATTTTTGCAATCTACTCATCTGACAAAGGGCTAATATCCAGAATCTACAAAAAACCTAAACAAATTTACAAGAAAAAAACCAAACAACCCCATCAAAAAGTGGGCAAAAGATATGAACAGACCCTTCTCAAAAGAAGACATTTATGCAGCTAACAGACACATGAGAAAATGCTCATCATCACTGGTCATCAGAGAAATGCAAATCCAAACCACAATGAGATACCATCTCACACCAGTCAGAATAGCGATCATTAAAACAACAGGTGCTGGAGAGGATGTGGAGAAATAGGAATGCTTTTACACTGTTGGTGGGAGTGTAAACTAGTTCAACCGCTGTGGAAGACAGTGGCGATTCCTCAGGGATCTAGAACTAGAAATACCATTTGACCCAGCCATCTCATTACTGGGTATATACTCAAAGGATTATAAATTATGCTACTATAAAGACACATGCACACATATGTTTATTGTGGCACTATTCACAGTAGCAAAGACTTGGAACCAACCCAAATGTCCATCAATGATAGACTGGATTAAGAAAATGTGGCACATATACACCATGGAATACTATGCAGCCATAAAAAATGATGAGTTCATGTCCTTTGTAGGGACATGGATGAAGCTGGAAACCATCATTCTGAGCAAACTATCACAAGGACAGAAAACCAAACACCGCATATTCTCACTCATAGGTGGGAATTGAACAATGAGAGCACTTGGACACAGGGCAGGGAACATCACACACCGGGGCCTGTTGTGGGGTGGGGGGCTAGGGGAGGGATAGCATTAGGAGAAATACCTAATGTAAATGATGAGTTAATGGGTGCAGCACACCAACATGGCACAAACCTGCATGTTGTGCACATGTACCCTAGAACTTAAGGTATATATATAAATATAAAAAAGAAAAAAAAAAGAAATAAAGACCATCCAAACTGGAAAAGAAGAAGTCAAATTATCCAAATTATCTTTGTAGATGATATGATCTTATATTTGGAAAAATCTAATGACTTCATCAAAAAACTTTAGAACTGATAAACGAATTCAAGAAAGTTGCAGGATAGAAAATTAACATATGAAAATCAGTAGCATTTCTATATGCCAACAATGAACAATCTGAAAAGGAAATTTAAAAATTACCATTTATAATAGCCACAAATAAAGTTACATACCTAGGAAATGACTTAACCAAAAAAGTAAAAGATATCTGCAATGAACGCTATAAAACTCTGATGAAAGAAATTCACAAGGACACACAAAAAATGGAAAGATATTCCATGTTCATGGATTGGAAGAATCAATATTGTTGCAATGTCCATACTACTCAAAGAAATCTACAGATTCAATACAATCCTTATCAAAATACCAAAGGCATTTTTCATAGAAATAGAAAAAACAATCCTAAAACTTATATGAAATCCCAAAAGACCCAGAATAGCCAAAGCTATCCTGAGAAAGAAGAACAGAACTGGAGGAATCACATTGCCTGACTTCAAATTATACTACAGAGCTACAGTAACCAAAACAGCATGATACTGGCATAAAAACATACAGACCAATGTAACAGAATAGAGAACCCAGAAACAAATCCACACACCTACAGTTAACTCATTTTCAACAAAGATGCCAAGAACATATATTGGGGAAAAGACAGTCTTTTCAATAAATTGTGCTGGGAAAACTGGATATCCATATGTAGAATAATGAAACGTGATCTTTATCTCTCACTTTATACAAACATCAAATCAAAATGGATTAAAGACTTGAATCTGAGACCTCCTATAATGAAACCACTACAATGAAACATTGGGGAAAATCTCCCGGACGTTGGTCTGGGCAAAAATTTCTTGAGTAACACTCTACACACATAGGAAACTAAAGCAAAAATGGACAAATGGGATCACATTAAGTTAAAAAGCTTCTGCACAGCAAAGGAAACAACCAACAAAGTGAAGAAACAACCCACAGAATGGGAGAAAAAATTTGCAAACTACTCATCTGATAAGGGATTAATAATCAGAACATATAAGGAACTCTATAGGAAAAAAAATCTAATCCAATTCCTTAAATGGGCAATAGATTTGAATATATATTTCTCAAAAGAAGAGATACAAATGGCAAACAGGCATATGAAAAGGTGATCAACATTACTGATCATCAGAGAAATGCAAAGTCAAAACTATAATGAAATATCATCTCACCCCAGTTAAAATGGCTTTTATACAAAGGCAGACAATAAAAAATACTGGTGAGGATGTGGAGAAAAGGGAATCCTCATATACTGTTGGTGGGAATGTAAATTAATACAACCGCTATGAAGAACAGTTTGGAGGTTCCTTAAAAAACTGAAAATAGGTCGTCTATAAGATCCAGCGATCCCACTGCTGGGTATATACCCAAAAGTAAGGAAATCAGGATCTCAAAGAGATACCTGCACTCCCATGTTTGTTGCAGCAGTGTTCACAATAGCCAAGATTTGGAAGCAACCTAAGGGTCCACAAGCAGATGAATGGATAAAGAAAATGTGATAAATATATACAATGGAGTACTATTCAGTCATAAAAAAGAATAAGATCCTGTCATTTGCAACAACATGGATGGAACTGGAGGTCATTATGCTAAGAGAAATAAGCCAGGCACAGAAAGACAAATATCACATGCTTTAACTTATTTGTGGGCTCTAAAAATCAAAGCAATGAACTCATGGCCATAGAGAAGGATGGTAATCAGAGGTTGGGAAGGGTAGTGGGGGTGGGTGGGAGGAAGACAAGGATGATTAATAAAAAAAAAGTTAGAATGAATAAGACCTAGTATTTGATTACACGACAAGGTGACTGTAGTCAATAAAAACCTACTTATACATTTTAAAATAACTAAAAGAGGATAATTGGCTTGTAACACAAAAGATAAATGCTTGAGGGGATGGATACCCAATGTTTCATGATGTGATTATTATACATTGCATGCCTGTATCAAAATATATCATGTACCATATATATATATGACACATATATATATACACATATGCACACACACATATATATATACCTATGATGTATTCACAAAAATTAAAAATAAAAAACCCTTTAAAATAAAATAAAATAAAATAAAATACATTATTCCTAGGCCTTACTTCTGATTACCTGCAGAGATTCAGGTGGGAATATTTTCCCAAGCCCCACTGAAATCTCTATAAACAAAATAATGCAACAGAAGTGACCACTGAAAACCTGAAAGGGAAATGGGAAAAACAAATGTGTGAAGGTCGTTGGCAGAGTGAAGGAAGGCAGGAGAGTGGTACTGACTATTGGGCAGAAGTTGGCTTACTCTTGGTTTCCCTGTGTACCTTCTAATGTGATTCAAAGCATGTTGTCTTTTCCATCTCATATTGCTAAATGGTGTAGCTGACATGAGTAAATACAGTCAGCAGTGTATAGAAAACTGAGATTAGAGTCTCCCAACAATTTCATGTAGGTAATTGATGCAGCAGCATGACCACCCCATATCCTGGAAGTAAGAGGGAGAAGGAAAAGTAGGATGGGTGTGTGTTAAAAAGGGGCTTATTAGAAGACCACTTTTGTATGAAGGACAGCAGTTTGCTGGCTCCTAATCCTGTTTTGGCTCCTATCACAATATCTTTAAGACATTTCATTTGTTCATAAATTATTTTTAGGTTTCACTTCTTTAGCTGACCACTTGCGAATTGTAGGTGCGAATACTGAACCCAAGTCCCACTCAACACTATAAAGACATTAATGCAGTGGAAATGTCCACTGAACACCTAGAGGATAAAAGGAAAATAAAGGGATTAAGGTCACTGGTAGAATGTAGGGATCCTGTCTAAGAGCAGAAGTTGGCTGGTTCCTGGTCCTTATTCACCTAGAATCTCATTATTTTTAAGACATTTTTCTTATCCATAACTCTTGCTAGATTTCTTTTTTTGAGTTGATAACACACTGACCTCAAGTTTGGATATAAATGCCAAGTAGCTCTAAAACCTCTGTAAAACAACTAACATAGCAGAAATGGCCACCATACAGATCAAATAGGTAAACAGATCAAAGAAAAAGGTAAAGAATAACAGTAGAAAGAAGGAAGTTCGGAGACAGTTGCTGGCTGAGAGGCAGACATGCCTGGCTCTTAGTCCACCTTCCATCTCTACTCTATTGTTTTAAAATATATTCTGTTTTCTTTCACATATCGCTAGACATTATTGGAGTCATGGACAAGCACAGTGCATACAACATTTTGAAAATTGAGGCCAGACGCTCCCTATCATCTCAGCAAAGACACTAATTCAGCAGAGCTGGCCAGCGAATCTTCGACAGGAATTGAGGATCTGAGCAACTGGGAAAAAAGGGATGAATGGTAGGCATAGTTGTATTAAGAGAAAAGTTCTAGTGCCTTCTGTACTCCCACTGCTGCACTTGACTAGCCTACAAAAAAGAGAGATGTTTTGCCTATGGGACAGAGGTTGCCTGGCTCTTGGCTCTCTTCTGCCTATCCTTTTATTTTAAATGATTATTCTTGCTCATAGCATGTTGCTACATTTCCTTTTGTGAGCTTCCAATTCGCAGTCCTTGAGTTTGGAAAATTGAGGAAGAATCCACATAAAACCTCTGTTAAGACATTAAATCAACAGATCTGAGTATCACACATACAGTAAGTAAAAGGGGAAAGGAGGAGAGGAGAGAGTGGAAGGGTGGGAGATATTAAAAGTTAGTGGCTCCTTTTTGCTTTTTTCCCTTTTGGTAATTTTTACTTGATGTTTGCCACCCAAAGTCTGCACTTTTGGGAATTTTGATCCCCTGTTTTCTTTAAACCCTACCAAAAAATTATTGTAACAGAATTTGCTATCCGGCACCAATCTCTATCAGGAGAAGGTTAAGGAATGTAGAGATGGCTATTATATGAATATCTGGCTAAATGCTCATATAATCTGGCTAAATGATTAGCTAAATTATTAGAGTTTCCTAGCTCTTGGCCAATTTTTTTTTTTTTTTTTGTATTATGATCTACAGTGGGACTTGCCACTTCACTCTTTTGAGAAATTGAAATGTCTGGCCTTTCTGAAACTTTTGTAAAATTGCCCACACAGTTTTTGTCACTTGAAAGCCATTAGGTAAAAGTGGAAAGGGAAAGGGTGGGGGTAATATGTAGAGACAGATATTTTAGGAGACAGCTTCTAGCTAAAGGAAGGTGTGTATTGCCTCCTGGTTCCCCATTGCCTTCGTTTCTGGCATCACCAGCAGTTGGAGATGGCCACCCACAGTTCACCATGTCGGAGAATTTAGAGTCCCTGGTTTCCTAAAACTTCTGTAAAAATTGAATGAAACAGCATTAGGCCTTCAATACCCAGACCCGAGAGGTAAAAGCAGAAAGAGATGGGGTTTTAAGGGGTAGGGAGCAGTAGAGGAAGGTACATATCCTACCTGTCTGCCTGCCAGCTGTCAAATTATTCTCCATAGCTAGCTGGCTCAGACTCCATTCGTGAAGCTACCTCTTACTGGTCCTCTTTATCATGTGACCTTTTCCAGAAAGTTCCATTCTCACTCCTCCTCTCTGATAATAACACCCACGAGTGGGACATAGCTCCCTCAGCCAATCAGTTCCGACTAGTCCCATGAAGCATCTGCCTATCAGACACACTCCAATTACTGTCACTCAGACTTCTCTCTGTCCCACAGCCCAGCCTCCTCCCTATATTCCATTTTTTCCCTTGTATAATGAATGCTGTTGTGAGTAGAAGTAGAGCAGTGACCAGACAGCAATATATGTGAACACAGACAGATATTTTTATTATCAGAAAATCCAAGTCTTTAGAAAAAAGTATATGATTACTAGTTTAAATACATGATAAACGATTTTACAAGTTTTTACTTTTTAATTCATGTCCTTGGCTCAAACAAAGTTGACATTTGGTTTCATGTTCTTAAGTCTTTTTAGTTTGTTCTGACTTTTGTTTCAGGGTTTAAATGCTTGACCTGAACTCCTCATCCAATGACGACTATTCAGAAAAAACAAACAAACAAACAAACAACATCCAGAAGGCTGGACACGGTGGCTCATGCCTGTAATCCGTGCACTTTGGGAGGCTGAGGTAGTCGGATCACCTGAGGTTAGCAGTTCTAGACCAGCCTGGCCAACATGGTGAAACTCCGTTTCTACTAAAAATACAAAAATTAGCCTGATGTGGTGGTGGGTGCCTGTAATCCCAGCTACTCAGGAGGTTGAGGCAGCAGAATTGCTTGAACCCAGGAGGCGGAGGTTGCAGTGAGTGGAGATCACGCCACTGCACTCCAGCCTGGGTGACAGGGCAAAACTCTGTCTCAAAAAAACAAAAAACAAAAAACAAAAAACAAAAAAAAGAGAGAACCCACATCTTTTTATTTAATACATGATACATTTTTAACAAGTTTGACTTCAAAGGAAATTTCTGTGTCATGAATTCTATTTCCTCACTGAATTTCATCTGGTATTAAAATAATATATTTTAAAATAGCATTTTTACCGAAAACAAAATGTGTTTCAGTAGACTTGATATTTTTGCGAGAAACAATGGTTCCTTTTGTTTAAGCTGTTTTGCAGCAACTGCTTTCTCCCTTCACTGAATCATAGACTGCTTCAGCAGTTCATTTTCTGCTTGAAAACAAGTACCTTCTTCTGGCATTTCTCGTCTACCCAAAGACATTAGAATTTTTTGTTCTTTTTTATTTGCCTTTTTATATTTTTAATTTTGAGTGTTTGACTATGGGGATACTCATGATTTTTCATAAAGTCGGGCTCTGAGAATCTGCTTTTTCAAAAGGATGACATTTACCACACAAATACCTCAGAAAATGAACTTGTTACATTTTGAGGCTTTAGAGTCTGTAAAACAAATTAATTTCTTATTTTATTTTGGCATTTTCAACCTGAATTCACTTTGAATAAGATACCAATGACTCTCCAATTAAACCTTCTCATATCTCTAAAACTCCCTTCTCTAACCACCTGCTGACTAAATTAACTTACATATTCCATGTGCGTTGTAAAAAGAATGTGCCTTACATACTGGAGTCAGCTAGCAACCCCATATCAGCTTGGTTCCAACAGTTTCCCAGTTCATGGAAAGCCTTCTTATTTAGTTTACTTGGAATAATTTGGCTTATTTTGCTTTACTGTTGTGGAATATATTGCTGTTACACTCTACGTGTAGGAATGCAGGATAAGCTTACTCAATGTTCTCTTAAATTGAACACTTAATAATTTTCCAGATATCACCTTTTGTTGGAACTCAAGAGTTATAAATGGCCCTTGACATACCAAGTCAGCATTTTGACTGAGCTCCTCTCTACCCCAAATGCAAGGGAACCAATAGTTAAGCGGGAATATCATTGCCCTATTCAGCCTAAAGAAGTTACAGAAGATGAATCTTCATCCTTCTACGAAGGAGAACCCTTAGGATTAAAGGTTCTCTTATAAAAGGGAGAGGAGAAATGTCAGAGGCATTTGAACAAGAGCAACTCCATCATGAGTAGGGGCTGGGTAAAATAAGGCTGAGACCTACTGGGCTGCATTCCGAGGTGGTTAGGCATTCTAAGTCACAGGATGATATAGGAGGTCAGCACAAGATATGGGTCATAAAGAACTTGCTGATAAGCCTGCTAAATCTCACCAAAACCAAGATAGCAATGAGAGCGACCTCTGGTTGTCCTCATTGCTACACTCCCACCAGCGCCATGACAGTTTACAAATGCCGTGGCAATGTCAGGAAGTTACCCTATGGTCTAAAATGGGGAGGAACCCTCAGTTCTGGGAATTGTCCACCACTTTCCCAGAAAACTCATGAATAATCCACCCCTTGTTTAACATGTAATCAAGAAATAACCATAAAAATGGGCAACCAGCAGCCCTAGGGGCTGCTCTGCCTATTCTTTGTTCCTTTACTTTCCTAATAAACTTGCTTTCACTTAAAAAAAATAAAAAAAGAATGTGCCCCAAAGCAAGGTGATTACATTCCTTTAAAATCTCTTCTTTTTGTATCCCTTTCTCTAATTTAGACTTACGGAGTATGAGGCCCAAGCATCTAATTCAACAGGTGATTTTGAAGTACAAGAGGGTTTGAGAACCACTGGCCTAGATTATTGTCCTAGCTTCCTAGTTGGTGCTCTGATTTCTTTTTTTTTCCCTCTCCAGTTTATTCTTCACATAATAAATTTACCTTCCTAAAATACCAGTTAGTGTATAAGACTCCTTTCTCAAAGGACTGCAATGAGTCCCTACTTTCTATTAACAGCCAAATATCTTAACTTCATTTTCAAGGATTTCCATTATCTGTTATCTTCTGCTCCCCTGGCCTCATCTACACCATTTCCTTCAACAGACCTCATGCTCTAGCCACATCATGCACTCTTTTAACATTGGTATCTTTGTTCTCTTTGCCTACAAAGGGCCCCTACTTTATTACTTACAACTTTAGGTGCCTCTATTGAAATTTCATTCTTCAAGAACCATTTTCTTTTCTTTCCTTTCTTTCTTTTTTAATTATTAATATTATTGTGATTGACAAATCATAATTGTGTACATTTATGGGGTACAATGTGATGTTTTGATATACATATACAATGTGAAATGATTAGATCAAGCTAATTCACATATCCATCACCTTGCTTACCTACAATTTTTTAAGGTGAGACATTTGAAATTTACCCTCTTAGTTTGAAATATATGATGCATTGTTATTGCACCCTGCTGTGCAATAGCTCTCAAAACCTATTCCTACTGCCTGTCTGAAACTTTGGACCTGTTTATTAACAACTCCTCATTCCCTCTCTCCTCACCCCCTAGCCTCTGGTAACCACCATTCTGCTCTCTACTTCTATGAGTTCAACGTTTTAAGATTCCACATATACGTGAGATCACGTGGTATTTGTCTTTTTGTGCCTGGCTTATTTCACTTGACATAATGTCCTTTAGATTCATCCAAATGAATGTCACAGTGACAGGATTTCCACCCTTTTATGGCTAAATAGTATTCCGTTGTGTACATATACCACATTTCCTTTATCCATTTGTTCATGGACACTTAGATTGATTCCACTTCTTGATTATTGTGAATAGTGCTGCAGTAAACATAAAGTGCAGATAACTCTTCAATATGCTGATTTGTTTCTTTTGGATATATGCCCAGCAATGGGATTACTGGATCATATGGTAGTTCTATTTTCAGTTTTTTGAGGAACCTCCATACTGTTTTCCATAATGGCTGCACTAATTTACATTCCCACTAACAATGTGCAAGCATTCCCTTTTTTCTGCATCCTTGCTAACATTTTCAATTAGTGAAATAATGGTTAAGAACATCTATATCAAATTTGTCCCTGTATCTTCTACTAGGTAGTAAGGGGGCTAATTGTGCTCCTTTATCCTCCCCCTTCCCAATGATTACATAGGCTATTGTACATATGGATGACTGTTTATGGATTTTTGTCTTATTATTGCATGACTTCCCATGCCTTCTGTGCAATAAGTATATGTGTATACTCTACAACATAGGTGCTAAGTGACTCTAAGGTCCCAAATTTCCTGTTGTGCTATGGAATTTCTGTTAAGCCTATCTTATTATTTCATAAGGATTTTAATAATTAAGGGTTGATTACAAATTCAATGATTTTTGTGTGCTTGGACTAAACTTATCGAATTCTAGTGCTGTTTGCATTTCACCAATTCTATTTGGTTGCAATCAATGGTTTTGTTGGCTAGCCATGTTAGTATCCTTTTCTTTGGTTTGAACGGTAATCTTTGTGTGCAGTGGGAAGAGATTAAAAGATATGAGAGAAGGCAGGGACAGATTGGAAGCAATCCTACTGCTCATAGATAGGGTGAATTGAAATTCTGCTTTCTCACTCTCTGCGTTCTAAGTTTTCTGTACACTTGACTGCTTCTGTGTAACAATGGTGATATTTGTTAGAAATATGGGTATAATATCCAGAAGTGATTCTTCTGAAACGGAAACTACCCATTTTGATTTGTAGGTTCTGCTATATTTCATAAATTGCACCACTTCTCAATCATATCATGTCTGTTTGTTTGATCAGTGCATGTTTGCTCACATCTGAATGCAGCTATATAAAACCAACATGACCTTTATGCCTAAGCAGTTCATGCAGGGTCTTGTAAGCTTCTGTTGATTAACTCTCCAAAGCCATCTTTCACATAGACACTGGTTACACAACTGTCATCCAAACACAGACCATCCATGATTTGAGAATAGCCCGACAATTCAGTCTTCCAAAGATCCAAATGACTTTGGTATTATCCCATCTTTGTTGATTTTCACATACTGAATTTCACTTTACTTTTGGAAGTGTGGATATTTGAGAGTTGGAAATAAATATATCCAAGGCTTACATTAAGTGCATTTATTTTCAAGGTATGATGTGGAGTTTTCCTTCATACAGTACTATTATTAGGGCACATTTTGTACAGGGGGAAAACAGAGACAAGATAAGTTGGGTGACTTTTAGGAGTTGATGATAGATTATGGGTGAGAAAAGGTGGCTTGCCTATAGGAAAGATAAAAGCAGTAGAATGAGGGTTGGAAGGCTGCCAAAGACAACTATCTATCTCACATTTTGGATGAAGACTGGCTCTGCCTTTGGTGCCATTTGTACTGTTCATCTGGGTGATGCTTCAGTAAAGAAATGCATAGTAATTGTGGTGATTCAAGTTGTCAGATTGCTAATGAGAGACACAAGTCTTTTTCTAGAAAGCAGATCCATCCTCCTGGGAGGATACAATGTGTAGAGTTGACAATTACACCATATAAATTAGTACTTGATTACAAGTTGCTTATATTGTTCACTCATGATTTTATTCTCTAGTCTGACCAACAAACATACTTAGAAACCTATTAAGTGCTAGCTGTTACAATGGCGAGCCATCTCAAACTTGGTCCTTGCCCTCATGGCACTTCAGTTCAGTGGGGGTTATTTGTATGAATAAATAAATAATTACAACGTGGCATAAGTTCTATTAATGGGGAAATAGCCACTGATCTCTCTCTCTCTCTCTCTCTTTTTTTTTTTTACTAACAGCTTCATTGAGGTATAATTTATATCACATAAAACTCATCCATTTGACACGGATTTTTAAAAAAGCATAAATCAGATCATACCCCTTCCCTGCTTGAAATTCTTCAATGGGCCTTCTGTTGCTGTTGAAAAAAGGGTAAAACTCTTCCACCTGGCATCTAATCTGTCCTGTCACTCATTCTGCTCTACCCAAAATTGCCTTCTGACTGTTCAGGGAAGACATCAAGCTGTTTTCTGCCTCAGGACTTTGACATGTACTGTTCCCTATGCATGAACTCTCCCTGTTTCGTCATGTAGCTGAATCTTTCTCCTCTTTCAGATTATGGTTTCAAAGTCACCTTTTCTGAAAGGCCTTCTCTGGCTACACTATGCAGACTTCCACGGTATTGACTTCCACAATCTGCCTTCTCTTTATTCATTGTCCCAGCACCTGTTCTATCTCAGTGGCAATTATCATAAGCTATGCAAGTCTGGTCTGAACAATACAATTATAAGGTTCTTAAGGACAATACACTCTGTTTTCCTTGCTGTGAAGTGAACAAGTTGTTGGACATACAGTGGTATATATAGAAAAAAACACTTACTGTAAAGACCTTCAGAGCAGTGCTACTCAAAATGTGTGCAGACTGGTGCTGGTTCATTGTTTGTTACCAGTCTGAGATGATATAAGGAAAGAAATGGAGGGTAAGTCTTTACCAACCTTCATAGGAACTTGACAGGGTAATATAATGGCTATTGAATGTAATACTAAAAATACTGAACTTATATTTTATATATCTTATTTTGCTTATTTCATTTTTTAAGTAATTTATTTTTGTTGCATGTTTACTGGTCCATGAAGATCTTGGGGGGAAAAACTGGTTCTTCTTCACAGGTAGTTTAGGAAGCACTGTTTTAGAGGACATAATCTGAGAGTTTGGGGAGAAGATAAAATGCTTTTAATTCATCTTGCTATAACATTGGGTAGGAAATGATCTTTCCTTGTTAATTTCAGGCAGGGGAGAGAGAGAAGAGAGACACAGTGCAGTGGTTGACTATAATAAAGGCATTTTGGGAGAGAGAGAATAGGAGTCTCAGAGTTCGCAACTTTAAGCTGACAAATGCCTGTGGCTTTTGAAATGCATGGCAGGAAGTTGGAAACCAGCCCAGTCCCCACTCCTCATTCCCTTGGTGTTCTATGTACCATTTCCATTTGGAGAAGAAAGTGAATCCTGAGCTACCAGAGAAGTTGTGCACCAGGAGAGGTGACTGGGCTCCCTGGCATTTGGGACCAGGGGGAATTTTTACCTGCAAGCCCACCTCCCTTGCCTGCAAAGCCAGGCTCCAGCCCAGTGAGCTCTGTGTTTACATGCCATCTGCTGAGGTGTCAGTGATCACAACACGTGGCTTTGAGCATTTGAATTTTTTATTTAGAACATAAAAAATGTCGGAACAAAGAAAGGGAAAGTAGAGAACAGAAGAAGAAGACCTGGAAGGGGAAGAGAGAAGGGAATAGTTGTTATTGGCAAGCAAAACAGCATAACTAAATCTTATTTAAACTTGTTTTCTCTCTAAGCAAAATAGGCCCTTCTGTTTTTCAAGTACATTCTGAGATCTGGTGAGCTGCAGAGTTCACTTCCTCAAGCTTGTTGAAGCTCCTGGCTGCCTGTTTGGGTTCAATCTTATGAGTAATGCTCTTGTTTTAGTAAAATTTTGGAAAAATTAGATGTCATCTAGTACCCCCCTTCCATCATTATTTTCTGGCATAAGTGAGGTTGGATGAGGAGGGAGAGAGAAGACGAAGCATAAGAAAAAAGGGGAATGAAAATGTGTGTGTGTGTGTGTGTGTGTGTGTGTGTGTGTGTGTGTGTGTGTGAGAGAGAGAGAGAGAGAGAGAGGAGGGAAGGAAAATGGTTAGACAGCAGGGAGTGATGGGGATGTAATTGATGCCTGTTAAGATACAGTTCATGTTGGGCTTTTGGATGGTTTTTTTCAAAACCAGATTCACAAAGGTGTCCTTTTTTTTTTTTTTTTTTGAGACAGAGTCTTGCTCCGTCACCCAGGCTGGAGTGCAGTGGCACGATCTCAGCTCACTGCAACCTCCACCTCCCAGGTTCAAGCGATTCTTCTGCCTCAGCCCCTCAAGTAGCTGGGACTACAGGCACATGCCACCATGCCTGGCTAAGTTTTTTTTTTTTTTTTTTTTTTTTTTAAGTAGAGACAGGGTTTCATCATATTGGCCAGGCTGGTCTTGAACTGCTGACCTCGTGATCCACCCACCTCGGCCTCCCAAAGTGCTAGGATTACATGCATGAGCCATCGCTCCCGGCCCAACGTGTCCTTGTTTTTAAAAGCCCTTTTTATCTCTGATCACTTCATCCTCATAAATTTAGAGCTTGTGCTTCATTTATTTACATTTGTGTCTTTGCAAATGCTTTTATGTGACCTTTGTGGTGCTGGCTTTCTATCTCACTGAGAAGCTTGGGTGGGTAAAGTGGGAAGAGCGAGGTGCTCTACTAAGAGTGTTACCAATCTAGATAGAAAACTTAGTTTGGCAATGGATTAGCTATGAGACTTTGGGCAAGTTATATATATTTTCTGAGTCCATTTTCTGATATGTAAAAGGCTTAGGAAGGTGGGTGGGCAAGAAGTCTCTCCTCATAGAAGTTCTGAGAAAATTAAATGAAAGTCTAAAGAAAACAGCTAACACATCAGAGAGGAATATAAGATAGATGAACTTTCTTCTATTTTCTCTTCTTGCACAATGACCTGTTTGATTGCCTGTAGCTCTCTACTGCTAACAGCAGACATTACCTAAATTCCTCCACTTAAAGGGTCAGCAATTGTCTCCAACTCTGGTACCAGTATCAACCTAGGCAGGGAAAATGTCAGGTCTTCTAAGGCAGTGGTTAACTGGTGCAACACTGAATGAGCCCTGCTATGGCTCATGTTCTCCCCTGGGCACTTCAATTGTTTGTGGGTTTTTGTTTTGTTTTGTTTTTGTTTTTGGTCTTATTTGGGGAGTGATGAACATCTGTTGTTGGATCATTCAATCCAGATCCAATTTGCCCTGTGTAATCTGCTAGACTGTTTTTGATTGATCCTTCAGATCCTCAGCTCTGCTTAGAACTTGGCTAAGAATACTCATATCTATCTTGGTTTTTGCCCCCTTGGACTGATTTTAAAGCTTTAGTCTGCCTTATAACTTTATATCCCCAAGGATAACGGGGCTCTGGTTTTGCTTCCCTGTTTGTGTCCTCAGCATTCACCTGGCCTACCCTGGCCCAAACTGAACTCCAAGAGGGAAGAAATGTAGATCTAGAAGCGACAGTGGTGTATTTTCCAAATTCTAGTCATTAGTATACCACCTTTTCAATTTTTTGCCATAGAGGTGGACCATCCGAACTATAATTTACTTAATATTTTTATTTACATTGACTGAGTTTCTTTTATCTATATATCTACTTTAGCCTCATTCTAAGGAATGGTATCTATAAAATCACAGAATTGCTGGGATAGTTGTTTTTCCAATATGTATTTAATATACATTCAAAACTAATAAGTTAAAAGAGAAGTTTTGCTATGTAGTATCTAAAATCATCTCATGTACATTTTGGGAAATACTGATCTTGTCTACGTCTGCATTTTACAGATTGATAATCAGGTTCAGAGGGGTTTGGTTTGCTATATAGCTAGTTAGATGAATTCTTGGGATTCAAACCTGACTCCTACCTCCTAGCCTCGTGCTTTTTTTTCTTCTTATTATTATTATACCACACTGCCTCCTGCCCTTGCATCTATTCCTAATATTACTCTAGGGCTCTACACACAGTAACTGAGCTATCATTACTGACATAGGTGAAAAAAACTAAATCACTTTACATAACATGCCTGACAATGCAGTGTAAAGCATCCAGATCCAGGACCTTACCATGAGAGATTGAGAGGCTGCTTGACTGACAGATTGTACACATGATGGCTAATTCTGGGACTAACGTTGACAAACAGCGCCATGTTAGAGAGAGTCCTGGAAGATAAAACAACAATTAATTACAGAACAACTCCTAAAAAATGACATCATCAACTGATACAAGAATTTCTAAGAGACTTACTTGCTCTATTGGGATGTCCACTTCTAGCCTGAGTAGATCACATCTCTGGGTTGTACTCCTGGTGAAATCTTCTGTTTCTTTCCGGGATTTCAACAAGCTAGAATTTTCTGCAGCTCATTGTCCACTCTGAAATGTACATCTTGACCTCTGAGAGGTCTTCGTTAAAGCATTCATGGAATATCCAAGTCTTCTCACTTTAGGATTGTTACCAGGGGAAGTTCCATGTAAATGTACAAAGATGTCTTTGCCAGATAGAGCTCAGTATCAAAGGGAACTGCAGGAAGTGATTCCAGGAAGCTTAGTTAAGTAGCTTAAATATTCTTGACTCTACATTTGTAGAAGAAAGCAGTGGTTTTGTGCTGTCTGTAACACCAAGACTCACATTGGACTTTGCTCTTTTGTATATAGATATCCACCCTCAGCTTTCATCCAGCTGGCTCATCTTGAAAGGAAACATCTTCTTATCTCCACTTCCCCTTTTCTTGACCATCCAACTTACTTCTAAATAGTTTTGGTTCTCTGTCTCTGTCTCTCTCTCTCTCTCTCTGTCTGTCTTTGATGGAGGCATTTGGGGTAATTTTTATCTGCTTTGAAAAAACTGGGAACCATGGACCATAGTAGGGATAATTTGGCTCATTATTATTATCATCAGAGATGAACAGCAGCTCCTATCTCTATTACCCAAATGCAATTTGATATAGAGTACAGGGACTTACACGGCTGAATTCAAATGAAAAGAGGGTCACTAAAGGAAGAAAAAGGGTGGCAGCTCAAAGCATGGTAAAGGAAGTCACATTTTCATTACTTAGACTGACATCATACTATACATTACTTTATTTTTAAAGGAACAGACTTTGCTTGTTCTTGTAGTAGACATTCCCCCAAAGTCTCATAATTCTGAGTTGTGTGTATAGGATTCAGTTTACCATTCTTTTTCCCAACGTTGTCCTAGTGATTTTTCTCTTTCAGTTCTATCACTCCATAGACTTTAATTTTTGTCAGGTCTGGATCTCAAAATTGCAATAAAAGCTGATTTAAAAGATTGTCAGTAGGCAAAGGATAAATTCTTGAGATGATGGGTACCCTATTTATCCTGGTGTGGTTATTGTGCATTGCATGCCTGTATGAAAATATCTCATATAACCCACAGATGTATACATCTAGTATGTACCCACAAAAATAAAAAAAATAAAAAAGTTTGTCAGTAGAAATAAGGAGACCCAGTTGGAATTATAGAATGGGAAAGGCCTTTACAGATCATCGGTCATGGTAGGCCAAATGAGATAGCCATTCTTATGCACGGCTCAGATCGCTCTTTAAGACAAAATCTGTCTCAAAGAATTAAGTTAGCTGACAACCTCCAGCTTCAGGTACCTTCAGATCTGCCTCAGTTTTTCAAGTGGAAGGTGTGTGCTTTCTGGGCTGCTGCCAGCTAATGACTGAGCAAAGTCGGGATGAAATGATTTGCCATTTGGAAGAAGCATAGGACTCCTCTATGAGCTATCTTTTGAACTGATCTCCTAGTTGTGTTGGCCAAGATTTTATCAATGCTACAGCACAGTCTGAAGCTTTTCCTATTAAACTTGCTTCCTTTTCCCTTCTGTTACTGGTATAGACCTGTATTGTGGTCTGAAGCTCTCCCTGCCTACTTATGTCCCTTTCCCTTTTATCTTTCACAGGTATTACTCCCAATAAATATCTTGCACTTCTAATTATTATCTGCTTTCAAATGACCCATCCGACACATCAATGACTGCCCCCCACCACTCCCACCTGAGTTAAAGTAATGGAATTGTAACACTGTCTGTAGAGTTGAAGTGACTTGCCCAAGGTCCCTTACCTTGCTAGTAGCAAAGTCAGTTTGACAACCCAAACTTTCTGATCCCCAGTTCAATGTTATATCTCAAACTTAGTCATTCATGTATAAAACAACCAGGTAGGCAAAACCCAGATTTTGCTATATCTCTTTATCCCCCTTGCTATTGTTTACTTGAACATTAAAAACATATTTTACTTTTGTTATATCTCTATTTTAGCCCTGTTTGAAGTAATAGTATCTATACAATTTCAATTTTGATATGCTAGTTTTATATTTTTCTAATACATAGTAAGGAAATATATTTTCATTAAAATAAAAAAGTTTGCGTGCGTATACTACCTAAAGTCACCTCATGTATGGTCAGTGATTGGTGAACCCTGCATTTTTAAACACTGTGCTATAAACCTTGCTGCTTTCTAGGACATACAAATAAGAGGAGAAGGAAAGGGGAAAGAGATGAAGGAAGAGGAGAAGGAAAGGGGAAAGAGATGAAGGAAGAAAAGAAGGAAAGAAGAAAGGAAGGAAGGAAAACAGAAAGGAAGGAAAGAAGGAGAGCAAAATATTTTCTGGTGAGAAAGTAATGACAAAAAGTCATCAATAACTGTATCAGGTGCCTTGTTGTGACATCCATATATCCTGACAAGCCACAGTTTAACCTCCATTGCATTAAAAAAGTCCTTTATTTGTTGGTTGCCTAAAAACCATATTGAAAATATATGGATGTAATTTAAGAATCAAGATTTCTTCTTCTAAAAGACTAGATTCATTTATTCCCAAAATGGACTAAGTGCTCCACTTAGAGCAAATTATTGGAGAAAAATGCACACTACATTTGAAAGCAGTAGCTCTAATCTGCATCTTATAAAGTGTTTGAATGCACATACCCCTAAGAAAGAGGTTTAAGTAACATTTCCTTTTTCATTTAAAAAATATTCATTATGAAAACAAAATAAGATATTAGATATTTCTTTGATTAAAAAATATAAGAATATAATTACAATAATCTTTCACCTTTGTTTCTATTCTTTTGGCTTAAGAGCTTTACAATGATCATGATTTTCTTGTGCTAATGAAACAAAATTGGGGTTAGAACTCATGTAATAACTTAATAGATTTTTAGTATTATAGCGATAATTTAACATTTCTCTTTCATTTCATGGAGATGGTATTATTCAGAACCTCTGCCAAACAGATATTACTAATTTAGAAGCAATTTTGTTAATTCCTAAACAAATTGTCCTTCCAGAGAAAGAAAATGTATAAAATAACCTTAATGAAATACTAGCTTCTACAGTGTCACAAATTTTAAAGGCATGGGAAGTTTGAAAGTAAAGATTCAAGTTGTGTTTTATGTAAGTAGAAAGGTGGCTATACACTTTGGCAGGGTCATATAATGTACTGTGTTGAAACCTACTCTGACATCTGCTCAAAAAGATTTGGTAGTGGTCTGCTTCTGAAAGGACAAATGCAGTACTGATCTGCACATATACTTGAATCAATTGGGAAAGAGTCAGTTTCCTGTGTCCCCAATTCCATGGTTTATCTTTCAAACCCAATTAAAATAGTTTACATTTCAAACCGAAATTGAATCTAAAAATAAGTAATGAATCATATCAAATTATTTTTTAAATTAGGAAAGAATATAGCTGCTTCACAGCTAAAACGACAGCATAATTGAAAGCAAGGCTATTGCATTCAGGTTTTGGTATTTACCGAAGTCATTTCTCCAAGTTTCTGGAGAAAGCATTAGGTACTTGATGTATTTCCTTTTTGGATGATTACAGAAAAATTCAAACTAAATAGGATATATTGCCCAGGGACACTTGCTTGTTCTTACCAGGTTAGCGAGCATGTAGTGATAACCTCTTGAGTGTTTCCCTAGGATCACAACCTGCAGAAAGAAGAAATAAGACATATTGCTTATTCAAGAAGGACATTTTCAATTGCACAATCAGTGGGGTGGCTAGAACAAAATGTTAGAGCTTTTATATACAGGAAAATCACAGTTAATTGGATCAGATTTCTTGTTGTTGCATTTCGCTTTCAACTAGATAAAACAGGAAGACTTGCTAATACCAAACTTAAAATGTCAAAACAAGGGGAAAAAAACTCCCTAAACTTTCAGGTCAATAGCATCACTGTCACTTAAAATAGATGGCAAAAGTGATGAAGCTGAAGATCCCCCACTCATGAACTCGATTTCTGTACTTAGCTTTTGAGATGGAAAATCAGCTGAACTTTGCATACAAAGTAGAAAATAGAATGTACAGTATTTTTTTTTTGTTGTTTTTATCTGGAATGCTAAGGGAATAGAACATTCAAGGAATGGGGTTAATGGGATTTTCAGGTTAACCGAGGTTGCTTTTGCTTATTGAAAACTTTTCTAAAATAATTATCTTCCTTTTCCTGCTTTAGTTTGAAAGACTTGTAATCGCTTGTACATCTTTTGGTGCTGATCATGATGCCTTAGGGCACTGAGGAGGGATTCCTCTCGAGGACACTTGGCAATGCCTGGTGACATTTTTGATTGTCACAACTGGGAAGGGTGCTACTAGCATTTAGTGAGTAATGGCCAAGGATGTCGCTAGACATCCTACAATGCTTGGAATAGCCCACACATAAAGAATTCTCAGGCCCAAAATGTCAGTAGTGCTAAGGTTGAGAAACCCTTCCTCAGTATCATCATTCTTACCATAATTTTTATGAATAATGCTATATTAGTACCAAGTCTAATAATAGGCTTTGTATTAATAAAAATGTACTTTGTACAGTTCACGAAGTACATTTTTATTATCTCAAAATATGTGAGTGGGCTGAATATTTTCCAATCAAATGTATTGGTTAGAAGTTAGAAGTTTTTGACTAAATAATTGATGTTTATTTCCTTGAAGCCAAATTCACCAAAAACTCTGGCTAACTGAGGATTTTTATTGAGTACTGACTGTGTACAAAGTACTACAATGAGTACCCATGGACGGAACAGGATAACATAGAGGTTAAAGACACAACCAGAGGTGGAACCAGGTTTTGTACTGGCCTGAAGCTAATGCAATTTTAGGATCTTTCTTTAAAAAAATATAAAATTATGAATGTCATAATTTGGAACAAGGCCTTGGAAAGAAGCTATGCAAGTGAGGGGCCATTAAGCTTAAGCTTTATGATAAATTTCTCTCTGGATGCAGCTATTAAAGGGTTTAGAACAAAGTGAGAAGGCCTCAAAATTGCACATATATCAAACCAGAACTATACATGAAAGATTGTAATAATAATAAGTCTAACTGTCCTTATTTGAGTGCCTAGTATATGCAGGCACGGTGCTAAGTGCTTTATATGTATTTAATCCCCAGAACAGTTTAACAGATTAAGTATCATTAGTCTCATTTTACAGATGAGGAATTTCAGTCAGAGAGAGTTTATGTAATTTTTCCAAGGCCACACAGCTAGGAAGCGGTAAAGCTGGGATTGGAATCTGGGTCCATTTGCCTCTAGAACCCATACTCTTGGCAGTACTTCACATGGTTTCTAAATATATGCTAAATAGCAAATGCTAGTAATTGCTATAAAGTCTTGGACAAGAGGAAGAAGAGATATTTAAGGCCTGATATGAACAGGGAAGGCTTCATGGACGAGGCAATGTTTAAGTTGACCCAGAGAAGTGGAACCATACATTTGACTATGATGCTGGCATTACAAGCCCTCAAGTCATTTCAACAAGTCATTTTAAGTATGTGTGTGTGTGTGTGTTTGTGTGTGTGTGTGTGTGTGTGTGTGTGTGTGTGTATGAGAGAGAGAGAGAGAGGACAAGAGAGCAGTTTTTGATTAATTTAAATTATGAGCCACATTTCTGACTGATTATTTATAGAGGAAATGAAAGGTTAATAAATGTCTTGAGGATGTGATTTCTCATGCTTCCATGACACAAAATGAGCTGTTAGGTATCTTCTGGGATGTATTCTTCAGTGTCCGCTTGCGAGAAACATCCTTGCCGGTGACATTTGTTAACTTTTGGTGGCAAGTTGGGACCATACATTTGTTGAATTTTTAATTAACTGACAACTCTCAACATAATAAAACCAGAGGGTTTTGAGTTCTGCTAGAAAAATGAGCAATATTCTTAAAGACATCTGGCAATGCTTAGAGGGGAATAAGGAAGGAATCCCAAGGAAAAGGAATACGTCTTTTTCATCAGAGGCAGAGTTTAGTGTTTTTTTGTGTGTAGAGAAGATGAGAGGGAGCAATAGAAGACATCAGTGTTGTGAAAAGAACAGTGAATGAGAACCCAGGACCCCAGTCTTGTCATTTACTAATTGTTTGTTTGTGGGCAAATTACTGAGCCTTCATTTCCTTATCTATAATCTGGCCCTGCCTATATCAGAAGTGTTGCTGGGATCAAACTGGATAATGTCTCCAAAAGTGTTTGAGGCTGGGTGCGGTGGCTTACGCCTGTAATCCCAGCACTTTGGGAGGCCGAGGCAGGCGGATCACCTGAGGTTGGGAGTTTGAGACCAGCCTGAACAACATGGAGAAACCCCATCTCTACTAAAAATACAAAATTAGCCAGACGTGGTGGCAGATGCCTGTAATCCCAGCTACTCGGGAGGCTGAGGCAGGAGAATCACTTGAACCCGGGAGGCGGAGGTTGCAGTGAGCTGAGATCGTGCCATTGCACTCCAGCCTGGGCAACGAGAGTGAAACTCCATCTCAAAAAAAAAAAATGTTTGAAATGTGCATTATTTAAGTGTGTGATGCTATATAAATGTGGGAAGGGGTCATTCATTGAGACATTGTTTTTCAGGTTCAGAAAAACTTGGAGCTATCAAGATATCTGCTTTAATTCAGGCCCACTTTGGTCTGCTCAGAACAAATTTACTTATTTGAAGGTAGCTGTCTTATAACAACACCCTTTCAAAATTTAGCTTTAAACTGGGATAGGAAGCTTATCTAAAGATAGGAACATTAAAGTGTCACAAAGCTGATGTATTGAAGCCCATAATTAATTCCTCATCCTTGCTTTCAGTGCCTTAACTCTTACTTAACATATAGTTCTTACCAATCTTGGTTTTCCAGTTCACAGTAAATTAAAAGCTGCAAACTAGAAAGGGTGTGTGTGAAGGGAGGGACTGATATTAGAAAGAGGTACATTAGTAGCAGTGGAAGTGACAGACTGACTTAAAGGAGAAAGAAGGGATGAGAAAACGAGACAACATCATACTAGTGCACAGTATAATCATGGATGTTCCCTAAGTCATCAGGCTATGGTTTATTGTGTTCAGTAATCTCTGCTGAAAAACCCAGGGATATGCATATTTTAGGGAAGGTTTCCAGAAGAAATGCTCAAAGTCCCAATACTTAAGACAGTAAATTTCAGTTATCTTGAAATCTTACTTACGTGGAGCAGCTATGATCCTACTGATGTGAGCTACAGGAGCCCTCACCACAAAAAGTGTCATGTTTTGCTCTTGATCTTTCCCTTTTTTGAATTTTTGGTACAGGGCTTATGGGAATAGGGTGGGATGGGAGGATTGTACTTAGTGCGATGCATAATGGAACTAGTTAATGGGAGTGGTTCTTGTTCAGCTCACCCTAAATCTTTGTTCTTTCCATCTGTTATAGATGAACAAGGCATAAATTGTACCCTCAGTTACTTAATGACTCTGGTAACCAAAAGAATATTCAACTTTGCTTTTACAGTAATTATAATAGCTCTTTCTGAATTAGTTGCAGAACTTCAAGTATAAAAGCTGTTTTTACAGTCGACCATGAAATTTAAGGAAGAAATAGCAAGTTTCCAAATCCATGTTCTGTATTCACTTTGCTTTTGTAAGATTTGTTGGAGATGATGGATGGCTTGATATGATAGCAGATATATTAAATGTAATAAGGGGAAATGTGTGAAATATAGATAAAATTTATTGTTTTAAGGAAATTTATTTTAATCCTCACATATAGGATCTGAAAGAAAAAAATGCCACAATCCTTATTCACTGAAGCTTTATCAGTAGAGTTTCATTCGTAGAAGAAAGAGCTCTTACATACTAACACACAGAGTGATGCATATAGCATCAAATTATTTGTCAAAGAAGTTAGTGAATCATAGTCAACCCATTCTGGGGAGACTTCCTCTTACTGGCCCCCTCCCCATATCCACTCATCTGTGAAACTGGGGGTTGGGTATCACTGAGCAGTTAAAAATAATTCATAAAATATTCATTTGGTTTTCTATGTAAGAGGCCCTTTCCTTTTCAATTTAATGTTTAATCTAGACATTTTCATAATTTTAGAAATTTGAAATGAAATTGCTCCACAAGACTACTTGAGAGAGGCCCACAGATCCGTTGGGAGGCAAAAGCATCTGTTTTTCTATGCTCACATTTTAGAAAAAAATATGTGTGTGGAGAAGTGTGTATGTTTTTTTCCCCCTTAGATCCATCTGGTATGCAGATTAGGTTATTTGTAGACCTAAGTATCTCCTTGTTTGGATTTTCTACATCAGCGCCAAAAAAGGATCTATGTATAAAGATTGATCTTGCTTTGAGTACAGAACAACATGCCTTGATGCTCACCTTACTCTATTTCTCTTTGATTTAGGCATCCTGCAAATGTCTGAGGGGCTAGGAGAGAAGTGTGGGTGTGGGGGATTGCTGGTTTAATTCACCAAGTTTTCTTCATTTATTGTATGAATACTTTCTCTTTAAGAAAAAGCTATTAGACCACATTCTTTATGTTCAAAGAGGGGATATTTTTCAGCCCCCTTCATTTTTTCCTGCTCTCCTAGTTAATTTTTTTTTAAAAAGATACTGTTGTCCTATGGCATCCTATTTACATTTGGCTATGTTGGAAGTTGAATAAGAGGTGTGCTACAGAAATCAGCCTTAAAACATGCCATACTTTACAGAAGAAATCTTCCATATGATAAAAGGCATTCATCTTCATGAATAAAACCCCCAAGGTACTAAATTGCCTGAGTCTTCGTAAATACATACCAGAAGTCAATTCTGTTAGAATTATTTTCTAATAATCTTAATCTGCACACACATGCTCTCCTATCACCGAATGACAATGCTTCATATTGCAGTCATCTGACTTGAATAAATGTGCTGGATTAGTGAGGCAGAGAAGAGCCAATCACCCATACCAAAGTCAGCCCAATGGTAATGGGGGTGGGGGTGGTACAGATGGAGAAAGACAGGCTGAAGCTTTTTGTAAAGAAGGAAAACGGAAGTATAACCGAGGAATCTCATCAATGCTTATGCTATCTACAGGGAAGCTTATGCAGAGAGAAGGCAATTGAATAAGGCATCAAATAAAATGCTAGGATGTGAGGATTAGAGAACAAGGATTTCACCAAAGAACATGTCTTTGGGAAGTTTCACTTTCCAGACTTTAACATTGCATTCATCATGACTCAATGGAATACATGGAAGATTTAATGCTAAACAGCAGGAGAGGCAAAGAACCAACGCAAATAAGAGGCAATAAATGGCCATGAATAAATTAAAGGAGCAACAGATTATTATTGGTATTGGGGATAAACAGCCATTTAAATACATGTTGACCTTTGTGGGAACACTTCATTGTCTTAATCCTAAAACAGCATTTCTCAAATTTCACTCCTTCACAAACGTCCTTAATGATTTTTGTCTTATCTGCATATCACATGACTATTATTTACTTAATTTTTTCCTTTATAGCTAGTCACTACTTAAATCTAGTCATGTCCAGAGGGATAATATCAATGACACTAATACAAGAAAATAAATACAACTGTATGAAAATAGAATGTATTCATCTAGGTGTCACTGAAAATCCTCTTGTGTACCACCAGGGATGGTGGGAAATATTGCCTTAAAGCCATCATATCTTTAGGGGAGAGAATGTAGATCAGGTTTCCCTGTCCTGATGAAAGGTTAGTTTCCCATTTATGGTTGAAATTTTAAGAATATCTTCATCTACTTTCAAATCTTCTTGAGTATTGTAAAGGAGCAAAATGATGGACAGAGTTCGGAAGGTAGCAAATGATGCCTGGGACTGTGTAAAAAATCTGGAAACTTACAAAACCATTTCCTGAGGCAATTTACATGTATTTTCCCACACAGGATGCCTGCAGCTTTGATCAGCTAGAGTCCTTGGTCATGGGTCCAACAGTAAATACTTTAAATTCCTGGATCTTTCCACCAGCCAGCATCCTGTAAAATGATGCTTTATCAAGCTATGTTGCATTTTCAAATGCTGTTCTTGGAGTACCTTATCTAGAGGACTTTTCATGGCACCCTGTTTATATTTGGAAATATTCTAGATTTTTTTTGGAAGGCAGAATTGGAGTGATTTTTAACTAGTATTCAATCTAGAGTATCACAGCAAAGGGAAATTAGTTTTTCTTTAACACGACCATGTTTATGACTTCTGTAGCTTCTCTGATATTAGCTATCTCCCCAAATTAGCAAGAAATTTATTTTAGAGAGTAAATTTTAAATTACAGCATTCCTGATATCTTCTTTTGTGAAATTTACTGTGAACTATTTATATATTTCTATATTCACATTCACAACAATGTTTGGTTTTAATATTGACACCCTTATTCTAAATATCAAATTGTATCTTTGTGTTCTCTATAGACTTTGCAAAATCATTTGGGCCCAAAGCAATATAATCATGAATATCTGACAGATATACTGAAAGCACTGTATGGGTACTGAGTAGCAAGCTTGAGAGTGCCAGTGAACTCATTACTTTGATTTTTTATTTTTTAAGGAATGGCACCATCGGGTATATGGCTGAGTAGTTACTCAAATGTGTGTTATTTCCAGCCACAGCTACTTGAGGGTGGGTGGGATAAAACAAGACTTCCTTCATTGGCTCAAGAGTCACACCTCTCCATCTTTAGGTTTTTATTAGGATCAATAACTCGTCACACCTAAAATGATACCTTACAGTGTTTAAACTTGTAAGAGTCTAAAATTCTTTATAAATGTTATCTGAGTTGCCCTTAAAGCTGCAAACAAATTGGTATTTATTAAAGGTGATGTACTAGAAAGAGACATAAACCTCGAAGTCGGATGGTTCTGGATTTAAATCCTGCCATTTACTTATTAGTTCCATTATTGTGTGCAAAATTTAAGCATGGCTGGTAGGATATTGTATTAGAGACCAAGTCCAGCCTAGAACAATGGAGCCTCCGAGTGGGGAGGGAAGAGAAACATATGGGGATGTAGAGGGTGGGATGTTCTCCTTTTGAACTCCCTAGGTATGCCTCGTCTATGCATTTTCCATCTGTGCAGTGCTTCCAGCACTTGATATCCTCATCTATGGAGATTTTCTGATTGCTGAAAGAAGTGAGTGAACATGTTTATATTTTCGAATAAAAGTAAATATCTCTGAGAAACCTAATGTGTTCTTTGGGCCTTTGATTTTTCAGGATAGTTGCTTACTTGGCAGATTTCTCTTTCTACTGGGAGCCATGTCATTTAAGTGGATCTCAATTTGCAAATGGATGACAAATGATAGAGGCTTAGTTCATGGGAGGCAAACACAGAATTCTCTTAATTCACAAATGTTTGGTTTGGTCTTTCGCTCCTGCTATTTGCATCTGGCATTATTTTCCCCACTCTGCCAGCTCATCCACCTTTCTGATCACACTGACACGCTAACAGTTCAAGCACCCTAGGCAGAATTATAGACTTTCAGCGAAATACAGGGGGCTCTTGAAAGCCCATTGTTAAATATTCAGAAATTTTGTGAGCCAGTTATTAAACCATTGGTTGCTTGAAATCAGCCATGATGAGAGTACTAACACCACAAAAATCGAACAATACTACAAATCAGGGCTTTTTATTTTGCTCTCTGGGAGCCAGTTTTCCAGCATACCACTGGATTCAGAAAGAATATTGATTAAAATCTCAAGTGGATGGAAGGGCTGCATTTATTAACCACATTTCATTATTCTCTTCTTTTAATGAACATTTTTGAATGCCTGCTCTGTGCCAATTCTGGGGCTGGACCATGGAGATACAGAGGTCACAGTAACCTGGTCCTTAGCCTGGAGGATCTCACATTCGAGTGGGAAAGAAAGCCAAGTTAACAGACAATTATAACCCAGTGGGAGAAGTGCAAGAACAGAAATATGTACAAGGTACAACTGAGGAGAGAATGATTAACTCATAATTTGCTATAGATAGAAAGTACTTTGTCTCCAACTAAAGATCTAGAGAAATTTTTCCTGTAGCTTTTATAAGTGGGAACCTGACAAACAGGTAACTTAAACAGAATGCTATTTTGAAAATGAAGAGAGATGTGTTTTAGAGGGCTATTTCTCTTGATTTCAGAAGAGCCTTGCTCTTTTACAGTGCTTACACACTAGGGGAAAGATTTTTATTGGGAGCAACTATAAGCATTTGGTGTGATGGTATCCAGGGCTGACTCCATAAGAATTGGAGTGGTGACTGAAATGATTGGTGAAAAAAGCTAAGTTACAGAGGGTATGAATGATTAGATAGTAAATAGAATGGTATCTGCTAAAGACAATGTATCCCAGCTTTGCCAGTTATAAGCTGTGTAACTTTAGGCAAGTTACCTAACCTCTCAACCTCAGTTTTCTATCTGTAAAATAAGGATTACAATAGTCGAGAGGCAGTAGAGTAGGGTAGTCAAGAGTACAGGCTAGACTGCCTGGCTTAGAATTCCTACTTTGCTGTATGACTTTGGGCAATCAACTTAAATATTCTGGGTTTCAGTATCATTATTTGTAAAATGGGTCTACCATTAGTACCTATTTCATAGAATTGCAGTGAGGAATAAATAAAATAATGTATCTATAGTTCTTAACAGATTGCCCAATGCTTATCCTATATTAGTTATGCTCTCCCTTCCTTACTCCTTATTTCAATGCCTCTTCCCTTCATCCCTCTCTGTAGAAATCACATCAATCCCTCAAGGCGCAGGTCATATGCAACCTCCTCCAAGAAGCCTTCCCTGATTTTTGTTCCCCAAGCTCAAAAGGTAGAGAAGAGGTTTCCTGCTGCTGTGGGATGGGGGCCGTGGAAAGGCATCATTACTCAGGTGCAGAGGAGTATTGGGGCCACTGGTTAGGATGGCACTGGGCTGGAGATGGAGGGAAGGAGTTGAGGTTTGTACTTGGAGTTTGGGCGTTTATGCTGAGAGTGCAAAAAGGACAAGAGAAGAGAAGCTGGGGGTAAACTGACAACAAAGTAACCCGCACTGCCACCTTCCCCTGCGCCATCCTCTCCCGCCCCTAGCATTGATCAAAACCATGAACTCAAACTCTACAGTAGCCTTGTTTGGGAAGGAGGTGTGTGTGTGTGTGTGTGTGTGTGTGTGTGTGTGTGTGTGTGTGTGTGTGTGTGTTGTGAAGGGGGGCTCCCACTCAGAGACAAAGGAGCACAGGTCATAACCTAACTGGGCATGTGCAGTCATCACAGTGTTTCCAATACAGGGGAGAATAGGGGTTGGGGGTGGGCAGTGAGAGAGGTGAGAGCAATAATTTGGCAGTCAGTAAGATGCATATCTCCTCCGCATTGTAGAACATTGCCTAGGCGTCTTGGGCTGCCCTACTCTGACAGTAGCATCTAGCTCTTGGCCTTATTCGTGCTTCATTATAGGAGCAGGGAAGCATAACTATTCCAGGCTTTCTTACTTGACTCCACAGAGGCCTTGGAGGTAGAGATAGCACTAAGGAACATAATCTACATTCCCTTGAGGCCAAGTCTACATGGATGTCTTAGGACAGTATTTCTCAAAGTGTACACTATGTGGATCACCTGGGGAATCTAGAAAATGCAAGCACCTGAGCTCCTCTCCAGGGACTCTAATTCTCAAGTCTAGGTTAGGGCCAGGGAGCCTGCATTTTAACATCTCACCTTTGGTGATTCTGATGCACACTGAAATTTAAGAACCACCTTTCCATCTGATAATAAATGCACTTTGAAAATCTAAAAGCAGGACCCTCAATGATGGGATCCTCATCAAAGTGGATAGGAAGGGACACACTGAGTCTATGAGGTGGTCCCTTAGGGATCACCCATGGTGAGTCCTGGGTAGGCAGGGAGCAGCATGAGGAAATTCACCCAGACTCCTGGGAAAGGAGCCAAAAAAGAATTTCTGAAACATTGTTGTTTTAACCAGGACTCTCCTGAAGGCAGACCCTGAGACAAAGATTTGAGGGCCAGTAGTTTAATTGGAAGTGATTCTATGAAGAACTAGTAGGGGAGCGAGGAAATGAGACAGGGAGAAGAAAGGTGACAAAACAGTGTATTAATCAGCAAATTACCTCTGGGACCTCTGGAGGTGATGGACAATACACCTACCAAAAGGGCCAGGAAGTTGGGGTCTTTGACTTTCAACTCCCATTCACCATTAGCTTATAACTGCTTTGGGAAATATTAATTCCTCCCTCACTCTTCTGACTTGTCTCACTCCCAGGCTGAGAGAAAGTCTTCAAGAGGAGAACAGCATGTGCCTACAATAGGATGCTTTTGGCAGGTATAGGAAAGGTTAGTGCTGAGGGGATATGGGTAGGGCACCAACAGCATCTGCTACACTGCAATCACCTTATGTCACATATGTAACACTTTAAAGTTTATGTATTGCTTTGACATACAACACTGCAAGTGATAAAACAAAACAAAACTGTGAGTTGGGCAGTAAAGCATAGTTAATGATAAGAGTGCACTCTGGAGTCAGATCGACCAGTTCTTCCTCTTCCAAGATGAGGTGATATTTCACAAGTCGTTTTACCTCTCTGAACCTCAGTTTCCACATCTGTACATTAAGAGTAACTAGGACACTTACTTTTAGGGTTATTGTGAGACCTAAATGAGAAAATGCTTTTAAAATTCCTAACAGAACAACTGCAATATAAGGGGATTCAACCAATGCTGCTTCCCATTCTCCCATCCCTATCTCTACTCATCTCTTGTACTCCACAGCATACAGCCCCAGTGTGTGGCACTGGAGTAGTTCTCAGTAAATGTTTCACAGCCTGGGCAACATAGTGAGACCCTATCTCTAAAAAAAAAAAAAAAATTGCCGGGCATAGGAAGGAGGATCGCTTGAGACTAGGAGGTCAAGGCTACAGTGAGCCATGATTGCGCCACTCCAGCCTGGACAATGGAATGAGATGTTCAATCTCAATCTCTCTCTCTCTCTGTCTCTGAATGAGATGCTCAATCTCTCTCTCTCTCTCTCTCTCTCTGTCTTTCTCTCTCTCTCTCTTGCTTTCTCTCTCTCTGTATATGTTATCTATATAAATATTCTGGAAGTCTTAAACAATAGTACATCCTGAAGAAAAGTCCAGATTGCCTATGAAACAGTAGAAGATGGCCTATTTAAAATAATAGAAAATCTGAAAAGTGTATTGCAGAAAGTGTACTGAAAGGATGGGCACTGAACAAGTTTACATGCAGGGGATAGAACCAGGGAAGGCTTTCCACTGGAGAAAAAAGAAGGATCTTTAGACTAGGTTTTGAATGATGAGGGGAACTGTTGCTGGCAGGGAGAAGAGAGGATCCCAGGTGGAAAGATGCCCTGGATAAAAACCTGGTGGTGGGATGTAACAAGACAAACGTTAGCTAAAATGTACTGAGCTTTTGTTATGTACAACGCATGGTGTTAAACGATTTTTTCACACACTTCATCTCATTGAAGCTTCACCACAATCCTTTAAGGTAGGCATTGTTATTGATTTTATATTCCAGGTAAGGAAATTGAGGCACAGAGAGGTTGGATAATTTGTCTCATGCCTCACAGGCTGAAAATGATAGAGCTTGAAGTCAAAATCTGATTTATCTGACTCAAGAACCCAGGAACTAAATGTTGGAAGCTGTAATAATAATTATTGATGATAACAACTGTCACTACTATTGTGGGATGGTCAGCTCCCACCATGAATTCAATTAAAAAAAGACTGAGTACCTACCATTATTATGTATTATTACCTAAGTGGGGAACAGTTGTGGCCCGAAACTTTGGAAATTCTCCTTTGTTGCTGGGCATCCAGGGAATTCCCTTTGGTTTCCCCTAATTATTTTGCAAAGCTTTGTGCTTGGTTCATATGATCATGGCTCCAATTTTCGATTCCCTATCAGCATATGACATGAGTTGTCATTGTTTAATCACAAGCTGCACTTGTGATGAATGTTGGATAATCAGAACAAAAGCACAGGAAAAATAACTAGAGCGAACCAAAGGGAAGTGGCTCACAGCCTTTAACAAGAGACTGTGAAGGTTTCTAGGACTCAGTCCCTGAAGCTCTGACAATGTATTTTGATCCTTGTCTGAATGCAAATGAATGAGTCCATCAAATCATAGGCAGCTTGTCACAGTGCAGGTTATTTAGCTAGTTAATTAAAAGTCTGAGTGAGCTGGTACCTCTCTGCACTGGGTTCTGAAGATAACCAAACCTGTGTTCTGACCAGGCAAGTTAATTTAAAATAAGTGACCTCAATTGGGTAATGGCTGCGAGTTCAAATTCAAGAATCGCTATAATTAGTCCCAGATGGATCTTAATTGTTCTTTCAGGAAATAGAGTGGGGATGGGGTAAAGAGAAATGTCCAAGCCCAAAGTAAAGGTTATTAGCTATAGCTATACCTTTCAAAAGCAGGGGGCGCTGATTGGGGCAGGCATAGTTAATGTTGTATAACAAGAATTTCATTGCTGTCTTTCCAAATGCATCCCTTTAGATGTGGTACATAAAATAGGTCTAGGTCTTTAGGAAATAAGGATTAAAATTTAGTGCTTTTAACCATGTGGTCTTAGGCAAGTTATTTAACCTTCTTATGTCTGTTTCTCATCTATGTAATGAAAAAAAAAAACCCACTCTTAGTCCTATCTACTTCAGAGGATGAAGAAGCTACTTCAGGAAAAATCTTTGAAAAATATGGAAAGCTCTACAAGGCAGTGTTTACTCTTGCTTTAGTTCAGGAAAGTTTCCTAATAAAACATTTTTGTTTTTAAAGTATAAGCCTGCTTTAGGTGTGGCCTCTCATTTTTTCTTTAGACTCCGTGATAAACCAGGTACCTTCTGAGCTACACCTCTCAGAAAGTGAAAGGATTATAGTGGGCAATATGTTTAGCACAATACCTGTATGGTGGTACGTGATATTCTAATTTCTTAGATGCACCCACAGAACTGAACACGATTTTGGCTTTCTAAGCTTTTGGAGGAAATCAGAGAGCACACAAATTTAGCATTGTTTGTTATGAAATCAGATCCTTCTCCATTTGTGTTAATATAGATCTTTTACTTGAAATTACCTGCTGGCACAGACTGTGGTGCTGCGAGGTTAGTGTAAGCCATGGTGAGAGAAGGATGGGTTTAGCCTCACTCATTTTTTTTTAATGAATGCTTGGGTTTCCTTTCAGTGTTCTGATACATTCTAATTGTCCGTATCTTTCCAAGCCCTGAAGCCAAAAGTAATAAGAATTTGTACAATGGTAAAAATGAAATAAGTTACAAAAAATCATAACGCAATGTGGAGCCTTGGAAGACCAAGAATTTGACCATCTGGGGATACACAAAATGACCACATTTGAAATTGCTTTTTTGTTTCCCCTTAATTCCACCTTTTAAAGGAAATTGTATTCTGATGCCCATCTGAGTTCCCTGTAATGGAATATAAGCATTGAAAACAGACATTTACAACCTGTGCCTACTGACAGTAATAACAACTGTTTATCCATCAACCCTAACTAAAACTCATTAAAGGAGCTTGCTTTTAAATCAGAGTCTGCATTCTATCTTGTTAGATGAGCCAAGCAAATAATGGAGTTGTATTTCCCAGAATTGCATTGCTATCTAAGGTCTGTGCCCTTTGCTGAAAAGAGCTTGAGGTCATAATGAACAAATAAACAAACAAAAAGCTCTGGCTCCCTGTTGTTTTTCATCGCTGGGAAACACCCATCCGTGGCAGGGAGCAGCAGAGAACACAGCTTTGCTAGGGTTTTGCAAAGGTTTAAGTCATCATAGGGTGAATAGTCATTTCTACAAGTCTCCCTAGAGAGCTCCTGCTGTGTGTGTACCGTGAGTAAAATCCACAAAGTGGAATGCATATAGGACTGAGAGTTAGTCTCCAAATGATAAACATCAGGACTTTTTTCCTAAAACAAGTCAAGAAGCATATTTATTTAATTCAACAAATATTTATTTAGTACTTACTAAGCTCCAAGCTGTTTTAGATGCAAGGGGTATGACAGTTAACAAAACACAAAACACCCTGCCCTCATGAAGCCTTATATTCTGGTTCATTTGTCTAGTGCACTTCCCCCTGTGAATTCCTATATAATCTCTACTTCTCATCTTTCCCTCAGTCTACTAATTATTTACCCAACTTAGGGCACATGTCTTACCATCCCAATTAAATGATATGTCTTTGAGGACAGGGCTCCAGTTTCATACTTCTTAGAGTGCACATCATCCAGTACAGTTGCCTGTATGCAGATATACAATTAATGTTTGTGGATAATGAGAAAGGAAAGGACTCCAAAAACTGGGAAGAAGGGTGGGAAGTAATATTAACTTTAAATTTTATCTCTCTGGTTTAGTATGCTTTCATGTGAATAGGCTATCTTAATCTAAATGCTAATTACAGACAGTTGGGTGGGATGTGAAATGGGGGTAAGAAGGCAGGTGACCTATTCAGGTGAACCCATATATAGATGCTTATTTGGTCCATGTAATGGCATAGTCTTGGGTGGTGTGGCACCAAGAGTGTGAGCACTGGAGTAAAATCTGTGTTTAAATCCTTGCTCTTTCACTCACTAGTTGTGTGGCCATTATGTATGTCAGTCTCTCTCAGCACCCCAGTTTCTTCACTGTAAAATGAAGGGAGGTGGTTTAATGCCTAAGCAGAATCGTCTCATTTCAGATACCATGTTAGTGTACTGGCAGACGGAAAATGTCTGTTTCTTGAGGATCCAAAGGTCATGATGAAAGGTCAAGTTGTGTTCTGGCCAGTATAACCCGTATTCTTATTAGTATCAGGTTTTACTGTTCTGTCTTATGACATCTGAGTCAGTTTCAATTTTTGAATCAGCACTTCTTACTAGCGTTCATGCTGACACATAAGTGGGGATTGTCATACTTATGCAATTATACATTTCCATCCCTTTCCAAACCAGATGATCTTCAATGGGTCCTTGGAAACTTAGTTCAACCAATCCTGAGGAGAAAGGCCTTCCTGATCTGAGTCAAGCTGAGTTAGGATGTTTCTTCTACATTTCCATTAAGATCTGTGTTCCCCTCTGCCACTGCTCTTATCACACTAGACTATGATCATCTGTTTACTTGGCTGCTTCCCTATGAACTATGAGTTTCTTGAGGCCTGGAACTATGTCTTATTGGTTTTTCACTTTTTCTTTACTAGTCCTTATCCAGGACTACAGAGATAGGCAGTGTGATTAGTCATGATGTCTTGCTTTTTATGGAGAGCTTGAAATTGTTTCCTTAGATTTCAGAGGACCTACTGGAAAGGATTGTGCATAATAGCCTTCTGTTTTCTTTTTCATGCGGTTGAGAAGATAAAACCACTCACTTGTTCCTTCTACTCTAAATATTATTCCTATTTATGTAGATTCTATGAAGAAGATACTTGAGTAGTAGGTCCTTTTTAGTTTCTACAAAGAACCTAGTCTGAGATGGTTCTCTTTATGCAAAAATATCTCTGTTAGATATGTTGGATTCTGTTGTAATGACAGAACCATCCCCATGAAACATCCTAGTCTTCCTCTGGAGTACAGTAAAGGGAAATTCCTATCTGACAACTTTTAAGCTAAGCTCTGAACAAAGCAAATAATATGGAACACATAAAAACAGTTTGTAGACTGAACAGCTTTGTCTATATTTGGAGAAACCATACCATTTACTATTGGCTCATAAATCCTCCAGTACCTAGACCATTATTAACATTGCTCTTTTTCATTAAAAAATATAGTTTGATGGGGCCAGGCATGGTGGCTCACGCCTGTAATCCCAGCACTTTGGGAGGCCGAGGCAGGCGGATCACGAGGTCAGGAGTTCGACACTAGCCTGACCAGTATGGTAAAACCCCGTCTCTACTAAAAATACAAAAAATTAGCCCGGCGTGGTGGCACATGCCTGTAATCCCAGCTACTCGGGAGGCTGAGGCAGGAGAATTGCTTGAACCCGGGAGGCGAAGGTTCCAGTGAGCCAAGATCACACCACTGCACTCCAGCCTGAGCTACAGAGCAAGACTCTGTCTCAATAAATAAATAAATAAATAAAATATAGTTTGATGGCATGAAATTGTCACGCATGCATTCTTGACATGGGTAACAAAGAGTATGACCTGTAGGTCACTGAGTGCTAAGAACCATAGCAGGAAGTGGCTAGGATTTCATGTTTATTGTCTTTGTGGGGTTTAAGATTACTGGCTGTAGTTTAGCAAGCAGTGTTGTGGTGGAGGCTGCAGTTGACAGAGTCGTTGGGGAAGCATACCAGTGGGAAGTTTTCTCAAGTGAAAATCGTTCTCTGACTTAGTTGCAGTAATTTACCCTCAATGCTTTATTTTCAACAGGTTGGGTGTGAGATGTAGCCACACCCAATTCTCACAATCTGGGAAGGAAACACGGACAACATTCCTCCTCCCTGATGAAAGAAAATGCAGGGCTGGGCCTGCTGCCACCTTTTATTGATGGGGTTAATGCAGAAGAGCTAATGGCTCTGTTGGGAGATGCACTTTTCTGCCACTGCTTGCAACTCTCTGAGTGGCTTGGTGGCGGTTGCCATGGACACCAAATGGTGAAGGGGCTTCGGTCAGAGTTTGAAGGATTATGTTGTGCTTGAGTAGGTAAGACTGAAATTAAGTTAATGTGTGCAAAAATAAGGTGTTTTTTTCCCCTTTGCACCTTTGAGAAAACAGCAACAAAGTATTCTGTCAAACAACAATTGATTTTATGTTGGTCAAAGGAAGCAGGAGGAACAATTTGTTGAGTAGGAAGTTTTCAAGTTAAGCACAAGTAGTAGTTTGAAATAGGTCAAGAGGACTGAAAAGGACCCTCAGAGCTGTTCAAAAGATAGTGATGGCAAGGTACTTAAAAGTGCCCACTAAGAAGCTTTCTACAGTACCCTCGTTGGCTACCTAGTCCATTGTTTCAGTGTCTCTAGATCCTTATCTCTTAATCCAAGACAGAGTATTACTGAGGTCACACTCTATTTTGGTTTTTCTCTTATTTACCTCGCAAATGTGTATGTCTTTTAGATAGCATAATCCCCAGGTTCTGATTTGCAAATCCGTTCACCTAGTTATCCTTTTTCTGTGTCCCCATTCTTAAGCTCAGCAGGCGCATTCTGGCCCAATGCTGAACTCTGAAAGGGATCCCATTCTTCCTTTCTCTGTCCCCACTAATTATCCAGTTATACCTAGAGCTATGATTTCTGCTATTGAGATAATTAAAGGCATGAAAACAATTTCAGCTAAACCACTTGAGCTTGAATATACTATTCTTCTTTTATGAACAATTAATCCCACTACGGAAGGCAAGACCTTTTTGGCCTACAACATCATAATCAAAGCACTTGCCACTCTCTTGGTGGTATTCACAAATCTAAACCTTTATGGTGATCATAGTGAAGTAACGTTATACTGTCAAAGACAAACAGGAAGGCTTCTAATGTCCTGGGAGCATGTCCTAGCCACTTTCACAGGTGGCACAAAGGTTCTTCACTGAACTCTTCTCTGACTCCACCAGATCAGTTTCCCTCTCTTGAGACTTACCTCAGATGATAGAAAGAGCTTTTAAATGCCTTTTGAGTCTCAAGCTCAGTGACCACACATTCCTTTCCTTATTCATTTTCTCCCCCTTAAGAAATGAGGTGCAGTGATTCTAATTATAATACCTTGTATTTGTAGACTTGCCCTCTCTGAGGATCTTAGAATACCTTAGAGAAATTGCCTGATTCATCCTAATGTCATCCCAGTAAGGCAAGAAAGGATTTTTATAGTTTATGGCTGAAGTTCCTGAGATGATGAAAGGTGAGGTGGCTGTGCAAGGTCACACAATGATCTTGAAATAGATAGAACTCAGCCAGATTGCTAGTCGTTGGCTTAATACTGGAGTCCTTTAGGAAATATTTGATCAGTTGCTATTCTTTTTCAGAGTAGGGTGGTGGTGGTTTGTATTTGGGAGGCTACATATAATATATATTTCTAAATATATATATGTAATAGTGGTATCTGGCTATGAATCTCTTCCACTTTGGCTCCACCCCTAGTGATGTAACACTAATTGTCACCAATCTCCTCAAGCCCCCACCTGGGCCCATTGAGTGATGCCCCTCACTTGTCAATTTGTCATAACCTTTGAGCAGAGATAGTTTGACCTTGCCAAATCTGGACTGAAGTAAAGCTGTCCCTGAAAGGATGAGCTTAATTTGACTGGACGAGCCAGGTGGTGGCTTGGTAACAATGACATCAAACTAGTCCATGGCTGATTCCCACATTTGGTCTCATCAAAGTCCAGAACTTTGTACGGATCAATTAATGTCCCTTGCCCTTCCATGTTAGTGCAGTGAAGAACTTGAGTCTGCACATTTTATTTTATTTTTTGTTATTGCTCATTTACATGCTTGATGCCTCTCAGTAGAGGAGCTCAAGAGTGTAAATTATTTTAAACATAAGGGTCCTGTGGCAATGTGAGCTTGAACAATAACTAGCTTTTGTGTTGCTTTTGTAAACTATGGTTCTTGCAGCCCTCACAAAACTGTTTGTTACAGCATCTGTTAGAATCTAGAACAAGACTCCTGTAATCATGCAGCTGTGTGATGAACACTCTAATTGCTACATTTTTGTTGCTCTTAATCTGGGAAAATTTCCTAATAAAGCTGGATGATGATTTTAAAAATTTCATTAATGTTTACAAGCTAGTAATTCTAACTCATAGGACTTAATCTCTCAGTGTCTGCAAAGGCTTAACTGAGTGTTCACAGTGTAAGTCATATGAAGTAAGAGGTATTAGGGCTCTTTCTTCCTCTGCCCACTAAAAACATATTCACTGCCTATGGAGGGATGAAATGGCTATATATGGCTAGTGTTTCCTTTCCTTTTTTTTAAAGTATGAATTGGAGATCTCACTTGACTTAAGTGATGGGATTAACTCAAAATAAAGAGGATATTTGCATCAGTTTTATTGTTCTATTTGAATTGGTCCATATTTTTATAATTTTGGAATAAGATACCAGCCTTAATGCTAAAATGCGGCATTAAAGGGTGGGAGAAAAGGCCTTGATTTAATACATCTGTATTGCAATCTACTATATGTTGGATCTGAGTAGTAGGATAACAGTGAATATAGATATAATGAGGAACTTATGATAGGCTTATGATAAACAAACAAATCTCAGTTAATCAGAATCCAATTACCAGAAGCCCTTAATTAATAGGGATTTTCCCTAGGTATTTCCTAGAAGGGCTGAGGCCATATTTATTTATATATACATATGTGGCACAGCTTTGATCAACCAGAAACTCTTTTTAATGCAGACGTTTGTTGTTCTGTGTTCTAAGGATAGAGGTAAATGATAAACTTCCAGGCTGTGCCCTGGCCTTAAGATACATTATCTCAATCTTCCTATCATCTCTGTCTCCAAGTCTCAGCAAAGCTCACTGATGTTGAGGTGTGTAAGAGTGTCAGTCAGCTAAGAAATCAATGATGGTCACCAGCCTGGAAACCTGAGAAAGCAGGAAAGTTGATTCACACATTTTTAGATATTTATTATATTCTGACTTCTAGAATTATTGCATTGACATATCGCCCTACTAGATTGCAAGCTTCTTCAGCAGGGAAGACATGTCCTTTTCTCCTCACCCTAGCATTGAGTGTGGCAAAATGGGTTGGGAATCAATCAATATTTCTTGAACTGGATTTCCTACCTTGTTTTTCACAGCTGTGGGAACCATAGCCTGATGGAACTGGAAAAGACCATCATATTCCATAGATTCATTTTACAGTTCAGGAAATGGAGATGTAGAGAGATTGATTTTTTGAACTCATACAGCTTGGGGCTAGAATCCAGCTCTCCTGCCTCAAGGCTTCTGTACTCTGCTTTACAAAACCCCAAGGTGTCTTCAGTCATCCCAACGACTCTCAAAAAGTTCCCTAATGAAAATTAATTTGAATTTGTGTTTATTTTAAAAATAAAACCCCCCAAACCTGACAAGAAATAATCAAACATTTATCAGATTTTTGTTTAATGGGAGGAGGGAACTGTTGATTAAGTAGAACATTTCCTTTTTGACCCTAAAGCTTCTATCATCTGAAATAAACAAGAGTCTTGCTGTTTCAAAGTAATGTTATTGAAAAAGTTTTTTTTTTCTCTTTATTTTCCCAGAGGGGATTTGCTTCTAAACAGTCACAAAGCCAGTCTAGCCAGTCTAGTGTGAGGTATGACCAGAGAATTGTGCCATCTTTTTTAATAAGCTGAAGATAAAATTCCTAAATATAGAATATTGATGTCTGCTACTAACTCCTAGGATAAATATCTTTGCATTTATAGAACAAGTTTATTTAAGGCTGTCAGTGAGTGTCAAAGTCACCTAACATATGTTGTTGAAGGCTTTTACCACAAGTAGAGTCTCGCTTGCTTAGGGCCTAAAGATACTAGGTTAGACTTAAGAAACCATGTTTCCAATGAACATCTTTAAGAAATCCAACCATAGGTTTTGCTTTTGGGACACCATTCTGTAGTTTGGGTTGCATTATTGCTTCAAGATATTAATTCAGGTAGCCCAATAAGTGTTAAGTAATAGCATCAAATTGCCATGTCATTAGATTAAGAAATAGTGACCACGATTTGGACACCATGATTGGTTAGGTAACAAAAAGTGTCCTTGAAAAGGAAGAATAAGGCAACCAACTTACAGAGAGACACCTGGAATGGCTGGAGGCAGGGGAAAAAAGGGAACCACCTACTAAAATACAGTAAGAGATGAAGGAAGGCCAGTGGGTTGTTTGGCCATGTATTGATCTACTCTGGAAGCTCGCCATTAGGAAATTGGGAAGCAAGGAAAGCAAAGAGGAATGGGATCTCCTCTTTTACATATAGTACTTAATATGCACTTGGGAGAAGAAGATGGAGAGATATTATAGGTACTAAGAACACTTTCACCTTACATTTCATGATTGATTCAATCGTATGCAAAAATAAGTTCTAGGCTTTTCTAATATCTTTCATTCTATCAGCATTTACATACCTAGTTTTTGTTATATTATTTTGCATTTGTCAAGATGCTGCTCTCTGACTTGAATCGCATTGCTAAGGGCTATTACAAATACTTAAAAAAGAAAGAAAGAACTTTTGTTTCTCCCAATAGTGCCTAGTATAGTATTCTGAATATAAGCCCTTGTGTGACGCTTAACCTCACAACAGTTGGCTGGCTCTTGTCTGGGACAGTTTCCATGTAAATTTCAATGCCCATTCTGGAGGTCTGATCCCATTTGCCTTCCTTCTTCTATATGAATTACCTCCTGAATATTCAGTGATTTCTTAGGTAGCTAAGCAATTACTCATCTACTCCAAGAGATCCCTTTCTGTATACTCCTTGTTTCTCTCATGGGGGCATGACCTCAGATTGACCTCTGAAATCCAGGTAATAACATCTGTCATATCCTTTACTTGTGTTTGTCTTTTGAAGATGCTGAAAGACTTCTCAGCCAGCCCACACTAGACATAGGCTGGTAAAGAAATGACATCCTGATTTGCTTTAGGGTGGCTCCAGTATAGCTGTACTGTCTGTCATCTAGTACCCAACCCACCATAAAATTTGAATGTCATGGAGGACACAGAGACCTAAGTGAAGTATAGAGCCACTACTATTTAGTGGCGGAAGACTGTTTAACTCTCTGCTTACAACCATGTCTCTGAAAGCAAGTCTCTAGAAGAACTTTAGAATCCTAAGTATAGAAAATGTTTTAGATAAACTCTAGCATTGAAGAGTCTGATCAGACTTAGTGCTTCAGGGTAAGTTGTGGCAGTAGTTGTGGAGAAGAGGAAGAAAAATTTGAGTAATTTACTTCTGTATCCCTGTCCCTCCAAATTTATAATTTATATTAACCATGGCTCCTGACCATCTTCTTTTTCAGACTTCGGATAGGATGAAAGGGAATACTATGGAATAAGGCAAAAGATATGAGGGTATCAAGAAGTCTGATGACTTCCGGTTGAATCTATTCTGATTGGAAAATTCTGTCAGATGCGAGGCCAGTCAGAGCAGTGATTAACAGTACCTGGTGTCAACTTCCCTGGTTCAAGTTCCATCTCTACCAATTATTGGTTGCATGACTTCTAAGTCTCAATTTCCTCATTTGTAAAATGGAAATAATATTTCCATCTACCTACAGGGATAATATGAGGATTAACTCATATGAGATATATAAGCATACACATATATACACATACATTGCTTAAAATAATATCTGAAACATAGTAAGCATTCAATACATATATATTTGTTATTAAAAATGCCCAGTTAGCATATTGGTTCAAGGTTTTAGTGCCTTTAATTATTTTAGGTGATGCTGAAAAATCTAGTTAATCCTCAAATTGTTCTTGAGCTTATCAATCAATATGTGTTACCCAGTGTTATATCACAGGAAAAAAAAAACCAGAGAGGTTTTCTAACATGCTAAACTTATATTAGTGAGACCTGAGCATAGCCCAACTCTCAGACTTTGCTCTCATGATATGACCTTAGATTGAACTGATACCTTGGGGAAGCCACAAGGACATTGTTCTTCAGCAATAGTTCTCAAATAACTGATTTTCATGAACACAGAAACTCACCACTCATGAGCAAATAGCTATGGTTATCAGTTACTGAGTACCTACTGAGTGCCAAGCACTGTACCAAGTGCTTTCCACATAGAATCTTATTTGATCCTCACAACAACCACGAAAGGAAGGTAGTGGAACAGTCTTTTAAGCTGAGAAAAATGAGCCCCAAAGAAATTGTCACCTCCCCTGTTGTCACACAACAAGGAAATCAGGGAGCTAAAATTAGAAATCATGTCTATTTGAGTCCCAAGCTTGTGTTTACTCAACTATATGGCAAACAAAATATTCCAAAAAGAAAGAATGCTAACCCAAACTGTCTTTTGGATTGGTAAGTGAGCTTAATGTTCTACATGGAACATTGAGAGTAAGGGCTGGAATAAAAAGGGACCAACAAAGTGGAGAGGAACTGGGCAGTACCACTATCTGCTGAGTGAGGGTGAGGCAGGGAGCAAGCATGTAGCTATAACATTTTTGCTTCACTTGTCCTAGGTCCAGCTGTAGGCAACAGTGCTCTAGTGACCACAATTTCTAGACATATTTTGAAGTGTGAGCACTCTCCCCTTTGAGTTACAGTCTCATAATTTAGAAGGGCCCCTAATGTTGTTCATCTTGCTTACACTGTTTTATTTAGGAAACTGACTTACTTTCATTTCTTAAAACTACCAAATTCAAAGTGACAGCCGGGGTTTCTGAAATGAAATCTACCTGAAGGATTGACCTGCTTCAGGAATCTGTCCTTAAGAAATGCTACCTTCACATCATCCATGATGAAGTGATTTTAGCCTGGAATATCTCAAGGGGAAATTATACATTATATAATATTTTAGGTAGAACATTGAAACATATTGGTTTGGGCCCCACTAGATTAGCACATGCTATAATTTAGGCAGAGGATATGCTGAGACTTGTCTGTAAATTTTCTATGGAATAAAGAGAAACATGGTTAAGACTGAAGGAGGAATGTGTAAATCTTTTTAAGGGGACAGCCTTTTAGATATATAATGAATAGACAAATTAGAAAATACTATTTATTAAATAAGTCTATTTATTAAATAAGTCTTCTATAAGGATATTTACTTGTCAACACACAGGATTAATTTGGAATATTTGTATATTCTTGAAAACAATGTTAAGACATATCTAGGTCTGACTTTTCACTAATTCAGTATGGCTTCACCTTCATATAGCCTGAACTGGTGAGATTTTACTGTCTTCATTTCCTCTCTGTTTTATAATGAGTCATTTCTAATACTGACTCTCTCTCTAGTCTAGTTAAGCTCATTTGCTCTGGTACTGTCCTTAGGCATGCAGAACAGTTGGTCAGTGCCCTTTTAATGATAACTCTTTATACTTGAGAAGGTGATTAAACTACCTCTTGGCTCTCTTTCACCAGGCTAAACAATCCCAACTCATTTAGCCTTTCCTCACAGGCCCCATTTTCTAACACTTTAATCATATTTTTGCTGCTCTTCTTTGGATCTTCTCTAATTGTTTTGCAACTGTTTTAAGATTTAACCTGATAAGCAGGCCAAATCCAAGTTTTGGCATTGGCTAAATATTTATTTAATGAGTAACTTACAAATTAAAAGAGGTAGTGCAGTGTAGGGGCAAGAGAACTGTATGAGGAATCAGAAGACTTGAGTTTTATCCTTGCTCTGCCACTTACTAGGATTGAGCAGAGGGTTACATTTAAACAAGTCATATAAATGTCTCCAAGTTTCAATTTATCATCTGTAAATTTGGGATAAAACCTATCTGCTCTGCCTGCCTCCTATAGTGGGTGTCAAATCAGATTATCTATGTGAAAACACTTTGCTTTGGCATCAAAGCACTATATAAACACTACGTGTCAGGCACCTTTCTAAATGGTTTGCATATATTAACTCATCATAGTACAGTTATCACTCTCACTTTACTACGAAAAAATGGAGGCACAGAGAATTGAATAACTTGCCTTGGGTCACAAAGATAGTAAGTGACAGAATCCATGCAGACTGGCTCCAGAGTCCATGCTCTGAAACGCTGTTATGCTGCGTCTCTGAATAGACATTAAAGGTGCAACAAAGCCATAAGGTATATATTACTGTGGTGGAGGATCTCTTCAGAATAGATAACTCCCAGAGAGGCAACCTTTTCAAAAATTAATGTTTAGATTGGTCATTGAATTGAGTAAGGCAGCTGTCCACCAGTGAGGAGAGCTTCATAAGCACAACACAGTAATAGGAATGCTATATTGGGTCAGGCCAATGGTTCATTCACCCTTGTTCACCTAAACCTTCTTATGGAAAGTGCTCTTAATTCTTGAATTCAGGATATACCATCTCTAAATATTCTCTATGTGCCCTACCAACCCTTCATGGTTTCATCTCTCTCTAGTGCTGTCCTTTTCTATGTTAATTCTTATATCTATAAGTTTAGAATGCTTCTCTGGTAGATTAACTATTAAATGGAGATGTGAAAGACAGATTGATACCTAATTGAATTTTTCCCCTAATGTAATCTCAAGGGTTGAAACAGTTAAAAAGAAAAAGAGGTTTGGGGAAAAAATATTGAAAGAATTTTGATTTACCTTATGTATTTGAATATTCACAGGGAAAACCAGAACTTATATCATGACATGAGGAGGTTATGCTATATAACACTATGTTGAAGACCTGCTTATATTTTAAAATTGCACCACATTGAGGCATTTTTATTAACACTCATTGGATATAGAGTACAATATAAACTTAATTTATGCCAAAATCTGATCTATAGGAAACAGTGTTATAGTGGTGTAACAGGCTCTTCTACCTCAGATAGTGGTATGAAATATCATTTTGTGGGAGACTGTAGAAGTTTCCTTCCATAAAAATGATCTCAAACAGAGCTGAATACACTCTTGGAGGATGGGAGCATCTCTAGGGAGAACTTAATACTGATTGGATTATAAATGCTATCATTCCAATCAGGATCTGTATAGTGAAGTATGATAAATTTATCAAAAGACTGGTTAGGAACCAATGAGAAAGGTGATAGATATCTCTGTATTTTAGCATTTGATGTCTTTAAAAAATGTTTTCTATAAATAAATATCATGTTGAAGTTGTTGCTTAATTTAGATCATTTGTTTAATGAAAATTTATTTTCGTAAAATAAATTACGGCAAATTCACTGGATCATTGGAATAAGCTTAAGCAGAAAGCCACACCTTTGAGAAAATGTGTACTTTAATAATAATCACATCATGTAACTGTAGGTACTTTTTTGCCTCTGGATGGAAATACAGCAAAATTGCAGTGGAACTTCTGAAATGTTCTTGTTCATTATCCATCTATCCATTCATTCATCCAACACTATGTGCCAGTTACTCTGTTGGACACTGGAGATATAATAGTGAACAAGATAAATCTAGTCCTTCCCTCATAGAATTTATGGCCTAGTAAGAACACCTTAAATGGCAGAGAAAACAATCATGAGTTGATGGTTTTATGACAATTTTTTGAAAGAGGGAAAAAGAATAAATGAAAGTAACTCTCTATCCTTACCTAGATGTTGCTAAAACTTTTCTTTGAACAATGTTTCCTGAAAAATTGTATAGAAAGTGTTTTAAAGGATACTGTGAATGTGCGTATAGAAGAAAGGAAGATGGAGAAGTATGACATGAAAAGAGAATAGAGTTTTTGAATGATACTAGTTTAGTTTTTCTGAAAGTGTCTAGTAATAATGATTGTTTTTTCTGTAGCATTTTACGCTTTTTAAAGCAATTATACCAACCATGTGATGTAGAGAAAATTTTATTTTCTCCATTATGTAGATGAGAAAACTGAGGCATAGATATTTAAGTGCCCAAGGTCCCACAATTATATAGAATTCAGAGCTCTACCCACTACTTTTCTATTACATAATGCTGAAAAATCCCAGACTGCAGTATAAAGTTCTATAAAATCCAAAAGACTTTAACAGAATATAAGATATCTAAGAAGCCAAAGTCACTAATACAAAAGAAGAAAAACAAAGTATGACAAGGAGGATGTTCTTCTGCTTTGGGCTATTAAGTAGGTCACCCACTAAAAGGCTATTTTGGTATAAAATTTTAGAGGGCATGTAGTACATACACCAACATCACTGACCTGATTCTTCACTTTCAAGATCTAAGAAAATCAAAGGAAGGTATTTTTTTTTTTGTGGGGGGGAAGGGGCAGGTAGATCATTTGTGTAGCTCAAGAGAATGTTAGTTGAGAAACTTGATTTAACCAGGCTAGTGCTGTAGATTTTCTGTGAAGTATGATTCACTAGAGGGTAATGCCGATCTTAACAAGGGGACACTTTGTATTTCTACGATATAGAGTCAGCAGTTTCCCTCCTTCCTTTTCTCCCTTTGTCCTTTCCTCCCTTCCTTCCGTCTCTTCCCTTCTCTTTCCTTTTGTCACCTATTTTTGTTTGCATTTCTCTTCTTATGGGGGCATATCTGACAAATTATTAATATTTAATTTGCTATAAAACAGCTCTCCCAGGCAATAGCTGCTCACTATAATTTCAATCTCTGAAGCTGTTTTGGCCCCTAGGTACACTGGGATTAAATTAGAATGGAAATGTTTCCCTTACATTTTTGTTTATGGCAGCGTGGGCACATTGTTATTAACTGGCAAATTGAAACTTCTAAGGAAAGTGATAAACTTTCTTCACATTTCAGCTTGACTCTACCCTGAACAGATCTGGTTTAGGGTGAAACATTTCTTCTAATATTTTTTAGTCTTAAATTTAAATATCCAAGCTTAATAATGAATATATTTTGGCCCATTGAATTCTATTTTTAAAAGCATAAACATTTTTCTCATATGCCACTTCTTATTTAAAAATGGTCTTGCTCTGTTGCCCAGGCTGGAGTGCAGTGGTGCGGTCATAGCTCACTGCAACCTCTGCCTCCCGGGTTCAAGCGATTCTCGTGCCTCAGTCTCCTGAGTAGCTGGGATCACAGGCACCCGCCACCACGCCCAGTTAATTTTTGTATTTCTAACAGAGATGGGGTTTCACATAATTTTTTTTTTGAGACAGAGTCTTGCTCTGTCTCAAAAAAAATTGTTATTTTAAAGTAATACAAGATCTTATTTCTCCTTTGAGAAATTATGGGACAGTGATAACTTGTTGCCCACATTGTCAGCATGTAATGGGTCTTAAATGAATATTTGTGGAGTGAATGAATTAAAAAGTTATAAAATGGGAAAAAATGGTCTTAAATTGTTCTCTCTCTCTCTCTCTGATCCAGAGGGATAATCTGCAAAAATGTAGACAAATTCAAAACTTGGTGAGTACTGTCCTGACAGTCTGTCTATCCATAGTCATCAAGAATGGGTGGTGATCTTTAGAAGGGTCTGGAAATAGTACATATTCCAGCAATGAGGCTCCTGAAACAAAAACCCTTTCCATCTGCACTGCTTAGTCCCTTGTCTGTTCCCTGTTGGGAAGAAGGTATGGGAAAGGAAGGGGATTACTTTGAAAGTCAGTTGTCTATGAAACAGAGGTGTGGAGGGATATGTTTATCTGATAGGTAGCATTAAATTGCAAATACTTCCAGATTAATCATGGCATGCAATTTTCAACAGCTTAGATTTTCTTCTCTTTTCTTTCTTTCTTTTTTTTTTTTTTTTTCTGCAGCCACTGGGGAGGAAAAAAGGATTAGAGAGACTATCAAAAACTGTTGGCACGTTTAGTCTGTTGGCTACTTAATTTATTAGCAGATATGGGAGCTGACTTAGGTTGATAATTTAACATGTTGGCTGGCGGTGAAATAAATCTCAAACGTACCTGTTCCAAAATTGTGTTAATCCTTTCGACTTCGCAGTCAATCAAGTATCGCTTTTCCTGCCTCCTGTCCATTTCTTCAATGATGCGCCTGAATTCTTGGACGTCCTTTATGTTTCCCACAGACCTTGCTGTTACTTGCCAGTTGTTTTGCACTGCTGCTTCCATAATCGCTTGGAGGATGGAAAATCCTGAAGGAAGGAAAAACAGCTTCAATGATTTAAAAATCTTTCTGTAGGTATTAAAGATTCTACTGAATTTCTAGTCACAGTCCATCAGGTGCCTTTGAACCTTATCCATTATGGAAAGCAGGCTTACTCATAACCTCAGCCTTAACCCTCCAGACAGTTTGCACTTTCATTTTGTTGCAAAGGAAAGAAGATTCTACAACTTTTGGGCACCCCGCATCAAGTGGCTACATGAGAGCTCACAGCTGAATTATATTATCTAATTGTTTTTATTGACATGCACTCTCAAAATATCTATGGAATAAAATCAAGAACTTCTTACAACTGCCTGCAATTTCCTTACTGCAGTTGAAGCTCATTTATTTCATCTTCTATATAAGCATTGTGGCAAATTAGAAATAACTTCAGTAGAGATAGCGCCTCATTATAATATGGCTTCTCCTTACATAGAAAGACTATCCAACAAGGTAAATTATGTCTCCCAAGTAAAATAATTTTATGAAAACCTGAAAAAGACAATCTATAACAAAGATATCATACTCGTGAGCTCTTGATCACCACATTATTAAAAAGTTCAGTCATATTAAGCTTTCCTGAGTTCTTTCCCTTTCTCAATTAAATTTACCAGGAATTCCTGGTTCCTTTTTATCTAATTTACATTAGATAACTGTTAGCTACCATTACCCTGGATCTATATTGAATGAGAAAAAGAGAAAAGATCTGATGCTTGAGTTTTGGGTAACCTTTTTGGAGTTAGGGTTTAAGAAGTTGGGAAGAACAAAATATCTGAAGTATGATCCATAAGAATAGCACAAGAGTTTTCTACATGCTGGTCTTTTAGAGTCTTCATGTCTCTAATATTACATTGTGTCTATAGTTTCGCTTCTGGTTTGAATCCATATCTGAATATAACTTCAACTATAGATATAATTTTATTGGGATATTGCCAAAAGCAGCTCATTTCTTCCCATAAACCTAAATAGTTTTTCATTTATATTCAAGTAATGACTAATGGGAGTGGGTGATAGGGATGATTTGCAAAGCCAAAATGATCCATGCCATAGCAATTTGATGACTGGAGGAGAAGAGAATGGGAGAGGATTGCGATGCCCTTTGAGCATATTCCAGGTTCTGTGCTGTTTCGGGCTCACCCTTTAGTGTAAGCAGGCTACAATTCGGAATTTTCTTCATTGTACCATAGAAAATGGTATTGACATTTGAAGAGCACGCTTCAGGGAGATGGCAGCAGTGACTCAGCCGGTCATTATGACTCCTTTGTGTGCTGGGTGTATGCAGGAAGAAGATCACAAATGAGACCCAAGCACTTGGTAATTTCCAAATGAGCAATTTCAGCACAGGAGCTCAAAATTACAGATCAGAGTAAATTACCATTGCTTTAAATGTTAATTCTTTCTCTTTTTAAACCAACCACGCATATTTATTTCTCAGATTTACATTTTCGTGTGGGTTGTTGATGTGCTCTCTGCTTCAGTGGGAGTTGAGGGGACATGGTAGGCCAAGGCATGGGATTGAGAAATAAACATAGGAAGAAAGAGATTAAGGCAATTGAAAATCTTTCTCAAGCAGTGTACGATAAAGCCTCATTATTTTGAATCTCACTAATTAAGAATTTATGAAACTTCATCAAGGACTGAGTTGAATTTTACTTTTGTACTATTTATGAAGAAAACATTGGCTAAATAATAATGTTAATGAAAGTGGACAGAGTCTTTAATATATTTAAAGTAAACTTTTTTAAAGGCCCTTTAGCAGAATACAGCTGTTCATGTGTTGAATCAAAATAAGCCTTCTCGTAATCTCTACTCATTGGTCTTATTCCACCATTTGGGATGACACAGAGCAAATTTAACTCCTTTTGCATGTGTTAGTCCTTCACATTTTTGAAGGCAGTTAGCATGTTTCCCTTTAACATTCTTTTCCTCAGGCTAAAGACGTCCCAGTCCTTCCACCGTTACTTTTATGGCATGATGACAAGTTCCCTCACTGTTGCTCTCTCCTATGGATATCTGTCAATATTTTATTGATCCTGATAATTCCAGTGTGATCTGATCAGTGTGGACGACAATGAGATTATTGCTTGCTTTGACGTGGGTTGTTATTTTAGCAGCCTTTGCCAATATTTTTAAATACCCAAATTATATTGTTAATTAGTATCAAGCTTGGATTCAACTAAAACGTGTCAGTTCTCTCCATAAAAATCTTTCGTCTGGAAAGACTCACCATCCGTGTATCAAGATTTCTTCCATTCCAATTTGCTTTTATCTCCCTTTGTTTAATCCCTCACCCCATTCCAGTCCCCACTTCTCCCTTATTTTCAAATTCATTCAAATCTGGAAAATGGCCTCACTCACTTATTCAGTACTCCAGGCAGCCACACTTGTCTGTCCACTTAACAGGCACATCTGTCTACACCTGCAGACCTTTCTGAATTATCTTCTTTGTCCATGAAACTTCCTTTACTGACTTCTCATTAACTTCTCCAGAAATGAGTAGATTTAAGTTCATGGTAAATTAATTATAAGCAATGGAGAAATGGGTTTAAAGAATTATGTCACAGACATTTAAAATTTTAAAATAAAACTGCATAAAGAAATTATAGTAAATACGCATAGAATACTATGCTATTGTTTAAAAGACAGCTCAATCTATATATACTAACAAGAAAAGATTTGTACAGTATATATAATATATTGGATAATAGGTAATAATAGAAAAAACAAGCTGTAAAATGGCATTTATGTTATAATTCTATTTTGTAAAGAAACTATATGTTTCTATATGTGTGGAAAAAATCTGAAGGAATTGGCTGTTATCTCTGAGATGTAGGATTACCAAGAACTTTTATTTTCACTGTCATTTAGTTATGTAAAATTTGGCCCTTTTACAAGAAGCAGGTATTATTTTCTGTAAGTACAAAAACAATAAAGATTAAAAAGAAGTACAACTCATGCTGTCCTCTCAGAACATAGGCTTCTGGAAGACATAGATGATAGATGAGAGCTCCTTTGTAGGCTGCATACTGCCACAAATGAGAGGCATTTTACTAAACACTGACTTACAAATCTTTTTATACTTTTGTTCTTTGAACCATGTGAATGTATTACCTATTCAAAAATTAAGTAGAAAAAGCACACTGCTTTTTAATGAGGGCATGTCTGAAGCTTCCTGGGCTATAAGCCTTGCTCACATTTTTTGAGCAAGTCAGAACCGTGGCTGAATACTGCAGTGTCTTTTACCATGCAGAATTTCTCTGTGTTTGCTTAAGCATGTGGCTGTGTACTATAGAACCCTGGGGGGAATGGTCACCTCAGCTCCGTACCTGTCACTGAGCAGCCCAAGAAAAGCTTTTATTTGTTTTCATACCTAATTTATTGTAGTTTGACTGTTTCCTGATGAAGCTGACCAAAGAGAGTAAATATGCGCTTGAGGGAGAAAAAAAAAGAGAAAAATTTGACACAGGAGGCAGAGAAAAAAACAGGCATTGGTGCTTGTAGGAGCAGAGGTACGTAACAAACCCTTGGCTTTGTAAAAATAAGCCTGCTGTTTTAGCAGCTTCAGAATTGTCATCCACTCTCTGTGAGCTTTAACGTGCCCAATTTTGCAACACTAAAAACTACTTTTACTTGAGCAGCAAATTCTCTCATTCTGATTCCAGACTGCTGTCGCTATCCACTTTCCTCTTCTTCCTCATTTTAAAGAATGGTAGTTACCATATAGGTAAGTGGGTGAATGCTAGATTGTCATCTGCATTTTACCAATATAATGCAGTTTGTGGCAAGGAGTGGGAAGGAAATTATGGATGAAGAACTGGGCTGCAGCTATGACCAATTTAATCCTACTGGAGTGGTGGTTGGGCTACTCTTGGCAAATAAGGTGTGATAATCTTGGCAAAGGGTAGTGTGGTGGATGCTGTGCTGTACCACCCAGATCCTCCTTCAGCACCATAGAACTTATTCCTTCAGTTGTTGGAAAAGTTGCAGCTTAAGGTTATGACCCTTTCCTGGGGTATCCTGCATCCAATGACCGATTGCCCCAGGATAGAAAGGCACAACCCTCATACCCCCAGCGAGGTAACTCTAAGGGCAAGTCATCCTAGCTTCAGAGCTCCCGGAAGGGAGCTGAGGGTTTGTTATGACTGCACCATAGCTCATTTTCTCTTTGTGCCCTCACCTGCATCCTTCTCTTCTTCCCACAATTGCTGACAATGAGAGTACCAGCCAATAAACTTCTTGCATGTGAATCTCTATTTCAGTTTATTTCTGGGGGATTCATCTGTGACTATGAGGTTGATCTCATGACAGGGATAGCATCAGATACAAAAAGTTCTCAAATATACAATTGTCAAAATCATTTTCACAGGGGAAAGAAGGCCAGGATTTTGTTAAATGTATAAACAAGTGAAAACCCGCTCCATGCTGAACACATTTAGTATTTCATCTGAAAACACAGAAGAACAATAAGTAGGATATTGACATATGGAAGTTCATAATAAAGATACCCAAGAAAATATAGTTGAGGATAATTTTGTTCCTGTTGTGCATCTTCCAGCAGGGACTATCACCACCTGCTGTCAGCTGTGAATCTGCACCAGATCTCTCAGAGCCACAGCATTTGTACTTCTGACGGGGTCTTTTAACAGTCCCCCAAATGATGGAAGTTGCTGATATTGATGAACAGGCTTCTCATGAGTGTTGACATTTATAGCAATTTGTGCCTGGCTGTGATTCTCAGAGGGTTTGCCATAAAGCCCCAAAAAGGTTTACTGGCCCTCTCGAAATGTTCTATAGAGAGGCAAGTTGGTCTTTCCCAGAGGGTAATTCAATACTTTTCCAGTGGCCTGTGCTAGAAATTACCTTGTCAATATTTTCAGGTTGATAAAGAGAGGCTTTAAGTGGCCCATGAAAACTCCTGTAGCTTACAATTATTAGACACAGAACCACAGTATTACAGGCTAGTACTCTTACAGATGACTCAGAGAAGTAGGATACAATTTTTAAAGCTGTGTAACTCTTTTCAAATGAAATTTTTATGGAAGCCCAATAGCTTAGACAGGTAAAAGTGGAGCTTCTCGGGTTTGAGAGGTGGTGCTTAGACAGGGGAAGTGACTTGCCAAATATCACACAGTTTAGAATCTGAAGCGAGACTGGAATCTAAGCAAGCAGAGCTGGAGCTAAGGTGAGGCAGGTGAAGCACCTAGGGTAAATATTCAAGAAGGCACTTTCTGAGGGTTGCACAAGTGCAGCCGCACTTACCTTGCCCTAGTATTGACCCTGTAAGCAAGTCTCTTGGCTTCCAATTTAGTGGTCTTTCAAGTGCATCATGTCCAACTTACTTTATAGCTCTCATTTTAAGATGACGCTTAGCAACATTTTGGTGTGGACAGAACTTAATTCCTCATGTCCTTTTCTCTTCTCTTTTTGATGTCACACAACATCCTGATGTTCGCTTCCCTGTCTCCCCAGTACCTTGAGTAGGCCTATCACTACCAATCCCAGTCTTTTTCTTCCTCTTTCCCCATATTAAAACTTTCCTATCCTGTGCTCAATTCCCTCAGCACCCTTCCCTTTTCCAGGTGCCAGCGTAAAAATAGCTAATGGCATAACATGTTATCCTTTCAGCGAACACACGTACATTTTAGCAGTGACCTTAACATGAATGAGTTTGGAAGGAAAACAAAAGAGAATGTTAACATTGTTTTTGAGTCTGCCCATCTTATGGGGTCATTCAGATGATGAATTTGAAAGTTGGTGATGTGCTTGATGATCTTACGGAGTTTAACAAATGAACAGCTTGTAGATATGGGGTATCTCAGGGGCCAGTGGAGTGGGAAGACAATGGTGAGACAGGTCCACAGAAGGTTAGTGTCCATTCCTGTCTATGTTACTCAACTGAAATCAGCTGAAAAAACCATTTCTTTCTTTCCTTTTCTGTGTCTTCACCTACCTCTGTGGCTTTCAATGCTGGTTGCACATTACAGTTACCCTAGGAAGTATGAAAAATGGATGGCCAAGGCTTACTCTGGAGCAATAAAATAATGATTTCTCAAAGTGATTCCTGGGCTTTGTTTTGTTTTATTTTAATCTCCCTGGGGGATTCTCATGTACAGCCAGAGTGGAGAATCACTGACCTATTCTAAGGGCTACCCAATACAAATGTGGCATATTAAAGCAGGCCTTTTTTTTTTTTTTTTTCCTGAGGTGTTCTTCATGACCAGCAGAAAGGTTCTGGGTGAGAAAGGCATGTTTCAAGAAGGGCCATATACTACCTAGACATCAGCAAATAAAGACACAGAGGCAAGAAGGGAGGGCTCAGGCCAGGTTTACAAATTGCTTCTTCCTGTGGTAGATGAAGAATCTGGAAACCTTGAGTACAGTATGTGGGAAGCAAACCCAGATGTACTCAAAGCACTTTACAAATATCTTTCCTTTTCTGAGGTAGCATCTGGGTGTTTCTCTCTAAGTATAAAATTAATATGCTCAGTTTGGACATTTGGAAAAACACAGAAAGTACAAAAATTAAAAGAAAAAGTATAGGTGACTTTATCCCTCTTTACATTCTGTTTTATATAAATAGACTTCACACTTTTTATTTTAGCAAAATGGATTGTAATGCAGTCATTGATCACTTAATGATGGGGATACGTTCTGAGAAATGCGTTGTTAGGTGACTTTGTCATTGTGCAAACATCATAGAGTGTATTCCACAAACCTACATGGAATAGCCTCCTACACACTTAGGCTATATGGCATAGCGTATTGCTCCTAGGATACAAAACTGTACAGCATGTTACTGTACTGAATACTGTAGGTGATATGGTTTGGCTGTATCCCCACCCAAACCTCAATTTGAATTGTATCTCCCAGAATTCCCCTGTGTTGTTGGAGTGGCCCAGGGGGAGGTAATTGAATCACGGGGGTTGGGCTTTCATGTGCTATTCCTGTGATAGTGAATAAGTTTCACAAGATCTGATGGGTTTATCAGGGGTTTCTGCTTTTGCTTCCTCCTCATTTTTCCTTGCCGCTGCCATGTAAGAAGTGCCTTTTGCTTCCTGCCATGATTCCGAGGCTTCCCCAGCCATGTGGAACTGTACGTCCATATTAAACGTCTTTTTGTTCCCACTTTCGGGTATGTCTTTATCAGCAGTGTGAAAATGAACTAATACAGTAAATTGGTACCAGTAGAGTGGGGCGTTGCTGAAAAGATACCCAAAAATGTGGAAGCGACTTTCAAACTGGGTAACAGACAGAGGTTGGAACAGTTTGGAGGGCTCAGAAGAAGACAGGAAAATGTGGGAAAGTTTGGAACCTCCTAGAGACTTGTCGAATTGCTTTGACAAAAATGCTGATAGTGATATGAACAATAAGGTCCAGGCTGAGGTGGTCTCACATGGAGATGAGGAACTTGTTGGGAACTGGAGCAAAGGTGACTCTTGTTATGTTTTAGCAAAGAGACTGGTGGCATTTTGCCCTTGCCCTAGAGATCTGTGGAACTTTGAACTTGAGAGAGATGATTTAGGGTATCTGGCAGAAGAAATTTCTAAGCAGCAAAGCATTTAAAACTTGGGTGCTGTTAAAAGCACTCCATCTTTAAAGGGAAACAGAGCATTAAAGTTCAGAAAATTTGCAGCCTGACGATGCAGTAGACAAGAAAAAAACATTTGTTGAGGAGAAATTCAACCGGGCTGCAGAAATTTGCATAAATAGCAAGGAGCCTAACGTTAATCCCCAAGACCATGGGGGGAAAATGTCTCCAGGCCATGTCAGAGACCTTCACAGCAGCCCCTCCCATCACAGGCCCAGAGACCTAGGAAGAAAAAGTGGTTTTGTGGGCCAGGCCCAGGGTCCCCGTGCTGTGTGCAGCCCAGGGACTTGGTGCCTTGTGTCCCAGCTGCTCCAGCCATGGCTGAAAGGGGCCAACGTAGAGCTCAGGCTGCAGCTTCAGAGGGTGGAAGCCCCAAGCCTTGGCGGCTTCCATGTGGTGTTGAGCCTGTGGCAGCACAGAAGTCAAGAATTGGGGTTTGGAAACCTCTGCCTGGATTTCAGAAGATGTATGGAAATGCCTGGATGCCCAGGCAAAAGTTTGCTGCAGGGGTGGGACCCTCATGGAGAACCTCTGCCAGGGCAATGCGGAAGGGAAATGTGGGGTCAGAGCCCCTACACAGAGTCCCTACTGGGGCACTGCCTAATGGAGCTGTGAGAAGAGAAGCACCATCCTCCAGATCCCAGAATGGTAGATCCACTGACAGCTTGCACCGTGCACCTGGAAAAGCCGCAGACACTCAACACTAGCCCATGAAAGCAGCTGGGAGGAAGGCTGTACCCTGCAAAGCCACAGGGGTGGAGCTGCCCACGACCATGGGAACCCACCTCTTGCATCAGTGTGACCTGGAGTCAAAGGAGATCATTTTGGAGCTTTAAAATTTGACTACCCTGTTGGATTTTGGACTTACATGGGCCCTGTAACCCCTTTGTTTTGGCAAATCACTCTCATTTGGAATGGCTGTATTTACAAAATACCTGTACCTCCATTGTATCTAAGAAGCAACTAGCTTGCTTTTGATTTTACAGGCTCATAGGTGGAAGGGATTTGCCTTGTCTCAGATGAGACTTTGGACTGTGGACTTTTGGATTAATGCTGAAATGAGTTAAGACTTTGGGGGACTGTTGGGAAGGCATGATTGGTTTTGAAATGTGAGGACATGAGATTTGGAGAGGCCAGGGCAGAATGATATGGTTTGGCTGTGTCCCCACCCAAATCTCAACTTAAATTGTATCTCCTAGAATTTCCCTGTGTTGTGGGAGGGGCCCAGGGGAGTTAATTAGATCATGGGGGCTGGTTTTTCTCATCCTATTCTCATGATAGTGAATAAGTCTCAAGAGATCTGATGGGTTTATCAGAGGTTTCTGCTTTTGCTTCCTCCTCATTTTTTCTTGCCGCCACCATGTAAGAAGTGCCTTTTGCCTCCCGCCATAATTCTGAGGCCTCCCCAGCCATGTGGGACTGTAAGTCCAATTAAACCTTTTTTTGTTCCCAGTTTTGGGTATGTCTTTATCAGCAGCATGAAAACGAACTAATACAGTAGGCAACTGTAGCACAGTGTTAAATATTTGTGTATCTAAGCATATCTAATCATAGAAAAGACACAGTAAAAGTATAGTATTATAATTTTATGGGACCACTGTCATATATGGAGTCTGTCATTGACTAAAATGCCATTATGTGGCGCATGACTGTATTTGTGTCTTGCCTTTAAAAAATCTAGCATTATATCATGAACATTTTCTTGTTATTAGACATTTTCAAACATGAGTTTTAATGATGACATAGTATTCCAACCTTTAGACATACTATAACTTATTTAACTATTCTGCAACATGAACATTTCAGTGTTTTCCAATCTCTCCTTATTATGAATAATGCCGTGCTGACAACACTCATACAGCATCTCTAATTATTTTCATAGAATTAATATCTCAAAGTAGGAATACTGGGCCAAACATTTACGGACATGTTTAAGGCTCTTGATACATACTGCCAGATTGCCCTCCAGAAAGGTTGTCCCACTTTGTGTTCCCATTAGCAGGTTATGAGAGTACTTGTCTCTCTGTCCCCTTGCCAGCACTGAACAATATATTTGCCCATTTGGTAGGTGAATAAAGAGGATTCTCTTTTTTTGTTAGCATTTCTTTATTAGTAAAGCTAGTGACTTTTTTATTTTTTTGTCCATGTTTATTCATCATTTCGAGTACTGCCTGTTTATTTCCTTTGTCCAACTTTTTAGTGATGTTAATGTCTTTATTATTGATTTATAAGAGCCTTTATATATTGACATTAAGTATCTTGACATATGCCATATATTTAATCCAGTGTATTTTACTTTTAATATTTATGATACATTGTCATGAATAAAAGTTTGACATTTTAATGAAATTAATATTCTTTTTCATCAAAAAATCACGTGAATGACGAATAAAATTTGCTTTTTTTTTTTTTTTTTAGAGATGGGGTCTTGCTATGTTGCCCAGGCTGGTCTGAAACTCTTGGGCTCAAGCAATCCACCTGCCTTGGCTTCCCAAAATGCTGGGATTACAGGTGTGAGCCACTGTGCCTGACCAAAATTTGCTCTTCTACTCTTATTCTAGTGCTCACATGGGCTTTAAATCCAAACTTATGCCAACCACTCTTTCCATTTCTTGCAATGTCTTTGGTCTCCATGGAATTTCCAATAAATTTCCCTTGCATATTGTGGCCAAGTAAAGCAATGGAGAAGCTAGATATGGAGTGTGAAGGTGGTTTCTGAGACAGAAGTAAAGAAAAAATAGAGGCAGAGGAAAGAGAAAGATGATGAGCTCAATTTAGTTATTTCATGGTATGTTTTCCCATATCTCAGAAACCTGATATACAAAAATCTGAACTCAGAGCCAGTACTTCAGGCTATTACTATTCATATTACAAAGTATACTTTCATTTAAAAATAATTCATGGAAAGACTTCTATAGCACATTTGAATCCACATTTTGTTGTTTTGTTGTTTGTTTTTGTTTTAACTTGATTTAAACCCTTTTATTTTCCATCAAAATCAATATAGTGATTGTCTAAATTTGAGACGCTAATACAGAAACTGTTCTGTGTGTGAAGAGTTTGATATGGGAAGATCAAGAACCCCTTTATATTTGCATATGGATGTCAGTCTGTGAATTTTATGGAACAAGGTAAAGACAAATATTCACCGACATTCAATCCTTAATTTACCGTTAGCAAATTAATATTTCCCTGAGACTTCCATTCCTTATAATTGTATTTGTTTAAATTTTCCTTTAATTAAGAGCTGACCCTCTGCAAATCTTCTTCTCCTTGCAGCTGCATTATTAGGATGAGTACTTGGCTAATTTGTGGAATCATTGAACAGAAGGTGACCCCAGTTTCCCAGTTGTTTGTGCTTTTTCTTCTCTCCCAATACAAATTGTCTCTCAATCCAAACGAAACTCTTATACTAGACTGTCCATGACTGATAACAGCTTCAACTGTGACCTCCTTCATGAAGGATGTATGTTTTAATATTAGAACCAAAGACTTACAATACAGGGGCAAATTGTAGACAGCCGTAAGTGATTGATCAAGTATTGTTTGGCAACTTGAGCTAACAGGTACCCCAATATCTTACTTGAGGCATTCCAAGTACTCCAATAGCTCACTCCAGGAGGCAGCTACTGACTACTAGTCAAGTGTAACCTTGGCTCTGAAGCTGGCAATGCATGTAATCCTGCCTTTTCCATTTTTCTCTTTCATCTTGTTCCTTATTTGAACTTTGTCTCCCTGTTGGTGAATTATGTAGCTCCATTCTCCTCTCTGTGAGCTAAGAAAACATGCCCAAATAGATATGTCAGTTTCATTGAGTGAAAGTAAACTTGCTTTGCATTGTCAGCTGAAAGGAAATTTAGAAGACCATCTGGAGTAGATTTACTTAACATCTGGGAAGAGCAGAATAGGCAAGCCTCTGATCCTCACCCACACAATATCTGATATAAAAAATAAAAAAAATAAAAATAACAGAAAGCAACTGGGGTTTGGATTGAAGGGGATGCTACAATGATTGTGTGTAGTTCCTTCATGTTTCTGTTTGGTATCTAAATAATTGTTCTGGGATAGACTGCCTGCGATGCAAACTCACAGAGGGCAGGAGTCATCTCAAAGTTTCTCCATGGACTGTTGAGCTCTTAACAGATGCCATGAGAGGATTAATCATGCCCATGAATAGGGTTTCTTACATGACATTTCCTCATTCGGCATCTTAATCCCTTTGAAATCCGTAATTTCCAGCTCTGATCTTGTGACTGCGTCTCCTAGAGAGCAAGTAGTGAGTGACATGGATGTTAGTAAGCACTTTATAGATACCCGGGGCAGAGAGCTGACCATAGATCACAACCAGAGAATGCACTTGCCAGCCCTAGTTGGGTGGCAGTGGGGGGAAGGCCTTATGCATGATTAAAAGGGGGCTTCACTTATGGGTTGGAGGAAGGAGTGCTACCAGTCAGCCACAGTACATCTTCTTCCCAGGTCCCATTTATTCCACATGGAACCTAGTGACTACAAAGAAGAAGATGACCACCCACCCTGCTGCCCCTTCTCCAGCAGAAGATGAACTTTGAAGAGATTCCCAGAAGTGAGTATATTTTATATTGAGCATCCATACCCTGAACTTCTGTGCAGAGTAGTTCACATTGTGGCCTGTGCCTATGGACTTGTAAAGTGAACTGACTGAAGTGAGACTTGAGCTCAGAAAGTATGTGTTTAGGTTCCACTAAGCAAAAGGCTTCTCATCAGGCAAGTCACTTATCTGGGAACATTCTTCAGCATTCTCAATTTTTAAAAAGCAAGGCCAAGATAAACCTCTTAACATTTCTGAGTTCTGGGTGTGAGGTATGAATGATGGTTACCAGTGAGAAGGAAAAGGGGGAAGGAAGTGGGGGTGAATGTATGCCAAAGATGAAAAGTGTCTGGATCTGAGTGCAAAGGACTGTAGCTTATTCTGCCTGCTGTGCCTCCAGGAGTGCTGAGACTCCTTGATCCTAATACCATTGGAGGGCTGTCAAAGGTAATATTAAGGGCAAACTCTTGCCTAGAGGGTACAGAGGAGCCAAAGATACAGTCCTGAGGACAACAGAGAACATGCTGTTCTCTTGCGGAAGACAAGTTCTTTTTGACTTAATACTGTGGTTTAAAATCTGCTTGGGAAACACCCAAAATGGGGTTCAAAACTCACAAGATAAATAAGTATTTTCATGTGCCATCCACCATACTAAAGAAACCCACGTAAAACACCCCCAAGATCAACTCACTTTGATTAGTTGTTTACTTTCAATTGAGTTTTTTCCAATGGGGATATGAGAGTGAATTTGGCATTATGGAGGCGGGTTATAGGCTAATGTCAAGGCCTTGGGTTCCAGAAAGAGTGGCTGAATCTTGTGTGAGCTGCAGAGAAGTCAGGCTGTTTGTGGTGGCCAGAGTTCTTCCAAGTTTCTCAGAATTCTCAAATATGAGAGCCAGAATTAGTGATGGTCCCAATCTCTTCATTGTGCCAATAAGAAACTGAAGCCCAGAAAGACAAAATGGTTTGCCCCAATGATAGATCCCAAACTTGACCATGACCACAATACTTGTCTTCTTTTAACTTTCAATATTAATGTAAAACAAAGTTTCTGTGGCATTTTCTGAATAAAGATTCATTTTGATATAGACTAAAAGTTAAAATCCAATAGGAATGTCATGATGGATATATCCCTTGCACTTTGCCTACAACACATCTGTGACTTCCTTAAGGGCTCTTCTCCTTTCCTTCAGTACCTTTGCATGGAGGAGTGAGAGAGCCCACAAACAAGTTTGTGTGTTAAAGCATATCTTCCTCCTCAAATCTAGCTGGGACTCCCATTTGGCACTGAGGCCCACTCTAATCTACGCAGGCTCCAAAGCCTTTGGCTTGGTTCACCCTGCTTACTCACACAAATTCTCATGCAAGGCACAGCCTTCTCCAGCATTTTCCATCTCTCATGATTTACTCTGGTTGCCCTCCACCACAAAGCCTCACTTCCATCCCACAAACCTTTCATTCATTAAGACTCACCTTAAAATACGTATCACTGAACAGATCATCTGATTGAGATAGTGGGAAACGAAGATTCCGAGCTCTCACATCCATCTTCTATTAGCCTGAGAATCTTAGGCTATAGATGGTTACTCCCATCTCTGAGGGATTATAGCTGAATGCCAAATTTAAATCATTTTTTGACTAAGAGATTTGTGGTTTTCTTGTATTGTGATGTATAATGTTTTTACTCTCATCCCTCAGGTTTTAAATTGAACTATTTTCCCTTGGGCTGTCAAGGCGGGGTCAAGGATAGAAATGAACATTTATTGTCTACTTTGGGCTGAGTACAGAGCTAACAATGTATACACATTATCACGTTTAATTCTTCCAATCTTAAAGAGTACATAGTTATCCCAAATAACCAGGTGAGGAAATTGAGGCTCAGAGACGCACATGTTCATGAAGAAAAACACTTAACTAGTCTGGATTCTAAGTTCGCACTCTTATTTCTTCCCCCCATCAGTGACTGAAATTATTCCAACATGTGCAGTTGTCCAGGAAAGTTGGAATCATACATTTTTCTATGTGTTACTCCATGGCAGGGAGGGCTCTAGAACACATTGTTGTGTAAATACCTGAAGATGCCCAGGATTTTTCAGGCTCACAGGGATACAGGCCATGCAATCAATTGTAAGTCAGTGCTTAAAAGAAACACAGTCATGGTTCTCTGGCTAATGGTATGTTTCCTGTCAGTTAATCACCAACTTTGTAATTGAGCTGGAGTTCCTAGACTGGGCAGGTTTTATTATTGTTTGTGTCCTTACTTATTCTTCACACTCTCTCAGATATCCCTGCCTCCAAAGCAGCGGTTTCTTCTGACTTTCTTATTTCTGTCAAATTTCCTAGTTACAAAATTTGAATACTATCTTGGAGCCTTCCACTGCCCTAAGAGTACACAAAGTCAAATATATTAATTCTTTGTGTTCTGCCACATTCTTTACGCTCTAATTAGTACCAGCTATTCTGAAGTTATTATTGGTACATGCTTGGGCTACTCCAGCAGTCCTCTTTCATGCAAGCTTCTCACTAAGGTCAGCTTTAACTTCTTCACTCTTTTGATTATGTTACAGCCATGCTCATTCTCAAAAACTTTCCAACCTTTTTCTTTGCCCATAGGAGAAAGTTCAGAGAAGGCATTATAAATGTTTGAACTTGCGTGCAATCTAAGATTTACCTTCTAAAAAAGTCTTGGGGACCTCATTAAAATACATGAGCATGTGGTTGTTTTTTTCCATTCTGGGACTCAGTTTCCTCATCTGTAAAATGATATTCTATTCCTGGGAGTCCCATAAGGATTGTATAAATAGGTACTGTCAGAATTTGCAGGACAGATCAAGAGAATTTCTTTTTTTTTTTTTTTTTGACAGATTCTCACTGTGTTGCCCAGGATAGAGTGCAGTGGCATGATCTCGGCTCACTGCAACCTCTATGTCCTGGGTTCAAGAGGTTCTCGTGCCTCAGCCTCCTGAGTAGCTGGGATTGCAAGTGTGTGCCACCACACCTGGCTAGTTTTTGTATTTTTAGTAAAGACAGGCTTTCGCCATATTGGCCAGACTGGTCTTGAACCCCTGTCCTCAAGTGATCCGCCCGCCTTGGCCTCCCAAAGTGTTGGGATTACAGGTGTGAGCCACCATGCCTGGTTGAGAATTCTATTTTGATAAGAGACAAAAGGAGGCTAGAATTTAGAAAAAAAGGAAAGATAATATGAAAGGAGGAGAGATAGAGAAAATATATTTCTAAAGATTTCTGCTCCCTTACCCTGATTGTTCCCAAATAATATTTCACTTGGAAATTAACACTTTGTCTAGAGCTGTGGAGCATAAAGCAAAGAGATGTAAGCAAAGCCAGCTCACCATTTGATCTAGTCTTCTTTGCCATTGATGGCATAGATTACTAAGAAGGTTGGCTGGCCAAGATGGAGGGAAAAGTCTAGATCTCTGGATGAGAAGTAAGCTGACTGGCACTAGCAGTCATCAAAGTCATGACTTTGGCTTCATTTAACCAGGGGATATACCCAGCTGAGCTAACTATAATATTTGCAAAGAACAAACAACCACATGGCAGTGACTGAATTTAGGAGTGCTTCAGCAAACTAGAATCTGGGGCTGGAGAGTTTACAGGGGGAAAGCCCTGAGTCACTTAGAGTTAAGATGACAACTCTTGAGATGGACTTCTGGGAAACCATACTGGCTAGGAATTTATTTGAATAAAATGAATCTAATTATAAATCACATAGCTAGCCATCATAATGACTGGGTCAGTGCAGGGACTAGTTGGCCATGCCCAAAGAGCTTCTATGCTCATTCAGGCAAAGTACTCATTGACAGAACTTAACAAAATGGTTCAGTTCCTCTTGGCTGGGCATCTGATCCCCTTGGCCAGTGTCTTAAGTCTTATGTATCATTTTGAGGAAAATGGAGTTGTCAGGTCCTGTGAAGATGAAAGTATTTATTAAGCTCTCCAGGAGAGTTTAGTAACCTGCCTAGGTGGGCAGGGATAGTGGATAAGAGGGAAAAAGTTAATGAGGACTACTCCTTTAGCTTGGAGACCCCACCAGAGCCAGCAATAGGCCAGCCCAGCAAGACTTGTTTCTACACAGCCACTGGGAAATGTAGGTGTGGGGCCCTTCTGGATCCCCAAGCTGTCCTACTTTTAAAGGCATCTTAAATTTGCCAGTGTTTTTTAAAACACTGTTTGACAACCCCCTTAGGCCATAAAACATGTATATATTTTGGATCAAAACCACAAAATCATAATGCTTTGGAATCTTCTTAGGGAAAACTCCCCATCTGCAGTGTTTAACTCTGTAAATATCAACATAACAGAGCATCCCTCAAAACAAATACAAATGTTCTTTGAAGTTTATTAGCTATTATTTGAGCAAAGAACACAATCAGCAGCAATGCTAAAGAGGAAAGGATTCAAGAATTACCTTTAGAGAGAAACGAGAAACAAGGCAGTTAGTTTCTCTGGAAAACTTATGGCTTTTTTTTTTTTTTCCAGAGTATCTCTCTGTCACCCAGGCTGGAGTGCAGTGGCACGATCTTGGCTCACTGCAACCTCCACCTCCCAGGTTCAACCTCCACCTCTCGGGACTACAGGCATGTGCCACCAGGCCCTGTTAATTTTTTTGTATTTTTAGTAGAGACAGGGTTTCACCACGTTGACCAGGCTGGTCTTGAGCTCCTGACCTCAAGTGATCCACCTGCCTCAGCCTCCCAAAATGTTGGGATTACAGGTATGAGCCACTGCGCCTGGCCTGAAAATCTATGTTTAAACAACTCCAGGAGTTATACGCCTTATGCCTCAGAGGAGAAATGGGCTTGCTCTGCCTGGCATGGCACTGATGCACTGATGAAATCTGGGTCCTCTTCAAGGGGGTCATTGCTCTCCACTGAGGAGGTAAATAGCGCAAAAGGCATATTTCCTATAACCTTAAAGTTGTGGCAACTGCCCAGCTTAGCTTGCCCCACTTGGATAGAAGATTGTTTTTCTTAGCATGAAATAAATGGATTGTGGCTTGGATGATGTAGCTGCTTCCGTTGTCTCAACCACTGATGCAGATCACAGCATGAGTGATGTGGCGGCAGCAGCCATCCAGAACCACTATGAAAGTGGGTGCGATGAATGGAGTGGCTGGATACGAAATGAGTTTGGCCTGCATGATTGGCTTCAGGTGCCCAGGAAGGCTTTTTTCCAGTAACCCAAGTCCTAAGAAGAATACTCTACACTAAGGTTCACATTTGTCACACCCTCTGCACAGCCCTGGTTACCCTAAAAATTCTTTTAGCCTTAATATGAAAGGATGCTATTGTTGACTGCCAAGAAGAGAGGTTGATGTGCCACAATGTCTTATTTCAAGCAGCCAAGTCGGGTCTAACTCATTTGGGAAATGAGCATATGTTTTTGCTACTTAAAGTGTGGCCTCTACATCAGCATATCAATTACAGAGAAGACCCTAAAGATGCTCTACTTGCTACTTAAAGTATGGTCTATGGATCAGCAGCATTGGCATCACCAAGGCTGATTGTTAGAACTGCATACTCTTGGGCCCCACTCTAGACTTAATGAACCAGAATGTACATTTTAACAAGCTTCTCAGGTGATTCATTAGCCCATCAAAATTTGAGAAGCACTGGCCTAGTCATTCTTGTATAACGACTGAGAACTACGCTTTGGCTGGTTAACACAGATTGGTAATTCAAGAGCAGGAAAGGCCCAGGCTGCAGTGGAGATTATGGATGGGACATGAACAGTGTAGGGCTAGCAGGGGACCAGGACATGATTTGGCAAAGTTTAGAGAGTGACCAACTTGCTCAACCTAGGCCCAAGTCAAAGCTGTTAACATGCTGAAAAATTTATGTAGATGGATCTAGGACATACTGAGTTGCAAGTCAGGGTCTTCACTACTGGAGATATTCCAAACAAGGCAGACCCAGGGAAAATCAACACTACTGGGCTGGAAAGAACTTTTCAGTACTCAGTCCAAATGAGCAGCACAATCTCATCTATTAACCTGTTGTCCGTTGCCTTTCCTATCAGCCATGGAGGCTCACAAAGGTCTGTAGCCAACGAATTCTTGGCACCGAGACTACAGCGCACAGTGGCTTCCCACACAGGTAGGTAGGAAGGGCTGCATGTAGTGAAGATGCTGGACTGAATCCTAGAGTAGGGAGGGGCAAGAGATCCAGAGGACAGTCATCAGTCCTATCTGCCTGGGCATCTGATATGAAACTCTAAAACCTGCTCAGAGGTGGGGAAAGGACAGTTAAAGTCATCAGAGGAAGAACTGTAGAATTGCTTCCCCTTAGTTGTGTCTCTGCCCTGCTTGAAGTGCTGCTATTTGCTTCCAGTTTTTTAAATGCTCCCAAAGTTTTGCCTCCAGTGATTGTTCCCAAAGAATACATTCCCTGAATCCCATATCAAATCCTACCAACTCAAAGCATCTAGTTTTTGTTCTCCTTGGACCAACCACAGAATCCACATGACAATAGAAAGAGAAATGTTATCTCCTATTATCATCTTCCCTGTCCCTCCCTTCTGCCCCAATTTAGTCAGCAAGTGTTATGGAGCTGTGCAAAATTTTATAGCTGATGGAGTATTTACATTGATGAAAATTCTGAAAGTGGCCTTCCAGGGGCCCCAAGGTTGTTTCAAGGGTAAAGTTGCTGTGACAACTTTGTCCTGGCTTTGCCTTGATGGTGGTGGCATGGAAATGAAAGACTTGTAAACTGTCTCTTGTCCCTAGAGCCTGACAGTCTCCTGTGCCATTTTAATTTGAGCTTTTTGGATTGGAACAGGATGAATGAGCAGGGGAGGTTAATTATCCTAATTAGAAAAGAAGTGAAGCCATGGCCCTTTTAGGTCAGACATTTGGACAAACCTCCCCTGGCTGCAAGCTTTCGGCATTAGATAGTTGAGTGCCACAGGATGCACAAAGCATCTTCCCCAATTCTCTGCCAAAGTCCCTGGAGCAAGACAAAGAAGAATTATTTTCAGAAAATGGTGTGTGATCAGCTTGTGCCCCAGGGCTAGAGAGAGGGTTATCTGGAGGTGGCAGATATGTGGGCACAGCTGGATGGGTACAAGTATGTTGGTTCAACCCTAGGCTCCCCTACTCTGTCTGTGGTGCCAAGAAAGCTCAATGTAGCTTGGAGAAATACTGCTGTTGTGATCATTTCGAAAGATATGCATCCTCCCCTGAGCCTTTTGACATTCCTATCTTCAGCTGGCTGAGGCTGTGATTATATCTTTTTGGAAGGTAAGCTTCTCTGGCCAGAGGTTGCTAGTATTTCTTGAATCAATATTTTGCTGTTGGATTTATTGATTCCCAGGTGCAACACCCCTCTCTTCTTCTACTTTCCAATGTATCATATATTATTTGAATAGATCAACCCTGCTTCCAATGTAGAACATGCTTTAGAATGTATGTGGAAGTTATTAGCACAGTACTTGGCACATAGTAGGTACTCACTAAATGTTAATTTACTCCCTCCCTTCTTTCTAGGGAAGAGTGTGTCTGGGGCACAGCCACAGTAGTCACCTGTTCTGCTCTCTGAGCCTTGTGTTTGCACGTGTAATATCTGGTCAACTTGCGATTTGGTGGCATAAGGGAATCATAAAGCCTTAGATAAAGCTAGAGTAGTGACTGTATAATATTAAAGATCAAACTGGCCAATAAGCCAGGTAGACCCAACAGACATGTCTATTACTTGCTTTTGAATTATCCACATACCCAAGGGATGAATAAGAAAAGAACTTAAGCTCCATCTTTCAAAACAGCCCTCAGATTCTTGAATGATCAATCTGAGGGTCTATTATAATTTGCCTTATGCATACAGAATAGTCTAAGAACATTAACGTCAATGACTCCTAACAGAATGATAGAGCAAGTGGAAGTCTCAATAGACCATTTAGTCTACCCAACCCATCTTCCCCCACCACCTCCCATCTTCAGCTATTCTGTCTACCTATGCTTTAAAACTTACTTTTCTCAATTATTTGCAACGGGGACAGGGAATCCAAGGTTCGAATAGTACCAAATAGTGAATATGCTTAAACTCACTTGTATTTAATTGTGTAACCTATTTTATACTTTGTTTGAATGTGTCTGCATGCTGTGGGAATGAATTTAACTATAAAGGCCTGATGCTAGAGGAAAGGAGAATCTGCCTCAGTTTCTTGTGCATTTTCTACTTTCCACTCTCTCCATGCTCATCTCTCAGACATATACAAAATGCCTATGTAGAATTTCCCTCAGTGCAGAAAAATAAATGCTAATGGCCAAACTCGAAAGCAGTATTGGCATTATAGGTAACGAATCCCTTATAATTGGACAAGGATAATGCAAGAGACAAGTCTTCCAAAGTCTCAATGTTTATTTTTGGTATAAGAAGTATCTTTTGGGTATGTGTAGAAAATCTATATTTTAAGATATAGAACATATACAGATAATATAGTGCTTATGCATCATTTCTCTAATTTCTTTATCTTATTTATTTGGTTGTGGGTTTTTGCTATATTTTGGTAGTTCCTAAGTCTTGGCATGACACTCTTTGGTAAGTGAAACAAGTCACTCTCCAGTAGTTAGAATCATGAGCAGAGTTTTACATTGTGTTTGGGTGGGTGTGGGTTCAAAATCAGGTCAGCTGGTATAAACTCGACGTGAAAACAGTACATTTTTCTTAGACTCCTAGAAGCCTAAGTTTAATAGATGTGGCTCAGGCAAGCTTCTCCAGCAATTCTTTCTTGTGGGAGGAAGTATCCAGGTGCTAGCTCTACTTGGGGAGTGGGTTGTATCCTCAGAAATATTTAACATTATAGAACTTTCAAGGTTTGCTTTTTTGTCATTGAAGATTTATAACCATGGGGTGGAAAGAAGACCTAGAAATGGATTTTGAACATTTTGAGAGTTGGCAACGAAAAGCTTAAGAAGATAGGACTGCCACCAAATTCCAAGACTGCCTGTGGCATTGCTGACAATAAGTAAAATAATCTCTTTATTTATTTTATCTGATTTATTCCAAGACTCTCTTCTTGCCTTTCAATTAGTAATACAGACTTTATTTCAAACTACCTCCAGGCCAGTATAGCCTTTTGGAAGCAGTTGCCAAACTGTCCTTTATTTAATTCTTCAAACTACTGCCTTATACTTGTCAGATGGACTTTTCTTCTTACATGGGAGTTGTCCTTATTAGCCCTCTTGAAGGTGGTCATCAAAGGGACTCTGGTAGCCTTTACAGATGGGATCCGCAAAACCTCTGTGCTTAGTCAACTTGGGCTAGTATTCCTGAGACTGTTCCCTGGTCTTTGGCACTTCGAAGGCACTGAATAAGAGAAGGAGCCTGGAGGAAATATTTTCCACTGAGGTAGACTCTGCTAGAATTATGCATAATACTGAAGTTATAGAGGCCATGTAAGAAATCACAGAGATGGTATAATCGCAGGACATCAGAAGTGAAAGGGACCTTAGATATCATCTAATTTAATCTTTTGATTTTACAGATGTACACACTAAAAGCCAGAGGGAAATGTGGCATGCTTGGAAATTGTAAAGGGAGGAGGAAGGGGAAAAGTTCCTTTCAGTAACATATGTAGAATTGAATGCTTACCAAGAAGTCTTTTTGTTGTTGTTGTTGTTATTGTTGTTGTTATTGAAATGCCATTGAAAGTTTCTATAAAATATGTAAGCCCACTTTTCTTCCTTGATAAATATAACCAACTGAATATTGCAGAATCTTTTTTGGTGCCCAAGGATATTACAATGTCTCAGGGTCATCTTTCTGAACATAGGTATTCATTACCCAGGACTGTAGAAGTTAAAATGGAGGCAACTGGCTAAATGTGTACTGACCCTGGAGCAGCCCAAGGAGACTGTCACTTTTACTAAATCCCTGATATCACCCGCTCCTTTTGAAATCATTTTTTTTTTCCTAAAATCTCTAGGCAGAAATTTTGGCTATTTGAAGATTCTGACCCATCAGACTCTGTTTGATAGAGATTTTACTGTAAAAAGAAATTTAAATGTTATTTTGGAATCTGAAATTAGGGCTGACACATGCTATATCTTCACTGGATTCTCCTTGGTTGTAGCACTAAAAGTGGGGCTTTGGGGGCTAATGGGAGATCCTCCTCACAGAAGAAGTGTCTGAAGTGAGTCAAGATTCTCCTTGGGTATGGGAGCAAAAGTTGGGGTGGAGTGGTCAAGAAGTGTGGTGTCAAATAACATGGCCTTATTGCAAAGAATGGAACTAGACCAGTACTGACCCCGCCTGAAATAAGTAACGATGCAAAACATGAAACATAGATGAAACATCAGAGAAAGAGATGAACTTTTTAACCATAGTGCCTTCACAGATATATGTTTCCTTAAAATGTTTACATAGTGAAGCTTATGACTCTCATCAATGGATGACAACCTATTCCCAGCAGTAGATATCCTGCTGGGTAAATTATATATTTTATTTCACCTTAACATCTTTTCCTGTATACATCACACCGTCACCCAAACCAAGGTGACAAATGTTCTTCGGAAGTGTTCTTTCATTTTTCTATATGGTTCCTGACTAGAAGGAACTAAGCCTTCCTAGCTGAACCAAAGCACTGCTCTAAAAACAAGTGAATGATTTTATGACTTGTTTGGTTAGTCAATGACAAATCTAGATTTTTCCCACTACTGAGAATTCTGCTTTCCAATGTGATTGATCAGGAGCTTGGACACACTCTTACTAGATCCTGCAACCCAATATCTGAATAAAATCTAAATGCATTAACATTAATTTTACTTTAAATAAATGTTGCAGTAGTCCTTAAAAGTAATAGGAGACCATTCTGGGGTGAAAAAATTGTGAAGGGGTTGGCAGTGGAAAGTTTTTGCTATGAAACTCAGATTTGAAATAGTCTCTGGGAGCCCACGTCATAGAAAGGAAATTCTATTGTGAGTGTGTAATATTAAACACTTGTCCTATTAGACTTAGACAGAGGATAGAATTGCTAAGGGGTACGCCATGACCATTACAATAGCTCTTCCTTGGCCCTTCTCTGACCTTATCAAGATATTAAAACTCCTCAATGGATCTTTCTGGCTTATAGGGAAAGGTTTCAGTATTAGAAGATCACACAGGCCAATGTTACCCTTGACTTCTCTAAGCATACAAAAGTGGTTCTGTGTAGACGATAGAGTAATAGACCCATATAATGATCCTCAGAAATTCAGGGAGAGATATTTATTAGTAAATTGCATGCCTTCTACTACATACAATTCCTGGTAACCCTGTGAGGTGGGAGTATTACTATCTCTAGGAGAGAATCGAGATCCAGAGAGAGGCATATTTTGACCAAGGTCACCCAGCTTCTAAGTCCTGGGGGCAAGGAGGTAACCCTATGTCTATCTGATTCCAAAGCCTATGCTCTTTCCACATCACTAAAGACCAGGGAGGAGAGAAGTGGTGTGGATAAAACACACTTTCAAAACTGTAAAGACTATATTGGAATTGGAAAGACATGTAGAGACCATCCCATTAGTCTTATTTTACATATATTGGAAACTGAGGTCCAGAGAAGGATACTGACTGACTCAAGGTCATACAGAAGAGATCTTAGCCAAGATTTTGACACAGAATTAATCTCATCTGAATAAGACCCAGAATTTAGAAAGAACCAAAAACTACCCTCTAATCCAGTGACATCTGATTCTATGTCTAAGATCCGATTCCAGGCTATTCAGAAGGTGTTCAGTCTGTCTTTTAAAGGTGTGCTTTGCACAGAAACACCATTTCTTAAATACCAGGCTCATGAGGGCCAGATACGTTTATTCTAGGCCTTGTGCAGCCTGTATCCCTTACTTTTGTCTGGTCACGAAGTTATCCAGGCAGAAGATTATAAATTACTGGGCAAAGCCATAGCCACTGCTGGGAAAACAATTTAAAGTTTTGATGAATTTTGTTGCAAATAGTGAAATCTGCTTGGAATCTTATATGAAGACACTATCTCAAATATTGTCAGCTTATTGCCTAATACTTGTGTGGGCCCAGCTTCCACAGGAGGATTGGGCTCATAATCATTGGAAAAGTTTGGATTTAGAACAGTTTTCTCCTTCTCCCTCTTCAGGAACATTTTAAATTATGTAATAAAGAGTTGAAAGTGTGAGCTCTGTAGTCACACAAAGCAACATTTAAGTTCTAGCTCCACCACTTACTAGCTGTGTGACTTTGAAAAAGTTATTCAACTTCTCTGTGCATCAGTTTCTCCACATATAAAATGAAAATAGTAGCATCTGACATTTATTGGATGGTTACTATGTGATGGGCATTGCTCTAAGTGTTTCATACATATTAACTCCTTTAATTCTAATGGGTACTAGAGGTAGGTGCTGCTATTATCTCCATTCTATAGATTAGGAAACTAAGGCATAGAGAGTTTAAATATCTTGTCCAAGAAGGTCTTTCCATAACAGTAAAGGGTTCAATTCAACAAGATCTAAGTATCCTAAACATATGTGCGCCTAATACAGGAGCACCAAGATTCAAAAAGCAAGTTCTTAGAGACCTTCAAAGAGATTTAGACTCCCAGACAATAATAGTGGGATACTTCAACACCCCACTGACAGGATTAGACAGATTGTTGAGACAGAAAATTAACAAAGATATTCAGGACTTGAACTCAACACTGGACCAAACGGACCTGATAGATATCTACAGAACTCTCTACCCAAAAACAACAGAATATATATTCCTCCCATTGGCACATGGCACATACTCTAAAATTGACCACGTGATCAGAAGTAAAGCACTTCTCAGCAAATGCAAAAGAACTGAAATTGTAACAAACAGTCTCTGGGACCACAGCACGATCAAATTACAAATGAAGACTAAGAAATTCATTCAAAACCATACAATTACATGGAAATTGAATAACCTGCTCCTGAATGACTTTTGGATAAATAATGAACTTAAGGCAAAAATCAAGAAGTTTTTTGAAAACTAATGAGAACAAAGATACAACATATCAGAATCTCTGAGACACAGCTAAGGCAGTGTTAGAGCGAAATTTATAGCACTAAATGCCCATCTCGAAAAGTTAGAAAGATCTCAAATTAACAACCTAACATCACAGCTAAAAAAACCAATGAGCCAGAAGCAAACAAATACCAAAGCTAGCAGAACACAAGAACCAAAAGCAGAGCTGAACTGAAGGAGGTCGAGATACAAAAAACAAACAAACAAACAAACAAACAAACAAAAAACCATTAAAAAATCAATGAATCCCGGAGCTGGATTTTTGAAAAGAAATTAATAAAATAGATAGACCATTAGCTAGACTAATAAGAAAAGAGAGAAAATTCAAATAAACAGTCAGAAATGCATAAATTCCTAGATACATACACCCTCCCAAGACTGAACCATGGAGAAATTAAATCCCTGAAAAGATCAATAATGAGCTCTGAAATTGAGGCAGTAGTAAGTAGCCTACCAACCAAAAAAAAAAAAAAAAAAAAAAAAAAAGCCCAGGACCAGACAGATTCACAGCTGAATTCTACCACATGTACAAAGAAGAGCTGGAACCATTCCAACTGAAACTATTCTAAAAAATTGAGGAGGAGGGTCTCCTCCCTAACTCATTCTATGAGGCCAGCATCATCCTGGTACCAAATCCTGGTAACGACACAACAATAAAAGAAAACTTCAGGCCAATATCCCAGATGAACATACGTGCAAAATCCTCAACAAAATACTAGCAAACCGAATCCAGCAGCACATCCAAAAACTAATCCATCATGATCAAGTTGGCTTTATCCCTGGGATGCAAGATTGGTTCAACATACACAAATCAATAAATGTGATTCATCAGATAAACAGAATTAAAGACAAAAACCATGATTACCTTAATATATGCAGAAAATGCTTTTGATAAAATTCAACATCTGTTTATGTTAAAAAACTCTAAATAAACTAGGTATTGAAGGAGCATACCTCAAAATAGTAAGTCATATATGACAAACCCACAGCCAATGTCATACTGAATGGGAAAAAGTGAGAAGCATTCCCCCTTGAAAATCAGCACAAGACAAGGATGCCTTCTCTCACCACTCCTATTCAGCATAGTATTGGAAGTTCTGGCCAGGGCAATCAGGCAAGAGAAATAAATAAAGGGCATCCAAATAGGAAGAGAGGAAGTCAAACTATCCCTGTTGGCAGATGACATGATCCTATATCTAGAAAATTCCATAGTCTCAGCCCCAAAGCTTCTTAAGCTGATAAGCAACTTCAGCAAAGTCTCAGGATACAAAATCCATGTGCAAAAATTACTAGCATTCCTATACACAAACAACAGTCAAGCCTAGAGCTAAATTAGGAACAAACTCCCATTCACAATTGCCACAGAAAGAATAAAATACCTAGGAATACAGCTAACTAGGGAGCCAAAAGATCTCTACAAGGAGAACTACAAACCACTGCTCAAAGAAATCAGAGATGACACAAACAAATGGAAAAACATTCCATACTCATGGATAGGAAGAATCAATATCGTGAAAATGGCCATACTGCCCAAAGCAATTTATAGACTCAATGCTATTCCTATTAAACTACCATGGAGTTTCTTCACAAAACTATAAAAAAGTATTTTAAAATTCATATGGAACCACAAAAAGAGCCTGAATAGCCAAGCAATCCTAAACAAGAAGAACAAAGCTGGAGGCATCATGCTGTCTAACTTCATACTATAGTACAAGGCTAAAGTAACCAAAACAGCATGGTACTGGTGCAAAAAAATAGACACATTGACCAATGGAACAGAATAGACAACCCAGAAATGAGACCATACACCTACAACTATCTGATCTTCGACAAACCTGACAAAAACAAGCAATGGAGAAAAATTCCCTATTCAATGAACAGTACTGGGAAAGCTGACTAGCCATATGCAGAAGATTGAAACTGGACTCCTTACACCATAAAAAAAATTAACTCAAGATGAAAAAAAGACTTAAATATAAAACCCAAAACTATAAAAACCCTGGAAGACAACCAGGGAAATAGCATTCAGAACATAGGCATGGGCAAAGATTTCATGAGGAAGACACCAAAAGCAACTGCAACAAAAGCAAAAATTGACAAATGGTATCTAATTAAACTAAAGAGCTTCTGCATAACAAAATAAACTATCAACAGTATAAATAGACAACCTACACAATGGGAAAAAATTTTTGCAAACTATGAGTCTGATAAAGGTATAATATATAGCATCTATAAGGAACTTAAACCAATTTACAAGAAAAAGCAAACGACCCCATTAAAAAGTGGGCAAAAGGACATGAATAGACACTTTTCAAAAGAAGACATACATGCAGTCAATAATCATATGAAAAAAGCTCAACATCACTGATCATTAGAGAAATGTAAATGAAAATCACAATGAGATACCATGCCACAACAGTCAGAATGGCTATTATTAGAAAGTCAAAAAATAACAGATGCTGGTGAGGTTGTGGAGAAAATGGTACCCTTATATACCCTTGCTGGGAGTGTAAATTAGCTCAACCATTGTGGAAGACAGTGTTTTGATTCCTCAGAGACCTAAAAGCAGAACTGTAATTTGACCCAACAATCCCATTACTGGGCATATACCCAGAGGAATGTAAATCCTTCTACCATAAAGACACATGCATGTGACTGTTCATTGCAGCATATTCACAATAGCAGAGACATGGAATCAGCCTAAATGCCCATCAAAGAGAGATTGGATAAAGAAAATGTCATAATATACACCATGCAATACTATGCAGCATAAAAAAGAACAGCATAAAAAAAATCGTGTCCTTTGAGGAGACATTGATGGAGCTGGAGGCCATTATCCTTAGCAAACTAACACAGGAACAGAAAAACAAATACCGCATGTTCTTATTTATAAGTGGGAGCTAAATGATGAGAACACACAGGCACATAGAGGGGAAAAACACATACGGGGGCCTCTCAGAGGGTGGAGGGTGGGAGAAGGGAGAGGACCAGGAAAAATAACTAATGGGTACTAGGCTTAATATCTGGGTGAGGAAATAATCTGTACAACAAACCCCTATGACATAAGTTTATCTATGTAACAAACCTGCACATGTACCCCCGAACATAAAATAAAAGTTAAAAAAAATATTTTCCAAGATCTCACAGCTAGTAAGTAGCAAAGGTAGGATTCAAACTCAGACCATTTTACTTTAGAGCCTACGCACTTTGCCACTACACTAAACCTAACTCATCGAATTAATGTGAGGATTAAATGGGATGATAAATGAAAAAGTGTAACCTGAGGCCTTTGCAGATAGTAAGCACTAGACAAACATTAGCTATTGTTACCACTTTTCCCCACTTCCAAAAGTACTGATTAGTAAATTATTCCATTTCCAATAAGCCTTCCCTGAACAACCCAATCTACCTGATCTTCCCTATGATTGCATTACTGCAATGTAAACCACATGAATTAGAGCTAGATTATATATTGTCCTTGCTAAAAGCTATGTCTTTTCCTTTGTCTGTATTCTATCTAGTGCCTAATAAACCCATAGGGGTTCAAGAGGTTTTATAGACTGGAATGTGCAGTGTGACGATTGGAGTCAGGTGACAGGATTAACAACTGTTCCCATGGCACAGAACTTGTCAAGCTTTAACATGCACGGGAATCACATGAGAATCTTGTAAATGTGGATTCTGATTCCATAGGTCTGGGATGGGGCCTGAAATTCTGACAAGCTCCCAGTTGATGCTGATGCTTCTGGTCTATGGACCACACTTTAAGTAGCAAGGCTATAGGGTAGTGTCTTTAGGGTCTTCTCCATAATTGGTATGCTTTGGGAGAGGCATGCTTGAATATATTTAATAAACTAAGTTATATAAGAACTTCTATTATATACCACAATACAAAGTGAAATCGAGCATTTTATTCTCATGGGATAAAAAATAATATGGAAATTAGAGACTGGTCATGAACAACCATTCATTTAACAAGGCTTTATTTAAAACCCTGCTACATGCAAAGCCTCATGCTAACAGTTACTGTGAACAATATAAAGATGAGTTTAAGGTATAGGCTACACATTATCATGTGGACTGTCAACTTTGGTAAAGGCTTCCATTTTCTGCTCCAGTGAACTAAGTGGACTTTGCATGTCCAAATTGAAATTTGGAAGGAAAGTAGTATAATTATTTATTTGTGTGCAAGAATTAGTAATGCCAATTACTGCCATTTAGATTTGCTGATTGTACTTAACACTATTTTCCACCGTATATTATTGGAGTAATTGTTTGTGTCAAAGTAATTTCTGAGGGAACATAGCGTGATTTATCTCAAGTCATAGTTAGATGATCTGGATGTTCCAGTCTCTTGAATAGTAGAAGGAAACACAGGCTTTTAAATGATATGTGGAGGTTGGGGTGGGAATTGGGGAGGGTGCTGGTAACAGGAGGGGGAAGAAGAACAAGTTTGATTCATGAGCATAGGGTAAGAAAACAACATCCTAGACTTTTTTTTGCATATGTTTCTCAAAGTAAATTAACCAAGGGCAGTACAGGTTGCAGATAACACCATTCAGTAGTAAGAACATTCGGCCAGAAGTCAAGAGACCTGTAATCTAGTCTGTCCTTTATATCGACCTTGTTGTGGGACCTAGGATAAGTTATGTCACCACTCCAAGCATACCAATGTAGAGTTAATTGTACCAGTGTTAGTGTTCATATCCAAAGACATTATCTGAGGATAATAGGTTGATGAGTAAAAGTGGTATAAACAGTCAAGGTTGCATCAGTAATTATTTTGCACACATTGAAATAAAAAATTCTTCAAACTTTCTATGTATATGATGGAAAAACAAAGGTCATTCTCCCTTCATTCTAAGGTGGGAGTGAGAGAAATACTGCTCCATGTGTGGAATACCTTTTATGCCAGAGAAAGAAGGGGTTTCTACACACATATCACTTAGTGATACATTCCAACATTTTAAAGGATGGAGATAGAAAAGAGGTATAGGCAATTGGACTATCTACTGAAAAAAAGAAGTAATATGACCTATGTATGTCTGTGTTTCTTGCCTCTTACATCTAAAAATTGGAGTGTGCCAAAAACCCAATCAGAAACAATAGATGTTTCTGATCAATCTGCTCCTAATCAACTAGGGTTTTATTCATTTCCTTTTTTATAGATCCCAATTCTGAGTCAGCTAGCTGCTAGCTCCAGCATGGGCCATGACACTTAAATCATAGTGTACTTTGGATGGTGCCTTTCTTGCAGGGTGACCATAACTCAGAACACTTCCGAATGTGCTATTTAAATATCCAACTCAGTAACCTGTAACATAAAGAACCCCTCCATGCCATTTGTTATGATAGGTAGTGTGAAGCACGACTCTGATTCTGGGGGCTCAAATGTGCAATAAATCCAATGGCACTCTGCTGGTAGTGCACATAATTATAAAATATGCAGAATGCTTGTTATTAACTAGTCTCATGGAGAAGATCTACTGTGTCATGCAGGATGTATTTTAGAATGGAGCTAAAAACAGTGACTGATTTTTAAAAATTCACGTCTCTTCTATCCTTCTAGTCATTTAACTTCTAAGAACTAGCAAACATTTATAGACATGTAATGAAGGAGAAACAAGGCCCATTCGCAAAGGCTGATAAAAATTATCGTTTGCCTCTTAAGTGACGATTAAATCCTGGTTTTGTTTTTTAATATGAAATTATTTAACACAGCATTTTTATGGTGACTATGCAGAAATAGAGACCAAGATATAAATCAGCAAGGAATTATCAGGGGAGCCTTCTAATAGTTATAAAACAATGAAAGCCATTTGTAATCTTTAACTGTTTGAATCCCAGTTGAATAGACTATTATTCTTTGGCCAATAGTTATCGCTAGCAGATAGGCATTTGTATACATTAAAAATAAAACAACAAAAAATTAAAAACATATACATAGTTCCTTCTGCAGTAAAGCTACAGCAACTAATTGTAGTACACTTGTGGAAGAAGGAATGCTCATAGGGATTGACTGAAAGCCATTAAGGATGCAAGCTTTGATTATATGGAGAGGCTGTAGGCACGTAAGAAATGGAAGAAGGCTTTGCTCAGTTGATGCTAGCTTTGTGAATCTTGGTATGGTGGTTTCCAGGGTGTGATGCTACTGGTTTCCTGTTCTAAGAAGTATTCCCAGCCGTACCCACAGAGATAGCTTCACCATAACTTCTTCCTTTTCCTGTTTGAAAGGGAGTCTCTTTTGGGGACATAAAATCCTAGAGCTAGTTTCTATTAGTGCTAAGTGACTCCTCACTGGAGAGTCAAGGCTACATACCATCAAAAATAATGGTTTCCCAAGAGTCAGGAGACTCCAAACAAATGTTCACCTGCATAGGACCTGATTTCTTGGAAATTTGAATGGGTGGCTATAACTTTATCAGGTTACTCTTTAAAAGGAACAGTTGGAATGAAGTGGCCTTCAGTTTCCATTATTCACTACTGGCTAGTGACATGCTCTTCCTTTATCTGCCTATTTGTGTGCACATCAAAGATTAGTATGGTTGTGATAAGCACAGAGTGTGAAGTCAAACTGCAGGAGTTTACCTCTCAGTTCTGCTACCTATTAGCTGCATGACTCTGGGTAAGTTATTTAATATCTCTGTGCCTCAGTTTCTTCATCTTCAAAATAGGGATAATAATAACAGTACCAAACTCATTGAGTCATCAGGATTAAATTTAAAAAGTATATAAAAACACTTAGCCCAGTACTTTGTCCATGATAAACAGCCAATAGATTTTTTTTTTTTATTAGCAAGGACTCTTTGTTGCAAGGGACAGAAACCTGACTTAAATTGACTTGAAAGAAAGACATTATTGGCTTAATTGAAAAATCTGGAGAGCAAATGATGTCAGAATTCAGTCTCTTTCTTTATCCCTTGTCTCTGCTTTATAAGTATCATTATTTTGACTTAAACTCTATGCCTCAATGTCTTAATCTATAAAATTGGAAGATAATAATAAATCTACTTCATGGGATTATTGTGAAGAGTGAGTTAATGTACGTGAGGTGCTTCCAACAGGACTTGGCACATAGTAAGCCTTATATAACTTTTACTATTATTGTTGTTATTATGTTAATATCCAGTGTCTTCTTCCTGTATTTTCGCTTTGCACTTTCACAGCCATTCTCCGTTTTGCTTCTACCCTCAACTGCTTCTTTTATTCTCCTTCCTACTGTCCCTTCCCCACCTAGTCCCTTTCTTCTACTCCATAAATTATTACTACCCTCCCCACCCATGAATTCTAATGACTCATATATAGAGATGTTATGTTGGGTGGGATTTTATATCAGGTATGGGCAAGCAAAAGCACAGGGGATGCAGTGGATGGTACAGGAGTATCAATGAACACTTTCATTTATTTCACTAAGGTGCTGCCTTTCTATCAACCTTATCCTTCCTCAAACCTTCTACTTTATGAAATGTTTCGTGGTTAGGATTTATTATATATTTTCTATGAGTGTCTGTAAGACACTATACTGGGTGCTTTGTAACACTCTGCATCATTTAAGAAATGGGTCTAAATATCCCACTTCAGTATACTCTTTTGATTCCAACATAAGCTTGGCATAGATAGGTGTCATGATTGACTCATTCCAGAGCCCTGCCGCTCTCCTACTTCTCTTTGGTTCACTCTCTTCCCAGGGGTCTAGTGGCCACCTACTCTTCCGTGTCTATCTTGAAGTTCCTTCTGGTGCACCTCACTGAGTTCTGCTTGGATTCTAAATTATAAACCATCCCTTTCCTATTTCTCAAAATTTAAAAACACCAGAAGGTACCATACCCTTAGGGCTCTGATCTCTTCTGGGTGACAATAGGCCAACCAGATAAACTAATCCCAGATAACATATTATCCTTCCCTAGAAATGGAGTGCACCTGTTACCAGAAAGCCCTAAGGGACTTGGACTTTCGCCATGATCGTCCAAGGTAAAAAGAAATCTGTGGGCATGAATTTTCTTCTCAAATCACATTTGGTAGACAGTTTTGTATTCCACTGCTACCAGCCTGCAGAAAGTTGGATTTTGAAGAGTCTATGCCATGTAATCCTACTGGCCACTTCTTGACTTCCCCAAAGTCTTTTTCCATTCTGACTTTACTAAAAACAAAGTGTTACTGAGCTTAGGTTTTAAGCTGCAGGGATTTTCTGGTTGGCCTCATTCACATCAAAGCAGCAAAGACTCGTTCTTTTGTGAGAGCCGTTTATTTATCTTTCCTTGGAGAGAGAATCCCCAGGAAAAATTCCTTAGTAAAAATCATTCTGGAGCTCTTAATGATTTTGCATTTGCTTTTTTGGGGTGTGGGGTGGGGGGAGGTCTTCAAAGGTTGTTTTTAGGTTAGAAGAAGTCCTTTGTACCGACTAGTCAGCAAGTAGGATGAGATTGGAGACTGTGTGGAAATAAAGGTGTGGAGGTGAGGTGACACCAAAAGTACCTGCCTATGCCATTGTATTGGTGTCCATAGCTGGAACCTATTCTGCAGCCCATCTTTAAAAGCAATTTGTAGTACATCCAGGCACAAATCCAATTAAAAAGCAGAAAGAGATTTGCATGCATAAAATAACTCTGATGCACAGTTTTTAAAAATGATCCTGATAGCTAAAATTCAAAGACCTTTCTTTGTGATGGTCCCTATATTGAGCGGGTTAGCTGATGTTTGAATCTCTGCCCCAAATAATTTGAAAGATTAGATGAAATTATGTTCTCAAAGCTCAGTGCAGCTTGGTGGCTAGGAAAAAAAAATAAAACTTGACACACAGCTAGATGCTAGTTTTGGTAATTTATCCCTCTGGAGTAGCTTCATTCTCTGAATTCTGGTTAGCCTGAGGCAAAAGTCAGATCTCCAAGCACATGGTACAGTGTTTGGCACCTAGTAGGTGCCCAGTGAATATGGTTGATCTAAGGGCAGCCAGAGCTCTCCTTTGGTCTTTGGCAGGCATCGTTTGTTGCCTACCCAATATCTATTTCCTCCTTCTTTGCTAACACAATCCTGGTTTTGTTTAAGGTGGCAATGTGCCCAGCTAGATACTTTGTTTCCCAGGCTCCCTTGCAACTGATATTGAGGAGGCGGGCCATGCAATATAGTTCTGGCAAACGAGATGTGAATGGGAAACAAGCATATAGGTGAAAGCCAGGTGATAAGGATGGAGAAGCAAAAAGGAAGAGCTTAGGTCTTTGATGTTATTCTTTTATACTTTCTCTTAAAAATTGTACTTTTTTTCTTTTCTTTTTTTAAAAATAATTTCAACTTTTATTTGAGATTCAGGGGTACATGTGCAGGTTTGTATATTGTGTGATGCTGAAGCTTGGGGTATGATTGCTTTGGCCACCCAGGTACTGAGCATAGCACCCAACAGTTTTTCAACTCTTGCCTTCTTCTCTCCCTCTCTCAGTAGTAGTTCCCGGTGTCTGTTGTTGCCATTTGATGGTATTCTTAAGCAGCAGAAACAATGCCTACAACTACCTGCTTGAAGGCTTTTACTACTTATTTAAAGCACAGATAGTCAAGATTTGCTACTTGCAGCCTTGTTATCTTAATAGATACATATCTACCTACTACCAGGCTTCCAGCACCTTCAAGGCTTTTCAGTTCCTGGCTATTCAGTTCTCCTCAGTAGGGTGCTTTGTCCAGGTCAGCCTGCTATGCCAGTGTGCCCAGTTTCAGGTCTTTCCTGATCTCCATTCACTACCACTATTAAAACCAATAAAGCTTAATCTGTTCTGTGTCCTGTTTCCCTCAGGGCCTTGTGAAGTGATAGAAGCTAATTGAATAAATGCCTGTGTGTTAAAGCTTTAACTTATAGCAGAGTTCTCCACTGTGTTAGCCTCAAAGGGTGACCCCCCTCCATTGTAACAAATGGATTTTGATAGCTGTGGCAGGGAAATCAAGGGACACATTTTGGGTCAGAGAAAGACTTTGGATGCTCATTAACCCCACCTTATAAGTGGCCACCTTCAAAAGGTCTGGCTCCATTTGGAATTATTGTAGGGATGACTTTTTATTACTTTCACAGATTTTATTCAAATTCTCAGTAATATTTGCATGATCCTGAAAAGTAATGCGAAAAAGAGCATTGGATAAGATCCTCTGCAGAAATGTAAAAGTTATTGTGCTATATAAATTGAGAACATGATTATGATGTCTAATGCAAATAATTTTTTTATACATATACCCTTACACACACACACACACACACACACACACACACACACACACACAGTCCTTTGAGGAGAGGGAGCAAGAGAAACAGAATTTAGAAGCCAATTAAAACTGAGCATTAGTGAATTGCACATGTTGGGTGCCCCCTCCCATATAGAGGACTCATCTGTTTGGTTCTGTGTCCTAGCAACCTATATCTCCATAGTGTTTTCTGACCTTCATTAGTTAATCTACTCTGTGTGGAATTGTATTGAGAAGCTCACAATGAAAAACTGTAAGTTATATAGTGACTAGCCCAGAAGACACAAAATATATATTTGCTGTAACTTGACAATAAACCAAAAAGCAAAAACTCGGGCAGACCCATAGCTGGTAAAGCAGGTGAAAGAATTGCATTTCATCCCCTAACTTCCAAAGTCTTCCCCACCCTAGAAAGAAGAGGTGCATGCCAAGTAATGAATTGATAATATTTTAGTGCTATAGGAGGGAGAGTTCCAACCCTTGGGTCTGTTCATCTTTCTCATAATGTTGCTCTCGGTTATTTTCCTCACCATTTTTTTCCTCTCTCAATGTCTCTTTTTCTCCTATATCTTAATGCATCATTTCAATATAAACTATGGCATTTCACAGAACAGTGAAAACACCAATATCAGTATGAAGTATAAATGGCTTTGAAATATCTCCAGAATATATCATAAAGAAGCAGGAGAGAGAAACATTTTAGAACAGAGAAGATAAAAAAATTATAAAAAGTGCATTAAAAAATAAAGGAATGTTTTCCTCACTGGGTGGAATTTGGCAGGGACTAGGGTGGGTACTTTAGCAACCTCAGAAATGTCTCAGTCCAAATGGATTTACATGTCTTGGTTGGGGGGGTGGAGGGTGGTCATGTGTAAGGGTGAAGGAGGGAGGAGCCTTGTGTCTCTTCCAGTCTCACAAGGTTTCTCAAGGGACATGAAGACGCAGGAAAGGGGAAGTGGTGGTCAGTTAGGAGAAATCAGACTTTTTAGTGTCCTTATCCAAACCGAATATTGGGAAAATTCTTTTAATAGGGATTCTCCAATTTCACTGTGCCTCAGAAAAGCCCAATGACTCAAGGCACTTAAGATTCCAGATTCCCAGGTCTCACTTCTAGAAATTCTGATTCACTTGGTCTGTAGTGGGTCACTGCAATTTCCGTTATTTATTATTATCTTTATCTTTATATATATATATATATTTTTTTTAAATTATACTTTAAGTTCTGGGATACATGAGCAGAACGTGCAGGTTTGTTACATAGGTATACACGTGCCATGGTGATTTGCTGCACTCATCAACTCATCATCTACATTATGTATTTCTCCTAATGCTATCCCTCCCCTAGTGCCCCAGACCCTGAAAGGCCCCAGCGTGTGATGTTCCCCTTTCTGTGTCCATGTGTTCTCATTGTTCAACTCCCACTTGTGAGTGAGAAAATGCAGTGTTTGGTTTTCTGTTCCTGCATCAGTTTGCTGAGAATGATGGTTTCCAGCTTCATCCTTGTCCCTGAAAAGGACATGAAGTCATTCTTTTTTATGGCTGCATAGTATTCCATGGTGTATATGTGCCACATTTTCTTTATCCAGTCTATCATTGATGGGCATTTGGGTGGGTTCCAAGTCTTTGCTATTGTGAATAGTGCTGCAATAAACATACGTGTGCATGTGTCTTTATAGTAGAATAATTTATAATCCTTTGGGTGTATACCCAGTAATGCGATTGCTGGGTCAAATGGTATTTCTGGTTCTAGATCCTTGAGGAGTCATCATACTGTCATCCACAATGGTTGAACTAATTTGCACTCCCACCAACAGTGTAAAAGCATTCCTATTTCTCCACATCCTCTCCAGCATCTGTTGTTTCCTGACTTTTTAATGATCGCCATTTTAACTGGCTTGAGATGGTATCTCATTGTGGTTTTGATTTGCATTTCTCTAATAACCAGTAGTGATGAGCTTTTTTTTTCATATGTTTGTTGGCCACGTAAATGTCTTCTTTTGATAAGTGTCTGTTCATATCCTTTGCCCACTTTTAGATGGGGTAATTTGTTTTTTTTCCTGTAAGTTTGTTTAAGTTCCTTGTAGATTCTGGATATTAGCCCTTTGTCAGATGGATAGATTGCAAAGATTTTCTCCCATTCTGTAGGTTGCTTGTTCACTCGATGATAGTTTCTTTTGCTGTGCAGAAGCTCTTTAGTTTAATTAGATCCCATTTGTCAATTCTGGCTTTTGTTGCCATTGCTTTTGGTGTTTTAGTCATGAAGTCTTTGCCCATGCCTATGTCCTGAATGGTATTGCCTAGGTTTTCTTCTAGGGTTTTGATGGTTTTAGGTCTTACATTTAAGTCTATGATCCATCTTGAGTTAATTTTTTTATAAGGTGTAAGGAAGGGGTCCAGTTTCAGTTTTCTGCATAATGCTAGCCAGTTTTCCCAACACCATTTATTAAATAGGGAATCCTTTCCCCATTGCTTGTTTTTCTCAGGTTTGTCAAAGATCAGATGGTTGTAGATGTGTGGCATTATTTCTGAGGCCTCTGTTCTGTTCCATTGGTCTATATATCTGTTTTAGTACCAGTACCATGCTGTTTTGGTTACTGCAGCCTTGTAGTAAAGTTTGAAGTCAGGTAGCGTGATGCCTCCAGCTTTGTTCTTTTTGCTTAGTATTGTCTTGGCTATATGGGCTCTTTTTTGGTCCCTTATGAAATTTAAAGTAGTTTTTTCTAATTCTGTGAAGAAAGTCAATGGTAGCTTGATGGGGATAGCATTAAATCTATAAATTACTTTGGGCAATATGGCCATTTTCACGATATTGATTCTTTCTATCCATGAGCATGGAATGTTTTTCTATTTGTTTGTGTCCTCTCTTATTTCCTTGATCAGTGGTTTGTAGTTGTCCCTGAGGAGGTCTTTCACATCCCTTGTAAGTTGTATTCTTAGGTATTATATCCTGTTTGTAGCAATTGTGAATGGGAGTTTACTCATGAATTGGCTCTCTGTTTGTCTATTATTGGTGTATAGGAATGCTTGTAATTTTTGCACATTGATTTTGTATCCTGAGACTTTGCTGAAGTTGCTTATCAGCTTAAGGAGATTTTGGGCTGAGACGATGGGGTTTTCTAAATATACAATCATGTCATCTGCAAACAGAGACAATTTGACTTCCTGTCTTCCTATATGAATACCCTTTATTTCTTTCTCTTGCCTGATTGCCCTGGCCGGAACTTCCAATACTATGTTGAATAGGAATGGTGAGAGATGGCATCCTTGTCTTGTGTCTCTTTTCAAAGGGAATGCTTCCAGCTTTTGCCCATTCTGTATGATACTGGCTGTGGGTTTGTCATAAATAGATCTTATTATTTCGATGTATGCTCCTTCAATACCTAGTTTATTGAGAGTTTTTAGCATGGAGGGGTGCTGAATCTTATCGAAGGCCTTTTCTGCATCTATTGAGATAATCATGTGGTTTTTGTCATTGGTTCTGTTTATGTGATGGATTATGTGTATTGATTTGCGTATGTTGAATCAGCTTTGCATCCCAGGGATGAAGCCAACTTGATCGTGGTGGATAAGCTTTTTGATGTGCTGCTGGATTTGGTTTGCCAGTATTTTATTGAGGATTTTTGCATCGATGTTCATCAGGGATATTGGCCTGAAATTTTCTTTTTTTGTTGTGTCTGTCCCAGGTTTTGGTATCAGGATGATGCTGGCCTCATAAAATAAGTTAGGGAGATGTCCCTCTTTTTCTGTAGTTTGGAATAGTTTCAGAAGGAATGGTACCAGCTCCTCTTTGTATCTCTGGTAAAATTTGGCTGCGAATCCGTCTGGTCCTTGGTTCTTTTTGGTTGGTAGGCTATTAATTATTGCCCCAATTTCGGAACTTGTTATTGGTGTATTCAGGGATTCGACTTTTTCCTGGTTTAGTCTTGGAAGGGTGTGTGTGTCCAGGAATTTATCCATTTCATCTAGATTTTCTGGTTTATTTGCGTAGAGGTGTTTATAGTACTCTCTGATGGTAGTTTGTATTTCTGTGGGATCAGTGATGATGTCCCTTTATCGGTTTTTATTGTGTCTATTTGATTCTTCTCTCTTTTATTCTTTATTAGTCTGGTTAGTGGTCTATTTCGTTAATCTTTTCAAAACAGCAGCTCCTGGATTCACTGATTTTTTGAAGGGTTTTTCGTGTCTCTATCTCCTTTCGTTCTGCTCTGATCTTAGTTATTTCTTGTCTTCTGCTAGGTTTTGAATTTGTTTGCTCTTGCTTCTCTAGTTCTTTTAATTGTGATGTTAGGGTGTCGAATTTAGATCTTTCCATCTTTCTGATGTGGGCATTTAGTGCTGTAAATTTCCCTCTAAACACTGCTTTAGCTGTATCCCAGAGATGCTGGTACATTCTGTCTTTGTTCTCATTGGTTTCAAAGAACTTATTTATTTCTGCCTTAATTTTGTTATTTACCCAGTAGTCATTCAGGAGCAGGTTGTTCAGTTTCCAGGTAGTCGCGCAGTTTTGAGTGAGTTTCTTAATCCTGAGTTCTAATTTGATTGCACTGTGGTCTGAGAGACTGTTTGTTATGATTTCTGTTCTTTTGCATTTGCTGAGGAGTGTTTTACTTCCAATCATGTGGTCAGTTTTAGAATAAGTGTGATGTGGTGCTGAGAAGAATGTATATTCTGTTGATTTGGGGTGGAGAGTTCTGTAGATTTCTATTAGGTCCACTTGGTCCAGAGCTGAGTTCAAGTCCTGAATATCCTTGTTAATTTTCTGTCTTGTTGATCTGTCTAATATTGACAGTGGGGTGTTAAAATCTCCCACTGTTATTGTGTGGGAGACTAAGTCTCTTTGTAGGTCTCTAAGAACTTGCTTTATGAATCTGGGTACTCCTGTCTTGGGTGCAAATATATTTAGGATAGTTAGCTCTTCTTGTTGCATTGATCCCTTTACCATTATGTAATTCCCTTCTTTGTCTTTTTTGGTCTTTGTTGGTTTAAAGTTTGTTTTATCAGAGACTAGGACTGCAACCCCTGCTTTTTTTTTTTTTTTTTTTTTTTTTGCTTTTCATTTGCTTGGAAAGTATTTTTCCATCCCTTTATTTTGAGCCTATGTGTGTCTTTGCATGTGAGATGGGTCTCCTGAATACAGCACACCGATGGGCCTTGACTCTTGATCCAATTTGCCAGTCTGTGTCTTTTAATTGCGGCATTTATCCTGTTTACATTTAAGGGTAATATTGTTATGTGTGAATTTGATCCTGTCATTATGATGCCAGCTGGTTATTTTGCCCATTGGTTGGTGCAGTTTCTGCATAGTGTCAATGGTCTTTACAATTTATATGTTTTTGCGGTGGCTGGTACCGGTTTTTCCATTCAGTATATAGTGCTTCCTTCAGGAGCTCTTGTAAGGCAGGACTGGCAGTGACAAAATCTCTCAGCATTTGCTTGTCTGTAAAGGATTTTATTTCTTCTTTGCTTATGAAGCTTAGTTTGGCTGGATATGAAATTCTGGGCTGAAAATTCTTTTCTTTAAGAATGTTGAATATTGGCCCCCACTCTCTTCTGGCTTGTAGGGTTTCTGCCGAGAAATCCACTGTTAGTCTGATGGGCTTCCCTTTGTGGGTAACCCGACCTTTCTCTCTGGCTGCCCTTAACATTTTTTCCTTCATTTCAACCTTGGTGAATCTGATGATTATGTGTCTTGGGGTTGCTCTTCTCGAGGAGTATCTTTGTGGTGTTCTCTGTATTTCCTGAATTTGAATGTTGGCCTGTCTTGCTAGGTTGGGGAAGTTCTCCTGGATAGTATCCTGAATAGTGTTTTCCAACTTGGTTCCATTCTCCCTGTCACTTTGAGGTACACCAATCAAATGCCGGTTTAGTCTTTTCACACAGTCCCATATTTCTTGGAGGCTTTGTTTGTTCCTTTACATTCTTTTTTCTCTAATCTTGTCTTCACGCTTTATTTCATTAAGTGGATCTTCAATCTCTGATATCCTTTTTTTCTGCTTGATCGATTCAGCTATGATTCTTATGTATGCTCCATGAAGTTCTCGTGCTGTGTTTTTCAGCTCCATCAGGTCATTTATGTTCTTCTCTAAACTGGTTATTCTGGTTAGCAATTCCTCTAACCTTTTTTGAAGGTTCTTAGCTTCCTTGCATTGGGTTAAAACATGCTCCTTTAGCTCGGAGGAGGTTGCTATTACCAACCCTCTGAAGCCTACTTCTGTCAATTCCTCAAACTCATTCTCAGTCCAGGTTTATTCCCTTGCTAGCGAGGAGTTGTGATCCTTTGGAGTTGAAGAGGCATTCTGGTTTTTGGAATTTTCAGCCTTTTTGTGCCGGTTTTTCTTATCTTCTTGGATTTATCTACCTTTGGTCTTTGATGTTGGTGACCTTCAGATGGGGTTTCTGTGTGGACATCCTTTTTGTTGATGTTGATGCTATTCCTTTCTGTTTGTTAGTTTTCCTTCTAACAGTCAGGCCCCTCTGCTGCCAGTCTGCTGGAGTTTGCTGGAAGTCCACTCCAGACCCTGTTTGCCTGGTTATTACCAGCAGAGGCTGCAGAACAGCAAAGATTGCTGCCTGTTCCTTCCTGTGGAAGATTCGTCCCATAGGGCCACCTGCCAGATGCCAGCTGGAGCTCTCCTGTATGAGGTGTCTTTTGCCCCCTGTTGGGAGGTGTCTCCTAGTCAGGAGGCATGGGGGTCAGGGACCCACTTGAGGAGGCCATCTGTCCCTTAGCAGAGCTTCAGCACTGTGCTGGGAGATCTGCTGCTCTCTTCAGAGCCAGCAGGCAGGAACACTGAAGTCTACTGAAGCTGTGCCCACAGCCACCCCTTCCTCCAGGTGCTCTGTCCCAGAGAGATAGGAGTTTTATCTATAAGCTCCTGACTGGGGCTGCTGCCTTTCTTTCAGAGATGCCCTGCCCAGAGAAGGGGAATCTAGAGAGGGAGTCTGGTTACAGCTGCTTTGCCAAGCTGCAGTGGGCTCTGCCGAGTTTGAACTTCCCAGGTGGCTTTGTTTACACTGTGAGGGGAAAACCGCCTACTCAAGTCTCGGTAATGGTGGACGCCCCTCCCCCCACCAAGCTCCAGCATCTCAGGTCGACTTCAGAGTGCTGTGCTGGCAGCGAGAATTTCAAGCCAGTGGATCTTAGCTTGCTGGGCTCCATGAGGGTGGGGTCTGCTGAGCTAGACCTCTTGGATTTCTGGCTTCAGCCCCCTTTCCAGGGCAGTGAATGGTTCTGTCTCGCTGGCATTCCAGATGCCACTGGGGTATGAAAAAAAAATCCTGCAGCTAGCTCGGTGTCTGCCCAAATGGCTGCCCAGTTTTGTGCTTGAAACCCAGGGCCCTGGTGGCATAGGCACCCGAGGGAATCTCCTGGTGTATGGATTGTGAAGACTGTGGGAAAAGCATAGTATCTGGGTCAGAGTGCACCATTCCTTATGGCACAGTCTGTCACGGCTTCCCTTGGCTAAGGGAGGGAGTTCCCCGACCCCTTGTGCTTCCCGGATGAGGCAATGCCCCACCCTGCTTTGGCTCGCCTTTCGTGGGCTGCACCCACTGTCTAACCAGTCCCCATGAAGTAAGCTGGGTACATCAGTTGGAAATGCAGAAATCACCTGCCTTCTGTGTTGATCTCACTGGGAGCTGCAGACCGGAGCTGTTCCTATTTGGCCGTCTTGCCAGCCACCCATGTTTTCATTTTTAATCTGTCATTATTATATTTTTTGAGACATTGTCTCACTCTGTCACCCAGGATGAAGTGCAGTGGTGCAATCTCGGCTCACTGCAACCTCCACCTCCCTGGTACAAGCGATTCTCTTGCCTCAGTCTCCCCAGTAGCTGGGATTACAGGCACGTGCAACCACACACAACTAGTTCTTATATTTTTAGTAGAGACAGGGTTTCGCCATGTTGGCCAGACTGATCTAAAACTTCTGGCCTTAAGTGATCTGCCCACCTTGGCCTCCCAAAGTGGTGGGATTATAAGCATGAGCCACTGCTCCCAGCCTGTAATTTTCGTTATTAATAAAGACACCGAATGATTCTGCCACTGTTCATCTGAGGACTGGAGTATGAGAAACGCTGCCTTTGGCGATGGGGAGAGGTGGTCCTCTCTTCTGCCTCCTTCTGGACTCTAAAGCAGAGGGTTTTCCTATTTCTAGAGAAACCAGGCAGTGAAGGAAGCAAATGTTTCCATTTGAAGTGGTGCCAGCCAGTGCATTTGTGGTAAGAAAATGGGATTGTTTTTCAGATATCAGAAAGATTTATTTCTGTGACTGCAGTGCATGGACATGTAGCCCTGTGAGGGCAGTGAAGGGAAAGAGGAGGGGGACACAGGGTAGTCCGTATAATACTACAGATCATTGTTTCCTTTTGTTTTAATTTTCTTTCATGCATATATTCTGAAATATCACTTTTAACTCCAAGACAGTCATACAATTTTAAATGATGCCTAAGCTAGTGACTCTCAAATTGTGTTCTTTGTACTAGCAGCATTGGCATCACCTGGGAACTTGTTAAAAATGCAGATTCTCAGAGTTCCACCTGTAGACTTAATGAAGCAGAAACTGTGAGGCTGAGGCCCAGTAATTGGTGTTTTAACAAGTCCTCCAGATGATTTCTGAGGCATGCTAGAGTTGGTTCTTGCAACTACTGCTATAAGGTAGTTGGCAACCAACTACCTTATAAACTCTCCAAGGCCACACTCTGAGTCCTATGTATCTTGTGTGTCCTTATTCCTATCCAACCTCCACCATGGGATGTGGTGTTCATCACAGAGCAGGTAATCATTAAATTATTGCTCTAAGCAGCTGCCATTCTTTAGTGTCTTAATTCCTTCATTTTCAGTAAGAAAATTAAAATTTTATCAGTTGATCTTGATAGTCATCTTATGAAGTTGGTGGAGCAGGCAATTTTCAGGATGTCAGGGAAGGAGCTGGGAAGGCTATATGTATTTGTAACATGCTCCTAGGGCATTCTGATGATAAGTGAGCTTTAGTAAGCACCATAGGAAAAGGAATGTGTGGCTAGGTTTAAGGTACCATGACAAGCTTGTTTAATCTCAGGAATCACTTCTGTAAAACGGAATCATGACACCTGCAGTACCAACTTCATAAAATTACTATAAAGATCAACAGAGATAATTTCTTTTTATTTCTTAAAAGACATACAAGCAATCTAAGAACACACATTCTCCCTTCTTTTCAAATACTAGAATTCTTTGGCCACTCAGAAGTCCAGCAGTTATTGTTAGAGACACTAAAACCTTCTGAAGAAAATTTATTTCCACAGACAATGATGCCATAGACAAGTAAAGTGTCCTCAATGTGAGGATGCAAATGAACATTTAGTATGCCAAGATCATATTATGCAAAATAAATAGCTCTCAACTGGAGTGCTTAAGGACACTCTTCTGGCAGCTGTCATTATCTTAGCCATGACTTTCACCTAAGCTATTCTGAGTGCTACTAAAGTTTGAGTATATATTCATATATTACTCCTACTGTGTTGAGATTAGCTGAGCTCAGTGTGGCCTGCTTGGGAGGAAGTCAATACAAATATAGTAAAACTAGAATTGACATGGATATTGCATGTGCTGAAAAGAACACTAGACTGGGACTTCAAAAACTTGATAATCTCGGCCTTGAGTAAGTCACTTAGCATCTCTAGGTTTCAGCTTATAAAATGAAGAGTCAGTCTCCCGAGAGTATAATGAAGATCAAGTGAATCCAGGTGTGAAAATGTATGGAAAAGTTGAATGTATTGTTACATTAAATTTTGTTTAGCCAGAAACTTCAGTTAGCATAATTGTCCTCTTCCGTTGTCCTTGACTTAAAAGAGGCAATACACAATAAACCTCTCACATTGGAAATTTCACCAAAGCTATGTCCAGAACTCAGCTCATGTATAGTTTTATCTATATTCATTTCTAACTCTGGACATTAAAAATAGATGTTCAAAATAATAACTCTAAAACCCTGAAAGAGCCTCAAGTACCGAAGATTCAATCATATTTTTAAGGTGGGACATGAAACCAGACATTTCAGAAAATATGCCAAAAGTAGACCAAACTAGATACGTTGTTTCAACATTCTTGTAGTTGCAGCTAAACCCAGTTTATCAGAATATTCTTTTAATTAGAACAGTCCATTACCCGAGAATTTTGATGAACTAATCCTCAGCTACCTTATTTTTAATAATAAAAAAGAGTGTATTTAATTTGGCATTCCGCCACAGAACCAGTTTGATAGCCAGACCCAAAAGCACCACAAAAAAAGATGAAGTGGTTTTTTTGTACAGTTTAGAGGCAAAAGATGAATGTGAAATAAAGTGAGACTATAGTGAAAAGAAGAAATGTCTGCGTGTTTTGGTTTCCATGTCTAAAACCTTAGGGTGTCTTTTCAAGATGAACTCAGGAGTGTGGCTGTGATTGAGAATCAAGAAAGTGATGAATGATTTGCCCTGGGAGCCCTATTTGGAGCTATGATATTCATTTGTGAAGTGTGAGCTGCTGATCTTCATTTGATTCTTTTTCTCTGGTTGCAAGATGGAGTTACAAATGTCTACAATCCTTCAAACTTTCAGTTTTATGCACAGTTGGGAATGGAGTACCTTGATTCATCAAATAGTCTAGTTTAACAGAGTGCTTCCCTATTCACTTTATAGGGATTTGTGATTTTCAAAGAGTAAATATAAAGCAAAATATAATTATAATGTTGTATCAATTTGAACATAATTTTGTCTTTCTTTGGTAATTTAGGGAGGTACTTCAAGACCTTAAAGAGTTCCTGAGCCATAGGTAGAACTCCAGGTCCCCATATGTTGTTGATGTGCAGAGGGCTGGCTAATAGAGAAGTCTTTGGGAAATTAACATGCTGGGAAATCAGCTTTGTTGTGCTATTCTGCTGGGGCTTGTAGGGATGCTATCTGAATTAGTTAGAATATTCCCCGCCTACTTCTTCCTCCCTCTGCCAGCTCCTCTCAGTCCTCTTCACCTTGCATACTTCTGTACATCCATCTGCCTGCTGTTTTGAAACTTCTATTTCCTTGAAACAAAGCAATTCCATATGAAAGGAGAAAGCTTTGAACCAACGTCCAAACTTGAAATCTGTTGGCTCTATATAAAAAAAATTTTTAATTGACAGATAACATTGTATGTTTTTATTGTGTACAACATGATGTTTTGAAGTACATATACATTGTGTCATGGTTAGATCTAGCTAATTAACAAATTTATTATTATTATTTTTGTGGTAAGAGCACATAACATCCACTGTCTTTACATTTTTCAAAAATACAATATTGTTACCTATAGTAACCTTGCTGCACAATAGATTTCTTGAAATTTCTTCCTCCTATATAACTGTAATTATGTATCCTTTGACCAACTTCTTCCCATCACCTACTCCCACTCCTAACCACCCTATCCTCTGGTAACCACCATTTTATTCTCTACATCTATAAGATCAATGTTTTTAGATTCCATGTATGACTGAGATCATGCAGTGTGTGTCTTTCTGTGCATGGCTTATTTCACTTAATGAAGAAGACACAAATAAATAGGAATATATCCCATGTTCATGGATTGGGAGAATTAATATTGTTAAAATATCCATACTACCCAAAGTGATCTACAGACTCAATGCAATCCCTATTGAAATACTAATAATATTCTTCATAAAAATAGAAAAAAATGCTAAAATTTATATGGAACCACAAAAGGCCCAGAATAGCCCAAGCAATTCTGAGCAAAAAGAACAAAGCTGGAGGCATCACATTACTTGATTTCAAAGTATACTACAAAGCCATAACAACCAAAATAGCATGAAACTGGCATAAAAATGGACACATAGACCAATGGAAGAGAATAGAAAACCCAGAAATAAATCCATGCATTTACAACCAATTGATTTTTGGCCAAGATGCCAAGAGCACACATTTGGGAAAAGGACAGCCTCTTTAATACATGGTGTTGGCAAATCTGGATATCCACAGGCATAAGAAAGAAATTAGGCCCATACCTCTCATCATATGCAAAAATAAACTCAAAATAGATGAAAAACTTAACTGTAAGACCAGAAACTATAAAAGTACTGGAAGAAAACACAGGGGAAACACTTCAGGACATTGGTGTAGGCAAAGATTTTATGGCTAAGACCTCAAAAGTACAGGCAACAAAAACCAAAATAGACAAATGGGACTATATTAAAGTAAAAAGCTTCTGAACAGCAAAGGAAATAATCAACAGAGTGGGGACACAACCTACAGCATGGGAGAAAATATTTGCACACTATACATGTGACAAGGGGTTAATATCCATTGACTCTTTTAAATGACTTATTTTGAGGACAATAAAAACAAATGGTGGTATAGTCCTTGTCTAGGGTTTTGGAGTACATCTGCCACCTGGTGGGGAGGGGACTCTTCCAAGAAGCCAAAACTGATCCTGCACTCTCAAGAGTAGAATGCTCACCATTGTACATGGAACTGCTTCTGCACTCTCATCAAAGAAGCTGCTTTACCTGGAAATCTGGGCTATCTGTGATCGTTGAAACGTTGACTGCTTATGAAGCCTGCAGCCTGTTGTGGGGACCTAGGTAACTATTTTGTTCAAAATGACTGCTGACTTTTCTTACTATGAGTCAAAGCTTGATTCGAATTTCAAAGCTGGAAGGGACTTCAGAGATCATCCAGTTCAAGGATTTTCAACCCTGGCATTCCCTAGAATCACATGAGGAAGTTAAAAGTCTAGGCCCCACCCCACATCATTATCTCATTTTCCTCATTGTCTTACTTGATGGTCATGAAAATCAGGAAAGTAGATATTATTGGCTGCATTTCACAGATAGGTAAACAAGCTCAGTGATGCAAAGTGGCAGGTCCCAACACGACATAGAACTGTGATTTGAGAACAGGTCCTTTGAATCCATTTTGAATGTGAGACCTTTGTATTCTCTGTAAGTGTTGGAACCCTTCCTGTCACTTTTGGGGAGCAACCAGTCAACAGAGTGACATGATATTCAGACCTCTGTAGTTATTTACTCAGGCTTCCTGAGAGAGGCGAGTTTGAGCCAGGTCTCAACATGCACTGGCTCTATCTATTCTCAGAGAGGAAATCCATTGTGTCCTTCCTACATCACGAGGCCTTACTTCCTTAGTGTGGCATAGGAGACCTTTCATCCTCAGACTCCTACCCCTTTTTCTAGCTTCATTCCTCGCTTCTTGTTTTCTGCTTTTCTGCTGAAAAGTTTGTAGGAACCAGACTGCAGGGCACTTGAAATATCTACTATTTGATAGCACAATAGGGCAACTATAGTCAATAATACTTAATTGTATATTTTAAAATATCTTAAAGAATGTAATTAAATTGTTTGTAACTCAAAGGATAAATGCTTAAGGGGATGGATGCCCCATTCTCCATGATGTGCGTATTTCACATTGCATGTCTGTATCAAAACATCTCATGTACCCCATGAATAAATACACCTACAATGTACTCACAATTTTTTTTTAATAATTAAAAAAAAAGTTAAAAAAAAAACAGGCAGAGGAGTTCAAACTTTAGTTTCTAGAGTGGTGCTGTCCAATAGAGCTTTCATTGCAGAAATAAAATGCAATGATAGAAATGTTCTCTATTTGCACTGTCCAATACAGTAGCCACTATCTGCATCTAGCTTTTGAAATTTGCAATGTGGGTAATTAAACTGAGGAACTTCATTTTAAATTTTATTTAATCATAATTAACTTAAAGTTATGTTTAAATAGCGACATGTGTCTAGTAGTTACCATACTGTCTCTAATACACTGCTCTAGAGGTACAGCTCTAGAGGCAGTAGGGAAGGACACAATAATGACATACTTTAGGAAAAGTTCTCTGGCAGAATTATGTCATGTGAGATGTTCCAGAGGGGATTATGTAAAGACTAAGGCTATGAGCACTAAAGTTAGACTGCCTGGATACAAATTCCAGTTGTATTATCTGTGTAACTTTGGGAGCATCATTTAAGCTCTCTGAGCCTCTATGTCCTCACCTGCAAAATAAAAACAGTAACACCGCCTAGATCATAGAATTATTGTGAGGATGACATAAGATAAAATCCATGAATTGTTTTAGTGCATTGGCTGGCATAGAATAGGCATACCTCTGTATAGTTTACAAATTTTCATCAGCTCATGGCTCAGTGAGGGAGGAAAGGGGGAGAGATTCTGTGTTGCTCAGCTGTTATACAGGACCCAGCTGCATCTCTGTCAATTAAAAAATGTAATAGTCTCAAAATCATCACCTAGATATGAGAGTTTATGGAAAGGATGGAAAAAGTAATCCCAAGGGAGGGAGTAGGTTGTAAGGAGAGGAATCAGAGTGACTGTTTTCCAAATGAGCTTCAAAAAAGAAAGCTTGAAACCAGCAGGTTCTGGAACTAAAAGAAAATGCACTAGAATAGCAAGAATATGGAGGAGAAAAATTGCACCCATTCAGAATCTCCAGAAATGCATCCTTGGATAGTGGATGGAGCAATGGATTGAGAGTCAAGAGACAGCCACTGACCTGCTGTGTGACCCTAGGTAAGTCATTTTCCCTCTCTGGGCCTTTGTCTTTTCATATGGAGAAATAATGGGTTAGACTAAATTTATTTGTTTTAAAAATACTCAATGTGTATGTTTGGGGGAAATGTATGCAGATATAAATATAAATAAAATAATCCTTGGCCTCAAAATGCTTACATTCTTTTTGGAGAGACAGATAGAAGCTAGATACAATGATACACGAAAAGGCACATTTGGAGCTTAAAGGAACAAATGCTTCCAACTGGGAAAATGGGAAAGCCTTCATGGAGGAGGTGTTAATATGTGTCTTAAAGGATAACTAAGATATCAGCCAACTTAACAGATCAAGGTCAGTTCCAAGTTCCAAAGTACTATCAGATATGTATGATCTCTTTAAGTGTCCGTGTAATTCACACTTTAAATTCGTAGTTCTAGGATACTTTCAAGAGCCCAGTGGTGGTTAGTTCATTTAATTAGAACATGATGATGCTGAGAAAGTCACTAGGCTCCTTCTGCCCTAGATCCATGCAGTGTACCTTTAACCTTTCTACCTGTTTGACAAATGGGTGTCTCTTGCACCAGTGAAATACTGGAAAATGTGGTGGGAAGGGCTCAGTAAATCCATCCCACTTCTGGGAAAATGTCTTCAAGAACAGATTAGAGAAGTGGTAAAGCCTAGTGGTCAAATATGTGGGCCTTGGCCCCTGACTGCCTAAGTTTGATTTTCTGCTTCATCATTCAATAGTTGTGTGAATCTGGGCAAGCTACACAATCTCTCTGTGTCCCATAAAATGTGGATGACAGTCCTCATAGGATTGTCATCAGGATTAAATGAGCGAATTCATGCAAAGTATATAGAACAGTGCCTGACACATAAGTGCTCACATAGGTTTGCTATTGTTATAATTATCTTTGTTATTATTATTTATAATATTGTTATATTATTATTGTTATTATTATTGTTATTATCCTTGTTATTGCTACTCAAAGGCCTCATTTCTGGAGTTTGCATTCCTTCGCTTCTGTTGTTATCTTACATATGAGTCAGTCTACTGTTTGTGTTCTAATTTAGTCATTTTCTCAATTTGAATGCCTTGGTAGGTGCGTTAGCCACTGGACTGGACTGACTAGCAGGAGCCTAGTGCTGCCTTTTCCCATGGGCCCAGTTTAGCTTCCATAGTGTCAGTCTACAAACTTGCTTGACACTGGGAAAAATTTTAATTCTGGTGTTGTGCAAATTGCTAATTAGGGTTGTAAACATTCTCCACTTCACTTCCCTAATATTTTTTTGGTCATGGAATTCTTCCCACTGTCACTCTTGGGGTCTGCGCCTGGTGCTTAATTACATTTGGGCAGCCTCACTGTCTGTGCAGTGGCCTGGTAGCGCCCTCCATCCCACCTTGATGTTTGCTTGGGATATGCCTTCTGAGGCCCAGATCACTTAGAGAACACAGGGGCTGGCATTTGCCAAAACATGTTCCTTTTTCATTTATCAAAAAGCAAAATAGAACAGAACAGTATAGCATAGCAGATGGGAGGAGGGGTTGGTGATGAGAGGCAAATGGGACTAGTTCTATTTTCTGAAAAGACCTAGTGACATTACTTTTATGTCATGGACAAGTGACTAGGTAAGACCAGTCTCATGATGGGATACTCTTTCCCATGTCTGCTTTCGCTTTTTCTTTCTCATTGCCCTCACCCCTCCACCAGTGTTCCATGCTATAGGATTGGTCACAAGCAAGTGTCATGAGGAAGCAGATGCCTAATAGGTACTTTTTGATGGTTATGCGCAGCGGAACAGATCTTACAATTAAGTTTGGGTTACCAGATCTAGCAAATAAAAAGACAGGAAACACAGTAAATTTGAATTTCAAATAAACAACAAATAATTTTTAGTGTATGTCCCATGCGATATTTAGGACATGCTTATACTTAAAAAGTATTTGTTATTCATCTGAAACTGAATTTAATGGGATGTCCTATATTTCATCTGGTAACCCTAAATTAGGCAGAATAGATGGTCACTTAGGTAGCATAAGTTAAAGGCCTGAGAAGCCCATTTGCCCAATGATATTGCTCTCACTGGCCTGGCTCATTGCTTGAAGTATTTGTCATATACAGTATCCTTGAGTAAAGTTTTAGAAGCTTCTGTCAAAAAATGTGTATGACCTAAGAGAGGTTGCATATTGAGCCATTAATCAGCATTTAATTTAATGCCTTAGCCCAGATTAGCTCTATGGGTGAGTTCACTGATCATCTCATAAAGTCTAGATAAAATGAGACACAAAACAGGTGAGTTTAATTTGAGCGAGAAGAAGTGGGATAGGACTAGAGACAGAGTGATGTCCAAGAATGGGCACCAGAATGGAAAGTCCAGAGTTAAGTTCATATACAGAAAGTCATCTATATGATAGGAATGAAGAGGTCTTGGGCCCCCGTGGCCACAATGCCTGATAGGTCACCATTAGTCTTCCTTTTGGGTTACCATTGCTTTCTCTCCAGTCCTCCTTCCTGATGAGAGGCAGCCTTGTATAATGAAAAGATCCCAGATCTTAGAGTCAGACCTAAGTTCAAGTCTTAACTCTGCAACTTACAAACTGTGTGACTTAGGTTGGGCAAGCAGGGGTTCTCTTTTTTATTTCTTCATTTTTAAGGCTGGGAAAATGATTTTTGCCTTGGAATTCTTGTCAATTCTCATCTGATTGTTGTGAGGAGTGAATGGAAACACTCTATGTATAAGTCCTTTGAAAACAGGTACTGACAAAACGCTTTTGAAGCATTAAAATGCATGTCTTCCTGAGAGAGGGGCAGCACAGTCAACCAGTCCTGGTTACCTGGTGTATCACATAACTGTTCTCCTTGAGAGGGGAAGATGGTCCCACAAGAAAGCTAGGAATATCAGTGGTGGGTGCTGCCATCGGGCTTATGTGGTGGGGACGAAGGGCCCAGGCAAAGAAAGCTGTGACTTCCTCCCCCGACTACCAAATAAACTGCCAGCTCTAGCATTTTGCCAACGACTGATCCTATGACATGAGCTCAGAGCAGGAAGGCCGGACTGTAGGGAGGAGGTACGGAAGACTCCCTTGAAATACTGCGGGTGGCATTCACCAGCTCTCAAGGAAGAGCTCCAAGTTTAGGGGGACAGGTGGCCAGCGGAGGTTTTGAATCTACCAGAGGAAATTATCCTCCCTCTGTGTGCCCAGGATAAGATCTCAGAGCCAGGGAATGTTTGTAAATGGACTCTCTCATTTAAATAAATCCCACTTAAATATTTATCAGATCATGAATATGCATGTTTCTCTCTCTCAGTGCTGGAAAGAGAACGGGTGTGTAATTTTTAGATGGCACATAAATAATGTAAGGGGGAAAAAGGGATCTTTGTTCTGTGTTGACTGTGTATTTACAGCATCTCAAGAGGTCTTGAAATAATGAACTGATTTTTCCCTTTCCCAGTCTAAATGTGCACTTGGAGCTTCACCTGTCCTGTCTTTAGGGTGATTTGCACACATTTGTATCCCCAGGGGAGGATTTCTGGAGGCAAGAAAATGAGAAAGGTCAACTTCCAATTACTAGTGAGTTAGCCAAGGCAACCCTTCAGCATCCCGCCTAACTGGCTGTCCCCACCTCAGATTGGGATGGGAAGGGTGGAAAGCAGGTTTGCTTCTGCACCCACTATTCAGAGGCTCAAAGGTGAAGGCCTAGAAGGAACTTCTTTAAAAAGCAAATGTCACTGAGGCGGGTAGCCACTATTCTCCCTAGCCATGAACACTTGGACTTGGCTCCATGCATCTAGTGGAATTCTAGGGAAAAGGGAACAGAGCAGTTTTGATGAGGTCTGTGGGGTAGGTTGAAACGTGGTTAGGGCCCCAGGCTCCCCATAGGAGGAAGGAAACTACAGACTGACTATACCTACTTTGCCCTTCTATTTGGCTGAGAACCAGATGTGACTGACGCCCAAGGCATGAATAAGTAAGAGAGGATGTATCCCTATCCCTGAGTTCTCTCTGCTGGACTCTGTGTTCCTAACTGTCCTCCCACATTTGCACATTCATGGCTTTGGGATTAGGCATGATGTGCTTGTATTCTAAACTTCTCCCCCTCTGCCTGTATGTGGAATTGAGAGAGGACTGAGTTACCCTTTTTCCCTAAAGCATCTTTAAAAGTAACATCCTTTCTTTGCTAATAGGAGAGTTGAAAGTGGCTGTCAGTATGGAGTGACAGGAAGAACACTTTCACTGGGAGTTAGGAATCAGGGCGTCTAGCACTGGCTCCACCACTTACTAGGAATGCGATGTTGAACACATTACTTAATTCATGCCTCTACTTCCTCATCTGTAAAATGAGGATCATGACAGTACTTCCTTGGTAAAATTTTTGTGACGACTAAAGGAAATGATGCATTTAATAGGCTTAGCCCAGAGCATGGCACATGAATGCTCGTCAAGGGTGGATGTTAGTCTGAGGAACTGATTATTCATTGGCCCCAAAACTTTCTCTGAAGCTGAGCCTTTCATTGTCAGTAAGGATATAATAATCTTTTGTCCTAAAGGTGTGCAGTGGTCTGGTGTAATGGAAGATTTTTGGACTGGGTGTTAGGAAACGGGCTTTAGTCCCGCGTTCACTGCTCATTAGCTGTGTGAACTTGGACAAATCACTTACCCTCTCTAAAAATATAGATTTTTAAAATCTGTAAAGTAACAACAATATACCTGCACTGCCCTCCTCATTAAGTATGAATGATGATAAAAGACATGGGGAAAGTGCTTGGAAGTGTAAAGTGGTAGGTTACCTTTTGAATAATATTAATTAGAATAACTGAATGGTCTTCCATTTCAGTAGGTTCCAGTTAAACAATAATTTTGAACTTTCAGATTCATATTAGATGACATCATGAAACAAATAGTTTATGGAAATCTTCTCTAATTTCAAGTTAGCACATTCAGAGAGGAAAACAGATGGGTTCTAGAAACAAAATCAGATCTACAGAGCTCCAAATAGCTTATCAGCAGCTATAAGAAATTATGGGGTCAGTGAGAAGGTTGCCTTTGCCTCCTATTTTTGTCTTCTTTCTGTCTCTTCTTCTAAGATGCCTTATTAATCTGAAGGGGAGACAGTGAATACAGATACAGTGATAAAACACCCAGGATTTTCTAGGACAATCCAAATTTCGTGTATCTTTCTTCTTTTCTATAAAATTAGTAACTAAATGTGAAATTACTAACTAAATGTGATTTCATGTTGATGCTTTTATACAATTTTAATCATTTATCATAATTAATAGTTACACTTTGTTGAGTATTTCTGTTTATCAGACACTGTGCTAAGCACTTTCACAGTATCTCATTTTATTTTCATAACAGCCCAATGAAGTAGATACTATAATCATTGCCATTTTACAGACGCTCAGACAGGTTGTTGCCCAAGGTCACACAGCTAATCTCTGTCAGAGCTGGGATTGAATCCTCAGGATTGCCTTAGAAAAGCCAGAAAGAAAAGAAAACGTATTTTCAGACCATGTGTCCTGTTTTTGCATTCAGAAAATAGGTCCATTGTACCACAGAATTCTGAGCATCCACTTGGCGGGGACAGCCCCTACGATCAAGTGATGAGGGAAGCTTGAATTTGGGGAACACTGACTTTAGATTTATGTGGGCTGTCAGTGAGGGTAGTGGCTATCCTATCTTTTTATTTGTTTGTCTTTAAGGCCACAAAAAATCTTTCCCATGATCTCCCACAAAATAACCAAATATTCTGCATGCTCTCCAATGGCTGTCCTTTGCTTTCTCTTCATAGCCCTCCTAGTGGATGATACACACAAATGACTGGGTCCATCCAGCCATATGGCAATGGCCTCAGGAAATGGGCCTGCAGGTGAAGGGAGAGCTTGGAAAGGAAATTGGAACTAGATACATGGCCATTCCTCCCAATTCCTAGTAGTCACCAGCTTAAGCCAAACAAATGCAAGACCGTAAACTAAGCTTAGTTTCCCAATTCTAAGATTCAATATGTACTATGAATCCAGGGGAGCCTAAAAATATGTCAGAAAATACGTATGCTTTTTGCTTTCTCTCAGCTTATTAAGAAATGAAAATGTAGATATATTTTTGGTGGAGCCACTGACTTCAAGAATTTCCAAAGAAGTCTGTTTAGCTTAAGCTGCCTTTAGGCACTTCCGTTTGCTTGTGAATAAAGAGAATGTCATTTTCCTTTTTATGATTCTCCAAAATATATGCCCAGTAAAGCCATAAAAATGCATTGGTCCAGCTTTTCTGATTGCATTCTTCTCTGCAGCAATGGGCCTAACCTTAGCAAAATGTGGGATAGGCGGATGGCTGGCTATGTAGTTAGGATTGTTGGAAGGAAATGAACCTCCGCTTTCTGATCACCAGTATTGCGATTCCAAAAACAAGACTTCCTTCCTTTGGCCCGAGGCCTTCTACACTTGCCTAAACCACAGAGATGTCTGAGAGACGTTGTCCATCAGCCGTTTCTACCTTCATAGAGTGTAAATGAGTTTCCCAGCTCCTCTCCTGGGAACAGGTTCTGATTCTCATAGAAGAAAACCAAAATTAGCACATTGGAGAGATGAGCAAGGTGGCACCAAGGCATGGGAGACATCAGCTAGGGCAGCTAAAGATCTTCGTTCTATGTCTCAGAAGTCTGCTTTCCTGTAACCCTAGTAAGAGCATAATGGTAGTGGCAAGCACTTACAGAATGCTAACTATGTGGCAGAAACTGTTCTAGGTGCCTTTCATGGATGTAACCCATACAACAATTCTATAAGTTAGGGGCAATTATTATGTTCACTTTATTGGTGAGGAAACAGCCACACAACACAGAGCCTAATGCCTGTGGTCATTCTTTCTCGTCACAATATGGCCCAGAGAGTATACCACAAAAGCCGCTGTTCTGATTAGCATTTAATGCCGTGACTTGTTGACTTGCTAATCGATGTGAGAAGTAGATAGAACTGACTGCATTCTCCTGGGTGGGTGAGTACATGAGGAACATGGGAAGGTACATTGACTCTTTCAATTCTGTTGGGTAAAGCCTTACACAAAGCACTGTGACTGCGTGGGCACAAAAGGAAGAGGCTTTCCTCCCGCATCTTAATCACTTATATACAGAGCAGTTCTTTTAGCTTTAGGCAATTGCCCAGTCATACTCGGCATTTTGATTTTAGCTTACATCACTATGCCATTCTTCTTTATTCCTGCAAGATAGGGTACAAAGTATATTACTGCCATTATGCAGATAAAAGAATTGAGACAGGGTAGAAAAGGCTTAACGCGATAAATCTGGGGCTAGCCTTTAGATTTTTCGAATCCCACATTTTAAGTAGAATTACAGATTAGGAGACTCACCAACTTGACAAAATATGGGCCAATTCATTTTTCAGAACCTGAAACCTCAGCCTTAAGAACTTTAAAGACCTTTCTAGCTTGACATGTCTAAGGTCATTTTTTAAATGCTACTATTCAGCATTATGCTAGGTGGATAGAAGTGGTGGGATAAAAAAAATCATTTGTTAAAGTGATTATTAAAGGTTTTTAAGGTTTCTACCTTACTGATGAACCATGACATATTTATATTATTATTATTTATATTTATATTATTATTTATATTATCAAAAGGAATAAAAAATGGAAGAGAATGGGTAGCTTTGGTAAATAATATTGTACTGCTTCCTTTCATACTGTGCCAAATGAAAACCAGTAATTCTTTCTCTAGGATTTTCAGAAGGAATACATTTGTGCCAAGAGCTTTCCAAGAGAAAAAGAGACTGGACCAATCTTTGGAAGCCTTTTTCTCAGCCTCTCAGAGGTATAAAATGCTTCTGTGAAATAGTTCTGTAGTATGCGTGTTGGAACCTGGAAATTTTACAGCTGATGCAATTCTTTTGAGCTTCTTAAGCAAGTATAAAACATCACATCAAATTTCTTTAGCAAAAAATACTAAGCTTATGATGTTTATTGTTGATTTTGTTTATTCTTTATTTGTGTCCGTCAGACATTATAGTCTCAGGAACAAGGATCTCAGGTCATTGTGAGATCAGTAACGTTTGTCTTTATGGCCCTGAAACTATTCTTTTTCTCCCTGGATTTAGTGTCCCTCTCTTTTCTTCTGTGTTCCCCCATCCACTCATATTTCTGCATACAATTATTTTGTATCTTACTTCTGCTAGTCCCTCAAAAGGATGCTCCCTGACTTTTGGGAATATGTAATTGAAGGGACATCCAAAACATTCCTATCCCTGAGATAACCTCCCTTACTTCCCATGCTCAGCCAAGCCTAAGAAAGATAGAACCAAGAAGGAAGATGCATTATGAATAGGCACTATTTTATGCTCACAGAAATGCCTTTTGGATTATCTGTGCCAAGCTTACCTCCTCTGGTTCAGATAACTGAGAACTACCTATAACAGTTCTCACATCATTTTTCATCCTTGTTACATTGCCTACACAGACATTTTGAAGCAGTTTTCCTTCTTTAGTTTTTCATTAGGAGCTGTGGAAAATAATACTATGCTACTCTTGTCTTTAGAGAATTCATGTGGCTGTCTAAATACCATTGATTTATATGAAATAGCGTTATATCTACATTCTAGCTCTTGAGATTACTCATATGTTAATGATTCTACTGGCTGAGACTCAGGAACCATAAGGCGCACTGCAGCTTTGTCCTCTAGCCAGAAACCCATGACTAAGGTTCCCAGAACCAAGATATCTGTTTTGCTTCTAAGTTGGTCGGACCAGGAAGGTAATGTTTTTGGTAGGGAGATTGGGTCAAAATCAAGGCAAGTCCAGTGCACAGGAGGTAGATGACTATCTAATGTATTATCTGAGGACACAGCCTACTCAAGGCCATGTCCTTTGCTAGCTCCTCAATGTTCCTGTAATCCTACATTTTGTTTTTAGCTAAAGTTATCTCATTTACTCATTCAGTTATTCAATTTACAAATAATAATAATCCAGGCACTATTGGCAGAGATAAATAAGACAACAATCTTGTCTTCAAGAAGTTCATAGTATTGTGAGGGAGTTAAACATATAAACAAATAATAATACTATTGTAAGACCAGTGCTGCATAAATAGCTATGAGGACACACAGCAGGGCTAAGGGGCTGGAGATCTAGGGTCTGGGGAAGCAAATATTTCAGCAGAATTTCGAAGATATATCATTTACCAGATAAAGTGTGTGTGTATGGGGGGAATGGAGTGAGGGGGCTGAGTGCTAAAAAAAGGAAAAGTATTTGCAAAGGAATGGAGGGAAAAAAGGTCATAGTCCATGTGACATACTGAAAGTAGCATAGTTCCATATGGTTATAGTATAGAGCACTAGTAGTTAAGGGATGGGTGGAGAAGAGAGTAGGAAAGTGGGTTGGAGTTTTGTTGGATCATGAAGGGCCTTGTGTGCCATGCTTAGAATCTAGGGGTAACAGGAATGTTGTTGAAATCTTTTAGGCAGGGGAGTGACATGATGGGAAGATTGCTGTTTATCAGTGGTGGAGGGGGTAACATCAGGGAGATCAGTTAGGAGAATGGTGCAGGAGATGGTGGGAGCTTGAGCTTGAGTCAGTGGCAGTGGAAACGTAGACGAAGGTCTTTGGTGATGAGATGTGCAATATGATGAAGAGGCAAGATTCAAGGATGAGGTTTCTACTTTGGGCAACTGGGCAGTGCCATTCACTGAGTGTGGGAACATAGGTGGAGGCAAAAGTTTTCTGGGAAAAAAGAATAAATTCGGAATTCAGAACATTGAGTTTGAGGTCCAGGTAGGGCATCAAGATAAAGGTTTTAGAGGGAAACCAAACTATGGATCCAGAACTGGAAAGAGAGGTTGGGGCCTCTGGAAAGCCCATGTGAAATTGCAACTGTTTTGCATAGAGAAGGGTTTTGAATCATTACAAAAATATTCAAGAAGCAAAACTGCTTTATCTTTTATCCTAGAAATTCATATCATTTTTGAGAAGAAATACTCCTTTTATTTTAAGGAATCCTGGAAATTGCAAATGGTTATGTAGGTCTGTGTTTTAAGACCTCGAAGAGTGATGGCAGTAAAGGCCTTAAGTGGAGGAGAGGCCACTGTTGAGAATACTGACAAACCTTGTTAGAAGAAAACTTGCTAGAAGTGTGTTGTGTCAGCCCCTGGCTTGGAGATCTACCAGGAAGGGTTTTAAGATCTACTGGGATATCCTAATCTACTATCTAGGCATTGTTTCCTTTTGCCGCCTATCTATCAGGGTCCTGAAAGGGTTCAGGGCTCAGAAATGAACACGAAGGGAAACATGTGAGTGCACTTAAGGCCTCTGGCCAATTTCCAAAGCCAATGTGGCTGGTTATTTGTGTCTCCATAACTCTCCTTAAGAGTTAATTTCAAACTTCATTTGAAAATAAGTTCTAGTTTCATTATACAGGTGACCCTTGAACCATAAAGGTTTGACTGCATGAATCCACTTATACACGGATTTTTCTCTGCCTCTGCCACACCTGAGAAAGCAAGACCAACTTCTCCTCTTCCTCTTCCTCTTCAGCCTACTTAATATGAAAACAATGAGGATGAAGACCTTTATGATGATCAACTTCCACTTAAAGAATAGTAAATATATTTTCTCTTCTTTATGATTTTCTTAATGACATTTTCTTTTCTCTAGCTCACTTTATTGTAAGAATACAGTATATAATAGATATAGCATATAAAATACGTGTTAATGAATCATTTATGTTATCTGGTAAGGCTTCCAGATAATAGTAGGCTATTAGTAGTTAAGTTTTGAGAGAGTCCAAAGTTATATGTGGATTTTCAACTGTACAGGTGGGTAAACCCCCTACTCCCATGTTATTTAAGGGTCAATTGTAAATGGAAGTGTTGTAATAGCCCACAGAATTTTAGAATCAAAAGGAATCACTCTAGATTGTATTTACGTATTTTTTTTTTTATATGTCCATGCTGCCCTTCTAAACTGTGAGCTTATTAAGGGGAGGCACTCTGTTTCATTCACTTCCATAACTCCTGTAACTTCCCTGACACAAAATTCCTGCACTCAGGAATTGTTAGTTGCAGAATGATGGAGTCCACTCTGTCATTTTACAGATGTGGAATCTGAGGACCAGAAAAGCTATTGTGACTTGCCCAGGATTACACAGCTACTTAGTGGCAGAGTTGGGGGCCTGGAACTGAGGTTCTGAGTTGATGATGCTTTTCTTCAACACCCTTAACGGGACTATTCACCTCTCATAACAGAGTGTTCTTGACATGTGGTGACAAAGATTCTTTGACCAAATTCTCACCATGCTCCTCTGAGCCCTCTTCTCCACCCCGTCCCAACCTTGGCCTATAAAGACTAGAACAAAACACTAACATAGTTTCTAATAGCCCAAGACAACATCTCTAGGAAGATTCTAGTCTTCCTTAAAGTGGCTGCCTGAGAAGACTCAAGGCTGCCAAAATAATTTATTGTTTGTTTCACCCAACACCTCAATATAGTTCTCCTGTCTGCCAGTCTCCATGGAAGGGTGGGAGCCTAACTTCAGTAAGTGCCAGTTGACAAACTCAGATGAGTTTCACATAGGCCAAACCTCCCCTTTCCTGCTTTTTGTAACTTTTCACTTTCCTGACTCTATTGGGCCCCCTTTCATCTCCCTCCCCTTTCCCTCATTTTCCCTTCAAAATGCCCAGCCACCTCTGTACAGATTGAAGGTGAGTTCAGTTTATGCTGAACGCTTTTCCCTACTGCAATAGTATATTACTGATTAAAATCAGTCTTTAGCTCTTTAACAAATGTCCAGCTTTGTTTATCTTTGACAGTGGTTAGAGACTCTATATGAAACCAGACAGAATGCTCCTGGAGAAGTTTCCTCTATTTCTGAGCATTCCTCCTGTCTCCTAGATGCTTGGTGGATTCTTAAGATTTTATTTTAAAACACAGAGGATAGAGTGCCAGTACTCTGTGTGGCCATTTGCCTATGAGAAGGTAAATATGGATTCAAAAATCTACTTGGTGATTTGTGCCAACCTCAGTTTCCAAACATCTCTGTTTCCCTTAATAGCTCACTATGGGTCTGTCATCCATGAATTCATCTAAGCCTTTATTTAGGGGGAGGGGAAAGCTATTTATATCTTCAGTCTAATCCACCACTTGGTGTAATGAGTTCCATATGTCTCCTCCATTTTCTACCTGCTGTGAGAAGTAGAGTTTCCTTTATTTGTCCTAAATTCACCTCTGTGGGCTTTATGTTGATAAGATGCAAAAGCATATACACAGTCTCAGACACACATGTGATTTAGGATGGAAAACGACCTCACTATTAATTGTTATCTTTGTTTACAAGCATATTAAAAATTTAAATGAAAGAGAGCCCAAGTAATGCAATTGAAAGCAACACAGTAGCAACTATTTATCCCCAGGAGGAGGATGTAAATCGTTAACAAAACGGAGACCCATTGACACAGGAACCCGTGGAAATAAATGGGAAGCCTGCTATGGAATCAGCGCCTAGCCAAGCACTGCCTGCCTGCAGTGAAGTTGAAGCACCCTCTAAAAGTTCAGTGTAGCCCAGGAACATAACCTGTCAGCCTCCTCGCCTGACATGATCTTAATTAGCCTCTGTTCTACTGCTGAGAAAGCCTGCTGAGGCAGTTAGCACCAGAGAATTAATCAGATCGTTTGTGGAGTCGACAAAGCAGGACAGCAGCCGACACTGGCAACCTATTGATTGGAAAGGATCCAGGAAGACAGGGAGTGAAGTAGTCTCTATGTGTGCCCCCTCTTTCCTCTGAATGGGAATGCTCTACAGAGACTTCAGTTGGAGGTGAAGTGAGCTGTGCTCCACCTTAACCTCTGCTCTCCTCTCCAATTCATATTCTGTCCTCCTTGCTTGCATGCACTTTTTGGCTAAGGCATCATGTGTAGCCATACTGATGCCAGACAGTGTGTTTGACTGCAAGAGAGAGGGAAAGAGCACTGTTGATTTTGTTGCAAATTGCACTTTTGCTACAGGATTAGTTGAGAAAATGGGATTTTGCCAGTATTTCCCTCCCTCCCTTTGTTTACTGCCTATTTTCAACAGCCCTGTAATTGCTTTCCATTTAGTAAAAGGAACATTGTTCCTTTTTTGGTTTTTCTTTTAATTGTATTTCTTGCCTTGAGCTGTGACGTTTGGGAGCATTGATGGGAATGCCATGTTGTTTTGGTTCTAGATACCAACTTGGCCTTAGTAATCAAGGCAAGGTCATTGCTAGGGGAGGCAGTTCTGTGGTGGCCTCAGAAACGTTTATAACTTCTTCCATTAAGCCTTCCCTGGCTAGTCCAGCCTGCCTATCATGAAATTTCTCTTCTTTGGACTCCCACGGTACTTCACATCCATACCACACAATCTAGCTCTTGCTTTATGCTGTTTTGCACTAATATTTGCTTCTGTGCATTAATCTTAATATGTCTCTCTGGCCAAGATGTAAGCTCTTCAGAATCAAAGGCTCTACTTATTGAACAGAGCTGTTATTACTGATCTAGGCATAGTAAGAGACACTCAATAAATGCTAGATTGGTTCACTGCCAACCCCTTAAGGAGTTTCTGCAACCATTTATTTGGCCTGCTGCTTCCTTGGCACTGTTGACATCTTGGGCTGGATAATTTTTTTGTTGAGAGCGTGGAGAAGGATACTGTCCTGTGCATTGTAGGATGTGTACCAGCATTCCTGGCCTCTACCCACTACTAAAATGTCCCTAGACATTGCCAAATGTCCTCTGAGGGGGGAAAATTACCCTCACTCTCTATTGAGGACCACTGTTCCATAATGGTAATAAAATAATAAGAGCTAAAAGTCATTGAGCATGGGGTGTTACTGTGTTCAGCTTGATGATAAAGGCTTTAGAGGCATTATCTTGTTAAACTCTCACAACAACCCTGCCTTGGCTTTAATTGTTGTCTAAAGGGCTTCAAGGGACAAACCTCAAAGTCACAGTTGCAGGTCTATACCGCTGTCCATCCCTGCCCCAAGGAACATTTGGAAGAACCTTTTCAAGGATGTTTCAGGCCCAAACCCTGAATTTATAGACTACTCCAGATAACCCTTAATGGGTTAATTAACTACCTGTTCATTAAAAACTAGATATTCAGCTTAGTGAGGGTTAATTCCCTCAAGGAGCTTGATAAAAAGCAATAGAAGGTCAGAGCAAAAGCAACCCTGCCAGCTGTCACCTCCTTTTTTTTCAGAGATGTGAATACCATTTCAAACAGCTAATGCATTGTAGGGGGGCTAGAGATCTGTTTCTTTAGCTCGTATGATGACATTTTAGCTCAGGAAGCAGAATTTTTAGCTAGCCTACTGAAGTGATATTCCTACCCAACATCCTTACCAGCTGTCTTGCAAACAATGCAATTGGTCACAAGAGGGACAGGGTAAAAGAAGTTGGATAAACCAGTGCAGATTTGTCCTTCTATAGGGGTGGGGGGCTACTCAATGCACATCTCCTGACAGTAGCACCATTTCCGCATATGAAGGACAACCCAAGAGAGAAATTTTGACATTTTAGCTTAATTTGTCTCTAGAGAGGAATGTCTCTGGCTGTGAAGTCAATTCAACCTCAAATTCACTGCCACCAAGGAGTTAAAAATACATTAAAATTAATCGTCATTTTCTGGAGAAATATTCTACTTATGGAAAATACCTTTATAGGAAAACTGCTTTTCTGAGTCTGAGCTGGAAATATTACAGTAAACAGGATCTAATCACAGTGAAGCCTTTTTTCAGCTTTGCATGACAGCTGTAAAATATGACAGTATTTATTAATAGTTGCTGCAGCCTAATCTGCAGCATTGGAGAGCTACAGAAAAATATGTTAAGCTACCGAGAGAACAATTTCCACAGTAACTAATATTCAGCTTCTGAAAGGGTAGTTTAATGTCTTTTGAATTTTTTCCCCTACTGATGGTCCAACCCCAGGAACGAGCTACTAAGCTAATAACCTTTGTGGAGAGTAAGTGTTTAAATGATAATTTATTTCAAGAGCTGACAACAAATTGCTCGGCACTTTCTCTTCTTATGCCCCAAAGCAGTCAAGGATGTGCAAATCGAAGTATTAAAAAATATGACAGCTCTGGTATTTTCATTTTCGATGAAATTCTCATTACAGACAAATGTACAGTCTTTTATTCACAATCCAGTCCAAATAGTCATTCACTATTATTATTGTGCGGGCTCTCAAGATGCTCTCATAGTTGAAGACTCATCACAATAGATTAGGCAGGCTGTGGAAACTACCAAATGTCTCAGGTACTGTCAACCCTGATTATTGCTGCTCAAACAGGGGAATTTAGTATCCGTCTCTCACACGATAATGTACTCGCTGGGCCTTCCTAATTTATTCAGATGTAAAAAGTAGCTTGAATTTCAATAAAAACTCTCTTGACTTCACTTTTCCCAGAAGGCAAATGGACACAATCAGAATTGGAGCCATCTGTTTCCTTCGTACGTCTTTTAATCAGTTCTTAAAGTGAAGAAGAAAAAGAATCCATGATAGTCTGTCCTTTTTTTCTTTCTTTCTTTCTTTCTTTCCTTTCTTTCTTTCTTTCTTTCTTTCTTTCTTTCTTTCTTTCTTTCTTTCTTTCCTTTCTTCTTCCTTCCTTTCTTTCTTTCTTTCTTTCTTTCTTTCTTTCTGTCTGTCTGTCTGTCTGTCTGTCTTTCTTTCTTTCATAATTGAGATACCCTGCTACTGTCTTAACAGTTTTGGCCAAGCAGTCATGGTACTTAGCTGGAACTTTAAAGAAGTTCATGATAGTGGCCTATCCTGAACCAGAATAGGCTCCTCCAACCAGAAATATAGCCCCTTACCAATGACAACCTGCAGATTTTTCTTTCTGTGTTCAGGAAAGTCTCTGACCCAGAGAAGAATAGATGAGTTCCCTTCCCTCAGAATCAGGGCCTCAGCACAACCCTCCGTTAGTATGCATCACAGCAGTTACCTTCTGCCTGCATTTAGAACTCTGCTGTCTCTCTGCCTTCACCTTTGCAACTCATTTACCTCTTAACCTGGATTTTTGACCTCTTGCCTGTCTGGATTCCTGGTACCCTGAGACAACAAGATATTACATTCATTTGTGGATACCATGCCTTAAGAAGGAAATTGGCAATTGGATTGCATCCACGGGAAGACAACCAGGATAGGGAGGGTCTAAGTACCTGGTCTTTGAAGAATGGCTGAAGGGAAGACTAAAGGAAGAGGTAATAGTTGTGTTCAACTGTTAAGAATGTAGGAGGCAGTATGTCAGTCAGAGAACAGTACATAGACTGTGGAACGTGGCAGACCCAGGTTGAAATCTGGTTTTATTACTTTGTAGCTGTGTGACCCTAGGAACTATCATTTAACCTTTCCATGCTTTGGTTTCCTCAGTTGTAAAGATGCAGGGATGTTACAAAGATTAAATGAGATAATCCATAAGCTCAGGGCCTAGTGCATAATAAGTGCTTAAGAAATGGCAGTTGCTCTTATCACAATAAGAATAAAATGATAACAATAACAGATTTGTTGACATGTGTCATTGATTGGTATTGAGGTGTGTGTGTGTGTGTGCGCGCGCATGAGTGTGTGTGTAGAGAGAAAGAAAAGGGCGTAAGGAGTGGAGAGGAGAAAGGAGGAAAGGAGGCGAAGAAAGAGAAGGAAGATAGAGAAAGAGGGAGAGAGAGAGAGGTATTTTGTGCTTTATTTGGGAAAGTAGAACTGGGTGAATGGGATGAGGCTAGGCTATGTAAGTAGGTGGAGAATGACAACATGCAGAAAAGTGTGAGGCTGAAACTTTGCTTGTCTCTCAGTAGAGTTCAAATCTAGCCGGTTGAAACATTCATAATCCTCTGAGGACAGGCCCTTTTCTCCTTTTCTTGGGGAATCCCTTTACCTCTTAAGCCCTTTAGGACCTTCCAACATTTTCCCACCTTCCTAGCTATCTGACAACTCTTTAATCTTTTCACAGGGTTCTTGCTCTAATGAATGCATATTTCATTGGTGGATCTGGAAACAGTTGTATTAAAAATTATTTTTTTCAGGCCTCTTAGATAAGTCACTCTTTCAGCAACAGTATTGTCAACTTCTCAGAGCTGAGATCTAATTCTGCTTCTTTTAAACCCCACCAGTGGCCTAGCACAAGCTAACACTGGAGAAAGCTTAATAATTGCTTGTTGACTGATAGGATAATTGTTACAACTGCCTATGTTCCTGTCACAACCTTCGAGAGGAAATAGAAAGATCTGTTAGAAGGCTGTTGACTTCCAGAGAGTTACTTGGGAACTGAGTAGGGAGTTTCAGGTTGAGAATGGGAGACAGCAGGAGTTTATTGAACACTGGCAAGAAGGTAGGGACTAGTTGCCTCAAAGGGCACCCAGAGCTATTATCTCATTATCTAAGCTGAGAGCCACAGCTGGGCCGGATTCTTTCATCTCTGTGGGCTGTGCCCATTGAAGCCAAGGAGAGTTGTCAGGTGCACGAGAGTCTGGCTGCAGTTCTCAAGTATGTTGCTGTTCTGGGGGAAATGTTAGCACCACAGAGAACTAGGTCACTTGCACCCAAAAGATAAGTCTAATAACTGGAAGAGATGGCCACCTCCCTGGCATGGTTTTAGGACTTTCTATATAGGAAGGCATGTGGGCAAAGGACCTCACAAACTGGACTCATGGTGCCTGGAATCCCAGAATTAAAAAGCTACACCTTGGATTATGGTTCTGTATTCACAGAAGGCCTTTGCCTGAATAGAAATTTCTTCTTCCCTGGATGCACTAACCCATCAAGTTGTTAATAGTCATAGATAAATTAGCATGAATAAATTGGTCAGCTGAGCTGTTGTCACTAGCAGAGAAAGACTATTAATCAGTGGGAAGAAAATGCAGGACAGGGAAGTTTTTATGAAGGTGTAGAAGCAGGTTGAGACAGAGATGTTAAGGTTTTGCTCCTGCCAGGGAGGGCAGGTGTAAACATAATGCCATAGTAAGGAAAGAGGGTGTTAATAGGAGAGGGTACCGATAGGGCAGACAACACACTTAACCTCATAATTTTTTCAAAAACTGTTCTTTTATGTATATAGCACCAAGAAAGTAATTTTCAACTTTGTATTAATGAATCAAGGTAGGATTTTAGAAACTGACAAACTGCAAACCCCAAATCAGACTTTCGTCTGCAGACAGAAATAGAAGCAGAGTCAACAAAGCCCTGAATTCCACTCAATGTTTCATAATTTCAGAGAAAACTTTACCCTGGTTGTGCTACAATTCTTTTAAATGATCTCAAACATTTAACCCATTTCTCAGCTCCCCACTCATCCCTGCCCTTATACAGTAGAGTCACATCATTTGTATATTTAGCTTATGAATGTAATTATAGGTGTTCTCTTCTGTTTCTCTTTCTCTTCTATCTCTCTTATATAATTTAAAATATTGTAAAATTATATTTTCTATTGTAATTTCTCCCTGTAATTTTTATTACTAAAGCAAGAGATGATCATTGCACAAAACAAGAAAATACAGAATACTGAATATTTTAAACAACTGTACCAAGTGATTGGTATGATTTATGAATTGGGCCTGCTTTCCCTCCCTCCCTCCCTTCCTCCCTTCCTTCCTTCCTTCCTTCTCTTCTTTCTCTTCCCTTCCTATCTTCTTTCTTCCCTTCCCATTCTCCCTCCTACCCATACCCACCCTTCCTTCCTTCTTTATTTTTCTTTCTTTCTTTCTCTCTTTCTTTCAGTCCAGTGTTGAAAAACAGACATAGGCTTATTGTTGATGAATCACTAAAGGAGGTTGGAAAACACTAAGTAGGCACACAGGCATGTGCTATGTACTAGGGGAGGCACAAAGTATAAATCTAGGGGCTAGCCAGTTGTTTATTATCACACTGGAGAGAAATGCTTGGGAAGGTATAGTATAGATCATAGCCAGTGAAATAACAGCAGAAGGCAGTTATATTCAATGCCAGATGAATGACATGGACAGAAGGGTTCTGTGGGTGTTTAGAGGTAGGCAAGATCTCTGCTCCTCAAAACTAAGTCTCCTCCTGTCCAGTCACCTCAGTAAATGGCATCACCATCTTACCATCTTACCCAATCTCTCAAGCCAAACACATAGTAATCATCCATGAAGCCTTCCTCTCCTTCACATCCCACAGTCAATCTGTCCCCAAGTTCTGTCAATTCTGTCTCCAAAGTATACTTCAACTCCACCTCTTTTTCTCCATCTCCAGCTTAGTCCAAAGCTGCCATCACTTCTCATCTGGATGACCACAATGGACTTTCAATTGGTTTCCCTTCTTTTTTACTTGCACCACACTCCATTCTCTACAGAAATGTAGATCATGTGACTTCCCTGCTCAGAATCCTCCAATGACTTCCCACTGCAATTAGAATAAAATTCATACTCCTCAGCATGGCTTCTGTTTATACTCTATGGCTATGATCTGGCTCTTGTCTACCTCTACAGTCTGCTCTCAGGCCACTTTCTACCTACTTGTTATCCTTTAGCCACACTGGACTTCTTTCAGTTCCTCAACCATACGACATGACCTTTGCACTTGCTATTTCTACTGCTTGAAACTATTTCCCTCTACTCTTCACATGCTGCCTCCTTCCAGTCCTTTAGTTCTCAGCTTAAATGCCCCTTCTCAATGAGGCCATCACTGAACATCCTTTGGAAATTAAGCCCTATCCATTATTATCTGTCTATTTTTTTCCTTCATAGCACCTTATTTAAATGTGCAATTGTTTTTTTGTTAATTTACTTGGTTTTTGTCTATCTCCATCATTAGAATGTAGGTTTATAAAGCAGGAACCATATCTAACTATATCTATGTGGTTTTTATTGTAGCCTTAGCATCTATTGCATTAATGAATAATTGTGAGCTAGAGTGGTCAAGGAAGGCTACCTTGGGGAGGTAGAGTTTGAGGCGGGTTTTGAAAATTGGAAGAATGGACATGATTACCATATCAAGATAAAGGAGAGAATTCCAGGTAGTAGTAAAAGTACGATTGCTGAGGCAGGCATGGTTCTGGTGCATTTAGGCAGCAGTGGAAAATGGGAGCTTCCTACAATGGGAGGTTCTCATTGGGTAGCATAGGGAGAATGGGTTTGTTAGTTGGTTGAGGCATACTCATGCCAAGTCTTGAAGAATAGACTGCTTTTTTCAATATGGGCAATAGAAAGCCATTGAAAATTTTGGAACAGGATCCTAGTACAGTAATGTAAGAAGGCTTTTCAAGGGGTAAATTAGTGTAAAAGTTTATGGGAAGTACTTCTTAAGCAGAGCGGATTAGTCCCACCAGCTAAATGGCTGCAGGTGAAAAATATAAAGTTACATGAGTCAGAAAGCTTTCTTTGACTCCAAGACCATAGACTTGTCCAAACTATTTAGTTAGATGATTAGAGAAAAGATGCAAGGGTAAGAAATAGATAGATGGTCTTTTCCTCCCGTTCTTCTAGTAGAGAGCTAATGAGCAGAGAAGGGTCACACTAGATGAGGATAAAATTCATTAATTGTGTCTTCTGCTTTTGAATAAATGAGAGGTACACTGTTGGTGGAACCAATATTTCGTTTTTAAAATGTTTCAGGAGAGAAGTTGCCTGACTTACAAAGTTCAGTTCTGAAAACGAAATTGATATGCACTAGATTACGCTGTATACAGTACATGTATACTGTTTGGACAAAATGAAATTTATTAAAATTTGGCAAATTATGAATTAGAATATTCAAGCTATTTTGTATCTCAGTCAGACAGGGCTCTACCTGAACACACAGTGTTCCTTCCTGGCCCTGCTGTTTGTTTGTTCTCTTTTCTCCTCTCCAAAGCCCCATCTCCCTTCTCTCTTGCAACCCACAACTTATCTATCTTTCAAGGCTAGCTTCTCTAGCAAGCTTTCTCTGAAAACTCTACTTTTCTGGAGTGCAACCTTTCCACAATTCTTAAAGTATTCAGAGTATACAGTGTAGCACTCAATTTGATGTTGTTCTGTGTTGTTCATGAATTGCTTTATAAGTATCTTTTTCTGTACACACCCCCTTGAAACCATATTATATATGTATGTATCACAGGATTGGAGACCACCATTGGGGGTTGATAATGGCTTGTAGAATGGATTGACTAATTAACTGATAATATATAAGTTACGATTAGTAGCAAGATACAAAGTGTCAGTAGCTGGTCAAATATCTCAAAAAAAATCACAGAATCATGGAATATAACATTAAGAAGGAACACACCTTAGGTGAGGAGGCCAAGTCCAAGAGCATGTCAATGAGTTGGTCAAGGTCAACTTGTTAAGTGAGCTAGTAAGTGGCAGAGCTTGGACTAGACCTCTGGTCTTCTGCTTCAGGTTCATGAAATTTGATGATAGTTTGGAGGTAAGTACAATAGGGAAATACAGGCCTAAGTATTTGCTATTAAGATTTGATGATGCAGCAAAATGAGAGTAAAGTGAAGAGTGTTCTGGATTCCCAAGAGCAAAATGGCCGTTCAAGTTAAGTTACTTAGAAGGACCTCTTCTACAGGTACCCCTCAGGCAGATAAGCCTTTCATTTAATCCTTCTGAGTTTAAAAATTCTGAGTTAGAGAGAACCACCCCCAGCCTATAAATGGAACCACAGGCAAATGAGTGATAAAGTAACATTGTCTTCTGGAACGTCTTGGTGATAGAATCCCTTGGTTTTACCAAGGAACCCGTCAAAGACAACTGGGTGTTGGAGGAGCCTGATTAGATGAATTATGATGTGTGTGCTCTAGCAAATTAATCAATAGACCTTACTGTATATTATTTAAGATCAGACTCTTAATTTCTGAGCCTGTTTTAATAGAGTGTATCCTCAATATATTGTCTCACTATTAGAGGAGACTGGGCATATTTAGAGTGGTATGGCCGTAGACTGTCTCACTATTTAAAACAAAACAAAACAAAAACAAAAACAAAACCAAAAACAAAACAAAAAGTCAATCCCCAAAGCCCAGTTTAGCTGTCTCACTCATTATTTCTATCAGATAATTGTTGAGGCCTGCTAAGCTGAAAACCTAATGTGATCTGATGGAATGAGTCCTGGAAGCAAGAGACATTGCTACCAGTCCCATTTTAGTGGTGAAACTGCTGTATGAAAAAGCACTTGGACTTTAGCTATCTCATCTATGAAATGGGGATAATTACAGTTTCTGACAGGATTAATTTTCCAAAACTTTCCAATTTAAGCCTCTCTCTACTTAGACTAAGCTGCTTTTACTTCATACATTTTAGACCAGATAAAATTTTTGATGGGGGAGGCGTTCTTTTTCAACTATGGTGACTCAATCAAGAGGTATTCCAAACTGCTTTTTCAGGGAGGGCCTACATAGCTTGAAAAATTAGGTTCTAAAATTACTATTACTTTTATTTTTTAATCTTAACCTTTGATTTATTTGGAATATTAAATACAATTTTAAAACAGAATTAGATTTTATTTATTGGAAGCAAAGGGCACATAAGCTGAGGAAGTTTGAACACAATTACATGAATATCTAAAGAGCAGAGCAGGTGCCTCTTCTTACCTCGTTCTGTGTCATAGAGGTACACAAACTTCTCCCACTTGTAATGACCCAGAAGACTCAGAATAGCGCCCTTCAAGGCTGGGCGCATCTGGATGACAAACTGCACATCTGCGTCAGTGGGGAAGCTAGGCGTAACAAAGGATGTGTGCAGGGCCCCACAGAAGGAGGTCAGGGTGTTCATTGACATCTGGTCATAGAATCCAAAGATGGCATACACCCCTCTCGAGAACTGGGAGCAGACTGCAATGAGAAAAAGAGAAAAAGATTCAATAGCTCCATGGTCCTTTGCTGCAACTTGTAGGGTTAGAAATACAATGTACAATTAGGCCCCAAATTGCATACCTCAGAAGAAAGAAGCCCCTGAAAACCCAGTTACCCAACAGGAGAAGAGTAAGAAAGGGAAGAGAATTAATTTGATACAGGTACACATTCTCTATGTGCACAATGAGCTGGAAACTAAGAAAATGTGGGAAAAATAGAGGTGAAAGTCGTCTTACTCCCTTTCAAAACCCTCCCGGCTCATCTCCAAGGCATTCAGTGCTCTTGTACTTCCACTTTAGCTGCCCAGGGGCCTCTTAGTGTACTAATGCGTCCATCAAACTACAACTACAACTGTTTTTTGTACCACCCTTCATTCCTTTTTCTCATAGGTGACTGAGAATTTAGTAAGACTAGCTGCTAATAAGTCTGCTAGGAAATGTGTTACCCTTCAGGTTACATAATGTCTTAGCCACAGTTATGTTATTATTAAAGCCCTTAATGTGGGCTATTAATTTAGATGATTTAAGGCTCTGGGCAGGCCATGGGAAGACTGTCCTTTCAGTGCTCATCGAGTCACAGGGGTTAGGTGGCTGCCTATCCTGCCCATGTGTAATTGGGAAAGTTCTATCTTGATCCTTTTGCATGTATCTTATAGACTCCACTAGCCCACATGTAGAATTTTCACACCCCCCTCACAGTTGTCACCTTTCCTTCATTTCAAAGTGGGCCACATTGCTGCCTCTTCTCTCTTCTGGCCCATAAGAGCTTAAAAAATGTGAACCAATTTTAATATTAGCTTCAGTAGAACATAATTAGCAAAACAAATCAGCTACAACAACACTGTGGAGCATTCACAAACAAAGTGGAAATGATCTTTAGATTATCTGCACCACTGCTCACTTCCATTCATGCGAAGCAGACATAACAGGCATAATGTGGTGTGATTTAAGGGGTCCTGCATGGTCTCCCTTACCTACTAGAAAACCCTAAATACCACTGTTAAGTTTACTTCTTCAAGTGTTTAAAAGAAGTCTGTGGCCTGGGAGAGTGATTAAATAGAATCTTATTTAGCAGTTACTGTGGTAAGATAAATTAATGTCTGATTAGATGCAAGGATGAGTGGGAAATCAGATGGGTAAATTTTGATGGGGATGAGTGGGTCAGAGAAGAGAATGTGTATGGGGTCTGGAGTCCTCCCTGAGAGGAGAAACAGTGAAGACGTTGAGCACCAAAAATAAAGAAGGTATTGAAAGCATGAAGGCAAGTGGAAAACCAATTTAATTCATTTCTTGACCCTGTTGTGAGAGATAGAGTTCTCAGTGGATGTAGTATTTTGCTTTCCCTGCATTTGATTCGAATCTATGTTGATTAGAGCTGTTCTCTTTTTATCAACCAAAGTCATTAGCCATTGGCTTGAGGGTAGCATTTCAAAAGTGATTATCAGTCACTTAACCATCTCCATCATAGGAGACAATAGTCTTCAACTTGAAGAATTCTAAGTGACCCTCAGACACATGCACAGGAAACGTCTTTATATTAAAAGGAAAAATCCCGTCGCGGTGGCTCACGCCTGTAATCCCAGCACTTTGGGAGGCCAAGGCAGGCAGATCACGAGGTCAGGAGATCGAGACCACCCTGGCTAACACGGTGAAACCCCGTCTCTACTAAAAATACGAAAATTAGCTGGGCATGGTGGCGGGCACCTGTAGTCACAGCTACTCGGGAGGCTGAGGCAGGAGAATCGCTTGAACCCGGGAGGCAGAGGTTGCAGTGAGCCGAGATCGTGCCGCTGCACTCCAGCCTGGGCGACCGACAGAGTGAGACACCGTCTCAAAAATAAACAAATAAATAAATAAAAGGAAAAATCCAACTAGAGTGAATCTGGGGTACTTCATGACAAGAGCCAAAGGGAGTACAATACTCAGAAACAAAAGGGATGTCTTGATCATCACCAAGGGTGATGCTAAGAAAAGTCCCATTCTCAAATTAATCCTGTAAGTGGAGTTTTGCAATACCAAATCAAATCTTGGCCAGTGCACATAATGTTCTGTACAAAATTGACAATAATAATGATAACATCCAATAATAATGATAATAGCCATTGATAATAACAGCCATTAATAATGAGAATAGTATTTAGCCAGGCACTATACTAACTACTGTACAAATATTTTTTCATTTAATATTCTCATCAGCTTTATGAGGTATTGCTGTTATTCCTATTTAATAGATAAAAATTCTGAGACCAAAAAAACTGTTCTAGCTATTAAGCAGAGGAGCCAGAATTTGAATCTGAGTGTGCTTGATCCAAAACTCACACTCACATGTACTCAAATCCAATAATGTTATTAAAAAGTAATCATTGCTCCACAAGAGATAGGGTTTCGAGCTTTAGCAAATAAAAACAAGATTTTCAATTAAATTTGAATTTCAGGTAAATAATTTTTTAGTATAAGTATGCCTCAAATTCATACATACACTAAAAACATAATTTGTTGTTTATCTGAAATTCAAATTTAACTGGGCATCCTGTATTTTATCTGTCAACCCTAGAAAGAACCTCTCCTTACTAATAATGGTCATGGGCTGGAAGACTAGAACAAGCAATCATGGCCCTTCAACCAAAATGATTCAAAGGGTAGCTGGTAATTCTCAGATCCATACCAACTGGCAAAAGAAAAATTAGGATCCATGAATCCTATACAAAAATAGTCTCATGGGAAAATGCAACATATTTTCAGTAAGGAGAACTCCAACCTGACTAGATTATGGGCAATAATTGAGGGGGAATATAAACTTAAAAAGAAGGAAAACTATAGCCATGATCCACTTTCAGTTTCAAAAACTCTTGAAATAGTGGAAGGAAACAGAAGATAAGTGGCGAGGTTCTGGTTGATTAAAAAAAATCTTGTATTGCTCTTCTAATCATTGACCTTGAACTCGGGGTGCAGAATTAATTAATCATTGTTAGTTCATACACGGACTTTTAATATTTTATTTATTGCATTCATTTATTTATTTAGACTATAATGAACACCTATAAAGCCATTACCCAACCTGAGAACTATAACATTACTGGTAACTTACTTTTATCTATGTGGTCCTCCTCTAGTCCATCTCCCTGTATTGATAACACTCCTCCCTGCTACCCCTGCCCCAGGTAACTACTATCGTGAAATTTGTATTTATTATTACCTTGGTTTTAAAAAAATATACAAACACATACACCTAAACGATATATTATTATTTTTGCTTGTTTTAAAGCTTTATATCAAGGGAGTCATATTGTATATGTGAAACCCAGACTTTGGTAAAACTTTATGAGTTGTCTCCAGGAAGGTGAACCCAGTGAAATCTTTAAGCCTGTATATTATGACAAGAAGAATGAGACAAAAGAAGAACTTATAAAAATGTGTAGGGAGCCTGTGTGAGAAAACCCACTGAAATTTAAAATTTCCAAACTAAGCATACAGCTCTGGTTGTGACTCAGACAAGGGACTCAGGAATATTTATAGATCAGTGGCAATCCTCAGGGAATAATATGCCACCGTGGTCCAAAAGGCAGATCCACTGTCTTTTGGTGGTGGACATCAATAAGAAGAGTTTTAGGTGAAAATCAGGAAACATTTGACTCCTTTCATATAAAACAGAAGTACAACTGTCCTTCAAATATTGACCCCTGTGCTCCACCCACTCCAACATAGACAGACATCAGTAGAAGGCCTGCGAAGGATTAGCCCAATGGGGAAGACAACTGCCATATGAGGACAGTGTTAATGGCCTCTGAAAGAAGCTGGGGCATGGGGGACCTGTGAAGGGCCTTTCACAGCAGATCCTAGGCCTGTTCCTGGCTGTCAAAAGTAGGGTTGAATGGAACACTGAGTTGACCCACCCACAATGTCTATGATTTTAGATTCTTAGAATGTTTGAGCTAGAAGGAACTTATTTTTTATTCACTTGTTTCTCAAGCATAGTTTTTAGTGGTGAAATCCTTTCTCCAAATGAAATTTTATATGGAAAAGTTTATTTTACAAATGAGACAGTGGAGCTCTTCTGATTGAACAGAGTTTCACTGGTCTGATGTCTCCCTATCATAAAGAAACTATGACACAAAGGGAGGGAGTGTCTTACACAAGGTCACACAAGAATTATGAACTAGTCTCTTAGAAAAGCTTTATTGGCATTTCCTCACCATCCCTACTCCAGAGCTATCTTTTGCAGCGTGGGTCAGGATTCACCTGCATGAAAGTGACTTACCTTCAATGCCTAGCCCTCAGACAAGGTAGCATAGATGGCTCTACCAGGGGTTTCCCATGATTCATCTGCCAGCTGCTTCCCTCAGCTCCCTCCAGCCCCAATAACAGCAGTGAGAGCTGGTTGCAGATTGGTGATCTTTTGGGAGTCATGATTCTTTTGGGGGATGTCTGTTTCCTTTATCTGAATCCTTAATGAAGCACACCCATTTCTCTTTTTTTCTTTCTTTCTTTCTTTTTTTGAGATGGAGTTTTGCTCTTGTCGCCCAGGCTGGAGTGCAATGGCCCGATCTCGGCTCACTGCAACCTCCGCCTCCCAGGTTCAAGCAATTCTCTTACCTCAGCCTCCCAAGTAGCTGGGAATACAGGCATGCGCCACCATGCCCGGCTAATTTTTGTATATTTAGTAGAGACGAGGTTTCTCCATGTTGGTCAGGCTGGTCTCGAACTCCCGACCTCAGGTGATCCACCCGCCTCAGCCTCCCAAAGTGCTGGGATTACAGGAGTGAGCCACCATGCCCAGCCTCACACCCATTTCTTTATCTCAGAAGACTCTCTGGTAAAATGGTGATGGAAGAAATATTTGTCTTGGCAATCTTATAAAGTCATGAAGTGCAGAGGGAAAGGCAGCAACTTCATAGACAGGCAGATCTTGGTTCCAATCATGGCTCTGCCAGTCATAAGCTGCGTAACTTTGCGCAAGTTATTTGACCTTTCTGAGCCTCAGTATAGGATGGTTATTACATAGGCAGGTTCTAAAGTTAGACCACATAGGTTGAAATCCTGTATCCTTTACTTATTAGGCAAGTTACTTAGTATCTCTGTGCCTCTGATAGAGTTTCTTCATCTGTAAAATTGGGATAATGACAATAACTGTTTCAGCATTGCTGTGAAAGTTAAAATACGTTCATTCATGGGCAGCACCTATAACAGTGCTTAGCATATAATAGACATTCAATGAATACTAGCTATTTATTCATTCATCAAATATTTTTTGAGCGTCTACTATGTGTCAGGCACTGTTATAGATGTTGGGAGATACAGGAGTGAAAAAGATCCTGTCCTCTTGGGACTTACAGACTAGTGAGGGGAAAATACAATAAATGAGACAAATAAATAAAATATGAAGTATATCAGCTTCACCTCTCTCTCTCTCTCTGTGTACTTTGCCCTCTGTTAGCTCTATTGTGTTATCCTCCCCACAGTAACCATTGCCCTCTATCTCATACCAAGCCCCAGGATATCACTTTCCATCTCTTTCACTTTTCCTATCCATTTCTTCTTTCCTAGTCTCACTTCTGGGTGGTAATGGGTTAAAGAAACTCTGCCAATTTGGCTCAAGAAGATGCCATTGTCCTCTGTCTCTTCCCTCCCTATATAATGCCTTTGTGCTGGTGAAATGCTGTCCCTACCTGGGGCCTCTGTGCCTTCTCAGTGTGAAATAGCTTGGTTGTCTGCCTCCTAAGAGTGCCTGTCTCTGTATATTCCCAGTAACAAAATACCAATTTTTTTTCTCATTGAAGATGTCGTTTCTGACTACATTCTGGATTCCTGGGGACTCTAGTGTAGCTCCCCAGCTGCGTTCCCTTCAATGGTGAGTGGCAAGCAAGGCTGGAGCCAGCTGTCACGCTTTTATTTATAGTCCCCGAGTCTGTAGGGTCGAGACGGGTATTGTTAATGTACAGTGTGGCACCAAATTATACCACCCATATTCCAAAAGGCATCATTACAAAAATGTCAAACAACTTGATTACTTCAAAGTTCAGAATAACAATATTGCATATCATTTACAGAACACTTTTCATACCTTTTGAATCAAGGAGGAAAGAGGGAAACTGAAGTCTCTTGCTGATTTAATGATTGCATTTAAAGCAAGCAGGAAGACGAAAAATATAGCTATGAAGAAACTCATAGAGCTACATCACAACAAGGTTCTCCAGGTAATTCCTTCATAGTACAGTGAAGTCCAGTGGATCAAAGAAACTTAGAGCTAGGAGGGACCTTGAGAGATCATATAGTCTGGTGCTTTCTAAAGCTGTGGTATTAGTAATTGGTGGAGTTACCAGTGTAAGGAAATAAATAAATGTATGCTGTGTTTTATTGTGTGTGTTGGAGTAAGGTAGACAACTCGTGGTTTTTTTTTTTTTTTGAAAGACAGTACTTTTCTCTATATAATTTCTACTCTTTAGTGCTATATGTAGTCTTTATTTTCTGAAATGATGATGTTGATGATAAATGATGATGATGTCTATCACATGGAAGATATATTTATATATCTATATCTCTTATGTGGGTAGATAAAATAATGACTCCCCAAAAGATGTCCATGTCTGAGTCCCAAAGTCCCTGAATTAGGTTATACGGTAAAGGGAAATTAGGCTGTAGATGGGATTAAGGCTGCTAATCAATGGACCCTAAAATATCAAGAATATCCTGGATTATCTGGGTGGCCCAGTGTAATCACAAGCTTCTTTAAATGTGGAAGACAGAGGCAAAATGAGAGTCGGTATCAGAGTAATGTGACATGGGAAAGACTTGCCTGGCCATTGCTAGCTTGAAAAGTGGAAAGAGGCCACAAGCCAAGAAATATGGGTAGTCTCTAGAAGTTGAAAAAGACAAGAAAACAGGGTCTCCCTTAGGGCTTCCAGATAGGAACACAACCCTGCCGACACACTGGTTTTAGCCTGGTGAGACCTGTACCAGACTTCTGACCTACAGAACTGTATGATAATAGTCTTGTGTCAATTTAAGCTATTAAGTTTGTGGTAATTTTTTACAGCAGTAAATAGAAAGCTAATACATTTAACATAGCAAAATTAAAAGGTTGGTAACTCTCTGGATCAATGTGCACCTGCCCTACCTTTTTCCCCCTAAAATATTATTAATCTGATAAGTCCAAAAGGTTGGAAATGAATTATCTAGTCCAAATTCCCATTCAATACATGAGCCACCTTCTGTGAGGTCATATTGCCTCTCCTTGAATCCATCCAGTAACAAGGGAACTCACTACTTCCCTTGGAGGGCAGCTCTGACAGCTAGGGAGCTCGTCCTTAAATTGAACCTAATTTTACTCTTTGGGCTTCTTGAGTGCCACACTGTAGTCTCTCTATGCTGCCTTCTTCCTGTCAGGCTAAACATCTGCTAAGATTCCATTTCCTCCTAAATCCCTGCCACCTCCATCAACTATCATTCTAACTCCTTTATCACTATTACTAATGATGGGATAATAAAGATCTTGCAGTCTTCAGCTTCTGGAACCTAGTTTCTGTTCCAACTCCTCTACTGAACTGCTCTCTCAAGTTCGATGATGACTTCTTCACTGTCAAATCCCCCTCTATTCATAGACGTTGTTCGAATTGATTGCTGAGCCGCATTTGATATTGTTGGCTAAATCTTAGCCCTTGAAACTCTCCTCTCGGATTTCCAGTGCATTAAACTCTGCTGGCCCTACCTCTCTTACTCCTCCTTTTCAGTTTCCTCTGTGTCCACCTCCTCAATGAGGATGTGTTTCAAAGATTTTGTCCCTGGCCCTCTTTTCTCCTCACTTTAAATATGGTTTTTTAAAATTCAACAAATATTTATGGAGGACCTGCTATGTGCCAGGCAAGGGGATCTAATCTCACTACCTCCATGTGGATGACTTCTAACTAGATACCTGTAGCTTCAGCCACACTCCTGAGCTCCAGAGCCACATTTCTAACTGCCCATAAAACAGCCTCACCCAGAGGCCCTCAAGGCATCACGAACTCAGCATATTATTTCTCTACGTCCATCCTCCACCTATGTGTCTGCTCCCGTTGTCCCTGTTTCTTCTAATGCATTGCTCTTGTTCCAGGAACCAAAGCTAAAGTCTTAAGGATCATGATTGCCTTTGTTCTCTCCCTCATTTCCCTATACCATTCTTTTGTAATGCTTCACCAATTCTGCCTCTAAGGTACGTGTATCTACCTCCTGTTCATTGTCAGTTCAAGTTATCATTCCTTTTCTCTTGACTGAGAGTAGTCTCTTAACTGGTCAGTTGCTTCCAGTCTTTTCCCAGACTATTGAATACTGCTATAAAATTACTGTTCCTTCTTTCTGTTTCAACTGATCAATCAAAATATACTCATCCCATCTCCTATTTCTGCAAGAACCTACTCTGTGTATGAATTGTTAATGGATTAATAAATGAATCTTTGTAAGTGGGTCAGTTCAGGGTTTTTCAACCTTGGCAATATTGACATTTTGGTCTGGATAATTCTTTGTCCAGGGGCTGTCCTGTGCATTGTAAGATGTTTTGCAACATCACTGACTTCTACCCTCTAAATGCCATGGGCACCACTCCTACTACCTGTTGTGACAACCCAAAATGCCTCAGAACATCATCAAATATCCCTCAGGAGGGCAACATAGCTCATCTCCCACATTGAGAACCAAAGGTTTACCTTATGAATTCCTCCTTACAAAGAGCAAAACCTTAATCCAATGAAAATGCATACATATCTAGAAAACCCCAAAGGAGTTACTTTAGCAGTAGAAACTTAAAAAGGGTGGATATTCTGGACTCTTCCAAGCCTACCATACAGGCAGCTATCTTCCTGATCCTGCCCTTTAATGAGTTATTTGTGTTTAGCCTGGGGATGTAGGAGAGGGGAAATTAGATAGAGGATGGATATGGTGGGGTGAGTATAGGGTAGCAGTCAGCTCATACCTTCCCTGGGTTCATATAAATCATGATCCCTCCCCAGTGCCCTTTGGTCTTGTGTCCTGGTAACCACAGTGGGTCCTTTTAGGTTTCAGAGTCAGAACAGTGTGTCAGCCCCATTCTCCAGCTGATGATTGCATGGTTTAATTACCATCTTGGGGTTAATTCCTTTGAACATTTTGTTCAGCTCTCAAGAGCATACTGCCTTCTGAAAGTCTAACTAATTATTTTTGCAATTACATGGCATGTATCTAAATGCTGGCAAAGAAAACACTTATTGTCAACATTTGATCCTACTTGAATGTAACTGCTAGCAAATGCAGGCATTAATATATGAACACATGTATTTTGGAAAATTCATTTTGCACATGTAAATGTAAATCATCCTTCCATAGCAATGTCAGAGATGACGGGAAAGGTGTTGAAATGGGTTGGGCTAAGAGGGTGCTTTTTAGGCCCTTTTATATCGAGATAATATGGTTAAGCATTGGGACTCAGGAGTCAGGAGTGGGCTTTAATTTTTTGCTTATTCATTCATTAAATAAATTTCAGGTTCCTAGTGTGTGGCAGTGTCTGGGTGCTGAAATATGGTGGTGAGCAAAACAGACAAGATCTCTGCCTTCATGGTGCTTACAGTCTAGTACTGGCAGTAAATATGATAAATATGAATCAAATAATCATACCAATGTGTGATTATCACGTTCTAACTATGAAGAGGAGAATGTGTAGGATGCTGTGACTTCATGATAAGGTGGTTTTAATTTAGATTAGGCGAGGGAAAGGTTATCTGTGGACAAAGCATTTGAACTGACACCTGATGGTAGAAGAGCACCCTATGCAAAGAGACTAGCATGTGACAAGGCCCTGAAATGCATTTGATGCATTTGAGGCACTGAAAGAAGACTAGCCTGGCTGGAACATGGCCAGTGAGGAAGAGGATAATGCAAGATGAATCTGGTAGAGGAGGCAGGAACCAACCGTGGAGGACCTTGTTAGATGTTGGTAAGGAATTTGTATTTTTATGCCAAGGACTATGGGAGGAAATATTAGAATAATTTTGATCATGGGTATAGCATAAACTGATTTATATTTTTAAAAGACTTTTCTTGCTGCTGTATGAAGAGTAGATTTAAGGGAACATCAACGAAAGTAGGGAACACCTTTGAAATGTTATTACTATAGTCTAGGTGAGAGACAATAGTGGTTTGAATTGTGTTGTGGCACTGAAGGTAAAGAGTTTTGGAGTTTTTTTTTAAGGTCAAGTTATTGGTTAAATAGACTTGGGCTAGTTACTTAGATGCTCCAAGCTTCATTTCCATATCTATAACAATTGGTATAATAGTACCTACTCCATAGTATTATTGTATGGATTAAATGAATATGTGTAAAGTGCTTATGACTTTCATATAGTCTGTGCTCAATTGATAAGTGATATATGTTATTTATATTATTTTAAAAATTATTTCTCAGTGTGTTTGCACTGAGATGGGTTTTTATACAGTTCAGCCCCTAATTGGCTATATGGCCTTGGGCCGGTCACTTCCCTGGGCTTCAGGTCTGTCATTTGTAACCCAGCAATGCTAACACCTGCTCTGCCCACCTCACAGGTTCGTGCAGAGAATAAATGGAAGTAATAGCTAAATTTCTCCTTTTAAAAATTACAAAAGTCCCTGAGTATCAACGAGTAAGTAGTATTGGTACTTGGCTTCCAGTAATCATCATCCACATAACAAATCAATCCACAGAATTGTCATTCTTTACAGCCTGTCTCTGTCATCCACATATCTCCATCAATCATCTAAAGTAGTCAGGGGCTTGTCTTGACTTGCAACTCATTTTACATGGGGTTTAGCAGGACTCTTAATTGAAAAAATAATTGATCCAGTAATCCAGTCACAGTCAATGAAACAATTTTTAAAGCTGTGCAGGAAAGTGATGAACTCTTATGATGTCTTTGGATCAGCCCTAAGGTTTGTCATGGACAGATAAGAGCTACAAGTTTGATATCACATCATATAGTATTTGAAAGCCATTTTCTTTGATTTTGCAGCCCATGCTGAGCAGGGAGAGGGTGAGATGGGTCCCCAAACAAAAATTATTCTCAAAAATGAACTAATAATTGTCTGTTTTATTTTCTGTAGGCTTAAAATATTTCATAATTAAAGCCAAAACCATATATAAGTAATAAAATCTTTAGATCCATCATCAGTGAAGAAGACATGCCTTTATTTCCCACTTTGTTTGGATTCCTTAGCATCACATTCTTAATGTTGTAATGGCCTCAGTCACCTCCTCCATCTTCCTAAAAAATGCAACAATCCCCTCTATAGCTTAATTGGCAGGTGGGTCCATCCCCTCTTGAATACTTCTGATGATAGTGAACTCACTACTCTTCAAAACAGTGCATTCTACTTTGGGATGGCTCTAATTATTAGAAATTTCTTAATATATTGACTGCAAATCTACCTCCTTGTAACTTTCACCACCTGAGGATTATTTTTTTTTTGTCTGAAGTATGCAGAAACAATCTACTTCATCTTCAAATGACAGGCTTTCAAACATCTGACAATATGCATCCCACCTGTCTATGACTTCTTTTTTTCAGCCTATCGCCAACTGTTCTTCAGAGATCCCAGGCTCTTCACCACTCTGGCCATCCTTCTCTGGATGTGTTCCAGTTTGTCAAATGTCACCCTTAAAGTTTGGCGTCCAGGATTGAGCACCACACTGTGAGTAAGGTTGAACCCCTCCAGAAGACAGGGAACTGATACCCCTCCCCACCCCCCAATTCTGGACTAGAAAACACATATCTGTCAGTGCTGCTGAGTATGGCATGGCTTTTTAAAAAATAAAACAAAACAAAATAAAACAAAACAAAACCACAACAACAAACAAACAGCTCACCATAGATTTCCATGGAAACCACTCCTACTTTGTGGTCTTGAAATTATATCCCAGGTATATTAAGAAACTTCTGCCAAACCAGGCTTCCCCCAACCTTGGATATGTGCTGTTGATTTTTTGTACCTAAATATAGACTTTTGCTTTTTAAAAACGTCCTAATGGTTTTGACTCGGCCTCTAGGGATCATTTTTAATCTTGATTTGTTTAACAAGTTTATTAGATGTCGCTCCCAGTTATGCATCATCTGCAATTTGGTCAGTCTGCTTCGGGTAGTATAATCCAAGTTATTGACAAAAATGCTGAAGAGGACAGGGCCAAGGACAAAATTATTGGGCATGCTACTTTATTCTTCACCCCTATACCTTTCAGGATGACAATAACTAGATAATAAATAGTCTGGCTAAAGTTCTTCAGTATGCTCCAAATATATTATATCTTTAACACATTCACAGTTTAGGCAATATGAATGATTCTTAACACTGACTTTGGTTCTTCACACACATTCACAGGCCTAAATCTTGGGTAAAAAATAACTGGAACAATTTTCTTCTCTCCTGGGTTTTATCATCTCTGACAATGTATCTTTACCATTTATCATCAAGTTTTATGAAAAGGAAGTAAAAAAAAAGAAAAGGATGCTGAGAGGAGAGAGGATGATCAAACAGAGAAGTACCTCTTTGGTGAAGAATGAGCCACCAGAAGAATTGGGAAACTCCTGTTTTCTACAGAATAACTCAAGCAGTGTGTTATTACCTAAGATCAAAATGCTGATTCATTGCTGTTTGTTGTTAGGAAGCAAATGGCCTACCCATTTTACAGGTGGAAAAATTGAATTAATATCCGACCCTAGGGTTCATGGTCTTCAGCATCCATATCTGCTAGAAGACTTTAAAGCAATTGTAAGCAGCATTATGAAATTTCCCAAATGCAATCCTGATGGACAGCAACTCTTGAAAAGCCATCTTCACAATACCCAGGATTGGTGTACTCAAAACAGTTCACCTTTTTGCTGCATTAAAAATCCATACAACCTCAGTTCCTTCAAATATGTCTCAATAGCCTGAAGAGCAAAAAAACCTATTTTCCATCAAGGAAAAAAAAAGGCAAGTTAAAGTAAAAGGCATTTCTTCTAACTTGAATTCAACCAGTTGGATTTTTAAAAGTAATTGCCCAATTGTGGTTTGGGAGGTTGTTCTGGCTCTGTGTAAAACTTTGTGCCAAGGAGGTCCACGCTGAGATGTCCATCTGACAAGCATAGGGTGTACATTCAGGTAAACCTCAGTGGCCCTTGCAGGATGTTTCAGGGTTGCACTGCTCTCTATTTGAAAGCTGCTTTGATTGGGAACAGATGGTCTAGCTCGAATCTAAGAACAAAGCCCTCTGTAACCAGCTCCCACAAATCCCCTACACCCCTTTGTCCTAAAAGAAGAAGGACAACCCTTTGAAGACAGGCATTTTAGGTCTTGGGGCTAATCTAGAAAAAGATCCAGCTTTTTAACAAGGGCACCAGTGAGAGAAAGGTACTTGCTCAAAATGTGTGTCTCATGTCTGTTAACTGTCTAGACCTGTCTTGTCTAGCTTGATAGCCACTAGCCACATGTGACTACACTTTTCTCAGTTACACTAGTCATATTTCAAGTGCTCCATAGCCACGTGCAGCTAGTGGACAGTGCAACATTTAATTGTCCATTATCACAGACAATGCTAGGTGAGTAGGACCTGTTAAAGCTGCCTCCTGTGCCTACCCACCTAAATGTTTTAGATTCTAATCCAACCAGTATTTATTAGTTACTAACTGTTTTAGGCATTGTACTAGCAACTTTCATACTTTTTTTGGAGGGGAGGAGGGCATTGTTTAATGACTAATGGAAACTTCCTATTTGTAGGCAGAGTAGATAGTGGCATTGTAGTGTGGTTTGAGGGTCCCTAGAAAGATGTCCCATCTTCAGTTTCTCTTCTCCATTGACTACCACAAGGTTTGAAACATCCACCTTTTTTTGGCTAGCATGGCAAAATTCCCTATTAAATTACAAATGTGGTCTGGAAGGGAAACATGCGGTCAGTATTTCTCATGACTACTTCAGTATGGATTGGTTTGTCAGATTAGTTCTGACGAGAACCAGGCACTGAGGAAACAGGACACAGGTCAGATAAAATTTTGAGGGCCGTTAGTGACAGTCAGGGGAGATCTGAGTCTTTTAGTTGTCCTCTAGGAGAATGACTCTCCAGTTGGGGATACCTCTGCATGGGGACCTTTTGGCATTTGAACGCAGAGACAAAGGGGAGGGATAAAGTTGCTAACAACAAACCCTGTCAACACCGCCATTGGCCAAGCATACATTCTGATATTCACTCTGTGTTTTGATCAGATGTGTATGTTCAATCAGCCTCTAATGTATGTGTATCAATTTGGTAGATATTTTAAATTAAACATTTATTGAACAGCATCAAGTACTGTGCCAGATGCTGGAGATATACAGAGTTCTACTCTCAAGTTCCCTTTCATATGACCTCCTGCTAGGGAACTCATAACTGGTCCAGTGACAGCATGACCACACCTTTCCTATCCATTTATCTTTTCTCCCTGAATGTTGCCTAGAACCCACCTTCATCACTTTTATCCCAGTGCCTGTTTTTTCAACCTCCATTCTGATTTGTTCCAGGCCAGAGTCTATGATCGATAAGAGAAAAAAAAAGAATAAAGGAAAACTAATCTTTCTTCCCTTTTCCTACAATGTTTGCAAATTATGCAGGGTACAACCCATTAGTGGCTTATGAAATCAATGTAGTGAGTCATGACCTAGCATTAAAAATAAATGAAACAGCCTAGAAAAATGCCAAGGTGCATCTTTGTAGTAAAGGTACGTATTGTTTCATTGTTTCATGAAACATATGTTTTGGGTTTTAAATACATGCATATGTGTTATGGGTCATAAAATAAAATGTATTTCTTTACTACCTTATGCCACTGTAGTTCCATGCCCTGTCCCAAGCCTAGTACTGGTTTGATCTACAACATTTGTGTCCTCACTGTTTATCACTTCCTGCAGAGGACCCATCTCATTCTTTTTCCTGTTCTCACAATCCATCCCTCCTCCCTAGGCCCTCTGAGCCTCCATCTGAACTCATCCCCACCACCCAGCTGGAGTCACATTGAATTGCCAACACCTGGGGATGGAAGCCGATGGGATTTCTGCTCCCACTGTCTCAGATGGGAGTGCTTAGGGAACATGTGTTACTAAACTTTTGAGTTGGGAAGGTGAACGCATCTTCCCACAGAAACATGAGCATGCAATAGAGTTAGGTTCAGTGCTGTAAAACCGTTCAGTTGTACCCTGGGTCTTATGTGCTTTAACAAGCAGCTCTGGTATTTAAGGCCACCTGTAGGCCAGCCAGATTACACATCTTTTAGAACTCAATCCATTTGCAAGGTGGGAAGAGAAACCACTGGTGCAGAACATCATTCAAATTAATTCCTACTTTAGCCTTTTGCAGCAACACGGAACAGCTGAGTCCTTTTGCATGGACCTTGCAGATGCTCCTTCAGTGGCTTGAAAGTAAAACTGTGTCTCCCAAAGTACCTAACTTGCTCCATGGGGTGGAATCTGACTAAAAATAGCTAGAAATAGCTACAATTAAGTAAACACATGCAACTCTTAGAATGTAGTTTCATCTGCAGACGGAATAAGTAGCCCCTCTAGCACTTTGCTGCTCAGTCATGTATTAACTTGTAACTTTTATGTGCTACTGATGAATACATCTGACCACATCAGAGTGGTCCATTTGCTCCAAGAGAAAGAGGATTCGGGCTCTGTAATTCTCTTTGTGTGATGTCACGCAAAATTAAAGGCTTTGTATTTTCAGGTAACAATGGTATTGCCTGAGAGAAGCTGTATACTCAGTTATAAAACACTCAAGTAAGTCCTCAGAGGTTGGCCAAGGACATGTGAGTGAGGTAACTGAGCACACTCTGTCTTATTTTAGATATTGGAACGCAGTGACTGGGCCCTAAGCTCTCCATTGCCTTTCAGATATAGTCCAAACTCTTCAGTCTGGAATTTACATTAAGAAAACATGAAGCACAGAATCTGTACATAATAGGTGTTCAACAAACAGTAGGTATTTGTTTTCTACCCCATGGCTCTCTATATTTAGGACTTAGGATCTAACTAAAATTGTCTTCCACAGGTCTCCTGTAGGAATTTTCTGCCCTAGACTAGTGGTCTTTCTATGCCTCAGATACTTCTTATTCATTCCTGCTACTGAGCATTTTCTCATGCTGTGTCCCCATCCTGGAATGCCATTCTCTAAATCTCTGCCATTCCAATTCTTGCCTGCCTTTCAAAACCTGGCTGATACTCCCTGCTCTGTGGAGCATTTGGTGCCTGCCTCATCCCCCAAGAAATCTATTATTACTGTGACTGCCAGCAGCACTTGGCCTGAAGCCCCCATTTTGGCATTTGATCATAGCTTGCCTGGACTGAGTTGTGGCCTGCTTGCCTCATGTGTGTAAATGTGAACTTCATCAATGACTGAGAAGCTTTTGAAGGCCCAGGAAACAGGTGTTCTGTTACTTTTGTGTCAGACTCAGTATAATTTGGCTCATACTGTAAGCATTTAGCGAGCTGATGACATAAATTTGTTCTGAGATGAGGAATTCTCTAGTTCTATTTCGTAAGTCACTGCTGATAATCTGTGACCTTCATTTCACCTTTTTTTTTAGCTCTATCTCCTCTCTAGCATACTGGCAATAAAAGTATTTGCATACCCTAAAGAGATGTTTTGTGGATTAGCCATAATGAGTATAAAACATGTAAAAATACGAAGATCTGTGGGAACCCTATTATTATAGGAATAATAATAATTACAGTTGTTGTACTTGGTTAAGTGCTCCAAAATTCATATAGAAGATGCCTTCTCTGGGGGGAAAAGCAGCCAACTGTACCACCAATTAGTTAATTATGAGTATTTAATTTTATTTTATTGCTTGTGATTTTTGTTTCTGTGCACAACTGGGACCTAGTTGCCTCTTTGCCTTTTAAATGGAATCACTGATGAAGTTGGTTAAGATTAATCTTCAGTATGGGGCCTAGGCTCCACAAAGCAATGCTGCAGACCCAGTGACTCTATGACTGTCTTGCTCTCTTTCACCCTTAAAGCTCCTACTTTGGCTACTTTTCTTTCTCTTGTTGGTTTTCATCTGTGTTTAAGAAAGAGTCCCAGCTCCAGATTGGTGTGGTATGGGTGGCACTAAACATAAGTGCCAGCCAGGCAGCAATGATATTTGAGGGTAAACGAAGTGCAGAGTCCTTTGGCAGGTGCCTGGGAGAGACATAAAGGAAATAAAACGTGTATTTCTTTAGTTATGAAAGGGTCTTTTGGTCTGTTGAGCCCGGAGAAAACTAAGAGAGGCCCCTGGAAAGGCTGAAGAAACGTCCTGTGTGGAAAGCAGATGAACTTAATTTATTCAGGATGACTTAATGTACTCCTGGTTGGAGGCAAAGAGATGACCTCTAGATAGTTTCACCTTCACTAAGAATCTTCAACTGTAAGACATTTTAATGAAGGTATTTTTTGAAACTCGTTCTGTGTCCCTCTTTTTCATTTTTTTTTTTTAATGTATCTGGCCACCGGAATCACTCTACACAATGGATTTCTATAAAGTGTTCTGAGATTTCCAAGTCAAAATTCTTGTGTGCATGATTAATATTTTCTCTGAGTAAAGCATGTGAATATATTTGGTGCAAAAAATAATTGAACAATAACACAATTTCCCTTCTCTTTCATCTATCCAGTTCATACAGAAAAGTATTATCAATGTGCTGTCACTCATTAAACAAATATTTCTGTGTCTGGCCATCAAAATTAGAAATCAGAAAGAAGAATGTGTTTTTTTTAATGTATTGTGTTTCATGTTCATCAGTTGCCAAGCACCAACTCTCCCGTTTTTCTGGAGGTTGGATTGCTGTATGCTTATGTATTATGAGGTTTTTATTGTGCTTTTTCTCTGAAGATCTTAACATGAGCAGCTTTGGAAGGATTACAGGGAATATATTTTAAAAGACATTTTGAGTTCCACGAAGCATTCCTTTTCATGAGTACTACATTTACTTTCAAAGTTTTGTGTATCCCTCCAAAAGTGGACAAAGTAAATAGAGAGTCACTTCCTTTCTTACCCAGTCCTGCCCTGCCCCTCCCCTTTTCTGAGGATACTACAAAGTCAAGCAGCCTGTGCCTTTGAGGTACTGTGGATCCAGTTGGTGATCTCTGGCTTTCAGGAGAAGAAGTGATTGTTACAGGATCTGCTACACAATGAGGAGGTGTTATTGGGAATTGCATTATTTTCCTACATTGTTTTTGTACACTGTTCCAAATTTTAGATTTTATTACTTTTGCCTTTTCCCTCTTTTTTTTTATTGCTTCCAATTTCTGATTATGTATTCAGCACACACTACAGGGTACCAATTTAATTTTATTGAACCATTTAAAGGGCAAATAAACCTTTGTTTTTATAAAGAGAAGATAAAGGACCAATTATCCTGGCCCTCAATGCATATGTGCTATTTGAGCTTACGATCCAGTTATTCGTCTTTAGAAGAGATTTTGTCATTTGCACCCTCTTGCCTTATTGCCTGATATATTGTTGCTATGACATAACACATTTACCCATGGATACCTTAGCTCTTAAAGAACAGAGTTATTATTTTATTATATCTCCTTATATATGTGTTAAGGACCCATTAAGAGTGGGCCAACCGCTGAGGTGGAATATTCCACTCCCCTGAAATGGTCTGATCTCAATATGTTGCCACAAGGTATAAAATGATCAGATACATGTTGTAGTTGGATTGCCACCCAGTCAATTTCAGGGAGCCAGGATGGCATTGCTTACTGCCTGCTTGGAATGTAATTTCCTCTAAGAAGCTCACTCTGAACTGGCCCATCCTGAAGATAGTTATTGCCTCTACATATCACTTTGCCACTCTACTTATAATAATACCATCAGTATTCCAGAGTCATAAACATTTGTGAAATGGATTCCAAGAGAGAAAGTACAAATCTTTTCAGGGTAGAAGCTTTAGAGAGTGGCATAAGGACCAAAAGGGTGTTTGTCATGGGGATGGCTCTGTTGCTGTGTGTGGAAGGGATGGATTCATAGATAATGATGGAAGTGGCTGGAAATTCTGTGGCCTGCTTAAGCCAGAGTCATAGGGCCAGTTTGTAAGGGGGTCAGTTAGCCTTCCACTACTGGGGCAGATCCCTGTCAACCAGGTGGTAGCATCTGGGAAGGTCATAGTTCATAAGAAGGAGAGGCCACAGAAGGGAATAGCTCCAGGCAAGCCTAAGGCAACAGGCTTCATTTTCTTCTACAAGGTTAATATTATTTTTCCAGGACTCCATGGTGTTACCCATGCAAATGGAAGGAACAATGTTTTGAGGCCATAAAACAGGGACCATTATTTTCTTAATTTTACTGTAGCATTTCCTTTCAGAAAAGGAAAACATGAAAAAAAGGTAAGTTTTTAGGAATTATACATAGGAGTCCTTCTAGGTCCTATCAACAAGCTAACAGCTTTATATAGCTAATACTTCTCCTCAAATACTTACTATTCATGGCTTCAACCTCTGATCATCAAATTCCCAGGCAGAAGACATCTTGCTCATTCTTTCATTTCTAGATCTTAAGCATAAAATGTCTTAGGTAGGAATAAAGGCAGAAATACTATGTATACCTCTTCAAAAGAGGTAAGAAATCATTGAATTCTGCATATTTGGTAACTGCAGGCAGATCTTAGTAACTAAAAGCCTAGCAAATTCTCATGGCACCAGACCTATTTGCAGAACTTTGACAAGGGGCTGTAAGTCATTAGGGGTGGGGCAGCAATAGATCTGTGGTACCAGTGTGTTAGTCATGAAGGCTTGAGAGCTAGAAGAGACCTGGGAGATAAACAAGAAACTGAGGCTCAGAGAGGGTAAGTGATTTTTTTCCATTTTACAGATAAGGAAACTGAGGTTCAGAGAAGTAACCCAACTTGTTCAACATAGCTAGCATATGTCAGAGCTAGGATGTGAACATGGAATATCTGAAATGCACTAATGAGGACTAAGCAGGGCCTGTGGCATTCGGAAGGCTGTTCAGTAAGGGGTATCCCTAGGCTTAAGTGTTATGTCAGGAAGAGTTGCAAACCTTGGGAAGCCTGGGAATGGTAGTGAAGACAAGTAGTTAGGAGCACACTGTGGTTCCCAGATAAGAGATAAGAACCTAAATAGATGGAGGCTGAGGGATAGAGACCTTGGAGGCATTTCATCCAGTGGCTAAGTAGACTCTAGAAGAAGACTGCTTTGATTGGACTCCAACTCCACCAAATATTTACCAAGCACTTGCTCTATGCCAATTATTGTTCTCGGTGGTGGGAATATGACAGTGAGTAAGAAGACACAAATCTTTGCCTTCATTGATTATTTCAAGAAAATAAGCTCACTCACTTTGGGGGTAGATTTATTATCTGTGTGGTTTTGGTCAAATTGTTTAATTTTTCAAAGGCTCAGCTTTCTCACCTGCAAAATGCCAAGAATAGAACCCATGCCAAAGGACTGTCATGAAAGTAAAATAATATAATGCATATAAAACAAATAGTGCCCATAACAGGATAGCTTTCATTATTATGCTGCTTGTGACTCATCATAGTTTAATATTAACAGTTAATTTTTTTAATTTCTAATTTTTGTGGGTACATAGTAGGTATATATATTTATAAAGTACGTGAGATGTTTTGGTGCAGGCATAGCAGTTAACTTTTTAAATTTATTTCTTATCATGGTAAAATATATTTAACATAAAATTTACCATCTTAACAATTTTACGTATACAGTTCAGTGGTATTAAATACATTCATAAAGTTGTGCAGCCATCACCACCATCTCCGTAACTCTTTTCATCTTGTAAAACTGAAACTCTGTACCCACTAAATAATAACTCCCCATTTCCCTCTTCCCTTATCCCCTGGCAACCACCATTCTGCTTTCTTTTTAACAGTTAATTTTAACCTGAGTTGAAAGTGGGGGACTAGATGGTAGGCACATTCCAGGTGCCATAACAGAAATGACCTCTGAGAGCCTCAGAATTACCCCTTTTCATTTGGGATGCAGGACTCCAAACCCCTTGTGGAGTTAGCAACTGCTACATAGTTTTAGTTGCTTGCCCTTGTGGACAGGGTACTTCTAGTGAGAGCTGGAAGGGGTTAAGGTCTGGTTGTTGCCTGCTGACCTACTGCTATGTCATCTTCTGCATACATATGTGAAAATTCCATTACTTCTTATTTCTACTTGAAAGTGAGGACTTATTTTCAGTAAGCATCATTTAACATCTACTGCTTTGAATATAGGCTTATTTTATTTCCAGGTGCCATGCAAAAGGATGAGGATGTGACCTTTCCAGAAGCATAAAACACTGATTATCTGCCTTGGTGTATGGCATTGGTTAGTAAAAATAACTGTTTAATCAGTGAAGTGATTTAATAAGTATTTTAATAGGTCCAGATGGCTATGATGCCTCCTTCCTACTACACACCCATACTTCTGAAAATATATCTCTATATACTGTAGATCGCTGTTTTATAAAAAGGGTGAGACGTCTGGATTTTGAGAGGGGCAGATGGGGGAGCTGGGATAGTTTTGGACTGCAAGCACCTTTCCATATGCCATCTAGAATGTTCTCTTCCCTCAGACCTCCACTTCCAACTACATGGTCAATTTTTACCTGGCTAGGGAACTTGCCCTTATCTTTCATTTCTTAGCCTAAGCCATGCCATCCCTTACTCCCTCAAAAAGGCTAGATTACTTTCATTCCATCCTCTACTTAATCTTTACAGCATGGATTACATTTATAAATAATTAATTTGCCATTTGTTTAATATCTGCTTCCTCCAGCTTTATAAGGACAGGGATAGGGACCAATCGTAGCACAATGACTGGCACATAGTGGTTGCTCAAGAAATTTAGTTGACCGACTGACCAGATTCATGAATAAATAGCATTCAAGAGCTCTGGATTCTAGTCCCAGAGCTCATTTTCTAGATGTGCGGCCATAGGTGTGTCCCTGGGCCTCTTTGAGCTTTAATTTCCTCACCTGAAAAATGAGAATCCAATGATCTCTAAGGTTCTTTCTGGCTTGAATGTTTTATGATTCCTTTGAAGTCGGGTTTATCGTTCTCACCAGTGGGAGAAAATATTTCTGTTAAACTGCCTGGGATTTTCTGCCTTTTATTTATTTCCAGAGATCTCCAGGGTGCTAATGTTTTGAATAGTCACAGTAAAAACAGGTTTAATTAGTGGATTCCTCATCAAAGGCTATTTCCTGGTACCAGACCGTGTAGGTTTGTTTCTGAAAAGACTAGCAATTTGCTCACTGCAGAATTCACTTCTCTTATCACTTGTTCTTTGTTTAGCTTTTACCTTTAAGAGTAGGCTTTTTCACATGGATATCTTCATCCTCTTTGTGTTTGAGATAAAGAGAAGTATTTAAACCAGGGAGAGACGTCTCTGATTATAAGTGGTTATAAGCAAACAGCTGTTGGCTTTGTCTGCTGTTTTATTTCCTTTGTCAACCAAATAAGTAGCTCTAAGTTTTGTTAGGGCCCCAGCTGGATGATAGAACTAGGAGTTCCAATGATGTGTCATAGCCATCTTTGTATCCACAGCAGTCAGCACAGTGCCAGGTTCAGAGTAGGTGTTCAAAATATCTACAGAATTGAATAAAGTGACAGCTGGGAAGCCCTACACATAGGTTGAGTAGGCAATTTTCTCTTTTTGTTATTTTTATAATTTATACCCAGTTGATTTTCTAGAATGATCTGAAGCAGAGCTGCCCACATGATATGGTTTGAGGACTACCAAAATGCTCCTATATGCCCATAAATATCTCCCCCACCAGCCTACTCAGGTGTCAGAAATCTCTACCAAACCATTTTAGGTTGACATGGAGGGTTCATGAAAGTGAAAATATATGTGGATCACCTGAGATAAACAAGGTATTAGTGATCGTTAACACTTCTGAATAAATTAGTTTTTGTATTAACTAAGGCCAAGGTCCTGGGGGCATATGACACAAGATGGGTTAGTTTCCATTAGGACTTTAAGGGTGAATTAGGAAAATTGCAGAACATGGGGTACTATTTAGAAGATTAGGGAGTATTGCAATAAGCTTTCCTCAAGTAACTAATGTTCAACATGGGAGCATTGGCCTCCTCCACTTCGTGATGGCACCAAAAGTCCAATGAGGTACTAAAAACCATCTGGAACTACTCCACAGTGACAACAGACCTTGCACACCTCAGAAGAAAGTGCTGAAAAGTGGTCCTTCAGTAGAGGAACTGGGAATTCTTTTTTTCTTCCTCCTCCCCAAATCATGCATTTAGCAAAGACTCCTAAGTTTTAGCATGCTGACTTCCCCCTCAGCATTTGATTAGTGATCCAGATCCCCTGGGAAGCTTTAGTCCTTCTGGCACACATATTTTGCATCATGATAATCATAATAATGAACACCTTTTGAGGAACACTCACTATTTGTCAGATACCATGCTAGGCCTCTACATATGTTATCTCAATTCAGGTCCATATAAGTACAAGAGCTATTATCTTTCTGTTAAGCTACAATGACTTATCTCACTAAGCCAATGACCCTCTCTTCTATCTCCAGCAGAGCATCACAGACTGGGGATTTCTGTGATGAACCAATCAGCAGTTATGGATACAAATGTGTGCCCCACAATGTGTTAGGTGCTATGGAAGAAAAAGAAAGAGAAAATATAATCCCAGACAAGCACCTTGCTCTGAAAGCTGGCCTCTGTTTTTACTCCCAGTTTCTTTTCCCTAGGTCTTGGACAGAGGCACAGATCCCCTAAATAATCCAGGAGATGGCTGCTGAGGGAACGAGCACATTGCATTTCCTAACATGATGTGCTATCTGGTAGGGAATAGGCTATTCAGATTAATTTACAGTTTTGTTTAATAAATAATTTTTATAGATACAAAAAAGCAAAAAAAGTAACTGTGATGAAATTCATGACAGACTGGCAATAGAAGGAACAGACTATGGTTTTTCTCTAATAAATCAGAAAGTACCTCCAAGTCTTTTACAGTTTCACGGTCATCATGATGAATGTTATATACAGTGAGAAGTAATATGGTATAATGGAAAGCACATCAATCTGGGGAGTCAGGACCTGAATTGTAGACCTGCAATGCACCCTTGAGTACACTGCTGGCCTCAGTTTTTCTATCTGCAAGAGTAGGGGTCAATGTCTAATCTGTAAGAAATCTTCCGGCTCTCAGATTTTTTTCCACTGCCAATTCCTGCTACCCATCATGGAGATGGGCACGATCTGGTGTGTTGAACACAGAGTTTCTAGCATTTCAACCCCAGCGAGAAATTCCTCCTTTTGAATTAAGCAAGTGTGTTGCCTGTGGCAATCAGGCTTCAATAAAGCGTGGCCCCATTTTGTAATATGTGTTATATAATTAAATCAACTGATTTACTGACCTCTGTGTTGAACTGCCCTCCTATGGCAACCCTAACTTCACTCCATCAGCAATATACTGATTTTCATAGGTCTCTGGCAATCCAAGGGATCCCCCACCTTCTCCAACCCTACTAGGACAACTGCCTGATTTGTGCCTTTGGACTGGATATGTTTTATGTGTCCTTGCCTAGTTACTGAGGGGTGAGGGATGAGAGTGAATGATTTTGGATATGGTGAGGCATTGTCATAAAACCTCAGATTTAGACATCTGCTTTTGAATGGATCCTTAATACCAGAAGGCATCACTGAGGCCAGGCAGTACACTCAATGGTGTTATTGAATCTTTCTATAAAAAATATTCATTTTTGGCTCACCTGCTAAGTGCTTCTACCCTAAAAAAATGTCCATACTAGCCCCTAACCAAATTCGCAACCACCAGAGTTATAGTCTCATGTCATTGGACCCATTAGTTGGCCTTGAGCTTACCCCCAGCCTGGCAGTGCTTCAAGCCACTGGTTGGAAATGCTCCCTTGGATCTTTGAGGCCCTCCCAGAAACCCTGGAACTCAGTAAATGTATAATAATACAATTTACTATAATGTCTTTTCTCTTTTCAAGCAACCCAGCTGTCTGTGATCTCTAGGTCCCAGCTCACTATATTTGATGGAGGGTGTATTTACAGTGAACAGCTGAAATGGCCCCATAAAATGTCTCCTTCATATCCTTTTTATCCTTTCATTGACAAGCATAGGGCAGCTCCATGGAGTTGGCTGCTGAGAGGCTAACAATGTTGGCGCAACAAGTCCATGCTATTACGATAATTTCCATTCTTCCTTTCTGCTGCTCTGTTATTGTTATTTAAGCATTTTTTCCTAAGAGTTGCCAGAAGGACAGGAGGAGCTGAAAGGCTCCAGTCTCCAAAATGGAAGCGAAGGCTTAACACGGAAAGTTCAAACAGCCTTGAATGCAAGTCCTTCCTCACACCCTAGGTCTTTACCTCTTACTCATTGGCAAGTTGGCTTCAGTGACTTCACTAGAACTCAGAATGTCTCTCCAACTCATGTTCTATTGTCTGAAAAGGATGGTGACAGAGCAGGGAAGATACTACAGAAGAAACTACACATCTCAATACTTGAACTATTCAACTCAACCTAAGACAAGAGAATAGTAGAAAAGATGGTAATACTCTGCCTCCCAAATTAGTTTGCCTCATGGTAGAGAAAAATATTCACCCATGCTACACTCAGAAAATAATGACAAAAAGTCAGACAATTGGGCAATTGTGTTCCACTTTGTGACTTGTACACATCTGATTTTCAATTCTAGGCCTGCTTTCTCTTGTTCCCCTCCCCTTCCCCCACAGAATATCTGTGTCTGGCAGATAGTAGGTGCTCAATAAGTAATTGCTGACTGACTTATCAACACTTGCTGGCCACCCTTCTTGCTGGCAAGTGCTCTGAAGTCCACTCATCAGCTAGGTAACATTTCTTGGATGCTGTCTTTTTATCCATCCATCCATTCATTCGTCCATTCATTTATTCCTTTATTAAATATTTGCTTTATTGAATAGCTCCACTGTTAGGTACTGTAATAAGTGCTGAGGAGACAAAGGAAAATAAGGCCTCAAGTAACTCATAGTCTATGTCACAAGGATCACAGCAGATAGAAAAAAAGGTACCATGCATAAATTGTCAAAGAACTCATGATCCAGTTAAGGAAGTAACCTTAAGTGACATTAAATGATTCAAGAACAACATAAAATATTATAAAATGCAGTATTAAATCATTTAGCCTAGATAAGTGGGAAAAGGGAAAAAGAGGAGGAGGAATCTGTGTGGTTTTCAAGAGGTGCAGAAGATAATGAAGGAATATAAATTTGAGAGACAAAGGTAACAAGGCCATAAACCTCAGCTTTTATTAGTGGTCATATTAGATTTTCGTGAACATACAAAACATAATCTAAAATAAATATTATTCTAAGTGTGTGTGTGTATTGGAGGGGGTCAGGGAGAGGGACAGGAAGCTAGAAGTTGCAGATAAATATTACTGAACATGCCCCAAAGCTTCAGCTCCTTTCTGTTCTCATGGATAATCAATGATGAACTGCATACAAGAATGACTATTTGCATATTGTATTGTTCTTTTGAAATCTCAATGGGGTTTTTAAAGTCTCTCTCTGCCTTTTAATTATTATGTTTTAATATCATGAAGATTGAGGTTATTATCATTAGGGAATCCTCACCTTTCCTCATATAATTTTTCTTTCAGAGTCCAAATTGAAGTAAAAAGTGCTGGTCTCAGCCTTTGTCCAGGATTATTATGGGCATGTTTGGTCAGCTCATCAGCTGATCCCCAACACCTTATCGTAGAATGGGTGGTATGTATGCACAGAAATGAAACTTTTTGTAGACTTGGGCCATTATACCATCTGTACTCTCAGAGTGTCTTTCTCTGAAAAACTGAAGCAATGGGAAACTTTCTAGGCAGTTATACATTTAGAATCACAGTTTTTCTGAAGTTCTTAAAATCTCCTTGGTATACCTGGGAATACTTGGGAGCAAGCTTTGAAAAAATGTAGGCCAATGAGAAAGAATGGAAAAATATACAAAAATAATTCTAGTTTTATGTGGGTAGTGGAGTTTTAGATAAACCCATATCCTCATTTTCCAAACTTCTTGAACTGTTGTTATGTTGTTTTTTATGATAATGATGATGAAGATGATGGTGATGATGATGCTAATGATGGTGATGATAACACTTCAAATGTCTGGTTTCCACATCCATTTACAATGGACTTGACATGTATGTTTTATTTTGGGCCTTTTCTAGGACCAAGTAAAGGAAAAAGACTATAAGTGTTTGTCTTGTCTCAGCAAATAGGGTTTCTATTTAAAGCATGGCAGAATTTGGCTTTTTAAAGGGATATTTCTTATCAAGGGATATTAAACAGATTACTGTGGGTTCACTGTGAAAGATAATCTTTTGGGATTTCATGAATGAAATAGAGGTCAAGAGATTAAGAAGAATTATAGGTGAAAGGGACCAAGAGTCAGAAATACCATTAATTTAAATTTTATATTGGTAGAGGGGGTTTAGAATGAATTAAGCCTCTAAGGTCCCAACTTCAAGACATGTTGCTGAACCTGACTCAGAGAATGGTATTTTCAAGCATGCTGGGCTCAATTACCATTACACCTTAAAAGTTATTGCTTGGTGTATTAAATAATTATCACATTAATTGATTCATCCTATTTGTGAAATGTTAGAGTAGAAAAAAAGTCTTTGGATTTATCTTGGAAAGGAAGTTTGAAATGTACACTTCAAAACATGTAGTTCCTGGGACTAAAGATGTAATAGGTTCAGGTTCAAAAGATAAACTGCACAGACAAAGCTTTTGGTTATCCCAATTGCTACTGTAATTATTACTTGACTACAGAGAAATAAATTCATTATGTAACCCATTTTTTATGCCTCTGACAGGAATTCCAAGATTCAATAAAGGAAGAAACTGTCCATTTAGCAAATGTTCTTAGGTCTTCCATGCTATGATTAATTTATTCAGTAATCATTTATTGGGTACTCGCTCCGTGCAAGACCATATGCCAGGCACAGAAAAATAGTCATAGCTAACATTTGTTGAGTGTTTATTATGTGTCAGGCACTATAGGTGTTTTGTATGCATTATCTCATTTACTTGCAACACTATTGTTATTGTTTTGCAGATGAGAACATTGAAGCTTAGAGACACCGGTTGACTTGCCCCAAATTACATACCTAGTAAGTGCCAGAGCTGGTACTAAAATCCAAGTCTCTGATTCCAGAACCAGACATATTAAACATGAAGTCTGTGGCAGAATCCCCATCTTTAAAGAGGTTTCACGCACCTAATTGTAAAACAATGTGCATAAGTGCTACAGTTATGGTTTGCAGAAAGTTCAGAGGAAACCACGATTAATTCTGCCTGGAGATTTTACACAGGAGGTGACATTTTAGTTGGTCAAGGTGACATTTTAAAACTATGATTTGGATATGGGAAGGGGGAATTCTTCCAGCTACAAGAAATAGTGTGAAAGAAAGCATTGAGCCATGAGCTAGCCCGGCATGTTTAAGGATTTACATTTAAATATTTAAATGATTTAAAATTTAAATATTTAACTGCTTTAAATAATTTAGATAATTTAAATATGTAAGATAGGTGGGATTGAGGTGTTGGGAAGTAGTAGGGATGACAGGGGAGATATCAGAAGTAAAACTAGAAAGGTAAAACAGGACTGGCTTGTTAGATACCTTGAATGTTATGGGATAATGAGTAGATTTATTTTATAAGTAGAAAAAAGCCCCGATAAAAGTTTTTAAACAGAGTGGAAATGTCAGATATATATCTATGTTTTCAAGAGAAAACTCTGGAAAAAAACGAGGAGAATAGGTTAGAGATGAGAAAAAGAATGCCAGTTGGGAGACCAGTTAGAAAGTTATTGTAGCGACTGAAATAATAGAAGAGAAGGAGCAGACTGGGAATGGGGATAAGTGTCTGTTGGGTTGAAGATGTCCAAAAAGAGCGTTGACTATATGAGCTTAGAGTTTGGAAGGATTTTGGGACAAGAGATAAAGACTTAGAATCATGTAAGTCATAGCATGGAAGCTTTTGCAAAAGTGAGAAAAGGGCTAAGAAAAATCTCCATCATTTAAGAGCTGGATATGGGAAGACTAGCTTAAGAAAGCAACTGAAAATAAAAGTACAGAAATAGGAGGAGAATCTAGAGAGAGACCCCATCACAGAAGTCAGAGAAGGAAAGGATGGTCAACAGTATCAAATAGTTATAGATGTGCCAGTCAGAATGAGAACTGAAAACTAACCACAGGACTTGGCTGTTAGGAGATCACTGGTGTCTGAATGAGAGCAGTTGCAGCAGAGTGGTGAATATGGGAGGTAAATCTGAAGAACAAATGGGCAAGGTGAGATGATTACTCTTCCCACACATTTGGCAATGAAAAGAATAATGACCTCATGTACTTTTGGCAATTTGACCAAGGGTCTACAACAAAGCACCTCTGCACTTTCCCATCCTTGAAGAGCACCTTAGCTGTGTATCACTAAAAGGCCATGCCAGATTCTATTTTTTCAAATTTGTATTTTAGGATCTTTGTAGTATGGGAATTTTTCATTTAGACTCCTGCCCTGTGCTCCCTTCCACCCTTATCCTGCCCCACATTTCCAGCCCTTCTCATCTAACCACAGATGAGGCAAACATTTGTGTTGAAGTGCTTCTAGAAAACCATCATATGACCTTGAGAAACTCTCTGTTCCCTGTGTAATGTTCACACCGTTCTTCAGAAAGAGGGCCTTCTAGCAGCCCTACATTCTGAAAAAGCATTGCTGATAGAATGCTAGTGGTTAAAAAGGCTCATGTCTTTTTGAAAATAGCCCAGACTATTTTAATTTGACATTTCTAAATCCTTGGCATGTCTGCTCTCAGTAAGCCCAGAGCACAGGAATGTTTTGACAGGTTAAGAAAACGTTAGGTTGTCACTATATTGGTCTTTCTGGCTGATGAGGCATTGGTTCTTGCTGTAGCATTCAAAGGCCATAATGCAGTTTGTATGTTAAATTGATACCTTATAAAACTCCTGCGTATCTGTTGGCTTATTATTTAAAGGAAAGGAAGAAGAAATCAATTCCTTAAGTGTCAAGGACATTCTTGACAAAGGGCCGAATGGAATAGGCAGGCTCAGTGCCATGAAAGAGTCCAGTGAAATAGAAAGTAGTGCATTGTCCTTACGGATTCCTTCCAGATCAGTGGGAACACTCCAGCTGTTCATGCTTGCTTGTTGGGCTTTCCCGCCTGGAAGCAGGGCAGGCCAGATAGTGCTTTGGGGACACATCGTGGTGCCAGGGGAGCTTCTTTGGTGGCAAAATGACCCACATAGCATTAAAAGTAGATCTCAATAGTTGTGCTTAGGAGCCCCAAGAGTACACAAAGTTTTAAGTCAATAGGTAAATGGAGGGAAACAAGATGTTAGGCTGTTGAGCAACTTGATATAGATCTCGTGGTGTGCAGTATTAGAGAGGAAAGTGGAGAACAGTCAGAACAACCCATGACATCAACAGACACCCAGCTATAGTCAGCATATTGATTTTCAGAGTAAGAAGGGACCTCAAGGATCATCTAGCCCAGTGGTTTTCAACCCTAGCAACATTTCAGATTCACTGGGGAGTTTTTAAAAAACACTGATGCTCAGGTCTCACCCAGTATCAACTAAACCAGAAACCCTGGGAACAGAATCTAGCATCAGTTTTTGTTAAAGCTTTCCCAGGTAATTCTCATGAAAACTTAGGGAGGAGAACTTCTGCTCTAGCTAAATACGATTAATTTTAAAAATGGTGAAGCTGAGATGTTTTCTTCTAGTTCCTCTGGTTGGTGGTATTAGATATGAGACTAGAACGAATGTTACTAGGTTAGTGATTGAGAAAGAGGAGAGTTTCTCAGAAGCCAACTATTACCTTCATCTCAATTTCTTATATTTTTTGCATTATAATCTCTGATTAAATTTCACAAGGATTCTAATAACATGAAGACATTAAGGACATACTGTTATACACATGGTGGGAGAAACAGAGTTCATTGATTCATAAAATATTTTGAGTGTCTGCTATGTGTTAAGTACTGTGCTGGATGCTATGGGGGCTATTTGGATGGAATGTTTTAGAGAGAGTCTTGGCCTTCAGGGATCTCTGTGCCTGGGAGGCTGAGGAAAGAAGAGAGACAAGATAAAGCCATGGATGAGTTTGATCTCCTGGGAAGGTAGGTTAGCTTTGTTAATAGAGAACTGCTCTGCTTCTTGGTCACATAGTCTCCCCTTATTGACCAATGAAATGGTGATATTTAGCATTTGTAGGAATGCTTACAGATGTTCATCATTTATGACTAGTGGTGTGGTCATTGTGAGGGGCGCTTAAGTTAGAAAGGGCTTGGAGCAATGTTTCACTATCACCCAAGGGTTTGGCACCATTTTTGGGAGAAAGAGAATGTGATTTGGGGAAGTGGTGCATTTTCTTGGAAAAAACATGGATTTTTATAGTATAAAAAGGTCATATATACTTTGTTTACACAAAGTATGTATAGGAAGGTCATATATACTTTTGTTTGACTCCCAGTGTCCCTTGTTATGAGCTGCATGCCTGAAGAAACAACTTTCTGGGCCCCATTTTCTTTGTGTAAGATGAGGATAAAAGTGTTAACAGCCACCCTCTCTCTATCCCCTCCCCTCAAGCATCTCATCCCTCCTTTGGCCAAGGTTGTAAGGAACAGAGTTCAGCTTCGGCTGTAGCCTGTCATTGGTCAGGGAGGAAACTACAGGTCTGCAATATCCTGGATAGTCTCACACATGCTTGCATTTGAAAATTTATATAAATCAGCCTTCCTTTCTTTGTTGCCTCATTTTATATCTCCACCTGGGTTTCCACCCAGTACCTTTCTTAAGGCATTCTGTGTGCCCCTCTGGGAGGCCCCACAGTGCTGCTACCTTAAGCCCAATATAAGCTGTATTTCTACCTCCTTGTACTATGTCATTTTAACGTGAGGAGTTGTTTAGACTTATTGTCTACCTTTTAAACACCTATGCATTCCTTCCAGGGTAATAATCCTTACCCTACATGTTTTCCAAGCTTTCACAAACCATATTTTGCTTCTGTGATATAAATTATGGAATGATTCACACGTTTACTTTCAATTTTATCTTAGAAATGCAAGTTGATGCTAAACTGATCTGTTGTGTCATTTGTAGTTTGGATTCCATTTTAGTGTGTGTGTGCAAGCTTGTTATTTAAGGGGGATCAAATTTACTTACTTCAAAAATAAAGTTAAAATTTGAATGCACTGACATATTTTATTGTCATTTTTATCCCATATCATTTAACATGCCACAACTAATATCTACTCCATAGAATTGTTGTCAGGATCAACAAAACTATGAGTGTGTAAGTGCCAGGCACATAGTAGGTGCTTGATAAGTGCTATAAGTGCTGGTTTCCATGTACTCATTGAGCATCTCTGAGACAGTCATATTTCCTCATGTATTTGGAGGGTACTGGAATGTTCGAATAGTCTTATGTATAATACTGTTTTCTTCCTATGCCAGCCCATGAAGTAGGAAGTAGTGTCATCCCTATTTGATAAAAAGAGGAAAATGAAACAACAGAATGTGTCTCCCTGAATGTTACCAAGAGAGTTAGCAGAGTCAAGAGTAGAATTCAGACCTTCCAAATTCAGACATGGGGCTCTTTCTGCTTCCCTTTAGCACAAGGAGGAATCCATTTATATTAGTGCAAGGTTGACAGTAGCCAAGGTGCATTGGGAGAAAGAGTGAGCTTTTACCTGAGGTAGAATGAAGGAGTTATTTCTTAAGATACACATAAGGACAGCAAGCAGAAACTCATTGTATAATTTACCTGTATCACAAGGCGACCACAAATTTGTGTCTCCAGGACTGCTGATTAACTATCACCATTCTTCCTTACCTATGTTCATTAACACCCTTCAGAGGCAATTCTTCAAGCTATCTATATATGAAGACTATAAATGGTTTGACCAGGCCTTTCTCATAGGTTGAGGCAGCTCAAGCTAATCCTGTTGTGGGTTGTTTGTTCCCCCTTTCTTTTCACTCCCTGTTCAGTAGCTGACTCACCATATGACCTTGAATAGAGGCTTTTGTTCTAAACTCAGCACTGGAAGCATGAGGCTAAGAATACAGACCCACTCCCAGGGCACTCAGGTGGACTAGATAATTTCTGCTTTTCAGATGTAAAGGATTTTCTAGTGAGTCCCATGAGGCTGAGGATCCCCTGAGGTGATGTGACAGGGGGCTGGCCCATCATGCCCATAGCCTGTGTCTGCTGTTCACATCCAAATCTAGGCTGCCTGCCAAGTGCTATTTTGGAAACAGGGCTCATGTCGTCCATCTTTTGAAGGTCGTGGACGTTCTGCTCCATGGGAATGCATGGGGCAGAGTGAACTGACACAAACCTCAGTGTCACTATTACAGTTTTAAGCAAAGTAATTATGGTCCACATTCATGGCCACACCTAGTGCCTGCTACTCAGTAGCTTTGAAATTGTGGATAATATTCACATAGGAAAGCACAGGAAACAACAAATCAGTCTAGGTTCCAGCTGTAGCCCTGGAGCAAGGACCCGGAGGCCCTTTGCTGTGTCAGGCATTACTGTATTAGCTGCTGGATCTTGTGGAGGTCTAGGGATCTCAGAGTACAGTCTGGCATCCAGGACAAGGTGTAGTAGCTATTTACCAACTGGTATGGGAGCATATAATATTTTGACCACAGCTGTGTATTACTGGTCAATTTGGCCAAAGGTCAGCCTTATGCTTGTTTACTGAATAATGGAATTCTTTACATTATAGATCGATTCAATGAGGTGTGTTTATTGGTATTGCCCTTCCCATATACACATATTTTCAGTAATGCAGCTGTTGAGTAAAGTGAGGTCTACTTCTTGAACCTTAAAAGAAAGTGGGGATTAGAGGTAGACTCATTCTAAAACATTAGTAAGGAAGGCAAGTTTATAGATGACCCAGGAAAAATGCACTAACAGTTTGGCAACTTCACTTTGCCTCAGACTCAGTTAAGAAAGGTAGAAGTGCAAAAGACAAAGCAAGAATCATAGGTAAAATACACAGCCTTCTTAGGGATGGACACCTGCCTGTGAGTGGATTCTTGACAATGCTAATAGGTTATTTGTAAATTAAGCAATTTTTTTTTGTTAGCTGGTTGCTTCCATCCTCTAAACAGCCAAGGCACCTCCTCTGTGCTATGTTCAGGGTAAAGTAGGCAGCCATTTCCACTGTGTGACTGGAGGTGTGTCAAGCAGCACCCCGTTACACACAAGTGCCATCTCCTCCAGCCTAGTACAAGCTTAAAATGTTATCATTAGAAAGGCATTCCTTGCCAATCAAACTGCTCTAATTTGAAGGGTCAAGAATTTAACTCACTGTCAGCCACTACCACTTTAGCTCATTAGCCCCCAGCTGTCACTTTGGAAAGCAGACAACTGAGCCCTCATAGGAAAGATTCTTGTGATGGGAGAAAGCATGGAGTCACGGGGAGCCCTAAATTACCAGGAAAAAAATGGGTCCCAATGATAGGGGTGTAGAGAGACAGAGCTATGAAGTAGGAAGGAGAAGGAACCCAAAGACAAGCTTGGTCCATTTGCCAGGCCTGCTAAGTCCACTTGCACAAGTAATTTGAGGTCACAGTATTCTTTCTCCAGAGAAGTCTCATTAAAGAGACAGTAATATCCATTAAAAATCAGCATCATTTACTCGGGAGGCTGAGGCAGGAGAATGGCGTGAACCTGGGAGGCGGAGCTTGCAGTGAGCCGAGATCGCGCCACTGCACTCCAGCCTGGGCGACAGAGCGAGACTCCGTGTCAAAAAAACAAAAAACAAAAAACAAAACAAAACAAAAAAATCAGCATCATTAGATGCTTTCTTAGATAGTTTAGAACTCAAAACTCGACTAGATGTTTTTATTCTGAAAACACAGCTGCAACTCAGAACAGTATGTTAGGAAGTCAGACCCATCGCAAGTCAAATGGTGTCTACAGCCTCTAATAAGCTGGATAACCTGAATACCAGCTGCTTGTCTTATCCTCAGTCATCTCAGAAAAAGCCTCAACTGCCAATCATTACCTTCTTCCTTCCACCAAAGTCCCACCTCCCAACTTTCTCCCAGGTGCCAGGCATACAAGCTGATGCCATGGGTAGGCCTTTCAGGTTATACACTTTCTTATTTAGCATCTTTGGAACAATGTAAGGTTTCAAAAACTTTTAAGCACACAATTTTTGTCATACTATGTGTTGCTTTAAAAGTTTTCTTCCTCTACAGTTTTCTTAACTCCTGTTTTTTCTTCCCCTCCCCCAAACGATTATATCACAAATGAGCAGTTTGCAATCTGTCGGAAATAATTCAGATGAAGCTCTTTTATCTTGGGGCCCACAAAAGATGGTATCTTGGTACTCTGGGACCTAATTTGTTTTTAGGCTTTTGGCCAGATATCTGTTGAGCTGGCTTACACTTTAACAAGGAGAGAGAGAGGTAACAGTACACATGAAATTGAATGTGGGGTCCCCCAGGATTTATCTGCCTGAGGTCCCCCCTTCATTGGAAATCCTTTCACCACACATACCCTTTGGGGTACAAGTACTCTGTTGCTAAGAGGCAACTGTTTACTTGCCAATATGTGACCCTGCTGGGGACCACAGTAACTCAGGAATTGGTGTATTGGCCCAGATCAGTTATGATAAAATGACAAGGCAGAGAAATGCTGAGGAAACAAGACATGAAATACTGGGGAAGCTCTGAGAAAGGTGAGTTTGTTGGGGAAAGGGGTAACCTGCGGGTGGTAGGAAATGCCTGGTCGGCTGGCATTTCTGTGGGTGTCTCAGGTAATTTGGAGAGGGTATTGAAAGTGGGATAAGGACTTGTCAAGGATAAAGCTGGTCTACTTCCTTCTTTTGCTGATGCTGAGGACAGGGAGTTTGTCTGTCTGTTGCTTCTTTCCTCCACCCTCTTCTCCATTATCAGGGTGTTCCAGGTTCTTACAGAGCTTTTTCCTTGGCTGCCTTACGAGAGGCCTGGCTCTGGGGACTGGCTGGGCTTTCTCAATTCTCCTGACTCATCCTGCAGACTCACTGTCCTCTCCAGTGACCTTCTGAAGGCCCTGAGCTCACAGCCTTGACTTTGCTGGCTCAGGGAGGTCTCTGATGAGGGGGAGTTTGCAGCTGACCTATGCTGCAGTTTTGTTGGCTTTGCAAGATCTGAACACTACCGGGGGGACAGGCACTGCAGAAATGTCCATGGTCCCTGTCAGCACCTTTTGCCCTTTAGCAGCATCACATAGTACTAAAAGGCTATTTGAGGAGTTAGATGTTAGTAATGAAGTGCAGTTGTCCAGTGGATTCTAGGCTGACCAGCTGAGACTAGACCAGACCTTTAAACACTACTTATGTTTTCCTTTGAGATGGCATACTTAGTTTAGTCCGTGTATTTAATAGATTATGACCCTTCATTGTAGTCTCTCCCTACACACATTTCTCGAAGAAAATCAGGGGGAGAAAAACCAACAATGTTTGCTTAATAGAATTCCTTCCCCTACCACTCTTTTTCCTGTTTAGAAACAATATCTGTGCTATTCGTAGAGCCTTCTTTAATTATGACATTCCTTCTCCTCAGTGGTGGTGGTGGTGGAGGCTTGGCATAGGGTTAAATGGAAGGTACAAGAAATTACTAGCCAAGTCTGCACTTCATCCTCTGGTCCTGCTCCTCAACCACTGCCTCTCCCTTCCCTCCATCTCTGAGAAGTGCCAACCTTGTCAATCCCCAAAACCCCACTAGATATGAGAAGAGATGCAAGTTGAAAGGGACACTGTAGCAGTTGCTTGTAGTTTGTCCCACTGACCCAAGAAGCTGAAGACCCAGTTGGGAGCAGTGATAAGAAAGGAAAGGAAAGGTAAGGTTCTATGTAAGCATCGCTGAAACCTCACATCCCTTCCTCCCCACAACACAGCACAAAAAATGCTAAAAGGAGGAAGAAATGTTAAAGTAACATTCCAATTAGTTTGACTGCTGATTGTCATGCAACAGTTAGGAAATTGGTTTTGAAAAATAACGATGGAAAAAATCTCCAACTCTCTTGACAAGTTGCTGAGGTAGGGGAGGCTGGGGACTTGAGGTTCATTTATTTCAGTCTCACCTAAGCTTTTTCATCTTAGAGAAAAATCAACAGGAACCTGAGAAGAGAATGATATGAGCAAATGTATTTATTTGCTTGTTTGATACCAAGTTTTCACTTATTTTCGTGTGCATTAGAGGTTTGCCTTCATCTGTGCTTTTCCTCCTAGAGAGCAGAGGTCAGCTCAGCTTACTGGCTTTAGCTGATATGTAGTACAGCACCGGGCACAAAGCACAAAGCAGCCTGTGACTGGGTTTGTGCTGGTTGCTGGAACCGAGCCCTGGAACTGCAGCCCTGGGTTAGGTCAGCAGTTGGCTTTTCTGGACAGATAAAGATGACATTGGGTGTCCTTGGATTCTCTGATTTAACTTAGCCATAATGCATTTTGCATCAGTTTGGCTTGCCTCTGTGACCAGCTGCGTCCATCTCTCTGCCCCCCAGAAAAAGAGTTCCCATTTTCTGACACACTAGGTATTTTCACTACTATGATATGAGCAACTTGAGGGCAGGACTTGCCTTTTCATCTCTGTGTACCCCAGTGGGTGTTGACTCCTACTTAGCAGAATTGAATGGCTACTTCAGTATTGCGACATAGGGGTTCATTAAAGGAAACTACCCTCAGAAGAGAGTAACTACACTAAAACTGACAGCAACATTTCCTGTCTTCTCCACGCTAATGATGCTGACATCATAGTGCTGTACTGTACTAGGGGAGGAGGGGAAGGAGAGAAGGGGAAAAGGAACGAACAGTTTGTGAACTTCATATTTATAATAGAAGATTTGTGTGTGCTGCCTCATTTAGTTCTCACAGTGGCTCCCTGAGGTAGAGATAATTGTTCTCATTTTATAGATGAGAAAACTAAGTCAGAGAGGTAAAGTGGTTTTGCTAAAGTCCTACAGCTTAGCAAGTGGGAGAGCATATCTACCCACCTATGTTTTCCTATTATACCTTGAGGCGGCAGCAGAATTTGCTGGACAATTTAGTGGGACTTGTTCTGTGCATTGTTCTTGGATCCCAGTTATGTATGGGCAAGAATCTCCCCCTATAAAAAGCCCAAGTTTTTTAGATTGGCGAACTATCAATTGTTGAAATATAGTCACTTGGTAGTTTCCATTTTGGAATTTTTTGTTTAATTTTCAGTCAGCCTTGCCAGTGTAGCTATAACAATTTCCCTCAACTGTCATCTTTGGGGCAACTGCTGATTCTCCTGGTATACCTTAGAGCAGTGTACCTAAGAATGCAGATTCCTGAAGCCCCTCACAGAGTTGGTTTCTTTAGGTCTGAGGTAGGGCTCCTGACTTTGCATTTTGATGCCACTGACACTTAGAGAAACACTGTTGCGTAGCAGCACATTCTCAAAGTGTATGTCAGGTTTTCTTCATAAAAGGGGTATGCTATCAGATAGGTTTTTGTAACTGAGTTAAGAAAAATAAATTGATTTCTTTCCTTCAAGGCCCTCTTGCAGTCCTTAATAGGTTCATGTGCATTATGAATGTTCAAGAGGAGTTTACAGTAGGCAAAATCATCTTGTGGGCCCTTTTAATCCAGGGAGTATTTTGTTTTGTAATAGGGCCTGGTATACAGTAAACACTCAACTAATTGCTATTTATTATGGAGACTACTATTCCCTGCTTTAGACTGATTTCAACTGTGAGAAGGGAAATATAGTTCAATTTCATTATTTAGGGATAAATTTATGTAAGATCAGTCTTATTTAGGGTAAAGTCTGGGTTATGGAATGTTCTTAGATGAACATTGAACTTTATATAGGGAACTTTAAAGGCTAAGAGAGGGTTGCTGAGATCTACATATGGTCGTGTTGCAGATCCTATGTCCTGCTATAATGGATAGATACAAAGGATGTGAACAGACCTTAAATCTGTTTGCCGGTTACTGCTTCTGAAAACCTTAAAAGCTTATGTTAAGTAGGTTGTTAATATTAATTAAATTAAAGGAGACTTTCCTTCCTTGAAAATAAATTCAGCTTATCTGTGTCTGAGCATCCTAAATTCAGAACACAAGGCTTGAGACTTTCATTGCTTTGTGTAGTGATTCTCACACTTTACTGTGCATATAAGTGATCTGGGATACTTATTAAAATGCAGATTCCTAAGTCCTGCTTTCAAGGCTTGGGCTTGGGAACTGCAATTTTTAACAATGATTCCAAGGGATTCCAATGAGAAATGCTGATGGGGTGTTTCTGTTTGGGTAGGCTATTAAAGCTTTCAGGCCACTGAGGCTAGAGGGACTGACTTCTTGTACTCAGAGGGAGATCTAATGGGATGGAAGAGTTAACTCATTGTCTTAGAGAAAGCTGCCCTGCTGCATATGGATAAGTTTGGACGATTTTGCATTTTGTGTCTATTTTTTCCCTTTATTTGGCCTGAAAAGAATTCTGGAGAATCGCTTCAACCTGTTCCCATTCTCTGCTCTAAAAGCTAAAAGTGATCGGAATGCTGTAACCCTGTGTTCCATAGGATAAAAGCTCTGTGTACAGGAAGTTACTCTTGGCACCGACACTGGGATTAGCTTTCATGATTAAAGTTTTAACTCCAAGGAAACAATATGGAAATTATTCTTAAACTAAATTTATTTCCTGCCTTTTGCTGGTTTGATTTTTACTTCATAGTGGAAAGAGTGTGAACTGTAGAATCAAACCTATCTAGATTAACATCCCAGCTCCGCCCTCACTAGTAGCATGACCTTGGGAAAATTTCTTAACTTCTTTGTATCCTTCTTCCCTTCATCTGTACAATATGTTTAAAAGTAACAACCTCATAAGGCTGATGGCAGAATTAAATAAGGCAACTTATGTAAAGCAGTTGGCCCAGTTCCTGGCACATGGTAGATGCTCACTAAACATTAATGCTCTGTCATATGAAACAACCAATGCAATTCTACACCCAGGTCATTTTGTCTGAGCAAAAGATCCTGTAGACCAGCAGTTCTCAACCTTTTTGGCACCAGAGACCGGTTTCATGGAAGATAATTTTTCCATGGACTGTCCATCGGGGGTTGGGGAGGAGTTCAGGATGGAACTATTCCACCTCAGATCATCAGGCATTAGTTAGATTCTCATAAGGAGCACACAACCTAGATCCCTCACATGCACAGTTCACAATAGGGTTTGCATTCCTATGGGAATCTAATGGCACCACTGATCTGACAGGAGGCAGAGCTCAGGCAGTAATGCAAGCTCATGGCTCACCTGCTGTGTGTCCTGGTTCCTAACAGGTCATGAACTGGTACCAGGGGTTGGGGACCCCTGCTGTGGACACCCTCACTTCTCTAGGTCTTGGCGACCTTGTTTGTAAATTGGAGCTAACAATAGTACCTATGTCATAGGTTTGCTGAAGATTTAAGTGACATAATATATGTAAAAGCATTTAGCAAATGCCTAGCATTTGCTATTATTTCTGATATTATTACCCATCATTTTCTCCTTGTCACTGCAAAAACTCCAATACTAATAGAACGACTGATGTTGCTTTGGATGAAAGGCTGTCAAGATGATTTCTTGTTTTTATAAAATGTTATAAGTAATTATTAATTTGTGCCAGAAACCTAAATATAACTCTTGGCACACAACAGCAAACTCTTTGTCATTCACACAATATCACCTAGAGCTCTCGATAGATAAATTGGCATTTTGTTGAACCTATTTAAGCCTGAAGTTGTGACAATGCCATATAGTAAATTTGACCTCTCAGGGTAATATCTTAAAAGCCCAAAAGATGAAGATACTTCTAGAGAAGTAAACATTCTGATCTACAAAATGAGATACCACAATATTACTTTTAAGGGCAGAAAGTTGGGATTTCTGATTTGAAAATAGAAGGCAAGGTGTCAAGAATATTTGAGTTTGCAATCTCAAGGTAAGATTTTTTTTTTAGCATTTTATATAACAATTCTGACAATGTTTACTCACTTGAGAAATAATCTAGGTTGTTTCTTTTCCCAGAGACCTTAGGATCAGTTGCTTTACCTAGAACAAACTTTCATGGTCCTGTCATTCCAAAGATGGTGTCTTTTACTTAACTGTGTGAAGTCTTTCCAGAGCAGTGCTGAATCATCAATGAAAGATAACTTCATACACAATATATTTTTAGTCATGAGTAAATTTTATTTTATTCTAACTCTTAAAAATTGGTAAACCTTATATGACATATTTAGTGGTTTCTAATAACTTGAATACCAAGTCTATTAATTTGAATGCTCTAGTCCATGCTCAATAACGATACTATACGGTACAATAAAAATTAGCCCATCATGTTGACTTTGAGAAGCACTTAGGTAGGGTGGAGTATGTGTGTGTATGAGAGAGAGAGAAATGCAGAGGAAGAGGGAGAAGGAGACGAAGAAAGAGCGAGAGTGGCAGTCATTGTAATATTTTGTATAAATTAACAAGTTTTGAATTTTTGACAGAGATTTTTGGGGACTGTTGACTCAGCCACTGACTCTTACAACTTTGCATAAGTCACTGAATTTCTGTTGTTAGAGGAAGATGATAGTATATCATGGCTAGTTAAGACACTGACATGTTTATGTTCCATGGATCAAGAGAGCTCCTGTGTGCAAGGTCTTTCAAATTCATATATTCTTTGGTGATAAATAAGAAAACAAAACCTCAGCTACTTTTTTATGTGTCTTGCATTGGGAGCAGCTAAAGGACCCTAATCCCCACTCTTGACTAGCTTCCTTAGCAGGGACAGGCATTTTCTATTTTGTACACTAACAATTTACTTTTTCTGACCTTCTCATTACTGACATATATTTATTGTATACCCTTGGGATCAGTAATTGCATTACTGCCTTTTAATTAGGAGAAGGGAAACTTCTTATTTGGTGGATTTGTGGGGATGACTTGTAAGGTATTTATAGCCAGTCTTTTGCCCTGGGGTCTCAGGCAACTCTTGGCAGTATCACGTATAGCACCTAAAATATGGGTGAAGGAAAAGAAGTATCAATAGAAATTGTGTTGTTTTACATTTTTTTGAGTGTCTTTAAGTGATGTTATGTTTCTCAGAGATATACAAGGGTTCACTAAAGCATTACCACCTATTTCTGTGTAACATATGAATTCAGTATTAAGCTGTCAAATATATTATTTTTGACCCTTTGTTGATGACATTGGTGAATTCTGGCTCTCACGGTTGGTCATAATGCCTTCACTTGGCTGAAAAGATTGTTGTTTCATTTTCTAAATATCCAAATTAAATGGAACAAGATGAAGGATTTCTGATCCAAATACATTTTTGAAAGACTAGTATTAATAATAAGCAACAGGATATTCTTCTAGAATGTACCTTACATCTATTTTCAAGAAAGGAACAGTGTAGTATCTAGGTATTTCGAATATGCATAGTCTTAGATAAAGAAGAAAAGCAAGCATGTATTAAACATGTATAAATCAGCAAAGGCCTAGCCTTATGAAGTTCAGACACTTATATCAATTACTGGAACACTAAAGTCGACTGGAATAGCTACAAAACCTTCAACATTAAAAACATGATAACATGTTAAAGTCAAATAACTCACTGACCCTCAGAGCCATAGAATGTTTTATATGAAAGGGACATTGGATATTACCCTGTCTAAACCCTTTATTTTACTGAGGAAGAAACTCATGCCCAGAAAGGAGAAGGAGAACATTTTTGCCTAATGTTACAGGCAAAAAGGGAATTAGATGGAAAATCAGAGGAGAATCAAGAAAGTGAAGTGTCAGCAGAAGCTAAGGCAAGAGATACTTTGAGTGGATAAAACCAGTGTGTCAAATACACCAAAGAGATTGAGGAAGATAAACAATTGAAAAACAGCTCTTGGATTTGGCAAGAAGATCACTGGTGAACTCAAAAGAGAAATGTTGGTAGATTAGTGAGAATAGAAACAGAGTGTAGGAGTTAGGAACAGAATGTGGGATAGGAAATAAAGGCAACTCACACAAATCTCAGATTAGGGGATTTAGGAAGCAAAAGGAGGATGGCAAAAAAAAAAAAAAAGGAGCAGGTTGAAACTTTTTTTTTTTTTAATATGGAGCTTTGAGCATGTTTTTGAAAAGGAAGACAATGCTGGACCCCAAACTTTCATGTTTCTCTGATAGAAAATAATAAATCATGGAGTTGATGAGCCTCTCCAAACCAACAACACCTCCTAGAGAAAAACAAACCAACCAACAAACAAACAAACAAACAAAATCACGGTAAAACCCAACTCCAAGCTTGACAGCATTTAAGCTAATAATAGTGTAGAAGTCGGGGGCTTCAAGGCTATCTAACAGTATGTTCAGAGGCAACCTGTAATCTGTCTGTCATTATTTTTGACAGGCATATGGACTCAGTACCTCCCCCACACAACCTGAAATTTGTACTGAAACCTTACCATCCCATTTGTTAACCTTTTTCTCCCATAATAAGGTTGAAATATACCTTGGGAATATTTTTCAAAAAGCCACCATACATATTTACTCCTGGTTGGAGCTAATTAATTAGGGAAACTACCTTGAAGTCCTATTAACTGGGCTAAATTGAAACAGGTTTGAAAATATGAGCTCCTCTGAAATTATGAGCATGGAGCTAATCTCTTTGTGCTTGCAAATCTTGATCAAAGTTTAGGTGGGCATTTCAGTTGCTTGACAATTGATATCCTGGCTGGTACTAGAATCAGTTGTGTAGTTAGTTGCATAGAAGAGTAAGAGAGTTAAAATTTGTACTGGTGGCTGCAGACATGGTCATCAACATTATTCATATTCACGAGTGTTGCAGAGGCATAACCAAGAACAAACACATCAAAGGCCATCAGACTATGACAACATTGTAGATTTGGGGCTGAAAATGTACTTAAATCAAGCATACTGTCATTATGCCTTTGAATAATTATCTCATTTAATTATCAACAGCCTTATGTAGTAGATATTATTATCCCTGTGTTACAGTTTGGGAAACTTAGATTCAGGGAGGTTGAGACTTGTACAAGCTAATATGGTTAGTTACGTGGCAGAGTTGAGCTATAAACCCAAGTCTGACTTCAGGTTGTTACACATTCTATTAGACTATCACTCTAGGGCCTCCACCCTTGCTGTCTTCCCATTCTATATAATTTTTACCTCTCACTGAAACCTGTTTCACTCTCTTCAAGAATTCCATGTCTTTGGGCACCTTTCCTATTGAAATCTGCTCTCATGATAGGATCTGCTATAGAGTTGCATGCATTGCATTATGAATTTAGACAGTGCCACCTCTTCAAAGGGAATTTATATCATATGTTTTCAGTGGAGAATGAAAGTCCCTCTGTTAAATATGCTCTGGTATCAGTGAGCAGGAGTGAGAGCTATTTGGAAATAGGAGTCAAAGGGTCCAATGACCTGTGACATCCATCCAGGTAAGCAGCACCTGTATATACACAAGCTTTATAAAACAGACATGTCCCACTACTTAGACTAGCTGTGTTTGGAGAAAGGGAGTCCATCTCTGAGGGTAGGTGGGAAAAGATGACCTTTAAGGTCCTTTATATCCCAGAGATTCAATCAGCCTATGATTCGATGACTCAGAGGGGTGAGCAATTATCTAGTGATATCAACTGGGAGAGATCAGGCCAAAAAGAAATCTACTTTCTGACTTCAATGGTTTGAGTTGCCTCCTTGGAAACACCCCAAAACAGCTCAAATCTTTGCTTCATTTGGTCAAATTATCCTCTGAGTTTCCTTGTTTCTGTAGGGAGAATCATCTTTCATTAAAAACTGGTGGTTGGGGGAGGTGGCTAAAATCAGAAATTATTTAATGTTAGAAAGGCCCTCACAGGATCTTTTCATTTTACAAAAGATCTAACTGAAACCCAGAGAAGGCATGGTTTGTTAGAAACAGAGTTGGGGCTGGAACCCAGGACAACTGGCTCCCAGCCCAGGGTTCTGTGTAACCTATCCTGCTGTCTGGTAATATTCTTTTCAAATCTCATATTTTCATTTAGTCCCTGGTAAGGCCAGAAAAATGCAACCACCAAAATGAGGTTTAGCAAGGGAAATGACTGCCTCTCTACTTAGCCCCTTCCGACTAGAGGCTTTTTCTTTTGAATAACTTGATACCCCAGTAAATGTATCCTGGGATGCATATATTTAATTAGAGATAATCATCTTCTATTGTTTGTTTTTCCAGTTGAGCTGGCTTCTGAGCAGCAGGAGGAAGGCTGATCTTCAATAGTGTTTGGTTTGTGTGTTGGCCCTGCCTGTAGGTAGGAATAAGTACTGAGTTTGAAGCCAGGTGACCTGACCTGTTGTGTTCCAGGAGGGAGTCCCTATATACTTGGCTGGTTCAAATGTGGGCTTTGTAGGCCTTACCTCTTTTGGCCTTCTCTTGTCAGAACTGTGAGGTGGCCCTGAGATGACTGACCTAATGACTAGCACCCCAGTTCCCACCTGAAAACCCAGGCTTTTCTCCTGCTTGCCTGCCTGCTGCTTCAGCTTAATTTACCTGGCTCACCTTAATCTTAATGGTGGTGACACATGCAAATAGTACATGCATTTAACAAGGACCAAGCCCCACTGAAGTAGAAACCTGATTTTTACACAGCAGTTTCAGCAAAGAGAATATCCTTTGCCGAATCTGAAAGGAAACAGTAGCTTACTTTCAAGTAGGCTGGATTTCGTGGCCCTTTCAGCACATTATAGAATGGTATAGTGGTTAAAAGAGAAGGCTCTGGGGCCAGGCTGTGTTCTTCTCTGGCTCTGTCACTTACCAGTTATGTGACTGGGCAAGTGACTTAACTTCTTTGTGCCCCAGAATCCTTATCTGTGAAATAGACCTAAGTCACAGAATTTTGATGACTGGAACAATAAATAAATGTAAATCACTTAGAAGGATGCCTGGTATGTAAGAAGCACTATGTTAACTCATTATTCTCAATACTATTCCTAGCAGTATCTACAAAGGAGTCATAGGAAGAAAAAATGAAAGGTGTGGTCTTCTGCAATCAGTTGAAACTGCTGTTCTTTTGGTTCATAGATTTTTTTTTTTTTTTGCAAATTATAATACTGAGGTGATTTTCCTCCACCATGTCTGTTAACATCACCGTGGTCCCTTCGTCTCTAAATTGAAGTTAAAATTTTGTCTTGCATAGTCAATCTTGCAGACACATACATTTTCCCCAAAGAGGGGAGCAGTCCTGTTGCAGCAACAGAAATGAATACTGTGCTGAGTACATAGAAAGTGAAGGGCCCTTGTAAATAAAGTAGCAAATTAGCAGTGATTTTGCCACCAGTTTTAAAACAAATGGATTGAAAGAGATTTCAATAACTACATGCCTAACTTAGAGCTGCACTTGAAGCATTTAGTAAATGTGTCATTTCAGTATTGAGAACAGAATCCAATCAAAGTATGTTTATAATTAGACATCACATATAATATCTCTCAAAATTATGTTCCACCAGGTGAGATGCCATTCCCTGGAACACTAAAATCCACTGTTTGTTAGGTCTTTGTTATTATTAAAAAGAACAGGTTGGGGGTACCAAGAGAGACTCAGATAAATGAAAGTGCTTAATTTTAATTAGAGAGGAAAAAAAAGCCACACACAATATGGGTAGCCTGTATGGAGAACCTCGTGCCAGTAAAACCTGCCTCCAAAGGTATGACTCTGTATTAATTTAAATCAGACAGACATTGGCACTGCGTTCTTTTATTTTTCATTAACATTTTGATTTAGAACAGCAGATTGCTGCAGTGAGGGGACAAGAACGGCAGCCAGTGAGCCATCTGCCGAGCATCTCGCTGACGACTCTACTAGCGAAAGAAGCCGGTGACTATGGAATATATGCAAGAGGGACACACACCATTAGCTAAGTGACAGGATAAAAGATGGGAAACTTTGCCGGGTCAGAGGAGACAGAGATGGAGAAGGCAAAGCACGGCCCATTCTGATTGGAATTTGAAAAGATCCAAGTACTTGCAGCAGGCCAATAGGATGGCATTCTATGGAGGATTTGCTTGTAGTGTTATTTTTTTTCCTTTGAAATTACAGGTGGAACAAGGAAAGAGAAGTGACAGGCTAAACACACAATAATTTGCCATGCTTCTTACATGAGTTATGTTTTCCAGATCAGTAAACATTTACCCCTTTAGACATACCAAATCTTGAGCCATTTGAGATAGTGGATATCTTTCTAAAGTGGAAACCCTCCCCCACGACCATCTTTTTAAACACAGTAAAGCACTGGCATACCAACGCAGGAGCAGTAGGAGTGGTCTGTCTGGGGTGCAAACAATAAGAGGGTAGTGTGTAGAGAATTTAAAGACAGTAATAAACTGTCTACTTGCTTTTTTATTATCATATGCACAGGCATTTCTAAATATCAGTGAAAAAATACTCCTCCCAGCTGGGATGGACCTCATATATCACCCCTTCCCCACAGTATACCAGTGCAGAAGAATGAACAGAATTCAATTTTCTATGGATGATTCAGGGTCTTTACTGGCAACTCCAGCTCCGGTACTGAGTTCGTTGTCCATGCGGTTACTTGGCCTCTTAGGTCTATTTGCCCCTACCTGAATTAATCCCAGACTGTTGTGCTTTTGTAGTTGGTGATTCTGCATGGTGTTCACTTATTGTCAGCTGTCACATTTTAGTATATCTACTTTTAGGAGTGCTTCATTTCTAATATGCTGTCTATCTTCAGTAGCCTAGGAAGTACTGAACATTGTCAGCTACAGTGGGAAAAGAGATAGAAGGCTATGGAAATAGACAGAAAATTAAAAGCACAGTAATCTGTATCTTCTGCATAATAAGGTGTGGAGGTGTTTGATGCATTGTAGAAAGTTTTTTCTTCAAAAATGATTAAAATAAAAATAGCACTTGCACTGCTGAAAGACATGTGCTTCAAATATCTGGAAAATTAGCTTAGAACCACTCATTCCCTTATAATGCTAGTTGAATGGAGACGGCATATTGCATGGAAGGAGCATAAGATTAGACTAAGGTTTGAGTCTCACCCCAGCCACTTACTGGGAAAAACACTTTAACTCCTTCGAGCCTGTTTCTTTAAACTGTAAAGTGGATATAGTAATGCTATCAGCCTGACCTACCTTATTATGTATTAGATTTTCTACCCGATGCTCCCAGTAAAGTGCCGCCAACCACTGCAAGTCACCATCTCTCTCACCCTCCCTTACACTGGACCTGGTACACACCTTTAGGGATCATCTCCATCTCTTGACTTCCTTACCTGATCCACTAAACTCTTAAGCCATTTTATGTTCATGCATGTTTCCAATTAATTACTGAGGTTTTTCCACCAAAGACTGAGGGCTTCTTACTCAGAAAAGCCTAAGAAGAGAAATTATCTTTAGGCAACCTGTGTAAGATGAGCTATGGGATTTCCAGGTCAAAGCTGACATTCATAATAATAATCAACTGGAAGTGCATTAAGAAAAGTTAATTCTTTATCATATCTATTTCCATTTTCCCCTCAACTCCCAAAAATACACCCACACAACTGAACACAGGATTTGAGGAATAAATTAATGTTCCTTTATTAACCTCTCTTGATATTTCATCAACTTTGATCCTGTCCCATCTCAGCTTCATCTTTTTATTTTATCTCCAGAGGGTAGTTTCTTCTGTCTCTAAAATGGGTTTGGGTTCAACCTGCAACTTTACAGCTTCACACACCCAGGCTGAACTTCTTTCTTTCTTCTCCCTCCATGATGCTCACTCAGTTGAGAACTCAAGAAGGGAGGAGGTAGTGCTGACTTGTGATCTTGTTCTCATCTTACAGTTCACCTGTAACGCCTTGAACAGGAAAGGTAAAATATTGTTCAGCACTATGAATGGATGAGCCACATCATGGGGTCACCTTTTGGAACTTCCCTTTCTGTCAGCCTCCCTGCAGGATGCCCACAGGCTGCACTGGTTCCATGAGGTGGTCAAAGTAGCACTCATCTAAGTAGTGTGATCTGCGGGGTTACTGCAAAATTAAATGCCACCCACCAGAATTAGTTCTCTCATTGGCTTGTGCAGTTTCCAGAATGCCCCTGATAAATTGCAAATACGCCATTATAGTTATCAAAACATGGGGGCCCTGAGACTCCAAATAATTTGCCACAACTTAAAAGTTGAGCCTTGATTATTAGCTCAATATTTATTGATTTATTGGTTTTAATTTTTAACTCAACATCTATTTAGTGGAGAACAGGAAAAGACGCCCACTAGTGGCAGCATTTACTTTATGGCAGGCATTATGCTAAGGATTTGATATGAATTCTGTCATTTAATCCTGACAATCACCCTAGAGGGATGACAGTATTATCACTGTAATTCTATAGATGAGATAAGTTCTATAGATGAGCACAGAAATGGCAGAACCAGAATTCTAACCCGGGCTAGCTCTAGCTTTAAAGCCCATACAATGCTGTCTCTAATATTGGAGCCCAAACTTTCTCCAACCTTGCTATCGCACTGAACAAAACAAACCCCTGTATCTAACCAGTTCTACCTCTTTACCAGGCAATTGGGAGCTTGATGAGTGGGGGAATAGGCCATGAGATATAAATTTCAGAGCATGGACGTCTGCTGTGGAGGCCAGACTTGAAGGAGTCAAGTCTTGGTAGAATCAGGGGCATCTTTCAAACATCTTGAAGACTCTGAGCTCCTGAGCAAGGGAGGGCAAGGAAAGATGCAGGATCTCCCCCGCTCCAAACCCTTCAAGGGAACCTCGTGATATCATTTGAATTAAACCTAGTTGAAGCTAGAAAGGACCTTGGAAATCACCTACTCTAATTCCCTTATTTTACAAATGGGAAAAGGTGAGGCCTAAAGAGGGGGCAGTCTCATAGCTAGTTAGTAGCAGCAGTGCAAAGGGAGGATACTAGGGTTTTTTTCTTCCATAACGCATTGCTTCCCTTACATGTATTGAAGAATTTAACTCTGAGCAAACCAGAGATTTTAGCATCTCAGTTTGAGCCAAGCAGCCCTAAATACCACATCTTTATTTTTTCCTAGCTTAATTGGAGAACACAATCACAGTTCTGAGACCATGTATATCTTCAGGACTCATTCACTGAGGCTGTCAGAGGATCCGCTTGTCCTCACTAATTTTGAGCTCAGAGATTTAACATGTCCCCAAACAGCCTCGTTTCCTTTAATAACCTATCATTGCCTTAACAGTCATAAATGTATTGAACCTTATCTGACAGTATTTATATTTTCAGCTGGCACCAACTCTGGGCTAAGGGGTTCCATATGTTTACTTCCCACTGTGTAAAGTAGGCTTGACTTTGACTTGCCTGGAATTTGTTCCTTTCAAGCTTCCAGAGTGGGGAGATCTTCTTTGCGGCATAACAGGAATTGGTGAACAAGATTCTTTCCCCTTTCCTTCCACCTTGCTGATTTCAAACTATGGGCACTTACCCCAGATACAATAGGCCCAGTTTTGGCGGGCCCCACCTGGTGAACATTTTAGGTGCAGCAGCCCATGATCTTTGCAGCACGGCAGAGCTGTCCAATTGTTTTCCCTGATGCTTCCTGGCCAAGGCAGGTAGTCCCTTTCAGCAGGACCTGTGGGGGTGACAAGGTGAGGGGAAGCTGCTTCTGGCCATAGGTCTCCTTCAGCGGAAGGGTGGAAAGGGGGCACTTCAAGATTGAGGAAAGAGGGTGAACCTTGATGTACACTGTCCAGGCCACAGTGGCAGCTGGGGAAGGCAGCCAACATTCTGAGGAGCTAAGACTAGTGAGACCACATTTGAGTTTATTGTATTAACACACTTCACACTACATTTCTTAATGGTCTGCCTTGTTGGAAGGCATTTTTAGTCACCTTTGGAGCTCGCTATTGAAAAACTCCTTTCTTGTTTCTTTTGAAAATAACCTTCTGTGCTGTTGAAGTTGAAAAGGTTGTCAGATGGAAATGTTTATGTGCTCTCATCTCAGCTAAAAAAATGTAAAGATGAAAGTATCCAACACATATATTTACTGAGTACCTGACGGGATATAATTCAGGAAATGCGACGATATCTGAGCTGCCATCAGTGATGCAGCCCTTGCCTGACGTGGGCTGTATGCATGCCAGCATAAAATGAATAGTCCTCTGACTGTAATCAATTTACATGAATCAAACAATTGGCAATTGTATTTTTAAGCAACTGATAATTTCATCTACTATACCGAGTTTTCCAAAAACACATAACTAAGGACTGACTGCAAAGTAAATATTAACAATCAAAGAAAGACCATGTGCTACAGTGGTCATTGCCGGGGATGACAGCAATCCCTTGGGAATCTGGCCAAGTCTGAGGTCATTCGCCCTGACTGAATCCTCCCCCGACCCATCACTTTCCTGCGCCTTTACTTTTCTCACCTGGAATAAAGTTGGTAAAAATATAATAAAGCTATGTTATATGTGGCTTATCCTTGTGATAAAACCCCAAATAATCAGTTACTACCAACATGGATGCCACAAATAACTGTATTTTTTTCTTTACTACTTTTTTTTTTTTGATGAAGGTCAACAAACAAGGATCTGCAGTGATTGCTTTAGGAATGTGTTTGGGAAATCAAGAGACATGAATTCTAGTTTCATTTCTGTGACTGGCTTTGTGACTTTGAGCTCTCTCCTCTTTGAATCTTTTTTCTTAAATATAACATTAAGATGACGGACTAGATGATCTCTAAGGTCCCTTCTGTCTATAACAGTCTATATTTCCAATACAAGGAATTTTATTTTAAAAATATCTTCCCAGGCTCACTGTATTCAGCCTAGTCTCCTGCACCCTCTGCATCTCCAGTCCTACCATACGACAATCATGTTACATCTACCTTTATATACTTAGCAATTATACTTAACTTCATAGTTTTCAAAGGACTTTCACATTTATTCTCTCATTTAATCTTCATAACATCCCTATAAGCTATACAGCTCAAGTATTGCTATCTCCATTTTGTAGATGAAGAAACTGAGACATGGACTACTAAAATAACTCATGCAAGGACATAGGGCTAGATAATAGCAGAGATGGAACAAGAACTCAAGTTTTTTGACTCCAAATCTGTACTCTATTTCCCTTTGGCAAATGTAATAATAATGGCAACTAATCTTTGTTGAGTATTCACTTTCCACATATTTTATCTTTCAATTTTTACCACAGTGGATACTAATATTTCCCCCATTTGTCAGAAAGAAAAACTGAGATTTAGAGGGGTTAAGCTCCTCACCCAAGGCTATACAACAAGAAAGAGATAGATCCAGGATTTGAACTCAGAGAGTCTGGCTTCTGATCATAACCACCATTGCTATACTGCCTGTTGAGTTATATAACATGTGCTTTAAAGAGGATGGAAAGTCATGTTCTCAATTTGGTTGCCCTACCCGGTGGAGGAATAATGATCATCCCAAAAAAGACCAGAAAAACTAAAAGTCAGCAAGTATTTATTACATATTTACTGTGTGTTCAGATCTGTGATAGAATGTAGGCATTAGAGGAAGTTGAGGTATAATAGTAAGCCTTAGTGAATTGGGAATCCACCTCAATGCATAAAGTTGTATAATGGTTGCGTGTGTGTGTGTGTGTGTGTGTGTGTGTGTGTGTATGTATGTGTGTGTGTGTATATGTATATATATGGGCTCATATATAATGACTTATATGTATATATATAAAATATATAAATATATGTACATAAGGTAATGGTTTTATATGTACATATGTGTCATAAAATAACTGTGATACAGTAACACAAATATTAAAAATCAAAATTTTAAAGAACATTTAAAGAGTCTGGACAAATGCTTCCAATATAATATAAAGTAAAAAGGCAGGATACAAATCTGAACACATGTTAAAACTTAATTTTGGGTGATTTTTAATTTACCTGGGTAATTTTTCTTCTCTATATTTTTGAAGTTTTTTGTTTGTTGACAATGAGCAGAAATTAATTTTACATTTTAAATTCTATAATAATACAAGTGTTTTCCACATTAAAAAAATCAGGTAGGGGTAATATGACTTACTAGAGAATAAGAGAATTAGACGATTCTCTTATTAGACAATTAGAGAAAAAGAGATAACAGAAGGTAGTAAAGTAATAAATCTGTGGTGTTACTTTAGTACAGTTTTCTGCTGATAAGGCTGCAAAACATGGTGGAAAAGACCCCGCTCTGATAATCTGTTAGTCTAGATGCTCAACTTACTTCTGCTACTAGGGAGCTGCATCACCTTTGGCAAATCTCTTTTCCTTTCTTGTTCTTATTTTCCTCATCCACAAAATGAGGTAATTAGATTAAAACTACTTGATCCAGCTCCAACGGTCTATGATCTGTAATAGGACTTCAAGACTTTGTTTTGCTCATTTTTGACTATAGATCAGAGGGTGGTAAACTATGACAGGTTAACATTGGAGGCACTAAATGGTAGATACGATTAATTGTGGCGCCTGAAACTCATGTTTTACTGTATTTCTAATTAACTTGCTGTGGATTTATTCTTCCTCTCTGCCACCTACTTAAAACTGACAGTGTTGTCATTTTTATGTATGTCATTGTGCAGCAGTGAAAGCCAAGAGAATAAGGATTATGTTGGGAAGACATCTTAGAGAAGTGCCAAAAGTTGGAAAACCTGCATTACAACCTCAGCTCAGTTATCAATTAGCTGTGTGACCTTGGGCTAGTCACTGAGCATCTCTGTTCCTCCTCTTCAGTTTCTTCATCTGAAAAAAAGATCAGTGATTCCACATGAAAATATAGGAATAGGCTTGAATAGGAAATGAGAAGAGGAGATGATACTCATGGATTATGGGTACACTGGGATAGGAAGTGGCTAAAAATTGCCTTTGGTCATAACCCAGGTTTCGGCCTGCTGGATACACCATGCTGTTAGATACAGAATACAGAAGAAGAGAGGGGAGCAAAAAAAAAAAAAAAAAAAAATTTAAAAGACTAAAAAGTCTGGTGGTCCTTAGCAGGATCCTTTCTCATGAATCTATGCTTATGGAATCAGCTAGTTAACCTTTGTTCTGGAGAGAATAGAGAGAGACTAAAATGCTGGAAAATCACATTAGCAAAATTTCTCTTTTAATCTTTTCCATATCTCCTTCCTTTGCTATTTTCAATCTGACTTAGGCAAGCAACATCAAAAGAAAAAAATCCATCCACTCAAACGAATACGTTCTTAACTTCCACTCACGCATCAGCCTTAATTAAAAAACTCAGAAAACTCATGGCTGGGAGAGCCCAGTTGGAACTACATTTTTCCTAGTCTGAGTGCAGGATCAGGATCCAGGATCTGGGATCCACTCTTCCATGCTCCCACTTTAAACACATTAAAATAGAGGTCACATTTGAAGAAAGATTATTCTTTCCTTTGAGCCAGCAAGTGCTAAGGTTATCATATTACTATCCATGCTGCTTTACCCAAATCATGTCCAGTTTAGAGAAAAAAAATATCAGAAGGGATCATGTCCTTCTGGACAATTCCACTTAATGGTGGCATGATTAGGCTTAGTGGTATGTGTGCCCTGGCTTTTTTGAGGTATCAAGCAAATTCTTTCTTTCCCCACTTTTTTTTTGTCCCCAAGCAAACCTCTTATGCCCAAGGCAGCATTGTGGGTATTCAAAGGTGATCTCATCCAGCTTCTTTTCAGCTACAAATTCACAGGGCATACAGGTTAGTTTGAAGGGCTTTGGGGATAGTTAAGAATATCTTCCACAGTTTGGTTCTGACTAATTCTATTCCTTACCAACCACTTCGCTACTCTGTGTTAATATATTGAACACATATGTTAGACATTATGGTCAATATTTTACGTGGATGATCCCAATCTTCACAACAACTTTATAAGATAGTTACTATTATATTTATTCTCATTGAACAGATGATGGAACTGAGGCTCACAGAGGTTCTGTAATTTGCTCACGGTCATATGGCTAGTAAGAGAGCCAAGATTAGAATGCATTTAGTAGCTCTTGCACAAAGTATACTGAATGCTGTAAGAGACTGTAATATATTAGTGGAAGAATTGCCTAGACTCAGAGATGTTCCAGAGGTGCATCTCTGTTGAGCTTTCATCATATGAATGGCAAGTGACTAAAAGGATTATCAACTGCTAAGTGGTCACTAGGAAGTAGAAAAGAACAAAGAAATAGGTATGTGCCATTTGTGTGCCAGGGCAGTGCCTGCTCCAGAGGAGAATGAACAGTATGGAGGGCCTCTCTCGGGCTCTTGACTCCAGGGCCCACGAAGAAAGCTCACTGATGGCCCTGGCACTGCTCTAAGTGTTTACATGCATTTGTGAATTATTTTATTTAAAACTCTCAACAATCCTATGAGGTAAGAACTATTACTATCACCACTTTATAACTGGGGAATCTGCGGCACAATGAAGTTAAGTAACTTGCCCAAGGTCTCACAGCTAGTAAGTGGAAGAGTTGGGATGTGCAAGGATAAGCCACAACTGGCTGAAACACTAACCATTGATTTCAAGGATTCAATATTTTTATCACAGGCTCTCATAAAGGCAGAGAGTAGATGAATATGAAGAGGAATTTCTAGATATAGAATTTGAGGAGCTTCATTTTGGATGGCCTTTTCTCAGTAAGAAATGAAATGAGATGGTAAGAATTGGACAAGAGTTAATGACAGAATGTCTTTGTTGTTGTTGCTGTTTTTGTTTGTGTTTTTTTGAGATGGAGTCTCACTCTGTCCCAGTCTGGAGTGCAGTGACACGATCTCAGCTCACTGCAACCTCCGTCTCCTGGGTTCAAGCGATTCTCCTGCCTCAGACTCCTGAGTAGCTGGGACTACAGGCACACACCACCACACCTGGCTAATTTTTGTATTTTTAGTAGACACGGGGTTTCACCATGTTGGCCAGGCTGATCTCGAACTCCTGACCTCAGGTGATCTCCGGCCTTGGTCTCCCAAAGTGCTGGGATTACAGGCCTGAGCTGCCATGCCCAGTGGATAGAATGTCAAAGATAGAAGTCACAAACATCATCCAGAAGAACCTCCCTAGTTTACACATGATAAAAACTAGAGCCAGAGATAGGTGTGATTTATCCAAGGTCATCCAGGCAGTGGATATCAGAGCTGAGACTGGAACCCAGATCTCCTAATTTCTGTCCCATTGTTCATTCCACCACCCTCCTATTGCTCTTACAACTTTTACTGTTTTCCAAGGCCATAAGAAACATGATATCTCAAATGTTCTGTTACTTATAGTTTATTTCATAAGACTTCAACATAAATTGTGTGGTGTATATATGGGTCAGTTAGTCTTAATCTATACTGTAGAGGTGGTCAGTTACCCTCATTTGGAAATACATAGACCAGGAATAGTAATTTAGCATTTAAAGAATTCTAATCAAGAAGTGATTGTAACAATCACCTCAGGAGTTTATCTCCAATGAGCACCAGAGGCTTTGTTAATTAACATTAAACTTCTCATTGGTGAAATTAATAGTGTACAACATATGTGGATTGGCTAGAAATATGGTAGAGGAGTTCCCAAATTAGCATAAAGAAAACATAAGCATCTAGTAAGCTCTATAATATTATCCCTTAGAAAAAATGGTACTGTAGGTTCAATTTGTAAATTGTCCTGTGGACAGCCACTGATGGGGATTTTTGGTTAGCTGAATCCTGCTACTAGAATGTTGTCTTGTGTGCCTCAAGTAAACCTTCATGCAAGGTGTTGTTGTAGCACCTAGAAGCAAAGGGAGCTGAATTTGTCTGGGTCTACAGAATTGGATATCAAATTATTTTATGTCTATTTGCTATTATTTTAATGGGAAGTAGAATATTGTCTGAGTCTTGCTGTTATAGCTGGTAGTGATGTTAATGGGGAGAAGATCTATAGCCTCACTTTAACTATGGCAGGCTATTAATATCCAACAAAAAGTACGTAATGATTGTCAATGACCAGATTGGGTTAGGTTAGTTTACAACTCCAGACAACTATTACATCTCTATTTTAGACCCTGGTCTAAAGTTGGTGAGCCTCTTTCTCAGAGTATATGGGAAGTTCCTACCCTGGGTGGCTGTTGACATAGCCTTACTTGACCCAGTGGCCTCCCAGTTGTGGGCCTGGGGTTTGCATGTTCTAGAACCTAAGAAGTTGTCCCAGAGCACAGCCTCCCCCCACCAATGGTGATGTACCTCTTCTGATCTGCTGGGCGCTTATTAATGACCTTGTGCCAGCATTCTGACCTTGCTGAGGGCCTCCGCATTGCCTGGGGGAAGGTTAGTTAGAGTCAAGCTGGCACTCAGTCATGAAAAGCTACTAGATATAGAGTGTATGTACATGGCACCACAAGTATTTCCACAAAGGAGAAAAAATTCTACCATATTGAGATACTTTGATGGCACACTATAAGAAGAAAGTCAAAATAGAGTTTTTACTGAGAAGAGCTTTTCTCTCTGCTGTTCTCAGTAGTTATAACTACCAGTTAATAGAGCTTCCCTCAACCAGTAACCTAGCTGCTAAAAGGAGGTATATAGTATAGTGCAGAGGTCAGAAATGTGTACTTTCCACTCCCAGTCCTTCTAGGTCCTGTTGCAGGCATTTTGTTTGTCCCATAGTGGTTTAAGAAAATTGAATTTGAATGTCTTCAGGCAGAAGCATGGACTCTCTGGATTGTCATAGGCCCCACCACTCCCTATTATAACACACCTGGTCCAATTACCTACCACTTTTATGTGGTCTGCGTAGCCCCTATATGCATTTGAAATTTCAACCCAAGTTGAAATTGATTCAGCCTCTAGAGACAGGAAGATCTCAGGTCGAATCCTGGCTCCACTACTTAGCTAGTTGTGGGACCTTGAGCTAGTTGCTTATGCATTTTGAACCACCTATCATTCCTCTTTTAGAAAATGGGGATGAGAGTTCCTCGCTTGTGGCAATATTGTGATGATTCCATGAGATAAGGCATGTAAAATGCTTAGCACAGTGCCTTCCATGTGGTACGGCTTTAATAAATGGTAGCTGTTATTATTTTAGCTCTGGTTTTAAATTTGTTGATAGCAAGGATGGGGAGGAAGGCACAGTGATTGCTATATGAACTGATTGCAATACATTTATTTTTAATAAGTGAGTTGGCATTTGCCATGACGTCTAGTTCAGAGCATGTCTGAGGACGAATCATTAGCTAATAAGCAAAGAAAGGAAGAAGCATTGTCAAAATGAAAATAATTCCTTTGTCTCTACTTACCATCTCAAAGAGCATTCTGTTTTATTTCCCTCAGAGACTGTGACTTGAGGCTAGTCTCTTAGTTCTTCCAAGTCTTAGATTTCCAGCCTGAAAGCCAAACTCTCTAATGCTTGCATAGGCCAATAGCACCTCAGTTACATAGAGAAGTAACATATGTGAAAGTGCCTGGCATAATACCTGGTGCTCAGTGGGTATTCAATAAATATTCAATCTGAATCTGTATATCTCTGTAGTACTGGGGCTTTTTAAACCTGTGATTCCTAAACTGAGTATGCGTTAGTATCGCCCATAGACCTTGGTAAAATGCTTATCTTGATAGTTTCTGATTCAATACATCTAGGGTATGACCCAGGAATTAATATTTAACAAGCATCTCTGGTGATTCTAAAGCAAGTGGCCCAATTCAAGAAACACTGTTTAATGAACAAGGAGCTTTGGAAACTGCAGTGAGGTACTAGGATATTTGAGAATGTTTAACAGGTTCTGACTGACTTTGGACATTAATGGCTTTACTAATCTTAATTGTGCAAAGGTGTTCACCTACACAAAGACCTGTACCCACACCCATACACTTACCCCTCTGTGAGCTGCATCCTGATCCCTTCCCATCTCATTTATTGCCTGTGGCTTGACCCCTTTCTGGGGAGCTACAAAGATGAAGGCCCTGGTTGCAATGAGTAATTGGCAAGGTAGATTAGCCAATCATGGATAATTGAGAGGGAATTATTTTTGATCACAACAATTTTTAAAAGCTTAAATTCTCACCATACCTCATCACAAACTGATTTTACCTCTGAAAATTTTCCACAGTAACTGTGGAAAATCCTGAAGCTGAAATCACCTATTGCAGCAAACACCACACACAGAACAGGCAGCAGGCCCACTACCATCAGAAGGGTATGACTTCGGTCAAAGGCAGCTAAAATAGTTAAAGATAACTAAAATCTTAGTGAATAAAGTACCAGAATTTATCCATGGAGAAGGTCAAATGTTGAAAAATAGGTGAAGTGTATTTGAGGGAATCTTCCTTATCCTCAAGAGTCTACCAGCGCCCCTCTGAATGCCCGCAATCCATTTGGTGCCTCACTTCCTTGGGCAGGTATCTTGTTCTGGGTCATTTACCTGTCTTGGAAAGCCCCCTCTGAGGATCCTGCAAGGTAACAGGTGGTAATCTGAACAGAGAATTCTGGTTGAAATATTAATGACTGATAAGGATTTAATTTATTCCCTTCCAGATAGCACGCTTGCATTTTGGCACAGGCTTTCAGTGCAGTAATACAAATAAACAAATTTGTGGAATTTCAGACTAATGGCACACTGTTGGGGGGCAATTTTTCTGGGGAATTTTGCTATTTTGCGATCCTCAAATGACACTGGGTAAGCTTTTAATGGCTTCCCTGGAGCAGTTCTCGGCTCAGGTCTGCTAGAAAGTGACATTACTTCCCTTCCCTCCCATCCCTCCCATCAGTGAGTGCCTGGCACAGGCCTTGAAAATGGAGTCAATTTTTCAGTCTCTTAGGGAACCAGATAGAATTCAGGTTGTGTTGTACTTCTTGTTTCTAACCCTGTTTAAGGGAAGTCAGACAGCTGAGGAGCAGATGTTACATTCCTCCTTCTGGCATGCCTTGACCCAGAGAAGCAAAGTGGAAAGGCAGTTGGAACTGCATGCCAACCTTCGCTCTCTTGGGCAGGTTGTTTCTAAAAGGGGCACTTTGGGGTATGGCAAGAAGCCAAGACAGTGTCACCCGGGCTCATGAGCTACTTCCTCGCTGAACCTGCCTTTCAGTCCCCACTCCACATCCCTACAATAAAACAACTCTAAATGCTATCATCAGATATCTAGTAATGCCACCTACAGACCTGGCTGAAATGGACACGGACTTGTTGGGAATGTGACAGATACATACTTGAGTAAGAACGAGCCAAATGTGTCTCTTACAGAACCTTCTTTGGAGGGCAAGAAGATACAAAGATGGATAAGAGCTGGTCTGCGAGAGCCTTTTCCTTTAATGATCACAGTCTCCTTGCTCTGGGCTCTTCTTACTCAAAGTGTGGTTCCAGGACCAGAAGCATTGGCATCACCTGGCAGCTTGCTAAAAATGCAAATTCTTGGGCACCATCACAGACCTAGTGAATCAGAATCTTTGTTTTAACAAGATTCCTAGGTGATTGGTGTGCACATGAAAAATTAACAAGTGCTGTTCTACCCTGAATTGCGCCTCATAGGGTTGAGGGATCATTATCAGCTGTGTTTCCTCTCCTTATTCTTATCCTTGCTCCCCTGCACCCTCCAAATAAGGACAAATGATGGTTGTGTTGAGGATAATTGCTTAAGAAGCCAGTGACGGTTGGGAATTGAGGAACAGGGAGGTCCAGATAGAGCATGGGATGTAAACACTTCTGTGACCAATGAGCAATTGGAAATCCAGAAGAGAATATGCTGGTTATTTCCACTGGGAGGGAGGCCAGAGTGTATGTTTGAGACAAGGTAAGGGAAGGATGGAGGGAGGAGGAGATACTGCTTAACTACACTTCCAAATACCTCCAGAGATACTATTTAGTGACGGTGAGAGGGATGTTACCTCTTAAACGTGGCATTCCACATACCATCCCAGGGAAAGGAAACTTACAGCTGGAGAGATAGCTTCTCTCCCACCCTTATCCTCTCCTATAACCTTCCTTTTGTGCCAGTACATCTCCTGACAGTGCCCACATAGGCAGGTTCAGTCTCCACACCAGCCTCTTTAATAAAATAAATACCTATGAACTTTAGCAGCTTCTCAAATCACCCCCAAAGGCATTTAGATTCAATATGAAGAAGTTGAACCTGCAGCTTCCCAAATTACCCGCAAAGGCTTTTAGATTCAACATGAAGTTGAACCTGCCTATGCCTCGGGTGTACTTACACCCAACCTACTATGGGCAGTTAGACTTGTACTTTGGCCTGTAAAAGTCTTCTATGACCAAAGCCAGCTGACCTTTAGTTTGGGTAGAGTGAACAGCCACTCTGAGAGTAATATCCAGAAACACTCCTATTTAAGTATCTTTCCTTGAAATTGAGGCAGTATGTTTCCCATAGTCCCTAGTTTTGAAGCAGATACTCCCCGTTACATATATTAACCCTTTACCATTTATCTGACATTTTCATATATATGAAATATATACCTATATTAGATATAAAGCTGTCACCCCCAAAGTAGAGTGCAGGCCGTACTGCACTCTACATCCTTGGAGCATGGACCAAGAGTAAAGGTATTCTGGTGGAGAAGGAGAAGTTCTGGGAATTAGGTCTGGAAAAGTCCGGGGTAGAAAATAGTCCCTAGGTAAGTTTAGTGTGGATGGGATGCTAGAATCAGGGGCTGGTCAGTGAGTAGGCAGAGACCAGCAAAAGGGAGTTAGACGAGCTGGACGGATAGAGCAAGAGAAGAAAATAATGGCAATAGAAGAGGTAGAAATATGAGGAAGACAATTTCTATCCATGTTAACCTTTGTCAAGGACTGACCCTTTTTGGGGGCTGCTGCCTTAGCTCAAGGCTCATCCCACACACGGGCTGAGGCTATCTATAGCTCTGTATCTGGAGCCCAGACAGTTTCTGAGCAGCTCCCAAGATGGAGGGAATTCCTTTTGTGTCTGCACAACTCCCACAGTGCTGCTGAAGAATACCTATCACCCCCACCTGGGGTTTTAATTGCACCCTCCTGTGGATATTTTATCTAATAAGACCCAAAGTAACAAAGCCAAAGGAATAAAGTCAAAACTTGATTTTTTAATGGAGCAGGTAAAGTATACAGATTATTTGCTTGACCTTCATTGAAGATAGATGGTTTTATGAAAGGTCCTTCAAATTTATTTTGCAGTCTCAATCTAAGAAGTTGACAGGGAAATCATCTGGATAAGCATGTTTATTAGTCTCCCCCAAAGTTATGGAATTCTATCGTCTAAAATTCTGGCCCTGTCTTAAAATCTATGCCATCATTTAATCCTTAAACCAACTGTATAAAAATGACAAATCTCTTTAACTGTAAAAAGGAAGACAAATAACGATGCCTCAGGAGCTTCATTTATTTTTCAATCTGTTAAAATGAAACCAGCCAATCACCTCTGACTACCCATAACAATGAAATTTAAAAATACATCAGGAGCCAAAAACATAACAAAAAGCTCATCGATCCTCCACTATTATCACTCAGTCTTAGGGACTAGGGAGGGAAATGCAGAATTAAGGAAATTACCTCTGTAGGGGCAGAAGTAGGAAAATGTGGAAAACTAGTTTCATTTTAGGGAAAAAAAGTTAAAATTGCAGAGAGGGAGAAAAACCATGGCCCATTTTGCAGTAAATGTAGATGGAGAACAAAATAATTCCCTTTATTCCTTTCCTTCAAACCCTTCTTGCTGCTGTCCCCCCTGATTTAGTAGATCAATAGGAAGCTGCCTTCTAGGGGAGGTAATACACTTTGCAGGAAGCTCACCTTTACAGCCTGCTGATTGCCATCTATTTTTATGGCCCAAATGAACAGCATCAGCTTCTTCCCTCCCCCGCCCTATGAAAAATAAATTTTAAAAACCGTAATAAACCTTGTGAAAACGTGACTTAATTTTTTGACTGGCACCACTAAGGCAACCTCTTCATGCTTCAGGGGACTAAGCCAGAGGGGCCGAGAAGTGAGCTAAGCCGGCGTGCTTACTGAAGGCTGGCCAGCAGACAGAGGAGAGAGGGAGAGCAGCAAAGGCACAAAGGCAGGGAAGAGGGGGAGTGAGGGAGGGAGTGGAACCAGAGCAGTCAATGTTGGGTAGTATGGCAAAATCTGTTAAGGGAAGGAGGCTTGATCTTGATCCCAGGAGTCTTCACCTGGTTTCCAAATCTTACATGGAAAGGACAGACACCAAAGCCAAACCAAGACAAAACAAAACCCACCAAATTGCAAAGAATGGGATCAAAGGAGACATTTCCTTCCCAAATGGACATAAATAGTTAAATTGATTTTGGCAATTATAATAATTAGATAATTAGATTGTGACTCTGTAGGCAAGAGACAGAAACCTGTCTCAGCTAAGTATATTTGGTAGTGAAATGCGCTTAGTTGTAAAGGGAGTGTGTTCTCAGCAGTTATATTTCAAATGGCTTGAAAAAAATTAATGGAATAAAATTTTGCATCTGATGGGTTACGTTTAGCCAGCAAAAGGGATTTTACCTGGGGCTCCATTAAAGCCTGCACTCCTAAGTCCTATTCTCAATCCCACCATCACCATTGTGCCTCCATCAACAGATTTTTATTTAAGCCAATGCGTTTAGAGTACAATTCCGTGGTGAATAACCTTTAAGGTTACATTTGCCTTTTCCCTGCTTCTTGCAAACAGTGCGTAATCCACAAGCACATTTGTTGGCTGTAAAGGTGTACAACAGCAATTTTTGCAATGACAGTGCGGAGAGGGAATATGAGATCTGTGTGCTAATGAGCTGACACTGCAGAGGCTGGGGCGGTGTAGTGTGGAGTGCACTACAAGTGCACAGCAGAAAGACACAGGAGGGGACTTCAAGGGAATCGGCGATGTTTCCTGAGGAACCAGGACAGCAAAGCCACACGATGGGACACATCAGTCCCTTGGTGTTTCCACACCCCTGCCCTGAAAGCCTTAGGACTATTGAATCTGTTTTTTAAAAAACACACATGTAACTTACATGTGTATACATCTCTCTTCATATATATTGATTGTGTGTCTATGAATGTATATATCCTGAAGCCAAAGAATTCACACCACTCTTGGTTCTGGGGTTATCTAGCTAAGTTGAAAAGTAAGGCAGCAAACTCTATTAATCCTCATGAAATGGGAACATGTGCTTCAAATCAGGTAAGTCTCTTAGATAAACTTCAATCCATCTCTGAGTTGAGATCCCAAATTAAACACCTTTCAAAGCCAGTGTGGCTCTTATTGGCCTCGTAGGACATGGAATAAAGTTGGAGTCTGTCTTAAGCAAACCTCTTGGGGGTTGTGCAAAAAAATTGGTTTCTGATGAAGAAGAGTCTTTAAATAACTGATGCCTGGGATTCATCGCAAGGAAACCTTTCAAACACATTGTCAGAGGTTGTAGGGGTGGGTGATGTGGAGGGAGAACAGAGAACAGGGACACATATATGAAAGAATTACCCTTTGTTTATTCTTTGTGTATTCGTTTACCTGCACACCTACACCCTAGAAAGTGTGTGCCTGCCTCAGGATTGAGGGTGCAGGAAAGATCATGAGAAGAGATCAATTCTAGTGCTAAGGGAAGTTGAAACTAGGAATTTTGCATAGGAATAAGGGAAAGTTTCTTTAATTTTTGCCAGCCCATTCCATATTGAACCAGATAGGAGAGGTGGTTGGCCAGATTGAGACTCATCTGTTGTTTTCTGGAATTCTCCCTAGGTCTCCAGAGAAGGACAGGCCGGAGGATACAGAGGTTTCTCTTTGCACAATCAGGGCAATCATTTGGAGGAGTGGAACCTGGGGGTCACCTGTCAGGCTCCAGCACTGAACTAGAATTTCAACCCAGTTGGAAATATTTGATCTCCGCTTCCACAAGAAAAAGAACAATTAAAGCCAGGGGTAGAAATGAGAAACACCTCCAGGGCTTCTTTGGTCCCTTGAAATACTTGGTTTCTGCATTCCAAGACTATGGTTAGACGAGTCATCTTTCTCATACTAAGCTACCAAGCAGCAGCTGCCTAGAGACAGCTTTGAGATCTGGCCCCCATTCAATGATTGTGACATTCAGAGATGACTGTTTCAGGGACCAGAGAAGATGACAGCTTTCCTCCTCTGTCTTCAGAGAAAGCAACAGGCAGCTGGATACACAACACTGGTTTCTAGCTATTTTTCCTGCGTATGTCTGTGCATGCATACATGTGTATTTGACATAACTAAGGGCAAGGTCACGTTTTCATTTTCTTTTTCTTGTTGCCCAGTGAGCCACACTCCTTCTCCCGAACTCTCAAGCCCCTAGCCACAACCCAGCCTTGTAAGTGGAAATGCTATGAATTTACGGTGAGGGATTTTGATCAATTTCTTTTCCTTTCCCCTGGTTGTTCTCTTATTGCCCTGAGAGGTAAGGCAATAAGGCAACTCAATACCAATATGGATGACTTATTGCCTTTTCCTAAACCTGAGATTTTCACATGGCAAGAATCATTTCTGATTGCTTCTTGAGTGGGGTTCTGACAGTCCAGGGCTGGTGGGTGTCAATCTGGTTTGACCATAAGAACAGGACCAAAAACCTTGGAAATCAATCATTTCTGAGAAACCAAATGGTTCTCTTATCCCAGTTCTCATCAGTGAAAAGACACTGAAGGGAGTTGAAATAAATATTATTTGTTACTAATGGTAATAAACCCTGGTAGTTTAATGTATTTAGTTTTAAATCTGTTCTAATTGATATTTAGGAAGCTGCATTTGAGATTCAGCCTCTTGACAAGATCACAGTGCTGCAGGATTAAGAGTCAGATGCGTGTTGTAAATGCTGTGGAGACAGGCTGGGATTACCAAAATAAGATGCAAAGTATAGACAGACATTTCGTAACTTTCACACTAGCTGGAATTAATAAATTCCTATTTTTGTCAATGTCAGAAAGCCAAAGAAAGTCAAATATGGAGTATCTCAGAACACGTTCATATAAGGATCTGTATCTTCAGCTAAAATTTTCTTAAAGCTGACAACTGTCATATTTCTTGCAGAGTATGTTACCCCCATCCTCTTGGCCCAAGTCTTCAAAGCCAAGAAACCTGTGCCCTTGGAGAGACCCTTTCAGTGGTTTCTGGAAACCATGCATCCTTTGAGGCAGAAGGATTTAAAGAAAGTCATATACAAAGTTTCACCCATCCAAACATAAATATCATTTCTCCCTTGGAAGAGAAAGGAAGAAAAACCCCAAATTCCAAACTACATCAGCCATAAAAGCAAAGCATATTTTATACCATATTCAGCCTCATTGTTGTGAAAACTTTTAGTGAAATAAGCTTACATGAAGTATTCTCAGTCTTTCTCACGAAACATTCCATTCAAGTAAAACCATATGTCCAACAGGCTATTAGCCATTTAGGTTCCTTTGGTTGTATTTTACAAAATGTCCCCTTTTCAGAGGAATAATCACCCGGTACAACTAAGGATTTCAGAACCGGCTTTGGGCCTGATGAATTTCTTCTCTTTCCATATTCAGTTTTCCTGCTCCAAGCCTCCTCTCCTCCTGCCCCCTCTTTGCTCTAAATTAAGAACTGTGTTGTCTTTAATGATCATGGGGGTGAACAACACTAGGGGAGGCAGAACTAGCTTTCTAAATCATCACCTGATCACCATTTTCTCCCCTCCCCTCAGTTTGCTAGGCATTCATCACTTGCAATCAGTTTGTAGTCTTATGAGTTCCTATCAGAGCTCTCTCAGTAAGTAAGGTAATATTTGAGGACAGAAAGAGGCCAGGGAACCCAGCCTGTTCTGCCCCTCAAGGTCACTTGTTTGCAGAATTTCTCATATTTGCTTCCTACACATTAGGCAATTGTCAAATTCAGCTCGTTCCTAGAGCCAGGCACTAGCTTTAACAGTCAAGTGATGTACATCCTGAATTGACTCAATCAAGAAGCTGCTGCTGCTTTTTTAAATCTCATCTGAAGAAATTTCTCTGAACAACCGTGCTATTTTTTTCTTTCTTTCTTTTTTTTTCCCCAGTTAAAAAAAAAAGAGAGAGAGTGTTGGAGAAGGAACACACTAGGTTAGCATGGAGGAAAATGAAACTTTTGCATCAAACACTATTTGGAGCAGACTTTTGCCCACTGTCTTGAGTTTTTCCCACTGTCTTAAGCCCCTCAGCAGTATCATTTGGAGTTGATTTATGCAACATGAAACCGGATGGATTAGAGCCCCTAAAATATCTACTGAAGCAATCATCTCCCAGCACATACACAGACCCTAAGTGCCACAAGAAAGATGCAAATGAGGTCCCCAACGTCCCAAAGGGAGGAAAAGCAGATCTACTTACAAGCATTTGTCACGGAAAAACTATTGGAGGAATCCAAGTGATCTACGTGGTAATTCAAATGGAAGGGCTTCTCGGTGGTGTTCTGGTTGGTGTTGTATAACTGCACGGCAAAGCGGAAAGCGCTGTGCTCCTGCACTGTGTTTCTCATGAAAAGTCCACCTATAAGCAAAGGGAACGGAGATTTGGCTTGTGTTCCCCCACACTAGGGCCAGTTAGGAATTGGGGAACAATATAGATACCGGATACCTCTCAATGATACTGGGGTGTGGGATTGAGGATTGATATTCAACCTGTGTGTCTTTCAAGACTTGTGAACTCAGATTTTGGCCAAGAGAAACCTGGCTTTTCTAGACTGAAAAGAAGAGGCTAGAGAGAAGGGAGAAGAGACGAGGGAGCCGTTTTGGGTTAGGACGATGGAACCAAGAGTGAGACTTGGTTCTTTCTTAGTCGGCAGCCTTCTTTTTTTTTAGTCGCCCCCCCCCTCCGCCCCCCGCCCATCCGCACAGCTGGTCATCTTTTCATTGTGTGAAGGGAAAGGTTGGGAAGAAAAACAATATTGTTCCCCCTGCTACCCCAACCCGTTCCCCATAGCCACCCTCCCCCGTGACAATACAGGGGGTTGGTTCAGTAATGGCAAAAATTCTAACTTCTAGACTTGTAAATACGACAGAAGCCAAGATAACTCCCTCCAGGCGCCCAGGAGCCGGGCTCCAGACAGACACAGCGGCAATTCATGAATTCGTGGTCTGCGTGACTTCGCCGCTTGCCCGCTCAGCTCCTAGTCTCACCCCCGCCTCCTACCCCATCCACCACCAACGCCTGCTGCTGCCCGGGTCTGGGAGATCCAAAGTGGGCTCCACCTCCCCCAGCACCAGCCTGTCTCCCGACAGCCGGAGACCACGGACTGAGCACCCCGGGCCCGGGTTATGCGCCCTGGCGCGGCCAGACAGTCGGCATCACCCTGGGACAACTTCCAGGAGCTGCACGCACGCCATGGCAAAGTCCAGAGCAGCGAGCCGAAAAGCCTCGACTCTTCACCCCCTTGCAGCATCCCAGCCTCCTGCTCGCCTCCGGTGCTCCTCTCGGCTCGGAAAACCTAGCAGTTCACCCCCACTAGCCCCAGGAGACCCCTCTCTTGTCCCAGAGGCTCTTCAGACCAGCCACCTCGTTGAGGCTCAGATTCCCCCCGCCCCGCCCCCCGCCCCGCACCATCTCTGCCCGGTCCCGGCCCCAGTCCCAGTTCCCAGGCCACGCAGGACAGGGACCCACCGCAGGGAAAGCCTTGCCGGGGCAGTGGTCTCGGGTGAGGGAGAGCCTGGACCGACGGCTGGCTCGCTTGCGCTTACCTATGCTGATGGTGTTGGGGAATCCTCCGTGAGAATGACCCAAAAGCCCCAGGACTAAAAAGAAGACCGCCCGGAGCACGCTTTGCCCCATTTTCTTCTGCCTGGCCATGCTACGCCTAAAACGAAGCTGACAAGAGCATGGGCGCAACTCAGGAGTCGTCAAAATAATAATAGAAAAAGAAAAAGAATTCGCTGGCTCTTACACCCCCTCCCCTTAACTTGCTCTCGCTCACTCTTCCTTTCCACCCCACACTAGTCCTCCTCCTCCTCCGCTGCCGCCGCCTCCTCTTCTTCCTCTTCTTCTCTCTCCCTCTTACTCTCTCTCTTATTCGCTCGCTCTCTCTCGCTCGCTCTCTCTTCCTTTCTTGCTCCCTCTCTCTCCCTCTCGCTCCCAGGATCTCTCACACCCCCTCCCTTCCCCCCACCTCACTTCTGTCTTCACACCAATCTGGAAGGCGGGTTCATTGGCTGCAAGCTGGGTTTGCCAAAGCGATTTCTGTCCCTATGATAGAGAGAGAGAGAGAGAGAGAGAGAGAGAGAGAGAGAGAGAATAAAATCCTAAAACAGAACAAAACAAGCAAAACACTGAAAAACAAAAATAGAGAAGCAAAAGAAAGAGAACGAAAGAATAAATTATCAAGACAATCTGAGACTCTCTCCGCGCCCCCCCCCCCCCGCAAAAGATGGTAGGTCTAAAGAGGGGGGGAAAAAAAGGAAAGAGCGAAAAGGCTCAGTGCCGGTGAATTGGGCTCTTCCAATTGGGCCAGTAGGGGGATATTGATCAAAGTTGATCTGACGTGGAATTAAAGCCGCACACCGCTTAGCTCTACTGCAAACTGCAGCCCCGGACTGCAAAGCCTAGGCGCTGGCGTTTGTCAACACCGGAGATGGGATCAATAGAAATACACCACTCCTAACGTGGATCAACCTTTCAAGCTGCAACGTCCTCCCACCCTTTAAAAAAAAATAGCTGCATTGCCTCTGTGTTTGTGTGTCTGTCTTAAAGAAGGGGGGCCTTAGGAGGGCCATTAGTGGTTACTCCGGAGTCTTTGTAGAGACTCAGAGAAGCAGTTCCCATCACAATGCGCCCGAAGATGCTGCGCATGCCCGGTCTCTGCCGCTCCGCTTTTACAGCAGAGATCCGAGGGCGAGTGAGCAACCCCCACCCCCATCCCCGCAGCTTTGGGAGGCGTGTCCCTCCCCTTAAACTAGTGCTGAGGCCGGCTTGCGGGGGCATGGGGTGGGCGGTGCTGAGCAGTGATGGGCAGTATGGGGCTGACTTCTTTGGAGGGCATAGGAAAAAGTATGTGCGTAGAGGTAGTAACTAAAAGGTTAATGAAAAGGACGCTCAGGCTCACTGACCAAGGAGGAGGGAGGTGTGGGAATGAGCTGGTCTGGGGGTGGGGATTGAAAGTTGAGGCTGGAGAAAACTGTACCTAGCTGCATTGATCCCTTGGTGTTGCCTCTGGACTTAGCAGCCTAGGCCCCTGACTGATGACCTCAGAGGTTATCAATTCTTTCTGACTCTTCTTCCCCTCTGCTCTAAGGCGAGCAAAGAACCTATGAAGTCCTACAGTACAGACCGGATTTCAGTGACGGTGGCCTTCTCCATAGCATGCTGCGGATGAACCTCCTGGGCTATAGACTCCTCTCCCTAGCCCCTTTCTCCCGCAATGAGGAAAAAGAATCCTCTTTATCTCTCACGTTTTTCACTTTTACTTTACAGTTACTGTAGAAGGCATGGGTTTTATCCTCCCCACACCTGCTATTTTCCTTTTCATATCCTCTCCTCCTGGTCTAAGTGGAACATGAACTCTCCTGCCAGTGTAAAGCGAACTGATATACATCGGGGATAAAATTGGGAATATACAGGGGATAGAAGGACCCTGGAGCCCAGCTAGTATATCAGTTGCTACAGAACTTTGGATTTGGCGAGACGTAGTCTGGAGCCTGGAACAATGGAACAAAATGGCTTCAAACCAGAAAAATTGTCCTAGGCTCTTCCCAAATTTCTATTCATTCTGATAATGCATAATTTCCTCCCACCCACCACTCATAGAAATCTTTTGTCTCCATTTTGATATTTCATGGACAGGAGTGAAGGAGAAACATGAGAGTCTGAGGAGACTCATCTTTTCAGTGGAAGAAGCATTAGGGCAAAGCGGGTAGCAGAGGTAAGGTTGGTCATCCCCTGCCAAATGTAGACAGGGACATAGCATTATTCGGGAACATGGGCTTAGGAGGCATACACGTCCAGGTTCGAGTCTAAGTCCCATCACATACAGGCAGTGTGTGACCTTGAACAACTTTGTTAATCTGAACCCCAGTTCTCTCATCTTCAAAATGGGAATATTAATATCTTTCTTTATAAGGCAGTTGTGAAAATTAAGTAAGATAATTGATATGAAAGCATCTAATTCAGTGCCTGCCTCAGAGAAAAATCAATAAATGTTAATTTCCAAACTCCCTTCCCTCTTTCTCACCTAGTAAAAGTGCCCTCTTGTCCCCCAAGTTTCCTCATGCTGTCATCCTCCTCTCTCCTCATATTCCACATAACTTCAGACTCTGCTATCAAGTCTATGCCAATGTTCCACATTAAAATCTTTCCATTGTGGCTCCTCAAAAGGCCCGGGAGACAATCTTTACTAAGATTCTAATGGCAGGCAATGACAATTTAATATTAAAATGTCACATTTAAAGAACCTTTACTCTGTGCCAGGCACTAGGTGTTTCTCCTTTTTAGATAACACAGTTGCATTTTAATAGGAGCCTTCAATGCCTTGTCCCAAAGGAACAACTTTAATGAGGAGGTTTTAGTTTTGATTTCATGTGAGTGAACAATATATTTTGTACGAGGAGAAAGTGACTTTCAGCATGTCTCACTTCACTCCTGAAAGTAGCCACGTCCCCAGCCATGCTTGGCCAGCTGTAAGAGGAGGTGGAAGAAAAGATCTGTGGCCATCTTCACTGTCATTTGGCTTGAAGAGTGATGAGGGTGGCTCAGTAACTAAAGATGAGAGGCAGAAAAGTATTTTGGTGCCTATGCACTTGAAAACCCTCGAAGTCATGAATGTAAATGCCACCCATCCCTTCCATTGTCATCCTCCCCTGCCCAATACCTTTTTCCCCTCTCTTTTATCTGCTGCCACTCTTTCAATTTTTAGCTGTCAGTGGCAGCTGTTGGCAGAGTTGGACTACTCTCATCTGAGCCAGCAGGGGCACAGTGGTAGACTAAGCATATTGCTGTTGGTTGAAAAGCCTGTATAATACATGCAAATTCTTTAGCAATCGATTCCTCACCCAAAAGAGCAGGGAGACACTTTATAAACTTCAACTTTGATTTTCCAACGAGGGGTTAGAGATTATACTAGCAGCATCATAGCCACCAGAAGTTGCCAACAAAGCCCCAAACCTAGCTCTCCCTCTGTGGTTAAGAGTATCCCTGCTGAATTTAGGATTACCTGCTAGCCTTAGTACCTATGATCTGTACTTTTAAATGAGCTCTATGATATAGTTTAAATAGCAAGAAAATAACCATTGCAGTTTTTATCAAAAAGTAAAAAGTGTACTTCTCTTCATGAGCTTTGTGCTTGTTTCAGGCTTGAGAGGTGCACTTGGATAAGCATAAAGAACTGTTGGCCAGTGGAATTCTAAGAGGTGATCTATACCGTACAGTGAGCCTCATACTTGCCAACTTCATAAAAATCAGGAAAACAACAACAGAAATCATCCTATTTCATTGGAAGGAAACTGCTATACCCTTCGAAGAAAATGAAACCAAGATACTATATCCTTTGCCTAATGGGAGCATAATTTTCTAACCATTTGACTTGATACTTTGATTTCTTCAACATTTATTGACCACCTACTATAGGCAGACTTTGCTAAGCACCAGGAATGTAAGGAAGCAAGGAACAGTTTCTGCTTTTCATGAATGTCAAGTTCAAAGGAGGAGCAGATGTATTCACTGGCAATGACAATGCAATATGGCAAGTGCTCTGAAAATGGTAAGCACCAGGTACCATGGCAGCACAGAGGATGGTGTTTAACTATCTGAAACAAGGTACTTCCCTTATCCCAAACCCTTACAAACACAAGATAGAACAAAGTGGTTTCTAAGTACCCGTCTTGCTTTTATGTTTGATCATCCTATGATTCCATGAGGTGAGATTATTTTGGGGTTAGAAAAACTGTCCAAACTTTAGCCTAGACTCTAATAAAGGAACTAAGCTAGATACAACTGATTCTTTGTGGCCATCTTTTGCACTGTCACTTCCAGATTATTTGGGAAGAATAGAGAGTTTAGCCATATCTGGAGATTCAGGTTGGGTATGACTTCTAAGAAAGCTTAGGTCCTCTGACCTACTTCTCTATAGTTCCATTTTCTCCATTATATCACCCCTCCAGAAACCTCTGTGGAAATCTTCTATCTAAGTGTTGGCCTCCATGTTGTTAAATAAATCTACATCCCTGAGAAGCTAAAATTTCAGACACAGGCCTAGTTGGAGTTGCTTCTGTTGGAAGTGTATCTATGAGTCAGAGGAAAAACCTTATTAATTTGGATTTAATATGTCCAGAAATCGATCCACCGAAACTTCTAGAAGGAGACAGTTACACCAAGTGAGTAGTGGCTATGGGAGCAATTGTTTATCCTAAATCATTTTCAGATTAGCTTGCTTTTTATACATAAGGGTATTTAGAACTCCATGTTTTCCCTGAAGACATCCCCAGGAGCCATTTGGAGGAGCAATTAATTGGAAATGACCTGGTATTTTTTGTACCTCTCTTCCAACACCTTCCTCTCTGGACTAAACACTTTCACACCACCTCCTTTAAGCACCCTCAGGGTTAGTGACCATGCTTTGAATGGTCCTATATCAGTTAGAATACTTCATGCTGCAGACAAGAACAAATCCACTAAAACTGATATAAACACTAAGGGAGACACATTGGCTCACATAACTGGAAGGGCCAAAGGTATGGCTGACTTGAGAATTCATTAGACTCAATATTTCAACAATTTCATCAAAAACCTAATTTCTTTTCCTCTCTCCTTTCTGTTTCCCTGAAGATGGCAAAATGGCTGTAGGATTTCTTGGCTTCATATCTATGTCACATCATCTTGTATTAGTTGGCAGTGAATCATGTGACTATTCATGATCCAATCTTGTGGCCAGGTAATGCCATGCTTAGGCCTGAATTACCTGAACCAGTAGCCATGACATAGGGGACCAGGATTATGACCCATCTGTGCAGTTTAGTGTAGGGTCAGTCTTCCCACCACCACCAAATTACATGATTGATACACAATGAGGGAGAGAGATATGGAGGTTGGGAAACAATCACAATAACCACTGACATCCCTGTCTTCCTGAAGGCCTGCTCCCTGGGAATTGTGGGTGGTAATAATTTTATTCTTCAAGTGTCTACAGGCCCCTGAAGACTTGCCAAAATGGTTTGTCTTTGGTCTGTTGTAGGTAGACTCCTCAATGGTGAGATCCTTCTGTTACTTTAGTAGCTCAGCCCCCTAAATTTAGTTCAAGATGCATCTGCCTGATATTTTAATTCTGTTCTTAACAGAGTTATGTTATATTGAGAGTGCAGGGTGAGAAACTAATATAGAAATAATTTCTTTTCTAGGCAAATAGGCTTCTAGAGACTTTCAGGTAAAAATCTAGAGATTCCTCCACACATTCTCCTCAGGATAAGCAGAGGTGTCACTCTACAGACTATGAAACTGAGGAATCAGAGAGGTTAAGTGAATAGCCCAAGGTCATACAGCCATGTGTTAAGGATTGGCATTTCTTATCCCTCTAGGGCTTTATTCACCAGACCAGAGTTTCCTTCATGCTGTGATACTGAGGATGTGGATAGAACTGAATCATAATAAATACATTCTGCTGGGATGGTTACATCTTAGCAAGTAATTATCCCCTGGTAGACTCTGAATGGGCTTAAAAACTGTAGATGGAAATCACATGGCTTCAGGACTCCCACTTCTCACAAAGTGACATTCTTATAAGCTGCAATGTCCCTCTGATGGGAAGTGTTAATTTATTGTGAATTATTCCAGGTTACCTCCCAGAGATAATATTCTTGACATTTTTATTAATGTATACCATTTTACCCCTCTGGGAAAGTTAAAAAATGATCACTGGGAAACAGCATAGGCAAGTCAGGGGGAAATTAACCCCCAAACTAAAACTAGCCCCTCCTCCCAGCCCTACCTGGGGAGGGGTTGCATGTTTGAGTAGATTTGAGAGTTCTAGAGATGTTGAGGAATTATTGGTGCCAATTGTTTGAGGAGTTATGCTTTATACTCAACTGGAAAAATTTCCATTTTTTGAAGTACTTATGAAAATTGGAAGTTGACTCTGGATTCTGAAACTTACATGACTGGAGGTTAGGAACTGAGTCAGCATCATGCCAGATAACATCATATGAAGGCAAATAGACTTTTTCCCCATTTTTGAGGTGCATATATGTGTGGGGGTGGTGGTGATGGGGTTGGAATGAGTGCAGTACACATGTTAGATTGAATGAGAGCTCTAATTATTCACCCTTTCCCAAATTCATATCTTTATCATGGCCTCATTGTGGGCAGTTTGTTTTCCTGCCCTTTAACTTGGCCATGTGACTTGCTTTGGCCAATGGAATGTGGGAAAAAGTGACAGTGCACCAATTTCAGCTTACATCTTAGGAGACCTCACACATATCTGCTTGCCATCTTCAGCTCTGTCAGTGCCATGAGAAGAACATGCAGCAGCTAATTTGTTGGCCCAAGAAAGATGAAAGACATGAGTAGCAGAGCAGCTCCAGTTGACTCATAGACCTACAGTGAGAAGCAGAGCCACCCCAGCTACTACTACCTGTAGCAGCACTACACTGCTGGGGCCAGTCTAGATCAGCTGAACCCCAGCCAACCTGCCCATCAGTGAGGAATAAGTGACTGATGTGGTTTTAAGCCACTAAGGTTTGGGACACCTTGTTGTGGAGCAATAGCTAACTAATACAGCAGGCCTCTGGCCGTAATATATTTCTATGAATGGTCTAAAGCTAGGGTGATCATATATTTTTGTTCACCCAAGACCATTCAGTTTATGCCCATGGTCTTGGGACAATTATAAGTGCCCCCTTTCACCGGGATAAAAATACCTCAGTTCAAATGCGAATTTCTGTGGTCAATCTAGCTGAGACAATGTAGATCTTATATGTGGTTGCTTCAAGGGCCAGATGGAAGACTTGCTATCTGCTTGTTTGCTATTTCTACCTCCTAATTTCTGCTTTCTAATTTGTCAGCTGGGGATTTGAGTTTAGCCATCTTGAGGAATAAGGTATTTTTAACACTCCTTTAGAGGTAGGGAGTTTTGGGTTTCCTGCTTTGAAAGAAAATTCAGAGTATTTAGGGGAATAAAAAGATAACTGGAAACATTTGAATTTGAAGATACTTGCCTGTGGCTAATTCTTAAAGAGGAATTGCAATTGCTGGTTTTCCTAAAGTTTAATCTGTTATAATATGTGTGCTGTGGGCATATTCCGTTGAGTCTTTGTGACATCAATTTCATGAACATAATATTTTGAGGAAAAAGAAAAGCATATTAACCACTCCACATTTTTCTGGGCAATTACCCACAAAATTAAAATTAGTAGTTTTATCCTTTGAAAATACAGGTATGCCCTAGTTTTAAAAAGTCCAATATGTGGAACTAGAAATTTGGAAGGAGTTTTGTAGTTTACTAAAAGATTTGCCTAAGTTTTCCTTTAAGTAGTGAACTGCTCTTGTGCAATGGTTATCAGTCAGATGTGATTTTGCCCCCTGGAGGACAAGTGGCAATGTTTGGGAGACATTTTGATCATCATTCCTGGCAGTGTAGGGTGGTGCTACAGGAATTTAGTGGGTAGAGGCCAGAGATGCTGCTCAACTCCTTATAATGCACAAGGCAGCCCCAAATGTCAATAGTGCCACTGTTGAGGAACCCAACTCTTATGTATTCAGAATAGGAGTTTTAGAAAAACCAAATAGGTATATACACACCTTTTCAGAAATGTGAGTATTGAACTAGGAATCTGAAAACTTGGATTCTAATCATAATTCTGCCAAAATTACTAGGAATGTGACATCAGGCTATCATTTACACTCTCTGAGACTCAGTGATTTGATCTGTGAATTGGGGATACATCTTATTTATATCTCCAAATAAAGCATTAGAGAGAAAAGGAGAGGGATGAGGGAGGAGGGGAGTGAGGGAGGAGGGGGATAAGGGGAGAGGGAAAGATCATTGTTACAATACACTTAATATTGTGGTATTCAGGCTGGTAAAGTTGATTAGCTCAAATCATAGAATTACCAGGAAATGTGAACTTTCTAAGAGTACTTCGACTGCTTTTACTTTTCTCGACATTCTACAACCGAAGAAATTGCAGCAGGGCAGAATATCTGTCACTTCCCCAAATCCAATGCAAAAGCCAAGGCTGTCTGACTTCCTATGCTGCCTTTTTTTTTTCATTAATTCCCCGCAAGTTACCTACAGTTCCTGTTACTAGTTATCAGTGCTTCAAGTAATATTATCCTTGTATTATTGTTAATGTTCTTTTTTATTTTAGAGAAAATACTAACTGAGAGGAAGCAGCAGTTATGAAACTATCTCTACAGTGATCATCAGAGCTCAGGGTTGGGCAGAAAGCTGGTTTCTGCTGAGCTACCAACACTTAGTTGGACTCAAGGGTGAGAGAGTGAAATGGACTCTAAGTAGCAGCAGGAAGGAGGGAAAGTAAGAACAAGGCCTATACAGTGTTTGGAAACTCTTCAGGGCAGACAGGACTGGCTACATAATTTGCAGGGCTTAGAGCAAAAATGAAAGTGCTAGGCACCTTCTTGAAACATTTTTAAGAATTTCAAGACAGAAATGGCAGTGCATTAATCCAAGCATGAGCCCTTCTAGCATGGAGCCCTGTATGACTGCACAGGTCACACTGAGGGCAGTGCCTACTATAGAGAAGAATGGGCCAGTCTGGAGCACCTCCCTCTTCAGTTACCTGGGCCCTTGACTCCAGGCCCCAGGGAGGAAGCTCATTCACTAAGGACCCTGCAGGGTCCACAGGAAATGAGGTGGCTTCCTCTAGGGAGGTACAAACAGTTCCTCACTGCTTCACCCAGCCTCCCTCAGTGGGTTACCCCAGTCCCAAGAGAAGTTACATGTTGCAGAACAAGAGACAATCACTGTATCTTGGCAGGAAATCAGCCAAAGAGTGGTCTTATAGATCCTACCTGCCCTGCTATCTAAACTCAAATTGAGCTCCCTTGGGGGAAGATTGTTCCATATACAAAGGCACCACACTGGGAAACTCTTTGTGAGGCAATGCCTTTAGAAACAAAACAAAACAAAACAAAACAAAACAAAACAAAACAGAAGAGAACAAAACAAAGCAAAAACAAACATTTCCTCCCTCTTAATGTAGTGTTTAAGAGCTTAGAACATTATCACATTTTGATAATAACGGGAAAGCAGTGACTCTTTCCCAATTTTGAATTTCCTTTACTCAAATTTCTGGTACATACAGATTAACTTGGTACTTTTTCCTGTTGATGGTGATGATAACAATGATGATGATGAGGAGGAGGAAGATAACAACGATAATGAAGGCAATGATGATCATGATGATGACAGTGATGATGATGGCTAACATTTATTTCTTACTTCATGCTAGGTATTCTACTAAATGGTTTAAATGTATTGTTTCATTGAACTCTTACAACAACTCTTTGAGATAAGTACTATTAGTATCCCCATATTCCATTCAAACCAAAATTAGAAGCATTTCCTATGAACCTTAAAGGAAAGAGACGCTGAAAAGCATCTATTACACAAGAGATGTTAAATGGAAAGAAATTGCGCAGTTCCTATTATTAACAAGTTAGAATGTGAAAAGTGTCATTGATTTTTCCTTTTATTATAGGATGCTTCCCTTATTGTATTTTTTTGTGAACACAAAATTTATTTTTAAATGCTTTGTACAATGCTTAGTACCCAGAGGCTTCTCAATAAAAGCGTGCTGAATGAATTAATAAATGAGGGCTGGCCGGGTGCAGTGGCTCACATCCTAGCACTTTGGGAGGCTGAAGAGGGTGGATTGCTTGAGCCCAGGAGTTCGAGACCAGCCTTGGCAACATGGCGAAACCCCTTCTCTACAAAAAATACAAAAGCTATCTGGGTGTGGTGGCACATGCCTGTAGTCCCAGCTACTCAGGAGGCTGAGGTGGGAGGATCACCTGAGACTGGAGAGGTCGAGGCTGCAGTGAACCATGATCGCGGCATTGCACTCCAGCCTGGGCAACATTGTGAGACTCTGTCTTAAATCAATCAATCAATCAATCAATCAATCAATCAAGGCTTTTGTAGGCTCACTAAAGATCTAAATTTTTGTATGGAGTTTCAAGAAAACACCCTAAGCTCTTTAATCATGAATACTGCCAAAGGATTTTGAGAAACAAAATTTTATGGTTAGAGAAGTACCCTGTGTCTTTATTTCAAGTAAATTATACCTGTGATACCAGCTTGCCCTCTTGATATGGTTATAAACTAAGGCATCATTACCACCACCTTGTGGAAGTTTCCAATAATTGCAGACAAATTACCCAAGTAGAAAGCCATAGAGATCTTGACTATTGAACCTTACACTTCTCCTCCAACACATTACTTGACTTTTGCTCTAGTTAGATTTCTGGGTAGTAAATTAAAGCAATACATTTATGTGTCCTTTACTTTGAGTGACCTCAAATTCTTCTTGGAATCAGGAGCAGCGTGGTGAAAAAATATGTGAATGAATGGAATGTTTACATTTCCAAACTAACCCATTAAAAAATTATAAACCTTTTACTGTCTTTCTAAAGAGGATGAAACTTGAGGGAACCAACTAATTTGGTATTGGAATACACTGTAACTTTATATGTTAACTCTAACTAGATATTTTGCTAACTTTGTTTATCTGTTTAAGATTTTGCGAGCTCCATGAGGGGAGGGATTTTTTTTTTTTGGTCTGTTCTGTTTACTGCTGTAATCCTAGCACCTACAACAATGCACTGAATTTAATGGATGCTAAATATTTCTTTTTCAAATGAGTGAATACATGAATTAAGTCAAAAGCAAGATCTAATGATGCTTAACATAATGGTACATACATTAGGAGGAATACAAGGGAGAAAAAGTTTCTGATTGCATGGATGAACTGAAAAAGAACAGACCCAAATGCCCTTCTGTCTGGGAGATTAGATTTGGCAAACTCTTAGATAGCAGTGACCATACGTTATACTTAGGATAGTGCCTCTTGAGGTGCAGAGGTGGTGGAGAATAGTGGAGGGTGGATCTGGAAAGGGACAAGGAAAGAATAACTTTTCTCTTATTGCCGCATCACTTATAAAACTTACTCATCCTTTCCCTCTTCTTTTCAGTATTTTGTTTGATAAAAGTGATTCGTATATTCTACAAGGTACTTGGTGGAAAGCAGTCCTTGTGTTACTATTAAGGGACAGATGACAGTTGAGAAGAATTGAAGGTCTGAGTTAGTATAACATTTTCTGTTTCTCAAGATTGTGGAAATTGGCTGACTATGTCTGTAGCTGGCCACAACATGATAAGAGGTTGGGTTGCAAATGCTGAGAAAATGGAAATGGAAGTCAGCAATTTGCTTCTATACCTTATAATATGGGCAAACCTTGCTTTATGCAATGGGCATACCTCTCAAAATTTAAGTGGAAAATGAATTTAGATAAATTGAATCCTATTTTAAATCCAGGACAGGGGCTTGCCACTTAAAGAAACCCTGAAGCAAATCATTTTTTGAAGTTAAAAAGTGGGCTATTTTGTCATTTTTGTAGTTTCCTTCATGTTGTACTAAAAATAAAACATAGTCCCCTAGAATTTAGAGAGTAGATGCTTTTGAATAAAGAGTTGTGGTTTTGAGATGTTTATTTTTCAAACCTTCTCTGATACCAGAGCTTAAATGGAAAATATCTAGTTTTCTGAAATCCCCAGTATTCCAATCTAGTATCTTTTCATGGTACTTCCTTTTTTATAATTGCAGCTTTCATTTTGGATTCAGGGAGTACATGTGCAGTTTGTTACATGGCTATATTGCATGATGCTGAAGTTTGGGGTAGAAATGATCCTGTCACCCAAGTAGTGAGCATACGACCCAATAGGTATTTTTTCATCTCTTGTCCCCCTCCCTATCTCCCCTCTCTAGTAGACCCCAGTGTCTATTATTCCTTCATAGTATACTTCTGATGTAGGATCAGAAATTTCCCAGTTTTATTTGGGACAAAGTTGAAGTGTTAATAAAACATACATAGGTATTGCCATCTTTGCTCCAAATTACCACCGATCACGTCTTCACTGAAACCTTGGATGTACAACATAAGCTATAAATTTCATGCCAGGGGGAAGAAATTGTAGTGTGAGTTATTATTTATCAAGTACTTTCTATGTGCCAGGCATGTGCTAAGTACTTTTATATATTAGATTATCTAATCCTAATAGCCCCCTATGAGGTAAGTAGTATTATTACTTCAATTTTACAGCTGAGGAAATGAGTCACGCGGAGAGATTGAATGGCTTGCCCAAGGTTACATAGCTCTAAGTGGTAGATGTGAAATCAAGTCCAGGAAGCCTCTCTGTCACCCTGCCTCCACGTCATTATCTCTTTCTCTCTCTCTCTCTCTCTCTCTCTCTCTCTCTGTGTGTGTGTATGTGTGTGTGTGTATGTGTGTGTGTGTGTGTGTGTGTGTTCTGTTCTGAAATCCCAACTAGTATGTGTGCTCCCAAAAGGCAGAGAATGGATAGCTGCCTCTATGCCATACAAGCTCAGTGGCCACTCAACTACCATTGTAGACTGATTGGGAAAAACAAACACTTGAAAGAAAATTTTGTTTTGTTTTTAAAAGTTTCTCTCTCTAGCTTAGCTAAAGATAATTTACTTTTTCAAGGGATGGAGGGAGTACTGTTCACTTCTCCGAGAAAATAGTTACTTACTGAATGGCAATCTCATGCCCTGGAAGGGTTAACTTTACTGTCTGAGAGAGGACAAGGCAGTGTGTATAGTGGTATACTTGTCTTTTTCCATCAGAACCATGGTAGGTGGTTTAAAGGAAGGGCCACTCAGCCTGAGTTCAAAATACCCCATTCACAACTAGTGTTAGACTGATTCGACCTCCTTGGGTCTCACTATTTTCATCTGTACAATGGGGATGATAATAAGTAACAGATCCTTCATAAGGATGCTGTGAGGATTGAATGAGATAATTAAAGTACATCGAATTATGCCTGGCATGTAACAAATGCTCAGTAATATTAGCTCTTATTGTTACTAGCTCCAGGCCCATAAGCATATTTTAGCACAGGTTTCTCTGAGCTTCTTTTGGTTCTGGGGGCTCTGAGAGAGTCCATTTTGCTAAGTTGGAGGAAGCAGGAAAGGCATTTGCATTTGCAGAAGCTGTCAGCATTTGAGTTTGTTTAGCCTTGACAAGAAATGGCTTCTTATTTTGAAAACAAAGGAAAAATATATTTTTCAAGTGAAGAAACACCTTTAAAGGTGTATAAAAATACCCAGAAGACTTATTAGGCAGAAAACAGCTTTCATAGAGCAACGTCGTAGTGATTGAGGAGGAAAAATTGTCAACTGTAAGAATTAGATTGCCCTTAATGGAGAAGCAGAGTTGGGCATGGCAGAGACCGCTAGGATGGGTGGGGGAGGGGGAGGGCAGGGGGAGGCAAAAGGCTTGCCAAAGAGCCAAGGAGATTGGATTGTGCCAGTCCAGAAACCACTTGCCGGAAGAAAGCTGCAGTCGCTTTCACCCACTGCCGCTCTGTGGTAATGAATGCATTTTTGATTAGCTTTGCTGATTACCTGCTCGCTATGCACACAGCGGAAGATAGAATAGCAGAGGCTGGGGCTCTTGCTTAAGACTTTAGAGGCAAGCGTTGGTGGGAGGGCTTTGATGCTCTTTTGTATTTTTCTTTTCCCATCTGCTCCTCAGTGTACATTAAAATAACACAGGCTTGTTCTGGGAGCAGCCAAGAGGCCAGATTCTTAGTTTATTTCCCTTACACATTGGTGTTGTTACAGGGAAATAAAAACAGTACCAGAGGGGCAAGGAGCTGCACCAAAGCCCCCATCCACTTTCCTCTGATTTCTTTGTACCATTTAACTCATCCCCTCAACCACAGGAGATGGATGTCTTTGCATATATTGAAAAAGAAGTTATGTCTTTGATTTCCTAGATACATTACAAGTATTTACCAAGATATGAGAATTAGGTGTGGAAATAGGTTTGAGGCTCAGAAGGCAAAGTCTCTAAAGATTTAGTGCAATTTGAATGGGAACATGAACTTTCGGAAGGAAAAACACAGGTTATCAATTTGAGAACAATTTCCTCTCTGGTGCTGTAAGATGAGAACTAGAGTCCAATGTTTATAATCAAATGAATCTTTTTTATTTTTTAACACATTAGTACAGCAGTTTTGTTCATATTGTATTTTCTCTGTGCATGGGCTATTAATTGTTTTTGGTTGTTGTAGTTTCTGTTCTGGACTAAACATTGTATGAGGCCTGATCTGTTTCTAACAAGGTGAAGGCTAAATAACTGGCGAGACTCATCTATGAATGTCAGCCCAGCCTGTGACTGAGTGATACTGTCTAAAGCAAACACTATTTTCTCTTTTTGGGTAGGAATGGAGGACTTGACAGCTGCTTGAATACACAGATCAGGGCTAGCCCTATGTGTAGGAGCAGTGAGTGAGTGCTTCCTTTGAGGGGCTTCTAATGCTTCCATTTCACCTTTTTTGTATCTTCACTAGTAGCCTCATTGTGCTTTCTGAAATTCCTATTTTCACCCACTCCTTTGGGAAGCACTCTGTTAAAATGGTGATGCTGCCTACATGTGATGCATACTTCCCATTATTTCTACATCATGGCACACAGGCAGCTCCTCATAACTGGAGTTAATAAGTTTGGAATCAGGCCACTCCAGATCTTGAGTACTGAAGGGAATTACTAACTGAGCACACCTCTGATCTTTTATATGGCCACCCTTATGAAAGATCACCAGTCATTCATAAGGGTGACCATATCATTTATGATCCAATCTGGGACACTTTGAGAGTGAAAGGAGGCACTGTTAATAATTAAGCCAGGACATGAGGCAGAATGTATCATCTAGGAAGTTTAGTCACCTCAGTCAATTATACCCTAACCTAGGTTAGTTTCCAAGACGAGCCCTACTGAGAAAAGACCTCTGAAACGTGTACTTTTCTAATCTGTTTGCTCCATTAGTCATTTTCCTTATCTGTCTTTCTATTTATATAGCTAGGATCACCTACTCTTATTCTGTTTTTCTCTAGTCTCCATTTCACAGACGAAGAGACAGATATGACACTAAATGATGTTTTATACCCTAGTTTTTGTCAGAAGTGAGTAATTAGGTAGCAACAAGGCCATATGGGACCCAGGGGTAAATTGGTGATTTCTGAATCCTCACTAAATTTCCATTTTGGTATCTTCCTCATCTTGTTTACCGTCTTTCTTTCTCTAGCTTCCCAGTGCCCATGTTCCCTCCCATGTCCAGAATTTTCTTTCTTTGCTCGTATCCATTAAAGCTTAGCTGTTCTTTATAATATTTGATTCCTTCGAGACTTTGCCTTCTGTTGAAAAATGAATGCTAAAAATTTAACGTATTAGCTTCTCTAGGAAGTATATTCACATTTAAATAAGGGACTTCTGAAGACATAACTGTGTTAATCCAGTGAAACAGTGATAAAGGTGGGAATTCAGGCACCATGGCAACAGGGTGTTTTTCTGGTTGGAAGACACAACCTCACAGTATGACCTGACTTATACCACATAGGTCCTGTCTTGGTCAGGGCTTTCAAAGTTGGATAAGCTATAATACCCTCAACATGATTTCTGCTGCCATCTAGATGACATGCTCTATGGGATTGTGGCATAATTTTAGATTTACTTGAATTTATGAAAAGCCAATAGAATGCTTTTTATAACAGTTAAAGTTGATAAAAAAAGTAAAAAAGTAAATAATCCAGGTTTGTGTCTGATCTGCTTCAGGCAGGAACATGAACTCACTTTAGAGTGGTAGAGATCTAGAAATGATTGTCTTCCTTCGAGAGTAGAATTGCCCTTTGTCTTTTTGGGATGATGAAACATAGATTGCCTGGTGAATGGGCAAGCACTCTTAGAACTAAAATTCTCAGCCCTCTGTTTTAATATCTTCCCCATCTACATCCCTTTGAAACTAAAATGTAAAAATCAGGATCAGGATTCTTTGGGAAATCAGCTTTAAAGGACACATAATTTATTTATTAGTGTTTGTATATATTTGATATCCTACTAGTCACCATCTAAACCAACTAGTTGATTCTCCCTGTGGATGTGACATTTGGTCATTCATTAACAAATATTTCTTGAGTGCCTACTACGTGCCAGATACTGTTCTAGATACTGGTGAACAAGATAGACACAGACCCTGCTCTCATGAAAGTTAAATAGACAAAAAACCAAACAACTAACAAATATAGTAACAACCCATTTTGATTTGTTTAAAAGAAAACCAATAGGATGTTTCCATAGAGAAAAGAAAGTGAGGACCAACTTTTGAGTGCCAGTAACAGAAAGCCAAACCAAAATTAGGTCAAATTATAAGGGATTTATTACACACTGAATGAGAAGTCTGGAGGTAAGGAACCCAGGGTTAATTCAGATATACAATATAAGTTTTATGAGGGACCCAGGCACATTTCATCTTTCTATTCTACCATCCTTAGTGTATGAGTAATGCTTTATTCATGGTTGTAAAATGTCTTCCAAAATTGTAAGCATCACATGTAGACACATAACAGCTAGTCAAGGGAAATTGGTGTTTAATTTTCTGTGTCTCTTTCTTTTTTTTCTCATCAAGAAAGGCCTTTCCAAAAAGGTCCCAAGTGGACTTCACTTTGTGTCAAATTTGTCAGATCTGCGTCACATGCCTATCCCTAAACTAGTCATTGACAAAAGTGCATGATACGATCATGATTGCTGGAGACAAATTGCGATTTACCAGCTAGAACTGGGAAGGGGCCAACCCCCCCTGGCCACATGACAGCCATATCCTTGAACAATATTATCATTGTCCTAGAAAATAGTAAGGTGGATGAAGGGTACCTGCTATAGGAGAAGTCAATATTTTCTGCCTTTGATAGGGCACTCAGGAAAGGCTCTTTTGATGAAATGATGTATTAACTGAGACAGGAAGGATGAGATGGATTCAGTCAAATGAAGCTTGAGAGATAGGACATTTCAGGCAGAGGGAAGAGCCTATGCAAAATAATTGAGATTGAAAGAGGTTGGCATCTTTGAGGACCTGAAAGAGGACCAGTGTGACTAAATGTAGCAAGTAATGGGAGAGCTACATGAAATGAGATTTGGGAGCAAGGCAGAGACTAGAACAATTAGGACCTTGTAAAGTGTGGCATAGACTTAAGATTTCTTCAAAGTGCAGTGGGAAACCACTGAAGGGCTTTAAATAGCTAAGGGTCATGACCTATATCTTAGGATTATTCTTGCTGCTATATTGAAAATGAATTAGAAAGTTAGCAAGAGTAGAATTTGGAGACCAATTAGGAGATTGTGGCAATGGTTCAGGCAACAGATGGTGGGGGCTTGGAATAGGGAGATAGAAAAATGTATGTGGAGAGAAGTGGAGAGAAATATTTTATAGGTAGAACTGACATGTCTAATGGCTCAGAGGTGGGGCAGGAAGAAAAGGGAAGAAGCAAAGACATTTTCAGGGCTTTTGGCTTGAGAAACTAGGTAGATGGTAGTCTCCTCCTCTTCCTCCTCCTTACCATCCACTTTCTTTTAACTGAGATGGGAAGTTCTGGGCAAGGAATAGGCTTTGACAGAAGTGGGAGTGTTGATCCAAGAGTTCTGTTTAGATATTTTAAGTTTGAGATAGTTGTGAGATATTCAAGTGGAACGGTCAAGTGAGTAATTGCATAGGAGACTCTGCAGCCCAGATGAAAGATCTGGGCCAGAGATACATATTTGGAAGTCAGCAGTGTAGAAATGGCATTCAAAACCAGAGAAATGGATGAGCTCACTTAGTGAAAAAGGTTAGGGTGAACAGAGGAGCGGGTTTAGTGCTAAGTTCTAAAGCACATGAACTTTGAGACACTGGGGGAGATGAAGAGAAGTCTGCAAAGGAAATTGAAAAGTAGAAGTCATTGAGGTAGAAGGAAAACCAAGAGAGACTAAGTGATTTACCCAGGGTTACACTGCCATAATCTCCTCTTAAGGGCTCAGGAAAATTATATAGAATCTTTTGAAAGGACAGAGTAGATAAGAAAAGGAAGAGGTAATTTTATACACATTTTAAAAACATTGTTTTCTTTCTTAATATAAATACTGCAGTAGGTACTTCTGGTTTCTGGTCTGACAAGTAAGGAGCTTAGAAGTTGCCATTGCTGTTATAGCTTAACAAGTAAAAACCTGAAGAAACTGAGAAGTCAACAACTCTTATTAGATCTATTAGAGAAGTGAGGTCACAAGGAAAACCACTGCCCCAATAACTGGAGAGACAGACAGGTGGGTATAGAGAATCACAACCTATAGAAGCCCATGAGCAGAAACCTTTATGGGAACCAATAACAGGGTAGGAAAACCTGAACTGATAATTGGCAAATTTCTGGAGACTCAGTGTGGGTAAGTCTGAGAGTTAAAAACTCCAGGAGACTTACTCATAGGAGTTCCCCACACTTTTTTAGGTTTTACCTCCAGAAATTCTATCAGGCCCTCACGGTGAATTTTGGAGAAAAATCCCCTTTTGCCTCTGGCAGGGAAAGGAGAAAAGGAATCATTTTGAAATACACCAGAGGACTCTGTGCTTCCTAACAAGGTTTTCCCTCAAGCCAAACTATTTTGCCAGAGCTTAACCTTTTGGGGTTTCATCAGAGCTTGACTGTTTTGGGGAAAGGAAATACCCAGCTTTGGCTCCCTCTAGCCATCTTGTCCCCACTAAGGGGGTAAAAATCTGAGAAGCACTGATGAAATTCACCATCCAGGAGCATAGGCTCATGAAAAAACCGAGACCTAACCGAAGGCCTATTTACTGTAGTTCCTTTCACCCAGTTCATCATGTATACCTTTCAACAAAAAATTACAAGGCATACTAAAAGGCAGAAAAACAACAACAACAAAACAAAACAAAAACAAAAACACATTTGAAGAGGCTTAGCAAGTATCAGAACCAGATTCAGATATGGAAGGAATGTTGGACTATCAGACCAAGAATTAAAAAAAATAAACAAACTATGATTCATATGCTAAGGGCTTTAGTAGAAAAAGTAGAGAACATGCAAGAACAGAGGGCAGTGTAAGCAGAGAGATGAAAATTAAAGAATGAAAAAGAAATGCTAAAGCTAAAAAGTACTATAACAGACATGAAGAACGCCTGTGATCAGCTCATAAGTAGACGGACATTATTAATGAAAGAATCTCTGAGTTTGAGGCTATGACAATAGAAACCTCCAAAATTGAAAAGCAAAGATAAAAAAGACTGAAAAAAATAACAGAATATACAAGAGCTGTGGGACAACTACCAAATGTGTGACATATATATAAGGGAATGCGAGGAAAAGAGAGAAAGAAACTTGAACAATATTTGAAGCAAGAATGACTGAGAATTTCCCAGAAATTAGTGTCAGACACCAAAACAAAGATCCAGGAAGCTCAGAGGATACCAGAAAAGATAAATGCCAAAATAACTATACCTAGGCATATCATTCAAACTTCATAAAATCAAAGATAAAGAAAAAATCTTGAGGGAAGCCAGAAGAAAAACAACCTTACTGATAAAGGATCACAGGTAAGAACTACATCCAACTTTTCTGAAACCAGGGAAGCAAGAGAGAGTGGAATAAAATATTTAAAGTGTTGAGATTATATTGAGATATGTCCTTGTATGCCAATTTTGCTGAGAGTTTTAATCATAAAGAGATACTGGATTTTGTCAAATGCTTTTCTGCATCTATTGAGATGATCATGTAATTTTTGTTTTTAATTCTGTTTATGTGGTGTATCACATTTATTGACTTGCATATGTTAAGCCATCCCTGCAGCCTTGGTGTGAAACCTACTTGATCATGGTGGTTTATCTTTTTGATATGTTGTTGGATTTGGTTAGCTAGTATTTTGTTGAGGATTTTAGCATCTATGTTCATGAGGATCATTGGTCTGTAGTTTTCTTCTTTGGTTATGTCCTTTCCTGACTTTGGTATTAGGGTTATACTGGATTCATAGAAGGATTTAGGGAGGGTTCCCTCTTTCTCTATCTTGTGGAATAGTATCAGTAGGATTGGTACCAATTCTTTAAATGTCTGGTAGAATTCTGCTGTGGATCCATCTGGTCCTGGACTCTTTTTGTTGGTAATTTTTAAATTAGCATTTCAATCTCACTCACCCCACAGCCAACATAATACTGAATAGGGAAAAGTTGAAAACATTTCCTCTGAGAACTGGAATAAGACAAGCAGACAAGAGGAAGAAATAAAGGGCATACAAACTGGTAAAGAGGAAGTCAAACTGTCGCTGTTTGCTGATGATATGGTCATTTATCTCGAAAACCCTAAAGACTCCTCCAGAAAGTTCCTAGAACTGATAAAAGAATTCAGCAAAGTTTTCAGATACAAAATTAATGTACACAAATCAGTGGCTGTTCTATACACCAACAGTGACCAAGCTGAGAATGAAATCAAGAACTCACTCACTTTTTCAATAGCTGCAAAAAAATAAATAAAATACTTAGGAATATACCTAACCAAGGAGGTGAAAGACCTCTACAAAGAAAACTACAAAACACTGCTGAAAGAATCATATATGACACAAACAAACAGAAACACATCCCATGCTCATGGATGGTAAAATCATTATTGTGAAAATAACCATACTTCCAAAAGCAATCTACAAATTCTGTGCCATCCCCATCAAAATACCACGATCATTCCTCACAGAATTAGAAAAAAACAATTATAAAATTCACATGGAACCAAAAAAGAGCCTGCATAGCCAAAGCAAGACTAAGCAAAAAGAACAAATCTGGAGGCATCACATTACCTGATTTCAAAGTATGCTATAAGACCATAGTCACCAAAACAGCATGGTACTGGTATAAAAATAGGCACATAGACCAATGGAACAGAATAGAGAATCCAGAAATAAACCCAAATATTTACAGCCAGCTGATCATCGACAAAGCAAACAAAAAGACAAAGTGGGGAAAGGACACCCTTTTCAACAAATGGTGCTGGGATAATTGGCTAGCCACATGTAGGAGAATGAAACTGTGTCCTCACCTCTCACCTTATACAAAAATCAACTCATGATGGATAAGGACTTAAATCTAAGACCTGAAACTATAAAAGCTCTAGAAGCTAACATTGGAAAAACCCTTCTAGATACTGGCTTAGGCAATGATTTCATGACCAAGAACCCAAAAGCAAATGCAATAAAAATAAAGACAAATTGCTGGTACTTAATTAAACTAAAGAGCTTTTGTATAGCAAAAGAACAGTCAGCAGAGCAAAGAGACAACCCACAGAGTGGGAAAAAAATCTTCACAATCTATATATCTGACAAAAGACTAATATCCAGAATCTACAATGAATTCAAACAAATCAACAAGAAAAAAACAAACAATCCCATCAAAAAGTGGGCTAAGGACATGAATAGGCAATTCCAAAAAGAAAGCATACAAATGGCCAACAACTATATGAAAAAATGTTCAATATCACTAATGATCAGGGAAATGCAAATCAAAACCACAATGCAATACCACCTTACTCCTGCAAGAATTGCCATAATTAAAAAATAAAAAAATAGTAGATGTTGGCATGGATGTGGTGAGCAGGGAATATTTCTACCTGCTGGTGGGAATGTAAACTAGTACAACCACTATGAAAAACAGTGTGGAGATTCTTTAAATAGCTAAAAGTAGAACTACCATTTGATCCAGCAGTCCCACTACTGGGTATCTACCCAGAGGAAAATAAGTCATTATACAAAAAGATACTTGCACACACATGTTTATAACAGCACAATTCACAATTGCAAAAACGTGGGACCAACCCAAATATCCATCAATTAACGAGTGGATAAAGAAACTGTGATATATATCTATATCTATAGATATATATATGAAACTGTGATATGTGTGTGTGTGTGTGTGTGTATATATATATATGATGAAGTACTACTTAGCCATAAAAAGGAATGAATTAATGACATTTTCAGGGACCTGGATGAGATTGGAGACTATTATTCTAAGTAAAGTAACTCAGGAATGGAAAACCAAACATCATGTGTTCTCACTGATATGTGGGAGCTAAGCTATGAGGAGGCAAAGGCATAAAAATGACATAACAGACTTTGGGGACTCAGGGAGAAAGGGTGGGAAGAGGGTGAGGGATAAAAGACTACACACTGGGTGCAGTGTATACTGCTCGGGTGATGGGTGCACCAAAATCTCACAAATCACCACTAAAGACCTTACTCATGTAACCAAACACCACTTGTTCTCCTATAACCTGTGGAAATAAAAATAAAATAAAATAAAGTATTGACAGAAAAAACCCACCAACCTAGAATTCTGGACACTGTGAAATTATGCTTCAAAAGTGAAAGAGAAATAAAGACTTTGTCTGACAAGCAAAAATTGAGAGAATTCATTGCCAGTAGATCTGCCTTGAAAGAAATGTTGAAAGAAATTCTTTAGAGAGAAGAAAATGATATGGATCAGAGACTTGGATCTACATAAAGAAAGGAAGAGCATAAACCAATAAATAAATGAAAGTAAAATAAAAATTTTTGTTTTTCTTATTCTTAATTGTTCCAGTAGATAACAGTTTATTCAAAATAATAATGACAACAATGCATTCAATTATGTATGCTTATGTATATATATGAATATATATGTGTATATCATATATATGCTTATGTATAAGCCAAATGAATGATAGCAATGATACAATAGATGGGAGGGGGAGTTAGGAATTTTTTTATTATAAGATACTTCTACCACCTGTGGAACAGTATAGTGCTATTTGAAAGTAAACTTGGATTAGTTGTAAATATATATTGTTAACTCTAAGACAACCACTAAAATAAGTAAAAAAAAAAGAAGTATAATTGATATGCTAAGAAAGGAGAGAAAATGGAATCATAAAGTGCATAATTAAAAGACCTAAACAGACACTTTACCAAAGAAGATATACAATTGGCAAGTAAGCATATGAAAAAATTTTCAACATATGTCATTAAGGAGTTGCAAATTAAAACAAGAATGAGGAACCACTAAACATCTATTAGAATGGCCCCAAACCAAACACTGACAATATCAAATGCTGACAAGGATGTGGAGCAACAGGAACTCTCTGTCATTGCTGGTAAAAATGGAAAATGGTACTGCCACTTTCGAAGACAGTTTGGCAGTTTCTTACAAAACTAATCATACTTTAACCATATGACCCAGCAATCGCACTCCTTACCCAGATGAATTAGAAACTTACACAAAAACACAAAATCATCTGCACAGATGTTATTGACAATCTTAATTGCCAATGTTTGGAAGCAATCAAAGTGTCTTTCTGCAGATGAATGGATAAACTGTGGTACATTCGAACAATGGAATATTGTTCAGCACTAAAAGGAGATGATCTACTAATACATGAAAAGACATGAAGGAAAGTTACATGCATATCTTTCCACTTAGTGAAAGAAGCCAATCTGAAAGTGCTACATCCTGCATAATTCCAACCCAATTCTGGAAAAGGAAAAACTGTAGACCAAAGATGAATGGTTTCCAGAGATTGGTGGGGGTTGGGGAGGGATGAATAGGCAGAGCACAGAGGTGTTTTTAGAGCAGTGAAACTATTCTAATGATACTTTAATGGTGGGCACATGTCAGTATATATTGGTCCAAACCCATAGAATGTACAACAACAAGAGTGAACCTTAATGTAAACCATGGACTTTGGCTAATATTGATGTGTCAATATAGTTTAATTGATTTTAACAAGTATACCTTTCTGGTGGAGGATGTTGTTGGTAGGGGAGGTTTGTGTGCGAAGGCAAGGGCTGCGCGGGATTTCTTGGTTCTTTCTGCTTTACTTTGCTATAAATCTAAAACTATTCTATAAAATAATGTTTATTAATTTAGAAAATTATACATGTTCATGTTGAAAATTTAGATGACATGTATAAAAAAATAAGAAAATGAAAATCACCCACAAGTCCATTTGTTACTTTCGTGTATAACTAACCAGTTTTCTTCCTTCTCTTCCTCCCTCTCTTCCTTCTTCATTCTTCTCTCCCTCTTGCCCCCCGCAAACACACACACACACGGTATGAGCATCTCAGTGGCTTCACACAATATAAGCTATTTTTCCTGCTCATGCTACATTGTCCAATATACATGGGCAAGGGGTCTCTGCTCACTGTAGTCACTTAAGGACCCAGTGTGACTAAAGTCCTTTCTCAACAAATGCTTCCGTGATCAATAAGGCAAGAAAAGGGGCATGTGGCAAATTAAGCACTGGCCCTTAAACATTCCACTCACATGGAATGTTACATTATATGACTGTGCCTAATGTCAGAGGGGATAGGAATACATTGCCCAGTTACATCATATGGCTGTGCCTAATGTCAGAAGGGATAGGAATACACAATCATATAATGTCCCTTGAAGGGGAGCATGAGAGATATGAACAGTCCTAATGATTACCAGAAGCATGCATATTTTAAAAACTCATGCTCAATATACCGTTGTGCAACCTCCTTTTAAACGCAATGTATTTTTAAAATAGTGTATTAAAATTTTTTCCATGCTGTTATAATTTGGATGTTTGTCCCCGCAAACCTCATGTTGAAATTTGATCCCAATGGTGGAGGTGGGGCCTAATGGGAGGTGTTGGGTCATGGGGAATCTCTCATGAATAGATTAATGCTGTCTTGCAGGGGCGAATGAGTTCTCTATTAGTTTTCCTGGGAGGTAGTTGTTAAAAAGAGCCTGGCACCTCCTTCCTCTCTGTCTTGCTTCTTCTCTCACCATGTGATTGCTGCACACACCCAGGCTTTCCTTTACCTTCCATCATAAGTAGAAACAGTCTGAGGCTCTCACCAGAAGCAGAGCCTGGCTCTACACATCTTGTACAGCCTGTAGAACTGTTAGCCAAATAAACCTGTTTTCTTTATAAATTATCCAGTGTCAGGTATTCCTTCAAAGCAACACAAAATGGACTAAAACATATGCCAATAAATATTCTCCTATAAGATGCTTTTTAATAGCTGTATATATGCAATAATTTGTTTAATCAATCCTCTCTTTAAACTGGTTCCAATATTTCTATGGCAAGTTACACTGCAGTGAAGACTCATTTGCATACATCTTTGTTCTCATTTATGATTCTTTCTACAGGATAAATTACTAGAGTCAAAAGAAATGCAGAATGTGAATACCTTTGCTACATTTATTTTAAAAGAGATGAGCTCTTGCTCCATCACCTAGGCTGGAGTGCAGCAGTGTGATCACAGTTCACTGCAGCCTCCAACTCCTGGGCTCAAGGGATCCTTGTGCCTCAGCCTCCTGAGTATCTGGGACCACAGGCATGTGCCACCATACCCGGCTAACTTATTTTATTTTACTTTTGTAGAGATGGGGTCTTACTATGTTGCCAAGGCTGGCTTTGAACTCCTGGCATCAAATGAGACTTCCACCTCAGCCACCCAAACTGTTGGTATTACAGGCATCAGCTACCTCACCCAGCTCATTTTTTTTGAGACGGGTTCTCACTCTGTCACCCAGGCTGCAGTGGACTGGTGTGATCATAGCTCACTGCAGCCTTGAACTCCTGGGCTCAGGTGATCCTCCTGCCTTAGCTTCCCAAGTAGCTGGGACCACAGGTACATGCCACCACACTCAGCTAATTTATTTTATTTTTGTTGAGGTGGGGATCTCACTATGTTGCCCAGGCTAGTGTCTAGCTCCCAGCCTCAAGTAATCCTCCCACCTCAGCCTTTCAAGTAGGTGCTACCATGTCTGGCTCTTTTTTTTAAATTTTTTGTGGAGATGGGGCCTTACTATGTTGCTCAGGCTTGTCTTGATGTCCTGGCCTCAAACCATCCTCCTGCCTCAGTTTCCCAAAGTTTTGGGATTATAGATTTGAGCCAGTGCAACTGGCCCTACTTTGCTATTTATTGTTAAATTTTCCTCCAGAATTTAAAAAATCAATTTATCTTCCTACAAGCAATGTGCAAGAGTGTACATTTCCCAGAATCTTACCAATTATGGCTATTATCCACTTTTTTTTGCTAATTTTCTCAAAATATCACTTGGTTTTACTTGTATTTTTCATTGCTTAATAGTGAGATTGAGCATTTTTGCGTGCTTTTTGGCCATTCTTATTTTGTGAATTGCCTATTTGTGTCTTCTGTACTTGTTTTTGCAGTGACACACCAGTATTAATACTTTACTCTTGTTCAGCCCCCACTCATAAACATACTTCTTTTCTCTCGTCCCCTTTTGAGCTTAAAAAGCCTAATAGTAACTAAGGCAACAAAACCTGCTAGGTGGTTGGACTCCAAAATAGTAGTAGTAATCATCCCGAAACCCTTAACAATAGTTTTTATTAACTGTGTATGGTGTGAAAAAAACTGTATTGTATATTCTGAGTATCTATCAGGATTCAGAGACATTTTTCATGAGTGCTTTCCTAGGTATATTGAGTCCCTATCCTTGGGGCATAATTGCTACATTCTGTGTAAATGGTGCCAACAGGAGTTGTGCAATGTGCTTGCCCTGCCAAGCACCTAAACATCTGGGGACCTGAGTTTTATTCATAACTACCAGCTTTAACTGATTCTACTGCTATTGTTTTCCGCTTTCTCTCTTCACCTACTTCATTTCAATTTCATCCATCAAGCGAATACTATTTTTCACCACAAAAGACATTACAAATTAGCATGGGTAAATGATTATTCTTAAAAAACATAGTAGCACAGTCATTGATTTAGGTAAAATGTGACACAAATCTTAATATGTAAAATGGATAAATGTAAAGATATTCTGATTGAAGCAGTTATGTGCTCTCCACTTTGCCTCCCCCTCATACTGCCTGCACAACTCTATGGACCTCCAAGATTTCCATGGAACACAATACGAAAACCACTGGTCTAATGGAATGGGCACTGGGCCTAGAATGAGGAGTATAACTAACTGGTTGTGGGACCTTAAATGTGTTGTTTAACATCTCTGATACTTGCTTTCTGAATCTATAAAGTGGGAAAATATAAAATTGATTATTACCTATTGAGCACCCTGTACCAAATCACTGTACTGGATAGTAGAGAGGATTCACATAATGCAAGAGGCAGTCCATGTTCTTAAGAAGTTTATAATTCACTTAACACCTTAACACCTATTCTACTTATCCTCTAAGATGCTTATGAGATCTGATAAAATGGCAGGTGCAAATAAAAATGACAATATGCAAATGTTTGGAAGAAGTAAAAACATTGTATGACAAATGCAAAACAGTATTGTATATATTGAGTTATCATTAATATTTTATTGGCTATGTCAAAAAGTCAGAGGTTTTTTGAATTTTAAATAGACTGCTTTATAGAGATTGATCCACTTAATTGAGAAATGGTGTCTCCTGTCTCCTTCCCCAGAGCTCACCAGTATTTCAGAGGCTTGAGGAGTGCTTCACATCTGGAAACCACTGTCAAATCCCAAGATTTGGCACAAAACCCACCCACTGGTGAAGAGCAGTCACTGAGCAAACTTTCTAGAATTCTGAGGCTGGGCTTGGCTTGGAGGAATAACTATCTCAGTAGGCCTCAACCAACAGTCAACACCAGAGTGTGCACTATTATGTTAGCACATGTTAAAAGGGTAGAGGGCAACACATGACATTAGGTCCTCAGGAGTTAGCAGGCAGGTAGGTGCATTTGGGAGATCTGCCTGTTGGTAGCAGGATTCTAACCAGTGAGTGGAGATTCAGGTGAAGGATCTGAGCCTAAGAGTATTGGGGCCCTAGTCAGGAGCACCAGGAAGAATTTGGAAATTGAAAACAGCAGAAGTCCAGGCTAATTGGAGGAGTTTGGGTCCTTATGGTCTTTCAGGCTAGAAAACTAATCACACAAGATGAGTAGAAAGCAAGCAGAATCTTTTTCTACTGCAATACTTATGAGGTGGTAGCTAAAATGGGGAGATAAATAACATGGCATGGTTGCTGGAGGAACTCCCTAGAAAGAAACTCTTTCATTTCCCTATGGCATCAACACGCCAAGGATAAACTTTCGGGAAGAATTTAAAGTTCATTTTATTGTTACATTTCCTGTGCTCTGTGGCACAAGATACAATGTATAAGGGGAAGGGGATTTTTTACTCAAAATGTTTCCTAAATACTAAAGCCATTGTTACTCTTGATAACAAAAGGCAATTGAATTCTTTAGGCTGTGATTATGACACTGCTGCACTATTTTGTGTCTGCTCAAGAGCAATTAGGGCAAAAGCTTTCCAAATTTACAGCTCTCTCTTTTCAGAATGCAGGATGGGGGATGAATTACCGTGGACTAGAGTGAATATGAAGAAACAACCTGCGTTAGAAGATTTTAGCAATCCAAGTGGGAGGTATTGGTAATTTGACCCCACGTGATGGTGATGCATATAATGAGAAGTAGATCTATTGGCAGTACATTAAGGTTGTAAAATCAACAGAAATTAGTGAATGATTGGATATGTGTGTAGTGTGGGGGAGGTGTGCTGGTGGTAAAATTGATGTGAAGGAGAGGGGAATGTCAAAGATGAGTCCTGGGCTTCTGCTTTACAAATATGGATGTCTGATGGTGCCATCCACTAGGAAAGGAGGGAGTGGAAGCAACTAGGTTTGGAGAAAGAAAGCTTTAAGTTCAGTTTTGGACATATTGAATCTGCAGTGCTTTTGAGACTTCAAGAGGAAATGTTGAGTAGAAAGTCTGAAGTTTGGGGAAGAGGTCTGAGCCGGAGACATAAATTAGGTGAGTCATTTTTGAGTCACACTATCCCCAGTATTCTGTAATTTGTTTCCTACTCTTAGTAAGTCATGTGCATTTTCAATTCAATACATATTGATTAATCTCATTTGTGAGCCATATAGTATTCCATAGTATGTACAAATATACTGTAATTTATTAAACCATTCCCTCATCAATGGCCATTCAAGTTGTCTCCAGTTTATTTTTAAATTGTTACAAATGCTTCAATAAACAAATTTACACATATATCTTGATATATTAATACTAGTGCTTTAATGTCTGATGGATGCATTCTCAGAAGTAGGATTGCTGGGTCAAAAGTTATGCATATTTTAATTTTAATAAATTTTTCCAGATTGGCAGTATAACGCAGTGGTTGAGAGCATAGGCTCCGGAATAAAAGGGTCAGGTTTCAAATCTTCATTCCACCAATTACTAGCTGTGTAACCATGGGCAAGTTATTTAATATCCTCTGTCTTAATCAGTTTCCTCTTCTATAATCAGGAAATATCTATCTCATGTCTGTTGTGAAGATTAAATGAGATAATATGTTTATATAAAGTGCTTAGAAAGTCTGTCACAATAAATGCAATAAATGTCATATTATTATTATTATTAGAGAAGGACTTTTGCTCTTGTTGCCCAGGCTGGAGTGCAATGGCACGATCTCGGTTCACCGCAACCTCCGCCTCCCGGGTTCAAGTGATTCTCCTGCCTTAGCCTCCCGCGTAACTGGGATTGCAGGCATGCGCCACCACGCCTGGCTATTTTGTATTTTTAGTAGAGACGGGGTTTCTCCATGTTGGTCAGGCTGGTCTCGAACTCTCAACCTCAGGTGGTCTGCCTGCCTCGGCCTCCCAAACTGCTGGGATTACAGGTGTGAGCCACTGCACCCAGGCATTATTTCAAAAAACTAATATTTGTTTACAGCTCCACCCACAGTGTCAAAGAATACCTAGTTCCCAACAAACTCAAAAGCACACTGTGTCATCAATTTTTTAAAAATGTTCCTGTCATGTCCAGTTCTGACCATGAGGGAGTAGCTGGTCTCAGGCTTATTCTCCTGCCATGAACAACTATAGAAACTTGACAAAATATATAAAACAACTATTTAAGGCATTTGACAGTAATCAAAGTAGGACTGCAAACTTTGAGAGAGATAGAGGAAGTATATGATTCAAGCCTAATATTCACCCAAGTGAATATACCCTGGGTATATTTCCCAATGTAGCAGGGAATGGTGCCCTCCCTGGGCAGTAGAGGCAGAGATCATAGTTTTTGAACTACCAAAGTTGGCTGGAATTTCTGGCAGGTTGCTATAGAGACTGGAACCAGGGAGAGGTAATCCCAGAAGCGCATGTGTTTTCATAATGACTCTTAACATCTACCAGGCAGTGGCCTAAGTGCTTTTAGCTTTAACTTAATCTTCACAATAATCCTAAACAGTCAGTTTATTAGAAGTATGTTTATGCAGCTGGGCGTGGTGACTCACGCCTGCAATCGCGGCACTTTGAGAGTCCAAGGTGGGGGGATCACGAGGTCAGGAGTTTGAAACCAGCCTGCCCAATATAGTGAAACCCCATATCTACTAAATATAAAAAATTACAGGTGGCGAGTGCCTGTAATCCCAGCTACTCCAGAGTCTGAGGTAGGAGAATTGCTTAAATCTGGGGGGTGGAGGTTGCAGTGAGCCAGGATTGTGCCACTGCACTCCAGCCTGAGCGACAGGGCAAGAATCTGTCTTGAAAAAACAAAAACAAGAAGTAGGTTTATTATTTTTCTTATTTTACAGATATAGGTTTTTAATTATTCCTGTTTTATAGAGAAAGAAAAAATGGAGGAATAGGGAGGGTAAGTAACTTTCCCAAAGTAACACAGCTCATGGTGGTGAACTTGGATTTGAAACTAGGCAGCTACTATACCATACTGTCTTTCTGAAAAGCGGTACTAGTTTAAGTGTCTTACACATATCAACTCATAAAATAACCATTATTAATATTACTTTAAAGTTAGGGAACTTGAGGCACAAAATTACCTTCACAGCTAGGAATTACTGGAGCTGAGATTCAAACACATGTAGTTAGGTTCTGATATTTTTGCCTTAAATACTGTATCACCTCTCTGTTTCATTCTTTGTAGTTTTTATCTGGAGTGGCTGCAGAATGTAACATCTTTTAATTATTATTTGTTGACCTAATTACATGGATTTTCTCTTTAAAATTTTAAAATATAAACCATTTTGTTAATTTCTTAATGTCTTTCATAAACTACAGGATTTTTAAAGTGATTTTATTTAAAATTTTTGTATTTGTGTGATGAACATTTTTTCTCTTTTTGTATGTTTGTAAATATTTTGTATTTAGGTTGTGAAAATTTGGTGAAATAAGTTGGGAAGTTTTCCACACTCTGTATTCCAATTTTTAAAAACATAGACATTATTCATGCTATGTGTGACTTCTTGTGACTGTTTTTTACTTGGCATAACTTTTTGAGGTTCATCCATATTTTCACATGTATTAACACTTCATACTTTTTTTGTGGCTTAATGGTGTTCCATTGTGGGAATTTACCACATTTTGTTTTTCATCTGTTGATGGACGTTTTGGTTGTATTCACTTTTGGACTATTGTAGCTGGTGTTCCGGCGGACATTCAGTTTTTGTTTTCAATTCTTTGGGATATATGCCTTGGAGTGACATTGTGGGTCATGTGGTGGTTCTGTGTTTGATGTTTCTGAGGGGCCACCAGGCTGTTTTCCATGGTGGCTGCATTGTTTGCATTCCCACCAGGAGTGCAGAAGGGTTCCAATTTCTCTACATCTTCCTCAGCACTAGTAGTTTTTGATACTGCAAAAAATTATAGCCATCCTACAGTGGATGTGAAGTGGTGCCTCACTGTGATTTTGATTTGCATTTTCTTGGAAATTGGTAGTATTATCTTTTTCATGTGTTTCTTGACCATTCGTGAGTCTTCTTTAGAGAGATATCTATCCAAGTTACTTGCCCACTTTAAATTGGGTTTTTGTCTTTTGGTTGTGGAGCTGTGGGAGTTCTTTATATATTCTGGATATGAGGCTCTGATCAGATATGTGATTTGTGAATGTTTTCTTCCATTCCATGGGCTTTTTACTTTGTTGATGATGTCCTCTGATACACAAAAATAAATTTTGATAAAGTCCAAATTATCTATCATCTTTAAATCATCTGGGACTGGGGTCATTTAAAAATGGTATATCTATAATAGTTTTTTTTTCAATTTTTCTATTGTTTTTTCAAAATTTTTCTTTATATAAAATTTGCTTACCTACATTTAGAGTTTTAAATTTATTGCCAAATATTTCATCTGCCACATCATCTTAGAATTTTTAAATCTCTTCAATATTTGCACTTCCTCTTCTTTCTCCCATCTAAAGTTGTATATTTCAGCTGTTCCCTTTTTGTCCTAATCAGGATTTATCTATTTTGTTTTTTGAAGGTGTCAGTATTGTTGCTTGTTTATCATTCAAATTTTGGAGAAATTTCATTTTGATTTGCTTTCTTTTTCAACTTCTATCTTTATTAGTTCCTTGCTCTATTTGTTTTCATTTTTATTGTTGTTCTTTTTCCAGTTTATTAAGTTGGATAACTAACTTAATTATTTCAAGTATTCTTTTTAATAATGAAGATATTTTAGGCACTAGTATTCTTTGGAGTACAATTTTATACATATCTATGTCTTTTAAAAAGGGTTCCTTTTTTTCTTTCAATTTTTAAAATTGTGATAAAATACACATAACATAAAATTTACCATTGTAACCATTTTTAAGTGTACAGTTAAGTGATATTAAGTACATTCATATAATTTTGCAACAATCACCACCATGCATCTCTGGAACTCTTTTCATCTTGCAAAGCTGAAATTCTATATTCGTTAAAAAATAGTCCTCCATTACTCCTTCCTCACAGCTCCTGGCAACTACTATTCTGCTTTTTCTCTCCAAAAATTCAACTACTCTGCATCTCATATAAGTGGAATCATACAATATTTGTCTTTTTGTGAATGACTTATTTCACTTAGCATAATGTATTCAAGGTTCATCCATATTATGGCATATGTGAAATTTTTCTTCCATTTTACAGGTGGAATAGTATTCTACTGTGTCTATATACCACATTTTGTTTATTCATCTGTTGATAGACACTTGGGTTGCTTCTGTACTTTAGCTATTGTAAATAATGCTGCTATAAACATGTGTATACAAATATCTCTTTCAAGACTCTGCTTTCAATCCTTTTGGGTATATACCTAGATGTAAAATTGCCAGGTGGAATGGCAATTTTATTTTAATTTTTCGAGGAACCACTATATTGTTTCCCACAGTGCCCATATCATTTTGCAGTCCCCTCGACAGTGCATAAGGGTTCCAATTTCTCCATGTCCTCATCAACACTTATTTCATGTTTTTTTTAATAGTAGCCACACTAATGGATGTAATGTGTTATCTCAATGTGGTTATTATTTGTAGTTTTCTAATGATTACTAATGTTGAGCATCTTTTCAAGGACCTATTGGCTATTAATATATCTTCTTTGGAGAAATGTCTATTCAAGTTTTTTGCCCATTTTTAGTTGGATTGTTTGGGGTTTTGTTTTTGTTGTTGAGTTTTAGTGTTCTCTGTATATTCTGGATATGAATTCGTTAGCAGACATATGATCTGCAGATATTTTATACCATTGCCCAGATTGCCTTTTCAATATGTTGATAGTATTCTTTGATGCATAATAGTTTTTAGTTTTTATCATTTTTAGTTTGTTTATTTTTGCCTTACTTACTTGTACTTTTGGTGTCATATCCAAGAAATCATTGCCAAATGCAATGTTGTAAAGCTCTCGCCTATTTTCTTCCAAGAGTTTAATGGTTTTAGCTCTTATATTTAAGTCTTTGATCCATTTTGAATTAAAGATTAGCTATGTACAAAAATTGTACATAATATTAGTTAAGGGTCTGACTTTATTCTTTTGCATGTGGATATCCAGTTTTCTCAGCACCTTTTGTTGAAAAGACTCTCTTGTCCCCTCTTAAATGGTCCTAGAACACTTGTCAAAGATCATTTGATCATATATGTGAGGATTTATTTCTGGGTTCCCTATTTTATTAATTGATCTATATGTCTATCTTTATTCCAGTGCCATACTGTTACAATAACTGTAGCTTTCTGGTAACTTTTGAAATAAGTAAGTGTGAGTGCTACAATTTTGTTCTTTATTTTCAAGATTGTTTTGGTTATTCCTGGTACCTTGAAATTCCATAAAAGTTTTAGGATTGATTTCTTATTTCTGGAAAAAAATATAATTGGGATTTTGAATGGGATTACACTGAATCTGTAGATTGCTTTGGGTGGCACTGGAATCTTAACATTAAGTTTTCCGAGCCATTAAATATGGGAAGCCTTTCCATTTGTGACAGTGTATATTGGTCTCTTCCCTTGTTTCCTGACACAGAGTATCTAAAACTTGCAATTTCTTGAGTGATGGGGTGATAGCAGTATCTTTTGTTATAACATTTTGTCTTCATTCTTGGCTTCTGATACAAGAGCTTCTAAGACCTCTGGAATCTCCAGAGTAATAAATTGTCTTTGTATACTAATGAGATAATTGGTGACTGGGCCCCTGGATAGCTTTGGGAAGGATGCTGGTTGCCAGAGGAACTAACCAGGTGATTAGAAAATTGAAACTTTTACCTTGACTCCCCATACCTCCGGGGAGGAGAGAGGGTCTGGAGATTGAATTAAATCACCAATGGCCAATGATCTAATCAATCACATCTATGTAATGCAATCTTCATAAAATCCCTGAAAAACAAGATTCAGAGAGCTTCTGTGTTGATGAATGCACTCACATGCTGAGAGTGTGGTGAACCTCAAACTCCACAGAGACAGAAGTTCCTGTGCTTGGGACTCTTCCAGACCTCACCCTATGTATTTCCTCATTTGGCTGTTCATTTGTACCATTTATAATATCCTTTTTAATAAACCAGAAATCACAAGTAAGTCCCTAAGTTCTGTGAGCTGCTATAGCAAATTATCAAACCTGAGGAGGGGTCATGGGGATCCCTGATTTGTAACCAATTAAGTGTGGGTAACCTGGGGGCCTAATACTTGTAATTGGCATATGAAGTCGGAGGCAGTCTAGTGGGACTGAGTACTTGACTTGTGTGGGTCTGACACTAACTCTGGGTAGCTAGTGTCAGAATTGAATTAAATCACTGGGTACCCAGTTGCTGTCTGCAGAGAATTGGAGGATTGCTTGGTGTGGGGAAAGAAACCCATACATATGGTGTCAGAAGTCTTCTGAGTAGAGAAAACATTTTTTCCTTCACCATTTATTTTTCTCTTTATTTTCTTTCAGCATTGTTTTGTAGTTTTCATTGTACAAGTCTTTCACTTTCTTGCTTAAGTTTATTTGTAAGCATTTTTGATGCTATTATAAATTGTTTTCTTAATTTCCTTTTCAGATTATTCATTGTTAGTATATAGAAATGTTACTGAGTTTTGTGTGTTGACTTTGTATCCTGCTACTTTGCTGATTTTTTAAATTAGTTCTAGCAGTCTTTTGGTGGACACTTTTGAGTTTTCTATGTATAAGATTATATCCTCTGTGAACAGAGATAATTTTACTTCTTTCTTTCTAATTTGGACGCCTTTAATTTTTTTTCTTGACTAATTGCTCTGGCTAGGACTTCTAGCAGTATGGTGAATAGAAGTGGTTGGAAGAGGGTATCCTTGCCTTGTTTCTGATCTTAGAGGAAAACATTTCAACTTTTACTACTGAGTATGATGGTAGCTATGAACTTGTCAGTCTTTATTTTGTTGAGGTATGTTCCTTCTATACCTAATTTGTTGAGAGAACTTTATCATGAAAAGGTGCTGACTTTTGTCAAATGCTCTTCTTCTTCTATTGAGATGATCATGCAGTTTTTGTCTTTTATTTTGTTAACATGGTATAGCACATGTTTTGTTTTCTGTATGTTGAATCATCTTTGTATAACAGGGATAAATCCCACTTGATCAAAGTGAATAATTCTTTAAATGTGCTGTTGAACTTAGTTTGCCAGTATTTTGTTGAAGGATATTTGTATCTAGGTTTATCAGGGATATTGGCCTGTAATTTTCTTTTCTCTTAATTTTATTTATTTATTTATTTAGAGACAGAGTCTCACTCTGTCACCCAGGCTGGTGTGCAGTGGCGTGATCTTGGCTCACTGGAACTTTCGTCTCCTGGCTTCAAGCGATTCTCCTGCCTCAGCCTCCCAAGTAGCTGAGATTACAGGCACCCACCACCATGCCCAGCTAATTTTGTGTATTTTAGTAGAGTTCGGATTTCACCATGTTGGTCAGTCTGGTCTTGAAGTCCTGGCCTCAAATGATCTGGCTGCCTCAGCCTCCCAAAGTGCTGGGATTACAGACATGAGCCACTGTACCTGGCTTAATTTTCTTTTCTTTTAGTGGTGTTGTCTGGCTTTCATATTAGGGTAATGCTGGCCTCATAAAATGAATTTGGAAGCATTCCTTCTTCTTCATTTTTTGGGAAGATTTTGAGAAAGTTTGGTATTAGTGCTTCTTTAAAAGTTTGGTAGAATTTAGCCATGAAGCCATGAGGTCCTGGGCTTTTCTTTGAACTACAAAAGACTCTGAATAGCAATAGCAATCTTGAGCAAAAAGAACAAAGCTAGAGACATGCATCACACTACTCAATTTCAAACTATACTACAAAGCTATAGTAAGCAAAACGACATGGTACTGGCATAAGACCAGACACATTGACCAATGGAACAGCATAAAAAATGCAGAAATAAGTTTTCCCACTTATGGTCAATTGAATTAATGAAGGTGCCAAGAATACACAGTATGGAAAGGACAGTCTTCTCAATAAATGATGTTGGGAAAACTGGATATCTACATGCAGAAGAATGAAATTGGACCCTTATCTCACACTGTATGAAAAAATCACCTAAAATGGATTAAAGACTTAAGTGTAAGACTTGAAATGGTAAAAACTAGAAGAAAATATAGGGGGAAAGCTTTATGACATTGGTATGGGTGGTGATTTGGATATGAACCTAAAAGCACAGGCAAGAAAAGCAAAAATATACATAAGAGGTTGCATAAACTAAAAAACTTCTACACGGTAAAGGGAACAATTAAAAGAGTGAGGAGACAACTCATGAATTGGGATAAAATATTTGCAAATCGTACATATGATTAGAAGGCTAATATCCAAAATATAACTCTATAATTCAGTAAGTAGCAAGAAAACAAATATCCCAATTAAAAATAGGCAAAGGACCTGAACAGATATTTCTCAAAAGAATACACACAAATGGCCAAAAGATGTACAAATAAGTGCTCAGCATCATATGATCACTAATCATCAGGTGAGTACAAATTGAAACCACAATGAAATACTTCCTCACACCTATTAGAATGGTTATTATAAAAAAGATGGAAGACAAATGTTGGCAAGAATATGAAGAAAAGGGAATGCTAGTATGCTGTTGGTGGGAATGCAAATTAGTACAGCCATTATGGAAAACAGTGTGGAGGTTCCTTACAAAACTAAAAACAGAATTAAAGCAATCCCACTTTTGGGTATATATTCAAAGGGATTGAAATCAGTATATTGAAGATATTTGCATTTGCATGTTAATTACAGCATTATTCACAAGAGCTAAGATATGGAATCAACGTAAATGTTTGTCAATGAATAAAGAATATGTGGTATATACACCCAGTGGAATATTATTCAGCCTTATAAGAAGGAAATTCTATCATTTGAGACAACATGGATGAACGTAGAGGACATTATGCTAAGTAAATAAGCCAGGCACAGAAAGATGAATAGTGTATGATCTCACTTACATGTGGAATCTAAAAAAGTTGAACTCATAGAGGTAGAAAGTAGAATGGTGGTTACCAGAAGCTGAGGAGAGGGATGAGGAAAGGGGAGATGTCAAAAGATACAAAGGTTCAGTTAGACAGGAGAAATAAGTTCTGGTGGTCTCTTGCACAGCATGGTGACTGCAATTAATAATAATACGTTATATATTCCAAAATTGCTAAAAGAATAAATTTTTAAGTGTTCTCAGCACAAAAGTAAGTAGGTAAGATGTTAGATGTGTTAATTAGCTCTTTTTAATTATTTCACAATGTTTACATATATCAGAACATCATATTGTGCCTCAGAAATATATATATGCACAATTATTACTTATCAATTGAAATTATCTATTTATCTATCTATCTATCTATCTATCTATCTATCTATCCATCCATCCATGTTATACCTACAATTTGACTCAGCCATTCCATTTCTATTCCTGGGTATTTACTCCAGAGAAATGAGAGCATATTCTATGAAAACTTTGTACATTGTACATAAATGTTCATGGCAGCTTTATATAAAATAGCCAAAAATGGAAACAAAGCATGTCCATCAGCAACTGAATGGATAAATTGTGATACATCCATGCAATGAAAATAGCATTCAACAATGAGAAGAAACAAAAATTATTGATATATGCATGGCATGAGTGAAATTAACAATAATTATGCTGAGGTGAAAGAAGCAAGTCAAAAATAGGAGTACATGCTGAATGATTCCCTGTATATAAAATTCTAGGAAATGTACACTAATCTGTAGCAACAAAAATTAGATCACTGGTTGTCTGAATATGGATTGGGGGAAGGGAGGAATGGGTTATAAAGGGCACAAAGAAACCTTTGGGGATGGTGAATGCATTCATTATCTGGATTGTAGTGATGGTTTCATGAGAGTATACATATGTCAAAGTTCATCAAGTTTTATACTTTAAATGTACTATTTATTATTTGGCAATTACAGCTCAATAAAACCACAAGCAAACAAAAAACCTTTACTGTATGAATTTATTAAGGTTCCTTTGTGTCAAATACAGGGTTGATTATTATAAATGTTCCTTAGCCATAAGAGGAAAACATATATTCTTTGAAAGGAAAATTTTTGATTGAATGACTCATCCCTATGTCCTTACTAATTTTTCCCTTCTTGATCTGTCATATTCTAAAAGACATCTATTAACATTCTCTATTATGTATGTATATATATACATATAAACTCCTGGGAGTTTTTGCTGGTATATTGTTTGGTGCATAAAGATTTAACTATTACATATTATATCTTCTTAGCTTTTTTTACCATTATGCCTTTTAAAGTGCTTGCTCAAATGTTACTTTCTCAAATCAGCTTCTCCTATCCCATCTGAAGCATTCCCTACTACTTTTGCCCACTTTTAAAATTTCTGTTTATAGCATTTTTCATGTTCTAATATACCAAATAAGTTACTTTTTTGTTTAATATTTTTCTTCTACTGTAGAACATGGTCCTCAAGAACAGTTCTTTTATTCTGTTTGGTTATTGTTTCTTCCTTGTCCTAACAGAATGCCTGACACATAGTAGGTATTCAATGAATAAATCAGTTGCAAAATGTTTCTCTTTGTACCATTTAATAGTTTTCACTTTAATTTCCATTTTCTGATACCAATATCACTACTCTTACATGCTTTTTGTTTATATTTGCCTGATATATTTTTGCTTATTTCTTTATTTTCAACATTTATTTCATAATTCAGTCTGAGAATTTCTTTTACAGGGAGTTCAACCCCATTTACATTTGTCGTACTGACATACTTGTATTTTTCCTTTTTTCTCATTTTGTGCTTACTGTTAGGCTGGAATTATTTGCTCAGTTACTGTTTCTTATATTTGCTGGATTTTTCAGATTGAGAAAAATTCATTCTTTGCTGTTATACATTCTCTATTTTTCTAGTACTACATTTCTACAATTTTGTAGTATTTAAAGCTAAATTCTTCTATCAAAATGCCAAAATTAAATGTTATGCTTTCCAACCCCCAAAATGTTTTACTGCAATGTTCCAACTAACTTCTTACTAAAAGTGAGACATTTACAAAGCTTTTAAATCCTCACTCCTTCTTTCCTCAACAAAATCCCACATTTTGTTAAAATAATATTTTTTTCCAGGGTAAGATTATATTTACCTTTACAAGAAGGAAGTTATAGCTCAATATATTTTTCTTAGCATTTATATTACAAATTATTTTTATATTACCATTATCTACCTACAAATTTTTTTGAATTAAAAATTTTAAATTCTTTGATGTGTTATATTTGAGTTCTTTGGTGTACTATAATTTTCATTTGGAAAAATGTTCTCTTTGAGTATTTTACTTATAAAGAATACCTGAGTGTCCTACTTTCTAAACTCAATCACGTCCTTACTTATTTTTTTTCTTTTATTCTCATGCATGAATATTTGATTAAATCTCTTCTCCCCAAACATGTGTATATATTGTTCCCATGTCTTCCAACTTCCAGTGTTGAAGAAGAGAAGTTTAGTGTTTGTTTAATTCTTTTTTTAATGCATGTTTCATATGTCTGGATATTGGTAAGATTTTTATTGTAGCTAAGTTATTTCAACAGACTTTCTAGGTTTGTGACATTCATTCTCTCCTTGACCCCCTGCCTCACTGTTATAAAAGATGACACCATGCACCTGTCATGTCCTCTGGAGAAGTGTCAGCCTCAGATGCAATTAAGATTCTCTCTAGGCTTTTCCACCAGCAAATCATATTTATTTAAATTAAGAAGTCCTCAAATATGACTAGTATAGTTAGAATCACCTTAGGAGTTTTTAAAAACATACTGATCATCTGCCCCCACTCCCCCAGTTGGATCAGAATTTCTGATGGTGGAATCTGGAAAAATGTGGCACTCAGGCCACATTTTCTGAATTGTTTGCTTAATGGTTTCCTCTGCTGGATATCTTGTTTATTGTTATGTCCCCAGGGAAGAGGCCAATAAAGATTTGCTAAATGAATCAATTAATGCGGTACAATTTTAAAAATTATAATAATTACTTATTTTTAATGTATAGTATTTGCACATCATGTAAAATCCTAAAGCCTCAAAGTATGGTATATACAACAAGGCTCCTTCTCAACCCTGTTTCTCAGTCAACAAATTCCTCTCCCTAGAGGCAACCACTTGTTAACCATTTCTTGTATATTTTTCCAGAGACATTCTATGCAAATTAAAGCATATAGTCTCCTGTGAATGATTAAATTTGGGGGTCAAAGTGTATGAAATATCTTGGTATTCTTTGAATTAGCTCCACTTAGTTCTGATTGCTTATGCTTTTTAATGTACTACAGAATTCTATTTGGTAATATTTAACTTGGGATTTCTGCATAACATTTTTGCTATTCTCCTCTGAGACCCATGTGTATTTTGTCCCAATTTTGTGTTTTTTAAGTTACAACTTTGGTAAGGATTAATGCGCTAACCCCTCATAGGTAACCTATTTGTATTCAAATCAAAGCTTTCTGGAAAATTATGTTCTAATTCAGTGTTTTTCCAATAGTTTTCGCTAAGCGTTCGAATCACTTGTACAACTTTTTAAAATTACAAGTGTCAGACCTTGCTTAAGAGCAGGGGTTAGCAAACTGTGGCCTGTGGTCCAAATCCAAGCTGTTGCCTGTTTTTTGCAAATAAAGTTTTATTGGAACACAGACATACCTTTTCACTTATGTATTATTTATGGCTGGTTTCACACCACAGTGCAGAATTGGGTAGTTGTAAGAAAGCCTACATGATCAGAAAATCTTAAAATATTTACTATATTGTCCTTTGCAGAAAAAGTTTGTTGAGCTTTCTCAATACCCATGGAGTCAAAATGTCTGGTAGTGGGGTCTGAGTGTTGAATTGTGAAACAAAATCATGAAAGCTGTTTCTTATTTGCACTAATGTTCGACTAGCAGATTTTTTGTTATTGTTGTTCTTTCAACACTTTGAAAATGCCATCTCGTTATCTTCTGGACTGTAAGATTTCTGCTGAGAAATCCACTGTTAGTTTGGGTTCTCTTTATATGTGACTGGGTGCTTTTCTCTTGCACTAATGTTTGAGAAGCAATATTTTAACATAAAGTTAAATAAGAATGTGGCTATCATTTGCTTCCTATGCTAGAGTTTCCTTTCTGTTTCCTTATCTACTACCTTGCCCTGCCTTTGAAAATTCAACTCTTTTGTTAAGGCTCTATTAATTTCCACAAAATCTTCCTTCCATTATGTTCCCCTCACCATCCCCTAACTAAAGCCATAGTGACCAATGAATAAATATTTATAGAATAAATGGCTTGTCCACCCCGAATTTTAATGTTTTTAGCCTGTATTTTGTTTTACGTATGCTTGCAGATATACAGGCATGAATCTCAGTCCACAAACTAATGTGTACAAGAAATGAAATTTTATTTTCTGATAAATTTCAACTTAGAATCTTCATTCCAACAGAGTTTGAAAACTTAATTGTAGTCAGTTTGGGGCTATCACACTTTTTTCCTGTGGGTTGCATCTAAGTTATTGAGGGGTAGGTGGAGAACTCATTTAGTGCCAAGATATTGGGAGGTGATCTACTATATCCTCAATATCATCTGCTCATATAGGCGTCTGCTGAGATGTCCATAGTCCCATCTGAGCCTTCATCAAGTGTCCGTAGACACCATCAGGAAAGATACTCCTTGCTGTTACCCTCATTGCTCCTTTAGGTTGATTGGTTTTTTCTGCTATTTTCATGTTACTATTGTGCTCATGTGAATTACTCAGCTGTTCCTGCACCATGATGAGGTGTAGTAAATTTCTGTGACACAGTCTATGGCCCCTTCTGCCTGAACACATGTAAGCCATTTTTTCTCTGGTGTATCTTATTGTTTCCCAAGGGATTTACTTAAAAATGAGGCCCAAATTCTCTATCTCTTGGAAACCAAAAACCTATGTAACTTTTGTTTCTGGACCCTTCTCTGGGATCATTTGACATTTATATTCTCATTATTTCCTCTCCAACTTTCCTTAGTTCTCTCATCCTGGGAAATCTTTTTCTGTTCTTGTGGAGGAATAGTTGGAGTAATCTTTGCTTTCTCACAAATATTATTTGTCTGTGTTGTGAGCCCTTTGCTAGGCTTTTGAAACTTAAATGCCAAGATGAGAAGCCTTTTGCTCCCCACTGCTTTATGCTGTTTCTGTTGTTTGCTGTCTGCCAAAGCAAAATGAGCAGAGAATTGTTTAGCTGTTCAATGAAGGTAAGGATAAGGAGAAAAATAAACTCTTGGGAAGAAATGGTTGATATTTTAAAAACATAATCTTACCCAAAAGGTACATCACTATCACCTAATGACAACAAATTAGCATACATATGGTTTGTCATTGTTTTCTACTTTCTAGTGTGTTCCTTTGTCTTTCCCAGTTTGGTTCCTAAAGAACTTAAAGCATACACCTTCAAATTACCAACAGTTACTTATGAAGCACCCATTCTAGGTTTAGCCATGTTCTCTTGAAGTGACTCAGGCAGTGAATAAATGTGAAACCCCATTTATTTGCTTCTGTGACTTACTCAGATACTTATTTTTCTTAGAATGGTCAATGATCATAAAACGTTGAGTCCCTGGTGGGTGGAAATGTAAATCCTGGCAAGCAGTGGAAGACAAATCAACTCTCTAAAAATAAATGGAAATGTTAAGAAAATTCACAGCTATTTCTTCAGGTCCCCAGGTTAAGTATACCATGGAGACAGTAAGTGAAGTTTATATCTCACTTTCAGTATTTAATATGTGGATTTCATATTGTATTAGTCCAATATGTTTATATGCAGCTACGCAATATAGTGAGTTAAGGACTGCATAGAAAAGTCTTACCTCCAGAATTCATGATTGTTTTTTCTTCTTCCTAGCCAGAGCTTTTTGCATTGGTTTGATGTACTGTAGTTACTTGGGGTTTAATCTTGTATAATAATTAACTTCAATTGATCCACTGCAGTGTGTTAGCAAAGTGCCCGAGCCTATTAAATCCGACTAAGAATCCTCCATTGCTTTCCGAATTTCCAGCATCATTATGCTGCCGGGAAAGCTGATTAATGTAAAGGCATTCCATACTGGGGCTTTTGCCTGGTAAAATTTTGGAGAGAGCACACACATATTCCATTTTAAAATATTGCATCAAGTAAATAGCAGCATAAAGGGTCTCCATTTCTTAGGCTAACCCTGAGTCTATAAGTGAGGTTTCTCTTCTTTATAACAGAACTCTTCTGTTAAAGGAGAAAGCCAGAATCATCAGAGCTTCACTTCTTAATGAGGGTGGAGGTTGGGGGGACATATGGTTGATTTAAAAACAAGAAGAAAAACGGAACATTACTGAAAGGGTGCCGTGCTCAATACGCTTCTGTGAAAGAAATCAAAAGATTTGCAGTGAGAGAGGACAAGAGGGAGGAAGAAATTTCCAAAAAACAAAAAAAAAGGTGAAAAGATAGGTATAAATGAAGCTGTTAAATTGAAGACTCAGAGCAGACATTTTCAGCCTTTGAGGAGATTTTAAATAAAACATCCAAATGGATCTATCGAAAATCTCTAGGTAGGGGGTTTCTTTACTGAGTCTCTAGCGTATGTCAAGGGAGACAAAGATAATTAAGACTTGGTCCCTTTCTTTGAAGAGCTTACATTTTCTTTTATAGAGTCTATCTTGACTTCCTTGGTCAGTTAAAATTCTATTTTTTCCTTATGTTCTTGGAAGTTTTTTAGTCTGAATCGACCTTCCTGCCTTAGTGAGTAGGATCTGCTAAACCTCTTTTGAAGATTCACAGGATCATCATCTTAAGAATTAGTTCTCACTCTCCAAGATGGATGGTACAGGCTATGGACATGAGGCTGAGTGTCTGCCAAGATCAGGACATCCCCTGGAAGGTGATTAAAAAGTAAATTAGCTTATTCTGTGTTTTAATTCATTATTTTAAAAGTTGTATGCAAAAAGAATTCTATTTAATGAAGGATTTTGGTAAGTTTGGTTGAAAATAGATTTTTCACCTAAATGATTATATTACTGTCAATTGTATCATCAGAAGGAGATGAATAGAGAGATTATCCTGATGATTTAAGTATCAGGAATATTAGAGGTAGTGAAACTACTGAAACTTGGACTTCTAAGGAATGCCTCATTTTCTAACCCATGGATTGCAATCCGATTGATGTTTTATTTCCTTTCATGATGCAATTGGAATTGAAAGAAAGGAGAGGCCCCTGAATACTGCAGTTGTTGGCGGAAAGCTTTAGGGACTAGGAGGGATTGGAGTTAGGCCTTAAGGAGGTGTTGATATTTTGTTGGTGGGGGAAAGGGAAAGAGTGTTTCCACTGGAGGGAATAGCATGATCAAAGCTGTTGAGGTGGTAGTGATCATGATGTATAAAGAAGATATTAACGAGACTGGTTTGACTTGAGGGCAGTTTTCACATGGGGCAATCAGTTTGGTTGAAGAGTACAGCAAAGGTACTCTTTCATTCAAGTACAGCAAAGGTACTCATTTCATTCAAAACGAAAATTTTGAATACTAAGCAAAAGAGTCTGGATTCAAACTAATTGGGGTATAAAATCATGTATTATAAACATTGAACAAAATGATTAAGAACTGAAGTATTATGAGATAATCTACAGCTAATATTAGTTGGATATTATAAACATTAACCACATTTTAGGCTTTTGCTCCATTGTCTGGTGCCACATATAGTCTAAACTGATTCTTTTGGAACAATTAATGGAGTGAATTTGATGATAGACAGGGAAGCCAGACAATGCTTCATCATAGACAAGCTAGAACAATTTTCTAAAGTGTTTGGAGAACCTGGAATCTGCCAAAAATAATTTGGGAACATGTCCTCATAGTACAATTTATGCAAATGGTTCTATGTTAAGAGAGGCAGTATTAGGTAATCAGTGGACTGGAATAGCATTTGAATGAGTCAAAGTTTGGGAACTGCTTTTACAACTAATTGGCTCTCTGTAACATTGGGCAAGTCCCTTAACTTTTCCGAGGTTTAGTTTCCTTGTCTCTGAAATGGGAAAAATGGTACTTACTTTACTTTTGTGTTGTAAGAAATAAATGAAATAATGTATCTTATAAACTTTAAAGAGCTACTCAAGAATAAATGATGTTGATAAATTTCCATCAGGTAATTGTAAGTCTTTATAACCTGAATAATGAAGCCATCCAAAATATGTCATAATTATGTGGGTTTGGATATAAAGCATGTGTGGGAGTCTCAGTAGAAGGCTGTCAAGGGGAGACAGCAGTAAACTAGGATTTAGAAGTCGGACTAGGCATAGGGGGCATGAAACCTACTGGACCTAGCCCAAGAAAAGGGTGGCCAGTAGTACAAATATTCCAGGAGAGGTGATGAAATTCTCTTTAGTCTCATGGCCACCCATACCAAAGGGGCCAACATGAGAAATGGAAATTGGAACCCTAATGCATTTCTTGTGCAAATGTAAAATTGTGCAGCTGCTTTGGAAAACAATTTGGCAGTTCCTCAAAAGGTTAAATGAGCTATCCTATGAATCAGTAATTCTACTTCTAGGTATGTATCAGAGAGAAATGAAAACATATATCTACTCAAAAACTTATACTAGAATACATATACATAGCAGCATTATTCAAAGTAGTCCCAAAGTGGGAACAACTCAAATGTACATCGTGATAAATGAATAACATATGGAATTATCTATGCAATAGAATGTTATATGGCAATAAAAATGAATAGTTCTGATATATGCTATAACATATATGAATCTTGAAAACATTATGCTAAGTGAAACAATTAAGGCACAAAAGGACACATATTGTATGATTCCATTTGTTTAAAATGTCCAGAAGAGGCAAATCTGTATAGATTGAAAGTAGATTAGTGGTTGCCAGGGCCTGGGGTAGGGGGAAATAGAGAATGAATGGTAATGGGAATGGAGTTTCTTTTTAGGGTGATGAAAATGTCCTGGAATTAGGTGGTAATGATGGTTGTACAACTTTGTTAATATCCTATAAACCACTGATTTGTATAGTTCAAAAGTGTAAATATTATGGTATAAGAATTACATCTCAATTAAAAGATCAATATAAAGCTCAACAAAAACCATATATCATCACAATAGAATGAACTTGTGATACACAAGGATAAATGTGAAATTTGTCCCTCCAAATTAATTATTATATATTTTATTGAGACAGGGTCTCCCTCTTTTGTCCAGGCTGGAGTGCAGTGGTGCGATCCTGGCTCATTGCAACCTCTGCTTCCCAGACTCAAGTGATTCTCCAGCCTCAGCCTCCCGAGAAGCTGGGACTTACAGGCGTGAGCCACCTTACCCAGCTAGTGTGTGTATATATGTGTGTGTGTGTGTGTATATATATATATATATGTATATATATGTGTATATGTATACATATATATACATATATATATACACACATATATATATACGGGGTTTTGCCATGTTGCCCAGGCTGGTCTCAAACTCCTGAGCTCAAAGCAACTCACCTACCTCAGACTTTCAAAATGCTGGAATTACAGGCGTGAGCCACGATGCCTGGCCTATAATTTTATTTTATACATTTTATCAACAAGTAAAGTGTTTGACATATTGCAGGAATAATTTCTTAGTACTGTCTCATGCTAGATTACTCCTGGGGTCATTCTACTACATATTGGTGAACCTAAACAGATGATCATTTTATTTTATTTTTCACTTTATTTATTTATATCAATAGATTTAGGGGTACAAGCGGTTTTTGGTTACATGAATGAGTTGTATAGTGACGGAGTCTGGGCTTTTAGTGCATCCATCAGATAAATAGTGTACATTGTACCCAATAGGTAATTTTTCAACCCTCACCCCCCTTACATCCTCCACCTTTCCCAGTCCCCAGGGTCCATTATGCCACTCTTTATGCCCCTACATATCCATAGCTTTGCTCCCACTTACCTGTGAGAACATACTGTGTTTGGTTTTCTGTTCCTGTGTTACTTGACTTAAGATAATGGCCTCCAGTTCTATCCAAGTTGTTGCAAAAGATATTATTTTGTTCTTTTTAATGCCTGAGTAGTATTCCATGGTATGTTTACCACATTTTCTTTATCAGTTCATCAGTTGATATGCACTTAGGTTGATTCCATATCTCTACAATTGTAAAGTGTGCTGTGACAAAATATGAGTGCCGGTGTCTTTTTGATATAATGACTTATTTTCCTTTGGGTAGATACACAGTAGTGGGATTGCTCGATTGAATGATGGATCTCCTTTTAGTTGTTTGAGAAATCTTCATAGTGTTTACCACAGAGGTTGTACTAATTTACATTCCCATCAAGAGTATATAAGTGTTCCCTTTTTACCACATGTCTACCAATATTTATTGTTTCTTGACTTTTAAAAATGACCATAATGACTGGGGTAAGGTGGTATCTCATTGTGGTTTTAATTTGTTTTCCTCTGATGATTAGTAGTGTTGCGCATTGTCTTATATGGTTTTTGGCCATTTATATTTCTTTTTTATTTAAACCTTTATTTTAGGTTGAAAGATACATGTGCAGGTTTGTTATAAAAGTAAAATCGTATCATGGTGGTTTGTTGTACAGATTATTTCATCACCTAGGTTCTAAGACCAGTACCCAGTAGTTACTTTTTCTGGTCCTTTCCCTTTTCCCACCCTCTACTTTCAAGTAGGCCCCAGTGTCTGTTGTTCCCCTCCTTATGTTCATTAGTTCTCATCATTTGGCTCCCACTTATAAATGAAAACACATAGTATTTGGTTTTCTGTTACTGTGATAGTTTGCTAAGGTTAATGGACTCCAGCTCCATCCATGTCCCTGCAAAGGACATGATCTCATTCTTTATTATGGCTGCATAGTATTTCATGGTGTATATGCACCACATTTTAAAAAATCCAGTCTGCCATTGATGAGCATTCGGGTTGATTCCATGTCTTTGCTATTGTGAATAATGCTGCAATGAACATAAGTGTGCATGTGTCTTTATAATAGAATGATTTATGTTCCTTTGTGTATATACTGGGTATAGTAGTTCCGTCGTTAGATCTTTGAAGAATTGCCACTCTGTCTTTCACAATGGTTGAACTGATTTACACTTTTACCAACAGTGTATAAATGTTCCCTGTTCTCCACAAGCTCACCAGTATCAATTATTTTTTGACATTTTAATAATAGCCATACTGACTGGTGTGAGTTGGTATCTCATTGTGGCTTTGATTTTTATTTCTCTAATGATCAGTGATATTGAGCTATTTTTCATATGCCTGTTGGCCACATGTATGTCTTCTTTTGAAAAGTGTCTCTTCATGTCCTTTGCCCACTTATTAAGGAGGTTGTTTGTTTTGTTCTTCTTGTAAATTTAAGTTCCTTATAGATGCTGGATATTAGACCTTTGCCAGATACATAGTTTACAAATATTTTCTCCCATTCTCTAGGTGGTCTATTTACTTTGTTGATAGTTTCTTTTGCTGGGCAGAAGCTCTTTAATTTAATTAGATCCCATTTGTCAACTTTTGTTTTTGTCGCAATTGCTTCTGGTGTCTTCTTCATGAAATCTTTGCCTTTGCCTATGTCCAGGATGGTATTGCCTAAATTGTCTTCCAGGATTTTTATAGTTTTGGGGTTTACATTTAAGTCTTTTTTCCATCTTGAGTTAATTTTTGCATATGGTGTAAGGAAGGGGTCCAGGTTCAATCTTCGGTATATGGCTAGCCAGTTATCCAGCATCATTTATTGACTAGGGATTCGTTTCCTCATTGCTTGTTTTTGTTAGTTTTGTCGAAGATCAGATGGTTTAAGAGTGAGGTGTTATTTCTGGGCCCTCTATTCTGCTCCATTGGTCTATGTGTCTATTTTTTCTACCAGTACCATGCTATTTTGGTTACTGTATCCCTGTAGTGTAGTTTACAGTCAGGTGACAGGATGCCTCCAGCTTTGTTCTTTCTGCTTAGGATTGCTTTGGCTATTTGGCCTCTTTTTTGGTTCATATAAATTTTAAAGTAGTTTTTTTTCTAGTTATGCGAAGAGTGTCACTGGTAGTGTGACAGGAATAGCATTGAATCTATAAGTTGCTTTGGGCAGTATGATCTTTTTAATGATATTGACACTTTCTATACATGAACATGGAATGTTTTTTCATTGTTTTGTGTCATGTCTGATTTCTTTGAGCAGTGGTTTTTAATTATCATCGTAGAGACTTTACATCTCCCTTGTTAGCTGTATTCCTGGGTATTTTATTCTTTTTATGGCAATTGTGAATGGAATTGTATTCCTGAGTTGGCTCTTAGCTTGGCTGTTGTTGGTGTCTAGGAATGCTGGTGATGTTTGTGCATTGATTTTGTATCCTGAAACTTTGCTGAAGTGTTTTTTTTTTTTTTTTTAAATCAGCTAAAGGAGCTTTTGGTTAAAGACTATGGGGTTTTCTAGATATAGAATCATGTCATCTGCAAACAAGGATAGTTTGCCTTTCTTTCTTTCTATTTGAATGCCTGTGTTTCTTTCGCTTGCCTGATTGCCCTGGCCAGGACTTCCAATACTATGTTGAATAGCAGTGGTGAGAAAGGGAGTCTTGTCCTGGTTTTCAATGGGAATGCTTTCAGGTTTTGACTGTTCAATATGATATTGGCTGTGGGTATGTCATAGATAGCTCTTATTATTTTGAGGGATGTTCCTTCAATATCTATATTATTGAGAGTTATTAACATGAAGTGTTATTGAATTTTATTGAAAGCCCTTTCTGCATCTATTGAGATAATCATGTGTGTTTTTCTTTAGTTCTGTTTATGTGATGAATCACACTTATTTATTGATTTGCATATGTTGAACCAATCTTGCATCCCAGGTCTAAAGCCTACTTAATCATGGTGGATTCACATTTTTTTTGTTTTATTTATTATAATTTAAGTTCTGGGATACATGTGTAGAACGTACAGGTTTGTTACATGGGTATACATGTGCCATGGTGGTTTGCTGCACCCATCAACCTGTCATCTACATTAGGTATTTCTCCTAATGCTATCTCTCCCCTAGCCCCCCACCCCGTGACAGGCCCTGATGTGTGATGTTCCATGTGTTCTCATTGTTCAACTCTCACTTATGAGTGAGAACATGCAGTGTTTGGTTTTCTGTTCCTGTGTTAGCTTGCTAAGAATGATGGTTTCTAGTTTCATCCATGGCCCTGCAAAGGACATGAACTCATCCTTTTTATGGCTGCATACTATTCCATGATGTATATGTGCCACATTTCTTTATCCAGTCTATCATTGATGGGCATTTGGGTTGGTTCCAAGTCTTTGCTATTGTGAATAGTGCTGCAATAAACATACTTGTGCATGTGTCTTTATAGTAGAATGATTTATAATCCTTTGGGTATATACCCAGTAATGGGATTGCTGGGTCAAATGGTATTTCTGGTTCTAGATCCTTGAGGAATCACCACCCTGTCTTCCACAATGGTTGAACTAATTTACACTCCCAACAGTGTAAAAGCATTCCTATTTCTTCACATCATCTCCAGCATCTGTTGTTTCCTGACTTTTTAATGATTGCCAATCTAACTGGCATGAGATGGTATCTAATTGTGGTTTTGATTTGCATTTCTCTAATGACCAGTGATAATGAGCTTTTTTTCATATGTCTGTTGGCTGCATAAATGTCTTCTTTTGAGAAGTGTCTGTTCATATCCTTTGCCCACATTTTGATGTTTTTGTTTTGTTTTGTTTTTTTTTTTGGAGCAACATGCTGTTTTAATGAGCACCTGGGTGCAGGTGGGCTGAGGCCTAAAATGGCATCAGCACCAAGTGAGGACGGGGCAAAGGTTTTATAGTCTCCTGTAAACAGGAAGTGTCCTAGTCTGACGTAACTCCTCCTTTGTACCTGGATGGCCTCTTTCTCGATCTTCAGGGGTATGTGTCTTCCAGCCAGGGTAGGTGTCTTCTGGTTGGCTCTCTTCCTGCTTCTGCTATCTTGCTGGTGCATGCTGCTGATGCAAGTGCCCTTGCGCCTTGGGACTGGGCCTGAGAAGGGAGGAGTTTTTCATCTCCTTAAGCTTTCAGGCCCCGGGGAGAATCTTACATCCCTGTCTATTTGGTTATAGAAAAGGGAAAAGGGACGACTTTCTCAATAACTACTTCAGGTGTGACATAGGGGTGGTGTGGGCATCTTGGAAAAAGAAAAACTTAATTTTTAGGGTATTCTTGAAAGACAGGTTGGTATCCACCATGTCATTGTAGCAGAAGCATCGTCTGGATTGTCTGGCAGCTAACTGTAGTTTCAAAAAGAGTTTTAATGGCTTTTATTATCAGTGGGATAACACAGGGGAGAAACAGAAGCAGCCCAATGATGAAGATTATGGTCCCTACCAGTGTTTTAAATTCTCCTAAATTAGAGAACCACCCTCCTAGAAGGTTTGTTGGGTCCCGTCCCTTCCAGGTTTGGACTGGTACATGGCTACTTTTCTGATGTTTGAAATGATTTATAGAACCGCTTTTCCGTTATCATCTATGTTAAGACAGCAATTAGAGATATTAAATTTACCACAGACTCCACCCTCTTCTGCTAATAAGTAGTCTAGTGCTAGCCTGTTTTGATAAATTGCTGCACACATTTGGTTTTGTTGTCGTGTGAGCATTTCCAGGGCTGAGGCGGTTTGGTTAGTCATTTCCAGAACAGCCTGTAGTCTAATTATTCTATTTAGCATATATATAGAAGTGTAGTAATCCCACGAAGCATCCTCAGCCCAAATGGCAGGACCGTAATATTCGATGATTTGTTGTGGAGGCCATTTGTCCCCTTGCCATCTTTGGCTTCTGTCCCCTTGCCATGTTTGGCTTCCTCCTGCCTTTAAGGATCGTATTTCTTTGTTTAGGTTATTATATACAGGAACTCCGAGGGTGTTGCCCGCTGTTAATGTTTTGGAGGAAAGAGTAGCCTTAGGGGTGAGCTTGACCCTGGTGCAATGGGCCCAGTCGGGGAGTCCTTGGACTCTCACTGCAGTTGGCATGCTTTTGGTGTTGCATGGAGTCTCATGAGGGTGAAAGGGAGATTTCTTGTCCACAACTGGCGGGTTTCTAAAGCCAGCTTGGTGAGTTGGGCTTTAAGGACAGAGTTAATTTTTTCAACTTTGCCTGAAGATTGAGGCCTGTAGGGTGTGTGGAGAAGCCATTTTATACCTAAGGATGTAGAGACGCCTCGGGTAATTTGGCTGATGAAGGCAGGCCTGTTATCAGACTGGATGGATATTGGGAGTCAGAAATGGGAAATTATATGCATAATGAGAGTTTGCGTGACGACATTTGCACCTCCTGAAGTTGCTGGGAACGCTTCTACCCACCAGGAGAAAGTGCAGACAAAGGCTAGAAGATAGCAGATTCGTTTATTGGGAGGCATGTGAGTGAAGTCTACTTGCCAATATTGCCTTGGTACCTGGCCCTGGGCTTGGTGGGTAGGAAAAGGTGGCGGCCAGAGGGAGCCCGGGGGTGACACTGAGTGGCAGATAGAGCAGGACTGGGTAATCTCTTGAACATGGCTGGAAAAGTGAGGACAAGTGAGGATAGGGTGGAGAAGTTGCAGGAGAGGTTTGTAACCGACATGGAAAGAGTTGTAGAGGCTCTTCCTCTACATAGGGACCATAGTGGACCAAATCCCTCTACATAGGGAATTGCCACTGTAGAGGCAATTCCTCTAACCTTTTTTGAAGGTTCTTAGCTTCCTTGCATTGGATTAAAACATGATCCTTTAGCTCGTTGGAGTTTGTTATTACCCACCTTCTGAAGCCTACTTCTGTCAATTTGTCAAACTTATTCTCCATCCAGTTTTGCTCCCTTGCTGGCAAGGAGTTGTGATCTTTTGGAGGAGAAGAAGTGTTCTGGTTTTTGCAATTTTCAGCCTTTTTGCACTGGTTTTTCCTCATCTTCGTGGATTTATCTACCTTTGGTCTTTGATGCTGGTGACCTTCAGATGGGATTTTGTGTGGACACCCTTTTTGTTGATATTGATGCTATTCCTTTCTTTTTGTTAGTTTTCCTTCTAACAGGCCCCTCTGCTGCAGGTCTGCTGGAAGTTGCTGGAGGTCCACTCCAGATCCTGTTTGCCTGAGTATCACCAGTGGAGGCTGCAGAACTGCAAAAATTGCTGCCTGTTTCTTCCTCTGGAAGGTTTGTTCCAGAGGGCCACCTACCAGATGCCAGCCAGAGCTCTCCTGTATGAGGTGTCTATCGACCCCTTCTGGGAAGTGTCTCCCGGTCAAGAGGCATGGGGGTCAGGGACCTACTTGAGGAGGCTATCTGTCCCTTAGCAGAGCTCGAGTGCTGTGCTGGGAGATCTGCTGCTCTCTTCAAAGCCAGCAGGCAGGAACGTTGAAGTCTGCTGAAGCTGTGCCCACAGCCATCCCTTCTCCCAGGTGCTCTGTTCCAGGGAGATGGGAGTTTTATCTATAAGCACCTGACTGGGGCTGCTGCCTTTCTTTCAGAGATGCCCCACCTAGAGGGGAGGAATCTAGAGATGCAGTCTGGCTACAGCAGCTTTGCTGAGCTGTGGTGGGCTCCACCCAGTTCAAACTTCCTGGGCGACTTTGTTTACACTGTGAGGGGAAAACCACCTACTCAAGCCTCAGTAATGGCAGATGCACCTCCCCCGACCAAGTTCAAGCATCCCAGGTTGACTTCAGAGTGCTGTGCTGGCAGTGAGAATTTCAAGCCAGTGGATGTTACTTAGCTTGCTGGGCTCTGTGGGGGTGGGATCCTCTGGGCAAGACAACTCGGCTCCCTGGCTTCAGCCCCCTTTCCTGGGGAGTGAAGAGTTGTGTCTCGCTGGCGTTCCAGGTGCCACCAAGGTATGAAAACACACACACACACACACACACACACACACACACACAAGAAACTCCTGCAGCTAGCTTGGTGTCTGCCCGAATGGCTGCACAGTTTTGTGCTTGAATCCCAGGGCCTTGGTGGTGTAGGCACCGGAGGGAATCTCCTGGTCTGTGGCTTGCAAAGACCATGGGAAAAGCATAGTATCTGGCTGGAATGCACTGGTCCTCACTGCAGGGTTCCTCACGGCTTCCCTTGGCTAGGGAAGGTGTTCCTTGCACTTCCCGGGTGAGGAGATGCCCCACCTTGCTTCGGCTTGCCCTCCATGGGCTACACCCACTGTCTAAACAGTCCCAATGAGATGAGCTGTGTACCTCAGTTTGAAATGCAGAAAGCACCCGCCTTCTGTGTTGATCTTGCTGGGAGCTGCAGACTAGAGCTGTTCCTATTCAGCCATCTTGCCAGCCACTGCTGGATTAGCTTTTTGGTGTGCTGCTGGATTTGGTTTGCTAGTATTTTGTTGAGGATTTTTGCATCAATGTTCATCAAGGATATTGGCCTGAAGTTTTCTTTTTTTTTTCCTGTCTGCTAAGTTTTGATATCAGGATGATGCTGGCTTCATAAAATGAGTGGGAAGGAATTTCTCCTCCTCAATTTTTAGGAATAGTTTCAGTAGAAATGGACCAGATCTTCTTTGTACATCTGGTAGAATGCAGCTCTGAGTCTGACTGGTCCTGGACTTTTTTTTGGTTGGTAGGTTATTTGTTACTGATTCAATTTCAGTGCTCATTATTGGTCTGTTCAGGGATTCAATTTCTTCCTGTTTCAGTCTTTGGACAGTGTATGTGTGGAGGAATTTATCTTTTTCTTCTAGATTTTGTAGTTTGTGTTTATAGAGGTGTTCATAGTAGTCTATGATGGTTATTTGTATTTCTTTGGGGGTGAGTGATGACATCCCCTTTGTCATTTCTGATTATGTTTATTTGAATCTTCTGTCTTTTCTTCTTTAATAGTCTAGCTAGCAGTCTATTTACTTTTTTTCAGAAATAAACTCTGGGATTCATGAATATTTTGCATTTTTTTGTGCGTTTCTCAATATTCTCCAGTTCATCTCTGATTTTGCTTATTTCTTGTCTTCTGCTTGCTTTGGGGTTGGTTGTCTCTTAGTTCTCTAGTTCTTTTTGTTGTGATGGTAAGTTGTTAGTTTGAGATCTTTCTAACTTTTTGATATGGGCATTCAGTGCTATAAATTTTCCTCTCAACACTGTCTTAGCTGAATCCCAGAGATTCTGATATGTTGTAACATTGCTTTCATTAGTTTAAAAAAACTTCTTGATTTCTGCTTTAATTCCATTATTTAACCAAAAGTTATTCAGGACCACGTTGTTTAATTTCCATGTAATTTTATGATTTTGAGTGAATTTCTTAGTCTTGATCTCTATTTTTATTGTGCTGTCATCCAAGAGAGTGTTTGGTATTATTTCAGTCCTTTTGCATTTGCTGAGGATTGTTTCATGTCTGATTGTGTGCTCAATTTTACAGTCTGTGCCATGCGACAATGAGTAGAATGTATATTCTGTTGTTTTTTAGGTGGAGAGTTCTGTAGATGTCCATCAGGTCCATTTGGTCCAATGTTGAGTTCAGGTCCTGAATATCTGTGTCAATTTTCTGCCTCGATGATCTGTCTAATAGTGTCAGTGGGTTGTTGAAGTCTCCCACTGTTATTATGCAGGAGTCTAAGTGTCTTTGAAGGTCTTTAACAACTTGCTTTATGCATCTGGGTGCTCCTGTGTTGGGTGCATATATACTTAGGATACTTAGCTCTTCTGATTGAATTAATCCTTTTTCATTATGTAATGCCCTTCTTTGTCTTTTTTTTTTAAAACTTTTGTTTTAAGTTCAAATGTACATGTGCAGATTTCTTACATAGGTAAACATATGTCATGGGGGTTTGTTTTACATATTATTTCATCACGCAGGCATTAAGCCTAGTATCCATTAGTTATTTTCCCTAATACTTTCCATCCTCCCATCCTCTATGCTCTGATACGCTCCAATGTCTGTTGGTCCCTTCTATGTGTCCATGTGTTCTCATGATTTAGCTACCACTTATAACTGAGAATATGCAGTATCTGGTTTTCTGTTCCTGCATTACTTTGCTAAAGATAATAGCCTCCAGCTCCATCCATATTCCTACAACAGACATAATCTCATTCTTTTTTATGACTGGATAGTATTCCATGGTGTATATGTACTACATTTTCTTATCCCAGTCTATCATTGTTGGGAATTTAGGTGGACTCCATGTCTTTACTATTGCGAATAATGCTGCAATGAACATACGTCTGCATGTGTTTTTATAATAGAATGATTTATTTTCCTTTGTGTGTATACCCAGTAATGGGATTGCTGGGTCGAATGGTATTTCTGTCTTTAGGTGTTTGAGGGATCACCACACTGTCTTCCATAATGGCTGAACGAATTTATACTCCCACCAACAGTGTATAAGCATTTCTTTTTCTCCACAACATTGCCAGTATGTTATTTTGTGACATTGTATTAATAGCCATTTTGACTGGTATGAGATGGCATCTCATCGTGGTTTTGATTTGCATTTCTCTAATAATCAGTGATGTTGAGCTTTTTTTTCATATGATTGTTGGCTGCATGTATGTCTTCTTTTGAAAAGTATCTATTCATGTCCTTTGCCCACATTATAATGGGGTCATTTGTTTTTTCTTGTAAATTTGTTTAAGTTCCTTATAGATGCTGGATAGTAGACCTTTGTCAGGTGCGTAGTTTTCAAAAATTTTCTCCCGATCTATAGGTTTTCTGTTTATGCTGTTGATAGTTTTTTTTTTTTTTGCTGTGCAGAAGGTCTTTAGTCAAATTAGACCCCATATGTCAATTTTTGCTTTGTTGCAATTGCTTTTGGCATCTTTGTCATGAAGTCTTTGCCCATGCCTATGTCCTGAATGGTATTGCCTAGGTTGTCTTCCAGGGATTTTATAGTTTTGGGTTTTACATTTAAGTCATTTTTTCCATCTTGAGTTAATTTTTGCATATGGTGTAAGGAAGGGGTCTAGTTTCAATCTTCTGCATATGACTAGCTGTTTACCCCAACACCATTTATTGAATAGGGAATCCTTTCCCCATTGTTTGCTTGTGTCAGGTTGGTTGAAGTTCAGATACTTGTATGTGTACAGTCTTATTTTTAGGTTCTCTATTCTGTTCCAATGGTCTGTGTGTCTGTTCCTGTAACAGTACCATGCTCTTTTGTTTACTGGAGCCCTGTAGTATAGTTTGAAGTTAGGTAACATGATGCCCCCCGCTTTGTTCTTTTTGCTAAGGATTGCCTTGGCTATTTGGGCTCTTTTTGGGTTTTATATGAATTTTAAAATAGTTTTCTTCTAGTTCTGTGAAGAATGTCACTGGTAGTTTAATGGGAACAACATTGAACCTATAAATTGCTTTGGGCAGTATGGACATTTTTATGATATTGATTCTTCCTATCCATGAGCAAAGAATGTTTTTTCATTTGTTTATGTCATCTCTGATTTATTTGAGCAATGGTTTGTAGTTCTCCTTGGAGAGATCTTTCACCTCCCTGGTTAGCTGTATTCCTAAGTATTTTATTCTTTTTGTGGCAATAGTGAATGAGAGTGTGTTTATGATTTGGCTGGATGCTTGGCTGTTGTTGGTGTATAGGAATGCTAGTGTATTTTGCCCATTGATTTTGTATGCTTAGACTTTGCTGAAGTTCATTATCAGCTTAAGTAGCTTTGGGGCTGAGACTATGGGGTTTTCTAGCTATAGCATCATGTCATCTGCAAACAGGGATAGTTTAACTTCCTATTTGAATGCTCTTTATTTATTTCTCTTGGCTGATTGCCCTGACCAGAATTTCCAATACTATGTTGAATGGGAGTGGTGAGAGAGGGCATCCTTGTCTCGTGCCGGTTTTCAAGGGGAATGCTTCCCACTTTTGCCCATTCAGTATGATGTTGGCTGTGAGTTTGTTATAGATGGCTCTCATTATTTTGAGATATGTTCCTTCAATACCTAGTTTATCGAGAGTTTTTTAACATGAAGCAATGTTAAATTTTACCTGAATCCTTTTCTGCATCTTTTGAGATAATCATGTGGCTTTTGTCTTTAGTTCTGTTTATGTGATGAATCACATTTATTGATTTGTGTATGTTGAACCAATCTTTCATCCTGGGAATGAAGCCTACTTGATCATGGTGGATAAGCTTTTTGATGTGCTGCTGGATTTGGTTTGCCAGTAGTTTGCTGAGGATTTTTTGCATCTATGTTCATCAAGGATATTGCCCTGAAGTTTTCTTTTTTTTGTTGTATCTCTGCCAGGTTTTGGTATCAGGTTGATGCTGGCCTCAAAAACTGAGTTGTGGAGGAGTCCCTTCTTTCCAGTTTTTTTTTGGAATAGTTTCATTTGGAATGATACCAGCTATTCTTTGCACATGTCATAGAATTTTGCTGTGAATCTGTCTTGTCCTGGAATTTTTTTAGTTGGTAGGCTATTTATTACTGATTCAATTTCAGAGCTCATTATTGGTCTGTTCAGGGATTCAATTTCTTCCTGGTGCAGTCTTGGGAGTGTGTATGTGTCCAGGAATGCATGCATTTCTTCTAGGTTTTCTAGTTTATGTGCATAGAGGTGTTCATAATATTCTTTGATCGTTGTTTGTATTTCTATGGGGTCAGTGATAGTATCCTTTTTATCATTTCTGATTGTGTTTATTTGGATCTTCTCTCTTTTCTTCTTTATTAGTCTAGCTAGTGGTCTATTTTACTAATTTTTTCAAAAAACCAGCTGTTGGATTTATTAATCTTTTGAATGGTTTTTTTTTGTGTCTCAGCCTCCGTCAGTTCAGCTCTGATTTTGGTTATTTCTTGTCTTCTGTTTGCTTTCGGATTTGTTTGCTTTTGGTTCTGTAATTCTTTTAGTTGTAATGTTAGGTTGTTAACTTGAGATCTTTCTAACTTTTTGATGTGGGTGTTTAGTGCTATAAATTTCTCTCTTAACAGTGCCTTAGCTGTATCCCAGATATTCTGGTACATTGTATATTTGTTTTAATTAGTTTGAAAGAACTTCTTGATTTCTGCCTTGATTTCATTATTTACCCAAAAGTCATTCAGGAGAAGGTTATTTAATTTCCATGTAATTGTGTGGTTTTGAGTGAATTTCTTAGTCTTGATTTCTAATTTGATTGTGCTGTGGTCTAAGAGACTGTTATGACTTCAGTTGTTTTGCATTTGCTGAGGAGTGTTTTACTTTATGTGATCGATTTTAGAGTAAGTGTCATGTATTGATGAGAAGAATGTATATTCTGTTGTTTTGGGGTGGAGATTTCTGTAGATATCTATCAGGTCCATTTGATCCAGAGCTGAGTTCAGGTCCTGAACATCTTTTTAAATTTTCTGTCTCAATGATGTGTCTAATATTGTCAGTTGGGTGTTAAAGTCTCCCATTATTATTGTGTCAGAGTTTAAGTCTCTTTGAAGGTCTCTAAGAACTTGATTTTTGAATTTGGGTGCTCCTGTGTTGGGGGAGTATATATTAGAATTGAACCCCTTACCATTATGTAATGCCCTTCCTTGTCTTTTTTGACATTTGTTGGTTTAAAGTCTTTTTGTCTGAAATTAGGATTTTAACCCCTGCTTTTTTCTGTTTTCCATTTGCTTGGTAGATTTTTCTCCATTCCTTTACTTTGAGCCTGTGGGTGTCATTCCATGGGAGATGGGTCTCTTGAAACAGCCTACCATTGGGTCTTGGTTCTTTATCCAGCTTGCCACTCTGTGCCTTTTAATTGGGGCATTTAGCCTGTTTACATTCAAGGTTGGTATGTATGGATTTGATCCTGTCATCGTGTTGATAACTGGTTGTTATGCAGAGTTGTTTTCGTGGTTCCTTTATAGTGTCACTGGTCTGCATATTTAAGTGTGTTTCTATTGTGGCTGATAAGTCTTTCTTTCCAAATATAGTGCTTCTTTCAGGAACTCTTTTAAGGCATATCTGGTGGTAATGAATTCCCTCAGCATTTGCTTGTCTGAAAAGAATCTTATTTCTCCTTCACTTGTGAAGCTTAGTTTGGTCAGATATAAAATTATTGATTGGAATTTCTTTTCTTTAATAATTTTGAATATAGGCTCCCAGTCTCTTCTGGCCTGTACAGTTTCTGCTGAGAGGTCTGCTGTTAATCTCATGGCTTCCTTTTGTAGGTAAGCTCTTCTTTATCTTGAGCTGCCTTTAACATTCTTTCTTTCATTTTGTCCTTTACAAATCTAATGATTTTGTGTCTTAGGAAAGATCTTTTTATGTGGATTCTCTGCGTTTCCTAAATTTGAATGTTGGCCTCCCTAGCTAAATTGGGAAAGTTCTCATGGATGGTATCCTGAAATATATTTTCCAAGTTGCTTCAATCCTCCCCATCTCTTTCGGGGATGGCAATGAATTGTAGAATTGGTCTCTACATAATCCCATATTTCTCGGAAGTTTTGTTTGTTCCTTTTCATTCTTTTTCTTTATTGTTTGACTGTCTTATTTCAGAAAGCCAGTCTTGAAGCTTTGAGATTCTGTCCTCCCCTTGGTCTATTCTGCTGTTAATTCTTGCGAGTGCATTATGAAATTCTTTAGTGTGTTTTTCAGCTTACATTCTTTTCTATACTGACTATTTTGTCTGTCAGCTCCTGTATCATTTTATTGTAATTTTTAGCTTCCTTGGATTGAGTTTCAACATTCTTCTGAATCTCGATGATCTTTTCTACCCATATTCTGAACTCTATTTCTGTCATCTCAGCCATCTCAGCCCAATTCAGAACCCTTGCTGGAGAACTAGTGCAGTCTTTTGGAGGAAAGAAGGCACTCTGGCTTTTTGAGTTGTCAGAGTTCTTTCACTGGTTCTTTCTCATCTTTGTGGGCGGATGTTCCTTCAGTCTTTGAAGTTGCTGTCCTTTGAATGGTTTTTTTTTTTTATCCTATTTGATGACCTGGGGTTTTCATTGTAGTATAAGGTGGGTTCAGTCAATGGGCTTCTTTTCTGGAAAATTTTAGGGGACCAAGACTGAGATCATGACTCCTGGGTGATGTGTTCTAACTCTGGCGCCTGGTATAAGGCCTCAGCTTTGTTCTCTCTCCCTTCAAGGATAGTATTCTGCTGTGCTGGAACGGCTGAGTTGCTCCAAGACTGCTGGTCACAACACTCTAATAGGTGGTGTCAGCCAAAGCACTTTGTAGGGTGGTGGCAGTGGGATCTGTACTAGTTCACACATGTCAGCAGCAGCAGCAGCTTGGTGGGATGCATGCTCATTGGCTATAGCAGGGTGCTAGTGGGTGCTGGGGTGCTGGCCTCCTTGCAGGTGTTTGCAGAAGTGGCAATGACAGCATGACACGGTTGCAGAGGTAGCAGGGGGCCCCTGCTGGTGTCTGTGCATGCATTTATGTTGGTGGTGGTGTTAGTATGGCAGTGGGGCACTGGCAGGGGCAGGACTGTGTATGCTTTCTGTGTGTGTTCACCCAGGTGGAGGTGTCTGCTTAGGGTGGGGGAGGGTCCACTATTCTCCATGCCTAGTTTCATTCCAGCACCAATGCCAATGAAGAGGCAGGGTGCTGGCTGGGGCCAGGCTGGCGGGCTCTGTGCCTGCCAATGCTCTGACAGCAATGGCAGTGCGGCATGTAGGGGGTGGAGTGGACTCACACTAGCAGCAGTGGCACAGCAGAGTGCACGCACACACATGTGCACTGCCGCGGAAGGGGAGGCTGGGTCCATCTTTGCATGTGCATTTTGGAAAACGATGTGGAGGGTGGCCATGGGTGATTGTGTGCAGGCAAAGTGGCACAAGGGAGGCTGCAGTTGGGAGAGCGTAGGGCAGGCTGGTGTGTGTTTGCAGGTGCCTCTCTGCTGGAGCTCTCTACCTGTCAGGCGTGATCCACCAGCACAGGATCTGTGATGCAGACCACCAACAGGTTATTCCCCACCCCCACCCTGGGCACCTGAGGCTGCACTGCAAGCAGGCATAGCCAAACTGGCACCCTGAGAGAGGGCAGCAGACGGAAGGGTACTCAGGTTGGATGGACCTGTCTTATGGGCAAGACTGCCCTGCGGAATTCAGGTCCAACAGTTTCACTAGGGCTAAAGTCTCCTATGGGAGCAAGTTGAGCCCAGGGGGATGGGCATCCCTGGCTATGCTCCACTACATACGCTCCTGAACCAAACCCTCTGGGCTCTGCATTGACTAGACTTCTGCCCCTACAACTTCTCTGAGCAGCTGTTCCTGCTGAGTCAAGTGTCTGTGGTGGTTGTGGAGTCTCCTCCTGCCTGGATTCCAGAGGCCCAAGGCGGATTGCTCATTGTCTGTTCGACTCACCGCTTTCCCAGGAGTGATTCGGGGCCAGGAATGAGTGCCAGTTCATGGTAGCCCTGTGCAAGGTTTCCAGCTTCCTCTCCCTTCAGCCCAGCATCTGTGTCTTCCCTCTGTGAACTCTCAATGACTTCTCTCCGTAAATCTGCAAAGAGCACATCAGTCCTCCCAATGTCCCTGTCCCCAAGTGGCAGATATTCCTTCCAGCTGCATCTAGTCAGCCATCTTTCCCCCAATCTATCCATTTATTTTTAAATTTGTATTAATTTTTTAAATTTCAGTAGCTTTTGGGGTACAAGTGGCTTTTGGTTACATGGATGAATTGTATAGTGGTGAAGTCTGAGATTTAATGTACCTGTCACTCAAGTAGTGCACATTGTACCCAATATGTAGTTTTTTATTCCTCACCCCCAACCATCCTCCCCTTTTTGAGTCTCCAATGTCCATTATACCACTCTGCCTTCGTGTACCCATAGCTTAGCTCCCACTTATAAATGAGAACATATGGTATTTGGTTTTCCATTTTTGAGTTACTTCACTTAGAATAATGGCCTCCAGCCCCATCCCAGTTGCTGAAAAAGACATTATTTCATTTGTGTTTATGACTGGGTAGTATTACATGTCGTATACATGCCACCTTTTCTTTATCCACTCTTTGATCGATGGACACTGAGATTGATTCCATATCTTTGCAATTGTGAATTGTGCTGCAATAAACATACACTTGCAGGTGTCTTTTTGATATAATGACTTATTTTCCTTTGGGTAGATATTTAGTAGTGCAATTGCCAGATGGAATGGTAAATTTACTTTTAGTTGTTTAAGAAATCTTCATACTGTTCTCTATAGAGGTTGTACTAACTTACATTCCCACCAGCAGTGTATAAACGTTCCCTTTTAACCACATCAATGCCAACATTTATTGTTTTTTGACTTTTTAATCAATGGCCACTCCTGCAGGAGTAAGATGGTATCTCACTGTGGTTTTAATTTGTACTTCCCTGATGATTAGTGATGTTGAGCATTTTTTTCCCATATGTTTGTTGCCCATTTTTATATCTTCTTTTGAGAAATGCCTACTCATGTAATTTGCCCACCTTTTGATGGGATTATTTGTTTGCTTGTTTTCTTACTGATTTATTTGAGTTTCTTATAGATTCTGGATATTAGTCTTTGGTTGGATCCATAGTTTACAAATACTTCCCCCATTCTTTGGGTTGCCTGTTTATGCTGATGATTATTTCTTTTGCTGTACAGAAACTTTTTAGTTTAATTAGGTCTAGTTTTTTTATTTTTGTTTTTGTTGCCTTTGCTTTTGGGGTCTTAGTCGTAAATTCTTTACCTAGGCCAATGCCCAGAAGATGTTTTCCAAGGTTATCTTCTGGATTTGTTATCGTTTCAGATCTTAGATTTATGTCTTTGATCCATCTTGAGTTGAGTTTTGTATAAGGTGAGAGATGGGGATCCAGTTTTATTCTTCTACATGTAGCTATCCAGTCTTCCCAGCACTATTTATTAAATAGGGTGTCCTTTCCACAATTTTTGTTTTTGCATTCTTTGTTGAAGATCAATTGGTTGTAAATATTCGGCTTTATTTCTGGGTTCTCTCTTCTGTTCCATTGTTTTCTGTGTCTACTTCTATACCAGGGCTAGGCTGTTTTGGTAACTATGGCCTTGTAGTATAATCTGAATTCAGGGAATATGATGCCTCCAGGTTTATTATTTTTGCTTATAATTGCTTTAGCTCTTCGGGCTCTTTTTTTGGTTCCATATGAATTTTATAATTGTTTTTTCTAATTCTACGAAAAATGATCCTGATATTTTGATGGGAATTGCATTGAAGCTGTAGATTGCTTTGGGCCAGATGATCATTTTAAACTTAGGTTTGTGGAAGATTAATAAAGTTTTAAGGTGACCCATTTTTTAAATACTTACTTCTTTATTCATACTTTATATTCTGTATTCTTTCTGGATCAAAGGTGATTTATAATAGATGTTTTTGTATGTGATTTTGGAGTTTGTTTCTTCCTCATGGAATTTTCAGATGGCAACATTGACATTCTACTTTTAATTGTTTCTTGTAAAAGATTTGCATTATGCTCATATTATGATGTTTTATTAGAATAAATGGAATTAAACAACTAAATCAAATACAGTTTTAAATGTTATTTTACTTAACATAAATCAGTACACCAAGTAATTTTTAAAGATTAAAATGATAATAAAAGCTGTCATTCTGATTTTATATTATATTATTATTATATAATTATCTGCCAACAGATAGTTGAGCCAACAGGTAATTATATAATGATTACATAATTATCTGTTGGATTAGAAGTATATAATATTCTTCCTAAAATTTTCTAAGACTCTCTCTTAATATTTGTATTAATTGTCAGTCTGTTTCCTTATTTATGTACACATTCGCAAGACTATAATAATTGTTTTTGTATATAAGATGAATAGCTTTCACAAACACCATTAATTGTTATAACATTTTATTATTGTAATAATACATACACAGGCCTACTTTCACTGGTTAATGAGAATTTCAATATACAAAGCATAAAATAAGATATTTACTCCAGGTTTCAACATGAAGAATGCTTCATGCTTATGTATTTTTGCAAGTGAGCATTCAAATATTGACAATAAATCCAAATGGTGTGTTTTTTTATTACTGATATTGGTGTGCTGATTACATGTGATGGTAACTTCATGGACTCATGATAAATGATCATACACAAGTTCAATGATGCTGAATATAATGTTGACATATATAGTTGTCCATTTGGCCTTGCAAAACCTAGGACTGAAACTCAAGCCAAATAAAATTTGCCTGAATATTGAGGCTGAAGCTTGACTTTGTTGCATTTCTAATATGTAGGTTCTTGAGGCTCATCCAATGTATACTAAATAGGTTTAAGGTGATGAGCTTATTTTATATCTCTGCCCTTCATAAGGTAGGAACTCCTCATCTGTTTATAGGACCTGTGGCAGGTATCTCCTTGCTTCATATCTCTCTTTTTTTCTTTAGGCTCCCCAGATCCTTTATACCTCATGCCATCCTAACCTACCACCTGCCACCTCTCCTTGCTGTCCTCTAAACTAGTTACTTTCTGTCATTCAATAATGACTTTTAGTACTTGGCCCGCTTTCTTCCTCTCCCTCCCTAATGCTGGTAATATTCCTGGTGACTTTAACATCCATATGGATGATTCATACAATATTCTGGCTCTTCAGTTCCTCGACTTTCTCATCTCTAATGATCTTTTCCTGATCTACCTGATCTACCCATTTTCAGGGTCATATCTTTGAACTGTTGTTACCAAAAACTGAACAAACCACCTCTAAAATCTTGATTTTAATGATCATTTTAGTCACTTCCTTGCACACCTCTTCAACTCTTGCACATCTCTCTCAGCTGTACTTGTTGGCAAAACCCAAACCCTGTTAATATCCTGTCCTTTGCCAGTTTCAGGACTGCACATGTATAGCTGAACACTACTGGGAAAAAATACACAATGATGCTATGTGAGGCAGGAAAACGCCCCCTAAAGATGTCCACATCCTGCCATCACACAAGTCTTTCCTTAGTAACCTGGGCGATAGCTGTGGATGTTTCCAAGGATTGTCTTCAGTCATGGCCTTGGGATTAAAGTGCTCCCGCATGGTCCACCCTGCCTTTCGCAATTATCTTGCAGCCTCTATCAGACCCGTTTCAGAAGTTACACTGAAGAAAGTGTATGAAAGACAACATGGCCATAGGCAATACGTGGCCTATTCAGCTGTACCAGTCCACCATTTTGCTACCAAGAAAGCCAAAGCCAAAGGGAAAGGAAAGTCCCAAACCAGAGTGAATATTAGTGCTGCCTTTGTTGAGGATATAATCAACTTGGAAGAGGTGAATGAAGAAATGAAGTCTGTGATAGAAGCACGCAAGGATAATTTCAATAAGACTCTCAATATAGGGACCTCACCAGGATCCCTTGACAAGATTGCTGTGGTAACCGCTGATGGAAAACTTGCTTTAAACCAGATTAGGCAGATCTCCGTGAAGTTGCCACAGCTGATTTTGGTGAATATGGCCAGCTTCCCAGAGTTCACAGTTGCAGCTATCAAGGCTATAAGAGAAAGTGGAATGAATCTGAACCCAGAAGTGGAAGGGACACTAATTCGGGTACCCATTCCCCAAGTAATCAGAGAGCACAGAGAAATGCTGGTGAAACTGGCCAAACAGAACACCAACAAGGCCACATACTCTTTACGGAAGGTTTGTACCAACGCAATGAACAAGCTGAAGAAATCCAAGGATACAGTCTCGGAGGGCACCATTAGGCTAACAGAGAAACAGATCAGCCAAATGGCCGATGACACAGTGGCAGAACTGTACAGGCATCTGGCAGTGAAGACCAAAGAACTCCTTGGATGAAAGTCCACTACAGACCAGCAATACTTCAGAGCCCAGTTTCTGCTGGATCCCATGGGTGGCACATTGGGACCTCTCTCCCTCCCCCATCCACACAGAAGACTGTCACCATGCTGACAGAAGGCTGTCTTTGTGAGGCCCAGCCTTCCAGTGGAACACTCAGACTTGTTCATTCTCTTCCTCCTTCTGCTCTGGGCCTTCTGATGTGGGTGGCTCTCAGAAAATACTTGCTGCTGGCAAAGGGCCTTTACTCAGGCATTTGCTTTGACTTGATGTCACCAAGAGACTGAGGACATTGGCAGGCTTAGTACCACCTGCTCCTCATCTTAGGAGCCTCCTTTTCAAATAATTAGGCTCTGTTCCCATTGTAAAACTCTGCTTGGGCTGATATTGGCCTTCACCTGTGACTGGACACTTTACTAGAGGCCCATTTTCACTAAACAATAAAATCTAAATAAATTGGAAGGAATAACAACCACAAAGGAAAGAAAAGAGTTGGTCTGGATTGATGATCACTGAGGATCTGTATGTGAAGCACCCAGAGCAGTAGTTTTGCCTGTGAGTCATCTTCACACATGCTCTTTTCTCTGCCTGGATCTCTCTTCCCCTCCTTACCTGGCCAGTCCTGTTTATCATCAGGCCTTGTCTTGGATATCACATCCTCTGGGGTCTTCCTTTCCCCTCTCACCTAGGACCCTCATTACCGGCTCTCATAGCACAGTCTACTGCTTTGTACGAACTCTAAGTATTCTTTTTGCATTTAATTAGCCTGTGTATCCTCAGAACTTTGTGTAATGCCTGGAGCATAGTAGGCAGTCATATGTTATATTGTGAATAAATTGCACATAGTAGCTACCCAGCAAATGCTGACTTCTCTTCTTTCTGGTCTTAACACTCTCTTTCTATCATTTTCCACTCTTGTACTTGTTCTCAACATTTACTTGGTAGTGAGACACCTTTCCCCCAGGGCCTGCCCATTGTTGACAGACGAGTGGTTTATTGTGGCTTATCTTCGGATACTGGGTTGTTAGGTTTTTTCCCTCCAATTATTTTTTATTCATTCATTCATTCCTAATATAGCCATTATGAGTTAGGTATAGTTCTAGGCTTTATTTATAATCTTGACAGTAAACTTAAGAGATGTGTATTGTCTCCATTTTACAAATAGGAAAACTAAGTCTTGACAGTATTAGATAACTTGCCCAAAGTAACAAAGCAAAGCTGATAAGTGATAGAATGTTTTCATGATTCATTGTCAGCGTCATTTACATAGAGGTGAAGTTTCTTGTCCAGGGTTACACAGCTAGCAAGTAGCAGAGCTGGCATTCAAATTGAGGCCTGATGTGCTAATGTAAAAGGAAAAAAAAATTTGTTTTTTTCCTTTTACACCTTCACACTCAACATGGAACACTTCTGTGACAAGGTGTGTGAGTTTGTTTCCCCCACACACCAAGCAATTCTCCAGCAGACACCAACTGGGTATCCTGTAATTCAATTCAGTTCTGACATTACCTGGAAATAGTGTCAGATCCCACAGGTTGAGGGCTCCACCTCCCAAGACAGCCAACACTTTCGATGCCAGTCACGAGTCTGGGCCACGCATACTCCTGACTGACCAACTACAAACTAGAGTCCTTGACTTCCTTGGGTTCAGCTAATTTCCTAGGACAGATCGCAGAATTCAGGGAAACATGTTCACCGGTTTATTATAAAAGATACAGCTGAACAGCCCAATGAAGGAGGTACACAGGGCAAGATTGAGGGAGAGGGAGAGAGAGTGGAGCTTCCATGCCCTCTCTGGGCTCACACTCTCTCAGCACGTCACTAATCTGGAAGGAACCACTGTGTCCTGCTGCCTTTATTAGCATTTAGTGAGCACCAATTGTTTGTCAGGTACTGTACTATGTACTGGCAGTACAAAAATGGATAAGATATGACCCCTGTTTTGGGGGGGTACATAGTGCACTGAACTAAATTGCTATCTATAATAATCTCTTGGGGGGAAAATAGGAAGTTCATTCCAGTTCTGCAAAGTGTCTGCTTTCAGAATGGAGCCCACTTTGGTGGTGGCAAGGCCTGGCTGGGTTCTTTCAAAGCAGCATCCAACTTCTCTTTGCTCTTTGACTTCCTCCAGATTCTCTCCTGTGCTGGAGGTAATAAGGGTTGCACTTCTCCCTTTACTTATACTAGTGAAACCTGCAGTGAGGATTCAAGGTCAAAATTGGGTCAAAGTTAAACTAACACAGTCTCCTGCTCCACTTACCTGTCCTCTAACCCCATTCACCAGCCCTAAGTGGTCATCACATGATCAGAAGTCAGCTGGGGGAAGAGCAGGGATAGATATAGCAATTAAGGAGCCTCTTTTGGGGTAAGCCACATGACAGGGGCTTTGCAACAGTCTTTCATGAGTGGCCGAAATCCCCCACTCACTGCAAATGTGCTTCTCAAGGATGCAGGGTTTTTTAATAAACAGAGGAAATGATAAAAAAAAGATGTCCACATCCTAATCCCAGGAATCTGTGAATATGTAACCTTATATGACTAAAGGAACTTTACAGATGTTACTAAAGTTATAGACCTTGAGATGGGAAGATTATCCTGGATCATACAGGTGGGCCCAATCTAATTTCAAGAGTCCTTAAAAGTAAAGAGTCTTTCTCCACTGTGGTTATAAAGAGATAAAACAAGAGAAGATAGTAGAAAGATGCGACATGAGAAGGACTCCCACCACTGCTGGATTTGAAGATGAGGGAAGGGGATCAAGAACCAAGGAATGTAGGCAGCCCAAGGAATGCTGGAAAATAAAGGAAATGGATTCTTTCCTAGATAGAGCCTCCAGAAAAGAAGGCAGCCCAGGATGTTATCTTGACTTCAGCACAGTGAGACCCATGATGGACTTCTGACTTACAGAGGTCTGGGATAAATTTATGTTATTTGTTACAGCATCAATAGAAAGCAAATCCACATACTTATTGGCCTCCCTTTAAATTCATGTCCTCAAATATAAATAAAATGGGTACATAATAGGTGTATATATTTACAGGGTACGTGAGATACTTTAATACAGGCCTGCGATGTGTTATAATCACATCATGGTAAATGGGGTACCATCCCCTCAATAATTCATCCTTTGTGTTATACATGTCTTCAAATTTTAAAGTTAAAATTAAGCACAAGGACTTGGAAAAGGTCCTTGCAAGTGAGGAACCATGAAGTTTAAGTTCATTAAGTAATGGTAGACTACAGCAAGCCCAAATCCACTTAAATTTTCAGAAAGTTTGCAAGATTGTTGATTTCAAGCTTGTTGATATTTTACTATCTTTGCCTATTTGCCTTTCTACTCTTTGAAATTGCCATTTTATTCATTTTTCTATCTACTGAAACCTTCAAAACCCTCCAGCTCTACCAAAAACACATTTTCACATGGGTGTTCCCTTACTTTTCTACTGTTAAATCTATATAACCTGCTTTTTTATATTCTAAAGACTATCTCAACCAAAGCTACCTAATGACCAGAGGTGGATTTCCTAACAATAAGCTAATGAAGTGTCACACTGGTAAATGTTTACAACTCGTTCTTGGGGAGAGGGAAAATGCCCTGATTTGTCATACTTGCTGATTTCTGTGGCTTGAATATTCCCACCATGGCTGATTTGAAGCTACCAATATGACATCAACAAGCTTGTGAACTTTCTGAAAATTTAAATGGATATGGGCTGGCTGTAGTCTACCGTTACTTAATGAACTTAAGCTTCATGACTCCTCATTTGCATGGGCCTTTTCCAAGGCCTTGTGCTTAATTTTAAATTTTGTGTTCTTTTTTTCAAAAAGTTTTTCAACTCTGCTCCAATGGTATAAGCTTTACATTGCACAAAACCTGTATCTGCCTTGGTAGTGACCTTTCAGCTCAGCTCCTAGAGCTAACTTGCAATTTTCCTCTGTGACTTTTTGTTTAAACTATTAAGAAAGGAAATATGATTGGCTTAGTTAATCTCTTTTAGGGCTGATTCCTTTTTGCTAGGCCATGCTGTTGGTCAGTTATAAGCCTATGGCTGAATTACTCTGGTTAGGGTATGCATCTCTGGTCCAAATACTGTAGGTAGGAAGGTGAAAACATGTGCTTCACTGTCAATGAAACAGGGGCTGTGTGTGGGCCAGTTTTCCTTAAAAGAGTTTGTCAGTGGAGCATGCTGACTTAGAGATGTCAAACTCCTCAGTGCCCTGGCTATCAACACAAAGGAGACCTTTAGATAATAAAGCATAATCTGTCTTTTATTTCATAGTTAAAAGCACAAATTATCAGCTTGCCTTGTAAGTAAAACCATGAGAAGTATCTTCTAATGTAGAGACTAGTCACCTATTTACTTCCTTATCCAATCTAGACTCCTTTAAGAGTTATTGAAATAAATAAGCAGATAATGATACAAGATTTATAGTGTTGATTAAAATTAACAAGTGTTCACACGGGAATTCCAAATGGAGACAGTAGGTATGTTAGCATCTGCATAAAATGAGTCTTACTGTAATTTGTATGACCTAACTCATGGGGTGGGTCAGCAGAAATGAAGACAGATGGTAAGTGATTAGCTTTGAAGATTCTTGTATGCCATTACCACCATGATGAGCTCTCCTTTGTAAGTGAGCCATTTTCACAAGAACATTCCCACTTTAAACATTTACAATTTATGATATGCAAATTCCTGATCTGCCCCAAACCCTCTGAACCAGAATCTCTGAGGGAGGGGCTCAGGAATCTGTCTTTTTAGCACAGCCCTGACATCTGCATTTTATTAGACAATAAATACACACGTAAATGCACATTGACGTTTGAGAGCCCCTACTCCAGACTACTTGGTATTGTTCACCATGGCATCTCCAACCCCTAGAACAGCTCCTGACATTGAACAGACACTCAATAAAGAAGGCTGAATGAATGAATGAATATGTCCCCTAGATCTTGAGTTGGGGAGATTATCCTGAATTATGTGAGTGGGCCCAGTGTAATCATAAGAGTTCTAAGAGCGAGGGAGGCAGGAGAGTCTGAGTTACAGAGATGTGGTGTTGGAAGCAGAGAGGAAAGAGAGATGCAGGAGACAGAGAGAGAGAGCCGAAAAAGCAGGAGGAAGAGAAGAATAATGATGAGGGGGAGGATGAGGAGAAGAAGAAGGAGAAGGAGAAATAGAAGAAGGGAAGAGAAGAGGAGTTAAAGATACTATGCTGCTGGAAGATGGAGGAAGATGCTATGAGCCATGTAATGCAATTGGTCTCTAGAACCTGGAAAAGGCAAGGACACAGATTCTCCCCTAGAACCTCCAGAAGGAATGCAGCCCTGTTAATACCTTGATTTTAGAACTTCTGACTTTTGGAACTACAAGATAATACATTTTTGTTGTGTTAAGCCACTAAAATTGTGTTAATTTACTACCGTGGCAATAGGAAACAAATACACCCTGTCCTAGGTAAGACTTTCATAGTCTAAGTCAAGTGTATAAAAATGAGATTCTCCCTTTCTATTACTGTTGAAGACCCTATTTTGTGCAGTTTCAGAAATCTTAATATTGACAATTCAAGATACTGTTAATAAAATTGATGATTAAACATTCTTTTCAGGTAAAAACTCAGTAAAATCAAGGTTTTGCTCTTCCTTCTTATTTTATGGGGTAGAATCTAAGTACTAAAATGAGAAGAAGAGTATTTTTCCCGTGATTATTCTCTGCTCTCTGTGGGTGTCTGAGGGAAACCTAGCCCGTATTATATTTGGGTGGTTGGTCTACTTCCTAATATCCACAGTCCTAACAGACCTACATATTACGCTCTCAACGTGGAATTCATTGTCATCGTTTCCTTGTTAAAATCACAAGGCCTCTTCTAGCCCACTACTCATCTCTTAACCATTTGTAGTCTTCTTCAGGGCACAGATAACTTTGGCATAACTACCCACCCTTTGGGGTCTTAGAAGATTTGAGAGACTCTCTGCTCTTTTCTATCTAGATGTGTCTGGACACCATTTTTGTAAGGCTTGCTAGCTTCTTGGGCTTTGTCATGGAAGTATAAAGCATGAGGCTCTGCTCTCAATATGCCCCGAATATTTCTAAGATTCTGATCACATCCCCTTCCAAGAAATTAGTCTCAATTCTCTTCCCCGACTCAGCCAATCTAACTTAGTTTCATTTTGGATATAGAAGGGAGAGTCTTCTTTCATCATATGTTCTTTCCAAATCTCTTGTTTATGGGATAACTTTTAGGCTCTTACTTAGTCTTTGTACTATGTCTTTAAACTTTTGAAAATCAAACCTTTTTCTTTCCAAAAATCTTGGCTTTTATAATGCAAAGCTTTCTCTTGAGACAGTGGCTCTGCTAAGGGTTTCAGAGGTCTAATTCTAAAGTAAACTCCAAGAATATGACTCCTTGTTTTATGTGTTGGGTCCTTGCCTGAGGTAATAAGTTTCAGCCTCAAGGTCTAATTTTAATGGGAAATGTTGAGGGGTAATGAGGGGTAAAAAGGGAATGAAAACCCATCCATTAATACTTCAAGATATTATGCCTCTTCATTTCTCTCCCTAGTAAATCATTGCATTTAGATTTTTCAGTGCAGTTTCCCCCAACGGTTCCCCTCCACAAATTATGCAAGGCCTTTGCAAGGCTCATCTGAATCCTGTAGAATCTCTACCTTTGGTTATGGCATAATTCAGAGGGGAACTAAGTATTTGATCAGAAACTGTACATCCAGAATAATGGCTCTCATGTGTAAAGATTCAGAATTCATAGGGGTAGTTATTACAATGAGCTCCAAGAATGAAGGTGAGAACTTTCAAGCAGAGAATGATAAGAGGAGATGATTTTTAAAGAGGTAGAGGGTCATACATGAATTTGGGAGTTTCTGTACTCTGCCCCCAAATGCTGTTGAGCTAAATCTCAGGGATAGTAAAACATGATGGAAATCCCCACTTAAAAGTTGGAAAAATCAAAAGAAGGAAGGACTTAAGTTTTACAGCCTAGGTGGAGACCAGTAAGCTGGGAAGCCTGGTCAAGCAATCTACTTCTTTTTCATTCAATGCAGCAGTCTTATAGTAGAGTTATGTGGTGTGGCAGGTCTGGATAAGAAAAGGCTAGAGATAAGCCTCCATTATTCTTAATACTTGCTAACTCCCTACCATTAAGTTGTATGAACCCTCCAGGGACATAGGAGGCCATATGAAAATGTACAGTGGTCCTTTGAATTTGATGAGGAAGTTACTTGAGAGAAGGACAAAGAAAACCAATTGTTTCTAAGACATCTTTAGCCAGAATAAGAGGACTGTGCATATGGTTTGGACAGTCTCTGCCATGGATTGGAATATGTAATACCCCTTACTGGCTCACCAGCACAAGAGAGCTGAGTTGGAGCTAAATATCCATAAAACAAGCAATGTCCATTTGTTTGAGGCTGATGCAGTAATGGCTTTTAATTTATTCATGTCTTCCTGTTTCTATACTCTTAGGCAGCACCCTTTATATTGACTCCAGACTTGTACATGTGGCTTGATTTGGCCAATGAAGCAATATAAAATGTAATGGCAGGTAGAAGCTTGGAGTGCTTACATATTGGGGTTTGCCTTCCCTTGCTCTTACTGGGACTCTTGATCACTCTGTGATTAGCCTGTTGGATTATGAAAGACATGTGGTCTGGTTACTCTCATCGCAGCTGACAGACAGCCAATCTAGAGACATGTGAGTGAGGTCCTTGACTGCCAGCTGACTGTAGATGCATAAGTGAGTCCAGCTGAGTTCAGCCCAAATTACTTACCCACAAAGTCGTAAGCTAAACAAATGGTTGTTATATTAAGCTAGTAAGTTTTGCTGTGGTTTGTTAAACAGCAAATGTTAACTGATGTACCATTCAAGGGAGTATTGTGCAACATGTGTGCCTAGGATGAAATGAGATGGGTTACATCCGGAACAGGAAGAAAGGAAAGCAAACACAATGCCATTTTCTTTAGTTGCCTCTCTACCTCCCCAACATACCCAAATCATTGATTCTGGGGAAGGAAGGACTAAAACAAAGGGGAAAAATCAGTGATTATGACTGAAGATTCAATTTGAACTAACCGAGATGTTATTAAACTGACCTGGACATAACTGGCTTAAATTTTTTGTGTTAAACAGAATGGTGGCTCAGAGAAAGATCCTTTTTAAAAAATTAGCATGTCTGAGCCTGTGACCAGAGGAATCCATGCTTGTTATACCTGTATTTCAGTATTAATGCCCTAGACTGTACCTAATGTATCTGAATGGTTAAGCCTAGAGCCATGCATCATACTCATGTCCAAATATGAAAGTCTGAGTCAGAATCAGTTTAGAGTAAATTTCCAAGGTATAGGGAAGGGGATACTTTGCTGTGAGTTTGAGGAACATGAGAAAATATGGACATGTGGACACCTGTAGTTGATTCTCATTGTTCTTTTGGCTTTGCTACAATGGAGGGCAAAATAGAAAAAAAAAGATACATTTTTTTCTTATGTAAAATTTATTACTACTGGTATTTTAATACTTAACATCATATTGAGTACATACTCATCACTATGCTAAGCTCTTTATGCACGTTGTTTCATTTCATCCTCATAACAACCTGTGAGGTAAAATATTATTTTCCCCCTTTACAGGTGAAGAAACTGAGAGTCAGAGATTAAATTACTTAAGTTCATGAAATGAATAAAATGGCTGAAATCCAGAACTGTCCGACTCTAAAAAACTCGATTTCATTTTGGCAAAACGTTGCTTTTTAAATGCATGGTAGCATTTTAAAATTTATTGCTAGCAATAATTTTCCTTGCAAGATAAAACAAGTATTGAGAAGGAAGGTATAATTAAGTGCTGAAGGACAAGTTACAATTTCATGTGGAGACCTAGGACACTAGGCAGAGCAAAGTTAAGAGAGGGGCCTCATTGTTGCTTTTGGATGGATACTCTTGCCCCAGATACTTCACACAGAATAAAGATTATAACAATGATTCCTATTGAATTTGACCAGGTGAAGAAAAAGCCAATTTTTTCCCTTTAAAATAAGAGTGATTTGCAATAAATTTCCCCAATAATAGCTTTCTTGTAAAGAAAATAAAGAAGATACACAATCAGAGAAAGCACAATTGGTCTGCAGGCCTCTCCCAATATTGAGGTAAGTATGAATTCCCAGCATTTAGGAATTGATATATTTGGTAAAATGTATCATGATCATGGTTTTCTGGATATGATCACTAATTGAAAAAAATAAATATTTGCAAGCAAAGGGGATTCTCATCTGAAACACATTTCTATGTATCACAGTCAACGCATTTCTCAGTTACCACTTCCAGGTTCCAGCAGAAGCCTTGGAAGACAGAAGGTTGATTTCCATCCGTTCTATCTTAAGGTATCATCAGCACAGCACCAAGCTTTGGCACAGCCATTAGACTTAAAGCTACTCTGACGTTATTGCATCCTGTGCCTGAGGTCAACATGACTTTGCCTTGCAGCACTGGCCATGTTGGCTGTTGGTCCCTGGAGCTCCAACTGCCTCAACTGCTGCCAGACTTGCATCCACCCTTGGATCCAATCAAAACAATGTCACCCAGTGGATTGGCTACACTTGACCCCTACTTTTTCCCACCAAAACAAAGTGTGTTCATTAGGAAACATGTTGCCTGGAGACAGGAGAAAATGATTAAGTTGAATTTATGGTATGAAAGCAATCTTTAGATTAAAAAGAGATCATATAGGTGGAAGCACCTAGCTAGCAGGTACTAACCAAACATTTGTTTCCCTCCCTTTACAATTCCATTTTCAAATGAGTGAATATGATGTGGGAAAAAAGGGGTACATTTTTTTCTGTGACAAATTGAGCTGTTTTGAAGATTGTCAGTCAACAATTCATTTAGTTACTAAACTTTTTTCAATTAAATTTTCTCCATAATTTTTTGAAATGTGTGCCCTTTTGTTAGGCTAGAGGTTGGCAATATTAACAAAAATCACTTTGAATATCTGTTTTCAAGTACATTCCATTTTCTTCTTCTCCTTCTTCCTTCTTCTTTCTTCTTTCTTCCTTCTTCTTCTTTGTCTTCGTCTTCGTCTTTGTCGTCTTCTTTTTTTTGAGATGGAGTCTCACGCTATCACCTAGGCTGGAGTGCAGTGGCGTGATCTCAGCTTACTGCAGCATCTGCCTCCCAGGTTCAAACATTTCTCCTGCCTCAACCTCCTGAGTATCTGGGACTACAGGTGCCCGCCACCATACCTGGCTTATTTTTGTACTGTTAGTAGAGATGAGGTTTTTCCCCATATTGGCCAGGCTGGTCTCGAACTCCTGACCTTGTGATCCACCCACCTTGGCCTCCCAAAGTGCTGGGATTACAGGTGTGACCCACTAGCCCCAGTCGCATTTTCTTCTTTTAATACTAGACAAATGCATGATTCTGCATGAGATACTGCATCCTTTTAGAACATACTTTCTGAAATCTGAATTTCATTTTAACACCAAACAACCAAGTTGTTAGTTCCCTGTTGCTAAGGAAACCATTGTGTATAGATCACCAGTAAACACAATAGATGGTTAGTTAGACTTTTATTTGTCGGGGGCAAGTACCTCTCTCCTTTGAGATTAGAAAATTACTACCTTTTGATTGGAAAGAACAAGTAATGTGGGCTTAGGTGACTGCTGTAGAGAAACACACCTGCAGGACTCTATCATTTTTTTCTTTTGTTTTAGACATGGATAAATAGGCAGGGGCCTAAGGGTAGCTTTTAGAAAGAATTGACAGCCAAGTGACACTGTCTTTCTCTTTCCCTGTCCCATTCCTAACAGCGAGAGGCAGAGATCCTTTTTTCACATCAATCTCTTTATTTCTTTTCCACCTTTATCACCATGATCAAGCCTTCCTCACCCCAAATCAAGACTTTAAAAATAACCTCCAATTTGATCTCTCTATGTCCAGATTCTTTTTCCTTTATTTCATTATTCACATTATGTGTAAGATTAATGTCTCAGCCAGACTGCCTGTGTTCAAATTCTAGCTCTGCCTCTTGTAACTTGTGTGACCTTTGGGCAAGTTACTTAACCTTTTGTCTCAGTTTCTTCCTGTGTAAAAGGGAAATAATAATATCTATCTTATAAGGTTGTGATGAATAAATAAGTCAATCCATATAAATCACTTATTTCGGTGGCTGACACATAATAAGTTCTCAATAAAAGTTAGCTCTCACTATTTTTTTTTTCATTTTTGTGGGTACATAGTAGGTGTATATATTTATGGGTTGCATGAGATGTTTTGATACATGCATGCAATGTGTAATAATCACATCATGAAAGATGAGGTATCCATGCCCTCAAGCATTTATCCTTTGTGTTACAAATAATCCAGTTATACTCTTTTAGTTATTTAAAATGTACAATTAAATTATTATTGACTATAGTCACTCTGTTGTGCTATCAAATACTAAGTCTTATTCATTCTTTCTAACTCTTTTTTTGTTCTACCCTCCCACTACGTTTCCCAGCCTCTGGTAACCATCCTTCTATCCCCATGAGTTTAATTGTCTTGAATTTTAAATCCCACAAATAAGTGAGAACATGTAATATTTGTCTTTATGTGCCTGGATAATTTCACTTAGCATAATGACCTCCAGTTCCATCCATGTTTGCAAATGACTGCATCTCATTCTTTTTTTTTATGGCCGAATAGTACTCCATTGTGTATATGTACCACATTTTCTTTATCCATTCATCTGTTGATGGACACTTAAGTTGCTTCCAAATCTTGGCTATTGTGAACAGTGCTGCAACAAATGTAGGAGTGCAGTTATCTCTTTGATAAACTCATTTCCTTTCTTGTGGGTATTTGCCCAGTGGTGGGATTGCTGAATCATATGGTAGCTCAATTTTCAGTATTTTGAGGAACCTTCAAACTGTTCTCCGTAGTGGTGGTACTAATTTACATTCCCAACAGTGTACAAGTTTTCCCTTTTCTCCACGTCCTCTCCAGTATTTCTTATTGCCTGCCTTTTGGATAAAAGTCATTTTATCTGGGGTGAGATTATATCTCATTGTAGTTTTGATTTGCATTTCTCTGATGATCAATGATATTGAGCACCTTTTCACATGCCCTTTCACCATTTGTATGTCTTCTTTTGAGCAACGTCTGTTCAAATCTTTCATCCACTTTTTAATTGGGTTATTAGCTTTTTCCTATAGAGTTGTTTGAACTCCTTTTATATTCTGGTTATTAATCCCTTGTCAGATGGGTAGTTTGCAAATATTTTCTCCCACTTTGTGGGTTGTCTTTTTATTACGGTAATTATTTTTTCCTGTGCAGAAGCTTTTTAACTGGTTGTGGTACCCTTTGTCCATTTTGCTTTGGTTGCCTGTGCTTGTGGGGTATTACTCAATAAATTTTAGCCCAGACCAATGTCCTGGAGATTTTCCCCAATGTTTTCTTGTAGTAGTTTCATGATTTGAGGTCTTAGATTTGTCTTTAATCCATTTTGATTTAATTTTTGATATGGAGAGATATAGGGGTCTTGTTTTATTTTTCTGCAAATAGATATCAACTTTTCCCAGCACCATTTATTGAAGAGACTGTCTTCTCCCCAGAATATGTTCTTGGCACCTTTGTCAAAAAGAGTTCATTGTAGGTGTGCGGATTTGTTTCTGGGCTTTCTATTCTGTTCTATTGGTGTATAAGTCTATTTTTATGCCAGTGTCATGCTGTTTTGGTTACTAGCTCTGTAGCATAAATTGAAGTCAGGTAATGTGATTCCTCCTGTTTTGTTCTATTTGTTTAAGATAGTTTTGGCTATTCTGGGTCTTTTGTGGTTCCGTATAAATTATAGGATTGTTTTTTCTATTTCTGTGAAGAATTTCCTTGGTAATTTGACAGAGGTTGCAGAGAATCTGTAGATTACTTTGGGTAGTATGGACATTTTAACAATATTGATTCTTCCAATCCATGAACTTGGAGTATATTTCCATTTTTCTATGTCCTCCTCAATCTCTTGCATCGTGATACTTTTCCTTGCACAGATCTTGCACTTCTTTGGTTAATTCCTAGGTATTTTATTTTGAGCTATTGTAAATGAGATTACTATTTTTATTTCTTTTTCACAGCGTTCATTGTTGGCATATAGAAATGCTACTGATTTTTGTGTGTTGATTTAGTATCCTGCAATTTTACTGAATTTGTTTATCAGTTCTAACAGTTTATTGGTGGAGTCTCTAGGTTTTTCCAAATATAAGATTATATCATCAACAAACAAGGATAATTTGACTTCTTCCTTTCCAATTTGGATGCCCTTTATATCTTTCTCTTGTTTAATTGCTCTAGCTAGGTCTTCCAGTACTACGTTGAAAAACAGTAGTGACAGTGGGCATTCTTGTCATGTTCCAGATCTTAGAGCAAAGGCTTTCCATTTTTCCCCATTCAGGATGATGCTAGCTATGGGTTTGTCATATATGGCTTTTATTATGTTGAGGTATGTTCCTTCTATACCCAGTCAGAGAATTTTTATCATAAAGCAATGTTGAATTTTATCAAATGCTTATTCAGCATCAATTGAAACAATCATATGGTTTTTGTCCTTCATTGTGTTGATGTGATGTATCACACCAATTGATTTATGTATGTTGAACTGACCTTGCATCCCAGAGATAAATCCCACTTGGTCATTATGAATGTTCTTTGTAATGTATTGCTGAATTGCATTTTCTAGTGTTTTGTTGAGGATTTTTGCATTGATATTTATCAGAGATTATGGTATGTAGTGTTCTTTTTTGATGTGTCTTTGGTTTTTGTATCAGGGTAATACTGGCCTCATAGAATGAGTTTGGAAGTATTCCCTTCTCTTCCATATTTTGTAATAGTTTGAGTAGGACTGGTATTATTAGTTCTTTAAATGTGAAGCCATCAAGTCTTGAACTTTTGTTTACTGGGAGACTGTTTATTATAGGTGCAATATCATTACTTGTTGTTGGTTTGTTCGGGTTTTCGATTTGTCATAGCACAATCTTGGTAGGTTGCATGTGTCTAGGAATTTGTCCATTTCTTCTAGATTTTCTAATTTATTGGTATATACTTGCTCATAGTAGCCACTAATGATCCTGTGACTTTCTGAGGTATCAGTTGTAATGTCTCCTTTTTCTTCTAAGATTTTACTTCTTTGAATCTTATCTCTTTTTTCTTAGTCTGGCTAAAGGTTTGTCAATTTTGTTTAGCTTTTCAAAAAATCAACTTTTTTGACAACAGATCTAATTAAACTAAAGAGCTTCTGCACAGCAAAAGAAACTATCATCAGGGTGAACAGGGAACCTACAGAATGGGAGAAAATTTTTTCAATCTATCCATCTGACAAAGGGCTAATATCCAGAATCTACAAGGAACTTAAATGTACAAGGGGAAAAACAAACAAACAAACAACTCCATCAAAAAGCGGGTGAAGGATATGAACAGACACTTCTCAAAAGAAGACATTTATGTGGCCAACAGACATATGATAAAAAGCTCCTCATCACTGGTCATTAGAGAAATGCAAATCAAAACCACAGTGAGATACCATCTCACACCAGTTAGAATGGCGATCATTAAAAAGTCAGGAAATAATAGATGCTGGAGAGGATGTGGAGAAATAGGAACACTTTTACACTGTTGATGGGAGTGTAAATTAGTTCAGCCATTGTGGAAGACAGTGTGGTGGTTCCTCAAGGATCTAGAACCAGAAATACTATTTGACCCAGCAATCCCAGTACTGGGCATATACCCAAAGGATTATAAATCATTCTACTATAAAGACACATGCACATGTATGTTTATTGCAGCACTGTCCACAATAGCAAAGACTTGGAGCCAACCTAAATGCCCATCAGTGATAGACTGGATAAAGAAAATGTGGCACATATACACCATGGAATACTATGCATCCATAAAAAAGGATGAGTTCATGTCCTTTGCAGGGCCATGGATGAAGCTGTAAACCCTCATTCTCAGCAAACTAACACAAGAACAGAAAACCAAACACCGCATGTTCTCACTCATAAGTGGGAGTTGAACAATGAGAACACATGGACACAGGGATGGGAACATCACAGACGGGGGCCTGTCAGCAGGTGGGGGATAGGGGAGGGATAGCATTAGGAGAAATACCTAATGTAGATGAGGGATTGATGGGTGCAGCAAACCACCACGGCACATGTATACCTATGTAACAAACCTGTACATTCTGCACATGTATCCCAGAACTTAAAGTATAATAATAAAAAATAGCAACTAAAAAAATCAACTTTTTGTTTCATTAATTTTTTGCATTATTTTCTTCATTTCAATTTCATTTATTTCTGCTCTGATCTTTGTTATTTATTTTCTTCTACTAATTTTGGGTTTGGTTTGCTCTTGCTTTTCCAGTTCTTTAAGATGCATTGTCAGGTTGTTTATTTGAAGTTTTTCTTCTTTTTTGATGTAGGCACTTATAGCTATAAACTTAACTCTTAGTACTGCTTTTACTGTATGGAACAGGTTTTGGTATGCAGTCTTCCAATTATCACTGGCTTCAAGAAATTTTTCAATTTCTTAATTTCTTCATTGATACACTGGTCATTCAGTAGCATATTGTTTGATTTTAATGTATTTGTATAGTTTCCAAAATACCTCTTATTATTGATTTCTCATTTTATTCCATTGTGGTAAGAGAAGATACTTATTATTATTTCTATTTTTTCATATGCTTTAAAAATCGTTTTTTGACATACCATATGGTTTACCCTTGAGAATAATTCATGTGCTGCCAGAAAAATATGTATTCTGCAGCCATTGGATGAAATGTTCTGTAAATATCTATTAGGTCCGTTTGGTCTATAGTGTAGATTAAGTCTGATGTTTCTTTATTGATTTTCACTCTGGAAGATCTGTCCAATGATGTAAGTCGGGTGTTGAAGTCTTCAACTATTATTGTATTGGGGTCTATCCCTCTCTTTAGCTCTAATAATAATTGCTGTTTATATCTGAGTACTCCAGTGTTGGGTGCACATATATTTAAAATTGTTATATCTTCTTGCTGCATCAGCCCCTTTAACATTATAAAGCAAACTTCTTTGTCTCTTCTTATAGTTTTTGTCCCGATATCTATTTTTTTCTGACATAAGTATAAATACTCCTGCTCTTTTTTGGTTTCCATTGGCATGGAATATCTTTTTCCATCCCTTTATATTTAGCCTTTATATATCTTTATATGTGAAATGTATTTCTTGTAGGCAACAGATCCCTGGGTCCTGGTTTTTTTTTTTTTCTTTTTCCACTCAGCCACTCTGTATCTTTTGATTGGTAGTTTAGTCCATTTACATTCAATGCTATTATTGATGAATAAGGACTTACTCCTGCCATTTTGTTAATTATTATCTGGTTGTTTTGTTGTCTTCTCTTCCTTCTTTCTTTTCTTCCTGTGTTTTAGTGAAGGTGATTTTCTCTGGTGATATGATTTAGTTTCTTGCTTTTTATTCTTTGTGTATCCATTGTATGCCTTTTAAGTTTGAAGTTGCCAGAAGGCTTGCAAATACAATCTTATAATTCATTATTTTAACCTGATAACAACTTAAAATATTTTGCATAAGTAACACACAAAAAGAAAATTAATAAAAACTCTACACTTCGTCCCCTTCTTAACCTTTTTATTGTTTCTATTTCTATCTTGTTTACATATTATATATTATATTTATATCTTGTTGCATTGAGTATGTCTTGAAAAGTTGTCGTAGTTATTATTTTTGATTGGTTCATTGTTTAGTCTTTCTAGTTAGGATAAGAATAGATTATATACCACAGTTAGTGTTATAACATTCTGTGTTTTTTTATATACTTACTATTACCAGTGAGTTTTGTACTTGCAGATGTTTTCTTATTGCTCATTAACATCCTTTTCTTCCTGATTGAACTACTTCCTTTAGCATTTCTTATAGGAAAGGTCTGGGGTTGATGAAATTCCTCAGCTTTAGTTTGTCTGGGAAAGTCTTTATTTCTCCTTCATGTTTGAAGGATATTTTCACCAAATATACTATTCTAACATTAGAGTGTTTTTCCTTCAGCACTTTACATATGTTGTGCCACTCTCTCCTGTTCTGTAAGGTTTCCACTGAAAAGTCTGCTGCCAGATGTATTGGAGCTCCATTGTATGTTATTTGTTTCTTTTCTCTTGCTGCTTTTAGGGTCCTATCTTTATCCCATATCTTTGGGAGTTTAATTATTAAAAGCCTTGAGGTAATCTTTGGGTTAAATCTGTGTGGTGTTCTTCAACCTTCTTGTACTTGGATATTGATATTTTTCTCTAGATTTAGGGAGTTCGCTGTTATTATACCTTTGAAGAAAATTTCTACCCCTATTTCTTCCTCTACTTCTTCTTTATGGCCAATAACTCTTAGATTTGCCCCTTTGAGGCTGTTTTCTACATCCTGTAGGCACACTTTATTGTTTTTATTCTTTTTTATTTTGTCTCCTCTGACTATATATTTTCAACAGTCTGTCTTCAAGCTCACTAATTCTTTAGTCTGCTTGATCAATTCTGCTATTAAAAGACTGATGCATTCTTCAGTGTGCAAGTTGCAATTTTCAGCTCCAGAATTTCTGCTTGATTATTTTAAATTGTTTCAATCCCTTTGTTAAATTTGTCTTATAGTATTCTGAGTTCCTTCTCTGTGTTTTCTTGAATTTCTTTGAGTTTCCTCAAAACAACTATATTTTTAAACTTTTATTTCAGGTTCAGTGACCCATGTGCAGGTTTGTTATATAGGTAAACCTGTGTCATGGGGTTTGTTGTACAGATTATTTCACCACCCATCTACTAAAGCTTTTCTGCTCCTCTCTCTCCTCCCACCCTCCATGTGCAAGTAGGCATGAATGTACTTTGTTCCCTTCTTTGTGTTCATGAGTTCTCATCATTTAGCTAAAACTGATAAGTGAGAATATGTGGTATTTTGTTTTCCGTTCTGGCATTAGTTTGCTAAGAATAATAGACTCCATCTCCATCCATGTTCCCACAAAAGACATGGTCTCATTTTTTCTATAGCTGCATAGTATTCCATGGTGTATATGTACCACATTTTCTTTATCCAGTCTGTCATTGATAGGCATTTAGGTTGATTCCATGTCTTTGCTTTTGTGAATAGTGCTGCAGTGAACATACACATCCATGTGTCTTTATGGTATAATGATTTATGTTCCTCTGAATATATACCCAGTAATGGGATTGCTGGGTCAAATGGTAGTTCTGCTTTTAGCTCTTTGAGGAATTGCCATACCGCTTGCCCAATGGTTGAACTAATTACACTCCCACCAACAGTGTATAAGTGTTCCCTTTTCTCCACAACTTCACCAGTATTTATTATTTTTTGACTTTTTACTAATAGCCATGCTGATTGGTGTGAGTTGGTATCTCATTGTGGTTTTGATTTGCCTTTCTCTAATCAGTGATGTCGAACTTTTTTAACAATATGATTGTTGGTTGCATGTATGTCTTCTTTTGCAAAGTGTCTGTTCATGACCTTTGCCCACTTTTAAATAGAGTCGTTTGTTTTTATTTTGTAAATTTGTTTAAGTTCCTTATAGATGCTTGATAAAAAACCTTTGTCAGATGCGTAGCTTGCAAATATTTTCTCCCATTCTGTAGGTTGTCTGGTTACTCTGTTGATAGTTCCTTTTGCTGTGCAGAAGCTCTTAAGTTTTATTAGATTCCATTTGTCTGTCAATTTTTGGATTGCTTTTGGCATCCTTGTCAAGAAAGCTTTGCCCATTCCTATGTACGGGATGGTATTCCTTAGATTGCTTTCTAGGGTTTTTATAGTTTTGGGTCTTTAATCATTTAAGCCTTTAATCCATCTTGAGTTGATTTTTGTATGTGGTGTAAGGAAGGGGTTCAGTTTCAATCCTCTGCATATGGCTAGCCAGTTATACCAGTACCATTTATTGAATAGAAGCCTTTTCCCCATTGCTTGTTTTTGTCAGCTTTGTTGAAGATTCGATGGTTGTAGGTGTGTGGCCTTATTTCTGGGCTCTCTATTGTGTTTCATTGGTCTATGTTCCTAAAAAAGCTATTTTGAATTCTCTGTCTGTAAGGTCAGATATCTCTATCCAGGATTGGCCCCTGGTGCCTTATTTAGTTCATTTGGTGAGGTCATGTTTTCCTGATTGGTGTTGATGCTTGTAGATGTTTTTTGGTGTCTGAATATTAAAGAGTTAGGTATTTACTGTAGTCTTCTCAGTCTAAGCTTGTATGCACCTGTCTTTTTGGGAAGACTTTTCAGATATTTGAAAGGACTTGTGTGTCATGATCTAAGCTGTGTCTGCTTTAGTGGGCACCCCAAGCCCAGTAATGCTGTGGTTCTTGCAGATTTGTAGAGGTATTGCCTTGATGGTCTTGGACAATATCTGGAAGAATTCTCTGGATCATTAGGCAGAGACTCTTGTTCTCCTCCCTTACTTTCTCCAATACAAATGGGGGTCTTTCTCTCTGAACTGAGCCCCCTAGATCTGAGGGTAGAATGATTCAAGCACCCCTGTGGCTACCACCACTAGTATGGCTGCATCAGACCTGAAGCCAGCACAGAACTGGGTTTCACCTAGGGCTTGACTTAACCACTCCCTGGCTATGGCCTATGTTTGGTCAAGGTTTGGGGGTTCTACCATTAGTAGGTGGCCAAGCTAGCCAGGACTGTGTCCTTCCCTTCAGGGTGGTGAGTTCCCCTAGGCCCTTGGCATGTCCAGAGGTGCCATCTAGGAGCCAGGAACTAGAATAAAAAACCTCAGGGGTCTACTTGGTGTTCCATTTTATTGGGGCTGAACTGGCACTCAAACCACAAGATGCAGTTCTTCCTACTTTTCCCTCCCTCTTCCAAAGGCAGAGGAACCTCATCCAATGCCACTGCCACCACAGGCCCACTGAGAATACTGTCAGACTACCACCAATCTTCCCTTAAGACTCAAAGACTCTTTAGTAGCTTGTGGTGAATGCTGCCTGGCCTGGGACTTACTTCTCAGGGCATGGGCTCTACCCTGGCCCAGAACAGGTCCAGAAATTCTGTCCAAGAGCCAAGTCCTGTAATGAGGTAATTCAAGGGCCTTCTTGGTGCTCTATCCCCCTGTGACTGAGATGGTACCTAAGGTACAAGACTAAGTCCCCTTTATTCTTCCTTCTGCTTTTCTCAAGTGGAGGGAATCTTACCCTGTAGCCACCACAGTTGGGAATGTGCTGAGTTTCATCTGCAGCCATCAAGTCTCAGAGGTTCACCAAAGGCCCTCAATGTAGTTCCTGGGTATTGCTGCTGGTAAGTCAGGGTCCAAGGGCTCTTCAGTTAGTAGGTGATGAATCATGCGAGGGCTGAGACTTACCCTTCAAGACAGCAGGTTCCCTTCTGGTCCAGGGCATGTCTAGAAATGTCATCTGGGAGCTAGGGTCTGGAAAATGGCCCTTGTGACTCTGACTGGTGCCCTATCCTGCTGTGGCTGAGCTGGTATCCATGATGCAACACCCCTCAAGTTGAGAAAAGTGGTATCTTTTTGAGCTGTGGGCTGTGCAGCCTAGGGTTAGGGGAAAGGTGATGCCAGCACTTCCTTAGCTGCCTTGACTGTTGTCTCAGTAGGTCACATGTCCACCCAGTCCACTGGCTGTGGTACTACTTCAGCCCTAGGACTTGCCTAAAATCTGCAGTCCTTATGGCCTAGCCTGCCTTTCATGTTTACTTAGAGACCCAGAGAACTTTGGCCCTCAGTGATGAAGTTTGCAAAAAGTTACATTTGGACCACTAGGATTGTTGATTTCCCTCTGGCTATGGTTGGTTTAAATGTTCCCACCATGGGTGGGTGTCAGTTGAGTTTGGTCTGGTTTTCCTTTGTGCTCTAATGGGACAGCACTGAGTTCAATGCCTCACAGTTGCTGGCTCTCCCTTGCCCAGCACCCAGAGATGCTCTCACCACTACTCCCTGGCTGCTGGGAGTTCAGGGGGAGGGGTGGCATTGATGGTTCATGACTATTTTTCCTACCTCTTCAGTCCTGTAGATTTTTAAATATGGAATTTAGTCTTACGCTGATTAACAGTAGTCTTCTCCATATCATTCAAATTAGTGAGGTAAGATTGTGCCAGTCCAACCTCATATGATGGCCTTCCTTGTTACCAAGAGAGGTCCCGTTGGGGCTTTATTTGGCACCCAACTTTCTAGTATCTTGACAGCTATGGCACTCAGATGAGACCTGATGTCGCATGAATTGTATCAAGGCTACAGATTTATCTGCAAAGTCATGCTATAAGTCCAAAAGGTTAATATTATGCCTTGGAGTAGTTCTGTTTTCTGTCTTTAATAAGCAGCCATCAAAATCCTATCCATTTCTCTCGTGTTGGCTATTGCAATGGACCTCCTCTGCAGTGGCATGAGGGCACACTGAAAATTGTGAGTGCCTGGCTGTCTAGAGCAATAAAGGGGATGACCACAGCCAGCTCCTCAGCTCCTGTCAGAAAATCACAATTTGCTTTTCTGTGAATTATACCCTGGAGGAACCAACTAGCTGTCTTAGTAATGACTTGATGAACATAGATGTTTCTAAGCTAATGTCTCACCCTTTCAATTCCCTGTTCCTTAGATGTATTAGTGTCCATGAGTTTTGGTGAATTTGTTTGAAAATGTCTGGAATAGCTATTCTGAGAGGGTGAAGGCTTTTGTGCAATATTTGAAAAAAAATAGGAGATATGTGCTATTATCACTCGCAGGAATACAGCCTAGATATTTCCTGAGCACTAAAATAAGAATGGATTTGTCATGCAATGGCTTTACTCTAAGCTCAGGACTCTTCCTTTACTATCTTTTAAATGCTAATTAGCTTCACTGAATGCCTCTGGAAAAGTGTCCCACAAATCAGGAAACATTAAATTATCACTTACTCTGCATTAGCTGAAGGCATCAGAAGCCAGCAGAATCTCTGGTGTAGAAGAAGGAACCATGTTGCAGGTCTGGTTAGTAGCCTCTCATAGCAGTTTTTGTGCCAGCATACTGGGTTTTTGGTTCCTCTACCATGATAATTGGTCAATTGCCTTGGTAGAATCAAAACAAAAAACCATTGAGAGCTAAATGAAGTAGGTTGTTTTGTCAAAAAGTAGAGATTAGGAAGGGATGGACAGAGGCAACAGATACTGAATACCTTCTCTGTGCCAGGTATCCTGTTTGGTGCTTTATGTAATATAACACAAATCTTTGTGAGATAAGTACTAACCAATTGCTCAGGGTGGAGAAACTGAGGCATATGGTGTTAAACGATTTGTTCATGGGATGACAAAGCATATTTTTTCTACTCAAGAGCTGACATTTTCAACTACAAAGGCAATATTTTCATGTTACTGTTAGGCCTTAAATTCTCACTCACCCAATTTGACATCAGATTAGCTAGCATTTACCTTGCATAGGCCTGAGTTAATTGTACACAGGGCAGGGGAATTTTAAAGGGTGGTTAAAAGAAGGGAAATATAGTCCAGAGCAAGGATCTCAACCTAATCTATCTAACTGATATACAGAAGCATCAAGACAATTTCAATAAGGGACTTCTGCTAGAGTAACAGGATTAACTTTGATGGATAGCTCACTCTCTTTGAGTAGATTTTGAAATTTTACTTGGTAATGTCTCCAAGCTAGTAGTCACTATCATTCCCTATTTGTACATAAAAACTTTCTCTCCTGACAAGATCAGTTACAACTTAGTAGTTAGTGCTGAGAAGGTTCTTACATGCCAAGATGTTATGTAGTTGCAACACTTAGATTCACTTTAGTATTTTATTTTATTTTTTATTTTACCATCTTCACAAAGACAATTCTGAGGCATGTAGGGCTAAGTGGTTAGGAATTGGATACTCCAAGTGGATAGTGACTATATTTACTAGAATCAACTTTTGGCTAACCCCAAGGACAAATCTTTGTGTGTCCTTACTGACATTGTCTACCTAGTCTGCTGATTTAAGCTTTTTGTTGACACAGAGCAAATCATTATTTATTCTAGCTCAGCAGGAATACAAACAGCTCTCTCCCCTTTCGCATACCCACTCCTCTTTTTGCCTTCAGGCTGACTTCCTTATTACACATTATAAACTTAAAATGAAGCTTTTATCTATTGGCCGTAGAATCTTAGCATTATTAGAACCTTTAGAAATAACTGGCTAACATCATCATTTATACAGATTAAAAACTCAAATCAAGAGAAATAATGTGACCTGCCAGAAGTTGTTCAGCTAGTTATTTAGTTAATGCTAAAATAAAAAATCCCCTGATCTCGAATTCAATGCTCATATTCTATGAGAGTCCTAATTTTCTTTTCTTTTTTTTTTTTAAACCAGGAGTCATCATAGAAGCCCTGTTTTGACCACCTTTAGTATTATTAACATTATTATTTACAAAATACATTCAGCTTTTGAAAAAAAATAGCTTCAATCTTTTGTGATCTTTGTTTTCTAGTGTGACTTTCCTGACACTGGGAATTCATCCCTCAGTTGGACAGACAGGATGGGGTGAGGGACAGGGGAGAGGTGCAGAGAGGAAGAGCAAATACTTTTAATAGCTTCTCAGTTGCGGCAAATCACATTTCACTCACAAACAGTTTCTGCAGTCACCATTCCTCTATGTCTAGCTTACATGTCAATGGCAACTCAAAGTCTCACAATTTTCAAATCACTTAGGAATGAATTTCCTAAGTGGCGGCATAGGTGATTGAAACACAAATTCCCTTTCATGATCAACATCTCAAATTACAAATAATGCATGAGGCTTAAATATTCCCTCTGTCTCAATCTTTGCATTTTTATTTTCTGAAAATGCTAGCAAAGGTTTTCCAAAATTTCTTTGCTTAAGTATTCATGGTTGGTCTAGGGGGCTGAAGGACACATTTGTAAGACAGAGGTCTCTCTAACATAAACAGAAGGTTTTGGGCCCAGCTGGTGTTTGACAGTGGGGATATTTATCTTCAGTTAGCCTTTTGTTGAGGGACTTTCTTCCTTCACAAAAGTCCCCTTTTAGTATTCACTAATATAATTCATTAGCTCTTTTGGATCTGGACCACTGTGCATTACAAACTGATATCCTAAGAGATATCAATTTATAGGGACATATCAAAATCAGGCAAGAATATAGTTTATTTGGCAAAATGGGACATAAGTCTGGTATGAAAGTGAAAAGACTGAAATGACCATTTAGAAAGAAATAATTTTATTTCTTTTAAGAGGAATGTTAATAATTAGTACACATGAAACTGTATAAAAATGTGTATGAAAATATGAGCAAAAATTTTTGACATTAGCTAATTGTGTCTTAGAAAAAAGGGCTCTTAATATACAAGCAGTGTTTAGTTCTGGGTGTACTCAAGCATTTTGGGGAAAAATGAATTTCTCAAACCCTTAAAACTAAGAAAAAATTAAAATGTATTGAGTATTGCTTTAGGCCAGGCACTGTGTTAGGCACTTTGGATATATACTTTAATTAATTTGTCTCATTAACTTGGGGAGGTAGGTACTATTGTCCCTACTTTATAGAAAAGGAAAATAAGTGTGTCAATCCTTGGCCTATATGCCCTCAGATTCATTCCTTGCCTTTCCCTTACCTTGCTTTGTAGCACAGGGATGCTAACCCCTTTAAGATGTATTTCTCAGGCTTTCCAGACATAACTTGCTTCTGGCTATGTTCAGCAAAAGGGAGATGCAGTTAAGAGATTGGAGGGTGGGAGGTAGGAAGAGGCAAGGGTATTTCTTACTGCTCCCTCATCCTCCAGCCTGGGGCAGCACCTTCAGCTGGGGCTGCCTTTCCTCTGTGGCTCCAGCTCCCGCAAGAGAGACCTGCTGTGGTTCTAGCTTCTTCTAGGTGACTCTGGCCTCAGGGCTCTGGTAACACCACCTTCTCTTTTTGTTTTTTCAGTTCTAGGGGTAGTAGTGAGCTCCTGCTGTTGCTAATCTCTAGGTTATCCCCCTTTCCTCTATTTGGCTTCTCAGCTCCTCTTAAATATCCTCTATTTCAAGCACTCTATCTAAAATGGTTTCTGATTTCTTGGTTGGGCCCTCACATACACTGAGGCTTTACCCCAAGTCACATATTTAAGAGGTGATTAAAGCTCAAAAGTACATTCTCTCTTTTTGGTTTGAAAATATACAAAATTTATGATCTCTCTCGCTCTCTCTTTCTCTCTCTCTGTGTCTTCAAAACTTTTAAAATATTTGGAGGAAGAAAAAGAGTTTTAAAATATTTACTCAACAAAATCATATTTCCCATTCTTCACTGGTCTCCATCCCTATCTTAGTAGCATCCACATTGACAAGAGTTTGCTTACCTATCTTCCAGCTAGCCATTGATGTTATACTGTACATTGAGATTTTCAAACGATCTTTAATTATAGAGCTTGTCCTTTGCTAGCTCAATGGGAACATGCCCATCTTTTAGTTTCTTAATTCCTCAGTGCCATTCCATTCTGCCCTTAGTCAGAACAGTTCTCTTTTACTATTGATCAAATTTAATTTCTTCTAGTTATATCAAATCCAGTGCAGTATATTTTTCTGAGACCTGGACCTCTGCAGAGGGTGAAGTGCCCAAGGTCAGACAGTCAGTCTAGATCTGAGCTTCCTTCAAGTCGTGAAAGGGATAGTATAAATGAGAGAACGATGGATGCAAGGAGAGAGAAAAGGATTGAGAAAAAGAGAGAAAGGAGCAATGTGAGAAAAGGCAGTGAGAAGCCAAAGAGAGAGGGAGGGAGGGAGGGAGAGAGAGAGAGAAAGAGAGAGAGAAAGGGAGAAATGGTTTTAATAGATTAAGGCAAATGTTCTGTTGAGTTTTTCAGGACATATTTAAGAATATAGGCACCTCTAATGACAGACATGGAGGTAATAATAGTCAGTATTCCATCATTATCAAATGGTCTCATTTTTCCTCTTGGAACGGAAACATTTTTGTAAACAGAAACACCAATTTGATTAAATGATATATCTTGCTTCAAAGCAATTACTTACCATTATTGAAGAGCAAATCAACAGAAAGCCAATTAGGACTTTATCCTGGAAATATAGTTGAGATTAGCTTTATTTGTTCATCTATAATTAGTAAGTGCTTTATCTTGGGGTTGACGGTTGTGGTAGGTACAGCAATTTGCTGAAGTTTTATAAGATACCTACTCAGCTTGACTCTGCTAGTCTCATGCTGGAGAGTATCATTCTCTCCAGCTGATACATGATGTGGCAGAAGCTTGGTTTAAAATATAACTTAAACTCTCTTTCCGTTGGTTTGGAGATTTATTATTGGCTTTCCCTATAAACACACAGCAGATGACTTGACTGAAATAGTATTTTTAGTGATAGCCTAGTAGAGGGAGTCCTCAAGCCTAAGGAGGGGGCTTTGGGAAGCTTGTAAACCTCCCTTTCCTCTACTGGCACCTGGACTATATACCCAGGTAGACAGGGAAGTTAATGACCTTTTTCTCAAATGCCCCCACCACTTTCAGTATTTCTTTTTTCCTTCCTCTCTACCTTCTTTATCCACCTTTCCCACAACACACACACACACAGACACACACACACACACACACACACACACACACACATATCTTGTCCAGAACCCCAGAGACCTCAGGGTACGGTACCCAGCAAGTAAACAAGACTTTTTCTCCTTGGCCATTATAATGTTGAGGCCCTGGTCCTTTTTGTTTAGGGATGACTCTCCAACACAATCTAATTTAATATCTAAACTCTTTGAAAAAATGCCTGCAAGTGTCCTAACGCCATCCCTTTCTCAAACATTTTGCATTTGATAGAGGTCTTTGGTTCATAAAAATAAAATAATGGGGATGCTGCTGACTTGGAGGGTGATATAGTTTGAATATTTGTCCCCGCCCAAATCTCATGTTGAATTGTAATCCTCATTGCTGGAGGTGGGGCCTGGTGAGAGGTTTTTGGATCATGGTGGATTACTAATAGCTTGGTGCTGTCTTTGCGATAGTGAGTGGGTTCTCCAGTGATCTGGTCATTTTAAAGTATGTGGCAACTCCCATCCCCACCCTGACTTGTCCCTACTTTCACCATGTGACATGCCTGTTCCTCTTTCATCTTCAGCCATGATTGTAAGCTTCGTGAGTCATCCCCAGAAGCCGAGCAGATGCCAGCACCATAAAGCCTATGGAACCCTAAGCCAGTTAAACCTACTTTAAGTTACCTAGTCTCAGGTTTTTCTTTATAGAAATGCAAGAATGGGCCTAATACAGAGAGCCTGTAGGGAATTTAGTTAGTTTGTTTTATTTACTTTTGGCTTTTCAAATTCCACTTAAATCCAGTCCTCCTTAGGATTTTGGGGATGGTCTCTTTCCTGACACTCCAGTGTCTGACATTTCAAGAGTACTTTGAAACCTGGGCCAAAAAAGAAGCCAGAGTTAGAAAAGTGTCATCATTTTTTCAGCAAAAGTGCTTTCTTTGCTTTTTGGTAAAGTTTTAGAAGCCCCTCTAGTCAGTAATCTAACATTAAAATGCAGGGGGGAGTCTCAACTAGATAGTTATTGGCTTTCACTATTTCAACTGCATCTTAGTAATCCAACAAAGTCAGTCTCATTGTCTGACATTTCTCTAATAGCAACACTCCTTTGGGCTGAAGCAGGAGAAGAATTTATGAGGTAATATATTAGCTGGATACTGACTACTAGGTCATTGCCATCGGAAAGTGTGTTAGGGGTAAGGGGACTGGCCCTATCAGCCAGGCTTTATGTCACTATTTTATGTTACTTTTATTGTTTTTATTTGTAATTGACACATAATAATTGTACATATTTATAGGATACAATGTGATGTTTCAATACATGTGTACATTGCGTAATGATCAAATCTGAGGAATTAGCATATCCTTCACACAGATCTCATAGACGTAGAAAATAGAACAGTGGTTACCAGACACTGGGGAGGGTAGGGGAGAGAAGGGATGAAGAAAGGTTGGTCAAGGGGTACAAAGTTACAATTAGTAAGGAAGAGTAACTTCTGGTATTCTATAAGGCAATTTGAATCCCATTGAATTCTGCCTCCCAGGGCATAGTGAGGCTGCTAGGCACTGGGCACCATGGGAAGGAAGTGCTAGAAGAAGACTGATTAAAGATCAAAGGAGTATCTAGTGCCTACCGTGTCCTGAGGAGAAACCCCAAGAGAACCTGCACTACATTCTGTTCTTGGCTGATGATTGGGATCACTCTGTATTTCACTATAAGATTCCATTTGATTTCTTATTTTATTTTATTTATTTATTTTAGAGATGGGGTCTCGCTATGTTGCCCAGGCTGGTCTCGAATTCCTGAGCTCAAGCAATCCTCCCACCTCAGCCTCCCAAAGTGCTGGGATTATGGGCATGAGCTACTGCACCTAGCCCAGATTCCATTTGATTGCTTAACCATGACTTAACTTGTTCTGACTTATTCAGACTAATTCTTTAAAAGTGAGTTGGAGAGTTTAGTGAGACAACTACTTTGACCATTTCTGTTTCTTGAATTAGACTGTTTTTTTCCTTCTTTCAAATTGCTTGAAATTATCTGTTTCCCCATACTCAGTGTTTCATTCCAAATTCCTCTCCTTTGTCTAGGAGGCAGAAACTCCTTTAGGGGTTATTTTTCTGAAAGCTAATATAGTCTAGCTGATTTTTACACAGGGAATGGGAACAGGTGGAAAGGAGTGTTCTTGATATATTGGCCTTGCTATTCAACTTGCATCAAATTCTAAAAGTTATTCAGAATGGCTTGTCAATCCACGGGGAATCTTAGCCTCTCCTCTTAATCCTCATTACTCTACCCACCTCTGGAATGAGGACAGTTATTTTACTTATTTGGAGAGAAACGAATGAAGAAGCTATTCAGAAAATAGGTACTGGACTGCTATAAGTGGTGACATTATAGCTTAATTTCCCAGAATAATTTGGTCTTGTGTTTCAGTCCATATACTGGTAAGTATATTTGTAAGCATTAATTGATATATGGGTGAAGGCTATGAGCTGCAATTTTCTGCAGGTATTATTTCCTAGTCTATTATTTCTGCAGTATGTCTATTAATGCAGTTGTCTACCTATTAGAGTTGTTTCTTTGTGGATTGTTCTATGATGAGGAGATAATTTCTATACATAAAGCAGCCCACTGAATTTTGTACTGACTGTATTTTAATATATGTTTACCCAGACCTCATCCTTTTCAGTAACATTGGTGGAAACTGAGGTATCTTAATAGATTCAAAAGTAGACATTGCTATAAAATACCTGTTCTGTACTAGCAAGGACATAGGACTTTGAGGCAGAAGACCAGGGTTTGCCTCCTAGCTCTGTCACTTATTAACTTTGTGGTTGGGTGAGTTGCTCAATCTTTCTCCAAATGTTTCTTAATCTTCCAAACAGAAACATAGTCATTCATTGCTTAATGATGGGCATACTTTCTAAAATAATGTGTCATTAGGCAATTTTGACATTGTGTGAACATCATAAAGTATACTTGCACAAACCTAGGTGGTATAGCCTATTACATACCTAGGCTATATGGTATAGCCTATTGCTTCTAGGCTACAAACTGGTACATTATGTGACTGTGCTGAATGCTGCAGGCAATTGTAACACAATGGTGAGTATTTGTGTATGGAAACATATAAACATAGAAAAGGTAATACATTGCACTACAATATGATGGCTACAACCTGTCTAGATAATAGGAACTTTTCAGTTCCATTATAGTCTTACGTGACCACCAACGTATATGTAGTCTGTCATTATAGGGAACGTGAGTGTAGCAACACTTACCTTGCAAAACGGCTGGGAGGATTTAATGAACTAACATATAAGAGCTTAACCTACTGACTAGCCTGGAACACAGTAGGGCTTCAACCTAGATTAAATGTTTGCTAGATTAATTAATTCTTTCCTGGATCATAGAAAATGAAAACCAATTGATCTGTTCGATGTTAACAGATCCCAGTCCCCTGGGATATATATCCAGCTTATGCTGACTCAGCCTCAATACAACTGGGTTGTCATTTACTTCACATGGCTGAACCTCATCTCTTTACTTTGTTTACCTCGTTTGAATCATTTATCCTCTCTTACCTTCTTTCTGTATTAGAAAGTACTTTGGCTTTTTGAAATAGCTATGTATGCTGTTTATTGACCTCTCAGAAAGCAAGGCAACTGATTTGTTAGCAAGCATTTGGTGACCACGGTTAATTTTCCTAAGACAGTTTTCTACAGCTTAGGCTAAATAATGTGGTATTAGCCTCCCATCTGAGAGGAACAAATTAAGTGCTAGAGTTCCAACCCCCTTTTATTGGGCTTGTTAGAATATGAGGCAAGTATTCCTGCTTCCCTTTCTCTTGGTCTGCTGTTTGCTGTGTGTCCTTTGTGCTTACCCACTAGCACGTGTGTCTCCTCTGTCAGCATTTGTTGGGTGAGGAGTATAGGGTACTCCATTCCAAATTTTCTAAGAACTTTATTTTCACTTTCTTCTTTTGAGTACTGGTTCTATACTTTGGAGCTGAGTGACTTTGGGCCAGTTGCTTGACTTTTGTGCTAAATTTTCCCATCTGCAAGATTTAGGTAATATTAAGTAGCTGGCAAGGCTGTTGTGAGGATTGTTAAACTGTAGTTAAAGTACTTAATGGACTGGAAAACACTGTGCAAACATGATATTAGGGGAGCAGACAGTTGAAGAAAAACTTGGAGTCAAAATATGATACACATGTTCTGAGAGTGGCAAGTGTGTCTAAATCAGAGCCTCCTGTGTTCTTTTTCCATTCTTCTTCCCAATTGCCTTCTTTTCTTGCTGTCTCCTCTTTTTCTCACACCTGAGAGTGGTCATCTTTGGAGAACACACAGGCAGGATTGGATAGAGGTAAAGCAGTCATGCTAGCTCTCACTACTCTCTGATGTCTCTGGCATGCTTGCCACCTCCAGCCCCCAAACTGTTTTTTTGGCCCCCTCTAAATAAGTCAGTGTCCTAATCTCCAGAGCCTGTGAATGTTACCTTATATGACAAAAAAGGGCTTTGCAAATGTGATCAAGTTAAGAATCTTTAAAGTGGTGAGAGGATCCTGGATTATCTGGGTGGGCCTAGTGTAACCGCAAGGATCTTAGAGGTACAGGAGGAGTTAGAGACAGAAGGTAATGTTAATACAAAGTAGAGAGACATGCAAATGCCACACTGCTAGCTTGGAAGCTAGAAGAAGGCAAGGAATGCAAGGAATGTAGCTCTAGAGGCTGGAAAAGGCAAGAAAACAGACTCTCCCTTTGAACCTCCAGAGTGAGAGCAGCTCTGTTGACACTGGGTTTCAGCCTAGTAATACTTATTTCTGACTTTCGGCCTCTAGAATTATAAGCTAATAAATGTGTATTGTTTTAAGCCACCAAATTTGTCATATTTTGTTATAGCAGCAATAAGAAACTAATACACAAGGAATGGTGATTAAATGGTATTTGTAGATTATAGGAGTGACTATGTTAAATTCTCTCCACATCTTTACCTCTACCTGGCTTGCTAACTACTGCCTAGGACCTAGTGCACCTAGCACGACCAACCATGTCAGTGTACCCTGTCTTGACGATGAAAGTCCTGCATTCAGCGAAACCTGTTAGTCCCATCACACAGATCATTGGTCATCCCAGATGAATCCAATTTTCCAGATTTTTCTCAGTTTTAGTTATGAAGCTTCTTTCTCCAAGACCTCTTCTGCTGTTTATGTTCCTACTTTATCACTCATTTTATTAGTTTGAATTCAGGTACCAACTGAGCTTTACATGGGTGATTTCTGTTTATACTGCCAACACTAGCCCTGGGTCCCCTCTGTGTCACTTCTCTTTGCCCCATGTTCTGAATGAATGCTGCTGATGCTTCTGTGGTGAGGTCTCCTCTAGTCCTCACCCTCACTGGCCTTGGTCTTGCCGTCATCACACATTCTTGTTCTGGATTTGAAAGACCGCATTTTGCTTGGGAACATCTGTAAATTTGTCTGCTCTTGTTGTGTCAGTCTTGTTTGGGCTGTGAGTCAGTGGAAGAACATTGAATCACTGCTGTTTGAATGTCACATCCTGAGTCTGGCAGTGTGGAGCATGTTGAATTCTCATGAGTGGTATCTCAGTCAAATATTACCCCTCATGCTGAAAGCTTATCACTTTAAGGGGATCTAATACACAAATATACAAACATAATCAGGAGGGAAATTATTCACAGAAAACAAGAGATTCTCAACTTTACAAAAGACTTAACCTCATGGTTTACTTAAATAGCAAGTCCCCATAGTGGATTTAAAATGATTTAATTTTGAAAAAAGAAATTTACAGTTTTCAAGGACACTTAGGGTGCTAAATGCAGTAAGCCTGCATTAACTCTATAAATGCTATGACTATCTGAATGTGTGATGTTTGAATTCTCTTTATTGAGTTGATGCTGCATCTCTGATTTTACAAAGTACTGTGTTCCAAGGAAAAGGCATTTTGTAGCTATCTCATTTATTCTGACATTCCTCTGAGAGGTAAGTTACCAGCCAGTCAGCTATCCACATGGACCCAGTGTTAATTGGTAAGCCTCTATGTCCCTGTTTTCTTCTCTGTGGGTATCCCCTCTCACCCACTTCTTCCATCAGCAGTAGGGGGCAGTTCATTTTGATTTTCAGATGTATCCCTGCCAGAGGCTTTCAGCAGTTCCATACCAATATTCTGTACTCATTCTCAATTCCCCTTATTGCCAGGCTAGCCCCGACCTTTCCCTTCCATTCTCATAATTGGCCAGCTGTCTTATTCTGAGAGCCAGTCTTTACTTTGTATCTTGGCTCTGATTAATGTCTTGTTCCCAGTGCTTAAGACCTTATCTTGGTAACCTGCCCAATGTCTTCATTTCCCTAAGATTGCCCCAATCTAGATTTTGTCAGCACTTCTGCCACTCCCACCACAGTGTGAATACTCCCTGAATTCCAGCCCAGTGATTAGGCCCTGCTAGCTGCTCCCAGGTCAGTAGACAGTTAGCCTTAGGGGCTATCTAAATATCATCGTTTTTTTTTGTTTTCTTTTTTTTTTTTTATTTTGTTTCCATATAAATAATCTGAGGGCAGGAACTATGTCTCATTTATCTCAATTTTCCTAGTATTCTCTTCAAGGCTTTTCGTGTACTCAGTGAAGTTGATTCAATAGGTGAGACTCTACACAAATGAATGGATGAACAAGTGAATTCATAAATGAAATACCAGTCAGGAGACAGCTATTAATTTTGCACTGGGCCCACTGATTCCAACTGATACCTATTACCTATTGTTCGTCCTTTAGATGTCCTGCTCTGCCTGACAGATTGGATAGCCTCCCATCACTTGCAGCTGGGTATATCCCTTGAAGTCTCTAGCCAAACTTAATATATGGACTTTTTTGCCAGGTCTTGGCCTTACCCAATGCCTCCCTTGTCTTCAAGGGGTCTGTGTTCTATTAGGGGCATTCAAGACAAATGTAAATCAGCACTGAGAACTGTAATTAAATGGTGAGGAATTTCTGGATTCATTTGAGGATACTATAGCCATGTTACTCCCAAAAGGATTCATTTGTTCATTCAAAAAATATTTTCAGAGCACCTGTTTATTTGTCAGGGCCTCAGAAAAAAGAGATTATCCTTCTTTTGGGATAATTTTTTTGAGGATTTATTTACACAGGGACTAATTAAAAAGGTGCGGGTGGGGTGTAAGGCAGTATAAGGGATAATCAGCAATGAGGCATTAGTAGCTGTGGAGCTGTTGCCACATAAAGATGAAGGCCCAAAAGTTGAGGGGAAGGTGTGTATACCACAACCTGAAGGAAAGAGTGGAGAGGCGTCCTTGTTGAGAGGAGCAATAATCTTTTATTGAGGAACACAGGTAGCCCAAGATGACCCTGCAGCGAGGGAACGAGGAGAATAAATACTGTAACCTTACTCTTTTTCCTCCCTCCAATTTCGTATTGGAGCTTCTCTTTAGCTGATCCAAACTGGCAGCCAGAGGGCAAAGGATCCTTACCATGGCAGACAGCAGGGTAGAGAAACATAAAGAGTGGTGCTGAGGGTGGGGGGGCATGTAAAAAGAAGATATCTAATTCACCTTGCTATGTGTATAACGTTGAGCTAAGTGCTGAGAGCCTTCTAGGAAGCATCAAGTCTTCTTCATCAAGAATATTGAAGAAGAGGAGAAAAACATCAATTATGTGACAATAAAGAGAAGAGCCATTATTATTGTCTTGAAGATAATTGTAGTTAACTCAAAACAACACACATACATAAATAAGATAATTCAAGACAACTACTTGGCCCACACAGTTCCAAGCCCAGTACCCCTTTTATTAGTTTAGGGATATCCTTGTGCTCAGATTTCTTCTCTGAATCTCCCTTGAGGACCAAAGGTGAATAAAGGTTTTGATTTTGCCCCCTTGTCTGACATTCAGAAATTGCTAGAGATGTGTCCCAGCCAGCAATTTCCTACCTTGACTTTGCTCCTTGAAAACTGCTGATTGTTGGACACCAGTCTTTCTTGTGTTGCATGACCTCTGGGATATAACCCTAGCCTGTGTGGACACCTAATACTAATATGCTCATTAGTTTCCTTAGGATATTTGGTTCATTCATTCTTCTTTTTGCTTACTATAGGTTGAAGTATAGGGAGGCAATTAGAGATGAAGAACAATAGCAATGGGAACATTGGGCCCATTGGAATAAAATCACTAGAGTAGTTATAATAGAAACTTCTATGATTGCCCTGAGGTTTGCAAGAAGGATGGAGGCTGCTATAAGGACTGTAGTCAGAATGAACCAGCAACAAAGTAGTCATCAAGCCCTGGTAAAACAAAATACTCATTGGATTAACAGATAACATAATGTTGGAAGTTGGCTAGTTCTACAATAAGAAGTTGTGGGGACTGTGCAAACTGGAGAGCACCAATGCAATTGAAGAGCATTCACATACATAATTCAGAATAATATCATGCAGGCCAAACAAAACATGTCTGGACTTCAGGTCCACATTTTGTGACTTCTGAATTCTGTGTGACTAATAACTGTGAAATTGATTAGAGGCCAAGATCCAGAGTAGGGAAAATGTGGTAAGATGACTGTATGGTACTGTGGATAGCTGAAAGGTGAGAAAGGATTCTTAATGCTCAGATGAAGAAAAACTCAGGAAAAAATTCTCAGAGAAGATGCCTGGCATGTTGTCAGGGTACTCTGATGCTACCTTAGGGCCAGTCTCTAGCACCTTGTTTACTGCTAGGTTTCTGGGAACAGTTTACAAAAGAACAATACATCCTTTCCTCACTGAAACTTACACAGGAGAGATTTAGGGGATCAGACCTAACAAGCAGGAGATAGCTTAAGCTATTTTCATAGCTATAATTTTAAAAATTTATATAACGTCTTAGAGAACATAATTTGTGAGTTAGGAATTATGTTACTTTAAAATTCAGTGAAATGTTTATTTTTCTAAGCTGCCTTGATGTTAGTAAATCGTAAGACTAGCATTAATTTGGCAGTAATATATTAAACCATCCCATTCTCTGGTTAATTCTGTTAGACCAAATTTTCTACCTCCTTCTTTAATATGCTCTATTTGATGACCAATTGTATGTGTACCCACCTACTTCCACACCCAGAATATATTTGTTAAATCGTTTCTATTTTGAAAGCCCTTGGAAGTGTTTTGGGGTTGCAGGAGTTTAAGGAATATGAATATGGAAGAACCAGGATAGGATTGTCAGAGCTTGGAATTGGCCCTGGCCAGGAGACACTTAGATGCTAAATACAGCCAAATAGAGGAGTCTGGCAGATACCATAAATCCATGCAGAAATGGAATCCAGTCCAAAAAGGTCAACTTAAGCCATGGGGTAACGGGGATGGTTTACAGTCTAGGGAGTCTAACAGTACCAGTGGTTAGATGTAGACAGGAGGGTTGGTGATCACCAACCCTAAGACAAAGGCTGATGGTATTTAGCTATTTCAAAGCATGTGTGAATACACAGAGCTATTCTGGTGGTAAGAGCAGGTGATCAAAGACTTAGATATCAAAGGCAGAGATATTAGGATCATTGGGTAATTCTCATACCTGGTTTTCTCCCATATATCTTAGGTAATACCTTGGACAGCCCAGAGCGAAAGCCTGACTCTCAAATGGCCTATTTACACTGTAAGACAATTATTCCAAAATGCACCTGGGACAGCTTTATATGCAGACATAAATTGGCTAATGCTGATGTCTTCCCAGAAATGAAGGAATCTTATCAAATTTAGACAGTGACGTTGAGAGCCTTTTATAGGCACTTCGAAATATAACTCTTAAGAATTATCCACTTGTCATGGCTTTTTGCCATTGGTTCTGAAGGAATGTCATGCATCAAAAACTCCTGTATATTTTAATAGTTTTCTGGGGCAATAGGAATAAACTTATGTATTAAGGAGTCCAAATGACATACTCAAGCTTTATTTTTCCACCGAATTAAACTGTTTTAATTATTTTTACTTAGTTCAATCACACAGATTTGATTTGTTCACTTATTTTGTACAAGTATGAAGGAAAGAAAAAAGTACCCTAACATTTATTGAATATTTACAAAGTGCGAGGCATTGTACTGTTTACCTACTTTATTGCCTTAGCAACCTAGTTAGATAGGAATTGTTATCTTTATTTTAGAAATTAGGCAACTGAAGGTAAGAGGGGCTGAGTAGCTTGCCTAAAGTCACACAGCTGGAAAACGGCAGAGCCAAGATTGGAACTTCCATGTGTTTGTTTCCAAAGTCCACATTCTTTTCACCATAAGCTGTGTTCCTGAGAAGATTTTGTTATATTAAGGCAATTCGAATCAAACTCAGTGATAATAGAAGCGTAACTCACTTTGTAAGAGGGCACTATGCATGCAGTAGATACATGATAAATGTTTGTCAAATTAGTAAATAGCTGAATATTTGAAAATACGGTGGTTTAACAGTAACTCTCACCTATGAATTCTTTTGTATAGAGCTATGAGTAAAATAAAACCTTTCTCAATTTTAGTGTGAGATTTAACCTCTTGGATTTTAATTACTGCATTTTTCATTACCCGATGGTGCTTCTGCATTTTAATAATCATCAGCTTTCAGTAACTAATACCAGTGTGTATCAGTAATAAGCTTTGCTTTATGAATGAATTAATGAAAGTATCAGCCATCTTTTCCCCAAAGGAGATGTTAATGACATTTCCTGAAACACAATGGGGCTAGTGGGTCTTCGAAATGTAAAAATTTAAATCTGTAATTTTAATCTGTAGACTGCATTTTATTTCACGCTGGGGGGAACTCCAATGTTACTTTTTTATGATTTTCTTAGTTGTTTCTTTTGAATCCTAAGATTCAAGTAATGCTCTGAAAAATATGAGAAGCTAAATGCCACATTTACAATTGTTTTTGAAAGGCTTAACCTTTATTAAAGTAACTGGGTAAATACAATTCAAAAGGGTTTACTTCTCTTGTAAATTAAATGTTATGTTTGTAGACTGAAAGGTCAATTTTTCAGCAGAGTCTGGTTTTCAAAAACTATCACTTTTGCCACGATAAATCAAGAAAGCTAATTTGTTTTACATGTATGATACACAAGCCATAATGCTGTTCATCTGATTTCAAGCTCAGTTACTTGTGACAAGAGAGCACTTTTATGATGAAGTGTAAATTCTGGCTTCTGAAGACAGATGTAAAACAACTTTGAACTGAAATATTTAGTTTCCTACACTCGAATAACTGATTACATATTTTGAGATATGTAAGCCAATCATGCTGTACACGTCACTTTTGGTCTTTTTTTGTCATTTCGTACCTTGCTACAGAAAATATTATTTTTCCTCTTTTCATTAAAAAGAAAAATCACTTTTTCCTTTTTATTATCCAAAAAATTCTTTAAAAATCAAATGCCAGTTTAAAACCTCTCTCTCTCACATGGACACACACACACACACACACACACACACACACACACACACACACAGGCAGTGAGAAGATGCCTCCTGCTAGCTTTGGTTGCAGATATTTGTTTTGGCTCTGGACTCAGTTTTGAAATCCTGTTACTTAAGAAATCCATGAGGGAAAATATGCTTTGAGACTGGTAGCTTTGAGAAGAACCTGCCCAAAGCAAATTTAATTGAGAGATAAAGTCTTAGGCTTGATTCATTTCTGGGTTTTAAAGGTTTTTGTTGGTTTCATACAGATAAACAGGTAGCCATCTATAAAATGATTGAGCTACATGAATCATAAGGACAAATACTAAATGTTAAGTAAATGCTAAATAGAAATAATTGTAAACACTTGTTCCAACAAGGATATTTAAGCAACTGTTACTCTTAATATGCTTTATTTTTTGTCATTGTAGGAGTTCAGCTTAGTTCAACATGTTAATTAAGCACTTATGTGATAGGTTTTGTGTTCAGGACTGAGAATTCAAAGAAAATAAGAAGATACCAGCTATCTCTTCTTTTTTCTTTCTTCTCAATTCAGTTTTCTTGAACACAGAAGCTTGCTATTTATTTATTTATTTATTTATTTGTGTCAGCAAAATGTATGAAAACTTCCATTCTAGAATATTAGGTTGGGTAATTACTGGCATTTTTTTTCAATTGTTGATGCTCTCAGGCTTGCCTTGAGGACAGATAAGTTTGTGGCACATTCTTATCCTAGCACTATAGGTAATTAAAAGTCAGAGGTGCAGCAAATAATTTTACCTCTCTGAACTTAACTTAGATTAACTTAGTGTTTTTTTTGTTATAGTTCTTACTTTGCCTTATTGGCCCAAAATATTTAGCTCAGTCTTCTCATAATTTAACCTTGCAACAAACATATTTATTGCAACAGCATTACTATTTTACAAAAGCACTCTACTAGCCCCTGTGGGTAATACAACAGTGAGTAAGTTCCAGTCCTTTCCTTCAGGCTCTCCTAGTCTTGGCTGGGGAGAAGATAATTATGCAAGTAAGTATAATGAGGCAGGATATAAGAAATGTCATAACAGGAATGAACAAAATGCTATGGCAGTTTAAAGAAGGGAGAGATCCCATGTAACTGGATACATCTGAAAATGTTCCTGGGGGTTGTGGCATTTGAGATGGGCTTTGGAGAATGGGTATGATTTAATAAGCAAAGATGCACAGGAGGCCTGTCTAAGCAAGAGGAGTCAGAGAAAAAACCTGGCATGGAAACACACAAGGAATATTTTTCTGCAATGCAGGATTCCTGTAGGGAATGGTGGGAGATGAAGCTGGAAAGAGAATTTGGAATCATACTGAATAGGGCTTTGCATGCCAAGCTGAGGAATTTGTAGTTAAATCTGTAGGCAGTGTAGGAATGGCATTAAAGATTTTTAAAACATTTATTTACTTAACAGAGAGTGACATGCTTAAATAATTTTTTTGCAGGGAAAATGATCTAACAGTTTGTGTAGGCTGAACTGAAAGGAGAAAGCCAGTTCAAAATAACCACTAAAACCTTTCCCCCCAATGCAGTAGAAATGCAGACTCATTGTAGAAACTCCAGAAAATAAAGAGAAGCACAAAGAAACAAACATGCAATTTCATCATCTAGCCTTCTGCATTATTTACGTTTTAATGTTTCTGCTGCAGTCATTTTTATTCTTCTATGTATGCATGGTATTGTATATAATCTGCTTGTTCTGCCTCCTAATATACTGGGAACAATTATCCAGGCCATTCAATCAGTGCAAAACTCTGTTTTAAAAAGGTAAATTGCATTAGTTTTGAGAACAAACAGTAAGTTTACAATGTCATCTAGTAGAGGTCTTGCTAAGCTTGCTTTAATAAATATAAGAATTACTTGTAATTAGAATGCCAATTATTTGATTATAGTTAGTGCTGCTATAGCGTATAATTTTTATAAGTAGGTTCAACATGCTACTCTATTATATTTCTTCCATTGTTAGCTCACCAATATTTAAAAAATATTAGTATAATATTAATTCATAACTTTGTTTCGATCCAGATTTTCAAGAATTCCAAGTTAGTGTGTTCCAAATTGATACTGATTATTTTTAGCATTAGCAAGTTTATTTAGGAAGAGAATTTTTCACTTCTTCTTGTGCTTTTTTTTTTCTTTTTACTGGCCACTGCATTAACCTTTTTCTGCTCAGTTTCTCTCTATCGTTAATGCTTCAGCTATTTGGAGGGACTATTATGATATACCAACGGGATTTTAAAGCACCTGAGATGGCACAAATTAAACAGCAATTGTACTTATCTATCAGAAAAATGTAGCTGTTAAGGGGTCCTGGAGACTTCAATATTATAGGCAAACTGTTTTTTTTTTATTGTCCAGTATTTCATTATTTAAATAAAGGATTACAAAAAATCACTTCACCACCCCTCTTTTGCTTATTAATCCCTTAAATTCAGCTTCAGTGCCCCCCACCTTATGGTTCATAGTACTGCTTTAGTTGTATAAATTGAGGTCCTATCTGTCATGGACTTTCAACTAATGTGACGTTTTAGTGCTGCTTTCTCAGCTTGGCTTGTCGGCAGCTATCCCTGGACCCCCATCTGCTTTATAGCCCTGTGTTTCATAAGCAGAATGTGGCTCCACCAGACTTGTGTGGATGATACTATAAACTCTGTTGTAATGGCTCGTAGGATTAGATAGAGGCTATTATATATCTAGCCTGGAGTGCTAATGTTTAAAATTAGGCATGGAATTTGTAAACTGTAATGAAATGGAAAGAAATGACTTTCAGATGTATTTTGGCCCTGTGCTATGTAATCACAACCATAATGTATCAGAGAACCTTATCCTTCTCCCCCTCATGATTAAATGCTGTACTCTTCCTTAACTAGACTGTTGAATAGTGTGTGTAAATCTCAGTGTCCCTTAAGCATTATTAATGCCATAAAGCTGGGATGCTCTAATTACCAATATTTCTCCCTTCTTGAATTATTTGATCTTTCTGGGCTGTCTCTGTGACATTAGTACATTAGTGGCTGACCCAATCTCAGACCTTCGGACTTTTCCCCTTCATAGAGTATGTTTTTATTTAAAGAGGTAGTAAGAATGCATTTAGAACATTTCCCTTAAATGAAAAGGTTGATAAAATGAAGCCATTTCTGTTCGAAAAGTCTCTGAAAGAGAAGTCTGTAAATCATTATGCAGGATAACATGTTACACAGGATTTAAAGGAAGCACAACATACCTGAACATGGAAATACATACAGATGGAAAGCATATAAATTACTGACTGATTTACTATATCACAAATTTTAATTTTACAAAGGGACTCCCTATGAGATTCTTAAAGTGGGGAGCACTTCTTAAGGCATGTAAGTTTTTAATGACAGATTGTTGCTTATTTGGCCACCACTGGGGACACAAGTTAAGAGAAAAAGTGTAGGAATTACTGCCTGTGGAAGATTTACCAGTACAAGTCACCTTGTTTCTGAATTTAGAGTATATGCCAATGAGGAAAACAGAAGGTTATTAAATTCTTCTTTCTTGAGCACTTACTATGTTCTACGCACTTTATACATATGATTTTATCTAATTATTAGATCAGCTCTATGAACTATATGGTAGCTTCACAGATGAACAGAGCAAAGATTGCTCAGAGTTGCACAGCAGGTGGTGACACTGATTAAAATGCATTTTTCTTCAAGAAATGTACTCTTTATACATTATAAATGAATGGGATTGATTTAGAAAATGTCCATGTATGTGAATTTTTTTCAGACTCAGAATCAATATATTCAATAAGGGACACATGCACGGATAAATCTGATTTGAAATCTTCGAAACTTCATTCAGCAAATGGCCCAAGATTCTTTCCCCTGCTGTTCATTCAGTATGGTCTCCAAGAACTTTCTTTAATAGAAAGGTGCATCTGCTGTGACAGTGATAAAAAAAATTCCAACGCCAAACAGAGAAGTTTTCTAAATTTGTTTCTGCTTGGGATGATTTGTGTAGGAGTTCCCTTTCATTATTAGGGTGACTGATTGGTATCATGCATAAATTCAAGTTTTGCAGTTTCTTGACAAGTCCAGTTAAAATGCATTTATTAAGACAGTGTGGTGTGGTAAAAGGAACATGGATACTGGAGTCAAACAAGATTAGGATCTAATTCCTCTTTTCCCAGTCATTGGCTGTAAAACCTTGGTGAAATCACTTAACCTCTCTGAGCTCCAGTTTCTTCATCTGTTCATCATTTTTTATTAGAAGAAATAAGAAAATTAAGTTGCCTTAGGTGGAATCACTTCCCTTCCACTTTCATTCCTAATCATTGGAGAGTTTCAGCCAATCATACCCCTAATAACATGGATGGGCTCTGTAATGGATACATAATTTGGTTAATGAGATTCATCCCTGATAATTTTAGGGAAGAGGAACTGTTTTTACCTGGATGTGAAACTGAGGCATATAAGTCCAGAGCTGCTGATTTTATGATCACAGGAAGTAAGATTGTCTCAGAATAAAACAAATCCAAGCCAAGAGACTGAGAGAATCATCCTGGTGACACCATCTGAGTCCCTGCATGAAGCTGTCCCTGAGGTTAGCAAAAGCTACTCTTGAGGTTTTCATTTATATAAATCAACAAGTCCCTCATCCCCTTAAAAATTTCTTTTTAAAAGACTAACTTGAGATGAATGTTTTCTTCATCAAAATCTAGATAGTTGTAATTTTTATAAGACCTTATAAGGTTGTGTCTGTAAGAATTAAGTGAAATATTGTTTGAAAATTACCTTGTACAGAACCTAAGGTATAAGAGTCTATGAAGGTTATCTTTTCTCTTTCTTCAATAGTGTCCCTAGGGTATGGGCCCAACATATTTAATTCCAATGATATCATTTGATGTCTCTATGTGACTTCGCAGACCTTCGTACAGGGAGAGATGACAGTTATTTAGCAGTGATCGGCAGCTGAGCAGCACTACTTTCTCTCCCTGATCTTGTCACACAGACCATAGACCATCTCAAAGAATTCTTACCAATGCCCAAGCCCTAAAGTGGACCTTTATTTGTCTTTATACAAAAGTTTTTTAAACAAAGGTCTACTTTAAATCCTGGGCATTGATGGGACACCTAATGGCTTATATGTACCAGAATCAGAAAGAAGTATTCGTGATCACTACGGGTGAGCTTCTGTAATCACAGTCTTGGGTTAATCTATTCCTTATTCATTTCTAATTTTCCATGCTTTTAAAATAAAACTTTATTAACTTGTGGACACTTGCTCATAAGTTAATTTGACTGGTATGACTCGTGAAAGCAAATTATGTCACTTCTCTCTTAAAACACTTTAGTTCCCATTACCTTCACAAAATCTAAACATCTTACTATTGCATATAAAGCCCTTAAGGAATTGGCTTCTGTCTACTTGTCAAGCTTCACAGATTGCCATTTTCTAATATAAACCACATGCTCCAGCCAGGCCAACCACTGGCAATTTCTTAAGCATCCCTGGCTTTCACACAAGCTATTTAGCTGCCTGAAATGACCTTACCTCACCTTTTGCATCCTGCTAACTCTCAATTGCCAATTAAAACTCAACTTAGGCCACTTTTCTCTTTGGAAGTCTTAATGGTACCCTCTCCTCACATCTAATTTAAATGCACCCTGTACTTACCATTATTAGTCTACAGCACCATCATGCCGGATTTACTTCTCTATCCTCTTCTTTAGAATGTGGACTCATTTGAGGGCAAGGACCACATTTGATTCATTTGTGTTCCTAACACATAGCACAGTACCTAGAAAAGAGTAAGTGTCCAGTACACGTTTGATATTGCAACATCACTTAACTCACAGTAAGCAGTGGAACTCTTTGTGCTGTAAGCCCTTATGAATAGAAGCATTGTTCTGCATTAATATAAAAGTGAAGGACTACTTTATAGTAAGAAAAAGCACAATATTTTAGATGAAGTTGAAAAAATCTGAGTTGAGATCCTGCATTGTTTAACAATGGTATTGTAATTTTATGATGGTGGTTATCAGTAAAGGTATAGTCAGATTAATCATACAAAATAATAGCCAAGAAAGCAGTTCGATACTATGTACAAATTTACTACTTCTTAAAGTATACTTTAAGAATGCTTATTCAGCAAATGATATTGGGACAATTGAGTAACCACCAAAGAAACAAAACAAACCAAACACAAGCCTTTCATGGTATCACCAAGGAGTTGCAGATGGATTAAAAATCTAAATGTAAAAATTAAATAGTAGCATTTGAAAGACAGTATAATTGAGATTAAGAATGCCTCAATTCAAACTCTGACTCTATCAGATTCTAGCTGTGTGACATTGGCCAAGTCGTCTAATTATTTCATGCCTTAAATTCCTCTATAAAACGAGAACGATAAAAGTACTTAACTTGTAGAGTTATTGTGAAAATTAAGTTTTAGGGTTATTGTAAAGATGTACAGCAGTTAAAAGAGTCTCTGGCACATAGAAAGCACTATATAAAAGTTGTATATTATTATTTCTAGACTTGAAAAAGGATGGATTGGCCGGGCGCGGTGGCTCATGCCCGTAATCCCAACACTTTGGGAGGCTGAGGCGGGTGGATCACGAGGTCAGGAGATCGAGACCATCCTGGAGAACACGGTGAAACCCTTTCTCTACTAAAAATACAAAAAAAAAAATTAGCTGGGCATGGTGGCGGGCACCTGTATTCCCAGCTACTCGGGAGGCTGAGGCAGGAGAATGGCCTGAACCTGGGAGGCGGAGCTTGTAGTAAGATCGCGCCACACACTGCACTCTAGCCTGGGCGACAGAGCGAAACTCCGTCTCAAAAAAAAAAAAAAAAAAAAAAGGATGGATTAATACATTTGATTACGTAGATAATAACTTTTCCTCACTCAATACTTGTCTTAGTTCGCTCTGCTGTAACAAAATACCATAAACTGGGTGGCTTTTCAGTAACAGAGATTTATTTCTCACAGACTGAAGGCTGAGAAGTCCAGAGGTCCAGGATCAAGGCATCACCACATTTGATGTCTGGTGAGGGCCTGCCTTCTGGTTCATAGTCAGTGTCACCTTGTTGTGTTATTACGTGTCAAAAGGGGTGAGGGTCTCTCTGGGGCCTTATTTGTAAGGGTACTAATCCCATTTAAGAAGATGAGGCCCTCATGACCTAATCACATCCCAAAGGCCCTGCCTCCTAATGCCATCATCTTTGGGTCTTTGGGGTTAGGATTTTAACATAAAGTATTCATCACGATAAATAATGTTTATATATATATATAATTTGTTTCTTTATATGTTTGGTACCTCCCTAGACTCCCTCTGGCAGCCTCTAACTTCCATGAGATAAGGAACCATACTTATTTATTAACCATTTTTTTAGCCATTGTCAGACAAAGTATCTGGTTTATAATAGGCCCTTTATACATTTTTCTGAATTATTGAATTTAATGTGGTAAGATCTTGATTGATGAATATGCTCAGGTTATGTGCAGGAGTCTGGCTGATCATATGTTTTTCTAGGGAGCTTTCCTAGAGAGGCAGTATATTGTGGTAAAGAATCAAGATGCTATAGTTAAATATTTGAGTTCAAAGCTGGGTTTTACCCTTTACCAGATGTATAGCCTTTAAGCAGATTACATCATCTTACTCTCCTTTAGTTTTCTCATGTATAAATTGGAGCTAAAATTAATGATTTATATCCAGCTGTGGGGATGGTTATGGAGTAAGGGAAGGAAAAATGTGTAAGAGGTAAGGCTAGTGCCTCTTCAACTAAGAAAATATGCTGGAGCTTATTTTCTTTTTAAACTAAATCCTGCATTTCTGCTTGTTTTATTCTGAGTGCTATTGCACTGGTGATTAAATGACAGAGTGAATGACCAAATGAATAAATGAATAAAAATATTTTGATATCTGGTAGAACATCATTTGATATCTGGTAGAGCCAAAAAAGAAATTGGCTGTTTTGCTTATTTATTCTTTCAGATAAACATTATAATCATTTTGTCACATGTTCCCAAAAGAATTGTATTGAACATTTTTATTGAAACTTCCTTCCATTTATAGACTTAATTTTGGAAGGAATTGACATCTGTATACTGTTGAGTCTTTCCATTTAAAAGCACGGTTTGCATCTCCATTTAATGCAATATTTTAAGTGCCTTTGTGGTTTAAAATAATCTTTAAAAACATTCATCCTGCATATTTTACAAAGTTTATTGCTATTGTTGATCATATATTTTTAGTAGTTTCTAACTGATCAGTGTTTGTATATAAGGAAGATATATATTTTAACTAATTATTTTATAACTAGCTGTCTTATTATTAGTTCTAATACATTTTACGTTTATTTTCCAGGTAAGCAGTGATATTTATAATATATCTAACTTTTGTCTCTTCCAATATTCTTTTCTATCTCATTGCAAAATCTAGAATTTCTGGAAAAATATTAAATGATAGTCATGATATTACCCATCTGACCTTAGTCCTTATTGTTATGGTAAAACTGCTAGGATTTTTATGATTAAGCATGATATTTTAATGATGTTAAGATAATATATGCATAATCCTTATTTACTAAGAATTGCTTTTATTTAGGAAGGAATGTTGAATTTTTATCAAATGATTTTTTCCCTTTAGACTTACTGATAGGATAAAAATGCATTTATCATACAAGTAAAATGGCACATTATTGATATAAAGTATATAGATTTTAAACCATCTGGGAATTATTGGGTAAAAGCAGATTGATAATAATTACCATTCTTTTGTACCATACTTTTGAATTAAAGTAGTATTTTATTTAGTAATTTTGCATAAATGAGTTCAATCTGTTGGTCTTCTTTCCTTGTGCTTTCATTCGACCATCATTTATTGAGTGTGTACCATATTTCAGGCACTTTTCTAGGCATGGATACTCTTTTTATTACTTTATAAGCCACAGACTTCTTATGTGTGTTACATGAATCTAAAAACACCACATAGCGTTGGGATTATGATAACTTCATAAAATGAATTAGAACATTTTATATCCTTTGCAATTATTCGTAACAACTTATATAGAATAGGAATTATCTATTTTCTGAATGTCTGAAATAACATACCTGTAACATCACCAAATTTTTTAAAAATTTAACTTTTATTTTAAATTCAGGGGTACATGTGCAGGTTTGTTACATAGGTAAACTTGTGTCATGAGAGTTGGTTGTACAGATTATTTCATCACCCAAGTATTAAGTCTAGTACCGATTAGTTATTTTTCCTCATCCTCTCCTTCCTCCCACCCTCCACCCTCCCATAGGTGCCAGTGTGTGTTGGTCCCCTCTATGTGTCCGTGTGTTCTCATCGTTTAGCTCCCACTTATAAGTGAGAACATGTGGTATTTGGTTTTCTCTTCCTGTGTTAGTTTGCTAAGGATAATGGCCTCCAGCTCCATCTATGTCCCTGCAAAGGACATGATCTCATTCTTTTTTATGGCTACATAGTATTCCATGGCGTATATGTATCACATTTTCTTTATCCAATCTGTCATTGATAGGCATTTAGGTTGATTCCATGTCTTTGCTATTGTGAATAGTGCTACAATGAACATTCGTGTGCATGCATCTTTATGGTAGAATGATTTATATTTCTCTGAGTATATACCCAGTAATGGGATTGCTGGGTCAAATGGTAGCTCTGCTTTTAGCTCTTTGAAGAATCGCCATACTGCTTTCCACAATGGTTGAACTAATTTACACTCCCACCAACAAGGTATGAGCACTCCTTTTTTTTTTCTGCAACCTCGCAAGCATCTGTTATTTTTTTACTTTTTACTAATAGCCATTCTGACTTGTGTGGGATGGTATCTCATTGTGGTTTTCATTTGCATTTCTCTAATGATCAGTGATGTTGAGCTTTTTTTTTCACATGCTTGTTGGCCACATGTATGTTTTCTTTTGAAAAGTGTATTTTCATGTCTTTTGCCCTCTTTTTAATGTCGTTATTTGTTTTTTCTTGTAAATTTGTTTTTGTAGATGCTGGATATTAGACCTTTGTCAGATGGGTAGATTGCAAACATTTTCTCCCATTCTGTAGGTTGTCTGTTCATTCTGTTGACAGTTTCCTTTGCTGTGCAGAAGCTCTTTAGTTTAATTAGATCCCATTTGTCAATTTTTGCTTTTGTTGGGATTGCTTTTGGCACCTTCGTCATGAAATCTTTGCCCGTTCCTATGTTTAGAATCATATTGCCTAGGCTGTCTTCCAGGGTTTTTATAGTTTTTTATTTTAGATTTAAGTTTTTAATCCATCTTAAGGTAATTTTTGTATATGGTGTAAGGAAGGGGTCCAGTTTCAGTCTTCTGCATATGGCTAGCTTGTTATTCCAGCACCATTTATTGAATAGGGAGTCTTTACCCCATTGCTTCTTTTTGTCAGGATTGTTGAAGATCAGATAGTTGTAGGTATGTGGTCTTATTTCTGGGCTTTCCATTCTGTTCCATTGGTTTATGTGTCTGTTTTTGTACCAGTACCATGTTATTTTGGTTACTGTAGCCCTGTAGTATAGTTTGAAGTCAGATAGCATGATGCCTCCAGCTTTGTTCTTTTTGCTTAGGATTGCCTTGGCTATTTGGGCTGTCTTTTGATTCCATATGAATTCTAAAATAGTGTTTTCTAGTTCTGTGAAGAATGTCAATGGTAGTTGAATAGGAATAGCATTGAAACTATAAACTGTTTTGAGCAGTATGGCCATTCTAACAATATCGATTTTTCCTATCCATGAGCATGGAATGTTTTTCTATTTGTTTGTGTCATCTCTGATTTCTTTGGGCAGTGTTTTGTAGTTCTCCTTGTAGAGAGTTTTCACATCCCTTGGTAGCTGTATTCCTAGGTATTTTATTTTTTGTGAGAATTGTGAGTGGGATTGCATTCCTGATTTGTCTCTAGTCTTGACTGTTGTTGGTTTATAGGAATGTCGGTGATTTTTGCCCATTGATTTTGTATGCTGAGATTTTTCTGAAGTTGTTTACCAGCTTAAGTACCTTTTGGGCTGAGACTGTGGGGTTTCCTAGATATAGCATCATGTCATCTGCAAACAGGGATAGTTTGACTTCCTCTCTTCCTATTTGAATGCCCTTTATTTCTTTCTCTTGCCTGTTTGCTCTGACCAGAACTTCCAATACAATGTTGAATAGGAGTGGTGAGAGAGGGCATCCTTGTCTTGTGCTGGTTTTCAAAGGGAATGCTTCCAGCTTTTGCCCATTAAGTATGATGTTGGCTGTGGTTTGGTCATAGATAGCTCTTATTATTTTGAGGTATGTTCCTTCAATACCTAGTTTATCGAGAGTTTTTAACATGAAGGGGTGTTGAATTTTATCAAAGGCTTTTTCTGCATCTATTGAGATAATCACGTGGTTTTTCTCTTTAGTTCTGTTTATGTGATGAATCACATTTATTGATTTGCGTATGTTGAACCAACCTTGCATCCCAGGGATGAAGCCTAGTTGATTGTGGTATTCACTAACTTTTAAAAAGTAAGTGTTTAATACTTCAAAAATGTTTTTTTCTCCATTTTTTGCTGCAATTATTTTTTGAGATTATCGTATAAAAATTTGGTAGTTCATACTTTACTTGAAAATCAGCTATATTTTGAACATTATTATTATAATGCAGATCCCTCCTTATGGAAGCTAACATTAGAAATAGGGAAGAACACTTTTTTCCCAATTAGTTGGCTAACATTTTCCTTGTTTTAAAGGTTTTGTTTATATATTTTTATATTTACTGCAAACATTTGAAAATTAGGAAAATAAAAAGATTTTATTTTAAAGGTTTAAATTGTGACTCAAAATCATGTTGAAAAGATCGGATATTTTATTCATTCAAATAGATGATGAACTTTGAGGATACTGGCTAGCAAGATAACCTTAAATATAGCAGCAATTAGATTTATCTGAGCAAAAAAAAATGAACACAGAAGAATATTCTGTGAAGATTATGCCATGCATTCTGGTTTGATAAATAGAAACCCTGAACACTTGACATTTATTATGTTTTTTTTTCAAGGGAAACAAGACCAAATAAAATGCCTTTGAGCATAGTAGCTTAAGATAAAACATGTAATTTTATTCTGACCTAGAAAGACTGTCATGGCAAACCAATGTCTTTAAGTCCCAAGAAGGCCAACAAGGACAAACAATATGTGAGGACTGGACTGGTGTGCTTTTGTTACATATAATCATCCTATAGATTCAAGTATTCAGTTTGGATAATTACATGTTGGATCATGGAACAAGCAGAGGAGATTTAAGACATGGGGAAATGTAATAAACTTTGCAAGTATTTTTTCATTTAAACTACGCACCCTACACCAAGTTTATTTAAAAAAAAACTGCTACTATTGTTGTCCCTGTAAAATGAGAAAATGGGATCTCAAGTAGGTTTAAGTAACTTGCTCAAGCTCATACAACTAGTAATTGGCAGAGTTGCATCTTGACGCTAGGCTTTCTGACTCTAGTGTCTGAGCACATTAATCTCCAGATTTCCTTTGGTGTGGACAGTGCTTAGGGTAATGTAGGGGGAAATTACTAATATGACAGATCTATCCAGCATGTTTTCCCTTCATATTCTGGCAGCCCCAAATCAGTGTGTGTGAGGGTGCACTTCCTCCCTTCTCTAACAGGCTGAACCTTCCAGTAACTTCTTTCCTCCTCCCCATTGGCAGCTGCCACACTGGCAGAACATAGGCAGCTATAAAAGTCCTTGTAGCAGAGGACAAAAGAGGGTAATCGTTGGAGGAGCAGTTGCTAGGAAGGATCGGGGAGACAAATAAATGGTTTTCAAAAATGTCACCCGAATTCTGTCTTCTGAATAGCTGTTTAGAGCATTCACTGTCAGCCATAGCCCTCTGGATACGCTTGTTCCCAGATAGGGGAGACTTACCAAGGGTAGTTAGTGAACCATATGATCATTGCAGAATCCACATCAGCTAAATATACCGATCAATTTGCAACTTGCTTTATAAATATGAATGGAAAATGAAAAGTTCACTAGACATATGGACAGAATCCAGTTTGATGGAAGACGATTAAGCTGAACAATTAGCACATTTGGCCCCATTAAAACAGGGTTAACGTAGGAAACAGGAAATAACTTTGAGAAAATTACATTCCAGTTTTTTAGTGACATTTGAGAGGTTATTGCATAAGTAAAATAAGAGCAAGCTACCATGACAAGGAGAAATTGGAGAATAAAAATTCCCTTCTCTGGCCCTCTACCTACCTTCTACTAAACTTTATCTCAGTACCTTATTTGTATTCTTCCTGGCACTTAATTTTGCAAGAATTTTATTTATTTTTTGTTTACCTTCCCCCCATCCCCTATTCTACTAAAATACATTTTTATGAAAATACTGATAATATTGTGTTTATTCAATTTTTAAAATTCTTACCTCAATTTTATATCACACAATGCTTGGTATAGAGGAAGCAATTGGTAAATATTTGCTAGATAATTTAAAAACCTAATTACTGATATAAAAACACCAAAAATAATGCAATAAAGATGACGAATAAGAGAGAGAACACTGCTGAAACCCAAAGTACTGAATTATAGTACCCACCCACCACCTTTCTCCATAAAACTGGGCTGGAGAGAAAACAGAACAGAAAAGACAATGTTGGGAATTACAGGTTTTAAACAACTTGTCAGTCTGTGGGAAGGTAGTGGATAATGTTTAAATTTTGCTATTGATAAAGAAATGTGGGTTAAAATTAGTTCTTTAAAATGTAAAGGAAAATTCAGAAGCCATGAAACAAAAGATTGATATTTTTGGCTACGTAAAAATAAAAACTTCTATATGACTAAAATCATGAGATAAACAAAACTAAAAATAGAGTGGGCCTGGCACGGTGGCTCATGCCTGTAATCCCAACACTTTGGGAGGCCAAGGCAGGTGGATCACCTGTGGTCAGGAGTTCAAGACGAGCCTGGCCAACATGGTGAAACCACATCTCTACTAAAAGTACAAAAATTAGCCAGGTATGGTGGTGCATACCTGTAGCCTCAGCTACTTGAGAGGCTGAGGCAGGAGAATCGCTTGAACCTGTGGGGAGAGGCTGCAGTGAACCAAGATCATGCCATTGCATTCCAGCTTGGGTGACAGAGCAAGACTCTATCTCAAAAAAAAAAAAAAAAAAAAAAAAAGAATGATGAAAAACTGGGAAAACATATTTGCAACATATAAGGCAAAGGGCTAATTCATTTTTTTAAAACTTTTATTTTTAATTCAAGGGTACATGTGTAGGTTTGTTTCATAGGTAAACTTGTCTCATGGAGGTTTGTTGTATAGATTATTTCATCACCCAGGTATTAAGTCTAGTACCCATTAGTTATTTTTCCTAATCCTCTCCCTCTTCCCATCCTCCACCCTCTGATAGGCCCCAGTGTGTATTGGTCCCCTCTATGTGTTCATGTGTTCTCATCATTTAGCTCCCACTTATAATTGAGAACATGTGGTATTTGGTTTTCTCTTCCTGCATTAGTTTGCTAAGGACAATTTCTTTAATTAACAAAAGTTCTTATGAATCTGTAAGAAAATGATGAACAACCCAATTCAAAAATGAGTAGAAGATATGAATAGGCAGTTTACCAAAAGAGAAATAAAAATGACCAATAGCTATATATGTAATCATTCTGAATTTCACTCATAATCAAATAAAGACAAAATGAGATTTCACTATTTATTACAGATCAGCAAAAATAAAAATGTTGAATAAAACCCAGTGTTGATGGAGATGTTGGAAAATGAGCAATTTGTGCATTGTTTTTTGGAGTGTCAATTAATGCAAATTTTCTGAAAAACAATTTACAATATCTCTAATAATTGAACTGTTTACACATTTTGATTCAAAAATTTCATTTTTAGCAATTTATGCTAGGACATATTCTCACAAATGTAAATCTAGATGTTGATTGTAGTATTTGTGTGTTCATGCATATGTGTGCTTGTGCATGCATGTCAGCACAAAACAAAAACTGAAAACAGCCAAAGTGTCAAATATTAGAGAACTGGTTAAATTGCGATAAATTCATATAGTGAAATACTATGTACTATTGAAAGAATTAGTTAGCTCTGGATGTGCACATATGGAAGAGCTGTGAGATATATTATTAATTGAAAAAAGAAAGAAAGGTTTAGTATTATCTCTTGTAAAATACAGTTGACCCTAGAACAACTGGTGCCAACTCCCCATGTAATAGAAAATCCCTGTATAACTTTTGACTCCTCCTAAACTTAACTACCAAAAGCCTACTGTTGATAGGAAGCCTTACAGGTAACATAAACAGTCACTTAACACATAAATACACTGGTATCTATGTGTAATTTATGCATTCATGGCATACCTAAGTTTTTCTTAATTTTTTCAATATTTTTAGGCTATGCAGTGTTTCTCAAATTGTTGAAATCTCCACAAAATTTTCCAATATATTTATTTTTAAAAATGTGGATATAAGTAGACCTGTACAGTTCAAACCTGTGTTGTTCAAGGGGCAGCTGTCTGTGTAAATAAATATATATGGGCATATAGAATTTTTTCTTGAAGGAATCACAAAAAATTGCAGTTACTAGGCTTGAGTGACGGAGACTTTCAGTTTTCATTTTGTACCTTTCAATATTACTTGGCTTTCAAAACTTCGTATTATGTTTGTATTTAAAATAATAATATGGGTTTTGAGGTGGGAGATAATCTGAAATTCTTTTTATTTTTGTTTCATTTTCTCCTTTTTATTTCTTGGCACTTAAAAAAGCTTGTTATAGTAAAAGTAGAATAATTTATTAGTAGAGTGAACCTATAAAATAACATTTCCAAATAAATAAGGGGGTATATAAAACAAAGTGTACTTGATTAATTCAGCAAAGTCAGGAATGCATGAACATACACAATTATGGTATAAAATTTTGATATATCTCACTTGAAACAGGAGATAGGTCAAGTAGACAAAAACACAGAATAATGAAAATATTTGAATAGCATTATTAACAAGTTTAGTGTTGTGTAGATAAACACTTTTATACATTGGTACCATATATAGTATTTTACAATAGCCATGGATAATTTGCAACAATTTATCATATACTTGGTCACAAATAATAAATGGTGGACACCTTCAATATTTAACAGATGTCAATTATCCTTATATAATTCTAAATGAATTTCAAATAACATATTTCAGAATTGTGGGGAAATTCAACACATTCATATTTGAGTTTATATGGAAGAACAAATGAGACAGTATAGCTAAGACAATTGAGAAAGTAAGCCAATTAATTGTGGAGGAGGGGAATTGTCCTACCAGATGTCAAAACATCCTATAAAAATAATTGAAGTGTGTGACTGGCATAGGAACAGCCAGATAGAACAATGCAACTGAATAGAACCCAGAAGCTAATAAATATCTGTCTGTCTATCTAATGATATGCCAATCTGGTATATATTAAAGCATTTGAAAATACTGGATTATTGTCTAAAGGGTTTGGAGACAATTAGATGACAATAAGTGAAAAATTATGTATCTATGCTCTGCTTACACAAAAGAATATTCCAGAAAAATAAAATATTTATTTATTTTTTGAGACAAGGTCTTGCTCTGTTGCCCAGGCTGAAGTGCAGTGGCACAATCATAGCTTACTGTAACCTCAAACTCCCGGGCCCAAATGATCCTCCCACCTCAACATCCTGAGCAACTAGGACCAGAGGCATGTGCTGCCATGCCTGGCTATTTTTTTTTTTTTTATAGATATGGGGCGTCAGTATGTTGCCCAGACTGACCTTAAGCAATCCCCCTCCTTGGCCTCCCAAAGGATTGAGATTATAGGTGTGAGCCACCGCATCTGGTCAGGATTAAACATTTAAATAAAGGTATTAGAATAAAATATAAGTGAATGTTTACATGATCTTTGTATCAAAGGACAACATACAAATGTTGAATGAGAAACAAATTGGAAAAACTATTTGTAACATTTATGACAGAAAATGATAATATTATTAATATATTGAAGAACTATTGCAAATTGTTTAGGCAGAACTTGCTCAGTTACAAGTGATAGAAACCAACTCAAATAGAAAAAAATAACATTATAATGGAAAATTGGGGATCATAAATAAATGAGAAATATAGGCCAGTAATCAGAGGAAAAGATATCCAGCATCACCAAATTGACAATATAGTGGCTTAGAAAGATGAGAAAGATTTATAGATGTTAATGTAGAAATGTGTCCCTGCTATATTGTTAAAGAGAAAACAAGTTATGAAGGCATGAATAGTGTTTTTCCATTTGGGTGAAGCAGTATATATACACACACATATATACGTGTATATATATGTATATATATGTATATATTTGTGCTTATATATGTATATGTATATATAAAAGTCTGGTTTTGTTCAGTGAGGATGACAGGCATATGGAAGTCAAGAGTGGTTCTAACAGAAAGTCACTGAAAGTCCAGGCCAGATGTGGCTGTTTAGCTTTTACCAGAGCATAACACTTAATGAAGAAGGGAAATACAGGTGTCATATTGAGACTAGGGTGATGCTGATGTTCAGCTTGATAAAAGAGGGGCTGTTAGGTATCCCAAACTAGGCAGGCCTGAAAAATCATAAAAGGCAAGGAGGAATAGGTAGGTGCAAGCAGTTGAGGGAGTTCAACTAAAGAAGGTATCAAAACCAGCAAGAGTTCAGGGAATTAGGCATATCATAAACACAGGGTTGAAGATTATAAATCATGGGATAGGGGTTAGAGAAAGGATCTGAGCAACAGTGAATCAGGTATGTAGAACCTAGGCTGACAAGTCTGAACAGGCAAAGATGAGCTTCCAGGTCTAGGTAAGGAATGGGTAATAGTGCTATGATTAAACCAATTATACACCTCCTTCCCCAACACAGTCCCTAGACTCAGAGCCTGGGTCTATAGTATTAGCTTTCAAGTAAGGGTATTTGGCATGATTATGGAAACAAAGGGGCAAGGAGTTAGTAGTTCTGATTTGGGAAAGTGGCTGATGTGAGACATTTTGTGGACTACTTTGGGCAGATAGTCTAGGAACAAATGTGGTGTGGAGTCAAGATCATGTCTCAGTGTATCACCCACCCTCAGTTCCCATTCACTTATCTAAGGATGAATTTGAAGTCAAAGAATCAAGACAAAACTGACCCAGCATAGTGGGATTGTTCTTTGATGGTGAAGAACGGAAGTTACAAATGGTGGATTCTTTTCTGAGATTGTGACCAGTGCAGAGATGGTGGAGCCAGTATTGAAATGGCTGGGTCCTCCGCAGAAGGGCAGAGTGAATTCATGGGGAAGGAGCGCTTGAAGCATGTGCATCAAAGGTAGTCAGTTCATACAACCAACAAGTATTATAAACTTAGCTTCTCTTCAAATTATGCTAGTATGAGCTCATTGGGAGACACTTATTAATGGGTGAATTTTATGGTTTCAAGATAGCCAACTTAAAACATGTATTTTAACAGGCTTCATCTTTAAGGCAGATATCATACTTCTCTTCCAAGCTGCTCAAAAATAGAAACCCAGTTAATAAATTATGATACATTAAGATAGAATACTATTTAGTCCTTAAAATGATGTTACAGAAGACTAATGATGCTGAAGGCTAAATGATAATCATGACATAATAAGAGAGAAAGCCACATTGGTTCTAATTTATAAAAATATATGTTGCATACATATGAAAAGACAAGAAGAAAAGACCACTAGTGGCTTTGTCTCGGCAGTGACAGTAGGAGATATTTTCATTTTCCTCATTTGTTTTTTATTTCCCAAATTTTCTACACTGTGCATGTACTATTTTTGTCATTTAAAAATTTTAATAAATGCTATTAAAATGTTTTGTGGCATTTGGAAGGCACATTGGTGTGGCCACCAGGTGACCTATGTTCTACTTTCAATTCCACCACTGAAATGATATATGACCTTGGGCAAAGCATGCTCCCTGCTTTTGGCTCCCTTCCCTTTCCCTCCCTTCCCCTCCCCTCCACTTCCCTTCCCTTCCCTTCCCTTTTTTTTTTTTTTTTTTTTTTTTGGAAAACATATTTATTTGGGGCTGGGCGCGGTGGCTCATGCCTGTAATCCCAGCACTTTGTGAGGCTGAGGTGGGTGGATCACTTGAGGTCAGGAGTTCGAGAGCAGCCTGACCAACATTGCAAAACCCCGTCTCTACTAAAAATACAAAAATATGAGTCAGGCATGGTGGTGCACAGCTGTAGTCCCAGCTACGCGGGAGGCTGAGGCAGAAGAATCGCTTGAACCTGGGAGGCGGAGGTTGCAGTGAGCTGAGGTCATGCCACTGCACTCCAGCGTGGGCAATAGAGCAAGACTCCATCTCAACAACAAACAAACAAACCAGAAAACAAAAACAAAACAAAACAAAACCCCCAAAAAACAAAAAAAGAAAACCATTTATTTTAGAGTTCATAAAAGTGGACAAACAAAAAATGAAGCGTGGAGAGAAAAGGCATGTATAATGCCATCACACAGAAAAATCGCTGTTTATTTTTTGGTGCTTTTCCTTCCAATCTTATTTCTATGCATATAACAAAAATAATGTGCATTTTATCTTATAAAATGCCCCTTAATATTATAAAATGCACTTATTCTTATCAGGGGATTGGACTGGAGCTGTAGTTTTCCAGAAATGCTCTAGGAAGCCCTAGAGTTCTGTTACAATGCCTTGGGAGCTGCCAAGGGAGGGAGAGGGGAAGGCTGAGTGGTTGGAGTCTAGGTCTTTCAGATTACTCTAGTTACGCAGCCACCTTACTTAAAAATCAATTTTGGATCCTAGGATTTTATATAAGATTTTCTTTTTTGTTTTTTTTTAATTTAATTTAATTTAATTTTATTATTATTATACTTTAAGTTTTAGGGTGCATGTGCACAATGTGCAGGTTAGTTACATATGTATACATGTGCCATGCTGGTGCGCTGCACCCATTAACTCGTCATTTAGCATTAGGTATATCTGCTAATGCTATCCCTCCCCCCTCCCCCCACCCCACAACAGTTCCCAGAGTGTGATGTTCCCCTTCCTGTGTCCATGTGTTCTCATTGTTCAATTTCCACCTATGAGTGAGAACATGTTGTGTTTGGTTTTTTGTCCTTGCGATAGTTTACTGAGAATGATGATTTCCAATTTCATCCATGTCCCTACAAAGGACATGAACTCATCATTTTTTATGGCTGCATAGTATTCCATGGTGTATATGTGCCACATTTTCTTAATCCAGTCTATCATTGTTGGACATTTGGGTTGGTTCCAAGTCTTTGCTATTGTGAATAGTGCCACAATAAACATACATGTGCATGTGTCTTTATAGCAGCATGATTTATAATCCTTTGGGTATGTACCCAGTAATGGGATGGCTGGGTCAAATGGTATTTCTAGTTCTAGATCCCTGAGGAATCACCACACTGACTTCCACAATGGTTGAACTAGTTTACAGTCCCACCAACAGTGTAAAAGTATTCCTATTTCTCCACATCCTCTCCAGCACCTGTTGTTTCCTGACTTTTTAATGATTGCCATTCTAACTGGTGTGAGATGGTATCTCATAGTGGTTTTGATTTGCATTTCTCTGATGGCCAGTGATGGTGAGCATTTTTTCATGTGTTTGTTGGCTGCATAAATGTCTTCTTTTGAGAAGTGTCTGTTCATGTCCTTCGCCCACTTTTTGATGGGGTTGTTTGTTTTTTTTCTTGTAAATTTGTTTGAGTTCTTTGTAGATTCTGGATATTAGCCCTTTGTCAGATGAGTAGGTTGCGAAAATTTTCTCCCATTTTGTAGGTTGCCTGTTCACTCTGATGGTAGTTTCTTTTGCTGTGCAGAAGCTCTTTAGTTGAATTAGATCCCATTTGTCAATTTTGGCTTTTGCTGCCATTGCTTTTGGTGTTTTAGACATGAAGTCCTTGCCCATGCCTATGTCCTGAATGGTATTGCCTAGGTTTTCTTCTAGGGTTTTTATGGTTTTAGGTCTAACGTTTAAGTCTTTAATCCATCTTGGATGAATTTTTGTATAAGGTGTAAGGAAGGGATCCAGTTTCAGCTTTCTACATATGGCTAGCCAGTTTTCCCAGCACCATTTATTAAATAGGGAATCCTTTCCCCATTGCTTGTTTTTCTCAGGTTTGTCAAAGATCAGATAGTTGTAGATATGCGGCGTTATTTCTGAGGGCTCTGTTCTGTTCCATTGATCTATATCTCTGTTTTGGTACCAGTACCATGCTGTTTTGGTTACTGTAATCTTGTAGTGTAGTTTGAAGTCAGGTAGCGTGATGCCTCCAGCTTTGTTCTTTTGGCTTAGGATTGACTTGGCGATGCGGGCTCTTTTTTGGTTCCATATGAACTTTAAAGTAGTTTTTTCCAATTCTGTGAAGAAAGTCATTGGTAGCTTGATGGGGATGGCATTGAATCTGTAAATTACCTTGGGCAGTATGGCCATTTTCACGATATTGATTCTTCCTACCCATGAGCATGGAATGTTCTTCCATTTCTTTGTATCCTCTTTTATTTCATTGAGCAGTGGTTTGTAGTTCTCCTTGAAGAGGTCCTTCGCATTCCTTGCAAGTTGGATTCCTAAGTATTTTATTCTCTTTGAAGCAATTGTGAATGGGAATACACTCATGATTTGGCTCTCTGTTTGTCTGTTATTGGTGTATAAGAATGCTTGTGATTTTTGTACATTGATTTTGTATGCTGAGACTTTGCTGAAGTTGCTTATTAGCTTAAGGAGATTTTGGGCTGAGACGATGGGGTTTTCTAGATATACAATCATGTCATCTGCAAACAGGGACAATTTGACTTCTTCTTTTCCTAATTGAATACCCTTTATTTCCTTCTCCTGCCTGATTGCCCTGGCCAGAACTTCCAACACTATGTTGAATAGGAGTGGTGAGAGAGGGCATCCCTGTCTTGTGCCAGTTTTCAAAGGGAATGCTTCCAGTTTTTGCCCATTCAGTATGATATTGGCTGTGGGTTTGTCATAGATAGCTCTTATTATTTTGAGATACGTCCCATCAATACCTAATTTATTAAGAGTTTTTAGCATGAAGGGTTGTTGAATTTTGTCAAAGGCCTTTTCTGCATCTATTGAGATAATCATGTGGTTTTTGTCTTTGGTTCTGTTTATATGCTGGATTACATTTATTGATTTGCATATATTGAACCAGCCTTGCATCCCAGGGATGAAACCCACTTGATCATGGTGGATAAGCTTTTTGATGTGCTGCTGGTTTCGGTTTGCCAGTATTTTATTGAGGATTTTTGCATCAATGTTCATCAAGGATATTGGTCTAAAATTCTCTTTTTTGGTGGTGTCTCTGCCCGGCTTTGGTATCAGGATGATGCTGGCCTCATCAAATGAGTTAGGGAGGATTCCCTCTTTTTCTATCGATTGGAATAGTTTCAGAAGGAACGGTACCAGTTCCTCCTTGCACCTCTGGTAGAATTCTGCTGTGAATCCATCTGGTCCTGGGCTCTTTTTGGTTGGTAAGCTATTGATTATTGACACAATTTCAGAGCCTGTTATTGGTCTATTCAGAGATTCAACTTCTTCCTGGTTTAGTCTTAGGAGGGTGTATGTGTCAATGAATTTATCCATTTCTCCTAGGTTTTCTAGTTTATTTGCGTAGAGGTGTTTGTAGTATTCTCTGATGGTAGTTTGTATTTCTGTGGAATCGGTGGTGATATCCCCTTTATCATTTTTTATTGCATCTATTTGATTCTTCTCTCTTTTCTTCTTTATTAGTCTTGCTAGCAGTCTATCAATTTTGTTGATCCTTTCAAAAAACCAGCTCCTGGATTCATTAATTTTTTGAAGGGTTTTTTGTGTCTCTATTTCCTTCAGTTCTGCTCTGATTTTAGTTATTTCTTGCCTTCTGCTAGCTTTTGAATGTGTTTGCTCTTGCTTTTCTAGTTCTTTTAATTGTGATGTTAGGGTGTCAATTTTGGATCTTTCCTGCTTTCTCCTGTGGGCATTTAGTGCTATAAATTTCCCTCTACACAATGCTTTGAATGTGTCCCAGAGATTCTGGTATGTTGTGTCTTTGTTCTTGTTGGTTTCAAAGATCATCTTTATTTCTGCCTTCATTTCGAAGGTTTTCTTTCAATAAATGGTTTTGATCTCCTTCTCTCTCACACACATATATATCTGTATATATATGTATATATGTGTATATCTCATATATATCTATATATGTATATATAAAGATATTTGTGTGTATATATATGAGACTGATGCACTACCTACTGTGCTAATGAGGCACCTGTGTGTGTGTGTGTGTGTGTGTATATATGTATATATACATGCATATATATCTACACAGAGAGAGAGAAAGAGAGAGAGAGGAAATGTGATCTCCAAAGATCTTTCTAGCTTTGATCAATTCTATCATTTAGGCTTTTCACAAATTCCCTGAAAGCTTCTCCTGACTTGGTCCAAATTTGTGGAGTTTTTATACTGCCTTTTGGATAATACCCTTGTTGCCTATAAGCAACCCCTTCTTACCCTGCATGTCTAGCAAGGTGTGTGCAGTGTTGTGGATAGACACAAGACTGTGCATTCAGTAGAATAGATTAGCCCTGTTCTGTATGGATTTGGAAAACTAATCAGCAGGGGAGGGAGTACGTGGCCAGTTCCTTGGTGGTCAAGGGCGCATTGAAGCCTGGCACAAATATTTTGAGGCAATTCGAAGATGATGTCTCCAATGACCTGTGGCAAGAAATTTATGTATTTTCTTGAAAATGAGAGGTAAATGTATTGTTTTTCAGTTTTAAATATTAAATCCCTGGGTGGGGAGAGGCAGAGAGAGATAGAGCTTCTTTGTGACTTCCCTCTTTGTTTTGGATACATTATGTGGTCATATGCCTTGCTGATGGGGAAGGGGGAAACTGAGTAATGAGGGACCTAGCAGGGGAAAAGCAATGGAAGCATCTAGCTTACATCCCTTCCCAACATCCATCCTCATAGACAAGAGTTTTCAAGACAGTGGTGGGACTCTTATACTCCAAAAGATAGGCAAATATGACAGCACAGCTGTTGATTAGAGGGTTGGCTGCTAGGGTTGGCATATAAAGGCAGAATAGTTTTCATTGTTATTCTAAGAGTTTTTTCTTAATCCAGCTTCTTCAGAATGAAGAAGGTAGTAAAGTTGTCTCTTGAATACTTAACTCCTTATTTACGTACATGTTCCCCATCCCTGTACCCTGTTTCTCCTCCTCCGAAATCCCAGGCACCTTATAGTCTCCAGCTCTCATTTTATTCCCTTGATTGTAAAGTATAATTGCTGATAAATTTATTCTCATTAAGGTGCAAATGACTGATTATAAAATAACTCCTATCCCTAGTGAAATAATAAAAATATCAAAAATATCCATAAGCCAGGGGAGTAAATCCACAGTGGTAGAATATTAGGTAGCATTGAGTGCATGAAGTGTTTCTTGAGGAAGGAACCCAGCTTAGTGCTTCAGCATACTTAGTCAAGAGGGCTCTAATTCCTACTCCTTGGGTAACCATTTAATCACAGGCCTGAGCCTGCTCTTGTTTTCATAAATATGTGTTTGTTGTGATAATTAGGAAAAGTGTAAAAGAGTTAAAATTAGGTATTTATTAGCTTCGGTGATGTGACAGCCTCGTGGGGGGTGAGGGCTACCTAAAGGAAGTGCTCTGGAAAGGCAGCCTCTTTCTTTAGCTCAAGAGGGGTTAGGAAACAAAAACCAAGCAAAAAAATAAGCAACCTGTGAAAGTAATGCAAAGTACCAAAGGAGTTCTGTTAGGTAGTTAAAGGAACACTGTAAGCAGTCTATTGCCACTGTTTTGAATGACAGTCAAGATTTATCAGAAGTGTTTAATTTTAGCACAGAAGAGAAGAAAAAGTAGTTTAAAAATAAACCAGAGATTTAGAAAAAAGGCTGGTGAACCCAGTTTAATCTCAGGCACAAAGATACAAATTTCCAAAGTTGGATGGGCTGAGAGTACTGGGGCACAAGCTTGAACACTAACATCTATGAATTGTTAGGTGTGATTACCTGTCAGTAACATTTTCAAAGAGCTCCTATTGGGTTAGATGGTGGGGGGAATGGTTAGTTTATATAATAGTTATGAAAAAACTTATTTCATACCTACTACTTTGGTGTAATCTACATGAAAACATTATTTTCTCTTTTTCCCCTCCCCACAAACACATTCAAACACCTAAAGAAAAATAGTTGCAAAATGAATTGGAGCAGAGTAGAACCAATTCAGAAATCTTCCTATAAAAAGGAGGTGTCCTTTGTGACATAAACAGGGCAGTGATTTCCAAAGGAAGCTGCACATCAGAATCATCTGGAGCATTTTAAAAAATACAGATTCCTGGGTTCCACTCGAGAGTTTATGATTCAGTGGTCTGGAGTGGAGTTGGGGATGTTAGTTTTTTTTTTTTTATGGAAAAAGCCTCTTTAATATTAAATTAAAAATCCACTGACGATAATACATGCTTTATGAACTAGGAATAGAAGGGAACTTCCTTAATCTGACTAGATACACTTAATCATGAAGCCCCTGAGGCTCCAGCTCAGAGGAGCCTCTGGGGTGTAAGATTGTAAGATTGTAAGATTCCCCAGCCTGAGTAGGCCCTGGACACTGATTTTTATCTGGAATTCTTCCAGAAATGGAAGCGGACTTCAAATATTATGTCATCAATAAGTGCCTTCTAGATCAAGATAGCATTGGTGCTTCAATATTCCACGTACCTCCCAAGATCTCATTCAAAACCCAGCCAGGGAAGGCCCACTGATTTTTCAGATCTTGAATATATTTTTTTAATACTTTAAGTTCTGGGATACATGTGCAGAATGTGCAGGTTTGTTACATAGGTATACACCTGCCATGTTGGTTTGCTGCACCCATCAACCCGTCAGTTATATTAAGTATTTCTCCTAATGCTACCCCTCCCCTAGCCCCCCACCCCCCGACAGGCACCAGTGTGTGATGTTCCCCTCCCTCTGTCCATGTGTTCTCATTGTTCACCTCCCAATTATGAGTGAGAATATGCAGTGTTTGGTTTTCTGTTCCTGTGTTAGTTTGCTGAGAATAACGGTTTCCAGCTTCATCCATGTCCCTGCAAAGGACACAAACTCATCCTTTTTGTGGCTGCATAGTATTCCATGGTGTACATGTGCCACATTTTCTTTATCCAGTCTATCATTGATGGGCATTTGGGTTGGTTCCAAGTCTTTGCTATTGTGAATAGTGCTGCAATAAACATATGTGTGCATGTGTCTTTATAGGAGCATGATTTATAATCCTTTGGGTTTTTACCCAGTAATGGGATTGTTGGGTCAAATGGTATTTCTAGTTCCAGATCCTTGAGGAATCGCCACACTGTCTTCCACAATGGGTGAACTAATTTACACTCCCACCAACAGTGTAAAACATTCCTATTTCTCCCTATCCCCTCCAGCATCTGTTGTTTCCTGACTTTTTAATGGTCGCCATTCTAACTGGCGTGAGATGGTATCTCATTGTGGTTTTGAATTGCATTTCTCTAATGACCAGTGATTATGAGCTTTTTTCATGTTTGTTGACCGCATAAATGTCTTCTTTTGAGAAGTGTCTGTTCATATCCTTCGCCCACTTTTTATGGGGTTGCCTGTTTTTTCTTGTAGATTTGTTTAAGTTCCTTGTAGATTCTGGATATTAGCCCTTTGTCAGATGGATAGATTGCAAAAATGTTCTCCCATTCTGTAGGTTGCCTCTTCACTCCAATGATGGTTTCTTTTGCTGTGCAGAAGCTATTTAGTTTAATTTGATCCCATTTGTCAATTTTGGCTTTTCTAGGTTTTTTATGGTTTTAGGTCTTAAGTCTTTAATTCATTTTGAGTTAATTTTTTATAAGGTGTAAGGAAGGGGTCCAGTTTCAGTTTTCTGCATATGGCTAGCCAGTTTTCCCAACACCATTTATTAAATCGGGAATCCTTTCCCCATTGCCTGTTTTTTTTTTGTTTTTTTTTTTTTTTTTTTTTTTTTTTTTTTTTTTTTTTTTGAGACGGAGTCTCGCTCTGTCGCCCAGGCCGGACTGCGGACTGCAGTGGCGCAATCTCGGCTCACTGCAAGCTCCGCCTCCCGGGTTCACGCCATTCTCCTGCCTCAGCCTCCCCAGTAGCTGGGACTACAGGCGCCCGCCACCGCGCCCGGCTAATTTTTTTTTGTATTTTTAGTAGAGACGGGGTTTCACCTTGTTAGCCAGGATGGTCTCGATCTCCTGACCTCATGATCCACCCGCCTCGGCCTCCCAAAGTGCTGGGATTACAGGCGTGAGCCACCGCGCCCGGCCCATTGCCTGTTTTTGTAACTGTCATTGGAGTGAACAGACAACCTACAGAATGGGAGAAAATTTTTGCAATCTATCCATCTGACAAAGGGCTAATATCCAGAAGCTACGAGGAACTTAAACAAATCTACAAGAAAAAACAGACAACCCCATCAAAAAGTGGGTGAAGGATATGAACAGATACTTCTCAAAGGAAGGCATTTATGCAGTCAACAAACATGAAAAAAGCTCATAATCACTGGTCATTAGAGAAATGCAATTCAAAACCACAATGAGATACCATCTCACGCCAGTTAGAATGGCGACCATTAAAAAGTCAGGAAACAACAGATGCTGGAGGGGATACAGAGAAATAGGAATGCTTTTACACTGTTGGTGGGAGTGTAAATTAGTTCACCCATTGTGGAAGACAGTGTGGCGATTCCTCAAGGATCTGGAACTAGAAATACCATTTGACCCAACAATCCCATTACTGGGTAAATACCCAAAGGATTATAAATCATGCTCCTATAAAGACACATGCACACATATGTTTATTGCAGCACTATTCACAATAGCAAAGACTTGGAACCAACCCAAATGCCCACCAATGATAGACTGGATAAAGAAAATGTGGCACATGTACACCATGGAATACTATGCAGCCACAAAAAGGATGAGTTTGTGTCCTTTGCAGGGACATGGATGAAGCTGGAAACCATTATTCTCAGCAAACTAACACAGGAACAGAAAACCAAACACTGCATGTTCTCACTCAAAATTGGGAGCTGAACAATGAGAACACATGGACAGAGGGAGGGGAACATCACACACTGATGCCTGTCGGGGGGTGGGGGGCTAGGGGAGGGGTAGCATCAGGAGAAATACTTAATGTAGGTGATGGGTTGGTTGGTGCAGCAAACCAACATGGCAGGTGTATACCTATGTAAGAAACCTGCACATTCTGCACATGTATCCCAGAACTTAAATAATAATTAAAAAAAGAATATTTTAAAATACAAAACATATTTATGTATTATTTGTGAGATAATTATGCAAAATTTATAAATTTACTATTTCATAGTACAGTTAAGGCAGTGTGGTCTGGTAATATTAGGATACTCATATGGTTTGGCTCTGTGTCCCCACCCAAATCTCATCTTGAATTGTAATTCACATGCGTTGAGGGAGGGAATTGACTGGATTATGGGGGCAGTTTCCTCATGCTGTTCTCAAGATAATGAATGAATTCTCACGAGATCTAATGGTTTTATGAAAGGTAGTTTTTTCTGTCCTCACATTCTCTCCTGCCACCTTGTGAAGAATGTGCCTGCTTCTTCTTCTGCCATGATTGTAAGTTTCCTGAGGCCTCTCCAGCCTCCCCTGTAAGTCAATTAAACCTTTTTTGTTTATAAATTACCCAGTCTCATGTAGTATCTTTATAGCAGTGTAAGAACGGACTAATATAGATACTATTTAAAGTTGTATGATGAATTCTGTCTTCTGTAATCCTGCAGTATATCCCTGTGACTATACCGTTAGATTTCAGGGCCCTCTGGGTGCTGTGAGCACCAAAGAAGGACATTTGACCCAGTTTATAGGGTCAGGAAAGGCTTCTTAGAATTAGTGCTAATTCTCTTTCTATGCATGTTTGGTAATTATGTGACTATGGAATTGTTATATCATTAAATTATAATAGGTAAACTTTTAGGAGAGTTTTCGAGTATGATGGAGGAAGAAATTGCATCTGTCATCCCAGAATGCCCCTGAGGTGAATGGGGATGCTGAAGTGAGTGAGGAAACGTAGAGCCTTTGGGCTCATGGATGCCAATCTCTGCAGCCTTTCTTGTCAGCTTGGAATTAGATCATGGCCTTCAGGTTGGAACTGAGAGAAGAATTGTGTGTGAGTGAGGTAGGTTTGGAAAAAGTTTAGTTTGAGAATTTTGTTCTCTTTCTTTTTTGGTTTTGGTTTTAATTCTTAAATGATGTAACACATTCCTCCTGGGGACCAAGAGTGATTCTGAAAACTAATAAGAAGAGGAAACACTTGTGGGAGAAGCAAAAACACAGTAGATATGATTTATAATCTACAGGAACAATTATTCATTACTCCCTGGAGATTTTCTTCCAGAACTTCTCCTCTGCTTACTAGAGCATGTTTTGCTTATTTCTGGGTGCAAACCCTTAAAGAAGGCAAAAGTGCTGGTTTATCTGCAGCAGAGAGTCTGCTTCGGGGACTATGACATGTAGCTGAGGAGAACTGCGGCACTAGTTGGAGCACTTTGAGTTTATTGCCAGAGAGGTTGCCTTTGAGATTACTGATGATCTATATAAACCCAACAGACTGAAATGCCTGAAGATTAGCAGGCAGAGCTACAGCCAGCTGCATATACCCCTACCCTGAACTTTCAACCTGTCAACATGCAAGGCCTGGAATGACTTATGGCACTCTACACACCTGGACCTAGCATACTTGGCAAGAGCCCTGGGCATACATAAGTCTACTGAGCAGCAGCCCTTTTTCCCTTCCGCACTTAAAATCAGCCAGTGGATGTTTCTCTGTTTTCTGTTTAGTACTAAAGTTCCCTGCTGAGTGTGGAGCCTTGCCCTGATTTTCAACCTACTTTCCTGGGCCCCTGACTCTCTCCCTGGTTCTTGCATCTCTGTCCCTTGAGCTTAGTTTCCTCATCTGTAAAATGGGATTTTGTAAAATAGAAAAATGATAACATGCGTTTTATAGGCTTCTTACAATGATTAAAATAAATATAAAGTGCCTGGGATAGAGTAGCTATAAAATAATTTGTAGCTGCTTTACTTGCTATTATTGTTATTTTTAATAGTACTTAAATTTGTACTTTTATCCTCCAGTCACATAATGGGGTCTTGGTTCCTAATAGACTGATCATTTGGTCCCAAGATGTCACCTTCAGTGTCTCTCCTTGCCATTACCTACCCGTGGGACTCTGAGAGATAGATATTGGACCAAATTGAACATGACTTAGTCATGTCTCTTTTGATATTATGTATTAGACTGCTTGTATTATATTAGTTTCCCATTGCTGCTTTAAAAAAATACTGTAAAATTTATGTCTTAGAAAAAAACACAGATTTCCTACTTTGTAGTCCTGGAGGTTAGAATTACAAAATGGGTCTCACTGGAGTAAAATTGAGGTGTCAGTAGTGCTGTATTCCTTCTGGGGACACTAGGGAATGATTCATTTTCTTGCCTTTTCCAGTTTCTAGATTCTGCCTGCATTTCTTGGTTTGTGGCTGCCTTCCATCCTCAAAGCCAGCAATCACACTTTTGTGACCTGTACTTCTGTCATCACATCTTCTCTGACACTAACTCCCCTGGCGTCCTCTTTGACTTATAAGGAGACTTCTCGTTACATGGTCCACCTAGATAGTTCAGGATAATTTCCTCATCTCAAGTCCCCTTTTCCATGTGAAGTAATATAGTCACAGGTTCTGGGTTCTAGGACTTGGAAATCTTTGGGGGCCATTATTCTACCTATTATATTGTTTCAATAGAAATCCACATCCCAGTGACTGAGTAAGATGGAAGTGAAAAGCCAGATACATGTGTAAAAGTGTTTTGAAATTTTGGTTTTCTCATGGAGAAATCTTTGCTACTACCATTTGTAGCTATGAAGCAGTAGGGATCATCTGGTTCTCTTGGCCTGGTTCTGTATTCACATGATACTCATTCTCCCCTCTAGGCCTTTGTTCACACCTTGAATTCACTATGTGTTCCTTTCTGCCAATCCAGATTCTACCCATCCTTTATATTTTATCTCTAGGCCCACTTTCTATGTGGAGTCTTCCCTTAATATACTTTTTAAAATAGTAACCATCAACCCTACATATCTTCTTACCTGACATTTTACCTTCTTCTGTCTCCCTGCTGCCTACTTTTGTGAGGAAGTACACAGAAGTCAGACTGGCATTCCCAGAAAGTGGGCATTTTTACTATCATTTCAAAGTGAGGAAGAGAAAGGTTAACAAACCATTTTGTCTCTAAGTCCCTAAGCATCTTTGGACAGCAGAGAAACTGCCAAATCTAGTCCATTGCTTTAAATCTGACAATCCTTTGAGGCTGAGAATTTGCTCTTGGTTACTATAACTACGGGTTTGTAGGCGAACATTAGAACATAAAAAGATGTGAGTCTTTCAGTTAGTTTAACAAATTTTGGAGATGAAATCTCTCCAGAAGACAAAACCTTAGGGGTAATCATGTCAGCTAGTCATAATAATTGTGCCATCATATGCCTAGGAGGTCTTCTTTCAGGATGGGCATCAAAACAACTAGAAATTTGTTAGGAAGTATGTGTGTCAAAACAGCTGCTTGACTAAACTAACATGCAAGTTCAGACTTCAGTCAAAGGAGTCTAAAAGTGTTGTCTTCTAAATTAACAACTGTTTGGAAAATGTCTCATAAATAATTATTAAGATATGTAATGGTATATATTTTTCTGAAATTATTTGATGTGTTGTTGATTCATCTGCCAGAAATCTCCTGCAGACATGTCAAGTGTCTATAAGTATTTCTGAACAAGCCATAGGCAAATTGAAACAAGCCAGCCCCAGTGAGCAAATATCTAAGATCAGTGGCGGAAACAGTAAACCCCTGGATTAAAATGGATAAAAGGAAAAGATTCGCGAAGCATCCAAATCTTCTAGACACCACCATGTTCAGTTATCTAAATGATTTCTTGGCTTTTCTGCTTTTCATCTGGATGTCTCTTGGCTTAGAGATGCACTTGAGGTATCAAAATGGTTGGTGGACTACATGGACCAGGGTATTTGCTGGTTATTTGAATTACTTCTAAATTTCTGGCTTTTGGGGCTCAAACGTAGCAAAGTAAAATCCATTTCAGCAGGGATGAAAATATAACAATAGAAATTAAGTTAATGCATGCAAAAAAACTTATTAAAAGGCTATGCTGAGGCATATGCTTCATTGAGTCTATTTCTATTTTTTTTGTACACAAGTTTCAGCAATAAATAATTTTTACAGAGTGCTTAATGTATTGGTGTTAAAAAAGTTCTTTCTCTTCTTGGCCAGTTGCCATTTGAGTAGCACTCAGTGTGCATCCTCAAAGGTAATCTTTCCTTATAAGGATTTTAATAGTTTGTAAAGGTTTTAGATAAAAACATGCTATAGCCTTCCTGTTCCTTTAGATTGAATTATCGCTTATATTTATGCTTCCTTCTTTGTCACTTTTCTTGAAATTGCTAAGTCTTAGGCTATATCCACATATCACCAAAAGTATTTAAAAGTAAGAAATTCAGTCACCAAACCAGAATTTATTTAGGTAGGTATGTTAAAAAAAATACACCCATTTGACAAATGGCCAAATCAGATGAAACAATTAGGCATTCATTGTGAACATAAAACCCCAGAGAAAGACACATCAATTTCATTTTCCTGAAAATATAGGAAAATCTACTCATTTCTATCTCACTCCATGCCTATTACCCTATTTTAAACCTCTTTCACTTGAACTATTGTGATAGTCACCTTCCTGGTTTCCCAGTTTCTTTTCTTGTGCTCCAATCCATTTTCCATCCCTTGTTACAATGGATTGAATGTTCAATATAAGGCAAAAGCAGGCTGGCATTGGATACTGTGAAGGCAGAAAACAGTGCATGGTCCTAGAAAATTTTAATTCCAAGTGGCTGATTGAGGATCCAGTTACTCCATGGGAGAGTTGCAGGAGCTAAGCTCAAACAATTGCTGTAGTAACACTGTCTGGAACCTGAGTAGTGACCAGGAGAAGTCTAAGGCCATAGTTGTCATGATTGCTGTCTGTATTAGTACATTCTCACATTGCTGTAAAGAACCACCTGAGACTGGGAAATTTATAAAGAAAAGAGGTTTAATTGAATCACAGTTCCACAGACTATACAGGAAGCATGGCTGGGAAGGCCTGAGGAACTTGAAATCATGGTGAAATGTTAAAGGGAGGGAAGCAAACATGTCTTACGTGGCCTGGGAAGGAGGAAGAGAAAGAGAAGGGGGAGGTGCTTCACACTTTCATAAACAACCAGATTTCGTGAACTCACTCACTATTACAGGAGCAGCAAGGGGGAAATCTGCCCCTATGATGCAACCACCTCCCACCAGGCCCCTCTTCCAACATTGGGGATTACAATTTGAAATAAGATTTGGGTGGGGACACAAATCCAAACCATATCAGTGTCTGCAGATTTCTGTAATCCCTTATGCCAGAGCATCTAGACCTCTCGGCTTTACCCCTACCCTCCTGGCTAGCCCTTCTAGATTTAAAGAACTCTTGCTGGGTTCTGACTGGTTTCCTCATTACCAGTCTCCTAAATAAGACAATGCTTAACAAACACTTAGCATGCAGCCTGGCATAAAGTAAGTGCTTAATAAGTATTATCTATAAAATATTATAATTTGAATTTAATCTACATATTATGTAAGTGGAATAAATATTATGTATAGAAATATTATCTATGTTACCTTCTCTGGCTAGATAAAAAAGCTCAGAGAAGCATGTCAATGCTCTGGGGCCCAGACCATCACCATTATCACACTTGTCACCCTCTGAGTACTGATCAGAGTATCTGAAAACTAGCCACATTTTCCTTCGGTAAGAGTGAAGCAAGAATATTCTGGAAATTTAAAATTTGCATTTATGGAGTCATAGTTAAGGTTTACTGGGTATCACTGAAAGCACTGAAAAAATCTTGTTCTTATTTTGTCTTCTGCAAAGAGTTTGGTTCATATTTGATGTTGAAATTCCTATAGATCTTCTTCTCCCCTAATCCTCCCTATGAAATAGTATGTCTCTAGTTCTCTCCTGCCTGATTATTAGGAGGATTTGAGTTGTATGGTATTTAAGAGTGTTTCCCAAGTTAACTGTTCTCACCTGCAATATCAGCTTAGGCTCCTTGAAAAATGGGTTTCTTATTTAATTAGGCCCCATTGCTGGAGTAAAGGGCATTTATTGAATATTCTGGTTTGATTTTATGCTTCTCTGCATTTGGCGGGCAAATTAGTAATCACTTCACAGTGATGTTATAACAAATTACTCAAGCCCGGAACAAGGGGGAGAGCAGTAACAAAGGTAAAGAAGCAAATGTTTTCTGTGGCTTTATTTGGAGTTGATTTTGCTACGATAAATAATTGCGAGAGTCTCAGCTTTTATCCTCTTGTGGCTATAGTGGAATGATTATAATTAAAGTAAAACTACGGAATGTTAGAGCTAACTCCTTCATTTTATAACTGGAGAATTTCAGACTCAGAGAAGTAAAGTTGCTTGGCCCTGGTCACACAGCAAGTGATATTCCAGAAAGTCACAGAATCTCAGGGTTTGAAGGGAATTCCAAGGTTATTTAGGCCAACTGCCAACTCACGCATACATTTCCTCTATATTCTCCCTGTGCGTTTTCTTATACATCTTGATAACTTCTTTGTTCATCGGAACATGTAACCCTAAAAACGAATGTGGATTCTTACTTAAAGGTAAGCCAAACCACATCAAATAATTGGTTTAGGTCAATTATTAGGGAGGCAGCATTAGGCTAGGTATACACTGATAACACAATCAACTAAACAGGCACAATCTCTTCAACAACTTCTTCGTGGTTCAAATATCATTGGGTTTAATGGATAATTTTATTTCGTATTATTTTATATGGTTTTAATAAATAGACTTTTAATAAAAATCATATGGCTGGAATCAACCATTGAAATAGTCCTAGGGTTCTGTTGTTTTGTTGTTGTTGCTTGGTTTTGGCCTGGCTGAGGTTTCCTTTTGTAATTAAACACAAGTATACCTCATTATGGAATAAGTAATGATAGTAATTAGAACAATAATAATAGCTATCATTTATTGAATATTTTCAATGTGCCAGGCACTGCGATGAATAGACATTTTAAATGTCCCCTTCATTCTTCCTGACAACCTTTAGGAGTAGGTTTAACAAAATGCATTTTGTAGATAAGAAAATGAAAGCTCAGTGATGTTGAACAACTTGCTTAATGCTATACAATCAATCAGTAGTGGAACTGTGATTTGAATCCACGGCTATCTAATGCCAATGCCCATGTACTCTTCAACACCATGCTGCTGAAAAATAATTAAGAAACGAAAAAGTCAAAAATTAATATAAGGTCCCAGTTACAAAAGATGGAACTCATGGAGAGCCTACACTTACCAAATACTTTACCTTTATTATCTAATGTAATCATCACAGCAGCCCTATAAAGTAGGCATTGGTATCATTCCTATTTTACATATGACAAAACTGGGCAAGTTATTTAATTTTTGAGCCTCAAGCTGGCACACACGTAGGTAGTAAGTGGCAGAGCAGGAAGTGGAAGAATGGGAATTTAACTCCCTCATTATCAAAGCCTGTGTTCTTTCTACCGTGCTGAACAGTATTACTAATAATATATGTTTAAGTAGGATAGCTGTACATATATTTAGCTGTTTCCAACTCACTGGGGTTATTAACTATCTCAGCATCCTATTGTGTATCTTTTTGAAAAAAAAATCAAAATATATTATTGTTTCCTTTTTACATTTCTCATAAAGCAAATAACCACTCACTTTCAAATTGGTCTTTAGAGTGAATTGGAATGTTTTTATATTGCCTTAGCTTCATCAGAGCACATCTGTGATATAAAATGGCTCCTCATTTCACATTAGAGGGCACTGAATCTTTAAGAGGAGCCTAAAACTGAGCATCTAAGTATAAAATTATCAACTGTTGCAGGACTCTCAACTTGTATTATACTGAAAAGGTAGGTGCCACAGCCTTATGTGTAGAAGGTGTGACAACAGCACCTGACTGATTGATAACATCTGAGGGAGCAAATTTGTGTGATGAAGAACAGGAAACCATGCACTGGGCTTCATTTACTGCCTGCATGTTCATGTAAGAATTTTTCTATTTTAATATGTACCTTCATTAACCACTGATACTGCGAAGAGAATCACTCTTGGGGCATTAGGGAAAAGAGCAATTACACAGAATTCTTGCTTGGGTTTTTACTGCTCATTGTGGAATGACTGGAAGGTTGAGTTTATGAGTGTGGTCCATTCTGAGAGCCATGTATGAGGGGTTTGATTTGTTCCAATAGTAACTTAAATTCATTTATTTGTTTATTCATTTATTCAATAAAATAAATTTAAAAATCTAGTTCATTCAAGAGATGTTTATTGGACACCTAATACAGTATGTGCTAGGCACTCTTTTAGGCTCTGCAGCTACACTAGTAAATGGGATATATTGTAGCTTAGTTGATGTCAGGACCCTATATAAGAGGGACACATAACACAAACTTGAGGAGTTAGGGAAGGCTTCTTGAAGGAGATCAATTTTCAAAAGAAATTCAAGGTAAGTAAAAATTAACTAAGTAAGTTGGCAGAGTAACAGTAGATAGTGTTCCAGGCCAAGGAAAGGCAGGGAGGGGAGAAGTGCATAGACTGGTTGGGTTTGGAGAGCAGTTCAGTAAGACAGGAGCATAGAGTGCAATGAAGGGAGTGGCAAAAAAACATGATGACAGTCGTAAGCTGGAGCAGATCATAAGACACCTTGTAAGGTATGCCAAAATGTTTGAGTTTTTCCTTAAAAGAAATGGGAACCAACTGAAGAATTTTGGGCACTTGCTTTGGAAGTATCACCTTATGATTGTGGAGAGTTATTGTGGAGGCTGGAGGCAACTTTGTGCACCTAAAGAAGATACTGCAGTTCCCGTTTTGTCCTTACCTGCATCATTTTCTGCAATCAAAGGAATGTCTTATTGCAAAGACTATGGTTCCCAGATGAACCATTTATGCTCTATACAGCATTGGTGTACTGGTCTTAGTATCTTAATTCTCCCTTATAGGTTCACCCCTCTGTCACTATTTTTTTTTTTTTTTTGAGACAGAGTCTTGCTATGTCACCCAGGCTGGAGTGCAATGGCATGATCTCGGCTCACTGCAACCTCCGACTCCCGAGTTCAAGTGATTCTCCTGCCTCAGCCTCCCGAGTAGCTGGGATTACAGGTGCCTGCCACCATTAAGCCACCTGGGATTACAGGTGCCTGCCAGATAAATTTTGTATTTTTAGTAGAGATGGGGTTTCACCAGGTTGGCCAGGCTGGTCTCGAACTCCTGACCACAGGTGATCCACCCGCCTTGGCCTCCCAAAGTGCTGGGATTACAGGCGTGAGCCACCGCACCCGGCCCTCTCACTCTTTCTTAATAGTGGCCCCTCTGCAACTGCTGATCCTTTCCTGTGTTCTGAAGTTGTTCATTTTTACATCTATCCTTTGGATCATGTTATATCATCTCTCTTGAAAAGCCATCCCATTTGCTTTTGGTCATTCCCAATATTATCCATCCATCATGGTGCAGCTGTAGTCTTACCTTCTCTGAGAATTCTTTTCTGATCATTCCTGCCTAACTGATCCTATTATTCTCTAGCTTCCTGGATCATTTTGATTCACCTCCAACCCCAAATTATCTAGTACTCTTTTAAGTACTTTTTGTGTTGTCTCTTAGATGGTTCCGAAACTGGCCTGATTATCAGAATTACTGGAAGAGCTTGTAAAAAATAGAGATTTCTGATCCCCATCACCACGGATTCTGATTTAGTAAGTTGGTGGTAAGCCCAGGAATCTAAATTTTTATAAGAACCCAGATTAATTCTGGCAATTAACTGCTCTACATGTTTCATGTAGATTAACCTTTCCTCTGGATCTAGATGGAAGTTCCTTGAGATCAGGGCTCATCATGAAATTCCCTTGTACTTCTTCCTCCACTGCCAATCCTTACAAGAGCCTACAGTATGTGTTGACTTATTTCCATTGTTTATCCGGTTTTTGTTCCTAATATACTCTCCTTTATAATCTTTAGATGAAAGAATACAGTGGGTGCTGAATGTGCCACATACTTGCATGAGTTTTCGTGTGTGTTGTGTTGTGTTTAGACTTGGGACAATCAAAATTCAACCTAAAAGAATTCTCAAGCCTTCTTGCTGAAATACATGAGACCATACTATCTGCTTCACTAGACCCTGTTTCATTTTGCATTATTCCCAGCAATATTTCAATATCATTACCCACCTATCCAAAGAACGCTGTAAAATTCTCTCTGTATTGGGAGTTTCTTTTTAATGTAGTTTAGGAAAATGAACAGTAGTCTTTGAAGGGACTTATGTTGTTAAAACCCAGGAGGGTTTTTCCAATGTGAGTTGTTGCAAATAAGAATATGCAAGATTGAAATATGAATCCTGCTATTCTGTTGCTGAAGATGGTAGGCATGTATGACATCAAATGTATCTATTAGAATACTTCTAGAATGTCAAACTAAGCTTTTGAAGATATATCCTTTTTGTGACCCATCTTTGTGCATGGAAATTATGCGTTTGACTTCTTATGCGTTCTAGGATCTCAGAGTTAAAAGACTTTTTAGTGGTCTGTCTATCTATCTATCTATGTATCTATCTATCTATCTATCTATTTATCTATCCATCTATCTATCATCTCTCATATGTGTTGCAGAAGGAGAATGCCTCCCTAAAGAAGCAGGAGAAACCTAGTTTGAAAAATAAATTTTTAAACACACAAATATACAATAAAAGCACAGTGAGGCTTAGGTTTTGAAATACAGACTCAATCATTCCAACTGGCTAACTTCTGTACTCTAACTCAGATGTTTGATGGATTGTAATAATGACCTTGGCTTTTCATGAGATTCTAGATTTTCTCACTCTTTTCTGGAGTTTTTTGGTAAGTGGCTCAAAGGCAATAAAAGGGCAGGTGTGTGTGGGGATGTGTTCACATGCACATGTTCCTGTATGTTAGAAGGCATTTGGAAAGGGTGGCTGCACATCTGTTCGTGCTAATAGATGTCTGAGGGCCAAATAATGAAAGTTTCTTGCATCAAATAGTGAGTCCTAGCAGAGTGACAGGTATGCAAATTTTTAAACAAAGAAGAGAAACTTTGACCCGTATATCTCTGATATACTGTATGTGCCATATATATCAGTAGGTTAGGCCACTGTATTTTTCTCTCCTTATTTTTCTTGTACAAATAATGTATAAATGCATATTCATTGTAAAAAATAAAGTACAGAAAAATTTACAGTAAAAGGTGAAAGTCCACCTTCAACTCCTCTCCCAGTCTAACTCCTCTTCATGGAAATAAACACTGTTAACTGGTATTTATATTTTTATGATTTTTAAAGTGAATTTCCAAGTGCAGGATGAGGAGGAAGTCAATTCTGTTCAATTGAACAGATTATGATCCTTGATTATGCTTTCTATACTTAGGCTTTTGGATTGAAAAATTTTTTCCTTTCATGAGGCTTGTGTGTGTGTATGTGTTTGTGTGTGTGTGGTGTATGTACACTCGTGCATTTTGGATGACTGTATGCCTAATAAATTTTTAAAAGATGTCTTTAAATATATTTTCCAGACACTTGTCTATTGATGAGGTTAAGACTTCAGGGGTGGGAGTAGGAATGGGAGGTTGTTTCTATTTCAGTTGCAGTCTCTATAAACAATGCTCTTATCGTCCAGAGGGTTTTATGGTTAGTTTCTGTTGTCTCTGACTTTTTTGGAGCCTAAGTTAAACAAGATCCCAGGGAGCCCAGGACTGCTCTTTGCTCTCCAGAGCCTACTCATTGGTTTTAGTGCAATCTTTTGAGAAGGGCAGTCATCACAACTTAAAGTTCTTTATAATTAGGTTTTAATTATCCTTGAATATTAGCTTAAAATGTATTCCTTTAACAGTGGTAGAGCTTCCAAAGCCACCTGAGAACTCTTCCAAATACCAATGCGATGTGGCAGAAACTAAAGTCTCTTTGGTTTGATATGCAGTTTGATGATTCAATTCATCATGAAATCTAGTCTACCAGCAAGAATGGATTTGCCTAATAGGGAAGTTTTTAAGTAGTTAGTGGTTAAAAATGGTTGTGTCACTGCTGCATCTCTTGAAATTAAAATAATTTAAAATGCCAATTGAGTCATGGCAAAGAGCTTGTATCTGCCAAATTGTCATACATAACTCTATAAAAGGGGGATGAATTAAGGAGCTCAGTAAAAAGACCTAAAAAAAGAAAACTATTGAAAATCATGGGCTGTATCCCAAGGACACAGAAGCCTGGGGATGGGGGAATAATGATAGTTTGCTTGCATCCGAGTAGGTTCCCATATTGAAAAAGTTTGTTCTTGTCATGGGCTGACTTGGTTAGTGTATAAGACTGAAGTTATGGCTAGGAATTCCTTTCCTAACTGTACAAGTCAGCTATACTTATTTTATTTTATTTTTTTATCCATAGTATCTGGCAAACATATGTTATTGGTCATTCACAATGGGGTCCAGGAAAGCAAATCCATGCCCACCTAAAATATAAATTCTACCATTTTTCTGAATTTTTATTCTTTGCTAGGCATTCTTCCAGACACTTGAGAATATTAAATGCATATGAAATGGGTTCCAGTTCCACAGAAGTGTACATACATGTGTCTATATGTGCATGCATATGCACACAGCTGAGCTCAGAAGTGTACCTACTAGTGTATGTGACATGTAAGTAGAGTATCAGAATACAATGGGATCTCTATAGAGGCTTGTAATCAAGGCCAAGGAAATAACTATACTTGTTGATACTGTGATGGATTTCCAAGGCTAGATCATCATTTAGAGTAGAGAAAAAGAGGGGAATGGGAGAAACAGCGGGTGTGAAGGTAAAGAGGCCTGAATGTGCCTGGAGTGTTTGAGGAGTGGAAAGTGTTTCAGGGTGTCAAGAGTGAAGTATTGTCAGGGAGGTTTGGGGAAAAGGCAGCATAAAAGGCTGTAGAGGTAGGGAGGCGCAAGATTATGATGGGCCTTACATGTTGTGAGAAGGACTACATCCTGCATGTGTTGGGAGCCACTGAAGATTTTTTTTTTTAAGTGGGAGGAGTTATGGTGGGACAGTAGCAAATATATATTTGCTGATATAACAGGCACAAACATTTCAGAATAAAGCTTCTGCTTCAGCCAATAAAAACTTTAAGTAGGGCTACCATTGCCCGCAATTTGTGTTCAGTCTATTGCTTATTCATCAGAAGGGTTTGTTTTTGTTTGAATTGTTGCATCTGACAGTGATGTTTGCTGTAAGCTAGTTAGAGAACCCAAGCATTTGGGCTTCACTTCCACTGTTGCTGTAGTAGGAAAAGGTTGCTTAGAAATGGTTTCATAAAACTCTTGGACTTCTGAGATCCTAGTTTTTTTCCAAATCGATTGCTTTGAGTCCTCTCATTTTCTCTCTCCATGAGAAAAAAGCAAATAATAAAAAAGGATTCCATTGTTCCCTGTATCTTTGCACCTCTGTACTTTTGCCTTCTTTAATCTTGACAAGAGATTTTATATATGATAAAAGGACTTGATTAATACTATTAAAACTGTTTGCAATGTCTTGTGATTGTAACTGGAGAGATTTCATTTACTGTCTTCCTGATCAAAGTTACTGAAATGGATGGTCTGTGGATTAAAGGAAAGGGCTGTGTTTGCATATAGACTTTAAATAAATGTCAATAGATTATTTATGGAAATCCACACTCTGCCTCTCACTGTGCAGTCTGGACTACTTCTTCTCCATAAGAAATATGTAACTGAGGCTTTAGGTGATCAGTCTTAAATCAGTGAGACACCTGCCAAGCAGAAAATGCAGGGATCTACAGTATTTCACGATGCTATAAATTTGGATATCAGAGCTAAAGCCATCAGAAAGTCTGAAATTCTTTTGTGAGAGAACCCTAGGCTTGATGCAAAATATTGTGTCACAGTTACAGTAATTGCATGTTGGCTTATGATACCTGTTAGAAATTTGGGAAGGGGCACAGCCCAAACCAATTAATTGAGATTGCCTTGTTAAAGATAATAAATGTAAAATTTCCCAGGAATTAGACGTTTTAGAAGGTTCACTTTATCACACTTAGATAACTCACAGCAGTGGAGGGTGTTTAGTTGTCCTATAGCAGTCGCTATTAAATGATACATTAGTAAGAGGTGATGCTTGAGAGAGCCCACATGAAGAGCTTTTAGTGAGTCTATGTGAGTGTTCAAAGCCCTGGACGTGTCTTAGCAGATGATTCAAGATTAGCTCAGGTGGGTGTGGAGCTACAGATGCTCAGGGCTCTGAGAGCCAAGATTTTTTCTGAATCAAAGCTGGAAATCAGCACAACTTCTCTCCACTCTTTACATGTTCTGCAAAGAGAAGAAATGTGCAGATCTATTCTGGTCACTCAGTCTCATTGAATATTTATGGAAGTTCTGAAGTGAGTGAAATATTCTCAGATATCTCTTGAAGCTGAAACGGGCAGCTTGGAAATAGATAAACCACAGTACTGGGTTTGTGTAGGGCAGCATAAATTTTAAAAAGATCATATAGGAATTGTCCTATGTGCCATGTCTTGGTGATTTACCATAAAATTGCTGAATTTTTCTGAATCCCAGCAGATTAGGAGGGAAGAAAAGAAATGCAAATTTGAAAAGAAAAAGAGGTATCTTTAAATAACTGTTTATCAGTGCTTAATGATGCAGATATTTGAGTTAGTTGACCAATAGAATAGAGATTTCTGTTTTAGTCCAACTTTTTGCCATTATGTACCCCTTTGTATATTTGGTTGTTACTAAATTATTTCTACTAAATTAAGACTCCTTTGATAAAGAATCTCTTGATTGCAAGAAACATAAATCTACTCAAGAAAGCTCAGTTAAGGACCAGGTGTTAAAAAAAAAAAAAAAAAGAAAGAAAGAAAAGAAAAGAAAAAGAACTGTTGCCAAGGCCACAGACAGACTAACACAGGAACCAGAGTACAGTCACAACTCTTAGGAAGTGGAGTTGGGAAGGGGCTAAGCCAAAGCCATTATCTCTTTCCCAAGGGGTATGGAAGATTGATTGCATTGTGATTCTAATCAGTGGTCTTCCTAAATCCTCATCTTGGGCCCTGAAACATTGACGCTCCTTCCCACTCTGACTCTGGTCTGGGCAATTTGACTTAATTTGGCCAATAGGATATTAGTACATATAATTTAAACAAAGACTTGAAAAGTGTGAGGATATTTCTTGTCTCACGTCTCTGGCTTTGCCATGAGAACATACCCAGGTTAGCCCATGAGGCAATGAGACACATGGAGCAAAACCAAATCAGTTCAGATGTCTCAGCTGAGGCACTAAATAAGTGATAAAGTCCAGCTAATATTGCCAAAGCTACCTGGCCATAGATGCGTGAATAAGTCCATGGAGCCCAGCTCAGATCAACACAATGATGAGCCAGCACATAGAAGCAAAAATGAATGTTTATTGCTGTATGATACTAACGTTTTCTGAGTGTTTGCTATACAGCAATACTGTGGCAAATAGATGGTAGAAACAAGGGCCAAATTGTCTCTTTCTTCCTTTAATTTTAAAATTGACATATAATAATTGTACATAGTTTCAATACTTATATAGTTATCAGTTCAGGGTAATGAGCATATCCATCATCTAAAACATTTATCCTTACTTTGTGTTGGGAACATTCATTATTCTCCTTCTAGCTATTTGAAACTGTATATTATTGTTAACTATAGTCACCCTAGATCCCTAGAACTTACTCCTCCTATCTAGCTGTAGTTGTGTATTCTTTAACAAATGTATTCCTCTTCCCCCTTCCCCTACCCTTCATCTCTGCTTCTCTTCCTCCATTACTCCCTCCCTCCCTCTCCAGCTTGTATATTGCCCAATATCATTGCCAGTGCTTTGTCTGCCTATCCTTACAGACATAGTGTGCATCATCCACTGCAGTTTTTGAGTCTCTTGGTTCAAATTCTTGACATAGAAAAGCTCTGATTAGTTTATGGAAAGCCAGTGAATTGGTTTACTTTGGGTCAGGTTTCCACCTGGTCTGACCAACTGTGGTTAAGGTGGTGGTAGTGGTTAAAGGAGAACAGCGTTATATGGTTTGCAAGAGTTTAGAGGAGGGACTTCTTTTTAGTAAGGGGCTGTGAATAGAAAAATCATCGTGATTTATATTTGTAATTAAAAGGCAAGCCTAAAAAGCAGCAAAATATACTGTACATTTGATGTGTGGATCAGTCCACCAACTTGAAATGAAAGGCTAACTAATAATATCTACAAATGTGCCAATAATAGTCATAGCTAACATTAGTTAGTCTTGGCTCTGTGTTAGGGTACTGTGATAAATATTTTATCTTATTTAATCTTTACTCCAGTATTATGGATGTGGGACTATTATTATCATCCTAAATTTACAGATGGGAACTGAGGGTTAGAGAGGTTGCCTTCTGTTATACAGTTAGAAAAAGATAGAGCCAGTAATACAATATAGGTTAAGCTAAATACGGAGCCCATGAACTTGATCCTTCTTCAACCACTGCCTCTACCATTTATACAATGACTAGGAAAGTAAGACTGTGTAAATCAATAACTAATCATAAGACTTACCAGGTGCCTAATTGAGTAAGTGGTGATCAGTTAACATATGATTCCAAAGATGATTAGGAGATAATGCTGCTGGGCCTGATAAGATTCTTTTTTCCTTGCTTCCTTCTTTAGAGATCTACTCAACTCCCTTTGATAGATTAATGTCAGCTTCTGGTTTTTCTTTCACTTAGATTTCTCTACTCAGTAGGCAGGTATACTTGCACTTAATTTCTCTATTTTCAGCCTTATGTCTCATCCCTGTCCTCTATGATGTCAGGTGTTACCATGTTGAAAGCCTCTCAGGTTCGGTATCTTTAAAGAGTAAACTTCTTGTCTCCTTTGGGAGAGATCACAGACACTTGGCTGCTCAGAGTGGTAGTTTGGAATCTGAAAGTCCAATTGCTCAGTAGAAAGACTTTGAATCAATCTCACTGTTTTCTGTATTGTGCATCATCCCTGCTTTCTGTGGTAACTGGTGCCTCCAAGACCTAAAATTTCTGTGTTCTGCATGGAAAACTGATTCTTCTCTCAGGAATATCATCTCCCTCTGTAGATTCTCACATTGTAACGTTCTCCACTCTGCTAAATTAGTTATCTCACCTCTACTTTTAGTCTTCCAAATTTTTATTGAGATTTCTAGTCTACTGTCTCTCTTTCTTATAAGTGTATGTATTTAAAAAAAATGTTTACTGCAATTATAGTTGGGTTTTGGGAAGAAAGGACACAAATATGTGATCAACCACTTATGTTTAGGAAATTGTCCTCCCCTATGAGACTTTTAAATAGAAACATCTTCATTTAGGTTGTTCCAAGCTTTATCTGAAAGCTTTATCAGCAATATGAGTTAATATTAAATTCTAGCATAATTTCCTGATGAAAATTCCAAAAACACAACCAAACAATTTATAAAATCTGCTTCTATGTTTAGTGAGGTGATTTGACACTGCTCGGGTTTTGGTTTGATAGTATTCTCATTTTAATAGTACTCTCTCTTCCAAGTTTTGCTTATCTAGGGCCAGTATTGGTTGTGAAATAGCCATTCATCTTGTTTTCTTTCTGGGCAGAGGAATACCCTAAGGCTATCACCTTATGAGAAGGGGAAGGACAGTGCTGGGCTAATGAGTTGACACTTAAACACCAGATATTCTGACATGTTGCTAATTCCTGTCACCAATATCATTCCTAGTTCATTACTTGAGATCCATCTAGGCTACTTTGGCCTCATGTGCTTTGGTAGTTTATTTATTGCTGTAAGGTTATGACATTTTAAAAGATTAGTATTTGTTTATCAGAAAGCCATGAGAATGTTACTTTAACAACAACCCACTCACGTAACCAGCACTGCAAATGTTCAATTCTGCCTAGAAGGAAAGCTCCTAAGAAGGACTGTTAGGATTGATGAGGGGTGGTATATGCACACAACTCCACAAGAGTCTTTTTGTGCAAGAATCAGCCTATCATTATTTTTGCCTAAGAACCAGACAGGCCTGAGCAATGTCTCATGTTTGTATTCTTCATGCAACTTATGAGAAAATTAATTGAACATCCACAGAAGTCATGGGAATTTTAAAATATTATTGTAGCTATTTATTTCTAGGAAAACCTCAAATTCAGACTTAAAAAATATATGTAAACTGAGGCCTCCCTCAAATCTTTATAAATTACTAGATAGAATTCTTGCCAAATTCCCTGAAAAGTTTAGGGGTCGAGATTATATGCATTAAATTAATGCTTTGATAAGGATTGGATTAGTAGCTTGCTTGGCCAGATAAATTTAACTATAAAAGTTGTATCTTATTTTGTAGATTAAAACTTTACTAGCTTTAGTAAATTACTCCAATAATTCATCAAATATATCTTAAAGTCCTTTCCTGTCCTGGACACTTTGCTAGGTTGTTGTAAGCTCCAAGAGTTTATAAGTGAATGTGGGTGTTTACATGTATACAAAGCAATACAATATAATAGAGATGCCATATGAACAACATAAATGATGTGTCAGGGAAGAGAGCCTGACTACTTTGGGAAGCGGTGATCAGGTAAGATCTGCTATTTGAGTTAAACCTCCTAGTTTAATTACGAAAGGCAAAAGATCTTAGGCAGCTGGAATACTATATGAAAGTCATAGATGCAAGAAGACAGAAGGCATTAGGGTCAACAGTGAGTAGGCACTTTTGGTTGGGGCCTATGATTCATATGGAGTATTAATGGGAAATAAGACTGGAAAGGTAAGTTAAGACTGCCTTTTGGGAAACAATGCCAAGTAAAGAAGTTTAGGTTTTAATTTGTAGTTGGTAGGGAGGTAGAGAACTTTTTGAATTCACCTATTAGTAAGATTAAATAAGTGGAAACTTGCTGGATGGTTTAGGCTGGAGATTTTAGAAGTAGGCAGATTAACCAAGAGTCTGAAGCAGTCATCTGGTCGTGAAGGGATTGGGGCCTGAACTACAGAGATGCCATTGAGAATGCCAAGGAAGAAAATTCAACAAGAGAGACTATAAACAGCCAACTTACAGTCTGAGGCAACCGACTGGATATTGGGAGACAGAAATAATTAAGAATCCACAATCATTGAGGTTTTCGGTCCAGTTGACATATGGTACTTTCAACAAATAAAAAAGCACTAGGTTTATGAGGAAAATAAGTGAGTTTAATTTGTTTAGTTTGAAGTTTCTATATAATCCATGTGGAAATTCCCAGTAGCTAGGCACATATATAAGACTAGAGCTTGGAGGAAAGGTTGGACTTGGAAATAAAGATGTCATTTAACAGCATAAAAATGGTAATTATGACAAGGGATTGTAAAATCTTCAAGGGAGACTGTATACAGAAAGAGATGGGCCAAACTTTGGGAAAAAGGAAACAGCCAAGGAGACAGAGAAGGAGCAGTAATTGCAGTAAGAAAAGAACCAAAAGAAGGAAGTGTCATAGAAGAAAAAGTGGGAGAGAGTGGTTGATCCAGAGTGCTAAGTGCAGAAGAAAAGCATGAAAAAATAGTATGAGAAAATGACTTTGGATTTGGTGATTAGGAAGTTATCAGATACTTTTAAAAGAATGCTTACTCAGGAAATTTGTGAGTATAGAAGCCAGATTTCAGGGATTTCATGAGAGAATGATTGCTTAAGGAAGTATAAGTGTACATCCTTCTTTGAGAGATTTGAATATGAATAAGATGTAGAATAGTATACTTAGAGGGGAAAGAAAATTAAAATTAGGTTGTCTTTCAAGATTGGAAACATCTGTACCTGCTTATGTTTGTAAGCAGAAGGGTGGAAGAAAAGTAGCCAATGGAGAAAGATGAGAGAGAGGCAGGAAGGGAGGGAGGGAGGGGGAGAGAGAGAGAGAGAGAGAGAGAGAGAGTAAGAGAGAAGCTATGGGAAAACAGCAGATAATTGAAGAAACAAGGTCTTGGAGGATTGATTCTTCATTAGATCTAAGGAGATATAGATTCTCAGAGAGAAGACTCCTAAAAAGTTTTACATTGGTACCAAATTAGGGAGAACTCCTCTGGGTAGGATACTCTAATTTTTGCATATTTCTAAAGTATGAGAAATATAGAAAAATTTAGAAAAGGAAGGGTTGGAGCTGCTAGTCCTTCCTTAGGGATTCATGAAATAAGAAAATAAGTATTTAGAGGTTAAAAAAAATAAGAAAGAGAGACAGAGAAGCTCTGTAGCTACAATCTTCCCAGAGCCAGGGAGCCTAACAAGTCAAAGACTTGGGATCCAGAGATAGATTGAAGTAGAGGGCTTTGGACAATACCTAGCTCAACATTACCTGGAATCATTGGGCTGGGCAATTGCACAAATGATGTGGTTTGCTTTTTGACAGGCATTTTAAAAAGCAGGAGGCGCAGCCACTAAACTGTGGCCAATAAATTTGTCCTTGCTTTTATCTGAATAGTCTTCAAATTACTTTGGATGTCACTTTCAAGAAACTAGTTAACTTGGAGGAAATGGCATTATTTCACATCAGTAGGAGGTAATGAGATAACTGGTATAGATAAGAACAGTGCTTATTCTTACAGATTAAGAGGGACTTCTCTTTCTCTGAGACAAGAAGAAAGGAAGAAAGGATAGGTGAGTTGATCATTGAAGTGTTAATATATGGAGAGAAAATAAAGCAGCTCATACCTGATAGTTTCAGTTTTCTCAAGTCAGTTCAATTTCTGAGATATAAGCTGGGGTAGGAATAGAAGTGAAGAGGTGAGAAGGGTGGAAAATGTTTGGAACAATGATTGTGGGAGGTCTTCTAGGGAATTCACGGAGACAACTAAAGGCATTGTAAAGCAGTAGGGTTAGTGCCCAGAAAAGGGGAGGCAGCATTAATAAGCACACATAAATGATTTTTTCCATTGCTGTTCTGTGCCTCTAGAAGCAGGATTGTTAACAGGGCAGACTAATGACTGTCAGTCAGCACTAGCCAGATTCACAGAGAAAGCAGCCTTTGCCCAAATTGTCTAACAATGAAAGCCATTCTGTTTTTGAGACATTGATCATGCTTGGAAAGTCAAACAGTACAGAAAGGGACTCATTTGAAAACCTTAAGGTGGTGGGACAGTTGTTTGAAAGCCTTTTCTCTCTGCATGTTCACTTCCTATTGCAGAGACCATATGTCTATATTTTTTTCACCCCTCCCAAAAACCCTGCACAGAGCTTGACACACAATAATTCCTTACTCCTTGTGAACAGCAGACAGACAGACATATCACAAAAGTTTCTCTAGTAATAGATCACTCCACTTCAGGTTTTTAAGCTGTTTTTAACTGAAGCATAACATACAAAATGAAAAGTACACAATTCATAAATGTACAGATTAATGAAATTTTATAAAATGTGCATATTTGTGTAATAACTACCCAGATAATGAAATAGAATATCACCAGTTCTCCAGAAGTTGCATATGGGCACCCTCTCAGTCACTCCCCTATTCCTCCTCAAAGCTAACCACTATCCTGACATCTGTCACCATTCATTAGTTTTTAGTTTTTTCTTCTGAACTTCATATATATATATATATATATATATATATATATATATATATATATATATTCTTTTGTGTCTGTTTTCATTCAACATTATGTTGGTGAGTTTAATGCACATTTGTTGCATGTAAACAGTAGTCCATTTATTTCATTTATTTCATTGCTGCATTGATTCCAATGTGCAAGCACACCAATATTTATCAATTCTTCTATTGATAGACTTTTGAGTTGTTTCCATTTCCTATTATTACTGCTATAAATTCTTGTGCATGTTTATATTGGCTCTTTCTATTTATCTTGGTATGCCTGGTAATTTAATACACAATGAAATTTTTAAAAATTGTAGAAGCTTTGGATAATGTTATTTTCCTTTAGAGAGAATTTTCTTTAGTTTCTATCAAAAAGTTAGAAAAAATTTAGTAGGTCACCTCAATTCAATCAGGATTAAACTCATTTAAGGTTAGGCTTTATAAAATCCTTGTAAAATCTGGCATATTTATGATTTGCTCTTACTACCAGGATACAGCCCTTCAGGATTCCCAAGTAAAGTACTAAGATATTTATTATAACCTATTTTCCTTGGCAGGCTCTGAAGTCCAATTTTGAAACTTTTTTCCAAATCTTCTCAGCACCATGATACTGCAGTGAGCTATGCTTAGCTTCTCTCTCTCTTAAAAGTCTCTTTCTCTTCATCTTCTTAGCCCCAGGGACCAGCCCTCCAATGAATTAACAAGTGCTTCAAGGGGCATAGAAACACAGAATGGCAGGTTCACCCTAATGAGCTTCTCTTTGTTCTGGGATCTTTGCCCCTCAGTTTCTGGCTCTTTGGTAAGTCTCTGATGCCTTCAAATAGATTTTTAAAATTGAGATGAACTTCACACAACATAAGAGTAACTTTTAAAATGAACAATTTAGTGACATTTAATATATTCATAATGTGTAACCATTATTATTTTCAAGACATTTCCATCATGTGAAGGAAAACCCTTTACCAATTAAGCAGTTAAATATATTCTTTTTAAAATCCAACTTTTCTAGTTATTCAGGGATAGATGATTGGACGGCGACAAACTAGTCCATAGTAGCCACAAGAAAAAGTCTTTTGTTTTTTTATTTGACTATTGCAAAATATTTCCTCCTAGAAATGTATCATTTGTATTAAAAATAATGTTGTTGTCATGATTGTAAAACATGTTTTTTGTAAACATTTGAAAAATTTTGGAAGTCTAATTAAAATTAAAAAATTACTCATAATACTAACATCTGGGAATAATACATTTATTTTTTGTGTGTATTTCCTTCCACCAGTTTTCCTGCATTTATCATAGAATTGGGATCTAAGTACATTCACTTGCCCAACATTATTCACAAATCAACCATGAGAACACAATTTTCTCAAGTGCCAGCTTTTTCAATAAAACTATTTGATGAATTTTCCACATTTATTTTTGAGACACTATTTTAAAAGAGTAAACAATATTCCTTTTAGAGCTATATAAAAATGTAGACACCATTAGAGATCATTGAGGCAGACAACTAACAAAGATATTTGGGACCTGAACTTGATACTTGAACAAATGAACCAAATAGACATCTACAGAGCTCACCACCTGAAAACAACAGAATATACATTTTTCTCATTTGCACATGGCACATACTCTAAAATCGACCACACAATTGGACATAAAACAATCCTCAACAAATTTAACAAAAACAAAATGATATCAACCACACTCTCCAACCACAGTGCAATAAAAATAGAAATGAATGCTAAGAAAATTGCTCGTATCCATACAATTACATGGAAATTAAACAACCTGCTCCTGAATGACTTCTGGGTAAATAATGGAATTAAAGCAGAAATCAAGAAATTATTTGTAACTAATGAGAGCAAAGATATATGACATACCAGAATCTCTGGGACAGAGCTAAAGTGGTGTTAAGAGGGAATTTTATAGCAATAAACATCCACAACAAAAAGTTAGAAAGATCTCAAATGAACATGACATCAGAACTAGAGGAATTAGAGAAACAAAAGCAAATCAACTCTAAAGCTTGCAGAAGACAAAAAATAAGCAACATGAAAGCTGAACTGAAGGAAATTGAGAGGCAAACATCTATACAAAAGATCAACAAATCCAGAAGTTGGATTTTTGAATGTATTAATAAGATAGATGGACTACTAGCTAGACTAATAAAGAAAAAAGAGAAGATCCAAATAAACACAATCAGAAATGACAAAGGGGACGTTACTAGTGACCCCACAGAAATACCAAAAAATGCTCAGAGACTAATATGAACACCTCTATGCATACAAGCTAGAAAACTTAGAAGAAATGATTAAGTTCCTAGAAACATACAACATCCCAAGATTGAACCAGAAAGAAATTGAATCCCTGAACAGACCAATAATGAGTTATGAAATTGAATCAGTAATAAAAAGCCAACCAACCAAAAAAAAGCCCAGGACTAGATGGATTCACAGCTGAATTCTACCAGATGTATAAAGAAAAGCTGGCACCATTCCTACAGAAACTATTCCAAAAAATTGAGAAGCAGAGAATCCTCTCTAGCTAATTCTATGTGGTCAACATCATCTTGACACCAAAACCTGGCAGAGACACAACTAAAAAAGAAAAGTTTAGACCAATGTCCTTGATTAACATGGATGCAAAAATCCTTAACAAAATACTAGCAAGCAGAATCCAGTAGTACATCAAAAGGTAATCCACAACAAGTAGGCTTTATGCCTGGGAAGCAAGGTTGGTTCAACATATGCAAATCAATAAATGTTTTTCACCACATAAACAGAACTAGAAACAAAACGATGTGATCATCACAATCGATGCAGAAAAGGCTTTTGATAAAATTCAACATCCCTTCATGTTCAAAACCCTCAACAAACTAGGCATTGAAGGAAGATACTTCAAAATAAGAGCCATCTTATTTTAACAAACCCACAGCCAACGTCATACTGAATGAGCAAAAGCTGGAAACATTTCCCTTGAAAGTTGGAACAAAACAAGGATGCCCTGTCTTGCCACTCCTATTCAACATAGTACAGGAAATCCTAAGGAGAGCAATCATGGAAGAAAAAGAAACAAAATGCATCCAAATAGAAATCAGACTACCCCTGTTTGCACACAATATGATTTTTTTGTTACTTTTCCATAAATTATTGGGGTTCAGTTGGTATTTGTTTACATGAGTAAGTTCTTTAGTGATGATTTGTGAGATTTTGGTGCACCCATCATCTGAGCAGTATACACTGCACCATATTTGTAGTCTTTTATCCCTCTCCCCTACCGCTCTTCCCCTGAGTCCATAAGTCCATTGTGTCATTCTTATGCCTTTGTGTCCTCATAGCTTAGCTCCCAAATATCAGTGAGAACATATGACGTTCTCACGTCATAAGATATATATCATGATATATATATATGATATATATATCTATCTATCATGATATATATATGATATATATATCTATCTATCACAGTTTCTTTATCCACTCATTCATTGTTGGGCATTTGGATTGGTTCCACGGTTTTTCATTTGTGTATTGTGCTGCTATAAATATGTGTGTGCAAGTATCTTTTTCAAATAATGACTTCTTTTCCTCTGGGTAGATACCTGGTAGTGGAATTGCTGGATCAAATGGTAGTTCTACTTTTAGTTCTTTAAGGTGTCTCCACATTGTTTTCCATAATGGTTGTACTAGTTTACATTCCCACCAGCAGTATAGAAGTGTTCCCTGATCACCACATCCATGCCCACATCTACTGTTTTTTATTTTTTGATTATGGCCATTCGTGCAGGAGCAAGGTGGTATCACATTGTGGTCATGATTTGCATTTTCCTGATCATTAGTGATGTTGAGCATTTTTTCATATGTTTGTTGGCCATTTGTATGTCTTCTTTTGAAAATTGTCTATTCATGTCCTTAGCCCACTTTGTGATGGGATTGTTTTTGTCTTACTGATTTGTTTGAGTTTGTTGCAGATTCTGGAAATTAGTCCTTTGTCAGATGTATAGATTGTGAAGATTTTCCCCCACTCTGTGGGTGTCTGTTTACTCTGCTGACTGTTCCTTTTGCCGTGCAAAAGCTCTTTAGTTTAATTAGGTCCCAGCTATTTATCTTTATTTTTATTGTATTTGCTTTTGAGTTCTTTGTCATGAAATCCTTTCCTAAGCCGATGTCTGGAAGAGTTTTTCCAATGTTAACTTCTAGAATTTTTATAGTTTCAGATCTTAGGTTTAAGTCCTTAATCCATCATGCATTGATTTTTGTATAAGGTGAAGAGAGATGAGGATCCAGTTTCATTCTTTTACATGTGGCTAGCCAATTATCCCAGCACCGTTTGTTGAAAAGGGTGTCCTTTCTCCACTTCATGTTTTTGTTTGCTTTGTTGAAGATCAGTTGGCTATAAGTATTTGGGTTTATTTCTGGATTCTCTGTGCTGTTCCATTGGCCTATGTGCCTATTTTTATACCAGTGCCATGCTGTTTTGGTGACTATGGCCTTATAGTATAGTTTGAAATCAGGTAGTGTGATGCTTCCAGACTTGTTCTTTTTGCTTAGTCTTGCTTTGGCTATGTGGGCTCTTTTTTGTTCCATATGAATTTTAGAATTGCTTTTTCTAATTCTGTGAAAAACAATGGTGGTATTTTGATGGAGAGTGCATTGAATTTATAGATTGCTTTTGGCAGTAGAGTCATTTTTACAGTATTGATTCTACCTATCCATGAGCATGGGATGTGTTTCCACTTGTCTGTGTCATCTATGATTTCTTTCAGCAGTGTTTTGTGGTTTTCCTTGTAGAAGTCTTTCACGTCCTTGGTTAGGTATATTCTCAATTATTATTATTTTTTTGTGCAGCTATTATAAAAAGAGTTGAGTTCTTGATTTGATTCTCAGCTTGGTCGCTGTTGGTGTATAGAAGAGCTAGTGATTTGTGAACATGAATCTTGTACCCAGAAACTTTGCTGAATTCTTTTATCAGTTCTAGGAGATTTCTGGAGGAGTCTTTAGGGTTTTCAAGACAAACAATCATATCATCAGCAAACAGTGACAGTTTGACTTCCTCTTTGCGGATTTGGATGTCCTTTATTTCTTTCTCTTGTATGATTGGTCTGGCTAGGACTTAAGATACTATGTCAAAGAGGAGTGGTGAGAGTGGGCATCTTTGTCTTGTTCTGGTTCTCAGAGGGAATGCTTTCAATTCTTCCCCATTCAGTATTATGTTGGCTGTGGGTTTGTCATAGATGGCTTTTATTGCATTAAGGTACGTTCCTTGTATGCCGATTTTGCTGAGAGTTTTAATCATAAAGGGATACTGGATTTTGTCAAATGCTTTTTCTGCATCTATTGAGATGATCATGTGATTTTTGTTTTTAATTCTGTTTATGTGGTGTATCACATTTATTGACTTGTGTATGTTAAACCATCCTGCATCCCTGGTGTGAAACCCACTTGATCATGATGAATTATCTTTTTGATATGTTGTTCAGTTCGGTTCGCTAGTATTTTGTTGAGGATTTTAGCATCTATGTTCATCAAGTATATTGGTCTGTAGTTTTCTTTTTTTGGTTATGTCCTTTCCTGGTTTTGGTATTAGGGCGATACTGGCTTCGTAGAATGAATTATGGAGGGTTCCTTCTTTCTCTATCTTATGGAATAGTGTCAAAAGGATTGGTACCAATTCTTTGAATGCCTGGTAGAATTCTGCTGTGAATCCATCTGGTCCTGGGCTTTTTTTGTTGGTAATTTTTAAATTACCATTTCAATCCCGCCACTTGTTACTGGTCTGTTCAGGCTATCTAATTCTTCCTGATTTAAGCTAGGAGGGTTGCATTTTCCAGGAATGTATCCATCTCTTCTAGGTTTTCTAGTTTATGTGTGTAAAGGAGTTCATAGTAGCCTTGAATGATCTTTTGTATTTCAGTGGTGTTGGTTGTAATATCTCCTGTTTCATTTCTTAGCAAGGTTATTTGGATTTTCTCTCTTCTTTTCTTGGTTAACCTTGCTAATGGTTTATCAATTTTATTTCACTTTTCAAAGAATCAGCATTTTGTTTCATTTATCTTTTGTATTTTTTTGGTTTCAATTTCATTTAGTTCTGCTCTGATCTTGGTTATTTCCTTTCTTCTGCTGGATTTGGGTTTGGTGTGTTCTTGTTTCTCTAGTTCCTTGGTTGTGACCTTACAATGTCAGTTTGTGCTCTTCCAGTCTTTTTGATGTGGGCATTTAGGGCTATTAATTTTCCTCTTAGCACCGCCTTTGCTGTATCCCAGAGGTTTTGGTAGGTTGTGTCATTATTGTATAGTTCAAAGAATTTTTTAATTTTCAGCTTGATTTTGTTTTTTACTCAATGCTCATTTAGGAACAGGTTATTTAATTTCCATGTATTTGCATGGTTTTGCAGGTTCCTTTTGGAGTTGATTTCCAGTTTTATTCCACTGTGGTCTGAAAGAGTGCTTGATATAATTTCAATTTTCTTAAATTTATTGAGGCTCGTTTTATGGCCTATCTTATGGTCTATTTTGGAGAAAGTTCCATGCACTGTTGAATAGAATGTGTATTCTGCGGTTGTTGGATGAAATGTTCTGTATATATCTGTTAAGTCCATTTGTTCCAAGGTCTAGTTTAAATCCATTGGTTTTTGGTGACTTTCTGTCTTGATGACCTGCCTCATGCTGTCAGTGGAGTATTGAAGTCCCTCACTATTATTGTGTTGCTGTCTATATCATTTTTTTTAGGTCTATTAGTAATTGTTTTATAAATCTGGGAGCTCTAGTGTTAGGTGCATGTATGTTTAGGTCTCTGATATTTTTCTGTTGGACAAGGCTTTTTACCATTATATAGTGTCCCTCTTTCTCTCTTTTACTGCTATTGCTTTAAAGTTTGTTTTGTCTGATATAAGAATAGCTACCCCTGCTTGCTTTTGGTGTCCATTTGCATGAAATGCCTTTTTCCACCCCTTTACTTTAAGTTTATGTAAGTCCTTAGGTGAGTCTCCTGAAGGCAGGAGATAGTTGGTGAGTTCTCATCCATTCTGCAGCTCTGTATCTTTTAAGTGGAGCATTTAGGCCATTCATATTCAATGTTAGTATTGAAATGTGAGTTACTGTTTTGTTCTTTTTTTTTTTTTTTTTGAGATGGAGTCTCGCTCTGTCGCCCACTTTGGAGTGCAGTGGCATGATCTCGGCTCAATGCAAGCTCCGCCTCCTGGGTTCACGCCATTCTCCTGCCTCAGCCTCCCAATTAGCTGGGACTACAGGTGCCCACCGCCATGCCTGGCTAATTTTTTGTATTTTTAGTAGAGACAGAGTTTCACCGTGTTAGCCAGGATGGTCTCGATCTGACCTCGTGATCCACCTGCCTTGGCCTCCCAAAGTGCTGGGATTACAGGTGTGAGCCACCGCGCCCAGCCACTGTTGCATTCTTTATGCTTTTTGTTGCCTGTGTGCTTTGTTTTGTTTTTGCTTTTTAACTTGTATTTTTGTTTTATAGCTCTTATGTGATTTAAGCTTTAAAGAGGTTCTGTTTTGATGTGTTTCCAGGATTTCTTTCAAGATTTAGAGCTCCTTTCAAAAGTTCTTATAGTGGTGGCTGGGTAGTGGCAAATTCTCTCAGAATTTGTTCGTCTGAAACAGGATGTATCTTTCCTTCATATATTATGCTTAGTTTTGCTGAATATAAAATTCTTGGCCGATACTTGTTTTGTTTGAGGAGGCTAAAGATACGGCCCCAATCCCTTCTAGCTTGTAGAGTTTCTGCTGATAAATCTGTTGTTAATCTGATAGGTTTTCTTTTGTAGGCTACCTGGTGCTTCTGTCTCACAGCTCTTAAGATTCTTTCCTTCATCTTAACTTTGGATAACCTGATGACAATGTGCCTAGGTGATGATTTTCTGTCATGAATTTCTTGGGTGTTCTTTGTGCTTCTTGTATTTGGATGTGTAGATCTCTAGCAAAGCTGGGGAAGTTTTCCTTGATTATTCCCCCAAGTATGTTTTCCTAGCTCTTAAAATTATCTTCTTCCTCAGGAGCACCGACTATTCTAAGATTTGGTTGTTTAATAGAATCCCAGACTTCTTGGAGGCTTTGTTCATGTTTTCTTATTCATTTTTCTTTGTCATTGTTGAATTGGGTTAATTTGAAGACCTTGTCTTTCAGCTCTGGATTTCTTTCTTCTGCATGTTCAATTCTATTGCTGAGACTTTCTAGAGCACTTCACATTTCTAAAAGTGTGTCCAAAGTTTCCTGAATTTTTTATTGCTTTTTCTTTAAGCTATCTATTTCCTTGAATATTTCTCCCTTCTTGTGTTGGTTTTTTGGATTTCCTTGCACTGGACTTTGCCTTTCAATGGTACTTCCATTGAAAGTTTAGTTAGATTAGCTTAATAACTAACCTCCTGAATTCTTTTTCAGGTAAATCAGGAATTTCTTCTTGGTTTGGAACCATTGCTGGTGGACTAGTGTGATTTTTGGGGAATGTTGAATATTGTTGTTTTTTCATATTACCAGGGTTGGTTTTCTGGTTCTTCTCATTTGGGTAGGCTTTGTTAGAGGGAAGGTCTAGGGCTGAAGACTGTTGTTCAGATTCTTCTGTCCCATGGGATGTTCCCTTAATGTAGTACTCTCCCCCTTTACCTATGAATGTGACTTCCTGTAAGACAAACTGCAGTGATTGTTGTCTTTCTTCTGGGTCTAGCCACCCAGCGAGTCTACCTGGCTCTGGGCTGGTACTGGGGGTTGTCTGCACAGAGTCTTGTAGTATGAACCATCTATGGGTCTCTCAGCCATGGACACCAGCACCTGTTCCGGTGGAGGTGGCGGGATGAGGGGTGCAATGGACTCCATGAGAGTTCTTAGTTTTGGTGGTTTAACACTCTATTTTTGTGTGGGTTGGCCTCCTGCTGGGAGGTGGCACTTTCCAGAGAGCATTAGCTGTAGAAATATGGAGAGGGACTGGCAGTGGGCCGGGCCTGGAACTCCCAATATTATATACCCTTTGCGTTCGGCTACCAGGGTGGGTAGGGAAAGACCATCAGGTGGGAGTAGGGCTAGGCATGTCTAAGCTCAGACTCTCCTTGGGCAGGTCTTGCTGTGGCTGTTGTGAGGGATGGGGGTGAGATTCCCGGGTCACTGGCGTTGTGTACCTAGGAGGAATATGGCTGCCTCTGCTGAGTCATGCAGGTTGTCTGGCAAGTGGGGAAAGCTGGCAGTCACAGGCCTCACCCAGCTCTTTCACAAATCCAAGGGCCAGTGTCACTCCCTTGGTGCCCCTCCACCAACAGCCCCGAGTCTGTTTCCAGGAGAGGGGCGAGAGGGGCTTGAAAACTTGCCCCAGGTTACCCACCTCCCAGCTGTGAAAGAAAAGACTTGGTTCTTCCTCTGCCTGTGGAGTCTACACACTGGATTTGTGCCCTCCCCTGAGTTTTGGCCAGGAGGCTTCTCTCCCCGTTCAAATTGTTACAAAGTTCAGCTACAGATTTCCTTTTCCCTGTGGAGTTTTACCCCCTGCTCCTCTGGCTGCCCTCCTGATGGATCCCTGTGGTGCCAGGCAGGAATGGCCTGCCAGGGGACCCAGCAAGCTCCCAGGGCCTTTCTGCTGCTTCCTCTACCCCTGTATTTTGCTCGGCTCTCTAAATTGACTCAGCTCCAGGTAAATTCAGAAGCTTCTCCCCAAAACAGACCTTCAGGTTCTCCAGTGGGGTTGTGTGTTCAGGAGAGAAGGGTCTCCCTTTCCTGTTTCTGCAGTTGGGGCACTCACAGTATTTGGGGTGTCTCCAAGGTCCTGTAGGAGCAGTCTGCTTCCTTCAGAGGGTCTGTGGCTCCTCTCAGCATTAATTTTTAAATGCTTGGTACAATTCACCCATGAACCCATAAGGTCCTTGCCTTATAAACCTGATATGATTCTATACCTAGAAAACTCCATAGTCCTTGCCCAAAACCTCCATGATCTGGTAAACAACTTTAGCAAAGTGTAAGGATATAAAATCAATGTACAAAAATCAGTAGTATTTCTATACACCAATAGCATCCAAGATGTGAGCCAAATCAGGAATGCATGCCATTCACAATAGCCACAAAAAGAATAATATACCTAGGAATACAGCTAACCAGGGAGATGAAAGATCACTGCAATGAGAATTACAAAGCACTGCTCAAAAAATCAGAGATGACAAAAACACATGGAAAAACATTCCACACTCATGGATAGGAAGAGTCAATATTGTTAAAATGGCAAAACCAATGAAAGTAATTTTACAGATTCAATGGTATTCCTATCAAACTACCAATGACATTCTTCCCAGAACTAGAAAAAATATTTTAAAATTCATATGGAATCAAAAAAGAGTCCAACTAGCCAAGGTAGTCCTAATCAATTAGAACAAAGCTGGAGGGATCACATTACCTGACTTCAAACTATTCCACAAGGCTACAGTAATGAAAACAGCATGGTCCTGGTAAAAAAACAAACAAACAAACAAACAAACAAACAAAAACAAAAAAAAAACGAACCAGACACATAGACCAATGGAACAGAATAGAGAGCCCAGAAATAATGTCACACCTACAACCATCTGATCATTGGCAAAATTGACAAAAACAAGGAATGGGGAAAGGACACTCTATTCAATAAATGGTGCTGGGATAATTGGCTAGCCATATTCAGAAGATTGAAACTGGATCCTTTCCTTACACCACATATAACAATGAACTCATGATGGTTTTAAGACTTAAATATAAAACCTAAAACTATAGATCCTGGAAGATAACCTAGGAGGTAACATAAGAGATACCTTTCTGGACATAAGACCTGGAAAAGATTTCCTGATGAAGATGACAAAAGCAATTGCAAGAAAAACAAAAATTGACAAATGGGACCTGATTATACTAAAGAGCTTTTGCATAGCAAAAGAAACTACCAACAGAGTAAACAGACAACCTACAGAATGGGAGAAAATACTACCAAACCATGCATCCAACAAAGGTCTAATATCCAGAATCTGTAAGGATCTTAAACAAATTTACAAGCAAAAAAACAAACAACCCCATTGAAAAGTGGACCAAGGACATGAACAGACACTTCTCAAAAGAAGACATACATGTGGCCAACAAATATATGAGAAAATGCTGAACAGTACTAATCATTAGAGAAATGCCAATCCAAACCATGATGAGATATCATCTCACACCAGTCAGAATGGATATTATTAAAAAGTCAAAAAGTAACAGATGCTGACAAGGTTGTGGGAAACAGGGAGTGCTTATACATTGCTGCTGGGAATGTAAATTAGTTCGGCTACTGTGGAAAGCAGTTTGGTGATTTCTCAAAAAACTTAAAACAAAATTATTAGGTTGGTGCAAAAGTAATTGCAGTTTTTGAACTACTTTTAATGGCAAAAATCACAATTACTTTTGCACCAACCCGATACCATTTGATGCAGCAATTCCATTATCGGGTATATACTCAGAGGAATATAAATCATTCTATCATAAAGACACATGCATGCATATGTTTGTTGCATATTCACAATAGAAAAGACACAGAATCAACCTAAATGTTTATCAATGGTAGACTACATAAAGAAAATGTGGTACATATACACCACGGAATACTACACAGCCATTGAAAAGAATATCATGTCCTTTGTATCAACATAGATGGAGCTTGAGGCCATTATCCTAAGCAAACTAACACAGAAAGAGAAAACCAAATACTGCATGTTCTCACTTATAAGTGGGAGGTAAACATTGAGTACATACGGACAGAAAGAAGGAAACAACAGACACTGGGGTGTTCTTGAGGGTGGAGGGTTGGAGAAGGGTGAGAATAAAAAAACTACCTATCATGTACAATGCTGATTACCTGGATGATTAAATAACCTGTACACCAAACCCTCATGACATGCAATTTACCTATATAATAAACCTGTACATGTACCCCAGAACCTAAATAAAAGTGAAAAAAGGATGATTTTCCAAACAGCATGAATATTATTCTGAGGCCATGTGAATTGGGGCGTGAGTGATATCTTAAGATGAAAGTTCAGCTGCAAAGAAAATGAAAAGGAAGCCATAAAAGTATGTATTAGTTATCCCATTCATAGACATTTGTTTCCAAATCTTGCCCTCATAAAGAAATAATAATTTTTATAGATTTGTTTACATTTTGATTTATAGCTTTAGAAATGAGTTTACTAGTTTAAAAGACATGAACATAATTTTGAAGGCTTATGATACATTTGCTAAATGACTTTCCCAAAATGTTTCTGCAGTTTGCTCCTACCTTTGTAAGACTGGATGTTCCATTGAGAAAAGTGACTCCCACATTAATTGAAGGTTGTTGTTAGTTTTCCATCTCTCTGGGCTACCATTTCCCCACAAATTTCTAGTGAACACAATTAGGAAATATTACCAATTAGCACACATGCCAGTGGAGTGTAGTTTAATGTAGAATGATTTAGATGGTTCTGCACCACTCTTGCCTCTTTCGATCATAAATTTCAGACAACTACCGTAATAAAAATTCCATATATATTCCTATCAAATGCTAAGGTCCTTAACTAGTTTGCACCTGAAATGTCTGTAAGGTCTTTCAAAATGGATGATACGAGATTTTTAAATTCACTTAACAAGGGTCAATGAAATTGGCCCAGTCATATAACCTTTTATTCACTTTCTTACTCATCTGTAGGTTTTCCATTCTCTAGAATCAAGATGTTATGGTTGACTCACACAAAACTTTGATAACACATTATTTAATTTAAAAATTAATTTTAACATCAAAAACATGCAATCTTTTGTATAAAAAGGAATCCAATAATATACAACAATATTCCTTTGTAAATGCAAAAAACACTCTGGAAGTATAAGTATGTAATTACTAAGAGTGGTTACCAGGGGGATGGGTGGAGTGGTTTTTGGGTAGATGATGGATGGAGTGGGAGGGACCTCTGAGACATGTCAATGTATTACATATTCAAAAAACTAAATTAAAAAATCAAGGTCACAATTTTATGACTTTTAAAAAAGTAAAAAAAAGAACACGTAAAAGGATATCTATTGCAATATCATTTGTAAGAATTAAAAATTGGGAAAATCTTAATTATCATTAGATGAAAAAGAAATAATTCAATTATAGTATAGCCAAAGAATTCACAGGATTTGGTTGCCACTTGAATGGAAGAAATGATTACCAGATTTTTAGCTTGAGTGGGTGCTGGCACCATCAGTTGAGAAAGGGAGTAGAGAAGGTATGGTTGTGAGTAGGCCAATTATGGGTTCAGTTTTGGACATGTGTAGGAGGTGTTTGTGGAACATCTAGCAAGATATGTCTAGTATGCATTTGAATATTTGAGTCTGGGACTCAGAAGATAATTAAAGACTGAATTAATAGATGTGCGAGCCAGTAGCATAAAAATGGTAAAGCCACATACATGGATAATGTTCAGAGAGAGTGGAGGGATTGAAGACATGTTTTAATGCTGGAGACTTATTATTTCCATGAGGAAAAGAAAATAATCAATATTATTTTGTAAAATCACCCATGATTTTTAAGGTTACTAGCATTTTTAACGTTCTTATCTTATTTGTATTTTATTTACTAGATGTTTTATGCATTTTCATTATTCGGAATTTAATATAAAGACAAAGTCAGTGACTTGTGACTAGTTTGTGCTGTATGAGACTTACACTGTACCTTGTTGGGGTCGTGGATCAGAATACTGAAAGATTAGCACTAAGAAAAGGTAAAACCATAGTGATTGGGCCGGTTACTCTGAAGCCAGGCTTCATTGAAGGCAAAATAAAGAGATGGGAAAGAAAAGGGAATAGAGATTTTACTTAGCACCTTCATGTGTCACAAATTATGCTAGCTAATAATAGACCTATAATGCTATTATTTTCCCCACAGTTTACAGATAATATGACTGAGGTTCAAAATGGTTAAAATCACTTTTGGAGGAAATGTATAACAAAACCAGGGGTTCTCAAACCGGCTATGACATCAGAATCAGAGTCATCTGTGGAACTTTTTCTTTTCTTTCTTTCTTTTTTTGAGACAGAGTCCTGCTCTGTCGCCCAGGATGGAGTGCAGTGGTGTGATCCTAGCCCACTGCAGCCTCAAACTCTTGGGCTCAAGTGACCCTCTGGCCTCAGCTTCTGGAGTACCTGGGAATACAGGTATGCACCACCATGCTCGGATAATTTTTTGTTCATTTTTTTTTTTTTTTGAGACGGAGTTTCGCTCTGTCGCCCAGGCTGGAGTGCAGTGGCGCGATCTCGACTCACTGCAAGCTCCGCCTCCCGGGTTCACGCCATTCTCCTGCCTCAGCCTCCCGTGTAGCTGGGACTACAGGCGCACGCCACCATGCCCGGCTAATTTTTGTATTTTTAGTAGAGACGGGGTTTCACCGTGTTAGCCAGGATGGTCTCGATCTCCTGACCTCGTGATCCGCCCGTCTCGGCCTCCCAAAGTGCTGGGATTACAGGCGTGAGCCACCGCGCCCGGCCTTGTTCATTTTTTATAGAGATGTGGTCTCCCTATGTTACCCAGGCTACTGAGCTCAAGCAATCCTCCTCTGGGCCTCCTAAAGTGCTGCAATTACAGGAGTGCCTGGCATCTGTGAAACTTTGAACACTACACATTCCTGAGTTCCCCAGGAGATTTTGATTAAGTAGCTTTTTGGTGTGACCATGAGTGGTACAATTTAAAAATGTTCCACACGTGATTCTGTTGTGCAGTTAGGGTGGTAGTTATGAGCACCAGCTCTGGATTCAGATAGACTGTGATATGAGTCTTGCTCCAGGTACTATCATTGTGAATTTAGGCAAATTAGTCTCTCTAAACTTCAGTTTATTCATCTAAATACAATAGTGAGAATTACAGTAGGCTGATCTTGTGCGATGTCGTGGAGATTTAAAAATACATGAATGATGTATTTTTTCCCCTTTTCCCTTTAGATTCCTGATCTACCTTGCTCTGTGTCCTGAGAGGCTGGCTTGTATGGCTCTCATTAAGGAGTTCCCTTGCCTTCCAACTTCTGGATGGGTTCAGCTAGCAGGAGGTCAGAAATCAGGAGGAGAATGTGGGTCTTTATTTCCCCACTTTCCCCTTTGCTAGTTTGCCATGAGTTGGCGATGCCCGTGTTTCTCCAACTAAGGTCACAACTCCTGTCAGATGGCCCTCCGCTACAGCTACAGGTATGACTATATTTTTTGGAACCCAGTAAATTCTCCCTCCCCCTGTCCCTTCAGTAAAAGTGGTAAAGGGCTTCTGGGTATTGCTAGCCCTGGTGTACTGCACAATCCTTTAACCCTGCCTGCCTTTTTGTGAATGGTCTCTTCATTAAATCCTCAGTTATCCAACTGGAGTGTGTCATCTGCTTCCTACTTGTACCCTGATAGATACTACAGATAGCGTGCTTAACACAGTTCCCAGCACATAATAGAATCTATATAAATGTTTGTCATTAAAGAAAGACAAAGTCTAGTGAAATGCATTATTCAATTGTATGCATTTTGTTATCTCATTTGGAGTTTATTCTTAAAATTAAATTTCACTGGAATCTGCTTTAAACAGAATTCAGGTAACAAGGACCCTCAATTTGCCAGATTTTCTTTTTCTTTCATTTTTTTTTCCTGTTACATTCTCCTTTGTAGAGAAGGAGAAAAATGATTGGAAGTTAAATGTGCATTTAGAGTTTTGTATAAAGGGAAACAACTGATTGAGAATGTTCTGGAATGAATGTACATTCAACCAGTGTGACACAGATCTGGGATAGCATCTTGTTTCTGCCTCTACTAGCAAGTAACTTAATTTTTTCTAATTCCCAGGGTTCTTGGGGGAATCAAATGAGGCAAAATATGTAAAGTGCTTACCACAACAACTTACACATGATATAAGTAATTCCTTTCTCTTGCCCTCTTAGTCTTCATCCCAGGCATTGAAAGATTGATGGCCTTGAGTCGCTACAGGGTAATTAGTCATCCCCCACAGGTTCCAAGTGGTTTCTAGACTATATTTCTTCAGGCAAAAAAATAAGTAGTGTGTTTCAAAAAGATGTTTAACAATAATTCTAAACATTTAAAATCCAACCTAGGTTTCTGGTTATTACTTTTTAAAAAAATCTAAAAATTTCAATAACAAGAATCCTCATTTTTCTCAGATTTTTTTCTAGAGCAGCAGAAGGAGATATATGATTGGATTGTTATTGATATTTATGCTAATTGTTATATTCCAAGCTCATGTTTTTTTTTTCTTGGAATAGCAAAAATTTCAGATATGCTGATTCTGTGTTCTCCATTGTACTAAACTCTTTCAACAACTGTAAGGCTGCTGCTGTCTAATGGAATGGAAATAGGGCAATAGCCAAATAACCAGCAAATAGCATCTTGTTTTTTGAGTTTTCACTTTCCTTCTACCTACCAGTTACAGTATATTAATTAAGGCCCACTTTAAAGAAACTAAGCTCCATCACTCTTTAGGGAATACATGTTAAAATATACAGTTTATATTTTATATCATTGTTTTGTGGAAAGAATAGAAATAAAATGGTACCTTAAAGTGATATATGATATATTCTCCAAACATGATTCTTTATTTGTACTGTACAAAATGCAACTTGAAGATATTGATCAACTGGCAATGATAGTGGTTTTAGTTATTTGTAAAATTGTGATGGCCTCATTACATTGTGCTATGTAACTATAGAACATCAACCTTGCTTAACGATTTTAATCTTAAAAAATAGGCCAAATTGGTAGGATGTGTAAATGAGGAAAACTGACAGTGATAGGCAGTCAGTAGTTTTCCTCTTCAGTCAATATTTTTTTCTTCCCTAATTTTGTACTAGAACTAATTATTATTTCTGTAAGTTCTGATCTAAGATTTTACATATATACAACATGAATTGAGATTTACTTTACAAATTATAAAATATTATTTAAACTAAGTGATTCACCAAAAATGTTCCCTTATGTTTCTGTCTTTCCAGATGTATTTATTTAGTAATTTGCTGCAGAAGTTAAACTGAAAACTAATGGGTCGAGAGCCACTATGCTTTGAAAGTCATTCAGAAAAGAGAAAATGACTCTCAATAATTGTGCAGACCAATGGGAAATGGAGTTAAATTTACAAAAGTCCCACTTACTTATGCATTTATTTATGCATATTTTTGATAGAACATTGCCATTGTATACATAGATTCATGTCTCCTCTCTTTAGCTCAGGCTCAGAGTCCAAAGCTCTCCCCTCCTCTTCTCTAAACCTGGGTCTAGTTGGTGACTCTGCAGGACCAATGTTTTCAAGCTCTGCATCCATGTTTACTTGCATATTTTATGCCCCTTTTAGACGTCTCACATTGCACATTACAATATTAAGAATTCTGCTATGTTCTGCAAAAAAAAAAAACCTCTTGAACCTTGTTGAACCCAGCATTTCTCACATTTATTTGACCACAGAATGTCTTTTTTTCAATGTAATAACCAGCAACATCTAAAAGGATTTAAGAGAGGTCCAACAAACTCTTGGTAAAGTCCTTTCCAACATCACCAACTGCAGTCTATAATGGAGGCCTTTTTGAAGTTTATTAAATTTCTTCTAAAAAGCCCCAGAAGGCTTCTAGATTTAAACTAGGCTTCCAGAAATCCACATCCTCTTAATAAAACCATTCCCTCCTTCCAGCCACAAAATTGGATTTAAAGGAGGCACCAATTCCATGTGCTGAAGGGAAACCCACCCATCCCAAGGTGGCAACACTACCCACTGCAGGATTAAGGGTAATGTTTTTTGTTTCTTCTGTTTAATTTAATAATCTCCCTTAACACTGTCAGTAACACCAATACAAACTGTCTAGAAAACCACCCCCTAGAAAAAAGCTACAATTGTTAGGTTAGTTCAAAAGTAATTGCAGTTTTTGCATTGAAACTACTGGCAAATAATGGCCATCCTGACTGGCGTGAGATGGTATCTCATTGCATTTCTCTAATGATCAGTGACGTTGAGTTTATTTTATATGTTTGTTGGCTGCATGAATGCCTTGTTTTGAGAAGCATCTGTTCATGTCCTTTGCCCACTTTTTAATGGGATTGTCTGTTTTTTTCTTGTAAATTTGTTTGTGTTTTTTGTAGATGCTGGATATTAGACCTTTGTCAGATAGATAGATTGCAAAGATTTTGTCCCACTTCATAGGTTGCCTGTTCACTCTGATGATAGTTTCTTTTGCTGTGCAGAAGCTCTGTAGTTTAATTAGATCCTATTAGTCAATTTTTTTGCTTTGGTTGAAACTGCTTTTGGTGATTTTATCATGAAATCTTTGCCTGTGCCTATGTCCTGAATGGTATTGCCTAGATTTACTTCTAGGGTTTTTATAGTTTTGGGTTTTACATTTAAGTCTTTAATCCATCTTGAGTTAATTTTTGTATAAGGTGTGAGGAAGGGGTCCACTTTCAATTTTCTGCAAATGGATAGCCAGTTCTCCCAGCACCATTTATTAAACAGGCAGTCCTTTCCCCATTGCTTGTGTTTGCCGGGTTTGTCGAAGATCAGATTGTTGTAGATGAGTGATCTTATTTCTGAGTTCTTCATTCTGTTCCATTGGTCTATGTGTCTGTTTTTGTACCGGTACCATGCTATTTTCGTTATTGTAGCCTTATAGTATAGTTTGAAGTCTGGTAGGGTGATGCCTCCAGCTTTATTCTTTTTGCTTAGGATTGTCTTGGTTCTATGGGCTCTTTTTTGGTTCCATATGAATTTTAAAATAGTTTTTTTTTCTAATTCTGTGAAGAATGTCAATAGTAGTTTAATGGGAATAGCATTGAATCTATAAATTACTTTGGGCACTGTGGCCATTATTAAAAAGTCAAGAAAGAACAGATGCTGGTGAGGTTGCAGAGAAATAGAAATGCTTTTACACTGTTGGTGGAGATGTAAATTAGTTCAACCATTGTGGAAGATGGTGTGGCAATTCCTCAAAGATCTAGAACCAGAAATACCATTTGACCCAGCAATCCCATTACTGGGTATATACCCAAAGGAATATAAATCATTCTGTTACAAAGATACATGCATGTGTATGTTCATTGCAGCCCTATTCACAATAGCAAGGACATGGAATCAACCGAAATGCCCATCAATGATAGACTGGATAAAGAAAATGTGGTACATATACACCAAGAAATACTATGCAGCCATGAAAAGGAATGAGATCATGTCCTTTGCAGGGACATGGATGAAGCTGGAAGCCATTATCCTCAGCAAACTAACACAGGAACAGAAAACCAAACACTGCATATTCTCACATATAAGCGGGAGCTGAACAGTGAGATCACATGAACACAGGGAGGGGTACAACACACACTAGGGCCTGTCGGGGAGTAGGGTTGGGGGAGGGAGAGTATTAGGAAGAATAGCTAATGCATGCTGGGCTTAATGCCTAGGGGATGGGTTGATAGGTGCAGCAAACCACTATTGCACATGATTACATATGTAACAAACCTGCACATCCTGCACATGTACCCCAGAAATAAAAAAAAAAAAGTAATGGCAAAAACCACAATTACTTCTGCACCATCCTAACAGATGTAATTACCTACCTTCCCTTAAAAAACCCAATTCCAGGATCAACCCCTTTGTGCCTTACGTGTTTGTTTACCTTAGTCACTCTCAGATATACGAGCCTCAGGTAATCCCTCATTCTCTAGATTATCTTAATCTAACACAATATCCTACTACTCCCTGACCTCCTAATCCATTCTAATGCATTAGCTGCATTTCATGGTCTGTCATCAGCGATATCCCTGATATCTTCTGTAAACACCCTTTTCATTATTGTCCTAACTGAAACCTGGCTTTCTATGAGAAAAGGGCTTCCCCGGCAATCCTTACAAGAGGTAGCTGTTTTTCCTCATACACCCCATGTTCCTCAGGTTTCTCTTCTCTTCTTTCCTCTTTTAAATACCCAATCTCTATTGAAACTTCATCCATCAGACTGCCTAGAGTCATTTACTAAATCCCTGGCTATCCTCCATAGTTTACTGGAAAGTTTAGTTTTTGGCTGACTTCTTTCTCTTTGTCCCTTCTCCTTTCATCTTTCTTGGTAACTTGAGTGTCCGTGTTGGTATCCTTCCAACTCTCTGACTTCTCTATTTCTTGACATGTTCTCCTTGAGTTATCTTGACCTTCACTCCACCTCAGCCAATACTTTCTGTGCTCATAGCTTAGACCTTGTTATTCCTTAATAAACAGCCCTCCCTCCAGAAACTTGATTTAAAATATCTTACTCTCTGAATACTTCCTCATATCTTTCTAGCTTACTTAATCTGGTATCTCTAACTCAACAATACTTCAAATACCTTGAGACTTCCAGTCCATCGACTCCTCAACTTGTTTCACTGTTCATGGCTTACTTCATGCCGTAATTTCTTCCTTATTATGCTTAGATCTCATGGTCTATCACTGTAATCACAGTTTTGGAAAATATTGAGCTACTTTCTCTCTCCTTCCATCCTACTCACCCAGAAAATCTTAACCCTAGTTTAATCTAACACTCCACCAACTTGGTGTCTACACATAAGCAGCAGAGCCTGCCTGGAAAAAAAAAATACAGCTATACTGACTGTGTTAAATTTAAACCTATAAAACTCAAAGGAGCCATTAATACTGTCCTAGCATATTTCTCAAGTCAATTTGCACTCTCATTTTCTCAGACAACTATTTTTGTCTGCTTCCCTTACAAGCCTCCTTTACTCCTCAACCTGAGCTGGTTATTTTATTTTGAGGAAATAAAAGTAATCAGAAAAAATCTTTTACATTCCCATCACCAAATCTACAAACTCAGCCAGGTGTCCTGGCTCACGCCTGTAATCCCAGCACTTTGGGAGGCCGAGGTGGGCGGATCACAAGGTCAGGAGATCAAGACCATCCTGGCTAACATGGTGAAACCCCGTCTCTACTAAAAATACAAAAAATTAGCCAGGCGTGGTGTTGCATGACTGTAGTCTCAGCTACTCGGGAGGCTGAGGCAGGAGAATCACTTGAACCTGGGAGGTGGAGGTTGCAGTGAGCCAAGATCATGCCACTGTAATCCAGCCTGGGCGATAGAGCGAGACTCTGTCTCAAAAACAAACAAACAAACAAAAAACAAACAAAAAAAAACCCAAATCTACCGATCCACATCTGATGTCTTACAATTGGTGAACTGTCCCTGGTTTCATCTATGTCCAATCCTCTGGTATGTACTGGATATCATCTCCTCTCACCTCCTCACCTTCTCAATTATTTTGATCCAGCAGCTATCCCCTCTTCATCTTTCAAAATAAAATTTCTCCCACTCAGGGATTATTACCATCAGTATACAATCATGCTGTTATTTGTTCTATGTTAAAAATTTCTCCATTGACCTTATATCCTCCTTCAGGCTCCACTCCATTTCTGTGCTTCGTTTGATAGCAAAATTAAAAATAAGCATTTGTATGCCCGGCTTATTTCTTCCACTCTCTTTTGAACAAATTTCAATCAGATTTTCATTCCCACCCTTTAAAACAGCTTCTGGTAGAAGAAAAGAGAGAAGAATCAAATAGACGCAATAAAAAATGATAAAGGGGATATCACCACCGATCCCACAGAAGTACAAACTACCATCAGAGAATACTACAAACACCTCTACGCAAATAAACTAGAAAATCTAGAAGAAATGGATAAATTCCTTGACACATACACCCTCCCAAGACTAAACCAGGAAGAAGTTGAATCTCTGAATAGACCAATAACAGGCTCTGAAAATGTGGCAATAATCAATAGCTTACCCACCAAAAAAAGTCCAGGACCAGATGGATTCACAGCCGAATTCTACCAGAGGTGCAAGGAGGAACTGGTACCATTCCTTCTGAAACTATTCCAATCAATAGAAAAAGAGGGAATCCTCCCTAACTCATTTTATGAGACCAGCATCATCCTGATACCAAAGCCTGGTAGAGACACAACGAAAAAAGAGAATTTTAGACCAATCTCCTTGATGAACATTGATGCAAAAATCCTCAATAAAATACTGGCAAACTGAATCCAGCAGCACATCAAAAAGCTTATCCACCATGATCAAGTGGGCTTCATCCCTGGGATGCAAGGCTGGTTCAACTTATGCAAATCAATAAATGTAATCCAGCATATAAACAGAACCAAAGACAAAAACCATATGATTATCTCAATAGATGCAGAAAAGACCTTTGACAAAATTCAACAACCCTTCATGCTAAAAACTCTCAATAAATTAGGTATTGATGGGACGTATCTCAAAATAATAAGAGCTATCTATGACAAACCCACAGCCAATATCATACTGAATGGGCAAAAACTGGAAGCATTCCCTTTGAAAGCTGGCACAAGACAGGGATGCCCTCTCTCACCACTCCTATTCAACATAGTGTTGGAAGTTCTGGCCAGGGCAATCAGGCAGGAGAAGGAAATAAAGGGTATTCAATTAGGAAAAGAGGAAGTTAAATTGTCCCTGTTTGCAGATGACATGATTGTATATCTAGAAAACCCCATCATCTCAGCCCAAAATCTCCTTAAGCTGATAAGCAACTTCAGCAAAGTCTCAGCATACAAAATCAATGTACAAAAATCACAAGCATTCTTATACACCAATAACAGACAAACAGAGAGCCAAATCATGATTGAACTCCCATTCACAATTGCTTCAAAGAGAATAAAATACCTAGGAATCCAACTTACAAGGGACGTGAAGGACCTCTTCAAGGAGAACTACAAACCACTACTCAATGAAATAAAAGAGGATACAAACAAATGGAAGAACATTCCATGCTCATGGGTAGGAAGAATCAATATCGTGAAAATGGCCATACTGCCCAAGGTAATTTATAGATTCAATGCCATCCCCATCAAGCTACCAATGACTTTCTTCACAGAATTGGAAAAAACTACTTTAAAGTTCATGTGGAACCAAAAAAGAGCCTGCATCACCAAGTCAATCCTAAGCTAAAAGAACAAAGCCAGAGGCATCATGCTACCTGACTTCAAACTATACTACAAGGCTACAGTAACCAAAACAGCATGGTACTGGTACCAAAACAGAGATATAGATCAATGGAACAGAACAGAGCTCTCAGAAATAATGCTGCATATCTACAACCATCTGATCTTTGACAAACCTGACAAAAACAAGCAATGGGGAAAGGATTCCCTATTTAATAAATGGTGCTGGGAAAACTGGCTAGCCATATGTAGAAAGCTGAAACTGGATCCCTTCCTTACACCTTATACAAAAATTAATTCAAGATGGATTAGAGACTTACATGTTAGACCTAAAACCATAAAAACCCTAGAAGAAAACCTAGGCAATACCATTCAGGACATAGGCATGGGCAAGGACTTCATGTCTAAAACACCAAAAGCAATGGCAGCAAAAGCCAAAATTGAAAAATGGGATCTAATGAAACTAAAGGGCTTCTGCACAGCAAAAGAAACTACCATCAGAGTGAACAGGCAACCTACAAAATGGGAGAAAATTTTCGCAACCTACTCATCTGACAAAGGGCTAATATCCAGAATCTACAAAGAACTCAAACAAATTTACAAGAAAAAAACAAACAACCCCATCAAAAAGTGGGCAAAGGATGTGAACAGACACTTCTCAAAGGAAGACATTTATGCAGCCAAAAGACACATGAAAAAATGCTCATCATCACTGGCCATCAGAGAAATGCAAATCAAAACCACAATGAGATACCATCTCACACCAGTTAGAATGGCGATCATTAAAAAGTCAGGAAACAACAGGTGCTGGAGAGGATGTGGAGAAATAGGAACACTTTTACACTGTTGGTGGGACTGTAAACCAGTTCAACCATTATGGAAGTCAGTGTGGCGACTCCTCAGGGATCTAGAACTAGAAATACCATTTGACCCAGCCATCCCATTACTGGGTATATACCCAAAGGATTATAAATCATGCTGCTATAAAGACACATGCACATGTATGTTTATTGCAGCACTATTTACAGTAGCAAAGACTTGGAACCAACCCAAATGTTCATCAACGATAGACTGGATTAAGAAAATGTGGCACATATACACCATGGAATACTATGCAGCCATAAAAAATGATGAGTTCATGTCCTTTGTAGGGACATGGATGAAACTGGAAACCATCATTCTCAGCAAACTATCGCAAGGACAAAAAACCAAACACTGCCTATTCTCACTCATAGGTGGGAATTGAACAATGAGAACACATGGACACAGGAAGGGGAACATCACACTCCGGGGACTGTTTTAGGGTAGGGGTAGTGGGGAGGGATAGCATTAGGAGATATATCTAATGCTAAATGACGAGTTAATGGGTGCAGCACACCAACATGTCACATGTATACGTATGTAAGAAACCTGCACATTGTGCACGTGTACCCTAAAACTTAAAGTATAATAAGAATAAAATTAAAAAAAAAAACAGCTTCTGGTAACATCGCAAATGTTCATCATCTTGTTCAATCCAATAGCTGAATAGCTTTCCTTATTCTAATTTTCCTCTCAGTGTTATTGGTACAATTAGTCTGTTGATGTTAACTTGTGTCTTCCTAGGAGCAGATGCCAAGATGGAATTAAAGACATAATAGACTTAGTAAGGAAAATATCTATGACTGATAAAAGGAAAGGAGCAGGAGGAGGTAGGGAGAGCCTCATTCTTCAATGCAGGTCAGAAACCTGTGAAAGGGGAAAAGGAAGGAAGGAAAGAAGGAGTATGTTGTAGGAAAAGACTCAGAGAAGTCTTTGAGCCACAGTCGCCCATTTGCAGAGTCCCACATTCTACAGTAGAACCCCCGTTATGGTCAGTCATGGCTGGCAAGAGCCTGAGGGAAGCATGTCCTTAACACAAATGCCATGATGGATACACAAAGGAGGAAACTGAGGTTTCTGGTCCACTATACCCTTGCAAAGGACATTTGAGTGGAACATTTCCATGCCCTCATGCTCTCCTTTCTGTTGGAAACACTTTCTTTATGTGATTTCTGGAATGCCACACTCTTGATATTCCACCTTCTTAGTATTTCTTGTTGAGTCATCCTCCTCTCTCTAAACTCTGATTGGAGTATTTCCAGGCCTAAACCTTCCACTCTCTTCTTTATATATACATACTGCTTAGGGGAATTCATCCAGTCCTATGCATGATAACCAGATATATACTATAGCTTACAACTTCTATATTTGGAAATCTAAAAATGCCTCAAATTCAACATATCCAAATAAGAATTTTTGATTTTCTACTGCCCCACATCGCACAAAGCTTCTCTTCCCACAATGTTACTTAACTTTCTGAAAGGCAACTTCAACCATTCATTAGTTGTTTAAGCCAGAGGTCTTGGAGTATTAGTTCTCTCTTTAGTTGAGCATTAGTTCCCTCTTTCTCTCACACTGCAAAATTCAGTTTATCACTAAATTCTGTCAACTTTTGTTTCAAAATATGTCCTAGTATGATCATTTATAATTACTTCTATCTCTACCATTCTATTTCCAGATACTGTTCTAGAAACCACTTTTTATACTCCTAATATAATTGTATTATTTTATATTGGTTTTTATGACCTTCTGTATTATTTGTACTCCTCTTCCCATGCCTCTGAGACTGATGTATCAGTGGAAATATCTTCTTGGTTCTTGATTAAAGCCTCACACCTGAGCAATATCTTAAAAAATTCCCTGTGGCATCTGTCAGTCATTTTCTACATGGCCTCCTTTATAGAGAAACTTACAATGTGTGAAGCTGGAAACTCATTTATTCATCGAACAGACATTTATGCGGTGTCCCTCATGTGCCAGGAGTAGTTCTAGGCGATAGCATATAGTATGAACAAAACAGATAATGTCACCGTCTTCTCTGGAACTTGCATTCTAATGAGGTAGACAGACAATAATTTAATAAATATATAATATGTCATGTGGGGGTAAGTGACATAGAGAAAAATAAAAACAGGTATGAGGGTATCAGAAGCACTGAGGAGGCATTTTATATTTTTTCTTTCTTTCCTTCCCTTCCTTCCTTCTTGGGGTAATTGACATAGAGAAAAACAAAAACAGGTATGAGGATGTCAGAAGCACCGAGAAGCATTTGATATTCTTTCTTTCTTTCCCCTCCTTCCTTCTTTTCTTTCCTTTCCCTACCTCCTTTCCCTTCCCTTCCCTTCCCTTCCCTTTCTTTTCTTTTCTTTTTCCTTTCCTTTCCTTTCCTTTCCTTTCCTTTCCTTTCCTTTCCTTTCCTTTTCTTTTCTTTTCTTTTCTTTTCTTTTCTTTTCTTTTCTTTTCTTTTCTTTTCTTTTCCATAGAGACAGGGTCTCGCTATGTTGCCCAGGCTGGGCTCAAACTCCTGAGCTCAAATCATCCTCCTGCCTTGGCCTCCCACAGTGCTGGGATTACAGGCCTGAGCCACCACACTTGGCCACAGTTGCTATTCTTATAAAGGGTGATTAGGGAAGCCTACTTTGAGAAGATGACATTTGAGCAAAGCTGGAAGGAGGTGAGGGAGAGAACCATGTGACTATCTGGAGAAAGAATACCTACCATGGGCAGAGAGAATAGTTAATACAAAAGCCCTATTTTAGGAGTGTTCCTGGTATGTTCAAGGAAGCTATATTAATTATATATTGCTATGTAACAAGTTACCCTAACACATAGTAGCCTAAGACAAAATTATTTATTATACCATCATACCTGTAGGTCAATAATATAGGTATAATTTAACTGGGTAGATTTAAATCTAGATTTGTATATTTAAACTAGGCTTCAGAGCTCCACATCCTCTTTGTAAGACTATTTACTCCTATCAGCCACAGACCTGGATTTAAAGGAAGCTCCAGTTCCATGTGCTGCAGGGAAACCCAAGGCTGCAATCCAGCCAGGCTATAGACATCTCAAGGCTTGACTTGGGGAGGATCCACTTCTCAGCTTACTCACACAGCTGCTGGCAGGATTGAGTTCTCCCAGGGTGTTCACCTGAAGTCCTCAGTTACTTGCTGGCTTTTGGTCAGAGGTATCTGTCAGTCGCTTTGCATGTGGCAGTGTCCTTAGAGAAGCTCACAATGTGGCAGCTGTCTTTCCTCAGAGCAAGCAAGCAAGAAAGCAAGAGAGAATCAACAAGATGAAATACAGATTCTTTTTTTAACCCAATATCTCAAGTGACATCTCATTACTTTTGTCATATTCTATTTGATAGAAGCAAGTCACTAAGTCCATTAGCCACTTAAGGGGTGAAGATTATACAAAAATGTGAATACCAGCAGGTGGAAAAAATTGGGGACCATTTAATAAAGACTGCTTACCACAGAGGCCATTGTGGCTGAAGCAAAGTAGAGCAAGGGATATAGTGACAGGAGGTGAAGACGGAGAGGTAGAGGAAAGATCAAAGAATGTATGGACCTGATTTTATAAGAATCACTTTGGCTGCTTCTGGAAGAATGGACTGCATGACAGCAAGAGTGGAAGCAGGAAGAACAGTTAGGGGACTATTGCAATAACCCAGGTGAAATATGAGGGTGATTTGCGCCCCTGTCATAGTAATAGACATTAGATATTCTAGATATTTTCTGGCTATGGAGTGTGAAAGAGAGTAGTCAAGGATGACTCCAAAGTTTTTAACCTGAGCAAATGGATGAATAAAATTAGCCTTAATTGAGATGGGAATTCTTTGGGAAAACCAGGTTGTGAAGGGAAAATGAAGATTTTGATTTTGGACATGATAATTTTGAGATGCCTATTAGACAATGTCAGATAGGAAGCTGAACATTTGAGTCTGTTTTTCAGGGAAGAGTCCAGTCTGTGTGTATAAATTTGAACATCATCAGCATAAAGATAGCATATAATGCCATGAGACCAGATGAGATAATCTAAAGAGAGTATATAGAAAAAGGCAGAAGTCTTAGAACTGAGCTGTGGGGACACTTCATTTGAAGATTGTGAAGAAGATAAGGGCCTAGCAAAAAAGGCTGAGGAGAAGAAACCAATGAGGCAGGAGAAAAACCACAAAGAATTTCCTGAGATGATAGCACATATTTTTAGTAGCCGTGCAATTCTGTGGCTCAGGCAGGGGTATGCCTTGAGGATGCAAAGATAAAGGTGAAAAGCTAATGTAGGTAAGATGATTTCTGCTCAGATTCCTCAGCAGATGCTGAAAATTTGATAACTTTAGCCCCAATATGGGGTTGGGGTGGCAGGGGGTGGGGAGAGAGAAAAAGAGAGAGAGAGAGAGAGAGAATATGAATGTGTATGTATGTGTATGTATGTATTTGTACAGACCCATACACACACACACACACACACACACACACACTGGATTTGAATACACTTTCCAATTTGCCACAGGCCTCACCACTCCTTATTGCTATAGTATTCTTCTTGAACCAATTCACACATGAATGTCACTTACCAGACACTTGGAGGCATTTCAGTGTGAGAGACAGGTAGTTGGCACCATTAAAAATATTTCACATTTCTAGATGTATCCCATTTAGTTTAGTTTAGCAAAAACCAGAAACACAAGTGATCCACTTCATTAAAAATATTAGCCAAGGCATTTTCCTAGCATTGATGAAATGAAATATTGTTTGTTCTCTGTAGGAAAAACACTCATGTTAATCATAACAGATGTTTGTATAACATTTTACCTGCATTATCTCATTTAAAAGTTACTGTAACCATATGATATATTTATCATTCTTATTTTATTTTTTAAAAATTTTTGATTTTTTTATTTCTATAGGTTTTTGGGAACAAGTGATGTTTGGTTACATAAATAAGTTCTTTAGTGGTGATTTCTGAGATTTTGGTGCACCCATCACCCGAGCAGTGTACACTGTACCCAATGTGTAATCTCTTATCCCTCATCATCCCCAACCCTTTCTCTTGAGTCCCCAAAGTCCAATGTATCATTCTTAGGCCTTTGCGTCCACGTTGCTTAGCTCCCACTTATGAGTAAGAACATACGATGTTTGTTTTTTCATTCCTGAGTTACTTCACTTAGAATAATAGTCTTCAATTCCATCCAGGTTGCTGAGAATGCCATTATTTCATTCTTTTTCATGACTGAGTAGTATTCCATGGTGTATGTGTGTGTGCAGATATATAAAATTTTCTTTATCCACTCGTTGATTGATGGCCATTTGAGCTGGTTCCATATTTTTCCAATTGCAAATTGTGTTGCTATAAATGTGTGTGCAGGTATATTTTTCATATAATGACTTCTTTTCCTCTGGGTAAATACCTAGTAGTGGGATTGTTGGATCAAATGGTAGATCTACTTTTAGTTATTTAAGAAGTTTCCACACTGTTTTCCGTAGTGGTTGTACTAGTTTACATTCCCAGCAACAGTGTATAAGTGTTCCCTTTTCACTGTATCCCCACCAACATCCTTTTTTTTTTTTATTACTGCCATTCTTGCAGGAGTGAGGTGGTATCACATTGTGACTTTGATTTGCATTTCCCTGATAATTAGTGATGTTGAGCATTTTTCCATGTGCTTTTTGGCCATTTGTGTATCTTCTTTCAGAATTCTCTATTCATATCTTTAGCCCACTTTTTAATGAGATTTTTTTTCTTGCTGATTTGTTTGAGTTCTTTGTAGATTCTGGATATTAGTTCTTTGTTGGATGTATAGATTGTGAAGTCCTAGCCAGGGCAATCAGACAAGAGAAAGAAATAAAGGGCATCCAAATTGGTAAAGAGGAAGTCAAACTGTAGCTGTTTGCTGATGATATATTGTATAGCTAGGAAACCCTAAAGACTCATCCAAAAAGCTCCTAGAAGTGGTAAATGAATTCAACAAGGTTTCAGGATACAAAATTAATGTACACAAATCAGTAGCTCTGCTGTACACAAACAGCGACCAAGCTGAGACCCAAATGAAGAACTCATCCCCTTTCACAATAGCTGCAAAAAATAAAAAATAAAGTAAAATATTTAGGAATATACCTAGCCAAGGATGTGAAAGTCCTGTACAAGTAAAACTATAAAACACTGCTGAAAGAAATCATAGATGACACAAACAAACGGAAACACATCCCATGCTCCTGGATGGGTAGAATCAACATTGTGAAAATGACCAAACTACTGAGAGCAATCTACAAATTCAATGGCCATTCCCATCAAAATACCATCATAATTCTTCAAAGAACTAGAAAAAACAATCCTGAAATTCAAATGGAACAAAAAAAGAACCCACATAGCCAAAGCAAGACTAAGAAAAAAAAAAAAATCTGGAGGTATCACATTACCTGACTGCAAAGGCCATAGTCACCAAAACAGCATGGTACTGGTATAAAAATAGGCACATAGACCAATGGAACAGATCAGAGAACCTGGAAATAAAGCCAAATATTCATAGCCAACTGATCCTCAACAAAGCAAACAAAAACATAAAGTGGGGAAAGGACACCCTATTCAAGAAATGGTGCTGGGATAATTGGCAAGCCACATGTAGAAGAATGAAACTGGATGATCTCTTACCCTATATAAAAATCAACTCAAGGTGGATCAAAGACATAAGTCTAAGACCTGAAACCATAAATATTCTAGAAGATAATACTGGAAAAACCCTCTAGACATTGGCTTAGGCAAAGACTTTGTGACCAAGAACCCAAAAGCAAATGCAACAAAAACGAATATAAATAGATGGGACTTAATTAAACTAAAAAGCTTCTGCACAGCAAAAGAAATAATCAGAGTTAACAGACAACCCACAGAGTGAGAGAAAATCTTCAAAATCATCACTCTTATTGTAATTATTTTATAGATGAGGCAAGTGAAGTTCAGAGAAGCTTAAGCAGCTTGCTCAATGTCATACAGCAAATAAAAGGCACAGCTTGGTCTTGAACCTGTTATTTGTCAATTGGTTATTGGTCAATTTTCCATGCTAGGTTTAATCAATTATGGTGGTTGGGAGAGCAATCAGCCTCATCAGGGACTGTGAGAACAAGCTCTGAGAAGGAGCTTAGGAAGGTTCAGGCAAATCAACTACTACACGTGCTGTATAGATAAAATGGTTATCTCCAACTGTGAGGTTAAATAAATTATTTGCTGTAAACTACATTGAAAGAAACTGTGCTTTTTGTAGCTAGGTGAATTCTTAAAGTTCTGCTGGTTTCTCCTGGCAGAAAATCAGGTATCACTAACATCTGGAGCAACACCACACCTATATATTCAGTTGACCCCTTATGGTGGCATCCACTTTAGACACTGAGGTTTCAAGTACCTATTGAATATTCAAGGGAGGAACTAGACATATGTTTAGGTAGCCAGATTAAGTTATTTCAGACTCATATAGTCAAAGACCACAAATATTTTCTCCCCTGAATCTCCTTCTTCCCCATTCCACTTTGCTTTATTTTGAAAGGGGTCATAAGGCTACAGTGACTTGATTGCTATCCATGCCACCATCTTCATTTTTTCCCAGCCTCAGGGAGAAACTGTCTTTGGGAAAGGAGATTTAAATTACGGTGTGTCTAGGATGCTATTGCTACTCACAGTTCCTTTCTCAATATTTCAAACTTCATCTCCTTAGCTGGTTACAGAAATAAATCTCTAATATTATTATTACATTTATATTATTTCATGTAGAAGTACTCCAAGTTTAATGTTTATCTGGTGATGCAGCATTTATTGAAATTATCAAATGTATCCCCATGTTTTTTTCTTTGGAATAAAACAAAATTCAGCAATATCAAATGTTGACAGCATGGAGTGCAAATATGTGTTTTGTTCTTAGTTGATGTCCTATCTTTGTTCACAAAGTAATTTGTAGTTTGTTACCTGTCAGCACCAAGACTGTGGATTGAGTCATAAATTAAAGGTAGAGTTACTAAGTCTGGGCTAATGGTAAAGGTTAGATCTATAGAGTTCAAATCTTTTTAGAAGATTGTTTCAAATGAAATTTTCTGTAAAATTTAATATTAAAAAAAAAAACAGATAAAAGTGGAACTTCTCTGGTTGAAGCTCTGCTTAGTTTTGGTCCCTGAACCTCTTCCTCTCTCTGTAGTGGCTTGAAGTAACTTAATATAAAATCCCCAAACCACTAGTAGTTTGAAAACCACAAGAGTATAGGATTAGCATAACCACACATAGCACTCAAGGTAGGGCTCAAAAACTTATGGTCAAGGATGGAGCTCGAGGAAGCAATAATGGGAACACTCTGAAATAGAAACCTATTTAAGTATTGGGGGAAAGTGTGGGCATGGCTAGGAGTCAAACCCATAGAAGCAATTAAATCATAGCTGCCCACAGAGAGAAAAGATTAAGGTAAATAGAATCTTCAAGACTTCAAGACTAGCAAACAGAGAGAAGGGGAACAGACATCTTGGAAAGGAGAGAAAGGCAGGTCATTAGAGATTCGAAAGCAGAAGACTCTCCAGGCATTAAGAAATAGAAACATATATGAAGGGGTGAGTGGAGACAGAGACAGAGAGAGAAAAAGAGGGAGGAGAGAAGGGGGAGGAAAGAGGTGATGAGGTTGAATACTGATATTAATATAAATAAATAAGGAATTGACTGCAGAAACAAACAGCCTGCTGGGAAAGCAGTTAAATGACTGAGGGTGTGAAAAAGCTGCCCTATTGGAATGGACTGGTGGCTTGCCATTCCATGCGTTCCAGGTAAAAAATGTTAAAAAAAAAAAAAAGAAAAAATAAATTAAAAAATTAAAACAAAAAAGCTAACTATTGTTTATGAAATCAGAATACATGATAGTGCCTATTAAAATGCCAAGTCCCACTAGGTTGTAAGGGAAAAAATGCCTTCAGAATAAAACTCTCTTTTTAGGTACCAGACAGGATAGAGTTAAATAAATGAAATATGCTGAGGAGAGTCTAATGTGGAGAGGAACCATCTGGCAAAATCTCCACTATACCCACTCCGCTTTCTCTCTCAATGCCCTTCCCTAGGGGGCTTGAAACAGCTGTGTTGAGATACTAGACCCTGAGTTTTTACATTTATATCAAAAGTGAAATCCAAAATGTCTGTGCTGCTGCTGATTAGAGAGCATTTGGGTGGTTCAATATTGAAAAGATTTGTGGCACACTGGACTCCTTTGCTTTGAAACACCCAACTTGTCATGTCATGTTTTTTCCACCCCTGCTACTTGGCGGAGCTTTTATTTTTGAATTTCCTTGCTTTACTACTGCGTTGTCTCTACTGGCAATAAATACAGAATTTCAAGTAAATGTCTTTTAGTCATTCTGTTGAGACAGTATTTCAGTGCTGCTCAGCACGGTGAAAAGAAGAAAGGCTTTCAGGTGAGTGAGGTCTGTGTGCCAATTCGTCACTTAGATGGGCAAAGTAACCTATTTAATTTCTCTGACCCCAGTTTCATTATCTGTAAAATGGGAGTAGTCATAGTTATCTCGCATGGTTGCTGTGAACAATAAATTAATGATGCATGGAAAGTAAAGCACCTGTCATGGTGTCTGATGCATAGTGTTCACTCAATAAATGATAGTTGCTTTTACTGTTATTATTGCTTGCTTCTCCTAATGGAAATACATGCTTCCTAACTTGTTGCACAAATTTGTGTGTGTCTATGTATAAAACACACCTAAGTCTTTGATTAGTGATAGTCATCTGATTACTGTAACAGAATTTAGTTGAGCCCTGAGTGATCTAAAATGCAAATACAGTTTATCACCCAGAACAGTTCTTAGAACAGTTTTCTTATAGTTCACACTTTTTAAAGTCTAGAAGACTTTGGGGATTATATTGAATTACTATAAGTCCACTCTGGGTAAGGGAAGGTAAGTAGGAAACTCAGGGCAGGACTTAGCAACCCCCACTTCTACCTCTGCTTCAAACAAAGAAACTCTCTTTTTTTTAATTATTATTATTATTATTATTATTATTATTATTATTTTACCAGAAAAGCATGGAAATTTTATGCTAGAAGCCAAGGGAAGAGAACTTTTCAAGGAGGAGGGAGTGATCAACCATTTCAAATGCTAGGAGCATTCAAATAATCTCAAAGAAAAATGTGGAGCTTCAAAAGTTCATTGGCCTTTGTAGAGGAGGTAGGAATCCAAAACAGTGGTGATTTTATAACCTTGGCTCAGAGAGTTGGGGCAGTGGCCCAGGTGTCTGGTGGATGGGATGCCATGAAACCATCTATCAAGAGACGTAGACAGGATCAAGAAATGAGGAGTAGAGGAATCGTCTTCCTAGCACCCTGACATCCTATTCTCTGTGGAGATTGAGGCCCTTTGCTTTCTCTTAAATAAGATAAATGACTAAAAGACGTTTACCTGAAGAAGAAAATTAAATGTTATAAAGTTTCTAAAAGGTGTTAATTAAAGGAAAAATCATGGTAGGATGTCATACCAGAGCAACTAAGAAGACTAGGCAAAGTGGTGGAAGATCAGTGGCTGGTAAATCAGATGGGTCAGGGATCAAGCGTGTTCTTAAACATCAGCTAAATTATGCTACTGCAATCCACAGGAGACAGTGGCTAGGACCAGGGACATTATCAAGGCAGTTATCAAGAAATGAGATTGTTAAAATGTACAAAAGAGATTGGGTTTTTGGACAAAGGGAAAGATTACCCAGGGAGCAGCTCAGTGGAGAGTGGGAATAGAGATCAAATAATGAAGCTGGACTCCATGATCCTTGAGTACCTCTGTAGTTCTGATATGTTATCATTGTTTGTCTAGTAAACACACTATGAAGCATTGTTTTCAAAATCTTTTTTTGGATGTGATCAGCAAGCATGCAGTCTATGGGAAAGATTAGGACAGGGGCTAAGCAACATGTTAGAAGATTTGCAGAGTTTGCCTTCCAGTGCTCCTTTGTCACCCAAATATGCTGTCATGTGGAAAGAATCTTATATATTTTGGTATAATGGCTGCTGTGGCACTCCAAGGGGGTCCTATGTTTTAGCATTGAAATGACAACATTTATAGAATCAATGATAGATCAGTGACCACTGTAGAATACTTTAATTACATACCTACTATGCTTGCTTCTGTTTTTCAAAGGGGGGCCTACTGACTAGCTACGTTGAACTCACTTGAAGGTCTGTATTAAAAATGTGGATTTATAGGCTGTCTCTCAGATTAGCTGATTCAGAATATCTGAGGATAAGTCCTCAGAATCTGTATTTCTTTGAGACAGGGTCTTACTTTGTGGCCCAGGCTGGAGTGGAGTGGCATGATCACAACTCATTTCAGCCTCAAACTCCTGGGCTCTAACCGTCCTCCCATCTAAGCCTCCTGAGTAGCTGGGACTACAGGTACATGCCACTATGCCCAGCTGATTTTGAATTTTTTGCAGAGATGGGGTCTCCCTGTGTTGCTGAGGCTGGTCTCAAACTTCTGAGCTCAAGTGATCCACCTGTCTTAGCCTCCCAAAGTGCTGGGATTACAGGCGTGAGCCACCACGCCCAGCCACCCAGCCCAGAAACCTGTGTTTTAGCATACCTACCAGGTGATATTTATCCACAAGTTTGAGAACTACTGACACAAGAAGTCATCTACGAAGCTTCTTCATGTGAAATGTGATAAATGTGAGAAGATTAAATACAGCCCTTCCCTGTAGTGGATAGTACACATATGTAACATCCTAAATACAGATTTACTTATTTAACCCAAAGTGAACGAATGTAGATTGGCTGCTATTGAATGACATCCTAGTTTCTAGATGCTTCTTAACAATATTCACGTACTTGTGAATCTCATTTTTATTTTTGTTTAAATGTGCTTTGAGTGCATAGGTCAGGGTGGTGGTTTTATTTTTAATTTTCTGTTTTTAGCAGATCCAAGGTTAACTCACCATAGCTCCTGTGAGCACAGGCAGCATACCAGCTACACCTTACTTTTGTATGATATGCAACAAGGGAGAAGCTGAGGAAATGCACTCCAAATGTCTTTTTCCCTATAATCATGTTGTTATCTGAAGTTTTTGGAAATATCTGGGAGAAAGCATCCAAATCACACTGAAGTACTAAATAATGAAAACACTGACCTCTGAATGGGTAGGATTGATCTCAAAATAGTGGAGAAGAACAAAAACTGCCATTATCTTAAAGGTGATTTAGTGATAGAAGTCTGACATTTCTTCCTTCTGCAAAAGTTACATTATTAAAGATCCAGTGAATTATGACTCTACTGAAGTGAAATATTGGTATTATGTTCTATGGGTTTTTTTCTCCAAAGAAAATTCTTGATCCTTTTATTTGCTGCACTATGAAGTATAATAGACAGACTAAAAAGTACAGATATTATGAAATACTAAGTGGCAGAACCCAGGAAGAGATAATAAAATATGTATAGAAAAACAACCAAATACCCAAAAGTTCATTTTACTTTGGCTCTATTCATGAAAATATGACTAAGCTTCCCCCAAAAAGCTGCTAGGGTGAGCACGCAAGGGGATGTGAGAGGTTAGGCTACTATTTTGAAGGTAATATTTTGGCAGATAAATCAGTCGACAATTATTTACGGAATGCCTCTAGTATATCCAGTATTGTGGCAGATACTACATTAAGATCACCCCAAGTTTATTCCTTTCTGCTTTTTTTCTTGATAAGAAAGACAAAATGAAGACATTAGCTTTGCCTATGTGACACTGAATCTGAATCAAGAGGTTAATGTTTAAATAATTTGGTCAAATTTGATTTTGGGCATTTATTAAAACTATCTCCACTCTTTTCCTCTCACTGCCTTCAGTTAGTAGAATTCAACCAGTCAGTGCTCTGAATCTGGGCAACCTGATTTGTACATGTAGACATAGCCTTTGATATTTGAACAAAAATCCCTTAACAAAATACTGAGGTACCCAACTTCAACTGAATTGCTTGAGTCACTCTCAACAAGCCAAATGGAAACAGAAAAAAACCTCGCCTTGGCTCATTCAGCTCAAGGATTGAACTCCCAGACAATATTAACCCTAATAAAATATGAGGCTAGATAAAACACAGTGTGAGAGGATCATTTCGAGGACTGATCAAGTGTCGGAAGGCGCTCTTTATTGCTATTGAGATTTCAAGGGAGAACAGAAGCTAATAGCCTGGTAGTTATCTTGAGGTAGGTGTGACTTCAGGGTCACAGATAAATAAAGATGATTACCATCTGTATACCCAGACACAATACAGTCCCTCAACTCCGAAAATTCCCATTATGCCCATCCAACAAGATTTCATTACAGGTCAATAAATAGGAGGGAAGGAGAGCTATTGTAACTGGTGCTCTGAGGCAGAAGAAAAGGAACACGGCTGCATTTAATTGTGCTGTGACTGTTGTGTTTGGCTTCAAGTTTACATTCAGTTAATCATAATTCGTTTCTCAAGCAAGTTTTAGATCTCCTTTCATAACTGACTCTTCAATCTATCTCCTCAAATGGTATTTCAGTGCTTAATGAGCTTGCTACAGTGGTCTCCTGTGAGGTAATAGCAATAAAGTTAAAAGAAGGGAATCATGAATCACAAGCTTTCTTCATGGGCCGTGGTTTTTCTTTGGTGTTAGCCTTAAGATGCTAATTAATGGACACCTCATCAATCAGCTAGGTAAGGTAGACACTTGCCTGCTTGCTCAGCACAGAGAAGGATGAAGCCCATTGCCTCTGCAGCCTGATGGCACTTTTGCCTTAATATGAATCTGACCACCATACATGCCTGCTTCTTTATTTGCTTTGGTGGAATAAAACAGGGACATGACAAAGTATGAATATAGGATGGAGAGGAAGGAGGTATAGAAAAGAATAATGAGGTTGCCTACTGTTAGGGTCAAGGTTATAGTTGGTAGGTAAGATAGAGACAGTTGGAGAGGTTGGCAACTTGCATGAATGTGGCAATGAGTCTGTGAAAACACACACATGGCCTATTATCTTGGAACACTGGGTCTCTAAGAATATAATTTCAAAAGAAAAAAAAGGAGTCTAGCATAATGACTTCAGCACTATATTTTCAACTCAGATCTTGCCCACTACTGCTGGAAATCCCAGAGGGTGGTGTGGTGGCCCAGTTAGCAGTGGCCTTCTTCTAGTGGGAATATTAAAGTGAGGAAATAATTACTGTGCTCTCCTTGTAGACCCAGAACTGTGTTATACACAGTAGGGATCTGGTGCATAAAATAATAAGAAAGATGGGATTCTTGCTACAATTAGCTTTTAGTGTAATGAGGTGGGGGTAGGGGGCTTTATACACATACATAGAGAACAATGCAAAAAATCATTGATTCTTAGAATTTAAGGACCCTTAAAAACATCTAATTCAATTTAACACAAATAGTCATTAATATAGAAATGTAGAGAAATAAAAATTATCAATAAAATTAATTGTCAAGAAACAGTGAGGAGATTAAAAAAAGGAAAAATGAGGAGGTAGTACTGGAATTTTGATTCGTTTACCAATATATTTTCTGTCTCTTCTACTAGAATGTAAGCTCCATGAGGGCAAAGACTTTGTGTTATTTATTATTTTGTTCCCAGAATCTAATATCGTGCCTGGTAAACAGCAGAAGCTCAATGAAAATGGGATGATTTAGAAGAAATCAACTAAGTAAAGTCTGCTGATCTATCTTATCAGAAGATAAACCATAAACTGAAGACCACTGTCTGAAAAGATACTTACTGGTACAGGCTTTCTGTATATAGTGATTAACTGACATCAGTACAACAGCTGAAGTAGCCAAAGTTCCCCAGAAAATGGACACCGGCTTACACAGTTTGTAAACTAGTGGCTGTAAAGTTTGTTAAAAGGTCTTCTCTGCTGGGAGTCTCCAAGGGAGTATACTAAAGCAGTTGCTTTGGTATTCATTTCAATTTCACATAGATTCTTACTAACTTGGAATTTACAAAGGGAGATGAGCAAAGGATATGAAATCAGCATTGGTTCCCTTGGTCAATCTACCAACCTTTGCCCCCTCAAAGCTCCCCACTTCTAGTTAAAAGCATCATGTCCCTCAACCAAAGGCTACCAGGGTTATACCTGTGTTTGAATAAGTTAGGTTTAATATTCATTGTGATGAAGGTAAACACAAACTGTGGGGAACCATGGGGCACCTCAGTAGGAGATTGTGAGAAAAAAACTTATTACAGGATTTGAGCTTTGGTTAGGTGATATGGGGGAGTTTCAAAGAGACAGGGATTTGCTCCAGATTGGGTGCTGTCAGGAAGTGGTGACAATTTTGAGTGGGTGTCTCAATAAATCTTATCTAGAGCAGGGTCACACTAAAGTGAGGCCAAAGCTGCAGCTGGTAAAGAAACAGTGGTCATATTAACCAGGAGAAAGAGATATTTGCTATTTCGTGGTTTGGGCAATATTCGTGTTTTTGTTTGTTCTTAGAAGTAAATCGTGAAGTGGCCTTGTTTTCTCTTACTTTATTGTGGTCTCAGAGTGACCTTGTCTGACACTGGTGTTCTGTGAGATTGTTTATGTCCAACAGGAAACAATATAGCCAAGCTCTGTGTGCCAGGCAAGCTTTTAACACTGAAGCATAGCAGTAGGTGTCAGACCTTTTCCTGATGTCAGAGCTGCCTTTCTTTTTTTTTTCTTTTTCAGCAGTAAAAACATTGTGGACCCAGGAAGTGCCTCCTACAGTGGTGATATTTTCTCTTCTCCAAATTAATCATGCACCAAGCACTAATCTTGTACTCAACCAAAGGAGAGTCTTGCTCAGAAGAATTTGCCAATGTATAATCTTGATTTATTGATGAATTTTTGCGCTTTACGAGGTCAATAGATACCCACAGGTGCTACTACCATATTTTGTCACAGTCTGTCTGTGTTCTCGAAGATGATATTGAAATTCGTTCACAGAATAGCTCTAGGTAGACACTCTGTTCCCACTCGCTGTTCCGATGTTTGCTCTTCTCAATTGATTTTGAATGAAAAGATACAAGTCCTTTTGACTCTGCACACTGGGCTCCCTCCCACTGAGCACAAACTAATTGCTGTATTTACCTAGACATCCTCTGCTGCATAAAGACTATTAGTGCTCACTGGAAATTCATCCTGAGTAATATATTAGGGCAAATTATACCTCTCAGTTCATTCAGAAATGTCTTCCCCTTTGTTGTAGATAATTAGTATCATTTGACCACCTGTAAAATATTATAAACCAGCCAGTGAAGAGGCAGAAAGAACAGTTAATTTATACTCATGGTAGGTCTTTTGGGTAAGACTTGCTGGGCCTTGGTGTTTGGATAATGATTAATTAAGGGAACAGAAGATATATCTGGTGGGACAACCTCCTCCTGCCTCTTTAATGTTCCATGGTTGTGGGAGCATTGGACAATTTCACTGTCTCTCCCATCATGAATGAGCTTTTGAAAGCTAGAACTCAGTCTGTGTTAACAATGGGAATCTTCTGGTTCTCATTCACCAAAGACTGAGATGATAACATAAACAAAGGCCCCACAGGCATAATTGAGCCTTTGGAAGATCTGTAGCAATGGAGAAAAGATGGCTTAGGTGACAGAGTTGCTGGAAGATATGAACTGGTTCTAGGAAAGCAGTTAATTAGCATGGGAGTGGCCAGATTGATTCAATTGTAGCTCCTGAATAGCAAACTAATGTTTCTCAGTCTTTACCTTTCACCAGCCCATAGAAATGAGCCACAGAAAATGTTATTCACTCAATTGTTTGGTCAGCTTTGATCTACCTTGTCATACAACAAAAACAGGTTCAGGAAAAAATGATAAAATAGTACATATCCTTGATTACTTTTTACTTATCCTTTGGATGTCATTTCTATATTTCATGTATCTCTTGCCTATTGCTGAGTGCCCTCAGTTGCCCTTAAAGTACCTCAGGATCAATTCCTAAAACACGTATACACACATACAACCTGTAGCTGTGCTCACAACCTAGATCTTTTTATTTCCAAATTTCCCCTTCCCATTTCACATTACAAAGGGGCTTTTAAATCACCTTACAATTTATACAAACTACTTCATGTCAATGGTGATAAGGAGTTAGTGTGTTTGCCTTCCATAGATATTTGATATTTGCATTTTGGTGCATGTCGCCCATATTGCATTATCTCACAATAACTCTAATGGTGAAATGAGTTTCAGAAACCGGTAGATGATGTTCACACACACATACATACACACATATTGGGGAATATCTTTAGTTTGAGGGGACATCCTGATGCCACATTATACCACAGCATTTAGGCTGCCATAGACTCCAACTATAAATGAAGCTAGCTCATATCATATATATAATACCTTTAAGGAGACAATATCACAGGGCTCCCTTAAAAGTCAAACAGCAGAAAATCAGTCAGGGAGAGTATGATGGCTGATTTTATGTGTTGACTTGATTGGGCCATGTGGTGCCCAAACATTTGGTAAAACATTATTTGTTGTATCTGTGAGGGTGTTTCTGGATGAGATTAACATTTGAATCGGTAGGCTGAATAAAGCAGATTGCTCTCCCTAATGTATGTGTGTTTGTGTGTGAGTGTCTGTGTGTGTGTGTGTGTGTGTGTGTTTACCTCATCCAATTGGTTGAACACCTGAATAATTAAGAAAAAGGCTGATTTATTGGTAAATCCTCCTACCTTATTGTTTGAGCCCAGACATTAGTCCTTTCTGCCTTTACACTTGGTCTGAAACATTGGTTCTTCTTGGGTCTTGAGTTTGCCAATTTTAGACTTGAACTTACATAAGTTCTCTGGTTCTCAGGCTTTCAGACTCTGACTTGAACTACACATTGGCTCTCCTTGGTCTCCAGTTTGGCAGCTGCAGATCTTGGTACTTCTCAAGCCGATGTAGTTGCATAAGCCAGTTCCTTATATTAAGTATCTATCTCTCTCTATTTCTATTGGCTCTTTTTCTGTGGAGAACAGTGACTAATATAGAGAGTTCATTCTTTTCTCAATAGATGGCAAGACTATGTATAATTAGAAGAATTCAGTAAAGACATTTTTTTCGGGTTTTCCTATCTGTTATATTTAAATTTAGATGGAATTGATTGATCAATTTAGGCAAATGCTGATTTATTTGTCCAAATAGCTGAATTGATGTAGTGCAACAACCAAGAATTTTGGGAAAGCTAGTCATTTTAATCAAACCACTATACATATTAGTGCTTACTAACTAGCTCAAATCTTCCTCAGATGGCCAAGAAAGTCAAAACCAGGAAAAGAAATACAGGCATACCTCATTTTATTCCACTTCACTTTATTGTGCTTTTCAGATCTTGTGATTTTTACAAATTGATGGTTTGTAGCAACCCTGTGTCAAGCAAGTCTATTGTTGCAATTTTTGCAACAGCATGTGCTCTCTTCAAGTCTCTGCATCACACTTTGGTAATTCTCTCAATATTTTAAACTTTTAAATTGTTATATCTGTTATGGTGATCTGTGATCATTGACCATTGATGTTACCAATGTAATTGTTTTGAGGTACCAAAAAATGTGTCTATGTAAGATGGAAAACTTAGTTGATAGATATTGTATGTGTTCTGACTGTGCCACCAACTGGCTGTTTTCCTGTCCCTCTCCCTCTCCTGGGGCCTCCTTATTCCCTGAGGCACAACAATATTGAAATTAGGCAATTTAATAAGCATACAATGACCTCTAAGTGTTCAAGGAAAGGGAAGAGTCACATGTCTCCCACTTTAAATCAAAAGCTAGAAATGATTAAGCTTAGTGAGGAAGGCATGTCAGAGAGCCAAGACAGATTGAAAACTAGGACGCTTGCACCAAACAGTTAGCCAAGTGGTAAATGCATATGAAAAGTTCTTGAAGGAAATTAAAAGTGCTACTCCAGGGAATACATGAACAGTAAGAAAGCAAATCAGCCTTATTGCTGATAGGGAGAAAGTTTTAGTGGTTTTGTTAGTAAATCAATCCAGCCAGAACATTCTCTTAAGCCAAAGCCTAATCCAGAGCAACACTCCAATTCGCTTCAATTCTATGAAGACTGAGAGAGTTATGGAAGCTGCAGAAGAAAAGTTTGAAGCTAGCAGATGTTGGCTCATGAAGTTTAAGGCAAGAAACCATCTCCATAAGAAAAAAGTGCAAGATGAAGCAGCAAGTGCTGATGTAGAAGCTGCAGCAAGTTGTCTGTAAGACCCAGATAAAATAATTGATGAAGGTTGCTACAGCAAACAACAAATTTTCAGGGTAGATGAAACAGCCAGGTATTAGAAGAAGATAGCATTTAGGACTTTTATAGCTAGCAAGAAGTCCATGCCTGGCTTCAGAGCTTCAAAGGGCAGGTTGACTCTGTTGTTAGGGGTTAATGCAGCTGGTAACTTTAAGTTGAAGCCAATATTCACTTACCCTTCTGAAAATTCTAGGACCCTTAATAATTATGCCAAATCTGCTCTGCCTTTGCTTTATAAATGGAAAAACAAAGCTCGGATGGCAATATCTATTTATAGCATGGTTTACTGAATATTTTAAGCCTACTGTTGAGATCTACTTCTCAGTTAAAAGGATTCATTTCAAAGTGTTACTGCTCATTGACAATGCACCTGGTCACCTGAGAGCTCAAATGACAAGGAGATTAGTGTTTTGTTCATACCTACTAATACAATATTTATTCTGGCAATCACAGAGCAAGGAGTAGGTTTGACTTTCAAGTCTTATATTTAAGAAATGCATTGCATGAGGCAATAGCTGCTATGGATAGTGATTCCTCTGATGGAGCTGGGAAAAGTACATTGAAACCCTTCTGGAAAGTATTTACATTAAGAACATTCATGATCCATAGGGGAAGATCAAAATATCAATATTAACAGGAATTTGAAAGAGATGGATTCTAACCCTTGTGGATGACTTTGAGGGGCTTAATACTTCAGTGGAGGAGGTAAGCAGATGTGTAGAAATAGCAAGTTAGAATTAGAAGTGGAGCCTAAATATGTGACTGAACTGCTGAAATCTCATGATAAAACTTGAATGTGTGAGGCGTTCCTTCTTATGGATGAGAAAAGAAAGAGATATCTTAAGATGAAATCTACTCCTGGTGAAGATGCTGTGAACATTGTTGAAATGACAAGAAAGGATTTAGAATACAGTTGTCCCTTGAACAACAGAGGCTTGAAGTATACTGGTCTACTTATACGCAGATTTTCTACTACCTCTGACACCCCTGAGACAGAGAGACCAACCCTTCTCTTAGCCCCTCCTCCTCCTTAGTCTACTCAGTGGGAAAATAACAAAGATGAAGACCTTTATGATGATCTACTTCTACTTAATGAACAGTAAATATACTTTCTCTTTTTTTGTGATTATCTTAATAACATCTTATTTTCACTAGCTTAATTTATTGTAAGAATACAATATATAATACATATAGCATTACAAAATATATATGATAATCAGCTGTTTATATTATCAGTAAAGTTTCTGGTCAACAGTAGGCAATTAGTAATTAAAACTTACAGGAGTCAAAATTAGATGCAGATTTTTGACTGCACGAGGAGGGGTGCCAGTACTCCTAACCCACAAATTGTTCAAGGGTCCACTAAACCTGTTTGATAAAGCAGTGGCAGGGTTTGAGAGAATTTACTCCAATTTTGAAGGAAGCTTATTGTGGGTATAATGCTATCAAATAGCATTTTATGCTACAGAAAATTCTTTTGTGAAAGGAAAAGTCAGTTGATGTGACAAACTTCATTGTTGTCTTATTTTTTTTAAAAATGCCACAGTTACCCCAGACTTAGCAGCCACCACCCTCATCAATCAGCAGCCATCCGCATTGAGGCAAGACCCTCAGCAGTCAAAAAGATTACATAATTTGCTGAAAGGTTAGATGATTGTCGGGATTTTAAGCAATAATATATATTTAAATTGAGATATGTATATTGTTTCTTTTTAGACATAATATTACTACACACCTAATATACTAAAGTATAGTGTAAATATAACTTTTATATGCACTGGGAAACCCAAAAAATGTCTGTAATCTGTTTTATTGAAACGTTTGCTTTATTGAGGTGGTCCAAAATTGAACCCAAAATGTCTCTAAGATATGCCTGTGGTTGGAATGGTCTGTGCTAGGTAGGAGCTGTATAACTAGTTAAGTTAGGATATATAATACGACTTCATCAGGAGGAGCAAAGGGCAAGCTTGGCTGACATGATTGATCAAATCTAGCAAAGCAGTCAAAGAGGTTTGTCAATCTGTGCCCATGTTTAATCAAACCCTGGGCAAGTTTAGTCCATTTCTCATTTTGATTGATTTTGAATTATTAGATCATTTTGGCTGAACTAAATGACTAATACCATAGCTTCACAAGAATGCGCATTTAGAATAAACTATAATTTTCAGCTTCTACTTAACAAGGGACCATAGACACAGGTAACACTTGCATAAGGGGGGGGTCTATAAATCTCTGAGATGGCCAAGGGAAATTATTACATGATTGAACCAAATGGTGTAATAGGTATGATCTGGTTCCTTCAGCTGTTCACTCTGGAAAAAGATCTGCTGAACTGAATCTACTCAGTAAGGTGGTCTTACACAGTCAGGCTGCTTTGTTGGTCATCGCTCACTGCCAGTATAAAGCCAAATATTCAAAGCAACAAATTGGAAAAAGTAATAAAAGAGAAAAATGGTTACAACTTCCTACCTGATCTCAAAAGGTTTTATTCATAAGAAGAGAATCCCATATCCTGAAGAACATTAATTCAATTCAGGTTGTACTCCTTTGAGGATTACAGTATAAATTATTTCCCCATTGCCTGGCTCCTGCCCCGAATAAATTTCAAAGATTTTTTTTTCATCAAAGGAAAGCAAATTAAGATTTTTGCTTCTCTCTCAAAAACCAAGTTACTGCAGTCCAGAATGGTGTCAGAATACAAGTTGAATACTGTAGGTATAACAAAACAAAATCAGCAAGTTTTTTTTCCAAGTATTTGGGGTAGTGTTTAAAAAGCCATTTAGAGTATAATATAGAGAAAAACAATTCAGAGGCAGAGTGTGCAAATGCAATCCTGTAGTTTTCTACTTTGAAAATTCCAATGGCTAATGCTTAAACTCAGGCTGACATCTCTTTTTCATCCTACGTTCTGTCCAACTGTATCTGGAAGGGAGAATGGTGGACTATACTATAGTGAACTGTTTTTCAAACTGTGGGTCCTAGCCCAATGATGAGATGTAAAATAATTTAGTAGGAAAAGACCTACCTCTTTTTTCTCTTGTTTTTCTTATTTTTAAAGTGAAACAGGGTACAGTAGAAAATACTAGAGTACAGTGCCCACATTAATGGTAGTATTACCTTATAAAACTTTTATGTCAGTTATGTGGTCATATTTTATAGGTCCACATATAGACATATAAATTATCTATCTATCTATCATCCATCTACTTATCTGCCTATTTATCATCTATATCTGTCTATGTAGAGTGTGTGTTGTGTTTGCATTGGATAATGATGTCAAATATATTTCTTACTGAAGGCTGTGGTCAAAAAAGTTTGAAAGACACCACTCTAATGAAAAGAACACGAACTTGTTTTAGTCATACAGATCTGGAGTCCAGACATGTACTCAGGGTTGGAAATGGGAGGAAGATTGTGGAGTGATCCTCTTGGGCAGGAAGAGGAATTATTTCTTTGACATGTTTAGAGTTGTCAACTCATGTTAAGAATAAAAAGAAGAATGACTGAAGTCGGCGTAATTATTATTTTAAAATTCTTTACTGGTGATGTACGTTCTTATTGCTAGAGCCGAGAACATAGTTCCTGATGCATGGTACGTGTGTAACAAATGTTTTTGAGCAAATAAACCTAAGATTTCTTTAGGGTTTTTGCCAGTCATGCCGTAATTTTGGTGCATTTGGGTACTGTGGTCAACATAGACTTCTAGTCTTTTTATGTGAATCTCTAGAACGTTTTCTCTCATTTTTCCATTGTCCATTTGACTTTTGAATCTACATATTAATTTTTTTAATTTTGCTGTCTTGATTTGGGTTATTGTATCTTATTGAATAACTTGAATTTTAATTCTTACTCTTCCTTTCCAGTTTTATGAACTCTAGGGCAGAAAATGGCACAGCAACAAAACAAAACAAAAACAATCACTAAACCCTAAAAAAAATCTGAACTATAGCAACAACAAAATGCCCTTTATATCTTTATCCAGACTTAACTCAGAACTATTTTAGGCCAAACAAAATCAAGAAATGTACTGTAAAAATTATTTGCATTAGTAATCAAGTATTCAATGCCTTACTCTGTTTGGGCAGCTATAATACAATTACCATAAACTGGGTGGTTTAGAAAGAACAGAAATTTATTTCTCATGCTTCTTTCTGGAGGCTGGAAGTCCGAGATCAAAGAACCCAAAGATTCAGTGACTGGTAAGGGTGCACTTTCTAGACTGCTCTAACCTCACATTGCAGATGTGGGGAGGGATCTCTCTTTTATAACAGCACTAATTTTATTTATAAATTTTTATAAGAGCACTTCTTTATAAGAGCACTAATTTTATTTATAAAAACCCCGCCCTCATGACCTAATCACCTCCCAAAGGACTCACTTCCCAAAATACCATCACCTTGTGGCCTAGGATTTCAACATTTAGATTAGAGGTGTCCAAACTTTGGCTTCCCTGGGCCACATTGGAAGAAGAAAATTGTCTTGCACCACACATAAAATATACTAGCACTAATGATAGATGATGAGCTAAAAAAAATCGCAAAAAAATCTTATAAATCTTATGTTTTAAGAAAGTTTATGAATTTGTGTTGGGCCACATTCAAAGCTCTCCTGGGCCACATGTGGCCCATGGGCTGTGAGTTGGACAAGCTTGGTTTAGATTTTGGGGGGATACAACATTCAGATCATCGCAGTCAGATATTTTACATTTAATTCACAAATTTTTGAATTGACAATTCTGTTTTCTGCCTATAAAGTGGATTCTCAAGGGTTCAAGATGGCACCTTTTGCCCTAACTTGTCTCCCAAGTGTGCACCCTCAGTTAAAAAGGGCATGCCTAACTTAGCAGAGAGTCAATCTTGCTACGAAGCAATCAATCCTAAACACTACTGATGAGGATGAAAAGGCCCCAAACTGTGGTTTGCACATCACAGAGTGAATCAGGAGGGGCTGACTTAGACAGCTGCTGACAATATTACCAGAAGTTTAATAATAAACTAATTTTTAAATACTAACGTTCTAATGCCATATAATTGAGAACTTATCAGGATTCTCTTCTAGCTGTTTACCTTCTCAGCTTACTGATTTCTGTTCTGTTCAAACTTTCAGTTAAAAAAAAAAACCTTGAAGTTATTCTACCTTCCCCTTCATTGTCCCTTACATCTGATCAGAGGAAAAAGAGTTAACTTTGGAGTCAAACAGAACTAGGTTCAAATTCTGCCTTTGATTCTTACTAGCTCATTTTCCCCAGCAATGAAATGAAATGAAATGAAATGAAATAAAATGAAATAGCATGTCATTAGTATCAGAGATGTTGGTCAAATGGTACAAACTTTCAGTTATAAGATGAATCAGTTCTGGGGGTCTAATGTAACATGTGGGTGGTGATGGATGTGTTCACCACTTTAATCATGGTGCATTACACAATATATACATATACCAAATAAATACATTGTACACTTTGAAAAATACAATTTTCTCAATTAAATATTTTAAAATAAAATTTAAAAATGTTTCCTGTCTTCTTTTTCATCTTCTGTCATAATGTCTTTCAAATTTGTTCCTTTTTTTCCATTGCTGCTGCTACCAATCATTACCCAACCTCATACTCAAAATACTGAAATAAGTTCCTAGATAAATAATATTTTAACCTTTCTACTGCCCCAAAATAACTGAGGGATGTGACACACACTTATCAGCTCATCAGTAATGTGGTTCCCTACTGCAATGATTATCATCTGGCTGTGTATGGAGGAAAGGAGGTTATCAGAATCTAAAGAAGTTGTATTTTTATTTTTATTTACTTATTTTGCAATTTAATTCAATTTTTTGGAGTAGAGTATGTTACAGAGAATAAAAGAACTTTAGAACAGTTCTTTTAACTATTCTGTTTTTTATAAAGTCCAAGATGTATAGAATTTTAAAGCTCCTTCTTAAAAATAATTCAGCTACTCTTCTTGCCTTGAGGATAAAGTCCAAACTTCTAAACATGATTCATATGTTCTTCCTGTTCAGGCTCTTGTTTACCTCTCTGTTTCATCCTCGCATTCTATGCGCCAACCACTCTGAATTCCTTTCCATTTCTCCAGTGTTCTTTGCCTTCTCTTATCTCCCACCTTTGCACACACAGTTCCCTCTGCCAAGGTGTAGTACCCACCTCTTCCCTCCCTCTCTTTTTTCTTAGCTTACTTCTTTTCTTAAAATTTTATTTTAATTTTCCATAGGTTATTGGGGTACAGGTGGTATTTGGTTACATGAGTGAGTTCTGTAGCAGTGCTTTGTGAGATTTTGGTGCACCCAGTTTACAATAGCAAAATCATGGAACCAACCCAAATCCCCATCAATGAAAGAGTGGATAAAGAAATTATAGTATATATATACAATTGAATACTTCTCAGCCATAAAAAGGAATGAATTAATGGCATTTGAGGCAACCTGGATGAGATTGGAGACTATTATTCTAAGTGAAGTAACTCAGGAATGAAAAACCAAACACCATATGTTCTCACTGATATGTGGGAGCTAAGCTATGAGGACTCAGAGGCATAAGAACGATATAATGGACTTTAGGGACATGGGGGGAAGGGTGGGAGGGGGGCGAGGGATAAAAGACTACAAATAGGGTGCAGTGTATACCGCTTAGGTGATGGGTGCACCAGAAGTTGTATTTTTAAACAAACAATAAGTCCCCAAAATATTCTTCTTTATTCCTGTAGGCAGCTTCCCATATGTCACATTGAGAATCACTATAAACCTATCCTGACTCCAAAACCTTCCATGATATGGTCCTGTACTACATGTAACAACAGCTTGTAATAACTGACACTCACATAGAACTTTATGGTATTAAAATGTTTTCATATATATGGTCTCATTTAATTTCCCAATGATGTAACACGTGGTAGGTATTATCTTCATTCCACTGATGAAGAAATTGGCTCAGAAGAGTTCGATAACTTGACCAAGGTTACATAGCTAGTAAGTGGCAAAGTAGAATTCAATCCCAGGTCAGTCTGTTCACAAAACCCATGGCCCTGGGTCTTGGGACTTGCTGGCACTCTCTCATTCTCAATACTTGTTTCTTTTTCTGGTCTTTATCTTCCAGGCTCCCTAACTTGATTCATGTGTTTAATTAACACATTTGCTTCTCAGATCACATTGGTTGATTTGAGACCCTGGCCTGACATGTTTGCAGTTTTGGTTCAGGTCCCTGTACCACGCCACTGACCTATAAAGCCTGTGTCAGACTGTTCCTTCAGACTAGGAATGCCTTTGCTTCTCTTCTCTCCCATCACTTCAAGTCCTCCATCCTTCAAGGCCTAGCTCAGGTTTGCAGTCTCTGAAAACACTAAACAATTCACTCAGCTCTCTACCTTATCTGACCCCCTGAAGCATTTATTGTTTGTACTGTATAAGTGAGCATTTTATTATAAAATGCCTTTTCTAATAATTGTTTCATGAAAATTCCTTGTCTACTCACTGGATTGTAGATTCTTGTTGATATGGATTGTGTCTTGTGCGTTATTGTATAACTCATAATGTCTGATACCATGTTAGATGCTCATACATACTTATGGGTTGAATGATTTCAAGTGGGACAAAGTTGATAAAAATAAAATGGAAATAACTGTTGCTTGAATACAATGGTCTGAAGTGCTTCTCAAACATGAGAACCTTCATGGGGATCTTAAGGATTTTAGAACCTTCCCAGAGATTCTTTTTGTGGCTACATTCATCTTGTGCCATCTTGATAGACTTCAAGATGAAGTTTTGCTGCTGATACAGAGATCAAGGAGGATTAACTTCATGATGTAATAAATATCTTTTTCCAGTTTTCCCATGACCTTTTTAGAAGCTTGTATTAAGATCATCTTGAAGACCCTTTAATCTCCAAGATATCTGGAAATCCCTAGCAAACCTCTTCAGTTCTGTGCTTCTCCTTATACTCTCCGTGTTCATCACAGTGGTAGAACTGTGCAGGTGCTCAATAAAAATTTTTTGAATTATGTTTTAATATTTACACTTTTTGCCATGAGAGACGTATAAGAGAGTGGCTAAGAGCATACTGCAGACCTGATTGCCTGAGTTCAAGTACCAGCTCTACCACTTATCAATCCTATGAGTTTTGGAAAGTCAATTTACTATTCTATGTCTCAGTTTTTTCACCTCTGAAATGGGGATAGTAATAATAACTATATCCAAGGGTTTTTGTTTATATTAGCCACAATAAATCCATATAATAAATTAATATAATAAATCCAGTACTTGGAGCGTAGCAAGTGTTTGTTGTTATTAGCTTTTCCCTTTTCTCTGCAGGTGATATCTCTGTCTTCTTCCACTACTTGTCCATTTCTTCCATATCAGATATAATTTATAAAAATGTGACCTGTGTTTATATATAGTATCTTCTAATTGTGTCTCATGTCTCTCACTGAGATATTTCCTCAGTGTGCTGAATCCTTAATATCTATAATTACTATAGAATCAGCTGCTGAAATGCACCCTCATATAGCAGTGTGAATGTGCAGCTGAAAGTTGGGTCATTAGGAAAACAGTACAGAAAAAACAATAAAGTTGAATTGATTTGCCTTATTCATGCATCATCCTTAATGTCTTTAAACAGTCCCACTTATTTGGTTTAGTAAACTATCAGAGCAAGGTTGATATGTTGCCTGGATATTTTAGTGATTTTCCAACTTTGAACTAACTGTTCTCTAAATCTTCCTCTGTAGCTGCCAGTGGAAGCCAGTCTAATACATTCTTGATGGATATCAAACTAAATCATTGTCCTGACTGGAGAAGACCCCCAAATTCCTGTATTTAAAAAACAGATTTTTTGAGTGAAGCATTTGAGTGATAGATACTACATATGTACTCACAGTGTATCCTCCCTACCAATTTTGAAGAGTTAATATGATAGTTTTCCCCCTACTTCCCCTTGTGATGTTCTCAATAGAAATCTGAGTGATCCTGTGAGCTAGAAGGCAAAGAAGTGTGCTTTAACTACTGTTCATACCTCTTCAGTTGCCCTGACAAACCTTATTGTGGCAATACCAATGGAAGATGATTAACTTCTGGCTTCTTGAGGAAACAGTAAAGGTACTTAGCCCTGTAGTTGTATTTTCCCATTTAAGGATTAAAATTCCTGTTAAAATGGGATCGGGGATAAGAATAGATAATGCAAATAAATATGGGGTAGCATAATTGTTAAGCCCATATGCTTTAGAACCAGCCTGCCTTTAGAAACCCTCGTTCTGCCATTATTTGTGTGGCCTTTGGAAAGCTACTTAACCTCTATGTACCTCAGTTTCTGCATCTGTAACTAATAATGTAAAGCATTTGCAAGAATATCTGGCACATAGTGTGCAGTAAATGGAGCTGTTAATACTCATGAAAGTTGTATGAATCCCTGTTGATGAGAAAGAGTTGTATCTAGAACATTTTCTAACGAAGCTTCTGACAATTTCTTTGTTCTCAGCTGGTGCTGAATTAGAATTTATCTGTAGGCATAAGCTGGTTGTAATGCATCTATGCAACCTATGCAATTGGAGAATCCAATTACTCAATAGAATGTGGTGATGAAGGTGAGCCTGCAGAGCATTTTCTTTCTGTGGAGGCTTTTTCCTGCCTGCCCTCACTGGGGGATAGTTGCTATAGACTGACTTAGGAAAAATACACTCTGGAAATCTCACTGTAACTGTAAACATGAACAATAGCATAGTATAGTGGAAAGGAAATAGATTTGACTTCCATTTCTAGCAATATCATAGACTAGATAATCTGGAAACTCTCATCCCACTCCCAGCTATAAAAAAATCAGAAATGCTGGATAAAATTAACTTATTAATTCACCAAATATTATGGAACACCTTTACCATGTGCCAGAGAGTGTTCTAGATGTTGAAGAAGTGAAACAGACACAAATGCCTGAACCTGTGCAGTTTCCATTCTGGTGAATAGAACACACAGAGTTTTCAAGGAATAATTGAGTTTTCAAGACAGAAAGGACATTTCCGGCGACCAAAAGCTAAAGGGAAACTATGAATCAGAGTGGTACCTATGAGATAAAGTGGTTTTCCTGGGTATGTTGGAAGTTCAGATATTTGTAACCAAGGCTTGGATTTTAACACTCATGAATGATATTGGAGTTAAGACTCCATGTAAGACCTCCATATAAAACCGGGTCTCTGAAAGTGCTTTACGTGCAGTGAAAAAATGTACTCAGAACACTTTTTTCCTTCACAGAAGAAGATGGCAAAGCAGTTTGTCCATCTCACCCTGAGCTCTTGGCAGAGAAAATATGTTTCTCCTGAGAGTTCGTAATCATGGGCCTGCCCTCATATGATTTTGAAGTATGAATTTAAACTGTATGCAGAAGTATAAAAGTAAAATCTATACCACAAACGTGTTGGCATTTGTTGCCAGATGTTCTGTGTGAGAAATTCTGATGTCATTTCCAAAGTCAAGCAAGCAGGAATAGGGAAAGAAGGTTGTCAAACTCTTTGTTATGGCAGGAGCTGTAGTAGACATTTTAAATTATGAGGGAGAAGGATAAAGCTGAAAATTATATAGCAACAAGATAGATCTGGTATCTGGGTTATTGATGATCATGGAGCCACCATACTGGCCCTTTATTTCTTACATTAAAGTAAGAGAAAAATACACTTATATTTTGTTTACACGATTTTATATCTCACAGCTGTACCTAATACTAATACAAATAATGAATAAACCCAATATTTGGGAATAAATGCTTCCCAAATAGTGGGGATAAAACAAAGGCAGTTTCGAATAGACAGCAACTTAGAGTTTACCTCTACAAGACTCTCGCTGAAAGAACTACTAAAGGGTCTATTTCAGGAAGAAGGAAATTGTGTTACAAAGGAAGCCATAAGATACAAAACAGATATTTGAGTAAACAAATATATGTGAGTAAATGTAAAGAGGCATTGATGACATAAAACAACTGTAATAGTTTTGGAAAGGTATGAATTTTAGAGTTAGAGAGTAGTGATCAAATTCAGGCTCTTTCATTTACCTTCTGGGTGATCAGAGGTAAATTACTTAACCTCTCTGAGCCTCAGTTTTCTCATTTGTGCATTGGGAGAATTGGAATAGGTACATAATGTAATTACTTAAATATTATAAATAATTTATGTAAGATTCCTGACATAGGGCTTTATGCATGTATTTAAACTTTGACAAATAATAATATAAATAGTTGTAGTGATGTAAAAGATGTTTGCCAGTAATCACAAATGACATTGGAGATGGCTGGTACTTTGTCATTTGACTGTTTCCTAAAATAATCTCACAGGGTAACATTTAGTACACTGGCTCTTGTACGTTAGTTTCAGACCTAGCCTTTAGTCTGTTTGCTTAGACATCTGGTATTGTTAACACATTGAGAATGGACCCATCAGAATAGGAAAATGCATACTAACTATTCTCACAAAACTAATGTCTAGAACTAGAATTTCAGTCTTAATGAATGATGAACATAATTGTCACACAGAAAAAAAATGCTTGTTTTGGCATGACCAGAAATTCTCTGCTATTAGGGTAACCTGCAAGGGAAGCCAAATAATAATCAGGGTACCAGTGTATTAAATCACAATGACACATAAATTTTACAGGAACTGGAATGTATAAAGTCTTTTGGACCAACACATCTCTCTTTCTAGACAGACAAGTATGAGAAGCCAAGTCAAAATTGTATGACCTTAAGCAAGTCACTTAACCGTGATGCTTGATAAGGTTTGCATCAGGTTAAGATGAGTCTAGATGAAATGAATATTTAATTATTTAAAACTAAGATAGACTGACACATCTCAAATAAAGGGAGGTCTTGCCAATGGGAATAACACACTTGATATCCATTCTCTCAAACTTCCTATAGTCATTTTCACAATAGAGATGAATGGTCTTATTAATGGAATCAGAATGCAAAATCCTTTGGCTAAGGTATTTTTCCCTAGACAGTGCTTGGATGGGCATCACCAAAAGGCAATATTTGTTTGTTGACTATCATTTTTCCCATGTCTGTTTGCCCAATTTCCCCTTCTCATAGATACATTCTTCCTGTGGATATATTAATACAGTTAATCAGGTTAAAAGTCTAATTCTGCTGGCCTACAAAAAATTTGTTTCTTGAAAACGACTTTGCTTATTCTTATTCTCATTTATTATGTATTGATTTCTTCATAATTCTGAAAGCAACCTCGTTGCCTTCATTTTCAAGTTCCTGTGTATGTGTGTGGGAGCTGGAGTAGCTCATTGCAGGCTGCCATATGAAGTTGATATTACTGATACACTACTAACTTTTCAATTAAAATGCATTTTGGCTTAGTCTCATCACTGTGGAAAATACTGGTGGCATATGCTTTGTATTGTTCTTCCAATAGTGGGGAATAAATTTTCACTAAGCCATCCATACATTTGTTGCCAAATTTCCAGTGGCTCAATTGCTAGATGTGCATGGTACTTCAGCAGCTCGAACCAGTGGGGAAAGAGAAAAAACATGAGATGAACAATGCCAAAGTCTAAGATGACTGTTCCATCTGTAGTACTATGATCTGTGGGAGGGGGCTAGAGGTCCAAAGTTATCTGGTTTGGTGAAAAAAATAGTTATCTGGTTTGGCTCCATTGGTGGTCCTCATTAATGTCCAAGGATGATCTCATGGGTTGTGCTTAGCAGTAGTGTAGGTGTTAGTAATACCTCAAGCCATGCAGGAGCCAGGGCCATAGTTTGAAAAATCATTCAGGTTTGTAGCAGGTCTCCACGATAAAGCTCAAAGCATAGAGATAAAATTTAGCCCCTAAGTAAAAGAAGCTAGCAATTGTTCAACATAGAATCAGAATCACAGTCAATGGGGTTGAGGTTCACACAGTGTCTGCAAAGTATTATTTGGTACCCACCTACCCATTGCAAGAAGAAGAAAGTTGAACTAGATGACTTGAAGGTAACTGTATTAGTCTGTTGTCATGCTGCTAATAAAGACGTACCCAAGACTGAGTAATTTATAAAGTAATGAGGTTTAATTGACTCACAGTTCCACAGGGCTGGGGAGGGCTCAGGAAACTTACAATCATGGTGGAAGGGTAAGCAAACACATCCTTCTTCACATGGTGGCAGAGTGAAGTGGGGGAAAAGCCCCTAATGAAAACATCAGATCTCGTGAGAACTCACTATCACAAGAACAGCATGGAAGTAACCACTCCCATGATTCAATTACCTCCCACAGGGTCCCTCCCACAACATGTGAGGATTATGGAAACTGCAGTTCAAGATGAGATTGAACTTGGTGGGATGCCCCGCACCAAGTCCCTAGCCTGCACACAGCAGGGGGGCCCTGGGCCTGGCCCAGGAAAACATTTTTTCCTCCTAGGCCTCTGGACCTGTGATGAGAGGGGCTGCTATGAAGGTCTCTGGCATGCCCTGGAGACATTTTTCCCATTGTCTTGGTCATTAACATTCAGTTCCTTGTTACTTATGAAAATTTCTGCAGCAGGCTTGAATTTGTCCCCAGAAAAATGGGGTTTTCTTTTCTATTGCTTGTCAGGCTGCAAATTTTCCAAACTTTTATGCTCAACTTCCTCTTGAACACCTTGCCACTTACAAATTTCTTTTGCCAGATACCCTAAATCATCTCTCTCAAGTTCAAAGTTTGACAGATCTCTAGGGCTGGGGCAAAATGCCGCCAGTCTCTTTGCTAAAACATAACATGTATCACCTTTGCTCCAGTTCCAAACAAGTTCCTCATCTCCATCTGAGACCACCTCAGCCTGGACTTTATTATCCATATCACTATTAACATTTTGGTCAAAGCCATTCAACAAGTCTCTAAGAAGTTCCGAACTTCCCAACATATTCCTGTCTTCTGAGCCCTCCACGTCTCTAGGAAGTTCCAAACCTTCCCTTATTTTCCTGTCGTCTTTCGAGCCCTGCAAGCAGTTCCAACCTCTGCCTGTTACACAGTTCCGAAGTTTCTTCCACATTTTCCGATATCCTTATAGCAGCACCCCACTCTACCGGTACCAATTTACTGTATTAGTCCTTTTTCACACTGCTAGTAAAGACATACTGAGATTGGGTAATTTATAAAGGAAAGAGGTTTAATTGACTCACAGGTCAGCATGGCTGAGGAGGCCTCAAGAAACTTACAATCATGGCAGAAGGGGAAGCAAACATGTCCTTCTTCACATGGTGGCAGGCAGAAGTGCAGAGTGAAGTGGGAGAAAAAACCCCTTATAAAACCATCAGATCTCGTGAAAACTCACTCACTATCATGAGAGCAGCATGGAGGTAACCACTCTTATGATTCAATTACCTCCCAGCGGGTCCCTCACATGACATACGGGGATTATGGGAACTACAGTTCAAGATGAGGTTTGGGTCAGGACACAGCCAAACCATATCAGTAACTCTTTAACCTTATATGCCATGATCTCCCTAAGAATTTTGAGCATATGGTGAGGGTTGAGGGTCTAAGAAGCCCAACTTTATTCACTACTTCTGATTAGAAGAATTCCCCAATATAAATGGATTTATGGGGAAAAGCTATTACTCTGAGAGTATTTTTAAGAAGTTTTTTGAGATTTGAATAATTTGCAATAGAATTCAAAAAGCATGAATTAACTGTAGATGACAGTGATAAAAATAAAAATTGTGTATATAATCTGGTGAACAATCTCAATAGAGATGTTTGTCTTCTGTGATGGGAGGAAGTACAGATTTGAGTGGCTAAAAAAAAAAAAGGTTGCATATGTCTGAAATTGGTGTGGTGAGCTGGTTTCTCCATGGATACAAGAGTATCCTGGAAGAGAAAGCTAATAGTGAAAGGACAGCCTGATTTTATTTGTTCTTCAAATATATTGAAATGAATGAATCTAAACTGATCCAAATCATTTTTGAACAAATTCCTTTTCCAGATATTGACTTTGAATACTCTTTCTCAAAAAGTGTGGGTTCAACTACCTGTCCTGTGTTTATGACTCCCAAATTACTATTTCTAACCCATCTCCATTTCTTTTAAATTTCCAAAATATCACTAATATTTACAGGAATCTCCTCTTGAATGTCATATGTGGACCTCAAATTTGACAGACATAATTTTTGTATATTGTACCAATGATTCAGAGTCTCAAACAACCAGAGTTTAATAGTTTTCCTTAAGTTACATAGCTGACAAATGGCAGATCTAAGACTAGAAAACAGATCTTTGGATTTCAAATCCTGTATGTTGTAGTGCATTGGACCAGGTGTCAGATGATCAAACCCCTGAATCTGACAGTCGAGGCCCTTCACACTTTAGTCTTAACCTACATTTTCAACCTCACCTCCCATTACTTCCTCTCATTTTCTTTTGTCTAATCACACTGTGGTCCTTTTATTTTAACAAGCATGCCTGGCATTTTTCCATTTCCCCTTTTTCCACACTATTCACTTCACTTGGCATGTCTTCCGTCACACCCACATACAATCTTGTCTGACCTTCATAGACCAGCACAAAGGTAATCGTCTCCTAACCTTTCTCTGATTCATCTCAGTTTGAAGTACCCTCTCTCTGCCATAAATGAGCATAGCAGCTTATCTTTATGTCACTCATAGTGTTTATTACTTTTTACCTTGTATTGTTAATTCATCAAACTTTTATTGAGTGCCCATCATGTGCCATTTTTATTTGAAATGTGGAGATTCTTCAGTGACCAAGCTGGTCAACGTCACTGGCCTTGTGCGGCTTGTTGTCTAGTCAGAGAAGAAAGACGAGGTAAAAAGCAATGACCAGGCTGGGCGAGGTGGCTCACCTCCCAGCACTTTGGAAGGTTGAGGCAGGCAGATCAACTGAGGTCAGGAGTTCGAGATCAGCCTGGCCAACATGGTGAAATCCCATCTCTACTACTAAAAAAAAAAAAAAAAAAAAAAAATACAAAAATCAGCCGGGTGTGGTGGTATGTGCCTGTAATCCCAGCTACTCGGGAGGCTGAGGCATGAGAATCGCTTCAACCTGGGAGGCAGAGATTGTAGTGAGCTGAGATTGTGCCACTGCATTCCAACCTGGGCAACAGAGCAAGGCTCTGTCAAAAAAAAAAAAAAAAGCAGTGTCCTAGAGTCCCTGAGTCATAGAGAGATGAACAGGTGCCATGGGATTCCAGAGAAGGATGTCTTGGATCCCTAGACTTGGAATAATGGAGATAATCAGGAAAGGCCTCTTTTTTTGAGGGGATGAAACTATAATTTCTTTAGGATAGAGTCCTTACTTTATTGGAGTTCCCCTCCAAGACCCATCCAGCCCTATGCCATGTACCAAACAGATTCTCCATGGGATTGTTGTATTTGCTTTTTGGATCTCCTCCCTTTTTTAATGTAGTCAGTAACATTTCATTCTTTCCCTGATATTGAGAGTGCACTTATAATTGGGAGTGCATTAGACAACAAGGGTTGCCTAATAATACACTGGAAATCTGGGTTAAGATATTTCCTATGTGGGTTTTCCCTTTTCACTTGTGTCACAATCTTAATGTCACTGCAGATGACCATATATTCATTGCAAAACATTTATATGATAGATAATCATTGTAGAGCAGCCCATTTTCCCTATATAGCATTTATCATGGCTTGTGATTATGTATGTGCATATTTCATAAATGTCTGTCTTCCACACAATATTAAAAACTCTTTGAGGGAAGGGACTATTTCTGTTTTGGTTGCAATTGTATCCCCAGGGTCTAGCACATTGCATAGCACTTGGGAGCCACTGCATAAACATTTGTTGAATGAATGAATGAAGAAATTGCCTAAATAGCCAAAATTCGGTATAATTTCTTACCATTTACTATGAAGTATAATTTTATTGCTCTATATTGGAACAAAAATCGACAAGTGCTTGGACAGTTTTTATACTATAGGTTCTCTTTTTTTCTTCAAGGTAGAAACACTGTGTTTTTCCATAAAAATTCAAGAGATATATTGTATTTATAGCCTCCTAAGAGATCTCCCTTTACTCTTGCACCTCTAGAGTCTATTCTCAGCACAGCAACCAGAGCTATCCTTTAAAAAATGTAAATTAAATCATGTTATTTTAAAAACTCTTTGATATACTGAGAGTGAAGCCAAACTCCTTACCATGACCTACAGAACCCTCCATAGCCTGTCTTTGTCTACTTCTCTATCTCCTACCTCTCTTCTTCTTGCTCGTTCTATTCCAGACATACTGGCTTTTTTCTGTCCTTTTAACTTGCCATGTTCTTTTCTTTTGGAGGACCTTCATACTTGCTTTTCCTTTTGCTTGGTGGACCTTTTCTTTAGGTATTTTGTGTGATTCGCTCCCTCCTCAAGAAGCCCTTTCCTGGACACCCTATCAAAAATAAACCACATCACCCCAGCCACTTTATTCTGTTACCTAGTTCCATTATTCGTGACAATTATTCTATGAAATTATTCTATTTGTTTACTTTTGGGGAGTCAATCTACTCTACTGGAATATAAGGATTTTTTTAGCTGTTTTGCTCATTGTCGTGTTATAGCACCTAGGACAGACTCTAACATAGAGTATATGCTCATGAAATATGTTTTAAATTAATTACTATCAGATTATTATCTAGCTATTTAATTCGGAAGAGTAAACTTTTTGTTTTGGTTTATGCTTATTTTTGCTTACCGGTAAGTACTAAGGGGAGAAGTTCTTTGTGTGGTAGTTTTGAGCTAGGCGTAAATTTCTATCTACAAACATTCAGTACCCCAGATTTTTGTTATTGTTCTCTTATTTTTTTTTTAAATTTTAGATTCAGAGGGTATATGTGCATGTTTGTTATAAGGGTACATTGCATAATTGTGGAGACTGGGCTTCTAGTGTACTCACCACTCAAATATTGAGTATTGTATCTAAGGTAATTTTTCAACCCTCTCTACTTTTGGAGTCCCCAGTGTCTATCGTTTCCATCATTAGTCCATGAGTATCCATTGTTTAGTTCCTTCTTAAAAGTGAGAATATGCAATATTTTATTGTCTGTTTCTGAATTTGTTCACTTAGGATATTGGCCTCCAGCTCCATCCATGTTGTAGGAAAGGACATGATTTCATTATTCATTATGGCTGCTGGATAGTATTCCATAGTGAATATATACCACATTATCTTTATCCAATCAACCATTGATGTATGCTTAGGTTGATTCCATGACTTTGCTATTGTGAATGGTGCTGTGATGAACACATGAATTCAGGTGTCTTTTTCATATAATGACTTCTTTTCCTTTGGGCAGATACCCAGTAGTGGGATTGCCAGGTCTAATGGTAGTTCTACTTTTAATTCTTTGAGACATAGAAGACTATAACATTTTAAAGGCAGGAGCCATGCCTATTTTCCTTCACCATTTTACCCCCAGTGCCTTGAAGGGTGCTTAGGGCATAATAGAGTTTCAATAAAGCATGTGTTGAATTGAACATAGTCATACCCTTAGATATATGGATTATATAAACTCCTCATTTCTTTTTAATATTGCTATGCCATTTCTCAAATGAGAGGATCTCTAGGGAACCCTCAGAAATTGAAATAAACTTTATTTCCTTTTTTATTTATAACTAATGTGCAAGATATGATTCTTTCTTCCAGCCCACCTTTGTCATCCTCTGATTTTTTCTACATAAAATTTGTGAGTTTCCAAGTCATGTAGATTTTATTGTTGGACCTATCTACTTCTTTCCATGCCCACTGACACTCTCCCTGTATAGGCCTTCATTGCCTTTTGTCTTGACTATTATAAAAGCCTTCTAATTCATCTCCCTTCCTTCTGTTTTTCTAATTTCCTAGCCATCCAACACACAAGATGTCAGATTAATCTACTGAAAGTTTGTATTTGCTCATATCATTTCTTTGCTCAAAAATTCTAAACATATTAAACATGTAATTGAACCCTGTCTAGTGAATTAAGAATTGAATTCTTACCCTAGCATTCAAGGCTTTCTTTAATATTCTATCAATTGAATTTCCAGCTTTATTTTTTTTAAATTCACTTCATGAACTCTACTATCCTTCCAGACTTGACTATTTGTATATCTTGGATACATCCATCACTGTAGTCATGCTGGTTTCTACTGACTCAAATGTCTTCTTTTTATTCTTGTTTTATGAAATCCTTCCAACCTTATATTAAATATCCTCTTCTCCATTGATGCCTCTCCTAAGGGAGACATAAAATGGATGCCCAAATAAATGACTTTCACGCTGGGTAAACTAAGATGAGCTGAACCTCACACCAAAATAGATCACAAACATCGGTGAGATACAAAGCTCTCTGAGGGCAGAGAATGTGCTTGTCTTGTTTGCCACCTACTCAATTCCTAGGACAGTTTCTGACATAGTAAATACTAATAATACAATAAATAAATAAAATAAATATTGAATAATGTATAGTAGAGGGACGCAATATTCCACATAATATGTTTCTTGAAGGCAGGGGTTACTTTTTAAATTTATGCTCATGTCCTCTATAGCCCTACATAGCAGATGCTCAAGAACTATTTGTTAAATTTAATGAAGAACATAGTGTTCTATAAGCAGTGTAATTACATGAATACTTATCTTTGAACTCAGTTTGTACTAGTCTAGTGTCATTAACAAGATGTAGGACTGGGACAAAATGATGCATTGTTATATTACTGACAGATTCAGGGAGGATGTAGTCAAAGAAGCCAAACTGAAGGCTTCACAGAGACAATTAAAATATCCATATAAAGAAGGTTGGCTAGAAAATACTTAAAGGCCAAATAAAGTCCTCAGTAAGAGAATCAGTCCAATGAAAAAGTTTTCATTGTTTATTACCAATCTTTTCAATCAGTTGATTATGAAGGGAGTTAGAACAGCTTCATGTTGTCATTCTGCATCCTCTATCTTGGACCTTCCATTGTGAGACAATGAAGCAACAAGAAAAGTCCCACAGTGAAGGAGAAACAAATTTAAATTTTAAAACTGGTATTGTTTAATGTTGTTATTCAAGTCTTTTTTTTCTTGTTTCCTCTACAAATGCACAGGACTGTTGTACTGATTCACTTTGTGATACTTTGCCCTGGGCAGCAGATCCTCCATGATTCAGACCTTTCTCTATATAATCTTTCCAAATCCAAACTGACATGGTCCCAGGTCCTCAGAACCCAATGTAGGAAAACAGTAAGTCAAGGTGTTATGTGATTGCTTTTGACTACAGTTCTGGCACACTTGTATTTTAATGGGTAACTAAAAGCAAAGCCTTTACCCAATAGAATACCTTAACCAAAGGGATTTCAAGTGCCAAGGCAGGCTAGACCAAACTACGAGACCACAGAATATTCCATCTGACTCTGAGTCCTCTGAGGACCAAATGCAGTTATATTAGCCAAGCCTTCAGGAGAAGAATTGGAATGTTCGTTTGTCATTGGGTTATTTCGGTATATCTTTAAAGCAAATGGAACTCATCAAAGAAAAGTACTATTACTTGGAGCTAGAGGTGGTAGTTTGAATGCAATAAAATAAAAATATCACTTTATCCAGCAGGTGGTAAACATATGGAACTGGTTACCTTAGGAAGTGATGCAGGCTGAAAATAGAAAAAATGTTGAGAAGGGCTGAGAGAGACTTTTGGGTGCTAGACATAAGGGAAAGGTACATATATGGTGGGTCTTACCATTCACCTTCTTAAAGGGATGCCATAGGTGACAATCATCTTATTCTCTTATAAGGTTTCTATTTGGCTGGATGATAGAACTAAGAATAGTATTTCTTACATTCTTATCTCAGTTATTTTGGAAGTTTCATTCCTTTTCTTTGTCTCACCTTTAAAATTTTCCCTCTTTTTTATCTCTTTGCTTTTCCCCCTTCTGAATCCAGAGGTATTTCAAATATTTTCTCTTCACATCAGTCCCAGAATTCCAAACACCTAGAGCTGCATCACCCAACTTGGTAATTAGTAGCCACATGTGGCTCTTTAAATTTAAATGTAAGCTAATTAAAATTTCAACTCCAAAGTTGCACTAGCCATACTTCAAGTGCCTAATAGCCCCATGTGGCTGGTGGCTAAGCTACTGGACAGCTCAGATAAAGGATATTTTCATTATTGCAGAAAGTTCCACTGGACAACACAGAACTAATTAACTTGTCTTAAGCTAGGAAGTGGCAGAGCTGGGTCTGGAACCTGAGTCTGATTTCAAAGCTTATGCTATTAACTGCTCAACTAGATTGTTTCCCATCAGTTTCTCACTCTTTCCCTCAAGTTCATCTTGTCTTTATCTTTCTGATATCTCACAAGGAGCAGATGACATGGCTTATGGAACGATCCTGGTATGCATGGATGGGAGCTCCATAAATTCAACTTGAATATTCCCTTTCTCTCACCTAGTACTCAGCTATCTCTTCTTACTCACTTCCCTATCTTCCTTTCCTCTTCTGAAAGATTCATATTGCAATAAATAAGTGTATTACTGATTGGTTTCTTAAAGCAGACCACACAAACATAAGTCTTGGTCAAGCTGTTTTTCCTCCAGGACTTTCTATGAGCAAACATTTGGGAGGAGACTAGGTAAAATAGAAGTCTTCTTGAAAACAAGTAGGAGAAGCGTTTGAGATGAGAAAATGTGGTTATTTTATAAGGATATAAAACTTCCTCCTCTCAAAACCCAGCCCAACCCTATGAAATATTCAGTACCCTGTGATATATTCAGTACCCTGTCTAAAACTAGGGCAAAAAGGTCTGTATTTGTATACTTCATCTGTCTCCCTGTATTCATCTGTATTTTCCATGCATTCTCAAACATCTCATATTACTGCAAAATGGATATTTCGTTCATAAATTTATCTCAACAAGTATTTCCTAAAATGGTGAGCTATGGGATGCTAGTATGCAAGATGCTAAAATGTGTTCTATAGGGATGAAAGTCTCTAGTGACCAATTATGCTTGGGAACTACTGGATTTAAAATGCTAAGCAGATTTCTCTAAGATAGTACTTCTCAAATCTCGATGTAAATTGAATTAAGTCACTTTCCTGCTGAAAATGGCTCAATCTCTATCAGGGCTACTAGGTCCTACATAAGCATCATTTGGCATCATTCTTCCCCTTATATCACCCTGCTTCAGCTGTATGGACTCTCTTGTTATTCCTTGATGACACTAAACTGTTGCCTGCCTGAGGGCATTTCCAGTATTCATTGTTCTCCATGCCCATTCTTCTCCTTGCTATTCCAGTTGTAACAGTCTAGGTTTCAGGTCAATATCAGCTTCTTGGAGATCCCTTCGCTAATGATTCTATCTAAAGTGCTTCCAACTCATTCTCCTGCCATACTCAATCTCATCCCCCTGTTTTATTGAATTCAAAGCATTTATTATTATATGATTATCTCATTTATGTATTCATTGACTTGTGTATTTTCTATGTTCCCAATTAGGATGTTATGTCCATGAGGGCAGGAACCATATTTGCCCTATTCACCTCACCATTTTATTCCCAGAACTAACAATAGTTCCTGAACACAGTGAGTGCTCAATAAACATTAACTTAATATTTATTATAAATAATAATTGAAATTGTAAATAATTGTAATTATTGAAGTTATTTATAATTAAAATTATAGGAAATATTTAATAATAATTAAAATTGACTGAAATTGTAAAAGTTTACTTACATAGAAAATATCATGTAAAAATTTCTCAAAACTTAGTTGAGTATACAGTCACTTCCTCCTTAAACACACTTAAAAAAAATTCTAAACTCATGGTCTATAGTACAAAAGTCAGAAAATCATAATCTAAATTTTTTAGGATTTTCTTTTTCAACTTTTGGGGTTAAGAATTCTCATTAAATCGATAGAAATGAACAATTTTGGCCAAAAATCTGCTGCAGTTCATAGCCAAGAATCAAAGCCAGCAATTTATTCTTCTCACTCTCCCACCCGCCCCCACCCCAATCAAATGCTCACATAAACTTTCTCCATGGAAAGTTAGCAGAAAGACAAAAAAGAAAACAATAAAAGGAAATAACAATAAATAGCTTTTTCTGGGGGCAATCTGGTAAGAGATCCTATTAGGGACAGGGTGATAAAAACAGAAGGGTCATTCTACTTTCTCAAAATGTCAGTGAAATAAAATAGCAATGCAGAGCATTCCTACCTGCAGGCACACAGGAGGAAACTAGACTAACAAGAATAGCAAGCCAGCACATCAACAGTTTGAATTTCATCTTGTGAACAGAAGGTGGCTAGACAGATGCGTGGTCCAATGTGATAATTACAAGTTTCTGCTTGGAATATAAACTTTCTTGTCTTCTGTTTCATTTTCTTTCTCAGTGAATGAGTTTAAAGAGCCATTTTTGAGATTTTAGTTAGATTTTCTGCCTTTCTGTCAAGGACACTCATTAAATATTTAGTGGAATTTGGAAAGTTGACTTTAAATTATAATATGCAAGCAGCCTTCTTAGTCATAGGTCAGAAAACACCGTATTAATCCAATTAGAGGGGTCTCTGGCTGAATGCAATTACAAAAGTACTCATAATTTATTTTTTAAAAAGGAAGGGATAAAATTCTAGAAATGATAGACTAGTGAGCTTCACATCAATCCTTAATGGAATAGTCTAGACAATTCATAAAGAAATAGGTTGCAAGTACTAAGAAACGGCAGTGTTAGTCACCAGGAACCAGTATGGCTTCACCAAAGATTACGACAAATTAATCCCATTTCATTAGGTCAATAACAAATAAACCCATATCATAGTGATTGCTTGTGGACTGTAGCACTAGTCTTGTGAATTTGAACCCGTAGCTCTATCACTTACTAGTTGTGAGAGCTCAGGCAATTGAGCTCATCTATTAGTGTCTCAGTTGTGTGATCTATAAAATCAAAACCCATGTAGTACCTATTTCTTATGAATCTTGTGAAGGTAAAATGTGTTTATACACGCAAAATATTTGGAACAATGTTTAAGGACTTTAGAGCAAAATCTAGTAATTGCTCAATAAACGTTTGCTGTTATCATTTGAGTGCCTGGAATGTGAGCTGTATGGTGACAGTGTTATGTGGTTCCTTAACTAATTGAATAACTCCAGTCCAAACATACTAATTAGTGAATTTATGGCAATCAGAATGGAAGTTTCTAATCATATTCTCTTCATCATTTTACTCAATTAATTGGGTAAAAATGTAGATAAAATGCCTATCAACTCTGTAGATCTTAAAAACTTGTTTCCTTCTAGAAAAATGGGGTGAAGTAATAATTGGGCATTTAATAGGTGTAAATTTCAAGTTCTAGCTGTCAGGTTTTAAATCAACAAATGCAGGGTGTGGACAATCTGGTTTAATAGAAGTTTTTATCTATAAGACTTAGAGGTTTATAACCTAGGACTTATATATAAAAAGGTTATATGGCCAATATGAATCAACACTGATCAACCATGCTAATGAAGCCTTGGGCTATATACATAAAAATGTATTAACAGAACAGGAGAAGTGCGTTGGACCAGACAGTTTCCTTTTTGTAACATTCGTTGCTGATGTTATTCTTTTAAGAAGGGTTTTGACCACTGGACATTTTTTTGAAGGCAGGAACTGTGTTTTATTCATGGTTATATCACCAGAGCGTAGCATAGTGCCTAAAATGTGATTGGTGTCCATGAAATGTTTGATAAATTTAAAACTAGAATGAATGAAAACACATCTATAAAAATATGACTAAGATAATTAAGAGGCCATAGCTATGTAATATAAGAAATTGTTGAAAACACTGAAGTTGCTAAGCCTGATGGTACAAAATAAACTGTCTTCAGATATGTAGAAAAAGTACAAAATTTAGTCTGGGCATTCTGAGGTTAGATTTAGAACTAACAGATTTCAACTAAATCTGATAATGTTTATATGGTACTTTATTAAGCGCATTATCATACATCATGTTATGTGATTTTTATTGTTATACCAACTCTATTAGGTAGTTACAGCAGGTATTTTACCCCAATTTAACAGAAGATATTAATAGCGGATACATTGTACTTACTATGTGTCAAGCACATTGCATAAATAGACTCATTTACATTTCACCATGAGTTAGTTATTCTTATTATCAGGTGCACCTTCAGATGACTAACCTGAGGCATGGAAAGGTTAAGTAACATGCCCAAGATCACACATCTAGTAACTAGCAGAGCCAAGGTTTGATTTGAATCCTGTCAATTTGGGCTCTAGTTCATACTTTTAACTATTTCACTATGCTGCCTTCCACGTTCCTGCCTTTCTACAGAATAGTATACTGAATCTCAGATAGATCAAGTGATTTGCTCAAGATGACAAAGCACCTAAACTCTGACTAGACCCAGTGCTCTTGTCACCATCCCTGGATGTTCCTCTTATCGGATGAAATTTGGACTTTTTAGAGCCTTTCAACTGTGAGATCAGATGCAGAGGCTGGTGACTTATCTGTGAGACAATCTATGGAGCGGATGTCTACATAGAGTGTGAAAGGTGTTTTGTTTGTTTGTTTTTTGAGATGGTGTCTTACTGTTTCCCAGGCTGGCCTCAAATTCCTGGGCTCAAGTGATCCCCCCACCTCAGGCTCCTGAGTAGCTGGGACTACAGGCACACACCACAGTGCCCAGCTGGAACTTAGATTATCTTTAAGGCTTATTTCAGCTTTTAAAATTTTATGAGTCTGTGAACATGTTTCAGATATTATAGGTTCCAGGCATCTCAGACTTACTGAATCTATTGCTGGGATAGGACAAACATGCCAAGTGATTCTTGTCAACACAAATTTTGAGAGACACTCATTTAAAATTGACCAGGGTCATATTAGCAAGAGTTTTAGAAATCATGCTGAGGATAAATGGATAAATAAATCATTTTAAGGTAAGAGTAACATAAAAGGATTTTCTAATTAGGAAGTTTACTCTAGCTATACCGAGAAGGATGGATAAGAGAAAGGTGAAAATGGAGGCGAAAGGGAAATATAGGGGTCTATTTTAGTAATTGAGACAAGATATATTTCTAATTTCAGAACGCGAGTCATAGGTAGGGTTTCGATCAGCTCAGAATGGTATTATAGACCATGCTATTTAAAAGAAAACACCCAAACCTTCAGATGATCATCCCATGCTTTACAATTTTTACCCTATGTATCTAATTCTATTCACATCCAAGTTTTTCTAAGTCCCCATCTCTCCTCTGACAAGTTCCAGTGTCTGCCTCCTCACCTCGACCTTTGCACCCTTTCTTCAGTAACCCAGGTCCAGGCGCTTTCAGGACATCACTTCATTTCAGATTCAACATGTCTGAAATGGAACTCATTACATTGCCTGAGAAATGTACAACTTTCACATTGTGAATGCTGTATTGGTTTCCTTAGGGCTGCTGTACAAAGTACTATAAGCTGGATGGCTCAAAACAACAGAAATCAATTATTTCACAGTACAGGAGGATGGAAGTCTGAAATCAAGATGTCCTCAGAATTGTCTATTTCTGGGGGCTGGGGGCTCTGAGGGAGGGTCTGTTTCATTACGTTCTATCTAGTTTCTGGTGGGTGCTGGCAATCCTTGGTGTCTATTGGTTTGTGGCTGCATCACTCCAATCTCTGCCTCCATCTTGACATGGCCATCTTCCTTCTGTGTGCATCTGTGTCTGTGTCCTAATGAAGACACCAGTCATTGAAGCTTTTTGTTCCCACCTTCTCAGTGACTTCCTTCTTGCAGGGTTCCGTGTCAAGGAAGCTATGTGTACAATAACAAAATGGTAATCTAATTAATACTTAATAGCTGAGCCAGTACTCAATAATAAACAACATAGGGTTTTTGAAGAAAACTGAGTTGGAGGCTTAATGGAGGCTTTACTCATTTCTACACTCCTAATCTTGGAACCTGTGTACTCAGGTGTGGCTGTTTGGGACAGAAGGTAGCTGGGAGAGAAGGGAGGAAGCCAAATCTCAAGAAGGGCCCTCTGTCCATTGATCCAACCAGCTACATAGACTGGCACATAGAGAAGACAAAAAGAATGCCAGGTTTGTTCCTGAGGGGAGAAAGTAAGTGGAAGAAGGTATGGAAGTAGAGGATGACTGAGTCTGCACCAATGATAGAGATCCTTTATAGAAGTACAAATGAGAGAGTGTCATGAATGGGTTCTGGAAATAAACCTATACCCAGTGTTCAACATTCACATTCTGTGTTTCAGGCTTTGATAAGCGTACCAACTCCCCTTCTCTTGTGGAGGTGTTGTTAATGGGGCAGACAGGGGCAGAAGCTTGATAAGAAGGGCAGAATTTCCCTCTGAAAGGCTCAAAATAAGGAAGCTTTTATTATATAGTGATCATATGTTCTCTAGCTCCTGGCAATGATTTTAAGCAGAAGACCTAAAGAAGAAAGCAAGAGAATAAATTGGAAGATGTGGACAGATGATTTTGAGCAAGTATGTCACTGGAGAGAAAGAAGTCTGTCTATTCAGGTCCTCAAGAAGCATTTTGAATCTTTACCCTTCAGAACAAGAATAAGCCGGTAGCAATGCTATGTAACCTATTTAACCTGAGTTTTGCAACCCTTCTTACCAAATACAACTACTTTTCACAAATCAGATTGCAGCCCTATCACTGGTCTCTCAGTGACACTACAGAAAATGTCACTTATTGTTCCCTTTACTCTGCTATTTGTTGATTAAAATGAATCACCCTTTTCCAGAGAGATCTTATGTTCCTTTCGTGAACTTGGTTGCAGTGGTTTTGAGCTGCATCCCAGCTCTAAATCCCAATCCAAATTGCTCCTAAAACTTTTCTTTCTTGAGGGAGCAGCCTTCTTGGGTATGAGCCTGGGAATCATTGCAGCCTAATCAGCTTGTCATCACTTAGTGCCACATATTCTTGTCTTTGGCAAGCATTTATTCTGAAGGGCATCATGTAAAGCTCATGATGCTGTCTTCATTGAACTTATGCTTATAAGAAGAAAATAAGGGGCTATAGAAAATTTATTTTTAAATTGAATTTAAGTAGTTTTGCCACATTTTAAATGTCAGACGGAACTGTTCCACAGTACAAATCTGCCAAGTCTATGCAGGCGGCTGTTTTCAATAGGACTGTTCGTGCCCTATTGTACTAATCTTTTTTTAAACATACACCTTGCTGGAAAAGGCCAAAAACACCCACACAGGCAGTGGGCACTGTTACTTTTTTCTTGCTCCAAGTGGATGAATAGGCTCTTATTCCATTTGGTGTGTTGCACTGTTAAGCATTTCTCAATCGTTTTCTTCCCTTGATGGACATTGAGCCTTCCTGTGACACAGCAGGCAACAGTCCTTGTACTCTCCCACATGGCCATCCACTCCCCCAGCCATCTGCCCATCTATCTGCCTCCCCTTGATCACCCTCCTTTTTCCCCCCATAGAGATTAAATCCTCAATTCAAGAATGATCAGGAATTACACGCACTGGATGAGTATAAGGATGGTCTGGTCTAGAATTTACTTGTTCTTTTCGAAAATGAATGCTGAAAATCTTCCTAATATGTACACATTTCCATCTTAGAAAGGTGAAGTCTGGTTACCGACAGTGACCTTACCTTTGGCAATTTGCAAGGTCCTTATGACATTCTATGTCCCTAGTATACTTGTTGGTTAAGAACTCAAAATCCAGAGTAAAATGATCTAGGTTTGAATCTTGGCTCCTCCACTTTATGATGTGACCCTGAAAAATTTACACAATCTCTCTGAGACTCAGTTTCCCCATCTGTGAAATAAAGCTGGTAATACGTACCTCACTGTGCTGCTGTGATGATGAAATGCCCCAATATTTGTCAAGTGTCTGGCAGAGTGTCTCCCATATAGTAAGCACTCATTACATATTGTATTTAATAATAGTAAGTGTTCAATAAAATGATAGCTGCAAGCAACATTATTTATTATATAATTTTGTTACCTTTCAATCCTTATGTCATCACCGTGAATAAGTGATTACTGATTCTGCATCTATAATCCTAGACAATCAACAAATGTTTTGAGAGTTCTCCTTCTGTACCAAACATTATCTGGGAGAATACAGAGATTGACATAGTCCTAGCCCTACATGAGCTTTCAGTGTAGTTGGGAACATAAAATATTTTTATCTACAAATAAAATGAGCAATATTAAAGTGCTAAACATGTGAGATATATGCTATAAATATTAGAGTTCAGAAAAAGTGGATCTATCTTCATGGGCTGTGATGGAAGTTGAGTTATGAGCTATGACTTAGAAAATGAAAAAGGATGATCATCATAAGAATAATAAACCCCAATTATTGGAAATCTAGTATTGGCTAGGTGCCTTACATGCATTATTTCATTTAACCCTTGTAATATTTCTACGAAGTAGGCAACATTAATATTTTCACTTTTCAGGTGAAGGTATTGAGGTTTAAAACTAAGCAACATTGCCTAAAGGCACATGACTGTTAAATGGCAGAGCCTGGATCTGAACTCTAGGCTTTTCTGACTCCGGAAACCATTCTTCTTACAATATAATAGGTTTCCTCTTGTTAGTGAAGAGAAGCAGTCTGACACAATCAGGCAGGGGAGATGATGCAAGCAAAGACACACAGGCACTGATATTTAGGGACCAAGGAAGGGAACATCTGACTGGTGTAGGAAGAAAGAGAGGAGAGCCTAGAAAATTAAGCTAGGGCCTGATTGTGAAGGGCCGTGTAAGCAAGGCTAAGAAAATCAGTCTCTTTCCTGCAAGTGTCGATACAGGAGATGGAGATTAATTTGTGTGGTATTGACATCCTCATGAATAGTCTCTGACTAAACCTTTAATCTAGGTTTTGGTTTTGTTTCTTCCCCTTGCTTGAAAGGGAATGCCATTAATATTGCCATTTGTTTGAAGTTTCCAGGTAGATTTTATTTATTTAGGGGGACCCTGGGAAAGTGTGAATATGTGGAAGGCAAGAGAAAATTTGACATCTCAAAAATGCCTTTACTTACCAAGGATATTTTTGTAACGCACCAAAGCACACTTATAACCCAGTATGGGAGATGGTGGTCTATGTCTCTCACTACATGTTGGAAAGAAGAGATAAATATAACCATGGGAAAGATTTAGATTTCTTCTGATTAGCAAAGAATCTCAAGATCTTCTCCAGCTAAGTGTTTAAAAAGCTGGGAAACTGCCACTTGCATAACATAGGCAGTTCCTAACTTGCAAATGGGTTGACTTCCAAAAGTTCATTTATCAAGCAATTTTTTGTAACTTGGAACACACTATGCCTTGGAAACAATGCTATATAAAAATGGTACTTGAGTTTTCTTTCCATTTTTTCATGGAGATGATGGAATATTTAAGATTCGTTTGGGTAATCTTAAATTCCATAGGAACTTGATAATCTGGCCATAATTATGTTTTCAAAGGTCTAAAGGAGAAACCAGTCAGAAGATACTAGTGTGGGCAATAGGAAAAGTTGTGCACTTTCCCATTTGTTAAGATATTGTCCACTTATTTTTTTAAAAAAGCAAACGCTTTTTAGAGAGACTCCTGGGTTTCCAAAGATATGTCCAAATATTTAGACCTCTGTCAGCAGGTTAATGTGATACAATGCTTTTATAGAACAACTTCGTTTCAGCTTAGATGTCATGCGAAGGGCTGGCCCTTTGTGTAGGTGAAGCAGAAGGCCACCTTTAGTGACTTAAAGGACACCCCAATTATGTCTTTATATCCCAAGTAAAATTCCCACTATATTGCCAGAGGGCCAGAAATTCACTTCGTGCACTGGCATATTTATCTTTGGTAAATAAAGTGGGGATACTTTTTTGTATAGTGTAAATCATCAAGATATTCCCAGTGATCAATAGCTCAGCATGAATTAGTTTGTCAGGTGGAGAGAGAGCACTGAGGGCACTAACTAGGGAACACGTAAAGCTGATGGTACATGTAGAGAATTAGAAATAACATGTTTGTTTCATACAAAGCCTAGGCAGAACAGGTTTGGGTAAGGTTGTGAGAAGGGGTGAAGGGGTCTGTGCCCAAAGGCACTGATTTCCTGATAGAGGCAGTGAATTTCCTTAGAGTGAAAGAGGGTAATTTTTACAATATGGACTAGTGACAGCAGGACAGAGGATGGACAGGAGAAACCAGGATTTGTGGTTTGCTTAGACAAAGTAGGATCAGCAAACTGTTGTATTTTGGAGGAAGAACTGGTTAAGAAAAATCAAATTTAATTTGCTAATAGGCAAATTTAGTTAACAAAAGGCAGCAAGCAGTGTCAGGCAGCTACTATTAGTCTAAGCAGGTCAGAGGTCAATACGTATTAGCCCAACTAAGATGGGAAAGAAGAGTTAAGGAGATCCATGCAGGCCCAGAGTCCAGAAAGTTGATAATATTGAAAGCAATTAGCAGGAAATACTGGAGTAAGCACTGGTTTGAAGGAGAACCCACCCCATTTGACTCTTTTTGCCAGTGAATGTAGCTCTGTTTCCACATGTGTTGATTATATATAATACATGCTTAGAGGCCTGTGGTTGTACCTGCCCCTACTTGAGGCAGGGAGAAGGTGTCATCAACCTTGTCTATTCCAAATTCCACATATATCCTACTATTATTTGCCCATATGTGTGTCCTAAAACAACTGACTTGGGTCTCAGGCAAGAAGACCTCCTTGTGCCAGGCAAGATTACTTAGGAAAGTCTGCCTGGAGCTGTGTCAAGAGATGTCTTTTGGATAATGAGACAGAAATGATGACAGGGTAAGGAAAGAATGAAGTTTTATTCTTTTTTATAAAAAAGAAGTTTTATAGCATGTTTTAAAAGCCTCCCTGGCAGGTGAAAAATCTGTGTAAGGAAAACTACAAAACACAGCTAAAAGAAATAATATATGACACAAACAAATGGAAACACATCCCATGCTCATGGATGAGTAGAATCAATATTGTGAAAATGACCAGACTGTCCAAAGCAATCTATAGATTCAGTACAATTTCCATTAAAATGCCATCATCATTTTTCACAGAACTATAACAAACAATCCTAAAATTTATATAGAACCATAAAAGAGCCTGCATATCCAAAGCAATACTAAGCAAAAAGAGCAAATTTGGAGGCATCACATTATCCAACTTCAAATTATACTACAAGGCTATAGTTACCAAAACAGCATGGTGTTCATATAAAATAGGCACATAGACCAATGAAATAGAATAGAGAATCCAGAAATAGAACCAAATACTTACAGCCAATTGATCTTTGACAAAGCATACACAAACATAAATTGGGGAAAGGACACCCTATTCAATAAATGGTGCTGGAAAAACTGGCAAGACACATGTAGAAGAATGAAACTGGATTCTCGTCTCTCACCTTATCCAAAGATCAACTGAAGATGGATCAAAGACTTAAATATTAGACCTGAAACCATAAAAATTGTAGAAGATAACATAGGAAAAACTCTTCTAGACATTGGCTTATGCAAATAATTCATGACTAAGACCCCCAAAGCAAATACAACAAAAACCAAAAATAAATAAATGGAATCTAATTAAAGTAAAAAGCTTCTGCACAGCAAAGGAAATTATCAGCAGAGGAAACAGACAACCCACAGAGCGGGAGAAAATATTAGCAAACTATGCATCTGTCAAAGGACTAATATCCAGAATCGACAAGGAACTCAAATAGAGCAAGAGAAAAACAAATAATCTCATCAAAAAGTGGGCAAAGGACATGAATAGACATTTCTTAAAAGAGAATATACAGCCAACAAACATGAAAAAATGCTCAACATGACTAGTTATCAGGGAAATGCAAATCAAACCACATTGAGGTACCATCTTACTCCTGCAACAATGGTCATAATTTAAAAAAAAAATAATAGATGTTGGCATGGATGTGGTGTATAGGGAATGCTTTTACACTGCTGGTTGGAATGTAAACTAGTACAACCACTATGGAAAACAGTATGGAGATTCCTTAAAGAATTAAAAGTAGAACTACCTTTTGATTTAGCAATCCCACTACGGGGTATGTACCCAAAGGAAAAGAAGTCATTATATGAAAAAGACACATGCCCATGCATGTTTGTAGCAGCACAATTCACAATTGCAAAAATATGGAACCAACCTAAGTGCCTGTCAACCAACGAGTAAAGAAAATGTGATATATGTATTCACATATATAACATATATATGAGAGACAAAACAGTACATATTGGGTACTGTGTACACTACTCAGGTGACAGGTACACCAAAATTCCAGAAATCACCTCTAAAGAACTTATCCATGTAACCAAAAACCACCTGTACCCCCAAATAATGAAAATAGAGGTCCAAGTAAAATTGTAATGTAGCTTGTATTATTAGATTTAGTGTCTCAATCTCAGTACAAGAGTTTCTTCTGAATTCAATAGCACAGGTACTCTAGCACCTGAGGACAAGCCAGACCAATGATTTTCTAGCAGGCTAAATTCAGAGTGTCCTGCCTTTAGATGATGTTAGTGACTATGCAAGGCAGCTTCAAAGATGACCCTCGAAATCAGCAAAGAAATATTGGACTTAATCTGCACTATAGACCAAATAAATCTAATAGATATTTACAGAACATTCTATCCAAGAACTGTAGAGTACACATTCTTTTCCTCAGCACTTGGATCATTCTCAAGGATAGACCATATGTTAGGTAACAAAACAAGTCTTAAAACATTCACAAAACTTGAAATAATATCAAACATCTTCTCTGACCACAATGGTATAAAACTAGAAATTAAAAACAAAAGGAATTTTGGAAGCTATATAAATACATGGAAATTAAACAATAGGCTCCTGAATAACCAATGGACCAATAAAGAAATTAAGAAGGAAATTGAAAAGTGTATTGAAATAAATGATAATTGAAACACAATATAACAAAACCTGTGGGATACAGCAAAAGCAGTACTAAGAGGGAAGTTTATAGATGTGTCTACATCAAAAAAAGTGGAAAAACTTCAAACAAACAATCTAATGATGCATTTAAAGAACTAAAAGGGCAATAGCAAACCATACCAAAAATTAGTGGAAGAAAAAAATCATAAGGATCAGAACAGAAATAAATAAAATTGAAATGAAGAAAACAACATAAAAGATCAATGAAACAAAAATTTGGATTTTTATAACACTTAAACAAAATTGACAAACCTTTAGCTAGACTAATAAAAAAGAGAGGATCCAAATAAATATAATCAGAAAAGGAAAAGGAGACTTTACAACTGATACTGCAGAAATCCTCAGGATCATTAGTGGCTACTATGAGCAACGATATGCCAATAAATTGAAAAATCTAGAAGCAATGGGTAAATTCCTAGATACATAAAATTAACTAGATTGAACCAGGAAGAATTCTAAAACCTGAGCAGACCATAACAAATAACAAGATCAAAACTGTCATAAGTCTCCCAGTAAAGAAAAGCCCAGGACCCAATGGCTTCACTGATACCAAACATTTAAAGAACAACCAATAATAACAATACTACTCAAATTATTTTGAAAAACACAGGAGGAGGGAATACTTCCAACCTCATTATATGAGGTCAGTATCATCCTGATACCAAAACCAAATAAAGACATATTAAAAACAAGAAAGCTACAGGTCAGTATCTCTGATGAATATTGATGCAAAAATCCTCAACAAAATACTAGTAAACCAAATTTAACAATACATAAGAAACATTATTCATCATGACCATGTGGAATTTTTCCCAGGGATACAAGGACGATTCAACATATGCAAATCAAACAACATGATACACCGTATCAACAGAATGAAAGATAAAAACCACGTGATTATTTCAATTGGTGTTGAAAAGGCATTTGATAAAATTCAACATCCTTTGATGATGAAAACCCTGAAAAAAACTGGGTATAGAAGGAACATACCTCAACATAATAAAAGCCATATATGACAGACACACAGCTAGCATCATAATGAATGGGGAAAAAGTGAAAGCCTTTCCTGTAAGATATGGAACATGACAAGGATGCCCACTGACACCCCTGATATTCAAAATAATACTGGAAGTCCACAATACAGCAGTCAGACAAGAGAAAGATATAAAGGGCATCCAAATCGGAAAGGAAGAAGTCAAATTATCCTTGTTTGCTAATGGTATGATCTTATATTTGGAAAAACTTAGAGACTCCACCAAAAAAACTATTAGAACTGATAAATTCGGTAAAGTTGCAGGATACTAAATCAACATAAAAAAGTAGCATTTCTATATGCCAACAGTGAACAGTTTGCAAAAGAAATAAAAAACTAATCCCACTTAGAATAGCCACACATAAAACTAAATACCTAGGAATTAACCAAAGAAGTGAAAGAGCTCTATAATAAAAACTATAAAACATTGATGAAGGAAATTGAAGAGGACACCAACAAATGGAAAAATATTTCACGTTCATGAATTGCAAAAATCAGCATTGTTAAAATGTCCATCATACCCAAAGCAATCTACAGATTCAGTGCAATCTCTATCAAAATACCAATGACATTCTTCACAGAAATAGAAAAAACAATGCTAAAATTTATGTAGAACCACAAAAAGACCCAGAATAGCCAAAGCTATCCCAAGCAAAAAGAACAAAACGGGAGGAATCACATTACTTAACTTCAAATTATGCTACAGAGGTATCAGTAAGCAAAACGACATGGCACTGGCATAAAAGCAGACACATAGACCAATGGAACAGAACAGAGAACCCAGAAACAAATACAAACACCTACAGTAAACTCATTTTTGACAAAGGTGTCAAGAACATACGCTGGGGAAAAGGCAGTCTCTCCAACAAATGGTGCTGGGAAAACTGGATATCCATAGCCAAAAGAATGAAACTAGACCCTTATCTCTTACCATATACAAAAATCAAACCAAAATGGATTAAAGACTGAAATGTAAGACCTCAAACTATGAAAATACTACAAGAAAACATTGGGGAAAATCTCCAGGACATTGGTCTGGGCAAAGACTTCTTGAGCAAACCCTACTAGCACAGGCAACCAAAGGAAACATGGACAAATGGGATCATTATCAAGTTAAAAAGCTTCTACACAGCAAAGGATACAATCAATAAAGTGAAGAGACAGCCCACGGAATGGGAGAGAACATTTGCAAACTACCCTTCTCCCAAGGAATTAATGACCAGAATATATAAGGATCTCAAACAATTCTGTAGGAAAAAAATCTAATACTGTGATCAAAAGATGGGCAAATAATTTAAATAAACATTTCTCAAAGGAAGGCATACGAATGGCAAACAGGCATATAAAAAGGTGCTCAACATCACTGATCATCAGAGAAATGCAATTCAAAACTACAATGAGATGTCATTTCACCACAGTTAAAATGGCTTATAACTAAAAAACAGGGGATGACAAATGCCGGTGAGTATGTGGAGAAAAGGTAACCCTGGTACACTTTTGATGGGAATGTAAATTAGTACAGCCACTATGGAGAACAGTTTGGATGTTCCTCAAAAAGCTAAAAATTGAGCTACCATATGATCCAGCAATCCCACTGCTGGGTATATATCCCCCAAAAAGGAAATAAATATATTAAAGTGGTATCTACACTTCTATGATTGTTGCAACACTGTTTACAATAGCTAAGATTTGGAAGCAACCTAAGTGTTCATCAAAAGATGAATGGAAAAAATGTGGTATGTATACACAATGGAGTACTATTCAGCCATAAGAAGGGATGAGATCCAGCCATTTGCAACAACATGGGTAGAACTGGAGATCATTATATTAAGTGAAATGAGCCAGGCACAGGGAAACAAACCTCACGTGTTCTCACTTATTTGTGGGATATAAAAATCAAATCAATTGAACTCATGGACATAGGGAGTAGAAGATGGTTACCAGAGGCTGGGAAGGGTAGTAGAAAGTTGCGGGGGAGGTGGGGATGGTTAATTGGTACAAAAAATGTAGAAAGAATGAATAAGACCTGCCATTTGATAGCACAATAGGGTGACTATAGTCTATAATAACTTCATTGTATATTAAATAATGTAATTGGATTGTTTGTAACTCAGAGGATAAATGCTTGAGGGAATGGATACCCCATTCCCCATGATATGCTTATTTTACATTGCATGACTATATCAAAACATCTCATGTAGCCTGTAAATATATACACCTACAATGTACAAACAAAAATTTTTAAAAAATAAAAAATAAATTAGAAAACAAAACAAAAACAAAGATAACCCTCCCCAAATCCCCAACACCTGGTCTTGTGTAATCCTCTCCCTTTCAATATAAGCTGAACTTAATGACTTTCTTCTAACAAATAGAACATGTCAGAATTAAAGGGATCCAGTAGCTAGATTAGATTATAAGAAGATGGTGTCTTCTGTCTTGGGTAGTTGCTCTTTCTACCTCTCTTGTTTACTTTCTCTGAAGGAAGCCAGCTACAATGTTGTGAATTATCCTATGGAGAGGCCCAGGAAGGAACTGAGGTAGATATCCAGAGAGGGCCTGAGGCCTCTAACTTTTGAGAAACTGAATCTTGAAAACAACCACAAGGGTGAGCTCAGATACAGATCCTCCTCCAGTTGAGACTGCTTTCCTGGTAGACAGTTTGATTATGACCTGATGAAGGGCTTGAGCCAGAGACACCTAAGTAAGCTATGTCCAGATTCTTGACCTACAGAAACTATGAGATAATAAATTTTGGTATTTCAAACTACTGAGATTTGGTGGGTAATTATTAATGCAACAACAGATTAGTAGTACAGATAAATTTCCATATACTTGCCTATTCTACGGGTATTCTATGGGTATGGGCAGGCACACTCAAATTTATTATTTGTGGTTCTGGTTAACCCCTGCTTTGTAATCAGGGATTTTGCCAGCTTCTTAGAAGATAACAACATGAACCAGTCCTCTACAGTTTCTGGAGTCTTTTGGGAGCTCTCCCAGTATTCCCAACTAGGTACTCCTGTCAGTATATAGATAATGAGAAAGTGTTATTGGAGCACAATAGTATAGTGAGGTAGGTTCAAATCTTAGCTTTGCTATTTATTAGTGGTGTGATCTTGGACAAATTATTCCTGGTCTCTATGTCTCAGTTTCCTCATCCATAAAATAGAAAAAAAAATAATAAATGTTAACTATTTCACAGAGTTGATATGAGGCTTTCATGAGTGGTTAAAACAGGACCCGGCATAAAATGAGTGCCATGTAAGTATAGGCTAAGTAAAATACAGTAGTCTATCCCTGTCTCCCATTACCCCACACTCATGAACCCAGTAGACTAGGAGCAAATTGAGGGTAAGATGATGTCTTTTTCTTCCCTATAATTCCAAAACCTAGAACAGGATCTTGACACAGAGTAGGAGCTCAGAAAATGAGAGCTGAATTGAACTAATGATAGAGTGGTCGCTTATAGAACAACACTAATAGTACTGGAATGAAGATCATAGTACACCCTTTGTTCCTTCTCTAACTGTTTTGGGCCTATTTGACTCTGCCCAGTTAATTATGCAGACTTGGGTATATTTGTGCAGGAGAAGTTTATCTCCAATTTGGAGCTTGGTCGGAGCTCTCAGGGTGCTTGCTGAGGTTTCTCAGGTCAGCCTGAAGCCCCAGTAGCCAGAGCTGAAGGCTCTGTAACTGGCCACCCATAGCTCACATTTGGAGGGCCCATACTCTGGCCTAATGTTTTTTACACATTACCTTCTTAGCCCTCAAAACAATCCCATAGCAATTATCATTTCAATTTTACAGATAAGCAACTAAGTTTCAGAAAAGTTAGCTCATGTGCTGAAGTTTGCAGAACAGAGATTTGAACCCAAGTGTTCTGTCTTCAAAGCTTATTCCTTGGCCTCTTTATCCTTTAATGCCTCTTTATCAGATCTATTGACCTCATAAATTGTGCCTACCTTGGACATGACCCAGAAATAGTGGCTGCTGAATCCAAAGTAGACATGACATCTCCGGTACTTTTAGGGGCTATTCAAAAAGTTTAATTGATTTTGGACGTGGTTCAGAAGCCAAGGACCCTATATGCAAGCAGAAATGTGGCCCTGTAAGGCAAATAACCAACTCACTGTTATCAGATTAATAATGACTTCTTAGGCATTAAGGCAGGGTAATCACTGGATTCTACCCATATTAGTTCAGAGGAAGTCAGCCTAGAGCAATGTTCTTGAATCCCGCTCTGCTATTTACTAGATCCATGACATTGGACACATTATTTAACATTTTTAACCCTCATATTTACCATCTATAAAATGATGGTAGTATTAACTATCTTATATGGTTGTTGTGGGGATTATATAACACATGTGAAATGTTTATGACAATGTCTAACATATAAGAGTGACTCAATAAATGATAACTATAATTATCACTAATAAGTATAAAATATAATTAATAACTTTATAATGTTATCATACAATAAAGTATGATAAACATGTAGATCCTTGAAGTATTCCCATGCAACTTCTCAGGATCAGGTAAATTTTTATGAATGGATTGAGATATCTAAGAGGCAGCAGGGGAAAGGATATGTAGTTTGGAGTCAATCTACTCAGTTTCAATTCTTATCTCTAATACTGGCTATCACGACATTGAACAAGTTGTTCAACTACCTTGAATTCCATTCTTCATCTGTCAAAGTGGTGTATCAGTGAGTGTTATCTAAAGAAAAAAACAGTAGGCTATACTATATACTCCTAGGAATTGGTTCACTTGATTGTAGGGCTAGCACATCTGAAATTTGTAGAGCAGCCGGACAGGCTTGAAACTCAGGCAGGAATTGATGCTGCAGCCTTAGGACAAAATTTCTTCTTCTCCAGGAAAACTCATTTTTGCTTTTAAGGCCTTCCAACTGATTGGATGAAGCCTACCCACATTATCAAAGATAACCTCTTTTGCTTAAAGTCCACTGATTGTAGATGTTAACCACATCTACAAAATACCTTCACAGTAAAACCTAGATTCGTGTTTGGTTGGATAACTGGGTGCTACATCCTAGTCAAGTTGACACATAAATTAGCCATCACAAACGAGTAATAACAGAATCTGTGTCATAGTTTTGCTTAAAGGTATAAATTAAATAATCTGTATGGAGGATTCTACACAATGCTTGCCATACAACAAGCACTTTTGAAACAATGTTAGCAATTACCACAGTACAACTTCTTTACTTAGGGGTACTGAAGACAATGACACTTAGCTTTGCTGTGAAACTGTGGCTTGGTGTGGGACTGGTACTTTCTGTGAGCCAGCATCTGGGTCCTTGGAATGAAGAGAAGGTCTAGAGAATAAAAAGATCTATCTGCACCTGGAGAAAGTTTATTTTGAGAGTCATCCCATTCCTTCAGGGCACAGTGGACCTTTAGATGTGCATTGGTATTATCAGAATCTTAAGTACAAGGGTGTTTAGCTGAATTTTTATAATTATGACAATGGCAACCCAAGCGGTGAAAAAATAATTCATCCATTTCGGTAATACAGGTATAGTGAATTTGTGCTGACACTGTGGGCGGTCCGAGACTTTATGGCTTCCTGGAAAGGTGGCCTCATGTCGTCATGGAGAATGCCTCTTTCAAGTAAAGGATAGTGTGCTATTATGGCAATTTGCATTACTATACATCAAATTATGTCTTTCCAAAACTAACCATGCCATTCAGTAATGTGATACATTTAGATGTGAGTCATGACCTCTGGTAACAGGATCCTTCTATGCTTTTGGGGAAAATGGGCTTCCTATGGTCTCTCCTGTTATTTATGGGCTCTCTTCGGAAGAGGCAAGGATGTTGTTGTCATGTTCTCTGAGGCTGGTTAGCTTTATAGTGTGAGAAACTTGAGCTATATTTTGGGACCAAAATAATAACCTCACTTCCTCCTGCCAAACCACACTAAGAAAGAAAGGAAGAAGAAAGAAAGAAAGAGAAAGAGAGAGAGAGAGAAAGAAAGAAAAAAGAAAGAAAGAAAGAAAGAAAGAAAGAAAGAAAGAAAGAAAGAAAGAAAGAAGGAAAGAGAGAAAGAGAAAAAAATGATCCAAAAACCAACAGAATCTGTGCCTGACCAAATGGTCAGAAAGAGAGGGTTGTTTTCAGAAGAAATGATAGTCCCAATGAGAGGATAGCTGGGGAACTGGCAACAAACAAAATCTTCTGAGTAAAGAAATTATTAGATTGCGGCCAAGTAGAATAAGAACACAAATGAGAGAAAGAGAGAGATCTTTCTTCAGAGCTAGAAAGAGCCTACTCACATCCACCACATTAATTTGGTCTTTCTACTTTAAGAGACCATATGGTAGGCATGGGGCCCTATCTTTACGCTATAGCCTGTTGTGGGGCTAAATTTGAATAATTCTTGTCCCAGTGGAAAGGCTCTTAGAAATTTATCTAATTTGGGAGATTATCAATTGAGATAATACCTTTGATAACATTTACTTTGGTATTCATGGAGCTCAATTATCTTCAAAGTCATGAATTTTCTGACAGGCTTTCTCAAGCTTAAAAGCAGTATTAACAGACTGTTTTCCCTGGTTCCCTTGTTTATGGCTGGGTAGCTTATTGGCCAAGACAGTGAGTCTGGCGCAAGGTGAGCCAAAGTGAAAAGTTAAATATCTCTGAGGCTGAATTTAGTAGCAGTCAAATAAGTCTTGAAGTTCCTATCTGGTTTCCTTACAAATAACTGGACCCCTGAGCAGTTCAGAACTCATACAACAAATAACCCAACTGGGTTCAATGAGAAATAATAGGTTCCACTCTAAAAGCTTATAAATCTTAATTGCTTCATCTCATAGATATGAAAACTAAGATTTAAAGAAGGAAAATAGTTTGTCTATGATCACTCAACCAGTTAACAACAGACCTAGACACATATCAAGGTGTCTTATTACTTCAAGTGCAGTGTTTATTGTAGTATATTTCAGAAAATGAAATTATCAGGTCTATTTGGAAATTGCTTTCAGACATTATTGTATAGGGTAGAGGAACATGTTCTCTTGGAGTTCTGGCTGATAGCGAAAAGATTGCAGTGACCCAATCACTATGTTACTTTGCCTGGTGATTCAACCTTTTGGGCACTTGCCAAACAAAATTTAGAGAGTCATCCTACCCTGGAAAATTGTGTTTCTTTGTGACTGTTTCTGTTTAGATTTGGTGGGTTATAAATTGCGGTATTTAAATTCTGGTACTAACCGCATGATGCCTGGCAGACATAGAAAAGGAAATGGGATAACTCTATAGTAGTTTCCAGTGGCTAAAGTAGAATTGAATTAGGAACTAGGAAAGTTATTTGCTTGAGACTAAGCAAAGAAAAATACATTCCTTATATTGATTGCAGATAGATGGTAAACTTGGCCCTATCCTCCAGGCAAGAAAATTATGAAGACAAATGAAAAAGATTGTATATTTAGAAAACCCCATCGTCTCAGGCCAAAATCTCCTTAAGCTGATAAGCAACTTCAGCAAAGTCTCAGGATACAAAATCAATGTGCAAAAATCACAAGCATTCCTATACACCAATAATAGACAAACAGAGAACCAAATCACGAGTGAACTCCCATTCACAATTGCTACAAAGAGAATAAAATACCTAGGAATATAACTTACAAGAGATGTGAAGGACCTGTTCAAGGAGAACTACAAACCACTGCTCCAGGAAATAAGAGAGGACACAAACAAATGGAAAAACATTCCATGCTCATGGATAGGAAGAATCAATATCGTGAAAATGGCCATACTGCCCAGAGTAGTTTATAGATTCAATGCTATACCCATCAAGCTACCATTGACTTTCTTCACAGAATTAGAAAAAAACTACTTTAAATTTCATGGAACCAAAAAAGAGCCTGTATAGCCAAGACAATCCTAAGCAAAAAGAACAAAGCTGGAGGCATCACGCTACCTGACTTCAAACTATACTACAAGGCTACAGTAACCAAAACAGCATGGTACTGGTACCAAAACAGATATATAGACCAATGGAACAGAACAGAGGCCTCAGAAATAATGCCACACATCTACAACCATCTGATCTTTGACAAACCTGAGAAAAACAAGCAATGGGGAAAGGATTCCCTATTTAATAAACGGTGTTGGGAAAACTGGCCAGCCATATGCAGAAAACTGAAACTGGACCCCTTCCTTACACCTTATACAAAAAATTAACTTAAGATGGATTAAAGACTTAAACGTCAGACCTAAAACCTTGAAAACTGTAGAAGAAATCCTAGGCAATACCACTCAGGACATAGGCATGGGCAAAGACTTCATGACTAAAACACCAAAAGCAATGGCAACAAAAGCCAAAATTGAGAAATGGGATCTAGTTAAACTAAAGAGCTTCTGCACAGCAAAATAAACTATCATCAGAATGAATAGGCAACCTACAGAATGGGAGAAAATTTTTGCAATCTACCCATCTGACAAAGGGCTAATATCCAGAATCTACAAGGAACTTTTTTCTTGTTTCATTAAATCTAGAACTGTAATGCTTTTTAAGCATACTGATTCCTAGGCCCTACTTCCAAAGATTCAGATTCAGAAGGTTTGAGGCATGGCCTGAAAATCTGTAAGTTTAACCAGCTCTTCAGGTAATTTTGATAATCATCTAGATCTGCTATCCATTGGACCAAGCTGTTTTGCTTTTGTGCAGTTCTGCCTGTAAAGGGCTCCTCTGTGAAAAACCCACAGGATGACAGACATGTGTTGCTTAAGTAAACCAAGGCTTACAGATGCATAAGGGAGAGGTAATTCACACAGCCAGAAGAACAGAAAAGGAGTCGCAGTGGAAAACCATTACATAGAAGGTTTTCCTACTGTTTTAAATTATTTATTTACATATTTACATTTAACTAGTTGACAGGGAAACTAGAGGAGGAAGCAGTGAGATGTTTAACTCCTGTTGGAATATCATAACACATGGAAGTTCCAGGAAATAAAAATACAAAACGGCTCTGAAGTGATATTGAGCCCTTGGAGAAAACAGCATTTGCTTGATAAAAATTTGATTCTCTCATCCTCATCCCTGGATATTACAGGCATGTTTATTTGGCTAAGGGAGATTTCACCTATGCTAAGCTGAACTCAGACACAAGTTGGAACGTGTCTGAGAGGAAAAACATCTGAGTTTGTATTCCTTTCTGTAATTACCCACTCCCTAACCATTTCTTCTCAGCCTTCCTGCAACTTGTGACAAAATAGACAGTCAAGTGCTACTCAGATTTCCTCACCATTTGTGTAGGGTTCTAAAGTAATAAATCACTAGAGAGAGACTGTTCTTAATTTAAGATGTTGTGAACTGCTTGAAGAGAGTGCCACCAGCAGAAGTACTATGACACCAAGCTGAGGCCCTTGAAGTAAGAGTAGGCAGGAACCAGTAACCTTTCCCCTTCACATGCAAGTTAGAATTGCTTCAATTTGCCCCTCTGTCTACTATGTTTATTCTGTAGGTTTTCACAAACACAGGGCCTGGGTCCTCAGGATTGGTACTACTGCTGGAGCACCCTACTCATCTCTACCTTCCTGGCCATGTCAGCTCCATAGTAACCCTCCCTTCTTGGTGAAAAACCTTGTTACCTCAGTAGTCTCTATTAGCTAGCTGTAGAAGAAGAAGAAAAAAAACCCACCTGCCTCAAATGTTAATCACACAATGATAATGCTTAACAGAATACCCAGGAGGACCTCCTTCACAAAATAAGAACTTAGGGGTGATGGCTCTCAATGGTGGCACTTCAGATTATATGCAAGTGGGCTGGGGATATACGTTTTTAGATGAAGCTTGCCTTGCCATTTAAAAATAAAGTTTAGGCTGGGCATGATGGCTCACACCTGTAATTCCAGCACTTTGGGAGGCCGGAGGCAGGAGGATAGTTTGAGGCCAGAAGTTCAAGACCAGTCTGAGCAACATAGTGAGAGCTACACACACACACACACACACAATTAGTTGGGAGTGGTGGCATGAACCTGTAGTCCCAGCTACTTGGGAGGCTGAGGTGAGATCACTTGAGCCCAGGAGTTCCAGGCTGCAGTGAGCAATGATCATGCCAATGCACTCCATCGTGGGTGACAAGAGTAAGACCTTGTCTCAGAAAATGACATTTAATAAACTATTAATTTTAGAGTAGTTTTAGATATACAAAAAGTTGCAAGAATATTACAGAGTTCCCTTATATTCTGCACCCCATTGTTAACACTACTATGGTACATTTTTCACAACCAATAAACCAATAATAATTACATTATTGTTGACTGAAGTTCAGACTTTATTTGGATTTCCTTAGTTTTTACGTAATACCATTTTTCTCTTCCAGGACTCCATCCAGGATACCACATTATATTTAGATATCATATTTCCTTAAGGCTCTCTTGACTGTGACATTTTTCTCAAACCTTGTTTTTTGTTAATTTAAATGACAAATAATAACTATATATTCATGGGGAACAATGTGATGTTTTGATATATATACATATATATGTATTTGTACACTCACATAAACATTGTGGAATGATTGAATCAAGCTAATTAATATATCCATCATCTCACATACTTCTCATTTTTTGTGGTGAAAACATTTAAAATCTACTGTTTTTACAATTTTAAAATACACAATACATTATCACTAACTATAGTCACCACACTGTGCAATAGATCACTAGAACTTATTCCTACTGTCTAACTAAAACTTTTTATCTTTTGACAAAAATCCCACCACCCCCACCCATCCTCTCATAACCACCATTCTACTCTTTATTTCTATGAGTTAGACTTGTTTAGATTACATATATAAGTGAGACCATGCAGAGTTTTTCAGACTTTCCTTATTTTTGATGACCTTAACAATTTTGAGGAGTACTAGTTAGGTATTTTTTAGAATGTCCCTCTACTGGGATTTGTCTGATGTTTTCTCATGATTAGAGTTGGGCTATAGGTTTTGAAAAGGAAGATCACAGAGGTAAAGTGCCGTTCTCATCACATCATATCAATGTTACATGCTATCCACATGACTTATTATCACTGTTGGTGTTAATCTGGCTGACATGGAGATTGGCAAGTCTTTCCACTGTAAAGTTCCCCTTTTGTCCCTTTTTCCATGCTATACTCTTTGAAAGGAAGTCACTGTGTCCAGAACAAATTTAAGAAATGTGAAGTTTTATGCTCCACTTCCTTGAGGGCAGAGTACAGTTGTCCCTTGGTTTCCATGAGGTATTGGTATTGGCTCCAGGTATTGGTTCCAGGACCCACCCGTCTTGGATATCAAAATCCATGGATGCTCAATTCCCTTATTATAAGATGGTGTATTTGCATATAACCTACACATATCCTCCCGTACACTTTAAATCATCTCTAGATTACTTACAATACCTAATAAAATGTAAATGTTATGTAAATAGTTGTTATACTATATTGGTTTTTATTCACATTATTTTTATTGTATTGTTATTTTTATTTTTTTTCTCCATTTGCAATAGACTGAACCCACGGATATAGAACCCACAGATACTGATGGACAACTCTATCTACACATTGTTTTTGGAATTTGGACTGGGAGATTTCTCTATTCTCTCCCATTTATATTTTAGTCAATCATTTATTTATGTCAGTATAGACTCATGGACATTTATTTTATACTTTTTGTAGTCCAGTAATACCAACTCATTTATTTTGTTGCTCAATTTTTTCTATTTTTGGCCATTGTGAGCTCTTTTAGTTGGCTCCCATGTCTCTCTGATATGCTCCCTTCAGTGTGTGTGTGTGTGTGTGTGTGTGTGTGTGTGTGTGTGTCTATCTGAGCACTTTTTTCCTTCTTTTCTGGCAGTGATGTTCCAAGTTCATCTTGTATAGTCCCTGCTCCAGCCCTTGAATCAGCTATTTCTCCAAGGGACCCAGGTTCCTTTTACTGGAGAATATTATTAGAAACTAAGATCTGGGGGGCTGGTTGTGCTTATTGTTGCTACTGCCTTTAAATTGTTTTGAGGCCCTTCCAACTACCAGAGCTAGGAAACGTATGTGTGTATACTAACTCATGTATATACATTTATCTATATCTGTCTACCTCTAATTATCTATTTATCTATGTATATCTCTCCACATTAAGCTAAACTTGTGTTCATATCGATGTCACTCATTCTAATCCATTACCATATGGATTATTCTAGCCTCCTCCCTTTGCTTTATCTGCAACCTCCCCTTCAATACTGAGAATCCTGGATTCCAACATCTGTCCATTTACTTATTGCTTAATCCCAGTATACATGAACAGAAGTATTAGAATTGTTAACCCATACCTCCATGGGAAACAACTTTACCAACTAGAGTGCAGTGCTTATAAATAGTTCCTTTTGCATTTAGTCATATAGATCCCTCATTTCCAAAGATACTTAGATTAGCGGCTTTAACCTTCATCCTCTTCCATGAGGTTATATCATACATTTGTAACACAGTTAGATAGTTTGCTACAGTCTGCATTCCATCTTGGATCCCCAGAATGAGTTTTTCCTTAATTTGTATACATTAAGGTTACCCTATATGCTGTAAGATTGTATGAGTTTCAGCAAACACATACTATCATGTATTCACCACTACAGTATCATATAGAGTAATTTTACCACCCTAAACAATTCTCTGTGCTTCACTTATTTGACTGTTCCCACCTCTGCAAATTCCCTGTAACATCTGATATGTTTTCCCTATCTATAGTTTTGCCTTTTCCAGAAAGTTATATAAATAAAATGTTATGAGATGCAGCCTTTTCACACTGACTTATTTCATTTAGCAATATGCATTTAAGATTTATTCACACTGTTGCATGCATTTATAGTATATTCCTTTTCTTTCTTTCTTTCTTTCTTTTTTTTTTTAAGAGTCTTACTCTGTCACCCACACTGGAGTACAGTGGCGAGATCTTGGCTCACTGCAACTTCTGCCTCCTTGGCTCCAGCAATTCTCCTGCCTCAGCCTCCCAAGTAGCTGGGACTACAGGTGCACCCCACCATGCCTGGCTAATTTTTGCATTTTTTAGTAGAGACGGGGTTTCACGATATTGGCCAGGCTGGTCTCGAACTCCTGATCTCATGATCCACCCGCCTCGGCCTCCCAAAGTGCTGGGATTATAGGTGTGAGCCACCGCACCAGGCCGGATTTATAGTATATTCCTTTTTATCACTAAATAGTATTCCACTTCTGGGTATAGCATAGATTGGTTATTCACATAATGAGGGACATATTAGTTGCTTCCAGTTTTTGGTAATTAAGAATAAAGTTGCTATAAACATTCACATGAGATGTTCTTGTGGGACTAAGTTTTCAAGTCAGTTGGATAAATACATAGGAGTATGATTGTTTGTTCATATGGCAAGAAAATATTTATAAGAAATGACCAAACTGCCTTCTAAAGTGGCTGTACTATTTTGCATTCCTGCATCCTCATTAGTATTTGGTTTTGTCACATTTGTGTGTGTGTGTGTGTCTGTGTGTATTTAAGCCATTCTAGTAGGTGTGTATTGGTATCTCATTGCTTTAATTTACATTTCTCTAAAGACAAATTATATTGAGTATTTTTCTATATGCTTATTTGCTCTTTGTATATCTTCTTTGATAACTTGTTCAAATCTTTTGCTCATTTTTTAGTTGGGTTGCTTTTTTATTGTTGACTTTTAAGTCTCATTTGTATATTCTGGCTTTAAAAGGTTTAAAAGCTTTTTTTTTTTTCATTTCAGTGAAGTTCAACTTAACATTTTAAAAAAATGGTTCATGCTTTCAGTGTTGTATATAAATGCATCATCAAGCCCAAGATAGCATTGCATTTCTTGTATTTTTTTCTAGAAATTTTACAATTGTGCTATTTACAATTAGTTGTATAGTCTACTTTCAGTTAATTTTTTAAGGTGTAAAGTTCATATCCAGCCTTATTTATTCATTATTTTACATATTGACTTGTAACTGTTTCAGTACCATTTATTGAAAAGACTATCCTTTCTCTATTGAATTACCTTCATGTCTCTGTCAAAAATTAGTTGACTACATTTGTGCATGTCTACTTCTGGGCACTCTATTCTGTTCGTTGATCAATATATCTATAATTTCAGCAGTGTTGCACTCTCTTGATTGTTGGAACTTTATAGTAATTCTTGAAATTGAGTAATGTATGTTCTCCAAATTTGTCTTTCAAAATTGTCTTGGCTATTCTAGTAACTTTGCTTTTTTCTATAAATTTTAGAGTCAGTTTGTCAATATGTTATATTGCACAATGTCATGACTATAGTTAATAATAATGTATTGTACATTTCAAAATAGCTAAAAGAATGGGTTTTAAATATTCTCACCACAAGAAAACAATAAGCATTTGAGGTGATGAATATGTTAATTAGCCTGATTTGATAATTTTGCAACATATACATGTATCAAAATATCACACCCTACCCCATAATTATATACAATTATTGGCAATTAAAAATAAAATCAAATTTTAAAAAAGGTTGCTGAAATTTTTTGATTGGAAATAATTAATATGTTAATAATATTACATCTTTCAATTCATGAACATTCATTTATTTATTTATTTCAATTTCATTTATTTGAAACTTCTTTGGTTTCCTTCATCTGTATTTTGTAGGTTTTGCTATAGATCCTGTCTATATTTTCTAGGCTTACATATAAAAACATCATTAATTTTTGAGGCTATTGTAAATTGGTGTTTTACAAAATTTTGAAATACCAACTGTTTATTCCTGGTATATATGAAAGCAATTGAATTTTGCACATTGAACTTGTATACTGCCATCTTGCTATGGTTGCTTTTATTTTCAGCTTTTTATTTCTTACTCTTTGGGGCAGTTTACATAGACAATTTTATCTTCTATAAATAAAGACAGTTTTATTCCTTCCTGTACTGTCTTTTTATCTTTTCTTTTTCTTGACATATTATACTGGTTTCCAATCCTTGCTTCGTTGTTGATCTTAGGCAAAAAGAGTTTAGTTTCTCATCATTAAGTGCAATATTAACTGTAGATTTTTTCATGTATTCTCTTTTGGGGTTAAGGAAGTTTTCTTGTATTCCTAGTTTTTGTTTGTTTGTTTTTTCACTATTGTTATAAATGGGTTTGGAATTTTAATGAATTTTTTTCTATATCCATTTATTTTTTTCTTATTAAGTATATTGATATATAGAATTGTATTGATTTATTTAAGATCATTGAACCAATGTCACATTACTGAAAACAACGTCACTTGAGTGATGTGTGCTTTTTAAATATATTGCTGGACTTGATTTGCTGGTATTTGTTAGGATTTTTGCATTTGTGCTGATTAGAGATAATGATCTATAGTTTTTGGTGACTGGTTTTGGTAATGTGTTGAGGAGTGTTTCCTTATTTTATAATGTCTGAAAAGTATAATTTTTATTATATATGCCTTAAATAATGGGCAAATTTCAGCAATGAAATTGTTGGGGCCTGGTATATTCTGTTTTTTAATTGGAAATGTGTAAACTACAAATTTATTTTGTCTAGTAAATAGGAAGCTATTTATATTATCATTTTCTCATTGAGTAAGTTTTGATAGTTTGTGTCTTTCAAGGATTTGGCCCATTTGTTCTAAATTATTAAATTTGTGGTCATTTAATTTTTCATAGCATTATACTTCTAATGTCTGCAGGATTTGTAGTGCTGACTCATCCTTCATTCATGACATGGATAATTTGTGTCTTCCCTCTTTTCTTCTTAGTTACATTGCTAGAGGTTGATCAATTTTATTGCTCATTTCAAAAAATCAAGTTTTGGTTTTGTCAATTTTCTTTATTGTTTTCTTATTTCCAATTTTATTGATTTTTACTCTAATATTCATGATTTCTTTTATTTTGTTCACTTTAGGTTTAATTTCCTCTTCTTCTTCTAGTTTCCTGAGGTAGAAACTTAGAGTATTAATTTTATATATTTTTAAAACAATGTATGTATTTGATATTAGAAATTTACCTCCTAGTATTGCTTTAGATGTATCCTACATATTTTTATAAGATGACTTTTCTCTTATATTTAGTTCAAAATATATTTTAATTTCTCTTGAGCTTTCTCCTTTGACCCATGAGCTATTTGAAAGTTTGTTGTTTAATTTCCAAATATTTGGGCATTTTTCCAGCAATATTTCTATTACTGGTTTTCTAGTTTAATTCTGTTGTGGTCTCAGAACATACTTTATATCATTTATATTATTTAAAAAAAAAATTAGGTATGGTTTTACAGCCCAGAATGTGGTCTTTCTTGCTGAATATTCCATGTAAGTTTAAGCTGAGTGTGTATTGTGCTGCTATTGGATGGAATATTCTGTAAATATCAGTTAGATCAAGTCAATTGGTCATGTCATACTGATTTGTCTTGTCTATATCATTACTGATTTTCTGCCTGCTTAATCTGTCAATTACTAACAGAGGGATGTTGAAGTCTCCAAATATAATGGTGGATTTGTCTATTTCTCTTTTCAGTTCTATTAGTTTCTGCCTCATGGATTTAGATCCTGTTGTGACTCACATACATCTTAAGTATTGTTATGTTGTCTTAGTCTGCTTGTGTTGTTATGAAGAATTACTTCAGGTTGGGAAATTTGTAAAGAAAAGTTTTATTTGGCTCATGGTCCTGCAGCCTTACAAGAAGCATGGTGCCAACCACCTACTTTTGGTGAGGGCTTCAGGCTGCTTGCAATCATGGCAGAAGACAAAAGGGAGCCAGAATGTGCAGAGATCATCTGGTGAGAAAACCAGGGAAAAAGAGGGGAGAGAAGTGGCAGGCTCTTTTTAGCAACGCTCTCATGGGAACTAATAGAGTGAGAACTCACTCACTGCCTGCCAAGGGAGAGTATTAATTTATTCATGAGGGCTCTTCCCCATGACCCAAACACTTCCCAATTAGGCACCACCTCCAACATTGGGAATGAAATTTCAACATGAGGCTTGGAGGGTCAAATACTTAAACAATAGCATATGTCTTCTGGGAGAATTTACTGTTTCATCATTGTGTAATGTCCTTCTTTATCCTTGATAATCTCCCTTGTTCTGAATTCTGCTTTATCTGAAATTAATATAATGACTTCAGATTTCTTTTGATTAGTTTTAGCACCGTGTATCCTTCTCTGTCCCCTCATTTTTAATATATCTGATACTTTATATTTAAAGTGATTTCCTTATAGACAGCTTATAAGTAAATATTTGAATCTTTAAAAAAATCTACTCTGGCAATCTGTCTTTTAACTGGTATATTTAAACTATTCAAAATTAATTCATTATTGTTATAACTGGATTAATATATGCCACCTTTGTTTTCTATTAGTTTCATGTTTTCTCTATTTTTCTCTCTGTTTTCACCTTCCCTGGTTTTATTTGAGTATTTTATGTGATTCCATTTTATCTCCTCTTTTGGCATGTCACTTATGCTTCTTTTAAAACTATATTAAATAGAATTAATTACTTATTAATAAGTACCAACAAGGACCATAAGAGAATTTTTTTCAGATCCTCACTGGGAGAATTTTGTAAATTCCTGGAGTGAAAGCCCACATATATGTGAGGAACTCGCCTATGACTCCAGAAGTTTTTCACTCTTAAGGTCATCTGCACTCAGCCTTCAGATTCAGTCTAAATGAGCATTTAAGTTTCCCTACCAGATTAAGAATTTCTGTGGCTTCTGTAACAGGTAAGCAAGTTTTGGGGGCTATGTTTCTCTGGATGTGACTGTCTTTCCAGATTTGGTGGTAGTGATTTGCTCTGTGACTTAAGCTGTCACATGGGTCCAAGAAATGTCATTGGTTTTGTTTGTTCATACTTTGATTGTTTTAAGGACAGGAGTGACAAATTCCAAGCTCTTTGTATGATCTGAAACTGAAACTCAAAGCTTGCCTTTTTATGCCACCTATCACAGCTTCAGCACACCCCCTCACTTCACTACTTCTGCTATCTTTGAATAAGGCTAATTCTGATAGTCATATCTTTATGTCTGGAATTAATTTATGCCTACAACAAAAGCATAAAAGATAAGCTCAGTGTCTGACAGAATACTCATTAGCTCATTAACTGTAAGTACATAATTTTATTTTCATCAAGTTAAGAATGATTAGAATCCTGAACTCACCCTATTATTGATTAATGTATACTACCATTTTTTGCAGTTACAATAAATAGCCACCAACAGGAGTTTAGTGGGAATAAAATGTGAAACAGGTATTTTTTCTCTAAGATTGTAGAAAAGTATGTGAATGGACATACAGTTGTCATTGAACTTCACTGGAAGACTAGGGTGAAGAGCTGGCCTGGAGAAGGTAAACTTTCAGGACAAGATGATTTCCTCTATGCTATGGGTTTACTCTTTGTGAAATCATCATTCCTTGTAAAAATCTTATGAATGGCAAGGAATTCCTTACCCTTCATCAGATTTTGGGGTTTTGGTTACATGGTGGACTCATAATGGCCTGTGATCCTTATAATGGCTTTTGTTCACTTAGATGACTTGTAGGACAGCCCCCTAGTTTTTCTGTTGTCTAAAGACTAAAGACCACCCATCGTCTGTAGCCTTTCTTCTCAGAGAAATTCTGTTAAGATCAGGGGTCAGAAAAATTTGACTCATAACTTTTTTTTTTTTGTAAATAAGGTTTATTGGAATATTTGACACTCTACACACTGTCTAGAGCTGCTTTTATGCTGCAATAGCAGAGTTGGGTAGTCATGGTAAAATAAAAAATATTTACTCTCTGGCCGTTTATAGAAAAAGTTTGCTAACCTCTATTTTAGATGAAAGAGTCCAGAAAAGCATAGCACATAACAGTTAACTGATAAAAAGAGTTAAAAAGAGTTACCCTGCTTAAAGATGTTTACTTTTTTTTTTTTTTTAAACGGAGTTTCACTCTTGTTGCCCAGGCTGGAGTGCAATGGTGCGATCTCGGCTCACTGCAACCTCTGCCTCCCAAGTTCAAGTGATTCTCCTGCCTCAGCCTCCCGAATAGCTGGGATTACAGGTGCCCGCCACCACGACCAGCTAATTTTTTTTTTTTTTGAGACAGAGTCTCACTCTGTCGCCCAGGCTGAAGTGCAGTGGCGCGATCTCGATCTCGGCTCACTGCAAGCTCCGCCTCCTGGGTTCACGCCATTCTCTTGCCTCAGCCTCACGAGTAGCTGGGACTAACAGGTGCCTGCCACCACGCCATGCTAATTTTTTTTTTCTTTTCTTTTTCTTTTTTTTTTTTTGTATTTTTAGTAGAGACGGGGTTTCACTGGGTTAGCCAGGATGGTCTCGATCTCCTGACCTCGTGATCTGCCCACCTCAGTCTCCCAAAGTGCTGGGATTACAGGCGTGAGCCACCACGCCCGGCCAAGATGTTTACATTTTAACGAGATCAAAATGTTTTTCAATCTGAAGAACTGAATTTTCAGTATGGATTTTTTTTGTTTTCACAAGCAAATGCCCAAAGTCAATTGATAAATCCCAAACTCAGATCATTTATATGTGTGGTCAGCCTTGCTAGTAAGCAGAAAAGGCTTTGTCTAGCTACTTCCTATAATTCAAGAATTCCCAATCAACACACAATCGGCTCACACAAACTTTATTGTAAATTCCATCTTTTGGTATTAAGCTGGCCTTCTTTTCTTTTACTTCTTAGCCTGTGCTCTCAAAGGCATCCCAGGTTTCCAGAAAAAGAGGAGCTCTATCTGATGTTCTTCTCCTGAGACCCCAAGTATAGTGGCTTCCTAACACAAATACTAGTCTTCTAGTGATTTTTTCTTAGAATAAGCAGTTGTAAACATTGTTTTTTTGTCAGCAAACATTAATGTTCAGTGGGCCAGCAGAGGAAAAGACATGGAGTTCACACAATGGCATTTATCTCCAGTTTAATATTTACACAAGCTACTCACTAGTTTGAAAGACCACAGAAACTAGTTGTGTTAATATCTACATAAAGGCCTTGTCAGAGAAGAGCCTCTGACAAATAATGCTTTGAATGCAGGGCACAGCTGGCCAGCCGAAGGTGCTGAGTATTCAGACCAATGTTTCTATTTGTCCTCTTCAAGACTCCAGGCCAGTTTCATTCAGGATTGGTTATTAGTTGGAGGAGAAAACTGAAGGCTCTTCTTTACTCATTGTGCTACGTTTTATCTGGCTTCTCCTATTTGTTGCTTCCCACCCCACCTCACCCTACCCCATCCTTTGCTTATTTCCTGTGTACCTACTGTGTATTGTTCGCCTAGCCATTTCCCCAAATACCTCAGTCCTGTTTGTGAGGAGATAACATGCTGTGATGGAAAGATATAGACTTCAGAGTATGTAAAGAATGTAAATTATGTATTCAGAGAGAACCAAGCTTAGTTTTGCGGCATACAAGATGGTGTGAACTTAAGCAAGTCATTTTACCTCAATTAGTCTCAGTTTCTTTATCTGCAAAATGAGACAAAATACCATATATCTCATAAGGTAATTATCTTAGTCTGTTTTCTGTTGTTTGTATCGGAATACCTAAAACTATGTAACTTATGGAGAAAAAATATTTATTACTGTTATAGAGGCTGAGAAATCCAAGGTTGAGGGGCTGCATCTGGCAAGGGCCTTTTTGCTGGGGAAGGCTCTTTGCAGAGTCCCAAAGTGACATAGGGCATCACATGGTGAGGGAACTAAGTGTGCTAGCTCATGTCTCTCTCCCTATAAAGCCACAAATCTGATTCCCATGATAACCCATTAACCCACTAATTTATTGATCCATGAATAGATTCATTCATATCACCTCTTAGAGGCCCTACCTCTCAATACTGCCACATTGGGGATTACGTTTCAACATGGGTTTTGGAGTGGACAGTTATTAAAACCATAGCAGTGATTAAGAGGACTATAGTATGTATAAAACACCTAGCATGCTACCTGGTATATTGTAGACACTCAGTAATATTAGTTCTTTCCTCTTTTGCCTCATCCTTATCAATGGACCTCTTGATTTCTGTGGCTTACCTGGCCTTTGATTCATCTTTGTCTAGGACCTTGTGTCTTACAGATGCTCTTCCTCCCTGGGCTCATAGTTCTACTAACCCTCATTTCCTAATACAGTGGAGCCCACCAGTTGACCTTCAGTTTGGGTAGCTCACCATATAATTGCCAGGGACTTGGAAAGCCTTCATCCAGTAACACCCCCTTCAGTCATTTAGAAATGTGGCAGAATCATTGTGTGGTAATTTGCACATAAATGGTGCCATGTTTTATTTAGCCATGACAGAAAAGAATGTGTAAACAACAGCATCTGCATGAATATTCATGTTGCCTAATGACACCATTATTTAATTTGTTCCTTTGCCAAGACTCACCTCACAGATGGTTCTAGGATGGCCCCAGGAATTACACTGAAATTATCAAATATTCTTTTCTTGCTAACTTATTTAGTTTTTAAAGATTTGTTAGGGCATATATAAGCAACAGAGATACCTCACATTGATTCAGATTCCCGTTTTAAATAAACAACTAGAAAGATAAACTTTTCCAAACACCATGTCATGGAAATCAGAAACATCTATAAGGTAGCCTTGTGTTACATGTCTTATGTTTCCTTATTTCCCTACAATTCTTGTCTTCTTCACCCCCATGCCCCATGTATTCTATTGACCTAGGCTCCAGTTTTTACTGGCTTTTCTTATGTTCTCTTACTGTTAGACTGAATTATTGCTCATTATTCTTCACTTCCTTATCGTGATATTATATGTTCACATCCTACAATAACTTCTTGACAGGCAGAATCTACAACTCTGTCCCTTGATGTTGGGCTTGGCCATGTGACTTGTTTGGGCCAATGTGACAATGGCAGAAATATTGCTAGAAGCAGCTTGAAAATGTGCTTATCTGGTTGAGATTAGCTCCCTTTGTGCTTCTGCCCTTACAATTTGAACTTGCTTCAAGTACCTTGCTGGCACAAGGAAGATAAGAGAAACATGGGACAGTCCTGGACCTGATCAACAGCTTGGAGCCAAATCTAGCCAACTTAAATAAGACAAACCCAGGTGATCTAAAGACCCATTACCATGAGAATAAATGATTATTCTTGCATGCCTTTGAGTTTTGGGAACATTTGTTATGCAACAGTAGTTAAATAATACATCCACTTACCATATTTTGGTTTTCTACTCATGCAGCCCTCACTCTTGGATACTTCCCCAGAATCCACATGGCATTCTCTCTAGTATTTTGTGAATTAGCTATTGATAATTTTCTGTTAAGTTTCTTATCTATTTTGTATGGTGTTTGGAGGTGGAAACATACTTCTTTTCAAAGATGATTACATTTCATGTTAACTTAGTTCTTCATTCTTTTAAAATGTGAGTTTTTGTCATCTTCCAAAAGCCTGTGTATTAGGTTAAGGCAGATTCTCCCCTTGGTAGAGGAATAAAGTGATGTTCTGACAAGACAAGTGATTTGCTCCAGGTAATGGGGTAAATGGCAAAGAAGTAGTCTAATTTCTAGTCTAGTACTGTGCAAATCTTACCAAGCTCTAGGAATAGAGATTATATAATTTACTTCTGCTAAATATCTTAGCTCCTAGCACAGTCTAAAACACAGAATAGGTTATAATTTACTTCTGCTAAATATCTTAGCTCCTAGCACAGTCTAAAACACAGAATAGGTTCTCAAAGGTGATTGTTTTCTGGTGTAAAAACCAGCTGAAACCAATATTTACATGCCTTGGAGCATTTTCACATTAAGACATATTTCTTCTCTTGAGGGCAAAGAGGTAAACTTTCTTTCTGCAGTGCTTCAGGCTATGTTTATGCACCCAACAAAACACATCAAGGTACAAAGAAATTGATCTGAGAAATAGACTACCACTGACAAGTTACCTCAGCAGGTTTCCTGCAGTCTACACTGAAATGTAGGTGGGGGATGTGTGGGATATTATATTTTCCAAATGGCTGCAATAATATCTCTCATCGCACATGCTCTTCTACAATGTGATCTTGCCACTGTCATTTCAATGGTGGAATCTAAATTCCCCCCCACCCACTTTGAATCTAGGCAGGCTTATGACTGTTTCAAATATTAAAGGAAAATGGAAATAATACTATGTGACCTACAAAGATAGGTAATAAAAGACAAAGCATTTTCTGCTTCGACCATGGGGGATTTGTTTTTGGAGACTTGAATCACCATATAAGAAGTCCAGCTACTCTTAGAACACCATGATGAAGGAAACTCAGGTCACGTGGAGAGGTCAAACATAGGTATCTTAGTTGAAAGCCCAAGATGAGGTCCAGGTCTCAGTTATCAACCAACATCAACCAGTAGACATGTGAGCGAAAAAGAAATCTTGAAATGGATTCTCTAACACAAGCTGTTTCATCCCTAAACCGTTTGAGTTTTCTCAGAAAATAATCTCCACTGTGACCTTTCTAAACTCCTGATCCACAGAATCTGTGAGCATAACAATTATTTTTATGTCATTAATTTTAGAGTAGATTATTATGTTGCAATAATGGGAACAGCAACAGAAAAAGGTCCCACTGAGAGCCTGTTTGTGTCATAATTAAGAGCATGGACTCTGGAGTCAGATTGATTTAGGTTTAAATGCCAGCTCTATCATTTTCTTTTTATATGACCTTTGTCAAAATATGCAGCCTCACTGAGCTTCAGTCACTTTACCTGTAAAAAATGCATAATAATGTTACTTTCTTCATAAAGTGATTATGAGGATTAAATGAGATAATACATGGACAAACTTTTAGTACAACGTCTAAACCAGAGCAATTACTCAATTAGTGCCCCAAGTTGTTATTGTTATTGTTGTTGTTGAGTATAAAGTCTTATCTTTGATGATGCCCAAGGAGATAGATTACTGGCATGAACAATCTTCCATAAACATAGGATGAATCTAGCTGGGTTGACATGACTAGGGATGCCAGGTTTCTTACTTCCAGTTTGGTTCATAGACCTTGGTCTTAATACAAATACTTAGAACATTGTCCTCTGACAGGTCACCTGTGGCTAATTATTTTACTACTCTCTCTTCGTCACCACAACAGAAACCTTTATTGCTCTGTTTCTTTCTTGAACTATCCATTATTAGTGAATTCTTCAACTTGAGACAGTGAAAGACTCTGATCAATTGCATGCATGTTATAGTGGGAGAACACATAAGCACAGTGCTCAGTAACATCTGAGGAGGCATAAGTTGATCAGGTATACTTTAGATTCAATGGACACTTAACTAAGTATGTTTTATGTGCTAGACATGGGACTAGGTACTTTTCAGTTGCTTTATCATTTCCTTGGATCCTTATAAGCACTCTGTAAGATAAATTTCATTATTTTCTCCATCTTACATATGAAGCAAATAAGACCTAGAAAGGCTGAAGTTATGTGCTCAATGTTACAGCTGCCTAGTAGCATAGGTTTGTCTGAATGCCAAGCTAAGAAGAGGTAGATAATGAACTTCTGAATAGAGTTTAATCCTTGAAAAGGGATTTAATGTGGGAATGGGGAACACACTGAGAATAAACTTTCTACCTTGCCACACAGTGTCAGGTCTTTCTTTTTCTTTCTTCCCTCAACTTCTGGATTTTATAAGAAAATATATTTTATTTTCTCTACCAATTGCTTATCCCCAGGGTAGAGGGAATTCAAATGGTGGCTGTACTTGCTAAGGCAGTTGTTAAGAAAAAGGCTGGCATGCTGGCATGCACACACCCCTGTCATCCCCTGCACCAACCTTTACTTCATATTTCTGTGGCTCTGTAGGGAGTGGAAAACCTCCTGAATAAGAAGCCATTTAGAACCATTGCAATGTAGAATCAGCATGTTTGGCTACTCTTCAAAGAACTTGAGATGATGCTTGTTACCCTTCTGTGTCAGGTATTTATTAAGAAAGGTCAGTCCCAAGCCTGACTGTACACCATCTCCTAGTTTCCAAACTGCTCAGTTAAGAGCTCTACAAGAGTCCACCGTCTCTTATCCTCTGTAGACTTTGAGCAGAGAGCAGATGCTGTTTTATTTCAAACAGCGGACTGGGCTCTAACCCTCAAATAGCCATTTTGGGGGAACTTAGGTCTTGAAAGGTAAACATTTTGAGGGCTCCATGATCCTCAAGGTAAACATTTCGAGGGCTCCATTATCCTCCATAATTTAAAATCTGTGAAAGCAGGCCCAAGCCAAAACATTTTTACTTTTTTAAAGCTAGAAATTTGAACAAAACTATGAACTCTATAACTAGAAAAACGATGCTATTCTTTTCAACCCTCAGTTTTATTTCAAAATTACCTTGTATTATAGATAATTTTAAAAAATTATAGTGCTTTTGGGGATGCACTTTAAAAAATGGAATTTTCTTTTTCATGTACTAGTTTGATTCTACTCCAGTATTCTTCCAATTGAATCTGGGCTGAATGTGAACTATATATACTTCAAATCTCAGCCAATTATAAAAAAGACAAAAAATAACAAATACTGACAAATACGTGAAGAAAAGGGAACTCTTATATACTGTTGATGGGAATGTAAATTAGCATAGTCATTGTGGAGAATAGTATGGAGGTTCCTCAATAAATTAAAAATAGAACTACCATATGATCCAGCAATTCCACAACTATGAATTTATCCAAAGAAAAGGAAACCAGTATATTGTAGAGATATCTGCACCCCTCTTGATTCCAAGGTTGATTCCATATCTTGGTTATTGCAACTGTATTCACAATAGCCAAGATAAGGAATCAACATGAATGTCCATAAATAGATGAATGGATAAAGAAAATGTGACACACACACACACACACACACACACACACACACACAATGGAATACTATTCAACCTTAAAAAATGAAATTCTGGAGAGGGGCAGGGCCAAGATGGCTGACTAGAAGCAGCAGTGATTGGAGTTTCCAACCAAGAAGATCCAAAACACAGTGCAAATCTCACACGGGCAACCGAGGTATCCAGGTTCTGTCATTAGGACTGACTAGGCAGCTGGTGTGAACCATGGAGAGGAAGGAAGAGCAGTGTGGTGTGGCAGCGCACCTGATAGCCACACGGGGCAGGGGAGGCCATACCCCCAGCCAAGGGAGATGGTGAGTGAGTGTGCTACCCACCCTGGGAAACCATGCTTTTTCTATGGAGCTGTGCAACCCATGGATCAGAAGATTCCACTCGGGAGCGCATGCCACTGGGGCCTTGGGCTTCAACTACAAAGCCACACAGATTCTCAATGCTCACTTGGATAGAATCAATTGGCCTAAGCTGCCAAGTTTCCTGGGGGAGGGGTGGCCATAACCACTGCTGTGGCTACCTGCAGTCTAAGCCATCTGAGCTCCTTGGGGGAGAGGCAGCAGCCAACACTGCAGCTGCAGGGCCTCCTTGTAGGAACTCAAACTTCAGCCAGGGCTCAGGGACAGAGCTCTGATCTCCCTGGGCCTGAGCCCCTAGGGGGAGGGATGGCCACAATCTCCATTGACCAGCAGACTTAGTCTTTCCTCCTTCTAGCTCTGAGGAATCCAGGCAGCCAAGATGAGTGGGTTTCACCCCAGCGCAGCAAACCCCTTGCACCAAGGGACAGCTAAAGTGCCTCATTAAATGGGTCCTGCTTCCTGTGCCACCCAACTGTGTGAGACCCCTCCAACAGGGTTTTTCAGACATCCTGTACAGGAACGTTCCTACTGGTATCAGGTCAATGCCCCTTGAGGTCAGAGATCCCAGATGAAGGAGGAGACACCCATCTTTGCTGTCCTCCAGACTCCTCAAGTGACATCTCCAGGCGTGGGAGAGAACCAGATGAACAGGGCCTGAAGTGCAACCCCAGCAAACCACAGCAGCCCTACAGAAGAGGGACCTAACTATTGAAAGAAAAACAAACAAACAAAAAAAAACAGCAACAAAAACAGCATCAACAAAAAAAGTCCTCACAAAAACCTCATCCAAGTGGCAACAGCCTCAAGGATCAAAACTAGGCAAACTCATGAAGACGAGAAAAAAATCAATGGAAAAATTCTGAAAACCCAAAAGGCCTCTTCTCCTCCAAATGATCACAACACCTCTCAAACAAGGGGGCAAAGCTGGATGGAAGATGAGATGGACAAATTGACAGAAGTAGGCTTCAGAAGTTGGGTAGTAACAAACTTCGCTGAGGAACATAAATGACCTAATGGAGCTGAAAAATGCAGCACGAGAACTTCGTGAAGCATACAGAAGTATCAATAGCCAAATGGATCAAGTGGAAGAAAGAATATCAGAGATGGAAGACTATCTTGCTGAAATAAGGCAGGCAGACAAGATTAGAGAAAAAAGAACGAAAAGGAATGACCAAAACCTCCAAGAAATATGGGACTATGTAAAAAGCCTGAACCTACCACTGATAAGAGTGCCTGAAAGAGATGGGGATAATGGAACCAAGTTGGAAAACACACTTCAGAATATTATCTGTGAGAACTTCCCCAACCTAGCACGACAGGTCAACATTCAAAATAACTGAAATAATTACAAAGAGTCTCTCAGACCAAAGTGCAATCAAATTAGAACTCAGGATTAAGAAACTCACTTAAAACCACACAACTACATGGAAATTGAACAACCTGATCCTGAATGACTCCTGGGTAAATAATGAAATTAAGGCAGGAATCAAGAAGTTCTTTGAAACAAATGAGAGCAAAGAGATAATGTACTAGAATCTCTGGGATGCAGCTAAAGCAGTGTTAGGAGGAAAATTTATAGCACTAAATGTCCACATCAGAAAGGTAGAAAGATCTCAAACTGACACCCTAACACCACAATTAAAAGAAGTAGAGAAGCAAGAAAAAACAAATCCAAAAGCTAGCAGAAGACAAGAAATAACTAAGATCTGAGCAGAACTGAAGGAAACAGAGACACGAAAAACCCTTCAAAATATTAATGAATTCAGGAGCTGGCTTTCTGAAAAAAAAATTAATAAGATAGACTGCTAGCTAGACTAATAAAGAAGAAAAGAGAGAAGACTCCAATAAACACAATAAAAAATGATAAAAGGGATATCACCACTGACCCCACAGAAAAAAAACTACCATCAGAAAATACCATAAACACCTCTATGTCAATAAATCAGAAAATCTAAAAAAAATAGATAAATTCCTGGACACATGCACCCTCACAAGACTAAACCAGGAAGAAGTCCAATCTCTGAATAGACCAATAACAAGTTCCAAAATTGAGGCAGTAATAAATAGCCTACCAACCAAAAGCATCCCAGGACCAGATGGATTTACTGCTGAATTCTACCAGAGGTACAAAGAGGAGCTGCTACCATTCCTTCAGACATGATTCCAAGCAATTGAAAAGGAAGGACTCCTCCCTAACTAATTTTATGAGAACAGCATCATCCTGATACCAAAACCTGGCAGAGGCACAACAAACACAGAAAACTTCAGGTTGATATACCTCAGGAACATTGATGCAAAAATCCTCAAAAAAATACTGACAAACCGAATCCAGCAGCACATCAAAAGCTTATCCACCACCATCAAGTCAGCTTTATCCCTGGGATGCAGGGCTGGTTCGACGTATGCAAATCAATAAATATAATCCATCAAATAAACAGAACCAATGACAAAACCCACATGATTATCTCAATAGATGCAGAAAAGACCTTTGATAAAATTCAACATCCCTTCAGGTTAAAAATTCTCAATAAACTAGGTATTGATGAAACATATCTCAAAATAAGAGCTATTTGTGACAAGGCCACAGCCAATACCATACTGAATGGGCAATAGCTGGAAGCATTCCCTTTAAAAACCAGCACAAGACAAGGATGGCTTCTGTCACCACTCCTATTCAACATAGTATTAGAAGTTCTGGCCAGGGCAATCAGGCAAGAGACAAAAATAAAGGGTATTCAAATAGAAAGAGAGGAAGTCAAATTGTCTCTGTTTCCAGATGACATGATCCTATATTTAGAAAGCACCATTATCTCTGCCACCAAACTCCTTAAGCTGATAAAAAAACTTCAGCGAAGTCTCAGGATACAAAATCAATGTGCAAAAATCACAAGCATTCCCATACACCAACAATAAATAGGCAGAGAGTCAAATCATGAATGAACTCCCATTCACAATTGCTACAAATAGAACAAGATACCTAGAAACACAGCTAACAAGGGACACGAAGGACCACTTCAAGGAGAACTGCAAACCACTGCTGAAGGTAGAAAGAGAGGACACAAACAAATGGAAAAACCTTCCATGCTTATGGATAGCAAGAATCAATATCATGAGAATGGCCATACTGCCTAAAGTAGTTTATAGATTCAATGCTATTCCCATCAAACTACCATTTACATTCTTCACAGAATTAGAAAAAACCTGTTTTAAAATTCACATGGAACAAAAAAAGAGTTCACATAGCCAAGACAATCCTAAGCAAAAAGAACAAAGCTGGAGGCATCATGCTATTTGACTTCAAACTATACTACAAGGCTACAGTAACAGAAACAGCATGGTACTGGTACCAAAACAGACATATAGACCATTGGAACAGAATAGAGACCTGAGAAATAAGACCACACATCTACAACCATCTGATCTTCAGCAAAAATCGACCTGACAAAAACAAACAATGGGGAAAGGATTCGATTCCCTATTTAATAAATGGTGCTAGAAAAACTGGCTAGCCATATGCAGAAAACTGAAACCGGACTCCTTCCTCACACCATATACAAAAATTAAGTCAAGATGGATTAAATACTTAAATATAAAACCCAAAACCATAAAAACCCTAGAAGAAAACCTAGGCAATACCATCAGGACATAGCCAGGGGCAAAGATTTTATGATGAAATCACCAAAAGCAATTGCAACAAGAGCTAAAATTGACGAATGAGATCAAATTAAACTAAAGTGCTTCCGCACAGCAAAAGAAACTATCATCAGAGTGAACAGGCAACCTACAGGTAATTGGAGAAAATTTTTGCAATTTACCCATAAGATAAAGGTCTAATATCCAGAATTTACAAGAAATTTAAACAAATTTATAAGAAAAAAAACAAACAACCCCATCAAAAATTAGGCAAAGGATATGAACAGATACTTCTCAAAAGAAGACATTATGCGGCCAAAACATATGATAAAAAGCTCAACATCACTGATCATTAGAAGAATGCAAATCAAAACCACAATGAGGTACCATCTCATTCCAGTCAGAATGGCAATTATTTTTATTTTTTATTTTATTTTTTTATTCTTATAAATTTTATTATTATTATTAATATACTTTAAGTTCTAGGGTACATGTGCACAATGTGCAGGTTTGTTACATATGTATACATGTGCCATGCTGGTGTGCTGCACCCATTAACTTGTCATTTACATTAGGCATATCTCCTAATGCTATCCCTCCCCACTCCCCAGACCCCACAACAGGTCCCAGTGTGTGATGTCCCCCTTCCTGTGCCCAAGTGTTCTCATTGTTCAATTCCCACCTATGAGTGAGAACATGCGATGTTTGGTTTTTTGTCCTTGTGATAGTTTGCCGAGAATGATGGTTTCCAGCTTCATCCATGTCCCTACAAAGGACACGAACTCATCATTTTTTATGGCTGCATAGTATTCCATGGTGTATATATGCCACATTTTCTTAATCCAATCTATCATTGTTGGACATTTGGGTTGGTTCCAGGTGTTTGCTATTGTGAATAGTGCCGCAATAAACATACGTGTGCATGTGTCTTTATAGCAGCATGATTTATAATCCTTTGGGTATATACCCAGTAATGGGATGGCTGGGTCAAATGGTATTTCTAGTTCTAGATCCCTGAGGAGTCGCCACACTGTCTTCCACAATGGTTGAACTAGTTTACAGTCCCACCAACAGTGTAAAAGTGTTCCTATTTCTCCACATCCTCTCCAGCACCTGTTGTTTCCTGACTTTTTAGTGATCGCCATTCTAACTGGTGTGAGATGGTATCTCATTGTGGTTTTGATTTGCATTTCTCTGATGGCCAGTGATGATGAGGATTTTTTCATGTGTCTGTTGGCTGCATAAATGTCTTCTTTTGAGAAGTGTCTGTTCATGTCCTTCACCCACTTGTTGATGGGGTTGTTTGTGTTTTTTCTTGTAAATTTGTTTGAGTTCATTGTAGATTCTGGATATTAGCCCTTTCTCAGATGAGTAGATTGCAAAAATTTTCTCCCATTCTGTAGGTTGCCTGTTCACTCTGTTGGTGGTTTCTTTTGCTGTGCAGAAGCTCTTTAGTTTCATTAGATCCCATTTGTCAATTTTGGCTTTTGCTGCCATTGCTTTTGGTGTTTTAGACATGAAGCCCTTGCCCATGCCTATGTCCTGAATGGTATTGCCTAGGTTTTCTTCTAGGGTTTTTATGGTTTTAGGTCTAACATGTAAGTCTTTAATCCATCTTGAATTAATTTTTGTATAAGGTGTAAGGAAGGGATCCAGTTTCAGCTTTCTACATATGGCTAGCCAGTTTTCCCAGCACCATTTATTGAATAGGGAATCCTTTCCCCATTGCTTGTTTTTGTCAGGTTTGCCAAAGATCAGATAATTGTAGATGTGTGGTATTATTTCTGAGGGCTCTGTACTGTTCCATTTGTCTATCTCTGTTTTGGTACCAGTATCATGCTGTTTTGGTTACTGTAATCTTGTAGTATAGTTTGAAGTCAGGTAGCATGATGCCTCCAGCTTTGTTCTTTTGGCTTAGGATTGTCTTGGCAATGCGGGCTCTTTTTTGGTTCCATATGAACTTTAAAGTAGTTTTTCCCAATTCTGTGAAGAAAGTCATTGGTAGCTTGATGGGGATGGCATTGAATCTATAAATTACCTTGGGCAGTATGGCCATTTTCATGATATTGATTCTTCGTATCCATGAGCATGGAATGTTCTTCCCTTTGTTTGTATCCTCTTTTATTTCATTGAGCAGTGGTTTGTAGTTCTCCTTGAAGAGTTCCTTCACATCCCTTGTAAGTTGGATTCCTAGGTATTTTATTCTCTTTGAAGCAATTGTGAATGGGAGTTCACTCATGATATGGCTCTCTGTTTGTCTGTTATTAGTGTATAGGAATGCTTGTGATTTTTCCACATTGATTTTGTATCCTGAGACTTTGCTGAAGTTGCTTATCAGCTTAAGGAGATTTTGGGCTGAGACGATGGGGTTTTATAGATATACAATCATGTCATCTGCAAACAGGGACCATTTAACTTCCTCTTTTCATAATTGAATACCATTTCTTTCTTTCTCCTGCCTGATTGCCCTGGCCAGAACTTCCAACACTATGTTGAATAGGAGTGGTGAGAGAGGGCATCCCTGTCTTGTGCCAGTTTTCAAAGGGAATGCTTCCAGTGGTGTTATCCCCTTTGTCATTTTTTATTGCGTCTATTTGATTCTTCTCTCTTTTCTTCTTTATTAGTCTTGCTAGCAGTCTATGAATTTTGTTGATCTTTTCAAAAAACCAGCTCCTGGATTCATTGATTTTTTGAAGGGTTTTTTATGTCTCTATCTCCTTCAGTTGTGCTCTGATCTTAGTTATTTCTTGCCTTCTGCTAGCTTTTGAATGTGTTTGCTCTTGCTTCTCTAGTTCTTTTAATTGTGATGTTAGGGTGTCAATTTTAGATCTTTCCTGCTTTCTCTTGTGGGCATTTAATGCTGTAAATTTCCCTCTACACACTACTTTGAATGTGTCCCAGAGATTCTGGTATGTTGTGTCTTTTTTCACATTGGTTTCAAAGAACTTTATTTCTGCCTTCATTTAATTATCTACCCAGTAGTCATTCAGGAGCAGGTTGTTCAGTTTCCATGTAGTTGGCGGTTTTGAGTGAGTTTCTTAATCCTGAGTTCTAGTTTGATTGCACTGTGGTCTGAAAGACAGTTTGTTATAATTTCTGTTCTTTTGCATTTGCTGAGGAGTGCTTTACTTCCAACTATGTGGTCAGTTTTGGAGTAAGTGCGGTGTGGTGCTGAGAAGAATGTATATTCAGTTGATTTGGGGTGGAGAGTTCTGTAGATGTCTATTAGGTCTGCTTGGTGCAGAGCTGAGTTCAATTCCTGGGTATCCTTGTTAACTTTCTGTCTCACTGACCTGTCTAATGTTGACAGTGGGGTGTTAAATTCTCCCATTATTGTTGTGTGGGAGTCTAAGTCTCTTCATAGGTCTCTAAGGACTTGCTTTATGAATCTTGGTGCTCCTGTATTGGGTACATATATATTTAAGATAGTTAGTTCTTCTTGTTGAATTGATCCCTTTACCATTATGTAATGGCCTTCTTTGTCTCTTTTGATCTTTGTTGGTTTAAAGTCTGTTTTATCAGAGACTAGGATTGCAACCCCTGCCTTTTTTTGTTTTCCATTTGCTTGGTAGATCTTCCTCCATACCTTTATTTTGAGCCTATATGTGTCTCTGCACATGAGATGGGTTTCCTGAATACAGCACACTGATGAGTCTTGACTCTATCCAATTTGCCAGTCTGTGTCTTTTAATTGGAGCATTTAGCCCATGTACATTTAAGGTTAATATTGTTACGTGTGAATTTGATCCTGTCATTATGATGTTAGCTGGTTATTTTGCTCATTAGTTGCAGTTTCTTCCTAGCATCGATGGTCTTTACAATTTGGCATGAGTTTGCAGTGGCTGGTACCGGTTGTTCCTTTCCATGTTTAGTGTTTCCTTCAGGAGCTCTTGTAGGGTAGGCTAGGTGGTGACAAAATCTCTCAGCATTTGCTTGTCTGTAAAGTATTTTATTTCTCCTTCACTTATGAAGCTTAGTTTGGCTGGATATGAAATTCTGGGTTGAAAATTCTCTTCTTTAAGAATGTTGAATATTGGCCCCCACTCTCTTCTGGCTTGTAGAGTTTCTGCCAAGAGATCCGCTGTTAGTCTGACGGGCTTCCCTTTGTGGGTAACCCGACCTTTCTCTCTGGCTGCCCTTAACATTTTTTCCTTCATTTCAACTTTGGTGAAACTGACAATTATGTGTCTTGGAGTTGCTCTTCTCGAGGAGTATCTTTGTGGCATTCTCTGTATTTCCTGAATTTGAATATTGGCCTGCCTTGCTAGGTTGAGGAAGTTGTCCTGGATAATGTCCTGCAGAGTGTTTTCCAACTTGGTTCCATTCTCCCCGTCACTTTCAGGTATACCATTCAGACGTAGATTTGGTCTTTTCACATTGTCCTATATTTCTTGGAGGCTTTGTTCATTTCTTTTTATTCTTTTTTTCTCTAAACTTCTCTTCTCGCTTCATTTCATTCATTTAATCTTCCATCACTGATACCCTTTCTTCCAGTTGATTGAATCGGCTACTGAAGCTTGTGCATTTGTCATGTAGTTCTCGTGCCATGGTTTTCAGCTCCATCAGGTCCTTTAAGGACTTCTCTGCATTGGTTATTCTAGTTAGCCATTTGTCTCATCTTTTTTCAAGGTTTTTAACTTCTTTGCATTGGGTTCAAACTTCCTCCTTTAGCTCAGAGAAGTTTGATCATCTGTAGCCTTCTTCTCTCAACTTGTCAAAGTCATTTTCCATCCAGCTTTATTCCATTGCTGGTGAGGAGCTGCGTTCCGTTGGAGGAGGAGTGGCACTCTGATTTTTAGAATTTTCAGTTTTTCTGCTCTGTTTTTTCCCCATCTTTGTGGTTTTATCTACCTTTGGTCTTTGATGATGGTGATGTACAGATGGGTTTTTGGTGTGGATGTCCTTTCTGTTTGTTAGTTTTCCTTCTAACAGTCAGGACCCTCAGCTGCAGGTCTGTTGGAGTTTGCTGGAGGTCCACTCCAGACCCTGGCCATGTGAGGTGTCAGTGTGCCCCTACTGGGGGGTGCCTCCCAGTTAGGCTACTCGGGGGTCAGGTACCCACTTGAGGAGGCAGTCTGTCCATTCTCAGATCTCCAGCTCTGTGTTGGGAGAACCACTACTCTCTTCCAAGCTGTCAGACAGGGACATTAAGTCTGCAGAGGTTTCTGCTGCCTTTTGTTTGGCTATGCCCTGCCCCCAGAGGTGGAGTCTACAGAGACAGGCAGGCCTCCTTGAGCTACGGTGGGCTCCACCCAGTTCAAGACTCCAGGCAGCTTTGTTTACCTACTCAGGACTCAGCAATGGTGGGCGCCCCTCCCCAAGCCTCGCGAGAATGGCAATTATTAAAAAGTCAAGAAACAACAGATGCTGGTGAGGCTGTGGAGGAATAGGAACACTTTTACATTGTTGGTGAGAATATAAACTATTTCAACCATTGTGGAAGACAGTGTGGTGATTCCTCAAGGATCTAGAACCAGAAATACCATTTGACCCAGCAGTCCCATTACTGGATATACCCAAAGGAATATAAACCATTCTATTATAAAGATACATGCACACTTATGTTTATTGCAGCACTATTCACAATAGCAAAGATATGGAACCAACACAAATGCCCACTAATACTAGACTGGATAAAGAAAATGTGGTACATATACACCATGATATACTATGGATTACAAAAAGGAATGAGATCATGTCCTTTGCAGGGACATGGATGAAGCTGGAAGACATCATCCTCAGCAAACTAACACAGGAACAGAAAACCAAACACCACATGTTCTCACTCATAAGTGGGAGTTGAACAATAAGAACACATGGACACAGGGAGGGGAATAACACACACCGGGGCCTGTTGGAGTGTGGGGGCAAGGGGAGGGTGTGCATCAGGACAAATATTTAATGCATGCTGGGCTTAAAACCTAGGTGATGGGTTGATAGGTGCAGTAAACCACCATGGCACATATATACCTATGTAACAAACCTGCACGTTCTGCACGTGTATCTCAGAACTTAAAGTAAAAGAGATTAAAAAAATAGAAATTTTTTTAAAAAGGAAATTCTGTCATTCATGGCAAAATGAATGAGCATGGAAGACATTATGTTAAGTGAAATAAACAGACACAGAAGGATAAATACCACCATGTTCTCACTCATATGTGGCAGCTAAAAAAATTGATCTCAAAGAAGCAGAGAGTAGAATTCTGGTTATTAGAAACTAGGAAGGGAGGGTTTGGTTAATGGATACAAAATTACCACTAGATGGAAGGAATAAAATCTAGTGTTCTGTTACACTTTAGGGTGAATATGGTTGGCAATAATTTATTGTATATTTTCAAAAAGCCAGAAGGGAGATTTTGGATGTTCCAACACAAAGAAATGATAAATGTTAAAGGTAATAGATATGCTAATTACCATGATTTGATCATTACACATTGTATAGGTGTATCAAAATATTATTCAATATCCCATAAATAGGTACAATTATTATGTTTCAACCAAAACAAATAAAAAAGAGGGAATGCAAACAATAAAAAAATAAAAATCTCCACTTGAGTGGAGTAAGATTGTCATCATTAGGCTCCAGATTGCCCCCGGCACCAGGCTGGCTTCTCCTGGTAGAGACTTCAGGCCTATGCCAGCACCAGGCTGACTCCTGCAACCCTAGTCATTAGGCTAGCACCCATGGACCGAGGCTCCAAGATGGACCCAGTCGACAGCCTCCAAGTTTGCTCCAGTGCAGGCAAGATTGCACAGCCCCAAGCTCTAGGTCTGCTTGGAAGACTTGGTCTCTGGGCCTGCCCCAGTACCAGGAAAACCCCAAATAGCCCCAGATCTAGAACATCCCTGCGCTTCAGTCCTGCCCTAGTGCAAAGCCAACCCCCATTGAATCAGGATCCAGGTTTGGCCAAAAGCCATGTCAGATTTGGTGACCCCAGACTCCAGACTGCACACATCACCAAGCTGACTGCCCAGTCATCAGGCCAGCCTCTGCAGATACAGGATTCAGGCCCACCCGGCACCAAGCCAGCCCCATCCAGCTTTAGGCTTCAGGACCACACCAGCACCAGATTGGCACCCGTGGCCTCGAACACCTGACGGACACCTGTGGATACAGTCTCTAGGTCTGCCTATGCCAGGCTAGCTCCTGTTGCCTCATGCACCAGAAGACTCAGGGTCCATGCCTGTCCCAGTAGGCCCCAGCACTGGACCATCCCTCGTGGACACAGGCTCCAGGACTACCCTTGTGTACCAGGATCCAGACTGGCTCCTAATGCCCCAAGACCCAGGCCAGCCCTCAAAAATCTAGCATCTAGACCAGCACCTGCACACCCAATATACAGGCCAACACCACCAGACACAGGCTTTAGGTAGGTCCCCATGGTCCCAAGGTCCAGGCTAGCCCCAGTGGCCCCAGGCACCAGGCCAGCACCTGTGATCCTAGGCTCCAACCAGGCTTCATGGACCCAGGCACCACATTGGCCCCAGGACCAGGCTGGCCCCAGGCTTTAGGCCAGGCCCTGGGGTCCTAAGCTCCAGCAGACCAATCCCCATGAACTCAGGCTCCAGGCCTTACCCAGTGGTTCCAGGCACCAGGCCCAACCCAGCACCAGGCAAGTTTCCATGGGCTTAGGCTGCAGGCCCTTCCCAGTAGACCCAAGTGTCAGGCCCATCCCAGCACACAACTAGCGCCTGTAGACTCATACTCAAGACTGGCCCTAGCACCAGGTAAGCCCCTGTTGACCTAGGCTTTAGGCCCATCTCCACCAATCAAATCAACAGGTCCACCCCAGTGAATACAGACTTTAGACCCAACCCCGCAGAGCCAAGCACAAAGACAGCTTGCCCAAGGACTCCAGCAACAAGCTTACCCTCAGACGGTGTCAGACAGGCTGCCCAAAATCTCTGGGTGGGCTGACTGGTGAAGGGCTTTCCCCAGACAAAGCAATTCTGAAAAGACTGTAATAAGTCCCTACTTCCTCAAATGCACACACATCAACATAATACAACAAGAAACATGAAAAATTAAGGCAACATAATACCACCAAAAATACACAGTAGCCTCCCAGTAGCTGATGAGGTTGTACAGTAGACTTCTAGAACTTGATTCATCTTGTGGAACTGAAAGTTTATACTCATTGAAGAGCAACTTCTCATTTCCTCCTCCACTCAGCCCCTGTCAATCACCATTTTACTCTCTGTTTCTAGAGCTCGATTACTTTATCTACCTTATATAACTGAAATCATGCAGTATGTGTCCTTCTGTGACTGATTTATTTCACTTATCATAATGTCCTTCTGGTACATTCATGTTGTCACATATGAAAGTATTACTTCCTTAAGGCAGAGTAATATTCCATTGTATGTATATACCACATTTTCTTTAGCTACTCATTTGTTAATGGATATTTTAGTGTTTCTGGACGTTGGCTACCGTGAATAATGCTAGAGTGAATATGGAAGTGCAGATATCTCTTTGAGATCCTGATTTCAGTTCTTTCCAGTAAGTGCCCAGAAGTGGGATTGTTGGATTATATGGTAGTTCCATCTTTAATTTCTTGAGGAACCTCCGTACTGTTTTCCATAATGCCTGACTAATTTACATTCCTACCAATAGTGTATGAGAATTCCCCTTTCCCCACATTGCTGGGAACTCTTGTTATCTCTTTTTTAAATTAATATTCGGTATCCTAACAGGTGTGAGATGATACCTCATTGTCATTTGCATTTGTTTTTTCTTCCTGATGACTAGTGATACTGAGCAACTTTTCATATATATATATTTCCCATTTGTATGTCTCCTTTGGAAAAATCTTGAGTACTTTGCCCATTTTCCAATAGGTTATGTTTTTGGCCATAAAATTGTAGGAATTCCTTATATATTTTGGAAATTAACCCTTTATCTGAGATATAATTTGCAAATATTTTCTCACATTTCATAATTTGCCATGTCACTCTGTTGATTGTTTCCTTTTCTGTGCAGAAAATGTGATGTATTCCTACTTGTCTATTTTTGCTTTATGTCCTGTGATTTTGGTGTTATATTCATAAAATCCTTGCCAAATCCAGTATTAAGTGGCTTTCCCTGTCTTCTTCTAGGTGTTTTATAGTTCTGTGTCTTACATTTGAGTCTTTAATTTATTTGAGTTGATATTTGTGCATGGTGTAAGATAAGAGTCCAATTTTATTCTTTTTTGGCTATATATAATCTTTAAGCTTTTATTTTAGGTTTGGGGGCACATAGAAGGGTTTGTTACATAAGTAAAATTACACCATGGGGATTTGTTGTACAGATTATTTAATCACCCAGGAATTCTGCTCGTCTCCCTCCTCCCACCCTCCACCCTCAAGTAGACTGCAATGTCTGTTGTTTCCTTTTTTGTGTGTTAATAAGTTCTCATCATTTAGTTCCCACTTATAAGTGAGAACACGTAGTATTTGGTTTTCTGTTTCTGCATTAGTTTGCTGAGGATAATAGCCTCCAGCTCCATCCATATTCCCACAAAAGACAAGATCTCATTCTTTTTTATGGCTGCATAGTACCCCATGGTGTATATGTGCCATATTTTATTTCTCTGATCTGTCATTGATTGGCATTTAGATTGATTCCATGTCTTTGCTATTGTGAGCAGTGCTGCAATAAATATTTGCGTGCATAAGTCTTTATGGTAGAATGATTTATAGTCCTCTGGATATATACCCAGTAATGGGATTGCTGGGTCAAATGATAGTTCTGCTTTTAGCTCTTTGAGGAATCGCTATACTGCTTTCCACAATGGTTGAAATAGTTTACACTCCCACCAACAGTGTATAAGTGTTTCCTTTTCTCTGCAACCTTGCCAGCATCCATTATTTTTTGACTTTTTAGTAGTAGCCATTCTGACTGGTATGAGATGGTATCTCATTGTGGTTTTGATTTGCATTTCTCCAGTGATAGGTGATGTTGAGCTTTCTTTATACGTTTGTTGGTTGCATGTGTATCTTATTTTGAAAAGTGTCTGTTCTTTTGCTCACTTTTTAATAGGGTTGCCCACCTTTTAATAGGGTTGTTTGTTTTTCTCTTGTAAATTTAAGTTCCTTGTAGATGCTGAATATTAGACCTTTGTCAGATGTATAGTTTGCAAGTATTTTCTTCCATTCTGTAGGTTGATTGTTTACTCTGTTGACAGTTTCTTTTGCTCTGCAGAAGCTGTTAAGTTTAATTAGATTCCACTTGTCAATTCTTGCTTTTGTTGAGATTGCTTTTGGTGTCTTTGTCATAAAATCTTTGCTTGTTCCTATGTCCAGGATGGTACTACCTAGGTTGTCTTCCAGGGTTTTAATAGTTTTGGTTTTACATTTAAGCCTTTAATCCACCTTGAGGTGATTTTTATATATGGTGTAAGAAAGGGGTTCAGCTTTAGTCTTCTGCATATGGCTAGTAAGTTATCCAAGCACCACTTATTGAATAGGGAGTCTTTTCCCTATTGCTTGTTTTTGTCAGGTTTGTTGAAGATCAGATAGTTGTAGGTGTGTAGTCTTATTTCTGGGCTCTCTATTCCGTTCGATTGGTCTATATGTCTGTTTTCATATCAGTACCATGCTGTTTTGTTTACTGTAGCTCTGCAGTATAGTTTGAAGCCAGGTAACATGATGCCTCCAACTTTGTGCTTTTTGCTTAGGATTTTCTCAGCTATTCAGGATATTTTTATGTTCCACATGAATTTTAAAATATTTTCTTCTAGTTATGTGAAGAATGTCAATAGTAGTTTGATAGGAATAGCATTAAATCTGTAAATTGCTTTGGGCAGTATGGCCATATTAATGACATTGATTTTTTCTATCCATGAGCATAGGATGTTTTTCTATTTGTTTGTGTCTTCTATGATTTCTTTGAGCAGTGTTTTGTAATTATCATTGTAGGGATCTTTCACCTCCCTGGTTAGCATTATTCCCAGATATTTTATTTTTTTAATGGAAATTGTGAATGAGATTGCCTTCCTGATTTGGCTCTCAGCATGACTGTTCTTGGTATATAGAAATGCTAGTGATTTTTGTACACTGATTTTGTATCCTGAAACTTTGCTGAAGTTGTTTATCAGCTGAAGGAGCTTTGGGGCCAAGACTATGGGGTTTTCTAGACATAGAATCATGTTGTCTGTAATCAGAGACAACTTGACTTCCTTTCTTCCTATTTGCATGCCCTTTACTTCTTTCTCTTGCCTGATTGCTCTGGCTAGGATTTCCAATACTGTGTTTAATAGGAGTGGTAAGAGAGGACATTCTTGTCTTATGCCGGTTTTCATGGGAAATATTTTCAGCTTTTGCCCATTCAGTATAATGTTGGCTGTGAGTTTGTCATAGTGTTGGGTCAGATGAATCCCTTCATCTTTTCTAATTGTGTTTGTTTGAACCTTCTCTCCTTTCTTTCTAATGTTTTCAAAAAAAAAAAAAAACTCCTGGATTCATTGATATTATGAATTTTTTTTGTGTGTGTCTCAGTGTCCTTCAGTTCAGCTCTAAAATTAGTTATTTCTTATTTTCTGTTAGCTTTGGGGTTGATTTTTTCTTGCTTCTCTAATTCTTTCAGTTGTGATGTTAGCTTGTTAATTGCAGATCTTTCAAAGTTTTTTAATGTGGGCATTTAGTGCTATGAATTTCCCTCTTAACACAGTCTTACCTGTGTCCCAGAGAGTCTGGTATTTTGTATCTTTGTTCTCATTAGTTTCAAAGAACTCCTTGATTTTTGCCTTAATTTCATTATTTACCCCAAAGTCATTCAGAAGCATATTGTTTAATTTCCATGTAATTGCATTATTTTCTTAGTCTTGACTTCTATTTTTATGATCTGAGAGTGATCACACACTGATCTGAGAGTGTGTTTGGTATGATCTTGGTTCTTTTGCATTTGCTGAGGATTGTTTTATGTCCCATCATGTGGTCAATTTTAGAGTACGTGCCATGTGGTGAGTTCTGTAGATGTCTATCAGATCCATTTGGTCCAATATTGAGTTTAGGTACTGTATATATGTTACTTTTCTGCCTCAATAATATGTCCAATACTGTCAGTGGAGTGTTGATGTCTCCCACTATTATCATGTGGGAGTATATGTCACATTGTAGGTCTCTAAGAAGTTGCTTTATGAATCTGGGTGCTTCTGTGTTAGGTGCATATATATTTAGGTTAGTTAGATCTTCTTTTGGACTGAACCCTTCACCATTATGTAATGCCCTTCTTTGTCTTTTTTTGATTGTTGGTTTGAAGTTTGTTTGTATGAAATTATGATTGCAACCCCTGCTTTTTTTGTTCTCAATTTGCTTGGTATATTTTCCTCCATCCCTTTGTTTGGATCTCATGGGTGTCATTTTGTGTGAGATGGGTCACTTGAAGACAGCATGCCATTACTGTTTTGGGGTGGAAAATTCTGTAGAGGTCTATCAGATCCATTTGGTCCAATACTGAGTTTAAGTCCTGAATATATTTGTTAATTTTCTGCCTCAATGATCTGCCTAGTATTGTCAGTGGAGTATTTACAGTTTGCATTTTAATCCAACTTGCCACTCTGTGCCTTTCAAATGGGGCATTTGGCCTGTTTACATTCAAGGTTAATATTGATATGTGTGGATTTGATCCTGTCATTGTGTTGTTAGCTGGTTATTATATTTGCTTGTTTGTGTGGTTGCTTTATAATGACACCTATGTGTTTAAGTTTGTTTTTGAATTAGCTGGTAGAAGTCTTTTCTTTCTATATTTAGTGCTCCTCTCAAGATTTCTTGTAAGGCAGGTCTGGTGGTAATGAACTCCCTCCCTCCACATTTACTTATACGAAAATAATCTTATTTCTCCTTTGCTTGGGAAGCTTAGTTTGGCTTGATATGAAATTCTTGGTTGATTTTTTTTCTTTAAGAATGTTGAATATAGGTCCCTAATCTCTTCTGGCATGTAAGGTTTCAGCTGAGAGATCTGCTGTTAGCCTGATGGTGCTCCCTTTGTAGGTGACCTGCCCTTTCTCTCTAGCTGCCTTTAACATTCTTTCTTTTATTTTAGCCTTGGAAAATCTGATGATTGCGTATCTTGGGGATAATCTTTTTGTGTATAATCTTGCAGGAGTTCTCTGTATTTCCTGAATTTGACTGTTGGCCTCTCTAGCAAGGTTGGGGAAGTTTTCATGGGCAATATCCTGAAATATATTTTCCAAGTTGTTTTCTTTCTCCCCCTCCCTTTCAGGGACGCCAATAATTGGTGGATTTTGCCTCTTTACATAATCTCATACTTCTCAGAGGTTTTGTTCATTCATTTTTTCTTTATTTTTGTCTGATTGTCTTATTTCAGAGAACCAGTCTTCAAGTTTTAAGATTCTTTCATCAGTTTGGTTTATTCTGCTGCTAATACTTGTGATTATATTGTGAAATTCTTGTATTGTGTTATTCAGTTCCATCAGACCTGTTAGGCTCTTTTTTAAAAAACTGGCTATTTTGTCCTTCAGCTCCTGCATCACTTGTGAATTTTATTTTCCCTGTATTGGGTTTTGCCATCCTCCTGAATCTTGATGATCTTTGTTCCTATCCAGATTCTGAATTATATTTCTGTCATTCTAGTCAGTTCAGCCTGGTTAAGAACTCTTTTTAGAGGACTGGTACAGTTGTTAGGAGGATACATGAAACTCTGGCCATTTGAGTTACCAGAGTTCTTGGTTCTTTCTCATCTCTGCAATTATGTGTTTGTTTAACTGCAGTGTAGATTGAGCACAGTCAGTAGTCTTCTTTTCTGGATGTTTTCACTGGGCTGAGACTTTGTGCAGCATCTTTATTTGAAGCTAACATCTGGTCTCTGGTTTCAGGTGGGGAAATGTTAGTGAGTTATTTTTGGTGTTGAAGCTTTGGCGTGTGATCCAGTAGGTGGCACTTATTGGTCAGTTGGTAGATTCTTGCTCAGTTGTGTGGCTCCCCTATGTATCCTTGCAGTTGCATCTGTGGTCCCTCTCAATGCTCTAAATGTGTGGGTTCCTCTTCACTTGAGTTCTGGCTGTAGTTCAGGACTTGGCACTCCTGGGCTGCCCACTGCACCTCTGGGGTGATTTCAGTGTTTATGTTTCTTCCCCACTTGGAGACATCAGAGGAAGGGACCTTAGTAGTGGTTGTGGCCAAGGGTCTTTTGCTTGTCTCCTGGAGGCTCCACCCCAGAGACAGGCAGGTCAGCAATCACTCAGTGCGATCAATCAGCCCAGGATGGAGGGTCTGTTTTGTGGGCCCAAGCCAGGGGTTCCCTGTCTGTGACAAGCAGTCGGGGGTGTGTGGGACCCACAGGAGAGGGACTAGCCTTCTTTCCTTGGGTCGACTACAGTGTGTTGGAGGTGTGAATAAAGCACTGACAGTCGTTGTTGCTTCATTAGTCTGAAGGTACCAAGGGCAGTTCCATTGTAAAGACAGTGCCACAGAGGCTTTCAGTTGCATCTGGAGACTCTGTCCAGGGAGTTACCGAGCTGCTACCGGCTCGATTGCTCTAGCAGGGGGTAGATGGAAGCCTAGGCCTGGAGGACCTACACAGTGAAGAGATATAAGAACAGGCATACATAACAGTCCGGCCACTTTTCTGTAAGGCTGCTGCGGTATGCTTGGGGCCCACTCCAGTCCCTAGGCACCTTGGATATTCCAGTACCTAGAGGTATCTCCAGTGAAGGCTGTGATACGGCAAAGATGACAGTCTCCTCCTCCCACTGGAAGCTTCTCCAGGGAGGTACAGACCTGTTACCAGCCCAAACACACCTGTAGGATGTGGCTAGAGAACTGATTAGGAGGTCCTGCCCAGTGAGGAGTAACGGGATTGGGGACCCACTTAAAAAAGTTGTCTGGCCATGTTTTCATACAGCAGCTGTGCTGTGCTGGGGGTCTGCTTCAGCCCCCAGTCACCTCAGACACTCCAAAGCACTAAGGCCAGAATAGCTAAGTTACCAAAACAGCAAATATGGTGGCCCACCCCTCCCTTGGGAGCTCCACTTCAGGGAGGTTTAAAACCTCTGTCAGTCAGAGAACACTGGCAGGGGTATCTGGATCCAGACCCTGGTTGGGAGGCCCCAGCCGGTGATGAGGAATGGGACTGGGATCTGCTTAAAAAAGCAGTCTGGCCACATTTTTGTAGGGTACCTGTGCTGTGCTGGGGATCTGCCTCAGCCCCTGATCATATTGGATTTTCCAAATTCTGAAGGCCAGAATAGATGTCACCCAAACAGCAAAGATGGTGGCCCACCTCTCCGAGAGCTCTGTCCCAGGTGGGTTTCAAATCTCTGTTAGCCACAGATCACTGGCGGGGGTGGCTGGGGACCCTGGTTGGGAGGTCCTGCCCAGTAAAGAGAAACAGGATTGGAGACCCACTTTATAAAGCAGTCTGGCCACATTTTCAAAAGCAGCTGTGCTATACTGGGGGATCACCTCCATCCCTGGTCAGCCTGGACTCTCCAAAGCCTGAAGGCTGGAACAGCTAAGTTGCCCAAACAGCAAAGATGGCAGCCTGCCCCTCCCTCTGGGAGCTCTGTCCTAAGGAGTCTTGAAACTTCTGTTTGCCAGAGAACACTGGTGGGGGTAGCTGGAGACCCCAGTTGGGAGGCCCCAACTGGTGATGAGGAACGAGATAGGGGACCTGCTTAAAAAGGCAGTCTGGCCATGTTTTTGTAGAGCAGCTGTGCTGTGCTGGGGTACCGCTTCTGCCCCCGGTTGGCTTGGACTTTCCAAAGCCCAAAGGCTGGAATGGCTAAGCCAACCAAACAGCAAAGATGGTGGCCTGCCCCTCCCTCTGGGACCTATATCCCAGGGAGACTTCAAATCTCTATTGGGTGGAGAACACTGCCAGGGGTGGCTAGAGTCCCTGATTGGGAGGTCCCACCCAACAATAAGGAGGAATGGGATCGGGGACTCTCCAAAGTCTGAAAGCTGGAATGGCTAAGTAGCCCAAACAGCAAAGATGGCGGTCTGCCCCACCCCCTAGGAGCTCCATCCCAGGGATGTGCAACACTGCTACTGGTGGCTGGCTAGAATTCCAAGCCATGAGGTCTTATCCTGTGAGATGTCATGGAAGTAGGGCCTGCAGACTGTCACTGCTCAACCCCCTGCATTCAGCCTTTTTCCTAGGGGTATGTACGGAGGTCTAACCTTCAACTTTGTCAGAGTTGCAGCTGCTTTTGCTGGGAAGCCTAGAGAGCCCAAGTATCTAAGGCTCCCGACTCTCCACACATGCCTCAGCAGTTGCTCTGTTGAGACTCGAGGTAGCTTTGTGTGTCAGACTGAAAATTCTGGTAGAGTGGGTTCACGAGGGGATCTCCTGACCCAAGGGTTGCAAAGATCTATGGGAGAAGCATGGGTTCCTGGAGTTGCAGATTCACTCACCACTTTCCTGGGTGGGGTAGGTTCCCTTGTGTCACTCCTTGGTGGGCCGTTGTCCTGCCTTGCTTTTCTCCATTCTCCATGGATCGTTTCCTTGATGAGTCCCAATGTGAATACCTGGATGTTTCAGTTGAATGTGATGTGTTCACTTGCCCCTTCTATTCCTCTTCCTAAGAGCTGCACACACTAAATTGGCCACCTCCTAATTTTATTATTTTATGTGTAAATAATATCTGGCTTCCCAAGGACCATTTGTTGAAGAGGCTATTCTTTCTCCATTATGTATTCCTGAAATTCTCGAAGATCAGTTAACCACATATGCATATGTTTATTTCTGAATTGTCTATTCTGGTCCATTGGTCTTTTTGTCTGTCTTTTTGCCCGTACTATACTGTTTTAATTACTATTGCTTCATAATATATTTTGTAATCGAGAATTGTGATGCTTTCACCTTTATTCTCAATATTACTTTGGCTTTTCATGGTCCTTTGTGGTTACATATAAATGTTGAAATTTTTTTTCTATTTCTTTAAAAAAAAAGTGGGATTTTCAGAGTGATTGCATTGAATCTTTTGGTCACTTCTGGGTAGGATAGAAAATATTAAGTCTTCCAATCTATGAACATGATATGTCTTTCTATTTATTTGTGTCTTTTAAAATTTCTTTTATTAGTGTTCTGTATTTTTCAGTGTACAAGTCTTTCACCTCTTTGGTTAAGTTTGGTTCTAAGTACTTTATTCCTTTTGATTATCTTATATTGGGATCTCATTTCTAATTTCCTTTTTTGATAGTTCATTGTTAGTGTATAGCAAAGCCACTGACTTTTGTATACTGATTTTGTATCTTCCAACTTTACTAAATTTGTTTATTAGTCCTAACAGTTTTATTTTGTGGAATCTTTGGGGTTTTCTACATAAGAGGTTATGTCATATGCAAAAATAATTTTACTTTTTTCCTTCTCATTTGGATGCTTTTTATTTTGTTTTCCTGCCTCATTGTTCGGGCTAGGAATTCCAGTACTATGTTGAGTAGAAGTGGTGAGAGTGGACATTCTTGCCTTGTTTCTGAACTTAGATGAAAAGCTTTCAGCTTTTTGCCATTAAGATGTTAGCTGTGGGCTTTTTATTTTTGTAGACATAATTTCTCTCTCCTAGTTTAATGAGAGTTGTTATTATGAAAGTGTTGAATTTTTCAAATGACTTTTCTATGTCTGTTAAGATAACCATGTGATTTTTATCCTTTATTCAGTGAATGCGATGTATCACATTAATTGATTTTTTTTATATTGAAACATCATTGTATCCCATGGATAACTTCCTCTTAGTTGTTGCATATAATCCTTTGAATGAACTGTTGAATTGGTTTGCTAGTATCTTATTGAGGATTTTTGCTTCTGTTTTCATCAAGGATTTTGATCTGCAGTTTTCTTTTCTTGTAGTGTCATCGTCTTGCTTTAATATCGGGGTAATGCTAGACTCAAAATAAATTTGGACATAGTCCTTTCTCTTCAAGTTTTTGTAAGAGTTTGAAAAGGATTGGCATTAACTCTTCTTTAAATGTTTGGTAGAATTCATCAGTGAAGCCATCTGATCCTGGGTTTTTATTTTTTTGGTTGGGAGGCTTTTAGTTACTAATTCAATCTCCTTACTAGCTATAGGTCTGTTCAGGTTTTCTATTTCTTTATTATTCAGCTTTCGTAGTTTGTGTGTTTCTAAGAATTTATCCACTTCTAGGTTTTTGGTATAGAATTGTTCACTGTGGTCTCTTGTGATTCTTTTGATTTCTGTGGCATGAGTTGTAATGTGTACTCTTTTGTTTCTAATTTTATTTGAATTTTCTTTTTTATTGTTAGTCTAGGTAAAAACTTGTCAATAATATTTATCTTTACAACAATTTTTAGTTTGGCTTGTTTCTTTTATTGTTTTTCTATTCTCTATTTTATTTATTTCTGCCCTAGTTGCTATTGTTTCCTTCCTTCTGCTAAATTTGGGTTTTTTTTTTCCTTTTTCTAATTCTTTGAGGTGTAAAGTGAGATCTTTTTTATTGATGTAGGCATTTATTGCTATAAACTTCTCTCTTAGTACTGCCTTTGTTGCATCTTACAGGTTTTGATATGTTGTGTTTTTATATTTGTGTGTCTCAAGATATTTTCTAAATTCATTTTTTATTTCTTCTTTGACCCATTGATTGCTCATGAATGTATTGTTTGTTTTCCACATATATGTGAATTTTTTCAGTTTTCCTGCTGCTATTGATATTTAATGCCATTCTGTTGTGGTTGGAAAAGACACTTGGTATGATTCAAACTTTTTAGTTTATTAAGACTTTTTGGGGGGTCCTAACATCCAATATGTCTTGGAGAATATTTGGTCTTTCCTGTGTGCTTTATAAGAATGTCTTTTCTGCTGTTGTTGGAAAGAATGTTCTGTATATGTCTGTTATGTCCATTTGGTCTGTAGTGTTGTTCAGGTCAACTGTTTTCTTTATTTTCTGTCTGGATGTCCTATTTAGTTTTGAAAAATGGAGTATTGAAGTCTCTAAGTATTACTGTATTGCTGTTTATTTCTTCCTTTAGTTCTTCAATACTTGCTTTATATATTTAGGTGCTTTGATGATGAGGGCATATATAACTGTCATACCTTCCTGGTGAATTGACACCTTTATCATTATACAGTGTTCTTTTTGGTCTTTTGGGACAATTTTTGACTTAAAGTCTATTTTGTCTGCTATAAATACAGCCACCTCTGCTCTATTTTGGTTATTATTTTATGGGCTATCTTTTCCATCCCCTCACTTTTAGTCATTGCGTCTCCTTAAGGCTAAAGTGAGAGTCTTGCAGGCAGCATGTAGTTGGATCTTGTGTTTTATCCATTCAGCAACCCTATGTCTTTTAATTATAGAGTTTAATCCATTTACATTTAAAACAAATAGTAATAGTGAAGGACTATACTATTGCAATTTTTCTGTCTATCTTGCAGTTCTTTTGTCCCTGTTTCCTCTCATGCTGTCTTCCTTTGTATTTCCTTGATTATTTAATAGTGATGTGATTTTATTTCTTTCTCTTTCTGTTTTATGTATTACAATGAACTGAATGCTACATCTCTGCCAAATTCATATGTTGAAATCCTAACCCCCAATATGGTAGTATTAGGAGGTGGGACCCTTGGGTGGTAATTAGGTCATTAGGGTGGAAACCTCATGAATGGAGTAGTGATCTTATAAAAGGGACCTCAGGGAGCTTTCTTTCCCCTTTTTGCCATGTGAGGATACAAAACAACAACAGCAGCAGCAGCAGCAGCAGCAACAACAACAACAACAGTTTGCAAACAGGGAAAGGGCCCTAGCCAGAATCTAATGATGCTGGCACCCTGATGTCAGACTTCCAGCTTCCAAAACTCTGAGAAATAAATTTCTATTGTTTATAAGCTACCTAATCTATGGTACTTTGCTATTGCCACCCAAATTGACTAAGACATGCATCTTTTATAGGTATTTTTTGGGCATTACCATGTGGCTTAAATAAAAAATCTTAAAGTGATAACATCCTAGTTAAAGCTGCTTACAAGTTAAGTTACATATGACAGCTGTACACTTTTACTTCTTCTCCTATCATGCTTTATGCTATTAGTGTTATAAATAACAACTATTTATATTGTGTATTCCTTAACATATTTTTGTAGTTATTTAACCACTTTCAATATGTTCTCTGTGTTTCTCTTTAGCTTTTCTTTGCCTTAATCTGAAGAGCTTCTTTTAGGATTCCTTGTTAAGACAGGTCTAGTGGAGACAAACTCCCTCTGCTTTTGTTTGTCTGAGAAAATTTTTCTGTTTTCCTTCATTTTTGAAGGACAGTTTTGCCAAGTATAGTGTTCTTGGTTGACAGAGGTATTTTTTTTCCTTCCAGTCCTTTGAAAATATTATCTCATATTCTTTCTGGTCTGCAAGATTTCTGCTGAGAATTCTACTGATAGTTTTATGGAAATTTCCTACACATGAGAAGTTACTTTTCTCTTGCTACTTTCAAAATTCTCTCTATTTTTTACTTTTGACAATTTGAGTGTAGTGTGTCTCAGCATGTACTTGTTTGGTTCATCTTCATTGGGGTTATATTGGTCTTCGTGGATCTAGATGTTCTTTTCATTCTCCATATTTGGAAAGTTTTCAGCCATTATTTATTTGAATAAGCTTTATGGACCTTTGTATATTCTCCTTCTGGGACTTCCCTACTGAATATATTGATCAATTTGATTGTGTTCCATTAGTCCCTTAAGCTTTCTTTATTCTTATGTATTATTTTTCTTTTTGCTCCTCTGACTTATAATTTCAAATGACCCCTCTTTGTATTCACAGATTCTTTCTTATGCTTGATCTAGTCTGCTGTTGAACCCCTTTAGTGAATTTTTCAGCTTAGCTATTGTTTTCTTCAGCTTCTAATTTTTATTTGGCTCTTTTTCTAAATTTTATATTCTTTGTTAAAATCTTCACTTTGTTCATTCCTTTTCCTCCTGAGTTTGTGGAGCATCTTTATGAAAGTTATTTTGGATTCTCTTTGTATATTCTATTTCACTAGGGTTGATTTTTGAAGCTTTATTTTGTTCTTTTTGTTGAGAAATGTTTACCTGTTTTTTCCTTCTCCTTCATTGTGTTATCATCTGCTCATCAGAAAAAATAGCTGCCTTTCCCAGTCCTTACATAAAAAAAAAAACTTTCATAAATACTCCTGACCAGAGGTTCTGGGGACCTCTCAAACATTGTCTGCATATGAGTTTCCTCTGGACTTGAGTATGTAAATTCCCAGTTAGAAGAATTTGGTGATGATTTCTTTTTCTTTTCTTTTCTTTTTCCTTCCTTCCTTCCTTCCTTCCTTCCTTCCTTCCTTCCTTCCTTCCTTCCTCAGTAGTACATAATGTCTTGCTCCTTTTGGTATCTACCTGGAGTACCATGGGACTTCTGGGGTCACAACATGCCCTGAACACATTTTTTGGTGTGTGTTCAGAAGCCCCCAGGTATCTAGAGTATGCCAGGTCCTATTTATACTCTGAGGCTGGCAGTACTGAAGCCTGTCCCATGGATAACCACCAGAAAAATAAGAGCATTAGATAGATGGTCCACTCTTTTCATTTTATCCCCTGTGAGAAGGTGGGAGTTCGAGGTTTCCTCTTGATTATATGGCATTGGACTTAGGGAAGGGATTATAACAAGAAGTTGTTTCATATTTTCCTATTGGCTTTGATGTGGATGGTTTCACACTTGCTCAGGGTATAGGGCCTCTAAACTGGTTTCTAGATTTCTCAAAGGGTATCGGTCAATTTATTGTCATTAAATCAGTGTGTCCATGGAAGAAAGGGAGATGCCAGGGCTTCTAATTTTGCCATCTTTCTGACATCAGTCCCCAGATGAATAGTTCTTATGAATAAAAATGCAAAATTTTTCAACAAAATAGTAGCAAAGCAAATTCAGCATCATTTAAGAAAGATATAATATAACCAGATGGGTTTTATGCAAAAGGTGAAAGGTTGGTTCAATATATAAATTTTAATCAATGTAATATATTATTTTAATAGAATGAAAGAAAAACAGTACATGATCATCTCATTAGCTGAAGAAAAGTTGACAAAATCCAACATCCTTTTATGATAATAATATGCAACAAACTAGGAATAGAAGGGAGATTATGCAAAATGATGAAAGGCACCTATGACAAATCTACAGTTAACATGATACTGAACACCTTTTCTTTAAAATCAGAAAAAAAAGCAATGCTGTCTGCTCTCACCACTTCTATTCAACATTATACTGGAAATTTAAGGACAATTAGGCAAGAAAGATAAATTAAAAATGTGCATATTAGAAAGGAAAAAAGTAAAACTACATCTATTTTAGTTGATATGATCTTATATATAGGAAACCCTAATGGAACCACACACACAAAAAATAGAACAACAACAAAATAAAACTCCTAGGGCTAATAAAATTTCAGTAGAGTTATAGAAAACAAAATCAATTTACAAAAAAATCAGCTGTATTTCCACATACTAGCAATAAAAATTCCAAAAATAAAATTATGGAGAGCAATTTCATTTATAAGAGGATCTAAAAGAATTAAATAATTAGGAATAAATTTAACCAAGGGGGGGGGAAACATAAATGCTGAAAACTATAAAACATTGTGAAAAGTAATTAAGGAAGACCTTAGAATATGCAAAGACATGCTGTGTTCATAGATTGGAAGATGTTAATGCTCCCCCACATTTATCCTCAGAGTCAATGCAATTCCTGTTAAATATCCTACTGCCTTTTCTTTGTGGAAATTGGTAAGTTTATCCCAAAATTCATATGGAATTGCAAGGGACAAAAAGTACCAAAAATAATATTGAGAAGGAAAAACAAAACAGGAAGATGCATACTTTTCAATAATTAAATAAAGTTGTAGTAATCAAAATAGTGTGGTTTTTGCATAAGAGTTGATATAGAGATTGATGTAGTTTGAATATTTGTCCCGCCCAAATCTCATGTTAAATTGTAATCCCCAATGATGGAGGTGGGACCTGGTGGGAGGTGTCTGGGTCACTGGGGAGGATTCCTCACGGCTTGGTGTTGTCTTCAGGATAGTGAGTGAGTTCTCGTAAGATCTAGTCATTTAAAAATGTGTGACACCTTCCTTCTCACTCTCTCTCTGGCTTTCTCTTGCTTTCACCATGTGATGTGCCTGCTACCCCTTCACTTTCTGTCAGATTAATGCTTCCCATGGCCTGGGGTAGTGGGGAATTGGTAGTGAGTGCTTAACAGGCCTGAGGTTTATTTTTGGGGTGATGAAGATGCTCAAGAATTAGAAATTGGTGATGGTTGCACAATATTTCGATTATGCTAAAGAGCACTGACTTGTAGGCTTTGAGATAGGTAAAGTGATGAATTTTATGTTATATGAATTTTATCTTAATTTTTAAAAATCTTAAAAAAAAAAAAAAAACCCTTCAGGCCAGGCATGGTGGCTCACGCCTGTAATGCCAGCACTTTGGGAGGCAGAGGCGGGCCGATCACCTGAGGTCAGGAGTTCGAGACCAGCCTGACCAACATGGCGAAACCGCATCTCTACTAAAAAATACAAATCTTAGGTGTGGTGGTGTGCACCTGTAATCCCAGCTACTAGGGAGGCTGAAGCAGGATAATCGCTTGAACCCGGGAGGCAGAGGTTGCAGTGAGCTGAGATTGCGCCACTGCACTCCAGCCTGGGCAATACAGCAAGACTCCGCCAAAAACAAACAAACAAACGGAAAACCCCAAAAACCTTCCATTGTGGAACCCCTAATTCATTATCCCAGAAACAGGATTAGGTTGGGGCAGGGAGAGGTTTTCTGAGCAGAGGGTGAAGGTCAGATTATGATGGTGCTGCCAACTATGATGGGGCTACAAGGAGGCTACAAGCAGGGGTCTTTAGGGTACTTAAATTACAAATGCTTGTGTGTCATAAAAAAAACATGATGCAGAAGTTCTTACAATGACCATGTTGTGACTACCTGTGATTAACTGGTTGTGGAGCCCTGCAGGTTGCCCAGTAATCTCAGTCTGGTATAATTCTCACCTGACTGAATGAATACCACAGTTCTCATCCACTTAACTCTGTTCTAAAGAACACTTACATCTTTTTTTTGAGTTAAGTATCTGTCTGGGCAGTTAGATGTATTCAATCTAGTCACCAAATGTTTATCAAGTGCCTCATGCTAGTTTACTGAACATTCATCGTGTGCTTGGCACTGTACATAAACAGTATGTTATTTATGTATAACTCACTTAGTCCACTTAAACTCATTAAACATATCTTAATGTTCCCATTTTACATATGGGGGAGCTACAATAGAGAGTGGCTAAATAAATTGCCTAAGTTTATACAGCCACCAAATGGCAAATCTGGGATTTGAACTGAGGTCTATATGGCTCCAGAGACCACGCTCTTCATCACTATACTCTGATGGAAGTTAGTTTGTACTGGTGGATGAGGTGAATGTGGATTGGAGAAAAAGAAGTTTAACATGCATTTTGAGTGTTATTTTGGACCAATTAATTGAATTACTCATACTTCAAACTGTAGTTAAGGCTCCATGAAGACAGGGACCTAAATAACCCATTTTGCTCTCTCTTTCATTATTATAAAAATAAAATCTTTCATCTTTGATAACTTTCACAATTTCATTGTGCAGTAAATTGCACCTGTTGGAATCTTGTAACATTGCTGGGATGTTGTTAGGCACTTAGAGTATGTGTTCCTGTTTGTTTATTTGTTAGCTGTGAAAACCTGTACATCATGAACTAAACTGAGGTGGATCTATAGTTTCTGACTTAAAAGGAGGGGAGGGGCATAATGTAAATGTGGCTGTTGACAGGATTTTAAGCTTTTAAAAGTACAAATGTCTACATATTTTATGTAACATTCAATAATTAAATATCTGGCAAGTGTCATTAAGCAAAATTTATACACTGAAGTTACTGGCTTGTAAATAACCAGGATAGGAAGAATGTATCACTGTGTTTATTTGAAAAACTGCCTGTAACTTAATAAAACCATCATTTCATTTTCTTTGTTTTCAAAATTTTAAAATGTATCTAAATTACTATTTATTCTGTAATAAAGCAATGTATCACTCTTCTGCAAATAAACATGAATGCAGACAGATAAATTAGGATTAGATTTTTTTGGCTGCCATATAAATGTTAGTTTTAATTTTTTAACCATGTTAACCTTAATCTGTGTTGCCTCATTCAAGACCCACATCAGAACATGCCTCCTCTTAGAGGCCTTCCCTCACTAAATTGCCATGCTCAGAACATACTTTTCACACCTGCCATACCATTTATAGAGTGGTATATTGCTTGAATTTATTAATACTGTTTAAAAATGATTTTTCTGACTGTTTCAAGAGTATCCCTCTTGTCTCCTACTATCTCACACGTTCTTCCTGCCTTTGACTTCATTTTTATTTTCACAGAATGTTTAATGATAGTTGTCTACAAGTAGTAGTTTCCCAATAAATATTTCGGGAATTTCAGACTACATTTCAAAGTCGAGAAGCTCATTTAATCTTTAAACTATTATGGTGTCTGGAAATTTTGAGAATAATAATTGTAGAAACCCAGTGTTTTCTGGGAAATATGGGAATTATTTTTGTTGCTGGGAAAGAAATATTTGTTATTTTTTCCCAAATGAATGGACAAGTAATGTAAGCATAGCCTCTTTGACCTAAGAAGAGTCAAGCTGTTCCCCCAACCCCACTCTCCATGATATTTTTTACACTCTGTTTATGCAAGGACCTCAGTTCTTCTTTGTAACTTTTTTTTTTCCATAAAAAAGGATCTCTCTCAGGAGATACCATAAAGTAATACTCAATTTATATGGTATTATTTATCCTGAGCCTGCTCCAGGCTGAGTTAGGTTTTCTTTGTCTATATAAGGAAAGAGGGAGGGATTCTACTTATTTCTGGTATAATAGTAAAGAGCTCTGTGGACCTGCTCTTCAAAGAGCTAGTGAAAATTATTTTAAAAACCATTTAAAGTTTCTGGAAATTGTTCTAAGGGCATACAGCATATGAAAAAAATGTTTATTTAAGAAAGTCTACTAAAACTCAATAAAATCAGCAAGAGTCTGTGGTATTTCAGCCAATACCCTGCTATCTCCCCACCCCAACCTGAGTCTCCCAGTGGAGACTCCACTCCAGACTGGTGCAACCAATAACACGGGGCTCTCTCACCAGCTCCTAGTTGGTGGACTGTCTTCCCGTGAGCATTTTTCATTTTGTCTTTAGCTTCCTATTGGTGAGATTATGTACTGGTGAGCAGAGTTGAAAGCTGAGGTGTCCCTTCTGTCCAGCTCTCACTGATAGAACAGAAGCTCTATTTTGGTGAAATGTCACTGAGAATGCTGGGGCCCTGATTGCGCTTCTATCAGCTCATAAAATGGTGGTTGCATGCTGGGAGTGGAAAGCTGAAAAATTCAGAGGCTACTGTCTGGCCCCTACACCAAGCACTCAGCTCCTAAAGAGTGTGTGTGTGTGTGTGTGTGTGTGTGTGTGTGTGTGTTGTGTGTATGGGGGGTGTCACTGAGAAAGAAGCATGCAATTGTCCCTACAGTCAGCTCCAGAATCATGGCTCAGTAACTTTTCCTGGAGGTAAAACAGGCCCTAAAAACAGATAGCTCGTAATTTCTTCTCAAAAGAATTGAACTGACTTCATTTGAGAAAGAGACTGAAATTTAAAGGGTGTTTTCAGAAACAGATGAAATTGTGAGAAACAACTGGGAGTTGATTGGTACACTCATTAGTGATATAGGCAAAGCCGTAGGCTGACTACTTTGCTGGGGAGAACTGGTGAAAGAGACAGCTGGGAGGAGCTTTCCTTGGGTTAGTACAAATCTCAAACAATGATTTCAGAAACTATCTCTTCAATGAGAGCCCAAATTTTATTAAATTAGTCTTTGGAACAATTTGTGTCCCAGGGCAGTGACGAAAGCAATAGAGCAATCAATAGGCAATTAGTGGAGTTGAGTCAATCAAATAGCTGGGTTTGATCAGAGAAAGAAACAGTCAAATAGAGCCCTGACAAAACTACTGTCATCCTAGGGTAAATGTGGATATACTCAAAGCTGTGCCACCTGAGAGCAACATCAGAAGCTTACTATTCTCTGGAAAGATAGAGATGATAGGGGTGTCACTAAAATAATCCAGTTAGTCCCTAAACAAATAAACAAACAAATTAAAATACCAAGACCTGGGGGAGGCAGTACCCAGAATTCCTACAATGCATTATCTAAAATGTCCACTTTCCAACAAAACTATGAGACATACAATAAAACAAGGAAGTAGGGCTCATATACCAGAGAAAAGGCAGGCAACAGAAAATGTGAGAGTGACCAGGTACCAGGTTTAACAGACAACGACTTCAAAATAGTGATTATGAATATATTCAAAGAACTAAAAAAATGAGAAAAGAAGTAATGGAAAATATGACAATCTCATATTAAATAGAGAATATCAATACAGAGATAAAAATTATATGAATGAAACAAGTGGAAATTCTAATGCTGAAAAGTACAATAACTAAAATAAAAATTCACAAGAGTTGCTCATCCTCTAGTATTTGACCCGCAGTGTATTTGAAGCTGCCAGAAAAAAAGAATTAATGAACTTAAAGATAAACCAATATAGATTATATAATCTGAAAAACATATGAAAAAAATAAAGAAAAAGAGACTCAGAGAAATATGGGACACTATTAAACAGAGCCACATAAACATAATGGTAGTGCCAGAAAAAGGGGACCGAGGGAAAGGAACAAAACAATTTGAAGAAATAATGGCTGAAAACTCCCCATATGTATTTAATATTATTTAAAAAAATTAACTATACATCCAGGAAACTTAATAAATTCCAAGTAAAATAAATGCAGAGATCCACAAACAGACACATCACAGTAATAAGCTGAAAGGTGAGGGCAAGGATAAAATCTTTAAAACAGCAAAAAATAAATAAATAAATAAAATAAATTGACTTGTCATATACAAGGAAACCCCAATAAGTTTAAAAGCTGACTTGTCGTCATAAACTTTAAAGGCCAGAGGGCATTGAGATAACATATTTGAAGTACACAAAGAAAAACAAACTGTTAACCAAGATTTCAATATTCAGTAAGCTATCTTTCAAAAATGAAGGTGAAATAAAGACATTACTACATAAACAAAAACTGAGACAATTTGTTGCTAGCATACAGGCCTCACCTCAATAGAAGAAGTAAAGGAAACTCTCCAGGCTGAAGAAAATGACTCCAGACAGTAATTTGAATCCACAGGAAGAAATAAAGAACACGATTAGGTAATTATGTAATTATAGAATATACAATAAATGCACATTTCTTCTCTTAACCAATTAAAAAATGCATAAAACAATAGTTGTATAATGTGTTTCTTTGGGCCTATAATATACAGAAATGGAATATATTTGCGAATGACAGCACAAAGGAAGTGGGTGGGAGCAAAGCTATATTGGGCTAAGAAAATTACTTCAAATAGTAAAAAGAAGAGCAAACTAAATCTAAAGCAAGCATAATGAGATAAATAATAAATATTAGATCAGGAATTAATAAAATTTGGATAGAAAAACAGTAGAGAAAATCAATAATATAAAAAAATTGGTTCTTTGAAAGATCAACAAAGTTGACATAACTTTAGCTAGATTGACTAAGAAAAAGACTCAAATAGATATATAACATATAACAAGAACATTAAATTAGTTGTCAAAAACTACTTACACATAAAAGCCCAGACCCAGGAGGCTTTACTGCTGAATTCTACCAACAGTTTAACGAAGAATTATTATTAATTCTTACAAACTTTTCCAATAGAGTAGAACAGGTGGGAATAACTCCAAATTCATTATATGAGGCCAGTGTTATCCTGGTACCAAAACCAGCCAAAGATATCACAAGAAAACTATAGACCAATATCTCTTAATAAATGTTGATGCAAAAATCAATAAGATGCTAGGAAACTGAATACAGCTACATATAAACAGAATTACATACATGATCACATGGAATTTGTCCCAGCAACGAAAAGTTTAACATCCAAAAATCAATTAATGTAAAACGTCATATCAATAAACTAAAAACAAAACCCTCATGATTATCTCAGTAGATGCAGAAAGGTGTTTGACAAAATTCAACACCCTTTCATGGGTAAAAAACATTCATCTAATGAGGATAGAAGGACATTTTCTGAATGTGATAAAGCGTATCTGTGAAAAGCCCACAGGTAAATCCGTACTTGATAGTGAAAGACTGAATACTTTCCTTCCGAGATCAAGAACAAGACAAGGGTGTCTACTCTTGCCACTTGTATTCAAAATTGTATTGGAGGTCTCTTATAAGGTTACAGCCAAGTCATTGGTTAGAGCAGTAATCATATCAAGACTTGACATGGACTAGAGAATTTGCTTCTAATTTCACAAAGATGTTGCCTGGACTGAAAAGATTGGCTTCCAAGCTCATTTATGTGATTGCTGGCAGGCCTTGGTTTCTCATCACATGGACCTAAGTGTTCTCAAAACACGTCAACTGGAAAGGAGAGAGAGAATATGTGAGAATACCCAAGATGGAAGCCACAGTCTTTTTATAACCTAGTCTTGAAAGTGGAATCCTATAACTTCTGCTGTATTCTACTCATTACAAAAAGCCCATAAATCATCCCACATTCAAGGGTAAGGGATCACACAAAGGCACAAATACCAGGAAATGGGCATTACTGGGGGCAATGAAGGTCTTCCTACCACAGAGAGGATTGTTCAAGTTGTAGATATTCTACCGTATTTTTCTGTGTTCGTGTAGGAAAATAAATTTGTAGAAAAAAAGTTGGATTAAATTATAATACAATGTAACATGTGATACTATTGAGGTTGCACAGAAAGCTATGGCAGCATCGAGGAAGAACTTTAATCCAGTGCTGGGAGGAACCTTGATGTGTGGTCAAAGAATAGGTCTTAGATGATGTGATCCTGATTTTAGTTTTGAAGCGAAGAGTTACTATGGCTACGAGGTAGTGTATGGGAGGAGAAAAAGCACAGAGCCACTATATCTTTAAGAACTGCAGGCAGTTTAGTGAAATTCAAAAGCAGGTAATTGAGTGTATGTGTGTGTGTGTGTGTGTGTCTGTGTACATGCATATGTACACAAACATGCATACACATGTGTGTATTTGGGAGGATAAATATACGGAAGGACTGGGTCGTGAAGGGCTGTGTCTCTCATGCCAAGGAATTTGAATTTTTAAAATGAAGACACTTGGGACATTATTATAAGGCAAATCAGTAGGTTTTTATAGGAGAAGAGCAGAGTGAAAACCTGTTGATCATGTATTAAATTAAAGGGGACCTGTAACTTCTGACTTTAAAAAAGGAAGAAATATAGACATAGGAATTTCTAATGACTATTTCCTAAACATATCCCATATATTTTTACCTCTATATTATTATTTGTTCTTCTGCCTTCCCTGCCTTTTGTTTTCCTGTTATAAATACCCTCTTTTTCTTCAGAATTCTTTTTCTTCAGAATCCTGTAGGAAGTTGCCTACAGGAAAACTTCCATATAGGATTATCTTTCTGTGAATACAGTATGTGAAGAGTATATTGCTTATTTATTTATTTATTTATTTATTTATTTATTTATTTATGTATTGGGACAGAGTCTCACTCTGTCTCCCAGGCTGCAGTGCAGTGGCACCATCATAGTTCATTGCAGCCTAGAACTCCTGGGCTCAAACAATCCTTCTGCCTTGGCCTCCTCAGTGGCTGGCACTACAGGTGCATACCACCACTCCTGGCTATTTAAAAAGTGTTTTTGTTTTTGTTTTTGTTTTTCAGGGAGAGAGGGAGTCTCATTATGTTTCCCCTGCTGGTCTAACTTTTCTGGCTTCAAGCAATTCTCCTGCCTTGGCCTCCCAAAGTGCTAGGATTACAGGTGTGAGCCACCACACCCAGCTCTTTTATCCTTTACATAGATAACCTTGTACATTTAGTTATTTCACGTTTATTCATACATTGTATGAATACTTACTGAGCAAGCTATTATACGCATAGCATTGTATAAAATGCTTCAATGATATGAATGATGTGATGGATGATGTTGTGACATGGAGCAAGGTCCCTGCCCTCAAAGGAGTTACAGTCTAGACATGAAGTATCCATACCAGACTACCAGAAGAGCATATAAAAATGCATGTTCCTGGGCCCATCCAAGACTCCCTGAATCAGAATCTCTGAGAATAAGGCACCCAAATCTAGTTCTTAAATGCATTTTTACAGTGATTCTAAAGAACACTATGTTTGAGAACTAGTGGTCTGGTGAGAGATCTAGGAAATAGACATAAATAATTCTATTACAAGGTGAACTGTGTGAAGTTTGTAGTTTGTCGCCCATGAAACTGATGTGAAACTCTTCAGGAGTTCAGAGATCACTTGTAGCTGAGGCAATTTAGGAAAATTTTATGGACGAGCTCACATTTTAATTATCATACCTGAGGGATGATTACACTAATATGTTATCTTTTATTTGTTCATTTATTTTGATTCCCATCTCTGACATACAAATCTCAGCTTTATTTTGAGAATCCTGCCCCTTTAACAGGAATGGCAAACAAATATTTGAAATATGTGTTTCCATGAGGAGCTTTTTCAAATTGGTCTTAAGATTTTGATTTTCCATTTGCTAGTCTCTTCCGTCAGAGCTTTTTAAATCCAGACTTGAGAAACCCAAACTGCATTTACTTCTTCCTCTACTTATATATGCTGTTCACATTCACATTGCGCTTGTGGGAGGATGAGAGCTATATAAATCCAAGGTATTATTATTATTACAATCTCACACTGCTGTTCTCTTTTGGCCCTTTATTCTATGCTTTAAACTTGACACAGTTTGAATTCTGCTTAATCTGACATTCAATTTAATTTCATTTTAATACGTTTTCTATAAATAATAACAATGATTAATTATTATAAGAAATAAACCAGTTCTATTTATTGCAAACTTCAGTGGAGTAAAACCAATTGCCCTTCTTAGCAGGGTCTTGAAGACACTCAAATTCAACACCTCTGTCCAGGTACATCTCTTCTGAGTGGATTATTATTTTGTTTAAGTTCATAGGGTCGATTAGCACTAGTACATTTTTTTCTTTATAGGTGTTAGTACAGACCTGTTATTAGTGAAACACAGAGGTACTGCTAATGAGAAACTTAAGGAAAAACTGAACGTTATTCTATACAACAATGTAAAATCCCTTTCAGGAGATTATGGTGCCTTTGGTATCACTTAGCAGGTGTTTATCACCATCTCCTAATACTAAATCCTGTATTAATCAGTGTCCATTCAAAAAAGCAGAAATCACTCTGAATATTTTACATACATACATGGAGATACAGAGAGAGAATAATTCAGGGAATTAAAAGCTTACATAACCACTGTAAAGTCTCTGGTAAAGGATGTCAAGAGACTGCTTTCAGAATACATGGATACATGGGGATTCCAAGGAAGCCACTACCAATGATCTCAGCTGCCTGCTCACAGTGGGTGTGATCTCAGCTGCCTGCATTGTGTCAGAAGCATGAGCCCACTGTAGTGTGAAAAATGAACAGAGCAAGCTTGGTCTTGTCTACTTTTTCCATTATTATCCAAAGGCAAAAATATAGGCATTATTTGTTATTGTATAGTTAGAATGGTATACATTTTAAAATATGTGCTCTAAAATGTAAAACATTTTCACTTAACAGTAAATTATGAGCATATTCCTGTTATTACCTAATATGCACTATAACTTTAAAGGCCATATGGCATTATTTCATATGCATAAATCATAATTTATTAAGTACTAAATTATTTACAACAATAGGGGGATAGTTCAAAAGTTCAGGCTCTGGAATTACATGGGTCTGCGTTTGAATCCTGGATTTGTCGCTCACTGACTGGCATTGTGATCTTGACAAGTCACTTAACTTATCTAACCCTCAAGCTGTTCATCTGTGAAATGGAACTGCAAATATTAACAACCTTATAAGTTTGTCACGGACATTAAAGAGATCATGCCTAGCACCGTGCCTAGTATATTACAAGCTCTCAATAAATATTGAGGATTATTATTACTACCATTATAGCATAACTCTTTTAAGAATGTCTCATTATTTCTTCTTCATAAATTCCTAGGAATTGCACTGCGGGCCCAAAGATAAACACATTTTTGCCCTTTTTTGGGGTGGTGGGTACATATAACAACTTGCCTTTCAAAAATATTGTGCAATTTATATTTCTTTTTTTTAATTTTATTATTATACTTTAAGTTTTAGGGTACATGTACACAATGGGCAGGTTTGTTACATATGTATACATGTGCCATGTTGGTGTGCTGCACCCATTAACTCATCATTTAGCATTAGAATAATTGCGTAAGTGCCTATTTCACTACTCTCACAATTACAGGGTAATATAATCCAATCATTATGCTACCGATTTTCAGCTCTCAAGTTGGTCTTGTTTTAATTTGTGTTTTGTTTCGTGTGTTTCTACTTTACGAAATGTTTATTTCCATTTCTCATGTGTTTATTGATGTATACTATTCTTCCTTACTGATTTGTGAGATAACAATATATGTTAAATTATATATAATATATATTATCTTCTTTTGGTATGTGTTGTGAATATTTTCTTATTTGTTACTTGCCTTTTAATTTTGTTTATGGTGTTAGTTGACATAGCAATGTTTTAAATTTTATGTGATTAAATCTGTCATGTTTTATCCATGTGGTTTCTTTCTTCATGTAAAGATTTAGAAAAGTCTTCTTATCCAAACAGCAGATAAGCAAAATTTTCCTGAAATCACTTCATTTTGCAATATGTAAATCTAACCTTATATTTTTAGAAAATGTTCATCATTTATGGCATCACCATAATTAAATAATCTATCCCAAATACATTTTAACGCCGCTGTTATTATATACCAAATATTTAAATATGCTGGTTCACCCTCTTGGGCTTTCCAGTTTGTTTCATTGATATGTCTATTTCTGCTCTTTCTGTTGTCAAAATCATGTAATCTGATTCATTGTATAGTAGTGCAAATTCATCCTTTTTTTAATGTAAACTTCAAAAACATGTTGTGAAGGCTCAAAAATTATTCATGTGCTTTGGATTTGAATTGCATCAAATTTACATGTCTGGGAAGAATTAACATGTTTTTAATACAAGGTCTTTTCATTGTGGAAAATAATTTTTCTTTTTATGATTTTTTTGTATTTTCCACTTAAAATTTGTACTTTTCTCCATAGATGTTTCTAAACTGTTTTTGGCTAAAATATATTTTGTTTTTGGTTATCAATATAAATAAAATGCATTTTATATTTTGATTACTATTTACCTATTTCAGTCTTATATTATTTGACACATTATTATTTGTTAGCTATGTTAACAAATAATAGTTATGAGTTATATTATTTAGTTAGTTATAATAGTTATATTATTTGATAACTATGAGAATCAGAATCATGAAACAATTTTAAATAAACATTATTTCTTTATCTTTTTCTTTTTTTTTAATTATACTTTAAGCTCTAGGGTACATGTGCACAACGTGCAGGTTTGTTACATATGTATACATGTGCCATGTTCGTGTGCTGCACCCATTAACTCGTCATTTACATTAGGTATATCTTCTCATGCTATCCCTCCCCCCTCCCCCCACCCCACTACAGGCCCCGATGTATGATGTTCCCCACCCTGTGTCTTGCTTTGGATTCTACTTTTTGCCTTGTATGTTAATTTTGACAACTCAGATTTCATTTTATTTGTATTTGCTTGGTTCATTATTATCTATTCATTTACTTTTAGTATTTCTGAATCACTTGGTTTTACATGTGTGTCTTAGAGTCAACATGTAGTCCATTCATATTCACAGTTTCACAGGGGAGAAAGCTGAGATAAGGCTGATTTTGTTTGTGGACAAATAGCTTTTTGAAAAAATAAAAACACGTCTGGATACCTATAAGATTTTTTACTTTATTTGCATAAGTTAAAAAAATATCATCTGTATGTGTTTAGAAATTAGTCACTTGAAAGTAAATTTAGTCTGGTGTCTAGTGAGCCTTTCCGTCTGCTGACTTAAGCCATTATTCATCTCAGGAAAGCTTTCTTCTTTGTATCTTTACTTCTTGATTCTTTTCCATTTGCTCTGCCTCTTCTTTAGGTGCAATGATTATCTCTATGCCTTCCATCCTCTGTATGGTTCATTTTTATTTTATTATTTTCATTATTTTTATTTCAATAGGTTTTAGAGAAACAGGTGACGTTTGGTTACATGAATAAGTTCTTTAGTGGTGATTTCAGAGGTTTTGGTGCACCCATCACTCAATAAGTGTACACTGTACCCAATGTGTAGTCTTTTATCCCTTGCCACCCCAGACCACTTCCCCCGAGTCCCCAAAGTCTAATGTATCATTCTTAGGCCTTTGTGTCCACATGGCTTAGCTCCCACTTAAGAGTGAAAACATATGATGTTTGGTTTTCCATTCCTGAGTTACTTTACTTAAAATAATAGTCTCCACTTCCATCCAGGTTGCTGTGAATACCATTATTTCATCCCTTTTTATGGCTGAGTAGTACTCCATGATGTATATTCCATGGTTACATATATCACATTTTCTTTATCCACTCATTGATTGATGTGCATTTGGGCTGGTTCCATATTTTTACAATTGCAAATTGTGCTACTATAAACATGTGTATTCAAGTATCTTTCTCATATAATGACTTATTTTCCTTTGGGTAGATACCTAGTAGTGGGATTGCTGTATAAAATGGTAGATCTACTTTTAGTTCTTTAAGGAATTTCCACTGTTTTCCGTAGTGGTTGTACTAGTTTACATTCCCAACAACAGTGTAAAAGTGCTCCATTTTCACTGCATCCAGGCCAACATCTATTATATTTTTTATTATGGCCATCCTTGCAGGAGTGAGGTGGTATCCCATAGTGGTTTTGATTTGCATTTCCCTGAAAATTAGTGATGTTGAGCATTTTTTCCATATGCTTGTTGGCCATTTGCATATCTTCTTTGAGAATTGTCTATTCATGCCCCCTTTTTGATGGGACTATTTGTTTTTCTCTTGCTGATTTGTTTGTGTTCTTTGTAGATTCTGGATATTAGTCCTTGTAGGATGTATAGATTGTGAAGATTTTCTGCCACTCTGTGAGTTGCCTGTTAACTCTGCTGATTATTTCTTTTGCTGTGCAGAAGCTTTTTAGTTTAATTAAGTCCCATCTATTTATCATTGTTTATGGTGCATTTGCTTTTGGGTTCTTGGTCATGAATCTTTGACTAAGCCAATGTCTGGAGGAGTTTTTCCGATGTTATCTTCTAGAATATTTATGGTTTCAGGTCTTAGATTTAAGTCTTTGATCCATCTTGAGTTGATTTTTGTATAAGGTGGGAGATGAGGATCCAGTTTCAATTCTGCATGTGGCCTTCCAATTATTCCAGCACCGTTTGTTGAATAGAGCGTCCTTTCCCCACTTTATGTTTTTGTTTGTTTTGTTGAAAATCAGTTGGTTGTAAGTCTTTGGGTTTATTTCTGGATTCTCTATTCTGTTCCATTGGTCTATGTTCCTATTTTTATACCGGTACCATGCTGTTTTGGTGACTATGGCCTTATAGTAAATTTTGAAGTCAGGTAATGTGATGCCTCCGGATTTGTTCTTTTTGCTTAGTCTTGCTTTGGCTATGTGGGCTGTTTTTTGGTTCCATATGAATTTTAGCATTGATTTTTCTAGTTCTGCGAAGAATGATTGTGGTATTTTGATGGGAATGACATTGAGTTTGTAGATTGCTTTTGTCAGTATGATCATTTTCACAATATTAATTCTACCCGTCCAAGAGCATGGAATGTGTTTCCATTTGTTTGTGTTATCTATGATTTCTTTCAGCAGTGTTTTGTAGTTTTCCTTGTAGAGGTCTTTCACGTCCTTGGTTAGGGATATTCCTAAGTATTCTGGGTATTTTTTCAGCTATTGTGAAAGGGGTTGAGTTCTTGATTTGATTCTCAGCTTGGTCGCTGTTGGTGTGTAGCAGAGCTACTGATTTTTGTACATTAATTTTGTATCCTGAAACTTTCCTGAATTCATTTACCTATGCTAGGAGCTTTTTGGATGAGTTTTTAGGGTTTTTGGGGTATACAATTATATCATCAGTAAACAGTGACAGTTTGACTTCCTCTTTATCGATTTGGATGCCCATTATTTCTTTCTCTTGTCTGATTGCTCTTGCTAGGACTTGCTGAATAGAAATGGTTACAGTGGGCATCCTTGTCTTGTTCCAGTTCTCAGCGGGAATGCTTTCAACTTTTACCCATTCAATATAATGTTGGCTGTGGGTTTGTCATAGATGGCTTTTATTACCTTAAGATATGTCCCTTTTATGCCAATTTTGCTGAGGATTTTAGTCATAAAGGGGTACTGGATTTTGTCAAATGCTTTTTCTGAATCTTTTGATATGATCATGTGATTTTTGTTTTTTAATTCTATTTATATCATGTTTCATATTTATTGACTTATGTATGTTAAACCATCCCTGCATCCCTGGTATGAAACCCACTTGACATGGTGGATTATCTTTTCGATATGCTGTTGGATTTGAATAGCTAGTATTTTGTTGAGGATTTTAGCATCTATGTTCATCAGGGATATTGATCTGTAGTTTTCCTTTTTTTTGTTATGTTGTTTCCTGGTTTTTGGTATTAGGGTGATATTGGCTTCATAAAATGATTTAGGGAGGATTCCCTCTTTCTCTGTCTTTTGAAATAGTGTCAATAGAATTGGTGCCAATTCTTTCAATGTCTGATAGAATTCAGCTATAAATCCATCTGGTCCTGGACTTTTTTTTGGCAATTTTTAAAATTACAATTTTAATCTTGTTGCTTGTTATTGATCTGTTCAGAGATTCTATATCTTCCTTGTTTAGTCTAGGAGGGTTGTATATTTCCAGGAATTTATCCATCTCCTCTAGGTTTTCTAGTTTATGTGCATAAGGTGTTTACAGTAGCCTTGAGTAATCTTTTGTATTTGTGTAGTATCAGTTGTAATATTTCCCGTTTTGTTTCTAATTGAGCTTATTTGAATCTTCTCTCCTTTGTTATTTCTTTTCTTCTCCTGGGTTTGGGTTCAGGTTGTTTTTTTTTCCCCAGTTCCATGAGGCATGACCTTAGATTGTCCGCTTGTGCTCTTTCAGACTTTTTGATGTAGGCATTTAATGCTACGAACTTTCCTCTTAGCATCACTTTTGCTGTATCCCAGAGGTTTTCATAGGTTGTGTCACTATTATTGTTCAGTTCAAAGAATGGTTTAATTTCCATCTTGATTTCATTGTTGACCCAATGATCGTTCAGGAGCAGGTTATTTAATTTCCATGTATTTGCATGGTTTTGAGGGTGCCTTTTGGAGTTGATTTCCAATTTTTTTTCACTGTGGTCTGAGATTACTTGGTATAATTTTGATGATTTTCTTACATTTACTGAGACTTGTTTTGTGGTCTATCATATGGTCTATCTTGGAGAATGTTCCATGTGCTGGTAAATAGAATGTATATTCCACAGTTGTTGGGTAGGATGTTCTGTAAATATCTGTTAAGTCCATTCGTTTTAGGGTATAGTTTAAGTCCATTGTTCCTTTGTTGACTTTCTGTCTTGATGACCTGTCTAGTGCTGTCAGTGGAGTATTGAAGTCCTCCACTATTATTGTCTTATTGTCTATCTCATTTCTCATGTCTAGTAGTAATTGTTTTATAAATTTGGGAGCTCCAGTGTTAGGTGCATATATATTTAGAATTTTGATATTTTCCTCTTGGACTAGTACTTTTATCATTATATAATGTCCTTCTTTGTTTTCTTTAACTGTGTTGCTTTAAAATTTGTTTTGTCTGATATAAGAATAGCTACTCCTGCTTGCTTTTGGTGTCCATTTGCATGGGATATCTTTTTCCAGCCCTTTACTTTTTTTTTTTTTTTAAGTTTATGTGAGTCCTTATGTGTTAGGTGAGTCTCCTGAAGACAGCAGAAACTTGGTTGGTGAATTCTTATCTGTTCTGCCATTCTGTATTTTTTAAGTGGAGCATTTAGGCCATTTACATTCAATGTTAGCATTGAGGTATGAGGTACTATTCTACTTATCATGCTATATTTATTGTGCTATTTGTTGCCTGAATAACTTGTTTTTTTTCTTTTCATTGTGTTTTTTGTATAGGTCCTGTGAGATTTATGCTTTAAGGAGGTTCTATTTTGGTGTATTTGGAAGGTTGGTTTCAAGATTCAGAGCTCCTTTTAGCAGTTCTTTTAGTGCTAGCTTGGTAGTGGTGAATTCTCTCAGCATTTCTTTGTCTGGAAAACACTGTATCTTTCCTTCATTTATGAAGCTTAGTTTCACTGGATACAAAATTCTTGGCTAATAATTGTTTTGTTTAAGGAGGCTAAAAATAGTACCCCAAACTCTTCTAGCTTGTAGGGTTTCTGCTGATAAATCTGCTGTTAATCTGATAGGGTTTCCTTTACAGGTTATCTGATGCTTTTGCCTCACAGCTCTTAAGATTCCTTCCTTTGTCTTTACTTTAGGTAACCTGATGACTATGTGCCTAGGTGATGATCTTTTTGCAATGAATTTCCCAGGTGTTCTTTGAGTTTCTTGTATTTGGATAGCTAGAGCTCTAGAAAGGCTGGGGAAGTTTTCCTGGATTATTCCTTCACGTATATTTCCCAAACTTTTAGATTTCTCTTCTTCCTCGGGAACACCAATTATTCTTAGGTTTGGACATTTAACATAGACCCAAACTTCTTGAAGTCCTTGTTCATTTTTTAAAATTCTTTTTTTCTGTGTCTTGGATGAATTGGGTTAATTCAAAAGCCTTGTCTTCAAGCTCTGAAGTTCTTTCTTCTGCTTGTTCAATTCTATTGCTGAGACTTTCCAGTGCATTTTGCATTTCTCTAATATGTTGTTGATTTCCAGAAGTTGTGATTGTTTTTTATTTACGCTCTCTATTTCACTGAAAATTTTTCCTTTCATATCCTGTGTCTTGTTTTTTATTTCTTAACCTGGATTTCACCTTTCTGTGGTGCGATCTTCATTAGCATAACAATCGACCTTCTGAATTCTTTTTCCGGCAAGTCAGAGATTTTGTCTTGGTTTGGACCCACTGCTGGTGAGCTGGTATAATCTTTTGAGGGTGTTGAAGAACATTGTTTTGTCATGTTACCAGAATTGTTTTTCTGGCTCCTTCTCATTTTGGTTAACTATGTCAGAGGGAAGATCTGGGATTCAGGGGCTGCTGTTCACATTCTTTTGTCCCACAGTGTGCTCCCTTCATGTGGTGTTCTTTCCCTTCCCCTAGGAATGCGGCTTCCTGAGAGCCAAAATGCTGTGATTGTTTTTGCTCTTCTAGGTCTAGCAACCCAGCAGAGCTACCGGGCTCTGGGCTGGTACTGGGGAGTATCTGCCAGGAGTCCTGTGATGTGATCCATCTTGAGGTCTTACAGCTGTGGATACCAGCACCTGCTCTGGTGGAGGTATCAGAGGGGTGAAGTGGACTCTGTGAGGGTCGTTGGTTGTATTTTTGTTTAGCGCACTAGTTTTGTGCTGGTTGGCCTCCAGCCAGGAGGTGGCACTTTCAAGAGTGCATCAGCTGTGGTCCTGTAAGGAGGATGCAAACTTGACCTAGGGATATCTGGTTAAGTATTCAGGTTTCTCAGGTGGTGAGCAGTGCCTTAGAGCTCCCAAGAGATTATGACCTTTGTCTTCAGCTACCAGGGAGGATAGAGAAAGACCATCCAATGGGGGCAGGGATAGGCATGCCTGAGCTCAACCTCTCCTTGGGCGGGGATTTCTGTGTCTGCTGTTGGGGTTTGGGGGTATGCTTCCCAGTGCAATGAAGTTACATTCCCAGGGGGATTATGGCTGCCTCTGCTAAGTTATACTGGTTGCCAGGGAAGTGGGGGAAAGCCAGCAGTCACAGGCCTACCCTGCTCCCACACAGCCCACAGTCCTAAAGGTCAGTCTCACTCCCACCAAGCCTCCCCCAACAGCACCCAGTCTATTTCCAGGACGCTGGTGACCAGGGCTGAGAACTTGCCCCATACCAGGAGCCTCCCAGTTGAAAAAGCAAGCAGACTCAGTTTTTTGGTGTCTCAGGGAACCTGAACATCTGGAGATTTTTTGTTTGTTTTTCATTTCAATATACTTTGTGTTATAGCTGGGCATATTCCAGCACTTATCCACCCTACTAGGTTCCACCTAGTGAACCACACCTGCATATTTACTTTTCTGCTTTCCTCACTGAGCACTTCTCTGGATATCGCAAGGGCCACCCTGTCTTGTCTGTTGTTGTATCTCCAGTACTCAGAACATAATCACCATTTTTCTTTTCTTTTCTTTTTTTTTTTTTTTTTTTTTGATGTGGGTTCTCGCTCTGTCACCTAGGCTGGAGTGCACTGGCATAATTATAGATCACTGCAGCCTTGAGCTTCTGGACTCAGGCAATCCTTCCACCTCAGTCTCCTGAATAGCAGGAACTATAGGTACACACCACCATACCCAACTATTTTTTCCCACCTTTTCAATGGACAGAGCTAGAAAAATAGATTGTGATTTTATACTCACATTTTCAATTGAAATTTATGAGTTTTACTTAATTTCTTTAATTTTATGTCATTTTAATCTGATGCTGAAAATCATAGGTTTTTATGGTGCAAATATGATTGCTTCTTTACTATATGTACTTTCAGAACAATAATATAAATATATTATTGCTAACAAAGTGTTTACAAATATAATTTAAGTATCCTCTGCTGTTACTTTTTAAAAATGTTTTGTCCTTAGGGTGCATCCCACTGGGGATGTATAACCAACCTACTGTGTGTAAAAGTCTCTTGAAATAATTATTTTTGTGGTTATGCCAATAACCTGATATATAATTAAGCTTATTCGTTTCATTTTTAACAGTTGCTTTTCTAACTTAATTTTATTTTATAATTACACAAGACATTTACATTACAATGCAAAAACAAAAAGCAAGGTATGTTAGAAGAAGTCTAGCTTCTCTCTCTATCCCTTCCGTCCTACTCTCTCTCTCTCTCTCTCTCCTTATAGGTAATTGCTTTTTAAAAATAGCTTTTCATTTATTCTTCCATTGAATCTTTTTAAAAATATAAGCAAATATAGATATAGATATCCATAATTCATAACTTTTCTCACTTTCTTATGTAAACCTAGTATAATTTAACACACTGTTCTGCACCCCACTTTTTTACAAAACAATATATCCTTGAGATCACTCCGTAGTAGTATATAGAGCTCTACTTCATTTCTTAGGGCTGCAAGGTGCTCCATTGTGTGGACTTTCCAGTTTATTTACATAGTCCCTTATTGATAAACATTTGGAGTGTTTCCAGTGTTTTATTATTATAAATAGTGCTGCACTGAATAGCTTTCAGCATACACCATTTTATATTTTTGACAATGTATCTTTGGGATAGACTCCCAAAGGAGGGATTGCTGGGTAAAAGGGTAAATAAATAGGTTGTTAAATCTTACCGAATTCTCCTCTATAGGAAGTGTATCATCCTGCATTCCCTCCGGACATGTATGAAAGGGCCTACTTTTCCACTGCCCAACAGAGTGATCTTACTAAATTTTTGGATTTTTTCCAATTTGATAGGTAAAAAATTGTATCAAAACGTAAGTTTAACTTGCATTTTTTATATTTCAAATGTTTAAGAAATATTTGCATTTATTTTACTGTAAACTGTCTTGTGATATCTCTTGCCTATTTTTCTATAAGGTTATGGCAAAAGGATTTTTGAGAATGCAAAGACTGGTATCATATGTTATTCTTTGCTGTAAAGATAAGGTCTAGGTGGATGATATTTACAAATAAGGTACAAAGAACAAAAACAGCATCAGCTAGGTGGGATAAAGGGCTTGCTAAAGTTAAATCAATACTTTATCTGTATCTTGTCATCATAAAATTGAATTCTTTACTAGTTTGCTTGCACAAAATTCTCTTGCGACATCCTGCCTTTAAAAGATTGGTATTTTCCCCTCTGAAATGTAACCCTTAACCCTGAAACAATGTTAATGGCAATGGTTGTTTCACTATGTTTGTCACAGGAAATTGAAATTGCTTGTCAACCTTGTAATATTTAACCCACTGACAATCTCAAAGATATTGTCGCCATTTTCCCAATTGATATATACATTTGTATATTTTCTTGCTAATCAGACAAGTATCTTTATTTAGTTTTAGTTCTTTTCTTTTCTTTGTACAGATCTGTGGAAGTAACAAAATGATGTTTAGAGCAGATTCATTATTAAATGCCAAAGGAAAATCTTATAATATTATTTAAAAATCTGTTATAACATTTTTTGCTACATTACGTTCTGTGGCTCAGCCAATTTCTTTCTTAAATAATTTTATCTTTTAATTCGTCTGCTTATTTCAGAGTTTAAATTTCCGCAAATTCTGTTCTGTACAAAGCAGATACTATTTTAAATTAATTTGTTTCCTATAGTAAATCTTTTTCAAAAGTATGCTCATCATCTACCACTTCCTTCACCTTTTTTCCTTTTGTTTTACGCTTCAGCAAAATTTCATTTGCTTTGTATTGATTTCAAGTTATATTAACTCATTTTTGAATAAGGAGGTTGTATCTCAGTTTGAAGCCTCCAAAACATGAGTAGATTCTCTTGTATTCTTTATCTGTGTGCTGTTATAATGATCATATCCTATTTTAAACTGAATGACTAATTGATATAAATTTAAATTAGTATTGTGATACAATTGGCAGAAATATATGGGAAAGGAACTGAAATTCTTAACAATTCCAGTAAGCAGACTTGTTTGATCATTTCAATAGGGATTTGAGAAGAGGTATTTTAGTGCCTTTGTTCAAGTTCTGCACTTACTTTAAAGACAGTTTGTAAACTTTTTAGCAACAGTTCTTTAGGTAAAGCTAACTAATCAATGTTTGAGAAAACTGTGCTTTTTGAGACTGAGTTACTGTCAGAACATTTTCCTAAGACATCTGACTGCTTATGATTCTATAGTAAATGGTTGAAGATGAAATTACTTCTGCAATATAAAAATAATATTTAAGTGGATAGACACTAAATTTTATTGAATGAATAAAACCTTCAAATATAGGCCTCAAAATGGTAAAACTGAATTCTGCTTGACCAATTCCTACTTACCTTTCTGATCTCTGTTTAAAATTCATTTTCCCTGAAAGACCTTTACTGAACATATGCGTTCCAGGCCAAATTATTCTTATTATACACTCATATAATCTGTAATACTCCTTAATTACATTCATAGTTGGCAATTAACTATTTGTTGATTATTTCTTTGATGTTTATGTTGCCCACTAGACTTTAAATGCCAACAGAAATAGAATTTTCTTGCATATTTTACTCTCCACTCTAGGGCCTTATGCCTACCATAGTTTCTGACACTTAAGAAATACTGTTTGTTTTTGTTTGTTTGTTTGCTTTTTGTGGCAGGGTCTCACTCTGTCGCCCAGGCTAGAGTACAGTTGTGTGATCTCGGCTCACTGCAACCTCCACCTACTGGGTTCAAGAGATTCACCTTCCTCAGATTCCTGAGTAGCTAGGATTACGCCTGGCTAATTTTCATATTTTTAGTAGATTCGGGGGTTCCACCATGTTGGCCAGGCTGGTCTTGAACTCCTGACCTCAAGTGATCCGCCTGCCTTGGTCTCCCAAAGTGCTGGGATTACAGGCGTGAGCCACTGCGCCTGGCCAGAAATACTACTTGAATAGCAGATGAATATAAGCTAGAGATATTAAATCACATTCTACAGATAAAATGAGGATAAGAAGTAAAGAGATATGTTTAAAATGGTGGGATTGAATTTGGGCTGGACAGGCAAGGAGCCTGACATAGTGGATAAAGTACGGGATTTAGAGACAGAAGGATTCAGGTCCTCATATTGCTACTTTGTAGCCATGTGATTTTGAGAAAACGTCTCTCCTCTCCAAAGTGTGCTTTCTGTGTTTATAAAATGAGTGGAGAAAGTTAAATATTAATAAAAGTTTTATATAATTCTAGCCATCCTTGAGGTTCTTAACTTCTGCTTTCTCATCTCTAAAATGGGAGTAATAATAGTAAATGTTTCCTAGAGTTATTGTATATATTAAATAAGATAATGTGTGTTGGTTTTTTCTTTCTACCTCTTCTTCACTAAGCAGTTTCCAGAACTCCTTTGAGCCTCTCAGCCTTATTACAGCAGTTTTACCTTTTGATAACTCCAACATCATTGGAATTCCCCAGAAACTTTTAGAAAAGTGTCAGATAGGAGGCATTCAATTGTAGAATGCATTCCTCCATCTTTATAAATGCATACCCCATCCCATCTGTGATAGGATATAGAAGCCTCACACAGCAGGGCGAAAAAAAGCCTTTACTAAGTAGTCTCCTCTCTCTTAATTTGAACATGAAATGGTACCCAGAACTGGCCTTATTCTGGATGGTACTTTCTATTCTCTAAATTTCAGTTCTTGCCTCCCTCCATTTAAAATTGGATAGATGTACTTATTTTCCCTTGTGGTCCAAATGTATTTATTGGCTACTAAGTTGTTTTTCCAGGCTAAATTAAAATGCTTTTTTCCCCATTAAGGCAGCAAATTTCCCTGTTTTCATCTTGCCAGGTGCTGGATATATTGAAGAGTATTTAGCTGATGAAATTCTGTCTCTTGCAGGTGGGATAACAACAAGAAAACCTGGAGGAATGGAGCATATGTTTCCTTGGACTTTTGTTAAATTACCATATTGGAAAGAAAATCACCTGAGAGAGCTATCTCTTCCCAGCTTTGCTTAGGCCTGGTAGAAGAACATTTAGGGTGTTTCTTTCAGGAGAAGCTACCAGATACTAGAGAAGTAGGTACAGTGGGGGATAGACTGCACAGAGAATGCAGCCATCTTTACCTGAGCCCCACTCATTCCAAGAATGATTTCTTACCTAATGATCATGCGTTCATTCAACAGGATATAATAAATCCCTATTCTTTGCCAAAAACTATCTAACTTAAGGCAACATATTAGGGGAAATTCAAAAGTAGCATGAGAGAAATGAGCATCTACCTTGAGAAAATTCCGGACATCTACAAGAAATTATGAGATTGGAAAGGCTAAGTTGAAGGATTTGTGTAGCAACCAATGACAGAGTTCAAGAGAAAAGAAAGTACAAGTAAATTGGTGTTGACAGGGACAGCTTCCTTGTGAATTCAGGTGGTGTGGGTATGGGTAGCAGAAATCATCACATGGTATACAATGAAATGATTACTGTGTGTAGCTTTGTTAAGAGAAATTATTTTGTTTCAATGTAATTTTAAACATTCTTAATAAAAATAGAATTCTGGTTCCTTTAAGAAAGGTATAGCTATATAATAGGTTATTAAAAACCGCAAAGTCTCTAGTGGGAAGGGCAATAACCTCTTCGAAGGAAAATAAAACATTGGCTTTAAAAAGGACATTGGGGAGGGATTGGATAAAAGTGAATGAATTGGAATTTTATACAGTTGTGGATTGTTTAGTAACCTTTTATTGATTGGAGCAAAAGCAAAGAATCATGTAGAAAGAAATGTAGTAGGTGACCCTGCTTGGTTTTTTTCTTTTCTTTTTTTTTGATTTTTGATAAAGTGTACTAAAGAGTAAATTGAAAGAGTAAGAGGACTTGATGCCTTCTCACTCAGAGAATCAGGAAATTAGGTAGCTATTTCAAATGTATCAAGCACTTACTATGTGTCAAACACTGTGCCGAGTGCCTTGTATACACTATTTCATTCAAAGTCCCTAGTAGTCCTGTAAGGAAAGACTTCCTATTGGACCTCTACAGTTAGACCCAAGGTAATTCCATTCAACTAGTGCCAGCCTCAGATATGTAGGCACAGTATCTGGGGATACTCATTCTCAGTGGGGCTGGCATTGCAAATGAGACTTAAGAGAAGAATGGCACATTTGCAATATATGTTTAGGCTGGGAACAGTGAGATGAGAGGCCAAAAAGATGGCTTACAGTAGAGAGGCTTAAGTGCCAAGTGTGTGGGTTTCAGTTATTTATTTTCTTTTTTATTTTCTGGGATTAAATAATGGAGTATACATTTAGTTGGTGGTCAAAAAGCACAGTTAGCATATTAGGACTCTTGTAATAATTAGTTTTCCTCAGGAAAAAGGGGAAAGGGTTATTTTCTCATATTTGATTCTGTACATTAGGCAAAATAGTGGGAAGTGGAGGAGGAGGTTATGAAGCTCTTGAAGGTCTTGCTGAAAACATTTTAAAATGGTTTTACCAACATTCATTTTTTCCATTCATTTATTCTCTTACTTGACAAATATTAGCTGAGCACCTATAATGTGCTAGGCTTTATATTAGTTGCTGGGTTTATGACAAAGTTTGAGATACAGTTCCTGACCTAAAGTATTTCAGAGATGAATTACAATACAGCAAGTATTTTGATGAGATGAGCAAAAGAAGGGGTGGGAGACTGAACAGAGGCTCAGTCCAGTCTCAGGGTTTAGTGGCATCTCAACTTTACAACTAAGAATCCTATCAGTGAGAAAAATAGAAGCTCAATTTGATTTTTTGTCATGCCCTACTTCCTTTCTGAGCACTCCGTCTCTCCAGGATATATGATTTGAAAGTCTATTATTTCAAGAACAAGGGCATTTGTCAGCATTTATGTGCCTCAGGGTCAGTCAGTAGTAGCAGCAGAGGGAAGGCCTTTAAGAGGGCTAAGTGCTACATGTGCAAAGATAGGGTTAAAAGAATTCTGTTCAGATATCTCGTCTTCAGAGATCAATGCCCAAGAATAGCCAGAAAGAATATTAAGTCTTAGAAGTAACTTCCTATGAATGACAGATGTGGTGGCAGATTGCATCCCACTGGGAAAACCAACATCAGCTACTCAGAAGAGGGAGCTTTTAAGGTTTGAGATATCGTTTCTGCACATTGCATAGGGCAGAAAACTGCCTTCTCTGAATGGTATGTCTCATGCTAACAATCGTAGCAAGTCCTAATTCAAACATTTTAGGCAAGGAAAGGAAGCAAATTAACATGTATTGATTGCCTACTGTGCTGTTTTCACATGTAAACTCACAATAATCCTGGGAGATAGTAATCAAAAGTCTCTTTTTATAGATAAGAACATCAGACTCAGAGAAATTAAATATCTTAGTTGGGGTCGTGCAACTATAAGATGGCAAAGATTTGAATTCAGCTCCAAATTCCAACAGACAGCAATAAAGTTATATTCAAAGGGAGATGTGTTTGGAGGGTGGACACACTTACGTGTTGAAAATGTTTGATTTCACTATTCTGTTTTCCTTGCCTCCAAAGTAGTTATGGTGCCCTGGGTAATAGCTTGTGGGTGCTTAGGGTTAATCACCATAAATTCCCTTTACAAAGAGCTGTCTTGATGGATTTGCCACTCTTGTCAAACTCTTGTGGGCACAAGCTAATCAGGTCATGAACACAGTAGTCAAGACCAGAGCCAAACAGAAACTTGTCAAAAATCTTAACATGACTGAAGCACATTCACAGTGGAAACATTTGAGGAATATTCACAACTGTTGAAGCTCCAGTTCAGTGTAGTTCCCAGCACTCTTTATTTTCACTGCTACGCCTACATTTTCAATGTGTTTTGAAACTATTTTAAATAGGCCATGTTACTGGAGTGGAAAAGATTTTAAGGAAAAGGCTATGCATAAGAGTGACTTGCTGACAGCCCATTATGAGGCTTCTGCTGAAAGTCTACCCTGAATTGACAGTAGAGATAAAAATCTAGAGTAACCTGGCCAGACTGAAACATTCCCTTAATGGCCCTTGAAACGAGTTTTGGGGAAAAACAAAAGTCCAAACTGTCATACATAGAAAGGTTGGTTGGGTCGTTTTTGTCTTTTTTTAAGTAAGAAGAAGGGACAGTGAAAATGAGGTTTCAAGATTGTTTGCCTCTGTTTCCACAATTCTCTTTTCAGATGGATTATTTATTTTCCCTTCTGTAAAGAGAGACTACTTCTTGATGCCTCAGTGTATATACACAGCCATATTTATGACTTTTTCATATGGTGACTGATAATTACCCACTCTCAGTCCATGTTCAGTTTTTTGAGTGGTAGTGTCAAGAATTAGTCACAGACACAATGGCTGCTGATTCAGATTGTGTGTCTTCTCTATGTTATAAATTATAATCCCATTTATCCTGTACATCACTTGACACCAGAGCAAGGCAAGATATTTGGGAGGACCCAAGTGAGTCTTTCAGAATAAAAGATTTGCCTTAATAATAGAAATACTACTAGTGGTGATGATGTTTTTGATGGTGTTGATGATGATAATGACACAGTGATGATGATGATGATACCCTTAGTTCTCCAGCCCTAATATAATGTAGGCTAGCATTTTCACCTTTAGAGAAGGAACTCCATAGCAATGTTTCTCAATTCTTTTCATGGTACATACAAAATAAGATTATTTTCACACTGTAGTAAAAGGAAAAGACTTCTTATTGTCAGAGTTGAATAGTCCAAGACTCTGGCTACCCTAGTGCCACCCCCACTGCCCCCCGACCCCTGAGTGCTAGTGGTCAATATTTCAGCACACCTGTAACTGTTGCACACAGATTCAAAAAGCCCTCTAATCTAGACAGCAGATGACAAAAAGCTTCCTTCTGATTCAGACTCACATAGTAGTTTTCCCAGACAGCCCAAATCTTCATGCATCTTAAAATCCTTTAGAACCAGTCTTTAATATCTTCGATTTACCAATTTCAGCCGAAGTAGCATTGTCTTTTTTTTCATTAAATACCGACAGTTTATTGGTATCTTGAAGGTCTTTGAGAACCCTATGTAAATGATTTGCTATCCTAATCACAGATGGATAATGCTACAAGCTCCCTATTCATCAGCATGGTGAACAGTTTGAGCTACTCTTCCAGGAAAGTTTTCCATTACCCAACTATGTTCTCTCTGACTGAGGGCTTAAAGCCTAAAGGATTCTGTCTAAGGGACTGAGTGGGATTGCGAGTTTAGTTTGTTACAACAGAAATATCAACTAGTCTTTGCTATGCTGTCTCCCCTGGCAAAAGTCTCTTTCCCTTTTCTCCATCCTGGTATTAGCTACTCTTCTTTCAAGTTTAAACTCAGATCCCACCTCCTTCCAGAAGCCTTCTCTGAGCCCTCTCTTCTATTGTGTAGACTTCTCTTCTACTGTGACACCTTCTCTTCCACATACAATATGGTAACTGAAGCCTTCTCTTCTACTGTGTCTACCTCTATCGTAGCATTTATCACACCTTGTAGGAGATGTCTCTCACTGATGCCCTCTACACTGTGAGCTCCAAACAGGCAGAGACTCTTAGGACTGGCTTCCCAGGGCCTGGGTCAAGGCAAAGGAATTTGTTGAAAACATCCATGAATATGTGAACTGGCCTATATGGAGATCGAATTCACAACCCTGGACTTATGCTATATACCAATTCAAAATGAGGATAATAGTACTATGTATTAAGTATTTCCTGTGTGTCAGGTGTTTTATACATATTATGTCACATAATCATCTGAACAAAATGAGATGGGCATTACTCTCTCCACCTCACAAAAAGCTTAGGAGAAGGAATGTAAAGTAATTTGCCAAAGGGAAGTGGCCAAGCCAGGGTTTAAAACCCAGGTTTGGTGGACTCAAATGTGTTGTTTTTATCTACTACACCTCAGTATTTTTTCTAAATTGTCCATCCTAAATGATCCATTTATACAGAGCAGACCCTTTTAACAGATAAGAGATTGTTATATATTTTACTTTTGAACTTTGGGGCCCTGACATTTCTGGGGCCCTATAATTTTTAGAAGCTGCTTGAACTGTAGCCATTCTATAACTGCAGCATTATCAAATGAGATCAGCTCATTCCAGTACTTTTGAAAAATGAAATTCCGTAGCGATGTTACCTAGAGATGCAAAAAATAAAGGACATACACAAGCCAGTTCAAGCTAGAGCTCTAAACTATTATTACTATAAACTGTTATTATCGGAATATTTCCATTTCCTCTTCTACTCAGGAGACTGCTTTAAGCTTAACATTCAGGATGTGTTATTGAAACATGGGTAATAGTTTTCAAAACTACCTGCTGTTATCACAACTATTATGCTTAAAATTATTAATGCTTACCATAATGGTGTCACTCTAAATTTGGAGGGTGAATTAATGATGGTAAGGCCATGATAACCGGCTGCTCACTGCATATTATAAACAGCCATTGCCAATATATGTGTCCAAGGCTGCAGTGAGCTGGGCCAGTGGAATTTTAAGATTATCTCAGCCGATGGCTTCTCCAAGTTGTCAAATTATGTAACTGATAACTTGTGAACTTACCAAATTCAAAGTTACGAACTTGATCTCCATACAGGTCAGTTTACATATTCACAGATGTTTTCAACAGACCCTTTTGCCCTGAGCCAGGCTCTGGGAATTCAGCCCTGAGTCCCTGTCCCTTTGGCACTCACAGTATAAAGGACATCAGTGAGAGATGTCTACTACAAAGTGTAATAAATGCTGTTATAGAGGTAAGTTACATTTGCTGGTTACAGGCTGTTGAGAGTGAGGTAGAAGTTTATGGGTTAAATGCCCAACCCAGGCTATTCACTGGGCTGGGTTCTGGAGCTCAGGTAGGCTTCTAAAGTCTGCTTACTCAAGGAGCACATGAGGGTCTATGGGGTTCTTTGTTAAGAATGATTGTAGAGCTCCTGGAGATTCAGCATACATAAGGCTCAATTACACTAAAATGTGCACACACACATACACACAGATACACATACACTTGCAGAAACACACAATTCTTCCTGAGCTCCTACAATGTGTGAAACCCTCTGATTCTGTGGGTGATTTATAAATAAAAACATACAGGATCCCCCTTTCCTTAAATAGCTTATACTGTAGTCCTTTGGAAAGGTATATATTTAAATAAATTTAACATAAGATTGACTATGTAAATCTTTATACGGGGCGGGGAGGGGGGGGGCGGTAAAATTTAGGTGCTGTGGGATCGTAAGAGAAAGAGAGAGAAATTTCCACTGAGGTCTCTGAAGATAGCTATGTGACTTAGGTGGGATTCTAGGAATGCTTAAAGGATGAGTGTGCTTTTGAAACATAAATGTCTTTGAAGGGAGGGAGGATTATGTGGGACAGACCAAGCAGAAAGAATAACTTGAACATATAAAAATCCATGGTGAAGTTTAGATTCACTTTGGAAATACTAAGGAGGATAATATTGCCAAGTTTAGAAGAGACTTGAATTAGTAAAGGACTTTGAAGACAACATTGTTGGGTTAAGGTATTTGAAGTTTTAAATTTGTCACTGTTGTATCCATGTGTCATTCTAGGCCTCAGGGTGGCTTTATTTGGTCTATGAATCCAGGGCTAGCTGAGGGATGTGGTAGAGCCAGTTGAGACTGAAACTGGGGAGGCTTATTTGGTAACTACTATTAGAGTTTGGACAAAAAAATAATAAAGGCTAAACTGAAAGGGACTATTAGGGTTTCAAGCTCTGGTGGCTTGGAAGAGTAGTGAGACCACATGACAGAAAGTACTGGTTTGAGGAGGAAGGCAGGATATATTGCCAAGTTTGAAATCCAGCAAGAAATAGAGATTTATGACTTCAACTCAGTTGAGGTTAAGGTCAGAGTCATACATTTGGGACTCATTTACACAAAGTTAGCTCTTGCAGCTGCAGGCTATGTGACTGCCTAGCAAGAGTGGGCTTTGTGGGAATTGGAGTGTCCCAGAGCTGGAACCTTGGAAAATATCTGTTGAAGAGGCTGGAAGAGAGAAGCTTCTAGTGCGGGAGATATTTTATGTAGCAGCAGGAGCAAAGGCAGCAGCAGTAACAGCAACATAATATAATTTTAGAGCGACTAAAAAGGGAGAAATTTAAGAAAGAGGGGTGGTCAATAAAGAAAAATGTAGCAGACAGGGAAAATAGAATGAGACTTAAGAAAAGAGCATTAGAATTGACATTTTGGAAATTATAGATCACCTTTTAAAGAGTAATTTTAGTATAGTTGCAAGTCTAATGCTGGATTGCCAGAAGAGGAAAAGGAGAGGAAGGAGGCAGTAGTGCAACAGCCTGTTGCTAGGCATACACTCCTTATCTCCTTTAGTCCTCATAACAGAAATATGTAGCAGGATTCCTGTTTTTCAGAGGAAGAAAATAAACTCTACAGGTAATAGTTACATTTGTTGAACATTCCCTCTGTGCCAGGCACCTTACTAAGCATTTCACATAATCTATCACATTTGGTGCTCACAGTATTTTTTGAGATAAATACTAATATTTCTTTATGGATGAGACAATAGGGTTCAGATAATTTAAATAGTTTAAGATCTCATCATTAGTAAATGTTAGAGCAGGTATTCACCAAACCCAGTTTTGTCTGATGCCAGAGCCCAAGCTCAGGTAATCTGCCCAAAGTATAATGTTAGTATGACTCAACTACAGGTCTTCTTGTGCAGAGCTTAGCATCTCACTTTCTCATAGCAACCAAAATGTATTAGGTCCGGGAGTATAGATCCATGGAATAGGGTAATGTCTCTCAAGGGTTACAAAGTGTAGTCCAATAAAGGTTTTAGGGCCTTGACATAAGAAAACATGGTGGTGTTATCGGCACTCTATCTTGGTACAAAAACCAGGATCACCTTTGTACTTTTGTGGTTTACCGAAGTGGTTAAAGTCTAGACTTTGAAGCCTCACTTTTGGGTTCAAATGCCAGCTCCAACACTTCCTAGTGAAATGACACTGGGTCAGTCATTGAACCTTTCCAAGCCTCAGTTTTCTTATCTGTTAAATGGGGGTAGTAATAGCACCTACTTCACAGAATTATTTTGAGAATTAATTAAGTGAATAAATATAAAATAGAATGGTGCCTGGCACACAAGAAGTGCTAATTAAGTGTTGTAGATGTTTTGCAGATCAGTGGGTTCCTGCTTTCCAGCTTCTTATAATGCTTAAATCAGACCACTTCTGGGTCTCTTTCTCTGAGAAGACAGGGCAATGGACTTCAGCCCTAATTTTATTTGTCCATTTATTAATTTAGCCTACATACACATACTCAGTACCTATTTTGTACCAGCTAATGTTCTAGGCACTATAAATATAAGAAAGAAATGACAAGTATGGTCTCTCCTCTCACAGAGCTAACAGTCTTGACAGAAGAGATGGGCAGGTAACCAGAAAAAGAATACAGTGGGATCAGTGTTATGGTAGGGGAAGCACATGGCTCTGTGGAAGCACACTAGTCCAGGCTTGGCTTTTGACGGAAGGCTTCTCAGAAGAGGTGACATTTAAGCTGAGATTTGACTTCCAGGTTCTATCCAGCAGCTGCAAGGTTGCTGTCCGCTGCCATTCTTAGATCCACTGGAATTGACTCCAAAATGTCATTTAATTTTCCTTTCACTCAGTTTTATTGGTAGCTGTCAAATCCAGAGAAGTCCTGTGCATTGAAAAGAGAGTTCAAGCACTGCCTATGATGTCACAGCTAGTTCTGCTTTGGCCCTTTCCTTTGTTAGGGGTGCTAGGGAAACTTATATGGAAGGATCACTAAAGCCAGAGATATAGTCCTTAGCTCTCATGGTATGAAACAGACTGGGAAGTGAATCAAGAGTTGTGCATCGTGACCTTGTCCTGAGGTAGGCACCATCTGTTATGGACAATGGAACCTCAGCCTACTCAAAATGATTAAAGATTCTTTTTATGTTTTCTTAGCAAAAATTACATCAGCAAATTACATCCTGTCTGTCTGGACTGCATATAGTTGCTTGGATTGGGAAACTGCACTTTTCTTGTCTGACTCATGGTATTTAAACTTCCTACTATCAGCCATAAAAGGCCATGGACTGGTAGGGTTAGATCACGATTTAACTCTTAGGTCAGTCTCTTACTATTAGGCCTTGAGCAAGTTGCTGATTTTCTTTGAGATTCAGTTTTCTTTTTGCTAAATGGGAAAAATAATAATTCTTATCTCACAGTGCTGTTATGGAATTAAAAGGAGATAACAGCTTTGTCCCTGAAACATATTTGTACTTAATAAATAATGGCTTACTCCCTACTTACTTTTCTTTGCATCAGAACCTTGATGGCCATGTCACTGTACAAATATTTTACGCACAAGAGTGAACATGTTGTCATTTTTAGCCATGGGTATATTAACTCATAGTAGGGACCCAACTAGTACTTGTTCTTTTCTTACTCATCTTGTTGTAATTGATCATATTTTCTAATAAAAAGGGGAAATTTGGAACATAAGGCAGGAGAGGTGTCAGTCTTATCCACTATGACATTTCCCTTCATGTTTAACTTTATCATATAGCCCCCATTATCAACCCCATGATATAACATTTGGAAAATTATAGGCACTCAGTATATATTTGTTGAATAATTGAGTAGCTGACTGAATAAATAAATGAATAAGTGATTTACAGGTAAGCCGTGATGAGAATAGGAGCTGACTGGAGCATAAGCAGTGACTAGTAGTGGCATGGTTGTGCTCAGAGGAAGGGCATCAAATCAATGGGTCCTGAAAATGAAGAGGGAGGAGTAGAACCTATGAAAGATGACTGCCTTGTGCCTCACCTTTTTTGTCCTGTGATTGACTAAGCTGCTAAGTAGGAGCTTGAAGTAACCACTTGGCTCCCCAGGTGGAGCCCAGCTAATCAAGCTGACTGGCTCAGGTCTACATTTCTAAAAAAAAATTCAGCATTATAGGAACAGAACTTGCAAGTAATGTTGAGGTATCAAAGGAATAACTTTCTGAAGAATTTTTTTTTTTGAAAAATATGCAATGGAATCCTCCTTACACTGTTGCCAAGCATGTAAATTGGTACAATTACTCTGGAAAATAATTTGTTATCATTTGGTGAAGGTGAAGATGTGGATATACCCTACAGTCCAGTAATTCCATCCCTAGATATTCCCCCTGATATGGTTTGAATTTGTGCCCTACCCAAACCTCATGTTTAATTGTAATCCTCAGTGCTGGAGGTGGGGCCTTATAGGAGGTGATTGGATCATGGAGACAGATTTCTCATGAATGTTTTAGCATCATCTCTTTGGTGCTGTTCTTATGATAGTGAATGAGTTCTCACAAGATCCAGTTGTTTGTGGATCTTGTGGCGCCTCTCCCACCCTTGCTCTTACTGCCACCATGTGAGATGCCTTGCTCACCCTTTGCCTTCTGCCATGATTGGAAGCTTCCTGAGGCCTCCCGAGAAGCAGAGGCTGCTCTGCTTCCTATATAGCCTGCAGAACCATGAGCCAATTAAATCTCTTTTCTTTATAAATTACTCAGTCTCCATTATTTCTTTATACCAGTGCAAGAACGGACTAATACACCCCCTCTAGGGAAGATCTTTCACATGAGTGCCAGGAAACATTCTCATAGCAGCATTATTTGTAATAGCAAAAAGGTGGAAATAATCTGAATGTGCATCTACAGAGAACAGTGTATAAATTTGTAGTATATGAATACACTGGAATACTTACAGAAGTACAAAGGATTCAACAAGAGCTATGTGCATCATTATGGATGAATCTCAACAACTGCAATGTTGAGTGAATAAAAAAATTATGGAAAAATACATACAGTATGATATTATAAAACAAAAAGAAAATATTATATGTTGTTTATGGGTGTGTATGTGTATAGTATTAAAAATGCATGGGAATAGAAAACAAAAAATTTACAATAAGTGCCTACTTACTGGGGAGAAAGGAAGGGTATAGAAACAGGAAGAGATGCATGGGTGGCTTCATTTATATCTGTGATGTTTTATTTCATAACATGAGCAGTGGATAGGAGGGGGTTTGAATTATTTGCTATACATTTTGCAGTTCTTAAGTAAGTAAACAAAATTAAAAGCTGCATACCCAGAACGTTCTCCGGAAGGCTTGGAACGAGGATTTCTGGTAGTGATCTGTCTTCACTGTGGTACATACTTTCAAAATAACAAGCAAAAGTGGGAGGTTCTACTGACCCTAGAATATTTTACTATGCACAAAATCTGGGTGCTTGGTGATGAGGTCTGAAGCCAGAAAATAGCTTGACTCTTGGGCAAAATTGTTTTGGACAGCAAAGACTCTGATTGTCCAACCTATTTTTAAATGGGCCTTGCATGGTTAGAAGTACACTTCTGCTGCACTTGATTTGTGAACACATGGAAATTGCCACTTTTTTATTTTTCATGGACAGCAAATGTGAGATTAAATGAACAATTTACAAAAGTAAATTTTCATCTAACTGCTTTCCATCAAGCCCAGCACCTCTTGTACCAAGATAAAATTGATTTCTGAGAAAAGTGAAGCTTACGTGAGCTATTTCAGCATTGTTTTAGCACCCCAGGTCTTCTAAAAATCAAGTGCATTGTGGAGAAATCTAGAGTTCCGTGTCTAGGGATCTAGGATGTATCTTTATCTTACAGTAGCTGCTAATGCTGAGAAGATTTTTTTTTTTTTTTTTTTTGAGATGGAGTTTCACTCACTCTGCTGCCCAGGCTGGAGTGCAGTGGTGTGATCTCAGCTCACTTCAACCTCTGCCTCCCAGGTTCAAGTGAGTCTCCTGCCTCAGCCTCCCGAGTAGCTGGTATTACAGACGTGCCACCAAGCCTCACTAATTTTTCTATTTTTAGTAGAGACGGCGTTTATCCATGTTGACCAGACTGGTGTTGAACTCCTGACCTCAAGTGATCCCTCTGCTTTGCCCTCCCAAAGTGCTGGGATTACAGGCGTGAGCCACCACACCTGGCACAATGCTGAGACGATCTTAATGCACTTCAATGACTCATTGTCTAGTAAAACAGAACAAGAGGGGCCCTCTTAAAAATTTCATGGGAAGTTCATACAGAGCATTCACAACTATGTCTGAACTTGGCTTTTGCTCTATTGATGACTTTTGCTGAATAATTCTCATTTACAACTGCTGTTAGTAATTTATCATAATTAGTTCCACCAAAGCAGCTTTCCATAATTAGAAATAACTTGCGCATGAGCTTAGTCTAAATAAATATCTAAATTGCCTTCCAATTAAAATGCACATTATGCATATTATGTCATTGGAGACCTTTTCTCCTTAGTTATTCATATAATAAATGATGAGAAAAATTTCTATAGCGCTGAGGTGGAACCTGGTGATTAATTACCTATTGACAGTGAACGATGCAAACAAGAGGAAGTAATGGTGTCTTTTGCTCTTGAGAGATTTGTCTAGTCATTCCAGCTGCTATGGATTGAATTGAACATTCTGAACGGATTGTGAGCTTGATTGGAGAGGGTAGCTGCTGACATGAAGGCTGGTCTGACATCACACTTATTTTATTTTCCTGACTTACAGAATATGGCTAAAGGTCTGACTTGATGAGGCCAATTAACTTGGCAATCAGTTCATCCATTCTAAATTAAAACCAAATCTGTAGATTCTTTGACACTTTGGGGCCATAGTTTTTGATGAAATGAGAATAATTATTTCCCCTAAGTGCTGATAATTTACTATGTGAGTATGTGAGTGTGTGGGTGGATGATAGCGTTAATCAGTTTTACTCCTGATGTTATTAGCAACACAAAATTTACTTTTTTTTGCAATGAAATTATTGTGGAAGCCAGTAGGCTAGTGCTATATGATCTTTGTAAGGATTTTCTAGAAGAATAGAAAGAACAGCAGAGGGCCTAGGAATCTTGTAGAAAGTTTTCTTGGTGAGCTCCAACTTGCAGAAGGTAAGCTCCTTGAAGTTACAGATTTGCTTTATTCATCTCTGTATCTCTTGTTCTTAGTATAGGATACACAGGAGGTGCTCAATAAATATTTGTTGAATGAATGAATGCAAAAAAAGAAAATAACCAAATGAGCACACCTGGCTGAATGGTTTTGGATCCAATAGATTCAGCGTTCTCATTTATACAATGTGTGGGATGTACCTAACTGCATATATAGTGCGGGCACAAACACTGTTATAACCCATATTAGCTGGGCCATAAAAGCCGCTAGGGCTTTAGAGGCCCAGTGGGGAAGAAAATAATCCAGGAGAGAACATGGTCAGGGCTGTGGCACTAAACCAGTTTAGCAATCAATGCCTTCTTAAGGAGCAAGCTAGCAGTTAGTGTCCACAGGACTGTAGCATGTTTGGACCTAGCCAGCATAGATCTACAAGGGGGAGGGGTGGCCTAATGTGATTAGATAGTATATGGATGTTCGTTAGTAGAAGTTTCCAAGTAATGGTTATCTCTGTAGGCAGAAATATGGTAGCACTGTGATTCTATAAGGTCCATTTGTTTGAGGGCAAAAATAAGGAGTATGTCTCTATCAGCAAAAGATAATCAGGGATTCAGGGATTCAATATCTAGACCCACTAAAGAAACAAGAGTGCAACGTGGAAACAGAGACAGTAATCCCAGTTATGTACACGGGCTAAACATAACAGGAAATGGTAAGGAAGTTGAGGTTCATAAAGTACATGGTAACTAATTCTGAGCTTGTCCTAGACACACTGGTATTAGGTTTAGGACAGATAAAACAATTCAAAATCTTCTCAACTGTCAGTGAGGCTCAGGAACGTGATGGACTTCAGTCTGCAATTTTAAAGGCCTTCAGCCTCTATAGCAGGCAGGCATGGAGAAAGCAGAGGCTGAAGGGTCTTGTAGGCAGAAAATCAGTTCAAAACAGTCTTTAACTCTGGAGGAAATGTTACAACACAAGCATCCATTTCAAAAAGGAGAAAGTCTAATTACAACAACAATAGTAATAATAATAGTAACAGCGTAACTATAGTAATAACAACATCTACTGCCCTTTAACGAGTATTTATCATACTCCAGGCCTGTATTAGGCAGTTTACATATATTATCTCATTTAATTCTTACAACAACCCTAAGAAATAAATTCCAGTATTATCCTAATTTTAGCAGCTTGTAGAGATTAAGTAATATGCCCAAATTCACACAGCTAGTAAATGGTAGGGCTAGGACTTGAAGCCAGTTTGATTCCCAAGCACGTGTTTGTTATTAATACATATAATATACACATAATGTATTATCGCACATATAATGCTGAATAAATATTACAAGTGACAAATTTTATTGTCAATTTCACTTACATGAGAAAAAAATGAAGTGGATCTCCATTAGTGATTCAAAAAACATGTATTGTGCACCTACTATATGCCAGACATTGTGCTGTACTGGAGATACAGCAATGAACAAAACATGCAAAATCACTGTCCTCACAGAGCTTAATGCCTAATATGGGGCCCTGGGATAGTTATGGGCTACCCTTAGCCAACCATAATTTAAAGAAGATAGTTTGCAGTCTGGGTTATTCACCTCTTAGACCCTTTGAAAAATTCTGTGGAATGAAATTCTTCTCTGGAAGAGTAAGGATAGCATGGCAATTAAGTGCATGAACTCTGGGGCTAGACTGTCTGAATTCAAAATTTTATCTGTTAGGGTCTGGCCAGTAAAACAGAAACTAATCTAGATCATTAAGCTAAAGGGAACTTCATATTGGAGGCTGGTTAAATGAGTGATGGACTCAAGAAGTCAAGCAGGAGATAGCGAGGCCATCAAGAGATTAGCACCAACAGGAAGTTGCTTCCACTTCTGGTACTACAGGGGCAATGGAAGAAGGTGGTGTTACCAGAATCTAGAAGCTAGGCTGTCTAGTTGATGCTAAAACCCAGGAAGGAGCTGCTCAGATAGACCTGGGGCTATGGAGAGAGGGCTGTCTACTGGGGCTTTTCTCCAGCTTCTGCTCTACAATTTCCTATACGTGCCTCCCATATACCAAACCTACTCAGAAGACAGAGGACAAGGGAAACTTGGAAAGTAGTTGCTTGTGATTAAGGGTGGATCAGGGGAAGGGGGGAAGGATTTGAAGCAGTTAGTGGCTACAAGAGCCAAGTCTTATCATGTATTAACTGTCATCATGAGTAAATATTCCTGTACCTCAGTTTCTCCACCTATGAAGTTGAGATTTTGGCATAGTACCTCCCCATAGGGCATTAGAATTAAACAAGTTGATACATGTAAAGTGTTTAGGAAAATGTTTGGCAAATAGTAAACCCTCTAGATCTTACTTATAATTTTTACCACATACAATATTACCTGCTGACTGTATTTAATAAAGGATTCATAGTTACAAGAGCTGATAGCTCAAGTGTCTCAACAAACACTAATTGGAAATAAATGAATCTGACTATTCTTTTCCATGGCATCCCTCCCTTGAAACCATTCTCATAGACCTGAACAATGTTCAGGCCGGAATTAAGGAAAGCTTATGAATCAGATGATAGGCCCAGCCCCTGCCAACCCAACCAGAAAGAAGCACTCAACATAACCTGCTGTGTTAAGTTAGTATGGTTCCAAAACATAAAAATAAGAAAACACTATTTTGAATTTACACCACAAATAAGTGCCCTGTGGTCTTTTTGACAAACATATACATTAGTGCTAAATCCTCCCTTATAATTACTATCATGAGAATCCTGGAATCAGACACCAAAGCTGGTAATAAAAGAGAGAATGCGAATAAGATGGAAATAGGAGCAAAAACAGTAAAGTAGTCCCCTCCTTATCTGCATTGTCTATGTTCCAAGACTCCCATTGGATGCCTGAAATCATGAATAATACTAAACCATACATACTAGTTTTTTTCCTATACATGCATACCTATGATAAAATTTAATTTATACATTAGGCACAGCAAGAGAATAACCATAATAACTAATAATAGAATAATTATATCAATATGTTAAAATAAAACTTAAAACATATAAATTGCTTATTTCTGAAAATTTCTGTTCAATATTTCTGACCACAGCGACCACAGGTAACTGAAGCCACAAAAAAAAATCATGGATAAGGGGGAACTACTGAAATTCATCAAAATGAAAAAGAGAGAGTTCACTTGGTCTATAGATATTTGAATAATTATAGTATATCATTTTAGAATAAAACAACATAAATGTTTAGTCAGTGAAGGAAGTTATTAGATAAATGTATCCTTCTGTATCAAAAAGGAGAAACATATAAGTTAGCATATAAATAAAAAGAAAAGAGAAAGAAAACTCAGTCAGCAACATAGTGTTTAATGTTTTAATGCTGTGAGGGACTCAGTGTTTTTGCTGCTATGTGGCACTTGCTGAGAGACAGATTGGTAGCAGTCTAGCAGGTATTTTATATCTCTAATTTCCTTATGGTGAGCCCACTGGATTACTAAACTTAGAGAAAATTCTAATATCTTTGAAACAACAATTGTTAATCAGGACCTGGCAAGTAGATTTCTGTAAATGCATTTTCAAATGTTATTTTTTTTCTTTACTGGGAGTGCAGATAAAATTGTGGCATAAGCAAAGATGTTAGATATTTTTGTTTGTCTTTCGAATCAGGCTGCATTGGTAAGGGCAGCACTTTGCTGGCAATGTAAGCAGAAAAGCTGGGCCAATCATTCTATTAAGGTAAGCCCTTGGCTTTCTTTTAGCATCCCTGATTCAGGTATTTCAGTCTGAGACTTTTTAGGATATGAATTATGCAGGTAAATGTCACATGCTCTGCAGCATTTTGCATGTCCAGACTTGGCTGAAATGTTTATTCGATGGTATTTTATATATCAATGTTTCCTAGACTAGACTGTGGACATCATGAAGGCACAGATTTAGCTGTTCTGTTTACCATTGTATCCCCATTGCTCAGCATAGTGCCTGGCAAATGCTAGGCTCTCAGGAATTATTTGTTGGGTGAATGAATGAAAGTTTCTAGTGACTAGTAGACATATCTATAGGTGTTACTCAAAAAGCAACACGAAAAATTTGCTAGACATTTTCAAGGATATGGTTTTTCCAAATGAAGAAAAATATTATATTCCTAGTGGGAGGCTGTCTTTAGAGAACCCTGATTGTTTCTGGGTAATATATTTTATATAACAAAGATTAGTAACACTTTGGCTGATGATGATGTTGATGGCTACTTTCTCAGTTTTTCTTGAATGGAACATCCCACTTCAGCATTTTTAAAAGCCGAATTGAGCCAAGGTTCAGGCAATTGAATTTACCACTTGATGCTTTACCGTATATGATCTCTGAAAGTGACAGTAAACAAATTGATAGTTATGGTTCATTCCTTTTGGAGGCTAATACAATTCTGTCTTGGTATAGTGTAGCTTTCCAAAGTGCATTCCATAGAACACTAGTCCCACAAGATACTTTATAAGAGGGAGAAAAAGATTATATGGTCTAATAACTTGCTCAATGCTGTATAGTATAGTCCTATCTTGGAAATTCATAATGGACATTAATTAGCATAGCAAAAGCTCTGAGAAGTAAAGAAACCTATTTTTTAACGTTGAGTTTCTCAAACTGAGTTAATTACAGCTTTCACTTCTTATTAACATTCCTACAAGATTTTTATTCCATTGACCAGACATTAGGAAGATCTAGTAGAATAAAAAGAAGATTATCTTACCTATCAAAAGAATCAAGTCTTTCTCTGTATCTCTTACTTAGTCACTATGTGGCATGAGTCTTAGTCTTCTAGACCAAGTTTTTTCCTATTTTCAAAAGGAGATCATACCACATGTTCTCAGGTCTAATACAAAAGTTTCGTTTTCATACTTTAAAGTCTCTGAAATCAGAATAAGTCTTATGTTCCATTTAACATGATATTTAAGTTTTCTTAGAAAAGTTATAATTAAATTGATTGTTCATCTTACAATTTAAGCCATTTTAGAGACAAAGAAATGTGGCAAAACCTTCCTGTCAATTTCTCAGCATTGCTGTGCAAATCAAATGAGGCAATAGATAAGAAAACAGCATATACAAATACCCTATGGTGATGGATTTTCTAATGGCTGGTTTGTCTACTTTAAGTGAGAGACTCAAGCTACTAGGCTGACGATATCATTTAATGTCATTTCTTCAGGTGGACATGAACACACTTAATCCAAGTATCATAAGTGATTTATTTCCATTTTCATTTGGTTGTTTGGCTTGATTTATATGACAGTTCTGCTTTAGTACATAGTCACTTCCTCAGTTACAAAAACAAAAATAAACCAACTTTTAATGTTCAGCTAAAATTTCTACCAAAAAAAAAATTTTAAATGTGTTATAACTTCATATGCCGTTGAGAGAAATTTGTCACAAAGTGGAGGCTTCTTGGAACCCAGCAGGGGAATTAATTCCTCAACAAGCATTTACTGAATTTCTGTGCCCCCTTCGGCAGTAAGAGCTGTTAAAAATACAGTTAGGAGGCACTAAGTGGATGTTTTTGGAATGACCTTGGGTTAGACTCTGCAGTAGGTGCAGAGTACAATAGAGGTGAATGAAGGCAGATCACTATCCTGGAACAGCTCATAGTCTAGTGGAAAATACAGACTTATTTCCAGATAAGTGCCATAAGTATTTATAAAGCATGATTGTAGAAACGAAGAAATAATTACTGGACTAATTCAGCTTTGTGGAGTTTGAATGAGACTTGAAGCTTCATAAGATGAGGTAATACAGGCTAGATCTAGAATAATCAGTACAAGTTGGGGCAGAAAGCATGGAAAAACAGTGAAGACATAAAAACTCCACATGTGCTGAAGCATAGTTTGGTGAAATTTCATGTGTGCCCCAAGATCTGTACAAAATATTGAGTTTATGTGATATAATATTTCTTGGACGCATAGCAAAAGCCGGGCCCAGAAATCTAGTTTGGGTCGAAAGTGAAAGGCCACTGCATGCCATGATAACATTTTTGGACTTTATAGTGAAGATGATGGGGAGCCATTAGAGGATTTGACTTCCAATAGTAACATGGTCAGTTTTGCATTTTGGAAATATTACTCTGGTAGGAGTCTGGAGCATGGATAAAAAGGTGACAGTACTGGAGGAGGAAAGACTGTTTAAGAGCCGTTGCAATAACCTAGGCAAGAAGTGATGTTAGTGATGATGGGATGACAATGATTGATTTTAGAGATGAGTCTAAGGTATAAGCTGTAGAGCATAAAGACTAAGTGGACATGGGTTGTATGGAGGGAGAGAAGAGAATCAGAGAAGTCTGCACCTTTAAATTTGAGAGACTAAGATAATGATGTCATAATTTACAATCAGGAATTTAGAAGGAGGAATGAACTTAGGGGAGAGATAATGACTTTAGCGTCAGTGTTATTTTTAAAAGTCAATAGGACATATGGATAAAAGATAATATTTCTGCCCTTCTAGAGTCTAGTATTTTTGTTTACTAGGCCAGAATTACATGTATTCTTCAAGCAGCTTCTGTACAGTAGGCGCAAAGTCTCCACTGAGCCCAAGGAGAGAATTCCAGCAAGACTCTCCAGTATTTTTTTGTGCCATGAAAGGCTTCATAAAAGAGGTAAAATTTAAGATGGATCTGGAAGAATGAGTGAAAATTCATGAGAGATTTATACGAAAGCCGTTCTAGGCAGGGGAAACAGTATGAACAAAAGCAGAGAACAATGAAAGATCATAGAATTACTGGGAATTGTAAGAAGTAGCTAAAGTGTGTGGTAAAAATGGTGGGAAAAGAGATCTAAAATTGTTTTCACCAGTATCAAAGTTAAAGACTTTATACTTTACCCAGTAGTCGTTGAGGAACTAATGAAAATTTAAAGCAGGAGAGTAAGCATCCACAGATCTGTATTTGTAAGTGCTGATGAGGCACTGAATTCAAAAGAGATCAGAAGGGAAGCCTACGAGTCCCTTTGTAGTACCAGGTGCAGTCTGAGAACCTTAACAACTCCTAATTAAGGCCTTCCATCAATTCTACACCCCTAGAGCTTCGGCTCAATTTGGGATCTTCTTGCTCTTATTTGAGATTGTCAGACATTTGTCGTTTACACAAAAACAGCTTCTCTCGCTGGAATATGGCATCAAGCAGGCTTGAATTGATTCTGCTAAGTTCAGCCTGCCACACAGACATTGAGATTTCCCTTGGAAAGGTTATCACTAAGAATTCCCCATTGCGTCTGATATTTTTAAATATTTTATTAAAGATAGTTCTAATAAATTCTACTGAGTGCCTAGTAGATATCAACTATCTGGATAAAAGCAGGTTGGGGCCTGGCGCAGTGGTTTACGCCTGTAATCCCAGCACTTTGGGTGGCTGAGGTGGGCGGATCACTTGAGTTCAGGAGTTCGAGACCAGCCTGGCCAACATGGTGAAATCCCATCTCTACTAAAAATACAAACATTAGCTGGGTGTGCTGGCAAGCACCTGTAATGTCAGCTACTCGGGAGGCGGAGGCAGGAGAATAGCTTGAATCCAGAAGGTGGAGGTTGCAGTGAGCTGAGATCGTACCACTGCACTCCAGCCTGGGTGACAGAGAGAGAGACTCTATCTCAAAAAATAATAATAATAAAATAAAGTAAAATAAAAGCTGGTTGGGAACCTATCCAACCTATTTAGCTATTTCAAGATATATAAATTGTGTGTGTGTGTGTACAGAGTAATAGGTTTTTTCCATGTAGAGTCGTAGTTTGAAGACTATTTCTCTTAATTCAGTATTTCAACTATGAACCTTGTTTAAAATGCAGATTCATTATCCCTATTCTAAATCTACTAAATCAAAATGTCTGGCTTTAAAACCCAGTAATATCCATTTAAAAGGTCTCCACATAATTCTTATGCTACCTAAATCTTGAAAACCACAAAAATAAAGAATCTTTGGATTAAAAATTCATAAGGATATATTTAATTTAGAGATTCTATACTGCATGAAGTTACTTTTAAATGTGACAAGATAGTCTTCCTTCTAAATAACTGTTAGTATTCTTTTTAAAAATTTTTTAGAAATTTTGTGAGTACATAGTAGGCATATATATTTATGGGTTACGTGAGACATTTTGATACAGGCATACAATGCATACTAATCACATCAGAGTAAATAGGGTGTCCATCACCTCAAGCATTTATCCTTTTTGATTCAAAAAATCCAATTGTATTTTAGTAATTTTAAAATGGGTAATTATATTATTTTGACTATAGTCACCCTGTTGTGCTAGCAAATACTAGGTCTTTTTATTCTTTCTAACTATTAATTTGTACCTGTTAACCACCCCACTTCCCCCACACCCGTTACCCCTTACTAGCCCTCCCAGCCTCTGGTAAACTTTATACTCCATGAGTTTAATTGCTTTAATTTTTAGCTCCCACAGATACGTAAGAGCATGTGATATTTGTCTTTCTGTGCCTAGCTTATTTCACTTAAAATACTGACCTTCAGTTTCATTCATATTGTTTCAAATGACAGGATCTCTTTCTTTTTTATGGCTGAATAGTACTCCATTATGTATATGTACCATATTTTTTAATCCATTCACCTGTTGATGAACATTTAGGTTGCTTCCAAATCTTGGCTATTGTAAACAGTGCTGCAACAAACATGGGAGTGCAGATATCCCTTTGATATACTGATTTCATTTATTTTGGGTATATGCCTAGGAATGGGATTGCTGAATCATATAGTAGCTCAATTTCTAGTTTTTTTCAGAAACCTCCAAACTGTTCTCTACAGTGATTGTACTAATTTACATTCCCACCAAGAATGTACAAAGATCACCTTTCTCCTTGCCTCTGGGGTATTGCTCAACAAGTCTTTGCCCAGACCAATGTCTTGCAGAGTTTCCCCAATTTTTTTGTAGTAGTCTCATATTTTGAGGTCTTAGATTTGTCTTTAATCTATTTTTATTTGATTTTTAATATGGCGAGAGATACCAGTCTAGTTTTATTCTTCTGCATATGGATATCCAGTTTTCCCAGCACCGTTGATTGAAGAGACTGTTATTTCCCCAATGTATTTTCTAGGGCCTTTGATGAAAATGAGTTCACAGTAGATGTATGGATTTGTTTCTAGGTTCTCTATTCTGTTCCACTGGTCTATGTATCTGTTTTTATGCCAGAATCATGCTGTTTTGGTTACTATAGCTTTTTAGTGTAATTTGAAATCAGGTAATGTGATTCCTCCAATTTTGTTGTTTTTTGCTTAGGATAACTTTGGCTATTCTGGGTCTTTTGTGGTTCCATATAAATTTTAGGACTTTTTTTTTTTCTTTCTGTGGAGAATTTCATTGGTAGTTTGATAAAGATCGGATTAACTCTGTAGATTGCATTGGGTAGTATGGAGATTTTAACAATATTGATTCTTCCAATCCATGAGCATGAAATATCTTTCCATGTTTTTCCTCTTCGATCTCTTGCATCAGTGTTTTACAGTTTTCCTGGTAGAGGTCTTTCACTTGTTTGGTTAATTCCTAGGTATTGTATTTGTTGCTAGTGTAAAAGGGATTACTTTCTTGATTTCTTTTTCAGATGTTTACTGTTGGCATATAAAAATACCACTGATTTTTGTATGTTGATTTTGTACCATGCAACTTTATTGAATTTGTTGATGAGTTCTAATAGTTTTGTTGTTGTTGTTGGAGTCTTTAGGTTTTTCTAAATATAATAATTGGAACCCAATAATATGCATTTTAAAAGGTCTCCACATAATTCTGCACTCCAGCCTGGGTGACAGAGAGAGACTCTGTCTCAAAAAAAATAAAAAATAAAATAAAATAAAAGCAGGTTGGGAAACTATCCAACCTATTTGGATATTTCAAGGTATATAAATTGTGTGTGTGTAGAGTAATAGTTTTTTTCCATGTAGAGTCATATTTTGAAGACTATTTCTCTTAATTCAATATTTCTTCAACTATGAAGCAGAAGGTGTTTTACCCCATAGCCATCACAGCTGGGAATGTGCCGAGTCTCACCTGAAGCCAGCAACACTCAGAGGCTCACCCAAGACCCTCACTGTAGTGCTTGGGTATTGCTGCTGGTTATTTGGAGACCAAGGGCTCTTCAGTTCACATGTGATCCTGCCAAAACTGGGTCCTTTCATTACAGGCAGCGGGGCCCTTCTGGCCCAGAGTATGTCTAGAAATGTCATCTGGGAGCTAGGGCCTGAAAAATGGGCCTCACCACTCTGACTGTTGCCCTGTCTTGCTGTGCTTGAGGTGGTATCTAAGATGTAAGACAAAGTCCTCCTCAGTCTTCTCTCTCCTCAAGTGGAAGGATGGGGTCCCTTTTTGAGCCATGAACTGTGCAGCGTGAGGTTAGTGGAGGGGTGATGCCAGCACTCCCTTAGTGGCCCCAGCTGGTGTCTCAGTAGGTCGTGTTCCCCTGCTTAGTCCACTGACTCTGAGCCCAGTTCAGCACTCTACCAATCAAGTATTATCTAGAGCCCAGAGCACTCCAGCCTTCGGTAGTGAAGCTTGCCAGAACTCAAGTGCTGACCACTGGGACAGGTGATTCCTTTCTGGCTTGAGTTGGTTTAAATACTCCCTCCGTGGGCAGGTAGCAGCTGAGTTTGTTCTGGTTTTGCTTTCCACTACAACAGCATAGCACTGAATTCCACGCAGAATTCAATGAATACTCCCTTTCCCAAGTGTATCGATTCTCTCTCTGCATCACGTAGCCACTACCTGGGAAAGGAAGGAAAGGTGGTGTCTGTGATTCAAGACTGATTTTCATACCTCTTCAGAGCTTCTTTCAGCAATATGAAGATAAAACCAGGTACTGTGAGTACTCGCCTGAATTTTGGTTCCTATGAAGTGCTTTTTCGGTGTAGATAGTTCTTAATTTGGTGTCCTTGCATGGGGGACAATCAGTGGAGCCTTTTACCATCTTGCTGATCCTTATGTTCCACTCCTGGTATCCTGAGGCAGGAGATCAGAATAGTAGATTAGAAAGTGGACTCAAGCCGCCACCTTTCCAGGTGGTCAATTAAAACAATAAGCCACAGTGAAAATAACAATCAAGTTTTTATTTACTTACTGTAAAAGTGCAAGCAAGAGGCAAAAATGATGCCAACTCCCTAGTGTTCCATTTCTCCCTGGGAATGGCTCCCGGCAAAGGTCAGATGGATGCAGTACAGATGAGGGTAGTTCTCCCTGCAAAACAAACTAATGGTTCCTTCCTGTTTATAGACCTGTGAGCTGGAGATAAGGAGAGCGGGAAGGGCTAGGAGTGCAAAGGAACTCAGTCAAAGCAGAGAAAAGTGTTTCAGCCAAGACCCCTAATAAGAAGACCTAGGCAGAGATGCCTGTAAGTGCCTCAATTGAAACCCCCAATAAGGAGGTCTCCAAATAGAGATGCTTTAGCTGGGCATGCAGATATATGTGAGCATGGCAGGCTTGAAGGGGTCAGCCTGAGCCTTGACTGTTACTCCCCACAGAAAATTGCAAAGCACTGGCTGTGGGGAGGGCAGCCTCTCTCCATGAGGCTTGCAAGCAAAGTTTTGCAATTGCCTATGGTCAGGCATGAAAGAGCAACACAGAATTTTGGTCTGGAGCTAAACTCCTCAAGGACTAGACTGTGAACCAGGAGATAGAGTTCTAGGCCGAATTTTGCCAGGTATTCACTGGGCAAAGTCACCTTTCATCTTTGGGCTTCTGTTCCCTAATTTCTCAAGTAGGCTCTAGTTCAATAACCTCATGCTCAGCCTGTAAAGATCTTTTCAACTCTGATGTATTGCAGTTTTATTTCTGAGAGAAAGTGGTAAGTGTCCATAGGTGACTACTCCTGTCACAAGAGTGGTTCTCATGTAAACTGGGGAAAAACAGTTAATGACCACTAGGCAGCTGTAGTGAATTCTTATAATTTAATATTGCCTTGGCATCCATTTTGAATGCAGGTTTAACTCTCTGCTATAAGAAGCAGGGCTTAGTCACCCTTGCCACAGTTTCCAGTTCTACACCACACTCAAATTGCTCCAGTAGGTGGCCAGAGATAAGAACTTAGATATATTTCTCCTGTCTAGCAAACTGGGCTCCTGACTTTCCCACTGCTTCCTTTAAACACACTATTAAGGCATTTGCCCATGAATTTAAAGCGACCCGCACCCTATTCCCTTATCTTCTCTCCCTCTGCCTGACTCTTTCTTCTTGCCTTGTGTGATTTGGGGAGACAGTACTGCTCTTCTGACTCATTATGGCTTCACTGCCCAGGCAAGTAACTTATTTCCTGCTGTGGTGGTGGATTGAATGTGCACCTTCCGTTTGAAGAACTAGAGGCTACCCCAGGCTGGGTTTTCTCTGGGACACAAAGTTGGTTTTCAAAAACTAGAGGAACACTGGTCAGGCAGGCGTAAACTAAAAACAGGTCAGACAAGACCCAGGAGGGAATCTGCCAGCATGAAGTTTTGCATGTGAGGTACCTCCTAGTCACAGGTGGAACAAGTAGGTAGTAGGCTGTCTACCAAGTAAAAGAAGTATACCATGAAAGGCACACTGTAAACACCCATGTCCAACTCCCTTTCATTTTCCACTAGGGCAGAGTGGCCAGCTCCTTTGCTACTGGGACCCCAGTTTAGTTGGGGGCTCTCAAAACAGCAGCCGCATAACTCTCAGCCTGAGGATGGTGGCAGCTTCCTTATCTTAGAAAACTAGAGAGGCTTTTGAACACCTTTTTGCTTTCTGGGGATTCTCTTTAGCAAATACTAGGTAAAGGTCAAAGGGAGTAACAGCTCCATTAGAGGTGATTCTTAGCAAGAGACTTTTTTCTCCAGTCTGGCTTGCTAGGCTGTACCATTTATAATCTGAAGGCAGAAAGCCAGTTTGTTATTGTGGGTAGCGTTGGTAAAACACAACAAAAGCTTCCATAGATGGGGACTTATATTTAGCAGGTCTTCTCAGCAGCAAGTTTCAGATGGTTTTAGCCATCTGAGGTGGAGGTAGATAGATGATTAACTGCTCCAGATTAGGTCTGTGGCTTATAGAACTTTGGATCCCCAGCCCATAACTTGTAGTATGTAAGAAAATATGCATGTTTATAATTTAAGTTGTTGTTATCAGTAGCCAGTGATTATTGAGAGCTTACTCCATTTCAGGCATTTTAAATATATTTTTTACTTGTTTAATTTAATCTTCACAAGTAACCCTATGAGGTAAACACTATTATTGTTCCCATTTTATAAGTGAGAAAACTGAGCTACATGACCTACTTGAGATCACATAGATAGTAACTGGCAGAGCCATGATTCAAATCTAAGTGTGACTGGCTTCGGAGACTACATTCTTAGCCACTACCCTATACTACCACCTTCAAGTCAGGTTAATTCAATGAGGGCTGACCTCATCCTTGGGTGTGGTAGATAACTACCTAGGTCGTGTTATTTGTGAATTGCTACAATATTCAGCCAAGTCAACTTTTAGCATTTCTATCTCTGTTAGACTTTAAAAGTGGATTCATACATAGTTTGAAAAAGATATGTAATTTTCCATAGAAACAAATAATGTGGGCCAATGTGCCTGCATAGTTACTAATGTACTTTTTTTCTTTCCAAAGTTCCATGAAATGGGATGGTCCAGGTTCAATGACACAGTCTTGATAGGTCAAGAGTGTAAGATTCAGCTTTGAAATATGACCATTGAAAGACCTTAATGACACCCAAGGTACAATACTGGGGAAATTGGATACTTTTGTGTTAGAAATATATTAATAGCAATTTGTCATACAAATGACAAATTACTATTAATTTGTCTGTCAGGATAAAAAGGCTGTTCTAGGTGTTGAGTGTGGGTGGAACAGAGCAGCCCTCTATGGATACGTGTGCATCGTGTACAGGAGGAGATGAGATAAATTTGTACTTTCTCCAATCTGTGTCTCTTTGTTTTTGTATCCGTGCTTAATTACAATGTGGGAAACTAAGGTAGGTTAGACAAATTTCTAGGGCATGGTATTTTTAGAAGTTTATTGTTAAAGTGCCAGTGCCCTTTGAGAAAGGTTTTAGACGTCATTGGTTCCTCAGCTGTAGTTATCTACTAAGGTGGAATCTGAGGAAGCCCCGGTTTACTTAATTTTACTCTGAGCTTAAATCTGAAACATGGGCTAGAAGAGTGAGGGGCCCTATTTAGGGGATGATGGGATGGCAGAGATGGAAGGTAAAGTTAATGCTTGGGTTTTGGGTAACTGAGGGAGATAGTACCTCTAACTTTTGGGGAGAGGCAGAGGCAGGCAAGAGGGTCAAAAACTGGCTTTACCTCTCTTTAATTGACAGCCTGACTCAGAGCACATCTATCTTGATGGGGACAGAATTTCTGAAAAGCCAGTTGGTGTTGCTTTTTTAGCATTGATTATTCCCTCTCACCCCAAATACACTGCTACTTGAATTCTGAATGGTGATACAAGGAGCCATAGTCGAATGCTCAGCAGTCTAAACAAAGTCCATAGAAAGTTCTCTAAATAAATCTAAGACTTTGTAGTGAAAAAAGAAAGTGCTTGCTTTCAGAATGTTTTTCTAACTTCAGAAACACAAAACAACACTTTGCTCACAGTGGGAATTAATTGGTTAATGAATTCATTTTACAAAAGATTTCATCAAGGTGTTCTTCAATAAGAACTCTGGTAATGGAAAAATATGAATGCTTCCAGAAAATTGAGAAAATATGGTGCAACAGAAAGAGCACGGGCTTTGGAAAGCGACAACCCTACTTTGCAGTCTGGGCTCTTCCACTTACTACCTGTGTGGTCTTGGGCAAGTTGCTTAATTTCTCAGTTTCAGTTCTCTCATCTATAACATAATGATGATAACAGTATATAACTCTGCTTCAGAGTTATTGTGAAGCTTTAGTATGATAACATATGTAAAGTGCATAATACAGTTCCTGGAACATAGATTTTGGAAAATCCTAGTTCCATTCCTTCTCCTCGATGGAAGAGGCTACATTGGGGTACAAGTTCTAGAGGGACAGGAGCCACAACTTATGAAATATTGATCCTAATGAAGATATAACAGCACCAAAAACATGATGCAATTCTGTAAGCACAGATGATACAGTCTCTACAAATGGCTTGTGCACAGTGTCTCAGATAGCAACTTTCTGCAGTGCCTGGAAGAATAGGATGGACACCAAAACATGATGGCAGCATCAAATGCAGTTGGTACTGGCGCTCTAATCACTATCAAATATGGCAAAAGTCCCTTCAGTATGCTCCTACAGAACCATTCTTGTGCACCAAGAAAGTGGCTGCTTAGTTGGGTGAGATTTTCAATGTGAATTGTCACTAGCAGTTGGGGAAAAGTTCCCATTCCCAGCCAAGACTACAATACCACAATACCATTTTAGCTATTCAAACGGAGAAAAAATAAGTACTTATAAATGTTGGAGAAGATGTGGAGAAAATGCACTTATATACACTGCTTTTAGGAACATAAATAGGCACAACTCTTTGGAAGATAGTTTGACAGCTTCTATAAAATATTAAAACAGACCTTTGCATCAGCTCAGCACTTCCACTTCTGTGTATATGTGCCAGAAACATACCCTTATGTGCATTTGGAGACATACAAAAGCTGATTATTGCATAGTTAGTTGTAATAGACTGTAGAATGGTTAAGCATTAAAGCACATTCATGTAATAAAATATTATGCAGCCATTTAAAAATGAAGTGTATTAGGTGCAGAGACATGGAAGTATTCCTGTGATTCATTGTTGAGATATAAAATCAAGTTACAGCAGAGTACATGATATCAATTTTAATACCCAAATGGTATATACTTACATTTGCATTAAAAAAAAATCTGGAAGGATATGAGTGTTGGTAGTGGGGGGAGTTTTGAAGGGTCACATTACCTATTCAATTTCTAGATGTCTGCATTATTTGCAATTATTTAGATGAAAATGTTTTACTATTGCAAGCTTTTAAGTAAATCATAAAATAATAAAACAAATGTAAGTAATAGATTGGCTTAATCATTTCTAGCCCACATGTGCTTTGAATTTTCTCAATTTTCAGATATTAAGATAGTAATAGTAGCTAACATTCATTAAATACTTATGTACCAGGCAATATTTTAAGTTATTTACTAATAAATCTTCATGTATATTTATCTTCACATTATACCTATATAATCCTCACAAGATCCTTATGAGTTAGAAACTATTTTCACTCACACTTTGTGGATCAGAAAACAAATCTCAGAGAAGTTCAATATCACATTAAATCCCATACATCTTGTAACTGGTGGAGCTGGTATTTGAAGCCAGAGGGCATGGCTTCAGAGTCAGTATGCTTAAGAAGTATTTCATATTGTCACTCAGATGAAAGTGGTAGACTACACCAGTCTATATTCTAAGAAGTTGAGAGACTGCTTGGGCAGATGCATGCTCTCTCGCGCGCTCTCTCTCTCTCTCTCTCTCTCTCTCTCTCTCACTCTCACACACACACACACACACACACACACACACACACACACACAGAAATACACATGAAAAATGCAATACAGGCTGGGCACAGTGGCTCACGCCTGTAATCCCAGCCCTTTGGGAGGCTGAGGTGGGCGGATCATGAGGTCAAGAGATTGAGATCATCCTGGCCAATATGGTGAAACCCCGTCTCTACTAAAAATACAAAAATTAGCTGGGTGTGGTGGCAGGCGCCTGTAGTCCCAGCTACTCGGGAAGCTTAGGCAGGAGAATCTCTTGAACCTGGGAGGCAGAGGTTGCAGTGAGCTGAGATTGCGCCACTGCGCAATCTGCACTCCAGCCTGGGTGACAGAGCGAGATTCTGTCTCAAAAAAAAAAAAAAAAAAAAAAAAGCAATACAAAGGTATGTACTATAGAGTGCTAAAGAGATTGAATGCTACAGGAAGCATTTAGGAGATGTTCATTGTAGGCTCAGGGAATCATGATCCATACTTGGAGTTGAACCTAGAGCCCTCCTTTTCACCTGGTTCTTCCTGCAGCCAAGAATATGCTTAGTGGAAAAGTTGACAAGGGTACCGTAACGGCTTGTGGCTAAAGAATAAAACAAAGCCTATAAACCTACCCGGAGCCCTGCATATATGTTACTTCTCATAGTAGAGCTTAGGCAGTGCAGCAGCCCTGAACCCAACCATGGTAACTGAAGTAGGTCTATTAGCCTGTACTGCAGTGAAATCTGCAGACTAGGCCAGGAGAGCCATTGTAGCATTTTCTGCCTCAGCCTCATCTCTCATTAATATGGAGGAATTCCAATCTAAGGTTACACAAAACATCACAACCGGAAGTCCTTTGATACTCTCTATTTACTCTTTTGAGAGTATCTCAAAAGTTTGAGGAAACTGAAGCTCAGAAAACTGAATTAACTTGTTCAAGATCACATTGCTATTTTGGTAACATATATGGCAGAATATTACTTTCCTTTGAAGCAAAACGTATCTTTTGAGTAAAGGATTTATTTTGCCTTGTGATGTAGATAAAGGATTCAGGGGGCTTTCATATAGGATTTACTTTCTCCTTCTTTCTCTCTCTAAATACACACACACGCATGCACACACACACACACGTACGTATACAACAATTTCAGTTCTTGATGTTTTTGTTTGTGCTTTTCACTGTAGGTTATCATCTACCCTCCATATAACATATGGGTGAAATTTGGGTGAGACCTTTTATCTCTAAACATGAAGGGAAAGGGGAAAATGTTTGTTCTTCCCAGCTACCACTTTTCAAAGGTATCATTATCATGGCCAGAGAATAAATAATGGGACTCCTAATAGAATCCTGAGTACTGGCCCAAGTTTTTAGAGATGGCATTTCACGTGCTTTCTTGGAGGACATTGAGTTAGTACCTCTGAGACATGATCGATTATAAAGGGCCAGGGTTACAGTTACATAACAGGTCCGCCTACAGGAAACACTTTATAAAACAGGGGGATGGAAAAAATGTGCTGTGCCATTGCATAATAATCTTGTGAAAAACAAAATGCCTTATTCATTTTAATATAAACACTGGAAAAAAATGTTGAGTCTTCACTCTGTCTAATCAATTGCAGGGCTTTGCAATAAAAGTGAGGCTGCTTTTCCCCACTAATAAGCACAAAATCAATCTTCAAAAGCAACATATTTTATTGCACCTATTCTTGGCTCTTTAACCTCCCAATTTATAAATGGTTTTTTTCGTAAGTTGGGTGGAGAGGTGGGGAAGAGCAGACCAGGACTCATTAGGTGTCTGTAGCTTTCTGAGCTATGTGTCATGGGGATGTGTTCAAAGTCCTTTCCAGTTCAATAGTAGCATCTATGCTCTCGGGGCCTTTATCCTCAGGCCCAGAAAGGTTAATTTGGGGGTTTATTCATGCAGGGTATATGCACACCAAAAGGTATGGCAGAAAAGTTTCTTGATACAACTATACTTCGGATAAGCTCTGACCCTTGGCAAAATGGTTATCCATGCTTATTTTAGGCCCAACCAAGCCCATCATTCCTTGATCATCTCTGGGATATTTCATACCTGCCTACACATAAAATCTCATCCTTAAATTTTATTTCCCCATCCAAACACCCAGACAACATCCTGTCTCTTCTTCCTTTATGCTGAAAGGAGCTCTTGCCTTTAGCCTACTTCTTGTTCTAAAAATTTTTAAAGGTGAATTCTTCCAAGAAACATTTCTTAGCACCCCTCCCATAGGCCTTGCCTTCCAATATAGATCTAGATACTCCTCTTCAGGATTATCTTGATACACCTTGCTTTATCTGTCATCATCTACTTACATGGCTTTCTTACCCCCATTCACAGAATGCTCAAGGATAGGGAACAGGTATACTTTGGTTTTGTATCTGCATCAGGTGGCACAGTGCTTGGCCCAGAGAAAGGGCTCAGACAGCATGCCTTAAATCAAACTAAATGCTGCCTTACCCGATATCATGAAATAAGAGGGGGCAGTAATAAGATAATTAGGAAAATGCCCCCAGTAGAGTAGATTTTGAGAAGTAGCTGTATTCAAAGAGCCTAAAAGCAAAAAAATATGGAGGCCGTAAGTTGCAGCAGAACTGCAATCAGGGATAAAGAGCTTGAATCTGTGACCTGGACATATTTACCTTCGGTTTGTGTCCTTGGAGCCAACCATTGCCAGGATTATTTCCTCAGAGAGGTGTCTTCATTGAGTCATATTTATAACTTATTTACCTAAGTTGAGTTGTATTTCATGGGTAGTTTACCTAGTCCAGAGACTCTCAGTAACATTCAGGAAACATTACGTACCCATGATGAGCAGCAAGAAACAGCTGTCTTGATTGATAGAGCTGCTTATTTGCTGATCAGGAAGGCAGGTGGTACCAGGCCAGGGCCTGCTGGCATTATTATGGAAAAAGAAATAGCTCTGTTTCAGTAGAAGCTCTACTAGTCAAGGTGGTATTAAAAAATGAGGAATGAGGGTTTTTCTAAGATGAAGAATGTCAGTGCAAATGGAGAGGAGAAATAGGAGCGTGAGGTTGGGGAGGAGAGAAAAATTACTTGATCCCTATAAATTAGAATTGCATCTTAAAATAATAGCAAATACTTACAAAGTATTTACTCTGTGCCAAGTATGGTATAAGGATGATATAAGGATGATCTTACTGAATTCTCACCATCACCTTATGATGTAGTTCTATTATAAACTTGTTTTATACATGAAAATAGCAGGGCTTATGTAAGTGAAGTAACTTACCAAACACCACAGAATTGATAAGTAGCAGAAATGGGAATTTAAACTTAATTTGTTTGATTCCAAAGTTCAGTTCTTTCCTCTAATTAAAGGTACGGTTTACATGAAGTAAAAGGCACAAATCTGAAGGGTATAGCTGTATAACATTTTACTTATATATGTGGCTACATGATTACCACCCAGGTCAAAATATAGAAAATTTACAACATCCCAGCAAGTTCCTTCGCACTCCTTCCCCATCAATACTGCCTGCCCTCCACACACACAAACACACACACACACACACACACACACACACACACACAAACAAACAGATAATCACTGTTCTGACTTATATCACCATCTATCAGTGGCTCTCAAATTGTAGACTCCGAACCAATAGCATCAGCATTATCTGGAAACTTATTAGAAACACAAATTCTCTTTGTTATTTACCCAGTAGTGATTCAGGAGCAGGTTGTTCAGTTTCCATGTAGTTGTGTGGTTTTGAGTGAGTTTCTTAATCCTGAATTCTAATTGATTGCACTGTGGTCTGAGAGACAGTTTGTTGTGAACACTTGGACACAGGGCAGGGAACATCACACACGGGGGCCTATCGTGGGGTGGGGGGTTGGGGGAGGGATAGCATTAGGAGAAATACCTAATGTAAATGACGAGTTAATGGGTGCAGCAAACCAACATGGCACATGTATACCTATGTAACAAACCTGCACATTGTGCACATGTACCCTAGAACTTAAAGTATATATATATATATATATATATAAAGATATCATCTAGCCCAATAATAACCAAGAAAACTTAGAAAAATAATAAAGGGAACTTGGACTACGAGATGTTAAATGGTGTTAAATAATGTAAAACTAGAAAGAAAAGACAGACATATTAAAAAAATTCTCAGCCCCCACCCCAGACCAACTGAGTTGGAAACTGGGAGCAGGGCCCGGAAAATTGTGTTTTAACAAGCTCTCCAGGTGATCCTGTTGCACAACTGAGTCTGAGAACTGCTGCATAGAGCAGTTCTGCATGTTTTAGAAGTTCATATACATAAATAGAATCATATAATATGTCCCTTTTTGTGTCTGGCCTTTTTTCTCAGCAAAATATCTGAAATTTATTCACATCGTTACATGTATTAAGTTGGTGCAAAGCTGATTATTGTGGTTTTTGCCATTACTTTGGCAAAAACTGCAATTACTTACTTTTGCACCAACCTAAATATCAGTAATTTTTTTTTTTTTGAGACAGTCTCGCTCTGTCACCAGGCTGGAGTGCAGTGGCACATCTAGGCTCACTGCAACCTTGGACTCCCTGGTTCAAGCAATTCTCCTGCCTCAGCCCCCAGAGTAGCTGGGATTACAGGCACGCGCCACCATGCCCAGATAATTTTTGTCTTTTTTTTTTTTTTTTTTTTTTTTTTTAGTAGACACGGGGTTTCACCATGTTGGCCAGGATAGTCTCGATCACCTGACCTTGTGATCCGCCCACCTTGGCCTCCCAAAGTGCTGGGATAACAGGTATGAGCCACTGCGCCCAGCCAATTCTTTCATTTTAAATTGCTGATTAGCAATCAATTGTATGAATATACAATGTTACCTCTTTGAGAGATCATCATGGAACTTTTGTTAAGGGAAGTATGTTTTCTTACTTTTTTATTTATAGCAAATAAAATTGTGGAATCACTAAATTAAGGCCCAAGTTATGCAAGAGAACAGATCATTATGTCATATAATTTCAGAAAGGCAATGCAGCCCTCACAACAAAATCTTTCTTACTTGCTTCCTAATGCCAGAAATTTATTTAATAGGGAGCCAAGAATTTATTCCATAATAAGCATTAATATTTAAAAGGCATGTGTGTATTACAAAAATAAAAAAAAAATTATACTGAAGTGTTAATGACCTATCCTTTCTTGACAGTACAGTATGTATGCTATCACTTACTTATCCAAATCCTCAACTGACATTAATAATCAATCATGCTACTTTTATATTTTGATTTCCAATGGAATCCTCAGGATTCCTCTCATCAAATTATCCCAGGCAGGAACTATCAATCCATCACAACTGACATACCATCTCTGGCTTAATTCCTCTGTGTGTGTGTGTGTGTGTGTGTGTGTGTGTGTGTGTGAGAGAGAGAGAGAGAGAGAGAGAGAGAGAGAGAGAGAGAGAGGAGAGAGAGACTTTGGTGCAGCTTAGAACTAGACAGAGGGGATGTATGGATCAAGAAGAGAAGCAAAGTCACATTTTCTCCTGCAATTACATTTGAAAGCCTATGGGGTTTGGGTGGCCAGGATGCACTAAATTCCTTTCTTTTTCTTTTATTTTTTATTTTTATTTTTATTTTTTACTTTTAATAACATAAACAGGAGCCAGTTAGAATGCATCCTGTCCTCTTACTCTCTCAGTGAAAGAGAACAATCATCATCAATGGCAAATGGCAGTTGCAGTGAGGCAACACAATACTGCGGGCCAGCTTTATGCTCAGGAGAGAACGCTGCACCTCCTCCTCAAGGTTTCTGGTGCTCTACACATTCACATTAACTCCTCTAGTAATAAGCTATAAAAATGATCCCTGAAAGTATAGCCTTAGTAAATTATTAGTTAACTGAAGCTGTAAGAAATCAATGTAGTAACAACAAACAATGACAACAACAACTATTACTATTACTACTTTTACTGAGAGCTTTGTGTTGAATGGCAAGCAATTCACCTGCATTGTCTCATTTAATCCTCAAAACCCTTCCAGGCCAATATTATTATTCCCATATTAAATATTAAATATTAGATGGGTACCCAAATCCACGTGAAAGAGCTGAGATCCAAATCCAGGTTATCTGATTTTATATCCCGAGTTCTTTGGAAACCACTACTCTTTACTGACACTGAAATAACTGGATTTCTTTAAGGCTACATAGAAGTCCTTCCCAACTCTTATTAAAGGTGTCTGAGTCCACTTTCCTGCCCTAATAAGAATATAGCGACCATCACTGAAGATCTTAAGGTTATCATTCTTACCATCAGTGGTAACATGATAGAATGATTAATATAATAAAACTGTCAGTGGCACAAGTGTGAGAAATTAGGTATAGGTGATTCATCTCCCCCATGGTGTCTTCTCCCCTCTTTAGTTCTAAATACCAAATGATTACAAAAACAGGCACACTCAGAGTTAAATTTTGAATTATGTATGAAACTAAACGTATCAGTAAATAAATTTATCAAACATGTAACACATGTCTACTATGTACCATTTTTTAGACTTTAAAGCTCCAGGAGAGCAAAGACCCATCTTGTTCTCTTCGATATTCCCATCACCATACACCTGGTAAAATGTAGGTGCTCAACAAATATTTTTTGAATGGATGGAGGGATGAATGTATAAATGTATGCACAACTGCCATTATACTGAACTATGGCATAGGAGCTTGATGTCTAATGTTGGTAATTTGCCTAAAATGGTGGCGTTAGTACAGGGATCTTGTGCGATGGGTAAAAGTTTTATGTTTCTGCCTATTAGACATCTGGAACTACTGTGAACAATATGTAAGGAATAAACAAAATTTTGTCTTCTATGTGCGTCTGATAGTTTCCCCCGATAACTTAATGGTTAAGGCTTTATTTTCAACAGAGAGAAGCTTGCTTCCTTTTTTAAAAAAGTTGAATATACTGACATTGACAGGAGAATATAAATACTGTGTCCATTGTGATTTTTACATTGGATGCTACATTTTTAAAAATGCAAAATAACAAAAGGAGAAATGGAATTCCCGACCCTCCATTGCATAGCTAAAATGTATTACATGGTAAGGTAGTCTTTTTCAAAAATAAGTCAGCGTTGGTTCAGTATTGAGAAAATGCTTCAATGGTTTTGTAAAATTGAAAGTAGCACGTTCCTAATCTAGTGAAAGTGAACATTCAAATTTGTCTCATTTTCTCCTGAAATTATGCACAGAACCTGGGACAATGGCAAGCAACTTACCCAAGCATATTTCTATGGTAGCTCAGATTTCCTATTTTTCTGCCTCACACCAAAGCAGTACAAACGGCACACTTGCAAAGTTGGAGTGGTGCCCATGTCCCCTCAGCATCAAATGCAACTGGATGCTGTTGAGCAGGAACTAGGAGGCTTTTATTGCTCATAAGAACAGTGCCAGTCAATCACTCAATTGGAACCACCTTTTAGGCCCAGGTGGGTGAAGCAGTTTATTTTTCCTTAAAGGGTAAAGGGAATGATGAACATATTTCTTGCTGTCTCTTGTAGCCCCAGAGTGAAAATCATCCGTGAGGAAGGTCACAAATACCAATATAAATTTTCCTTTACATTCATAGTATCCATTCTAGGATTATGTTCCAAGAAATGTTACCAACAATAATAATCAAGGGCTTGTGTTCCGGAGTGACACCATGATTTGGGAGAGGAATTCAGGTGGATTTTTGATAGTTTATAGGTAATGATTGCTGTGGTGCCAGGGTATGAAGATATTTGATGATACCAGTCCTAAAGCTGATTTTTTGAAAGATTGGCAGCTTGCTGAATTCTTTTTTTTTTTTTTTGATTCCCTATTCATTCTTTTCTTTTAAATTTAATTTTCTTTTTAAATTATACTTTAAGTTCTAGGGTACGTGTGCACAACGTGCAGGTTTGTTACATATGTATACATGTGCCATGTTGGTGTGCTGCACCCATTAACTCGTCATTTACATTAGGTATATCTCCTGGTGCTATCCCTCCCCCTCCCCCCACCCCATGACAAGCCCCAGTGTGTGATGTTCCCCTTCCTGTGTCCAAGTGTTCTCATTGTTCAATTCCTACCTGTGAGTGAGAACATGCAGTGTTTGGTTTTTTGTTCTTGCAATAGTTTGCTGAGAAGGATAGTTTCCAGCTTTATCCATGTCCCTACAAAGGACATGAACTCATCCTTTTTTCTGGCTGCATAGTATTCTGTGGTGTGTATGTGCCACATTTTCTTAATCCAGTCTATCATTGTTGGACATTTGGGTTGGTTCCAAGTCTTTACTATTGTGAATAGTGCCACAATAAACATACGTGTGCATGTGCCTTTATAGCAGCATGATTTATAGTCCTTTGGGTATATACCCAGTAATGGGATGGCTGGGTCAAATGGTATTTCTACTTCTAGATCCTTGAGGAATTGCCACATTGTCTTCCACAATGGTTGAACTAGTTTACAGTCCCACTAACAGTGTAAAAGTGTTCCTATTTCTCCACATCCTCTCCAGCACCTGTTGTTTCCTGACTTTTTAATGATCACCATTCTAACTGGTGTGAGATGGTATCTCATTGTGGTTTTGATTTGCATTTCTCTGATGGCCAGTGATGATGAGCGTCTTTTCATGTGTCTGTTGCTGTATAAATGTCTTCTTTCGAGAAATGTCTGTTCATATCCTTCGCCCACTTGTTGATGGGATTGTTTTTTTCTTGTAAATTTGTTTGAGTTCATTGTAGATTCTGGATATCAGCCCTTTGTCAGATGAGTAGATTGCAAAAATTTTCTCCCATTTTGTAGGTTGCCTGTTCACTCTGATGGTAGTTTCTTTTGCTATGCAGAAGCTCTTTAGTTGAATTAGATCCCATTTGTCAATTTTGGCTTTTGTTGCCATTGCTTTTGGTGTTTTAGACATGAAGTCCTTGCCCATGCCTATGTCCTGAATGGTATTGCCTAGGTTTTCTTCTAGGGTTTTTATGGTTTTAGGTCTAACATGTAAGTCTTTAATCCATCTTGAATTAAGTTTTGTATAAGGTGTAAGGAAGGGATCCAGTTTCAGCTTTCTACATATGGCTAGCCAGAATTCTTTTAACCAAATCGAAATTTATTAGTTTTCTATTGCTACTTAACAAATTGCCACAAACTTATTGGCTTAAAACAACGCTAATGTATTATCTTACAGTTCTGAAGGAAAGAAGTCTGAGTTCAAGGCATCCATAATGCTATGTTACTTTTGAAAAGTCTGGGAGAGAATCTGCTTCCTTGCCTTTTCATGCTTCTAGAGGTCACCTGCATACCTTGGCTAATGGTCCCTTCCTCCATTTGCAAAGCACATTACTTCAACCTCTGTTTTTGTAGTCACATCTCCTTTTTCTGTTTTTGACCTCCTTGACTTCCTTTTCTAAGGACCCTTGTAATCACTTGGGGCCCAACTGAATAATGCAGGATAATCTACCCATCTCAAAACCTTTAAGTTAATCACATATGAAAAAAATCCCTTTTGCCATGTAGGGTAACATATTTATATGGATTAGGACATGGACATCTTTAATGGGCCATTATTCTATCTACCATACCAATCTATCTGTAATGATACAATGCTTTACACTTATGGTTAAGGCACTTGGCGTCCATGAGGCCAAAACTGCTTGCCTGATGTTCATAAGTACCATTCTTATAAGTATATAATAAGATTATCAAGGGTTTACCATTTAATCCTAATAACAAGTATATGAGGTAGAAATTATTATAATCCTCATTATGAAGATGCAGTTGTGGAGCTCAGAGAAATTAATAAACTTTTCCAAGTTCACAGAGCTAGTGAGTGTCAAAGCCAGGACTCAAATCCAGGTGTTATTCTAAAGCCCATGAAATTTCTAGTTCTTTATTCTGCCTTATTAGTTTTTGTTAAGTTTATTTGCTTCACTTTCTGGCCATAGTATATACCTAAACCTTGACCATTAATATCACAACTGGGTTGCTTTGGGCTATATGTGGCTAAATCAGGGCAGATTCAACATTGCCACTACAAGTACTTCTGTTTGATTCTCAATAAGTGTTTCTTGAATTAATCTATGCTCTATCCAGTGCAAGGCCCATGCCTCACTAATGGTGATGACTCATTTGAGCCATATTGATATGTTGTATTACTGCCAGAGAATTAGGCTGCAGCCAAACTATTTCATGGTTATCTCTCAGGATGAAAGGGAGCAGATACCTCTTGAGCAGTTCAGTATAAAGGTCATGCCTTGCCTCTGGGAAATCGTCAAATTTTATAAGCTCCTTTAACACTGAAATCCATCTATCTCTAAGAGATAAGAGATAGTTTTCTGCATTTTTTAACTGTTTAAAAGATAGTCCCTAAGATAAGCAGTGTCCCTGGGCTTATGAAGGTAGAAATACAACTGTGGACCATAGCAGGCTGGTTTACTCAAAGTTAACATGACTATATTTGAAATTTTCCCTTCTACATTTCTATTAATATTATGTGACTTCATCTTTTCAGGGACAGTGGAAGGTCAAACCCAAAGATTATGCTAACGTGACGTTAATCTGATTGTTATGTTGGCCAATGAATGCGTTACTCTTTTAGATGCCCCTCTTTAAGCAATCCATCTCAGGCTTCCTAACTCCCCAACATTTCATACACCACCTTGCCCAGATGCTCTATATCCTTTTATACTCTAAGCTCAAACTGATTGCTCTTGTGTCTCGGTGCCCCATGAAGCTCTATTTTTTATAGTTATAATAAATGTTCAAGTTATTAAAATATGTAACTTTGTTATCCCTCCAAAATAATGATTTTACCTGTTAAAGGATGGATGGAGAGTGTATTAGTCAGGGTTCCCTAGAGGGACAGAACTAATAGGATATACGTGTGTGTGTGTGTATGTGTGTATGCACATATATATATACACATATATATGTATATATATATTAATACACGATAACAAGGTCCCACAATAGCCTGTCCGAAGCTTGAGGAGCAAGGAGAGCCAGTCCGAGTCTCAAAACTGAAGAACTTGGAGTCCGATGTTTGAGGGCAGGAAGCATCCAGCACGGGAGAAAGATGTAGGTTAGGACACTAGGCCAGTCTCACCTCTTCACGTTTTTCTGCCTGCTTTATATTCGCTGGCAGCTGATTAGATTGTGCCCACCAGATTAAGGGTGGGTCTGCCTTCCCCAGCCCACTGACTCAAATGTTAATCTCCTTTGGCAACACCCACACAGACACACCCAGGATCAATACTTTGCATCCTTTAATCCAATCAAGTTGACATTCAGTATTATCCATCACAGAGAGGAAGAGGAAGAGAGAGAGGGAGGGGAAGAGAGAGGGGGAGGGGAAGATGGGTGGGAGGGGAAGAGAGAGGGGGAGGGGAAGACAGAGAGAGAGAGATTGATTAAGATTCAAATCTCTCACTCCTGGAATTTTTTTTCCTTTCCCCCTGAATCTGCTCCTTTTTCAGAACTTCTTATTTTGTCATATTCTCTTAATATTCCAAATACAGAGTAGGCTCAACAGCTGTTCTTTCTCCATTTATCAAAAGTTACCTAGATTTATTGGTTTTTGGTCTAGTTTTACACTTTTAAAAATGTTAATATGTGTCAGGCATTTTGCTAGGTTCTAGAGAGACAAAAGAAATCAGACAACTCTCATAACCTGGAGGAGCTTTTAGATTAAGAAGAAATAGATATGGTAACAGAATGTTTTGGTGTGTTTCAGTATGGATAAATACACATAAAGCTGTGGAGGATAAGAATTCTTGATAAGCTAACTTATTTTGCTAGATGTATACAATGTAATTGGGCAAAAAATTGGCTTACCTCCTTTCCTTTCCAGGTTCATGGTCCCACCCTGATTCAGACTTGGATCAACTTAATCTCAGACTGTATTGCAATAGTCTCCCAGCTAATTTTCATGTTTCTTCTCTGGTGTTTTAATTGCCTTACTATCCATTGGCCCTTTCCATCCTCTACACTGAACAGATTAATCTTCATTTATTAAATATTTCTTTGCAAAAATCATTTACTGTCTCTCCACTTACCTCTCCCAGTTCTGAAATCTTCATCGACTTTCTACTGCTTTCAAGATAAAATGTACAGCTCTTCATCTGGCATTTAGTACTCTCCATAATGCAGCCTTCATCCATGGGCTCAGCCTCATCTCGTATAATTTCTGCCACAACCAACTTTCTACTCAAATTAAATCTGTGCGTAATTGCTCAAGCTTTCAGATATATTCTGCCCCTGTAATTTGCTCACATGGCTCTTGTCAGAATGTTTTCATCATCTAATCCCTAGGCAGATCTAAGTCTCACTCTTCCCTCAAGAACTAGCTCAAGTCCCATACCCTCTATAGATCCTACCTAGTCCACTCCATCCCTCTGTGATCATGGCTTTCTCCAACAGACTTTGGTCACCTAGCTTTTATCATGTGCATATGTAATCTTCTACTGTACTTACTCATCATGTACAATTCCAGTCTCTTACTGGGCAATAATCCCTTTATGGACAGGGACTCTGTATTGTGCCCTTAGTATCTCCAGAGTTTAATTAGCTCAGAAGATTTTTATGATTGTAATGAGTCAGTCATTGGTATATTTATATGAAAATAGAACTCTTTGGAATCCCTTATTTTATACCATGTATGGAGGGGCCACACACATTGCTTACATGAAAGACCAAGAGGAAAGCTTTATTACAGATAAAATTAAACCAAAAGTATGAGCCCAAATGCTTATAGGGGCCAGGGACAGGACATAATTAGGCTGGAGATGAACCAATATTTATTTAACAAACCTTTGCACAGTGCTTACTGTCTGCTTAACATTATTTTAAGTGCTTTACGGGTTTTAACTCATTTAACTCTCACCGAAACCCTACCATTACTATCCTCATTTTAGAGATAAGAAAACCATTACGCGGAGAGATTGTCATTTTCCCAGGGTTATGTGGCTAGTAGGTGACAGATACTGAATTTTAACTCATACACTCTGACTTCTAGAGTCTGTATTCTTAATAACTGCGTGGAGCCGAATTTTTCAAAAGAAAATGGTATGTACAGTGATGTACTGGAGAGTGTATAATTTAAAGGACATTTAAATTTATTTAAAAGAAAATCATGAGCCAAAATAAATAGGTCTGTAGGCCAGATCAGCCCAAGTGCTCTCTGAGTTTGCAATCCCTGGATTGAATTAAACAATGACAGGCAAAAGTTTATTCTTCTGTCCTTAGTAACACTACTTCTATTACAGGGCAGCAGGAAGCATTTCTGATTTTATCCTCTTTACCTTGACATAAGTCACATGCCCATTAAGGGGATTTGTCAAAGAAAAGGAGATATCAGTGTTCACTGTCATCACTTTATATGTTTAGGTTTGCAGATTCAACTTGCCAGAGATTTATGAACCTTTCAAAAGAACTAATGGCTCCCCTGCATTTGCTCCCATAGTACTTTGTTTATACCTTTACCAAGGTATTTATCAAATGTCACTCTCTTTTTAAAATGAAGAATTTTCACTTTTTCTTAGTGTAAAAGATCATCCAAATGCTTACTTACAGATTTTAACAGCTTCCAACAATTTTGAAGTGTATTGATTTAAAATAAATTTAGCAAGTTTCTATTAGCGTCTAACTTGAACATTTTGCTTTCTAATACAGAACATATTCTTTTATAGTGCCTCTAGATTTAAATTCAGACTTTTACCAGTCCAGAACTTTAAAAAGTAACATACATTAATCTGCATCTTTGACATGTTTACAGCTTTATTTCAATGTTTGTTTTGATTGGGTTCAAAGAAATAAATGCAAACATGCCATACATTTGAAATTTCTACACAGCTTAACAAATATGGGAAGTAGAAAATTTCCGTCACAAACTCAAACGTAAAAGATTGTAGTGTTATTTATTTCTCTTCAACTGAAATTCATCTAGCTTTTAACCTGCATTTCAACTTTCTGCAATAAACCTAGTCCTACAATATAATATAAATTAAGTATTTCTGATTTTAAACTCTGCATTATGATTCTCACTGCTCAACTCTTCCTTCTTCCCTTCTCTTCTGGGCATTCTAATTTCCTTTGGGTCTGAATGTCAATCCACTATTCTTACTGACTTTATAAGATATTGTGCTGCACAAGGAAATAAAAATCACCTGTAATTCTAAATCCCAGGAAAACATTAATAATATTTTAGGACATTTCTTTTTTTTCTATGCATACAGATCTGCATAGAAAAACTTGAAATGTATGTTTATGTGTGTGTATAGGTAGGCTCTTTATTTTTTTGGCCCATATATCTTTAGATATTCTCCAGAGAGGAAGAGATGAAAGGCAAATTTTCTGGGTGAAGTATTGCCTCTTTGGCGTATCTCCCCAAGGCCCCATAGACCATTCCTTGCCCTCTTGCGGGAATGGGAGGGATTAGTCTATCTAATACCAGTTATTATCTTGTGACCCTTACAAGTAAACATCACAGAAATAAGTTCAAGCCGGTTTTTGCTCAAATCCTCTGATAATTAATCCAAACCATACACAGTGGTGCTGGTAGACAGTGCATTTAAAAATTGATTAGTGAGTCCCTGATTTTTCTCTCTTGTCCCATCTATTTATTGAGGGTGTGTTCACTGTACTTTCTCATTTTCCCATGAGAATTTTTTCACTAGCTCTGTGAAGAAGAATGCCTACTCTTCATGCTACCCTCTTTTCTCTTCAGTTCATTTGTTCTTATTTCCTTTTATTATTTTTCTTTATCCTGAAGTCCCTGCTTCCCATTTTTTTCTGTGCCTGTTATCCCACAATCAGATATTTGCAAGTCCTACATCAATGTCAATTTTCTCTCCCTACTCCTTCCTTGTATACCATTGGCTTCCAGCATGGATTGTCAGGTAAAAGTGCTTTTTCTTCCTGGTAGAAAGAGTGGGGAGTTCTAGTCCTATAATTGGAAGTGGGCATGGGGGAAGAAGAATGTCAGGGTGATTCTCCACTCTGGATTACAGTCTGCTATTTAATATTTTTATATTCTTGAAGAAAACCTAAAATAAAAATAACCAAAAAAGTACATCTCACACAAGGAGAATTTCTTTTCCGCTAAAAGTCCTTCATTGAATCATCATAAGACATTAATTGATTCCTTGCCAGCATAACCATGACCTTATTATTACAATTTGTCCCCTTCTCAACTTGGATTACATTGCACAGCCTTTTTCCATTAACTTGGCACTACATGGCATCATTGAGCTATCCTTTTTATTCTTACAATCATATAGTAAACACTTTCATGATTATTTTTGAAATATATTTTTAAAAATAATTATATTACTCCACCATGTTTATATACCACAATATATTTAATTATTCCCCTAATGTTTAATATTTAGGTTGTTTATATGTGTATTATAAAATTTACAAAAATTATCTGGTATATCGCTTGTGCATGTCTAATAATTTCTGTGGAATGATTTCCTTAAAAGTAGAATTTGGGGCCAAAAGATAAAATGGGTTGCTTTTTGTTAAAATAATTTACATGAAAAAGTAATTATAATTTTAAATTATAAAAGTAATACAAACCAGGTACTAAAAAAAGAGAAGGGTATAAAATAGAAACTATAAGTCACTTCTGTCATCTCACTCCTTAGAGATCATCATTTTATCAGGTTAATGTCTATTTTTAGTATGAACAATTTTAATACTCTTTTTAATGTCATCAACTGGTATCCAAAAAGGTCAACCGTTTAAAAATCCCACTAGCAGTTGACAAAAGTTCTGATTTCACTATATACTCATTAACCTTATGGAATTCACATTTATTAATATTCAACATTTGATGAAGATTTAGATTTTGAAAGTACTTTTTTTTACATTAACAATACTGGATATATGTATGCCTATCATTTATACACACGTATTACAAATATTTGCTCCATCTTGTAACTAAATTTTTTGATGTTTTTATGTCCTTTTTGCATTTTTATGTAGTCATATTTATCAGCCTTTACCTTTGTGATTTATTTTTGCTTTTATATTGAAATGCTCTTCTTTTTTCCCATGAGCAAATAAATGTTCACCTATGTTTTCTCACAATCATTTAAAATTTGAAATTTTAATATAATTTTAATTATAATATATTGCAAACATAAGAAAAGTATATAAGTCGAATATACTCAATATCTATGAACCAAACATAGATTTAACAGATGCTAACATTTTGCCATGTTTGTTAAATTTTTTTTTTGGCAAACAATTACAGCTATAGCTAAAGTCACACCTCTATCCCTTTACTCTCCCTTTCTCTGCTGAAATTTGCATAACTTTCCTGCATGTTTTTATATTTACTACATATATTTATAACCATAAGCACTATAAATTATTGTTTTGTGTGCTTTAATATTCTGCCTAGATACAATCCATTTCCCACAGATCTTTGTCATCTAACATTATACTTTTAAAATTTATCCAGATAGGTGCCTCTATTTCTAATCTATACATTTCTGCTACTTTAGCACATGTAATTGTATAAATGTGGAGTTCTTTGTGAATTACTGGTTCATATCACTTATATATTTTTAAATTGTGTTGTTTGTTTTTTAAAAATTATGGAAAACTCTTTATATTCTTTTTTTTCTTTTTATTGATCCAAATCCTTTGTGTGCTATATATGTAACAAGTATCTGTTACAAATCTGCAATTTTTCTTTTAAATTTACAATTTGTGACATACCCAAGTTTTATTTATTTCTTTTTTTCTTTTTCTTTTTCTTTCTTTCTTTTTTTTTTTTTTTTTGAGACTGAGTTTTGCTCTTGTTGCCCAGGCTGGAGTGCAACGTCACAATCTCAGCTCACTACAACCTCTGACTCCTGGGTTCAAGCAATTCTGCTGCCTCAGCCTCCCAAGTAGCTGGGATTACAGGCATGTGCCACCAAGCCCAGCTAATTTTGTATTTTTACTAGAGATGGGGTTTCTCCTTGTTGGTCAGGCTGGTCTTGAACTCCCGACCTCAGGTGATCCCATCGCTTCAGCCTCCCAAAGTGCTAGGATTACAGGCATGAGCCATCGTGCCTGGCCTATTTATTTCTTTTTTTAACTTAAGTTTAGGGGTACAAATGCAGGCTTGTTACATAGGTAAACTTGTGTAATGAGGGTTTGTTATACAGATTATTGCATCACCCAGGTATTAAGCCTACTACCTATTAGTTGTTTTTCCTGATCATCTGCCTCCTCCCATCCTCCACCTTCCGAAGGGCCCCAGTGTGTGTGATTCCCCTCTATGTGTCCATATGTTCTCATAATTTAGCTCCCACTTATAAGTGAGAATATGCAGCATTTGTTTTTCTCTTCCTGTGTTGGTTTGCTAAGGATAATGTCCTCCAGCTCCATGCATGTCCCTGCAAAGGACATGATCTCGTTTCTTTTTTATGTTTACATAGTATTCCATGGTGTATATGTACTACATTTAATTTATCCAGTTTATACTTGATGGGATTTAGGTTGATTTCATGTCTTTGCTATTGTGGATAGTGCTGCAATGAACATACTCATGCAGTGCCTTTATAATAGAATGATTTCTATTCATTTGCATGTATACCCAGTAATGGAATTGCTGAGTCAAATGGTAGTTCTGCTTATAGGTCTTTGAGGAATTGTCATACTACTTTCCACAATGGTTGAACTAATTTATGCTCCCACCAAGACTGTATAAGCATTCCTTTTTTTTTTTTTTTGACAACCTTGCCGGCATCTGTCATTTTTTGACATTTTAATAATTGCCCTTCTGACTGGAGTGAGGTGGTATCTCATTGTGGTTTTTATTTGAATTTCTTTAATGACCAGTGATGTTGAGCTTTTCTTTTCATATGCTTGTTGGCTGCATGTATGTCTTCTTTTGAAAAGTATCTGTTCATGTCCTTTGCCCACTTTTTAATGGGGTTGTTTCTTTCTTGTAAATTTGTTTAAGTTCCTTATAGAAGCTGGGTGTTAGGCCTTTGTCAGATGCATAGTTTGCAAAAATTTTCTCCCATTCTGTAGGTTGTCTGTTTGTTATGTTGATTGCTTCTTTTGCTGTGCAGGAGCTCTTTAGTTTAATGAAATCCCATTTGTCAGTTTTTCCTTTTGTTGCAATTACTTTTGGCGCCTTCATCATGAAATCTTTGACTGTGCCTATGTCCTGAATGGTATTGCCTAGGTTTTCTTCTAGGGTTTTTATAGTTTGAGGTTTTACATTTAAGTTATAATCACAGTTAAGTTTTAAATTTTAATATAGCTCTATTTATCCACTATATCCTTTATGATTTGTATTATTTTGTTTTTGTTTTTTTAAAAAAACAGTATCTTAATGACATACAAATATTTTCCTTGCTCTGGAAATGTTCAAGCTTGGATTATCAACTTTAGGTATTTGATTCACATGAAATTACTTCTGTGTATGGTGTGGGGTAGGGTTGTCTTTAAATAAATATCAAATGGGCACAGCACCATTTAAGTAACGATGTAGTAAGGGAACCTCTGCCATATGTCAAGTTGCCGTATAAATACTGGTCTGTTTCTAGGCTTTCTATTCTCTCCCATCATTTTATTTCTTTATTCCTGGCTCAAAACCCACGTTTTAATTCACTCTACCTTTATGATGAATCTTTATATCTGGTAGGACAAGTTTTTTTATTATTATTCTTTGATTTTTTAAATTATTTTTAAGCCTTTGTCATCTCCACATTAACTTAGGGTCAGCTTGCCCATTTCTATGAAATACCTTTTCAAAATTTTAATTGGAATTCTTTTGAATTTGTTGATAACTGGGGAACAACTGTGAACTTTAAAGTATTTTCTCTATGTTAACAAGCATGGTACATCTCTCTTTATGGTTTGTCTTTTATAGCATTATCATCTGTGAATGATAGCAATTGTAGTTCTTCATGTTTAATTCACAGGCCTTTAACTTATTTTTCTTTTTTTTTTCTACCAACTGGAACCTCTGCTATACGCTCAATAGAAGCAGCAATAGTGGTCATTATTGTCATTTTCTCAACTTGAAAAGGAATACTGTATTTTCTATAATTTTTCACCATCTATAAGAAACTTTTTATTTGTTCACATTTTTTTTCATTTCTTTTTAAAAATTTGCATTCAGGGGTACATGTGCAGGTTTGTTACATGTATATATTACATGATGCTGAGGTTTGGGATATGAGTGATTCTGTCACCCAGGTGGTGAACATAGTCCCCAGTAAATAGGTTTTCAATTCTTGCCCCTTTCTTTTCTCTCCTGTTTTGAATTCCCCAGTGTCTGTTGTTCCCATCTTTATGTTCATGTGTACCCAACGATTAGCTCCTGCTTATAAGTGAGAACATGTGATATTTGTTTTTCTTTTTCTACATTAATTCACTTAGGATAATGGTCTCCAGCTGTATCCCTGTTGCTGCAAAGGATATGATTTTGCTCTTTTTTATGGCTTCATAGTATACCATGGTGTATATATACCATGTTTTCTTTATGCAATCCATCTTTGATGGGCACCTGGGTTGATTCCATGTCTTTGCTGTTGTGAATCATGCTGCAATAAACATACAAGTACATGTGTGTTTTCGGTAGAACTATTTATATTCCTTTGGGTATATACCCAATAATGAGATTGTATTTTAAATATTTTACCAGTAAGCACCACATTTGCTGTGAGATATGGAATCAACCTAAATGCTCATCAATGGTAGACTGGATAAAGACAATGTGGCACATATACACCATGGAATATTATGTAGCCACAAAAAAGAATGAGATCATGTCTTTGCAACAATATGGACGGAGCTGGAGGCCATTATCCTAAGCAAACGAACACAGAGACAGAAAACCAAATACTGCATGTTCTCACTTATGAGTGAGAGTTAAACATCGAGTACATATGGACATAAATAAGGGAAAAATAGACACTGGAGCCTACTTGAAAGTGAAGGGTGGTAGGAGGGTGAGGACTGAAAAACTACCTATCCTGTACTGTGCTTATTACATAGGTGATGAAATAATCTGTTTGTTAAACTCCCATGACACTCAATTTACCTGTATAACAAACTTGCGCATATGTATCTTTGAATCTAAAATAAAAGTTTAAAAAAATAAAAAGTAAAAACAAATCCTTTTTTTTTCTTCTTGCACTTTATTGGATTGTTTAAATTTCCTTTATTCTCAAGGATTTGGGGTCAACTTATGTGCCTATTGCCTAATGCTCTTTGCTCTGTCACCAGTTCCTTTCTCTTTCTTGAGAGTACATCTATGCATTTAAACAATTCTTGTTTCATTTTGTCCATGAAATTAGTATACTATTTTGTTAGAAATAGAAGTCTGCAATTAATATTTTTAGTCCATATGGAATTTATCTTAGAGGATGGTATAAACTAAAAAAATCCACTTTTAAAAATTTGCCAAGTTGCCAACCAACAATTCCAGTGTCATTACTGAAGAACTCCTTCTTTCCTTATTAATCTGGAATGGTGCCTAATCATATACTCTTCTTCTATGGGTTAAGATCTACTTCTGAGACGTTTATAATATCATGTAAATATGTTTGTCTATTCTTATATCTTATTGTTCTAATGATTGTAATTTTAGAATACGTTTTAATGTCAGATAATGTAGCAGCCTCTTCATTACTCTCTCTTTGCAAAATTTTGTTGACTATTTTATCTGTTTTTTTCTGATGAATATTTTAAACTTTTGGTAAATTTTACATAAAAATATGTTTCAAATTTTGTTTTTGAATAATTAAACTCTTAAAGTCACCTTATGTGAATACGTTATTTTAGGTACTTCAGTAAGGTCCATATGTTTGTTATATATAGTCTACATTCTTATTTATTACTAAGCATTTTTGGTTAATATTTTCTAGATTAAAAATAAACAATGTAAGACAGTGACATGGCAAAACATAATAATACAAAAATGTATACAATGAGAAGTATATCTTTCCCGTATGCCATGTCTCTGTGTCTCACAGTATCATTTTGGAATGCAGGTTTGCAAATAACAAAATACAACACTAATGATGGGTAAATACATAAGGAATTTGCTCATTCTGTGCACTAAGATCTCCAGGATTAGGCAATCTGGAGTTGGTATGACTGAGAGAAGGCATCAGGGACCCAGGCTTCTTTCATCTTTCTACCCTGCTGCCCTTAGCACATGGACATTCATCTTCATGTTTGCCACCTTATGGTATTAAACTTCCAGTCATGAGTTCATGTTCACAGCAGAAACAAGGAGAAAGGGGTATGGCTGCTGCAATGGACTGAATGTTTGAGTTTCCCTAAATTCACATGTTGAAATTCTAACTCCCAAGGTTATGATATTAGTAGGTAGGGCCTTTAGAAGGTAACTAGACCATGAGGGCAGAGCCCTCATGAATGGGATTAGTGCAACTTTAAAAAGAGGCTCAGAGAGACCCTCATCCCTTTCACCATGTGAAGTAACAGTGAAAGGATGGACATCTGTGAACCAGGAAGGGGGCCCTCACCAGATACTGAATCTGCCTTGATCTTGGACTTCCCAGTCAACAAGTTGTGAGAAATAAATTTCTGTGGTTTATAAAATACCTTGTTTATGGCATTTTTTGATAGCAGCCCCAGACCAAGACAACAGCCAACCAAGTCTTTGTCCTTTAAAATTTTCCTATAAGTGTCATCTAGCAAGTTGCTGTTGGACCTAATTGGCCAGAACTTGGTCTCATGTCCAGCCAGGCTGAAAGTGTGAGAAAGCAAATACTTTTAGCTGGACATGTTGCTTTCCCAAATGGAAGTTGTGTTATGCTAGTAAGGAAGAAGCAGTGCATAGACATTGACAGGCAACTAACAACCAGTTCCTGCCTCCTCCCATCACCTGTCATTGTTAGCTGTTTCTGTTCTCTGTTCACTAGTTTTTCTATATTTTTGTAACCATATATTTTGTGTGTTCTGTAATTCCACTTGTCATTAAATTTAGTTCTATATTTAAGTAAATGCTCACTATCATTCTTTTCATATTGGTTTTTTCCCTTTCTTCTCTTGTTTGTCTTCATTTTAACCTCAAGTATTTTTTTCTGAGAATTGCTAAGGTTTACTCTATTTCTGCATTCTTGCATGTTAAAAACAGCTATCAGTTACCTTTATGTTTGAAGGATAGATTGAATAGACATAGCATTCTTGGGGCATAATCTCTTTCTCTGAGGATTTTCTGAATACTGTTCTACTGTATTTTAGCGGGAAGATTGAGATCAGCCTGAGCGTTTTTTTTTTTTTCTTTCAGTAATTTTTAAAAAATTTTTCTTATTTAACTTTTAAGTTCAGTATACATGTGCAGGATTTGCAGGTTGGTTGCATAGGTAAATGTGTGACATGGTCATTTGCTGCACACAGATCAACCCATCACCTAGGTATTGAGCACAGCATCTGTTAGCTATTCTTGATGCTCTCCCTCCTTCCACCCACCCCCAACAGACCTCAGTGTGTGTTGTTCCACCTACTGTGTCCATGTGTCCTCATTGTTTGGCTCCCACTTATAAGTGAGAACATGCGGTGTTTGGTTTTCTGTTCCTGTGTTGGTTTGCTGAGAATAACAGCTTCCAGCTCCATCCATGTCCATCCAAAGGACATAATGTCTTTCCTGTTTATGGCTGCATAGTATTCCATTGTGTGTATGCACCACATTTTCTTTATCCAGTCTAACATTGATGGGCATTTGGGTTGATTCCATGTCTTTGCTAAGGTGAATAGTGCCACAATGAACATAAACGTGAACGTATCTTTGTAATAGAATGATATATATTCCTTTGTGTATAAACCCAGTAATGGGATTGCTGGGGTCAAATGGTATTTCTGCTTCTAGATCTTTGAGAAATCACCACACTATCTTCCATAATGATTGAAGTAATTTACATTCCCACTAACAGTGTAAAAGCATTCCTTTTTCTCTGCAACTTCACCAGCATCTGTTGTTTCTTGATTTTTTTTTAATAATCACCATCCTGACTGGCATGAGATGGCATCTCATTGTGGTTTTGATTTTCAATTCTCTAATGATCAGTGAGTGATGTTGAGCTTTTTTTATATGCTCGTTGGCTGCATGTATTTCTTCCTTTGAAAAGTGTCTATTCATGTCCTTTCCACAATTTTTTATGGTGTTTGTTTCTTTCTTGTAAATTTAAGTTCCTTGTAGACTCTAAATATTAGACCCTTGTCAGATAGATAGATTGCAAAAATTTTCTCCCATTCTGTAGGTTGTCTATTTACTCGGATGATAGTTCTCTTTTTTTGTGCAGAAGCTCTTTAGTTTAATGAGATTCCATTTGTCAATTTTTGCTTTTATTACAATTGCTTTTGGCATTTTCATCATGAAATCTTTGCCTGTGCCTAGGTCCTGAATGGTATTCCCTAAATTTTCTTCTACAGTTTTTATGGTTTTGGGTTTTACATCTAAGCCTTTAATCCATCTTGAGTTAATTTTTGTATAAGGTGTAAGGAAGGGATTCAGTTTCAATTTTCTGCATATGACTAGCCAGTTCACCCAGAACAATTTATTAAATAGAGGACCCTTTCCCCATTGCTTGTTTTTGTCAGGTTTCTGGAAGATCAGATGGTTGTAGATGTGCACTCTTATTTCTGAGTTCTCTATTCTGTTCCATTGGTCTATGTGCCTGTTTTTGTAACAATACCATGTTGTTTTGGATACTGTAGTCTTGTCATATGCTTTGAAGTCAGATAGTGTGACACCTCCAGCTTTGTTCTTTTTGCTTAAGATTTTCTTGGCTATACGGGCTCTTTTTTGGTTCTATGTGAGTTTTAAGATAGTTTTTTTCTAATTCTGTGAAGAATGTCAATGGTAGTTTAATAGGCATAACATTGAATCTATAAATCACTTTGGACAGCATGGCCATTTTCATGATGTCGATTCTTCCCATTCATGAGCAGGGAATATTTTTCCATTTTTGTATCCTCTCTGATTTCCTTGAGCAGTGATTTGTAGTTATCCTTGAAGAGGTCCTTCTCTTCCCTTGTTAGTTGTATTCCTAGGTATTTTATTCTCTTTGTAGCAATTGTGAATGAGAGTTCATTTGTGATTTGGCTCTCTGCTTGCCTGTTGTTGGTATATAAGAATGTGAGCAATTTTTGCACATTGATTTTTGTATTCTGAGACATTGACGAAGTTGCTTATCAGTTTAAGAAGCTTTGGGCCTGAGACAATGGGGTTCTCTGGATACAGGATCATGTCATCTGCAAACAAAGACAATTTGACTTCTTTTCTTTCTATTTGAATACACTTTATTTCTTTCTCTTGCCTAGTTGCCCTGGCCAGAACTTCGAATACTATGTTGATTAGGAGTGGTGAGAGAGGGCATCCTTGTCTTGTGCTGGTTTTCAAGGGAAATGCTTCCAGCTTTTGCCCATTCAGTATGATCTTGTCTGTGGGTTTCTCATAAATGTCTCTTATTATTTTGAGGTATGAGCCATCAATACCTAACTGAGAGTTTTTAACATAAAGGGATGTCAAATTTTATCAAAGGCCTTTTATGTATCTATTGTGATTATCACTTGGTTTTTGTCTTCAGTTCTGTTTATGTAATGAGTCACATTTATTGATTTGCTTATGTTGAACCAGCCTTGCATCTTGGGGATGAAGCTGACTTGATCGTGGTAGATAAGCTTTTTAATGAGCTGCTAGATTCAGTATGCCAGTATTTTATTGAGGATTTTTGCATCGATGTTCATCAGCAATATTGGCCTGAAGTTTTCTTTTTTGTTGTATCTCTGCCAGGTATTGGTATCAGGATGATGCTGGTCTCATAAAATGGGTTAGAGTGGAGTCCCTCCTTTCCAATTTTTGGAATAGTTTCAGAAGAAATGGTACAGTTCCTCTTTGTACTTCTGGTAGAATTCAGCTATAAATTCATCTGTTCTTGGGATTTTTTGGTTGGGAGGCTACTTATTAGTGCCTCAGTTTCAGAACTCATTATTGATCTATTCAAGGATTCAATTTCTTCCTGGTTCAGTCTTGAGGGGTTTTATGTGTCCAGGAATTTCTCCATTTCTTTTAGATTTTCTAGTTTATGTGCATAAAGGTTTTTATAGTATTCGCTGATGGTTGTTTTTATTTATGTCGGGTCAGTTGTGATATCCCCCTTACCATTTCTGATTGTGTCTGATTCTTCTCTCTTTTCTTCTTTATTTGTCTATTAATGTTTTCAAAAAACCAGCTCGTGGATTCATTAATATTTTTAAGGTCTCTATCTCTCTTGGTTATTTCTTGTCTTCTGCTAGCTTTGAGGTTTGTTTGATTTGGTTCTGTAGTTCCTTTTGTTGAGATGTTAGGTTATTAACTTGAGATCTTTCTAGCTTTTTCATATTGGCGTTAAATGCTATAAATTTCCCTCTTAACACTGCCTTAGCTGCATCCCAGAGATTCTGGCACATTGTTTCTTTGTTCACATTAGTTTCTAAGAACTTCTTGATTTCTGCCTTAATTTCATTATTTACTTGAGTTATTAAGGAGCAGGATGTCCAATTTCCATGTGGTTGTGTGGTCTTTAGTAAATTTCTTAATCTTGAGTTCTAATTTGATTACACTGTAGTCTGAGAGACTTTTATATGATTTCAGTTCTTTTGCATTGGCTAAGGAGTGTTTTACTTCGATTATGTGATCAATTTTAGACTAAGTACTTAGTGGTAATGAGAAGAATGTATATTCTGTTGTTTGGGGGTGGAGAGTTCTGTAGATATCTATCAGGTCCACTTGATCCAGAGCTGAGTTTAGGTGCTGGATATCTTTGTTAATTTTCTGTCTTGGTGATCTGTCTAATATTGACAGTAGGATGTTGAAGTCTCCCACTATTATTGTGTGGGAGTCTAAGTCTCTTTGCAGGTCTCTACAAACTTGCTTTATAAATCTTGTTGCTCCTGTATATGGGTCTTGACTCTCTATCTAGTTTGCCACTTTGTGTCTGTTAATTGAGGCATTTAGCCCATTTACATTTAAAGTTAGTATTGTTAGGTGTAAATTTGATCCTGTCATCATGATGCTAGCTAGTTATTTTGCACACTTGTTTATGTGGTTACTTCATAGTGTCACTGCTCTGTGTACTTCAGTGTGTTTTTGTAGTGGCTGGTAATGGTTTTTCCTTTCCATATTTAGTGCTTCCTTCAGAAGCTCTTGCAAAGTAGGCCTGGTAGTGATGAATTCCCTCAGCATTTGCTTGTCCCAAAATGATCTTATTTCTCCTTTGCTTACGAAGCTTAGTTTGGCTGGATATTAAATTCTGGTTTGGAAATTCTTTTCTTGAAGATTGTTGAATATTGGCCCCCAATCTCTTCTGGCTTGCAGGGTTTCCGCTGAGAGGTCGACTGTTGGTCTGATGGGCTTTCCTTTGTAAGTGACCTGGCCTTTCTCTTTGGCTGCCCTTAACCTTTTCTTCTTGCATTTCCACCTTGGAGAATCTGATGATTGTGTGTCTTGGGATTGATCTTCTCATGGAATATCTTACTGGGGTTCTCTGGATCTCCTGAATTTGAATGTTAGCCTGTCTGACCAGGTTGGAGGAATTCTCCTAGATGATACCCTGAAGTATGTTTTCGAACTTTATTCCGTTCTCCCTGTCTCTTTCAGGTACCCCAATCAGTCGTAGGTTTGGCCTTTTTATATAATCCCATATTTCTTGGAGGTTTTGTTCATTCCTTTTATCTTTCCTCTATTCTTATCTGTCTGTCTTATTTCAGAAACATAGTCGTCAAACTCTGAGATTCTTTCTTCTGCTTGGTCTATTCTGCTACTGATAATTACAATTGCATTGTGAAGCTCTTGTCTTGTGTTTTTCAGCTCCATCAGGTCATTTATGTTCCTCTCTAAACTGGCCATCCTGGTTATCAGCTCCTGTATTGTTTTATCATGATTCTTAGCTTCTGTGCATTGGGTTAGAATATACTCCTTTAGCTCAGCAAAGTTTGTTATTACCCACCTTCTGAAGCCTACTTCTGTTAATTCATCCATCTCAGCCTCAGCCCCTTCCTGTGCCCTTGCTGGATAGGTACTTCTGTCATTCGGAGGAGAAAAGGCACTGTGGTTTCTTGAGTTTTCAGCATTTTCCCACTGATCCTTTCTCATCTTTGTGGTCTTATCTGTCTTTGATCTTTGAGGTTGCTGACGTTTGCATGGGTCTTTTGTGGGGTCATTTTTTGTTGATGCAGTCGTTATTGTTTTATTTTTTTCTTTTAACAGTCAGGCCACTCTTCTCTAGGGATGCTGTGGTTTGCTGGTGGTCCACTCCAGACCCTAGCTGCCTCAATTTTCCTGTACCCGGAGGTATTACCAGTGAAGGCTGTGAAACAGCAAAGGCGGCAGCCTGCTCTGTCCTCTGGAAGCTCCATCCCAGGGTGGCACTGACCTGTTGTTGGCCTGAACACGCCTGTGTGAGGTGGCTGGAGACTCCTGCTGGAAAGTCTCACCTAGTCAGGAGGAATGGTATCAGGGACCTGTACAAAGAAGCAATCTGGCTTCCCTTTGTTAGAACAGGTGTGCTGTGTTGGGGGAGACCCTTCCTCATCCAGACCATTGGTATTCTCCCGAGCTGGCTGGCTGAAAAGGCTGAGTCTACTGAACTGCAGAGATGGCAACTGCCCCTCTCCGCAGGAGCTTTGTCCCAGGGAGAGATCAGAGCTCTGTCTGTATACCCTTTGCTGTGGGGGTCGCGGGGAAGGGTGGCGGGAGTGGTAAGCTAAAGCCCCCACAGAGAGGTCTCGCCTAGTGAGGAGTCAGTGTCCGGCTTAAAGAAGCGGTCTGGCCACAATCTGGCAAGGCAGCTGTGCTGCACTTTGGGAAACCCCTCCTCATCCAGACTGCCTATATTCTTCAAAGCCAGCAGGCTGAAATGACTGAGTCTACTGAACAGCAGAAGGCGGCCACCCCTTCCCCTGGGAACAGGCTGAAATGACTGAGTCTACTGAACAGCAGAAGGTGGCCACCCCTTCCCCTGGGAACTCAGTCCCAACTCAGGCACTCTCCAGCCGTCTGCCACCAGCCAGCTGGAATTCCAAGCCAGTGGGTCTCAATCCACGAGGTGCCATGGAAGTGGGGCCCACAGAATGATGCCCCTTGGCTCCCTGGACTCAGCCTTTTTCCTAGAAACATGTACGGATGGATTTCCCACCTTGCTATGGATCCCAGGTGTGTAAGCAAAACTCCTGGGTGTGCCTGAGTGGCCACTCTGCCAAGACTCCACACAGCTCTGTTGATGAGACCCAAGGCCCTAGTGGTGTGGGTTCACAGGGGATGTGCTAATTCACGGGCTGCAAAGATCAAATAAGAGAAGCATAGGTTCCCAGGTGAGGTCCCATGATCATGTACTGCTTCCCTTGGCTGGGGGTGGGAGTTCTCTTGGCTCCGTGCCACTTCTGGGTTGGCCGTTGCTCCACCCTCCACCCTCCACCCTCCACCCTCCACCCTCTTCACTGTCCATGGGTCGAGCTGTTTGCCTAGTCAGTCCCAATGCAAAAACCCAGATATCTCAGGATGCACATGCTGAATTGACTCACTCCTTTCATTACTCTCCATGAGTGCCACAGACCACAGCTGCTTCCAGTTGTCCATCATCTAACCACTTTCTTAGCTACCCATGTGGAGCTCCCAGAGAGGGAGGACACAGGGAGCCAGTTCCTCTGGGGTTGGCACGGTGCTGGGGTCCAGGGCCCTGTACGCATCCAGTTCGGACCCCAACTTCTCTGGGTGACTGTCGGTGGCAGCAGCTGGGGCCCGAGCCCAGATGGAGACTGCTGCCTAGCTGTGATGAAGGCACTGCTGGCTTGGCCCCTGAGCAGGGCTGGAACTTTGGCCCCATGGTCCACCAGTGGGGCCGGACACCCACCTTCCTTCCATCTGCCGGCTACCAGCAGTGGCTACTGCTGTAGCCAAAGCTAACACTACAGCTGCCGCCCAGCCAGGAGTATGTCATGGCGTAATGTCATCAGCTGCATTGCTGCCTTTCTGGGCATCCAGAGCTGTCAAGGTCCTTTACCTGAGTTCTCATTTCTATACACAAGTGATTATTTTGCATCATGTCTATAGAATACTTTCTTTGATTTGAAATTAGCTAATTTTACAAAGATTTGTCTTTTTAATATTTGTCCATCTTTTCTAGAACATTGTGAGTTCATTCAATTTGTATATTGCGGTCTTTTATATATAAGGTGTCAAATGGGTCGATTTTATTAATGCAATAATCAACTTTATTTGTCTTTTACCACTTTCCTTCAAGCATACTTTGTTGCATGTTTCTTGCTCCTGAGTGACATACTGGATAGATCTCATAGCTTCTTGGTAATTTTCAGTTATTAATTAAAAATATATTTTTAGATATCAGAAACTCAATCTAATCTAAATAAAAACTTTTTTCTTACATGCAATCTGAAACTTATCCTCTTCTTCCAGCTCAGACCTTGGTCAGTTTTGGAAATTTGCATTCAGAAGGAAGTTATTCTACTACTTCCAGTGGACAGACACAGACACACACATACACCTTTTCACTAAATGCCAGTAATGTACCTCTCCATCACTGTGACAATCAAAAACATCCACACACGTTTACAAATGTCCTTTGACAGTGGTGTCAACCAGGATGGTTTTGTTTCCTAAGGGATTGTGATGGTTAATTTTAGATGTCAACGTGACTGAAATAAGGGATACCTAGATACCTGGTAAATCATTATTCATAAGTGTGTCTGTGAGGGTGTTTCTGGAGGAGATTGGTGTATAAGTTGGTAGATTGAGTGGAGAAGGTCCACCCTCAGTGTGGGTAGGCATCATCCTACCAGCTGGGGGCCAAAATGGAACAGAATGGAGGAAGAAATGTAAATTTGTTCTCTCTCTTGTAGAGGTGGGACAACTTTCTTCTCTTGCTCTTGGACATCAGAAATCCAGGCTTTCTGGCCTTTGGACTCCAGGACTTGCACCAGTGCCCATTTCCCTACCCTTGGTTCTGGGGCTGATTGTGAGGCTTTCAGACTTGGACTTACTGAGCCATACAATGGACTTCATTGGTCCTCTAGCCTATCAGGGGACTTTTCAGCTCCATAATCATGAAAGACAATTCTCTTAATAAATCACCTCTGCCCCAAATATATATTATATATTATAATTACATAATTAAATATAATATATAGCATAATAATATATATAATTATATAATGTAATTATATATAATTATATAATGTAATATATAATTATATAATGTAATTATATTATATAATTATATAATGTATTATATAATTATATAATACGATTATATTATAATATGTAATATAATTATATATAATATATATAATATAATTATAATATATAATATATATTATATATATTATATTATATATATTATATATGTTACATATATTATATATTATATATTTATGTTTAATATTTAATGTAATATTTAATATTTAATATATTAATGAAGTTTAATTAAATAATTCATTAAATAAAATCATTTAATTAATAAATAAAATATATAAAATAATTTTTAATAATCAAATAATCAAATAAATTAAAGAAATAAATAATTAGAAAATAATTAATTAATCATAAGTAATAAATAAATAAAAAATAAATTATTTTATATAGTAAAATTGGATTTAAAATTAAATATTAATATTTAATGTTTAATATTTAATATATATTATGTGTATTATATATATTTATGTATTATATATTTTATGTATTATGTAATATATATTTTATATATATATAATATACATATAAAATATCCTATTCGTTCTGTCTTTCTGGGGAACCCTGACTAATACAGTAACATTTGGTAGTATCTAGAGGCATTTTTGGTGGCTACAACTGAGGAGGCCTAAAATGCTGTTAAACATTCTACAGTTCACAGGACATCCCCCACAAAAGGAATTATGTAGTCCAAAATATCAGTAGTGTTGAGGTTGAGAACCCCCCCCCCAAAAGGTAAAAGATTGTACCACATCCAGCTGAGAACCACTGAAAGACTGACCAGCAATGAAGTTTTTGTGTTACAGTATTTCTCTATAACTATATTGCAGAGCTGACTGCTAATGACCGTTTTCCCCACCTCATTCATTGATGGACGACATATCTGTGCATTCTAATATTCATCCCTTGTTCTTCTGCCATTCTATTGTTTTAAGAGAGCTCAGGCACAAATCTTTAAGAGATTATTGATGTGGCCCCTAAGGATGTACATCCCCTTTTATAGAACCTTCTATGTCACCAAAGATCTGCTGAGATTTGTATTCTACTCTTGGTTTCCTCATTCAGTGAGGTCAATTTTTTTCCGCATCGGACAGCCTTATGCATAGATTGTCACTTGAGAGTATTTTTAAAAATGTTTCGCTGGGGATGTAGCTTTTCTTTCTTTTTCATTCTTCTTGTTTTTAGCTTGTTTTAGAGAAGAGCAAGAGACATAGTCACATTTACTTTGACATCTGTGATTTGAAGTTATTTATACCTAATTATTACATGTTTTTTCTCACCACTTGAAATAAATCTATTTTATAGTCTACTTTCTAACTTGTTATTTCTGATAGAAAAAAATTATATATTTAATTTGAGACTAATTACCTTATTAAACTATCTTTAGGGTTCTATCAAATTTTCAGTGCAATCTCATTGTTTTTCTTGGTAAACAGTGAACAAATACTAAGAATTTTTCACCTATTTTTCAATGATTAAATCCCTTGAAACTTTTGTTATGTCCTATTGAATTGGCAAAAACTTTTAGAGGTATACACTGTATTTAATGAGTGAGGTAACAAAGGACATTCTTTTCTTAACACTGAGAATATCACTAATGCTTTATCTTTATGTATTTATGCATTCATTATTTCATTAACTATTCTAATTACCTGCAATGCACTGGCACTGTGCTAGGTACTGCATGTACAACAGTGTATAAAACAGTGGTCCCTGCACACATGGAGTGAAGAATCTCATGGTAATACAGATGTTAAATAAGCATTCATGAAAATACATTTATAATCACTACTTATGAGGAGATCTAATTTAAATTATAGGTTAGGGAAAATCTACTTTGAATTAAGAAAACACATAAGCTGAATTCTGAAGTATAACTACGAGTGAAGGTGAAAGAGAAGAAATAATAAGTGCCAAGGCCTTGAGATATATTTGAGGAACTTAAAGAAAACCAATGGGGCTGGATCTTAGTGGGCAGGGAAGTGTACTGGCCAAAGATAAGAAAAGCAGTGGTTGGTAGTTCAGGATGTTGTTAACGTTTTGGTATTTTGTTTGAAATTCATGAGAAACAGGTGGACGGTGGTACTGAGGGAAGAGAGAGATCCTCTCATATTGTTTTATATTGTTTTATACTCAGTACCTGTTTTAAGAAAAAAAACAAGGAAGTGAAATCAAAGACAGGCAGCCCGGCACCAGGCCCAAAACTGGACCTAGGCCGGCCTGGCCCAAACCTAGTAGCTAAAAATCAACCCATGACTTAGAAACTGATGTTATTCATAGATTCTAGACATTGTATAGAAGAACATTGTGAAACTCCCTGCCCTGTTCTGTTTCTCTCTGACCACCGGTGCATGCAGCCACTGTCACGAACCGCTTGCTTGTTCAAATCAATCATGACCCTTTCATGTAAAATCTTTAGTGTTGTGAGCCTTTAAAAGGGACAGAAATTGTGCACTCAGGGAGCTCGGATTTTAAGGCAGTAGCTTGTTGATGCTCCCAGCTGAATAAAGCCCTTCCTTCTACAACTCGGTGTCTGAGAGGTTTTGTCTGTGGCTTGTCCTGCTACAGTATGATTTAGAAGAATGAGGAACACTGAGAAATGGGGAACCTTCTTTTGGTGGGATAGGGAGATTGAGTGTAGTTCTGGATTGTTGAGTTTGAGATACTTGTGAGAAATAATACAGGCATACCTTGGAGATAGTGTAGATTTGGTTCCAGACTGCTACAGTAAAGTGAATATTGCAGTAAAACGTTACACAATTTGTTTGGTTTCCCAGTGCATACAAAAGTTATGCTTATACTATACTGTAATATATTAAGTGTGCAATAGCATGTGTAAAAAGGGACAAAATACATAACTCATTTTAAAAATACTTTATTTCTAAAAACGCTGATAATCATCTGAGCCTTTCAGAGAATTGTCATCTTTTTTATGATGGAGAGTCACACCTCCATGTAGATGACTGCTGACTGATCAGGGTGGTGGTTGCTGAAGCCTGGGATGGCTGTGGCAATTTTTAAACATAAGACAAGAATGAAGTTTGTCACAAACTTCACAAAAGTTTTCCTTTCACAAAAGTTTTCTCTGCAGCATAAAATGCCACTTGATAGCATTTTACCCACAGTAAACTTCTTTCTGCATATACTTTTTATTCTCCCAAATCTTAATTACAAGTAGCATACAGTTGACCAGAAGCTTTATTGATAACATAAACAGCTGATTAACACATATTTTGTATATTATATGTATCATATGCTGTATTATTTTAATAAACTAAGCTAGTGAAAATAAAATGTTATTAAGAAAATCATAAGAAAATATATTCACTATTAAGTAGAAGTAGATCATAATAAAGGTCTTCGTGCTTGTTGTCTTCACATTGAGTAGACTAAGGAGGAGAAAGAAGGTATTGGTTGTGTTATCTCAGGGGTGGCAGAGGCAGAAGAAAACCTGCATATAAGTGGACCAGCACACTTCAAACTTCTGTTGTTCAAGGAACAACTGTATTCTAAGTTATTTGTTTTCATTTCAATAATGTCCACAGTATCTTTAGGAGTAGATTCCATCTCAATAAATCACTTTCTTTGCTTATTCATAAGAAGCAACTCCTCATCCATTCAAGTTTTATCCATGAGATTTCAGCAATTCAGTCACATCTTCAGGCTCCATTTTTAATTCTAGGTCTCTTGCTATTTCTACCACATCTGCAGTTACCTCTTCTGCTGAAGTCTTGAGGCATCAAAGTCATCCATGAGGGTTGGAATCTACTTCTTTCAAACTCCTGTTAATGTTGGTATTTTGATCTTTTCCTATGGATCACGAATGTTCTTAATGCAAATCATTTCCAGAGGGTTTTCAATGTATTTTTCCCAGATCCATCAGAGGAATCACTATCTATAGCAGCTATTGCCTCATGCCATGTATGTCTTAAGTATAAGACTTGAAAATCAAAATTGCTCTTTGATTTGTGGGCTGCAGAATGAATATTGCATTAGTGGGTATGAAAACAACACCAATCGCCTTGTCATTTGAGCTCTCAGGTGAACAGGTGCATTGTCAATAAACAGTGATATTTTGAAAAGAGTCTTTTTTACTGAGATGTAGATCTCAATGGCAGGCTTAAAATATTCGGTAAACCATACTGTAAACATACGTACTATCATCCAAGCTTTGTTGTTCCATTTACAGAACACAGGCAGAGAAGACTTGGCATAAATCTTAAAGGCCCTACAATTTTCAGGATGGTAAGTTAACATTGGCTTCAACTTAAAGTCACCAGCTGCATTAACCCCTAACAAAAGAATTCTTCCTTTGAAGCTTTGAATCCATGCATTGACTTCTCCACTCTAACTCTGAAAATCCTCAATGGAATCTTCTTTCTTTCCATAGAAGGCTGTATTGTTTACATTGAAAATCTGTTTTTAGTGTAGACATCCTCATCAATTATCTTAACTATAACTTATAGATAACTTGCTGCACCTTCTACATCAGCACTTTCTGTTTCATCTTGTGCTTTTATGTTATGGAGATGACTTATTTCCGTAAAACTCATGAACCAACCCTGCTAGCTTCCAACTTCTTTCTGCAACTTCCTCACCTCTCTCAGCCTTCAAAGAGTTAAACAGAGTTAAGGCCTTGCCCTGGATTATGCTTTGGCTGAAGGGAATGTTGTGGCTGCTAAAATCTTCTATCCAGAACACCAAAGTGTACTCCTATTAGCAGGAAGGCTGTTTTACTTTCTTATCATTTGTGTGTTCACTGGAGTAGTACTTTTAATTTCCTCCAAGAAATTTTCCTCTGAATTCACAACTTGGCTAACTGACTCAAGTAGCTTTCAGCCTATCTTGGCTTTTGACATGCCTTCCTCACTAAGCTTAATCATTTCTAGCTCTTGATTTAAAGTGAGAAATGCGCAGCTCTTTCTTTCCCTTGCACACTCAGAGATCATTGCATGGTTATTAATTGGCCTAATTTCAATTTTGTTCAGTCTCAGGAAACAGAGAGGCCTGAGAACACACGGAGAGATGGAAGAATGGTTGGTTAGTGGAATAGAGCATATACAACATTTAGCTGTCTTATAAGGGCATGGTCCATGGTGCCCTAAAACAATTACAAAAGTAATATCAAAGATCAATTTCTACCACAACAGGTATAAGAATAATGATAAAATTTGAAATATAGTGAGCATCACCAAAATGTGACACAGAGATATGAAGTGAGCACACGCTCTTGGAAAAATGGTGCCAGTAGACATACTGGGTGTAGGCTTGCCACAAACTTCCAATTTGTAAAAAATGCAATTATCTGCAAAGTTCAATAAAGCAGGGCACAATAAACTGAGGTATGCCTGTAAATGCCAAGTAAGTACATAAATATTCTGTACCCATCTGAAGCTCAGAAAAGAAGCTGTTATAACAGAATAAAGAGCCTGAGAAGAAGCAGCCAGTAAATTGTAAGGAAATCTAAGGAGTTTGAAATGTAGAGAGGTTAACTCAGTCAAATACTGATGTCAAAAACTCTAAGATGAGAACTAAAGAGTCCACTAGGCTTAGCAACATGGAAATCCACTAGATTTAGCAACATGGAAGTCAACAGACTACTTAGGCAAGAGATATTTCAATGATCTGATAAGGATTGAAGCCATGGAAAATGGAATGGAAAGTATGGAGGTGGAGTTAATGTATAAATAACCCTTTGAGGAAATTTGCTTTTGCTGAGAATGGATATGGAAAGGAAGAACGTGTGATAAAGAAAATTTTATTTTAGATGGAAGATAATGAAACATTTTTGGACACCGATTATAAAGATGCTATAGAGAGGAAGATATGATAAGATAGCACATGCAAAATATCTGATCTCTGATAGAATGATGGCTACTTTTCTATTATAACTAAAAGGCAGTGGGAGAAGATGAACACAGATGCAAGTAGGTTTGAAGATTTGGTATAAGAAGATAGAATAATGCCTGAGTGCTGTTTTCTATGTGAGATATGAGGCACAGTCATGCACAAGACAGATATTAGCAGGTGGAAGGTAAATTGATTGGGTTAGAAGAAAGAAAAAAATGAAATCTAGTCCTTGCTGAAACAGAGAACCAACTTACTAGAGAAACATAAGATTTCTGAAGTATTTGGTACCAAGTTCATAATGTTTCATAAATTTATAAGTAATGCCTAATTTCTTTCACTCTGGAATTTTCTATATTAAATAAAACTTTCAGTTGTAGTCACAAATTATGGGGCTGATGGGGTTCATCCAGTGTTGGTATTTTACTGGTAGCATAAAATAAGAAAAGAAGGAAAAGAGCATTAACAGCCTTTATGAAAGTCTGATTGGATAATGAACCATCAGATATAATCTAAATAGAAAGTAAAGCAGGAGGGGAGTGAGAGAGTAAGAGAAAATGGAGAGAAGTTCTTGATGAAATAGAAGACTTGTTTCAGAGAAGCTATGTGAGCAAGCAAAGTGGAAGAAAAGAAAGTTGTGTCGCAGAGTGGGATGTCTGAAATAGTGATTTGAAGAGGGATGCAACTTTTGATGACAATGAGGAGTAAGTTTAACATCTGTTTGGGAATGGGTGGCTAAGATAGAATGGAGAAGAGAGTGTTTCTGCTTCTTTTGCAAAGACAAAGTAAGAGCTCAACAACTGTCCCTTTATGAGTGGTAAAAGTTGCCCTAGCAACTTGCGTTTTGCCAGCCAGTCATTTTACAGTTGCTTTAAGTGGAAACAAGTGCCTTTGTTCCTAGATTTCTGGTCCAGGTACCTTCAGTAGGGTACTTTAGATTATGCAGAAAATTGCCCCAATTTATCATTTTCTATTAAGGCCTTGAAATGATGAGTCATTTGCCTGATTTCCTACTTTGAGTCCTCTGAAATCTGTGCTCCAAATCTTTCTATACTTCCATTGGCATCTCCTTGCTCTTTCATTTCTTAATTGGCCTGTTTTGCAAATGCTGAAAAATGGAAGCAAATATTTCTGTTATTTTTAATCTATGATGACATGTACAGATTCATTATTAAAAATGGATTTTGCAAAATTTCTAGGAGTTAATTTTCTTTTTTGCTTAGCATAAACCAAGTACTGCAGACTGGTGGGTGTGCTGGCAACAAAGTATAAAATTAGGAATTCAGAGAAATTTCTCTGATCCAGCAAAGTAAATCACAGAACTTGAACTCTTTCTGAAATCATGTTGTTTCATAAGCCCACACATGACAGTTCCTGGGCCTACAGTTTCGTTAATTTTGCTAATTTTATATTAAGGCTAAAACTTTTTCGCTCTTCCCCATTTCTTTTTAAAAGCAGCCTTAAAACAGATAGTAATAGGATTCAGGATGGATGGTTCTGCATGCCTTAGCTTGGGTGAGCTCCAATTCTTGTCCCTAGCCCAACCTACTTTGTTTGTGATTCTGCCCACATAAAGGGTTTTTTTCTTGTCTGCACTCTGATCTTTCTGATACTTGACTTTCCCCGGTGCGTTTATGCACATAGTTGGCACCTTTATATAATTGTTCTCATCATTCTTAAATGGTTAATTTTAGTTGGTTTTGTGTCAAACCAATTTCTGTATTTCAGTTGGAATCTCCTCAAGGGCAGTGTCCATGTTGTCTATATTTTGAATCCCCTATGCAGTCAAACCAAATAGAAATTTTGTTATCTCATTTTCTTATGAATGTTCTGTGTTTTGAGGAGAAAGAAGCAAATAATTAGAAAACTAGTTAACATCAGGGAATTAGTCAAACTCACAAATATGAAACCCTCCAGGCTCTGTTTTAGGCTGAACTCACAATAAGCCCAATTTGAAACTATATTCCTCTTCCTTGTATGCTCTCAACAAAAGTAGCTAATGGAGAATGAAGTCAAGTTCCCACTTGAGATGTCAATCTTTAACTTTGGCTTTACTATTTGTCTTGCTGGGTCTTTTTAAAAAATGTAAATTTAAATTTAACACTTAACATGGATCTATACTCTCAACAGGTTTTAGAGCGTACAATTTAATATTGTTAACTGTCGGCACAAAGTTGTATAGAAGGTCTCTAGAAGTGACTCTTCTTGTATTACCAAAACTTTAAACCCATTGATTAGCAGTTCTCTATTGCCCTCTTTCCCCTATCCCTGGCCACTACTGTTTATCTCTCTGCTTCTAGGTGTTTGACTATTTTAAATACCTCATGTAAGTGATATTATGCAGTATTTTTCCTTATCTGAGTGGCTTATTTCACTTAGTATAATGTCCTCAAAGCTTATCCATGTTGTCGCATATTTCAGAATTCCCTTCTTTTTCAAAGCTGAATAGTATTCCATTGTGTGTGTGTGTGTGTGTGTGTGTGTGTGTGTGTGTGTGTATCTCATGTTTTTCTCATCGATTCATCCATCAGTGGACATTTAGGTTGTTTCTGTATCTTGGCTGTTGTGAATAGTACTGCACTAAACATGATGAGTGCTAATATCACTTTGAAATTCTAATTTTAATTATTTTAGATAAATATCCAGAGGCGGGATTGCTAAATCATATGGTAGTTCTATTTTCACATTTTTAAGAACCTCTATACTGTTTTCCAGAGCTGCTGCACAATTTTGCATTCTGATCAACAGTGTATTAGGGTTCCTATCTCTCCACATCCTCACCAACACTTGTTGTCTTTTGTGTTCTTTGTTTTTTTTAATAATAGCTATCCTACCAGGTTTGAGGTAATATCTCATTGTAGTTTTGATTTGCATTTCCCTAATGATTAGTGACTTGAGTATCTTTTCATGGACCGGTTGGCTATTTGTATGTCTTATTTGAAAAAATGTTTATTCAAATTCTTTGGCCATTTTTTAGTCAGGTTATTAGGGTTTTTTTTCTTTTGCTATTGAGTTGTTTGAGTTCCTTATTTATATATTTTAGAAATTAACCCCTTATCTGATGTATGGTTTGCAAATATTTTCTGCCATTCTGTACATTGCTTTTTTACTCTGTTGTTTGCTGTGCAAAAGCTTTGTAGTTGGATGTAATCCCGCCGGTCTATTTTGGCTCTTGTTGCCTGTGCTTTTGGTGTTACAACCTTGAAATCATTGTCAAGTCCAGTGTCAAGAAGCTTTTTCCCTATGTTTTCTTCCAGGCGTTTTAGATTTTTTACTCTTACATTTAAATCTTCAAACCATTTTGAGTTGATTTTTGAGTATAATGTAAGATAAGGGTCCAATTTCATTCTTGTGCACTGGGATGATATACAGTCTCTCCAACATCATTTAAGGAGACTATTCTCCCATTATGTCTCGGCACTCTAGTCAATGGTCAGTTGATTGTGTATGCGTGGATTTATCTCTGGTCTTTCTATTCTGGTGCATTCCACTGTTCTATATGCCCATCTTCATGCCAGTACCATACTATTTTAATTACTGTAGCCTTATATGTTTTGAAATCAGCAAGTGTTGTGCCTCCTGTTTTGTTCTATTTTCTCAAGGTTTCCTTGGCTATTGTATTAGGGTTCTCTAGGGGGACAGTACTAATAGGATAGGTGTATATATATAAAGGGAGTTTATTAAAGAGTATTGACTCACATGATCACCAGGTGAAGTCCCACAATAGGCTATCTGCAAGCTGAGGAGAAGAAAGCCAGTCCGAGTCCCAAAACTTCAAAAGTAGGGTTGCAGACAGCACAGCCAGCCTTCAGTCTGTGGTTGAAGGTCCAAAAGCCTAAAAGCTGAAGAACTTGGAGTCTAATGTTTGAGGGCAGGAAGCATCCAGCTTGGGAGAAAGATGTAGGCTGGAAGACTCAGCCAGTTCTCCTTCCACATTCTGCCTACTTTTTATTCTAGCTACGTTGACAGCTGATTAGATGGTGCCCACCCAGACTGAGGGTGGGTCTGTCTTTCCCAGTCCACTGACTCAAATGTTAATCTCCTTTGGCAAAACCCTCACAGACACACCCAGGAACAATACTTGTCAACTTGATTGGATTGAAGGATGCAAATATTAACCATTATAGCTATTCATGGTAGTTTGTGGTTACATATGAATTTTAGGGTTTTTTTAATCTATTCTGCAAAAAAAAAAACCCAAAAAGCCAATGGGATTTTTATAAGAATTGCATTGAATCTTTATATCACTTTTGGTGGTAGTATGAACATTTTAAACAATATTAAACCTTTCAATCCATGAACATGGGATGTCTTTCTATTTATTTGTGTCTTCTTTAATTTCTTTCATCAATGTTATATAGTTGTTTTATCCATTTGTGCTATTCAGTTATATGAGGCTGAGCTTTAAAAGAATTGAAGCTTCTCAGGTTTGTGAGGCAGAGTCTAGAAAATTCTGTGGCTGCACACAACAGCCTTATTTTTCTTTGTTGCAACTTTTTTGATGGCTACTATAATGCATAGAGTAATTAATGCCCAATCAGTTTTAAACTTGTCTAGATATAGGACAACTATTTGTCTCATCTATTAATAGCTATTCACTAAAAGTCACCTAGAGCACATTCAGTAAATTAGATTTACTTCAAGCAATTTTTGTTGTGTGCCTACTAGATGCTAAGCACAGTTCAAAGCCTCTGTACACAACAGCAAATAAGAGAGGCAAAATTCTTTTTTATTGTGTAGGAATAGTATTTTTTTTATTATTATACTTTAAGTTCTAGGGTACATGTGCACAATGTGCACGTTTGTTACATAGGTATACATGTGCCATGTGGTTTGCTGCACCCATCAACTCAACATTTACATTAGGTATTTCTCCTAATGCTATCCCTCCCCAAGCCCCCCACCCCTGACAGGCCCTGGTGTGTGATGTTCCCTGACCTGTGTCCATGTGTTCTCACTGTTCAACTCCCACCTATGAGTGAGAACATGTAGTGTTTGGTTTTCTGTCCTTGTGACAGTTTGCTGTGAATGATGGTTTCCAGCTTCATCCATGTCCCTGTAAAGGACATGAGCTCATCCTTTTTAATGGCTGCATAATATTCCATAGTATATATGTTTTCTTAATCCAATCTATCATTGATGGACATTTGGGTTGGTTCCAAGTCTTTGCTATTGTGAATAGTGCCGCAATAAACATACATGTGCATATGTCTTTATAGTAGAATGATGTATAATCCTTTGGGTATATACCCAGTAATGGGATCACCGGGTCAAATGGTATTTCTAGTTCTAGATCCTTGAGTAATTGCCACACTGTCTTCCACAATGGTTGAACTAATTTACACTCCCACCGACAGTGTAAAAGCCTTCCTATTTCTCCACATCCTCTCCAGCATCTGTTATTTCCTGACTTTTTAATGATCACCATTCTAACTGGCATGAGATGGTATCTAATTGTGGTTTTGATTTGCATTTCTCTGATGACCAGTGATGATGACCATGCAGTCTGTTGGCTGCATAAATGTCTTCTTTTGAGAAGTGTCTGTTCATATCCTTTGCCCACATTTTGGTGGGGTTGCTTGTGTTTTTTTCTTGTAAATTTAAGTTCTTTGTAGATTCTGGATATTAGCCCTTTGTCAGATGGGTAGATTACAAAAATTTTCTCCCATTCTGTAGGTTGCCTGTTCACTCTGATGATAGTTTCTTTTGCTGTGCAGAAGCTCCTTAGTTTAATTAGATCCCATTTGTCAATTTTGGCTTTTGTTGCCATTGCTTTTGGTGTTTTAGTCATGAAGTCTTTGCCCATGCCTATGTCCTGAATGGTATTGCCTAGGTTTTCTTCTAGGGTTTTTATAGTTTTTGGTCTTACATTTAAGTCTTTAATCCATCTTGAATTAATTTTTGTATAAGGTGTAAGGAAGGGATCCAGTTGCAACTTTCTACATATGGCTAACCAGTTTTTCGAGCACCATTTATTAAATAGGGATTCCCCATTTGTCAGGTTTGTCAAAGATCAGATGATTATAGATGTGTGGTGTTATTTCTGAGGCCAAGAGAGGCAAAATTCTTACTAAGCTCATAGTCTAATGAGGGATACAGTTAATAAACCAATTACAATGCAGTATGGTAAGTTCTGTTAACGAAAAACACAGAGTGCCTAGGGAGGACAGATGATAGTCATCTAATTAAGTCAGGGAGAGATGGTAGGACATGGAAGTATTTCAAGTAGAAACTTGATAAACTCTATACATTTGTGTTAACATAATTCAGGCTCCACCAATAAAATTGTGTGACCTTAAGGAAGTTATGTAATCACTGTCTGTGTTAGCTTTCTCTTCCATAAAACTAGGCCACTAATACCCTCTCTGAATGAATCAAGTGAAAGATGTATATGAAGTTATGTTGGAAAGCCAGTAACAACTTGTTTTCTTTTATTACTAAAGGTAATTACCTGAACTGGTAGGAACATGGAATGAGAGCATATTTCAGGCTCTGTAGTCAGATATTTCTGGATTCAAGCCTGGTTCTGCCAATATATGACCTTAGGCAAGTTACTTAATCTCTCTCACTTTTATTATTTATAAAATGAAGACCTCATAGGATTGTTGTGCGAATTAAATAAAATAATATGTTTAAGTTGCCCGGAACAGTGCATAGTGCATATAATCATTCAATGGCTGTTGGATAATAATAATTATGATGATGTTGGTAATGCTGCTACTGCTTATGATGGTGATAATGATGATGTAGAGTAATAAATGCAGAATTTGACAAATAGAGGTTATTATTGTTATTATTATTTGTGATATGGGCTTCTGGATATTACTTTGGTAGTTTTATTCTTTCTGTGGCCAGAGGCTGCATCCTTAACCCCAGTTGTCAATCATCTACTATTTTCTCATAGCCAATGAGTGGATAGGAGTCCTTCAAGGATCTGCTCCCTATTATTATCTTATTATACCTGCTAAGTAATTGTCAAAACCCTAGTAGCTTCAGTCATCATCTCTCTGTGTGTTAGTCTAAGTTTTCATCTTTAATCTCTATTTCTCTGCCTTTGTAAGTGGTTTCCAAAAGTTGATACATACTAGGATCACTTATGGAACTTGTAAAACTCCCAATGCCAAATATGTACACAATACTAATTAAATAATGTCTGTGGATAGGAACCAGAGATTATTATTTTTTAAATACCCCCAGATGATTCCAATATACAACAAAGTTTGAAAACCACCCAGCCTAGGTCTAAATCCATGATTTTAACTTTACGTTAGAAATCTAGATGGCTTATTAAGTTTCAAACTCAATTTGTCCAAGACTCATCTCATTATTTCTTATCTCCCCAACTGCTGACCCAATCAGCTTTTTCTGCCAAATTTTATATTTTTACATTAATCCTGTTGCCCAGACCTCAAATTTAGGAGTTAGCAATCAGCCAAAGGGCTACTGTAGATTATATTTCTGATACAGAAATCATTTTGGTAACTCCTTTTCTACTACCAGGCTCATTCAAAGACCCAGTACATCTCACTTGGGTTGTAACAATACACTAACATCACAAATTTTCAATTTTTTTAATTTTAATTTTAATTTTTAATTTTTGTGGGTACATAGTAGGTGTATTTATGGGGTACATGAGATAATTTGATACAGGTGTACAATAGGAAATAAGTACAACATGGAGAATAGGTATCCATCCCCTCAAGCATTTATACTTTGAGTTACAAACAATCCAATTACACTTATTATTTTAAAATGTACAATAAGGTTATTATTGATTACAGTCACCCTATTGTGCTATCAAATAATAGGTCATATTCAGTTATTCTATTTTGTACCTATTAACCTTCCCAACACTGTACTACCCTTCCAAGCCTCTGGTAACCATCCTTCTATTCTCTGCTTATGAGTTAAATTGATTTGATTTTTAGTTCCCACAAATAAGTGAGAACATGAGATGTTTGTCTTTCTGTGCATGGATTACTTCACTTAACATAGTGATCTCCAGTTCCATCCATGTTGTTGCAAATGACTGGACCTCATTCTTTTCTATAGCCAAATAATACTCCATCATGTTTATGTACCACATATTCTTTATCCATTCATCTGTTAGTGGACACTTAGTTTGCTTCCAAATCTTCGCTATTGTAAGCAGTACTGCAACAAACATAGGATTGCAGATATCTCTTTCATACACTGATTTTCTTTTAAGGGGGTATATACTCAGCAGTGGGATTGCTGGATCATATAGTATCTCAATTTTTAGTCTGTTGAAGGACCTCCAAACTGTTCTCCATAGTGGTTGTACTAATTTACATTCCCACCAACAGTGTACGAGGGTTCCCATTTCTCCACATCCTAACCAGCATTTGTTATTGTCTGTCTTTGGGATATAAGCCATTTTAACTGAGGTGAGATGATATCCCACTCTAGTTTTTATTTGAATTTCTCTGATGATCAATGATGTTGAGCACCTTTTCATATGCCTGCTTGTCATTTGTATGACTTCTTTTTAGGCATGTCTATTCAAATTATTTGCCCATCTTTTGATTGGATTATTATATATTTTTTAATTTTAGAGTCTTCTGAGCTCCTTATATATTCTGGTTATTAACTTCCCATCAGAAGGGTAGTTTGCAAATATTTCCCCCATTCTGTCTGTTGTCTCTTCACTTTGATGACTGTATCCTTTGCTGTGCAGACTCTTTTTAATTTGATGTGATCCGATTTGTCCATGTTTGCTTTGGTTGCCTGTGCTGATGGGGTTTTACTCAATAAATTTTTGCCCAGACCAATGTCCTGGAGAGATTCTGAAAAGTTTTCTTGTAGTAGTTTTATAGTTTGAGGTCTTAGATTTAAGTATTTAATCCATTTTGATTTTTTTTTTGTAGATACCAAGAAATAGGGGTATAGTTTCATTCTTCTGTGCATCGATATCCAGTTTTCCCAGCACCATTTATTGAAGGGACCACCCTTTCCTTTTCCTGGCACTATTGTCAAAAATGAGTTCATTTTAGGCGTGTGCATTTATTTATGGATTCTCTATTCTGCTTCATTTGTCTATGTGCCTGGTTTTATTATCGGGGAATCTGCCCCGATATTCACGTAGGTTCTTTTCTATTTTCCTTAAGCATCAGCCAGCTTGAGAAATAAAGGGACAGAGTACTAAAGAGAGAAATTTTAAAGCTGGGTGTCCAGGGGAGACATCACATGTCGGTAGGTTCTGTGATGCCCCACAAGCCGCAGAAACCAGCAAGTTTTTATTAGGGATTTTCAAAAGGGGAGGGAGTGTGCGAATAGGTGTGGGTCACAGACATCAAGTACTTTACAAGGTAATAGAATATCACAAGGCAAATTGAAGCAGGGTGAGATCACAGGACCATGGGACCAGGGAAAAATTAAAATTGCTAATGAAGTTTTGGGCACCATTGTCATGGATAACATCTTATCAGGAGACAGGGTTTTGAGAGCAACTGGTCTGACCAAAATTATTAGGCGGGAATTTCCTCTTCCTAATAAGCCTGGGAGCGCTATGGGAGACTGGGGTCTATTTCACCCCTGCAGTCTCGACCATAAGAGACGGGAACACCTCGGGGGGGCGTTTATAGGCCTATACCTCCAGGCGCGTATTCTCTTTTCCAGGGATGTTCCTTGTTGAGAAAAAGAATTCAGTGATATTTCTCCCATTTGCTTTTGAAAGAAGAGAAATATGGCTCTGTTCCACCCGGCTCACCAGAGGTCAGAGTTTAAGGTTATCTCTCTTATTCCCTGAACAATTGCTGTTATCCTGTTCTTTTTTCAAGGTGCCCAGATTTCATATTGCTCAAACACACATGCTGTACAATTTGTGCAGTTAATGCAATTACAGGGTCCTGAGGCGACATACATCCTCCTCAGCTGACAGGATTAAGAGATTAAAGTAAAGACAGGCATAGGAAATCACAAGGGTATTGATTGGGGAAGTGATAAGTGTCCATGAAATCATCACAATTTATGTTTAGAGATTGCAGTAAAGACGGGCATAAGAAATTATAAAAATATTAATTTGGGGAACTAATAAATGTCCATGAAATCTTCACAGTCCATGTTCTTCTGCCATGGCTTCAGCCGGTCCCTCCATTTGGGGTCCCTGACTTCCCGCAACATTATGCCAGTATCATGCCATTTTGGTTGCTATAGCTCTGTAGTATAATCTGAAGTCAGGTATTGGGATTCCTCTAGTATTTTGTTCTTTATGCTTAGGATAGCTTTGGCTATTCTTGGTCTTCTGTGATTCCATATAAATATCAGGACTGTTTTTTGTATTTCTGTTGAGAATGTCATTCATATTTTGATAAGGATTGCATTGAATCTGTAGATTACATTGTGTAGTGTGGACATTTTTAACAATATTGATTCTTCCAATCTGTGAACATAGAATATTTATCCTTTTTCATGTTCTCTTTGATTTCTTTAATCAGTTTTATAGTTTTCATTATGGATATTTTTCACACCTTTGATTACTTCCTAGGTAATCAATTTTATGTGTGGCTATTATAAATGAAATTACTTTTTTATTTCTTTTTCACATTGTTCACTTTTGGCATATAGAATTGCAACTGTATTTTGTATGTTGATTGTGTATCCTGCAACTTTACTGAATTTCTTTATCAGTTCTAATTGTTTTATTTTGGAGTTTTTAGGTGTTTCTGAATATAAGATTATATAATCTGCAAACAGGGCTAATTTGAATTCTTCCATTCCAATTTGGTTCCTTTTAGTTCCTTTTAGTTCCTTTTCTTGTCTGACTTCCAATACTATGTTGAATAACAGTGATAACAGTGGGCATCCTTGTCATGTTCCAGATCTTAGAGAAATGCTTTCACTTTTCTGCCATTTAGTATGACACTAACTGTGGATTTGTCCTATATGGCTTATTTTCTTTCTATACCCCGTTTTTTGAGAGTTTTTATCATGAAGTCCTGTTGAAATGTATGAAGTGCTTTTTCAATATCAACTGAAATGATCATATGGTTTTTATCCTTTATTCTGTTGATATAATGTCTCATCTTGATTGATTTGTGTAACTTTAAGGCCAATACCTCTTAGATTTGCCCTTTTAAGGCTATTTTCTAGATCCTGTGGACATACTTGATTGTTTTTTATTCTTTTATTTTTGTCTCCCCTGACTGTGTATTTTCAAATAGCCTGTCTTCAAGTTCACTAATTCTTTCTTCTGCTTTATCCATTATGCTATTAAAAGATTCTATTGCATTCTTCACTATGCCAACTGCATTTTTCAGCACCAGAATTTCTGCCTGATTCTTTCATTATTTCACTCTCTTTGTTAAATTTTTCTGATAGAATTTTGAATTCCTTCTCTTTGTTATCTTGAATTTCTTTGAGCATCTTCAATGCTATTTTGAATTCACTGTGTGAAAGGTCACATGTCTCTGTTTCTCCAGGATTAGTCCTTGGTGCCATATCGAGTTCATTTGGTGAGGTCATGTTTTTCTATACAGTGTTAATGCTAGTAAATATTCTTCAGTGTCTGGGCATTGAAGAATTAGGTATTTATTGTGGTCTTCACTCTGAGCTTATATGTATGCAGTCATTGTTCTTGGGAAGGGTTTCCATGTATATGAAAGGAGTTTGGTGTTGTGATCTAAGTTGTATCTGCTTTAGGGGCCGCCCTAAGCTCAGTAACACTGTGGTTCTTGCAGATTTGTAGAGATATTGCCTTGACAGTCTTAGACAGGATCTTGAAGAATTCTCTGGATTACCAGGCAGAGAATCTTGCTTTCTTCCCTTACTTTCTCTGAAACAGAGTCTCTTTCTTCTGAGCCACCTAAAGCTGAGTGACCACCACCACTGTGACTGTGCTGGGTCAGACCTGAAGCCAACACAGTACGAGGTCTCTCCCGAGGTCTGCTGTAACCATTCCCCGGCAACTGTCTATGTTCACTATAGGCCTTGGGGCTCTATAATCTATAATTAGCTGGCAGGAAAGCCAGGCAGGCCTGTGTCCTTCTCTTCATGGCAGCAAGGTCTCCCCAGCCCCAGGTGGGTCCAGAGGTGCTGTGCGAGAGTCGGAGACTAGAGTCAAAAACCTTAGACGCCTACCTGATGTTCTATTGTATTGCAGCTAAGTTGGTAGTCAAATGATGGCATGTAGGCATTTTCACTCTTACCTCCCCTTTCCAAAGGCAAAGGAGCCTCACCACATAGCCACCACCACCCCAGGCCATGAGAAGTACTGCCAGACTACTGCCAATGCTCCCTTAAGGCCCAAGGGATTTTAAGTCAGCTTCTGGTGAATTCTATCTGGCCTGGGTCTCACCCTTCAGGGCAATAGACTCCCCTCTGGCCCAAAGAAGGTCCAGAAATGCCATCCAAGAGTCAGGTCCTGAAGTCAGGGACCCCATGAGCCTGCCTGATAATCTACCCCTCTGTGCCCGTGCTGGTACCTAAGGTTCAAGACTAAGTGTCCTTTACTTTTCCCCCTGCTTTTCCCAAGCAGAAGGCGTTTCACCCCGTAGCCATCACAGGTGTTAATGTGCTGAGTCTCACCTGAAGCCAGAAAGTCTCAGGGGCTCACCCAAAGCCCTTGATGTAGTACCTGGGTATGGCTGCTTGTTATTCAGGTCCCAAGGGCTCTTTATTTAGCAGGTAATGAAGGCTTCCAGGACAGGGCCCTTTTCTTCAAGGCAGTGGGTATCCTTCTGGCCCAGAGTGTGTGAAGAAATGTCATCTAGAAGCTAGGTTCTGTAAAGGAGGCCTCATGACTCTTAACGGTGCCCTACCCTGTTGTTGCTGAGCTAGTATCTACGGTGCAAGATAAAGTCCTCCCCACTCTTCCCTCTCTTCTCCTCAAGCTGAAGGAAGGGCTCTTTTAGCCCCCAAGCTGTGCAGCCTGAGGTGAAGGGAGGGATGATGTCAACACTCCCTTGGCTGCTTCAGCTGGTGTCTCAGTATGTCATGTTCCCCTCTGTACCCCCAGTCCACTGTCTCTGGGCCTAGTTCAGCACTAGGACTTGCTTAAGTGTTGCAGTCCCTATGGCCTGTCCTGCCTTTCAAGTTTACTTGGAGACAGAGAGCACTGTCACCATCTGTGGCAAAGTTTGTGGGAAATCAAGTTTTGATCACTGGGATCTGGGATTCCCCTCTGGCTAGGGCTGGTTTATATGCTCCCTCTGTGGCTGGGCATCAGCTAAGTTTGGGCTGGTTTTCCTTTCTGCTCTAACAGGACAGCACTGAGTTCAATGCCTCACATTTGCTTTGTTCTGCCTCTTTCTGTTCCCGGAGATGCTTTTTTCACCATACTGCTGCTGCCAGGGTCAGGGAGGGGTAGCATCAGCAATTTAAGACTGATTTTTTTCTATCTCTTCAGTGCCTCTTTCAGTGATACAAAGTTAAAAACAGGTATTATGGTGCACACCTGATTTTTCATACTTATTAAGTGTTGTTTTCTGTGTAGATGTTGTTAACTTGATGTCCTTGTGGAGGAGACAATCATTAGAGCCTTCTATTCCACCATTTTGCACTGCCTCCTTCACAATTTTTTTTTGAGATAGGGTCTCACTTTTTCACCCAGGCTGCAGTACAGTGGCACCATCAGAGCTCACTGAAGCCTTGAATTCCTGGGCTGAAGTAATCCTCCCACATCAGGCTCCCTGGGATTACAGATGTGCACTACCATAGTCGACTAATTTGTTATTTTTGTAGAGACAGGGTCTTGCTGAGGTCTAGTTTCAAGCTCCTAGCCTCAAGTTATCCCCCTGCTTTGACCTCCCAAAGTGTTGGGATTACAGGCCACAATTTTTATAGAGTTTAGAGTTTAAACATCAGTGCAAAACTCTTAGGACGGTATCACTTAGGAAAATGACATTGTATCGTAATGATTCAGTGCAGACAATAGTTTCTCGAGGTTTGAAATAGATAACTCTTCTTTTCAGCAGTAGATAAAGTAGTTGGCTTGAGTTTAGGAACAATAGTATACCAAAACAAAATACATATATTTTAATTGTAGAACCACACTTAGCATGGCAAGATGCTCACAATATTAGAGTACCATGGGAACCGAGAGATCAGCTGTCGAATAACATACTCATGCTCCTATTTCATGCTCACTCCAGCATGTAAGTTTTTTGAGTGGAATAGTGGACCCCCAAAATCACAATATTTTTAAAATGTGATTTTTTCCTTTGTTAATGAATGTACATAATTAAGTATGTGTTGGTAAATGTGTGTGTGTGTCTGTGTTTGTGAGATGTGTCTTCACTTTAGTTTATAATGATTCTTCTCTACCCACATTCTTACCTCTAATCCATTATGCACACTGCTGCCAGGTTAATCTCCCTAAAGCACAGACTCATCATATGCCTTTCCCGTTCAAAAATTATCAGTGGCATACCATAACCTACTGAATTAAGTCAAAATTCCTCAGTCTGTCATTCAGTGCCCTCTGTGATCTGGCTCTGAATCCACCTTTCTAGTTTTATCAAGCACTGCTCTCTTTTATGAATTATATGCCCCAGCCAACTTGAAGTATTTACATTCATTTTGCCACCTTGATACTTTTTGCTCATGCTATTTATTTCTTTTGCCTGAAATACTTCATTACCTTCCTATCTAGATCTGATGAGATGCTATTTATATTTTGAGGCACAACTCGAATGGAAATTTGGAAATTTCTCTAAAAGCTCATGCCTGTTGCATCAATATCTGTCTATCTAACCATCCATCTACATACATGCATATATGTCTATATCTGTCTATATATCTTATCTCATACTGTATTGTCTTCTATCTTCTTCATATAACTCCATGTTACTATGTCTAGAATTGCGTGTCACACATAACAGACATTCAGTGACTGAATAAGAAATTAAAGCACTATAATTAAACAAAAATGGTTGCATGATTTCCCCTCCTCCCTCTCCCTGACCCTTGCCATATTATTATACAGTGTTTCTCCATTTTATTTTAACAATCGTGTTAGTAGTTCCTTTGTGAGATGACTCAAATTTTTAGAGGATAAAATGGGATCTCAAAGCACAGCAATTGTATGAAAAATTGGGGGTTGGGGTGAAGTGGGGAAGAAACTAAAGTTATCTTAATTACAACATAAGAAAAAACATGAATTAAACACCACTAGTCCCCAAAATACTGGATAATTTTGAAGGAAGTCTAAGAATTGAACGTTATTTCTTTGCCTTGCCCAATGGGAATGGTCATGCTCATGTAGCTAAAGGACTGCAATAAATGTGCCAATTTACACTTGAGAGTAAGTGAGAGACAAAGAAATGCACTCTAGCATGTTCATCTTCCAGTACAAAACAACACTGTGATGTTTCTGCATTACATTTGCAAGTATGCATTGGAATTTCTTTCCCAAAAACTACTGGGATGAGTCATAATACCCAACTACCTGGGAAAGCTCTTGATACCTGAATGGTAGTAAAATGCTCAAGAGATGTTCTATTTCTGCATCATTAGTAGAGAATATTTGTTGCATCAGTGTCGGTGCTGTGTAGAAATAGAAAAGTCAAAAACAGTTCAGAGAAAGAGTAATTATAGGTAAATAAAACTGACCTGTGAAGAAAATGTAGATTCAGGGGTTTGATCAGAGTTATACACTGTGATGAGAGCAGAAACCATCCCACTTGAGTTGGTAAAGTCCATGAGTGAATATAACAGATGTTACAGAATGAATCCCAGACCAGGAGTTTGGGGGTTAAGCCTCTCTGCTGTGGGTATGTCTCTGGAAACCCTTAAAGATATGACTCTCAATCCATGGAAGTATGTTTTCCTTCAAAAGAAGGATAAAAGAGAATGATGTAAAGGAAAATCAGTAGTGTAATAACTATAGCATCTCTATAACTTGACCAACAATGTCTGAACAGTTTGAATTCTGGCTGACAGAGATGTGCTAAATTTTCTCATCAGGGAAGTGGCTTGAAAAAGGCATAGCCTATCGTGATATTTCAAAAGCAGGGGCTTTTGATGGATAGATAAATGAAATAGTGTTAGAACATTTAAAAAATTACTCTATGGAAGTTCTGGCATGGATGCAAGTATTGCAACCACAGGAGGGCAGTTTTATCAGTTCATCTATAGTTTGACTGTAGCTTGTTATCGTAATAGTTATGTGAGAACAAGGTCCAGAATACATATATATCCAGTCTCCACATAAGCTTAGCTTTTTACCCTGATCACAAATTTCAGCTCTAATCTTGACCAGCCTCTGGAAAAATATGGTCATAATCATAAAGAACAGTTAAGATGACATGGGATGTTTCCCTATGGCACATCCTTACAACTTCAGAAATATTTTAAGATATATGACTTGCAGATGGCAGAGCCTATGTTAGATAGAATAGGCTAAGTATATTGCAGTAATAAGCAAGATCCCAAATATCAGTGGCTTAACACAACAAAAGTCTATTTCTTATTTTGACAGAATGTGCTGTGGGTCCCAGGTGACTCCTCAAGGTAGCTGTCCCCCATATGATTATTCTGGAATACACAGTGCATTTGTCTTTGTCCTTGTCATTTCAAGGCCCACTTCATGATTGCTATAGCAGGGCAGGAGAGGTAGTGGAGAATTGCATATGACCCTTTAATTACCTTCGACCAGAAGTGACAGGATATTATTGTCCACGTTTTATTTTCAGATAGCTCTACTCTACTGCACAATAGCTAAGAAATTCACTTTTTCCCTTCTGTGGTCAGGAGAAGATAGCTAGATATTGGTGAAAAGTAGTATAGTAGACACTTGTCCCACACAAAATACCCTCAGTCCATCTCATTTCAGTGCAGCTGTAGTAAACAGTTCATTCCATCTCAAGCACTCTGTAGTGTCTCTCGGTTTTTGTGTCTTAGTACTATCTCCAAAGCATTGGAAGGCTGCTCAATCCACACAAAAGTACAGCCTGGGAAGGTGATGAAGTTAAAGTGCTTGAGGCTAATACTCAACAAATGGGGGATAGGAGGTCAGTGGATAAATGCCTCAACCATCCGATCCTTCAGTGGGAAAATTCTGAGGTGCTTTCTAAATGGTTTCATTCAAGGTCTCCACCAGGATTGAGTTCCAGTTGTTCACAGAGTAACTAACTCAGTATTGGCTTCTTTCCCTTCCCAGTCTCTCCACTTACCTGGGCTTCTTAGGATCTCTTGCCATATAAGCTATTTGTATTCAAGTTCTTGTCTCAGAATTCCTTATCAGGAGAACACAAACTTATACAACTAGTAATGTTTATCACAGATCCAGTGCTTCACAGAATGATTTCATGGCAGAAGCAATGGATTGGGAGCCAGGAGGCTTTGGTTCCAGGCCATCTGCCATTCACTATTTTCACGACTTCGGGCCGTTAATTCTCATGACAACTTCATATTTTTATCTTCAAAATGAGCTATTTGGACTAGCAAATCTGTAACACCATTTCTAGATTTGATGCCACAATTCTGTGATGAAATTTTGGCTCTGTTAGAGGTTATTAAAACAATCATGGAGATTAGTGGTTCTTCATCATCAAAGATTAAAGAGAAAGTTATTTTCAATACTAGCCAAAGGGTTTTCGATTAGATCCAAGAAAAATTGCTTTAATGCAGAATTCTTCATTGGTGGTTTTTAAGTCCAAGTTTACTGCATATATCTGGAATAACTTCTAACAAGGTGATTATTGAATGCTTTCCTACTTTTGATTCTATATAGCTGTTGTGAGAGTAGTGAAAATAATTCACTGGCATATTTGATTTGGTTGCTCTGTAATGGCTCCTACATTCCCCATTTTTAATGAAATCAAAGAGGTAAACATCAATAAGTAAATTTATATCAAAAACTTAGTTAAAATAACTTTTTGGAGGCTCTCCATGCTTACCTCCTGCTGCAATACTAATAAAAATTAGCTAACATTCAGTAAACACTATTATGCCAGATGTTTGGCTAAGCACTTAACATAATCTCATTTAATCTTCATAAGAATAAATAAAATAAACACTGTTATAAGATATATTTTTGCTAGTGAAAGAACTAAAGCCCAGAGTGGGTAAGTTTATCTTCCCATGACCACTTGCTAGTAGGAGGCATAGCAAGGACCCAAACCAAGGTCTGATTTTATTGCTTGAGGATCTAACTATATTGCCACACTGTCTTGCCACTGTAGAGTAATAATTGATGTTCCTGGTATAAACTTTGAGGTCTTACAAGAGCATTAACAACAAAAATAAAAAAAGAAATTAAAAAACAGTCATTTTTAAAGATTTCACTTATTGAGGCAGGAAAGTGCACCATGAATTTAGGAAACTCTTTAACAGAATTAAGGAGAAATGAGGAGAATTTCTATTCTCTACTCACAGCCTTCTGACTAAATGTAAGTTTACTCTACTAATATAAAAATTTCAAAATTCTAATGGCTTGAAGTTGGGGTGAGTCTTGGAAAAATTTCCCAAATCCTTCATGAAAGCATTCTTCAAGTTTATACAATTATTTAGTCATTCCCTAAATATACATTTATGTTCAGATCAAATTCCCATTGCTATCCATTTGATTCCATAAATACTGAGGAATAAAAGGATTATTCTTTGTTTACTTAAAAAATCTAAAAATATAAGTGAAGAAAGAAAGAGGAGCTTACTGATGTATGTGCTTCCATGGTTTCAGACTATACAAATGTCGAATGGGCCGAAGCTCTTACCTTCCTTGGAGCCTATATTCTAGAAAAAGAAAACGGGCTGAACAGGTTGTTCGAGGAAAGAGTGGTTGGATGAGGTTTGTGGGAAGCAGACCTTCTGTGTGGTCTCACAGAAGCCTATTATGCGTAGAAACCACCTTTTTATGAAGTGCTTCTAAAGTAAATGTGAATATCTTATTTTTAAACCCAAAGCAGACTGGTTGTATATGCCCTTGTTTTGAAGACTGTAGAGAAGGAATTGCATTTTGAGCCTGTCTAGAGTCCAGAAGAGACATCCGGTTGAGATTTTTGTGCAAATACTTTGAAAAGTGTAAATTTATGTTTATAAATATTAGCCAAGGTTATTCTTTCTGTTGATGAGAAAATTTTCTTCTCTTTTGGCATAGTATGTGCCTAAGAAAGGTCCCAAATTTTGGTGGAATGGCAAATGTCTCTTCAACTTTTAAAGATCATCTCCTTTATGGAGGTATTGAATCAGAAGCACAGAAGAAAGGAAGAAAATGGCAAAGACAGATACTTTTCATTGCCAGTAAAAGTGGAGCCTTTTATCTTTTTATGGTCAATTTACATTTAAATGGAGAGACCCCTTAGTGCTGATGGAGGTGATGGAGAAAATGGTGTCTGCATCATGAATAATAAACATCAAGGGGAAATGTCAGTTTTTCAGCCAACTAGCACATTGTGTTGCTATGACAACAGAATACAAAGTGTTCTCTTAAAGGGAAACACTACAATTTGCTGGAGATAAAAACAAAGCTCAACTAACACAATATATTTAAATATAATCTTAGATTCATAAAAACTAAGGGTATACTGAAAAGTATGCATTGTTTTCTGATTTTTGAGGAGATACAATTATGAGAAGACCCCTGCTGAGGGTAGTGAGGGGAAACATTAAAACGGAATTTTTCCATCCCTTCAACTCCTCTTAAAACTCACAGGACCACAGCCACTCGTAGGCCCATCTGGTGTAGAGCCAGAAATTGGCACCAAATAAAGATAGATTCTTTTAGTTCTCAGACATTTAAGCAGGCTGTGTTTTAACATTCTCACTGCATACATAATTTTTCAAACTGAGCCCATGTTAATTATTTTTTAAACCATTAAACATGACTTGAACTCAACTAAACTGAAAATTAAAATTTTCCACGTTATAAGGTGATTCCTGTCTATCTGTTAAAAGAGGTAATGCTGAGAAATGGTTATGGAGATTCCCTGTTTAAAATTATGTAAAAGTAGGGAAATGAATTTCCCAGAGGTAGGGAGAATATATACTACTGCTTTATCTTAGTTCAGGTGGGGTTCAGATGTTTGAGCTTATCTTTATCAGCTCAGAATTGCCTTTGGAGGGTTCTTGCTTCCGTACTCGGATAAGGTTGTTGTATCCCATAGCAAATATCACCAAACTGATCGTGACACTCTTTTATGCCAACCCTGGAAACACTTTCAGCATGCTTCTCAACAAGGTGCTCCAGGCACCACTATATATTGTGTGGAACTGGCACAAGAGATGAAACCAATTTGTGAACTCTGCTTGATCCCATAGAAACAACTACCACTACTGTATCTCATTTTGGGTTTGGGAACTCAAAAAGTGAGCTCAAGTTTTTTTATCTTCCAGTAAGCTTCCCTGATTGTTCCAGCACACACTCATTTCTTCTTCAATGGAAATCTTATTACCTTTAAAACTAGTATCATACATTTTAGTCTTTAGTTGTCCCATGGATCTTAATTCTCTCCCCAAATATGTGTTTGAGAGGCATTTCCAAATGACAGGCAGAACTTTAATCTGAACACTGTGATTTATGCCTCCTTCTACATTGGCTGTAACACTGGAATGCCAAGTCTCCTGGTCTGATTTTCTATCCATAGCTGTGGGGGTTCCTGGCTATTAGGGAAAGGGAAAAAGAAGGAACTCAGTGGGGGCATTTTTCATTTATTCTGTTTTGTTAGTTTTTTGTTAGTTTGGTGCTCACAGTCAAATTGGGAGGTAAAGTTTCTCTTTGGTGTCCTGCAGAAGCCCGTTATCCCAATCCCACATGTGAGAGTCCATTCCTCTAATCATGGTAGAAAAGTTCTGATAAATTATGGTGAGGGATTGTATATGTGACTCTTCTGGAGGTATTTTTTCCATTTCTAAATTGATGTCTATAGAGGGCAGTACTTAACCCAAAGAATATAGCTTCAGTGAAAGAATTGTAGGTGCTATGATTTCTTAGGAAGAGAGGGAGAACGTATTTAGGGGCAGGATGGTGCAAATCATGATGTTTGGGCAAGCATCTACTATAACTACACATAAGGTTGACACTGGTGAATGAATGGCAGCTGTACTCATTCATTTTGATCCATGTTTGCATAATGTATCAGCTCTCTTTGTGACTTGGCCACCTGTATTTGGTAATCGAGTGCTGTTGTCACATCCGGAACCAACACCAAAAGTTCCTATTGAAAAGTCACTGGTCACACAGGAAAGAGCAATAGGAACAAATTTATTACCTTAATTTGCAGCTAGCCATGACATATTAGTATACAAAAATAAAACTGTGGCCGGGTGAGGTGGCTCATGCCTGTAATCCAGCAATTGGGAGGCCGAAGTGGGCTGATCACTTGAGGCCAGGAGTTCAAGACCAGCCTGGCCAACATGGTAAAACCCTGTCTCTACTAAAAATACAAAAATTAGCTGGGTGTGGTGGTGGGCGCCTGTAATACCAACTACTCGGGAGGCAGAGGCAGGAGGGTCACTTGAACCTGAGAGGCAGAGGCTGCAGTGAGCAGAGATAGTGCCACTTCACTCCAGCCTGGGTGACAGAATGAGATTCTGTCTCAATAAATAAATAAATAAATAAATAAATAAAATAAAACTGTATGTTGAGAGATCAGGCCACAAAAGTGCTGTTCTCCTTGACAAGTTTTCAAGTCTAGTTAACCATAAGCAAAATTATAATGTAGACTTTTGGGGGAGCTCTAGACTCCCTGAATATTTCCATTTTTTCAGACATCTCAAGCATTTACCTGTTTCTCTTCATCACACTAGGTGACAGTCACTGAAATGGCACAGAAGATTTCTTAAGCTGGCATTCTGCAAAACAAATTTGGTAAAGCAGATTCCTGTGAAATGATACATTTAGGGAAACTGCGTTTCCATAGTGCCTCTTGGAACTTTGCCGTGCATATTAACATATTAAAAGCTTGGAAAAATTCAACAGTGAAAATATCTGTTTAACTGTGTTTAACCCTGTGTCTTACTGAACTAATTCAACTTCTTTTCAGATATCAATCCTTAAAAATTTATCAGTATTAATGTTCTATGTAGCAAACTTTGGAGAATTCTGGCCCAAGAGTGTATTCTCCAGGTTTCTCTCCTTTTTTTTTTCCTTTTTCACTGGCATAAAGCATAAAGAAAATGATATATTCATAAAGGTAGACTTTAAGCACTCCTCCGGGGGTTCCATTGATATTCTTCTCTTTTTTCCTTTATTTTTCTTTCTTTTTCTTTTTTTAAACCATCGAAACTATCCCAGTGATCTTTAACTTTGAAACAGATAAGTGTATAGTGATTGGGGAATAGCATAATGTATTAAAGATATACAGGTTTTGGAGCTGGACAGACCTGCTTTTAAATTGAATTAATTTACTTATTAGTTGTGTGGTTTTTGTAACTAAATTACTGTTTTCATAACCTCACTTTCTTCACTTGTGAAATAGGGCTAATACCAATAACAGGTATGTTTTGAGAATTAAATGACATAACATATATAAAGTACTTTACAAGTATGCTCTACTTGGAAAAGAGTGTTACATAAACTCTGTGTTTACACTTATACATTATTGATAAGGAAGGGTCTACCTTTTTACAGAACTAAAACAAACTTTTCCATGAGTTTCTATGTACATACAAAGAGCCATCTTTTTTTCTGTATTATTAAATTATAAGCTTGAAAAACTAGTAAGATATTATAACCTTGCCGGCAATAGCTCAAGTTCTTGCTGTTAAATGTGGGATGCCTCACATACCATTCCAAAATACTGGCTTTAGCAACAAATGAATTATTAAATGTCAAATTGTTATTTCCCGAGACAGTTTCCAAATGGACTAGGTCTGTGCTAATAAGTAGTGAAATGTGCCTCCAGCTGCCTCACAGCTGTAGAAGAAATGGATAGCAACTCCAGTGGACTCATTTTACCTGGCAGCAGAGCACGGGAAGGCTCACCCATCTGTCAACACAAATTTCTCTTCTAATCTCTTTGACCTTCTTCTTGAATTGTTTCTTGTTTAAAGAGAAAATCAAGAGCTATTCAAAGTAGAGGCTTTTTCTAAGGACATTTCAAGTACAGTCAACTCTTGATAGTTTGCTTATAGGGATGTCCATGCTGTTGATGAAAACCATTGACCCTGTTTTCTTAACTTGATACCAAAATAAGTAGATTGAAAAACAATAGATTTATTAATTAAACTAGTTATAAATCAAACCATATCTAATCTTTCCAAGAAAGGAAAAAATCACTTAGAAAATACTTTAACCTAAGTCCTGTTTGTGATTCAAATAAAAGGTTAATACTTGTTTAGTTTAAGTTACATTCTTTATTATATGTATTGATGATAAAAGTTTTCTGAGGTGTAGGTCCTTCCTCTGAAACATGACATTATCATTAATTTATGGCTTTCAAATGGTATGAATAAAGGTTCACATTCCACTTAATACAAGTAAATGGTTATCCAGACCATTCTTGTTAATTGGCACCTGGGGATGAAATTGTCAATTATTTGCTATTATAAACATTAGTCTTGTACAATTCCCTGTATCTATAGGCAGAAATATTTAATACGTGATTACTGAAACATAGCCTTGTTAATGAACTCTTCCCATTACTCTTTCTAAGTAGGTATTGAGCTAGGAGATCTTGTTCAAGAACCATTTGCTGGTGATGTACCATCATGGGCACTTTAAGATTACTTCATTTGGTGGGCTGGAGGTGTTTAGCTTACTCAGTAGCATTGCAGATTTTCCTCTATCTAATTTAAAACACAACTACATAAGTACTAATTAAGAAACACAATGTATGAAGATGTAATTTGTATGACAAAAATGCACAAAGGATAAAAGCAAATTTTTTTTGTATATAAGTGATACCAAGTTGGTATTAATATGAACTAAGTTGTTACTATAAAGAATGCTAATTGTAATCTCAAGAGCAACCACTAAGAAAGTAATAAAAATACATAATTTAAAAAGCAAAGGAATTAAAATGGTTCACTAGAAGATATCTATTTGACACAGAAGACAAGAGTAATGAAGAAGAAGAGAAGCTGAGAAGGACATCAGACATATAAAAAACAAATAGCAAATGGCAGCCATGAATTCTACCTCATTAGTAATTGTATTATATGAACATGAATTAAGCACTCCAAATAAAAGGCACACATTAGCAGAATGGGAAGAAAACATGACTTTAACTGTATGCTGTCTGTAATAGACACATATAGATTCAAAAGTACAAGTAGATTGAAGGTAAAGGAATGGAAATATATACCATGAAAATAGTAATAGAAGAGAGCTGGAGTGGCTATACTAATATAGACAAAATGAACTTCAAAAGAATTGTTAGTAGAGAAAAAGGATATTTTGAGTGATAAAAAGGATAAAAAGGTCAATCCATTAAAAAGATAAAATAATTATGAACATATGTGCACCTAACAACAAAGCTCCAAAATACATGAAACAAAAACAGAGAATTGATGGTGGAAACAGACAGGTTAACAATAGTAGTCTGAGACTTCAATGCCCCACCTTCAATAATGGATAAAACAACTAGGCAGAAGATCAAAAAATAAATAGAAAACCTGAACATCTTATCATTCAACTAGATCTAAGAGAAATTCATAAATCACTGCTCTCAACAAGAACAGAATATGCATTCTTCTCAAGTACACATGGAACATTCTTGAATATAGATCATATGTTAGGTCATAAAACAAGTCATAATGCATTTAAATGATTGAAATTATATGACGTGTCTTCTTTGACAATGATGGAATTAAATTAGAAATCAACAACAAAGGACATTTGACAAATTTGCAAATATGTAGAAATGTAAAAACACATTTGTAAATAACCAATGAGTTAAAGAAAAAAAATCCTAGAAGAAATTAGGCTTTACTTTAAAATAAATGGAAATGAAAGCACAACATACCAAAACTTATGGGATGCGGTGAAAGCAATGCTTAGAGGGAAATTTATGGCTGTAAATACCAACATTAAAAAAAAAATAGTAAGATCTCAGTAACCTATCTTGACAATTTGAGGAAGTAAAAAATAAGAGCAAACTAAACTTAAAACAAGCAAAATGAAGGAAATAATAAAGATTATAGCAAAAATAAATAAAATAAAAAGATAGAAAAAACAATAGAGAAAATCAAAATCAACAAAAGTTGATTTTTTGAAGAGATCAACAAAATTGACAAACTTTTAATAAGAATAATCAAGAGTGTGCTAAGAATTAAATAGGTTACTTACATGAAGCATAGAAAAAAATTCCTGGCTCCTGGTAAAGGATATATACATAAATATTGTTAAAGTTTAACAAATCCTTGCTGATGGCTTGGGCATCATAAAAGGTATTACAGAATGGAAAATTGAGAAAAATACATTAATATCTCTGAGAGTTTGAACTAAGCCTTTGTTTAGGAGTTCTGTACTGGTTGCCACTTCATAAAACTCCTAGACTTCTTATACTGTGGAAAATTTGCCTTCCTCTTCTCCACCTCTTTTCCACCAGGAAATCTTAGATCCCTAGCCCCTGTATGAGTATGCTTCCCAAAATAATTCCTGTTGTCAGTTGGAATTTCTTGACACTTCAAGATGTACTCCACTCCTTACTCTCAAGGTTTGGGCTTTAGGATCTCTCTCCAAGAAAATCCATTAGAACAAAAGTAACCTGATAACAATAAATATTTTTTTCAAACATAGTATTATTTCAGATGCCAAATAGCTTAGTTGCCTTAATGGTTTTTTCTTTTTTATTTTTTCATTAAAGCTACTAGATGGTCGGGAGGTGTAGAAACTACCAAATCAGGGATCTGCAAGAAAGTTACTTTATGTCTTTTCAAATAAATGTTCAGACAGGATTTGACATATAAATTTTTTTTTTGGGCAGGGAGTGACAAAGAAAAGATGGGGCTGGCCTTTAGACCATGTTTCATGTCTGATAACTGTGGAATGAAAGAGGTAATGAAGGAGAAAGAGACTCAGATTAAAGCACATTTTCAAGAATGGATTGGTCAGGCTGAAGGAAGACGTTGGACCAAAGTCATTTGACAGAGAAGTCCCATCTTGTCAGAATAAACTTGCATTAGTACCTCTACTATGCTCAGTCATTGTCAGCAAGCAGACAGAAAGAAGTGTGGTTTGGGCCTAAGTACAGTGGTGAATCCATTGAGCAGCAGCTGGGGCTGGGAGCCCATTATGCCTCCCACAGAAAGAGCTCTAAGCAATGCACTTTCATGGCCACCACTGGCTAAAAAAAAACCATCATGTTCTAAAATTCATTTTTAAAGGAAACTGCGTTTTAAAAAATTGGGGGAAATGTCCATGAAATAATATGTCTGATTAAAAGTTAGAGCCTATATTTGTTTTTATTTGTTTGTTTCTTTGTTTTGGTTAGGGCAGTGGAACTATTTTAGAAGTGTCAACATATTTCTAAAAAAGAATTAGGTTTCATGAGAGTCAGTGCCTAAAAAGGAACAAAGGGCAAAAGTGTTCTTAAGGAAAAAAATATTACCACCAATACAGATATAAATGATCTTCCATTTGAAATAACAATACTGTGGAAGAATAAAAGATAAATATGGAGGAACAATTATTCATGAAAACTTCCAAGACAAAGAAGATTCTCATTAAATTTGGGCCCTGGATCATTTCCTTCCCTAGAAGCACATGAGTGAATATGAATTTCTTGACTCTAAAGCACTTAACCTTTGGGTGTCAATGGGACAAAGATCAGCTAAGTAAGATGAGAGCTGAGGTTTCAATTTTCTGAGCTCTTCTGAATTTGTCTTTCTATATGATTAATGCTTGAGCTTTTCTTTTTACTCTTTTGATTCTGTTCCTTTCTTGATCAGGAATTTCCTTTGGTGAAGGCAAGATTCCCTAAGCATATCTATATAATCTCAGATCATGGAAGCAGTTATTTTTAAAGAAACACTTAGGGTAATCTCATCATACATTAGTCAGCATAACCTATATTTACTAACAAATCTTAATAACTTAATAAAACAAAAAATTTATCGTTTATGCCACATGTCTAACGTAGGTTACTGTATGGCTTTGCTCCCCATCAGTAACTCAGGAATCCAGGTTGATGGAGGCTCCAATACAGAAACATTGGCCTTTTCAATTGCTCTAAGCATTAAGAAATCACTGAAGAGTTTCTCAATAGAAATTAAATGCTTCAGGATGGAAGTAAACATCCATTGTTGTGAACAAGTCATATGTCTCTGTTTAACTATAGGGATCTAAGAAGTGTGGTAGATCATGTTGATATTTGGAAAGCTGTAAATATGTATGCTACAGTGAACGTGTGGCATGAAATATCCCTTTGATCCTTTCTTCCTAAACATATGACATATTAATGCCCTCCTCAATCAAGCTAATCCCAATTTCTATAAAGTTGCTGTATCATGTTTAAAACCGAGGGTCCCAGTGATGTGGAATTTTTTTATTGTAGTAAAAACACATTAAAAATGTACCATCATAAACATTTTTAAATGTAGAATTCAGTAATAATTATATTTACATTGTTGTGAAACAGATCTTTAGAAATACTTCACCTTGCAAATCTCAAACTCCATATCCATTAAACAACTTTCCCTTTCCTTATTGCCCCAGCCCCTGGTATCCAACATTCTACTTTCTGTTTCCGTTAATTTGACTAGTTTAGATACTTCATATAAGTGGAATCATGCAGTATTTGCCTTTTGTGACTGGCTTTTTCACTTAGTATAATGTCCTTGTGGTTCACCCATGTTGTAGTATATGACAGAATTTCCTTCCTTTTTAAGGCTGAGTGATTATATATAACACATTTTACTTATCTATTCATCTGTCTATGAACAACTGGGTTGCTTTTACCACTTGGCTATTGTGAATAATGTTGCTTTGAACATCAGTGTGCAAATATCTCTTTGACGTCCTGCTTTCAATTCTTTTGGGTACATATCCAGAAGTGGGATTGCTCGATCATATGGTAGTTCTATTTTTAATTTTTTTAGAACTTCCATTCTGTTTTCCACCACAGTGCTTGCACCATTTAACAATCCTATCAACAGTGTACAAGGACTCCAATTTCTCTATATCCTTAGCAACACTTGTCTTTAGGTTTTTTGATAGTAGCATTTCTAACAGGTGTGAAGTGATAGCTCATTGTGGTTTTGATTTGCATTTTCCTGATGATTAGTGACTTGAATATCTTTTCATGTACCTGTTGGCCATTTGTATGTCTTCTTTGAAAAAATGTCTATTAAAGTCCCTAGCTCATGTTTTAATCAGGTTGTTAGTATTTTGCTATTGAGTTTTTGTTTTGTTTTGTTTTTTGTTTTTGAGACAGTCTCACTTTGCTACCCACGCAGGAGTGCAGTGGAGCGACCTCGGCTCACTGCAACCTCCGCCTCCCAGGTTCAAGTGATTCTCCTACCTCAGCCTCCTGAGTAATTGGGACTACAGGCTCGTAACACTACGCCCAGCTAATTTTTGTATTTTTTAGTAGAGATGGGGTTTCACCATGTTGGCCAGGCTGGTCTTGAACTCCTGACCTCAAATGATCCACCTACCTCAGCCTTCCATAGTGCTGGGATTACAGACATGAGCCACCATGCCTGGCCAGCTATTGAGTTTTAAGTATTTCTTTCTTTCTTTTCTTCTTCTAGTTGTTACCCAGGCTGGAGTGCAGTGGCGTGATCATAGTTCACTCCAGCCTCAAATTCCTGGGCTCAAGGGATCCTCCTGCCTCAGCCTCCTGAGGAGGTAGGACTACTGGTGCATGCTACTATGCTCAGCTAATTTTTTTTCTTTTAGAAACAGGGTCTCACTGTGTTGTGCAGGCTGGTCTTGAACTCTTGGCCTCAAGCAATCCTCCCACCACAGCCTCCCGAAGTGTCGGTATTACAAGCATGAGCCACCACACCTGTCCTGGTGTTTCTTATATATTTTGGATGTTAACCCCTCATCCGCTATATGGCTTGCAAATATTTTCTCCCATTCCATAGATTGTCTTTTCCCTCTGTTGAGTGAGGTGGTATCTCATTGTGGTTTTGATTTGCATTTCTCAATTAGCAATGCTGAGCATTTTTTCCTATTCTTGATAGTATATCATCTTTAGAGAAATGTCTATTCAAGTACTTTGCCCATTTTTTAATTAGGTTATTTGATTTTGTTGTTGAGCTGTAGGAGTTATTTTTATATTCTGGATGTTAACCCTTATTAGATATAAAATGTATAAATATTTTTCCTATTCTATAGTTGCCATTTCACTCTGTTGATTTTTTCCTTTGCTGTGCAGAAACTTTTTAGTTTGACATAATCTCACTTGTCTATTTTTGCTTTTGTTGCCTATGCTCTTGATGAAATCCATGAAATCATCGTCATGTCCTACATCATAAAGATTCTCCCCTATATTTTTGTTCTGGGAGTTTTATAGTTTTAGATCTTATATTTAGGACTTTAATCCATTTTGAGTTATTTTTTGTCATTCTTGTGCATGTGGATGATACCTTTTTTATTAACATTCTTTGTTAAAGACACTGCACTTTCCCCATTAAATAATTTTGGAACCCTTGTTGAAGATCGTTTGGCATTGTTGATTTAAAAAAAAAAAAAAGCCAAACTCTGTAAAGATTTGAAGAGATTTACTCTGAGCCAAATGTGAGGACCATGATCCATGTCACAGCCTCAGGAGGTCCTGAGAATATCTGTCCCAGGTGGTTGAGTTACAGCTTGATTTTAACCATTTCAGGAGGACAGAAGTTACAGCCAGACTACCTGGATATGGTGCCAGATCTCACAGGCTGAGGGCTTAGCTCTACAAGACTTCCCTTCTGCATGTTCAGCAACCCAAAAGCTCATCATATCTTGTTGTCCAAGCGTTGTTACAGAACTTGATCCACAGCACTCCTTCACATCCCAGAAGTTAGTGGGTGTGAATAAAAATTCTAACCCTCTAATCCTCTAATCGTTTGGTCTTTCTGGTGACTGGCCCCATCCTGAGGCTATCCAAGGGACCCAGCCTAAGTAACTTCATTATCATAAACTCCAGAGTTATCAAAGGGGCTCATTATGAATAACAAAACATACTCCTATCACTCTGGAAGTTCCAGGAGTTTTAGGAGTTCTATGATAGGAACCAGGAACAAAGACCAAATATATTTTACATTATACCACAGGGCAACCCCTGATCTTTGACCATGGATCTCTTCTAATACAAGGATCATAGTGACAAAAAGTACTGACACATTACTACTGTTCTATTCAGTCATTAATAATTCATCTAGTCCTTTATTATATGTATGAAAATGTCTCCCAGAGTGAATTAACTCAGGTTTACAGACTTTCGTTCGATCTTGTCAGGTTTCAAACAAATGCAACAAACATAGCTTCACGCTTTCAGGCATCTGGTATAATTGAGCTAAGAGATAATATGGTCTATTCCTCTGAGCCTCTTCTGAGGTATTAATATAATGTTGGATTTTCCTCTTTACATAACCCATTTTTAATTTTTTATCCTCAGCTATTATTTCTCTTTCTCTTCATTAACACCCAAAATAATACCCTTAATGAAAAGGACATTAAGTTCTGCCACTGTGCTTTTCTAGATTGCAGGCAACAATATTAGTTTGGCAAGTATCTCTCCCTCTGTCCACTCTCATTCATATAAGGTAGGGTTACATAAATAAAGAACTAGTGAGCTATCTTGATCACTAGGCAGTACAGTTGCATTTACTCTTAATCCCATTCTTTTTTCTGGACAAGTTAAAGACACAACCCACCCCAACAGGCTCTTTGTAATTCTGACATAAAGATTTAAAAATATGGGTACAGCTCCTTTGTTTGGAATCAACCTTTTTTCTGGCTATTGTAGCTGCTGCTTTGGTCCTGTGGCCACTGCCTCAGTCAGAAAAAGCAAAGTTAAGCAGATGTAGGGAAGAAAGAAAGAAAAATAAAGTATAGTCATCATACTGGCATCCTCCCTCCTTCTCCGGGGGAAAACAGGATAATTTATCTATTGGAGACACTCCCTTTGCCTTCCTCATGTTGTGTGTGAACTCACACTCATGAAAACATGTAAGCCAGCCTTTCAGTCTTATATCTCCCATCTTAAATAACCAGTGTTTCAATTGCCCACTCAAATTTTCTATCAAACTATTACTTTGAGGCAGACAAGTCTCTGCCCATATGAAGCATTGTGGGCTACATAGTATGTTCCTTGAAGAAGTATAACTTGGAAGTTCAAATTGGTGCAATATCTTGTATTTCAGTTCTTTCACAGCATTCTGAACATTTTTGTCTTCTACCAGGTAAGCAAATCCCAGTCCAGATTCACTGTCTATTTCTGTTAAGACCCATTTGTAGCCACCAGGGCTACCAGCATCAGTGTCACTTGCCAGCTATGTTCAGGGTCTTCCAACAAGGGACTCTGCCATATAATCACCTGAGGTATCTATCTCTTTTGCTGACGGACAGAAAAGTTTTCATTGACAATTTGTACCTCAGAGGCTATAAGATGAATATATGTAGATTCAGCTTATTTCTGCATAGCTGTAGTACTCTCAGATTCACTTATTTCATGGACCCAGATGGCCACCTCAAGCAAGCACATGAGGATATCTGTTTGTTGATTCCAATCACCTTCCATACCTGGAAGTGAGTTCTGATGGACCTTGACATGTCCTACTTTAGTACACCCTTCAGATTTTTGGCCCTATGGGGATTCCTGTATGGTATCCCTTTAATAGGCCAGGTTTCCATTTCTCTCCTCCCTAAATATGTGTCCAGGCCATTGGCCACTGTCCATGAGTAAGTAAAAACCCAAATACGGTGGCTTTTTACCACTGTTCAATTCTTCAATTACTGATAGGAAGACAGCATAAAGTTCAGCTCACTGAGTAGATTTCTTACCTTCTTCAATCAGAGTGGTGGCCTTCCAAGCAGGATGTTGTCCATTCATCTTAGAATTGCCATCCAAAAACCAAATAGCTCTTTGTTGGTCAGTGGAGAGCTGTCGTTCCAGATTCCGTCCTAGGGGAAAAGAGGCTCCCTGCTTTTGAGTATCTTCTCCTTCCATTCTCCAGGTCACATGATCCTGTATAAATTATATCCATTTTATTATGGAATTCTTTTGGGTACTGTCATCTCCATTAGAGTGTTGATCTGACATCACTCAAGACATCATGGGTATTTCAAGTTTCAAGATTATTTTATGTTCTTTATTCATTGAGGCAGTCTCAAAGCTCAACAGCAAGTCCATAATTATCTCTCTGATGGAAATTCTCTAGTCCGTAATTCCAGTAGATGTCACTGGGAGGCACTCACAGGCTTTTACCATAAGCCCCAGTATACGTTCCAAACAGGGTTATCACACAGATTATTTGTTCATACCGCCACTCCAGCTTCTACTCTATATTGTTTGGGCTTGGATAATGTTACTGGTTCCCATTTAGCATGTCCAATTATTACTTGAAGGGCAGGTTTACATGTCTTCTGTTTTATAATACTAAGTAGGGGAAACATTCCCCAGTAAGATACAATATCTATTCCATAATGCCATCAGGTAAAAGCGACAACCACTTCACATAAAGCCAGTTCAACATATCAATTTTCCTACAAACATTTACCTTAATTCTATCAAGCCTTACATTCATGACTATAACCTTCATGAGGATTTTATCATCAGTTTTTGTTTTACAATACTAGGCAGAGGAAGTATCCCCCAGCTAGATATAATATTCCAATAAAACTATATATATATATATAACTATATATATATATAACAATATAACATTCCAATAAAACATTCAGGTAAAGGAGGCACAACTTCTTTACATAAAGCCTGATAAAACCTTCCAACTTTCTTAATCCTATCAACATGCACATTTTTATGTCCTCTCAATCTAATTATAGCTCAAGTCAGGAGTTCACCAGTGGGTTTTGCTACCACAGTGCATGGAGCTTCTGTATCAAGGAGTTCTAGAAATTTCTCTAAGGAAAAAAAACCCTCAAAAAACAAAACAAATAACAACAACAACAACAACAAAGAAACTTCTCCAACTCCTGATTTTTTTTTTTTTTTTTTTTTTTTTTTTACCTACTCTTGTAGGTAAAAAGCTACCTACCTCTTGTAGGTAAAAAAGGTACCTGATTTTTCTTCTACCTACTCTTGTGCTAAAAGCTTTGGGTCTCCAGGAGGGAATTGAGCCAAGAGACTAGCCCTTTTGTCAATCTTTATCTTAATTAATCTGCCTCACTATTGTCCCAGGCAATTCAGATCAGATCAGGCCTCTTAGGCTCCGTTCATTTTTCTTTTCTCCTTTTTGTTCTCCTCCTCAAGATGGATAATTTCGATTGATCTATCTTCACGTTCACTGATTCTTTCTTCTGCCTACCAACACCGTTATTAAAATCCTCTAATCAAATTTCCATATCATCACTTGTATTTTTAAGGTCCAGAATTTCTATTTGCTTTTTTTAAAAAAAAAAAAATTCAATCTTTTAACAACATTCTCTATTTGTGGAGACATCATTTTCTTGGTTTTCTTTAGGTCTTTGTCCATGGTTTCCTTTATTTCTGAGAATATTTAACATAATTGACTTAAAATATTTGTACAACAAGTACAATAGATATGTTTTTTCAAAGATAGTTTATGTTAATTTCCTTTTTTCTTATGAGTAAGCCATATTTTCTTTTTTTAAAAAAATTGGTTTGTATTTTTTATTGAAAATTGGACATTTTGCATAATGTGACAAATGTGGTTATCAAATTCTTCCCGTGCTAAGAGTTTTGTTATTCTTGCTTGCTGTGGGTTGTTGCAGTCTGATTAGTGACTTTTCTGAACTATTTTTGTATAGACCGTATTCACTGTCCTGTGTGGTCTCTGCAATCTTTGTTCTTTTAGCTTGTGATTATCTAGTTATTTGAAAAGTTCCCTTAAATGCCTGGAGTCAGACAAAGGTAGGAAAATGAAAAAAAAATACCACATTTTTGCAGATTGGTTCTATGTTAAAGCACTCTTTCAATATTATTTATAATTCTGTTTTAGCCTTCAATTTTTGGTTTTGCTGAGCGGACGATCAGCTGGTAGTAAAAGTCTAGGTTCTTACCAGTTCTTTTCCCAACATGCATGTAACCACACAGTGGGTTCACCGTGCTTGCTATTTAGAGCCAATTTATCAAGAAAGGGGAATTGCAATAGAGAAAGAGTAATTCATGCAGCACCGGCTGTGTGGAGACCAGAGTTTTATTATTACTCAAATCAGCCTCCAGAGCATTCAGGGATGAGAGTTTTTAAGGACAACTTGGTGGGGGGAGGCCAGTGAGCCAGGAGTGCTGACTGGTTAGGTAGGAGATGAAATCATAGGGAACTGAAGCTGTCTTCTTGTGCTGAGTCCGTTCCTGGGTTGGGGCCACAAGACCAGGTAAGCCAGTTAATAGATCTGGTTGGTGCCACTTGATACATCAAATGCAGGGTTTGCAAAATATCTCAAGCACTGATCTTAGGAGCAGTTTAGGGAGTGTCAGAATCTTGTAGCCTCCAGGTGTATGACTCCTAAACCATATTTTCCAATCTTCTGGCTAATTTGTTAGTCCTACAAAGGCAGTCTAGTCCTCAGGCAAGAAGGAGTTTTGTTTTGGAAAATAGCTGTAATCATTTTGGTTTCAAACTATAAACTAAGTTCCTCCTAAAGTTAGTTCAGCCTTTTTAAGCTATAATCTAAGTTCCTCTCAAAGTTAGTTCAGCCTACACCCCGGAATGGACAAAGACAGATTGGAGGTTAGAAGCAAGATGGAGTTGGTTAGGTCATATCTCTTTCACTGTTTTAGTTACAGTTTTTCAATGGCGGTTTCATGCATTCTGTCCTGGGCATGCACCTAGCTTCTAGATCTTTGGCATATATAAGAGCTTTTCAAAGCCCATATTCCCTATTGCATTCCTCTCCAACTTTTACTTTTAGCTTTCAGTATTTCTATATTTGTCCAAACTGTATTCTTCTATTCCAGGTCTCCACAGAGTAAAAATGATGTAAGGTACCACAGCAAAACATAGAGAACATTTTATTTTATTGTGCTGCTAAAATGACCATTTTCAGGGGTACTTTTGTCAGTTTCTATAGTATTGGAAGATTGTGGGAAAGGCAGAAATCTTGCCAAAAGAACAATTATGAAGGAAATGATAACTTTTGGTGACTACTCTATCCTTTTAGATGAGAAGTGACGATGGCTTGTTCATTAGCCTATGTTTTTGAGAAAAGTCCTCTCCTTAGCCACTTTTCTACTGTCAGAAAGTTCTGTGTAAGGCAAAAGATGGCAAGCACCTTGTTTCAGTCCTTCAGGAAGTCTTCAGACAGGCCAGAAAAGTAAAACATAATTCAGTGAGAAGAAAGTTTACTCTTCTCCCTCCAGAAGTAAGGACACATACCTGAAATTTGGGCTGCTGGCTTCAAAACTGCCACTGAGCAGAGAAGGGGATGGTAGGGTATATTATAAAGCCACAAAGCTCTCCTAAAATGTTTAAATCGTCTTTTACTTTATTCAACATTGGCTTGGTTTCTGTAAACCTTTAACTATTTTTCAGAGTTCCCACAAAGATTTTTTAGAGTTTTTTGCTTATTTTCCCATTATTTTTATGGACAGACAGGCCCTTAGAGTTCTCTGCTCTGCATTTTTCACTGATGTGATAAAGTGTTGTAACCTTTGGTATTTGTCAGCTTGGACTGCCATAACAATGGCAAATGCAAATGCCACAGAATGAATGACTTAAACAACACAAATGCTTTTTTTTTTTTTTTTTTTTTTTTTTTTTTTTTTTTTTTTTCCTCTCACAGTTCTGGAGGCTGGAAGTCTAAGATTAGAGTGCCAGCATGGTCAGGTTCTGGTGAGATCTTTCTTCCTGGCTTGCAGACGGCTGCCTTCTTGATGTGTCTACATATTGAGGAGTGATGTCTACGTCTCTTTCTCTTCTTGTAAGAGCACCAGCCCTATTGGATTAGGGCCCCAACCTAATGAACTCATTTAACCTTAATTACCTCTTAAAGGTCCTATCATCAAATACACATCACAGTGGTGGTTAAGGGTTGAATATGTAAATTTTGGTGGCACATAATTCAGCACATAGAATATTTTAATAAATTAATTCTACACAATCAAAAAAAGAAGGATAAATGGCTGTTTCCCATGAACCAGGTAACATTCTCCTTATTCAAAAGAATGAGTAAAAGATATGAAGCAAGAAAGAGACCAGAAAAATTAGCTTGTAGTGGATCTCACTGCAGAGAAATCAGAAGAATGGGGAATAGTATTCTCTTCTATGACTGAAGAATATAGAATATATTTTGATCCAAATTTCATCATATAGGCTTCTAGTTTTACCTTTTACCTAAAATGTCAACCCCTATTGTTAAGTGTCCGGTAGCAACGTGTTGACAAGTCTTTGCTCTGAAGGACAAGGATGACAATAATCTTCATGATGCAGAGAAAAGAAACCTGTGAATCAGAGCTGTTAAATGAGTCACTCAAGTTTATAGATCTAGGAAAATATAGATGCATGAAATAAACTCAAGTTTCTGACCCTATGAAATTTTACTGTAGAATGTTACATTAATCATTTTTTAAGAAAGTTAAGCACTGAGTCATTTGTTTATGGGCTTAAAAAAGAATAACTAAGTATCCCTGTTGATTATAAACATTCAATAAGAGAATTAGAAATTAATGATCAATTTGCAAATTGTATGGCCTTGTTGAAGATATCAGCGAAATCTGAGTATGAACTGTAACTGTAGTGGATGTTGGTATTAGCTTACCTAGGATCTATAATCATTCTTCTTTCTTGAATCCACATTTTCATCCATCCTCCTTTTCTCTTGATGTACTTTGGAATGAGGGGAGCTGACACAAGACCCAGTACTAGGAGCAATGTAAGCCAATTAGCATATTTCATTATTCTGGCGTGGCCAGGTCATTGGTTCTGGGTTTGGCATGTCACTTAAGTGGACCAATAAGGATGAATCTCAATTCTCTTCCTTGAAGTTCTCAAGAGATTAATTTTTTTATAATCAAGCATGTTTTTCTCTTAGGTGGTACTGTATAACTTTCTTCTGGACTTACAGATCCATCAGGCTGTAAATCCTATAAATCCCAGTAAATTTAAACAAGCTTATATTTTCAGTTATTTATAGCAGAACACATACTATAATAGTTGATACAAAAATTTCCAGAAAATAAAGAAAAAGAATAGACTATTTTTGTATGTAGAACAACAAATTAGACACAGACTATTTAGTTATGTAGTCTGCATAAAGACAAACTTTCTTGTGACCCAAGGATCAGCATAATTTTTGTGGTATAGAATATTTGTCTAACATATAATAATTCTTTACAAAAGACTTTCAGAACATTCTAAAGAGAGTTTCTATTCATAACACCCAGTAAAACTTAAAAAAAAATTCTCTCTAGCCATCTATCAGCTAAAATTCCATTTGCCTCAGCAAAGCAGATAACCCCAATCCCTATACATTTCTTCATGAATACCGCAAGCTTTTTTTCAAAGCCAGGAGATACTGGCTTTATCTTTTTTTAATATTGTATCTTGCTTTTCTCTTTGCATTTATACTTTTCTCTTCCATAGAAAACTCTCAGCCCATTTAATCATTTTGATAAGTGAACTAATCTGGTTTTTAGTCCTTTCATTCACGTATTAACCTAATCTACACTACGGTGGCCTAGAAATCTAGATATCAAAGAATCCTCTTTACTTGGAAAAAGCCTTGAATATTCCTTTGTGATTCTTCTTCTCTGACATACTTATATTTATAATATGCAACTCTTATAACTGGAGAATTTTAGATATAAGTGGGATATTAGAGCTTGATAAACTAATTCTAGTTGGCTGTTTGGTTTGTCTTCATATAGTAAAAATAAAATAAAGAGCCATGGTGAAAAAATGAAAGGATATCCACTTTTATCTGAGTGAGCCGTTAATGACCATTTGGTTCCTGGTCATTTTCTGTAGTATTAGAAGGTTTGGGGAAAGAAGCAAAGCTGGTCAAAAGAAAAATTGTGAGGAAAATGGTAACGCTTGGTGACTACCTATTTCCTCTTTCAATGATTGCTATGAATCCTTCTCCTAATACCATCTGTCATTCTTGTTTCCTCTTAGCACGTACTGGGTACTCTCATTTTACCACAGAAATAGAAACTTCAAATATAGCACTCTACTTGGGCTAAGATTCTATGTTTTCTATGTAAGTCTTTAAGTAACAGAGTTACATTATAGTATAACTCAAATTCTTGTAAATAATACGACTAATAAAGATTTCAATATTAAGCACTGTTTCAAGTTGTATGCCAGCTTTATCTAAACCAAACGCCAGTTGAGATCTCTGCTCTTCAAGATTTAGGCAAGGGAGGAGTAACATCAGGAATATGGCAGACTAGAAAGTTCTAGGTCCTCATTTCCCCACAGAAATATAAAAAAAGAAAAGAGAAAAAGGCAAAAGTAAAGAAAAACCAAAAAGAAGAAAAAAAAAAGTCCAATAATGGGCAGAGAGGTGTCCTCTTCAAAATAATAGTTTGATAGAGGATTAGAATGGGCAATTGAAACCTTGATTACTTAAAACGAGGGGAGATACAGGCTTGAAGGGCTGGCTTACATGTTTTCATGAAGTATGCACTCACACTCAACATGAGGAGGGCAAAGGGAGTATCCCCAATAGATAAAATTAACCTGTTTCTCCCCCATCCCCACTACTGCTGGGGAAGGTGGGAGGATGCTAGTATGATGACTATAATTTACTTTTCTTTCTCTCTTCCCTACATCTCCTTAACTTTGTTTTTTTCTGCCTGATGCAGTGGCCCCAGGACCGAGGCTGCAGCTGCAACTGTCAGAAAAAGGTTAATTCCAAAGCAAGGAGGTGTACCCATATTTTTTCGTCTTTATGTTGGATTACAAAAGGCCTGATGGGGTGGGTTGTGTCTTTAACCTGTCCAGAAAATTTGGAATTAAGAATAAATCCAGCTGTACTGCCTAGTGGTCAAGATAGCCCTTTAGTTCTGTATCTATATAAACCTACCTTATATAAATGAGAGTGGACTGAGGGGGAGATACTTTCTATCTACCTCAAACTGGAGAGAGAGGAGCAAATGTTATTTGCAATGTTCTAACCAGTGTCGGGGATGCTTGAGGAACTGGCCTCTGTTTCACCTAGCTTGAAGCTCAGACAGAAGAGTAACAGGAAGTGCTCATAAAAAGCTTCAGGAAGACTACAGACTTGAAAATGTCTGGGGCAAGAAATTATTGATGGAGACATACGATAGACCATCTAAGGCACTGAGGAGAAGCAGGGGTAAGACATTCCGGGGATGAGGGAGAAAGGAATTGAAAATCAACTGTGTATATGAGGGAATTATAAAAGCAACACACAGGCCCAAAGGAGACACATGACTTTAGGAGATATTAAGCTTTTGTGTCAAGCTGCTCCCAGGAGTAAGAACTTGCCTAGCTAATTAGTGCAGAGCTACCTGGCAGAGAGCCCAGTTTGCAAATGCTGAGAGATGTGGTTGTTTTTTCAAATACTCAATATTCAATAACAATGAAAACCACAAGACAAAGAACCACGAAAATCTGGGCTATTCAAAGGAAGAAAATAAATAGGCAGAAAATGTCCTGAAAGAAGAATAGGCATCAGAATTACTAGAAAAATATTATAAAACAATTATCTTAAATATGCTCAAAGATTTAAAGAAAAACTTAAAAGAAGACTAAAGAAAATTGGGAAAAGTATATATCAACAATGTGAGAATCTCAACAGAGACCCAAATTATGAAAAGGAACCAAATAGATTCTAGAGTTCAATCTATTTCCAACAAATATGTTTAAATATTCAACAGAAGTGTTCAAGAGCAAATTTGAGAAGGCAGAAGAAATAATCAGTAAACATGAAGATAGGACATTTAAAATTATGGAGCATAAGGAGCAGAAATAAAATAATGAAGGAAAGTAAAATGAAGCCTCAAGGAATTATTGTATACCATCAAGTCAACTTACATGTGCATTATGGAAATTCCAGAAGGAGAAGATAAAAGAAATGGGGTAGAGAGATTTTAAAATTGGTGGTGGAAAATTCCCCAAATTTGTTGAAAACATGACTATACAAATCCAAGAAAGTCACAGAACTCAGAACAGGATAAATCCAAAGAGACTTACACCAAGACATATTATTATCAAACCGTTGAAAACTAAAGACAAAAAGATTATCTTGAAATTAACAATTGAAAAGAGACTTATAACCTACGAGGGATCCACAGTGAGATTTTTTGCTGATTTCTTAGCATAAACCTTGGATGCCAGGATGCAGTGGGAGTACGTATTTAAAGTGCTACAAGAAAAACAAAACTGTTAACTGAGAATTCTATATCCAGAAAAAATATTATTAAAAATGAGGGAGAAATTAACATATTCCCAGGTAAACAAAAGCCCAGGGAGTCCATTATCTCTACACTTGCCCTACAAAACATGCAAAGGGAATGTTTCAGGTTGCAATGCAAATACACTAGATAGTACCTAATAGCCACTAAATGGTATTACAATTTTTGGTACATACAAGTAGATGGGGAAATATGAAAGTCAGTATTATTGTAATTTTAAAAAGAAAGCATGCTTACATTTGGTTTTCATTGTTGAATTTCTGAATTTGTCCTAATAGATCCCAGTGGAGAAAGAAACATGGTCTAATAACATCTTCTCAAGGTTAGCTTGGGAAGGTTTTTATCTGTCAAAAACACTTCCATTTCCTGAAAGATAACACTTCATGATGCACCTTAAAGAATTCTTAAATTTGCCTTTTATTGCAAGATTTCTCAATTTGTCTATTAGGGTCCAGTGGAGAAAGAAAAATGTTCAGATAACATGTTATCAAGATTGACTTACAAAGGTATTTTTCTGAAAAAAAAAATAAAATAAAATAAAAAGGTGTTTCTTTGTCAAAAATTTCCATTCACTGAAAAAAAGCATATGATGAATTTTTTAAAATATAGATTTAGGGGGGTACAAGCCAGTTTTTTTACATGGATATATTGCATAGTTGTACAGTCTGGGCATCCAGTGTAACCATCACTTGAGTAAGTGTACATTGTACCCATTAGCTAATTCCTTTTCCTTCACACCTCCTCCCAGTCTCTCACCTTTCAAATCTCCCATGTCTATTATTCCACTCTGTATGTCCATGTATACACATTACTTAGCCCCCACTTTCCCACTTATAGACAGAACATGTGGTATTTGATTTTCTGTCGCTAAACTGTTTCATTAAGGTAATGAATTCCAGTTCCATTCATGTTGCTGCAAAGGAATGATTTCATTCTTTTTTTTAATGGCAAAGTAGTATTTCATAGTATACATATAAGACATTTTCTTTATCCTGTCATCTGTTGATGGGCACTTAAGTTGACTCCATATCTTTGCTATTGTGAATAGTACTGCAATAAACATATGAGTGCAGGTATCTTTTTGATATAATGATTAATGTTTCTTTTAGCAGATACCCAGTATTGAGATTGCTAGATCAAACGGTAGTCCTATTTTTAGGACTTTACAATATCTCCATACTCTTTTATATAGAGGTTGTACTAATTTACATTACCACCAACAGTATATAAGTGTTCCCTTTTCTCTGCATCCTTGACAACATCTATTTTTTAACATTTTTTAACAGCCATTCTGACTGGTACAAGGTGGTATTTTATTGTTGTTTCAATGTGTGTTTCTCTGAGGATTAGTGGTGTTGAGCATTTTTCCACATGCTTTTTGGCCATTTGTATGTCTTCTTTTGCAAAATGTCTGTTCGTGTCCTTTGCCCACTTTTTAGAGGGGTTATTTGGATTTTTGTTGTTGTTGAGTTGTTTGAGATCCTTACAGATTCTGGATTTCAGTCCTTTGTTGGATGCATAATTGCAACATTTTTCCCACTCTATAGGTTGCCTGTTTACTCTGTTAATTATTTCTTTTCCTATGCAGAAGCTTTTCAGTTTAATTAGGTCACATTAGTCTATTTTTTGTTTTAGTTTTATTTGCTTTTGAGGTCTTAGTCATAATTTTTTTGCCTAAGCCAATGGAAATGAGAGTTTTTCCTAGAATTTCTTTTAGAAATTTTATAGTTATAGATCTTTTAAGTCTTTAATCCATTTGATTTAATTTTTTATATAGTAAAAGATATTAGTTCAGTTTTATTCTTCTGCATATGGCTATCCAGTCTTCCCAGAACCATTTATTGAATAGAATGTACTTTGCTCAGTGTATGTTGTCAACCTTGTCAAAGACCTGTTGGCTATACGTATGTGGCCTTATTTCCGGGCTCTCTATCTAGTTCCATTGATCTATGAGTACCAGTACCATGCCGTTTTGCTTACTGTACTCTTGTTGTAGAATTTGAAGTCAGGTAATGTGATGCCTCCAGCTTTGTTCCTTTTTGCTTAGGATTACTTTGACTATTTGAGCTCTTTTTTTGGTTCTATATTAATTTTAGGATTGTTTTATCTAATTTGTGAAAATGACATTGGTATTTTGATAGGCTTTGCATTAAATCTGTAGATTTCTATGGGCAGCATGGTAATTATAATGATATTGGTTCTTCCAATCCATGAGCATGGGAAGTTTTTCTATTTGTTTGCATCATCTAAAATTTCTTTTAGCATTATTTTGTACTTTCCTTGTAGAGATCTTTCACCTTCACTGTTAAATGTATTCCCAGGTATTTTATTTTACTTTTATAGCAATTTTAAATGAGATTGACATTTTAATTTTGCTCTCAGCTTGACTGTGTTGTTGGTGTATAAAAATGCTACTGATTTATGTATATTAATTTTGTATCCAGAAACTTCACTGAATGCATTTGTCAAATCCACCAGTCTTTTGGCAGGGTCTTTAGAATTTTCTAGGTATAAGTTCATATCATCAGCAAACAGAAATGATTTGTTTTCCTATTTTCTAATTAAAATGTCTTTTATTTTTTTCTCTTGCTTGATTGCTCTGCCCAGGATTTAAAATACTATATTAAATATAATTGGTAAAAGTGGTCATCCTTGTCTTGTTGTATTTCTTGGGAGGAATTCTTTCAACTTGTCCCTGCTCATGATGATGTTGACTGTGGGTTTGTCTTATATGGCTTTTATTATCTTGGGGTGTGTTCTTTCTGTGTCTAGTTTGTTGGAAATTTTTAACATGAAAGGATGATGAATTTTATCAAATGCTTTTTCTGCATCTATTGAAATGCTCATTTGGTTTTTGTTTTTAATTGTGTTTATGTGATAAATCACATTTATTTATTTCCATATATTGAACCATCCTTGCATACCTAGAATAAATCCACTTGATTGTGATGTATTATCTTTTTGTTAATACTGTTGGATTTGCCTTGCTAGTATTTTGTTGAGGCTTTTTGCATCTATGTTTATCAGGAACATTTGTCTATTGTTTTCATTTTTATTGTGTTGTTACCTGGCTTTGGTGTCAGGATGATACTGGCTTTATAGAATTATTTCTGGAGGATTCCCTCCCCCTCTATTTTTGGAACAGTTTCAGTAGGATTGCTACCAATTCTTTGTATCTCTGATAGCTGTAATCTATCTGGTCCTGAGCTTTTCTTTGTCGGGAGATTTTTTTGTTACTGATTCAATCTCACTCCTCGGTATGGTCTGTTCAAAATTTCAATTTCTTGCTAGTTTAATCTTGGGAGGTTATATGTTTCCAGGAATCTATCACTTTCCTCTAGATTTTCTAGTTTGTGAGCATAGAGATGTTCATATGTTCATATTACTCCGATGATCTTTTGTATTTCTGTGGTTTCAGTTGTAATGTTTTCTTTTCCATTTCTGATTGTGCATGTTTGAATCTTATCTCTTCTTTTCTTGGTTAGAAGACTAACATTCTATCAATCTTGTTTATCTTTTCAAAGCAGAAATGTTTCATTTTCTTGATCTTTTGTACTTTTTTTACCTCTTTCACTTACTTCTACTCTGATCTTATTTTTTTTCTTCTGCTAGCTTTGGGTTTGTTTGTTTGTTTTTTCAGTTGCTTGAGATGTGAAGTTAGGTTATTAATTTGTGATTTTTCCTTTTTTTTGGAGGGAGTGTAGGTACTGGATGCTATAAACTTCCCTCTTAGCAATGCTTTTACCATATCCTAGATGATTTGGTATATTGTGTCCCCAGTTTCATTAATTTTGAAAACTTTGTAAATTTCCATCTTAATTTCATTTTTGACCATATGGTCATTCAGGACCATGTTGCTTAACTTTCATGTATTTGTATAGTCTTGAGAGTTCCTCTTCCAATTCACACCTAGTTTTATTGCACTGTAGTCTGAGAAAATATTTGATATAATTTTAATTTTCTAAAATTTATTGAGATTTGTTTGGTGGCCTAAAATATGGTATCTTTGATTATGTTACATGTATGATAAGAAGAATGTATATTCTTTGGTTGGTGTGGAATATTCCTTAAATATCTATTAATTTCATTTGGTCTAAAGACCAATTTCTGTCAAGTGTTTCTTTGTTGAAGTTTTACTGAATAATCTGTGCAGTGTTTTCAGTGGGGTGTTGAAGTCCCCTATTGTTATTGTCTTGCTGTCTATCTCTTTTGTTGGTTGTAGTAGCATTTTGTTTTATATATCTGGGTGCTCCAATGTTAGGTATGTGTATATTTAGAATTGTTATGCCTTGTTCTTTAATTGATACCTTTATTATTATATAATGACCTTATTTGTCTTGTTTTTACTGTTGTTTATTTAAAGTCTGTTTTATCTGATATCAGTATAGCTATTTCTGCTCACTTTTGATTTCCTTTGGCATGCAATATCTTTTTCCATCCTGTTACCTTCAGTTTATAACTATCTTTACCAACTTATGTTCAAAGTTATTGATATGTGAGGTTTTGTTCCTGTCATAATGTTAAATGTTATCTAGTTGCTTTGTAGAGTCATTTGTGTAATTGTTTTATAAGAACTGTGAATTTTATACTTTTACAAGTTTTTATGATGACAAGTATTAACCTTTTGTTTCCATGTTTAGAATTCCCTTGAGCATTTCTTGTAGGACTGGTGTAGTGGTGATAAGTACTCTCAGCATTTCCTTGTCTAAGAGTTTATTTCTCCTTCTTCTATGAAGCTTATTCTGGCAGGGTGCAAAATTTGCTGTTGATATTTCCTTAAGCACCTTGAAAATAGAATTCAATCTCTTCTGGCTTATAAGGTTTTTATTGAGAAATCCACTGTTAGCCTAATGGATTTCCTTTATAATTGCCAAGATTTTTTTTCCCTGCTGATTTTAGGATTTTTTTCCTTCACTTCAACCTTAGACAGTCTAATGACTCTATGTTCTGGTGAGGTACATCTTGCAATGTGTTTAGCTAGAGTTCTTTGAGCTTCTTGTATCTGGATGTCTAAATCTCTTGCTAGACTAGAGAAATTTTCCTCCATAATTTCCTCAAATAGCTTTTCTAGATTTTCTTTTTTCTTCTTTGTCATAAATACCTGTGATTCATAGGTTTGGATGTTTTACATAGTCCCATGCTTCTTGAAGGCTTTATTTTTGTTTGTTTGGTTTTTTTTCTTTGTTTTTGTATGACTGGATTAATTAAAAAGACCTGTCTTCTGAGATTATTTCTTCTGCTTTGGCTAGTCTTTTGTTGAAGCTTTTAAACTGTATTTTGTAATTTCTTCATTGAATTTTTCATTTCTGGAATCTCTGTTTGTTTGTTTTTAAAAAATATTACTTTGATAAACCTCTCATTCATATCTTGGATTTATTTTCTCATTTCTTTGTATTGGTGTTCATATTTCTCATGGATATCATTAAACTGTTTAAAAATCAATATGTTGAATTCTTTATCTGATATTTCAACAATTTTAGGTAGGATCCATTGCTAGAGAGTTAGTGTGATTCTTTGGGGGACTTTTAACCCCCTTTTTTATACTTTCAGAAGTGTTTTACTGGTTCATTTTCATGTAAAGAAACGGTCTCTTATTTTTGAATTCCCTTTTGTTTCTGGATATTTTTCCCCCTTGTGGATGTGAGTATAAAATATGTTGAGTTGGTTCATTTGGCTTTGCTTCTGGGTGCTTTCTGTGGCAAATACACTTTATGAATCACTTGGTTATAGATGGCCTTAGTGTGGTGACTTCTTAAATGCCAGTTGCAGTACTAATGTAGCAGGCATGTCAGTAGTGTCATAATGTTCTGTGAAGCAGGGGTGATAAAGGTCTTAAGAAGCTTATCTCTTCCTCAATTGTTCAGTTGTGTTAGTGGAGTGTTGTATTAGGTTGTGCAATTTAGCCTTCAGGCCAATAGGTAGTGCTTGTTGTAAGAACTGGCTGTGGTGTTAGCAGAAGTATGTATGCTTGGTCTTTGTTTACCAGAGGAAACTCTCTGGCACTTCAAGCACTGGTCTGGTCTATGAAATGCCCAGTGGCTTGGGTTCCACTCTCAGTTCCAAACTACTCTTATCCCTCAGTTCTGGGTTTGGAAGCTCTTCTCCCATTTGAGAGTAGATTTTAAATATCTGTCTGGAAACTTGCCCAACCAGTGACTGCTACCCGTGCTTGTTGATAGATTTCAGCAAATACCCCTATGATTTAGGGTCTGAAATGGCTACATTCTATTGGCTCTGGGGTCTGAGAGCACATGCAAAGCCCTTTCACTGCCACTCCTCTGGGACTCCCCTCTGATAATTAATATTAGGTGTCAACTTGATTGGATCGAAGGATGCCTAGATAGCTGGTAAAGTATTGTTTTTGGGTGTGTATTATGAGGGCGTTGCCAGAGAAGATTAACATTTGAGTCAGTGGACTAGGAGAGGAAGACTCACCCTTAATGTGGGTGGGCACCATCCAATTGACTGCCAGCGTGGCTAGGACAAAGCAGGTAGAAGAAAGTGGAACAAGCTGGCTTGTTGAGTCTCCTGGCTTTCATCTTTCTTCTGTGCTGAATGCTTCCTGCCTTTGGGCATCAGACTCCAGGTTCTTCAGCCTTTGGACTCCTGGACTGACACCAGTGGTTTGCCAGGGGCTTTCAGGCTTTTGGCCATACACTGAAGGCTGCACTGTTGCCTTCCCTACTTTTGAGGATTTTGGACTCAGACTGAGCCACTACTGACTACCTCCTCAGCTTGCAGACAGCCTATCATGGGACTTCATCTTGTGATCCTGTGAGTCAATTCTCCTTGATAAACACCCTTTCATATATACATATATTCTATTAGTTCTGTTCCTCTGGAGAACCCTGACTTAATACATCTCCATTGCTTCCCACATCAGATACAGTGCTTGGTAGGGTCCAGTAGCTCCTTGTGGCCGGATTTTTCTGGCTCCCCAGTAGGAATGTGTATCATGGAGACATGCTGTTTCCCTCTTATACACTGGGTACTTGCAATTTTCCAGCAGACCCACAGTGTGGGCTGCTGCCTACCAAATTCTTCAACATATCTGCTGTTTTTAATCACTTTTATGTTACGATCCTATGTACCTTCTCTTATGAAAGTTCACGGTGTGAATCTCTACACACTATTTTGCTATTTCCATGTGGCTAAGGCATGCTAACAAAGCCTCTAATCTGCCACCTTGCAGAAAAAACTTAATTTTGGTTTTAAACTCCACTTGTTATTTTCCACAAGATTTAAAAAGGAAATGTATAACAATAATTACAAATCTATACTAATAGGCACATGATGTATAAAGATGCATTTGTGACATTAATAACAACGTATAGGGGAGTGAAGCCATATGCAAGTAGAATTTTTGTATATTATTAAAGGAAGATTGCTATCAATTTAATCAATGTAAGTTATAAATTTAGGATGTTATACATAATTCTCATAAGATAAAAATGAAATAGGTATACATTATACACAAAAGATAATAAAAAGCGAATAAAATGTGTCACTACAAAAAATTAAACACAAAGGAAGTCAGAAACAGGAATTCAGACACTTGAGCAACTGAACCTAATAGATGTCTAACAGAATAATGCTCCCAACAACCACAGAATATACATTCATTTCATCTCCACATGGAACATATTATTTTTTATTATTATTTTTTTATTTCAATAGGTTTTTGGAGAACAGGTAGTATTTGGTTACATGAATAAGTTCTTTAGTTGTGATTTCTTCAATTTTGCTGTACCCATCACCCAAGCAGTGTACACTGTACCCAGTGTATAGTCTTTAATTCCTCACATCCTCCCACCCTTTCCTCTGAGTTCCCAAAGTCCATTGTATCATTCTTATGCTTTTGTATCCTCACAGCTTAGCTCTCACTTATAAGTGAGAATATACAATGTTTGCTTTTTCATTTCTGAGTTACTTCACTCAGAATAATGGTCTCTAATTCCACCCAGGTTGCTGTGAGTGTCATTATTCTGTTCCTTTTTATGGCTGAGTAGTATTCCATGGTGTGTTTATATATACACATTAACTTTATCTACTCATTGATTGATGGACATTCGGGCTGGTTCCATATTTTTGCAGTTGCTAATTGTGTTGCCATAAACATGTGTGTACTAGTATCTTTTGTTGTATAATGACTTCTTTTCCTCTGGGTAGATACCCATTACTGGGATTGCTGGATTTAAAGGTAGATTTACTTTCAGTTCTTTAAGAAATCTCCACGCTGTTTTCCATAGTGGTTGTACTAGTTTACATTCCCACCAGCAGTGTAAAAGTATTCCCTTGTCACCACATCCATGCCAACATCTATTATTTTTTAATTTTTTGATTATGGCCATTCTTACAGGAGTAAGGTGGTATCATACTGTGGTTTTGATTTGCATTTCCCTGATAGTGATGTTGAGCATTTTTTCATATGTTTCTTGGCCATTTATTTATCTTTTTTTTGTATTCAAATGGGCAAAAAAATATGAAACATTTGTATTCATGTCCTTAGCCCACTTTTTTATGGAATTGTTTTTTTCTTGCTGATTTGAGTTCCTTGTAGATTCTATATATTAGTCCTTTGTTAGATGTACAGATTGCAAAGATTTTTCCCCACCCCGTGGGTTGTCTGTTTACTTGGCTGATTGTTTCTTTTGCTCTGCAGAAGATTTTTGGTTTAATTAAGTCCCATCTATCTTGTTTCATGCTGCATTTGCTTTTGGCTTCTTGATCATGAAGTCTTTGCCTAAGCCAGTGTCTACAAGGGTTTTTCTGATTATATCTTCTAGAATCCTTATGATTTCAGGTCTTAGATTTAAGTCTTTGATCCATCTTGAGTTGATTTTTGTATACTATGAGAGGTGAGGATCCAGTTTCATTCTTCTACATGTGCCTTGCCAGTTATCCCAGCATCATTTGTTAAATAGGATGTCCTTTCCCCACTTCATGTTTCTGTTTGCTTTGTTGAAGATCAGTTGGCTGTAAGTATTTGGGTTTATTTTTGATTTCTCTATTCTGTTCCGTTGGACTATGTTTGTTTGTTTGTTTTACCAGTACCATGCTGTTTTGGTGACTGTGGCCGTATAGTATCCTTTGAACCTAGGTAATGTGATTCCTCCAGGTTTGTTCTTTTTGCTTAGTCATGCTATGCAGGATCTTTTTTAATTTCATATAAACTTTAGGATTGCTTTTTCTAGTTCTGTGAAGAATGACGGTGGTATTTTGATGGGAATTGCATTGAATTTGTAGATTGCTTTTGGCAGTATGGTCATTTTCACAATATTGATTCTACCTATCCATGAGCATGGGATGTGTTTTCATTTGTTTTTGTCATTGATGGTACACTAGGAATATATTCTAAGATCAACCACATGCTTGGTTATAAAGCACATTTCAATGCATTCAAAAAAACAAAATTGTAACAAGCTAACTTTCAGATCATAGTGCAATAAAAATAGAAATCTATACCAATAAAATCTCTCAAAACTACACAAAACATGGAAATTAAACAACTTTCTACTGAATAACTTTTGGGTGAACAATGAAATTAGACAAAAATAAAAAAATGGAAATTAAGAAAAATAGAGTCATAACGTATCAATGTCTTCGGCATGTAGCTAAAAAAAGAGGAAAATTTATAATACTAAAGTCCCTCATCAGTAAGTTAGAAAGATCTGAAATTAATGTTCTAGCATTGCACATAGATAAACTAGAAAAACATAAATCAATCCTGAAGCTAGTGGGAGAAAAGAAATAATGGAAATCAGAGAAGAACTGAATGAAATTGAAATGCAAAAGTTCATACAAAAAGTCAATGAAGCCAATAATTTATTCTTTAAAATAATAAACAAGATTGATAGACCACTATGTAGATTAACAAAGAAAAGAGAGAAGATCCAAACAAGTGCAATCAGAAATGACAAAGATTTCATTACAGATGATCTCATGGAAATACAAAAGATCCTCAGAGTCTATTCTAAACACTTCTATGCACAAAAATTAGAAAATCTAGAGGAAATTGATAAATTTTTAGAAACACAAAATTTAATAAGATTGAACCAGGAATAAAGTTATATAATGAAGTGATCAATGAAAAATTCTGAAATTAGATTAGTAATAAAAAACATATCAACTGAAAAAAAGCCCTGGACCAGATAAATGCAAGGCTGGATTATGCCAGAAGTACCATGGAGAACTGCTACAAATTCTGCTAAAACTATTCCCAAAAATTGAGGGGAAGAGACTCCTCCTTCATTTATTCTATGAAGCCAGCTTCATTCTGATTCCAAAATCTGGCAGAGACACAACAGAAAAGGAAACTTCAGGCCAATATCCTTGATGAACGTAGATACAAAAATCCTTAACAAACTATTAGAAAATTAAATCTAGTAGCACATCAAAAACTCAATTACCTACAATCAAGTAGGCTTAATTCCTGGGAGGTAAGGTGGGTTCACCATATACAAGTCAATAAAAATTATTTACCACATAAAGAGAATTTTAAAAACCCATACGATCATCTCAATAGATGTGAAAAAAGCTTTTGATAAAATTCAACATCTCTTCATGACAAAAACCCTCAACAGACTAGGCATCAAAAGATACCTCAAAATAATAAGAATCATCTATGACAAACCCACAGCCAACATCACGCTAAATGGGTAAAAGCCAAAGACATTTCCCTTGAGGATTGGTCCAAGACAAGGATGCCCACTCTCACCACTCTTATTCAACATATAGTGCTGGAAGGACTACACAGAGCAATTAGGAAAGAGAAAAAAAAAAAGGCATCCAAACAGGTAAAGAAGAAATCAAACTATCTCTACTTGCTGACAATATGATTCTATACTTAGAAAACCCTAAAGACTCCACCAAAAGGCTACGAGAACTGATAAATGATTTTAGCAAGATTTCAGGATGCAGAATCAATGTACAAAAGCCAGCAGCATTTCTTTTTTTTTTTTTTTTTTTTTTTTTTTTTGAGACAGAGTCTTGCTCTGTCGCCCAGGCTGGAGTGCAGTGGCACGATCTCGGCTCACTGCAAGCTCCGCCTCCCGGGTTCACGCCATTCTCCTGCCTCAGCCTCCCGAGTAGCTGGGACTACAGGCGCCCGCTACCACGCCCAGCTAATTTTTTGTATTTTTAGTAGAGACGGGGTTTCACCGTGTTAGCCAGGATGGCCTCGATCTCCTGACCTCGTGATCCACCCGCCTCGGCCTCCCAAAGTGCTGGGATTACAGGCGTGAGCCACCGCACCCGGCCGCCAGCAGCATTTCTATACACCAATCACTTCTAGGCTGAGACTCAAATGAAGAACACAATCCCATTTACAATAGCTGCAAAAAAATTGAAGTACCTAGGAATAAAGCTAACCAAAGAGGTAAAAGATCTCTACAAAAATAATCACAAAACACTGCTGAAAGAAATCAGAGATGGCACAAATAAATGAAAAAAAAAAAAAGCATTACATACTCATGGATTGGAAGAATAAATATTGTTAAAATGGCCATACTATCCAAAGCAATGAAGAGCTTCAACACCGTTCTTATAAACTACCAATCCTAATCAGTCTTCACAGGATTAGAAAAAAAAAAGAGAGAAAAACCTATTCTAAAATTTATATGGAACCCAAACAGACCCCAAATAGCCAAAGCAATTCTAAGCAAAAAGAACAAAGATGGAAGTATCACAGTACCCAAATTCAAACTGTACTATAAGGCTACATTAACCAAAACAGCATGGTACTGGTAAATAAACAGACACACAGACCAATGGAAGAGAATACAAAACTCAGAAATGAAGCCACACAGCTACAGCCACCTAATCTTCAACAAGGTTGACAAAAGCAAGCAATGGGGAAAGGACTTTCTGTTCAATAAATGGTGCAAGAATAGCAGGCTAGCCATATGCAGCAGAATAAAACAAGAGCTTTACATTTTACCACATAAAAATTAACTCAATAGGCATTAAAGATTTAAATATAGAACTCAAACTATAAAAAATCCTAGAAGAAAACCTAGGAAATACCCTTCTTGACATTGGTCTTGGCAAATACTTTTTGACTAAGTTCCTTAAAGCAATTGGAACAATAACAATGATTGACAAGTGGGACCTAATTAAACTAAAGAGCTTCTGTGCAGCTAAAGAAACTTTCTAGAGAGTAAGTGATATGGTTTGGCTCTGTGTCCCCACCCAAGTCTCACTTTGAATTGTAATAATCCCCATGTGTCAAGGGTGGGACAGGTGGAGGTAATTGGATCATGGGGGCAGTTTCCTGCATGCTGTTCTCATAATAGTGAGTGAGTTCTTTTGAGATCTGATGGTTATATAAGCATCTGGCATTTCCCTTGCTGGGCTGGCACTTTCTCTCTCCTGCCACCCTTTGAAGAAGTGCCTTCCACCATAATTGTAAGTATCCTGAGGCCTCCACAGTCATGTGAAACTGTGAGCCAATTAAACCTCTTTTCTTTATAAATTACCCAATCTTAGTATTTCTTCATAGAAATGTGAGAATGGACTAATACAGTAAATTGTTACCACAGAGAGTGAGGTGCTGCTATAAAGATACCTTAAAATGTCAAGTGACTTTGGAACTCTGTAACAGGCAGAGGTTGGAACAGTTTGGAGAGCTCAGAAGAGGACAGGAAAATGTGGGAAAGTTTGGACCTTCCTAGAGACTTGTTGAATGGCTTTGACCAAAATTCTGATAGTGATATGGACAATGAAGTCCAGACTGAGGTGGTTTCAGATGGAGATGAGAAACTTTTTGGGAACTGGAGCAAAGATGACCCTTGCTATGCTTTAGCAAAGAAACTGGTGGCATTTTGCCCCTGCCCTAAAGATCTGTGGAACTTTGAACTAGGGAGAGATGATTTACGGTATTTGGGAGAGATGATTTACGGTATTTGGTGGAAGAAATTTGTAAGTGGCAAAGTGTTCAAGAGGAAGCAGAGCGTAAAAGTTTTAAAAATTTACAGCCTGACAATGTGATAGAAAAGAAAAACCCATTTTCTGGGGAGAAATTCAAGCTGACTGCAGAAATTTGCATAACAAGGAGCCGAATGTTAGTCACCAAGACAATGGGGGAAATGTCTTCAGGGCATGTCAGAGACCTTCAGAGTAGCCTCTCCCATCACAGTCCAGGAGGCCTAAGAGGAAAAAATGGTTTCATTGGCTGGGTCCAAGACCTCCCTGCTCTGTGCAGCCCCGGAACACGGTACCCTGCATCTCAGCTGCTTCAGCTCCAGCCGTGACTAAAAGGGGCCAAGGTACAGCTTGGGCCATTGCTTCAGAGGATACAAGCTCCAAGCCTTGGTGGTTTCCAAGTGGTGTTGAGCCTACAGGTGCATGGAAGTCAAGAATTGAGGTTTGGGAACCTCTGTGTGGATTTCAGAGGATGTGTGGAAATGCCTGGATGTCCAGGCAGAGGTGTGCTGCAGTGGAAGAACCCTCATGGAGAATCTCTGCTGGGGCAGTGCAGAAGAGAAATGTGGGGTTGGAGCCCCCGCACAGAGTCCCCACTGTGGCACTGCCTAGTGGACCTATGAGAACAGGGCCACCATCCTCTAGACCCTAGAATATTAGATCCACCAATAGCTTGTGCTGTGCCTCTGGAAAAGCCACAGACACTCAATGCCAGCCCATGAAAGCAGCCTGGAGGGGAGCTGTACTCTACAAAACCACAGGGACAGAGCTGCCTGTTGGGAACAGGACCCCCAAAACCTGGCCATAAACTGGCCCAAAACTGGCCATAAACAAAATCTCTGCAGCACTGTGACATGTTTATGATGGCCATGATGCCCACGCTGGAAGGTTGTGGGTTTACTGGAATGAGGGCAAGGAACACCTGGCCCACCCAGGGTGGAAAACTGCTTAAAGGCATTCTTAAACCACAAACAATAGCATGAGCGATCTGTGCCTTAAGGGAATGCTCCTGCTGCAGATAACTAGCCCAACCCATCCCTTTATTTCGGCCCATCTCTTCGTTTCCCATAAGGGATACTTTTAGTTAATCTAATATGTATAGAAACAATGCTAATGACTGGCTTGCTGTTAATAAATACGTGGGAAAATCTCTGTTCAGGGCTCTCAGCTCTGAAGGCTGTGAGACCCCTGATTTCCCACTTCATACCTCTATATTTCTGTGTGTGTGTCTTTAATTCCTCTAGCACTGCTGGGTTAGGGTCTCCCTGACCGAATTGGTCTCAGCAGCTGCCCAAGGCCATGGGAGCCCACCTATTGCATCAGCATGACCTGGATATGAGACATGGTGTCAAAGGAGATCATTTTGAAACTTTAAGGTTTAATGACTGCCCTATTGGAATTTGGACTTGCATGGGGCCTGTAGCTCCTTTGATTTGGCCAATTTCTCCCATTTGGAATGAGTGTATTTACCCAATACCTGTACCCCCATTATATCTAGGAAGTAACTAACTTGGTTTTAATTATATAGGCTGATAGGTGGAAGGGACTTGCCTAGTCTCAGGTGAGACTTCAGACTTGGACTTTTGAGTTAATGCTGGAATGAGTTAAGACTTTGGGGGACTGTTGGAATGATTGTGTTTTGAAATGTGAGAATATGAGATTTTGGAGGGGCCGGGGTGGAATGATACGGTTTGGTTCTGTGTCCCCACCCAAATCTCACCTTGAATTGTAATAATCCCCACGTTTCAAGGGCTGGACCAGGTGGAGGTAAATGGATCATAGGGGTGGTTTCCCCTATTCTGTTCTCCTTATTGTGAGTGAGTTCTCATGAGATCTGAAGGTTATATAAGTGCCTGGCATTTCCCCTGCTGGCACTCATTCTCCCTGCTGCTGTCCTGTGAAGAGGTGCCTTCTGCCATGATTGTATATTTCCTGAGGCCTCCACAGCCATGTGAAACTGTGAGTCAATTAAACCTATTTTCTTTATAAATTATCCAGTCTCATTTATTTCTTCATAGCAGCATGAGAACAGACTAATACAGGAAAACATTTGTTAAAATATCTAATGTCCAAGATCTATAAGAAACTTAACAAGCAAAAAACAAATAACCTCATTAAAATACTGGCAAAGGACATGAGCAGATGCTTCTCAAAAGACATACAAGTGGCCAAAAACATATGAAAAATGCTCATAATATTAATCATCAGAAAAATGTAAATCAAAGTGAGATATTTCACACCTGTCCGAATAACTATTATCAAAAATTTAAAATATAACAGATCCCGGCAATGCTTCAGAGAAATGTGAATGCTTATACACTGGTGGTGATGATGTAAATTAGTTCAGCCATTGTGGAAAGTGGTTTGAAGATTTCTTAAAGAACTTAAAACAGAGCTATCATTCAACCCAGCAATCCCATTACTGGTTATATACCCAAAGGAATATAAATCATTATACCAAAAAGACATATAAACTTGTATGTTCATTGTCACGCTATTCACAATGACAAAGACATGGAATCCACTTCAATGCCCATCAATAGTAGATTGGATAAAGAAAATGTGGTACATATACGCCATGGAACACTACACAGTCATAAAAATGAATGAAATCATGTTCCTTGCAGCAACATGGATGGAACCTAAGGCCATTATCCTAAGTGAGTTAATGCAGGAATTGAAAACAATATACTACATGTTCTTACTTATAAGTAGGAGCTAAACATTGAGCATACATGGACATAAACGTGGGAAAAAGAGACACTGTTGACTACTACAGGGGAAGGTAGGAAGGGGGAGTATGGGTTAAAAAATTACTCATTGGGTACTATGCTCACTATCTGGGTGCAATATACCACATGACAAACCTACACATGTATCCCCTGCATCTAAAATAAAAGTTGAAATTTTTAAAAAATGAAACATTGAAAACATAATTCAATTATATGCTTCTATAAAAAACTCATTTTATATTTAAGGACACAAATAGTTTGAAAGGACAAAAGATGTTTTATGCAAATATCAGGGGACTTTAAAAAGTTTATGAAAAAAATGAAATTAAAAGATAAAAATAATATAAATTTTTTTTTCAACATGAGCTCCATCAAGGCCAAGACCATTTTGTACATAATAATACTAGCCATTTAGTCCATCCCTAAGGAACTGAGAATTCTGGGACTGTAACCACATTGATGCAGACTTTTTCACATTGTTAACCAAACAAAAATGATTGACCTTTATGTATTTTTATGATCGGAAAACAAAAAGTCAGAAGAAGCCAAATCAGTACTGTAATGTGGATGCCAAATAATTTCCTATAGACATTCTTGCAAAACTACTCTTGTTTGAAGAGAGGAATGAACATCATCATGGTAAAAAAGGACTCTTTGGTAATTTTTTTTCTGTTCATTTTTCTGCTAAAGCTTTGGCTAACTTTCTCAATACACTCATAAAAAGCAGATGTCTTCGCTGTTTGGTTCTCTGGAAAGTCAACAAACAAAATGCCTTGGGAATCTCAAAGAACTATTGCCATGACCATCGGTCTTGACTGGTCTTGACTGTACCACTTCCACCTCTTGGTGGCCATTGCTTTGATTATGCTTTGCCTCAGGGTCATACTGTCCTTTGTCTTCAAGATCATACCATATTTTATAATCTCCTGTTACAATTTTTTAAAGAAATGCCTCAGGATCTTGATCCCACTTCTTCATAATTTTCATTGAAAGCTCTGGTCTTCTCTGCAGCTGATCTGGGTGCAAAAGTTTTGGCACCCACTGAGTGGAAAGTGTGCTCAAGTTTAATTTTTCAGTCAGAATTGTGTAAGCTGAACCAATTGACATGTATGTGGTATTAGCTGCTGTTTGTGCTGTTAATCATCAGTACTCTTCATTTAGAGCCCAAATAAGATAATCTTTTTTTTCACAAATAGATGTGGATGGTCTGTGGCTGTAGGCTTCATCTTCCACATCATCTCATCCCTTCTTTAAATGAGCTATTTATTTGTAAACACTGATATCTTTGGGTCACTGTCCTCCTAAACTTTTCATAAAGGATCAATAATTTCACTATTCTCCCACCCAGGCTTCACCATAAATTTGATGTTTGTTCTTGCTTCAATTTTAACAGAATTCATGTTGCTTTATGTCTTATTCTTCTTAGTGCCTCAAACTAGATCCTCTTAAGACATGCTATAAGTTAGTATGATTTTAGTCTGGTGCAAAAAATTGAAATCCATGTATAGTTTTTTTCTTGATCATACATACTTTTCATGATGTTTTTAAAGACCCTTTGCAGTCACCATAAGAGAACTGTAGTAACTGTATTGTTATCAGAAAAGAAAAAACATTTTAAGTAAACAACTATTAAAAGAGACAAGCTCATTATACATTGATAAGAAGCTCATTATATATTGATAAGAGGTCAGTTCACCAAAAGATGTAATAATTATGAACATATATGAACCAAAAATCAGAGCTTTAAAATATATGAAGCAAATATTGTCTGAAATAAAGGGAGAAATATAGAAGGTCAAGAAGGAAATACAGGACTTGAACATTTGAACAACACTTTATACTAATTGGGCATAACATACATATACAGAGACTCCACCTAACAACAGCAGAATATACATTTTTCTCAAGTGCACATAGAACATACTCCAGAATAGACCATATGTTAATTACAAAAGTTGAAATAAATTTAAACAAATTAATATCACACAAACTATTTTCTGGTCACAATAGAATGAAACTAGAAATCAACATAAGAATGAAAACTCAACAATTAACAAATAGGTGAAAACTAAATAACACTTTATTAAACAACCAGTGAGTCAAAGAAGAAAACAGAAAGAAAATGAGAAAATACCTTGAGACAAATTAAAATGAAAATCTAATATAACTAATTAGGATGCATTTTGGGATGCAGCAAAAGCCTTGCCAAGTTGGATTCAGAGTGGAAAACACTCACACCGAGAAGGAAGAAAGATTTCGAATTAATGACCTACCTTTATGGAACTAGAAAAAAATAACAGACTAAACACAAAGCAACAGAAGGAAGGAAATAGTAAAGAATAGAGTGAGGATAAATAAAATGAAGACTAGAACAACAATGGAGAAATTCATCAAAACCAAGGGCACATTCTTTGAAGAGATCAAGAATATTGACAAACCTTTAGATTAAGAAAGACAGACAACTCAAATGACTAAAATTAGAAATAAAATTGGGGACATTATTACTAACTCTACAGAAATCAAAAAGATTCTTATACAGTACTATGAACAACTGTACCTAAACATATTGAATAACCCTTATGAAATGAACAAATCCTAAAAGCACACAACCTACTAAGAATGAATTATAAAGAAATAGAATATATGAATATACCTACAACCTACAATTTATAAGGAGATAGATCCTGTAATCAGAAACCTCCCAACAAAGAAATACCCTGGACCAAATGGTTTCAATGTTAATTTTTGCCAAACATTTAAAGAAGAATTAACACCAATATTTCTGAAACCCTTCTAAACGTGTGAAGCATAGGAAATACTTTCTTACCCATTTTATAAGGGTATTTTATAAGCATTGCCCTGATACAAAAGCCAGGCAAGGTACTGTAAGAAAACTATAGACGAATATTCTTGAAAAACATTGATGAAAAAGTCCTCAATAAAATACTAATAAAGTGAATTCAGCAGCATATTAAGAGGATTATACAGTAATACAGGTGAGATTTATTTCTGTAATGTAAGGATGGTTCAACATATGAAAATCAGTCGATGTAATACACAATATTAACAGAATTTAAAAAACACACAATCTTTTCAATTGGTAAAGAAAAAGCTTTTGAAAATATATCACAACTTTTCATGGCAAAACATTCAACAACGTAGAAATGCAAGAAAATCTCTTCAACATAATAAAAGCTATATATGCAAAACCCCACAGCTAACATCATACCCAATACTGAAATACTGCAAGCTTTTTTCCTCTGATGAGAAACAAGACTAGGATGCCTGCTTTTGCCACTTCTATTCAACTTCTATTCAATGTATTGTTGGAAGTTTTTCCTAGAACATTTCAGCAAGAAAAGGACAAAAAGCATCCAAATTGGAAAGAAAGACTTGAAAATTATCACTTTGCAGATTACATAATCTCATATGTGGAAAACCTCAATTATCCCAGCAAAAAACCATTAAAACTAACAAACAAACTTAGCCAATTTGTATACAAGATCAACACACAAAACTCAGTTGCATTTATGTACATTAATAATAATCTGAAAAAGGAAATTGAGAAAACTTTAAAAAATATTATCTATACAAGGTTAACTCCATGTGCCATCTGATATTTCTAAATTAAAGGGAAGATCTCCATCTGGTGATGTGTGGGGCCACTCTGGACCAGAACCTGTAGCCAAGGGAAAGGGAAAATATGATTGGCCTGACCTGGGTCGTATACCACCTCTGTGACCAATTGAAGTGGGATAGAGTATTGTGACTAACCCCAAAGAACCATAAGAAAATGGGGAAAGGCAAATTCCCTGAAAGAAGAATGGGATGAGCTATCAGAATCTGAGAAGAAATAATTCGGTAAAAAGATGATTATTGCTTGGTATTTTGTTTCTGTTTTTTTCTGCACTGATTTCTAGCTTTAATCTAGATTCTGTTCTTTACATCTTGCATATCTATCTTAATCTCTGCACCATGCTGGGTCAGATTTAGAGCTTAGTCTCTTTTCCTTGATTTTCATACAGACCCCATTCATACAGGTCTTCATAGAAACATTTTTGGAAGAGTTGTAGGGAGTGAGGAGCATCTCATTTCAGCAGTGCAAGGGATATTAAATTGAGTACATGATAACCCTTTTCTTAAATAATTTCTGGACTGTTTTGAACAGCTCAAGTTTCAGCCTCCCACTTTCTTTCTAGTTTCTTCTACTTCCTCTCCTCTCTCCAGACTATTCACCTTTTCCTATTGAGTCACTATAGAAAATAATATTTCACATTTTATATTTGAGAGCAATTTAATACTCCTTTTATACTGTTACAAGGTGTAGCCCCTATCTCAGGCTTATCTTTTTAATCCTAAATGGACTTTCAAAGTATTTCACCTCTGGCTTATGATGTTAAAAAATATGTTACTTACCGGGCATGGTGGCTCACACCTGCAATCCCAGCACTTTGGGAAGCCAAGGCAGGCAGATCACGAGGTCGGGAGTTCAAGACCAGCCTGGCCAACATGGTGAAACCCTGTCTCTACTAAAAATACGAAAAATTTGCAGGGCGTGGTGTTAGGCGCCTGTAATCCGAGCTACTCGGGAGATTGAAGCAGGAGAATCACTTGAACCCGGGAGGCGGAGGTGGCAGTGAGCGGAGACCACACCACTGCACTCCAGCCTGGGCAAGAGAGCAAGACTCCATCTCTCTCTCTCTCTCTCTCTCTCTCTCTCTCTCTCTCTCTCTCTCTCTATATATATATATATATATATATATATGCACACACATATATATGTTACTCTTATCAATATGTTGATTAGTAAATACTATTTTTTGCTATAAAAAGTTTTGTCTATGATAGAAAAAGGTTTACTGGTTGGAAAATTATATGATCTGTGATGAATTTGTCTTTATCCAATCCATAATACATCTTACTTTTAGGTCCATAATCTTTTCTTCTGGAATCAATCTCTGCCTGGTAGCACCTTACCAAATGGCACACATAGTAGGTCAAAGAAATTGCCTCAAAAGTTCTATATCTATAAATGCAAACCTATAAAACGACAACAAATACCAGAAATTCTGTGAGGGTCTCTGAAATACTCAAAAGCTGCATTGCTGCTATGTTGCCAGAGTGCTTGTAGTTTGGCTTCTGGAAATATAGATCCCAGTTTATACTCTGGTAACTGCCTAATGTCCAAATGTAGTCAGAATAGTAATGTCTCCTGTCTTCATCATTCTTTACCCAAATAAAATGGCTTGTTGAATTAGATTCTGTTAATTCATCACAGAAGAACAGATTAGGCTCATGGAATATTACAGCTGAAAATGACATTAAGAATTATCTAATACAATTGCCCTCAATTTATACCTGAGAAAAGTGAGGGCCAGAGAATTTTGGTGACTCCTTGGTTGTTCTGTTCATACTAAATTTGATCTAAAATCCAGATCTGCTCACTCTTTGTTTATTGCCTTTCCAATTATTCTAGCCAGGAGATTGCTTCTCCTAAAGTTAGTTTTGCCCAGAGCCTTTGACTCAAATACTTTTGACATCTTAGGACTTTTTTTATTGTGGCAGCCAACACATTTTCAAGGGCAATAAAGTATTTTTTACATCAATTTAACAAAAATACACTATGAAAAGGTTAACAGTTTTACAGTTTGTCATTCTGCTATTTTGTCTTTAAGTAAGTATGAGAGCCTGTGGGAGCAACTTGGGGTAATAAAGGTTAATCAGTGGGAGCTTAAGGGTGCTTATGCTTAATTGATGGGCGCTTAAAGATGCTCAAGGTTAATAGCTGTGTTTTTAAAGCCAGTAATTCCCTTCATAGAAAGCTTTCCCTGTGGAATTTGCCAAACCTATCAATCAGTTCCAGCCACCAGCCAATTGGACAGCAAATTTAGGATCTTAACCCAAAGGGGATTTAGGAGTGAGGTAGACTATCTTCCCTGTGGCTGTAACTTTAATTATCTTTAAAAACAGTTTGGTCATCTTCAATGTACTCTATTCTTTCCTTGTTTTATGTCCGAATGGCTTTGGTTTTGTCATATAGATGAAACCCAAAATGGTACTTTTTCTAAGGTCCATAAAGCTGGTAAAGTAAGTTAACTGAAGGCTAGTTGCTAGTTTTAAAAACTACTTGGTTAAGTGTTTCCAAGATTAGGAGGTACAATCAAAACTGATTTGTTTTGATACTAGTTAGACACAAGTTAGTGACCAAGACATGTTCAATATATAGAGTAAAAACGTTAAATAAATATTTAACTTGGAAGGGACCTTAAAGACTCCACTCATTTTACAGCTGGTGAACTGAAGAGGTTGACCTGCCCAAGGTTATACACCTCAGCTAAGTCTAACCTGGTCTTTTTATGCCTGGCAACCATTTAGTTACGGTTAGCCCACAGCTGTTTCTCGGTCAAATACTGCATTTTTGATTTAACGTTTGTATAAAAAGATCACCTAGGGAAAGGCTAGTAAGTCTGGCTTGTATTCACTTGGCAAGCTTGTGTTTTTAAAGTCTACAAAGAAGACCTGTAACTGAATACAATGCCATTAATGTGAGACATGGAATACATTTTTCCTGTTGTAACTTTCTCATGTGTGATAGAACCTTTTAAGTCTCATGTGGAACTAGAGTCATCTGTACTTCTCATCAAACCCCAATTGCTTTGTTATTCCTTGAGAATGAATCATTATTTGATAAATTCTTCTAGAGAAATCAGACATTAATGACTTTGAGGACTATTGTACAGGTGACTATAGAGATTGTTTACACCACCCATTGAGAAATATTGAAAATTTCATCATTGAATATAGTTTGGGGTGTGTGTGCAATTGTCATTTATCTTCTTTTGTCAATACTTTTTCCTGCAGTAGATGAAAATTGATCCCAAAGGTTTATTTATTTAAAATCATTCAGTGGGGAAATTCATTCCCACATGCCAATTGCCTCCTTTTAATTCTCTTACCTTATGTCTTATAAAAGAAAAAGAGATAAAATATACTGCATTTTTAATGCAACGTTTAGGTAATATGTTTAATTAATGAAAATAGATTTCTCATTTTATTCTGATTATTCAGAATGTTTAAGCAACATGAGATTTATGCAAAGCATGAAATTGGTGGCATGACCCAGAGAGGTCTATCAGAAAATGCTATCAGCAGATCTTAGCAGGATGCTTCATGGTAACCATAGGGTTCTTAGTATATGGATGTGTGTAAGGATTTCCAGTAGGCTGAAGCCATAACTCATAGGTATGCTTTCACAGTAATCCTTGTAATTAAGTAGCAAATTACTGCAGAAAAAACCCAAGTGTTACTTTAAAACCAAACCCATTACTTTTTGGTTAATCATGATGAAATAATGATCACTGTGAGCAATTTCCCATTTCCTAATCTCAGTGGTATTGTTTGATCCTTAGATTTGTTTATGACAGAATAATGATCACCACTTATAACCCAGTCAATAATCAGAAAGTGCTAATAGCCTAGGATTTAAAACTACTGGATTTTTCCTAGTTTGACTGCCTGAATATTTAACTCTCACTTGACTCAAATTTTCTTTCCTTTCCTTTCCTTTTTTTTTTTTTTTTTGACAGAGTCTCATTCCATCACCCAGGCTAGAGTGCAGTGGTGTGATCTCACCTCACTACAATCTCCACCTCCCGGGTTCAAGCGATTCTCCTGCCTCAGCCTCCCGAGTAGCTGGGATTACAGGTGCACACCACCGCACCCGGCTAATTTTTGTATTTTTAGTAGAAATGGGCTTCACCATATTGGCCAGGCTGGTCTCGAACTCCTGACCTTGTGATCCACCTGCCTCGGCCTCCCAAAGTGCTGGGATTGCAGGCATGAGCCACTGCGCCTGGCCTCAAACTCTTTCTATTCTCTAAGAAGATCATTGAGAAAAGGTATCTTTCCATACTTTGAAAATTAATCATAGAAAAAATAAAGACTGGAGAGGGTTATTCATCTTTGCTGAAAACGGACTCTGGTGGCTACTCACAGTCGGTTTAACATTATGTTTATTTAAAATGTAGACATTGAAGTAAATTCTCATATAAAATGGTTTACAATGAGGCTTGTTCTTTGTTGCTCCAAAATTTTTAAATAGAATGAGTCAGTGGAAGATACAGAGCGAGAAAGCTGTAGTTTGACTTGGTGGAGAGAAAAAATACCTCATAATTTGAGTCAAAGGCAATGGATTAGGCTAATTCTTGAAGCAATGGGCTTTCCTCCAATGGCAAGCTAAGGATGGAAGCTGGATGGTCCGACTTCAGATATGCTATAAAGAACAAAATCTCTGCATTAGAAACAAAGCTAGATAACTTTTATGGTTTTTCTTAACTGTCGATTTCTAGATTTCAGATTCCTTTTCTCAGCTTTGCCCAAATTCACATCAAAATTTGCTATCCACCACGTCCTAGGTAATACACTGCTCTCATATCAATTTAGGATGTGTGATTCTGAAAGGGTACTCATCATACCCCAACATTATCAGGTTTACGTTTGGTAAGTAACTTCCATGTTTTGATCTGATGAAGAGACTGAGATGCAGAATTCTGTGCATCATAACAGGCTGTCGTATGTCATAGTTTGGACAGATCTTGTTCCTGGGGCTTCCCTGCAGCACCTGGAAAATTATGTTGGAGGATCAGAAACCCAAGGATTTAAAATTTACTGTTTTTTGTATGAAACTTTCTCCAATCTAAGATTCGATACAAATGAAACAGTGAAATACAGTGGGTGCATGTTTGGGGGGGTGAGCAATTGATTAAATAAAATTAAGTCATCAATCAGGTGTCCAAAGAAAAAAAATTTACCTTTTATGCTTCTGAAATGTCTCCTAAGTATTGATTTGTACAGTAATTAAATATGTATGAGAGGGGACTCATTTCGTTAATGCCCCATTGAATGTTTTAAAAAACCATTTGTTGAAGTATGATTACATACAAAAAGCTGTACATAACTAATGCATACAAATTGATGAATTTGGAATATATTCCTTTGAAACTATCATAATCAAGGCCATAAATATAATTACCTTACAAAGTTTCCTGATGCCTCATTCCTTTAATTAATTAATTTATTCTTTTGGGGTAAGAAAATTTAAAGTATACCTTTAAGATATACTTTATCAGCAATTTTTCAAGTATACAATACGGTAGTGTTCTATACACTATGCTGTGTCATACAACTCCAGAAGTTGATCATATTATGTGGGAATATTATGTATCAATTAATACATTTTTATAGTTACAGTTATATCTAATACTTTTATCTTTTAACTTTTATAATAGGGTTAAAATGTATTAATGTGCCACTCATACACTTTTGATCTGTGTTCCTCCACTCAAATCTCATGTCGAATTGTAATCCCCAATGTTGGAGGTGGGGCCTGGTGGGAGGTAATAGGATTATGGAGGCAGCTTCTCATGGTTTAACACCACCTGCCTTGGTGGTGGTGTGGCGAGAGTGAGTTATTGCAAGATCTGGTTATTTAAAAGTGTGTAGGACATCCCCACCTCGTTTCCTCCTGTTGCAGCCATGTAAGACGTGCCTGCTTCCCCTTCACCTTCTGCCATGTTTTTAAGTTTCCTGGGGCCTCCCCAGAAGCTGAGAGAACCATGCATCATGCTTCCTGTACAGACTGCAGAACCTTGAGTCAATTAAACCTCTTTTCTTTATAAATTACCCAGTTTCAGATATTTCTTGATAGCAATGTGAGGATGGACTAATACTGCCACAATTACAGTATTACTATACTCTGTGTTCACCTAAGTTTACTTTTACCAGTGAGAATTATGTTTTCATGTTGCTGTTTTGTGTGTTTTCTTTTCAAGTTGTAGAACTCCCTTTAGCACTTCTTATAAGAAAGGGGTAATGGTGATAAATTTCTTCAGTTTTTGTTTATCTTGCCTTTGTTTATAAAGGGAAGGTTTGTCAGACCTGATATTCTTGGTTGGCAGTTTTCCCAATGAATCTATTTGAAGTAGAGTCTAATCATAGATAAGAAGTAACCTTGGGCCAGGCATAGTGGGTCACACCTATAATCCCAGCACTTTGGGAGACTGAAGCAGTATGATTACTTGAGGCCAGGAGACCAGCCTGGGCAACATGGTAAGTCCCTGTCTCTACAAAAAAATAATTAAAAAAATAGCCAGGCATGGTGGTGCACACCTCTAGTCCTAGCTACTCAGGAGGCTGAAGCAGGAGGATTGCTTGAGCCCAAGCACTCAAGGCTGCAGTGAGCTGTGATCATGCCACCACAATCCAGCCTGGGTGACAGAGAGAGACCCTATCTCAAAAAAAAAAAAAAAAAAAAAAAAAGAAAAAAAGAAAAAGAAAAGGAGATAACTTTATCTCATTTAAAAGACAAAACAAAAATAATAAAAAAGTCACTGGCTTTACTAATCATTTTAGCTTATAAGTACCTCCTGATATCTCAACATGCAAACAAATAATGAAAACTTTGGTGAACATTCATTAGGAAATTTGAGGAACTTCACCTACATATGAGGGTGCAAACATCTTCATGGTGGCTATGGAGGCCAGATAGATTATATCATTGAATGTAACAGGTTGGGTTTGTTAGATTTTCTATTTCTCTGAAAAAAAATTTTACCCTCTTGGTCTTTCATTTCTTACTTTTCTATTTATTTATTTATTTATTTATTTATTTATTTAGAGACAGAGTCTTGCTCTGTTTCCCAAGCTGGAGTGCAGTGGTGCCATCTTGGCTCAATGCAACTTCCCCCTCCTGGGTTGAAGAGACTCTGTTGCCTCAATCTCCCGAGTAGCTGGGATCACAGGCGTGCGCCACCACATCCAGCTGATTTTTGTAATTTTAGTAGAGATGGGGTTTCAGCATGTTGGCCAGGCTGGTCTCCAGCTCCTGACCTCAAGTGATCTGCCTGCCTTGGCCTCCCAAAGTGCTGGAATTACAGGCGTGAGCCACCATGTCTGGGCCATTTCTTACTTTTCTTTTTTTCTTTTTTTTTTTTGAGACAGAGTCTCACTCTGTCACCTAGGTGGAGTGTCACTCAGGCTGGTGCAATCCAGGCATGTGCCACCACGCCCAGCTAATTTTTGTATTTTTAGTAGAGACAGGGTTTTGCCATGTTGGCCAGGCTGGTCTGGAACTCCTGACTTCAAGTGATCCACCTGCCTCGGCCTCTCAAAGTGCTGGGATTAGAGGCGTGAGCCACCGCGCCCGGCCTCTTACTTTTCTTATAACGTAGTGTACAAAAATAAGTCTTAATTATTTGAAAAATCAGGCTGGGCACAGCACGTTGGGAGGCCGAGGCGGGCGGATCACAAAGTCAGGAGATTGAGACCATCCTGGCCAAACTGGTGAACCCCGTCTCTACTAAAAATACAAAAATTAGCAGGGCGTGGTGGTGTGTGCCTTTAATTCCAGCTACTCGGGAGGCTGAGGCAGGAGAATTGCTTGAACCAAGGAGTCAGAGGTTGCAGTGAGCCGAGATTGCACCACTGCACTCCAGCCAGGTGACAGAGCAAGCCATGTCAGTTCTAATTACTAGTAGCTGGTTTTGCGTCTACCTACTCCGTGGGCCTGGGGACTCAATAAAATGTTCACCTGTCTTTGAAAGAGAGAAAAGTCACATTTTTCAAAAAAGGAAAGGAAGGCTAAGGAAAACTTACATTCACCGATATTATTTGCTTTGATAATTGCTACTTGTTGAGCACTTAGTGTGCTCAGGGGATCTTTCAGAAATTATTTGTCATGGGAAATTTTTAAGGTAAACACTATAATTCTTATTTGTTGTTTCACTCTACAGAAACACAGTGGACTCTCATCCAACATTTCATCCGGATGTAGAGGCTAATAATGACACTCACATACACGCACATACCAAGAGGTTATGAAAAGGTTTATTAGTTACATAATGAGGCTTTCTGGAAACATCAGGGTAACATTCCCAAGCTGGTGTGAAAATGAGAGAGTGGGGAAAGGAGATTGGCTTAGGATTTTTACTGCAGTTAGTGGTGGGGCTGCTGGGAGTGTTCATATTCACAGGACGGAGTTTGCGTTATTTGAATCTTTTCACGAGTACCAAAAAAGGGAGCACCCTGGCTTTCTTTTCAACTTTCCCATATATATATTTATATTTCCCATATATATATATATATATATATTTCCCATATATATGTATTTCCCATATATATATCCCATATATATCCCATATATATATTTCCCATATATATATTTCCCATATATATATTTCCCGTATATATATTTCCCACATATATATATTTCCCATATATATATCTCCCATATATATATTTCCCATATATATGTATTTCCCATATATATATTTCCCATATATATTTATATATTTCATATATATTTATATATTTCATATATATTATAGATATAATATATATAATATATATATCTATAATATATATAATATATTATATATAATATACATATTATATATAATATAATATATCTATAATATATAATATATTATATATATAAAATATATATTATAGATATAATATATACATAATATATATAATATATAATATATCTATTGTATATATATAATATATAATATATCTATTGTATATATATAATATATAATATATCTATTGTATATATATAATATATAATATATCTATTGTATATATATAATATATAATATATCTATTGTATATATATAATATATAATATATATCTATTGTATATATATAATATATAATATATATCTATTATAGATATATATAATATATATATATAATACATATATATACTATATATATAAAAAACTACCTGGAACTGAATACAGGCTGCCCCTTTAGATGGGACATGAACTCTTCAGTTCATCCCAGTTCCCACTACTTCTAATTGCCTTTAAACACTGTGGCAGAATATCCCTTGACATTTATCTTCACACCTGTGCTATTACTCTTCAGAAGTTTAATTGTTCAGCCAGGTGCAGTGGCTGAGGCCTGTAATCGTAGCACTTTGGGAGGCCAAGGTGGGCAGATTGCCTGAGCTCAGGAGTTTGAGACCAGCCTGGGCAACATGGTAAAACCCAATCTCTACTAAAATACAAAATAAATTAGCTGAGCATGGCGGTGTGCACCTGTATTCTCAGCTACTCAGAAGGCTGAGGCAGGAGAATTGCTTGAACCCGGGAGGCAGAGGTTGCAGTGAGCCGAGATTGTGCCACTGCACTCCAGCCTGGGCGACAGAGCAAGACTCCATCTCTACCAAAAAAAAAAAAAAAAAAAAAAGTTAATTCTGATGTGTTTTTGGCATGGATTTCTTTGGGTCTATCCTGTTTTGGATTTATTTTAGCTTCTTTAATCTGAAGGCTTATGTATTTTGCCAAATTTGGGATATTTTCAGCCATTATTTTTTCAAATACTTTCTCAGTTCCACTATCTCTTCTCCTTCTGGGACTCTGATGATAGGAATACTGGATATTTTTGTCATTATCTGTCAGATCGCTGCAGAGACATTCATTTTTTTCTCAGTTTATTTCCTCTCTGTTAATCAGATTGGGTAATTTCTGACCTCAAGTGGAGTGATTTTATCCTGGGTCATCTTCATTCCACTGTTGAGCCAACCTAGTGAGTTTTGTATTTCTCCATTCTTTGTATGATTTCCATTTTTTAAAATTCTCTTCATTTGGTAAAATTTTCTATTTTAACATTTATTTCAAGAGAATTTATAGTTGTTTATTGAAGCACTTTCATGATGGCTAGTTTAAAATCATTGTCAGATCATTCCAGCATCAGATTCACCTTGGTGTTGGCATAAGTTCATTGCCTTTTCTCATTTAACTTGTGGTTTTCATGATTATTTGCATTATGAGTGATTTTCTACTACATTTTGGACATTTTGACTATTACGTTAGAAGACTTTGAGTACTTTTCAATCTTTTATTACAGAAGGCGATCACACTTTTCAGATTTAACACACAGGTCCTGGCCTACTTTTTTGGGCTGTGGTTCCAATGACAATTTATTTTTCTGAATGTTTGCAATATTATTTTGGTCTGTTTGGTTTTTCTGATATCACTGGGGCTCAAAATGATCCCTGCTAGTGCTGCCTGAGGGGGCAGAAAGAGCCTCTCTAGGTCGGAGAAAGAATCCTCCAGCCTGCAAAGATAAGGAGAACTTCCCTGGCTGGGTGCTTGTAGTGCCATCAGCTGTCTAGTGTTTTTCAGTGACAGGAGACAAAGACCAATTCTTGGCTGGGTGCTTGTAGCAGGATTCCCCCTGCTGGTGCTGCCTGGCTATCTGATTATTTCAGTGTGTGGGAGAGAGAAGTATCAGGTCCAGCAGGGTAGGAGAATGCTTCCTCTGGATGCTTATTGTCAGTGGGGCTCCTGTTCAATCTCCTTTTCTGATGCTACTGAAAGTGCCTGCTGTTGTTAGCAGGATTGCTGTTCAATCCAGCAGAGGAATGAGCCTACCTGAACCACTTTCTGTTGTTGGGTTGGAGGTGGTAGATGCTGGACCTGGATTGCCTTTTTCTGTTGGGTAGTGTCTTAAGATAGTCTGCTGCAAAGATGTTTCTTCAGTCTCTGTGTTCATCACCAGTCTACCTTCCTCTTCCACATTTTGGTTTTCTCTTTTGGTTCCATCTTACATTGTTTCTAGGGTGTCTAGTTGTACATTAGTTAGGGGAGACCAGAGAGAGATGAGTCTACATGATCTTGTCTTCACTGTACATTGATTTGCTAATCTGGATCTGCTTCATTTATGTATGTTAACGTTCCTAGCACCCATGACCATTATGTTTTTTATCTTCTGTGTACTAAACTCTCTATTCTAAAGGCAAAAACCTGTATACCAGAGTGCCATTTATGCTGAGATGCATATATCTCAACTCTACTTCCTTTCAGCCTTTGGCAGATGTCAGTCCTATGATTTCCTTGAGAAAAGGGCTTTGTCCTGAAAACAGTGCATTCTATCACTGGTGATATGGTACTGTGCTATGCAACAGAACACTTCTGAAAATTTAAAATTTATGTATGAAGCAATGTTTGGGACTTTTTCCTCCCATCTTTTTCTAGTCAACTGTATTAAAAAACAATCTCAAGAAAACTTCTCCTGTCTCCCCTGCAAAAGTCTCCAGTCAGAATGTCTCCCAATGACCCTTTGCCAGTAAGCCACAGACAAAAAAATAAATAAATAAATAACTTTCCCTTATATGCCATGAGATTTTTACAAGCCTCCTTTCAAATATTTATTTCTCAGAAGGGCCACTATTCTCTGTATCCAGCCTGCATTTCCAGTTTTGTTGCTCTCCACTGCTCCCTTTGTACATTCAGTTAGTCAAATCTATCATGCTTCTCTTTCTTGCCTCCAAGCCTTCATATTCTCTGCTCCTTTCATCTGGAATATTTCACCCCCACCACATCACCTCACCTAAAATGATTTATTCTTCATATTATAGTTTATATGTCAGTACTTTCTTCTACCCAAGAGATCAGTCATACCTGTTATGTACCCCTTGTCCCATTTTGTATGTAAGAAAGTTAGTATTTCAGAGCTGGGACAGGTATTTAAAGCTATGACTTTGAGTATTTACTTCTTCTCAGTAGAGATTTGAGTCTCCCATAGTTTTCTTATAATTTTGAGCCACATGAGCTGAATTCATTCAAGTTCCCTCTTCCTTTCTGCCTCTCCACAACCTTGTGGGATACCACTACAAATTTAGGCCTTCATATGTGCACCTCAGAAATGTTATAAATGTGCTACTTGTGTTTATGGCTCCATTTAGAGAACAAATTATGTGGTTCACACTGAGATTATTATTCCAATGCTCATTTGTTAGAAAGGCATTAGTTAGCCTGAGAAGACACTAGGTAGTAGCACATTCAATGGATTCTATTCTTGAACAATCAACAGTTCTTGTGTTTCTTAAAGTTCCAATTTCACAGAGACATTGCTCTGTAAGAGTTGAGTGCTGGATTTGGTCAGAAAAATGACAGGCCTCCAAAGTAGGAGAATTCCTCTGCTTCAGTGAAACACCAGTAGACATTGGCTCACTTTAAGTAGAGGTCACCAGGCAATGGAATGGAAGACCCAATAGGCAAGTTGATGGAAACCTTTCTTTTTTTTTTTAATTAAATAAAACTCTGCCACATTTTATTCCACATACATTTAAACCTTAACTACATAAAAAGTTCAAATCTTTATAATTAAGATGGAAACCTTTCTTAAGAGGTTATAGTCAAATGGACAATGTGATTAAAGTCACTCTGTTTGGTTGGCAGTCATTATTATTACTATGATTGCTACTATTTTTTGAAACTGCAACCAAGCCATGGATTCTCTTAACAAACTACAAGAAGTTTGAAATTAATAGACAAGAAAACTGAGGCCCAGGGTAGTCAACTAACTTTCCAAAGGTTACATAAGAAATATAGGATTTAGTTCAAGCTAATACATAGACTCCTGGACTCTTACCATTTAGAACCCTTCATACTGCTCTCCACATTAGAGCATGAATACTTGGGAAATGCTACCCTGGTCTGTATCAGATGGATAAACCATTATCTATGCTGCCACCAATTTGAAGAGTGCAAGATGTCCCTTGATCCTCCTTTTTCCCTTTCTTAATAATAAAATACATGTTGAGATAATGTGATTCTGTCAACCACGGATGATACTACTTTTATTTTACCTGTTTCACCTTTAGAGAAAAATATGCTTATTCTTCATTGTGAAACTTAGAATTCCTTGGATTTGTCATCCATCATTCTTGTCAACTTTGAAGATCGTTCTTCCCATATCCTGTCTTGTGCTTAGCATTGGATCTGTAAATGTCACATAAGTATTTATCACTTTCAGTCATGTTAGAATTGACCTATCATCTCTGATGTTCTATAGCAGGTTTTCAATAGTGGACACTCCTTCCTTATTTCCCTTCTTTCCCCTTGCCAGAGCCATCAGCTGTCTAGTGCTCAAGAAGTTTTGGATTTTGAGCTTTTTGGATTAGGGATGCTCAACTTGTATCCCTTAGTGTTTTCTTTCTGATCCGATCGCTTCATTATTCTCTCTGCCAGATATACTGATATTCTTTCCAGGACAAGAAGAGATTCCACACACACTCCCCAGGGTAAGATATTGTTCTACTGCTTCATGAACTCCTTTAGCCGATTTTATTCATATTGTGAAAATAATAACAACTCATATTTATTGAGTACCCATATACTTGCTTGGAACTTTGCTAAGTGCTTCACCAGTACTATCTTGTTTACTTCTTTCAATAACTTTCTGAAATAGGCACTATCATTAGTTTTATTTTATGCACGAGGAAACAAGGTTAGAGTAATCAAGTACCTGGTTCAGGGCTACATGGTGTCAGAGATGAGATTTGAACACAAGTCTGAGTTCTGAGTCCTTTTTCTTAACCATTGTATTATATACTGCGTCCTATTTCCTTGTGAGCTTTGATATCAGTCAGGGCCAAGACTTGAAATTATGGGGGCTCAAAGGATGGGGGCAGAGAGCAAACATTCCCTTATTCAGTGCTTTAATAAGGTGGTAGTTTTCCCTGGAAGGCAAATAGAGCAGTAGGCTGAATCAAGAGTCTCCAGATCAAGAGAAGTATTTTCATTTCATTTTTATTTTTTTTCTTTCCAACTTATAGGTTCAGGTGATACATGTACAGGTTTGTTACATGAGTAATTTGCACGTTGTGGGGGTTTGGTGTACATATTATTTCATCAGCCAGATAATAAGCATAGTGCCCAATAGGTAGTTTTTTAATTCTCACCTTCCTCCTACCCTCCACCCTCAAGTAGGCCCTGGTGTCTATTGTTCCTTTCTTGGTGTCCATGTGTACTCAGTGTTTAGCTCCCACATTTACGTGAGAAAATGCAGTATTTTCTTTTCTGTTCCTGCACTTATTTGCTTAAGATAATGGCATCCAGTTCCATCCACATTACTACAAAGGACAGGATTTCATTATTTCTTATGGCTGTGTAGTGTTCAATGGTGTATGTGTACTACATTTTGTTTTCTTTAACTTTTATTTTAAGTTCCAGGGTTACATGTGCAGATCTGTTACATAGGTAAACATGTGCCATGGTGGTTTGCTGCACAGAACAATCCATCACCTAGGTATTCAGCCCAGAACGCATTAGCTATTCTTCCTGATGCTCTCCCTCCCTTTGCCTCCCCCTGATAGGCCCCAGTGTGTGTTGATTCCCCAGCCCTGTATTCATGTGTTCTTATCGTTCACCTCCCACTTATAAGGAGAACATGTGGTGTTTGGTATTCTGTTCCTGTGTTAGTTTGCTGAGGATGATGACTTCCAGCTCCATCCATGTCCCTGTCAAGAACATGATTGTATTCCTTTTTATGGCTGCATAGTGTTCGATGGTGTATATGTACCACATTTTCTTTATCCAGTCTGTTATTGATGAGCATTTTGGTTGATTTCACATCTCTGCTATTGTGAATAGTGCTGCAATGAACATATATGTGCAAGTTTATAAAAGAATGATTTATATTCCTTTGGATTTATACCCAGTAATGGGGTTGCTGGGTCAAATGGTATTCCTGCTCCTAGATCTTTGCAGAATTGCCACACTGTTTTCCACAATGGTTGAAGTAATTTACATTCTCACCAACAGTGTAAAGGCATTCTTTTTTCTCCGCAACCTCACTAGCATCTGCTCTTTCTTGACTTTTTAATAATCACCATTCTGACCAGCATGGGAGGGCATCTCATTGTAGTTTCGATTTGTGTTTCTCTAATGATCACTTATATTAAGTGTTTTTCATGTTTGTTGATCACATTAATGTCTTCTTTTGAGAAGTGTCTGTTTGTCCTTTGCCCAGTTTTTAATAGGGTTGCTTGTTTTATTTTTCTTGTAAATTTGTTTAAGTTCCTTGTAGACTATGGTTATTAGAACTTTGTCAGATAGATTGCACAAAATTTCCCCCATTTTGTAGGTTGTCTGTTCTCTCTGATGATAGTTTCTTTTGCTGCGCTGAAGTTCTTTAATTTCATTCGATGCCATTTGTCTATTTTTGCTTTTGTTGCAATTGCTTATGGCATTTTCATCATGAAATCTTTGCCTGTGCCTGTTTCCTGAATGGTATTGCCTAGATTTTTCCCTAGGATTTTTATCGTTTTAGGTTTTACCTTTAAGTCTTTAAGCCATTTTGGGTTGATTTTTATATAAGGTATAAGGAAGGGGTCCAGTTTTATTTTTCTCCATATGGCCAGCCAGTTCTTCCAGCACCACTTATTAAATTGGGAATCATTTCCCCATTGCTTGCTTTTGTCTGGTTTGTAAAATATCAGGTGGTTTGCAGGTGTGCGGTCTTATTTCATAATTATCTGTTTTGTTTCATTGGTCTTTGTGCCTTTTTTTGTAACAATACCATGCAGTTTTGGTTATTGTAGCCTTGTAGTATAGTTTGAAGTCAGGTAGCGTGATGCCTCCAGCTTTGTTCTTTTTGCTTAGGATTTTCTTGGCTATATGGGCTTTTTGGTTCTATAAGAACTTTAAAATAGTTTTTTTCTAATTCTGTGAAGAATGTCAATGGTAGTTTAATGGGAATAGCATTGAATCTATAAATTACTTTGGGCAGTATGGCCATTTTCACAATATTGATCCTTACTATCTATGATCATGGAAAGGTTTTCCATTTGTTTGTGTCCTCTCTGATTTCCTTGAACAGCGGTTTGTAGTTCTCCTTAAAGATGTCCTTCACTTCCTTTGTTAGCTGTATTCCTAGGTATTTTATTCTCTTTGTAGCAATTGTGAATGGGGGTTCATTCATGATTTGGCTCTCTGCATGCCTATTGTTGTATAGGAAGGCTAGCAATTTTTACACATTGATGTTTCATTCTGAGACTTTGCTGAAGTTGCTTATCAGTTTCAGAAGCTTTTGGGTTGAAAGCATGGGGTTTTCTAGATATAAGATCATGTCATCTGCAAAGAAAGATAATTTGACTTCCTCTCTTACTATTTGAATACTCTTTATTTCTTTCTTTTGCCTGATTGCCCTGGCCAGAACTTTCAATACTGTGTAAGGAGGGGTGAGAGAGGACATCCTTGTCTTGTGTTGGTTTTCAAGGGGAAGGCTTCGAGCTCTTTCCTGTTCAGAGTGATATTGACTATGGGTTTGTCATACATGACTCTTTTTATTTTAAGATATGTTCCTCCAATGCCTAATTTATTAAGAGTTTTTAACTTGAAGGGATATTAAATTTTATTGAAGGCCTTTTCTGTGTCTATTGAGATAATCATGTGTTTTTCTTCTTCAGTTCTGTTTATGTGATGAATCACATTTATTGATTTATGTATATTGAACCAAACTTACATCCCAGAGATGAAGCCAACTTGATCATGGTGGATAAACTTTTTGATGTGCTGCTGGATTTGGTTTGCCAGTATTTTATTGAGGGTTTTTGCATTGATCTCCATCAAGGATATTGGCTTGGAGTTTTCTTTTTTTGTTTTATCTGTCAGGTTTTGGTATCAGGATGATGCAGGCCTCATGAAATGAGTTAGGGAGGATTCCCTCCTTTTCAATTTTTTGTAATAGTTTCAGAAAAAAATGATACCAGTTCCTCTTTGTACCTCTGGTAGAATTCAACTGCAAATCTGTCTGGTCCTGGGCTTTCTCTGTTAGTAGGGTATTTATTGCTGCCTCAATTTCAGAACTCCTTGGTCTATTCAGGGATTCAATTTCTTCCTGGTTGAGTCTTGGGAGGGTATATGTGTCCAGGAATTTACCCACTTCTAGATTTTCTAGTTTATGTGTTTCTAGTATTCTCTGGTGGTTGTTTGTATTTCTGTGGGGTCAGTGGTGATATCCCCTTTATCATTTCTAATTGTGTCTTGAATTTGAATGTTGGCCTGTCTTGCTAGGTTGAGGAAGTTCTCCTGGATGATATCCTGCAGTATGTTTTCCAACTTGGTTCTGTTCTTCCCGTCTCTTTCAAGTACTCCAATCAGTCCTGGGTTTGGTCTTTTTACATAATCCTATATTTGTTGGAGGTTTTGTTCATTTCTTTTCATTCTTTTTTTTCTAATCTTGTGTGCCTGTCTTACTTCAGAAAGATAGTCTTCAGGCTCTGAGATTCTTTCCTCCACTGGTCTATTTGGCTACTGATACTTGTGGTTTCATTGTGAAGTTCTCGTATTGAGTTTTTCAGCTCCATCAGGTGGGTTATGTTCCTCTCTAAACTGGTTATTCTGGTTAACAGCTTCTGTAATGTTTTATCATGGTTCTTAGCTTCTTTGCATTGGGTTAGAACATGCTCCTTTACCTCAGCAAAGTTCATTAGTACCCACCTTCTGAAGCCTACTTGTCAATTCAGCCATCTCAGCCTCAGCCCAGTTCTCTGCCCTTTCTGGAGAGGTGTTACAGTCATTTGGAAGAGAAGAGGAACTCTGGGTTTTTGAGTTTTTAGCATTTTTTCAATGATTCCTTCTCATCTTTGTGGGCTTTTCTGTCTTCTATCTTTGAGGTTGCTGACCTTTGAATGGGGTTTTTGTTAGGTCTTTTGTTGTTGTTGTTGTTGCTTTTTGTTTTTTTGTTTGTTTCTCTTTTAGCAGTCAGGACCCATGTCTGAAGGGCTGCTGCAATTTACTTGGGGTCCACTTCAGATCCTAGTCATCTGGGTCTTTCCAGCACATGGAGGTTACACCAGTGGAGGCTGCAAAACAGCAGAGATGGCAGTGTGTTCCTTCCTCTGGGAGCTCTTTCCCAGAGGGGCACTCACCTGATGCCGCCTGAAAACTCCTGTAGGAGGTGTCTGGAGACCCCTCTTGGGAGGTTTCACCCAGTCAGGAGGAACTGGATCAGGGACCCACTTAAAGAAGTAGTCTGTCTTCCCCTTGGTGGAATGGGTGCGCTCTGCTGGGGGTTACCCCCTCGTTTAGACCGCCAGGACTCTCCAGAGCCAGAAAATGTTAAGTTGGCTGAACTGCAGAGACTGTGGGTGCCCCTCCCCCAAGAACCTTCCTCCTAGGGAGATCAGAGTTCTGTCCATAAAACTCTGTCTGGAGTTGCCGAAATTCCTGCAGGGAAGCCCCGCCCAGTGAGGAGGAATGGATTGGGGTCCCACTTACTGAAGCAGTCTGGCCACGATCTGCCACAGCAGCTATGCTGTGCTGTGGGGAGTTCCTTACAGTCTGGACAATCTACACTTTCTGGAGTCAGCAGGTCAGGATGGCCAACTGGAGCCTCAGAGATGGCAGCTGCCCCTTTCCCCCCAGGACCTCCAGCCTGCTGCCACTGGCCAGCTGGAATAAGCCAGTGGTTCTTATCTTATTAGGTGCCATGGGAGTGGGGCCTGCTGAATGACACGGCTTGGCTCCATTGCTTCAGCCCCCTTCCTATGGGAATGGACAGATCTCCTGCTTCACTGGAATTCCCGGGGTGGGAGTATGTAAAATCTCCTGTGTCTCTATGTGTGACCGAGTGGCTGCCAAGCGTCTGCAGAGCTCTGTGCTTCGGACCTCAGTCCCTCGTGGTGTGGGCTCACAAGGAGATCTTCTGATCTGTGAATTGCAAAGATCCATGGGAAAATCATGGTTTCCCAGGTGGGGGTCACACAATAACTCACTGCTTTCCTTGGTTGGGGTTGGGAGCTCCCCTTGCTCTGTGTTGCTCCCAGGTGGGCCGTCGCCCCACCCTGCTTTTCCTCGCTGTGTGTCATGCCAACTGCCTAGTCAGTGCCAGTGCAACAATCTGGATGCCTCATTCCACCTCTGATGTGAAGTTAGTTTGATTCCATGTATTTGCTATTGTGAGTAGTGCTGTCATGAATATACACGTGCATGTGTCTTTATGGTAGAGCAATTTATATTCCTTAGGGTACATAACCAGTAATGGGATTGCTGGGTTGTTTTAAGTTATTTGAGAAACCTCTAAACTACTTTCCACGGTGGCTGAACTAATTTACATTCCCACCAGCAGTGTATAAGCTTTCCCTTTTCTCTACAATCCTACCAGCATCTGTTATTTTTTTTAACTTTCTAATAATAACCATTCTGACAGGTGTGGAACGGATTCTCCCTATGGTTTTAATATGCATTTCTCTAATGTTTAGTGATATTGGGGTTTTTTTTATATGCTTCTTGGCCATACGTATGCATGTATGTCTTCTTTTGAGAAGTGTCTGTTCATGTCCTTTGCCCATTTTTAAGTGGGTTTGTTTTTTGCTTGTTAATTTGTTTAAGTTCCTTATGGATTCTGGATACTAGACCTTTGTTGGATGCATAGTTTGCAAGTATTTTTTCCTATTCTGTTGGTTGTCTGTTTACTCTGTTGATAGTTTCTTTAGCTGTGCAGAAGCTCATTTTTCAATTTTGGTTTTTGCTGCAATTTCTTTTGGGGTCTTCATCATAAACTCTTTGCTAGGATCTATGTCCCAAATGGTGTTTCTGAGTTTTTCTTTTTGTATTTTTATACTTTTAGGTTTTACATTTAAGTCTTTAATCTATCTTGATTTGATTTTTGTATATGGTGAAAGGAAAGGGCATAGTATTAATCTTCTGCACATGGCTAGCCAGTTATCCCAGCACTATTTATTGAATAGGGTGTCATTTCCCTGTTCCTTGTTTTTGTTGACTTTGACAAAGGTCAGGTGATACTTTTTGTTGACTTAGTTGAAGAGCAAAGTGTGTGGCTTTATTTCTGGGTTTTCTAACTTTGCCATTGGTCTATGAGTCTGTTTTTGTACCAGCACTACACTCTTTTGGTTACTGTAGCTGTGTAGTATAGTTTGAGGTTGGGTAGAGTGATGCCTCCAGCTTTTTTATTTTTGCTTAGGATAGTCTTGGCTCTTCAGGCTCTTTGTTTTCATATGAATTTTACAATCATTAATTCTGTGAACAATGTCATTTTGGAAGAAATAGCATTGAACTTGTAAATTCCCTTGGGCAGTAAGGCCATTTTAATGACATTGATTCTTCCTTTTCATGAGCATGTAATATTTCTGATTTATTTCAGCAGTGTTTTATAATTCTAATTGCAGAGCAATTTCACTTCCTTGGTTGGGTGTATTCCTAGGTATTTTATTTTATTTTTTGTGGGTATTGTAATGGAATTGCCTTATTGATTTGACTTTCAGGCTGGATGTTGTTGTTGTATAGTAATGCTACAGATTTTTGTACATTGGTTTTGTATCCTGAAACTTTGCTGAAGTTGTTTATCATATCAAGAAGATTTTGAGCAGAGATTATGGGGTTTTCTAGATATAGAATCATATTGTATGCAAACAGGGGTAGTTTGACTTTCTGTTCCTTTCTGGATGCCTTTTATTTTGTTCTCTTGCCTGATTGCTCTGGCTAGAACTTGCAGTACTGTGGTGATTAGCAGTGGTGAGAGTAGGCATCTTTGTCTTCTGGTTTTCAAGGGAAATGCTTTCAGCTTTCATCCATTCAGTATGATGTTGGCTATGGATTTGTCATAGACGGCTCTTATTACTTTAAGGTATGTTCCTGCAATGCCTAGTTTTATGAGAGTTTTCAACATGAAGGACAGATTGCCAAATTATATCCAAAACCTTTAGGGCCTTTAGGGCATCTATTGAGATGATCATGTGGTTTTGTTTTTAGTTCTGTTTTTTTTTTTTGTTTTTTTTTGTGATGAATCACTTTTATTGATTTGCATATGCAGAACCAACCTTGCATCCCAGGAATAAAGCCTACTTAACCGTGGCTGATACGATTTGGCTCTGTGCCCCCACCCAAATCTCACTATCAGGGAAGGGACCTGGTGGGAGGTGATTGGATCATGGAGGCAGATTTTCCCCATGCTGCTCTCATGATAGTGAGTGAGTTCTCATGAGATCTGATCATTTAAAAGTGTGGCACTTCCCCCCTTACTCTCTCTGTCTCTCTCCTGCCACCATGTAAAATGTGCCTTGGTTCCCCTTCACCTTCTGCCATGATTGTAAGTTTCTTGAGGCCTCCCCAGCTATACCAAACTGTGAGTCAATTAAACCTTTTTTTTTCCATATACTTTAAGTTCTAGGGTACATGTGCACAACGTGCAAGTTCGTTACATAGGTATACATGTGCCATGTTGGTTTGCTGTACCCATTAACTCGTCATTTACATTAGGTATTTCTCCTAATGCTATCCCTCCCCCTGCCCCTACCCCACGACAGGCCGCTGTGTGTGATGTTCCCCACCCTGTGTCCAAGTGTTCTCATTGTTCAATTCCCACCTATGAGTGAGAACATGTGTTGTTTGTAAACCTATCTTTTTAAAAAAATAAATTACCCAGTCTCAGACAGTTATTTTTGGCAGTGTGAAAATGGACTAATTCAGTGGCGGATGGCCTTTTTGAAGTGCTGCTGGATTCAGTTTGCTAGTACTTTGTAGAGGATTTTTACATCTATTTATATTAAGGATATTGACCTGAAGTTATCTTCTTCTTCTTCTTCTTTTTTTTTTTTTTTTTTTTTTTGGTATCTCTGCCAGGTATTGGTATTAGAATGATGTTGGCCTCAAAGAATGAGTTAGAGAGGAGTCCTTTCTCAGTTTTGGGGAATGGTTTTAGTAGGATTGGTGCCAGCTCCTCTTTATACGCCTTTTAGAATTTGGCTGTGAATCCATCTGGTCCAGGGTTTTTTCTGGTTGGTAGGCTTTTCATTACTAATTTAATTTCAAAACTCATTATTGGTCTGTTTAGAGTTTCAGTGTCTTCTTTGTTCAACCATAGGAGATTTTATGTTTCCAGGAATTTATGCATTGCTTCTAGGTTTTCTTGTTTGTGCGCCTAGTGGTGTTCTTAATAGTCTCTGTGGGTTTTTTTTTTTTAATTTCTGTGGAGCCAATGGTAATGATTCCTTTATCATGCCTGATTCTATTTATTTGGATATTCTGGGTTTTTTTCTTTATTAGTTTAGTCATCTATCAACCTCATATATTCTTTCAGAGAACCAACTTTTGGTTTTGTTGATCCTTTTTATGGGTCATTCAGCTTAGCTCTGGGTTGGTTATCTCTTTTCTTCTGCTGTTTTTGGGGTTGGTTTGCTCTTGTTTTTCTATTCCCTTTAGGTGTGGTGTTAGGTTGTTAATTTGATATCTTTCTGCTTTTTTGATGTGAGCATTTAGTTCTTTAAACTTTCCTCTCAAAGCTACTTTAACTGTATCCCATAGATTCTCATGTGTTGTACCTTTGTTTTCATTAATTTCAAAGAATTTATTGATTTCTGCCTTAATTTCATTGTTTATGCAAAAGTCATTCAGGAGTAGGTTGTTTAATTTCCATGTAATTGAGAAATTCCATGGTTTTGAGAAACCCCGTTAGTATTAATTTCTATTTTTATTGCCCTGTGGTCTGAGAGTGTGATTGGTATGATTTTTTTTTAATTTGTTGAGTTGTATTACAGTCAAGTGTGCGGTCAATTTTAGATCATGTACTATGGGCAGATGAGAAGAATGTACATTCTGTTGTTGGGTGAAGTATTCTGTAGGTGTCTGTTAGGTCTATTTGGTCAAGTGTTGAGTTTCGGACCTGAATATCTTTGTTAGTTTTCTGCCTGGATGATCTGCCTAACATTGTCAGTGGGATGTTGAAGTCTCCCACTATTATTGTATGGTTATCTAGTTCTATTCATGGTTCTCTAATAACTTGTTTTATAAATCTGAGTGCTCCAGTGTTGGGTACATATATATTTAGGATAGTTAAATCTTCTTTTTGAATTGAACTCTTCATCATTATGTACTGCCTTTCTTTGTCCCTTTTGATCGTTTTTGGTTTAACGTTTGTTTTGTCAGCAATTAGAATAGCAACCCCTGTTTTGTTTTGTTTGGTTTTTTTTTCTATTTGCTTGGTAGATTTTTCTCCATTCCTTTACTTTGAGCCTATGGGTGTCACTGTATGTGAGATGGGTCTGTGGAAGATAGCAGACAGTTGGGTCTTGCTTCTTTTTCCAACTTGCCACTCTGTGTATTTTATGTGGGATATCTAGCCTGTTTACATTTAAGGTTAATATTACCATGTGCAGATTTGATCCTGTCCTCCTCTTGTTAGTTGGTTGTTATGCAGACTTGATTGCATTGTTGCTTTATAGTCTCAATGGTCTACGTACTTAAGTGTGTTTTGTGGTGGTCAGTACTGGTCTTTCATTTCCATACTTAGCACTCCCTTAAGGGCCTCTTGTAAGGCAGGTGTGCTGGTAATAAACTTCCTTAGCATTTGTTGGAGAAGGATCTTATTTCTCCTTTGCTTTTATAAAGCTTTGTTTGGCTGAATATGAAATTCTTTGTTGGAATTTCTTTTCTTTAAGCATGATGAATATAGGACCCCAATCTGTTCTGGCTTATGTGGTTTCTGCCAAAAGGTCTGCTGTTAGCCTGATGGGGTTCCCTTTGTAGATGAATTACCCCTTCTCTCTAGCTGTCTTTAATTTTTTTTCACTTTGACTTTGAAGAATCTGATGACAATGTGTCTTGGTGATGGTCGTCTTGAATAGTACTTCACAAGGGTTCTCTGCCTTTCCTGACTTTGAATGTTGACTTCACTAACAAGGTTGGTGAATTTTTTGTGGACAATATCCTCAAATATATTTTGCAAATTGCTTGCTGTTTTTCTCTCTTTCAGGGAAACCAGTGAGTCAGGGATTTGGTCTATTTACATAATCCAAAATTTCTTGTAGGTTTTATTCATTCTTTTTAATTTTTTTTCTTTACTTTTGTTTGAGTTGACTTCAAGAATGAGTCTTCATGCTCTGATATTCTTTCCTCAGCTTGGTCCATTATGCTGTTAGTACTTCAAATAATATTATGAAGTTCTTGTAGTGAGTTTTTCGCCTCTATCAGATACGTGTGCTTCTTTCTTAAAATGGCTATTTTATCTTTCGGCTCTTGTATAATTTTATTAGACTCCTTACATTCCTTTGATTGGGTTTCAACTTCTTCTGAATCTCAATGATCTTTATTGCTATCCAGATTCTGAATTCTCTGTCATTTTAGCTGTTTCAGCCTGGTTACAAACTATTGCTGGAAAGCTAGTATGGTCATTTGGAGGAAAGAGATGCTCTGGCTTTTTGAGTTGCCAGAGTTCTTGCACTGGTTCTTTCTCATCTGTGTGGGATGATGTTCCTTTGGTGATTGAAGTTACTGTCCTTTGGGTGGGGCTTTTTAATTTTATATTCTTTGTTGCCCTTGAGGGTTCTGACTGTGGTATAAGTTGGGTTGATTCAACTGACATTGTTTCTGCCTTACTTCAGGGGGTCACAACTCAGCTCAGCACTCCTGGGCTATGTGCTCTAACCCTGGAGGACTGGTACAAGGGCTAAGGCTTTGTTCTCCAGCCCCTTGAGGTTAAGCTCCTGCTGTGCTGGAGGGGACAAGGACAAAAACACTCTGATGACAAGTGCTGGCCAATCTGCTTTGTTCAGTCAGTGGCAGCAGCAGTGAGATGTATTTTTAAATTTCCAAAGTGGTTAATAGGGTTTGTATAAAGTAGCTGACACAATGAGTGTGTGCAACAAATGACAGCTTTGATTGTTATTGCTATTTTAATAACAATAATGAAGATAGAGAAGCACTAAATACAGTGGAGGATGAAAAAACACACATTATTTAAAAAGGTAAGCTGAAAAACCAAAACCTATTTTTTAAAAATCAGTACTTTTTTTTTATTCCTACTGAGAGTGAGTGATGTAGCAGAATAGATAGTACTGATGCTACTCTGGAAGTCCTCTAAATAGAAATGCTGAACACTCAGCAGTGAGAAACCCCAGGTTTTAGGGTCAATGTTTCCTGGGATATAGATGGCTGGCTCCAGGGGCTTTACAATTATTCTAGATAGACCTACTCTGGAATGACAATAAATATGTTCTGGTATATATATATATATATATATATATATATACTATTCACACAGATTGCTTTGCCTGAATTTGGTCAACTCTTCCCCTCGATAGACTAGATTCTGTAAAAAGGAAAAATATTTTGGTGATTAGATAGTGACAAATAACCATAACCATCTTTTCCCCTTTTCTCCTTTATGCAGGTTTTAGCAAACTTTTATTAAGTGCTGCTTCTTCGCCAGGCCTCATGCTGTGGAGGTACCAATAAAACACTGAGGCTATAGCTGGCATAAGCAGTGAATGGTCCTCATTTTTCTCAACACCCTCCCAACATGACTTCAGATTGCCTAGAACCTGACATTCCCACCATTGAGTTCGATGACCACTTACTGACTGTCAGTGTGTGTGTGTGTGTGTGCGTATATATATATTAAATGCCAAAGTACAGACATGAATGACATTGCTCTGTCCTCAGAGTTCAGAGTCTGGTGGAGAAGGTATACGTGTACAATTAATATTACACAATGCCAGTTACCCTACTTATGGTGTATACTACGTGGTGGTATAAGAGCAGGGACCCGAGTCACTCTGCCTGGGAAAGTTAAAGGAAAGAAACATCATATTTGAGCAAAAGTATGGAAGATGAGTGAATAGGTATTAGGTAGAAATGACAAAGAGGGAAAAGTTGAGGAAAGAGAGTATGAAAAGGCATGTGGGTGTTAATTCAGTAAGTAGCTCTGTGTGAGTGTGAAGGGCATTTTATGGCCTGTCAACTAGTGAAATGATCAGAAAGAAGGAATTGGGAGTGACTGAACATTTATTGAGTGCTGCTTATGTGTCAGGCACTTTGCTAAATGTTTCATAAACATTTAATCCTCACAATCATACAAGACAGAAATTATTGTCACTTCACATGGCAACAACTGTGAGTTGCTAACCAAACATTCATATACTACTGTACATTTTTCTAGGCTCAGATACAGTAGATTGGAGCCATGAAACTGGATTTTGGCCAATGGGATATGAGTACAAAATATATAAGTAACTTCATGGATTGATGGGATCCTTCAGTACTCTCCTTCCTTTCTATGCCACCTTAGAGACCATGTATTTCATACGATATTAGCTACAAGACAGAGGAAGTTATTCTTGTCCACTCTGATGTGATGTGTGAGCAGTAAATACACTTTCATTATGTTCACTCTTTAAGGAGGTTAATTTGCTAACATGGCATAGGCTATTCCAGGGGTGACCAAACTGCTGCCAGTGGGTCAAAAATGGCCTGCTGTCTGTTTTTGCAAATAAAGTTTGGAAACACCACCACACCAAAACATGTGCACGTTGTCTCTGGCTACTTTCATATTATGATTGTCAAGTTGAGTAGTTGTGATGGAGACCATATGGCCTATAAAGCCTAAAATATTTGCTACCTGGCCCTTTAGAAAAATGTTTGCTCAGCCTGCACAGCTTAAGGAAACCCTGTCATTACAAAAAATAAAAACAAATTAGCCAGGTGAACTGGCTTGCGTCTTTGGTCCAAGATACTTGTGAGGCTGAGGTGGGAAGATCTCTTGAGCCCAAGAGGTCAAGACTGCAGTGAGCCATAATCGTACCACTGCACTCCAGCCTGAGAGACAAAGCAAGATCCTGTCTCAAAAACAAAAATGTTTACTGCCTACTGTTCTATTTTACAAACAAAAAAAGGGTAAATCTTACTTTTGTCCACACAGCAAATCAGTAGCATTGGGATTTGAACCCAGATCTATTTTTGATGCTATTTACTGTTGCTTGCTTTTATTGCCACTGGTTCATTGACCTCCATTTGACTCTGTACTTCAGTTATTATAGTTCTCCTGTTCATCTACCCACACCACATGGGTTGACAACCCATTCTGGAATCACTCTTTTGGCTCAATAGTGATATATCTTTGAGACATGACTTACTTTGTTCCCTAATATTTAAATTACTTTACTACTTGCACTTCAGCCCTGAGGAACTGACAATGAGAGAATAAAGAATTAAGGATAACTCTTAAGACTTAGCTTATGCAACTGGACAGAAACAGCATAAATAGGTTGAATGCTGATGCAAGGACAAGATTAGGACTGTAATGGGAGAGAAGTTTAATATTGGATATGTAGCGTTTTAGATTCCTGTAAGAAAGTACAGATGGAGATATTCTATATGCAGGTAGACAGATGAATCTAAAGCTCAGGAAAGAAGTCTGGGTTGGAGATAAATTATATTGAGTCATCTACCCACTCTCTTTTAAATCTTATTATGATTAGTTTTAGAACTATAAGATGGCTCACCAAGGTCAAGGCTCTCTCTGAAACAAGATTTGTATTCAATATTCTGTGATCATATGAAAACAAAATTAACGGACACAGCTGGGATCATATCTGTGATGACCTTTTAAGCAACAGACCTCTTTCTCCCTATAACATTACATCTTATGTTTTCATGGCAGGACCAGTGTGCTTCATGTTTCCAGGTCTTACAAGACTCTATTTGGGACTAGGGGGCTCCCTCTTAGAAAGATGAAAAAACCCTTACTGTTTCTACAAATATTTCACAGAAACTATTACAGTAGCAGGCTCAGTATCTTAAGGCCATTTTTTTCCCCTGACAGAAGCAATGTATGAATTTTTCAGGGTGCCACAGGAACACCATATAATATTTGAACACAGCACAGTTTAACTGTAGTTGAATCTAGGATTACCAATGCAGAATGGTGATTAAGCCTAAAGATGCACAAATATGGAGGGTTTTTTTTTCTACTCCTGTCTGGAGGGATTGTGGATCACGTATATCAGTTCAAACTTATATTTGATCTTCTCACCACCCTCTTCAGAATAATTCTGTTTAAAGAATTAAGAACATCAATAAAAGTTAAACCAAAAATCTAACAACAATGACAAAAACACAATGTATTTTTTTTCTTTATATCTTTCTTCTTTTTTTGGCCCCACTACAATTCTTGCAAATAGACGACCTGAGGAAAAATACAGTCCTGAGATACTGACTGTTCAGAGACATCTCCTTTAAAAACCCATATCTTCCACCAGAACCCACTTCATGGGTGAGTCTTGTGCTGTCAAACAGAGCTCTGTGCTCAGAAGAGTCCCATTGTTGGCTTAATGCTCTGCTATCACTGTCTTGAAATTCTTAACAATTTTTAAACAAAGGCCCTACATTTTAATTTTGGACTGGGACCCACTAATTATGTACCTGCTTCTGTCTTCCATTTGACATTCCTTTCTTACCGCCTGACCTTAGCCATACCTGAGCCATTTAAAAGTACTTAGCCTGAAAACGCTGTGAAGACACTTCAAGAAATTTTGTGCTTTAATGTGTATTGCAGTGAATGGAGCTTTGCTGTTAATAGGCTCACAGGTAGATATCAGGACTGATTCATCATCTTCCGATATTAAGCTAGACTCACAGGTAGATATCAGGACTGTTTCTTCATCTTACAATTTTGAGCTATGGCAAGATGGTGCTTGGGTAATTTCTGACACCTCATTATGAGAGGCAAAGAAAAAATTTTCCAACCTGGAAATCCATATGTGTGTAGGTGCTTGGTCTCTCTCAATAGTGTGCATTACAGGAAGGCCAGAGATTCTGCATAGAAGGCTGATCTCTGTTGAACTTGCTGAAGGCAACACTGCTAATTGTGCTTACCTTTAGTCTCTTTTAGACATCTTTTAATGATTCCTCTATGTCCCTCCCACCTGTAGGTACTATTACCTTTTTTGTAAAAAGATTTTTAGTTAATAATGAAAGACACAGCATGGACCACTCTTGAGAGAACTTGAGCTAATATGTTGCTTCACCCAGGGCTCTCCACATTTGTTCTTTTCTCTCCATTAGGAGGAAGAAATGTTGCCTGATGATGGTTGAGGAGGTGGGGGCAGATCTCTCAGCATTTTTCTGCTGCATCCAAGGCCATACTATATTATCTCAGCCTTCAGACATTGGGCAAATGTATGATTCTTTCCTGACCTCCCAACCCATATACCCCAGAAGCCTAGTGCTATCTGAGTCCTAAAGGAACTTTGTTCATCACTGAATTTTCTCTACCCTTGGCTTCTTTTCTGAATACATTTTTCTTTTTTTTTTATTTTAATGACCTTTTTGTAACCTTCTTTTGATGTCATGAGTAGCCAAAATCCAGATATGGGATGAGCTAATGATATAGATATTCACTGTGACTTGGCAAACTTTCTACTTGTCTGTTGGTGACCCAGGCAGGAGGGATAGGAAATATGCTGTCAGTGGCAGAATTGCTCCCTGTAATAAGGCAAATTAAAATTAAAATGATGAAGGAGAAAGGGGCCATCCATACCTTCTTTATTTACCTGGTTAATGACTCAAGCTGTTCATTAGGCACCAAAGGAGCAATCTATCATTTTCCCACCTTCAAAAAAAATGAAACACCTGCATTCAAATTACATCAACATGTTTCAAAGCCTCCTTAATTGAAAGTATATGATGGAATCTAATATAACACTCATCTTGTTGCAAGTGACATGAGAGGAAGAGGTATGGAGTTTTAAGAAAATTTTATTTAAAGGCAGGCTTAAAGAGACTGTGGGAGTGATTGCCAGCTTGTCAGCTGACTCACTGGTGCCTAGAGGGAACTTTTTGTCATTAGTCAATCTGAATCCCAATATGGCCCCGGACAACATGGTGAAGGCTCTGTCCCTCCTCTCTCCCCATCTCCCTAACTCATACCCTCTCTGTGGCAATTATTGACTTCATTGACAAATAAAATTAGTACTCAACACTTACTGGAAACGTTCACTATAAAAGTGATTCAATAACAAGGCCTCTATGGAGGGCTTGCATAGCAACAGACATGTATTTCCAGTCCGCATACAAGTAAAGCATTTGTGTTTACAGAAATCAGTGGTATTGTGGGTACCAAAAAAGAGCTTGCATTCAAAAATAAGCCACCAGGAGTGTAGAGGAAACATCCTGTTTAGCTTATTAGATTTAGCCCTGCAGAGCCCATTGTCTTGGTGAAAATAATTTTGTATTCTTGCTTTATCTATTATGGGAGAAGATAATCTTAGGGATGGTCTAGGTAGGCCTAGTAGGATGATATGCAATACATACAGAAAGGATTTGGGTGAGTCTTCCCAGGTTAAGCAGGTTAATTCTACCTAGGAGTAGTTGTTGGCATGGGAGTCCCTCTCCTCATACACCCTAGTATTATGAAAGGATATGTCATCATGGTACATAAGAGTACAGTAATCGCTTAGACAGGTTTGGTTGTGGCAGGAGAGGGATGAGGGACTGGTGCATGGATGGGACAACCTATGCTCCATTTTAGTCATGGGCTTCCAGAACACAGCCTGTCTTCTTAGAACCAGAGATTTAGATAACAGTCGGTCTCTATAAATATCTCTGTGATGATCAGTAGTCCCCGTTCATACTTACTTACTTCTTGAAGTAAGAATTAGAAAAGAAAACTTCTGTTAGACCATGCTGGGACTTTTAATTTCTCTGGGTCATGTACAGAAGTTAAAAATCCCAGCATGGTTGATTTATAAATTCTGTCTCTTTCCAGGTCAAGATTCTCTTTATTTCCTGTCTCTTAACTTCTATTAATTTCTTCATGTTTGCTCAAAGGTTTGCTCACTATGGAATGATTTTTTTAAACTTCTATTTTTGAAATAATCTTAGATTCAAAGGAATTTGCAAAAATAGTATGAGAGACCACATGTGCCCTTCACCCATATTCTCCAACTGTGGATTGATTTTGTTCTTCTGTTAATCAAATTTATTTGATATAAGACCTCTTCATTATCTTATTCTTTCACCACATCCTGCACAGGGCATTTGGGAACATAAAAGTGACACAGGACATTCCACGATAAAAGTATATAAATGGTTGGCTTAAAGTTTTGTCAATATTACCCACTGCACGTTTTCAAGTCATCTTATGATTTCAGTTTGTAAATAGATAGCAATAAATAGAGCAAATAACACACAAAAATATGAGAAATATCTTGAGGGTGAGCATTTTCAAAGATGATTGTTGTTATGGTTTGAATGCGTGTCTCTTCCAAAACTGATGTTAAAATTTAATTGCCATGATCTTTAAGTGCTGATTTGGCTATGAGGGCTCCACCCTCATGAGTGGGATTTGTGCTGGTTTAAATGAAGAGTTCACCCTTCTCTCACTCTCTTGGCTCTTCAGCTCTTTTGCCATGTGAACAGTGTTTCCCCCTCCAGAGGATGCAGCCTTTAAGGTGCCATCTTGGAAGCAGAGTGAAGGCCCTCATCAGACACCAAATCTGCAGGCACCTTGATCTTGGGCTTCCCAGTTTCCAGAACTGAAAGAAATATATTTCTGTTCCTTATAAATTACTAAGTCTCAGGTATCCTGTTAAACAGCAACACAAAATAGAGTAAGACACAATTGCGTTCCATGAAAACCCAACTTAAACATCATGTGAGTGGCCTATACATTATTGTGACTATTATCCAGAACATAACTGAAATTATTTTTGAAACTCAGGATGATATAGCCTCTTAAAGTAGGAAATTCTATTAATTTATCCTCTTATTGCTATGTGATACAAGATTCCTTTCCTTGAGAGCAGACTTAGTGGCCTCAAATTTCTTATTTATGTTTGTGCATCTCTGCTGTAGTTTCATATTGTAGAAGCTTAATGATCAAGATCATTCACCTAACCTCCCTTATGAATTTATAACTATCCACCACTCCACTCATTCAGTCCTTGTTTTTCTAGATTAAATAGAAGTCATTCTATTAACAAGTCTTTGTGAGTAGACTCCTTCTTGGTCAACTTGGATTTATTTCTGTAGGCCTACTTCAACCAGTTAATGACCAACCCTGCATCCAAAGTAAATGGATTTATGGTATACTTGCTCTTTGGTTCAAAATCTGTGATTAGAGAAATGTTTCTGAATATGAGCAGGAGTGTGTGTGTGTGTGCATGTGTATATGTGCGTGGGTAGCTATGATGTGGGGAGGAGTCACTTTAAGTGTTAAAATATTTTTTAAGTATTCTGGTTCCTTAGGAAAATATAAAACATTAAGAAAAATTGCTTCGCATTTTTTGCTACTTTGCTGAAAAATATATCATTTTATTGGAATTATTCAAACACATTTGAAAATGTTCCAGTATACACATTCAGTTTTCACTCACGTATTTGAGATTGTATATACATTTGTACTATGGAAAACTCAGAAACATTGGTATGAGTGCACCACATGGGTAAGCCAGTCATTCAGTGGGAACCATTATCTGCTAAGATTCTATAATAGCAAATGCTGAGGAGATGAAGCAGGAATATGCAAGAGAATACTTACTCTTGATCTTTCCCATAGACATGCCTGCAAAATTAAACATAATAGGGCAAACATCTTTTGCTATTTCATTGAGATGTGAAGTTTATGTAGACTTTGTTTAAAGTTTTTAAATGAAAATATAAAAAAGGAACTAAGGAATAAAAAATTCATTAATTGAGGTAGTAGGAGAACAAATGTTAAGATCTTTCTCTACTTTTAAATGTCCCATTATTAACAAATCTTCCTGAGATATCTCCATCCACCTCTGCATTTTTCAAGGATGAGTATATAAGGGAGATTCCCTGGCACCCTTACCTGCAGTGGTATAGCTCCTGTGAATATCTATCTTCTCATCAAGACCACAGAAGAATAAATTGAAAGCTTGGGGTTTAAATTTGGAAGCAGTTTTTCCGATTGGCAAAAGATTGGAGAAATGAGGATTTCTTTGATGTTCTTGAGGACTTAGCAATCTATCCTCCTGGCCCCTCAAATCTTAGCATCTAACCCTCAGACATAATCTCTTCTGACTTGATTATCTTTCTTTTTTTAAAAAAATTTTTGTTTTCCTATGGGTTATAAAAGTTATGCTTAGTCATAAACATATTTTAGCTCCCAAAGAACCAGTTGTGCACGCATGCCTTGGGACAAAAATCACATCTGGTGAGACTTCTGGAAGAAAAGTATGTAATTCTGAATTTAGGGTTCTGATTTAATATATGGTAAGTCCTTAACTTACTGAAAAATGGGCTAGTATGTTGTAGTCGTAGTGCTACTGAGACTAACGTCATGAGAATATAGATTTTGTTTTACCCATAAGAGATCCTAGAGATCAAGCAACCACTGTGTGATAGACTTTTAGAGTGGGAAAGGACCTTAAATGTCCTCTAGTCCATGCTACCCAATTGGCGTTTGAATTCCTCTGTAACTTTTCTGACAAGAGGTTATCAAGTTCCTGCTTAAACACCTTTTGTGATAGGGAGCTCACTATCTACTGAAGCTGTCTACACGTTCTTTGACTAGTCTTTGATTATCCTTGTAAACTTCTGCTTATGATAATTCCAAATCTGTTCTGTAGATTCCATCTATTATTCCCAGTGCTACCCTCCTGAGGATACACAGAGCACTCTGTTCTCTAACCTTCATGATAGTTCTTAAACTATTTGAGGACAATTTCCATCTTTTCCTTGAGTTTGCTCTTCTTGAGGCTCTATGTTTCTTATATAATATTGGTTTATGTCTCTTTACTATACTTGTGTTCTCCTTTTAAAAGCATGAGACCCAATATTTTATTCTATTTTATATAAAGAGGAAGGTAATGATACCATCTAAAATGAAAAGGTTAGGAAAAGAAGTTTACTAAGCACAGTTATACCTAAAAATAAAAATATGAGTAGCAGGGTGGTTTCTTTTTTTGAGTATGGGTGGTGGTAGTGGGTGAGTAGGAAGAAAGTAGGAAAGTAGAATGAGCTAATTATACATTGGCATAAAGCTAATATATTATCTTAAAGTTCATAAATCAATAAAGAGCAAAATAAACACAATATTTTGAGTTGTGGCACTAACCAGCAAGAAATCCACAAAGATAAATGGTTTAAAAATAATCACTGCTCTGAAACTGGGACTAGAGGGGGGGAGATATTTTTTATTTTCTTTTTTCATCCTGCTGTATTGTTTGAATCTTTATTAATACAGGCATATACAATTCTGTAATATCTTATATGTAATTCAGAAACCAAAAATAAAACCCTGAAATTAAAAGCTTTCTTATATCATTTGGCCACTCAACCTCACTTAATATGAATATTTTGTCAGCAAAGTGAACTGATGTAAAACTGTGTATATAGTTTTCATTATTGCTAAATAGTATGTATATTCATGGATTTTGCTACAGAAATGTTAATGTGTTTGATTAGAGGGTACTGTCCTAAAGTCCACTGCGTGTACTGGTCATATACAGTGCATTACACTGTATTAGCTTTCTAAATCCTGAAAAAATAGAATTTTTGAAACAAATCCAGCCTTAAGTGTTTTAGATATGGTATTGTGAGCAAGCAAAACCTTATTATAATAAAAAAGAATGGTAGACCCCTCAAAATTTACACAATACTTTCGTATGTTCTGACCACAGCTGATCCCAGATAACCACCCCTCTAGTCTAGATATCATATTTTTATTAATGCAGTCTAAGAATAATTATAGTAGTTTGGTGTTTGTGCCACATTTACTGAATCATTCTAAGCTATTCACTCCTGAAGGCTTTTAAATAAGAGTTACTGTTGCTAAACCATGTTCTCAAGAGTAATGTGGAAGATAAATGTGTATTCACTACAGGGTTGTTATAAATAACAAGCTCCTGGGTGCATTTAAAATATCATTCAATATACCAAGACATGATTCCCAGACAAGTTATTAATAACATGATTACCACATTGTTACTCTTTTAATATAGTATACAATGCATTATGCATATTAAATTAAATTTGATTTTGAATCTTGAATCTAGTATTTACTAGACATGTGACCTTGGAAAAGTCATCTTAGTGCTAAATTAATTTTAGCTTTTGTTAGTATTATTGGAGTTGAAGAATTCCTCTATAATATGGGCTTTATGATACTAGGCACACCACAAAAAGTTGCCCTATATACTTTTCCCACGGTAGATGGTGCAATAAAGATTTTATTTTTACAAATAATAATAACATAAAGTAGTGGTTCTCAAACTTTGTTGCATGTTAGATTCATATGGAGAGCTTTAAAAGATTCTGGTGCCCAGGTTGTATCCCATGTTGATTAAATTAGAATATCTGGAGGTGGGGGCCAGGTGATTGCAACGTGCAGAAAAGTTTTAGGACCACTAACCTGAACTAAGAAGTCTTTATAGTTGCCAATGGAAGGTAGATTTGTTGTTTATCATACTAAATAACCTTATGCCTAATTTACTTGACTGCTAGAGTTACTAGGCTCTCTTGATAGGTTTTCCTAGTCCCAGCAAAATAAAGTTTTTGATTGTTTGTTTTGTAATTGCCTACAAATTTTTGGAAATTTTGGTTCCAGAAACAGGACCCTTGTAAAAATGGTGAGGCCATTTTTATTGTAAACTGGGCCTCATATTATGGATTTACATATAATTTATCTATGGTTATATATAGTTATATTTTTAATAAAACAATGGAGACTTTAAAACATTAGTTCCTTCAACTATTGCTCATTTAATGCAATGTCAAGAACTTTCAATATTCTAGTCTTTCTTCTCTGGACATACTATATTTGCATATAATTTTCATATTTTTACGTGGTCCTCTTAAAATGCAGTGCCCTGAAATGAAGCCAGTATTTACTCATGCCTTTCATTGCATATTGAAATTTTAGTATGTAACCAAAAATCACTTTAACCTTTGGTAGTCACATCTCATTATTAATTTATGTTTAGTATATATTCAACCAGAACAATATGTCTTTTTTAGATGCAGTGATATTATTCCAGGTCTTTTATATCTTATATGATTTCTACATAAATTACAGAAATTTACATATATTTATGCTAAATAAACCTTTTTTGTTTTTTCAAATTATGGATACATAATAGTTGTACATATTTATGGGTTACATGTGCTATTTTGATACAAATACACAAAATGTTATGATCAAATCAGAATAATTGGGATATCCATCACCTCAAGCATTTATAATTTTATTAAGTTAGGAACATTCCAATTCTATTCTTTAAGTTATTTTGAAATATACAATAAATTGTTTTAAACAATAATCACCCTATTGTGCTACTGAACAGTAGATCTTATTCCTCCTCTCTAACTTTATTTTTATGCCCATTAACCATTCCCTCTTTATTCCTCTCTTTCCACTACCCTTTCCAGTCTCTGGTACCATCATTCTACTCTGTCCCTCTCTCCATGTGTTCATTTTTTTTTTTTGTCTCCCACATATGAGTGAGAACGTGACATTTGTCTTTCTGTGCCTAGCTTACTTTACATAATGCCCTGCATTTCCAAACATGTTGCAAATGACAGGATTTCATTCTTTTTGATGGTTAAATGATATTCCATTGTGTATATGTACCACATTTTCTTTGTTCATTCATCTGCTAATGAACACTTAGGTTGATTTCATAGCTTGGCTATTGTGAATAGTGTCTCAATAAGCAAGGGAACACAGATCTCTTTGATATATTGATTTTTTTTCTTTTGGATACATACCCAGCAGTGGGGTTGCTGGGTCATATGGCAGTTCTATTTATAGTTTCTTGAGTACTTTCTATACTGTTCTCCATAATGGTTGTACTAATTTACATTCCCACAAATAGTGTATGAGGGTTCCTCTTTCTCTATACCCTTGACGGTGTTTGTTATTGCCTGTCTTTTGTATAAAAGCCATTTTAATTGTGGTGGGATGATAGTTCATAGTAGTTGTGATTTGCACTTCTCTAAGTATTAGTGGTGAACTTTTTAATATACCTGTTGGCCATGTATGTCGTCTTTTGAGAAATTTTTATTTGGAGCATTTACACATTTTAAAATTGGATTCTTTTTCTTTTTTTCTTTTTCTTTTTTTTCTTCAACTTTGATTTTAAGTTCCAGGACACATGTGCAGGATGTGCAGGTTTGTTACATAGGTAAATGTGTGCCATGGTCTTTTTTCTATTTAGTTATTTGGGTCTCTTACATATTGTAGTTACTAATCTTTTGTCAGATAGGTAGTTTGCAAATATTTTATCTCATTCTGTGTATTGTCTCTTCACTTTCTTGATTGTTTCTGTTGCTGCGCAGAAGCCTTTCAGCTTGATTTGATCTCCTTTGTCTATTTTTTTATTTGATTGCCTTTGCTTTTGAGGTTTTACTTAAGAAATATTTGCCCAGACCATTGTCTTGGAGTGTTTCTCAATGTTGTCTTTCAGTATTTTTATAGTTTCAGGTCTTAGATTTAAGTCTTTAATCAATTTTGATTTGATTTTTGTATATGGTGAAAGGCATCTAGTTTCATCTTTCTGCATATGGATATCCAGTTTTCCCAGCACCATTTATTAAACATGCCGTCCTTTCCTTAATGTATGTTTTTGGCATTGTTGCAAACAATAAGTTGACTGTAAATGTGTAGATTTGTTTCTGGGTTCTCTATTCTGTTTCATTGGCCTGTGAGTCTGTTTTTATGGCAATACCATGCTGTTTTGATTACTACAGCTCTGCAGTATATAATTTGAAGTGCGGTAATGTGATTCCTGCAGTTTTGTTCTTTTTGCTTAGAATAGCTTTGGCTGTTCTGGGTGTTTTGTGGTTCCATAGAAATTTTAGGATAGTCTTTTTTTTTGTATTTCTGTGAAGAATGTCATTGGTATTTTAATACAGATTGCATTGAATCTGTACATTGCTTTGGGTGGAATGGACATTAAAAAATATTGGTTCTTCTAATCCATGCACATAGAATAGCTTTCCTTTTTTTGTGTTCTCTTCAATTTCTTTCATTAATATTTTATGGTTTTCTTTGTAGAAATCTTTCACTTCTTTGGTTAAGTTTATCTCTAGGTATTTTATTTTATTTTATTTTATTTTATTTTATTTTATTTTATTTTATTTTATTTTATTTATTTGTAGGTATTGTAAATGGATTGCTTTTTTTTCCAGATTATTCACTGTTGGCATATAGAAGTACAACTGATTTTTTAATGTTAATTTTGTATTCTGCAACTTTACTGAATTTGTTGATCAGTTCTAATAGTTTTTTGGTGGAGTCTTTAGTTTTTTCTAAATATAAGATCATATAATTTTCAAAAATGAATAATTGAACTTCTTCCTTTCCAATTTGGATGCCCTTCATTTCTTTCTCTTGTCTACTTGCTCTGGCTAGGACTTCCAGTACTATGTTGATTGGTGAGTGGGCATCCTTGTCTTGTTCCAGATTTTAGAGAAAAAGCTTTCGGTTTTTCTTTGTTCTGTATGATACTAACTGTGGGTTTGTTATCTATAGCCTTTTTATGTTCAGGCATGTTCCTTCTATACCCAGTTTGTTGAGAGTTTTTATTATGAAAGAATGTTGAATGTCATCAAATGCTTTTTCTGGCATCTATTGAATTGATTGTATGATTTTTGCCCTTCATTCTACTGATGTGATGTACCATAGTTATTGATTGGCATATGTTGAATCATTCTTCCATCACTGAAATGAATCTCACTGAATCATCATGAAAGACCTTTTAGACATGTTGATTTCAGTTTGGTAGTATTTTGGGTTTTTAATAAATATTATTTATATTTGAGGTTTACAACATGACATTATGGGATAGCTGTAGGGAGTACAATGGTTGTTATAGTGAAGGAAATTGACATATCAATCATCTCATACACTTTTTTGTGGCAGCAGCAGTAAAAATCTACTTATTAAACATAAATCTTTAATGCTTGTATAATTTTTTTCTTTTTTGCTGTTCCATAACAATTTTTAAAATTTAATCCTTGCAATTTCTTTCAGCAAATAATTTATTTTATCATTATTTCTTAATTGAAAAATAATTATAGATATTCATAGGGTACAAAGTAGTGTTTTGATATATATAGTATATACTGATAAGGTCAGGGTAATTAGCATATCTATAATCTCAATAAATTTTTATTGGGAACATTCAATATCCTCCTTCTAGCTATTTGAAAGTACACACACACACAAACAATCACATACACGCACACTCACAGAGAGGGAGAAGGAGAGAGAGAGGCAGAGAGAGAGAGGGAGAGAGAGCAGGGTCTCATTATATTTCCCAGGCTGGAGTGCAGTGGCATGATCATAGCTCACCGCAGCCTCAAACTCTTTGGCTTAAGTGTTCCTCCCATCTCAGCCTTCCAAGTAGCTAAGATTACAGATGTACACCATCATGCCTGGCTAAATAAATTTTTTTTTGTAGACACAGGGTCTTGCTATGTTGGCCAGGCTAGTCTTGAACTCCTGGTCTGAAACAAACCTCTCACTTCAGCCTACCAAAATCCTGGGATTACATGCATGAGCCACTATGCACATCTAAAACTATATTTTATATATGTATATGTATATACATTATATATTACATATACATATAGCTAACTATAGTCATCCTTCAGTGACATAGAACACTAGAACTTATTTGTCCTATTTAGCTGCAATTTTGTGTCTCTTAGCAGAGCTGTCCCTATCCTTCCCTTCATTTTACCCTTCCCAGTCTCTAGTATCCTCTGTTCTACTTCTGCCTCCTGAGATCAAATGCCTTTCACTTCCACATATGAGTGAGAACATGCAGTGTTTAACTTTCTGTTCCTGGCTTATTTCCTTTAGCATGTCCTCTTGTTTCATTCATCCATGTTGCTGTGACCGGCGTGGTTTCCTTTTTTATGGCTGAGTAGTGTGTGTGTGTGTGTATATATATATACACACACACACACACACATATATATATACACGTGTATATATATACACATATATATACACATATATATATATACGTGTATATATATACACATATATATACACATATATAAGTATATATATACACATATATATATACGTATATATGTATATATACACGTATATATGTGTATATATACGTATATATAAACGTATATATACGTATACATACACACACACACACACACACACACACCCCTCACAATTTATCCATTCATCTGTTATTGGACACCTAGGTTCATTCCACATCTTGACTATTGTGAATAGTGCTTCAATAAACACAAGGGTGGAGATGTCTCTAATATGATATTTTTTTCTTTTGGATAAATTCCCAGTAGTGGGATTGCTGGATCATATGGTAGTTCTATTTTTAGTTTTTTGAGGGACTTCCATACTTTTCTTGACAGTGCTTTTACTCATTTGCATTCTCATCAACAATGTGTGATTACTTTCTTCCCTACATCCTAACCAGCATTTGCTATCTTTTGTCTTTTTCACAATAGCCATACAAGATGGGGTGGGATGATACCATACTGTATTATAGTTCCCTGAAGGTTAGTGATGTGGAGTATTTTTTTCACATATTTCTCTGTCATTTATATGTTTTCTTTTGAGAAATCCCTATTTAAATCACTGGCTCATTTTTAAATTGGATTGTGTTTTTGCTTTTTATATGCTTCAGCTCCTTATGTAATCCGGATATTAATTCCCTGTTGGAAGATTAGTTTGCAAATATTTTTTTCCCATCCTGTAGGTTGTTTTTACACTCTGTTGATTGCTTTCTTTGTTGTGCAGAAATCTGTAGTCTAACATAATCCTATTTGTTTACCTTTGCGTTTATTGCCTGCACTTTTGAAGTCTTATTCATACAATCTTACCCAGACCAATGTCCTGAAACATTTCTCCCATTTTCTTCTAGTAATTTTATAATTTTGGATCTTAAATTCAGGCATGTGATTCACTTTGAGTTGATTTTTCTGTAGGACGAGAGGTGAAAGTCTAGTTTTATTCTTTTGCATGTAGATATACAGTTTTCCTAGCACCACTTATTAAAGGGACTGTCCTTTTCCCTAATGAGTGTTATTGCTACCTTTGTCAAAAATCAGTTGGCTGTAAATATATGTATTAATTTCTGGGTTCTCCATTTTGCTCCATTGGTCTATGTTTGTTTTTATGCTAGTATCCTGCCATTTTGTTCACTACAACTTTGTAGTATATTTTGTGATCTGCTAGTGTGATACTTCCAGTTTTTCTATTTTTGCTGATGATTGTTTTGGCTATTAGAGGCATTTTGTAGCTCCAGACAAATTTCAGAATTTTTGTTCTATTTCTGTAAAGAACATTATTGGTATTTTGATAGGGATTGCACTGAATCTGTAGATTGCTTTGGGTAGTATTGCCATTTTAACAGTATTAATCCTTCCAATCCATGAGCATAGGATTTGTATCCTTCTATTTGCTTGTATCCACTTTAATTTCCTTTATAATTGTTATATAGTTTTCCCTGTAGACTTTTTTCAACTTCTTTAAAAAATTTATTCCTAGGTATTCATTATTTTATAGATATTTTAAGTGGGATTACCTTCTTGATTTATTTTTCATCTAGTTTATTGTACTTGTAAAAAAAGTACTGATTTTTATATATAAATTTTTTATCCTGCCACTTTAGTGAATTCATTTGTCAGTTTTAAGGGTTTTTGGCTGAGTCTTTAGATTTTTCTATAGATAGAATTATTCATCTACAAACAGGGATAATTTGGCTTCCTCTTTTCCAATTCGAATGCCATTTATTTCTTTCTCTTGCCTAACTACTCTGTTTAGGACTTCCAATAACTATGTTGGATAAGAGTGATGAGTATGGCAATCTTTGTCTTTTTCCAATTCTTAGAGAGAAAGCTGAAAGCTTATCCCTGTTTAGTAAGAAGTTAGCTGTGGATTTTTCATGTGTAGCCTTCATTATGTTGTGGTACTTATATTCTATATCTAATGTATTAGAAGTTTTTATGAAGCAATGTTGAATTTTCTCAAAACATTTTTCTATATCTATTGAGATGATAGTATGCTTTTTTTTGTCCTATATTGTATTGATATAATGCGTGTCATTTATTGATTTTCATTTGTTGAAACATCCTTGCATTCCTGAGACAAATCCCACTTGATCATGGTGTACTATCTTTTTGATGCATTGTTGGAATTGGTTTCCTATTGCTTTTTTTTTTTTTTTTTTTTGAGACAGAGTCTCGCTCTGTTGCCCAGGCTGGAGTGCAGGGTGCTATCTCAGTTCACTGCAACTTCCGCCTCCCAGGTTCAAGCGATTCTCCTGCCTCAGCCTCCCGAGCAGCTGAGACTGCAGGCACCCGCCACCACGTCCAACTAATTTTTGTACTTTTAGTAGAAACGGGGTTTCACCAAATTGGCCGTGCTGGCCTCAAACTCCTGACCTTGTGATCCACCTGCCTTGGCCTCCCAAAGTGCTGGGATTACAGGCATGAGCCACTGCGCCCAGCCCTAGCTTATCTTATTTTATTTTATTTGGATTTTTGCTCTACGTTTATCAGCAGTTTTAGTCTGTAGTTTTATTTTTCTGTGGTATTCTTGTCTGATTTTACCATGAAGGATATGCTGGCTTCATAGAATTAGTTAGGATGAATTCCTTCTGCTTTACATTTTTGGAATGGTTTGAGGAGAACTGGCAACTCTAGAAGTTCAATAAAATGCAGCAGTGAAGCCATCTGGTTATTCATATATTTCTTTATTTTTTTTGAGACTAGAGTCTTGCTTTGTCACCAAGGCTGGGGTGCAGTGGTGTGATCTCAGCTCACTACAACCTCCGCCTCCCAGGTTCAAGCGATTCTCCTGCCTCAGTCTTCCGAGTAGCTGGGACTACAGGCGCCTGCCACCACGCCCAGCTAATTTTTATATTTTTAGTAGAAACAAGGTTTCACCATATTGGCCAGGCTGGTCTCGAAATCCTGACCTTGTGATCTGCCCGCCTCAGCCTCCCAAAGTGCTGGGATTACAGGCGTGAGCCACTGTGCCTGGCCCCATCTGGTCTTCTATTTTTCTTTGTTGGAAGACTTTATTACTGATTCAATCTCATTACTTGTCATTGCTCTGTTCAGGTTTCTTGTTTATTTTTGGTTCAATCATGGTAGTTTGTATGTGTCCAGTAATTTATCCACTTTTGTTTTTCAAATTTGTTGGCATATATTTGTTCCTAGTAGTCTCTAATGATCCTTTGTATTTTGATGGTATCCATTATGATGTCTCCTTTTTTATTTCTGATTTATTTGGGGTTACTCTTTTTTCCTTATACTAGCGAATGTTTCGTCAATTTTGCTTATTTTTTTAAAAATTATTTTCTTTTATTAATCTTTGGCAATTCTTTTAATCTCAACTTTATTTCTGATGCAGTCTTCATTATTTCTTATTATTATACTTTAAGTTCTGGGATACATGTGTAGAACATGCAGGTTTGTTACATAGGTGTACATATGCCATGGTGATTTGCTGCACCCATCAACCCGTCATCTACATTAAGTATTTCTCCTAATGTTATCCCTCCCCTGGCCCCCAACCCCCCAACAGGCCCCGGTGTGTGATATTCCCCTCCCTGTGTCCTCGTGTTCTTATTGTTCAACTCCTACTTATAAATGAGAATATGCAGTGTTTGGTTTTCTGTTCATGTGTTAGTTTGCTGAGAATGATGGTGTCCAGCTTCATCCATGTCCCTGCAGAGGACATGAACTCATCCTTTTTTATGGCTGCATAGTATTCCATGGTGTATATGTGCCACATTTTCTTTATCCAGTTTATCATTGATGGGCATTTGGGTTGGTTCCAAGTCTTTGCTATTGTGAATAGTGCTTCAATAAACATATGTGTGCATGTGTCTTTATAGTAGAATGATTTATAATCCTTTGGGTATATACCCAGTTAATGGGATTGCTGGGTCAAATGGTATTTCTGGTTCTAGATCCTTGAGGAATCACCACACTGTCTTCCACAATGGTTGAACTAATTTACACTCCCACCAACAGTGTAAAAGCATTCCTATTTCTCCACATTTCTCCGGCACCTGTTGTTTCCTGACTTTTTAATGATCGCCATTCTAATTGACATGAGATGGCCATTATTTCTTTACTTCTACTATTTTGGGGTTTGATTTGTTCTTTCAAACTTCTTTAAGATACATCATTAGGTCATTTATGTGAATTTTCTTTTACTTTTTTGATATAGGCATTAGTTGCTATAAGCTTTCTTCTTAGTCCTGCATTTGCTGTATCCTATAGGTTTTGTTATGTTGGGTTTCCATTTTCCTTTGTTTCGATCATTTTAATTTTTTTTCTTAATTTCTTTACTGACCCAATGCTGCTTCAGGAGCATATTGTTTAATTTGTGTTTATATCGTTTCCAAAGTTCCTATTATTATTGATTTCTAGTTTTACTCCATAGTCATCAGAAAAGATAATTGATATGATTTTAATTTTTTTGAATTTTTGAGACTTCTTTTCTGGCCCAATGTATGGTCTAGTCTAGAGAATAATCCGTGGGCTGAGAAGCTTATGTATTTTGCAGCTGTTTGATCAAATGTTCTGTACATTTTTATTAGGTCCATTTGGTCCACAGTGAAGATTAAGTTTGATGTTTCCTTGTTGATTTTCTGTCTGGATGCTATGTCCAGTGCTAAAAATGAGATGCTGAAGCCTTCAGCTATTATTGTTTAGAGGTTTATTTCTGTATTGAGCTCTAATAATATTTACTTTATATATCTGGGTGTGCCAGTGATGGATACATATATATTGAGAATTGTTATTTTTCTCTTGTTGATTTGGCCCCTTTGTCATCATACAATTACCTCCTTTATCTTGTTTTACAGATTTTATTTTGAAATCTAGATATACTTTGTGTGATACAAATATACTTTGTCTGATACAAGTTACTTTTGGTCTTTTTAGGTTTCTATTTCCACGGAATACCTTTTTCCATCCCTTAATTTTCAGACTCTGTGTATCTTTATAGGTGAAGTGAGTTTCTTGTTGGTAGTATATAGGTGGGTCTTGCTTTTGTATCCATTCAGCTATCTATGTCTTTTGATTGAAGAATTTGGTTCATTAACATGTAATGTTATTTTTGATAGATAAGTAGTTTTTACTGCCATTTTGTTATTTGTTTTCTGGTTGTTTTGTTGGTTTTCTCTTTCTTCCTTTCTCCCTGTCTTCCTTTGTGTAAAAGTGATTTTCTGTGGTAGTATGTTTTAATTTTTTGCTTTTTATGTTTTGTGTATCAATTATAAGTTCCTGCTTTTTGGTTACCGTGAGGCTTGCAAATAACATAACTGATTATATTGAACTGATAACAACTTAATTCTGATCACAAAGAAAAAAATACAAACAAGCAAAGAGAAAACTAAAAACTCTACACTTTAACTTCATCCCATCCCTCCCCACTTTTTGACTTTGTTATCTCTATTTATATCTTTTTATATTGCCCATGTCTTAGAAATTTTTATAGTTATTATTTTTGATAGGTTTGTCTTTTAGTCTTCCTACTAAACATATGAGTTGTTTACACACCACAATTTCAGTGTTAGAGTATTCTGCATTTGTTTGTGTACTTACTTTTACCAGTGGGTTTTTTACTTTTAGATAATTTCCTGTTCATTATTAACATCCTTTTCTTTCATATGGAAAAACTCTCTTCAGCATTACTTGTAAAACAGGTCTGTTGTTGACAAAATCCCTCAGCTTTTGTTTGCCTGGGAAACAAACAAATTATTTCTCCTTCATGTTTGAAGGGTAATTTAGCAGGATATAATATTCTAGGTTGGAAATTTCTTTTTGTTATTTCAGTACTTTGAATATGCCATCTCATTTCAATATGTTGGCCTGTAAGGTTTCTAGTAAGTCTGCTGCCAGACATAGCTCCTTTATATATCATTTGCTTCATTTCCTTTCCTGCTTTTAGGATCTGTTCTTTATCGTTGACTTTTGAGAGTTTTATTATATACTTTGAGGTAGGCTTATTTGGGTTAATTATGCTTGGCATTCTTTGACCTCCTTGCACCTGGATATTGCTATCTTTCTCTATGTTTGTAACGTTCTTTGTTATTATCTTTTTCAGATCAACTTTCCATCCTCTTCTCTCTACATCCATTTTAAAGCCAAGAACTGTAAGATTTGTCCTTTTGAGACTATTTTCTAGATCTTGTAGATATGCTTTTTTATACTTTTTTCTCCTCTGATTGTGTATTTCATATAGCCTCTGAGCTCACTAATACTTTCTTCTGCTTGATCGGTTCTGCTTTTGAGAGGCTGATACATTTTAAAGTTTGTCAAATGAATTTTTTTAGCTTCAGAATTGCTGCTTTTTATTATTTTAATTTTTATGATAAATTTCTCTGATAGAATTCTAAATTCCTTCTCTGTGTTATCTTAAAGTTTACTGAAGTTCCTCAAGACAGTTATTTTGAATTTTCTGTCCGAGAGGTCACATGTCTCTGTCAGTCAAGAGTCATTCACTGGTGCCTTGTTTATTTATTTTTGTTTTCTGGATGTTACTGATGCTTGTGAACATTCCTCATTGTCTGAGCATTGAAGAATTAGTTATTCCTTCTAGGGAGGGCCTTCTAAGGATTCAGAAATAATTGACTGTCATGACCTAAGCTTGTGGCTACTGCAGCTGTTTCAGCACTAGGGGATGTCCTAAGCCCAGGAACACTATGACTCTTGCAGACTTGGTTGACTTGGTGAAGACAATTCTCTGGGCTACCAGGCAGAATCTCTTGCTCTTTCCTCTCTTTCTCCTAATCAGAAGGAGCCTCTTTCCCTGCTGGGCTGCTTGGAGTCGGGGGATGGATTAGTCAGGGTTCTCTAAAGGGACAGAAATAATAGGATAGATGAATACAGGGGAGTTCGTTAGGAGAATTGACTCACATTATCACAAGGTGAAGTCCCACAATAGGCTGTCTGCAAGCTGAGGAGCAAGGAAACCAGTTCGTGTCCCCAAATCTCAAAAGTAGGGAAGCTGATAGTGCAGCCATCAGTCTATGGCCAAAGGCCTGAGAGCCCCTGGCAAATTGCTGGTGTAGGTTCACGAGTCCACAAGCTGAAGAACTTGGAGTCGGATGTTCTAGGGCACGAAGCATCCAGCATGGGAGAAAGATGGAGGCTGGAAGACCTCCAAGTCTGCTCTTTCCATTCCTGCTTTTATGCTGGCAGATGATTAGATGGTGCCCACTCAGATTAAGGGTCAGTCTGCCTCTCCCAGTTCACTGACTCAAATGTTAATCTCTGTTAGCTACACCCTCACAGACACATCCAGGAACAATAATCTGCATCCTTCAATGCAATCAAGTTGCCACTCAATATTAACCATCACAGGGGAGGTGTGATGGGGGTACTCCCATGACCACTACAGCTGTCACTGCTCTGGGTTCTCACCTGAAGCTTGTGGCCTTACAGTTCATTACTGGGGCTACCCAAGGCCCATAGCCACTACTACCTGCCTGCTGCTGCTGCTGCTATTAATTCACTGCCCAAGTCCATTTTAATTAGTAGGTGGTGAATCTTGCTGGAACTGCATTTATCCTATCAGGGCAGTGGATTCTTTTTTGGCCTAGGGTGGGTCTAGATATGTCATCCAGTTGCAAAGACCTGGAACTGAGGGCTTCGAGAATATGCATAGTGCTTTATTTTTATTGCGGCTGAGCTGGTACCCAAATCACAAGACAAAGTTCTTGTACTCTTCACTCAAATGGAAGGAGTCTCTCCCCAGACTTCCCTGCTTGGAGTTGGGGAAGGGTTGACACAGGTACTCTCTTAGCCACTGTAGCTGGTGTCACACAATTTGTACTCCAAGCCCACTGCCTCCAAGACCAGTGCAGCATCAGGGCTTGCCCAATGATTGCAGACCTTGTGGCCTGATTTCCACTCAAATTTGTTCAGGTCTCCAGGCCACTTTAGTCAGCTGGTGTTTAAGCTGGCTGGGACTTGAGTTCTTCCCACTGGGGAAGATGATTTCCCTCTGGCCCAGGGCTGCTCAAAATGCCTCCTCCATTGGCATCAGCAGAATTCTGCCCTGGGATGTATTCTGCTATGACAGGACAACACTGAATTCCAATGCAAATTTCCACACTCACTTTGCTCTCACTTTCCCAAACACACACAGATTCTCTTTTTGTTCTGCAATGCCTAAGGTTGGAGAAGGAGGGGTGTACTCAATATAAGACTGTCCTTTCTACCCTCTTCAATGTCGCTTTCCTTGCTATTATGTTACAACCAGGTTCTTTGATTTGATACTTTCATTCTTATAAAGGTGTTTTATTGTGTGGGTAGTTGTTCAATTTGGTGTTCTTGTTGGGGAACAATTGCTGGGGGGGTTCTGTTCAGCCATTTTTCTTCATCTCCTTCAAAGTATATTTTTGGGCCAGGCACTGTGGCTCATGCTTGTAATCCCAGTACTTTGGGAGGCTGAGGTGGGCGGATCACAAGGTCAGGAGTTCAAGACCAGCCTAGCCAACATAGTGAAACCCCGTCTCTACTAGAAATACAAAAAAAAAAAAAAAAAAAAAAAAAACAAAAAAAACCCCAGGCGTGGTGGCAGGTGCCTGTAATCCCAGCTACTCAGGAGGCTGAGGTAGGAGAATAGCTTGAACCTGGGAGGCAGAGGTTGCAGTGAGCTGAGATTGTGCCACTGCATTCCAGCCTGGGTGACAGTGCGAGACTCTGTCTCAAAAAAAAAAAAAACCAAAAAACAAAAAACAAAAACAAAGCAAAACAAAACAAAAATATATATATATATATTCATTGTTTCAATCGGTTGATAGTTTGTAAAAACTGATTCTGTCATTCAAATTTGGTAACTATTTTTTTAAACAAAAGTAATGAGAGTAAACTGATATAGATGGTACTTATGAATTAGTAAGAAAGATCAAATTATTTCTAGGAAGATTTTCTTTTTTGTTTTTCAATGAAGTTTGCTTTTTCCATATAATATTTAAGTACTGAAGTGTGGATATTGTTTATACTTTGGATTCCTGATAAGAAAGAATAAGTGGCTATATGTGCTGGCGTTTCTTCATTAAACAAAATAGATATTGAGAAGCTACTGTGTGAGAGGGGCTAATGCTAGTTCTTAGGGATATATAGAGTAGTAAAATAAGTTATACTTGCTGAAAGGACTTCTTGGCTTGGTAAGGAGACAATGCAATGTGACAAGTGGTGTAATGGAAGCAAGCTCAGAGGAGTGGGAGAGTATAATTGAAGGACATCAAAGCCATCCTGGAAGTTCCTGTAAGGCTCCTTGGAGGACACAAATCTGAACCTAGCTTTACGGCAGAAAGCTAGGTGAAGAAGTGGAAAGAACGGGAAAGAATGAGTCAAGATAATACACTCAATATATGTAGGAATTTTTCCTTACCCCTTTCTCTAAGCATGACAATTTTAAATAAAGTCATCATCATCAAAACTAGTGAAGCTTAAAAATAAGAAAAGAGAACGCAGCCATCCCTTGGTATATGTGAGGGATCGATTCTAAGACTCCTCCCCTGTGAATACCCAAATCCTTAGGTGCTCAAGTTCTTGAAATATCAACTATGCACATTCTCCCATATACTTTAAATCATCTTTAGACTACTTATAATACCTAATGCAATGTCTATACGTAAACTTACTTATGTGGATTCAACACAGTACTTGGCATGTGGCAAAATTAAGTCTTGATTTTGGGAACTTTGTAGACTTAAATATTTTTGATCAGTGGTTGGTTGATTCCACAAATGTGGAACCCACATATATGGAGATATGCCTGTATGTACGTGGTAGAATCATGAGTGGAACTCAGAGTATTTAGTGGGAGATGAAGGTAAGCAGCTCAGGGATGTTACAATTAAGCTTTAAGGCTGAGAGGATAAGCGAGAGGACATGAGAACCCCAGAGAATGTAAGTGGGGTGTTCTACATAAGATGGAGCCAGAAAGGGCCTACCCAATCTACAAATGGGTTGTAGCACAACTTTTTATTTTATTTTTTTGAGACAGAGTCTCGCTCTATTGCCCAGGCTGGAGTACAGTGGTGCAATCTCGGCTCACCACAACCTCTACCTCCTGGATTCAAGCGTTTCTCCTGCCTCAGCCTCCTGAGTAGCTGGGATTACAGGCACGTGCCACCATGCCCGGCTATTTTTTTGTATTTTTCATAGAGATGGGGTTTTACCTTGTTAGCCAGGATGGTCTTGATCTCCTGACCTCGTGATCTGCCTGCCTTGGCCTCCCAAAGTGCTGGGATTACAGGCGTGAGCCACCGCCTGGCCTTTGGCACAACTTTGTACTCCATGTTAAGCATAGAAGAAATAAGAGCCATTTGACACATGCAATACATAAAAAAAGAGTGACCTAGAAGCAATCAGAATATTAAGCCATTTGTGGATATTGGCAATATATGGTAAATACCAACATATTGTAAAACTAGAGCAGAGAAACCAATGTTAAAACTGGTCCAAAAAGATAAAACATATAGGGCCTAAGAAAGGCAAATTCAAGATTACATACAGAAAACTCTACAAGCCAGAACATGCGCATGACTCCTAAAAAAACAAACAGGCAAACAAAAAACCCACAGTATCTTCTGAAAATGAGTTCATAGAACAAACACACAAGAGTTTAAGCAAACCAGCAAACAAACAAATAAGTGGACAAACAGGAAACTTTCCATATGACAGATAATTTGCAAACTCAAGAAACATAATCCACACTCTCATGGCACTACAGATAATACAACCATTGAACATGATTTATAACATATGATCAAAAATATAAAGGAAAAGAATTTTGTATTGAGATGTCAGTGTATGGAGCTTTATGAACCTAGTCCCCAGAGAAATAAGCATAAATAGTGAAACTTATAAAAAAGATTAAAATAATGATATATTGTCCCAAGGCCATAAAGCAAAGAAACATTTTATTCAAAGAAAACCTATTAAGACTTACTACAAACCGCAAGAGACTGTGGTATTTGAATTCTGACCTGCTTCCCGGCAGAGTGTGACAAAATCTCTAGTCTGGGTAGGTATGGCCAACAAGATGGGGCTCTCTCTTCTCTCAGTTTTAAAATCAAGTAACATGGTATCTCTCCAGAAGGGGCATACTGACATCACTTTTTGACCCAACATCTTCAAGTTTAAGAGGCTAAATTTCTGGGCAGTGTGTCCAAGATGCTGGGGCCCACCTTCTTTCACTGAGTCCCCATTCATAGGATGAAGGCTATACCCTAGACTTGATCCAGCTCATTCATAGGACTAAAATTCCACAACAAGAGAGGCAAGCAAAAAATACTAGAGGTTACCACTTACTCAGTGGTTACCACTTTACCCAGAGCCAGTGCCTGGAGTAATGGCTCAGGAACTTTTTACATGGGGAGTAATAGTACATAAGAATAGAGAGTTCTGAAGTTCTCCTAGCTTCTTCCAGTTTTCCCAGCCTCAGAACTCCTAGTGAGTCAGAAACTGACTTTATTTGAATGACAGAATGGGGAAACTTAAGCCTAAATGTGCTCTTGAAAACAATAGCTGTTCTTAAGTGAGAACAAGAAGTTACTTCATAGGGTCAACTAGTTTTTTAGAAAGAACAGGGAAAGAAATAGCTAAGAAGAACACTCTTGGGATCAGAGCAAACCTCAGACTGACACTAAAAACAATCACTGCCAAAATTTAATTGAATTATACTAGGAGCAATTTATGGCCCAAGGCATTGCTGGAAACAAAATGGCAACCAGCCAGCAATTAGCGGGGCCTAAGGGCTGGGTGTTAATACCAACTGAAGTAAACAGGTTGATAGAGATCAAAGAAAGATGCAATGATAGCTCTGATAAAACCACTGTCATTCCGGGGTGACAGTGTGCAGCTCCTGAGAAACAACATCAAAGGCTTCACACTAAGTGAATAAATTAGACTTCATTCAAACAGTCTAGCCAAGTCACTAAATAAACAAGGAATAAAATAACAACTAAAACAAGCCTTAAATGTGAGGAGAAGAATCACCATCCAGAGTTGCTGTATTACCTAAAATACTTAGTTTTTAACAACAAATTACGAGACATGCAAGGAAAATGGAAAGTGCAACCTGTATACACATACAAAGAGCAGACAGCAGGCCGGGCGCAGTGGCTCATGCCTGTAATCCCAGTACTTTGGGAGGCCGAGGTGGGCGGATCACCTGAGGTCAGGAGTTCAAAACCAGCCTGGCCAACATGGCGAAACCCTGTCTCTACTAAAAATACAAAAATTAGCCAGGCATAGTGGTAGGCGCCTGTAATTCCAGCTACTCAGAGAGGCTGAGGCACAAGAATAGCTTGAACCCAGGAGGTGGAGGTTGCAGTGATCAGAAATCTTGCCACTGCACTACAGCCTGGGCGACAGAGCAAGATTCCATTAAAAAAAAAAAAAAAAAAGAGAAAAAAGCAAATAGCACACACTTTTTGTGAGAACCCAGATATCAGATTTAACATACAAAAATATAGCAAAAAAATTGAAGAAATGAAAATGTTACATTAGGCAATATTTGCTAAATGCAAAAGAAATCAATAAGGAAGAATAGAGAAAGAGGGAAAAAAAACCCATGAGACATAGAGAAAACAAAAGTAACATAACATGTAATTCAAAATATATTGATATTATAATAACATTAAATGTGAATGGATTAAATAGCCCAATCAAAAGGTAGAGATTTCCAGTCTGGATGAAAAAGAAAAGCAAGAACCAAATATGCTGTCTACATGGGACACTTTAGATTCAAAGGTACAAATGGGTTGACAGTAAAAGGATGGAAAAAGATATTACATACAACAATAATTAACTTGAAATAACTAGACTAATATCAGAGAAAATAGACTTTAAAACAAATTACTAGAGATAAAAGAGGTATTTTATAATAATAAAAAAGTCAATGCATCAGGAAGATATAATAGTTTTAAACAAATATACACCAAACAACAGAACCTCAAAATAAAGACACAGTTGACATAAATCAAGGGAGAAATAGACAATTCAATAACAATAACTCATTTTCTTATTTTATTTTATTTTTTATTTTTTTTGAGACAGAGTCTTGCTCTGTCGCCCAGGCTGGAGTGCAGTGGCGCGATCTCGGCTCACTGCAAGCTCCGCCTCCCAGGTTCACACCATTCTCCTGCCTCAGCCTCCCGAGTAGCTGGGACTACAGGCGCCCGCCACCACGCCCGGCTAATTTTTTGTGTTTTTGGTAGAGACGGAGTTTCACCGTGTTAGCCAGGATGGTCTCGATCTCCTGACCTCGTGATCCGCCCGCCTCGGCCTCCCAAAATGCTGGGATTACAGGCGTGAGCCACCGCGCCCGGCCAACAATAGCTCATTTTCAATAACAGATAGAACATCTAGGCAGGGGAGCAATAAGAAAACAGACATGAACACTATATGCCAATTAGACCTAAGAAACATCCATACAGCACTCCGACCAATAACAGCAGAACACATATTCTTGAATGCACGTGGAATATTCTCTAGGATAGACCATATGTTAGGTCATAAGACAAGCCTCAATAAAATTAAAAAGATTTAAATCATACAAAGTATGTTCTCTAACAACAATGGAGTAAAATTAGGAAAGGACACTTGACAAATTCACAAATATGTGGAAATTAAATAGTACACCCATAAATAACCAATGCCTCAAAACTACACATTATGTGTATTAACACCTCACTATCTACCCCATGAATATGTACAATTAATATTTGTTAATTAAAAAATAAAATTGAAAGCAAACAATGCTACACACACACACACAAAATGAATGACTGAAAAATGAAAAAAAAATCACATGGAGAATTAGAAAATACTTAAGATGAATATAATTGAAAATGAAGACAAAACATACCAGAAGTTATGAAATGAAGTTAAAGCAGTGCTTAGAGAAAGATTTATAGCTGTAAACACCTACATCAAAAAAGAAGACACATCTAAATGAATAATGTGGTCTTTTACCTTAAGACGCTAGGAAAAGAGGAGCAAAATAATCCCAAAGCAAATAAAAGGAAGAAAAATGTAACCTCTAGAGTATAATTGTTAATTAAATAAACAATAGAAAAATATTAGATGAAAGCAATGAAACCAATAGTTTGTTCTTTGAAAAGATCAGCGAAATTAATACACATTTACCTTGACAGGCCAAGAAGAAGAGCTGACTAAACTACTAAATTCTAGAATGAAAGAGGAATACTATAAACAATTATATGCCAACAAATTAGATAATCTACACAAAATGGAAAATTTCCTAGGAAGGAACAATAGAAAATCTGAATAGACCTATAAAAAATAAAGAGATTTAATTGGCTAGAGGACTAACAATTTTATTTATCTTAAAAAAACAGCTTTTGGTTCCATTGGTTTTCTCTATTAATTTCTTGTTTTGAATTGTATTGATTTCTGCTCTGATTTAAATTATTTCTTTTCTTCTGCTTACTTTGGATAATTCACTCTTCTGTTGCTAGTTTTCTAAGGTAGAAGCTTATATAAGTTTAGATCTTAGATCTTCTAAGATTTTAGATCTTTTAGATCTTCTTTTCTAATGTGTGCATTCAGTCCTATAAATTTCCCTTTAAGGTTGCTTTTGCTGCATCCCACAAATTTTAAGTTGTGTTTTCACTTAGTTCAAAACATTAGAAATTTTCTCTTGATATTTGCTCATTGACCCGTGTGTTATCTAGAACTTTGTTGTTTAATCTCCAAGTATTTCAGGATTTCCCCGCTATCTTTATGTTATTGATTTCTAGTTTAATTCCATTGTGGTTTGAGAACAGAGATTGAATGATTTTTGTTCTTTTAAACTTGTTAGGGTGTATTCGATGGCCCACAATGTAAGTTCTATCTTGCTGGATGTCTAACGGGAGCTTGACATGAATGTGCATTCTGCTTTTGTTGGATGAAGTGGGCTACAGATAACCATTATATCCAGTTGGTTGGTGGTGGTGTTGAGTACAACTGTGCTCTACTAATTTTCTGACTACTAGATCTGTTCATTTCAGATAAAGGGGTGTTGAAGTTTCCAACTATAATAGTAGATTTATTTATTTCTTCTTGAAAATCTATCAGTTTTTGCCTCATGTATTTTGATGTTCTGTTGTTAGGTGCAGACACATCAAGGACAATTATGTCTTCTTCGATAATTGGCCCCTTTATCAACATGTAATACCCTTCTTTACCCTTGATAATTTCCTTGCTCTCAAGTCTGTGTCTTCTGAGATTAATACAGCTATTCCCACATTCTTTTGATTAATGTTTGCAATGTATATTTTTCTCCATCCATTTACTTTTAATCTAATGTGTCCTATATTTAAAGTGAGTTTCTAGCAGACAACATATAGATGGGTCTGGCTTTTAGATCCACTCTGAAAATCTCTTTTAATTGGTGCATTTGGACAATTAACATTCAAAGTGATTATTGACACATTTGGATGAATATCTACCATATTTGTTACTATTTGATATTTGTTGCCCTTTTTAGTCCTATTTTTGTTTCCCTTCTTCATTTTCTTGTGGTTTTAATTGTGCATTTTATACAATTCCATTTTGTCTTCTCTCTTAGAATATTGGCTGTACTTTTTTCTTTTTTTTAAAAGTGGTTTCTGTAGCATTTACTATATACACTTACAAGTAGTCTAAGCCCACTTTCGAATAATATATACCTCTTTACAGATAGCGTGAGTGTCTTATATCAAAATAATTTTGGCCGGGCGCGGTGGCTCATGCCTGTAATCCCAGCACTTTGGGAGGCCGAGACGGGCGGATCACGAGGTCAGGAGATAGAGACCATCCTGGCTAACACAGTGAAACCTCGTCTCTATTAAAAATACAAAAAATTAGCCGGGCGTGTTGGCGGGCGCCTGTAGTCCCAGCTACTCGGGAGGCTGAGGCAGGAGAATGGCGTGAACCCGGGAGGCAGAGCTTGCAATGAGCCGAGATCGCACCACTACACTCCGGCCTGGGGGACAGAGCGAGACTCTGTCTCAAAAAAAATTTTTGCAGCCATAAAAAATGATGAGTTCATGTCCTTTGTAGGGACATGGATGAAACTGGAAAGCATCATTCTCAGCAAACTATCGCAAGGACAAAAAACCAAACACCGCATATTCTCACTCATAGGTGGGAATTGAACAATGAGAACACATGGACATAGGAAGGGGAACATCACACACAGGGGACTGTTATGGGGTCGGGGGATGGGGGAGGGATAGCATTAGGAGATATACCTAATGCTAAATGACGAGTTAATGGGTGCGGCACACCAACATGGCACATGTATACATATGTAACAAACCTGCACATTGTGCACATGTACCCTAAAACTTAAAGTATAATAATAATAAAAATAATTTTTTTAAAATTTCCTCCTTCCATCCATTTTATCATACATATCATCATACATAAGCATGCATAACTGTATATATATATCCACACACACATAAGCATACATATTTAAATACATCATTGCTATTATTATTTTGAACAAGACTCATCTGTTGTATTAATTAAGAATAAGAAAACTAGCACCTGTTAGCCCAGCACTTTTGGAGGCCAAGGCAGGAGGATCACTTGAGCCCAGGGGTTTGAGACTAGCCTGGGCAGCATAGCAAGACCCCATCTCTACAAAAAAAATTAAAAATTAGCCAGGTATAGTGGTGTGTACCTGTGGCCCCAACTACTTTGGAAGCTGAGGCAGGAGGATCACTTGAGCCCAGGAGTTTGAGGCTGCAGTGAGCTGTGATCCTGCCACTGTACTCCAGCCTGGGTGACAGAGCAAGACCCTGCCTCAAAAAAATGCATATATTTAAAATATAAATATAATAAAAATATATAATATATAATAAATAAAAGTTTTTATTTTACCTGTACCTATTCTTTCTCTGATGCTCTTCCTTTTTTATGTGGATGCAAGTATCTTACCTATATAATTTCCTTTCCATCTAATGAGTTTCTTTTAATATTTCTGGCAAGGATTGTGTACTGGCAACACATTTCTTCAATTTTTTGAAAACCACATATTCCTCTTTCATTTTTGAAGAATATTTTTTTCTGGGCACATAATTCTAGATTAGTGTTCTTTTTTTCTCAGTACTTTTTTATTTCACTCTTTTCTTGCTGGCATGGTTTCTGAAGAGAAGACGGATGTTATTCTTATCTTTGCTTCTTCATAGGTCAGCTGTTTTTTTCCTTTGGTTTCTTTCACAGTTTTTTACCCTGTCTTTGATTTTCTTGTAGTTTCAAGATGATATGCACAGGTGTAGGTTTTTTTTTTTTTTTTTTTTGGCATTTATCCTGCTTGATATTCTATGAGCTTCCTGGATCTGTGGTTCTGTGGTTGACAATGATTTGGGGGAAAGTTCTCAGTCATTATTGCTCCAAGTATTTTTTCATTCCTTTTTCTCTCTCTTTGGTTTCTTATATTCTCATTATGTGTATGTTAAATCTTTAGTGGTTGTCCCTCAGTTCTTGGATATCGTGTTCTGTTTTTTTCAGTCCTTTTTTTCTCTTTGCCATTCAGTTTTAGAGTTTCTATTGAGATATCTTTAAGCTCAGAGGTTTTTTCCTCAGTTACATCAGTCCACCTAATAATCCTATCAAAAACATTCTTTTCTGTCACAGTGTTTTTCATTGATAGTGTTTTTTTGTTTTCTAGAATTTTCATTTCTCTGCTTACATTGTTCATATGATCTTGCATACTGCCCATTTTACCCATTAGAGCCCTTATCATATTAATCATAATTGTTTTAAATTGCTGGTCTGATAATTCCAATGTCCCTGCTATATCTGTGCCAGATTCTGATGTTTGCTCTGTCTCTTCAAAGTGTATTTTTTGCCTTTTGGTATGTCTTGTAATGTTTCTTGATAGTCAGACACTATATGCTAAGTAAAAAGACTACTGTAAATAGGTCTTTAGGAGTGTGGTGGTAAGGTATGGGGAAAGATGAAGCATTCTGTATTAGTACGATCAGGTCTCAGTTCTTTAGATGATCATGTGCCCCTGGACTGTGAAATTCACCAGGGCTTCCCATTCTTTTCCCACATTAGTGGTGGGGCAAGATGGCTAGCATAGGCTGGAGTTAGATATTTCCTTTCCAGCAGGTCAGTTAGACTCTGAAAAGGCCCAGTAGGTTAGGCTCTGCTTAACTACTTTCTCCTGAGAGTAGACCTTGTTAAGAAGAACAGAATGCTTTGGTGCATTTTAAAATGGTTTCTTCTCCTCCAACCCCCACCAGAAGTACAAGGGGATTTTTTTTTCTCAGATTAACTATGAAAATTTGATTTGGCTTCAGTAAATAAAACTCACAAATGTGTGAGTCCCCATTATGATTATGACTGGATATGCCTAGGGTTTTTAGTTCTCAGAGATGTCCACACTGAGTCTCTAGCAATTTGTGAATTATAGTTGAGAATTTTTTTACCCTGTCACTAGATTCCACAGAGCTTTCAGCTCCTGGGTTTCTGCTCTACTATACTGTGTTTCTCTATATTCACCTGTCAGTCTCTCCAATTGTTGGGGAATCAGTTTGCCCTGTGACCTCAACTCTCTTACAGATCCAGGAAGAGTCATTGATTTTTCAATTTGTTCACCTCTTCACTTGTTATTAGGATAGAGTGGTGACTTCCAGACTTCCTGCTTGCTGAACTGTAAATCAGAACTCTTTTGGCTTGTTTTCTAATAGAATTTTTTTTTACTATTGATTTGATAGTTCTTTATATATTTTCGATAGCAGTCCTTTGTCAAATATGTGTTTTGCTAATGTACACTCACAGTCTGTAGCTTGTATTTTCATCCTGACAGAGTATTTCAGAATGCAAATTTTTTAATATTGATAAAATCCAATTTATCAATTTTTCCTTTTATGTATAATGCTTTCAGTAAAAAATCTAAGATCTATGTCTAACTCTAGATCCTTAAGAGTTTCTCCATTCCCCCCCAGTTTTATAGTTCTATATTATAATTTTAGGTTTTGATTCATTTTAAATTAAGTTTTGTACAAGGTGTGAGACCAGTCAATTATTTTCCCTATGGATGTTCAATTACTTCAGCACCATTTGTTGTAAAGGCTAACCTTTTTCCATTGAATTGCTTTTACACCTTTGTCAAAAATTAGTTGGTGTATTTGCTTTCATCTATTTCTGGATATTTTCTGTTCTGTTGATCTATGTGCCTATCCCTCTGTAAATACCACAAAGTCTGACTACTGTAGCAGCATTTAAGGTCAGATGGACTTCTTTCTCCTACTGTGTTCTTTTTCAAAATTTCCTTTAGCTATTCTAGTTATTTTAAATTTTCATGTAAGTTTTAGAATGGTCTTATTTGGATATTGATTATAATTGTATCACACTTATTTATCAATCTGGGGAAAATTAAGACATTTACTCTTTTGAGTGTTCTAATTAATGAATACGATTTGCCTTACCATTTGTTTAGATATTCTTTTATTTCTTTCATCAACATTGTATATTTTCAGCATGTAAATCATGCACATGTATTCTTAGATTTATACCTAAGTATTTCTCATTTTTAAGCCATTATAAATAAAACTATATTATAAATTATAAAAATAATTATAAATGATATTGTTTTTAATTTTAGTGCCCACATGTTTATTGCTAGTATATAGAAATAACATTTATTTGTGTATGTTGATCTTTTATCTTGTTTGAATGTATTTATTCTAGGAGTATTTTAAAAATGGGTTAATTGGTGTTTTCTATGTAAACAATCATGACATCTACAAACAGGGAAGTTTTATTATTTTCTTTTCTGATCTGCATGCCTTTTGTTTCCTTCTCTTTCCTGGTTGCATGTCTAGAACCTCCAGCACTATGTGGAATAAAAGTGATGAGAATAGACACACTTGCTTCATTCACAATTGAAGGAGAAAAGCATTTAGTTATTCAACATTTGGCATAATGTTAACTGTAGTTTTTTCATACCTTTTTTTTTTATCAAGTTGAGGAATTTCCTCTATATTTCTATTTTCTGAGAGTTTTTTTCATTATGAATGAGCACTGAATTTTGTCAGATGCTTTTTCTGCAATGATTGATGTGATAACATACATTTTTCTTCTTTAACCTGTTAATAGGGTGGATTAGATTGATTTTTTTATTTAAATAGCTTTAGTGGTACAAGTGGTTTTAGGTTACATGGATGAATTGTATAATGATGATGTTCAAGATTTTAGTGTACCCATCTTGTGAGTAAGGTACATTTTTCTCAATATGTAGTTTTTAATCCCTCACCCCTTCCCAACCTCCCTCCTTCTAAATCATCAATGTCCACTATACCACTCTGTAGGCCTTTGCATATCCATATAGTGTAGCTCCCACTTGTATGTGAGAATATGTGCTGTTTGATTTTCTATTCCTAAGTTACCTCCCTTAGAATAATGACCACCAGCTCCATCCAAGTTGCTGCAAAAGACATTATTTCATTCTTTTCTATGACTGAGTGGTATTTCATTAAATATACACATATATGTATATATATGTTTATACATACACACACACACATATATATAATACACACACACATTTTCTTTATCCACTCGTTGGTTGATGGGCACTTAGGTTGTTTTCATATGTTTGCAATTGTGAATTGTGCTGTGATAAATATATGTGTTCAGAAGTCTTTTTAACATAATGACATCTTTTCCTTTGGGTAGATTGGGACTCCTGGATTGAGCGGTAGATCCACTTTTAGTTCTTCGAGAAATCTCCATACTGTTTTCCATACAGGTTATACTAATTTACATTCTCACCAGCAGTGTGTAAGTGTTCCCTTTTCACGACATCTACACCAATCTATTGTTTTTTGACTTTCTCATAATGGCCATTCTGGCTGGGGTAAGGTGGTGTATTAGTCTGATCTTGCACTGCTATAAAGAAAAACCTGAGACTGGGTAATTTATTAAGAAAAAAGGTTTAATTGGCTTAGAGTTCTGTAGGCTGTGCAGGAAGCATAGTGACTTCTGAGGAGGCCTCAGGAAATGTTCAATCATGGCAGAAGGCAAAGGAGAATTAGATATGTCTTACATGGCTGAAGCAGGAGAAGGAAAGAGAGAGGAAGGTGCTACACACTTTTAAACAACCAGATCTCGTGAGAATTCTATCATGACAACAACACTAGACGGATGGTGCTAAACCATTAGAAACTGCCCCCATGATCCAATCATCTCCCACCAAACTCCACCTCCAGTATTGGTGATTTGTATTAGTCTGTTTTCACACTGCTGATAAAGACATACCAGAGACTGGGCAATTTACAAAAGAATGAGGTTTAATTAGACTTACAGTTCTACATGGCTGGGGAGGCCTCACAATTGTGGCAGAAGGCAAGGAGGAGCAAGTCACATCTTACGTAGATGGCAGCAGGCAAAGAGAGCTTGTGCAGGGAGACTCCCATTTTTAAAACCATCAGATCTCATGAGACCCATTCACTATCACAAAAACAGCATGGGAAAGACCTGCCCCCATGATTCAATCATCTCCCACCAGGTCCCTCCCATAACACATGAGAATTATGGGAGCTACAACATGAGATTTGGGTGGGGATACAGAGCCAAACCATATCAGGATTACAGTTCAATATAAGATTTGGGTGGGGACACAGATCCAAGCCGTATCAGGTGGTATCTCATTGTGGTTTTAATTTGCATTTCCCTGATTAGTGATGTTGAGCAATTTTCTTATGTTTCTTGGCCATTTGTGTATCTTCTTTTGAGAAATGTCTATTCCTATCATTTGTCCACTTTTTGATGGTCTTTTTTTTCTTGCTAATTTGTTTGAGTTCCTTGTAGATTCTGGATATTAGTTCTTTGTTGGACGCATAGTTTGTAAATATTTTCACTCATTCTTTGGGTTGTCTGTTTACTCTGATGAGTATTTATTTTCCTATGCAGAAGCTTTTTAGTTTAGATAGGTCCCACTTATTTATTTTTGTTTTTGTTGTATTTGCTTTTGAGGTCTTAGTCATAATTCCTTGCCTAGACCAATGTCCAGAAGAGTTTTTGCAAGGTTATTTCCTAGAAATTGTATGGCTTCAGATCTTAGATTTCTGTCTTTAATCCATTTCCATTGACTTTTGTATAAGGTGAGAGATAAGGATCCAGTTTAATTCTTCTTTGTGTGGCTATCCAGTTTAACCAGCACCATTTATTGAATAGGGTGTCCTTTCCCCAGTGTATATTTTTGTCAACTTTTGAAAGATCAGTTGGCTATAGGTATGTGGTGTTGTTTCTGGGTTCTCATTCTGTTTCCTTGGTCTATCTATCTACTTTTATACCAGTACCATGTGGTTTTAGTTACTATAGCCTTGCAGTATAATTTGAAGTTGGATAATGTGATGCCTCCAGATTTGTTCTTTTTTGCTTAAGTTTGCTTTGGCTATTTGAGCTCTTTTTTGATTCCATATGAATTTTAGGATTTTTTTTTCTAATTCTGTGAAAAATGATGCTAATATTTTGATACGAATTGTATTGAATCTGTAGATTTATTTGGCAGTATGGCCATTTTCATGATATTGATTCTTCCAATCCGTGAACATAAGATGTATTTTCATTTGTTTGTGTCATCTGATTTCTTTCAGTAGTGTTTCGTAGTTCTCCTTCTGGAGAATTTTCACCTTCCTGGTTAATTATATCCCTAGGTATTTTATTATTTTTTGCAGCTATTGTAAAAGGGATTGAGTTCTTTAATTTGATTCTCAACTTGGTCATTGTTGATGTATAGTGGTGCTACTGATTGGCATACATTGATTTGTGATCTGAGACTTTACTGAATTCATCAAATCTAGGAGTCTTTTTGAATAATCTTTAGGGTTTTCTAAGTATAAGATTATATCATCAGCCAACAGAGTTAGTTTTACTTCTGGTTTTCCAATTTGGATGCCCTTTATTTCTTTCTCTTGTTTGATTGCTCTAGCTGAGAGTTCGTAGGTTGATTGATTTTTGAAAATCGAACCAGCCTTGCATCCCTGGTTGCATCCATTGTCTCTGATAAAAAATCTGGTGCCATTTGTATTATTGATTTCTTATAGTTAAGGTATACTTTTCTCTGGTTGCTTTTCAGATGTTTTCTTTGCCTTTGTTTTCAGAAGATTAATATGATCTGTCTTGTCATGTATTTTTGTTTATTTGTTTATCCTGATTGTTGTTGGCTTAGCTTCTTAAATTTGTGAGTTTATGTCTCTTACCAAATTTGTCAAGTTTTCAGCCATTATTGTTTTCGAATACTTTAAGTCTCATCCTCTTTCCCCTTGCCTTACAAGTCTATGATAACACAAATGCTAGCTCTTTCTTTTTACGTTCATAGGTGCCTGAGGCTCTGTTTACTTTTCAGTCTACTTTATATCTGTTGTTCAGATGGATAGCTATTGTTCTAGCTACCATTTCTTTTATTCTTTCCTTTGTCCCCTCCTTTTATTTTTTTTTATTTTTTGAGACAGAGTCTCACTCTGTCGCCAGGCTGGAGTGCAGTGGCACAATCTCAGCTCACTGCAACCTCTGCCTCTCAGGTTCAAGTGATTCTCCTGCCTCAGCCTCCAGAGTAGCTGGGATTACAGGCACATGCCACCACGCCCGGCTAATTTTTGTATTTTTAGTAGAGACGAGGTTTCACCATGTTGGCCAGGATGGTGTTGATCTCTTGACCCCATGATCCACCTGCCTCAGCCTCCCAAAGTGCTAGGATTACAAGCATGATCCACCGCTCCAGGCCTGTCCCCTCCATTTTTCTGTTGAGCCCATATACTGATGTTTTCTATTTTAGTTGTTGCATTTTTCAGGTCTAAAATTTCTATTTGTTTCTTTTTTGCATTTTTTTTACTGATATTTTCTCTTTCGTTGCTGACACTTTACTTTTTCTTTGTTTTACACATATTTTTTAATTGCCCAATAAAGCATTTTTATTAGGGTTACTTTAAAGTTATCATCAAATGAATCTAACATTTCTGTTATCTCAGTGTTGATGTATGTTAATTATCTTTTTCATTCATCTCAATAGTCCTGATTCTTGATATTATGGGTGATTTTTAATTAAAATCTAGATACTTTGGGCATTATGTTTTGAAACGCCAGTGATATTTAAATTGTGTTTAGTTGGTTTTATTGTTTTTTTTCTAACAACACTCCTGCGTGATAGAAGTGGACACTACGTTGTTACTGTACGGTGCTGGTAGAAGTCCAGGTTCCCTACTTGGTTTGTGGTGACACTCAAGGAGAGGGACTCCTCATTACTTCTGAGCAGGGATGGGCATTCCAGCTTTCTACACGATCTCCACTGACATGGTGGTGCATGAGTAACCTTGTTAAAGCTGGGCAATGGTGAAATTTTAGACTTTTTACTAGGTCTCTCCTGACACCACCTCTGTGAGGGAGAGAGGGCTACTTGATTACTGCACAGTGCGGGTAGAAGTTTAAACTCTCAACTTGGTTTCCGCTGACACCATGAGGTAGGTTCATTACCAGTGATGGGGATAACAGTATGGACTCCCTCTGCTACCTTACCAGGCATTTTGTAGCATCTTGTTACATCCTAGCAAGAATGGAAATCTAGGCTTCCCAGTCAAATTTTTCTGATGCTGGTAGTGGTAGGGCCATGACTACCAATGAGTTCATGTTTCCTCTGTGGTGTTTGGCTGGAATAGTTATTGTCTAAAAGCTTTCCATTTAGGTTGCTCCTTTTCTGGGCCTTTGGCTAGAGAGAGCAGACTTTTGATGGCAGGAGGGTGGTTTTTTACTTGTGTTTGTTGCTGTTAACATATTACCAGGTCTTCAGCTCAGGATATATAAAGTAAAAAGAGTATTCACCACCATGTTATTCCTTATGCTCCAAGATATCTAGCTGGCCCATCCTCTTCTCTCCACCTTTTGTAAACTTCTTATGTTTGTTTTATACATAATGTCCAGAAATTTTAGTTGTACGTAAAGGAAGAAATGGAAAAAAATACATCTTCTCCATATTTCTGGACATGGGATTGACACAGCAGTGTTACTCCTAGGTATTTATTGAAGAGAAATGAAAACATGCCCATGCAAAGACTTGCTCTTGAATCTTCATAGCAGCTGAATCTATAAGAGGCAAAAACTAGGACTTACCAAATGCTCATCAACATGTGAAGAAATAAATTTTGATACATTCATATTGTTGTTATTTGAAAATTAAAATATCTGACTGCAATATCAAATGCAGAAGAAGGTGAGGGAAAAGATGAACACTTAAACATAGTGGTGAAAATATAAATTGTTACCATTTAATGGGAAACAAATGGAATAAACTTAAATTGGGGTAAAAATGAAAATATACATTTAACTTCTGGATTTCCTAGAAAATCTTTTACAAATCTATATAAGAAAATGTGTACAAGGATGCTTAATATAGCATTGTAGCAGAAATGGGAAATAATCTAAAATATCCATCACTAGGGGATTAGATGAATCATGGAGTCTCAATGAATTATATCTAATTATCTTAGAAATTGAAATAAAATCTTATTGAGCAGAAAAAAGTTGCAAGTTACACTCGTATGCATTTTTAATCACACAACATTATTCTAAAACTAGTTTTATGGACGTAAATCCACATAATACATGTGTAAAAACTTGGATAAAAATACACTTGGAATTTATACAAGTGATTGCTAGTGAGAAAGGAACAATACAAAATAATTTAAGCATAAAGTATCTGTTTTTTGAAAAAAATTTCAGACTTTATATTCATAGGCATTTACTACATTATTCTCTATAATCTGTTTTTATTTTTTCATAATTGAAAAGGAAGGAGTTAGGAAATTATGGTTACATATAGCTTACGAAGAAGAGGAAAACTCAAACAAAAATGATGAGGCATATTTGGGAAGCTGTAAGAAATTTAAGGCTGGGTGAAGAGCACATAAGCCTTGAGTCACAGGTAAAGGGCATATATGAAGGGCCTCGTATGTCATACTGAGGGGCATTCAGATTTTTCTTTAAGGCAGGGAAGCACCAATGAAGGCTTCGAAGAATGAGAATTGCATAAATTCGTGCATCCCATAAAGGCATATTTAAGTGCTATGGTGTTAGCTAAGCGTATGAAAAGGGGGAAGGGCCATTACTGGGTATATACCCAAAGGACTATAAATCATGCTGCTATAAAGACACATGCACACATATGTTTATTGCGGCACTATTCACAATAGCAAGACTTGGAACCAACCCAAATGTCCAACAATGATAGACTGGATTAAGAAAATGTGGCACATATACACCATGGAATGCTATGCAGCCATAAAAAATGATGAGTTCATGTCCTTTGTAGGGACATGGATGAAATTGGAAATCATCATTCTCAGTAAACTATTACAAGGACAAAAAACCAAACACCGCATGTTCTCACTCATAGGTGGGAATTGAACAATGAGAACACATGAACACAGGAAGGGGAACATCACACTCTGGGGACTGTTGTGGGGTGAGGGGAGGGGGGAGGGATAGCATTAGGAGATATACCTAATGTAAATGACGAGTTAATGGGTGCAGCACACCAGCATGGCACATGTATACATATGTAACTAACCTGCACATTGTGCACATGTACCCTAAAACTTAAAGTATAATAATAATAAAATAAAAAGAGTTAAAGAAAGAAGAAAGAAATATGAAACAAGAAGAAAAGGGGGGGAGAAGGGCATCAAATGAAGAGAAGGGGCAACATAAACTATTTTTCACAAATAACAGTAAATTCTAAAAGTAAAGTGTTGTTGGCATGCAGGCTCCGCGAGTGCAAGAAACCTGTATTTTGCTTAGTTTTGCCCCAGAGCAGAGTAGTATGGATTAACAGATACTCAGTAGTTACAGTGGCTGGATGTTGGAATAATTCAAGGATGGGCTTTTATTGTGGAAACTCTATTTCAGAGACACGATGTTCTAGGTGGTAGGTTTAGATCTGTGTAGTGCAAGCTATGTGATAGATCTGGATATTTTTAATTTGCTGGTTGACAGGCTGAATGTTCGCCTGTTTGACTGGATTTATTATTACCAATTTAGTTAAAAAGACAGTTTTTTGTGTTACAATATCAGATCATTTGTTGGGTTAAATGAATTTATATTTTAACAAATATTTCAAATTGGCAATGACAACAGGCTATCTTGGTCATATTAATTCAAACAGTCAAACATTCACTGAGTAAAGACTAAGAAACAATGTTTTATTTTACTCATGTCAAGAAAGATGTAGTTCATACCTATATGTGTGTGTGTATGTATGTGTCTATGTATGTATTATTATATTGTCCGTGTATTATCATATGTGTCTATGTATGTATTATATATGTGTAATATATGTATGTGTCTATGAGTAATATAATGTGTATGTGTCTATGAGTATGAGTATGAGTAATATGTATGTCTATGAGTAATATAATGTGTCTGTATGTATTATACATAGACATGTGTCTATGTATGTATTATATGTGTGTAATATATGTATGTGTCTATGAGTAATATAATGTGTATGTGTCTATGAGTATGAGTATGAGTAATATGTATGTGTCTGAGTAATATAATGTGTCTGTATGTATTATTATACATAGACATGTGTCTATGTATGTATTATGTATGTGTGAGTAATATATGATATATTTGTATATTTGCTGGATACATAGGATGCATCTAATAAATGTTTATTATTTTATCTTTTCCACCCCTAATGAGAAATTGGCAGACACTTAAGGTGATACAGAAATGAAACAATTAAACAGATGGTTTCCTTGTGCAGAAAATTTTTAAAAATAAAGACTAAAAAATAAAGTTACAATCCAACCACCCAGATATATTAATGATTTAGTGTGCCTCTTTTTCAAATTAAACAAAATGTGTGTGTGTGTGTGTGTGTATGTATATATATATATACACACACATATATATACACACATACATATATATATATATACACACACACACACATATATATATATATATATGTGGGATAGATCACTACTGTGCATACTACTTTATTGCCTGCTCTGTTTTGCCTATTGTTCATACATTTCATATCATTAAATCTTCTTTTCCAATGGATAAATCATTTCCCATTCCTCTACAGACCTTCTGCATAATATCTTATGTTCCATTGTTTGACAGTATGAATATATTTTTTTCACTACCTTTCACTTTGCTCTTGTTTTACTAATTGACTTTTTCATGGAAGAAAAAAATATTATACTGTGACAATGTCATTCTCTAAAAATATTATACTGTGATAATGTCCTTCTCATTTCAGAGTTGCTTACTTTTTGTTTACAATTGTTTTGTTATGACATAGTTCCTAAAGCTGCAACTTAAGTGATTTGCTCTTGCCTTCAGCTGGCTGTCCTCTTCGCCAAGTCCTCCCTTTCAGTGAATGGTGTGTGAATGAACAGTTTAATTTACTGGGAGAGATCACTGTTTCAAGTAATCCTATGGTTAAACATTTTGTCAAGACAGAATCCAATAATGAGAATAATCACTCCCAAATTGATGTTTTGAAATTTATATTTTTTGTATTGGAGATGTTTTACATAGACATATTGCATTTAACTTGTGGAGTGCCTCTGGCCATATTCAGAAAGCTAGTATTTGATATTAACAATACTCATAGTAATGCATCATTTAACAATGGATATACATTCTAAGAAATTTCATTGTCATGGGAACATCATAGAGTTTATTGCACAAACATAGATGGTATTGTCTACTGCACACCTAGGCTACATGTTGTAGCCTATGGCTCCTAGGCTACAAAGCTGTATAGCATGTGATTTTACTAAATACTGGAGGCATTTCTAAAATTGTGTATCAAAACATATCTAAACATGGAAAAAGTACTGTAAAAAGATGGTATAAGGCCAGGCGCAGTGGCTCAGGCCTGTAATCCCAGCATTTTGGGAGACTGAGGCACAAGGACTGCTTGAGGCCAAGAGTGGAAGAGCAGCCTGGGCAAGATAGAAAGACTCCCATCTCTAAACACACACACACAAATTAAAACATTAGCCAGGCGTGGTGTCACATGCTTGTAGTCCTAGATACTTGGGAAGCTGGGTAACAGAGTGAGACCCTGTCTCAACAATATATATATATAAAGATAAAAAGTAGTAAACCTGTATAAGACACGTGCTATGAATGGAGCTGGCAGGACAGGAAGTTTCTCTGGGTGAATCAATGAGTGAGCAGTGAGTGAATGTGGACGACTAGGACATTACTGTACATTACTGCAGACTTTATAAACACTATACACATAGGTTGCACTACATGTATAAAAAATATTATTTTCTTCAATAATAAATTAACTTTAGAGTTAATAAATAAGTTAATTTCAGAGTTGCTTACTTTTTATTTACAATTGTTTTGTCATAACATGGTTCCTAATGCTGCAACTGAAGTGATTTTGCTCTTGCCTCTCAGCTGGCTATCCTTTTCTCCAAGTCCTCCCTTTCAGTTAATGATGTGTGAATGAATACTTCAATTCACTGGGAGAGATCACTGTTTAAATTAATCCTATGGTTAATCATTTTGTCAAGACAGAATCCAGTAATGAGAATATTCACTCCCAAATTGATGTTTTTGAAATTTGGATTTTTTTGTATATTCTTATCTTAAAGCATCTCCATCTGCAGTCAGTGTTGAAGGCCCAGCTGTCAACCAAAGAAAAGACAAAGGCAAGCTGGGAATGGAGGTGAATGCATTTAGGCCTGAGTACTCCCACCAGGGAATAAGCAGCTCATGTTAGCACTCCTTCTAGCCACATCACTGGAGGACATGTATGTTAATGAATAGTCTCCTGGCACTTGAAGAGAATAGAATTATGTTGACTCCCAAAGTGAATCTGAAATCAGCTCTCTTGTAGTGAAGGCAATAGTTGGGTTTATTTGAATATAAAATATATTTTTTCTCTTTCTTTTATTATTATTACTATTTACATTTTTGTGGGTATATAGTAGCTGTATATATATTTATGGGGTACATTAGATGTTTTGATACGGGCATGCAATGCGAAATAAGCATGTCATGGAGAATGGGGTATCCCTCCCACAAGCATCTATCCATGGAGTTACAAACAATCCAATTACATTCTTTAAAATGAGATTCAATCATTTGCAACAACATGGATGAAACTGGAGATCATTATGTTAAGTGAAATAAGCCAGGCACAGAAAGACAAACATCACATGTTCTTATTATTTGTGGGAGCTAAAAATAAAATATATTTTTAAGACACATTTTGATTTCCAGAATTACAAATAAGGAAATAATGAATCTTCTGCTTATACTATGATGGAAGAAAAATAATATATCTGATTCCATTTGGCCATGTCCCCACCCAAATCTCATCTTGAATTGTAGTTCCCATAATTCCCATGGTCGGGGGAGGGATGGGTGGGAGGTAATTGAATCATGTGGGTAGTTACCCCCATGCTGCCATTCTCCTGATAGTGAATGAGTTCTCATGAGATCTGGTGGTTTTATAAGGGGCTTTTCCCCCTTTTCCTGGGCACTTCTTCCTGCCATCACATGAAAGAAGGACATGTTTGCTTCCCTTTCTGCCATGATTGTAAGTTTCCTGAGGCCTCCCCAGCCATATGGAACTGGGAGTCAATTAAATTTCTTTCCTTTATAAACTACCCAGTCTTAGGCAGTCCTTTATAGCAGTGTGAAATGAACCAGTACAATATTGTAGTACCCATTTTCTCCAAATAATTGTAATTGGCTAATTTAGATAGCAGCTGGTTGAAGTCATCTCATCATTAGATGATCATTACAGAACTTAGGCCAATTTCCCAAGGTCACAGAGCTAGCAAGTGGCAAAGACAGAACTCTACCTAGAAGAGAATCAGAAAATGCATAATAATAACAGTACTAGCAAACAATTATCAAGAGCTAACTGTGAACTAGACACTGTAGTATTTCAAAAAATATAAAAACCAAGCGATGAATCTAGGGTTGAAAACTAAGCTCAGCCAATGAAATATGCAATGACTAAGAATTGGCCCACCCCAATTATAATAATAAAAGCCAAAATCAATTTAGCACTTACTAAGTGCCAGGCTCTGAATAAAGTATATTGCATTCATTATCTCATTCAATCCTCTCAGAATACTTTAGAGGGGCTTACAGTCTTGTGGAAAAAGCAAACAATAATAAAATAATTTTATAAATAAATTAAAATTGCAACTGTGATGTCTTAAAAAATGGTTACAACAATGTCTAATTAGGGGGATTGCCTTAGTTGTGAAGATCAAGGAAGACTCCCCTTAGAGAGTGAGTGGGAATAGGCAAATAGCATGTGCAAAAGCTTGGACGTAAGAGAGCGTGTTGCTTTTGGAAAACTCTGAAAGTAGGCCAGTATGGCAGGAGCAAAAAGAATAAGCATGAGCATGATGTACACAGAGGCTAGAGAGTTAGGGAAGGGCTAGCTCATATGATCTGTGTGCTAAAAAATTTAAGCCATGAGAGGCAGATAAATTGTTTTAAAAAGGAGGACCACCTTTTAAAATGTGTGTTTTGAAGTGATTACTCTGGCTGATTGAAGAAACTATTAGACAGCAAGAAGAGAGTGGATGAAAGGAGACCAGTTAGGAGATGATTGTATTTATTCAGACAATAGGGGATCCTGACAGCTCAAATGAGCTAGCTGTGGTAGATTTGGAGTGAATTTGTTTGATTCAAGAGGTATTTTGTTCGTAAGAAGAAAGAGTTCTTGTTCATACATTAACTTTGAAGGATGAGTGTTAATAATTACCCAACTATGGACTGAATTGTGCTCTCTCCCAAATTTATAGGCTGAAGCTTTCACCCCCAATGTGACTGTATTTTGAGATAAGGCCTTTAAGGAGGTAATTAATATTAAATGAGGCCATAAGGGTGGGGTTCTAATCCAATAAAACTGGTATCCTTATAAGAAAAAGAGATACTAGAAATTCTTTTTTTTAAATTTTCCATAGGTTATTGGGGTACAGGTGGTATTTGGTTACATGAGTAAGTTCTTTAGTGGTGATTTGTGAGATTTTGGTGCACCCATCACCTGAGCAGTATACACTGCCCCATATTCATAGCCCTTTATCCCTTACTTCCCTTCCAACCTTCCCCCCAAGTCCCCATAATCCATTGTATCATTTTTATGCCTTTGCATTCTCACAGGTTAGTTCTCACATATCAGTGAGAATATATGATATTTGGTTTTCCATTCCTGTGTTACTTCACTTGGAATAAGAGTCTCCAATCTCATCCAGATCACTGCAAATGCTGTTAATTCATTCCTTTTTATGGCTGAGTAGTATTCCATAATATATATATACCAGTTTCTTTATCCACTTCTTGATTGATGGGCATTTGGCTTGGTTTCACGATTTTTCAATTGTGTGTTGTGCTGCTATAAACATGCATGTGCATGTATCTTTTTCGTATAACAACTTGTGTTCCTCTGGGTAGATACCTGGTAGGGGGATTGCTGGATCAAATGGCAGTTCTACATTTAGTTCTCTAAGGAATCTCCACACTGTTTTCCATAGTAGTTGTACTAGTTTACAGTCCTACCATCAGTGGAGAAATGTTCCCTGATCACCAAATCCACACCAACATCTACTGTTTTTTTGATTTTTTTATTATGGCCATTCTTGCAGGAGTAAGGTGGTATTACACAGTGGTTTTGATTTGCATTTCCCTGATCATTAGTGATGTTGAACATTTTTAAATATGTTTGTCGGCCATTTGTGTATCTTCTTTCGAGAATTATCTATTCATGTCTTAGCACACTTTTTGATGGGATTGTTTCTTTTTTTCTTACTGATTTGAGTTTGTTGTAGATTCTGGATATTGGTCCTTTGTCAGATGGATAGATTGTGGAGATTTTCTCCCACTCTATGGGTTGTCTGTTTACTCTGATGACTTTCTTTTGCTGTGCAAAAGCTCTTCAGTTTAATTAAGTCCCAGCTATTTATTTCTGTTTTTATTGCATTTGCTTTTGGGTTCTTGGTCATGAAATCCTTGCCTAACCCAGTGTCTAGAAGGGTTCTTCCAATGTTATCTTCGATAATTTTTATAGTTTCAGGTCTTAGATTTAAGTCCTTAATCCATTTTGCATTGATTTTTTATAAGTGAGAGATGAGGATCCAGTTTTATTCTCCTACATGTGGCTAGCCAATTATCCCAGCATAATTTGTTGAAAAAGATGTCCTTTCCCTACTTTATGTTTTTGTTTGCTTTGTTGACGATCAGTTGGCTATAAGTATTTGGGTTTATTTCTGGGTTCTCTATTCTGTTCCATTGGTCTATGTGCCTGTTTTTATATCAGTACCATGCTGTTTTGGTGACTATGGCCTTATAGTATAGTTTGAAATCAGGTAGTGTGATGCCTCCAAATTTGTTCCTTTTGCTTAGTCTTGCTTTGGCTATGTGGGCTTTTATTTGGTTCCATATGAATTTTAGAATTTTTTTTCTAATTCTGTGAAGAAAAATGGTGGTATTTTGATGGGGATTACAATGAATTTGCAGGCTGCTTTTGGCATTATGGTCATTTTCACAATATTGATTCTACCCATCCATGAGCATGGGATGTGTTTCCATTTGTTTGTGTCATCTATGATTTCTTTCAGCAGTGTTTTATAGTTTTCCTTGTAGAGGTCTTTTGCCTCCTTGGTTAGGTATATTCCTAAGCATTTTATTTATTTATTATTTTGCAGCTATTATAAAAAGGGTTGAGTTCTTGATTTGTTTCTCCACTTGGTCGCTGTTGGTATACAGAGGAGTTACTGATTTGTGTACATTAATCTTGTATCTGGAAACTTTGCTGAATTATTTCTTCAGTTCTAGGAGCTTTCTGGAGGAGTGTTTAGGGTTTTCAAGGTAAACGATCATATCATTAGCAAACAGAGACAGTTTGACTTCCTCTTTACTGATTTGGATGCCCTTTCTTTCTTTCTCTTATCTGATTGCTCTGGCTAGGACTTCCAGTACTATGTTGAAGATGAGTGGTGAGAGTGGGCATCCTTGTCTTGTTCCAGTTTTCAGAGGGAATGCTTTCAACTTTTCCCCATTCAGTATTATGTTGGCTGTGATTTTGTCATAGATGACTTTTATTACATTGAGGTATGTCCCTTGTATGCTGATTTTGTTGAGAGTTTTAATCCTAAACGGATGCTGGATTTTGTCTAATGCTTTTTCTGCATCTATTGAGATGATCATGTGATTTTTGTCTTTAATTCTGTTTATGAGGTGTATCACATTTATTGACTTGTGTATGTTAAGCCATCCCTGCATCCCTGGTGTGAAACTTACTTGATCGTGGTGGATTATCTTTTTGATATGTTGTTGGATTTGGTTAGCTAGTACTTTGTTAAGGATTTTAGCATCTATATTCATTAGGAATATTGGTCTGTAGTTTTCTTTTTTTGGTTATATCCTTTTCTGGTTTTGGTATTAGGGGGATGCTGGCTTCATAGAATGAATGAGGGAGGGTTCCCTCTTTCTCTGTCTTATGGAATAGTGTCAAAATGTTTGGTACCAATTCTTCCTTGAGTGTCTGGTAGAATTCTGCTGTGAATCTGTCTGGTCCTGGACTCTTTTTTTGTTGGCAGTTTTAAAATTACCATTTCAATCTCGCTGCTTGTTAATGGTCTGTTTAGGATATCTAATTCTTCCTGATTTAAGCTAGGAGGGTTATATTTTTCCAGGAGTTTATCCATCTCTTGTAGGTTTTCTAGTTTCTGTGAGTAAAGGTGTTCATAGTAATGCTGAATGACCTTTTGTATTTCAGTGGTGTCAATTGTAATATCTCCTGTTTCGTTTCTTAATGAGGTTATGTGGATTTTCTCTCTTCTTTTCTGAGTTAATCTTGCTAATGGTCTATCAATTTTATTAACTTTTTAAAGAACTAGCTTTGTGTTTCATTTATTTGTTTTTTGTTTGTTTGTTTCAGTTTCATTTAGTTCTGCTCTGATCTTGGTTATTTTCTTTCTTCTGCTGGGTTTGGGTTTGGTTTGTTCTTGTTTATCTAGTTCCTTGAGGTGTGACCTTAAAATGTCAGTTTGTGCTCTTATAGCCTTTTTGATGTAGGCATTTAGGGCTATGAACTTTCCTCTTAGCACAGCCTTTGCTATATCCTAGAGGTTTTGATAGGTTTTTTCATTATCATCATTCAGTTCAAATAATTTTTTAATTTCCATCTTGATTTTGTTTTTGACCCAGTGATCATTCAGGAGCAGGTTATTTAATTTCTATGTATTTGCATGGTTTTGAAGATTCCTTTTGGAGTTTATTTCTAGTTTTATTCCACTGTGGTCCGAGAGAGTGCCTGAAATAATTTCAATTATCTTAAAGTTATTGACACTCATTTTGTGGCATATCATATGATCTGTCTTGGAGAAATTTCCATGAATAGAATGTATATTCTGTGGTTGTTGGATGAAATGTTCTGTATATATCTGTTAAGTCCATTTGTAACAAGGTCTAATTTAAATCCAGTGTTTCTTTGTTGACTTTCTATCTTGGTGACCTGCCTCATGCTGTCAGTTGAGCATTGAAGTTCCCCACTATTATTATGTTGCTGTCTATCTCATTTCTTAGGTCTATTAGTAATAGTTTCATAAATTTGGGAGCTCTAGTCTTAGGTGCATATATGTTTAGGATTGTGATATTTTTGTATTGGACAAGGCCTTTTACCACTGTATAACGTCCGTCCCTCTTTGTCTCTTTTAACTGCTGTTGCTTTAAAGTTTGTTTTGTCGGATATAAAAATAGCTAGCCCTGCTCAATTTTGGTTTGCACATGCATGAAATGCCTTTTTCCACTTCTTTAAGTTAATGTGAGTCCTTATGTGTTAGGTGAGTCTCCTGAAGGCAGCAGATAGTTGGTTGGTGAGTTCTCATCGAGTCTGCAGTTTTGTATCTTTTATGTGGAGAATTTAGGTCATTTACATTCAATGTTAGTATTGAGATGTGGGGTACCATTCCATTCATCATGTTATTTGTTGCCTGTGTACCTTGTTTTTTTGTTTTTGTTTTTGCTTTTTAAATTTTATTTTTGTATTACAAGTCCTGGGTGATTTATGCTTTAAAGGGGTTATGTTCTGAGGTGATTCCAGGATTTTTTTTTAAGATTTAGAGCTCCTTTTAGCAGTTGTTGTAGTGGTGGATTGGTAGTGGCAAATTCTCTCAGCGTTTTTGTTTGTCTGAAAAAGTCTCTATCTTTCCTTCGTATATGATGCTTAGTTTCACTGGATACAAAATTCTTGGCTAATAATTGTTTTATTTGAGGAGGCTGAAGTTAGGCTCCCAATATCTTCCAGCTTGTAGGGTTTCTGCTGAGAAATCTGCCATTAATCTGCTGGGTAGGTTTTCCTTTATAGGTTACCTGGTGGTTTTGTCTCACAGCTCTTAAGATTATTTCCTTTATCTTAACTTTGGATAACGTGATGACAATGTGCCTAGGTGATGATGTTTTTGGGATGAATTTCCCAGGTGTTCTTTGTGCTTCTTATATTTGGATGTCTAGGTCTCTGGCAAGGCCAGGGAAGTTTTCCTTGATTACTTCCCCAAGTATGTTTTCCCAACTTTTATATTACTCTTCTTCCTCATGAACACCAATTATTCTTAGGTTTGGTGGTTTAACATGATCCCAGACTTGTTGGAGGCTTTGTTCATATTTTCTTGTTCTTTTTTTCCTTGTCCTTGTTGGATTGGGTTAATTTGAAGATCTTGTCTTCAAGCTCTGAATTTCTTTATTCTACTTGTTCAATTCTATTCCTGAGACTTTCCAGAGCATTTTGCATTTCTATAAGTGTGTCCAATGTTTCCTGAAGTTTTGGTTGTTTTTTCTTTATGCTCAGTTATTGTATCATTTTTTGGATTTCCTTGCATTATGCTTTGCCTTTCTCTAGTGCATCCCTGATTAGCTTAATAACTAACCTCCTGAATTCTTTTTCAGGTAAATTAGGGATTTCTTCTTGGTATGGATCCATTGCTGGTGAGCTACTGTGATTTTCTGAGGAGTGTTAAAGAGCCTTGTTTTGTTATATTGCCAGATGGTTTTCTGGTTCCTTCTCATTTGGGTAGGCTCTTTCAGAGGGAAGGTCTAGGGCTGAAGGCTGTTGTTCATATTCTTTTGTCCCATGGGGTGTTCCCTTGATGTAGTACTCTCCCCCTTTTCCTATGGATGTGGCTTCCTGAGCCAAGCTGCAGTGATTGTTATCTCTCTTCTGGGTCTAGCCACCCAGCAAGTCTACCAGGCTCCAGGTTGGTACTGGGGTTGTCTGCACAGTGTCCTGTGATGTGAACCATCTATGGGTGTCTCAGCCATGAACACCAGCACAGTATTTGGGGTGTCTCTTGGGTCCTGCAGGAGCAATCCGTTTCCTTCAGAGGGTCTGTGGGTCCTCTTGGGATTCCTGATTTGTTCTTGCAGTCGTTCTGGCACTAAAATTCATGATGCAAGCCTCTGCACACTGCTCTGTCTAGCCAAGTGAGAGCTGCAATGTCGACGCTAGGAATTCTTATACTCTAAGAAAATGGCCACATTTCAGACCCAGAGAGAAGGCGGTCATCTGCAAGTCAAGGAGAGAGGCCTTAGCAGAATCAAAGCTGCCAGTACCTTGATTTCAGACTTCCAGCTGTCACAACTGAGAGAAATAAATTTCCTGTTGTTTAAGCCATCCAGTCCATGGTATTTTGTTATGGCATCCTGAGCTAGTACATACCCCGAGATTTCTGATTTGAGCAACTGGTTAGTTATATGATGGTGGCAATTACTAAGATGAAGCATACCAGGAGATATCCAGGTTCATAGGGAAAAATGAAGAAATTGAGACAAAAACATTAAAATAACTCACATATCCTCCCCAAACTGAAGCCTGACTAATTCTAAATCCTAGATTCTTAATTAGTGTCCTAGTATAGGGTAAGTAGGGCAGGAAAAAATTTGTTCCACTATGAGGCCTAGACCTAAATTATAATTTTAATCTTTAAGAGCAAGTTTCCAGTTTAATTATATAATGAAAGAGAAAAGTCATCTGGACGAGTAAGTGCTGCTGCCTTTGGTATCACTGCCCTAGAAACAGGAATCTGGGCTTATCTAGCTTCAGACATTGCAGCCCAGAAGCTGCAATTGACTGTGTTTTCTATGAAGGCGGGAGAAATCTGCCTTTTGATCGTTGATCTCCTCAGCACTGCCTCTAACCATTGTTAACATGCTTATGACTTTTTAAGCATCCCTAACCCCTTGTGGCTGTACACCAAATACACAGCTGCCAGATATTATGAACCAGATTGATTCTAAACCCAACCAAGTATGGTAGAAGTTGTGGCTAATACTGGATAATCTAGATGAGCAGCTCTGTTAGGGTTGAATACTGCCTACCTTTCAACCAAATGTCTCTCTCTCTCTCTCTCTCTCTCACACACACACACACACACACACACACGCACACACACACTCTACATAGAGGGTTGTTTCCAAATAACCTGTGGAGGTGAAAACATTTGACATTGGGGTTTTTTACTTTCCCATTTTGTAGCTTAGTGTCTCTGGTACCTGGAATTCTCATCCCAGCTCTTATGCATCAGGATCTATACTTCCTGGACTTGTCCAAACTGTAATCCTTCTATTTTATTTTATTCTTCAAAAAATATACTATTCTATTAATGGTCCAGCCTTGCCTCCTAACAGATAATGGGAGTTAATCTGATACTACCACCAATGTCAACACTGGTGGCTAATGAGAACTTCCCATGTCCTGTTGCTCATGGAACACAGCTATGTTTTATTATATTTACTACCTTTATTGGAAAAAAAAGTGACTTTAGTAGCGACAGTTACATAAATAGGGCTTTTAGGTACTGTTTCAAGCCATCTCCAACACTGCCTAGGAGTAACATTTGCCGTACAAGGGGACACTGCTATAAATTCTGAAGTTCCTGGAAACACAATTTTTTTAGGAAGACAGAAGTAGAACATATGCCTTGTCTGGTGCTAGCATCTCTAAGCAATAAATTGTTCAAATCTCCAATCATGCTTGTGTCTTGTCATGTAGAGAGAAAGATCATTAATTGAGATATCTATGTATAAAATGAAAAGAAAAAAAACACAAAACGTAACTGACACACAGGCTGCCACATCCTGTTTCACACCAGTAGTAGAGAGAACTAACCAATCATAACATTCTTTACTATTGACCGTAGACAAGGCCTCAGAATTATTTTTAACTTTACAAAGCAGACTTCCAGTATCAATAAAACAAAGCTGACCCTTGGGATGAAACCTATTTGCCATTCTAGTCTAGATGTTCTCTGATAATTTCCAGCTCTTCCCTGATAATTACTTTTCAACTTGGGGTTGGAACTTATGAACACCATTTTACAATTGAAGAAGGCAAAACCCTGCAAAAAGAAGAGGATCTATTCAGGGATTCAGAGTAAATGAATAAGAGACCCCAGTAGTACTTACTCTGTGCATATAACAAGTAGGTATCTTCCTGAGTTGTGGATTTTGAAGCTTGCTAGTGTACCATAAACATCTATAACAACTGTAATTAGCATTACTCCTCTGAGAAATGGAAGACCCTTGGAAAAGAGAAATACATCTTGGAGATAGTCCAGGTGAAGGGATAGCTGGCATTGTCCATCAGATTATCTCCATGAGACAAAAAAAAAAAAAAAAAAAAAAAAAAAAACAGAAGAGAAAAGAGAAGGAATGATCTAGAACATAGAGTGAGGTAAGGACTGGAAAGAGGCCCAAAGGAGAAGGGTATGCCCAGAAAGAGGCTTACAGTGGACAGTCAAGGACAGTGTGAGGGCATGCAACATTATAGGAAGGGTGGGTTGGGATGAAGGAGGCAAGCATGTATACGTAGGTTTCTTCAATCAAAGATAACCTTCTTTATTCACCTGGCCATCTCATCTCCTTGTGTTGCTGAGTGATTGGGAGGGGATCCTTTCGTGAGCATCCTCCCTTATTGGATAGAAAATAAGGAGGTTCAGAATGCTATTCACCTGGGTTGGATTGGCTGGCAGGGTATTATATTGACCCTAAACCAGGAGCCCTTTCGGTTTATAGCTCCACTGAATCCCAGTCTCCACCCCAAGGAAGTTTGTGTCCATGTGAACTGGGGCAGAATGGAAAAGTAGCTGAGCTTGCATTGTTTTCACAAAGAAAGCCAGACATGGGTGTCAGAGTTCATTTACATCTCAAGAACCGTTCACCAAAGGAAGTAAATGTAATCCTTATAATTTAGAGAGGGTCAAACTAACAAAGTTAGTTAGGTGACTTTATAGTTGCACCTTAATGAATGAATAATATCTCATGTATTCATAGAATGTGACAGAAATTCAAGTTGCTAGCGGAAAACTAGGGCTCCAACTGAACCTGAATCTTGCTAATAAACAGCTTGCTCATTCAGAAGAATAAAGCTACTGTTGTTCACTTTTTCTTATTAAATGTCTTCCTCTAAGCCTAGAGAGTGACACGTATTAACCCAGTGCCAAGGAAACAATAGTATGTGTGTGTGTTGTTAATAATGTTTACTGTGGCCATTTAAACAACCATAACTACATTCAATATAAGGAAGTCAGAAATTTTATATTCATAAAAGCCTCAACTGGGTTTCCCTTAAAACCCAATATTGTCTGGTATCTGAATGCACTTGTTATTTGAGGATGGACCATTTTTATTATTATTGTCTACTGGGAAATAGCCCATTTTTCAGTTATAGTATGGAATAGAACTTGAATAACTGTATCAAGAGAATGCAATATATCTGGCTCAATTCACTTGAAGAGTACAATATTTAAATAAAAAGATCAAACGATTATTTGGGGAAGAAAGTATAATCTAAAAGAATGGCTAATGTTTTATAGAGTCTGTAGTAATACTATGTTGAAAGTTTTTATTCCTGAAATGTTAAAATACATTTCAGAGTCTCTGAAGTATTTTATAGAATCTTAATGAGCACAATAGCATGTCTATACAGCAGGTAGTGGAGAGAGAAAAACAGAGAACACTGTTTTTATTCTCATTTTCCAGAAAGGGAAGCTGAGGGACAAATAAGGTAAAGGAATTGTTGAAGAAGCATGGTAAAACGGTATAATAGCCAAAATTAATATTGTGGGTTGTTTCCTTCTTAATGCGTAAAGGGTTTCAGATAGATCCTAGCACACAGTAAGAAAACTATATGTGGCAGGTAATATTATTAGTTTGCATTTCCTTTCCAAAGGGTGCGTATGTTTCCAGTTCCCTCCTTCTACAAAGGTAACATTTTATCCTTTGTTAAAGGAAATCCTTCTTTATTGCTTTATTATTTTATTGGTTTACTTTTATTTTATTTTAAGGGAGTTCTTTATTGAAAAAGAAAACATCTACAGTTTTTGTAGGGTAAATTAATACAGTTTCATTATGGAACATGTAAATATTGCAGATGAGCACAGACATAGTGTATATTTCCTTATAGTGTTTGTTAAAAATACTATTAGAGATATAGGGAAAAAATCCAGTGTGTTTTCCTTTCTCTCCTGCATAGTCATTCAACACAGCATGGAATGCTTCAGGGTCAGCAAAACGTATATGGAATTCTCCCCACCAGCAAAGGGATTCTACAGCAGACACCAACTAGGTTTCCTCTAATTCAATTTAATTGGGACACAGGCTACCTGGAGATAGCATCAGTCAGATTCCACAGGTTGAGAGCTCAGTCCCATAAGACTTCTGCCCACTTTAGATGCCAGGTGCAAGTAGTAGGTTGTCACCTATACGTCTGACTGACCAAGACTGCTGAGAGCTCCTCCTCAAGTTTGATTAATCTGCAAGAGCAGCTCACAGAATTCAGAGAAACACATTATTTACATCTACCAGTTTATTGTAAAGGATATTAGAAAGGATACAGATAAACAGCCAGGTGGTAGAGATGCACAGGGCAAGGCATGTGAGAAGTGAAGAACTTCCATGCTTTCTCTGCACCCTCCAGGAACATCCACATGTTCAGCAATCAGGAAGCTCCCTAGACCCTGTCCTTTTGGGTTTTTATAGAAGCTTTATTATGCAGGTATGATTAATTATACCACTGGCTATTGGTGATCATTTTAACTTTTAGCCTCTCTTCCCTTCCTAAAGATTGGGAAGTGGGGCTAGAAATTAATCCTCTAAGACTGTCTTGGTCTTTCTGGTTACTAGCCCCCATCCTGAGGCTATCTGTGGACCCCCAGACACCAGTCATCTCTTCAGCAAACAAAAGTCACTCACCCTCCGAAGATTCCAAGGATTTTAGGAGCTGCACGTCAGGAAACAGGATAAACACTAAATATATATTTCTTAATATCATGTATGTATATACAGATTGTCTTCTTCATTTAAAGATTAGATTCATACTGTTAACATTGGTTTGTATCCTATTTTTTCACTTAATATTTGATCTTTCATTTTATCGTTTTTTCTCTCCTTTTGGTTTCTGACTTCCAGTATGTACTCCAGTGCATAAGGGAGTAGAGCCAGTGTCACAGTCACAGAGAACAAACTGTAGTGAGAATTTTTATTAGTGCATGTTCCCATTTACATGCTCCCAACACTTGCCCAGAGAAGAAAAAAGCAGAGAAAAGGGTGTACATGTAGTGAACCTGCTTCAAACATAAGCTCCCTGCAATTTCCCGCTTTGTACTGTGTAGGAGTGCAGCAATGCTGAAACTCATAAAGGACAATGAAAAGGAAACATGACAAAGGATAAGGATGAAAAAAAAAGTCTATGCAAAGGCATACATTCTCTCCGTCACTGCTCAGATATGCCATGCAAGTTCAAATCATGCCTCCTACCAGATCATCTGGAAAAGAGACAGATGGTCATTGAGGGGACACAATGCAAAATACATGTGAATGCTACTGCAATGACTTCCTCATTTCTTAGCGATTGTAAAACTAGAGGCTGGTTGTGAATGACTTCAATACTGTAGCTTTTTACCAGTTAATGCTGTCTTTATAAAAAGCTTAGTTTACATCTCCCATAAAACTTGAAATAAAGAATCAGCATTTCACAGAATGCCTTAAAATTTAGAAATTGCTTTCATTTAGATTAAGTTACATGTACCTCCTATTAATTTTATAGGCATTTATAATTTCAGACATGAAAAGACTCTTTCATTGATCCACCCTCTTCATTTTTACAGGTGAAAAGCCTGAGGCTTAGAGATGCTAAGTGATTTGTCCAAGGTTACAGAGCCAGTCCTCTGGCTACTACTCCATTTTGCTTTCCACTCCAACATTTTGTCTCTGTCACCTCTGGTGACATGGTGAGGTTTATTGCCTGGGATAGACAGGTAGGAGGCAGTATCCATTTATGACTTTTGAGATTGCTCAAGTTTTCTAAATTCCAATTAAATCTTTCCTTCCATTAAAGTTTCCAGATAAAATTGTTACAATCACAATCATTTTTTTTTCCTTCAGACTTCAAACCATTGGAGTACCTGGGCGTGGTCAGTATCCAAATGCTAATTCTTTCTTTCCTTTGGTATATTTGTGGGTTTCTCTGAGATTCTTCTGCTTGAGAAATACAGTTACATTTTTCTGGAGATGATGAGGCAGGATACCTCTAGCATCCCAGATGAAGGCAAGTTACACCTGGCAGGAAGCCCTCTTTAGTAGCATCTTTTTATAAGATAGCTCATAGCTGGTTATTTTTGTTAGGTTCACATACGTCCTACTGATGGAAAGAAACTGAAATGCAACTTTGCCCAGCCCATGATTAAAATACAAATCATTCCCAATGCAGTACTTTCTCTCTGCATTCCATCAATGCTAGCCCTCATTAGTCATGATTTTTAACTTTAGATATTTTATAAGCATATGTCAAGTAACAGTCCTTACAATATTCAAATTAAAGGTAATATATGCCAAGTTCTTGATGTGTGTGTCACCCTAATTTGGCATGAGATGATTGCAGGGGGTAGTGAGTGGATTACAACACCACTGTTTTCCCCTCCATAATGTAAAAATATGAGCTGGTAACTTTCAGTTGGTAACTTTGGTTCAAATCTCATGTTTACTTATAAAATTTAGTTGGAAAAAGTTAAAAAAAAAAGTGAGCTACAATGAAGATAATCTACTTTCATTAGGTCAAACCAATAGTTACAATGCCGAACTTGGACTACAGTTAGGGTAAAATAATTCTGCTATCCAGCCATCCAAAGTTTGCAAAAAGTTGTTACTCATCTAATGTTGGTGTTTGTAATTTGTCATCACATATTAATATGATTAATTTTAGTCAAAGCTCCTAATCTTGGGAAAAACCCAGAAGTCTAAAAAAAATTTAGGCCTAACAGGGACAATTGAGTTTGGGATAGAATGGATCCCCACATAGACATAAAATCACCAACTCAATGTGGCATCCATTTTTATGGTAGCAAAACCATGTTCTCAATGAAAGGAGAAAATCTTTGAAACAGTTTTTTTTTTAAGCAGCTGCATTTGGAGTATACATAATGTCTCTGTGTGTGTGTATGTGTATATGTATATATATATGAACATTCTTCTCAATTATTTACACATTCCATATTTCAGATTATATAGTAGGTCCAGGTATCTTGGCCAGAGAGGAAAACAAAAATATTTTTTTAAACGAGTCTAACTGTCTTAGTGTGACTTGAAAAAACAAAAGAAAATAAAACAATGCCAATAAAAATAAGCAAAATAAGGAACAGTGGTGTTCAACTAAGGCAAAGATATGTAACTAATCAACAAATATCTGTTGAATTTCTACTATGTGACCAAAGTATTTTAGACTTTCAGGATACAGTAGCTAGTAAGAGAGATGATGTCCTTGCTCTCAAACATGAAGAAAAAATATGTTATTGAATTAAATGAGAATGAATTAGGAGCTACTTTAGATTGAGAGTTCAGAGTAGATTTATTTGTGAAGGAGACATTTGAGCTTGGACTGGAATGGCAACAAAGAAGTGGCTTTGTAAAAATATGAGGCAGAGGATTATAGGCAGAAGAAAGGAAAAATGCAAAGGCTGTTTGAGAAATGCGAAGATGGCTGTTGTAGCTACAGTGTAGTAAATGAGGGGGAGAGTGTTACAAAATGAGGTTAAAGAGGTAGGCAGAGGCCAGGTGTGGTGGCTCACACCTGTAATCCCAGCACTTTGGGAGGCTGAGGCGGGCAGATCACTTGAGTTCAGGAGTTCAAGACCAGCCTGGCCATCACGGTGAAGCCCCATGTCTACTAAAAATACAAAAATTAGCCAAGCATCGTGGTGGGTGCCTGTAATCCCAGCTACCTGGGAGGCTGAGGCAAGAGAATCGCTTGAACCCAGGAGACGGAGGTTGCAGTGAGTTGAGATCACGCCACTGTACTCCAGTCTGGGCAATGGAGCGAGACTCAGTCTCAAAAAAAAAAAAAAAAAAGGCAGAAAGTAGGTCTATAGGGCTTGAAGTGATATGCAGTTTGATTTTATTGTACGTACAATGACAATCAGAGGCCATTGGAATATTTTGAGGAGGAGAGTGCTATGTGAATTACATTTTAAAAATATTAATTTTACTCTTTAGAGATTAGAATACAGAGAGTCAAACCAGAAGGGGAGAGAACAGTTAGGATATTGTTCCAGTAGTCCAAGTGAGGAATTATGGCAGCTTGGGCTGGATGACACACCTCAAGACTTGTGGTCAAATTCAATTTATAGTCTGGGCCAGAGTAAATAGGACTTGATGATAGATTACATGTGGAGATTTTGTGAGAGGAGGAGCAAGATCATAATAAAGTCCACATTTTGCTTGACCCAATGATGCCAATTACTTAGATGAAGAAGACTAGGGAGGAAAACTTTTTGGAGGGGAGAGAAATTAGATGTTGAATTAAATTTTAAGTACCTATTAGAAAACTGTAGTTGGATTTCAAAATAAATTACCCTCCACATCTCCATCAGCCCCCACCCAAGACACTTTACAACATTTTTGGACTATGTAGGCATTATTTTTAATATCGTTCTTGTGTATTCAGAATTTTAGATTTTCAAATAAAATGAAGTTCAATATATTAAACGTTGACATGTTTTCTGATAATATGACTATAATTTCATAAAGTTTAATTTGGATTTTATAAGGAATCTTATAAGATAAATTCAGGTCATATGGAAATATGAATTTTTTCATATGGAAAAGAGATTTGTCAATGTAAACAGAGTAATAACTACTGTATTTACGTAAACTTTGGTTGTTGGGATTGCTTAGTTAACTCTTCAGTATTTCGAAGCCCGTACTCATGAAATAGCAATTAACCAACTAACATTTTCCTCCTCTCATCAAATAACAACACTCATTTGTAACTAAAAACTCTTGAGCTGGTGTTGCTTTAGCAGAAAGGTTTTTTAATAGTCCTCATAAATACTCTATATGTGTCCACAAATTAGGCCCAGTAGTCTTATATAAAGTGTAGATAACATTGGCAACAGATAACCTCTAAGGTCATGCACTTTATAATAATAAATACTTCCACCATCTTTGCTTACTGGTCATTCTGTGTGAAACTCATCCTTTAAAAAATTTTTTTGCTCCCTGTGGAACCATTCATAAAAACATACACGTTCCAATTACCATCTTTTGTAAGTCTTCAAGAGAAGAATGCTGAATTGTCTCTTTGGACTGAATCTTTGGATTTTCAAATTATCTAAAATACAATCCCTTTAGTCAAAATCACATGCAGGATGGAGAAAAAAAGCATATCTTAGCCTCTGTGGGTGACTTCTTAGAAAAGAATAGGAAATAAATGAGCTAATGCTGTGGGTGAGTTTGAAGCATTCTCCTTCCACTGGATGCTATGTTGTAGGCCTTTCTTTTTTTACCTCTTTAATTAGCTTGAAGTCACATTAGAAGATGTCTTAAATCCATGTTGTATTGCTTCTACTGGTAATCTTTGTGAATAGCCTAAGGGAGAGCATCTGGCTTAGTTCTCAAATTAAATCTCCTTAAATAGGGAAGTTTTCTTCAAATATATTATGATTCTTATTGAGGCTCAGAAAATAATACCCCAAAGTATGGAGCTTAGGCATGCTAAGTACTTTGAACTAAAGGAGATTGGAAGGCCTCAGCAGCAAGTTCTCACTGACCTTCCCTCTGCCTTCCTATATTTCATCCCTCTTTCTCCTCTGAAGTGAGTCACAGAAGCCAGAATTCCTCTTCCCTAAGGTGGGTCATAGAAACAGAATCCCTCTCTCACAAAGCAAGCCATCAAACTTAGAAATATTACTCTTACCTTCCCCAGCCTTTCTGTGTGGGAGCTGACCATAAATAAATTCTTGGCCTTACCTTGTCTCACAGTAGGGCATAAGATCCTCATTCCAGAGAGGTCCTTTCCTATACCCAGGAGGAAGGAATGCTATACAGAGAGGCCAAGAAAAATATGAACAGACAGGCTTTTCTGTGTTTTCCTCCATCAGTCTGTTACCATTAGCTTATACCCCTTTTATCCAGTCACGTTTCTGTATGGCTCTCCATTCTTCAACAAATCTAAGAATAAAAATGGGCGTATTTCCCTAGGTTTTTGGGTCTTCATTTCTGAAGTCTCCCATGTCACATGAAGCTTTGATTAAATAAATTTGTTTTCCTTTTCCGTAATTAACCTGTCTTTTGTTGTAGCAGTATCAGTCAGCCATGACCCTTATGATGAGTGAGAGAAGTTGTCACACCTTTCCACTCCTACATTCTCCAGAAAAAAAAAATCCAGAGAAGCACATGGAAATGCCTCACACTTGCCAAGCCTGGAGAGCCTCACTTAGTAAGCTTTGGGAAGCACAAAACGCACATCCACCTTTCAGTGAGAAATCTTTTAGGCTCATGTCTTCCCCCAGATTGCAGGCAAAGAGAAATTCTCAGGGAACTATATCAAGAAAGGTACAAGAATGGAGTTATTAACAAACCCTTGACAGGTGTCTGTAAATAAAAGTTGATGATTTCACATTTGGTCTTGGCTTGAGAAAGATGTAATTTGGGATTAAAAATAAATATACTGGAGCATATACATCTTGATCAGAAACATTCAAATGCACAGCTAGACACAGACACTGTAGTCTGAAAGTATAATTAAGATTCACCATCTCTATATAACACAAGCATAGCAAATTCATTGTCTTTAAAGGTGAAGGTTCAGAAAGTGTTGGGGGAGAGGAAATATTAACTATGAGGAAAATGGCATACAGCCCATCAAACAGCTGTATCTTAATTTAGGATTAAGAAAGCAACAGGGAGGGGACTGAATTATAACTAAAAATCATACACACAAAGGGAAAAATATTTCAATGAATCTCAAAAACACTCCTTAATCTAAGAGAACTACTGTTTCCTTAAGTAAACATGTCTGCTGAGATACACAGCATTAATGGGTAGGCGTTTAAAACAAAACAACTGTGCAAATGAAGTAGACAATGTTTTCTTGCAAGTGAATGATTTGCAATGGTAATGAAGCCCCCTCTCCCACAAACCCCATTACGTAGTACTCATTAAGTGAAGGGCTCTTCCAAATACACATGGACAGGCCAATTGCAGTTGTTGACAGAAAAAGCCTTGCAAATGAACACGTCGCTGCTCTGAAAGAGAGTTAAAGGAATTTTAATTTTTCATACTCTTAAACCCTTTATTGCAATGTTAATAATAATCAGATAAAGTAAATTTAAATGATTCACCAAATCAATTTACACTTCAAAATGCTGAAATTGTATGGCTGAGCTACTTGGATCAGATATTGTTAGGATTAGTACTTTGGAACATCCCTGAGGAGACAGTGCTGTGATTTCTGGTGTTTTGTGTGTGATTCATAATTTTTTTTATTCTGTCAGTAGGCCAGCCTTGTAATCATGTTCTATAGTCAGTTCATAAAAACCAGAGGAAAAAAATCAATTACAGAGGTATTTCAAAAGGGATAGATTAGAGCTTTTTTGGTCGTTTCCTTTTTGACAAATGGATTTTCAAAGAACCTTTTAGTGACATCACTAGTCCTCTTCCAGACAGGGCTCCTGAGCTTTGAATTCTCCTGCAAAGAAGGCAGCTGCATGTGTCTAGGTGTAGGGGAAATGCTATGCAATGTAGATCTCCTTCCCAAACTTTTAATGTCTTAGGGTTTTAGCCCAAGGACCGTTCCCTCTCTTATTAATGTGACTGGTTTGGGGAACACCACAAAGGCTTTTATTTGAAAGTGTTCTTTTTCACACCCAAACAAGAACTGTTTTTCAGAATTGTGTCAAGTAAGAAGCCCTTGACATAGTCATTTACAGTTAAAGACTTTCTTAAACTCTTTAAATAATTTGGGAACTTAAAACCAATTTGATGCCTAATTGATGTTTAATGTTTGCCTCACAAATGTAGTAGGATTATGGGAAGTAGAGCTCAGCAGGATTCCATTGGTCGCTTTTACTTCTGAATTCATGAAGATAATCATGTATATGGGAAGTTAGCAAGAGTGAAGGGCAGTTAATGATGGCAGAGGCTGCACAGTACATGCATTTAGGATGCACATAAACTTCAGGATGAATTTGGTAGGTAGTATTGTTGCCTCCAAAAAGATTCCCCTCAATAATTCCCAGGACTGTGTATGTACCTTATATATTACCTTAAATAACAAAACAGACTTTGCCGTGGTTCCATTACTAATCAGTTTATTTTAAAATAGGAATATTATCTTGGATTATCTGTGGGATGAGTGGGATGGGACAACAAAATCACAGAAGCCCTTAAAAGCAGGCAGAAAGAAAAGGAAAGAAAGATTTGAAGCATAAGAAGTTTTCCGCATTGTTGATGGATTTGAAGATGAAAGGAGCCAGGAGCCAAAGAAGGCAAGAGGTCTCTAGAAGCTGAGAACAATGCCCAGCTGACAATCAGCAAGAACATGAGAGCTCAGTTCTGTAGCTGCATGAAACTGAATTTGGACAACAGCCTGAATGATCCTGGAAGCAGATTCTTCCTGAGAACCTTCAGAAAAGCCATTGGCCAACACCTTGATTTTGGCCTTGTAAAACTCCAAGCAGAATACCCAGACAAACCTAACTGGCCTGATGTGCTAGAGAACTGTCAGATAATAAACAGTTGCCATTTTAGGCCACTTTTTGTAGTAATTTGTTATAGCAGTGATAGAAAACTAATACAAAGCCGTATGTTGATACTAGTAACATATAGACTGCTTATCAATAGCTATAGGATCTGCCACTGCATCTGATTCTTTTCTTTTGTCTGACATCTGGCAAACCCATTCTATGAGCCCCAAATCATAAGGTTCTGGTTCTCCTGATACTTGGTGATCTTTTACATGGATACCTTATACTTTGCTGCCCAACTTAGCCACTATCTCTTTACCATGTACCACAGTCACTTCCCAGGTTTGCTACTAGCCTCTGTTTCTACTCTAGTCTAGCCACAACAAACAAAAGTATTTTCCCATGCAATTTAAACAGCATTCAAAAACAAAGTCCATTTTTTCGTTTTGATTTTAAACTATCTTGAAATACTTTTACATTTATAGAAAAGCCACAAAGATAATAACGTTAAATGAATTTTTTGAAATGGATTTTGAAGGCTGATTAAGAGTTTGAGTACCGCAGAGCAGTTGTGCTTAGATGACATAATCTATTGTGAAGTGTAGTATCAGTAAACTTTAAATCGGCTTAGACATGACTAGATGGAAGAGCACCATTTAACTTTCCTAACTCAGGGTCCGTTGCAATAACAGTGGCAACCTCAGTTGCACTCTGTCATCTAGTGCAAAAGAGCATTAAGGAAGGGATCATGGAGGGAAAATAACACATACTTACATAGCTTAAAATGTAAATTAAAAGGAAAAACATATAAAGGGTATAGATGCACAGAACTAATTTTCTTTAAGCATGTGGAAAATCTCTGTGGAAGAGACTGAACTGTTTGCTCATATTTCTGTGATGGTTTTCAAGCTGTCATTCATCATGTATTATGATAGATACATCTTTGCATGCCTACAAACTGCACTGAATTCCATTTGGTTGGGCATGGAGATGCTAATGTGGAATACAGGAAAACAGAGGTCACCCTTCAGTATTTCTACACTAACAATGTGCTTTAATTAAAACAAACAAACAAACACTACAGAAGCAGCCCTGCTACCTACGATGCCTTCCTTGCAGGCAGAGGCAAAAAGGTATTGGTCATGATCTCTCCATGGGAACCTTTCTTCTTGTCGTCATGATTCAGAGTAGGGATGTAATGTTTAAAGAAGATGGTTTTGGCTCTGGCATGTGGAAAAGAAAGGAAAAATTCAGGGGTGTGGATATGGAAACATGGTCAAGTTTCCAACCTGTACTGGGGAAGAGATTGGTTATGTTCTTGATAACAGTTGGTTTCTGAGTCAGCCAGAAACACCCGTTTCATTGTGTTTAATCCAGTGGTTTTCACTGAAAAGCTGTTCTGGCTAAAAGATGAACTTGACTAGTATACAAGAACAAGGGATTACTATTAGCAAATTTAGGGTCAGTTAAAGTCCTGTTTATAGTTTTTTTTTTTTTTTTGCGCATAGGACAACTTTTTAAATAAAAACTTTACTCAGACACCATATTCCTTCGTGAGGCCCATTATTTTGTGAAGATATTTTTTAAGGTTGGATGTTCCTGAGGAAATTGAAGTGGGTAATTCACTTTGTTAGTAAAATCCATGCTTTTTAAAATTGATAAGCATGACTGGCTGTAATAAAGGAAAAGGGGAATAAATTGAAACAAACACATCAGTAGAGTAGGTGATAGAAATGTAAACAGGAGTCCAATGACTGCATTTGTTATTTTTTTATTTTTAAAATTTATTTTGAATTTTTATGGATATATAATAAGTGTATTTATTTATGGGTTGCATGAGATGTTTTGATACAGGCATACAATGCATAATAATCACATCAGAGTAAATGGGTATCCATCACCTCAAGCATTTGTCTTTTGTGTTATAAACAATCCAATTATACTCTTTTAGTTATTTTTAAATGTACAATAAAATTATTGACTATAGTCACATTGTTGTGCTATCAACTATAAGTTCTTATTCATTCTTTCTATTTTTTTGCACCCGTTAACAATCCCTACCTCCTCCACAACACCTACTACCCTTCCTAGCCTCTGGTAGCCCTCCTTCTACTCTCTATCTTCATGAGTTCAATTGTTTTAGTCTTTAGCTCGCACAGATGAGAATATGTGATATTTGCTTTTCTGTGCCTAGCTTATTTCACTTAACATAATGACGTCAAGTTCCATCCACATTCTTGCAAATGACAGGATCACATACCTTTTTATGGATGAATAGTACTTCATTGTGTATATGTACCACATTTTCTTTATCCATTAATTTGCTGATGGACACTTAGGTTGCCCGAAAATCTAGTCTATTGTAAATAGTGCTGCAGTAAACATGGGAGTGCAGGTATCTCTTTGATATACTAATTTCCTTCCTTTTGGGTATACACCTAGGAGGGAAATTGATGGATCATAAGGTAGCTCTATTTTTAGTTTTTTGAGGATCCTCCAAACTGTTTTCTATAGTGGTTGTACTAATTTATATTCCCAGCAAGAGTGTACAAGTGTTCCATTTTTTCTACGTCCTCTTCAGCATTTGCTACTGCCTGACTTTTGGATAAAAGCCATTTGAACTGGGATGAGATAACATTTAATTGTAGTTGTGATTTGCTTTCTCTGATGATCAATGATGTTGATAACCTTTTCATTTGCCTGTTTGCCTTTTCCATGTTTTCTTTTGAGTAAAGTCTATTCAGATCTTTTGCCCAATTTTGACCAGATTATTAAATTTTTTTTCCTATAGAGGTGAGTTCCTTATGTATTCTGGCTATAAATCCCTTTTCAGATGAGTAGTTTGCAAATACTTTCTCCCATTCTGTGAGTGGTTTCTTTACTTTGTCGATTGTTTCCTTTGCTGTGAAGAAGCTTTTTAATTTGGTGTGATCCCATTTATCCATTTTTGTTTTGGCTGTCTGTACTTGTGGAGTATTACTTAAGAAATCTTTGCCCAATCCAATGTCTGAAGACTTTCCCCAATGTTTTCTTATAGTAGTTTCATAGTTTGAGGTATAAGAATTAAGTCTTTAATCCATTTTGATTTTTGTACACGACAAGAAATAAGGGTGTAGTTTCATTTTTCTGCGTATCAATATAGTTTTCCCAGCACCATTTAGTGAAGAGACTGACTTTTCTCCAATGCATGTTCTTGGCACCTTTGTTGAAAATAGTTCGCTGTAGATGTATGAATTTGTTTCTGGATTCTCTGTACTGTTCCATTGTCCTATGTGTCTGTTTTTGTGACAGTACCATGCTGTTTGTTTACTATAGCTCTGTTGTATAATGTGAAGTCCAATAATGTGATTCCTCCAGTTTTGTTTTTTTTTTCTCACTTAGGATGGCTTTGCCTATTCTGGGTCTTTTGTGGTTCCATATAAATTTTAGAACTTTTCTTCTATTTCCGCAAAGAATGTCATTGGTATTTTGACAGGGATTGCATGGAATCTGTAGATTGCTTTGTGTAGTAGAGACATTTTAACAATATTGATTCTTCCAATTCATGAATATAGAATATCTTTCCCTTTTCTGTGTCTTTATTGTCTTTCATCAATATTTTATGGTTTTCATTGGAGAAATATTTTACTTCTTTGGTTAGGTTAATTCCTAGATATTTTGTTTCATTTTTAGCTGTTATAAATGGGATGAAATTCTTGATGTCTTTTTCCAATTTTTCACTGTTGGCATACAAAAATGCTACTGACTTTTCTATGTTGATTTTCTATCCTGTGAGCTTATGGAATATACTTATCAGTTTTAATAGATTTTTGGTGCAGTCTTTAGATTTTGTGAAATATAAGATCATATCATTTGCAAACAAGGATAATTTGAATTTCTTCCCTTCCATTTTGAACACTCTTTATTTCTTTCTCTTGTCTGATTTCACTAGCTTGGACTTCCAGCACTATGTTGAATAAGAGTGCTGAGTGGGCATCCTTGTCTTGTTCCAGATCTTAGAGGAAAGGCCTTCAGTCTTTCTATATTCAGTATGTTACTAGTTGTTGGTCTGTCATTTTATGGCTTTTATTATGTTGTGATATGTTCCTTCTATACCCAGTTTTTTTTTTTTTTTCGTGAGTTTTTGTCATGAAGGGATGTTGAATTTTTTTAAATGCTTTTGCAGCATCTATTGAAATTGTTATATGGTCTTTCACCTCCATTCTTTTGACTTGATGTATCACATTGATTGATTTGTGTATGGTGAAACATAACTGCATTCCTGCAATACATCCTACTTGGTTATGTGAATGCTTTTTAATACGTTGTTGAATTCTGTTTGCTATTATTTTATTGAGGATTTTTGCATCAATATTAATCAGGAGTATTGACCTGTAATTTTCTTATTTTGATGTGTCTTTGTCTGGTTTTGGTATCAGGGTAACACTGACCTTGTAGAATGAGTTTGGAAGTGTTCCCTTCTCCTTCGTTTTTGGAATATTTTAAGTAGGATTGGTGTTGGTTATTCTTTTTTTTTTTTTTTTTTTTTTAGTATTTATTGATCATCCTTGGGTGTTGCTCGGAGAGGGGATGTGGCAGGGTCACAGGATAATAGTGGAGAGAAGGTCAGCAGATAAACACGTGAAAAAAGGTCTCTTGTTTTCCTAGGCAGAGGTCCCTGCGGCCTTCCGCAGTGTTTGTGTCCCTGGGTACTTGAGATTAGGGAATGGTGATGACTCTTAACCAGCATGCTGCCTTCAAGCATCTGTTTAACAAAGCACATCTTGCACCGCCCTTAATCCATTTAACCCTGAGTTGACACAGCACATGTTTCAGAGAGCATGGGGTTGGGGGTAAGGTTATAGATTAACAGCATCCCAAGGCAGAAGAATTTTTCTTACTACAGAACAAAATGGAGTCTCCTATGTCTACTTCTTTCTACACAGACACAGTAACAATCTGATCTCTCTTTCTTTTCCCCACATTTCCCCCTTTTCTTTTCGACAAAACCGCCATCGTCATCATGGCCCGTTCTCGATGGTCGCTGTCTCTTCGGAGCTGCTGGGTACACCTGCAGAAAGGCTGTCACTTCACACTTGGAAGATTGCACAGTGGCCAGGCAGAGGCGCTCCTCACTTCCCAGACAGGGTGGCCGGGCAGAGGCGCTCCTCACTTCCCAGACGGGGTGGCAGCTGGGCAGAGGCGCTCCTCACATCCCAGATGGGGCGGCCGGGCAGAGGCACTCCTCACTTCCGTGTTAGTTATTCTTTAAATGATTGGTAGAATTCAGCAGTGAAGCCATTTCATCCTGGGCTTTTCTGTGATGGGAGACTTTTTATTATGGGTTTGATCTCGTTACTTGTTATTGGTCTGTTCAGGTTTTGGACTTCTTCATGGTTCAATCTTAGTAAGTTCTGTGTGTCTAGAAATATATTCATTTCTCAAATTTATTTAGCTGCTCATAGTAGCCACTAATGATCTTTTGAATTTCTGTGATATCAGTTGTATTGTCTCCTTTTTTTAAAATCTCTGATTTGATTTATTTGGGGCTTCTCTCTTTTTTCTTAGTTAGTCTGGGTAAAGTTGTCAAATTAGTTTATCTTAAAAAACAACTTTTCATTTTGTTGATCTTTTGTATTCTTCATCTCGATTTCATTTATTTCTGCTTTGATCTTTATTATTTTCTTCCACTAATTTAGGCTTTGGTTTAGTCTTGATTTGATAGTTCTCTAATATGCATTGTTAGGTTATTTATTTGAAGTTTGTCCTCTTTTTTGATATAGGCACTTATAAATTTCCCTCCGAGTTATGCTTTTGCTGTATCCCATAGGTTTTGGCATGTTTTGTTTCTATTATAATTTGTTTCAAGAAATTTTTCAATTCCTTCTTAATTTCCCCATTGACCCACTGGTCATCCAGAAGCATATTGTTTAATTTCCATCTGTTTGTATAGTTTCCAAAATTCCTCCTATTATTGATTTCCACTGTGATCAGTGATGATGCTTGATATTATTTCGATTTTCTTGAATGTTTTAAGACTTGTTTTGTGACCTAACATATAGTCTATCATTAAGAATGACCCATGTTCTGAGAATAAGAATGTGTATTCTGCAGCTGTTAGATGAAATGTTCTATAAATATCTATTAGTTCCACTTGGTTTATTGTTTGGATTAATTCTGATGTTGTGCTGTTGATTTTTCTGTCTGGAAGATCTGTCCAATGCTGAAAGTTGAGTGTTGAAGTCTCCAGCTGCTATTGCATTGGAGTCTATCTCTCTCTTTAGGTCTAATAATATTTGCTTTATATATCTGGGTGCTACAGTCTTGGGTGCATATGTATTTGCAATTGTTATATTCTCTTGTTGAATTGATCTCTTTGTCATTACATAATGACCTTCTTTGTCTCTTTTTATAGTTTTTGTCTTAAAATATATTTAGACTGATGTAAGTATAGCTACTCCTGCTGTTTTTTTGGTTTCCATTGGCATGGAATACGTTTCTCCATCCCTTTATTTTTAGCCCGTGTGTGTCTTGATGGGTGAAGTGTGTTTCTTGTAGACACCAGATCAATGGGTCTTGTTTCTTTCCATTCAGCCACTCTATCTCTTTTGATTGGAGAGTTTAGTCCCATTTATTTTCAATGTTGTTATTGAAAAGTAAAGACTTATTCTTGCCAATTTTTAATTGATTTTCTGGTTGTTTTGTGGTCTTCTCTTTCTTTTCCTCTTCCTTCATGTCTTTCTTGTAAGGAAAGTGATTTGTTTTTTTCCTGGTGGTATGACTCAATTTCTTGCTTTTTATTTTTTGTGTATCTGTTATACTTTTTTTTATGTTTGGAGTTACCACAAGGCTTTCAAATAATACCTTATAATTTATTATTTCAACCTGATATCAACTTAACTTTGATTGCATGAAGAAACAAACAAGCAAAAAAAAAAAAACCTACTAAATATCTATACTTTAACTTTGCCCATCCCCCACTTTTTGACTTTTTTTTCCTGTTATACTGTCTATGTCTTGAAAAGCTGTTGTAGGTATTATTTTTGATTGGTTCATCTTTTACTCTTTCTACTTAAGGGAAGAGTAGTTTACACACCACAATTGCAGTGTTATAATATTCTGGGGTTTTTTTCTGTTTACTTACTATTATCAGTGAGTTTTGTGCCTTCAGGTGATTACTTATTCCTCATTAGAATCTTTTTTTTATGATTGAATAACTCCCTTTAGCATTTCTTATAGGAGAGGTTTGGTGTTTATGAAACCCCTCAGCTTTTGTTTTTTTCTGGAGAAGTCTTTAATTCTCCTTCATGTTTTAAGGATATTCTCACTGGATATAGTATTCTAAGATAAAAGTATTCTAAGATAAAAGTACTTTAAATATGTCATGCACTCTCTTCTGGCTTGTAAGATTTCTCTGAAAAGTCTGCTGCCAGTGTATTGGCGCTCCATTGAATGTCATTTGTTTCTTTTCTATTGCTACTTTTAGGGTCCCTTCTGTATTCTTGACCTTTGGGAGTTTGATTATTAAATGCCTTGAGGTAGGGTTTTTTGGGTTAAATGTGTTTGGTGTTTTATAATAACCTACTTGTTCTTGAATATTGATATCTTTCCCTTGGTTTTGGTAAGTTCTATTATCCATTTCAGTAAACTTTCTAACCCTATCTCTTTCTCTACCTCCTCTTCATGGCCCAAAACTCTTAAATTTGCCCTCTTTGGGTTATTCCTAGAGTTTGTAGGTGTGCTTCATTCTTTTTCATTGTTTTCTTTTGGGAGGGACCTTCTCTGTGTATTTTCTAATGGCCTTTTTTCAAGCTCACTAATTCTTTCTTCTGCTTGATCAATTCTGCTATTAAGAGAATCTGATGCATTATGTAATAACTGAATTGCTGACTGCATCTCTTAATAACTCTGTTTTTTAAATTGTTTTTTTTTTTCCCAAGTCTTACCATAATCTGAAATAGCTATGTATCTAGGTGCGCCGGACTCTGAATGTTCAATCTGCTCTCCTACTTTCCTGAGGATTTGAAAGCAGTTCCCTCATCTTGTCTCTTTAGTTCTTCTGCTTGTTAACACCATTTAACCTGGTAGGATCCATGGGTGAAGGAAGAAGGAGAAGTTTGAATATTTGGGAATAATGTGAACTTTCTACATTCTTCCCCTGAATTGTAACATAAGTTGAAGTGCCTTTGGAGCTACTGAAGTTGGCTTCAAAAGTGGCTTGAGAGAGAAGATTCCACTATGTGGCAAGACTTACAACTGAGAAGATTTAAAATTTTACTATCTTGTTAGCTTTTCCACTGGAAAAGGCTTTACAACAGCACATCATATTCATATCTCTGTGCATTTTCAGAGATTCTCAGATAGGCTACTTTCTAAGTACCTGAGCAAGTCTGCCATTTAGTTTCACAGGCTCTAGAATTTTCAGAAATATTTCAGTTTCCTTGATGCTACATTTCTGAGTCACTTCCTTGCTTTGGCACCTTGTTCATTGTATATCTATTTAGTATGGATAACTTTGCAATTTTCTGTCTGGCTATCCCCATGATGACACAGATCTGCCTCGTCATCTAGAATATAAGAAGGGAGAAGTGGACCTTGGATTCTAATGTACAAAAAAAAATGTAATTAAAATACCTTCCTCAGTGGCAAGGGAGCTGATGGAAAAGCAGATGAAATAGTGCAAACAAAAAAACAAAATAAAACAAAAATAAAGGCATATTGCCCACGTGCTACATTTAAATAGTACTCTCTGCCCCCCATATGAAGCTGTTATTCTTCTCCTAATGCCACGCGGTAGAGATGTGCAGTTATCAGCAGCAATGCAAGTATTGAGAGTAAATCAGGTCAATGTGGGGAAAACAGGAAGTGCCATGTAATGAAAAAGTGAAAGGAAAGTCTATATAAATTAAAAAGAAAATAAATTAGGACAACAAGCAGAGCAAAGAAAGTCAGAAATTTCACATAGTGAAATTAAAATAATAATAATATCATATTATTAATATCTAAGAAAATTAAGATATTGAGATTTAGAATAAGTTTTTATAGGCTGAAAATTTAATATAAACCTGGGCCAAAAACCACAAGCAAAACCTGTATACCTTGAGGCAGCTGGAGAAAGTGCCAGAGACTAGAGCCTTTGATAATACTAGCCTAAGGCCAAGCCAAGTTTGAGGGTTTTTTTCCTCCTTCCTTCTTGAACATTCTTGTCCTCTGTCTCATCTTTAGGAGTCCTCTCTCTCATCAATGACAGATAGCTAATCTGGTTAACAGATTCACAATATTTGATTAAAGATATAGTGAAAAGAACACAGGCTTTGTCCTCAGACAGAACTAGGGTCAGATCTCAATTCTTTTTCCTACTGCATTTCTTAGTTGTGTTGTCTTGGATTTCTTTCTTAAAATATTTGATGTGTTTTAAAATTATTTTTATTTTTATTTCAATAGTTTTTGGGGGTACAAGTGGTTTTGGTTACATGGATGTTCTTTAGTGGTGATTTCTAAGATTTGGAGCACGTATCACCTGAGCAGTGTACACTGTACCCAATATGTAGTCTTTCATTTCTCATCTACCTCCCACCCTTCCCCCTGAGTCCCCAAAGTCCATTATGTCATTCTTAAGTCTTTGCATCCTCCTAGCTTAGCTCCCACAAATAAGTAAGAACATACAATATTTGGTTTTCCATTTCTGAGTTACAACACTTAGACTAATGGCCTCTAGCTCCATCCAAGTTGCTGCAAAGGCCATTATTTCATTCCAGTTTATGGCTGAGTAGTATTCCATGGTGTATATATACAATACTTTCTGTTTCCACTTGTTGGTTGATGAGCATTTAGTCTGGTTCCACATTTTTGCAATTGCAAATTGTGCTGCTAAAAAAACATGTGTGGTGCCCGTATCTTTTTCATATAATGACTTATTTTCTTTTTTGTAGATACCTAGCAGTAGGATTGCTAGGTAGAATGGTAGTTCTACTTTTAGTTTTTTAAAGAGTCTCCATACTGTTTTTCATAGTGGTTGAACAAATTTACATTCCCACCAGCAGTGTGAAAGTGTTACCTATTCACCACATCCATGACACCATCTGTTATTTTCTGAGTTTTAAATTATGGCTATTCTTGCAGCAATAAGGTGGTATCTCATTGTGGTTTTAATTTGCATTTCCATGATAATTAATGATGTTGAGTATTTTTTCAAATGTTTGTTGGCTGTTTACATATCTTCTTTTGAGGATTGTATTCATGTCCTTTGCCCATTTTGGATGGGATTATTCAGTTTTCTTTTCTGGCTAATTTGTTTGAGTTCCTCGTAGATCTGGATATTAGTCGTTTGTTGGATGCAGTTTGTGAATATTTTCCCCTACTCTGTGGATTTTCTGTTCACTCTGCTGATTATTTCTTTTGCTGGGCAGAAAGTTTTTAATTTGATTAGGTCCCATTTATTTTGTTGTTGTTGTTGCATTTGCTTGTGAGTTCTTAGTCATGAATTCTTTGCCTAAGCCAACGTCTAGAAGAATTTTTTCAGATGTTATCTTCTAGAAATTTTATGGTTTCAGATCTCAGATTTAAGTCTTTGATCCATCTTGAGTTGATTTTTGTATAAGGTGAGAGATGAGAATCCAGGTTCATTCTTCTACATGTGGCTTGCTAGTTTTCCCAGTACCATTTATTGAATAGGGTGTTCTTTCCCCAATTTATGTTTTTCTATGCTTTGTTGAAGATCAGTTGACTGTAAGTATTTGACTTTATTTCTGCTATCTCTATTCTCTTCCATTGGTCTATGTGCCTATTTTATACCAGTACTGTAGCCTTGCAGTATAATTTGAAGTTGGGATATATGTTCTAAAAATGAAGATAATTATGTTTACCACACTCCATTGCTGTGAGGATTAAAGTAATGTCTGTAAGGCACCTAGAAGAGTACCTCAGATATAGTAGGTGCTTAATAGATGGAGGCACTCTTTCATACTCAGAATACTCTTCTCATGACTGTATAATTTCATGTGACTCTCCAATGCGTTATACCAAAAGAATATAAAGTAGATTTCAAGTGCCAGATATGAGTATTTTATGTCATTATTATTTCTAACTTTTTTTTAAGTTTGTAGAATGTGCTGGGTCTCCTGTTAAGGACTACAGTAAACAATTTTATTTAACCTCAAAGCAACCCTATGAGCTAGATGCCGTCAGTATCTCCACCTTATGAAATAGGAAACTAAGGTACAAAGAGGTTATAAGTAACTTGGCCAAGATCACAGAACTAGAAAGTAGAACAGGCAAGACTCTAATGCCCTACTCAAATATAATGACATAAGAGCCTCTCTATGCTGCTTAAAGAGAAATGCTATCCTGAAAAATGTAGCCAATGCGCTAAGCGTCTACACTTGGTGAATGACTACTGTACTACTCCGATGATCCAGACAACAAATTAAGATGTCAACAGTTAAAGTCCATAATGTCAAAAATAGCTACTATTTCTTGAGTGCCTGCCATGTACCAAGTATCATGTTATGCACTCCACATATATATTATTTAATGCTTACAACAATTCAGTAGTGTAATGTTGATCTCATTTCCATTTTACATGGTGAAAACACAGAGTCTTAGAGAGGTCAAGTAACTTCCTCAGGATTAAAAGGTTAATAAGTTGTAGCACTAGAATGCAAAACCCTGTTTGTCTTCTGCTAGGCTGTGTCAAGGATTGTGCATCTTTCTTTCTCATGCGTGCCTGAGCAGGGAAGAGCAGTTCTGTTTAGTCTTCCCCTGAGTGCTAATGGTTCAGCTGGGAAGTTCAAATTCAATTTTCAAAGCCATTTTCCATCAGTGCTAACTTGTGCTAATCAGTGGGGGTATTCACTTGAAAGTAGCACTTTGGAAGTAACGCCTTTAATGTTTTCAAAAGCAGAAGGGAATTTTGTGAGAGTGTCTTTTTTATTTATTCTTCTTTTTTGCCTTTTATTTTATTGTGAGTCATACTGCTGGCTAGTTTCACTGAGAATCAATTATAATCTAACTCTTCATCCAATGATAATAAAATACATAATACAATGGTTTACAAGGAAAGATTTGGGTTCTACATTTCTGTTTGATTTAGCAAATTTATTTGTTGAAATTTGAATATGATTTTCCATAACTATAATAAACCTACACACAAAGTCACAGTTCTTCATCTCATGAATTTAGGTAACTCATAGGGATTAAGGAGCTACACAGTGCCTGAAACTGTTAGGCACTAATAATTCAATCTTAAGAGAGATAGGTTGTGTTCTTACTCTCACAGAACTTACTGGTTAGCAATAAGACCTACTTAATTTTATTTCTTATTTACTCATTAATGAATTCATTTATTCATCAGGCATTTACTGAGCAAGTGCTGTGTGTCAGGCATTGTGTTAGGTATTGTGGATAAAAACAAGTAGCAATTAATGTTTATTGAACACTTAACTCTGTTCCTAGCATTGTTTTAAACATATTACATTTATGAATTCATGTAATCATCCCAACAATCTTTTGATGTAGGTGTGGCCACTTTGTGGATGAGGAAACTAAGACACTAAAAGATCTAGTAACCTTCCCAGGGTAAATGGGGTGGTATAAGGATTTGAACTGAGGCAGTCATTCCAATGTCTACACTCTTAGCTACCATTTTAAACCGATTACAATAGTGAATGAAAGACAGTCCCTGCTCTTAAGGTGCTCACAGTCTAGCAAAACAGATTAAAAATTTAAATCAAGCAGTTGTAAAACACTATGATTTATGATATAGGATTTATACACTGTCATGAGACCATATTATAGGGCTACCTAACATAGTCTGGAAAGTTTCTAAATGAACATCTAAGCTGAGACATAAAGAATGAAGGTGGTGAGCTATCAAGGAAAAGGGTACAATAGGATGGGTATCTGGGTGAAGAGGGGTGGAAGCTCATTAGGAAGAGTATTCCAACAGAAGCAACATCATATGCAAGTGGAAGTTAATTCATTACGATTGGGATATTGAGTGTTGTAAAGAAGAGTGTGTTGGCTGAGGCTGGAGAATTAATCAGGGTTTAGATTACTCAAGGTTATTTAGGTTATGTCAAGAAATTTTTACTTAATCCAAAGTGCAATATGAATCCACTGAACAAATTTAAGCAAGGGAATCACAGTGGTTTACATTTTTCATATTTCCATTTCTTAAATGATTGCTCCAGTGTGGAGAATGGAACAAAGGAGAAGGAAGACCAGTTGAAAAGTTGTTTGTATAAATCAGTAGCTGAATATGCTTCCTTCTTGAAAATTTTCTGCAACGACAGTTACCCAAGTCTTCCGGTTTCTTTGGCATGCCTTTTTCTATTCCCCAAAAGCATATGCCAGCAGCATGAAAGATACATTTTTGTCTTAAGATCTAATTCTGGTCATTGTTTCTGAAGGGAAGAATTACCGGTCAGTTCATCTTTGTGGTTCTTCCTATTGCATTTTTAGTTTACAGAAAAAAAGTTAATTGAATAAAAATATATACATTTGGTTTATTATGACACAGTTAAACATTTTTTTTCGGGGGGTATATTAGTCTCATTATCCAGATAAACTTCCTAAGGCACAACTGAGTAGGAAACAGCTTAGTACAAGACAGAGATAGTACTCAAGTACTATCTCTTTGTTTTATCCACACCCTCTGATAAGATGCTATGTGTTGAACACATTTGTTCACAGATGAAAACGCTTAATAAGCCAAAGATACTGCTGGGAAAGGCAAAATGCAGGATTTACAAATTTGTGTAAGATAATTGCTTGAATTTCATAGCAAAGTTTAAATAGTGTACCTTCAATAAATAATATAATACAGCTCAACAATGGCATCTTTGATGTGATCTCTAAATACATTTGGAACTTCCAGAATCTAGGTGAGAAAAGATGAAAAAGGGAGAGTTTTATTGCATTAGACCTATTTGGCTAAATAGAAATCTGTAGAGAATTTAACCACTGTTGACAACACTTCAGGTATTCTTACCAAGTTGTTGGAGGCTACATGCTGAGAGAGTATTTTGCCATAAGGAGCAGCACAGTGTGCTGGCTGGGAAGATTTGATACCTGAACTCAAGTTTTTGCAGAACTTAACATCTTGTAGTGCAATACATAATATACACTCACAGGTACGCTTTACAATTCAAACTTGCTGCATCTTAGTGTTAAAAATAAAACATCTGGCCGGGCGCGGTGGCTCACGCCTGTAATCCCAGCACTTTGGGAGGCTGAGGCGGGCGGATCACGAGGTTAGGCGATCGAGACCATCTTGGCTAACACGGTGAAACCCCGTCTCTACTAAAAATACAAAAAATTAGCCGGGCGTGGTGGCGGGCGCCTGTAGTCCCAGCTGGAGGCGGAGCTTGAAGTGAGCGGAGATCGCGCCACTGCGCTCCAACCTGGGCTACAGAGTGAGACTCCATCTCAAAAAAAAAATAATAATAAAACATCTGAGAAAAAGAAAATTTTAAAAAGGTACATGGTATATTACTCTGACTGCAGAATTCAGAGAGCAAACACCCCATATAGCATAGAAAGCTACTCTAATATTTCTTGCTAATCCACAAAATGTTACATGGCGTGGCCTTGACCATTACTTGTGTCTGCCAACTGGCAGTGCTGAGACTGCATAGGGACAAGGTCTCCTTTAAGGACCAATGGACTCACCCATGCTGCTTTGTGTCTGAACTAGTCTCTGTGTCTATGCCCTCAGCAACTTATCGGCACCACACCAGCTGCCAGAAGAGCCATGACAAAGATGTAGAAGTAAGGCTGCTCTTCAGGAGAAATAATCAATTTCACTGTGGGTCAACCTGTTCCCTGCACAATTCTTCTTTCTCCCTCGTTACATCCCACGAACTTAAGAGCTTAATACTCCTCTTTTTTTCTGAGGCATGTGTAAGCAGCAGCAGGGTGTGATGGAAAAAAGCACAGGATCAGGAGTCCTACCTCTGCTGTATGTGAGATTTGGAAGTTACTCAACCTTTCAGAGCACTGGTTTCTAGTTTCCTTCTATGTAAAATGATACTAATAGCTATTGCGCCATGGGGTTATTGAAACATAATATTTGGAAAGGTACCTTGCAAATGCTAAGTAAAAGCACTTTACACGTGCTATAGTTGTTTAAATTTTTCTGGGACTTAGTTTCCCCATCTGGAAAATGAAAGTGTTGGAAAATATGACTTCTAAATGTACATAGAACTCAAACATGGAATAATCTAAATATTATATAATTACTCTGTTTTATAAAAACATTTACTAAGACTATTTTATACTCAAAATACAGTACTCAAGAAAGTGATAAAATGTGCTGATTGTCTACAGTTTTAGGGGAAAGTAGACCACAAGCAGACAGAGAGTGATCAATTTCCAAAGAGAAAACTGTAAGTAGATATGGACTTACACATTTCAGCACAAAGGGATAGAGGTCATGAAAATGAGAACAAACAAAGTAACAAAATGAGAGTCTCCTCGCTCTCTCAAGACTTTGCTGTAAGAACCAATCAGGTGTAGCTAAGGAAGGAAGAAAAAACCCCTGCACATGACAGAAAGATGGTGGTATTTATTGGCCCTTATCGTAGTAACAGAGGCTCAAGTAGGCTATCGGGATATTGAATAGAAGTTAGTGGAGATAAATACAGCCAGTCCAACGGACCTAGGGACAGACCCCTGAGCCACAGCCTGAGTAGCACAATACCACAGCTGTGTGATGGATGTCAATTCCAATAGCGTGGGAAATAGCTGTTTTAAGCCACCTTGCTAAGTGGCTGGAGGATTCTAGGCTGCCATGGAAACACAGGCAGTTGACACCAAAGGGGATGGCTTCTTGCCTTAACATTTGGTCATGGATCTGTGGATAGTGGAAGAAGTTCTGCTTGATACTGATTACAATACTGAAGATAGCAGTGATGCAAAATGCATTTGTTTAACTCATATTTATTGTGAACCTGCTATGTGCTTGTACTTGCTGCTGGCAGTAAAGTGCTGAACAGGAGTTCTGCTCTTGTGGAGCTTACATTCTATTAATAGTTGGTGGAATGTAAAAATAAAATAAGTGTTAAATAGAATGTATAAATAAGTGTTAAATAGAATGGTGATAAGTGATGCAGAAGAAAATAAAGCAGACAGCAGATAGAGAACGTGCATGGAGCAGGCGGTGGGGTTTATAATTTTATTTAGAGTGGTAAGGATTGGCCTGAGAAGTTTGCATTTGACAGAAGAGCTGAAGAAAGTGAGGAGATTATTCAGATATATTGGGAAAGAAAATTCTAGGCTATGAGAATAGCAAGTACAAAGGGCCTTGGAGTAGGAGTGGGCTTGGTATGTTCAGGGAACAGTGAGGAAGTCATTGTGGTTATAAAAAAGCAAGCAAGGAGACTAGTAGAAAGAAAGACTGGAGGTCAGATTAAGTAGCCTCATAGGCTGTTGTAAGAACTTTGGCTTTTGATATTGGTGGAATGAGAGAATATGGAGGTTTCTAAGCAAAAGAGTAATATATAATTTACATATTGAGAGTATCACCCTCTTGTCTGATAAATATACTGTAGAGATGTAGGAGAGGAAGTCATGAGACCAGTTAGAAGACTACCACAGTAATCCAGGTGAAAAGTGATGATTTTGGGACTAAGGTAGTAGTGATGGAGATGGTGAGAGGTTGAATTCTGTATATATTTTGAAGGTAAAGCCATCAGGATTTGCTGACAAATTTGACGTGAGGATGTTAAGGAAGATAAATCAAGATTAAGGCCAAAGGTTTTGGCCTTGTGACTGAAGAATACAGTGGCCAATAGCTGAGATGGGAAAAATAGTGTGAGGAACAGGATTTAGGAGGGTGACTAGGAACTCAATTTTGGAAAAATTAACTTTTAATTCAAATAGAGATGTCAGGTAAATCTAGGGGACAAATCTAGGCTAGAGATAGAAATGTGTGGGTCCTCAATGTATAGTCTGGATGAGGTCATAAAAGGAGAAATACATATTATAGGAATATATATATTAGTCCATGTACCTCTTATCATATATATTATATAATATAGAATAATTATATATAATTATAACTATATAATATTATAACTATATAATATATATTATATAAATATATATGATTATATTTTTAGTGCAATATTAGTGCAACTAATATAGTATAATTATATGAACTAATGTACCTCATATGCATATAATATATGCACCTCTTATATACATATATTAGTCCATGTACCTCTTATTGTATATTATATAATTATATATTATATAATTATAAGAAATACAATTATTTATAATAATTATATATATTTATTATAATAGATAATTATACCTGGCTTCCAAAAACACAATATTAATCTTCATCATAGTGCATCAGGTTGATAGAAGGGAAATATATTTTAGAGGATCATGAGTGGGAGTATTTTATGGGCCAGGGTTATGATTCACATTTTCCATTAACAAAAACTCATTTAGATGAATATAGTGAACTGCAAGGGAGTTTGAGAAATGTAGTCAAACTGTGCACCAAGTTAAAGGAAAATGGGTTTAAGGAACGTCTAACCATCTCTATATAAATAACTATAACTATAATATTAACAATATTAACCATAATGAAGTTAACTATATATAAATATATTATTTACATATATTATACAATTATATTCTTTACAATCCAGAAAATTGCTTTTCAACATTATTGTCATATAGTTAGGTCAAAATTCATTTAGATGGCTACAGTGAAATGCAAGGGGGACTGAAAAATGTAGTCAATATCTAATATAATTTATATTATACAAATTACATTTATTATAATTATATAATTATGTACATGTAAGTATAATTATATAATATATATCCAATAAGAGGTACATGGACTAATGCCTGAGGCACTGTAACATTTAGGGGTCAGAAAAATAAAGTACACATTAGTTAAATGAGCACTAGTTGCCATAACAAGCAAATGCTAAATATCTTTAAAAATATCATATATATATTATAAGAGGTGCATATACTAATGCCTGAGGCACTGTAACGTTTAGTGATGAGAAAAATAAAGCACACATTAGTTAAAAGTGAACACTAGTTGCTCTAAGGAGCAAATACTATCTCTTTTAAAGTTTATATTTTTGCTTACATAAATTTCAAAGTGGTTGCTACTGATGGAGAGACATTTTCCCCCCAAGGTATCTAACTCATGGTTCCACGCTTTTTAATACCTGGTTTCCAAAGACACAATATTCATCTTTATCACAGGGAATCAGGCTGATAGAAGGGAGATAAATTTAGAGGATCATGAGTGGGAGTATTTTATGGGCCAGGTTTATGGTGCAAATTTTCCATTAAAATCTCATTTAGATTGATACAGGGAACTTCAAGGGAGACTGAGAAATGTAGTCAAACTGTGTGCCAAAGTAAAAGAAAATGCATTTAATGAACTTGTAGCCATTTCTGCCACAAGGAAATATTGGCAAAGATTATTGAAGATGAGTAGTTAGTGAAATAGCAGAGTGTGGTGGCTGGAACTAAAAAGCAATTTTTTTTTTTCTTGGAATGGGAGAGAGATGGGTTGAGTAAGATGATCCACAACACTTAACCAGTGGATTTAGCAAGGCATAGGTCAATGGGAACCTTTTCAAGAGCAGAGGGATAAAGTCCAACTGGAATAGATTCAAGACAGAATGAAAGAACAGCGATTGGAGACTGTGTATGAACGTTTATTTCACAAAGTTTTTAAGTACTTTAAACCAGGAATGCCCATCGGCATCCTGGGATTGTACCTACGTAGCTCTACAAAAGAAAATGTTTTTGAATGTCAGAAATGAAGATTGTCGACAAGTTTTGTTTCTCCACCTGGAAAAAATTGTGCCCAGCCATACTTTCAAAAATGAGTTAAAACTACTGCCACAATGATGTAGAAATGCCATTTTCTGAATTATGGATTCACTTCTGGATTATGGATTCATTTCATCTTGATAAAGATATTCTTGACAGAATTTTAACAAATCAAAAACATAGGTCAACAGTAAGCCAGTAAACCCTATGAAGGTTTCACCCAATATTCTTCATAAGCATGTGTTGAACAAAAGCTTATCACTAATCCAGTTCTGTGAACCTGAGGTCAACTGAAAAAATTAAAAAAGAAAATTCCCAATAATAATCTTGCATAACTTCTTACAATATAGATTAAGAAACTGAAGCCTGGAGAAGTAAAATGACACATCACTCATGAGTAATGGAGATAGGATTTGAACCTAGGACTCGTGACTCTTAGGTCAGGGCTTACATCCTTCAATTAATAGTATTCATACTTTCTTGCATCATGTCACACAGATCGTATAATAGTCCTACTTATGACCCTCCAATGGACATAGGAAATGAAGAATTCCTTGGGTTCTAGCCATAATTGTGCTTTTCCCTCATATATCCCAATGCAATTAAGAAGGGATAAACTTGAGGTGACTAGTTCATTTTAAACAGCAGAATTTGCAAGCATGTCAACTTTAATAGCTATTAGTAACCTTTATGACACTTTTCATACTGTCATTGAGATCTACTACATGCTGCCTACTTGTTAATTGCCTTTTTTTCTTTAAGAAACACAAATAAGCATATAGAAAGAGGCAGATTTTCAGATATTTTAGGACACAAGCTCAACTTTCTCCAATAATCTGGATATTTTCTTTAGCTATTTAGGAATAGCTTAAGACTTTCTCCAATTGCTTGGAACCCATGTAGATGTCCTCAGAATCTCCTTTAGCTTTGATTGGAAAGGGATGGCCTCTTAGAAAGCAACCCATACCAGAAGCAATCAGGTTGTGGAGGAGTTGTCAACAATAGGCCAAGAATAGCAGTATGGATTTGAGAATGACTCTCATGAAATCTACCTTAAGCAAAGCAGACTTACCCAAGAACATTAGGCCTCTTATTTGAATAGGCAAGGTATAATACACATTGATTCCCAATATATTAGGATCCAATCAGAATAATTTTTAATTACATAATCTTAATTGAGTGGTAACTACATTAGGATAAATTACAATATAATTCAACATTTATAATTTTTTCGTAGCAACCCCGTATGCTAAAATTATAAATAAAACATTTTGGCATTCCAGAGAAGGAAGTGAAACATCAGGCAATTTTTATATTGCATTGCAGTGGTATGCATTTCAACCTAGGCTGTGGTGGCTACAGTACCATAGGGTTTAGAAGGGAGGCATCAGGGAGGACAAAAGCAGGTAATGAATTTCTGTTTGTATTGACAAGGACACAATTTCTTAGTGCTAGCTGTATTTATGTTGGAAAGAAAATAATACTAACCATTAAAATGGTTAATGTACTTAAAATGGATATTTCAAGTATTAAAAATAAATACAAGTGGTAATTCTTTAGGGAATAATTTGGCATTTATAGGAAGAAATATTGTAAGAAAAAAGTGTTAGGTTAAAATATATTTTCTTTGTATATGAGGTATTCACTAGGCAGAGTAAAGTAATAAGTTTTGAGACAGGGTTAGTTAGAGAGGAGTGAGTAGAGGGTAAACAATATCAGTAATTTTGTTTCCTGGGTGACCATAATCACATTGGAGAGTGAGATTTATAAGATCTTGAGAATCCTGAGAAAAAAAAAATCAGTATAATTCCTCTTTTTGGCATGTTCCCAACCTGGAAAAAAGATAGATTAAGAAAAACAGTTTAAGATTTTACTAAAAATCCCCATAATGAGAAATAATTATCTAAGGGCAAGGGGAGGAGTCAGGCAAGACACAAGTTTCTCAATTAATAATCTGCAGTGGAAGATGGTAGATGTGGAACGTCAGCATAAAAGCTATAAACTGCTAGCTTTTGCTGTCATGGAAGTAGGTAGGCCCAGAGGCCTCTTTATAGAGCCTGGAAGAATATTAGAAGATGGGTACAAAAAATAGAAAGAATAAATAAGACATATTTGATAGCCTAAAATGGTGACTATAGTCAATAATAACTTAATCATACATTTAAAAATAATGATGAGTGTAATTGGATTGTTTGTAACACAAAGGATAAGTGCTTGAGGTGATGGCTATACCGTTCTCCATAATGTGATTATTTTACATCACATGTCTGTGTCAAAACATCTCATGTACCCTATAAGTATACAACTATTACATTCCCACAAAAACTAAAAATTAAAAAATTAGCATCTTTAAGTCCAAACAAAATCAAGGTTTAGCTAAGAAGTATATCAAAGCAGCCAACTTTAACAAGACTGGTGAATTGCCTTATCCCCAGATTTTTTATTTCTTTTAATCTTGCTCTAGTCATATTTTTCCTTAAGGATTATGAAACTTAGATAGCAATATGTGTTATCTTTTTTTATGAGACCAATGATTTATTTTCCACACCCCATACTTATGTACACCTGAGGAGAGCCAAATAGTTGACACTACTACTCCATCAGAAACTACCACTCTCCACTAGCAGCAGTTACACAAGTTTTCATCATCAGACTTAAGAGGATCAAACTACTCTCCAGAGAAGAGATGGTAAATATTTGACACCTGTGATACTATTTCTCTTCTCCTTCGGCCATGGACATGATAAATTAATTATGGGATTCCTTTTGGCGGCACCTGGAAACAGCCTTAAAATTCTTAGCAATGCCTAAGCAACCACCACAAAACAATTGAAATTGCCATATAGAAAGAAACCTATCTATCCTCTCAGCTCTAGAAGGTGTACTTTGCTAACAGCAATCATGCTTACTAGATTATGACAAACTTTACAGAAGTTATGTCTGTTTGAAACTAAAAAGAAAAAATACATTCCTTTGAAAAGTTCCAATTTCAAAGACATTTAGACACGATGGATAAGTAGGAAAGAGTCTTGGAATTAGTGTGATTAGTACTACCATTTCTCTTAACATCTCCTAATCCATTGTAAACATTTGATTTCAGAATAAGGTTCCATATGTATTGCAAAAGCAGAGTGAAAAGATTACACCCTAGAAATGTGTTATTGAAAATGTTCTAAAAGTGTTTCTTTACATGAATATCAATGAAAAGTTGTTTCTTTTTTACTTCACTAGAAGTAATTATTGACCAAATTATGACTAACATAGAACATTTAAAGAATTAAGATAAAAACTGAAATATTCCATTTTTCATTTACAACAGTAGAGGTTTTAGTGTTTTCTTGCAAAATTCTTTAGTATTTTCATACATGTGTTTGTGTGTGTGTATTTTAAAAACTTTTACCTCAGGGATAGAATAAGAAAAGCAGCACACAGCATAGTTTTCCATTAACATTCCTGATTGGCATCATTTGCAGTTTGCAGCCTACATTTAGTAGCTCATTAGCTCTCTAGGAAACCAGTTCCTCATTTCTGGGTATCATACTGAAGTACATTAGAAAGCCAAATCTTTTTTGTGTGTCTTTTCTGTTCTCTTTTTTGTGGTATTTACAAATAATGTTTTGCCTTTAAAGACTCCTTTTAATATGTTCCACATAAGGTATAATTTGTTGGTTTCTATCAGAGCTAGCCCAAAGCAAAATTGGCCAGTCATGGTTTGAACTCCTAGACTACTTTTCTTCCTGGTCTTCATATTCATCACTGCCCCACATCCCACCACATAGTCTTTCTTTCCTATTCCAGGTACTGTGTGCTCCCATGTTGTCCTCTGGCTGCCTAGGCTTTTTGGATGGGTCACTTTATTCAGAGCAGTCCTGTCTCTCCTTTTTCCATTAAAATATATCTGTCCAGTGGCCTGTCCTTTAAGGTATTGCTGGCATATTGAAGCTAACTAGTTACCTTGATTTATAATATAGAGTTAATGTCCATTTCATGTAGTTTCCTTCAATGGCTCAACTGAATTCAGAAACATAAGGTCTTAGGCCAGACTGGTGGAAGCAAAAATTTGGGGAAGTACTATTTGGGCTTTGAAGTACTATTGCTGTGACTCCAATTAAGAGGTTATAGGAGGGAGGCAGAGCAGGATGGCTGAAACCTTCAGTGATCGTACCCCCTGCAGGAAAAGCAAATTGGTATCCACACAAAAAAGCACCTTGAAGAACCGAAGATAAAGTGAGCAATCACACCACCTGATTTTAACATCATATTAAAGAAAGAGGCACTGAGGTAGAAAAGACAGTCTTGAATTGCCTACACCACTCCTTCCCCATCACCTGGCAGTGGCCACATGGCATGGAGAGAGAATCTGTGCACTTAGAGGAGGGAGAGCGCAGTGACTGTGGGACTTTGAATCAGAACTCATTTCTACCCATCACAGTGGAAAGTAACACTGGGCAGAACTCAGCCAATGCCCATAAGTGGAGCATTTAGACCAGTGCCAGCCAGAGGGTAATCACCTATTCCGGCGGTCAGAACCTGAGTACCAGCAAGCCTCACCACCAAGGGCTAAAATGCTCTGGAGTCTCAAACTTAAAAGCCAGTCTAGGCCACAAGGACTGCAATCCTTTGGCATGTCCTGGTGCTGTGCTGGGCTCAGAGCCACTGGACATGTGGGGCACATGTCCTAAGAGGACAGCATTTTGGGTGGCCAAGGAAGTGTTTGTGTCACCCCTCCTCCAAACCTGAGCAGTGCAGCTTGCAGCTCCAGGAGAGACTTCTTACCTCTTCTTGAAGATAGGAAAGGGGATAGTAAAGAGGACTTTGCCTTGCAACTTGGATACCAGTTCAGCCACATTAGAATAGGATACCAGGCAGAGTCCTGAGGTCCACATTCCAGGCCCTAGCTCCCAGACAACTCTAGACATACACTGGGCCAGAAGAGAACCCACTGCCTTCAAGGGAAGAACTTAGTCCTAGCAGATTTCATCAACTGCTGACTAAAGAACCTTGGGCCCTGAAGAATCAGCAATGGGAACCAGGCAGTACTCTCTATGGGCCTTGGGTCAGAATCAGAGCTGGGCTAGCACCACGTGCGACACAGCACATTTCCAGCTGTGGTAGCTATGGGGAGAGACTTACGCCTGAGTAAAGGACAGAGAAGAGTGAAGGGAACTTTGTCTTGTAGATTGGGTACCAGCTTGGCCATAGTGGGTATAACACCAAGCTGGCTCCTGGGGTCTTCAATTACAGACATTTGCTCCTGGGTGGCATTTCTGAACCTGTCCTTAGCCAGAGGGGAGCCCACTGCCTTGAAGGGAGAGAGACTCAGGACTGGCAGCATTCACCAGAAGCTGACTGAAGAGCCCTTGGGCCATGAGTGAGCATTGGCAGTAGTCAGGCAGAAGTTGCTGTGGGTCTGGGATGGTGGTGGCCACAGGGAGAGACTCCTCTGCTTGAGGAAAGGGGAGGGAATAATTTGTCTTATGGCTTGGGTGCCAGCTCAGCCACATTAGAATAGAGCACCACGAAGATTCTTAAGGTTCCCAACTCCAGGCACTGTCTTCCAGACAGCATCCCCAGACCCTGCCCTGGTCTATAGGGAGCTCACCGCTCTGATAAGAAGGACACAAATGTGGCTGGATTTGCCACCTGCTGATTATAGAGTCCATGAACCTTCAGTTAACATAAGTGGTAGCCAGGCAGTGATCACTGCAGACCTTGGGTGAGGCACAGTGCTGTGCTGGCTTCGGGTCTGACCCAGCAAAGTCCCAGTGGTGATGGTCAAAGGAGTGCTTTTGTCATTTATCGCCCAGATCCAGGCAGCTCAGCACACACGGAGAGAGAGACTCCATTTATTTGGGAGAAGTAAGAGAACAAGAGTCTCTGCTTGATAATACGTGGAATTCTTCTGGATCTTACCCAAGACCAGTGGTACCTCTATGGGTCTGTAAGAGCCACAGCACTATTGGGCTTTAGGTTACCTCCTAAAGCAGGTATGCCTGCAGTGACCAGTCTTAGATCACAACACCCAAGTCTTTTTGAATACCTGGAAAGCCTTCCCAAGATGGATAAGTATAAACAAGCTCAGACTGTAAAGACTACAAAAAATACTTAACTCTTCAATGTCCAGACACTGAGAAACATCCACAAATATCAAGACTATCCAGAAAAGCATGACCTCACCAAAAAAACTAAATAAGGCACCAATGATCAACCGCAGAGAGACAGAGGTATGTGACATTTCAGACAGAGAATTCAACATATCTGTTTGAGGAAGCTCAATGATATCCAAGATAACACAAACAAGATATTGCGAATCATATCCAATAAATTTAACAAACAAATTGAAATAACTAATAATAAACAGAAATTTTGGAGCTGAAAATTGCAATTCACATACAGAAGAATGCATCAGAGTCCTTTAACAGCAGAATTGACCAAGCAAAAGAAAGAATGAGTGAGCTTAAAGACAATTTGAAAATACACTATCAGCAGAGACAAGAGAAAAAAGAATGAAGTACATTTACTAGATGTAGAAAATAGCCTCAAAACAGCAAATCTAACAGTTACTGGCCTTAAAGAGGAAGGAAAGTGTCAGAGAGAGAGAGAGAGAGAGAGAGAGAGAGATTGAGGTAGAAAGTTTATTTGAAGGGACAAGGGATAATAACAGAGAACTTTCCAAATTTAAGAAAAGATATAAATATTCAAGTACAAGAAGTTATAGAATGCCAAGCAGCTTTAACCCAAATGAGACTACCTCAATATATTTAATAATCAATTAAACTCTCATAAGTGAAGGATAAAGAAAGGATCCTAAAAGCAGCAAGAGAAAAGAAACATATAATGGAGCTCCAATACATCTGGCAGGAGAATTACTAGTGGAAACTTTATGGGCCAGGAGAGAGTGGCAAGAGATATTTAAAGTGATGAAGGAAGAAAAAGTTTATACTAGAATAATATATCCAGTAAAAATATTCTTTAAGCATGAAGGGGAATTAAAGACTCCCAAACAAAAACTGGGGGATTTCAACAACAACAGCCCTGTTCTACAAGAAATGCTAAACACAGTTCTTCAGTATGAAAGATAAGGACATTAATTAGCAATAGGAAATCACTTGAAGGTACAAAACCCACTGTGGTAATAGTTAAAAAGCAAAGGAAGGAATTAAAGTGTATGACTCTTATTAGTTTTCCATTCCTTTTTGTTATTTTGTTTTTGCAATCAGTGTTGTCACCAGCTTAAAATAGCGGGTTATAAGATACTATTTTCAAGCTTTATGGTAACTACAAATCAAACATAGAGCAGATACACAAAAATTAAAAAGCAAGAAATTAAAACATACCACTAGAGAAAATCACCTTCACTGAAAGAAAGACAGGAAGGAAGGAAAGAAGGAAGATAAGCCCACAAAACAATCAGAAAACAAATAACAAAATGGCAGAAGTAAGTTCTTACTTTTCAAGAATAACATAGAATGTAAATGGACTAAACTCTCCAATCAAAAGACATTGAGTGGCTGAATGGATAAAAAGATAATACCTAACGATCTGTTGCCTGTAAGAAACACTCTTCACCCAATAAACACACACATAGACTGAAAACACAAGGATGGAAAAAGATTTTCCATGAAAATGAAAACCATAAAAGGGCAGGAGTAGTTATATCAGACAAAATAGATTTAACACAAAAACTATAAGAAGAGATAAAGAAGGTCATTATATAATGATAAAAGGATCAATTCAGCAAGAGAATATAACAATTTTAAATATATATGTGCCCAACACTGGAACACACAGATGTATAAAGCAGATATTATTAGAGCTAAAGAGAGAGGTAGGTCCCAATACTATAATAGCTGGAGACTTCAGCACACCACTTTCAGCATTGGACAGATCTTTCAGACAGAAAATCAACAATAACATCGAACTTAATCTGCACTACAGACAATATGGATCTAATAGATATTTACAGAACAATTCATCCAACAGTTGCAGAATACACATTCTTGCCCTGAGCACGTGGATCATCCTCAAAAATAGACCATATGTTAGACCACAAATCACGTCTTAAATAATTTTTTTTAAATTGACATCATATCAAGTGTCTTAGCTGAACACAATGGAATAAAATGAAAAATGAATAACAAGGAATTTTGGAAACTAGACAAACACATAGAAATTAAAAAATATTTTCCTAAATGACCACAGGGTCAAGGAGAAAATTAAGAAATTTAAAAATTTATTGAAACAAATGAAAATGGAAACACAGTGTACCAAAACCTATGGGTTGCATCAAAACAGGTACTAAGAGAAAGTTTATAGCAGTAAGCATCTACATCAAAAAAGTAAAAAATTTCAAAGAAACATCCAAAAATGCATCTTAAAGAACTAGAAAAGCAAGAGCAAACCAAATCATAAATTAGTAGAAGAAAAGAAATAATAAAAATCAGAACAGAAATAAATGAAATTGAAACACAAAAAGTACAAAAAAAACAAAATGAAAAGTTGGTTTTTTGAAAAGGTAAACAAAATTCACAAACCTTTATCCCAACTAACTGTGAAAACATCAGAGAAGACATAAATAAATTAGAGGAAAAAAATGAGACATTACAACTGATACCACAGAAATTCAAAGGATCATTAGAAGCTTTAAAGAGTGAACATCTGCCAATAAATTGAAAAACTTAGAAGAAATGGATAAATTCTTAGACACATACAACCTATCACACTGAACCTTGAAGAAACCCAAAACCTGAACAAGTCAATAACACGTAATGAGATGAAAGCCATAACAAAATTTCTCCCAGTGAACAAAAGCCCAGGACCCAGTGGCTTCCCTGCTGAATTCTACCAATCATTTAAAGAAGAACTAATACCAATCATACTAAAAGTATTCCAAAAAATAGAGGAGAAGGGACTACATTCAAACTCATTCTATAAGGCCACTGTTAACCTGATACCAAACCCAGACAGACACATCAAAAAAAAAAAAAAAAAAAAAAACTACAGGCAAATATCATGGATGAACTCTGGTGAAAAAATCCTCAACAAAATACTAGCATCCTGAATTCAACAACATATTAAGATCATTCATCATGAACAAGTAGAATTTATCTCAGCAATGCAACAATGGTTCAACATATGCAAATCAATCCATGTGATACATTATATCAACAGAATGAAGGACAAAATCAATATGACCATTTCAATAGATGCTGAAAAATAATTTGATAACCCTGAAAAATCTGGGTAAAGAAGGGACATAACTCAAAACAATAAAAGTCCTATATGATAAACCTACAGCTGGTATCATACTGAATGGGAGAAACCAAAAACTGTTCCTCTGAGATCTGGAACAAGACAATGATTCCCACTCTCACCATTCTTATTCAACATAGTACTGGAAGTATTAGCTAGCACAATCAGGCAAGAGAAAGAGATGAAGGGTGTCCAAATTAGAAAGGAAGAAGTCAAATTATCCTTCTTACAGATTACATGATCTTATATTTGGAAAATTCTAAAGACTACACCGAAAAAGCATTAGAACTGATAAACCAATTCAGTAAAGCTTCAGGATACATAAAATAATCAGTAGCATTTCTATATGACAATAGTATAAAAGAAATCAAGAATTTAATCACATTTACAATAGTTACAAATAATATAAAGTACCTAGGAATAAACTTAACCAAAGAAGGGAAAAATATACATAAAATAATCAGTAGCATTTCTATATGACAATAGTATAAAATAAATCAAGAATTTAATCACATTTGCAATAGTTACAAATAATATAAAGTACCTAGGAATAAACAACCAAAGAAGAGAAAAATCTGCACAATGAAAACTATAAATATTGTTGCAAGAAATTGAAGAGAACCCAAAGAGTGGAAAGGTATTCTGTGTTCATGTATTGGAAGAATCAATATTGTTACAATTTCCATACTACCTAAAGAAATCTATAGATTCAATGCAATTTATATAAAAATACCAATGACATTCTTCACAGAAATAGAAAAAGCAATCCTAAAATTTATGTGGAACCAAAAAAGACCTAAAGTAGTCAAACCTGTCCTGAGCAAAAAGAACAAAACTGGAGGAATCACATTACCAGACTTCAAATTATACTACAACAGCTATAGAAACCAAAACAGCATGGTACTGCAATAAAAACAGATACATAGACCAATGGAACTGAATACAGAAACCAGAAACAAATACACAGATCTGCAGTAAACTCATTTTCAACAAAGGGCATAGAAAATATATTGGGGGAAAGGACAGTCTATTCAATAAATGGTGCTGAAAAAAATGTCTATCCATATGAAGGAGAAAGAAGCTTGACCTCCGTTTCTCACTACATACAAAAATCAAGTAAAAATTTATTAAATACTTAAATCTAAGACCTCAAACTTGAAACTACTTAAATAAAATATTGGGGAAGCTCTCCAGGACATTGGTCTAAGCAAAGATTTCTTGATTGTACACACACAATCAAAGCACAAATGGACAAATGGGATCACATCAGGTTAACAACCTTCTTTACAGTGAAGGAATCAATAAAGTGAAGAGACAACCCACAGAATGGGAGAAGATATTTTTAATCTATCCATCTGGCAGTGATTAATAGCCAAAGCATATAAAGACCTCAAACAACTCAATAGGAAAATAATCTAAGACTCTGATTGAAGATAGGTAAAACATCTGAATAGACATTTCTCAAAAGAAGACATACAAATAGCAAATGGGTATATGAAAAGATGCTTAACATCATTGATTGTCAGAGATATGCAAATCAAAATTTCAATGAGATGTCTCACTCCAGTTAAAATGACTTTTATCCAAAAGATGGGCAATAATAAATGCTAGTGAGGATGTGGAAATAGGGAACTCTCTTACACTGTGGGAATGTAAATTAGTACAAACCTTATAGAGAACAGTATGTAGGTTCCTCAAAAAACTAAAAATAGAACTTTCATGTGATCCAGCAGTTCCACTGCTAAGTATATACCCCAAATAAAAGAAGTCAGTGTATTGAAGAGATATCTGCACTACCATGTTTATTACAGTAGTATTCACAATAGCCGAAATTTGAAAGCTACTTAAGTGTCCATCAACAGATGAATAGTAAGAAAAAAAGTGTGAGCTGGGTGCAATGGCTCACACCTGTATTCCCAGAATTTTGGGAGGCTGAGGCAGGAGGATCACTTGAGCACAGGAGTTCAAGGCTGCAGTGAGCTCTAATCACTCCACTGCATTCAGCCTGGGCAACAGAGTGAGACCCTGTCTCTTAAGAAAAATTGTGGCACATATACACAATGGAGTACTACTCAGCCATAAAATAGAATGAGATCCCATCATTTGCAACAACATAGTTGGAACTGGAAGGGTTTTCAGGGCCTAGGGAAATGAGAATGGCTAATGGATACAAAAATATATTTAGATAGAATGAATAAGGCCTAGTATTTACTAGCACAACAGGGTGATTTTAGTCAAAAATAATTTATTCTACATTTTAAAAAAATTAAAAGAGTATAATTTGATTGTAACACAAATAAAGGATAAATCCCTGAGTTGATGGATACCCCATTTACTCTGATGAGATTATTATGCATTGTATGACTGTATCAAAATATGTCATGTACTCCGTAAATATATACACCTGCTATGCACCAACAAACATTTTTAAAAAATGAGGTTACTGGCCAGGCGCAGTGGCTCATGCCTGTAATCCCAGCACTTTGGGAGGCCTAGGCAGGTGGATCACCTGAGGACAGGAGTTCGAGACAAGTCTGGCCAACATGGCAAAACCCTGTCTCTACTAAAAATACAAAAATTAGTCCAGGGTGGAGGCATGCGTCTGTAGTCCCAGCCACTTGGTAGGTTGAGGTAGGAGAATTGCTTGAACCCAGGAGGCAGAGGTTGCAGTGAGCCAAGATGGTGCCACTGCACTCCAGCCTGGGCAACAAAGTGAGACTCTGTCTCAAAAAAAAAAAAAAAAAGAGGTTACATATATCACGTCTATTGAACAAACTCATAATACTTTGTTAAAAAATTTGAATATATCAAAAACCAGTGTATCATTAATGCAAAAATTGTACAAAGTACCAGAAAAGTTGCTTGATAAGAAGAAAAGAACACTGGACTGAGAATTAGAAGATCTTGGTTCTAGTCCAGGCGATACCATGTGTTAGCTGTCATACTCAGCAACTCGATTCCTTCATCTGCATTCCTAAAGCAGTTGTTGAAAGATTAAACTGAGATAATACAGATAAAAGAAATTTGAATACTGTTCAAGGCAGGATCCATGAATAGAGGTAACTTTTACTGTATTTGTCTGTTTTCATACTGCTATAAATGACTGCCTGAGGCTGGATAATTCATAAAGGAAAGAGGTTCAATTGACTCACAGTTAAGCATGGCTGCGGAGGCCTCAGGAAATTTACCATCATGGCAGAAGGTGCCTCTTCATAGGGCGGCAGGAGAAAGAATGAGTGTCAGCAGGGGAATTGCCATATGCTTATAAAGCCATCAGATCTCATGATAACTCACTCATTATCACGAGATCGGCATGGAGGAAACCACCCCTGCGATTTAGTTACCTCCCACCAGGTCTTTTCCACAACACATGGGGATTATGGGATTACAATTCAAGATGAAATTTGGATGGGCACACAGAGCCAAACCATATCAATTACTATGGTGTGAAACAGCCATCCCATGACCGCCCAATGCTTTTGATAAAGCTCCAGACTCAAAATTAACATCTTCCTCCAAGAGTCTACAGGTGGCTAGTTGAGACTAGATAATTTTTTACCTGCCTTATTTCTCAAGAAAATACCACTGTCAACAGACATACGGACTGATACAAGTATTATGTTCAGTGAGGTGACTGCTTGACATACAGATGTGAAATTTATGACCAAAACTCAACTCAGTGCTTTCTGTGGCTGTTTGTGTTCCAATTCCTGGGACATTCAAAAGCCCTCTGATATACTAAGCCTTACATAAATATCAAAGTCACATGAGGCCCACCTACTGGGCAGGCCGCTGTGTGCTGCATACTCCCAGCATCTGTATACTTTTCCAATGCTAACTCATCAGCATTCAGGGTTATTTGCTGAAACCAGATGATATCCTGCTTGGAATTCCATCACTTGCTGGACTTATATTCTGTAGGCAAGGAAAGAACTTTTTTCCTGGTTAGTGGTGTATATACAAAGTCAATTATTCCTATAAAACAGGAGAAATAAGAGAAATAAGGAGAGAGAAAAGAAGGGCAGCTAAATTGAGCTTCAGATTTGAACTATGGAGGCAATATTTTATGGTAGTTAAGCACATGGGCTTTGGGAGTCAGCCATACTTGGATTTTAATGAATCCTAGCTGTGCTACAACTAGCTCTGTGGCCTTTGACAAATTACTTAAACTCTCAGGTTGCTCATCCATAAATGAAATAATCAATGGTAGGTTCCTGATGTTGTTTTTGTGTGTAACAATCGAGACAAGTAATTTGAAGCACTTAGTACAGTGCTTGTCACATAAACATAATTGATATTTTTAAGTGTTTGCTCAATCATTAATACATTCAACAGATATTTACTAAGTTTCTACTATTTGCCAGATCTTGTTTTAGGGATTAGGATACATTAGTGAACAAAACAAAACAAAACAAAACAAAAACACCCAAGTTTCTGAACTTAGGTCCTTACATCCCAGTGCAGAAGACAGAAAGATGGTGAGAAGTAAAATGAAGAAAAATAAAGCATAGTAAGGGAGTTCTGGGGATGGGACAGGGTAGGTGGGTGTTGCTATTTTTATATAGATCAAGAAAGACATCTTTAAGTGACACTTGAGTACAGATTCTTGGAAGTAAGTAGATGTCTGGGGAAATAACATTCCTGACACAGTAAACAAATGAAAAGGCCTAGAGGTGTAGTTCAAACACAGAAGTCACTGTGATTGTTACAGTGATTCAGGTAGAGAGTAACAGGAAAGAAATGAAGAAAGATAACAGGGAAAAAGATTATGTAAGGCCTTGAAGGCCCCTGGGATGAGTTTGGAGGGATTTAAGTAGCAACACGACATAACCTGGCTTACATTTTAACAGAATCATTGACCATATTAAAAGGATCATAGAAGGCAAGGGAGGAAGCACGGAGACCACTTAGGAGGCGACTGCAATAAATCTGGTGAGAGGAGATAGTGGCTTCAACCAGAGTGGTAGCAATAGAGGTGTTAGGAAGTGATGAAATTCTATAGAGCAGGACATATGGTGGTCAGATTTAGTCAAAACTTAACTATCATGGAAAAAGGAAGTATTCCATGTGATCTAATACAATTCACTAGAACTTTCTCAAGTGGAATTTGTGGTCAGAACCCCAGCAAACATTATTTGTCTTCCATTGTCACTGTTGCCTGCATCTGAATCTTTTAGGGAAGAGTTGGAGGTAGTCTGCGTCAAAGTTCTGATATTCTTAGGTTTCTTCACTGTTATTAAGTGGCAATTAATACCAACATTATTTCTAATTGCTACCACTGCTCTCTGTTGTCCAAGTTCAGAAAATCTGCCTTCTCTGCCTCATTTTTCTCTTACTAAATTTGTCTTACCTATCCCTTTTTTAATCTCACTGACAGGAAACAATGTGGTCAGTAGGAGTGGGAGTTAAAGGTGAGTGAGAGGTGGTTCTCAGTGAAAAATTGACATTGAGCAAGTCACTTTCCCTCTATGGAGTCAAATTTCTTACCCCTATACGGAGTAAAAGGAGTGGGTTGAATTGATGAACATTAAGATCCCTCCAGCTCTCAAGTTCTATGATTCATTCAATGATTCACTTATATCCAGACTCTCATCAACACATTGTATATTTATTTTTAACATTTTAATATTTATCATCTCTTTTTAAAATCATTTCAAACTTTCATAGATGAAGAAACAAAGGACTATAGAGATTCTCTGAAACTTTTCCAAGGTTACTTAATGAGTTACTAAAAAAGTTGGTTCCAGGTCCCACTTTTGCCATGGCACCTCAGACAGTGATCATTTGTGAGTGGCACCAGTCTAGTCACTTTTAAGCACTCAATTACCATTCATTGCTTTTCTGAAGCACTCTATTAGAAGATGGAGATATTTTCTTAAAATGTGTTACACATGAATGAGTGGCAGTAAGCTATGGCAAGCAATATCATAAAACATTGTGCTTATGCCATAGTCTTCCTTAGTTAATTAAGGTGGAAAATGCCCTCATTCAAATCATTCATTGGCAGTTTCCCTGATCTCTGGCACACCATTTCTTTCAAATATGGGGTACCTGTAGCACATTAGAAAGCTTAGCTCTTTTCTTCCTTCTTACAATTGCTAACCCTTTGCAGTTTTTATAGATCTTCCAGATGGAAGTCTGAATTAAGTAATCATTTAGATGATATTATTTTCAGCCCCACTACTGCCCAAAGGCAGTGTTAATGACTGAAAGGGGGCTAGTAGAAGCTCTAGAGCTGGTTATGCCCTGCTGATTGCTAATTAGATATAATAGTCGGAGAGTAAACACACAGTTTAAATATCTGTGCCCATATGGGGCTCCATTTTGTCTCATGGGATGAATTTATGCTCTGCGTGGGAGAGACCACATTTTTGTTAAAAGTTGCTGGCTTTCTAAGTAATTAATCCAATGTGTAACTGATAATGCAGCTAATGGGGGCAGGGTGGCTCTAAGGTTGAGTCATGCTGACATTATGAGTGGCCTCCTCTTTGATTTCAGGCTATATTAGGAAAGGAGCAGAAACTATGCTTGGTAAAGTTCTCATGTGTAAGGTCCTGCTTACTTGCCCCTGTTTACGTTTCCATTCTCATTTCTGATTACTTCATTATGTCATGTCTTTCCTTAGCTGTGCTGAATTACTTCCAGTTTCTCAATAAATAGCATGCTCTAACGTGTCTGAGCCTTTGTTTCCTACTCTAAGGATGTGTCTCTCAACTTTCCCCATTTTACTTCCCTCTTCATTTTTGAGATATAGTTTATATGTTACATCCTCCAAGAAGCCCTGGGGTATCCTCCGTGGGGTTAGGTGCCCTTACTTTTCTTTCTTATAAGGCCTATTTCTTTATTACAATTTTAAATAATCTGTTTACTTGCTTTCCTTTACAGGTATTATTTCAGCTCCTCAAGGGAAAGAGACAAGGCTTGTCTCTGAATTCCCACATCCTACAAGTAGTCCCTATCACATGGTTTGTTCTCAATAATCTTCTTTTAGATGATTGATTGAACATTTCATCTATGACTCTACAGGCATGACGAGATGGGTATTTCAGGCACTGTGACAGAATGATGAGGGCAGTTTCTCAGTGTGTGTTTTTCTGAGACAGGGAAAGACAAAGGCCTTTGTCTTTACAATGTGTAATATAAGCTGCGTAAGTGATGTGGTTTGGATCTCTGTTCCCACCCAAATATCATGTTGAATTGTAATCCCCAATGTTGGAGATGTGGTGTGGTAGGAGGTGATTGGATTATAGGGGTTGATCCTTCATGAATAATTTAACACCATGTCTCTAGTACTGTTCTTGTAATAGATTTCTCATGAGATCTGGTTATTTAAAAGTGTATAGCACCTCCTCCCTCTCTCTTTTCCTCCTGCTCCAGACATGAAAACGTGCTTGCTTCCCCTTCACCTTCTGCTGTGATTTAAATTTTCCTGAGGCCTCCCTAGAAGCTGCTACGCTTCCTGTACAGCCTGCAGAACTGTAAGTCAATTAAACTTTTCTTTATAAATTTCCAATTCTCAGTTATTTCTTTATAGCAGTGAGAGAATGGACTAATATAATATGTACATAGATGTGGCTGATGCATAGAACTTTTTCCAAACAATGCATTACCAGGGATATAGTAATTTTGAACAACTCATCTATAGTAGAATTCTTCAAAAATGGACCCTGAGGACAATAACATCACAGGAAGCAAGGTGCTGGGAAGTGGGTTGCAGAGGCAGGGAGAGTGGAAAAAGATGAAATGATGATTATGTCAAGTTTTAGTGATCCTTCTTAGTCTCTGCCACCAATTGGCTATGTGCCCTGCCAGGGAGCAAGATATTTATCCACCCTGGGTTTTTGTTGCCTCATCTGTAAAATAAAGGGGTTTAAGTAATGAAGTGCTTTGTAAACCAGAAGGCTACTAGTTTAGTAAATTTGGCTCCAGGTATGCTTTAAAACAGGGATAATGAGCAAAAGATCTTTTGATGACATTTTAAGATTTTCCAAATCTTCTGATATAAAATTTTATAAGATATTTATTACTTTACATTAAAAATTACAGAAGTAATACATTTTCATTGACCAAAATTTGAAAACACAAGTAACTTAAAATATATTTTAAAATCACCCACAATTCTTCCAGTCAGAGCCACATGAGTTTTTAATCTAGTACTATGCTGCCTACCTTACATGATGCTCAAACAATTGGTTAAAGAGGGAAAAATCCTTACATGTTGGTATCAAACTGTTTCCTTTTATTATAGTGTGTTTTAAGTAGGTCAAATCATTTGGGTAGTTAGACATAGTTTTGCCATCTGGGGTGTTCATATGTAACATTTCAAATATCTGGAAGTAAATACTTGAAGAACAACAATAAAATGAGACCTGATATCTCTCCAGACTTGGGCTTCTTTTTAAACTTTGTTTTACTCCAAATGCTGAGGCTGATTCTTCTGCTTTCCTACTGTACTTAGGCATCATTTCCCAAAGTATGGCTGACTTGGATGTCTAGATTGTTCCCCTTATTTGACAGAGAAATAAAGAGGTCTGGAATCATTTGGTAATCGGAATGATTTGCACTACCTCCATTTACAGGGTCTGTGCCTCCTCTCGCTATCTCCCTAACCCTTGTCCTCCTTGATGGCAAATGTCTGTTTACAGGGTGAGGATAAATTAAGCAAAAACCCATGAATATCCTAGGAGCCGGATCACTGGTATCTAATTGATCAATTACTCAAATGCTGAATAAAATATCCTGGCTTGGCTAAGTCTTCCTGAGGCCAAGTCTCCTGATTAGGAGTCTGAGAGATGATATAGTTTATTCTGTAATTCAGTAAGGGGGTATGACTGTACAAAAAAGATTTTATATAACTGACATTTCTGGCTGAAAGTGCATCTTACTCAGGTCCTTGTGACAAATCACCAGTCTATTGCCCTCAAAATGTTCTCAACAGGAAAAAGTTGCCATGAGCTCTTTCACATAACAGGTAGTGCTGTGAGAAGGAAACAATCAGGTGTCATTTTATGCCTATAGCCTAGATGATTTCCCTGCTATTTCAGTTCCAATTATATAAAGGATCACTACTGACTGAATTGTGTGCTCACCCGAACTATTTTCTCTGAAACTTTAGGACAGCTTGGGACATGTGCGAAGCCAGTCAGGGTCAGGTCCTAGGACACGTATGAGAGGCAGTATGGCAGAGTAAAAAGAACACTGGGCAGAAAGTCAACCCAGTCAAAAACAGTGTTCTTCTGTTTGTGTTACTTTAAACTAATTATTAAATCTCTTGCCTTCTGAGTTTCCTTATCTCTTTGTAATTAATATTATAAAAGATGCTTTTCTTACATCTTAGAGTTCAAAGGATCAAGATCAAAGTGAAATAAAGTATGTGAAATCATCTTTTTTTTCCCAGAAAGATAATTATAGGGCACTGTACAAATGTACCCTAGTTATGCGTAAATAAAACACTTCCTGTTAAGTCTCAAGCCATTCACAGGCCCAATTCAACTTGAGTCCATTGTCAATTGATGTAAAACAATCTGGCTATCATCCCAGAGTGCATACAAGACCAGACCAAAGGTTTTAAGCTGGGCTTTCCCCTGGGTTGGGTTTTATGTGACTGACTTCTCTAAGGAGGACTTAATCCCCACAAAATGAGGACAATTACTTTTCCTGTGCCAGGTTTTTTCTTTCTCCATTCACTAAGCTGTTTACCCACTATGCATTTATCCTGGGTGTATCCCAGAAAAAATAATTTCATAAAAAGTGTGAATTCTCTCTGTTTCACATATAGTTTATCCTGGATTATCTTTTTTTTTTTCTCTCCAAGTGAACAATCTAGGCAGAGCTATATTTTTTCTCAGTGATGCTAGTGTGGGAATGGTCTTCTTTAGATCCATCATTTTGCATTCTATAGAATTTTAATTAAAAAGTTCGTAGCCTTTATTTCTGTTTGTAAACCTCAAAGTACATAGTTACAGATGCAAGGTATAATTCCCCATTGGTGAGTACCTACACAAAATACTTCACAAGACCCAAAAGGCAGCTTCTTTTCACATATGAACGGCTCTAGAAGTAGTCTGCTTAACTGCTATGCACTATAGTCCTAAAATACATTTCCCGCCTCCCTCCTCACCTTCAGATCACTGGATTCCTACTTGGTCTCAATGCAGCAGTGGATGGGGCTCCTCCAAAAGGGTTTTAGTTGTCTCCGCTGACTCAGGTACTCAGCAGTACCCACTCTGTAGTGTTTAAGCTCATGCTGACTCTGAAGAAGACCAAGACAGTTCCTATTTTTCTCAGTGGTCATGTTATACTAGAGGTAGCGTTCTGGAGTCCAGCAGGTGGTTTTGTTTAACCTTATGCTATAGCTCACAGTTTGTTTGTTTTTTTTAAGTTTAGTTTTTTTAATTGTTTTAGATTTACAGGAAAATTATGACAGTAGTACAGAATGTTCCCATATACTCCACACCTATTTTCTCCATTATGAATATGTTATATTATTATGGTACATTTTCCATAACTAATGTACCAATATTGATAACTTATTATTATTATTACTATTATTATTTGTTCCCATTCATCCCCAAACTCCCCCCTTCCCCTTCAACACTTCTGGCAACCACTGATCTATTCTCTACATTCATGAGATCCAAGTTTTTAGCTCCTATGTATGAGTGAGATATACAATATTTATCTTTCTGTGCTCGGCTTAGTTGACTTAATGGCCTCCATTTCCATCGATGTTGTTGCAAACAACAAGATTTTGTTCTTTTTTGTGGCTGAATAGTACTCCATTGTATATATGTACCATTTTTTTTTTTGTCCATTCATTTGTTGATGGGAAATTGGTTGATTCCATATATTGGCTATTGTGAATAGTGCTGCAATAAACATGGGAGTGCAGATATCACTTTGGTATATTGATTTCCTTTCTTTTGTTTTTTTGTATTATACTTTAAGTTCTGGGATACATGTGCAGAAAGTACAGGTTTGTTACACAGGTATACACATGCCATGGTGGTTTGCTGCACCCATCAACCCATCATCTACATTAGGCATTTCTCCTAATGTTTTGAGGGAGTCCCTTACCCCTCAATAGGCCCCTGGGGATAGGGACAGCTGTGAGTGCAGCTTCAGCATACTTAAACATTCCTGCCTGCCAGCTCTGAAGAGAGCAGTGGATCTCCCAGCACAGCACTTGAGCTCTACTAAGGAATAGACTGCCTCAAGTGGGTCCCTGACCCCCATGCCTCCTGACTGGGAGACACCTCCCAGCATGGGTTGACAGACATCTCATACAGGAGAGCTCCAGCTGGCATCTGGCAGGTGCCCCTCTGGGATGAAGCTTCCTGTGGAAAGAACAGGCAGCAATCTTTGCTGTTCTGAAGCCTCCGCTGTTGATACCCAGGCAAAGAGGGTCTGGAGTGGACCTCCAGCAAACTCCAGGAGACCTGCAGCAGAGGGGCCAGACTGTTAGAAGGAAAAGTAACAAACAGAAAGGAATAGTGTCAATATCAACAGAAAGGACATCCACACAAAACTCCATCGGAAGGTCACCAAAATCAAAGACCAAAGGCAGAAAAATCCATGAGGATGGGGAGAAACCAGCACAAAAAGGCTGAAAACTGCAAAAACCAGAATACCTCTTCTCCTCCAAAGGATCACAACTCCTTGCCAGCAAGGGAACAAAACCGGATGGAGAATGAGTTTGACGAATTCACAAAAGTAGGCTTCAGAAGGTGGGTAATAACAAATTCCTTCGAACTAAAGGAGGATGTTCTAACCCAATGCAGGGAAGCTAAGAACCTTGAAAGAAGGTTAGACAAATTGCTAAATAGATTAACCAGTTTAGAGAATAATATAAATGACCTAATGGAGCTGAAAAACACAGCACAAGAACTTCGTGAAGCACACATAAGTATCAATAGCCAAATTGATCCAGCCGAAGAAAGGATATCAGAGATTGAAGAACAACTTAATGAAATAAAGCATGAAGACAAGATTAGAGAAAAAAGAATGAAAAGGAATGAACAAAGACTCCAAGAAATATGGGAATATGTGAAAAGACCAAACCTACATTTAATTGGTGTACCTGAAAATGACAGGGAGAATGGAACCAAGTTGGAGAACCCTCTTCAGAATATTATCCAGGAGAACTTCCCTGACCTAGCAAGACAGACCAACATTCAAATTCAGGAAATACAGAGAACACCACAAAGATACTCCTCGAGAAGAACAACCTCAAGGCACATAATCATCAGATTCACCAAGGTTGAAATGAAGGAAAAAATGTTAAGGGCTGCTAGAGAGAAAGGTCGGGTTACCCACAAAGAAAAGCCCATCAGACAAACAGTGAATCTCTCTGCAGAAACCCTACAAGCCAGAAGAGAGTGGGAGTGAATATTCAACATTCTTAAAGAGAAGAACTTTCAACCCGGAATTTCATATCCAGCAAACTAAGCTTCATAAGCGAAAGCGAAATGAAATCCTTTACAGAAAAGCAAGTGCTGAGAGATTTTGTCACTGCCAAGCCTACCTTACAAGAGCTCCTGAAGGAAGCATGAAACATAGAAAGGAGCAACTGGAACCAGCCACTGCAAAAGCATACCAAATTGTAAAGACCATTGACACTATAAAGAAACTGCATCAACTAACGGGCAAAATAACCAGCTAGCATCATAATGACAGGATCAAATTTACACATAACAATATTAACCTTAAATGTAAATGGGCTAAATGCCCCAATTAAAAGACATAGACTGGAAAATTGGATAAAGAGTCAAGACCCATCGGTGTGCTGTATTCAGGAGACCCATCTCACATGCAAAGACACACATAGGCTCAAAATAAAGGGATGGAAGAAGATTTGCCAAGCAAATTGAAAGCAAAAAAAAAAAAAAAAAAAAAAAAAAAAAAGCAGGGGTTGCAATCCTAGTCTCTGATAAAACAGACTTTAAACCAACACAGATGAAAAGAGACAAGGGTATTACATAATGGTAAAAGGATCAATGCAACAAGAAGAGCTAACTATCTTAAATATATATGCACCCAATACAGAAGCACCCATATTCATAAAGCAAGGTGTTGGAGACCTACAAAGAGACTTAGACTCCCACACAATAGCAGTGGGAGACTTTAACACCCCACTGTCAATATTAGACATATCAACAAGACAGAAAATTAACAAGGATATTCAGGAGTTGAACTCAGCTCTGGGCCAAGTGGACCTAATAGACATCTACAGAATTCTCCACCTCAAATCAACAGAATACACATTCTTCTCAGCATCACATCATTTATTCTAAAATTGACCACATAATTGGAAGTAAAACACTCCTCAGCAAATGCAAAAAAATGGAAATCATAATAGTCTCTCAGACTGCACTGTAATCAAATTAGAATTTAGGATTAAGAAACTGACTCAAAACTGCACAACTACATGGAAACTGAACAACCTGCTCCTGAATGACTACTGGGTAAATAACGAAATTAAGGCAGACATAAAGATGTTCTTTGACACCAATGAGAACAAAGACTCAACGTACCAGAATCTCTGGGACACAGCTGAAGCAGTGTTTAGAGGGAAATTTATAGCACTAAATGCCCACAAGAGAAAGCAGGAAAGATCTAAAATCGGCACCCTAACATCACAATTAAAAAAACTAGAGAAGCAAGAGCAAACAAATTCAAAAGCTAGCAGAAGACAAGAAATAACTAAGATCAAAGCAGAACTGAAGGAGATAGAGACACAAAAACCCTTCAAAAAATCAATGAATCCAGGACCTGGTTTTTTGAAAAGATAAACAAAAAAGGTAGATGGCTAGCCAGACTAATAAGAAAAGAGAAAATAATCAAATAGATGCAATAAAAAATGATAAAGGGGATATCACTGCTGATCCCACAGAAATACAAACTGCCATCAGAGAATAGTATAAACACCTCTATGCAAAGACACTCAAAAATCTAGAAGAAATGGATAAATTCCTGGACACATACACCCTCCCAAGTCTAAACCAGGAAAAAAGTCGAGTCCCTAAATAGACCAATAACAAGTTCTGAAATTGAGGCAGTAATTAATAGCCTACCAGCCAAAAAAAGTCCAGGACCAGATGGATTCACAGCTGAATTCTACCAGAGGTACAAAGGGGAGCTGGTACAATTCCTTCTGAAACTATTCCAAACAACAGAAAAAGAGGGAATCCTCCGTAACTCATTTTATGAGGCCAGCATCATCCTGATACCAAAAGCTGGCAGAGATACAACAAAAAAAAGAAAATTTCAGGCCAATATCCCTGATGTGAAAATCCTCAATAAAATACTGGCAAACCAAATCCAGCAGCAAATCAAAAAACGTATCTACCACAATCAAGTCAGCTTCATTCCTGGGATGCAAGGCTGGTTCAACATGCACAAATCAATAAACAGAATCCATCACATAAAAAGAACCAATGACAAAAACCACGTAATTATCTCAGTAGATGCAGAAAAGGCCTTCGACAAAATTCAACACCCCTTACTCTGAATAAACTAGGTGTTGATGAAACCAATCTCAAAATAATAAGAGCTATTTATGACAAACCCACAGTCAATATCATACTGAATGGGCAAAAACTGGAAGCATTCCCTTTGAAAACTGACACAAGACAAGGATGCCCTCTCTCACCACTCCTATTCAACATAGTGTTGGAAGTTCTGGCCAGGGCAATAAGGCAAGAGAAAGAAATAAAGGGTATTCAAATAAGAAGAGAGGAAGTCAAATTGTCTCTGTTTGCAGATGACATGATTGTATATTTAGAAAACAACATCATCTCAGCCCAAAATCTCCTTAAGCAGATAAGCAACTTCAGCAAAATCTCAGGATACAAAATCCACATGCAAAAATCACAAGTATTCCTATATACCAATAACAGAAAGACAGGGAGCCAAATCATGAGTGAACTCCCATTCACAATTGCTACAAAGAGAATAAAATACCTAGGAATACAGCTTACAAGGAATGTGAAGGAACTCTTCAAGGATAACTACAAACCACTGCTCAAGGAAATAAGAGAGGACACAAAAACAAATCGAAAAACATTCCATACTCAAGAAGAATCAATATCGTGAAAATGGCCATACTGCCCAAGGTAATTTGTAGATTCAATGCTATCCCCATCAAGCCACCATTGACTTTCTTCACACAATTGGAAAAAACTACTTTAAATTTCATATGGAACCAAAAAAGAGCCCACATAGACAAGACAATCCTAAGCAAAAAGAACAAAGCTGGAGGCATCATGCTACCTGACTTCAAACTATACTACAAGGCTACAGTAACTGAAACAGCATGGTACTGGTACCAAAACAGATATATAGACCAATAGAACAGAACAGAGGCCTCACAAATAACACCACACATCTACAACCATCTGATTTTTGACAAACCTGACAAAAATGAGCAATGGGGAAAGGATTTTCTATTTAATAAATGGTGCTGGGAAAACTGGCTAGCCATATGCAGAGAGCTGAAACTGGATCCCTTCCTTACACTTTATACAAAAATTAACTCAAGATGGATTAAAGACTTAAACATAAGACCTAAAACCATCAAAACCCTAGAAGAAAACATAGGTAATACCATTCAGGACATAGGCATGGGCAAGGACTTCATGACTAAAACACCAAAAGCAATGGCAACAAAAGCCAAAATTGACAAATGGGATCTAATTGAACTAAAGAGCTTCTGCACAGCAAAAGAAACTATCATCAGAGTGAAAAGGCAACCTACAGAATGGGAGAAAATTTTTGCAATCTATCCATCTGACAAAGGGCTAATATCCAGAATCTACAAAGAACTTAAACAAATTTACAAGAAGAAAAACAACCCTGTCAAATAGTGGTCAAAGGATATGAACAGACACTTCTCAAAAGAAGACATTTATGCAGCCAACAAAACATATGAAAAGAATCTCACTGGTCATTATAGAAATGCAAATTAAAACCAAAGTGAGATACCATCTCATGGCAGTTAGAATGGCAATCATTAAAAAGTCAGGAAACAACAGATGCTAGCGAGGATGTGGATAAATAGGAATGCTTTTATAGTGTTGGTGGGAGTGTAAATTAGTTCAATCATTGTGGAAGACAGTGTGGCAATTCCTCAAGGATCTAGAACTAGAAATAACATTTGACCCAGTAGTCCCATTACTGGTATATACCCAAAAGATTTCAAATCATTCTACTATAAAGACACATACACATGTATGTTTATTGCGGCACTATTCTCAATAGCAAAGACTTGGAACCAACCCAAATACCCATCAATGATAGACTGGATAAAGAAAATGTGGCACATATACACCATGGAATACTATGCAGCCATAAAAAACGATGAGTTCATTTCCTTTGCATGGACATGGATGAAGCTGGAAACCATCATTCTCAGCAAACTAACACAAGAACAGAAAACCAAACACTGCGTGTTCTCACTCATAAGTGAGAGTTGAACAATGAGAACACATGGACTCAGGGAGGGGAATATCACACACTGGGGCCTGTCAGGAGGTGGAGGCTAAGGGACGGATAACATTAGGAGAAATACCTAATGTAGATGACAAGTTGATGGGTGCAGCAAACCACCATGGCATGTGTATACCTATGTAACAAACCTGCATGTTCTGCACATGTATCTTACAACCTAAAGTATAATAAAAATAATTTTTAAAAAATCACCTGTGGTTATGAGTTCTTGAAATGTGGCTAGTTCAAACTGAGATGTTATAAGTATAAAATACACTCTAGAACTCAAAGTATAGAGAAAGAGTGTAGAATATCTCATTAATCATTTTTATATTGATTGCATCTTGATATAGTAATATGCTAGATATGATGGGCTAAATAAACGGTGTTAGTAACATTTAAAAAATATTTTACCCAAATGCTCATCCTTCTTTAAGTCAATTAATTAGAGCTCTTTTTTTAAGACATCACACACATAACACATGCATGACTACACAGACAGAAGAAGATCCAGCTGCTCAGGATGGAGCCCTTTAAGAACAGGGTTAGGAAAGTGTGTAGTTTTGGGGGCCTTATAAATGTGAATAGCTGGAAGGCAGAAATCAGATTTTGAGAGGGATTTGTCTGCCTTTGGTTCCAGGGGTTCCATGAGGAAAACAGAGATTGTTCCCAAAATGGGATTTGTGGAGACTTTTCTGTTTTCCCAAGGAGTGCCAGACCACAATAAATTATCCTAGGGCCTTTAATGCATGCACCAAGAGTGGCAAGGCAGAGTGGAGAAAAGTAATTCAGTTGACTGAGAAAAAAAACCTCTTCCAGAAAAACAAGATTTATGAAGAGAAAAACATAAAGGCCTTTTGAATATATGTATAGCTTGGATATCCACTTTTGATTAAGCTGAGTGCTCTTTAAGAAAATCATTTTTATTAATTAAAACTTAACAGAGAATATAAACAATAATCCTTATCATTTCTTTTACTGGTTTGCACCACTACCTGTTCACAATCATGTTGAGGTTCTCCAGTTTACTCTGGGAGAAAGTGGCTGGGTTCAGACAAGGGCAGGTTTTCAACTAGACTGCAGATCCCTCTAGCAGCAAAGCTTGATATATAAAGGAGGCAATTATCTGTTACAGACTTCCCTTAGAGGGAAGCAGTCCTGCTATACTGTGTGGGGTGCAGTTAAGTTATTCCCCATGGTTAACTCAGTGGCCTTTGGCACCAGTGAAGCCACCACTGCAACTGCTTGGAGGCAGGTGGGCCATCCTATATAGCTATCAATTTAAGTTTCTTGTTTAGGTATCCCACTGGTTGTTGAGCTGGACTTTGAGCCTTAGTTAAAACTCACAGGGTAATTCCCCTCCTTTTTCATACATAGAGATTAAATGCCTTCCCTACAAGAAGACTGAAGACTGTTGCTTTAAGAAAGGCTTGCTTTAGCTAGTTAAAGTCTTTTGAGTTTTAGGTTTCCAAGTTAGTAGGTGAGTTTTAACTGCTTGAAGTTTTTTTTTTTTTTTTGAGGTGGTAGTATAACGGATGAGCTATTTCACAGTACTCAGATGCCCACAGTCTGCAAAATCCAGTAATGCCTAAGAATCTCCTTAACTGTTTCAGAATTTTGAGAAAGGGAAAGGAGGAAATGGGCTCAATTCTTTTCTCACCTGGTACTCTGGTCCTTTCTGATAAGACTAGACCTAGGTACTTTACTGAAGTTTGACAGAGCTGAGCTTTAGACTTTGAGACCCTATATTCCCTTTCAGCTAAGAAACTGAGGAGCACCTTCGTGCCTTTCTGAGACTTCCTCGGTTGGGGCACAGAGGAGAGTATCATTTGCATACTGTAAAATTTCAACTTGAGGGTGAGAAAAACAAAAAAAGATATTTGGACGGGGCCTGTTTAAGCAACTTCCTTCCAATATCAGGGGCTGCCTGAGTAATTAACCTGCTCTTTATTGAACTGGGAGACAAGGAGGTGTGTTTCACTAAAGCTTCTCTCAGCCTTTCCAAAAAGGCCAAGAGATTTTCATCTGATTTCTGATTTAACAAGGACAGTTTAGAGTAATTAACAGGCTTGGTTTTGATTCTTTGCAAGTCTTTCGATATGCATATCAGAATGTGTTTTTTCACCCATTTATGGAATCACCAGGGCTCCAATTTGGGTTTTTAAGTGGCACTGCTTCTCTTCCTTTTGGGAATGGGGATCCTGTCCCTTTTTTACCCTCGTTCCCCTTTTGACTGAGTTTCTGTTTTTACTCGCTATAGGAGATTCACTGTTTGTCTCCAAATCTCTCTGCTGTTGGTAGGGCTGCCTTTTACTCAGCAGCAATTAGAGTATGGCTTAAAAGTAGTATAGAATTTCTCCATGTAAGATTAAATACTTGGGCTAAATTTTGAGAAGCCTATATATATCTCTAAGGGTTATCAGATAACTTGCCTAGGTCCCCCTTTATTTGTCTAAGGTCCTGGAATGAGAAGGAAACTTGAATCGTAGTAGCACCGTGTCCATCGGCATTCTGTGAGTCCATGAATAGTAGTCTTGGCAGAAGCATTGCATGCAGGATAGGCAAACTCATATCTAGAGTAAGTGTCTATTCCATTGAGGACAAACCTCTGCCCTTTCCATAATGGAAGAAGTCCAATATAATCAACCTGCTACCGGGTAGCTGGCTGATCACCTTGAAGAATGGGGACATATCCAGGTCTCAGTGTTGGTCTCTCCTGCTGGCAAATAGGGCACTCAGCAGTGGCCATGGCAAGGTCAACCTTGGTAAGTGGAAGTCCATGTTGCTGAGCTCATGCATAACCTCCATCATTGCCACCATGGCCACTTCGTTTGTGGGCCCTTTGGGCGATGACAGGGATAGCTGGAGAAAGAGGCTGAGTGATATCCACAGAACAGGTCATTCTATTCACTTGATTATTAAAATCCTCCTCTGCTGAAGTCACCCATTGGTGAGCACTCACATAGGATATAAATATCTTTACAGTTTTTGACCACTCAGAGAGAGGTCCATCCGCATACTTCTTCCCCAAATTCCTCTGTCACCAATCTTCCAATCGTGCTTCTTCCAAGTCCCTGACCATCCAGACAAACAATTGGCTTTATGGCTAGGTGGGTCAGAAAGCACCCAGTTCATGATAAGCAATTCAGGGCATGTGGTGACTTGATGACCCATAGTTAAATATTCCATTTTCGCCAAAGCCCAGTAACAGGCCAAAACCTGTCTCTCAAAAGGAGAATAGTTATCTGCAGAAGATGGTAGGGCCTTGCTCAAAAATCCTACAGGCCTCCACTGTGATTCACCTTTGGGGGCCTGCCAAAGGGTCCATACAGCATCCCTATCTGCCACTGACACCTCAATCACCTTTGGATCTGCTGGGTCATATGACCCAAGTGGCAGAGCATCTTGCACAGCAGCCTGAACTGGTTGCAAAGCCTTCTCCTGTTCTGGACCACACTCAAAGCTGGCAGCCTTTTGAGTCACTCGATAAATCAGCCAGAATAACACACCAGAATGAGGAATTTGTTGGCTGCAAACTCCCAATAGGCCCACTAGGCATTGTGTGTCTTTCTTGTTGTAGAAGAGGCCAAATGCAGCAACTTATTCTTCATCTTAAAAGGAATATCTTGATAGGCTCCACCCCAGTGGGCCACTAGAAATTTCCCTAAGGTAGAAGGTCCCCGAATTTTAGTCAGATTTATTTCCCATCTTCTGGCACACAAATGTCTTACCAATAAGTCCAGTATGCTTGCTACTTCTTGCTCACTGGATCCAATCAGCATAATGTCCTCAATGTAATGGACCAGTATGATATCTTGTGGAAGCAAAAAGTGATCAAGTTCTCTCCCAATGAAATTATGACCCAAAGCTGAAGAGTTGATATAACCCTGAGGTAGGACAGTAAAGGTATATTGCTGGCCTTGCCCCCTGAAGGAAAATTGCTTCTAGTGGGCCTTATGGACAGGAATAAAGAAAAAGGTATTTGCCAAGTCAGTGGCTGCATACCAGGTACCAGGAGATGTGTTAATTTGCTCAAGCAATGAAACCACATCTGGTACAGCAGCTGCAATTGGAGTTACCACTTGGTGGTTAAGCTTATAATAATTTACTGTCATTCTCCAAGGTGCATCTGTCTTCTGCACAGGCCAAATAGGACAGTTGAATTGGGATGTGGTGGGAACATCCATTCCTGCATCTTTCAAGTCCTTTATGGTGGCACTAATCTCTGCAATCCTTCCAGGGATGAAATATTGTTTTTGATTTACTGTTTTTCTAGGTAAAGGCAGCTCTAATGGCTTATATTTGGCCTTTATCACCATAATAGCCCTCACCCTACCAGTCAGGGAGCCAATGTGGGGGTTCTGCCAGCTGCTAAGTATGTATATGTCAATTATGCATTCTGGCACTGGGGAAAAGACCACAGGATGAGTCCAAGGACCCACTGTAAGTCAGACCCAAGCCAAAATTCCATTAATTACCTGACCTCCACAAGCCTTTACTTTAATTGGAGGACCACAGTGACATTTTGGTTCCCCTGGAATCAATGTCAGCTCAGAGCCAGTGTCCAGTAGTCCCCAAAATGTCTGATCATTTCCCTTTCCTCAATGCACACTTATCCTGGTAAAAGGCCAGAGGTCTTCTTGGGGAAGGATGGGAAAGAGATTAACAGCATAAACTGTCAGTAGTATAGTGGGGTCCTTCCTCAAGGATACCCAGCCTCCCCTTCATTCAAGGAGTTCTGGGTCTGTAAACTGGCTGAAGTCTAGACATGGATTGAGAGGTAATAATTTTCTATTTTTATAATTCAAATTATTTTGTCCATTAGATCTGGAAGTTTTCTGCTTATGTAAATTAAGTAGGAATGCAGTAGGCTTCATATCAATTTCACTTCTGGGAACACCATTATTAATTAGCCAATGCCAGAGCTATACATGAGTCAGACTATTCTGATTGCTGCTTTGCCTCTGCTGTCCATTCCAGCAGCTATATCCACCTTGCCTTTGATGGTTGAGTGCCATCACTTGGCCCCTGCCAACTCGGGATCCAATTATTCCCATTGTATTTAAATTTTGTAGTTGAGCGACTGCAGTTCCCACTGTTAGATGTGACGTACAGAGAAGAACAATTACAGGGCTCTTCAAAGATGCAGGTGTTGCCCTCACAAATCACTTTCCCAAAGCATTGGTTAAGATTATATCTTCTGGACCCTCCCAGCTGGGATGAGTAGGTCTAAAGTGACTAATCCACTGCACCATCCCAGTCTCCCTAAGCCTATGGATCCCTTCCTCTACATTAAACCAAGAGAGATCAGACATTTTCAGCTTGCTCACAGTGGACCATCTTTTGATCCATATTTCAGCTAACCAAGCAAATAAACTATTAGAACCTTTTTTATCTCCCTGAGCTGCAATATTAAATGTAAAATTCCTACTTAGTGGGCCCAAATTAATAAATTCAGCCTGATCCAACTCTGTTTCTTCCACCATTATCCCATGCCCTTAATATCCATTCCCATGCCTGTTCTCCATATATCTGCTTATATAAATTAGAAAACTCAAGCATTTATTTTCAAGAGTAGCACACCTCCTCATGGGTCACACTCTCAACCTCACCTCTAGGGAAGTGCCAGGACTTTAGCCTAGTTATAGGTCTGGAAGCAAACTGGGCTGTTGGGGGTGGCTCCTGAGGAGAATCACCATTATCTTGCCTGACAACTGCCTCAGGGGAAGCCTTCACTGTTGTCTAAGACAGCATAGGGTTTATCTTCTCAGACAATGGTGAAATGGCTGATGGCAGCATGGGTCAGGGAGGGGATGTTGCCACTACTGGGGATGGGGAAGTTGTTACTTCTGGCAAAAAAAAAGGTTCATCAGAGTTTACAAGCTCACTTTCCCCGTCTTTATCAGGGTCCTGCCAAACATCCGATTCCAAGTAGCAGGGTCCCATTCTTCTCCAATCAATGCTCTCACTTTAACAGTAGACACCTGGTGAGGCTGTCCATGCACCTTTCATTGCAGGTCAGCCACTTGCATGATAAGAGCGTGTGTCTGTTTTTCCACAATTTCAGCTCTTTCTCTACAGGAGATAAGACTCTCACTCGGGGCAATCTTAGCAGATTTGAGGCTTAGTATCTGCTTCTGAAGCCAGGAGTTAGAATTCCTAGGTTCATCGTTTTCTTTTAGCACTTTCTCTAGTTAACTTAGGAGCAACCAACTAACTACATTATGTTCCTTTGTTCTCCACATATTTTCAAAGATATTATGTATAGAGTCACTAAACTCCTTGCCTCTCATGAGGAGTGAATCAGGAATGTCAAATGCATGTATTTTGCATAACTCACTCAACAGTTTGTGTCAAGGACTGTCAGTGTTCTCCATACTATTAGAAGTAGATTCCTTAGCATTTTGAGGTCTAATCATATTAAGCAGCCAAATCCAGAAACCCCAAAACCAATGAAAGAACTTCATTCTTAATATTCTGTTTCTCTAGAACCACTCCTGGTACCAAAATCTGTTTTAGTCAGGGTTCTCCAGAGGGACACAACTAGTAAAACAGGATATATATATATATATATATATATATATATATATATATATATATATATATATATAGATGTAGATGTATTTATTAAGTAGTATTAACTCACACAATCACAAGGTCACATAATAAGCTGTCTGCAAGTTGAGGAACAAGGAAGCCAGTCCAATTCCCAAATCTGAAAAACTTGGAATCCAATGTTAAGGGCAGGAAGCATCCAGCATGGGAGAAAGATGTAGGCTAGGAGGCTAAGTCAGTCTAGCCTTTTCACATTTTTCTGCCTGTTTTATATCCTGGCTGTGCTGGCAACTGATTAGATGGTATCCCCCCAGATTAAGGGTGGGTCTGCCTTTCCCAGCCCACTGACTGAAATGTTAATCTCCTTTGGCAACACCCTCATAGACACATCCAGGATCAATATTTTGCATCCTTCAATCCAATCAAGTTGACACTCAGTATTAACCATCACACTTGCCAATTTGTATGCCCTTTATATTTTTCTCTCGTCTGAGTGCTTGAGCAGGACTTCCAGTACTATTTTAAATAACAGTGGTGACAGTGGGTATTTTTGTCATGTTATAGATCTTACAGGAAAAAAGGCTTTTAGTTTTTCCCCTTTCAGTATGATACTAGCTGTGAGTCTGTCATATACGGCTTTCATTATGTTGATTTATGTTCCTTCTAGTCCCAGTTTTTTAGGGTTTTTACCATGAAATGATGTTAAATTATGTCAAATACTCTTTCAGCATGAATTGAAATGATCACATACTTCTTATTCTCATTCTGTTGATATGATGTGTCACATTGTTTGATTTGCCTGTGCATCTGAGGGGTAAATACCATTGGTCATGAAGAAGAATATTTCCAATGTATTGTTGAATTCATATTACTAGTATGTTGTTGAGGATTTTGCATCAATGTTCATCAGAGACATTAGTCTGGTTTTTTCTTTATGTATCTGTCTAGTTTTCTGTTCAGGGTAATACTGGCCTTGTAAAATGAGCTTTAAAATATTTCCTCTTCTATTTTTCAGAGTAGTTTAAGATTGGTATTAGTCCTTTGAATGTTCGGTAGAATTCAGCAGTGAAGCCATCAGGTCCCAAGTTTTTCTTTACTTGGATTTGTTTTATTAAGGCTTCAATCTCATTAGTTGTTATTGGTCTGCTCAGATTTTGGATTTTTTCCTGGTTCATTCTTGGTAGCTTTTATGTATCCTGGAATTTGTCCATTTCTTCTAGGTTTTCAAATTTTTTGGCATATAATTGCTTATAGTATCCACTAAAGATTCTTTAGGTTTCTGTAGTATCAGTTATAATGTCTCCTTTTTCCTTTTTAATTTTATTTATTTGGATCCTCTCTCTCTTTTTTTTTTTTTAGTCTGGCTAAAGGTTTGCCAATTTTCTTTAACTTTTTAGAAAACCAATTTTTTGTTTTATTGATCTTTTGTGCTGTTTCCTTCATTTCAATTTTATTTATTTATGCTCTAATCTTTATTATTTCCATTCTTTTACTAATTTTGGGTTTCATTTGTTCTCACTTTTCAAATTATTCAAGATGCACCATTAGATTATTTACTTAAAGTTGTTTGCTTTTTTTTGATGTAGGTACTTGTAACTATTAGTAGTACTTTTGCTCTTAGTAGTACTTTTGCTGTTCCCCATAGATTTTGGTATGTTTTGTTTCCATTATCATTTGTTTCAATAAATTTTTCAATTTCCTATTTAATGTCTTTATTGACCCAATGATCATTCAGAAGCATGTTTTAATTTACGTGCATTTGTGTAGTTTCCAAAATTGCTTTTGTTATTAATTTCTAGATTCATTATATTGTGGTCAGAGAAGATGCTTAATAGCACTGTTTATGCTACTAAACAATGCTAAGTCATTGTTTTTGATTGTTTCAGGACTTGTTTCATGACCTAATATATGGTTTCTCTGAGAATGAGCCATGTGCTGAGGAAAAGAATATGTATTCTGTAGCTCTTGGGTGAAATGTTCTATAAATATCCATTAGATTCATTTGTTATATAGTTCAGATGAAGTCTGATGTTTCTTTGTCACTTTTCTGTCTGGAAGATCTGTCAAATTCTGGGTCCTATCTCTTCCTTTAGCTGTAATAATAATTGTTTTATATATCTGAGTGCTCCAGTGTTGGGCACATATATATTTAAGATTGTTTTTTTTTTTTTTTTGCTGAATTAACCTTTTTACCACTATATGGTGATGTTCTTTCTCTTACAGTTTTTTGTCTTGAAATCTATTTGGTCTGATATAAGTATAGTAACTCCTCTTTTTTACTTCCTTTGTCATGGAATATCTTTTTCAATCCCTTTATGTTTGGTCTATGCATGTCTTTATAGATGACATATATTTCTTGCAGGCATCAGATCAATGGGTCTTGTACTTTCATTCATTAAGCCAGTCTGTCACCTTTTGATTGGAGAATTTAGTCCATTTACATTTAACGTTTTGATTGATAAGTGAGGACTTACTTCTGCCACTTTGCTATTTGTTTTCTGGTATTTTTATGGTTTTCTCTTTCTTCTTTCTATTCTTCCTGTCTTATTCTAGTGAAAGGGATTTTCTCTGGTGACATGATTTAGTTTCTTGCTTTTTATTATTTGTGTATCCATTGTATGTTTTTTGGTTTGGGGTTACCATGAGACTTGCAAATACTGTCATATAACCCCTTACGTTAACCTGATAACAACACTATTTTTATAAACAAGCAAACAAAAAAGAATGAGAAAACTAATAAAAACTCTATACTATAACTTCTTCCCCCCCAATTTTTAACCTTTTGCTGTTTCTACTTTTATCTTATTGTACTATGTCTTGATGAGTTTTTGTTGTTATTATTTTTAATTGGTTCATCATTTACTCTTTCTACTTAACATAAAAGTAGTTCACACACCACAGTTACAGTGTTGTAGTATTCTAAGTTTTTCTGTGCACATACTATTACCAATGAGTTCTGTACCTTCAGGTGATTATTTATTGCTCATTGATGTTATTTCCTTTCCAATTGAAGCACTCCCTTAAGCATTTCTTGTAAGACATTTCTGTTATTGATAAAATTTCTCAGCTTTTGTGTGTCTGAAAAAGTCTTTATTTCTCCTTCATGTTTGAAGGATATTTTCACCAGATATATTATTCTAGCATAAACATTTTCTTCCTTCAGCACTTTAAATATGTCTTGCCATTCTCTTCTGGCCTGTAAAGTTTCCACTTATAAGTCTCCCACCAGATGTATTACAGCTACATTGTATATTATTTGTTTCTTTTGTCTTGCTGTTTTTAAGATTCTTTCTTTATTTTTGACCTTTGGGAATTTGATTACTAAATGCCTTGAGGTAGACTTCTTGTACTTGGATATTGATAATTTCCAAGACAGAGTACTCCCCACTTTTCTGTATCCTCTCCTCAGGGTTTGGGAAGTTCTCTGTTTTTACTGCTTTTAATAAACTTTCTACCCCTATCTCTTTATGTACCTTCTCTTTAAGACCAATAACTTTTGGACTTGTCCTTTTAATGCTATTTTCTAGATCCTGTAGGTGTGCTTTAGTGCTTTTTATTATTTTATCTTTTATCTCCTCTGACTGTGTATTTTCAAATAGCCTGTTCTAAAGCTCACTTATTCTTTCTTCTGCTTGGTCAATTCTCCTATTAAAGGTGTCTGATGCATTCTTCAGTATGGTAATTGCATTTTTCAGCTCAAGAAATTCTGCTTTGTTCTTTTTAATTATTTCAATATCTTTGTTAAATTTATCTGACAGAAATCTGATTTTGTTTTCTATGTTATCTTAAATTTATTTGAGTTACCTCAACATGGCTACTTTGAATTATCTGTCTGAAAGGTCACATGTCTCTATTTCTTCAGGATTGGTCCCTGGTGCCTTATTTAGTTCATTTGGTGAGGTCATGTTTTCCTAGGTGGTATTGATTCTAGCAGATGTTCTTCAGTGTCTGGGTTTTAAAGAGTTAGGTATTGTAGTGTTTACTGTATGAGCTTATTTGTAGTTGTCCTTCTTGGGAAGGCTTTCCAGATATTTGCAAGAACTTTGGTTTTGCAATCTAAGCTGTATCTGCTTTAGGGGGCACCCCAGGCCCAGTAACACTGTTTTTCTTGCAAACTTAAGGATGTATAGCTTTGATGGTCTTAAACAAGATCTTGTAGACTTCTCTAGATTACCATGCAGAGACTCTTTTTCTCCTTTCTTACTTTCTCCCAAACATACAGATTGCTCTCTCTGTTCCAAGCCACCTAAAGCTGGGGGTATAGTGACACAAGCACCCCATGGCCATCACCACTGTGAATGTACTGGGTCATATCTGAAGCCAGCCTGGTAGTGGGTCTTGCCCTAGGCCTGCTGTAACAACTCCCTGGCTACTGTCTATATTTGCTCAAGGCCCTGGGACTCTACAATCAGCAGGTAGCAAAGCTATCCATGCTTACATTCTATTTAGAGTGGCAAGGTTCCCTAGGCCCAGTGCGGGTCCAGTAATGCCATCAGTGAGTCAAGAACTAGAGCTAAAATCCTTAGAAATTTACCTGGTGTTCTATTATGTTATGGATAAAGTGGCACTCAAACTACAAGATACAGTCCTTCCCACTCTTGCCTCCCCTTTCCAAAGGCAGAGGAGACTCACCATGTAGCCACTGCCACCCCAGGCCATGATGAATACTGCCACACTTACCTCTGATGTTCCCTTAAGGACCAAAGGCTTTTAAGTCAGCTTGTGAATGCTGCCTGGCCTGGGACTCACCATTCAGGGCAGTGGCCTCCCCTCTCACCCAGGGAAGGTTCAGAAATCTCATCCAAGAATCAATTCCTGAAAGTGGGAATGCCAGGAGTCCAGTTAGTTCTCTACCCTCCTGTGGCCATGCTGGTACCTAAGGTTCAAGACAAAGTCTCTTTCACTTTTCCCTCTGCTTTTCTCAAGGAGAAAGATTTTCCCCATAGCCACCAGAGCTGGTAAAGTGCTGAGACTTCACTAAAGCCAACAAGTCTCAGAGGTTCATCCAAGGCCCTCAGTATAGTACCTAATTTTTGCTTCTGGTCGCTCAGGGCCCAAAGTTTCTTCAGTTAGCAGGTGATGAATGCTGCCACGACTAGGTTCTTTCCTTCAAGGCAGCAGGTTCCCTTCTGGCCTAGGGTGTGTCTAGAAATCTTATCTTGGAGCCAGGGCGGGAACGTGGGCCCCATGACTCCAACCAATGCCTTATTCTGTTGTGACTGGGCTGTTATCCTAGATGCAAGGCAACATCCTCTCTACTCCTCCCTGTCCTTTACTCAAGTAGAAAGAAGGGGTCTCTTTTGGAGCTGTGAGTTGTGCAGCCTAGGGTTATGGGAGAGTTAATGCCAGCACTCCCTTGGCTGCCCCAGCTTCTGTCTCTGTATGTCACATGTCCCCCACATGCCCATTACACTGTATCTGGGCCTAGTTCAGTTCTGTATCCCTAGGATGCAAGGTTTGCAGGCACTGAAATTTGGACCACTGGAATTGGCAATTTCCCTCTGGCTAGGGCTGGTTTAAATGTTCCATCCGTGGGCAGGCATCTGCTGAGTTAGGTCCAGTTTTCCTTTCTGCTCTAACAAGACAGCACTAAGTTCAATGCCTCACAATTGCTGTGTTATCCTTCATCCAACATCCAAAGAAACACTTCCCACCACACTGCTGCTGTGTGGTGGGGGAGGGGGAGGGGTAGAATTGGAGGTGGTAACTCAGAACTGTTTCTTCTAATGCTTCAGTGCCTTTTTTAGTGATATGAATTTAAAACCAGGTGCTATGAGGGCTCACCTGATTTTCCATTCTTATGAAGGTGATTTTCTGTGTATGTAGTTGTTAACTTGATATCCTTGTTGGGGGGACGATTGTTGGAGCTTTCTATTCTGCCATCTTGCTCTGCCTCCTGATTCCCTTTTCTTTTTGATATATACCAGTAATAAAATTACTGGATCATATGGTAATTCTATTTTTAGTTTTTTGAGGAGCATTCATACTGTTTTGTATAGTGGCTGTACTGATTTACATTTCTACCAAAAGTATATGGGGTTTCCCCTTTTCTCTACATCCTTGCCAAGATTTGTTATTTTTTGTCTTTTTGAAAATAGCCATTGTAACTGGAGTGAGATGATATCTCATTGTGGTTTTGATTTGTATTTCTATGATGATTAGTGATGTGTTTTTTTTTTCATGTACTCTTTGCCATTTGGATGTTTCTTTTGAAAACTGTCTGTTCAGATCATTTGCCCATTTTTAATTAGATTATTTGGAGGGGTTTTTTTGGCTATTGAGCTATTTGAACTCCCTATGTATTCTGGTTATTAATCTTTTATCAGATGTATAGTTTGTAAATATTTTCTCCCATTCTGTAAGTTGTCTCTTCAGTTTTTTTTTATTGTTTCCTTTGTGGTTTAGAAGCTTCTTAGCTTAATGTGATTCCAGTTGCCTATTTGTGCTCTGGTAGCTTGTGTTTTTGAAGTGTTAACACACAAAAAAATTTACCAAGACCAATGTCCTGGAACATTTCCCTAATGTTTTCTTCTAATATTTCTATAGTTTGATGTCTTAAAGTCTTTAATCCATTTTGATTTGATCTTTTTTTTTGTATGGTGAGAAATAGGGATCTGGTTTTATTTTTCTGCAAATAGGGTCTAGTTTTATTTTTCTGCATATGGTTATCCAGTTTTCCCAGCACCATTTATTGAAAAGACTGTCCTTTCCCCATTGTATATTCTTGGCATCGCTGTTGAAAATGAGTTAATTTTAAATGCATGGATTTGTTTCAGGGGTCTGTATTCTGTTCCATTGTTCTATGTGTCTGTTTTTATGCCAGCACCATGCTGTTTTGATTACTATAACTTTGTAGTAAATTTCGAAGTCAGGTATTGTGATGCCTCCAGCTTTGTTCTTTTCACACAGAATTGCTTTGGCAATTCTGTTTTTGGTGGTTCCGTATAAATTTTAGGATTTTTTTTCTATTACTGCAAAGAATGTCATTGGTATTTTCATAGGGATGGCATTGCATTTTTAAATTGCTTTGAGTAGTGTTGTCATTTTAACAATCTTAATTCTTCCAATCCTTGAGCATGGAATATGTTTCCATTTGTTTGTGTCCTCTTCAATTTATTTCATCAATGTATTATAATTTCATTGTGGAGATCTTTCACTTCTTTATTTTATTTTATTTTCAGCTATTATAAATGGGATTACTTTCTTGGTTTCTTTTTCAGATTGTTTGCTATTGGCATATAAAAATGCTACTGTTTTTGTATGTTAATTTTGTATCCTGCAACTTGACTGAATTTATTTATCAGTTCTAACAATTTTTTTATGGAGTCTAGGTTTTTCTAGGTATAACATTATATTGTCTTTGGAAAAGTATAATTTGACTTTCTACTTTTCTATTTAAATGCTCTTCATTTCTTTGTCTTGCCTAATTGCTCTTGCCAGGACTTCCAGTATTATGTTAAATAATAGTGGTGAAAGTGGGTGTCTTTCTCTTGTACCCGTCCTTAGAAAAAAAGGCCTTCAATTTTTCCACATTCAATATGATATTAACCAAGGATTTGTCATATATACCCTTTATTATTTTGAATAATGGGTATATATATGACATATATGTATACTCATTTTGATGACAGTTTTATCATTAAGGGATGTTGAATTTTTTCAAATTCTTTATCAGCATTTGTTGAAGTCATCATATACTTTTTGTTCTTGATTCTGTTAATGTTATGTATCACATTTATTGATTTGCACATCTTGCATCCCCAGGATAAATCTCACTTAATCATGCTGAATAATCTTTTTAATGTGTGTTTAAACTCTGTTTGCTAGTAGTTTTGAAGATTTTGCATTTTTGTTCACCAGTGATATCCTTCTGTAGTTTTCTTTGTTTGCTGTGTTCTTATCTGGTATTGGTATCAGGGTAATGCTGGCCTTGTTGAATGAGTTTGGACATATTCCCTCCACTTTGATTTTTTTCTGAAGTTTGAATAGGTTTGTATTAGTTATTTAAATGTTTGGTAGAATTCCACAGTGAATCTATGAGATTTTAGGCTTTTCTTTGATAGAAGATGTTTTATCATGGCTTTGATCTCATTAGGTATTATTGGTTTGTTTTGTTTTATTTTTTCATGGTTCAATTTTGGTAGGTTGTATGTGTCCAGGAATTGATCAATTTCTTTCAGGTTTTAGAATTTGTGAGCCTATAGTTTATAATAGCCTCTAGTGATTCTTTGTACTTCTGAGGGCTCAGTTGTTATGTCTCCTTTTTCATTACTGATTTCATGAATTTGGGTCTGCTCTCTTAGTCTAGCTAAACGTTTCTCAATTTTGTTTATCTTTTTGATAAATCAACCTTTTAAATTCATTGATCTGTATTGTTTCTTTGTTTCAATTTTATTTATTTCAGCTCTGATCTTTAGTATTTATTTTCTTTAAATTTTTCACTTGATTTGTTCTTAATTTTCTAGTTTCTTGATGTGCATCATTAGGCTATTTAGTTGAAGTTTTTCTACATTAATAATATAGGCATTGATTGCTATAAACTTTCCTCTTAGTACTGCTTTTGCCATATTCCATAGATTTTGGTATCTTGTATTTCCATTTTCATTTTAACACATTGTTAACTAAAGTTGGCACTTTATTCAGAATTTTTGATATTTATTTAACTTTTTTCCATTGCGTACTTTTATCCAGGATACTACATTACATTTAGTCATTGCATGTCCTTGACTGTGACAGTTTCTCAGACGTTCCTAATTTTTGATGATCTTGACAGTTTTGAGGAGGATTGATCATGTATTTTGTAGAACTCTTTCAACTGGGATTTGTCTTATGTTTTTCTTTTAGTTAAATTGGGGTTATATGTTTTTAAGATAAAAACAAGAAAGGTAAAGTGCCATTTTTATCATATGATATCAAGGGTACGTATTATGAACATGATTTTTGACTGTTGATGTTGATTTTGGTCACCTGGTTGTATTTTTCAAGTTTCTCCATCATAAAGTTATTCCCCTCCCTCCATACTGTACTCTTTGGAAGGAAGTCATTATGTGCAGCCTTCATTCAAGGGGTCAGGATTATGCTCCCCTTCCTTGGGGAAGAGTATCTACATAAACCATTTGGAATTTTGTATGGATGGGTTGTCTATTCTGCTCACTTATTTATGTACCCAATCATTTATTTGTATCAATGTAGGCCCATGGAAATTTATTTTATACTTTGAATTTTGATCTAATACTTATTATTGTATTTATCAAATCTTTATTTTGTTGCTCGAATTGTTTCTGTTTTGGCCATTGGAAGCTCCGTCACTTGGATCCTGTGTCCCTTTGACATGTGACTATTACTGTGTTGGTTTTGTTTGTTTGTTTTAACTCATAGAACTCACTTCACTTTCTAGTACCACGAGATGCTCCAGGCTCATTTTGTGTATTTCTTGTCCCAGTCTTGTAATCAGCCATTTTCCCACGAGGCCTTGGCTACTATTACTATAGAATAGTATTAAAAATGAAAAACAGAATACACAAACAGGTAGTAGCCAGACCATATATAAAAACAGGACTCCGACCCACAGTCTGCAGTAATCAGCACAGGAAGCCAACCCATTATCTATAGTTAACAGCCCAGGAAACTAGCCTACTATCTATAGGTTAGATTTGTGGCAAGTCAGACTATCTCTAGCAACCAGCCCAGCAAACCAAACAATTCCTGTAACAATTGACACCAAATAGCTAGGACTTAATATCTTACAGCTTCCCTAATTTATGTCCCCACTTCTAATTTAGTATCAACCATAAAGCAAACTATCACCCCAGCCTATCACATATATGCTTCACTTCTAGTTAGCCTGCCTACAACTTCTCCATATGAACAGCCCCCAAACAGGGCTTATCTGGAGCCTTCTTTTTTCCACTATAAAACTCTTCCAGTCCTCTGTTGCCTTTGAGCCTCTGACGACACAAAAGTGATGGGAACTTACTACCTTGTTACACCAAACTCTGAATAAATGGCCTTTGCCTATTCTTATTTGAGTGTTTTTTAATTTATTTTCACAGAAATTGAGATCTGGGTATGATGTTTGTTTATTGTTACTGAAGTTCATTTCTTGTAGGCCATCTCAACAAACAGCACCTGAAATATGTGTATGTATACTATCCAGTGAATATACAAATAACTATAAATATTCCTATGTGTAACCATCTGAACCTGTATTTTTTGAAACATGACTTCATATTGATGTCTCCAACTTCTAGTTCATTACCACATGGATAATTCTAGCTTCCTGTTCTTGTTTATCTGGGAACTTCCACTTCAAAAATGACAACCTAACTCCAACTATTCACCATCCATTTATTTAATTCTTCAATCTCAATATATTTGTATAGCACTGTCAGAATTGTTTACTCTTAGTCCCTCGGTACAAAACCCTACTAACTGGAGTACAGTGCGTATGTATAGTTCCTTTTGTTTTTAGTCTTACAGAGTCCACTCATTTCTAAAGTTATATAGGTCAGCACTTTTCTCTCCACCCACAAGTGAGGTTAGGTCATGTTTGAAATACAATTAGATACTCTCCTCATAGTACACATTCCTTCCTTTTACCCCTTGACTTCTTAAATTATTTTTTGAAATTTGCATGTATTAAGGTTCATCCTTTGTACTATAAAGTTTTATGGGTTTTGACAAATGCATGGTGTCATACATCCAGCACTAAAGTATCATACAGAATAGCTTCACCACCCAAAAAATTCCCCTGTACTTTATCTATTTAACCTCTTCTCTTGCATAAACCCCTAATGATTATTAATCTGTTTACTGTCCAGAATGTGATGTAAGTGGAATTATACAGTATGTGGCTTTTCAGACTGGTTTCTTTCATGTAGAAATATACATTTAAGATTTCCCCTGATGATTATTAATCTGTTTACTGTCCAGAATGTGATGTAAGTGGAATTATACGGTATGTGGCTTTTTAGACTGGTTTCTTTTATGTAGAAATATACATTTAAGATTTAGCTATACTGTCATGTGGATTAAAAGTACCTTCTTTTTACCACTGAACAGTATTTCCCTGTATGGACATACTGCAGTTTGCTTATCCACCCACTTATTAAAGTTTCTCCTGGTTCCTTTTAGTTTTTGGAGATTATAAATAAAACTCCTATAAACATTCATGGGAATGTTTTCTGTGGGCGTAAGTCTTCAAATGGGTGGCCCAATACCTAGCAGTATGTTTACTGGATCAAATGGTAAGACTAGTATACCTTTGTGAAAAACTTGTTTTGTTGTTTTCCAAAGTCACCGTACCATTTAGCATTCTCATCAGCAATGAACAAGAGTTCCTGCTATCCTAAATGTTCACTGAGGATCGATATTTTCATTTTAAACTTCATTTAGTCACTCTAAAGGTGTATAGTCGTATCTCATTGTTTTAATTTACAATCACAGATGATCTTGGGCATCTTTTCATATGTTTATTTTCCATGTGTATATCTGCTTTGGAGTGGTGTCTGTTCAGATCTTTCATCTATTTTTAAATTGGATTGTTTGTTTTCTTATTGTTGAGTTTTAGAATATTTTATATGTTTTGGATACAAGTCCTTTATCAAATACATGATTTGCTGTAATCCCGGCATTTTGGGACGCTGAGGAAGGCAGATCACTTGAGGTCAGGAGTTCAAAAACAGCCTGGTCATCATGGTAAAACCCCATCTCTACTAAAAATACAAAAAATTAGCCAGCATGGTAGCGGACACCTGTAGTCTCAGCTACTTGGAAGGCTGAGGCAGGAGAATCACTTGAACCCGGGAGGCAGACATTGCAGTGAGTGAGATTGTGCCACTACACTCCAGCCTGGGCGAGAGAGTGAGACTCTGCCTGAAAAAAAAAAAAATGTGATTTGCAAATACCTTTTTTCTAGTCTGTGGCTTGTCTTTATTTTCTTAACATTGTCTTTCAAAAGGCAAACATTTTAAACTTGAATGAAGTCCAGCTTGTCAAATTTTTTCTTTCATAGATCTTGATTTTGGTGCTCTATTAAAAAAAAAAAAAAAAACCACCAAAACCGAAAAATCCAGATTCTATTCTATGCTTTCTTCTAGAAATGTTATAGTTTTGCATGTTATATTTAAGTGTATTATCCATTTTGATTTAATTTTTTGAAAGATTTAAATTTAGTGCCTAGGTTCCCTATTTTGCCTTTTGACATTCTATTGTTTTGGCACCATTGTGGAAAAGACTGTTTTTTCTCCATTTAATTGTCTTTGCATCACTGGCAAAAATCAACTGACTATCTTTGTGTGGATCTTTTTATATGCAGTCCATTAAATGCCACTGATCTGTGTGTCTGTTCTAACTCCAACACTATTCTGTCTTGATTAATACAGTTTTATGGCAAGTCTTGGAATTTAATAATATGAGTATTCCAACTTTGTCCTTTTAATTATTGCCCTGGCTGTTATAGGTCTTTTGCCTTCCCATATAAACTTTTATTTTATTATTATTTATTTGTTTCCTTGCCATATAAACTTTTAAATTAGTTCATCTATAAATCTATAATATAGCTTGCTGGGATAGCGATTTTAGATATTTCTTCTTTTCCAATGTATGAATTTAATGATATAAATTTCCCTCTGAGTACTAGTTTGTTTTCATCCCATAAATTTTGATATATTCTATTTTGAAATTCATTTAGTTCAAAATGAGTTTTTATTTCTCTTGATTCTTCTTCTTTGACTCATGCATTATTGAGAAGCATGTTCTTCATCTCTAAATATTTGGAATTTTTCAGCTATCTTTTTTGTCATTGATTCTTTGATTATCTCTATTGTGGTTTGGGAACAAGCGTTGTAAAATTTCTAATATTTACATTTGATAAGGTATGTTTTATGGTTTAGATTTTTTTTCTTTTTTTTTTTGAGATGGAGTCTCACTATGTCGCCCAGACTGGCATGCAGTGGTGCGATCTTGGCTCACTGCAACCTCTGCCTCCTGGGTTCAAGCAATTCTCTGCCTCAGCCTCCTGAGTAGCTGGGATTACAGGGGCGCCCACACCATGCCGGGCTAATTTTTGTATTTTTAGTAGAGATGGGTTTCACCATCTTGGCCAGGCTGGTCTTGAACTCCTGACCTCGTGATCCACCTGCCTCAGCCTCCCAAAGTGCTGGGATTACAGGCGTGAGCCACTGCACCAGCCAGAATATTTTTTATCTTAATGAATGTTCTATGTGAAGTGAGGGAAATATGTAATCTGCTGTTGTTGGATGTAGTAGTCTATAAATGCCAATTAGGTCAAGTTGATTAATTGTGCTGTTGAGGTCAACTCTATCATTAATGATTTTCTGGTTGTTTGACCTATCAATTACTGATTTTGAAGTCTTCAACTATCTACTTTCTGTTTTATCAGTTTTTTGCCTTATGTACTTTGACACTTTATTATTTTATTCATACACATTAAGAAATGTTATAATTTCAGAAAGTGGCTTCTTTATCATTTTGTAATGTCCTCTTTTATTTGGATAATCTTATGTATTCAGTAGTTTGTCTTGTTTGAAATATTAATATATGTACTCCAACTTTATTTTGAATAGTGTTAGCATGGTATATCTTTCTCTGTCCCTTTACATTCAATCTATCTGCCTTAAATTCAAAGTGACATTAATGGACACTTTTCAAAGGAAGACATACATGCTGCCAACAATCATATGAAGAAAAGCTCAACGTCACTGATCATTGTAGAAACGCCAATCAAAACCACAATGAGGTACCATCTAACACCAGTAAGAATGGCTACTGTTCAAAAGTCAAAAAATAGCAGATGCTGGAGAGGTTGTGGAAAAAAAGGAAGGCTTATACACTGTTGGTGGGAGTGTAAATTACTTCAGTCATTGTGGAAGAAAATGTGGCAATTCCTCAAAGACCTAAAGACAGAAATATCATTTGACTCAGCAATCCCATTACTTGGTATATACCCAAAGGAATATAAATTATTCTATTATAAAGACACATACATGCCTATGTTCACTGCAGCACTATTAACAATAGCAAGACATGAAATCAACCTAAATATCTATCAATGATAGACTAGATAAAGAAAACGTGGGAAATATATACTATGGAATACTATGCAGCCATAAAAAGAATGTGATCATGTCCTTTGCAGGGACATGAATGGAGCTGGAGGCCATTATTCTTAGCAAACTAACACAGAAACAGAATACGAAATACCACATGTTCTCCCTTATAACTGGGAACTAAACGGGACAGACACAGGTGAATAACACACACTGGAGCCTTTTGGAGGTGGAGGGTAGGAGGAGGGAGAGGATCATGAAAAACAACTAATGCATACTAGGCTTAATGCCTGGGAGATGAAATAATTTTTACAACAAACCCCCATGACATAAGTTTACCTATGTAACAAACCTGCACTTTTACCCCAAACGTAAAATAAAAATGGAAAAACCCAACAGATGTTTTTCTTTTTTTTCTTTATAAACGGCATATAGCTGGGTCTTACTTTTTATCCACTCTAAAAATCTGTCTTTAATTTAGACCGTCACATTTAAGGTGATTGTTGATACAGTTTATGTTATGCATTGAATTGTCCTCCCAAAAAGTAAAGTTGAACTCTTAACACCTAGTACCTCAAAACGTGACCTTACTCGGAAATAGCCATTGCATATGTAGTCAAGCTAAAATGATGTCATTATGGTGGGCCTGTGATGGTTACTTTTATGTGCCAATTTTGCTTGGCCAGAGTACCCAGAGATTTGTTCAAACACTATTCTAGATGTTTCCATTAAGGTATTTTTGGGGTTGAATTAACATTTAATTCATCAGAATTTGAGTAAAGAAGACTGTCCTCTGTAATGTGGGTGGGCCTTATTCAGTTAGTTGAAGGCCTTAAGAAAAAGACTGACCTCCTTGAGAAAGGGGGGATTCTGCTAGCACACTGCCTTTGTATTTTAACTGCAATATCAGCTCTTCCCTGGATTTCCAGCCTGCTAGTCTACCTTGCAGATTTTGAACTTGTCAGCCTCCACACAATTACGTGAGCCAATTCCTTAAAATCTCTCTCTCTCTGGATCTATCTACATACATGTGCACGCACGTGTGCGTGCGCGCACGCACACACACACACACACACACAGACACACACACACACACACAGAGAGAGAGAGAGAGAGAGAGAGATGCATACATCCTATTGGTTCTCTTCTTTTTGAGAACCTTGACTAATATAGGGCCTAATCCAATGTAACTGGTGTCCTTATGAAAAAGGGAAATTTGGACAGAAACACAGATATGCACAGGAAGAAGACTAGGTGAAAAGAGATAAAAAGAACGCTATGTAAAGATCAGAGTTATGCTACCATGAGCTAAGGAACATCTGGGGCTAACAGAAGCTGGAAGAGGCAAGAAAATATCCTTCTCCTTCAGGTTTTAGAGGGATGTGCCCTTGCTAATACCTTGATTTTGGACTTCTAGCCTCCAGAACTGTAAAATAATAAACTTATATTCTAAGTTACCGACTTTTTGGTACTTTGTTACAGCAGCCCTAGGAAACTGATACAGTTGGAATAATATATACCATGTTTGTAACTGTTTTCTCCATTTAATTTGCTTTTTCATTCTTTATTTTCCTTCTTTTCTACCTTCTCTGATTCTAATTGAGCATTATATATAGTTTCATTTTGTCTCTTCTCATTAGTATCATTTGTAATTTTCTAAAAAAAATAGTAGTTGCCCTAGAGCTTAGAATATATGTTTTAAACTCACCTATGTCAATTTCAAATAACACTCCACTACTTCCTGGGTAGTGTTTGTGCCTTATAAGAGAAAACAATCCAACCTACCTCCTGTCCCTTATAACATTTCAGTCATTCGCTTTATCTATATGCTGTAAATACCATGTACATTATAACTATTTTTTTAAGTTATTTTTTAGATCAATTAAGATAAAGAAAAATGAAATATTTTATTTCACCCATGTTTCTTTCTTTTCTGATACTCTTCCTTTCCTTTGGCAGATCTAAGTTTCTGACTTGTATCATTTTCCTTCTGCAAGAAGAGTTTCTTTTAACATTCATTGCTGGGCAGGTCCACAGGTGATTAATTCTCTAGGTTTCAGATTGTCTGAAAATCTACTTTACTTTTGAGGGACTATTTTTTTGCATATGGAATCCTAGGTGGGTGGGATATTTTTTCTTTCAACAATTTAAACATTTATCTTCTCTGTCATCTTGCTTAAATGATTTCTGATGAGAAGTTCATTGTGATTCTTATCCTGTGTCTCTACAAATAAGGTGTTTTTTCCTGTCTTCTTTCCAAAATTTCTCTTTATCTTTTTTTCCTACAGTTTGCATACGATATGCCTATGTATTTTTGTTTTGCTTTCTTTGTGTTTACCTTGCTTGCCATTCTTTGACCATTCTGAACATGGAGTTTGAATTTTAGAAAAAGTTCTTGACCATTATTACTTCACATATTTTTTTTGGCATGTTATTTTATTTCTCCTCCTTGTATTTGAAATATATGAGTGCTTTATTTTTTATTATTGTCCCAAATTGCTCAAAGTTTCCATTTTTTTCTTTATTCTTTTGATTATTTACCTGTCAGTTTGAGAAGTATGTATTGATCTGTCTTCAAGTTCACTGATTCTTTCCTCATCCATATTTTGTTTACTTTTCCACCCAGTGAATATGGTCTTTATTTATTTTACTGTGTTTTTGAATTCTAGCATTTCATTTTCATTCTTTCCTGGACTTTCCATCTCTCTGCTTATGTTCTTCATTTTTATTTCATGTTGTTTGCTCCTTGTTCCATTAGAGGCTACATATTAATCACAGTTATTTTAAATCTCCTGTATGATGATCCTAAAATCTGTGTCATATCTGAATCTGGTTCTGATGCTTACTTTCTTTGTTGCTTCAGATTTTTTTTTTAAATCTTTTAGTGTGCCTTGTAAGTTTTTGTTGAAAAGAAGTCATGTTGTTTTGAGTAATAAGAATTGAAATTAATAGGTCTTTAGTGTGAAAATTTATGTAAATCTGGCTAGGAGCTGGGATGCTTTTAATATTTGTTGTATTAATAGCTTTAGCTACCAGAGGCTTCATATTCCTGTAGCATTCTTGTTTTTGTCTTCACTATTGTTTTTGGGGCTTCCCTGAGTATCCTTCTTCAATAAAATTCTGTCCCTTGCATCTGTTTCATCAATAAACCACTGTTATTACATTGGAGCTGCTTTGTTAATGTAGTGGTCAAATGTGAGGTGGGGGGGGAAGTGTTATTCTATACTCTTATAATTAAAAATCTTGTAGTGTGCTTGTGTCCCTGAACTGTGACCTTTATCAGTGTTTTGCTCCCTGTACAAGGGCTGGTGAGGGAGTCTCCTCCCCTTCTTCTCTCCCTGGCTACAACCTTCTCACTCTATTTTCTTGAAGCACAGTCTCTGGTTGTCTATTTATCTTTACCCTCTTAGGTTTGTAGGGCTGCTGGAGGGAAATAAGATAGGAAAAAATTATCTTTCCCCATCAGTATAAGGTTTCAGAATTGCATTCTGGCAAATCCATTTTCCCTGAAAAGAAGGCTTTTGTTACAGAGAAAGTGCTGGGCCTATATCAAAATGGTTACTCTTCCCTTCCTCCTACCACAGTCACAAGAGGATTTTTCTTGGATATTCATCTTGACAACTTGCTGGAATTCCTAGAGGAAAAGCCCATTAAAATGTACCTCTCCTCCAGGATTGTAGCCCCTAGGGGTTTTTCACTGTAATGCTAGTCCACACTCAGCTTCCAGCTATTCATCAAAATTACCATTTAAATGTTTCTGCTAGTTTGTGTCTCCAGCGGCTTCTTCTTCAGATAAGCAGATCTCAGTTGCAGTACCTCTAGATGGACCTGTTTCTCCAAGTATTTGGGTCATGGTTTTTGCTGCGATCTCAGTTATCTAAAGAGTCCAAGAAAGGTTATTTATTTTTAGTTTTGTCCAGATTTGTTTTTGTTGTTGTTGTAAGAATGGAAGTGACGGCTCACCAGATCTTCATATATCAAGGCTGAAACCAGAAGTCCTACTCACAGCATTTTAATTGCCAACATTTAAAATTTAGGAGATTTCATACACAACTCTTGATTTCAGGCCTTTATTTATAAAATTGGAAGATAAGAAAATAATACTCGTGAATTATCATATGGCAACTATTTGCTGGAGCTGAATAGTGACTTTGTACTTAGCATGTGCTTTCCCATTCACCAGAGTTTCCCTCACTCTGTTTTCTGTCTTATACAGGACTTTCTCCATATACTCTATATTTCTGACCCTTGTAGGTATATGACCTTGGCCCCTTACTACCTTAAACAGTATCAAATTTGTATGACACTGAATTTCAGTTTTTCTCCAGTGATATAGATTAAGAAAAAAACAATTCATCACTGTTTACATACCAGGGCCTCTGATTCTCTCACCTCAGACTCCTAGTGTCCCATCACCTAAGTACTCTCCATGGGCAACTGAGTGTCCATTCATGCCCTCCAAAATGCTTTTCCTTGCTATTGGTGTGCATGCAGTTTTCTCAGCCTCACTCATAAAAATGAACTGTCACAGGTTATCAGGGAATGTCTGAAATTATCTTGGGCTAAAGTAAAGAAGGAAAAGATTGGCTTGATTTTCAGAATCTTGGGAAAATATGCTGACTTAATGATGTTCATTGGAGACAAGGCATAACAATATCCTAAGGCTCACTCAAAGGGGTTCATATTATTCAAGGTGTACAAAAGCCAAAACAAAAAACCTACAACAGAACATTTTTAAGTGTCCTTCTAGTTCATTGCCTCCCTTTATGATCATACCAGTGCTTAAAACAAAAGCTGGAAAAACATAAAGTTGAGAATGCAACTTTGCCCCACATGTCTTTATTCAGTAATCTTATTTTTGTGGGCTCAGTGTATTATGACTTGTAGCATCTGGTTATGAACAATGAAAAGGTATTCTATAGATTCTGGCTTCTGGGGGGAATTCTAAGGTATATACTATTTCCAGTATAACAGATGAATATCAAATATTAAAACTATGTAAAGCTTACATTTTAATCAGGAGAAAGGTGAAGACAAATTATCCTAATAAAAAATTAAGTGAAGATGTGGTAGACATAATTTTATGATCTCCATAACTTAGTTTCCTGGAATTACTCCTGTGGTTATGTCACATTACATAGCAAAAGGGACATTATATGTGTGGGCTGAATCTAATCACATGATCTCTTTAAAAATGGGGTTTTCTCCAAGCTGGTAGCAGAAGAAGAAGTCAGAGAGTTTCCAAGCACATGCTGCTCATGGCAGTGAAGATGCAGGGAACCATGTGAAAGGACCAGAGAAAGTTGGAAGTGTCCCTGCCTAACAGTCTTTAAAGAAATGGGTATCTTAGTTCTATAACTACAATGAGCTGAATTATGCCAACAATCTAAGTGAGCTTAGAAGTGGATTCTTCCCCATATAGTCCAGATAAGAGCCTAGTTTGGCCAACACACATAATTTCAGCCTTGTGAGATCCAGGATAGGGATGTCTGTTCAGCCTACTTGGACTTATGACATATAGTACTTTGAGCTAATAAATGGGTATTGTTTAAAGCCTGTGAGTGTGTCATAATGTGTTTTACAACAATAGAAAACTAATACAGATGCTCCTCAACTTAGGATGAGGTTACATCCTGATAAGCCGATCATAAGTTGAAAATAATCTAAGTTGAAAAAAATGCATTTAATACACCTAACTTACTGACCATCATACCTTAGTCTAGCCTACTTTAAACGTGCTGAGAACACTTACATTAGCCAACAGTTGGGCAAGTTCCTCTGGCAACAGTACACTGTAGAACATAAGTTTGTCCACTCTCAAGGTTGTGTGACTGACTGGGAGTTGGAGCTGGCTGCTACTTCTCAGCATCACGAGATAATATCCCACTGCATATCATGAGCCTGGGAAAAAAATCAAAGTTCAAAATTCAAAGTATGGTTTCTACTCAATGTGTATCACTTTGCACGTTGGTAAAGTTGAATAATTATAAATCAAACCATTGTAAGTCATAGACAATCTGTACAGTGAGTTATCATTGGATGACCCTACTTCATGAAGAAAGAAATAAATCATAAGCATGGAGTAAAATGGGGCCAAGTGCTGAAGAACAAAGATGAAAGCAATATCAGCTATAGCTAGTTTGACCCTAGGTCTGCCTCCTCCTAAGCAGGGAGCAAAATGTGACTGCCTAAATTTTGGTTGAGTACTGGAATTTGAGTCTCACAATAACCTACCTTCTTTTTCTTTCTGCTAGTTAGGCATAATCAGGCTAACACATTGGCTTATTTCCCAAGAAGGAGATATATTTACAAGGCATATGTAGCTTGCTGTAGGTTTTGTTTTATCCCAAAATAATGACTCTGAGGAGGGAATCCACAACCATCCCAGTAAAGAGAGTACTGGGAAGAGGCGGAGATAAATGAGCAGCTCCTCAAACATGGCACCATGTGGATAGACATCTATTCCATTTATTCCAGTCCTGCACAGTTGGCAAAGTAAAAAAAAAAAAAAAATTCCTTAGCTGGCATCACTAAACCGGTTTTAACTCCAAAATCAAATGAGAAAAAAGACACACAGCAAGCCAGAATAAGCCATTCGAACGAGCTAAGCTGATTTTGACAGGTTCCTTGGTAACAAACCCAAGTATGGTTATAAATGGGCCACTATAGCCTCCAGCTGCATTTTTTGTTACATAAGCTTCCTGGAAAAGAGGATTAAACCATATTTAAGATAAACATTTGCTTTTCTATAGTAAATTTAGCGCTGTTGTTTAAAGTGCTTTAGAATTGAATTGTGCAGGTGCTAAAATTCTAATTGCCTGTTTTCCATGATATTCATCTTAGAATTGCTCAAAGCAATACATTATCTCTGACTCCTTCACATAAAATATAACGATCACAGTGAAAGAAGGAATGGACAGTAAAGAAACAAAAGTAAAATGAAGGCCATGGACTCAAGCCCTCCACTAATGAGAATTATACACCATTTGTCCATTGAATCCACTTTTTGTTGCTGATGATTTTGGGGAGGGGGGAAAACAGGTGCCTGGTTTATAGCGAGAGGAATGGAAGGCAAGCACATCTACTTTTGGGGATGTAAAAAATCCAGTGTTTCAGTTGAAGATGTTTTTAGAAAAACAAATAAAAGTTTCTATGTGTCAATCAGGATACTAAAATTCATGATTCTGACTTCATATTTTTTCAGACTTTAAGAATGTTGTACAGTCTGTAGAAGCAGTGTGTGTGTGTGTGTGAGTGTGTGTGTGAGTGTGTGTGTGTGTGTGTGTGTGACCTTGGCTTAAACTATGACCTAAGGCCGAGGAAAAGTACACACAAATACCAAAAAGGATTTGAGTGTCTTCACAAGTTTTAAGGCTTCACTGCTAGTTGGAACAATGGTAACATGTGTGAATTTAGTCAAGGCTTTAAATTGATTTGACAAAGTATATATGCTATTGTTTGGATCATTAAAATATATGCCATTATTCTCCTTTGATTACACCCTTAAGCTGCTTATGTACAACCCATAAGACTTTGGCAAAGCAGAGGCCTGAGATAATAAAAATATTACAATTTACTATGATAGTGTTATTCATTTAAATCTTGCTCCCATGAAGCTGCACTGTGGAATGGAGAATGGAACAGAAGACTCTTACTCCAGAACCCGATGTAAAAGAATATCCCATGAGTATCCATCTTGAGGAGAAATATTGAGTTTCAGAGTTTGGAGCATGAGCAGGGCAGGGAAAAGTGTGACTATCCAATTAAACAAGTAGAAGCAAAGTACTCTCTTAGGTTCCAAGTTGGTTATAAAGTCCAAACACTGCCCTCAAGGAATTTATAATCTTGTTTAAGAGATGACAAAAAATTTACAAGATAGAAAAAAAGAACACAAGCATCTACACAGTCAAGTGCCAAAATGTGTTATCAGTATGTTGAGATGGTCTTGAAAGGACAGAGGGACAGTATGACCAAAAATGGAAGGTTGAGCTGAAATATGAGTCATGAAGGACAGCTAGATTTGGAAATGTGTACATTCTCCAATATGATAGACATTGGTCGTTTGATTTTATACCAACTATTTAGAAGTTAGTCACATTTCTGGGCAGGTTCTTATATCATTGAATATATTTATGGCTGCAAGTAAATAACAAAAACCCAGACTAACTGACTTAAACCACAAGGATATTTAGTGTTCTTTAAAGCAAGAAAAATCTAGAGATAGTTAGTTCTAGCATTAATTCAACAGAATGATAATGTCAGGACACTGAGTGGGCCTCCCTGGAATTTTTTTTTTCTCTTTCCTTGTGGTCACTAGGTGGCTGAAATAGCTGTAAGTATTATATTCTTATATAGAGAATGTTCAAAGCAGAAAGAAACACAGGACAACAAAAGCCTGAGTTTTGCTAAAGCTAAAATATGCCCAGTACCAGGAGATGACTCATGATAGATCTAAGCTTCCTGGGAGATTCTAGGGAAGGAAAATCTTTTTCAGAAGTTTCCAGCAGACTTCTTTTCAGATTTCAGGGGCCAGAGTTATATCACATATATTCCATTAGTCCAATCACTGGGAAAAAGGAACGGAATTGCCATACTGGAATGGACCTATCATAATTCATTTCCTAGGCTTAAGCATATTTTATCAAGCAAAGTCTATCTGAAAGGAAGAGAAGTAAATGGTTATTGGATAAGTAAAAGCACAGTTTTAGCCACAGTCTCCAAAATGGAACATGGTGTTAGACAAGCAGGAGCTTCGCAACAAAATCTATTTTATGATATTCTTTGGTTCCTGCCCCCCAACTCTCTCTCTCCCCATCTCTGTCTTTGTCTCTAAGTTTCCAGCCTTATTTTACCTCCTCCTCCTCTTCTTCCTCCTCCTTCTTCTCTCCTAATCTTACACACACACATAACACAATCACAAACATACTACTCTTAAACACATTAAAAACTTGGATTTAAATGAGACACCAAGGTAATGAGACAGCAGAATTTTTTTTTCACTTGTCTCCCTTCCCAAATGCATTTATATATCAGATCGTGCTCACATTTTATGATATTGCCCAATACAAATCTTCTGTTACTCAAGACTTTTCAACCTGAGACCCCTTGAAATGAAAGGGATTGAGTGATGATAACAACTTCTGATGAGTCATGAATCAAATGCAGACAGAGTTATTTTTTCCATCTATGGAGCCTCACCCCAATATTCATTTACTCCCATCAAATATTAGATCAGCAGTTAACACGACATTGTGACTTTTAATAGTTTCAGCACTAAGAAAGAAGTGTAATTTAGCATCAATCTACAAAAGGAGTCATGCTAAATCATATTTTAAGGCATATGGCTATAAATCTGGTTGTAAATTATTGCATCTTTCTGAAGGGCTTTGTATTCACAAGTTTACAGTATAAACATTTAGACAAGGTAAGAGCAGAAAACAGCCAGAATCAAAACAGGGAAGTTTAGAAGGAATACTTCTCTTAAATGGGGAGGCTAAGGAAGTGCAAAAGACTAGGGTGCACATTATATCCTAATGTTTTATTCATGAAGAGTTCTCTGCTCAAACCTCTTAAACATATAGAGCTACTCTACTTTCTATACCATAACCTCGTTTACTCAAGATGTAAATGTCAATTCCTGTAACATTTCTGGCCTTTTAAACTGCTGAATTTGTTTTGATGACATTGTAATGAGATACGTTCCTCTTCAAGTGAGGGAAATCTTACCATTCACATTATTTCTGTATTAACTTGCAAGGCAAAATTGTGAGTGCCAAAACAGTAAATTTAAGTTATATTTAAATATATTGAGCCAGAATTTTTTTTTGGTTGGTTTAATTGCAAATCCTTAGCAGCTGTCTCTTTTGGAGTAATAATTTTTATATTTAATTCATAGACTATTAGAGTTAGAAAGAACCTGAGATATCACCTAGTTCAATACCTCATTTCTCAGATGTGAGAAAAATACTGAGACCAAAAGAGGTTAAATTAGTTGCCCACTGTCACATAGCTAGTTTGTGGCAGAGTAAGGAACTGTAAACCAGCAATGTCTGGTTTCAAAGTCCATAATTTTTATGTCATAGAGTGATGCCTCATTTACAGTTAATTTTACCTATGGTATTCAATACATTGGCATCATATAACCCTGTAAGATTCTGATTTTCCACCCCTGATCAGATATAGGGTAAATCCCTCCACTTGGGCCCTCAGCAAGCTCAGAGAAACAGAGACTACATAGAAAAACAGTTGTGAATATGAGCGTTGGAGTAAAGCCAGATTTGGGTTTAAATTCTGGCTCTGCAACCTAACTACTGCAAATAAGAGCAAGCTGCTTTACTTTTACTTTTTAGGTTTCCCTTCGTTTGTCTCTGAAATGGGAATAAAATTCCTATCACAGAATTGTTGAAAGAAGTAAATCTATATAGAACATTTGGAGTCTGGAAAACCCTAGATGTTAACTCATTATTTTTATCTCAATTTCTGATCCAAACACAGTCGGAGAAGCAGATACAGTAGATTACAATCAGCAGATCAATAAGTGTGGTCCAAAATTAGTTTTGCTGCTGTAAAGACTGATAATAGAGAATGGTGGCAAATTGCTTTATTGTTTCTATTTATTGTTTCTTTTTTATTTTAATTTTCTTAAGTGTCATATTGACTTTTTCTCTTCTTTTATATTTTACTCTCTTTTTACAAATTGAAATAAATGAGTGTTAAATATTCATTAGAAGAAATTAAACTATAAAATAGGTACTGGATAGATATAATCTGGATTTGAATAATTGGGGATTCAAGGGGGTTGTAAGCAAATCTTTATATGTTTACAGCATCTGTGCACAATATATGTGTCCAATGTAAAATTGTCCTCCAGGACTTTTATACCCAGAAGGCCAGAATTATATGTATATTACCACTGGTCACATACAGAAATTATTTTTTTCTAATTAAATACACTTGGCTTAATGATGATTTTTCCTGTTATATCAACTCATAGGAGATTAAAATCAGTGTTTGCTGGAACCAGCATAAGAGGCATAATTAGTGATGTAGAAGTTGAGCTAGGTGTTAAAAGATGCTTAGAACTTGAAGAGGCAGGGAGGAGGAGGGAGTGCATTTCAGGGGGAGGAAACAGCATAAGTAACATGATGGAGAAAAGAATTTATAGCGCATATTGGCAGCAATGAGGAAAGGAGTGGGAAAGAAGTGGGATGAGGGTAAATTATTAATGGAGCTGCAAGGTTCCCCGTGACTTTTCCTGGGGAGAGATGAACATAGTCTAGTGTAACTCACATTACTAGGTCAAGAAGAAAGGCAAGGATAAAATGTTCTACCTAGTGGCAAGATGATATATTTGGCCAGGACACTTCCTGGTCTGTGACTCTGCAACTGTAGTATAGACAACAATGAGCAGTCAGTATTACAAAGGTTAGCTGTACAAGGACAAAAGACTCACATTTCAGCTTGTGGTTTTCAAAATTTACAATGTTATTCAATGATTTTTCTTCTGTGAGGAAGGAGAAAATGTACCTTTCCAAATTCTCACTGACAAGTAGGTTCTTGTGCAGCCTGAAGGTCAAAGTGGACTTTGAAGCTGAGACCTTCACTGACTACCTACAATACAGCACTTAATGATACTTTTAAAAGTGGGAGAGGTGGAGATCTATTTGTGTTGTGGAGAGTGTAGGGATGCAACTGGGATGATTCATGGTTGACGTGACTGTTGCCACCTCCACTCCTTTTAGATCAGGTAACAGAGCTATTGTCAACAGAGATGCTGCATAGTGGCATTGACCCTGAACGTTGGTGGAGTTGATATAGTTGTGATATAGTTAGAGAGAAGCTACTACGGGTTTATGATAGCCTTCTCTCCTCTCACACCCACACAGGGAAAACTAACTGGCCACTTAATCCACCAGTTTGCTACTTTGGGGGTTAAAAGGTCAAATCAAACCAATCATGGTTTTGTTTTGAATCAGTTAAGCACCAGTGATCCAAAATTTCTCACACTACATCATGAGAAGGAAACACTGATGTTTCCAGGAAAGATTGCAACTTTCACGTTTCCATCTATCAAAGAGTACTCATTTACCTGCTTGCTTGATTAATTTATTTATTTGTACCAGTGGGTATTTGCCGAAAGTATGTAAGAATCTCATGACTAAGCCAGACCCTCATCTCTCTATCAGGTCCCCCTCTTCAGTGTTGGGACTGATGGTGCCTCAGATTCAGTACCTGTTCCCTGCTCTGACTTCTGTTTCAGAACAGCCCTGTGTAATTTCCTGGCTCTCATGGTTCTGACACCAGCATACCATTTTTCTGCCACTGCCAGTAACACTACCCTTCCTTAATACTTGCAGAACACATATCATGTGTCATTGTGCTAAGTTCTTTATAAGCATTATGAAATTTAATCCTCACAAAAACTCTATGCAATGGATACTGATATTATCCCCTCCCACTTTTTTTTTTTCATTTTACAAATAAGAAAAATCAGACACAGACAATGTTGGAACTTTGTCTTTAACATCAGTTAAAGCAGTTAGTGAGTGTCACAGAATGTATTCTTCTCCAGGAAGTCTGATTCCAGAGACCACAGACATAACAGTGACAGTGTAAGAATTGGCAGCTAAGAGGAGTTCTTGATATTTCATCATTTCAGAGCTTCTAGAAGAGAGTAATAAAATAACTTCTGTAGGTGAGTTACCTGAAGGCCTGCAGGGAAGAGGCTAGATTAATTTTGTAGGCCAACCTCTGTAAATGTCTGCAGTGGCTACATTATATGAGTTAAAGACAATCATCAGAGACTTGTAGACTATAGTCAAGAGGGGCTGGAGAATAAATCATTTGATAAAAAATGGAGAGAGCTGTTCGTCATTCAGCCCTGAGGGTAGTGGTTGTTACAACAACAATGCATAAATGGAGGTTATTTAAAACGAGTGCATACCACATTATTTTCCCTTAGGGCTAGTGTAATATTGACTAATTGCTTTAAATTCATCATTTGGTGAGTCAATAACATTCATTGCTCTGTGGCTGGGTACGACACATGATGTTAAGTAATGTGGGGTACATAAAGACATCAGGAATGCAGACTTGCTCTCTTGGGGCTATTGTTTCCTATTGGAAACAATAGGTAGGTAGAAGACATTGGATCACACGCATAGACACGGCACATGACAAAAAGACATAGGGTATGGGGCAAAGATTCTTAAGGGTATGTATCAGAATCTCATTGTCTCTGCCCACCAACACCTACCTTGTAGTGAGCTGCGTTAACTTTTATTTTTTTAAAAACCTTCTATTTTAAGTTCAGTGTTATGCGTGCAGGTTTGTCATATAGGTAAATTGCATTTTGCAGGAGTTTGGAGTAGAGATTATTTCATCACCCAAGTAATAAGGATAAAACCCAATAGGTAGTTTTTTGATCCTCACCTTCCTCCCATCTTCCACCCTTAAGTAAGACCGGTGTCTGTTGTTCACTTCTTTGTGTCCATATGTACTCGATGTTTAGCTACCACTTACAAGTGAGAACATGAAATATGTGGTTTTTCTGCACCTGTGGGTTAGTTCACTTAGAATAATGGCTCCATCCATGTTGCTCCATCCATGTTGCTGCAAAGGACATGATCTCATTCCTTTTTATGGCTGTATAGTATTTCATGGTGTATATGTACCACATTTTCTTTATCCAGTCTGCCATTGATGGGCATTTAGATTGATTTCATGGCTTCACTATTGTGAATAATGCTACAGTGAACATATGTGTCTTTATGACAGAATGATCTATATTTCTTTGGGTATATGCCCAGTAATGGGATTGCTGGGTTAAATTGCAATTCTGTTTTACATTCTTTCAGAAAGCACCAAAAGACTTTCCATGATGGCTGAAAAACTTTATATTCCATCCAGCAGTGTATAAGTGTTCCCTTTTCTCCACAACACCACCAGCATCTGTTATTTTTTTAACTTTTTAATTGTAGCCATTCTGACTGGTATGAGATGGTATCTCATTGTGATTTTGATTTGGAATTATCCAGTGCTTACTGATGCAAACCTTTTTCATATGCTTCTTGGCTGTGTGTATGTCTTCTTTTGCAAAGTGTCCATCACATCTTTGCTCACTTTTTAATGGGGTTGTTTGCTTTTTGCTTATAAATTTGTTTAAGTTTCTTACAGATGCTGGGTATTAGACCTTCATCAGATGCATATTTTGCAAACGTTTTCTCCCATTCTGTAGATTGTCTGTTTACTCTGTTGATAGTTTCTTTGGCTGTGCAGGAAGCTCTTTAGTTTAATTAGGTTCCATATGTCAATTTTTGTTTTTGTTGCCAATGCTTTTGGCATCTTTATCATGAAATATCTTCCTGGCCCTATGTCCAGAATGGTATTTCCTAGGTTTTCTTCTTGTGGTTTTAGAGTTTTAGGTTTTACATTTAAGTCTTTAATCCATCTTGAGTTGAATTTTGTATATGGTATAATAAAAGGGTCCAGTTTCAATCTTCTGCATATGGCTAGCCAGTTATCCCAGCACCATTTATTGAATAAAAAGTTCTTTCCCCATTGTTTGTTTTTGTCAGTTTTGTTGAAGATCAGATGGTTGTAGGTGTGCAGCATTCTTTCTCGCTCTCTATTCTGTTCCATTGGTCTATGTGTCTGTTTTTGTACCTGTACCATGCTGTTTCCGTTATTTTAGCATTGCACTGTAGTTTGAAGTTGGGTAATGTGATACTTCCAGCTTTCTTCTTTCTCTTTAAGATTACCCTGGCAATTTGAGCTCATCTGTGATTGCATATGAATTTTAAAGTAGTTTTCACTAATTTTGTGAAGAATGTCATCGGTAGTTTGATAAGAATAATATTGAATCTGTAACTTGCCTTGGGCTTTATGGCCACTTAACATTACTGATTCTTCCTATTAGCATGAAATATTTTCCATTTATTTGTGTTATCTCTGATTCTTTGAGCAGTGTTTTGTAAATCTCATTGTAGAGATCTTTCACACTTCTGATTCTTGTATTCTGAGGTATTTAATTCTTTTTTAAATTTAATTTGTTATATTTTTTAAACTTTTATTTTAGGTTCAGGGGTACAAGTGCAGGTTTGCTATATGAGTAAACTCATGTCACAGAGGTTTGTTGTAAAGATTATTTTATCACCCAGGTACTAAGCCTGTTAGACAATACTTTTTTTTTTTTTTTCTTATTCTCTCCCTTCTCCAACTCTCCACCATCAAGTAAGCCCCATTGTCCATTGTTCCCCTCTTTGTGTCCATGTGTTCTCATCATTTAGTTTCCACTGATAACTGAGAACATGATAACTCCCAGCTCCATCCACGTCCCTGCAGAAGACATGATCTCATTCTTTCCTATGGCTGCATAGTATTCCATGGTGCATATATACCACATTTTCTTCATCCAGTCTGTCATTAATGGGCATTTAAGTTGATTCCATATCTTTGCCATTGTAAATATTTCTGCAGTGAATATTCATATGCATGTTTTATGGTAGAATGATTTATATCCCTTTGGGTATATACCCAGTAATGGGATTGCTGGGTTGAATGGTAGTTCTGTTTTTAGCTCTTTGAAGAATTGACACACTGCTTTCCACAGTGATTAAACTAATTTATACTCCTACCAACAGTGGACAAGCATTCCCTTTTCTCCACAACCTCGACGACATCTGTTATTTTTTGACTCTTTAGTAATAGCCATTCTGACTGGTATGAGATGGTATGTCATTGTGGTTTTGATTTGAAATTCTCTAATAGTCAGTAATATTGAGTTTTTTTTCATATGCTTGTTGGCTGCATGCATGTCTTCTTTTCAAAAGTGTCTGTTATGTATTTGGCCACTTTTTAATGGGGTTGTTTGTAATACATGCCTCCAGCTTTGTTCTTTTTGCTTAGGATTGCCTTGACTACTCAGGTTCATTTTGGTTTCACATGAATTTTAAAATAGTTTTTTTCTAATTCTGTGAAGAATGTCATTGGTCGTTTGACAGAAATAGCATTGAGTCTATATATTGCTTTGGGCAGTATGGCCATTTTAACAATATTGATTTCTTCCTGTCTATGAGCATGGAATGTTTTTTATATTTGTTTGTGCTATCTCTGATTTCATTCAGCAGTGTTTTATAATTCTCATCGTAGAAATCTTTAACCTCCCTGGTGAGCTGTATCTCTAGGTATTTTATTATTTGCGTGGCAATTGTGAATGGGGTTTTGTTTCTGATTTGGCTATCAACTTATCTGTTGTTGGTGTCTAGGAATGCTAGTGATATTTCCATGTTGATTTTTATCCTGACAATTTGCTGAAGTTGTTTATCAGCTAAAGGAGCTTTTGGGTCAAGACTATAGGGTTTTTAAAATATATGATCATGTCATCTGCAAACAAGTATAGTTTGACTTCCTCTATTTTTAGTTGGATGCCCTTTATGTCTTTCTATTGCCTATTTGTTCCAGCCAGGACTTCCAGTACTGTGTTGAATAGTAGCAGTGAGAGAGGGCATCCATGTCTTGTGCTGTTTTTCAAGGGGAATGCTTCCAGCTTTTTCCTATTCAATATGATGTTGGCTGTGGGTTTGTTATAGATGGCTCTTATTATTTTGAGGTAGGTTCCTTCAATATATTTTATTCTTTTTATGGCTATTGTGAATGGGATTGCATTCTTGCTTTGGCGATCAGCTGGGATGCTGTTGGTGTATAGGAATGCTACAATTTTTTGTATGTTAATTTTGTGTACTGAGACTTTTTTTTTAATCAGATCAAGCAGCTTTTGGGCACAGGCTATGAGGTTTTCTAGGTATGGAATCATATCATCTAAAAATAGGTATAGTTTGACTTCCTCTCTTCCTATTTGGATGCCTTTTATTTCTTGCTTTTACCTGATTGCTTTGGCCAGGACTTCTAATAATATATTGGATCAAAGTGTGGACAGAAGGCATCCTTGTGCTGGTTTTCGAGGGGAATGCTTTCAGCTATTGCCCATTCAGTATGATGTTGGCCGTGGGTTTGTCATAAATGGCTCTTTCTTTTTGAAGTATGTTCCTTCAACGCCTAATTTGTTGAGAGTTTTAACCAGAAGGAATGTTGAATTTTGTTGAAAGTCTTTTCTGCATCTATTGAGGTGATAATGTTTTTTGTCTTTAGTTCTGTTTATGTGATGAATCACATTTATTGATTTACATATGTTAAACCAAATTTGTATCAAGTAGGCTTTATCCCTGAGATACAAGATTAGTTGAACATACGCAAATCAATAAATGTGATTCATCACATAAACAGAACTAAAGACAAAAAGCATGATTTGTGGTGGACTAGCTTTTTGACGTGCTGCTGGATTCAGTTTACTAGTATTTTGTTGAAGATTCTTGTATCTATGTTCTGCAAGGATATTGGCCTGAAATTTTATTTTTTGTTGTTGTCTCTGCCAGGTTTGGGTATCAGGATGATACTGGCCTCGTAGAATGACTTAGGAGGATTCTGTGCTCCTCAGTGTTTTGGAATAGTTTCAGTAGGAAAGATACCAGCTCTTCTTTATACATCTGGTATAATTCAGCTGTGAATCTGTCTGGTCCTGGGCTTTTTTTTGGTAGGCAAGATTTTATTACTGATTCAATTTTGGAACTGGTTATTAGTCTGTTTAGGGATTCAATTTCTTCTTGGTTCAGTATTCAGAAGTTATATGTGTCTTGGAATTTGTCAATTTTCTCTAGGTTTTTTAGCTTGTGTGCATAGAAGTGCTTGTAGTTGTCTGTGAGGGTTTTGCTGTATTTCTGTGGAGTCAGTGGCAACATCCCCTTTGTCATTTGTGATTGTGTTTATTTGCATAATCTCTCATTTTTCTTTATTAGTCCAGCTGGTGGTCTGCCTGTCTAATTTTTTGTAAAAACCAGCTCTTGTATTTGTTGATCTTTTGTATGGTTTTTCATGTCTCAATTTCCTTCAGTTCAGCTTTGATTTTGTTTTGTCTTTGTTTCCTGTCTTCTGCTTGCTTTGGAATTGGTTTGCTCTTGTTTCTCTAGTTCCTCTAGTTGTGATGTTAGGTTGTTAATTAGAGATCTTTCTACATTTTTCATGTGGGCATTTAGTGCTATAACCTTACCTTATAACACTGCCTTAGCTATGTCCCAGAGATTCTAGTATGCTGTATCTTTATTCTCAGTTTCAAACAATTTCTTGATTTCTGCTTTAATTTTATTACTTACCCAAAAGTCATTCAGGATCAGATTACTTAATTTCCATGTAATTATGTGATTTTGACTGATTTTCTTATTACTGATTTCTATTTTTATTGTTCTGTAGTCTGAAAGTGTGGTTGGTATTATTTCTGTTTTTTGAATTTGCTGAGGATTGTTTTATGTCTAATTGTGTGGTCAATTTTAAAGTATGTTTCATGTGCAGATGAGAAGAATTCATATTCTGTTTTTTTTGTTGTTGTTGTTGGGTGGAATGGTCTGTAAATGTGTATTAGTTTCATTTAGTCAAGTGTTGAGTTCATGTCTTGAATATTTTTGTTAGTTTTCTGTCTTGATGATCTGGCTAATACTGTCAGGAGGATGTTGAAGTCTCCCACTATTATTGTGTGGCTATTTAACTCTCTTCATAGGTTTCTAAGAACTTGATTTATGAGTCTGGGCACTCCTGTGTTAAGTGCAAATATATTTAGGATAGTTAGCTCTTCTGGCTGAATTGAGCCCCTTACCATTATGTAATGTCCTTCTTTTTCTTGTTTCATCTTTGTCGGCTTAAAATCTGTTTTGTCTGAAATTAAAATAACAACCCCTGCTTTTTTTTGTTTTCTGTTTCTTTGGTAGATTATTCTTTATCCATTTACTTTTAGCCTAAGGGTGTTATTGCATGTGGGATGGGTCTCCTGAAGACAGCCTACTATTGGGTCTTGCTTCTTGATATAGTTTGAATATTTGTCCTTCTTCAAATCTCATGTTGAATTGTATCCCCCAATACTGGAGATGGTGCCTGGTTGGAGATGTTTGGGTCATGTGGTAAGACCCCTCATGGTTTGATGCTGTCTTAGCTATAGTGAGTTCTCATGAGATCCAGTCATTTAAATGTGTGTGGCACTTCCCCCTGACTCTCTCTCTCTTGCTCCTGTTTTTGCCTTGTATTCTTACACTTCTCTGTCCACCATGTGTAAAAAGTCCCTGAGACATTGTCAGAAGCTGAACGATGTTGATGCTATGCTTGTGCAACCTGCAGAACAGTGAGCCAATTTATCTTCTTTTCTTTTTAAATTACCCAGTCTCAGGTATTAAATATTTCTTTGTAGCAATGCACAAATGATCCAATGCAAAAAAAATGCACTGACTAGTATGACATTGCTATAAAGATACCTAAAAAAGGGGAAGCAGCTTTGGTACTGAGGGCAGAGGTTAGAAGACTTTGCAGTGCTCAGAAGAAGACAGAAAATTGAGGGAGAGTTTGGAAAGTCTTAGAGACTCATTAAGTGGTTGTGACCAAAATGTTAATAGTAATGTGAACAGTTAAGTTGATATGGTTTGGCTCTGTCTCCCCACCCAAATATCATGTTGAATTGTAATTCGAGTGTTAGAGGAGGGGCATGGTGGGAGACAATTGAATCATGGGGGTTGACTTCCCCCTTGCTGTTCTCCTGATCTCACGAGATCTGGTTGTTTGACAGTGTGTAGCATCTCTCCTTTTTCTCTGTCTCCCACTGGCCACGTGAAGATGTTCCTGCTTCCCTTTTGCTTTTGGTCACAGTTGTAAGATTCCTGGGGCCTTCCCAGAAGCAGAAACCTGTAAAGCCTGCAGAACCACGAGCTGATTAAACCTCTTTTCTTTATAAATTGCCCAGTTTCAGGTATTTATAGCAGTGCGAGAACAGACTCATACAAAAGTTCAGGCTGACAAGGTCTCAGATGGAAATAAGGAACTTATTGGGAACTGGAGCAAAGGTCACATGTATTATGACTTAGCAAAGAACCTGGCTACATTTTGTCCCCTCTTTAGGAATCTGTGAAAGTTTGACTTGAGGGTGATGACCCAGGTTATCTGGCCAAATGAATTTATAAACAGCAAAACATTGAATAGGTGGCCTATCTGCTTCTAATAGCCTAACTCGGATGTGGGAGAAATAAATAAGTTCTAAAGTTACAACTTATATTTAAAAGAGAAGCAAAGTGCAAAAGTTTGGAAAATTTGCAGGCTGCCTATATGGCAGATAAAGAAAAACGTTTTTGGGAGAGGAATTCAAGCAGGCTGTGGAGTAACCACTTTTAGAGAAATCTGCACAACTAAAAGGGTGCCACGGTCTAATAGCCAAGACAATGGGGAAAATGCCTCAAAGGCATTTCAGTGACCTTTGTAGCTCCCCTTCCATTAAAGGCCTAGAGGCTTTGGAGGGAAGAATGATTTTGTGGGCCAAACCCAGGGCCCGTTTTCCCTGTGCAGCTTCAGGGGACTGACTCCCACATTCTGGCTTCTCTGGCTCCAGCCTTTATTCAAAGGGGCCCAGGTACAGCTTGGGCCTCAGCTCCAGAGGTGCAAACCATAAGCCTTGGTGGCTTCCACGTGGTGTCAAGTATGCCAGCATTCAGAGTACAAGAGTGAAGAATACTTGGCACCCTCCACCTAGATTTTAGAGCCTGTGTAAGAAAGCCTGAGTGCCCAGGCAGATGCCTGTTGGCCACCATGAGGGATCTCTGGAGCCCACACAAAGAACCTCTACTATGGCAGTACAGAGTGGAAATGTGAGGTTGCAGTCCTGAAACAGAGTCCCCAGTGGGGCACTTCCTAGTGGAACTGTGAGAAGTGGCCCACCATCCTCTAGACCAGAGAATGGTAGATCCACCAGCAGCTTGCATCTGGCATCTGGAAAAACTTCAGATACTCAACTCCAGCCCATGAGAGCAGCAATGGGGGCCACACCCTACATAGCCACAGGTTTGGAGCTGCCCAAGGCCTTAGGAGCCCACTTCCTCCAGGATGCCCTGGATACCGGGTTTGGAGTCAAAGGAGATTATTTTGGAACTTTAAGGTTACATGACTGCCCTGCTGGGTTTCAAACTTGCATGGGGCCTGGTTACAGGCCTTTTTTGGCCATTTTTGGCCAATTTATCTGTTCTGAGAACGAGAATGTTTATCCAATGCCTATACTACCATTGTGCCTTGCAAGTAACTAACTTGCTTTTAATTTTGAAAGCTCATAGATGGAAGGGATTTGCCTTGTCTCAGATGAGACTTTGGACTTTGGACTCTTGAGTTAATGCAGGAATGTGTTAAGACTGAGGGACTGTTAGGAGGGCATGATTTTATTTTGCAATGTGAGAAGGACAATGGGATTTTGGAGGGGGCACGTGTAGAATGATATAGTTTGGATATTGTTCCCATGCAAATTTCATGTTGAATTGTAATCCTTAATGCTGGGGTTGGGGCTTGGTGAGAGGAGTTTGGGTCATGGGGTGGATCCCTTCCTCATGGCTTTGTACTTTGTTTGTTATAGTGAGTTCTTACAAGATCTGGCCATTTAAAAGTGTGTGGCACCTCCTCCCTTCACTCTTTCTTGCTCCTGCTTTTGCCATGTGGTGTACCTGCTCCCATTCTGCCTTCTGCCTTGAATAAAAACTCTCTGAGGCTTCCCAAGAAGCTTAGAGGTCTCAGTACTATGCTTGCACAGCCTGAAGAACTGTAAGCCCATTAAACCTCTTTTCTTTAAAAATTACTCAGTCTCAGTTATTTGTTTATAGCAACGCAAGAATGGCCTAACATACTTGTTCATCCAACTTGCCACTCTGTGACTTTTAATTGGGGCATTTAGTCCATTTACATTCAAGATTAGTATTGGTATATGCAAGTTTGTTTCTGTCATCGTGATGTAGCTGGTCATTGGGCAGACTTTTTTGTGTGGTTGCTTTATAATGCCACTGGTCTATGTACTTCAGTGTATTTTTGTAGTGGCCAGTAATAACCTTTCCTTTCTGTGTTTAGCACTCCAGGACCTCTTGTAAGGCAGGCCTCATGGTAACAAAATCTCTTAGCATTTGCTTGTCTGAAGGAGATATTATTTCTCCTTTGCTTTTGAAGGTTAGCTTGGCTGGATATGAAATTCTTTGTTGGCAATTCTTTTCTTTAAGAATGTTGAATATAGACACACATTCTCTTCCAGCTTGTAGAGTTTCTGCTGAAAGGTCCACTGTTAGCCTAATGGAATTCCCTTTGTGGGTGATTTCTCCCTTCTGTTTAGTTGCCTGTGACAGTTTTTTTCTTTCATTTTGACCTTGGAGAATCTGATGACTATGTGTCTTGCAGATAGTCTTCTTGTATAGTATTTCACAAGGGTTCTCTGCATTCCCTGATTTTGCATGTTGCCCTCTCTAGTGAGGTTGGGAAATTTTTCATGGATAATATCCTGAAATCCATTTTCCAAGTTGCTTGTTTTCTCTGCCTGTCTTTCAGGTACGCAAGTGAATCATAGGTTTGGTGTCTTTACATAATTCCATCTTTCTTGGAGGTTTTGTTCATTCTTCTTCATTGTTCTTTATTTTTGTCTGGATGAGTTATTTTGGAGAGCCAGTATTTGAACTCTGAGGTTGCTTCCTCAGCTCAGTCAATTCTGCTGTTAATAATTGCAGTTGTATTCTGAAATTCTTTTAGTGAGTTTTTTCAACATTATCAACTCAGTTTGTTTCTTTCTTCAAATGGCCATTTCATATTCCATGTATTGTATCGTTTTATTGTATTTCATTTCAGCCTGGTTATGACTCATTGCTTGGGAACTAATGCAGTCATTTCAAAGTATGAAGACACGCTGGCATTTTGAGTTGCCAGAGTTCTCGTGCTGGTTCTCATTTGTGTTGGCTGATGTTCCTTTAATCTTTGAAGTTGCTGTTCTTTAGATGTTTTTTTTTTTCCTTTGCTTTTATCTTCTTTGATGTCCTTGGTGGTTTGATTGTGACAGAAGGTTGGTTCGGTCAACTGGCCTTATTTCTGGTAGATTTCTTGGGATTAAGTCTCACTTCAGCACTCCTGGGCTGCTTGCTCTAACCCAGGGGTGCTTGTATCAGGCTCCTGGCTTTTTTGACCCCTCAAGGTTGGGAACCTGCTGCATTGGAAAGATCAAGGTGTTCCGGACCAATGGCCATAACACTCTGAAGCGTGGTGTCAGCCAAAGTGCTTTCTTGGGCAATGAAAGTGGGATATGTGATCATTCACACATGATAGCAGGAGCAGCAATACAGCAGGGTGCATGCTTGTCCATTGGGGTGGGACGCTGGTGGACCTGGGGTTGCCAGCCTCTGTGAAGGTGTTGACAGCAGTGGCCATGGTGGCACAGTGTGGGGGAGGGAGAGTAGGGTGGTGTTGGTGGCACAGTGGGAAAAGGTTGTGGGGGAGTGCAGGGTTGCTGGCATCCATGTGCACGTTAGTACTTGAGTTACTGTCGGCATGGTGGCAGAGCACTGGCAGGCTTTGCACTGGTGAACTTCATGCACATTTTCATGCTGGTGGCAGTGGTGGCATGGGGTGGAGGATTGGGCTGCTGGTGTCCATGCACCACCAGGGATGGGGCTGCAAGGTGTGCACCTGCGCATGCACACTGGCAAAACAGTGGGGTGGTGGCCATGGGTGAGTGTGTGCCTGAAAAGTGGCAGGGGGGAGGCTGTTGTGGGGGGAGGGTGCAGGTGGTTTGGGGCCAATCTGCTGGGGCTCTATGATGATCAGGCATGGTTTGCCAGCCAGGAAGCTATGATGTGGGCCCCTGGTAGGCACCTCAGTTGGGTGTTCAAGGCTGCATTGAAAGCAGGCACAGCCAGGCTGGGTCCCAAGAAGAGGCCAGCAGACAGAAGGGGTCTCAGGTTGTCCTGGCCCCATCTCATGGGCAAGATTACCCTGCTCTATTCAGGTCCAACGGTTCTCCTAAGGCTTTAGTCTCCTAAGGGAGCATGGCAAATCTGCTCCCTTGTGGATGTTCCCACACCAAACCCTCTGAGTTCCTCACAAGCTGGAGTCCTGTCCCTACCACCTCTTTAAGCAGCAGTCTCTGCTAGCTCAAGTGTTCATGGGTGTTGTGGGGTCTCCTGCTGCCAGGATTCCAGAGACCCATGGCAAGAATGAGTTGTTCATCATCTGCTGAACTCACCCCTTCCCCAGGAGTCGTTGGGGGCCAAGAATGAGTGGTGCGTGATAGCCCCATGTGGGGCTTCCTTCTTCCTCCTCCTTGAATCTAACATCTATGTCCTCCCTCTGTCTACTCTCAATGCCTTCCTTCCATAGATCTGCTTGGAGTGCACCAGTCTTCTCTGGTGTCCCAGTGCCTCAGTGGCAGGTGTTCCTCCTAGCTGTGTCTAGTCAGCCATATTGCTTGATCTCTGGTTTGAATTTTAGTCAAGATTCCCGGGAGAAGGTTTGGGGCATGCCCTTTGAATGTTCACTAAGTGACATCTCTAAAGCAGAAGTTTTCAAACCTAATTGTACATTCAATTTATGTGTTGAAATATTGGCACATGCAGAAGGCCTGGTCCATAATCAGGTGTACTGAATTGAAAATGTTCAGATATTCAGGACCTAAAAATCTCTACTTGTGACAATAATTATGTACAGAAGAAGAATAATGGTAACATTGTTGATTTCATTGATATCAGGGTGATGAATGGGGACTCAAATGAGACATGAACTGCAAAATTACTTTGACAAGCCATGACAGGCACGGTTTGCCTGCCCAAAAGCTAAGATGTGGGCCCCTGGGAGGCAGCTCAGTTGAGCATCTGAGGTTGGACTGCAAGCAGGCACAGCTAGGCTGGGGCTCCAGGAGAGGCTAGCAGACAGAAGGGTGCTCAGGTTTGACTGTCCCTATCTCATGGACAAAACGTATAGTTTGACAAGCTATAGTTAGATTTATTGAGGGCCTTCTGTGTGTGTCAGGCATCATATGAGGTGCTTTAATTATATTATTTAATTACTTAATCACCACAGTGTCCATACAGGTTTAAGCCTTAACTTCCTCATTTAAGCTACGTACATTAAAGAGTATACGCCAAAATGTTAATAGTGGCTACTTCCAGATGGTGGAATATGGATGATCTTTTTCTCTTTTTTATGTTTTCTCTATCTTCCCACATTTCATTTCCTTTTGCAATGACCATGCTTTACTTTTATAATTAGAAAAAAAGCCAAGTTCATAAAATTACTACAAATTTCCCAATTTCACATGGGTAATCTATATTCACACCCAATTCCATGTGATTTTTATTACATCATAATGTTAGAGAAAGCATTAGCAGATTTGTAAAATGTAATTTGAGCAAAGTGTCAGGAGATTAAGAAATAGTTTAATATAATTGGGCTAGATATTAGACACCCTCATCAAAATGTTGCCATGGCAACATTCCTTCATTCTCTTGGACGACCCCGATCTACTTGAAAATGCCCTCCATTCTCTTGGAGGATTCCAAGAGAATGAAACCTTAATAGAAATGTTTCTAATGGGAGAAATATATGAGAAAAATCTAGTAGTACGGGACATGCTTAGTTCCAATGTTGTACCACAGCAAGGAGTTCTAGTTATTAGGAGGACAATATGAAGGTTTTTGACACACCACATGAGAGGATGGATTGGAAACAAAGATGCAGATTCTGAAGTTATATGCTACTGATTTCATGATTTTGCACCAGATGCTGGATTTGGTAGGATCCAAACCTGCAGATCATTAATATGAGATGAACACCAGCAAGGTGTTCTAAACCTTCTAAATCCTGCCAGAAGTCCATAATGCATCTGCAATGTATCATACCACTTAGAGATTTAGCACTCGACCTACACATGGCACTTGACTTCCTTCAGAGCATGGTAATTCAATAGTGGTAACATCAGCATAAGCAGAAGTGACAGGCAGTAAACTGCTTTGATTACCATCAACATAATGGGTCACATATACTGAGTGACATTTGTGCAAATCCTAGCAAACCTATAAAACATTATTTGAGCAAAGTGTTCTGAGATTATGAAATAGTTGAAAATGTTGGGGCTAGATATTAGACCTTAGGGAGAATTCAGACTTTCCCTACTGACCTCTACTCTTGCTTAAGATGATAGGTTTTAATTATTTTCTGCTTCCTTCTGGCTGCTCTTCTAAATCACCATGGAAATATACTTAAGGAGGAAAATATACTTAAAGGAAAGACCCAAAAAGAGCTAAAGGAGAGACAAAAATGTGCTTAGTGTTTGTTTCATTTGTATCATACATTTCAGTTCTTCACAGGAAAGCTGCAGCTTCTTTGCAATATCAAAAAATACAATGCCCAGAATTTAGAGTTCCTTTATTTTGAGAACCCATGGAAATGCTTTCCACATCTGTTTTGTCCACTAGTCATTGTTTTAGCCCACTGGCCACTGAGTATTCATTCACTCTTTTTAGTAACAATTTTGTTTTCATTTCAAAAATTACCTGGCTCTCATTGTATACAGTATGGGTTAAATAGTCAATGAAAGTATTGTGCTCACCAAAAGGATTCTGAGGAGTACTGAGAAAAGCAATGTTTAAGGGAAAAAAAGGACTAATTGATATTTGTAAGATGAGATTCAGACCTTGGCTTTGAATACCAAAAGAAATGTGACCTTATTTTGTACTTCAAATCTGGTGATGCAGGAAATAATTCTAACCAGGAATAAAAAGAATGGAAGGAAATATACCAAATGTTAGTAGTGCTTATGTTAGTAGTGATGAGATTATGGATGTTTACTGTTTCCTTTTTATAAAAATGATATATGTTTATTATATGATACTTAAAATAGCATAAAACACTGCAATATGTTTGTTTAAAAATACTTCTGCACATGTGCTCTCTAATTTAAAAAGTCAGACAAATCTTCCTTTGGTGAGATGGCAGCACGCTTCATTCCATAGTCATCACTCAAAGCAGCCTGAAGGTTTCAAGAATAGGCTAGAATCCTTTTCTTTTTTCAGGATTACAAGCTAATTCCTTGTTCTTTTCACCTAAGATTTGAAATTTTCAGCACACATAACTCATGAGAAAGTACAATCCAGCATAAATACCTTGTGATAAACTTTGATATATTTTGAGTCATATCATAAGAAAAAATTTCATAGTGTTCAGCTTTCTTACTGCAGGTATATAGCTTCTCTCATTGTTGCTGCCTCTGCCAGTCTGAGTCTGAACCTGCGAATGATTTTCTCTCTCTCATATTTTCTGCCCTTGTCTTCGGTTTTTGTTCCTGGCTATGTATATCCCAGTATGGTTTATTCTATTGCTTCTGTAGTCTTTCTTGTCTGATCAAATTCCTAAAAAGTATTTTTGGCTCTTTCCATCTCTGTCTCTTGTAAGCAGCCCACACAATGCAACTGATAATTCATGCTTTAGGTATTTGTAGCCAATGTCTTGTGCATGGATCCACTAAGATGGGTTTGCGTGTTAATGACAATAAAATTTTCTTCTTGAATGTTTCATGGCCCTTCCTCACAAATTTGAATATATTTAAGACACATTTACATTGCAATATATTGAAGATTGAAGTGATCCAGTGCCATTCCTCAATTCACAATCACTTCTGGGGTTTCTGTGAGAAGAAACAAAATCTGTATCTGAAGTTGTCCTTTTTGCAAGTTAATAAAGACCAGAATGTACGTATCTGAGTTGTGAGTGTCTTTGTTGTTGTTGTTGTCGTTGTTATTGAAAAAACAGAACAGCACTAAGGAAAACTGCTATAGAGCAAGAGTCAAAATGTGGGAATTTTAAAGTAATTTTTACAGAGCAAATTTTGGGCAGATACAAAACACCGATTCCACACATGTATATTTAACTTTTAACTTTTATATTTATCATGACCCTCTGAGATAAAGGTACCTAATTCACCTGCTCTGTAATGACTACCTCTTAAGACTCCTAGCTAGACTATTCTTAGTCTTTTATGATGTATTTTATCACTTTCAGTCCTTTCCAAACAACTGTAACTAATTGAAGACTGCATTGCATTACATTTTAATGTGCTCTATCTTAATACATATCATAATGTATTCCATGTCTCTCAAAATAGATTTTTGGTCTCTTGAAGAAAGAATTGGATTGAGTCTTCACATCTGAGTTCTCATCCAACTTTACTGTTAGTCACAGGGAATCATGCCTCTACCATAGTGGGCATGATAGACAAAAATGCCTGCTTTCATGGACCTTACATCTGCTGGAAAAGAAAGAAGATAAACAAATAAGCAATTTGATAACCAAGATAATTTTAGCAAGTGATGAATGCTATGAGGAAAATAAAAGCGATTATGATAGCGATGGACTTGTAAAGTGGGGAAGAAGAAAGAGTACAAATGCCGTGTAGTGATGTGTCCAGTAAATATGTATGGAGCATAGTGTGCAAAAAGGAATAGAAACATACGGATAGACAGGGAGGCAAGGGGCAGATCATGAGAAACTTTCTTTGATACATTTTAAGAATTTGAACTTTATTCGAATTTTGATGGGAAGGCATTAGACAGTTTTAAGCAAGGGTGTGACTTGGATATGTTTCAAGACTATTACTCTGATTTCTGTTTAAGACAGAATATAAAAAAACAGGAGTAGCACAGGGAGACTTGTTATGGGGTATTGAGCTCCAGTACTCTGGGTGAGAAGTGGTGGTAGTTTGGATTAAGATTATAGAAGTTGAGACATAGAGGAGTGGTCATGCTTTGGATATATATTGGGGGAAGAGTTTTCATGACTTTCTAATGGATTTTGTTTGGTGATGACAGAAAGAAGTCAAGGGTGACATCTAGTTGTTTGGCTTGAGCAGCTGAGTAGACAGGGTTGAAATTTATTGATACAGAAATCCTGGAGATGACTAAATTTGAGGTGAAGCTATGAGTTTTTGACATATTAGGCCTAACACACCAATACCTAGGTGGAGACAATGAAAAGCTATTTGGATGTCTATGTCTGGAGCTCAAGAGAGAGGTCATGGATGGGATTAGAAGTTTTAAGGTATTGGTATTCAAAGTCATGGTAGTTGAAGAAAACTCTGCCTTTAGCAAGAGGGTAGGAATCCATGTCTAACAAGCACAAGTTAAAATTAAAAGAAATTAATTGGCTCATTAACTGGAAGCATGACTGGAAACATGAGTCATTTGGGTTCAGGATATGTGCCTACATTAGGCATTTCAAATATCATCAGATAAAGTCTCTGTTTCTCTCTGTCTCTTTAACTTCAGCTTTTTTGTTTGTTTGTTTTCTTTATCAGGCATGATCTCTCCACATGGCAGCACAGCTGGTCACCAGCTGTTCCAGGCTCACATACTTCTGTGCAGCACCATACCAGAGAAAAGGGTCAGACATTCTCTCACCCAGCACTCACCCCAAAAGACTCTGCTCAGTGTGAGTCACATAAATTTTGGCAACAACCCCTGTATTCAGTGAGGTAGACTTCTCTGATTAGTCATCCTAGATCGTGTATACAATCTTATGTTAGAGTAGGCTGAGTTCTTTATTAATAGAATCACTGAAATCACATAAAATTAAAGAGGATATTTCCTAACAATAAAAGTTAATGGACAAACAAAAAAACCCCAGATATCTACAACATCCTCATATTGCTATATAGAATAGTTATAAAAGATATATAATTGGCATTTGGAAAACCAGAAAATTGAAGCTTTAGTACCTTCGATTTACATTCTTCAGGACTCCTTATCTTCCAAGTTAACCTCTACACATTTTATCTTATTTTTCTAAGGAAAATCTTAAAGTTTGAGCCCAAACCTATGTTTTTTAGATTTTTAATCTAAGGTGCTCATTGTCTTTTTTTGCATCCTGTTTTTTCTTGGATGCTTCTGTACATTACCATCCTTAGACTCAGGGAAGGTGACCCCTGGACCATACCCCATGCTTCAGGGTATGCAGCACTTTGGATTGACTCTTTCAAGCTTTATTTTAAATAACACAATTTTTATGACAGCTAATTATTTTGATATAATCAGTAAATTATGAATTCCTTTTTAAATTTTTAAATTATTATTTTAAACTTCTATGTTAGTTTTAGGAGTACATGTGCAGGTTTGTTATATAGGCGAACTCATGTCACAGGGTTTGTTGTACAGATTATTTTGTCACTCAAGTACCAAGCCTAGTACCAAATAGATATTTTTTCTGATCCTCTCCCTCCTCGCACCTTCCTCCCTCAAGTAGACTCCCAATGTTTGTTCTTCCCTTCTTTGTGTCCATGTGTTCTCATCATTTAACTTCCACTTATAAGTGAGAACATATGCTATTTAGTTTTCTGTTCCTGCATTTGTTTGCTAAGGATTATGGCCTCCAGCTCCATCCATGTTTCTGCAAAGGACTGATCTTATTTTTTTTAATGACTTCATAGTATTCCATGGTGTGTATGTTCCACATTTGCTTTATACAATCTGCCATTGATGGGCATTATGGTTGATTCCATGTCTTTGCTATTGTGAATGATGCTGCAATGAACATGCATATGCATGTGTCTTTATGGTAGAAAAATTCATATTCCTTTGGGCATATACCCAGTAGTAGGATTGCTAGGTTGAATGGTAGTTATATTTTTAGCTCTTTGAGGACTTGTCACACTGCTTTACACTATGGTTCAACTAATTTTGCACTCCCACCAACAGCGTACACATGTTTCCTTTTCTTCAGGATCTTGCCAGCATCTGTTATTTTTTGACGTTTTAGTAATAGCCATTCTGACTGGTGTGAGATGGTATCTCATTGTGGTTTTGATTTTCCTGTCTCTAATGATCAGTTATATTGACTTTTTCTTCATATGTGTGTTGCCCACATGTATGTCTTCTTTCATAAAGTGTCTGTTCATGTCCTTTGCCCACTTTTTAACAGGGTTGCTTGTTCTTTGCTTGTAAATTTGTTTGTTTCCTATAGGTGCTAGATACATAGATGCAAATATTTTCTCCCATTCTGTAGTTTGTATGTTTACTCTGCTGATAGTTTCTTTTGCTGTGTACAAGCTATAGTTCAATTAGGTTCCATTTGTCAATTTTTGCTTTCGTTGCCATTGGTTTTGGCCTCTTTGTCATGAAATCTTTGCCTGTTCCTATGTCCAGAATGGTATTGTCTAGATTGTCTTCCAGAGTTTTTATAGTTTTGTGTTTTACATTTAAGTCTTTAATGGATCTTGAGTTGATTTTTGCATGTGGTGTAGAGAGGGGTCTAGTTTCAGTCTTCTTCATTTGGCTAGCCAGTTATCCCAGAACCATTTATTGAATAGGGAATCCTTTTTTCATCATTTGTTCTTGGCAGCTTTGTCAAACATCAGATGGTTTTAGGTGTTCAGTCATATTTCTGGGGCCTTTATTATATATGTGGATGTGTCTGTTTTTATACCAGTACCAAGCTGTTTTGTTTACTGTAGCCCTGTAGTACAGTTTGAAGTCGAGCATCATAATGCCTCCAGCTTTGTTCTTTTTGCAAAGGATTGCTTTGGCCAGCCGGGCTGTTTTTTTTTGGTTCTGTTTGGTTCCATATGAATTTTAAAATAGTTTTTTTCTAGTTCTGGAAAGAATGTCATTGGTAGTTTGATGGGAATAGCATTGTATCTATAAATTGCTTTGAGCAGTATGGCCATTTTACTAATATTGATTTTTCCTCTCCATGACCATAAAATGTTTTCCATTTGTTTGTGTCATCTCTGATTTCTTTACGCAGTGTTTTTTAATTTTCATTGTGGAGATCTTTAACCTCCCCGGTGAGTTGTTTTTCTATGTATTTTATTCTTTTTGTGGCAATTGTGAATGGGGTTTTAGTGCTGATTTAGCTGTTGGCTTGGCTGTTGTTGGTGTCTAGGAATGCTGGTGATTTCTATACATTGATTTTTATCCTGATAATTTGCTGAAGTTGCTTATCAGCTAAAGGAGCTTTTGGGCCAAGACTATGTCGTTTTCTGGATATAGCATCATGTCGTCTGCCAACAGGGATAGTTTGACCTCCTGTCTTCCTATTTGGATGCCTTTTATTTCTTTCTCTTGCATGATTGCTCTGGCCAGAACTTCCAATACTATGTTAAATAGGAGTGGTGAGAGAGGACATGTGTATCTTGTGCCAGTTTTCAAAGTGAATGCTTCAGATTTTGCCCATTTAGTATAATGTTGGCTGTGGGTGTGTCATAGATTGTTCTTAATATTTTGAGGTATGTTCCTTCAAAACTTAGTTTATTGAGAGTTTTTAACATAACAGGATATTGGATTATACTGAAAGCTTTTTCTGCATCTATTGAGATAATCATGTGGTTTTTGTCTTTAGTTCTGTTTATGTGATGAATGACATTTTTTGATTTGCATATGTTGAACCAACCTTGCATTGCAGAGATAAGGCCTACTTTATTGTGATGGATTAGGCTTTTTAAATGTGCTGCTTGATTTGGTTTGCAAGTATTTTGATGAGAATTTTTGTGTCAATGTTTCATCTAGGATATTGATCTGAAGTTTTCTTTTTTTGTTTTGTCTCTGCCAGGTTTTGGTATCAAGATGACACTGGCCTCATAGAATGCATTCGAAAGGAGCTCCTCCTCCTCAAATTTTTAGAATAGTTTCAGTAAGAAATGGTACCAGCACTTTTTAGTACATGTGGTAGAATTATGCTGTGAATCTATCTGGTCCTGAGCTTTTTTGATTGATAGCCTATTACTGATTCAATTATGGAGCTTGTTTTGGTCTGCTTAGGAATTAAATTTATTCTTTTTTCAGTCTTGGGAGGGTTTATGTGTCCAGGAATTTTATCCATCTCTTCTAGGTTTTCTAGTTTTTGTTCATTCAGCTGTTCATAGTAGTCTCTGATGGTATTTTGTATTTCTGCGGTGACAGTAATAAAATCCCCTTTATTGTTTCTTATTTTATTTACTTGAATCGTCTCTCTTTTCTTTGTCTACCTAGTGACCTATCTTATAAATTTTTACAAAGACAAACTCCTTTTTTCATTGATATTGTGAATACATTTTTGGTCTCAATCTTCAGTTCGGCTCTTATTTTCATTATTTCTTGTCTTCTGCTAGCTTAGGGGCTGGTTTGTTCTAGTTTCTCTAGTTCTTTTAGTTGTGAGGTTAAGTTGTTAATTTGATATATTTCTAAACTTTTGACATGGGCAGTTAGTACTATAAATGTTTTGGGAGCAAATTAATATTAAGTTATTATTATTATTATTTGAGACAGAGTCTCGCTCTGTTGCCCAGGCTGGAGTGCAGTGGTGCAATCTCAGACTACTGCAACCTCCACCTCCCAGGTTAAAGTGATTCTCATGCCTCCACCTCCTGAGAAGCTGGGATTACAGATGCACACTACCACACCTGGCTAATTTTTGTATTTTTAGTAGAGATGGGGTTTCACCATGTTGCCCAGGCTGGTCTCAAACTCCTGACCTCAGGTAATCCACCCCTCTTGGCCTCCCAAAGTGCTGGAATTACAGGCATGAGCCACTGTGCCTGGCTAAGCTTTTATTATTAAGCAACTTTTCTAAGTAAAGAAACAGATATAAAGTATAAGAAATTAATTTGACTGTCAGAGTTTTCACCATATATTTTAATGACAAAAATTGTATAACTGAGAAGGTAACAATACTATAGAGTAAATGATAAAATCCAAGCAATATAACTAATATTATGGATGTGAAGTCTGATCATTTCCAACTGAATGATCAGTAAACAGCAAATGAAGAAAGTTGGATTTGAACATCATAAATTTTTATCTTAACACTACCTTAGCTCTGTCCCAGAAATTTTATGTTGTATCTTTGTTCTCATTAGTTTTCCAGAATTTCTTGATTCTTGCCTTAATTTCATTGCTCCTCCAAAAGTCATTCAGGAGCAGGTTGTTTAATTTCCAAGTAAGTGCATGGTTTTGGATGATTTTTTAGTGTTGATTTCTACTTTTACTCTGATGTGGTCTGAAAGTGTGTTTGGTATAATTTCAATTCTTTTGCATTTTTAAAGTATTAGGTTATGTCTGATTTTGTGGTCTATTTTGGAGTATGTGCCATGCTCAGTGGAGAAGAATGTATATTCTATTGTTTTCAGGTGGAGAGTTCTATAGAGGTCTATCAGATCCATTTGGTTCAATGTTGAGTTCAGGTCCTGAATATCTTTGTTAATTTTCTGCCTCACTCTCAGTGGAGTGTTGAAGTTTCTCACTATTGTGTGTCCATCTAAGTCTCTTTGTGGGTCTCCAAGAACTTGTTTTATGAATCTAGGTGCTCCTGGGTTGGGTGCATATATATTTAGGATAGCTTACCTCTTCTGGTGGAACTGAACCCTTTGCCATTATATAATACCCTTCTTTGTCTTCTTTGACCTTTGTTGGATTAGAGTCTGTTTTGTGTGAAATTTGGATTGCAATCCCTGTTTCTTTTCTGATTTCCATTTGCTTGGTAAATTCTTCTCACTCCCTATATTTTGAGCCTATGATTGTCCTTGCATGTGAGATTGGTCTCTGGAAGACATCAGGCCACTAAGTCTTGCTTTGTTGTCCAGTTTGCTACTCTGTGCCTTTTAAATGGGGCATTTAGCCTGTTTATATTCAAGGTTAGTATTGATATGTGTGGATTTGATCCTGTCATTGGGTTGTTATCTGGTTATTTTGCCAGCTTGTTTGTGTGGTTGCTTTATAGTGTCACTGGTCAATGTACTTAAGTGTATGTTTGTATTGGCTGGTAATGGTCTTTCCTTTCCATATTTAGTGCTTCCTTCAAGATCTCTTGTAAGGTGGGTCTGGTGGTAAAGAAATCACTCAGCATTTGCTTATCTGAAAAGGATCTTATTTCTCCTTCATTGAGGAAGCTTAGTTAGGCTAAATATGAAATTCTTGGTTCAAGAGTATTTTCTTTAAGAATATTGAATATAGGCCCCCAATCTCTTTTGACTAAGAGGTCTGCTGTTAGTGTTATGGATTCCCTTTGTAGGTGACTTGCCCTTTCTCTCTAGCTGCCTTTTTTATTCTTTCCTTCACTTCAGCCTTGGAAAATCTGATGATTATATATCGCAGGGATGATCTTCTTGTGTAGAATCTTGCAGGAGTTCTCTGTATTTCCTCAATTTGACTATTGGCCTCCCTGGTGAGGATGGGGAAGTTTTCATGGGCAAATATCCTAAAATATGTTTTCCAAGTTTTTTTTTCCTTCCTATCCCTTCCAGAGATGTGAATAATTCATAGATTTGGTCTCTTTATATAATTCCATATTTTCCAGAGTTTTTTTTTCGTTGTTTTTTCTTTATTTTTGTCCGACTCTCTTATTTCAAAGAGCCAGCCTTCAAGTTCCAAAATTCTTTTCTCAGCTTGATCTATTCTGCTTATACTTGTGATTGCATTGTGAATTTCTTGTAGTGTGTTTTTCAGCTCTATCAAATCAGTTAGGTTCTTTTTTATTGTGGCTATTTTGTCAGCTCCTGTGTCATTTTATTGTGATTCGGTTTTGCTGTTCTTTTGACTCTCGATGATCTTTGTTTCTATCCATATTCTGAATTCTATTTCTGTCATTTCAGCCAACTGAGCTGGTTAAGTACCCTTACTGGAGAACTAATGCAGTCATTTGGAGGACATAAGACACTCTGGCCATTTGAGTTGCTGCAGTTCTTGCATTGTTTTTTTTCTTATGTCTGCATGTTTTTTTATTTGTTTGTTGTTGTTGTTTTGTTTTGTTTTCTGCTGGGCTGCCTCCGATTGAAGTAGTCAGGCAAGGGCAGGGTTGTTGTGCTGCCCAGGTTGGGTGGCCCTGCCCAGTGAGAAGTGAGTCCTGGGACCACTTCCCTGGGTGGGTGATGCTCCCCTGGCTCTGTGTCACTCCTAGGTGGATGGTCATCCTGCCTTGCTTTTCTCTGTTCTCTATGGGTTGAGGCCTTTTTTTTTTTTTCTTTTAATGAATCTCAATGTACATACCTCGATGTTTCAGTTGTAGGTGGTATATTAATTGCTGCTTCTATTTCTCTCTGTGAGAATGGTGCACAGTAGCTGCTTCTAGTTGGCCATCTTGACCAGCCTCCTCCTCAAGCTTATAAAGTAACCCTCCAGTGACTGGGACAGGGCAGGGACAACAGAGCCTTTTGGGAAGTGCACTCCAGAATGTTATGAGTATCACTGACCTGAAGTCTCTCCCTCAAATTTGTCTAAATCCTTCTCTGGTACCTGGTTCTGGCCAAGGTTGATACTGATGTTTGAGCAACTTGTTTTGAGTCTGAATGGGACTCAAGTGGGCCCCCATCCCAATTTCTCACCTTTAATTTATTCTCAGACCCACTACCCTGCATATGGAGTTTACAATACACCCTGGGATGCTTCAAGCTTCCTATCAATGGAATCATATTGGGGCACAGTGGCTGCATTTCAGCTCAAGCACTGTATTTCTTTCACAAGATTGTGTGATATTTGACAGCCCAAATAATGCCGACATACTGATTTGGGGTGACTTTCAAAATGGACACAGGATTAGTTCAGTTTTCTGAGAACTGATGATCCCTCATTTCCACTTGGTCTTTATCTGCATGTGTGAACATTTACCCTGTGTGCTGTATGCTGCTAGCACCCAGTATGGCCATCCTATGTCCTCCATAGGCTTTGTGTCATGTGTTAGGCAGTCCTCTGGAGGTGGCTGCTGCACCTGTCTCCTCTGTAGGCTATTGAGGCCACTACCCCACAATGACCTCTCTTGCTTTCTACTGATGTTAAAATATAACACTCTCTCAGGTTGGTCATAAGCTGTGCTGGATGAAGGATGGGCATTTCTTGAGAAAATGGAACCATTGTTCTTACTCTTCCTGTGGGTCCCTTGTCTATCCTCCCTGCTGATAGCTATGTGTAAAATACAGGGATGCTATCAACATTGAAAAAGATTATATTCTATAAATGTATTGATTATGGTCTAAAGAGTTCAAAAGGAGACATTATTGGAAGATGTGTCTTTATATCATAAAATTCTGATTGATACATTTAGCATGACCATAAAACAAACTATTGCTCACATTTTTCTGCATACACTGGATGAGACGTACATTTGTGATCATCATCAACAAAGAATAGTAATAAACTTTTAAGAAAGGCACTGGAAGTCAGTATTCACAAGGGGTAGGGGTAGAATGGATGAGGTAGTACCATGAGTGATAGTGTAACCAACATTAAATAAACGGCATTAGAGAACTGCAGGAGCAGGAAGATGTACATTATTTTAAAATAAACTGGTCATGAAGAATCATAGTATTATGAATAATAATGGTATTGCTATTTTTTATCCTAGTGAGAGATATGAAATTAGTCAGAAATAACACATTTGACAATAAAACACTCAAAGATATAATTTCTGGACCTTAACAGAAAGAGACAGTGCCTGAACACTATGAAGAATCTTCACATACACTTTTTGCCTTAACCAATGCAAAAGTAACTCTTCTGTATCCATTGTTCTAAATCATCTTGATCTGCCCAATATTCTAAATCTTCATCAATTAACCACTATACTTCATATGAGCCCATTAATTTTATATGGTTTTAAAATTAAGTTGTTTATACAGTCAGAGGCCTCAGTCTAGACCCCCCTACACACACCCTAGGAGGGGCTCTGCTTCTGTATATGTTGATGTCCACATTAAAATTCTTTCCGTGTACTCAGACTCCACATTTCTTCCCACATTTCTTCCCACATACACATATACACATGGTAATTTACTTTTAATCCAGCATCATCAAGGAAAGAGGTATTCTAAAAATGTTAGCTTTCCAGAAAACTAAAACTTGCCTTTTTAAGAGCTGAAATGTTTAGAAAATCAGCAAGATACCCATTATAGTTTATACAAATTTATGTACAAGATGATAAACAAAATCTAACAGAATATAAAAATATCTTGCTTCATGACTCAAAAAGAGATCAATATGACCATCAAATATCAGGCCATGTAGCATATTGTGCTCTTTGTATTTATTAAAATATGTCATCCATACTCCAAATAGCCCAAAATACAATGCTTTTAGTTGCTTGGGTATAGTCATAGAGATTTCATCCTCCAGTCTGCTACAAGAATGTCTGTCATTTTTCATTGCAGTCTGTCACCTGATTTGACAACTTTCTTTACTTGTGTTTACTTTTTAATTTGCAGCTTTTAATCTTCTGTAGATTGGAGAATGAGTGTATTAGTCTGTTTTCATACTGCTGATAAAGACACACCCAAGACTGGGCAATTTACAAAAGAAAGAAGTTTAATTAGACTTAGAGTTCCACGTGACTGGGGAAGCCTCACAATCATGGTGGAAGGCAAGGAAGAGCAAGCCACGTCTTACATGAGTGGCAGCAGGCAAAGAGAGAATGAGGAAGACACAAAGGCAGAAATCCCTGATAAAACCAGCAGGTCTCGTGAGACTTATTCAGTACCATGAGAACAGGATGGGGAAAACCGCCCCCATTATTCAATTATCCATCAGGTCCCTCCCACAACACATGGGAATTATGGAAGTACAACTCAAGATGAGATTTGGATGGGGATACAGAGCTGAACCACATCATTCTGCCCCTCTCCCCTGCCAAATCTCATGTCCTCATATTTCAAAGCCAACCATGCCTTCCCAAGTTCCCCAAAGTCTTAACTCATTTCAACATTAACTCAAAAGTCCACAGTCCAAAGTCTCATCTGAGAGAAGACAAGTCTCTTTTGCCTATGAGCCTGTAAAATCAAATGCAAGCTAGTTATTTCCTAGATACAATGGGGGTACAGATATTTGATAAATACAACCACTCCAAATGGAAGAAATTGGCCAAAACAAAGGGGCAACAGGGCCAGTGTAAGTCTGAAATTCAGCGGGGCAGTCAAATCTTGAGGCTCCAAAATGATCTCATTTGACTCCATGTCTCACATCTAGGTCATGATGATGCAAGAGGTGGGTTCCCACAGTCTTGGGCAGCTCTGCCCCTGTGGCTTTGCGGGGTACAGCCTCCCTCCCAGCTGCTTTCATGGGCTGGCATTGAGTTTCTGCAGTTTTTCCAGGTGCACAGTGCAAGCTGTTAGTGGATATACAATTTTGGGGTCTGGAGGACAAAGGCCCTCTTCTCATAGCTCCATTAAGTGGTGCCCCAGTAGGGACTCTGTGTGGGGGCTCTGACTCCACATTTCACTCCCACAGTGCCCTAGCACAAGTTCTCCATGAGGACCCCATCCCTGCAGCAAACTTCTGAAATCTAGGTGGAGTTTCCCAAACCTCAATTCTTGACTTCTGTGCACCCACAGACTCAACACTACATGAAAGCTGCCAAGGCTGGAGGCTTGCACCATCTGAAGCCATGGCCTGAGCTCTACATTGGCCCCTTTCAGGACTGGACCATGGCTGGAGCGGCTGGGCTCAGGGAACCAAGTGCCTAGGCTGCATACAGCTCTGGGACCCTGGCCCCAGCCCATGAAACCACTTCTTTCTCCTAGGCCTCCAGGCCTATGATGGGAGGAGCCACCGTGAAGACATCAGACATGCCCTGGAGACTCCTTCCCCATTGTCTTGGGGATTAACATTGGCTCCTCATTATTTATGCAAATTTCTGCAGCTGGCTTGAATTTCTCCTCAGAAAATAGAATTTTCTTTTCTATCACATTGTCAGGCTGCAAATTTTTCAAACTTCTGTGCTCTGTTTCCCTTTTAAAATTGAATGCTTTTATTGGGGCCCAAGTTACCCCTTGAATGCTTTGCTGCTTAGAAATTTCTTCTGCCAGATACCCTAAAATCATCTCTCTCAAGTTCACAGTTCCACAAATCTCTAGGACAGGAGCAAAACGCTGCCAGTCTCTTTGCTAAAATACAACAAGGGCCACCTTTGCTCCTGTTCCCAATAAGTTCCTCATCTCCATCTGAGACCACCTTAGCCTGGACCTTATTGTCCATATTGCTATCAGCATTTCGGGCAAAGCCATTCAACAAATATCTAGGAAGTTCCAAAGTTTCCCACATTTTCCTGTCTTCTTCTGAGCCCTCCAAACTGTTCCAACCTCTGCCTGTTACCCAGGTCCAAAGTCACTTCCACATTTTTCAGTATCTTTTCAGCAATGCCCTACTCTACAGGTACCAATTTACTGTATTAGTCCATTTTCACAGTGCTGATAAAGAAATACCCAAGACTTGGCAATTTACAAAAGAAAGAGGTTTAATTGGACTTAGAGTTCTGCATGTCTGGGGAAGCCTCACAATCATGGTGGAAGGCAAGGAAGAGCAAATCATGTCTTATATGGATGGCAGCAGGCAAAGAGAAAATGAGGAAGGTGCAAAAGCAGAAACCCCCGATAAAACCACCATATCTTTTGAGACTTATTCACTACCATGAGAACAGTATGGGAAAAACCACTCCCATGATGCAATTCTCTCCTATCAGGCCACTCCCACAATAGGTGGGAATTATGGGAATAAAATTCAAGATGAGATTTGGGTGGGGACACAAAGCCAAACCATATCAATGAGATAAGTAAGTGTATATAAAATGGTGTATATATATTTATATAGATAGATACGGATATATCAATATACGAATCTGAAAAAGGGATAAAATACTTTATGGTATAAAAGACTTGAACTTTAGTTCATGGGAGTATTATGAGAAAAATCTTAGGTTTATCTGTTTATTTCTCAGTTCAGCATTGAAGTTGCTGGAAGTCTGATATTCTTATTTATGTTGGAATTTGTGTGGGTGTATGTGTTCACACTAGTTTTTATGTTTGTGTATATACACACACACACACACACACACACACACATCCATCTTATTTTGTGAACAACAGATTTGACTGAATACCCTTAACAAGAAGGAAATGATTATTAAATTTATTAATTATGGGCATATTTAAATTTCTTATGTTGGCATTCTTCATAGTTCGTTTGAACTAATAGTCTCCATAGTTCATTAGTCTTTAGTGCCTGCCAATAAAAGAAAAACATCACTTTAATTTTGCCAATGTATATGAATTGCATAGCATAGCAGGATCCTGACCCATGCTATTAGTTAACTGAATGAAAGGTTCTCTGGAAGGCTCATGGTCCACATGTAAAAGAAAAAATTTTAAGCATATCTATTTAATGTATTTACTAATAGCAGTTAATGATTTACAGCAAAGCTTAGTTGGTCTTTTGCAGTCCCAGCTTGTATCTTGGTATCCCAGGTCTATGTCCCATTAAATCCTCAGAGTCATGAAGAATGACTATTCTTTTGGCTTTAAAAATCTACTGGCCCTGGCCGGGCACGGTGGCTCACGCCTGTAATCTCAGCATTTTGGGAGGTTGATGTGGGTGGATCAAAATGTCAAGAGATTGAGACCATCCTGACCAACACAGAGAAACCCCGTCTCTACTAAAAATAAAAAAATTAGCTGGGTATGGTGGTGCACACCTGTAGTCCTAGTTACTCGGGAGGCTGAGGCAGGAGAATCACTTGAACCCGGGAGGCGGAGGTTGCAGTGAGCCAAGATCGTGCCATTGCACTCCAGCCTGGTGACAGAGTGAGACTCTGTCTAAAAAAAAAAAAAAAAAAAAAAAAAAATCTACTGGTCCTATGCAGCAGTACCACAACAAGCCTCTAAAGTCCTTTGAATATAATAATGGAAGTTCTCTTCTTCCTTTGAATAATTTGAAGTCAGGATGCCCTCACTCTAACCCCTGGGTTCTCATCTGAGTTTCTTATTTCATGAGTTATTCACTGTCAGAGATATAACTGAACTATAATCTTAGAGAAATAGCTGTAGTCTTCTTCTTTAATTCCCTTTGCTTTATAAAAATGACCTTAGTTACCTTCCTAGCCTATAGGAAAATATCTATCAAAGGAGACCATGAGAGTTTTTAAAGCTTTCAAGTCAGCAGTATGCTTTCAAAGAAAGGAACTCAGCTAGGATTTAGGAGACCTTGAGATTATTTTTTGTCTTTCCTTGGTATCTCATTTATTGACCTGGAACAAGTCACTGGAGGCCTCTCTAGGCCTGAAATTTCTCATGCATAAAATGGGTATATCTCCTGATTAATGTAGGCTGCCTCATTTTACTTCTCAATGTTGAAATTTATCCATGTGAAGTATCTCTCATGGTCAATTTATTTTGTGATGGAGTTGGAATAATGATAATGAGAAGACTTTCTCAGAGGTAGTGAAAGAAAGTACCAACAGCACAACCTGAATATGGCAGGTACACACATAGCAACGTTCCACTCACGACCTATTCTTGCAATGCTTGAGGGGTTACCAGAGATGACATGCAGTGGCTGCTTTGAACATTCCTGTTGACCATTAAGTCCCTCAGATACTTGAATAGAATTGTAACCTCTCACTCCCACTCTCCTTGACCCACCACCACACCTTGCCCCAGGGATAAATAACCCTTGAGTTTAGAGAAGGAATGTTAGGAAGGGCGAGACATGTGTTAATTCTATAATTAAGAGACAGTATTTCCCTTCTGACCTTTCCCCAAAAGCGTGTTACCAGCTAAGTCTTTAAAATAAAAACCCATTAACATGGGTAAAATTGTTTCTGACTTACTTGTTTCACCTACCATTGGAAATGTCCAAGTCCTATTACTTGATTTTTGTAAACAAATTTCACTTTGGACAGTCACATGTGCATATGATCTGAAAGCCTCAGCACAGTAGCCTTTTGCAGAGGAGCATGTATAACTTAAATCAATTGCCACGATGGTCAAAAAGACAAGACTGAGGAAAGTGTAACTATTTTAGAGAGGAAATGAAGGCCTCCATGCTATTTTGCAGAAGTGCAGAGAGATTTTCATTAAAATTTTCCTTCCTTTTTGCCTACTTTTTAATCCTAATAAAATTACTCCCGTCTTTCAAATTTCCCCTCCCCCTAAATCAAAATGCTGCCACACTCTCAAAAGCTCCCTGCAGTTTATAGAGATGATGTCATCTGCTTTAAAACATCTGAATAACTTGTCCTGTTGCTGAATAAATTTGTTCAACATCTAGGTTCCATGGCTCTATACAACCTGATTCATACTGCTTACTTTGTCAGTAATCTTTATTAATATTTCATCATCGCTTTTCTTTCCAAAGGGCTGAGGTTTGCACTTCTCCTGCAATGCTGGGAGGGAGTGATAGAGGCAGAAAGCCTTACTGATTTACATAAAGATTGCAAACTATTATTCTCTGAGTAATTTTAAAGTGCACACATTGCATACCACTTTCCGATGTAATCATATCCCTGCCTATTGAGCCTGACATGCATGAAATCCATAATTGGAATTGGCTTTATAAGAGGAAAATCACTTCTTACAGGGGAAGTAAGAAGTGTTATCTTCTTAAACTGCTTTTCAAGGACAGCCAATGGGAGTCAATTAAATCATTTTTTAAAAATACTATTCAGACACTCATTCCAAAATAAGTGTAGACTCTGGTCCATCACACTTCTTCAGGCTCCCCCTCACACTCACTTCACTTCAACCTTTTTACTTTTATTTAAACTTCTTCCAGCATCTACCTTTATCTTGATCTTTATGTCTTGTCGATAGTTTCTCATCTGTTTAAATATCAAATATTATTTTATTGATTGTTATAGTTCCTTCTTTGAAGTCTTATTTGTTTTTCAACTCATACCATCTTGCATGCTAGTTTGTATAGTAAGAGTTTTTGACATGCTGACTCCAGCAAGATACAGACCATGTCCTCTAAATCCAGAATGTCTATACATCTTAGTTTTCTCATAATGGCCAGGTTATACCACTTGCTATTCCATTATAATTTAATAGTGAATTTTTTAAATCAAAAGTGTTCTCATTTCAATAATAAATTATATGATCAATTTATCAAGATCTCTTCTATTGCTGTACCCCACAATATTATGCTAGGCAACAAGTTAAGTGCTCAATATGTTTTGATTAAAGGGAAGCAGCCTGCTTCTTGTCTTGCAATTACATTACCATTATTTATTGCCTATGTTATCTCTGTGAATCATGTGTCATAGCCTATGTATATTTTACTAACTCAGTTCCAGCATTTCTGTTGGGGAGCCTTATCATCATATGTCAAATGCAAAAATTGACTATATATGTGGTAACTGAGGTAGAGTTTGATAGTCTTACATTCACTCCTGGATCAAAATATAGGCACTGTCAGTTACTTATATCCATTAAGAAGAATGTGCATGGATAATATGACAAATAACATTATTCAAAACCGTATGGTAAATTATATAGTTTGGCTGAAGATTTCATTTTCTGACTATTACATTTAATCTGATGTTGGTATTATTTTTTTCCCCAACCCCTACTCAATAATCACTGTATGTGGCAACCTCAGTAAAAGTGCTGGAGTCTGGAAGAGAAATAAGCAAATTAGATTTATCTCCAGCACAGATCTTTAGGTACACTCTGGTTAGTCTCTGAGCTCTTTCACAAATCAAAACTATAAAGTGTTTCAGAGCCTATGAAAGAAGAACATGTACCCAGAACTTCCAACACTATGTTGAATAGGAGTGGTGAGAGGGGGCATCCCTGTCTTGTGCCAGTTTTCAAAGGGAATGCTTCCAGTTTTTGCCCATTCAGTATGATATTGGCTGTGGGTTTGTCATAGATAGCTCTTATTATTTTGAGATACGTCCCATCAATACCTAATTTATTGAGAGTTTTTAGCATGAAGGTTGTTGAATTTTGTCAAAGGCCTTTTCTGCATCTATTGAGATAATCGTGGTTTTTGTCTTTGGTTCTGTTTATATGCTGGATTACATTTACTGATTTGCGTATATTGAACCAGGCTTGCATCCCAGGGATGAAGCCCACTTGATCATGGTGGATAAGCTTTTTGATGTGCTGCTGGATTCAGTTTGCCAGTATTTTACTGAGGATTTTTGAGTCAATGTTCAAGGATATTGGTCTAAAATTCTCTTTTTTGGTTGTGTCTCTGCCCGGCTTTGGTATCAGGATGATGCTGGCCTCATAAAATGAGTTAGGGAGGATTCCCTCTTTCTCTATTGATTGGAATAGTTTCAGAAGGAATGGTGCCAGTTCCTCCTTGTACCTCTGGTAGAATTCTGCTGTGAATCCATCTGGTCCTGAACTCTTTTTGGTTGGTAAGCTATTGATTATTGCCACAATTTCAGAGCCTGTTATTGGTCTATTCAGAGAGTCAACTTCTTCCTGGTTTAGTCTTGGGAGGGTGTATATGTCGAGGAATTTATCCATTTCTTCTAGATTTTCTAGTTTATTTGCACAGAAGTGTTTGTAATATTCTCTGATGGTAGTTTGTATTTCTGTGGGATTGGTGGTGATATCCCCTTTATCATTTTTGATTGCATCTATTTGATTCTTCTCCCTTTTCTTCTCTATTAGTCTTGCTAGCGGTCTATCAATTTTGTTGATCCTTTCAAAAAACCAGCTCCTGGATTCATTAATTTTTTGAAGGCTTTTTTTGTCTCTATTTCCTTCAGTTCTGCTTTGATTTTAGTTATTTCTTGCCTTCTGCAAGCTTTTGAATGTCTTTGCTCTTGCTTTTCTAGTTCTTTTAATTGTGATGTTAGGGTGTCAATTTTGGATCTTTCCTGCTTTCTCTTGTGGGCATTTAGTGCTATAAATTTCCCTCTACACACTGCTTTGAATGCGTCCCAGAGATTCTGGTATGTTGTGTCTTTGTTCTCGTTAGTTTCAAAGAACATCTTTATTTCTGCCTTCATTTCGTTATGTACCCAGTAGTCGTTCAGGAGAAGGTTGTTCAGTTTCCTTGTAGTTGAGCGGTTTTGAGTGAGTTTCTTAATCCTGAGTTCTAGTTTGATTGCACTGTGGTCTGAGAGACAGTTTGTTATAATTTCTGTTCTTTTACATTTGCTGAGGAGAGCTTTACTTCCAACTATGTGGTCAGTTTTGGAATTGGTGTGGTGTGGTGCTGAAAAAAATGTATATTCTGTTGATTTGGGGTGGAGAGTTCTGTAGATGTCTATTAGGTCCTCTTGGTGCAGAGCTGAGTTCAATTCCTGGGTATCCATGTTAACTTTCTGTCTCGTTGATCTGTCTAATGTTGACAGTGGGGTGTTAAAGTCTCCCATTATTATTGTGTGGGAATCTAAGTCTCTTTGTAGGTCACTCAGGACTTGCTTTATGAATCTGGGTGCTCCTGTATTGGGTGCATATATATTTAGGATAGTTAGCTCTTCTTGTTGAATTGATCCCTTTACCATTATGTAATGGCCTTCTTTGTCTCTTTTGATCTTTGTTGGTTTAAGTCTGTTTTATCAGAGACTAGGATTGCAACCCCTGCCTTTTTTTGTTTTCCATTTGCTTGGTAGATCTTCCTCCATCCCTTTATTTTGAGCCTATGTGTGTCTCTGCATGTGAGATGGGTTTCCTGGGTACAGCACACTGATGGGTCTTGACTCTTTATCGAATTTGCCAGTCTGTGTCTTTTAATTGGAGCATTTAGTCCATTTACATTTAAAGTTAATATTGTTAAGTGTGAATTTGATCCTGTCATTATTGTGTTAGCTGGTTATTTTGCTCATTATTTGATGCAGTTTCTTCCTAGCCTCGATGGTCTTTACAATTTGGCATGATTTTGCAGTGGCTGGTACCGGTTGTTCCTTTCTATGTTTAGTGCTTCCTTCAGGAGCTCTTTTAGGGTAGGCCTAGTGGTGACAAAATCTCTCAGCATTTGCTTGTCTGTAAAGTATTTTATTTCTCCTTCACTTATGAAGCTTAGTTTGGCTGGATATGAAATTCTGGGTTGAAAATTCTTTTCTTTAAGAATGCTGAATATTGGCCCCCACTCTCTTCTGGCTTGTAGAGTTTCTGCTGAGAGATCCGCTGTCTGGCCAGGGCAATTATGCAGGAGAAGGAAATAAAGGGTGTTCAATTAGGAAAAGAGGAAGTCAAATTGTCCCTGTTTGCAGATGACATGATTGTATATCTAGAAAACCCCATCGTCTCAGCCCAAAATCTCCTTAAGCTGATAAGCAACTTCAGCAAAGTTTCAGGATACAAAATCAATGTACAAAAATCACAAGCATTCTTATATACCAATAACAGACAAACAGAGAGCCAAATCAAGAGTGAACTCCCATTCACAATTGCTTCAAAGAGAATAAAATACCTAGGAATCCATCTTACAAGGGACGTGAAGGACCTCTTCAAGGAGAACTACAAACCACTGCTCAATGAAATAAAAGAGGATACAAACAAATGGAAGAACATTCCATGCTCATGGGTAGGAAGAATCAATATCGTGAAAATGGCCATACTGCCCAAGGTAATTTATAGATTCAATGCCATCCCCATCAAGCTACCAATGACTTTCTTCACAGAATTGGAAAAAACTACTTTAAAGTTCATATGGAACCAAAAAAGAGCCCGCATCACCAAGTCAATCCTAAGCCAAAAGAACAAAGCCGGAGGCATCACACTACCTGACTTCAAAGTATACTACAAGGCTACAGTAACCAAAACAGCATGTTACTAGTACCAAAACAGAGATATAGATCAATGGAACGGAACAGAGCCCTCAGAAATAATGCCACATATCTACAACTATCTGATCTTTGACAAACCTGAGAAAAACAAGCAATGGGGAAAGGATTCCCTATTTAATAAATGGTGCTGGGAAAACTGGCTAGCCATATGTAGAAAGCTGAAACTGGATCCCTTCCTTACACCTTATACAAAAATTCATTCAAGATGGATTAAAGACTTAAATGTTAGACCTAAAACCATAAAAACCCTAGAAGAAAACCTAGTCATTACCATTCAGGACATAGGCATGGGCAAGGACTTCATGTCTAAAACACCAAAAGCAATGGCAACAAAAGCCGAAATTGACAAATGGGATCTAATGAAACTAAAAAGCTTCTGCACAGCCAAAGAAACTACCATCAGAATGAGCAGGCAACCTACAAAATGGGAGAAAATTTTCACAACCTACTCATCTGACAAAGAGCTAATATCCAGAATCTACAATGAACTCAAACAAATTTACAAGAAGAAAACAAACAACCCCATCAAAAAGTGGGCAAAGGACACGAACAGACACTTCTCAAAAGAAGACATTTATGCAGCCAAAAAACACATGAAAAAATGCTCACCATCACTGGCCATCAGAGAAATGCAAATCAAAACCACAATGAGATACCATCTCACACCAGTTCGAATGGCGATCATTACAAAGTCAGGAAACAACAGGTGATGGAGAGGATGTGGAGAAATAGGAACACTTTTACACTGTTGGTGGGACTGTAAGCTAGTTCAACCCTTGTGGAAGTCAGTGTGGCGATTCCTCAGGGATCTAGAACTAGAAATACCATTTGACCCAGCCATCCCATTACTGGGTATATACCCAAAGGACTATAAATCATGCTGCTATAAAGACACATGCACACATATGTTTATTGTGGCACTATTCACAATAGCAAAGACTTGGAACCAACCCAAATGTCCAACAATGATAGACTGGATTAAGAAAATGTGGCACATATACACCATGGAATACTATGCAGCCATAAAAAATGATGAGTTCATGTCCTTTGTAGGGACATGGATGAAATTGGAAATCATCATTCTCAGTAAACTATCACAGGGACAAAAAACCAAACACCACATGTTCTCACTCATAGATGGGAACTGAACAATGAGAACACATGGAAACAGGAAGGGGAACGTCACACTCTGGGGACTGTTGTGGGGTGGGCGGAGGGGGGAGGGATAGCATTAGGAGATATACCTAATGCTAAATGATGAGTTAATGGGTGCAGCGCACCAGCATGGCACATGTATACATATGTAACTAACCTGCACATTGTGCACATGTACCCTAAAACTTAAAGTATAATAATAATAAACTAAACAAAACAAATAAAAGGATAGAGAGAAATGTAAAAAAAAAAAAAAAAAAAAAAGAAGATGTGCCCATATACTCCTCCTGTCAGGCACACAGTGAAGACATTTCTGAGAGGTGAGGCATCCTAAAGTCACTAATTGCCCAACCCTTAGAAACTCCTCCACACCAAACAAATTTTAAGTTGTTTAGCAATGCACTCCCCATATTCCTCTGCTCCTAACTTATCTTTCCAGTCTTATCTGTCAGTACATTACCTCATATCACTCACTTTATTTATTCAGCACTGCTCATGATTACCCAATGTTTTTTACATCTCAGCAGTTTTGTTGTTGTTGTTACAATCACCTCTTTCCTGTAATATCTTACTCTCTTGTCCGAATATCCCTCCAAGTCCAAATTCTAAATATTTGTTTATGGCTTTACTTAAATACTATTTTGTTCATATTCTCCCTATCCAAAAGCAATATTTATCTCCTTTGAACTCCAAGTACATCTTAATTTCCCCTCTTTTAGGGTGTTTATCACCTTGTGTCCTGAATTATTTATTTGTGCACAAACCTTATAATGTTGATTAAATTGTAAACAACTTAATGGCAGGGATAACATATATCTTTCTATCACCTTTGAGGTTTAGATGACAATTATGAGAAACTTAGTTAATGATTAATAGATAAATAAATGTGTCCATCTAGTCAGGACATCAGAGCTCTTGTTTTCACAATGGCTGACCTGGCTATATCCAACAATTCTGTGATTGCCCCAATATCCATTGATATTTAGTGATACTCATAGGTAGTTCAAATGAAAGGACTCAAAATGAACCTGTCATCTGGGCTACACATTGACAAAACAGACACAGTTCTGATATGAGCACAAAAGTTTTATGTCATTTTGATAAATAACTGAAGTTATAATTGGTAGTACCCTTGTTTTGCTTTATAATCTCTAATGTCACTAGATTGAATATCTTTCAAGAAGTATAATTACACATCTTTCATCATAATAAAAAAGTTTGTGTGACATTTAGTTCTTAAATCATGATATTTGCTATGAATTATGAGAACAATGTTGGCCTTTGATACCATGGTGATGCTACTGTACTGTGAATTTTGGTTATAATTCATATTTTCTGCCATGTCTAAAGCATTATGAGTATCATATGGACAGCATCATAATACATATTCTTTATGCTAACCGAAATATGATTACTTGAATGACTCTCTAGAGCATATTATGACGAAATTTAAAAACATTTTCTAACTTAATTTTTTGTTTTTTGGAAACTTTCATAATATTAATATACACTTTTTTCTTATGAATATTATAATTCTTAGCCTAAAATAGACTTATAGCCATAAGAATAAGTAAGTCAAATTTGTATTTATCCTGTCCAGATGATAATAAATGTTATAGAAAAGTATGTTTTCCTAAGTGAAAGTGATTAGATAATCCTAGAGTCAGAGAGTTTCAAGTTTGAAATAAACATGTTGGGACATCCAATCTACCTTGCCACTTAAAGTAGAAATCTTTATATACTGGTCCTGACAGGTGACCATCTTGTTCGTATCTGAACTGCTGTGGTAAAATCTACTTCTCCAACTAGTTTCAGTCCTGTCTTTTGGGGTGATGGAAAACTAATTCTTGTCTAAGACAATTTTCAAATATTTGAAGATGAATTTCCCTCTTAGTCTTGTCCTGATTTTTATTTTTGGTTTGTTTAGCCATTTTTGCAACAATTAATTAATTAGTCAGTTAATTAATTGTTTTTTTAAAAGATAGAAACCTAGCTCCTCTGGTAAACCTTTTCTGAATGTTTTCTAGTTTTTTTAATGCTCTCTCCAAAATACAGAACTCAGAACAAAAGACCACATAATTTTTGTTGACCAGCCATTATAGAAATGTGTGGGACTATTGCTATCCGTAAATTGGCCATTATATTTCTGTTAATGTAGATTCCTGGATAGCTAGTTCATGTTTATCATTGTTTTATAATCATCTTGTGATCAACAAACATTCCCAGAATCTTTTTCACATGAGTTTCTGCCCAGGTTTATTTCCTTTGGACTGTTATTAGGTAATTGATTTTTTAAATGCCTAAAAGCTGTTTAAGTAATGCGTGCTTATCAAATGTATTTTATAAAATACAGAGCATAAAAAATGAAACCCATAACCCGATGATGTACAGATAATAATTGTTAAAATTTTGATGTGTTTTCTTCCACTTTATATTTGGATAATGGAAGTTGTAGCATATGAATACCCTGATTTTTTAGTTATGTCAAATAATGTTTTTGTACCCATAAAATGCTGAAAAAGTGTATGTATATGCTTATTTTTATTCTGTAGTTATTTGTAATTGCCATTGATAAATTCCCTGTGACTTTATGTTTTCAATTTTTGTGTTTTAAATGTTATAAATAATGCTGACACTGAGACACTTAGGTAATACATTGGGGCAATATGTTATTTTTCTGAAAAAATGCTGTTACACCTTCATCTCACAGAATACAATAAAATAAATTCCCTAAAAATGAGAGATGTATATACAGATGGTCCCTGACTTATGATGGTTTTACTTACAATTTTTTTTTTACTTCAAGGTGGAGCAAAAGTAGTACACATTCAGTAGAAACTGTACTTTGAGAAGCCATACAACTATTCTGTTTTTCACTTTCAGTACAGTACTTAATACATTACAGAGATATTCAAAACTTTATTGTAAAACAGACTTTGTGTTAGATATTTTTGCCCAACTATAGGCTAATGTCAGAGTTCTGAGCACATTTAAGATAGACTAAGCTAAGCTATAATGTTTAGTAGGTTATGTATATTAAATGCATTTTTACTTAACAATTCTTTCAAGTTACAACAGGCTTATCAGGTCATAATCCCATTTTTAGTCAAGGAGCATCTATAGTAAGAAAAGCTAATAACACTTGGAAGAAAATATAGGTAAATTTAGGCCTAATGAGAAAGAGTTTGTAATCATACAAGAAACAACAAAGTGAAAATCAATACATTTGATTACATAAAAGACATTCAGAATTTCAAAAAATATATAGATGAAAATGTTATTTGGCATTTTGTGAAAAAAATATTTTTAATCATTGATCTTCATAATATGTAAAACCATACAAATAATATTAAAAAATTTAAATTCCACTGGTATAACGTATAAGAAACATGAAGAAATAATTTGCAAAGCATTAGTTTCATAACAGACATATTATGGCCATGTGTGTATGTATAAGAGTATTCATTGCCCAATATAAATGCTTTGCACTAAAACAATGTGAAAATAAAGTTACAGGATGTAATATGAGTCTCCAAAGCATGTTTTAATGGTTGTATATTTAACATAATGGGGAAATGCTAACAATTAATGCTATTAGAGAAAAATAGGATATTATGTACATATGATTATAATTTAATAGAAAAAAATATGTATAGTAATAAAATGAAAGGCCATGCATCATTATGTGAACATTAGTTATTTCTATGTGGAATATTTGTGCATGATGTTTAATCGTTTCTTTGGGCCTTTAGCACTACTTAAATCTGTTGTTCAAAAATTAGAATTACAATTATTTGCCTATTTAAAATATATTGTGATAAAAATCAAGATTAACTAGTCCTGATCATCAAGCATCCATTTTTTTTAAGTTCCTATTATCCTATCAGTCTTCTCGGAGACACGGGAAAACTTATTACAAAACTTAGGCACTTGGAATCTAGTGGTAGAGTCATGTGAGGAGCCATTTAAACATTTTAGACAGTGACCATTTAGACCATTTAGAATTAAGTTCACCCTAAGTCTGGGTGATTATCCAAATCATGCAGACAAGCTACTCAAAAATACAGATCCCAGGTTTCTATTCCTAATGATCATTGCTCAGTATGTTTGGAGTGAATAGGCATCTGTATTTTTTAGGGCTTCTTCAATGACTCTGATGATCATCCAGGCTTGGCAATCACTGAAGTAGACAACTTATGCAATCAAATAAACTAGAAATAGAATGATCAAGAGATATGGAGGAGCAAGAGTATAATCAGTATGTGTGTGCGGGGGGTGGCAGGGATGGAATAGTCAAGAAAGCTTGCATGAGGTGAACCAAGAGGCAGATTTAGCCAAAGGGAAAATTTACCATTTTCACTCTGTGTTATTTGCTCAGACCTAGACTCTTTCTCAAAATGTATTTGAGTTTCTTCACACACATACACACACACACAAATTTCTGTCTACATAGAAATATATATTTCTAAATATTTGTTTAGAAACATATATATTTAATTATTAACAGCCATATGTTACATATTTTTATTATCCTATCTCAATAAGTTAATAACTAAATTATGATTAAAATTACAATAAAAATTCAAGGCCATGAAAAGAGAGGAAAGCAAATTTAATCTTACAGTTAGTATAATTATTCAGTTACATTTATGTAGCATTTATTCATTTAATAAATATTGTGGCCTACTATGCCCCAAGCTTCCACTCTTCTATTTGATTGGAATAAACCAGTAGATAAATCAGGCAAAAATCTCTGCTCTTATAATGCTCATATTCTAGTGGGGAAGGCAAACAAAAATGAACAAAATGAGTAAGTTATTTAATATGTTAGAAGATGATAATTATCTAGAATGTGTGGAAAGGAAGAATCAGTATTAAATAAGATTGTCAGGGTGGGCTTTCTTCAGAAGATGTCATTTGAATAAAGAATTGAGGCTCAAGAGAGAGTAAACCATCCAGGTATTCAAAGAAAAATGCTCAAGGTAAAGAAAATAGCCAGTCCAAAAGCCCTAAAATGACAGTGTGCCTAGTGTGTTTTAGAACTAGTCAGGAGGGTCCGGGTGCGGTGGCTCACGCCTGTAATCCCAGCACTTTGGGAGGCTGAGGTGGATCACAATATCAGGAGATCGATACCATCTTGGCCAACATGCTGAAACTCTGTCTCTACTAAAAATACAAAAATTAGCCGGGCATGGTGGTGGGTGCATGTAATCCCAGCACTGGGGAGATTGAGGCAGGAGAATCCCTTGAACCCAGGAGGCAGAAGGTTGCAGTGAGTCAAGACGTCACCACTGCACTCCAGCCTGGCAACAGAGCAAGACTCCATCTAAAAAAAAAAAAAAAAAAAAAAAAAAGAGTCAGGAAGCCAGTGGGGCTCAGGTGAAGTGAATGAGAGAGGAGTAGGAGATAAGGTCAGAGAGGTAATGGGGATGTCATATTGGAAGGACACTGGCTTTTATTTTGAATGAAATCAGGAGTCCCACTCCCAGCTTCTGGCACTGATCTGATATCTGTCTCTATAATTTTGTCTTTTCTAGGATGTGATATAAATGAAATCATATATATGCAATTTGTGTCTGGCTTCTTACCCTAAAAATAGGGCTTTTAATATTCTATGTTGTGTGCATCAGTCTTTTTATTGCTAAATAGTTTTCATTGTGTAAGTCTACCACAGTTTGTTTAGCCATTCACTATTTGATGAGCATTTGGACACTTTCCAGTTTTTGGCTATTATTAATAAAGCTGTTATGATCATTTGTGTGAAGTTCTTTGTGTGGACACATCTTTTTATTTCTCTTGGATAAATTACTAGTATTCAGCTGGCTGGGTCATATGATAAGTGTATGTTCATTTTTTGAAGAAAATGCCAAAATCTTTTTTAAGATCTTTGCATACTTTGCATTCCTACCAGCAACGCATGGAAGTTAAATTTGTTCTTCCTTCTTGTATTTGCATTAAAAATCTAGGTAGTTTTATAGTATAGTAGGTGTGTAATGGTATCTTACTGTGGTTTTAATTTACATTTTCGTAATGGCTAATGGTGTTGATCATCTTTTCATGTGCTTATTTGTAATCTGTATCTCTTCTTTGATAAAGTATCTTTTCAAATCTTGCCTCTATAAATTTTGTTCTCTTATTACTACAGTGTATGGTTTGCATGTTTTGTCCCTTACAAATCTCATGCTAAAGTGTGACCTCTAATGTTGAAGATGGGGCCTAGTAGGGGTCATGGGGACATATCTCTCCTCAGGAATTGCTTGGTGCCCTCCTTTGTGGAAATGAGTGAGTTTTCACTCCGTGTTCACACGAGATCTGGTCATTTCAAAGAGTGTGGCGCCTCTCCTCTCTCTCTTGCTCCCTCTCTCACCATGTGACATGCTGGCTCCCCTTCCACCTTTCACCATGATCATAAGCTTCCTGAGGCCGTCACCAGAAGTACATACTGGTGCCATGCTTCTTGGACAGCCTGCAAAACCATGAGCCAAAGAAGCCCCTTTTCTTTCTAAATTACCCTGCTTCAGGTATTCCTTTTATTGCAATGCAAATGGGCTACCACATACAATATTGAGTTGTAGTTTTCTTTTTAAATTCTGTGTATAGGTCTTTTATCAGATATGTATTTGGCAAATATTTTCTCTTTGTGGCTTTTTAATGTTTGTAAAATTGTGTTTTAAAGAACTACAGTTTTCAATTTTAATTATGTCTTATTTATTGTTTACTTTTCTTTCATGGTTTGTATTCTTGCATAGTCACTATATCTTTGGATAGTCAAAATTCAGGAATATTTTCCCCTAGGTTTGCTTTTAGAAGTTTTATAGTTTTACATTTACGTTATGATATATTTTTAATTAATTTTTGTATGTGGTTTGATGTATGGTTCAAGGTTCATTTATTAATAGAGATCCATACATTTCCCAGCAACATTTTTCAAAAGACTATCCTGTCCCAGTGAATTATATTGGCAGTTTGTCAAAGAAATCAATGGGACATATAGATCCATGTCTATTTCTGGATTCTCTATTTTGTTCCATAAATCTCTATGTCTGTCCTTTTATCAATGCCACACGGACTTGATAATTATAAACTTGTAAGCCTTAAAATTAAATAGTAAAATACCTTGAATTCTATTTTCCTTAAAGTTGTTTGCATAATTCCAGGTTCTTTGATTTTTTCATATAAAATTTATATTTAGCTTGATAACTTTTATGAAAATAAAACAGCCTGATGGAATTTTGACTGAGAATGTCTTGATTCCTATCAGGAAATTTGATATCTTAATATATTGTTTTGTAATGTATGATCACTGTATATCTCTCCTCTTACTTAGATCTTTCTAGATTTCTCACAGAAATGTTTTATTTGTATTTATTAATTTTTTTCAGTGGAAAATAATTTTTATTGAGACCCCACCAAGTGCAAAATCTGTTCCTGGCATTAAGCACCTTCTTCCTTTGCAATTTGGTCTTTCTTGAGTGGTCTCACGAATGCTTTCTTCTTCATGGTCTGGAAGTGGCAATGGCCAAAGTTGGAGGTGGTGTCAGTGAACTTAAGGTCAGTCTTCTCCAGAGCCTGCCATTTGGTCTGGACCAGCAAGGACTTGCAGAGGGTGAGCACTTGCTTCTTGGTTCCCACCACATAGCCTTTCAGCATGACAAAGTCATTGGTCACTTTGCCACAGTGGACAAAGCCACCCAGAGAGTTGATGCTCTTGTCAGACAGGTCATAGTCAATGGAGGCATTGTTCTTGATCAGTTTGCCGTCCATGATAGGGTAGCCCTGGCCGATCTTATAGATCTTCTTGTTGATCTCAGTGCCATGATGGTAGCCTTTCTGACCAGCGTGTGACACAGAGAAGGCCACATGGGCAAGATGCCATGCCCCAATACAGGCCACCTTGCATAAGCCTCGGTGGGTCTTGTGGGGCAGCTTTGTGGTGTGCCAACAACTGGTGACCCCTTTGTAGCCTTTGCCCTTGGTCACCCCGATGACTTTGATCATCTCATCTTGCCCAAACACTTGGTTGACAGGTACCTGCTGCTCGAGCCTCTTCTGGGCCCAGTCCAGCTTCTCAGCCACAGTGCCTCTGTTCACCTAGATCTCCATCAGGTGGGCTTTCTGGTGCAGAGGAAGCAGGCGTATCTGGGTGTGGGCAATGACGCGGATGACTTGGCAGTACTTCTTCATGCTGCTGAAGTCCTTCTACACCTGCTTTTTGCCATCCTCTTTCTGCCGTTTCTTGCAGTACTTGGTAAAGGGCTTCTTCTTAGATTTATGTCAGTTCTTATAGAAACGCCTTTTGCACTCACTGCTGATGTGCTCAGCAAAGATGGTCTTGAAAGTCCAGATGCCTCGAAGGGTTTCCCCATATCCCACAATGCCCACAACCACCATGGGTGGTTGTCTCCACAATGGCCACAGCCTCTACCACCTCCTTCGTACTCACCTTGGATCCTGGCCTATTGACTTCCCCTCACGATGTGGGTCATGCCAACCTTGTATCTCAAGAAGGCTGTGAGGTGGACCAGCTTGGAAGGGTCATCCTTAGGGAAACTCTTCACCTTCCCACAATGCCTGCAATTGTGCTTTCAAGGCAGGAAGCCGAGGGACCCATGTCTGGGAGTGGAGAACTTTCTGTGAGATATCATGCCGTCAAATCCCACTGGAGAAATGTTTTATAGTTTTAAGCACACAAGCATTACATTTTGTTAGGCTTATTTATGAGTATTTCATATCTCAATACTATTATAAATGGTACCGTTTTCTTCATTTAAATTTTCAGTTGTTCACTGGTGGAGTATAAAATTTCAATTGACTTTTATATATTGACTTTGCATTCTGTGATGGTGAAAAACTTGCTTCTCAGGTATAACAGATTTTTTGAAAGATTATTATTTCTTTATAAATAGACAATCATGTCATCTGAAAATAATTACAGTTTAATTTCTTCTTTTTCAATTTAGCTGCCTTTTACTTACTTTCTGTACCTGATTGCACTGGCTAGGACCTACAATATTATGTTGAATACAAGTGGTGATAGTGAACACATCCTTACCTTGTTTCCGATACAATAAAGAAAATATTAAGTCTTTCACCAGGAAGTCTGATGCTAACTGTATATATTACAGACATGCCTTTTCTCAGGTTGAGAAAATTTCCTTATATTCCTAGTTTGTTGAGAATTTTTGAATAGATGTTAACTTTGTCAAATGCTTTTTCTGCATCTATTGAGATAAATCTTATATAATTTTGATTTTTTCTTGTTGATATTTTGAATTACATTGATTAATTTTCCAATGTTGAAACAACCTGGTATTCATGTAATAAACCCCACTTGGTCATGATATATTATCCTTCTTATATGTTGCTGGATTTGATTTACTAACATATTTTTTTCAGAATTATTTGTCAAAGTTCGTGAAGGAGTTTGGTCTTTAATCTTCTCTTCTTGTAATGTCTCTGTCTGACTTGGTGTCATGGGAATTTGGGCCTCATAAAATTATTTGAAAATTTCTCTCCTCTTTTATTTTCTAGAAGAGTACTTGTAGCATTGGTTTTAGTTCTCCTTAAATGTTTATTATATATTGCCACTGAAGACATTTTTAGCCGTGGATTTTCCCTGTGCAAAATATTTTCACTGAAAATTGTATTTGTTTACTAATTATATTTGTTTGGGTTACTCTATTTTTTTCAATAAATTTTGCTAATTTTTGATTTTCAAGAGTTGTGGTCCATTTTATGTATTAAATTTATTGACATAGAATTTTTAAAATATTCACTTATGCTTTAAATTTCAGAAGTATGTGTAGTGATGTCTCCTCTTTTATTTCTTATATTGGTAATTTGTGTTTCTTTGTGCTTTATTTTGTCTTCATTTGACCAACTAGAAGTATTCTTTTTTCATCTTGCAGAAAAATCAGTTTCATTTTATTGATTTTCCTTGTTGTTTATTTTAAATTTTGTTGATTTCTCTTTTATTGTTTTTACTTTTACTACTTATTTATTGCTCTTGCTTTCCTTCATTCTACATGCCTTGTGTCTCAAATGTTCTACTTCCCCTAGTTACTTAAGGGGAAATATTTAATTATTAATTTTAGACTTTTCTTATTCTTTACTAATGTAAGCATTTAATTCTATAAAATTTCCCCCAAGCTCTACCTTAGCTGTGTCCCACAAATTTTGATATATTGTGATTCTGTTTTCATTTAATTCAAAGGGTATTTAGCATATCTTATGCTTCCTCTTTGACCATGGGTTATTTAGAAGTGTGCTGCTAAATATACAAAAATAGAGAGAATTGAATTGACAGGTTTTTCCTTCAATACTTTAAAGATATGAATTCACTAATATCACACTAACATGGATTCAGACAAAAGTATGCTGTAAATCTTATGTTTGTTCCTGTATATGTAATATGTGATTACCATTTGCTCTGTTTGATTTCGGTAACTGTGTCACTTCAAAAATGCTGCATAAATGGAATCACATTACATGTAATATTTTGTGGTTGCCTTTTTCACTAAGCATAATTCCCTTAAGTTTCATTTAAGTTCTTGCAGGTATCAAAAGCTTATTCCTGTTTATTGCTGAGTAGCATTCCATGGTGTAGAGGTACACAGTTTAACCATTAACCTATTGAAGGGCATTTGCACTGATTCAATTTTTGATAATTGCAAGTAAAGTTACTCTCAACATTCATCTACAGGATTTCGTGTGAACATAAGTGTCCATTTTTCTGAGATAAATGCCCAAGAGTGCAATTGCTGTGTCATATGGTAATTGCATGAACAGTTTCCTCAGAAACTGCCAAACTGATTTTAGTTTCTGTACTATCTTACAGTACTACCAACAATGTATCAATTATCTAGGTGCACTGCATCCTCATCAGAATTTTATGTTATTACAATTTCTTATATTTTAGCCATTTTAGTAAGTGTGTTTTAAGTTGCATCTCTTTGTGGCCTTCATTCGTATTTCCTCCAATGGCTAATGATGTTGAACATAGATCCATACGCTTGTATGCCACATATATAGCCTCTTCAGTAAAATGTCTCTCATATATTTTGCCTATTCTCTAACTATATTGTTTACTTTCTGATGTTAAGCTTCAAGAATTCTTTATATATTCTAGATGCAAGTTTTTTTTTCAGATATGCAGCATGCAGATATTTTTGTCTAATGTGTAGCTTGTATTTTCACCCTCTTATAGTGGTTTTTGGAAGAGCAGAAGTCTGTAATTTTGATGAAGTCCAATTCATAAAATTTTCTTGGACATTTTCAGTGTCAAGTCTAAGAATTCCTTGCCTAGCCCTAGATCCTGAAGTTTTTCTCCTACTTTTTCACTAAAAGCTTTATAGTTTTATGATTTACATTTAAGTTTCTGGTTTATTTTGAGGTAGTTTTTGTATAAGGTGTGAGACTTAAGGGAGGAGCTATATATCTTTTGCGTATGTATGTTCAGTTGTTCTAAGAAAATATGTTGAAAAGACCATTTTTTTCTCTAATGAATTGCTTTATGTCATTGCAAAAAATTAGTTGGGCACATATGTTCATTTCTTTCTAGGTTCCTTTTTCTACCTCATTAATGCCTGTGTATATCTCTTGCACAATATCACAGACTTGATTAGTATAGCTATCGAATATCTTGAAATTTTGTATACTCAGTCCTATCAATTTATTTTCAAAATTGTTTTAGTTATTTTCATTCCATTGATTTTTATATAAATTTTATTTTATTTTTATACTTTAAAAAATTTAAATGTTGTGCATATATAGTAGGTGTATATATTTATGGGGTACATGATATGTGTTGATATAGTATGCAATGCATAATAATTACACCATGAAAAATGGGGTATCTATCCCCTCAAGCATTTATCCTTTGTGTTATAAACAATTCAATTGTATAATGTTAGTTATCTTAAAATATACAATTAAATTATTATTGACTATAGTTACCGTGATGTGCTAGCAAATACTAGATTTCATTTGTATTAGTCTGTTTTCACAATGCTGATAAACACATAGCTGAAACTGGGAAATTTATAAAGTGAAAGGTGTTTAATGGACTCACAGTTCCATATGGCTGGGGAGCCCTCACAATCATAGTGGAAAGTGAAAGGCACATCTTATGTGATGGCAGACAAGAGAGAAAATGAGAGCCGAGCAAAAAAGAATACCCCTTATAAAACCATCAGATCTCGTCACACTTATTCACTTTCACGAGAGCGGTATAGGGAAAACTGCCCTAATGATTCAATTATCTTCCACTGGGTCCCTCCCACAACAGGGGAGCTACAATTCAAGATGAGATTTGGGTGGGGACAAAGCCATACCATATCATCATTTGTTCGTTCTATTATTTTTGTACCAGTTAACCATCTCCATCTTCCCCCCCAACCTCCCATTACTCTTCCCAGTATTTGGCAACCATATTTCTACCACCACCATGAATTCAATTGTTTTGATTTTTATATCCCACAAACAAGTAAGAACATGTGATGTTTGTATTTCTTTGCATGGCTTATTTTACATAACATAATGGCCTCCAGTTCCATCCATGTTGTTACCAATGATAGGATCTTATTATTTTTTATAGCTGAATAGTACTCCATTGTGTGTATGTGCCATATTTTCTGTATCCATTCTTCTGTTTGATGGACACTTAGATTTCTTTCAAATCCTGGATATTGTAGACAGTGCTGCAACAAACACGGGAGTGCAGATATCTCTTTGATACACTGGTTTCTTTCCATTTAATGTACACCCAGCAGTAGGATTGATGTATCATATGCTAGCTCTATTTTTAGTATTTTGAGGAACCTCCATACTGTTCTCTGTTCTGGCTGTATTAATTTACAATAGCACCAACAATGTACAAGGGCTCCACTTTCTCCACATCCTCACCAGCATTTGTTATTGCCTGTCTTTTGAATATAAGCCTTTTTAACTGGGGTTAGATGGCATTGCATTGTAATATTCATTTGCATTTCTCTGATGATGAGTGATGTTGAGCACCATTTAATATAACTGTCATTTTTACATCTTCTTTCTTTTAAAGATTTATTTATATTTATTTATATATTTTTAATTTTTATGGATACATAGCAGGTGTACATATTTATGGGGTACATGAGATGTTTTGATAAAGGCATGCAATGTGAAATTAGCACATTAGGGAGAATGGGGTATCCATCCCCTCAAGCATTTATCCTTTGTGTTACAAACAATCCAATTATACTCTAAGTTATTTTTAAAAGTAATAATAAGTTATCATTGATTTTTGTCACTCTATTGTGCTATCAAATAGTAGGTCTTATTCATTCTTTCTATTTTTTGTACCCATTAACAATCCCCACATCCTTTCCCACTGTTCCAGTATACTTCTTAGCTTTTGCTAACCATCTTTCTACTCGCTATATCCATGAGTTCAATTGTTTTGATTTTTAGATTCCACAAGTGAGTGAAAACATACAATGTTTGTCTTTCTGTGCCTGGCTTATTTCACTTAACACAATGGTCTCCAATTCCATCCATATAGTTGAAAATGACTGTATCTAATTCTCTTTTATAGCTAAATAGTATTTGACTGTGTATATGTACCACATTTTCTTTATTTATCTGTTGATGGACACTTAGTTTACGTCCAATCTAAGCTATTGTAAACAGGGCCGCAATAGACGTAGGAGTGCACATATCTTACCAATATACTGATTTCCTTTTTGAGGGGTTATGTACCCAGTAGTGGGTTTGCTGGATCATATGGTACCTTAATTTTTAGTTTTTCTGAAGAACCTCCAAACTGTTTTTCACAGTGGTTGTACTAACTTACATTCCCACCAACAGTGTACAAGGGTTCCTTTTTCTCAACATCTGTGTGAGCATTTGTTATTACCTGTCTTCTGGATACAAGCCATTTTAACTGGGATGACGTTAGATCTCATTGTAATTTTGACTTGCATTGCCCTGATGATCAATGATGTTGAACAACTTTTCACATGCCTGTTTGCCTTTTGTATGCCTTCTTTTGAGAAATGTCTATTCAAATCTTTGGCTTGTTTTTTGGTTGAATTATTAGATTTTTTTCTATAGAGTTGTTTGAGCTCCTTATATATCCTGGCTATTAAACCCTTGTCAGATGGGGAGTTTGCAAATATTTTTTTACCATTCTAGGGGTTTTCTCTTCACTTTGCTGATTGTTTCCTTTGCTGTGCAGAAGTTTTCTAACTTGACATAATCCCATTTGTCTATTTTTGCTTTGGTTGCCTGTACTTATGGAATATTACTCAAGAAATTGTTGCCCAGACCAACGTCCTGGAGAGTTTTCCCAATGTTTTCTTGTAGTAGCTTCATAATTTGAGGTCTTAGATTTAAGTCTTTTATCCATTTTGATGTGATGTTTGTATATGGTGAGAGATACTGGTCTAGTTTCATTCTTCCATATATGGATATCTCATTTTTCCATCACTATTTATTGAAAAGGCTGTCTTTTCCCTAGTGTATGTTCTTGGCATTTGCCTAAACTAAGTTAACTGTAGGTTTGTGCATTTGTTTGTAGGTTCTCTATTTTGTCCTGTTGCTCTGTGTGTCTGTTTTTATGCCAGTACCATACTCTTTTGGTTACTATAGCTCTATAGTATAATTTGAAGTCAGGTAATGAAATTCCTCCAGATTTTTTTCTTTTTGATTAGAATAGGTTTGCCTATTCTATGTCTCTTGTAGTTCCATATGAATTTTAGGATAGTTATCTCTATATTTGTGAAGAATGTCATTGGTATTTTGATAGAAATTGCTTTGAATCTGTAGATTCCTTTGGGTTGTATGGACATCTTCACAATATTGATTCTTGCAATCCATGAACTTGGGATATTTTTCCATTTTTTGGTGTCCCCTTAAGTTTCTTTTATCAGTGTTTTATAGATTTTATTACATACATCTTTCCCTTGTTTGGTTAATTCCTAGGTATTTAAATGTATGTTTGGCTATTGTAATGGAATTACTTTTTTGAATTCTTTTTCACGTTGTTCTCTGTTGACATATAGAAATGTTATGATTTTTTGTATATCAATTTTGTATCCTGCAACTTTACTGAATTTGTTATTAGTTCTAATAGATTCCTTATGTGGTCTTTTAGGTTTTTTCAAATATAAGATTATATCACCTGTAAGCAAAAATAATTTGACTTTCTTATTGCCAATTTGGATGCCATTTATATCTTTCTGTTGTCCAATTGCTCTAGCTAAGAGTGCTAGTACTATGTTGAATAACAGTGGTGATAGTGGACATCCTTGTCGACTTCAAGATCTTAGAGAAAAGGCTTCCAGCTTTTCCCCATTCAGGGTGATACTAGCTGTGGGTCTGCCATATATGGCTTTTATTATGTTGTGGTATGTTCCTTCTATCCACAGTTTTCTAAGGGTTTTTACCTTGAAGCGATATTGAATTTTTTTTTTTTTTTTTTTTTTTTGAGACGGAGTCTCGCTCTGTCGCCCAGGCTGGAGTGCAGTGGCGGGATCTCGGCTCACTGCAAGCTCCGCCTCCCGGGTTCACGCCATTCCCCTGCCTCAGCCTCCCAAGTAGCTGGGACTACAGGCGCTCGCCACTACGCCCGGCTAATTTTTTGTATTTTTAGTAGAGACGGGGTTTCACCGTTTTAGCCGGGATGGTCTCGATCTCCTGACCTCGTGATCCGCCCGTCTCGGCCTCCCAAAGTGCTGGGATTACAGGCGTGAGCCACCGCGCCCGGCCGCGATATTGAATTTAATCAAATTATTTTTCAGCATCAAGTGGAATGATCATATGGATCTTATCCTTTATTATGTTGATATGATGTATCATATTGATTGATTTGCATATGCTGAACCACCCGTGCATCCAAGAGATAAATCCCACTTGGTCATGATGGATGATCTTTTGAATGTAATGTTGAATTCAGTTTGCTAGTATTTTGTTGAGGATTTATGCATCAATATTCATCAGGTATATTGACCTGTAGCTTTCTTTTTTTAATGTGTCTTTGTCTGGTTTGGGTATCAGGGTAATACTGCTCTCATAGCATATAAGTCTACTTGGTCGTGGTAAATTGACTTTGTCATGTGCTGCTAGATTGGATTTGCTGGTATTTTGTTAAGTATTTTTACATCTATGTTTACCAGGGATATCAGCCTGCAGTTTTCTCTTTTTTTGTTGTGTCTTTGACAGATTATGTTATCAGAGTGATACTGGGTTCATAGAATATGTTATAGAGGATTTCATCTATCTCCATTTTTTTGTGTGTAATGGTTTAAATAGGATTGGTAATGGAAGCTCTTTTTATGTCAGGCAGAATTGAACTGTAAAATCATCTGGTCCAGGGCTCTTTTTGCTTGGTAGGTTTTGTATTACTGATTCAATCTTGGAACTCGATATTGGTCTCTTCATGGTTTCAATTTCTTCCTTACTCAGTGCTGGGAGGTTGTGTGTTTCCAAAAATGTATCCACTTTCTCTAGGTTTTCTAATTTGTTTACACAGAGGTGCTCATTGTAGTCTCTGAGGATCTTTTGTTTTTCTGTGGGATCAGTTGTAATATCACCTTTGCCATTTCTGCTTGTGCTTATTTGTATCTTCTCACTTTTTTCTTTCTTTTTTTTAATTTTCCCCAAAACATCTTTATTTTTTTTAATTTCATTATTATTATACTTTAAGTTTTAGGGTACATGTGCACAATATGCAGGTTACTTACATATGTATATATGTGCCATGCTGGTGTGCTGTACCAATTACCTCCTCATTTAGCATTAGGTATATCTCCTAAAGCTATCCCTCCCCCCTCCCCCCACCCCACAACAGTCCCCAGAGTGTTATGTTCCCCTTCCTGTGTCCGTGTGTTCTCATTGTTCAATTCCCACCTATGAGTGAGAATATGCGGTGTTTGGCTTTTTGTCCTTGCGATAGTTTACTGAGAATGATGATCTCCAATTTCATCCGTGTCCCTACAAAGGACATGAACTCATCATTTTTTATGGCTGCGTAGTATTCCATGGTGTATATGTGCCACATTTTCTTAATCCAGTCTATCATTGTTGGACATTTGGGTTGGTTCCAAGTCTTTGCTATTGTGAATAGTGCCACAATAAACATACGTGTGCATGTGTCTTTATAGCAGCATGATTTATAGTCCTTTGGGTATATACCCAGTAATGGGATGGCTGGGTCAAATGGTATTTCTAGTTCTAGATCCCTGAGGAATTGCCACACTGACTTCCACAATGGTTGAAGTAGTTTACATTCCCACCAACAGTGTAAAAGTGTTCCTATTTCTCCACATCCTCTCCAGCACCTGTTGTTTCCTGACTTTGTAATGATCGCCATTCGAACTGGTGTGAGATGGTATCTCATTGCGGTTTTGATTTGCATTTCTCTGATGGCCCGTGATGGTGAGCATTTTTTCATGTGTTTTTTGGCTGCATAAATGTCTTCTTTTGAGAAGTGTCTGTTCGTGTCCTTTGCCCACTTTTTGATGGGGTTGTTTGTTTTTATCTTGTAAATTTGTTTGAGTTCTTTGTAGATTCTGGATATTAGCCCTTTGTCAGATGAGTAGGTTGTGAAAATTTTCTCCCATTTTGTAGGTTGCCTGTTCACTCTGATGGTAGTTTCTTTGGCTGTGCAGAAGCTCTTTAGTTTCATTAGATCCCATTTGTCAATTTTGGCTTTTGTTGCCATTGCTTTTGGTGTTTCAGACATGAAGTCCTTGCCCATGCCTATGTCCTGAATGGTAAGGCCTAGGTTTTCTTCTAGGGTTTTTATGGTTTTAGGTCTAACATTTAAGTCTTTAATCCATCTTGAATGAATTTTTGTATAAGGTGTAAGGAAGGGATCCAGTTTCAGCTCTCTACATATGGCTAGCCAGTTTTCCCAGCACCATTTATTAAATAGGGAATCCTTTCCCCATTGCTTGTTTTTCTCAGGTTTGTCGAAGATCAGATAGTTGTAGATATGCGGCGTTATTTCTGAGGGCTCTGTTCTGTTCCATTGATCTATATCTCTGTTTTGGTACCAGTACCATGCTGTTTTGGTTACTGTAGCCTTGTAGTATAGTTTGAAGTCAGGTAGTGTGATGCCTCCAGCTTTGTTCTTTTGGCTAAGGCTTGACTTGGCGATACGGGCTCTTTTTTGGTTCCATATGAACTTTAAAGTAGTTTTTTCCAATTCTGTGAAGAAAGTCATTGGTAGCTTGATGGGGATGGCATTGAATCTATAAATTACCTTGGGCAGCATGGCCATTTTCATGATATTGATTCTTCCTACCCATGAGCATGGAATGTTCTTCCATTTGTTTGTATCCTCTTTTATTTCCTTGAGCAGTGGTTTGTAGTTCTCCTTGAAGAGGTCCTTCACGTCCCTTGTAAGTTGGATTCCATAACTAAAATCAGAGCAGAACTGAAGGAAATAGAGACACAAAAAACCCTTCAAAAAATTAATGAATCCAGGAGCTGGTTTTTTGAAAGGATCAACAAAATTGATAGACTGCTAGCAAGACTAATAAAGAAGAAAAGAGAGAAGAATCAAATAGACACAATAAAAAATGATAAAGGGGATATCACCACCAATCCCACAGAAATACAAACTACCATCAGAGAATACTACAAACACCTCTACACAAATAAACTAGAAAATCTAGAAGAAATGGATAAATTCCTCGACACATACATCCTCCCAAGACTAAACCAGGAAGAAGTTGACTCTCTGAATAGACCAATAACAGGCGCTGAAATTATGGCAATAATCAATAGCTTACCAACCAAAAACAGTCCAGGACCAGATAGATTCACAGCCGAATTCTACCAGAAGTACAAGGAGGAACTGGTACCATTCCTTCTGAAACTATTCCAATCAATAGAAAGAGAGGGAATCCTCCTTAAGTCATTTTATGAGACCAGCATCATCCTGATACCAAAGCCGGGCAGAGACACAACCAAAAAAGAGAATTTAAACCAATATCCTTGATCAACATTGACACAAAAATCCTCAATAAAATACTGGCAAACCGAATCCAGCAGCACATCAAAAAGCTTATCCACCATGATCAAGTGGGCTTCATCCCTGGGATGCAAGGCTGGTTCAGTATACGCAAATCAATAAATGTAATCCAGCATATAAACAGAACCAAAGACAAAAACCACATGATTATCTCAATAGATGCAGAAAAGGCCTTTGACAAAATTCAACAACCCTTCCTGCTAAAAACTCTCAATAAATTAGGTATTGATGGGACGTATCTCAAAATAATAAGAGCTATCTATGACAAACCCACAGCCAATATCATACTGAATGGGCAAAAACTGGAAGCATTCCCTTTGAAAACTGGCACAAGACAGGGATGTCCTCTCTCACCACTCCTATTCAACATAGTGTGGAATTTCTGGCCAGGGCAATTAGGCAGGAGAAGGAAATAAAGGGTATTCAATTAGGAAAAGAGGAAGTCAAATTGCCCCTGTTTGCAGATGACATGATTTTATATCTAGAAAACCCCATCGTCTCAGCCCAAAATCTCCTTAAGCTGATAAGCAACTTCAGCAAAGTCTCAGCATACAAAATCAATGTACAAAAATCACAAGCATTCTTATACACCAATAACAGACAGCCAAATCATGAGTGAACTCCCATTCACAATTGCTTCAAAGAGAATAAAATACTTTTTGCTTTCTTAATCTAGCTAGTGGTCAATTGATCTTGTTTATTCTTGCAAAGAACCTATTTTTTGTTTGTCTCAGTTCTATTCAGTTCTCCTCTGAGTTTTGTTATTTCCTTTCTTCTGCTAGCTTTGGGATTAGTTTGTTCTTATTTTTCTAGTTCCTCTCTGTGTGATGTTAGATAGTTAATTTGAGATTTTTCTAGCTTCTTGATGTAGGCATTCAGCATCATAAACTTTCCTCCAAACACTGCTTTTGCTGCATCCCAGAAATGTTGGTATGTTGTGTCTCTGTTTTTATTTATTCCAAAGGATTTTAAAATTTTTTATTTAATTTTATTGTTTACAAAATGTGATCCAGGAGCATGTCGTTTAATTTATCTTTAAGTGTGTGATTTTGAGAGATCTTATTTTTTGTATTGATTTGTATTTTTATTCCAATGTGGTTTGCAAGTGTGTTTGGTATTTTTTTTTATTTTTTAGGCTATTGAAACTTGCTTTATAGCCAAGCATATGGTCTATTTTAGAGAATATTCCATGTGCAGATGAGAAGAATGGATATTCTGTGGTTTATGGGTGAAGTAATTTGTAGATGTCTATTAGGTCCACCTGGTCGAGTGTAAAATTTAAGTCTAGAATTTCTTTTTTAGTTTTCTGTTTTGATGATGTCTCTAATGCTGTCAGTGAGGTGTTGAAGTCCCCACTCTTATTGTGTGGTTCTGTGAGTCTTATTGTAGGTCTAGAAGTACTTATTTTATGAATCTGGTTGTTCTAATGTTCAGTGCATTTGTATGTATGATAGTTAAGTCATCATGTTGGATTTAACCCTTATCATTATGTAGCGTCCTTCTTTGTCCTTTGTTAATTGTGTTGGTTTAAAATCCATTTTGTCTGATATAAGGATAGCAACTCCTCTTCTTTTTTATTTTACATTCGCATGATAGATGTCTCTTCAACCCTTACCTTGATTCTATGTGTGTCATTATGTGGGAAATGGGTCTCTGGAAGGCAGCTGGTGAATAATTCTTGTTTTTTTAATAAATTCAAACTTGACACTTTGCCTTTTAAGGAGGGGGTTAAGACCATTTACGTTCAAGTTTAATGTTGGTATGTGAGATGTTGCTCCTATTGTAAAGTTGTCAGCTGGTGGTTTCGCAGTTCCTATTGTGTAGTTGCTTTAAAGAGTCTGTGGGTATGTAACTAGGTGTGGTTGTATGGTAGCAAGTAGTATTGTTCTTTTGTTTTCATATTTAGAACACTCTTAAGAATTGCTTGAAAGGCTAGCCCAGTGGTAATGAATTCTCTTAGTCTGAGAAAGATGTTATTTCTCTTTTGCTTATGAAGCTTATTTTGGTGTGGTATAAAATTCTTGATTTAATTTTCTTTTCTTTGAGAATAGGTCCACAGTCTCTTCTGGCATGTACATTTCTTCTGAAAAGTCCTCTGCTAGCCTAATGGACTTCTCTTTGTATATGATCTAACCCTTTACTGTAGTTGCCTTTAAGATTTTTTTCTTTAGTTTGACCTTGAATACTCTGGTGACTATGTATGTTGGTAATACTCATTTTGTATAGTATCTAGCAGGTGTTTTCTGGATTTCTTGTATTTGGATATCTACCTCTCTAGCAAGATTAGGCAAATTTTCTTGAATTATTCTTTCAAGTTTGTTTTGCAGGTTGTTCAGTTTTTTTCTTCTTTATCAGGAATGCCAATAATTCATATGGTGGTCCCTTTACATAATCTCATATTTCTTGGAGGCTTTGTTTATTTTATAAACTCTTTTTTCTTTATTTTTGTTTAACTGGGTTAGTTTGAAAAAGCAAGCTTAAAGTTCTGAAATTCTTTCTTCTGCTTGAACTAGTCTGTTGATAATACCTTCATTTGTTGTTTGAAATTTTTAATGATTTTTTCAGTTCCAGTAACTCTTATTGATTCTTTGTCAGATGTTTACCTCTTCCTCTATTTTTTGGACTTATTTCCAGACTGTTACCTTCCTTTATTTCCAGACTATTCAAGGTCAAACTAAAAAAAAAAAAATCTTAAAGGCAAACTGGAGCAAAGGGTTAGATTATGTAAAAAGAGAAGCCCATTAGGCTAACAGAGAACTTCTCAGCAGAAACTGTATGTGCCAGAAGAGACTGTGGGCCTATTTTCAGCATTCTCAAAGAAAAGAAAATTGAACCAAGAATTTTATACCATGCCAAACTAAGCTTCATAAACAAAAGAGAAAAAACATATTTTTCAGACAGGCAATCACTCAGGGAATTTATTACCATTGGGCTTGTCTTCCAAGCAATTCTTAAGAGTGTTCTAAACATGAAAACATAGGAACAACACCTCCTACCATACAACCACACCTGGGTACATACCCACAGACTCGCAACTACACAACAGGAACTGCAAAACAACCAGCTGACAACTTTACAGCTTTACAGGTTTCTTAGTCCTGATTTTCAACTATGTTTTGGATTTTATTGCATGTCCCTGTAATGTATGCTTTGAATTTTCCATATGTAATCTATGTTCCTCCATTTTGGTTAGAAACCACCTCGAGAGAGCTAGAGTTAACCTTTGGTGGTGTGACAACATTCAGATTTTTCGTGGTGGCAGAATTCTTATGCTGATTTGTCATCTGGAGAAGGTTGTGTTGGGTAGAATATTTTTCCTTTGTTTCTATAGTCCTGTGCATTTCTGTCAGCAGGTTTTGTTTTGGGCTGTGAGGTTCAACCTACAGGCTAGTAGATGGCATTGACAACTAAGAACCAGTTGCCATGCAAGCAGATGGGTATGGACCTGATCTTTGTTTACTGTGAGGTGCTTTCTGGTTTTTAGGTAAATGGCTGGACTGCAGGGTGTCCAGTGCCCTGGGCTTCCTGTTCTATGGAGGTGGGTGGGACAGAGCTGAACAGAACTGGAGCTCCTGACTTGCCAACAAATATTCCAATGGCGAGTGCAGGCACCACCTGCTATGAAAGTGGCTGAGAAGAGCTCCTGGTGAAATGCACTGAGATACTGAGATATCTGCAAGGGGTAGGAGTGTGAGGGGGTTGCACTGGCTCCACATCTTTGATTGGCAGGAATGCAATCTAATTCCCTATCATACCCGTGTTCCAGTGCTTGTGATTCCTATTTCAGATGCACACTGTAGTCTCTCTGGACCGTAATGTGCCTGAGAGTCATGTGGAACGCCTGTTTTGTGACTTTCGATGGGTGTGGTTTCAGGTCATAACCTTATCACTCAATCTGATACAGATAGCTTTATGGCATGCCTGTTCTTCAATGTGGCAGTACTGCTGTTTTTTATAAAGCAGGAGGGCTCCACTTTTTGGCCCATGTGAGTAGGTTTTGGTCATGGTGGTGTCAGGTGGTTGGGTCAGCCCTGGGAGAAGTGGTCAGGTACCCACAGAGTTGATATGGGGTAGGTAGTTTCCCAGTTCCCAGGCCCCTAGATGGCCGCTGAATAGAGTGTATGAGTCCTGGAGGGGCTAGACTGGGGTTTTGCTAGCCCAGAGTTCAAGTACTGGCTGTGATGTGGAGGCAGGCTTGTCCTTGGGTCGCTGACCAAGCTGTCTGGCAGAAGCAGGTGGAATGCTTAGGTGGTAGAAGCCTGAGGGTATATCACAGGCCTGTGGGTGTTGGGTTTTCACAAAGGCTCTGGGATCCAGGTGAAATGTTCAGGTGAGGGCAGGGCGACTATGCTGTGGGCCTTTCACTGGGGAGGGCAGCATCCCTCAGCTAGGACAATGAAGACTGACAGCTGTGAGACGTGTAACACGCTCACATTTCCCTCCCACCCAAACAATGCTGAATGTCACTGTTGGGGCCCACAAAGGTGTCAAGCATTGTCTGTTACCTCTGGGAATTTTGCTCCAAATGAATGCAGAGCTGTGCCCCACCACAGTGCACTAGCTGGGGTGAAGTTTCTGCACTGGAAGCCTAAGCTGGCTTTCCTCATGTTAGGGAGCTTCTCCAAGTTCCATGTCAGTCTTGTGTGGATGAACGCCTGTCTTCACTGCTCTCTGTTCTTGGTGGGTCCCCTCATTTCCTTGCTGAATCCTGATGTGGTCTCTTAGACAATCGACTTGAAGAGCTAGTATTTACTTGCCACTTTATTTCCTCTCCATGAGAGTGGCATACACTAGCTGTTTCTAGTCAGCTATATTGAACCTCCAATCCAAGTTTTTTTTGTTGTTGTTCTTTTAGCACTTTATCATCCCACTCGCATCCATGATTTCCAAAGGAAAGTGCATGCTAATCTTAATAAAGATCCCTTGTATGTAATCTGATAAGTTGCTTCTTCTTGATGCTTTCAAAATCCTCTATGTCTTTGACTTTTGTCAGTTTTACTGTAATGTGTCTTAGTGTGATCTCTATTAGTTTATCGTGCTTAAAGTTTGTTGAGCTTCTTGGATGGGTCAATTTATTTCTGTCATTATTGTGGGAAGTGTTTAGATTTTATTTCTTTAATTATTCTTTCTGCCAAATTTTCTCTATTCTCTCCCTCTGGGACTGACATTATCTGCACTTTGCTATGCTTCATGGTGTCCCATAGGTCTTTTAGGCTCTGTTCATTTATTTCACTTTTCTCTGCTCTACAGACAGGATAATATCAATTGCCATATATGTGTGTGGGTGTGTGTGTGTGTGTACACACACACACACACACACACACACACATATATATATATATATAGAGAGAGAGAGAGAGAGAGTGTGTGAGTCTCGCTCTGTAGCCAGGCTGGAGTAAGTGGCATGATCTCGGCTCAATACAACCTCCGCTTCCTGGGTTCAAGTGATTCTCCTGCCTCAGCCTCCTGAGTAGCTGAGAATATAGGCACGCGCCACCATGCCCAGCTAATTTTTGTATTTTTAGTAGAAACGGGGTTTCACCATATTGGCCAGGATGGTCTTGATCTCTTGACCTCGTGATCTGCCCGCCTTGGCCTCCCAAAGTGCTGGGATTACAGGCATGAGCCACTGCTCCCGGCCTCAATTCGCATATCTTAAAGTTCACTGATTCTTTCTCCTTCTTACTCCAACCTGTCCTGAACCCTGTAATACTTTTTCTTTTTTCATTTTAGTTATTGTACTTTTCATTATCAAGGATTTGTATTTGATTCCTTTTATCATTTCAATTTTAATTGATATTCTCATTCTGTTCATATATAGTTTTAAGGACATTTTATTTTAAATATCTGCATAGTAAGTCCAATGTTTGGGCTTTCTCAGTGATAGCTGATGTCAATTTATTTTGATCCTTTTAATTGAATATACAGTCATATGCCTTTGTTTGCCTCATAATTTTTTTGTTGAAATCTAGATATTTTTATATTGTAATATGGTAACAATGGAAATTACATTTTCTCCATACCCCAAGGTTTGCTAGTTTTTTGTTGTTGTTGCAATTTGTAGTAGTCCATTTTCCAGTGAGTTTTTCCAACTGTTTTTATAGACGTTATATTCTTTGTCATGTTTGATCACTAGAGTCTCTGTCCCTTAGCTCATGGTAAGTTAAAAAACAGCAAACAATATAATTTGGCTGTGTCCTCACTCAAATCTCATCCTGAGTTGTAGCTTTCATAATCCCCATATGTGTGGGGAGGTAATTGAATCGTGGAGGCAGGTTTTCCCTGTGCTGTTCTCGTGGTAATGAGTAAGTCTCATAAGACCTTTCATAATCTCCACATGTTGTGGGGAGGTAATTGAATCGTGGAGGCAGGTTTTCCCCGTGCTGTTCTAGTGGTAATGAATAAGTCTCAGAGACCTTCATAGCAGCCCCTTCCATTACAGGCCTGGAGGCCTAGGAGGAAAACATAGTTTCCCAGGCCGGGTCCAGGGCTTTCTTGCCATGTGCAGCCTAGAGACATAGTTCTCTGCATCCTAGTTGCCCCAGCCGTTGCTAAAAGGGACCAAGGTACAGCTCAGGCCATGGCTTCAAAGGGTGCAAGCCCCAAGCCATAGCAACATTCATGTGCTAATGAGCACAGAAGTCAAGACTTGAGGTTTGTGAACCTCTGCCTGGATTTCAGAGGATGTATGAAAATGCCTGGGTGTCCAGGCAGAGGGATGCTGGAGGGGTGGAGCACTCATGGAGAACATCTGCTAGGGCAGTTCAGAAGGGAATTGTGGAGTGGGAGCCCACACAGAGCTCCCACTGGGGCACTGCCTAGTGGAGCTGTGAGAAAAGGGCCACCATCTTCCAGACCTCAGAATAGTAGATCCACCAACAGGTTGCACTGTGCACCTGGAAGAGCCACAGACACTCAACACAAACCCATGAAAGCAGCTAGAAGTGGGGCTGTACTCTGCAAAGCCATAGGGGCAGAGCTTCCCAAGGCTGTGGGAGTCCATCTCTTGCATCAGCATGACCTGGATGTGAGGCATAGAGCCAGAAGTGATCGTTTTGGAACTTTATGGTTTAATGACTGCCCTGCTGGATTTCGGAATTGCACGGGGCCTGTAGCCCCTATGTTTTGGCCAATTTCTCCCATTTGGAATGGGTGTGTTTACCCAATGCCTATACCCTCATTGTATCTAGGAAGTAACTAACTTGCTTTTGATTTTACAGGCATATAGGCAGAAGAAACTTGCCTTGTCTCAGATGAGACTTTGGACGTGGACTTTTCAGTTAATGCTGGAATGAGTTAAGATTTTGGGGGACTGTTAGAAAGGCATAATTGTGTTTTGAATTGTGAGGACATGAGATTTGGGAGGGGCCAGGTGTGGTTAGGCATTGTGTCTCCACCCAAATTTCATCTTCAATTGTCGCTCCCGTAATCCTCACGTGTTATGGGAGGGAACCAGTGGGAGGTAATTGAACCATTTAGGCAGTTTTTTCTGTCTTGTTCTCATGATAGTGAATGTCTCATGAGATCTAATGCTTTTACAAAGGGCAGTTCCCCTGCACTCTCTCTCTTGCCTGCTTCCATGTAAGATATGCCTTTGCTTTTCCTTTGCCTTCCACCATGATTGTGATGCTTGTCCAGCTATGTGAAACTGTGAGTCCATTAAACCTCTTTTTCTTTATAAATTACCCAGTCTCAGGTATATATTTATTAGCAGTGTGAGAACAGACTAATACACCAAAATATCTTCCAGGCTTCACGGACTGGCTCTGTGCTGGGGCCTTCCTTCAACACTACACTTGCACTGAAACTACTGATCAGCCTGAGGTGAAAGCATAAGTTCTTCTTAGACCTTATTAATAGATGCACATTTCCCTGGGTTTCAGTTTGGCTTGCTGATTTTTCCCATAAATGTGGTGATTTTGAGCATCCTATCCTAACTTCTTTCTTCTTTCTTCTTTCTTCTTTCTTTTTTTTTTTTTTTTGTTTGAGACAGGGTCTCACTGTGTTGCCCAGGCTGGAGTGAAGTGGTACGAACTCAGCTCACTGCAACCTCTGCCTCCTGGGTTCAAGCGATTCTCATGCCTCAGCCTCCTGAGTAGCTGGGACTACAAGCACACACCACCACAACTGGCTAATTTTTGTATTTTTGTAGAGACTGGGTTTTGCCATGCTGCCCAGGCTAGTCTCTAAGTCCTGAGCTAAAATGATCCACCTGCTTCGGCCTCCCAAAGTGCTGGGATTACAGGCATGAGCCACCGTTCCCAGCCCTAAGCTTTTTTAAAAAACAGTTACCTTGGCTTTTTCTTATAGGCTGTAGGGTGTATATCTGATATATTAATGTATTGTTTTGCTCCAGATATCTTTGGGTTGTTTTTCAGCCTTATAATATTTTGGAACGATGCCAAACACTTTTCAGACCTGGATCCCTTCCAAATTAGTTGAAAGAGTGGTGAGTTTCTTGCATTAGTCTTTCAGGTAGCACTCACATATGTTGTAACAGACGTACACAAAAATTTGTGAATAAAATATGCTCTGTTCCCGCCAGTATTAAGTATAAGGGGCCCAGACTAGGAACATTGGCTATCTTCTTCATGTCTGGTGCCAAACTGGGGAGGGTATAGGGCAAAGTCAAGTAAAAATGCTACAAAATTTTCCTACAATTTTGAAGTTGTATTTTTCTTGATGCAGCATTTCCTTGGTAGTTGTAAACTTTTCCTGTTTTTCATTGTTCTAAAAAAGTTGGTTATGACATTTCCTGCTTCTTTTTTAACGTTTCTGTCGTGTAATGGGAACTTGAAAATGCCTTTTCTGCCATTTTGCTGACATAACTTAGGTCTGTGTTTCTTTTTTAGTTTTCATTCCCCTTGTTTTTTCACTTACTGTTTTAATTTAGATAATTTTATGTTCAGTGATTATTTTTACTAACCTGTATGCCTATGATGACATTGTAATAATGTTTTTTTATCTCTGAAATCATCTATTTGTTTCCATTTCACTCTTTTTTGTAGGTTCCATATCTGATGGACTCCCTCAACTGTTTGTGCATGTTATACAACTTTTACATTAGGTCTTCTATTATATTAGTCGTAGGTTTTAAAAAATAACTTGTCTGATATTTATAACATTTGTGTCATCTCTTAACCATGTTCTATTGTTCACATTGTCACTTGACAATGTATTGTGTTCTTTTGTTTGATTTTTAATTGTCTCAGAATTTTTAAATTTTTTAAACTTTCTTTTAGGTTCAGGAGTACATATGCTGGTTTACTGTATAAGCAAATTGCATGTCACAGGGGTTAGGTGTACAGGCTATTTTGTCATCCAGGTAATAAGCATAGTATTCAATAAATATTTTTGTGATTGTCACCCTCCACCCTCAAGTAAGCCCCATTGTCTGTTGTGCACTTCTTTATGTCCATATGTAACCAATATTAACTCCCACTTAAAAGTGAGAACATCTGATATTTGATTTTCTGTTTCTGTGTTGTTTCACTTAGGATAATGGCCTCCAGCTTCATCCATGTTGCTGCAAAGAACATGATCTCATTCTTTTTTATGGCTGCTTAGTATTCCATGGTTTATATGTACCATCTTTTCTTTATTCAATCAGCCATTGATGGCCATTTAAGTTGATTCCATGTCTTTGCTATTGTGAATACTGCTGCTGCAATGAACATACACATGCATGTGTCTTTATGGTGGAACAATTTATATTCCTTTGCATATATATTCAGTAATGAAATTTCTGGGTCAAATGGTAATCCTGTTTTAAGTTTTCTGAGAAATTGCCAAACTGCTTTCCACAATGGCTGAATTAATTTACATTCCTTCAAGTAGTGCATAAGCATTCTTTTTTTCTCCACAGCCTTGCCAGCATCTGTTGTTTATTGATTTTTTAGTAATAGCCATTCTGACTCATGAGAGATGGTATCTCATTGTGGTTTTGATTTGCATTTTTCTAATGATTAATGAGCTGAACATTTTTTCATGTACTTGGTTGTGTGTGTCTTCTTTTGAGAACTGTCTGTTCATGTCCTTTGCCCATTTTTTAAGAGGTTGTTTTTTACTTGTAAATTTAAGTTTCTTATAGCTTCTGGATATTAGACCTTTGTCAGATGTGTCAGATGCATAGTTTGCAAATATTTTCTTCCATTTTGAAGGTGTTACAATTGTTTTTGGTATCCTCGTCATGAAATATTGGCCAGGTCCTATGTCAAGAATGGTATTTCTTAGGTTTTCTTGTGTTTTTATAGTTTGAGGTTTTCCATTTGAATCTTTAATCCATCTTAAGTTTATTTTTGTATATGGTATAATGAAAGGTTATAGTTTTAAACTTCTGAATATTGCTAGTCAGTTATCCCAGCAACATTGATTGAATAGGGAGTCCTATCCCCATTGGTTGCATTTGTTAACTTGTCAAAAATCAGATGGTTGCAGGTGTGCAACATTATTTATGGGTTGTCTATTGTATTACATTTGTCTGTGTGTTTGTGTTTGTACCGGTAGTATGCTGTTATGGTTACTGTAGCCTTGTAGTATTGTTTGAAACTGGGTAATGTGATACCGCCAGCTTTTTTTTTTTTTTTTTTAATTTTCCTTAGGATTGCTTTGGCTATTCTGGCTCTTTTGTGGTTCCATATGAATTTTAATTTTTTTCTAATTCCATGAAATATGTCTTTGATATATAGAAATAGCATTGAATCTGTAAATTGCTTTGGCCAGTGTGGCCATTTTAACAAAGTAGATTCTTCCTATCCGTGAGCATGGAATATTTTTCCGGTGGTTTGTGTCATCTCTGATTTCTTTGAGCAGTGGTTTGTAGTTCTCCTTGTAGAGATCTTCCTCCTCCCTGGTTAGCTGTATTCCTAGATATTTTATTCTTTTTTTGTGGCTATTGTAAATAGGATTGTGTTCTTGATTTGGCTCTCTGCTTGGATGTTGTTTGTGTGTAGGTATGCTATAGATTTTTATACATTGATTTTGTATTCTAAAATTTGCTGAAGTTGCTTAACAGATCAAGGAGAATTTGGGCAGAGACTATGGGGTATTCTAGGTATAGAATTATATCATCTATAAACATGGATAGTTTGGCTTCCTCTTTTCCTATTTGGATACCTGTTATTTCTTTATCTTGCCTGATTGCTCTAGCTAGGACTTCCAGTACTCTAGTGAAGAGGAATGGTGAGAGAGAGAGAGAGAGAGAGAGAGACAGGGCATCTTTGTCTTGTTCTGGTTTTCAAAGGGAATGCTTCCAGCTTTTTCCCATTTATTATGATGTAGGCTGAGGGGTTTTCATAGATGGCTTATTATTTTCAAGTATGTTCCTTCAATGCCTAATTTGTTGAGGGTTTTTAACATGAAGAGATGATGAATTTTATCAAAAGTGTTTTTGCATCTATTGAAATAATTATGTGGCTTATTTTTTTAGTTTTGTTTATGTGATGGACCAGTTTAATTGATTTGCATATGTTGAATGAACCTTGCATCCCAGGGATAAAGCCTACTTGATCATGGTGGATTTGCTTTATGGTGTGTTCCCAGATTCAGTTTACTAGTATTTTGTTTAAGATTTCTGTGTGTGTTCATCAAGGATATTGGCCTGAATTTTTCTTTTTTGCTATATCTCTGCCAGGTTTTGGTATCAGAATTATGTTGGCCTCATTGAATAAGTTAGGGAAGAGTCATCTCTCCTCAATTTTGCGAATACTTTCAGAAGGAATGGTACCAGCTCTTCGTTACATGTCTTATAGAATTTGGCCGTGTATCCTTCTTGTTTTGGGCTTTTATTTGTCATCAGGATTTTTATTACTGATTAAGTTTCAGAACTCATTATTTGTTTCTTTAGGGATTCACTTTCTTCCTGGTTCAGTCTTGGGAAGTTGTATGGGTCCAGGAATTTAAGCATCTCTTCTAGGTTTTCTACCTTGTGTGCATAGAGATGTTCATATTAGTCTCTGAGGGATATATATGTATATATATATATTTTTCTTTTTTTTTTTTTTTGAGACATGGAGTCTCGCTCTGTCTCCCAGGCTAGAGTGCAGAGGCACGATCTTGGCTCACTGCAAGCTCCACCTCCCAGGTTCACACCATTCTCCTGCCTCAGCCTCCAAAGTAGCTGGGACTACAGGCGCCTGCCACCATGCTATGTTTTTTTTTTTTTTTGTATTTTTAGTAGAGACAGGGTTTCACCATGTTAGCCAGGATGGTCTTGATCTCCTGACCTTGTGATCCACCTGCCTCAGCCTCCCAAAGTGCTGGGATTACAGGCGTGAGCCACCGTGCCCAGCTGATTTTTTTTTTTATTTCTATGGAGTCTTTGGTAATGTGCCTTTTGTCCTTTCCGATTGTGCTTATTTGGATCTTCTCTCTTTTTTTTCTCTTCATTGATTTAGCTAGTACTCAATCTATCTTACTAATTTTTTCAAAAAAATTCTGGATGTGTTATTTTGTATGGTTTTTCTGTGGCTCAATTTATTTCAGTTCAGCTCTGATTTTGGTTATTTATTGTCCTCTGCTAGCTTTGGGGTTAGTTTCCTCTTGCTTTTCTAGTTCTTCCAGGTGTAATATTAAAGTTGTTCATTTAAGTTATTCTAAGTTTTTGATGTTGGTGTTTTGCACTATAACCATCCCTCTTAACACTGATTTAGTTATGTCCCAGAGATCCTGATATGCTGTATATTTCTTCTCATTAGTTTCAAAGAATTTCTTGATTTCTGCCTTAATTTCATTGTTTACCTAAAAGTCATTTAGAAGCAGGTTGTTTAATTTCTGTATAATTCTGTGGTTTTTAATGATCTTCTTAGCATTGATTTATATTTTCATAGTACTCTGGTCGGAAAGTGTGGTTGGTATGACTTCTTTTTTTAATTGCTGGGGATTGTTTTATGACTGACTGTGTGGTCAATTTTAGCTCATGTGCCATGTGCAGGTAAAAGAATATATATTCTGTGCTTGGGTGGAAAGTTCTGTAGACGACTATTGGATCCATTTGATCAATTAATGAGTTCAGGTCCTACATATCTTCATTAGTTTTCTGCCTCAATGATCTCTCTAGTACTGTCAGTGAGGTGCTGCAGTCTCCCACTGTTATTGTGTGCTTATCCAAGTCTCTTCATAGGTTTCTAGAAACTTGTTTTATTAATCTGGTTGCTCCTCTGTTGGGTGCATATATATTTATGCTAGTTAGGTATTCTTGTTGAATTGAAGTTTTTACCATTATGCAATACCCTTGTGTTTTTTAAAATTTTTTGTTGGTTTAAAGTCTGTTTTGTCTGAAATTAGAATAGCAACCCTTGCTTTCTTCTGATTTCTGTTTGCTTGGTAGATTTTTCTCAGTCCCTTTCCATTGAGCCTATGGGTGTCATTGTATTAGAGATGAGTTTGTTAAAGACAATATACCATTGAGTCTTGCTTCTCTATCCAACTTGCCATTCTGTGCATTTTACTTACGGCATTTAGCTCGTTTACATTCCAAGGTTAATATTGATAAGTGCAGATTTGATCCCATCATTTTTTGTTAGCCTGTTATTATGCAGACTTGTTTGTGTGGCTGCTTTATAATGTCAATGATTTATGTGCTTAATTGTGTTTTTGTAGTGCCAGTAATGGTCTTTCTTTTCCATATTTATCTTTTACATCAGGATCTCTCATAAAGCAGGTTTGGTGGTAATGAATTCCCTTAGTATTTGCTTGTCTTAAAAGTATCTTATCCTTTGCTTATGAAGCTTAGTCTGGCTGAATATGAAATTCTTGCTTGAATGAGCAGATATTAAGCATTCTTAAAGAAAAGAATGACTTGTCTTTTCTGGCTTGTAGATTTTTGCTGAAAGTTCCACTGTTAGCCAGATGGGGTTCTCTTTGTAAGTGAACTGCTCTTTCTCTCTATCTCCCTTTAACACTTTATTTTTTTTCATTTTGATCTTGGAAAATCGGATGACTATGTGTCTTGGGGATGGTCATCTCATGTAGTATCTTGCAGGGGTTCTCTGCATTTCCTGAATTTGAAACTTGGCCTCTCTAGCAAGGTTGGGAACATTTTCACGGATGATATCCTGAAATACGTTTTCCAAGTTGCTTGCTTTTTCTCCCTCTCTTTCATGGATGCTAGTGAGTTGTAGATTTGGTCTTTTTACATAATTCCATATTTCTAGAAGATTTTGTTCATACTTCTTTAGCCATTTTTTCTATATTTTTGTCTGTCTGAGTAATTTTTAATTTAATTCTAGATATTGTATCTAGAAACAGTAAAGAGTCAGGTAAATATAATTTATGCCCAGAGATGGACATGTCTCTTCTTCTGTTAAGTTGTTAGGTTGTTAGGGTGTTGTGTGTACAAGAACAGTTCTATGCTGATGTCCTGATTACCTTGCAGTTATTCACATAGGCCACATAGACAAAGCCTGTCTTTGCAGAATGCATTGTGATATGCACATGTGAACATAGGAGGCTTGTGAGAACCTGCTGCAAGGCCACTTCTCACTCTCCTCCTTATCTTCCTAGGAGGCTATCACGAGACAGTTTCTCAGCACCTCTTAGGTTTTAATAAGGCATTAGAGGCTTTCTGTCTTTTCCTCTTTAGGATAGAGCTGCAAGTATAAAAGTAATTAGGTGCTGCATGACACAAGCTGCACCTCATCATCTGTTTTGTAGCCATCTGTACTCCTTTGTTTCATTATCATCTTGTGGGACAAGGAAGACAGGGAGCAGGTACCTTTGCCTACTTTTGTAGTTGTTGCATATAAGTAATAAACTATCTGAGGGCTCATAGACTATGCATATTTTCAGTTTTTCTTGACAGGACATTGGGTCAATCTATTCAGGAACTGAGCTGGTTTTTATATTTTTCTTGCTATCTTTACCTTCAGTGAACCACAGATATCAAATAGCATTATACTGCTTTTACCTTGTTTGGAATGGGGCCTTGACTTCTGGAGGGGTTTTCTCTGTGTTTCTGCTTCATTCTCTGCCCCAAAGAGGTCTGTCAACTATACAAGCGTATGCCACGCCCCGCCCCCAACATTGGAGTTTAACAACAAGACTTCTGTTACTTGTTAGTCTAGTCTTGTCATAGGGACAAGAGGTTTCTCTGGGTTCTGCTGGTCTAGATGCAATCTTTGCTATGACTTGTGCATCTGGAATTTGGGACTCAATCTTTCTCAGCATTACTGGTATTTCTTTGTGGCAATCAAACTGTGCCTTATATCTGATACATCTTGTATGGGAGCAACTTTCTTTTCCTATGCCTTGTATTGGCATAAGATCCTGGACTTAAGAGTATGTCCTATTCCTTCTCCAGGAGCACAGATTTTTGTTTCCTCCATTCTCCAGAAATAACATATCTTTCCCTATTTTCTTAATGTGGGATTGTTTACTACCCTTTCCTCAGAAGAAGAGCAATATAGTAGGCAATGTCTTTAGAAGATATTTGTACAGCAGTTTTAGATGAGATCTTCAAATTAATCCTTAAAATAAAAACACTTGATAAAGGCTGAGTTTATAACACTAAAATGAATTTCAGCCAAGGTGACTGTGTAGTTACTGTGTTCCTGCTTTAAGTTTTTAGGTACATTTATGTTAGAGTACAGTTTTGGCTAATTTGCTTTGTGTTGGAAGTAACAACAATTTTCAGCAACAAAGGTCACGCTGGCTTAAATGAAGACACATTATTGGCACACACAAATTTTAGAGTTAACTTATACTTTAGATAAAGATTGAAATAGCAGGTTAATGATAAAGAAGTATTCTTTTTAATTTTAACTCTCCAATTTTATTTCATTATGTTAGCTTCACTCTAAAACTGACTGGTTCTAAGTCTAAATATGGCTGCCTGTAGCTCCTGAGTCTATTAAGCTTCTTTGTTAATATTTAGTGTGTGAGAAAGAACATCTTTTTATGTATCTTCCATTGAAGTGAGAGAAAATTTCTTCCTCAGAAACCCGCAGCAAATGTTTCTTCAAATATAAATAGCTTAAAATTTTTATATGTTCATCTCTGGGCCAAAAATATCTCTGCAGAGAGGGAATATACCAATTGGCTTAAGTCAATTAAAGTCCTCTTACAGAAAAGGCTAGAGGTGAAGTCAATCCAATCCAATATATTTGACTGAGAAATTCAAGTCCTGTTAGAAAGGGGAAAAAGAAACAGGGGAAGCAACTAAGAAATGACTATTATACATATCTAGAGGAGAGGTGGAACTGGATAGTCTCTCTGTATAACTTTCCTGAAATTATTTATTTCAGCTGAAAAGCACATAATTTGGAAGTCTCACTTTTCTTTTTAATAAAGGCTGGCATGCAGTTATTCTATATTGCTAAATGGAAATACATCCATTTACTTTAAAGACCATGGAGCAGGTGAGAGCACTGACTTAACACTTGTGACATATGATATAGTTAGGCTTTGTGTCTCCACTCAAATCTTATCTTGAATTTTAGCTCCCATAATCCCCATGTGTCATGGGAGGGACCTTGTGGGAGGTAATTGAATCATAGGGGTGGGTTTTCCCAAGCTGTTCTCCCGATAGTGAATAAGTCTGATGAGGTCTGATGGTTTTATAAAGGGGAGTTCCCCTATACACAATCTCTGTTGCCTGCTGCCATGTAAGACGTAACTTTGCTCCTCATTTGCCTTCCACCATGATTGTAAGGCCTCCCCAGTCATGTGGAACTGTGAGTCAATTAAACTTCTTTCCTTTATAGATACACAGCCTCAAATATGTCTTTATTAGCAGTGTTAAAACAGACTAATACAGTAAATTGGTACTGGGTAGTGGGGCGCTACTATAAAGATACTCAAAAATGTGGAAGCAACTTTGGAATGGTGTAACAGGCAGAGATTGGAATCATTTGGAGGACTCAGAAGAAGATAAGAAAATGTGGGAAATTTTGGAACTTCCCTAGAGACTCATTGAATGGTTTTGACCAAAATGCTGAAAATAATATGGACTATAAGATCCAAACTGAGGTGGTCTCAGATGGAGATGAGAAATTTTTGGGCATTGAGCAAAGATGACTCTTGGTATGATTTTGCAAAGAGGCTGGTGGCATTTTGTCCCTACACTAGAAATCTGTGGAACTTTGAACTTGAGAGATGATTGAGGTTATTTAGTGGAAGACATTTGTAAGTGGCAATGTGTTCAAGAGGAAGCAGAGCATAACAGTTTGAAAAATTTGCAGCCTGACAATGCAATATAAAAGAAAAACCCATTTTCTGGGGAGAAATTCAAGCTGGCTGCAGAAATTTGCGTAAGTAACAAGGAGCAAATTTTAATCACCAAGACAATGGGGAAAATGTCTCTAAGGCATGTCTGAGACAATCATGGCAACCCCTTCTGTCACAGACCAGGAGGCCTAGGAGGGAAAAAAAAAAATGGTTTCTTGGGCCAGGTCCAGCCTCACCTTTCTGTGTGCAGCCTCAGGACTTGGTTCCGTGCATCCCAGCATCTTCAGCTCCAGTCATTGCTAAAAGGGGTCAAAGTATAGCTCAGGCCATGGCTTCAGAGGGTACATGACCCAAGTCTTGGTGGATTACATGTAGTGTTGGGCTTGTGAGTGTGCAGAAGTCAAGAATTGAGGTTTGGGAACCTCTGCCTAGATTTCAGAGGATGTATGGAAACACTTGGATGTTCAAGGAGAGATGTGCTACAGTGGCAGAACCCTCATGGAGAATCTCTGCTAGGGCAGTGCAGAAGGGAATTGTTGGGCGAGAGCACCACACAGAGTCCCACACTGGGGCACTGCCTAGTGGAGCTGTAAGAAGAGAGCCACCATCCTCCAGACCCCAGAATAGTGGATTCACCAACAGGTTGCACCGTGCACCTGGAAAAGCCACAGACACTCAACGCCAACCCATGAAAGCAGCCAGGAGCGGGGCTGTACCCTGCAAAGCCATAGGGGTAGAGCTTCCCAAGGCTGTTGGAGCCCACCTCTTGCATCAGCATGACCTGGATGTGAGACTTGGGGTCCGAAGTGATCATTTTGGAACTTTATGGTTTAAGGACTGCCCTGCTGGATTTCGGAATTGCACGGGGCCTGTAGCCCCTTTGTTTTGGCCAATTTCTCTCATTTGGAATGAGTGTGTTTACCCAATGCCTGTACCCTCATTGTATCTAGGAAGTAACTAACTTGCTCTTGATTTTACAGGAGCATAGGGAGAAGAAACTTTCCTTGTCTCAGATGAGACTTTGGATGTGGACTTTTGAGTTAAAGCTGGAATGAGTTAAGACTTTGGGGGACTGTTGGAAGGGCATAATTGTGTTTTGAACTGTGAGGACATGAGATTTGGGAGGGGCCAGGTGTAGAATGATATGGTTAGACATTGTGTCTCCACCCAAATTTCATCTTGAATTATAGTTCCCATGATCTTCACGTGTTGTGGGAGGGAACCAGTGGAAGATAATTGAATCATTTGGGCAGTTTTTTTCTGTGCTGTTCTCATGATAGTGAATGTCTCATGAGATCTGATGGTTTTATAAAGGGTGGTTTCCCTACACCCACTCTCTCTTGCCTGCCACCATGTAAGACGTGAGTTTGCTCCTTATTTGTTTTCTGCCATGATTGTGAGGTCTCCCCAGCCATGCTGAACGGTGAGTCAATTAAACCTCTATTCTTTATAAATTACCCAGTCTCAGATATGTTTTTACTAACAGTGTGAGAACAAACTAATACAATATGTAAAAGCCTATATGGACATTTCACCTTCCAGATAGAAGAGCACCAGACCTCCCTGAGGAGAAATTATTTTCAATAGTCACACTGTATCAAGGCTATCTCTGTTTAGACTAGAAAAAAATGTTCCAAATATTTGGCAGTGTTTGAAGGTTGTGGGGTAGTGAACTGCTTCTAGGGTGTGGGTCAAGATGGGAAGAAACAATTAGGTACAAATGAGGAAGAAGGGGTTAGGAGTGCAGTGGGAAAATAAATAAAATGATGGTTGATGTATTTGGGAAGCCTGGAAAAATGATGTTTTAAAAACAGATTCACATCTACAAACTTACCTTTTTTATATTAATATTTTACTCTAACTTGTCATTTTTTTTTCTGAGTGGCAGAACCGCAAAATAGATAATTGGAAAGAATCAGCTATGCTGAATTCAAACAGCTGAAAAGACAACATATCCTTATTACCTACTCTAAGATTAATATGCTAATGTTTTAGGTCAGAAAGGAATTAATTTATTAAAATTATATACATAAAACAAATACGAATGAAATTATTTTTCTTAAAAACTGCAGCTATTTTTTTTTCTTTTTCTTTCTTTTCTTTTTCTTGGAGAGAATTGATGTTAAAAACGTCCAGAGCCTATATCCAGAGACATTTGTTGATATCCAGGAGTCAAAATGGACAGTTGAATAGGAAGAAAAACAAAAGCACCAGTGATCCCTCCATTTTATAATTTTTATGGAAAAGAAATCATGGACAAATAATATATGTAGTAAAAAAAATAAATCAAAAGCTTAGTCCCATTATATCCCCTAATCCAGACTCTTTAATTCAGCTTGGCAAATAGAATTTATCATGGACTTGTCATTTTCAGAAACTATTTGGCTTGCAACAAAGCTGCCATCACATATAGATGGAATAAGAACTGGATATAAATAGTGACAGAAAATCTCTTCCCTAAGTTTCCCAAGTTTCCCATTATACACCTTAATATAAATGCCATTGAAATGCCATTGTTAGAGATTTATAGATGCACTATTTACATTGCAAATTTAGGCATTATATAGTTATTTCTGATTAGTGAGCAATACCAGATTATTTTATTTTTTGTACATAAAACTAGAGCCTAGTTGAAAAAAAATTGATTTGGAAAGAGAAGTATAGTTTATAGTTAAGTCTAGTGGGGAGAAGAAAGGAAGAAAAATTAATCTGAGAGTTTGAGGCAGTGCCCTCAAATACCTGCCATGTGCAGTGTGAAGGCATTGTTTGCTACTAGGACAGACAAAAGAAAGGTACAGGATGCCAGAAAGAGAAGGTGGTGGTGGGGGGACTTCTTCAGAGGAACTCACCTGCTCTAATTGTTTGCTCAGAGTAAGACTTGCCTGTAGATGTTCTTCAACTTTTCCACAACTTCCATTAACCCTCTTTGCAAGGTACTCACCTTTTCTCTTGCCTCCTTGCATGACATCAGGAACTAGGTACAGCTACTTCTCTGTAGAACTGATGGATCTCATTTTTAAGAAATCATAAGTACAACATTCAAACTGGCAAAGGAAAGAACTTGAGGGCAAGATTTATTTTGGTACAACCCATTGCATTAAAGCCCAAAGTTTCTTCTATTAGAGACACCTTTCATTCATTTAGGTTTGTAGGACATTAGCTACTTGATGTTGAAGCCCAGAACAGCATGAAGATTCTTCAGAAATAATGATAAGCTGCCTGGAGTATTATTACACAAGCTGATAGAGGAGAATTGTGCACCTGGCTTCTCAAAGTAATTAATACCTACTCTGAGCTGTCTCATCAGGGAGTGCGGTGGAACCTGAACCCAAAATAACATGGAAGAAAAAGAAACAGAAAACCTCTCCTATTTAAAAAAAAAAATTAGTACATTGATTTATCTTAGCCATACTTTGTAGTTTCTGTAAACAAGTCTTACAGATCTTTAGTCTGCTTTATCCCTAAATATTTCATATTTTTGATGCTACTGTAAATTGTATTGTTAATTTCTCCCTCTCTCTCTCTTTTGTTTTTTTTTTTACTATTTTCTAATTGACGAATAACAATTCTATATTCTAGTCTAATGCCTTATCCAGTCAGATTGCTTTCTAGGTTGTAGGAATTAGCTTCCATGAATCACTTCACCACTGTCCTAGTCCCAAGGTCCTTAAACTAAGATTTCTTTTGTAAATGAGGCTTGTGTCTATAGTCTTCTAAAAGTATACATTATTTAACATATTTATTTATTAAAATAACCTCACTTTGTGGCAAAGACACTGAAGTTAAGCAGGTGGCTATTTCCTGTAATTATAAGCTAGAGGAAATTTGGTATCTGTTTCAAAGTATAGGGTATTTGAGGTATGTGCAAACCCTGAAGGAAAGGTGCCCTGAGAATTCTTTTAAGGGCTCAGGCAAATGATTAGCATGTATCTGAAGTCTCATCCCCAGGGGAGCTGCAAATTTTCAACTGAATATAGCAGATCCATTTCTTACTAATGAACATACAACTACAAGTGGCACTTCTGATAATCTTCCTTCCTGCCTAGACTCAAATAATGTCATTTTATGTTTTGGTCGATTTTCTCTAGACCAGAAAAAAATTGAATGTTTTGCCTCTTATTTTTAGAGCACCTCAATTTCTTATCTTGGCTTAAATCTTTTATTTCTTTTCTCCCCCTCTAGCAACCCTTTTTCTTAAGGAACTCTCTTTCTTTGAGCTCTCTCTTAACCCTCCCACCTTCTTCAATAGAAAGCCAAATGAAGATATTTTAAAATGCTAGCTAAAGAGGCAGGAAATGAGTTATCACCAAATGAGAGAATTAATCCAGAGTCAAACAGTCTGACATTCAAAATCCATTCTGCAGTCCACAGCGGGCAATACTGCTTAAAACAAATTGCTATCTAAAACAACATGAAGAAAAATAATTCAAAAATGTGTACCATGAAAAACTTAAACTTGGCTTTCCCAAGTCATAACACTTTTTTTTTTCTGCAACAACACAATGATTGACTGCTTTAGTTTCACAAGAAGCTATGCAATTAGAACATTCTAGGCTAATGTTCTTTGCTCTGGGTAATTAAAATAGAATAGAAGCAATGTATAGTTATTTTAAAAAAACAGCTTAAATACCTGTGATTTCTGACATGTCAAAATGTTATTGATTTCCTCAATAAAAGCTCAAGACAATGTTAATGTGTAGGCATTCTACAAACAATAGAATGCATATTGTCACAATTAGAACTATACCTAAAATGTGGTTAAAAGCTGTGTATGAATATTTTTTAACTTACGCTTTTTAAAATATTGACTATTAGAGTGTAAAATGAACCTGAATTATGTCATTTAAATTTAAGGGAAAATCTCTCCTCCTAACCATATCAATGACCCCTTCATATCAAATGAGTTTCCGTTTAGTTGGCTAAAGTAAAGCACTTCAAACCAGCTGATTTTTTTTTAATACCTCTTAAGGAAGTCTGGTCACCAGGGTTCCCATCTTCATTTAGAGATAGCCTCCACTTTTACATTTTTTAGAGAAGGTACTAGAGGAAATAGTATGCTTATGTGACCCCACTGACTGTTTTTACTGAGCAGAGATTCTAGTGAAATATGCTGAGTAAAAAAGAATAGGGCAGAAAACTAGCCAGACTAGATAACCTAGTATGAGATCTGATATCTTGATAGGAATAGAGTGGAGGAGGGGTGAGGGTAAGAGTTCTGTTACCTCTCATTCTCGTTATAGAAAGTGAAAAGGAAAGTCAATAGGTATAGTGTAGTTTATAATCATACATAAAAAATCAGTAGCATTTCTATACACCAATAAGTTTCAATCTGAGAGCTGAATCGAGAATGTAGTTTATCCCATTCACAATAGCCATATACACACACAAAAATGAGACACCCAGGAATACAGCTAACTGAGGAGGTGAAAGATCTCTTATTTATTTATTTTAATTTATAATTTTTCTGAGTACATAGTAGGTACGTAGATCTCTACAACAAGAATTGCAAAATACTGCCGAAAGAAATCAGAGATGACACAAACAAATGGAAAAACATTTCGTGCTCATGGACAGAAATAAGCAATATCATTAAAATGGCCATACTGCCCAAAGCAATCTACAGATTCAACAGTATGTTTATCAAACAACCAACATCATTTTTCACAGAATTAGAAAAAAATGACTCTAAAATTCATATTAAATAAAAAAGAGCCTGAATGGTGAAAGTAATCCTAAGCAAAAATAATAAAGCTGGAAGCTTCACATTACGTCACTTCAAACTATAGTATAAGGCTACAATAACCAAAACGGCCTAGTATAGTTAAAAAAAACAGACACATAGAACGATGGAACAGAATAGATAACCCATAAATAAAGCAACACCCCTACAGCCATCTGATCTTTAACAAATTCTACAAAAATAAGCAATGGGGAAAGGACTCCCTATTCAATAAATGGGATAGGTAGCTAGCTATATGCAAAAGAATGGATCTGTACTCCTACCATTCATCATATTAAAAAATTAACTCAAAATGGATTAATGATTTAAATGTAAGACCTCAAACTATAAGAACCCTAGGAAAAAACCTAAGAAACATCATTCTGGATATTCGCCTTGGGAAATAATTTATGATTAAGTCCTCAAAAGCAACTGCAACTAAACAAATATTGACAATTAGGATCTAATTAAACTAAAGAGCTTCTGCACAGCAAAAGAAACTATCAGCAGAGTAAACAGACAACCTAGAGAATGGAAGAAAATATTTGCAAACTATGTATCCTACAAAGGTCTAGTGTCCAGAATCTATAAGGAACTTAAACAATTGAACAAGCAAAAACCAAACAGCCCCATTAAAAAGTCGATAAAATACATAAACAGGTATTTCTCAAAGGAAGACATACAAGCAGACAACAAATATTTGTAGAAGTGCTCAACGTTGCTAATCATCAGAGACCTACAACTCAAAACCACAATGAAATACCATGTCATACCAGTCAGAATGGCTATTATTAAAAAGTCAAAAAACAACAAATGCTGAGGAAGCCACAGAACACTTACACACTGTTGGTAGGAATGTCAATTAGTTCAGCAATTGTGAGAAACAGTTTGAAGATTTTTCAAACAACTTAAAACAGAGCTACCATTTGACCTAGCAATCCCATTATTCGGTATATATCCAAAAGAAAATAAATTATTCTACCAAAAAGACACATGCACTCATATGTTCATTGCAGCACTATTCAAAGTAGCAAAGATATGGAATCAACCTAGGTGTCCATCAATGGTGCATTGGATAAAGAAAATGTGGTATATATACACCATGGAATATTATGCAGCCAAAAAAAAAAAAAACAAAATCATGACTTTTGCAGCAGCATGGATGCAGCTGGAGTTTATTATCCTAAGTAAATTAATGCAGGAATTAAAAACCAAATATTGCATGTTCCCATTTATAAGTGAGAACTAAACATTGTGTACTCATAATATATAAAGTTGGGAACAATAAACAATAGGGGTTATTAGAGAGGGGAAAGTGGAAGGGGGCAAAAGTTGAAGATCTAACTGTTGCCTACTAAGCTTACTATATGGGTGATGGGATTATTTGTATCCCAAACTTCAGCAAAACACCATATGCCCATCTAACAAATCTGCACATGTACCCCCTGAATCTGAAATAAAAGCTGAAATTATTAAAGATATACAGAGCAAGTGAGAAGTAAAAACTACTAAGTTTCTCTTATTTTTCAAGGCTGGGAAATGGAGATGTCCAATATTGCAGCCAGCAGGTCTTTCCATATATGCCATTCAGAGATCATACTATGAATGATAATTTAATATAACATTTTACATTGACACTTGTCTGTATGTAACATAATCCTTCTTCAATTCTGCTCAATGCCATTAAAAAAATAATAGCTAACACTTGTTGAGTACTTCCTATGTGAAGGCACTGTACCAAGTAGAAAGTTTTATATGCATTATCTCATGAGCTCACAACCAAATAAGGCAATTACTATTATTATCTTAATTTTACAGATGATGAAACTGAGACAGAGTGGTTTAATTACTTTTAAAGATTCCCATATCAAGTAGCTAGCAGAGCTGACATTCAGATTTGAACTGATGCATGGCAGGTTCCTGGGCCCCTGCTCTGAAACCACTGGAGAGTATATATGTAGAATGTATTTGTCCTGGGTTCCATTTTCTTAGGATCTTTGTCTCTGAGCAGATCCTTAGAGATATACATGTTTATAATTTGTTGAGAACCTAATGGAGACACTACCTTCATTTAGAGGATTATTGTAATAATAGTAATTGCAAAAACAGTGGGAAACTGACATAAAATTTAATTGGGGGCAGATTAGGTTTTGGTTAGGACTATTAACCTATTAAGTAGGCATCTGCCTAGGCATGTGATTAGGTTTAGAATATGTTTTTTCTAGGAAAAACATGGAGACCATCATTTCCTGCTCCATAACTTTTCAGGTGGGAAAAATGAGATCTAAAGAGATAAAGTAGCTAGCCCAAGAGTGCACAACTAGTGAACATCAGAGCAAAGACAAGAGCCCTGCTCCAAGGCTTATAGCCTGATCTACAGCTTTTCGGATTCTATAAATGAGACTCAATTCTGCCTAGGTAAACATACAGCTCATAGGAATTTAAAATTGCCCAACTATTCCAAAATAGACATTTCCTTTCTTCTGCTGGGGTTTTCATTCCTTGCAGTTTCACATCGTGGCTCCAAAGCCATCTTTTGGGTCTCAAGGCCAAGTCAATAAAGTACATCTGTTCTTTGTGTAAAGACCACCTCTAGTGTCAAGAATTCTGGAATGGCCGTGAGGATGAAGCTGACCTAGGCAATGTATGCTTCTGATGGGGTATAAAGTGTGAAAAATCAGGCTAACTGTTCATAGGTGAATCTGTTTGCCTGTTCAGAGAGCAAAAGGGGCATGCATCATTCTGAAGGATGTATGATAAAGTGGCAAGTGGAAACAATTTTCTAAGTTGCTGTCACAGTCTCCACACACTCAAAATGAGTACTTTAAATACAGCAACAATATGGCACTATTGTACGGTAAAAATCATCTTAGTAGGATATGCAAGCCCTATTTTAAAATTTACCCTAAATAGTCCATTTACTCCAACAAATGGCAGCTGATTGGGCTGTGCTGTAATTGGGTACAGCATTGAAGAGCTGCTTTGCCTATTATTTAAATTTCCAGTGAAGAAATAGCTAGTTCCACTTATTTTTCTTTCAGGGCCACAGATGTGTCTTGGCCATAGTACAGCTCCAGAGAAGGAAACAAGTGAGTGAGTTTAGGAAAGGCAGCTTTGCTGCAGCACAATTCGCAGTCATGACAACCAAGACGCCTCTGCAAATGGTATAGTCCCACCTTCTCTCCAGGCAGCTGCTCAGAAGCTCAAGGAACTTAGCTGACAGGAGGGATAATTTGCAGACTTCAGCCCTGCTCCATTAGGCTAGAAGAACATCTTCTTCCTTCCCGTTCTCCTTGCCCAGGTTGCTGTTGTAGGTAGCCTGAGTTATGGAGTGTGCAAATCAAGTCAACCACTATATTTGAGAACCTGCCCAGTGTCTGGCTCTGTATTGTACTTTGTGTGAGACTATAATCCTATACATCCATGGGTGAAAGTTAGAAGGGTAGAATTAAAATACAAAGTAGAATGAAACATTTTCTTTTTTATATTTCCAGCCATTTAACATATCCAGAATGATCTTTGTACCCAAATCTGCTCCTCCTCCTGTGGCCTTCAAGTGTGAAGAAATGGCCTTGCCATCCACCTGCTTCCTCAAATGAGACACCTAGAAGCGACCTTCTACTTGTCTTCTTTTCTTATCTCTTACATCCAACCCCCTTACTGTGGAGGTTTAATTGATTCTACATCCTAATTATTGCTCAAATTTATCCCCTTTTCTCCATTCTTACTAGCACAGTTTCAGGTGTTCATTATTTTTCAACATGAATTTTGGAATAGTCTCTTTGCTATTGTTCTGCCCTCTGCAATCCACCTTTCTCATTGCTCCCAAATTGAGCTTTATAGAAGATATGATCTAAAATTTCATCTCATTGCTTCTCTACTTAAAACCCTTCAGTAATGTCCTACATTGTTTCAGAAAATAATTTAAGTTTTGAGCCTGACATATAAGGCACACTTTGATCTGGCTCCTGTTCACTTCACTCAAATATCAATGAGGTTTGGAGTATTATTATAGATAACTCTTGTCTATTTATCATGTTATTAGAGACACTAAAAGTAACTATATATATATATGAAATGAGTCTATAATTGAGGCATTTCAGTGATGCAGATACGTCTTTTATTCTGAATTACAAAATCATCTTTATTCCCTGAATTTCAGTAAGTAATAGTGCAACTTGATTTGGTGATTAATGTTCAATTGTCTTGTGGTCCAGGAACCTTTGGAATGTTGAAACCTTGTTTTATGGATACAAGCCTACATCCTCAGCTGTGTCTATAATTTAGACCTGCTGTTTCTTGAGTTTTATTCCTAAGAGTCAGTGTGTCTAATAAAAATAAAGGGAAATTAGAGGATAAATAAATGTGTTGCAAAAATACGAGTTGGATAAGTTTCAACTACATCTTCTTATACAGAATCAGTTGTGCATTCTTGGCTTGAATTACTTAGAAGTAACACTCTGGAAGGTCCTATAAGATTACTGACACCTGAGGAAGTTGATGAGTAAGATCGTGTCCTCCCGGAGGAAAGAATTTCTGGATGCTCAGGTGGATAATTTTACAAATGTTTCTTTTCTGGACCTTCTATTCTCCCTTTTTCTTTCCCCGCAGCCTCATCATGGTACATGTTTTCTGTGGTAGACTAAATAAGCTGGCAGTGTCTTTACTTCAACAAATAGGTATTGAAGACCTACTTTGTTCTAGGCTCTGGGCTAAAAGCTGGGGATATAATGGTGAACCAGAGAGTCATGGCACTTACACTGTAGTATGTGTGTAGGAGGTATGTAAAAGACGTTGGAGGGAGAGATTTTAATCAAATAATCCCCCAACTAATTGTGAATTTTTAGTAGTGACAGTAGCACGTGCTTCAACAAACTGGCAATAGTAGAAAATGCTACTTAGAGTGATCAGGGAAATCTCTGAGAAGATTTCATGTAAGCTGAAACCAAATGGATGAAAAAGAGCTAGTAATGCCAGAACTGGGGTATGAACATGCCAGTGAGGTAGGATAGAATATAAAAGTTCCTGAAGCACATTGGATGCTTGTTGTTCTAACAGCAGTCAATATTTTAATGTTCCTGGAGTGTAGTAAGTGGGAGAATGAGAAGTTTGAGATTGATTTTGAGAAGTAGATAGGGACTAGATCATATAGGGCCCAGAAGATGACAATAACAGTTTGTGTTTAATATTATCTAATGGCAATGGCTGCTCTTCAAACACTTTTAATCATAGGAGGACAATAATCTAAGTTCAAATATATCACTGACTACTATAGACTGTGTGTAGGGGTGTGTAAATGGCACACTGAGACCTGTTAGAAGGTTATTGCCATGGTTAATATGGGAGATGGTGGTTGCCTAGATTAAGGAGATAGTGGTGGAGGTAGAGACAAGTAGTTGAATTCTGAATATATTTTTTAGAGTAAAATCTCCTTAACTTATTAATGGATCAGATGCTAGGTGGTAGTATATAACATCCATATTTCTGGTATTAGCAAATGTACATAATAGTGGCATTTTCTGAGATGGAGAACACTGTAGAAGAAACAGGATGAAGGGAAGTCAAAATCAAGAGTCCTGCTTTGAACTAGTTTCTGTTAGATATCCAAGAAAATGTTCTAACTGTGGTTAATTCTCTGAGAAGAATGATTGGTAGAGGACCAAGAGAAAGAACAGTGAGTCCAGGTAGGAAACTGTAATGGTAGCTTAAGTAAGATAAAATGCTTGGTTTTAATTAGTGTGGCAGCAGCATTTATATATTTGAAACTGGCTTTAATTTGAAAGTAAAATTAGAAAGTAACTATTTGTTTCAGGAACAAACAAAGCTTCCAAGAAATACGGGACTATGTGAAAACACAAAACTTATGATTGATTGGTGTACCTGAAAGTGACAGGGAGAATGGAACCAAGTTGGAAAGCACACTTCAGGATATTATCCAGGATAACTTCCCCAACCTAGCAAGACAGGCCAACATTCAAATTCAGGAAACACAGAGAACACCAAAAAGATACTCCTCAAGAAGAGCAACTCCAACACAGATAATCATCAGATTCTCCAACGTTGAAAAGAAGAAAAAAATGTTAATGGCAGCCAGAGAGAAAGATCAGGTTACCTACAAAGGGAAGCACATCAGACTAACAGCAGATCTCTCTGCAGAAACTCTGCAAGCCAGAAGAGAGTGGGGTCCAATATTCAACATTCTTAAAGGAAAGAATTTTCATTTTTTATGGCTGCATAGTATTCCATGGTGTATATGTGCCACATTTTCTTAATCCAGTCTATCATTGTTGGACATTTGGGTTGGTTCCAAGTCTTTGCTATTGTGAATAGTGCCGCAATAAACATACGTGTGCATGTGTCTTTATAGCAGCATGATTTATAGTCCTTTGGGTATATACCCAGTAATGGGATGGCTGGATCAAATGGTATTTCTAGTTCTATATCCCTGAGGAATTGCCACACTGACTTCCACAAAGGTTGAACTAGTTTATAGTCCCACCAACAGTGTAAAAGTGTTCCTATTTCTCCACATCCTCTCCAGCACCTGTTGTTTCCTGACTTTTTAATGATTGCCATTCTAACTGGTGTGAGATGGTATCTCATTGTGGTTTTGATTTGCATTTCTCTGATGGCCAGTGATGATGAGCATTTTTTCATGTGTCTTTTGGCTGCATAAATGTCTTCTTTTGAGAAGTGTCTGTTCATATCCTTTGCCCACTTTTTGATGGGGTTGTTTTTTTCTTTTAAATTTGTTTGAGTTCATTGTAGATTCTGGGTATTAGCCCTTTGTCAGATGAGTAGGTTGTGAAAATTTTCTCCCATGTTGTAGGTTGCCTGTTCACTCTGATGGTAGTTTCTTTGGCTGTGCAGAAGCTCTTTAGTTTAATTAGATCCCATTTGTCAATTTTGGCTTTTGTTGCCATTGCTTTTGGTGTTTTAGACATGAAGTCCTTGCCCATGCCTATGTCCTGAATGGTAAGGCCTAGGTTTTCTTCTAGGGTTTTTATGGTTTTAGGTCTAACGTTTAAGTCCTTAATCCATCTTGAATTAATTTTTGTATAAGGTGTAAGGAAGGGATCCAGTTTCAGCTTTCTCCATATGGCTAGCCAGGTTTCCCAGCACCATTTATTAAATAGTGAATCCTTTCCCCCATTGCTTGTTTTTGTCAGGTTTGTCAAAGATCAGATAGTTGTAGATATGCGGCATTATTTCTGAGGGCTCTGTTCTGTTCCATTGATCTATATCTCTGTTTTGGTACCAGTACCATGCTGTTTTGGTTACTGTAGCCTTGTAGTATAGTTTGAAATCAGGTAGTTTGATGCCTCCAGCTTTGTTCTTTTGGCTTAGGATTGACTTGGCAATGCGGGCTCTTTATTGGTTCCATATGAACTTTAAAGTAGTTTTTTCCAATTCTGTGAAGAAAGTCATTGGTAGCTTGATGGGGATGGCATTGAATCTATAAATTACGTTGGGCAGTATGGCCACTTTCACGATATTGATTCTTCCTACCCATGAGCATGGAAAGCTCTTCCATTTCTTTGTATCCTCTTTTATTTCATTGAGCAGTGGTTTGTAGTTCTCCTTGAAGAGGTCCTTCACGTCCCTTGTAAGTTGGATTCCTAAGTATTTTATTGTCTTTGAAGCAATTGTGAATGGGAGTTCGCTCATGATTTGGCTCTCTGTTTGTTGGTTATTGGTGTATAAGAATGCTTGTGATTTTTGTACATTGATTTTGTATCCTGAGACTTTGCTGAAGTTGCTTATCAGCTTAAGGAGATTTTGGGCTGAGACAACGGGGTATTCTAGATATACAATCATGTCATCTGCAAACAGGGACAATTTGACTTCCTCTTTTCCTAATCGAATACCCTTTATTTCCTTCTCCTGCCTAATTGCCCTGGCCAGAACTTCCAACACTATGTTGAATAGGAGTGGTGAGAGAGGGCATCCCTGTCTTGTGCCAGTTTTCAAAGGGAATGCTTCGTTCATGTTCTTTGTAGGGACATGGGTGAAATTGGAAATCATCATTCTCAGTAAACTATCACAAGGACAAAAAACCAAACACCGCATGTTCTCACTCATAGATGGGAATTGAACAATGAGAACCCATGGACACAGGAAGGGGAACATCGCACTCTGGGGACTGTTGTGGGGTGGGGAGAGGGGGAGGGATAGCATTAGGAGATATACCTAATGCTAAATGACGAGTTAATGGGTGCAGCACACCGGCATGGCACATGTATACATACGTAACTAACCTGCACATTGTGCACATGTACCCTAAAACTTAAAGTATAATAATAATAAAAAAAAGAAAAAAAAGAAAAAAAAAGAATTTTCAACCCAGAATTTAATATCCAGTCAAACTAAACTTCATAAGTGAAGGAGAAACAAAATCCTTTCCAGACAAGCAAATGCTGAGGGATTTTTTCACCACCAGGTCTGCCTTACAAGAGCTCCTGAAGGAAGCATTAAATATGGAAAGGAAAAACCGGTACCAGCCACTGCAAAAACACACCAAAGTATAAAGACAAATGACACTATCAAGAAACTACATCAAGTAATGTGCAAAATAACCATTTAGCATCATTATTACAGGATCAAATTTACACATAACAATATTAACCTTAAAAGTAAATGGGCTAAATTCCCCAGTTAAGACACAGACTGGCAAATTGGATAAAGAGACAGGACCCATCGGTGTGCTGTATTCAGGAGACCCATCTCTCTGATAAAACAGACTTTAAACCAACAAAAATCAAAAAAGACAAAGAAAGGCATTACATAATGGTAAAGGATCAATGCAACAAGAAGAGCTAACTATCCTAAATATATATATGCACCCAATGCGGGAGCACCCAGATTCATAAAACAAGTTCTTAGAGACCTACAAAGTGACTTAGACTCCTACAAAATAACAGTGGGAGACTTTAACATTCCACTGTCAATTTTAGACAGATCAACAAGACAGAAAATTAACAAGGACATTCAGGACTTTAACTCAGCTCTAGACCAAGCAGACCTAATAGACATCTACAGAACTCTCCATGCCAAATCAACAGATAATACATTCTTCTCAGTGCTACGTAGCACTTATTCTAAAATCAACCACATAATTGGAAGTAAAACACTCCTCAGCAAATGCAAGAGAATGGAAATCATAACAAACAGTCTCTCAGACCACAGTGTGATCAAATTAGAACTCAGGATTAAGAAACTCACTCAAAACTGCACAACTACATGGAAACAGAACAACCTGCTCCTGAATAACTACTGGGTAAATAACGAAGTTAAGGCATAAATAAAGAAGTTCTTTGAAACCAAAGAGAACAAAGAGACAACGTACCAGAATTGCTGGGAGACAACTAAAGCAGGGTTAAGAGGGAAATTTATAGCACTAAATGCCCACATCAGAAAGATGGAAAGATCTAAAATCAACACCCTAACATCACAATTAAAAGAACTAGAGAAGCAAGAGCAACTAACTTCAAAAGCTAGCAGAAGACAAGAAATAGCTAAGATTAGAGCAGAACTGAAGGAGATACTCAAAAAAACCCTTCAAAAAATCTGTGAATCCAGGAGCTGTTTTTTTGAAAAGAATAACAAAATAGATAGACCACTAGCCAGACTAATAAAGAAGAAAAGAGAGAAGGATCAAATAGGCACAATAAAAAATGATAAAGGAGTTATTATCGCTGATCCCATAGAAACACAAACTACCAACAGAGAATACTATAAACACCTCTATGGAAATAAACTAGAAAATCTAGAAGAAATGAATATATTCCTGGACACATACACCCTCCCAAGACTAAACCAGGAAGAAGTTGAATCCTTGAATAGACCAATAACAAGTTCTGAAATTGAGGCAATAATTAATAACCTACCAACCAAAAAAAGACTAGGACCAGACGGATTCACAGTCAGATTCTACCAGAGGTACAAAGAGGAGCTGATACAATTCCTTCTGAAACTGTTCCAAACAACAGAAAAAGAAGGACTCCTCCCTAACTCAATTTATGAGGCCAGCATCATCCTGATACCAAAACCTGGCAGAGACACAACAAAAAAAGAATATTTCAGGCCAATATCCCTGATGAACATCGATGCAGAATTCTTCAAAAAAATACTGGCAACCCAATCAGGAGCACATCAAAAATCTTATCCACCACGATCAAGTCAGCTTCATCCCTGGGATGCAAGGCTGGTTCAACATAGGCAAATCAATAAACATAATCCATCACATAAACAGAACCAATGACAAAAACCACATGATAATCTTAATAGATGCAGAAAAGTCCTTTGATAAAATTCAACATCCTTTCATGCTAAAAACTCTCAATAAACTAGGTACTGATGGAATATGTCTCACAATAATAAGAGCTATTTATGACAAACCCATAGCCAATATCATACTGAACGGGCCAAATCTGGAAGCATTCTTTTTGAAAACCAGCACAAGGCAAGGATGCCCTCTCTCACCACTCCTATTTAACATAGCATTGGAAGTTCTGGCCAAGGCAGTCAGGTAAGAGAAAGCAATAAAAGGGTATTCAAATAGGAAGAGAGGAAGTCGAATTGTCTCTGTTTGGAGATGATATGATTGTATATTTAGAAAACCCCTTCATCTCAGCTCAAAAACTCCTCAAACTGATAAGCAATTTCAGCAAAGTCTCAGGATACAAAATCAATGTACAGAAATCACAGGTTTTTCTATACACCAAAAGACAAGCAGACAGCCAAATAAAGAGTGAACTCCCATTCACAATTGCTACAAAGAGAATAACATACCTAGGAATACAACTTACAAGGGACATGAAGGGCCTCTTCAAGGAAAACTACAAACCACTGCTCAAGGAAATAAGAGAGGACATAAACAAATGGAAAAACATTCCATGCTCATGGATAGGAAGAATCAATTTCGTGAAAATGGCCATACTGCCCAAAATAATTTATAGATTCAATGATGTTTCCATTAAGCTACCACTGTCTTCCTTTGCAGAATTAGAAAAAAACTAGTTTAAATTTTATATGGAACCAGAAAAGAGCCCATATAGCCAAGACAATCCTAAGCAAAAAGAACAAAACTGGTGGTACCATGCTACCTGACTTCAAACTATACAATAAGGCTACAGTAACAAAAACAGCGTGGTACTGGTACCAAAACTGATACATAGACCAATGGAACAGAACAAAGACCTCAGAAATAACACCACACATCTACAACAATCTGATCTTTGACAAACCTGACAAAAACAAGCAATGGGGAAAGGATTCCCCATTATTAAAAGGTGCTAGGAGAACTGGCTAGCCATATGCAGAAAACTGAAACTGGACCCCTTCCTTACACCTTATGCAAAAATTAACTCAAGATGGATTAAAAACTTAAATGTAAAACCCAAAACCATAAAAACCACAGAAGAAAACCTAGGCAATACCATTCAGGACATAGACATGGGCAAAGACTTCATGACTAAAACATTGAAAGCAATTGCAAAAAACGCCAAAATAGACAAATGGGATCTAATCAAACTAAAGAGCTTCTGCACGGCAAAAGAAAGTATCATTAGAGTGATCAGGCAACATACAGAGTGATAGAAAATTTTTCAATCTACCTATCTGACAAAGGTCTAATATCCAGAATCTACAAGGTACTTAAAGGAATTTACAAAAAAAAATACCTCATCAAAAAGTGGGCAAAGGATATGAACAGACACTTCTCGAAAGAAGACATTTATGCGGCCAAGAAACATATGAAAAAAACTCATCATCACTGGTCATTAGAGAAATGCAAATCAAAACCACAATGAGATTCCATCTCATGCCAGTTTGAATGGCAATTATTAAAAAATTAGGAAACAACAGATGCTAGCAAGGATGTGGAGAGATAGGAACACTTTTACACTGTTGGTGGTAGTGTAAATTAATTCAACCATTGTGGAAGACAGTGTGGTTATTTCTCAAGGGTCTAGAACCAGAAATACCATCTGACCCAGCAATCCCATTACTGGGTATATACCCAAAGGATTATAAATCATTCTACTATAAAGACACATGCACACGTATGCTTATTGCAGCACTATTTACAATAGCAAAAAATTGGAACCAACCCAAATGCCCATCAATGATAGACTGGATAAAGAAAATGTGGCACATATACACTATAGAATACTATGCAGCCATAAAAAAGGATGTGTTCATGACCTTTGCAGGGACATGGATGAAGCTGGAAACCATCATTCTCAGCAAACTCACACAGGAACAGAAAACCAAACACCACATGTTCTCACTCATAAATGGGAGTTGAACAATGAGAACACCTGGACACAGGGAGGGGAACATCACACACTGTGGCCTGTCAGGGGGTGGGGCGCAAGGGGAGGGAGAGCATTAGGACAAATACCTAATGCATGCATGCCTTAAAACCTAGATGATGGGTTGATAAGTGCAGCAACACACCATGGCGCATGCATACCTATGTAACCTGTACATTCTGCACAGTACCCCAGAACTTAAAGTATATAAAAATAAAAATAAAAAATAAAATTAAAAAAAGCCTCTCTATGGCAATTAATTAGGAGATAAAGTGACCAAATATAAAATCATTGTTAAAAGTGTGTAATTATATTATTATTCGTTAAATAGAATAAAGACATGTTCATAGCCACAAAAAAGAAACATTATTTTTAATTATATTTATTTATTATAATGTATAAATTGTTATGGGACATGTGGTATTTTATTACATGCATAGAATGTGAAATGATCAAGTCAGGGTATTTTAGGGTATTTGATTTTCTATGTCTTTATTGTTGCTACCATGCCTAGAGGCAATCATACATTTGACTTGAAGTCTTTGCATTCTCCTGACTTTTCCTGCTTTTTGTACATAGATAAGAAGTTATGGTAATTTGGCTTGGTGACTGTGCACTATCAGAGATCATTGGCATGTGTCCACCATAGTGTCTTAATGTCGAAAAGCCCCTTCCTAGATATCTACTCAAACCCCCTATCAGATACCATCCTTCAGGAATCCTGAATTCTTAGCTGAAAACAAAATAATGTGCATGTTTAGAAAAAGATAAACAGACATCCTACAGAACGGAAGAAAATATTCGCAAACTATGGATCTGACAAAGAACTAATATCCAGAATCTACAAGGGACTCAAACAAATCAGCAAGAAATAAATAAATAATCCCAACAAAAAGTGGGCAAAGGACAAGATTAGACAATTCTCAAAAGAAGATATACAGATGGCCAACAAACACATGAAAAGTGCTCAACACCATTAATTATCAGGGAAATGCAAATTAAAACCACAGTGAGATCCCACGTACTCCTGCAAGTCCATAATTTAAAGAACAAAAAATAATAGATGCTGTCATGGATTTGGTGAAAATGGAACACTTTTACACTGCTGGTGGGAATGTAAACTAGTACAACCACTGTGGAAAATGGTATGAAGTTTCCTTTAAGAACTAAAAGCAGAACTACCATTAGATCCAGCAATCCCACTACTGGGTATCTACCCAAAGGAAAAGAAGTCATTATATGAAAAAGACACTTACGCATGTATGTTTATAGCAGCACAATTTGCAATTGCAAAAATATGGAACCAACCTAAATGCCCATCAAACAATGAGTGGACAAAGAAAATGTGGTATAAGTACAACATGGAATACTACTCTGTCATAAAAAGAAATAAGATTATGGCATTTGCAGCAGCCTGGATGGAGCTGAAGACCATTATTCTAAGTGAAGTAATTCAGGAATGGAAAACCAAATATCCTATGTTCTTACTTATAAATGGAAGCTAAACTATGAGGACACAGAAGCATAAGAATGATATAATGGCCATTGGGAACTCAGGGAGAAGGGTGGGAAGTGGGTGAGAGATTAAAGACTACACGTCGATTATAGTGTACACTGCTTGGGTAACAGGTGCACCAAAATTTCAGAAACCACCACTAAAGAACTTATCTATAAAACCAAAAACCACTGTACCCCCAAAAGCTATTAAAATAAAATTTGAAAAAGAAGATATTTTTCAAGACTAATCAACCTATTGAGTATGAGAAAAGCAGCATTCAGGGAAAAAAAAGACATCCAATAAATCCTATGCTTATGTCAAGTTCCAAGAAAGTAGAGACAGAAATATGTCTGCATTGCCATTTGTGGGGCATGAGTAAAAAATACTTACTGAGTATAACCGTATGAGTTGAAAACCCCTTCTTGAAGAGTGGATTGGAATCCATCTCCCAGAGCCAAGTAAATCAGGACTTTTCTAACTATTGTTCCTTCACGTCCCTAGCCATAAGCAGAAATCTAGAATCTAAGGAATTGGACATTTGGTTTGCTTCCAGCCTTCGGGTATTATACAAGAAGCATTTAAAAGCTCATAAACTTCAACTCTAAGCAACTGTAAGAAATCATAAGGTTTAGCTTACTTCTGCTAAGTAGATAGATAGGCACAGAGGCAGCCTGATAATGTGAAACGAATAGGGGCCTTAGAGTCAAACAAACCTAGGTGGAATCCTGGATCCATTACTTATCAGCTATGTTTCCTTTAGAAAGTAACTTAATATTTTGAAATCTCAGCTCATCTGTGGAAATAGATTTAAAAACTCTACTGATACATAGGTTATGAGTGCCACATTAAATGATTCAACATATGCAAAACATTTAGCATATGCTAAATATGCGAAATGCTCAATAAATAGCAATAATTTTCACAGAGTAGATTTTTAAACAACTGCTTCAGTGACATATAATTGCCATACCATTCACCTATTTAAAGTGTGCAGTCTAGTGGTTTTTGATAGTGAAGAATAGAATACATTTTTAAACAGAATTTGGTAGAAATTAGAGCAGGTAAAAGAAAAATTAGATGAATGTTTTTGAATTACTGCATGATCAACTCCTTCTTGGGAAAAAAAATAGGCACTCAAATATAGGTTGATTAAATTAGATTGTCATGAAAATCTCTGTGACCATGCAACCAAGCATTTTCTCATTTTTTAAATGACAAGAGTTGCTTGCATGTCTGCATTCAAAAGAAATATATTTAAAAGGAATATAGTGAAGTAAATGACATAGAAGAATTAGTAGATAGAATTTCTTCAGGAATGACCTGAAGAAAATGAAGGTGGATGATCTTCATCCTAAATCTTTATGAAAACTACCACTTTTGGATATAGTAAAGACAGTGTGTGAAAGAAAACAAATGTAAAGGAAGAGAAAGATGTAAATAAATACAGAAAACCAAACGCCGCATATTCTCACTCATAGGTGGGAATTGAACAATGAGATCATATGGACACAGGAAGGGGAACATCACACTCTGGGGACTGTTGTGGGGTGGGGGGAGGGGGGAGGGATAGCATTGGGAGATATACCTAATGCTAGATGACGAGTTAGTGGGTGCAGCACACCAGCATGGCACATGTATACGTATGTAACTAACCTGCACAATGTGCACATGTACCCTAAAACTTAAAGTATAATAAAAATAAATAAATTTTAAAAAAAAAAAGATGTAAATATAGTATGAGCATACTTGATCAGTTGATACGTGATAAGAAAACTGTGGCCAGTGGTTTTCTAACAGAAGCTGGACTATATGCAGAGATGAGCATCTATAAGAATTTTCCAAGACAACATATTAATATAATGAAAGCTTTTAAAATCATTAGATGAGATATTTTATAAGATCATTTTAGAGGTGGACTTTGTTCATGTATACGTGTTTTATGATAAATATCTTGCCTAGTCCTTTGCCAAGTCACTTTTCCAGAACATACAGCAGATATTTTGCCACAAACTAGCCTGTACTTTAAATAATTGACAGAAAGCGTCTTGGGAAGGCAAGTGTATGCATTTCAAGTTGATAATATTGTCCTTCCATAATATTTTTATTAGTTCAAATGCCAGTTGTGAAATCACCTCATCAAGGATTTTGACTTTAACAGTCCAATTTTAGTGCTTTTAAATACTTCAGTACTCAAGTGTCCATACTTGTATTATTTCACAGTGTTTATCAAACTATCTTTTACATCACATTGAGTCATTCTGTTATGAAAACTTTCTCTGCATATTGATAAATATTTGATGTGAACTTTAGAATTTTGATCAATAAACAATAGTCTCTCTTTTCTCTTTAAGAGAATTTTAATCTCTGAAGTGGCAGGTTGCATTAGCAAGTGATAGTCTCTATTCAATAGTGATCACGTCATATATTATCTCTACATATGTTTTGTTTCATTATATATATAGAAATATATATTTTTCCTATATTGAAATATATATATTTATATTGAAAAATATATATTTTCCTATATATTTCAATATATATCATATATTCATTATATGTTTAATTATATCTAATATATTAAACAAAACACATATACAGGTAATGTTTCATTGTATATCAAGTTTATACCTTATTTCTGAAGAAAAGTTGTCTGCTATGTTTTCCTTCCAGATAAATATTGGAAAATACTCAGATAGCCAGATATTTTGCCTACTTGGAATCTGACATCTAGATATATAGAAGTGGCATTATACAGGAAAACCTCAGTTAAACAGATTGCATAAGAAATGGTGGTTCTTGTTAATTTAATATGCTGGAAACAACAACAAAAATTCATTTGTTTTACTTTTTTGTTAGTAGATATTTTTCTAAAGTGTCAATATCTATTTTATCCCCTTAATAAATAAAGTCTAGTTACCACTAACTCGTTGCTTGTTGACTAAGGATCATATGCTGTTTTTCTAGAAATTTGGATTTAAACAAAGTTTACAACATGAGCTTAAATTTTACGATGTACTTCTTTCTCCTTAAAAGAAAAGACATTTACTTAAGAACTTCTTCAGTTAGTGGAGTTCTGATTAAATGAAATTTTACTTTAATCAAGCATATTGTTCAACTATAGGGATTAAAGGTGTAGATTCTTAATCAGGCTCAATTCCTTGCCTTGCTTCTTCCTAGCAATATGATTTAATGTGATTTATATTTCAGCCCTTGTTATCCTGTCATTTTCTTATCTGTTAAAGGAGAATGATAACAGTATCTAATTTGGAAAGTTATTTTGAGAATTAAATGTGTCATTACATATAAAATTCTTAAGATAGTATTGGTACAGAGTGAACGGTCAATAAACATTGGTGGTTACGAGTGTTTCAGCTGTTTGTCATGGTATGGGCTTAAACAGAGCTTTAGGATTGTGAGAGTGACTGAAAAATCCTTTTATCTACTCATTTTAAACAACTACTCCTTTAGGGGGTTTTATACTACTCCTTGTGGTATCTTCTGAACTTACTGGTAGAAAGAAAAAAAAAGTCTTTATTTTCTTCCTTTATTGCTTCTTCCAGAAAAAGTGAAATGATAAATTCTTAAGGAACAGAACACCTGCCTGTATGTGCCAAGAAATTCAAGACTAAGCTTAAGAAAAGTTATTTCTTTGCAGTAGAACTAGTCTAGGAAATATGTTTCTATTCAAGGATGAGAAGGTTTAGGTTTGAGCTATATTAATAGGAGAAAAATAGCTTTTTGGACGTGAGAGGCTATAGGGCAAGAAGCAGGACCTTGAGCATGAGATATGTGCAGAAGTCAAGGCCAGCTTTGAGCATAGGTATAATGAACATCAGTCTATGTGGTGTAATGTCTAGGGTAGACAAAAACATGTTCTCATCTTCCCCTCTCCAACCTCTATATCCACAAAAGCCTGCTATAGTGTTGCATTTTCCCCACCCTATAATTCTAAACAAGGATTCCATTATCTGGAAAAAGTTGCTTAACTATTAGGCATTTGTTTACTAATATATAGCACTCACTTACAGGAGGACAGAGTCCAAAACAGATAAAGCACTAGATGGAAAAATTTTAATGTGGGAGTTATGTATAGTGGGAACCCAAGGGGAAGAAAGTTAGCACTGGTTGGCTGTTTACTATGGCTCAGGTATTTTGTGAGCCTCATTTTATGAATTGTATATACAACCCTAAAAATAGGCATTATTTTCTCCACATTACAATGAAATAATTGAGACTTGGAGATGCCAAGTTAACTACTCTAGACTACATTGCTTTAAGTGTCAGAGAGGAGAGTTCAATCTGAGATAATCCAAGCTTTTTCCATATCTAATTTTGGAGGAAGTATGTTAGAGCGTTGCAGGTGAGGGAATGAGGCAAGTAATGTAATGAAGATAAGCCCCAAGAGGAAAATACTTCCTCTGATTTTATATCTGTATCTGTAATATCATTATAATATCAATGAATGATTGTCATTCGATGTGACAAATGTAAGACAAAGAAGAGACAGTGTATCAAAGTCTAGTTCATTCAACTAATCCAGGTACTGTGCTTGGAGCTAAGACTAAAGAGGTAAAACAAACCCAGTCACTGCCTTCAAGTTCACTTTGTATTATGACAGAATTCTTGCTTTGTGATTAGTAGGGGAATTAAGAATATGGTTCTCAAACTGGATGCCTGGAGCAGTATTACAAAGGGAAGACAAAATCACAGGCTTAAATGTAGAAAAATATTTTGAGCATCACTTTTACCCAGTAGAAAATAATTTAAAATATGTTAGTTCTTATAAATAACTAACATACAATGAAATAGTATGCACCATTTTCATGGAGTATTTAAAGCTTTATTAAAGTAAACTTCACATTATTAAAAGTGTATAGTTCAATGTTGTGATACAATTATGTATCTGTGAAATTGTTAACACAATCAAGATACTGAGCATATCCATCACCTTCAAAGTTTTCTTGTGTCACTCCTGCCACAAATCCCCTCTCCAGGCAAACATTCTATCTGTTAATATAGGTTAGTTTGCATTTTCTAGAATTTTACATACACGGAATCACAGAATATACACTCTTTTTTGCCTAGTTTCTTCCACTCGGCAAAATTATTTTGAGATTCTTCGATGTTGATGTGTGTATTAATAATGCATTCCTTTTTACTGATGAGTAATATTACATGTGTGGATGGATCAACAATTATTTATCCAATCCCCCTTTGACGGACATTTGGTTTGCTTCCAGCCTTCGGGTATTATACAAAAAGCTTCTATGAATATTCATGTACAAGTCTTTGTGTAGACATTCATTTTCATTTCTCTTGAGTAAAAAACCTAGGAGTAGAACGGCTGGATCATAAGACAGATATATATTTAACTTTTTAGGATATTTAACTTTCTAGGAAACTATGGAACTCTTACCCAAAATAGTTGTATAATTTCACTTTTTCACCAGCAGTATATATGAGAGTTCCAGGTCCTCCACATCCTCACCAACACTTAGTATGAGCACACAGCACACATTTTTATATTTTTATTGTTCGAATAAGTGTGTGGTCTTGATTTGTACATCTTCAATGGTTAATTGTTCATTTTTTATGTGCTTATTACATCTTCTTTGGTGCTGAATCTGTTTAAATATTTTGTCTGTTATTTATTGTATTATTTATTTTGTTATTATTGAATTTTGAGATTATTTTACATATTTTGGATACAAATTAAGTATTATGTGAAATAAAAATGTTTGCCCAAGTCAGTGGCTTGTCATTTCTTTTTCTTACCTGAGAACATAAGTTCCTAACTTTAATAAACTCCAATTTATCAGTGTTATTTTACAGATGATATTTTTGCTATTGTATCTAAGACACCATTGCCTAGTCCAAGGCCATAAAGATTTACACTATCTTTCCTTTTATGAAGTTTATAGTTTTAGCACTTGCAGTTAGTCCTATGATCATTTTGAGTTAAATTTTGTCTATGATGCATGGTGTTGATTGAGACTTCTTTCTTTTGTTCATTCTTGTTTTCGAATATGAATATTTAAATGTTCCAGTATATTTGTTTTTGAAAAGACTATCCTTTCCCCATTGACCTGCCTTTGAATCTCTATAAAAAATCAATTGACCTTTTATAGCCGGCCTATTTCTGTACTTAATTTTGTTCCATTAATAAGCACGTCTGTCTTTATGCCAATAACACACTATATTTATGGCTGTAGATTTATAGTAAGTCTTGAAATAGGGCCATGTAATTCCTTCAACTTCATTCTTTTTCAAATTGGCTTGAATATTCTACATCTTTCACATTTCCATATGAAGTTTAGAATTGTCTTGTCTATTTCTACAAAAAGACTTGCTGAGATCTTGATTGGGATTGTATTGAATTTCTACATCAATTTGAGAACTAACATTTTAACAATATTAAGTCTTCCAACCCATAAACACAGGATATCTCTACACTCATTCAGGCTTTTATTTTATCTCAGTAATGTGTTTGCATTTTTAAGTGTACAAGGATTACACATCTTTTGCCTAATTATTTTCTATGTTTTATTTTTTGGTTACAAGGATATATGGCATATTGGTGAAGTCTGGGTGTTTGGTGGAGCCATAGTGTACATTGTACCCATTAAGTAATTTCTCATCCCTCACTCCCCCACACACTCCCACCTGAGTTTCCAATGTCTATTATTTCACACTTTGCATCCATGTGTACACACAGTTTAGCTCCCGCTTATAAGTAAGAACATGCAGTATTTGACTTCTGAGTTATTTTACTTAAGATAATGGCCACCAGTTCCATCCATGTTGCTGTGAAAGATACAATTTCATTTTTAATGGTGCAATAGTATTTCATTCTATGTATGTATATGTATACTATATTTTCTTTATCCATTAATCCATTGATGGGTACAGGTTGAATCCATATCTTTGCTATTGTGATAGTGCCATGATAAACATACGAGTGTAGTTATCTTTTGAAAATAATGATTCGTTTTCTTTTGGGTAGATACCTGGTAATGGGATTGCAAGATTGAATGATAGTTTTATTTTTAGTTCTTTAAGAAATCTCCATACTGCTTTCCATAGAGGATTCCCTAATTAGCATTCCCACCAACAGTTTATGAGTGTTCTCTTTTCTCCACATCCTCACCAACATCTGTTATTTTGTTTTACTTTTTAATAACAGCCATTATGATTAGTTTTACTTTGCATTTCTCTGATGATAAGTGAAGTTGTTCATTATTTCACATGCTTTTTGACCATTTGTATGCCTTATATTGAAAAATCTATACATGTCCTTTGCCAACTTTTTAATGGGGTTATTTATTTTGTTGTTGTTTTTGTTGAGTTGTTTAAGTTCCTTATAAATTCTGGATATCAGTTCCTTGCCATATGTGTATTTGGCAAATATTTTCTCCCATTCCCTAGGTTGTTTGTCCATTCTGTTGATTATTTCTATTGCTGTGCTGAAGCTTTCTAGTTTAATTAAATCCCATGTGTCTATTTTTGTTTTTGTTGTTTGTGCTTTTGAGTTCTCAGTTATGAATTCTTCATCTAGACCAATGTCCAGAAGAGTTTTCCCTATGTTTTCTTTTAGTATTTTAATACTTTCAGTTCTTACATTTAAATCATCTTGAGTCAATTTTTGTATATGGTGAGAGATAGGGGCCCAGTTTTATTCTTCTGCATATGGAAATCCAGTTTTTCCAGCACCATTTATTGAAAAGGACATCCTTTCCCAGTGTATGTTTTTGTCAACTTTGTCAAAGATCAGTTGGCTGTAGATATGTGGCTTTTTGAGTTCTCTATTCTGTTTCATTGATCTATGTGCCTATTTTCATGCTAGTGCCATAGTTCATGTGCTTAAATGTTACCATAAACGATATGTTTTTATCGGGGGAAATTCAGCCCCTGATATTTCATATAGGTTCTTTTCTATTTTCCCTATGTGTTGGCCAGTCTGAGAAATAAAGGGACAGAGTACAAAAGAGAGAAATTTTAAAGATGGGTGTCCGGGGGAGACATCACATGTTGGCAGGTTCCGTGATGCCCCCTGAACCGTAAAACCAGCAAGTTTTTATTAGTGATTTTCAAAAGGGGAGGGAGTGTACGAATAGGGTGTGGGTCACAGAGATTACATGCTTCACAAGGTAATAAGATATCACAAGGTAATAAGATATCACAAGGTAAATGGAGGCAGGGCGAGATCACAGGACCACAGGACCAGTGTGAAATTTAAATTGCTAGTGAAGTTTGACGCATGTATTGTCATTGATAACATCTTATCAGGAAACAGGGTTTGAGAGCAGACAACCGGTCTGACCAAAATTTATTAGGTGGGAATTTCCTCGTCCTAATAAACCTGGGAGCACTACAGGAGAATGGGGCTTATTTCATCCCTCTGCTATGACCGTAAAAGACAGCCGTCCCCAAAGCGGTCAGTTCAGAGGCCTCCCCTCAGGGACACATTCTCTTTCTCAGGGATGTTCCTTGCAGAGAAAAAGAATTCAGCGATATTTCTCCCATTTGCTTTTGAAAGAAGAGAAATATGGCTCTGTTGCACCTGGCTAACCGGCAGTCAGAGTTTAAGGTTATCTCCCTTGTTCCCTGAACATTGTTGTTATCCTGTTCTTTTTTCAAGATGCCCAGATTTCATATTGTTCAAACACACATGCTCTACAAACAATTTGTGCAGTTAACGCAATCATCACAGGGTCCTGAGGTGACATACATCCTCCTCAGCTTACGAAGATGACGGGATTAAGAGATTAAAGTAAAGACAGGCATAGGAAATCACAAGGGTATTGATTGGGGAAGTGATAAGTGTCCATGAAATCTTCACAATTTATGTTCAGAGATTGCAGTAAAGACAGGCATAAGAAATTATAAAAGTATTAATTTGGGGAACTAATAAATGTCCATGAAATCTTCACAATTTATGTTCTTCTGACATGGCTTCAGCTGGTCCCTCCATTTAGGGTCCCTGACTTCCTGCAAGAGTTTTAAATTTTAATTTCCTATTTTTTTATTTATAGTTCATAAAAATACTGGTGATATTTTTACATTGGTTTTTATCCTGCAAGCTTGCTAAACTTACTTATTAATTCTAGAACTAATATTTGTAGAACACACAGGTTTTCTACATTGGTGATTCTCTCATAAGAGAATAAGGAAAGTTTTACTTTCCCCTCTCCAATCTGAATGTCTTTAGTTTTTTTCTCTTGCCTCATTGCACTGGCTAGAACATTCAGTACAAGGTTGAATAGAAATGGTGTAAGCAGACACACTTGCTTTTTTCGTAATCTTAAGGGAAAATAATTTAGTCTTTCACCAGTAAGTATGATGGATGTTAGCTGTAAGTTTATCATAGATAACCTTTACATGTTGAGAAAATTTCCGTCTATTTTTAGTTTTGTTGAGAACTTTTTATTATAAATGGATGTATAGATGTTGGTTTTGACAAATACTTTGCATAAATTGAGATGATTGTGTCTTTTATTAATTCATTAACATAATGAATTACATTTAATTGATTTTGAATGTTAAACTAACCTGGCATTGCTAGACTGAACTCCATTGGGCTATAACATATTGTTTTTATTAAATATTGTTTTATTTAACTTGCTAAAGTTTTGTTAAAGGTTTTTTTATCCATACTCATGAAGATTACTGGTCCATAGTATTATTTTCTTGTAATATTTTATATGGTTTTGGTATTAGGTTAAAGTTGGACTCATAAAATGATTTGGAAGATATTTTCCCTTCTCAAATTTTCTGTTAAAGTTCTTGAAGAATTAATATTATTTCTTTTCAAAATATTTGATAGAATTCATTAGTGATTCTACATGGGGCCTGGTATTTGCTTTTTCAGAGGATATTTAATTATTAATACATTTCTTTAATAGATATGAAGATATTCAGGTTTTCTATTTTTATGAGTGACTTTTTGTTAGTTTCTGTCTTTCAAAAGATTCACCCATTTCATCTAAGTTTTAAAATTTATTGTCATAATATTCTGTTATTATTTTAATATCCATAGAATCTATAGTCATGTCATCTCTGTCATTTCTCATATTGATATTTTGTCATTTTTTTCCATTTCTTGGCTAGTTGTTTATTAATCTCAATAAAACTAATTTTAGTTTCATTGATTTTCTAAATTTCTGTTTTCTTTTTCACTAATTCCTCTTTTGATCTTTATTGTTTATTTTCTTCCTTTATCTCTGGGTTTAATTTGCCCTTCTTTTTTTGTTAAAAATAGAGGCTGAACTAATTTACACTCCCACCAACAGTGTAAAAGCATTTCTGTTTCTCCACATCCTCTCCAGCACCTGTTGTTTCCTGACTACTTAACGATCCCCATTCTAACTGGCATGAGATGGTATCTCATAGTGGTTTTGATTTGCTTTTCTCTAATGACCAGTGATGATGAGCTTTTTTTGTTTGTTTTTTCGTTGGTAACATAAATGTCTTCTTTTGAGAAGTGTCTGTTCATATCCTTCACCCAATTTTGATGCAGTTTCTTCCATGTAGATTCTGGATCTACAGAATCCAGAATCCTTTGTCAGATGAATAGATTGCAAAAATTTTTTCCCATTCTGTAGGTTGCCTGTTCACTCTGATGATAGTTTCTTTTGCTGTGCAGAAGCTCTTTAGTTTAATTAGCAACCATTGTGGAAGACAGTGTGGCGATTCTCAAGGATCTAGAACCAGAAATACTATTTGACCCAGCAATTCCATTACTGGGTATATACCCAAAGGATTATAAATCATTCTACTATAAAGACAAATGTGCACATATGTTTATTGCAGCACTATTCACAATAGCAAAAACTTGGAACCAACCCAAATGCCCATCGATGATAGACTGGTTAAAGAAAATGTGGCACATATATACCATAGAATACTTTGCAGCCATAAAAAAGGATGTTTTCATGTCCTTGGGTGAAGCTGGAAACCATCTTGCTCAGCCAACTAACAGAGGAACAGAAAACCAAACACCGCATGTTCTCACTCATAAGTGGGAGTTGTCAATGAGAACACATGGACACAGGGAGGGAACATCACACACTGGGGCCTGTTGGGGGTGGGGGTAGGGGAGGGATAGCATTAGGAGAAATACCTAATGTAGATGACAGGTTGATGGGTACAGCAAACCACCATGATATGTGTACGCCTATGTAACAAACGTGCACATTCTGCACATGTATCCCAGAACTTAAAGTATAATGAAAAAAATGTAGAAGCTGATGTCATTTACTTGAGAATCTTCTTTTCTAATACATGTGCTTAGTGCAATAATTTTTCTGCTGCATATTGTTTTGTGTTTTACAAAATATATATATTATACAAATATCACTTTTCCATTTGTTGGGAATCTAAAAAGGTGATTCTTAAACTGAATGTGTACAGTGCTAATGCAAAGAGAACACAAAACAAAGGCTGAACATTAGAAATAATTTTAAACTTCAATTTTATTAATGACAAATAATTTAAAAGGACACATAATGGCATAGCATGAAATATTTTAAGGTATTTTTACCGGATAAAACATATGATTTCAAGAAATCATGTCCTTTGCAGCAACATGGATGCAGTTGGAGGTCATTTTCCTAAGTGAATTAAGGCAGGAACAGAAAGGCAAATACTACACGTTCTCACTTATAAGTGGGAACTAAACATTGAACACACATGCATATAAACATGGGAACAATAGACACTGCAGACTAGTAGAGGAGGAATGGCGGAGGGAAACATGGGTTGAAAAACTACTTAACCCGTACTGTGCTCACTACTTGGTGGGAGCATCTGTATCACTACCTGGTAGCATCTCACTACCTGGTGGTGGGATCTATATTCCAAACCTCAGCATCATGCAATATTTCCATATAACAAACCTGCACATGTACCCCTATATCTAAAATAAAATTAAACTAATCTTTAAGGAAGAAATTTTATGCTGATGGTAAGCCACCTTGCTCTAATTCATCCAAACTCTTTGGAGGGTCTGTTTTATTCTCCTTTATTGCCAGAAATGCATTATCAAAAATTCGTGATAAGCACAGAACTATATGATATAATAGAGGTATACACAGAGGCCAGCAGAGAAAGCATGCGTGGAAAAAACATGGAAGACTTCACAGAGCAATAAAATGGCATGTGTATTGGAGAATTAATAAGAGTTCATGGAGGACATATGGGGTGTGGTTGTAATATAAATGTGTACTTTGTTGGAAAAGCTTTCTGCGACAGAATTGGGAGATCACTGAAACCTGTGGGGAAGTAGAGGTTATAGGGCTGATGTAGTTTAAGGCCAATGAGGCAGAATAATCCCTGCTCTAAGCATAGGAATATGGACTATATAACAGAACTCACAAGAGGAAATATGATGAGTATCTGCTGAATAAGTCATTGCTGAAATCCTTTCCTTAAACCTTGTGCTTCAGGACTTACATGTAGCTTCTTATTTGTGAAGCAACACATCCTGTCTGATTTTTTTGGATAGTGCTAAACTTGACTGAAATTCTGACTATAAACGATCAAGAGTAGAAAAATGATTTAAAAAATAGTTGCAAATACTATGTCAGTACTTTAACAGAAAATGCTAATGTCTATTTAAATAGTTTGGTATATTGTACATATTTTTAAAAGATTATCTAAATTTTATCCTCATAAAATCCAGGAAAAAAACAGCATTTTTTTTTTTTTTTTTTTTTTTGAGACAGTCTCGCTCTGTCGCCCAGGCTGGAGTGCAGTGGCGTGCTCGGCTCACTGCAGGCTCCGCCTTCCGGGTTCACGCCATTCTCCTGCCTCAGCCTCCCGAGTAGCTGGGACTACAGGCACCTGCCACCACGCCCGGCTAATTATGTTTTTGTATTTTTTTAGTAGAAACAGGGTTTCACCGTGTTAGCTAGGATGGTCTCGATCTCCTGATCTCGTGATCCGCCCGCCTGGCCTCCCAAAGTGCTGGGATTACAGGCGTGAGCCACCACGCCCGGCCAAAAAATAGCACTTTTTGTAGTGGTTTCTTTGAAATGGTGAAAGTATTTAGGCTAAGCATTTTAATCGGTTGTAGAGGTAGGGCTAAGAAATAAAAAAGAACACAGATCAGGAATAATGAGACATCTATCAGATTGTCTCATGGATTTTTTTTTAGTTTTACAAATAATCTTTATTGAAAATGGAAGAGTTCCAATCTCTTTACCCCAAGGATTTACCAGCAAGTTTAGCAATTAGAACTTGATGTAATAGATGCTGTTTTAATGGATTATGGTCTATGAGTTTTCTAAATTTTGAGCAGCTATACGAAATGAAAAAGGTTCAGTAGTGAGGCTTTTCTTTTTTGTTCTAGCAGCTGAATATTGGAACAATTTTGGGTTTGCTGCAGTGCTTCAGTCCCTTCTCTGCTATCATTTGCTATTATGTCAGAATAGCTTTGAGTTTCCTTCACAAAGCTCTGTTGGGACATGTATTCAAATCATTTCTGCGCATTACAAATTACTTCACAACATCAAGAAGTGACAATGCTGTGATTCCTTTTCTAGAGTAGGCATGATCTAAATTTATTGGGGAAAGGGGTCCTATGTGAACGATGTATTTTGATAGGCAAAGAGAACCAATGATTAATTTTCATTGTGCCCATAATGCCCCCCCAACCTGCTTAAGTAACAACTTGCTTCCTATCTTGCTAGACTTCGAGGTCTTTAGGTAAACAATCTTATACTCTCTCACTGGAAAAGAGTCAAAGAAAATAGAGAGAGATGATTAAATGCACAATTTTCTGAGATAAGTAGGAAAGTCAATACAACAGCAAGCATAGAAGACTTTCCAGGTTGCAGATGAAATATTGTCCATTTAAATTTTTTACTCTGGGTTTTCTCTTGCTTTGTATCTGGAGTGCTGATGGAGTAAGAGAATACCAGTTGATGATCAATGATTGTCTTTAGACTTCAAGCTATATCTGAGGAACTCTTTTTAAGTAAATTATTTCTGGAGTTCAATTTCAAAGGCAACGGAATTCCTTTCTCCGTTTATATGCTTTGATTTACTTTGTGTTCTGCTTTGTTATTTTGAAGGGAAAATGTCCTCTTGGTGTAGAGTTCCTTTTACTGTGCTATCTTATGAAGTTTGCAGAAGGGTTTATTGCTTTTTCTAGAGCACAATAAAGTTCAACTATCATACTTCTACCTGCAAAATAAAAGGAAAAAAAATTACTACACATACACAGTCTCTGAGAGTCAGCCAGACCTTAACAAGAAATATATGCCCATCAGGGCAACCCATTAGATTTTACTTTTTTTTTTTTTTTAAGAGATGCACTCATTCTCAACCTCTTTTGAAGGGGGAAAAGAAAATAATTCACTCGGTCAGTTTTGCACACAAAGGAGAAAACTTTCTGCCAACCCCGTCACTTGAGCATGAGAAATGACTCTTGTTATACATAGATAACAAATGTCAAATTTAGAATAAATTGAATAGAACACTAAGGTCCCTGAGATTGGCATTTCAGGGGAATGCACAGGTCTAGGCATACAGAGAAGTGGACAAAAAAAAAAATAAGAGAAACAATTGGAGGATATGCATGAAAGGTCATGTAGAAGAGCCTACTAAAAATAGGTGCACAATATAGGTTGGTCATTATGGGGGCAAGTTAGAGAGAGGGGCATCATCCATCACTGTGGAAACATAGGAATTGGTTTAATGATCCATTTAAATGGATTTGTGATTTAGAAAGTGGCATTAACTTGCATTTGAATAAAAACATGCACAATAAGTGATAGAACAAGGACAGAAGGACCTGGCTTCTATGAATAGAGGTAATCTCTTTCCCCGTCCTTTTTTGCCAAATTTAATTTAGGTAAAGAGAACTGAATTCAGTCAGATAATGAGAGATAATTTTGATGAATTCTTGGAAATTATTTTTAAACTTTCTTAGAAATAACCTTTGAGGAGAGCAACATTGAGCAGAGAAAAATTAAACACTCCAAATTCTAATTTCTCTTTTGCCACTAATTAGCTAACACTATCTTTGCCAACTTTTCAGGCCTCAATTTCTCCATTTATGAAAAGAGAATTTCTAAGGCGATTTCTAAATTCCCTTTCTATTATTACATTTTATTGCCCTCCACAAATATTTACTGAATACCTGCTAATCCTGGAGCCAGATTGCTTGAATTCAAATCTTGCTTGCAACTTGTAAGTTGTGTGACCTCGAATCAAGTTTAACTTATCTGTGCTTTGGTTCCTTGATCTATTATATAATTCCAATAACTATATGATAGAGTTGTTATTGAAGATGAAATGAGTTAATATATTTAAAGTGCTTATAAAAGTTTCTGGCATACAGTATGCTTTACTAAAGTTTAGTTATTAATATATCAAATGCTGTGTTAAGTGTTGGGGAATAAGAATAGTTAAGAGATTAATTGTGTCTTCAAGGAATGTGCAGTCTGTGGGAGCAACTCAGAAAGGTAAACAAAGACTGATGGGACCAAATCTACCTGAAAGTTCAGGAAAGCCTTCACAGAGGAGATAACATTTTGAAATAAGCCTTAAAGGTTTAAAAATTTACCAATGGGGAGGAAGATTAAAAGGTATTCCAAGTTAAGGGGATGATGAGAAGAGGCACACAGACATGCCAGTGAATGGTAGGAAGTTCTAAGGTATATGACTCATATGCAAGCTACACAAAACAAAGTATTTGAGTATTTGACTGATTCATTAGTCACTGTCCAATGTTGAATACCTCAACTGAACAATTCTTGTACCCAGCAAAGTCTTATAACTCTCTGGTTTGTCTAGGAATAAGTTGATTTCTAGTGTGTTCTAAACAGTTGGTTAAGTGTGGTTAAGGTCAGCAGACAGAAAGCCTTTACATAAAGTGACACTTTCTATACTATGCCCCTTTGGGCATGATAAGCATTTACAGTGTCATGGCCTACCCATTATACACAATGCCTTCCACCACACCTGGTATCTTGTTTAGTCCAACCAAGTCAGCTCTGACTAGCGAAAAAGTCCCTTGATCTTTTTCTTTTCAGCTTTACTGAGGTATAATTGAAAAATAAAAATTGTATATATTTAATGTGTATGATGTGATGTTTTGCTATACATATACATTGTGTAATGATTATCACAGTCAAGTTAATTAACATATCTATCACCTCATATAATTATCTTAATTTGTGGTGAGAATACTTAAGATCTCTTCTCTCAGCAAATATCGAGTATACAACATATTATTATTAACTATAGTCACCAGGCTGTGCATTCGGTTTTCAGAACTTACTCATTTTATCACTGCACAATTGTACCCTTTGACCATCTTTCTGTTTCCTCCACCCTGTGACTCCTGGTAACCACCTTCTACTGTTGGCTTCTATGAGTTCCACTTCTTTAGATTCCAAGTATGAGATCATGTAGTATTTCTCTTTCTGTGTCTAGATCATTTCACTTACCATAATGTCCTCCAGGTTCATTCATGTTTTTACAACTTGATTTTAATAGTCTCAATCCACAAGCTGATGGGGGCCAGGAATTAAACGTCATCCATATGCCTTACTTTCCTTGTTTAGCAGCACAATTCCCCTAAGGGAGCCATATTTACTCTTTTACTCCATGACCTATAGTAACCAACTCACATTTACTGAGGATGAGACAATACATGGGAGTCACGGCACTGTTGTCCATTATCTTTTTCATATTTGCTATCAAGCTACTGTGACTTACCATTTATATCAGACCTCCCCTGATACAAAAGCTTGACCAAACCACAGGCAGATCTCCCATACTTCTATGCTTTATATGCATTTATATGAACCAAGTATCTTTCCCATAATCCCTATCTCATAAAGTTGCAGATGTCCCCACCTTCTCTGATGACAAGGTGCTGAAGTTCCGACTGGCTATGTGGCTTATGCCATTTGAATAATGATCATAGAAGAACTAAAGGTAGATATTTTTGCTATGAAATGTGAAAGAAATGAATATGAGTCATATTAAAAGGGATTGTATAGACTAATCATCATTAGAAAGAGGTAAACGGAAATAATATTTGGACTTGTATCTAGCAAATTCCAGCAGATTTTCAGTGTTTTGCTCTACAGTATCTTTTAATATGATATATGCCAAAGATGTAGGCTAAAATATAGTATACAGTTATCCAAGGATCATATGCTTGAATTCTAATACTTATTCCTAATAACCCAACTGGTTTTGAAAATTTTAGTTTTGGGTGCCTATATAGCAGCTTGCAGATTCAAAGTGTATTATTTTCCAAATTTGGCCCATTGGTGACCTAACCACCATATATTCTGTGAAAAACAACTCAGGCCCCAGTACTCTTGTTTATCTGTCTTGGAAGGAAATCAATCTATAAATCATCTGCTAAAAATATCCTGCCTCCCCAACATTTTGGCACATGGTGATGTCTGTAGAACTTAGCTATGTCTCCTTTAAGTCATTGAAAATGTTCAAATACAAATGTGCTTTTGCTGAAATGTCTTTTGTCAGATGTAAGTGATGAGATCAACATTTGTGAGTCTTTACAGTTTAGCTTTCATGCCTTTACTAAATGATCTCCAAACATCACTGATGGAATATATTGCATTATGTATCTTAAAACATTGATATTTTATTTATTAAACATTTAAATAGTTTTAAATGACTGTGTTTACACTCTGGATTTAAAAATTTGGAAATATTATCTTAAATAAGTTACAATGTATTGACTAAATAATCTGGCAGATGCTGGAACAACTTAACCTTCAGGACAGATGGAAATCATGTTTAAATCCATAAAAAAAAAAAGCTAAGTGAGGCGATAGATATGTTAATTAGCTTGATTTAATCATGCCACATTGTATACATATACTAAAACATCACATTGTATCCCATAGATGTATACTATTATGATTTATCAATCAAAAATAATATTAACCATAATTTTTAAGGAAAAATCCAGAGATCAGTAAATGTCGGTGGTTCTTTCATATATATCCCTTGGATGCATATCCATAGGACCCAGTTTCTCTTGCACAAGTTACATAATAGAATAAAGCAGGACAAAGGAAAAAACATTGTTATCTTCATTTAATTCTAGGTCACTTAATATGAAAAGTGCCATTTGATTCCATTTTGCATATTTAATTTTTACTTTAAGACACAATTTTCAGTTTTACCTCCTATTTTCACTGCAATTCATGTGAATTGATAGTTTCTCTCTCTTTTATTCTATTTAATTTTTTTCTTTGCTGTTTCTACTTTAAGCTCTATGCTCCAGTCTGGCTGGTTTCCTGTCAGTTCCTGGGACACATGATGCTCATTTGTGTGTCAAGGCCTTCAGTTCCTCAGAGAGGCCTTTTGTAGCCTCAAAACTGGTTTAGAGCCACGATAGCACCAGTATTTACAATTTTTAATATTCCTCACATCTATTTTACTTATTCAGTGTCAGTCTTCTCCACAGCCTAAGGTTTGTGAAGTCAGAACTCATATTTAATTTGTTCACTACTATAGTCTCAGTATCCTCAGTGCTTAGCATATAGTTAATGAGTTTCTGGAAACCTTTCCAGGAAACCCTTCCAGGTTAATCTCTTCAGACACTTAGCAGTTGTAGCAATGGTTTCTTTAGGTGTTATGTATGGTACGGATTATATAAGTTTCCATTTGCTTGTCATTGGCCCTGTAGACATCAAATTTTTGCCATAGAAATGGTTTTATCTTCCCAAACTAGACTAGAGCCCACTGATGGATAGAATAAAGTCTAATTCTTTGATATTACCTGTCTTGGCAATCATCATGCTCTGACTTAGTTGAAAGTAAGTGCTGTTGTATGAAGATACGCAGAAACAGGAATACCTCTAAATATAGAGATAGTCTTGTTTTCTTGTCCAAGTTGTGTTGAGTCCTATTCTGGACTGAAATTGGAATGATTACTTTTCCTGCACTAGTGTACATCAAACATTTGAATTAGGAGGCAGAATAAATATGTTTAATTTCAAGAAACTAACTACAATTTCATTTATAACGTATATATGTAGGCGTAAGTTAACTTCTTTCAAAATTATTCCTGCTCAAAAACGTTTAAAATGATGAGAGGTAAATTGGTTTCACATTTGTTGCTTCACAAGCGTACAGAATATTGTAATCATTGGATTTATTTGCTACCGAAGGATGAGAATTCAGACTTAAGCAAATCCCATAGGAGAATATTTAAAAATTCATTTTGTTTCTTATTAAGATTCAGGCATATGTTACTTTACTTTGATGCACACACACACACACACACACACACACACACACACACACACGGGAAGAGAGAGAGAGAGAGAGAGAGAGAGAGATTCAACTTGCATGCTCTATTCTCTGGCCCTGTTGGCCTAATATTAGGTTGGCACAAAAGTAATTGCGGTTTTTGCCATTTAAAGTAATGGCAAAAACCACAATAATTTTTGCACCAACCTAGTAGTTCCTGAAAAAACAAGGAGATTACAGAGTTAGTAGTAGTTAAATGTGTAGGTTGATTATACTCTATTTCCAGGTAAATCTTAAGTGAAGACACAAGCCCTTTCTCACCGACACCTCCATAGGAACTAATATTCAGCCTAGACTTACGGTGCCAGATTTTGTACTTTTAATATAGTTGGTATGTGGTAATGTTTTGTTTAATTTATGAAGTTAATAATGCTGTGATGGCCATGAAAAAAATATAAACTATTGAAGCATAGTATCCTGGATCGGAAATTTTAATGGCCATTGTGTAGCAATAAATCAGATGAACTATATAGAGCTGTTACATGCTTGTTTTAGCTAAAAATATTGTTTTGGTTCTGCCACAATTTTTCCCAATATCTTCTGTTTATTTGCTTACTGCTGTAAATTAATTTAAATCTGAAGGTAACATACGGTTTTTGAGTCATGGCCAGAGGATTATAACTTCTTACATATCTAAGGAATTATACTTATCTATTGTCATTTTCTTCTTCTCCAGACTTAGAAGATTGCTCTGCAAAGAGTAGGCTCTCCCTACAGCAGTGGTTCCCAAACATCACTGTGGTTTTCACCTAAAGTGTGGGTCAAGAATCTGCATTTTATGAATTTCTTCTCTCAGGTGATTCTTATGTAGATGTCCCATGGGCCCCCTTTTAAGAAATATTGCAATAATATTTGATACCTGGCTGATGAAAGAGGAAGACAATTTGACAACAGCTTGGCAAAACCTAAAAAGTTTAGGATTTTGATAAGTAAAAATTTAAGCTCTGTTAAAAACAATGCAAATTCACTGTAGTGAAGACAAGTTGAACCAGATACGGCAGAGGATGTTTGAGGACTTACTCTGCTGTCAACACATTTTCTCCAATAAGAGAACACAATTATCTGGTACTGATGCTTCAACAATGGTGATACGTAAAAAGAGAGGCAAAAAAATCATGTAAAACATTCAGTAGTCCTTGTTACATGGAAGAGCAGAGTACTATGAGATAGATTAAGACCTACTGGTCTGTTTTCCTAAAAATTTTATATGGGCTTAATTTGTTTGTTTGTTACAGACCACTTAACTAAATTTATGAACTAAGGGAGGTGCCTGAGAGGCGCATCTGGGAGCTTTGCAAAGTTTCAACTATATTTTTAAACAGTACTGGGGCAGGGAGAATCTAGCTAACACCAATTATGCAATATGTGCATAATGTGTTAATTCTAAGATGTACTTCTGTACTGATTAGCCATAAAATATGCATTAATTTGTCTTGAATTATATCTGAGCAGGAAAGAAACAATCTTGAAAAAAGCATCTGTTTAAAAACTTTTTCAACCATTTTAGTAATGGAATATAGGATTTTAAATATGTTGGGTAACCTTTTTGTGCACATTTTAGAAAATAAAAAATGATGGGGCAACACAATTATTTACCCAATGGCATAAAATAACATTGAAGATTTGTTTATAGAAACCATATCAAAGTGATATTAGAATAACTTGTGTTAGTAGGCAAGGAAATTTTATAATTGTACTGTGATTCTGTAGTGCCCACATCAGCAATTGAAAATGATAATATCCATTTGAACTCCGCTACTGTGGTTACTTGTAGCATTGTCCCCCTTCCCCTTCCTTGGCCCTACGGGAAAAAATGTGTGGGATGTACAAGGTCACTCTATTGCAATATGTGAAATCACTAGTTATAAATTCCCTGGGAAAGAATTCAAAAGGCCTGTGTTCTCATCCAGACTCTACCACTAATAGATCAGCGTAATTTGTCACTTCGTTTTCTAGGCTTCAGTTTCCTCATATGTCAAATGTGGATAATTCCTGCTTTATCTTTTTTATAACACTTTATTTAAAATTGTTCTGAACTAAATATTTCTGTAGATGCTCATACTGGTTCTGAGAGATAGGTCAGATAGAGTCTATACCATAGAAAAGAGTTACTGCAAGGAAAGGCAGTCTGGGCTTAACTAAGCCTTGCTATCAGACATGAATTAAGATTATACTTACCATGCAACTTAAACTACAATTCAGATCATTGGCATAGGGATAGGTGAGGTATTCTGAGAGAGAAAAACATCCTGTTTAAGATATTGTGGTAACTGAGAGGTAGCATTTCGAATTTTTGTCATAATAAAATGTGTCAGGAAAAGATATGTTTTTTCTTTAGGAGCAATTTCTTGACATAAAACAGGGAAAACTATCTGGCATGAATGAAAAAGCTGTTGCTATTAACTTCTAGAACTACTCTGTCCTATATGGTAGCCACTAGCCACATATGGATATTTAAATTTAAATTAATTAAAATAAAATAAAAATTAAATCTCTCATAGTATCCATATTTTAAGTGTTCAATAGCCACTGTTGTCCTATTTTGGACAACACAGACATAAAACATTTCTATAATCACAGAAAGTTCTATTAGACCGCACTGCTCTGTAGTAATAGCTAACCAAGAAAAGCAATTGGAAAAAAAAGTTACCCTAATAATTATTGTTGCTTTTTGGGCAATATAAACTCTCAGAGTTTCTTTCTTTAAACATTTCCCTTTTCGTCTTATTCCTATCTCATCTAACATCGCCTCCCACCCTTACTCTGTTAACATCTTGGCTTAGACCTTAGATAAATGTTACAGAAACAATCAATCTGTATTGGTGAAAACGAAGGAAACATAAATCATTGATTATGCTTTAATCCCCAAAGAAAAACTCAATAGGAAGAAAACCACTGTTTTGCCTATTTTGTTTCAGTCTAGAGAAATGAGCTGGAAGCCTGGAGGGTGGATTTTTTTCTTCTTTCCCTCTGTCTTCTTATCTAGCAAATGCTTATGTCAAATTAAATAACCTCTAGGCATCCTTGCTGCTGTGATTTTTAACCTGAAATTCACTGACTGTTTTATAGGCAGGGTTAACAAGGATTCTTTTCTGAGAAGCTGAACTAACAGTGTCGGAAAGGTTTTCCAACTCTAGGATTCTAAGAGGGATTTTTAGGTTTTCCCATCATTTTGGTTCTTTTTTGGTACCCATGTGTCCATTGACTCCAACTTTTCTACTAACCACAAATTTAAAATAAATAATTCCATATTGCAATTTGGGGAATCTGGGTGTTTTATATAAGCCTCACAGTAACCACAAAGAAAAAGCCTCTAGTAGATACACTAAAGATAAAGAGAAAGGAATCAAAGCATTTCACTACAAAAATTCAACAAATCACAGAGACAGCAAAATTAGCCAAACCATTTCTGAAACCATGTTCTTCAAAGAACAAACAAAGATGAGTTTTAGAGCCACACATTTTTAGTTTGAACTACTAAAAACTTCAAAGGAGCTATTTAGAAAAAAGAGGAGTAGGGAAACAAAAAAAAAAAATTTATAGGAGAGAGAAACCAAAAGGAATTGATAATACATGCATATAAAAGTTAAGGTTGTGTTTGTTGTAAGTTGTTAGGGGCAGAAGTGGGGTAGTGAAGAGGATTAAACCAACAACCACAGTAGTGAGACTGAAAACTTTAGGAACGCCCTCTGATCTATCGGAAAAACAGGAGCATTTAGCTCCTACTTAGGGCAAAGAAGAATATGGTATAATTGGATCCTTAATGAAAGAACAAAAGAGGATGAGAAAATCAAAAGATGATATAACATTTGAAGAATTCCCAAGAGGTGGTTTAGAGACTGAACCCATGGCAACCCACAAAAGCTGCTTGGAAAATCTTTCTGGCGCTACATTTCTACAATTATCTCCAATAGGCTGGTAATAGTACTGACTGTGGGACAAGAAACCTAGATTTCACACTCAGCTTTGTCACTACTAAATGATTGAAATAGGTCTGTTCACTTCCCTTCTTTGGGATAATTTACCCTATATGTAAAAGGATGGTTTTCAATTCGTGGACCAGATGATCACTAAGGTTTCTTTTTTCTTTTTTCTTTTTTTTTTTTTTTTTTTTTTGAGACAGAGTCTCGTTCTGTTGCCCAGGCTGGAGTGCAGTGGCGTGGTCTTTCTTTGCCCACTGCAACCTCTGCCTCCCGGGTTCAAGTGATTCTCTTGCCTCAGCCTCCCGAGTAGCAGGGATTACAGGTGCCTGCCACCATGCCTGGCTAATATTTTGTATTTTTAGTAGAGATGGGGTTTCACCACGTTGGCCAGGCTGGGCTCTAACTCCTGACCTCATGATCCGCCTGCCTTGGCCTCCCAAAGCACTGGGATTACAGGTGTGAGCCACCGCGCCCAGCCCGATAACTAAGGTTTCTTGCACTGCTACAATTATCTAATTTGTTGAGGAACATCATGACAATAATGATGATAGCTACCATTTATTGCCTGCTTATTATATGATATGGAGTGTTCAAAATGCTTCATATGAATCTAGTGCTCATTTAGTGATCGTTACACAGTGAGGTAGAAATTATTATAACCACTATTGTTATATGCAAAAATATGATACCTCAGAGATAATAGATATATTGTCCAAATTACCAGCTGGTAAAGCCAGGATTTGAACTCCAATCTATCTGGTTGTAGAGATCAAGTTCTTAAGAACTACATTGCTTTGCCACCTAAAAAGTGAAGTAATATAAATTTCAGTACATATTGAACCCATGAGGAAAATGCCATTTCTTTGTATTTTCTCTTACTTTGAAGTCTCTCCAAAAACTTCCAACCTTCAAGAATCTTTGACGTCATAATCATTATTTACTGCATGTTTTCTTTGTCATAGGCATTGTGCTAGGTGCTTTATATAAATAAATTAATTATCAGGCAGCCCTATGAAATTTGCACGATTATTATTCCTTTTCTATGGATGAGAAAACTGAGACACCAAATTTGGCAACCTAATTGAGGTCACACAAATGAGAATTTACAGGTAAATTCAAACCCAGTTTTGCCTGACTTCAAACAAAACCGCTTTTTACTGATTTCAGGTTCTATATTCTTAGACTTAAATATAGAGATTGATACAGAAAAACCTCACCAAGAAAAAACAGACACACAGACACATCAACATACTCTTCAATTACTCACACAGCTATTTGGAGGATGTCAATATGCTTGAAATTCTACAACATCTGGCACTGAAGCCAACAGGAAATGAGGATGAACGAGAAAAAACACATTTTGGATCATTGAGTGGGTTTGTGTTGCCCTCACAGCACTGTGTACTCTTTAATTTGGTCAGCCGTTTTTCTATTTCAGAAGCTATAGAACAGTTGGTGCATATTTGCCTAACTTTGGCTTCTCATGAATAATTAATAATTTCTGCCAGTGTTTGTCAGTGAAAATCAAGTCTTGTTCCCTCTTAGTGTAGGAGCCTAGTACATCAAACATTTAGGGAACATAGGTCAAAAGAACACAAGGAAATATGAAATACTCAATATGTTATATTGAGGAAAAATACATTCCTAGCAAAGAATGAGGCATAAGAGGATCCAATTTCTCCCCAAAAGTACTACATATTCTCAAAATGCAGTTCAAGTAAGACTTTTCTTTTACTCTGGGTAAATTTACCTGTTTAGATGCAGTAGAGGTACTCTGTTAATAAAGGCTGTATTGAATACATTTCTGTTAATTGAATTCTATTTTCTCATAAATGTTTCTATAAAATTGATTACTTGTTTATCTGAAGCCAACAGAATATATATATATTAAATATATATATTAAAAATATATATATTAAAAATATATATTAAATATATATATTAAAAATATATATTAAATATATATATTAAAAATATATATTAAATATATATTAAAAGTATATATATTAAATATATATATTAAAAGTATATATATTAAATATATATATTAAAAATATATATATTAAATATATATTAAATATATATATATTAAATATATATATTAAAAATTTATATATTAAATATATATATTAAAAATTTATATATTAAATATATATATATTAAAAATATATATATGTGTGTATGTGTGCCTCAATAAATTTAGTAATAAATAAATTTTAGTTTAAGGAAGTAAATAAGTTTTTCATAACCATTTTGATACTCCAGTGATGTTGTATTGCATTTGATCAATTTTGAATATTTGATCAACTTAAGCACCTGCTTTTCCCTAGTATTGAAATTCCTTTGTTGCTTGACCCTAAATGTAGTTTTCAGAGGTTTCCCTCATTTAGAGGTATATACAATGTCTCCTAAAGTCCAATGACCACATTCATCTTTACAAGTGGAAGTTTTCACCTCTTTTATAAGATTATTTTGCTGTGGAGTCCATAGTTATATTTAATAACCAAGTATACTTTTTATTATAGTTGCCAAACCACATTGAAAATATACTTGCTTTCAGTAAGAGATCCTATACTTTACTTCCAAGAATTAGGTTGCATGTAGACAAAATTATCATAAGACAAAGAAACACAAATATGAAGTGTCTTGGAGGCTTGCTTCTCTGCAGAGGGCTTTTGTATGAAGTACGAGCATATTGCCTTATGAAGGTAAATATCTACTCCTTGAATAAGTAAGACCAGTCCTATTTCACATATCAGTAGCTAAATTCTTTTGTAAAATTGTGTTTGATAGTTGAAAGTTGGAGAGAGGAGGGAAAGACAATTTAAATCCATGACTAAATACCACCAAATAACTGTTTTATATAGTGAAAAATCAGCTGGGCTCACAGGCCCCTAAAGCTGGAAGGAAAACATGTACATCTGTTATGTAGCAATAAAAATAAAATGTTTAAAAAGTAAAAGCTGAAAGAAATCTTTGAAATTAGTTTGATTTTTTAAAATTTATCACTGAAGAAAATGAAGGCCATAGAAGAAAAATGACCTGACTAGGTAGCTAGTGGTAGAACCAGCACTTAAATGAGGTTGGCACTGTACACACCAGACAATGCACTGATAAACTAGATTTCAAACTATGGTTGAGATATCAAGTATACGTGCAGATTGGGACGATGTTCCAACCACAGAAACTTCATATTGTTGGCTTTATTTTAAGAAAAATTCCATGGGCCAGAGGGCACTGAGATTTATTCTGTATTGTGCTGAAGGAGAACGAATTAGGTTTCAGTAGAAGTGATTTAAATGGTAGGTTTTCATTTCACAGTTGATCACAGCAAAGACAGAGACCATTTGGTGCCTTTTTCAATGTCTGCCAAAAGTTACTTCGTGTCTCAAATACTGATTCTTTCATTGATGTGCAGACAGAATTTAGTCCCCAAGGAAGCTGGTGGAGTTGGTTGAATGCCAGAGTTGGTTTATTTCTTTGGTGAAATTAAACTGTTCTTGTACTTTTAAATAGCACTTGATTTCCTTATTTTCTAAAATAAATTTGTTTTCTATGGATGAACCGATAAAGCTTGTGTTTTAATTAATTATGTTCCTATATTACATATAGGAACGTAATTCCCCCTTTTATACTTTGGCACTCAAATAACTCCTAAATGCCAATGTAGAAAATAGATTTAAAATTGCCTAAAATTAGTGAACTGAGCAGATTTCTATATAGGATAAACTGTAAGAAAAATAGTGTTATGAAAAGAGTTGCCCTTTGATATTTCTCTTTTCTAATCTCAAGCAGTAAAATATCAGTAAAAAAAAAGTCAGTCTGGACAAAATCTCCATTAAAACCTTAGACCTCAGCTCTCTCTCTCTTCAGATCCTCTCCAAAACACTGTAAGTAGGTACAATTGAAAGTATATTGGTGCAGAGAGGAAGAACTGCAGAGACACAACAACTAGGATATAAAAAGAAAGGTAATTCATCTTGAGAGTATGACCATTCCAGTGCATTTTAGACATTGGATTTTTGCAATCCTTTTGGATGAATACTTTTTGGAGACTGAGTAATTCCCAAAATTTATTTTAAAATCATCCCACAATTAGAAACTTGAATCAAGTGACATGACAGCTCACTTTAAATTAGAAGAAAATCCTCTGTATTTTTGATGCTCTTTGAACAAAAATATACTGATCTATGTATGGATTTTCTAAAGTAAGTTTCACTAGATTTAAAGTAAGGTAATTCACAATTTCATAATTGATTGCAAATGACAAGAACAGAGGTCAGGCTGGGAATACAGCAAACCATCTGTATAATGTATACTGGGTTGGGCTTTTGAGTTGATTCGAAGTTCCGTATTTCCTTCATCAGCCTATCCTGTTATACAATTAAGGGGTACAGAATAGAACAGTGTTCACATATATAAAGTAGACTTGGAATCTCTAACACTCTCATTCAAGGATTGGATAGTTAGTCCCCATTCCCAAAGTAGTCAATGGGGAGCCAGAAACTATTAAGTCTGTACATTAGAAAATTATAAAAGTGACATGCAAATGCATAAAGGCCAACTCCACACTGAAGAGGGCACAGAGCTAAGACTTGCTCAGTCTAAGTCAAGAAATTAGGCTAAACAAAACCAAACTAAATCACATTTGGCCAAGATCTAAAAATAATGCCATTCATTGCTAATGTTCTCACCAATCTTGTTTTATATTGCAGCATTTGGTTAACTACAAAGCAGTATACCATTTATGAATGCAGCCTTGAGAACACTTTTGCTTTGCTCGCTCTTGCAAAGAGGAAAACTCAGGCAATTGTCTATATTATTAATGACATAAAATAGACCTGTTCACCTTAAACATCAAAATAATCAAAGTCAATGATATTTACTTGATTCTTCCGAAGATGTTGCTAGTATAGAAATAGTCTTGGAGACGTTTATGAAACCATCTGTCTTAATCAAAAGCTATTATGATCTATTCAATCCAATCTTAAAGAGTATCCTTCTTATAAAAACACCTGCAATGCACTTTGGGAAATTTCAATGTTAAAAAGTAGAGAATTCAGGAAATCCCAGCTGCAATATGAAGTGATTCAATGTATTTCAGAAAAGCAAAATAGAAAATCTAGAAAATTTAAAAAGAGGTATTGATGCCATAGATGACTACATTTGGTGCAAAAATGCAATTACAGTATCCATTCATTTAAGGATAATTTTAATTCAAATGCTTTCTTCAAAACTGTCTGCAAGTGTAAATTAGCACAGCCATTATGAAAAACAGTATGGGGGTTCCTCAAAAAATTAAAAATAAAACTACCATATGATCCAGCAATCCCATTTCTGGGTATATATCCAAAGAAAATGAAATCAGGATCTCTAAAACATATTTGCACCCCCATGTTTATTGCAGCCCTATACACAATAGCCAAGACACAGAGTCAACCTAAATGACCATAAACAGATTAATTGATAAAGAAAATGTGGTATATATGCACAATGGAATACTATTCAGCCATAAAAAGAAATGAAATCCTGTCATTTGTGACAACAAGGATGAACCTGGAGGACATTATATTAAATGAAATAAGTCAGGCCCAGAGAAATAAATACTGCATGATCTCACTCATTTGTGGAATCTAGAAAAGTTGATCTCATAGAAGTAGAGAGTAGAATGCTGTGTACTAGAAGCTAGGCTGGTTGGGAGGAGAGATAGGGAGATATTGGTCAAGGAATACGTAACTACGGTTAAATTAGAGAAATAAATTTCAAGAGATCTATTGTATAATAAGGTGACTATAGTTAATAATGTTATAGTGTATTAAGATGTAAAGAGAATGGATGCTATGTGATGTTACACAAAAATGATAGCTGTGTGAGATATTGCACCATTCCACAATATATATACTTCAAAACATCATGTTGTACGTGATAAAAACACACAATATTATTGACCAATTAAAATGATAATAATAACAAATTGTCTGCCCCCTCTCCCTCTTGAGATTCTACTTATGTGTTTTGGACTTGTTGAATCTCATCTAAGCATGCTTTATATTTCCTAACATATGGTAACATATGATAAGCATCCAAAAATTGTTTGTTGACCTGAAGTGTAGTTTAAGAAAATTTTCAAACTATTTTGTATGGGAAACAAATGAGGCTTTAGGAATTTAATTTCTGGGTCTAAGTCAAATGTATTAATGCATTTATATCTGCATGGTAGTTGCAAATAACTACTCAATCCAACAAATGAAAATTAACCAGCAAGGTCTTGACAGCTCCAAGGATATGGACATAAATAATATGTTTCAGCATATTGGCAGCACTAACCCATTTGTAACCCAGTCCAATCTAAATTGGAGGAAAAATAATTTAGGTTGTTCATAATTACTATAGAAGGGTATTCTCTGACTTCAGATGAGTAGAAACAAAGACAGTCTTTCATGCTGAGTAGACAGATAACCATGACTGAAATTACCCATAGTACTTGCACCACTAAGATGTAAGTAATTGTGCTCAGAAAAAAATTGATAGCAAATAGACCTACATAAGGATACACAATACTTGTAGGTTGAAATGGTTGAGAGGGAGAAATAGTGCATACACCTAGTTGTATTGGTATAGTTTAAGTCTGGCTACATGTAGAAGTGACCTAAATTATAGTAGTTTAAATGTGACAGAGTTATTTCTCTCTCATGTGAAACCAGTGTTGAGGTAGACCATTAAGGGATGGTGTGGCAGCTCCACCATCATCAGAACGCCAGACTTGTCCAGTTTTTATCAGTTTGATTCCGATGATATGGCCTTTATTTTTATGATTCAAGATGGCTACTGCTGCAGCAGTCATCATCTTCAGCTTTCAAACAGCAGGACGGAGGAAGAAAGCAAGCAAGCTATGTATCCCTCCATTATAAAGGCACCTCTGGAAGTCTCACACAGCATTTCCACTTACTTCTATTGGTGGAAACATATTTATATGCTACCTGCAGGTGCCAGGAAAACTGGAAAATACGGTCTTTTGGTGTGTACCTGTAAACATCAAGTTTCTGTTAATTTCAGTAGAGGAGAATACATAGTTGGTAGCTAACTAGCAATCTCTAAAAAGCCTACTTTGGGGACAATGAGCAAGTTAAGGAAAATCTTGCTTAACTGGAAACCAATTAGTTCTTTTGTTGTTTTGCATCCCTGACACCATCAACAGTTTTCATAGTTGGGCACCTTTTACTGATCACAAGTACCATATATGTCTTATTGACAACACATCTATTAGTAATTTTCATATTTACCAGAGAGTGAAAGATCGCATTGCTTAGGGAGTGCTGAATGTATTTCATTTATATTATATTATATTATATTATATTATATTATATTATACCGAATTAATTCAATTATTCTGTTTTCTGTAGGGAAGAGTTCTGAATAAGGTGGGATGATGTCTTGACTTCTGATATCACCATAAGCCTTTCTTAATAGATGATTTTACATACCTGGCTATTTTGGAATATGGCTCCTGAAGATAATATAGCTTATTTCCAGAACAGTTTCTATTAGGCTGTTTGTATATATAAATTATTGGGGGAAAAATACCTTCTCCAAGTGAAAGAAATGATCATTCCAGTTAGGGGAAGGCAAAGTGAAGAAAATAGGGAGTGTGTAATACTGAGCCTGTTTTTAGATAGCTGCCTTCTGCTTCCTTTCACATTTTTCCTCCTCTGCTTTCTTCTTTGTCATAGCTACTTTCTCCAGGCTCCTGCAGGGCTTGGCCTTTTCTATTTTAATGCTAAAAGAAACAAGAGCAGTGGAGTGTGCTACATGACGTATTTGGAAAGGTGGTAAATATTTAATAGATGGTATGGTAAATAATGTATATAATTTTGCAAGAAACAATGTAAATATTTCATGGACTGCAGTGCAGCTGTTAGGCTGAAATTAAACTTGTGAGCCTGGAGAAAAGCTGCAGTTCAAAATGTCCTCTTCTGATGAGAGCACTTGCTTCTCTGGTATCACTAGTCCGCAACCTTGGAGAAGTGGTTGGCACTTAAGGTGTAGTCATATCTTGGATATCCCCTGATAGGAAGTGGTGATAAGAGTAACTCAAGATAGTGAATAATTCAAATGCCAATTAGACTTTGGGGTAAAATTTGGGGTATTTGAGAAGTGGATTTCTTTTTTAATTACATTATTCTTAGGAGGATGTTGAATAAATTTTATTATCCTATATATTCATGGACTATCGGATGCTATCCCATGATGAGTTTGCCACATATGATCCACTGTTAGTAAACACAAGAGTGTCTGTGCTGTCCTTTCTTCTCTCTGAACTTTGTTGGTAATCAACCGATTTCTATAAGGAAATTAATGCATCTCTCTGGCCTACCTGGAAAATAGCAGAAGAACTAAACAAAATCCAGAAGCAGGGACATCATAAAGGCCAAGTTGAAAATGTAGTTGTTTATATGCTATCAACCTTCTGCTGGGTATGTGTTATATCGCTAGCACTGTAATAAGTGCAATGGAAGATATAAACATTATGTCAGAAATGTCCTCTTGCCTAAGAAAGTTATAATTGGAGAGACAAAGTTAATTCATAAGAAACAATTCAAAACCAATTAAATAATAAACAGTGTCTTTTTAATAATAACTCTAGTATTATGAAATGCACTGAATTCACCGCAAATTCATGTTACTTAACTTGAGGTAGGCACTCTCTGCTGCTCTGCAGACATTTTTAGTCATATCTTGTCCCGGTATCACATTTCTCTAGAAGTGGCGGTCCTGACCTTGTCCAATATTCCCTTCTCCATCCACATTCCTTGCTGTAATTAGATGGCTTTAGTCATATTTTTTTCTGAGGCAATTAAAGGTATTTTCTTTTCAATCTTAACATGTCTACATATGTCTTCAATTATTTTCTTCTCCTCCCTCCTCTCTTAGAGGCAGAAGTAACTTTTTTTCCAAGGTGAAAATTTCTTACATAGGGAAGGCTATTCCTTCCTACTCCATCAGAAGTGTGGCCCTTCAATTATCCTTTCTTTATTTGTGTCTTCATTCTCTTGCCTTCATTTGTTTAAAGTTTTTCTGTACATGCAGTCAACTTTCCTTATGATACTAAAGTGAGATGATGATGATGATGATGATATTTATCATTTATTGAACATCCAGGTCTAAGCACTATGCTAGGCTCTAGGCTGAGACTCAGCCTCCTTAGGCATTTGGTGTGCTCATTGGTACTAGAGTATCCTTGCTTCTAGGCCCTCTTAATGGACAGAGCTAGGGAACATAAGTATATATATACTTACCCATGTACATCTTTATTTCTATAGCTATGTGTTTATATGTTTAAAATGCTGAATTCATACTGATTCTAATCCAATATCACAAGGTTCATTCCAGCCTTTCTTGTTTCCTCATTTGTAATTCATTCAAAGACAGTGAGAAAATTGATTCTCCTTCTTCACAATGTATTAACTGATTTGCTTAATCTTGGAACATGTATAAATTTGTTTAAGAATTGCTAACCCTTTGCTCCTATGAAAAGTCAACCTACTTATTTGGAGTACAATATTTGTTTACCATTCTGTATGTCTTTAACCTGAGGCTGTAGAGTCAAAATAGTATCTTCAAGAATTACTTGGGTAAATTACCATCTCCCTACCTACCTTCAATGTGATTATGCTTATGTTATTTATGTGACAAACAGTCTAATTTATTTCTGCTTGTACTTCATTTCCAAGTCTCTCTCCCATCCTTGTTAAATGTATGTATGTATATATTTTTTGTTTATGTTTTCATATATCTACTTATTTATTAGTATGTAAAACATGAGCCTGGTTGCAAAAATTAAAACTATTCAGAAAGATATACTTAGAAAAGTCTAACTTGCACCCAATCCCTTCTAACTCATTCCTATCTACCATTCTTTCTTTTATCTTTATTCGCCCCTCATAAGTAACTAATCCTTTTAGTTTCTAACTTATCTTTCCTATTTTTTTCTAAAAATGAGCAGATATCTGTGCACAATGTTCTGTTACTTTCATGTAATTATTACACAAAAGTAGCATAACATAGATACTCTTGGCACTTAAGTTTTTCATTTAATAATATATCCTGAATGTTACTCCATAGCAGTTTATCTATTCTTCTTCATTCTTTTTTGCTGTTGCATAACAACCCATTATGTGGATGCGCCATAATGTATTCAACCATTGTCTTAAGTGAGGTCATTTAGGATGTTTTCAGCATTATGTATTTCAAAACATTGCTGCCTCAAATAACCTTGTGTATTTTTGTACTGTTGAAAGTATATTTTCTGAGTAAATTCCTAGAAGACGAACTGATGGCTTGAATGATAAACCCATGTATATTTTTGTTAGATATCGTCCAATTCCCCTTCATAAGAGTTATAGCAATTTGTATTCCCACCAGAATGTGAATCTGTACGTATGAGTGCATATTTCCTCACAGCCTCACTAATAGAATGAGTTGTCATACATTTTTAAATAATGTTTTTGCATATTTTAGAAGAGTTATAAAATGTACACAATAATTGTGAAGATAGTGCAGAAAATTCTCATATACTTCACACCCAGTTTTCCCTAGTGACAGTTAATATTGAATGTCAGCTTGATTAGATTGAAGGAAGCAAAACATTGTTCCTAGGTATGTCTGGGAGGGTGTTACCAAAGGAGATTAACAATTGAGTCAGTGGACTGGGAGAGGCAGATCCACCCTCAATCTGGGTTGTCACTATCTCATAATAATCTGCTGCCAGCATGGCTAGAATAAAGCAGGCAAAAGAATGTGGAAGGACTTGTCTTGCACAGTCTTCCAGCCTCCATATTTCTCTCGTGCTGGATACTTCCTGCCCTCCAACATTAAACTCTAAGTTCTTCAGCTTTTGGACTCTTGGACTTACACCAGTGATTGGCCAGGGGCTCTTGGGCCATCGGCCACAGACTGAAGCCCGCACTGTCAGCTTCCCTACTTTTGAGGTTTTGGGACATGTACTGTCTTTTTTGTTCCTCACCTTGCAGATGGCCTATTGTGGGACTTTACCTTGTGATCCTGTGAGGCAATACTCCTTAATAAACTCCCCTTCATATATACATCTATTACTTTATCTGTCCCTTTAGAGAACCCTGATTAATACAGATTTTGGTACTGGGAGTCATTCTAAAGGAAGAGAATTTTAAGGATGGATTTCTTTAGTTGGTTTTGGGTTTTCTGGAGTTGGCCACTTAACGTGATTAGACCCCAAAATGCTAAGAACTCTACTTCTAATAGTATGGAGAACACTGATAGTCTTTGGCATGAACTGTTTAGAGTGTTATGTAAAATAAATGCATTTGATACTCCTGATTCACCGCTGGTGAGAGGCAAGAAGTTTAGTGGCTCTATACACAATACCTTTGGCCCTATGTGGAGAACCAAGGAATATAATGAAGTTAGTTGGTTGCACCTAGGTTTGCTGGACAAAGTGAAGAAAGAAAAGGATGAGCTCAGGGATAATAACTCCCAGCTCCAGAAGCACCTACTGAGCCTCAATTCTTTCTAAGGTTACCCTGAGCGAGAGTCTTATCTCCTGTAGATAAAGGGAAAAAATTACAGAAAATCAAACACAAGCTCTTATCATGAGAGTGGCTGACCTGCAACAAAAGGTGCATGATCAGCCTCAGGAGGTGTCTACTGTTAAAGTGAGGGCATTGATTAGAAAAGAATGGGACCCTGCAACTTGGAATGGAGATGTATGGGAGGACCCTGATAAGGCTGTGGGCACTGAGCTCCTAAATTCTGATAAGCCTTATTTGCCAGAGGAAACAGCCTCGTCACACCCAGTGGTGGCAACATCCCTTCCCCCGTCCAGGCTGCCATCAGCCTTTGCACCTTTGTCTGAGGAGATTAACCATGCACTGCCTGAAGCAACATGATGGCCTCCCCTGAGGCAGTTGCCAAGCAAGGCAATGCTGATCCTCCTCAGGATCTGCCCCCCAACACCCTTGTTTGCTTCTTGACCTATAACTAAAGTCCCAGCAGGCCCCTAGAGGTGAAACACAGAGTGTGACCCACAAGGAGGTACACTACACTCCAAAAGAATTGCTTGAATTTTCTCATTTATATGAGCAGAAATCTGGAGAACAGGCATGGGAATGGATATTAAAGGTGTGGGATAATGGTGGAAGGAACAAAAGTTGGATCAGGCTGAATGTATTGATATGGGCCCACTAAGCAGGGATCCTGCATTTAATGTTGCAGCTCAGGGATTTAAAAAAGGTTCTAATAGTTTATTTGCTTGGTTAGCTGAAATATGGATCAAAAGATGGTCCATGTGAGCGAGCTGAAAATGCCTGATCTCCTGTGGTTTAATGTAGGGGAAGGGATGGATCCAAAGGCTTAGGGAGATTGGGATGCTGAAGTGGATTAGTCACTTCAGACCTATTCGTTCCGGTGGGGGGCATCCAGAAGACATAACCTTCACTAATACTTTGTGAAATATATTTATGAGGTGAGCATCTGGATCCTTGAAGAGCTCTGCTGTGATTGCTCTTCTCTGCATGCCAGATCTAACAATGGGAACCACAGTAACTCAATTAGAAAATTTAAATGCAATGAGAATAATTGGATTCTGAGGCAGCAGGGACCAAGTGGCAGCACTCAACCGTCAAAGGCAAGGTGGGCACAGTTACCATAATGGACAGCAGAGGCAAAGAAGCAATCAGAATAGTCTGACTCGTGTAGAGCTCTGGCGTTGGCTAATTAATCATGATGTTCCTGGAAGTGAAATTGACAGGAAACCTACTGCATTCTTACTTAATTTGAATAAGCAGAAAACTTCGAGTTTGACTGTACAAAAGAGTAATTTGAATTATAAAAATAGAGAATTACAGCCCCTCAATCAATTTTTAGACTTGAATCAGTTTACAGACCCAGAACTCCTTGAATCAAGGGGAGACTGGGTCCCCTTGAGGAAGGACCCCACTTCACTACCAACAATTTATGCTGTTAATACTTCTATCCTTCCCCAAGGAGACCTCCAGCATTTTACCAGAGTAACTGTGCACTGGGGAAAGGGGAATGATCAGACTTTTCAGGGACTAGTGGATACTGGCTCTGAGCTGACATTGATTCCAGGGGACTCAAAACGTCATTGTGGTCCTCCAGTTAAAGTAGGGGCTTATGGAGGTCAGGTAATTAATGGACTTTTAGTTCAGGTCCAGCTTACAATGGGTCCAGTAAGTCCCCAGACTCATCCTGTAGTCATTTCCTTAATGCCAGAACACATAATTGGCATACACATACTTAGCAGCTGGCAGAATCCTCACATTGGCTCCCTGACTGGTGGCATGAGGGCTATTATGGTGAGAAAGGCCAAATGGAAGCCATTAGAGCTGCCTCTACCTAGAAATATAGTAAATACAAAATAATATCGCATCCCTAAAGGGATTGCAGAGATTAGTGCCACCATCAAGGGCTTGAAAAATGCAGTGGTGGTGATTCCCACCACATCTTTGTTCACCTCTCCTATTCGGCCTTTGCAGAAGACAGATGGATCTTGGAGAATGACAGTAGATCATCATAAGCTTAACCAAGTGGTAACTCTAATTGCAGCTGCTGTACCAGATGTGGTTTCATTGCTGGAGCAAATTAACACATCTCTTGGTAACTGGTATACAGCCATTGATTTGGTAAATGTCTTTTTCTCCATTCCTGTCCATAAGGCCCAGCAGAGGCAATTTGCCTTCAGCTGACAAGGCCAGCAATACCTTTACTGTCCTACCTCAGGGGCATATCAAATCTCTGGCTTTGTGTTATAATATTCTTTGCAAAGATCTGAATCACTTTTCCCTTCCACAAGATATCACACTGGTCCATTACATTGGTGACATTATGCTGATTGAATCCAGTGAGCAAGAAGTCCCAAACACGCTGGACTTATTGGTGAGACATATGAGTGCCAGAGGATAGAAATAAATCTGACTAAAATTCAGGGATCTTCGACCTCAATGAAATTCTTAGGGGTCTAATGGTGTGGGGCCTGTCGAGATAATTCCTTCTGAGGTGAAAAATAAGTTGCTGCATTTGGCCCCTCCTACAACCAAGAAAGAGGCACAAGGCCTAGTGTGCCTATTTGGATTTTGGAGGCAACACATTTCCCATTTGGGTGTGTTACTCTGGCCCATTTATCGAGTGACCAAAAAGGCTGCCAGTTTTGAGTGGGGTCCAGAACAGGAGAAGGCTCCAGAAGGGGTCCAGGCTGCTGTGCAAGCTGCTCTGCCACTTGGGCCATATGATCAGCGGATCCAATGGTGGTTGAGGTGTCAGTTGCAGATAGAGATGCTGTTTGGAGCCTTTGCCACGCCCCCATAGGTGAATAACAGTGGTGGCCTCTCCAGTTTTGGAGCAAAGCCTTGCCATCCTTTGCAGATAACTACTCTCCCTTTGAGAGACAGCTCTTGGCTTGTTGCTGGGCTACAGTAGAAACACAACGTTTGACTATTGGTCATCAAGTCACCATATGACCTGAGCTGACTATCATAAATTGGGTGCTTTCTAAGCCATTTGTTCATAAAATTGGGCATGCACAGCAGCATTCCATCATCAGATGGAAGCGGTATATATGTGATCAAGCTCGAGCAGTTCTGGAAGGCACAAGTAAGTTACATGACGAAGTGGCTCAAATGCCTAGGTTCTCCGCTCCTGCCAATCTGCCTGCCCTCCCCCAGCCTGCACCGACGGTCACATGGGTAGTTCCCTGTGATCAGTTGACAGAAGAAGAGAAGACTAGGGCCTGATTCACAGATGGTTCTGCATGATATGCAGGCACCACCCAAAAGTGGACAGCTGCAGCACTATAGCCCCTTTCTAGGCCATCCCTGAAGGACAGTGGCAAAGGAAAATCTTCCCAGTGGACAGAACTTTGAGCAGTGCACCTGGTTGTTCACTTTGCTCGGAAGGAGAAATGGCCAGTTGTGCGATCATATACTGATTCATGGGCTATAGACAATGATTGGCTGGATAGTCAGGGACTTGGAAGAAGCATAATTGGAAAATTGGTGACAAAGAAATTTGGGGAAGAGGTATGTGGATGGACCTGAGTGGTCAAAAACTGTGAAGATATTGGTATCTCATGTGAATGCTCACCAAAGTGTGACCTCAGCAGAGGAGGATTTTAATAATCAAACGGATAGGATGACTTGTTCTATGGACAGCACTCTGTCTCTCTCCCCAGCCACCCCTGTCATTGCCCAATAGGCTCATGAACAAAGTGGCCATGGTGGCAGGGATGGAGTTTACCCATGGGCTCAGCTACATGGACTTCCACTCACCAAGGTTGATCTGGCTACAGCCACCACTGAGTGCCCTCTTTACTGGCAGCAGAGACCAACACTGAGCCTTTGATATGGCACCAATGCTCACAGTGATCATTGCCTCTGACAAAGGCACTCAGTCTACAGCTAAAGAAGTGTGACAGTGCACTCATGCTCACGGAATTCACTGGTCTTTCTGTGTTCTCCATCATCCTGAAGCAGCTGGAATGATAGAACAATGGAATGGCCTTTTGAAATCACAATTACAATGCTAACTAGATGACAATACTTTGCAGTGCTGTGGCAAAGTTCTCCAGAAGGCTGTGTATGTCCTGAATCTGTGTCCAATATATGGTACTGTTTCTCCCATAGTCAGGATTCATGGGTACATTAATGAAGGGGTGGAAGTGGAAGTGGCACCACTCACCATCACCCCTAATGACCCATTAACAAAATTTTTGCTTCCTGTTCCCACCACATTATGTTCTGCTAGCCTAGACATCTTAGTACCAGAAGGGGGAATGCTGCCATCAGGAGACACAATGATTCCATTGAACTTGAAGTTAAGCTTGTCACCTAGTTACTTTGGGCTCCTCCTACCTCTAAGTCAACAGGCTAAGAAAGGAGTTACAGTGTTGGTTGGAGTGACTGACCCAGACTATCAAAATGAAATCAGTCTACTACTCCGCAATGGAAGTAAGGAAGAGTATGTGTAGAATACAGGAAATCCTTTAGGGCATCTTTTAGTATTACCATGCCCTGTGATTCAGGTCAATGGGAAACTACAACAGCCAAATCCAGGCAGGACTACAAATGACCTAGACCCTTCAGGAATGAATGTTTGGGTCGCTCCACCACGAATAAAAAACACAACCCACTGAGGTGCTTGCTGAAGGCAAACGGTATACAGAGTGGGTATATACTAACACAAACACACACGCACACACACACACCTATCAATCTAGCTTTCTTTCTAATCTATCTATCCATCAGTTCTTATTTATTTTTCTTTCCTTTATTTGTATAAAGGTATTTAATACATAATACTTTATATATATATATATTACATAGTCATCAAAGTCAGAGCATTTAGGGTATCCGTCACCTGAGTATAATACAGTTTTGTAGATTGACTTTTGTATGTTAACTTTGTATTCCTGTGACCTTGTTATAGTCTTTTATTTGTCCTGGGAGATTTTCGTGTTGTCGATTTAAAAAAGTTTCTACGTGTACAATAATGTCATCTGTAAACAAAGGCATTTTATTTTTTTTAATGTATACAACTTTAATTTCATTTTATTGTCTTATTGCAATATGTGGCACTGCTAAGACGATACTGAATAAGAGTGATAAAAGATAATATCCTTCTCTTTTTCTGGACCTTAAGGGAAAAATATCCAGTTTCTTACCATCAAGTACTTTGTTAACCATAAACTTTTTGAAGATGTTCTTTATCACACTGAAAAAAATACACTATATTAATAGTTTATTAAATTTTCTAAAACTATGAATAGTTTAAGAATTTCGTCATGTATTTTTCCAGTATCAATTGATGTGATTGTATGATTTTTCTTATTTAGTCTGTTGATTTAGGAAATTATACAGATTGATTTTTTAAATTTTTATTTATTTTTTAAAATTTAGTCCAATTTATTTATTTAGTTAGTTTAGTTTAGTTTTAGTGCAGATGAGGTTTTGCCATGTTGCCCAAGCTGATCTTGAACTTCGGGTTTCTAGCAATCTGTCCACCTCAGACTCCCAAATTGCTGGGATTACAGGGGTGAGCCACCATGCCAGGGCCTGGGTCTCGCTTTGTTCAAAGCCTAGGCTGGTCCTGAAATCCTGGGCTCAAGCGATCCACCTGCCTCGGCCTCTCACAGCCCTGAAATTCCAGGTGTGAGCCACTACACCCGGCCTGATTTTTAAATCTCGAGCCAGTGTTACACAACTGAAATCCTACTTGATGATGGTATATAATTTTATATATTCATTGCTGGATTCAATTTCCTATTTTGTCGAGGATTTTTCCATCTCTGATCAAGGGAGATGTTGGCCTATAGTTTTCCTTTCTTGTAATGTCTTTAGTCTGGTTTTGGAATTAAGGGGATGGTGGCCTCGTAGAATGAATTAAGAAGTGTTCCTACTTCTTTTATCTCTTAGAAAAGATTGTGGAGAATTGATACTGTTTCCTCAGTAAGTATTCGATAGAATTTGCCAGCAAAACTATCTGGGTTTGTTGCTTTCTCTTTTAGTAAGTTATTAATTATTGATTTAATTTTTAATAGATACAAGTCTTGCAGATTATTTTTTTCTCTTATATTACTTTTGGTAGTTTGTGTCTTTTAAGGAATTTGTCAGTTTCATCTAAATGATCAAATTTGTGGTAAAAAATTGTTCATGGTATTTCTTTATTATCCTTTTAAAATACATGCAATCAGTAATAATGACCCATTAAGATAGTGATGCTAGCAAAAAAAGTGAAGTCAAAAATTCTTGTTTAGCTTAGCTAGATTTGTATCAATTTTATTAATATTTGTATAACAACAGATTGTATTTTCATTCTTTTTTCTATTGTTTCTCTGTGTTCCGTTTCATTGGTTTTTGCTCTAATTTTTATAATTTCACTATTTTCTCCTTTTTTTACTTAAAATTTTTTGTTATTTTTCTATGGTGAAATCTTAGGTCATTAAGATGAGATTTTTTTCCCTAATATATTTATTTAAGGCTATAAATTATTCTCTAGGCCTTGTTAGTGTGGTGTTAGGTATGAAAGAGGAACAACTTTCCAGAATATTTTGATTAATTTTCAACATTTTAATGGCCAAATGTCTCCTCACAAGTGTTTATTCAGTGGTATACCTCCTCCCACCACATGTTGTCCTTTGGTGAGACAGGAAGGCTGGAGCGAAAGGAATATCCTTCTGCCAACCGGAATAAGGCTCTGGTAGTCTTTTTCCTTGTAGAACAGCTCTTTGTTGTGGAGGACATCATGAGAATATTTCACAATGATTACTCTTCTTCTCCTGCTAAAGCCAGGAGGGGAACTCCTCAGAATTCTTACTGTGAGAACCTACCGGGGTTTCTGAAGGTAAAATTATTATTTTGTAGGAGTTTCGTAAAGCTGGGCTGCCATAAGATTCTCACTTCTATTGCACCTCTTCATTTATCCTCTATGAATGCAGTCAAAATTACCATTGAAGTGGTCCTACCATATTATGGTTCCAGCCACTCTTGCTTTAGGTAAGCAGATCTTTGCTATGACTCTCTGGATTCTCATCTGTAGAGATTTCCAGATGCTGACTTGCTCCGTTACTTCAATTCTCTAATGGTTCCAAGAAAAATCATTAATTTTCAGTTTATCAGGTTTTTTTTGCTTGTTGTAAGGATGAGAGTGACAACTTCTAAGGTCTTTCACATGTCATTGCTGAAACCGGAGTCTTGGCATATTTTCAAATTGTTGCTTATCTGATAGCAGAGTATTTCAGTGTATTATTAATTTGCATTTCTTTAATTATATGTGATAAATATATCTTCATATATTTAAGGGTCATTTCTTTTTGACTTCACTTTTTTTGCTAGTGTCACTATCATTATCCCATTTATCATTGACTCAGTCCAATCCTTCTATGTCCAATGAGTCACTAAGTACTCTTCTAGTAATCTCGCTTGTTTTTCATTTTATTTATTCTTTTAAGGATATTTGAATGTATTTGGTGTTTTTTTTTTGTTGTTAAAACAAGATTTTTTTTAATTTTACTTATTTTTTTAATTTTTTATTTCAATAGGTTTCTGGGGAACAAGTGGTATTTTTTACATAGACAATTTCTTTAGTGGCGATTTCCAAGATTTGGGTGCATCCATCACTGAGCAGTGTACACTCTACCCAATGTGCCAATGTGTAGCCTTTTATCCCTCAGTCCCCTCACCCATTTCCCCTTAGTCCCCAAAGTCCTTTATTGTATCATTCTTACGCCTTTGTGTCCTCATAGCTTAGCTCCCACTTATGAGTGAGAACATACAATGTTCGATTTTCCATTCCTGAGTTACTTCAGTTGGAATAATGGTCTCCAACCCTATCCAGGTTGCTGTGGATGCCATTATTTTGTTCCTTTTTATGGCTGAGTAGTATTCCATGAAATATATATATACCACATTTTCTTTATGCACTTGTTGATTGATAGGCATTTGGGCTGGCTCCATATTTGTACTGCTTTAATATTGATAAGTGAGGTAGTATTCTATTCATCATGCTAGTTGTTACCTGAATACCTTTTTTTTCATTGTGTTATTGTTTTATATGCCCTGTGAGATTTATGCTTTAAGGAGGTTCTATTATGGTGTATTCAAGGATTTGTTTCAAGATTTAGAGCTTTTTTTTTTTTTTTTTCCAGAGTCTTTCTCTGTTACCCAGACTGGAGTGCAGTGGCATGATCCCAACTCACCGTAACCTTCACCTCCCAGGTTCAGGCGATTTTTCTGCCTCAGTCTCCCAAGTAGCTGGAATTACAGGCACCCACCACCACGCTCCGCTAATTTTTGTATTTTTAGTAGAATGTAGTTTCATCAGGTTGGCCAGGACGGTCTTGAATTCCTGACCTCAAGTGATCCACCCACCTCGGCCTCCCAAAGTGCTAGGATTACAGGCCTGAGTCACCACGCCCAGTCTAGAGCTCCTTTTAACAATTTTGTATAGCTGGCTTGGTACTGGCAAATTTTCTCAGCATTTGTCTGAAAAAGATGGTATCTTTCCTTCATTTATTAAGCTTAGTTTTGCTGGATACAAAATTCTTGACTGATAATTGTTTTATATAAGGAAGCTAAAAATAGGAACCCAATTCCTTCTAGCTTGTGGGCTTTTTGCTGAGAAATCTGCTGTTAATCCGATAGATTTTCCTTTATAGGTTATCCAGCGCTTTTGCCTCACAGCTCTTAAGATTCTTTCCTTTGTCTTGACTTTAGATAACCTGATGACTATGTGCCTAGGTGATGATTTTTTGCAATGAATTTCCGGAGTGGTCTTTAAGCTTCTAGATCTCTAACAAAGCCAGGGAGTTTTCTTGATTTTTCCCTCAAATATGCTTCCCAAACATTTAGATTTCTCTTCTCCCTCAGGAATACCCATTATTCTTAGGTTCAGTCATTTAATTCGATACTTCTTGGAGGCTTTGTTCATTTTTTTAAAATTGTTTTTTCTTTGTCTCTGTCAGACTGGGTTAATTCAAAAGCCTTTTCTTTGAGCTCTGAAGTTCTTTCTTCTACTTCTTTGATTGCTGATACTTCCAGTGTATTTTGCATTTCTCTACGTGTGTCCTTCATTTCAAGAAGTTGTGATTGTTTCATGCTATCTGTTTCTCTGTAGATTTTTTCATCCACATCTTTTATCTTTTTTTAATTTAAGTTGATATTAGCCTTTCTTTGTTGCCTCTTGAGTAACTTAATAATCAACCTTCTGAATTCTTTTCCTGGCAATTCAGAGATTTATTCTTGGTTTTTATCCATTGCTGGTGAGCTTGTTTGATATTTTGTGCATGTTAACAAACCTTGTCTTGTTATATTACCAGAATTGTTTTTCTGGTTTGTTCTCACTTGGGTAGACTATCTTAGAGGGAAGATGTGGGGCTCAAGGGCTGTTGTTCAGATTCTTTTGTCCCACAGGGTGCTCCTTCATTGTGCTGTCCCCCTTTCCTTATGGATCGGGCTTCCTGAGGGCCAAACTGCAATGATTGTTATTTCTCTTCTGGGTCTAGCAACCCTGTGGCTAGCAACCTGGCTCTGGGCTGGTACTGGGGAGTGTCTGCAAAGAGTCCTGCGATGTGATCCATCTTCAGGTCTCTCAGGTGTGAATACCAGCACCTGCTCTTGTGTAGGTAGCTGGGGAGTGAAGTGGACTCTGTGTAAGTCCTTGGTCGTGTTTTTGTTTAGTGCACTGGTTTTGTGTTGGTTGGCCTCCAGCCAGGAGGTGGCACTTTCAAGAGAGCATCAGCTGTTGTAGTATAGGGAGGATACCAGCTCTCCTTAGAGTTGCCTGGATAAGTATTTGGGTTTCTCAGGCAGTGGGCAGGGCTGTAGAGCTCCCAAGGGATTATTTCCTATGTCTTTAGCTCCCAGGGCAGGTAGAGAAAGACCATCAGGTGGGGGCATGGTTAGGTGTGTCTGAGCTCAGACCCTCCTTAGACAGGGCTTGGTACTGCTGCTGTGGGGGCTAGGTGTGTGGTTCTCAGGCCAATGGAGTTACATCCCCGGGAGGATTATGTTGTGTCATAGAGGTCTCCAGGGAAGTGGGAGAAGAGCAGTGACAGGCCTCACCCAGCTCCCACACAGCCTGAAAGGCCAGTCTCACTCTGACCCTGCCCCTCCACAGCACCAAGTTTATTTCCAGGCAGCCAGTGAGCAGGGCTGAGAACTTTGCCCCAGACTACAAGCCTCCCTGCTGAGAAAGAAAGCAGGGCTTTCAGGTTTTGTGCCTCCCCACCTACCAGTTTCTATGCTCATATCTGCACTCCTGGTTCACTCCCTACCCCAGATTGTGTCCAGGAAACTTTGCATTTAGTCAAAATTGTTACGAAGTTCACCTAGAAGTTTCCTTCTCCCTGTGGTCTTTTCCTAATTCCACTGGCATCCCTTCCCAAGGAGCCCTGCAAGACAAAGTCAGGAATGGCTTCCCTGGGGAACGAGAGTGCCAACAGGGCTCTTCCTGCTGCTTCCTCTACCCTTGTATTTCACTTGGCTCTCTAAATTCATCTCAGCTCCAGGTAAGGTCCTTCTCCTGTGATCTGGACCTTCAGGTTCCCCAGTGAGGTTGTGTGTTCAGGGTCAGACATTCCCTCTCTCACACTTCAGGCACTCACAGTTTTTTAGCTGTCTCATGGAGCCTGTAGCAGCCAGCTGCTTCCTTTAAAGGGTCTGTGGATTCTCTTGGCTTTCCTGAAATGTTTCTGCAGTAGTTCTTGGAGCAAAAGTTTATAAAGTGAGTCTCCACATGCTGCTCTGTCAATCTGAATGGGAGCTGCAAGTTAGTCCTGCCTCCCATCAGCCATTTTTTTCCTTCATTTTCTAAATATAACATTCTTACTGTGGTCACCCTAGTTCAAAACCTGGCATAATATAATAGTTTCCAAAAGGATTCCTCATATTGGCTTCTTGTCCACTTTTGTCTTATGTTTGTGAGAAACATGCATTAAACTTCTGAAAGCTTAGGGAAGTTGTATAGCAGGGTCATTAAAAGGTGAAGATTTAGAGTGAAACAGATCTGGTTTAACTTTTTGCCTCTCATAGCTGTGTGATGATGTACAAGCCATTTCACTTCTCTTAGTTTCCATTTCCTTACATTTAAAATGAGAATAACAATAATATTTACTCACAGGTGGTTTTATTGATTAAGAAAAGTTAATTATAACCTTATTCAGCCTCTATCACAGCTTTTATTTATAGATGTTTCACTTTTTCTACTCTTCCCTCCCCGTCCCAACACATATGGCAAATGCAAGCTTTTGGTCATAGAAAGCACCAGTTGATCGAATGTATGTGACTCATTTAAGTTCATCTCTTCAATTGGGAAAGTTAGAATATTGCAGATAGCATGTTAGTAGCATCGTGTTTAGCTACATGGAAATGATTTTAAAATAGCTTGTTTTGAGCAGAAAGATGAGTGGGAAGGAATTCTAGAATAACATTGCTCACAAATCACAGGCAGTTTTAATAAATGCTATTATTTATATTTTGCCCTTATAAAACACACTAGTTTTTAAATAAACTAACCTGATTTAGACCAACATAAATGCAAAATTCAGCAGCAGTTACAAATCATACATTCTCAAGAGATCACAGTACTAAGTTGATTACAAACAGCTGCACTATTCAATTGCCATTGGAATGTTATTCAAAGGACAATTAAACAAAAAGTGTCCACGTATAGATCTCTATTCTATATTTCTTGCACAGCTCACAGTTTGATACTGACTGACCTTAAAGCTATGTGTGCCAGGTATTTTAATCATAGTAATCAAAATATTGGGAAGTCATTTACTAGTTTAAGTACCATTAAGTTTTTGTAAAGACCTATTACAAGAAGAGGAATTTAAATTTATTTCTTAGAGACGTCAAGTGTGTGTATAATAACAGCAGTTATATAAGCATAGTCTTTTGAGTTAAAAGGACATTTTTCCCCAAACAAAACTTAGTAGATAATGTTGAATGTAGCCATGCATGCTATATTTGTTAATGTAGACACAAATGTTCGATGGTTTAATAAACTTTTTAAATGAGAATAGTCTTCCTATAAAACATTGTCTTGAAAACAGGAATGTAAAATGGATATTCTCTTTTGTTGGCATGCAAGTCTCCCTGGAAATTAGGCATACCTTCTCTCTGACAATCTGAGTGTGGACTTGGAGCCTCATATGGTGCTTACCCACTGGCTTCTCTTTTTTATTTATATAAATGATATGTCACCAATTACTTGCTTTCAAACTATATAGAAAGTGTTTGATATTTTAGTGCTAGAGGTCAGTGTGAATTCAATAATAATGAAGAACAAGACTGGAAAATTTTCTAAATAAATATGTGAGTCAAATAATAACAGCATTTTACAAATGTGTGGAAGAAAACAAAGATGCTTTATAACAGAATAAAGGGGGGTATTATTTAAAATGAAAGGGCTCCTTGTACAGGTAGCATATACACTGAGGCAGGAATAACAAGAAGAAGCAGTTATACAAGTTCCTTGGTAAAAAAAAAAAAAAAAATCTTGAAGGAAGATTGTAGAACAAGAACTAAAGCCCTGATGTAGTTTTCTCTTAGGAACTAAAAATAAAAAGCCATATTAAGGATATAATGAATGAAGGAATGAATGGTACTAAGTAAAACAGAAGAGTTACTTAGGGGCAGGGTTATTCAGAGTTTGTAGATCATGGTAAGGCTTTTTTCAGTTTTATTCCAAGTGCATTTGAAAATCATTGAAAGGTTTAACCAGGAATGTAACATGATTAGATTTACATGGTTACATAAAAAGATCACCCTGGTTACTGTGTCTAGAATGAATTACTGTGAACTGGTGGTAATAGGGGGAATAGAAATGGAAGACCAATTAAAGGCTATCATGGCAACCCATATAAGAGATAAGAATGGCCTGTGCTAAAGTGTGACACTGGACACGGAGAAAAGTATATGGATTCAAATCTATTTAGAAGGTAGAATTACTAGGATTTTCTGATGAGTTAGAAGTATGTACGTGTGTGTATATATGTGTGTGAACTATGAGGAAAATAATAGAAACACAGATGCCTTCATATTTTCTGGCTTGAGGGAGTAATTGAAGGGTGCTGTTGCATTCTGAGATTAGTAAGACTTGGAGAGGAACTAATTTGGAGGAAATCAAGAGTTTAATTTTAACATCCAATTTAAAATATCTGTGAGACGCATAAAAGATAGTAAAATAAGATATTGGATATAGGTATCTTGAGCCCAGGAGGAATTTCTAGGCTGGAGATATACATTTAAAACTGAATCTCCATATAGTTAGTAATTGATGCTGTGGAAATTATTGAAAACGCCTAGAAAGAGAATAGCTAGGGAAGAGAAGAAAACCCAGAATTGTATCTTAAGGAATTCCAACATGATAGAGGTCTTTTGGAGGAGAAGCCAAAAGCAGAGCTGGAGGAGTAGCTAGTGAGAGAGAAGAAAATCAGGCATGTATGTGGTAAAAACTGAGGTAAGTATTGTATGAAAGGAGGAATAACAAAATCTAATGAAAGCTGCTGAGGCATTGAAAAAGGTGAAGACAACAATATTTATTGCTTTGAGCAACACAAAAGTCTCACATACATGGATAACACAATTTTTAAAATTAAAAAAGCATAATTATGACTGAAAGTAAAATAAGCATCCTTATGACAAAAAAATTGAATGGAAATATAATGTAGAATCGGGCTAAATACACAGACCTATAACAGATGGGTTTCTGCAGGGAAATGAAAAAATACTGTCCTGCATCTGAGATATGGATATTAGAGCCAGTCATACCTGAAGCCAGGAGACAAAGTAGGGACCCTCACAGATGCAAAGATGCTGAGAAACTTCTTTTTGACATGATAGATGTTTGATTAGAAGCTATGGGTATAGGGAATGTGTAAAGTTCCAGAAAGTAAATCACACTCTTCACTGGTTCATTTATGGAATTTAATATCACTACAAGAATGGAAATATTAACAATGATTACAAGACATGGTTTTGCACTGAAGGTCTGAGCCATGCAGAGGCAAACACAAAAATGACTGGAAAGGAAGGAATGTTTAGAAAGAGTAAAGTAGATCTAGAAAGGGAAAAAACATAAACATAAAACCTCACACACAAAATGAATGTGTAAACAAAAATTATAAATCATATGAAATAATATTAGAAGTGTCAGCCAATAATTAGAACACAAATTTATTCCAGATAAAACTCATTTCATTAAATAGTAAGACAAAATAATGGAATGTATTAGTTGCATTCTTGAAGAGATAAATATAGCTATAGTAGTTAAAAAAGAAAAAGTAATTGAAAATCAAAACGAGTGGAAATGAAACTATAATAGGTATTCAGAAAACATAAACACAAGAGATTACAGCACCTGGGTGTAGCACAAAAATAAGAAAAAGTGCATTGAAGAGGGTAGGAGAGACGGTTTTACATTGTCTGCATCATACTTCCCCTAAATCCTGGATAACATATTCTAGAGAGATATACCCTCTGTGTGAAGGAAGAAGATGCAAGTGAACAATGGACTTTGCCTCAGATCCCAGCACTGGGCCTGCGCCAGTAAAACTCAGCACTTGGCAGACCCCAAACCCAAGGCCCAATACTTCAGGCTGTAATTGTAGACTGAGCCTCTATGCTTACCCTGGTGCCAGGCCAGATCCCACAGCCCTGAGCTTCACACATGCCTGGCAGACTTGGTCTTAGGGCCTGACATACTGCCAGACAAAACCCCAGGCTCCAGATTGTCCCCAGCACCAGGCTGGCTTCCATGGCCCCAGACTTCAGGCCCACTCCACACTAGTCCCACCCACTCAGCCCTAGCAGAACCTGGAGACTCAGCCTTCAGGCCAGCCTCTGCCGATACAGACTCCAGGCCCACCTAGCACCAGGACAAGCCCTGTAGCCCCAGACTCCAAGACCAACCCAGGTTCCAGACCAGTCCAGAGTTATATTAACTCACAGCCCCAGACTTCATGTCTACCCCAGCACCAGGTTGGCATCACTGACCTCAAGCATGAGGCTGACACTCATGCACACAGACTCCAGGCCTGCCCAGTGTCATGTGAGACCCTGCAGCACCACTCTTGAGGCTGGCCCCTATAGCTCCAACCTCCAGCAGACTCTGGAGCTAGGCCCATCTCAGTAGACTCCAGTGCTGGTTCAGCCCCTATGGACACAGGATGCAGGACTGCCCATGTAGACTCATGTTCCAGGTCTGTTCCCATAGCCCTAGGACCCAGGGTAGCCCTTGTGTACCTAGCCTTCAGACCAGCACCCACACAACAAGCTTCTAGGCTTATCCCAATGGCCCCAGGGCCCCAGGCCAGCCCCCATGGCTCTGGGCATCAGGCCAACCAGCAGCAGTAACTTCAAGCTCCATACCAGTACTGCAGACCCAGGCTTTACACCTGCCTCAGCACCAGGCCAGCCAGAGGCTTCAGGTTGATCCCCATGGCCCCAGGTGCCAGTGGGCCTGCTTCAGCAAACCAAAAGTCCAGGCCAACTTCAATAGACCCTGGAGCCAGTCTTGTCCCAAGCACTTAGGATCCAGGTATACCCAGGAAGACCCAGGTTTTAGGTTAGTCTTTTTCCCCACAGACCAAGGAACTAGGCTCACATTCATGGACTCAGTCTCCAGCATACCACAGTACCATGCCAGGCCAGGCCCCATGGACTCAGGCTCCAGGTCAATCTCAATGCCCGGCTGATCCTTGCAGACTCAGGTTTAAGGCCTACTCAAGTGCCAGGTCAGCCCATGCCTGACAGGTTTAAAGACAGCCCTCATGAATACAGGCTTCAGGCCCTCCCCTGCAAACCAGTACCACCACAGTGGATCCAGGCTCCAGACCCAATCCTGTGGAATACGCACCAGGCCCACCAAGCTGCTGCCCTAGGCACCAGGTCAACCTGCCTGAACTCCAGCAGCAAGCCCATCCATGGACCAGGCCAGATGGCAGCCCCAGAATTTCCAGACAGTCTGACTAATTAAGGGCTTTCCCATGCAAAGCCAGTCTGCAAAGATAGAATAGGGACTTCTTCAAATCCACAGACACCAGCACACAGCCACAAAGATTAGCACCAATCAGGGAAGCACTACACAACAAAAGAAACAAAGTAAAACAGCAATTTTTTAAAAATTTTCCCAAGATGGCTGCCTAGAAGCATTTCTAGCATGCCTCATCCTTTTAGAAAAATGAAAATGGTTGGTAGGCAATCACACTTTGAATATATTATCCAAGAGGGAACATAGGAATTCAACAGAAAAGCCAAAGGAATCTCCAAAATTGAGAAAGAAGGGGAAAAAAAAAAACAGGCAGCTTATATGACCATGATAGACCAGGAACTGAGAGTGAATCCCCACTATGAGAGAGGGTGAGTGAGTGTCTTTCTGCAGTCCACTTTTCCCCTGGGGAATTGTAAAATCCAGCCACCAGAATGCAACTTGACTCTTTCAACCCTGAATCTAACTTAGTGAGTGGCTGGCTCATGCCCTGAAACCTAAGCAGCTACAGTAAGACATTTTTCTTGATCCTAGCTGTTAACAAACTCTGTATGGTCCAGGGAACCAGTGGTGCTATTCCAGGCATTAGAAAAACTTGAGCACCAGCTTATGAAGCCTGGGCTTGAGTGGAGGATGGAATCTCACAACCAGGACTAAGAAGCAAACATGGCATGCACCCCAGCTGCTAGCATATCCCCATGAACTGAGCAGGATGAGAGGTGTCACAGAGCCTGGGCTTGAGCTGGGTGGGGGCTCCTATAGCACAGGGATGAGACATGGACTAGAAGCAAACTGTCTGGTCTGACTAAACAGCAAACTCAACTGTGACAGCTGGGACAGGTGAAGGAGCCCCACAAGGACCGGGGTGGAAGAGGGACACAGTCCTCCAACCGCTGGCCAAAACTGTTGCCACTGGGACTGCCCACATGCTGCCTGTAGCAGGACCTCAGTGCAGCAGTGGTAAAAACTCACCCAAGCATTTCACCTGAGGCCTGAATACCTCCCTGCTGCCTCCTCCATCACAGCTGGTGCATGCATTTGCTACTGGCGGACCTGAGTGCAAGCTTGTCCAGTTTGGATCCACCCAGCTTTGCTTCTCCCTAAAACAGAGTGTGGGGTTCCACAACACAATCTACCAACTGGGATATCTGAGCATGTCTCCTGGTAGACAGAGGTCAGGAATTTACATCCTATTGCTATCACCTTGGGTGGCTCATACCTGCAAGGGCCACCTACTGGCCTGGAGGTCTGCCCACTGCAACCACTGTCACCACTGACGACACAAGAGTACAGCACTTGGGAAGCAGAAAAGTATATAACCACCACTGCTACGACCATCAACTATGCCAGCCTGCCTTCCCAGGAGCATGAGAGCCTGCTCACCCACTTGGTATACTGCTTCTACAACCAGCATCTTAGAAAGTCACTCAGATGCCCAAGAATTGGCCTGCCTGGAACCATCAACAAAGGTCTCACCATACACTGCCCCAAGTCACAAGAATAGACTACAAAGCCCACCAGCACCACCTTTGGAACCTGCAGAAGGCCCCATCTTTCAGTCCAGTCCCCAGCACAATTTCACCAGTCTCCACCAATAGCCACACCCTAATAAACTGAGGCCAAAGAAATCCTACAGAGACTTTATCACTGCACACACCTAGAAACAAAGCCAAAAGTCCATACCCAACAAATATCATACTCACATCTTCAAAAGAGATGTTACCCTTATGAACAAAGGTAAATTCAAAAATAAAAGAAGCAACTATGACAACAGATGTGCAGATATCAAAAACACAGGAGGAATGAAAAACAAAATAATATGATACCCCAAAAGGAATACAGTAATTCTACAGCAGTAGACGCTAATGAAAAAGAAGCCCTCAAAATACAAGATAGTATTGTCTGTAACACAAAGGATAAATGCTTGAGGGGCTGGATACCCCACTTTTTATGATGTGATTATTATACATTGAGTGCCTGTATCAAAACATCTCATGTACTCCATAAATATATACACTGACTATGTACCCACAATAATTAAAATAATTTGTTTTAAATAATCCAAGATAAATAATTTAAAATATTGATTTTAAAGAAACTCAATGAGATGCAAGAAAAACTATAAAACAGTACAAAGAACTCAGAAAGTCAATTTAGAATATGAATAAGAAATTTATCAAGCAGATACATGTATTAAAAAACAAACATAAATTCTGGAACTGAAAATTTCATTGAAGGAAATACAAAATGCATTTGAGAGCTTCATCAATAGACTAGACCAAGCAGAATAAATAATTTCAGAAATTGAAAGTAGTCCTTTTGAAAAAATCCAGTCAGACAAAAATAAAGGAAAACAAATAATAATAAAGCCTTCAAGACATGTGGGACTACATAAAGCAACTGAATATATTAATTATTGATATTCCGGGGGGTGAGGTTAAAAAAGCTTAGAAATCTTAATAATAAAATAATAGATAAAAACTCCTCAATGCACCCAGATTTATAAAACATTACTAGAAATAAAGAGATAAATATATAGCAATACAACAACGGTGAGGAACTTCAACATCCCACTTAAAGCATTAGACAGATTATCAAGACAGAAAATCAACACAGAAGCATTCGTCTTAAATTAGAGAACACATGAACCTAGCAGACATTTACAGTGCATTCTACCCCTGTGATGGTTAATACTGAGTGCCAACTTGATTGGATTGAAGGATACAAAGTATTGTTCCTGGGTACATCTGTGAGGGTGTTGCCAAACGAGATTGACATTTGAGTCAGGGGACTGGGAACACAGACCCACCCTCAATGTGGGTGGGTACAGTCTAATCAGCTGTCAGCATGGCCAGAATAAAAGCAGGCAGAAGAACGTGGAAAAACTGACTTCCTAAGTCTTCTGGCCTCCATCTTTCTCCCATGCTGGATGCGTCTTGCCCTTGAACATCAGACTCCAAGTTCTCCAGCTTTTGGACTCTTGGACTTACACCAGTGATTTGACAGGGCCTTTTGGACCTTTGGCCATGACCTGAAGGCTGTACTTTCAGCTTCCCTATTTTTGAAGTTTTGGGACTCGGACTGGCTTCCTTTCTCCTCAGCTTGCAGATGGCCTATTGTGGGACTTCACCTTGTGAATGTGTGAGTCAATTCTCCTAATAAACTCCCCTTCGTGTATATATCTATCCCATTAGTTCTATTCCTCTAGAGAACCTTGACTAATATAACCTCAAATCTGAAGACTATACATTCTTTTTATTATCTCGAGGAACACTCTCCAAGATAAGACATATGTTAGGACATAAAACAAGCATCAACAAATTTTCAAAAATAATGATATCAAGTATCTTATCAGTCCAGATTGGAACAAAACAAAAAATTAATAACAAGAGAAACTTCATGGAAGCTAAGCATCACTATTCTGAATGATTATTAGGCAATGAAGAAATTAAAATAAATTTTGGACATATTTTTGAAAGAAATGAAAATGTAAACACAACATACCAAAACTTAAAAGATATAGCTAAATCAGAGCTAGCAGGAAAGTTTATAGCATTAAATGCCTACAACAAAAAAAGTAGAAAGGTTACAAATGATCAACCAGATTACAAATGAAAAACAGAATTATGCACATTAACAAACTAAAAAAGCACGAACAAACCAAACCCATAATCAGCAAAAGGAAAGAAATAACAAAGATCAAAATAGAACTAGGGTGAAATAGAGAAAAGGAAAGCAATACAAATGATGAAAGAAATGAGAAGTTTGCTCAAACGATAAACAAAATGGATAAACTACTAGCTAAACTAAGCAAGAAAGTAGAAGATCCAAATAAACAACATCAAAAAGAAAAATAAGAAAGTACAACTGATATCACAGAAATACAAAAAGATCATCAGAGACTAATGTGAACAACTATATGCTTAAAATTAGCAAGCCTACAGGAAGTAGATACACTATTGGAAATACACAGCCTCCCAAGATTGAATCAGTAGTAAAAATTCTCCCAACAAGAAAAATATCAGGACCAGATGGAATCATAGCCAAATTCTACCAAATGTTAAAAGAAGAACTGGTACCACTTTTTCCAAACTGTTCCAAAAAATTGAAGAGGAGTGATAATTCGTTCTATGAGGCCATCATTACCCTGAAACCCAAAGCAGACAAGGACAAAACAAAACAGAAAAAGGAAACTACAGACCAATACCCCTAATAAACATGGGCCCAAAAATCCTGAACAAAATACTAGCAAATTGAATCCAAGAGCAAATAAAAAAGATAGCATTTCTATCAAGTGCATTTTATACCAGGATGTAAGATGGCTCAACATACACAAAGCAATAAACGTGATTCATTATATAAACAGAATTAAGGACAAAAACCATATGGTCATCTCAACTAATGTAGAAAAAAATCAACATCTCTTTATCACAAAAGCCTTCAAAAAACTAGATATAGAAGGAACATACCTCAAAACAGTAAAGGCCATATATGAGAAAGCAACAGCCCACATCACACAGAAAGTACAAAAGTTAAAAACATTTTTTCTAAGAGCTGGAACATGACACAGGTGCCCACTTTCAACACTGTATTGAAAGTCCTAGACAGAAAAAATAAGGCAAGAGAAAGAATTAAAAGGAATTCAAATTTGAACAAAGTCAAGCTACTCCTATTGTCTGATGATATGATCTTGTATGTATAAAACCCTAAACACTCTAGCAAAAATCTCTTAAATTTGATAAATGAATTCAATAAACTTGCAGAATAAAAGTGAATGTACAAAAATAAGTAGTGCTTCTATATTTCAAAACAACCCAGTTGGAAAGAAAATCAACCAGGCACTCATATATATAATACCTACTAAAAATAAAATACATAGGAATATATTTAACCAAAGAAGTGAAAGATGTCAACAATGAAAAGTACAAAACACTGAAGAAAGAAATTGTAGATGACAAAAGCAAGTGGAAAAACATTCTATGCTCAGAGATTGGAAGAATTAAAATAGTTAAAATGATATTTATTTATAAAACTTAATCTTGTCATAAAATACAATAGTGCCCAAAGCAATCTACATATTCAATCCAATCCCTATCAAAATACCAATATCATTTTTCACAGAATTACAGCAAACAATCTTAAACTTTATATGGAACCAAATAGACACCTGAATAGCTGCAACAACCCTAAGCAAAAATAACAAAACTTGAGGCATCACATTATCTAATCTCAAATTATATTACAAGAACATAGTAACCCAGCACTATGGTACTGGTATAAAAATAGACACATAAATCAATGGAACAGAATAGAGAACCCAGAAATAAAGTCACGTATTTATAGCCAACTTATCTTTGACAAAAGCAATAAGAACATACACTGGGAAAAGGACACCCATTTTAAAAAACAGATCTGGGAAAATTGGGTTAAATAAAACTGGACCTCTACGTTCACCATATACAAAAATCAACACAAGATGGATTAGAGACTTAAGTGGAAGATCAATTAGTACAAAAATACTAGAAGGAAACTTATGGAAAACTCTTCTTTGCCATGGCAAAGAATTCATGACTATACCTCAAAAGCACAGATAATAAAAACAAAAATAGACAAACAGGACTTGATTAAACTAGATAGCTTCTGCACAGAAAAATAGATAATCAAACATTTTCTGCACAGCAAAATAATCAGCAGTGTGAGCAGATAACCTGCAGAAAGGGAGAAAATATTTGCAATCTGACAGAGGACTAATATTCAAAATACACAAGGAATTCGAACAATTCAACAACAGTAACAAACCAAATAATTCTATTAAAAATTTGATAAAGGACCTAAATAGATATTTTTTCAGAAGAAGACATGCAAATAGCCAAAAGACATGTAAGAAAATGCTCAACATTACTAATCATCAGAGAAACGCAAATTAAACCCACATTGAGATACCATCTTACATCAGTCAGAATGGCTATTAGAAATTCAAGGGCCGGGCACGGTGGCTCATGCCTGTAATCCCAGCACTTTGGGAGGCTGAGGCAGGCGGATCACCTGAGGTCAGGAGTTCGGGACTAGCCTGACCAACATGGAGCAACCTTGTCTCTACTAAAAATACAAAATTAGCCGGGCATGGTGGCGCATGCCTGTAATCCCAGCTACTCAGGAGGCTGAGGCAGGAGAATTGCTTGAAACAGGGAGGCGGAGGTTGCAGTGAGCCGAGATCACACCATTGCACTCCAGCCTGGGCAACAAGAGCAAAACCCCGTCTCAAAAAAAAAAAAAAAAAAAAAAAAATTTAAAAAACAACAGATGTTAGCAAGGATGCAGAGAAAAGGGAATGTGTATACACTGTCTCTGGAAATGTAGATTAGTTCAACCCCTACAGCAAACAGTATAGAGATTTCTCAAATAACTAAAAATAGAACCATCATTTGATCCAGCAATTTCACTACTGAGTATCTACCCAAAGAAAAGAAATCTATGCACCAAACAGACACCTGAACTGGTATGCTTATCACAGCACTATTTATAATAGCGAAGATATGGAAAAAACCTAAGTGACCACAAACAGATTATTGGATAAAGAAATGTGGTCTAGATACACAATGGAATACTATTCAGTCATAGTAAAATGAAATCATGTCTTCTGCAGCAACATCAACAGAAATGGAGACCATTGTCTTAAGTGAAATAAGTCAGACACAGAAAAAAAAATTACTTGTTCCTATTCATAAGTGAGATTTTAAAAATGTGTACACATAAACATAGAGAGCATAATGATAAACATATGAGTGTCAGAAGGATGAGGGGGTAAGGGGGATGTATGAAGAGAAATTACTTAATGGGCACAATGTATGTTATTCAGGTAATAAATACTCTACAAGCCCTGACCTGACTACCACACAATCGATTAATGTGAGAAAATTGTATTTGTTCCCCAGAAATTTATACAAATAAAAAAATACACCAGTAACTGATATCATTTGGCTCTGTGCCCCCACCAAAATCTCACCTTAAATTGTAATAATCCCCACATGTCAAGGGTGGGACCAGGTGGAGGTAATTGAAACATGGGGGCAGTTTCCCCCATGCTTTTCTTGTGATAATGAGTGAATATTACGAGATCTGACAGTTTTATAAGCATCTGACATTTCTCCTGCTTGCACTCACTCTCTCTTCTGCTGCCTTGTGAAGAAGGTGACTGCTTCCTCTTCTGCCATGATTGTAAGTTTCCTGAGGCCTCCCTAGCCATGTGGAGCTGTGAGTCAATTAAACCTCTTTCCTTTATAAATTACCCAGTCTTGGGTAGTATCTTTATAGCAGTGTGAAAAGGGACTAATAGGGTAACCAAACCCTCCAAAATGGAGACTTTTGAATTACCTAATAATTCAGAATAATTATTTTAATTCTTGAATTTTAAACAAATACAGAAAAAACAATTCAATAACGCCTGCCAGACAATAAATGACCAAACTGATAAATTTAATAGATTGGAATTTAAAACAACGAAACAGATATTCTGGAGTAAGTAGTACAATAAATTAAAAAAATGCAATAGACATCATCAGTAGCAGAATTGCTCAGTTAGAAGAAAGAATGTGTGAACTAAAAATGGTTATTCAAAAATACACGACCACAGAAGAAATAAATAATAAAAGGAAATGAAGAAACCATCAGGAACATTTGGGGCAGCAGCAAAATAACAAATATTTGAATTATACAAATTCAAGAAGTAGAGTGAAACAAAGGGCCAGACAGATTCTTTAAGACATAATAGAAAAAAACAAATTTGGTGAAAGATATAAATATCCAGGTATAAAAAGGTCAAAAGTCATCATTAGAGTCAATCTAAACTAGTGTATCAGTAGATATTATAATTAAACTGTTAAATATATAATGCAAACAGAGAATCTTGAAAGCAGCAAGAAAAAAGCAAACCATATATGAGGGAGTTTCAACAAGACTAGCATCAGACTTCTCAACTGGAACTTATAGGCTAGGAGACTGTACGAAGATATATTCAAACTGCTGAAGAAAAAAATTACAACCAAGAATACTTTAACTGAAAAACCCGTCCTTCAGAAATGAAGGAAAAATCAAGTCTTTCCCAGACAAAAAAAGGCTGAGGAAATTCATTGCCAGCTGACCTGTCTTATAAGAAGTACCAAAGGGAGTTCTGAAAGCTGAAATAAAAGAGCGCTAATTAGCAACATGAAACCACATTAAAGTAAGAAACTCGCTGGCAAAAGTTAATTTGAGAATACTTTAATACCATGATGGTGTTGTGTAAATCATTTGTATCTTTAGTTTGAAGGTTGAAAGACAAAACTATTATAAGAATAACATGTGCAATAATTTTAAGGAAAACACAATACGGGAAGGTGTAAATTATTTTAAAAAATATAAAATGTGGGTAAGATGAAGCCAAAGTATTTTCTTTTATGTTATCAGAGCTGAGAGCTTATCAGCTTAAAATAGCCCATTATAAGTATAAGATGCTGAATGTAAGCATCGTGGTAACCACAAAGCAAAAATATACGTAGATACAGAAAATATTAAAAGTAGGAAATGAAAGCATACCATTAGAGAAAACCATCTAATCAAAAAGGAAGACATCAAGAGAGGAATGAAAGGAATAGATATCTACAAAACAATTTAAAAAGGGCACTAATCTGTCCTTGCCTATCAGTAATTACCTTAATATAAGTGGATTAATATTTCCAATTAAAAGTTACAGAGTGTCTCAATGGCCAAAAAAAAAAAAAGAGCAGATTATATACTGCCTACAATAAACTGACTTCACTTTTTGAGGACAGAAATAGACTGAAAGTGAAAAGATGAAAAGAGATATGCCCAGCAAATGAGAACTAAAAGAGACAGAAATACTATACTTATATAAGACAAAATGGACTCTAAGTCAAAAAATTTAAAAGAAATAGTTATATTTTCTTGATGAATTCACCCCTGTATTACCATATAATTACCGTGTTTTAAACTTTTTAAAAACTTTTTTAAAACAAGGTCATTACATGGTAATTTAGGGGTGAATTCATCAAGAGACTGTAACAATTGTAAATAAATGTGCATCCAATATTGGAGTGCCTAAATATATAAAGCAAATATTAATAGATCTGAAGGGATTGATAGACTGTCATACAATAATAGTAGGTGACTTCAATATCCCACTTTCAGCAATGGACAGATCATCCAGAGAGAAAGCCAATAAGGAGATATCTGATTTAAACTAAATTTTAGACCAAATGGACCTAACAGACATATATAGAGGATTCCATCCAACAACAACCGAAGAATCATTTTTCTCAAGCACACACAGAAGATTCTCCAGGATAGATCATGTTAGACCACAAAGCAAGTCTTAACAAATTGAAGAAGTTTGAAATTGTATCAAGTATATTTTCTAACCACAGTGGTGTGGAAATAGAAATCAATGAAAAAGTATTTTAGAAAATTAACAAATACATGGAAATGAAACAGCATAATCCTGAACAACCAATGGATCAAAGAAGAATCAAAGAGAAATTCAAAAATATTTTATACAAATCAAAATGAAAACTTAACCTACCCAAACATATGGGATGTAGCAAAAGTAGTCGTAAAATAAAAGTTTATAAAAATAAATGCCTACATCACAAAAGAAGAAACTTCTCAAATAATGTAATGTTTTAACTCAAGAAACTAGAAAATCAAAAACAAACTAAGCCCAATGTTAGTAGAAGAAAGAAAATAAAAAGGCATCGTGCTACCTAACTTCAAACTATGCTACAGGGCTACAGTAACCAACAGTAACCTAAACAGTATGGTGTGGGCCTAAGTACGGACACATAGACCAATGGAACAGAATAGAGAACCAGGAAATAAGTTTGCACACCTACAACTGTCTGATCTTTGACAAACCTGAAAGAAACAAGCAATGGAGAAAGGACTCGCTATTCAATAAATGGAGCTGGGATAACTGGCTCGCCATGTGCAGAAAATTGAAATTGGACCCCTCCCTTACACCATGTACAAAAATTAACTCAAGATGGATTAAATGTAAAATACAAAACCATAAAAACCATGGAAGACAACCTAGGCAATACTATTCAGGACATAGGCATGTGTGAGGATTTCATGATGAAGATGCCAAAAGCAATTACAACAAAAGCAAAAGCTGACGAAAGGAATTTAATTAAACTAAAAACCTCATGCACAGCAAAAGAAACTATCAACAGAGTAAACAGCCTACAGAATGGGAGAAAATTTTAGCAAACTATGCATCTGACAAAGGTCTAATATCAAGCAACTATAGGGAACTTAAACAAATTTACAAGAAAAAAAAAGCCATTAAAAAGTGGGCAAGGACATGAACAGACACATCTCAAAAGAAGACATACATGTGGCCAACAAGCATATGAAGAAAATCTCAACATCACCGATTATTAGGGAAATGCATATCAAAACCACAATGAGATACCGTCTCACACCAGTCAGAATGGTGATTATTAAAAAGTCAAAAAATAACCGATGCTAGTGAGGTTGTGCAGAAAAAGAATGCTTATACACTGTTGTGGGAATGTAAATTAGTTCAACCATCGTGGAAGGCAGTGTGACAGTCTGTCAAAGACCTGAACCTGAAATACCATTTGACCTAGCAATTCCATTACTGAGTATGTTACCAAAACACCAGGGGTTCAGTCTCATTTCTGCAATCACTGAAAAGCCAAGTATTGCCTAGGAAGAAGGCTTTAATCAGGTGCTGCAGCTGAGGAGATGGGAGCTCAGTCTCAAATCCAACCAGGGGTTTACATAGCAGGTAAGAAATGTAACAATGTGTAAGCAAAACAGAAACTTGGGAGGGGCAAGGAAGCAATCATGGTGGATGAAGGGTCTGGCATCTGGTGCAGTAATCTGGTTTGATTCTTTGATACTTTTCATGAGAGGCCTGTATCAAAAAGAACAGCCTATAGGGCAGTTGGGTCGGTTCCAGGTATACACATAAAGGAATATAAATCATTCTATCGTAAAGACACATGCACATGTATGTTCATTGCAGCACTATTCACAATAGCAAAAACGTGGAATCAACCTAAATGCCCATCAATGAAAGACTGGATAAAGAAAAGGTGGTACATATACACCATGGAATACTATAAAGCCATAAAAAAGAATGAGATCATGTCATCTTCAGGAACATGGATGAAGCTGGAAGCCATTATCTTTAGCTAACTAACCCAGGAACAGAAAACCAAACACCACATGGTCTCACTTATAAGTGGAAGCTAAATAATGAGAACACATGGACACATAGAATAGAACAACAGACACTGGGGCCTATCGAATGGTGGAAGGTGAAAGGAAGGTGAAGATTACAAAAAGTAACTAATGGATACTAGGCTTAATACCTGGGTGATGAAATAATCTGTACAGCAAACCCCCATGACACATGTTTACCTATGTTACAAACCAGCACATCCTGCACGTATACCCCGAACTTAAAATAAAAGTTTAAAAAAAATCAGAACAGAAATAAGTGAAATAGAGAATAGAAAAACAATAGAAAAAGCAGTGAAACGAAGTGTTCATTTAGTAAAAGGAAAAACAAAAATCCACAAATGTTCAGACTAAGGAGAAAAAAAGAGAAGACTCAAATAAAATCAGAAGTGAAAGAAGAGACATTATAACTAATACCATAGAAATACAAAGGCTCATAAGATGCTACAACCATCAATTACATGCCAACAAATTAGATAACCTAAAATAAGTGAAGAAATTACTAAACACATACAACCTACCAAGACTGAATTATGAGATAAAAAAAATTTGAGGAGACTAGTAATAAGGACATTAAATCAGTAATAAAACTTCTCTCATCAAAAAAAGAATGCCTTGGACCTGATGACTTTACTACTGAATGTTACCAAACATTTAAAGAAGAACTAATATCAATTCCTGTCAAAATTCTTCACAAAATTGAAGAGGAAATCTTCCCAAACTCATTTTACAAGGCCAGCATTTCCATGATACCATAGCCAGGTAAGGATACTACTATAAGAAAAGAAAATTACAAACCAATATCTGTGATGAACATAGATGTAAAAACCCTTAACAAAATACTAGAAAATCAAATTCAATAGTACATTATAGGGATCATTCACCTTGATCAAGTGATATTTATCCCTAGGATACAAGTTTGATTCAACATATGCAAATCTACAAAAATTCATAAATATGACACACCAAAATAGCACAATCGAGGACAAAAACCATGTGACCATCTCAATAAATGGAGAAAAAACATTTGACAAACTTCTGCTTGCTTTCATGATTAAAACAATTTCTCAACAAATTAGGTATAGAAGAAATGTACCTCAACGTAATAAAGTCCACGTATGACAAATGCAGAGCTAACATTATACTCAACAGTGAAAGATTGAAAGCCTTTCTCTAAGATGAGAATCAAGACAAGGATGCCCACTCTCACCACTTCTATTCATATTAGGTCTAGAAGTCCTAGCCAGGGCAATTAGGCAAGATAAAGACAAAAAAGTATCCACATTGAAAAAGAAAAAGTTAAGTTGTTCCTGTGTGCAGATATGCTGACACGCATAGAAAACTCAAAAGATTCCACCAAAATATTATAAGTATTGAACAAATTCAGTAAAGTGGAAAGATATAATATCAACATACAAAAATTATATATATGAGTATATGCATATACTCCACATCCCTGTCAATATTCAATAGTTATCTTTCATCTTTGGTAGTAGTCATTCTGACAGGTGTGAGTTAGTATCTTCTTATGGTTTTAATTTGCATTTTCCTAATGATTAGTAATGTTAAACATTTTTTTTATCTATCCGATGGCCATTTGCATTTTTTAAGAAATGTATATTTAAGTCTCTTGCTCACTTTTGAATTAGATTATTTGTCTTCTTGGATATTGATTTGTTTGAGTTAGTTAAATATTTTGTGTATTATCCCCTTATCAGATGAATGGCTTGCAAATATTTTATCCCACTCTGTCAGTTGTCATTTTACTCCATTGATAGTTTCCTTTTTCATGCAGGAGCTTTTTATTTTAATGTAATCCCATTTTTCTATTTTTGTTTCTGTTGCCTGTGCTTTTGGAGTCAAATGTAAAAAGTTGTTGCCCACAGCAATATAGTGTAGTTTTTCTCCTATGTATAGCATTTATAATAATTACTAAGAAAGTGTATTTTAAGTGTTCTCACCACAAAAAAATAATGAATATGTCAGGTAATACATATGTTAATTAGCCATTCAGATGTATGCATATTTCAAAACATGTTACATGCAATACAAAGAAACAATTTTTACTTGCCAATCAAACAGAATAAATAAATATTTTTATAAAGGGACAGAAAAGGAAAATAAGAAAATTCAGTTAAAAGACATGTAGGCTAGCGTGAGAGATCTCAACATGTGTCAAAACTTGTTCAGAATAAATAAAATGGAGAGGTTACAATGGTGGATAGGAGGCAGAAGTAGCTTGCAGCTCCCACTGGCATGGACAGAGCAGCATGTGGAGACTCACATCATGAACTTTTGCTCCAAGAACTACTGCAGGAACATACCAGAAAAGCGAAGAGAATCCACAGACCCTTTGAAGGAACTGGGTCACCCCTGCAGGCTCGCTGAGACACGGAAAAACTGAGTCTGCTTTTTTTCTCATTGAAGAGGCTCATGTTCTGGGGCAAGCTCTCAGCCCTGGCCACTGGCTGACTGGAAATAGACTCGGTGCTGTTGGTGTGGCATGGTGGGAGTGAGACTGGCCTTTGGGACTATGGGCTGTCTGGGAGTGGGGTGAGGGCTGTAACCGCCACATTTCCCCCACTTCCCTGGCAACCTGTATGACTCAGCAGAGGCAGCCATAATCTCCCTGGGAATACAACTCCATGGGACTGGGAACCACACCCCCATACCCCACAGCAGGTGCAGCAAACCTCACCCAAGGAGAGGCTGAGCTCAGACATACCTATCCTTGCCCCCCACCTGGTGGTGGTCTTTCTCTATCTGCTCTGGTAGCCAAAGACAAAGGCCATAATCTCTTGGGAGCTCTATGGCCTTGCCCAGCACCTGAGAAACCTGAATACTTAACCAGGTGTCCCTAGGGCAAGTTTGCATCCTCCCTATGGGACCGCAGCTGATGCACCCACCTTCTGGCTGGAGGTCAACCAACACAAAACCAGTGCACTAAACAAAAACACAACACAGGACGCTCACAGAGTCCACTTCACTCCCCTGTCACTTCCACTGGAACAGGTGCTGGTATCCACGGCTGCAAGACCCGAAGATGAATCACATCACAGGACTCTTTGCAGACACTTCCCAGTACCAGATTAGAGCATGTTATCTCTACTGGGTGGCTAGACCCAGAAGAGCAAAATCAGTCACTACAGTTTGGCTCTCAGGATGCCCCATTCCTAGGGGAAGGGGGAAAACACCACATCAAGGGAGTAACCCCATGGGACAAAATAATCCGAACAGTAGTCCTTGAATCCCAGACCTTCCCTCTGACATAGTCTTACCCAAGTGAGAAGAAACCAGAAAAACAATTCTGGTAATATGACAAAACAAGGTTCTTTAACACCCCCCAAAAATCATACCAGCTCACCAGCAATTGATCCAAACCAAGGTGAAATCTCTGGATTGCCAGAAAAAGAATTCAAAAGGTCAATTATTAAGCTACTCAAGGAGGCACCAGAGAAAGGTGAAATCCAACTTAAAAAAATTTTTAAAAAAATGATACAGTATATGAAAAGAAAATTCTTCAGTGAAATAGAGAGCATAAGTAAAAAACAGTCACAACTTCTGGAAATCAACAACACACTTAAGAGAAATGTCAAATGCACTGGAAATTCTCAGCAATAGAATCAAACAAGCAGAAGACAGAATTTCTGAGCTCGAAGACAAGGCTTTCAAATTAACCCAATCCAACAAAAACAACAAAGAATTTTTTTTTTTTAAAAAAAGATCAAAGCCTCCAGGAAGTTTGGGACTATGTTAAATGTCCAAACCTAAGAATGATTGGTGTTCTTGAGGAAGAAGAGAAATCTAAATGTTTGGAAAACATATTTGAAGGAATAATCTAGGAAAACTTCCCTGGCCTTGCTAGAGATCTAGACATCCAAATACAAGAAGCTCAAAGAACACCCCGGAAATTCATCACAATCATCACCTAGACCATAGTTATCAGGTTATCTAAAGTCAAGATGAAGGAAAGAATTTTAGGAGCTGTGAGGCAAAAGCATCAGGTAACCTATGAAGAAAAACCTACCAGATTAATAGCAGATTTCTCAGCAGAAATCCTACAAGCTAGAAGGGATTGGGGTCCTATTTTTAGCCTCCTTAAACAAACAGTTATCAGCCAAGAATTTTGTATCCAGGGAAATTAAGCTTCATAAATGAAGGAAAGATACAGTCTTATTGAGACAATAAATACTGAGAGAATTCACCACTAACAAGCCAGCACTAGAAGAACTGCTAAAAGGAGCTATAAATCTTGAAACAAATTCTCAAAATATACCAAAATAGAAACTTCTTAAAGTACAAATCTCACCAGACCTATATAACAATAACACAATGAAAAAAAATGCAAGCTTTTCAGGCAACAAATGGTATGATGAATAGAATAGTACCTCACATCTCAATACTAACATTGAATGTAAGTGACCTAAATGCTCCACTTAAAAGATACAGGATGGCAGAATGAATAAGAATTCATCAACCAAGTTTCTGCTGCCTTCAGGAGACTCATATAACATATAAGGACTCACATAAACTTAAGGTAAAGGGGTGGAAAAAGATAATCTATGCAAATGGACACCAAAATAGAGCAGAGGTAATTATTCTTATATCAGACAAAACAAATGTTAACGCAACAACAGTTAAAAAAGACAAAGAGGGACATTATATAATGATAAAAGCACTAGTCCAACAAGAAAATATCACAATTCTAAATATAGATGCACCTAACACTAGAGCTCCTAAATTTATAAAAAAAATTTACTACTAGGCCTAAGAAATGAGACAGATGGCAACACAATAATATTGGGGGACTTCAATACTCCATTGACAGCACTAGTCAAGTCATCAAGATAGAAAGTCAACAAAGAAACAATGGACTTAAACTATACCCTACAACAAATGGACTTAACTGATATTTACAGAATATTCTACCCAACAACTGCAGAATATACATTCTTTTTATCAGCACCTGGAAGATTCTCCAAGACAGACTATATGATAGGCCACAAAACAAGTCTCAGTAAATTTAAGAAAATCGAAATTAGATCCAGTACTCTCTCAGACCACAGTGGAATAAAATTGGAAATCATCTCTAAATGCAACACTCAAGGCGATGCAAATACATGGAAATTAAATAACCTGCTCCTGAGTGATCATTGGGTCAACAATGCAATCAATATGGAAATTAAAAAATTCTTAATAATAGTGACACAACCTGTTAAAACCTCTGGGATACAGCAGAAACAGTGCTAAGAGGAAAGTTCATAGCATTAAATGCCTACATCAAAAAGTCTGAAAGAGCACAAATAGACAATCTAATGCCACACCTCACAGAACTGGAGAAACAAGAACAATCCAAACTCAAACCCAGAAGAAGAAAATAAATAATGAAGATCAGTGCAGAGCTAAATAAAATAGAAACAAACAAACAAAAAGCAATGCAAAAGATAAATAAAATGAAAAGATGGTTCTTTGAAAAGATAAATAAAATTGATATACCATTAGTGAGATTAACTAAGAAAAAAAGAAGATCCAAATAAGCTCAATTAAAAATGAAACAGGAAATATTATAACTGATACCACAGAAATACAAAAGATTATTCAACACTACTATGAAAAGCTTTACATGTATAAACTAGAAAACCGAGAGGAGATGGATAAATTCCTGGAAATATACAATCCTCCTAGATTAAACCAGGAAGATATAGAATCTCTGAACTGACCAATACCAAGCAGTGAGATTGAAACAGTAATTTTAAAAATGCCAACCAGAAAAGTCCAGTACCAGATGAATTCACAGTTGAATTCTATCAGATTTTCAAGGAAGAATTTGTACCAATTCTATTGACACTATTCCAAAAGACAGAGAAAGAGAGACTTCTCCCTGAATCATTCTATGAAGCCAGTCTCACCCTAATACCAAAACCAGGAAAGGACATAACAGCAACAACAAAAACAGAATACAAACCAATATCTCTGATGAATATAGATGCAAAAATCCTCAACAAAATACTAATTAACTGAATCCAACAGCATATCAAAAAGATAATCCACCATGATTAAGTGGGCTTCATACCAGGGATGCGATGACAGTTTAACATACATAATTCAATAAATGTGACACACCACGCAAACAGAATTAAAAAACAAAAATAACATGATCATCTCCATAGATGCAGAAAAATCATTTGACAAAATCCAGCATCCCATTATAATTAAAACCCTCAGCAAAATCGGCATAAAAAGCACATCCTTAAGGTAATAAAAGCCATCTGCAACAAACTCACAGCCAGCATTGTACTAAACAGGGAAAAGCTGAAAACATTCCCCCTGAGAACTGGAACAAGACAAAGATGCCCACTTTTACCACTTCTATTTAACATAGTACTGGGAGTCCTAGCCAGAGCAATCAAACAATGGAACGAAATAAAGGGCATCCAAATGGGTGAAGAGGAACTCAAACTGTAGAATTGACCCAATTATCTTGCCTTATTCTGTTGAACATTCCTAATTGTTAACCTCACAAACAGTTGAGACAATTGAATAACTAAGGAATTAAGCCAAGCAAAGTTTTAAGATGATGGGCCTATTTTTGCACAACTAAAGAAGGCAAATAAGATAACTTAAAAATCAACTGAGTATATTTTTTGTATGTTAAAAAGTATCTCTTTTTTATTAAAATATTTATCACTAAATATTCACTAAAATATATATCAAATTTAAAATAAATTCCAAAAAAAGTAAGAACTTATGGAGAATAAATACAAATTTAGGCATATTTAAAGGTCTATTCAAAACATGTAAATTTCATGACAAATGATTTTTTGTTGCTATTATTTTTGTTTAATTATGTTTACATTTGCTCAAAGTAAATGATAAAATGCTTGGGTAAGATGTAAATGAAAGAGTTTCCACAAAATGATGTTATTTAGGTACTATTAGGGTGCTTTGCACTCTCAGTAAATACTTTAATAAATGTCTTCAATTCTTCTGTTATATGCCAAGCAAAATGCTGTACAATAAAATCCCTATTCTATGTATTTACTCCTAAAGGTTACAGGCCCAGGGTGGTAAAGCAACAATCCAATTACCTCAGGCATCATGCTGTTGCGTGTCCTTTATGCTTTTCTTTCTCAGTCTGGCTTCTGGGAGCTGTTAGGTTCCTATGTCTATTATCTGTAGTTTCCCCTTCCAATGAAACTGAAGGTCATTACAGGGAACAGTCACCAGGTCCTGGCCAGAGTTAATGCCAAGATCCAACAGAGTCAAGTCATGGAGCAGGAACCAGGCCAGGGTGCAAGATAAGGTAATAAGCAGATTCCAACCGAATCCCTTTTGGATTTCCTGGCACTTTGGAATTTGCAAGGATATATCCACACCTCTCATGAGTAAAGTGAAGTCCAGAAAACACCATCAGCTACACAAGCATCTTTCTGATTATTAGGACACTGCTTCAGCAACAGGCCAGGAGCTGATTTCTGGGGCAATGCCAGCGACATCCATGATACTCCAAGAGTACGAACAGTCGCCAAAGGAAAGAATGCCTGATAACTTTGCTGGTATTATTATTGATGCAAGTATGTCACTATACAGTGTGTTAGTTTCACAGATGCAGGAAACTCAGCATCTGAGTGTTTGCCCATTGTGACACATAGCCCTCTCCATGTGCCTGATTTTAATCTTATCAAAAATTCCTCTTACAAGAGATAGTAAAGAAACAAAAGGTAAAAGTCAATGTCAAAGAAAGAACAAGCTTTTACTAGTGATCACTGCCATATTTGAAACAAATTTATACTGAAAAATTGGGGAAAAAATAATAAAATAGAAAATATGGCAGAATAGTGGTATTTGAAAATAGTAAATAGTTTCCCAGAATCATAGAAAAATCAACAATTTAAATGTCCTTCAATTACTAAGCATTATATTAACAATTAAAGATGAATCCATATCTAGAAGTATTGCAGTAAAACAAGTGACGTCTTAAAAGCTAACAAAAAAATTAATAAATTACTTACAAACACTGTAATCACTTAGCTAAACTAGTATGCAAGTATGAAGTCAAAATAAGAGATTTTAAAGATATCCCCAAAGCTAGAAGAATTTACCACTCATAGATTCTGAAAAAAAAATATATTAAAGGACATATTCTAACAAAAATAATAGGAAATTTAGAAAATAGAGTGGAGATCCAAGAAATAGCAGTGAGTAGAAAAATTGGTAAAATATGTTGACAATTGTAATTATTACACTAAACAAGTATCATTTGACATATTTAAAAGGATAATTTAAAAGTTCATGTCATAGTAGGAAGATGGATTGTGGGTTATTAAATGAGTAGTCAAAATGTGCTATGGCCTGCTTCATGTTTGAAGCAGAATAGTAAAGTCATTGATAAGCATATAGGCTAAAATTAATAGGAATATATGTTTAAACTTAACAACTGAAATAATAATTATACAATGTATAACTTCTAAGCAAACTTAGAAGTTTATAAACTTGAAGGCAACTAACAACATTGCCATGTTTTCTATTATCTATATCTATCTATCTATCTATCTATCTATCTATCTCTTTATTACTGGAAATAGATTCTTAGATATGACATTAAAAGCACAAGCCACAAAAAACAGATAAGTTAGACTTATTAAACTGTGTCAATATTTAACTTTTGTGCATCAAAAAACATTACAAAGGTGGAAAATATGACCTATAGAATGGGAGAAAATATTTGCAAATCATATGTCAGATAAGTCTAGTATCCAGGACATCCAAAGTCTTACAATTCAAGAATGAAAAGAAAAGCAACCCTAATTTTAAAATGAGTAAAAGCCTTGAATAGACATTTCTCCAAACTAATACACAAATGGCCAATAAGCACATGAAAAGATACCTAACTTTATTAGACATTAGAGAAATGAAAATCACAAATATAAATTATCACTTCACACCTACTAGGATGGCTATATTATAAAAAATTTTAACAAGAGTTGGTGAAGATGTGAAGAAATTGGAACACTCATACTTTGCTAATAAGAAAGTAAAATGGTTCTGCCACTGTGAAAATCATTTTGGCAGTTCCTCAAATAGAAAACATAGAAATACAATATGACCCAGAAATTCTATTCCTAGATGTATATACGAAATAATTAAAAACAGGTATTCAAGCAAAAACTTTCACATGAATATTTGTAACTACATTATTCACAATAGCCAAAGGTGGAAACAACACGAATGTTCATATGCAGATGGATGCATATGCTAAAAGTGGTATATACATACAAAGAAATATTATTCAACCATTAAAGCAATTGAAGTGTTGATATATACTATAACGTGAATGAACCTCCAAAACTTCATGGTAAAGGAAAGAAGCCAGACACAAAATGTTGTATATTGTGTGATGCCATTTATGTGAAACAATCTAGAATATGTGAACCCATACATTCAAACAGCAGAGTAGTGTTTGCCAGAGACCTGGGGGAAGAGAGTGCTTAATAGGTACAGGGTTTCCTTTTGAGTGATGAAAATATTTTGGAGCTATATAGTGGTAATTACTGTAAAACCTTGTGCATGTACTAAATGCCACTGAATTGTGCACTTTAAAGTTTTTAATTTGATGTTTGGAATTTTATCTCCTTAAAAAATAAGCAGACTTATGAGGAGAAACTGACAAGCTCACAATCAAAATTAAAATGTTTAACACACTTTTCCCCTAAAACTGATCAATTGAGGGGCCAAAATATTAATAAGGATATAGAATATTTTAAGAAGAATGTTGTCAGATTATAACTAATAATATTTATAGAGTCATGCTTCCTACAAGAGGATGTGCATTCTTTTTTAGTACACAAGGAACATTTATAAAGAGTGATGACTTAATGGAATTTCCAACACATTTCCAAAATCAAAAGAGAGGTCACCTTCTCTAAAAAATAACTATTAAATTAGAAACTAACTATAAAAAGTTAGTTAAATATCTCTACATTTGAAAAGTTACAACTGTACTCTTATGCAACCCATAGGTTCAGAAGGAAAACATTTGGAAATAACAGACTATTAAGAAACAACAGGGAAATTACTACCCATCGAAACTTGTGGTCAGCAGCTAAAGAGGCACACAGAGGTATATTTAGAAACTTCAATGCATTCATTTAAAAACACAAAGAGGCCGATTGCGGCGTCTCACACCTGTAATCCAAGCACTTTGGAAAGCCCAGGCAGGTGGATCACTGGTTGTCAGGAGTTCAAGACCAGTGTGGCTGACATGGCAAAACCCTTTCTCTACAAAAAATACACAAATTAGATGGGCGTGGTGGTGCACGCCTCAAGTCCCAGCTACATGAGAGGCTGAGGCACGAGAATTGCTTGAATCCAGGAGGCAGAAGTTGCAGTGAGATGAGAGATCATGCCACTGTAATACAGCCTGGGTGAGAGTGAGACTCTGTCTCAAAATAAATAAATAAATAGATAAATAAATAAATAATAAATACAAAAGAATAAAAAACATGAAGAATAAAAATCAATGAGTTTTTAAGTTAAACCTTTTATTTCTTTGTACATCCCAAATATATTTAAAGATTCCTTCAGATTTTCTAATATTTTAATTTATTCCAGGATGAATTAATATTGTTTTATAGGGGGAGGGCTCAATTATCTTTATGGATATTTATATTTTGGATTGTAGGCCCTCTTACATGGTTCTCTCTCTCTCTCCCTCTCTCTGTCTCTTTCATCTTCTCTCCATCACTTTCTACTCTCTCCTTACCCTTCTTTATTTAAAAGTTTTCCAATTTTCTTTTCTTTTCTTTTTTTTTTTTTTTTTTTTTTTTGAGACAGAGTCTTGCTCTGTCACCCAGGCTGGAGTGCAGTAGCGCAATCTTGGCTCACTGCAAGCTCCGCCTCCCGGGTTCTCGCCATTCTCCTGCCTCAGCCTCCCGAGTAGCTGGGACTACAGGTGCCTGCCACCACGCTCAGCTAATTTTTTGTATTTTTAGTAGAGACGGGGTTTCACTGTGTTAGCTAGGATGGTCTCGATCTCCTGACCTCGTTATCTGCCCGCCTTGGCCTCCCAAAGTGCTGGGATTACAGGCGTGAGCCACCGCACCAGGCCAAAAGTTTTCCAATTTTCTTAATCTGCTTTCATGGACCCCAGTCTAGAACCAAATCATACATTGGTGGTCCATGGCTCCTTCCCTATAATGATATTGGGGAAATCAGGGAGGGTAGTCATAAGGTTATAATTATGTCCTCCTACTCCCTAGGCATTCAACATTTAATAAATTGTAGTCCTAAGCATCAGTCCAGAAAAGAATTTTTCAACTTATATTTGCAAGTAGGGCAACCCCAACATGGCCTCCAGTTTCAAGCAGGGAGCCTATCCCTGTCTTAATTTATGCTAAGACCCTCATTCTATGGACTTCACAGGAGCCATGCAACTAACTGTCCCTTCTGCTTTTTAAACAAAAGTCCAGAAGTCACGTCTGACACTGACTTGCACTTATATTACATTTATTGCTCACAGAAAGATTTATCTTGTTTTTGAGATCAACAATGTAGTTGAATTTTCTCTTTTGACATGTTTTCATTTCTCTGAGTTAGAGAAGGAATGCTCGAAGTGTGGAATTTCTATGGTGATAATGATTTTAATTCAATCAATTTTTTTTCTTATGCAAGATACATGATGAATGAGTAACAGCAAAGGATATAAGTTTTTTCTCTTTGCAAATGGGGGAACAGACAAGTAAAATAATTTCAAAAATCACTATTATATCTCCACTCGTATACAGCATATATTTACTGAACCCTTACGATGCACCAAGTATGTATTACATGTTTTAGGATGCAGAGGATTTCTTTAATATTCACATGATGAAACTGTGACCCCAAAAGATTTTGATTTCTCAAGAACTTACAGCTAAGTAACAGTAGAGCCCAAATTAGAACCCAGGTCACTCTCAGTTCTAGATTATTTGGAGAATGAACCAAAGAGTTACAAATTCAAAGAGAAACAAATTCAAAGAGGAACAAATTTAGAAATTATTCTGATGAGTGCTAATCCCTCAACCTCTCAACGTATTTTTCTGTTTATGAAGTAAGCGTAGGATGGTAAAGTGACTTGCCCAAGTACATGCAGCATTAGTAGCAGATCAGAAATTAGAATCCAAGCAACCTAACATTCACATCTTGATCTCTTTTTATTATACCATGATGTACCATTTCAGAGTTCTAGAATGACTCTCTTGCCAGATACACTGACTACACTGTTAAATCATTTGGCTTATGTTTCAGCATCATTTTCATACATACTAGTCTATTACAGGAAATTTTTCAATCCTCAATGTGATAATGGATAAAGTAGGCAACTAAGACAATGCTAGTGGAGGTCTACTGACAGGTCTATAGTAAATGAATAAAATAATTGAAAAAGGATAAGAAGTGGAGGGAGCACTGGAAAGAAAGATAAATATCAGACAAGGTAGCAAAAGTTTGTAATAAAATTATAATTAGAATTGCCTTTATTGTTAAGTGCTATTTGTTACCCATGCATTATCTCACCTGTGTATGAATAAGCAAGGCGTGCTTATTTGCTTTTTATAATAAAATATTCCTGTCATTATGTAAAAAAATTACAAAAAGGATTCCATGGAGTGTGTACAGTAGAAGTAAATGATGAGACTTGTTTGGAAAGATTGAGTGAAATTCAGAGTCTGAAGAACATCTGTATAATCAAGACAAGTAATGCTAGCATAGAAGATCCTTTTTGTTTTGAAGGAGGTACAGTTAGAACAAAACAGGAAATCTTTCTTTATAAAAGAATAATCTTATAGGAGATTTTACTTCAAAGGTAAAATACAATTTGGAATAAAATTGAGATCATTCCTAAACTACTGACTTCATAGGATCTTATAAACGATGATGTGTTTTCAGTAACATGAGAGTAATAAGGTACTGCCCATGTGAAAGGTATGACACATATGTATCATTCTCCTTTTCTACGATAGATATTCCTCCCTGTTGAACTGTGGTCCAATTTCATAATCCTCATTCTGGTATTTCAGATAGTAACTGTCATGTGAGGGAACTTGTTCCATTGTTAATTTATGCTGCGAATTCCTCCATGGCAAGGACTATGTCTTAGTTTTGTATCTTAGTGTAAATACCTAAAATGTGATTCTCAAATCATCTGCTCATGAAAACACTTGTGATAAATATCAGAAAGATTATCTGAATCTCAAAATCAATCTACTCAATCTCTTTATCTTCTCTCCCATTGTTATACAGATGATACTTTTCTTTCTGCATTAAGAAAACTAATGGCAATGAAGTTGAACAAATTTATGCTCCCACATCTAAAAGTTTATTTATAGCTGCACCTACCGTCAAATTATTTCCTACAGTCTCAGAAGAAGAGGAAATTCTACTGTTTATTGCCCCTGCCTTTGGTCTTGCTTATATCCTTTCCTATTTTCTCTATGATAGTAACCTTGACCTTCTGTTATTTCCTCTGTCTTGTGCTTTTACAGCCTCTTCCTCTCTATTTGCTGTCACTCAAAGTTTATAACTATTTTCAAATTCTCCAATAGAAACACATTAAAACCTCATATATTTCCCATCATTTTTCTCACTTTAAGTATTGGTGTCTCATTTCTTCATAAGCAAGATCCTCATAAGAATATCCGGAATTAAACCTTAGGCTTGACAAATGTGCTTCAAAAGATACATAGACCCCTTGAAAGGGAGGGAATTATTTTATGTGTATGCATGCATATGCATTTTTCAGGCAAGAAGGTCCATAGCTTTTATCACATTCCTGCTCCCATTTTTTTTTCTTCATCCTACCACAATCAGGCTTTTGCTAGCAACCACGTTTCTGCCCCTCTAATGACACTAAAACTCTTGTCAGTAAAGTCACCAGTGACCCTTAAGTGACTTACTCCTTTCAATTCTTATACCTGAGCTTTTGGCAGCATTTTATTCTGTTCAATGCTTTGTTGTTTTTGAAGCACTATTTACTCTTACTTTCAAATGAGCATTTCCCTCCTGTCTCTTCTATCACAATTCCTTCTCATTTGATGGTTCAGTTAACTTTTTTGGTGCTTATTTGCACCCAAGCTGACACTTCTTGTGTTACCTGTATGGCACATTTTGTTTTCCTAATTATTTCCCCTCACTCATAGCTCTACCTATACTCCCTTCTGAAACAGGGTCATTGAATATTTCCAACAAAGTGACCTCGGCTGACTGTGCCAGTGTTAATACATTAGGAAGGCCAATTAAAACCTCTTTCTGACAATTAATAACATTAAAATAGTACAGATATTCCAGGTGTCCACTTGACGACTTTTCACATTCATGTAACAGAACATTAGCAACAACTTAGAAGCTGTTTTTATACATATTTTCAATCACTATTTTCTGCCTCTTCTACAAAACTAAATGTCATTTTAACTTTTAACATTTCACAGATTGATTTTTATCTATTTTGACCTTTCTAAACTAGAATAAATAATATTTACTCTGTGATGTTGATATTTGCCCTATTTCACTGAATGCAATGTTTGTGAGATTCCATAGTGCTCTGTGTAGCTCAACTTTAATGACTGGTGAAGGATGGTATCCCACTATAAGATAAATATACCAGAATGTATGTATTCTTCCAGTGACATTTGGGTTGCTTTCAGTTTCCAGCTATCATAAAAATGCATCTTCTACATTCTTCTACATTTATTTGTGCAACATTGCACATGCTTATAAGTGCCACTGTTGAGCTACAGGATAAGAATATATTCATCTTTGTACACATTGCTGAAGTTTTTTTAAGGTGGATGTATCCGTTTGCACTCACACCAGCATCAAAAGATTTTCAGTTTCTCTATAGCATTGCTAACACTTTCTATTGTCAGATACATTAATTTCAGTCATTCCTCTGTAGGCTTAGTAGCATATCATTTGATTTTAAATTGTCTTGATTACAAAATCAATTAAGCCCCTTTTCATATGTTTATCATCTTTAAACAAGTCTTTTGCTCATTTATCTATTCAGTTGTTGGTCTTGTTCATGATGATTTGTAGAAGTTATTTTAGTCATCTTAATATGAGTTATTTGTTAATTGCATTTATTGCAAATATCTTTTCCCATTGTGTGGTCTGACTTTTCCATTTTAATGGTACATTTTAATTAATACAAGTAATGTACCATATTTTAATTAATGTAAGTAATGTATCAAAACATTTGATACATTGGACTACCTTCAAATAAGAAGATAGTCCTCCTTATTTTACCTTAAAATTTAAGGTAGTCCAATATATCAAATGTTTTGTTTATTTTAGAGATATTTGTGCCTTCTTCATGAAATCTATTTCTACCCACATGCATGAAAATATTCTATGACAATTTCTAGAAACTCAAATATTGTATTTTAAAATTTTTTATCTTTAATCATACTGAGATTAGATTTTGTGTATAATATGAGGGGGAGTCATCTAATTTTTTGCATATGACTATCCAATTGATCCTGCACCTTTTATTGCAAATACCACCATTTTCTCTTTCTATTATGCTACTTAGGTATCAAACAAATGACATTATGTCTGAAGGATTGTTTCTAGACTTTCCTGTTCCATTTGTCTATTTGATATTCTAATGCAAACACTACAGTGTCTAACTTACTATAATAAGCCTTGACATCTAGTAATGTAATTCCACCAACTTTATTCTTCTTTATGATCATCTTGCCTACTTTTGTCTCTTTGCGTATCGCTAAATAATTTAGAATGAGGGTGTCAAATTCCACAATAAACTTGCTAGTGTTTTATAAAGAAAGCATTAGAGCTACAGATTAATTTTGGAAGAATTAACATCTTGGCTATATTGACTCATCAAATCCATTAATATGAATTAGTCTTCCATTTATGGTTGTTTGAAACATTTTTTTCCAATAATGTTTTAGGGTTTTCTCTGTAGTAGAGTTTCTAAATTTTTATTGGATGCATTACTAGTTATTTGATGCCATCGTAAATGGTATTATTTTAAATGTACTACTTTTAAACTACCTATTGTTGTCATATGGAAATACAATTGAGGAAGGTAGACATCAACAAGACGGTAAAAGAAAAAGCCTTGAATCCTCCTTCCCCCTCTAAACACTAAATTAACAATAATAGATGGATACATTTCCTTTGTGACAAACTTAGATACTAGTTGAGAGGGTCCTGCACCCTGAGTGAGTGAGAAACCATCTACATTGAAGCTGGAAGAAAAATTTGACACACTCTTTAAACATAATCTCTACTCCTGCCACGGTGTCATAAAACCAGGATTAAACGCTCCATCTCCAAGGTTCTCCATTCAGAGGGAGAAAAAGGAACTACTTGGTCAATGTAGCAGTTTTTTGATGGTATGTTCAAAGGACATCCTTCTCTCTTCCCTTTCTCAGAGTGTTGACAGGACCTGCCATATGCTAGATGGCTGAAGGCCAGTGAGAACAAAGATGGCATTTTGATCTGGCACATAACTGGTTCCTCCAGCTTAGTACAAAGCAAATAGGCTTAATATCTCAGATTCCAACTTCTTCCTGAGAAAGAAAATAATTGGACAGAGCCTTTGATAATCCAACTTTTCCAGGGGATGCCCAAGGAATGGCTTCATTGTCACTTATCTGAAAATGCTGATGGGACTTGTCATGCTCTACATACCTGGGGCCCACTAAGAACAAAGAAAACAGGTTGGATAAGCATGAAAAATTATCTCAAAGTTCAAAGACAAAGAATTTTCAAAGCAGTATGAGAAAAATGATTTCTCACATAGAAGAGAATACTTATGATTATTGTTAGATTTCTGGGCAGAGCCTTTGAAGGCCAGGGACGAGTGGGGTAATAAGTTCAAAGTACTGAAAAAAAAAAAAAAAAAAAAAAGCCAGGAGCGGTGGCTCACGCCTGTAGTCCCAGAACTTTGGGAGGCCGAGGCAGGTGGATCACAAGGTCAGGAGATCGAGACCATCCTGGCTAACACAGTGAAACCCCGTCTCTACTAAAAGTATAAAAAATTAGCTGGGCGTGGTGGTGGGCGCCTGTAGTCCCAGCTACTCGGAAGACTGAGGCAGGAGAATGGCGTGAACCTGGGAGGCAGAGCTTGCAGTGAGCCGAGATTGCGCCACTGCACTCCAGCCTGGGCAACAGTGCAAGACTCCGTCTCAAAAAATAATAATAATAATAAAAAAAAAACACCGACAACTAAGAACACTTAGTAGTGGCAAACTTTCTTTTAAAAATGAGGGAGATATAATAACTTTACCAACAAACCAAAGTTGAGAGAGTTAAGCACTAGTAATCTTCCCTTACAGGAAATAATGAAAGAAGCTCTTCAAGTTGAAATAAAAGGATGCTAAGTACTGATACAAAATTACATGAGAGTAGAAAATTCACTGGTACAGGTAAATATGTAGACAAATACAAAATACTGTAATACTGTAACAGTGGTGAGTAAATTACTTAATTCAGGAATAGAAGTTAAAAGACAAAATTATTAAAAACTAAACTATACATTTTAACATATGATTGGGGTAGACAATATAAAAATATGTAAATTGAAATATCAATGATACAAAGTTGAGGGAGAGAAATAAAGGTGTAGTTCTTGCATGTGATTGAGGTTAAGTTGTTTTGCACTTAGACTATTATAACTATAAAGGTTTTATGTAAACACTCTGGTAACTACAAAGGAAATACTTATAGAAGATACACAGAAAAAGAGGAAGCAGTCAAAACATTTCAATAAAAAATCAACAAAACACAAATGAAAAAAGCAAGTGAGGAAGAGATGAACAAAAAAATGTAAGACAGTCAGAAAACAATCAACAAAATGACATTAGCAAGACTTTCCCTGACAATACATTCTTTAAATGTCAATGTGTGAAGTCTCATGTTGTGACCTAACAAATTTAAGAAGTTTTAAATCTTACAAAATATCTTTTCTGATGATAGTAGTATGAAATTAGAAATCAATAACAGAAGGAATTTCAGGTAATTAAACCACATGCTCCCTAACAAAAAAAAATAGGTCAAAGAAGAAATCAAAAGGAAAATAAAAATATTCTGAGACAAATAAGGATGAAAACACAACATATCAAAACTTATGGGATTCTGCTAAATTAGATCTAAGAGGAAAATTTATAGCTAATAAATGCCTACATTAGAAAAAAGATCTCTAATAAACAACTTAACTTTACACCTCAAGGAACAAGAAAAAGAGAAAAACCTAAGCCCAAATTTAGCAGAAGAAGGGACATAATAAAAATTGGAACATAAATAAACAAATAATAGAAAAATCAAAAGATGTGTTGTTATTTTTTAAACAAAATCGATAAATCTTTAGACTTAAAAAAAGATAAAACTCAAATAAGTTAAAATAGAAACAAAAGAATAAATATCAAAACTGATGCTACATAAATACAAAAAAATTGTAGATAATCTAAAATAAATAAATAAATACTTTTTTTAAGGTTAAGATTTGCTTTTATTCTCTAGTAAAGAACTTCACAGAAGTCTAGGCACTATTTTCACAAAGATTAATTTAGAATACCTAAACCTAGTTTTTGTTTCAATTTTTACTCTATGATCCATATTAAAATATATAAAGACATTTGTTGATCATGTTCTAGAATGTATAGTTTTAGTATATGCACCACCAAAGATGGACAGAATGCCCTCTGTAAAGCAATATTCTGAGGCTTTTGCAATGAGGATTGTCTTTCTCTGGGCAAACAATTCTAATGATTTGTCTCTGTTTAGCTGACCCATGTCAAAAAGGAAAGTGCACTACATTTTTGAACCTGTTAGATAAATGGATAAATTGTTAGAAACATTAAACTTACCAAGAATGAATCATGAAGTAATACAAAGTTCAAATACAAGTATAACTAGTAAGAATATTGAAACAACAATCAAAAATCTCCCAACAAAGGAAAGTTTGGGACCAGATGGCTTTACTGATGAATTCTGTTAAATATTTAAAGAAGAATTAAAAACAATATTTCTTAAACTCTTTCAAAAATTGACAAAAACTGAACACTTCCAAACTCATATTATGAGGCCAGTATTACCCTGATACTAAAGCTAGACAAAGATACAAGAAAAGAAAGCTACAGGCCAATATCCCTGGTGAATATACGTGCAGAAATTCTCAATAAAACATTAGCAAGTTGAATTGAACAATATGTTGAAAGGATCATACTCCATGGCTAAGTGGAATTTATCTATGGGACGCAAGGATGGTTCAACATACAAAATCCAATTAATGCAATACACCACTCTAATGGAATGAAGGATAAAGACTAGATGATCATCTGCATAGATGTAGAAAAAAACATTTGACAAAATTCAGCACCATTTTGTCATAAAAATTATTAACCAGAAAGAGAAGGAAGTTCTTTCAAAAAATAAACTCCATAGATGGATGGCCAACTAACATCACAGTCAATTGTAAAAAACTAAAAATTTTAATCTATGGTCAGAAACAAGGCAAGAATGACCTCTCACAACTTCTGTTCAAAATAGTACTAGAAGTCCGAGCCAGAACAAATAGGCAAGACAAAAAAATTAAGGTGTCCAAATAAAAAATGAAGAATGCAAATTTTATGTGTATACATGACAGTCTTATCTGTAGAAAAAAGTAAAGAATCCACAAAAATACTGTTAGGTTGAATAAATGAATTCAGTGAAGTTGCAAGATACAAAATCAGCATACATTTTAATATCTATTTATTCTTAGAAAATTCTGCATATCCAACAACATGGATAAACATGGAAGACATTATGCTAAGTGAAATATACCAGTCACTGAGAATGTGTGCATGGCACACAACAGGCCTTTTCAATTTGAAGGCACATGTCCTTCTCCTTGTCTGGTAACTTTTCTGAGATTATTTCTTTAGAATTTCATCCCTTCTATTTTATCAAGTATCTGTGACATACTGATTAAATGTTTGAACATATGACTTGATATTAGGTATTTCCTACCTTTATTCTCATAGTTTCTATCTTTTCTAATACTTTAGTTTCTTTGTGTGAAATTCCCTACACTCCATCTTATTCTTCATACCCCATTTTTATATTTGGTACCATAGAATTAGTTGCCAAGTACTCTCATTTACTCCTTTATTCTTTTTCATAGGACCATATTCTTATGTATACAATACCTTTTGAAACTTCTACAGTATTTATCATAGCGTTGTATGTGTGTGTATTTTTTCAAATAATTTGCATCTTTATTTTTCCTTGGGTCAATATTTCTATCTGTTTACTTTAGTTTTTTTGTGTGTGTTACTCTATCATTTTCAAACACTAGTAGTATTCCTTTGTTGCACATTTTAAATTAGGAATGATGAAATAAATTTTCTTATGTGGGCAGTTGAATTGAGTTTCCTTTTTATCTGTAAAGTTATCTTTTCTTCAACAGATTTCTCCAGTGGAGGAGCTGTCTCTGAGCTCTGTGTATATCAGCAGATTATGTCAACTGACAGGCTTCACTTTAGCGTGTGTATATGTGTGAATCTAGCAGGAAGAATACACAAAACTCGAACAGTAATGCCAGAAAAATGAAAGGCTGTTTTCTCTGGGTTGTTAACACCCACACTAGGAGCCGTAACTTCTTAAAAGCGGAAATTATTTATAGATTAAACCTCCATTTTTATCCTGAGGATTTATGAACACTATACAAAGGAAATTGTTGCATAAGATAATTCACACTGATTTTCTGTACATGAAACTTCAGTCACTTACAGTATTTATTGCCCCTAGGTCTGCTAATCTTTACAATACTGAATCCAATCTTGAACCAACCAACTCTATGGTTTTGCCTCCAAGTAATAAATGTTCCAATCTCTGTTTTTGTTTTATCCTTTTTCAGTTTTAGGGTTGAACACTCATTCTAATTTACCCAAAAGTAAGACCTAAGTTACTTTTCATGTATCCTGCTGCTTTACGATTTAACATTTTTTAAAAAATTATATTGAATCATAAATCAACCATGAGAGATAAATAAAACTATTTTCAGACCTTTTAATACTCATAAAGTTTACTATTCACCAAATATTCCTAAAGCAGCAGGATTTAGGAATTACATTTTTAAGTTTTTGAAATTCATTAAGATCTTCTACACAGTGTTATCTCCACATCTAAAAACAGCAAGATAGTTATGCATTTTTATTATCTACATATGTGTATATATATATTTTGTGAGAAAAGGAAATTTATTTCTTCATTCCTATAGACATATATGTTTCTTTTCTCTAATTTCAATGGTTCTTCAGTAGGAAAAGAAAGCAAACATAAATGATGAGCCTATCATGCTGTATCAGAAAATGACATAACTTTTATGTCAATATATGAAAAGATACATAAGCCAAATTAAATAGCAAACAACAAACTGAGAGACTGGGGAGCTGTATTCAATAATTTGATAAAGGTTTGATTTGATTTTTAAGAGATCTTTATATCTAAATAATAATACAAATAATGGATTTTTTTTTTTGGTATTTACTATGTGCCTGGTAGTGCTCTATTTTTTAAAACCTGTACTGACTCATTTAATTATCATGGCAAGCCTATGAAATAGCTACTATTATTATCACAGTTTTGCATATGGGTAAATGAAGGCACAAAAGGGAAAAATAGCTTGCTCAAGGCTCATAGTGTTGGAATTTGAAACCCATGCAGTCTAGCTATAAATTCTAGATTCTATACATTCTTCATTTAGTTACTACAATAATGTATCCTAAGTAGAAAAACAATGGGTAAAGAATATGAACAAATGACTCATCAAACTATATTAAAATTATATGAAGCATAAGTGTATTAAAAACAGGTTTAATCTTTTAAGTTATCAAATAGTTTCAGATTAAAACAGCAATAATAAACCTTTTGCCTATCAAATTATCATGAACTAATAAATGGTAATATTATTGAAAAGTCAAAGAGATGCAAATTCTCATATATTGCTTATAAAAGTCAAGGTTATTAGTCTTTCTTAAAATAAGTTTTTAGCACATTTCTACAGTCTTCAGATATATGTATCTTTTGTGCTAGTATTTATTCTTCTAGGAGTCTCTTCTGTCTTTTAAAAATAGTCAAATATTTATATATAAAATATTAATGTTAGCATTATTCTAATAACTAAAAAATTATTCAAATGACCAAAGTATCATTTATATATAAATTTATATACAATTATTTGTTCTCCAGCCACAACATGCCAGACACTGTTTGAGACTCTAGGAATGTAATAGTAATGAGATAGATGAAATCACCTGTCTCAAAGAGTTTATATTTTATTATAGGAAGACAGGCAATAAACAAAGAATGAAAAAATCAAGTAGTGGGAAATATTATAGTAAAGTAAAACATGATTTTTTGGAGAAAAACTAGGGGCTACTTTAGATGGTTAGAAGGTGGCATTTAAAAAATCAGACCTGGGAAAGTTTTCCATGTTGAAGTAAAGCTCTATGACAGAAAAAAAGCTTGGCTTGGCATGTCTGAGAAATAAAAAGAGGGCTGGGCCTGGGTAATCAAACAGAGAGGGAGGAAAATTTACATAGGACCTTGTAGGCCACGGTAAGCAATTTGAATTTTATTCTAAATGTGATGAGATACTATTGAAAGATATATATAATTTCTTTTTTTTCTTTTGAGACGAAGTCTTGCTCTGTCGCCAGGCTGGAGTGCAGTGGCATGTTCTCAGTTCACTGCAACCTCCGCCTCCCAAGTTCAAGCAATTCTTCTGCCTCAGCCTCCTGAGTAGCTGGGAATACAGGCACGCACCACCATGCCTGGCAAACTTCTGTGCTTTTAGTAGAGACGGGTTTTCACCATGTTGGCCAGGATGGTCTCAATCTCTTGACCTCGTGATCCACCTGCCTCGGCCTACCAAAGTGCTGGGATTACAGGTGTGAGCTACCGCGCCTGGCCTAAAGATATTTTTTAAAATACTGATTACATTGTAAGCTCACTTTGACTGCCTTTGAAGAGTGGTTAAAAAAAATTAAAAACCACATGCAATTATGAGTAGACAACACTATAGCCATATTAGGGTAAAAACACTGGCTTTGGGGTACCTCGCTCCAATAGATAAAATTAATTTTATTTCCTAGTCTATTATGTGCAATGGATCAGGGCTGCTTGGGTATAGTTCAAATTATGACTGTTAAATTTATGAATGCTAAAAGTATACCATAAACATGTAAAATTTTCAAATCTTTTGGGTCTTTTGGTATATTTTTCTTAAAGTATTTCAAAGTTTATATTGGTTTATATTCTTTATATATTGTTACTATTATGAATATTTTTGCGCACATTATTTAATTGGCAATTACCTGTATATTAGAAAGCTGTTGATAATTTCGTGCAGCTACCTTGAATATTCATCTTCTGTATTCTACAGATGTTCAGATTATTGTTTTGGATGTGCTGGGTAGATAATCATTTAATCTCAAAAAGTTTAATTTCTTCTTTCACTGTGTGTTTTTTATTCATTTTCCTTTTCTTCTTGCATTGTCTCATTCACAGCTCTCTACCTGATTCTCTTGTTATATTACTATCTCATTTCTCGTATTTTTTGCCGTATTGATTTTTCTTGTAAATTTATTTCAGCATTCAATAGTGATCATAGCAGACATCCCTCTCTTGCCTGTTTTATTCATTTTACAGTCATGAAATGAATAGTTTTTAAGAGTAAGGGATCTAGAAAGGATTCGAAAAACAAAGCAATAAGAAATCTAAAGAAAGAAAAAAATTTAAAAAAGACAACGTGTCCATTCTATACATTCTCATGATAGTGTATCGAGCATGTGTATATGGAGAAATAACAAGAAAAGGCCATTTACTTTTATTGAAAAAGAGGATATTAGAAAAAACTCTTAAATTTTCATTTAATAACATGTTTAAAAGGATCAATTAGGAATTAAATTTCTTTTTAAAACTTTAAAATTTTAGGCAGCCTCTCTCAGGAGAGAAAGGGGAAAAACTGCATTAACTTTGTAGTTATTGTTTTAATTCTAACCTAGTGACAAGCAGATACAAATGTATATAGACATCCATGGCAGATGCTTCACAAATGTGAGTAATAAGCAGCTCACCTAAGCCTAGAAATAAAATTTTTGGAAGAAGTTTTTCATATAGGGAATTACACTTCAACTCACTAAATATTTATTGACTGGCCTCCAACACTCAACCTGCGCCCTACTAACTTTGAGACTTTAAACAAGTTTGTGTATCTATTTCGGCACCATTTGCTTAATCTTTAAAGTAAGTGGATTCATTTTCTTCTCTTCCCTTTTATTTTTTTTATTTTTATTTTTTATTATACTTTAAGTTTTAGGGTACATGTATGTGCACATTCTGCAGGTTAGTTACATATGTATACATGTGCCATGCTGGTGCGCTGCACTCACTAACTCGTCATCTAGCATTAGGTATATCTCCCAATGCTATCCCTCCCCCCTCCCCCCACCCCACAACAGTCCCCAGAGTGTGATATTCCCCTTCCTGTGTCCATGTGATCTTATTGTTCAATTCCCACCTGTGAGTGAGAATATGCGGTGTTTGGTTTTTTGTTCTTGCGATAGTTTACTGAGAATGATGATTTCCAATTTCATCCATGTCCCTACAAAGGACATGAACTCATCATTTTTTATGGCTGCATAGTATTCCATGGTGTATATGTGCCACATTTTCTTAATCCAGTCTATCATTGTTGGACATTTGGGTTGGTTCCAAGTCTTTGCTATTGTGAATAATGCCGCAACTTTGAGACTTTAAACAAGTTTGTGTATCTATTTCGGCACCATTTGCTTAATCTTTAAAGTAAGTGGATTCATTTTCTTCTCTTCCCTTTTAATTTTATTGAGAAACAACTATGGGGTGAGCAATGTGCTAGAAGCCATTGCACATATCATCTCATTTAAATTCTTTATAACTCAACAATGTAGGAATTATCATACTCATTTTACAAGTAAAGCAACAGATATTTTGCAGTTGAGTACTTTAACATTTCCATCTTTTAATTTAAAAGCTGTTGGGAAAAAACTCTAGAATTTTCTTTAAATAAATAAATTTAAAAGGATGTTAGAATTTAGGTTTAAACCAGTTCTATCACACTATTAGAGGGTTGATTCTTGCTACTCTACTATGCTTCTCTATAAAGAAGCTGATTTATCAACTTTCCCATTTCCAAAAGTGAAAGAATCTTGATAAAAATATCACCCAGATTTCATATTCAGTTATTTTAAACTGAATGCCAATTTATCTTATATTTTCCTAATATGATAACTGTCTTAGTCTGTTGGGGCTGGTATAATAAAATGTTTTACGCTGGGTAATTTATAAATAAAAGAAATTTATTTTTCACAGATCTGGAGGCTAGAAAGTCCAAGATCAAGGCACTAGAAGACTCAGTATCTGGTGAAGACTCACTCTCTGCTTCCAAGATATGCTTCTTCCTGTCTTATCATGTGGTAGAAAGGCCAAAAGGGCAAAAGGGACTAACAGACTTTCTCAAAGTTTTTTATATGAGTACTAACTAATCCACTATCTCCTATACCCCAGCCCCCCGCACTCCACCTTCTAATACTATTGCATTGAGGATTAAGTTTCAACATGAATTTTGAAGGGACAGAAACATTCAAACCATAGCAAAGGCTTTCAGGGCAGAGTTCACTGGAGCAAAAGACATAGAGAATGTATCCTTAGGAAAAATCTTTAGCTATTCACTGCAAAATTTCTAGCCATTGGAAAATCAGAGAGCTTACGGAGAATGACCATCTGGAAAACTGACATACTTTTTTTTTTTTTTTTTTTTGCAAATGATCTGAAATTAACTAAGTCCTGAATAAAAGGGGTAAGTAAGTCAGAAGGAACTTGTTTGAAACAATTTCCCTTCCCTAGATAAAGATTATGGATCTTTGTTATTTTCCTTAGGAGAGATTTGGCCTTGCAATTTTTTCGTATTGTAGTTTCATTGTGTTTATCACAGAAAATATATAGCAGCAAATAATATTTCCTCTATACTAGAGTTTTGTTTATGGAGAAACAATTCCAGTTACAAAAACAATAGATATTTCAGAGAACGTTAAAGACTATATTGTTATAGACTGGAGTTTCTCAACTTTAGCTGCACGTTAGAATCACGTAAGACATTTTTAAAAAATTCCAATGCTCAGAATGCACATCCGACAAATTACTTTAGAATCTCTGGAGGAGAGATTCTAGTCATCAATACTTTTTAAAGCTTCCGAACTGCTTTCCAGTATGCAGCCAAGGTCGAGAACAGCTAAAACAGATAGCTATGATTAGCTTGATTTATTTCCCATAGGGCTTATACCTCCAGCAATGTAACACATTCTTCACTTAAGGAAGGTGTTTTACATGCCTGAGAGCTATGTTGTCTAAGTTTCCAAAGTCAGTTTTAATATTAATAAATAAGCAGGGAGATTTTTAAGTGTCTATACATTGCTTAGTCGTTTTTAGATTCTTTGCGGGATATAACAGAACTAGGAAGCATTTCCAGCTTGTGCTCTGATTCAGGAAACAAGACTTGCACAGACAGTAAAAATGAAGAATAAATGAAGACAGTTCGTGGGGACTCCTAAATTGAGTAGGACTCATCAGAGGTGTAAAAGAACTCTGGAAAAGAGAGATCCTTGTGGCCTGTTGTAGCTGGTGCTTTCACACACAAGGTGAAATTTGAGTTAGGTCTTGATTGGGGGACAAATGTGGAATATTTGGTAAAGTTATTAGGGCAGCAAAACTTTTCCCAAGTAATTTGTAGATCCAGTCTAAGAGGGTTGTTTGGTGCATTTCTACTGCCAGAAGCATATATACTCAGGGATTTTAGTTTCCAAAATCACTTCAGTAGCAGGAAAATTATTAAGTGCATACTTTGCCCCTTCCAGATGATTGTTGATAGTGGTGGCACTAATGGCTAGATTCTATTATTACATTAGTTTTTAAGTGAGCACAGTTTGAGTAACCCTGGTTTAGTTGAACTGGGTTCTCTTTTGTGGATATATGCCTCTTAACATTGATAAAAAGCAGTGGTGGCTTTGATTTACATAGTAAGGTTTTGTTCTCAGAAAAATGAAAATACCCTGCTTCTCAATTTGCTCTGCACATTTTAGTAGCTTTTATATACCTCTTTCTTTTCTTCAGTAAATCTAAATAAAGCTACCATTTATCAACTCTCTATAAAAATTACTTATATTGGAAGCATATAATGGATATGTAAACTCTGTGGCTTGTAATTATGAGACTCGATATGATATTCTTTGGGCTCACTTTTTCTCATACTACAAATAAGAGACCAATTCTCAATTCTGATGTAACAGATAATGCTCTGAGAAATAAATAAGTGGCAATCAAGAAATAGGGCATGTATTTATACATGAGGGACCATATAATCAGAAAGAAGATGAGCTTCCCTGCTATTCTTTGTGTTCCCATGACTACATTTCCTCAGGATTTTGTCTGATTAAAGGGGAGAATTCCAGCAGAAAAGATGCCCACAAATTGTGTTAAATTATACTCAAGGACCCAGAAGGAATTGCCATTTATGATTTATGACTATGGAATATCAGGAGATTTAGAAGAAATCAAGCTCATTTTGTACTGTCTTTCTGTTTGCTGAGTTATTCCCTCCTCTATGATGCTGCCCTAAGCTGTGTATGCTCGAAAACCTAAGTGATGACAGAATTGAATCACCGGTATTATTAACACTTATCATCAATCAGCCTAGAGAGCAAAGTTATCTCTGGTCTCTTTTGATAGAATCGCAGTGATTTTGGAAGAAAACATAAAGGCAGAGTTTAGAAAGAAGTTCACAAAATTAACCATGAAAAGAAATGAAATTATTACCAAAAAGAAAAGGAGGACAATCTGAAGGTAGACACGCATAAAAGTGGTAGAAATGGAGAAAAGGAACAAATGATACTTTTGAAAAAGATATGTTTATTCTTATTTACTTACTCTTTCCCTCCAAACTTTGGCATTTTAATTAAATTTTAAAATAGCACTAATTAAAGGAGGAATGTAATTGTTTAAAAAGAGAACTGTCATGATGGATCATTGGAACAGGCTAGAGGTTGTACTAATGTTTTTCACTAATGTCTTCTTTTAGAAATAGTCTTAAATATTTAGTTGGCTTTCTTAGAAATCTTAATCATTTTATGTTAAAAGATCACTAATTAGGCCGGGTGCGGTGGCTCATGCTTGTAATCCTACCACTTTGGGAGGCCGAGGTGGGCAGATCACGAGGTCAGGAGATCGAGACCAGCCTGGTTAACACGGTTAAACCCCGTCTCTACTAAAAATACAAAAATAAAAAATAAAAAATAAAAAAAGCCAGGCGTGGTGGCATGCACCTGTAGTGCCAGCTACTCGGGAGACTGAGGCAGGAGAATCGCTTGAACCCAGGAGGTGGAGGTTGCAGTGAGCCGAGATCGCACCACTGCACTCTAGCCTGGGTGACAGAGCAAGACTCCGTCTCAAAAAAAAAAAAAAAAAAAAAAAAAATCCACTAATTCAAAAACCCGTGGATGTCCCTGAAAATAGAATAGAAAACTGCAAGTCTGTATCCCTCTCCAAAAGCAACTAATAAGCTAGCAAAAACTATCAAAATCAACTTTTAAGAACCCTATAGTTTAGTCAAAAAGTTACAATAACCAGGTGAAGTCTTGATGGAGAACAAAGTGGTTACTTTGTCATAAGATAATACTATTGTAGCATTTTAAATTGGTCACCTGTCATCCCCCGTACTCCAAATGAGTAGCAGCCTTGAGAACAACAGTCCTTGTGCCAGAAGGAGAAAAATGGAATATATTCTTAAAGAATTCTGGTTGTGGGTTTAATCTGTTTAAAGCCTCTGACAAGGACGAGGGCAAAGGCTTCCCATTGCTTCACCTAACTCGAATATTCACAGGGCAAGGGCAGTTTTTAAAGTGGCTTTGGCTAACATAATTCAAAGGAACAGGTATCAGTTGAAGTAGCCTGCAAGGGACAATACTTATTCTTCCACATGTGGCTTGCCAATTATCTCAGCACCATTTGTTGAAGTTGTTGTTTTTTACCCACTTTATGTTTTTGTTTATTTTGTCAAAGATCAGTTGACTGTAAGTATTTGGCTTCATTTCTGGGTTCTCTACTTTTTTCCATTCGTTGACATGCCTATTTTTATACCGGTACAATGTTTTGGTAACTATAGCCTTGTAGTATAGTTTGAAGTCAGGTAATGTGATACTACCAGATTTGTTCTTTTGCTTAGTCTTGCTTTGGCTATGTGGGCTCTTTTTTCATTGCATATGACTTTTAGGATTTTTTTTTAAGTTCTGTGAAGGGTGATGATGGCATTTTGCTGGGAATTGCATAGAATTTGTAGATTGCTTTTGGCAGTATGGTAATTTTTACAATTTTGATTCTACCCCTTCATGAGTATGAAATGTGTTTCTATTTGTTTGTGTCATTGATGTTTTTTTTTTCAGCAGTGTTTCGTAGAGATTCTATTTTGGTGTATTTTGAGGTTTAGCTTTGAGATTTAGAACTCCTTTTAGCATTTCTTGTAGTGCTGGCTTGGTAGTGTCAAATTCTCTCAGCATTTATTTGTCTAAAAAAGACTTTATCTGTCCTTAATTTCTGAAACTTAGTTTCCCTAGATACAAAATTCTTGGCTGACAATTATTTTGTTTAAGGAGGCCGAATATAGGAACCCAAACCCCTCTGGCTTGTAGGGTCTCTGCTGGGAAATCTGCTGTTAATTTGATAGATTTTCCATTATAGGCTATCTGATCCTTTTGTCTCACATCTCTTCAGATTCTTTACTTTGTCTTGACTTTAGATAACCTGATAGCCATGTGTCTAGGTGATGATATTTTTGTGAATAATTTCTTGCGTATTCTTTGAGATTTTTGTATTTGGATGTCTAGATCTATAACAAGGCCAGGGAAGCTTTCCTCAGTTATTCCCCAAAACATGTTTTTTAAATTTTTAGCTTTCTCTTCTTCCTCAGAAACATCAATTATTCTTATGTTTGTTTAACAGAATCCCAAATTTTTTGAAGTCTTTATTTTTATTTTTGCTGTGTCTTAGCTGGTCAGGTTAATTTGAAAGCCTTGTCTTTGAGCTCTGAAGTTCTTTCTTCTACTTCTTCTAGTCTATTGTTGAAACATTACATTGTATTTTGTATTTCTCTAAGCTTGTCTTTCATTTCCAGAAATTTGGATTTTTTTATACTCTCTATTTTTCTGGAGACCTTTAAAAAATCTGTATCGTGTTTTTTTTTAATTTATTTAAGTTGTTTTTCTCCTTTCTCTGATACCTCTTCAAGTAACTTAATAATCAAATTTCTGAATTATTTTGGGAATTCAGAGATTTCTTCTTCCTTTGCATCCATTGCTGAAGAGGTAGTGTGATCTTTTGGTGGTGTTATAGAACCTTGTTTTGTCATATTACCAGAATTAGTTTTCTGGTTCCTTTTCATTAGGGTAGACTGTTTCAGTGGAAAGATCTGGAACTCAAGGTCTGCTGTTCAGATTCTTTTGTATCACAAGGTGATCCCTTTATCTGGTGCTCTCCTCTTTCCGCTAGGGATGGGACTTCCTGAGAGCCAGACTGCAGTGATTGTTATTGCCCTTTTGGTCTAGCCATCCAGTGGTCTACTGTGGTGCTGGGCAATGTCTTCAAAGTGTCCCATGATGTGATCCGTCTTCAGCTCTGCCAGCTTTGGATACCAGCACCTGCTGTGGTGGGGGTGGCAGGGGAGTAAAGTGGACTCTGTGAGTGTCCCTGATTATAGTTTTGTTTAGTGCACTGGTTTTCTCAAATGCTAGTTTTGCTAGCAGTGAAGTTGTCACATAGATAGACTCAGAAACTCTGGTTAGCCAGGATGTTGCAAACAGTGGAATTAGCTGTTGTTTCCTCTTGCTTTGGAGCAGTGGTGTTCTGTTATGAGTTGTTGTATGGCTTGCATTGGTTGGCCTTCAGCCAGAGGTAGAACTTTCTTTTTTTTTTTGTTATATATTTTTCTTTTTTTAATTTATTATTATTATACTTTAAGTTTTAGGGTACATGTGCACAATGTGCAGGTTAGTTACATATGTATACATGTGCCATGCTGGTGTGCTGCACCCATTAACTCGTCATTTAGCATTAGATATATCTCCTAATGCTATCCCTCCCCCCTCCTCCCATCCCACAACAGTCCCCAGAGTATGATGTTCCCCTTCCTGTGTCCATGTGTTCTCATTGTTCAATTCCCATCTATGAGTGAGAACATGCAGTGTTTGGTTTTTTGTCCTTGCGATAGTTTACTGAGAATGATGATTTCCAATTTCATCCATGTCCCTACAAAGGACATGAACTCATCATTTTTACGGCTGCATAGTATTCCATGGTGTATATGTGCCATATTTTCTTAATCCAGTCTATCATTGTTGGACATTTGGGTTGGTTCCAAGTCTTTGCTATTGTGAATAGTGCCGCAATAAACTTACGTGTGCATGTGTCTTTATAGCAGCATGATTTAGTCCTTTGGGTATATACCCAGTAATGGGATGGCTGGGTCAAATGGTATTTCTAGTTCTAGATCCCTGAGGAATCGCCACACTGACTTCCACAATGGTTGAACTAGTTTACAGTCCCACCAACAGTGTAAAAGTGTTCCTAGTTCTCCACATCCTCTCCAGCACCTGTTGTTTCCTGACTTTTTAATGATTGCCATTCTAACTGGTGTGAGATGGTATCTCATTGTGGTTTTGATTTGCATTTCTCTGATGGCCAGTGATGATGAGCATTTTTTCATGTGTCTTTTGGCTGCATAAATGTCTTCTTTTGAGAAGTGTCTGTTCATATCCTTTGCCCACTTTTTGATGGGATTGTTTGTTTTTTTCTTGTAAATTTGCTTGGGTTCATTGTAGATTCCGGATATTAGCCCTTTGTCAGATGAGTAGGTTGTGAAAATTTTCTCCCATTTTGTAGGTTGCCTGTTCACTCTGATGGTAGTTTCTTTTGCTATGCAGAAGCTCTTTAGTTGAATTAGATCCCATTTGTCAATTTTGTCTTTTGTTGCCATTGCTTTTGGTGTTTTAGACATGAAGTCCTTGCCCATGCCTATGTCCTGAATGGTAATGCCTAGGTTTTCTTCTAGGGTTTTTATGGTTTTAGGTCTAACATTTAAGTCTTTAATCCATCTTGAATTAATTTTTGTATAAGGTGTAAGGAAGGGATCCAGTTTCAGCTTTCTCCATATGGCTAGCCAGTTTTCCCAGCACCATTTATTAAATAGGGAATCCTTTCCCCATTGCTTGTTTTTCTCAGGTTTGTCAAAGATCAGATAGTTGTAGATATGCGGCATTATTTCTGAGGGCTCTGTTCTGTTCCATTGATCTGTATCTCTGTTTTGGTACCAGTACCATGCTGTTTTGGTTACTGTAGCCTTGTAGTATAGTTTGAAGTCAGGTAGTGTGATGCCTCCAGCTTTGTTCTTTTGGCTTAGGATTGACTTGGCGATGTGGGCTCTTTTTTGGCTCCATATGAACTTTAAAGTAGTTTTTTCCAATTCTGTGAAGAAAGTCATTGGTAGCTTGATGGGGATGGCACTGAATCTATAAATTACCTTGGGCAGTATGGCCATTTTCATGATATTGATTCTTCCTACCCATGAGCATGGAATGTCCTTCCATTTGTTTGTATCCTCTTTTATTTCATTGAGCAGTGGTGTGTAGTTCTCCTTGAAGAGGTCCTTCATGTCCCTTGTAAGTTGGATTCTTAAGTATTTTACCCAGATTCATAAAGCAAGTCCTGAGTGACCTACAAAGAGACTTAGACTCCCACACAATAATAATGGGAGACTTTAACACCCCACTGTCAACATTAGACAGATCAACGAGACAGAAAGTTAACAAGGATACCCAGGAATTGAACTCAGCTCTGCACCAAGCAGACCTAATAGACATCTACAGAACTCTCCACCCCAAGTCAACAGAATATACATTTTTTTCAGCACCACACCACACCTATTCCAAAATTGACCACATAGTGGGAAGTAAAGCTCTCCTCAGCAAATGTAAAAGAACAGAAATTATAACAAACTGTCTCTCAGACCACAGTGCAATCAAACTAGAACTCAGGATTAAGAAACTCACTCAAAACCGCTCAACTACAAGGAAACTGAACAACCTGCTCCTGAATGACTACTGGGTACATAACGAAATGAAGGCAGAAATAAAAATGTTCTTTGAAACCAACGAGAACAAAGACACAACATACCAGAATCTCTGGGACACATTCAAAGCAGTGTGTAGAGGGAAATTTATAGCACTAAATGCCCACAAGAGAAAGCAGGAAAGATCCAAAATTGACACCCTAACATCACAATTAAAAGAACTAGAAAAGCCAGAGCAAACACATTCAAAAGCTAGCAGAAGGCAAGAAATAACTAAAATCAGAGCAGAACTGAAGGAAATAGAGACACAAAAAACCCTTCAAAAAATTAACGAATCCAGGAGCTGGTTTTTTGAAAGTATCAACAAAATTGATAGACTGCTAGCAAGACTAATAAAGAAGAAAAGAGAGAAGAATCAAATAGACGCAATAAAAAATGATAAAGGGGATATCACCACTGATCCCACAGAAATACAAACTACCATCAGAGAATACTACAAACACCTCTACGCAAATAAACTAGAAAATCTAGAAGAAATGGATAAATTCCTCGACACATACACTCTCCCAAGACTAAACCAGGAAGAAGTTGAATCTCTGAATAGACCAATAACACGATCTGAAATTGTGGCAATAATCAACAGCTTACCAACCAAAAAGAGTCCAGGACCAGATGGATTCACAGCCGAATTCTACCAGAGGTACAAGGAGGAGCTGGTACCATTCCTTCTGAAACTATTCCAATCAATAGAGAAAGAGGGAATCCTCCCTAACTCATTTTATGAGGCCAGCATCATTCTGATACCAAAGCCTGGCAGAGACACAACAAAAAAAGAGAATTTTAGACCAATATCCTTGATGAACATTGATGCAAAAATCCTCAATAAAATACAGGCAAACCGAATCCAGCAGCACATCAAAAAGCTTATCCATCATGATCAAGTGGGCTTCATCCCTGGGATGCAAGGCTGGTTCAATATACGCAAATCAATAAATGTAATCCAGCATATAAACAGAACCAAAGACAAAAACCACATGATTATCTCAATAGATGCAGAAAAGGCCTTTGACAAAATTCAACAACCCTTCATGCTAAAAACTCTCAATAAATTCGGTATTGATGGGACGTATCTCAAAAATAATAAGAGCTATCTATGACAAACCCACAGCCAATATCATACTGAATGGGCAAAAACTGGAAGCATTCCCTTTGAAAACTGGCACAAGACAGGGATGCCCCCTCTCACCACTCCTATTCAACATAGTGTTGGAAGTTCTGGCCAGGGCAATTAGGCAGGAGAAGGAAATAAAGGGTATTCAATTAGGAAAAGAGGAAGTCAAATTGTCCCTGTTTGCAGACGACATGATTGTATGTCTAGAAAACCCCATTGTCTCAGCCCAAAATCTCCTTAAGCTTATAAGCAACTTCAGCAAAGTCTCAGGATACAAAATCAATGTACAAAAATCACAAGCATTCTTATACACCAATAACAGACAAACAGAGAGCCAAATCACAAGTGAACTCCCATTCACAATTGCTTCAAAGAGAATAAAATACAGAGGTAGAACTTTCAAGAGAGCACCAGCTGCAGTAGTAGAAGGGAAATACAAGCTTGCCCTATGTTGGCCAGAGTAAGTATTGAGGTTTCTCAGGCAATGGGCAGGACCATAGAGCTTCCACAAGTTTTTGTCTTTTGCCTTAGGCTACCAGAGCGAGTAGAGAAAAACCACAAGGTGGGAGCAGAGTCAGGTGGGTCTGAGCTCAGACTCTCCTTGGGAAGGGCTTGCTGCGGCCACTGTGGGGGTTGAAGGGGTGGCTTATTAGTTAAGTTTCTCTAGAGGGACAGAACTAACAGGATAGATGTATATATAAAGGGGAGCTTATTAAGGAGTATTGACTCACACGATTCCAAAGTGAAGTCCAACAATAGGCCAGCTGCAAGCCGAGGAGCAAGGAAGCCAGTCCGAATCCCAAAACCTCAAAAGTAGGGAAGCTGACAGTGTAGCCTTCAGTTTGTGGGTGAAGGCCTGAGAGCCCTGTGTAAATCCAAGTGTCCAAAAGCTCGAGAATTTAGAGTCCAGTGTTTGAAGGCAGAAAGCATCCAGCACAGAAAAAAAAGATGAGGGCTGTAAGTAAGACTCAGCAAGTCTAATCTTTCCACATTCTTTTCTGCCTGCTCTATTCTAGCTGCTCTGGCAGCTGAATAGATGGTTCTCACCCAGATTGAGGTGTGTCTGCCTCTTTCTTTCCATTGACTCAAGTGTTAATCTCTTTTTACAGCACTCTCACAGACACACCTAGGAAGAATACTTTGCATTCTTCAATCCAATCAAATTGTCACTCCATATTAACCATCACAGATGGTTCTCAGGTCAATGGGGTTATGGTACAAGGGAGGATTACGTATGCCTCTGCTGTACCATACAGGTGGCCAGGAAGGTGGGAAAAAGTCATCAATGACAGGCCTCACCCAGCTCCCATGCAGCCATCAAGTCCAGTCTCACTCCCACAATGCCCAGCCAACAGCACCAAGTTTATATCCAGGCAGCCAACATGCAGGGCTGAGATCTTTCCCCAGGTTACAAGCCTCCCTGCTGAAAAAGCAAGCAGGCTTTTAGGGGTTGCCCCTCTCTGCCTGCTGGCACCCTTGACTGTGGCTTCTGCGCTTGTATCTGCACTTCCCATTTGCACACCCCCATCCCCCTGATTCTACTCAGGAAAATTCATGCTCAGTCAAAATCATTACAAAGTTTTGCTAGAAGCTTCTTTCATCCTGTGACCCTTTTTCTAATTTCACTGACTGCCTTCCACAAGGACCTCTGTGAGAGAACGTCAGGATGGCTTCCCAGGCCTTGAGCTGGGGACAGAGAGTGCCTACAGGGCTCTTCCCACTGCTTCTTCTACTTTCATATTTCAATTGGTTCCCTAAATTCATTTCAGCTCTAGGTAGTGTTAAATTCTTCTCCTGTGATCTGGATTTTCAGGTTCCCCAGTGGGGATATGTGTTTGGAGGCAGACTTTTCCCTCTCTCACACTTTGGTGACTCACAGATTTTCAGCAGACTCACAGAGTTTACAGAGGCAAGCTACTTCTTTTAAAGGCTCTGAACTCTTTCAGTTTTCCTGGTATTTTCCTGCAGTGGTTCTTGGAGCCAAAGTTCAGGATGTGAGTCTCCACACTCTGTTCTGTTTGTCCAAGTGGGAGCTTCATGTTAGTCCTGTCTCCTATCTGCCATTTTCCTTCTCAATCAGTTTTGTAAGTTTTATTTTATAAGGTGGTAGCTATAAAATTTGTTATGTAATCTGATATTGATGAAAATTAGTATTCTTTGTTCCATAGTATTTTAATAATATTTACATATAAGTCAGTTTGGGACTGTTTTTCTTTTAGTGGTAAATCTTTGACTAAATTTCAATCACTTCTACGATCTGTAATAATTTTTTGTCTTCCTGAGTGCATATATATATATATATATTTTTTCCTTTCGTATATATAATTGTCATTTTTTATTTCAATTTAAAATTTATTTGTATGACTTGTACATAAAATTTTATTAGAATTTTTAATATACTCTATAAGTATTTTTCCCTCTGGTTACTAATGTTAATTTTATCTTTTGTCTATTTTTCTTAAATGGAACTTTATTGGAGCTTTAAAAACAGCTTATAATACATATAATTATCACATAATCCATCAATTTCACTGCTTGGTATACAGCCTAAAGGATTGAAAATAGAAACTCCAACAGATAATTTGTACACTCATGTTTATAGCAGTGTTACTGACAATAGCCAAAAGGTAGGCACAGCCCAAGTGTCCACTGATTGATGAATGAATAAACAAAATGTTTTGTATACATACACTGGAATATTATCTGGCCTTAAAAAGTAAGGAGATTCTGATATATGCTACAATATGGATGAACCTTGAACATTATGCTAAATGAAATGAGCCAGTCACAAATGTGAAAATATTATATAATTCAATTTATATAAGGTACCTAGATTAATCAAATTCACAGAGACAGAAGCGGAATGGCAGTTGTTCAGGGCTGGAACAGCAGAAAGTAGGGAGTTGTTAAATGGGTACAGAGTTTCAGTTTGAGAAGGTGATAATTTTCTAGAGATGGATGATAGTGATGGTTGAACACCAATTTGAATGTACTTTTTTAAACATTGACAAATAATTGAAAAATTAATTGACAAATGATCATTTTACATATTTATGGGGTATATGTGATACTATGATAGATGTATACATTTTGGAAAGATTGAATCAAGATAATTAGCATGCACAGCAAACTTACTTGCTATTTCTTTGTTGTGAGAATATTTAAGATAAATCTTCAGCAATTTTAAAATATACAATACAGTTATTAACTATAGTTACCATGCTGTGCAACAGATCTCAAAACCTTATTACTCCTAAGTGAACTTTTGTGTTCTTTGACCAACATCTTCCCGTTTCACGCTCCTCCTCCCCCAGTCTTTGCTGACTACTTTTTACTTTCTACTTTTATGAGTTCAAATAGTCTTGCATTCAATGCATAAGTGAGATCATGCAGCACAATATTAGTTTTTCTGTGTCTGACTTATTTCTCTTAGCATAATGTCCTATATGCACATCCATGTGGCACACATGACAGAATTTCCTTTTTTAAAAAGGCTGAATTGTATTTCGTTGAATATATATACCTAACATTTTATTTATCCATTCATCTGTTAATAGACACTAGGTTGATTCCATATCCTGGTTATTATGAATAATACAGATGAAGGCCAAAAACATGGTATCATCTCAACAGATGGAGAAAAATCAATCATTTAACAAAATTTAGCATCCACTTATGATTAAAATCTCTTAAATTAGTTATAAAAGTAAAGCACATAAACACAATAAAGGACATATATTATGTCCAAACCTACAGTTAACATCATACTCAACAGTGAAAAGTTGGCAGCTTTTCCTCTAATATCAGGAATAGGACAAGGAGGCCCACTCTCACGACCTCTATTTAACATAGTACTAAAAGTCCTATCCAAGGCAATTAGGCAAGAAAAAATAAAATAAAATAAATAGGAAAAAAAGAAATGAAATTGTCTGTTTGCCGATGACATGATTTTATATAGAGAAAACCTTTAAAACTTCACTAAAAACTGTTAGAATTAATAAACAAATTTAGTAAGATGCAGGGTACCATGTCAACATAAAAAAACAATAGCACTTCTATACACTAACAGATAATTATCTACAAAAGAAATTAAGAAACCATCCAATTTATAATAGCATCAAAAAATACATAGAGGTACATTTCACCAAGGAGGTGAAAGATCTGTATACTAAAAAGTGTAAAACATTAATGGGAGAACTTGAAAAAAATCACAAATAAATGGACAAATAAACCATGTTCATGGATTGAAAGAATTAATATTGTTGAAATATCCATATTACCCAAAGCAATCTATGGATTCAGTGCAAACCTTATCAAAATTCTAATGTCATTTTTTACAAAAATAGAAAAAACAAAAATGATAATTTAAATGAAATTCCAAAAGACCCTGAATAGCCAAAGCTATCTTGAGCAAAAATAACAAAGCTGGAGACATTATACTACCTGACTTCAAACTATATTACAAAGCTATACTAATTCAATAGGCATGACAAAGGCATAAAAACAAACATGTTGAGCAATAGAGCTGGATGGAGAGCCTGGTAATAAACCCACACATTTATGGTTAATTGACTTTCAACAAAGGTGCAAAGGACACACAATAGAGAAAATAAAGTCACTTCAATAAATGGTGTTGGGAAAACTGGATAGCCCTTATCTCATACCATGTATGAAATTCAACTCAAAATGAACTAAAGATGGAAGCATAAAACTTGAAACTGTGAAATTACTAGAAGAAAACAGGGAAATACTCCACAACAATGGTCTGGACAATGATATTTTGGATATGACCTCAAAAGTACAGGCAACAAAAGCAAAAATAAACAAATAGGACCACATAAAACTAAAAAGTTTCTGCACAGCAGAGGGAACAATTAACAAAGAGAAGAGAAAACACTCGTATTGTGAGAAATTAGTTGCAAATCAAACATTTGATGATGGGCTGTTATTCAAAATATATGAGAAACTCAAACAACTCAATAGCAAGTAAACAAATATCCCAATTAAAAATTGAGCAAAGGACCTGAATAGACATTTCTCAAAAGAACAAATACAAATGGCCAACAGGTATATAAAAAAATACTCAACATCACTGATCATCAGGCAAATGAAAATTAGAACCACAGTGAAATATAACCTCATGCTGGATGAAATGACTTTTATAAAAAGGATGAAAGATAAGTGTTGGCAAGGTTGTGGAGAAAAGGGAACATATCTACACTGTTACTGGGTATGTAAATTAATACAGCCATTATGGAAACAGCATAGAGTTTCTTCAGAAAACTAAAATTAAAATTTTCATATAATCTAACAATCTTCTTGATAGATATCTTCTGGAATTAAATTCAGTATGTCAAAGAGATATAAATGAGAGGTGACAACGTGCTAGCAGCCCTCGCTCCCTCTCAGCACCTCCTTGGCCTCTGCGTCCACTCTGGCCATGCTGGAGGAGCCCTTCAGCCCGGCTGTGCTATGAGGGCCCCTCTCTGGGGCTGGCCGAGGCCAGAGCTGGCTCCCTCTGCTCTTGGGGAAGTGTGAAGAGAGAGGTGTGGACAGGAACCGGGGCTGCGTGCAGCGCTCGTGGGCTGGCACGGGTTCCAGGTGAGTGTGGGCTCGGCAAGCTCCGCACTTGACGTGGCTGGCTGGCGCCTGCTGGGCTTGATCGGAGGCTGAATCCCATGCGTGGACCACCGTTCCCTCTTCGTGGGATCCTTGGCCACGATAGCAGGTCTCCTCCCTCTCTTTCTCTTTCTGGCTTCCCCTCATTTCCTCTTGATTGTCTGGGACGAGCTCCCTCTGGGCTGCTGGAGTGCCTGGGCTGGGTGCGGCAAAGTCCTGTGGGGAGTGCCAGTGAGAGGTGAAGCTGGCTGGGCTTCTGGGACAGGTGGGGACTTGGAGAACTTTTCTGCCTAGCTAAAGGATTGTAAATGCACCCATCAGCACTCTGTGTCTAGCTAAACGTTTGTAAACACACCAATCAGTGCTCTGTGTCTAGCTAATCGGGTGGGGACTTGGATAACTTTTGTGTCTAGCTAAAGGATTGTAAACGCACCAGTCAGCACTTTGTCAAAAGGGACCAAGCAGCTCTGTGTAAAACAGACCAATCAGCTCTCTGAAAAATGGACCAATCAGCAGGATGTGGGTGGGGCCAGATAAGGGAATAAAAGCAGGCCACCCGAGCCAGCAGTGGCAACTGGCTTGGGCCCCCTTCCATGCGGTGGAAGCTTTGTTCTTTCGCTTTTTGCAATAAATCTTGCTGCTGCTCACTCTGGGTCCTCACTGCGTTTATGAGCTGTAACACTCACTGCGAAGGTCTGCAGCTTCACTCCTGAAGTCAGCGAGACCACAAATTCACCAGGAGGAACAAACAACTCTGGACACACTGCCTTTAAGAGCTGTAACACTCACCAGGAAGGTCTACAGCTTCACTCCTGAAGCCAGCGAGACCACGAACCCACCAGAAGGAAGAAACTGCAGACATGTCCGAACATCAGAAGGAACAAACTCTGGACACACCATCTTTAAGAACTGTAACACTCACCGCGAGGGTCCACGGCTTCATTCTTGAAGTCAGGGAGACCAAGAACCCACCAATTCTGGACACGTAAATACACCCAAGTTTATTGAGCATTAATCACAATGCAAATGCACTTCATGCCACAAAACTGTATACTTAAAATGGTTATAATGGTGAATATTATGTCATGTATATTTTACTACAGTTTTAAAAGTAAAACTATTTTATAATCGCTATGATATCATTGATGATGAATAATACGCATTTATTTTCTGTTTCATCTGTTTCCATATTTATTATTTCCTTCCAATTTATAATGGTTTATTTTTTGTTCTGTTTTCTATCTTTTGTTAATGAATGCTTTAGTCATTTCCTCATCTATTTTCAGTGTTTCTTGTTTTCTAACAAATAGTAGCTGTAGGTTTTCTGAGTAAAGTTTTACTGAAACTCATAGATTTTACTCTCAAGATGAATACAAAATAAATATGTTATTCTGTGGAAGTTAACATAAAACTAAGTGCTGTGTCAAATAAATCTCAGGATTTGTGTGATTTGGCACAATAGAATTTCACTTCTCAATTATTTATCAGTCCAATCTGGGTTTATGTTCATAGCTGTCAGGTGTTCCTCATTGATGACACTTAGTTCTAAAATTCAATTTAACCTAGAGTTTTTGTGTTGAATTTCTCTTGCCATCAATGTGAGTTGTGTCTCTAGAAGTTTTGCACAATACGGTCCTAATTCACCATATTCTTTATGAGTGCCTATTATTTGAAGGATACAGTACTGGGCACTATGAATATTTGAAGGTGAAAGACCACGGCTCCTGCCTGTATTTAATGAGAAAGGCATACATGGGTTTGCGACTTCCGAGTTTTGGAACTTAATATCTATATGGCTTGAAGCATGTTCTTTCATTTGTTCATATGAATCAGAATCACTTTATGTAAAAAGCATAATAACAGTACTTACTATAGGGTCTATAGGAACACTTAGCTCATCGTATGCTTTAATACAATTATTAATATTTTAGTTATTATATACATTGCTTACATAAGCATAGATGTCCTCAGAAAATTTCATTTTGCAATTTGTAAAGAAAGATATATAACTAGTGACTATTTTCAGACAATAATTTATGAAATTTCTAAAAATTACTAAACTTTTAGCTCAGAAGTAAAGTTCTTTCCATGATTCTGAGGTCACATTGGATTAAATCCCAAGACTCCTTCACAATGATACATTCATTCTGACAGAAGAAAAAACTAGAAATTTGGCGAGGGAAGGTAAAAAGGGAGAAATAAGTCTACCTAATTACGGACAATAAAAAAATCAATTAGTTGAAGACTATAGTTACAAAGGATGAACTCTTTTCTGCCATCTCATCTCAATTAAGATGCAGCATGGGAGGGAGAGCCTGATGACAATACCATCACAGTGAAGAAGAAGCAAGTAAAAGAGCAGGGTAAACAATCTGACACAAACAAATGCTGAAAACTTTGTTTCTCTCTCCTGAAAACTTTGAAACTCATTTCCTAGCTGGGAAGAACTCTGTTTCTACGTTTGAGAAATTGTCTTCCTTTAAGACAGGCAATTTCAGCTTTATTCTTAGGAAAGATGTTTTGGTGAAAGTCCATTAAGCACTGTCATGTATTTGTTTGCACTGTACTCGCATTGTGCATTTGCTGTTTGTTCCCTTAAAAGATTCCCTCAGGGTTCCTATTATTTTATTTATTAACTTCATAGTTTCCTTTTGGGTCCCTTTATTTCAAAATTCTATATATTCTGTCTTTGACTCACATTACTTTTATACTAAGGTTATTTCTATAATGTGAGTGAAGTTGACAATTAAAGAAAATTCAAGCCCTGAATCATATCTATAGTGGCTAAACTGCAAGGGAAAAATTTGTGTCATAGACAGGACTAGCTACATAATTTGTGGCCCTAGTACAACATGAAAATGTGTGGGGTCCCTGTTAAAAAGGTAACAATTTCTATATGGTGACATCAGAGCATTAACTATACATGAAGCCCTTCTAAGATCATTACATCATGTGACTCCTCAGTTTACAAACCTATAAAGCCGTCCTTTATCATGAATGTTTATTCAGTAAAATCTTTATTTGCTTTCAACACTGCTCTCAATTTTTATTTGAGTCATAATATATGAACATATTTGTGAAGTGCATATGGTATTTTGTTATGTGCACAGAATGGGTAATGATCAAGTCAGGTATTTAAGATATCCATCACCACTAGCATTTATCATTTCTATGTACTGGGAGCATTTCAAATACTCTCTTTTAGCAGTTTTGAAATATACAATACATTGTTCTTAACTATTATCACCCTATTCTTCTATCAAGCATTAGAACTTATTTCTTCTAGTTAACTGTGTGTTTGCACTCATTACACCATTTCTTTATTACCCCTTATACAGCCTTTCCAGCCTCTGGTAACTATTATTCTACTTTTTACCTCTATAAGATGAACAGTTTTTAGCTCCCGAATATGAGTGTAAATGTGATATTTGTTCTTCTGTGCATGGTTTATTTCACTCAACATAATGACCTCCAGTTCCATCCATGTTGCTATAAATGACAGGATTTCATTCCATTGTATGGGGGTGTGTGTGTGTGTGTGTGTGTGTGTGTGTGTGTGTGTGTGTGTATAATATCACATTTTTTTATTCATTCATTGATGGACGCTTAGGTTGATTCTATGTCCTGACTATTGTGAAGAGTGCTGTAATAAATATGGGAGTGGAGACATCTTTTTGATATACTGATTTCCTTTCCTTTGGATAAATAGTGATGAGATTGCTGGGTCATATGGTAGTTTTATTTTTAGTTTTTGGAGAAATTTCCATGCTGTTTTCCATAATGGCTGTACTAATTCACATTCTTATCAACAGTGTATAAGAGCTGTCTTTTCTGTGCATCCTTGCCAGCACCTGTGATTTTTTTTTTTTTTTGGTCTTTTTGATAACTATTTTTAACTGGAGTGAGGTAATGTCTCAGTGTGGTTTTTATTTGCTTTCCCTGATGATTAGTGATTTTGAACATTTTTTCACATACCTCTTAGCTATTTGTATGTCTTCTTTTGAGAATGTCTAATTTAGGTCTTTTGCTTACTTCCTAAAGGATTTTTTTTCTGTTGAGTTGTATTCTAGAAATCAGTCCCTTTTCATATAAATGGTTTACAACTATTTTTCCCATTCAATAGATTGTCTCTTCCCTTTTTATTTTTTCCTTTTCTGTGCAGAAGCTTTTTAGTTTAGTATAGTCCCATTTGTCTATTTTTGGTTTTGTTGCTATGCTTTTAAGATCTTAGCCATAAGTTCTTTGTCCAGACCAATGTCCTAGAGTGTTTCTCCTTCATTTTCTCTGAGTAGTTTTATAGTTTTTAGTCTTATATCCAGTCTTTAATCCACTTTGAGTTGATTTTTGTATATGGTGAGAGATAAGGGTCTATGTTTTTTTTCTTCTGCATGTGCACATCCAGTTTAACCAGCACCATTTATTGAAGAGGGCTTCCTTTCCCCATTGTATGTTCTTGGCAACTTTGTCAAAGTTCAGTTAGTTGTAAATATGTAGATTTATTTCTGCATTCTCTGTTTTTTTCTATTGGTCTGTGTGTCTGTTTTTATACCAGTACCGTGGTTCATATGTTTAAATATTATCATAAATAGTATATTTCAAATTTCAATTTTCTATTATTAAAATTTCTGTTATACAGAAACTAGTGAGATAAACTTTGGTTGTTAATTTGGCATATGGCTATGTGAATAAAGACTACGCATCTCAGCCACCTTTGCTGTCAGATATTGTCATATGATTACTTTCTGGCCAATGTGATACAATACAATTGTTGCATGCTACTTTCAAGAGGTGATCTTTAAGGGAGGACGCAGAGCCTTTCTCAGCTCCTTCTGCTTTCCATTGGCTAGAATGTGAATGAAATGTCTAGAGCTCAGACAGCTTTATTGGACATATGTCATAGCATGTTTACCCATTTTTAAATTGATGAACATTGATTTTTTTCTAATTATTTAACTATTACAAAACATGGTCAAATTAGCACCCTTGTACCTATATTTCATGTGTGTTTGTCTTGGGTAGATACTTAAAAGTACAATTCCTAGGTCATAGAATATGTGTATATTTATTGTCAAATTTCTCTTTAAAATGATTGTATCAACCTATGTTTCCATTGACAGTTTATTTATTTGAAAATGTTTTTATATATTTCGGGAACTATTCTAGGCAGTAGGTATGCTGAGGAGACTGAAATGTTTTGTTTATGATAAAACTTATATTCTTAAGAGAAAGATAAGCAGTAAGCAAATAAAAGCAACAATTAGTATTACATGAAGTAGCAATGTGTGCTATGATATAGCACAAATGTAAGTGGTGGGAATTAACATTATATAAGGTATACAGATAAGATCTAGTTTTAAAAATGATATTTGGACCCAAGACCAAAAACAAGAAAGAAAGAAAAGAAATATTATTCCAGGCAAAGGAAACAGAAAATGCAAAGATGAAGAGATATAGACAAGCTTGGCTTTTTCTACAATGAAAGTCCTGTGTATTTGAAGTATAGTCTACAAGGATAAGGTACTATATGATGAGGCTGAAAAAGTTGACATGTTAGAGATCTCACAGAGCCTTAAAACCCATGATAAAAAGTTTGATTTCTTTTTAGTGCAACAGAAAGTCATTCAAAGATTTTTAAACAAGAAGAGTAATAATGATGTATATTTAAAATTGTGGACTTTGGACCCTGAGTATAGAATAACTTATTAGGAGATCAGAGAAGAAACAGGGATACAGGACTTTAGGCTATTATGTAGCCCAGGCCCAGGTAAGATAGGTTGATAGTTTATCCTGAGGTAGTTGCAATGGAGATGAAGGAAACTGGGCAAATTTGGGCAATCTTATAGATGTATTGTATACAGATTTTGCTAGTGGGTCAGTTGTTATACTCTGTTTCTGCTATCTTTGTCAACATCTTATAGTTGGCAAACGAAGGAAAAGTAAAAACGGAATTGTTCCTGTATGTTTGCATGAGCTTCTGATGTTTGGCATACCAAACTATATAATTTGCTGATGTATGTTTGCATCAGCTTATGAAGTTTGACATACCAAACTATTTAGTTTTTGTTGTTAACTGGATGGATTAAAAACGGCATCTCTTGGTTCAAAAGTTCATTTTCCACATTTAATAAAGATAAGCAGTCTTTTATTTTTGTTAACCATTTGTTTTGTGTTATTTGCATGCCTCATTAATTTGTAGAAGTTTCTAATCATTTTTTGGGATGAATTTTTATTTTACTTGTCCAAAATATTCAGCTCTATCAATTGTTTTTAAAGTATCCTTATGGCTTTTTTTTTGGTAAAAATTAAAACTGCGTAAATTTGATGTAATTAAATTCATCTTCTACTTTTTGGCTCTTAATTTTTCATGTTAAGAATATTTTTCTAATTAAAGAACATAAAAGATTGTAAATATATATTAATTTATTGTATGGATTTTACATATTAGAGTCTTTATCTGGAATTTAGTGTTTTGAATGCTGTATTCTGGGAAACATATTTTTTCCCAAATATATAGCCATTTGTCCCAGTACAATTCTTACAATTTAAAAGCCACCTTCATCACACACTCCACCTCCATGTATTCTGACAAGCACATATCTCTTTCTGACCCCCTTTTCTTTGTTTTACTGATAATTTGGCAATTCCTGTACCAATAGAAAAAGGTTTTAATTACAATAGCTGTATAATGTGCTTTCATTCCTGACAATATATGAAACCAGACTGACTGTATTTTAATCTAAATTTTTGACCTTATTAACTGAGTGCATTGGAAAATTCCTTAATTTTTTCTGTACTTCAGTTTCTCCACTTGTAAAATAGTAATAAGGCCTAAAAAAGTCAGAAACTGATGCAAACATATGGTAGCAATTCTGTTTTTATTTCCTTTCATACTCAATATTTAGGGAGAAAACATGGTTATAGAAAGTTTTATAGGTAGAGAATTGTACCAGAAGATCTGAGTTCCAGCCCAAGCGCTGTCACTAATTAGTTGCGTGACTTTGAGATAGCCATTTCACTTTCCTGTCACTTAGTTTACGCAATTGGCTAGTGGGCATAATAATGACTTTTTTTGTAATAAGGTTGTCGTAAGATTATTAGATATAAATGCTTATCACAAAACAATAAAGCTTTAAACAAATGACTGATATCACTTTAATAGCATTAGTTGTCAAAAATTTTAAATTCTGTTGTGTTGCATAATCAGAGTTCTATGATCATTAACAGACAGTAATGATGGTGGTGTTTCCTGTAGGTCATAGGTTTAATACAGCAGTAATACAAGTAGAATAGAAAACCTGCATCCCTTTTATGGTGGCTTATTTTTAGTTCAGGGCACTTGAAACCTGGTGCCCATAAATTACAAAGCACTGAACTGAGTAAAAGTTCCTCCACTAGTTCAACAAGAATTCATTGCTATCTTTGGTCACTTTTTCTCATTTACTATCAATAACTCCCATATTTCAGGAAAGCAAATAGGCAAATATTTTGAAAATGAATTTTCTGACTTTGTAATATTGGAATCAATATTCAAGTATACACTGATCTGGCACATTCTAAGTGGGAAACAATATTCAGAAAATCTGGTTTCTGTTCACAGCTATCATTTAGTTTATACAAATCACACTGAACAAGAAACAACAAAAATTCAGCCTATGTGGTAGTTTTTATTGCATTTCCTGTCTTTACAACCAGATACCTTACTGTTGTGTGGATATAGGCAAACTGTTGGCATTGTTCTATAAACATGTTTTTTTCAGCTATTTTAATGTCATATTAACAGAGAAAATAAGCGCAACAAATGACTTTGAAACTTATGTTCAGTTCAATGAACAGTTCTTGAGTGCCTCATGTGTGCTAGGCACCATGCTAGGAACTTAAGAGGTAAAAATTAATAGTTTCTTGCTTTGAGAAAATTTCATTGGGTACATTCATGCCATTTTCAGTGATGAGTGTAATGAAAAATGAATATTTTCCTCAATTATAGTATAGGAAACCACCTTCAGTGAATTTCTGTTATCCAATGCAAGCATTGTAACAGACTCCAATTACTTTTCAATCCACGAGTCAATCATCTCTTATGCAACCTGGGCTTAAATCTTGGGTGTCATCCTTGGCAACCTGAATTTTTAGGCACATAGAAGAGTCAAATTCTGTCACTTGCTTCTTTATAAAATTCCACATTTCTCATATCTTCCCCTTCATCTGTTTATATGTTTGTTTTTGCTTCGGGATTTTGGACATCAAATGCACAGGGACAAGTCAATTGTACATTTCAGCCCATAGCATATTATCATTGCTGGATTCCTCTTTGGTTTTATTTCACTTTTATCTTCTTTTTTCTTTCATCTGATCATCGACTCCATTTCCATTTTTCTCTTTCTCCCCATAGGAAATCATTTTATGTCATTTGTATCTGTAAACAGTTTATATTGGTATGCTTTACATTGAAACACATGTAAATGTTATTTTTGATAGGTATCATTGATTAATTTTCTTCAACCAATAGCATATTTTAAAGATCTAATTAGGTTGCTATTTGACCTTAAGTTCATTACTTCAGATTGAAGCATAGTATTCAATAGTATATGACTACTATATTTTACTTATTTTTCCAAATAATGGACCTCAGAGTTACAACTAACGCTGTTTCCACAAGGTATGCTGTGATGTATATCTTTGTATGTGACCTTTTGTGAATTTGTACACATATTACTTTTGGGTATTAGTCCAGGAGTAAGATTGGGCATAGACTTTGTGTATAATTTTGTTTACTGATTCTGATTTATTCAACAGAATGTCTGTACCAGTCTGTATCTCATGCGTCAGGTATTAGATTTCAGGTGTTTTTTTAATCTTTGCTAACATTTAGTTTCCTCATACCTTCTCATGTGTATATTCTTATTGGTGTACTCTAAAGCAATGTGCATTGCTGTTTTAATGTAAAATTTTCTGATGACAGAGTTGACATCAGGTTTTATGTTTGTTAACCATTTTGGTTTTTTTTCTATGATTTGTCTATTTATATCCTTAGCACATTGCTTTATATTGTAGATATTAATCAACATCACTGATCATCGGAGAGATGCAAATTAAGACCACAAGAAGACACCATCTCACATCAGTCAGATGGCTATTATTAAAATGTCATAAATTAACAGATCTTGGTGAGAATGCAGGGAAGAGGGAATGCCTATACACTGCTGGTGGAAATGTAAATTAGTACAACCTCAATGGAAAATAGTATGGAGATTTCTCAGAGAATGAGAAATAGAAATACCATTCAAACCTGCAATCCCACTACTGGGTATTTACCCACAAGAAAATAAATAATTTTATCAAAAAGACCTGCACTTGTATGTTTATTGTAAAACTATTTACAGTAGCAGAGTCATGAAATCAACTTATGTGTCCATCGGTGGATGACTGGATAAAGAAAATGTGGTATCTATATACCATAGAGTGCTATGCAGCCATAAAAAAATAATGACATGTCTTTTACAGCAGCATGGATGGAGCTGTAGGCCATTATCCAAAGTGAAATAACTTAGAAGTACAAAATCAAATACCACTTGTGGGATTCTCACTTATAAGTGAGAGCTAAACAATGGGTTCACATGGACATAAAGATAGAAATAATAGACAATGCAAACTCTTTAAATGAAGTGAGGGTTGGAAAATTACCTTTTGGGTATGATGTTTACTCTTCAGATAGTGGGTACACTAGAAGCCCAAACCTCACCATTACACAATATATCCGTGTAACAAACATGCACATATCCCTCCTGAATAGATTAAAATAAAATATAATAGGGGTGGAGCAGGATGGTGCAATAAAAGCCTACATAGTTCATGTCCCTTGACGGAACACCAAATTTTAACAACTATCTGCACAGAAAAAAACAACAACTAAATAAGAACCAAAATTCCGGTGAGCAATTATAGTACCTGGTATTAATTTCATATCACTAATAGAAGCATTGAGGAGAGCAGGAGAGACAGTCTCAGATCACTGAATCCACCCCTCTCTTGCACCCCAGCAGTGGCAATGAAGCATAGAGAGATAATCTACATATGTAGGGGAGGGAGAGCACAGTGACTGAAGGATTTCACGTTGAACTCAGTGCTGCCCTGTCACAATGGAGAATAAAATCATGTTGGGCCCAACCAGCACCCATGCATGGAGACAGTATTTGGTCCAGTCCTAGCCAGAGGGAAATTGCTCATCACAGTGGTTGGAACTTGAGTTTTTCAGCAAGCCTCGCCATGGCAGGATGCAGTTCTCTCAGTCCTAGGTAAACTGGAAATGCAGTCTAGGACACAAAATCTGCATTTATAGGCAACTTGTAGTTCTAAGCTGGGCTTAGAGGCAGTGAACTAGGGTGGCACATGACCTAGGGCAACACCAGCTGGCACTGCTAAGAAATGGCTTGCACCAGTCCTCCCCCAACCCCTGACAATGTAGCTCATAACAATGAAAGTGCCTTGTTCTCCTTAAGGAGAGAAAAGCAAAGAGTAAAGAGGGCTTTGTCTTGCATCTTGGATACCAGATGAGCCACAGTAGAATAAGAAACAGGGCATAGTTGTGAGACCTAATTTTCCAAGGCCTAGCTCCCAGATGGCATTTCTAGATACACCCTGGGGCAAAATGGAACTTGCTTCCTTAAGGTAAGAACCCAGTTCTGGCAGGATTCTTCACCTGCTGACTAAGGACCCCCTGGGCCCTGAATACCCAGGAAGTACACCAGGGGCCTTGGGCTATGAGACGTGCTGGCTACAAGGGAAACCAAGCACATTCTCAGTTGTGCTGGCTATGGTGAAAGCCTCCTGTTTGAGAAAAGCAGAGGGAAAAGTAAAGGGCACTTTACCTTGCACCCTAGGTACCAGTTTGGCCATAGTGGGATAGAAAAACTTGCAGGCACTTGGGGTCCTTGAGTCAAGGCCTAAGCTCTTAGACAGCATTTCTGGACTTTCTATGGGCCAGAGGGAAACCTACGTCCTTGAAGGATGAGTCCCAGGCTTGGCACCATTTACCATACGCTGATGGAAGAGACCTTGGCCTTTAAGTGAACATTACAGGGTGCCAAGCACAACTCCCCATGGACTGGTGCTCATAATGACCACAGAGAGAGGCTCCTCTGCCTGTGGAAAGGAGAGAAAAGAACAGAAGAACTTTGTGTTGTGGTTTGAGTGCAAGCTCAGCTGAAGAGGAATAGAGCATCAAAGAAATTGCTAAGGTTTTTAATTCCAATCTCTGGTTCCTAGACAGCATTTCTGGACATGCTTGGGTCCTGGAGGAACTCACAGCCCTGAAGGGAAGGACACGGAGAAAGGCCCAGTGCTGTGCTGGTTTTAGGTCGAACCCAGTGCAGTCCTAGTGATAGTGGCCACGGTTGTGCTTACATCATCTTAACCGCAGTTCCAGGTGGATAAACAGAGAGAAAGAGAGACTGACTCTGTTTGGGAGAAAGTAAGAGAAAAGAACAAGAATCTTTGCCTGATAAGAGAACTTTAATGAATCTTATCAAAGACTATGTGGGCAGTACCTCCACAAGTCTACAAACACCACATTGTTATTGTGATTGGGACCCAAGTCCCTTTGAATACCTGGAAAACCTTCCCAAGAAGGACAAGCACAAACAAGACCAGTCTTTGAAGACTACAATAACTACCTAACTCTTCAATGCCAGATGCCAAATAACATTAACAAGTTCAACACCATCCAGGAAAACATGAACTCACCAAATGAACTAAATAAGAAACCAGGGAACAAAACTAGAGAAACAGAGATATGTGACATTTCAGACAGAGTATTCAAAATAGCTGTTTTGAGGAAACTCAATGAAATTTGAGGTAACAAGGAAAAGAAATTCAGACTTCTGTCATGTAAATTTAACAAAGAGATTGAAGTAATTAAAAAGAATTAAGCAAAAATTAGAGTTGGAAAATACAATTAGTAGGCCGGAGACTGTATCAGAGTCTCTTAATAGCCAAATTGATCAAGCAGAGAAAAGAATTAGTCAGCTTGAAGACAGGCTATTTGAAAATACAAAGTCAGAAAAGACAAAAGAAATAAGAATAAAAAACAGTAAAGCATACCTACCAGATCTTGAAAAAGAACAGACAAAGAAGGTCATTATATACTGCTAAAGGGGTCAATTCAGCAAGGCGATTAATGATTGTGACTATATATGCACCCAACACTAGGGCAACCAGATATGTAAAGCAAATATTAGAGCTAAAGAGCAAGATAGACCCCAGTACAATGATAGTGGGACACTTCAACATTCTATTTTCAGCAATGGAGAGATCTCTCCAACAGAAAATACACAAAGTAACTTTTGACTTAATCTGCACTGTAGAACAAATGGACCAAATAGAAATTTACTGATTATTTCATCCAATAGCTGTAGAATACACATTTTCCTCCTAAGCACATGGGTCATTCTCAAGGAGAGACCATATGTTAGGTCACAAACATTCAAAAAATTGAAATATTATCAAGCAACTACTCTGACCACAATGATGTAAAACTAGAAATCAAAACCAAGAGGAATTTTAGAAACTATAGAAGCACATGGAAATTAAACAATCTGTTTCTTAATGACCAGTGAGCCAATGAAAAAATCAAGAAGAAATTTGCAAATTGTTTGAAAGAAGTTATAATGGAAACACACTATACTAAAACCTATAAAACAGCAAAAGCAGGACTAAGAGGAAAATGTATAGCTATTAAAGTGCCTACATTTTTAAAAAATGAAAAAACTTTAGATAAATCACTTATCTATGAATTTGAAAAAAAAAAAACTAGGAAAGCAAGAGCAAACCAAAGCCAAAATTGGAAGAAGAAAATAAATAATAAATATAAGAGCATAAATAAATAAAATTGAAATGAAGAAAATGGTACAAAAGATCAATTAAAAAGTTGTTTCTTGAAATAATAAAAAAATTGACAGACCTTTAGCCAGGCTAAGAAAAAAAAAAGACCCAAATAAATAAAATCAGGTATGAGAAAGGAAACATAATAACTGATAGCACAGAAATTTAGAGGATCATTAGTGGCTACTATGAGCAACTATGTGGGCGGCAAGCCACCCAGGCGCCGAGGCAAGAGACAGAGGACACAAGCTGTTCCAGTATAATAAAATATAAAACAAGAATAGTTATACCAGATATAGATCTTAGATATGATTATATATGAATATCATTAATCATTAGTTGGTAGTAATTACTCTTTATCCCAATATTATAATAATGCCCGCTCTATAATCATAACCTAGGAAAAACCAGGCCATACAGAGATAGGAGCTGAGGGGACATAGTGAGAAGTGACCAGAAGACAAGAGCGCAAGCCTTCTCTTATGCCCAGACAGGGCCACGAGAGGACTCCTTGTTCTAGCAGTGACGCCAGCGTCTGGGAAGACGCCCATTGCCAGGCGGACTGTGGTCTAGCGGTGGAGAAAAGTGTCAAGGAACAACACCCGCTACTTAGCAGACCTGGAAAGGGAGTCTCCTTTTCCCCAGGGGAGTTTAGAGAAGACTCTGCTCCTCCACCTCTTGTGGAGGGCCTGACATCAGTCAGGCTTGCCCGCAGTTATCCGGAGGCGTAACCGTCTCCCTGTGATGCTGTGCTTCAGTGGTTACACTCCTAGTCTGCCTTCATGCTCCATCCTGTACACCTGGCTCTGCCTTCTAGATAGCAGTAGTAAATTAGTGAAAGTACTAATAGTCTCTGATATGCAGAAATAATGGCATAAGCTGTCTTTCTCTCTGTCTCCTCTCCCCTTCTGCCTCAGCTGCCAGGCAGGGAAGGGCCCCCTGTCCAGTGGACACATTACCCACGTGACCTTACCTATCATTGGAGATGACTCACACTCTTTACCCTGCCCCTTTTGCTTTGTGTCCAATAAATAACAGCGCAGCCAGACATTCGTGGCTACTACCGGTCTCCGCGCATTGGTGGTAGTGGTCCCCCGGGCCCAGCTGCCTTTTCTTTTATCTCTTTATCTTGTGTCTTTATTTCTACACTCTCTCGATGCCGCACACGGGGAGAGACGCACCGACCCTGTGGGGCTGGTCCCTGCACAACTATATGGCAATAAATTGGAAAATCTCAAAGAAACAGATAAATAACCAGACAGACACAACCTACCAAATTGAAACACGTAGAAATCTTAAATCTGAACTAACCAATAACAAGTAACAAGATCAAAGCCATAATAAAAACTCTTCCTGTAAAGGAAAGCCTGCAACCTGAAGGCCTTACTGTAGAATTCTAAAAAACATTTAAGGAAGAACTAATACCAAGCCCACTCAAACGGTCCAAAAAATTAAAGAGGAGGGAGTGCTTCCAAACTCACTCTATGAGGCCAGCATTACCCTGAACTAAAACCTGACAGAGACACATCAAAAAAATAAAAATAAAAAAAAAAAAGGAAAAGAAAAAACCTGTAGGCCAATATTACTGATAAATTTTACTGAAAAAGTTCTCAACAAAATACTGTAAAATCAAATTCAAAAATGCATTCAAAAGACCACTTAAAAAGTCAGGAAACAACAGGTGCTGGAAAAGATGTGGAGAAACAGGAACATTTTTACACTGTTGGTGGGACTGTAAACTAGTTCAACCATTGTGGAAGACAGTGTGGTGATTCCTCAGGGATCTAGAACTAGAAATACCATTTTACCCAGCCATCCCATTACTGGGTATATACCCAAAGGATTATAAATCATGCTGCTGTAAAGACACATGCACACGTATGCTTATTGCAGCACTATTCACAATAGCAAAGACTTGGAACCAACCCAAATGTCCATCAATGATAGACTGGATTAAGAAAATGTGACACATATACACCATGGAATACCATGCAGCCATAAAAAATGATGAGTTCATGTCCTTTGTAGGGACATGGATGAAGCTGGAAACCATCATTCTCAGCAAACTATTGCAAGGACAGAAAACCAAACACCGCATGTTCTCACTCATAGGTGGGAATTGAACAATGAGAACACTTGGACACAGGAAGGGGAACATCACACTCTGGGGCCTGTTGTGGGGTGGGGGGAGAGGGGAGGGATAGCATTAGGAGATATACCCAATGTAAATGACGAGTTAATGGGTGCAGCACACCAGCAGGGCACATGTATACATATGCAACAAACCTGCACGTTGTGCACATGTACCCTATAACTTAAAAAGTATAATAAAATATATATATATATATATATATAATGCATTAAAAATACCATTTATCATGACGAAGTGGAATTTATCCCTGGGATGCAAGGATAGTTGGACATAAACAAATCAATTTGATACATCATACCAACAGAATGAAGGTAAAAAGCCATATGATTATTTCAATTGATGCTAAAAAGCCATTTGATAAATTTCAACATCCCTTCATGGTAAAAACCCTAAAAAACAGGCTGTAGTGGGAACATACCTCAATGCAATAAAAGCCATATATGATAGACACAGTTAATATTGCACTGAATGGGGGAAAACTAACAGCATTTCCTCTTAGATTTGGAACACGACAAGGATGTCCTCTTTCACCACTGTTATTTAACATAGTTCTGTAAGTCCTACCTGGAGCAATCAGACCAGAGAAAGAAATAGAAGGCATCTAAATTGGAAAGGAAGAAGTCAAAATACCCTTGTTTGCAGATGATACGATCTTGTATTTGGAAAAACCCAAAGACTCCACATAAAAAAACTCCAAGAGCTAATAAATTCAGTAAAGGTACAGGATATCAAATCTACATACAATAATGAGTAACATTTCTATATGCCAAAAGTGAATGATCTGAAAAAGAAATTTAAAATGTAAATCAATTTACAATAGACAAAACTAAACTGAGTTGCAAAGAAATTAAACCAAAAGACACAAAATTCTCTACAATGAAAATGATAAAGCACTGACAAAAAAATTAAGGAGAACGCACAAAAAATGGAAAGATATTGTGTGTTCACAAATTGAAAGAGTTAATATTGCTAAAATGGCCATACTACCAAAAGCAATCTAGAGATTTGATACAATCCCTATCTAAATTCCAATACTTTTTTTTTTTTTTTTTTTTTGAGATGGAGTCTCACTCTGTCGCCAGGTTGGAGTGCAGTGGCATGATCTCGGCTCACTGCAACCTCCGCCTCTCATGTTCAAGCAGTTCTCCTGCCTCAGCCTCCCAAGTATCTAGGAGTACAGGTGCCATGCCCAGCTAATTTTTGTATTTTTAGTAGAGACGGGGTTTCACCATGTTGTCCAGGATGGCCTTGTCCTCTTGACCTTGTGATCTGCCTGCCTCGTCCTCCCAAAGTACTGGGATTACAGGTGTGAGCCATCATGCCTGGCCTCCAGTGTCACTCTTCACTGAAATAGAAAAAACAATCCTAAAATATATACGGAATCACAAAAGACCCAGAATATCCCAAGCTATCCTGAGCAAAAAGAGCAGAGCTGAAAGAATCACACTACTTGACTTCAAATTACATTATAGAGTTAAAATAACCAAAGCAGCATGGTACTGGCAAAAGAACAGACACATAGACTGACGGAACAGAATAGAGAACCCAGAAATACATTCACAGAGCTACAGCGAACTCATTTTCAAAAAAGCTACCAAGAACATAGACTGGGTAAAAGAGAGCCTCTTCAATAAATGGTGCTGGTTAAACTGGATATCCTTCTGCCAAAGAATGAAACTTGGTCCATAACTCTCACCTTATACAAAAATCAAATTCAAATGGATTAAATACTTAAAATTAAAACTTTAGTCTATGAAACTGCTACATGAAAACATTGGAGAAACTCTCTAGGGCATTCTTCTGGGAAAAAATTTCTTGAGCAATACCCCACAAGCACAGGCAACCATACAAAAATGGACAAACAGGATCACATCAAGTTAAAAGCTTCTGCACAGCAATGGAAACTATCAACAAAGTCAAGAGACAAATATTATATTGTGGGAGAAAATATTTGCAAACAACCCATCTGACAAGGGATAAACAATCAGAATATGTAAAGAGCTCAAACAACTCTGTAGGGAAAAAATGTAATAATTTGATCAAAAAATGGTCAAAATATTTGAATAGCTATTTCTCAAAAGAAGGTATACAAATAGCAAACAGGTATATGAAAAGGTGATCATCATTAATCATTAGAGAAATGTAAAACAAAACTACAATGAGATATCATCTCACCCTAGTACAAATGACTTACATCCAAAAACAGGCAGTAGCAAATGTAGGCAAGAATGTGGAGAAAAGAGGACCGTCGTACACTCTTGATGGGAATGTAAATTCATACAACCACTATGGAGAAGTTTGAAGGTTCCTCAAAATCTGAAAATTGAGCTACCATATGATCCAGCAATCCCACTGTTGGTTATATACCTGAAGGACAGGAAGACAGTATAATGAAGAAATATCTGCACTCCCATGTTTTTTGCAGCACTGTTCACAATAGCCAGGATTTGGAAGCAAACAAAATGTCTGTCAACAGATGAATAAAGAAAATGTGGTATATATACACAATGAAGTACCATTAAGCCATAACAAAAAAAAAAATGAGATTCTGTCATTTGCAACGACATGGATGGAACTGAAGGTCATTATGTTAAGTGAAATAAATCGGATACAGAAAGACAAACATCACATGTTTTCACTTATTTTTGGGATCTAAACATCAAAACAATTAAACTCATGGACATAGAGATTAGAAGGATTGTTATCAGGGACTGGGAAGGTGGAGGGTTGAGGGGAAGGTTGAGATTGTTAATGTGTACAAAAAAAAAAAAAAAAAAGACCGAATAAGATCTAATAAGACCTAATAAAAAAAAAGAAAGACCGAATAATACCGAATAAGACCTAATTAATAATAAGACCTAATATGTGTACAAAAAAAAAAGAAAGACCGAATAAGACCTAATCTTGATAGCACGAGGGAGGCTATACTGAATAATAATTTAACTGTATATTTTTAAATAGCTAAAAGAGCATAATTGGATTGTCTGTAGCAAGAAGGATAAATTGTGAGGTGATGGATACCTAATTTTCCATGATATGATCATTACATATTGCATGCCTGTACATAAATATCTCAGGTACTCCATACATATATGCACTCAGGAAAATTAAAAATAAGAATTGTAATCATTTAATTTGTAAAAAATCAATTTTTTTAAATTAAATGATTACAATGCAATACAATAAATACATTGTGGGCTTTAACATTATAAAATTATTTTCCTATTTTCCATCTAATAACTTCACCCAGGGAGTCTTTCATGAAATGAAATTCTTGTTTCATGTAGTCAAATACATTAATATTTTATTTTATAGTATGTGCATTTTGTATCTTGTAAAGTCATTCCAAATTTAGCGTCCAAAACATTTTAAAAATTTTACTGCCTCTTTTTATACTTTTTTACAGTTAATATTTTAATACACCTGGATTTAACCTATGTGTATGGTTTGTCATATTATCCTGGCACATTTTCTTTCTCTTATCAATTTAATTGAAGTATAGTGGACATAAAATAAACTGTACATATTTAAAGTGTGTGTCTTTTTCTATATCGATATTTATATATCTCTATGTCTGCATTCATATATTTTTCCAACACATCTCACCACAATCATGATACTAATCATATCCATATAACTCCTGAATATTTCTTTGTGATCCTGATTCTTGATTCCCACTTTTCCCCACCTCCTTTTTTTAGGCAAACATTGCTCTTCTTTCTGTTTATTGTAGTTTGCATTTTCTAGTTAAATTGAATCACATTTTATGTCCCATTTTTGCCTGGCTTCCTTAAATTAGTATAATTTTAAAATATTTATTGATATTGTTATATGTCTTACTAGCTCACATTTTTATTTTTAAATAGTATTTCTTTATATGGATATGTTTATCCATGCAACTGTGTGTCCATTGTATTTATCTACTCATTAATGAATGGGTTGTTTTTCGTTTGATTATTACAAATAAACCTGCCACGAACATTTGTGCAAAAGTCTTTATATAGACATATGCTTCATTTTCTTTTGAGTAAATTCCTTGCGGTCACATGGTTGGATCATATGGTAGGTGTATGTTTACCTTTTTGGGAAACAGCCTAACAGTGTTCCAAAGTGGTTGTACCCCAACTTTCCAGTGTACAGTGTATGAGAGTTCCATTTGTTCTACATTCTGTCCAACAATTGGTATGGTCAGTCTTCTTCAAATTTTAGTCATTGTAATAGGTGTGCAGGGGAATCACATTATAGTTTTAGTTTGCATCACTTTAATGACTAATGATTTCGAACATTTTTTCATGAGCTTATGTGTCATCCAGATATCTTCCTGTGAGAAGTGCCTGTTAACATCCTTTTCTCTTTATTTACTGAATTGCGGTTTCCTCATTAAGTTTTGAGAGGTATTAATATATTCTGCATGTGAAAATATGATATGCAAATATGGTCTCCTAGTCTGTGGCTTGCTTTTCACTCTCTTATGGGTGCATTGTCAACAGCCAAAGTTTTACATTCTGATGAATTCTGATTTATCAATTTTTTTCTTTGGATTGTGCTTTTGGTCATATGCCTGCAAAATATTTACCTAACCAAAGATCATAAAGATTTTTTCTATGAGTTTTTATAAGTCTTACGATTTAAGTTTTACATTTAGACCTAAAATCCATTTTATTTAATTTTTGTGTATGGTGTGGGTTATGGATATGTTTCACGTTTAAATATAATTATTGAGTTGTTTCAGAAATATTTGTTAAAAAATCTTTCTCCAATGAATTGTCTTTATATTTTCATAAAAAATTAACTGAATTATATGTATGTGTGGGTCCATTTCTGTCTCTCTATCCTGTTCTGCTGATCTCTTTGTCAATTTTTTGTTAAATGGCGCACTATATTGAGTATTTGGCTTTATAATAAGTCTTAAATGAGGTAAAGTTAGTCCTTAAACTTTGCTCTTTTTCAAAACTTAATTTTAACTATTCCAGTTCCGTTACATTTCAGTGTGCATTTTATAATCAGTGTGCCAATTTATGCAAAAAATTTCCTTTAGAATTTTGATTGGAATTATGATAAATCAGTAGATCACTTTGGGCCAGACGCCCAGTGGCTCACACCTGTAGTCAAAGCACTTTGGGAGGCTAAGGCGGGAAGATCACAAGGTCAGGAGTTTGACACCAGCCTGACCAACATTGTGAAACCCAGTCTCCACTAAAAATGCAAAAAAAATTAGCCGGGCCTGGTGGTGCATGCCTGTAATCCCAGCTACTCTGGAGGCTGAGGCAGGAGAATCGCTTGAACCCAGAAGGCGGAGGATGCAGTGAGTCGAGATCGCGCCACTGCACTCCAGCCTGGGCAACAGAGTGAGACTCCATCTCAAAAAAAAAAGAAAAAATCACTTTGAAGAAAATTAGCATGTTAACAATTTTGAGTCTTTCAAAACCGTAAACAAGGTGTGTGTCTTCACTAACTTTGGCATTATTTAATTTATCTCAGCAATGTTTTCCACTTTTCAGTGTACAAATATTTCACTCCTTTTGTCAGATTCATTACTAAATATTTTTTGATGCAAAATTTCAGTAACCAATTTTTCATGTTAATATATAGACAAATGACTTCTGTATTTGACCTTTTATTCTTTAAAATTGTTGAAATTACTTATTAGTTCTAATAGCTTTTCTGTAAATTCCATTCAATTTTCTATATAGGTTACCATGCCGTCTGTAAATCAAGAGTTTTACTTTTTTATTTCCAAGTTGTCTGACTTTTACTTCTTTTTCTTGCTTGGTTACACTGGATAGAGCCTCCAGTACAATATTAAATAAAAGTGTTGAAAGCAGATATCCTTATCCTGTTCCTAATCTTAGAGGGAAAGCATTCCATCTTTTATCATTAAGTATGATGTCAGATTAAATTTTTTATAGAGGGCCTTTATCAGGTTGAGGAATTTATCTTCTTTTTCTACTTTGCTGTAAGTTTTTTTTCTGGAATTTACCCTTTATCTTTTCCAATGCCTTTTATGAATCTATTGAAAGGATTATATGGTTTTCTGTAGTTTGTTCATGTGTTGAATTACATTTATTTATTTTTAAATGTTAAGCCAGCCCTACATTTGTGCAATAAATATCACTTGGTCAGAGTTTATTATCATTTTCACATACTGCTGTATACAGTTTTTGGTTGACAGTTTTATTCCTTCAGACTTTTGAATATGTTATTTCATTGCCTCTGTCATTCATTGTTTCTAATGAGAATTCAGGGTAAGTCATGAAACCTAGCAACTTTGATCTCGGAGTAAGGTCCTGGTATAACTACTGAACAAGCTGAGCTGTTAGAGCTTAATAGGAAGAGCCCCAAGCAAGAATGCCACATATTCCCCCTGTTCTTAGCCAAAATTTGGTCGTTTTTCCACGGATAAACACCTCTACATTTGTTTTATGCTTTTGTTGATTTACAGACTTCTGAAATTGTTTCTTATCCTTTTGTTGAATTCCATTGTTGCTTTCTGTGGAGGGAATTTGTCAAGCTTTTCAGTACGCTACATTTGAAATATTTCCTCCCTGTGAGCTGTTTTTCTTCCTTGTAAATGCTGACAGGTAAGCTAATTGTGTGCCTAGGTAAATATGGGAGGAGAAAAAAAGGACATGTTAAAAAATAGAGCCAAATATTAAACCTTCTCATCTAACTTATCTTTGATCCATGATTCCAGTCTCAACTATTATGAACTCTTTCTCTTCTCCCCTCAATCTAGGACACAGTCAACTTCTATAATTTTGCAAAATTCTCATAGGTTGTATTAATTTAATAGATTCATCAAATCCTTTTGTCAGTCTCCTGGAGTTTCTGTTTTTGGTTCATGGTAGGAAGCCAGCAACCGATGGTAGTTTACCATCTTGTCAGGAATCAGAACCTGTGATTTTTTTGCTTTTCTTCCTAGCAGCCTTATTGCCTCTAGCCTATTACAAGCTTCATTATCTTATTCTTGGATGATTATATCTATATTCTACTCAAATTTCATGCTTTCTATTTTTGCTACTTCAATCTATATTAACTACTGCCAAGAGATTACTCATACTAAAATCCTTCTTTGCAGATGTCATTGTTGAGGAAAGTTCTGAAAGCAGGATGCTCAAATTTATGGTGAATTATTCTGGGCCCCTTATGTTGTAGTGATCACTGCAGGAAAACTTACCTAATTATTTCCCCCTGTTTTATTCTCTAGATGAGACATTATTATGGTCACTTTAATATCTTAATTTCCATATCAAGTGACAGAGAAATCAGGAGAAATGTAGCGTTCTCTTATAAATTGCTAGATAGGATTTATGCGTCATGTTTCCCAAATTTTGCAAAAGGAATGGGACATACATGGAATTATTAAGGAGATGATTTGTAAGACCATAGATTATAACATCTACTTTTTCTATGCTTTTGACAAACACTAATATGAGACCCTTGAGGATAAATATGCTCTAATTAGGAGAAAAAACTTGCTCCTAACACCTTGCCTGAAAATATTTTCTCTCTACTCTCTACTTATTGACTTCTGCTTCTTTAATAGAATATGTTTTGTGCTTTCTCTACCTATGACCTTTGCAGATGCTCCCATTGTTTGGAGTGTGCTTCATCCTTTGTACAGTGCAGAAATTTGGCAATAGACACACTTTTATTTGTTTGTTTTTATTGTAATGCAATTAATGTATTAAGAAAAAAATAAAACTGCAAGCTGAAGATAATACTAATAATGCAAACATGAATGAAACAAAGACAATTCTAATTTTCCTATTGTTAGTGGAATCCATTTGTCAGCCACATATGTGATTAAAAAATAATGAACATCTGGCCAGGCTCAGTGGCTCATACCTGTAATCCCAGCACTTTGGGAGGCCAAGGCAGCGGATCACTTGAGATCAGGAGTTTGAGAGCAGCCTGGCCAACATGGTGAAACCCTGTCTCTACTAAAGCTACAAAAATTAGCCAGGCCTGGTGGCGTGTACCTGTAGCTACTCGGGAGGCTGAGGCGAGAGAATTGTTTGAACCCAGGAGGCAGAGGTTCAGTGAGCCGAGATTGCACCACTGCACTCCAGCCTGGGCGACAGAGCGAGACTCCATCTCAAGAAAAAATAAATAAATAAAATAAAAGAAGAAGAAGATCTAATTGTCCCTTATAAGTCAGCCAAATATAAAATATTTGAAATTGTTGAAAAGAGTTTTTAAAATGGGGATGTATATCCTCTACTGTTAATGATAATCATGTTTTAAATGCATATAATATAGATGTCCTAAATGTATATTAGCTAATGTTAATAGGAAAATATATTTAGGAAGAAATTCAAAAAATAAGCAAACAGAATACATAATTAATTGTTTTTCAGTTAACTTTGAAGTCATGTGATAGTCTATGTAGTAATTTGTAATACATCTCAATGAAATCAAGTGGGTTCTTTAAAATACTTATAGAAATAGACAAAGGGGAGGGGACCAAGATGGCTGACTAGAGGCAGCTAGTGTGCATGGCTCTCATAGAGAGGAATAGAAGGGGTGAGTAAATACAATACCTTTAATGGAAACATCCAGGTACTTGCATTGGGACTAATCAAGGAAACAACTTGACCACATGGAAAAGAGAGAAAAATGAGGGAGAATGTCAGCCCATGCAGGAGTGACACAGAGCCAAGGGAATCTCCACCACCTAGGGAAGTAGCAAGTGAATGTGCAAACTCAGAAACCTACACTTCTCCTATGGATATTTGCAACCTTCAAGTCACAAAGTGTATGAGAGAGATCCCCTCATAAACCCACTTCACCAGGGCCTTCATTCTGACACACAGAACTACATGAAGTCTCAGCAGAGCAGCTGCTCAGGCATGTGCAGAGACCCAGGAGCCTTAGATACTTGGGGTTTCTGGGCCTCCTGGAAAAAGTAGCTGCAAGTCTGGCAAAGCTTCATGGGAGACTCCCATCCATACTGCTAGGAAAGATGCTGAATCCAGGGTGCTGAGCAGCCCTATTTCCATGGCATCTTACAGGATAAGACTCACTGACTTGAAATTCCAGCCAGCCACTGGTAGCACTGTTACACCTCTCTGAGACAGAGATCTCAGTGGGAGAAGCAGGCCACTATCTTTGCTGTTTGGACATCTTAGCCATTCCAGCCTTTGGAGAGTCCAAGACGATCCAGCGACAGAGTCAGTCTCCCAACACAGCACAAAGCTGCTGTGTGAAAATGTGACCAAACTGCTTTCTAAAGTGGGTCCCCAACATCATTCCTCCTTACTTGGCAGAACCTTCAATATGGAGCCTCCAGCCACCCCCACAAATGTCCTCTAGCTGACACAGATTTGAAATCTCTCTGGGATGGGGCTCCCAGCAAAAGGGGCAGGCTGCCATCTTGGCTGTTTGGGCAACTTAGCTCTTCCAGCCTTCGGGCTTTAGAGAGTCCAAGGTGACAGGGGGATGGAGACAGGCCCCTAGCACAACACAGCTGCTCTACAAAAATGTGGCCAGACTGCTTATTAAAGCATGCCCCCAAACCCGTTCCTCCTCACTGGGCAGGACCTCCCAACTGGGGCCTCCAGCCACCCACACTGTTGTTCTCCAGCTGACACAGCTTTGAAACCTGCCTTGGATGGAGCTCCCAGAGGGAAGGGCAGGCTGCCATCTATGCTGTTTTGCAGCCTTCACTGGTGATATCTCCAGGTACTGGAAAAGCAGGGGCAATTAGGGACTGGAGTGAACCCTCACCATACCACAGCCGCCCTAGGAAAAGTAGCCAAACAGTTAAATGGGTGCCCATTTCCATATTTCCTTACCAGGCAGGTCTTCCAGGCCTGGGCCTCTAGCCACCCTCCACAAGAGCTATTAACCAGTAGCAACTCAGCAACTCCCTGGACAGAGCTTCCAGGAGCAAATGAAAGCCTCTCTGTCACTGCCTCTGCAGTGAAACTATCCTTGCTACCCTGGGACTAACAAAGGAGCGGAGACCTTAAGTACCTTATACTCACTTCCAACAAGCTACAGTCGACCCAAGGAGAGGAGGCCAGTCCATCTCCCATGATAAGGTCCCACATACCTGCTACTGCTCATCACCAGACAGGGAATCCCTGGCTAAGGCCCACAACACAAACCTTCCATCCTGGGCTAATTGAACCACATCTCTCTAGAGTGGAGCCACCAGGAAACAAGTAAAGTGGTGGGGCAGCAAGCCAGCTGATGTGGAGCCCAGAGGGTTTGGTGCAGGAGTGTTTGTAGTGGAGCACAGCCAGGTATGGCCATCCCCCTAGGCTCAACTTGCTCACGTAAGTAAGAAACTTTAGCCTTAGCAGAACCGTTGGATCTGATCTCTGCAGTTGTCTTGCACATCAGACCGGGCTGCTCTGACCTAGCACTCCTTTGTCTGATGGCCTCTTCCAGGGCCCCAGCATGACCATGCCTGCATACAGGTCAGTCTCAAGTGTCCTGGGGGCCCACATCATAGCGTCTGCACCAGCAGATGGTGCCTGACTAGCGTAGAGCTCAAGTGAGGCAGCCCTCACCGCCCCACATGAGCCTGCATACCCAACCCCCAACCCTGCCCCATACTGCAGTTTTCCCCAAGCTCATGGCAACTTCCCACATCAGTTTTCTGGTGAGTGTCTGCAAGGGCGGGTTTTGCTTTACTTGCTCCACCAGCATGCAGGAGTGCAATACACCCCCACAACCCCACCAACTGCCATTGCAGAGAGAGCCTTGGCAGGCAAAGAGCCAGCAAGCCTCTCCCCGCCCATTGCCCTGCCCTTGTGCTAATGCTGCACAGAGAACAGCAGATCCTCCCACACACTGAGTGATCACTCTTGCTTGCAGGGCGGAGAGAAGGCACCAAGACCCGTGCTGTCCCAAGCCAACACCACCTGCAGTGCAACAGCCCACAGTCTCCAGCAGGGGCCTTCAGCTTCCACCGCTGGCTGCCTTGCCTCTGCCACTGTGGTGAATACCCAAAGGAAGGCATCCCTGTATCTGCTAACACTCTGCTGCACCTGCTGCACATCAGCCCCCCACCAGCACAGTGGACTCCAAACCTTGAAAAGCCAGAGAACAAAGCTGAGGCCCAATATAAATCCCCCAGAGTTGGAACATGCAGTCTAGGAGTTGGGAGCTGAGTGTTGGCCCCTAACATCTCCCAGTAATGAAGCCAGTTGGCTGAATCCACTTTATGCCACAATCAAACCCTGAAGGTCATTGAATAGGATTAAAAGTCCCATCCAAAGGCCAGCAACCTAAAAAATTAAAGGTAGATAAGACCACAAAGACAAAAAAGAATCATTGCAAAAATGCTGAAAACCCAAAAGCCAGAGTGCCTTCTTTTTGCCAAATGACTGCATCACCTCTCCAGAAAGGGTTCAGAACTAGGCTGAGGCTCAGATGGCTGAAATGACAGAAATAGAAATCAGAATATTTATAGGAACCAAGTTATTTGAGCTACAGGAGAATGTTGTAACACAAGGTAAGGAAGTTAAAAATCATGATAAAATATGGCAGGAGTTTACAGACAAAATAGCCAGTATTGAGAAGAACATGATCAACCTGATAGAGCTGAAAAACATACTACAAGAATTTAATAATGCAATCACAAGTATTAATAGCAGAATAAACCAAGCAGAGGAAATAATCTCTGCACTTGAAGACTGGCTTTCTGAAATAAGACAGACAGACAATAATACAGAAAAAGAATGGAAAGGAAAAAAAACCTCTGAGAAATACGGGATTTGTAAAGGGATTCAATTTATGACTGACTGATATGTCTGAAAAAGATGGGGAGAATGAAACCAACTTGGAAAACATATTACAGAATATCATCCTTGAGATCTTGCCTAACCTAGCCAAAGAGGCCAACATTCAAATTCCAGAAATGCAGGGAACCTCAGTAAGATACTTCACAAGAAGATTGTTCCCAAGTCACATAATCATCAGATTCTCCAAAGTTGAAATGAAAGTAAAAATTTTAGAAAGAAAGACCGGGTCACCTACAAAGGGAAGCTGATCAGACTAACAGTGAACCTCTCAGCTGAAACCCTATAATCCAGAAGAAATTGGGGGCCAACATTCAACATTCTTAAATAAAAGCAATTCCAACCTAGAATTTTATAGGTGGCCAAAATGGCTTCATAAGCAAAAAATAAATAAAATCCTCTTCAAATAAGCAAATGCTGAGGGAATTTGTTACCATCAGACCTGCCTTACAAGAGCTCCCAAAGGAAACACTAAATATGGAAAGGAACTATTGTTACCAGCCACTACGAAAACACACTGAAGTACATAAACAGGTGACACTATAGAGCAACCACATGAACAAGTCTGCAGAATAACCAGCTAATATCATAGTGACAGGATCAAATCCACACATATCAATACTAACCTTAAATGTAAGTGGGCAAAATGCCCCAATTAGAAGACACAGAAAGAAACAGAGTGGCAAGCTGGATAGAGAACTAAGAGTCATTAAGTATTCTAACTTCAAGGGACCCATCTCACTTGCAATGACACACATAGGCTCAAAATAAAGGAATGAATAAAAATCTACCAAGCAAATATAAAACAGGAAAAAAGGAGGGATTGCAAGCCTAGTTTTTGACAAAGCAGAATTTAAACCAACAAAGATTAAAAAAAACACAAAGGGCATTACATAATGGTAAAGGGTTCAATGAAACAAGAAGATTCAATTATCCTAAATATATATGCACCCAACACGGGAGCACCCAGATTCATAAAGCCAATTCTTACAGTTATTCAAAGAGACTTAGACTCCCACACAGTAATAGCGGAAGACTTTAACAATCCACTGACAATATTACACAGATCATTGAGACAGAAAGATTCAGTACTTGAACTCAGCACTGGATTAAATGGACCTGATAGATGTCTACAGAACTAACCACCCCCAAAAAGCAGAATATACATTCATCTCATTGCCATGTGGCACATACTCTAAAATTAATTCCATAATCAGAAGTAAAACACTCCTCAGAAAATAGAAAATAACTACAATTATAACAGTCTCTTGGATCACAATGCAATCAAATTAGAAATCAAGACTAAGACATTCACTTAAAACCATACAATCACATGGAAATTTAATAACCTGCTCCTCAGTAACTTTTGGGTAAATAATGAAATTAAGGTGGAAATCAAGAAGTTCTTTGAAACTAACAAGAACAAAGATACAACATACCAGAGTCTTTGGGACACAGCTAAGGCAGTGTTAACAGGAAAATTTATAGCACTAAATGCCCACAACAAAAAGTTAGAAGGATCTCAAGTTAAAAATCTATCTTCACAGCTAGCATAACTAGATAACAAAGAGCAAACAAATCACAAATCTAGCAGAAGACCAAAAAAAAAAAAAAATAACCAAAATCAGAGTTGATCTGAAGATTAAGACAAAAAGAAACCATTACAAAGGTTGATGAATCCAAGAGTTGTTTTTTTGAAAAAAAAATAAAATAGACCACTAGCTTGACTAATATATAAGAGAGAAGATTCAGATAAACACAATCAAAAATGACAAAAGAGATATTACCACTGACCCCACAGAAATACAAACAGCCATCAGAGAATATTATGAACACCTTTTGAGCATAAACAACAAAATCTGGGAGAAGAAATGCATAAATTCCTGGACACACACACTATGCCAGTACTGAACAAGGAAGAAATTGAATCACTGAACAGACCAATTATGAGCTCTAAAATTGAGGCAGTAATAAATAGCCTACCAACCAAAAAAAGCCCAGGAACAGATGAATTTACAGCTAAATTCTACCAGAGGTACAAAGAAGAGCTGGTACTATTCCTCCTGAAACTATTCCAAAAAACTGATAGGGAAGGACTCCTCCCTAATTTATTCTATAAGGCCAACATCATTCTGACACTGAAACCTGGCAGAGACACAACATAAAGAAAACTTCAGGTCAATAGCCTTGATGAACATTGATGCAAAAATTCTCAACAAAATACGGCAACCTAAATCCAGCAGCACATCAAAAAGCTTATCCACCACAATCAAGTAGGCTTTATCCCAGGGATGCAAGTTTCACTCAACATGCAAATCAATAAATGTGATTCATCACATAAGCAGAACTAAAGACAAAAACCACATCAATATCTCAATAGATGTAGAAATGGCTTTTGATAAAATTCTACACCCTGTCACGCTAAAAATCTCTCAATAAGCCAGGTATTGAAGAAACAGATCTCAAAATAATAAGAGCCATCCATGACAAACCTATAGCCAGTATCACACTGAATGGGCTAATGCTGGGAGCTTTACCCTTGAAAACTGGCAGAAGACAAGGTTGCCCTCTTTCACCACTCCTATTCAACTTACTGTTGGAAGTCCTGGCCAGGACAGTCAGGCAAGAGAAAGAAAGAAAGTGCATCCAAATAGGAAGAGAGTAAGTGAAACTATTCCTGTTTACAGATGACGTGATCCTATTATCTAGAAAACCCCATAGTCTCCCTCCAAAAGTTCTTAAGCTACTGAGCAACTTCAACAAAGTCTCAAAATGCAAAATCAATGTGCAAAAATCACTAGCATTCCTATGCACCATCAGAAGTCAAGCCAAGAATCAAATCAGGAACACACTCCTTCACAATTGCCACAAAAAGAATAAATATACCTAGGAACACAGCTAAGTGGGGAGGTGAAAGATGTCTACAAAAAGAACCACAAACCATTTTGCCCAGAGAAATCAGAGATGACACAAACAAATGAAAACACATTCCATGCTCATGGATAAGAAAAATCAATATCATTAAAGTGGCCAGACTGCCCAAAGCAATTATTGATTTAATGCTATTTCTGTTAAACCACAATTGACATTCTTCACAGGATAGAAAAAAAAACTATTGTAAAATTCACATGAACCCAAAAAGAACCAAAACATTCAAATCAATTATAAGCAAGAATAACAAAGCTGGAGGCATTATGCTACCTGACCTTAAACTATACCGCAGGGCTACAGTAACCAAAATAGCATGGTACTGGTGCAAAAAACAGGCACACAGACCAATGGAACAGAGCAGAAAACCCAAAAATAAGACCATACACCTACAGTTATCTGATCTTTGACAGACCTGACAAAAACAAGCAATGGAGAAAGAATTTCCTACTCAATAAATGGTACTGTAATAGAATAACTGGCAAGCCATATGGAGAAGATTGAAACTGGATCCTTTCCTTGCCCCATATACAAAAATCAACTCAAGATAGATTAAAGACTTAAATGTAAAACCCAAAATGAAAAGCCCTAGAAAACAACCTAGGCAGTACCATTCAGGACTTAGGCACGGGTAAAGATTTTATGATGAAGATGCCAAAAGCAATTTCAAGAAAAGCAAAAATTGACAAGCAGAACCTAATTAAGGTAAAGAGCTTCTGAACAGGAAAAGAAATTTAGAGTAAACTACACAACATACATAGTGGGAGAAACTTTTTGCAAACTATCTATCTGACAAAGGTGTAATATCCAGCATCTGTAAGGAACTTAAATTCAAAAGAAAAAAAATGCCATAAACAAATGGGTAAAAGTCATAAACAGACACTTTTCAAAAGAAAAGTGTCATTCATGTGGCCAACAATCATATGAATAAAAGTTCAACATCACTGATCATTACAGAAATGCAAATCAAAATCAAAATCAGTTACCATCTCACAGCAGTCAGAATGGCTATTATCAAAAAGTAAAAAAATAATAGATGCTGGCGGGGTTGTGGAGAAAAAGGAATGCGTATACACTGTTGGTGGGAGTGTAGCTTAGTTCAACCATTGTGGAAGACAGTGTTTTGATTCCTCAGAGACCTAAAGAGAGAAATACCATTCAACACAGCAGTCCCATTACTGGGTATATGCCCTCCAAAATATAGGTCATTTTATTATAAAGACACATGCACATGTATGCTCATTCCATCACTATTCATAATAGCAAATACATGAAATTAAATGCCCATCAATGATAGACTGGATAAAGAAAATGTGGTACACATTACACCGTGGAATACTATGTAGCCATAAAATAGAACATAATTATGTTCTTTGCAGGGACATGGTTGGAGCTGGAGGTAATTATCCTTAACAAACTAACACAGGAACAGAAAACCAAACATTGCTTTTTCGCACTTTTAAATGGGAGCTAAATGATAAGAACAATTGGACACATAAAGGAGAATAATGCACACTGGGGACTATTGGAGGTTGGAGGATAGGAGGAGGATGAGATTTGGAAGGGGCCGTGGACAGAATGATGTGGTTATGCTTTGTGTCCTCACCAAAATATCATCTTGAATCGTAATCCCCGTAATTCCCATAATCCCCGCATGTCAAGGGAGAGACCAGGTGGAGGTAACTGAATAATAGGGGTGTCTTTCTTCATGCTGTTCTCATGATAGTGTGTTCTCACGAGATTTGGTGGTTTTATAAGGGGCTCAATTCCCTTCACTTGGCACTTTTTCTTCCTGCTGCCTTGTAAAGAAGGTACCTTGCTTACTCTTCACCTTCTGCCGTGATTGTAAGTTTCCTGAAGCCTCCCCAGTCATGCAGAACTGTTTGCCAATTAAACCTCTTTCCTTTATGAATTACCCAGTCTTGAACAGTTCTCTGTAACAGTATGAAAATGAACTAATACAAAGAAGATTGGAAATAATAACTAATGGGTACTAGGCTTAATACCTTGGTGATGACATAATCTGTACAACAAACCCCATGAAACATTTTACCTGTGTAACAAACCTGCACATGTGCTCCTGAACTTATAATAAAAATTAAAAAAAGAAATAGAAAAAATAATGTCAATATTGTTTAAAATGACTGAGAGACAGTATAATTAAATAACACTAATTATGAAACAATTATTTAAATACAAATAACCATTAAAAGAATCATGAGAGCTATAATGAACAACTATTAGCCAATATATTTGAAATATATGACAACTTTTATTAAAGGATACATATTACCAAAATTGATTTTAAAATAAAAGCAACTATAAAATGTAATTATAAAGAAGCTAAAAAAGTGAATCTCATGAAGATAGAGAGCATATTGGTAGTTACCAGAGATCATGAAGGAGAGCAGCAAGTGAACGAAAACATACAAAAATGTATTTTAAAATATCTTATTTTAATTTTTTTAATTTTTAATTTTTGTGGGAACATAGTAGGTATATAAATGTATAGGGCACATGAGATGTTTGATACAGGCATGCAATATAAAATAATTACATCATGGAAATGGGGGATCCTTTACATAAATCATTTATCCTATGAGGTAAAAACAGTCCAATTATACCTTATAACATTTTGAAATGCACAGTTAACTTATTATTGACTATAATCACCCTATTGTGCTATCAAATACTAGGTCTTATTTATTCTTTCAAACCATTATTTTGTAACCATTAACAATCTCCATGTCCCCTCCACACTACCCTTCCCAGCTTTTGTAACATTCTTCTATTCTCTATGTCCATTAATTCATTTTTATAATAAATATTTATGGATACTTTTATTGGCTTTTAAAAGAAACTGTAAAATTGATATATCTCAAAATGGAGTTAATTTATATTTACAACAAACCAAACACAAACATCAATTATGGAACTACAGGGTCACGATTTAATTCCTGGAATTCAATTGTTTTTATTGTTAGATCCCACAAATAAGTGGGAACATGTGATGTTTGTCTTTGTGTGCCTAGCATATTTCTCTTTAAATAACGACTTCCAGTTTCATCCATGTTGTTACAAATGACTGAATTTCACTCTTGTATGGCTGAATAATACTCCATTGTATATATGTACCACATTTTCTTTATCTATTCCTCTGTTGATGAACACCTAGGATGCCTCCAAATCTTAGCTATTTTAAACAATGCTGCAACAAACATGGAAGTGCACGTATCTGTCTGATATAATAATTTTCTGTTTGAGGGGGGTGTATGCCCAGGAGTGGGATTGCTAGGTTATATGGTTATAGGTTATACAGTTATTTTGAGGAACCTCCAAATTGTTCTCCATATTGGTTATGCTAATTTACATTCCCACCAACAGTGTACCAAGGGATCCCTTTTACCCATGCCAACATTTGTTATTGCTTGTTTTTAGATATAAGCCATTTTAACTGGGGTGAGGTGATCTTACTGTAGTTTTATTAAAAGTTCTCTTATAATCAATTATGTTGAGCACCTATTTAGTTGCATATTTGCCATTTTTATGTCTTCTTTTGAGAAATGTCTATTCAAATATATTGCCTGGTTTTTTATTGGATTATTAATTTTTTTCTTATACAGTTGTTTGTGCTGCTTATATATTTTGGTTATTAATTTCTTGTCAGATTGGTAGTTTGCAGATATATTCTCCCATTCTATGGGTTGTCCTTTCACTTTGTTGATTGTTTATTTTGCTGTGCAGAAGATTCTTAACTTGATATAATCCCAGTTGTCCATTTTGTAGGATTGCCTGGGTTTATGGGTTTATGATCAAGAAATTTTTGCCCAGATCGATGTTCTGGAGAGTTTCCCAAAGTTTTGTTGTACAAGGTTCATAGTTTAACATCTTACATTAAGTCTTCAATTCATTTTGATTTGATTTTTGTATATGGCAACAGATAGGGGTCCAGTTTCATTCTTCTGCATATGGATATTCAGTTTTATCAGCATCATTTATTTAAAAGACTGTTTTTCCCCAGTGTATGTTCTTGGCACCTTTGTCAAAAATGAGTTCACTGTAGGTGTGTGGATTTATTTCTGGGTTTTCTATTCTGTTCCATTGCTCTATGTGTCTGTTTTTATGCCAGTGTCATGCTGTTTTGGTTACACTATGACACTGTCATAAAAATACCAATATACTCTCTATCTTCATCAGATTTTGTTATGGCTATGCAACGTAATTTGAAATCAGGTAATGTCATTCCCCCAGTTTTGTTCCTTTTGCTTAGGATAACTGTGACTCTTCTGGGTCTTTTGTAGTTCCCTATATATTTTCTAAATGCTTTTCTCTATTTCTGTGAAGAATGTCGTTGGAACTTAGATAGAGATTGCATTGAATTTGTAGATTGCGTTGCATAGCATGGACATTTTATCAATATTAATTCTTCCAATTTATAAACGTGGAATATCTTTCCATCTTTCCATATTCTTGTATGCTTTTCAATTTCTTTCATCAGTGTTTTACTGTTTGCAATATAGAGATCTTTGACTTCCTTGGTTAAATTGATTCCTAGTTAATTTTATTTGTGGCATTATAAATGAGATTACTTTTTTATTTCTTTTTCATATTGTTCATTGTTGGCATATAAAATGCTACTTATTTTTGTGCATAGATTTTTTTTATCCTGCCACTTTACTGAATTTGCTTATTGGTTCTAATGTTTTTGTTGTGCATGTGTGGAGTCTTTAGTTTTTTTCCAGATATAAGATTATGTCATCAGAAAACAAGGATAATTAGATCTCTTCCTTTCCAATTTGGTTGCCCTTTAATTTCTTTCTCTTGTCTGATTGCTCTAGGAAGAACTACTAGTATTATGTTGAAAAACCATAAAAGATGGTATCCTTGATGTTTTCCAGATCTTAGAGGAAAGACTTCCAGTTTTCCCACATTCAGTATGATTCTAGGTGTGGATTTGTCCTATATAGCTTTTATTATGTTGAGGTTTATTCATTCTATACCCAGTTTCTAGAGGGTTTTTATCATGAAGGGACATTGAACTTTATCAAATGCTTTTTCAGCATCAATTGAAATAATCGTATGGTTTTGATCCTTCATTCTGTGGATATAATGTGGCACCTTGATTGATTTGCATATATTGAACTATCCTTGCATCCAAGGAATAAATCCCACTTGGTCATGATGGATGACCTTTCTAATGCATTTTTAAGTTGGGTTTTCCAGTATTTTGTTGAGGATTTTTGCATAAGTATTCATCAGAGATGTTGGACTCTAGTTTTTTATTTTTTATACGTCTTTGGTTTTGTTATCAGTATAATACTGGCCTTATGGAATAAGGTTGGAAATATTCTCTGCTTCCCTATTTTTTTAACAGCTTCAGTTTCATTGGTATTAGTTCTTCTTTAAATGTTTGGCAGAATTCTGCTGTGAAGCCATTGGGTCCCAGGCTTTTCTTTACTGGGACACTTTTTATTATAACTTTCATTTTCTTACTTGTTATAGATCTGTTCACGTGTTGGCTTTCTTCCTGACTCACTCTTGGTAGGTTGTATGTGCCTAGGAATTTGTCCATTTCCTTTAGATTTTCCAATTTATTTGCACGTAGTTGCTCATAGTAGCCATTGATGATCCTTTGAAACTTTGTCTTATCAGTTGTAATGTCTTTATTCAGTGATGGTAATTTTCTCTTGTGATATAATTTAGTTTTAGGGTTTTTTTTTTGCTTTTCATCATATATATGATATATATATATAATAAACATATACATATATCATATATATGTATGTTTTCCAATTGAGGTTGCCATGAAGCTTGCAAATTCTCTTATAACTTATTATTTTAATCTGATAAATAACCACTTATTGTGTGCGTAAACAAACAAAAAAAGAAAACTGATAAAAACTCGATGCCTTAACATGTCCTTTTGCTTTTTAACTTTTTGTTGTTTCTGTTTATATCTTATTGTACTGTCTATGCCTTGAAAAGTTATTTTTTATTAGTTCGTCATTTAGTCTTTCTACTTAAGAGTAGTTTATATCTCACAGTTACAGTGTTATAATAATCTGTGATTTTGTATGTAGTTACTATTTCCAGTGAGTTTTTTTTTATTATTATACTTAAAGTTTTAGGGTACATGTGCACAATGTGCAGGTTAGTTACATATGTATACATGTGCCAGGCTGGTGTGCTGCACCCACTAACTCATCATCTAGCATTGGGAGATATATCCAGTGAGTTTTAAACCTTCAGGTAATTACTTATTGTTCATTCACATCCTTTTCATTCTAACTTAAGTATTAGTTTGGTGCAAAAGTAATTGCAGTTTTTGCCATTAAAAGTAATACTCTTTTTAACATTACTTGTAGGATAGGTCTGGTGTTCATAAAATCCCTCAGCTTTCGTTTGTCTGGGAACTTCTATATGTCTCCATGTTTGAAGGACTTTTTCACTGGGTATACTATTCTAGGGTAAAGTGTTTTGTATTTTGCTTTTTGTTTTTCACTTTGTCATCCTACTCTCCTGACTGCAAAGTTTCCACAGAAAAGTCTGCTGCCAGATGTATTAGAGCTCCATTGTATGTTATTTGTTTCTTTTCTCTTGCTGCTTTTAGGATCCTTTCTTTATCCTTGATCTTTGGGACTTGGATTATTAAATGCCTTGAGGTAGGCTTCTTTGGGTTAAATAGACTTGGGGTTCTATAATCTTCTTGTATGTGAATATTAATATATTTATCTATGTTTGGGAAGTTCTCTGTTATCCCTTTGAATAAACTTTGTACTCCTATATCTATCTCTACCTTCTCTTTAAGGCCAATAACTCTTAATTTGCCCTTTTGGATCTGCTTTCTAGATTCTGTAGGTGTGCCTTATTGTTTATTATTCTTTTTCATTTTGTCTCTTCTGATGGTATATTTTCAATTAACCTGTCTTCAAGCTCACTAATTCTTTCTTCTGCTTGATCCATTGTGCTATTAAAAGACTCTGATGCATTCTTCAGTCCACCAATTGTGTTTTTCACCGCCAGAATTTCTGCTTAATTCTTTTAAATTATTTCAATCTCTTTGTTAAATTTATCTGATAGAATTTTGAATGTCTTCTCTGTGTTATATTTTTAATTTCTTTGTATTTTCTCAACACAGCTATTTTGAATTCTCTATCTAAAAGACCACATATCTCTGTTTCTCCAAGTTTTTCCCTAGTGCATTATTTAGTTTATTTGGTGAGGTCATGTTTTCCTAGATGATGTTGTTGCTAGTAGATGTTCTTTGGTGTCTGGGTATTGAAGATTTTGGTATTTATTGTAGTCTTCACTGTCTGGCCTTGTTTGTACTTGTCCTTCTTTGAGAGGCTTTTCAGATATTTGAAATAACTTGGGTATTGTGATCTAAGCTTTTTCCTTTTTAGCAGGCACCTCAAGCCCCATAATGCTGTGGTTCTTGGAGACTCACAGATTGTACTTGTCAGGGTTCTCTAAAGGGACAGAACTAATAGGACAGATGAACATATGAAGGGGAGTTTATTAGGAGAATTGATTCACGCTATCACAAGGCAAAGTTTCACAATAGGCTGCCTACAAGCTGAGGAGCCGGGAAGACAGTCCGAGTCCCAAAAACCTCAAAAGTAGGGAAGCTGATAGTGCAGGCTTTTGTTCATGGCCGAAGGCACGAGGGCTCCTGACAAATCACTGGTGTAAGTCCAAGAGTCCAAAAGCTGAAGCACATGGAGCCTGATGTTCAAAGGCAGGAAACATCCAGCATAGGAGAAAGATGGAGGCCAGAAGACTCAGCCAGTCTAGTCTTTCCATGTTCTTCTGCCTGCCTTTTTTCTGGCTGTGCTGGCAGCAATTAGACTGTGCCCACCTAGATTGAGGGTTGGCCTACCTCTCCCAGTCCACTGACTCAAATGTTAATCTCCTTTGGCAATACCCTCACAGACACAGCCAGGAACAATACTTTGCATCTTTCAATCCAATCATGTTGACACTTAATATTCACCATTACATAGAGGTGTTACTTTGATGGTCTTGGACAATATCTGGGAAAATTTTCTGGATTACTAGGAACAGATTCTTTTTATCTTTCCTTTGTTTCTCCCAAACATACAGAGTCTTTTTCTCTCTGTTCTGAGCCCTTTAAAGCTGGGAGTGGAATAATACAAGCACCCCTGTGGCGACCACCACTGTGACTAAAATGGGTCAGACCTAAAGCCAGCACAGCACCGGGTCTTGTCCAAGCCCTGCTCTAATCACTCCCTGCCTACTGTCTATGTTTACTCAAAACCCTCAGGGACTCTGCAATTAGCAGATGGCAAAGCCAATCGGGCCTGTGGTGGTTTTTGTTTGTTTGTTTGTTTTTCAGGGTGACAAGTTACCCCAGATGCTGTGTGTGTCTAGTGGTGCTGTTCAGGAATCAGGAATTAGGGCCAAAAATCTTAGAAATCTACCTGGTTTTCTATTGTACTGTGACTGGGTGACACTGATATCACATGACAGTACTTCCCACTCTTTCCTCCCCTTTCCAAAGGCAGAGGGGCCTCACCCTGATAGCCCCCACCACCAGAGATCACAGGGTGTACTGCCAGACTACTACTGATGTTTCCTTAAGGCCCATGGGCTTTTAAGTCAGCTCCTGGTGAATGCTGCCTGGCCTGAGGCACATCCTTCAGGGTAACGGGATCTCCCTCCCTCTGGCCCAGGGCAGGTCCAGAGATGCCATTCAAGAGTAAAGTCCTGTTATTGGGGACCCAAGAGTCCACTTAATTCTTTACCGTTCTGTGATCATGTTGGTACTTAAAGTGCAAGACAAAGTCTCCTTTACTTTTTCCTCTACTTTTCTCAAGCAGAAGGAATTATGCCCCATAGCCACCACAGCTAGTCATGGGCTGAGTCTCACCTGAAGCCAGCAGTTCTCAGAGGCTTACCCTGAACCTTCGACATAGTATCTGGGTATTGCTGCTGCTTATTCAGGGCCTACGAGCTCTTCAATTAGCGGGTGGTAAATGTTGCCAGGACTGGGTCCTTCCCTTTAAGTCAGTGGGTTTCCTTTTGGCTCAATGTGTGTCTATAAATGTTTTCCAGGAGCTAGGGCCTGGAATGGGGGCATCACAAGTCTGACCAGTGCCTGATCTTGCTGTGGCTTAGTTTTTATCCAAGATGCAAGACTAACTTCTCCACACTCTTCCGTCTCCTCTCCTAAAGTGGAAGGAAGGGGTCTCTTTTTGCGCTGTAAGCTGCGCACCTTGGGTTAGGGGAGGGGCGGTTCAGCACTCCCTTGGCTGTCCCAGCTTGTGGCTCAGTAGGTTGTGTTTCCCAACAGTCCACAGTCTCTGGGCCCAGCTTAGCACTAGCACTTGCTTATGAGTTGTAGTTCTTATGGCCTAGACTGCCTTTCAAGATTATTTAGAACACAGACCACTACAGCCCTTAGTGGCAGGGTTTGGAGGAGCTCAAGTTCTGACCACTGGGATTGGCAATTCTCCTCTAGCTATGGCTGCAGTACAGTCATGCAATCTAGGCTCACTGCAACCTCCGACTCCTTGGTTCAAGTGATTCTCCTGCCTCAGCCTCCCGAGTAGCTGGGATTACAGGCACGTGTGACCACGTCCAGCTAATTTTTGTATTTTTAGTAGAGACGGGGTTTCACCATGTTGGCCAGACTGGTCTCAATCTCCTCACCTCGTGATCTGCCCGCCTTGGCCTCCCAAAGTGCTGGGATTGTAGGCGTGAGCCACTGTGTCCGGTCTGGTTTAAATGCTCTTTCCATGGGTGAGTATCAGCTGAGTTTGGTCAGTGTGGCTTTTTTTCTGGTTTAACAGGAGAGCACTTAGTTCAATACCTCACAGTTACTCTGTGCTCCCTTCCCAGCACCCAGAGATGCCCTCTACACCATGCAGCCACTGCTCGGGGGTGGGTGAGGAGTAACATCAGTAATTCAAAACTGTTTTTTCTATCTCTTTAGTACCTCTTTCAGCAATATGGAGTAAAAACTGGGTGCTATGACAGCTCACCTGATTTTTTATTCTTATGAAGATTTATGTATGTGTGTGTGTAGATGTTAAATAGATGTCCTTGTGGGGTGGGGGAGCAACGAATGGAACCTTCTATTTCATCATTTTGCTCTGCCTCCTAAACAAATGTATTTATTACCACTGAACTGTGTCCACTTAAAATGACAAAGATGGTAAAATACATATATATAGTTTACCTCAACAAAAATTTTAATTAAATTTTGAAAATAAGATACTTTTTATAATAGTATCACAGAATGCAAAGTATCTGAAAATAATTCAACAAAAGGTATGTAAAATTTCTAAAAAAAAGTATTAAATAGTTATAAAAGTCATTTTAACATCCCAAATGTTTGGAGTATTAAGTGGAAAAATATTGAACATGTCTCATTTCCCTAAAATTAAACTATATATTCAGTTCAATTAAATAAAAATTCCAAGTTTTTTTCCAATGATTCTATAATTTTTAAGTAAGAGGAAAGCGTCAAGAAAACAAGGAGAGACACTTGCCTTACTGGATATTAGAGCTTAACATGAAACTATTAAAATTAAGAATGTGTGTTACTGTTATAGGTGAAGAACAACAGAATGTTCAATATAATAGAGAATTTGGAAACAGTACTGTATGTATTATACCATTATAGTATGACATAGTTAAAAAAGGATAAATCTCACAGGTTTTAATACATCATGATAGTTTTTCAGTAAAACGTAAACCTACTAAAATGAATAATATTACATATGTGTGCATATACTTTTAAGAAATACATACACATACAAAACCCTTTGCAAGGGTCTAATGTGCTGGCATTTTGATTATCCATGCTTTAAAAAGAACCATCCCCAAATGAAAGTCAAAGTTACCATGGTATTTTAACTATGAGTAATTACATAAAGTATAAACTTTGCCTCTAGCTCTTCATCCCATAAATCATTATGTAAATAAATTATGCACATCGTTATCAATAACTAATCATGCCATTTCTTTCAGCCTTTTTCTTTTTTTTGGATTGGTCACTGCATACCTATTATTTGGTTTGTGCACAGACGCAAATTGTGTAGTTGTGTCAGCTTCTGTCTCTCAAAGATAAACCTATGTAACATTTGAAAAAAATAATAGTCAAAAGAGAGAATTGGCCAGCAAAGGTGAAGGTACAGCAAAGAAACAAAAAATTTAAAAACTAGAAGTGAATGGATGTGATTAAAAGATTTAAAAATGATTACTGCAAGGCAGGAAGAAAGACAGTACAGTAGGATGTAAGAACAATTAATAGATCGCCAGTTTGGCAGAAAACATTCTTTTATTCCACATAATAGTTATTATAGAGACTTCTCATCTATTTCTACTCTTCACGGAAACCAGATAAATATGAAACACATGGTAGATGTTTAGCTCAGTAAATAGTTAATACAGACATCCTGGATTATTACATTTTTCTCACTGATTTTGCCTCCTCAATTTAAACCATTGTCTAGAATTTCATTGAACTCTCTACAAATATTTATTAAACTCTTTCTACTCCAGGTACTTTTCTAGGAATTGTGTTATACTCAAAAATTAAATCAAAATTTTGCCTTCATGGAGCTTATATTCTAGTGGGAGATCACAAAAATGAGTAGGATAAATAATTAAATGATATAGCATACCATGAGGTAATAAATGTCATGGGAAAAAAAAGGAAGGTGAATAACAGTGCTAAAGAATGGTTGAAATTTTGAATAGGATGTTTAAAACTTACACCATAGTGACCTATGATTGAATAGGTGAGGGAAAGACTCATACAGATATCTGGGAGAAGAGCATTTCTGATAGAGAAAACAGCAACTGCAAAACCCCTCAGGTGGAAATGTTCCTGGCATAGTCTAGGAACAGCAAGGAGGCCAATGAATCTGTGGCAGAAAAAATGGGGGGGGAAATGAATAGTTACTGATGAAGTCAGAGAACTAAGAGGTACTCAGATTATTTAAGACTTCGTAGTTCATTGTAAGGACTTTGACTTGTACTCTGAGTGAGATAGGAAGCCAATGGTTAGATATGAGCAGAAAAGTAACATGATCTGAATAACATTTTTAGTAGTTACTATTCATTTATTTATTCTTAAATTATATATAATTTATTTTTTTATTTTATAGGTGCATAGTAGGTGTACATATTTATAGGGTACATGTGATGTTTTGATACAGGCATACAATGTATAATAGTCACATCAGAGTAACTGTGTATCCATCACCTTAATCATTTACTATTTCTTTGTGTTAGGAAGATTCCAATTCCACTCTATTAGTTATTTTTAAATGTACAATAAATTATTTTTGACTGTAGTCATTCTGTTGTACTATCAAATACAAGATCTTAATCATTCTATCTAACATTTTGACAGGACTGCTAGGACTTCTATATTCAGAACAAACCCATGGGAGGGCAAAAATAGAAACACAGACAAATTAGTAGGCTATTGCATTGATCCAAGTAATACTTGATGGTGACTTGGTAGCAGTAAAGGGGAGTGAGATGTGTTGAGGTTGTGGGTATAATTTTACAATATAATTTAGAGGATATCCTGAAAGAACGTACAGCATAAAAGAAAATGTAATCCAAGTATAACTCCAAGGATTCTAGCATGTGTAGCTGGAAAGATGGAATTAACTGAGATGAAGAAGTATGTGAGGAAGAAATTTGGAGTAGGGGAAGAACAGTGGCCCAGTTTCGAGGCTTTTCTAAAACACAAATCTAACCATGTTACTTCGCAGCTAAAACCTATTTTTGCTTCTGGAATAAAATTCAAATTCCTTAGGATATTATACAAAGTTCTGAAGGAACTTTGTGTACATTTTTAGGATCATCTAGTCTACAATTTTAGGATCCATCACTCACTATTACATTTCTAAATCAGTTGCAATTTTCTTAAGTAACATTGTGTTTTGCATGCTATTTGCTGTCATTACAGTGGACTTTCTCCCTTTTTCTCATTAGCAACCTTCCAAACATTCTTTAAGATGTAGATAAAAGATAATACCCTCTATGAAAGGGATCCCCAACCTCTTGGCCATGTACTTGTACTAGTCCATGGCCTGTTAGAAAGTGGACCATACAGCAGAAGGTGAGCAGCAAGTGAGCAAGCATTACCACCTGAGCTCTGCCTCCTATCGGATCAGAGCCACCATTAGATTCTTATAGGAGTGTGAACCCTACTGTGAACTGTGTATGCAAGGGATCTAAGTTTTATACTCCTTATGAGAATCTAATGCCTGATGATCTGAGGTGAAAAGTTTCATGCCAAAACCATCTCCCCCTCCTCCCATGGAATAACTGTCTTCCACAAAACCAGTGCCTGGTGCCAAGAAGGTTGGAGACCACTGCTCTATGAGACATCTCTTACTTATGTCAAGCAAAGCTAATCGATATCTTTTCTTCCTCTCTAACACTCTGATCCTATGTCTATCATAGCACATTTTCATTACTTGTATCCTACATCAAACTTTGAGCTTTGAGGACAGAACTGATACGGGTTGGCTTTGTGTCACTACCCAAATCTCATCTCAAATTGGAATCCCCACATGTTGAGGGAGGAAGCTCACAGGAGGTGATTGGATCATGAGGGCAGTTTCCCTCATGCTGTTTTCATGATAGAAACTGACTTCTCATGAGATCTGATGGTTTGAAAGTGTTTGGCAGTTGGCAGTTCCACCCTTGCTCTCTGTCTCTCTCCTGCCTCCAAGTGAAAAAGGTCCTTGCTTCCCCTTCACCTTCCACCATAATTATAAGATTCCTGAGGTCCCCCTGCCATGCAGAACTGTGAGTTAATTAAACCTTTTTCATCATAAATTACCCAGTCTTGGGTAGTTATTTGTTGCAGGGTAAAAATGGCCTAATACAGGAAATTGGTACCAGGTGGTGGGGTATTGCTATGAAAATAACCTGAAAATGTGGAAGTGATTTTAAACAGGGTAATGGGCAGAGGCTGGAACAGTTTGGAAAGTTCAGAAGAATAGAGAAAGATGTGGGAAAGTTTGGAACTTCCTAGAGACTTGCTGAATGGTTTTGACCATAATGCTGATAATGATATGGACAATAAAGTCCAGGCTGAGGTGGTCTCCAATGGAGATGAGAAACTTATCAGGAACTGGAGCAAAGGTCACACTTGTTATATTTTAGCAAAGAGATTGGTGGCATTTTGCCCCTTCCCTAGAGATCTTTGGAACTTTAAACTTGAGGGAAAAGATTTATGGTATTTGGCAGAAGAAATTTCTAAGTAGCAAAGCATTCAAGATGTGACCTGGCTTTTTCTGAAAGTGTACAGTCATATGTGCTCACAAGGAGATGATCTGAAATTGGAACTTATGTTTAAAAGGGAAGAAGAGCCTAAAAGTTTGAAAAATTTGCAGCCTGACCATGTGGTGGAAAAGAAAAACCAATTTTCTGGGGAGAAATTCAAGCTGTCAGCTGCAGAAATTTGCATAAGTAAAGAGAAGCCAAATGTTAATGTTACTGAGGGAAGGTATCTGAGTTACCAGTGGCGAATCCTTATGGGTCTACAGCAGCCTCAATTCTTGCGTCCTCAAAAGAAATAATTCTACTGAGGGGCATAAAGCAGAAAAAGAGACTGAGACAAGTTTCAGAGCAGGAGCGGAAGTTTATTTAAAAAGACTTTAGGATAGGAAAGAAAAGAAAGTACACTTGGAAGAGATCCAAGTGGGCAGTTTGAAGGACAAGTGTGGTGTCTAACCTTGATCCTAGGGCTTTATAGACTGGTCCCTTTCCCAATATTCTTCTCTTAGGCTGGACTGCCCACATGTGCAGTTCCCTCCTTAGCCTGGTGAGATAAGCACATGCAGTGTGCATAGGAACTTGTATGAATGCCCATCTGAGGCTTTCTTCCCTTTTCTGGTGGTGTGTGCCTGAAAAGTTGTACTCTGCCATGTTGTCTCTTTTTATTTTTATTTATTTATTTATTTATTTTTTACTTTAAGTTCTGGGATACATATGCAGAATGTGCAGGTTTGTTACATAGGTATACATGTGCCATGGTGGTTTGCTGCACCTATCAACCCATCATCTAGGTTTTAAGCCCCACACGCATTAGGTATTTGTTCTAATGCTCTCCCACCCATTTCCCCCCAACCCCTGACAGGCTCCAGCGTGTGATGTTCCCCTCCCTGTGTCCATGTGTTCTCATTGTTCAACTCCCACTTAGGAGTGAGAACATGTGGAATTTAGTTTTCTGTTCCTGTGTTAGTTTGCTGAGAATGATGGCTTCCAGCTTCATCCATGTCCCTGCAAAGGACATGAACTAATTCTTTTTTATGACTTCATAGTATTCCATGGCCATGTTGTTTGTTAATGCACATGCCCAGGAAGTTGCTTCTCCCTGGCATCTGCAGTCAATTAACACTTCAGTGCAATAGATTTGGATCGTAAGAAAATGGCCTCTTCCTGGCACTGACTGCCAATTTATCACTTTTAGAGAAGCAATGTGATAATTGTAGAACCATCACTCAACATTCTTAGTGGATGGGGGAGAGCCCTCTCTTGCCCCCATTCAAGACTGTCTACCTATAACACTAATAGCTAAGATAATGGGAAAAATGTCTCCAGGGTATTTCAGAGATCTACATGGCAGTCCCTCCCATCACATACCCAGCTGATTAGGAGGGAAAAATAGTTTTGTGGGCAGGGCCCAGGGCCCTGCTCTTCTGTACACCCTCGAGACATGGGACCCTGCATCCCAGCCACTCTAGCTCTGGCCATGGCTAAATGGGGCCAAGGTACAGCTTGGGATGTTGCTACAGAGGGTGCAAGCCCCAAGCATTGGTGGCTTCCAAGTGGTTTTGGGTGTGCAGGTGCTCAGGAAGCAAGAGTTGAGTTTTGGGAACTTCTGCCTATACTTCAGAGGATGTGTGGAAACACCTAGATGTCCAGGCAGAAGTCTGCTGCAGGGGAAGAACTCTCATAGAGAATCTCTACTCAGGCAGTGCAGAGGGGAAATGTGGGGTTGGAGCCCCCACACAGAGTCCCTACTGGGACACTGCCTAGTGGAACTTTAAAAAGAGGGCCACCATCCGCCCGACCTCAAGATGTTAAATCCACCAACAGCTTGCACCATGCACTTGGAAGAGCTGCAGGCACTAAATGCCAGGCTGTGAAAGCAGTCTTGGGGGCTGTACCCTGCAAAGCCACAGGAGCAGAGCTGCCCAATGTCGGGGGAGCTTGCCTCTTGCAGCACATGCCCTGGATAAGAGACATAGAGTCAAAGCAGATTATTTTAGAGCTTTACTATTTAATGACTGCCCTGCTGGTTTTCAGAATTGTGTGGGGCCTGTAGCCCCTTTGTTTTGGCCAATTTTTCCCTTTTGGAATGAGAACATTTACCCAATGCCTGTACCTCTATTGTGTCTTGGAAGTAACTAACTTTTTATTATTGTTATTTTACAGGCTTATAGGTGAAAGAGACTTGCCTTGTCTCAGATGAAACTTTGGACTTGGACTTTTGAGTAAATGTCAGAATAAGTTAAGACTGTGGGGGACTGTTGGGAAGGCATGATTGTGTTTTGAAATGTGAGAAGGACATGATATTTGTGAGGGGACAGGGGCAGAATTATGTAGTTTGGCTTTGTGTCCTCACTCAAATCTCATCTCTAATTATAATCCTCACATGTCGAGGGAGGGACCTGGAAGGAGGTGACTGAATCATGAGAACAGTTTCCCCCATGCTTTTTTTATAACAGAGAGTGAGATCTCATGAGATCTGGTGGTTTCCAAGTGTTTGGCAGTTTCCCCCGTCTCTCCTCTCTCTCTCCTGCTGCCATATGAAGAAGGTCCTTGCTCCCCCTTTGCATTCTACCATGATTACAAGTTTTATGAGGCCTCCCCAGGCATGTGGAACTGTGAGTAAATTATTTTTTTCCTTATAAATTAGCCAGTCTCTGATAGTTCTTTATAGCAGTGTGGAAAATGGACTAATACAGGACCATGACTTACTCACATCTGTACTCTCCAGCTCTTCACACATAAATATACAATAGCTGCCCAACAAATATTTGTTTGATGTTGAATGAAGAAATAAATGAGTGAATGGTAAAGCACTCATGGTGATTATTTGAAATCACAAGCTTGACACACAAATTTTGTATACTATGCAGTAAGGCAAGAGACTTAGTAATAGAAGATCCATCCAGAATTGAACAATGTATTTTAAGGCTATGTGAGAAAAAAATCAAAATCGCTGATATGGTTTGGGTGGGGACACAGCTCCTGTAACCCCATGTGTCATTGGTGAAAGGTAATTAAATAATGGATGTGGGTTTTCTCATGCTGTTCTCATGACAGTCAATAAGTCTCACAAGATCTGATGGTTTCATAAACAGCAGTTCCACTGCACGTGCTCTCTTGCCTGCTGCCATGTAAGATGTGCCTTTGCTCCTCCTTCACCTCCTGCCATGAATGTGAGGCTCCCCAGCCATGTGCAACTGTGAGCCCATTAAACCTTTTTTTCTTTACAAATTACTCAGTCTTGGGTATTTCTCCATCGCAGCATGAAAATAGATTAATACAGTACATTGGTACTGGTAGAGTGAGGTACTGCTATTAAGATACTCAAAAACTTGGAAGCCACTTTGGAACTGAGTAACAGGCAGAGGTTGGAATAGTTTGGAGGGCTCAGAAGAAGATAGGAAAATGTGGGAAAGTTTGGACCTTCCTAGAGGCTTGTTGAATGGCTTTGACCAAAATGCTGACAGTGATATGAACAATGAAGTCCAAGCTAAGGTGGTTTCGGATGGAGATGAGGAACTTGTTGGGAACTGGAGTCAAGGTCACTTTTGCTATGCAAAAAGACTGGTGACATTTTGCACCTGTCCTAGAGATCTGTGAAACTTTGAACTTGAGAGACATAATTTAGAATATCTGGTGGAAGAAATTTCTAAGCAGAAAAGTGTTCAAAAAGAAGCAGAGCATAAAAGTTTGAGTAAATTTGCAGCCTGATGATGCAGTAGAAAAGAAAAACCCATTTTCTGGGGAGATACTCAAGCTGGCTGCATAAATTTGCATAAGTAATAAGGAATCAAATGCTAGTCTCCAAGACAATAGAGAAAATGTTTCCAGGGTATGTCAGAGACTTTTGCAGTAGCCCCTCCTATCACAGGCCTGGCCTAGGAGGTAAAAAGGGTTTTCTGGATGGGATCCAGGGCCCCTCTGCTGTGTGCAGCCTAGGGCCTAGGGACTTGGTGTCCTGCATCCCAGCCACACCAGCCATAACTAAAAGGGGCCAAGGTACAGCTTGGGCTGTGGCTTCAGAGGCTGTAAGCCTCAAGCCTCAGCAGCTTCCACATGATGTTGGTCGTGTGAGTGTGTAGAAGACAAGAATTGAGGTTTAGGAACCTCTGCCTAGATTTCAGAAGATGTAGGGAAATGCCTGGATGTCCAGGCAGAAGTTTGCTTCAGAGGTATAGTACTCATGGAGAACCTCTGCTAGGGCAGTGGGGAAGGTAAACGTGGGGTCGGAGCCCCCTCCCAGATTCCAAACAGGGGCACTGCCTAGTGGAGCTATGACAAGAGGGCCATCATCCTCCAGACCCCAGACTGGTAGATTCACTGGCAGCTTGTACCGTGTGCCTGGCAAAGCTGCAGTCACTCAACACCAGCCTGGGAAAGCAGCCGGGAAGGGGGAATGAACTCTGCAAAACCACAGAGGTAGAGCTACCAAATACCATGGGAACCCACCTCTTGCATCAACGTGCCCTGGATGTGATACTTGGGGTCAAAGGAGATTATGTTGGAGCTTTAAGATTTAATGACTGCCCTGCTGGATTTTGGACTTGCATGGGGTCTGTAACCCCTTTGTTTTGGCCAATTTATTCCACTTGGATTGGGTGTATTTACCCAAAGCCTGTACCCCCATTGTAGCTAGGAAGTAACTAACTGGCTTTTGATTTTACAGGCTCCTAGGTGGAAGAGATTTGCCATTAGACTTTGGACTGTGGACTTTTGACTTAATGCCAAAATGAGTTAAGATTTTGAGGGACTGTTGTGAAGGCATGATTGGTTACGAAATGTGAAGACATGAGATTTGGGAGGGGCCAGAGGCAGAATGATATGGTTTTGCTTGGTCCCCACCCAAATCGCATCTTGAATTGTAGCTCCCATAATACTCACATGTCATGGGAGGAACCTAGTGGGAAGTAATTGAATCATGGGGTGACTTTTCTCATGATAGTGAATAAGTCTCACTAGATATGGTGGTTTTATGAAGGGCAATTCCCCTGTACATGTTCTCTTGCCTGCTCCCATGTAAGATGTGCCTTTGTTCCTCCTTTGCCTTCTGCCATGATTGTGAGGCACTCCCAGCCATGTGGAACTGTGAGTCTGTTAAACCCTTTTTTCTTTATAAATTACCCAGTCTCAGGTATTTCTTCAAAGCGGTATGAAAATGCATTGATACAGTCTATCAATAGCATCTCTTCTTTGGCAAATTTCTTATGTTAGAGGGTGCAAATTATATCTATTATGAATAGCATTGTACAAACCATAACAGGTTTCAGATTGTTATTCAATAACAGATTGCCCCACAACCCCAATATTATTAATCAAAATGTTGATCAACTGAAGAATAAGTACAATTTTGCCCTCAGCCATTTAAGTGATGTTTATAAATTAGTCCTCATCTTTTTAAGTGAATAAATTGTTCCATGAAATTTAAAGTACTGTGTGTTTGGATTCATGCCAGAGACATTCTGCAAGCTGATGGCTCAGTGTGACAGAGATACTAACATGTGTTGATGCCAGATATATTTCAGCTAAGATGATTCAATATTCTAAGGCTTAAATCTCTGTGTCACATATAATGGCTCTATATAAATTCCTACATATTTTTTTACTTAGAGTTTATTTGCAAATTTTTATGGGTTGTATTATATGTTCATCAAATTCATTTGTTGATGTCCTGATCTCCAGTGCCTCATAATGTAACTGTATTTAAATATATCACCTTTAAAAAGACAATTAACGTTAAAAGAGGTCATTGGAGTAGGGTATACTGCAATATTACTGGCCTTATAAGAGGAGATTAGGACACAGACATGCAACCAATATCAGACCACGTGGAAAAAAAAAAGTACAACCATAGAAGAGAGGCACAAGAAAATCCAACTCTTCTAACATCTTGACCTTGAATTTCTAGCCTCTAGAACTGTGAGAAAATAAATTTCTCTAGTTTAAGCCACCCAGTCTGTGATAATTTGCTATGGCTGTACTAGCAAAAAAATACAGAATGTATTCTTTGAATTCCATTCTAAACTGGAGAAAATGAAGATAAATATTTTTATTAAATTTGATGAGGACAGATATTTTGGAGATTATGGTATTAACCATTAATCTACTCTTTTGGAGGACTGAACATTAGCAGCTTTTGCTGTTTCAGTTTCCAATTGTACATATTTGCATGTTAGCTAAATGGAACTGAGCATTTGAGACACTGCATAGCAAACTTTAGTGTAGATCAGAATAATCTGGAGAGATGTTAAAATTATTAATGTTAAGGTACATTTCTAAGTCTGGTATGGGACCTAGACTTCTACATTTTGAAAACTTTGTGGCAAGGTGCTGTTTGTCCAAGTACCCTAATCATGGTTAGAGAAATACTTAGCATAGATTTTACTGAAGTACAAATGATTAACAAAGTAAAACATATTATAATTCAGTAGGTTATCCCAAAGTAACAGTGAAATATGAAGACTGCTTATATGGAGAGCCAATTTTTACCACATCTTCCCACATGTAAGCAATGTCACACTAGTACCTTGATATTAGTCATTGTAATGGTTAATACTGAGTGTCAACTTGATTGGATTGAAGGATACAAAGTTTTGATCCTGAATGTTTCTGTAAGAGTGGCTACCAAAAGAGATTAACATTTGAGTCAGTGGACTGGGAAAGGCAGACCCACCCTTAATCTGGGTGGGAACAATCTAATCAGCTGCCATCGTGGCTAGAATATAAGCAGGCAGAAAAATGTACAAAGAGAGACTGGCCTAGCCTCCCAGCCTCCCATCTTTCTCCCGTGCTGGATGCTTCCTGCCCTCAAACGTCAGACTCCAAGGTCTTCAGTTTTGGAACTCGGACTGGCTCTCCTTGTTCCTCAGCCTGCAGACAACCTATTGTGGAACCTTGTGATACTGTGAGTTAACACTTAATAAATTCCCATTTATATATATATTCCATTAGTTCTGTCCCTCTAGAGAACCCTGACTAATACAGATTTTGGTACCAGGAGTGGTTCTAGAGGAAGAGGATATTAAATATGGAGTTCTTTAATTGGTTTTGGGGTTTCTGGAGTTGGCTGCTTAATTTGATTAGACCCAAAATTGCTAAGGACTCTACTTCTAATAGTATGAAGAACACTGATAGTCCTTGGCGTGAACTGTTTAGAAAGTTATGCAAAATAAATGCATTTGACACTCCTGATTCATCACTCATGAGAGGCAAGGAGTTTAGTGACTCTATATAATACGTTTGACCATATGTGGAGAATCAAGGAACATAGTGAAGCTGGTTGGTTGCTCCTAAGTTCAGTGGACAAAGTGATGAAAGAAAATGATGAACTTAGGGATTCTATCTCCCAGCTTCAGAAACAGGCACTGAGTCTCAAATCTGCTAAGACTGCCCTGAGTAAGAGTCTTATCTCCTGTAGAGGAATAGCTGAAATTATGGAAAAACTGACACAAGCTCTTATCATGCTAGTGGCTGACCTGCAAAGAAAGGTGCATGCACTGCCTCGCCAGGTGTCTACTGTTAACGTGAGGGCATTGATTGGAAAAGAATTTCACCCTGAAACTTGGAATGAGGACATGTGTGAGGACCCTGATGAATCTGGGGACACTGAGTTTGCAAACTCTGATGAACCTTTTTTGCCAGAAGAAAGAGCTTCCCCACCCCAGTAGTGGCAACATCCCCTCCCCAATCCGTGCTGCCGTCAGCCTTTCCACCTTTATCTGAGGAGATAAACCCTGTGCTGCCTGAGGCAATAGTGATGGCCTCCCCTGAGGCAGTTGCCAGGCAAAATAATATTGATTCTCCTCAGGAGCCACCCCCAACACCCCTGTTTGCTTCTGGACCTATAACTAGACTAAAGTCCCAGCGGACCCCTAGAGGTGAGGTTGAGAGTGTGACCCATGAGGAGGCGCACTACACTCGAAAAGAACTGTTTGAGTTCTCTAATTTATATAAACAGAAACCTGGAGAACAGACATGGGAATGGATATTAAAGTTGTGCGACAATGGTGGAAGGAACATAGAGTTGGATCAGGCTGAATTTATTGCTTTGGGCCCACTAAATAGGGACCCTGCATTTAATGTTGCAGCTTGGGGAGTTAAAAAATGTTCTAATAGTTTATTTGCTTGGTTAGCTAAAATATGGATTAAAAGATGGCCCACTGTGAGCAATCTGGAAATGCCTGATCTCCCTTGGTTTAATGTAGAGGAAGGGATCCAAAGGCTTAGGGAGATTGGGATGGTGGAGTGGACTAGTCACTTTAGACCTACTCATCCCAGCTGGGAGGGTCCAGATTATATACCCTTGACCAATGCCTTGTGAAATAGGTTTGTGAGGGCAGAGGTTTGTCCTCACTGGAATAGACACTCCAGATATGGGTTTGCCTGTCTTACATTCAATACTTCTGCCAAAAATACCATCCATGGAATCAGAATACCTTATCCACCATCACGTTATTCCACATAACATTGCCTCTGACAAAGGCACTCACTTTATGACTAAAGAAGTGTGGCAGTGGTCTCATCCTCATAGAATTCACTGGTCTTACCATGTTCCCCATCATCCTGAAGCAGCTGGATTGATAGATTGTTGGAACAGCCTTTTGAAGTCACAATTACAATGCCAACTAGGTGGCAAATTTTGCAGGGCTGGGGCAAAGTTCTCCAGAAGGCCATGTATGCTCTGAATCAGTGTCCAATATATGAGACTGTTTCTTTCACAGCTAGGATTCACAGGTCCAGAAATCAAGGGGTGAAAGTGGAAGTGGCACCACTCACCATCTTCCCTAGTGATCCACTAGCAAAATTTTTGCTTCCTTTTACCGTGACATTTTGTTCTGCTGGCCTAGAGGTCTTAGTTCCAGAGAGAGGAATGCTGCCACCAGGAGACACAACAAAAATTCCATTAAACTGGAAATTCAGAGTGCCACTTGGCCACTTTGGGCTCCTCCTACCTTTAAATCAACAGGCTAAGAAGGGAGTTACAGTGTTGGCTGGGGTGATTAACCCAGACTATCAAGATGAAATCAGTGTACTACTCCACAATGGAGGTAAGGAAGAGTATGCATGGAATACAGGAGATCCCTTAGCGTGCCTCTTAGTATTACCATGACCTGTGATTAAGGTCAATGGGAAACTACAACATCCCATTTCAGGCAGGAATACAAATGACCCAGACCCTTCAGGAATAAAGGTTAGTGTTAGTCCACCAGGAAAAACAGAAAAAAAAAAGAAAAAAAAACCTGCTGAGGTGCTTGCTGAAGGCAAAGAGAATACAGAATGGGTAGTAGAAGAAGGTAGTCATCAATGCTCTCTATGACCACGTGACCAGCTGCAGAAATGAGGACTGTAATTGTCATGAGTACTTCCTCATTCTTTTGTTAAAAACATGTTTGTACATATATATACTTGTATTAAGAAAATACCTTCATTTTATTTCCTTTCTCCCTTAGCATGTGACATAAGCTTTATTGACTTCCCATCAGCAACAGTAACAATACTTATTATTGCTAACTTTATCTAATAGTATTTGGGTTGGGGATTAGTGTGTTTCTGGTTGTAGGAAGGATAGTTGTATTATGTTAGGTGTAATTATGACATTATTGTCTTTATTTGAAGATTATGTATAATCTCAGGAGATGTGTATGGATTCAAGTTAACAAGGGGTGGACTTGTGATGGTTAATACTGAGTGTCAACTTGATTGGATTGAAGGATACGAAGTTTTGATCCTGGGTGTGTCTGTGAGGATGTTGCCATAGGAGATTAGCATTTGAGTCCCTGAGCTGGGAAAGGCAGACCCACCCTTAATCTGAGTGAGCACAATTTAATCAGCTGCCAGCATGGCTAGACTGTAAGAAGACAGGACAGTGTAAAAAGAGAGACTGGCCTAGACTCCCAGTCTACATCTTTCTCCTGTGCTGGATCCTTCCTGCCCTTGAACATTGGACTCCAAGTTCTTCAGTTTTGGAACTTGTACTGGCTCTTCTTGCTCCTCAGCCTACAGACGGCCGATTGTGGAGCCCTGTGATTATGTGAGTTAATACTTAATACACTCGCCTTTATATATATACAAAGTTATGTCCCTCTAGAGAACCCTTACTAATACAGTCATGGAGGATGTATTTGCAAAATAGAAATAGGCAAATGCTACAACTCAGGGCTCTTTCCCCCTGCCCCCACAGAACTGGTTTACCAGCACAGTACTGGTAATGGCTGCCTTTGAATAACTGTTCTCTAATTATGTCACCAACCTCTATGCACCAACTCTCTTTAATTTATTTGGCCTCTTCCTTGGATTAATAGATGGGAGATGGAGAACGCAGTTAATCTTTTGCAAGGAAGTACTGCGTACATTATTTTATTCATTCTGTGACGCTTTGGAGAGAATTACTAGGGCTGCTTTGTTAGGAATGGAAAGATAAATAGGCTGGGAGTAAGTTACCCAATATAAGACAAAAATTGTAAGCCAAAATTCTAAGCCAGTGAAGCTGACACATGAAAACTTTTAAGATAGTAGAAGCCAGTATTAATGCCATGAAATGAAGCACATGGACCTGCTAAAGATTTGTATCATGCAGAAAAGAGAATGATCTGAAGCAGTGTAATAGGAGAATAAGTACCTATGTTGCTTATATACTTAGTGATTATGACACCCCATCTTAGGTACTGTCCATAGAAATTTCTAAGGATCCAGATATTTATTCTCAGTTGTGCAATGATGGCCTTACTACAAGCTTGTTTATTTTCCAAGTCACAAGAGATGATGATTTTGATAAAAACAAAACAATACACTACCACCAACAAAAATAAAGAAATAAATAGCCTTTTTTGTTAACTTTAGATTCAGGGGCTAGCTTTGCAGGTTTACTGAATGGGTATACTCCATTATTCTGGGGCTTGGGCTTCTATTGAGCCCATCAACCAAATAGTGAACATAGTATCCAATAGGTAGTTTTTCTCTTTTGTTTGTTTTTGTTTTTTTAAAATTTTATTATTATTATACTTTAAGTTTTAGTGTACATGTGCACAATGTGCAGGTTAGTTACATATGTATACATGTGCCATGCTGGTGTACTGCACCCATTAACTCGTCATTTAGCATTAGGTATATCTCCTAATGCTGTCCCTCCCCCCTCCTCCGACCCCACAACAGTCCCCAGAGTGTGATGTTCCCCTTCCTGTTTCTATGTGTTTTCATTGTTCAATTCCCACCTATGAGTGAGAACATGAGGTGTTTGGTTTTTTGTTCTTGCGATAGTTTACTGAGAATGATGATTTCCAATTTCATCCATGTCCCTACAAAGGACATGAACTCATCATTTTTTATGGCTGCATAGTATTCCATGGTATATATGTGCCACATTTTCTTAATCCACTCTATCATTGTTGGACATTTGGGTTGGTTCCAAGTCTTTGCTATTGTGAATAGTGCCGCAATAAACATACGTGTGCATGTGTCTTTATAGCAGCACGATTTATAGTCCTTTGGGTATATATCCAGTAATGGGATGGCTGGGTCAAATGGTATTTCTAGATCTAGATCCCTGAGGAATCACCACACTGACTGCCAGAATGGTTGAACTAGATTACAGTCCCACCAACCCTGTAAAAGTGTTCCTATTTCTCCACATCCTCTCCAGCACCTGTTGTTTCCTGACTTTTTAATGATCACCATTCTAACTGGTGTGAGATGGTATCTCATTGTGGTTTTGATCTGCATTTCTCTGATGGCCAGTGATGGTGAGCATTTTTTCATGTGTTTTTTGGCTGCATAAATGTCTTCTTTTGAGAAGTGTCTGTTCATGTCCTTTGCCCACTTTTTGACGGGGTTGTTTGTTTTTTTCTTGTGAATTTGTTTGAGTTCATTGTAGATTCTGGATATTAGCCCTTTGTCAGATGAGTAGGTTGTGAAAATTTTCTCCCATTTTGTAGCTTGCCTGCTCACTCTGATGGTAGTTTCTTTTGCTGTGCAGAAGCTCTTTAGTTTAATTAGATCCCGTTTGTCCATTTTGGCTTTTGTTGCCATTGCTTTTGGTGTTTTAGACATGAAGTCCTTGCCCATGCCTATGTCCTGAATGGTAATGCCTAGGTTTTCTTCCAGGGTTTTCATGGTTTTAGGTCTAACGTTTAAGTCTTTAATCCATCTTGAATTAATTTTTGTATAAGGTGTAAGGAAGGGATCCAGTTTCAGCTTTCTCCATATGGCTAGCCAGTTTTCCCAGCACCATTTATTAAATAGGGAATCCTTTCCCCATTGCTTGTTTTTCTCAGGTTTGTCAAAGATCAGATAGTTGTAGGTATGTGGCATTATTTCTGAGGGCCCTGTTCTGTTCCATTGATCTATATCTCTGTTTTGGTACCAGTACCATGCTGTTTTGGTTACTGTAGCCTTGTAGTATAGTCTGAAGTCAGGTAGCATGATGCCTCCAGCTTTGTTCTTTTGGCTTAGGATTGACTTGGCAATGCGGGCTCTTTTTTGGTTCCATATGAACTTGAAAGTAGTTTTTTCCAATTCTGTGAAGAAAGTTATTGGTAGCTTGATTGGGATGGCATTGAATCTATAAATTACCTTGGGCAGTATGGCCATTTTCACGATATTGATTCTTCCTACCCATGAGCATGGAAAGTTCTTCCATTTCTTTGTATCCTCTTTTATTTCATTGAGCAGTGGTGTGTAGTTCTCCTTGAAGAGGTCCTTGATATCCCTTGTAAGTTGGATTCCTAGGTATTTTATTCTCTTTGAAGCAATTGTGAATGGGAGTTCACTCATGATTTGGCTCTCTGTTTGTCTGTTATTGGTGTATAAGAATGCTTGTGATTTTTGTACATTGATTTTGTATCCTGAGACTTTGCTGAAGTTGCTTATCAGCTTAAGGAGATTTTGGACTGAGACGATGGGGTTTTCTAGATATACAATCATGTCGTCTGCAAACAGGGACAATTTGACTTCCTCTTTTCCTAATTGAATACCCTTTATTTCCTTCTCCTGCCTAATTGCCCTGGCCAGAACTTCCAACACTATGTTGAATAGGAGTGGTGAGAGAGGGCATCCCTGTCTTGTGCCAGTTTTCAAAGGGAATGCTTCCAGTTTTTGCCCATTCGGTATGATATTGGCTGTGGGTTTGTCATAGATAGCTCTTATTATTTTGAGATACGTCCCATCAATACCTAATTTATTGAGAGTTTTTAGCATGAAGCGTTGTTGAATTTTGTCAAAGGCCTTTTCTGCATCTGTTAAGATAATCATGTGGTTTTTGTCTTTGGTTCTGTTTATATGCTGGATTACATTTATTGATTTGCGTATATTGAACCAGCCTTGTATCCCAGAGATGAAGCCCACTTGATCATGGTGGATAAGCTTTTTGATGTGCTGCTGGATTCGGTTTGCCTGTATTTTATTGAGGATTTTTGCGTCAATGTTCATCAAGGATATTGGTCTAAAATTCTCTTTTTTGTTGTGTCTCTGCCTGGCTTTGGTATCAGGATGATGCTGGCCTCATAAAATGAGTTAGGGAGCATTCCCTCTTTTTCTATTGATTGGAATAGTTTCAGAAGGGATGGTACTAGTTCCTCCTTGTACCTCTGGTAGAATTAGAGTGTGAAACCATCTGGTCCTGGACTGTTTTGGGTTGGTAAGCTATTGATTATTGCCACAATTTCAGAGCCTGTTATTGGTCTATTCAGAGGTTCAACTTCTTCCTGGTTTAGTCTTGGGAGGGTGTATGTGTCGAGGAATTTATCCATTTCTTCTAGATGTTCTAGTTTATTTGCGTAGAGGTGTTTGTAGTATTCTCTGATGGTAGTTTGTGTTTCTGTGGGATAGGTGGTGATATCCCCTTTATCATTTTTTATTGCGTCTATTTGATTCTTCTCTCTTTTTTCCTTTATTAGTCTTGCTAGTGGTCTATCAATTTTGTTGATCCTTTCAAAAAACCATCTCCTGGATTCATTAATTTTTTGAAGGGTTTTTTGTGTCTCTATTTCCTTCAGTTCTGCTCTGATCTTAGTTATTTCTTGCCTTCTGCTAGCTTTTGAATGTGTTTGCTCTTGCTTTTCTAGTTCTTTTAATTGCGATGTTAGGGTGTCAATTTTGGATCTTTCCTGCTTTCTCTTGTGGGCATTTAGTGCTATAAATTTCCCTCTACACACTGCTTTGAATGTGTCCCAGAGATTCTGGTATGTTGTGTCTTTGTTCTCGTTGGTTTCAAAGAACATCTTTATTTCTGCCTTCATTTCGTTATGTACCCAGTTTTTCAAACCTTACCCACCTCCCTCCCTGTCTCCTTCTGTAATCCTCGGGGTCTATTGTTTCCAACTTTATGTCCATAATTTACCCTTTGTTTACCTGCCACTTTTAAATGAGAGCACACTGTATTTGATTTTATTTTTCTGTCTTGATTCACTTAGGATAATGGCCTCTTGCTGCATCCATGTTTCTGCAAAAGACATGATTGTATTCTTTTTTTATGGCTGTGTAATAGTCTAAGGTGTGTATGTACCTTAGTTTGTTTATCTTATCCACTGTTAATAGGCACAGAGGTTGATTCCATAACTATGCTATTGTGAATTATGCAACAGTAAACATGTCAGTGTATGTGTCTTTTTGGTAGAATAATTTATTTTCTATTGGATATATACCCAGTAATGGGATTGCTGGGTCAAATGGTAGTTCTGTTTTAAGTTCTTTTAGAAATCTCCAAACTGCTTTCCACAGTTACTAAAATAATCTAATTCTGACCAACAGTATATATGCATTCCCTTTTCTGCACATCCTCATCAACATATGTCATTTTTTGCTATTTTTATAGTAGCCATTCTGACTGATGTGAGATGGTATCTCATTGTGGTTTTGAGTTGTATTTCTCTGACAGTTAGAAATGTTGTACATTTTTATATGTTTGTTGACCACTTTTATGTCTTTTGAGAATTGTCTGTTCAAGTCCTTTGTCCACTTTTTAATGGGGTTATTTTTTTCTTGTTGATTTAAATTGCTTATAGATTCTGGATATTAGTACTTTGTCAGGTGCATAGTTCATAAATATTTATTTCCGTTTTGTAGGTTGACTGTTTAATCTGTTTACTGCTTCTTTTTATGTCCAGAAGTACTTTAGTTTAATTATGTCCTATTTGTCTTTGTTTATGTTACATTTGCTTTTGAGGTCTTACTCATAAATTATTTGCCTAGACCAATGTCCAGAAAAATTTTCCTAGGTTTTCTTTTAGGACTTTTCTGGTTTCTGGTCTTACATTTACATCTTTACTCAATGTTTAGTTAATTTTTGTGTATGGTGAGAGATAGGGGTCCAGTCTCATTATTCTGGAAATGGCTAACCAGTTTCCCCAGCAAGATTTGTTGAATAGAGGATAGTTTTTCCATTATTTATTTTTGTAGACTTCGTCAAAGTTCAGTTGGTTGTAGGTATGTGGATTTATTTCTACATTCTCTATTCTGTTTTACTGAACTATGTGTGTATTTTTCTACCAGTAGCATGTGGCTTTGGTTACTATAGCCTTGTAGTATAGCTTGAAGATGGGTAATATGATGTCTCAGGCTTTGTTCATTTTGTTTAGGATTGATTTGGCTATTCAGTCTCTTCTTGGGTTCCATATGAACCTTATAATTGACTTCTTAAAAGTAATTCTGTGAAAATGACATTGGTATTTAAGAGGAATTTTGTTGAATCTGTAGATTGCTTTGGGAAATATCATTTTTTAAATTATTTTTATTTTCTCTTCAATAATGTAAAGGTATAAATATGACCATTTTTAAGAATTATGCATTCTTGAAATCAATGAACATAGAATATTTTCCCATTTTTTTGTGACACTCATGATTTCTTTTATCAGTCCTTTTTATTTCTCCTTGTAGAGATATTTCATCTCTCCAAGATGAGGTAAATGTATTGCAAGGTATTCCATTTTCTCTGCCAAATGTAATTGGGATTGCATTCTTGATTTGTTCTCAGCTTCAACATTGTTCGTGTGTAGAAATACTACTGATTTTTGTACCTTGACATTGTATCCTGAAACTTTACTGAAGTTGCTTATCAGGTCTAGGAGTCTTATGGAGGAATCCGTAGGGTTTTCTAGGTATACAATCATGCCACTGACAAACAGAGGTAATTTGACTTCCTCTTTTTCTGTCTGGATACCTTTTATTTCTCTTGCAAGATACCTCGGGCTAGGATTTCCAGTACTATGTTGAATAGGAGTGGGAAGTGTAGACATCCTTTTCTTTTTTTCAGTTATTAGGGAAAATGCTTCCAACTTTTGCCTATTCACTATGATGTTTGCTGTGGGTTTGTTGAAAATGACTCTTATCATTTTGAGGTAAGATTCTTCAATGCCTAGTTTGTTGAAGGTTTTTATCATGAAGAAATGTTGGATTTTATTGAATTTTTTTTTCATTTATTGAAATTATGTTTACATGATGAAATACTTTTCTTGATTTGAGTATGTTGAACCATCCCTGCCTCCCAGGAATAAAGCCCACTTGATCATGATGAATTAAATTCTTGATGTGCTGATGGATTCAGTTTGCTCATATTTTGTTGAGAATTACTGCATCTGTGTTCATCAGGAATATTGGCCTGTAGGTTTCTTTTTTTGTTGTTGTACCCTTGCCAGGTTATGGCATCAGGATGATACTAGTTTCACAGAGTGAGTTAAGAAGGAATTTCTCCTCCTCAATTTTTTGACTAGTGTTATTAAGACTAGTACCATCTCTTCTTTGTATAGCTGGTACAATTTGGCTGTCAATTATTCTGGTCCAGGGCTTTTTGTTTATTGGTAGAAATTTCATTACTGATTCAATTTTGTAACTCATTTGGCTGTTCAGGATTTGAATTTCTTCCTGGCTCAATCTTGGAAGGTTGTGTTTTTTAAGAAATGTGTCAATCTCCTCTAGGTTTTCTAGTTTGTGCACATACTAGATTAGAGATGTTCATAGCAATCTCTGAGGATCTTTTGTATTTTGATGGTATAAATCATAATGTTACCTTTCTCATTTCTGATTGTGCTTATTTAGATCTTCTGTTTTTTTTTCTTAATTAATCTAGCCAGTGGTTTATTGATCTTGTACATTCTTTCAAAAAAACAATTTTCCATTTTATTTATTCTCTGTATGGTGTTTTGGTTCTCAATTTTGTGTAATTATGCTCCGATCTTTGCTATTTCTTTTCTTCTGCTAGGTTTGTGTATAGTTTGCTCTCATTTTCTAATTCCTTTAGGTGCAATGTTAGGTTGTTAATTTGAGATCTTTCTATGTCCTTGATGTAGGCGTTAAGTGCTAAAAACTTTCCTTAACAATGCTTTTGCTATATCCCAAAGTTTGTTTGTGTTGCATCTCTATTTTCGTTTGTTTCTGTATCAGTCCATTCTCACACTGCTATAAAGAAATACCCAGGACTGGGTAATTCATAAAGGGAAGAGACATAATGGATTCACAGTTCTGCATGGCTGGGGAGGCCTCAGGAAACTTACAACCATGGCAGAAGGGGAAGCAGGCACTTTCTTCACAAGGAAGCAGAACAGAGAAATAATGCAAGAGAGAGCAGAGAAAACTGCCTTATAAAACCATCAGATCTTGTGAGAACTCATTAAATATTGTGAGAACAGCATGGGGAAAACTGCTTCCATGATCTAATCACCTCCCACGAAATTCCTCCTTCGACGCATGGGGATTATGAGGATTACAATTCGGGATAAGATTTGGGTGGGGACAAAGAGCCAAACCATATCAGTTTCAAATAATTTTTTATCTTTGCCTTAATTTATTTGTTTACTCAAAAGTTATTCAAGAGCAAGTTGTTTGGTTGCCATGTATTTGTGTGGTCTTAAGCGTTACTCTTGGTATTAATTTCTAGTTTTGCTCCATAGTAGTCTGAGAAGATGCTTGGTATTATTTCAATTTTTTTTTAATTTAATGAGACTTATTTTATGACTGAGCATGTGGTCAATTTTAGAAAATGTTCTTTGTGCAGATAAGAATGTATATTCTGTGGTCATTGGGTCAGAGTTCTTGTGTTGATTCCTTCTCATCTGAAGGAGCTGTCACTTCTCATTTATGCATTTACTATTGTTTGGGTGAGGCTTTAATTTTTTTTCCCTCGAGGGTATGACTGTGATGTGTGCTGTGTCATGGTTGTTTGGCTTCCTTTCTGGGTGCTTTGAGGGGATCAAGGCTCTGCATTCGTCCCTTGTTTATGGATAGCTTCTTTGTAGTGGCTTTCTCAGATGCTACTTGTCGTAGCAGTCTATTGGATACAAAAGCTGACACACTATTTCCTGCAGGGCTTTGGGTATGGAGGTCTCAGGAAGTTTATCTTGTGGACTAGCACTAACCCCTTTTGGTAGCCAGTTTTTTATTTGGTGGCTGCATTTCAGTAAATTGCACTTAAGAGCAAGAGCTGGCAGGCAGGCTGGTGCAGAGTGAATTCGTCTTCCCCTATGGGTTTGGTGGGAAGAAATCATGTTGCCCCTGTTGTGGGGATCGTGAACTTCAGTTTATAAAGGCTATACTTTATCGTTTGGTTCCTGGCTTCAGTGTGGCTGTGGGCCACAGATATGTCTCTCTGATGGTTACCACCAATATAGGGCTTGGAGCAGAGCCTTTCCTCCCAATACAGAGCAGGAAACTTCGTGGTCTGTCCTCTGTTGCCAAGGTCATGCCACTTTGTGTAAGGAGGGGTAGTTGTACCTGATCCTTTATGGAAACCCAAGCTGGCATAGGCTCACTTTCAGTGGTAGTGGAGCCACCATAGAAAGCATAAAAAAAGACTCAGTGAGTGCTTTCTGGGAGGAACCACTGCTGTATCTGTAACGGTGTATGGGAAGGATGAGTAGATGATCCCCTCTTCATGTCTGTTCCTGGGTGTCAGTACTGCCTCCTTAGGTAATTGGTTGCATTCCTACATTTCCTTTGTCCCAAGGGATGTTTTGGTAGACTGTACTCCTCCCTCCCTTAATGGCACCCCACACTGAGGGTTAGATCTCCACAAGTCCCACAGTTCCCAGGGGACCCACCAGTCCCCTGTTCTTGCCAAAGTCAGAGCAGGTAGTGGGGTATGTTTACAGGGGATATGATGTTGTGGTGGCTCAAGGACAGAGAATCCCCAGGGAGAGCTGAGTGTCACCATGGGTGCACAATCAATATAGTTCCTGCTGTTTCAGTTCAGGTCTGAAGGGAGAAAAGGCACACCTGCACAAGCTGGTCACCTGGTTCTCTGTCCCCTGGAAGTTCTCAGATTGTAACCAATAATGTTGCCCTGGGTCATCAAGAAAAGAGGGGTTCTCCAACAGTTTAGTGGTTGGCAGATTGTCTGAAGGGTGAAAGGAGCAGAGAAGCACTCCTACCTATTCTTTCCATAGGGCTCTGAGTTCCTTAGAGTTGATTTCTTTCAGACTCTTGCTGATTTTTGTTTCTGCGTTCCAGCTTCTTTCCATGGGCAATCCAAACGGTCTTTACTCTCTTTCCTCAATTTTCTGTTCAGATGTTGTCTGTTCACTGGTATCTTTGTTACTCTTTCTGTGAACTGGCATCAGATGTCCCTAGTCAGCCTTGTTGAACAGAAAAAATAGTAAAACAAATAAAAAATAAAAATACTTGTCCTTTAAACAAAGAAAATGATACATATCCTAAGAAATATATTTGTCTACAGAAAGTCCTTAACATATTAGGCTGATGACGAAAACTCTCTGCACCATGATATAATGAAGGCTTATTTGAGTGGGATTGCCTGTTTCCAGGATTGGGTGAAATAATGTGATTGAACATGTAATGCTTTAATAAAACTTTGAACAAATATTTGAGAAAATATTAATCTACTATTAATATGACTGATAAAGGAAAACTAGCTGTATTACATGTAGATTGCCAGCTAAAAAGGCTATTATACTATTTTTAACTCAAATAAAACTTAAAGGTTTTTGTACGAATTACAAAAGTAATTCATAATCATTTTTTAAAATTAGAAAACACAGAAAAGCTGCCAAGTGCAGTGTTTCACACTTGTAATCTCAGTACTTTGAGAGGCTGATGTGGGCTGATCTCTTGAGCTCAGGAGATTGAGACCAGCTCGGGCAACAAGGTGAAACCTCATCTCTACAAAAAGTACAAAAATTAGCCAGGTGGCACACACCTGTAGTTGCAGCTACTCGGGAGGCTAAGGTGGGAGGATGGCTTGAGCCCTGGGGGCAGAGGTTGCAGTGAGCCAAGATTGCACCACTGCACTCCAGCCTGGGCAATACAGCCAGACCTTGTCTCAAAAAAAAAAAAATACAGAAAAAGCACACAATTATTTGTAATGGCACAATCTATACATGATTGATGTATGCATTTTGGTGTATAGCTTTCTAATCTTTTGATAAAATACTTTTTTAAGAGAAGTTTTAGGTTCACAGGAAAATTATGAAGATGATATACAGATTTCCCATATAATCCCTGCCCTGACATATGCACAGTTTCCCACACTATCATCATTTCCAACCAGACTGGTATATTTACATTTGAATTGTAAACCTACATGGAAACCTCGTAATTACTCAAAGTTCATGGTTTACCTTAGGTTTACTCTTGGTATTGTATGTTCTAAGGGTTTGCACAAATGTATAATTTGCATGTATAATGCATCCACTATTATAGTACCATACAGAATATTCTCACACCCCTATAATTTCTCTGGGCTCCACCTATTCATTCTTCCCTCCTTTCTAAATCCTAGCAACCACTTACCTTTTTACTGTCTTCACAATTTTTCCTTATCAAGAATGTCATATAGTTTAAGTCATAGAGCCTTTTCAGATTGTTTTTTTTTCACTTAGTAATACGTATTTAAGGTTTCTCCACACATTTTTATGGCTTAATACCTCATTTATTTAGTACTGAACAGTATTTCATTGTCTGGGTGCACTACAGTTTATTTATTCATTTACCTACTGAAGGACATCTTGGTTGCTTCCAAGTTTCTGAAATTATGAATAAAGTTGCTGCAAATATCCGTGGGAAGGTTTTTGTACGAAAAGAAAGTTTTCAACTCCTTTGGATAAATACTACAGAGCACCATTGCTCAATTGTATAGTAAGAGTATGTTTGGATTGTTAGGAAACTTTTAAATGGTCTTCCAAAGTGGCTGTAACATTTTGCATTTTCACCATCAATGAGGAGAGTTCCTGTTGCTCCACATCCTTACCAGCATTTGCTGAACATGAGAAAGCAAGGAGAAGAGTGGAAAAAATGACAATCAGAGAGATAAAGGAGCCAGATTATGTAAGGCTTTATAAATCTTGTAAGGACTTTGGCTTTTACTCTGCGTGTATTTGGTTACATAGGTAAGTTCTTAGTGGTGATTACTGAGATTTTGGTGCAGCTTTCACCTGAGCAGTGCACACTTTACCCAATGTGTAGTCTTTTATCCCTCGCACCCTTCCACCCTTCCCCGTGTCCTCAAATTCATTATATAATTCTTATGCCTTATCTCTTTATGGGTATAGTTCAATTATCTTTTACTTTTCTTTTTTCTTTTCTTTTTTTTTTTTTTTTTTTTGAGATGGAGCCTCGCTCTCTCACTCAGGCTGGAGTGCAGTGGCACAGTCTAGGCTCACTGCAGCCTCCCACTCCTGGATTCAAGTGATTCTCCCACCTCAGCCTCCCAAGTACCTGGGATTACAAGTGCACACTAACACACTGGGCTAATTTTTGTATTTTTAGTAGAGATGGGGTTTTACCATATTGGTTAGGCTGGACTCTAACTCCTGACCTCAGGTGATTCACCCACCTTGGCCTCCCAAAGTGCTGGGATTACAGGTGTGAGCCACTTTGCTGACCCAACAACAAACAAAAGAACAATTCTGGAAAATTAATATGGACCACATTATTCTGAAGTCCATACATCAGTATGCAGGTATAAAAGTGGCTTATTTATGTGAATAGGTTGTTGTTATTTTCCTTTGAAGTTTAAGTTTTCTAGCTTCAGTTCACAGGGCTTTAAGAAGCCACAGCTTAATTTTCAGTGATTTCAAATTTAAAAATATGGGGAAGAAAGAAAAGAAAGAAGGAAAAAATAGAAACATTATTTTAGAGACTTGTATCCAGGAAAAATTAGAATTTGGCCTAAACTGTAGAAAACAGTAAACATTGAAAAACATTAGGCAAGACTAGAATCTAACAACAGGTTTACTAAGTTTTTGAAACATAAGTTTTCTCTCTTCAATTTCCCATTTTTACTAAAGACAAATCATGGTAGAACCAATTTGCTTTTTTATACTTGGCCAGGTCATTTATATAAAGTGCAGAAAGACTATTTTTTACATAGTTTTTAAAATTGGCTTTGATGAAACTCTGTTCCATAGAAGCAATCCCAGATAAGACTTTTTTAAAGCCAAGCCCAGCCATGGATTTGTACCATCAAATAACTATGAGTTAAGCACATTCCTTTCCTTTTGAGGTCCCTAGATAACTTGAGGCTCCTGGGCCTGTCCGAAAGTGACATTCGTTATTTACCACAGGTCAGGAACACTGTACAAGGACTGTGTAGACAAGGTATGAGGACAGTTTTTCCAAGGTGCTTTCATTGGCTCTATAAGTCGTTTGATTTTTTTACAAGAAAGCATACCATTCCAGTTAAAGTCTTGGTAAAATAACCAGTTTCCTCAATAGTGTCCTGTTGCAAACAAAAACATGCTGTCTGGGAACCAGGGATTGGAGTCAAGTACCTTAGCAATTTACCTGATGTTCTATTATACTGCAGCTAGGCTGTCACTTAAACCACAATATAAAGTTCTTTCTCCTCTTTCTTCCCCCAATCATAGGCAGAGGAGCTTCTCCTTGTGGCCATTATCACCATCAGTCCATAAGAAGTTCTGCCAGGCCACCACCAATATTCACTTAAAGCCCAAGGGCTCTTCCATCAGCTTGTCATGAATGCTGTCAGGCCTGGGACTCACCTCAACTTTGACTCAGGATCCCCAAGTGCCTGCAAGTCGTTCTACCCCACTGTGGCCAAGTTGGTACCTAGGGTGCAAGGCAAAGTCCTTTTCACTCTTCGCTCTGCTTTCCTCAAATGGAATGAGAAATTCCGCTTCACCATAGCTACCACTGCTAGAAATGTGCTTCGTCTCTCTTAAAGCCAGCACATCTCAGAGCCCAAGGCCAATAGCGTACTCCCTGGGTATTGTTAGTGATTATTCAGGGCCCATGGTCACTTTATGCAGCAGGAGGTAAATCTTGCCAGGATTGGGTCCTTCCCTTCAAGGCAGCAGGTTTGCTTCTGGCCCAGATTGTATCTAGAAATGTTATCTGGGAGACAGGCCCTGGAAAGTGGGCCTCACAACTATGCCCTGTGTCCTTTCCTACTGTGGCTCAGCTGGTATCTATGATGCAAGACAAAGTCCTCTTTACTCTTTGCTCTTCTCTCCTTAAGCAGAATGAAGCAGTTGCTTTTGTTGCTATGAGCTGCACTGCTCAGGATTGGGAGAAGGATGGAACATGCTATCCCTTAGCTGTGGCAGCTGGTGTCACATGTCACCCTAGTTCCTAGTTCACGGGCTCTAAGTCAAACTTAACACTAGTAGTTGCCTGGGAATTACATTCCTAGTGCCCTAGACCGCTTTTCATGCTTCCCTAGCAACCTAGAGCACCTCAGCCCATGATAGCGAGGCTTGCTGAGAAACTCAATTTCTGATTGCTGGGATGGGTGATTCCCCTTTCGCTAGGGCTGGTCCAAATGTTCCCTCCATGTGTGGTAACTCTGTGAGGCCAACATGGCTTTATTGTCCACTATGAAAAGGCAGCAATGAGTTCAATGTAAAGTCCCCCAGTTGCTGTGCTCTCCTTCCCCAAAATGCATAAATTCTCTCTCAGTGTTGCTTGGTTGCTAACGAAGGATGAGGGCAGGGTGGTGTGGGTAACTCAAGATGGTCTCCCTTGCCTTCATCAATGCCTCTTTTAGTAATAGGAAGTTAAAATCAGCTACTGTGATTGCTCATCTGGTTTTTGTTTCTTGTGAGGTACTTTTTTGTGTGCAGATAGCTGCTAAAATTTGGTGTTTCCCCAGTGCAGGGAAGAATGGTGTAGTCTCTTATTCCAACATCTTGTTCTGACACTGTCTTTTTTTAATGTGGCAAGAATATTTAACATGAGATTTTTTTTAAGCAAATTTCAGGTGCACAACAAAGTATTGTTTACTATAGGCAGAATGCTGTATAGCAGATCTCTAGGTTTTATTGACCTTGCATGACTGAAACTAAGTATCTGTTGAACAGCAGCTCCTCATTTCCTTATCCCACAAATCTCTGGCAACCACCATTCTACTCATTTCTATGAGTTTGACTATTTTAGATAGCTCATATAAATGGAATCATACAGTATGTGTCATTTTGTAATCTGGTTTATTTCACTTGTTATAATGTTCTTCAGTTTCATTTACACTGTTGCAAGCGATAGAAATTTCTTCTCTTTTTAAAGATTGAATAGTATTTCATTGTATATGTATACCATGTTTTCTTTATACATTTATCTATAGATGGGCACTTAGTTTGCTTCCATAGCTTGGCTATTATGAATAATGCTTCAGTGGACATGAGAGTTCAGATATCTTTTTGAGATCTTGATTTCAATTTAATTTGAAAGATCTCAAATATCAAGAAGTAAAATTATTGAATTACATGTTAATTCTATTTTTAATTCTTTTGAGGAACCTCCATACTCTTTTACGTAGTGGCTGAACCATTTTATATTACCACTAACAATGTATAAGTATTAAAATTTCTTCATGTCTTCACTAGCACTTGTTATCATTTATTTTATTTTTTATTTTATTGTATTTATTTATTTTGAGATGGATTCTTACTCTGTTACCCAGGCTGGAGTACAGTGGCAGGATCTCGGCTCACTGCAAACCTTGCCTCCCGAGTTCAAGCAATTCTCCTCCCTCAGCCTCCCTAGTTGCCGGGATTACAGGGACGCACCACCACGCCCAGCGAGTTTTTGTATTTTTAGTAGAGACAGGTTTCACCATGTTGGCAAGGCTGGTCTTGAACTCCTGACCTCGTGATCTGCCTGTTTTGGCCTCCCAAAGTGCTGGGATTACAGGCGTGAACCACTGCGCCCAGCTATTTTCTGGATTATAGGATTCCTAACAAGGGCTAGTTAATATCTCATTGTTTTGATTTGCATTTTCCTGATCATTAGTGAAGTGATGTTGAATATCCTTTTATATACCTATTTGCCATTTGTATATTGTCTTTAGAGAAATGTCTATTCAAGTCCTTTGGACATTTTTGTTGAATTATTATTATCATTATTACCATTGCATTGCAGGACTTTCTTATTTACCCTGGATATTAAGTCCTTATCAGCTATGTGATTTGCAATTATTTGCTCCCATTTAATCAGTGTGTATCAGTTGCCTTTTTACTTTGTTAATTGTTTGCTTTGCAGAGGCCTTTTAGTTTGATGTAGCCTCACTTTCCCATTTTTGTTTTTGTTGTTTACGATTTTGGTGTCATATCCAATAAATAATTGCCAAAATCAGTAACATGAGGCTTTTGTTTATGTTTTCTTCCAGGAATTATATAGTTTCAGCTCTTGCATTTTAGTCTTAATTCTACTTTGAGTTGCTTTTTGTGTATATTGCATGATAAAGTTTTAATTTTATTATTTTCCATGTGAATTCCCAGTTATCTCAACACCATTTGTTGAAGTTGTACTATTGTTAAAATGTCTGTACTACCGAAATCAATCTGCAAATTCAATTGCAATCTCTATCAAAATCCGAATGGCATTTTTTATGAAAAGAAATAGAAAAAAAATCCTAAAATGTATGTTGAACTACAAGAGACCCAAAGAGCCAAAACAATCTTGAGAAAAAAAAGAAAGCTGGAGGCATAACATTTCTTGATTTTAAGAATATATGACAAAGGTACAGTAATTAAAACAATGTGGTACTGGCATAAAAATACATACATAGATCAATAGAACAGAATATAGAGCCCAGAAATAAGCCCATGTGTGTATTGTTAACTGATTTTTGACAAGTGTGGCAAGAATATACAATGGTGAAAGAAGAGTCTCTTCAGAACAATCGATTTTTTAAATATTGTTTTAAATCAAGCAATCTTTCTAAACCCTCTTACTAACTCTGGTATTTTATCTCTAGATTCTTTTCTGCTTTCTATGTATATGGTCATATCAACTGCAAATAATCACAGTTCTACTTATTTTTTTTTTAACAACCCTTGCCATTTTATTTTGTATTGTCTTATTTCACTATCTAGGACCACCATTACAATGCAGAATATTGTAGGGAATTATCTGGAGTTTATAGAAATATATTTAAAATAGAAAAAGGTGTGTATGTGTGGGGAAATAAGGTATCATCTATACATACAGAATATATATATATATATATATATATATATAGCATGAATAATGCTGCATGTTCATTGATGCATTGTTCACTATATATCATGCATATATAATATATATCAATCTATATATAGAATATGTACATATATAATATATGTATGTTTTATATACTGAATGTATAGATTATATATATAATGAATAATGTTTCAATGGACATGAGAGTTCAGGCATCTCTTTGAGATCTTTTTTCAACTTATTTTGAAAGATCTCAAATATCAAGAAGTAAAATTACTGAATTATATGTTGATTCTATTTTTAATTTTTTTGAGGAATCTCCATACTCTTTTACATAGTGGCTGCATCATTTTACATTGCCACTAACAATGTATAAGTATTCCAATTTCTCCATGTCTTAACCAGCACTTGTTATCATTTGTTTTCTAGATTATAGGATTCCTAACAAGAACAAGTTAATACCTTACTGTTGTTTTGATTTGTATTTTCCTGATCATTAGTGATGATGAATATATATTATTATTTGGCAAACCTAGCTTCATGTGACAGCTGCTACTGTCAGACCAGTGATAATAAAATCTATTATATATCTATTCTCCTGCCACCTTTTTTTTGGTCCTTTTATGGTTATCTCAGGGAAGGGAAAAACAGCTTTGCAGGAGAACATACGTTCACTAAATTGTGGCCAATCAATTTGAATAAAATCTAATATGAATATTCACCATAGGCAGACAAGTTTACCACCCCTAAGCAAGCTCTGTCTCTTGTAGGAAAAACCCAGATGGCTCAGAGATCACAGAAGGCTGGTGGACATTTCTCAATTTTAAACGTCACAAAATTAATTTTTTATATGAGCAATGCTGCAAATAAGTAAAACAGCATTTTATAAAGAGTTTTTTTCATCTAGGTTTAAAATATATATATTTAGCACACTTGAAAAATAATGAGTTGACAAAAATATAAAATGCAGTCATTTACTACAATTATTTTTCTGAATAACAAAGCATAGTTTTGTTTTTCCTAATTAGTTTAAGTTTCAAAAAGATAAAAAACAACTGTAAATCTACTCAGGTGGGGTATTTAGGGAGAAGCATTTTTAAGTTTTGAGAGGGTTACAGGGAATAAAGTTGTACATTTTTCAGTTGTCTCTATTCTTAATTCTTTTTGCCCTTCCCTGTTGACTATTTCTTTGTTTACTTGAATGATTCTCCTTCAACCAGGGACTATTAGAAGTAGGAATGTGTTTTCTATTGCCGGAGTGACAAATTACTTATACAGGTAGGTTGCTATCCCTTCCTGTACCATGTCAGATAGTATTTTTTCATGATAGCCTTTCCTGATGAGCCCTCACATAGCTAAAGATTATTTTTCAGCATGGCACTACACATGGTCAATCAGTTGAAGCTAGCATTCAAAATGGAACCTATGTATTATGGAATAAAACAGAATATAACCCTCACAGGTGCCTTTTTGGCCATAAAGGACTTGGTATAACTTTCTTCTTGTTGTTTTCATTGCTTTTTTCCACATGTTCTAAAGCTATTTCTTTCATACATGTCTGGCATCCTGCCTCCAGACTATCATGCCTAAAAAGTATAGACTATTTATTGTAAACCACTAGAATCTTAAGAAAAATAAATTCAAGTTGTATTAGTGAACATGTAAACTAAATTGCATTAGTATACCTGCTTTGAAAAAGGTGAAATGTGTAAGATTTCTCAATCTTGAAGGTGAAGAAGCTAATGTGATTATGTTGCTTAGTAATTATTATTACACCATTCTTCTAGATTGTTGAACAAGTTTCAGTGAAAGATTTTTAGGGGATGTTAGAACAATAAGTCAACAGAATTTTCTACATTTTCACTTTTCATGCAGCTGGAAGTAGGTGTCTCACTGTCTGATTCAATGTTAAGTGGGACAGCAGGGTGAATTGAAAAAAAAAAAAACTTGTTTTTGGGCCTCAAATAAATTTCTATTGGCTGCAATGAGTATTATAGCAAGCCATAATTATTTCTTAATACTTTGTCTTTAAGATGATATTTGGGTAAATAATTAGCTTATAATGGCCTTGATAATTTCTGACATCTGTTACCTCAAATATGCTGATTTTACTTTTAGAAATAGCGAAAAATTTTGAAATGTTGCATAATTGAATGCAGATATATTACAACTACTGACTTGGAAGGAGACATGGTATATCTGTCCCTGGATTCTAAAATGCTCTGATTTGGCATAATCAGAAAAAGGAATTAAACCATAATATGTGGAGATTAACAATTGTCTGTAAAATGTCTCAATTTTTCTAATTGTATTTTGTATATAAGAGAGAAACCATAGCATGGTGTTTTATGGATTGTTGTGGGAAAAAAAATGCCATCACATCTGAAGAGTTCCTTATTGTAAGGACTTAATTAATTAATAATTAAAGACATGTCATTCATTTATAGGAAGAAGACAAAAAACCTTTGATTTTTTTACATATTAAGAGTATTAACAGATAAAATTTGAATGCATTACAAGAAGCACTGTCATGTCTATTCATCTTTGATCAGTGAGGAGGAAGTCAGGAAATAGCGAATCTAAACAAAGCATCATTGATCTCTGCCTTAAGAACCCAGATTCACACACACTTTGTCCAGAGCATCTTTTCAAATTAACTACAACTCAGTGAGTAAGCTTAAGAGTAAAGCATACATAGAAAGCATCATGAAATTTAGCGGCATATTACCTAGAGTTCTGAAAACAAGCTTTTTCAAAAAATTAGTCACTAGGCATTTTAATTGTGAACAAACTTATTGCACACAACACTGGTTTAATACTAACAATTTATTTTATAATGTACCATCTGGTGCATGTATCTTGGAATAACTATCATTTCTTGAGGATGTTGTAAGAAAGCCTTCATAAATCATAGCTTTTCATATTCTTAGTTCATAGCATATATTCATCAAAAGACATAAAATGCAGTACCGCCTGGATAGACATGCAACTTACATTAGTTAATGCTTTCAAGGCACTCTTTTTGCCCCTCCCGGATCACACATGTGCTGATAAATTAGGCTTGTTCTAAATAAAACAGAGAAGAATAGATTTCCCTAAAACACATAACTTATAAAACATTATAATTGTTCACTGAAAATGCATTTCAAACACAAAAAGGCTATCTTATGAATATTTGGAATGCTAAATGAGTTCCATCAATCAGACACATTAGGGTTTCTGTAAAGCTTCCAATAAATGGCATTACTGCAATTGTATAATTGTATATATAAAAATACAGTACATTTCATATATATATATATGTGTGTGTCTGTGTTTATATATAGAGATACACATTTAAGTTTACCACTGGATATGGTTAGGCTTTGTGTCTCCACCCAAATCTTATCTTGAATTCTCATCCCCAGGTGTTGAGGGAGAGACTTGGTGGGAAGTCATTAGATTATGGGGGCAGTTTCCCTCATACTGTTCTTGTGATAGTGAGTGAATTATCATGAGATCTGATGGTTTTATAAATGGTAGTTTTTGCTGCACTCTCACATTCTCTCTCTTGCCTGCTGCCACGTAAGACGTTCCTGTTTCCCCTTCTGCCATGACTGTAAGTTTCCTGAGGCCTCCCCAGCCATGTGGAACTGTGAGTCAATTAAATCTCTTTTGTTGATGAATTATCCAGTCTTGGGCAGTATCTTTATAGCAGCATAAGAACCAACAAATACATCATTATTTAGTTAAATTAATTTAGAAACAACTTCTAAGACAATATATTTGTCATTCAAGATTGCTTTTGTTTCCAGACTCATATAAGTGTTTTTACCCATTGTTTACCCATTGTTTAGTGACATTTGCCATTATGCAGATACTAAAGCATAATCAAAGGATCCATTTTATAGGTCGTTTTGCTGTTCCTTCACAGGTATCTAATACCAGGTGAACTGTGGAGGCTTACATTATAAATTGCTAGTCAGATAATTAAGGTGTTTTTTCCAGAGAGTGTGTATTAGTCCATTTTCATGCTGCCGATAAAGACATACCCAAGACTGGCAAGATAAAGAGGTTTAATTGGACTTACAGTTCCAAATGGCTGGGGAGGCCTCAGAGTCATGGTGGGAGGTGAAAGGTAAAAGGCACTTCTTATATGGTGGCAGCAAGAGAGAAATGAGAGAGAAGCAAAAACAGAAACCCCTGATAAACCCATCAGATCTTGTGAGACTTATTTACTACCACAAGAACAATATGGGAGAAATTACCCCCATAATTCCATTTTCTCCTACTGGGTCCCTCCCACAACATGGGGGTATTATGGGAGCTACAGTTCAAAATGAGATTTAGGTGGGGACACAGCCAAACCATATTGTTCCACACCTGGCCCCTCCCATATCTCATGTCCTCACATTTCAAACCTAATCTTGCCTTCCCAACAATACCCCAAAGTCATAACTCATTTTAGCATTAACTCAAGTCCACAGTCCAAAGTCTCATCTGAGACCAGAAAAGTTCCTTCTGACTATGAGACTGTAGAATCAAAAGCAAGTTAGTTACTGCCTAGATACAATGGGGTTACAGCCATTCCAAATGGGAGAAATTGTCCAAAACAAAGGAGTTAAAAGCCCCATGAAAGTCCTAAATCCAGAAAGGCAGTCAAATTTTAAAGTTCCAAGATGACCTTCTTTGACCCCAAGTCTAACATCTGGGTCATACTGATGCAAGAGTTGGGTTCCCATGGTCTTGGGAAGTTCTGTCCCTTTGACTTTGTGGCTGCTTTCATGGGCTGGCATTGAGTGTCTGTGGTTTTTCCAGGTGCATTGTGTAAGCTGTTGGTGGATCTACCATTCTGGGATCTGGAGGATGGTGGCTCTCTTCCCATAGCTCCAATAGGCACTGCCCCAGTGTGGACTCTGTTTGGGGGCACCCACCCCCCATTTCCCTTATGGACTGCCCTAGCAGAGGTTCTCCATGAGTGCCCTACTTCTGCAGCAAACTTCTGTCTGGACATCCAGTCATTTCCACACATCCTCTGAAATATAGGAAGAGGTTCCCAAACATCAATTCATCACATCTGTGTATTGGCAGGCTCAACATCAAATGGAAGATGCCACGGCTTGGAGCTTGCACACTCTGAAGCCATGGCCTGAGTTCTCTACCCTGGTTCCTTTTAGTCACAGCTGGAGTGGCTGAGACCAGGGCACCAAGTCCCTAGACTGCACACATCAAAGACACCCTGGATCCAGCCCAGGAAATCATGTTTTACTCCTAGGCCTCTGGCCGTGTGATAAGAGGGACTGCTGAAAACGTCTCTGATGTACCGCAGAGATATTTTCCCCATTGTCTTGGTGACTAACATTCAGATCCTCATTACTTATGCAAATTTTTGCAGCCAGCTTGAATTTATCCTCAGAAAACAGGATTTTCTTTTTATTACATTGTCAGGCTATTAATTTTCTGACCTTTTATGCTGTTTCACTTTTAAAATTGAATGCCTTTAACAGAACCCAAGTCATCTCTTGAATGCTTTGCTGCTTAGAAACTTCTTCCACCAGATACCCTAAATCATCTCTCTCAAGTTCAAAGTTCCACAAATCTCTAGGGCAGGGGAAAAATGGTGCCAGTCTCTGCTAAAACATAACAAGAGTAAACTTTATTCCATTTCCCAACAAGATTCTCATCTCCATCTAAGACTTTTTTAGCCCAGATTTCATTGTCCATGTCATTATCAGGATTTTGGTCAAAGCCATTCAAAAAGTCTCTAGGGAGTTCCAAATTTTCCTGCCTTCTTCTGAGCCCCCACAGAATGTTCCAGCCTCTGCCTGTTACCCAGTTCCAAAGTTGCTTCCACATTTTCAGACATCTTTTCAGCAGTGTCCCACTCTACTGGTACCAATTTACTGAATTAGTTCGTTTTTATGCTGCTGATAAAGACATATCCAAGACTTGGCAATTTACAAAACAAGTAGGTTTAATGGACTCACAGTTCCACGTGCCTGGCGTGGCCTCACAATCATGGCAGAAGGTGAAAGGCATGTCTCACATGGCAGCAGACAAGAGAAGAGCATGAGAGCCAAGCAAAAGGGGTTTCCCCTTATAAAATCATCAGAACTTGTGAGACTTATTCACTACCACAAGAACAGTATGGGTGAAACCGCCCTTGTGATTCAATTATCTCCCACTGGGTCCCTCCCATAACATGAGGGAATTATGGGAGCTACAATTCAAGGTGAGATTTGGGTGGGGGCACAGACAAGTTATATCGGAGTGAGAACTGAGAGTTGAAATTAAAATGTAAGTCTACATTTAAATATAACTTTTTTCTTGAAGATTAATACTGTGATGACATTAATGACAAGAATACAAGTAAATCAAATTCTCTGATATTTTTACTAAACATTTCTTTGGAAACTTAACATTTGAAGCAATTTTTAAGATATATGTACATCTTCCCTGTTATTATCACATGATTTGTTTAATTTTTTTATCATTAGTTACCTCAATTCTATGTTTACACTCAACTTTTCCATTTGTAGTGTGCTTTACTATTCTCAGCTCTGTTTACTGCTTCTAACGCTGTTTTGGCACCTAAAACCTAAAAATCTCTACTTTCAGCCACTTCTAAAGCATAGTGCTCTTTATCTCTGTCATTTCATCAGAGAGAACGTATTAATTTTCAGCTGTTAATTTCTTATCCAGTTAACTTAAAGGAGAGAAACTCATCTTTGGTTTCCTCTACGCTGGCTGTACTTATAACATGCTTCTTTATTTGAGATATTTTTCATTCTTCCCAGCTATACTGAGGGATATTCCAGAGCCTTCACACTTGTGTTTTCTGCTTTTGGTGTAGATATTCTATAGAAGCCTACTCTTTTTTATTCCTACTGAAATTTTTAAAATATATCTTTTATCTGACAGAAGAAAGTTCTTTAATGGAAATTTACATGGTGTTTTCATATCTTTTTCCTTTAATGTGATATTCATACTCTAAATTTATATTAAGGCAGTATTCACTTAATGGGAGTAGACCCATAAGATGCTAGATGTTTAGATTTTACTATCCTATTTTTTAGAAAATTTACCTGCCAGGGCATTCTCCCGTTTAGGAATATACTAAATGTTTATCAAGAATACCTGGAAATTCCATAGCCATATTGGCAAAATGCTATTGGAGTTTTGCATTTTTAAATTATATTATAACATAAATAATATCCTGGCCAGCCGTGCATAATTTGGGTGTAGGAAAAGTGCCCAAATTTATTAAATAGCCCCTAGGCAGCCTGGCATATTGGAAGAAATGTAAGATTTGCAGTTAGATAGACTTACATATTGGCTCCACCCCTTACTAGATGAGTACTAGAAAATAAATAAAATTTCTGAACCTTTATTTTCTCATCTATTAAATAGAGATAATAGTGCTGACAGAATTGTTGTGATGATTAAACTCTAGAAAATAACTTATGTAGAATACCTGGTACACTATAGGCATTAAACAAATGTTTATTTCCATTTGTACCTTTCTGTAAATTTAATAAACTTTTATTAATCCTCACTAAATTCCAGACATTATGTTAGTTATGAAGAATGTGTTAAATTTGTGCTGCCTAAAACAAACATGTTGAAATTTGGTACAAAATATATCATTAGCTACATTGAAAGAGGCTCAAATGCTGGGGTTAATAGATAGTAGTTATGCTATCTGCCAAGCTTTTGATTATCCTTATATTATCTTTATATTTCAAAGCAATCCTAATAAGTATCATGATCCTCAGTTTATAGATAAGGAAACTGAGGTTCAAGTAAGATAAACAATTATCAATATTCACAACTACTGGTGATGGCAGTGTAATAAATGTACCTATATTTTTTCTTTTATTCTTAAAATTCATACTCTTTCATTTAAAAAAGTTATTCTTAAATATTGTTAATAAACATAAACCTATTTTAGATATTCAGAAATTTGTTGAGACTCTGAAGTTTAAACAAATTTATGGGCATATTAATTCAGGAAATGGAGCTCTTGTGGTCCTTATATGGAGATAAACCCTTCCATGATTTTGTGTTAGTACTCAGAATGACCTGGCTTATAACTTAGCTGGCAATTCCTGATAGTCCCCTTTGTCTGACAATGGAGTTTTGTGTTCATTTATCACCATGTGTCCTTGGTATTTGACATTTGGAAATTCAGATGGGCACTTTCAAGTTTCACCATAAATTCCGTTTGACAAATAGTACTTTAGCAACACCCTGAACTTCCCCAGATGGTCATATATACTCTGGATATATAGAATTAGGCAATCCATGTGTTCTATAGAAAATAATACAGTTACCAGAGTAAATTGTCCACCAGGTATTGGAAAGAGCAAGGTGAAATTATTGGTTTAAAGGGTGATTTGTTAAATTGGGGCTTTTCAAAGGGTATTTTCAATAACATAAGTCTTGACAAATGTCCAGTGAAAAACAAGTAAATAAGCAAACGAACAAAAACACAAACAAAACAAAACAAAATAGTTTATTAGTCACTTAAATTTGGGACAAAATGCATACTGCATCATTGTACTGGAGATTCAGAAATGTACATAAGCATAGCATGACTCTGAGGTAATCTATTGTTTTTAAATTTTAAAAAAAATGCTGGATTTTTTTAATACAGAGGTTTCCAGACTGATTTGCCTATGGAACACTGTGTGTGTGTGTGTGTGTGTGTGTGTGTGTGTGTGTGTGTGTGTGTGTTATGTGTGTTTAAAAATCTAAAAGTTTTTCATATGCACCTCATCTATTGCTATTTTCAATAAACTTTACAGACTTCTGGAAGGGTGGCAATGTGAGGAGCCCATAAAAATTTTTACCCAGAAAGACAGCTATTAGGCTGATTAAACTTACCAAACACAAATTTTCAAAATTTTTAGAGCTTGGATCAAAGGACTTACAACCAACTGAGGAGCATTTATTCAACAAAATATATGGAAACTAAACAAAAACAGTGAGATTCTATGACATTCAAGCTAGAGACTGCACCCATGCACACAAAGCTCTGTATTTTAGAAAAAACTGATTCTGCAGGTTTGTCAGCTATGTGACAGTTCCCTTCTCCCGTGGATGCCTGGCATAGAAGAGCTATTCTATTTCAGAAGCTGTTGAACATCATAGGATGCCATTTTTTTTTTACAGCTCTATGCTGTAGAAGGCCTATATTTAGTGGGTGGCACCAGCTAAGCAGGACTCATTACACCACCCCCACCTCCTGATACATGGGAACTACCTGGACAAGTCAGCTGGTGAAGAGTGAAGTACCATTTTCCCATACAGCACAGTGTTGTAGAAGACCTGCTCTGGTGGGCTTGGCAATGAAATGGAACCTGGCACATATGCCAGGTTTCAAGGATGTAAGAGTTATTCGGGGGAGATTTATGAGCTATGGAATATCTTATCCTTCCCAGATGTGATCTCTAGAAGATCCACGTGGGTGGTGGCCATAGCTCAGTGGTAGCACCAGCTTCAATTTCCACCTACCAGAGTTACTGCTCTATAACATAGATGTTCTGCTGGTGGGGAGTGAGAGAAGTTTTCAAAAACTGAAATACCTGATCCCTGCCAAGAAGCTAACTTTAAATGGATCAAACTATAGACTAATACATGCCCCTAAGGAGTTGTTGGACACAATATAGCAAACAACTAACAATTAGTGAGAGCCAGCACCTGGATGTGATGCCAGTATTTCCAGGTTAACCAAAAGCTTAACAGGGATATCAGGAAAAGATAGTCAAAGAGAGGCTGGCTAGGACCAAAGTCATCAGTGGTGGTCAGGAAGACTCGTGTGCATGCTTAAGGCTGTAAACACCAGAGGTTTCACATTATGGGGAAACAGATTTTACTGCATTATTATATTCAATTCATTAAAAAAATAAGCAAAAGAGCAAGCAGTGACATAAAGTCCCAGGAATGAGTAGTTAGGATCCAAAATCACCACAATATATTATTAATATTTAAATGTTCCATTTCCTATTTAAAAAAATAATCAGTTTAAAGAAAGCAGAAAGTTTGACACACAGAGTGTTAAAATGCTGGCAAAAAGCTGACTTTCGTGGTACACAGATGTAAGATACAGCAAACAATTATTTCAAAACAGCTATTATAAATATGCTGAAATATCTGAAATAATCCACGTTAAAATAATTAAAGAAAAATTTTTTGTCTCATCAATTAAAGATTATAAATAAAAATGTAAGAATTATTTTAAAAGCATGAAAATCCTGAAGTTTATAAGTACAACAATGAATTTCTTTAAAAATAATCACTAGGAACTTCCAGTTTCTGGTCCACAAATTAGAAGCTAAGAAGTTGCTAATTTGTACTAACAACAAGTAGAAAACTAAAAAAATAACTCTTCTTAGGTTCGTGAGAGAAGTAAGGTCACAGGACAAACCACCGTCCCAAAATTATAGAGACAGGTAAATACACAGAGTCACAACTTGCCAGAGCAAAATACTCAATGGGGAAAAGTGCTGTGTTGGAAACCCCTAAAATGTAATTGACAAATTGTTGGTGGCTCAGTACGAACAACTCTGAATCTCAAAACTCTAAGGGGATCCAGTCACGGAAGAACTCTATACTTTTGTGAGGTTTACCTCAAGGAACTCGACCTGTTGGTCAGAGTGAATATCAGAGAAAACTTTCACTCATGCTTCTGACAGAGGGAGGGGAAGGGAACCATTTTGAAATACACTAGAGCATTCTGTTCTTCCTAACAAGGCCTGCCCTCAGGAAAAAGTATCAACCAAAGCCTATACTTATAGAGTTTAATCAGAGCATGGCTATTAAGAAAACATTACAAGACATACAAAGAGGCCAAAACACAGTTAAAAAGAACAAATGGCAGTCTCAGACTCAGATATGGCAGGGATGTTGAAATTGTCAGATCAAGAATATAAAACTACTATGATTAATATGCTAAGGGACCTAAAGGCTGATGTAGACATAGACAGTGGAAAGAACAAATGAACAATGTAAGCGGAAATATAGAAATCCTAAGACAGTACCTAAAATAAATAGCAGAAATTTTAAAAAAGTAACAGAAATGAAGAGTGCCTTTGATCCTTTAATGAGTTTCTTATTAGACTAGATACAACTGAAAACACAATCTCTGAACTTAGGCAGATTTCACAAGAAACCTCCAAAATTGAAAAGCAAACAGAAAAAAGAGAATAAAACAGAAAAATATATTCATGAACTGTGGAACAATTACAAGAGGTGTAACTTATATGTGATGAATATACACCAGAAGAAAAGAGAGAGGGAGAAAAAGAAGAAATGTTTAAAACAATAATGAGTAAAAATTTTTCCAAATTAATGTCAGACACCAAACCACAGATTCAAGAAGCTCAGAGATTACCAAACAAGATAACTGCCTGAGGAAACAAAAAAAGATACATAGGCATAAGGTTTTTTTATTACTATTATACTTTAAGTTCTAGGGTACATGTGCACAACGTGCAGGTTTGTTACATATGTATACATGCGCCATGTTGGTGTGTGGCACCCATTAACTCATCATAGTTTCTTTTGCTGTGCAGAAGCTCTTTAGTTTAATTAGATCCCATTTGTCAATTTTGGCTTTTGTTGCCATTACTTTTGGTGTTTTAGACATGAAGTCCTTGCCCAACATAGGCATAAAATGTTTAAGATACAGAAAATCAAAGATAAAGAAAAAATATTGAAAAAAGCAAGAGGGGGATAAAAGACACTTACCTACAGAGAAGTAAATATAAAAATTAGATCTGACTTCACTTTAAAACCATTACAAGAAAGAAGAGAGTGCAGTGAAATATTTAAAGTGTTAAGAGAAAAAAAAAAAACACTAAGCTAGAAAATTTGGTACCCTGCAAAATTATTCTTCATAAGTAAAGCAGAAATCAAAGGTTGGATAAAAAGAAAAAAATAATAGTTTTTTTTTCACCCATAGACCTGCCTTGCAAGCAATGTTACAGAAAGATTTTTAGAGAGAAAGAAAATGATATAGGTCAGAAACTCAGATCTACATGAAGAAATAAAGAATGTCATAATAGATTAATAAATGAAGTATTGGGGGAACCGCCCCCGATAATTCATTGTATTTTCACATAGGTTCTTTTCTATTTCCCTAAGTGTCGGCCAGTCTGAGAAATAAAGGGAAAGAGTGCAAAAGAGAGAAATTTTAAAGCTGGGTATCCGGGGGAGACATCACATGTCAGCAGGTTCCGTGATGACCCCCAAGCCACAAAACCAGCAAGTTTTTATCAGTGATTTTCAAAGGAGAGGGAGTGTACAAATAGGGTGTGGGTCACAGAGATCACATGCTTCACAAGGTAATAAAATATTACAAGGCAAATGGAGGCAGGGCGAGATCACAGGACCAGGGCGAAATTAAAATTGCTAATGAAGTTTCGGGCACGCATTGCCATTGATAACATCTTATCAGGAGACAGGGTTTGAGAGCAGACAACCGGTCTGACTAAAAATTTACTAGGCAGATATTTCCTCATCCTAATAGGCCTGGGAGCGCTACAGGAGACCAGGGCTTATTTCATCCCTTATCAGCAACTATAAAGGACAGACATTCTGGGCTCGCTTTGGCAGCACATATCCTAAAAAAGACAGACATTCCCAGAGCGGCCATTTCAGAGACCTACCCCTAGGAATGCATTCTCTTTCTCAGAGCTGCTCCTTGCTGAGAAAAAGAATTCAGCGATATTTCTCCTATTTGCCTTTGAAAGAAGAGAAATATGGCTCTGTTCCGCCTGGCTCTCAGGCAGCCAGACCTAATGGTTATCTCCCTTGTTCCCTGAACATCTCTGTTATCCTGTTCTTTTTTCAAGGTGCCCAGATTTCATAATGTTTAAACACACATGCTTAGAAACAATTTGTGCAGTTAACGCAATCATCACAGGGTACTGAGGCGACATACATCCTCAGCTTATGAAGATGACAGGATTAAGAGATTAAACAAAAGACAGACATAGGAAATCACAAGAGTATTGATTGGGGAAGTGACAAATGTCCATGAAATCTTCACAATTTATGTTCAGAGATTGCAGTAAAGACAGGCGTAAGAAATTATAAAAGTATAAATTTGGGGAACTAATAAATGCCCATGAAATCTTCACAATTTATGTTCTTCTGCCATGGCTTCAGCCGGTCCCTCCATTCGGGGTCCCTGACTTCCCGCAACAATGAAGGTTAAATTAAAATGAACTTTTATGATTTTTATTAAATGACCTAACAAATAAGAATTGGTTAAAAATAATAAGTGCAACAACAATACATAAGGATACATATTTATTAAAAGTAAATGGATAGATAAATAAATACTCTACTAACACTAATCAAAATAAAGGGAAAATTGCTATATTAATTTGCAACAGAGCAAACTTCAGAACAAAGACAATTATCAAGGATAGAGATATACATAATAATGATTAAAGGGAATAATTCTCAAAGAAGACATAGAAATTACTAATGAGTATATCAGTGACAAGATAAGGTTAAAATATGTAGAGCAAAAAATGATAAAACACCAAGGAGAAATAGTTGACTTCACTATTACAGTAGGAGACTTCTACACTCCTTCCTCTGAAATGGATAGATACAGCATGCAGAATATTATTAAAGACATAGTAGAACTCAAAAGCGCCATCAATCAGCTGGATATTCTGAGCACCTATAGACTACTTCATCCAACAACAGCAAAATACATATTTTCTCAATATAATATGGAAAATTCACCAAGATAGACCACATTCTGATTCATAAAACACGAGTTTAAAAGAAGAAATCATACAGTCTGTTGTCATATTACATGGAATTAAACTTGAAATCAATAATAGAGAGAAAGTAATAAAAATTACAAAATACTTGATGATTAGACAACACATATCTAAATGGCATATGGGTCAAAGAAGAAATGTAAGAAAAAATGTAAAATATGTTGAACTACAAGCAGATAAAAACACAAGTTATCAAAATGTGTGGGATGCAGTGCTTTGTGGGAAACTTGTAGCAGGGAATGCAGATATTAGAATATAAAAGGTCTAAAATCAATAATCTAAAAATCTACGTTAGAAAATTGGTTTTAAAAAGGAAAAATTAATTTTTAAGAAAGCAGAAGAAAAGAAAATATCAGAGTAGAATTCAATGAAATTGAAAATAGTAAATTAATGCAGAAAATCAATGAAACCAAAAGCTGGTTCTTTGAAAGGATCAATAAAATTGATAAGCCTCTAGCTAAGGTAACTATTAAAAAAGAGGAAGGACAGAAATTACCAATATGAGAAATGAAATGGGGGCATCACTACCAATCTCATGTACTTTAGAAAGACAATCAGGAAATATTGCAAATAACTCTATGACCAAATATTTGATAACCTAGATGATATAGACCAATTGTTTGAAAGACACAACCTACCAAACTCACACAGAAAGAAACAGACAATCTGAATAAGCCTATATCTACTAATAAAATTGAATAACTATTTAACCTATCAAAACAGAAATAAGCCTAGCCCTAAATAGGTTCACTGGTGAATTATATCAAATATTCAAATAATAATTTATACCAATTCTTTACAATCTCTTTCAGAAAATCAAACTATGGACATTATGTTCTAAGTCATTCTATGAGGCCAGCATTATCCTAATACCAAAACTTGACAAAGATGTTATAAAAAATGCAGATGAATATCTCTCATAAACCTAGATGCAAAGATCCTCAACAAATAGCAAATTGTATACAACAATGTATAAAAACATATACAGTATGGTCAGGTAGAATTTACCCCAGGTATGCAAAGCTGTTTCAAAATTTATAACCAATTACTGTAATATATGACATCATCAGAAAAAAAAATCATATGATCATATCAATAAATGCAGGAAAACATTTTATGAATCTAACACCCATTTATGATTTTTAAAATCAATACACTGGGAATAAGGGGAATCTTCTTTAATTTTACAAAGAAAATCTACAAAAAAAATCTACAGCCAACATTAGCCTTAATGGTGAGAATCTAACTTTCTCAGTAAGATCAGGAACAAGACAAGAATTTTCTCCCTCACCACCGCTCTTCAACATTGTTTTAATAATCCGAGCTAATGCAATAAGATAAGGAAAAAATTAAAATGTATATAGATTGGAGGAGGAAAAAATAAACAGTCTTTATTGGCAGATGACTTGATTATCTGTGTAGAATATTACAAATAATCAACAAAAAAACTGGAGTAACAAATAAGTGATTATAGCAAGGTTGCAGGATATAAGGTTAATATATGCAAGTCAATCACTTTTTTATATAACATCAATGAACAAGGGAAATTTGAAATTTAAAATGCAATACCATTTTCATTAGCAGCCCCCAAAACTAAGTACCTTGGTATAAATCTAAGAAAATGTGTTCAAAATATATCTGAAGGAACCTACAAAACTGAAGAAATAAATAAAAGAAAAATAAATAAATAAATAAGTAGATATATATTCCATGTTCATGGACAGGAATACACAATACCGTCCAGCTTTAAGTTCTTTATACTTTGATCTATAGATTCAATGCAATTCCAATCAAAATTCTGGCAAGTTATATAGTAGTTATTGACAAACTGGTTTGAAGTGTATTTGGAGAGGCAAAAGATGCAGAAAAGCCAGCACAATATTGAAGAAGAACAAAGTTGGAGCACTGATACTACCCAAGTTTAAGACTTACTATAAAACTTCAGTTTTCAAGGCAGTGTGTTATTTGAAAAAAAAAATACACATAGATCAATGGAGCAGAATGGAAAGCCCAAAAATAAATCCATATAAATATTATGAACGGATTTTTGACAAAGTAGCAAGGGAAGACAATGAAAAAAATAACTTTTTCAACAAATGGTGCTGCGGTGCTGTGCTAGAATGACTATCTGCATGAAAGCACAAAATTAATAGAGGAGAAAATCTAGATGACCTTGGGTTGGCAATGGCTTTCTTTTTTTAGTGAGACAGGGTCTCTCTCTCTCTCTCTCTCTCTCTCTCTCTCTCTGTCATTCAAGCTGGAGTGCAGTGGCATGATCATAGCTCACTGTAGCCTCTATTCTTTGGCTCAAGTGATCCTCCTGCCTCAGTCACCCAAATAGCTGGGACTAAAAGTGTGTTGCACCTGGCAATTTTGTTTAGTTTTAAAGAGACAAGGTCTCATTATACTGCCCAGGCTGGTCTCTAACTCCTGGCCTCAAATGTTCCATTCCTCTTGCCTCAGCCTCCTGAGTTTCTGGGATTACAGGTATAAACTACTGTACCCACTGTCAATGACATTTCAGATACAACATCAAATTCAGAATCCATAAAATATTTTTTTGGGACAGAATTTCACTCTGTCGTTCATGCTGGAGTGCAGTGGTGCAATCTTGGCTCACTGTAACCTCTGCCTCCTGGGTTCAAGCAATTCTCCCACTTCAGCCTCTCAAGTAGCTGGGATTACAAGCATGCACCACCACACCTGGCTAATTTTTGTATTTTCGGTAGAAACTGGGTTTCACCATGTTGGCCAGGCTGGTCTTGAATGATAACCTCAAGTGGTCCAGCTACCTCAGCCCCCCAAAGTGCTGGGATTACAGGCGTGAGACACTGCATCTGGCCCCATGAAATAATTGATAAATTGAATTTCAGTAAAATTAAAGTTTCTGGCTTTTGAAAGACACTGTTAGGAGAATGAAAAGAGAAGCCACAGGCTGGAATAAAATGTGTACAAAAGACATACCTAAAGAACTGCTATTCAAAGTGTACAAAGAATTCTTAAAACTCAATAATAAGAAAATTAAAAACCTAATTTTAAAAATGGGCCAAAGACCTTAACAGAGTCCTCAACAAAGAAGATATACAAAAGTCAAATAAGTATATATGATTACATCATATATAATTATGAACAGGCAGATTAAAACAATCATGAGACACCAATACACACCTATTAGGATGGCTAATGTTAAGACCACTGACAATATCAAAAATGCTGGTGAAGATGTGTAGCAACAAGAAATCTCACTCATTGCTGATAGAAATGCAAAATTATATGGCACTTTGGAGAATAGCTTGGCAGTTTCTTACAAAACTAAATATACTCCTACCATATGATCCAGCAATTATGCTTCTTGGTATTTATCCAAAGGAGCTGAAAACTATGTCCACACAAAAGCCTACACACAGATGTTCATAGCAACTTTTTTCATAATTGCCAAAATGTAGAATTAATCAAGATATATTTCAGTAAGTGAGTAGATAAATTATGGTACATCTAGATAATAAAATATTATCTATTACTAAAAATAAACTCTCAATCCAAGAAAATACATTGAGGAAACTCAAAAATACATTACTAAGTGAAGTAAGTAAATCTGAAAAGCCTACATATTGTATGACTCCAACTATATGACATTATGGAAATGGCAAAACCATGGAGATAGAAAAAAGTTTAGTGATTGTCAGGGGTTAGCAGGAAGTGAGGGATAAATAGGTTGGGCACGCAGGAATCTTAAGGCCATTAATTTCTTATGTATAATACCATAATGGTGGATACATGTCTTTACAAATTGGCCCAAACCCATAGAATGTACAGCACAATGAATAAACTCTAATATAAACTATGAACTCTGTGTGATGATACTGTCAATGTAAATTTATCAGTTGTAACAAATGTATTACCCTTGTAAAGGATATGGATAATGTGGGAGGCTATGCATGTGCGGAGGCAAGTGGTGTATAGAAAATCTATGGTCTTTCTACTCAATTTTTCTGTGAAACTTAAACATCTCTAAAAATAAAATGTGTTTACAAATTACTAACGAAGTTCAACAGTATATTAGAACTTGTTGAGTGAGAATCAGGAAACTTGGAGATACGTTGGTGGAGAAAAATAAGTAAATAAAAATAAACACACCCTTAGAGAAATGTGGGACAACATTGGGCTTATTAATATACATGTAATGTGAGTACAAGAGAGGAGAAAAACAAGCAGAATAAATATTTTAAGAAATACCTCCTGAAACTTTCAAATTTAATTAAAAATGACGTAGACATTCAAAAAGTTTAACAAATTCCATATAGGTTAAACACTGAGTGTTCCACAGCAAGACATGTTATAATAAAACAATTGATAGACACAAAATATCTTGGAAGCAGAAAGAGAAAAATGGCATTTTACATGCAAGAGAAGCTCAATAAGATTACAGCTGATATATCATCATAAATTATTGCTATAATTTGAATGTTTGTTTTCTCTCCAAATTCATACATTGAAGTCCTAAACCCCAGGTTAATTGTATAGGAAGTAGGTGATGAGTAATGAAAATGGATTTCTCATGATTGAGATTAGTGTCCTTATAAAAAAGACCCCAGAGGCATCCGTGATTACTGAGGTTTGAGTAGGCCGTTTTCCCCTCACGGTGAACAAAGCCACCAGGAAGGTAAAACTCGTCGGAGCTCACCACAGCTCTCGGCATAGCCACTGTAGCTAGACTGCCTCTCTAGATTCCTCCTCTCTGGGCAGAGCTTCTCTAAAAGAAAAAATGCAGCCCCATTCAGGGGCTTATAGATAAAACTCCCATCTCCCTGGGACAGAGCACCTGGGGGAAGGGGTGGCTGTGGGCGCAGCTTCAGCAGACTTAAACGTTCTTGCCTGCAGGCTCTGAAGGATCTGGCAGCACAGGGCTGGAGCTCTGCTAAGAGACAGACTGCCTCCTCAAGTGGGTCCCTCACCCCCATGCCTCCTGACTGGGAGTTACCTGCCAGCAGGTGTCTACAGACACCTCATACAGGAGAGCTCCAGATGGCATTTGGCGGGTGCCCCTCTGGGACAAAGCTTCCAGAGGAAGGAACAGGCAGCAATGTTTGCTGATCTGCAGATTCCACTGATGATACCCGGGCAAACAGGTCTCGCATGGACCTCCAAAAAACTCCAGCAGACCTGCAGCAGAGGGAACTGACTGTTAGAGGGAAAACTAACAAACAGAAAGAAATAGCATCAACATCAACAAAAAGGGAGTCCACACAGAAACCCAATCCGAAGGTCACCAACATCAAAGACAAAAGATAGCTAAATCAACGAAGATGGAAAAAAAAAAAAAAAAGCGGAAAAAGGCTGAAAATTCCAAAACCCAACATACCTCTTCTCCTCCAAAGGATCACAACTCCTAACCAGCAAGAGAACAAAACTGGACGGAGAATGAGTTTGACAAATTGACAGAAGTAGGCTTCAGAAAGTGGATAATAACAAACTCCTTTGAGCTAAAGGAGCATGTTCTAACCCAATGCAAGGAAGTTAAGAACTTGAAAAAAAGTGAGAGGAATTGCTAACTAGAATAACCAGTTGACAGAAGAACATAAATGACCCGATGGAGCTGAAAAACATAGCACAAGAACTTCGTGAAGCATACATAAGTATCAATGGCCAAATTGATCAAGCAGAAGAAAGGATATCAGACATTGAAGATCAACTTAATGAAATAAAGCATGAAGACAAGATTAGAGAAAAATGAATGAAAAGGAATGAACAAAGCCTCCAAGAAATATGACACTATGTGAAAAGACCAAACCTATGTTTGTTTGGTGTACATGAAAGTGACAGGGAGAATGGAACCAAGTTGGAAAACACTCTTCAGGATATTATCCAGGAGAACTTCCCCAGCCTAGCAAGACAGGCAAACATTCAAATTCAGGAAATACAGAGAACACCACAAAGATACTTCTCAAGAACAGCAACCCCAAGACACATAATTGTCAGATTCACCAAGGTTGAGATGAAGAAAAAAATGTTAAGGACAGCCAGAGAGAAAGGTTGGGTTACCCACAAAGGGAAGCCCATCAGACTAACAGCAGATCTCTCTGCAGAAATCCTACAAGCCAGAAGAGACTGGGGACAAATATTCAATATTTTTAAAGAAAAGAATTTTCAACCCAGAATTTCATATCCAGCCAAACTAAGCTTCATAAGCCAAAGGAGAAATTAAATCCTTTACAAACAAGCAAATGCTGAGAGATTATGTCACCACTAGGCCTGCCCTAAAAGAGCTCCTGAAGGAAGCACTAAAAATGGAAAGGAAAAACCGGTACTAGCCACTGCAAAAACATTCCAAATTGTAAAGACCCTCAACAATATGAAGAAACTGCATCAACTAATGGGCAAAACAACCAGCTAGCATCATAATGACAGAATCAAATTCAAACATAACAATATTAACCTTAAATGTAAAAGGGCTAAACACTCCAATTAAAAGACTCAGACTGGAAAATTGGATACAGAGTCAAGACTCATCAATGTGCTGTATTCAGGAGACCCATCTCACGTGCCAAGACACACATAGGCTCAAAATAAAGGGATGGAGGAAGATTTACCAAGAAAATGGAAAGAAAAAAAAAAAAGCAGGGGTTGCAATCCTAGTCTCTGATAAAACAGACTTTAAACCAACAAACATCAAAAACAAAAAAACAAAACAAAACAAAAAAAAAACCAGGGCATTACATAATGGTAAAGGAATCAATGCAACAAGAAGAGCTAACTATCCTAAATGTATATGCACCCAATACAGGAGCATCCAGATTCATAAAGCAAGTTCTTAGAGACCTACAAAGAGACTTAGACTCCCACACAATAATAGTGAGAAACTTTAACACCCCACTGTCAATATTAGACAGATCAACGAGACAGAAAATTAACAATGATATTCAGGACTTGAGCTCGGCTCTGGACCAAGTGGACCTAATAGACATCTACAGAACTCTCCACCCCAAATCAACAGAATGTACATTCTTCTCAGTACCACATCGCAGTTATTCTAAAATGGACCACATAATTGGAAGTAAAACACTCCTCAGCATGGAAATCATTACAAACAGTCTGTCAGACCACAGTTTAATCAAATTAGAACTCAGGATTAAGAAACATTCAAAACTGCACAACTACATGGAAACCGAACAACCTGCTCCTGAATGACTACTGGTTAAATGATGAAATTAATGCAGAAATAAATAAGCTCTTTCAAACCAATGAGAACAAAGACATAACGTACCAGAATCTCTGGGACACAGCTAAAGCAGCGTTTAGAGAGAAATTTATAGCACTAAATGCTCACTTCAGAAAGATGGAAAGATCTAAAATTGACACCCTAACATCACAGTTAAAAGAACTAGAGAAGCAAGTACAAACAAACTCAAAAGCTAGCAGAAGACAAGAAATAACTAAGAGCAGAACTGGAGGATATAGAGACATGAAAAACCCTTCAAAAAATCAATGAATCCAGGAGCTGGTTTTTTGAAAAGATTAATAAAATAGATAGATCGCTAGCCAGGTTAATAAAGAAGAAAAGATAGAAGAATCAAATAGACACAATAAAAAAATGATAAAGGGTCTATCACCACTCATCCCACAGAAATACAAACTACCATCAGAGAATACTATAAACCCTCTATGCAAATAAACTAGAAAGTCTAGAAGCAGTGGATAAATTTCTGGACACATACACCCTCACAAGACTAAACCAGAAAGAAGTTGGATCCCTGAATAGATTAATAACTAGTTCTAAAATTGAGAAAGTAATTAATAGCCTACCAACCAAAAAAAACCCAGAAACAGACAAATTCACAGCCGAATTCTAGAAGAGGTACAAAGAGGATCTGGTACCATTCCTTCTGAAACAATTCCAAACAATAGAAAAAGAGGGGCCAGGCACGGTGGCTCACGCCTGTAATCCCAGCACTTTGGGAGGCGGAGATGGGCAGATCATGAGGTCAGGAGATCAAGACCATCCTGGCTAACCCAGTGAAACCCGTCTCTACTAAAAATACAAAAAATTAGCCGGATGTGGTGGCTGGCACCTGTAGTCCCAGCTACTTGGGAGGCTGAGGCAGGAGAATGGCGAGAACCCGGGAGGCGGAGCTTGTAGTGAGCTGAGATCCAGCCACTGCACTTCAGCCTGGGTGACAGAGCAAGACTCCATCTCAGAAAAAAAAAAGAAAGAGAGGGACTCCTCCCTAATTCATTTTATGGGGCTAGCATCATCCCGATACCGAAACCTGGCAGAGACACAAAAACAAAAAAAAACAAAAAAAGAAAAAGAAAATTTCAGGCCAATATCTCTGATGAACATCGATGTGAAAATCCTCAATAAAATACTGGCAAACCAAATCCAGAAGCACATCAAAAAGCATATCCATTATGAACAAGTCGGCTTCATCCCTGGAATGCAGGGCTGATTAAACATACACAAATCAACAAACATAATCCATCACATGAACAGAACCAATGACAAAAACCAAATTATTATCTAAATAGATGCAAAAAAGACCTTTGATAAAATTCAACACCCCTTCTTGCTAAAAACTCTCAATCAACTAGGTACTGATGGAACGTATCTTAAAATAAGAAGAGCTATTTATGACAAGCCCACAGCCTATATCATACTGAATGAGCAAAAGCTGGAACCATTCCTTTTGAAAACCAAAGCAAGACAAGGATGCCTTCTCTCACCACTCCTATTCAACATAGTATTGGATGTTCCAGCCAGGGCAATCAGGCAAGAGAAAGAAATGAAGGGTATTCAAATAGGAAGAGAGGAAGTCAAATTGTCTCTGTTTGCAGATGACATGATTGTATATTTAGAAAACCCCATCGTCTCAGCTGAAAATCTCCTTAAGCTGATAAGCAACTTCAGCAGAGTCTCAGGATACGAAATCAACGTGCAAAAATCACAAACATTCCTATATACCAATAATAGACAAGCAGAAAGCCAAATCATGAGTGAATTCCCATTCAAAATTGCTACAAAGAGAATAAAATACCTAGGAATACAACTTACAAGGGATGTGAAGGACCTCTTCAAGGAGAACTACAAACCACCACTCAAGGAAAAAAGAGAGGACACAAACAAATGGAAAAACATTCCATGTTCATGGATAGGAAGAATCAATATCGTGAAAATGGCCGTACTGCCCAAAGTAATTTATAGATTCAATGCTACTCCCATCAAATCACCATGGACTTTCTACACAGAAGTAGAACAAACTACTTTAAATTTCATATGGAACCAAAAAAGAACTCTTATAGGCAAGACAATTCTAAGCAAAAAGAACAAAGCTGGAGGCACCACGCTGCCTGACCTCATACTATACTACAATTCTACAGTTAAAAAAAAAAAAAAAAGCATGATACTGGTACCAAAACAGATATATAGACCATGGAATGGAACAGAGGCCTCAGAAATAATGTTACACATCTACAACCATCTGATCATTGACAAACCTGACAAAAACAAGCAATGGGGAAAGGATTCCCTATTTAATAAATGGTATTGGGAAAACTGGCTAGCCATATGCAGAAAGCTGAAACTGGACCCCTTCCTTACACCCTATTCAAAAATTAACTCAAGATGGATTAAAGACTTAAACATAAGACCTAAAACCATAAAAACCCTAGAAGAAAACCTAGGCAATGCCATTCAGGACATAGGCATGGGCAAAGACTTTATGACTAAAACACCAAAAGCGATGGCAATAAAAGCCAAAATGGACAAATGGGATCTAATTAAAGAGTTTCTGCACAGCAAAAGAAACTATCATTAGAGTGGACAGGTAACCTACAGAATGGGAGAAAATTTTTGCAATCTATCCATCTGACCACGGGCTAATATCCAGAATCTACAAAGAACATAAAGAAATTTACCAGAAAAGAACAACCCCATCCAAAAGTGGGCAAAGGATATAAACACACTTCTCAAAAGAAGACATTTATGTGGCCAACAAACCCATGAAAAAAAAGCTCATCATCACTGGTCATTAGATAAATGCAAATCAAAACCACAATGAGATACCATCTCATGTCAGTTAGAATGGCAATCATTAAAAAGTCAGGAAACAACAGATGCTGGAGAGGAAGTGGAGAAATAGAAACGATTTACACTGTTTGTGGGAATGTAAATTAGTTCAACCATTGTGGAAGACAGTGTGGCTATTCCTCAAGGATCTAGAACAAGAAATACCATTTGACCCAGCCATCCCATTACTGGGTATATACCCAAAGGACTATAAATCATGCTGCTATAAAGACACATGCACACGTATGTTTATTGTGGCATTATTCACAATAGCAAAGACTTGGAACCAACCCAAATGTCCAACAACGATAGACTGGATTAAGAAAATGTGGCACATATACACCATGGAATACTATGCAGCCATAAAAAAGGATGAGTTCATGTCCTTTGCAGGGACATGGATGAAACTGGAACAATCATTCTCAGCAAACTAACACAGGAAAAGAAAACCAAACACCGCATGTTCTCACTCATAAGTGGGAGTTGAACAATGAGAACACATGGACACAGGGAGGGGAACATCAAACACCGGGCCTGTTGGTGGGTGGGAGCTAGGGGAGGGATAGCATTAGGGGAAATACCCTAATGTATATGACAGGTTGATGGGTGCAGCAAACCACCATGGCACGTGTGTGTATACCTATGTAAACTGCATGTTCTGCACATGTATCCCAGAACTTAAAGTAAACAAACAAACAAAAAATCCTGAGGGATAGCTTGCCCTATCATGTGAGCAGGCAGTGAAATGGCACCATCTACGGAGAAGCAGACCCTAACTAGACACTGAATCTGATGATGTCTTAATCTTGTATTTCTTAGTATTCAGAGCTGTGAGAAATAAATTTTTGTCATTTATAAGCCACTTAGTTTATGGCATTTTGTTATAGCAACCAAAACATCTAAGATAGCAATGGAGTTCAGAAAGAAGGGGGATTACCTAGTCAATGTGCCGGGAAAAAAAAGAAACTATATCAACTAAGAAACTTAAAATCTAGCAAAACTGGCTTTTAAAAGTGAAGGTAAGATAAACGAAAATTGAGAAAGTCTATTGCTGGCAAGCCCATACTAGCAAATCATAACAATGAAATTTTCAGGCTGAAAGGAAGTGATACAACTCAACTACTTAAATCTACATGAAAAAAAAAGTATCATTATAGGGAATTATGTAGGAAATACAAATGACAGTAAAATTGCATATTTATTTTATTAAAGACAATTGTATAAAACAATCTTAATCTAATTGTATTGTTGATGCTATAACATATAACAATGCTACATAAAGAAGTATTTTGACAATAACAGCATTAAGGAGGCAGGGAAGACCGAAGCTATATTGGAGTAAGAAAATAACACTAGATGGTAATGTGAATCCAGGAGAGTGAATGAAGAAAACCAGAAATGGTAAATAAAAAAATTAATATAAGAAATCTATATTTCTTATATTATTAATTATAAAATATAATTTTACATATTTTAATGCTATAAAAATAAAACAGATGTATACTTATATCTGCTTTATTTTTTATAGCATTAAAATATGTAAAATTAAGAAATAATTATAACAATATATGTTATATATTATACATTATTATATATACTATGATACAAGGGTGATCTGTGTCATTGTTATATTATTGTAATATAAAAACAATAATTTGCGTAATTATTGTATTATTAAATTAGAGATGATATATAATTATAATATATAATATACATATGTATATTACATGTATGTATATATAATATACATAATATGTATATTATATATTATAGTATAAATAGTATATTACATATACTATTAGTATATACTACATAATATATGTGATATATTATGTAGAATAATATCTTAATAGAATATATTACTATATTAGATATTTCATATTCATACATATCTCAACATTAAAAGGGGAAGAAGGAAGTACAGTTATATAAGAATAATATTCTAATATCTTACAGAAATTAAGTAAATACAAATCTGAAAGTGATTCTGAAAAATTAAGATGAACACTGTAATCCTTAGAACCACCATAAAAAATGGTGACTCAAAAATATACTATAAAAATTATTAAAGTCATAGCAATGCTATCCTAAAGACTATTAACTTACTACAAAAGTGGAGTAATATAAGGGGTAAATGAGAAACAGAGGCATAAAAAAATTAGATATTTAGAATACAAAAAGTAAAATGGCATAAATAAGTCCATCCATATCAATAACAACATTTAATATAAATGGATTAAACAATGTAATCAAAAAATAGGCTATCAGTCTGGATAAGATAGCAAAATCCAACTATATGCAATCTACAGAAGACACTATGTGGATTTAAAGACACGAGCATACTGAAAGTAAAAAAAAATGGAAGTGTTAAACCATGCAAACAGTAACCATGACAGAGCTGGAATGGCTATGTTAACATCAAAAAGTGTATACTTAAAAAACAAAATATATTACTAGAGATAAAGACGACATCTTAAAATAATAAAACGTCACTCCATCAGGAAGATATAACAGTAAATAAATACTTATGAATCTAAAAACAGAGCCCCAAAATGCATGTAGCAAAAACAGACAAAATTGAAAGGAGAAATGGACAGTTTAACAATAATATATAATACTTCAATACCCCACTTTAAAAAATGGATAGAAAATCTACACAGAAGATCAGTGAGAAAACAGAGGGCTTGAACAATGCTATAGACGTAATAAAACTAACAGTCATCTATAGAACAATCCATCTAACAAAAGCAGAATAGACATTCTTCTCAAGTAAGTCCGCATGGAACAGTCTTCAAATAGACAACATTCTTGGTTACAAAATGAGTTTAAATAAATTAAAAAGAATTGATGTATTATAATGTATGTTCTCCAATTACAATGAAACAAAAATTCATACTATAAAAATATTTGGTAAGTACGTGAAAATTAAACAACAAAGTTCCAATTAACTTGAAAGAGAAATCACAAGGGAAATTTAATAATACTTTTAGATGAATGAAAAAAGAACACACCAACACTTATGGGTTGCAGCTAAATAAATAATTAGAATTTTTTACTGATAATGTCTCTATTGAAGAAGAAGAAATTGGCTTGCATCAATAATCTAATCTTTCACTTTAAGAAACTAAAAATAAAAGTGAATTTTCACCAACACAGGTAAAAGGAAAGGAAGAGCAAAGAATAGAACTGGAATTAATTAAGTATAGAATCAGGAAGAAAGCAATAGAGGAAAATTAACAACCACAAAGTTGGTCCTTTGAAAAAAATTAACAAAATTTTAAAATTTTAGCAAGACTGACTAATAACAAAAGAAAACTCAATAGAATTCAGAAGTAGAAGCCTGTCCTATACTTCAGACCAACTGTCTGCAAATTGGGGTTTCCATGAATCCCCACCTTGGGTTCAATTTGCTGGAGTCGCTCACAGAACTCAAGGAAATACTTTACTTTTATTTGCTCATTTATGATGAAGGATATTACAAAGGATACAGAGGAATCACCAGATGGAAGACATGCACAGGGCCTCTTCAATATATGGAAAAAGGGGTGTGCCACTCTCTAGAAACCTCCAAGTGTTTACTAATCCAGAAGCTCATCTGAACCCTGTCCTTGTAGATTTTTATGGAGCCTTCATTACATAGGCATGTTTGCTTACATCATTGTTGATTAACTCAATGCTCAGGCCCTATCACCTCTCCAGCTTGGAGAGGGGCTAAAAGTCCCAGACCTCTAATTATACCCCAGCCTTTCTGGCTGCCAGCCCCAATTCTGAGACCATCTAAAGACCACTAGTCATAGGTCCTCTCATTAGCATACAAACGAAACTCATCACTCCTGAGATCCTAAGAGTTTTAGGAACTGTATATCAGGAAACTTGAATAAATACTAAATATATGTTTCACAATATTACAGTCTACCCCCAGTCCTCAAACATAAATCTCTTACAGCAAAGGAATCATGTAAGTCAAAAGATACCAACATGATACTAGAATTTTATTTATTCATTGATAATTAGTCCAGTCCATCTTCATATTTTATGAAAATGTCTCCCAGGGGAGGCCACTCAAGTTTACAGGTTTCCATTTGATTTTGTCAAGTTTTGAAGACAGGAGTGGTCTTGGCGAACACATTACTTCACCCTTTCAGGCATCTGGTATTATTGAGCTAAGAGGTAATATTATTCTGTTGCTCTGAGCCTCGTTACATAATCAATTTATTCATTCCTTTACTCTCAGCTACTATTCCTACTACCCATTAATACCCAAACTTTTTCACAATTGGAAGGGACATTAAGATCTGCCAATATCCTGATTTAGATAGATTACAGACAGCAATACTAGTCTAGCAAGTAACTTCCTATCAGTCCACTTTCATTTACATAGGGTACAGTTACATGGGTGCAGAACTAGTGAGCCTTTTTTTTTTTACCAGACAATATAGCTGCATTTACCCTTAGCCCCAGATGAGATGAAGGTACAGCCCACTCCCTGAGTTGTCCCTTGTTGCTGGGAAGGCTCAATCCTGGATAGTCCTATCCCACATTGGGAAGAAAGAGGAGACATTTCAGTGAGGAACTTTAGTTGCACCCAAAAGCCAAATTGGGAATGCATCATAGAGTGTGAAAAGTGAGACCTCAGTCAAATTATTGATTTACATAGCTGCTGTTGCTTATTGAATTATCTCTAGTCTTTGAAATATGATTTTAAGTTATTTGAAAGAAGTAAGATGATGAGAGATGCATCGCATTAATCATTTGAATAGTAGAAATACAATGCACATAAGTATTATAAAAAGAAAATTTGTATGCCAGAACAACAACAAAAAGACCTTTCTTCATTTTCAATATGGAGCCAACTTAAAACATCATGAAGAAAATTAAATCCAGATTCTTCTTTAAAGGCTTGTTGTAACCAAGGGGCTGCTATTCTCATTTTTTTCTAGATGAGTTTCTGCTTCATGAGAACTATTTATATATGCAACAAAAGGTGTTTGCCACCATATATACAGCCTTTTGCTCAGCTGATATATAATCTAAAGCAATGGGGTTTTTTAGTATAACCTTAGCCAAAAATCAGTAGCTTTTTGTTAAAATGGGATAGAAGTGGTTTTATTGGCAATATTTCCTAAGAAAGATTTCCAATCATGTTTTCATGGATTATGACATCTTGCTATGGAAAAAGCATTCTCTCAATGAAATACATTAAGCTATCTTCTTGATGTCTGGCCATGTAATTGTAAATGTCCTCAAAATAGAATTTCTGTTTAAACTAGATCACTGGTTACACCTAGAGAAAAGTTTGAGGAAACTATGACAGTGTTAGTTTTCTTCAGAGCTTTATACAAATAGAGGATGATCAAATATTCTAAGAAATACTGCCCTTTGGTTTGGCAGAACAGGGATTGGTCAATAATATCTGATATGGTTCTTTCCAATGAGTTTGGAGGAAACCTTATATTCAATGACATTTCCAACAAACAAAATATTCAGGTTGGAGGCCATAATCTTTGACGTCTTTGTCTCCCAGGAGCTCATTGTTAAAAGAATCTTTAGTTTAGATTTTTTAGTGAAGTTTTATAAGGCCTTGGGAATATAATGACGAATGTTGCCTTTAAGGAGAACTGATTTGTAGCCTCCCTCATCTTGGCAGATGGACCTTTCTGTTATTATTTTAAAAGAAGAAAGTTGATGTTTTCTAAGTGAGGTAGAACATAAGTTAAGCAATACTAATGGAACAGCCTTAGGCTAGAGAAGGTTAAACATTTCCGTAAGCTTTTCCAATTGATTATTTTATTTTATTTTTCCATAAATTATTGGGATACAGGTGGTATTTTGTTACATGAGTAAGTTATTTAGTGGAGATTTGTGAGATCCTGGTACACCCATCACCTGAGCAGTATACACTGCACCATATGTGTTGTCTTTTATCCCTTGCCCCCCTCCCACTCTTCCCCCCAAGTCCCCAAACTGTCTTTTATCCCTTGCCTCCTTCCCACTCTTCCCCCTAAGTCCCCAAAGTCTATTGTATCATTCTTATGCCTTTGCATCCTCACAGTTTAGCTCTCACATATCAGTGAGAACATATGATGTTTAGTTTTCCATTCCTGGGTTACTTCACTTAGAATAATAGTCTCTAATCTCATCCAGGTCATTAGAAATGCTGTTAGTTCGTTCCTTTTTATGGCTGAGTAGTATTCTATCATATATATATACACATATATATACACACACACATACATATATACATATACATATATATGCACATACATATACACACATACGTGTATATACATATATACACATATATGTATATACATATATACATATCTATATATACATATATACATACATATATGTATATACATATCTATATATACACACATATATATATACACACAACACTTTCTTTATCCACTCATTGATCCATAGCCATTTGGGTTGGTTCCACGATTTTACTATTGTGAATTGTGCTGCTATAAACATGTGTGCAAGTATCTTTAGTGAATAATGACTTCTTTTTCTCTGGGTAAATACCCAGTAGTGGGATGCTGGATCAAATGGTAGTTCTACTTTTAGTTCTTTATGGAATCTCCACGCTCTTTCCCATAGCAGCTATACTAGTTTACATTCCCACCAGCAGCATAGAAGTGTTCACTGATTGCTGCATCCACGCCAACATCCACTGTGTTTTGATTCTTTGATTAGGGCCATTCTTACAGGAGTAAGGTGGTATTGCATCATGGTTTTGATTTGCATTTCCCTGATCATTAGTGTTGTTCAGTATTTATTCATATGTTTGCTGTCCATTTGTATATCTTCTTTTGAGAATTGTCTATTCATGTCCTTAGCCGACTTTTTAACGGGATTGATTTTTTTTCTTACTGATTTGTTTAAGTTGGTTGTAGATTCTGGATATTAGTCCTTTGTCACTTGTATATATTGTGAAGATTTTCTCCTACTCTGTAGGTTATCTGTTTACTCTGCTGACTGTTCCTTTTGCCATGCAAAGGCTCTTTAGTTTAATTATGTCCCAGCTATTTATCTTTGTTTTTATTGCATTTGCTTTTGAGTTCTTGGTCATGAAATCCTTGCTTAAGCCAATGTCTAGAAGGGTTTTTCCAATGTTATCTTCTAGAATTTTTACAGTTTCAGGTCTTAGGTTTAAGTCGTTAATCCATCTTGAGTTAGTTATTGTATAAGGTGATAGATGAGGATCCAGTTTCATTCTCCTACATGTTGCTAGCCAATTATTCCATCACCATTTGTTGAAAAGGGTGTCTTTTCCTCACTTTGTGTTTTCGTTTTCTTTGTCAAAGATCAGTTGGCTGTAAATATTTGGGTTTATTTCTGGGTTCTCTATTCTGTTCCATTGGCCTATGTGCCTATTTTTATACCAATACCATACTGTTTTGGTGACTGTGGCCTTATAGTATAGTTTGAAATCAGGAAATGTGATGCCTCCAGAAGGGACATACCTTAATGTAATACAAGCCATCTATGACAAACCCACAGGCAACATAATACTGAATGGGGAAAAGTTGAAAGAATTCCCCCTGAGAATGAGAACAAGACAAGGATGTTCACTCTCACCCCTCCTCTTCAACATAGTACTGGAAGCCTTAGCCAGAGCAATCAGACAAGAGAAAGAGATAAAGGGCATCAAAGTCGATATAGAGGAAGTCAAACTGTTCCTGTTTACTGACGATATGATCATTTAACTTGAAAACCCTAAGGACTCCTCCAGAAAGCTCCTAGAACTGATAAAAGAATTCAGCAAAGTTTCTGGATACAAGATTAATGTACACAAATCAGTAGCTCTTTTATACACCAACAGTGACCAGGCAGAGAATCAAATCAAGAACCAATTAATTTTTTTTATCCCATTTGTGTATTCTTTCAATCCAGAAGACTGAAGGTGGTATGCACAATGAAAATGTTGAAAATATTGGCTGGATGTTTTAAATGGACTGAATTATTTGACATGTGAAATGGGTTGCTTGGTTACCGTGAAGCTCAGAAGAAACTCCACAAGGAATAGGACAAGAGTTAAAATGGCCATGGTTAAAGATGCAATTCATAAATTCTAATTTGAAGCTAACAGGTATTGGTCACAAATAAAAAGACAAGTCCAAATTACAATCAATAGAAGGCAGCTGCAATTTTAAAAGCATGCTATCTAATTTAATGTCAAAAGAAGTGAAACCATCAGTGCTAGACTGCCAATACCCGGACTTCCTGCTGTGAGACAGGTGGAGAAGGCAGAAATTATCTGTAGAGTTATTTGCCTGACCATAACCCAAACATTCTGTCCTGAAGCAGAGGCATAGAAGGCAGTTTTCTTTTTTTTTTTTTTTCCTGAAACTTGAATCTCCTTCTTGTAGACAGAGATGGAAATCTCCATTCTAGAAAGGGAGGGTTGAAAAGAACAGTTCAAGCAAAGTATAGACATAACCAAAGAGTGGGAAGGTCCAAATTCAAGAGAACTCACACTTTACACTCAATGTCATCAGAGCTGAAAGAACTAAAGGGGTTCTGGTTGGCCAGGCATTGAGTCTGGGAGGAGTATCAAATGGCTGGAAGGGGATTCGCTCTGAAACCTGTTCACAGTCCCAGAAAGATTGACCAAAAGGAAGAAAATGAGGCACAAAATATTTTAAAGTGTTTACTTGTGTCAAGATAAGGACAGCTGCCCAGAAGACTAATACCCAAGTACCCTTGGAGATAAGCTCTGATGAGCCTTTATTGATCAGCAGATTTTAAAGGCAAAAAGGGGGACTAGGAGTACGATGATACAAAGATATCTGTCAGAAATTCCCATTGATTTACATAAATAACACTGGTTAGTAATTGACTGTACATTGTTGAACTATAGGGTGCAAGTTACAGTGTCCAGCATGCAGCATTATTGGGTTAATTTTTAGCTACTGGTGGCAGCAACTAGTTTAGAGTTCACATAGCAAACAGATTCAATAGATGATTACTTAAGGTGGGAAAGTGGGATGTGACTGCTATTTCATTTTCATTCACCTCTGGGCCTGATAATTTAGAGGAGATGCACATTTCTTGCTTGAAATCATTTATTTTCTTTTTCACCATTCCACATCTTTATCGTACTTATTCTGGAGAGAATATCTCTCTTCCATTGTTGGACATTATGGACTATGAAATGTGTTCCTTGGTCTGAGGAAATGTGACTTGACCCTTCAAACTTGTGCAATATCTTCTGTTCTGGTCCTTCTGTAGCACTTTGAGCAGTTGCATTTTCCACCAAATAAACAAAGACTTATCCAGGGTTGGTGTCTATTCCTGTCAAGACCCATTTGTAACCTCCCAGGATTACCAGCATCAGTCTCACTTGATAGCTATGTTTAGGGCCTTTGCTCCAGAGAATCTGTGCCACATCCATTTGCAGTCTTTCTCTTCTTTGCTCTCAGATAAAACAGTTGCCCAGGCTGGAGTGCAATGATGCAATCTCAGCTCACTGCAATCTCCGCCTCCCAGGCTCAAGTAATTCTCCTGCCTCAGCCTCATGAATAGCTGGATTACAGGCATGGGCCACCACCCCCAGCTAATTTTTTTCCTTTTTTTTTTTTTTTTTTTTTTTTTTTAGTAGATACTGAGTTTCACCATCTTGGCCAGGCTGGTCTCGAACCCCTGACCTCAGGTGATCCACCCACCTCAGGCTCCCAAAGTGGTGGGATTACAGGCATGAGCCACCACGCCTGGCCATGAAATAGTTCTTATTGGCATTATGTGCCTGAGAAGGCACAAAAGGAATATATCTAGATTCAGGCCATCTTGACATTGCTGCAGCTCTTCCACATCTACTCACTGAATAAAACATGATGTGAACACACATGGATATCTGCTTGTTGATTCCAATCACCTTCAGAACCTGAAGTTCTTCTGATGGGCATCAGCCTGTTCTACTCTAATGCACCTCTCAAATTTTCATAGAGCCATGGCCCATTAGGAAGTCCCCTTTAATACAGTAGGTTTCCATTGTTCTCCAGCCTGACCATGTAGCCTGGCCATTGATCTCTGCCCATGAGTCAGTAAAAACCCAAACATAGGCACTTTTACCACTGTTCAATACTTCCATCATTGCTAGAAAGAGATCATACAGTCTAGCACACTGAGTTTATTTGTTTGTACTTTCTTCAATCAGTGACATCCCTCCAAATAAGATGAAGTTTCTTTTCACCTTGGAACCATGGTCTACAAACCAAGACTCTCTTTGTCAGGCAGTTGATAGCCGCTTATATGGCACTGTCCAAGTGTTGATAGAATCCAAGAGCTCCTCGCACAGTTCCAGATTCAGCACTAGTGGAAAAGAGGCCTCCTGTTTGTATCTTCTCCTTGAACTTCCCAGGTGGCGTGGTTTTGTATAAACCTTTTGAATTCTCTAGTCCAAAGTTCCAGTGGTCATTGGGAAGAGCTCACAGGCTTTTGCCATAAGCCCCATTCTACCCTCAACATTACAACACTAAATGTATATATAGTTTTATGTAAATTTTAGAATTTTTTTCTACTTTTGTTAGGAAAGTCATTGGTATTTAAATAGGTATTGAATTAAATTTATAGATTGCTTTGGGTACCATGAACATTTTAACAATATCAACTCTTCCAAATCATGAATATGAAGTACTTTTTCATTTTTTGGTGTCCTCTTGAATTTCTTTTATCACTGCTTTACAATTTTAATTGTAGAGATATTTTACTTTTTTGGTTAACTTAATATTCTTAGGTATTACATTTTATTTGTGGCTAAGGTAAATGAGATTACTTTTAATTTTTTTCAGACTGTTCACTGTTGGCACATAAGAATGGTACTGATTTTTTATGTTAATTTTGAATCCTGCAACTTTACTGAATTTCCTTATCAATTGTAGTAATTTTCTTGTGGAGTCTTCAGGTTTTTCCAAATAAGAGATCATATCATCTGCAAACAAGGATAGTTTAACTTCTTCCATTCCAGTGTGGATGCCCTCCATTTCTTTCTCTTGTCTGATTGCTGTAGCTAGGACTTCCAGTAGTAGCTATATGCATGGTGCAAGCGGGCATCCTTCTTATGTTTCAAAGTTTAGGGGAAATGCTTTCAGTTTTTTCCCATCCAGTATGATACTAGCTCTGGGTGTGTCATATATGTGTTTATTATGATGAGCTATGTTCTATCACATTTTTTTAGGGTTTTTATGAGCTATGTTCTTATGCTCTTTGTGTACCATTTTTGAGGGTTTTTATGAAGGGATGTTGAATTGTATCATGTTATTTTTCAGCATCAATTGGAATAATCATGTGGTTTTTGTTCTTCATTCTGTTAATTTGATTTATCACATTTATTTATTTATGTGTGTTGAACACTCCTTGCATACTAGTGATAAATCGTGATTGGTCATGATTAATTGTCTTTGTACTGCATTGTTGGATTTGATTTGCCAGTATTTTGTTGATAATTTTTTATTAATATTCCTCAAAGATATTGGCCTGTAGTTTTTTTCTTGATGTTTTTTGTTAATGTTTTGATATCAGGGTAATACCGACTTCATAGAATGAGTTTTAAAACAGAGAAGCAGTATTTATTCCTCCTCTATTTTTTTAGAATAGTTTAATTAGGATTGGTATTAGTTCTTCTCTAAATGTATGGTAGAATTCAACAGTGAAGCCATCAGGTCCCCGGCTTTTCTTTACTGGAATAATTTTTACTACAGCTTTGATATTGTCATTTGCTATTGGTCTTTTCAGCTTTTGAATTTATTTCTAGTTCAATCTTGGTAGGTTGTATGTATCCAGGAATTTACCCATTTCTTATAGATGTTTAAATTTATTGGTAAATAGATGCTCACAGTAACCAGTAATTATTATTTTTTAATTTCTGTAATATCAGTTGTAATGTCTCCTTTTTCAACTCTGATTTTATTTTTATCTCGTCTTCTATTTTATAGTTAGTCAGGCCAAAGGTTTGTCAAATTTATTTATTTTTTTCAAATAAACTACTTTTTGTTTCAGCTGTCTTTTGTAGTTTTTTTCTTTATTTTGTATTCATTTGTTTCCACTGTCATCTTTATTATCACTTTTCTTCTACTAACTTTGGGTTAGTTTTCCTCTTGCTTTTCTAGTTATTTAACATGCAATATTAAAGTGTTTATTTGAAGTTTATCCCCTTTTTTGATGTAGGCACTTATAGCTGTAATCTTCCCTCTGAGTACTACTTTTGCTGTATCCCATAGATTTGGGTATTTTGTGTTTCCATTATTATTTGTTTCAAAAATGTTTACATTTCCTTCCTAATTTCTTTATTGACCCACTGGTCATTCAGAAACATATTTTTAATTTCCATGTATTTGCATAGTTTCCAAAATTTCTCTTACTATTAATTTCTAGTTTTATTTTATTGTGGTCTGAGGAGATGGTTGATATTATTTCAACTTTTTGAATAATTTAACACTTGCTTTGTGACCTAACTTATGGTCTATCTTTGAGAATAATCCATGTACTGAGCTAAAGAACGTGTATTCTGCAGCTGTTTGATCAAATATTTTGTAAATATATGTTATATCCCTTTGTTCTATAGTGTAGATTAAGTGCAATTTTTTAAAATTAGTTTTCTGTGTGAAAGACATGTCCAATGCTGAAAGTGGAAGGTAGAAGTCCCTAGCTATTATTGTATTGGAATCTATGTCTCTCTTTACCTCTAACAATACTTGTTTTATGCATCTGGGTGCTTCAGTGTTGGGTGCAGATGTACTTAAAATTGTTATATTGTCTTGATAAATTGACATCTTTATCATTATATAGTGAGCATCTTTTTCTCTTCTTATGGCTTTTCTCTCAAAATTGATTTTGTCTGAAATAAGTATAGCTACTTCTGCTTTTATTTTTCTTTCCACTTGCATAAAATATATTTTTCCATCCCTTTATTTTCAGTCTATCTGTGTCTTTATAGGTGAAGTGTCTTTCTTGTAGGTAACACATTATTGGATCTTGTTTTTTTATCCATTCAACCACTCTAAGTCTTTTAATTGAAGAGTTTAGTCCATTTTCATTTAATTTTATTATTGATAAGTAAGGACTTACTCTTGTCATTTTGTTATTTGTTTTCTGGTAGTTTTCTGTTCATAGCTCATCATAATAAAGCTGTATATGACAGACCCAGAGCTAGTATCACACCGAGTGGGAAAAAAACTGAAAGCATTTCCCCTAAAATTTGAAACATAACAAGGATGTCCCTTTACACCATGCATATAGCTAGTACTGGAAGTTCTAGCTACAGCAATCAAACAAGAGAAAGAAATGGAGGGCATCCAAGTTGGAATGGAAGAAGTTAGATTATCCTTGTTTGCACATGATATGATCTCTTACTTGGAAAAACCTGAAGACTCCACAAGAAAACTATTACAACTGATAAAGAAATTCAGTAAAGTTGCAGGATTCAAAATCAACGTAAAAAAATCAGTACCATTCCTATGTGCTAACAGCAAACAATCTGAAAAAAAATTAAAAAGTAATCTCATTTACCTTAGCGACAAAAAAAACCTAAGAATATTAAGTTAACCAAAAAAGTAAAATATCTCTACAATGAAAATTGTAAAGCAGTGATAAAAGAAATTCAAGAGGACACCAATAAAATGAAAAAAAATTTCATATTCATGATTTGGTAGAGTCAATATTGTTAAAATGTTCATGGTACCCAAAACAATCTATAAATTTAATGTGATACCTATTAAAATACCAATGACTTTCTTAACAGTAGTAGAAAAAAAAATTCTAAATTTATGTGAAACTACAAAGACCCAAAATAACAGTAGGTCACAATCAGCAGCTTAGGGTTGGGGGAAGGGTGATGACAGCACTCTCCTAGCCACCCCTGCTGTCTTGGTAGGTCACATGCCCCTCCCAGTAAACTGAATCTGGGCTCAGTTCAGCACCAATAGTCATGTAAATGGTGCTGTTCCTGTGGCCTAGACTGCCACCAAAGCCTACCTAGAACCTCAGAGCACTTTAACCTGCAGTGGCTTCGGCTGCAGAACCTCAAGTTCCAACCACTAGAATCATAAAATCTCCTCTGACTAGGGCTGGTTTGAATGCTTGCTCCATGGGTGGGCATCATCTGAGTTAGGTCAGTTTTTCTTTTCTTCTATAACAGGACAGCACTGAGTTCAATGTCACACAATTGCTGAGTGCTCCCTTCACCCCAGAACACAGTAATGCTTTCTGCAACATGTTGCTGCTACAGGGGAGTAGGGGAGGGGTGGCATCAGCAGTTCAAGACTGTGAATGCTCACCGGATTTTTGCTTCTTATGAAGGTGCTTTTCTTGTGTAGATAGTTGTTAAACTGGTGTCCTTGTGTGAGGTACAATAGGTGGAGCTTTCTATTAGACCATCCTGCTCTGCCTCCCTCCCCTACCTTTACATTTGTGTTCTAGTTTCAGGAACTTCTCTTCTCCTCCCCTTTGAGCATTTTATCCAGTCTAGTGCAGAAGGCATTGGGTCTCCAGCAGGGAATTACACCAATTTGTTCTAGCTATTTTGTCTATCTTTATTTTTATTAATCTGCCTCATTATTGCCCTAGGCAATTACAGATCAGATTTTTCATTATAATCTTTGCCTTCTGACTTTTAAAATTTCTCCAAACTGGGGAAAATAGAGCTAATTTGTTTAATCCCTTTAATGTTGCAGGACAACCAGGGGCTCCCTTTGGTTCACCCAAGCTTTGATAGTGTTGTATTAAAACCTTTGTTTTAAGCCCATCAATTTCCATTTTATTCATCTAATTTATTAATAATCCTTTTAATATTTCTACCTTTCTTTTTCCTTTTGTTGCCGTGCTCTGATTAATGTTTGTTTTATTCATCTTATTTTAAAATAACCCTTTAAAATTTCCACCTTCCTTGAATGAGTCTGACTCTCACTTCTGCCTTTCACTATTCCCTTGTTAATTAACCTTATTTTTGTGCCTGTAAGAATCATGAAAAGAAGCTGAGAAAGAAAATCTGGTAAGACTTCCTGAACTGTTTTTCCATTGCACAGCAGCAAAGTTATAGGGGAAATCCACATTAAAAAGGCCCTCCTTGTGCACAATATTTACCATGACCTTGGTAATGGGCAGATTTCCTGGGTGAATATTTCTGTCATCATGAACCAGTTCTAAATGGCCTGCATGAGAAGTATATCAAGTGCTTCATTTGGGGTGCTCCACTTGGTATTTATTGAGGCAGGAGGGTGGTTTGGCATCCTTACTCTCGGGATCAACACTCTACAGTGGCTTTCATTCAGTCCACTAGGCTGGCAATTCCTTCAGAAATAACCTCCTGTGAGTTTGAATCACATACAGCCATATGTGATTGTTCCATAGTGAGCTGTGGGTCCTGCATCAAGCCAAATATGCTCCTAATAGCATTTAAAACCAAAGATGCTGCTCCTAAATTAGTTATTCTCACAATCTATTTTAATTAAAAAATTCTCAGGAATCTGATAATACTGGTCTTCAAAATGAAACAATTCCTTCACCATATACCCTCTGGTTTCAACAGTTTCTTGGTTTTACCCTTCTCCTACGTTGACTACCTTCTTGGTAACCAGAAGCCTTGCAGCTGCTTTCTGTTGTCCTGTATATTTTTTCCCTTGGGGCTCAGCTTTGAAGCTAGTGGCCCAAGTTCGGACTCACTGAATTCTGAGCTTGATCTAGCACCAAGATGCAACCAGGCACATCCTTTGAATTTTCTTTTAGCCATAAAAAATAACTACAACCAAGAATTTGAATGTTTTGCTTTATTGTTAGTAGCTTGCATTTTCTTATATGTCCAGTGAATTAAACCCTGGGAGTTGGATCAATTCTGAATTCCACTGGTAACCTTTACTTTTAGCAATTGATTGCAGCACAGCTGCTGCTCTATACCATGGGTCACCATGTGGCCACCCCAAAATCAAAAGTTTCTCATTCCCTAATTTTTTAATTTTTTTTGTTCCTAAACTACATGCCTCCATGAGCCAGAACCATTCTAGAAAATCCCACCACTGCCACCAACTCACAATATGTATAGGAAGAACCAAAGATGTTTTTTTTTTCCTACTCTAACTACCAAAACTGACTCAAGAAAAAATTGCAAATCATATTGGGTATATAAAAAAAATCAGAAAGAAATTGAATTACTAATGATATAATTTCATTTATAAAGCCCAAGTCTAGATAGCTTTACTGGTGAATTCTACAAAAAATAAAATAATTAGTACCAATTATTCACAAACTCTTCCAGAAAATAAAAGAGGATGAAAAAAATTTCAACTCATTCTAATAAGCTATGATTACCCTGAAAGTAAAATCAGATAGTGACTTCAAAAGAAAAAAAATACAAATCAATATTCTTAATGAATGAAAAAGCTAAAATTCTCAATAAAGCAACCAGAAAACCAAATGCAACCACATATAAAAAGTATTATACATCATGACTGAGTGGGATTTATCCCAGAAATGAAATGTGAGTAACATCACTTAATGTACACCATATCGACCACATTAACAGAGCAAAAGGCAAAAAACACATGATCATCCTAATAGACACAGAAAAAGCATTTGACAAAAATCCAAAATCATTTTATGATAAAAAAGAAAAGCACTTATTCAATTAGAAATAAAAAAAGAACTTAACCTAATAAAGTCCATCTACAAAAGCTTCTCAGTTAGCTTCATACTTAATACTTATCCCTATGATCAGAAAGAAGTCACGTATATCTGCTTTCACCAATTATATTCAATATTTTTCTAGGGGTTCTAGCCATAGCAATTTGACAATGAAAATAAATAAGAAGTACTATGATTGGAAAGAAAGAAGTAAAATGACGTCTACTTAAAAATGGCATAATCTTGTATATTGAAAATCCTAAGGAAATGAATAAAATACTTTTAGAACTAACATGAGTTCAATAAGTTTGCATGATACATGATTAATATTCAAAAATAAATTGTATTTCTGAGTATTTGCAATTAACAATCTGAATATAAAATTAAGAAAACAATTGCAATTTTAATAGCATGAAAAATAAAATACCTAGAAATGACTTTAATAAAAGTTATACACTGAAAACTATAAAACTTTCAGGAAAGAAAAAAAAGGCACAAATAAATTAAAAAGTACATCATGTTCAAGGATTGAAAGACTTAATAATTCTAGAATGGCAGTACTGCCCTATTTGATCTGCAGATTTAACACAATTCATGTCAAAATACCAAATACATTTTGTGCAGTAATTGACAAATTAAATTTAAATGTATATAAAAATGCAAAGGATCCAAGTTAGCCAAAATAACATAAAAAAAAAAAAAGAAAAAAAAATGAAACTTTGGGGGACTCATATTTTCCACTTTTAAAACTAGTTTCAATGATGCAATAATGAAGACAGAGAGGTACTGACATAAGGATAGACAGGTAGATCAATGGAATAGAATTGAGAGTCTAGAAATAAACCCTAGAATACAAGGTCAGTTATTTTCAACAAAGGTATAATGACTTTAAAAAGGAGAAATAATATTCCTTTTAAAAGATATTACTGGGATAACTGGATATTTACATGTAAAAGAATGAAGCTGGAGGCCTACCTTAAACAATTTACAGATTAACTCAAAATGGATCATAGACCCAGATGTAAGTGATAAAACTATAAAACTTATAGAAGAAAATTAACTTTTCATGACCTTGGTGTAGACAATTTTATCTTGAATATGACACAAAGTGCAAGCCACAAAAATAAATGAATTGAACTACATCATATGAAAAACTTCTAAGCTGTAAATACCACCTAGAAAATAAAAATATGTCAGAGAATGAGGAAAAATATTATCAAATCATATATCTAATAAAGGACTTATATCCTGCATATAAACAGAATGCTTACAACTCAGTAATGAAAAGATAGATGATAGCCTGAATTTTAAAAATGGTAAATTACCTGATAGACATTTCTCCAAGGAGAGATTAAAAATGGCCAGTAAGAGATACAAATGGCCAGTATGCTTAACTTCATTGGTGATTATATAAATAAGAAACAAAGCCATAATTAGGCTCTAATTAACATTCACTGGGTTGTCTATAATAGAAAATACAGACACTAACCAGTGTTGGCTGGGACGTGAAGCAACTATCTATACAATTGAATAGTATTTGGCAATAAAAAGTAATGAAGTTCTGATACATTCTACAACGTGGATACAACTTGAAAATATTTTGGTATGTGAAAGACTTGTTTCTTTCACAAACAAAAGACAAATATTGTATGATTTGATTTATATAAAAGAGAATGAATAGGTAATTGTATTGAGATATAAAGTAGATTATTGTTTACCTCAGGAGAAACAAATGGGGAGGTAGAATGAAGAATTGCTACTAATGGCTTTCGGGTTTCTTTTTGGAGTGATGAGTATGTTCTAAAGTTAGATTGCAGTTATGGCTGCTCTACAAATATGTGTATACAGTAAAAAGTACTAAATTTTACAATTTAAATTAATGAATTATATGGTTTGTAAATTACATATCAATAATGCTGTTTTAAAAAAATAGCCATAGTTTACTGAGAATGATGATTTCCAATTTCATCCATGTCCCTACAAAGGACATGAAATCATCATTTTTTATGGCTGCATAGTATTCCATGGTGTATATGTGCCACATTTTCTTAATCCAGTCTATGGCACATGTATACTTATGTAACTAACCTGCACATTGTGCACATGTACCCTAAAACTTAAAGTATAATAATAAAAAATAAATAAATAAATAAATAAGTAATAGCCATTATCTAATCTATATTTGAAATAATTTTAGCAGTCCCCAATTGGTCAAATAGTGCATTAATTTTGGGCATAGTATCATATAATTTAATTATCTATGATACATATAGGATTTACTATTCCTTCTACTTAGAAACAAGATTGAGGGAGAAAATTAGAAATTCTGAGAAGTTTGATTAATGTCTTATTTTACTATCTTACCATTATTCTGACTTCATCTCAAACCTCTCCATTCATTTTAGAAATCTGTGCCCTAATTTAATTATCATCCTTTCCATATAGGCAATCAAATTGGTTCTACATGTTTTTTAGTGAAATACATCTATAATTTCTCTTAGCACAAATATATTTCTTCTGTACATGTCATAAAAAATAAATTGGACTACATCAAAATGAACAACTTTTTTATGTAAACAATGGCACTAGAAAGTGCTCTCAGATTATCTTCAGTATATCTGGGGCTATTCTTCTAGGAGATGACGAAGAATGCGATTATTTCTTTTTTTTTTTTAATTTGGGGTTTTCCCAACCATCAGATCTCATAGTGACCACTAGAAGTAAACTTTCTAAGATTTCCTGTGTGTCTGAAATTTTTTAGTTGGAATCCTTTCATTATGTTAATCAAGAGTTTTGTTTAATAGTATAACATGGACTCTATAATGGACCCACTTAATAGGTACCTATAGTGGTAGAGCTCAATAATTTTATGTTTAACAAACCCTTAGGGAATTCCAATGTGTATTAGTATTTGAGAAAGTCAGTTTAGCTTAATTTGTATATATCACTTGAAGTTTCTCTGGTGACTTATTCAACAGAAATTCCATAAGACTCTTTGTCTAGCTAGTTTAGAATCATAAGTTGGCCTCTCCAGTAATCTTCACTTTTCTCTTCAGTAATCTGCAATATCTTTAATATTCCAGGCACAAGAATAACATTCTTTCCTTTTTCAAAAATTCTAATATTTGTTGTTATATAAATTTGTTACTTCTAGGTTGTTAGTGAATTTTTGATATTTTTGGTTTTCTCTAAAACATTTTTATAAACCTATAATGATTAACATATGCGTATTATTGACACATAATATTCTTAAAGTTCCTAGTCCTTCCAGTAAATTGTAGCCTTTTTGCATTTTTCTGATCTTTAACTTTCTTCATCAGTTATTTTAAGCATACAAGAATATCTTCCAATTATTTTTCAACCTTTCACTTGTTTCATTTGGCCAATAGTGAGAAGTCTTCATAAATTTTACTATCTGGAAACAAGTTGGCATTTGGTATTAATATTAATATAATAGTATAGCATAGCGTATGTGAAGTATACATGTGTAAATAAAGCTATGTGTCCAATTGTGCTTTTTATTATAGATAAACATATGTGTCAGTTTTAGTTGATATGTGCAAAACTTTAAAATTTTAAATAATATATAAATCAAAAGGGTAGTTTAAATAATAAAACATATAAAAAGTGAGCCATGTATGATGTTTCTGAAGAATCATATAAATATGGTAAACTATTAGCACGTTGATATTTAAATGATTTACCCTAAAAATGGTGAATGATGACATGTATATTAGACTCTACAATTTAGTGTAATGTATTTGCATGGATAATCTAGTTATTGAGGCAAAAGTACTTTCTTATTTTCTTCCATGTAAAATTATGTATTATAAAAAATGAAATAATTTCTGTGAGACCTCTCTATATGTAAATGACAGAAGTGATAAAACATCTAAATTATTAGCAAGATTATCCACATACTTTTTAATTATTCCCTTCAGGGTTGCATTAAATCTTTTCTGTAGTTCACTCTGGGAATTAAGCTGTAGCCTTGAGTTGGTTAACCACAACTGCATTTCTATCACATTTGGAATAAATCTGTGTACTTGTTAACATTAAGGGTAAAGTGCCCAGTGAAAAATAACACCCAGCAAAGCATTGCCTAATACCACATTGTCAATAGGGGCATAGAAAAGAACCTAATATATCCAAATCAGTCAATGGATGCTATTTATCTATGAGTGAAGAATTAACAAGAGCTCTTTTTTTGGTATCTGCTCTTTCTTATTTTATAGAATGTCTAGAAACACAAAAGTCATCATTTGCTATCATTTCCATACTAGGTAAAATTTGTCCAGTCTTTCTCTGATCATGTTGATTCACAAAAGAATTGCAGTATCTCAATAACCATTTTTCCCCTTGGTGAATGACTCCAAGAGTCCAGGTCTGGTGACTTCTGGGTAGTATCACTATGACTTATATGCTTGTCTCAGAGAAGACCTTATAGACAAAATCACAGTAGCTTCCCCTTTGTGCATGACTCCTGGCATTCCTGATGGTGTTTTGTGTGTGTGTGTGTGTGTGTGTGTGTGTGTGTGTGTGTGTGTGTGTGTGTGTATTATTCTTTTGCAGCAGTAGTTTGATATTTTGCTATGTCTTTGTTTCCTTCAAGGTGTATGTAATTGTAACTTTGTTTCTAGGGCTTTTCTAGGTTGTTCTACTCCCTCAGATGAACAGGTAGCCCTTGTGAAAGTTATCAGCTTGTAGTTCTTGCCATAAAAATCTTTACTTTAGAGTACTGTAAGCAAGCATGATTGTGTAACACTGCAGTGTCATGCCCTTAGCTTCTTTAAACTACTCCAATTCCTTGAAGAAAATGTGAACCTTTTGGCACACCATTTCCACATATTTTCTCAAGATGGTATCTTGCCTCTCTTATCAATTAGTTCCTGAGGTAGATCAGATAAGAGCTGTCTCCCAGAATTTCAAGTCTAGATAGCTTGGCAAGGAACCCAATTCCTTCTCTTTGGAAATAACCATAAGTTTTCTATAGTATATATTAACACAAAGACAAATTTTAGTCCTGGGAAAAAATATTAATCTCACAAAATAATTAAATTTAGCAACTCCATTCAATAGAGTTAGCAATGATGCTGCTGATTAAATAGTTCTGGGTCTCTAATTATCTCTCAAAGAATTTTTAATAAATGCTAAGAATATTTTTGGATTTCAAATTTAGGTTATAGAAATCCCTAACCAGTTAAACCTCAATTATTTTTTATCAAGTCAACCAGAATATTAATTTATCCATGAATTGTCTTTGTATATTTACAAGGGAAAGAAATATTCTTCTTAAAAATTTGTTTTATTATTAAGCTGAGTGAAAAACCAGCTAAACAAGCAGATAAGCAACAACAAAAACAACTTGCCTATTATACTATGAGGTCAGTATGTCCTTTAGGAATTCACATCTTCTCCAAATCCAATTCTAGAAAATCACTCTTAATAATAATGTGATTCCCTTAATTATCAAGGCAGCATAGGATGATATTAATTAAAATCTACTCATTAAGCAGAAAATGTGTTTAAATAGCTTAGAAACAGGTTAAAGTGTAAAGGATTGTGGTTAAACACACAAATTCTGTTAACTAGAACAATCCAGTCTGTTAACATTTGCACTTCTTCAAATATGACTCTGTATCACAAAGCAAGCATCACTTCATTCATTTTATTAGATGGAAGCATTAAACTTTCATTTCAATTTTGTTGAGGTATCCTATTTTATACAAATAAGCAGAGAGAGGTATGCTGCAAGTGGGAGGAGGTATGACAGAAGAAAGAAAGACACAGACAAAAATAGTTTGAGAAGTGCACCTCTCTTTGTTTAAAGGTTGCGACATCTACCTAGGTAAGTTGAGAAATTTTTGAAATAAAGTAGAAACATTTAGTGATTTCATCTTTGTTTTACAGACACTGCATTTTCTATTTATTTAGGTTCCCATGAAAAACAAAAGTGAATACATTTGAGTAGAATAGACAGTTGAAATGCTCTATTTCTTTGACCTTTAAAATATTTTCAACTGTGAACAGCTGGCCACTCTGCCCCTTTCCCAGAGGCTGCTTAGACTGTAAACAGAAGGCAAAGTAGAATTGAAGCCAATCTAATTATGGAATATTGAAAAGGTCAAACCATTGCCCTGGGCTACAAAATAGTAAGATCTTCATTTAGAAGAATGCCAAATGTCCTAGCTAATAAATGGAACTGCAAACACTTATATTTTTTATAGAATTAGTATTTGGAAGCGATTCCTTATACATAAATTTCTGGTCTAGCAAAAGAATTACAATGCTATTCATAATTGTCCTGAAAAGCAGGAGGAGCATCTACCACAAACCATATTTAAAAAATTCTCCAAGTTAGGGACAATGTAATTTATGTGTAACATGTTTCAGTTAGAGTTCAATCAGAGATGCAGAATCACTGAGTGTTAGAGAATAAGAGGCTTATATAAGGTTTAGATCTTAGGAAATTGAAGAAATTGAACATTCCCGAGGCAGGCTGTTGTCCCTGTGTCTGGTGATATGTCTGATGTTGCTTATTCAGCAGAGCCAAGGGGTTGGGAAAAATCTGGATGTCACACAGGGGAGTGTGAACAAAATGAATCCCATGAGAAAAAAAAAATTGGAACTCACAAGGAATAGAACATACGAGGGCTAACTGATATCCATATTTGTCTCTCATCGCCTTTATCCTCAACAACACGATTAAACTGCCGAATGAGCTGTTGTGCTTGCCACGCAGCTATACACATGCTTGGCTCAGGACTTGGAGAAGTTGAAGGTAGAAATCTGGTAGATGTTGGAGAGTTGTGGTACCAGCTGCAACCCCATGTCAACTAGGTGAACCAGCAGATTAGCAGCAACATGCACAATCAGCTGTGGGACCTAGGACCCTACACCAACATTCAGATATAATGTTTTTTATTTTATTTACACCTTCCAAAGTTCATGCATATTGCTCTTGTGGCAAACTCAAACCCAAAACTATACATCTTTTAAGTTTAGTTAGATTGACACATTGTGAAACCACCATGATCACTCAGGAGAAGCATTTGCTAAGGGGACTGAAAGCATAAAAAAACTATGCACTATGTTATGTAATATGAGGGATTTTGAAGTTCATATGAATGCCTCTGACATTATTTCAACTCTATTCTCTCATTTGTACGACAATCAAGAGTTAGGTGCATTCTATTTGGAAGGCAATTGAAGAAATTTCTATCGGGAAATTAAGCAGTTGGGCTGAAGTAAAAAGATATCTCTCAATGCTGAAGATAGCTGAAAAAGAAAAAAACAAATTGCAGAGTCGGGTTAAATTTACTCATTTTGCCTGCTACATCCTGTAGGAATCCCCATGGTAAATTTCATATTAATAGATAACTAGTGGGTTTGCATGTGACGAGAAACACGTAGCAGAGGAAACAGACGTATTTGGGGCAGATTCCCTGAGGGAAAAATTTTAGTTATCTGATAGTAAATATCCAGTGACCAATCAGCTTGTCATTCGGTTGAATTTCTGAAAAGTTTATTTTTTTTAATTGGACCTGAACTGGTCTAATTTTTTAAAAAATAATGTCATAATTTCAGCAAATTGTTCACAGTCCAAATCCAACTGAGGAGATTACTTTTTTTTTTTTTTTTTTTTTTTTTTTGAGACGGAGTCTCGCTCTGTCGCCCAGGCCGGACTGCAGACTGCAGTGGCGCAATCTCGGCTCACTGCAAGCTCCGCTTCCCGGGTTCACGCCATTCTCCTGCCTCAGCCTCCCAAGTAGCTGGGACTACAGGCACCCGCCACCACGCCCGGCTAATTTGCTAATTTTTTGTATTTTTAGTAGAGACGGGGTTTCACCTTGTTAGCCAGGATGGTCTCGATCTCCTGACCTCATGATCCACCCGCCTCGGCCTCCCAAAGTGCTGGGATTACAGGCGTGAGCCGGAGATTACTTTTTATGACTGGTTCAGCTGTCTTATTATATAAATTATACTTATGCCCATATTTAGTAATTAGCATGTACTTCTAACAGTATCATAGATGTCACAAAAAGCCCACATGAACTTTACCATTTAGGTAACTCTAGCAATAAGATGTTCTCTTTGTGGTAAGTATCATGGGAAGAGGTTAGAAATGACTAATCTGGCTTCTTCCCTCCAGTTATTTTCACATGAATTTGAACTTGCCAGTCATGTTCATTAAAAAAATAGATCATAGCCCATGGCAACCCAGTGGGTGATCAATTAATTAAAATTAATTACATTGGACTGAATTAGAATGGCTTGAGGAAAGGAGGCTGTGGTTGCTCTGATTTCAAGGCCCACAAAACTTCTCTGACAACTCTCAGAGTAACTACAGTATAGACTTTTCCAGTAATCACCAGAGAGCCCTGCCCTGTTGCATTAGTTCTTCAGTTCCAGACTATATGTACATTCACACACACACACACACACACACACACACACACAGAGAGAGAGAGAGAGAGAGAGAAAGGAGAATCTGGAAGAGAGAGAGAGAGAGAGATCCTGACTTAGGTTTTATGTTGCTATCCTTTCTTTTATATCATTTTATCAAGCTAGCCAGCTTTGAGAACTTCCTTGAGAACATTGAAAATTATTAAGTTTTTAGGAAAAAAGAGTGTTTTTCTCTGGAAACCTGCATTTAATCACTAGCAAATATTATCTATGTAATCTATTGCAACATCTCAGTCATTGAAATTATGAGGTCATAATTAGGGTAGACTTTGTTCAATTTATCCAACAGACATAATGCCACATACTTAAAATTTTTTGGATTTTAGCTTGCCACACTCAAATTGTGTATGCATGCATCAGAACTTCAAAATCCCTCATATTACATAATATAGTGCATAGTTTTCTTTTGCTTTCAGTCCCCTTAGTAAATACTTCTCCTGAGTGATCATGGTGGTTTCACAATGTGTCAGTCTAGCTAAACTTAAAAGATGTATCATTTTGGGTTTGAGTTTATCACAAGAGCAATATGCATGAACTTTGGAAGGTGTAAATGAAATAAAAAACATTATATCTGAATGTTGATGTAGGGTCCTAGGTCCCATAGCTAACTGTGCATGTTGCTACTAATCTGCTGGATGAAGGAATGTCTGTTTCATTGAAGTAGTCAATGAAGAGGCAGACTGCAATGACTGAAAAAGAAGGCTGTTTTTTTCAAATGCCAAATTTCTAAAAACAAAAACAACAAATCACAAGGCATACAAAGAAACAGGAAATCATAGCCCATTCACAGGAAGAAAATAAATTTGCAGAAACAATCCCTGAGGAAACAAAGACATCAGAATTACTACAGGAAGACATTAAAACAACTGTTCTAATATGCTCAAAAAGCTAAAGAAAAAAAAGAAAAAGTAAAAGAAATCAGGAAAATTATATATGAACAAAATAATAATATCAACAAAATGATAGAGATTACATAAAGGAACAAAATACAAAATCTGGTCCTGAAAGCAATACAGTCATTAAATTCAAAAATTCAGCAGAGGGATTTAACAGTGGATTTGAGCAAACAGAACTTAGAATCAATGAATTTGAATTCAAGACAATTGAAATTATCACATCTGCAGAGAAGAATGATAGAGTGAAGAAAAGTGACAGACCCTCAGAGACATGGGGGATAACATCAAATGAACCAATACATACATCAAAAGAGTCTAAGAAGAAAAAGAGAGAAAAAAAGGGCAGAGATTATTTGAAGAAATAACAGCCAAAACTTCCCAAATTATAGAAGACATGAATCTACAGATCCAAGAAGCCAAACAAACTTTGAATAGAATAAACACAAAAAGACACACATGGAGACACATTATAATAAAACTGTCAAAAGGCAAAGACAGAATATCTTGAAACTAGTAAGAGGTAAATGACTCATCACATACAAGAGATTCTCTATAAGAAGATTATCACTTAATCAGCAGTAACTTTGAGGTCTAGAAGGCAATAGGGGGATATATTCAAAGCACTGAAAAAATAAAAACTTGTCAACAGAGAATTATATGGCTAGCAAAACTGTCTTTCAAAAATGAGGGAGAAATTAAGAAATTTTCAGATCAACGAAAGATGAAGGAGTTTGTTACCACTGGAGGTGCCCTACAAGAAAGTTTAATGGATTTTTGCCACTTGAAATAAATGGAAACTGGACAGTAACTTGAAGTCATAAGAAGATATAAAAATCCCTGGTAAAAGTAAATACATGGAGAAATACTTAAGAAAATATGATATACTTTTATTTTTAACTCCACTTTTGATTTTTTACAGGATTTCAGAGATAAAAGCATAAAAATAAGTATGAATTTACAATAATGAGCACACATTGTATAAACATGCAATTTGTTACATTAGTAACATAAAGCCAAAGATTGCAGAACCAAAGGCTCCATTGATTGTCTCCCCACAGGGACACCAAGACACCAACAACTATCTACACAGAAAAGACACCCACATAAGAAGGAAAAATCAGATGAGCACTCACATTACCAGGTTTTTAGTTCATATTGCTGAAAGAGGCACTGAAGAGATAAAACAACAGTTCTGAATTGCCAGTGCCACCACTCCTCCAACCCCAGCAGGAGCAGCATGGTGCACAGAACTTCTCTGGGCCCTGGGGGAGGGAGAACACAGCAACCGTGAGACACTGAACTCAGTACTGTCCTGTTAGAGCAGAAAGAAAAACTGGACCAAACTTAGCTGATGCCTGCCCATGGAGGGAGCATACAAACAAGCACTAGCCAGAGGGGAATCACCAGCTGAAGTGGTTGAAACTTGAGTTCTCTCAAGCTTTACCACCATGCACTGTAGGACTCTGTTTCTCTAAGTAACCTTGAAAGGCAGTCTACACCATAAGGATTGCAACTCTTAGGAAAATCCTAGTGCTAAATTAGGCCCAGAAACAGTGGACTGTTGGGGGAGGCACACAACATACAGAGACACCAGCTGGGAGAGCCAATGGAGTGCTGGCATTCACACCTCCCCTACGCCCAGACTGCACAGCTCATAGCTCCAAAGAGACCCCTTTCTTCTGCTTGAGGAGAGGAGAGGGAAGAGTGAAGTGGACTTTGTCTTGCATCTAGGATGCCAGCTCAGCAACAGCAAGATAGGGCACTGGTCAGAGTCCTGAGGCCCTCATTGCAGACCCTGGCTCCCAGACATATACAGACACACCAAGGGCCAGAAGGGAATCTGCTGCCTTGAAGGAAAAGACCAGTCCTGGCAGCATTTATCACTGGCTAACTAAAGAGACTTTGGGCCTTGAATAACCAGCAGCAATACCAAGGTACCACATCAAACGCATTGGGTGAACCTCTGAGGTGTGCCGGTTTTAGGTGAGACTTCGCACATAACCAGCCTTGGTTGCTTTAGGGCAAAATTCCTGTGTGAGGAAAGCAGAGGGAAAAGTAAAGGGAACTTTATATTGCACCTTAGATACCAGCATGGCCCCTTTGGGACAGAACTCCAAGTGGACTTTTAGAGTTCACGAGTCCAGGAATTGACTCTTAGACAGCATTTCTGGATCTGCCCTGGGCCAAAGGGGAGCCCACTGTCCTGAAGGGTGAGTCTTAGACCAGTCAGCATTCATGACAAACTGACTTAAAAGATCTCAAGCCTTAAGGGAAACTCAGTGGTAGACTGGCTACTGCCAGACACCTCATGGCTTGGGGTGGTAGTTCCTATAAAGTGAGGCTCCTGTGCCTTTGGAAAAAAGAAGGAAGAGTGAGAAGAACTGTGTCTTGTGGTTTGAGTGCCCCCTCAGCCACAATACTATAGAACACAAAGTAAACTTCTAAGGTTCTTCACTCTAGTCCCTGAAACCGAGATGACACTTCTAGACCCACCCAGGGAATGGGGGACATTGCTACCATCATGGGAAGGACATAGGCCTGGCTGGCTTTTCCACCTGCTGATAGTAGAGCCCCATGGTCATAAGCGATCATAGGCAGTAGACAGAGAGTGATTAAAGCAGGCCTTCAGCAAGACCCAGTGCTGCATTGGTTTCAGGTCTGACCCAGTGCAGTTGTAGTGGTGGTGGCCACAGGGGTGCTTGTGTTACTTGAACCCAGACTTTAGGTGGCTCAGAATGGAGAGAGAGACTGTATGTTTTAGAGGAAGTATAGGAAGGGAACAAGACATTCTGTCTGGTGATGAAGAGAATTCTTCCTGAACTGTTCCAAGACCATCAAGATGGCACCTCTATTAGTCTGGAAGAACCACAGTATTACTGGGCTTGAAGTGTCCCCTAAAGCAGATACAGCTAAGATCACAACACTCAAGTCATTTCAAAATATCTGAAAGTCCTTCCCAAGGAGAGCTACAAATAAACCCAGACAGTGAAGACTGTAATAAATACCTAATCCTTCCATGCCCAGACACCAAAGAATATCTATTAGCATTATCACCATCCTGTAAAATAAAATCTAACCAAATAAACTAAATAAGGCACCAGGAAACAATGCCAAAGAAACAGAGATATGTGACCATTCAGACAGAGAATTCAAAATAGCTGTGTTAAGGAAACTCAAAGAAAGTCGAGGTAACACAGAGAAGGAATTCAGAAGTGTATTAGATAAATTTAACAAAGAGATTGAAATCATTTAAAAGAATCAAGCACAGTTGAAAATGCAACTGGCATACTGAAGAATGCATCAGAGTTCTTTAATAGCAGAATGGATCGAGCAGAAGAAAGAATTGGTGAGCTTGAATACAGGATAATTGAAAATACACAGAAGAGACAAAAGAAAAGAGAATAAAACACAATGAAGCATGTCTACAGAATCTAGAAAATAGCTTCAAAAGGACAAATTTCAAAGTTATTGTCCTTAAAGAGGAGGTGGAGAAAGAGATAAGAGTAGAAAGTTTATTCAAAGGCACAATAACAGAGAAATTTCAAAACCTAGAGAAAGGTATCAACATGCAAGTCCAAGAAGGTTATAGACACCAAGTAGATTTAACCTAAAGACGACTACCTCAAGGCATTCAGTAAGCAAACTCCCAAAGGTGAAGGAAAAAGAAAGGATTTTAAAAGTAGCAAGAGAAAAGAAACAAGTAACATACAATGAAGTTCTAATACATCTGGCTGTAGACTTTTCAGTGCAAACCATACAGACAGGAGAGAGTGCCATGACATATTTTAAATGCTGAAGAAAAAACAAGAATAGTATACCCCGTGAAAATATCCTTTAAACATGAAGGAGAAATAGGGTTTCCCAGACAAACAAAAGATGAGGGATTTCATCCTTATTAGGCCTGTCCTACAAGTAATGGTAAAAAGAGTACTTCAGTCAGATAAAAAAGGACATTAATGAGGAATAAATAAACACCTGAAAGTAAAAAAAAAAAAAAAAAAAAAAAAAAAAAAAAAAACCTCACTGGTAATAGTAAATACACAGAAAGCAGACAGTTAAACACAGTAACTGTTGTGTGTAAGCTACTCTTATCCTAGGTATAAATACTAAATGATGAACCAATCAAAAGTAATAACTACAACAACTTTTAAAGACATTATCACCACAATATGATATAATTACAAACAATAAAAAGTTTAAAAGTAGGGGAATGAATATAAGGAACAGAGTTTTTATTTGTTTTATTTTTGCTTGCTTATGCAAAAGTGTTGTTATCAGGTTAAAATAATAAGTTATAAGGTAGTATTTGCTAGCCTCATGGTAACCTCAAACCAAAAAAAAAAAAAAATACTACAATGGATACACAACAACAAAAGCAAGAAAATAAATCCAATCACCAGAGAAAATCAAGAAGACAACAAAACAACCATAAAGCAAATAACAAAATGGCAAGAGCAAGTCCTTACTCATCAATAATAACATTAAATGCAAATAGACTAAAATATCCATTCAAAAGACATAGAATGGCTTAATGGATGCAAAAACAACACCCATTGATCTGTTGCCTGCAAGAAATATACTTTACTTATAAAGACAAATGACAACTGAAAATAAAGAGATGGAAAAAGATATTCTGTCAATGGAAACCAAAAAACAACAGGAATTGCTATACTTATGTCAGAAAAAATAGATTTCAAGACAAAATCTACAAGAAGAGACAAAGAAGGTCACTATATAATGATAAAGTAGTGAATTCAGCAAAAGAATATAACAATTTTAAATATATATGTACCCAACACTGGATCACCCAGATAGATAGAGAAAATATTATTAGAGCTAAAGAGAGAGATGGTCTGTGATACAATAATAGCTGAATCGTTCAGCACCCCACTTTCTTCATTGGCCAGATCTTTCAGACAGAAAATCAACAAAGAAAAATCAGACTCAATTTGCACTGTAAACCAAATGTATCTAATAGATATTTACAGAACATTTCATCCAAGAGCTGCAGAATACACATTGTTTTCCTCAGCACATGAATCATTCTCAAGGATAGAACATATGTTAGGTAACAAAACCAGTATTTTTTTTTTTTCAAAACCAGTCTTAAAACAGTCTAAAAACTTGAATAATATCAAACATCTTCTTTCACTACAATGGAGTAAAACTAGAAATTAGTAACCAAAGGAATTGTGGAAACTATACAATACATGGAAATTAAACAATATGCTCCTGAATGACCAGTGAGTCAATGAGGAAATTAAGAAGACAATTTAAACATTTCTTGAAACAAATAATAATAAAAACACAACATACGAAAACCTATGGGATACTGAAAAAGCAGTACTCAGAGGGAAGTTTATAGTTATAAGTGCCTCCATCAAAAAAGAAGATAAACTTCAAATAAACACTTAAATAATGCATGTAACTGGAAAGGCAAGAGCAAAACTAACCCAAAATTAGTAGAAGAAAAGAAATAATAAAGATCAGAGGAGAAATAAATAAAATTGAAATAAACAAATACAAAAGATCAATGAAACAAAAAGTTGTTTTTTTGAAAAGTTAAACCAAATCGACGAAACTTTATCAGACTAACAAAGAAAAAAAAAGAGAAGATCCAAATAAATAAAACCAGGAATAAGAAAGGAGACATTGCAACTGATACTGCAGCAAATCAAAAGATAAATAATGGCTACTGTGAGCAATTATATGCCAATTATATGCCAATAAGTTGAAAAATTATATGTGAGCAATTATATGCCAATAAGTTGAAAAATCTAGAAGAAATAGAGAAATCGAAATCCTAGACACATACAAACTGCCAAGATTGAAACAGAAGGAAATCCATAACCTGAACAGACCAATAACAAGTAACAAGGTAGAAACCATAATAAAAATACCCCAGTAAAGAGAGGCCTGGGACCCAATGGTTTCACTGCTGAATTCTAACAAACATTTAAAAAAAGAACTAATTCTACCAAACATTTAAAAAAGAACTAATACTAATCCAACACAAACTATTCAAAAAAATAGAGAGGGAGGCCATGCTTTCAAATTAATTCTATGAGGCCAGTATTACCCTGATAGCAAAAACAAAGACACATCCAAAATAGAAAACTACAGACCAATATCTCTGATGCATATTGATGCAAAAATCCTCAACAAAACACTGGAAAGCCAAATAAAACAATGCATTAGAAAGATTTTTCATCTTGACCAAGTGAGATTTATCCCAGGGATGCAAGTATGGTTCAGCATATGCAAATTAATCAATCAATATGATACATCATATCAATGGAAAGAATAATAAAAACCATATAATCATTTCAATTGATACTGAAAAAACATTTGATAAAATTCAACATCGCTTCATGATATAAACCCTCATAAAACTAGGGATAGAAAGAGCATACCTCAACATGATAAAAGTCATATACAACAGACACACTAGTGTCATACTCAATGGGGAAAAACTCAAAGCCTTTCCTCCAAGATCTGGAAAATGGCAAGGATTCCCATTGTCATCACCACTATTCAACGTAGTACTGGGATTCCTAGCTAGAGCAAGCAGATAAGAGAGAAATATAAAGGTCATTTAAATTAGAAAGGAAAAAGTCAAATTATCCTTGTTTGCTGATGATATGATCTTATATTTGGAAAAAATGATGCCACAAGAAACCTATTAGAACTGATAAATAAATTCAGTAAACTTGCAGGATACAAAATCAGTATACAAAAATCAGTTGCATTTCTATATGCCACCAGTGAACAATGTGAAAAAGAAATAAAAAAAGCAATCCCATTTACAATAGCCACACATGAAATTAAATGCCTAGGAATTAACCAAAGAAGTGAAAAATGTTTATAATAAAAACTATCAAACACTGATAAACGAAATTGAAGAGGACACCAAAAAATGACAAAATATTCCATGTTCATGGATTGAAAGAATTAATATTGTTAAAATGTCCATACTACCCAAGGCATCCTATGGAATCAATGCAATCCTTATCAAAATACCAATGACATTCTTCACTTAAATAGAAAAAAAAAATCTTAAAATTTATATGAAACCACAGAAGACACAGAATATCCAAAGCTTTCATAAGCAAAACAAAACAAAACAACTGGAACAATCACATTATCTGACTTCAAATTTGAAGCTATAGAGCTATAGTAACCAAAACAGCATGATACTGGCATAAAAACATGATACTGGCATAAAAATAGACCAATAGAACAGAATTGAGAACCCAGAAGCAAATCCACACACCTACAGTGATCTTATTTTTGTTAAAGGTGCCAAGAACATACACTGGAGAACAGACAGTCTCTTCAGTAAATGGTGCTGGGCAAACTGGACATCTGTATGCAAAAGAATAAAACTACACCCCTATCTCTCACCATATACAAAAATCAAATCAAAATAGATTAAATACATAAATCTAAGACCTCAAACTCTGCAGCTACTACAAAAAAAAATTTCAGAAAATCTCCAGGACATTGAACTGGGAAAAAATGTCTGGAGTAATACTCTACAAGCACAGGCAACTAAAGCAACATGTACAAATGAGATCACAGCAAGTTAAAAAGCTTTTGCACGATAAAGAATACAATCAACAAAGGGAAGAGACAACCCACAGAATGGGAGAAAATATTTGCAAACTACCCATCTAACAAGGAAATAATAACCAGATTATATAAAGAGCTCAAACAAATGTATAGGGAAAAAATTATAATAATCACATCAAGAAATGGGCTAAAAATTTGAATACACATTTCTCAAAAGAAGATATACAAATAACAGACAGGCATATTAAAAATGCTCAAAATCATTGATCATCAGATAAATGCAAATCAAAACTACAATAAGATATCATCTCACCCCAATTAAAATGGTTTATATTCAAAATACAGGCAATAACAAATGCTGGTGAGGATGTGAAGAAAAGTGAACTCTCATGCCCTGTTGACAGGAATGTAATTTAGTACAACCACTATGGAGAACAGTTTGGCATTTCCTCAGAAAACAATAAATGGAACTACCATATGTTCCAGCAATCTCACTGCTTGGTATATACCCCAAGGAAAAGAAATCAGTATATCGAAGAGATATCTGAACTTCTATGTTTGTTGCAGCACTGTTGACAATAACTAAAATTTGGAAGCAACCTGAGTTACCATCAGCAGATGAATTGATAAAGAAAATGTGATACATATACACAATTAAGTATTATTCAGCCATAAAAAAAGAATGAGATCCAGTCATTTGCAACAACATATATGGAACTGGAGACCTGTATGTTAGGTGAAATAAGCCAGGCACAGAAAGGCAAACATCATATGTTCTCACTTATTTGTGGGAACTAAAAATCAAATCAATTGAACTCATGTATATAGAGAGTAGAAGGATAGTTAACAGAGGCTGGGAAGGGTAGCAGGGCGTTGGCGGGGAGGTGGGGATGGTTAACTGGTTCAAAAAATTAGAAAGAATGAAAAATACCTACTATTTGGTATCACAGTAGGGTGAATATAGTTAATAGTAACTTTATTGTATATTTTAAAACAACTTAAAGAATGTAATTGGATTGTTTGTAACTCAAAGGATACATGCTTGAGGGGATGAGAGTTTTATTCTCCATGATGTGCTTATTTCACATTGCAAGCCTGTATGGAAACATTGCATGTACTTCATAAAGATATAAACCTACTAGTTGCCCACAATAATTTTAAAAATTACAAGAAAAATAAAAAATAACATATAGTCAGGGGATCTGTATATGAGTAGAGTTTTGGTATGTGATCAAAGTTAAATTAGTATCAATTCAAATTAGATTGTTATAATTTTAAGATGTTATACATAATTTCCATGGAAACCACAAAGAAAATATCTATAGAATATACAAAAAAGAAAATGAGAATGAATCTAAAGGTGTCACTACAAAAAATTAACTAAACACATAAAATAGGAAATGAGGAATAAAAATCAGTAAGATATACAGGAAACAATTTTAAAATGATAAAATTAAGTCCTTTTTGAGTAAATAAATTTAAATGGAATAATTCTCCAATCAAGTCATATATTGGCACAATGGATAAAAGAAAAAAAAGACCCAATTATATGTAGTCCATAGGAGAGTCAATTTAAGTGTAAAGACACAAATAGTTTGAAAGTTAAAAAATTAAGAAATACATTACATTCAAATAGTAACCAAAAGAGAACACAGGTGGCTTAATTAATTTTAAGTAAAATAGATTGCAAGGCTAAAACTGTTTCAAGAGACAAAGAAGGACCTAATATATTGATGAAAGGATTAATTTATGAAGATGTAACAATTATAATTACATATGCATCAAATATCAAAGATCCAAAATACATAATATACATATTTGCAGAATTAAAGGGAAAAAAGACAGTTCAACAATAGTAGTTGCAGACTTTAATACACCACTTTCAATACTGGAAAGAACATCCAGACAGAAAATAAGTAGGGAAATAGAGGATGTGAAAAACTTTATAAATCAATTGGACCTAACAATCATGTGTAGAACATTCCAACAAAGAACAGCAGAATATACATTTTACTAAAATGCACGTAGGACATTCTCCAGGACAGACCATAGGTTAATCACAAAACAAATCTCAATAATTTTTAAAATATTCAAATCATACAAAGTATTTTTTCCAATATGTTGGAACAAAACCAGAAATCTGTAACAGAGAAAAAAATTGGAAAATTCACAAACATGTGCAAATTAAACACATTCTTAATGACCCATGAGGCAAAGGCTGATTAAAAATTACAAGATTGATTTAAAAATATCATGAGACAAATGAAAACAAAACAGAACATACCAAAACATATGCAACACAGCACAAGTATTGCTAAGAGATAAATTTATAGCTATAAATGCTTACGTTAAAAAGGAAGAGGCCGGGCACGGTGGCTCATGCCTGTAATCCCAGCACTTTGGGAGGCCGAGGTGGGTGAATCACGAGGCTGGGAGTTTGAGACCAGCCTGGCCAACAGGGTGAAACCCCGTCTCTACAAAAAAAACAAAAAAGTAGCTGGGCATGGTGGTGGGCGCCTGTAATCCCAGCTATTCGGTAGGCTGAGGCAGAAGAACCATTTGAACTCAGGAGGTGGAGGTTGCAGTGAGCCACTGCACTCCAGACCAGGTGACGGTGTGAGACTCTGTCTCAAAAAAAAAAAAAAATTGTTTTAAATAAATAACCTAACTTTACACCTTAAGGAACTAGAAAAGAATAAAATAAACCCAAAGCTAGAAGAAATAAGGCAATAATAATGATGTAAGTGAACATAATAAAATAGAAAATATAAAATAGAGAAAATCAACGTAACCAAGTGTTATTTTTTGTAAAGATCAATAAATCAACAAAGTTTGAGCTAGATTAAGAGAAAAGATTAAAGTTACTAAACAAAAAAATGAAATTAGGAACATTATGACTGATTTTATGTAAATAAAAGGATAATAAGAGTACACCAACAATTTGAATAAACTAGATAAAATGGAAAAATTCCTAGACATGCACAACCTACCAAGAGAGAATCATAAAGAACTAGAAAGTCTGAAGGGACCTATAGTTAATAAGGAATTGAGAAAATAATCCAAATTCCCCCAACAAAAACAAGTCCTGGACTATGTAGTTTCATCGGTGATTTCTATCACATATTTACATATTTAAAGAAGATTTTATATATATATATATAATTTTATATTATATATATATAATTTTAGCTGTGGGATTGTCATATTTGGCCGTTATATGTTGTGGTACATTTCCTCTGTACCTAGTTTGTTGTCCAATTTTATCATAAAAGAGTTTTGAATTTTGCCAGATGCTTTTTCTGCATCTATAGAGGTGATCATGTGATTTTCATCCTTCACTTTCTTAATGTAGTTTATTCACATTTATTGAATTGTGTACATGGTCAATTATACTTGTATCTCCAGGATAAATTCCCCTTGATCATGGTGGATAATCCTTCTTGTGTGATTTTGAAGACAATCTGCCAGAAATTTGTTGAGGATTTTTACATGAATGTTCATCAGGGATATTGGGGTACATCTCATTTTAAGTGTACTTACCACAAAATGAAAACAAGACACCAGAAAACTTTGGAAGATGTCATATATTTTATTATTTTGATTATGGTGATGGTATAATAGGTGTTTGCATATGTCCACGCTCATCAAATTGTTCACATTAAATATGTACAACCATTTATATGTCAATTATGCCTTAATAAAGCTGTAAAAATTTAGAAAACCCAAATCTATTTTAACCATGAGTATGATAAATGTAAATGCTACAATTAGAAGACTGTTTTTTATAAAAATCAAACAAATTTTTTACAAAGAAAATATAACTCTGATTCTTTTCAATCCATTTCAAACTCTTCCAAAAATTTCAGGAGGAAGGGACACTTCCAAACTTATTTATGAGGCCAGCGTTAATTTTATATCCAAACCAAACAAACATTCTATAAGAAAACTACAAACCAATATTCCTATGAATTTTGACATGAAAATTCTCAACAAAATACTAGTAAATCAAATTCAAAAGCATATTTAAAGGAGTATGCACTATACCATAGTATGATTTATTCCTACGCAAATAAATATTTTGAAACTCACTAAAAGGTGAAAATAGTCACATGAAGAGTTTCTTGGGTAATTATTATTATTATTTATTATTATTATTAGACTTTAAGTTTTAGGGTACATGTGCACAATGTGCAGGTTAGTTACATATATATACATGTGCCATGCTGGTGTGCTGCACCCATTAACTCGTCATTTAGCATTAGGTATATCTTCCAAAGCTATCCCTCCCCACTCCCCCCACCCCACAACAGTCCCCAGAGTGTGATGTTCCCCTTCCTGTGTCCATGTGTTCTCCTTGTTCAATTCCCACCTATGAGTGAGAATATGCGGTGTTTGGTTTTTTGTTCTTGCGATAGTTTACTGAGAATGATGATTTCCAATCTCATCCATGTCCCTACAAAGGACATGAACTCACCTTTTTTATGGCTGCATAGTATTCCATGGTGTATATGTGCCACATTTTCTTAATCCAGTCTATCATTGATGGACATTTGGGTTGGTTCCAAGTCTTTGCTATTGTGAATAGTGCCGCAATAAACATACGTGTGCATGTGTCTTTATAGCAGCATGCTTTATAATCCTTTGGGTATATACCCAGTAATGGGATGGCTGGGTCAAATGGTATTTCTAGTTCTAGATCCCTGAGGAATCGCCACACTGACTTCCACAATGGTTGAACTAGTTTACAGTCCCACCAACAGTGTAAAAGTGTTCCTATTTCTCCACATCCTCTCCAGCACCTGTTGTTTCCTGACTTTTTAATGATCGCCATTCTAACTGGTGTGAGATGGTATCTCATTGTGGTTTTGATTTGCATTTCTCTGATGGCCAGTGATGGTGAGCATTTTTTCATGTGTTTTTTGGCTGCATAAATGTCTTCTTTTGAGATGTGTCTGTTCATGTCCTTCGCTCACTTTTTGATGGGGTTGTTTGTTTTTTTCTTGTAAATGCGTTTGAGTTCATTGTAGATTCTGGATATTAGCCCTTTGTCAGATGAGTAGGCTGCGAAAATTTTCTCCCATTTTGTAGGTTGCCTGTTCACTCTGATGGTAGTTTCTTTTGCTGTGCAGAAGCTCTTTAGTTTAAGCAGATCCCATTTGTCCATTTTGGCTTTTGTTGCCATTGCTTTTGGTGTTTTAGACATGAAGTCCTTGCCCATGCCTATGTCCTGAATGGTAATGCCTAGGTTTTCTTCTAGGGTTTTTATGGTTTTAGGTCTAACGTTTAAGTCTTTAATCCATCTTGAATTAATTTTTGTTTAAGGTGTAAGGAAGGGATCCAGTTTCAGCTTTCTCCATATAGCTACCCAGTTTTCCCAGCACCATTTATTAAATAGGGAATCCTTTCCCCATTGCTTGTTTTTCTCAGGTTTGTCAAAGATCAGATAGTTGTAGATATGCGGCATTATTTCTGAGGGCTCTGCTCTGTTCCATTGATCTATATCTCTGTTTTGGTACCAGTACCATGCTGTTTTGGTTACTGTAGCCTTGTAGTGTAGTTTGAAGTCAGGTAGCATGATGCCTCCGGCTTTGTTCTTTTGGCTTAGGATTGACTTGGTGATGCGGGCTCTTTTTTGGTTCCATATGAACTTTAAAGTAGTTTTTTCCAATTCTATGAAGAAAGTCATTGGTAGCTTGATGGGGATGGCACTGAATCTATAAATTACCTTGGGCAGTATGGCCATTTTCATGATATTGATTCTTCCTACCCATGAGCATGGAATGTTCTTCCATTTGTTTGTATCCTCTCTTATTTCATTGAGCAGTGGTTTGTAGTTCTCCTTGAAGAGGTCCTTCACGTCCCTTGTAAGTTGGATTCCTAGGTACTTTATTCTCTTTGAAGCAATTGTGAATGGGAGTTCACTCATGATTTGGCTCTCTGTTTGTCTTGTTGGTGTATAAGAATGCTTGTAATTTTTGTACATTGATTTTGTATCCTGAGACTGCTGAAGTTGCTTATGAGCTTAAGGAGATTTTGGGCTGAAACAATGGGGTTTTGTAGATATACAATCATGTCATCTGCAAACAGGGACAATTTGACTTCCTCTTTTCCTAATTGAATACCCTTGATTTCCTTCTCCTGCCTAATTGCCCTTGCCAGAACTTCCAACACTATGTTGAGTAGGAGTGGTGAGAGAGGGCATCCCTGTCTTGTGCCAGTTTTCAAAGGGAAGGCTTCCAGTTTTTGCCCATTCAGTATGATATTGGCTGTGGGTTTGTCATAGATAGCTCTTATTATTTTGAGATATGTCTCATCAATACCTAATTTATTGAGAGTTTTTAGCATGAAGCGTTGTTGAATTTTGTCAAAGGCCTTTTCTGCATCTATTGAGATAATCGTGTGGTTTTTGTCTTTGGTTCTGTTTATATGCTGGATTACATTTATTGATTTTCATATATTGAACCAGCCTTGCATCCCAGGGATGAAGCCCACTTGATCATGGTGGATAAGCTTTTTGATGTGTTGCTGGATTCAGTTTGCCAGTATTTTATTGAGGATTTTTGCATCGATGTTCATCAAGGATATTGGTCCAAGAGCTGGTTTTGTGAAAGGATCAACAAAATTGATAGACCGCTAGCAAGACTAATAAAGAAGAAAAGAGAGAAGAATCAAATAGATGTGATAGAAAATGATAAAGGGGATATCACCACTGATCCTACAGAAATACAAACTACCATCAGAATACTACAAACACCTCTACACAAATAAACTAGAAAATCTAGAAGAAATGGATAAATTCCTCGACACATACACCCTCCCAAGACTAAACCAGGAAGAAGTTGACTCTCTGAATAGACCAATAACAGCCTCTGAAATTGAGGCAATAATCAATAGCTTACCAACCAAAAAGAGTCCAGGAACAGATGGATTCACAGCCGAATTCTACCAGAGGTACAAGGAGGAACTGGTACCATGCCTTCTGAAACTATTCCAATCAATAGAAAAAGACGGAATCCTCCCTAACTCATTTGATGAGGCCAGCATCATCCTGATACCAAAGCCGGGCAGAGACACAACCAAAAAAGAGAATTTTAGACCAATATCCTTGAGCTAATTATTAATACTATAAGTCCTCATTCAGAAAAAATGTCTCACTATTCAGTGGATGGAAAGTTATGGATAATAAAATCATGTCACCTGTAAATAAAAGAATATCTAGTGCCTCTCTACAATACCTAAATCAGTTCTCTAAAATAATTATGAACTTAGCACTCCAGAACATGCATTTGTGATAACTTCCAGATGGGATATCAGTGTACAGAATGTTATTAATGATCATTTTAGCATTTTTATTAAGAACTCAGCCTTGGCTATATAATCAAAGGACAGACCCATTAACTTTTACATGAATGATTTTAAATTCCAATACTGTATTTCAACTTATCCTTCATAAATAAAAATGTCTTATCTAAAATAGCCCTTTTTCCAATGAACACCCTGAATTTTACCTACAAAGGAAATTTTTGTTGTTTCACTTTCCTCATTCATAAACATATAGTTCAAACATTCACCAGATAGTGAAGTAAAATTATTATTTTTTTACTAACATTCACATAGGCAACTTAGGAAATAGAGGATGTAACCGACTCTAATATTAGCCTCACAGCAATCAGAGAGAAAATAAGTTGGCAGAAAATGAATTGAGATACAGTGACCATTGGCATTTTATGCTTCCACATTCTCTGGCTGTGAAAATTTGTTATATAAATGATGTATTTTAATAATACTAACTTAAAGAGTTGTTTTGGATCAATTCATATTGAAAACATCTTTTTAACCCACAATACACAGGCATGAAATTAATGATTAATTAAATGTCATGAGGCATATGCTCTATTTTACTTTAGCAGATCTTTATGATCAAATACTTCATTATTTTTCCAAAGATAAAATATTCCCAAGTGTTTGCTACCTTTCTAATCTGTCCTCAGGTGAATAAATACCTTTCATATAACTTTGTTGACATTCAGTCTCATTCGTTGCTTTGTCATCAACTGGATCTCTTATTTCCACAAAGACCATGTTACCTATTTAAAGCCGTGATTAGAATATCTGGGGATATTTATTGGAAGTTTATTCTTTGACATATTTTGTTTGGAAACTGACAACATATTCTACAAATATTACCATTGCATGAGGAGGTAAGAAAAGTTATCTTGTCTGTCATAATTTATTTGTACTCACTTGGGTTACCTCCATCCATCACAAAGATATATTTGTTAAGCTCCTACAACAAAAGACATCTTAAGGGTGACAAGTGTTAACAAAACATAAAGAAGAGATGATCTTGTCTTTCCCTGTTTTTCCAATGCTATGGTACAGTTTCTGTGAATACCGCACCTGTAATTCCAATGACAGGGATACACAAAAATCAGCAGTTTCAAAGCAATTAGGTCACTTTTTTTTTTTTTACCATTCCATAGTAAAAATGCCAAGTAAGTTGTTTGCAGAATTAATTATATGTTGACTGGACAATTGAATTCATCCAAATGGTTGTTCCAGGAAGCCTACATGCATAGAATCATACATAAAAGTGCATATACTGCGTTAATAGAAGAAAATACAGTGATGTGATGATTAATATTGAGCGTCAACTTGATGGGATTAAAGGATGCATAGTATTGTTCCTGGGTGTGTGTGTCCGTGAGGGTGTTGCCAAAGAAGATTAACATTTGAGTCCGTGGACTGGGAGAGGCAGACCCGCCCTCCATCTGGGTGGCCACCATCTAATCAGCTTTCAATGTAGCTAGAATAAAGGAGGCAGAAGAAGTTGGAAAGAGCAGACTTGCTGAGTCTTCCAGCCTTCATTTTTCTCCTGTGCTGTATGCTTCCTGACCTCAAACATCAGACTCCAAGTTCTTCAGCTTTTGGACTTTTGGACTTACACCAGTGATTTGCCAGGGGCTCTCAGGCCTTCCTCCACAGACTGAAAGCTGCACTGTCAGCTTTCCTACTTTTTAGGGTTTGGGACTTGGACCGGCTTCCTCCTTCCTCAGCTTGCTGACGGCCTATTGTGGGACTTCATCTTGTGATCATGTGAGATTGTTTACATAATAAACTGCCCTTCATATATACATATATGAAGTTCACTTTATGAGGTGTCAGTAGTGTTTCCAGGATACCTCCTCATGGTCTGATGCATTTACCTAATACATCCAAAAATGTTTTCTGAATACTTTGAATTTAACATTCTGTTTAAATTACATAGTTTATTATCACACACGAAATAAGTATCAACAGAATAAAAATGTGTGCTAGAGACTTAGCAAGGATTGAACAATTGGACAAGTCATTTCCATAGAGTTGTTATATTTTAACTTAAAACAAAGTAAGGCTGCAAGTATTGGCCTAGTTCCACTTGGCCAGCCTGTAACCTTTAAGTAACCTTCAAGTAACCTTCAAGTTACCTCTAAGACAATACTAGCCCTGATTTCTCTGCACATATTTAATGGCAGATAATGTTGCAAATTTCTGTTGTTATTTTCAAATATGTAACAGGAATTTTGCTTGTACCTTCTGTGATGCATTCATAACAAATTAATACTAATTTGTTGCCTTCTGTCTCTGCAATAAGGAAGACCACTTTCTTGGCTACCTTGTTTGTTTTCTTACATTATCAATTCCCAGGAATTAAAATGAATTAGAAAACTATTCTTGAGCTTACTAAAATATGTTCTTACCTCAAAGAGATAATTAAATTCCAAGCAATCAAAATTCCTTATTGAAAAGTTAACTTCAAACATAAAATATACTTCTTCTCAAAATGTCTTAAAACTGTCTTTGTGAAACGCGCTGGGAATGCATTTGAAAGCCTTCTTGGATCTGATTTTTCCTTTTTTCTCTCTCTAAGATGAATCAATATGTAGTCAACTTGAATGAAAAAGTCACCTTTATCCTCAGAATCATCTTTACCATACAAATATCCCAAACCACATCTTACGGCATATTAAGGATATTCTTTTTCTTCAGAGAAATAAATCTGGTGTCTCAATGCCCAACCAAGAGCCATTAGAAGAGGCTTTGTGAAATTATGCCCATAAGCAAAATGAATCCCAAAATGTTTAACAATGTATACTGTGAGGATATAATTAATGGCAACATCCAGAGTACCTTGAAGAAGAAAAAACCTTACTGAGAACACCATTTGCTAAATGGAGACCTGCCTACAACCTGAAAAGAAATTACTGAGAGTTACGAAAGGTGACATTTTTATGAAGGAGGGACATTTGGGAAAATATCTATGGTAACAAATCTAGGACTAGTCCTCCTGAATTTATATACTTTAGTTAAACCAGTGACATTGGATCTACTTAAAAAGGCTTTTGAGATTACTCCCACCAAACACTAATACCAAATTCAATACAACTGACATCATTTAATCCCTGTCAAAGACATACAATTTGAGGTTTGGCAGTCCCATTTGATTGAAACTGCATTTTTTTCAGTGAGTTCCACATGTGTTGTAAAAAAAATGATCTGTAGGCCCAGCACAGTGGCTCATGCCTGTAATCCCAGCACTCTGGGAGGTGGAGGTGGGCGGAGCACCTGAGGTCAGGAGTTTGAGACCAGCCTGGTCAACATGGTGAAACCCATCTCTACTAAAAATACAAAAATTAGCCAGGTGTGGTGGTGTGCGCCTGTAATCCCAGCTACCCAGGAGGCTGAGGTGAGAGAATCGCTGGAACCCAAGAGGCAAAGGCTGCAGTGAGCTGAGATCATGCCACTGCGCTCCAGCCTGGGCAACAGAGTAAGACTCCATCTCAAAAGAAAAAAATAATAATAATCTGTGCTAAAATGATAGTGGTAGCACTGATGTTCTGGTCCATATATCCAGTGAGACATAGTCAAATAAATGTATTGCTTGGCATTGTTCCCTTTCTGAATATGGGCTGACTCAGTAGTTAGCTGTGAATATCTTAAAATTTTCCTCAACATAGGGCAGTCTATGTCATTATGTGCAAGATATCTGGTGAGTAAAACAGGAATTTTGGTGTATAATTTCTGCCTTAGCATATATCAGAAACATTATGTGTAAAAATTTATATTACTGCTAACACCTCTTAAAAATTTAGAAGGAAAAAATAAAACTTTTACTTTTGCAAATGCTAGAGTGTGAAAAATTTGAAGAGGAAGACAAGAGAAAAACAAATAGTTTTAATCTGCCCAAATAATGTATAATGCCTAACTTAGTGGGACTGTGGATGTGGCAGGATTTCATAATGTGGAGTTCCTTGATCTCTAGGGAGACCATGAATGTTCAATGTGTTTTCTCAAAACTTTTTCCTGTGTAGTATATGCACATGCATGCATAGTTATATTTACATGTTAAAGGTATTTTTAATGAAATTGGATTATACTATACACAATGATATGCAAACTGAACTTTTCACATAATGTTTTAGGCATCATTTTGTGTTTATTTATATAAACAGACATCATAGATTTTAGTGGACCTATAGCATTCAATTAGATGGATAGACCATGATTTACTAAATTAACTTCCTAATGATGATCATATAGGTTTTGTTTTTTCTTTCACAATAATATTACACTGAATATCTATGTTTATACCTACATCTATATTTCCAGTAGGACACTTTCCTAGGTGTGGATTGTCTGTATTAAGGAATATACCAAATTTTTAAAACTTTTCAGTTATTTTATAATTAAATTTCATAAATATTGTACCAATGTATAACCTCATCACTAGTCTATTACATATCTTAAATCTCCACACTCCCATCTCCATCTCCAGGCATTATCATTCTTTTTAATATTTTTCTGATGTGATATGTAAAATAAATGTTTTAATTTGGATTCCATTGATTAATAATGAGTTGGAATTCACTAGTGAATTTGAACTCTGGAAATTCAGGCCATACTCAACCCAGCCTTATCTCTCTGTTATTTTGCAAACTGTCTTTGATAATTTGTTGTTGCTTTTTCTGGCAAAAGGAAGATCAGTTGATGATTTTTTGATCCTTTAGATTGGCCCACTTTTAGTATGTTCACCCGCTTTACAGAAGATGCACAGACTCTGTCTTAAGTATAAGTCCCACCCCATTTTCAGTAATAAGCCAGCTCTTGGCCTCAACATTTTGGTTCCCAACAACATTTGAGTATAGTATTGGTATTCATTGTACATTGTGCTGACATGAAGTCTAGTACATAGGTATAATTTGCCCCCAAAGTCTTAATTTTGTTGGAAAAGTATATAGACTACCAGAATCTGGATGAGGCTGAGGATAATTGTAATTTCCCTGTGGAAAGGAAATTCCTAGGTTGATAGACTTTAGGGGCTGAACTACTCACAGAAAATACCCAATGTGATATTCATGGAGATTCTGCATTATGTAGTTTATGGAATGTAGTGGAAAGAACTCCAAGCAGGAAGCAATTTATACATTCTCATCCCAGATTCTTCAAAGTCACAATGTTAATACATTCCTCCTCCTTAGCCCTGCATGAAATCATGGGCTGGCTAGTGGCAACAAAACCTGTTTCACAATATATTAGCAAGGTATTGTGGTCTAGATTTTTCATATAGCCCATTGCTTTAGAATGTGATCATACATAGCACATATTGTACTATTCTCAGACTGTAAGGCCACTGCAGAAACACTGAGATTGAAAGTATTCCATTTTAACATGTTATACTGGGTTGGGAAAAAAATGTGTTTTCAACATGGTCAAGAAAATATGAGCATTGTGATACAGTTACCAGTAAGTTTCCATGGTTTCAAAACCTCATTTAACCTCTATTGTAGAAGGGGATAAGGATACAAATAATACACAGTCTCTGTTCTGGATAAGTCTGCAATTTACTTGGACAAACAGGCTAAGCATGGAGGATACAATTGGATGGTTATTCTATAGGAGTTGGCTCATGGTTAATTCTGACAGCTGGAATCCTGCTAAAACTTCCATTGCTGGGTCTTGTTTTTGGCTTTCTCCTGTCACTTGGGGCAGTCATACATGGCAGCATGTTCTAGACAAGGCCAAATAAGCTTCAGAAATCTTTGATGGCTGTGCTAATTAGAATAAAAAGAATATTATTTTTTAGAAGGTACCAAATGTGAGATCTGATTCCCAGTCACTTTTGTAGAAATCCCATAATTTCTCATGAAAAATCACCTTCAAATACCTGAAAAATGCGTATTTTTTCCTAAAGGTCACCTAACAATTATGTTACCAATTTTCCATGTAGACTCTACCTACAATCAATCAAAAGAGAATGATTTCCCAAATTGTACAAGCACGGTGCCTTTGGAGTCACCTTTGTGTAGTGGAAAATGGCAGTTTCTGGAATCAGACAGACTAGTTTTCCTTCCCCATTTCTGCCTCTTACTAGTTAGGCAAGTTCACATAGTGGTTTAGAGGACAGATAATAGAGACAAGTTGCCTGATTTCAAACTTCTGGTTTGCCACTATATTTTGACATTGAGCAAGTTACTAAACCTTTCTGTTCCTCAGTTACTTTACTTATAAATGTTGTTGATGAAAAAGCTAAACTTTGTAACATATTTTAAGAGCTTTATTTTAAGCCAATGTGAGTGACCATGGTCCAAGGATCTGTTTGAAAAAGGTCCTGAGAAGTTAGTTTAGTTTACTTTTCTACATTTTAGGGAGACAGAAGTTACTGGCAAAGACATAAACCAATACATGCAAGGTATATGTTGGTTCAGCTCTGAAAGGTGGGATATCTCAAAGCAGAGGGGCTTACAGGTTATAGGTGGATTCAAAGATTTTTTGATTGGCAATTGGTTGAGAGTTAAGCTAAAGACTTGAAGTCAGTAGAAAGAAGTGCTTGAATTAACATAAGAGGGGTGGCAAAGCCAAGGTTCTTGTTATATAGATGAGGCCAGAATAGATGGTAAATGTGTTTTTGGAGATCTTAAAAAGTGTGAGATTCTTAGTTAATCTCTCCCAGATCTGGGAAAGGCCTATCTGCATTAATGGAGACTCTCTACAGATGTAAAATTTCTCTCACAAAGATGGCTTTTCAGTGCCATTTCGAAATATGTCAAAGAAATGTATTTTGGGGTAAACTATTTTGATTTTCTTCAGGGTCAGCTATGTATCATGTGATGCTATACCAGAGTCAGGTTGGAATTTGGTTTCTTACTGCCAAGGAGTCTGTTTTGTCAGGATTACGATGTCTACTTTAATGTTAATGCTGGTTAGTTGTCCCTTAACTCCAAAAGGGAGAGGTTTTAATGAGACGTGTCCAATCTCCCTTCTCCACATGGCCAGGAATTCAGTTTTCCTGGCTTTCCTTGGCTCAGAGCTTGTTAGTTTAGTTGGTTCCAAGGGGGTTGGGGGGCACTTAGGATTTTTTGTTTGTTTGTTTACAGTGTGACTAAAAATAGCTCCTAATTTATAAGGCAGTTATGAGAAGGATATGAGTTCATATATGGAAAACACTTCGAAGAGTGGCTAGCACAAAGTAGCACTGTGTACGTCCTAGGAATGGTGATGATGATAATGATAACTAGTAAGGTGATGGTCCCAGGGATAATATATATATATATCAGGGCTACAGATTCCTCATCTGCTAAAGTACAGGTAGTGTTGTCTATTTCTAAGGATTACTGCAAGGGTAAACAGATAAGTATATAAATGATTTCAAATATAATACTAACTAAATAAATGTGTTTCCCACCATCCTATCTCAACCATTCTTTCTTTTGTCTGTAGAAGAATGGAAATAGCAATTAATGAACTGAGGATTTGGCTTTTTTCTTTTTTTAATGTCATTGATCCCACAAGCTTATACATGGTCTTTCAGCACCTGTACTTAGCTAACTTGATTTTTTACATACCCAGCAGTTTTTATGCTGCTTCAGTCTCAAAATCTTTTTGATAATGTAATATTTACTATATATTCTTCAAAACAATTATAATAGTTAATCCTTGAAGCAGTAATTTGGGGTGTATTACAAGCAATCCTTTCTCTTGTCCTGGAAAGGGAGTGCTCCTTAGAGAAGCCATCTGCTTAGCTATCAAATAGGCCCACCCAATCAGACCAACAGACAAAACTTCTCCTGATTCATTCTGCTGCTAGTTAGCACCACGGCAAGGTTTTATAGCATTTAACAAACATTTACTGAACCTTTTCTATACAACTATCACTTTGATAAACATGGCAATGTATCATCTAGATCCCCCTTCACAGAAGTATTTGTTGCCCTAGCTGTTGGGAGTGCACTCAGCCCTTTCAGGAACTGCCCAAGGTCATACCATGCTAGGGAAAGCCAATATTCAATTTGAACTGCCTTTTAAAAAATTATAACTGAGAAAACTATGACAGTGAATGACATCTGACCTAACCGACTCCATCTGGCTTCTAAACTTCAAGCTGCCCTTGTTCATTTCTGGGGACAGGCAGAAATAACTTTGGGAGGAACTTAGTTTATACTTTAACTTTGAAACAAAGATGATAATAGCCCTTTCCCAAAACAAACCCCCTTCTTGCCTAGTTACCAGACTGCCTTTGTAGAACAAATAAGCCACAAGATTAGAAATTATGGTTTAGTAGTCATCAGCTAGAGGCCACATTACTCTAAACCTCTCCCATTGATCCTGAGAATAGCATCACTATTATAAAACCTGAGATTGGTGCTCAAGATATTTTTCAGACCCTGCACTTGATGGATCAGCTGGTGCCACCCAGATAAACTGGCTCATGTACTCTTGTGGTCCCCACCCAGGAACTGACTCAGTGCAAGAGGACAGCCTTGATTCCCTATGATTTCATCTCTGACCCGGCCAATTAGAACTCCCCACTCCATAGCCCCTTACCCACCAAATTGTCCTTAAAAAACCCCAGTCTCCATATTTTGTGGAGAACTGAATTGAGTAATAATAAAACTCTGGTCTCCCATTCAGCTGTTTCTGTGTTAATTGAACACTTTATCCATTGCAATTCCTTTGTCTTGGTAAATTGGCTCTATCTAGGCAGTGGGTAAAAGGAACCCATTGGGTAGTTACACAGTGACTTGAGGTGAGGTTATAAAAGTCTGGCAGTTTTGGCTCAGTGAGAGCCATTTTAGCTCTACAGCTCCCTGTGAGGTTGGCTGAGGCTTTTGTATCTACATTGTAGCTCAATGTCTCCCTCTGCTCAGTTCTACTTTCTTCTCCTCCCTTCTACAGTTGTTGACTCATGGCCACTCCCTAATAAACATCCATCTCACTAAACTCCAATTGAGAATCTGCTTCTCAGATAATTCACACTGGAACACACTGCCAGTTACTTTCTAGGGGGTCTGTGTGATTTTGCATTTGGGAAAAGAAAAAAAACTACTACAGCCCCTGTCCTTCAAGAACTTTTCTGTCTTACATAGATACAAGACCAGTCCACACAAAATAACACCTACCGACTTAACATTATACTTTCACAGCATAAAAGAAAAAAGGTTGGTCACCATAAGTCAATTAAGTCAGAGATGGCTTGTAGAATAAGCTAGGGCTTGAACAGGATTTTACAAATAAATTAAATTTAGATAGTAAAAAGAAACAGAGAATGCATTCTCCATGATAGGAACAGCATAAATAAATGCATGACTGTGGGAAAGACCATGGTACACTCAGCAAACCATAAGGAGATCTGGCTGACTGGTTTAAGCTTCTATTGGAGGGTTGTAAGAGATACTTTTGGAAGGTAGAGGGATGTCAGATTTTGGAGGGTTGGCTAACGTGTCATGGACTGGAAAAAGTATACATACCTATAACCTTTCACAATTTACCATTTGCAAGATACATATCTGTTTTCCCCAGTTTAAATTAGTTTTCTTTGAACCATCCACCATTTATTTGTTCCTCCACTTACTGCTGGGAGAGGTTCAAGAATATCTTTTCTAACTTTTTAAGAAAGAAAAGCTAAACAGTTCAATCCAGGCTTAAAATCATTGGTTTAAATAATAGCAAATACTAAAAGTATCACCAAGTCCTGTTAGTCTTCTTATCCATCCATCTAAGATGCACACATTGACAATGGAATAGAAAATTGACATTCAGAGCTCAGAATTTGAGAATCCTCGTTTTGTGTATCACCCAGCCTAAGTCTAAAAAACTTTGCTTGGCTGATCGGTCATTCTGAACCAGAGGTTGACATTCCCCACCCCCATAACACTGCAGGGCCTTTTAACATATTTTGAAGGCATGTTTGCTTATCACAACTAGGAAGGAGTCCAACTGACATCTATTGGGAAAAGGCCAGAGTTGTTGCTAAATATTCTATAATGATCAAGACAGCCCCACCACAGCAAATAATTATTCAGCCAAAAATGTCAATAGTGCTGAAGTTGATAAACAGAGTTGATAAACTCTGTTTTAGTCTACTTCTATATCAGCCTTATAAGAACCCTCATATCTTGAGGCCTAAAAATATACCTTTATTCTTTTCCAAATGGTAGCAACAGTTCAGCATTTCCATGGCCATGTATGGAACAGTCTTCAAAAAAATTTCCAGACTTTGTTGTCTAATACAGTAGATACTAGTTGTATGTGGCTAATAAACACTTGAAATATGGTTGATCCAAATTGATATAAACTATAAATGTAAAAAATACTCACCAGATTTCAAAATCTTAGCATAAAAAAAGAGTGTAAAATATATACTTATATACTTAATATGTTTAAAATACTTATTGCATGTTGAAATTATACTATATGGACATATTTGGTTAAACAAAATATATTATTGAATTTATTTTACTTGCTTATTTTTCTAAGTTGTGCCTACAAAAAAATGTAAAATTATATATATAGCTTGCATTATAATTGCATTGGGCAGTGCTGCGCTATATGACTTTTCATCTTTATCACTTTCCACATAGGCTCCTAAGAGATCTCGATACTCATACTAATTAGTTAGCACATCCAGGATCCATTGAGAACCCTGTTCTATTCAATTTCCTAGACCTACTGTTTAAAAAACTCAGCCCAGAAAAATATGACACAGTTATGCAACTTTGCTTTTTTATTCAGAATTGTTCACATTTTATTCTAATAGTCAGAACAGACTACCTCTATATCAGTGAAAAACTGCTATTTCTAAAATAGCATTCTTACAAACACCGCAAAAATTGCCTATAAAAGTTTCTCTATAAAGAAAGCTATGGTTCTACCATGGTAGGAGAAGCATAAACTCAGGATGTCTTTGGTGGTGACAGAGGTCATGATTTAAGAGACATAAGGAAATGTGAATATTAATAAGAAAAGAGTAATGAAGTAAGGTCTTTCTAAAGAAAGAATTTCAAGGTGATGACCCTCTCACCTTTCTCTGAGAGAAAAGATGCTTGGATTGGTGAAATGGAAACGGCACTGGACTGAGAGTTAGATACCTTAATTCTAGTGGTGTATCTGACATGTACTGAATGTATAACCTTGGGTGAACTACTTAATTTCACTGAACATCAATTAACTTAACTATAAAATAAGAAAAAGAAATTCAAAGGTTGTTGTTAGGATTATATGAGAAATTCTACATATAATACTTTTGCAATGTAATGTTATGCTTATATAAACATGTAAGAGGTTATTAGTATACCATCTCTTCTAAATGCATTAATAATGCAGAATGCATTTGAAAAAAATGTGTGTCCAAGTTAATGAAATGTAAGTCATTCCCAAAATTAACGACTGCCATTACTCAAAGGTTATATTTACATAAATGGATTGACTTAAAATCAGTTATCTATTTCAATGAAACAAGGGCAATAAGTTGTTTGTTTTCAAAATAACTGATCATTTTATTGTGATTGATGGTATTTTGAAGTAATGGAAAACACTATTTATGCCTAAGTTTTTGGCCCCCAACTAGGATCAGTTCTCACCATATTGACAGTGTTTCAAGACTAGCCTTTTATTTGGAACAACTAGGCTCCATGGTTGTGGTTAAGACACAAAGAGAAGGTCATGCTTTTACACTGATAATATTTTGAGACAAATTCTTTTTCAACAGTTGATCATATTTATTTGTGAAAATGATAGAAGCAGAGACAGCCAAATGCCTAGGCAAATAGGGAAGTATCCCTGGAGAATCTCCAACCCACCCGGGTCATTGTGTGTAAGGGGTTTGTCTAAACATGCCCACGGCAAAAAATTCCATCCCTTAACACATGCGCAGTAAAGGAAATAAATCAATTTGGAGTGGCTCAGACTAAGGGCCCGCATATTCACCGGAAGAATGGGGTGGAGCTACCAGGAATTTGCGCCTCATACAGGGAAGAAGGCTGGCCTCTTCAACTCGTGTATGGTGGCCTGGTACTCAACTTGTGAGGTGAAAACTTGTGTGCAGGACCCCTCTTTTTGTTGACAGTTTTCCTTTTGCTTAGTAAATTCCACCCTCCTCACTTTTCAATCTGCTACATGCCTAATTTTTCCTGGCCATGAGACAAGAACCCATATTTAACTGAACTAAGGAGCAAAAAACCTGCACCAGAGAACCATTTACTATCTTTAATTAGTTATAATATGAAACAAAAGTGTTTTGAGGGTGCTGATTCCAGGTAGAATAACACAAGAGTCAAAACTCTTGTATCAGTATAAAACTGGGTTTGAAATCAAGCTCAGCCACTATATAGTGTGTATTATCAGGACTTTGAACAAGCTATGTAATCTTTTTGGTCTCAGGTTTCTTATCTGTGAAATAGTGATCATAATAGTATCTGCTGCATTGGGTTATCAGAAGAATTAAAGGAGAAAATCAATGTCAGGTACTTAAATAACATTGTATAGTTACCATGTGCTCAATGAAATTATTTAATATCAAAATTTTTGATAATAATAATTACAAAAAGAAAGGATTAGTGAGACCATCTTAAGCAAAGGAATTGAATAAAAATGCATGGAAATAGAGCTATAAAAAGAGTACAAACTATATTGAGGGTAAGTGAAAAGAAGCTTCTACTTTAGAGTTCATGAGGGAGACTAATGGTAAAGCAGGAGACTATGGATTTATGTATTGAGGATAAGAATTTAGAACTCTATACTGTAAGCAATAAGGAGTCACTGAAGTAACTGTTTTTAAACAGCACCAAGCTTTCTATATATATATTCTACTACAATTTCACGATGGCCAGGGAAGTTTTAGTTTTCAACAATCATTGAGAAATAAGTCTGTTGGAAAATCATATGCTTAGTTTAAATGTGTTTTTAAAATGATATCCTAGTACAGCATTGATTTGCAGCTACAAGTTCTTTAAGCAGTTTGTCTCAAACTATCAAATACTTTTGCTCTCTGAGTGATAAGTGTTAAAAACAATTTAACACAATGTAATCAGTAAACACTTAACAGGCAAATACTGATAAAAAAATTGTAAATACTGCTTTCAAAGTAAAAGTTGTTCTCAAGTATTCATGACTCTAACATGTAGGTACACCAGGCAATCATAATCTCTATTTTATACTGCTAAGACACAGAAATGGAAAAAGTGAGTCCAAAACAAAAGGAACTCAAAAATGTAAATCAAAACCACAATGAGATACAAATTCACAGCAATCACAATGGCTTTAAAAAAAAAAAAGGAAAAAATAAGGTGTTGGTGGGGCTGGGGAGAAAAGGGAATGCTTACAACACTGCTGGCAGAAATGTAAATTAGTTCAGGCACTGTGGAAAGTTTGGAGATTTCTCAAAGAACTTAAAACAGAACTACCATTTGAGCCAACAATCCCATCCCATTGCTTGGTATATACTCAAAGGAAAATAAATCATTCTACCAAAAAGACACATGTACCCATATGTTCTTCACAGCACTGTTCACAATAGCAAAGACATGGAATCAACCCAGGTGCCCATCAATTGTGGATGGGAAAAAGAAAATGTGGTACATATACATCATCAAATACTATGCAGCCATAAAAATAGAATAAAATAATGTCCTTTGCAGCAACATGGATGCATCTAGAAGCCATTATCTTATGTGAAAGGATGCAGAAACAGAAAATAAAATATTGCATGTTCTCACTTATAAGTAGGAGCTAAACAAAGGGTACATGTTGACATAAAGATGGAAACAATAGACACTGGGGAATATAAGAGGGTAGAGTGGGGAAATAATTTAAAACTACCTTTTGGGTACTACAGGAGATGGGATAATTCATACCCCAAACCTCAGAATCTCACAATATACCTTTGTAAAAATCCTTCACATGTATCCCCAGAATCTAAAACAAATGTCGAAAAAGAAAAAAAAGGAAAAGAAACTCAAAACAAGTGTAAAATGTCTTTAGAAGTAAAGCAAAGTGAAAGAAATGATAATTGGCTGGAGGGTTGGCTCAGGCCTGTAATCCCAGCAATTAGGGAGGCCGAGGCAGGTAGATCACTTGAAGTCAGGAGCTCAAGACCAGCCTGACCAACATGGTGAAACCTCGTCTCTACTAAAAATACAAAATTATCAGAGCATGGTGGCTCCTGCCTGTAATCCCAGCTACTTGGGAGGCTGAGGCAGGAGAATCGCTTGAACCCGGGAGGCAGAGGCTGCCATGAGCTGATATCATGCCATTGCACTCCAGCCTAGGAAATAGAGTGAGACTCCATCTCAAAAAAAAAAAAAAAAAAAAAAAAGATGATAATAAAGTAGTCATGGATTCTTTCATTCATTCAGTGATTCATTGAACAAGTCTATTGCTTACTTATGCCTTCTACTTGCTAAAGTGTACTTTTACCTTCAAAGGAAATTGAAGGCAATCCTGACTGAGCCAAAAAGGTTAACAGCAGAAAGGTCAGAAATAAGGGTTTGTCCTTTCAGTCAGGAAAGTAGACAGCCAAGCAAACAAAAGAACCCTGTGGTAGTGAGAGAGTTAAATTACCAGCAAAATATAAGAGAACTTCCAATCACCATAATGGCTAAATATTAAGTTGTTGGGATTCCTTCATGTATGGGTAGAGATGTTTACATTTAAATATTGAAAAAAGCTAATGTTTGTCCCTGAGAAGATCTTAAATAGATGTATCTTTATTCTCAAAGGTTTAAGAAAATATTCAAATCTGCATCTGTCTTTAAAGCGTGCTCCAGTTTGTTTCCTATTTAATTATGGTATTTTGGATGCAAGATTTTTGCTCCTTAGTTCAGCTAAATCTGGGATCTTGTTTCACAACCAGGAAAAATTAGGCATGTAGACACATTAAAAGGTAAGGAGGGCAGAATTTGTTAATCAAAAAAAAAAAAAAAAAAAGCTGTCAACAAAATGAGAGGTCTTAGATGCAGGTTTCCACCTCACAAATTGAATATTAGGCCACTACACATGAGTTGAAGATGCCAGCCTCCTTCCCTGCATAAGGCACAAATTCTTGGTGGCTCCACCCCATTCTTCTAGTGAGCATGTGGGCCCTTAGTCTGAGTCACTCCAGACTGATTTATTTCCTGTACTGTGCATGTGTTAAGGGAGAGAATTTTTTACTGTGGGCATGTTTAGGCAAGACCCCTGCACACAATGACCTAGATGGGTTGGAGGTTCTCTGGGTACCCTTCCCTAATTGCCTAGACATTTGGCTGTCTCCTGCCTCTATCATTACCCCCTCCAAAGAAGTACATCTAACTGCCATTAGGATAAGGACAAGGACAAGGACAAGGATAAGGATAAGGACGATAACAACTGATCTTAAATGCTTTCTGCTGACTGGTGGTGCTGTATTGTGAAAACAGCAGTCAGATCTCTCTCAGAGGCCTATCTAAGGATCCCTGGTAAAAGGAGGGCCATTGTTCGAGGCTCCGGTTGCTTGACCATTTGGAGTTCAATGGCCTGAAGGTGAGAAGAGACAAACAAAATGATTAGAAGACATATATCAAAATGAAACAAAAGTGGGGGCAAGGACAGCTTAAAAATTCTGAGGCTGCTAGCATGCCCAGATAACCGGTGGCTATAGTTATGCTTGCTAAGATCTAGGTACATGGGGTTTCACTTTGGTTAGCTCTCTTGGTCTTATAAAAAACAAAAAACAAAAAAACCAAACTCTGGGTTGCAGACACCCTATTTATTCCTATCACCTGGCAGGATTTGCAGGGTAACTGCCCAGAACTAGACTATTGATCCAGATTTTTACACTACACATTTCTTTTGTTTCTTCTGAGCTGCAGCCAGAGTTTTCTGGTTGGTTCACAGGAATGAGTAGGATTAGTCCAAATTGTAGGCAAAAAACAACTAATGATTCTAGAATTTAATGACAAATGTAGGATAATTTTTGAAACATAATTTCTCTCTCTCCAGTCCTCATTTTTGTTGAAAGCAAATCATGGGAGATCATGGCAGATGGGAGTCAGGACTAGATTGCAGCTCCGTACAGAGCAGTGGGCAGCGACTCACATTGTGAATTTTAACTCCAGATGTACTGCAAGAGTCAATCAGCAATCCCCAAAGGACCCACAGACCCTCTGAAGGAAGCGGACTGCTCCTGCAGGACCCAGGAGACCCCCCCAAAATTGTGAATGACTGAACTGCAGAAGTGGGAAAGGGAGACCCTCCTCTCCTGAACACATACCCGCACAGGAGAAGCCAAAGGTCTGTTTGTGGGAGAAGTTTCTGACTTTACCTTGAGCTGAGTCAATTTGGAGAGCCAAGTGAAATACAGGTGTAGAGGAAACAGCAGAAAGGCCCCTGGGAGCTAGCTGGGTCCCCTAGCAGGCCATTCCTTCCTGGCACCACAGGAAACCAACAGGAGAAAAGCAGGGGCTAAAGCTACACAGAGAGAAGCAAATCTCTAGCTGAACTTTAACAATTTGAAAGGGGTGAAAAGCTTTCTGACCAGAACTCTGGAGAGGGCGCAAATCTGGTGTGCAGACTCCACAGGTAGGGGAAGAAGCAAGCCCCTTTCTTTCACAGCTGGGAGGCAGACAGCCTGGGGCAGGTTTTCAAGCCCATCTCTCTCTCCACCTGGAAACGGTCTGGGGGGACATGGTGGGAGCGAGACCAGCCCTTCGGTTTGCATGGGAGCTGGGTGAGGCCTGTGACTGCTGGCTTTCCCTCACTTCCCTGACAACCTGCATGACTCAGCAGAGGCAGCCATAATCCTCCTAGGTACACAATTCCGGTGATCTGGGAATCTCACCCTCATCCCCCACAGCACAGCAGTGGCAGCAAGACCTGCCCAAGAAGAGTCTGAGCTCAGACATGCCTAGCCCTACCCCCACCTGGTGGTCCTCCCCTACCTACTCTGGTAGGAAAGACAAAGGGCATACAATATTGGTAGTTCTAAGGCCCTGCCCACTGCTAGTTCCTCCCCATAATTCCACAGCTGATGTTCTCTGGAAAGCACCACCTCCTGGCAGGGGGTCAACCAGCACAAAAATAGAACATTAAACCACCAAAGCTAAGTACCATCAGAGAGTCCATTGCATACCCCGTCACCTCCACTGGAACAGGCACTGGTATCCATGGCTGAGAGACCCATAGATGGTTCACGTCACAGGACTCTGTGCAGACAACCCCTAGTACCAGCCTGGAGCTGGGTAGACTCGCTGGGTGGCTAGACTCAGAAGAGAGACAACAATCCCTGCAGTTCGGTTCACAGTAAGCCAAAGTAAGGAAAAGGGGGAGAGTACTAAATCAAGGGAACACCCTGTGGGATAAAAGAATCTGAACAACAGCCTTCAGCTGTAGACCTTCCCTCTGACACAGCCCAACCAAATGAGAAGGAACCAGAAAACCACCCCTAGTAATACGACAAAACAAGGCTCCTCATCATCCCCCCCAAAAAATACACTAGTTCACCAGCAATGGATCAAAAGCAAGAAATTTCTGATTTACCTGAAAAAGAATTCAGGAGGTTAGTTATTAAGCTAATAAGAGAGGCACCAGAGAAAGGCAAAGCCCAATGCAAGAAAATCCAAAATAGGATACAAGAAGTGAAGGGAGAAATATTTAAGGAAATAGAGAGCTTAAAGAAAAAAAATCAAAAATTCATGAAACTTTGGATATACTTTTAGAAATGTGAAATGCTCTGGAAAGTCTCAGCAATAGAATTGAACAAGTAGAAGAAAGAAATTTAGAGCTCGAAGACAAGGTCTTAGAATTAACCTAAACCAACAAAGAAAAAGAAAATATGAACAAAAGCTCCAAGAAGTCTGGAATTATGTTAAATGACCAAACCTAAGAATAATCAGTATTCCTGAGGAAGAAGAGGATTCTAAAAGCTTGGAAAACATAATTGCAGGAATAATCCAGGAAAACTTCCCTGGCCTTGCTAGAGACCTAGACATCCAAATACAGGAAGCACAGAGAACACTCGGGAAATTTATCTCAAAGAGATCTTTGCATAGGCACGTTGTCATCAGGTTATCCAAAGTTAAGATGAAGGAAAGAATCTTAACAGCTGTGAGACAGAAGCACCAGGTAACCTATAAAGGAAAACCTATCAGATTAACAGCAGATTTCTTAGCAGAAACCCTGCAAGCTAGAAGGGATTGGGGCCCTATCTTCAGCCTCCTGAAACAAAACAATTATCAGCTAATAATTTCGTATCCAGTGAAACTAAGCATCATATATAAAGGAAGGATACAGTCTTTTTCAGACAAATGCTGAGAAAATTTGCCATTACCAAGCCACCACTACAAGATCAGATAAAAGGAGCTCTGAGTCTTGAAACAAATCCTGGAAGCACATCAGAACAGAACCTCTTTAAAACATAAACCACACAAGACCTATAAAACAAAAACACAAGTTAAAAAGCAAAACCTAAAAACAAAAAAACCAAAGTATACAGGCAACAAAGAGCATGATGAATGCAATGGTACCTCACATTTCAATACTAACACTGAAAGTAAATGGCCTAAATGCTCCACTTAAAAGATACAGAAGAGCAGAGTGGATAAGAACTCACCAACCAACTATCTGCTGCCTTCAGGAAACTCATCTTGTAGATAAGGACTCAAATAAACTTAAAGTAAATGGGGGGAAATTGTATTTCATGCAAATGGAAACCAAAAGCAAGCAGGGGTAGCTATTCTTATATCAGAGAAAACAAACTTTAAAGCAATAGCAGTTAAAAGAGACAAAAAGGGACATTATATAATGGTAAAAGGCCTTGTTCAACAGGAAAATATCACAATTCTAAACATATATGCACCTAACACTGGAGCTCCCAAATTTATACACAGTTACTAATGGACCTAAGAAATGAGATAGATAGATAGCAACACAATAATAGTGGGGGACTTCAATACTCCACTGACAGCACTAGACAGGTCATCAAGACAGAAAGTCAGCAAAGAAACAATGGATTTAAACCATACCTTGGAACAAATGGACTTATCAGATATATACAGACCAAAGAATACACATTCTGTTCAACAGCTCATGGAAATTTTTCCAAGAAAGACCATACGATAGGCTATAAAACGAGCCTCAATAAATTCAAGAAAATTGAAATTATATCAAGCACTCTCTCAGACCACAGTGGAATAAAACTGGAAGTCAACTCCAAAAGGTACCTTCAAAACCATACAAATACACGTAAATCAAGATAAAAATTAAAAAATTCTTTGAACTGAATGACAATAATGACACAACTTATCAAAATCTCTGGGATACAACAAAGGCGGTGCTAAGAGGAAAGTCCTTGGCCCTATAAAAGCCTACATCAAAAAGACTGAAAGAGCACAATTTGACACCCTAAGGTCACACCTCAAGGAACTGGAGAAACAAGAGCAAGTCAAACCCAAACCCAGCAAAAGAAAGGAAATAACCAAGATCAGAGCCAAACTAAATGAAATTGAAACAAAAATAAATACAAAAGATAAATGAAACAAAAAGCTTGTTCTTTGAAAAGATAAATAAAATTGATAGAACATTGGCAAGATAAATCAAGAAACAAAACAGGGGATATTACATCTGACACCACTGAAATACAAAAGATCATTCACAGCTACTATGAACACCTTTATGTATATAAACTAGAAAACCTAGAAGAGATGGATAAGTTCCTGGAAAACTACAACCCTCCTAGCTTAAATCAGGAAGAATTAGATATCCCGAACAGACCAATAACAAGCAGTGAGATTAAAATGGTAATTAAAAAATTAACAACAAAAAAAGTCCAGGAACAGATGCATTTACAGCAGAATTCTACCAGACATTCAAAGAAGAATTGGTTCCAATCCTTTTGACACCATTCCACAAGATAGAGAAAGAAGGAACCCTCCCTAATTCATTCTATGAAGCCAGAATCACCCTAATACCGAAATCAGGAAAGGACATCACCAAAAAAGAAAACTACAGACTGACATCCTTGATGAACATAGATGCTAAAATCCTTAACAAAAAACTTGCTAACCGAATCCAACAATATATCAAAAAGATAATCCACCATGATCAAGTGGGTGTTTTGTTTTGTTTTGTTTTGTTTTGTTTTGTTTTGTTTTTGAGACGGAGTCTTGCTCTGTCACCCAGGCTGGAGTGCGGTGGCATGATCTCGGCTCACTGCAAGCTCCGCCTCCCAGGTTCATGCCATTCTCCTGCCTCAGCCTCCCGAGTAGCTGGGACTACAGGCGCCCGCTACCAAGCCCGGCTAATTTTCTGTATTTTTAGAAGAGACGGGGTTTCACCTTGTTAGCCAGGATGGTCTCGATCTCCTGACCTCGTGATCTGCCCGCCTCAGCCTCCCAAAGTGCTGGGATTACAGGCGTGAGCCACCGCGCCCGGCCGATCAAGTGGGTTTTGTACCAGGGATGCAGGGGTGGTTTAACATAGGCAAGACAGTAAATGTGATACACCACATAAACAGAGTTAAAAACAAAAATCACATGATCATCTCAATAGATGCAGAAAAAGCATTCGACAAAACCCAGCATCCATTCATGATTAAAACTCTCAGCAAAATTGGCATACAAGGGGCATATCTCAATGTAATAAAAGCCATCTATCCATAGCCAACATAATACTGAATGGGTAAAGGTTGAAAGCATTCCCTCTGAGAACTGGAACAAGACAAGTTTGCCCACTCTTACCACTCCTCTTTAAAATAGTACTGGAAGTCCTAGTCAGAGCAATCAGATAGAAATGAGCAATCAGATAGCAATCAGAGAAAGAAAGAAATGGCATCCAAATCAGTAAAGAGGAAGTCAAACTGTCACTGTTTGCTGATGATATTATTGCTTACCTTGAAAACCCTAAGAACTCCTCCAGAAAGCTCCTAAAAGTGATAAAACAATTCAGCAAAGATTGCAGATACAAGATTAATATACACAAATCAATAGTTCTTCTACACACCAAGAGCAACCAAATGGAAAATCAAATCAAGAACTCGACCCTTTTTACAGTAGCTGCAATAAAATAAAATATTTAAGAATATGTGTAACCAAGGAGTCGAAAGACCTCTACAAGGAAAACTACGAAACCCTGCTGAAAGAAATCATAGATGACATGAACAAATGGAAACACATCCCACATGGGTAGAATCAATATTGCGAAAATGACCATGTTGCCAAATGCAATCTACAAATTCAATGCAATTCCCATCAAAACGCCACCATCATTCTTCACAGACTTATAAAAATATCCTAAAATTAATATGGAACCAAAAAAGAGCCTGCATAGCCAAAGCAAGACTAAGCAAAAAGAACAAATATGGAGGCATCACACTACCTGATTTTAAACTATACTATAAGGCCATAGTCACCAAAACAGCATGGTACTGTTACAAAAATTGTCACACAGACCAATGGAACAGAATAGAGAACCAAGAAATAAACCCAAGTACTTACAACCAACTGATCTTTGACAAAACAAACAAAAACAGAGAAGGGACACCCTTTTCAACAAATGGTGCTGGGATAATTGGCTGGCAACATGTAGGAGAATGAAACTGGATCTTCATCTCTCATATTATACAAAAATTAACTCAAGATGGATTAAGGACTTAAACCTAAGACCTGAAACCAGAAATATTCTAATAGATAACACTGGAAAAACTCTTCTAGACATTGGCTTAGGCAAGGATTTCATGACCAAGAAGCCAAAAGCACATGCAATAAAAACAAAGATAAATAGCTGAAGCCTAATTAAACTAAAGAACTTTTGCACGGGAAAAGGAACAGTCAGCAGAGTAAACACAACCTACAGAGTGGGAGGAAATCTTCACAATCTATACATCTGACAAAGCACTAATATTCAAAATCTACAACAAACTCAAGCAAATCAGTAAGAAAAAAACAAAAAATACCATCATAAAGTAGGCTAAGGACATGAATAAACAATACTCAAAAAAAGATATGCTAATGGCCAACGAACATGTGAAAAAAATGCTCAGCATCACTAATGATCAGGGAAATGTAAATCAAAACCACAGTGTGGTATCACGTTACTCCTGCAAGACTGACCATAATCAAAAAATCGAAGAACAGTAGATGCTGGCATGGATGGGGTGAACAGGGAACACTTCTACACTGCTGGTGGGAATGTAAACTAGTACAGCTGCTATGGAAAACACTGTGGAGATTCCTTAAAGAACTAAAAGTAAAACTACCATTGGATCCAGCAATCCAAGTACTGGGTATCTACCCAGAGGAAAATAATTCATTATTCAAAAAAGATACTTGCACATGCATGTTTATAGCAGCAAATTTCACAATTGCAAAATCGTGGACCCAACCCAAATGCCCATCTATCAATGAGTAGATAAAGAAACTATGGTATATATATATATATATATATATATATATATATATATATATATACACATGCACATATATATATATATATATGATAGAATACTACACAGCCATAAAAAGGGATGAATTAAGAGCATTTGCAATAACCTGGATGAGACTGGAGACTATTATTCTTAGTAACTCAGGAATGGAAAACCAAACATCGTATATTCTCACCAATATGTGGGAGCTAAGCTATGAGGACACAAATGCATAAAAATGATGCAATGGACTCTCTGAGGACTTGGGGGGAAGAATGGACGGGGGGGCGGGGGATAGAAGACTACAAATATGGTACAGTGTATACTGCTCGGGTGATGGGTGCACCAAAATCTCCCAAATCACCACCAAAGAACTTACTCATGTAACCAAATACCACCTGTACCACAATAACCTATGGAAAAATAAATTAATTAATTAATTTAAAAATCATGATAGGGCTGAGTTGTTTGCAAAATAAACTTTAGTCTTATAGTTAGCCTGATTATTTCCATAAAGTGCAGCAAGAACAATTATTTTTACATAGGTTTTTAAAATTGGATATGATGGAACTCTGTTCCTCAAGGCATCTCAGATAGGAGTTATTAAAGTTGAGCCCAGGCATGGGTTTGTACTCTCAAATACCTATGAGCTGGGTGAATTTCTCTCTTCTTGAGGTCCTAATAATATGGGGTTCCTGGGTCTGTTAGAAAATGACATTCTTTATTCACCACAGGTTAGGAATCCTATATGGAGACTGTGTAAACATGCTATCAGTACAGTTTTCCCAAGGAGATTTTATCAATTCTGTAAGCCAAGCTTGATTCCTTAAAGGGAAGCATATCCTTCTAGTAAAAACTTTGGTAAAAGAACCAGTTCCTCCAATTGTGTCCTGTTGCAAAAGAAAATAGCTTCTTGTTGTACTGGTGCAAAGAATCATGTTGCCATAAGTTAAGAATACTCACAGATAGTTTCCAAATTCTAGAGGAAACAGGCAGAGAGAAACAAACATGCTCCAAATTTTCTTCACAGGACTCTGCCTTACTCAATTATTAAAGACTGCAAATAGCATAAAATAAGTTTCCTTGACTCTGTAAAACAAGGATCAGCAATGTTTTAAGCAAAAGTTTGTTAAAAATTCCTTCAGTTTTCTATTAGTTCAGTCCATTTCATTAACAATTGTTCTGCTTGATATCCATAAACATTTAAGCTCTTCATGAGTCCTGTACTTTTTTCCTTTATTCCAACGTCACAATCTCCAAAGTTATCAGAACCCTGCATTTGAGAGCACTTGTCTCTCAGTTCTACAGCTGATTATAAACTCTTTTGAAGAGAATCAAAACAAGACAACAATTCTCTGTTAATAAGAAAACATCCAAGGTAGTTACAGTTAAAAACACAATTGACAAAGAAATTTGGTTATCTCTGTGGTTTACAATAACTTAACATAATAACCTTAATTATGATTGATAGCATATGCTCAGACATTAAAAATTTTAGGAATCCCATACGATTTTGTAACATATATTAATATTATTCACTTAAATATAACCTGAAGAAGATTAAGCATCATTTTGGCAAGTCCACGTACCTAAACATGTCAATTAATCCTGTTTACCTCTTTTGGATGCCCCAGGGGCCCTCTCTAGCATCCAACAGCTAGAGGTCAAGAAAGACAACCTTGAAGCTAAAATTTGATTTTGGGAAGCCTGTTTAATGTTAGAGTTTTGAAGCACTTGATATTATGAAACAGAATTTCAGATTACCCTAAGTTATTATTTTGCCAAAATGATGACTCAAAAAATGTTTAAATAGCAAAAAACTTAACTCTTTAAGAGGGAAGACTTCGCATTCCAAACAGTTTGTCTCCTGTCTTCTCTTTCTTCTCCTTGACAGTCTATCCACAAGGCAAATGAAAATCATTCATTATCCTTTACTGTTATATGAAAATCTTGTACAAGGGAGAGAAAGCCAAATATAACACTTACATTAGTTTACCGTTTATGTCAATCCCAGCTTTTCTAATGAAACCTTATAGACAATTCTATCCGAACTTAACCAGTTTAACCATGAGGTGAGATTCTTATAAAACTTTTATAACGCTTTACACATTTTGCTAAAGAGCAGATTAGTGCCTTAAGGAAACCTTGTTGTGTTTTTACTTCAATGCTCAATTTACAGAAAAACCATATAATATCCATTTGAATTTATTTTGCAAGGTTAATTTTTTAAAACATCCCATAACTTGTTTAAACCTTTAGCTTTATTTTATCTAATTTAAAACAATCCTTTAGCTCTAGGCAAATATTTCCATTTTCATGCTTTCTTATAATCTTTCACTAAAAACACATTTTACCATTCTTACACACCTTGCATGTAAATCCATTTTAAGTGGTCTCAATTACATGTTATAATGATAATTCTTTACCATTAAACGGCAAATTTTAATTTTAGTGTAAAACCTGGTAAGTTGTTTTAATTATGCATTAAGTGCTGATGAAGTTTGATTCCTTCCAGCATAGTTAAGGGCATGGTGGCCAGTCAAACAGCTCTCAAAGGCCAAAAAAGCAGTTTGCAACCTTAAAACATTTAGCAAACCTAGTATCTGACTTGCACAATTTAGATCACCTATTTACATTTTAATGACATTTGTATTTTCCTATAATCTTTAAGACTGTTTTTATTTCTCAAAGATTAGTCATGTGAACTAAAAAGCAGTACAGCTTTTACTTTTCCTTCAAAAACTTTGATCTAAGAGCTTATTTTTCTTTAAGCCAATTAAATATAGCTATTTTTTATATACATCACATACAACATATATAACTACACAGACAAACAGAAAATCCAGTAGTTATAAGATTTTTCATTTGCCAATCTCTCAATTGGATTACTAGTCTCAAGTGGGGCCTTTTAAAAGCAGGGCTAGGAAAACAAGCAGTTTCTAGGGACTAATAAACAGGTATAGGTAGAAGACAAAACTAGATTTTGAGAGGGATCTATCTGCATCTAATTCCTGGGGTTCCATAAGGAAAACAGAGGTTGCTCCCAAAATGGAATCTGTGGCACCTTTTTTGTTTTTCCCAAGGAGTCCCAGGCAATCAGAAATTACCTTAGGGACTCTCAAGCGTGCATTAAGAATGGCAAGACAAGATGGAGAAAAGTAATTCAGTCAACTAATTAAAACCTATTTCCAGCAAAATAAGATCCAAGAAGAAAAAACATAAAGGCCTTTTAAATATGCCTATAACTTGGATATCCATTTTTAATTAAGCTGAGCATTCTTTAAGAAAGTCCTTTTAAATCTCTTATTACCTGACTTTAGCCATGCCAAACAGCCAATATTTCTGGATTTTGAATTTTATCAAAAGTAACCTCACAGGTGAAACCAACAAGTCTCAATTAAAGTTATGTCTTAACTGTGAGCATACAAGATATTTTCAAGACATAGTAAGCAGTTTTTTTACAAAATCTAGAACCTTTATGGCTCAGGGAAAGGATGATTTAAGAAAGGAAGCTAGAACTTGTTCATGAGAGGGGAAGAGAATTAGCAAATGGCATAAGTCACGCAGATATCAACCTGAAAGCACTCATTCCCCAAGCCAGGATTGAACCTGGGCCACCATTGTAAAATGGCGGAGACTAAAACAAAATACTGTCATATGGTTACAGGTCATGCTCCTAAAGACATAAAATAAGATGGAGGCCTGCAGCAAAGTTTGTTACTGACCAGATTGCAGGGCTGACTTAAACAGTGGGCTTATGGGGTCCTTGGCCCACATGATATCCTAAGGTACCCCTTTTTTTCTAACAGAACCATACTGAAAGACACACAAAGCACACCAGATTGGTTACAGCTTAAGAACAACTTCATAAATCCTTTTTCATTAACCAAAACTTTACAGAGAATATAAACAGTGGTCCTTGTCATTCCTTTTCTTCATGGGCGTCCGTGTGAAGAGACCACCAAACAGGCTTTGTGTGAGCAGCATGGCTGTTTATTTCACCTGGGGGCAGGCGGGCTGAGTCCGAAAAGAGAGCCAGTGAAGGGAGATAGGGGTGGGGCCATTTTATAGGATTTGGGTAGGTAAAGGAAAATTACAGTCAAAGGGGGGTTGTTCTCTGGCGGGCAGGAGTGGGGGTCGCAAGGTGCTCAGTGGGGGTGATTTTTGAGCCAGGATGAGCCAGGAAAAGGACTTTCACAAGGTAATGTCATCACTTAAGGCAAGGACCGGCCATTTACACTTCTTTTGTGGTGGAACATCATCAGTTAAGGTGGGGCAAGGCATACTCACTTCTTCTGTGATTCTTCAGTTACTTCAGGCCATCTGGGCGTATACGTGCAAGTCACAGGGGATGCGATGGCTTGGCTTGGGCTCAGAGGCCTGACATTCCTGCCTTCTTATATTAATAAGAAAAATAAAACAAAATAGTGTTGAAGTGTTGGGGCGGTGAAAACTTTTGGGGCTTGGTATGGAGAGAGAATGGGCGATGTTTCTCAGGCCTGCTTCAAGCGGGATTAGGGGCGGCGTGGGAACCTAGAGTGGGAGAGATTAAGCTGAAGGGAGGTCTTGTGGTAAGGGGTGATATTGTGGGGATGTTAGAAGAAACATTTGTCATATAGAATGATTGGTGATGGCCTAGATACGGTTTTGGATGAATTGAGAAACTAAATGGAATAACAGAAGGAGAAAGACAGGTATAAAAGGTCTAAGAATTGGGACGACTCAGAATATCTGATTAGAGAGTGCCTAAGGAGATTCAGCATAGTCCTGCCAGCAAAGATTATTTATTTACTTCAAGAGTTAAGAGTGGCAGTTTGGGGATAGCACCAGGAGATATCAGCTGTGATGGCTTGGAGAAACAGTGTAAACCGGCAGTGTAAACAAGAGCAGGGCGTGTATGAGTAGTCGAGAACGGTGAATAGGAGTATGACTAGACAGAAGATAGTAGTGATGACAAGTTTTTTGGGGCACAGTCTACGTTGGTCTGGTGTCTGGAATGAGACTGGGGCCTAATAAAAAGGAGCGTCTATACAGGAACTTAAATGGGCTGTACCCTGTAGCATTCCAAGGACAGGCCTGAATTCTGAGAAGGGAAAGTGGTAAAAGTATTGTCCAGTCCTTTTTAAGTTGGTGGCTGAGCTTGGTGAGGTGTGTTTTTAAAAGACCTTTAGTCCATTCTACTTTTCTTGAAGACGGAGGACCGTAAGGGATATAAAGGTTGCACTGAATACTAAGAGCCTGAAAAACTGCTTGGCTGATTTGACTAATAAAGGCTCGTCCGTTATCAGACTGTATTGAGGTGGGAAGGCTAAACTGAGGAATTATGTCTGACAGAACGGAAGAAATGACTGCGGTGGCCTTCTCAGACCCTGTAGGAAAGGCCTCTACCTATCCAGTGAAAGTATCTACCTAGACTAAGAGGTATTTTAGTTATCTGACTCAGGGCATGTTGAGCAAAGCTAATTTGCCAGTCCTGGGTGGGGCAAATCCTCGAGCTTGACGTGTAGGGAAGGGAGGGGGCCTGAATAATCCCTAAGGAGTAGTAGAATAGCAGATGGAACACTGAGAAGTTATTTCCTTGAGGATAGACTTCCACGATGGAAAGGAAATGAGAGGTTCTAAGAGGCAGGCTAGTGGCTTGTACTATAGCATAGCCTGCCTTTGCTGGTGTGTGGCGATTAGGCCTGTTGGAACTGCCATCAATAAATCAAGTGTGATCAGGGTGAGCAACAGGAAGGAAGGAAAAATGGGGAAATGGGGTGAATGTCAGGTGGATCAGAGAGATACAGTCATGGGGGTCAGGTCTGGTATCAGGAATAATGTGGGAGGCCGGATTCAAGTCTGGGCCAGGAACAATGGTAACTGTGGGAGACTCAACAAAGAGTGAGTATAGCTGAAGGAGCCGGGAAGCAGAAAGTATATGCGTCAGGTATGAGGAAGAAAATAGATTTTGGAAGTTATGAGAACTGTGGAGAGTGAGTTGAGCATAGTTTGTGATTTTGAGGGCCTCTAAAAGTATTAAAGCAGCGGCAGCTGCTGCACACAGACATGAGGGCTAGGCTAAAACAGTAAGGTCAAGTTGTTCGGACAGAAAGTCTACAGGGTGTGGTCCTGGCTCTTGTGTAAGAATTCTGACCGTGCTAACCATGCCTAGGAAGGAAAGGAGTTGTTGTTTTCTAGAAGGTGCTTGGGTTTGAGAGATCAGTCGGACATGACTGGCAGGGAGAGCACGTGTGTTTTTATGAGAATTATGCCGAGATAGGTAACAGATGAGGAAGAAATTTGGGCTTCATTGAAGTAATGGGGGCTGTCTGTGAAGCTTTGCGGCAGTACAGCCTAGGTAATTTGCTGAGCTTGATGGGTGTCAGGGTCAGTCCAAGTGAAAGTGAAGAGAGGCTGGGATTAAGCGTGCAAAGGAATAGTAAAGAAAGCATGTTTGAGATCTAGAACAGAATAATGGGTTGTAGAGGCAGGTATTGAGGATAGGAGAGTATATGGGTTTGGCAGCACGGGGTGGATAGGCAGAACAATTTGGTTGATAAGGCGCAGATCCTGAACTAACTTGTAAGGCTTGTCTGGTTTTAGGACAGGTAAAATGGGGGAATTGTAAGGAGAGTTGATAGGCTTTAAAAGGCCATGCTCTAGCAGGCGAGTGATAACAGGCTTTAATCTTTTTAAAGCATGCTGCCAGATGGGATATTGGCGTTGAGTGGGCTAAGGGTGATTAGGTTTTAATGAGATGGTAAGGGGTGCATGATCGGTCGCCAAGGAGGGAGTAGAGGTATCTTATACTTGTGGGTTAAGATGGGGGAATACAAGAGGAGGACGCAAAGGAGGCTTTGGATTGGGAAGAAGGGCATCAATGAGATGCGGCTATAATCCAGGAACAGTCAGGGAAGCAGATAATTTGGTTAAAATATGTCGGCCTAATAAGGGAACTGGGCAGGTGGAGATAACTAAAAAAGAGTGCATAAAAGAGTGTTGTCTAAGTTGGCACCAGAGTTGGGGAGTTTTAAGAGGTTTAGAAGCCTGGCCGTCAATACCCACAACAGTTATGGAGGCAAGGGAAACAGGCCCTTGAAAAGAAGGTAATGTGGAGTGGGTAGACTCCGTATTAATTAAGAAGGGGACGGACTTACCCTCCATTGTGAGAGTTACCTGAAGCTCGGCGTCCGTGATGGTCTAGGGGGCTTCTGAGGCGATTGGGCAGCGTCAGTCTTCAGCCGCTAAGCCAAGAAGATCTGGGAAGCAGTCAGAGAGCCTTGGGCCAGAGTTCCAGGGGCTCTGGGAGTGGCTGCCAGGTGAGTTGGACAGTCCGATTTCCAGTGGGGTCCCGCACACATGGGATGTGGCTTAGGAGGAATCCTGGGCTGCAGGCATTCCTTGGCCTGGTGGCCACATTTCTGGCACTTATAGCAAGCTCCTCGGGGAGGAGGTTCTGGAGGAATGCCTGGCCGCTGCGGTTCAGGCGTTTGGAAGTTCTTGTGTGCTGGAGATGTGGCTGGGGTTTGTCTCACAGTGGAGGCAAGGAATTGCAACTTTTTTCTATTATTGTACACTTTGAAGGTGAGGTTAATTAAATCCTGTTGTGGGGTTTGAGGGCCGGAATTTAATTTTTGGAGTTTTATTTAATGTCGGGAGCGGATTGGGTAATAAAATGTATATTGAGAATAAGACGGCCTTTCGACCTTTTAGGGTCTAGGGCTGTAAAGTGTCTCAGGGTTGCTGCCAAACGAGCCGTGAACTGGGCTGGGTTTTTATATTTGATGAAAAAGAGCCTAAACGCTATCTGATTTGGGATAAAGAAAAAGGAGCATTAACCTTGACTATGCCTTTGGCTCCAGCCACCTTTTTAAGAGTAAATTGCTGGGCAGGTGGGGGAGGGCTAGTCATGGAATGAAACTGTAAGCCGGACCAGGTGTGAGGAGGGGAGGTGATAAAAAGATTATAGGGTGGAGGAGCAGAGGCTGAGGAAGAATTGGGACCTAGCTCGGCCTGGCGAGGAGCAGCCTGGGGAGGAAGGGAGAGGTCAGATTGGTCTGTAGAAAAGGAAGATTAGAAAGACTCAGCGACGCTTGGGGTTGGTACTGAGGGGACAGGCGGGAGGGAAAGAAGGAAGATTTGGGATGAGTTGCACTGGGCACAGAGACTAGGAAGGGACTGCTGTGTAAAAGAATGCCTGGAAGTCAGGCACCTCAGACGGTTTGCCTATTTTATGACAAGAATTTAGATTTTGCAGGATGGAAAAATTCAAAGTGCCATTTTCTGGCTATTTGGAACTACTGTCGAGTTTGTATTGGGGTCAAGCAGCATTGCAGAAGAAAATAAGGCATTTAGGTTTTAGGTCAGTTGTGAGTTGAAGAGGTTTTAAGTTCTTGAGAACACAGGCCAAGGGAGTAGAAGGAGGAATGGAGGGTGGAAGGTTGCCCATAGTGAAGGAAGCAAGCCCAGAGAAAAGAGAGAGTAGAGAAACGGAGGGAAGGGGTTTGGGGGTTCTTACCTTCCAGAAAAGTGGGAAAAGGGGTTGGGGCACAGAGATAAGAGGTCGGGGTGTGGAAATAAGGGATTGGGGCACAGAGATAAGAGGTCGGGGTGTGGAAATAAGGGATTGGGGTGCAGAGATAAGAGGTCGGGGCGTGGAAATAAGGGATTGGGGGTTCTTGCCCAGTAGAAAAGCGGGACTTGCCGCTAAGGGTGAAGGAGAAGGGGTTGAGGGGTACTTGCCCCTCTCCCAGAAAAGCAGAGAAGGGGTAGGAGACAATGAGAGAAAGGGTTGAGGTACTTGCCCCTTCCCCAGAAAAGCGGGACTTGCGGCTAAGGGTGAAGGACCAAGGCAGGCATCCCTGCATGGTCTGACACCTTATTCACCCACGTTTCAAATCAGAGAGGTGTCCCTGCAATGATTAAACACCAAGGGAAGGCTGCCTTCCCAGTTCGTGACCGGCGCCAGAGTTTTGGGTCCACGGATAAAACGTGTCTCCTTTGTCTCTACCGGAAAATGAAAGGAATTGAAATTAAGAGAAGGGAGAGATTGAAGTGTGGCGCCAAGATTGAAAGGAGAAAGAGGTAGAGGGATAGTGAGGGAGGTTGGAGAAGAGAGTAAAAAGAGGTCGCTTACCGGATTTGAAATTGGTGAGATGTTTCTTGGGCTGGTCGGTCTGAGGACCTGAGGTCATAGTTGGATCTTTCTCACGGAGCAAAGAGCAGGAGGACGGGGGATTGATCTCCCAAGGGAGGTCCCCAGATCCAAGTCACGGCACCAAATTTCATGTGCGTCCATGTGAAGAGACCACCAAACAGGCTTTGTGTGAGCAACATGGCTGTTTATTTCACCTGGGTGCAGGCGGGCTGAGTCCGAAAAGAGAGTCAGTGAAGGAAGATAGGGGTGGGGCCGTTTTATAGGATTTGGGTAGGTAAAGGAAAATTACAGTCAAAGGGGGGTTGTTCTCTGGCGGGCAGGAGTGGGGGTCGCAAGGTGCTCAGTGGGGGTGCTTTTTGAGCCAGGATGAGCCAGGAAAAGGGCTTTCACAAGGTAATGTCATCAGTTAAGGCAAGGACCGGCCGTTTACACTTCTTCTGTGGTGGAATGTCATCAGTTAAGGTGGGGCAAGGCATATTCACTTCTTTTGTGATTCTTCAGTTACTTCAGGCCATCTGGGCATATACGTGCAAGTCACAGGGGATGCGATGCCTTGGCTTGGGCTCAGAGGCCTGACACTTTTACCAGTTTGCAGAGGGAGAGAGAGGCCAAAAGTCTGACTGGTAAAAAAAAAACTTTTACCCTTTTGCTGGCATGTCAGGCTTCTGGGTTCCCTTCCCCCAAGCTCAATTCTTAACCAACCAGTTTAAGGTGTGGGAAATTAACTTTTCTCAGTTTGGAGGATGCATCTGAGGGGAGTATCCTGTAGTATGGGGACACAATTACCTATCTGTGTAGAGAGGACAGAGGAGGAAAAAGGAGAAAAGAAGGTTTTTTGGTTTTTTGTTTTTTGTTTTCAAAGGAACTCCAGGGATTCAGAATGCATTCAAAAGGGGGACAGACTGAAAAATGAATGGCCATTCAGCTAGAAAGTGGGGAGTCAGGTGTTCCTGGTTCCTTTCTCTTCCTAGTGAATACCTGGGGGTACATAAGGGAGAGAAAGAAAACGGATCCTTTTTCCTTTTACTATCATTATATCCCTCAGTCCTGAAAACCTCAACAGGGTGCTGCCCATGGGTGCCAATGTGGCTTTCACCCATGCTAATAGGAAGCATAGGGGATGGCATTATCTGCTCTTACCCTTTCCGACTGCTGTCAGTAGCCTTTTAGTTCCCTGCACCTCATTTATTCCATGGATACTAACACAACCTCTATCCATGAAATGGGAGGCTTGGCTTAATCCGCAGGAATTAATCATGCCCACCTGCACTGCACCTATTAACTTCCATTGTTGTCTGCCTCTGGATCCCTTAGATCCAATTTTCTTTCCTAGCTGTTTGACCTGAAGCTTGGAATTGAGTTTGTGACCAAAGAACTGCCTCAGGGGAATGCATAGACTTATCAAGCCCCAGGTGTCCCTCACCAGACCAGCTGCTGCCTCCTTATCATAAGCTGAATGCTAAGGTGGAACTGTGCAATTGGGTCCTTCTCAAACAAGGGAAGGAAAAAGGGTGCCCTGTGAATTGGGATCCTGTTCTAATAAGATGGCTTTCAAGAACAAAACCTCTTACATAAAAGTTAACTCCTGACAGGGTGGAGAAAAGAAAAAAATGTAGCTTAAGTGTGGGGCTGTGAAGATGCCTGGAGGAATAACCTCTTATTCTTATGCAAATGGACTTCTCTAACAGGGAGAGAAACTTTTAATTGTTGTGGGACCCAGCTGGACTCCAAGGCTGGGGGAGGGGAAGGCTCCATGGATGTGTGGCAGGAAACACTAGCCAGCTGGCCATGCTGGTCCTGGGCCCCTGAGGCAGCCTTGGGGCCCAGGCAGCAGCTGTGGCTCATTCCAACCTGGCATGGCCATTGGACATTGCACACACATGCGGCAGACATGGCTGTGTGCCCCAGCCAGGAGGGAAGAGGGACAGGGAGCCGCCACTCACCCGTGCGTCCTGAGTGTGTGCCCCTGGCCATTGGGGTGGAGGTAGAACACCCCCAGTATTGTAAAAGAAATGATAGGTGCCATTACAGTCCTGAAGAAAAGAAAGAAAATGCCATAGAAAAGACTGGGTTGGACTGAGGCTGACATTCCTGACCCCTAAGTGCAATGGCAGAGGGGCAGTTTCTCTTGCACTGAGAAAAAGTCTGAGGACGAGAACACCCAGAAATGAAAGTGAAAAAGATTTTTTGGGTCCACATTTTGCTCACCCTTCCTCATGTCCCCATATGGGCCACGAAAATGATGCATGATTTTTTGCTCCTTTAGCTAAATCCGGGTTCCTGTCTCACAACCAGGAAAAATTAGGCATGCAAACGTATTAAAAGTTAAGGAGGATGGAATTTATTAAGTGAAAGAAAAGCTCTCAACAAAAAGAGGGGTCCTTCACAACAGGTTTCCACCTCAAAAACTGAATAGTAGGCCACCACACATGAGTTGCAGAGGCCAGGCCTCTCCTCTGCATAAGGTGCAAATTCTTGTTGGTTCCACCCCGTTCTTCCAGTGAGCATGCGGGCCCTTAGTCTGAGCCACTCCACATTGATTTATTTCCCTTGCTGTGCATGTGTTAAAGGATGGAATTTTTCACCATGGGCATGTGTAGGCAAACCCCCTGTGCACAATAACCTGGGCAAGCCAGAGGTTCTCCAGGGACCATTCTCTTTTTGCCTGGGCATTTCACTGTCTCCTGCCTCTGTCAGTTCCAGACAATAAATTCCACTCATGGTGATTCATTGACTTTATCATATCTTAAGAAGTGGAAAACATTAGTTATTAACTCCACGGACAAAACATATATAAAGGCAAACATCCACCACAAACAAAATGTATCCAACAAAGCTTTCATGATTAAAGAGTCTTCTTTTTAATAGGCTTTTATTCGAAGTTGGTGAAAATAGCTTCTCAAACCTTCATGAAAGCTTCAAAGTAGGAAACACTGGATGATTCGTTAAAAAGATACATATATATATATATTTTTCATGGTTAATTTGGTATCATTTATTTTTAAGTATTGGTAACTCAATGAAGTGAAATATTTGCATTAGCACTGATTGAGTGAGAGTCACATATCTCTTGTTATCAATCAAGATATTGTATATACAGCAGGGACCCAAGTGCAGAGTGGGTACAGTGTGCATAAAACTATTTCAAGCATGATGTCATTTAAAGCCATATTACAACACCAAATGTTTTGCAACACACCAGAATGCCCATTTCTAAACAGAAAGCCTTGTTGAGGTGTTGCAGTTTGCAATCGATGCTTAAAACTATTTATTTCAATTGTTTGAAATCAATGCTTAAGTATTTCCTATCTCAGCATGGATTTTGGAGAGGTAGATGTTCATAGGCAAAGAGAGAAAGAAGCACAACAGATATGCCAAAGCTTTAGAAAAGTTCATGTTGCTGAGTAACAAAAATTTTGAAACTTCAGGTCAAGTCATGTTAGGGACGATGAAAAAATATTATTTTTAAAGTTCTACTAGATCCCATGGATGATAAGAGACTCTGCATTCATTTGTATCACTTAACTTTTACTGTATAACAATCCGCTTCAAAACTTGGCAGATTAAACAAAAAGCATTTATTTACTTCAAGATTTTGCAGTTTGGGAATTTAGGCTCTGCTCACCTGGATAGTTCTCCTGTTTATCTTGGCTGAATTCATTTATACATCTGCACGTAGCTTCTGGGAATTGGCTTGTTATCAACTATAGCAATGGGGGTGAATGTGTCATGTATTTCTCATCACCCAGAAGACTACCCTACACTTCTTTTACTTGGTGGCTAGGGTCCAAAAGAGGACCAGACTCAATGTGCAAGCACTTTCAAAACCTCCGTTTACATTGCTTGCTAGCGTTCAACTGGCCAAAGTTTATCAAATGGCTAATTTCAGATTAAAAAGTAGAGAAATACACTCCACTTTTTAATGGAAGGAGGTACAAAGTCATGTTGAAAAGTGTCACGCAGACAAGAATGGAAGGAATTGTTGGGGCACTTTGAAAACAGTCTAAAACAACATCATCTTTAATATTAGAAATAACCATTGAGGTACATATTCATATTCTCATTTCTTTAGAGAAGCAGAATTTAACGTTCGGAAAGTTTGAATGACTTGCAAACATTTCACATTAGCGGAGCATGGTTTAGAATCCAACTTTGTCTGACTCCAAGTCCTATTATTTGCAATACATGAGGAATCTTCCTGGAAAATCATTAGTGCCAGTTGTTGAGATCCACTGAAGATCCTTGATTCTGATGGTAAAATGGTGAAAAAGTTTTATGAAGATGGCTTCATGTGTTAAAGAGAATAAAATGAGCTGAGATTAAAGAGAATTTTCCCTGTGTTGTAGAAACTGGGATTATGCATTGGATTCTAGGCATGGACACAAGTATCTTCTAGCACACCAGGAAAATAGCCAATTATTCAGGACCCTACAAGCAGCTATTTTGTATCCTCACAGCAGTAAAATACGTTCTGTTTTCACAGGTAAATAATTTTCTTCTTAAAGTTGCTTGATGGATGCACTTTCAGAAACTCTATTTCTTATAGTCCTCAAGAACCTTAGTTTTCATACAATGAAAACCACTGTAAACAAAAACTAGCACTTTATTTAAAAGACTTTTTATTTTCAAGCATTCCATCTATTCCAAAACATGCTGAATAAAAAATATTTGCTACACTACCTATTTGAAGTTGAACAAAATCTCAATTTCTTCCATTGAACAAATGTGCCCTATCACAAAATACACTTATATAGGAAGAATTAAGTTTAAAACCCGATTGTTCACTGAACACTCCTTTTCATAAATGAGCACACATTGCTTATTGCATTCCAGTACCTGGTTTTGAATAAACAATAAAATGTAAATATCTCATAATTCCATAAAATGAATGGCTACTTCCCCAGTGGATGGTTTTCAAAAGGATTTGTAGAAAATAGTCATCCACCTTCATTTTCTTCTGTTTCCCCTGGATAGTTAACATTTTCTATTTCAGGGAGTATTTTTGTGCCTAAGCATAGACTCTTTTGTTGTCAGTTTCTTTCCCACCCTAGTTCTTTGAGGTAATGGCTCAGGTTCTATTACTGCCTACCACACATGCATTCTGAAGCACATACATAACTCATGGAGGTTTTCACTCATTTTATTTTCAGAGGAGCTAATAATCTTAGTCTCCATCCCATATATCTCTGAGAGTTATTCAAAGTCAAGACTAAAGACTGCAAAGCCCTATAGAAGTAGAATTTAAAGTTTAGCCCCTATTCCACAGTTTATTGACTGTGTGCCCTCAAGAAACATATCGCCTTTTAGGACTGTAGGTTTTTATTTGTAAAAATGGAATAACAACAATAACAGCTACTAACTGAAAGGGTTAAAGTGAATATCTCAGAGACAAAGAGCTATGCCCTGAAGTCTTTAATTCCATTAAGACCATTAATAAGAAACCAAAGCAGTTTCTCAAGAAATAGTGTTGTCAGTAGTATTAAATTCAGCTTTAGAAGGCAGCTGTTTCCTGAGTAATGGAGGCTCATGATTTCAGAGATGAATAGCATGTAATCAGAAAATGCAAGATATATTCTTTCCTGGGTCAGGACAGCCTGGGACTCTTAAGAAAACACATTTTAAAGAATGGTATTTGATTTTTTTTTTTTTTTTTTTGAGACGGAGTCTCACTCTGTCACCCGGGCTAGAGTGCAGTGGCATGATCTCGGCTCACTGTAACCTCCGCCTCCTGGGTTCATACCGTTCTCCCACCTCAGCCTCCCGAGTAGCTGGGACTACAGGCACCCGCCACCACACCCGGCTACTTTTTTTGTACTTTTAATAGAGACAGGGTTTCACCATGTTAACCAGGATGGTCTTGATCTCCTAACCTGGTGATCTGCTCATCTCAGCCTCCCAAAAGGCTGGGATTACAGGCATGAGCAACTGCGCCTGGCCAAAGAATGGTATTTGACTTTTGATACTTGATCTCATATTCTGCTAGTTGCAGAAGCAATTAACGATGTTGAAAGATGCTCATGCCTGGGATTCCTAGGACCTCGCTTCCAAACCTAGCTCTCAACTTTCTGCCTGGCATTCTGGGGTGAATTCCTTTTTCTCTGAGCCTCAGTTTTATCATCTGTAAAACTAAAAGTCAAAATTATATTGTATGAGTGTGATTTACTAAGCAGGATATTGCTTGTCATTGAAAAAGTATTGATAGCCTAATTATACCTTTTCAAGCTAAATGACTTCCAGGCTTTCAACTTCTAGGGTATTGTCAATATGGTGGTGAGATATTATAGTGTCAGCCCTCAGTAAAACTGAGAAGTAAGTGATTTCTAAGTATTGTCATTTATAATTTCTGAATATTGTCATTTCTAAGTATTGTCAAACACACACCTAACCTTCTTCACCCAGGTGCCATTCCAAATAACCCAATATCCATAGTCTGTCCATTCTGACCAGGGGCTATATGGATAATTTTCCCCATCCCAAAGCCTTTCAAGATAGCCACTGCTCTGTCCCACTCATTTCAGGGATGTAGAGCCCTGCTCAAGATTTATTTCACCTGCTATTTTCTCAGATGACATTTCTTCAAAAGTCAGGGATAGATTGAAGAGTGGGTAGTAGCGAGCGCTCTATTCTCAATAAAAAACTTAACTGCAATATTACCTACCCTAAACTCTAAATGTGGAAGAAAAATTGTTGGGTAGAGAATAGGTATGAAAATGCTAATGAATGAGTAATTAAATGGTATGATTCTGTATTATGGTTTTGAGGGTAATAAAATATTGTCACTTTTACAATCAATAATTAATGAAAATGCCAAATAATGATGATGATGGCGATGATGGTGATGATGATGACAACGACTCATATCCATATAGATCATTTTAAATACTGAGTGTTTCATATTTTCCGAAACCCAAATACTTTATTTCTGTTATAGAAAGGTTACTAAATCCATAAAATTTTTGTTAAACTTCTTCAACTGATAAAACTTGACACAGTGCAATGATGATGTGAGCCTTGGTTTAAAATGCTCATTTTTATTCTTCATTTTGACTTGTCAATGACCAAAGTGAATCTCCTGCCTTCAAAGCATAAGACTTCTGGTAAGCTCTGCGTGTTCTGGAAAATTGATTTTCCTGTGCACGTTGCTGCTAGTGCCTCACTGATGAATGACCCTGCTAGTGAAACGCAATTTCTACTAAATCAACAAATAGTTGTTATAAGGGGCTATAAGTCTTATACTAGTCTTACAACAAAAGCTTCTATCTCCTGTTCCTTAATCCTTGTGAGATTCAAATGATGGGGAAGATTCCAATAAAACTTCCTCTTTGCTTATCTATTTTCTAGTTATTTCCTAAAATTCTGAGGAAGCAATTCAGTTGTGAAGAAAGAATGGTGTTATGTAATGTGGGTCAGGATACATCCTAGGGAATAGGGTCATTCAAGTGTCACTGGGAATGTCTTCCCATTAGGATTATGTCATAGATAAGGTTGTTGAATTGTCTTTGATGAAGGGAGGGAAAGAAGAAACAGGAAGGGAGGAGCAAGAAAAAAGGAAAAGGAAAGGTTAATTCTCAGAGAGTGCTATGGCCTGAATGTTGGTGTTCTCCCAAAATTCATATGTTTCAATGTAATACACAATGTGGTGGTATTAAGTGGGTGCTTTTAGGATATTATTAGTGACCTTATAAAAGAGGTTTGAGGGAGCCCTGCAGCCCCTTCCACCATGTGAGAACACAGAAGTTACCACCTATGATAATTAGACCCTGAATCTACTTGCCACCATTGTCTTGGACTTCCCAGCCTCCAGAGCTGTGAGCAATAAATTTCTGTTGTTTATATATTACCCAGTCTAAGGTGTTTTATCATAGAAGCCTGAATCTTTTAAGAGAGGGGGCATCTTGTGATTGTTAGACTTGGATTTATATAGAGATGAGTCATTCTTATTGGATTCACAGGAGAAAAGTGTTTAGTTTGAATGTGTTTTCTTGATTGTGACAATATCTCTGTTTCACTATTGTTTTGAGATTATATTAAAAGAAGAGAATTATCATGATTATCCTAATTGTATTGTTATATGATTACAATCAGTCCTAAGAATTATGCTTAGGTGTGTCCACTCAATATTTATTCCCTGTATTTTCCAGCTGTCAACTAGGTGTTCCCCACTCTTGGAGGATTGGTTTTGTGTAGGCAAGTAATTTTTTGTAAGTAGTGTGAGGGGTCTGCAGATGGATTTCTGTTAACAGTGGTGTAACACCATAATGGTGGATTTTAGGCATCAAATAGCAATAGACGTATCATCTTTCTTGATGGGTTGCTAGCAAAAGCAGCGTTATTCTCTCTATTCATTAGGACAAGTAGCTTTTAATAGCAAGGGAGGATTGGTAGTTGCATGAATGCTCTTTTATTCTGGCCCAATGAAGATAACTTTCTACCTAAAACATTTGAGAACTGTTGATGGAGATTGCACACTTATTTACTAAAATATAATTTTTTACTTATTTTCTGATGCTTTTTGGCTCTAGGCAGATATAATTTCTCTATTCTTTTCTACGATCTTATACTTTCAGTGTTCAGAAGCCACTGACGGCAGTTTTCACTGTTATTCTGTCTCCATTTTTCTCAAAGAAAAGTCCTCGACCTCATTACTGAGAATTTCACATTATTGCCTCTATTCTCTGAGACGTGAACTGCAATGTCTTTCTTCATTTATTATGCACAACTCTGATGTGTCCCAGCACATCTGTAGGGATCTTCCCTTTGGGTTCATCACCCAAGAAGGATGCCTGAGGGATCTGCAGGTGAGCATTTCTTATATGAATAATAGTATTAAGATTATTATGATAGAGGACAGACAATGGTCTGCTCTAATACTGCCTTCTGTGCAGCCTTAAGCTAAAAGAAGACAGAAGCCTATTCCATCATTAAATTTTGTGTTCTGCAGTGCCCCTACTTTGGAGGAGATACATAATAAGACAGGCCAGAAAGTAGCTGGCTTCTAGAAATCCAAAGCATCCTTCCTGGAGATGGCTGCTCAGAACTAATGCTTTGGGCTGGGGCTCTTTAACATAGAAACCTAACCGTACTTAGTGGATATGAATCTCATTTGTTTTGTACTCTTACCCATAAAACTCACCAGGCAAAGATACAGGGAATGGTAGATCTTGTCATTATCTGACAACAGGAACTTTTGAGTAAACTTTCTATTGAATGGCTACAGTATGGTGATAATGCCTCAGGGTTTACTAATCAACATCAACCATCAGATTACTAAATTTCTTCTGAAATATCAAGTGCCAAAAATAAAAAGAAGCTGAGAGTGATCACCAAAAGTGTATATACAGTCTAATCTGTAAGAACTCTGGAATTTCATATATGGTATGTTTTGCCCAAGGAACCATTTTTAGATTGTCTAAAAATCTACCTTTTAGCTTTAAACATTTGTCTAAGTACAAAGACAAATATTTTTCATTTTGGCACTGATAAGGTTTGGATGTTTGTCCTCTCCAAATCTCTTGTTGAAATCTGATTCCCAGTGTTGGAGGTGGGGCCCGGTGGGAGGTGATCATATCATGGGGGCAAATCCCTCAGGAACGGCTTATCTACTTGATGAAAAGTTCTCACTCAGTTACTACACTTGAGATATGGTTGTTTAAAAGTCTGGGATTTTTCCTCTCTCTCTCTCTCTCTTGCTTTTCCTCTCACCACGTGGTGTGCCTCCTCCCCACTTCCCCTTCCCCCATAATTGGAAGCTTCCTAATGCCCTCATGAGCCGCAAATGCTGGTGCCATACATCCTGTAGAACTATTAGACAATAAAACCTCTTTTCTTTTTCTTTTTTTCTTTTTTTTTTCTTTTTGAGACGGAGTCTCGCTCTGTCACCCAGGCTGGAGTGCAGTGGCGTGATCTCTGCTCACCGCAAGCTCTGCCTCCCAGGTTTACTGCACTCTCCTGCCTCAGCCTCCTGAGTAGCTGGGACTACAGGCGCCTCCACCACGCCCGGCTAATTTTTTTGTATTTTTAGTAGAGACGGGGTTTCACCGTGTTAGCCAGGATGGTCTCGATCTCCTGACCTTGTGATCCGCCCTCCTCGGCCTCCCAAAGTGCTGTGATTACAGGTGTGAGCCACCGCCCCCAGCCAAAACCTCTTTTCTTTATAAATCACCCAGCCTCAGATATTTCTTTATGGCAGCACAAATGGACTAAAACAGGCACCAAACCAATAAAATCATAGGTATTATTAGAAATATATCAAATAAATAAATACACATATACATATACACACACACATACATATGGAGAGAGTGAGAGAGAGAGAATTTCTGAGGTATGGTAGAAACTGGAAGGCAGACAGTAAGCCTCAGGTGGAAGATAGTCTCAGAAGGAAGCTGCAGTCAAGATTAAATGTGAGAACATTATCCCATCAGAAAGGGAGAATCAGCACAAGAGGTGGTTTACATCTGGAGATAGAAGAAGTCAGAAGCAGGTAGAGACTTAAGGAAAACTGACAGGGTAGTTATATGGCTATCTCTGCATACTTACCCGGACAATGTAGTCCCTGTGCTGTAGATACCTGCTTCCCCTTTTAAGCCAAATGGCAGCAGCAATTAGAGCTCATGGGAAAAATTATTGAAATTAGAAACCCAAAGATCAAGCCAACATCATCTTTTGCTTAAGTTACTGTAGTATTCTTCTAATTTTTCTTCTTGCTTCCATCCTTGTCCTCCCAAAACCTATTCTTATCAGGCAGCATGCAATTTCCTTTTATAATATACATTAGAGTATGCCTCTCCCCTGTTCAAAGAACTGTTCAAAGTACTCCACTGACTGTCATACATGAATAAAATCAAAAGGGCTCCCCATGGCTTTCAGTGCTTTGTATAATCTGCCCAAGCCCACCACTTTAACCCTATCATTTTTTATTATTTTTCTCCTCAGCAGGCTCTGGCTATACTGACTTCCTCTTTGAAGTACATTTCTCCTCTGAGATTTACATCTAATCTTTTCTCTGGTAACTGGATGGTCCATGTCATTACATGATTCAAGTATTCGCTCAAATGTCGCTTCCTCAGAGAGGCCTTTCTGACCACTTTTTCTAAAGTCCTCCTTCACTCTCCATTCTTTATGCTTTTTTTTTTCTTCACAGCACTCACTAATAGGCATATATAATAGGCATTCAATACACAGTTGTTAAATATTGATTGAAAAAATGAATAGTAAAAAATATAGAGAGCAAGAAACAAAAGCAGAACCGCGCATTAGTGAGGTGGAGGGCTGAACCGGGAAATTTTTCCAGAAGAAAGTAGAAAAGGATAAAGAGATGTCATATCAATGACATATTAAGGGAAACGGAAAATAAATCTATGCATTCCAACCTCTTTCAAATCAGAGTTCCAGAGGGAGAAAGTAGAGGGAATAGAGGGAAGGGAGTAAGATAATGTTTGAGAAAAAATGAGATAACTAAAATTTTTCAGAACTAAAGAAACACTTGAATGCTGTGAAGCATACACTTTGTATCTAGTAGGGCATACTTAAAAACAACAAATACTAAGTCTACAAAGAAACACACTGCAGTGCTATTTCAAAAATGTTAAATACCTAAGAATAAATCTAAGCAGAAGTGTGTCAAATAATTAGAGTAAAAGCTATAATTTTTTTTCTAATTAATATCAATAGAGACCTGCATAAATTCAAAGTTATAACATGGTCTTGGGTGAGAATATTCACATTTTATTATTTATTTTCATCTGTCTACTTTAGATTTAATTTTCTCTTCTTTTTTGTTTAGTGTCCTAAGGTAGAAGTTTCAATTCCTGATTTTAGATCTTTCTTTTTTTCTAATATTTTTTTTTCTAATCAATGCTAAATATTTCACTTTAAGCACTGATTTTACTGCATCCCACAAATTTTGACAAGTTCTAACTTCATTTATATTTAGTTTAAAATATTGTATTTTAAATTTTATCTTGAGAATACTTTTTTGACCCATGTATTCCTTGGAAGTATGTTGTTTAATCTCAAAAGTATCTAGGGATTTTCTAGCTGTCTTAATGTTATTGATTTCTGGTTTAATTCCATTGTGATCTAAGAGCCTAGTCTGTATGATTTCTGTGTTTTTAAATTTGTTAACATGTTTTATGATTCAGAATATGGATTTATCTTGGCAACTGTTTCACGTGAGTTAAAGAAGAATGTGTATTCTGCTGTTATTGGATAAAGTAGTCTATAAGTGTCAAATAGATCCAGTTCATAGAAGGTGCTGTTCAGTTCAAATATGTTCTTACTGATTTTCATCTTCCTGAATCTGTCAGTTACTGAGAAAAGTGTGTTGATGTCTCCAACTATAATAGCAGATTTGTCTATTTCCTTTTGCAGTACTATCAATTTTTATCTTGTGTATGTTGATGCTCTGTTGTTAGATCCAAACCTTCCTATAATGATGTAATGTCTTCTTGGAGAATTGACACCTATATCATTACGTAATTCCCCTCTTTATCCCTGATAAGGATAATTTCTCCATATATAGAATTTTAGGCTGATGGAATTTTTCCTTCAACACTTTAGATATTCTCTCATCTTATTATTTATGTGATTTCTGAAAAGAAGTCCAGTGTCATTCTTATCCCTGCTTCTCTATAGGTAAGTCTTATCCCTCTGGTTTCTTTCAAAATTTTATCTTTCTCTCTGATTTTCTGTAGTAATAATATGCTATAAAGTTTGTTGATATTTATTCTGCTTGGGGTTCTCCGAGCTTCCTGGATCTGTGATTTGGTGTCCGACATTAATTTTGGGAAATTCTCAGTCATTAGTGCTTCAGATGTTTCTTCTATTTCTTTTTTTCTTTTTATCCTTCTGGTATTTCCATTATGCATATGTTACACCTTTTGTAATTGTCTAACAGTTCTTGAATATTATTGTCCACTATTTTATTCTCTATTATTTCAGTTTTATTGACATTTCCTCAAGCTCAATTATGCCTAATCTATTGATAAACACATCAAAAATATTCTTCATTTTTATTTCTAGCGTGTCCTTTTGATTCTTTCTTACAGTTTCCATCTCTGCTTACATTACCCAACTGTTTCTCCACATTGTTCACTTGTTCTAAGAGAACCCCTATAATATAATTTATAGTTGTTTTAAATTTATGTTATGATACTTTTAATATCTCTGCCATATTTAAGTTTGGTTCTGATGCTAGCTCTGTCTTCTCAAACTGTGTATTTTGACTATTTGACCTGCAAAAATTTGCAGATATACCCTGCAATTTTTTACTTAAAGCCAAAGACGATATTCTGAGTAAAAGGAACTGAGTGTAAATAAGCTTCCAGTGAGAGGTTTTATGTTCATATGGCTGGGGTTTAGGTTGTGTTTACTGTTTACTCTAAGTGTCAAAGGCTAAAATTTCCTTTGGTATCCTTCCTTTTTTTTTTTTTTCCTTGTCTTTGAAATTCTCTAGATGCTTCTTGAATAAGGCCTGACCCATGCAGTTCTTTGCGTTGTATTCCCACATTATTACGCGTAAACCCTTTTGCTTTGGTGGTAAGATGTAGAGAGTGGGGAAACATTTTACAGTTCTACGCTTAGGTCTTAGTCTCTAAACGAGCTGTTATTCCCAACCTCTGACCTACACAGGTGTTTCTCTGTTTCTCCCTTCCCTTACTTAAGATAGGAAGCCTAGAGGAGGCTGTCTTTGGGCATGTCTTTCTTTCAGGTCAGTTAGATTCTGGTAAAACTTTAGTCAATTATGCTTTGGTGAAATAGTTTCTTTTGAGAGCAGGACTTATTAAGAAAAACGGAGTGCTCTGGGCATATTTCAAAATAGCTACTTTTTTCTCTCCCTGCTGGAAATATGACAGGATTTTTTTCTCCAATCTACTGCAAGAATCTGGTAGGACTCCCAGAGGTAAAACTCACAGAAGTGTTAGGAGCCCCTAAGACTGGGGTTTTTAACTCTCAAACTTGTCAATTTATCAATTACAACTTAAGTTATTTTTTTTACCCTTGTACTGGTTTCTGCTTTTATTTTTTTTGTTCTGGTAAAGTTGTGATTCTCTGTATATATGCCTTGCTGTCTCTCCACTCTTTTGGGCCATCAAATTTCCCCGTGACCTCTACTTTTATAAAAGGTATTAGGAAAAATTTGCTACCTGGATTTGGGGAAATAATATTATCGTATCCATAACTGACATAAGGACCTGGGATTATTTTTGGCTTTGTTTTACAGTGACTGTAATATTTTTACTTCTTATACAAAGAATGAATTCATTTTACATTTGTGCAGATAAATTTAGTGTTCTTAAATTTAAAATATGAGATTATAAATTCACGTGCACAATTCAATTTTTAAAAAGTATGTGTATATTTCTTCAGTGAACTTAAAAAACATGACATTTAAGAGTTCTTTGCATTATTAATCAACAAGAAAGATAAAACTAAACTCTTGCAGACTCTTACTATACACCTACAAAAATGGCTAAAATTGTAAATGCAGGTGATACCAGTGTTAGTAAGAATATGTAGAGCAATTGGAACTCGTGTCATACATTGCTGACAAGGGTATACGTGGTACAACCACTTTGTAAAACTGGTAGAATCTACTAAAACTATATTCCTTCAATTCCTAGGTATGCGTCTACAGAGAATGAGCGTCTTTGTTCACAAAAATTCTACTGCACAAATATATACACCTAATATGTACCTACAAAAATTAAAAAAAGATGAGGATAGCATTGAGTCTATAAATAACTTTAGGCAGCATGGCCATTTTCACAATATTGATTCTTCCTATCCTGGAGCATGGGATGTTTTTCCATTTGTTTGTATCCTTTCCACATCACACGCTGAGGCCTGTCAGGGGGTAGGGGGCTAGGGGAGGGATAGCATTAGGAGAAATACCTAATGTAGATGACAGGTTGATGGGTGCAGCAAACTACCATGGCACATGTATACCTATGTAACCTGCACGTTCTGCACATGTACCCCAGAACTTGAAGTATAATAATAAAAAAAGATACATACAACTATATCCATAGCAGATAATTCGATATAGCCATGAATTGAAAACAACTCAAATGTTTGTCAACTGTTGACAGAGTAAATAGTAATACAATGGAATATTACACAACAATAAAACATATCTGGTGAGAGATACAGACCCTGGAGAGACATGGGAAAGCCATTAGGGCTGCTGGAAGTATTTTATATTTTGACATGAGTTGTGGTTATATGGGCCTAAACATACATAAAAATTCCTCAAGATATACACCTAAGAATATTGCCATCAGTTTAAAGATTTCCATAAAAATTAATAAAAAATTAAAAATCAAGCAAAAAGTTGTCATTGCTGAATGACCTGCTGTTAGCTACAGGAAATTAGTTTTTCTTTGTGTTGTTTTCCATGCTTTTTAATTTTTCTATAATAAGCATAACTTTATTTATAATTTGAAATAAAGATCCCTAAGCTATGCTTCTGTTCTCAGTTTCCTTGTAGTATTAAACAGAGGCTTTTGACTTAGACGAAGAGTTTGTGCTTCAAAATCTCATGTCAGTAACAGGTACATAATAGGAGATTATTGAGTACCTCACCATGTGAATAGGGCCATAATTTTAATAACCATAATTATGCCTTCAGGAGATTTATGAGTATAATATGACTACAGAATTAATATGTTTTAAATTAAAATATTCAATAAGTCATCTAATTTTTGAATTTCCCATCTTTCCACTTCTGTCTTCAGCCCCCTACCATTGGTGCAGGGGATAGAAAACTTTTTCATTAATCTATTCAATTAGTTAATATTCATGGAGCACCTACTATATGCAATGTTTCATGCAAAGTGTTTGGAATAAATAGTGAGCAAAAATAGACACAGTCCTTACCCTCACAGAAACTAGATCAAATAACCACAAAAATAAATGAAAATGTCCCCTGTGTTAAGGGCTACAAAGAAGCACTCTATAACACTATGAAAGGGAATTAACTTTGATGTGCTGAGTACATGAGTATTGTGATGATAGAGGTACATATGTTAGTGCAGAATTTCATCAATTCAGGCACACACTTAGTTCCCTTTGTGGAATTTTGTAGTATGGTATCAAGTGTGAAATATACCAGTGTTTTTCAGTCCTGTGAGATGGAATTCTCTCTTTCTTGCAATAAATATATCACAGTGTTCCCTTTTAATATCCTGAAATTAAATTGTTAGATAATCTAACCTACCTACACATGTTTTTTAAAAAAATTATGTTGCCTCAATTATCATAAAAAAGAATGAATACCAAAATAAAATTTACAATGAGATAATGTGTGCTTCAGTATACAAATACTTGGGCACAACTATAGTAGAAGCTATAACAAAGCTATCAGGTGCTTGTACTAATGTGAGATATTACTATGAATATGACAGTAACAAATACTGATACAGGTGTTCTGTACTACTGACACAAGTACCACAAGTTGCATTATCTTTGGTGACATTTTCTAAATGGTGAATAAGGTTTGCATATATCCCAAGCGAAACAAAATACAGTCTTCCTTGGTTCACTTGGTAATTTTATTTCTCACGTAAGTGTAAATTAAGTATGTATAAAAGAGTTTTGTTTGTAAGCAAAACAATTATGTTCTAGCTTCAAATAGTTATTAGTTTTTTTCTTTTATCCTACGTGAATCTCCAGTGGAAAATGTAAAAGTCATGTGGGACACAGGATCAACATTTATTATTTGGGACTATTTCACATATGGCAGAATATTTGGTATTCCTGATTTCCGTTCCTGAGTTACCATGAAAAAATTGGCTATGATACTCAAAGTAATTGAAGAGGTAAATGTTGTTCAGAAGAGAGGAGGAGAACCACTCTTGAACCCTCCCACACCTAGAAACTCAATGAGTTGAATGATACAATTGAAACCTAGAGTGAAGAACAGCTTTTGGTACTTTCTTATAGACTCTGTGGGAAGTAATAAGCTACTAGTAGCAAGGCTTTTTAAATTATGCAATGTATTCTTTCTTTCACTCTTAAGAGTTGTACAAGTTGCACACATTTTCACATTAGATTTATACGATCATTTTTAATTTAGATAATTATTTTTTGCTTTGTATTTTATCTTGCTCTACTCCATAAAGTATGTTCACAGAATGCTGATTGTAGCCAAACAAAGAAAGGGGGCTCTAGAATGTGCACAAAATATATTTATTAAGGATTGGTGTGATTATATTTGTGATAGGAAGGTGAGGGGGCCAAGATTTGCATTTTAAATCTGAATGAAACTTATTGGAAATAAGCTGCTTATTAGTGTCTCTGCACATGTACATTGCTCATTTAGTGTAGCATTAGGAAACTAATTATACAAAACATTGGAAAAATAAGTACTAACGACCCTCTCTACAGAAAGGGAGCTGCAGAAAGCTAGACATTGAGTGATCAGGCATTTAAGTGGGATGAGTTCATTCCATTTTGGAAGCCATTTTTATTCATGTAAGAAAGGAATATGTGCATACTGTTTCCACATTGAAGCTGGATTTTTACAGTCAAATATTTTCCTGATACTGTTGAGTAACTAAGAACTAACTGACATCTAACCATCTGTTTTGGCTTTATTCTATCAATATTATTGATGTCATGATTTATTAATATTTCTGCTGAATTATGAAAGCTTATTTGGCAAGTTATTAGAGAAACAATTATGAACATTCCATCCCCTCCAAACAATACTTGTAGGGGAGAGGAAAATATTTATTACAAACAAAAAAGCTTTTTTCCATTGAATATATATGGCAATGCCATGTGTCCTATATAGTTTACTAAGTACTAAAAATAATAGCTTATTAAGTACTTTCCAATCTAGTAAGCTATCAGAGAAAAATTGATTTTTAAAATCCAATGAGGGCAAATCATATTTTGCTGCACTTGTTGTTGTTGTATTGACATCTGAAGAAGACCTTCAATAAGGTCCCTGGACCATAATTAAGTTTGTGATAGTGAAACAATCATTGCCCTACATGTTCTTTTAGTGTTGCTTCTTTCAACAGTCTGGACTACTAGGCTCAAATATGATCTGGGAATTTCAGGTGTCTATGACTTACTAGACACTCAGATTTGTCACCTGATTATCTTGTAGAATCAGTTCCCACCTAGTACAGAATTGGACAAGTTCTAAGAATTATCACCTTATCATAGATCTTATTTGAAACAGTCTGGTTTCCCCAAAGTGCAGAAATTTTAAAGATATTGTCTTAATAACTCCTAATAAGTTATTACAAACCAGAGATTACTTATCCTAGGATGACTGTCTTAAAGGAATCACCAGGGTTTAATACCAAGTGTGAGCTGGTTAACAACTTGAACATTTCAGCTTCAAAGTGAAAACTTGGTTAGCTCAGTTTGTTAGCACTGTGATATGAACAATTTCTTTTTGTCATTTATTTTATAAACTGAAACACAGAACTCTAGAGTGATAGGGGCAACCTATCACCTCTATGAAAAATACCCATTAGATCAGAAGCAGACACACCCTCAACAACAGTGTTTACTAGGAGAAAACTATCTAAGGAGAAGTAATGCATAAAATCTCTTCTTTTATGCCTTAGCACAGAAGCGTTTTCATGATTTAAAAAATGAAATGCAGTGAAGAAATAAGAAAGAAATCAGTTAAGTCTGGATGAAGGGAAAGTTGAAACATCATTTCAAATCAAGGAAGACGATAGTTGTAATTTGTAGCATTTGCCAATTTCTGTTTTCAAGCTATCAACCTAATGTCATGGAACAAGGATTTGAGAATAAATGCACAGCAGCATACCATTTGTCTTAGGCTGTTTGTGTTGCTATAAAGAAATACTGAGGCTGGGTAATTTATAAAGAAAAGAGATTTATTTGGCTCATGGTTCTGCAGGCTATATAACCATGTAGCATAAAGCATGGCTCCAGCATCTCCAGCTGGTAAGGGCCTCAGACTGCTTCAATTCATGACAGAAAGAACAAAGGAGCAGGCGTGAGCCAGAGATCACGTGGTGAGACAGAGGAATTGAGACAGAGGGGAGGGAGATGCCAGGGTGTTTTTAACAATCAGTTCTTGAGAGAACTAATAAAGTGAGGACTCACTACAGCAGGGACATCAAGCCATTCATGAAGGATCTGCCACCGTGACCCAAACACCTCCCTTTAGGCCTCACTTGCAATATTGGAAATCAAATTTCAACATGAGGTTTGGAGGGTCAAACATCCAAACTATAGCACCATTATACAGTATTTCAACCACACAGATGCAAGAGAGGTACATAACCTCGAGAATATAGATAGCAGTAAAGATATCCCGCGATAATTAGCACATTATGAGTTTTGAGTATTCTCTGTTTTTAATATAATTTATTTAATTATAAATTTATATATGTAATTATTTTTTTAAATAATAAATGTTTTTCACACTTGGCTGGCAAAATTGCTCCAGCAAACAACTTTCCGTGGTAAATAGAGTAGGATTAGTTAAATTTGAAACATATTTGAGTATTACAGAGGCAGGTGATCTTTCTTAGCAAAACCATTTCCTTCATTCTCAATATTAAGTATCCCATTTTCCATTTCAGAAGGAAAGCTTCAGGGAAAAAAGCAAACCATGATTTATACTACCCAAATTGGGAAGTCTGTTTTGAGAAACCTTTTGGAAATTAGTAACTGAATGTTTTCTTAGAGATAAATATTCAGTATATCAGTCTCATAAAAATGAAGAAAGATCAAGGCTCTTCTGGAGCATATTTCACAAAATAAAATAAATAAAAACAAACTAAAGCCTAAGTCAGTGATTTAAATATTTTTGGACAAATTCTGCTGTTAAAAGAAAAACAAGGTGCTTGGATTTTTTATTTACTTTTACTTTAAAGATTCAAAGAACTTGCATGGGAATAGGTGAGGAGCTTATAATAACATCTAATAGCCTGTGAGGTGGCCTTTGAGATACCCTCACAGAATCCCAGGGCTCCACAGAACTACTAGAATTGATGAGTAAAAAAGTTTGCAAACTTTTATGCAAAGAGTATATTTTTCCAGCTTTATTGAAGTATAATTGAAAAATAAATATTCATATACTTACAGAGTACATGATGTTTTGATTATATATAATATATACATATAATATACATAGGTACATAATATATACATATTATATATAATATATAGGAAAGTGATTAGAGTGAATTAACAACCCTTTCACATGCTTATTATGTTTTTGTAATAAGCACATTTAAGACCTACATTCTTAGCAATTTTCAAATACACAATATATTATTATTAACAGTAGTCATTACAGTATATGATAGTTCTCTGCAAAATGTATCCCTCTTATTTAACTGAAATATTGTACCCTTCAACCAATAACTCCCTATTCCCCCCACGACAGCCCCTAGTAACCACCATTCTACTTTTTGCTTCTATGAGTTCACTTTTGGATTCCACATATAAGTGAGATCATACAGTATTTGTCCTTCTGTGCCGGCTTATTACACTAAGCATAATGTCCTCTAGGTTCATCCATGCTGTCACAAATAACAGGATATCCTCTTTTTTAGAATTGCATAGTATCCTATTTTACACATACACATGCATGTACATGTATTTATTTATTTATTTATTTTGAGACAGAGTCTTGCTCTGTCACCCAGGCTGGAGTGCAGTGGTGTAATCTCGGTTCACTGCAACCTCCATCTCCTGGGTTCACGCAATTCTTGTGCCTCAGCCTCCCCAGTAGCTGGGATTACTGGCGTCCGCCACCATGCCTGGCTTATTTTTGTATTTTTTGGTAGAGACGGGATTTCACAATGTTGAGCAGGCTGGTCTCGAACTCCTGACCTCATGATCTGCCCGCCTTGGCCTCCCAAAGTGCTGGAATTACAGGCGTGAGCCACCGCGCCTGGCCACAATTTTTTTTAATTCATTCACCATCAGTGAACACTTAGGTTGATTCCATATCTTGGCCGTTATGAATAATGTTGCAATGAAGATATCTCTTTGACATAGTGACTTCATTTTCTTTGGATATATACCAAGAAGCAGGATTGCTGGATCATATGGTAGTTCTATTTTTAATTTCTTGAGGAACTTCCATACTGTTTTCCACAATGGCTATACTAATCTACATTCCAACCAACAGTGTGCAAGGATTCTAATTTCTACAGATTCTCACTAGCACTTGTTATGTTTTGTCTTTTCATTGACAGCTATTCTAATAGGTGTAAGCTGATATCAGGTTTTAATTTTCATTTCTCCTATGATCAGCAATGTTGAGCATTTTTTAATATATCTGTTGACCATTTTTTATGTCTTCTTTTGAAACATGTTTATTCATGTCCTTTACCCATTTTAAAATCAGGCTGTCTGTTTTCTTGCCATAAAGTTCATTGAGTTCACTACATATTTTGAATATCAATCCTTTATCAGATGTATAGTTTGAAAATATTTTCTCCTATTCTGTAGCTTATATATTCACTCTGTTATGGTTTGCTGTGCAGAAACTTTTTAGTTTGATGCAATTTCATACATCTATTTTTGCTTCGGTTGCCTATGCTTTCGGTGCCATATCTGAAGAAAAATATTTGCTAAGACCAGTGTCAAAAAGTTTGACTAGATGCTTTTCTCTGGTAGTTTTACATTTTAAGGCCTTGTGTTTAAGTCTTTAATCCATTTTGAGATGATTTTTATATATGGTGTGAGACAAGGATCCAATTTAATTCTGCTACATGTGGGTATCTAATTTTCCTAGCAGCATTTATGACGGTCCTTTCCCCATTTTATATTATTAGCACCTTTTTAAAAGATCAGTTGACCATAAAATTTATTTTAATTTATTTCTGGAATCTCTCTTTTCTTTTCTTTTTTCCTTTCCTTTCCTATCCTTTCCTTTCTTTTCCTTTCTTTCTTTTTTTTCTGGAAACCTGGTCTTTCTCTGTCACCCAGGCTGGAATGAAGTGGTGCAATCACCGGTCACGATAGGCTCAAACTCCTGCACTTAAATCATCCTCCCACCTCAGCCTCCAGAGTAGCTGGAACCACAGGCATGTACCACCATGCCCAGCGTTTGTTTTTTTTTTTTTTCTTTTTCATAGAGCTAGGATCTCTCTGTGTTGCCCAGGTTTCTATTTTTCCATTGGTTTGAATGTCTGCTTTTATGCTGGCACCATGCTGTTTCGATTACCATAATATAGCCTTACAGTAGATTTTGAGATCAGAGAGTGTGATGCCTCCAGCTTTGTTCTTTTTGCTTAAAATTACTTTCACTATTTGGGGTATTTTGTGGTTCCATATGAATTTTAGGATTTTTTTCTAGTTTTGTAAAATATCTCATTGGAATTATGATAGTGATTGCATTTAATCTGTAAATTGCTTTGAATAGTATGAATATGTTAACAATATCAATTTATAAATATGGGATATTTTTCCATTTATTTGCATGTTTTGTAATTTCTTTCATCAATATTTTATAGTTTTCACTGCATAGATCTTTCAACTCCTTGGTTAAATTTATTCCTACTTTATTTTGACACTATTGTAAATGGGATTGTTTTCTTAATTTATTTTTCAGATAGTTCATTGTTATGTTTCCCATTATCCTGAAGCAGCTGGGTTGGTAGAAGGGTGGAATGGACTTTTGAAGTCACAATTACAATGACAACTAGGTGACAATACTTTGCAGGACTGGGGCAAAGCTCTCCTGAAGGCTGTGTATGCTCTGAATCAGCATTCAATATATGGTACTGTTTCTCGCATAGCCAGGATTCATGGGTTTAGGAATCAAGGGGTGGAAGTGGAAGTGGCACCACTCACCATTATCCCTAGTGACCCACTAGCAAAATTTTTGCTTCCTATTCCCACGACATTTCATTCTGCAGGCCTGGAGGTCTTAGTTCCAGAGGGAAGAACACTGCCACCAGGAGACATAATGATTCCAGTAAACAGGAAGTTAAGACTGCCCCCTGGCCACCTTTGGCTCCTCCTACCTTTAAGTTAACAGGCTAAGAAGGGAGTTACAGTGTTGGCTGGGGTGACTGGCCCAGACTATCAAGAGGAAATCAGTCTACTACTCCACAATGGAGGTAAGGATGAGTATGAGTGGGATACATGAGATCCCTTAGAGTGTCTCTTAGTATTACCATGCCCTGTGGTTAAGATCAATGGGAAACTACAACAGTCTAATCCAGGCAGGACTACAAATGGACCAGACCCTTTAATAATGAAGGTTTGGGTAACTCCACTAGATAAAAAAGCACAACCTGCTGAGGTGTTTGCTGAATGCAAAGGGAGTACAGAATGAGTGGTAGAAGAAGGTAGTCATCAATTCCAGCTATGACCACATGACCAGGTGCAGAAACGCGGACTGTAATTGTCATGAGTATTTCCTCCTTTTTGTTAAGAACATGTTTGTCCATGTATACACCTGTACTAAGAAAATGTCTTCATTTTATTTCCTTTTTTATCATGCATATAAGATTTATTGACTTCATATCAGCATTTAAGTGTGGTTAACTTTATGTAATAGTATTTGGGTTGGGAATTTATGCATTTCTGGTTGTACAAAGGATAGTTGTTTTATGTTAGGTGTAATTATGACCTTATTATTGTCTTCATTTGAATACTATATATGATTTCAAGAGATGTGTATGGATTCAAGTTGACAAGGGTTGGACTTGTGATGATTAATATTGAGTGTCAACTTGGTTGCATTAAAAATGCAAAGTGTTGTTCCTGGGTGTGTCTGTGAAGGTGTTGCCAAAGGAGATTAACATTTGAGTAAGTGGAATGAGAAAGACAGACCCACCCTTAATCTGCAGGTGCACAGTCTAATGAGCTGCCAGCAGAGCCAGAATAAAAGCAGGCAGAAGAGCATGAAAAGACTAGACTGGCTTAGTCTCCCAGCCTACATCTTTCTCTCATGCTGGATGCTTCTTGCCCTCAAACATTTGACTCCAAGCTCTTCAGCTTTGGGACTTGTACTGGCCATCTTGCTCCTCAGCTTGCAGATGGTCAATGTGGGACCTTACCTTGTGACCATGTGAGTCAATACTCTTTAATAAACTCCCCTTTTTATATACATCTATCCTGTTAGTCCTGTCCCTCTAGAGAACCCTAATAGTGTACACAAACATCATTGATTTTTTATCTTAATTTTGTATCCTACACCTTTACTGAATTTATTAGTTCTAACAGTGTTTTAATGGCATCTTTAGGGTTTTCTACGTGTAAGATCACCTCATCTTCAAACAGAGACAACTGTACATATTTCTTTCCAATTTGTATGCATTTTATTTCTTTTGCTTGCCTAAATCCTCTGGCTAGGACTTCCAATACTATATTCAACAGAAATGGCAAGAATGGCTATCCTTGTCTTCCTCCTGATTTTAGAGGAGAAGTTTTCAAATTTTCATCATTGAGTATGATGTTATCTGTGGGGTTGTCGTCTGTGGCCTTTGTTGTGTTCAGTAACATTTTTTTCTATATCAAAAGTGTTGAAAGTTTTTATCATAAAATGATGTTGAATTTTGTCAAATTCTTTTTCCGCGTCTACTCATGTAGTCATGATTTTTATCCTTCATTCTGTTAAAGTGATATATCATAATTACTAATTTGCGTATGATCAACCATCCCTGCATCTTAGGGATAAATCCCACTTGAGTACAGTGAATGATCCCTTTAATGTGCTGTAGAATTCTGTTTGCTAGTATGTTGTGGTAGATTTTTTTAATCTATGTTCATCAGGGATATTGGTCTAGAATTTTCATTTCTTGTAATGTCTTTGTCTAGCTTTGATACGAAGGTAATGCTTGCCTTATGCTTTGAAATAAAAAGAGCTCCCCCTCTTCTACTTTTCAAGAGTTTGAGAAGTATTAGCATTAATTCTTCCTTAATTGTTTGGTAGAATCCAGTAATAAAGCCATCAAGTCATAGGCTTTTTGCGGTTATTCATTATTGGTCTTTTCAGTTTTTCAATTTCTTTATGATTCAGTCTTGGCAGGGTGTATGTTTCAAGAAATTTAACCATTTATTCCAGGTTACTTAATTTGTTGGCATATAACTGTTCATAGTAGTTGTCTATGATTCTTTGTATTTCTGTCATATCAGCTATAATGACTCCTTTTTCATTTATAGTTTTATTTATTTGAGTCTTCTTTCTATTTTCCTTGTCTAGCTAAAATTTTTTAAATTTTGTTTATATTTTTTAAAACTAACTCTTAGCTTTATTAATCTTTTCTATTGTATTTCTCATGTCTATTTTATTTATTTCTAATTTTTATTTATTTATTTATGATCTTTATTATTCCCTTCCTTCTGCTTACTTTGTGCTGAAATTTGTTCTCTTTCTACTTTCTTAAAGTGTAAAGTTAAGTTGTTGTTTTTTTGAGATTTTACTTCTCCATTTAAGTGTCCATCATTGTTAATGTTGCTCTTATAATTGCTTTCACTGCATTCTGAATGTTTTGGTATCTCATGTTTCAATTTTCATTTATCTGAAGATGTTTTTTGATTTCTCTTTTTCTTCCTTCTTTGACTGATTGGTTGTTCAAGAGTGTGTTGCTTCATTTCCACATATGTGTGAAATTTTTAAATTTTCTTCCTGTTACTGATTTCTAGCTTAATGCCATTGCTGTTGGAAAATATGCTTGATAATATTTCAGTCTTCTTAAATTTGTTAAGGCTTATTTGGAGACGCAATGTATAATCTATCCTGGAGAATGTTATGGGTGCGTTTCAGAAGAATCTGCATTCTTTTGCTGCTTCACGAAATGTTCTGAATATGTCTCTTAGTTCTGCAGGACTTTTCCTTAGTTCAGCTAAAGACAAGGTCCTTGTCCCATGGCCACAAAAGTTTAGGTTTGCAGACAGTTCGAAGGGTGAGTAAAGCAGGGTTTTATTAGGTGAAAAGGAACAAAAGGGGGATCAGGGACTCTCTGCAAGGCCAGAGTTCCACTGATGTGCTTCCCACCTCACAGTTTGAATCCGAGGTTACACACAGGAAGAGGAGAGGCCAGGCTCCTCCCTGCTGCAAATGGCGTGAACCTGTGTGGCTCCACCCCAGTGCACATTCCTAGTATGCAGACTGGTTGGAGTTTTGCCAGGGACCCACTCCCACCTGGCTGTCTCATTCCCCCCTCTAAATAAGTACATCTAACTGCCATCAATAAAAATAAGGATGAAGACTGATCTTAACTGCTTCGTGCTGATGGAGGGCACTGTTTTGGGGAAACGGCAGTCAGATCTCCCTCAGAGGCCTAAGTGTTCCCAGCAGAAGGGACCATCCTCTGAGGCTCAGATTGCAGGACCGTTTGAAGTTTGATGGCCTGAAAGCAAGAAGAGATGAACCGGGTTATTAGAAAACATGTAACAAAATAAAACAAGGGGAAGGGTAAGGACAGCTAAAAAATTATGAGGTCTTTTTCCAGTTTGCACAGGGAGAGGGAGGCCAAAAGCCTGACTGGTATAAAAACTTTACCGTTTTGCTGGCATGTCAGGCTTCTGGGTTCCCTGCCCCTGAGCCCAATCCTAAGCCAACCAGTTTAAGGTTTGGGAAATTAACTCTTTCCAGTTTGGAGGACACATCTGAGGGCAATGTCCTGTAGTACAGGCACACAATTACCTATTAGTGAAGGGAGAACAGATGAGGAGATAAGAAAACAAAGACATTTTTTCAAAGGAGTCCCAGGGGTTCAGGATGCATTCAAAAGGGGTATAGGCTGAAGATGAGTGGCTATCCATCTAGAAAGAGAGGAGAGGGCATCCCAGGTTTCCTTCTCTTCCTAGCAGATAACCAGGGTATGTGAGGGAGAGAGGGAAGAGCATACTCTTTCCCTCTTCAGTCCTTGCACCCCTCTCATCCCATTGACCTTGGCAGGCACTGCCATGGGTACCAAAGCAGCTTGCACCAATGAAGCAAGGGGTCCAAGGGGGCAGGAATTATCCACTCTTGCCCGTGTACACCCTATCTCCCCTGCTGTCAGTAGCCTTGAATTCCCTAGACTTCATTTATGTCATGGATACTAACGTGGCCTTTATCCATGAAACAGGAAGCTTGGGTTTGGCTTAATTGGCAGGAATCAGCCACACTCACCTGTGCTGTGCTTTTTAACTTCCATTATCATCTGCCTCTGGATCCCTCAGATCCAGTTTTCTTTTCTAGGGCTTTTCTGAGCTTGGAATTGAGTTTGGGACAAAAATGTGTCTTAGAGGGTATTGCATGGACTCCTTATCATAAGCCAAATGCTAAGGTGAAACTCTAGAACTGAGTCTCCTGCAACAAGGGAGAGGAAATGATGTCTTATGACACACCTAGATAACTGGTAGGTATAGTTATGCTTGCTGGGATTTGGGTGCATGATGCTTGGCTTTGGTTTGCTCCTTTGGTCTTACTTTCCCAAAGAGAAACCTCTGAGTGATGGGCATGCTATTTATTCCCATCACCTGGCAGGATTTGCAGGATAATTGCCAAGAACTAGAATACTGATTTAGATATTTACATTATCCATCCATTTTGTTCTTTCTGAGCTGCAGCTGGAGATTTCTGGTTGGTTCACAAGAACAAGCAGGGTTGGTCTACAATGTAGGCAAAAAGTTAAAAACAATTAGTGAGTTTAGAATTTAATGACAAATATATGATAAGTTTTGAAACATGATTTCTCTCTTGCCAGTCCTCATTTTTGTTAAATAAAACAAATCATTACAGGACTAAGTTGTTTGCAAAATAGACTTTAGCTTCATACTTGGCCCGATTATTAGCATAAAGTGCAGCAAGAATAATTATTTCTAAATAGGCCCCTTGGATTGGCTTTGATGGAACTCTGTTCCCCAAGGAATCTCAGAGAAGACCTTTTAAAGCCTAGCCCAGCCATGGGTTTGTATCCTCAATACCTGTGAGTTGGGTGATCCTCTACTCTTAAGGTCCAAACATAAACTTGGAGTTCCTGGACCTGTTAGAAAGTGACATTCTTTACTGACCACAGGTCAGGAACCCTGTACAGGGACTATGTAGGCAAGGGTATGAGGCCAGTTTCCATGCTGGGCTCTTAAACGCTCTGCAAGTTGTGATGGACTCCTGAAAGGAAAGTATAATCTTCCAGTGAAAGCCTTGGTAACATAACTAGTTTCTCTAATTGTGTCTTATTTGAAAAGAAAAATGGATTCTTATTGCACTGATGCAAACAATTATATTGCCATAAGTTAAGAATACTCACAGATAGTTTCCAAATTCTAGAGGGACCACATAGAGAAAAACAAACATGAACATGCACCAAATTTTGTTCATAGGAGTATACCTTAATCAATTATTAAAGGATGTACATAGTTCAAAATAAGTTTTTTTGACTCTGAGAGATAAAACAAAAATCAGCAATATTTGAAGAAAAGGTCAAAAAGATTGCTTCAGCTTTCTGAGTGCAGTCCATTTAGTTAACTTTTGTTTTGCTTGATGTTTGTGAACATTTTAACTCTTCATAAATCCTGTACATTTTCCTTTATTCCCACGTTACAGTCTCTAAAATTATCAGAAGTCCATATTGCAGAGCACCTGTTACAGTTCTTATAGCTTATTATAAACCATCTTTTGTAAAGGATTAAAACAAGACAACAATTGTCTGTGAATAGCAAAATGTCTAGGGTAGTTACAGTTAGAAACACAATTGACGAAGAAGTTTGTTGATCTTCATTGCTTATAATAAAGAAACACAATTAACAAAGAAGTTTATCTGCATGGCTTACAATAACTTAACATAAAAACTTTAATCATGATTGATAGCATACACTTAGACATTAGATTTTTAGGAATACCATATAATTTTGGAAAATATACTAGCATTATTTACAAAAATATAACCTAAAAATAATTGAACTTTATTTTGGCAGTCCCACATACCTAAACATGACAAATGATCCTGTTTACCTCTTTTCTGGATGTTTTAGGAGCCCTCTGAAGTATCCAAAAAGTCAGGTGTCAGGAAAGAAAGGTTTGAAAATAGAGTTTGAGTTTTGAAGGCTGATAAATGTTCAAGGTTTAAAACACTTGATGTTATGAAATAGAATTCCAGATTACCAAAAAATTTATTTTGCCAAAATAACAACTCAGAAATTTTTAAAAAGCAAAAAAAAAATATAACCATTTACAAGGGCTAGAGGAAAATTTACCAAGCAAATGGAAAGCAAAAAAAGCAGGGGTTGCAATCCTAGCCTCTGATAAAACAGACTTTAAACCAACAAAGATAAAAAAAGACAAAGAAGGGCAGTACATAATAGTAAGGGGATCAATTCAACAAGAAGAGCTAACTATCCTAAATATATATGCACCCAATACAGGAACACCTGGATTCATAAAACAAGTTACTAGAGACTTAGACTCCCACACAATAATAGTGGGAGACTTTAACACCCCACTGTCAATATTAGACAGATCAACGAGACAGAAAATTAACAAGGATATTCAGGACTTGAACTCAGCTCTGGATCAAGTGAACCTAATAGACATCTAATAAACTCTCCATCCCAAATCAATAGAATATACATTCTTCTCAGTGCCACATGGCACATATTGTAAAATCTACTACATAATTTGAAGTAAAACATTCCTCAGCAAATGCAAAAGAACCAAAATCATAGCAAACAGTCTCTCAGACCACAGTGAAATCAAATTAGAACTCAGGATTAAAAAACTCACTGAAAACCACACAATTCCGTGAAAATTGAACAACCTGCTCTTGAATGACTCCTGTGTAAATAATAAAATTAAGGCAGAAATCAAGAAGTTTATTGAAACCAATGAGAACAAAGAGAAAACATACCAGAATCTCTGGGACACAGCTAAAGCAGGCTTAAGAGGGAAATTTATAGTACTAAATGTCCATATCAAAAAGCTAAAAAGATCTCAAATTTACACCCTAACATCACAATTAAAAGAGCAAATTCAAAAGCTAGCAGAAGGCAAGAAATAACTAAGATTAGAGCAGAATTGAAGGAGATAGATGCAAAAAAAACCTTCAAAAACTCAATGAATCCAGGAGCTGTTTCTTGAAAAAATTAACAAAATGCTAGCTAGATTAATAAAGAAGAAAAGAGAAGAATCAAATGGACACAATAAAAAATTATAAAGGGGATATCACCACTGACCCCACAGAAATACAAACTACCATCAGAGAATACTATAAACACCTCTATGCAAATAAACTAGAAAATCTAGAAAAAATGGACAAATTCCTAGACACATACACCCTCCCAAGACTAAGCCAGGAAAAAGTCAAATCCCTGAATAGATCAGTATTAATTTCTGAAACCGAGACAGTAATTAACAGCCTACCAACCATAAAACGCCTGAGACCAGATGCATTCACAGCCAAATTCTATCAGAGGTACAAAGAGGAGCTGGTGCCATTCTTTCTGAAACTATTCCAAATAATTGAAAAGGAGGGACTTGTTCCTGACTCATTTCATGAAGCCAGCATCATCCCGATACCAAAACCTGACAGAGACACAACAAAAAAAAAGAAAACTTCAGGCCAATATCCCTGATGAACATCAGTGGGAAAATCCTCAATAAAATACTGAAATTTGGCAAACCAAATCCAGCAGCACATCAAAAAGCTTATCCACCATGATAAAGTTGGCTTCATCCCTGGGATAAAAGACTATTCAGCATACCCAAATCAATAAGTATAATCCATCACATAAACGGAACCAATGACAGAAAACAAGTGATCATCTTAATAGATGCAGAAAATGCCTTTGATAAAATTCGTCATCCCTTCATGTTTTAGCCCTTTACAAATTTTGCCAAAGAACAGTTTAGCACCTTAAGCAAACCTTGTGTTTTTATTTCAATGCTCAATTTACAGAAAAATTACATAATACCTTCTTGGAATTTATTCAATATGTTCACATAGAGAACCTCTTCTGCAAGATTAATTTCCACAATTCTTTAACCATTTGTTCAAACCTTCAGCTTTTTATTATCTTATTTAAAACAATCCTTTAACCCTAGGCAAAAATTTGCAATTTCATGTTTTTTTATAACCTTTTACCAAAAAGAAAACAAATTTTACTGTTCTTACACACCTTGCATGTAAATCTATTTTTAGTAGTGTCAATTACATGTTATAATGGTAACTCCTAGAAATTTTTAACTTTAATGTAAAACCTGGTCAGCTGTTTTAATTGTGTGCTAAGTGCAGCCAAGGTTGACTCCAGCGTAATTAAGAATGCAGTTAGTTCTATATGTCCCCAGGACCTACCCATTGTGAAGCAAGCAAGACACGGTTCTGAAAACCCAAAAAGCAATTTGTAACCTCAAAACATTTAGCAAACCTTGCATCTAACCTACATAAGTTAGTTCACCTATTTCCATTTTAATGACATCTGCATTTTACCAATAATCTTTAAGGCTGCTTTTATTTCTTGAAGTCACATGAACAGAAAGGTACCACAGCTTTTATCTTCCCTTTAAAAAATACTTGATCCAAGTGCTTGTCTTTCTTTAGGCCAAACTAATTAGATCTCTTTACAGACATCATATACAAACACACGTATAACTATACAGACGGGCAGGAGAAAACCCACTGCAAATGGCATGAACCTCTGTGGCTCTGGGTGGGGTTCTTTAAGAGACAGGGCTAAGAAAACATGCAGATATCAAACCAGAAAGGAACTTATTCCTTAAAGTAGGATTGCTAAACACAGCCTTGCCACCAGAGTTACAAGCCATGCCCCCAGAATGTAAAACAAGATGAAGGCTTGATTTCACAACCAAAACTTTGCAGAGAATACAAACAGTGATAGTTGGGGGGTACCTAGTAAGACGTCTTCTAAAAGGAAAAAAAAACTTTAAAAGTTAACTGCTGACAAAATGGAGAAGGGAAAAAACAAGTTTAAAAATGCCTGGGGAAGAACCTCTTATCTTATGCAACTGGTTCCTCCACCAGGGAGAAAAGTTTAATTACTGGCCAATGAAGCTCAATCCCTTAGACAGGGAAGGAGAAGGCTAGGGCAGCAGGTAGCTCGAAACCAGCCAGCTGGCTGTATGGGACCCTTGGGCCATGCGTCCCAGACCCAGCAGGGACGGGAGGGTGGGAGGGAGCTGCAGCTCACTGGTCCATCCCGAAAAAGGAAAAAAAAAAAGACCATGAAAAGGCCCCTGACCCCCGGGAGCAGTGGCAGGCAGGGGCAATTCCCCTAGCCTCAGAATCCCGAGGATGAAAAGGCTCAGAAGGGAGAGGAGAAAAGATATCTTTGTTTGCATTTCATTCACTGCTTCTGGAGCCCCACATTGGGAGACAAAATTGTTGCAGGACTTTTCCTTAGTTCAGGTAAAGATGGAGTTCTTGTCCTGTGGCCATGAACGTTTAGGCTTACCGATGGTTTGAAGGGTAAGTGAAGCAGGGTTTTATTGGGTGAAAAGGAAAAAAATGGGGAGGAACAGGGACTCTCTCAGAGTTCCTCTGGTGTGCTTCCCACCTCACAGTTTGAATCCCAGGTTTCACACGGGATAAGAAGAGGCCAGGCTCATCCCGCTGCAAGTGGCATGAACTTCTGTGGCTCCACCCCAGTGCACATTCCCAGTGCGCAGGCTGGTTGGAATTATGCCAGGGATCCCCTCCCACCTGGCTGTCTCATTAGGTCTATATGGTCTATAGTGTTATTCAAGCCCACTGTTCTCCATTTTCTTATTGATTTTCTGTCTGTATGATCTATCCATTGTTGAAGGTGGGGTATTGACATCTCCTATTATTATTGTATTGCTGTCTATTTCTGAGGAGGTGTTGTGAACCATGCTTAGCATATCTTGTGGCTGATGGGTGTCAAACACTGCATATTAAGAAGTATTAAAGATACATTTTTAGCTCGTAATTGATTTTTCATGTGCACATAAACATATTCCTATTGCCACAGCACATTTACCTTTAGTAAGCCTAGCAGTGGAAAAGAGATAACACTTGTTTATTCAGTAGGCTGGTGTTGTTTCATAGACATAATCTTCTCCATAATTCTTACAACAGTTTAGACTTACAGCTTGTTGCGTTTCCCTCCCCCCACCCCATGTTCAATTCTTGCAATAACTACAATATGATAGGTTTGGAATATACTGTTCCCCCTGTAAGGCCATAATAGGCACTTTAATCAAGGCGATCTTTTCCACTTCACTCAGATCACCTCAGTATCTTGCTTAACTGTATTTTAGGTAGCTACAGAAATTTGCAGTTGACACCATGTTGAAGGCCGTGTATCCTTTACAGATCTGAAAATCTTTAAGGTCACATTCAGCTATTATGTCTCATACTTAGCACAAAATGTCAACCTCATCTTCTCAACTGTTACTGCTATCATTTTGTTCTCTATCCTAGCCTGCATCACTTAAATAAACAAGCAAGCAAGCAACACAATTGTTTGAATCCTTGAATACTTATAGAGAAGAAAAGAAAAAAAGAAAACCACTGAATTTATTAATTTCCCCAGTGAAATATATAGAACACTTCTCATGGTACTGAAGCCTGATCATGATTAACAGTTGGAGAAAAGAAAATAAGACTCACTTTTTCTATCTGTTATCCCTAGTCTGTCAAAAAGAATAGGGTACACATGCATTTTACTCATGGTGGTAGAATTCCTAAGCTGGGTAATCACAGAAGGCAAGATGCCAAGGACTTACTGAATGCTTAAAGCAAAAATTTTCAGGAATGCCCTGTGCATAGGTGATTATAAATTGGCTATGGAGTTTAATTAAAAGGTTTTTATTTCATGATCTAAACAACTAGGCGTTGGGATTAGCAATTGCTGTCTGTTCACATCAATAACTGGCAGCGATTCCTCTAATCATATAAGGACTTATTAGCATATTGTGCATTGCAAGATGGTGCTTCCAGTAAAAAGCGACAAAAGGTTTCTGAAGTCAGCATCTGTCATCCAGAATGCATATCCAATTTATTTATGAAATATCTTCATTCCAAGGAGATTTTATGTATTTATTTTTCATTTGAGAAACAACTAAATTCTAAAAGAACCAACCAAACAAACTTACTTTATAAATATCCCAAGAAAATTTTGAGAATAATCACTCTGTGGTCATTATGTAGCATTTTTGACTATATGTATACGTAGCAACTGAAAAATGTTTTAGAAGCAGAGTAAAAATTATAGACAATGTTTAGCTGAAACAGTCCAATTATGCAGGATTCTTATCCACTAACCTCTCTCTGAGAGTTTCCTGTTGTTTCAATACTCACTATTACATCTTGACTTTTCCTAACATCATTGTAAGTGCTATCAATACACATTTTAGCAAAACGGTAGTACTACTTGACATGATGGAATAAGCTAGCTGGAATTTGACAGAAATATTTGGTTAATATATTTACAAAGTGCTTTACAAAATGTTTTCCATGGAATATTATCTCTTAAAATGTCTTTTCATTCATTTTACAAACATTTAAAATGCCTAGTAAGTGCAAAGCAATGCATTGGATATGGGGATGTAGCAATGAATGACAAACACAATATCTGCTCTTATAAAACTTTCAGGGTCACCTGGGGAACAGATGATTTATACTGTAGACCTATTTCATAGATACAGAATTCATCTTGGCATATTGAAGCCTCTCAGAAGTTCTACAATAAGAAATAAGACAACAACAACAACGACAAAACCTATGGTTTAACTGTTTCTCAAATAAACTTGATCACGTAATTCTGGTAATTCATGAAATAAGTGTTCTGAAGAACTCACATTGGGGCAGCTACACACAAAAATATTGAGCTAGGTGAAAGAACCAAGAAAAATTCCTGCTTACATATAACGATTTTGAGGCACTGAATAATGGACAATTGAATAATATTCAATCTACTTTTAGTGCTAATTATACTGTATTCTTAGAAAATTGTAATCAGAGACTCTAAATTCTGTAAGAATCACAACATGTGAAATTATGGATAACAAGTGTTTATTCCGTGCATGCACATGCCTGAGCTAGAAGAGGAGGCTACTATTAGCTATCAGCCTTGCACTCCAGGAGTCCCTAAGGCCTGACCATGTCATGTATCAACAGAAATCCTGTGTAAAGGTCTTTAGCTGTACTGTCCTTGCTGCAGGGCTTGATAGATTTCCCCCTGGCTCCCCACTCAACTAGTGATCAAACACTCACTTGGTGTCCTTTTTCATCAGTGGTTAATTATATTTTTAACCCCCAACTGTAAATAGGGAAAGGTCAGTGAGGGATATTTATGTGACCCACAAATGTCCTGCTGCCCTGGCTAGAAATAAATCTTATATAAGCTGAATGTCCTCAGGCCTCATGAGCATAAGGGTGAAAATGAAATCACACTGACATTTATGCCCAAATTAGACTGACTCACTGCTTTCACTTGGCTATGTAGTCCATCCCATAGAGGATTTCTTGAGGTTTCTGGAATAGGAGTGGGGTTCAATTTTGCTTGCAAACCAGTCAGGGTCAATATTTACTCCAAACTGCTGATATTCCTAAACAAACTGGCTCATGCTGCTACTTCAGCGTGCCTATGTCTCACTGCTCTCTGCAGCCACTGTTGTCTCTTTCTGAAAACAAACTGAACCTCCTTTGGTTCCAAAAATGTGCTATGCTTCTCTCAACTTTAGATCTTGTCAACTTGCTATTCCTTCAATCTGAAATATGTATATTTCAAGTCTCATGTTAGCTAAAACTTATTCCAGGAAGCATTCCTTGAACCTAAATGAGAGTTAGGAGTCCTTCTTATGTGCTTATTTAGCACACACTGAATTTATTTATACTGTAGCACTTATGACACTATGTTTTAATAGTCTGTTAGGAGAGAAAGCAAGTATGAGAAAGCAAGATGTGTACAGAGAGACAGTATGTCTTTTTTACTGGCATGCTTTGAGCACTTGACATGTGGCCTGGCATGCAGTAGGATATTTTATAGGAGGATTTGCAACTATTCTTCTACCATTCAACAGATATTATAGTTACAAATAGGCTGTAGGTGAGCAAACCCTGATTATCAGTTTTTAAACTGAACTTATATATGCCATCATTCTTTCCTCACATTTTCATAGTTAAAACATCACTGCAGAAGCTACCCCAGGCAATTTATTTTATTCCTTCAGGCACTTAAAACACTCATTATAAGCTTTGACTGCCTGAAGTAGTCAACAATTTTACCAGGACATCCTAGGAATCACTTTATGCTTTGTATTTTTCTTCTCTATCAAATTTTCACTGTCCTTGGTCTTTTTTCTTTGGAGTTCTGCTCCTTGCTAAGTTATGTGGAGTCAATCAACATCCTTATAGAAGTGCATTTTAATTAAGTTGTGGAAGGAGGAAATTTTCAATATTTATGATTAAAGAGAGCACATGTCCAGAACTTTTTTTTGAACAGTTGATGCTAAGAAGTGAGAAGACTAGGGTAATACTCTGTAATAAGTCTTGCAGTGCTCAACATATGACACTACATGGGTAGTTGACTACACCTCTATAATATCAAAAAACTCTAAGGCGGATAGGTAGAACACATGCATTCCTCCAGAAAACAAGCCTCCTTTATATGGCCAGATTTGGTTCACAGTTTGTAATTTGAAGACCACTTGTGATATGATTTGGCTGAGTCCCTGCTCAAATCTCATCTTAAATTGTAGCTCCCATAATTCCCACGTGTTGTGAGAGGGACTTGGTGGTAGATAATTGAATCATGTGGTTGGTTTTTCCCATATTGTTCTTGTGACAGTGAATAAGTCTCATGAGATCTGATGGTTTTATAAGGGGTTTTCCCTTTCATTTGGCTCTCATTCTCTCTTGTGTGCTGCCATGTAAGACTTGCCTTTCACCTTCCACCATGATCGTGATGCCTTCCCAGCCATGTGGAACGGTGATTTCACTAAACCTCTTTTTTTTTTTACAGATGACCCAGTCTTTATTAGCAATGTGAGAACCACCTAATAGAGTAAATTAGTACCAGTAGAGTGGGGTGCTGCTGTAAAGACATCTGAAAATGTGGAAGCAACTTTGGAACTGGGTAACAGGCAGAGGTTGGAACAGTTTAGAGGGCTCAGAACACAGAAAGATGTGGAAAAGTTTGAAACTTTCTAGCAACTTGGAGGGCTCAGCAGACAGAAAGATGTGGGAAGAACTACCTAGAGACTTGTTGAATGGCTTTGACCAAAATGCTGATACTGAGATGCACAATACAATCCAGGCTGAGGTGGTTTCAGATGGAGATGAGGAACTTGTTGGGAACTGGAGTAAATGTCACTCTTGCTACGCAAAGATACTGGTGGCATTTTGCCCCTGGTCTAGTGACCTGTGGAACTTTGAACTTGAGAGAGATGACTTGGGGTATCTGGTGGAACACATTTCTATGCAGCAGAGCATTCAAGAGGTGAGAGAGCATAAACGTTTAAAAAATTTGCAGCTTGATGATGCAGTAGAAAAGAAAAACCAATTTTCTGGGAGGAAATTCAAGCCAGCTGCAGAAATTTGCTTAAGTAACTAGGAACCAAATGCTAATCACGAAGACACTGGGAAAATGTCTCCAGAGCATGTCAGAGACCTTCATGGCAGCCCTTCCCATCACAGGCTTGGAGGCCTAAGAGGAAAAAATGGTTTTGTGGGACAGGCCCAGAGCCCCCCTACTCTATGCAGCTTCTGTACATGGTGCCCTGCATCCCAGCTGTTTCAGCTCCAGCAATGGTTAAAAGGCTCCAACATAGAGCTTGGGCTGTGGCTTCAGAGGGCCAAGCCCCAAGCCTTGGCAGCTTCCAGATGGTGTTGAGCCTGCAGGTGCACAGAAGTCTAGAATTGAGGTTTTGGAACCTCTGCCAAGATTTTAGAGGATGTATGAAAATGCCTGGATATCTAGGAAAGAGTTTGCTGCAGGGGTGGAGCCCTCATTGAGAATCTCTGCTAGGTCAGTGTGGAAGGGAAATGTGGGGTCAAAGCCCTCACACAGAGACCCCTGGAAATTTAAGGTTTAATGACTGCCCTATTAGATTTCAGAACTTGCATGGGGACTGTAGCCCTTTTGTTTTGGCCAATTCCTTCCATTTGTAACAGGTGTATTTACCCAATGCCTGTATCCAGGAAGTTAATAACTTGCTTTTGATTTTACAGGCTTATAGGCAGAAGGGACTTGCCTTGTCTCAGATGAGACTTTGGACTCTGGACTTTTGAGTTAATGCTGGGATGAATTAAGGCTTTGGGGGACTGTTGTGAAGGCATGATTGGTTTTGAAATGTGAGGATATGAGATTTGGAAGGTTCCAGGAGAAGAATGATATAGTTTGGTTGTGTCTCCACCCAAATATCATTTTGAATTGTAGTTCCCATAATCCCCATGTGTTGTGGGAGGGACCTGGTGGGAGATAATTGAATCATGGGGGTGGTTACCCCCTTACTGTTTGTCTGGTAGTGCATAAGTCTCATGAATACTGCTGGCTTTATAAGGGGTTTCCCCTCTCACTTGGCTCTCATTCTCTCTTGCCTGCTGCCATGTAAGACATGCCTTTCTCCTTCCACCATGATTGTGGACCTCCCCAGCCACGTAGAACTGTGAGTCCATTAAACCTCTTTTTAATAAATAAATTACCCAATCTTGGGTAAGTCTTCAACAGCAGCATGAGAACTGACTAATACACTCCTTGTCCTCCATTCAGCCCTCATTACTTCTTCTTACTCTTCCACAAACATCAGAGAGCAAGGCTCTCTAAATCATTTAAAGAGAATGCACCTTCTGATGATCAGATGCTCAGCTATTGTTGGTATGAAATGATTGCTCCCCTGATCAATGGCAGACTTACTGAAATATAGTTGGTGAAGCATACAAGGACAAATAGAGACAGAAAGGCAGAGAGAGGGGTGGAGAGAGGTTGAAAATCAATAATGAAAAATTCAAGTGTTGGCACTATGACAAGATTACTAACTCTCTATAGAATATACAAAAGGTGTATTAGTTCGTTTCCATACTGCTATAAGGATATACCCAAGACTAGGTAATTTATAAAGGAAAGAGGTTTAATTGACTCACGGTTCAGCATGGCTGGGGAGGCCTCAGGAAACTTACAATCACAGCAGAAGGCAATGGGGAAGCAAAGAACCTTCTTCACAAAGCAGTAGGAAGAAAAAGTGCTAGCAGGGGCAATGCCAAACACTTATAAAACCATCAGATCACGTGATAACTCACCCACTATCACGAGAACAGCATGGGGGAAACCTCCCCCATGATTTAATCACTTCCTACTGGGTCTCTTCTATGACATGTGTGGATTATGGGAACTGCAATTCAAGATGAGATTTGGTTGGGGACTCAGCCAAACCATATCACAAGTGGTCTTCAAACTACAAACTGTGAGCCAAATCTGGCCTGACTAGCTGATTGTTTTTGCAAAGATACTATTACTAGAACATATCTACACTCATTCATTTACATATTACCAATGGGTGCTTTAGTGCTTCAACAGTAGAGTTGAATAGTTGTGGCAGAGACTTTCTAGCCCACAAAACCTAAAATCTTTGCTCTCTAGTGCTTTAGAGAAAAAGTTTGCTAATGCATTACAAAAAAGTTTGCTGTTCATTTTTTCGTGTGATGGAGATTGAGTCCCAGTGCCAGGCACACTGTCTCCACTTTGGATTCTTCACAACCTAGAAGTGAGGAACGTACTCCCTCTTCTTGCTCTGAGGGTAACGAAAAAGTCCTACAGCTTGAAGAAGCAGTGAGTTTTAAGACCTTTTAAGCCATGTAGCAGTCTAACCTAAGTAAATATTCTGCAAACCTGTGATAACTTGTTTATGGTGGAAGCACAGAGTTTAAACTTTTCGGAAGACAAAATCAACTGCAATCTTTCCAGAAAGATTATACCATACACATGGATGTCTTCCCACTGACCAGGCCTCTTTCAATTTTGATGACCTTGAAGAGTCAGACCATGGATTGCTTAATGATACATTTGACGAGAAAAGTACTTCTAAAGATTCACGGCCTTTTGAGTTTAGCAAGATGTGGAAAAAAAATTTCTGGCTCTAATTATGTCACCTCTACAAGCTTCTGAATTCTCAGCATTTCACTTATTTTGCCTCTTGTGTGTTCAACAGGGTTCAGCATGTATGTATTCCTGTGGATGTGTGTGTTCATAGACCCACACCAGCACACTTTCATGTAAAACAAACCTATAACAAAAATGTAAAGTATTTTCTTATAGGCAGTTGCTTTCATTGGATTTGCTTAATAGTTAACATAATAAAGTACATTTAGATTTTGATAACCAAGACTGAATGTGGAAAACATTTTTGTCAGTTTAAGAAAAGCTAGGTTGTTTTCTTTTTTCTTTTTAGTTTTTTGGTTTTTTGAGTACTTTAAGTACAGTTAGCTGGTGTAATTTGAAAAAATAAGCTACAACTAACAGGTAAAAAAAATTGAGAGTATTTATACTCTTTATATTTTGTATACCTTTTTGTTTTCCTTGCTAGTTTAGAATTTTTTCTCCTTGTTTATTCAATTCTTATTCTTTCAGACGAAATGAAATTCAAGCATTCTTCTCTAGGAAAGATGCCAAAAATACATAAATAAAAATATAGAAGGCTGGGTGCAGTGGCTCACACCTGTAATCCCTGCACTTTGGGAGGCTGAGGCGGGTGGATCACTGGAGGTCAGGAGTTCGAGACCAGCCTGACCAACATGGTGAAACCCGATCTCTACAAAAAAGTAGCTGGGTGTGCTGCTGGGCACCTGTAATCCCAGCCACTTGGGAGGCTGGGGCAGGGGAATTGCTTGAACCTGGGAGGCAGAGGTTGCAGTGAGCCAAGATCGCACCATTGCACTCCAGCCTGGGCGACAAGAGTGAGACTCCATCTCAAAACAACAACAACAACAAAAAGATCATAGGCATGGGCAAGGACTTCATGTCTAAAACACCAAAAGCAATGGCAACAAAAGCCAAAATTGACAAATGGGATCTAATTAAACTAAAGAGCTTCTGCACAGCAAAAGAAACTACCATCAGAGTGAACAGGCAAGCTACAAAATGGGAGAAAATTTTCGCAACCTACTCATCTGACAAAAGGCTAATATCCAGAATCTACAATGAACTCAAACGCATTTACAAGAAAAAAACAAACAACCCCATCAAAAAGTGGGCGAAGGACATGAACAGACACATCTCAAAAGAAGACATTTATGCAGCCAAAAAACACATGAAAAAATGCTCACCATCACTGGCCATCAGAGAAATGCAAATCAAAACCACAATGAGATACCATCTCACACCAGTTAGAATGGCGATCATTAAAAAGTCAGGAAACAACAGGTGCTGGAGAGGATGTGGAGAAATAGGAACACTTTTACACTGTTGGTGGGACTGTAAACTAGTTCAACCATTGTGGAAGTCAGTGTGGCGATTCCTCAGGGATCTAGAACTAGAAATACCATTTGACCCAGCCATCCCATTACTGGGTATATACCCAAAGGAACTATAAATCATGCTGCTATAAAGACACATGCACATGTATGTTTATTGCGGCACTATTCACAATAGCAAAGACTTGGAACCAAGCCAAATGTCCAACAATGATAGACTGGATTAAGAAAATGTGGCACATATACACCATGGAATACTATGCAGCCATAAAAAATGGTGAGTTCATGTCCTTTGTAGGGACATGGATGAAATTGGAAATCATCATTCTCAGTAAACTATCACAAGAACAAAAAACCAAACACCGCATATTAACTGGAATTAACCATTTTCACAGGTTATTTGGAGCTATTCTCTTTTACTATTTATAATATTTAAAAATAAGTGTGAAGTTTGTGATAATAGATACAAAAGATTGCGCAGGTCTGTGAATTTTTCTGTGTACTGGAGACAGAGTGCTCTAAGTCTGTTTAGAATCATCCTTCAGTTCAGTGGAAACACACTTTGAAAGACACAGAATTTTACAATGTAATATGTAAGTGACGCATCCAAAACAATATAATGTTATCAAAAATGAAAAAGGCATGCAAATCTATTGAATTTTTAGGTAGCTAACATGGTGAGGGATTGAGTATTTTGGTACTTGATTATTAACCATACCAGTGATTTTGCATGTTTTACCCATGAAAATCTTTTACAAAAGTTCAAAATACACAACAGTGAAAGAAGACCTCAGGTTGAAGCAGTGGCAGAGAGCCAACCTTTTCTCCTTATGATCCAACGTTCTCTCCTCCTCCTCTTGTTCATTTCTACAAAGCACTTAGCATAGTGTCTGGTACATAGTAGACATTCAAGATATATTTTTGAATAAATAAATAAGTGAATGAGATACTCATAAGGATTCACTAGGAATCTGTGAAGTACAGTTTTTAAATTTTGTTATGTAACTCCCTGGATTTAAGGATGATAAACTTCTGCCAGAAATGAGAAGCACTAAATGTAGACTAAATAGCATGTGACATTTCTTTGAGAATTGAAAAGGTACTCTATTTCCTAGCAGGTATTCAATACCAAGTATCATATTAAGTCTGTAATGCCCAAAAGAGTTTTCTTATATTTTTGTTTTACCAAAAATGCATTTTGTTACAATGTTTGTTACAAATGTATTTCACTATAAGACTCCAGAATATGAATCATACTTCCAGAAATAATATAAAGGCTATATCTGTATGATGTCATTCATAGAGGTGAAAAAAATACAATTCAAATCACAAATTCCACTTTTATCCATAGATTTGACTTCAAATGCTCAAAATCTAGAGAACCTTTGAAACTGATAGTCTTTCTCATCTTAAAGCGAAAACACTTTTAAATCAAAGATTAAGAGCAACTCTTCTGATATGTTTGTTCATGGATGCTTTTGCATTAAATTTAAGTGAAGACACATAGAAGGGAATTGTACAAAGTGAAAGGAGCCAACACACTGTCAATCAGGATAGCCAGTTAGAGGTTATTTGTAGTGGAAACCAGTGATTCTCACATGAAGTTCAATATTCTTTTACACTACATTATTTCACAGGAAAAATGTTGATAACGCAACATAAACTTATAGTATATTTTAAAGAAAAATTGCTTCTATTACTTTATTTAAATAAATAGAAGAAAATCAAATCAAAATTGTATATTTTGCAAATTATCTCTAAGATGCCTAAATTTATGGAAAATGAATAATACGCTACAGGATGAAGGTGTTTATTAGAAATTAGAAATGTGTGATTCCAACTAACATCAAATCATGTGATCTGAATGAGCTTTCATTGGAGTTGCATGAATTTCTTATTCCCAAATCTATTGGTGAGAGAATTGGATTCTAACCTCAGGCAATTTAATTTGTTGCTTTATACTACATGGCTGCAGGAATGACAGGAAAGATCACAGCCTCAGTAAATTGAACTGATTTCAGGAGAAGAGTCTCTGATTTAGTAAAAGAGTGTATTCTTCTCAAGAAATGCAGTTTAAGACACATATAGTACTTCAAACTATACTATCAAATTAATGCCAAGACCCCACAGTATCTACTTAGTCAATTAATTGCTTAATTAATTTTAGAATTTAAAAGCCTTAATCCACTTGTCTATTTTCTCTGTGACTACTTCTGGGATTCGAAATATTGCCTGAAACAATCACAGAACAAATGGCATTTTGGTCCATTAAAAATGTATTGTTCCATTATTTCAGTTAGAACTTTCAAGCCATTTAACAATTATATTATCCAGTCCTAGTGTTTTCTTTTCTAAAATAAACAAAACCAAACAAAAACACATTTGCTTTGTAAAATATGTCAGATTAAGTTGAGAGAATAGAGGTGATAGAGTATTGTAAGGATGCAGAGCTCTCATGGAAATTAATTTATCCAGACTCAACAAGACATAGAATTGATAATTAGAATGCCATAATGTACTAGGGTACTGAGTTCTCTGTTTCTTCACTTCTCTCTGCCTCTGACTACTTCTTAGGTCACATGGTCTTTCTTCTCTGCTTCTCTTTGTTCATTTACTCCCTTATCCGCTCAGATTTTCAAAACTACCTGGAGTAGACTTTCAGTGTCCCAAGTCTAAACTCCCAGAGAAGAGACAATATATTTCATTAGGTTGGTTGGGTATCTGATCAGCCCATAATATTACAAACATTCCTATCTAAGTTAACTGCTTTAACAGATATTCTAGATAGTGTCAGATTTAAGAAAATTGTTTCCCTACAGTTGTTTCTCCACCTTTACTGCTATTCTCAAGTCTTCCAGGTTTTCAACAAATTTTTGAATTTTCAACCATTATTTTCATCAATTTTAGCCTCTATTTTTAAGAAAAGTAAAAGACAATGTTTTCTGCAGTCAGTGTGAGCTTGATTTATGCTTTTTTGCTTTACCTCAATACTTATTCACACTGCCATCCTTCTTTAGCTCTTTTTTACCTGTTTTAGAAAATGATTACCCCCAATCTTTTTCAAATCTAAACTATACAGAATTATTCACATGGACTAGTTGATAAAGATTCCAGAAAAGAGAAAATCGGTGGGGCCACAGTCATTTTCTTTTTCCTCCTGTGTCTTCAATTTATTTCTTAGCATTGATGATCAACTGACCATAATACTTGTATTCCCCATTCTAAGATACTGTTGCTTTGATTAGGCTGCCCGCCCTCAAGATATTCTTTTAGCTCTTTTTTTTTTACTCACATAGCCCAATATGGAGAGAGCAGTCTAAAATGCTTGCCCTTACTTCCCTTTCACTTCTCAAAAAATATGGCTATCCTTTAGGGCATTTGTCTATATAGCTAAAGTTGTATGCATTGTTTTTCTTAATTAAAGAAATAAGACAAGATTCAGTTACAATTTGCTTTTGTAACTTAATGCTATATTTTGGATCTGGAGTCCCAATCTTTTCTTCTATATGAAGGGACATCTATTTGAATAACAGTCCTGGTCTCTTTGCAGTTTTTTGTTTTGTTTTGTTTTACCTAATGGGATAAGGAATGGAAAATGGAAATCTGATTAGTGATTTTTTTAAAAGGAGAAAATTCTTCAGCCAAGCAGAGTTTTCTCCTTTTTTTTCTCTTTTTCTCTTGGGAGTGAGTGGTCTACAGGGAGCAGTTCTTCTCTTCTGTTCCTTTAGGAACAACATACTACAATTGGAATGCTAGTATTATGACACCAGAAAATGTTCAAGCTCTATAATTTGTGATATTGAAATTCTTCTCCCTGATCAGAATCATTTATCCTTGCATTCTAGTAGAATATAATATCAGGAACCTCACTTACACATACAAGTAAGCCACATTCTCCAACATCCGCATGTTCAGTAATAAAAGGTTGTCTTTTGATCCTTATCTTCTTTATTTGTTTGTATTATTTCCCACATTATTAAGCCAGAAACATTGAGAAATAGACCTTTTGGGGACAAGGTAATTCTGAGAGATCGAGTCTTCTTGCATTATGGAAGACCTTAAACTTTGGTATATTAAGTAAAGGAAACATGAGTTTTTGACCTTGAACTTTACAGTGGACTAAATCGTTCAAAATGGATGGATTTAAAATTGTGAAGTTAGTTTTTAACTGTTAGATCTCAAGCTATGTAGCATTTTGACCTTTTGTAAAAAAGTTCATGCAGTGTTTATATATATATATATATATATATATATATATATACACAAATGTTTCTTCAGAGGTGCTACAGGAACCAGGCCTTAAGTAAATGTGAAAACTTAGGGTTTCAGGTTTCATCAAAGGTATAGTGGAAATTTTTAGAGTTATGGATCTCGGCAAAGGAAGAGGCTGCCTGGACGACAGCCAAAATCTAGCCATGAAGTGGCCTCAGAAGATGTTGGCCACAGAGGGATTTGCAAGCAAATATTAGTTCAACAAAGGTGTGAGCCTCAGAAAAATCTGTGAACAACCTTAGCCAAATGGTGGAGAATTTAGGGTACAGGCTACAACTTGAATTTAAAATAAATTAAAAGACAGATGAATTTCTCACACATTGTGGAGCTCTACAGCATTTGGATAAAAATGTTACAGCCTTAAAAATATAGCCCTAGATCTTGCTGCATTCAGCACCAAGGAAGCAATGCTGAAGGAGACAAATTTGAATTCCTGAAGATTGTTCACAAGCACAAAGCCACTCCCAAACATACAGTCTCAGCATGAGTCTGGATCCCTCAATTACAGCGGAGGGGAAAAATGTCTTCTCTAAGAGACAAGTTTCAGAGGCCTCAGCTATTCCACGGTAAGTACCAGTAGAAGTAACCACTGTGACCTGGAACTGAAAATTCCTGTTTACAAAACAACATGCACACTATTTATTTCACAAGAAAAAAACCCAATTCAGTAATGAAATACAGGGCTCACAATGTAAATGTGAATGAAGATATTTTGAATAAGCAATAAAATAATTTCAAATAAGATCTAGTAAATAGGGTTGTCAACATTGCAGATTTACAAACCTCACAAAAAGGTAATATTGTAAGCATAAGAAGAATGGAGGAGCTAAATTAATATCAGACAAAATTAGACTTCAAGATAAAGAGATAAAGATACATAACACAAGACACTTCATAATAATAGAAATGCCAGTTCACCAGAAGCCATAATAATTGTTATGCGTCTGAAGCAAAACTTGGCTAAATTAAAGGGAAAAGTGGTCAATCCCATAATCACAGCTGGAGACTCTAACACCTTTCAGAAAATGATAGAACCAGATATAAATTAATGAAAACAGATGGTTTGAACAACACTGTTGATTAACAAAATGCAATTGATATTTACAGAAAGCTATTACCTAAACTTCATAATATAATTATCTTCAAGTGTATATGGGGCATTCACCAAGACAGACCATTTACTGGGCTAAAAAACAAATCTCAACACATTTAAACAGATTTAAATACTGAGTATATTCTCTTGGAACAATAAAATTAATTTAGAAATCAATTACAATCAGATATCTAGAAAACACAAAATATTTTTATATATAACAAAACACTTCTAAATAATCCATGGTCTAAAAAAGAAACCACAAAGAAAATTAGAAAATATTTCCAAATTAATTATAATAAAAATGTAACATATCAACACTTATGACACATAGCTAAAGCAGGGCTTAGAGGAAAATCTACACCTTTAAATGTTTATTTGAAAAATAATGTAGGTCTGAAATCTAAAAATGACTTAACATTCCTCCTTAAGGAGCTAGGAAAAGAAGAGAAAGTGGAAGTAAAGTGGTAATACAGATAAGAGCAGAAATCAATAAAATTGAAAACTAACAGCATAAAAAATTAGCAAAGCCAAAAGCTGGTTTTTGGAAAAGATATACAAAATTGTTAGATCTCTAAGTAAGATGATTTTAAAAAAAGAGACAGAGGAAACAAGTTACTAATTTCAGGAATGAAAGAGAGTTTATCACTACAGATGTTACAGACATTAAAAAATTATAAGCACTACAAGGCTACAGTAACCAAAACAGCATAGTACTGATACCGCAACAGATATATAGACCAATGGGACAGAACAGAGACCTCAGAAATAACACCACACATCTACAACCATTGATCTTCAACAAACCCGACAAAAACAAACAATGGGGAAAGGATTCCCTATTTAATAAATGATGCTGGGAAAACTGACTAGCCATATGCAGAAAACTGAAACTGGACCCCTTCCTTACACCATATACAAAAATTAAGTCAAGATGGATTAAAGACTTAAATGTAAAATCCAAAACCATAAAAACCCTAGAAGAAAACCTAGGCAATACCATTCAGGACGTAGGCATGGGCAAAGACTTCATGACTAAAACAACAAAAGCAATTGCAACAAAAGCCAAAATGGACAAATGGGATCTAATCAAACTAAAGAGCTTCTTCACAGCAAAAGAAACTATAATCAGACTGAACAGGCAACCTACAAAATGGGCGAAAATTTTTGCAAGCTACCCATCTGCAAAGGTCTAATATCCAGAATCTACAAGAAACTTAAATTTACAAGAAAACAACAATCTCATCAAGAAGTGGGTGAAGGAAATAAACAGACACTTCTCAAAAGAAGACATTTATGCAGCCAACAAACATATGAAAAGAAGGTCATCATCCACTGGTCATTAGAGAAATGCAAGTCAAAACCGCAGTGAGATACCGTCTCACACCAGTTAGAATGGTGATTATTAAAAAGTCAGGTAACAACAGATGCTGGCGAGGCTGTGGAGAAATAGGAAAACTTTTACACTGTTGGTGGGAGTGTAAATTAGTTCAACCTTTGTGGAAGACAGTGTGGTACTTCCTCAAGGATCTAGAACCAGAAATACCCAGCAATCCCGTTACTGGGTATATACCCAAAGGATTGTAAATCATGCTACTATAAAGACACATGCACATGTATGTTTATTGCAGCTCTATTTATAATAGCAAAGACTTGGAACCAACCCAAATGCCCATCAATGATAGACTGGATAAAGAAAATGTGACACATATACACCATGGAATACTATGCAGCCATATCAAAGAATGAGTTCATGTCCTTTGCAGGGACATGGATGAAGCTGGAAGCCATCATTCTCAGCAAACTAACACAGGAACAGAAACTCAAACACCGCATGTTCTCACTCATAAGTGGGAATTGAACAAAGAGAACACATGGACACAGGGACAGGAACATCATACACCGGGGCCTATCAGGGCATGGGGGTCAAGAGGAGGGAGAGCATTAGGACAAACACCTAATGTATGCGGGGCTTAAAACGTAGATGATGGGTTGATAGGTGCAGCAAACCACCATAGCACATATATATCTATGTAACGAACCTGCAGGTTCTGCACATGTATCCCAGAACTTAAAGTGAAATAAAAATATATATATATAATATAAGCATATTATGGGTTATCTTATTGCATGAAATTCAGCAACTTTAATAAATATATAAATTCTAGAGAAATACAACTTGACAATATTAACACAATGAAACATAAAATATGGATAGTCCTACATCAACAAAATGAATTGAATATACTATAATATCAAAAACTTCCCACATTGAAAAATGCAAGACTAGATGGTTTCACTGATGAAGTCTGTCAAACATTTAAGCAAGAAATAATGACAAGAACACACAAACTCATTAAGAAAATAAAGTATAAGGAAACACTTTTCAGTTCATTTTATAATTCAGTATATCCCTAATGCCCAAATGTGAGAGTTACATATATATATATAAATATAGACCAATATTTCTTATAAACATATATGTTAAAAATTCCCTTGAAATATTAGGAAATCCTTATAAGCATTATATAAAAAGGATAATATGGCCTAATATGTTATTAGTAGAATTTGTTTCAAAAGTGAAAGACTAATGTCGTTGTTCATTCCTGCTGCTATAATAAAATATCGGACACTAGGTAACTTACAGGGAACATAAAAGTATCACTTGAAATTGTGGAAACTGGGAAGTCCAACATTAAGAATTGGCAAGTTCAGCATATAATGAGGGCCCAGTCTCTACTTCCAGGATGACGCCTTCACACAGTGTCCTCATATGGTGAAAAAACAGAAAACAAACCCACTCATTCAAGCCCTTTTTTGAAAGCCCAAATTCTGTTCATTAGTGCGCCGCTCTCATGGTTTAATCACCTCCTAAAGGCCTCACCTTTTAACACTATCACATTAGTCATTAGGTTTCAACACATGAATTTTAGGGAACACATTCAGACCATAGCAACTGGTTTAACAGCCAAACATTGATTAGTGCATTCCACCATATAATCAGAGTAAAAGATAAACCATATAATATTAGCAGAAGAAAATGTAGACAATATTCAATATCCATTCCTGATAAAACTGGAAATTGTGTATCTACAAAAAAACCCCACATAGCTATAATTATTCTTAGTGGTGAAACTTTGAATGATTTTCCTTATGATATAGAGCAAGGCAAGGCTACATATTCTTATCACTTCTATTCAGTCTGGTACTAGCTGTTCCAGCCATTGCAATAAGACAACGAAATATGTAAAGGCATAGAAAAAAATCTATCTTTATTTTGCAGTGGCATAATTTTTATGTAGAAAAACCTAAAGATTATACAAAACAACTATTAGAACTAATAAGTGAATTTAGCAAGACCTCTGCACTAAAAGTAAGAAGCATTGGTTAGAAAACATTAAAACTAAACATTGAATTATTATTAATGGCATGCATACTCATGTATGAAAGAAAAACTGTACCTTAGTCTAAAATTTGTTTTGGAATTTTCCAAAAATGAACTGATGAATGGATTGAAGAATAAATAAATGGATAGATAGATATGTTGTAAGTGAATCATAATAAAATGTTAATGGTAGAATCTCGGTAAGGAATAAAATGCTATGATGTTTCAAACATTGTTACATTGTTTGACATAAAGTACTATATTGTGGGAACATGATTTTGCCTGGCATAACTGCTATAGGGTTGCCTTCTAAAAAATTAAATTTGGTATGTTTGTTGCTGGCATTATGATAATTGTGTGTTCTGTGAATTCTTTGAATTATTTGAAAATCAAGCCTTATGAAAGACTTGGCAATTAAGGAACCAAGAAAACTGAAAAATTATATGTATACCACTGAGAAACCAGGCTGAAGTTGTCAGAAGAATGCTAATTCTATTCAGGTATTGATCAGCAATCTGTCTAAGATTTAGGGATAATAAATTGGATAAAATTTTAATTTACTTAAACTTAACTGGCAAGGGTAAAATAATTTGACTTAGGGCCTTAAATCCTTTGAACTTCAATATGTTTGGACACTAATTTTCTAAGAGAATTAATTTTGAGAGTTTTATTTCTTCCCAAGAAATAATGAGGCTGTATTTTCAAATCCGTGTTATCTTATTATTGGCGTTTTATTGTTGGGGTATTTTAATGATGTCTTTTATTCTCATTGTAGAACCTCTGAAAGGATATATTGAACAAAGTGACTGGACATAACATCAGCTGGGGATAAAATAAGAATAAAAGTTTACCTGACTTCTGATTTATTTCAGAAATTTCTGTAGGCAAAATCTATACCAGACAACTGTAGTCCCAGAAAGGTATCAGAAGAATCAGTGGTTGGTTTAAGGAGAATCAGCCTCATAAATTTGGGAGCAGTACTGTCCGGGAAGACAGCTGATCTCTTCCACTGAGTGGTATAAATAGACAAACCAAACCACTGATTGATGATAGTTGTAATGGCTTAGATTAGAGGGTTAAAATGATAAAAGTCAGGAGATGAGTGAAGAAAAATGCTTTTTCTAGATCTGATAATTTCATCCATGTGGAGGGGAATTAATTAATACCAAGGTGTGCGTTTTCTCCACCTCCTCATGGACTTGGAATGACTTATGTGTTTCGTAAACTTGAGAAGAATTAACTGGCCATTCCTGGCTTAATTCTTCTTTTTCTTTTGAGGTAAGGCTGCACACAAAGAACACATGATCTGCTAATGGGGTCAGAGGACAATCAATCCTGTGTTAGACCAGCACTGTTAAATAACTCAGTTTAATTCTGCTTTACTCTTTTATTTTTCAATTAAAGCAGATATCATGGAGGATTGATAAGTGATTGTTATTGGGTTTATTTTTAAACTCTGAGTGACTGACTTTAAATACTTGCCAATTGTTGATTCCTCAGGGATCTAGAACTAGAAATACCATTTGACCCAGCCATCCCATTACTGGGTATATACCCAAAGGACTATAAATCATGCTGCTATAAAGACACATGCACACATATGTTTATCGCGGCTCTATTCACAATAGCAAAGACTTGGAACCAACCCAAATGTCCAACAATGATAGACTGGATTAAGAAAATGTGGCACATATACACCATGGAATACTATGCAGCCATAAAAAATGATGAGTTCCTGTCCTTTGTAGGGACATGGATGAAATTGGAAATCATCATTCTCAGTAAACTGTCGCAGGGACAAAAAACCAAACACTGCATGTTCTCACTCATAGATGGGAATTGAACAATGAGAGCACATGGACACAGGAAGGGGAACATCACACTCTGGGGACTGTTGTGGGGTAGGGGGAGGGGGGAGGGATAGCATTAGCAGATATACCTAATGCTAAATGACGAGTTAATGGGTGCAGCATACCAGCATGGCACATGTATACATATGTAACCTGCACATTGTGCACATGTACCCTAAAACTTAAAGTATAATAATAAATAAATATTTGCCAATTGTAATGTGAATTTTTTGAATTGTAAGAGAAAACATCTCTCAATGCACTTATGGGCTACTTTTCTTTATTCTATTGTATACTTTTTATTCATACACTTTGCCCATTTTTCTATTGGCTACTTGATATTTTTCACATTCATTTGTATAACCTCTTTCTATATTAAAGAAATTAATCTCTTATCTGTCAATATACTGCAAATGTTTGTATTTAGTTTAACTTATCTCTTCTGAATTTATAGCATTTTTAAAGTTGTGTTGTATAAAAAACTATAAATATTTTCTTCTATAGATTTATGGTTTGCATATCTTGTTTTGAAAAGTCATTCCCCATCAAAGATTTTTAAAGAACATTTTTAAGAATTATGCAGAATCCTATTTTATTTTAAAAATATTTTTTGTTAAACTGAAATTTATCTCTGTGTAAAGTTTGAGATGAAAATCTAGGTTTATTAACTTTTTTCCAAATAGCAACCAAATTATCCCTATAAAATTGATTAAGTAATCCATCTTTTTACTACTTATTTAGAATACTGAATCTCAAAAATATTTTCTGGTTTCTCTATTCTGCTCCATTGTTTGATCTATTCTTGGAGTATTACCAAAATGATATATAATACTAGTAGTCTTGTGTCATTACCCCTTTTTTAAAAATCCTGGATATTTTCACATATTTGTTCCAGTTAACTTTAAACTCATTGAGTCATGACTGAAATAGAATATATTCTATTTTTCATCCAAGTTGCTGCAAAAGACATTATTTTGTTTTTTTTTTATGGCTGAGGAGTATGCCATGGTGTATATATACCACATTTTCTGAATTCACTTGTTGGTTGGCGGGCACTTAGGTTGGTTCCATATCTTTGCAATTGCAAATTGTGCTGCTATAAACATATTCATGTTCACGTGTCTTTTTATATAATGACTTCTTTGTCTTTAGGTACATACCCAGTAGTGGGATGATCGAATTGTAGTTCTACTTTTAGTTCTTTAAGGAATCTCCATATTGTTTTATATAGTGGTTGTACTAATTTATATTCACACTAGCAGTCTTTATGTGTTCCATTTTCACCACATCCATACCAACGTCTATTTTTTTTAATTTTTTCATCATGACCATTCTTGCAAGAGTAAGGTGGTATGTCATTGTGGTTTTAATCTGCATTTCCCTGATGATTAGTGATTTTGAGAATTTTTTTCATATGTTTGTTGGCTGTTTGCATATCTTCTTTTCAGAATTGTCTATTCATATCCTTAGCCCACTTTTTAATGGGATCGTTAATTTTTTTTTCTTGCTGATTTGTTTGAGTTCCTTGTAGATTCTGGATATTAGTACTTTGTTGGTTGCTTAGTTTGAGAAGATTTTCTTTTATTCTGTGGGTTGTCTGTTTACTCTGCCTATTATTTCTTTTGTTGCACATAAGCTTTTTAGTTTAATTAATTCCAATCTATTTATCTTTGTTTTTGTTGCATTTGCTTTGGGTTCTTGGTCATGAAGTAGTTGCCTAAGCCAATGTCTAGAAGGGTTTTTCCAATGTTATCTTCTAGAATTTTTATGGTTTCAGGTCTTAAATTTAAGTCTTTGATCCATCTTGAGTTGATTTTTGTATAAGGTGAGATGGGGATCCACTTTCATTCTTCTACATGTAGCTTGCCTATTTTCCCAGCACTATTTATTGAATAGGGTGTCCTTTCCCCAATTTATGTTTTCATATGGTTTGTCAAAGATCAGTTGGCTGTAAGTATTTGGCTTTATTTCCACATTCTGTATTTTGTTCCATTGGTCTGTATGCCTATTTTTATACCAGTACCATGCTGTTTTGGTAACTACAGCCTTGTAGCATAATTTGAAGTCAGGTAATGTGATGCCTGCAGATTCATCTTTTTGCTTAGCATTGCTTCGGCTATGTGGGGTTTTTTTTGGTTCCATATGAATTTTGCAATGGATTTTTCTAGTTCTGTGAAGGATGATGATGGCATGCTTGATGGGAATTGCATTGAATATGCAAACTGCTTTAGGCAGTATGGTTGTTTTCACAATATTCATTCTTCCCATCCATGAGCATGAGATGAGTTTCCATGTGTTTGTGTCATCTATGATTTATTTCAGCAGTGTTTTGTATTAAGTTTATAACGAATCATGTTGCTAAAATCTTGTTTCTAAGAGTTTTTTAGTTGATTCTCCTCCATTTGCAAAATACACAATCTAGTCATTTGTAAGTAATGATAATTTTGTTATCACTGTTCATTTTCTAATACACTTTAATTTAGTCCAATTACACTGGCTAGTAATTCTGAAACTTTTCAAAATGATACAGTGCTAAGAAATATATTTCTCCTGTTTTATTTTAATGGGAAAGCTTCTAATATATCACCATTGATGGTATGTATTTCTATAAGGTTTGTCTTAAAATCAGCAATGGATAATGAATTATAATAAATATCACATTGTAATTTATTGAGATAACTATATTTTCCTCCTTTGGTTTCTTGATATAGTAAATTATAATAATGATTTCCCTTTATGGAATCATCCTTACATTTTTTATAAATGTTCCACTTAGTTATGGTTTAATATACGATTAATTAAATGCTTGATTTCATTTGCTAATGTTATATTTAAGATATTTTCATCAAAATTTATTAGAGATATTAGTTCTTAGGGGTTTTGGGGGTATTGTTTTGTAATGGTTTGTTGTCAGTGTTATGGTTGTAAGTAACAATTTGAAGTTTTCTACTTTATTGATCTTGGAAAAGTTCATACAGTATTCAGATTTGTATTTCTTAAAGTTTTACAAGAATTCATATGTTTACTCATTTTGGCTGCATGCATTAAGGGGCTAGTCAGTGTTTCTTTCTGTTTCAGATTTTCTTTATGTATTTTACTGCTTAATTATTTTGCTGCATAAAAACGTATGTCTAAGCGTTATTTTAAAGTATATTCTCTACCTTGCTGAAAAGAGCCATTACAATTACATTTTGCTAGGAATAACGCATGTTTTTCTTCTTTATGTTTGTACTTTATGTTTCTTCTTTATGTTTGTACTTTATGTTTGTACTTCTTCTTTATGTTTGTTTATACGTGTTTGTGTATGTGATATTCATTCCTCTGATAATTAAAAAGATTATAGCCTTGAAAATTTAAGCAAGATGCATAAACCAAAATTTTAAATTTTTTTATTTTGTGCATTAAAAATTATTTTGTTAATTGAAACATAAAAGTTGTATGTATATCTATGGTCTACAATATGATATTTTGATATATGTATACATCGTGGAATGGCTAAATCAAGTTAATTAATGTATGCACTGTCTTACATACTTACAAATATTTTTTGATGAAAATACTTAAAAATGTACTCTCTTGGCAATTTTCAGGCATACAATATTTGTTACTAATTAAAGTCACCATGGTGTGCAATACATATCTTCAACTTATTTCCTCTGTCTGACTGAAATCTTATACCTATGAGTAACATCTCCCCAATCTCCTTACCCCAAGCCACTGGTAACCACCCTTCTACTCTGTCTCTTTGAGTTTGTGTATTTTAGATTCCACATATAAGTAAAACCATGTGTGTTTGTTTTTCTGCACCTGGACTGTGACACTTAACATAGTATTCTCCAGATTCATTAATGTTACTGCAAATGACAGTGTTTCCTTTGATTTTAGGGTTGAATAATATTCCAGTGTGTGTGTGATACTTTCTTTATTCATTCACCATTCATGGACAACTTTAGTTGTTTTTATGTCTTGAGTATTGTGGATAATGCTGTAATGAGCATGGGAGTGCTGATAACTGTTTGACATGCTGATTTTATTTTTTTGGATATATACCAGGAGGTGGTATTACTGGATCAAATGACAGTTATTTCTTATGCAGTGATTGATTCATTGGCACATTGGAATTATACATATATTGGATACAATTTGATATTTCAGTATACACATATGTTTTATAACAATCCAACCAGGGTAGTGAGTCTATACATCACATCATGCATTTATCATTTGTTTGTGATAAGAACATTCAAAAGCCTCAATTCTAGATATTTTGTAATGTGCAATATTTCACTGTTAACCATAGTTACCCTATTGTGCAATAGAGCATCAGAATTTATTTTTTCTATCCATTTGTAACATTGTAATCACTAAGCAACTTCTCCCCATTTTCCCCTTACCTCTTCCATCCTCATTTTCTGATAACAACTGATACTATCTGTTTATAGGATTTCAATTTTTTAAGGATTCATCATATGGGGAATATCTTCACCTAACTCATAAGTTATTTGAGAATACAAACCCATAGCTAGGCTCAACTTTAAAAAAGTCTTATCTGAGATTCCTTCTATGAAACAGAGTTCCATCAAAGCCAATTAAAAAGCCCATGTGAAAAATAATTATTCTTGCTACATTTTATACAAATAATCAGGCCAAGTATAATAAAGCAAATTGGTCTTAGTATGATATGTCTTTAGTAAAAATGGAAGAATGGAGAGAGAAAAAATTATGTTTCAAGAACTATGGTACACCTGTTATTAGATTCTAGTCTCATTAGTTGTTTTTGAGGGGGTTTTTCCTGAAATTTAGACTGACTCTGCTTATTCCTGTGAACTAATCTGTGATCTCTGACTGAAGATTAAAAGAAAGAAATGAAATGGGCAATGTAAAAATCTGGATCAATATTCTAATTCTGGGCACATGCTGACATCAGCTAGTGACGCTGTATTAGCTTGGTGATATGGTTTAGTCATGTTCCCACCCAAATCTCATCTTTAATTGTAGTTTCCATAAAACCTATATGTTGTGATAGGGACCCAATGGGAGGTAATTGAATCATGGGGGTGGTTACCCCCACGCGGCTGTTTTCATGATATTGAAACATGAGAACAGCATGGAGGAAACTGCTGCCATGATCCACTCACCGCCCACTAAATCCCTCCCTCAACACATGGGGATTACAATTCACATTACAATTCAAGATGAGATTTGCGTGAGGACGCAGAGCCAAACCATATCACTGGGTAACATGGTAGTTCTATATACTTTTTTGAGAAACTTCCATACTGTTTTCCATAATGGTAGTACTAATGTATATTCCTGCCAACAATATGCAAGTATTCCCTTTTCTCCATATCTTTGCCAACATTTATTTATTGTCTTTTTGTTAATAGTCATTCTAACTCATGTGAGGTGATATCTTATTGTTCCTTAAATTTACATTTACTTGATGATTAGTGATGTTGAGTGTTTCTTTACATACTTGTTGGCTAGCCATTTGTATGTGTTCTTTATAGAAATGTCTGTTAAGGTCATTTGCTTATTTTAATTAAAGTTATTTATTTTCTTTCTATTGAGTTGTTTTAGTTTCTAATATATTTTGGATATTAACCCCTTATTAGATATATGATTTGCAAATAGTTTCTCTTATAACATAGATTGTCTCTTCACTCTGTTTATTGCTTCCTTTGCTGTGCAAATCTTTTTAGTTTGATGCAATTCCACATATCTAGTTTTGCTTTCGTTGCCTGTGTTTTTGGCATTATATCCAAAAAGTAATTCCCAAGGCCAATGTCATGGAGCTTTTTCCCTATATTTTGTTCCAGTAGTTTTTTGTTTTACAATTTACATTTAAGTCTTGATACAGTTCGGATGTGTATCCCTGCCCAAATCTCATATTGAAATGCAATCATCAATGCTGGAGGTGGGGCCTGGTGGGAGGTAATTGGATCATGGGAGCAGATTTTTCATGAATGGTTTAGCACTATACCTCCTGGTACTTTCCTCATGATAGTGAATTAGTTCTCATGATGTCTGATTATTTAAAAGTGTCTAGCACCTCCTCCCTTACTCTATTGCTCCTGCTCTGGCCATGTTATTTGCCTGCTCCCGTTTGCCTTCTGCCATGATTGTAAGTTTACTGAGACCTCTCCAGAAGCTGAGCAGATCCCAGCATCATGCTTTCCATGCAGGCTGCAGAACTGTGAGCCAATTAAACTCTTTACTATGTAAATTACCAAGTCTCAGGTATTTCTCTATAGCAATGCAAAAACAGACTAATACAAGTCTCTAATACCCTTTGAGTTTATTTTTGTATGTGGTGTGAGATGCAGGTCTAATTTTATTTTACATTTGGATATCCAGTGTTCCCAATATCATTTACTGAAGACACAATCACTTCCCCACAGTGCATTCTTGGCATCTTTTTCAAAAAATAAAATTTAGCATACATGTGTGGATTTATTTCTGGGATCTATTTATTCTCTTTAATTGGTCTATTTGTCTTATTGAAATTCCTTTATACGTGACTTGTTTCATTCTATTGCTGCTTTCAGGATGTTTTATCTTTTATTGTTGAAGATTTCATTATAATATGTCTTTCTATAGTCTAGTTTGGATTTAATCTGACTGGAAACCTTTGACCTCCCTGTAGTTGGATATTTAGATCTTTGCCTTGATTTGACAATTTTTAAGCTATTGTTTTTAAAAATAAGATTTCTTTCCTGTTCTCTCTTTCACCTTATCTCATGTAATATAACAAATAGTTCTTTTGTTATTTTTATGCTGTCACTTAAGTATTCTAGGCTTTCTTGATTCTTTTTAATTTAGTTTTATTTTTTCCTCTGCTATATATTTTCAAATAACCTGTTTTCAAGTTTACAGATTTATTTTCCTGCTTGATCAATTTTGCTGCTGATACTCTCCATTGTGATTTTATTTCATTTATTGTATTCTTCAGCACCAGAATTTCTGATTATTTTAAAAAAATATTTTCACCTCTCTGTTATAAAAGTTGTTTTATCTTATTGTTTTCCTGATTTTGTTAAACTATTTCCATATATTTTTGAAATTTTGCCAGTGTCCTTAATCCATCTTGAATTAATTTTTGTATAAGGTGTAAGGAAGGGATCCAGTTTCAGCTTTCTACATATGGCTAGCCAGTTTTCCCAGTACCATTTATTAAATAGGGAATCCTTTCCCCATTGCTTGTTTTTCTCAGGTTTGTCAAAGATCAGATAGTTGTAGATATGCGGCGTTATTTCTGAGGGCTCTGTTCCGTTCCATTGATCTATATCTCTGTTTTGCTACCAGTACCATGCTGTTTTGGTTACTGTAGCCTTGTAGTATAGTTTGAAGTCAGGTAGTGTGATGCCTCCAGCTTTGTTCTTTTGGCTTAGGATTGACTTGGCAATGCGGGCTCTTTTTTGGTTCCATATGAACTTTAAAGTAGTTTTTTCCAATTCTGTGAAGAAAGTCATTGGTAGCTTGATGGGGATGGCATTGAATCTATAAATTACCTTGGGCAGTATGGCCATTTTCATGATATTGATTCTTCCTACCCATGAGCATGGAATGTTCTTCCATTTGTTTGTATCCTCTTTTATTTCGTTGAGCAGTGGTTTGTAGTTCTCCTTGAAGAAGTCCCTCACGTCCCTTGTAAGTTGGATTCCTAGGTATTTTATTCTCTTTGAAGCAATTGTGAATGGGAGTTCACTCATGATTTGGCTCTCTGTTTGTCTGTTATTGGTGTATAAGAATACTTGCGATTTTTGTACATTGATTTTGTATCCTGAGACTTTGCTGAAGTTGCTTATCAGCTTAAGGAGATTTTGGGCTGAGACGATGGGGTTTTGTAGATATACAATCATGTCATCTGCAAACAGGGACAATTTGACTTCCTCTTTTCCTAATTGAATACCTTTATTTCCTTCTCCTGCCTAATTGCCCTGGCCAGAACTTCCAACACTACGTTGAGTAGGAGTGGTGAGAGAGGGCATCCCTGTCTTGTGCCAGTTTTCAAAGGGAATGCTTCCAGTTTTTGCCCATTCAGTATGATATTGGCTGTGGGTTTGTCATAGGTAGCTCTTATTATTTTGAGATACATCCCATCAATACCTAATTTATTGAGAGTTTTTAGCATGAAGGGTTGTTGAATTTTGTCAAAGGCCTTTTCTGCATCTATTGAGATAATCATGTGGTTTTTGTCTTTGGTTCTGTTTATATGCTGGATTACATTTATTGATTTGCATATATTGAACCAGCCTTGCATCCCAGGGATGAAGCCCACTTGATCATGGTGAATAGGCTTTTTGATGTGCTGCTGGATTCAGTTTGCCAGTATTTTATCGAGGATTTTTGTATCAATGTTCATCAAAGATATTGGTCTAAAATTCTCTTTTTTGGTTGTGTCTCTGCCAGGCTTTGGTATCAGGATGATGCTGGCCTCATAAAATGAGTTAGGGAGGATTCCCTCTTTTTCTACTGATTGGAATAGTTTCAGAAGGAATGGTACCAGTTCCTCCTTGTACCTCTGGTAGAATTTGGCTGTGAATCCATCTAGTCCTGGACTTTTTTTGGTGGGTAAGCTATTGATTATTGCCACAATTTCAGAGCCTGTTGTTGGTCTATTCAGAGATTCAACTTCTTCCTGGTTTAGTCTTGGAAGGGTGTATGTGTTGAGGAATTTATCCATTTCTTCTAGATTTTCTAGTTTATTTGCATAGAGGTGTTTGTAGTATTCTCTGATGGTAGTTTGTATTTCTGTGGAATCGGTGGTGATATCCCCTTTATCATTTTTTATTGCATCTATTTGATTCTTCTCTCTTTTTCATTCATCTTGCTAGCAGTCTATCAATTTTGCTGATCCTTTCAAAAAACCAGCTCCTGGATTCATTAATTTTTTGAAGGGTTTTTTGTGTCAAAGACTTAAACGTTAGACCTAAAACCATAAAAACCCTAGAAGAAAACCTAGGCATTACCATTCAGGACATAGGCATGGACAAGGACTTCATGTCTAAAACAGCAAAAGCAATGGCAACAAAAGCCAAAATTGACAAATGGGATCTAATTAAACTAAAGAGCTTCTGCACAGCAAAAGAAACTACCATCAGAGTGAACAGGCAAGCTACAAAATGGGAGAAAATTTTTGCAACCTACTCATCTGGCAAAGGGCTCATATCCAGAATCTACAATGAACTCAAACGCATTTACAAGAAAAAAACAAACAACCCCATCAAAAAGTGGGCGAAGGACATGAACAGACACTTCTCAGAAGAAAACCTGTATGCAGCCAAAAAACAAATGAAAAAATTCTCACCATCACTGGCCATCAGAGAAATGCAAATCAAAACCACAATGAGATACCATCTCACACCACTTAGAATGGCAATCATTAAAAAGTCAGGAAACAACAAGTGCTGGAGAGGATGTGGAGAAATAGGAACACTTTTACACTGTTGGTGGGACTGTAAACTAGTTCCACCATTGTGGAAGTCAATGTGGCGATTCCTCAGGGATCTAGAACTAAAAATACCATTTGACCCAGCCATCCCATTACTGGGTATATAACCAAAGGACGATAAATCATGCTGCTATAAAGACACATGCACACATATGTTTATTGTGGCACTATTCACAATAGCAAAGACTTGGAACCAACCCAAATGTCCAACAATGATAGACTGGATTAAGAAAATGTGGCACATATACACCATGGAATACTGTGCAGCCATAAAAATGGTGAGTTCATGTCCTTTGTAGGGACATGGATGAAATTGGAAATCATCATTCTCAGTAAACTATCACAAGAACAAAAAATCAAACACCGCATATTCTCACTCATAGGTGGGAATTTAACAATGAGAACACATGAACACAGGAAGGGGAACATCACACTCTGGGGACTGTTGTGGGGTGGGGGAAGGGGGAGGGATAGCATTAGGAGATATAGCTAATGCTAAATGACGAGTTAATGGGTGCAGCACACCAGCATGGCACATGTATACATATGTAACTAACCTGCACATTGTGCACATGTACCCTAAAACTTAAAGTATAATAATAATAAAATTAAAAAAAATATTTTGCCAGTGTCTTTAAAAGAAATAGTTTCAATTGTTTGTCAGGCAATTCACAAGCCTTCATTTCTCTGGGTTCAGTTACAGGGAAATCATTGCATTATTTTGGTTGTGGTATGTTTCCTTGTTTGTTCATTTCTTTGTTGCTTTAAATTCATATCTACACTTTTGATGTAGCAGTTACCTCTTTGAGACTATATGGGCTACTTTTCATGTAGAAAGATATTCCCCTATGGGTGGGTATGAGGGCACTGGTTGGGTAGAGTGCAGCAGTTCTGACTTTAATGAGGATGGAGCAACATAGGCTCCATGCAGCTCTGTTAGCTGAGGTCAGTGTTAGTGACAATTCCAGGGATCCTTAGTGGCCAGTACTGTTGTATGGTGGTTGTTAGCGCTGTTGTGTCTTCAGTGACAATAGCTACTAGGGTTCTTCTGATTTCCTTTTCTGCTACCAGGGAAGTTATAACTGAGGATATCCCTCTTGGCACTGGGTCTGCCTTGCAGGCCTCCACATCATGATAGTGGGATTTCTGTATAATGAGTGCCATCCAAGGATCAGTAACAGAGCTGAGACCTAAAACATGAGCATGCATAGAAGGACTATCACTCTAGGGTGGAGGGTAGTCGTAGCACTGATGCCGAGGGCACAGGCACTCCTGTTGCCACATTGGTAATGATGTAAGAGTTGTAAATGCTTGTGAAGCAGCTGGGGATTCGGAGAGAGGAGTACGGGCATGCACAGAGCAACATTGACTCTAAGGTCTGAAGCTGTATTGTGGCTGAGCTGGTGACTAGAGCATTGCCGTGTGGAGAGTGACTTTGGCGCCAGGGCCCTGAGATTGAACTAGCTTATTATGGTAGTAGCTAGAGTATCCATGGTGGGGGTACAGAGTGCAGATTCCCATCAACCTGTTTTTATTGATTTGGCAGCGTTAGATGGCATTTATTGATTCTGTTGTTCATTAAATAAACATTTATTAAGTACCCACGATGTACTAGACAGTATTTCAGCTGCCGTTTCAGGTATCTTTGAACAAAACAGACAAAATATTTGCCCTCATAAAGCTAACATCTAGATATAAACGATGGAGAAAATTGCAAATTTCAAAGTCCTGGTATCTTTCTTCGTCCATCTTGTAATTATTGTTAGTTGCATCATATATTTAAATTGCCAATTATTTTCATTTTATGTTCCATTCTTTAATCACAATTGCTTGTCCTCAATTCTGTAATTGTTTTATTAGTCATCCATTCAGGTTCTTTTATACCCCCATGTCCACATTTCCAAGTTCTGAGTTATTTAATTTGACCCAGTGACTAGTTCAAGAAAATATTTGAAAATGTTCTGTGGGTATTGTAAATTTTGTGTTACTTTTCATTTAGACAATATATTCTTTAAATATTTTAAATATTTAATTTGTAACTTAGGTATAAGATTCTGGGATCACACATATTGTCTGTCTTATTCTTTCCATTCAACTGTTGTTATATTTTGACACCGGATGTTTCAATAAAACTCTGAAGCCAGCCTGAAGTTTACTTTCTAGGTAATTTGAAAAATTCTGGTTGTCCATTTTTCTGTTTCAAGATCTCATTCAGGTTACCACATGACTTTTAGTCATTGGTTCTCCTCAGACTTATCTTGGCTGTGACAATTTCTCAGAATTTCTTTGTTTTAGATAACATGGCAATTTTCTGGAGTACTGATCACGTATTTTATAGCATGTCCCTCAATAGAAATTTGTGTGAAGTTTTTTCATGATTGAACTGTGGTTATTTTATTTTTTGGAAGAAAGGTCATAGAGGTAAAGTGCTATTTTCATTCTATAATATCAAGGGTACATACTATTAACATGAGTTGCCACTGTTGAAGTTGACCTTCATAACCAACCTGGCTGAAGTAGTTTTTCAGATTTCTCCACTGTACAGTCACTGTGTTTTTCCCCTTTCCATACTGTACTCTTTGAAAGGAAGTCACTAGGTACCATAAGGGGTAGAAAGTTATGTTTCACCACCTTGAGGTTGGATTATCTACATAAATTATTTGGAATTCTGTATGAGAGAAGCATCTGTTCTCTCTCATTTTATAACTCACTATTTATTTGTAAAAGTATGGCTCATGGATACAAATTTTATACCTTAGGTTATATCCATTACTAATTATTTTGTTGCTCATGCTGATTTCTGTCTTTGAGCATTGGAGGTCTTTACGTTGGTTCTTGTGTTCCTTCAGCATAGTCCCATCGAAATGAAGATTTTTCTTTTTGAGGACCTCCTTAGTTTATAATGCTACAGTATGTTCCAGCCTCATTTTATATATTGCTTTTAACAATCATAGAATTGGCTATTTCTCCAAAATTCCTGGCTCATCTTATTAAAGAATGGTATAAGAAATGAACACCGGGGCACTAGGTATGCTCATTCTTATTTTGGTGCCATTTTTTAGGTCCCTTCAGATGACAGAGGAAGGAAATATGCATGCATTAACACATGTATCTACATGTATCTATAAGTGTTTATATGCTTAACCATCTGTATGTGTACTAAGTGTAACATAAGTCCATACTGATATCGTCAACTCTGATTCATTACACGTATATCATTCTAGCCTCCTATCCTTACTGGTCTGTCAACTTCCCCTCCAACATTGAAAATATTGGTTCACATTATCTGCTGTACTTTTACTAAATTACTCAAACATAGTAAATTGTAAAGTAGCATTAGAATTATTAACTTGTAACTTCATGGGAAAGAACTCTATCAAGTAGAGTGTGGTGAAGCTCCTTTGAATTTTCTTTTAGAAATCACTCATTTCATACCTTACTTAGGGCAGCACCTCTCTTCCCCAAACCATTCAGTGATGTTGTTTCAAACACTTATAATAAGTTAGATTTTTTACTGCAGTCTGTATTTCATGCTGTGATTTCCCAACATCCTAAATACGTTTTAAATTTTGAGTACATTAAGGTTCACTCTTTACACTGTGAAGTTTTACAGGTTTTGACATGAGCATATGTCATGTATGCACCATTATAGTATCATACAGAAAAGTTTCACCACCATAAAAAAATCCCATGTGCTTCACCTGTTAATTCCTGTCTCCCATGCATCCAATCCCTTGACAATCACTGATCTTTGTACTGTCCCCACAGTTTCGCTTTTTTCCGAATGTCATTTAATTGAAATTATACAGTATGTGGGCTTTTTGAAATGTTTTTTTTTTACTTGGTAATATGCATTTAAGGTTTATCCATGTGTTTTCATGACATGATACTTTGTTTCTTTTTAATGTTCAATAATATTCCATTGTATTAAGGTACTACAGGTTGTTTCTGTATTCACTTATTAAAGGTCATCTTGGTTTCTTCTGGTTCTGTGTGGTTATAAATAAAATAGATAAATATACATAAGTTTTTTTGTGTGTATAAGTTTTCAAATCAGTTAGGTAAATATCTAGGGGCAGGATTACTGGGTCATTTGGTAAGATTATGATTAGTATTGAAAGAAACTGCCAAATGGTTCCAAAATGGAAGCACTTTACCATTTTATATTCACATAACAATGAATGACATTTCTTATGGTAATGTGTCATCACCAGCATTTGTTATTGTCAAATCTTTTGGCCACTTTCTAAATGGGTTTTTGCTTTCCTATTATTGAGTTTCAAGTGTTCAAGTGTGTTTTTTTTTGTGTATATTTTGGATATAAGTCCTTTATTAGATAGGAATTGGACAATTTTTTTTACCAGTCTGTGGCTGAACTTTTCATCCACTTAACAGTTTTAGGAATGCAAAAGTTTTAATTTTGATAAAGTTAAACTTACTAACTTTTTCTTTCATGAACCATGCTTTTTTATTGAATCAAAATTCATATAACATAAAATTAACCATTATAAAGAATAACATTCTGTGGCAATTAGTGTACTCAAAATGTTATAAAACTCTGTCTAGTTTCAAGATATTGTCATCACACCCAAAGAAAAATCTTTATCCAGTAAGCAGTTATTCTGAATTTAGTCCTTCCACCAGCTACTGGAAAGCACTAGTCTGTTTCCCACCTCTATATATTTGCAAAAAATGTATATTACATATATATGGAATTATACAACTTATGCACCTTTGCATCAATCTTTTTTCACTTAGCATAATTTTTTAGGTTCATCAATGTTATAGCATGTACCTGTACCCCATTCATTTTGTATGGCCAAATAATAATCCATTGTATAAATGTACCACATTTTATTTTTCTTTTTGCCAGTTAAAGGACATTTGAGTTGTTTCAACCTTGTATTTATTGTAAATAGTGTTATGGCCATGCATATACATGTCTTCATTTGAATACTTGCTTTCAAACATTTGGCATATATATCTAGGAGTGTAGGTGATAGGTATTTTTGGTAATTCTATGTTTAACTATTTGAAGAACCATCAAACTGTTTTTCTCATCTACTGCGTCATTTTTCTATTTTCTTTTTGACACAGTCTCCTTCTGTCACCCAGGCGGGAGTGCAGTCTCAGCTGAGTGCGATCTTGGCTCGCTGCACCTCCATCTCCTGGGTTCAAGCGATTCTCATGCCTCGGCCTCCCCAGTAGCTGGGACTACAGGCACTTGCCACCACGCCCGGCTGATTTTTTTTTTTTTTTTTTTTTTGTATTTTTAGTAGAGAAGGGGTTTCATCATGTTGGCCAGGCTGGTCTCCAACTCCTGACCTCAAGTGATCTGCCCACTTCAGCTTCCCAAAGTGCTGGGATTACAGGCATGAGCCACCATGCCTGGCCTACCACACCATTTTATATAGTTTCACCAGGGCTGAAATACATGAGGGTTTCTATTTCACATATTCAGCAATACCTGGTATCTGTTTCTCTCTCTCTTTTTTTTTTCAATTTGGGCAGATGAAAAGGTACGAAATAGCACTTCACTGTGGTTTTATTTGCATTTCCCTAATGACTAATGATGTTGAACATTATTATATATGCTTATTGAACATTTGTATATCTTTGGAGAATGTCTTTTGCTAATTTTAAAAATTAGTTTGTTTGACATTTTGTTGTTGCTTTAAGAGTCCCTTGTACATTCTGAAACTAGATTCTTATCCAAATATTGATTTGCAAATATTTTTTTCCCATGTTGAAAGTTGACTTTTTACTTTCTTAAAAGTGCTTTCTTTGATGCACATAAGTTTTAATTGTCAGTGAAGTGTAATTATCTATTTCTTGTTTTATTCTTGAACTTTTGGTGCCCCATCTGAAAACTCTTCGCCAAATAAAAGGTCAGGAAAATTTGCCCCCGTGAAGGGTTTAATAGTTTTAACTCTTAAATTTAGGTCTTCAATCCATTATGATTTAATTTTTGTATATGATGTGAGATAAGGGTCCAACTTTATTATTTTGCATGTGGATTTCCAGCTTTTTTTAACATCAATTGTTGAAAAGGCTCTCTCTTCTGCATTGAATGTTTTAGAACTCTTGCAAAAATCAATTGATCATATATTGCTAGATGTATTTTCTGAATTTCAGTGTGTTCCATTGGTACATATTTTTATTTTCATGCCAGTACCTCATTGTTTTGATTACTGTATTAGTCTGTTCTCATGCAGCTATGAAAAAATATCCAAGGCTGGGTGATTTATAAAGAAAATACATTTATATGACTTACAGTCTTGCAGGGCTGGGGAGGCCTCTGGAAATTTACAATCATGGCAGAAGGGGAAGCAAACATGTCCTTCTACACCAGGCAGCAGCAAGGAGCAGTGCAGAGCAAAGAGTGGGGGGAAAGCCCCTTATAAAACCATCAGATCTTGTGAGAACTCATTCACTATCACGAGAACATCATGGAGATAACTACCACCATTATTCAAGTGCCTCCCACTTGGTCCCTCTCATGGCATCTGGGGATTGTGGGAACTACAGTTCAAGATGAGATTTCAGTTGGGACACAGCCAAACCATATAATTTTGCCCATGGCCCCTCCAAAATTTCAGGTCCTCACATTTCAAAACCCAATCATGCATTCTCAACAGTCCCCCAAAGTCAGCATTAACTCAAAATTCCAACATTAACTCAAGAGTTCAAGTCCAGTCTCATGTGAGACAAGGCAGGTCCCTTCCACCTATGAGCCTGTAAAATCAAAAATCAAGTAAGTTACTTCCTAGAGACAATGGGGGTACTGGCAGTGGGTAAATACACCCATTTTAAATGGGAGAAAGTGGCTAAAACAAAAAGGCTACAGGCCCCATGCAAGTCTGAAATCCAGCGAGGCAGTCATTAAATCTTACAGCTTTGAAATAACCTCCTTTGACTCCATGTCTCACATCAAGTTTACACTGATGCAAAGGTGGGCTCCCATGACCTTGGACAGCTCCACCTCTGTGGCTTTGCAGAGTATAGCTTCCATCTTGGCTGCTTTTGTGGGCTGGCATTGAGTTTCTGTGGCTTTTCCAGGTGCATGGTGCAAGCTCTTGGTGGATCTAACATTCTGGGGTCTGGAGGATAGTGGCCCTCTTCTCACACCTCTACTAGGCAGTCCTCTAGTGGGGACTCTGTGTGGCAGCTCCAACCCCATGTTTCCCTTCTGCACAGTCCTAGCAGAGGATGTCCATGAGGGCTCCACCCCTCCAGCAAATGTCTGCCTGTACATTCAGGCATTTCCATACATCCTCTGAAATTCAGGTGCTGGTTCCCCAACCTCAATTCTTGACTTCTGTGCACCTGCAGTCCCAACACCATGTATAAACCACCAAGGCTTGGGGCTTGCAACTTCTGAACCAATGGCCAGAGCTGTACCTTGGCCCAGTTTTATTCGTGGGTGGAGCTGAAGCAGCTGGGATGCAGGGCACCAAGTCCCGAGGCTGCACACAGCAGAGGGGTCATGGACGCGGCCCATGAAACCATTTTTTCATCCTAGGCCTCTGGGCCTATGATGAGAGAGGCTGCTGTGAAGGTCTCTGACATGCCCTGGAGACATTTTCCCCATTGCCTCGGTGATTAATATTTGGTTCATCATTACTTAAGCAAATTTCCAGAGCAGGTTGAGTTTCTTCCCCCAAAATGGGTTTTCTTTTCTATTGCATCATCAGGCTGCAAATTTTCTGAACTTTTATGCTCTGTCACATCTTGAATGCTTTGCTGGTAAGAAATTTCTTCCTCCAGATACCCTAAATTATCTCTCTAAAGTTCAAAGTTCCACGGATCTCTAGGGTGGGGCAAAACGCTACCAGTCTCTTTGCTAAACCATAGTAAGAGTGACGTTTACTCCAGTTCCCAAAAATTTCCTCATCTCCATCTGAGACCACCTCATCCTGGACATCATTGTCCATATCACTATCAGTGTTTTTGTCAAAGCCATTCAACAAGACTCTTGGAAGTTCCAAACTTTCCCACATCTTCCTGACTTCTGAGCCCTCTAAGTGTCTAGGAAGTTCCAAACATTCCTACATTTCCCTGTCTTTTTCTGAGCCTTCCAAACTGTTCCAAACTTTGCCTGTTACCCAGTTCCAAAATCACTTCCACATTTTTGGGTATCCTTATAGCAGTACCCCACTCCAAATGCCAATTTAAAGTATTAGTTCATTCTCACACTGCTACAAAGAAATACCCAAGATTGGGTAATTAATGAAAGAAAAAGGTGACTCACCATTCCACAAGGCTGGGGTGGCCTCAAGAAACTTACAGTCATGGCGGAAAAGGAAAAAAACATGCCCTTTTTCACATGGTGGCAGTAAGAAGTGCAAAGTGAAGGGTGGGTGAAAAGCTTATTATAGAACCATCAGATCTAATGAGAACTCACTCATTATTATGAGAACAGCATGGAGGTAACTGCCCCTATGACTCAATTACCTCCCACCGGGTCCCTCCCATGACATGTGGGAATTATGGGAACTGCAATTCAAGATGATATTTGGGTGGGGACACAGCAAAACCATATTAATTACTTTGATTTTGTTCTAAACTTTGAAATCAGGAAATAAGTGTCCTCCAAAGCAATCACATACATTGTTTATCTTTATTAAGATTGCTTTGGCTATTTGGCATACCTTGCAATTCCACATGAATTTTAAGACCTACTTTTCTATTTCTGAAAAAAAAAAAAGGCCATTAGATTTTTCATAGGGATTGCACTAAATCTATACATTGCTTTGGGGGTGTTTGTCATGTTTACAATATTAGGAGTTTCAATCTATGGACACAGGATGTCTTTCCATTTATTGTGGTCTTTTAAAATTTATTTCAGCAATGTTTTGTAGTTTTCAGTACATAAGTCTTGGACCTCATTGGTTAAATTTATTCCTAATTATTTTATTCTCTTCGGTGCTATTTTACATTAGTTTTCTTAATTTTTTTGAATTGTTGATTGCTAGTGAATAGAAATACAGCTTACTATTTTGTGTTGATCTCATATCTTGCATCTTTTCTGAATTCACAAATTAGTTCTATTTTTTAATTCATTAGAATTTTCTATATAAATATGATCACAGCAGCCACAAATGGAGATAATTGTATTCCTTCCTTTGCACATTAGATTCTTTCCTCCTTAATTGCTCTAGTTGGAACTACCAGTACAATTTTGAATACAAGTGGCTATAGTGGGAATCATTGTCTTGTTCCTGATATAAGGGAAAATGTTTTCAGTCTTTCACCACTAACTGTGTTAACTACGTGTCTTTTATGAATGTTCTATCATGTTGAGATAGTTCCCTTCTATTCTGAGTTTCTACCATATATTTATCATGAAAGGATGTTAAATTTTGTCAAATGCTTTTACTGATCTTTTTTCATTCTATTAATCTGGTATATCACATTAATTCATTTTCATATGTTGAAACACACTTGTATTCCTGACATAAATTCCACTTGGTTATGGTATGTAATAATTTTAATAAGTTTCTTGCTTCAGTGTCCTAGTATTTTCTTGAGGATCTTTGCATTAATACTCACAAGGAATTTGAACTGTAGTTTGGCCTTTCTATCAGGAAATGCCTGGCCTCATAGACTGAGTTACACAGTGTTCCATGTTTTTAAGATTTTTGGAAGAGTTTGGTAACAATTCGCTCTTCTTTAGTTGTTTGGTAGGATTTACCTGTGAAGCCATTTGTTCCTGGGCTTTACTTTATTTGGAAGTTTTTGATTATTGACTCAATCTCTTTACTTGTTATAGGTCTGCTCATATTCTTTTTCTTTTGTAGTTAGTTTGGGTAATCTGCCTATTTCTAGAAAATTTTCTAATTGTTTCTATGTTGTCTAATTTATTGCTGTATAATTGTTCATAGTATTTTTTGTAGAGCTAAAAATGAACCATCATCACATTTTTATTGCAAAGCATTACCTTTTGATCCGCGAATTGAAATCTTTGATTTTTCTTCTATTATAAATGTGAATATATTTTTACACATTTTTCTCAGCACCATCACTAACGTGTGTATTTAGGACACCTCAAATTGCTTTGATTTTAACAATCTTTATCTAAATCTGCATGATTTTTCAACTCTTTTAATTGTATCGATGACTATCAGGATATAAGTATTGATGTTTCTAATACAGCTTTTATTTTTTCTGGTTGTGTTCTTCATTTTTCCTATGCAAAATGAAGGTAACTTTACTTTCCATGTATTTCCATTTTTTTTTTACATCACTAGTTTGGCCTCTCTTATATGTACTTTGACTCATTGGTGTCCATGGTCTGTTTAATGACTTAAAACATTTTTATATAAAACATACCTAATATACTCAGTTTTTTCATGTAACTCTTTGTGAGGTATATTTTTCGTATACTGTTTTTTATATACTTTTTTCCTTACCTTGCTTTTTTCCATTTCCTGTCATGATATCTGGTCAATATAAGAATGGAGACGAGTAAAAGGAGTAAACTAGGTCAGTCAGAACTTCAATTGCAGTATCTTTTTCCAAAAGGTACTTTTATATCAGCTGTAGATAACCATCTTCTATTAGATTTTACCATAGCCCTCTTTGAAATATATATGTTTTACTGTAGGTGATGAGCATAATTAACAAGAAAGTCCCAAATGTCACAAATTCTCTATGCCTTCTACCACGTGCAAGAGTGTGAGGAAAACAAATATGGTGAGTCCATAGAAATACTTAACTTTTTCAGTGCTGTTTACCCCACTATCATTCTGTGTGGATCCTAGTTCTTTTTTTTTTTTTTTTTTTTTTTTTTTGAGGCGGAGTCTTGTTCTGTCGCCCAGGCTGGAGTGCAGTGGCGCGATCTCGGCTCACTGCAAGCTCCGCCTCTCGGGTTCATGACATTCTCCTGCCTCAGCCTCCCGAGTAGCTGGGACTATAGGCGCCTGCCACCACGCCCAGCTAATTTTTTGTATTTTTAGTATAGACAGGGTTTCACTGTGTTAGCCAGGATGGTCTCGATCTCCTGACCTCGTGATCCGCCCGCCTCTGCCTCCCAAAGTGCTGGGATTACAAGCGTGAGCCACTGCACCCAGCCAGATCCTAGTTCTTATGAGGATAGATTGCATTTTCCTTGAAGAACATCTACCACCATAGTCATTGCCTTAGAAATTTAAGAATCATTAACTTATTATTTCAATATTCTTACTTACTTTAAATAAAATGTTACCAATATGACACATATAGAGGTATATATTCGGTACTAGCTTTTCTATTTGGTCCAAATTTTACTCTATCTCTCCTAGTTCCTTCTTATCTCTGGTTTCGGGTTTTAGCTGTTTTATAATTTTATTAAAGAGTTTTATTCTCTCTTTTACTTTCTTCACTAGTTTTGGTGTGTTTTAGTGAGGAAATAGAATAGGTGTATTTTTGTGTATATATATGTATAGTATTATGTATGTGATATAATTTGCATAACATGTACAAATTCAATTAATATATAGTTCAGTAAGTTTTTGTAAATTTATGTAGCCATGTAAACATTACCACAATCAAGACAGAAAATTTCCATCAACCACAAATGCTTCCAATGTGTCCCTTCTTAGTCAATTACCTGGGACTTGGCTAAGGGACTCCCAGACCCTGTCCCAGGTAAACTGATCTTCTTCCTGCCACTGTAGATTAGACATAGCCTTCTGATAACTTCATACAGGTGGAATCACACATTTGTAGCTTTTTGTATCTGACTTATTTCACTCAGCATCCTGTGTTGGAGATTTAGTTAAACTGTTGTCTGTATCAGCGGTATGTTCCTTTTTATTGTTGAGTAGAATTCCCTTTTATGTTTATCACAATTTGCTTATCACATCTGTTGATGATCATTTATTTCCCTTGCAGTTCATTTTAGATTATTTTGTGCTGCTATAACAGAATACTATAGACTGGATGATTTATAAACAATATAAGCTTATTTGGCTCACAGTTCTGGAGGCTGGAAAGTCCAAGATTGAGGGGGCTAATTTGGTGAGAGCCTTCTTGCTGCATCATAACATGGCAGAAAGCATCACATAGTGAGAGAGTACATGAGAGCTTGAACTTGAAGCCTCAAGCCCTTTTATAATCAGCTATTATCAATTAATGAGTATGGAGCCCCCATAACTTAAAACCCTCATGACCTAAATACTTCCCATTAGGCTCTACCTCCCAACACTGTGGTATTGAGGATTAAGTTTCTAACACATGCTTTTGGGGGGACAATTCAAACTATAGCATTATGTCCCTGCCTCCACAAATTTATGTTCTTCTTACATACAAAACATATTCATTCCATTACAATAGCCCCCAAAGTCTTAACTTGTTCCAACATCAACTCAAAAGTCCAAAGTCCAGAGTTTCAACTAAATCAGATATGGGTGAGACTTAAGCCATGATTGAATCTGTGGAAAATTCCCACAAGCTGTTAGACTGTGAAATTAAAAGAAGTTATCTGGTGAAACCCCATCTCTACTAAAAATAAAAAAACATTAGCTGGGCATGGTAGTGGGCGCCTGTAGTCCCAATTACTTGGGAGGCTGAGACAGGACAATTACTCGAACCTGGGAGGTGGAGGTTGCAGTGAGCCGAGATGGTGCCACTGCACTCCATCCTGGGTGACAGAGAGAGACTCTATCTCAAAACAAAACAAAACAAAACGAAACAAAACAAAACAAAAAGAGAAGTTATCTACTTCCAAAATACAATGATGGCATAGGCATAGGATAGGCATACCCATCCCAAAGTGGATAAATAGGCAAGAAAAGAAGAGTAACTCAACTCATCTCAAGTAAGTTTACAATAAAATAGATAAAATATTAAATCTCATAGGTGGAGAATAATTTCCTTTTGAAATTATGTCCCACATCCTGGGCACAGTGGGCCAGGAGTTAGGCCCCCAAGGCCTCAGACAGCCCTGATCCTATAGCATTGCTGAACTCAGGCTATCTAGCAGCTCTCACAAGTTGGAGTCTCATGCCTGTGGCTTTCTGTTCCTGGAATTGCATGCTGGTGGGGCCCTAGAGTTCAGTGATTTTAAGGGATGCTCCACTCCCCTGGCTCCATCAGACATTGCCCTAGTGAGGATTTTCTGTGGTGGTCACTATGGATCCTCCAGACATTTCCCTAATAGGAGCTCTCTGTGATGACTCTACCCTGTGATGAATCTCTGGTCACCCAAGTTGTCTGAAATATTCTTTGAAATTCAGATGGAGACCACCATGGCCCCACAGCTCTTGTACTCTATGTGCCTACGGAATTAGCACCTCGTGAATGACACCAAGGTGTATGGCTTGTAACTTCCAGAATGATGGGTTGAGCTACACCTGGGCCTGCTTTCACCATGCCTTGAGGAGCTGAGAGGTGCTGTGTTGGAATTTGAGGAGCAGACACCTGAGGCAGTGCGGGGCAGTGAATGCCGAGTTCCAATGGGTGCCTCTCTGGAAACCTTGCCCTCAAAGTCCTAGCTTTATTCAAAAATACCTGAAATGCATTTGGGGTCATAAAATTGGGGTCATTCTATTGTCTTGGTGATTAGAATATGGCTTCCTTCTATCCATATTAATCTTTATAGCAAATGGTGGCTTAGCTACGCTACACCCTTAATATTCTTTCCAGAACATGATTTTTTATTTTTTACATGGCCAGGCTGCAAATTTTCCAAATCTTTTCACTTTGCTTCTCTTTTAAACTATATATTTAAATATTTTTTCCTCTCATTTTGCTGTAAGAAGTTAAAAAAAACCATGTAGTTCCCACAACATTCTGCTTAGAAATTTCTCCCCTGTATTTCCTAGTTTGTTATTCTTAAATTCTGCCTCACATAAAGGCCTAGTGTGTAAACAAAATTTAGCCAAGTTATTTACCAATTTATAACAAGAGTAATATTTAATTTAGTTTTTAATACCTTGTCCCTCATTTTTGTGTAACACGTCATCAAAATTTTCTTTACTGTTCATATTTCTACCAACATTGTGATTATAACCACTTAAGTATCCTCTAAGAAGTCTCAGACTCACTACAGTATTTCTCTTCCTCTTATCCCTCACCAAAATTATGCTCAACTCTCCATTAACAGCAGTACAGGTTTTTTCCAGCATTCACTTCAAAACTGTTCCAGATTCTACACACTACCAAGTTTCCAAATCACTGCTACATTTTCAAGTATCTGTCATAGCAACACCCAACCTCTCTGGTGCCAATGTTCCCAGTCAATTCTGTGCTGCTATAAGAGAATACTACAGACTGGGACATTAATACACAACAGAAATTTACTTGCCTCACAGTTCTAGAGGCTTGGAAGTTCAAGATTTAGAGGATACATCTAGTGAAGTCCTTCTTGCTGCATCACAACATGGCAGAAAACATCCCATTTATAGTAAGTGTGTGAGGGCTCAAACTGACACTCTCAAGCCCTTTTATAATCAGCATTAATCTATTCATGAGAGTGGAGCCCTCGTGACAAAAGCACTTCCCATTAGGCCCCACATTCCAAAACTGTTGCATAGCGGATTGTTTCTAACATGCTTTTGCCGCAACACATTCAAATCACAACATGGTTATCTGAGTATTATAAATGATTCTGCTCTAAGCATTTGTATACAGGTCAATGTGGACATAACACTTTCAGTTTTGTAGGTAAATATCTTGGAGTAGAATTTTTGGTTATATGGTAAGCATATGCTTAACTGTAAAGAAACTGCCAAACTGTTTTTTAAAATTCTTGTACCTTTTTACATTTCTACCTGTAATGCATGTTCCATTTGTACCACATCCTTGCCAACACTTAGAGTGTTCAGTTTTTTTCTTTAATTTTAGCTATTTCAGTGGGAGTGTATTGGTATCACATTATGGAATTAATTTTGCATTTTCCAAATTATGAATGATGGTGAGCATCTTTTAAGGTGTTTATTTCTCATTCACATGACTTTTTAGTAAAACAGCTGTTCAAATTGCCCAGTTTTAATTTGGTTATTTATCTTACTATTGACTTTTTTTATTATTAATATTATACTTTACATTTTAGGATACATGTGCACAACGTGCAGGTTTGTTAGATATGTATACATGTGCCATGTTGGTGTGCTGCACCCATTAACTCGTCATTTAGCATTAGGTATATCTCCTAATGCTATCCCACCCCCCTTTCCCCACCCCAGGACAGACCCTGTTGTGTGAGGTGTGTGATGTTCCCCTTCCTGTGTCCATGTGTTCTCATTGTTCAATTCCCACCTGTGAGTGAGAACATGTGGTGTTTGTGTTTTTGTCCTTGCGATAGTTTGCTGAGAATGATGGTTTCCAGCTTCATCCATGTCCCTACAAAGGACATGAACTCATCATTTTTTATGGCTGCATGGTATTCCATGGTGTATATGTGCCACACTTTCTTATATCCAGTCTATCATTGTTGGACATTTGGCTTGGTTCCCAGTCTTTGCTATTGTGAATAGTGCCACAATAAACATACGTGTACATGTGTCTTTATAGCAGCATGATTTATAATACTTTGGGTATATACCCAGTAATGGGATGGCTGGGTCGAATGGTATTTCTAGTTCTAGATCCCTGAAGAATCGCCACACCGACTTCCACAATGGTTGAACTAGTTTACAGTCCCACCAACAGTGTAAAAGTGTTCCTATTTCTCCACATCCTCTCCAGCACCTGTTGTTTCCTGACCTTTTAATGATCGCCATTCTAACTGGTGTGAGATGGTATCTCATTGTGGTTTTGATTTGCATTTCTCTGATGGCCAGTGATGATGAGCATTTTTTCATGTGTTTTTTGGCTGCATAAATGTCTTCTTTTGAGAAGGATCTGTTCATAACCTTCAGCCACTTTTTGATGGGGTTGTTTGTTTTTTTCTTGTAAATGCGTTTGAGTTCATTGTAGATTCTGGATATTAGCCCTTTCTCAGATGGATAGGTTGCGAAAATTTTCTCCCATTCTGTAGCTTGCCTGTTCACTCTGATGGTAGTTTCTTTTGCTGTGCAGAAGCTCTTTAGTTTAATTAGATCCCATTTGTCAATTTTGGCTTTTGTTGCCATTGCTTTTGGTGTTTTGGACATGAAGTCCTTGCCCATGCCTATGTCCTGAATGGTATTGCCTAGGTTTTCTTCTAGGGTTTTTATGGTTTTAAGTCTAACATGTAAGTCTTTAATCCATCTTGAATTAATTTTTGTATAAGGTGTAAGGAAGGGATCCAGTTTCAGCTTTCTCCATATGGCTAGCCGGTTTTCCCAGCACCATTTATTAAATAGGGAATCCTTTCCCCATTGCTTGTTTTTCTCAGGTTTGTCAAAGATCAGATAGTTGTAGATATTTGGCATTATTTCTGAGGGCTCTGTTCTCTTCCATTGATCTATAACTCTGTTTTGGTACCAGTACCATGCTGTTTTGGTTACTGTAGCCTTGTAGTATAGTTTGAAGTCAGGTAGCGTGATGCCTCCAACTTTGATGCCTCCAACTTTGTTCTTTTGGCTTAGGATTGACTTGGTGATGCGGGCTCTTTTTTGGTTCCATATGAACTTTAAAGTAGTTTTTTCCAATTCTGTGAAGAAAGTCATTGGTAGCTTGATGGGGATGGCACTGAATCTATAAATTACCTTGGGCAGTATGGCCATTTTCATGATATTGATTCTTCCTACCCATAAGCATGGAATGTTCTTCCATTTGTTTGTATCCTCTTTTATTTCATTGAGCAGTGGTTTGTAGTTCTCCTTGAAGAGGTCCTTCACATCCCTTGTAAGTTGGATTCCTAGGTATTTTATTCTCTTTGAAGCAATTGTGAATGGGAGTTCACTCATGATTTGGCTCTCTGTTTGTCTGTTATTGGTGTATAAGAATGCTTGTGATTTTTGCACATTGATTTATTATCCTGAGACTGCTGAAGTTGCTTATCAGCTTAAGGAGATTTTGGGCTGAGACAATGGGGTTTTCTAGATATACAATCATGTCATCTGCAAACAGGGACAATTTGACTTCCTCTTTTCCTAATTGAATACCTTTATTTCCTTCTGCCTAATTGGCCTGGCCAGAACTTCCAACACTATGTTGAATAGGAGTGGTGAGAGAGGGCATCCCTGTCTTGTGCCAGTTTTCAAAGGGAATGCTTCCAGTTTTTGCCCATTCAGTATGATATTGGCTGTGGGTTTGTCATAGATAGCTCTTATTATTTTGAGATACGTCCCATCAATACCTAATTTATTAAGAGTTTTTAGCATGAAGGGTTGTTGAATTTTGTCAAAGGCCTTTTCTGCATCTATTCAGATAATCACGTGGTTTTTGTCTTTGATTCTGTTTGTATGCTGCATTACATTTATTGATTTTCGTATGTTGAACCAGCCTTGCATCCCAGGGTTGAAGCCCACTTGATCATGGTGGATAAGCTTTTTGATGTGTTGCTGGATTCGGTTTGCCAGTATTTTATTGAGGATTTTTGCATCAATGTTCATCAAGGATATTGGTCTAAAATTCTCTTTTTTTGTTGTGTCTCTGCCAGCCTTTGGTATCAGGATGATGCTGGCCTCAAAAAATGAGTTAGGGAGGATTCCCTCTTTTTCTGTTGATTGGAATAGTTTCAGAAGGAATGGTACCAGCTCCTCCTTTTACCTCTGGTAGAATTCGGCTGTGAATCCATCTTGTCCTGGACTTTTTTTGGTTGGTAAGCTATTAATTATTGCCTCAATTTCAGAGCCTGTTATTGGTCTATTCAGAGATTCAACTTCTTCCTGGTTTAGTCTTGGGAGAGTGTATGTGTTGAGGAATTTATCCATTTCTTCTAGATTTTCTAGTTTATTTGCATAGAGGTGTTTATAGTATTCTCTGATGGTAGTTTGTATTTCTGTGGGATTGGTGGTAATATCCCCTTTGTCATTTTTTATTGCATCTATTTGATTCTTCTCTCTTTTCTTCTTTATTAGTCTTGCTAGCCGTTTATCAATTTTGTTGATCTTTTCAAAAAACCAGCTCCTGGATTCCTTGATTTTTTGAAGGGTTTTTTATGTCGCTATTTCCTTCAGTTCTGCTCTGATCTTAGTTATTTCTTGCCTTCTGCTAGCTTTTGAATGTGTTTGCTCTTGCCTCTCTAGTTATTTTAATTGTGATGTTAGGGTGTCAACTTTAGATCTTTCCTGCTTTCTCTTGTGGGAATTTAGTGCTATAAATTTCCCTCTACACAGTGCTTTGAATGTGTCCCAGAGATTCTGGTATGTTGTGTCTTTGTTCTTGTTGGTTTCAAAGAACATCTTTATTTCTGCCTCCATTTCATTATGTACCCAGTAGTCATTCAGGAGCAGGTTGTTCAGTTTCCATGTAGTTGAGCGGTTTTGAGTGAGTTTCTTAATCCTGAGTTCTAGTTTGATTGCACTGTGATCTGAGAGACAGTTTGTTATAATTTCTGTTCTTTTACATTTGCTGATGAGTGTTTTACTTCCAACTATGTGGTCAATTTTGGTATAGGTGTGGTGTGGTGCTGAAAAGAATGTATATTCTGTTGATTTGGGGTGGAGAGTTCTGTAGATGTCTATTAGGTCTGCTTGGTGCAGAGCTGAGTTCAATTCCTGGGTATCCTTGTTAACTTTCTGTCTCGTTGATCTGTCTAATGTTGACAGTGGGGTGTTAAAGTATCCCATTATTATTGTGTGGGAGTCTAAGTCTCTTTGTAGGTTACTAAGGACTTGCTTTATGAATCTGGGTGCTCCTGTATTGGGTGCATATATATTTAGGATAGTTAGTCCTTCTTTTTGAATTGATCCCTTTACCATTATGTAATGGCCTTCTTTGTCTCTTTTGATCTTTGTTGGTTTAAAGTCCACTTTATCCGAGACTAGGGAGACTAGGATTGCAACCCCTGTCTTTTTTGTTTTCCATTTGCTTGGTCGATCTTCCTCCATCGCTTTATTTTGAGCCTATGTGTGTCTCTGCACATGAGATGGGTTTCCTGAATACAGCACACTGATGGGTCTTGACTCTTTATCCAATTTGCCAGTCTGTGTCTTTTAATTGGAGCATTTAGCCCATTTATATTTAAGGTTAGTATTGTTATGTGTGAATTTGATCCTGTCATTATGATGTTATCTGGTTATTTTGCTCATTAGTTGATGCAGTTTCTTCCTAGCATCCATGGTCTTTACAAAGTGGCATGTTTTTGCAGTGGCTGGTACCGGTTGTTCCTTTCCATGTTTAGTGCTTCCTTCAGGAGCTCTTTTAGGGCAGGCCTAGTGGTGACAAAATCTCTCAGCATTTGCTTGTCTGTAAAGGATTTTATTTCTCCTTCACTTATGAAGCTTAGTTTGGCTGGATATGAAATTCTGGGTTGAAAATTCTTTTCTTTAAGAATGTTGAATATTGGCCCCCACTCTCTTCTGGCTTGTAGAGTTTCTGCCGAGAGATAGCTGTTAGTCTGATGGGCTTTCCTTTGTGGGGAACCCGACCTTTCTCTCTGGCTGCCCTTAACATTTTTCCCTTCATTTCAACTTTGGTGAATCTGACAATTATGTGTCTTGGAGTTGCTTTTCTCAAGGAGTATCTTTGTGGCATTCTCTGTATTTCCTGAATGTGAATGTTGGCCTGCCTTGCTAGGTTGGGGAAGTTCTCCTGGATAATATCCTGCAGAGTGTTTTCCAGCTTGGTTCCATTCTCCCCATCACTTTCAGGTACACCAATCAGACGTAGATTTGGTCTTTTCAAATAGTCCCATATTTCTTGGAGGCTTTGTTCATTTCTTTTTATTCTTTTTTCTCTAAACTTCTCTTCACGCTTCATTTCATTCATTTCGTCTTCCGTCGCTGATACCCTTTCTTCCAGTTGATTGCATCGGTTACTGAGGCTTGCGCATTCGTCATGTAGCTCTCGTGCTTTGGTTTTCAGCTCCATCAGGTCCTTTAAGGACTTCTCTGCATTGGTTATTCTAGTTATCCATTCGTCTAATTTTTTTTCAAAGTTTTTAACTTCTTTGCCATTGGTTCGAGCTTCCTCCTTTAGCTCGGAGTAGTTTGATCTTCTGAAGCCTTCCCCTCTCAACTCGTCAGAGTCATTCTCCATCCAGCTTTGTTCCGTTGCTGGTGAGGAGCTGCGTTCCTTTGGAGGAGGAGAGGCACTCTGATTTTTAGAGTTTCCGGTTTTTCTGCTCTGTTTTTTCCCCATCTTTGTGGTTTTATCTACCTTTGATCTTTGATTATGGTGATGTACAGATGGGTTTTTGGTGTGGATGTCCTTTCTGTTTGTTAGTTTTCCTTATAACAGTCAGGACTCTCAGCTGCAGGTCTGTTGGAGTTTACTGGAGGTCCACTCCAGACCCTGTTTGCCTGGGTATCTGCAGTGGTGGCTGCAGAACAGTGGATATTGGTGAACTGCAAATGCTGCTGCCTAATCATTCCTCTGGAAGTTTTGCCTCAGAGGAGTACCTGGCCGTGTGAGGTGTCAGTCCGCCCCTACTGGGGGATGCCTCCCAGTTAGGCTACTCGGGGATCAGGGACCCACTTGAGGAGGCAGTCTGCCCGTTCTCAGATCTCAAGCTGCGTGCTGGGAGAACCACTACTCTCTTCAAAGCTGTCAGACAGGGACATTTAAGACTGCAGAGGTTATTGCTGTCTTTTGTTTGTCTGTGCCCTGCCCCCAGAGGTGGAGCCTACAGAGGCAGGCAGGCAGGCCTCCTTGAGCTGTGGTGGGCTCCACCCAGTTGGAGCTTCCCAGCCGCTTTGTTTACCTACTCAAGCCTGAGCGATGGGGGGCGCCCCTCCCCCAGCCTTGCTGCTGCCTTGCAGTTTGATCTCAGACTGCTGTGCTAGCAATGAGCGAGGCTCTGTGGGCCTGGGACCCTCCTAGCCAGATGTGGGATATAATCTCCTGGTGTGCCATTTGTTAAGTCCATTGGAAGAGCGCAGTATTAGGGTGGGAGTGACCCAATTTTCTAGGTGCTGTCTGTCACCCCTTTCTTTGACTAGGAAAGGGAATTCCCTGACCCCATGCACTTCCTGGGTGAGGCAATGCCTCACCCTGCTTTGGCTCATGCACGGTGCACTGCACCCACTGTCCTGCACCCACTATCTGGCACTCCCCCATGAGATGAACCCGGTACCACAGTTGGAAATGCAGAAGTCACCCGTGTTCTGCGCCGCTCACGCTGGGAGCTGTAGACTGGAGCTATTCCTATTCGGCCAGCTTGGCTCCACTCCCCCTTATTATTGACTTATAAAAGTATTCCATGTATTTCAGATGAGTTCTCAGCCAAGTATATGAATTCCTGGAGTAACTCTTTTTTTTCTGAAACATAGTTTGCATATAACATTTTTTATTGCTCCTTTTCTACGTAATCCAATTTATTTCTTGCCCTAATCTTTGGTCAAGATTAAAATGAGGAAGAGCAGGAGTGAATAAAGCCGGCCAGAAATTTAATTTAAATATGTTATTGATTTTTGTATGTGTCTTATACTTATTAGTGTATTCATCCCCTTCAGTAAATTGAGTTACTTGAGCGTAAGTATAATAAATAGAGTATTGTCCCTAGGCAGACCTCTTGGGATCTATTTCTTGCCAGTTGGTGGAAGAAGGCAGTACACTCAACAGGCGACCTTAAGTAATTAAGACTTGGACTTAAAATCTCACAACTTAAGATGACTTCTGCCACAAAAGAAATTCTACTTAATTTATTTTATCATGAGAGTCTATGATACCTACAGAAATTTTAGGTAACAGCAATTGCTCACAAAAGCTGTATTTTCCAAGTGTCTCTTAGAGGAGAGCTCTTAACATAAATTAACATTTTAAAATTCTTTCAGCATTCTACGTATTATTAAACAAGATATTTAAATCTAATACTGTAAATAATCTAGCATACATTTCAATAAATAATGATGATGATGGTGATAGTGATGACCAGTATTACAAATTAAACTGTTTATATTTCTACCATGTGAATAGACAAGTGATTTTGGAACTCTATTGAATATATTAAACTTCATGGTAACATAAAATACATGTATAGCATTCTTAACAACTCAATATATAATCAAGTTGCTTCTCTGAACTGTCAATAATAACATGTGCAAATGGCTACTACATTTATATAGATAGAAGAAAGGCATTTGCTTTTGAACCAACAACTTTGTAGAGGGTGTTCTAAAAATTATTCTTTGTTGTAATAATAATAATAATCCACTGAAAATTATAGCCCACTATATCCCTAAACTGCAAAGCTAGAGAATATAATGAAATGGGAAGAAGGTTGAGATTCCTGTTTGTGAAAAAATATATACTTTAGCACTACAGCAGCAATTGGAACACTTCTTAAAAGCCACTAAATATGAACTGGCTGTTAGTTTCTGCTCTCAGTCAGCTGGTAAAATAACATGATTTCCAAAAGAAATGAGAAGAAATAATTAAATGAGCTCTTTGTGTTTCTATTGAATTACAAAGACTGACATCATCTTGCCTTCCAAGTATTTTTTTATCTGAACAGTGACAGAAACCCAAGACTTCTTCACATCTAATTCAAGATGTACTGAGAGGAAAATATTTAAATTATGTCAGTGAAATTTTGTATATCCCCTGTAATACTTCAACCATGCTCCTCCTGCTTGCATTAAATGTTAAATACAATCAAACACTAAATAAAAAATATTATTTTAATATAAATAAAGCTGGTTAGAAAAGCCAGACTTCATCAATTTGTTCTGGAAATTATAGAATTTCAAGTAATTATATATATAAAACTATGTGGATTAAAGGCCAAGAAGAATGACTTTTCAGCCTTTTCGTTGTGTGTCTTGGCACCGTAAAGTCACAGTTTCAATGCAAAGGTTTTCTTTGTTTTCTAACACCGGAACTTTGTATAAGATATGTAGTCAATACATTATAGCTACTGTTATTAATAAAATAAAGTTAAAGAGGTTTATGGTAGCTATAATTATAAATTTCAAATTCTCATTAATCATGGTGTCTAACCCAGATATTAGAATGACTCTAATCATTCATCAGAAACTTTCTTAGTGCTTCTTATGTGTACTGGGAATGCAATAATGGCATATTTTTCCCTGAAGGAAGTCACAATCTATTATGATCTCTCATTTACTTTTCTAAGTACAATACTATGGTTAAGCACATAATGCTATGGGAGCGATATATAGGCTCTTATGAAAAAAGATGAGGTTCTCTAGAGGAGGTAATGGGGATATAATGAGGAGTTATAGGTAGAATACAATTATTATATTTGTGTTTTAGAAATTCACTCCATTGACATTATGTGCTATTAATCTATGGTGATTTAGACTACAGGGAGAGATATTAGATGGGTATTGTAAAGCTACATAAGAGATGGTATCTGCCTAGACTAAAGAAGTGGCTCTGGGAACATTATACTAAGTGAAATAAACCAGGCATGAAAAGACAAATACCACATGTCCTCGCTTATACGTGAAATCTAAAACAATACAACTCATAGAAGCAGAGAGTAGAATGGTGGTTATCAGACGCTGAGGGGTGAGAGAAATGGGGAGATGATGGTCAAAGTGTAGAAAGCCTCATTTAGACAAAAGAAGACAAAAGGAATATATATCTTTTTAGATCTATTGTACAATATGGTAAATATAGTTAATAACATATTGTACAGTTTTCTAACTTCAAAATTAAGATAGTAAATTTAAAATGTTCCCACCACATGAAAAAGATAAGAATTAATGAGTATGCTAATCGACTTGATTGAATTATTCCACATTGTGTCCATAAATCACAACATCATTTGTAGCTCATAAAGATATACAACTCTAATTTGTCAATTAAATGTTTTTAAGTGGCTCTGGGAATGTATGTAAAGGGATAAAGATAAAAAATATCCAGGAGGCAAAATTGAAAGGACTTAATGGTTAATTGTTTGCAGATAATTTGGGAGAAGATATTATCAAGGGGAACTTCATAGTGTCTGACAGGTGGAGTTCAGAAATTTTCCTCTAAGTTAGTTCTGTTGTCTCATTCAATCCAATATTATTTCTCTGAAGAAGGCACATTTGGGAATCAAGGTAAATGTCCACATTATATTGAAAAGGCAATCATGTTTTTTAATAACCAATTAAAAAGACTCATAATTAAGTTCAAGTTAAATTGAGATCATTTCCTTTTTGGATGTTCTACAACATGACCTCCATTTTCAGTGTATTATGTCAGGCTCTGCTTATTTGTACTGGACTTTTATTGGCTTGAATTTACTTTATGCTAATTTCTAGGAAGATTTCTTTTCAATATTATCAGATTTGGTGAAGGAGAAGCTCTCCATTGTGAATAAAGAGCTCATACCAGCTCCTAAGCCCTATTAAGAAGAGGACTGGTCCTCTAATGACTTGTTTCCATTTTAGTTGTTCTTTGAGAGAGAGAATGATATACTAACCATTCTCGATTATTAGATAGGGTTGGGTCAGGGCTTAGGGAGGGGGGCAGAAATATTGGGGATAGAAAAAAATCTGATAATTCCTCAGTGCTACCCATTTCTGTCCTGTGTGGGCTGCTTAGCTAGACAGCAGGAGAGTAAAGTACGCCAAGATCCATAATGAAAATTAAAATACTTCCTTTGGTATATATATATATATATATTTCATATATATAATAATTTATATATATATATATCTCATATATATAATAATTTATATATATATATATATATATGTCCATTCTCATGTTATAAGGACATACCAAAGACTGGGTAATTTATGTACAAAAGAGGTTTAATTGAATCACAGTTCTGCATGGCTGGGGAGGTTTCAGGAAACTTACAGTCAAGGCAAAAGGTTAAACAAAACACATTCTTCTTCACATGGCGGCAGAAGAGTGCACAGTAAAGGAGGAAATGCTCCTTATAAAACCAGCAGATCTTGTGAGATCTCACTCACTATCACAAGAACAGCATGGGGGTAACTGCCCCCATGATTTAGTTACCTCCCACCGGGTCCCTCCCTCAACACGTGGGGATTATGGTAATTAAAATTCAAGATGAGACTTGGATGGGGACACAGCCAAACCATATTATTCTGCCCCTGACCTCTCCCAAATCTCATGTCCTCACGTTTCAAAACACAATCATGCCATTCCAACAGTCCCCCAAAGTCTTAGCTCATTCCAGCATTAACTCAAAGTCGAAGTCCAAACTCTCATCTAAGAAAGGCAAGTCCTTTCAGCCTATGAGACTGTAAATCAAAAGCAAGTTAGTTACTTCCTAGATACAATGTGGGTACAGGCATTGGGTAAATACACCCATTCCAAATGGGCAAATTGGCCAAAACAAAGGGGTTACAGGCCCCATACAAGTCCAAAATCCAAAAGGGCAATTATTAAACCTTAAAATTCCAAATGATTTCCTTTGACTCTATGTCTCACATCCTGGTCACGCTGATGCAAGAGGTGGGCTCACATTGAGAGGAGTTAGCTAGCTTGCCTTAGGTAGACAGCAAGGGAAGGGTCCCTGGAGAGCCCCCAACCCATGGGTCAGTGCCTCATCCCCACATAACACAAAGGCAGCCTGTGGAAAAATCAAGCTGCAGGCACCAATAGGAAACTAGATTAGGAGGTTGTGTCTGGAGACATCCCCATGGCTTCACAGATAGAACCTCAGACAAAAACTTGTGCAAATCTCCAGCTCACTCAGAAAAAGGAGCAAGGCCTAAGATAGAAATGCCTTGTCCTTTGTATAATCAGTGGGCTCCCAGAAAAGTTTCTTCTACTTTTGTGACCGTGAACACCATGAGCGCCAGTGGGTTCTGGTGGGCACTTTACTTCCCTTTTGGACTGTGAGCCCAGCCCCTGTAAATTATCACTTCAGCCTCTGATTGATCCTGGGCCAAAGTCCCAGGCCAAGCTTTCTGAATAGTCCCAGGCCAAGGTCCTGGGCCAAATTGAGTCATGCATTCTCCAAGACAGCTCTCAGACTAAGCACATTCCTTCCCCTTCCCAGTTCATAAAAACCTTGGACTCCAGCCTCATAGAAGGCAACCCATCCAGGCCCCCCCCTCTAATGGTGGAGAGCTTTCTTCTTTCACTTATTAAACTTTCACTCCAACCTCACCCTTGGGGCTACACTTCTTAATCTTCTTGGATATAGGACAAAGAACTCCAGGTATTAACTCAGACAATGAGAGACTGTTACATCTTGGTATAATGATGAGTCTACAATACAAGATCCACCCATGTGGCTTTGCAGAGTACAGCCACCCTCTTGGCTGCTTTCATGGGCTGGCCCTGTGTCTGTGGCTTTTCCAGGTGCACAGTGCAAGCTGTCAGTGGATCTACCACTCTGGGGTCTGGAGGATGGTGGTCCTCTTTTCACAGCTCCACTAGGCAGTGCCCCATTGGAGACTCTGTGTGGGGATTCCAACCCCACATTTCCCTTCCCCACTGCCCTAGCAGAGGTTCTCCATGAGGAGTTCACTCCTGCAGCAAACCTCTGCCTGGACATCCAGACTTTTCCACACATCCTCTGAAATCTAGGCAGAGGTTCCCAAACCTCAGTTCTTCTGTGCATCCACAGGCCCAATGCCACATGAAAGTTGCCAAGGCTTGGGACTTGAATCTTCTGAAGCCATGGCCTGAGCTGTACCTTGGCCCCTTTTAGCCATGGCTGGAGCAGCTGGGGACACAGAGCACCAAGTCTTGAGGCTGCACACAGCAGGGGGGCCCTGGGCCCAGCCCACAAAACCATGTTTTCCTTCTAGGCCTTCAGGCCTGTGATGAGAGGGCCTCCCATGATAGTCTCTGACATGCTCCAGAGACATTTTCCCAATTTTCTTGGTGATTAACATTCAGCTTCTTGTTACTTACGCAAATTTCTGAAGCTGGCTTGAATTTATCCCAAGAAAATGTTTTTTTCTTTTCCATTGCATCATCAGGCTGCAAATTTTCCAAACTTTTATGCTCTGCTTCCTCTTGAATGCTTTGCTGCTTAGAAATTTCTTCTGCCAGATACCTTAAATCGTCTCTCTCAAGTTCAAATTCCACAGATCTCTAAGGCAGGGACAAAATGCTGCCAGTCTCTTTGCTAAAGCATAGCAAGAATCACCTTTATTCCAGTTCCCAATAAGTTCCTCATTTTCATCTGAGACCACCTCAGCCTGGACTTCATTGTCGATATCACTATCTGCATTTTGTCCAAAGCAATTCATCAAGGCTCTAGGAAGTTTCAGACATTCCCACATCTTCCTGTCTTCTGAGCCCTCCAAGTCTCTAGAAGGTTTCAAACTTTCCCACATTTTTTCTGTTTCTTTTTTGAATCCTCCAGACTGTTCCAACCTCTGCCTGATACCCAGTTCCAAAGTCACTTCCACATTTTTGCATATCCTTATAGAAGCATCTCACTCTCTGCAGTACCTATTTACTGTATGAGTCCATTTTCACTCTGCTATAAGGACATACATGAGATTGGGTAACTTATAAAGGGAAGAGGTTTAATTGACTCACAGTTTCACATGGCAGGGGAGGCCTCAGGAAACTTACAATTATGGCAGAAGGTGAAGCAAACATCTTTCTTCACATGGCAGGAGAAGAGAGAAGTGCTGAGCAAAGGGGGAAGTGCCCCTTATAAAACCATCAGATTTTGTAAGAACTGACTCACTATCATGAAAACAGCATAGAGGTAACTGCCCCCATGATTCTATTACCTCCCACTGGGTCCTTCCCACCATACGTGGGGATTATGAGAACTGCAGTTCAAGATGAGATTTGAGTAGGGACACAGCCAAACCATGTCAATATATAACAAAAAGCTGAAAACCAAAATAAAATAGGGTTTTTCTGGTAGCATATTTTACCAAAATTGATTGTGTGAAGAAGAGTTGTACAAGTTGTTATGAGTACCTAAGGCATAACATGTCCCCCTCACCCACAATACTAAGTGACAATTGACTTCTTAAGTGAATTCTGTCAAACTTTCAAAGGGCAGCAAAACATAATGTAATTAAATTTTAAGGGAACAGAGGAAATAAGAAAGGTATGTGGATGATCTTTTTATTGCTTTTAACATAGATTTTTTAAAGATGAATTTGTAATATAAATATTAATGCAAAAGACATGCAAAATAATAGTAAACATTATTTCAATTGTAGCAAAATCAAGGGGTTTTCTTTGCATTAGAAAAATGCAAAAATTGCTTAATGTTGAAAAATATAATCATCTATTTTACCACATAAAGCATAAGAAAGTGTATTTTATCAACACACTTATTTGAATATATTCCAAAAACTTATTCAGTAAGAATTAATATTTATTCATGAGTAGAATAAAAAATAGAGAAAAAAGAGAGAAGTTGAAAGGAAAAAATATGTTTAACTAAATAATAATATACAGGTATCTTTATAAGATACACACGTATATATACACACACACACGCATGCATGTATACTATGCCTATCATATCACACTTATTGATAAAAGACTAGAATTGTTTTGTATTAAAGACCAGAATTAGAACAGAAAGGCCATTATTATATTATTATGATTATAATCACCATTATTAATATTTAAATGTATCCTGCTTAGTTAGGTCAACAAGATGGCAGAAAATGAAGTCTCAGCCATTTTCTTCCCCACAGAAACACTGCTAAAACAATGATACATGAGCCACAATACCTTAACAGTAATGCGAGAATTCCATTCATATGTTGCAACTCCCCAGACAAGCACAACACTGAGAAATACCATTTTGAAATGGGCAAGGAGAGCAGTTTTACTTTATGCATGTCAGTCCACCCTGCAAGCTGGCACAGCTCAGCACTGAAAGAGATCCACTCAACCGATTATTTCTCCCTCAGGGGAAAGAATGAATGAAGCATGCTTATGACATCTCTAGCCTTTTGGGGTGCTGCCTGAGATACGTCTGTCTCCCCTCACTCAGAGCACAGATGAAACTGGCATAGTTAGAATGCTTGGGGGGCAGCTAAGAACAAAGAAAACAGTCAGGGCTCTCAGAAGTCTGAATAACATTGTATGATTGAAATAAAGTACACGACCCTAAAATTTCTTCTTCAGGAGGAAGAGATAAAAATGGAACTTTCACTCACTCTCCTGGTCTTTTAATGCACTTCCGGAGGAAAAATTATCAGGTGTCTCTCAGCAGCCTATTTGGTTTTGTTGTATTGAGAGAAGGTACACAATCCTGAGACTTCTACTACAAGAGGAAGGGAGAGAAGCAGAGCTTGGACCCAACCTCATTATATTTCAGTGCACTTCCTTAGGGAAAAAAGAACAGGCAGTTTTATTTCAGCTTACCTGGCTCTGCAAGTTTGGGAAAAGCTACACAATCCTGAGACTTTTCCCTCTTCAGGAGAAAGGGAGAAGATTAGAGCGTGCATCCAATATCCAAACCTACCAGTACATTGCATTAGGGAAAAGAAGAGCAAACTTGTCTCCCAGGTGAAAGAGAGTGGACTGGAGCTTGAATATCTATAGAAAATATTTAAGGGGCTCCCAGAATCTCTAGCTAGGATAATTCGTGAAGGTCTCTTTCCAAAACCAGTTTATGAAAACTGAAAGAGATTGTTGCTCATTCAAACATGTAGACACCAATACAAAGTTACAAGAAACAGAAGGAATTATAAAAATATGACATTACCAGAGAAACAGAACAAATCTCCAGCAACAGATACTAAAGAAATGGAGACTATAGATTTGTGACAAATAATTAAATAATAATCATCTTAAAAAAGATAGTGTAATATGACAGAACACAGATAGATAACTAAATAAATCAGAAAAGTGATACAAATAAGCAGAATGAGAATATCCACAAAGATACGGGAACCATAAAAAGAAACAAAAAACTTTTGGAGCTGAGGAATAAATAATTTTAAAAATTCAATATAGAGCTTCAAGAGAAAACTTGAACAGGAAGAAAGAATCAGCAAACTCAAAGACAGGTCACTTGAAATTGTCTACTTAAAGGAGTGAAAAGAAAAAAGTAACATTAAAAAGTGATAAAGTCCTATGATAGTAAGGCACATGATCATGTAGACCAAAATACACATTGTTAAAATTCAAGATAGAGAAGATAGAAGATAGAACCAGAAAACTTAATTAAACAAATTCTGACTAAAAGAGTCCCATATTTGGTGAGGAAAGTAGACATCCAAGTTCATAAAGTACAAAAGATCCCAAATAGACTGACCCCAAAGAAACTTACAGTGAGTCATGTTATAATCATATTGTCAAAAGTCAAGGATAAAAAGACAATTTTGAAAAGCATCAAGAGAAAAATAGAATTTTGATGTATGACAAAGCTTACATAAGACTATTACTGAATTTCTCAGTGGAAACATTGCAGGGCAGAAGGGAGTGAAATAATATATTCAAGGTGCTGAAATTTTTTTGAAAAACTGTCAGCTAAGAATGATATACCTTCTAAAACTGTCCTTCAAAAATGAAGGAGAGATAAAGACTTTCCCAGGCCTATATATATATATATATAGCAAATATATATATATATATATAGCAAATATATATATATATAGCAAATATATATATAATATATTTAGCAAGTAAGTCACAACTATATAAACTTTAAAACAAAATGCTAAAGGGAGTTTTTCAAACTGAAATTAAAGGGTGCAAACAGCAACAAAAAAGCACATGAAAGTATAAAAATAACTGCTAAATGCAAATATATAAAGAAATATAGAAGACTACAATACAGTAATGGTGGTGTGCAAATCACCTTTAATTTTAGTATAAAAGTTAAAAGATGAAAACGTTAAAAATAAGAATAGTTACAAAAACTTGTTTACTTATTCACAATATAAAAAAGATGCAAATTGTGACATAATTAAAATAAAGGAAGAATGAAAGTGAAGAATTTTTGTATGAGATTATTGTTCAGTTGTTATCAGTTTAAAGTAGATTGTTATAACTACTAGATATATTTGTGTAAGTCCCATGGTAACCATAAAAATACATACAGAATATATATAAAATGAGAGAAAATTAACAGTTAAAGAATATCACTACAAAATATCAACAAATCACTAAGACAATATGAGAGAAAAAGAGGAGCAAAATGATTACAAAATAAGCAGAAAATGATCAAAATAGCAATGGTAAGTTCTTCAGTTTCTGTAATTACTCTAACATAAATGAATTAAATTTACCAATCAAAAGACATAAACTGTGTAAATAAATAAAAACAAGATCTTTCTTCTACAAAGAAGAAAAATCTCAAATAAAGAACCTAACTTTACACCTAAAGGAACTAAAAAAAGAAGAACAAATTAAGCTTAAAGTTAAGAGAAGGAAGGAAATAATAAGGATTAGAGCAGAAAGAAATGGAATAGAACATGGAAAACAATGGAAAATGTAACAAAGCCACGTTGATTTCGAAAAGGTAAACAAAATTGACAAATTTAAACTAATTAAGAGTAACAGAGAGTGTACTCAAATAAAATGAGAAATGAAAGGGTAGATATTGCCATGAATGCCACAGAAATAAAAAGAATCATGAGACTATTATGAAGAATTTCATGACAGCAAATTGGACAATATGAAATACATGGCTAACTTCTTAGACACATACAACCTAACAAGGCTGAATCATGAAGCAGGAAATCTGGGCATTCCAATAACAAGCAAGGAGATTGAATCAGTAATCAAAAACCTTGCAACACATAAAAGCCCAGGACCAGATGGTTTCACAAATGAATTCCACCAAACTTTTATAGAAATAACACCAATCCTCAAGCTCTTCCGAAAACTAAAATAAATGAAACCTTTCCAAATTTATTTTCAGAGGTAGCATTAGCCTGATAGCAACTAGGCAAGAACACTACAAAAAAAGAAAATCAAAGGCCAGTGTTCCAGGTAACCATATGTATTATGCCATTCTTGCATTGCTATAAAGAAATACGTGAGACTGCATAATTTATAAAGAAAAGAGGTTAGATTGGCTCATGACTCTGCAGGCTGTACAAGAAGCATGGGACCAGTATCTGTTCAGCTCCTAGGGAGGCCTCAGGGAGCTTCAACTCTTGGCAGAAGGCCAAGTGGAAGCTTGCACATCACATAGCAAAAGCAGAAGCAAGATAGAGCCACTTGGAGTCAGGCGGCAAGTGCCACCCACTTTTAAACGACCATGAGATCTCATGAGAACTCACTCACTACCATGATTAGAGTACCAAGGAAATGGTGCTAAGTCATTCATGTGACATCTACTCCTATGATCTAATCACCTCCCATCAGGCCCCACCTCTAACACTGAAGATTACAATTTGGCATGAGATTTAGAGGGGAAACATATCCAAACTATATCATTCTTCTGCTGGCCCCTCAAATCTCATTTTCTTCTCACATTGCAAAATACAATCATTCCCTGCCAATAGTCCCCCAATAATCTTATTCCAGCATTAACTCCAAAGTCTAAAGTGTCATGTGGAAATGAATTCCTTCCACCTATGAGCCTGTAAAACCAAATTCGTTATTTACTTCAGTTATTTACTTCCAAGATACAATGGTTGTACTGACATTGAGTAAACATTCCCATTCAAAATGTGTAAATCAGCAAAAATAAAGTGGCTACAAGACCCATGCAAATCCAAAACTCAGAAGGGCAGTGATTAAATTTTAAAGCTTCAAAATAATATAATTTGACTCATGTCCCACATCTAGGGCAACTGGTGCAAGGGGTGGGCTCCCAAGGACTTGGGCAGCTCTGCTTCTGTGGTTTTGCAAGGTTCAACTCCTGTGGCTGCTCTCTTAGGTTTTTGAGTGCCTGTGTACTTTTTAGAAGTACTCACTGCCCTTCTGAGTTTTGGATTTGCATGGATCTTGTAGCCCCTTTACTTTGGCTGATTTCTCCCTTTTTAGCAAGTGGTTGCTCCACAGTCTGCTTGAATTCCTCTCCTGATAATGCTTTTTCTTTCTCTGTCTCATAGCCAGGCAGTGAATTTTCCAAACTTTTATGTTGTGCTTCCTATTTTAATATAAATTTTAACTTTAAGTCATTTCTTTGCTCCCGCATCTGAGCATAGGTGTAGAAGCAGCCACATAACATCTTGAATGCTTTACTGCCTAGAAATTTCTTCCACCAGATCATAATTCAGAAAAGAAGAAAAGAAGAGTAAAGCCTTCATAATATTTGGGACAACATAAAGCGACTGAATATTCAAATTATCAGTGTCCCTGGGGAAAATGACAGAATGAAAGAGTTAGAAAACCTATTTAATAAAATATTAGATAAAAATGCTGCAAGTTTAGCAAAAGGCCAAGACGTTCAGATACTAGAGGGCCAAAGATTCTAAAATAGATATAATGCAAAAAGGTCTTCTCCACAGCATGTTATAGTCAAACTGTCTAAATTCACAGCAAAAGAGAGGGTACTAAAAATAGCAAGATCAAAGTACCTACTTACCTATATACAAAACCACATCAGACTAACAGCATATTTCTCATCAGAAATTTTATAGGCCAGGAAAAAATCTGGCAACATATTTAAAGTGCTGGAAAAAAACTGCCTCATGAGGATACCATATCGAGAAAAAATATCCTTCATAAATGAAGAATAAATAAAGTCTTTCTCAGAGAAGCCAAAGTGAGAGAATTTATCACCACTAGATTGATCCTACAAGAAGTGTTTAAGGGAATCCTAAACTTGGAAGCAAAAAGACACTTACCATCAGGAAAACACGTAACAATATAAAACCCACTGGTAAACCAAACAAATGTGGAAGACAAAGGTCTCAAATGGTACCACTACAGTATAACACCAAACCACAATGACAATGAGAAAGAAAGAAAGGAACAAAGAAGATACAAAACACAGGAAATGATTAACAATATGATGGTAACATAATTTCACATGTCAATAATAACACTGAATGTAAATAGATTAAGTTCTTCCGTTAAAAGATATAGGCTGGCTGAATGAATAAAGACACATGCTACAGCTCTATGCTGCCTACAAGAATTACACTTTAGCTGCAAAAACACATATAGACTCAAAGTAAAGAGATTGAGATACTTCACACAAACAGAAACCAAAAAAGAACAGGAAGAGCTATACATAGATAAAACAGACTTTAAGTCAAAATGGTAAAAAATAAATAAATAAATAAAAAGACAAAGAATGTCACTGTATGTTATGACTTTTCTAAATTTTTTTTTAAATATTTTTTGTTGTATGTGATCATTGATGTCTCTGTTTCTTTAGCTTATTTTTCATTTATCATTTGATGGAGATTTCCTTAAACATCTGAAGTCAACAACAAAAACAAAAATCTCCCTAACTGGGCTTTGTGTTGCTTTCACAACAGCCAAGCAATTTTCAGCCCTGGTTTAATCTCCCTTTCTTACTTTCATAGAGCTTGAAAGTCCACCAAAAGTGTAAGCTCTAGATCTCAGTTGTTTGTTTGTTTGTTTTCTTTTTTTTTTTCTGATCATGCACCCTGTCCTGGATATGCATATAGTCTTCTAGATTTCCTTGAATATAAAAGTTCTTATTATCCAAAGTTTCTCCCTACCCAGATTTTCCTCCCGGACTGTTTGGCCTATCTATTGTTTGCAATATCCTTTGCCCCAGGATGCAGTGACTAGTTTGTCTTTTATTGTTTTCTATGAATGCCCTCTTTGTAGCCACTTCTCTGTCATGATAGAGTTCTATGCTAGACAAAATAAAGACAAAAACCTTTGTATTAGTTCTTCCTGGAGCCCTCAGATAGGTCAAAACACACAAACATAATTATTTGAGATGATTTGCTCTTCTTCCTCCAGAGCAAGGAACCCACATTAGGAGCATGGGCTACCCTCTTCAAGATTCCCACCAAGCTGGGGAAGGGGTTTTGTTGTGGTAAACCTTTGACTAATTTTCAGAGATCTAATAGAGTTAATCCTGGAACTTTTGGGCTAGATTTTCAAGTGTTTATTTCTGAAAGAAAGAACCCTTGGTATTTTCCTCTTTGGCTGATGTTATTCACTCTCATTCTATCATTTTTATCATTTTCTAGATAACAGCATCATTGAAATATAATTCACATATTACCCAATTTGGCCAATTAAAGTGCCCAATTCAGTGTTTTTTAGTATTTTCAGAGTTGTTTAGTCAATACCACTGTTTAATTTTGGAATATTTTCATCACCACAAAAGGAAACTCCTTACCCATTAGCAGTCACTCTCCATCCTCCTCTCCCCAGAGTCTCTGGCAAACACTAATCTAATTTCCGTCTCTGTAGATTTGCCTATTCTGAGCATTTCATTTAAATTAAATCTTAAAATATGTGACTTATTTTGTGTTGCTTCTGTCACTTATTTTTTTATTTTTCCAGATTATCTTCTTTATATTTTCTTCTTTTACTCTGCCATGTGTTCTGATTAATTCTTCAGTACTATCTTCCAATACATTCTTTTCTGCCTGTGTCAAGTACAGAGTTGATCTCATTTTTTGGGTGTTTTTAAAATTTAATTTACCATATATTTTCTTTATTGAGTTTCCAATTATTTATTAGTTTATGTATATGTGTTTGATTCATAGATATATACTTTTACTTAATTGTTTTTGTTTATGGATTTATTCCCTATTTTATGTCATAGATCAGAGGTCAACAAACTTATTTTAGGTAAAGGGACAATAATACAAATACTAGGCCTTGCACACTATATGGTCTCTGTTGCAACTACTCAACTCCACCTTTGTAATAAGAATAAAATAACATGTAATATGAAAAACATCATGACTATGGTTCTATAAAATTTTATTAACAGACACTGATATTTGAATTTCATCAAATTTGTATGTAATACAAAATATTACTTTGATAGTGATTTTTTCATCCATTTAAAAATATATAAATCATTTTTAGCTTCCTGGCTATACAAAAACATGTGGCAGATTGTAGTTTAAGAAATCTTAGATAATATAAAACATATAATTTGTAGTAATTTTAAATTGCTTGATTATTTATACTTTGTTCTGGGTAAATTTATTTATATTTCTTAACTTTTGAGTTGTTGGATTTTTCTTTTTTAATTGATACATAAAAATGTGTGTATGTGGTGCAGAGTGATATTTTGACATGTATACAATGTGTAATCGTCAAGTCAGGATAATTAGCATATCTATCACCTCAAAAACACCTTTTTTGTGTTGGGAACATTCAAAATTCTCTCTTCCAGCTATTTCAAAATATACAGTATATTGACTATAGTAACCTCACAGTGCTATAGAACACTAGAACCAATTACTCATTTCTAGCTGTAATTTTGTATTCATTAATCAGTCTCTCTCAATTTTCTTTCCCAATCCACCCTGCCCCCTACACTTCCAAGCCTCTACTAACTTCAATTTTGCTCTCTACTTCTTTTTATTTAAGATATATATATATATATTTTTTTTTTCTTTACCTCAATTTTTTTGGGGGGCTCAAGTGGTTTTTGGTTACATGGATTAATTGTTTGGTGGCGAAGTCTGAGATTTTAGTGCACCTGTCACCTGAGTAGTGTACATTGTACCCAGTATGTAGTTTTTATCCCTCACCTTCCTCCCGACCTTTCCATTTCCGATTCTCGAATATACGTTATGCCACTCTATAGGTCTTTGCAAACCCATAGCTTAGCTCCCACTTATACATGAAAACATATAGTATTTGGTTTCCCATTCTTGAGTTATTTCACTTAGAATAATGGCCTCCAGGTCCATCCAAGTTGCTGCAAAATACATTATTTCATTTTTTCTGTCTGTCTGCTCTCTACTTCTAACAGCTTTATTTTTTAGCTCCCACAAATAAGTGAGAACATATGGTGTTTATCTTTCTGGGCATGACATTTTTCACTTAATATAATGTCATCCAGTCTCATCCGTGCTGTCAAGAATGACAGGATTTAATTATTTTGTATGTCTGAGAAGTATTCCACTGCACATATTTTAAAATCCATTATTCTGTTGATGGGCATTTGGTTTGATTCCCTACCATACCTCAGCTATTGTTAATAGTGCTGTAATAAATGAGAGGGTACAGATATTTCTTTGATATACTAATTTTATTTTCTTTGGAAAAGTACCTAATGGTAGGATTGATGGATTATAGGGCAGTTCTATTTTTAGTTTTCTGGGGAACCTCCATACTGTTTTTCATAATAGTTGTACTAATACACATTCTTACTAATAGTATATAAGAGTTCCCTTTTCTCCCCATTCATACCAGTATATGTTATTTTTTATTTTATAATAGCCATTCCACCTGAGGTGAGATATTTCATTGTGCTTTTGGTTTGCATTTCCATTATCATTAGTGATGTTGAACATTTATTTATTCACATACCTATTGGGATTTGTATGTCTTCTTTGGAGAAATATCTATTCAGACCATTTGCCCATTTTTAAATTGGGTTTTTTGTTGTTGCATACTTTGAGTTCTTATACATTGTGGATATTAATCTCTTGTCAGATGAATTGTTGGCAAATACTTTCTCCCATTCTGCAGGTTGTCTCTTCCCTCTATTGATTGTTTTCTTTGATGTGCAGAAACTTTTCAGTCTGATAGTAATATTTAGCTCTAACAATATTTGCATTATATATTTGGACTTACCTTTTTCCTGCAATGAAAAGTCTCTCTTGCATCCGAGCCAATCTTGGCTGGGTACTTTGCTTTCCTCTTTATGCTGCCATCCAGAGTTTCCATGTCTCAGAGGGCCTTTGTCACTTGCTTGCTTAATTCCAGTGTTCTCTCCTAGACACTCCATTCAATGTTAAGTTATCTACTTGTTATTTCCATCCTTCTTTGTGAAGGAGGAGAATACTGGGAACCTTTATTCAGACATCTTGATGACATCTCCTTGGATTTCTTTGTTAGTGTTATCTATTCTTCTGTGTTTTGATATTTTGTTTAACTGGCTCATTTTGAATGGGATTCTTTTTTATTTTTCCTTCAGAGTGACATCTATTAATGAGTTTGGCATCATGATGTGATGGTAGCATATAAGATATAACAATTCCAAGATGTGTCAAAGAGCTTTTATATACTGTTTTAGATTCTTTTAGCCTCATTTGTCTTTAGGGCCTTTGGCCAGTCATTCTTAATCCAGTTACCTTCAGTAACTAACTTCAAAAGTGAACTATCTGAATGTACTTCACATCATTTATTTACTACATCTTTCAATTCCTTTGCTAAGCCTTCTTGACACTGACATTTGGATGAGTACGTGTACTATCAAAGTGTTAGAATTAATATCTCAGGGGTAACACTTTTACCAATGAGAGATAGAAGATGGCATATAAACATTTCTGTCTCCGCAAGATGAACTTTTCTATGAAGTAATTATTTCGCTTTCTGCAGAAAGATTCTGTACAAATCTAGTTGTATTCAGTACCAAGTGGTGACAAATTTGGCATCTCACGCTGATACTGAATCTTTCTTCTTCTGTGCCTACGTCTTTTTCTCTTACTCCCATTCCTAAGCTCACACTGTGTAATAATAAAGAAAAATAACATTTTGCCTCAGGCTCTATTTCCTGGAAGATCCAGGCTAAGACACAGTCACTAAGCTTTCAGTTTGACTAACACAGGTCATTTTTTTCTGACAACTTTCTCTGCTTCTACCCACCATTTCAGTTAATAAATTATGTAAAAAAACAATTTTCCAGGACAACGTTAACCAAATATTTTCATGGTGGGGAGAACACCATATTAAGCCCTGCCTGATTTCACTCACTGAGCCTTTCTTTAGTCTTCCCAGCAGTATTTCTGGCCTCTACAGTAATCAAACTCTGAGTCACTTCTACTTGCTTCCAGCGCTTAAGCTCAGTAGAGTATACTGTAAACCCTAGCTTAATGTTTTGCTTTTTTTCAATTTCTGATCCATAGGAACAGTTAGATATTTTTGTAAGCACAATTTTTTTTAAGAAATTATCCTTCATTGCTGCATTTACAGATGAAAAAAGAAGTGGAAGAGTGAACTGAGAATGTCTTATTGAATGAAAGTTTCTAAAGGGAGACGTTGGTAATCAAAATATTGACAAAAGTTACAATTTTCTTGTGATGTATAAGGTAAAGCTTTTCATAAATTTATCATTTTGAGTAATTTTTAAATTACAAAATTTTTGAACACAATTAAAAGCACTTTTTGGTTGAATGTCTAAAGATAGCTTCCTGTCTCTTCCTATTTCTGTGCTACTTCATCATGAGAGATTTGTTTATGAGCTTAAAAGTCTTTACTAAAATAAACCTTTCACACCAATCAATTCATCTCTATGAATTGTTGGTCTGAGCAATGAACATAATTTGGTAGGCTGGATAATGGTTCCCCAAAAGTGTCCACATCCTAATCCCCAGAACCTGTGAATAAGTTATCTCACACAAGTATCTTACACAAGAGATACTTTACACATGTCATTAAATTAAAATTCTTTTTTTTTTTTTTTTGGAGATAGAGTCTCGCTTTATCTCCCAGGCTGATGTGCAGTGGCACGATCTCATTTCACTGCAACTCCGCCTCCTGGGTTCAAGCGATTCTCCTGCCTCAGCTTCCCAAGTAGCTGGGATTACAGGCTCCTGCCACCATGCCCGGATAATTTTTGTATTTTTAGTAGAGGTGGGGTTTTGCCACATTGGCCAGGCTGGTCTTGAACTCCTGACCTCAGATGATCTGCCTGCCTTGGCCTCCCAAAGTGTTAGGATTACAGGCGTGAGCCACCACTCCCAGCCCGAATTGAAATTTTTGAGATGAGGTGATTATCCTGGATTATCCCGATGGGCTTAATGTAATCACAATGGTCTTTATTAAAGGGAGGTAAGAGATTCAAAGTGCGAATATGTGTGACCACTGAGACTAGGGGTTGAAGTTATGAGATGTACAAAGCACTAGCCAATAGCACCCTTTGGAAGATGCAAATGGCAAGGAGATGGATTCTCCCTTCAGAGGCTCCAAAAGGAACTATCCTGGTCCACACCATGATTTTGGTCTGTAAGATTCAAATTTCAGACATCTGACCTTCAGAACTGTAAGAGAATAAATGTGTGCTTTTTAAAATCACTAAGTGTGTACAAATTTGTTATAGTAGCAATAGGAAATTAATACATGTGGCTATACCGATGACTTTTATTTTCTCCATACAAAGACCCATACATCTAGACATTTATTGTTTGAAACTGAAATATAAGATACAACAAAAGCACCTCATAGACATTGTACCAAGGCTTGCACACTTAAAGGCCATATTTCATCTTATAAATAGCAATCAACACTAAGCATTAGAGATGGAGAAAGAATAGGAAATAATGAAGACTGTGAAAGAGAAGAGAGGGTGGGCCTCTCTTAAAGGCAATTATCCAGTCCTAGCCAAACATTGTCATATAGGAATATAGTTCCAATGCTACCAAGTGCTACATTGTTTTTGTTCAAAAAAGCCAATTAGGTAAATTATGTGAAATTCCCTAATTTTAAATATATAACTAAATAAAAATTAAAACATTGTGTAGATCGACACTGTGTGGATCAAGAAAATCACATTCATAACCAGCTGTTTGTTTTGCTTATGCTGTGACTACATTGCAATCTCTCATTCGGACTTGCAACTCTGTATCAGGAGAATATCACAATACTCATCCAAGGTCTGCTTGGGGGAATAAACCTACTTTTCCTAATTACTTAGAAGCCACTTTCAAGTCAATTTTTTTTCACTAGGGTAAGGAGTGGGGGATGAATTTCAATGTCCAATTATAAAACAATCTAGTCTGTCACAGAATTTTACTGTTTTAACAATTGACTTGTAACATCCTCAGGTAAACTTCTTTTTAAAACCATGTTTGATTTCCTTCTCTTATAAGGTTGCACACTATTTCATTGTGTGCGTGTGTGTGTGTGTCACATTTTCTTTTTCCATTAATCTATCAGTGGACATTTAGGTTGCTTCCATATTTTGGCTATTGTGAATATAGATGAAGCTTTAGGACATCATGCTAAGTGAAATAAGCCAGACACTGGAGGACAAATACTACATGATTGCACTTATATGTGGAGTTTAAAATGGTCAAACTTGTAGAAGCAGAGAGTAGAATGTTGGTTGTCAGTGGCTGGGTTATAAGAACGAATAAATGAGGAGATACTGGTGAAAGGGTACAAAGTTTCAGTTATTCAAGCTGAATAAGTTCTAGAGCTCTAATGTACAGCATGATTACTACAGTTAACAATACTGTTGCATACTTGAAATTTGCTGAAAGGGTAGATCTTAAGTGTTCTCACCACCAAAAAATAAGGAAAATGGTCACTATGTAAGGTGATGAATATATTAATTATCATGATTGTGGTGACTATTTAATCATATATAAATATATCAAAATACCAAGTTATAAATGTTAAATATGTACATTTTCTACTTGTCAATTATATGTCAATAAACCTGGGAGAAAAACACACATACTTTTGCTCGCATAGAGTGTGTCATAGAGGACATAAAATGTGTACTCTCTTTAACTAAGGAGCCACATTTTAGAAAGCTCATCAGTGTTATAATTCACATAATTCCCCATGGAAACCAATCCTGTGAAGCTTTAAAATACAAATAACTGAAGAGTATGTCTACTGGAGATGAAGAAGGGAAGAAAGAGAAGAGCTAATTGGTGATGACACCATAGCAGGTGCTCTCCCTGAAGGACAGTAATGACACTGCTCATTCATTCAGAGACAGTCACATGTGCTCCTTGGCAAGCTTACACAAATACCTTTTTGTAAGCAAGTCAAGTATCTACATCTGTGACAAATAAATCTATGCTTTAAAAAGTTTCATGAACAGAAATGGGGAAATACCTTCTATGGTTGAATACTAATCATTGCATGGTTGTTCTCTGGCAGGGCTATAAAGTGCAAACTTCCAGCCAACGGAATCATAGCACATGCTCTGGCCTTCTGCTGATAGTGTCTGAAAGTATTAATATGCTCCATATCTCTATTTTTTCAACAAAAATTATTTTTTGTATCTATGGCTGAAGTAGAGAACAAATTGATTTTTTAAAAGGAAAGTACAAGTTTTTATTTTTTCCCTCCTTTTGGTAGGGCCACATTGACTTAGGATTTCATGTATATATATATCACAAATAACTTGAACACATGAAAGTGTATCTTTTGAGTTTTCCTGGAAATACATAGTATTATAAGATGGAAACAAATCCTGGAAGTAAATGTTAAGTCATGGAGCACTTCATTTATGATTGTTATTTCTGGGCCAGAGGCTATCATGGTTAAAATATCCTCGATATATTCTAAAAGTTCCCAATCACATTTACAGATTAAAAACACTTTTAAGGGGATTGATTCAGTCATTAGGCAAACTATATGTATACCTTTTTTCTAGGTGATATGGGAGAAATTAAAAATAAAACAGACATGGTTCCATATGTAGCCTTTTAGAGCCTAGAAGAAACAATAACAAATTTACAACCACCATTTATTATTATTCATAATGTTGTAGTATGTATTAAGATTATGCAATCACATTTAATCATTAAAGGAAGCCTACAAGACCGTTATTATTATTTCACTTTTACAAATCTTGAATTTGGTGCTCATAATGAAATCAGTGATTTACCCAGAGTCATGCAGATAGTGAATGGCAGAGCTTTAATTCAAACCTGGATTTATCTGACTGCATAGTCCAAGTTTTTTTTAACAACCTGCTTTAGTTATTTAAACTAATAATATAAAGCAGGCATATAAATAGATGTAATACAAGGTAGGAGCTATGAAAATGGTATAAAAATGGTATCCTGGAATTTCAGGATAAGTTGGGATCGTTTCAGGATGGATGAATGCTATGTGGCCATTTAGTGGCAATTTAATTGGACCTTAGAGAAGGGAAAGATTTTAATTTCGTGAAGGTTGTTGGTAGATGAATATCCTAATAAATAATGGGAAGAAAATATGAAATCAGGATGGTAAAATACAGATAGAGAAAAATATTGATAACATTCGCTGGAGTGTAGCATTCTTGAGGAGCAATAGTTAAGAGATAAGATTTGAAAGAAAGGATGATGTCAAATAGTGAAGAGAAGTGCAAAACAGTTTTTCTAAAAACAGAATAGTCAATCTTGTTGAAAACATTCAAGTGAGTTTAACAGTTTTTCCTATCTGATCTACTTTCCTGTGACTGTTATAATTTTGACTAGTGACTTAAACTGTTTGAAAATTATGTAAAATCTCACAGGATAGATTTTTGTAAAGAAAATTGATACGTATAGATATAATATTTAAACGTAAGCCCCTAGATTGTTTTTTTTTCAGTTGTTACTTTAAAACTTAAATGCAAGTACAGATCAAGATTCAGAGTATACTAGCCAATAAAAAAATAATTTGCCTGTGAGATATTGAGGTCATTGGAAGCTTAAGCAAAGCCCTGTATATTTATGAATACTTGGCTGAAGAAGGACTCTCCTCTGTCTGGGCATATTTTTTGTTTAGAGCATAAATGCACTCACTTGTTGCTATTATGAAAAAAAAAGTGGATAACAACATAGCTCACTAGGTTAATTAATCAACCCTAAATATGAATGAGATGATAGATGTCACAGATCATCTTTATATTCATTTAGCTCAGTGAGCCACTGGAGAGATTACAAAATTATATGCATGTCTAATTCTTAAATGAAACGTATCTGATAAAGTTATCTTCAGGATATAGATACAACGTGTTTGAATTCTTCTGGATAAATATGTTAATATAATACAAACATTTATCTTTGTTCACTCTCTCCTGAAACCTGACTAAAATAGCAATAAAGAAACAGGCATTTAGACATTAACTTCAGAAGACGGGCGGGGGGTGGGGGGATGGATTAGAGAAGGCAAAGATTTCAGTGGAGTGTGTGAGAGGGGTGGCAACAAGAAATAAAGCCATCAGATCTATAGAGCCTTAGAAAGTTTCAGGAGTCTGAGAGACATAATACCTCAAAACTGGTGGTGTGTGTAAAGGCTGATAAACAAGAGGGTTGGTTGAAAGTGCATATATTTTACAGTTAGTCCTACAGATCCTTTTCTCCAACAAACAGCCCTGAGACTAGAGGTCACATATTGAATATGTTGCTTCAGAAAGGCTCTGAACTCAGGAATATTATATCTGGACTCAGGGATATTGGAAATTAATGGAGGCAAGGGTGCCACTTTGAAAACGGGAATTCAGTAAAAGTCTATACTACAGCTGCCAAGCTCATACTGCTTATGTAGCTGATTGGAGAATTTCTTCGTTGAATAAAATGTCTTGAGTGGAGATAAATCTGTTAGGTATAGGAGAAGGATAAAGGCCAGCAGGAAAATCAGATCTGGAATGGAGGGAAAAAAGAAACACTTAGTAATTAGTTAATAAAACATGCAGATTTATATATACATTGTCAAATTAATCCACTCTAGTGTTATTGCTTGGAAGTCAACCCATAACAGAGGCCTATTGTTGGGAAAAGGTGAATTATTACTCTGTTTTTGCATTCCACTGCTTGAATTGCTCTCACAGCCCTTGCCATAGCCCAGGAGAGTTAGGCTTGCCAAGAATTGAAAAAGGAAACAGGGATTCCACAACATGGAGTAGGGGCTACATTGAAAACTGCTGGTGAAAGAAACAGTCTAAATTTGCTTATTTTAGAATCAACTCTAGTATGAGTCAGTAAAGTGTCCAAGAAAAGGTGAAAGAAAAGGAATTATGTTAAGTTTGGGGGCAGAACACTATGATTTATATACATAGTTTTATACGAAAATATAGAGCATGGTCTGTACAAAAGTAAAAACTGTTATGTTAGACAATAAACTCTAATACTGAAACAAGACAGAAAAATGTTTTGTAAATGTACAGATAAACAGAAGATATTGGAAAATTTTTATAACCCATTTATTCAAAAACTAATTTGAAGAACGGAATATTGAGGGAATAGAAGTAAAACTAAAAGCAAATGTTGGACCAATCACATCAGAGCTATAAGAGAAGATATTTCCTCCATGAAACAAAAACAATGAGCTATACAAATGAAATTGTAATATTATTAAAACTAAAGCACTCTTTAAATAAATATATATCCAAAATGAAGATTCAATATAACGATTGGAACACAAAGTTGGTGAAATTTCACATAAATTAGAAAAAAAAATGACAAAGAAATAAATACTAAGATATACAGACCAGGAAAGAATTAGAGGCAAAATCAAGACATTATGAGTTTTAGAAAGAGAAAAATAAAATAGAGGAGAGTAAATTTCCCTGAATGGATGCACATGTGTTTGTAGAGTCCAAAAAGGAAGTGACCACGGCAGTTTATCATAGAGAATTTCCTTGGAACGACTGAAACATAGATGGGCTTGATAAGTTGACGATAGCTGTAAGTAGTCTACTGCCATAATATGGCCTCGCTCAGGAGTGGATCTAAAAGACAATGATGAATGGGAACCTTTGTCAGTAGATAGAGCTACCAGTGTGACACTTGTTTACTTTGCATGTTTGACATAATGGCCTGAGGAAGGTTATCCATGGACTTCTGAGAAACAATACCGGAAGATCTGAGAGAAGGAAGCTTATAGAAAAGGCATGATGTATTTTTTTCGAAATGGGCAAAAAATGTGGGAATTTTTATTTTTAACTTTTATTGCTACTCAGAACATCAAGTAGAAGAGGAGTCACATAACAACCATGTATACAGAATTTCTCTTCATATGTCAGCCAGGTCCTCTCCTCAGTTGCCTTAGTGTTTGCTTGATGGACCCATGAATGGGGTAGTTAGGGTGGTAGGCATGAAGGCTATCTCTCTTACCAAGGATGATCTAGCTAGTGCTACTGCAATATGCCAACATTAAAGGAAAATGTTGAACTCTTAAGGTGTTATTATCTTTTAAGGAGACCAACTTGCCAAATGGTGGCGTGTCTGTTACACCACTTTTCACCTGAGAGAGAGCTAGAATTCTTATTTCTTGAATTTTGCATTCATTCTTTGTGTGGCTTTACCTTATCTGCCTAAGTACCTTTGCAAGGACTAATGTCCAAAGTTTTATGAAATGCCTTATTTACCAGTGTGATACTCTTCACAATATTATATTAGACTAAGGGATCCATATTACAGTGAAAGAGTTATGACAAGTGTTGTCTCACTGAAGAATCTATAAAAATCACAATATACCTCATCACAAGGAAGCAGCTAGACACCTTTCTAAAGGTTCATCTCCAGGAAAATATTTTACCGTGTCAGAGCACTGTCCTCCAGAATCCAGTATTTCTACTGGACCAATAGGTAATACATGGTTATGCACCCCCAGCAACTAAAATACAGGGAAACAAAGAGCGAAAGTAGGACTGGATTTTCTCACCTATAAACCCAAGTATTCAGTCAGGGAATTTGTGTTTTCTAGCCCTGTCAAACTTAGGAAGAATTTTTCAAGCAGGGAATGCAGTAAGGTTTTAACTAACCACGAAGCCATGGCTTCCAGACACAGGAAGACCATTAGGAAAAGAAATAATAATATATTGGCAGAGTTTGTTGGATCTGATTACAGTAAAGACAGAGTTCTTGCTATGCAACATAGGCAAGAAGGAACGATCAGGGAACAAGAAAAAAGGCAGATAGGAGGCAGGACTAAATTGCAGCTCCCACTCAGACAGACAGAGCAGTGTGTGGAGACTCGCATCATAAATTCTTTCTCCAAGAACTACTGCAGGAATATACTAGTAAAGCCAAGGAAATCCATAGACCCTTTGAAGATAATATATTGCTCCTGTAGCACCTGGGAGATAGCCCAAATACTGTGAGTGCCCAAACTGTGAGAATGAGAAAGGAGGATCATCCACCCTCAAACACACACCCTCACTGGGGAACCTGAAGGTCCAGATGACAGGAGGATTTTACCTTACCCGGAGCTGAAACAATTTTGAGAGCCAAGTGAGATACAGGGGAAGAGGAAGCAGCAGGAAAAGCCCTATGGGCTCTCTCAGTCCCCAGGGAAGCCATTTCTGACTTGTCTCACAGGGGTCCTTGGGGATGGCTGCCAGAGGAACTGGGAAAAGACCACAGGGAGAAGGAAACCTCAAGCTGACCTTTATAACAATTCCTACTGAATACAAAATTTCCTGGCCAGAACTCAGGGGAGAGCGTGAATCTGGTGTTCAGACTCAACAGGTGGGAAGGCACAAATGCCCTGTTTACTTTCTCAGCCAGGAGGCTGATAGCATGGGGCTAGTTCTCAGCCCTGCTTGCCCACTGCCTGCAAACAAACTCGGTGTTTTTGTTTTTTGTTTTTGTTTTTTTTTGCGGGGGTCGGGGAGCCATTGTGGGAGTGGAACTGGCCTTTTGGGTTGCATGGGAGCTGGGTGAAGCCTGTAACTGCTGGCTTTCCCCCACTTCCCTGACAATCTGCATGAAACAGCAGAGGCAGCCATAATGCTCCTGGGAACATAACTCCATTGACCTGTGAACCACACCCCCATCCCCCACAGCAGCTGCAGCTGCAGCAAGCCCCACTCAAGGAAAGTCTGAGCTCACACATGTCTAACCCTGCCCCCACCTGATGGTCCTTCCCTACATACCCTGGTAGCTGAAGACAAGGTAATATTCTTTTGGGAGTTCTAGGGTCCTACCCACTGCCTGATCCTCCCCTGTACTACCACAGCTGAAGCTCTCTTGAAAGAGCCACCTGCTGGCAGAAGGCCAACCAGCACAAAACTAGCGCATTAAACAGCTACATCTAAGGACTCTCACATAGTCCATTTCACTCCCCTGCCACCTCCACTGGAGCAGGTGCTGGGACTGATGGCTGAGAGACCCGAAGATGGTTCACATCACAGGACTCTGTGCAGACAACCCTCAGTACGAGCATGGAGCCTGGCAGCCCTGCTGGGTGGCTAGATCCAAAAGAAAAATGACAGTCACCAGAGTTTGGTTCTCAGGAAGCCAGATGCCTAGGAAAAAAGAGGAGAGTACTACATCAAGGAAGCAACCTGTGGGATGAAAGAATCTGAACAGTAGCCTTGAGCCCCAGATCTTCCCTCTGACATAGGCTACCCAAATGAGAAGAAACCAGAAAAACAATTCGGGTAATATGGCAAAACAAGGTTCTTTAACACACTCAAAAAAAAAAAAAATCACACTAACTCACCTGCAATGGATCCAAACCAAGAAGAAATTACTGAATTGTCAGAAAAAGAATTCAGAAGGTTGATTATTAGGCAAATCAAGGAGACACCAGAGAAAGGTGAAGTCCAACTTAAGGAAATAAAAAAAAAATGATACAAGAAATGAGGGGAGGAATCTTCAATGACATAGATAGCCTAAATAAAAAAAAATCACAACTTCGGGAAATAAAGGACACACTTAGAGAAATGCAAAATGTCCTGGAAAGTCTCAGCAATAGAATTGAACAAGCAGAAGAAGCAACTTCAGAGCTTGAAGACAAGGTTTTTGAAACAACCCAAACCAACAGAGACAAAGAAAAAAGAATTTCAAAAAATGAACAAAGCCTCCAAGAAGTTTGGAATTATGTTAAATGGCCTGATTTAACATAAGAATAATTGGCATTGATGAAGATAAATACATTCCTGCAGAAGATAAATCTAAATGTTTGGAAAACATTTTCAGGAGAAGAGTCAAAGAAAACTTCCCTGGCCTTGCTAGAGATCTAGACATCCAAATACAAGAAGCTTAAAGAACACCTTGGAAAATCATTCCAAAAAGATCATCACCTAGTCATGTAGTCATCAGATTATCCAAAATCAACATTAAGGAATGAACCTTTAGAGCTGTGGGGCAAAAGCACCAGGAAATCTATAAAGGAAAACCTATCAGATTAACAGCAGATTTCTCAGCAGAAATCCTACAAGCTAGAAGGGATTTGGATCCTATCTTTAGCCTCCTTAAAGAAAACAATTTTCAGCCAAGAATTTGGTATCCAGCAAAACTAAGCTTCATAAATAAAGAAAAGATAGTTTTGTTGTTGTTGTTGTTGTTGTTGTTGTTGTTTTCAGAAAAACAAATGCTGACAGAATTTGCCACTACCAAGCCAGCACTACAAGCACTGCTAAAAGGAGCTTTAAATCTTGAAACAAATCCCGGTAACAAATCAAAACAGAACCTCTTTAAAGCATGAATCCCACAGGACCTATAAAACCAAAATATAATAAATAAATTTAAAAAAACAAGGTATTCAGACAACACATAGCATGATGAATGGCATAGTACCTCACATCTCAATACTGACATTGAATGTAAATAGTCTAAATGCTCCACTTAAAAGATACAAATTGCAGAATGGATAATAATTCACAAATCAAGTATCTGCTGCCATCAAGAGACTCATCTAACACATAGGGACTCACATAAACTCAAGGCAAAGGGGTAGAAAAAGACATCTTGTGCAAATGGACACCAAAAGAGAGCAGAGGTAGCTATTTTTATATCAGACAAAGCAAACTTTAAAGTAACAGCAGTTTAAAAAGACAAAGAGGGACATTTTATAATGATAAAATGACTAGTCCAACAGGAAAATATCACAATCCTAAATATATATGCACCTGACACTGGCGCTCCCAAATTTATAAAACAATTACTACTAGATCAAAGAAATGAGATAGACAGCAACACAGTAGTAGTGGGGGACTTCAATACTCCACTGACAGCACTAGATAGGTCATCAAGACAGAAAGTCAACAAAGAAACAATGCATTTAAACTATACCCTAGAAAAAATGGACTTAACATATATTTACAGAACTAAACAACTGCATAATGTACATTCTATTCAACAACACCTGGAACTTTCTCCAAGATAGACCATATGATAGGCCGCAAAACAAGTCTCAATAAACTTAAGAAAATTGAAATTATATCAAGTACTCTCTCAGGCTACGGTGGAATAAAATTGGAAATCAACTCTAAAAGAGACCTTCAAAACCATGCAAATACATGGAAATTAACCTGCTTCTGAGTGATTATTGGGTAAACAATGAAATCAAGATGGAAATTAAAAAATTCTCAATGATAATAGTGACACAACCTTGTTATATAAAGTCTAACAACATTGTTTAGAATCTTCTTTGTTGTTTCTTTCCCTAGTTCTTTCTATAACATTTCTAGCTATTCTCTTTTTTCTCAGGAACCCCAATTATTGTCAAAGGGAGAACTAGGGAAAGAAACAACAAAGAAGATACCTTTGTTATAAAGTCTAACAATGTTAGACTGAAAATAATTGGGGTTCCTCAGAAAAAAGAGAATAGCTAGAAATGTTATAGGCAGAACTAGGGAAAGAAACAACAAAGAAGATTCCTTTGTTATAAAATCCAGTACTATGTGCAATTCCAGGTATCTGCTGGAGATCTTGCAATATAATCCCCATGGATAATTAGAGGCTATTGTACTAGTATCTTGGAACTATCAGACTCTGTTAATTGCTTGTCACCATTGTTTTCAATAACACCTTTAAACATAAATTTCTTTAGGTTTTCTTATAAATAATACAATCTCCTCAGACAGGGCTTCAAGCTCCCCTTTTATAAAACCTGCCTGTCCTCCCGGATACAACATTTATATTACTACCCTGGAGCCTGTGGGAGAAATACTAATTTGCTTTTCCCAGAGGGATATTCTTGCTCGATGTGCAGGGGAATGGGAATAGCAGTCCCGAGTGTTCTTGGCTCGCTGCTCCTAGCATGGAACCTCTGGTTTACAAGTGAACTGTGGTGTGGGTGATCAGGGCTCCAGTATTTACAGCCTGACACACTTGAAGCAGGGCCCTTGAATCTTCTTGGTCACACTTTTCCATAATAACACATATGGGGTTGGAAAATTTGATAAGAGATGTTAATAGTCTTCCTGTTCTGGCATGATACAGTAGCTCTAGATTAGGAGTTCTATGGAGAGGAATCCAGTTATTTTTGTCCGCACTTGTCAGGTATAGAGTGCTAGAAGTAGACGTTTCATTATATGGACCTGGTGAGGGCACAAGAGTTGGGAGTAGGTCAAATGTCAAAACAAAACAAACAAATAAAAATCTTGGTAAGACCAGTACTTTTTTTCTTTTTTTTTTTAACAGATTTTCTTGAATAAACCTTTTTGTTTCATTTCCTGTATACCCTTAAGTTATTAAGACAATTTTTAGAGGCTTTAAATATTTCTTCTTTAAGATAATTTTTACCAGTTAAATGGTAGTTTTTTTGGGGAAAATGATACACTGATTTCTCGTCACCACATTTTCAGAAGTACTGCCTGAATGGCCTTAAATTTAACCATTCTGTGCTAAAGATTGTTTAGGAAATTGGAAATGCAAAAATAAATTTTTTTATCTGACACATGAAAAAATGTGACTTCAACAAACTGTAGTACCTCTCCTACTAAGTTCTAAGCTGTTGAATATATAATGAGATGTCTATACGTATGGTCTATGGGAACAAATAAGATGTGATTAAGAAAGGAAAGGGAAAGATCTATGGAAAAGTTATGTCACTCAAGTCTAAAGGATGAATGTGACATTTTCCAGGTTAAGAAAGGGGTTAGAAGGAAATACCGGACAAAGAGTGAAACACAAGTGGAGGCAGATATGTATGAAATAAGATGGGTCAAGAGGAGAACCACAAGCAGTTTACTATTATTGGAACATAAAAAATAAAAATGGAGTAGCAACACTTGCACTAGAGAAGTAGGTGTGGATGGTTGCAAGCCATGATAAGGAGTTGAAATATAATCCAAAAAGTGAAATGAAGTTAAGTGGTTTTAAGCAGGAGATTGGCATAATTGAGATTAGTATTCTAGAAAGATTGTATACATATGTAACAAACCTGCACATTGTGCACATGTACCCTAGAACTTAAAGTATAATAAAAAAAAGAAAAATTGCTGTGGCTGTGCTGTAAATCAAGAGTAAGAATACTATTAATCACAGGCTAAATATGGTTTTTGGGAATAAAGTTTTGTTGGAAAACAGCCATTTTTTTTTTTTTTTTTTACTTATTGGTTATATCTCCTTTCACATTGCCATGGCACAGTTGAGACATTAAAACACAGACTATATGGCTTTCAAAGTCTAGAATATTTACTATTTGGGCTTTAAAGAATAAATACAGACAATTTGGGGAGGGTCAAGGCTTTAGCTAAGTAGTTGTGAAAGAACGCTATTGCGTCCAGGCAAGAAATGATGGAGGGACAGGTTTAGCCTTCATTCTTGATTAAATGTAATAACATCATTAGCCACTAGTGTGTTTTCTTTCTTTTTTTTTTTTTCTGTTCCTCTTTTTTGTATTTTCTTATCACTTGTAGGTTATTTTATTATTATTACTTTTTATTTTTTTATTTTCTCCTTCTTGAATTCTGATGGACCATATTGTTTGCTCACTATTTTTTTATTTGTATTTTAATTTTTTATTTCGATAGGTTTTTGGGAAACAGGTGGTATTGGGTTACATTAGTAAGTTTTTTATTGGTGATTCGTGAGATTTTGAGAACTAAAGACCTATACATCACTTCAATTAAATTTCTATCAACATGAAATTCTGCAATTTTGACAATGAATGTGTAAAGATGCTCAACAGGGAGACCTTGTGTGACAAGGTTGATATGAAGCTACCTTCAGTGGCAATGAGCATTATGAGTATGATGAAGAGCTACAATTCACTAGAAATGCACTGTTTTTTCTTACTGAGAACAAATTTTTTTCAGGGTACCTTATCTTTTTCTTAATGAGGGTTACAGGGCTAATAAAATCTTGTTCATCACATTGGCCTTTGAGTCTACCTTTCTGAAAAGATTATACATTTTCCCATCTTTCTTATCAAGCAATAACCCCCTTGCCACACACACACACACACACACACACACACACACACACACACAAACACAATACTACCAATGTGATTCCACATGCTTTGCAGTATTGCCCTAGGAATAATAAAGATATTATACATAAATTTATTTTCTTAATTTTCTTTGAAATCCTGATTTGTGTTGGAAAAAGTCTGTGTTGTACAAATAATAGATTTGTGCAATGTACAAAAATGAGGCAGTAGTCATGCAGAGGCTTTGGTAAAACCATCTGAAGGGGAACAAATCAGGCCTAATGTTCAGCCTCTTTTGTACATATCTTCCTGCTTTAGAACCTCAGAGGATCACGGCTGTTTATTGTACTTTCCACTGGTGTGAGATAACAGTTATAGTTACACTCAAACAGACACACAAATAAGGTCTTTCCAGGGTTGAGCAATGTATAATAAAATATCAGAGATTATTTTAATTAATCAGTGACTAAAGATGTAACTGGAGTTATTTAATTGACCCCTTTCATTCTCCTGCACAGGTATTGTCTCTATAAAACATAACCATACCAACTATGACACTAATAATAATGCAGTTTTCAGAATATGATTTGTTGTTGTATGCATTTTAAAAAACATATAATTGTTGTGGACATAGGCTCAGAGTTAACATCTGACTACCTGATATATACTTAAAAGGAGGAGAATGACCCAGGGAGCAGTGTGAATGCATACATTTAGCCTGTGTATATAGGGAACTTTCTCGTCTCTATTCCTGTGACATACTGGAAAATAGATGCCCTTTCCACATCTAGTTTCTCTTTAACTCCAATTCTAGAATATGTCTATACCAGTGGGCTCAACATATGGAGTAAGTTAGTTGACGTTAGAAACAGAAAAATTGTGAACTTATTGTGAGACTAAGACCTTATCTTAAAAATTCTCTAATGTACTGTATCAAAATCTATTATTGATAAAAATCCATTGTTGGTATTTATATTGATATAATTTATTTATTTATATTAGTATTATAAATAAATATTAATAATGGTTCCATTTTGCTATATATAATATCAATATCAAGATATCAATATAAATAGATATAATTATTATATTTAAATGAATATAACTATGCATAATATACAAAGATATCCAAATAAATATCCTTGTATACTCTTTTATATCCAGATTATACAAGAATATACAAATAAATATAAATAGCAATGGCAATATAAATAAGTATAAATAATATAAATATAAATATATTTATTTCCATTGTTATTGTTATTTACATTTATTTTCTAAATCCATCAAGTGCTTTAAAATTTTTTTGTATTTTATTTTTTAATTGACACATAATAATTGTACATATTTATGGGTTATATAATGATGTTTTCATACATACAATGTATAGTGATAACATCAGGGTACTTAGCACATTCATCATCTCAAACTTTTATTATTTATTTGTGTTGGGAATACTCAATATTCTCCTTCTGGCTATTTGAAAGTATATATTATTGCTAACTATAGTCATCCTATAGTGTTATAGAACACTGGAACTTATTCCTCTTATCTAGCTGTAATGTCATATCTTTTAACAAATCTCTCCTTATGGCCTCTTATTCTTACCCTTTTCAGCTCCTTATATCCTTTGTTCTACCTTTTTACTTTAATGGGATCAACATTTTTTTTTTACCTGCTGCATATTCGTAAGAACATGCAGTGTTTAATTTTCTGTTCCTGGCTCATTTCACTTAACATCCTCCAGTTCCATTCATGTTGCTGTTAATGGCAGGATTTCACTCATTTTTATGGTCGAATAGTATTCTATTGGGTATATATTAACACATTTTCCTTATCCATCCATCTGTTGATGAGAAAGGCTAGGTAGATTCTATTTCTGGCTATTGTTAATAGTGCTGTAATAAACTTGAGAGTGTAGATGTCTCTTCAATGTACTGATTTTCTTTCCTTTGGATAAATACCTGGTAGTGAGATTGCTGGATTATATGGGAGTTCTATTTGTATTTTTTTGAGAAGCCTTCATCCTGTTCACCACAGTGGCCATACTAGTTTACAAGCCCACCAATGGTATATGAGGGCTTTCTTTTCTCTGCATCCTTAACAGCATGTTATTTTTTGTCTTTTTTATAATAGCCATCTTAACTGGGGTGAGACAGTATCTCGTTGAGGTTTTGATTTGCATGTCCCTGGTGATTAGTGATGTTGAGCATTTTTTCATATATTTGTTGGCCATTTGTTTGTCTTCTTTTGAGAAATGTCTGTTAAGATCATTTTCCCATTTTTAAATCAGATTGTTTCTTCTGCTCTTCAGATGTTTGAATTCCTTATGTATTTTGGATGTTAATCCCCTGTATGATTAATATTTTTTGATTATCTGTTATGACATTCCATATGAAGGATATAAGAGTCAGAGGTCAGCATTCTTTACTTTCCCTGACAACATTTTCTAGACGCGAGCATAAAACTCCCTCACAGAAATTAGGAAACAAGAAATAGATAATAAATGACTGAACAGGGTATATTATACAATATAGCAATTTGCCAGCAAGACTGCCCACTGTGGCACTGTCTGGCAATTCAATAGGAATTCAGACAAGATGAAGTAAGTAAGAGCCTAGAAGTTGTAGAGTGAGATTTAATTTAGCAATTAGCTGTGGCTCTTTAATAAATGGTAAGCTTTTTCCTGACATAGAAGGAATTTTGTGGTAGAAGTTTGGCAATTGAGCTATGATCACCTTATATAAAACCTATCCATGTCCTGAAGTTACTAAAATCAACAAATATTTGTTGAATAGCTACTTCATTCCAAGTACTACTCAAATCAAGTGAAAATAAAATTACACCAATGCAAACAGAAAACATGGATAAAAGAAAATAACATATATGTGTATATTGCTCTTTTGGATATTGATTTAACGTGACTTTGGGTTTATTTTTGGATGGCAAGAACCAATGTGCTATGTTTAAAGGAAACCATAAGTTAATGTCCCACTCCATCTCCTTCCTAATTTTCTGTCTACAAAAGCAGCCATTTTTAGCTCTTTAATTCTTATAACACATTTTCTAAACAATTTATTAATACTGCTATTTCTTGATTTACAATTTTAAACATTAGCTGCTGATTTCTATCTTACCCCAGTCCCCCCACCCACTCTGAGGAAAGAAAAGGCTGAAAATAAAGGCTTGCGGTGAAAGCAGTGTCAGTTAACAGGAGCAGAGGACTGGGGAGACTAAAACATGAAAATACTGAAAACCAATGTAAGGACGTCTTACCATCCTGGTCGCTGAGGACAACTAAGCTCCATTTCACTGAAACTCTCTGAGAAGATATGTAGAATGCACCTCAGAGTTTTCTGCCTAGGGCACAGAATAGGGGAACAAGTATTCATCAGCCTCTATTCCCCATTAGTCAAGAGCTACACCATGGCATGTTAAGTCTTGGCATTTCTTGATTTGTGCATGCACATGTGAAAATAAAAGTCCCAGGGCAGAAAGAGATACTTTGTACAGTTGTGCCTGAGGAAAGTCTCTGTCAAGTGACAGCAGGATTAACTTGATTGCCACAGCACTGGCTAACATAACAATTGTGTCAAAACTGTGAGGCAAGACAAAAGAAGGATCTGATATAGTCCATCCTTTACACTCCTTAGATCTCCTCATGCCTTCAACTAAATCCAATCCATCATAAAGCTTTTAAGAAGGTGAACAGCTGAAATATCTTCAAAAGACTTATAAAAGGGGGTCACTAGAACAATATAAAATTCCCACTGTTCTAAATTTCCCAAGGCCATAATTGATACTTATTATCTTCTTCCTCAAACACCCATTCTATATTTCCATCATCTTATACCAGAACTTCAAGAGTTCTAGATTGACTGTTAAGTGTGTTAACCCAGACCCTCATCCTTGAGTTCTTAGCGAATAGTTGCTTAACCCCGTTGGACCATGGTTGCTACAATTTCCAGCTGGTATTATCACTGGGCATGCAAGCACCAAAGATACCTCCATAAATTTCCTTTGTTCCTAACATATTATTTCTTGCCTATTTTTTTTACAATAAAACAACTTTATTAAAGCAATACGTTTCATGCATAAATCTGATCAGATTTGCTCTAGCAATCATCCTGTGTGTGTCAAGACACCTGCAGTAGGAGAAGAAATCATGTTTCTATCCATTCTCAAAAATTATGCCATCTTTCGTGGCATAATTTGATGTTAATTTGCAATGCAAAGTTAACTCACACCTTATTATCAGTACCACAACTTTTTTTGCATTCAAGTGCTCAATTTCTAGTTAGTTATTTTCTCATTTATAAAATTATCTTTGGATTATTTTTCTGTTTGATAAATTTTAAGCAAGCGAATGCTGTGTGCTATTCTTTTATGTTATAGAGTCTATTATTGAAATATTTGCTTGAATTCTCTGAGAAAATTAACTCAATCAGAAACATTATTTATATTTTTATTTTCTATATTTTGTACCATATAAACTCATACATAAATAACCTATAACATGGTATTAATCTTGGTTTAAGTAATATTTCTAAATGTCACAAAAGGACTCAACATAGGTGTAATAGAACATTTTAATAAAATAAAAAACAAAACTATGGAAACAAATAAATCTTACAAGTTGGAAATATATTGATTGTCCATTCTCAAATATTAAATATAGAATTATTTTAGCAAAGCATTGCAAAGCATACCGATGTCATGGGGCTATCAATACTCATATGTGGCATATAAAAGTCATTTTAATTTCTCTTATCTATATATAGGTCCACATTGTTAGGTGGAAAGTAAGCCAGGAAAAAGAATGTCACACAAAAATAGTTATAGTCATTTAAATTTAGTTGATTACAAAGGATGCCAGCAACAGTCTTAAGTTTAGCTTGATTAGACATGAACATGAATAAATTAAACTAAATGTATAACTGGTAGAATTTCACTTTTTATAACAATATGAAATATCCATTCAACCACATGACTAATGCTAAATCAGCCAGCTGATGCATCGTTCTTGTATAACTGTTTCCGTCACATCAAAGACAAAAGAAAAAGAAAACAACATGCTCAGCACTTTTCAATAGAATTTTCTTCAATGGAAGAAATGTTCAATGGATGGAAATATTCTATATATGTGCTGTCCAATGTAGTAGCTTTTAGCCACATGTGGCTATTGAGCATTTGAAAAGTGCCTAGTCTCACTAACGATTGAATTTTAAAATTTAATTTAATCGTAATAAACATAAATTTAAACAACCACATGTGACTAGTGGCTACTGTATTGGACAGCAGAAGATGGTCTGAATAATTGTCCCTAGACCTATTTCTGTAATTTTTTACACTAACATTTGCATTGAGAAACAAGACAATTATGTCCCAACATTCATAATAATCTGCTTCAAGTTGCAGAATACGACTCTCCGTGCATCTCTTTAGTTATACTCGTAAGAGACTAAAGAGCACAGGGCACAGACTTGCTATTATGAGAGCCAATGTCTGACTCACCCAATCTTTATGCTTTGAGTTATGTATTTTTTTATTTATCCTCATTCGTAGTGTAATGATTTAACTAAGAAATTTTACATTTAAAAAATCTTATTTTGCAATACTGCCTCAAGCTTTTTGTGAATAATTTTTAAAATGACTTAAAAATTATTTCCATAGGTTTCTGGGGAAGAGGTGGTATTCTGTTACCTGAGTAAGTTCTTTAGTGGTGATTTGTGAGACTTTGGTGCACCCATGACCCGAGCAGTATACATTGAACCCAATTTGTAGTTTTTTATCCCTCACTCCCTTCCTACCCTTTCCCCTGAGTTTCCAAAGTACATTGTATCGTTCTTATGCCTTTGCATACTCATAGCTTAGCTCCCACTTATGAGTGAGAACACAGGATGTTTGGTTTTTCCATTCCTGAGTTACTTAGAATAACAGTCTCCGGTTCCATCCAGGTTCCTGCAAACGCCATTAATTTGTTCCTTTTTATGGCTGAAGAGTATTCCTTCATATATATATGAGAAGGGTTTTTCCGGTGTTATCTTCTAAAACTTTTATAGTTTCAGGCTTAGATTTAAATCTTTGATCCATCTTGAGTTGATTTTTGTATAAGGTGTGAGATGAGGATCCAGTTTCATTCTCCTACATGTGGCTTACCAATTATCCCAGCACTATTTGTTAAATAGGGTGTCCTTTCCCCACTTTATGCTTTTGTTTGCTTTGCCAAAGATCACTTGGCTGTAAGTATTTGGGTTTTTTCTGGGTTAAATATTCTGTTCCATTGGTCTATGTGCCTCTTTTTATACCAGTACCATGCTGTTCTATTTATAATTTGAAGTCAAGTAAAATATAATTTATTTATAATTTGAAGTCAAGTAATGTGATGCCTCCAGATTTGTTCTTTTTGCTTAGTATTGCTTTGGCTATGCAGGCTCTTTTTTGGTTCCATATGAATTTTAGGATGGATTTTTCTAGTCCTGTGAAGAATGATGGTGATATTTTGATGGGAATTGCATTGAATTTGTAGATTGCTTTTGGCAGTATGGTCATTTTCACAATATTGATTCTACCCACCCATGAGCATGGAATGTGTTTACATTTGTTTGTGTCATCTATGATGTTTTTCAGCAGTGCTTTGTAGATTTCTTTGTAGAGGCCTTTCACCTCCTTTGTTAGGTATATTCCTAAGTATTTTTTTTTTTGCAGCTGTTGTAAATGGGGTTGAGTTTTTGATTTGATTCTCAGCTTGGTTGCTGTTGGTGTATAGCATAGCTACTGATTTGTGTGCCTTAATTTTGTATCCTGAAACTTTGCTGAATTCATTTATCAATTCTAGGAGCTTTTTGGATGAGTCTTTATGGTTTTCTAGCTATACAATCATATCATAAGCAAACAATGACAGTTTGACTTCCTCTTTACCGATTTAGATGCCTTTATGTCTTTCTCTTGTCTGATTGCTCTGGCTAGGACTTCCAGTATTATGTTGAATAGAAGTGGTGAGATTGGGCATCCTTGTCCTTGTTTTAGTTCTCAGAGAGAATGCTTTCAACTTCTCCCTGTTCCATATTATGTTGGCTGTGAGTTGGTCATAGTTGGCTTTTATTACATTGAGGTATGTCCCTTGTGTGCCGATTTTGCTAAGAGTTTTAATCATAAAGAGATGCTGGATTTTGTCAAATGCTTTTTCTACATCTATTGAGATGATCATGTGATTTTTGTTTTTAATTCTGTTTATGTGGTGTATCACATTTATTGACTTGCATAAGTTAAACCATCCCTGCATCCCTGGTATGAAACCCACTTGATCATGGTGGCTTATCTTTTTGATATGCTGTTGCATTCGATTAGCTAGTATTTTGTTAAAGATTTCCTATCTATGTTTATTAGGGATATTGGTCGGTAGTTTTCATTTTTTGTTATGTCCTTTCCTGGTTTTAGTATTAGGGTGATACTGGCTAAATAGAATAATTTAGAGAGGATTCCCCCTTTCTCTATCTTCTGGAATAGTGTCAATAGGATTTGAATATCTGATAGAATTCAGCTGTGAACCCATCTTGTCCTGCACTTTTTTCTGTTGGTATTTTATTAATTATCATATCAATCTCACTGCTTGTTATTGGTCTGTTCAGAGTTTCTACTTCCTTCTGATATCAGCTAGGAGGGTAGTATATATCCAGAAATTTATCCATCTCCTCTAGGTTTTCTAGTTTATGCACATAAAGGTGTTCATAGTAGCCTTGAATGGTCTTTTGTATTTCTGTGGTGTCACATGTAATATCTCCGATTTTGTTTCCAGTTGAGCTTATTTGGATCTTCTCTCTTTTTTTCTTGGTTAATCTTGCTAATGATCTATCAATTTTATTTATCTTTTTGAAAAAAACAGCTTTTCGTTTCATTTATCTTTTGTATTTTTTTTGTTTTAATTTCACTTTATTCTCCTCTGATCTTGGTTATTTCTTTTCTTCTGCTGGGTTTGGGTTTGGTTTGTTCTTGTTTCTCTAGTTCCTTGTGGTATGACCCTAAATTGTCTATTTGTACTCTTCCAGACTTTTTGATGTAGGCACTTAAGTCTATGAAATTTCCTCTTAGCACTGCCATTGCTGTATCCCTAACAATAATTGGTGTTCCTGAGAAAAAAGAGAAATCTAAAAGTTTGGAAAGCGTATTTGAGAGAATAATCAAGAAAAACTTCCCTGGCCTTGCTAAAGATCTATACATCCAAATGTAAGAAACCCAAAGAATACCTGAAAAATTCATGACAAAAAGATTATCACCTAGGGATATAGTCATGAAGCTATCTAAGGTCAAGACGAAGAAAAGAATCTGAAGAGCTGTGAGGCAAAAGCTTCAGGTAACCTATAAAGGAAAACCTATCAGATTACCAGCAGATTTATCAGCAGAAATCCCAAAAGCTAGAAGAAATTTGAGTCCTATCATTAGCTTCATTAAAAAATAAACACAATTATCAGTCAATAATTTTGTATCCAGCAAAACTAAGCTTCATAAATGAAGAAAAGATATGGTCTTTTTTTAGACAAACAAATGCTGAGAAAGTTTGGCACTACCAAGCCAGGACTACAAGAACTGCTAAAAGGTGCTCTAAATCTTGAAACAAATCCCCAAAATACACCAAAATAGAACCTCCTTAAAGCACAAATTTCATAGGACATATAAAACTATAACACAATGAAAAAAAAAACACATATTCACGCAACAACTAGAACAACAAATAGACTAGTACCCCACATCTCAATGATATTGAATGTAAATAGCCTAAATGCTTTACTTAGAAAATACAGAATTGCAGAATGAATAAGAACTCACCAACCAAGTATCTTCTGTCTTCAAGGCACTCACCTAACACATAAGGACTCACATAAACTTAAGGTAAAGGGGTGGAAAACATATTTCATGCAAATTGACATCAAAAGCAAGCACAAGCAGCTATGCTTATATCAGTCAAAACAAATTTTAAAGTAACAAAAGTTTAAAAATACAAAGAGGGACATTATATAATGATAAAAGGAATAGCCCAAAAGGAAAATATTTCAATTCTAAGTATATATGCATCTAACACTGAAGGTCCCTGATTTATAAAACAATTACTACTAGACCTAAAAAATTAGATGGACAGAAACACAATATGAGTGGACTTCAGTACTCCACTGACAACACTAGACCAGTCATCAAGACAGAAAGTCAGCAAAGAAAGAATGGACTTAAACTATATCCTAGAATAAATGGAGTTAACAGGTATTTACAGAATATATTATCCAACAACTGCAGCATATGCATTCTTTTCATTAGCACATGAAACATCATCCAAGATAGACAGTTTGATAGGCCACAAACAAGTCTCAATCAATTTAAGAAAATCAAAATTGTATCAAGTACTCTGTTAGTTCATTTTCATTCTGCTGATAAAGATATACCCAAGACTGGAAATTTACAAAAGAAAGAGGTTTAATAGACTTACATTTTGTATATGGCTGGAGAGGCCTCGTAATCACAGTTGAAGGCAAGGAGGTGCAAGTCACATCTTATACGGATGGCAGCAGGCAAAGTGAGACAGGTTGTTCAAGGGAAGTCCTCTGTATAAAACCATCAGATCTCATGACTCATTCACTATTATGAAAACAACATGGGAAAGACCTGCCCCCATGATTCAATTACCTCCTACAGAGCCCCTTCCACAACATGTGGGAATTCAAGATGAGTTTTGGGTGGGAACACAGCCAAACTATATCATTCTGCCACTGGTCCCTCCCAAATCTCATGTTCTCACATTTCAAAACCAATCATGCCTTCCCAACAGTCTCCCAAATTCTTAACTTATTTCAGCATTAACTCAAAAGTACACAGTCCGAAGTCTCATCTGAGACAAGGCAAGCCCCTTCCACCTATGAGCCTGTAAAATCAAAAGTTACATCAAGTAGTTACATCCTAGATACAATGGGAGTACAGGCAATGGGTAAATACAGCAATTCCAAATGGGAGAAATTGACCAAAACAAAGGGACTACAAGGCCCCATGCAAGTCTGAAATCCAGTGGGGCAGTCAAATCTTAAAGCTCCAAAATGATCTCCTTGGACTCCATGTCTCACATCCAGGTCACACTGATGCAAGAGGTGGGTTCCCATGGTCTTGGGTGAACCCACCCATGTGGCTTTGCCGAATACAGCCTCCCTCCTGGCTGCTTACACGGGCTGATATTGAGTGTCTGTGGCTTTTCCACATGCACAGTGCAAGCTGTTGGTAGATCTGCCATTCTGGGATCTAGAGGGTGGTGACCCTCTTCTCACAGCTCCACTAGGTGGTGCCCCAATAGGGACTCTGTGTTAGGGCTCTGACCCCACATTTTCTTTCTGCAGTATCCCAGCAGAGGTTCTCCATGAGGGCCCCACCTCTGCAGAAAACTTCTGCCTGGGTATCCAGGCATTTCCATACATCCCCTGAAATCTAGGCAGAGGTTTCCAAACCTCAGTTCTTGACTTCTGTGTACCCACGGGCTCAACAGCACATGGAAGCTGCCCCGAAGGCTTGGGGCTTCCACCCTCTGAAGCAATAGCCCAAGCTGTACTTTGGCCTGTTTTAGCCACTGATGGAGCAGCTGGGACACAGGGCACCAAGTCCCTAGGCTGTACAGAGCAGAGATACCCTAGGCCAAGCCCACAAAACCATTTTTTTCTCCTAAACCTCCGGGCCCGTGATGGGAGGGGATGGTGCAAAGGCCTCTGACATGCTCTGGAGAAATTTTCCCCATTGTCTTGGTGACTAACATTTGGCTCCTTTGCTCCAGTTCCAAACAAGTTCCTCATCTCCATCTGAGACCACCTCAGCCTGCATTTCATTGTCCAAATTATTATTAGCATTTTGTTCAAAGCCGTTCAACAAGTCTCTAGGCAGTTCCAAACTGTCCAACATTTTCCTGTCTACTTCTGAGCATTCCAAAGTGTTCCAACCTCTGCCTGCTACCCAATTTCAAAGTCACTTCCACATATTGGGGATTTTTTTCAACACTGCCCCACTCTACTGGTATCAATTTTCTGTATTAGTTTGCCTTCATACTGGTGATAAAGACATACCTCAGGCTGGGCAATTTATAAAAGAAAGGGATTTAATGGACTTAGAGTTCCACATGGCTGGGGAAGTCTCACAGTCATGGCAAAATGCAAGGAGGAACAAGTCATGACTTACATGGATGGCAGCAAGCAAAGAGAGAGAGTTTGTTCAGGGGAACTCCTGTTTATAAAACCATCAGATCTCGTGACTCTTATTCACTATCATGTGAACAGCATGGGAAAGTCCTGCCTCCATGATTCAGTTACCTCCCACTGGGTCCCTTCCACAACACATGGGAATTCAACATGAGATTTGGATGGGGACACAGCCGAACTATACCAAGTACTCTCTCAGACCACAGTGGAATAAAACTGGAAATCACCTCAAAAGGGAACCCTTAAAACCATGCAAATAAATGGAAATTAAATAACCTGCTCCTGAATGATCATTGGTTCAACTATGAAATCAAGATCGAAATTAAAAAGTTCTTTGAACTGAATGATAATACTGACACAACCTATCAAAACCTCTGGGATACAGCAAAAGCAGTGCTAAGAAGAAAGTTCATAGCATTAAAAGCCTACAACAAAAAAGTCTGAAAGAGCACAAATAGACAACGTAATGACACACCTCAATGAACTAGAGAAACAAAAACAGACCAAACGTAAACCAAGGAGAAAAAGAAATATCAAATATCAGAGCACAACTAAATAAAATTGAAAAAACAAAATTTGTTTTCTGGTTGTTTTGTTGTTTTCTTTTCCTTCTTTTCTTCCTTCCTGTTTTCCTTTCAGTGAAGGTAATTTTCTCTGGTGATATGATTAATTTATTGCTTTTTATTTTTTGTGTATTTGTATGTTTTTTTTTAATTTGAGGCTACCAAAAGGCTTTCAAACACTATCTTACAGCTTGTTATTTTAAACTGATGACAACTTAAACAATAGAATAAAGAGACAAAAAATCACCCAAAAGAAAACTAATAATTACTCTACAATTTAACTTTATCCCCTTGTTTTTTTAAAATTTTGTTTGTTTCTATTTATATCTGATTGTACAGTCAATGCCTTAAAAAGTTGTTATTTTTATTTTTAGTTCATCTTTTTATCTTTCTACTTAAGATTAGTAGTATACAAACCACAATTATAATGTTATAATATTCTGTATATTTCTGTAAACTTACTATTACCATTGAGTTTTGTACATTTAGAAGATTTTTTATTGCTCGTTAACATTTTTTCTCTTTCAGATTGAAGAAATGTCTTTAATATTTCCTGTAGGGCAGGTCTGGTGTTAATTAAACCCCTGAGCTTCTGTTTGCCTGGAAACTTTTTATTTCTCTCTCATGTTCAAAGTATATTTTCACCAGGTATACTATTCTAGTGTAATTTTTTTTTATCACCACTTTAAATATATTATGCCATTCTCTCCTGGACTGTAAGGTTTCCACTGAAAAGTCTGCTGCCAGAAATATTGAGGCTCTGTTGTATGTTATTTGTTTCTTTTCCTTGATTCTTTTAGGATACTTTTTGTATCCTTAACCTTTGGGAGTTTGATTATGAAATGCCTTGAGGTAGTCTTATTTGGGTTAAATCTGCTTGATGTGCTCGAACCTTCTTGGGCTTAGAACTGACATATTTCTGTAGGTTTGGGAAATTCTCTGTTATTCATTCAAGTAAAGTTTCTACTCTTCTTCTCTCTACCTCCTCTTTAATTCCAATAACTCTTGGATTTTCCCTTTTGAGACTATTTTATAGATCTTACAGGAATGCTTCATGTTTTTATTGTTTTTTCTTTTGTCTCCTCTGACTGCGTATTTTCACATTTCTGGTCTTCAAGATCACTAATTCTTTCTTCTCCTTGATCAATTCTATTAAGAGACTCTGATGCATTCTTCAGTATGTCAATTCCAATATTCAACTCCAAATTCCTCCTTGATTCATCTTAATTATCTCAATCTTTTTAAAATTTATCTGGTAGACTTCTGAATTTCTTCTCTGCATTATCTTAAATTTTATTAAGTTTCCTGAAAACAGCTCTTTAAAAATTTCTGTCTGAAATTTTCATATTTCTGTCTCTTCTGGATTGATCCCTTGTGCTTTATTTAGTTCCTTTGGTGAGATTATGTTTTCCTGGATGGTCTTGGTGCTTGTGGATGTTCATTGGTGTACGGACATTCTAGAATTAGGTACTTATTTTAGTCTTTACAGTTCGAGCTTGTTTTTACCCGGCTGTCTTGGGAAAGCTTTTCATATATTGGAAGTAACTTGAGTGTTATTATCTAAGTTTCTGGTCACTGCAGCCATATCTGCACTGGGGGGTACCCCAAGCCTAGGAATGCTGTGTTTATTGTAGACTCATAGAATTACAACCTTGGTGGCCTTGGATAAGATCCAGAATAATTATTTGGATTACCAAGCAGAGACTCTTTTTCTCTTCCCTTACTTTCTCTTAAGCAAATTAAGTCTCTCTTTGTGCTTAGCTAACTGTAGTTGGGGAAGGTTTGACACAAGCACCTCTGTTGTCATCACCATTTGCACTGATATGAGTCAGACCTGAAACCAGCACAGCACTGGGTCTTGTCCAAGGTTCACTGTAACCAATACATGGCTAATGCTTATGTTCACTCAAGGCCCTAAGGCTCTATAAGCAGCAGTAGGTGAAGTCAGCCAGGATTATGTTTTTCTCTTCAGGGCAGCAGGAACCCCTGGGCCCTGGACAGGTTCAGAGATGCCATCCAGGAGCCAGAACCTTGAGTCAGAAACCATAGACATGTTCCTAGTGCTCCATTCTACTGAGGCTGACCAGGCACTCAACTCACAAGACAAATTCCTTCCCATTTCTCCTTCCCCTTTCCCCAGGCAGAGGTTTCCCTCCCTGTTTCAACTGCCAAAACAGGCCCACAGACGGTACCATCAGGCCACTGCCAATGCTTACTTAAGGCCCAAGGGCTCTTCAGTTGGCTTGTGATTAATGTTGCCAGGCCTGGGCCTCACCCTTCATGCCAGTGGGCTCTGCTTTGCCCCAGGGCCAGTTCAAAAATGTTATCCAATAGCCAAGGCCTGGAATCCAGGACCCCATGAGCCCACTTGGTGCTCTACCTTACTGTGGACAAGCTGGTACCCAAAATGCAAGACAAAGTCCCCCTTACTCTTCCTTCTGCTTTTCTTAAGCAGAAGGTATCTCTTCATAGCCACTGCAGCTGGGAATGTGTTGGGCTACACCTGAAGCCAGCACATGTCAGTCTCTTTCAGGGCCAAGGGTGAGCACTATCTAGTTACTGCTGCTGATTATTCATGGCCCAAGGGCTCTTTGGTAAGCAGATTATGAGTCCTGCCAGGACTAGGTCCTTCCCTTCAAGTCAACATGTTCCCTTCTGGCCCATGCTTTGTCTAAAAATGACATCTGGGAGCTAGGGCCTGGAATGGCACACTCACAACTCTGCCCAGTGCTCTGTCCTGCTGGGGCTGAGCTAGTAACCAAGTCTCCAAACAAAGACCTCTTTACTCCCCCATTTCCTCTTCTCAAGCAGCAAGAAGGAGCCTCTTTTGGAGTTGAAAGCTGCACTGACTAGTGTCATGGGATGGGATGGCACAAGTACTCCTTTAGTTGCCCTGGCTGGTGTCTGAATAGGTAGCATGAGCCTCATGTCCAGTGGCTCCAAGCCTAGAATAGCACTAAGACTTGCCTAAGAGTTGCAGTCCTTGTGGCCCAGAATGCCTTTCAAGTTTCTTTAGGATCCCAGAGCACTTTAGCCCACACTGATGAGGTTTGTTAAAACTCAAGTTTTGATCATTGGGATGGGTGTTTGCCCTCTGGCTAGGACGTCTTAAATGCTCCCTCTATAGGTATCAGTTGAGTTCTGCCCAGTGTTGGCATCACAGTGTTCCAATGCAAACTCCCACAATCGCTGTGCTCTTCCCGACCAAACAGATTCTCTCTCCATCCAACATGGCCAGTAATCAGGAATGGGAGCAGTGGTGTCGGAAATTCAAGACTGTCTTTCATACCCTCTTCAGTACCTCTTTCAGCAATATGAAGTTAAAACCAGGCACTGTGATCACTCACCTGATTTTTTGTTCTTATGAAAGTACTTTTTTGAGTAGATAGTTATTATATTTGGCATTCCTATGGGGAAGACAATCAGTGGAGCCTTCTATTTGGCCATCTTAATCTGCCTCCCCCACCCTAAATTGAAATTTAGATTGGTGTAATTCATCAATTCACCACCAGGATTGGCCAGCTTTCTAGGAAATAATATTCTGCAACTTCCTTTGTTTAATGGTCCACCGGAAATTTAGTATCATATTCTCACTCGGACCCTCCATTAGGGTTAACACATCCTCACATTCCAACTGTGATGATTTACAAAATAGAATTTAAAGAGGTAAGAAAAGCCTCCCCTAAAAAAGCATGGTTAATGTAGAATACCTAATAGTTCCCTGGAAAACTATGCAAAATATCATGGAAGAAACCCACCCACAGCCAGATAGATCTATATGCATATTCAAAAGAAACAATCACCATTGCTTATGCCATCTTGATGTTGAATTACTTAAAAGATTATATGTTGCCTTGGGCTATAATAAAGACTTAAAAATAGATACCACCTCAATCCCCCCACCCCCCATAAATTAGCAATAACCTTGTTTTTATTTGTCTGTTGGACTCTTTATTATTCATTCTTCTAGGACCAGTTCAAATGCCAGCTTCTCCAAAAAGCCTCCAACTGTTCCCCAAGTTGATTTCGATTCATTTCCTCACTACTTACACATATCCCTATGTATTCTCTATGAAAATTGTGAGCTCTTCAGAGGCACCACACAGTCTACTGTGTACATAGTTCCTAGAATAGTATCCATTATGTTAGAATATGCTTAAGTAATGTTTGCTGAGTGCATGATTGTTACTTTAGCTACGGGGGCCGTTATGCTTCAGAAAAATTCACTCTGAGGAACCCAAGCATTTTCCAAATTAATTTTTGTCTTCTAGTTTCCATGAAGGCCAACCTTCTATCTGAGTACATGATACAGCTGCCTGCATATTTTGATATGAGAATGTGAAAGGACTCAATTTATATTTTCCCAGAGCCTAATAGCCAAGAATTTTTAAAATGTGCATTCAATTAATAATATTAAAAGTAAGATTGGCTGGGCACCGTGGCTCACGCCTGTAATCCCAGCACTTTGGGAGGCCAAGGTCGGGGGATCATCTGTGGTCAGCAGTTCAAGACCAGCCTGGCCAACATGGTGAAACCCCATCTCTACCCAAAATACAAAAATTAGCTAGGTGTGGTGGCGGGTGCCTGTAATCCCAGCTACTCAGGAGGCTGAGGCAGGAAAATCGTTTGAACCTGAGAGGCAGAATTTGCGGTGAGCCAAGATCACTTCACTCCATTGCACTCCAGCCTGGGTGACAAGAGTGAAGCTCCTTCTCAAAATAATAATAATATTTTAGTAAATGATAGCTGCTGTTCTATGCTATAAGTTGTTTAAATCCATTATCTATTTAATCCTCTTAGTGCTCACTTTATTAAGTTGAGTTGGCTTGGGGATTTGTTCATGATTCACACTTCATACACAAGGAAACTTAGGCTCAGAGATGATTAATATATTAATACATTTCCCAAAGTCAGATAGTAAATGAATCATAGTGAAACTTGAATTGTCATCTGCTTGTCTAGGTACATAACTGGCATGTTTAACAGCACTTTAATTTGTTGCTGCTTACCAAAGGAGATATGTTAGTTCATCTCATTACCAAATGAACATCAACACTCACTCTACAGAGAGTTTGGCTCTGTACAAAGAATGCAGTTATATTTTAATGAGAAAGATAAGTGGAGAAAAATTAAGGGAGTCAGGTATTGCTGAATAAGGACTTACTAGAGTAAGGTACTGATTATAATCTGTGAGATTAAGTTCTTATGAGAGAGAGAATTTTGAAACTGTAAACAAGCATCCCACCGTTATATTTAAGACTTATTACGAACAATAGTAGTTGTTACAATAAGATATGCTACTGATGGAAATGTGTTCTTCATATTAATAGCATGAACATAGAAAATAAAATGGGCACGAAAGGAGATGAGGAACACTCAAAGAGGTCTACAGAAAAGGATCTGCAAAATAAACTTTGCAGACTTCTCAGTTCAGGCTAGAGCTGACTCAGGTGCTGGAACATCAGTATTAAGAGGATTTTTAGGGGGTGGTTAAAGGGAATGAGTTAACAGAATAAATTCTGGCTTTAGGTTGACTTTGTGTGGGCCTTTCTTTTAGAGACCTGAAGGGAGTCAGCTCAGAGAGACATGTTAACCCCTGGAGCTTCCAGGACATTCTTTATAAAGGTGACAATTTACTCTTTACTCATTCACCCATTGTCACTTTTATCATTCAGAAGTCTCTTATCTACTTTCAACTTGTAGTAGATCTTATCCATCTATCTCAGACCTACAGAGCCTCTGAGATAATTAATATTCTGGAAGCCAAACACCAGTTAATTTTTTTATTAATTGATTTTTTTCCATGAAATTGAGGGCTAGTATTTAGGCTTGTCTCTTGATCTAAATCAGGTGTTCTCCACATAGCCATGCCACCAGAGTCTCCTGAAGAATAAAATGCTCCAGACTGAGGCTCAGAAGAAAATAAAAGAAAAATTCTTTGCACATATGTCAAAAATCTAATGTACTAGTACTTCATCAACAGTTACTGGCAGTAACAATCTAAAGCTTACCACCAGAAGCTTCCCATTATTTTGGCTTATCTCTCCTCTCTTCCCATTATTTCCATCTCACATTTCTGTCTTTATTCCTCTTCTTTAATGTACTGTTATATGACTCATAAGTCCCATACACATATTTCTTAACCCTGCTAATGATTCTTGTGGCTGAACAGCTTTCAGAGCGTAAGTGTATACATTTTATGCCCAAAGGAATACTCATTTTATTATGAATACCCATCTTTGAATTGCTCAGTGATTTTTAAAGTCATGCCTCAGACTTGGACAAAGAAATCAGTGTCTTCAGGTATAACTGTCGGTTGGGGAGGGGTGGCACAAAAGGACCACCTAGGGCTGAACCTCAGACTTCTCCCATACTCTTCAACTTGAGTAACACCGATTTTACATATTTTATATATTATGCTGTCTTGTGATATGAAATTTTCAGTGGGACTTTAGATACTTGAGTTAACTGGAAAAGTGTAGCTGTAACAGTGGCGGCAGTGTTTTGTCTTCAGCAGGGAGAATGGCGATTCACCTGTGGGCAGATGTTCTTTGGAAAAAGACATTGAAAAAAACTTCCCTTGATTTTAATTGTACTTCCAAAAAATATGTTTTCCTGATAAATGAATAAGTTAACATTTTAATTTCAATATTTATCAGATATGAAACTATCATAAGGATCTACTTTCCAGTTTTATTTTAAAGAAATGAAAATTTTCCACGTGTATTATATGTAAAGAAGTTTGCTCACCTTTTCATATTACAATTGACTATTCGCTCTTCTGTGTGACTCTTATATTTTGGAATTAATTTAAGATAGAAATTAGCAAGGCCACTGTGTATAGCTTTAGAAATGAAAATCAGTATCTAAACTTCGTTCAGGCTAATATCTAATCAACTTTGGTTATAACATTTTTTAAAAAAATGTATTTGAGTTATGATTACATTCAGTAAAATGCACAGATCTTAAATGCACCCTTTGATTAGTTTTGACAAATGTCTACACCTAACACCCAACACCCCAATCAAGATGCAGAACATTGCCATCGTCGTAGAAAGTTTTCTTGTGTCCCCTGCACCTCACAGAGGCAATCACTTTTCTGATTTATATTTTTATAGATAGAATTTGAGAAAATGGAATCATATGGTGGTGACTATTTTGGGTCTGGCTTCTTTAACTGAGTATAGTGTTTATTAGATTCATTCATGTCATTGCAGTTCTCAGTAGTCTTTTTTTGGTTGTTGAATAGGAGTTTATGTGTAGAGGTTCTACAGTTTTTTATTTATTCTTTTGCTGATAAATAGATGGGTAATTTTCTTTATTTTATTTTGTTTTATTATTATTATACTTTAAGTTTTAGGGTACATGTGCACAATGTGCAGGTTAGTTACATATGTATACATGTGCCATGTTGGTGTACTGCACCCATTAACTCATCATTTAGCATTAGGTATATCTCCTAATGCTATTCCTCCCCCCTCCCCCCACCCCACAACAGTCCCCAGAGTGTGATGCTCCCCTTCCTGTGTCCATGTGTTCTCATTGTTCAGTTCCCACCTATGAGTGAGAACATGCGGTGTTTGGTTTTTTGTCCTTGCGATAGTTTACTGAGAATGATGATTTCCAATTTCATCCATGTCCCTACAAAGGACATGAACTCATCCTTTTTTATGGCTGCATAGTATTCCATGGTATATATGTGCCACATTTTCTTAAGAAAATTTAGATGAATGTATAACTAGAAAAACCAATACAGAGAAGTGCTTAAAGGAGCTGATAGATGGATAATTTTCAACATATTTCTGTCATGACTGAGTGGCTATAAGCATCTTTGTACAAATTTTTGTGTAGGCACATGTTTTCATGTTTCTTTAGTCATGAAGTTGTGCCATTTTGCGCTCCCACCAGGAATATACGAGAGATCTACCAGCTCTCCAACTCTCTAAAATTGAATGTTGTTATTCTTTTAAATTGTAGCCATTCCAGTGGATGTAGCGCTATATCATTGTGTATTTAACTTGAATTTTTATAATTATCAATGCTAATTTTACATCTTTCTTGTTTTTATTGGCCACTTCTATTTCTACTTATTCAAGTGTCTGTCCAAGTCTTTTGCTCATTTTTATTTGAATTTGTTTTTATTATTTGTAAGAGTTCTTTATATAATAATGATACAAATCTATTGTCAAATGCACACACATACACATATATAGAGGGAAAACAGAGAGGGATATTTCTTAATTCTGTCATATATGTATCTACACTCTATTTGCTAGTGATATACTAATACGTAGGCACACACAGTTTTCAGGATAGCATGTTACCAAACATTTTGAATGCGTTCACCCCAGACCTTGGAAGATGCAGGAAAAGTGTAAGAATGATTTGGATAGAAGCGTGGAGTCTCAGAAGGAAAAGGGATAGAGTTTTAGCCACTCTTTTTAGAGATTCAAAGCTACCAATGCCTTGATGTTTGAATTAGAAAGCCCCAAAGAAGACAAAAAAGTGGGGGTAATACAGTCAGATTCACCATATTCCACACCAGGGCTGCATCATTTGAGTAGGGCATGATATACTGATTCTGTGCACAGTATGTAATGAATGCTGAACTTGATCTGGTATTAGGAATGCTGAAAACCTGGGAAAGTTTTAAGAAAAATAGATTTTTCCATATAGAAATTTCAGGTAGTATTTATTAAAACTGTAACAACTGGGGGCTAAAACAAGTTTACCATGTGTAGCAATGGCTAAACATAACACCACGGAAGTGAGGAGGTATAGACCCCTTCATTACATGACAAACTACTGAAGGTAGGAAGGCTAGAAGTAGTAAATGGGCCCTTTTCCAGAACTTCTTAGTTTTTGTATTACTTGAGTGTTTTGAGGAAAAAATTATGTATGTAAAAAAAGTTGCTTGAGTTTTCTGTTACTTTCTTTGAAAGAATACAAATCACAGATTTTTTTAGCTTGTAATTTACCTTCTAAATTGAGATACCTTTGATGAGGCCACAGAGTAACATGCTGTGTGTTTTGTTCTTTAGCTGTTCCTCATCTTTTCTAAGGCCTTGCTTAAGCAGAATCACTGCAGGAAACTGCACATTAAAAAGCCACTCAGCTGAGAAAGTACACATTGTTCTTGTATGTGCTTATGCAGTCAGCACAGATGTAGCCAAAGTCCCCATCAAGCTTCCAATAAAAACACAAGGAAAAATGACGCTTGTGTTCTCATTTTTCCAACATCCTGAAGATTCTCTCTTCTGATCCTGATCTTTGAATGCCAAATTCCATAGCTCTCCAGATCATTTTTCTTTTGGAAACACATGGTAGATAATATTTCTTAGAAATACGATGGCTTTTATTTAATTAGGTGACTTTGCATAGTTTGAGGAGAACTAAATCCATTTGGGGATGTAAGACAGGGGTGGGAGAGTGCCTATAATAAGTGAGCAATCTCCTCAAGAAAACTTGCTATCTGTTTTCAAGGAGAGAAAGTGTATGTATAAACTTAAAAAAAAAAAAAGAGGCCACATGCACCTGTGGATACCAGTGTGTGTGTTCAAATAAAGAGAGAAAGATAAAATATGGTACAGAGAAAAGTCAAAAAACTGAATGAAACAAATTTCAAAAAGCTTTACAAAAATGTGAGTTTATTGACAGGTTTTGTGAAACATAAAATATGTGTATTGTAACGTGGCCATTCCTGGATTCTTCTCCACTAGAGTGATACATGAAGTATTCAGGACACTTCTGAGAAAAGAAGGGGAGAACCAAGAAAAATCTCTGCTACTAAAGCATGAAGACTATGAACATGAAGGGAGATGACCTCATCTGTAAGAGGTAGGACCAGTCATTAAAACTCTATCAGAAATACAAGGAGGTATGGATCCAATTTATTTAATTCAGATAACTGTCAACATCAAAAAGGTGTGATATAAAATCAATTGTGCTAGATTAATTAATTCAACAAATTTTTATGAGCACTTTCTATATACCTGGTAGTCTTCTGTGTTCCAAGAATATATCAGTGAAGTATACAGGCAAAAACCTCTGCCTTATTAGAGCTCATGTACTAGTGTAGGAAAAGTGAAAACAAACATAATTAGTACATTATATTATAGGTCATAAGGTGAAGAAAGCTACGGAGAAAAATAAATGGAAGTAATCACAGAAAAAAATGGCATTTTAGCAAAGTTTTGAGGGAGATGTGGGTTAGATGAAACATTAAAATTTCTGTCAGTGATAGACTTTGGCATGTGGTAAAAACTGGGTTGCTATTTAAGCGAGTTTGATTAAAGGCATTGGTGACTGAAAACAAGTCTTGGCTATCTCTCAGAGAAGCCTAGAGAACTGGGGATTCACTGAGTAACAACTAGCACCTGACCACCTGAAGAAGAAGACAGCCAGTTGTCAATATCCAAGAGCAAAAGTGAAGTAAGCAAACTGGCTACATTCATTAAGGTAATAGGGGGAAGAAATGACACTGTAGGTCCCAGCACTCTGTTCACCTCTATGCTTTTGTAGAATCGGTATTGAATAGTTGAAGATTAAATCTAGATCCTACTTGCTAGTTTGGAGGAAACATCTTAATATGCTATGGAATAGTCTTGCATAGTAGACAAACAGAAGGAAGGCATATGGTTACTCAGAGTTCTTTTTGGCAGTTTCTTGCTCATTCTTCAGATTCAGGTGAGTGTATGTATAAGAAAGAGTCAACTGTCTTCTATATCCTTTTAGGAAGAGAATTGGACTAAGAACATCCATGTCTTCAATAGCAAGCATCTGAGACCACTTCTTCCTGGATAAGGAAAAACCATTATTTTAAACCTTCTCTTTCTTCACTTATTGTATGGAAAATGTTATTTGAAATGAATGGTAAATATCATGTTAATTCTTCCATTATCTTTTAAAATAATCAATGGCATAAACACTTGAAGCTTCAGTGTGTATGTGTGCCCCATTTAATTTAGTCAATAAGATTAACTTAAGTAATAATTCTGCACACATTTCCTAAAAAAATTTAAGATACTGAATGATTGTCACATTAGTAAAACATTACTTTAAAGCCTTGATGTGGTTCAAACTAGGATACAAGTAATTCCTTGCTAGGTACAGTGTTGCAAGGATTCAAATTAAACTACGATATGAGCTTTGTAATGAGGTTGTTACAGAATAGAATTAGGCAAAGCAAAACAAACCAGCACTCTTTTCTTAGTTACCAAAGACTCTCAGAGAATCTTAGAGTATTGATGATAAATTAGGTACTAAAAGCTATTATAAACATTCACAAATTATGCAACCTACATATAGGAAGGAAAATATGGTCTAAGGTGGCACAAGTTAGTGGTGGAAATAGGGATAGAACCTAGATTGCTTGATATCCAGCTATCTGCTTATGTTGGTTTATCACGCAACTTCTCATTGTATTGTAGTCAGAGCTACAGGCTGACTCACAATTAGAGAACTGCTCTTTTAAGTTGTTGAGCTGGGAGAGGTGAACATTAATATTAGTATACGGTAAAACTTTAAAGAGTGGGGAAATTGATGTTTTTAACAGCACTTGCATATTCAAAAAAATTGAGTAGGGTTATGGGTCCAAAATAAGAGCTAAATCTTATACTATTACATCATTTTGGGAATGTATTACTCGATTTTGTGGGTAAGTAGTAGATTTAACTTTTTAATATGTTTTAGTTTATGCAAACTTCCTACAGTGGAGTGGAGACCTCTGGTTTTCTGATTTCTACCCACCCCTAAACTCCCCAAAAAACTAGTCATAAATAAGATTTTTTTATTTTTTTATGTTTATTTTTTGTATTATTATTAGACTTTAAGTTTTAGGGTACATGTGCACAATGTGCAGGTTAGTTACATATGTATACATGTGCCATGCTGGTGTGCTGCACCCATTAACTCGTCGTTTAGCATTAGGTGTACCTCCTAATGCTATCCCTCCCCTCTCACCCCACCCCACAACAGTCCCCAGAGTGTGATGTTCCCCTTTCTGTGTTCATGTGTTCTCATTATTCAATTCCTGCCTATGAGTGAGAACATGAGGTGTTTGGTTTTTTGTCCTTGCGATAGTTTACTGAGAATGATGATTTCCAATTTCATCCATGTCCCTACAAAGGACATGAACTCATCATTTTTTATGGCTGCATAGTATTCCATGGTGTATATGTGCCACATTTTCTTAATCCAGTCTATCATTGTTGGACATTTGGGTTGGTTCCAAGTCTTTGCTATGGTGAATAGTGCCGCAATAAACATACGTGTGCATGTGTCTTTATAGCAGCATGATTTATAGTCCTTTGGGTATATACCCAGTAATGGGATGGCTGGGTCAAATGGTATTTCTAGTTCTAGATCCCTGAGGAATCGCTGCACTGACTTCCACAATGGTTGAACTAGTTTACAGTCCCACCAACAGTGTAAAAGTGTTCCTAGTTCTCCACATCCTCTCCAGCACCTGTCGTTTCCTGACTTTTTAATGATCGCCATTCTAACTGGTGTGAGATGGTATCTCATTGTGGTTTTGATCTGCATTTCTCTGATGGCCAGTGATGGTGAGCATTTTTTCATGTGTTTTTTGGCTGCATAAATGTCTTCTTTTGAGAAGTGTCTGTTCATGTCCTTCGCCCACTTTATGTGTGACCATTGTGAAACAGAGCTATTCAAATAAAATAAGGACAACCATAAAGAAATCAGAAGATCAAGGAAATAACTCCAATATGTCTAACTGTAGAAAAGAGATTTCAATAACAGGCTTCCCTTGCAGAGTGTGTTAGTATTTGCTTAACTGTATGATGTGAAAATTACACTTAGGGTATGTGCCCTTTTTACATCTCTTGTTCATTGTCTTTCCAGAGGCATGGGAACCTAACATAGCAGGAAATACCGTGGAAGTAGGATGTATCATGTGTTTATATGTGTGTGTGCTTATGTGTGGTGGAGACGGGCAGGGTGATGAAAGAAGGCAGCTAGGCATCAGGCAAACATCCTTTACCTAGACTGACAGTAAAAAAAAAAAAAAAGAAAAAAGAAAAAAACCCAGAAATTTGACATGAGTATCGCATATTGTCCCTATTAATCTTTTGTTTACAATCCTTTAAATACAGAAAAAGGTGAATAACAACTACTCATCATACTCAAGCTGGATAACATTGCTCAGTTTAATTTAAAAACATTTTAACATATGGCAAAAAAAGAAATTTCATCAGGAGAATGTATTAATCAAGAAGAGAGTGAAATATTTGAAAGCATTGCAGAGAAGGATAAATTGCCTTCTATTACTGAAGATGGTTTTTATAGAATAGGGGATGTCAAATATTGGAAGAGAGTAGCAATATTATGAAATATCCACAGTCCAGAGTGAATTTCAATATAATTAGCTTTTTTATGTTACCACTTCTTCTAGCACAAAGGCTCTCTACATATAATGACTACTTGACTCACTCATTCATTAAATAAATATGTGATGTATGGTTATCCTGTGAGAATACATCACAGGATAACATGCTAGAAATACATGTACTGATGTACATGCTAGAAATACAACAATGAACAATATAGCCACAATTCCTGTTCTTATGAAGCCTACCTTACAACAATGGAGATACAAAAGAAACATATGTGTGTGTGTATATATGGATACATGCATATATATATAAACAGACGTATTTATATACACAAACATATATTTGTGCACATATAGGTGTGTTTGTGTGTGTATATATATGTTCACATACACATTTTAGAAGAGACTTGAATGAAGGGTGAAGGGCGTTGATAGAAATAGTGGTTAGCATGTCTTAAACATTATATGCCATATACTTGCTAACTGCTTAACATCCATTATTTAATTTATTCAGTCCTGATAATAACTCTCTGAAGGGCACGTTAGTCATTCCTGTTTTACAGATGAAGAAATTGATGTTCATAGAGATAAAGTGATCTGTTCAAAATTTGACAGCAAGTGGCAGAGTTAGGCTTCTGATCTTGATCTTTGTAATAGTGAAGTCGAATTTTTATACATGATGCTAAGGTTTGTTTAAATAATTTTCCTGCTTCACTGAAGATGGGGATCAGATAATTTTTTCTCTTCATAGGAAAACCATATATTTTGGGAGTAGGTTCTTATACATGCTTAAAATATATTCTTTAGCAGCTCTGTCTACCTGGGCTTTAGGCAAGTTATGGTGGCTTGTAGGCAGATGATAGCAGTTCAGTGTTACAATCAAAGTAAGACATCCTGGGCTTTTAGCACATAGGAAATAAAACATTATCAATACTTGAGTGATGTCTGCTGGAAAGCCCTGGAGTAGAATTCAGAAAGTTTGAGTTATAAACCTTAATTTTGTCACTTTTATAGTGTGTGCATTGAGCAAGTCACTTCACCTTGCTCGAAATTTGGTTTCTACACATTTTACATCTCTAAAGAGATATTACCCTGAAAAAAAAAACACAAAAATAGAATACACGGTTTTTTTCTAACAATCTTCTATTTGTCAATCACATAAGCATAAGAGATGTTAGAAAGATTATGTCTTAGCCTCCTGCTCCCATTGTTATCCTTTTAAAGAAACAGCTTGCTGTTTTTTCACATTTTCTTCTCAGCTGTTTCTGGGTATGACAAGGGAGGAGGTGGTAGTGAGGTGACACAAAACTCAACCATTTCTGCATGTTGATGAACTGACCAGTGGCATACACCTGAGCATTTTTTTTCTTCATTTCTTACCGCAGGGAAATCCTTCTTAAGTTACATTACTGAAAATGAGATCTGGGGAATTTCATAGTAAGCAAATATTGAGCCAAGGGCATATACCCCAGTGCAAGGTGATGATTTGGAGTCTGACCCATTACACACGTTTATGAGTTGACATCCATTTATCTGTTATTGGCTGATTGTTTCATTTTAATTAATTGACATTGTTGCTAGCCTCAGTAGAGACCCATTACAAACTAGGTAAATTATCTGATGAATAACTGGGGAGGCATTTCAATTGCAAAGGAAGGAACAGTTATTATCTATCATGTGTCTTAGAAATCCTAGCTGACACATGTCAAACAAAATGTAAGGCTGGAGAACAAGAAAGCCTCCACAGCTGGCAGTGAAGTAATGAGGTTGCTTCCTAAAATAAAGGACAAACTATCTCCTGAAACTAATGGAAACAGGGTTTAAAATTTCGCACCCCCTAGTTCAAAGGATGAAAACCAATATCTGTTTACACACTAAGAGAAAGAGTAGAATCATTTTTTTTTCAATAATTTTCACTGCAGAACAGCTACTAGAGATGAATATTTTCACAAAGAACTTCCACAGAGAATAGACAAGGGATCCAGGGACCACAGAACTATAGACAGCATAAGCTATAGATAGCGTATGTGGCAGAACTCAGCTACCACACAACATATAAAAAAACAATTATCCCCAAACAGGTGAAGGGGCTTGTTGCACAGCCTGTAACTTGTAAAGTCAGGCCAAAATGTAAAAAAATATTTCTAGTTTAGTGTTCTTTCTACTATGCCACAATGCTTTGGTTTCCTTACTGAAAGGTATAGAAAGGGTAAAGAGGAATCATTTCTTCCATTGCTGATGCTTATATGTCTGGTTATATTTTTCTTAGAACAAGTCATCCAGTTCAAGTTCAACATGTTGCAAAGATGACAAAGGGGGATCATTAAAGACCCAATTAATGAATGTCATTTGTTTCATATGGAACTATATCTCTTATTCATAGGACTGCATGCTCCTGAGGGCAGTTACTATCGTGATTTATTTCCTCCATTGTATTTTTTACTAGCATAGCATAAGATATTTAAGTATAGCAAATTTATATAAATGAGAAAATAGTTTGATAAATATTTATTTTACAAATATAAAATATAAGCTATTTTCCCAATAAATACTACTATAGTCTCAGTAGTTCTTGCATTTCTAAAGCTTAGGTACATGTTAGAAATACATACAAATTAATATTTTTGGCTAACATTTATTTAATATGATTCAGTTTATATAGACTAGTATATATTCAAATAATTTATTAGTATTTAACTTTATTATATTTTCCATTTGAATTCTAATAATTTTCTAAGTCCCTAAATAAAAAGATGGGTCAGTGGTGAAAAACTTGTACATGAAAGCATAAAAGTAGTGGTAAAGATAGTGGTATAGATACTACAGCTCGAAATAAAGTGATGAATGCAAAACATGATTCTATACATATATGGAATGAGACCATGTATGTCCTGGGATATGTGACTTTGTAAGTGTGATGATTTTTTTTTTTTTTTGAGACAAAGTCTCGCTCTGTCACCCAGGCCAGAATGAGTGGCATGATCTCAGCTCACTGCCACTTCCACCTCCCAGGTTCAAGCGATTCTTCTGCCTCAGCCTCCTGAGTAGCTGGGATTACAGGTGCTCGCCACCATGCCCAGTTAATTTTTGTATTTTTAGTAGAGTCGGGGTTTCACCATATTGGCCAGGCTGGTCTCGAACTCCTGACCTTGTGATCCACCTGCCTCGGCCTCCCAAAGTGCTGGGATTACAGGCGTGAGCCACGGCACCAGCCAAGTGTGATGATTTTAAGAAAACAGACTAAAGTGATGAGGAGGAGATGCATTTCTATTATTTTAAACAACTTGCTCAAATGACATACTTAAGAAGTGACTCATTATCAGGAATTTCTTATATATGACCTATCACTTCAGAGATGAGATATCTTGGTTATTTTTTATAATGAAGATAAGACAGCAGTGTTGCTTAAGAAGACTGTATTGTGGTACAAACAGCTTGATTCCCAAGAGTTTTATTCTTTTGGAACTCTTGGTAATATTCTTTACTTATCAGAGAAAGAAATCAATGACATTTCTTTGGATATATTTAAACGTCATATCTAAATGTTGCAAAATACTATTAAGAAACATTTCCTGGGACTAAAAGAAACCAGAGAGTAGATTAAAAATCCATTTCTATCAGGTAGTGTAAACATGTAACCATCTAACTTTTGCATATAATATGTTCATCAACTTAGCCACCGACAACGTGCCAAAAGCATTCTTTTTAATAATTTCATATATATTTTTCTATATTAAAATATAATATAAATATGATACACCATATGATTCTTATTACACTAGCACACTGTGAGATTTCAGAAATTTCCAAGAGTAAAAATCACATTGATTTTTTTTTTTAATTTCAGCTTTTCTTTAAATATGGGGGTAGATGTGCAAGATTGTAACAATATGTTCATCTTGGGGCTATTCACAATAGCAAAGATATGGAAGCAATCTAGGTGCCCATCAATGTGGATTGGATAAAGTAAATGTGGTACCTATACACCATGAAAGCATTCCTAAGTGAAAAATATATTTTTAAATAACTTGGGGTCTAAGTTTCATACAAATATCTACTAATATTTCATATTCATGACACAATTATATTTTGTAAGTAAGGGCAGCAAGAAAGCTAAAACTTTCAAGCTTTATAGAAATTGTCTAATAAGAGACATTGAATCAATACAAAATCTGATTTATTGGCCAAATTAATTATCATTGAACTGGCTATAGACATATTTGTGAAACTTTGTGAACAATAAATTAAGTTAAAATATTATGTATTTTTTGTTATTCTGAAATTAAGACTACATTTTAAGCTTACCTAATGTCAGTAGTCCAGTGTGTAGCAAATGCCCCATAATTGCTAACTATGCCTAAATTTCAGCAAACACAGGGCTAGTCTTTTCTCTCACTATTTCTAGGCCTATCTCAATGAGTTCGTTTTATTTTATTTTGGTCTTGCCTCTTTCTATTTATTTCATGTTAAAATCCTGCTCCTCTTGGATCATTCATTCTTTATCCCTTTCCTTTTACTCTAAGCTAGGAAACTTTGAGTCATCTAACGCCAATTTTCTGTTGAAATCTCAAATTTTCTCCAATTCATTCTCATAGATTATCTGTATATATGGACATATACTCTTGTTGGGCATAAGATATCTAACATAAGCATATATACCAAGGTAATCCATGACGAAGATAAAGCTTCTATGCATATTTTAAGTTCTCTCTGCCCCTTTATCTTGGCTAATATTGAGTTGAACACAGTGTGTACTCATGTAGTGTTGTTAATAGTATTAAAATAAATATTTTGAGGATGAGGGGCAGAGCAAGATAGCTGAATAGAAGGCTCCACAGATCATCTTCCCTGCCAACAAGGACACCAATTTATCAACTATCTGCAAAAAAAGCACCTTTATAAGAACAAAAAAATCAGGTGAGCACTCACAGTACTTGGTTTTAACTTCAGATTACTGAAAGAAGCACTGGAGAGAGTAGGAAAGACAGTTTTGAATCAGCAATGTCACTCATCCCCTTTATGTGGGCAGTGGCTTCATGGTGCAGAGACAGAGTCCATATGATTGGTAGAGGGATAGTTTAGCAATTGTGAGACATTGGATTGAACCGAGTGCTGCCCTGTCACAACAGAAAGCAAAAATAATCAGGCTGACCTCAGCTGACACTTGCACATTGAAGGAGTATTTAAACCAGCCCTAGCCAGAGGAGAATTGCCAATCCCAATGGTCAGAAATTGAGTCCTGGCAAGCTTTACCACTGTGGGCTAAAATGCAAAGACCTTAAATAAACTTGAAAGGCAGTCTAGGCCACAAGGACAGCAACTTCTAGATGAGTCCTTGTGCTGAACTGGGCTCAGAACCAGTGGACTTGGGAGCCATGTGACCTACTGAGACACCACCCAAGGCAACTAAGAGAGTGCTTGTGCCACTTCTACCCCAACCCCAGGCTGCACAGCTTGTGGCTCAAAGGAGAACCCTTTCTTCTATTTGAGGAGAGGAGAGGGAAGAGTAAAGAGGACTTTGTTCTGCGTCTTGGATACCAGCTCAGCCACAGCAAGATATAGGGCACTGGGCAGAGTTGTGAGGCTTCCATTCCAGGCCCTAGCTCCCAGATGACATTTCTAGGTACACTCTGGCCAGAAGTCAACCTGTTTCCTTGAAAGGAAGGACCCAGTGCTGGCAGAACCAGTCACTTGCTGACTAAAGAACCCTTGCTCCCTGAATAGCCAGCAGAGATACCCAGGTAGTATGCCGTGAGCCTTGGGTAAGATTCTAAATTTGTTGGCATCAGATGAGACTCAGTACATTCCCAGCTGTGGTGGCTATGGGGAGTGACTCCTTCTGCTTAAGAAAATCAGAGAGAAAAGAGGGCGGGGCGGCGGGGGCAGAGGTCTTTGCCTTGCAGCTTACGTACCAGCTTGGCCACAGGGAAGTAGAGCACCAAGTATCCTCTTGGGGTCTCCGATTCTAGGACTTAGCACTTGGACAGCATTTCTGGATGTAGCATGCACCAGAGTGGAGCCCACTGCCCTGGAGGGTGAGTCTTAGGTCTGGCAGCATTCATTAAAAGTGGAATGAATGGCCCTTAGCCTTTAAGGGAACATCAGCAGTACCCTGGCAGTACTGTACATAAGCTGATAGTGGTGGTAGCCCTGAAGTTAGGCTCCTCTGCCTGTAGAAAGAGGAGGAAAGAGTGGGAAGAACTTTGTCTTATGCTTCGAGTGCAGTACAGCTGCAGCACAATAGAACACCACATAGACTTCTAAGGTTTTTTTTATTCCAGGTAGTATCTCCTGGACAGCACCTCAGAATCTTCCCAAGGACTGGAGGAACTCATCACCCTGAAGGAAAGGACACAAACCTGGCTGGGATCATCACTTGCTGATTGCAGAGCCCCAGGGCCTTGAGTGAACACAGGAAGTAGTCAGGTAGTGGTTACTGCAGGCCTTGAGTGATACCCAGTGCTGTGCTGGCTTCAGGTCTGACTGAGTGCAGCCCTACTTGTGGTGGCCACAGAGGTTCTAGTGTCACTCCACCCCCAGATCCAGGTGGTTCAGAAAAGAGAGAGAGACTCCAGTTGTTTGGAAGAAGTAAAAGAAGTGAACAATAGACCCTGTCTGGTAATCCAGAGAATTCTACCAGTTCTTATCCAAGACTACCAAGGCAGTACCTCCACAAGTCTACAAGAAACACAGTGACACAGGGCTTGGGGTCCCACCTAATGAATATACAGCTTAGATCACAACACTCAAGCCTATTTGAATACCTGGAAAGCCTTCCCCACAGCTAGAGATACAAACAAACCAAGACTGTGAAGACAACAATAAATATCTAACTTTTCAGTGCCCAGGCACAGACAAACATCTACAAGCATCAAGACCATCCAGGAAAACATGATGATGTCATCAAATGAACTAAATAAGACACCAGGGATCAATCTCAGAGAAACAGAGATATGTGTCTTTCCAGACAGAGAACTTAAAATAGATGTTTTAAGGAAAATCAGAAGAATTCAAGATAACACAGAGAAGGAATTCGGAATTCTATCAGATAAACTTAACAAATGCATTGAAATTATTTTAAAAATCAGGCAGAAATTCTAGAGTAAAAAATGCAATTGACATACGGAAGAATGCATCAGTCTTTTAATATCAGAAATGATCAAGCAGAAGCAAGCATTATTCTGATTAAGACAGGCTATATGAAAATACACAGAGGAGAAATAAGAAAAAGGAATTTAAAAATGAACCAGGCCTCTGAGATCTAGAAAACAGCCTCAAAAGGGAAAATCTAAGAGTTATTGGCCTTAAAGAAGAGGTAGAAAAAAGAGATAAGGATAGAAAGTTTATTTAAAGGAATTGTAACGGAGATATTCCCAAACCCAGAGAAAGATATCAATATGCAAGAACAGGAAGTGTAGAGAACATAAAGCAGATTTATCCCAAAGAAGGTTACCTCAAGGCATTTAATAATCAAACTCCCGAAGGTCAAGAATAAAGAAAGGATCCTAAAAGCAAGAGAAAAGAAACAAATAACATACAGCGGCGAACCAATAGTTCTGACAGCAGACTTTTCAGTGAAAATCTTACAGTCTAGGAGAGACTGACATGACATATTTAAAGTGCTGGAGAAAAAAAAAAAAAAACACCTTTTACCTCAGAATAGTATATCCAGCAAAAATATCCTTCAAACATGAAGGAGAAATAAATACATTCCCAGACAAACGATGAGGGGTTTCATCAACACCAGACCTGTCCTACATAAAATGCTAAAGGGAGTACTTCAATCAGAAAGGAAAGGATGTTAATGAGCAATAAGATATCAACTGGAGATACAAAACTCAATGGTAATAGTAAGTACACAGAAACACATGGAATTTATAACACTGTAACTGTGGTGGGTAAACTACTCTTAACGTAAGTAGAAGGACTAAATGATGAACAAATAAAAAACAATAACTACAACAAAATTTGAAAATATACAGAGTACAAAAACATAAATAGAAACAACAAACAGTTAAAAATCAGGGGATGAGTTTTTATTAGTTTTCTTTTTGCTTACCTGTTTGTTTATAAAAAAGTGTTAAGTTGTTATTAGCTTAAAATAATCGGTTGTAAGATACTATTTGAAAGCCTCATAGTAACCTCAAATCAAAAAACACAGTGAATACACAAGAAGTAAAAAGCAGGAAATTCAATCATAACAACAGAGAAAATCACCTTCACTAAAAGGAAGACTGGTTGAAAAGAATGAAGAGAAGACCACACACACACACACACACACACACACACACACACACACACACAAATGACAAAATGGGAGGAAAAAGACCTTACTTATCAATAATAATGTTGATTGTAAATGGACTAGACTCTCAGTAAAAATTCATAATGTGGCTGAATGTATATAAAAAATCAAGATCCAATGATCTATTGCCTTCAATAAACACAGTTAATCTGTAAAAACACACATAGACTGAAAATAAAGGGATGAAGAAAGGTATTTCATGCCATTGGAAACCACAAATGAGCAGGAATAGCTATACTTGTATCAGACAAAATAGATTTCAAGAGAAAAACTGTAAGAAGAGACACAGAAGGACACTATATAATGAAAAGGGGGTCAATAAAGCACAATTATATAACAATTATAAATATGTATGCACACAACACTTGAGCACACAGATACCTAAAGTGAATATTATTAGAGAGGGAGATATACTCTGTATTAGTCCATTTTTACCCTGCTGATAAAGACGTACCTGAGACTGGGGGAAAAAAAAGAAGGTTTAATTTGGCTTACAGTTCCACATGGCTGGGGAGGTTTCATAATCATGGTGAAGGGCTGACGCGGGCACCACTTCTTACATGGCAGCAGCAAAAGAGAATGAGGAAGAAACAAAAGTGGAAACCCCTGGATAAACCCATCAGATCTCGTGCGACTTAGTCACTATCACGAGATTAGCACAGGAAAGATCAGCCCCATTATTCAATTATCTCCCCCTGGGTCCCTCCCACAACACGTGGGAATTCTAGGAGATACAATTCAAGTTGAGATTTAGGTGGGGACACAGCCAAACCATACCATTCCACCCCTGGCCCCTCCAAATCTCATGTCCGCACATTTCAAAACCATTCATGCCTTCCCAATAGTCTCCCAAAATCTTAACTCATTTCAGCATTAACCCAGAAGTCCACAGTCCAAAGTCTCATCTGAGACAAGGCAACTTCCTTCCAACTATGAGCCTGTAAATTCGAAAGCAAGCTAGTTACTTCTTAGATACAGTGGGGGTACAGGTATTGGGTAAATACAGCTGTTCCAAATGGGATAAATTGGCCAAAACAAAGGAGTTACAGTGCCCATGCAAAAAAACTGTACTCCAATACCACTGAAGAATATTGATGCAAAAATGCTCCACCAAATACTAGCAGGTTGAACTCAACAATACATTAAAAGATCACTCTTCATGACCGGGTGGGATTTATCCCATAAATAAAAGGATGTTTCAGTATACTCAAACCAATCATTGTGATGGATCATATCAACAGAATGAATGACAAAAACCCTATGATCATTACAATTGATACTAAAAAGGAATTTTATGACAGACCCAGAGCTAGTATTATACTAAATGGAGAAAAACTAAAAGTCTTTCCTTGAATATCTAGAACATGACAAGGATGCCCATAATTCACCACTGTTCTTCAAAATAGTACTGGAAGTCCTACATAGTGCAAGAGAAAGAAAGAATATGTGCTCATATTGGAAAGGAAGAAGACAAATTATCCTTGTTTGCTGATGATATGATTTTATATTTGGAAAAACAAAATACTCCATTAAAAAACCATTCGAACTGATAAACAAATTCAGTAAAGTTTCAGGATACAAAATCAACATACAAAAAATGGTAGCATTTCTATATGCCAACAATGAACAATCTAAAACAAGAAATAAAGTAATCTAAAGTAATCTTAGTTATGGTCAAATAAATTTAAACACCTTCAATTTAACCAAAGAAGTCAAAGATCTCCACAATTAAAACTATTAAATACTGATGCATGAAATTGAAGAATACACAAAGAATTGCAAAGACATTTCATGTTCATAGATTGGAACTATCAATATTGTCAAAATACCCCTACTACCCAAAGCTGTCTAGAGATTTGATAAAATCCCTACCTAAATACCAATGACATTATTTGCAGAAATAGAAAAAAAAATGTTAAAATTTATATGGAACCCACGAAAGACCCAAAGAAACAAAGCCACCCTAAGCAAAAGGAACAAAATAAGAGGAATCACATTACCTGACTTTAAATTATACTACAGAGCTAGAGCAAACAAAACGGCATACTACTGACATAAAATTAGACACAAAGACCAGTGGAACAGAATAAAGAATACAGAGATACACCCATACGTCTACAGGGAACTCATTTATGACAAAGGTGCCAAGAACATACATTGGGGTAAGGACAATTTCTTCAATAAATGTTGTTGGGAAAACTGAATATCCATATACAAAAGAAAGAAACTAGATATACAATCATGTCATCTGCAAACAGGGACAATTTGACTAATGATAGACTGGATTAAGAAAATGTGGCACATATACACCATGGAATACTATGCAGCCATAAAAAATGATGAGTTCATGTCCTTTGTAGGGACATGGATGAGATTGGAAATCATCATTCTCAGTAAACTATCAAGAACAAAAAACCAAACACCGCATATTCTCACTCATAGGAGGGAATTGAACAATGAGAACACATGGACACAGGAAGGGGAACATCACACTCTGGGGCCTGTTGTGGGGTGGGGGGAGGGGGGAGGGATAGCATTAGGAGATATACCTAATGCTAAATGACGAGTTAATGGGTGCAGCACACCAGCATGGCACATGTATACATATGTAACTAACCTGCACATTGTGCACATGTACCCTAAAACTTAAAGTATAATAATAATAATAAAAAAGAAACTAGACCCCTATACCTCACTATGTACCAAAATCAAATAACAATGTATTAGAGACTTAAATCTGAGATTCTATCCTATGAAACATGTAAAAGAAAACACTGGGGAAACCCTCCAGGACATTGGAATGGGCAAAGATTTATTCAGTAATAGTAACTCACAAGCACAGGCAACCAAAGCAAAAATGGACAAATTGGATCACACCAAGTTAAAAACCTTCTACACAGCAAAGAAAACAATCAACAAAGTGAACAGGCAACACACAGGATAGGAGAATATATCTTCAAACTATAAATCTGACAAAGGATTAGTAACCAGTATATATAAGGAGCTCAAACAATCTAATAAATCTAGAAACATATAATAATCTGATTTAAAAATGAGCTAAAGATCTGAATACACATTTCTCAAAATAAGACATACAAATGGCAAACAGGTGTATGAAAAGGTTCTCAGCATCACTGACTATGAAAGAAATTAAAATCAAACTACAATGAGATATCATTGTTAAAAAGATATCATCCTAGTTAAAATGGCTTTTTTCCTAAAAGTCAAGCAATAGCAAATGCTGGTGAGCATGTGGAGAAAAGGGAATCCTTGTGCACTGTTGGTAGGAATGTAAATTAGTACAACCACTACGGAGAACAGTTTGTAGGTTCCTCAAAAAACTGTAAATAGAGCTACCATACAATCCAACAATCCCACTCCTAGGAATATACCCAGAAGAAAGGAAATGAATATATTGAAGACATATCTGCACTCCCAGGTTTACTGCAGCACTATTCCAGAAGCACAGATTTGGAAGCATCCTAAGCATCTATCAACAGGTAAATGTATAAAGAAAATATGCTACCTATACGCAATGGAGTACTATTCAGATATTTTTTTAAATGAGTTCTTGTCATTTGCAGCAACACAGATGAAACTGGAGGTCATTAAATATAACTAGCTAGGCACAGAAACACAAAGTTGGCATGTTCTCACTTATTTGGAGGAGCTCAAAATTAAAATAATTGAACTTATGGAGATAGAGAGTGGAAGAATGGTTACCTGAGGCTGAGATTGGTGGTCGTAGGGGGTTGGGAATGGGGATGGTCAGTGAATACAGTTAGAAAGAATGAATGAGACCTGGTATTTGCTAGCACAACAGGGTGACTATAGTCAAAAATAATTTAATCGTACATTTAAAAATAACTAAAAGTGTAAAATTGATTTTTTTGTAACACAAAGGATAAATGCTTGAGGTGAAGGATACCTCATTGACCCCAATTTGGTTATTACACATAGCATGCCTGTATCAAAATATCTCATGTAACCCATCGATATATACACTTACTATGTACACAAAAATTAAAAATTAAAATAAATTATATGAATAAATAATATTTTGAGCTAGCTAACATTTAGGTAATTTTGAATGAACAACATGACAAATTTAAGCTTCATGTGATTCAGTTAACTTCACCCAGATAAAACTTATTCCTCTTCCTATGCTATGCTATGTTTCTAAACCAGACCAGCTGTCTCACCAATGCCTAAATTTCACTATTCCATTACGTTACTGGAAACATGGGTCTTTGCATGTATAAGAGTAGCATCATCTTAGGTAAAATGAGATTTTACCAGTTTGATACGCTTTTCCTCATACTACATATTTTCTTACTATTTGACTCCTGCATCATTTCACTGTAATTTCTAGGACCATAGTTAAGCAATAAACCAATCATGCTTTAATCTCTTACCAAACATTGTGCACATCCTTTTAAATGAACTTGAACCAAGTTTTTCCACAAAACAACTAAGGTCTATTACAATGGACACTTTTCTATCTTCATCTCTCTCTTTGGCATCACATAGTGTTGAACACCCTTAATATTGTTCTCTTGGCTTCTGTGATAAAACTTAATTCCTTGTAGTATACAGGATATCTAACATAAGAAAGTACATAACAGATGCTTCATGATCACAGATACATCTCCTACTACTTTATTATCCCTCCTCCACCCTTAGCATGCCTAATGCTGTATAAACACGCTGTTTGCTCATGAAAAGGCCATTGACTGACTAAAACCACCAACACTTTAAGCCATTGCTCTTCCCAGAGTTCTCTCCTTGGCTTTTTTCCCATCTTACTTTGCCGTCTCTCCCTCAGCTGTCTCTTCCATTCCTAAGAATTATATTATTATTATACACGGATGATTCTGAAAGTTTCATTTCCAATCCAAACCAATTCCTAGAACTAGATTTTTGCAGGCTACTATTTAACAACATTTTCATCATGCCCTATATGCAACTCAAACTCAACACGTTTAAAACTAAATTCCTAATTATTTCCTCCACTCTCACTTCTGCTGTATTTACTATAATGCTGAACAGCCAGTTGATCACTAACTCCAGTTATTTCAACATCATAAGAACCTCGGTAATTGACCCTGTGTGTTCTACCCTGACAGCCCCCCATTTATTCCACTCAACTGTTACAGTAGTCTTCCTCTCAATTATATTGCAATAAGCAGTTCAATTTCAAATATATGCCTGCCACTGCCTACAGAGACAGTGATATTTCTAATACATGTGTCTGGTCAAGTTACTTCTTTACTTACAATCATGCATTGGCTTCCCATTATCTACAGGACAATTTTCAAAGTCATTAGAATGGAAAAGAAAGCCTTTCATGATATGCTGCCTGTCTACATGGTCAGCCACATCTCTCCTCACTATATACACCCTATGCTCTGTGTCTGTGTATTCATGGTCATAACTACACACTTCAGAGTTGTGTATTCAGACAGAAAGATTGGGAGAAGTACTGTAGTTGCTTTGAGCTAGAGCTACAATGGTAGAGGCTTATTATATTCTCTAACTCCTCATATCTCAGCAAACCCTATTTCCACTGAGGAGTCACTTGAGGCTTCTCACTCCACACCAGCAACACTAAGAAAGCTGGAAAAAAGTCAAAGATTTACTGAATTCACCACGACTAAATCTTTGCACTTGAATTGAAGGACAATTTAGGCTGACTTAAGCTTCATGGGAGCACTGGCTTATCTCTGAGCACAATGATATTTCAGCTCTAACCACTGGTCTGGAGTTAGAAAAAGCTAGACTAAAACATCTATTCTGTCACTTGACTTCTTTGAGTTTCAGTTTCCACATTAGTAAACTAAGAATAACTAGTTTGTGAGGTTGTTTGGATAATTAAATGAGATAATAAAGTATATCACAGTAGTGCCTGGAACATAACAGGTACACTTAGCTATGAACATATATAAGAAAAGTGTTGACAAATTGGAGATGTATAGTTTTGAAAGGCAAGATAGACACATGACTCATTTTTAATATAAGAGAAAAATGCATTTTTAATATTAGATACTTGAATATTTATAAGCTATCAATAAATGAGTATGTATTGATATGTTTCTGGCACTAGGCTGCTAGCAGTGGTTATAAAACAATAAAACACACTCATGGTTTCTACCCATAAGAGACCTATGTTACAATTGGAGAGAGAAGATAAGCACTTGAAGCAAGACCTCCTGCCACTACTGCATACATATATAAAGCACCCACTCCAGGTTCCAAACTCAGCATTTCACATTCCCAGGAATTGCTGTGTACCCAGTTCCAGAGTGGACCCAATTGAAAGTGAAATATTTTTCTCAATTATTGGCTACTTGCCCCAACTACTAAGAAGCAGAGAGACTGGGAAGATGACCTGAATGATACATATAGGCCAATAATAGTAATTAGCTTTGTAATGGGTATCCTTTTGCTGATCAACACATGCGTTTAAAGCTGACAGAGAAATAAAGCATAGTGAGTTCACAAAAGAACAAAGGCGTTAGCTCTAAGAGAGAATGTCTCCTCTCTGGGACCTCTTCAAGATGCTCTTAGATGCTCCCCAAACAGTATAAGTAGTTAGTGCTGCTGACTAATCATTAAAGTATTGCTCATAATCCTGGCAAGAAATTGTCTTCACTTCACTCTTAGGTACAGAGATTACACTTACAGGAAAAAGGGGCAAAGCACTTTGGGAAACTAAAAGAAAATATCAAGGAACAAAGCTCATGTGGTTGTTATTGCCCTCAGCCTTACAGAGCATCCTCGAGAATTGCATTTGACCATTTGTTTCCCTAACCAGCCCAGCTGTTCTCACCAGGATATTGTTCTGTCCTAAGAAACTGCGTGGTATGTGTTCTATTTTAGAAATACACTTATCATTGCTTCTGAAATGCCATTTTGCCTTTGGAAACACTCACAGGAACTAGGATCCAGAAAGTGAAAAGATCTGTGAAAGCTCGAAAACTTCTCAGTAGGAGCTCCAATTCTCAAAAAGCCAAAAAAGAAAACAGACTGTATCATAGCTAATACAACAACAACAAAGATGAAAATATCATGTAAAGCATATTATGATAATAAAATATTCTTATTGCATTGACAAATGATAGTATTAGCTACCATGCATTGCTTTCAATTTTGCATTAAGAGCTTTACATTGAATATCTCAATCTTCAAAACTCTCTATATAAAAATAGAAAGTGAAGCTCAGAGAGGTTAAGTAGTTTGTCCATGGTTACCAAATCGACAAGTTGTACAAAATGGAATTTTAACCCAAAGTGTCTGTTCTTTCCATAACCCCAAACTGTTTGATTCCCATCCAAGGATGAAGCCTAACCCTTAAAATAGGTAAAACTGTGGTGGACCCTTGAAGTAAGTAAGCTGAGCTCTGCAATTATGATAAGGAAATAAGTTTCGCCTGATATTTTGCATATGAAATATTTTATCTACAGATATCATTTGTTTTCAGGTTTTTAAAATTATTATTATACTTTAAGTTCTGGGATACATGTGCAGAATGTGCAGGTTTCTTACATAGGTATACATGTGCAATGGTGGTTTGCTGCACCCATCAACCCATCATCTACATTAGGTATTTTTTGTAATGCCATCCCTCCCCTTGACCCCGACCCTGCAACAGGCCCCGGCGTGTGATGTTCCCCTCCCTGTGCCCATATGTTCTCGTTGTTGAACTTTCACTTATGAGTGAGAACATGCGGCGTTTGGTTTTCTGTTCCTATGTTAGTTTGCTGAAGATGATGGCTTCCAGCTTCATTCATGTCCCTGCAAAGGACGTGAACTCATCCTTTTTTATGGCTGCATAGTATTCCATGGTGTATATGTGCCACTCTTTATCCAGTCTATCATTGATGGGCATTTGGGTTGGTTCAAAGTCTTTGCTATTGTGAATAGTGCTGCAGTAAACATATGTGTGCATGTGTCTTTATAGTAGAATGATTTATAATCCTTTGGGTATGTAACTAGAAATGGGATTGCTGAGTCAACTAGTATTTCTAGTTCTAGATCCTCAAGGAATCACCACACTGCCTTCACCAATGGTTGAACTAATTTACACTCCCACCAACAGTGTAAAAGCATTCCTATTTCTTCACATCCTCTCCAGCATCTGTTGTTTCCTCACTTTTTAATGATCACCATTCTAACTGGCATGAGATGGTATCTCATTGTGGTTTTGATTTGCATTTCTCTAATGACCAGTGACAATGAGCTTTTTTTCGTATGTTTGTTGGCCACCTAAATGTCTTCTTTTTAGAAGTGTCTGTTTATATACTTCACCTACTTTTTGATGGGGTGTTTGTTTTTTTTTTTCTTGTAAATTTGTTTAAGTTCCTTGTAGATTTAGGATATCAGCCCTTTGTCAGATGAATAGATTGCAAAAATTTTCTCCCACTCTGTAGGTTGCCTGTTCACTCTGATGATAGTTTCTTTTGCTGTGCAGAAGCTCGTTAGTTTAATTACATCCTATTTGTCAATTTTGGCTTTTGTTGCCATTGCTTTTGGTGTTTTTGTCATGAAGTCTTTGCCCATGTCTATGTCCTGAATGGTATTTCCCAGGTTTTCTTCTAGGGTTTTGGTGGTTTTAGGTCTGATGTTTAAGTCTTTAATCCACTGTGAGTTAATTTTTGTATAAGGTGTAAGGAAAGAGTCCAGTTTCAGTTTTCTGTATATGACTAGCCAGTTTTCTGAACACCATTTATTTAATAGGGAATCCTTTCCCCATTGCTTGTTTTTGTCAGGTTTGTCAATGATCAGATGGTTGTAGATGTGTAACATTATTTCTGAGGCCTCTGTTCTGTTCCATTGGTCTATATATCTGTTTCAGTACAAGTACCATACTGTGTTTTTTACTGTTGCCTTGCACTATAGTTTGAAGTCAGGTAGCATGATGCCTCCAGCTTTGTTCTTTTTGCTTAGGATTGTCTTGGCTATATCAGCTCTTTTTTGGTTCCATATGAAATTTAAAGTAGTTTTTTATAATTCTGTGAAGAAAGTCAATGGTAGCTTGATGGGAATAGCATTGAATCTATAAATTACTTTGGGCAGTATGGCCATTTTCACAATATTGATTCTTTCTATCCATGACCATGGAATGTTTTTTCATTTGTTTGTGTCCTCTCTTATTTCCTTGAGCAGTGGTTTGTAGTTCTCCTTGAAGATGTCCTTCACATCCCTTGTAAGTTGTATTTCTAGGTATTTTATTCTCTTTTTAACAATTGTGAATGGGAGTTTGCTCATGATTTGGCTGTCTGTCTACTATTGGTGTATAAGAATGCTTGTGATTTTTGCACATTGATTTTGTATCCTGAGACTTTGCTGAAGTTGCTTATCAGCTTAAGGAGTTTGAGGCTGAGACGACAGGGTTTTCTAAATATAGAATCATGTCATCTGCAAACAGAGACAATTTGACTTTCTCTCTTAGTATTCGAGTACCCTTTATTTTTTTGTCTTGCCTTGTTGCCGTAGCCAGAACTTCCCTTATTATGTTTAATAGGAGTTGTGAGAGAGGGCTTCCTTGTCCTCTCTGGAAGCTGGAGAGAATGCTTCCAGCTTTTGTCCATTCAGTATGACATTCACTGTAAGTTAGTCATAAATAGCTCTGATTATTTTGAGATATGTTTCATCAATATCTAGTTTATTGAGAGATTTTAACATGAAGGGATGTTGAATTTTATCAAAGGCCTTTTCTGCATCTATTGAGATAATCATGTGGTTTTTGTCATTTGTTCTGTTTATGTAATGTATTACATTTATTGATTTCTATACGTTGAACCAGCCTTGAATCCGAAAGATGAAGCTGTCTTGATTGTGGTGGATAAGCTTTTTGATGTGCTGCTAGATTTGGTTTACCAGTATTTTATTGAGGATTTTCACATCAATGTTCATCAGGGATATTTGTGTGAAGTTTCCTTTCTTTGTTGTGTCTCTGCAGGATTTGATATAAAGATGATACTGGCCTCATAAAATGAGTTAGGGAGGCGTCCCTCCTTTTTAATTGTTTGGAATAGCTTTAGAAGGAATGGTACCAGCTCCTCTTTTTTCCTCTGGTAGAGTTAGGCTGTGAATCTGACTGGTCCTGGGCTTTTTTTGGTTGGTAGGCTATTAATTACTGCCTCAATTTCAGAACTTGTTATTGGTCTATTCAGGAATTCAACTTCTTCCTTGTTTAGTCTTGGGAGGGTTTATGTGTCCAGGAATTTATCCATTTCTTCTAGATTTTCTAGTTTATCTCCGTAGAGGTGTTTACAGTATTCTCTATGGTAGTTTGTGTTTCTGTGGGATCACTGATAATATCTCCTTTATCATTTTTTATTGTGTCTATTTGATTTTGTTCTCTTTTCTTCTTTATTAGTCTAGCTAACAGTCTATCTATTTTGTTAATCTTTTCAAAAACTGGTTCCTGGATTCATTGATTTTTTGAAGGGTCTTTCATGTCTCTATCTCCTTCAGTTCTGCTCTGATCTTAGTTATTTCTTCTCTTTTGCTAGCTTTTGCATTTGTTTGCTCTTGCTTCTCTAGTTCTTTTTTTTTTTTTTCTTTTTTTGAGAGGGAGTCTCGCTCTGTCACCCAGGCTGGAGTGCAGTGGCATGATCTCGGCTCACTGCAAACTCTGCCTCCTGGGTTCACGCCATTCTCCTGCCTCAGCCTTCCAAGTAACTGGGACTACAGGCCCCTGCCACCATGCCCGGCTAATTTTCTGTTTTGTATTTTTAGTAGAGACAGGGTTTCACCATGTTCGGCAGGATGGTCTTGATTTCCTGACCTCATGATCCATCCACCTCAGCCTCCCAAAGTGCTGGGATTACAGGCATGAGCCACTGTGCCCGGCGCTTCTCTTTTAATCGTGATGTCAGAAGTGTCGATTTTAGATCTTTCCTGCTTTCTCCTGTGGGCATTTAGTACTATAAATTTCCTTCTACACACTGCTTTAGCTGTGTCTCAGAGATTCTGGTACATTGTGTCTTTGTTCTCATTGGTTTCAAAGAACTTATTTATTTCTGCCTTAATTTCATTATTTACCCAGCAGTCATTCAGGAGCAGGTTGTTCAGTTTCCATGCAGTTGTGTGATTTTGAGTGAGTTTCTTAATCCTGAGTTCTAATTTGATTACACTGTGGTCTCAGAGACTGTTTGTTATGATTTCTGTTTTTTTGCATTTGCTGAGGAGTGTTTTACTTCCAATTATGTGGTCAATTTTAGAATAAGTGTAATGTGGAGCTGAGAAGAATGTATATTCTGTTGATTTGTGGTGGAGAGTTCTTCTGCAGATGTCTATTAGGTCCACTTGATCCAGAGCTGAGTTCAAGTCCTGAATATCCTTGTTAATTTTCTGTCTTGTTGATCTGTCTAATAATGACAGTGGGTGTTAAAGTCTCCCACTATTATTGTGTGGGAGTCTAAGTCTCTTTGTAGGTCTCTAAGAACTTGCTTTATGAATCTGGGTGCTCCTTATTGGGTGCATATATATTTAGGATAGTTAGCTCTTCTTGTTGCATTGATTCCTTTACCATTATGTGTTGCCATTCTTTGTCTTTTTTGATGTTTGTTGTTTTAAAATCTGTTTTATCGGAGACTAAGATTGCAACCCCTGCTTTTTTTTTTTTTTTTTTTTTTTTGCTTTCCATTTGCTTGGTAAATTTTCCCCCGTTCCTTTATTTTGAGCCTACGTGTGTCTTTGCATGTGCGATGGGTCTCCTGAATACAGCACGCTGATGGGTTTTGAATTGCTATCCAATTTGTCAGTCTGTGCCTTTTAACTGGGGCATTTAGCCCATTTACATTTAAGGTTAATATTGTTATGTATAAATTTAATCCTGTCATGATGCTAGCTGGTTATTTTGCCCATTAGTTTATGCAGTTTCTTCATAGTGTTAATGGCCTTTAGCTTTTGCTTTGTTTTTGCAGAGGCTGGTACTGGTTTTTCCTTTCCATATTTAGCTCTTCCTTAAGGAGCTCTTGTAAGTCAGGCCTGGTGGTGACAAAATCTCTTAACATTTGCTTGTCTGTAAAGGATTTTATTTCTCCTTCACTTACGAAGCTTATTTTGGCTGGATATAATATGGTGGGTTAAAAATTCTTTTATTTAAGAATGTTGAATATTGGCCCCCACTCTCTTCTGGCCTGTAGGGTTTCTGCAGAGATATCCACTGTTAGTTTTATGGGCTTGCCTTTATGGGTAACCCAACCTTTCTCTCTGGGTGCCCTTAACATTTTTTTATTCACTTCAACCTTTGTGAATCTGATGATTATGTGTCTTGGGGTTGCTCTTCTCAAGGAGTATCTTTGTGGTGTTCTCTGTATTTCCTGAATGTGAATGTTGGACAGTCTTGCTAGGTTGGAGAGGTTCTCCTGGATAATATCCTAAAGTGTGTTTTCCAACTTGGTCCCATTCTCCCCATCACTTTCAGGTACACCAGTGAAACATAGATGTGGTCTTTTCACATAGTCCCATATTTCCTGGAGACTTTGTTAGTTCCTTTTCATTTTTTTTTCTCTAATCTTGTCTTCACACTTTATTTCATTAAGTTGATCTTCACTCTCTGATATCCTTTCTTCTGCTTGATCCATTCGGCTATTGATACTTGTGTATGCTTCACGAAGTTCTTGTGCTGTGTTTTTCAGCTCCATCAGGTCATTTATGTTCTTCTCTAAACTGGTTATTCTGGTTAGCAATTCCTCTAACCTTTTGTCAAGGTTCTTAGCTTCCTTGTATTGGGTTAGAACATGCTCCTTTAGCTCAGAGGAGTTTGTTATTACCCACCTTCTGAAGCCTACTTCTGTCAATTTGTCAAACTCCTTCTCCATCCAGTTTTGTTCCCTTGCTGGCAAGGAGTTGTGATCCTTTGGAGAGGAAGAGGCATTCTGGTTTTCGGCATTTTCAACCTTTTTGTGCTGGTTTTTCCTTATCTTCATGGATTTATCTACCTTTGATCTTTGCTGTTGGTGACCCTCTGATGGAGTTTTTGCTTGTTTGTCCTTTTTTTTTTTTTGATGTTGATGCTATTGCTTTCTGTTTGTTAGTTTTCCTTCTAATGGTCAGGTCCCTCTTCTGCAGGTCTGCTGCAGTTTGCTTGGGGTTTACTTTTACTTCAGACCCCATTTGCCTGGGTATCACCAGTATAGGCTGCAGAACAGCAAAGATTGCTGCCTGCTCCTTCCTCTGGAAGCTTTGTCCCAGAGGTGCACCTGCCAGATGCCAGCTGGAGCTCTCCTGTGTGAGGTGTCTGTCAAACCCTGCTGAGAAGTGTCTCTCTGTCAGGAGGCTTGGGTGTCAGGGACCCACTTGAGGAGGCAGTCTGTTCCTTAGCAGAGCTCAAGCACTGTGGTGGGAGATCCACTGCTCTTTTCAGAGCTGGCAGGCAGGAACATTTAAGTCTGCTGAAGCTGCGCCCACAGCCACCCCTTCCCCCAGGTGCTCTGTCCCAGGAAGATGGGAGTTTTATCTATAAGCCCCTGACTGGGGTTGCTGCCATTCTTTCAGAGATTCCCTGCCCAGAGAGGAGAAATCTAGAAAGCCAGTCTGGCTATAGAGGTTTTGCAGAACTGAGGTGGGCTCCGCCCAGTTCAAACTTCCTGGCAGCTTTGTTTAACACCGTGAAGGGAAAACCACCTACTCAAGCCTCAGTAATCGTGGATGCCCCTCCCCCCACCAAGCTAGAGTGTCCCAGGTCGACTTCAGACTCCTGTGCTGGCAGTGAGAATTTCAAGGCAGTGGATCTTAGCTTGCTGGGCTCCATGGGGATGGGAACCCCTGAGCAAGACAACTTGGCTCCCTGGCTTCAGCCCCCTTTCCAGGGGAGTGAATGGTTCTGTCTCGCTGGCATTCCAGGCACCACTGGGGTATGAAAAAAACTCCTTCAGCTAGCTTGGTGTCTGCCCAAATGGCCACCCAGTTTGGTGCTTAAAACCCAGGGCCCTTGTGATGTAGGCACCCAAGGGGATCTCCTGGTCTGTGGGTTGCAAAGACCACGGGAAAAGCATAGTCTCTGGGTCGGACAGCACCGTCCCTTGAAGCATGGTCCCTCAGGGCTTCTCTTGGCTAGGGGAGAGGGTTCCCTGACCCCTTGTGCTTCCTGAGTGAGGCAATGCCCCACCCTGCTTCTGCTGGCCCTCCGTGGGCTGCACCCACTGTCTAACCAGTCCCAATGAGATGAACCAGGTACCTCGGTTGGAAATGCACAAATCACCCACCTTCTGTGTTGATCTCACTGGAAGCTGCAGACTGGAGCTGTTCCTGATCAGCCATATTGCCCCCGCTTTCAGGGTTTTAAGAAAAAAACATACAAAGTCATAGAATTCTGAGAAGACATTAATAATTTATTTTTGCCTATTACATGCCAAGTACTATATATATATATATATCTTCTTATTTTTAGGACAGCCCTTCTAGTTATATAGCATCATTACCTTTTACTAGATGAGAAGTCTAAAGCTCAGAAAGATAGTCATAGAGATAGAACCTGAGGTCCTATATTCCTAAGACTTAGTGCATACTTAAGTGTCTTAGCAACTTGAAGCATTTTGGTGCTGATGCCCTCTTCTTCAACCATCTCGTCTTACGAAGTACACGTTGGCATAAATTAAGTTTAAATTTTATTTAAATTGTAAAAATATTATTTTCTAAAACCCTCTTCAGAAATATTAGAGTAGGCAGAATTATGAAATTCTAATTTATAATTCAGGGCTAATATTGGTGTGCCAATTTATTTTTGCCAAATAAAATGAATTAAACATTTATTTTAATAAAATCTAAGCCATAGTTTGCTTTATTTTCCCATTGTTAGATTATTGAAGTATACTCAAATGAGATAGACTAGCTCAGACAAAGGGGTGTATGGGATTCAATTGCCAAATGATAGATTTCTCCCTCCCTTCCTCCCTTGAATATACACCAACTTTTTTTAAAAAGAAGTTACTTATTGATACAATAACACTGTGTAACAAAATACTAGATAATGCAACAGCTTTAAAATAATAAGCCTTTAAGTCAGGAGTCTGTGGGTTGGCAATTTATGCTGCACTCATATGGGTTCTTCTGGTCTTAGATGGGCTCACTCATATGTTTGGTGGTTGGTAGTTGATAGTTTGGTGATAGGAGCCACATGTATTTTATCATGCAGCAGTCTAAATTAGGAATGTTCTCATGTTGAAGGCAGAGTAGCAAGAAAAGAAACAGAAACACACAAGTACTTTTTAAATCCTTTGCTTGCATCGAGTTTTTAAATATCCATTTAGCCAAAGCAAGTCACAAGGTCAAGCCCAGAGCCTACAATGAGTAATGACATAGGAAGTATTGATACAGAGTGCCATTAACACACTCCATAAATGATATTCCACTCTTGTCACAATCATTCACATCCTTCACACATGCAAAATATGCTTACCCCCAAACTAGGATCTCAACAGTCTTATTCAGTCAGGTCATCAGGCCCCGAATCTAGGATCTCATGATCTATTATCACGTGCTGATATGACTCAGATAACAATTCTCCTAATCAAAAGACCAATAACAATTTATTGGCCACTCAACATTCAGTGATGATACAGGGATTGGATAACTACATAAAGACTCTTGTTCAGAAACAAAAAATAAAAATAAAAAGGAAGCACATAGCACTGGTGTATAGTAATTATTGCTGGACAAGCGTGGCTAAGACCCCACACAGGGGTGAAGAATGCTCCTTAATTACATCGTTACTCTTCCCTGGAGTCGCTTACCTGTCCATTGTTCTTCATGGTCTTTACCTTCGTTGTCTGAAACATAATTCTTTTGCCATTCTGCTCAGTCACTTTTGGAGAAGGCATTTAAAAATATGATTTTTGAGCACCTTCTTAGCCTGCTTCCTGTGCATAGAATATTGAAATCCCAGTGCTTATCAGAATTTATAGTCTCATTCTCTTTTAATCAAGGCTGGTAGCACTATTTCCCATGCAACATCTTTAAAACTTTTTGGGCTTCACATAAACGCAGTTCAAACTCACTCCATTGCAAAAAAGCCACAGACATAATTCTTTTTCAGATGGCCTTCTGTCTCTAGACTTCGTAGTGTTTCTTTAGGCCTGTCAGGTTGCTATAAGACAATGCTCTTAATATTCTTAGAAACACTTTTCTGTAGTTGAGAGAGTCTATATAACATCTCCTTAATTACTTCAAAGATTTAAACAAAGAGTCTTACAAAATTATCTTGGTCTTTAGTACTAAGAACATGTTTCTGGCAGCTCCTTGGATTTGATTTTTTACTAGCTTGAGAAGATAAAGAGGAGAAAAAGTTATTTTCCAATCCAGGGAATTATGGGACTCTCTAAATGTTACTCACAAACTGGGCAGTTATTTACTTAGCTCATTTCTTTTCTGTTGTATCTTATCATACACTGCCAGTAAGATCCAGTTGACATTTTCAATATTTTGCCTGGAGATATCTTTGTTCCAGTATAAATGTTAATTTGATATATTTTCCATATTCAATGTTACCACATGTTTTGCCAAATGTTTCACCACTAGATAACACTGCTTGCCATTTATTCAGGCTGCTTTAACAGTTTCCTCACCACTTTTCTAGTCTCTACTGTTTCCAAACTCTTTTACCACTCTTTACCCATTGCCTTTATAAAAGTCAATAACACATATTTTAGGTTTCTACTAGAGTGGCATTTAGCTTTCAAAATCAAACTTTTGTATATTTGTTATCTATTACTACAATAATGCTACATAACAAAACAAATCCAACTTAGTGATGTAGAACACTAGGTATTTATTTAGCTCATAAGCCTGTGGGCTAATAATTTAGAATGGACTTATCTGGGCCATTCTTCTGGTTTTAGTTGGGCTCACACACACATCTAGTGGTTGTCTGGCCGTCAACCAGGATAATAGCCATGACTGGGCCATATGTCTCACCCCACCTGGCAGGCTAGCCTGGGCATTTATTTTCATGGCGAAGCCAGAAAAACAAGAAAAGAAGTAAAAACACCAAATACTTTTTAAAGCCTCTGTTTGCACCTTTTTTGAAAAAAAAAATATTTTGTTTGCCAAAGCGAGTTTTGTGGTAAGCCATAGAGTTAATATAAAAAGATACTTACAAAGAATGTTGATACGGGGAGACATGAAAAATTGGGGTTATTAATGCAATAAATTTAAAACTCTTATTATATAACCATCTCAATTCCATTAACTTTTTTCTTAACAAAAAGATGATAGAAATCTCCAGGAAAAGGAATTGCTGCGCCTTGTACGATTTGGATGTGTGTCCCCTCTAAATCTCATGTTGAAATGTAATCCACAGTGTTGCAGGTGGGAGGTGTTTGGTTCATGGGGGCAGATCTCTCATAAATAGCTTGGTGCTTGTCTTCATGATAATGAGTGAACTCTCACTGAGTTCACATGAGATATGGTTGTTTAATAGAGAGTGGAACCTCCATGCTCTATCTTGCTCCTGCTCTCATCATGTGATGTGTTGCTCCCACTTCATCTTTTTCCATGAGTAAAGTTCCCTGAGTTTTCAACAGAAGCCAAGCGGATGCCAGCACTGTGCATCCTATACACCTTACAGAACCAGTTAAACCTCTTTTCTTTATAAATTTCCCAGACTTAGGTATTTTTTATAGTGACACAAAATGGAACTACACAATGCCCTTTTTGGTTTTGCTAAGAATAATTTTAAAACACCTATTTTTGAAATAGAAGATATGGAAAACAGCAATAGTTCAAACAGACAAAGACTTAGATAAGGCTTTTCAATATCCAATGCCTACAGAGATCAGGAAGCTAGTGCAAATTGCATATCCCATATTTAAAATGTTCCAGACAAGGTGTTTCAGATTTTTTAATTATTCAGATTTTGGAATATTAGCATGTACATAATGAGATATCGCAGGGTGGAACCCAAGTCTAAACATGAAATTTATGGAAGATTTTGGAGAAGGTATGATATATTTTTTGTGTACACTTAAAGACTGCTGTTATTTTCCTCAGGATAAGCCCAAGTGCTTACAAGGATCAACAAATAAAGTCACAGGTAGATAGATTTTACTTCAATACAAAAAAAAAAAAACAACTTACAGTCATACTTGCCTGAAGATGAAATAAAATAGATCAAGAAGTAGATTTTGGTAAAAATCCTCCAAGTAATGGGAAACAGTGAGTGTATGATGTATTAGGAATGTTGCAGAGAGGATTCAAATTTTTGATACAGGAGAAGAGATTTCAATTATGTGGATTTCAGAGTCTTTTCCAATTCTGTTTTTAATACTTATGATTCTATTAGGAGCATAGAATATTTTAAGTCAGACAACCAATATATGCTTGAAAATCTTACATTCACTATCAAAAAAGTAATAGAAGAAATTTTGAAAGAACAAAATGAGAGCCATAGGGCAGAAGAGAAACCAAAATTAATCTGAGGTTAATGTCACAAGTGATATAAGCTGCCAAGTCACTTTTGAAGCAGCCTTGGATAAGAGATCAGCCATGGATGAAGCAAGACCATTTTAGAAGTGAATGAGAAACAGTCACTGAGGATGGTGAAGTAATTCAAGCATTAAATTAATTCTTACATGTTTACCAAATGAATGACGAACAATAAGCCTACTCTTCTGTGTTTCAAGAAAAGATTTTTAAGTCACAAGGGTGATTGAAATGCCAAGTATCCAGATAAGATTAGTGCCATGTTTTAACCCTAAATTAGTCCTCTTCCATGTTTCTGTATTATCCAATAGAGAAATCTTAAGTCTTATCTTTGACCCTTTGCATCTGGGTTAAGTAGCACCAGGAGCTGGCAAAATGGAAGCCACAGTCATATCCATAGCATTTCCGTCTGTTTGAGACCAACCAGTTTTAGTGCCCACAGGGCAGAACAGCCCTTCACAAAATTGAATGGAAAAGAATTGGCTGCATTTCTCATCCTGAGGCACTAATGCAAACCTGGATTTCATTTCCTAAATTCTTGCTCATGTAATCCAGTTTACTTGAGTTTGCTAATTTTCTCTATTTCTCTATCTGTATTAAGGATAAGTTTCATTTCAAAATAATCAAGGTATAAGAGGAAACAGCATCTGTTACAAAGAAAACTGCAAAGGCAGAACAAAAGTTACACATACTGGATTTCTACTGGAATCATTTTTGTATTAATTAATGCAGGACTACAAATAAAAATCGATGTGTCCCTTGAGTTCAATGAGATTATAGTTTCTGGATTAAGACAGTACAAAAAATACTCCAATTGGTGTACATTAATTTAACACTCACTAATGGCTTAGGTACTTTCACATAGTTGTCTTAAAGTGAATATTCTCCACACTTTACAGATGAAAAAATATGAATTGCCCATATGGTGACCATATGTTTTCTTTTTTGCCCTGGCCAGTTCCAAGTTACATCTGCTTTCTTAGTATAATTTTCAACAGCATCCTGCTTCATTCTCCAACGTTACCCAGTTTTGATTACAAATTTTATGGTCACTCCAATTGTGACAGTAATAGATGGCAGACATGAGATTAAAATTATGGTCTTCTGATTTCTTCTCCTCTATTAAACATGATATTAAAGTGGATATTATATAGTGGAAATATGACAGAAATCAGCTGCTATCTTCTGAAAGTCCATTGTTAGTATTGCCATTTCCAGGTAATTACTTATTCATCTTTGTGTTAGCACTCTTGTCCCTTTGTGACTCATGCTATCTGCTCTGTAATCTTCATCTGTCCTCTTATAGCAGTATCGCAGTCACTACCACATGTTTCAACTAAAGACCATAGAACCCCGATATTTGCATTTGTTGAAGCATTCAACACTCTGGCCTGAAACTTTCTTGACTCCATAAAATCACAATCAATACATTAAGACATTCATTCCCATGGCTATTTCTTGGATACCAAATGATTATCAGAAACTATTCTACTTCTTCAAAACAAAAACTCTAGTATCACTCATACACCAAAAATGCCTTTTGTTCCAGCTTTTGTACCATCATTTCAATCTAACCAACTCTATTTAGTCTCATAATTGCTTTGTTTGTTGACCCCCATGTTTTCTGCCAGATAATCAAACTACTCTTAGCCTCACTTTCTTTTTTACCCAGCCTGTACTCTATGAAAATCTTGTCTATTCTTATATTTTTTATTATTTTGTTATATTTTGGTAACATGGAAGCAGGGTCATGTGTTTCTACCCATAGCACATCAAAGAAATCCTGGGTCATAATAGGCACTCAATACACATATGTTGAATAAATAAAGTAATGACGTCAGGGTGACTGTCTCCTCTTCATTAAATTTTCTGCTTCCAATTCTCATAATGGAGCTACAAGTAGCATATTTGAATGTGCTAGCTGGCATAGCACTGGTCTAATAAGGCTGTAGTAAGGAGGAAAATCCTCAGGTGGGCCAGCTTTGAACTACTACATGAAAATAAAATGATACCCTAATCTTTGATCAGCTATGTCACTTGCTATTACTTTTTGCATTGAATTTTATAAAATTAGCACTTGTAAATCTGTTTATTCTCTCCTAGATACTTAGCCACTTATTTTAATTGTTCCTGGCCTTTGGGATCATGCTCCAAATGGCTGGATGTCCTATAGGAATAGTAAATTTAGAGGCATATCTAGCAATGCGTTTTGCATATAAAAGTTGCCCCATCATTGACTAATGGATAAGCATATTTTCTCACTCACACATGCACTAAAAAAAAAGGGTAATTATGTGAAAATAGTCAAATGGAAACATTAAAAATAGTGTTTAAAGTAGGACACACCATTCATCAACCAATATTTTCAAAATATAAACACCTTCATATAATAAAATATTTATAAATATTTGACTATGATAACTCCATGATATAAGTAGGTTTTGTGAAATATATTTTTTATTCATCCTGAATTCTATTTGCAGTCCAGATTTGTCTGCAACTTCTGTGTAGTTTCACTTTATTGGTCTTTGGTAGAAATGACTAGTTACTTTCAGAACAATCCGTCTATTGAGGACACCTAGAATATATAGATAAAATATAAAAATTAACATTGTAACATTACAAATGCAATGTAATATACACTACACACATATATGTCTCTCTACACACACACACACACACACACACATAAACGCACACTGAAAAACTACAAATTAGTGTTCAGAGTTCATAAAAAGGGAAGGTTCTTCTTAAACACCTCAGATTTTCATTTGAGAGGCTAAAGGGCTACACTCCAGATTAACAATAAACTTCAGTAGGCGAACGCTTGTAAGGACACTCAAACCCTCACTCAGTTAAGGAAATCTGGAATTGTGAGTGCCCTCATCTAGCTGTTTACTGGATTCAGAATTAAATCAACTCTAAAGAAAGATAACATCATCTAGAACCTCAAACTTATCTACATTTTATATGTAACTCTTTAGCTTTTAATAAAATATAACCAACTATATACAAAAAAAGAGTTAACAAAATAAAGAAAAAATACGCTAAAAACAGATTCATATATGGAGTTATCAGACAAGTACTATAGAATAGCTGTAACTATTACAGTAAAAAAATTAAAGAAAAACATTGGTAGAGGACTAGACACTAAAAATTAAGAATCATATGTTAAATTCCAGAATTTGGAAATAAGCTAACTAAAAGTAAATAAAAAAATAGGTTAAACAGCAAGGTGGATGCAAATGAAAAAAAGAATTAATTGGAGATTAATCAGAAAATAATATTCATCTTGAAGCATAGAGAAACAAAAATAGATTAATGTGAATAAAGGCTTAACGTTGGGCCTGAGCCTTGGAAATTACAGATTTGTGTAAATGTAAATGTGTCTGTATCTGCCTTGTTTGCTTTGTGAGACTGCACTTAGGTTGGAGAAGCTATGAGTTGGCAACTAGGGCTTGGGCCTATATGAACAGAATAATATTCAATTATGAAAAACTAAAGCTAAGATATCTTTGTTTCAAAGTGATCCACACACATCTTGACTCTCATCTGGCAGCTGTACGTGCTCTATATGAATGAAAGACCCACACAATCTGTATATTCTTGGGTATTTGTTGGGCCTCCTGATAGGACGAATGTGCCATATCTGCTGAATTTCTTGCCTTTGTGCTTGTATCCACAATTGTGGTATTAGAAATGTAAATACAAAATATAACATAACCAAATATTAAATTTGATTGGAGAAGTGAAAGAAAATTGGGCAGAAATAGTATTAAAGATATAGTTGCTGAAATTTTCCAAAACTGATAAAAGACATTGAACCACAGATTCAAGAACTATAAACCCCAAGAATATGAATACAAATAAAACAACATCAAGGCACATCATAAGGGAACTATTGAAAAACAGGAAAATATTAAATCCAGCAGAGAAAAAACATTAGCATCAAAGAAGCAACAATATGACTATTAATAACAATAGAAAAATGTAATGACATTTTCGAAGTTCTAAAAAATAGTTGTTAACCTATACTTCTATAAGCAATAAGAAGAGTCTTAATAATAAAAGCATCAAAAGTCTATTTCTCATTTAGGTTAAGTAGCAGGTATTAGACAACACTTTCTACCAAAACAATTGTAATGATATAAAGTAAGAAAACCCCTAAGGGAGCCAAGACTTCAGGGGTCAAGTTCAAAGAGAACATGGAGGAATTTTGGAGTGTATAAAACACAAAGAGACCTGGCTAAAGGTATCAGAGAGTACTCAAGTCATCTAATACCTCAAACATTATTCTCAAAGACATAACGACACATTGGAGTAACCCTTAAATCGTGGATATTTTCCCTCTTGAAACATTTGTCAATTCTGGCAAGGAACATGAAAACTAACAGATTGCAGATTTCTTGAGCTTTACAGTAGTCTCACTGGGCTTAAAATACAAATATTAGAGTTCAGGTCTACCAAAAATGCTATTATTTAAGGGCCAAAACTCCAGAGAAAAGGGAACCAAAGAGAAGCAAGGCCAACATTCTGCACACAATTTTCTGCTGAAGCATTTTTATTAGTTCCAAGCTGCACTGGTATGGAGGATTATTTTGGGAACCCAAACTAAATGTACCTGTAATAGATAAAAGGCTAAGCAGAGACTTCATCAGTGCCATGGTGCAGAGAAGAAAAAAATTAGATTTCAGAACCTACAAAGGAAGAAACACCCTGGTAAATGACAAAAGCCTGCTGGTAAGACCCTGAAAGGGATACATCTAAGAGAAAGGACAAAATGTAAACAGACCAACTTCAATAGGATCCAAGTGATTTGACCATATTCTGTCCTCCTGCAAGAAGAAAAGTAACTCCTCTCCAAGTAAAAATAGTAGGATCCAGAGACTTTACAATTGTTTGTGCATGATGTCCATATCAATAAATAATAAATAACTGACAGGAATGGTATGAAATGAGACAAACTGACTGAAACCTAAGAGAAAGGTCAGCCAATAGAAACAGACCTATTGGTGGTCCAGATATTGAAGTTATCAGACACAGACATATAAATAACTATATGGAATATCTTCAAGAATATAGACAAAAAGATGGACAATTTAATACATGACCAAAATAATTAAATGAAAATCCTAAAATTAAAAAATAAAACAACTCAAATTAAGAATTTGATTGGTTTAACAACAGAGCAGACAGTGTAGAATAGATCAATAGTCAACTGGAGGGTAAGTCAGTAGAAAATGTAGAGAATTAAGCTTAGAGAAAAATAGGATGAAAAATATAAACAGCACATTATATGTATAACTGGAATCCATGAAAAAGATAAGGGAATATATCAGAAGATTATTTGGAATAATATCAGCCAATAATTTTCCAAAATTGATTAATTCTATCGACCATAGATAAGAGACCATCTATGTGTGTGAGCACACACACGCACACATACATGTATGTGCACACACACAAAGCACATCATGGTAAATCTTCTGAAAACCAAAGAAAACGTTAAAATCAGTCGAATGAATAATAAACGAGCTATATACTTTAAAAGAACACTGATAAGGCTAACAGCTGATTTTTTCCACAGGAAGGACTGAAGAAAGAATAAAATGTGACTTATTTAAAGGACTGAAAGCAAATTAATGTAAACTCATCATTCAACTTACAGTGAAAATATCCTTCATACATGCAAACAAAATAAAACATCTTTAGATAAATAAAAGCTGAAATATTTAATTACTATCTAATCTACAATAAAAGGCATACCAAAAAATAAATATTTATGAGAGTGAAATAATTTAAAGTAGAACTACAGTGATGAAAAAATAATGAATAACTCCTGAAAGGGTAAATTTAAATGGATAGTAACCATTTAAAGCAATAATATTGTTGAATTGCATGACTTTATAAATGTGTAGAATCAAAATTCTTGGCAACAATAGCACAAAACATAAGAAGAAGGTGAAGTAAAGTATTAGAAGATTCGTGCATTATTTGGAGAGTAGTAAAGACACTAATGTCTATTACATTTTAATGAGAAAAAATGCATGTTGTAATCTTCAGGGTAATCATGAAACAACATGAAAACAGTTTATTACCAGCGAGGCAACAAAATAAATAATAGAATTAAAAACACTTGATTAATCCAAAAGAATGCAAAGAAAAAGAGACAAATATAAACAACCTAGTCCAAAAGAAAGTAGATATAAACCCACAAATATCAGTAATTACATTAAATAAAAATGACTAACGACTCCAAATAAAAGACAAATATTGTCAGCTAAATATGAAAATAAAAGCCAAATATATGCTGTGTACTAGTGACATACTTAAATATAGGAAAATATAAAACTTGACATTAACAGGGTGGACAAAATACATCATGCATACGACTAACCCAAAGGAAGCTAATCTAACCATACTAAATATCGGAGAATTTAAGGTAAGAAAATAGAGCTGGAAGGAGACAAAGAGGCAAATTTAATAATGATAAAAAGACAACTCAATAGGAAGAAATAATTCTAAATCTGCATGCACTTAATAATATAGTTTAAAAATATATAAAGCACACATTAGCAGGAAAGGAGAAATATACAAACTCATAATCAGATTGGGAGACATTTTAACACACCTCTCTCACTAAGTGACAAAACAAGCAGACAGAAAGTCTCATGAGAATGCAAAAGTTATAAACAAATTGTTTTTCGTTTGGGCTTTCCTGCTTTTTCAGAAGCAGATCTGGAGGCAAGAATTTAAATAGCAGTAATTGATTTGGGAGATCCAGGGAATATCAGTAGGTGACTGAGGAATTTTTAAAGAAAAGAGGAGTCAGTTACTGCTGTGTGCTCCTATGGGCAAAAGAGCTTATTTTGTGAATAACCTCTGAGAAAATGGTAAAAAACAAACAAACAAACAAACAAACAAACAATACAGCTTTCTCAGTATTATACCAACCAAGGGAGGGACAAAAGCTAATAGACATAGAATATTTATACACCTGCTTCCAAGAGGTGTATAAATCAGTTAAGGGCTGTTCCCTAAAGGTATACATTCTCCAGCACTTCTGGTCTGCCATGTGAACACGGATAGCATAAACTTCTATCTTTCTATAAAAAGCCCTCAGGCACAGAGTTACTTCAAATTACCAATAAAGCAGAGCATGTGATAGTGTCAAGAATATGGATGAGGTACTAGCAGCATCTGCTGTGACAATTAACAAAAATGACCTAATTGACATTTCTAGAACACCAAATTGAAAAACTATAGCATTCACATTATTTCCAAGTGCACATGGAACACCTCCCAAGTAGACTACATGATAGGCCATAAAGCAAGTCTCAACAAATTTTAAATGATTCAAATCCTATTGAATATGTTCACTGACGGTGACATTAAACTATAATTTAATTTAAAAAATAGCTGTAGGAGTTCACACATGTCTGTATATTAAATACTTTACTCCAAAATAACCCACTGCTCCACTTTTAAGAAACGCTGATTTCTAATATGGCAGAGAGGGTCTCCCTGAGGTGAAAAATGTATGCCAACACAAGCAAATCAGAGAATAAGGATTGTAAAAAAAAAAAGTATGTTTCACTGAGAGGGAATAGTATATGTGAAGGCAATAGAAGTCAGGGAGGACTTCTTGTAAGAGACATCTTGAAAGGGCTGTGAAAAATTACTATGATTTGGCTGGATAGAGAGAAGAAAAAGCAAGGGCATCACAGGCAGAAAGAACAATATGAGTGAAAATAGGAATGGACACAAAAATATTGGCAATAGTAAACCTGAATGAAATCAAGACCTTTTGTTGGGTAGCTGTGGGAAATTAAGCTGGATAATCGGGATGGGATAAGATAATTGTGTGGAGGGCAAAGATTAGCTATGGCCCAATCCTCAAGAGATGCCTGTGCATATACTTATGTAGCAGACTTCTTTTCTAAGGGAGGCTTCAGTAGAACATTATTTGAAAACCTAAGTTTACCCACAGAGATATTAAAAGCCACTGAGTAAACATACCTTTGTAATAGCACATGTAATAATATCCCACCTTCTGTTCCAAGGAAGGCATTCCTCTGTTTAGTATATACTGTAACAGCAAGTTGCTATCAAGCCCAATATTATTTAGTGACAGATTGTTACAGTAGACAAATCTAATACAGCCCATCCTTGGTCTTTCAGCGGGCACCAGAATGAATGTTTTGGCTGAGTATTCTATACATTTACCATGGAAACACAGAGGGTTTAGCAGCATTAAAAAAATTTGAGCACAATTCAAGTCACTTAATACAGTTTAAGACTCAACAATCATGTACTTAAATTCTCTTTCAGTTAATTTCAGTATATCTTCCTTTGGTGGTTCAGAAGGGTTTTTAGGTCTTACAGGTAGTCTCAGGTCATTTATAGAAACACTAATCCTTGCCAGATTGTGTGTTCACACATAGTGATACTAGAAGCCTTGAATCCGAGGTGGCTAAATAATATAATTTCTTATAAGGTGATACTCTAGAACGGTATGGGGAAAACGGTGATAGGGTATTGGAAAAACTTGGAGAAGAACCTGCCAACAGGTGTACAGCTTTGGAAAAGGAGAGTGTTTCCTGTGTTGGAAATGAGGGATGCAGAACTGTGTGTTCTCCTTAGAATCCCCAAAGAAGATAGTGGTTCAGCCCTAAGTCAGAGTGGATACATTTTCTAGCTCTATTTATTACCTTGACTTCCTTCAGCTTCCTTAGCCTAGCTGCTCAATCCAAGGTGAGAGTACTTCATCTTCCTTGGATTCTGTTTCCTTAGGGTCCCAGTCTCAAGAGTTATGAAACCCAGAATTTTGTGAATGGAGAAATTAAGTTAGGAAACCATTAGTAGGAATTCAAAGGGAAAGGGATAAATTGCAATATATGCAGGGTGTTATGAAAAACTCAGAAAACAGGGACAAAATATATTCTACTTTTAAAACTATATCATTTGTTTTTTGTTTCCAAGATGGTAGATTACAGGCATTGCTAACATACCTCTCCCACTTAGAAGGACAAAACAGTGTCTAGAGATTCACACTGTGAACTTTTTTCAAAAAGTGATGCAGGAACTGAACAGGAAAACCAAAGGAATCTACAGATCCTTTGAAGGAAGTAGGAGGCTGCAACCTACACAGTGAGTCAGGCAAAAGGCTGTGAGTCCCCAGAGTGTGAGGGGGAGGCACAGCCTCTGGGACACCCCCACTCCCCCGCCCCCCTCCCCCCACCGAGGATCTTAAAAGTCCAAGCCACAGGAAAGGCCCTAACCCTATCCAGCACAGTAATAGACTTATGGACTATCTTGGAATATAAAAGTAGAAACAGTGGCAGGAAGACCCTTGCATGCACTCCCAGTTTCCAGCGTGGACTGAGGGAAACCATTCCTTACTGTTTCTCACAGGGAACCCTGTGGAGGACAGCCAAATAGTTTAGGCAGTGGTCACGGGTTGAAAGAAGCTCCCAAGTAGGTTTTATGATATAACCTTGGATGGGGATGATGAACTCCTTCGGCCAGGGCCGGGGTGAGAGAGAGTGAAAAGCAGGCTGCATCTGTGAGTACAGGAGCCACAAGTGCAGAAGTCAGGCACCTGGCTTTGTAGTGAACAGGGAAAGGCATGGCCTGAAAGCTGTGGTTGCTATCTCCGTGGAGAAGCTTATGACTCAGAGCAGTTGTGAGTTCTGAGTGCAAGATGTCCAGAACTTAGCCCACTGCTACCAGTGGAACACTGCAGGAGTGGATATAATTTTCCAAGTGTGTGGAATTTGTGTGCAGCTTACCACCGCCTGCTACTCCCTATTCCCTGTGTGAACTGTTCTGCACAGCAGAGGCAGCAACACTCCCCTCTGGAACATCAACTGAGTGGCCTGAGAACTGCTTCCATCACCTGACATCCACAAGGGCTACTGCTTGCCCTGCACATGGAGACTCAGAGCACAAACTTACCTGACCAAGCCCCCACCTAATTTTGCCCTGCCATCTGCCCTGGTAGCTTAACACAAAGGACAGAAACTCTTAAGAGCTATATGAAAGAACTATATAAGGCCCTGCTCATTGCCTGAGAAACCAGAGTATCCACCCTGGGCAACATAAGGCAAGCAAAACTCCCGCTACTACTACTGCAGCTAGTGCTGTTTTGCAAGTACCACCTCCTGGCTGGAGGCCAACCAACACAGGTCATTACAACATCTCTTGGTAGAATAATACTGCTCCCAGGAAGGAGAAAATGGCTGCACAATCTCAGCTATCACCACTTCCTGCATCACTCTGGCTAACCAGGAGCTCCTGAGTCTGTCCACATGACCAGTTTATTACTACTGTAACTGGCCATCATGAAAGCCAACATACTAAGGGTCTCAACAGCCAAGTAATCTCAGAGTCTACATTACTCCCCTGCCGTTCTCATTAGAGCTGGTGCTGCCACCCATTACTGGAAGACGTGAGGACAGATCACATCACCAGATCCACTGCAGACATTTCCCAGCACCACCCTGAAGTATGGAAACTTCACTGGGCAGCTAGACCCAAAGGAGCGACAACATTCACAATAGTCTGGCCCCCAGGGACTCCCACTCCTAGGAAAAGTGGGAGTGCACCACATCAAAAGAACACCCCGTGAGACAAAAAAATCTGAACGGCAGGCCTTGAGCACTAGATCTTTCCACTGGTGGGAAGTATCTTTCCATAGAGTCATAATTGCAGTGCTGGGCTCAGCAAGGAAAGATTTCAGGTCTAACCCAATAGTCAGACAACTCTGGTGCGCATGAAGAGTCTTGGAGAAGGAGACATCCTTCCCACCTTGTCCAACACTGCAAGCACATTTGGGGCTTCTCCCATGAAAGCCTGGCATGGGTGCAACTATAGACAGCTTTTCTGGAACACATCAGGGTGACGGCATCCCTTCAGGAGGAACATCCTCCAAGTTCAGGCTTGAATGAGAGACAGAGTCACAATTCCTCTCTACTTGAAACATCAACATTCATGTAGATGAAAAGAGGTAACTGTCTGATCTGAATAGCTGGAGCACTAGGACAGGAGTGTATCTGACCAGTAGGTAACTTTCCTCTTTACTTGGCAGGGAAACTGAGTTGACTCCAACCTTTGCCCCTAATAAGACCTCACTGTGACTCACTGAGAGTTTTTCCAGCCACTTCTGTCAAGGCTAGAACCTCTGCCCACCATGGGGTATTGCACTTACCCACCGGCTTTAGCCACAGCCACTTTCTACCCAGGGACACCTACCATACTGGCCTGAAGCCTGAACCATCAAATCATTAAATGAAATACTGGGGAAATATAAATAAATAATACATAAATAAATAAGTAAGTAAATAAATAAATAAAGCATGCCACAGGGGAATGAGACAGGCTTCAAGAGCCCTTTACCATCCCCACCCCATATGAAGCAGTAAACTTGTTCACACAATGAGCACATTGCTACGACAACCAGCATATGAGAAAACCACCTGCATTAGTCTATTCTTGCACTGCTATAAATACCTGAGACTGGGTAATTTATAAAGAAAAACGGTTTAATTGGCTCACAGTGCTGCCGGCTGTACAGAACACATAGTGGCTTCTACTTCTGGGGAGGCCTCAGGAAGCCTCCAATCATGGCAGAAGGCAAATAAGGAGCATGATGTTTCACATGGCTGGAGAAGGAGGTAGAGAGAGGGGGGAGATGCCACACACTTTTAAATGACCAGATCTCATGAGAACTCACTGTCACAACGGCAGCACAAAGGAAGATGGTATTAAATCATGAGAAACTGACCCCATGATCCAATCACTTCCCACCAGGCTCCATCTCCAACCTTGAGGATTACAATTGAACATGAGATTTGGGTAGGAACACAGATTCAAAGTATATCACCACCAAACAAAGACTCTCTATAACCAAGGAACTCTTACAGAGTCTTCACCCTTGAAAGCACCAAGAACTGAATTAAGCTATTATTAACTATAAGCATTAAAGCCACATTCTTAAGGGGAAAAAATAAATTAAAAAATAAACAAAAAAGAAACAGTCAAATCAAACATAAATTCCAGAATATTTAGAAGAAATAGCTTACCCAACTAAGAAGGAACCAGAAAAATAACTCTGGTAGTAGGACAAAACAGGATTCTATAACGCCCCCAAAAGATCACACTAGCTATCCAGCAATGAATTCAAAACAAGATGAAATATTTGAAATACCAGATTAGGAATTCAGAAGGTTGATTATTAAGCTACTCAATGAGATATCAGAGAAAGGTGAAAATCATCATAAGAAAATTTAAAAAGCAGTTCAGGATATGAATAAAATCTTTCCAGACTGATAGATATAATAAAGAAAAAACAGTCAGAATTTCTGGAAATAAAGCACACACTTAGGGAATTACAAAATGCAGTGGAAAGTTTTAACAATAAACTAGAACAAGTAGAAAAAATAATTTCAGAGCTCAAAGACAAGGCTATTGAATTAACCCAATCTGACAAAAATTTTTAAAAATCAAAATCAGTGAGCAAAATCTCCAATAAACATGGAATTATGTAAAACAGCCAAATCTAAAAATAACTGGTGTTCCTGAAGGAGAAGGGAAACAAAATCTGAAAAACTTATTTGAGGAAATAAATGAGGAAAGCTTTCCTGGTCTGGATAGAGACCTAGATATCCAAATTTAAGAAGCTCAAATAACTCGTGAGAAATTTATTGCAAAAAGATTTTAACCAAGGCATATATTCATCAGGCTATCTAAAGTCAACATGAAGAAAATAATTCTAAGAGAAGTAAGGCAAAAGCATCAGGTAACCTACAAAGGAAAACCTATGAGAATAACAAAAGACTTCTCAGCAGAAGCTTCACAAGCCAGAAGGGATTGGGGTTCTATTTTCAACCTTTTTAAACTGAACAACTGTCAGCCAAGAATTTTGTATCCACCAAAAAATAAGTTTCATAAATGAAAGAGAAATAAATTTATTTTCAGACAAATGCTGAGGGAATTTGTCACTACCAAACCAGCACTACAAGATATGGTAAGAGGAGTTCTAGATCTTGAAACAAAAGCCTGATCTGCACCAAAATAGAACCTCTTGAAAGCTTAAAACTCACAGGGCATATAAAACAAAAATACAATTTAAAAAACATCTAAGTAACAATTAACATGATAAAGAGAACAGTACTTCACATCTCAATATTTACATTGAACCTAAATGGCCAAAATGCTTCACTTTAGAGATATAGAATCACAGAATAGATAAAAAACTACCAGCCAAATGTCTGATGTCTTCAAGAGACTCTCCAAATTGGAAAGATTCCTATAAACGCAAGCTAAAAGTTGGGCGGGGGGAGATATTCCACACAAACGGAAACCAAAATTGAACAGTAGTAACTTTTCTTAAATCAGACAAAAGCAGACCTCAAAGCAGCAACAGTAAAAAAAGACAATGATGGTCACTATACAACAATAAAAGAATCAATGTTAAGGGGTGGGACCAAGATGGCCAACTAGAAGCAACAGTGATCAGAGGCTCCCATCAAAAAGAACAAAAAGAGTGTGCAAATCCAGCACAGGCATCCAAGGTATCCAGGTTCTGTCATCAGGACTGACTAGGCAGCTGACGTGATCCACAGAGAGGAAGGAAGAGCAGTGTGGTGAAGCAGCCCACCTGAGATCCATAAAGGGCAGGGGAGCCCCCAACCCCCAGCCAAGGGAGGCAGTGAGTAAGCATGCTACCCAGCCTGGGAAGCCATGCTTTTTCCTCAGAACTGTGAAACCCATGGATCAGAAGATCCCACTCATGAGCCCACGCCATGGGGGCCTAGGGTTCCAACCACAGAGCTGTGCAGACACTCAATAGCCACTCACCTAGAATCTGCTTAAGCCTGCTGAGTTCCCCAGAAAAGGGGCAATTGCCTGCTGTCTAAGCCACCTGAGCTCCTTGGGAGAGGGACAGCAGCCAACACTGGGACTGCTAGCTGTGTAACCCATTAAGCTCCCGGGGTGGGAGAAGGGTGGCAACCATCTCCATAGCTCCAGGCCATGCTTTACCCCTGCTAGAGCCAAGGAGGCTGGATGGCTTGGTCCCAAGGGGTATTCCCCATAGCCCAACACATCAGCTATGGCAGCTGTGACCACAGTGCCTCTTTGGGCCTGACCCTGACCCATCCCTCCTCACTGGGGAGTGCTTCCCTGCAGGAATTCCAACTCCAGACAGGGGCTCAGGGACAGAACTCTGATCTCCCTGGGCCTGAGCCCCTGGGGGGAAGGGTGGCCATAGTCTCCACGGACCAGCAGACTTAGTCATTTCTCCCTCTAGTTCTGAGAAATTTGAGCAGCACCTCCCCTCCACCAAGGGAGAGCCAAAGTGCTTCATTAAATGGGTCCTGTTCCCTGTGCTACCCAAATGGGTGAGACTCTCCAACAGGGGTTGTCAGACATCCTATAAAGGAGCATTCCTACTGGCATCAGGTTGGTTCCCTTAGAGGTCAGAAATCCCAGAAGAAGGAACAGACACCCATCTTTGCTGTTCTCCAACCTCCTCAAGTGACATCTCCAGGCACAGGAGTGAACCAGATGAATAGGGCCTGAAGGGAACCCCCAGCAAACCACAGCAGCCCTACAGAAGAGGGACCTTACCATTAAAAGAAAAAACAAAAAAACAGAAAGCAACAACAACAGCATCAACTAAAAAAGTCCCCATAAAAACCTCATCCAAGGGTCAGCACCTCAAAGATCAAAAATGGACAAACTCATGAAGATGAGAAAGAATCAACAACAACAACAACAAAAAACACTGAAAACCCAAAAGGCCAGAGTGCCTCTTCTCATCCAAATGATCACAACACCTCTCCAGCAAAAACTGGAAGGAGGATGAGATGGACAAATTGATAGAAGTAGGCTTCAGAAGGTGGGTAATAACAAACTCTGCTGAGCTAAAAAAAGATGTTCTAACCCAATGCAAAGAAGCTAAGAACCTTGATAAAAGGTTACAGGAGCTGCTAACTAGAATAACCAATGTAGAGAGGAACATAATTGACTTGATGGAGCTGAAAAACAGCACTAGAACATCTTGAAGCACACACAAGTATCAGCAGCTGAATCGATCAAGGAGAAGAAAGAATATCAGAGTTTGAAGACCATCTTGCTGAAATAAGGCAGGCAGACAAGATTAGAGAAAAATGAATTAAAAGTAACAAACAAAGCCTAAGAGAAATATGGGACTACATAGAAAGACTGAACCTACAATTGATTGCAGTATCTGAAAGAGACAGGGAGAATGGAACCAAGTTGGAAAACACACTTCGGGATAATAGCCAGGAGAACTTCCCCAACCTAGAAAGACAGGCCAACATTCAAATTCAGGAAATAAAGAGAATACCAGTAAGACACCCCATGAGAAGATCAACCCCAAGACGTATAATCACCAGATTCTCCAAGGTTGAAATGGAGGAAAAAAATACTAAGGTAAGTCAGAGAGAAAGTCCAGTTCACCTACAAAGGAAAGCCCATCAGACTAAACACGGATCGCTCAGCAGAAACAATACAAGCCAGAAGAGAGTGGGGGCCAATATTTGACATTCTTAAGAAAAGAATTTTCAACCCAAAATTTCATATCCAGCCAAACTAAGCTCCATAAGAGAAGGAGAAATAAAATCCTTTGCAGACAAGCAAATGTCAAGGGATTTCATCACTGCTAGGCCTGCCGTGCAAGAGTTCCTGAAGTAAGCACTAAATATGGAAAGGAAAAACTGGTACCAGCCACTGCAAAAATACACTAAAATATAAAGACCAAAGACACTATGAAGAAACTGCATCAACTAGTGGGCAAAATAACCAGATAACATCATGATGACAGGATCAAATTCACACATAACAATATTAACCTTAAATGTAAATGCACTAAATGCCCCAATTAAAAGACACAGAGTGACAAATTGGATAAAGATTCAAGACCCAGTGTTGTGCTGTACTCAGGAGACCCATCTCATATGCAAGCACACACATAGGCTCAAAATAAAGGGATGGAGCAAATTTACCAAGCAATTGGAAAGCGGAAAAAAAAAAAAAAAAACAGGGGTTGCAATCCTAATCTCTGACAAAACAAACTTTAAACCAACAAAGATCAAAAAAGACAAAGAAAGGTACTACATACGGTAAAGAGATCAATTCAACAAGAAGAGCTAGCTATCCTAAATACATATGCACCCAATAAAGGAGCACCCATATTCATAATACAAGTTCTCAGAGACCTACAAAGAGACTTAGACTCCCACACAATAATAGTGGGAGAATTTAACACCCTACTGTCAATATTAAACAGATTAACAAGACAGAAAATTAAGAAGGATATTCAGGACTTGAACTGAATTCTGGATCCAAGTAGACATAATAAACATCTACAGAACTCTCCACCCCAAATCAACAGAATATACATTCTTCTCAGCACCACATGGCACTTATTCTAAAATTGACCACGTAATTGGAAGTAAAAAACTGCTCAGCAAATACAGAAGAACTGAAATCATAACAAACAGTCTCTGAGACCACAGTGCAGTCACATTAGAACTCAGGATTAAGAAACCCACTCAAAGCAACACAACTACATGGAAATTGAACAACCTGCTCCTGAATGATGTCTGGGTAAATAATGAAATTATGGAAGAAATCAAGAAGTTCTTTGAAACCAACAAGAACAAAGAGACAATGTACCAAAATCTCTAGGACACAATTAAGCAGGATTAAGAGGGAAATTTATAGCACTAAATGCTTACATCAGAAAGCTAGAAAGATCTCAAATCAACACCCTAACATCACAATTAAAAGAATTAGAGAAGCAAGAGCAAACAAATCCAAAAGCTAGCAAAAGACAAGACGTAACTAAGACCAGAGCAGAACTAAAGGAGATAGAGACATGAAAAACACTTCAAAAATCAATGAATACATGAGCTGGGTTTTTTTTTTTTTTTTGAGAAAAAAATAACAAAATAGATAGACTGCTAGCTGGACTACTAAATAATAAAAGAACAAAATCAAATAGACAAAATAAAAAATGGTAAAAGGGACATCACCACTGACCCCACAGAAATGCAAACTACCATCAGAGAATACTATAAACACCTCTAAACAAATAAACTAGAAAATCTAGAAGAAATGGATAAATTCCTGGACACATACACTCTTCTAAGACTCAACCAGGAAGAAGTCAAATCCCTGAATAGATTAATATCAATTTCTGAAATTGAGGCAGTAATTAATAGCCTAACAACCAAAAAAGCCCAGTACCAGATGGATTTACAGCTGAATTCTACCAGAGGTACAAAAAGGAGCTGGTACCATTCCTTCTAAAGCTATTCCAAACAATTAAAAAGGAGGGACTCCTCCCTAACTCATTTTATGAGGCCAGTATCATCTTTATAACAAATCCTGCAGAGACAACAAAGAAAGAAAACTTCACACCAGTATCCCTGATGAACATTAATGGGAAAATCCTCAATAAAATACCGGTAAACTCAATCCAGCAGCACATCAAAAAGCTTATCCACCACAATCAAGTCAGCTTCTTCTTTGGGATTCAAGGCTGGTTCAACATACGCAAATCAGTAAATGTAATACATTACATAAACAGAACAAATGACAAAAACCACATGATAATCTCAATAGATGCAGAAAAGGCTTTGATAAAATTCAACATCCCTTCATGTTAAAATCTCTCAATATACTAGATGTTGATGAAACATATTTCAAAATAATCAGAGCTATGTATGACTAACTTACAGTGAATGTCATACTGAATGGACAAAAGCTGGAAGCATTCCCTTTGAAAACCAGCACAGGACAAGGAAGCCCTCTCTCACAACTCCTATTAAACATAGTAAGGGAAGTTCTGGCTAGGGCAACAAGGCAAGACAAAAAAATAAAGGGTACTCGAATACTAAGAGAGAAAGTCAAATTGTCTCTGTTTGCAGATGACATGATTCTATATTTAGAAAACCCCGTCATCTCAGCCTTAAACTCCTTAAGCTGATAAGCAACTTCAGCAAAGTCTCAGGATATGAAACCACTGTACAAAAATCACAAGCATTCTTACACACCAACAATAGCCAAGCAGAAAGCAAAATCATAAATGAACTTTAATTCACAATTGCTACAAAAAGAATACAATACCTAGAAACACAGCTAACAAAGGATGTGAAGAACCTCTTCAAAGAGAACTACAATCCACTGCTCAAGAAAATAAAAGAGGACACAAACAAATGAAAAAAAAATCCCATCCTCATGGAAAGGAAGAATCAATATCGTGAAAATGGCCATACTGCCCAAAGTAATTTGTAGATTCAATGCTTTTCCCATCAAACTACCATTGACATTCTTCACGGAATTAGAAAAAAAAACTACTTTAAATTTCATATGAAATGAAAAAAAGAGCACATATAGCCAAGACAATCCTAAGCAAAAAAAAAAAAAAAAAAAAAAAAAGCTGGGGGGGCATTATGCTACCTGACTTCAAACTATACTACAAGTCTGCAGTAACCAAAACAGCATGGTACTGGTACCAAAACAGACATACAGCCCAACAGAACAGAACAGAGATGTTGGAAATAACACCGCACATCTACAATCATCTGATCTTCGACAAACCTGACAAAAACAAGCAATGGGGAAAGGAGTCCCTATTTAATAAATGGTGCTGGAAAAACTGGCTAGCCATATGCAGAAAACTGAACCTGGACCCCTTCCTTACACCTTAAACAAAAATTAATTCAAGATGTATTAAAGACTTAAATGTAAAACTCAAAACCATAAAAACCCTAGAATAAAACTTAGGCAATGCCATTGAGGACATAGGCCTGGGCAAAGATTTCATGACGAACATGCCAAAAGCAATTGCAACAAAAGCTAAAATTGACAAATGGGATCTAATTGTGCTAAAGAGCTTCTGCACAGCAAAAGAAACTATCATCAGAGTGAAAGACAACCTATAGAATGGGAGACAATTTTTGCAATCTATTTATCTGACAAAGGTCTAATATCCAGAATTTGCAAGAAACTTAAACAAATTTACAAGAAAAAAAAAGACCCCATCAAAAAGTGGGCAAAGGATATGAACAGACACTTCTCAAAAGAAGACATTTATGCAGCCAACAGACTTTTGGAAAAAAGCTCAACATCACTGATCATTAGAAAATTACAAATGAAAACCACAATGAGATACAATCTCATGCCAGTCAGAATGGTGATTCTTAAAAAGTCAAGAAACAATAGATGCTGGCAAGGCTGTGGAGAAATAGGAATGCTTTTATACTGTTGATGGGAATGTAAATTAGTTCAAACATTGTGGAAGACGATTCTTGTAGGATCTAGAACCAGAAATACCATTTGACCCAGCAATCCCATTACTGTTATATACCAAAATTAGTATAAATTATTCTACTATAAAGACACATGCACATGTATGTTTATTGCAGCACTATTTACAATAGCAAAGACATGGAAGCAACCCAAATGCCCACCAATGTTAGACTGGATAAAGAAAATGTGGTACATATACACCATGGAATGCTATGCAGCCATAAAAAAGAATGAGATAATATCCTTTGCAGGGACATGGATGAAGCTGGAAGCCATCATCCTCAGCAAACTAACACAGGAACAGAAAACTAAATACTGCATATTCTCACTCATAAGTAGGAGCTGAACAATGAGAACGTATGGACACAGGTAGGGGAGCAACACACACTAGGGCCTGTCAAGTTTTGAGGAGCTAGGGGAGGGAGAGTATCAGGACAAATAGCAAATGCATGTGAGGCTTATAACCTAGATGACGGGCTGATAGATGCAGCAAACCACCATGAAACATGTATACCTATGTAAAAACCTGCACATTCTGTGCATGTATCCTGGAACTTAAAGTAAAATAAAAAATAGAAAAAAAAGAATCAATCCAATAAGAAGGCATTACAATCCTAAATTTATGTGCACCTAATAGTTGAGCTCACACACAGATTCATAAAACAATTAGTACTAGACCTAAGAAGTGAGATAGAAAGCAACACAATAATAGTGGGAATCTTCAATACACTATTGACAGCACTAGACAGATCAATATACTACTGACAGATCTTCAAGACAGATAGTCAACAAAGAAACAATGGATTTAAATGACATGCTAGAACAAATGGACTTAACAGATATTTATAGAACATTTTACCCAAGAACTTCAGAATATACATTTTTCTCATCAGCACATGGAACATTCTCCAAGATAGACCATACTATAGGCAACAAAACAAGTCTCAATAAATTTTTAAAAATTAAAATTATATCAATATCTTGTCAGACCACAGCAGAATAATATTAGAAATCAACTCTAAAAGGAACATTCAAAGCTGTGCAAATATATGGAAATCAAATAATTGGTTCCTGAATGACATCTAGCTTAACAATGAAATCCAGATGGAAATTTAAAAGTTCTTCAAATTCAATTATAATGACACAAGTTATCAAAACCTCTGGGATACAGCAAAAGCACTGCTAAAAGGAAAGTTTATAGTACAAAAAGCCTACATCAAAAAGTCTGAAAGAGCACAAATTGAAAACCTAATGTCATACCTCAAGGAACTAGAGAAATAAAAACAAAACAAATGTACAACTAACAGAAGAAAAGAAATAACAGGTCAGAGCAGAACTAAAGGAAATTTAAAGAATAAAATTACATGAGATCAATGAAATAAAAAGCTGGTTAAAAAAAAAAACTAAATAAAATAGATAGACCATTAGCTATATTAACCAAATAAAGTAGAGAAGGCCCAGCGCAGCGTCTCACACCTGTAATCCCAGCACTTTGGGAGGCCAAGACTGGCAGATCACTTGAACTCAGGAGTTTCAGACCAGCACGGGCAACATGGCAAAACCTCATCTCTACAAAAAAATGAAAAAATTAACCAGGTGTGGTAGGTGTGTGCCAGCAGCCCCAGCTACATGGGAGGCTAAGGTGGAAGGATTGCTTGAGCCTGGGAAGCCGAGGCTGCAGTGAGCATAGATTGGGCCCCGCACTCCAGCCTGGGTGACCAAGCAAGAACCATCTCAAAGAAAAAAAAAAAAAAAAAAAAAAGAACAAAGAAGATTCAAATAGCCTCAATTTGAAATGAAACTGGAGACATTACAACTGACCACAGATATACAAAACATCATTCAAGACTACTATGAACACCTTTATGTGTACAAACTAGATACACTAGAGGAAATGGATATATTCCTTGTAACATATAACCTTCCTAGATTAAATCAGGAAGAAATAGAAACCCTGAACAGACCAGTAACAAGCAGCGAGATTGAATCAGTAATTTAAAAATTGCAAACAAATAAAAAACCCAGGACCAGATGGATTCACAGATGAATTCTATTAGACATTCAAAGAAGGATTGGTACTAATCCTACTGAAACTATTCAAAGACTGAGAAAGAGGGAATCCTCCCTACATCGTTATATGAAGCTAGTATCACCCTGACACTAAAACCAGGAAAGGGCACAACAAAAACAGAAAACTACAGACCAATTTCCCTGATGAACATAGATGCAAAAATCCTCAACAAAATACTAGCTAACTGAATCCAACAGCACATCAAAAAGATAATACATCGTGATCAATTCGGTTTCATCCAAGGGATGCAGAGATAGTTTAACATACATAATTCAATCAATGTGATGTACCACATAAGCAGAATTAAAAACAAAAAAAAATTATTATCTCAGTAGATGCAGAAAAAGCATTCAACAAAATCTGGAATTCCTTTATGATAAAAACTCTCTAAGCAAAAAAGATACTTACCTCAAATTAATAAAAACCGTATATGACAAACCCATAGCCAATATCATACTGAATGGGGAAAAGTTGAAAGCATTTCCCCTGAGAACAGAAAAAAGACAAAGGTGCCCACTTTCACCACTCCTATTCAACTTAGTTCTGGACGTCCTGGCCAGAGAAATTAAGCAAGAGAAAGAAATAAAGGGCATCCAAATTGAAAAGAGAAAGTCAAATTATTGCTGTTTGCAGATGCTATGATTATATTCCTTGAAAATCCTAAAGACTCCTCCAAAAGACTCCTGAACTTTATAAACAAATTCAGTAAAGTCTCAGGTTACAAAATCAATGTACACAAATCAGCAGCACTGGTATACACCAACAACAACTAAACTGAGAATCAAATCAAGAACTCATTTCCTTTTACAACAGATGCAAAAAAGGGAAAATATCTAGGAATATACCTAGGAATTTCACCAAGGAGGTGAAAGATCTCTACAAGGAAAACTCCCATAAACTGCAGAAAGAAATCATACATGACACAAACAAATGGAAACACATTCCATGCTTAAGGATTGAAAGAATCAATATGCGAAAATGACCATACTGCCCAAACCAATCTACATATTTAATGCAATTCCCATCAAAATATCAACATCATTTTTCACAGAATTAGAAAAAAAAATCTTTAAATTCATATGGAATAAAAAAAGAGCCTGAATAGCCAAAGCAATCCTCAGCAAAGTAACAAATCAAGAGACATCATATTACCCAACTTCAAACTCCATTACAAGGCTACAGTTATCAAAACAGCATGGTAGTAGTATAAAAGCAGGCACATAGACCAACGGAACAGAATAAAGAACCCAGAAATAAAGCCAGGTGCATACACCCAAATGATTTTCAACAAAGCATACAAAAATATTACCTTATTTAATAAATTATGCTGGGAAAACTGGCAAACCACTTGTAGAACAATGAAACTGGATCCCTATCTCCAACTTTAAACAAAAATCAACTTAAGATGGATTAAGACTTATATATAGAACCTGAAACTATAAAAGTTTTAGAAGACAACATTGGAAAAACTCTTCTAGACATTGGCCTAGGCAAAGAATTCGTGACTAAAACCCCAAAAGCAAATGCAACAAGAACAAAAATAAATAAATGGGACCCAATTAAACTAAAAAGCTTCTTCACAGCAAAAATAATAGCAATAATAATCAGTAAACAGGCAACCTACAATGTGGAAGGAAAGATTTGCAAACTACTCATCTAACAAAAGGCTAGTATCTAGAATCTACAAAGAGCTCAAACTTATTAGCAAATAATAATAATAACAGTAATAATCCCATCAAAACATGGGCAAAGCATGGTACTGGTATAAAAATAGGCACACAGACCAATGGAACAGAATACCGGATACAGAAATAAAGCCAAATACTTACAGTCAAGTGATCTTCGACAAAGCAAACAAAAACATGAACTGTGGAAAGGACACTCTACTCAACAAATGGCACTGGGCTAATTGGCAAACCACATATACAAGAATGAAACTGGATCCTTATCTCTCACCTTACACAAAAATCAACTCAAGATGGGTCAAAGACTTAAATCCAAGATCTGAAATCATCAAAATTCTAGAAGATAACATCAGAAAAACCCTTGTAGACACTGTCTTAGGCAAATACTTCATGACCAAGAACCCAAAAGCAATTACAACAAAAACAAAGATAAATAGATAGAATTTAATTAAACTCAAAAGCTTCTGCACAGCAAAAGAAATAATCAGCAGAGTTAACAGACAACCCACAGAGTAGGAGAAAATCTTTGCAAACTCTGCAACCAACAAATAACTAATATCCAGGATCTTCAAGGAACTCAAACAAATCAGCAAGAAAAAAATAAACAATCCCATCAAAAAGTGGGCTAAGGACATGAATAGACAATTCTCAAAAGAAGATACACAAATGGCCAACAAACATATTAAAACAATGCTCAACATCACTAATGATCAGTGAAATACAAATCAAAACCTCAATGAGATACCACCTTACTCCTGCAAGAATGGCCATCATAAAAAAAATCAAAAAATAATAATGTTGGCATGGATATGGTGAAAAAGAAACACTTTTACACTGTTAGTGGAAATGTAAACTAGTACACCCACAATGGAAAATAGTGTGGAAATTCCTTAAAGAACTAAAAGTAGATCTATCATTTGATTCAGCAATTCCACTACTGGGTATCTACCCAGAGGAAAATAAATCTTTATATGAAAAAGACACTTGCACACGCATGTTTGTGGCAGCACAATTCACAATTACAACAATATGAAACCAGTCCAAATGCCAATCAATCAACAAGTGGATAAATATGTGATATATATGTGTGTATATGTGTGTGTGTGTATATATATATATGTGTATATATATACCATGAAATACAATTCAGCCATAAAATGGAATGAAATAATGGCAGTAGCAGCAACCTGGATGGAATTGGAGACCATTATTCTGAGTGAAGTAACACAGGAATGGAAAACCAAACACTGTATGTTCTCACTCATAAGTGGGAGCTAAGCTATGAGGATGCAAAAGGCTAAGAATGTTACAATGAACTTTGGGGATTCGGGGGAAGGGTGGGAGGGGACTGAAGGATAAAAGACTACATATTGGGTACAGTGCTCTCTGCTCAGTTGATGGATGCATCAAAATCTCAGAAATCACCACTAAAGAATTTATCCATGTAACCAAACACCACCTGTCCCACAAAAACTTATTGAAATAAAAAAGAAAAATTTTAAAAAGCAATTAAGAAAAAAGTGGACAAAAGCCATGAATAGACAATTCTCAAAAGAAGATATGCAAATGGCCAAAAAACATAAGAAAAAATGCTCGTCATTGGTAATGATCAGGGAAATGCAAATCAAAACCACAATGGGATACCACATTACTCCTGCAAGAATGCCCATAATCAAAAAATAGAAAAATAATAGATGTTGTTGGGAATGTGGTGGAAAGGGAATGTTTTACGCTGCTGGATAGAATGTAAATTAGTACAACTTCTATGAAAAACAGTATGGATATTTCTTAAACAGGTAAAAGTAGTTCTATTATTCAATCTAGAAAACCCACTACTGGGTATCTACCCAAAGGAAAAGAACTCATTATACGAAGAAGACATTTGTACATGTATGTCTATAGCAGCACAGTTCATCATTGTAACAATGTGGAACCAAACAAAATGCCCATAAACTAATATGTAGATAAAGAAAATGTGGTATATATACACACCATGGAATACTACTCAGCCATAAAAAGGAACAAAATCATGTATCTTGCAGCAACTTGGATGGAGTTGAAAGCTGTTATTCTAGATGAAGTAACAGGAGTGAAAATCTAAAGCCATATGTTCTCACTTTTAAATTGGAGCTAAGCTATCAGAACACAAAGGCGTAAGAATGATATAATGGACTTTAGAGACCCAGAAGGAGGAGGGTAGGAGTGGGACTATGGAAAAAAACTACCTGTTAGGTACAATGTACACTTCTCGGTGATGGGTGCACTAAAATCTCAGAATTCACCACTCCATAATTCATTCACGCAACAACAAAAAAACACTTGTACCCCAAAAGCTATTAAAATACAAATATTTTAAAATTTAAAAAATAAGTTATTTCAAGGTCCAGCCAGATTTAAGGCAAGAATTAACATTTAGTTAGATTGGATCCTCCTATTTATTATTATTTCTATTCATAATACATTCATAACATTATTCCTGTTTTATAAAAGAGAAAACAGAATGATGTATTGATAAATAAGCTAATGTATATAACCTGCCCATAGTCACACAGCTAATGAATATTTGAAACAGTATTTAAACTTAGATTTGTCTGATTTCAAAACCACTTTCTTCATACTATTCCATACACTCTCACCTTAACATTGGCAATAGCTCAGGAAGGTAAAAAGTAAAACAATAATATGAATAGCTAACATCTTGAAAGCTGTGTGCCAGGTAGTGAACTAAGCACTTCCCATGTATTATTTCAACTTAACTAATTTTAAAGTTTTAGAAACCAAGAAACAGAGGGCTTAAGTAATATGTTCAAGGTCTCATAGTAAGTGAGCAACCAGGATTTGAACTTAGGCTCTGTGATTCCAGAGTCTACTTTTTAAAGCTTTATGACATATTCAAACAGAAGAGTATCATAAATATGTTAGCTCGATTTTGGTATTCAAAGTCAGGATGCCCCTAGACCTTCATTCAACTAGGATGTAAATGCCCAATTAGGAAGTTGTGTTCATACTTTAAATTTATTGTATTGGTTTTGCTCCTAACACTCCACGAGAAGATACTCCAATACCCAGCAAAGGGGAGTAGAGAGGGTTTTGTTCATGGATAATGCCATTTGGCAAAGGGGTATCTCCTGCAGCATCCAGTGCCTGTTTTGAAGGGGCAACATCTGGCTTAGAGCCCAAGGTAATATTCTGGACTCAAGTATGTAAATTTATGCCACACGGCCCTAGATTAAATCACCAACATCATCTGAACTGGTTCATTTTATGTATTATTCCCTAGCATGGCCTTTGTTGTCTCACAGAGCTCCTACATAACTAACCAACTCCATATTCTTTCCTCTCTTTGATTCTTCAAGGGAAAAAACCCACAGCAGTAAGTTGCATATATTTGTTCCCAAGCTTGTGATATGCCTGAAGGATTTCAAGTACTGTTCAGTTCTCTAGAAATCCAATTCACATACATAAAAATAAGATACAAAAGATCAGATCCCTTGATATATTAATCGAGTAGTGGTTTTACCTGTAATTACGCTTGCTGTAGAAAGGTCAGGGTTTGAAATGGTACAATAGATTGACCACTCCTCCACTTATACACTACTCATTTATAAGGTTTGTGTCAGAGAGGGAAAAAAAGGCCTGATATCTGTGTTCTCAGTGTCCTACATTCCATCTGACCTTGCCACTAAGGAATTATTCCTCAGGGGATACCCCCGCATCTGAGGCATGTCTAAATCAGGCACGAGGTGATGAGGCAAAGCCCCTGCTCTGGTCAATAGCTCTCTACATGCAGGAGTGGATAAACTATGGCTTTTGGGACAAAACCAGCCTGCTGGTTGTTTTTGTAAATAACATTTTATTGCAACACAGCCACACCTATCACTTTATATATTAACTGTAGCTGCTTTTCCATTGCAACAGCAGAATTTAGTAGCTTAACTAAGAATGCATATCCTGAAAAATTGAACATGTTTACTATCTGGCTATTTACAAAAAAAAATGTCAATTCCTGGTCTACAGCAATAACTGTCTTGGAGTCTACAAATGAACACACATTAACCAATATAAACAAATGTTCATCAGGTGCCTTCTGTTCCCCTCCACCTTCCTGTTGCTCTCTCTCCATCTTCACTGAAGCACCCAAAAAGAAGATGCCCCATAAAACGTAATGTGGAGTTTTTATCTACAACCATCTGATTTTTGACAAACCTGACAAAAACAAGCAATGGGGAAAGGATTCTCTATTTAATAAAGGGTGTTGGGAAAACTGGCTAGATATATGCAGAAAACTGAAACTAGACCCCTCCCTTGCACCTTATACAAAAATTAACTCAAGATGAATTAAAGACTTAAACATAAGACCTAAAACCATAAAAACCCTAGAAGAAAACCTAGGCCATACCATTCAGGACATAGGCATGGGCAAAGACTTCATGACAAAAACACCAAAAGTAATGGCAGCAAAAGCCAAAATTGACAAATGGGATCTAATTAAACTAAAGAGCTTCTGCACAGCAAAAGAAACTATCATCAGAGTGAACATGCAACCTACAGAATGGGAGAAAATTTTTGCAATCTATCCACCTGACAAAGGGCTAATATCCAGAATCTACAAAGAACCTAAACAAATTTACAAGAAAAAAAAATCCCATCAAAAAGTAGGTGAAGGATATAAAGAGACACTTCTCAAAAGAAGACATTTGTGCTGCCAACAAACGTATGAAAAAAAGCTCATCATCACTGGTCATTAAAGAAATGCAAATCAAAACCACAATGAGATACCATCTCATGCCAGTTAGAATGGCGATCATTAAAAAGTCAGGAAACAACAGATGCTGGAGAGGATACGGAGAAATAGAAACACTTTTACACTGTTTGTGGGAGTGTAAATTAGTTCAACCATTGTGGAAGACAGTGTGGCGATTCCTCAAGGATCTAGAACCAGAACTACCATTTGACCCAGCCATCCCATTACTGGGTATATACCCAAAGGATTATAAATCATTCTACTATAAAGATACATGCACACGTATGTTTATTGTGGCACTATTCACAATAGCAAAGACTTGGAACCAAACCAAATGCCCATGAATGATAGACTGGATAAAGAAAATATGGCACATATACACCATGGAATACTATGCAGCCATAAAAAAGGATGAGTTCATGTCCTTTGCAGGGACATGGATGAAGCTGGAAACCCTCATTCTCAGCAAACTAATACAAGAACAGAAAACCAAACACCACAAGTTCTCACGCCTAAGTGGGAGCTGAACAATGAGAGCACATGGACACAGGGAGGGGAACATCACACACCTGGGCCTGTTCGGGAGTGGGGGGCTAGGGGAGAGATAGCATTAGGAGAAATACCTAATGTAGGTGACGGGTTGATGGGTGCAGCAAACCACAATGGCACATGTATACCTCTGTAACAAACCTGCACGTTCTGCACATGTACCCCAGAACTTAAAGTATAATTTTAAAAAAATTGTAATGTGGAGTTTTTAAGGGAACATGTGATCTCAATAAGTGGAAGAAAGAATGAGATGCTAGAAAAACTTCAGAATATTGAGCACTTAGTTAGTAGGGCTGAATTGAAAGGAGGAAAAACTTAGGAGGTTTCAAGTAGCATAAGGGCACTTAGGATATTGGGAGAGAGGATTATTTGGAGCATGACAGGCTTCTAGTGCCTATTTTAAAGTTTTACTAGAAACTTCATGACTCATACACAGCATATATGAAGTTAAAAAAACTTCTTATTTGGACCATGTATTTCTTCATGCATGCGTTCATTTATTCAATATAGTTTTGAGCCAGGCACTAGGTTAGGTGCTGAGAACACAACAGTGAATAATCAGTGCTGTTATTGTTTTAATGCTGGCTACAGATTAGTAGGAAAAACAGGAAATAGAAGAATAGTCACAAAACTATATAATTCTGATTAGCACCACACAGGAAAATAAAGGATATTCTAAGAGTGTATAATAAGAAATACTGATCAAGATTGGGAGCTTTAGGGTGGGATATCAATAAAAACAATATTGATTAAAAACATTTAAGCTGAGACCTGAAGGGCAGATAGCAGTTTATATGAATATCACTTTCTCCAATCCCTATTCTTGCTTGGTTAGAATAAGACTGCTATAGGTAGGAATTGGGCATCTTCAAGGATCTGAAAGAAAACCAGATTTCTTAGGAAGAGTGAAAGAATCATTACATTAAGTATGTAAGTAGAATCCAAATCACATTGGATTTTGCAAGCTCTAGATTTTTATTCCATTGATACAACTTATAAGCAGTAGAGCATCATGGTTTTATTTATAGCTGTCTTCTATCACTCCAGCAAGAAGGTAGAAAATAGACTGAAAAGAATGAGAGGCCAGAGTTTATATAGGCACGAGACTTACGGGCTCTGGCAATGACTTCTGATACTTCCCTTTCAATCATCTTTTCTTCTCTATAATCTGTACTCTTTCGCCTACTTTTTCTTCTTCCTGGACTTCCTCTCTTCCTCTCTAAATTGTCCACTGGCTTTGGATTTCAGCTCTCAAGCTTATGCTATTAGTTTTACTGCTTAGCAAACAAATGGGCTCTGGAAGACTGGCCTGGAAAGCTAAATACCACTTAAACTGTTGAAACATAAGTTGTATGCCAGGCTGTTTGTCTGCAAGAGTAAATACCTTCTGTTTGAAGGTTGGAGAACATTTGTACTACAGGTCTTGGCTCAGCAGGTGCCCAATACTAGGTTATTGACAGGCAATGGACTCTGCCTTGCCATACAAATGGAAAAATAACAGATAGGTTCAACTCAAGGACAAAAGATAAAGGCTGTGTGTGTGTGTGTACACCCGTTAGGCCTCCTCCTTCTTTCAACTGAATTATAACACTCAATCTCCTGTCCATCACTTAATACCCATACCCTGGGCTTTCTGAATTTATCCTCTCTTATTCTCCTTTTCTCCCTTTCTTATTTGTTGTTTGTTTCATAGCATTTCTCTTCTTAAGGAACAAGATGCTTTATCACTAGCTAAATAATTTTGTTTTCAGCAAGCAGATGGAAAAGGAATCTGTTGGTACCAGGGTACTTCCAAGCTCACTATGTATGGAACTACCTACTTGGACTATATGAAAGCCTGACCTGTGCAAACGTTTACAATTACAGACTGAAACACCACAGCCTACTATGATTGTATTAAAGTAGCCTGTAGGCCCCATATGTTATTGCTGCCCTTCACCAAAAGTGTAGCCTAGCTCTTGTGTCACAGTAAACATATCTTGAATGGTTGTGATGGAAATTTCCATTTAACAAAGATTTCTAAGATTTTAGTGATGCCCTACTTGTTTCGAGAAATATACATCTGTAAAACTTTCTTTTTCTTCCACCTGGGAACCAAGGAGTAGGGTAACAGTGAACATTCTGTTAGGTGTAGGCCCTCCACATTTCTGTCCTGCTGTTTCTTACTTTACAAGATGTCTTTCCTCTTATCTGCTTTGATGCTTGATGGTAAGTCCCATGGCCACAATGAGAAGGAAAATGAGTATACAACCACAAAACAACCTCTGCATTTTCCTGGAGCTTCTGAGGGATTTACAGTTGAGGTACTCAATTTGCAGGTGAGATATCCAGGTGCCTCTTAATGCAGCAGGTCCCCCAGTGGCTCTGGGTAATTTGATATCTCTCTGTTCTTGCTCTACTTGTGTTCTGATCTAGCCTGAACCTGGAGCTGTTGCTGATTCTACCTCTAGGTCCATGGCACTTCCATCACTCCTTTTGGCAATGAAGCCTACACTACTCTTTTGTCTGAACTTGCTTCTAAATTTTGGCCTTATTCCAGCTTGTTTCTCCCCTACCAGCTTCCTTTTTGTGTTACATATCTTGAACAGTGTCTGGCCTTTTTACTGTTCCACAGATACAGTTTCTTCTATTGAAGATGAGTATCTTCTTAAAGAGTAAGGCAGCATGTCATAGCCACACACTCCTAGGTAATGATGCTGGTCCTTAGAAAGATTAATGCCTAACATATGGGGTTTTATATATGAAATAAGCCAACCAAGTGAAAGTGTCTAGTAAGAAAATAGAGGGAAACAAATATTTTTCATCCCTTACTTTGGGAGCTGCTATGAGATTTCCATATATGATCTAATTTAAATCTCATGAGAACATTATTAGAAAGCCACAGTTAGCCCCATTTTAATGATAAAGACATGAGCTTAACAGAATCTAGAGGTAGCTCATCCAAGGTCCCAAGGCTATAAATGTGTCTGATACAATGTTCTGGCTCTTAACCATTACATTGTATTGTTTCTATGCCTATTAAAAATAGGAAAATGAAGAAATACTTGAAAAGGTAAAACCAGCCATTTTTACTTAAGAGAATCATGTAATTACAAGTGTTCAAAAGAGGCAATTTTGAATGCTTAGCCCTCTGTATATGGTGTGCTGGCTGTGGATTATCAAACAACTGGTTAGATAAGGCAAGAATAAAACTTCCTCTCAACAACTAAGATTCTATGATGTTTCACATGACAAATATTTATCCCTTTGCTGGACTGAGTAAGGGCACAAGCTAAATGGAGTTATAAATAATCAGCTTTATCTGTAATAAGTCTAGATTTAAAAACTAGATTTGTTTCTAAAGCTAAAATTTGGCCTCCTACTCCCTCACTACAAACCAATTTTTGAGATAACTAGCTTCTAGTAAAAGGTAGACATACTTTAGTAGTTCAGTTGAATAAATTAGAAAAATGACAAAATAGTAGCTGGGTTTGCAGGAGGAAGCCACCAGAACTGACAGTCCAAGACAGGAAAAAGAAGAGAGAGAGACCAAAGAGCTTTCAATAAGCTTGCCTTGTTTTTTCTACACATTTATTTTGTTTTTTGGATAAAACGCAATCCTTGAGAAGGAGAGTGTAGGAATGGAGAGAGAAACTGGAAATATTCTCCCCTAAACTCCTCTCCGTAACTCCCTTCCTCAATCAAATAGAAACAAAATCCCCTTTCTATGAACTCATAGGCACAAGAAAGATGAAAAAGAGTCCTCCTCCTAGGCAATTATAAAGATGTACTTTGTTGATGAGGCAGCAGAGTAGAAGTTAAACTTATATCTCTAGTTAAATTTTTAGGGCTTGAATCCTGGCCTTGATAATTGCTCTGTAACACTGAGCAAGTCATTTAATCTCTCTGTGCGTCAATTTCCTTAAACACAAAATGATAATTACAGGAAAGGATTTGGGAACATGATGACAATAGCAGCACAGGTTTTGAATCTCTAAATTCTCAGAAATAAACATAACAGCTAGATATCAAATTGAAAACTCATGCGCAACACTTGCAACAAAGTAGGTAACAAGATATTACCACGATCCCAAAATACAAGCATATGAGCATGATTGATACCAACATGGTAAGAACAGCATGATATCAAGAATTGTGCAGAATAAAGCAAAAGGAAACAGCAGGGCATTTGATTAACCTAAGAACACATAGAAAAAAAAAAAACGTTCACTAGAAATACAGCTGACTTGAACTGAGAATAGCAGCTGAAACTGGTTGGGAATAGAAGAAAGTAAAGATATAATATAGATGATGTTAAGTAAAAACGATGTAGCCCTGAATTGGAATTGAAAGTACACATATGAACTCATGAGGTATTATCTCTGTCTAGCTACATATCTAACTATCTCCTCCAGCTCTATCCATGGAAAACACTAGAAACATTAAACAAGAAGCAATAAGCACTCTAACATTCACATTGTGGACTTGAAACACCATGTTCCATCAAAAGAAAAGCATTTTAAATAATTGGCTGTTTCCAGGTCAGGCACATATTATCATATAAAATAGTGAGTATGCTACAAAGAACTATTAGGGTCATGTTAAAAGAACTCACAGACTAATTTGAAGCCAAATTTATTAAACAAGTATGGGAAAGTGAGCCTCAAAAAGGATTACAGTAGGGGCATTATGACAGCAAAATGTCATTATTGGCAGGTCCAAGCTCTCGTTCCCCCACAGAAAAATATTTTTAAAAAATTTAAAAAGTAGAATTTATCAGTCAAAGATTTAGAACAACTAAGAAAACAGTGAATCAAGAAAAGGGCAATTTCATAACATAAAACTTTGTGGCATTTTTAGTAGCCCTTGGCATGCTCTCTCTACTATGGTAATAATCTTGAAGAAGGAAGCCTGCATTCCCAGTGTGTGAGACTGATTTCAGGATATAAAGGGAGCAGAACAGGCTTCATTCACAAGTTATTGTATATGCCTGTTCTAACCTTCCTGGAGAATACTTGAGGAATAGACACAAGATAATCATACCTGTTTCCCTTAACTTAGAGGTCAGGCTGAAAAAATGACAGGCTTTGCAAAAACATTCTGCAAGCTAGAATATCCAGGAAAAATCTGGAGCAAAATATTATGGAAAAAACATACAATAGTCCACCCAAGTATATTCCACCCAAAAGAGGAGAGACTTTTGGGGAATCAGTACATTTAAAAGGACCTGTGTAATCAGAAGAATCGATATCATTAAAAAGACCATATTGCCCCCCAAAAATCTATAGATTCAATGTGATTGCTATCAAAATAACAACAACATTTTTCAAAGAATTAGGAAAACAATTCTGAAATTTATATGGAATCAAAAAAGAGCTCGAATAGCCAAAACAATCCTAAGCACAAAGAACAAAGCTGAAGGCATCGTATTACCTGACTTCAAATTATACTATAAGGCTATAGTAACCAAAATGATGTGACACTGATATAAAAATGGACACATAAATCTATGGAACAGAATAGACAACCCAGAAATAAAGCCACATACCTACAGCTAACTGATATTTGACCAAGTCTACAAAAACATATACTGAGGAAAAGACACCCCATTCAACAAATGATGCCAGGAAAATTGGATTGACACATTCAGAAAAATGAAACTGGGCCCCCTATCTTTTACCATATACAAAAATGAACTCAAGGTGGATTAAAGACTTAAATATAATACCTGGAACTATAAAAATATTAGAAGAAAACCTAGGTAATACTCTTCTGGACATTAACTTTGGCAAATAATTCATGATTAAGACCTCAAAAGCAAATGAAACAAAACAAAAATAGGCAACGGTAACTTAATTAAACTAAAAAGCTTCTGCACAGCAAAGGAAATCATCAACAGAGTGAACAGACAAGCTGCAGAATTAGAGAAAATATTTGCAAACCATGCACCCATCAAAGCACTAATACCCAGAATCTACAGGGAACTCAAAATATCTCAACAACAACAACAAAAACATCCAAGGAATCCCATTAAAAAGTGGGCGAAGGACATGAACAGACATTTTTCATAAGAAGAAATACAAATGGCCAAGAAGCATATGAAATAGTGCTCAACATCACTATTCATCAGAGAAGTGTAAATTAAAACCACAATGAAATACCGCCTTCTACCATTCAGAATGACTATTATTGAAAACCCAAAAAATAACAGATGTTGGTGAGGATACAGAAGAAAGGGAACCTTTATACTCTATTGTTGGGAATGTAAATTAGTATAAACTCTATGGAAAACAGTATGGAAATTTCTCAAAGAACTAAAAATTGAACTACCATTTGATCTCACTACTAAAAAGACCCACTTCTCTTCGTCTTTGTAGATTTGCTTTGTACAGAAGCACTCCTTCCAAACAATAATCCCACTACTGGATATCTACTCAAAAGAAAAAGAATCATTATATATTAAATATATGCACTGTTGTATGTTTATTGCAGCACTATTCACGATAGTAAAAATATAGAACTGATCTAAGTGATCATTAATTAATGATTGGGTAAAGAAAATGTGATATATATATATATGTATATAATGAAATACTACTCAACCATAAAAAAGAGTGATATGTCTTTTGCAGCAACGTGGATGGAACTAAAGGTCATTATTTTATGTGATATAACTCAAGAACAGAAAGGCAAATACTGCATGTTCTCATTTATGAGTGGGAGCTAAATAATGTGTATACACATGTATAGAAAGTGGAATAATAGACATGGGAGACTTGGAAGAGTGGGAGGATGGGAAAAAAATGAAGGTTGATAAGTTATTTAATGGATACGATGTACACTAGTTGGATAATGGTTATAGTAAAAGCCCAGACTTCACCATTAGGGAATATATCCATGTAACTAAACCACTCTTGTCTCCACTACATCTATAAAGAAAAATTTAAAATTAAAAAACATATATATAAAAGACCCATATATACAGGGAAATTTAGAAAGCCACATGCATGCAGAGAAAAGACCTGAGATGATGCTATGCTATCAACTAAGACTGATCCTTAAGGTCAGTTCAATAATGGTTAAATATGGAAGAAGTGCTTTTGTACAAAGCAAATCTACAAAGACTAATAGAAGTGAGACTTTTTAGTCTGTTTCTTGTTCTTTGGATCTTTTTAGCTCTTGGCATTCAAGGAACTATCTGTCAAATGTTAAGGAAACACATACATAAGGAAGTAACTTACACATAGCAATGAATATAGAATTTACAAAATAGTTTGGGAAAGTCACTAAACAAAAGGACTACTAGCCTTCCACAACAACAACAAAACAAAACAGTAAACCCTGGGGAAGGGGGATAATCTGATTTCCAGAGTTACCACATTATAATATTCAAATGTTCAGCATTTAACCCCCACCCCCGCCCCCCAAAAAAAACCAAAGGTATACAAACAGACAGCGAAGTATGGCCTATTTAAAGAAATAAAATAAAGAAACTATACCTGAGGAAGTCTAGACATTGAACTTACTAGAAAATTGCTTTAAAACAACTGTCTTAAATATATTCAAAGAGCTAAAGGAAACATAGGCAAAGAACTAAAGAAAATAGGGGAAACAATATATAACAAAGTGAAAATATAATAAAGGGATAGAAATTATGAAAAAAACAAATTCTGGAGCTGAAAATTATGAAAACTAAAATCAAAAATTCATGAGAGTGGTTCAACAGCAAACCGGAGCAGACAGAGGAAAGAATAAGTGAATTTGAAGATAGTACAGTTAAAATTATTGACTCCAAGGAGAAAGATAAAAGAACAAAGTAATGTGAACCAAGCTTAAAGAGTCTTGTGTAACACCATCAAGTGGGGCAACATATACAGTTTAGAAGTTCCAGAAGGAGAAGAGAGAAAGACAGGAAGAAATAATATTATGAATAAATAACGGCTAAAAACTTCCCATATTTCATGAGATATGAATCTATAAAGCTAAGGTAAATAAACTTCAAGTAGCATGAACTCAAAGAGACCCACATTACCATATTATAATCAAACTGGTGAAAGACAAACAGAGAATCGTAAATACAGCAGGAGAGAAGTGAAACATCACATACAAGGGATTACCAACATGATAAGCACCATATTTCTCATGTAAAACTGTGGAAGCCCCAAAAAACAACTGTCAACCAAGAATTCTATAACTGTCAAAACTATCCTTCAAAAACAAAAGAGAAATGAAGACTTCCCCTGATTTTAAAAGCTTGAAGTAACTTCATACCACTAGAAAGACTCTAAAAGAAATACTAAAGGGATTCCTTCAGCAGAATACACTACAACTCAACAACAACAACAACAATTCTCTGTTTAAAAATGGGCAAATTATTTGAATAGACATTTCTCCAAAGAAGATATTTGACTGGCCAATAAGGACATGAAAAGATGCCCAAGAACACTAATTATTAATAAAATGCAAATCAAAACCAAAATATAATACAAGTTCACACCCATTAGAGTGGTTATTACCCAAAACAAAAGAGAAAATGACAAATATTGACAGGATGTGGAAAAACTGAAACTCTTGTTGGTGGGGATGTGCAATTGTGCAGCTACTGTGGGAAACATTATGGTGGTTCCTCAAAAAATTAAGCATAGAATTATCTTATGATCCAGTGACTCTACATTTAGGTATATATACAAAAGATTTAAAAGGAACTTGAACAAATATTTATACACCAATGTTCATAGCAGCATTATTCACAATAGCCAAAATCTGGAAACAGCCTGAATGTCTATTGATGAATGAATAGATTTTTTAAATGTGATATATACACACAATATAATATTATTTTGTCTAAAAAATAAATTATAATATACACTACAATATGGGTAAACCTTCAACACATTATGTTAAATGAAATTAGGCAGGCACAAAAAGACAAATATTGTATAATTCCACTTATACGAGTTTCCTAGAATATTAAATTCACAGAGACACAAAGGAGAATAGTGGTTACCAGCAATTGTTGGTAGTGGGGAATAGAGAATTATTTAATAGGTACAGATTTTTAGTTTGGGGTAATGACAGTTCTGGAGATGGATAGTGGTGACAGTCGCACAACAATGTGAATGTTCTTAATATCACCAAATTGTACACGTGAAAACAGTTAAAATGGTAGATTTTATGTCATATGTATTCTACCAGAATAAAAATTTAAAGATAAATAGATACATAGACAGAGAGATAATAGACACATAGATAGATAGATAGATAGATAGATAGATAGATAGATAATAGATAACAGACAACAAAAGATAAATAAGAGGGTATGATAGAAATGACAAGTAAGCCAAGGGTCAGAAAGTTCAAGCCCACATTTGAGAACATTCAGGAAAGCACTTTAAAATGATGTATATGTAACCAAGTTTATACCCTATTCTTTCCTACTTTCTTATTAAATTATCTATGAATATATAGAAAAAGTAAAAAAAAATTCATAATAATGAAAAAACACTGAAAATGAATATCAGAATTTGGAAGGAAGGTCTACTAAATAAAAGATCCAAGGAGTTGAACAAAGGTTAACAACCAGCGGCTGAAACATGAGTTTCTACTTGAAACGGCAAACTCGGGCTTAAAGTTGATAAGGTGCTTTCAGTCAGGCAATAGGCACCAAAACAAATATCCAAGGTCAGTTAGGATATTTATATCTAGTCCTCTACTACTCAAGTACCAATCTTGAGTAAGACAAAATATGATGCACAGGCCACACACCTAGTACCTCTCCTTGGCAGTATGGTTTTCACAACTATAATGATGTACATCAAATAAGAAATGTGAAGAGCACAGGTAGTAGTGAAGACTTGTAGATACAATTTTTCATTTTTATGTTTGTGTTTTTCCTATCCCAGTGTCAGAAAATAAGTGGTAGAAAATTGCAGAGCTGCACAATGTAAATGTATCTGTTACTTCAGAAGTTGAATTAGGAAACAACCACACAAATCTTTCTCCCAGTTTAAAGTCCAAGGATAGGGATGCCATGTTTTTTTTTATTTCGTGTGCATTAGCTTGTTTATTTTAACTACTTTAAAAATGAGAAAATGTTGTGAAATGGTTGTATGAAGTGGTATACCTATCTCTCAATTGTAATAACTGCTTCTGAGCCAGGTATTTGCTCTTTTAGAAGAGAGTTTCAGTTTTATTTATTGGTATTTATGATTCAGACTATCTGGCAGTCTTCTCCCAGTGGCCACTAAGTAGGTCCAAGGAGAGAAAAGAGAAAACATTTACAAGCAGCCCATGGAAAAGTGCTAAAGATTCTCTATGCTTTGATTCTTCAATACAATTTTAAAAAGAAACAGTCTTTTAGGCTCAAGCTTATGGCATCACAGAGAAAATATTTAATGAGCCAGGCATGGTGGCATGTACCTGTAGTGCTGGCTACTTAGGAAATTGAGGCAGAAGGATCACCTGAGCCCAGGAGTTTGAGGCGGTAGTGTCCTATGATTGTGCTTGTGAATAGCCACTGCACTCCAACCTGGACGACATACTGAGACCCTGTCTCTTTAAAATAATGTTTAAGTATAATTAAAAAAAACACAGAGAAACAGAAAGATATAGGTAACAAAAACAATACAAGGAGATGCAAATGTGCCAGTGGTTAAAAAGAACAGAAATCCAAAAAAAACAAAAACTGACATAAATGTGTGATATGAAGAAAATCTATTATTGTGTCTTTACCCTGCATTCTTCAAAATTAAGAATGAGTATAAAACAAAGCAAAGTATAAATCAGTAAATAAGCATGGAAAATGGAAATTGAAACTATAAAGTTTAGGTGTCCTAAAGAGGGAACAAAACTATTTGAAATGAATAACTAAATATCAGAAATGAAATTCTCTGGATCTAAGGAAACAATGCTTAAGAATAGGAAGAAAAATGTCAACTTTTGTTCTGGATAAATTAATAGAAAAATAGGCCTGTATGTAGACATAAACTAGTAAAATTTTGGATTTAAATATACATAAAACATCCTAATATATTCAAGCAAATAAAATTGGGTTACTCTTCCAGATATACCAACCTGATTTTTACTCCTTTCTTAAAATAATGGCATAAGAAGATACATATTTTAACAAAAAAATGTATTTTCAAACCATTACCCTTGACCATTCTATGTTGTTGCCCCCAAACAGAACACATTAACTGAAGTACGCACAAATCTGCTGTGGAAATTGGGCAAATATGCTTTATAGATGGCACAAACAACAAGAAATTTATCTTTGAAATAAGTAAAGTTGGCCTTACCAAAAAATTTGAGCTTTCATCTACTCAAACCTTTGCCCTGAAAAAACAGTGTGGGATCACAAGAATTATTCTGATCTCGGAAAAACCACTAATAACTCCAATAATAAGAAGATGTGAGTTTTGGTATTTTATAAGTTGGAGAACATGTTGCTGGGACCTTTTTAGCCTCACACAACCTGATTAGAAACAGCTACACCAAGAACTTTAAGGACAAATATGGCCACAACAAATACAAATCATTTGCTATCTCCCTAGAATAGCTGTTTCTTGAAATAGTAGATAACTTCCCTAACCTGTAGAACTGTTTTTATTTTCTGTTTTATTTGTTTGCTTTATGACCTTCTTTAACTTTATCCTCACTATTGTATTATGAAAGAATTCCAGTATTCAGAAAAAATTGAAGAATTTTGCAGTGCACAACTGTATATCTGCCTAAATTATATAATTACCATTTTACTATTATTTTTTTAATTTTCAAACTTAAGGTATACTTTAAATATAGTAAAATGTATCCTTTTTGGCATTTAGTTATGCCAGCTTTGTCAAACACCTTCAGTTATATAATACCCGCCACAATCAAGAAATAGAACTTTATTTTATCCTTTAAATTCCCCCATACCCATTTGTATTCTATCCCTATCCCCCCACTCTCAGATCCTAGCAATCATTGGTCTGTTTTCTATCTTGAGGGTTACCAAATTTAACAAAGAAAAATACACGTTTTCGAGAATACTTATACTATTTTAAATAATTTATCTGAAATTCAAATTTAACGGAGTATTCTATATTTTATTCAGCAGCCTTTCCGTACTTATCATTTTGGTGCCCTATTAAAAAAAATATGCGGCCAAACCCAAACTTCAAATACATTTGTTCCTGTGTTTTCTTCCATAAGATTTATCGTTTTCTATTTTACTATTAGGGCTATAGTCCAATTTTAATTTTGCATAAGGCATGAGATTTATGTTAAGGTTCCTTTTTTCTTTTTTTGAATGGTAATGTCTAATTGTTTCAGCATATTTTCTTTAAAATATTATTATTTCTCCATTTAATTGCCTTTGCACCTTTGTCAGAAATCAAATGGTCATATCTCTGTGGGTCTAATTCTGATCTCTCTGTTCTGTTCCCTTGATCTTTTTTTTTTTTTAATCAATGCCACACTGTTTTGATTACTTCAGCTTTAGAGAAAGTTTTGAAATTATGTATTGTTCAAAATGTTTGAACATTTCTAGTACATTTGCCTTTTCATATGAATTGTAGGGTTAGTATTTTTTAAATTTTTGAACAGAGATCCTGTAGGGATTTTGATTGACATTAATTTGACTCTATAGGTTTATTTGGAGGAGAGTTTCCATCTTCATCACAATTAGTCTTTGAGTTAATGAATAAAGTATATCTCCTCATTTATTGGGTCTTTAGAATCATTTTTAATATATCAGCAATAGCATATATAACTAAAATTAGATATATTACCAACTATACAAAATAAAATAATTATTAGAGAATAATATGAACAATTGTACCCCAAAAATTAGGTAGACTAGATGAAATAGAAAACTTAGAAATGAAGAACTTACCTAAACTGACTCAATAAAAAGCAGAAAAACTCAACAGGTCTTTAACAATATATATATTGAATCAGTAATTAAAAACCTATGAAAAATTTAAAAAACAAATAACACAAATTCTTCTCAAACTCTTGCAAAATATAGAGCAGAAACCACTTCCTAACTCATTATATGAGGTTAGCCTTGCCTTGATTCCAAAGCCAGAAAAAGATATCAGAACAAAATAAATTTACAGACAAATATTTCTTATGAAGTTAAATGCAAAAATTCTCAAGAAAATACTAACAAATGGATTCCAACAGCATATTTAAAGGATTATACACCATTACCAAATGGGATTTAACCCAGGTATACAAGGGTAGTTCAACATAAGTAAATCAATCAATGTAATATACTACATTAGTAGAACAAAAGAAAAAAAAAAACACATGATCTTCTCCTTGGTGCACAAAAGGCATTTGACGCAATCCAATATACTATCAAGACAAAAGCACACATAAACTAGGATGTGGGTAGTGATGACGGTTATGCAACATTGTGAATATAATTAATACCACTGAATTGAATTGTACACATAAAATGATTAAAATTGCATAACTTAAGATGTCACAACTGAAAATTTAAAACAAACATTACAATGAATTAGAACGATTAAATACGTTAAATCCGTGAGTACATATTTATATTCGAAGATAAGTGACTTGTTCAACTTTGGAGCTTCACCCTTATTTTATGTTGAAATAGGTAAATAAAGGAAAAGATGAAGCATTTATCCTGCCACTTCTTTATGAATTTTACCCCTCCATAATGAATTAGGAGATGAAGTGATGCATCTGTTTATAAGTAAACAAGTGATAGTAGAATTAGAACTTTTGCCATTTTCAATCGTAATGAATTACTCAGTCTAGACAGTTCGCATTAGTAGCTGCAACATCACAAATAGAGAACCAAATGTCATGTTCTTTATGATTAAAAAACACAACACCACCTACAGTTTTACTAAAAAGATCAAAACTGAGTCTAACCTGAGCTAGACTTCAGGTCCAGCCTCCAATTTGCAGAAAAGACTAAAGACAGAAAAATGTGCTTAATTACATCATGAGTATACAGTATATTCTTCGGATCCTCCACCAAATAAGTTTTAATAAAAGCAAAGGTTTACAGGAAAAACATATTGATTAAATAAAATTTATAAAAATGTTTCATAAAAATTGATAACTCTAAATAAATATAAGGAAGCTGCTACTATAAAAGTAAGATAGGTGTTATTTTAGAGGGAGAGGGGAGAAGTTTTTGAAGGGACAGCAAAATTGGAAGGATTTATGGGGTTGGTGGTATGATTCTGTTTCCTAACTTGGGTTGGGTACACAGGAGTTTGACTTATAATAAGTCACCATACTATATATACCTTCAGTGCATTTTCATAATTCATTTCATTTCGCAATAACATATTACAAATAAATTATTTACAGAGAGAAATGTATTCACAACATTTTTGAAGTGGCAATATTAATGGTACTACCTTAAGGGAGGAAGTTGTAAGAGTTAAGTAAGAGTATATATAAAGCACTTTGATATGACTGACATGTTTAGAATTCTATTATTATTATGGCCCATCTTATTTATTATTCCAAAATTAATAGTTAAGTCTATATATAGTTATATTAACAATTTAAACACATTTGCTACCTCATAATTAGCACAACCATAGAGGTAATATATTCATCCTTATATTAAGCTATAAAATATACACTGTATATAAATACATAATGTATATACTGTATATATACTGTATATAAAATAACAGTACATATTTTGCACATATTTGGGCAAAAGCTAGGGACATGACTAGCTTTTGCCCAAATATGGGCAAAATATGTACTTTTAAAGTACAGTCATATACCACTTAATGATGGGGATATGTTCTGAGATATCTGTCCTCAGGCAATTTGGTTGTTGTGCAAACATCATAGAGTATATTTTACAACCTAGATGGTATAGCCTACTCTACACCTAGGCTATATAATATAGCCAATTGCTCCTAGGCTAAAAAAGAGTGCAACATGTTACTGTTCTGAATATGGTAGGCAATTATAACGCAATAGTAAGTGTTAGTGTATTTAAAAACATCTAAACATAGAAAAGGTACAGCAAAAATATGCAATAAAAGATTTTTAAAAGTACACCTGTATAGAGCACTTACTGTATAATAGGGCTTGCAAGATTGGTAGCTGCTGTAGGTAAGTTGTTGAGTGATTAGTGACTTTGTGAAGGCCTGCACTGTACACTTAGGCTACACTAAATCTATAAAAGAATGTTTTTCTTCCTTCAATCTTAGGTTAATTGTAACTTTTTTCCTTTATAAACATTTTTTTGAGACAAGGTTTTACTCTGTCATCCAGGCTGGAGTGCAGTAGTGTGATCGTGGCTTACAGCAGCCTCTACTTCCCAGGTCAAGTGATCCTCCCACCTCACCCACAGGAGTAGCTGGAACTACAGTCCCAAACCACCATGACCAGCTAATTTTTAATTTTTTCGTAGAGACAAGGTTTCACTATGTTTCCCAGGCTGGTCTCGAACTCCCGAACTCAAGCCATTCACCTGCCTCAGCCTCCCAAAGTGCTGGGATAAGAGGTGTGAGCCACTGTGCCCAGCCTATAAACTTTTTAACTCTTTTATATTAACAATTAAGAAATACAAACACATTATACACCTGTACAAAATACATTCTTTCATTAATCTTATTTTATAAGCTTTTTCTATTTTTAGTTTTTTTTTCAACTTCCTAAAAGTTTTGTTAAAAAGTAGGACATAAACACACATTAGCCAAGGCTTACACAGAGTCAGGATCGTAAGTATTATTGCCTTCCACCTCCTCATCTTGTCCCACTGGAAGGTCTTCAAGGACCATAACACACATGGAGCTGTCATCTCCTATGACAGCAATGTCTTCTTCTGGAATAACTCCTGAAGAACCTGCCTGAGGCTGTTTTACAGTTAACTTTTTTTTTTAAATAAGTAGAAGGAGTACACTCTAAAATAATGTTTAAAATTATAGTAAATGCAGGCTGGGCACTGCGGCTTACGCCTGTAATCCCAGCACTTTAGGAGGCCAAGGCAGGCAGATCATTTGAGGTCAGGAGTTCGAGACTAGCCTAGGCAACATGGAAAAACCCCATCTCTACTAAAAGTGCAAAAATTAGCTGGGCATGGTAGCTAATACCTGTAGTCCCAGCTACTCAGGAGGCTGAGACAGAAGAATCATTTGAACCTGGGAAGTGAACAGGTTCAAACTTTTCAGTGAGCAGAGATTGAACCACTGCACTCTAGCCTGGGCGACAGAGCAAGACTGTCTCAAAAAAAACCAAATATAGTAAATACATAAACCAGTAACATAATTATTTATCATCATTATCAAGTATTAATATTATGTACTATACATACTTGTATAATATGTGTTCTATTTTTATACAACTGGCAGCAGAGTAGGTTTTTTACACCATCATCACCACTTGTGAGTAATGCGTTGTGCTACAACTTTAGGACAACTATGACTGACATCACTAGGCAATAAGAATTTTTAAGCCCCATCATAATCCTATGGGATCACTGTGATATATGCCGTCTGTCATTGACTGACGCCTCATTATGCAGCACATGTCTGTATCTGTTTTGCGATAATAATGGTGAGTTAGGACAGCAATGCAAGATGGCAGCCACCACGGGCTCAGAATGTTTATGAAAACCAAATATACAGCGTTAAAATAAAATATGGATCTAAATCATTCCCTTTTGTAAAATTTGTAACAAAATTTAATATGAATGGAGTCAATAGTTCTTTTTTTTTAATTTCAATAGGTTTTCGCAAAACAGGTGATGTTTGGTTACGTGAATAAGTTCTTTAGTGGTGATTCCTGAGATTTCGGTGCACCCATTACCTGAGCAGTGTACACTGTACCCAGTATGTAATCTTTTATCCCTCACCTCACTCCCACCCTTTCCTCGAAGTCCCCAAAGTCCATCATATTATTCTTTTGCCTTTGATCCTCATAGCTTAGCTCCCACTTATGAGTGACAACATACAATGTTTGATTTTCCATTCCTGAGTCACTTCACTTAGAATAATGGTCTCCAATTCCATCGAGGTTACTGCAGATGCTATTATTTTGTTCTTTTCATGATTGAGTAATACATATATATATATATCTCACAATCAATAGTTCTAACGGAGTAGTGGACCCAAGAGCCATATCAATGCTATCAAAATGGCAAAATTCATGTTGTATTAAAGTTTTCCTGCAAGAGCTGTGGCACCTAATGATGTCTAAAGAAAATATGAAACTCCCTCAGCCAACTGAAGGTCTGTGTTACAGCAATTAATCAAAAATAAAAGAACACAGAGCTTCCTCCTTCCCCCCACCTTTCAATTAAGGAGTCTTCATTTTCCACAGTAGTAAATTTTCTAGATATGTCTTGTAGACCTCAAAGTACTGGAAAGGGAATTCCTATTCAAAGGAAATTTACCTTAAGATACTGTAAGTGACACTAAATTTTTGTCCATTTCAAATACATAAGTTGTTCTATAACAAATCATCTTGTCAAGTGTAACCACTGTCCACGTAGTTGAACTTCTGGAATGAATACAATATATTTAAATTGTTCCCATCATAACTAGCGGGACACATCTAACTCAACTGTGAAAAGACATATTACACAATCACGTTGTTGCTAATTACATGGCCTGAGATCTCTGCCTTTTCTTGCTAGCCCTCACCCCTGCTTCTCACCTTCCCTGCAATAGCCCTCTAGCCTGGGGCTTTGTTAGATTAGATTAGATGTGAAGGTTTCAGGTCACAGCCTGTGGGACTAATGGTGGGTGTGTGGGGTGCTTCAGATGCATCCCTGCTATCTTCCTTTAAGTCTTAAATGATGCCCCCTCCAAGCTATATGTCCTGTCCCTACATTCCTCCACTTCCACTCTTGGCCAAAGCATAGATTGTAACCCCTCTGATCCCCTCTGAGATTGGCCATCAATGAGTAATTTAGTGCTTTCCCCATATCTTTTCTTCCCCACCTTTATGGAGAGGTGCTGCTTTTTTCTCCCTCTTCCTCAAGTTCCTTTTTGTACCATCACTACACAATGCTTTCCATGACACTTCCTTGCTTTGACCAGAAGCCATCAGGTAAGGTTGCAAAGACTCTCTAACTGCTCTGGTTACATTTTGGAACTGCATTTATTCACTCTCCATCAGCCTAAGAAATGCATATTGAGTCCTCAGCTCAATCACCCTCTGCTGTCATCATCAGCTGATGGGTTTTTTTAGCTCAGGTTTTGATAAGGTGAAAATTACAGTCACCAAGTTTATTCAGAACTCTCAGCTGTCAGAGTCCTTGGTGGTTAAACTTGGAAAAAGGCCACATGAAGATATGTGTAAGCACACATGATCCCTCTGAAGTATTTTCTTTTTCTGTAATTGCTTTTGCTTCTAAAAATTGGATAAGTATTAAACAGGACTTTCTTTTGGTCATCCTTGCAGTCCATTGTGGCCTAGTCTGGAATCTGACAACTGGAACAAAAAGAACTTTAAATTTGGCGCATACTTTGGTTTTGGTGCTGCTGCTTCACGAGCTCCTCAGCAGGGGTTTAACAAATAACTTGGTGTGCCCAGCAGATCATTGTTGGTGGGCTTGACTTCCCGGCAAATTGTTGTATTTCTCCACTTTCTGTTTAGGACTACTAAATGCTGAAATATGGACGAGTACAGAAATAAAAGTAATTCATTGTGTAAAAAATAAATAGTGGTGACTTGGAAAATTAATTCAATTTTAATTATAAAGCAAGGGACACCGAGCAAGGTACTTTGCCATTTACAAACTGTGTAAAATTTTGTGTGCAAGACATAACTATTCTGTTAAGCCACTGAAATTTGGGGGACTTATAGCAGAATTGTCTTAACTGAGACATGTGAGCAAGTTATTTAACATCTTTGTGTGTCAGTTTACTCCTATAAAATGGTTAATAATCCTTACCTCATAGGGCTATTTTAAAAATTAAAATAATCTGTTCAAGAGTATTGAACAATGCCTAGCACCTAAGGCTCTCACTGTTATTAATGACCTTCTGGCTGTTTTTGTCAGAATTGGCTCAAGGACTGGGCACTTCTAATACTTTTGTTGGTGGAAAATTCTCAGAACTGCAGCTGATTGGGATTGGGGCAGACAAAGACTGGCACACCTGGGTTTTGGTCACCTTATTATATTGCTTAATTTTTCTCTGTGGTGACCGCACATTCAAAAACACCTCAACCCTTTTCCTTTCCTGCTCTACTCCTTAATTATGTGTGTTGCTCAGTAATTTACGGGTTTTTTTTTTTCCCAGTTAACCACAGGAGTCCTGTCATGTGCAAAGTAGATCCTTCTAGAAGCAATTCAGAAGTTAATAATTCCAATAATATTAACCTGTGAGAATGCACTGTTTGACTGAGGCTGTGTGGCTATTCCCTTAAATGTCACTTGCTGCTTGCAATATGCTGGGAAGGATGCTTTGTTATAACTTGGCCTGCTTTCTGTGCTTTCTTTGTGGTCCCGTAGGTGAAATAGGTCATACTCTCAAAGTAATTAATTATGGCTAAAATGAAGAATTGTATCTTTGTAGACTGAACTCCTAGAAAATGGAAATATGAGGACATTGTCCTCTCTGGATGAATTTGCTTATATTTAAAACTTTTTAAACTGTGTATCCCTGAAAAAAATAATTGAGTTTCACAGCTATGAACTGGAGAGTCACGTGGCTTTTCCATTTTGAAAACAAACAAAGGTTAAGAGGAGTGCCAAGAAGTAAATACTCCAAATTCTATTACCATGCGGTTTCAAAGGACATGACTAAGGTTCACCTTAACATCCATCTGGAGTTGAGGAGGCTTTTGTATAGGTTAACATTCCAGGGGTTCAAAATGTGACTTTCAAAATAGTCCCTGTCCTAGCTAGGCATGGTGGCATGTGCCTGTAATCCCAGCTACTGGGGAGGCTGAGGTGGGAGGATTACTCAAGCTTAGGAGTTCAAGACCAGCCTGGGAAGCATAGTAGGAGCCCATCTCAACAACAAAAAAATAATAATAATAATTGGCTCTTCCTGTTGTAAATTGCAAGAAGCACAGGTAGCAGATATCAGAGGAGGGTTCTAATACAGTCTTCTCCATTACTAGCTGTGTACTCTTGAACAGGTCACTCATAATTCTCAGTATAAAACAATTCCACAGACATGTATTGAACCCTAAATGTGCCAGACATTATGTCAGGTGTTGTTAAAGTGACAAAGATAAATTAGATATGGTCCACTTCTTTCTTCTATTACACAAGTAAGGAGATGGAAGCCACTGGACTACAAGATTTCCAAATTCCTTCTCAATCCAGAAAAGCTTTGGTTCAACCAAGCCCTATGATTCATATATATTTCATTATTATACATTTCAAACTGAGTATTTTCAGGTTGCAGAAGTTTGGATGGGTTTTCTTATTTTTCCCAATGATCTGTCACTTCTGAAATTCCAAGGGAAAGGCATCAGATACAGCCTTTTTTCAAATTTGGGCTGCTATAGGCACCTTTCCTTCTCTACAGTATTTCAGCTGAAACACAGGATGAATGGCTTATTTCAGTCCCAAATCCAAAAGGCCATCATTTGTCTTAATAAGGTTATTGTAGTTAAGGTGGTTCACTACCTTCTTAAAACCTATCAGACTTTACTAACAAGGACTGCTTGCTAAGGTGACAGTCAGTGATGTGCCGAGTGGAAGAACAGGTTAACCTGCTGTGAAATTCCTTAATTTAGGTGCTTCAATAAGCAAAAAAAAAAAAAAAAAAAAAAAAAAAAAAGTATGCTACAGCAACCTCAACAGAAAAATAGAAGAGAGAACATTTTCCCACATACTCTGGACTCTGAGAGGAGTAAAAGGAGAGGCTAAAATAAGCAGGTTTTATGTTACTAAAGGAGAAAGTGAAGCTTGAGGTTTGGGAATACTTGATAAAAAATCAAATAGTATTTGTGAAAGGCAAGAAGACACAAGGTCAGCTAATGGCTGGGTTCATCCATCCTCTCTCTATTGAGTAGGCCTCTTTCCCAGGGAAGATCCCAACTATATCCTAAATATCTCAAGAGCTGATATCACAGTAACTGAAATATGAGGATGTTGATGATGATGATGTTTGCTCATCTCTTAAATGGAGAATCATAATAATGGTACCTATTTCATAGGATTGTTGTGAGGATAAAACGAGTTAATATGTGAAAGTGTTCTTGGAATACAATAGCAGTATACTTATTTGTGCAGAAAAAAAAAAGAATGCCACCAGTTACAAACTGAAGTAGACTACTCTTTTCATGGTTTTATTCTGACAGTGTTTGTCACACACATTTGAATATGCATATACCTGTGCAGACTTTACAGTATGGTTGAATTGATGAGAGTATAGATGTGCTTGAGTGTACATGGGTGGGCTTAAGGCATATATGCATTTATGGGAGGGAATATATGTGTACTCGGTATCAGCATTACATTGTACTTGGAAATGATTAAATATTGCATTGAATAGTTTTGTTTAATTTTCCTGATTCATTAAAATTGTTTTCAGTCTCTTTTCCTATACATCCAGATGCCATCTATTTGACCTCTTCCACTCCTCTTTCTAATGCCCTTCCCAATATGCTAATATTCTTATCCTTTTGTATAACACTAAAGCATTTGCCATAAAAGAGACTGCCTGTCTTATTTTCCATGTACTAAATTTTAAAAAACTTCTGAAAGTAGCTGGCTTCCTGGTTGATTATTCTCACTAGCACAATGTCCTGAAGACCTCTTTCTACTGTGCTGGACTGATGCATAGAAAATACAGACTTTTAATACCTCTTCCTGCCTGCTAATGTAGTTATTTACCAGACTTGAAGATACTTCCTCTGTTTATCAGGATGTCAAATGGGGTCCAGACAGAAATCTAATAAGCATTTCCACTGTCTTGGAATTTATACATGACAATGAAACTCTAAGTCCAAATGAAAATCGGGGCATCCATAATAATTATGTGTAAGTTAGTTTCCCCCGACCCCATCAGTACAAAGATAACATGTCAAAGTTCCGCCAACCCAAGGAAACATCAGACTATTTTAGGCGACTTAAAAGAAGGATAGAAATTTTCTTTTTACCTTGGCCATTACTGACTTATTTAATCTGTATGGGTTTTTTTTTTTTCTAAATAATGTAGCTACATTGTAACAGAGGGCTTCAATGTTTTTGCTTGTTTTGTTTGTTCTTAAGCCCTTCAAGATTCATGGGACCATGATGAACTCTTAGAGTTTCTTACCTCTCCCTCAAGTAATACCACTTGGGATTGGATACATCTAGGTGGAATAACAGTAGTAAAATTTAGTGACAAAATGCCAAAAGTGAGTTTTAGGCATCTCAAGTTATTGTTTCATTAACATAAAGTCCTGTCATTCAAAGAAAAATACATCTTTGTGTACAAAATGTCAAGATTAGCCTAGACTAGAGACACTATGTGTAGTTTTAGCATTCATATTGATATAATATATTATACATAATTATTTATATATCTAAATATATATAAACAAGTATACCATATTTATATGTGTCATATTTATATAAATATATAAAATGTGCTAACCAAGACACACTGCACTCAAAGAGTCTGCCCTATTAAACATCAAAATCAGCAAAGATAATATAAATTATTATCCTGCTATATATTTCTTCCATTTTCCTCCCCCCAAGCCTTCCTCCCATCCTCCTTTAATCAAACATTTACACACCACTTGTTGTGTAACAGGCACTGCGCTAACTGCTACTTATAGGGGTTACAGTGAAAAGTATATTCCTTGCACTCAAAGAGCTCACAGTCTACATCCATGCACCTCCTCACTACAGATATTAACTGATTGTTGGGAAACTTTATTATAGCATCAAACACAGGTTGGTAAAAGGGCGCAGAGAAGTAACACTTAGTCCAAATTAAAAATACAACTGAAAAGTCAAAAAACAGTTTGATCTTTTTTGTCTCTCATAGTTGAGGTACTGATTTAAGCTTAATATAGTTAAGGACTTTCTCCTGCACAGTTTTCTCAAAATACAATGAACTAACTTGCATGGCTGTGATTCTCTATCACTTTGTAAAATCAAGCATAGATTTGTGTCTCCTTGCTTTGAGTATAAACAATGTGGAGATTAGGCCCCTTCAAACTCTATATAATAATAATATTTAAATAAAATACCACAGAGCCCACTATAAGTCTTAAATGTCTCCTCCAATTGAAGCACTGCCTATCATTTTGGGTCAGGACCAAGTGAATAAACAGCAGTATCCACCCCCCTATCAAGAATTTTGCAATGCTTTTAGGCTATTTCTTCTCCAATGTGCACAGTTTTAACGCAAAATGTATATCCACTTTGTGTGTTGAGGGGGAGGAGAGTGGTACTTATACCTCCTGAATTTGATATCTGGCAAGAATTCTGGAGAATTAAAGCAGAATTAAGCTATGTTGAAAATAAATAAAAATCACAGGGGGGCAGGGCCAAGATGGCCAACTGGAAGCAGGGGCGGTTGGAGGCTCCCATAGAAAAAAACCATAATAAGCATTTGACTCCTTCACTGGCAACCAAGGTATTCAGGTTCTCTCATCAAAATTGACTAGAAGGCTGACGTGACTCACAGAGAGAAGGAAGAGCAGTGCGGTGCAGCCACCCACCTGAGAGCCACATGGGGAAGGGGAACCCTCCTCCCTCCAGCCAATGGAGGTGGTGAGTGAGCATGCTACCCAGCCGGGAAACTCTGCTTTTGCCACGTAACTGTGCAGTCCATGGATTGGAAGATCCCACTCATGAACCCACGCCACCGGGGCATAGCATCCCAACCCCGAAACATAGATTCTTACAGTGTCTCAGCTGGAATCTGCTTAAGCCTACAGAACTCCTGATGGGAGGGGCGGCCAGCACTGACCGCAGCTGCCTGCTGTCTAAGCCCTTTGAGTTCTTTGCGGGAGGGGCAGCAGCCAGCCCTGGGATTCGCAACTGCCTAACAAGCTAAGCTCCCTGGGCAGGGGAAGGGCAGCATCAACTTCTATAGCTCCAAACTGCACTTTTTCTTTGCTGGAGCCTGGGAGGATGGAAGGCTTCGTCCCAAGACTTGTCCCCACAGCCCAACACACCAGCTGTGGCAGTCTGCAGCCAGAGTGCCTCTTCAGGTCTAACCCTGACCCATCCTTCCTCAGTGGGCAGGGCTTCCCTGCAGGATCTCCCATAACTCCAGCCAGAGGCTCAGGGGCAGAATTCGGATCTCCCTGGGCCTGAGCACCTAGGGGGATGGGTGGCCAGAGTCTCTTAAGACCAGCAGACTTAGCCTCTCCTCTTAGTAGTTCTGAGGAATCCGGGCATCCCAGACGACTGGGTTTCCCCCCAGCAAAACACACCCTCTCCACCTAGGGACAAAGTGCTTCATTAAACGAGTCCTGAACCCTGTGCTATCCAACTGAGTGAGACCCTTCAACAGGGGTTGTCAGATACCATATACGGGGGTGATTCTACTGGCATCAGGCTGGTGCCCCTCGAGGTCAGAGGTCCCAGAAGAACGAGCAGGGACTCGTCTTTGCTGCTGTCCAGCCTCCTTGAGTGACGTCTCCAGGCATGGGAGCAAATCAGATGAATAGGGCCTAAAGTGAACCCCCAGAAAACTGCAGGAGCCCTACAGAAGAGGGACCTATTGAAAGAAAAACAAACAAGCAAAAAGCAACAATAACAACATCAACAAAAACAATAACAAAAGGCCCCCATAAAAACCCCATCCAAGGGTCAGCAGCCTCAAAAACCAAAACTAGACAAACTCGCAAAGATGAGAAAGAATCAATGAAAAAATGATGAAAACCCAAAAGGCCAGAATACCTCTTCTCCTCCAAATGATCACAACAGGTCTCCATCAAGGACGCAGAACTGGACAGAGGATCAGATGGATGAATTGACAGAAGTAGGCTTTACAAGATGGGTAATAAAAAAACTACAATGAGCTAAAAGAGCATGTTCTAATCCACTGCAAAGAAGCTAAGAACTTTCATAAAAGGTTAGAGGAACTGCTAACTAGAATAACCAGTTTAGAGATGAACCTAAACGACTAATGGAGCTGAAAACACACACCACAAGAACTTCGTGGAGCAGACACAAGTATCAAAAGCCAAATCGACCAAGTGGAAGAAAAGATATCAGAGTTTGAAGACCAAATTACTAAAATAAGACATGCTGACAATAATAGAAAAGAAAAGAATGAAAAGGAATGAAAAAGCCTTCAAAAAATATGGGACAGAACCTACAATTATTAGAGTACCAGGAGGAGACAGGGAGAATGGAAACAAGCTAGAAAACACACTTCAGGATGTTATCCAGGAAAACTTCCCCAACCTAGCAAGACAGGCCAACATGCAAATTCAGGAAATACAGAGAACACCACTTAGATACTCCATGAGAATATCAACCCCAAGACACATAATCATCAGATTCTCCAAAGTCAAAATGAAGGAAAAACTGTTAAGGGCAGCCAGAGAAAAAGACCAGGTTACCTACAAAGGGAAGCCCATTAGACTAATAGCAGATCTCTCAGAAGAAACACTTCAAGCCAGAAGAGATTGAGGAACAATATTCAATATTCTTAAAGAAAAGCATTTTCAGCCTAGAATATCATATCCAGCCAAACTAAGCTTCATAAGTGAAGGAGAAATAAAATCCCTTCTAGACAAGCAAATGCTGAGGGATTTTGTTACCACCGGGCCTAGCCTGCAAGAACTCCTGAAAGAAGCACTAAATATGGAGAGGAAAAACTGGTACCAGCCAGTGCAAAAACACACAAAAACATGAGGACCAATGACACTGTGAAAAAACGACATCAACTAGTGTGCAAAATAACCCGATAGCATCATGATGACAGGATTAAATTCACACAAAACAATACTTACCTTAAATGTAAATGGGCTCAATGCCCCAATTAAAAGACACAGACTGGCAAATTGGATAAGGAGTCAAGGCCCAGTGGTGTGCTGTATTCAGGAAACCCATCTTACATGCAAAGACACACACAGAATCAAAATAAAAGGAGGAAAATTTACCAAGCAAATGGAAAGAAAAAAAAACCTCAGAGACTGCAATCCTAGTCTCTGACAAAACAGACTTTAATCCAAATAAGATAAAAAAAACTACAAAGGGCTTTACATAATGGTAAGGAAACAATTTAACAAAAAAGCTAATTATTCTGAATATATATGCACCCAATACAGGAGCACTCAGATTCATAAAACAAGTTCTTAGAGACCTGCAAAAAGACTTAGACTCCCACACAATAATTGTAGGAGACTTTAACACCCCACTGTCGGTATTAGACCTATCAATGAGACAGAAAATTAACAAGGATATGCAGGACTTGAACTCAGCACTGGATCAAGTGGACCTGGTAGACATATACAGAACTCTCTACCCCAAATCAACAGAATATACATTCTTCTCAGTGCCACACGACGCTTATTCTAAAATCAACAACATAAATGGAAGTAAAACACTCCTCAGCAAATGCAAAAGAACTGAAATCATAACAGTCTCTCAGACACAATGAAATCAAATCAGAACTCAGGATTAAGAAACTCACTCAAAACCACACAACTACATGGAAATTGAACAACCTGCCCCTGAATGATGTCTGGGAAAATAATAAAATTAAGGCAGAAATCAAAAAGTTCCTTGAAACTAATGAGAACAAAGAGACAATGTACCAGAATCTCTGGGAGACTGCTAAAGCATTGTTAACAGGGAAAATTACAATACTGAATGCCCACATCAGAAAGCAAGAAAGGTCTCAAATCAACACTCTAATATCACAATTAAAAAAGCTAGAGATGCAAGAGCAAACTAATCCAAAAGCTGACGGAAGATGAGAAATAACTAAGATCAGAGAAGAAATAGAGGAGATAGAGACATGAAAAACCCTCCAAAAACTCAACGAATCCAGGAGCTGTGTTTTTTTTTTTGAAAAAATTAACAAAATAGATAAACCGCTAGCTAGACTAATCAAGAAGAAATAGAAGAACCAAATAGACACAATAAAAAATGATAAAGGGGGTCGGGTGTGGTGGCTTATGCCTGTAATCCCAGCATTTTGGGAGGCTGCGGCAGGCAGATCAGGAGGTCAGGAGATTGAGACCATCCTGGCTAACAGAGTGAAACCCCGTCTCTACTAAAAATACAAAAAATTAGCCGGGCATGGTGGCATGCACCTGTAGTCCCAGCTACTCAGGAGGCTGAGGCAGGAGAATCGCTTGAACCGGGGAGATGGTTGTCAGTGAGCCGAGATCGTGCCACTGCAGTCCAGCCTGGGCGACAGAGCAAGACTCTGTCTCAAAAAAAAAAAAAAAAATTGATAAAGAGGATATCACCATTGACCCCACCGAAATACAAACTACCATCAGAGAATACTCTAAGCACCTCTACACAAATAAACTAGAAAATCTAGAAGAAATGGATAAATTCCTGGATGCATACACCCTACCAAGACTATAACAGGAAGAAGTTGAATACCTGAATAGACCAATAACAAGCTCTGAAATTGAGGCAGTAATTAATAGCCTACCAACAACAAGAATCAAAGCCCAGGGCCAGATGGATTCACAGTTGAATTCTACCAGAAATACAAAGAGGAGCTGGTACCATTCCTTCAGAAACTATTCCAAACAACTGAAAAGGAGGGACTCCTCCCTAACTCATTTTATGAAGGCAGCATCATCCTGATACCAAAAACGGGAAGAGACACAACAAAAAAAGAAAATTTCAGGCCAATATCCCTGAAGAACATCGATGCAAAAATCCTCAATAAAATACTGGCAAACCAAATCCAGCAGCACATCAAAAAACTTATCCACAACGAACAAGTCGGCTTTATCCCTGAGATGCAAGGCTGGTTCAACATATGCAAATCAATAAATATAATACATTACATAAACGGAACCAAAGACAAAAACCACATGATTGCCTCAATAGATACAGAAAAGGCCTTTGATAAAATTCAACATCCCTTCATGTTAAAAACTCTCAATAAACTAGGTACTGATGGAACATATCTCAAAATAATAAGAGCTATTTATGGCAAACCCACAGCCAATATCATATTGAATAGGCAAAAGCTGGAAGCATTTCCTTTGAAATTGGCATAAGACAAGGATGCCCTTTCTCACCACTCCTGTTCAACATAGTATTAGGAGTTCTGTCCAGGGAAATCAGGCAAGAGAAAGAAATAAGCCTATTCAAATAGGAAGAGAGATGGTCAAGTTGTCTCTGTTTGCAGAGGACATGATTTTATATTTAGAAAACCCCATCATCTCAGCCCAAAAACTCCTTAAACTGATAAGCAACTTCAGCAAAGTCTCAGGATACAAAATCAATTTGCAAAAATAACAAGCATTCCTTTACACCAACAATAGGCAAGCAGAGAGCCAAATCATAAATGTACTTCCATTTAAAATTGCTAAAAAGAGAATAAAATACCTAAGAATACAGCTAACAAGGGATGTGAAGGACCTCTTCAAGGAGAACTACAAACCACTGCTCAAGGAAATAAGAGAGGACCCAAAGAAATGGAAAAACATCCCATCCTCATGGATAGGAAGAATCAATATTGTGAAAATGGCCATACTGCCCAAAGTAATTTGTAGATCCAATGCTATTCCCTTCCAACTACCATTGACGTTCCTCAAGGAATTAGAAAAATCTATTTTAAATTTTATATGGAATAAATGAAGACCCTGTATAGCCACATTTCTAAGCAAAAAGAACAAGCTGGAGGTGTCACACTACCTGACTTCAAACTATACTACAAGGATACAGTAACCAAAACAGCATGGTACTGGTACCAAAACAGATATATAGACCAATGGAACAGAACAGAGGCCTCAGAAATAACACCACACATCTACACCCATCTGATCTTTGACAAACCTGACACACACAAGCAATGGGGAAAAGATTCCCTATTTAATAAATGGTGTTGGGAAAACTGGCTAGCCATATACAGAAAACTGAAATTGGACCTCTTCCTTACACCTCATAAAAAAATTAACTCAAGATGGATTAAATACTTAAATGTAAAACTCAAAACAATAAAAACCCTAGAAGAAAACATAGGCAATACTATTCAGGACATAGGCATAGGCAAAGACTTCATAACAAAAACAGCAAAAGCAATTGCAACAAAAGCCAACATTGACAAATGGAATCTAATTAAGCTAAAGAGCTTCTGCACAGCAAAAGAAACTGTCATCAGAGTGAACAGGCAACCTACAGAATGGGAGAAAATTTTTGCCATCTACCCATCTGACAAAGTTCTAATATCCAGAATGTACAAGGAACTTAAATATATTTACAAGAAAAAAACACCAACACCATCAAAAAGTGAGCAAAGGATATGAACAGACACTTCTCAAAAGAAGACATTTACGTGGCCAACAAACATGAAAAAAAGCTCAACATCACAGATCATCAGATAAATTCAAAACCACAATGTGATACCATCTTATGCCAGTCAGAATGGCGATTATTAAAAAGTCAGGAAACAATAGATGCTGGTAAGACTGTGGTGAAATATGAACACTTTAATGCTGTTGGTGGGAATGTAAATTAGTTCCACCCATTGTGGAAGACAGTGTGGCGATTCCTCAAGGATCTAGAAACAGAAATACCATTTGACCCAGCAATCCCATTACTGGGTATATGCCCAAAGGAATATAAATCATTCTACTATAAGGACACATGCACACGTATATTTATTGCAGCACTATTTACAATAGCAAAGACATGGAACCAACCGAAATGCCCATCATTGATAGACTGGATAAAGAAAATGTGGTATATATACACCATGCAATACTATGCAGCCATGAAAAAGGATGAGATCATGTCCTTTGCAGAGACATGGATGAAGCTGGAAACCATCATTCTCAGCAAACTAACACAGGAACAAAAAACCAAACACCACATGTTCTCACTCAAAAGTGGGAGTTGAACAATGAGAACACATGGACACAGAGAGTGGAACAACACACACCAGGGCCTGTTGGGTGGTGGGGGGTGACGGGAGGGAACTTAGAGGATGAGTCAATAGGTTTAGCAAACCACCATGGCACACATATACCTGTGTAACAAACCTGAATGTTCTCCACAGGTGTCCTGGTTCTTTTTTTTTTTTTTTTTTTTTTTAAGATATTTAAAAAAGAAAAGAAAAAAAGACAAAAGAAAATCACCACATGTGATTAACGCAAAAAAGTTTTAAAAACAGCAAAATTGCTGTAAAATTTATTGTTGTAGTCCCTGATAAGAACCACTTGTGGAAAATAAACTTATTATTATAACATTGCTACTAATGTGTTTGTGTTATTTAAAATGCAGAAAAAAATTTCAGTTGAATCAAAACTACATTTTTTTCTGCTGATACAAGCAAGCATCCATGTTTTTTATTTGCAGTGGTCTGTTGTTATTTATTTTCAGTGGCCTCATTTTAATGTAATATTCAGCTAAGGGATTGTGCTGCCAGCAAACTTTATGCCATTATTTCCAAAAGGAAAATAAAATTAGAAAAAAGAAATCAATATTCTGCATTCACTAAGAACGCACTAATATATGTTTGACTTTCAGACACCACAAACATACATGAGTACATAAACACAGTCATACATATATGTATTTAAGGAGAGAAAAAAAAGCATTACATTTAGTTCTGAAAACAAAACTAACAGCTAGTTTTAAAAAGTTGGTATTGCTCACAAGCTTTAGTCTTTATTACACTGCTATTTCCTTTATTCATTTCTCCCTTAGATCTCATCCACCTTTATCATTTCACCTATTACTCTTAGTAACTGACTCCATAATCTTTACCTCAAAATCTGTCTTTTCTCCAAATCATCACCTGACTTCTACACATCTCCACTTTGATGTCTCAATAGCATTACAAACAATAATCCAAATGTACGATTCCCTCCTCCTTCCTAGTCTTTTTAACTTCTATTGCCAGAAAGCAAAATCGTTTTTCTAATCATTTAAGCCATAAACATTTGCTCTGACTCTTGCTTTTATTGTCGGCTGTTCACATGCAAACAGTCACACATTATATTCACCCTTCTTTTACAATGGCTACTGTCTTTCTTCTCTTCCTCATGGGTTCTACCTTATTTTAGATACTTAGTCTGAAATATAGCAACAATTTCCTAAATGAGCTCCATCTAGGCTCTCCCTCCCCAATCTATTCCACCTGTCTACCAGACATATCTCCCAAAAATAGCATTTTAAAACTTAATATTTGCTTAAAATCATTTAGTAGCCCTCCCAATTATTTTAAGGACAATGTCTGAAATCAGGGTTCCAGAATTCAAGTTCCCACATATTCTGGCTCAGCTATTAATCTTTTAAATCATTATTTTACATTAATTTAAAAAGGTACATCGTTTACCATCTCTTACCATGTTATAAAAGGAGACTAAAATAGGAGAAATAAAAATAGTGTGCAATAAACAAGAAGACAATTTTCAGGCTTGGTCTGTACGTCCTGCTCTGTGTCTTTGCTTATGACATTTTCTCCACCAGCAAAACTTTCACTCATCTTTCTGTTGCCCAGCCTATGGCTACCTGTATTCAGTAAATGTTCATATCCACTGTGATCGCTCTCTATTTGATCTTCTCTAGCTCTATTGTCTCTGTCACTTGGCATTTAACACCTTCTGCCTTGTATTGCAATGATCTCTCTCTATTTATCCTTTCACTCCTCATATAGATTATCTTCTGAAGTCAGCACAAGATATGGAACTTCTCTTGTACCTCTCACGAACCCTAGCCAAATGCTCAACACGTGCTGGTGTTTGATTATTAAGTATTTACTAAAAATTTGCCTTCCTGGTAGAGGGTAAAATACCTGACTGGATTCAATTCTTTATTTTGTTTATGCCAGTTTGTATGTCTATGTGTAGACATAGCCCAAATTAGCCTGCTATTTCTATAAATTATAACCTGCAGGGCCATACACCTAGTATCTCTTTGCAGAGGGAGTTTCAAACTGTGACTGTTTCTTTTAAGCACATCAGTCAAAACCCTGGTTCAGAGTTATTTAAAGTGGTTTGTATTTTATGGTCCTATGAAGGCTTCACATTGCAACTGCTGAGCTTTAAAAACACAGAAACTAAAAAGAGGGTACAAGGAACTGCCATCTGTCCCCATAAACAATTATCAGCCGGCCATCTGCCCATATACTGGGTAATGATTTTAACGCTGGTAATATCTTACTGAGATACTCTCCATAGAGCCAAAGAAAGGGAACCCATTAAAAAATGCTGACCCTTCTAGTTGTTGTTTGTGAGTGTTTTCTCCTATACAAGAGCTTATCATTTAATTTGTGTCTCTATGTTTTTCACTACGAATCGAAAAGTTATTCTTTGTGACCCATCTGCAACCACCTGGCCCTTGCAAATAGATGCTTCTATCTACAAATTACCACAAAGAGTTAGTGCAACTATGGATATAATTTAGATCCATTCAAAATGAACCAAAGTATCCGAGACATTATAAAAGAGAGCTAACAGTAACGGGATTAACAATTAACCTCAAGCTCAAACTAAGCAGTATAAAGAAATCCACATCCAAATGAAAACCAGTTTCCTTATGTTTCAAAATCCACTCTGCAAAGTTTACAATCCTTTTGCTGAGTTTATTGTCTTGCTTATTTTTCTGTGATGAACATTGTGGTAAAGTAGCATTTGAGTGATAGTGAATTATACTTTAAATTAGAGCAGAATCCATCCAATTCTTTAGGGCAGAGAATGACTATATATAAAATCAAGGTCTTGCTTATGATACTAAGTCTGAGTAATGGTTTTTCCAATCCAGATTTACTTATTCACTTTTTATATACAGTGGTTCCAAAAGAAGTGGTGAAGTCTTTACCAATAACATGTATCTCAAAGTTTAGGAATATTATGAAAATAGACATTGTGAGTTTTCAGCAAGTGCCATTTCTTGAGAGACGTGTTAACTAAGTTTCAACTCATAGTGTCTTTTTGTCTTTTTTTTAATTTTTTTTTTCTTGAGACAGAATCTTGCTCTGTTGCCCGGGCTGGAGTGCAGTGGCATGATCTCAGTTCACTGCAACTTCCGCCTCCCAAGTTCAAGCAATTCTCCTGCCTCAGACCCCTTAATAGCTGGAATTACAGGCACATGCCACCACACCCAAATAATTTTTGTATTTTTGGTAGAGACAGGGTTTTGCCATGTTGGCCAGGCTGGTCTCAAAGTCCTGACCTCGGGTGATCCGCCCTCCTCGGCCTCCCAAAGTGCTAGGATTACAGGCATGAGCCACCGTGCCTGGCCTCAACCCATCGTCTTATGCCTACTTATTTTTCCTGAAATTACTTGTTTTTCAAGTATAGACTTTTTTATATAATAGCTTTTAATGCATCTGCTGTTTTGTAAATTTCTTATGAAATATATATATTGCTAACACGTTTCAAATAAAAAGCAGTTCCAACAATGTGTATCTAAAGAATTCAGCTGTTTATCAAACGTTTTCTTGCCTTGCCTTTATTTATCTATATTCTTTTTCTTTTTTTCTCTAAACAACATGGCTTCTCAGAAATCTTGCTTTAATAATGAATGCTTAGCTCCTAAAATATTGGCTATCCCACTAAAACTACCTTGGAAATTTTCAGATATCAGATAAAGGGTATAAAAGATGTAATTATCAGACAATCTTCATAATATGAGCTTCGGTTGTTCTGGATGTGAGAATTTATGCTTCAAATCTTAGATCTACAAATAAGCATCATCTCCATAGAAACTTAAGGGCCTGATGTTGTTAATGGTTATTAAAACCCTAAGGATTATGCACACTCATTTAAAAAATGGCCAGCTTCTTTGACCTGGCAGATGAAACTAGGCAATGGGTAAAATCAAGCTGAAGTTTAGAGCTAAAAACTAGTTAATAATGTAAGGTTTTGTTTATAATTCTAAATAAATAAATTAGAAAGAAAAAAATATTAATGACAAATCTTACAGAAAAAAATAAATTGAGACTTTTTAATTATCGTTGCTTTAAAGTATATATAAGATTTTTTTTCTGCTTCTGACAGTTTTAAGTACATGGATATTGTCATTTATACTATAACAACCATAACAATGTTGTTTAATAATAAAAAGAAAGCATAAAATCTTCATGTCATTGAAACTTTCATTTGCAATCTTTGCTGTCTATTTTTACTAAATCTTTTCTGGGATTAATAGAAAACTATTTATGATGATCTTGACAGTTCAGTTGCAAAAAAGACATTAATAAGGCGGATATTACTGTCACTGCTCCTCTATGGGTACGAAAAGATAATGAGTGAATCTGCTAAAAGAAACAAAAAAGGGAGGAATCTATTGGTGGCAATTACTTTATTCACTAATGTCAATCGATAACACATCCCTACCAGCTAATTCTGTAGCCTGCCAAGGAATTTTGCTGGAGAAAGGAATCCTTCTGGGCTCGGTTACCGCAGTGCGTTTTTGTGTTAGATTCCTGCAGCTGTTGCTCTTTTATGCAATGAGGCTGCCTCTATAAACGCTACTCAGAAAGTTCTTGATAAAACAATGAAGGAAGTGAAGCAAATGCTAAAAAGTCAAGCAGATCTGAGTTCTTGTATCAGATCTTTTGCAAATTACATGTGTGAGCCTTACAAGTCATATGGCTCTTCCTACTTTACCCCACCTTATCTTTAAACTAAAATATTTGCATTAAACTACAGAATTCCTGCTAGTTCTTTTACTTTATGACTCTAGGATTATGTTTTCATTTCCTCTGGCTTGAATATTTTCAATCTCCATTCATTTTTTACTTCCTCCTTCTGTTCTAATTTTTGAAGTATTTTTTCTTACCTTCTGAGGGAACAAAATACAATGGATTCCTGAATAAATAATTCTCTAGATGGAAAAAATTAAGACAAAGGAAAAGAGAAGAGTAATGCCATAGAAGGCCTGTGCGAAAGATATTTTGAGGAATATAGACATGTATAAAGGTCAAATATACACGACAATTTCTGCTGTTCTATGTAAGGGCATCCTGAATGGAGGCTGAGTTAATTTTCTGGAACTAGTCTAGGGAAAATTTCACATTCTTCTTTCACTGGCCCATATGTTTAACATTAAAAGTCAGTATTGAGTGGCTACAATACTGCTGGATAAATACTGAATTATTTATAAAAAGATTTGGTGGCCATGAGAACATGAAATAATAAAAGACTAAACAGTGATACAGTTTTCTTCCATTTCTGTATTTTTACTTTTAGTTGCTTGTACAGGTACCATGCTCTTTACCTAATGAAAAATCCACCACTCATCTTTAAACATTTTATCATCACACTGATTTTATTTATACTAAAAAAGAAAATACAGACTAATTGCAACCCTGCCAGAAAATTGATTCAACCCAGCAATCAAAAGGAACAATCAAAACAAATGTCCACTGGAATGGACAGACATGGGTAAGGTTAAGTCACATAAAACATTCCATTTCATCTTTCATCAATTTTGAATACCAGCATAATATTCATTAAGTTGGACACTTCTCTTAAGATATTTAAAGAGGTCTAACATTTCTTTGGCTTAGGTGCTCCTGTCCCTTGACATTTCTAGTTTTATATTTCTTAAGTAAGATGTTAGAATGTCCTTATTATTTTTTCCTATTTATACTATTTTTTGTAATCACAGCTACAAATGTCCTGATAAAAATATTTAACTGCATAAGAGGAAAAATGTTACAGAAACAAACTTAATATATTATAGATTTTTCCCTCAAAATGATAAATTTCTATTTAACTTTTACTTTCTTTTCAAAAGTATATGTGGAGGTTTTTTATATGGGTAAACTGCGTGATGGATTTGGTGTATAGATTATTTTGTCACCCAGGTAGTAAACATACCAGCTGATAGTTTTCTGATCTTCTCCCTTCTCCCACCCTCCACCCTCAAGTAGGCCCCAGTGTCTGCTGTACTGCTCTTTGTGTTCATGTGTTCTCATGGTTTAGCTCCCACTTATAAGTGAGAACATGTGGTATTTGGTTTTCTGTTTCTGCATTATGCATTAGGATAATGACCTCCAGCTCCATCCATGTTGCTTCAAAGGACATAATCTCACTATTTTTTATGGCTGTGTCATATTCCATGGTGTATATGTACCACATTTGCTTTATCTAGTCTACGATTAATGAACATTTAGGTTGATTCCATGTATTTGCTATTGTGAATACTGCTGCAGTAAGCATACATGTGCATACGTCTTTGTGGTAGAATATTTAATTACACAAAATTTATATTCCTTTGGGTGTATACGCAATAATGGCATTGCTGGGTTGAATGGTAATTTTGGTTTGTTTGTTTGTTTGTTTGTTTGTTTGTTTTGTTGACAGGGTCTCACTCTGTCACCCAGGCTGGAGTGCATTGGTGTGATCTTGGCTCACTACAACCTCTGCCTCTCAGGCTCAAGCAATCCTCCAACCTTAACCTCCAAAGGAGCTGGGACTACAGGCATGCACCACCACACCAGGCTAATTTTTGTATTTTTTGTAGAGTCAGGGTTTCACCATGTTGCCCAGGCTGGTCTAGAACTCCTGGACCTAAGCAATCCACCTGTCTCAACCACACAAAATGTTGGGATTACAGGTGTGAGCCACCATTCCTGGCGGTAATTCTGTGTTAAGTTCTTTGAGGAATCTTCACACTGCTTTTCACAATAGGTGAACTAATTTACATTCCCACTGGTAGTGTATAAACTTTCTTTTCTCTCCACAACCTCTCCAGCATCTGTTATTTTTTTTTAACTTTTACATAATAGCCATTCTGACTGGTATGAGATGGTATCGCATGCGGTTTTGATTTGCATTTCTCTAATGATTAGTGATGTTGAGCATTTTTTCATGTTTGTGGGCTACATGTATGTCTTCTTTGAAAAGTGTCTGTTCATGCCCTTGGCCTACTTTTTAATAGCGTTGTTTGTTTTTTAGCTTATAAATTTAAGTTTCTTATAGACTTGTTATTTCACCTTTGTTGGATGCATAGATACAAATATTTTCTCCCATTCTGTAGGTTGTCTGTTTACTCTGTTGATAGTTTCTTTTGTTGTACAGAAGCTCTTTAGTTTAATTAAGTCCTATTTGTCAAATTTGTTTTTGTTGCAATTGCTTTTGGCATCTTTATCATGAAATCTTTGCCAGGTCCTATGTCCAGATAATCTATTTCCTAGGTTACCTTTCAGGGTTTTTTTTTTACAGTTTTAAGTTTTACATTTAAATCATTAATCGATCTTGCATTGATTTTTGTATACGATGTAAAGAAGTGGTCCTGCATATGCCTAGCCAGTTATCCCAGCACCATTTATTGAAAAGAGAGTCCTTTCCACATTGCTTGCAAAATGATAAATTTCTGTTTGAGTTTGTGAGCCTTGTTTCCTTTTCCATTACAGCATGTAAAGACGCTAAACTTTCCAAGACTTTTATTTATATTTGTAATTCCAAATGGAGATAATCTGCATCATGTTTGGTGCTGAAATATGAGTTAATTTTTAAGTAAATTTTTGTTATTTGCTTTAATGTTTTTTGTGTACCATTTCATATATTCAGCATTATTGAGTTATATATGCAATTTACTAAAATGACTAGATATTTTGGGGTTCTGTAAATTTTATCATAGAGACACAATTCTAAACTGCTTTATTATCTTATATTGAATTCACAGAAACTAAAATGCATTATGTCACCAGATGAGAAATTTATGAGTAGTGAACAGAGAATGTCAGGTTCTGCAAATGACAGCTCAACCAATCCATCTAATTTTTTTCATGGGAGTGAGATGTGGGTGTCTCTCTCAACTGAGGGCCACAGTCATATTGTTCTATACTTTCCAGTAGAGGTATCCTCATAAATGAGACCTGCCAACTGAATAAAAGTTATCCTAACTCAGAACGTTGGAATTTCGCTTTGATACTCTCTTCTTCACCTCTTCATTTGTCCAGTCTCAAATCTAGTTAGTTCCCAAGATCATTTTTGCATAGATTATTTGCTATGTTTTTTGTAGTGAACAAGATACAAAAGCCCTGATCTCCTATAGTTTATAGTGATGTCATTATGTCTCTCAGTTCATAAACTCTACCATCATTCTAATCTAGACACTTTTTGTGTCCTGCATGCAGAGCACAAATAAATGAATTCAAAATGAACAAAACAATACAAAAGATCAACCCAAAGTTGGCTTTTTAAAAGATAAACTATATTGACAAACCTTTAGCTACACTAAGAAAAAAAGAGTGAAAGCCTAAATAAATAAAATCAGAGATTTAAAAGGAGACATTACGACTGCCACTGCAAAATTCATAGCATAATTGGTGGCCACTATGTGCCAATAAATTGGAAAACTAGAAGAAGTGGATTAATTCCTAGACACATGAAACCTACCAAGTTTAAATCATGAAGAAATCCAAAACTTGAACAGACCAGTAACATGTAATGAAATTGAAGCCGTAAGAAAAATTCTTCCAGCAAAGAAAGGCCCGGGAACCAATGACTTCACTGTTGAAATTTACTAAACGTTTAAAGAAGCACTAATGCCTATCCTACTGAAAATATTCCAAAAAATAGAGAAGGAGGGAATACTTCCAAACTCTTTCTATGAGGCCAATATTCTTTTGCCTGTTACCAAAACCAGGCAAAGATATATTGAAAATAGAAAGCTATAGGCAAATATCACTGATGAATATTGATGCAAAAAACCTCAACAAAATACTTGCAAACTGAATTTAACAACACATTGAAAAGGTTATTTATTTTGACCAAGTGAAATTTATCGCAGGGATGCAAGGATGGTTCAACATACACAAAAAAATTAACGTGATACATCATATCCACAGAGTGAAGGACAAGAACCATATGACCATTTTAATTGATGATGAAAAAGCATTTGATCAATTTAAACATTCCTTCGGGATAAAAATCCTCAAAAAATTGGGTAAAGAAGGAACATACTTCAACATAATGAAAGCCATATGCAACAGACCCAATAGCTAGTATAATACTGAATGGGAAAATACTGAAAGCTGTTCCCCTAAGATCAGGAACAGGACAAGGATGCCCACATTTACCACTGTTATTCAACATAGTACTAGAAGTCCTAGCTAAAGCAAGCATACAAGAGAAAGAAATTAAGGGTGTATAAACTGGAAAGGAAGAAGTCAAATTATCCTTGTTAGTAAATACGCTCTTATATTTGGAAAAACTGGATATTCATATGCAGAAGAACCAAACTAGAATCCTATCACTTACCAGATAGAAAAACTAAATCAAATCAAAATGGATTCAAAACTTAAATCTAAAACCTCAAACTATGAAACTACTAAAAGAAAACTTTGGGGAAACTCTCCAGGATATTGGACTGGGCAAAGATTTATTGAATAGTGCCCCACAAGCACAGGCAATGAAAGCAAAAATTGACAAATGGGATCACATCAAATTAACAAACTTCTGCACAGCAATGGAAACTATGCAGAAAGTAAAGAGACAATCCACAGAATGGGGAAAAAATTGCAAATTACCCATATGACAAGGGATAAATAACCAGAATATATATAAAAGGAGCTCAAACAACTAAATAGGAAAAAATCTATTAATTTAATTAAACATGGGCAAAAGACCTGAGTAGATATTTCTCAAAAGAAGACCTACAAATGGCAAACAGCTAAATGAAAAGATGATCAACACCATTAATCATCATAGAAATGCAAATAGAAATGACAATAAGATATCTTCTCACTCCAGTTAAAATGGCTTTTATTCAAAACCCATTTTATCAGGCAATAACAAATAGTGGCTAGGAAGTGGAGAAAATGAATTGTTTTTACACTGTTAGTGGGAATGTAAATCAGTACAACCACTATGGAGAACTGTTTGCATGTTCCTTAAAAAAAAATAGAGCTACCATACTATTGAGCAATCCCACTCCTAGGTATGTACCCAAAAGAAAGGAAATCTATATATCGAAAAGTTTTCTGCACTCCCATGTTTATTGCAGCACTGTTCACAACAGCCAAGATTTGGAAGCGACTCAAGTATCCATCAACAGATGAATGGATAAAGGAAATTGGCATTTATACAAAATGGAGCACTATTCAGTCATTAAAGAAAATGAGATTCTGTCATTTGCAACAACATGAATGAAACTGGGGGTTATTACGTTAAGTGAAATAATCCAGGCACCGAAAGACAGACTTTGCATACTCTCACTTATTTGTGGAAGCTAAAAGTTATAATAATTGAATTCATGGAGATAAAGAAAAGAAAGATGGTTACCAGACACTGGGAAGGGTAATGTGGGAGTGGAGGAAGGAAGTTGAGATGGTTAATCAGTACCAAAAAATAGAAAGAATGAATAAGACTTCATATTTGCTAGCACAACAGGGTGACTATAGTCAAAAATAATTTAATTGTACATATTTAAATAACTATAAGAATATAATTTGATTGTTTGAAACACAAAGGATAAATGCTTGAGGTGATGGATACCCAATTTATTCTGACCTGAGTATTATGTATTGCATGTCAGTATCAAAATATTTTATGTAACACGTAAATATATACACATATTATGTATCCACAGAAAATAAATAAAAAGAAATCTAGACTCTTCTTAGTCATCTCTATTTGCTAATTCCTCAGAAAGCCATGCAGAATTTGTATCCTGGTTTTGCTTGATACAAGCAGCAGGCCTATTCACACTGCGTGATCTCATCTAGAAAGTACCTTTGCCTCCAGTCCCAGTCCCTTAGTGGGCCTCCTCCAGGCAATTTTCTAGCTAAGAAGCCCTAGGAGTTTGTCCTTACTTTCCCACTCCTCCTCAACTAACAACTCTTATAAGCACCAGGAGGCACTTATGTAAATAGCTCTTCATCAGATTCCATCTTGAAACAGAATTGTTATTATTCCAAATCCATTTCCCTGCCCACTTCCTAACATATGTCTTTAATTTCACTTATCTGAGAGCACCATGAGTAAGCATGCTGTTTTGCAGATAGACTTGTGTAAGAGGATTAGAAAATTATATTTTGTCTTAGAGCAGTTAAAAGTCATAGAGAAGACTTTCCTCAAATTTTCAAATAACTTCACTCTTTCTGCCCTTTTACTAATTTATTTCAACAATGGTTAAATTGTATTTATTTTATTGATATTATTTATTTTAACTGTTTCTATACTCATAATTTCCTTAATATCTAGCTCAGAATATAGGAAATTGATTAAATTCTGTCTCGTAGATTAAGACAGAGCCTGATCATAAATTTCCAACCTCATCCTGAACCAAGGACTTTCACTAAATTAAGAGATCAATTGTGGGCTATTTTCATGTGATACCACTTCAACTGGCAAGAAATAGGGGAAAAATTAGTACCTTCACTGATTGTTTTGTATATACAATGTCAACTAGTCAACTTAATAGAAAATATAAGTGACATGTATCTACTTGTATTTTAGGAAACAGATATGTGAGAAGAGTGAGGTTACTAATTGGAAGCAAGTGAAATTTTTCAATAAATTGTTTAAGAAAAGCAACAGAAATACCTACTTTCAAACCTGTCTGTTTAGTAACAGAGATTCATTTTAAAACTTTATCTTAGGTTTGGAGGTACCTGTGAAGGTTTGTTACATAGGTAAACATGTGTCATGGGGGTTTGTTGTACAGATTATTTCATCACCCAGGTATTAAGCCCAGTACCCAATAGTTACCTTTTCTGCTCCTCTCCCTCCTCCCACCCTCCCCTCTCAAGTAGGCCCCAGTGTCTGTGGTTTCCTTCTTTGTGTTCATACATTCTTATAATTTAGCTCTCACTTATAAGTGAGAACATGCAGTATTTGGTTTTCTGTTACTGTGTTAGTTTGCTAAGGATAATAGCCTCCAGCTCCATCCATGTTCACGCAAAAGATGTGATCTTTTTTTATGGTTGCATAGTATTTCACGGAGTATGTGAACCACATTTTCTTTATTCAATCTGTCATTGATGGACATTTAGGTTGATTCCATGTATTTGCCATCATGAATAGTCCTGCAATGAATATTCACATGCGTGTGTCTTTATGGTATAATCATTTCTGTTTCTCTGGGTATATACCCAGTAATGGGAGTGCTGGGTCAAATGCTAGTTGTTCTTTTAGCTCTTTAAGGAATCACCACACTGCTTTCTACAAGGATTGAACTTATTTACACTCCCACCCACAGTGTATATGTGTTTCCTTTTCTCTGCAACCTTGCCAGGGTCTGTTATTTTTTTACCTTTTCATAATAACCATTCTAACTGGTGTAAGATGGTATTTCATTATGATTTTGATTAGCATTTCTGTAATGATTAGTGATATTGATCTTTTTTTTAATATGTTTGTTGGCCACATGTATGTCTTCTTTTGAGAAGTGTCTGTTCATGTCCTTTGCCCACTTTTTAATGTGGTTGTTTTTTTCCTTGTAAATTTGTTTAAGTTCCTTATAGATGCTGGATATTAGACCTTCGTCAGTTGCATAGTTTGAGATATTTTCTCCTATTCTTTAGGTTGCCTGATTACTCTGTTGATAGTTTCTTTTTGCTGTGCAGAAGCTCTTAAGTTTAATTAGACCCCACTCATCAGTTTTTGCTTTTTGCAATTGCTTTTAGTGTCTTTGTCATGAAATTTTTCCCATTCCTATGTCCATGGTTTTTAACTGGAGAAACTTATAGTGAATGAGGGGAACCGCAAACACATTGTCCACCTACATCACAAGGATGGAGTGGGTATGTAAATCAGTGCAAAGACTTTTAAACATGTCTACTAATTGTAACGGGTAGATGTATAAATGATGGAAATTCTCAAACTGTATTTTACATCTCATTCATACTGAAGTCAAAAGTGTTAAATTGTAGTTACAGATCTGCTACTTACTAGAATAAAATGTATTACTTGTTAGTATTCTAAGAAAGTATTTAACTGTAAATTTTATTTTCATCCAGAAAAGTGTTTCTGGAAGAACACTACAATATCCTGACCATCAACACACTTTCATTGTTCATTATAATTTTAATTCATCAATTAAACTCAATAAATAAGAATATGTTATCATTATGTACAGACATGTCCTGAGTACTGAGGGTGAGTGAAAGGAAAGGCACAGAGATAGCAAGACAGTTCTTGCCCTCCAGGAACTTACAGTTTGTTAAAAGAGACAGACAGTCAACTCACTACGGCAGTAAGCACACACATATGAAGGAAATGTCATAAAAGAGAGTACGGAACATGACATTGGATTAACTTACCTTTTTTAGTAAAGGTATTTATGTATATCTTATTCATCTGGTATATCATACTAGAGTCTATACACTTTGAGGACAGAAGATGAGTATTATACTTTTTATTTCCAACAGTGCCTTTTCTATAGCTGGTGGTTGGTAAATATACATTGAATTGTAAACTGTACTCTAATAGTGTGTGCTTGAAACAGGTCCATAGTAGTGCTACTATCTGTGGATTAAACATTCTAAGTTTGTTTATTTAAATGTGCATAAAAGTAAACAAGTAAATATATTACCTCTATTAGTCTGTTTTCATGCTGCTGATAAAGACATACCCAAAACTGGGTAATTTATAAAGTAAAAGATGTTTAATGAACTCACAACGTAGCTGGGGAAGCCTCACAATCATGGCAGAAGGTGAAAGGCACGTCTTACATGGCAGCAGACAAGAGAGAATGAGAACCAAGTGAAAGAGGTTTCTCCTTAAAAAACAATCAGATCTCATGAAACTTATTCACTACCACGAGAACAGTATGGGGGAAACCGCCCCCATGATTCAATTATCTCCTACCAGGTCCCTCCCACAACATGTGGGAATTATGGGAGCTGCAATTCAAGATGACATTTAGGTGGGGACACAGCCAAACCGTATCATTACCTTTTGAAATATTTTTTCAGACATAAGTAGGAAAAAAATTAAAAAGAATAAAATTAACTGCCACCACTCAATATTTAGCTAGTTACTTTCTCTGTCTGGACCTCAGTTTTTCCAGTTGGGTCCATCAAGTTCTAGTATTGTGTGATTCCCCCCTTGACTATATTTTCTCCACAAAATACTTATTCATTTCCCTGCTTAGAAAATTTTCTCAAAATCTGGATAACATTCAGTACTTTCTTAAAATAGCAAATAATATGCCTTACCTCCCAGTCTCATCATCCCACTTCAATTGAGTTTTCTTATCACCACTCTACTTAATCTATTCTTGAAAATGTTAACAATGACCTCCATTTTATTAAATCAAATGGATACCTCTCTGTTCTCAACTTCTAAATCTCTAAGCAGCATCCAATAAATTGTTGATCACTATATTATTCTTTAAATTCAGTATTCATTCGGTCTCCATGACACCATGCTCTTTTGGTTTTCCTTCTAGTTCTCTGGATTCTACTCCTCAGATTTCTCTTTTTTGTCCTGCTTCTTCTGATTGAGTGACTCACACTTATTCCTGGAATGTCTGCTAATTTACATCTGCACTTTTAAAATATAGTTAATTTTTAAAATTGGCCAATAAAAATTGTATATGCTTATCATGTAAAACCTGTTGTTATGAATTATGCATACATTGTGGAGTGGCTAAATAGAGCTAATTAGCATATATATTACCTCACATACTATTATTTTTGTGATAAGAACACATAAAATCTACTCTTTTAGTGATTTTCAGGAAAAATAATATGTTGTTATTAACTATAGTTGCACTCTCATGTTCATTGCACTCACAAGTTCATTGCAGCATTATTCACAATAGTCAAGATATGGAATAAACCTAAGTGTCCATTAGCAGATGAATGGATACAGAAAATATATATACACAAATATATATATATATATATACACGTATGAAAACATGTATACACATATGAAAAAATATATATGCTATAGTCACCATGTTGTATTGTAGATCTTTGGAATTTATTCTTTCTGTCTCACTTAAATTTTGTATTATTTGACAAATATCTTCCCAAGTCTCTACTCACCAACACCTGAAAACCACCCTAATACTTTCTGCTTCTGTGGCTTTAACTCTTTTAGTTCCACATATAAGTAACATTGTGAAGTGTTTGTCTTCCTGTGCATGGCTTATTTCTTTTAACGTTAAGTTTTAAGTCCTACAGATTCATCCATGTTGTCGCAAATAACAAGGTTTCCTCATTTTAAAGGCTAAATAGTATTCTATCGTGTATATATATTTTCTTTATCCATTCATCTGTTGATGGACACTTAGGTTTATTCCATATCTTGACTATTGTGAATAATGCTGCAATGAACATGGTAGGGCAGATATCTCTTCAAGATATTGATTTCATTTGTTTTGAAAGTATGTCCCATAGTGGAATTATGGGACCATACAGTAGTTCTATTTTTAAATTTTGAGAAATTTCTGTACTGTTTTCCATAATAGCTCTACTAATTTACATTCCCATCAACAGTGAGCAAAGGCTCTCTTTTCTTCACATTCTCACCAACACATATTTTCCATGTTTTTCATTATAGCTATTCCAAAAGGTGGGAGGTGATATCACACTGTGGTTTTAATTTGCATTTACACAATAGAGATTAAGCATTTTTAAAAATACAACTGTTGGCCATCTGTAGCCTATTTTGAGAAATGTCTATTCAGGCCCTTTGCTCATTTTTTTAATTGGGTAATTTGTTTTCTTGCTATTGAGTTGTTTGAGTTTCTTATAAATTCTTAGGTACTAACCCTTTATCAGATGTATAGTTTATAAATATTTTTCCCACTTTATAGGTTGTCTCTTCACTCTGTTTCCTTCAATACTCAGAAATTTTTTAGTTTGTTGTAATCATATTTGTCTACTTTTGCTGTTGTCACCTGTGCTGTTGGAGTGAGGTCAAATAAATTATTGTGCAGACCAATGCCATGAGCCTTCTTCTCTAAGTTTTCTTCTAGTAGCTTTACAGTTTCAGGTCTTGTATTTAAGTCTTTAATCTATTATATTTGATTTTTGTATATGGTTTGATATACGACCCTAAGTTTATTCTTCTTTATGTATATATCCAGCTTTCCCAACACCGTTTATTTAAGAGACTAACCTTTCCCTATCCCATGTTCTTGCAACTTTAGTTGAAAATAAATACATCTTAATTATATGGATTTATTTTTGGATTTTCTGTTTTGTTCTATTGATCTATGTGTCTGTTTTAATGACAGTATGATGCTGTTTCAATTCCTATCATTTTATAGTATATTTTGAAGTCAGGTAGTGTAATATTTTCAGCTTTACTATTTTTGCTCAAGGTTGTATTGACTATACAAGGTTTTTTGTGGTTCCATACAAATTTGAAAATTCTTTTCTATTTGGGTAAAAATCGTCATTAGAATTTTGATAGGAATTGCACTGAATCCATAGATTTCTGTGGGTAGTAATGGCATTTTGACAATGTTAATTCTTTCAATCCATTAACATAGGATATCTCTCAATTTAGTTGTGTATTCTTCATTTTCTTTCATCAATGTTTCTCAGTTTTCAGTATATGGGTCTTTCACTTCCTTGGTTAAATATATTGATAAGTAATTTATTATTATTATTTTTTTTGCTTTTGGAAATGGGATTGTTTTCGTGAATTCTTTTCTTTAAAGACTTCATTGTTAGTGAATACAAACACCACTAATTTTTGCAAGTTCATTTGTATCATTTAACTTTACTGCATTCATTTAATAGTTCTATCAGTTTTGGGAGATGTTTTTAAAGATTGTCTACATATAAGATGAGGTCATCTGCAGACCCAGAAAGCTTAATTTCTTACTTTCTGACTTGGAAGATTTTTATTTATTTTTATTATCTAATTGCTCTGTCTATGAATTCCAGTACTATGTTGAACAGAAGTAGTGAGAGTGGGTGCCATTATTTTGTTCCTTATTTTAGAAAAGAACCTTTCAAATTTTCACCATTGTATATGATGTTAGCTGTCAGTTTATCCTATGTGGCCTTAATTGTGTTAAGGTAACTTCCTTCTATACATGATTGTATTAGTCAGGGTTCTCTAAAGGCACAGAACTAATAGGATAGATGAATACATGAAGGAGTGTTTATTAGAAAAAATTGACTCACATGATCACAAGGTGAAGTTCCACAACAGGCTAACTTCCAGCTGAGGAGCCAGGAAACCAGTCTGAGTCCTAAAACCTCAAAAGTTGTGAAGCTAATAGTGCAGCCTTCAGTCTGTGGCCAAAAGCGTGAGAGCCCATAGCAAATCACTGGTGTAAGTCCAAAAGTTCACAAGCTGAAAATCTTGAAGTCTGATGTTTGAGGGCAGAAAGCATCCAACACAGGAGAAAAATGTAGGCCAGAAGACTCAGCAAGTCTGCTCTTTCCATGCCTGCTTTTTATGCTGACAGCAGATTACATGGTTCCCACCCAGACTGAGAGTGGGTCTGCCTGTCCCAGTCCACTGAATCAAATGTTAATCTCCTTTGGCAACACCCTCACAGACAGACCCAGGAACAATTCCTTGCATTCTTCAATCCAATCAAGTTGACACTCAATATTAACCACCACAAGTCCACGCTTTGTCAACTTGAACTCATACACATCTCGTGAGATCATACATGATCTTCAAATCAAGACAATAATAAGGTCATAATGACACCTATCATAATACAGCTATCCTTCTTACAAGAAGAAGCACACTAATCCTTAACCTAAATGTTGTTACATAAAGTTAAAAACACTTAAATGCTAATATGAAATCAATAAATCTTATATCACATGATAAAGGAAATAAATAAAATGAAGATATTTTCTTAGTACAAGTGTATACATGTGCAAACTTGTTACTAATAAAATAAGGAGGAAATACTCATGACAATTACATTTCTCATTTCTTCAACTGGTCTCATGGTCATAGCTGGTATTGATGATACCTTCTACTACCCATTCTGTATTCTCTTTGCCTTTAGCAAGCACCTCAGCAGATCATGGATTTTTACCTGGCAGATTGACCCAAACCTTCATTTCTGAAGTTTCTGGGCCATTTGTAGTCCTGCCTGGATTGGGCTTTTATCATTTCCCATTGACCTTAATCACATGGCATAATAATACTAACAGATGACCTAAGGAATCTCCTGTATTCCACGCATACTCTTCCATTACCTCCATTGTGGAGTAGTAGAATGACTTTATCTTGATATTCTGGGTCAATTGCCCCAGCCAATACTGTAACTCCCTTCTTAGCCTATTGACTTAGGAGGAGCCCAAAGTGTCCAGGTCGCAATCTTAACTTCTAATTTAATGGAATCATTGTCGTGTATCCTGGTGGCAGTGTTCCTCCTTCTGGAACTAACACCTCTTGGCCAGCAGAACGTAATGTCACGAGAACAGGAAGCAAAAATTTAGTTAGTAGGTCACTAGAGTAGATGGTGAGTGGTGTCACTTCCACTTCCACTCCTTGATTCCTGGACCCGTAAATCCTGTCTATGAGAGGAACAGTACCATATATTGGAAGCTGATTCAGAGAATACACAGCCTTCTGGAGAACTTTTGCCCAGCCCTGCAAAGTATTGTCAATTACTTGACATTGTAATAGTGACTTAAAAGGCCATTCCACCATTCTATCAATCCAGCTGCTTTAGGATGATGGGGAACATGGTAAAACCTGTGAAATCCATGAGCATGAGCTTACTGCTGCATTTCTTTAGACATAAAGTGAGTGCCTTGGTCAAAGACAATGCTATGTGGGATACCATGGCAGTGCATAAGTCATTCTGTGAGTCCATGGATGGTAGTCTTGGCAGAAGCATTGCATGCAGGATAGGCAAACCCATATCTGGAGTAAGTATCTATTCCAGTGAGGACAAACCCCTGCCCTTTCCATGATGGAAAAGGTCCAATATAATCAACCTGTCACCAAGTAGCTGGCTGATCACCCTAAGGAATGGTGCCATATCAAGGGCTCAGTGTTGGTCTCTGCTGCTGGCAAATTGGACAACCAACAGTGGCCGTAGACAGGTCAGCCTTAGTGAATGGAAGTCCATGTTGCTGCGCCCGTGTGTAACCTCCATCCCTGCAAACATGGCCACTTTGTTCATGAGCCCATTGGGAAATGACAAGGGTGAATGGAGGAAGAGCCTGAGTTGTGTCCACAGAATGAGTCATCCTTTCCACTTGATTATTAAAATCCTCCTCAGTTGAGTTCAACCTTTGGGGAGCACTCACTCAAGCAGTTCACAGTTTTTTTTTTTACCACTCAGAGAGGTCCATTCACACACCTCTTCCCCAAATTCCTTTGTCACCAATTTTCCAGTGATGCTTCTTCCAAGTCCCTGACTTGACAGCCAAACTGTAAGCTACAGATGTGTGATCAGTATATTGTCGCAGATCTGACCTTTTCTCCTTCCAAGCAAAGTGCACAAGGAGGTGCACTGCTTGAAGTTCTGCCCACTGGGAAGATTTCCCTCTGTCACTGTCCTTCAGGGATGTCCTGGAAAGGGGCTGTAGTGCTATAGTAGTCCACTTTTAAGTGGCGCCTGCCTGTCCTGGGGAGCCATTTGTAAGCCAGGCCCTAGTCTTCTCTTCCTCTGTTAACTGATCATAGGGAACTCCCAATGAGGCCATCAGTGTAGGCTGGGGGAGAAAAGGCAGGGTAACAGGAGAGGAGACCATGGGCATTTGAGCCACTTCCTCATGTAACTTACTTGTGCCTTCAGGACCTGCTGGAGCCCAATTACTTATATACCACTTCCCTTTGATGATGTACCCACTTTTATGGCTGGATGGGTCAGAAGGCACCCAGTTCATGATAGGCAGTTTAGGTTGCATGGTGACTTGATGACCCATAGTTGAACATTCATTTCCTACCAAAGCCCAGTAACAGGCCAAGAGTTGTCTCTCAAAGGAGAGTAGTTACCTGCAGAATATGGCAGGACCTTGCTCCAAAATCACTCGATAAATGGGCTGCAGTAACATACCCAAATGAGGAATGTGTTGCCTCCAAAATTCAAATAGGCACACTAGGCCTTGTGCCCCTTTCTTGGTTGTAGGAGGGGCAAAATGCAGCAACTTATCTTTCACCTTAGATGGAATATCTCATCAGGCTCCACACCACCAGTCCCCTATAAATTTTGCTGAGGTACAGGGTCCTTGAATTTTAGTAGGATTTATTTTCCATTCTCTGGCACGCAAATGTCTTACCAGTAAGTCCAGTGAATTGCTACTTCTCGCTCACTGGATCCAGTCAGCATAATGTCATCAATGTAATGGAACAGTATAATATCTTGTGGAAGGGAAAATTGATCAAGATCTCTCTGAACAAGATCATGAACCAAAGCCAGAGAGTTGATATACCCCTGAGGTACAGCAGTAAAGGTATATTACTGGCCTTGCCAGCTGAAGGCAAATTGCTTCTGGTGGGCCTTATGGACAAGAATGGAGAAAGACGTTTGCCAAATCAATGGCTGCATATCAGGTACCAAGAGATATGCAGCCATAACACATACGAGCCATGTGTTAATTTGCTCAAGCAGTGAAACCACATCTAGTACACCAGCTGTAACTGGAGTCACCACTTGGTTAAGCTTACGATAATCCACTGTCATAGTCCAAGATCCATCCATCTTCTGCACAGGCCAAAGGGAAAGTTGAATGAGGATGTGATGAGAATCACCACCCCTGCATTTCTCAAGTCCTTAATGGTGGCACTAATCTCTCTTTTTTAGTTTTCTGTATATGCATCTTTCACTTCCTTGGTTAAATAAATCGCGATGTAATTTATTTTTAATTTTTTAATGTTTGTGATTTTTTTTGATTTGCTATTTTTCTACGTAGAGGCAGCTTTAATGGCTTCCATTTGGTCTTTCCCACCATAATAGACCTCACCCTACCAGTCAGGGAGCCAAAGTCCGGATTCTGCCTGTTGCTCAGTATGTCTATGCCAACTATGCATTGTGGCACTGGAGAAATGAACATAGGATAAGTCCGGGGACACACTGGACCCACTATAAGTTGGACCTGAACTAAAACTTTATTAATTACCTGACCTTACTTCAACTGGAGGACCACAATGACGTTTTGGGTCCCGTGGAATCAATATCAGCTCAAAGCCAGTGTCCAGTAGTCCCGAAAATGTCTGATCATTTCCCATTCCTCAATGTATAGTTACCCTGGTAAAAGGCCAGAGGTCTCTTTGAGGAAGGATGAGAGAAAGATTAACAGCACAAATTGTTGATAGTATAGTGGGGTCCTTCCTGAAAGGGACCTGGCCTCCCCTTCATTCAAGGGGTTTTGGGTCTGTAAACTGGTTCAAGACTGAAAATTGATTGAGGGGCCATGATTCTCTGTTTTTATAATTCAAATTAGTTTTTTGTCCACTCGACCTGGAAGTTTTCTGCTTATATAAATTAAGTAAGAATGAAGTAGGTTTCCTATCAATTTCATTTCTAGGAACACCATGACTAATTAGCCAATGCCAGAGCTCTACACAACTCAGATCATTCTGATTGTTGCTTTGCCACTGTTGTCCATTAAGGTAATTATGCCCACCTTGCATTTAACAGTTGAGTGCCACCACTTGTCCCCTGCCAACTTGGGATTCAATCATTCCCATTGCATTTAAATTTTGTAGTTGAGTGATTGCGGTTCCCACTGTAAAATCTGGCATACAGAGAGGGGCAATCACAGAGCTCTTCAAGGATGCAGGTGCTGCCCTCACATTATTTATTTTGCAAAATGTTGGTAAAGGATGTATCTTCTGGACACTCCCAGCTAAGATTAGTAGGTGTAAAGTGATTAATCCATTACACCATACCAATCTCCCTAAGCCTTTGGATTCCTTCCTCTGTGTTAAACCAAGAGATACCAGGCATTTCCAGCTCACTTACAGTGGGCCATCTTTTGATTCATATTGCAGTTAGCTAAGCAAATAAACTATTAGAACCTATTTTATCTCCCCACACTGTGACATTAAATGGAGAACCTCTGCTTCGTGGGCCCAAATCATTAAATTCAGCCTAATCCAACTTTATGTTCCCTCCACCATTATCCCACAAACTCAATATTCATTCCCATGCCTGTTCTCCAGACTTCTGCTTATATAAATTACAAAACTCAAGCAGTTCTTTTGGAATGTAGCACATCTCATGGGTCACACTCTGAACCTCACCTCTAGGGACCTGCCAAGACTTTAGTCTAGTTATAGGTCTAGAAGCAAACGGGGGTGTTGGGGTTGGGTCCTAAGGAGAATCAACATTGTCTTGCCTGGCAACTGCCTCAGGGGAGGCCATCACTGTTGTTTCAGGCAGTGCATGGTTAGTCTCCTCAGAGAAAAGTGGAAAGGCTGATGGCAGCATGAGTCAGGGAAGGAATGTTGCCACCACTGGGAATGGGGAAGCTGTTTCCTTTGGGAAAAAGGCTCGTTGAAGTTTACAAGCTTAGTGTCCCCAGCTTCTTCAGGGTTCTCTCACATGTTCCCATTCCAAGTTGCAGCATCTCATTTTATTACAATAAATGCCCTCACTTTAACAGTAGACAGCTGGTGAGGCTATGTGTGCACCTTTTGTTGCAGGTCAGCCACTCTCATAATCAGAGCTGTGTCTGATTTTCCACAATTTTAGCTCTTTCTGTACAGGATGTAAGACTCTCACTTGGGGCAATCTTAGAAGATTTGAAGCTCAGTATGTGCTTCTGGAGCTGGGAGTTAGAATCCCTGAGTTCATTTCCTTTCAGCACTTTGTCCAGCAAACTTAAGAGAAACAAACCAACTTTATTATATTCCTTGGGTCTCCACATATGGTTGAAGGTCTCACATATATAGTCACTAAACTCCTTGCTTCTCAAGAGTGGTTAATCAGGAGAATTAAATACATTTATTTTCCATAGCTTTCTAAACAGTTCAAGCCAAGGACCATCAGTTTACTCTGTGCTATTTACTATTTACTAATAGTAATTAGTAAATATTAATTTAATTAGTAAATAGTAATTTAATTTAATTAGTAAATAGTAATTTAGTATTGCTGTTAGAAATAGAGTCCTTAGCATTCTGGAGTCTAATCAGATTAAGCAGCCAACTCCAGACACCCCAAAACCAACTAAATAAACCTATCCTTAAAATTCTGTTTCTCTAGAACCACTCCTGGTACCAAAATCTGTATTTGTCAGATTTCTCTAAAGGGACAGAACTAATAGGATAGATTAATATATGAAGAAGAGTTTATTAGAAAAATGGACTCACACGATCACAAGGTGAAGTCCCACAATAGGCTGTCTTCAAGTTGAGGAGCCAGGAAGCCAGTCTGAGTTCCAAAACCTCAAAAGTACTGAAGCTGATACTGCAGCCTTCAGTCTGTGACCAAAGGCCTGAGGGCCCTTGAGAAATCACTGGTGTAAGTCCAAGAGTTCACAAGCTGAAGAACTTGGAGTCTGATGTTAGAGGGTGGGAAGCAACCAGCACAGGAGAAAGATGGAGGCCAGAAGACTCAGCAAGTCGGCTCTTTCCATTTCTGCTTTTATTCTGGCAGCTGATTAGATGGTGCCCACCCAGATTGAGGGTGGGTCTGCCTCTCCCAGTCCACTGACTCAAATGTTAATCTCCTTTGGCAACACCCTCACAGACACACCCAGAAACAACCCTTTTCATCCTTCAATCCAATCAAGTTGACACTCAATATTAACCATCGCATTGATTTACAGGGTGTTTTTATTATAAAACGATGTTGAATATTATCAAATGCTTTTCCTGCATCTATTGAGATAATAATTTACCTAATGTGGTATGTCACATTTATCAATTTACATATGTTGAATCATACTTGCACTTCTGGGATAAATCCCACTTAATCATGGTGAATTTTTTTTTAATGTGCTATATTGACTTTAGTTTGCTAGCATGTTGTGAAAGATTTTTGCATCTTTGTTTATCAGAGATATTAGTATGTAGTTTTCATGTAGTGCCCTTGTCTGGTTTTGGTATCAGAGTGGTGGTGGCCCTGAAAAATGTGTTTGGGAGTTATTTACTCTTATTTAATGGTTGGAAGAGTTTGAGAAATATTGATATTAGTTTTTCTTAACCTTTTTTTTGGAATTCAACAGTCAAGCTATCATGTTTTCTTTGGTGGGAGAATTAATTATTGATTCCCTCACCTTATCCATTATTTTTCTCATTGGATTTTTTTTTCATGATTAAGTCTTGGTAGGTTGTGCTTTGGAATTTATCTATTTATTCTAGGTTATTGATTAGTTGGTGTATAATTATTCATTGTAATCTCTTATAATCCTTTATATTTCTGTGGTGTTAGTTGTAATGTCTCTTTTTCATTTCTTATTTTGTTTTATTTGAGTCTTCTCTTTTGTCCTTAGTCTAAATAAATGTTTATTCATTTTGTTTACATTTTTAAAAACTCAACTCTTAGTTTCTTTGTTCTTTTCCATTGTTTTTCTAATCTCTATTATATTTATTTCTGCTCTGATCTTTATTAATTCCTTCCTTCTACTAACTTTGGACATAGTTTCTTCATGTTTTTCCAGTATACTGAAATGTAATGTTAGTTTATTTGAGATCTTTCTTCTTTTATTGATGTAGGCATTTATATCTATAAAATTCCCTCTTAAAACTTATTAGGTGTGTCCTATAAGTTTTGATATGTTGCATTTCTCTTTCATTTGCCCCAAGATATTTTTTATATTTCTCTTTTACTTTCTTCTTTGACCCATTGGTTGTTCAGAAACATGATGTTTAATTCCTATGTTTTTATTATTTTTTCAAAATCCCACCTCTTATTGATTGTTAGTTCTATACCATTGCAATTGGAAAACATACTTGATATTCTTTCAATCTTCTTAAATTTGTTAAAATTTGTTTAGGGGCCTACCACAGGAAAGATCCTTGTAAATGTTCTGGTACACTAGAGAATAATCTGTATTCTGCTGCTGTTAGATGGAACAGTATATGCATATATACTGTTCCGTATAAGTGTATTTGGTCCATTTGGTCCAATGTGTAGTTTAAGTCCAATGTTTTCTTATTGATTTCCTTTTATGATGATTTGCTCATTGTTGAAAGTGAAATATTGAAGTCATCTACAATTATTGTATTACAGTTTATCTTCTCTTTCAGATTTGTTAATATTTGTTTTATATATTTAGGTGCTTTGATGTTGGATACAAATACATTTATGATAGTTATATCCTTGTGATGAATTGACCTAATTATTCTTCTATTAAAACTATCTTGTTTTACAGTTCTTAAATCTATTTTGTCTAATATAATTGTAGCTACCCCGTTCTCTTATCTTTTTCTTTCTTCCTTGTGTCAAGGGCTGACTTTCAATAGATGGCAGCGAGGGAGCTGCTCTGCTACGTACAAAACCATGAATGCTCTCTTTTCATTTCCATTTTCATGAGGTAAGTTTCTTCCAACTATTCACTGTTAGTTTATGTTTGTCCTTAAATGTAACTTGAGTGTTTCGTAGGCATCATATAGTTGGGAAGTGCTTTTTTAATTCATTGAGCCATTCTATATATTTTTTGTCAAATAAATTAATCAATTTTCATTCAAGGTAATTTCCTTTGCTACTTTCTTAATCTCTTGTTTTCCTCTTTTGTGATTAGGTGTGTTTCTCTAGTGTTATGCTTTGATTCCTTACTACTTATCTTTTGTGTATCTACTAGAGGATTTTGCTTTGTGGTCACTATAAGGTTTATATAAAATAACTTCGCAAGGTTTTTGGTTGGCTGGGTATTTTTTTTCTTTCTTCACGACTTTGAATATATTATTCCATTAGCTCCTGGACTGTAAAGTCTATGCTGAGAAATCTGCTGCTAGCCTTATTAAAATCCCATATATATTACATGCTTTTTTTTTTAAATTTTTGCTTTCAGAATCCTCTCTTTGTTCTTGCTTTTTGACTGTTTGATTATAATGCGTCTTTAAGTAATCTTGTTTGTATTAAACCTGATTGAAGACTTTTGAGCTTCCTATACCTGGATATTAATATCTTTCCTCAGATTTGGAAAGTTTATTGCTCTTACTTTTTAAAATAAGTTTTCTGATCTTTGTCACTCTCTTTTCCTTCTTAACTCCTATAATTCAAATATTTGCTCTTTTGATACTTTTCCATAATTATGATGATAATCTTCCTTCTTTTATCTTTTTTTATTGACTATATTTTTAAATAACCTGTCTTTGAGTTCACAGATTTGTTTGCATGATCAAGACTGTTAATGTTTTCTATTTTATTTTACAATTTTTATTTTATATTTTTTAGCTCGAGAATTTTCCTTTGATTTTTCCATCCCTTGGTATCCATGGGGAATTGGTTCTAGGACCCTTAGAGATACCAAATTCTGTGGATGTTCAAATCTCTTACATGAAAGGGCATAGTGTTTGCATATAATCTATGCACATCCTCCCATATACTTTAAATCATCTCTAGATTACATATAATGGCTAATAAAATGTAAATGATATGTAAAAAGTTATTATACTGTATTGTTTAGGACATATTGACAAGGAAAAAGTCTGTAAATGTTCAGTACAGATGCAACCATCTCCTTTTTTAAATATTTTTGTTCCACAGTTGGTTAAAGTCATGGATGTGGAACCCATGAATATGAAGGTCTGACTGCAATTTTAATTTCTCTGTTAAAAATTTCTTATTGTGTTATATTATTGTTTTCTTGATTTTATTATTTTTTCTATATATTTTCTTAAAGTTTTTTGAGTTTCTGTAAAACAAGTATTTTCAATGTTTTGTCAGGCATTTAATACAGCTGCATTTCTTTAGGGTCAGTTACTGGTACTTTATTTTGTTCCTTTTGTGATGTTATGCTTCCCTAATTGTCCTTGATCCTTATGGCAATACACGGGTATTTGCACACTGAAAAATGTAGGGATTTATTCCAGTATTTGCAGATTGGCTTTGTTTGGGAAAGCCCTTTACCAGTCAGCCAACCCAGAGATCTGGGAAGCCTGTCTGGGCATGGTTCACAGGTGGGCTTGCTACTTGGGATTTTGGGCAGGCTGGCATGGTGCCTTGGTTAGCAGGTAGGCAGGCCTAATGCCTGAGTCTATGGGATTCAGCCTGGAGCCTGGATTCACTTGGGTAGACTTTTTTATTTGGTCCATGGGAGTGGGCTTTGCACTTCAGTCTGCAGTGGCTGGCCAGTTGCTGGGGTAGATCTGGAGCCTGTGTTCATGAGAACTAGCATAGCACTGAGGGTTGGCATAGAGACTGTTTATGAGAGTGGGCCTGGGTCCTGGTTCCAAAGGGGTGGCCTGAAGCCTGAGTCTACAGGGGTGGTCCTAGAGACTCAGTTTATGAGAGCCAGCCTGGGACTGGGGTCTACTGGAGTAGGCTTGAACCCTGGGTCTGCCAGAACTTGTCTGGACCTGTGTCCATTGGTGTCTGGATCTCTTGGAACTTAACTGGAGCCTGACGCTACTCTGGCACTGGGGTAGGTGTTGGACCTGTGTCTGTAAGAGCCAGTCTGAAGCCTGATATCAACAGTGCTAGCTTGGCACCTGGTGCCATGTAGGCTAGGCTGGAGCTTGGTGCTTTGTGAATTAGCCTAGAGCTTGGGCCCACAGAAGCAAGCCCAGAAGCTGGGTGTGTTGTGCTGTCCTGAAAACTAGCTCTGTAAAGGTTGGCCTGAAACCTGATTCCACAGGGGCAATTGTGGAAGCTAGGTATATGAGGAGTGGCCCAGTGCTGGGGTCTATGAGGATGACCTTGAACCTTGGGTCTGCTTAACAAGGCCTAAACCTTAGGTCTGCTGAAGCATGGGGCTGCAGGGACTAGCCTGGATTATGGGGCTGCAAGGATAGGCCTGGTACTAGGGAGATCTGAAGACTGTGTTCATGGATTCCAGTCTGTTGCATTAGTCCAGAGATACTGACTTGGCACTTGTGCAGTCCTGAAACCCAGGGCTGTGTAGACCTATCTGTCTCTGATCTTGTCTGAAACCTGTGTTGGGCATGGAGTCTGGGATCACAGGGGTGACCTGGTGCTGGGTGGGCCTGGAGTCTATATGCAGGGGCCAGCCTGGAGGCTAAGTCAATGTGTGCTGGCCTGATGACTACAGTTAGAGAAGCTGGCCTAAATAATTACGTAGGTCTGAAGCCTGGGGCCATGTGAGCCATCCTGGTGCTGGAGGTGGTCTATAGTCCAGAGCCAACAGAGCTGCCCTGGTCCTGGAGGTGGTATAAAGATAAGCATAGAGTCAGAATCTGTGTGTTCTGGCCTGTTCCTGGGACTGACCCAGCACCACTGGGTACAGCCTGGCAGTGGGGCAGGCCCAGAGACCATGTCTTTCAGGCAAGCCTGGAGCCTGAAGTTATGGGATCCAGCCTACTGATGAAGCCTCAGTCCATAGGTACTTGCCTGAAACGTGGGGCCACTGGGGCCTTCTCAGCACTAGATTTTACTGGAATGGAGCTGATGTTGAGATCCAAGGCAAAGTTTCATGCTCCTTTTCTTTCCCTTCCCCCAAGAAGGGAATATCTCTCTTTATGATGCTATGATTCAGAGAAGTAAGGTGAGTAATGTAAAACTTTCCTTCCTACTATTTTCTATGTGTCTTTCCTTATTTCTGTGCTATACCCAGTCATTATAATCTCTCACCTGTTTTCTTTGGCTCTTATGAAGATATTTTTACACGTGGATAGTTGTTCAAATTGATGTTTCTGTGGGGAAACAAGTGCTGGAAAGATCTATTCTGCCATCTTGTTAATGTCCCAAAACCTATCTGTATTTTCATGTTATGTGATTTCCTAAAATCCAATGGCTCTAAATATCACTATATACCAAGGACCCTTGCTTTTATATTGTCATCCAAGAACACAATACTTCTACACAAAACTTCAGGTTTGACATCTCTAGTCAGTGCCTAAAATGTCATTGCAAGTTTATCTGTCCCAAACTGAAGTCTAATCTACAGCAATTCTCTTAAGTCAGCATTGTATTTCATTTGTATTTTCTCCTCACTGCTTATCTTCACTGAGTTTCTAGCTAAATTAATATAGTGTTCTTCCACAAACACTAAGAGTTTTGAAAATGGAATTTATCATAAAATAATTTTATCAACACACTGACAAGTAACACATTTTTAGTTATGTCACAGTTCTGTTTTCAGCTGTGAAGTTTTTATTTTTTCAGTTTATATCCTCTGCTAAGAACTGTTTTCCATTCATTACAAGAATGTTCACCTTTACTTCATTGAGCATGGTTACAGTGGCTGCTTTTATTTTTACTTATTTTTTTTTTTTTTAAATGGAGTCTCGCTCTGTCACCCAGGCTGGAGTGCAGTGGTGCAATCTCGGCTAACTGCAACCTCCGTCTCCTGGGTTCAAGCGATTCTCCTGCCTCAGCCTCTCCAGTAGCTGGGATTACAGGCATGTGCCACCACGCCTGGATAATTTTTGTATTTTTAGTAGAGATGGGGTTTCATCATTTTGGCCAGGCTCGTCTGGAACTCCTGACCTCAGGTGATCCGCCCACCTTGACCTCCCAAAGTGCTGGGATTACAGACGTGAGCCACCACGCTTGGCCTAATAGCTGCTTTAAATGCTTTATTTTATAATACCATCATCGGGGTCATCTTAGCATTTACATTTTTTATTTTCTTTTCCATTGAGAATGGGACATATTTTCTTAGTTCTTTATATGTCCTATAGTGTGGGATTGTATTCTGGACCTTGTTGCGAGATTCCTTGCCTTGTTAAAATTGTCTAGAGAGTATTGTGGGGTTTTCTGTTTTTGTTTGTTTTAGCAAGCAATAAACCTGGTGCAGTTCAGACCGTATGTTGCTTCACATTTTATATGGGCAATGGAACCAATGTCTTTTCAGTTTTCAAAGTTTTTGCTACCCTCATCAGGTCTATCCTTCACATGAGCTTCTCAGTGGTTAGTTTGTATTTTGCATGACATTGTGTATTGCAGCTTAATTCTTGGGGTTTTTGTCATTATACTTTTTGTTTGTTCTCTTTTATATATGTGTTGCTTGGGGATGAGCCTGAACATGTGTTGATTCATACACAGAATTTAGAAAACATTTATTTCTGTCTCCTTCAAGATACTCCCAACACTCTTCAGATCACAGGGCCTTTCTTTTCCAGGTTGCACTAGGTAAAAGCACAGGTTCTCTCTCAGGATTTTAGGTGTCTACATAGTCTTTCTAATGCCACTGAACCTGTGCAGCCTCTTCTCTGGGACTTTCCTCAGGGAAAGGCCAAGGGAGAATAAATAGAAAAAAATAAAAATAAAACAGTGCATGGATTCTTCAAACACTCTCTGCCTTACAGGGTTTTCTTTTATCAGTCCACTGACTAGAAGGAAATGGTTTCTATCAGAGGTTTTGGTTTCTGTACTCAAAGTGAAGTTCTTGGATAGGGTTCACAATTTGGTCAAAGCCAGGAGATAAACAAGGGGGAAAACTTAAGTAAAATATTTTTGCCTGCTATTGTTTATATTTTGATATTTCCAGGAATTTTCTTTTTGTATTCTGTCCATAATTTTTGGTTGTACTCAATTAAGGAAATAGACTACAGTAACTTGCCCCATTTTAGTCAGCAACAGAAGTCTCATTTTCTTTTTCATTTATTTTTTTTTTACTTACTCTCTGTCTCCTTTTATTAAAGTGGAAGGTCTATGCATGCTGTCATATTCACCACTGAATATCTAGTACAAATAACAATGCTTAGTGAAGAGCGAATTCTCAATATTTAAGTGTTAAATGCATTAAATAATTAATATGTACTTTTCTTTTCTTTCATTGACTTTCTTCAAAAAAGATGCCAATTATGGGAATATGGATTGTAGGACCTCTAAAGATTATCTGGCCTTCTTTGCTCATTTCATGATCGTGCTTCCCTTCTCATGACACTGGAAAGTGGGCCTTCAATAATGTTCAATTTATGAGGGTAGACATTGGAGTTAAAGTCACCTAGGAATTTTTATTAAAGGAGAGCAAAAATGAGAGAAAACTGAGATACTGTCTTGTATAGCCCTTAAAACAACCTCTCCCTGTATCTATTGAATCACTATATGTTGTAAACCTTTATAAATGTAATTCAAGATCCCTAGATAATTTTAAAAATTCTAAACAACATATTTTTTCAAAATCAGTTCTTAGTAACCAACATTGAAGTTAAATACTCCTTAACTTAAACATTATATAAGTTGCTATTTACCAGTTCTAAACTTTCTTCCTTTCTGGAGATGAAGTATTAAATTGCCCTGTAATTTAAAGGAAGGAACACTGTGCCTATTTTTACCCTTGTTAGGCACTGAGGCTATTGAATTTACTTTCTGCAGGCACACACTGATCATTAGGCTAATCGTTAGAGTAAAAAAAAAAAAAATGAACTAAATTTAATGAGTAACTGCGGATGTGAGAAATACAACACTTCTAACAGAAAGTATCATAGAAATAGGATCAACACATCTCTTCCGTGTCTGATGAATGAATATATCATCTTAGCAGTCCCCAAAAAGTTTAAGAGCTTAGAAGCTGAAAAGGTCACAGAGAACCTATCTGGAAACACAGTTATGGCCTTTCTACCTCTGTCTCTTCAGCTAATATCTTTCAAGGTTTGTTTAGCTCATGTAAACTATCTCTGGAGTTCTATTGGAGAACGTTAAGATATAGAGTTAATGTAGTGACATCTATAATATAAAGCAAGCACATAATTTATTATACAAATCAGGACCCAAGAAAGAAAGAAGGTGGTATTGATAATTAGGAAAGGAAAACAAGAATGAACTGGAATTTCAGGACAAACCAGGATGTATGTTTTTCCCTTATGATATAGAACACGATGGACCATCTATAATATCTAATTCAGCTAAACTCACTGAAGTTAAAGTATGTAGTTTAGTAAGTATGTATTAAAACTATTTATAGTAAAAAATCTATTGAATATATTTAAAACCATAATTAATGCTCAAAAAAGAAAAATAAAAAAATAGAATCAGTTACCATTAGAGGTAGGGATCCAATCTCTTATTGTCTAGATAGACAATTTTAAACATTAAGAATTCATCCTGACTTAACTATATGGACTGCCTTTCAGTTTATCAAAAAAGCCCTAGTTTATGACTAAAATGACTTCCTTTCAGTAGACGTAGAGCTAACACATGTAAAAGAAATGACAGAAAGTAAAAAAAAGTTTTGCAATCGCTAATAAAATAATTGATTCAGTTAACATTCATCAATGAATGAAACCAATAGATGAACAATTTATAAAAAAATTTGTAAGAGAGGAATCATAATGATATTATCTCAATCCACTGAACACTCTTGACATCAGTAAGTTAAGAAAACCAGGCATTATTTGTCTCTTGATATGATACAATATGAAATGTAAATCACCACCTATGATGTATTTTTGCCCATAAAGTTTAACCTAGACTGAATCAAGCCTTAATAGGTAATTACTTAATTATAGAAAATAAAGGAGTAGAGGAACAATTGTAACAAAATCATGGAGAAGCAAACGAATACAGATTATGAGGTATCTTACAATAGAATTGAGCTTGATTGTTCAACAGGTTATTAGCATAAAGAATAAAATAAAAATCAAGGAAGGGGAGCATGTTTGGGGTTAAAAATGTAAAAGACATTAATTAAACCCAATATGATGTGTTAGATTCAGATTTAAGAAAAGAAATTCAAATAGATACTCTTTTAGACAGTCACTCTTTGAATAGTAACCAATATTAGGTGAATACAGTGCTGGTATATATTACCTTAACTCTCCCAATTCATTCTCCACCTATTCTCTGTTCATGAAGGCTGATCTGTATGTCTTACATATTAGGAAACACTTGCTCTCAGTTCCCAGTTTGGTTTGGTCAATGAGATGTGCCAGCAGGAGACCAGAGAACTGGCCATGTTGGTTTCACACTTCTGCCAAAGATAGTTCCTGGACTGTGGACGTAAGGTACCAAACCATCCCAATTTCCCCAGGAATTTCTCGGTTTTAGCACCTAAAGCCTGACATTCAAGAAACTCCACAGCCCCAGAAAAAAACAGATGGTTGGTCACCGTGAGTAAACACCTGCCATTTTGGTGAGACAGGTCTCAGTTAATTTAGAAAGTTTATTTTGACAATGTTGAAGATATGCCCCTGTGACACAGCCTCAGGAGATCCTGATGACATGTGTCCAAGGTGGTCAAAGCACAGTTTTGTCTTATACATGTGCAGATGACATGAGACATCAATCAACATATGTAAGATGAATATTGGTTCAGTCTGGAAAGGTGAGACAACTCAAAGCAAAGGTGGAATGACTCAAAGTGGGGAGGGGGCTTCCAGGTGATAGGTAGATAAGAGACAAATAGTTGCATTCTTATGAGTGTCTGATTAGCCTCTCCAAAGGAGGCAAACAGGTATGCATTTATCTCAGTGAGCAGAGGGGTGACTTTGAAGGGAATGGGAGGCAGGTTTGTCTTAAGCAGTTCCCAGCTTGACTTTGCCCTCTAGCTTAGTGATTTTGGGGCCCCAATATTTATTTTCTTTCAAATTTTTCTCCTTTTCTTTTTAAAAATATTTCAGGGAAAGCATTTTAGAAGAAAATGAGTCTCTGGCCTCAGGCTTCCTCTAATCCCTCATGGCTAAGAAGGTTCATTCCTAGATGGATATGTCCAGAGTTATTAGGAAAGCTAATATTTAGCAGGTTGTGAAGTCTCACATCCTATGAAGATAAAATAGGGGAAGGAAGGGAGAAAAACAACAACAACAAAAAAGAACAGTCCTGGAAAACTTATATAGGCCACATTATTCTGAAGTTAATATATCAGTAGGCAGGTATGAAAGTGGCTTATGTGTGTAAATAGGTTGCTGTTATTTTCCTCTGAAGTTTAATTTGTCTAGCATCAGTTTGCAGGGCTTTGTGAAAGCACAGCTAAGTTCTCAGTTACTCCAAATAAGGAAAAATGGGGAAAAAAAGAAGGAAAATAATTGAAAACATAATTTTGAAGAATTGTAGCCAAGAGAAATTAGAATTTGATCCAAACTGAAAAATAATAAACATTGAAAAATATTTCACAAGACTAGAATCTAACAACAGGTGTACTGTAGTTTTTCAAACATATTTTTTCTCTCTCCAGTTTCCATTTTTACTAAAGACAAATCATGGTAGGACTGGTTTGCTTTATTATACTTGTCCTGATTATTTATATACAGTGAAGTAAGAATAATTATTTTTTACATAGGCTTTTAAATTGGCTTTGATGGAACTTTGTCCTATAGAAGGAATCTCAGATAAGACTCTTTTAAAGCTGAGCCCAGCCATGGATTTGTACCATCAAATACCCATGAGTTGGGTGATCTTCTCCTCTTAAGGTCCCAAGATAAACTTAGGGCTCCTGAGCCTGTCAGAAAGTGACATTCTTTACTTACCCCAGGTCACGAACCCTGTACATGGGCTGTGTAAACAAGGTATGAGGCCAGTTTTCCCAATGGGTTTTTATTGGCTCCATAAGTTAAGTTTGATTTCTTAAAGGAAAGCACATCATTCCAGTGAAAGCCTTGGTAAAATAACCAGTTTCTCCCATTGTGTCCTGTTACAAATTATAACAGATTTTTATTTGCACTTATGCAAATAGCCATATTGCTGTAAGTTAAGACTACTCGCAAATAGTTTCCAAATTCTGGAGAAATCAGGTAAAGAGAAACAAATACGCTCCAAATTTTCTTCATAGGAGTATACTAAATTGTTGAAACCTTACAATAGCTCAAAATAAAAGTTTCCTTGACTCTGAAAAAAAAAAAAAACAGAGGGTCAGCAACATTTTAAGCAAAAATATAAAAAGATACTTCAGTTTTCTGTTAGTTCAGTCTCTGTAGTAAATTCCTGTTCTGCTTAATATTCATGAACATTTCAGCTCCCCATGAGTCCTGAAAGTTTTCCCTCTCAAAGTTATCAGAAATCTGCATTCAAAAGCACCTATTAGAGTTTTATAACTGATTATGAAACCACCTTCTAAGGAGGACCAAACAAGGCACCAATTGTCCATGGATGACAAAATGTTTTAGGGCAGGCATAGTCAAAGACAAAACTGACCAGAAAATTTGTTACCTCTGTGGCACATAATAATTTAACATAATAGTTATAATTATTACTGATGATGTACACTAAGTCATATCAGGATTACAGGATTATAGGTGTTTCCCATGATTTTGGAACACATATCAATAATACATTTATACAAATACAACCCAAAGAAAACCAAACACCATTTCATATTTGACAGTGCTTACTGTATAATTTTATACCAAATAAGCCAAATTATGTCATGTTTTGAATTTAGGGAAACTAATATCTTAAATGATTAACTAGATCAGAAAAAGACACAATTTCTAATTTGATTTTTGAAAGGTTATCAAATATCAAAGGTTTAAAACACTTGATATCACAGGTCATTATAAAATAAGTTATTCATTTGACCAAAGTCATAACTCGAGGATTTAAAAAAAAAAAGGCAAAAATCTTCATTCTTTGAGAGGAGACTTAATTTTCTATACAATAAGCCCCAATAAAGACAGCATAAAGCCAATTAAATTTGTTTTTCAAAATTTTATAAACAATCTATAAAATTTTAATCTTGACCATAAGATATTGAAACTACCTTTGCAAAATTATGACTGACACAGTGAAAGAGATCTATCCTAACTGACTCCATCTTGCTTCTAACCTTTAAGCTGTCCTTGTTCCTTCCTGAGCATAGGCTGAGCTAACTTTGGGAAGAACTTAGTTCATAGTTTATAGTTTAAAAGAAAGATGATAGCAGTCCTTTCCCAAAATGAACCTCCTTTTTGCCTGGGGAATAGACTGCCTTTATGGGACTAACAAATTAGCCACAAGATTAGAAATTATGGTTTAGGAGCCATGCAGCTGGAGGCTGGAAGTTCTGACCCTCCCTAAACTCCTCCTAAGATCAGTGCTTGAGATATTTTACAGACCTGAACTTGATGGATCAGTTGGCACCACACAGATTGATAAACTGGTGAATCTGATCGTGGGGCCCCCACCCAGGAACTGACTCAGTGCAAGAGGACAGCGTCAACTTTCCATGATTTCATTTCCAACCCAACCCCTCAGCACTTTTAATTTATTGGCCTCCCCCATATTCACCAAATTATCCTTAAAAATTCTGCTCCACAAATACTTGGAGAGACTGACTTAAGTAATCATAAAACTTCAGTCTCCCACACAGCTGGCTCTGCATGAATTACTGTTTCTCTATTGCAATTCCCATCTTGATAAATTGGCTCTGTCTAGGCAGTGGGCAAGGTGAACCCATTGGGCAGTTACAATATAACTTCCATAAGCCTTTTATAAACTTTGTATCCTTTATTAAGAAGTTGGTTACTGCTTCAAGAAAACTTTGTTAATCTGACACAGGGGCCCATATGCTGATGTTGCTTCAGTGTGCTTTTGGTGTTAATGATTAATTTATAGAGAAACTAAATCGGCCCTTACAATCTCACATGCCCACCTCTTTTGCAATAGTCCCTGGGCCTTGAGGAGTTGAATAACTTTAATTTCTGGCCCTATGTTTCAGGAATGCAGTTTATTTTGATTGGCATCTTCTACTGGGCCTGAAGAAGAGGCTTTAGTTGCTGTCAGTGTTTAATATTTAGCAGGACTTGATGTCATTTTTAGGCCCGGGAGTCAAAGCCCTGTAACTCAATGTCACAAGTACTTTAAAAGAACATACAGAAAGATACACGGAGGTAATAACCTTAATTAAAAAAAATCATCTCAGCTTTTCTCCTAAGTGAGCCAAAACTTAATGGCATAGGAATTGTTTTGATAAACCATAAAATCTGTTAGGCCAAAATGAAAAAGAAAAGACTTTCTGCACTGCACAGAATATTATGTTGGAAGAAAACATTTCCTTTAGATCTTTTAGAAAATATTTTTAGCCTCAGGCTACAATAAACAGAACTTGAGGAAAAAAAACTTATATGAGCTGAAAATGAGTTGAAGGAGAGCATTACTATTTAGCACTCTTTAAGAGGGAGGAGAAAACCAAAAACAGTGAGATGCAATAAAAGTTGAACTTTGGGTTAAAATAATTAAAACCTCTTATAATTTATTAAGAGTAAATTAATACCTTAGAAAATCAATGTATAAGTGTTTTTACATCGATCCCAATCTCTAGAAAGACCATTATAAATTTTCCTTAATTATAGACAACTTGATCATATAAAAGTATTTTTCCTTTTATAAATCCTCTTATTATGACTTACACCAACTGTTCATGACATGCTTGGATTTTCTTGTTTGTCCAGAACATCCCTCTATCAGAAACAACCAGTCATTTTTATTCTAGGACTAAATGTACCGTACAATATTTTTTCTCATATAAACTTATTTCTCTTTAAGCTTTCTTATTTTAAAAAACTCTTTATTTATAAGAATTTCTTTATATCTGTCTTATTTCCTGGTTCCTTTTACTTTGTTTTGTACATAGACTTTAAATAAACTTTGAATTAGAAAAAAAATTGTTCATATTTTTAAAAAGGACATACTTTTTATAAGAAAGAATGTTTTCCTACAGTAGAATTTTACTGGAAAATACCCAAATAATGAACTATTTATTATTTAATTTAATTTAACATTAGATTCAAAATTGGAATGAGTTTGTCTACAAGTATTTATCCTATTACATTTACCTAATTATTTTAATTGTTTACCTAGATTATTCATGAAAACTGCAATAGTCATTATTTAAAGTTATGGAACTGCCATTGCAAAGTTATAACTAAGACTGAACTGTCTCCATCTTGCTTCTAACTTTCAAGCTGTCCTTGTTCATTCCTAGGCATAGGCTGAACTAATTTTGGGAGAAACTCAGTTTATAGTTTAGCTTTGAAGCAAAGACTGTAACAGTCTTTTTCCAAAGCAAACCTTACTGTCTGTGGACTAGACCACCTAAGCCACAAAATTAGAAGTTATCATAATCTTACTAAATTCAAGATGTAACTATTTTCATTAAACCAATATCAATGTCTTATTTATTAAAAATTACATAAGCAAAGATCATTCTGTCTTGGATTGGTTTTATAGTTTTGTAATTTCTATGCCAAATTTTGACACCTTATAGTATTTGGTAAGGATAAGTATAAAATTTCTTGATTAATATATGCAAACAAAATGTATACGTGCAGTTCTTAAGACATTTCTAACATCACTTCACCAAGCTAGTTTATTTATTAAAGATTTTACTTAAATTATGTAAACTTGAAAAAAGCATTTGACAATTTTTTCCTGATGAAGTATTTGATTCAATTGTTTTTATTTTCTTAAGCCAATTAATTAGAGCTCTTTTATATATTTGTGGTAGTAAAACATTGTGTACACAACACATAATTACATAGATGTATTAGGCATTCTGACAGAAGTACATCTTATGGATTCATAAAGACCATTTTTTGCTTATCTTAGATTTTTAAATTCTTAATAACCTGTTTTACAACCCTAGGCAGTTGTGAGCTGAATAGCCTTAAATTTGCATATTAAGGGAAACAACTCGTGTGAAAATCAAATAGCAAAATTTGCATCATAAGCTATGGAGAGAACAAGTCTGGTGTGCTAGAGGGAAATTAAAAATGATTTAATTGCCAATTAAACATAAAATATAGAAATTATGAAGGCCTTTTAAATATATACACACACATATATATACATACACACACAAAGATCCTATATCATTTACTTCAGAAGTTTAGCCATGAGATAAATACAAATTCACCAGTTTGCAAAAGTCCCTGTTGAATCCAAACAGTGATTCTTATCTTAATAGAAAAATAACAGCAGATTTAAAGCAGGCAGAAAAGAAAATAGAGAAAAAGAGAACTTGGGAACTCTGTAGTTTGCAGGTCGACCTTAGGGTTCTTTTTCCTTAATGTAAATGTGCACAAAGACCATATTACATTTTACATCATTACAACCTATGGAATGCTTGAAAGGGGGTCATTTTCTTTGTTTTATCTTTATTCTTAGATTATTTGTTTCCCATTTTTCATTAAAAGGAGGAGCTCAGCTGTGGCCTAGGGTTTTTGTGTAGTGAACTTTTGTGTGTTGCTTGTGGGCAGGATGCTACAGTGTGTCACCACTGAGTCATTTCCACCCTTTTAGGTTTATCAGTTTCTCTCTCAAGAAGTCTATGACCTCTGAGAGGGCTCTAAATGCTGGATCATCAGCCTTTCTATGCATTTCCAGGATGAGTTTTTTTTAATTAATTTTTTGGGGGATTTCCCTGTAGGGCCACTGCACTTTCTGGGGGGTGAATCCCCCAGATGTTTCCATGAAGCTCCCAGTCACCCAGTGATGCCTTTCAGCTAAGAGAAGCAAAATGCCCTTTCTCTTCGGAGATGAGAAAACTCAATCTCTCATTTACCTATGAAAACAATTCAGTTCCTCACACAAATGTGCACCGACAAGCTGAATTGAGATTAATTTTGGTAAAAAAAGCAATAGAAAAGACCCTTTAGAATGCATGTCCAAACTAGAATTAGGATCCTTAAATGAAGACTTCCTAGGAGAATGACAACAACAGCCAAGACCACTTCCTGTAAACTGTGCTCAGCCACCCCTAAGTTTGTAGCTCTTGTCTGCCATTATACATGCCAAGGTTAAGTACTCTCACAGTACAAGGTAATCTCTGGTAGCTCCAAAGCCAAAAAGATCACATTATGCAATACAGGAAAGCAGAGCTTTAGACCTAAGAATAATCTTCCCAAGACTCTTAAAAGTCCGCAAAGCAAACAGAACATCCCAAAAGGGGTGAGTGGTGTCTTTGTTCTGAATTTTTTAAAGGGGTTCAAGTCATTGGAAGCCTTCTCTAGATTTTTTGGTACTCCAGATGGCAAAGGGGGAAGGAGGTATAAGAGTGGAAGATAAGTAAACAAAAGAACATTTTTTTTTAAGACAGGAAGCAAACACAGAAACCAAGCACGTGGGTTTTTAGGGTTTTTTGTTTGTTTGTTTGTTTTTTCCTTCAGCCACTGTGAGGAATTTTAGTCAAATTAGACAGGCTTTGTTACCCATAATTTGGAATTCTCACTCAGATTTGACCAAGTCAGTTAAAGTTGATCGAATATGATGGGAGAAAGACCAGAACAAATGACAAAAACCCCAACAATGTTATGGCTGAGTGTTCTAATGGTAAGGAGAAGTTAAGACCAGCTGGTTGTTAAACTTCACCAAGACAAAAACTTCAATTTAGCTACTTACCTAGGGATGGGTCTCAGGCTGAATACTGTCCTCTACCATCTAGCAGCAGGGAAAAAACTCAACTCATCCTCTGCTGGGAGCAAGCTCAAACTCCATAAAGGGGTTATCTGCCTTCTATTGTCATGGAAGCAGGAAATCTTGTCTTCCTTGTTGGAAGCAAGTAAAACTCCAAAAAAAAAAAAAAAAAAAGAAAAAGAAAAAGGGAAGTTGAAGAGCAAAATAAACTTTATATCTCAACCAAATTCTGGGAGATTAGGGATTCTCTGGATGAGCTGCACCTCCCCCCAGACCTGAACAAATTGTCCTATTGGTTTCAGCCATAAAGTTAGCTCATGCTCTACCAAGCACTGATAGGAGATTTGTCAAATGTCAGGGAAATATCCACTCAGAATCCCTCCGTGGTTACAAAAATGTGAACTCCAACTATCTGAGACAAGTCTCAGCTAATTTAGAAAGTTTATTTTGCCAAGTGTGAGGACATGCACCACTGAGACAGCCTCAGGAGGTCTTGACAACATGTGCCCAAGGTGGTCAGAGCACAGTTTGGTTTTATACATGTGAGGGAGACATGAGGCATCAATCAACATATGAACATTGGTTCAGTCTGGAAAGGCAGGACAACTCAAAACAAAGGTGGGATGACTCGAAGCAGGGATGTGGCTTCCAGGTCATAGGTAGATAAGACACAAATAGTTGCATTCTTTCGAGTTTCTGATTCCCTCTCCAAAGGAGGCAATCAGATAGATATGCATTTATCTCAGTGAGTAGAGGGGTAACTTTAAACAGAATGGGAGGCATATTTATCCTAAGCAGTTCCCAGCTTGACTTTTCCCTTCACCTTAGTGATTTTGGGGCCCCAAGATTTATTTTCCTTTCACAGTAGAGCCTCAAGAGTTTGTTAATTACCTATCTCTCCTTTGTTCTTTAGTCATATTAGTGTTAATGGCTCTTGATGCTGTTTGTCCCACAATACTGCCCTCTCCCTTGTTGGTTTTCCTAATTTTCACCGATGTATTTGTAAATAGTTCTGTTAAAGTTGTTTAACCCTTTCTGAGGGTGCTAATTATTTTATGTCAGTCCCCCGAGCACAAAATAGTTTTTTATCAAACTTCAAATATGTGCTAATGGCATTGTGTTTATGTAAATAAATATTCATGGCTTTTGAGATGCACACTGAAGTATACTGGAATGAAACTTCAGAATGTCTTGGATTTTCTTTAACATATTTTTCAAAAATAAGGAAGAGGAGTAGATGAAACATGAGCATCTAAGCTTGAAAATTCTACCATTGGGATATTGGATATCTGGAAGCTAATTTCACTATCCTTCACATTTGTGTATGTTAGAAAGTTTTTTAAAAAATGAAGAATAAAGTAATTCATACAATTTGAGTTGCATGAAGAAAGTTACTAAATAAATATATAGTTATATTCTTCAAAATAATATAAGCCTAAAATAATCTTTGACATGTAAAGTTCTAACTGTGGAGAAAGATTATGCTGAACCAATTCAATTTTCTCCAAGTCTTCTCTGTGACCAGTGACAAACATGTACAGAAATGTTGGTCAGGAACAGACCTGAATAGAATGAAGTTCTATAGGCCGTGTGTCAATGCCAGGGAAAAAGTCTTATTGAGCCTGCTTGTGTGATTTATTCACGCCTGAACCAGTCAATGTTGCTAAGAGGATGAATGTCTTCTACATTTTGGCCTCTGTTCTTAGCAATATAAATAATTACTGAGTTCTAAATATTTTTCATATACATTAGAAAAAAGGACTTTAAAGGTAACATGTTCATTGTCGAAAATTTGGAAATTGCAAAGTACTATAAGAAAAAATAATCCCCCAAAAGTCTATTGTAATGTGACATTTACTGTTAATTTGTCAGTGTATTTTAATCTGGACAGTTCCTGAAGGTGATTTTTCTAATGTGTGCACATACACCACACACATATATATTACAATCGCTGAAGTTATCATGTGCAGATACAATTTTACTATTGAAATTCTAATTTCAACATAATATGAGTAAATAAAAAGTGATCAAATGCAAATATTTTTAAACAATACTTTAATAATACATTATATTCTGTTAGATAGATATCCCATATTTTATTTAAACATTGTCCTAAAAATGGGCATTAAAAATGTTTTGAATTTTTCTGTTATCTGTTATAATAAATATACTTTTATGTAAACATTGATATGTCTGTCTCAATATTTCTGTAATGTCAATTCCCAGAAATGGAATTGCTAGGCCATAAATATCAACAATTTTAAGGTTTTTGAAACATATTTAAAAGTTTATTTCCAGGAAGCTTATAACTTAATTACCTTCCAGCAATATATGAGCATAATAATATTACTCTGATGTAGTACATTTAAGAAGCTATTGTTTTGTTGTATGTGTACTCAGTACTATTTCCTATCATCTTTCTTCTGAATAGGCCAGTCTAAACATAACACTTAATTCCTAGCAATAATGGTTGTTTCAAATAACGGTTACATCCCTTAAGAAGGCAAATCAGAATCCTTTCTGTGGTTGATAAAAATACACAGAATGAAGCAACTTTTCTATTTTAAATGAGATTGCTAGGTTGGTGTTTGTGAAATTTATAATCAATACCACAGCAAGAGGTTCTATGAGTAATAGAAAAAAATGCGGGAAGTACAAAGCAGAGCACAGACATCACACATAATTATGAAGACAATAAGAAACAAAAAGACTAAGACACAAAGAAAAATATAACCAATTTCAGGACAAAGGCATTGTTCCTTCAGTTCTTCACAAAATAATCAAACTGTCTCCAAGAAATGTAATTGTGTCTCACAAAGAATTTCAGGAATATTTTTTAAAAGAAATGATGTTCAGCATGGAAGAAACCAAGATTTACAATGTATGGCATCCAACCCAAAATTACCAGGTATTCAAAGAAGCAGAATAATTTGACAGATAATCTGAAGATGATAGAATTAGTAGATAGGGACATTAAACCAGTCAGTATAATTATATCTATACCTTTTAAAATATAGAGAGTAAAAAAAAAATTAAAAATTATGTAAATTATATAAAAAGAACACCAATTGAAATTATAGAAATGAACATTATGAAGTCTGAGAAGATAAATTCTTAAGAATGGATTAACAGCAGGTTAGACATTGCAGAATAAAAGATAGTGTACTTGAAGTTAAAGTAATAGAAATGAGAAAATGAAACACAAACAGAAAAGTAATTTTAAAATGCGTGGAGCATCACTGAATTATGAGACAAATTTGATTTATCTGATGTACGTGTCATTGAAGTCATTGAAGGAAAGAAAAAAGAAAATAAATAAATAACTGATATAATAGAATGCACATCAAAACTACAATGAGATATCATCTTGCCCCAGTTAAAATGGCTTATATCTAAAAGACAGGCAATAACAAATTCTGGAATGGAGAAAGAAGATTTCTGGTACACTGTTAGTGGGAATGTAAATTAGTAGAACCACCACAGGGAAGAGTTGGCAGGTTCCTCAAAAAACTAAACATTGACCTATCATATGATCCAGCAATCCCACCACTGGGTATATATTCAAAAGAAAGAAAATCAGTATATAAAAGCAATATCTGCACTCCTATGTTTGTTGCTGCACTGCTCACAATAGGTAATATTTAGAAGCAACTTAAGTGTCCATCAACAGATGAATGGATAAAGAAAATGTGGTACATATACACAGCGGAGTACTATTCAGCCATAAAAAATGAGATCCAGTTGTTTGCAACAACATAGATGGAACTGAAGATGATTATGTTAAATCAAATAATCCAGGCAAGGAAAGATAAACGTCGCATGTTCTCAATTATTTGTCGGATCTAAAAATTAAAACAATTCAACTCATGGACATAGAGAGTAGAAGTATGGTTACCAGAGGTCAGTAAGTGTAGCAGGTGGCTGAGGGGAAGGTGGACATGGTTACTGGGTACATAAACAATAGTTAGTAAGAATAAATAAGACTTACTCTTTGATAGCACAACAAGGTGACTATACTCAACAATAACTTAATTGTACATATTAAAATAATTCAGAGCATAATTGAATTGTTTGTGACTCAAAGGAATAATGCTTGAGGGGATGGATACCCAACTCTTACATATGCTTATTTTACAAGGCATGACTGTATCAAAATATCTCAGGTATCCCATAAATATATACAACTACTGTGTACATACAAATATTTAAAATAACAAAATTATAAAAAAGAAACCCTCCCAAAATGATATAATAGTATAAATAAATGATAAATATCTCTATTTTAATAAAAGCTACGAACCCACAGATCCAGCAAACTTAAAGAACCCCAAGCAAAAGAAATATAAACAAAACTACACCAAATAACATCATAATCAAATTGTTAAAAAATTTTAATAAAGAAAAAATCTTAAAAGTATCTAATGAAAGAAACTCACATTGTGTACAAGACGACAAAGATAAAAATGATATCACACTTCTCATTGGAAAAATGAAATCCAGGCAACACCGAAGCAATATCTTTAAAGTATTGATAAAATACAACCGTCAACCTATAAATCTACATCCTGACAAAAATCTTACAAAGACAAGAAAAAATAAAGAATATTGGAAAATACAAATAAAAAATAATTTACAACAACAAACTTTCAATACAAAAACATTATACTCTTCTAGCCAGAAGAAAAAGGATACCAGATGTAAAATTAGATACACCAAAAGGAATGTGGAGCTCTAAAATTTAAAAATTCTAAATAAATAAGCCATGTACTTTTTTCATTTCCAGAATTATTATAAAATGATTGACTATTTATAGCAAAAGTAATAATGACATACACTGTTATTAATAATAAAATAGATGTAAATTGTGTGACAATAATATCTCAAAGGCAAAACGAGGGAAAGTGGAAACATACTAACAATATTTTTACAATAAACATTAAGTGGTATATTTTAATTGGAAGGTAAATTGATAAAATAGAAATGTGTACAACAAACTCTTATTAAAGCACTTTAAAATAAAAGAACTACAGCCAATACAGCTATAAGGAATATAAAACGAAATTATAAAGAATACCCAATTCATCCACAAGTATAAGAAAAAGAAGAAAAAGAGTAAATGTTACAAATAGAAATTAAATAGCAAAATGATAAATTTAAACCAAATGATATCAATAATTATATAAAATATAAATATTCCAAATACCAAGATTTAAAGACACAGATTGTCAGATTGGATTAAGAAAAGACTTAAGTATATGCTTATTATGAAAATACACTTTAAATATAAAGATATATGTAATTTAAAACCAAAGACAAAAAAAAATGCCAGGCTAATATTAACCAAAATAAACCAGAGTAGCCATTTTATTATAAAAGTACATTTTAGAACAGTGAATATTGCCAGGGAATTAAGAAGATTATTTCAAAATGATAAAGAGACAATTAATCAAGGAAAACAGAATTTCTAAATATTTTTGCCCCTAATTACAGAGTATCAAAATAAATAAAATATTTGAGAAATCTTAAAAAAATAAACATCTAGAAAAATCGTCGAATACTTTAACATTCCTTTCAATAATTAACACAAAAAGAAGAAAGTTATTAAATACATAGATGATTTTCACAATTTGATAAACCAACTTGTCCTAATTGGCATCTGTATACCATCCACACAAATGCAACAGAATACACATTCTTTACAAATGTGTATGGAACATAAACCAAGGTAGACCATATTGGTGGCCATATTTTATTTTATTTTATTTTATTTTGTTTTGTTTTATTTTATTTTATTTTTATTATAGTAGGGACACAACGTGAGAGCTACCCTCTTAAGATACTTAAGTTCATAATCATGATTGTTGACTCTAGGTATAATGTTGTACAACAGAACTTTAGAGCTTATCTTGCTTGATTAAATCTTTATGCCAATTGGTTAGCTACTCCCCATTTCTCCATCTCCCCAGCCCTGGAAAGCATCATTTCACTCTTTGATTCTATGAATTTAACTATTTTTGATATCTCATATAAGTGAAACCATTTAGTATTTGTCTTTCTGTGACTACCTTATTTCACTTAGCTTAATGCCCTCAAGATTTACTTAATCACATATTGTACAATGTCCTTCTTTTTAAGACTGATACATATTTCATTGTATGTCTATATACTACATTTTATTTATTCAGTCACCTTTCAATGAACATTCAGGTTGTTTCCACATCTTGACTATTGAAAATAGTGCTGCAATTAACAAAGGAATGGTAATATTACTTCAATATATTTATTTCAAATTTTTATATATACCTGGAAGTGGGATTGCTGAATCATGTGGCAGCTGCATTAAAAATTTTTACGAAATACCATACTGTTTTTCCTAGTAGCTGCATCATTTTGCATTCCCAACAGGAGTGCAAGGGTTCAAATCTTTCCAAATCTTTGAGAACTCTTCTCATATTCTAAAAATAATATTCATCCTGACAGGTGTGAAGTGATATTTCATTGTGATTTTGATTGGCATTTCCATGATGATTAGTTATGTTGAGCATTTTTTATATGCCCATTGGACATTTGTATGTCTGCCTTGAAGAAATGTCTATTCAAGTTCTTGTCCTGTTTTTAAAATAGTTATATTTTTTACTATTGTTTTATGAGTCCATCCTATATTTTGAATATTAAGCACTTATCATACATATGGTTTGCAAGTATTTTCTTCCTGTACATTAATTGCCTTTTCATTTTTTTCATTGTTTCCTTTTATAAAGCCTTTGAACTTGACGTAGTCTCATAAACTTGCTTATTTTTGTTTTTGTTGCCAGTGCTTTTGGTGTCATATTCTTGAAATCATTGTCAAGACCAATTTCATGAAGATTTTACCCTATGTTTTCTTCTAAGAGTGTTACGGTTTTAGGTCTTATATGTACATTGTTAACTTACTTTGAGTTTCTCTTAGAGTATGGTAGAAGATACAGGACCAGTTTGATTTTTTGGCATGTGAATATCCAGTTTTCCAAGCCTATCTCTTGTTATAGAGACTCTATTTTTTGCCATTACATATTATTGACATTCTTGTTGATAATCAGTTGACGTGTGAATTTATTTGTGGGCGTCATATCCTGTTTCATAGCTATTTACATCTAGTCTTTATGACAGTACCTAGTACTTTTAACTACTGAAGCTTTGTAATAGGTTTTGAAATCAGGAGAAGAAACAAAGCCTCATCTTCGTTCTTCCTTCTCAAGATTGATTTGACTATTCAGTCTTTTGTGGTCCCATATAAATTTTAGAATTTTTTTATTTCTGTAAAAAAATATTATTGGGATTTTGTTTGGGATAGCATTGAATTTATGGATCTGAGTAGTGAGGACATTTTAAGTCTTACAATCTATGAACACAGGATGTGTTTCATTTGCTTGTGCCTTGTTTATATTCTTTAATGTTTTGTTGTTTTAAGTATACAAGTCTTTCACCTACTTAAAGTTTATGTCTAAGTATTTTATTCTTTTTGATGCTATTTTAAAAGGGATTGCTTTTCTAAAATTCTCTTGAATGGTTTGTTATTAAAGAACAGAAGCGCAACAAATTTTCTATGTTGATTTTGTACTGTAAAATATTACTGAATTCATTTATTAGTTCTAAAAATTTTTAATAGAGTTCTTAGAATTTTCTATATATGAGATTATGGCATCTGCACACAGGGATAATTTTATTTTGTTATATTGATATATTTGGATATTTGTCCCCATCGAAGTCTCATGTTGAAATGTAATCCCCAGTGTTGGAGGTGGGATCTGATGGGAAGTAATTAGATTATGTCTGTGTATTTTTCATGAATAGTTTAGTGCTATCCCCTAGCTACTGTCCTCATGATAGTGAGAGAGTTTTTGCAGCATCTGGTTCTTTAAAAGTATGTAACACCTTTTCCCCTCTCTGTTCCTGCTTTCACCATATGACATGCCTGCTTCCACTTTGCCTTCTGCCGTGAGTAAAAGCTCCTTGAGGTCTCCCCAGAAGCCTAGCAGATGGTGGCACCAACTTTGTAGAGCCTGCAGAATAATGAGCCAATTAAACCATTTAAAAAAAAATAAATTACCCAGCCTCAGGTATTTTCCTTCCAGCAAAGCAAAAACGGCCTAATACAGAATATTGGTACTGAGGATCAGGCATTGCTATAAAGATACCTGAAGATGTGGAAACAGATTTGGAACTGGGTAATGGGCAGAGGTTGGAAAAGTTTGGAGGGCTCTGAAGAAGACAGGAATAAGAGGGAGAGTTTGGAATTTTCTAGAGACTGGTTAAATGGTTGTGACCAAAATGCTAACAGTGACATGGATAACAGAACTGAAGCTAATGTGATCTCAGATGGAAATGAGGAACTTCTTGGGAACTGGAGTAAAGGTCACATGTGTAATCCCTTAGCAAAGAGCTTGACTGAATTGTGTTCATATGCTAGGGATCAGTGGAAGTTTGAACTTGAGAGTAATGATTTAGTGTATCTGGCGGAAGAAATTTCTAATAAGCAAAGTGTTCAATATGTTGAATGGCTGCTTCTAACAGCCTATGCTCAGACATAGGAGACGTAGACGTAGACCTAAAGGTTGAAAGCTATATTTAAATAGGAAACAGACCAATCACTAAAATTGTAAAAGTTTGGAAAATTTCCAAACTGGCCATGTGGTAGAGAAACGAAAACCATTTTGGGGAGAGGAATTCAAGCAGGCTGTGAAGCAACTACTTGCTAGAGAGATTTGCATAACTGAAAAAGAGCCAAGTGCTAATAGCAAACACAACGGGAAAAAGACCTTGAAGGCATTTCAGAAACCTTCTTGGCAGCCCCGTTGGTCACAAATGTTGGGGCACAGAAGGACTGAATGGTTTCATGAGCCAGGCCCAGCCTCACTGCACTGTGCAGCCTCGGGACACTGCTCCCCACATCCTGGCCACTCCAGCTCTAGCCTTGGCTCAAAGGGTCCCAGATGCAGCTCAGACCACTTCTTCAGAGGATGCAAGTTGTAAGGCTTGGAGGCTTACATGTTGTGCTAAGCCTGTAGGCTTGCAGAGTACTAGAGTGAAGAAGACTTGGCAGCCTCTGCCTGTATTTCAGAAGATGAATGAGAAAGCCTGTATCACCAGGCAGAAGCTTGCCAAAAGTGGTGAAGCCCCCACAAAGAACCTCTACTAGAACAGTGCAGAGGGACAATGTGGGTTTGGTAGCCCAAGAGTCCCCACTGTTACACTGCCTACTGGAGCTGTGGGAAGGGGGCCACAGTCCTCTAGACTCCAGAATAGTAGGCGCACTGGCAGCTTGCACCCTGTGCCTAGAAAAGTTACACACACTCAACAACCTGTAAGAGCATCCATGTAGTCTGAACCCTGCAAAGCCATAGGGGCAGAGCTGCCCAAGGCCTTGAGAGCCCAGCCCTTGGACCAGTGCTCCCTAGATGTGGAACATGTAGTCAAAAAAAAAAAAAAAAAAAAAAAAAAACTATTTTGGAGCTTTAAAATTGAGTGATTTTTCTGCTTGGTTTTTAACTTGCATGGGGTTTGTAGCCTTTTTCTTTTGGCTGATTTTTCCCTTTTAGATAGGGAATGTTTATCCAATGCCTGTATTTCCATTGTATCTTGAAAGCAAATGCCTTGTTTTGATTTTTCAGGCTCACAGGTGAACAAAATGCATCTTCCAATAATACTTTGGACTTGGAACTTTTGATTGAGTTGATGCTGGAATAAGTTAATACCTTGGGAAACTGTTGGAAGGCATGATTGTATTTTGCAGTGTGAGAAGGAAATGAGATTTTGTTAGTGGAGCTAAAACAGAATTATATAGTTTGTGTATTTTTCTTCACCCAAATCTCATGTTGAAATGTAATCTCTTGGAGGTGGAGCCTGATAGAAGGTGATTAGATTATGGGAGTGTACTATTCATGAATGTTTTAGCACCATCATCTTGGTGCCATCGTCATGTTAGTGAGTTCTCACTGATCTGGTTCCTTAAAAGTGTGTGGCACTTCCCCCACACTCCTGCTTTCACTATGTGATTTGCCTGTTCCTGCTTTGTCTTCTGCCATGAGTAAAAGCCCCCTGAAGCCTCCCCAGAAGCCAAGCAGATGCTGGTGCGATGCTTGTACAGCTTGCTGAATGATGAGGCAATGAAATTTCTTTTCTTTATAGATTACCCAGCCTCACATATTTCTTTCTAGTAATACAAGAATGGCCTAATATACCTTTCCAATTTGAATGCTTTTCATTTCCTTTTCTAGCCTAATTGCTCTATCTAAGATTTACAGTAACATCTTGCTTAGAAGTTTTGAGAGTGGGCATCCAAAGCTTTGAAAGCTTTCAGATTTAACCACTGAGTATGATGTTAGGTATCGCTTTTCATATATGGCCTTTATTATGCTGAGATAATTTCCTTCTGTTTTGACGTATTGATTGTTTTTATCATGAAATTTTGTAAAATACTCTTGAGATGATCATGTAATTTTTATTTTATCCTTTATTCTGTTAATGTAGTGTATCACATTAATTGATTTTCATATGTTGAACCATGTTTACATGCCAGAGGTAAATCCCTCTTGGTTGTGATACAGACAATGATATAGGTTATGATATAGCACATCCTTTAAATGTACTCTTAAATTCAGCTCGGTAGTATTTTATTGTTGATTTTTGCTTCTGTATTTATTAGAGATATTGCCCTATAGTTTTCTTTTCTTGTGGTATTTTTGTGTGACTTTGGTATCAGGGTAATATTGGCCTCATAACATAAATTTTGATGTATTCTTTCTTCCTCAATTTTTGAAACAATTTGAAAAATGTTGGTGTTAATTATTTTTAAAGTGTGGTAGAATTCACCATTGAAGCCATCTGGTCCTGTTTTTTTTTATTGTTGGAAGGTTTCTGAATACTGATCCAATTTTACTACTAATTAAAGGTCTGTTTAGATTTTCTGTTTCTTCATTATTTGGTCTTGGTAATTTATATGTTTCTAGAAATTTACCCCTTCTTTCTAGGTTATCCAGCCTATTGGATAGTGGTATCTTATGTAGTAGCATAATAGTATCTTGTAATCATTTTTATTTCTGTGGCATCAGTTGTAATGTCACTTGTGTTACTTCTGATCTTACTGAATCTTCTCTATTTTCTTAGTCTAGTTAACATTTTGCAAACTATATTTTCAGAAAAAAACTCAGCATTATTGGTTTTTCTCACTATTTTTCTATTTTTATTTTATTCATTTTTGTTCTACATTTTCCTATTTTCTTCCTTCTGCTAACTTTGTCCTTAGTTTGTTCTTTTTCTAGTTCCTTTAAGAGTGAATTGAAGTTGTTTATTTAACATTGTTATTTATTTTTAATGTAGGCATTTATAACTATTAATTTTTCTCTTAAAACTGCTTTTGCTACATCTTGTAGGTTTTGACATCTGTTTTTCTTTTTATAAGTCTCAGGATATTTTCCAGTTTCCTTTTTATTTTTTGACACAATGATAATTCTAGAGTTTATTTCCCACATACTTGTGAATTTTTAGTTATCTTTCTGCTCTCAGTTTTTAGTTTTATTCCATTGTGGTCAGAAAAGATACCTGCTATGATTTTAATCTTCTTAAAATATGTAAGATTTGTTTTGTGTTTAACTCATGATCTATTCTGGAGAAAGATCCATGTGCGCTTGAGAAGAATATGTATTTTGTTGTTGTTTATTAAAATGTTCTACATATGTCTGTCTGTTGTGTACATTTAGTGAATAGTGCTATTCAAGTCCTCTGATTCTTTATTGTTCTTCCGTACTGATGGTATTCTCATTGTTGGAAGTGGGGAATTGACATCTCATCCTATTAATGTATTGCTGTATTTTTCTCCCTTCATATCTTGCAATGTTTGCTTTATATATTTACATCTCTGAATTTGGGTGTATCTATAATTGTGATATCTTCGTGGTAGATTAGTACATTTTTTATTATAAAAGGTCTTTCTTTGTCTCTTGTGATAGTTTTTGAATAAAAGTGTATTTTCCCTAATGTAAATATGTTTATCCCTGCTCTAATTTGGTTACCATTTGTATAAATTAACTTTCAGCCTATGTATGCCCTTAAATCTATAGTGAGTTCCTTGTAGTGAGTGAGCATGTAGTTAGGTGCTTTTTTTTTTTTCTCAATCCAGTTACTCTATGTCTTTTGAATGAAGGGTTTAATCCATTTACATTTAATGCAATTAGTAATATAAAAGGATTTACTATTGCCATTTTATTAGTTATTCTAAGTTATTCTTGTAGTTGTTTTGTCTGTAATTTTCTCTCTTGCTGTCCTCTTTTGTGTATTGCTAATTCTTTGTTTTAAAATATTTCATATGATTCTTTTGTGTTAATTTTATAGGTATTTTTCTGTTTGCCTTAGAGATTATGTAAAATAGCTTGTAGTTGTAACAGTCTATTTTAAGCTGATAAAAACTTAACCTCAATCACATACAAAATCTCTACACTTTAACTTCTCTCCACTTTGTGGTACTGCTTTGCATTTTACATTTCTTTATATTGTGTATCTATTTTTAGTCATTTTAATACTTTTTATCTTTTATACTAGAATTAAAACTGAATTACCCATTATCATCATGGTGATGATGCAGTGTTCCATATTATTCTGTATATTCATTTTTATCGGTGAGTTGTATACTTTCTTATGCAATTACGTTGCTGCTTTGTATTTTTGTTTGAACTTGAATAACTCTCTTTAGCATTTACGCTAAGGCAGTTCTTGTGGTGATAAGTTTTCAGTTTTTGTTTGGGAAAGTATCTCCATATTTCAGAAGAAGTTCTGCCAGATATCACATTCTTGGTGGGCATTTTTTTTCTTTCAGCACTCTGAATGTTCCATTCTACTCCCTTCTGGTTCTCAAGGTTTCTGCTAAGAAATACATTGAGAGCCTTATGTAGTTTTTTTGTATGTGATTATAATTGTGATTGTATCACAATTATTGTAATCACAATTTGATTATAATACACCTTGGTGTGAATTACTTTGTGTTTTTTTTTTATTTGGTGTCCTTTCGATTCCTTGTTTCACAATGTCTGTTTTCTTCTTCAGACTTGGGACATTTTAAGCCATTATTTCTTTGAATAAGCTTTCTGGTCCTTTCCCTCTTTTCCTTTGCAAACTCCCTATATATAGAGAGAACATAGTATACTTACATATATCCTCTTGATGGTGTCCCACAATTCTCTTCCTTTGTTCACTTTTCTTTGTGTTCCTCTGACTGAATTATTGCAAGTACCCTGTCTTTGGATTTTTTGTGTTATTTTTAATCATTGGTCAGATAAATAATATAATGCTACTTCGTTAGTGCCAATTTGGAGATTTATTTTGTTTCCTTGTTTGGAACATCCTTGCCTGGATCTTTATTTTTTCTTAAATCTCTGGGTTGGTGTCTGCATATTAGACAAATTCCACACCTCTCCCCATCTTTACAAACTGGCCTCATACAGAGGACCTTCATAAATAAGCCTAGCCAGAGATTTTGGAGTCTCTACCAACTCTGTCCCTCCCCCAAGAATAAGCAGGCAGATATAGACTTTGTCCACTCTCTCTGCTGATCTGGGGGCATTAGGAAATTTGGCAACTACTTGCCCTAGTAACCACCTGTCTCCTAGTAACCACCTGGGGGGCTAGACTATGTCAGCCTGTCAAAGTTTCAAGACAGGTGAGATGAATGTTAATTCTTTAAGTAGCCCTAGGGAAGTTGGGGCACTGGACACATAAATCAACTATTTTCCTCCAAAGTGAGAAGTTTATAGCTGGGAGTTTTGGGTCCATTTACTATGTGCTGAACAAGGGCAAGGATCAATGGTGTCCAACAGCCCAAGCTGCCACCTCTATTCTTTCCAAAGTTTCTAGACTAATGCAGACCCATCAGAGGCCCACGACTATCAAAACAAGATGCAGTTCTCTGTGGAGAATCCTCAGAATAGTTAGGGAACTGGATACATGTACCAATCCTTTCCTGTTCCTGGGTGAATCTTGGAACAAGGGGGTCTCTTTCTGATCATATGGCACAGTGCCAGGGGCAAGGTCTCTGGAAAAAATGTGTCCCAAATCTCCCTATCAGCTTTGGTAAGTCTTTTTTTTTTTTTTTTACATTCTCCTGGGGTGTAGAAAACATTCAATAGGTTCTGATTTTTCACAGAGCCAATTTGTGCATGAATTGTTGCTGAAACAGTCCATTCATGGAAAAAGAAAGGTCCAGTGCTTTCTACTATGCTATGTTGCTTACATCACTTCCAAGCAAATACTTTAACACTTCTAAACAACCCATGAGCAAGAAGTAATAAAGGGAGGATTAGAATGCATCTTTAATGGAAAAGAAATGAAAACACAGCATATAAAATTTCTGAGAGGAAAATTCTAGTCCTATATATCAATCAATATTAGTGAAGAAAGTTTTGTGGGGTCGTTTGTTTTGTTTTGTTTTTTGGTGGGGGGCAGGGTCTCACTTACGCAGGCTGGAGTGCAGTCATATGATCCCAGTTAATTGCAGCCTCCATCTCCTGGGCCAGGTGATCCTACCACCTCAGCCACCCAAGTAGCTGTGTTAGCTGTGACTACAGATGTGCACCACTATGCTTGGCTATTTTTTTTTTTTTTTTAGTAGAGGTGAGGTCTTCCTATGTTGTACAAGCTAGTCTCAAACTACTGTGATCCCCCTGCCTTGGCCTCCAAAAGTGCTGGAATTACAAGCATAATCTACCTGGCAAAAAGTTCTTAAAAGTAGAATAAAAACTAAAAAATAAACAAAAAAAGCAAAGTAAACCCAAAAGGGTGTAACAAAGATAAGAATGGAAAACAATAAAATATAAAAATATAAAAATAGATACAATCAGTAAAACAAATTGGTTCTTTCAGAATATTAATGAAATTGATAAAACTCATACTAGACTAATCAGTTTTTTAAAAGGAAATCATGAATTACCAATATAACAAATAAGATCAGCTTAGCTACTTAAAATAGAAATAATGTGAATATTATAAACAACTTTATTCCAATACGGTTGACAATGTAGGTGAAACTGACTAATTATTTACAAAGCATACACTATTCAAGTAGAAACAAATAAATAACATACATTACAGTGCATATATATATATATTAATTTTTTTAAATTAAGTTGAATTTTAAAACTATGCCACACTCACATATACACAAACACGTCTTATAGCCCAGCTGGTTTTATTGTGGAATTCTACCACACATTTAATAAAGAAATGACACCAACTCTACAAAAACTCTGAATATTAAAGAGGCTACCCTTAAAAATTTATTCTATGGAGACATAATTAACCCTGCTACCAAAACCAGAGAATTTCATTTTAATAAAAGAAAGCGATGGTTCATTATACCCCTGTGTGCATAGATACATTCTTGACAATAGTTTAGAAAATAGGATCTATCAGTATATAAAATAAATAATACATCATGACCAATAGGGATTTTTTCTATAATAAAATATTTATTAAAATATCAGAAATCCATCCATGTCCTTCACTGTTATCAATAGAGTAAAAACAGTGATCTCTTAATGAGTGGAGAAAAAACATTTGAGAAAATGCAATATTTGTTTATGACAAAAACACTCAGCAAATTAGAAGGAAACTTCTTCAACTTAATAAAGGTCATCTGCAATAAAACATTTTGCATCATATTTAATGGTGAAAAAGATTAAATGCTTTTCTTAAAGATGATGAAAGAGGCAATGTCTGCTTTTGCCCTAGAACTCAACATGACACTAGAGGTCTCAGCCAGTGTCATAATGCAATAAAAAAATAAAAAGCATATAAATTGAAAACAAGAAATAAAACATGTTCTCTTCACAGATACCATGAATATCAAGTAAAAATTCTCAAAGAATTTAAAACCATAACACAAAACTACTAGAGCTAGTAAGGTCACAAGGTATTAACTGATATGGAAGAGAATGAATTTTATTTCTATACAGTCTAATAATGAAAAATCTGAAATCTATTTTATAAGTACAATTTAGAACATCACAAAAAGTTCTTAAAATGCCCACTTATTAATCATCTAACAGAATATGTTTAGGATCTATATGCAAAAAAATACAAAATACTGATTAAAGAAATTAAGACAATCTGAACAAATGGTGAGATAGTCTGTTCATGCATTTGAAAACTCAATGTTGTAATAGTGTCCAGGCTATACAAATATACCTATATTCATTACAATCTTTCTGTTGTTGTTTTCTTTCTTGAACACTCAACACATGGTTCATTAGAATCTTACACAAAGTTTCAACAGGACTTTTGTAGAATTTAGAAAGGTAATTCTGTAATTGTTAGGGAAATACAGAAGAAATGCAATTGCCTAAACAATTTTTTAAAAGAACAAAATTGTAGTATGTGCATGACACAATTTCAAGACTCGCTATAAACTAGTATTTCACACAGTATTATGTTTGCAAAAGAATATATATTTCAGCGGGAAAAAATTACTGAACCACTTACAAAGACATATAATCAAGTGAATTTTAATTTTTTATTCAAATAACACATAAATTTATTCTTGCTGTCAAAATTCAAACAACACAGAAAAAGTAAAATTCCCTGAGGATGTAAAATTAGCAAGATGGAGGAATAAAAGGGTATCTGTTTATAACCCTCCACAGCAACAAAAGTCTGGCAGCCATGTATGTACAAGTGTCTTTGTGAGAGTTTGGGACCCAGGTAGGAGGTTGTGAAACCCCAGTGGGGCCCATGGTTGAAGAGTACTGTTTGGTGAAGTCCTCCTCACCAAGCCTGCACCAAGTTGGCACTCTTGAAGATTTGCCAACTATGGTCCCAGCTACAGGGGTAAAAATGGCATATTCCTCCTGTAGACTCAGCTGTAGCCCTGTTTGGCCTTGGTCCTGACACAAGATCCATCAACATTCAGAAATCATTTGTGTTTCCACGCACTAACAAAAAAGTGTCAAATAAATCAAGAAGGCAGTCCCATTCACAATCGCAGCAGAAAAAAATAAAATACCTAGGAATAAATTTAACTAAGGAGGAGAAAGATCTGTACACTAAAAACCATTAAACACTAATGAAAGTAATTGAAGAAGACACAAATAAGTAGAAAGATATCATCAGAAGAATCACTGTTGTCAAAATGTCCATACTAACCAAAGCAATCTATAGATTCAATGGTATTCCTAATAAAATTCCAGTAGTATTTTTTACAGAAATAGAAAAAAAAATCCTATAATATATACAGAAACACAAAAGACCCAGAAACCTTGCAATGTCAAGAATACACAATGGGGAAAGGGCAATTTCTTCAGTAAATGGTGTTTACCAAATTGACTATCCACCTGCCAGAAAAAGTAATAAAAAACCATTATATTATACCACACACATAATTCAAAATGAATTAAAAATTTACATGTGAAATCTGAAACTGTAAAACTTCTAGAAGACAACATAGAGGAAAATCCCCATGTCATTAGTTTTGGCAATGATTTTTTTTTTAATAGAACACCAAAAGCACAGGCAACAAAAGCAAAAATAAACAAGTAGGACCACATCAAACTAAAAAAATTTCTGTGCAGTAAAGGAAACTATCAACAAAATGAGAAGGTGTATTAGTCTGTATCAGAGGAACCAGCCACCAATATTTCAATGTAGGTTCTTTTCTATTTTCCCTAAGTGTCAGCTGGTCTGAGAAATAGAGAGAAAGAGTACAAAGAGAGAAATTTTACAGCTGGGCCTCGGGGGTGTCATCACATATTGGTAGGACCGTGATGGCTACCTCAAGCCACAAAACCAGCAAGTTTTTATTAGGGATTTTAAAAGGGGAGGGGGTGTACGAATAGGGAGTAGGGCACAAGGATTGCATGCTTCAAAGGACAATAAAGATCACAAGGCAAGGCAAAATTAGAATTACTGATGAGGGCCTATGTCCCGCTGTGCACACATTGTCTTGATAAACATCTTAACAGGAAACAGGGTTTGAGAGCAGACAACTGGTCTGACTAGAATTTACCAGGCTGGAATTTCCCAATCCTAGTAAGCCTGAGGGTACTGCAGGAGACCAGGGCGTATTTCAGTTCTTATCTCAACTGCATAAGACAGACGCTTCCAGAGCGGCCGTCTATAGACCTACCCCCAGGAATGCATTCCTTCCCCAGGGTCTCAATTATTAATATTCCTTGCTGGGAAAAGAATTCAGCAATATTTCTCCTACTCACATGTCTGTCTATAGGCTCTCTGCAAGAAGAAAAATATGGCTCTACTCTGCCCAACCCCTCAGGCAGTCAGACCTCAAGGTTATCTTCCCTCATTCCCCGAAAATCTCTGTTATTCTGTTCTTTTTCAGGGTACACTGGTTTCATATTGTTCAAACACACATATTTTATAATCAATTTGTACAATAGTGGTCCTGAGGTGATGTACATTCTCATCTTATGAAGATAACAGGATTAAGAGATTAAAGTAAAGACAGGCATAAGAAATTATAAGACTATTAATTGGGTAAGTGATAAATGTCCATGAAATCTTCACAATTTATGTTCAGAGATTGCAGTAAAGACAGGCATAAGAAATTATAAAGGTATTAATTTGGGGAACTGATAAATGTCCATGAAATCTTCACAATTTATGTTCTTCTGCCTCGGCTCCAGCCGTTCCCTCCATTCGGGGTCCCTGATTTCCCACAACAAGTCTGTTTTTATGCTGCTGATAAAGATATACCCAAGACTGGGCAATTTACAGAAGAAAGAGGTTTAATTGGACTTACGGTTCCATGTGGCTGGGGAAGCCTCACAATCAAGGTGGAAGGCAAGAAAGAGCAATTCACATCTTACATGGATGGCAGCAGGCAAAGAGAGAGAACTTGTGCAGGGGAACTACTCTTTTTAAAACCAACAGATCTCATGAGACTCATTCACTATCACAAGAACAGCACAGGAAAGACCCACCCCCATAATTTAATCACCTCCCACCGCATTCCTCTAACAACATGTGGAAATTGTGGGAGTTACAATTCAAGATGAGATTTGGGTAAGGACACAGCGAAACCATATCAGAAGGCAACCCAGAACTTGGGAGGAAATATTTGAAACCATATATCTAATAAGGGGTTTATATCCAAAATATATAAGGAAATCATATGATATAAATAGAAAAAAATGACAACCCAAATTTAAGAAATGAGCAAAAACATGCATAGACATTTTCCCAAACAAGACATCCAAAAATGGCCAACAGGTACATTAAAAGGTGCTCAACATCACGAATCATGAGGAAAATGCAAATCAAAACTTCAAGGAGATATCATGTCACATCTGTTAGAATGGCTATTATCAAAAAGTCAAAAGGTAACAAGTGTTGGTGAAAATATGGTGAAAAGGTAGCCCTTCTATATTGTTGGTGGGAATGTAAATTGGTACAGCCTTTATGAAAAACAGTTTGGAGGTTCCTCAAACAACTAAAAGTAGAACTATCACATGATACAGTAATCCTACTTTTGGGTATATGTCCAAAAAATAGAATTAATATTGTGAAGAGCTATTTGAACTCCTATGTTTATTGCAGCATTATTTACAATAGCCAAAATATGGAAACAACCTAAGTTTCCATTGATGGATGAGTGGATTTTTTTTTAAATGAAGATATACATGGAACATATTATTAAGCCTTAAAAAAGAATGAAATCCTGTTATTTTTGACAACATGAATGAACCAGGAGGCCATGATCTAAATAAACTAACCCATCACAGAAGTAAAAATGCTGCATAATTCCATTTATATGAGGTATCTATTATATTCTAAAAGCAGAGAATACAAGATTGGATGCCAGGTGACAGGGGATGGGCTAAAGAGGGAGAAGCTGGTAAAATGGTACAAACTTTCAGTTATATAATAAATACTTATGTTCCTTGAATCTAACGTACAGCATGGTGACTACAGTTAATAATGATGTATTGTATACACTGTTATTAACTACCTGTGGTTAGTTGAATCTGCAGACATGAAACCTGTGAATGCAGAGAGCCAACTGTATATAATTTTTACTTCTCAATTATACCTCAGTAAATCTAGAGAAAAAAAAGTCCCTCTCAAAATCTAGTCCCTAATACAAGTGACTTTGGAAGATACTTGATCTGTGAGTAGCAGTATACCAGGTAGAAAGAGCCGAAGTCTACTACTACTTCTGGTACATACTACATATTCTTATTGGGTACAAGGAAGAGAGGTACATACAGGTGGGTAGGATTCATATTAAGAACATGGAAGGGAGGAAGAAAGGACAGAAAAGTATCTGAATAATACAAGTGGTCTCACAGATAACTTGAATATCATGTGGAACACAGCTCAGCAGTAGCAACTCATTCTACCTCAGTGTCCTCAGCAGTGGGGATGCATTAGCCTCAAGTATAGTGCTCTTCCACTATGACGGTCCAGTGTTTAATTCCTGTTTTCGATTTGCCTAATACTATCTGAATTCTTGACAATTTTTTTCCTGTATTCTGTCTACTGCTTTCTGTACCTTTTCACTCTACCCTTACTAATTTCCCCACAGTTCCTGACCTTTCTGTTTTGACTTTCATTTCAGCACCCTAAAGGAGTCTCTGATTGGCCATTATCTAGCATAAAGGACTCTATTTGGCAAAGCTCTCATGCCAGACAGTCTTATGGAATCCTGTCCAGTCCACAGATAACTATTATGGTCAATTGATTTGTGACCAAGATACAAAGATAATTAAATGGATATAAGATAGTATCTATAGTAAATATTACTGGAACAATGGGACATCCAAATTCACAAAACAGAAGCAAAACAAACAAAACAAAGGTGCTTGAGGCATTTTTTCTCGAGCCATTCTTCACCCCATACACGCCCCCACACACACACACGAAAAAAAAAAAAAAAAACACCTCAAAATACATCATAGACTTAAAGGTGAATCCTAAAACAATAAAACTTCTAGAAGAAAACATAGCAGAACGTTTTTCTGAACTTAGTTTAGGCAAGATTTTGTTATACATGTCACCTAAAACACAAAATAAATCCATAAAATAAAATAAATTAATAAATTGTACTTCACCATAATTCTTAAAAGACAGTTTAGAGAATGGAAAAGGAAAGCCACAGACTGGCAGAATATATTTGCAGTGTGAGTTACTCAGTTATTCAAAATTTGATATTTCAATTTTTATTCACCAGCATATCACTCTCTTGCTCACAAGTAGAATAAAGAACACTTAACTGTGACCAGTATGTTTCTGGTTCTCAGCATCAACTTTGCTCTTATCTTACTGATAGGCCATATACAAATTTGTTCCTTAGTATTCCAATCTGAAGTTTATAAAATTGTTCTTTATAAAATTTTCAAAGCTCAGTAAAACCTATAAATTACATTTATATTGGCAAGGCAAGCAGGCAGAAAGGCAAATTCTCGGCTCTTGCTTCAAGTAAGGTAGCTCTACATTAATTTATATTGCATATTATCATTCTATGTAAGAACAGGGCTACTGGAGAAATAGTTTTGAAAATTAGCAGTCTAGCTATTTCTTTCCACTTCTATGATTTCTAGTGCAAATGTGTAATAATCAAATTTGTATACATCTGATTTCAAATATATATTTTAGATACAAAGCTAACACAACAAAGTGAAATGCTTCTGTAGCTCCCTTTCCTCCAAAAAATAAAACGATAAAATGATTTTGTTGGCAATCCACAAATCACAATCTGGGGCCTTCTCTTCTCACTTGATGTCCTAGATTACTGGGAGAAGAAGGCATGTATGCAGTTGCCAGTTGCCTCATCCACATAAATAAAGACCACTCAGCAGCTCAGTAGTCTCCTTATTTAGCCTGGGCAATTAATCAGGAGAAACACACTGTTGACAAAAACATTTAAGTAAGCCATTTTGTACTGACTTGCATTCCAGCAATGGTAAACTCACATAATATATATTGGTTCAGAATACTTTTAATAATTCAAATGTTAAATAAATTCTAGAATGGAACAAATAAGTTATTGAAAGGCCAGTAGAGCCAGTCCATGGAATGAGATTTGGCAAATATCTATCTGTAAAATGGTGTGATTCTGCCCACATTCTGAGGTCAGTACTCAAATAGAATACATAGTCTGTTGAGATTTTCTACTTGCTATGTCACCTTCCCAAAATAAAATCTGCTGTTCAAAAAAGAAGGAAAGTAAAATTATGCAAAAGAAAAGCTATTAAATTTGATTCAATTCTTGGCTATACTTCTAAATAACTGTGTGTCTAAGGGACATAATTTTCAGTCTCTGTGCCTCAGTTCTCTCATCTACAAAATGAAGAGGTATAAATAATTAATCTCCAAATTTCCTCTAATATTTAATAACATTCTACAATCTGAAAATGGAAAAAAATGAGTGTGCTACTAATTCTTGCTATCTAGCTATTTTCAAACAAATACAATATTTGTAAAGAATCGAAGCCTGATTGTCAGTCAATCTTCTTCAAGTGTTAAGTGGTGCATTGCTCCCAGATGCTCTCTGGGGGAAAGCACCTCATTGTGAGAACAACCACAAATCAAATTCTATACAACTCAGAGCCAAATATATAGAAGTGTTTGATGAGTAGCCAATCCCAATGCCTGTCATTTTCTTTTCCATCTTTGCTCAACATTTCCAAAATATTCTATAGGAGGGAGAAATGTACGCTTAGTTGTTGAGAAAGATTTTTACATAATGAAAGTTTTCAGGAATTTTGTTCAAGAAGATTTCACTGAGCTCAGATCCACCCCAGCATGATGTTTAAGGTCAGAGAAACGTTCAGCAATGTTAATGCTGCCAATCTTTCTGGTCAATTCTTCACAAATTATATTTTAACCTCCTTTCAGTTTGCCTAAATTTTCTATAAAATTAAAAAATTAAACAGATACATTATTCTTACTTAGATAATACATTATTCTGCTTTACAGACCATCACAATTTTTTCTTCAATAAAATATAACAAAAAGTTATATGTGGGAAAGGGAGTATTTCTACATTTTAATCCATTTTAAACAATACAAATATTCAGAAATACTACTAGATTTTAATTATAGCTCAGTGATAAGAACAAAGACCTATACACTGAATCTCTCTAGCAGGTCCTTGTGTAAATACTTGCATAAAGTAGATGAGAATACTATGTTTATCTTAGTGAAAACACTTTCCACCCTGAGGAAACATGTCATCTGTTTATGTGATGCCGCCAGCAGGTAAACCACTACAGAATCAGACTTGGTGAGATGGTGATCATGTATTTAGTAATATCTAATGGGGCAATGGAACAAATGTACTAGTTTTTCAATCAACCAATTTGATTTGAGGGCTTTGGGAATACTCTGTTGCTGGTAAATGCAAGATTGTCTACTACATAAACTACATAATCATTTCATTGTCTAAATTTCTACAAGAATACAAATATGCTTCACACAAAATTACTAAGATGTTTGAGGTTGCTGAAAACTTTAAAACTCAAATCACACTTTGAATCCTAAGCTACGGAGCTTCTTTATTTTCAGTACAGAGCTTTTAGTTGCTGCTTGTTGATCCTGTGTGATAATTCATCAAATTCCATTCTAAGGAATAATGAGGGGGAGGATAAAAGGTGGAGATTGATATTTATCCCTGAATATAGGCCAAAACTGAATACAGGTATTTATAGCATTGATGATAATCAGGCCTGATATGGTTAGGCTTTGTGTCCCCAACCAAATCTCATCTTGAATTTTAATCCCCATAATTTTTGTAATCCCCTTGTGTCAAGGGAGAGAGAAGGTGGAAGTGGATGGATCATGGGGACCGTGTCCCCCATGCTATTCTCATGATAGTGAGTAAATTCTCAGGAGATCCGATGGTTTTAGAAGTGGCAGGTTTTACCTGCACTCTCACTTCTCTCTGCTACCACCATGTGAAGAAGGTCCTTGCTTCTCCGTCACCTTCTGCCATGCCTGTGAATTTCCTGAGGTCTTCCTAGCCATGTGGAACCATGAGTCAATTAAACCTCTTTCCCTTATAAATTACAGGGTCTCGGGTATTTTTTTTTAATTTTTATTTTTTTAGACAAAGTCTCACTCTGTCACCAGGCTGGAGTGCAGTGGCACGATCTCAGCTCGCTGCAACCTCCGCCTCCCGGGTTCAAGCGATTCTCCTGCCTCAGCCTCCCAAGTAGCTGGGACTACAGGCACATGACACCAAACCCAGCTAATTTTTTTTTTGTTTGTGTAATTTTAGTAGAGACGGGGTTTCACCATGTTGGCCAGGATGGTCTTGATCTCTTGACCTCGTGATCCACCCGCCTCAGCCTCCCAAAATGCTGGGATTACAGGCATGAGCCACCACGCCCAGCCTCAGGTGTTATCTTTATAGCAGTGTGATAACAGACTAATAGAGTAAATTGGTACCAACGTAGTGGGACATTTTTATAAGCTACCTGAGAATGTGGAAGTGACTTTGGAACTGGGTAATGGGCAGAGGTTGGAACAGCTTGAAGGGCGCAGAAGAAGACAGGAAGATGTTGGAAAGTTTGGAACTTCCTAGAAATGTGTTGAATGGCTTTGACCAAAATGTGGATGGTAATATGAACAATGAAGTCCAGGCTAAGATGGTCACAGATTGAGATGAGAAACTGTTTGAGAACTAGAGCAAAGGTGACTCTTGCTATGCTTTCACAAACAGACTGGCAGCATTTTGCCCCTAACCTAGAGATCTCTGGAACTTTGAACTTGAGAGAGGTAATTTGGGGTATCCGGCAGAAGAAATTTCTAGGCAGCAAATTGTTCAAGAGGTGATCCAGGTGCTCTTTAAAGCATTCTGTTTTATGCATTCACAAAGAGATGGTTTGGAATTGGAACTTATGTTTAAAATGGAAGCAGATCATAAAAGTTTGGAAAATTTGCAGCCTGACAATGTGATTTTAAAAAAAACCATTTTCTGGGGAGAAATTCAAGCCAGCTGCAGAAATTTGCATAAGTAACAAGTAGCTAAATGTTAATCCCCAAGACAATATGGAAAATATCTCCAGAGCATGTCAGAGACCTTCAGAGCAGCCGCTCCCATCACTGGCCCAGAGGCCTAGAATAAAAAAATGTTTTTTTGGGACAGGCTCAGGGCTTTGCTCCTTTAGGCAGCCTCAGGACTTTGTGCCCTGCATTCCAGCCGTGGCTAAAAGGAGCCAAAGTACAGTTCAGTCTGTTGCTTGAGAAGGTGCAAGCCCCAATCCTTGGCAGCTTACACATGGTGTTGGACCTGCTGGTACACAGAAGTCAAGAATTGAGGTTTGGGATCCTCTGCCTAGATTTCATAGGATGTATGGAAATGCCTGGTGTCCAGGCACAACTTTGCTGTAGGGGTGGACCCCTCATGGAAAACCTCTGCTAGGGCAGTGCAGAAGGGAAATGTGAGATCAGAGACCCCAAACAGAGTCCCCACTGGGGCATTGCATAATGGAGCTGTGAGAAGTGGGACACTGTCCTCAAGATTCCAGAATGGTAGATCCACTGACAGATTGCACGTGTGCCTGAAAAAGCCACATACACTCGATGCCAGCCCGTGAAAGCAGCTGGGAGGGGGACTGTACCCTGCAAAAAGCCACAGGGACAGAGTTGTCCAAAGTCTTGGTAGCCCACTTCTTGCATCAACATGCCCTGGATGTGAGACATGGAGTCAAAGGAAATCATTTAGCTGCTTTAAGATTTAATGACTATCCTGTTGGATTTTGGACTTGCAGGGATCCTTCAGCCCTTTTGTTTTGGCCAATTTATCCCTTTTTAACATGGGATGATTTATTCAATTCCTGTACCCCCATTGTATATTGGAAGGAACTAACTTGTTTTTGATGTTATAGGTTCATAGGCAGAAGGGACTTGCCTTGCCTCAGATGAGACTATGGACTTGGACTTTTGGGTTAATGCTGGAATGAATTAAAACTTTGGGGGACTGTTGGAAAGGCATGATTGGTTTTGAAATGTGAAAGGGACATGAGATTTCAGAGAGGCCAGGGGCAAAATGATATGGTTAGGCTTTGTGTCCCCATCCAAATTATACCTTGAATTATATTCTTATATTTCTCATAATTACCACATGTCAAGAGAGAGACCAGGTGGAGGTTATTGGGTCATGGGAGAAATTTTCCCCATGCTATTCTCATGATAGTGAGTTAATTCTCATGAGATCTGATGGTTTCAAAAGTGGCAGCTTTTTCCTGCACTTTCACTTTCCTTTCCTGCCGCCATGTGAAGAAGGTTCTTGCTTCTCCTTTGCCTTCCACCATGATTGTAAGTTTCCTGAGGCTTCCCCAGCCATGCGAAACTGAGAGTCAATTAAATCTCTTTGTTTATAAATTACCCAGTCTGGAGCAATCTCATTATAGCAGTGTGAGAATAGACTGATACAAGGCCCTTGCATTTTTATATGCCAATTTTTACTGGATTTGTTTCTTTTTTAACTTTTGTTTTAGGTCCAGGGGTATATAAGCAAATTTGTTATATAAGTATATTCCTGTTACGGGGTTTGTTGTACAGGTTATTTCCTCATCCTGGTACTAAGTTTTGTTCTTTTCTGTTCCTATCACTCTTTCTGCCCTCCATTCTTAAGTGTCTGTTGTTTCCTTCTTTGTGTCCATGTGTGTCCTACTTATGAGTAAGAACAGTCGGTATATGATTTTCTGTTCATCTGTTAGTTTGCTAAGGATGATGGCCCCCAGCTCCATTCATGTTCATGCAAAAAAAATGATCTTGTTCTTTTTTATGACTGTGTGGTATTCCATAGTATGTATCTACCACATTCTTTAAATCCAGTCTACAACTGATGGACATTCTGGTTGATTCCATGTCTTTGCTGTTGCAAAAAGTGCTACAATGAACATATGTGTACATGTGTCTTTATGGTGGAATGATTTATATTCCTTTGGGTATATGCCCAGTAGTGAGACTGATAAGTCAAGTGGTAGTTCTGTTTTTAGCTCTGCATTAGACCACTTTTACACTGCTATAAAGAACTGCTCAAGACTGGGTAATTTATTAGCAAAGGACGTTTAATTGACTCACAGCTACTCATGCCTAAGAAGGCCTCAGGAAACATACAATCATGACAGAAGAGAAGCAGGCACCTTCTTCACAAGGTGGCAGGAAAGACAGAGAGAGCAAGAGATAAACTACCAAATACTTAAAAAGGAATCAGATCTCATGAGATCTCACTCACTGTCATGAAAACAGCATGGGGAAACTGGCCCCATGATCCAGTCACCTCCCACCAGGTCCCTTTCTCAAGACCTAGGCATTACAATTTGAGATGAGATTTAGACGGGACACAATGCCAGACCGTATTATTCCATCCCTGGCTCCTTTGAAATCTCATGTCCGTTTCACATTTCAAAACCAATAATGCCTTCCCAACAGTCCACAAAAGCCTTAACTCATTTCAGCATTAACCCAAAGACCAAGTCCATAGTCTCGTCTGAGACAAGTCAAGTCCCTTCCACCTGTGAGCCTATAAAATCAAAGACAAGTTAGTTCCTTCCAAGATGCAATGAGGGTACAGGCATTGGCTAAATGTTCCCATTCCAAATTGGAGAAATTGGCCAAAAGGGCTACAGGCCCCATGCAAGTCCAGAATCCAGTGGAGCTGTCATTATGTTTTAAAGCTCCAAAATAACCTCTTTTGACTCCGTATCTCACATCCAGGATATGCTGATGCAATGGGTGGCCTTTTAAGTCTTTAGGCAGCTCCACCCCTGTGGCTTTGCAGGGTACAGCCCCTTTGGTCACTTTAATTGGCTGGTGTCATTTGCCTGTGGCTTTTCCAGATGAAAGGTGAAAGCTGTTGGTGGAGCTACAATTCTGGGGTCTGGAGGACAGTGGCCCTTTTCTCAGCTCCACTAGGCAGTGCCCCAGTGAGGACTCTGTGTGGTGGCTCTAATCCCACATTTCCCTTCCACACTGCTCTAGGAGAGGTTCTCCAAGAGGGCTGTGTCCCTGCTGCAAACTCATGCCTGGAAATCCAGGCATTTTCATACATCCTCTAAAATCTAGGCAGCAGTTTTCAAGCATCAGTTTTTAAATTCCATGCACCCTCAAGCCCAACACCACGTGTAAGCCACCAAGGCTTGGGGCTTGCACCATCTGAAGCAACAGGCCAAGCTGCACCTTGGCCCCTTTTAGCCAAGACTGAAGCTGGAGTGGCTGAGACACAGGGCGCCAAGTCCCAAGGCTGCACAAAGCAGTGGGGTTTTGGGCCCAGCCCAAGAACCATTTTTCCCTTCTATGCCTCTGGGCCTGTGATGGGAGTGGCTGCCATGAAGGTCTCTGACATACTCTGGAGACATTTTCCCCATTGTCTTGGTGATTAACATTTTACTCCTTATTACTTATGCAAATGTCTGCAGCTGACTTGAATTTCTCCCCAGAAAATGGGCTTTTCTTTTCTATTGCATACAGGCATATGGCCAGGCTGCAAATTTTCCAAACTTTTATGCTCTGTCACCTCTTGAATGCTTTCCTGCTTATAAATTTTTTCTGCCAGATACCCTAAATTATCTCTCTCAAGTTCAAATTTCCACAAATTTCTAAGGCAAGGGCAAAATGCTGCCAGTGTCTTTGCTGAAGCATAGCAAGAGTGACCTTTACTTCAGTTCCAAATAATTTCCTGTCACTAGTGATAGGAATAGTGTTCCTATCACTATCAGCATTTTGGTCAATGCCATTCAACAATTCTCTAGGAAGTTCCCAACTTTCCCACCACATCATCCTGTCTTCTTCTGAGCCCTTGAAAATGCTCTGACCTCTGCCTGTTACCCAGTTCCAAAGCTGCTTCCACATTTTCAAGTATCCTTATGGTAGTGCCTCATTCCCGGTAGCAATTTCCTGTATTAGTCCATTCTCACACTGCTACAAAGAAACACCTGCGACTGGGTAATTCATAAAAGAAAGGTTTAATTGACTCATAATTCCACATGATTAGGGAGACCTCAGGATACTTACAATCATGGCAGGAGGGAAAGCCTGCACCTTCCTCACAAGGTGGCAGAAAAGACAGAGAGCAAGAGAGGAACTACCAAACACTTATAAAGCCATTGGATCTTGTGAGAACCCACTCACTGTCATAAGAACAGCATGAGGAACCCACCTCCATGATCCAATCACCTCCCACCAGGTTCTTTCCTCATCATCTGGAGATTACAATTCATGATGAGATTTGGGTGGGTACACAAAACCAAACCATATCAAGCTCTTTGAAGAACTGCCACAATGTTTTTCCACAATGGTTAGACTAATTTACACTCTCATGAAAAGTGTATGTGTTCCCTTTTCTATGCAACCTAATTAGCATTTGTCATTTTTTGAGTTTTTAGGAATAGCCACTCTGATTGGTGTGATATGATATCTCATTGTGGTTTTCATTTGCATTTCTCTAGTGATCAGCTCTTTCTATTTTTGTTTGTTTGTCTTGTTTTGTTTTGAGACAGAGTGAGTCTCACTCTGTCACCAGGCTGGAATGCAGTGGCACGATCTCGGCTCACTGCAACCTCCAACTCCCCGGTTCAAGCGATTCTCCTGCCTCAGCCTCCCGAGTAGCTGGGATTACAGGCATGTGCCACCAGGCCCAGCCAATTTTTGTATTTCTAGTAGAGACGGGGTTTCACCATGTTGGCTAGGATGGTCTCGATCTCCTGACCTCATGATCCACCCGCCTCAGCCTATCAAAGTTCTGGGATTACAGCAGTGAGCCACTGCACCCAGCCCTAGCTCTTACTATTTTTAACTTTTATTTTAAGTTCAGGGGTACAAGTGCAGGTTTGTTATATAGGTAAACTTGCGTCATGGGGGTTTGTGGTACAGATTATTCCCTCATCTAGGAATTAAACCTAATACCCATTAGTTATTTTTTCTGAGCCTATCTCCTTCCACCCTCCACACTCTGAAAAGCCCCAGTGAGTGCTGATCCCCTCTATGTATCCATGTGTTCTCATCATTTAGCTTGCTCTTATAAGTGAGAACATGCAGTAATTGGTTTTCTGTTCTGTGTTAGTTTGCTGAAGATGATGGCCTCCAGCTCCATTCATGTCCCTATAAAGGACATGATCTCATTTTTTATGACTGTATAGTATTCCATGGTGTATATGTACCACATTTTCTTTATCCAGTCTACCATTGATGGGCATTTTTGTTGATTCCATGTCTTTGCTATTGTGAATAGTGCCACAATGAACATATGCGTGCATGTGTCTTTATGACAGAATTATTTATATTACTTTGGGAGCACCAAACACAGGGGCTTTTTTCATATGCTTGTTGGCCACACGTGAGTCTTCTTTGCAAAAGTGTCTGTTCACTTCTTTGCCCACTTTTTTAATGCAGTTGCTTGTTTTATTCTTGTAAATTTAAAATCCTTATAGATGCTGGATGTTAGACCCTTGTCAAATATAGAGTTTGAAAATGTTTTCTCCCATTCTGTAGGTTTTCTGTTTACTCTGTTGATAGTTTCTTTTGCTGCACAGAAGCTCTTTTGTTCAATTAGATCCAATTTTTCAATTTTTGCTTTTGCTGCCATTGCTTTTGGCATTTTGTTATGAAATCTTTGCCAGCTCCTATGTCCAGAATGGTGTTACCTAGGTTGCCTTCCAATCTTTATATAGTTTTAGATTTTACATTTAAGTCTTTAATGCATCTTGAGTTGACTTTGGTAAATTGTGTAAGAAAGGGGTACAGTTTTAATCTTCTGCATATGGCTAACCAGTTAACCCAGCACCATTTATGGAATAGGGAATCCTTTCCTCATTGTTTGTTTTTGTCAGCTTTGTCAAAGATCATATGATTGTTAAGTCTGTGGTCTTACATCTGGGCTGCCAATTCTGTTCCATTTGTCCATGTGTCTGTTTTTGTACCACTACCATTTGGTTATTGTAGCCCTGTAATATAGTTTGAAGTTGGGCAGCAGCATGTCTTCTGCTTTGCTGTTATTGTATAGGATTGCCTTGGCTATTCAGGCTCCTTTTTGGTTCCATATGAATATTAAAATAGTGTTTTCTAATTCTATGAAGAATGTTTATAATTGCTTTGGGCAGTATGGTCATGATAATAATATTGATTCTCTGTATCCATGAATATGGAATGCTTTTCTATTTATTTGTGTCATCCGAAATTTCTTTGAGCATTGTTTATAATTGTAGAGCTATTTCACCTTTCTTGTTAGTGTGTATGCCTAGGTATTTTATTGTTTTTGTGGCAATTTTGAGTGACATTGCATTCCTGATCTCTGGCTTTTGGCTTGGCTGTTCCTGATGTATACGGATGCTAATAATTTTTATGTTGATTTTGTATCCTGAAATTTTGCTGAAGTTGTTTATCAGATGAAGGAACTTTTGGTCTTAGACTCTGGAATTTTGTAGATATAGAATCATGTCATCTGCAAACAGACATAATTTCACTTTTTATCTTCCTATTTAGATTCCCTTTGTTTCTTTCTCTTGCCTGATTTCTCTGGCCAGGACTTCCAATACCATGTTGACTAGGAGTGATAAGAGAGGGCATCCTTGACTTGTGCCAGTTTTCAAGGGGAATGCTTCCAGCTTTTGTTCACTTGGTATGATTTTGGCTGTGGGTTTGTCACAGATGGCTCTTATTTTGAGGTATGTTTATGCAATACCTAGTTTGTTGAGCATTTTTAACATAAAACAATAGTGAATTTTATCAGAAGACTTTTTTGCATTTATTGAGATAATTATGTGATTTTTGTGTTCTGCTTATATGATGGATCACATTTATTGATTTGTATATGTTGAACCAAACTTGCATCCCAGGAGGAAAACCTCCTTGATCATGGTGAATTCACTTTTTGATGTGCTACTAGATTCAGTTTGCAAGTATTTTGTTGAGGATTGTTGCATCAAGTTTTATCAAGAATATTAGCCTGATGTTTTCTTTTTTGTGTTGTCCCTACCAGGTTTTTGTTTTTGTTTTCATTTTTTGTTTTTGTTTTTGAGATGAAGTCTCACTCTGTTGCCCAGAGCTGGAGTGCAGTGGTGCAATCTCAGCTCACTGCAACCTCCGCCTCCTGGGTTAAAGTGATTCTCCTGCCTCAGCCTCCAGAGTAGCTGGGACTACAGGCACATGCCATCACACATGGCTAAATTCTTGTATTTTTAGTAGAGACAGGGTTTCACCATGTTGGCCAGGCTGGTCTTGAACTCCTGATATCAGGTGATCTGGCCACCTCGGCCTCCCAAAGTGCCTACCAGGTTTTGATATAAGGATGATGCTGGTCTCACAGGATAAACTGGGGAGGAATCTCTCCTCCACAGTCTTTTGGAATAGTTTTAGTAGAAATGGTGCTAACTCTTCTTTGTATATCTGGTAGAATTTAGCTGTTAATTCATCTGGTCCTGGGTTTTTCTCTTATGTTATTTATTATTAGTTCAACTTCAGAGCTCATTATTTGTCTGTTCAGGGAACCAAATTCTTTCTGCTTCAGTCTTTGGAGGGTGTATGTGGCCAGGAATTCAACCATCACTTCTAGGTTTTCCATTATGTGTTCACAGAGGGGTTCATAATAGTCTTTGATGGTTATTTGTGTTTCTTTAGGGTCAGTGGTAACATCTCCTTTGTCATTTCTGATTGTGTTTATTTGGATCTTCTTCTTTTCTTCTTTGTTAATTGAGTGGCCTATCTTATTAATTTTTTCAGAAAACCAACTCCTAGATTTGTTGATCTTTTGAATGGTTTTTTTCGGTCTCGATCTCCTTCAGTTCAGCTCTGATTTTGGTTATGTCTTCTCTTCTGCTACCTTTGAGGCTGGTTTGCTCTTGCCTCTCTAGTTCTTTCAGTTGTGATGTTAGGTTGTCAATTTGAGATCTTTCTAACTTTTCATGTGAGTATTTATTGCTACAAATTTATCTTCTAACATTGCCTTATCTGTGTACCAGAGATTCTGGTATGTTGTGTCTTTGTTTTTATTAGCTTCAATAAAATTATTGATTTCTGCTTTAATTTCATTATTTACCCAAAAGTCATTCTGGAACAAGTTGTTCAATTTCTGTGTAATTGCATGGTTTTTAGCAATTTTTTAAGTCTTGATTTCTATTTTTATTGTACTATGGTCTGAGAATATGTTTGGTATAATTTTGGTCCTTTTGTATTTGCTGAGGATTGTTTTATGTCTGACGGTGTGGTCAAGTTTAGAGTATATGCCATGAAGCAATGAGAAGAATGTATATTCTGTTGGTTTGGGGTGGAGAGTTCTGTAGAGGTTTATTAGATTCATTTTGTCAAATGTTGATTTTAGGCCCTAAATATCTTTGTTAATTTTCTGCCTCAATAATTTGTCTGATACTGTAAGTGGAGTGTTGACATCTCCAAGTATTATTGTGTGGGAGTCTGTATCTTGTTTAGGTCTCTAAGAACTTGTTTTTTGAATCTGGGTGCTCCTGCATTGGGTGCATATATACTTGGGATAGTTAAGTCTTCTTGTTAAATTGAACATTTTACTATTATGTAATGCCCTCCTTTGTCTTTTTTGATCTTTGTTCATTTAAAGTATGTTTTATTTGAAATTAGGATTGCAACCCTTGTTTTTTCTATCATTTTCATTTGCTTGGTAGATTTTTCTCTATCCCTTTATTTTGAGCCTATGAGTGTCATTGCACGTGAGATGCATCTCATGAAGACAGCATACCATTAGGTCTTGCTTCTTTATCCAGCTTGCCACTCTGTGCCTTTTAATTGGGGCACTTTTCTAGTTTACATTGAAAGGTAGTATTAATATGTGTAGATCTGATCCTGTCACTTTGTTGTTAGATGGTTATTATGCAGGCTTCTTTGTGTGGTTGCTTTATAGTGTCACTGGTCTGTGTACTTAAGTGTGTTTTCATATTGGCTGGTAATGGTTTTTCCTTTTCATATTCCTTTCAAGATCTCTCTCTTGTAAGGCAGGTTGGGTGGTAATGAACTCCTTTGGCATTTGCTTATCTGAAAAGTATTTTATTTCTCCTTTGCAGACAAAGCTTAGTTTGGCTGGCTATAAAATTCTTGGTTGAAAATTTTTTTCGTTAAAAATGTTGAATATAGGCCCTCAATTTCTTCTAGCTTGTGAGGTTTCCGCTGAGCAGTCCACTGTTAGCCTCATGGGCTTTCCTTTGTAGTTGACCTGCTCTATCTCTCTAGCTATCTTTAATATTATTTCTTTCACTTCAACCTTGGAAAGTCTGATGATTGTGTCTTAGGGATAATCTACTTCTGTAGGCTCTTGCAGGGGTTCTTTGTATTTCTTAAATTTGACTGCTTAACTGGATTCTTTTGAGTTACAGGTGAATCTACATGTCCTGTGGTCCCAAGAAATTGCCATATTGGTCCTATATATCTATTGGAAAGACACTAGTGTGACAGCTTAGGAAGAACTTTTTCCAAATTAACTTCAATCTGTCCTGTTTCCTACAAGATTCTTCCTAGGGCATGTGGCTCAGGAAAGTTTTAATATAGCTGAAATCAATTGTAATGGGCAGACAAGAAGAAGACAGGCTTGGAAATGGATTCAATGAGACATTCAGGACACTGAATAGTGGAGATTTGAGGGGATATAATAGACAAAGATGCAGGGTATGGGACTCTAACTCTACAAGAATAACTTATTTAAAGAGTATTTAAAAATACAGATAGTGGGGAAAAAAATACAGATACTCTCCCAGGAAAGCAGTGAGCCCCAGAAGAGGGACACCAGCATTATTTGATAAAGCAAGGTCAAATGGAGGTAGTTGAAATACAGGGATAAATAATACATATTAGTTATGGCAGGCAAGGCAGCATACAGATACAAATGAAATCTCTTTTCAAGCTATAGGATGCTAGCCATTGTGCTTGGTTCAAGATGAGACTTCAATGTCAGAAGTCTTAAGCAAGTATAAGTATGGTCCTAGGACAGGGGTTAGCAAACTCTCTGTGAAAGGCCAGACAACAAATCTTTTAGGTTTTCCAGGCCACATAGTCTATGTCCAACTACTCAACTCTGAATTCATGGCACAAAAGCAGCCAGAGAAAATACACAAAACAGTGGGCATAGTTGTGATCCAAAACTGGTTATTCATAAAATTAGGCTGACTCCTGTCCTAGAGGGTCTAGGAAGTGCTTGAAACATTACAGAACAGGAACTTAAGTATAAGAGGACAAGGATCTGATAATCAAAAAGAGATTAATAGGAGTGGCTGAGTTCCAGGAACAAGACCCAGTTATAACTGTGGCAGGAGGTCAAGTCTAGCACAATAGTAAAGGCAACATAATAGGCACAAAATGTTGGCCTGTAGCTACTGAAAGTTCCCTGTCCTATAGTCAGGTATGTTAAAGAGTTTGCTGAGCCTGAAGTTGTGCAATGCCAACTACTTTGAACCAGAGAAGGTCTGGTAGAAAATTCCTGAAATAGCTCTCTGAATTCTCCAATTTGTTCTTTGTCCAGATTCTTCCTAGTGCAAATATACCCACACATATAAGTTAGGCTCTTAGTAAAGCACAGTGTAATTGCTAGAAACAGTAAAGGGACTAAAATCCTCTAAATATTGATTCCAAATCCTGTGACTTATCTTTTTCATCTCTGTGTTGTGCTGTAAAATGAAGATAATATAAATCCCTGACCAAATTTTCTCATCGTGTTCCTATGATGATTCAATGAAATAATAGATGTGAACATTGTTCATAAACTATGAAGTTCTCCACATAACCTGGTTATGATGATCACATTTATAATAAGCAATGTCCTGGTTTGGTCATTAATTGCCCTCAATTTCCACACCCCTGTTAAATAATAAATCTCTCATCTCCTTAAAAGCTAAGTTGTATTGCACAATTACACAACAAGGAGGTAGTTTGATAAACTCATCTTAAAGAGTAGGCTATCCCTCTTAACTAATCCAATCATTTGGCAAATACAGAAGTCAAAGCTTAGAAAGAATAAGGGTTCTGCCCTGTATTACGCTGGTTATAGCCAGTGGTTATTTTCCTGGCAAGTTTATAAGGGTCCAATAACGGTGTATATAGCAATTATTAACATAATACATGTAAGTAAATTAATTAACAAAGAGCAATAGGAATGAAGAGGAAGAATTTAAATAGGACAAGACAGTAAATAAATTATGTAGCATAGAAACTTTTTTTGAAGGAAATACCCCACTCTGTGTATCCAAATTAACTTTTGTCCTAACCTTAAATTTGATAAAGAGTTGTCTGCATTTTGTGTCTGATGTCACTCTCATGATGAGAAGACAGCCTCTATTTCATCATGGCTGAAAATGGTGGCAAATAGCAGACTGTGGTTAATTGTTATGTGATGCAACTGCCTCTAGACATTTTCTCCCACTCTGTTAGCCCTCAGTATTGAAAAAATCATAAGAAATATCTATTTCTGTATCTTCTCTTTGGCACCAATCCTCATACACTTAGGGTGTTGAGACGGGTGTTGAAACACAGAGGTAGTGATTGCTGCCTGGGGTGACCAGCTCTCTCCAGGACCTAAGCAATTGTAAAGGCAGTCTGGGACTAGCAAATTAAAGCCATCCATCAGGCTCGTTGCACCACACAGAGCAACTGCTTCCACTGACAACAGTGAGAATTGAGCTCTCACAAGGGGAACAGAAATGCAAGGATTGGAGATTTAAAATTAGGGACCCATTCCAGGAAACAGACTGGTAAATAAAAGAACCATGTTTCTATCTGATTTTAAAGCTAAACTTAGGCCTAAAGACAAGACCACATTTGTCAAGAAAGTATTGATAGCCTATGAGATTACAGGGAAAAAATATTGAGAGTTTTTAATATTTTAGGCAAACATAAAATAACTAAGCATGCCATCTTTGTTACCTCCCGGTATTAACCAGGCCATCTTTAATTACCAAAAGCAGCCGTCTTGTCTGCATACTTGCTGCGCTGTTTTGTCTCCTGTCCCTGATGTCCCAGGCTCTCCATTTTGTCAGCCAGTTTCACTTTTATGGAGAGGCAAAAGGTGTCACTGCAACTAAGCTTGTGATCTCTCTCTTTTTCAGCTCAGTCGGTCTCCAAATACTTATTATTTCATTACAAAGAGAATAAAAAGTGATAATTCAGAGAAATTAATTAACACAAGTGAGTGAGAATACTTAGCTACAAAGCACTGCCTTGCAAGGTTTCCTTCTAACCTAACTAGTAAATTGAGTCTGATACATCTTCATGTCCATCAGGAGAAGAATGAACTATGCCTTTCCTCCAGTTTTCAAATCAGTCATATTTCTCCACTTCTGTACCTGTCTTTCACTTCCAGGAAAGGCTTCATCTCCATTCCATTTATGACTATAAACTCTTTGACAAGGAGGAATACTACACCTACTCCACACTGCTACTCCACTCAAACACAATTCTCAAGGTACTTGTAGCAAATGAAACTTAGGTATAAGAAGTTGTTCATGCAATATGTCGTGATTTTAGAAACAAAATTAAGAAACTACTTTAATAAAAAATTTATTATGTCATGCCCTTGCTGATGACCTACCTAAAAGGCTACTTTGATTCATTCATTCATTAACAAACATTCCTTGAGAAACTCCTCTGTAACGTTTCTTTGTATCACCCACTGTTCTAGGTGCCAGGATACAATATAGTGGAAAGAAGAAAAAGTAAATCAGTGTTCTATTGTGTGACAAGTGCCCTGGTAGAAACAGGCACAGAGTGCTGTGAGAACACAGAAAAAAGAGACATGTAGCATGAGAGTTCTGGAAACCTGAGTGAGAGGAAATCACTGACTGCAGAAAATGCAGTCTGGAGACACTAACTACCACATTTCCTTGCTTCAGACTTTAATGAGGGCCAGTATTATGCTGTTTATAAGCACTCATTTCAGGTTGCTACATTTGCGCATAGGTTACTTGAGTAAGCATGGGGCTTTCTTTTTTATAGTCTATCCATTAATATTTCATGGTATGCCATGGTATCATGAAATATTGTGTAGGAAGCACTCATTAAAAAAGGAGACTCATTTGAAAATATTTCTGAATAGAATTGACATTTAGGCTTGAGAGTTACTATTTCAGGCATTGCTGTATTACATTAGCGGATTGCAAACACTTGCAATATAAAACAGTTACTGTGTACCTACCCTAGCCCATGCTCTGTATTAAATGTAAGGGGATGCATGGAATAGGATGAATTGAAAATATGGAGAAAAATGAGATTTGCCTACTGCCTGCCAAATATGATCTCTCTAGATTCTGGATGTCTACAAATTTCCCTGTTAGTTTTCCAAAAACAATGAATTACTGGAAACTGTAACACATACTGCAATTAAATGTTGAATAAACCCAGCATGTTGGTCCAGTACAATGTTGTGTTGGGTTTTGTAGTTGTTGTTTTCTGACACTCCTCTTAGAATGATTATATGGTTGAATGAACATAATTGGAGAAATAGATTAAAGAATCTGTAACTTAGTATTATGAAAACAGAAGGGGATATTGACACGGCATGAAGAAGAGCAAGAATAAAATAATTATACCCCTGAGAATTACAAAGCCTCAGTGTGTGTAAAGAATCTAGTGTCTCCAAAATGAGATTATCTTTTGGTAACCACACCACCTGGAATTGCCTAATTGCTATTCTACAAGTCTCAAAGAAATAAAAGCACATGTAAACACAAACAAGTTGGCAGGGCACTTTGGAAAGCATGACAGCTCTGCCAACACAAGAGTCAGAGCTGAGCCATGCCATTTGGACCATTTGGAAAGGAAGCCTCGGTGGAAAAAAATAATTATGAACAGTTTATTTATTGCCCCTATATTTAATAAATATTATTTATTTTGGAAAAATAACAACGGCAGTTAATAGGGAGCAATTTACACTGCTAGCAAACTCAAATGGGGCCTTCCTAAGAAGGACAGGTAAGGAAGTATGTGGCTGCGTTTTCTGGTGGCATGGCCCTGGTCCATTTAAATTTTAACTTGTTTACAAAAAGCCAATGTCTCAAAAATACCTTTTATAGATGTTATCTGATTTTAGCAAGACAATTGTGAACCTTTTTTTCTCTTAATTTGTAAGTTAGCCGAGTAAACGAAGCAGCCCCAAGTACCGTAAAATTGAGACTGCGCTTATGTCACTGAAAATGGAGCACGTAGCCTTGAAGAAATAACTATATGTTATAGTTTATAGAGATTGTCATTTAGTTATTAGTCCAGCAATTTGTTTTCTTTCAAAACATTATGAGGATTTCATAAAGCCATTGGGGAGACTTGTGAGCAGACTGTCCTCCCTGAGACAGTGAGACTTCTGGTGATTGGTGAGACTGGAATAGCTTTCAAATTGAAGCTAGAGGGAAAATTAACAGTTTGACAACTCCTGAGGAAAATATACAAAATTTGAAGGAGAAGGAGCTATTCCAATTACAAAACCCAGATAGCTTTTTAAATACACATTTAGGGATATTATACCACTATGTATCTGAATCGATACACAATGGAATTTCATCATTTCCTAATTTATAGATAAAGATTACATCATGAGCTTCAAGAAAACTCTAAAGTCTGAGTATTCTGCATACTTCCCCTCAGATCGTAACTTTGAAGAACATTTCAGCAATGCCATAATTGTTGGCCAAGATTACATTTAATAACTTCCAAGAATATGTCTGTATTTGCTTTTTTTCAGAAGGAGCTTAGGTTTTATCACAATAACAAGGTATCATAATTAAATTTATCTTAAGTTTTAAAAATCCTTATAATCACACAGGACAAGACTAAAGCAATAGAAACTGACCTTCCTCTAGTTTATATGGGAATAACAGCATCAAATTTATTTTGTAATGATTTTCTGATTCTACCTGGCTATTAAAAACTATAAAATTAGATGATAATATTTGATGTCTGAAAGAGGAAACATGCTTTTTTTTTTTTTTTCTAGAGCAGCAATGCTTAAAAGGGAAAGTTATTTTACTTGCCCCCTCCCCTGGGACACTTAGCACTGTCTGTAGATGTATTTGGCTGTTATTTCTGGTTGTTACAACTAGGAGTGGGTGGGGTTTGCCACTGGTATCTAATGGACAGAGGTCAGAAATACTGCTAAATATCTTACAATGCACAGGAAAGTCTTTTCTTGATAATAACTATTTAAACATCTGGCCAAACACGATGGCTCATGCCTATAATCCCAGCACTTTGGGAGGCCGAGGCAGGCGGATCACTTAAGGTCAGGAGTTCAAGATGAGCCTGCCCACCATGGTGAAACCCCATTTCTACTAAAAATATAAAAATTAGCCGAGCGTGGTGGCACATGCCTGTAATCCCAGCTACTTGGGAGGCTGAGGCACGAGAATCGCTTGAACCTGGGAGATGGAGGTGGCAGTGAGCCAAGATCATGCCACTGCACTCCAGCCTGGGTGACAGAGTGAGACTCTGTCTCAAAACAAAAGAAAAAAAATCTGGCCAGAAATATCAAGAGTGCTCAGGTTTAGAAACCCTGGTATAGAGGCTTCTATATTACTGTTACTTCTTCATAAGTAACAGTACATTAAAAATATTGTATTTCAGCTGGGGAAGATTTTTTATAATTTGGAGCATAGTAGAAAATAGTGAAAAAACTCAAACATTCAGATAACAGGTTCATATAACTGCTTTGCCTTTTGCTAGATACATGACCTTAATTAGGTTACAGAACCTCTCTATGTCTCGGTTTCTTCTTAAAAAGGGATTTTGTGAGAATTAGGAAATGATGTATGTGGAAGGATTTAGGATAACACCTGACAAATACAAAACATTCAGTCCATATTTTGAATAAATGAAATAAATAGTAAGTGATTTCTAAAACAAACACTGTTTTCAAAGGTCATGCCATATAAGCTGAAAAAGAAAGCATGTTCGTCAATTTAATGCTAATTTCTTTGACACCTTAAGGGAGACCTTTGGAGATATATAATAGTGATCATAGCAAAGGTCAAGTATTTCCTAAATAGTCATCAATTGTATAAACTGTAGCATTTCTTATTAAAGATGAAGAAAATGCCTCTCTTTGGAGTAAGAAACAGGACACAACTCAAACAAAAGAGTTCAAACAGAGTTTTGTTCCCATCTACAATGTGACAAAAATGGTAAGGTCAAAAATGAGATAACATTTGATAGATGAGTTCACATGTAATTTTAAAACCAGTTGTTTAAGATTAAATCACAAGTGAAAAATTCTGGGGCAAGGGTACTTTTAGTTACATAGAGAGTGCCTGAGGTTTGTCATCATATTCCCACATAATTCATTTCCTTTAGAATATACCTGGAATATATCGACAACTGTGAACAAATTCATTGTGATATAACTCTCTAAACAGAAGATCAAATACTTTTTGCCAGTTGTATTGCCTAACATTCCATCCCTGTGCTTTTTTATTATGGAACCCTCTGTCTTCACTGCAAATGTTTTGGGCTTTCTATCCACCATGGAACTATAAATTCTATCAATATTGCAGTTGAAAAGCATTTTGCCATTATCATGTAAAAATGCATTGGGTAACTGGTTCACTTCTTCTAGTTTGTTTTAGATAATGCCACCAATATACCTTAACAAGTGATGGAAAATGTAAAAACTAGATCATCCAGGCAGTCTGATAATTTCCATACAATATAGCAGCACATATAATGTATTATTTGAGTTAAGTAGATATTTATGTATTACCTGGACCCAAGCTGAGAAGAATATATGCTGCTCCAGCTTGGTTAGAGAGTTAACAAACTGCTCCAGGAAGTTTACAGAAAAATATTTACTATCCCCAATCTGCTCCTCATTTCCTAGGACACATCTATGTGATAATTTCAAATTATACTGGGCTACAAAGAAAAGCAATACCAATCATTTGGAGGGCATTAAAGCATAATATGCTTTAATACAATTTTTATTTTTATCTGCGAAGAGTCTGTGCTTTCCTCTTTGGTCTAAACTTTCATGATTGTAAGATAAGTGGCTTTCTGGAATTACTCTACACTATAGTAAGCCCACTTGATACCATAGGAATTGATGATTATGTATATCCTACAGTTAACCCCGATCATCCTCTAGGATTCCACAATACTTCAGGCTACAAGATAATAGGACCATTAGGTTGAAAACTTCACCTCTGAACAAATTTTGTTTGGGAGACTTTTGAATGGGAGCAGCCTATGTGTGACTCAGGCATTTGAGCAAATGTTCAAGCTCCACTGAACCAAAATGTTCTTTTGTTGTTTTTATAACCACCTGATACCATAAAAGCTTTATATTTCTTATTTTCCAATGAATTTTGAGGTGATCCTGTAGACATAGACACATTGGTCTATGGTAGCTTTATGATCAATATCTTGCTTTTTTAGAGGATGTAGAGAAGGTTTTGGAGAGATTCCAGAGTGACGAATGGAGATAATACCTTCTAACATGAACTCTCTCTCCTTGAGCCATATGCTCTCTCATGTTTAAAAGCAAATTGCTTCACACTGAAGCACTGCATGCAATTATAGCTTGGAAAGCGACTGCACTGTATACTCCTTTGACATGCCGCTAAATCACTATGTATTATTATTTTCAAATCAGTGAATAAATGAAAAATTTCTATGCCTCAGTGATTTTTACTTGAGACAGAAAAATATATCTAAAAATAGAGCTTATACCAATGTATACATTTTGGCAAGTCACTGAAATCAAAACGATAGTGACAGGAGTGACTGGAGGATAGAAGGGAGTGATTGTTATTTTTATATTTTTGTATCTATACATAAATTACTCTATTTATTCTAAGTTTTGAAATGATATGAAAACCTAAACTTGGTGTTATGGTACGTAGTTTTGTTCTTATATAATCTTACCTTTTTTGGTAATATCTAATTAACTAGCAAATCGAAAGCAGCACATCACTAGTCTTTACCTATTCAATGAATGATTGGTTGCCTCTGATTCAAATCCAGGTCAATAATCATTTTCTCCCATTATTTAAGATGTACCACTAAAATGTGAACAGTATAGGAGTGACACCTTTGCTTTTCCCTGTAAGTTTCATAGGAATTTGTACAACAGATGAGACATGTTCATTTAAAAAGTCAAGATTATTTTTCAACCAATAATATATAAATTGACTGTATAAATCCTTCGCTGTAAGAAAATAATATTTTAGCATGGTCAGCCACCAATTCTTAAAATATATAACGAAGCTGCTTAAACCCTCTTGTTGACTGAAAATTGCACTAGGGTATATTTCAGCCATTTAAAAGTGGCTAATTTTAGAATTGATATAAAAGCAGTACTACTGGATTCCAGTCAAGAACACAAAAAATTGAGAGAAAGACAGCATACTATTCCCAAATAGTTTTGTGATTTAAGCAGAGGATTAGGGGCATCTAGCTATAAGATGTGAAACCCAGGGTGTGGTTGAATTTATCATGTGGAGAAAAAAAGTTCTGATTAGGAAAAGATGATAGAACTATTACACACTAAAAAGAAAGAAAGAAATTAAGATGGAACCAAGGACCAGAATGCTATAATCAGGAGAATATTTAGGATGATTTATGAAAATATCAATAACAGATTAAAGTTCCTAGAAATTTTACATTTTATTCTTTTTAATGTATATGTCACAATGCCCTATGTAGAGTAAATTTTTTTTTAACAATAAAGATTCTTTGAGGGCAATTGTCATGGTTTCGCTTGGATAGTATGCTCCAATTCAAAGTATAGCTAATGCGTGTTTAAATAAGTTTACACTCACTCAGAGGTGTGCTGAAACTGGTTCAAGTCAGCTCACGGGAGTTGAATGTAAATTTTCATAAAATGTGTGAACTCACTGTTCTCATTATTTAAAATTAAATTATGTAGGAGTGACATCAGCAAAATGGCACCAATTACTCCAAGTTGCCATCGTCCTCACAGCAATACCAAAAGGCAAGGAAAAGCTGTCAGAACCAACTTCGTCATAACTCTAGAAAAATAAAAGTTTTATAGGAGTCAAACACTAAAGAAAAAGAAAGATAACTTACTTAAAAATGGTATAAAACATTGGTTGCATTTCACTTGCCCTTTCCCCATATGCTCCCCAGCTCAGCAAGAGGCTGGAATACAGCAACCTGCCTTCTAGTGTGGGACCCTCTACCAAGTTACAAAAGAAGCAAAGTGTGCCTTACTCACAAATTATTGTGCGTCTGCTTTAACTTCTCTGGGAATTACCTAAAGTATGGACAAAAGGTGCTTGTCACTAACTCAGAACTCACTCAGGCCACAAAAGTGGTGGTCATCACTTGACAACATTGTAAGGTAAATAAACAACTGCAGAATCCTGGGACAAAAGAGTAAAATTAAGACACAGAATAGGCCATGTAAATTCTTGGGGAAAAAATCTAGGGAGAGTTGTTCTTTGGGAAATTAGGTTGTTCAAAAGCAAACATGTTTATGGGAGAATTTATAAAGCCATATGCAAGTCCAGGACAAGACACATGCTCAAAGACTTGACAAGACCCTAAACTTAATTTGAGCTGAGTGATAGGCTCAGTACAAGCCCAAACCTGGATAAATGTTAGAGAACTCTAACCAAATGACAATCTGCAATGACTGAGAGAGGTGTTTATTTTATTTTATTTTTTAGTCTGTGGCATTCAGGAAAGTCTCTGTAAACATTAGCTGAACACAGCTAAATGAATAGACATTTCAGTAACCACACACGAAAAAATACATACTTTTCAAAATACTTAAAAAAACTCATTAATCAAAAGACTACTACAGCCTGCAACACTTAATGAACCAAGCAAACCTGGGAAATTGGCAGGAATTTTATTTCCAGAGTTACTATAATATTCAAATATCCAGTTTGCAACAAAAAAATAACAAGGCATACAAAGTATCAGGAAAGTATGGACCATTTAAGGGAACAAAATAAACTGAGAGAAACCATCCAGAGGAAGCCCACATATTGATATTAATAGATAAAGATTTCATGACAACTTTTAAAAATATGCTCAAATAGCTAAATGAAAACAAAGACAACAATCAAGGAAATCAGAAAAATAAGTATGAGAAATGAGAGTATCCACAAACACATTTAAATTATAAAAATTAACCAAACAGAAATTCTGGAGAATAAAAGTAAAATGATTAAAATTTTCAAAATTATTAGAGGAATTCAACAGCAGATTTCAGTAGTCAGAAGAAAAAAATAAGCAACTTTGAATATAGGCCCATTGAAATTATTTAGTCTGAGGAGAAGAAAGAGAAAAGAAAGTGAAGAAAAGTTAAAAGAGCTTAAGAGAACTGTGGAATACCATCCAGTGGAATATCATATACATTTTAGGAATTCCAGAAAAAGAAAAGACAGAGAAAGGGGAAAGAGAATATTTCTTAAAATATAATGGGTTAAAACTTCCCAAATTTGATAGATATAAATCTGCATATTCAAGAAGCTCAGGAAACTTTAAGATAAGCTCAGAGATCCATAGTGAGAAACACCATCAAATTGGCATAAATACCAAACAAAAACCAAAAGAGAATACTGAAAGCAGCAGGAGAGAACCAACTCATTATGTATGGAAGAACTTCAATAAGAGAAACAGTTGTATTTTCATTAGAAACCTGGAAGGCAATAGAAAGTGTAATGAAATATTTAAAGTGTTGAAAGAAAAAAAATGTCAAGAAAGAATTTTATATTTGAAAAATGAGACTTCCAGAAAATGGGAAATATTAAGACATTCACATATAAACAAAAGTTATGGTAGTTTGTTAGTTATCATGAGAGCTGCCCTACAAGAAATCCAAAAGATAATATTTCAAGTTGAAATGAAAGGATGCTGGACAGTAACTCTATACTGCATGAAATATAAAGATCTCCAATAAAGGTGAATACATGAGAAAAATTAAAGCCGATATTATTGTATTTTGTGTTTTAATTGTACTTTTTAATTTGTACAGGATTTAAAGACAAATTCATAAAAATTATTATATACCTATGTTACTGAACACTTATATAAACATGTAATTTACATAAACAACATATAGGAAGGGGACAGAAATGTATAAGAGTAGACATTGTGTATGCTCTTGAAGTTAAGCTTGTATTAACTACAACTAGATTGTTGAAAAATTAAGATGATGTTAAATATCCTAAGAGAGGCAACAACAAAGAAAATATCTAAAAATATATACACAGAAATAGAAATGAGAATGGAATCAAAATCACTCACCAGAAAAATCATATACAAAAAAGGCTTTAATGGAGGAAATGAGGGACAAAAAAATTGGTATAAGACAAACAGAAAACATACATTGGATTGGTAGAAATAATTTATTCCTTGTCAGTAATTATTTTAAATGTAAATTGATAAAACTCGCCAAATAAGAGGCAGAGAATGAAAAAACAGATAAAAGAAAACATTATCTAACTATGTCCTATCCACAAGAAACTCCCCTTAGATAGAAAGATAAAAATAGATTGAAATTAAAAGGATGGAAAAAGATATTCCAAGCAAATAGCAATCAAAAGAGAAGAGTAATTCTTACACTTATATCAGAATAAATAGACTTTAAATAAAAAACTTTTACAGAAGACAAAGAAGAACATTATATATTGATAAAAGTGTTCATTCACTAAGAAGATATAACAATTACAAGCATCTATGTACCAACCAACACTACCCCAAAATATATGAAGGAAACATTGCCAAAACTGGAGAAATAGAGCTATACAGTAACAGTTGGAGACTTCAATTTATATCTATCAGATTCAAGTTTGGTCAAAGAGAGTCTTTGTCACTACGTATATGAAATGCCAACAAATCCATAAGAAAGCTACTAGAGCTGGAAGTTAATGCAACAAAGTTGAAGGGTACAAAATCAATTTGCATAATTCAGGTTTTTTTTCTATACACCAGTAATAAACAATCTGAGATGAGCATTGCTACAAAAATTCCAACACACTTCTTTTTTTTTGGCCATAACAGTGAAGCTGATCCTCACATTCATATGGAATTTCAAGGGGCCCCAAATAGCCAAGAAAATCTTGAAAAGGAACAAGGTTGGAGGACAAACACTTCCCAGTTTTAAACTTACTAGAAAGCTACACTATTCAAAATACCAAAATACCAGCATAAGGATAGTTATGTAGACCAATGTGACATAATTGAGATCTAAAAATAATTCATGCATCTGAAGCCAATTGATTTTTAACAAGGTGAGGACCAAACTGTGACCTTTTATTTTCTTTCTCAAATTCCTTTTTAAGAGGCCTGGGAAGTCTCACCTTATGAATCATAAATATTTTATTAAACAGGTCTTTTCTGACCCAGTATATTGTGGCTTACTTTCCAACCTGGGTTTAGCATGGCATCACATGACAGATAACAGACCCTCTTATCTTATCTTAAGCATTCATTTCTACTAACTCCAAGTACTTAAACAAAGCTTAACTCTTTCAACCAATCTCAAACTAAAGAATCCCTAAACCCACCTATGACTTGTAAGCCCTCACTTCAACATGTCTTGCCTTTTTAGGCCAAACTAATGTATACCTCTTATGTGATTTATGATTTTGCCTGCAATTTCTGTCTCCCTCAAATATATAAAACCAAACTGTAACCTGACTACCTAGGGTGCATTTTATCAGGACCTCTTCAGACTGTGTATCCCCAGGCCACAGTCAGTCATACTGGCTTAGAATAAACCCCTCTAAATATTTTGGCTAAATTTGTTTTTTCCATCATCAAAGGGTTCCAAGTTAATTCAATGGGAAAAGAATTATCTCATTAATAAATGTTGCTGGGACAACTAAATATCTATAAGTAAAAGAAAGGAGTTGGAATTCTATTTCAAATAATATAAAAATTTAACACAAGTCAATCAACAATGTAAATGTAAAAGTTAAAACTGGAAAATGAAAAATAAAAATAGAATAAATCTTCAGGACCTTGTATTTGACAATGGATTATTAGATATGAGACCAAAAAGCATGAACAATGTAAGAAAAAATAGGTAAGTTGTACTTCAATGAAATCTAAAAAAAAGTGTGTGCATCAAAGTACATTATCAAGACGGTAAAAGGGAAACCTATAAAATAGAAGAAAATATTTTCAAATCACATATCTTATAAGGATTAAATATTCAGAATATATAAAGGACTACAAACTCAGTGACAAAAATAAAAACAACACATATAATACAAGCAAAAGACTTGAACAGATATTTGTCCAAAAAAGATATGCCACCCCTTTTGGAGATGAGCATACGAAAATGGTGATAAGCATATGGAAAGATTCTAAACATCATTAGTTCCATTTATTATTGCACTAGAGCAATGCAAAACAAAAGCACAAGGAGACATCACTTAGCACATTAAGATGAATATGATAAAACAGGAAATAACAAGTATTCATGAGGATGCATAGAAATTGGAATCCTCTTGTGTTGCTGGTTGGAATACAAAATGGTTCAACAACTGTGGAAACAATTTGGCAGTTTTTCCAAAATGTAAACATATACTTACCATATAGCCTATCAATTCTACTCCTAGTTATATACCCCAAATAATAAAATACAGAGACCCAGATACAGCAATGTTCATTGCAGCACAGTTTACAATGGCTAAAAGGTGGAAATCAGCCGTATCCATCAATGGAAGAATAAACAATTATATATACATACAATGGAATATTATTCAGTCATATAAAGGAATGAACTTCTGGTATTGTAGAAAAAAATGGGTTCTTGTCATACGACCAGGAAAAGTTAGGCATGCAGAAACTTTGAAGGGTGAGGGAGAATGGAATTTACTGAGCTACTAGGAAAAAAAAAAAAAACACCTCTCAGCAAAGCAAGAGGGGTTCCTATTCACAGGCCCCCATCTCACTGACTGAATCTCAAGTTACCATACAGTAACAGGAGAGGCCAGGCTCCTTCTCGCTGCAAATGATGCGAACTTCCCAAGGCTCCACCCCGTCCTCCCAGTGTGTAGGTGGGCATTATTGAGAAAAAAATCAGTTGGCAAAGGGCAGGCTTAATCCGGAACCTGCAGTCCAATTTTTCAGCCTTCATGCTGTTTTAGGCTTGAAGGCAGGGTTTCACCTGGGTCCCTTGGCTGCCTCCTGTGTCTATCATTTTCCCCTCTAAAGAAGTACATCTAACTGCCATTAGAATAAGGATAAGGATAAGGATGAACACTGATTTTAACTGCTTCCTGTTGACAAGGGGTGCTGTTTTGGGAAAATGGCAGTCCAATCTCCCTCAGAGGCCAAACTAAGGGTTCCCAGCAAAAGGGGCCATTGTCTGAGACCCCAGTTGCATGACCATTTGGAGTTTGATGGCCTGAAGGTGAGAAGAGACAACTCAGATTATTAGAAAACATACATCAAAATGAAAAAAAGGCAGGAGAGAGAACAGCTCAAAAATTGTGAGGCCTTTTACCAGTTTGTACAGGGAGAGGGGGGCCAAAGGCCCAACTGGTAAAAAACCTTTTACCCTTTTGCCAGCATGTCAGGCTTCTGGATTCCCTTCCCCTGAGCCCAATCCTAAGCCAACCAGTTTAAGGTTGGGAAAATTAACTTTTCCTGGTTTGGAGGATGCATCCGAAGGGAGTATCTGATAGTACGGAGACACAATTACCTATCAGTGAAGAGAGGACAGATGAGAAGAAAGAAGAAAAAAGGATTTTTTTTCAAAGGAGTCCAAGAGGTTCAGGATGTATTTGAAAAAGGTACAGACTGAAAATAAGTGGCTACACATTGAGAAAGAGGGGAGCGAGGCATCCCCAGTTCTCTTCTCTTTCTAGCAAATACCAAGGGTACGTGAGGGAGAGAAAGCAAGGTGTTGCCCTTTCTTTCCTTGTCCTTGTATCCCCGAGTCCTGGTTACTGTGAAAAGGTGCCACCCAAGGGTGTCACAGTGCCTTTACCCATATTAATAGAGGGGCATAGGGGATGGGAGTATCCATGCTTAGTCTCATATGCCCTATCTCCCCTGTCCATAGTAGCCCTAGACCTCATTTATGCTATAGATGCTAGTATGGTCTTTATCCATGAAACAGGAATCTTGGCTTAATTGGCAGGAATCAGTCATGCTCACCTGCAGTGTGCCTTTTAACTTCAGTTATCATCTGCCTCTGAATCTTCCAGATCCAGTTTTCTTTCCTATGGCTTTGACCTGAAGCTTGGAATTGAGTTTGGAACAAATATGTGTCTCAAGGGGGTTGCATGGGCTCCTCATCATAAGCCAAATGCTAAGGTGAAGCTGTGGAATTGAGTCCTCCTTCAACAAGGGAGAGAAAAGGATGGCTTGTGACATGCCAAGATAACTGGTGGCTACAGTTATGCTTGCTCAGATTTGGGTGAATGGGGCTTGGCTTTGGTTAGCTCCCTTGGTCTTACTTCCACAAAAAGGAAACCTCTGGGTTATGGGCATCCTATTTATTCCCATCACCCAGCAGGATTTGCAGGATAATTGCCCAGAACTAGAATATCGATCCAGATTTTTACATCACCCCTCCCTTTTGTTCTTTCTGAGCTTCAGTCAGAGATTGCTGGTTGGTTCACAGGGACAAGCAGTGTTAGTTTAAAATGTAGGCAAAAACTTAAAAACAATGAATTAGTCTAGAATTTAATGACACATGTATGAAATGTTTTGAAACATAATTTGTCTTTCTCCAGTCCTCATTTTTGTTAAAAAAAAAATCATGATATGAATGAGTTGTTTGCAAAATAGATTTCAGGCTTATACTTGGCCTGATTATTTGCATGAAGTACAGCAAGAATAACTATTTCTACATAGGCCTTTTAGATTGGCTTTGATGGAACTCACTTCCACAAGTAATCTCAGATAAGACCATTTAAAGCTGAGCCCAGCCATGGGCTTGTATCCTCAAATACCTGAGAGATGGGTAATCCTCTCTTCTTAAGGTCAGCAGATAAACATGGGGCTCCAGGGCCTGTCAGAAAGTAACATTCTTTACTTACCATAGCTCAGAAACCCTGTACAGTGACTGCATAGACAAGGTTATGAGGCCAGTTTTCCCAAGGGGCTTTTATTGGCCCTGCAAGTCAAGCTTGACCGCTTAAAGGGAAGCATACACCTTCCAGTCAAAGCCTTGATAAACCAGCAGTTTCTCCAATTGCATCCTGTTGCAAAGGAAATTGGATTCATATTGCATTGATGCAAACAACTGTACTGCCATAAGGTAAGAATACTCACAACTAGTTTCAAAATTCTGGAGAAGCCAGGCAGAGAGAGAGACAAATATGCTCCAAATTTTGTTCACAGGCGTATAACATACTCAATTATTAAAGGCTGTAAATAGTTCAAAATAAGTTTCCTTGACCCTGAAAAACAAAACAAGGATCAACAATATTCCAAGCAAAAGTCAAAAAGATTGCTTCAGTTTTCTATGGGTTCAATCCATTTAGATAACTCTTATTTTGCTTGATATTCATGAACATTTTATCACTATGAGCCCTGTACGTTTTTCCTTTATTCCAATGTTACAATCTCAAAAGTTACCAGAAATCTGTATTTGAGAGCACCGGTCAGAGTCCCATAGCTTATTATAAACCATGTGTTGAAAAGGATCAAAACAAGACAATTACCTGTTAATAACAAAATGTCTAGGGTAGTTACAGTTAGAAACACAATTGACAAAGAAGTTCGGTCATCTCTGTTGTTTATCATAACATAGCAACATTAATTATAATTAATAACATATACTTCAGACATTAGAATTTTAGAAATCCCACACAATTTTGAAACATATATTAGTATTATTTGGCAAAATAGAACCTAATGAATATTGAACACCATTTTGGCAATCCCATGTAACTAAGCATGTTAAATAATCCTGTTTACCTCTCTATTAGATACTCCAGGGGCCCTCTGTAGCATCCAAAAGCTGGGCATCATGAAAGACAATTTTGAAACCGAAGTTTGATTTTTGGGAAGCCTGTTACACATGTTAGGCTTAAAACACTTGGTGTTATGAAATAGAATTCCAGATTACTATAACTTATTTATTTTGTCAAAATGATGACTTAGAAATGTAAAAAAGCAAAAATCTATTATAACTTTTATAAATTTTGCTAAAGAGCAGATTAGTGCCTTAAGAGTATCTTGTTGTGCTTTCATTTCAAATGCTCAATTTACAGAAAAACCATATAATAATACCCATTTGAATTTAGTCAATATGCACACCATGGAATTTCTTTTGCAAGATTAATTTTTGCAGGCCTTCCATTATTGTTCAAACCTTCAGCTTTATCTTATCTAATTAAAAAATCATTTAACCCGTAAAGAATAATTTACATTTCCACACCTTCTTATAATCTTTTACTAAAAACACATCTTACTCTTCTCACACACCTTGCATGTAAAAGTATTTCCAATGGTTCAATCACATGTTATAATGGTGACTCCTGGCAATTTTAACTTTAATGTAAGATCTGGGAAGTTGTTTTAATTATATGTTAGTTGTAGCCAAGGTTCGACTCCTTCTAGCATAATTAAGGGCATGGTTAATTCGTGTCCCCAGGCCTTAACAACTGTAAAGCTGCCAAGTCAAATGGTTCTCAAAACCCCAAAATCATTTTATAACCTTAAAACACTTAGCAAACCTAATATCTGACCTGCATAATTTAGTTCACCTATTTACATTTTGATAACATCTGCATTTTACCAATAATCTTTAATATTGTTTTTATTTCTCAATGATTACAGTCATATGAACTAAAAGTACCACAGCGTTTATCTTCTCTTAAAAAAATTTGATCCAATGGCTTGTCTTCCTTTAGGCCAATTAATTAGAGCTCTTTTTATAAACATCACATATACAACACATATATAACTACACAGACAGGCAGAAGAAAACCCAGTCACCATAAGACCTTTCATTTGCCAATCTCCTATTTGGATTATTGGCCTCGCAGGGGAGCCCTTTAAGAGACAAGTCTAGGAAAACATGCAACTTTTAAGGCCTAATAAACAGGCATAACTGGGAGGCAAGAACAAATTTTGAGAGGGATCCATTCATTTTTAATTCCTGGGGTACCATAAGAGGTCTCTCCCCTCTCATATGTGCATTAAAAATAGCAAAGCAAAATGGAAAAAAGTAATTCAGTCAACTGAGAAAAAAAAAAAAAAAAAGGAAAAAGAAACACTTCTTCCAGCAAAACAAGGTCCAAGAAAAGAAAACTATAAAGGCCTTTTAAATATACCTGTAACTTGAATAACCACTTTTAATTAAGCTGATCACTCTTTAAGAAAATCCTTTTAAATCCCCTTATTACCCAACTTTAGCCACAACAAGCAGCTAATATTTCCGGCTTTCAAACTTTACTAAAGGCTCAGAGAAAGAAAAATCCAAGACAGTTTGTGGAGGGGAAGAGAATCAACAAATAGTAAAGGTCACGCAGATATCAAGCCAGACAAAAACTCATTCCCTGAGCCAAGATTGAATCCAGCCACCATTGTAAAATGGCAGAGGCTAAATAAAACATTGCCACATGGTTACAGGTCATGCTCCCAAGGACATAAAACAAGATGGAGACCTGCAACAAAGTTTGCTACTGGCCATACAGAAAGTCATGCAAAGCATACCAGATTGGCTACAGTTTAAGACCAACTTCACAAATCCTTTCTCATAAATAAAGCTTTAGAGGGAATACATACAGTGATAGCTGGGGTCCTGGTAAGAAAACTCACGTAAAGTTAACTCTTGACCCAGTGGAGAAAAGGAAAAGACAGCTTAAATGCAGGGCTGTGTTAACTGCTTACAGGGTGGAGAAAAGAAAAGGATGCCTGGGGAAAAATCTCTTATTCTTATGCAAATGGTTCCTCCACCAGGGAGATAAACTTAATTGCTGTCCAACCAAGTGGGATCCCTTGTCCGGGGAAGAAGAAGTCTCCATAGACGCAGGGCATGAATCACTGGCCATTCTGACATTGGGCACCCTCGGGCCATGCATCCCAGCCCTGGCCGGGAGGGGAGAAGGGAAGTCGCCATTTGCCAGACCATTCTGCATGCTCCTGCCGCCATTGGCATAGGGTGGTACACAGTTTTCTCTACGTCAGAAGAGGCCCCAAAAGAAAAAGGCTTAGAAGTGAACTTAAAAAAAAGGATTTATTGGTTTGTATGGTACTCGCCCTTTCTCAAGTCCCATGTTGGGCACCAAAAATGTTTTAGGGAAAAACGGGTGGATTCTTGTCACATGACCAAGGAAAGTTAGGCATGCAGACACTTTGAAGGATAAGGGGAATGGAATTTATTGGGCAAAAAGGAAAAAAATCTCTCAGCAAAGCAAGAGAAGTTTCTGTTAACAGACCCCCATCTCACCGATTGAATCCCAGGTTACCACACAGGAACAGGAGAGGCCAGACTCCTCCCTGCTGCAAAAGGCATGAACTTCTCAGGCCTCCACCCCATCCTCCTAGTGGGCAGGTGGACATTATTCAGAAAGAGTCAGCTGGGAAAGGGCAGGCTTCATCCGGGACCAGCAATCTGGTTTTTCAGCCTTCAGGCTGTTTTAGGCTTGAAGGCAGAGTTTTGCTGGGGAACCCTTGGCTGCCTCCTGTCTCTATCAGAATGTGCCACACCATAAATGATTCTTGAAAACATTATGCTAAATAAAATATATCATCAGATGCAAAAGGACAAATGTATGATTCTACCTATATGAAATATTTAGAATAGGCAAATTACAGTGATAAGACGTTATAATAAAAGTTATCAGAAGCTGGGAGAAGTGGGAAGGTGGAGTTTTTGCTTAATGAGTAAAAAGGTTTCTCTGTGAGTTGATGCAAACGTTTTGGAAACATTTCCCAAGTGTTTGCACAACACTGTGAATGTAATTAATGTCACCAAATTGCACACATAAAATAGTTAAAAAGGTAAAGATTATGCAACATGTATACATATATATATCCACAATTCAATGAATTAATAAAACTCATAAGCAGTAAAAATAAAAGCCAGAAATTATGTAAAATACAATTTAGTTTATATTAAAAATGAAATGTAAACCCTAGTTTCAACTCAAACATATGCAGGCCTTGGAAGCTGTCTTCCCATTCTTATAATAAATAACAGGCTGAAAATCTTAAAATCAACTGTTCTTGTACCTATCATAAAACTGAAAAGGTATGAGAAACCTCTACCCTGAAATCTGGAGAATCATACAAAACCAGAGAGTCACAACCAAAATACACTTACATGACACAGAAGCTGCTGAAGCCCAAACTGTATTAGTTGGAACACTTATATAGTAATTTTGGCAAAGTGTTTGAGGTTGAATGCCAACCAGTGTGGGAGTGAGAAACTCCTGGTGGCCTCAGTATGAGTTGGTGCCCCAAACTTTCATTAGTTTTACTTTCAGCAATCCCACCACATTCTCACGGGGAAATCCCAGAAAAATACCAGAAAGATACCCTGGTAGTTCTGTCAGGAGGAGGAGAAATGTAATCGTTGTGAAATACTCCCAGAGCTTTGTCCATAACAAATGCCTACAATCAGGGGAAAAGTCTACACCAGAACCTTATCCCAGGTGAGGCATAGAGATATTCTACTACTTCAGCCCTCTCTAGCTTTCCAGGGTAGCTATTAGGAAAAAGACCAGTATCAGTGGAGAAATTACTTGTGAAAGTTACAGCCCAGATACACAGGCCCATAAGAGACAGATTTAATCAGATTACAGAAGACTTCCCTCCCCTCACAACTTACCACCACACCAAAAGGGCTTAAATATAAGAATAATAAATTATAAAGAATTGAAAGACACAAAGTAAGTGAGACAAAAAATGACAGTATTAAAAGCAGAAATACACAAATTCTCAATATTGTTGGAGACTTCAACATCTCTATTTCAGTAATTACTAAAATGCCAATTATCCCTAACTTGATTTATAGGTTCAATGAATTCACATTCAAAATTCCAGAAAACTATTTTGTAAATATTAGCAAATTGACTCTAAAGTTTATATGGAAAGGCAAAATTCCTAGAATAGATGACACTATTAAAGAGAAGCAAAGTTGGAAGACTAAACTTATCTAATTTCAAGACTTACCATAAGTTAAGACAATAATCAAGACAGTGTGTTATTGGCAAAATAATAAACAACTTGATCAGTGGAATAGCATAGAGAGCCTAGAAATCAACGCACACACCTACAGTTACTTGATCTTTGACAATGAAGGGAAGTCAATGAAGAAAAGATACTCCTTTTAATAATGGTGCTAGGAAGACTGGTCATCTATATGCAAAATAATGAATTTAGACACATAAATTATAGTTAATTTTACTAAGATTAACTCACATAAATTATTGACCTAAAATACAATGTAAAATTATAAAATTTGCACAAGAAAATATATAAAAATTCTCAATTACCTTGCATTTATTGATGAATTTTTAGATACAACATGAGCCATGAAAAACAAAAACATTGCAAATTTGGATTTTATTAAAATCTAAAATTTCTGCTCTTCAAAAGACCTATTAAGAAAATGAAAAGATTAGCCACAAACATGGAGAATATATTTATAAAACACACACCTGATTAACTGGCATCCAAATTATACAAAAGACTCTTAAAACTGAACAATTAAAAACAAATAACTCAAAATGTGTGCAAAACATAAAACCAGACCCCTCACAAATGAAGATCTATAGGTAGAAAAAGGACATTAGATACATACTAATAAAACATAAATATAGTATAGATTTTAGTTAATAACATTGCATCAATATTGGTTTATCTATTGTATACTAATGTAAAATAATGATAAGGGAAACTTGGTGTTGGGTATGTAGCAGTTTTCTTTATTATCTTCACAATTTTTTGCTAAATCTAAAATTGTTATAAAATTCTAAGTTTATTTTTAAAAAGGCAACAAACCATATTACAGAAAACTTAAAAAGAAAGAAAAAATGCCACGCTAATATAACTACCATTATTTTGTCAAATTACATTTCATTGTTTTTATATGTATTTTATGTAGTTATAGCAAAATATATGTAATGATGTTTGAAAAGTTAAATACTCAAAACATCGCTTTTTAATTATTGTACTACCTTTTATTATCATCTAGGCCCTGAAATCTTTTATTTCTATTTTGTCTTTAGAGTGAAAATTCTATATAATATAAATCTTTTCCCAACTCCCTTATTAACGACATCACACTGGTAGCTGAGATTTGGTCATGGTAGGAGTACCTGCATCATGGAAACCAGAAACACTATAGATCAGAACTTGCTAATTGTTTAGATTTAAGAAAGTGAAGGAGAAAAGTTAATAATGCAGATTAAACTTAGGAATGTGTTGTGCTTGTAGCTTATTTTTGGATGAATAGCACAAAAATGAGGAATATTCTTCTAGATTTCTAAAAGTATTATTTGATTCAGCAAAATAATCAACAAATAAGTGAACTCCAAAATATTTTTGTTATTTTTCTTTAATAAAGTGAAACTGAAACATCCATCAACATTCATGCCAGAGCTATACTCATTAGTCACTTGCAACCAAAATAGGGCAATAAATACAAGGATCTAGCAAAAATTAAAAAAAAAAAAAGCATTGCCGGAAAATGAATTTAATAAAAGGAATTTACAATACAGAGTAATGTACACCTGATTATTTTTAAATTATGTATTATACATCCTTTATAAATCTTTAGTAGCATTCATAATAAATGTTTACATGTAACATTCATAATGTTTACATATCTATATTTCTATATCTAAATTTCTGTTTATCACTCTAACATTTATTTCTCTATCATCTATCTACCCTATCTATCTATCTATCTATCTATCTACTTATCTACCTATCTATCTACCATCATCTATCTACTTTTCTTGGGAGACCTGATTGTTAAGCATTTACTAGCACGTCACTGCTTAAATTGTATTAATGCAGTCCTCACGAATTCAAAATCTGAGATGATTAGAATATCAACTGAAGTTAATTATTGTTTTATGTTTTATAGTGGCATAGGAGAAGGTCTCACTAATAATTTTAATAGTGTTTTTCAGATATTTTGTTTGTTAATTTTTGTACATATGTTGATTTTTTTTCTTTCAAACTTATTTTGTACGGTGAACTCTTTATTTCAGACAGGCTTCTTTTCCTTTTATTTGAATAATCTTTTCCAATGAGCATATTGCTATTAAAATGCCCCTCCAATCATGTTTTTCATTGGTGAGCTCACAGATATTAGTATTGCAGGGCTTGGGGAAAAACCCAAAGGGATTTAACATTAAGGAAACTAACCAACTCTCCAAATGCCCAGATTAGATTGCTTTCTGCCTCCCTTTGACAACTTGCTTCAAGGAACTACTATAAATGTTTCCCTAAATGTTTCCCAGTGGATTAAAGTACGTTCCTTTAATTCTGTCATTATTGTAGTTTATTCGAATTCCTAATTCATTTGTTTTTATTTCTGTCCTTTCATCTCGATTACCATTGTGATTTCCTTAGTAAAGGATAAACATTGATTTCGCTCTTCAACCCACCTGTGTACTGTTTCTATAGCAAGTGCTCTAAATCACTGCAACACAAAATGTGGTTCAAAAACTAGTAGGATCCATCTGCATCACCTGGGAGCATGTTAGAAATGAAATGTCTCAGGCTTCACCTCAGACCTGCTGAATCAGAATCTACATTTTTTTAAACTTTTATTTTAGGTTCAGGGATACACGTGCAGGTTTGTTATATAGGGAAACTCATGTCCTGGGGGTTTGATGTACAGATTATTTTATCACTCAGGTACTAAGCCTAGTACCCAATAGGAGGCCATTATCTTTAGCAAACTAATGCAGTAACAGAAAACCAAATACTGCATGTTCTCACTTAAAGTGGGAAATAAATGACAAGAAGAGGTGGACACAAAAAGGGGAACAACAGATACTGGGGGCTACCAGAAGGTGGAGGATGGAGGGTGAGAGGAGGCAGAGTCGCTGAATCTACATTTTAACAAAATCTCTACGTGATCTGTAAACAAATAAAATTTAGGGAAGCACTGCCTGAAAGGCCTGCTTGAGTCTTAGGACTTGTGTGCTCATAAAATCTGCTATCCAAGTCCTTCCAAGCCTTTTGTAATCTTTGGAAACACTAGTTCTTAATGTGAACTATTTCCTGCTACATTAATATTTAGGAAGCAGCGAGTATGGACCACTTTTTCTTTTGTTGAAAATATTTTCAGTTGTGAGATACAACATTATTTAAACAATTGTTTGGAAGAATATGTACAAATGAACATATGAGCCCATATACAATCATGAAGCAAACACTCAATCTAAGTAATATAAATAGAATATATTTATCTCCATAAATACCCTATGTGTTCTTTCCTTCTCAACAGATACATTCTGAATGTAAAATTAATCATTCATTTTCTTTTCATTTTAGCTTTAACACCTATGTATGTGTTCCTAAACAAAATATTGTTTCATTTTGTCTGTTTATGACCTTTATAACATTGGAATCATACTGTATACATTTTTGTGACTTGCTTCTTTCACACATTATTATGTTTTCTGAGGTTTATCTAAATTGATAGGTGGAGCTGCATAAGAGCCTATTGTATGATCATAACTGCAACTTATTCATTTTATTGTTGATAGACATTTAGGTTATGTTTAGATTTTTGCTATTATTAACACAATAATATAAAAAGTTTTGTACATGTTTCTAAACTTAGGAAGTCTAAATTTCTATAATATTGGAAAAGGTGTGGGCCAGTGGAAAATCTTACATTCTGCTTGTAAGTACATAAATTGGTACAACTAATTTAGAAAGTAATTAGTATTACCTTATAAAATTAAAAATTTGATTATCCTAAGGCCAGGCACGGTGGTTTAAGCCTTTAATCCCAGCACTTTTGGAGGCCAAGGCGGGTGGATCACGAGGTCGGGAGACCCAGATGATCCTGGTTAACACGGTGAAACCCCGCCTCTACTAAAAATACAGAAAAAAATTAGCCAGGTGTGATGGCATGCACCTGTAGTCCCCAGCTACTGGGGGAGGCTGAGGCGGGAGAATGGTGTGAACCTGGGAGGCGGAGCTTCCAGTGAGCCGAGATCACACCACTGCACTCCAGCTTGGGCCACAGAGTGAGACTCCGTCTCAAAAAAATAAAAAAATTTAAAAAAATAAAAATTTTTTTGATTATCCTGCTGGCACATTTTGGCAGCCATATGGGTACACTTTATCACTTGCACTTCAAAATAACTTGCATTTCAGTTGCAAGGAGTGCAGTAGCTGACAACTTCCATTTACGGCACCTTAACTATTTCTGCCCAACACAGGGTCTCTCAAATGGTAAATCCCAGCTTCAAATCTCCCCACTGGGTTGGCCTAGACTTTCATAGATATACCTGGAAGTCTGAAGGCTTTTCCTGCCCAATTCTGCTTTCTCCCCTTTGCTTTCAACAGGCACCCTTATTACCCCCACAAAAATCTCTTAGTCATGTAGGCATTTCAGTGTCTGCTGACTGGAGAACCTGAAATGACATTCCAATTAACCCATTTTTAAATTCACCAGTAAAAATTAACAAGAGCTGTCATAGCATCAATTTAAATGTCTATCAAAAGGAAAATAAATACATCTTTTATATTGACACATGAAAGAAGATTATGAGGAATTACAAACTGCATTTTTACATACACGTGACAACATTGTGCTCAAAAAGATGCAAAACCAAACATATTCTTAAGTAATTCATTCAATTTTAAAAATACATTTGAACTATTTCTGTTTTACTCAGTTTTGTGTTGCTGTAGCAGAATACCACAGACTGTACAGTATATAAAGAACAGAAATTTATTTGTCATAGTTCTGGAGGCTGGGATGTTCAAGGTCAAGACACCCACAGATTTGGTTGTCTTGTGAGAGCTACTCTCTGCTTCCAATATGGCACCTTGTTGCTGCATATTCCAGAAGGGAAGAATGCTGTGTCTTTACATGGTGGAAGGCGGAAGGTCAAGTGAGGTTAAAGCTGCCAGAAGACTCTAAGTCCTTAATCCCATTCAAAGAAAGTTTTCATGGCTTAATCACCTCTTAAGGGCTCCACATTTTAGCATTATCACATTGGTAACACCTGAATTTTGGAAGAGACCTATTCAAACCATAGCAATGTTTAAGTGAAACTCTTTAATTAAAATATAATTAAATTATTATATAATTTATTTAATAAATTAATTATATAATTATATTTTAAGTTTCACTTAAACATGAATAATATATAAATATACATATTTATATACATGTTTATAAGTAAACATATAAACAATAAACATATACATATACAGATAAATGCATAAATCTTAAGTGTATAACTGGATAAATATTCACAAAATGAACAGGACTGCTGAATTAAATCAGGACTTTGAATCAAAGAATTAATTGTCTGGGCCTCTTTCATTCATTACCCGTAACTTTCCCCAAAAGTAACCGTGATTATGACTCTTATGATAAAAGATTATTCTGCCTATTTTATTTTAAATTTTACATAAATAGAGTAAAAACTATGTACTCTTTACACCTGGCTTCCTTGCTCAACATCATGTTTGTGAATGTATTCATTTTTGCATAGAATACTTGTTCATCATCATTGTTGTATAGTATTTAATTGTGTGAATATAATTTATCCATTTTGTTGATAAATATTTGAATTGTTTCTAGTTTTAGACTATGAACTTTCTTATACATGTCCTTTGGTGGATATATGTACGCATTTCTGTTGCATATATTTTTAAGTGGGGTATTGCTGGGTGATAGAAAAGATACACACACACGCATACACACAAACATGTATATGGAGTGCGTGTGTATCAGATACACACTCATACATTCGACCCTTAAACAATGCAGATGTTAGAGGCTCTGATCCCTTGCACTGTCAAAAATCTGTGTAAAACTATTGACTCTGCTCAAACTTAACTATTAATTGTGTACTGTTGACTGGGAGCCTTACTGGTAACATAAAGTAAATTAACACAAATTTTATATGTTATATATTTTATATAGTGTGATTTTTCAATAAGTACCCTAGAGAGAAAAATTGTTATTAAGAAAATAAAAAGAAAAAAGTAAAGAAGAAAACTATAAGGACAATATATTTTCTATTCATTAGATAGAAGTGAATCATCATAAATGTCTTTATCCTCATTGCCTTCACATTGAGTAGGCTGAGGAGGAAGAATGGTTGGTCCTCCTGTCTCAGGGGTGGCAGCAGCAGGAGAAAATCCATGTATAAGTGGACCTACACAGTTCAAACCCATGCTGTGTTTTTCAACAATCAAGCGTGTGTGTGTGTGTGTGTGTGTGTGTGTGTGTGTAAAATATATGTATTTATATGATATGTATACACACACACTGTATTAATCAGGGTTCCCTAGAGGGACATAACTAATAAGATAGATGTATATATGAAGGAGAGTTTATTAAGGAGTATTAACTCACACGATCACAAGGTCCCATAATAGACCATCTGCAAGCCGGGGAGCAAGAAAGCTGATTCCCAAGGCTGCAGAACTTAGAGTCTGATGTTTGAGGGCAGGAAGCATCCAGCATGGGAGAAAGATGCAGGCTGGGAAGTGAAGCCAGTCTAGTGTTTTCACCTTCTTTTTCCTGCTTTTTATTCTGGCTGCACTGGCAGCTGATTAGATTGTGCCCACCAAGATTAAGGGTAGGTCTGCCTTTCCCAGTCCACTGAATCAAATGTTAATCTTCCTTGGCAACACCCTTACAGACACACCTAGGAACAATACTTTGCATCTTTTAATCCAATCAAGTTGACACTCAGTATCAACCATCACACACACTCATATCTCTTTAGCTCCAGTGAATATTGGCAGTTTTTCAAAGAGGTTACATTAAAGAGGTTACAGATATGCAGGCATACCTCATTTTATTGTGCTTCGCTCTAGTGCACTTTGCAGATCTTGCAGTTTCTACAACTTGAAGGTTTGTGGCAACGCTGCATGGAGCAAATCTATCAGCACCATTTTTTCCAACAGCATGTGCTTACTTGGTATCTCTGTGTCAGCATTTTTTTAGAAATAAAGTGTCTTTTAATTAAGGTATTAAGGTATTTTTTAGACACAATGCTATTGCAGACTATAAGATAGTGTAAACATACTACAATGCTATAGACTACAGGATAGTGTAAACGTAACTTTTATATGCACTGGGAAACCAAAAGTTTCTGTGATTTACTTTATTGTGATATTCACTTAAATATTGTGGTCTGGAACAGGACCTGCAATATCTTCAAGGTATGCCTATAGAGACATGCAATTGACTTTTTCATATAGATCTTGAATTTAAGAAACTGATTATATTTTTCATTAAATATAATATTATTTGTAAATTCATTTGGGTTTTCACTATAGACAATCTTATCATCTGCAAATAAGTATTGTTTCCTTTGTAATACTAATATACGTTGTTTCCTTTTCTTATTTTGTTGGCTAGGGCTCTCAGTTTAATTATCTCTGATTTCAGAGAATGTTTTTAACATTTCAGAATTGAGTACGGAAATACCTATTATCATTTTTATTCTTTTATATTCCTAGTTTGTCAATAGTTTTTGCATGAATGTATACTGAATTATTAATAATTGTAAGTTTTTCTGCATTTTTAGGTGAGCACATGCTTTTTCTCCATTAATCTGCAAATGTATTTAATTATTTTAATAGAAGAATTCATCTCGAATAAATATTGTATTCTTATAGTGACCCCAAGTTGATAATGATACAATATGTTTTTAAACACTCAGGTTCATTTTATTAATATTTCACTTAGAATGTTTTCACTAGAGTGAGAGTGGCCTATGGTTTTCACTTCTATAGTATTAAGATTTCACTAGCCTCAAAAAATAAGTTAGGTAATATTTCCTTTTCTTCTGTTGTATTGAAGAACTGCATAAGCTTAAACTTATTTTGTACTTATTTTAGTCTATGATGAAGGCATGATTTCAAGTCAGTGGATAAAATAACAATTATTTAGTAGATTAAGTAAACTAACTGGAGAGTCACTTGTAAAAGAAATCTAAATCCCTCATTCACATCATACATTAGCACACATTTTAAATGTTATTAATAAATAAAAAATTAAAATAAAACCAGGAACTATTTAAATAGAATTCAAGTGAAATCTTTCAATAACTCTGGCATACAGAAGACTTTCCAATAATTACAGCAATACCAGAAATTATTTGGTTCCAACTGAAAATAACGTTTTACTTTTATGTAGTCAAAAATGAAAGAGATCACTTCTATAAGATTTATCTAAATAAATATTTGTGTTCATATACATATGCACATATATATGTTTTAGAAGATTAATACTGTAATATAAAAATGGGCAATAGACTTTGAAACTTTAATTGTGCTTGATGCATTATAAGGAATCTATTAATTCTATACTATACTAATTTTATAATCACCATCTAACTGTTATTGCTTACTGTTTCCACTAGTTTATAACATGGCTTTTTGGATAATTCTTATGTAAAAATAACTTGTCTGTCTGCTTCTCAAACTTCTTATATTTTTATCTTGTATATTTGAATACACAAAACGATGTTAAAGGTAGAGGAAAAACAAATCTTTGTTTTTTCTTTTATTTTATTGAAAATGTCTCTGTGGTCTTTTCGTTATGTATGGATGCTAGATTTTGTTTAGAAAAGTGTTAAGGAAATAAGCATTAGTCAGTAGAAATATCTATAAACCTTATATCAGAATGGGTGTTGAATTTCATCAAGCCTTTTCAATGTCTGTCGTGATGTTTATACACCTTTCACTCATATATTGGTTACTAAAGTGAAATATGCTTATAAGTATTCTAATTTTCTGAATACTATTATGCCATTATTATCTATACGCTTGTGAGCTGTTTTCAAAATTTATTTCAATTACATTTAATTACAAAGTTGTGCTTTGAAACCATCATTACCACATTTTGTTCTTTGTCATTGTGAATAAAATTTTTGCACCACTGTTTTCTCACCAGGACTTCTCCATTACTGAAATGCATTTTAATTCAATTTTTAGTAGGTAACGCACATTTTCAAGGACATTTTTAAGGCTCCACTTAAAAAGCGACATTTTTAATAAACATTTGTGATTATTGTAATTGCTATTCTTACATATTTAAGTACTCCTTTTTGTACTTTACAAGTGAACCACGTTCTGAATGGGCAGGCAATTCTTGAGTCATCAAGTTTTCCCATCTGTTGACATTTTTCTATTTTCCTTTGATATCATCATCAAATGTGGCTAAAGATGATAATCTTGAAATCGACTTATTTCTCTTAGTAAATTATTTTCTTCTCTTCTTTGGATGTTTGTGGAATTATTTATACTCATCATCCAACAAATTCAGACTTACAGGGATCATTCTTGTTTAATTCTTTTCTGATATACGGTGAGACATTTCAGTCTACAGACTGAAGATTCTCTTGATTTCAGGAAAGTTTTATTCAATCATAAAATTAAACATGCATTGTCTTGTCAGTTTCAGCTGCTATAACAGATTACCAGAGACTTGGTGGCTTAAACTACAAACATTTATTTCTCATAGTTCTGGAGGCTGGAAATTCCAAAATCAAGATTCTGGCAGGCATCTCGTCTGGTTAGAGCACTCTTACTGGCTTACGGATAACTGTCTTCTTATATCTTTACACGGCAAAGAAAGAAATAATCTATTTTGTGTTTATTCTTATAAGGGCACTATTTCATGTATGAGGGCTCCACTCTCATGACCTAATTACCTATCAAAGTCCCCACTTCCTAATACTATCACATTGGAGGTTAGGATTTCAGCTTACTAGTTTGGGCAACACACAATTATTCAGTCCATAACATGCATATATTTTTCCTGTTTAACTTGTGGTTTGATCAGAAACATCAATTATCCCACTGTTTGGGCTTTGGTTCTTCTTGGTTTTCAAATCTAACTTCTTCTGATTAGTTTTTCCTCTGTGTAGTTATGAACAACTACATTGTCTATAACTTCCATACACTTCATCCTTTATGTTTTCGACAGCATTCTGTAGTGATATATTTTGATTCTACATTCAATAAATGTAAACCAAAATGGGAAAAAGCAAAATTTTTTCTTTTAATTTTAGAATCCGTTCAATACCACTGAAACACAAGTAGGCCACTTGGATGCTTTATGATTGACTTGCTATTGTTGCTATTGCTCAGCAGCTGTAAAGGAAAAATTCAGGTATCTCCTTCTATTCTCTTACCTACCTAGTTTTGCTTCCAAGTCATTTCTCTTGAATAAACACTGAGTAGTTAAAAAATAATGCTCATTTAGACACACAGGTTTTTCGTTGTTGTTGTTTTGTTTTGTTTTTTGCATTTGTGCATTTGTAGGCCTCAAAGTGATGTTCTCTTTTATTTTCTCTGATTTCTGCCACCAAATGTATCATCCACAAAAGTTAAGGATCACTGACAACTCAAATTGCTTTTACTTTTCCAAAATTCTACATGGAATTAATTTAGAAGAAATATGTGACAGATGATGGGATTGTCCCTCAACTTGATCTTAAGTTTTCAGAATCTGTGGTTTGGGATTGTGATCTTTCCCTAATTACACTATAAATGCTGTTTCCACCTTTGTTTTTGACTTTTCTGTGGGAAGTTATAAAAAACATAATCACACTCTACTGTTTACACATAGATATATATATTTGAAATATACATATATGATAGATTATATATATTGCTGTATATTTGTATATGTATTTCATTAAGGATTTAACTCATTACTTCTTCTTATATACCACTCTTAGATGTTCAAGATATGTTATGAAATGAAAGAAATAGGATACATAAAAATAGGAGATATACACAGGAGACTGCAATAATTTAATTATCATTTAAATAGTTGTTTATAATGATGATGAAATTATTGGTGGTTATTATATTATCTAGATTTTTATAAATGTTTTAAAACATGGATTTTTTTTTATAAACACAGTTTTCATTATAATAGCGAAACAAATTTCTGTCCTAATGAAGCTCATACAACAGTTTTTCACAGACCAAATTGATAAGTAACTTTACTACATGTCATAATGCCAGTATTCCAAAAAGTCACAAAGATCTATCAAGGTTCACAACAATGGGTTATTGTTAAAAAGTTGTTTAATCAAACTTTAAAGAAAAAATATATACATATATATAATTAAATGAATTCTCTGATAAGTTTTCTTAAGAAATGAGAAAAAAAAGTATTTTATGTGATGAAAACAATTATCCCAAAATTGTCAGGAAAATTCATGACTTAGAGTATTAGGTTATTTCCAGTGTGATTATAGGAATAATATCCAGCCTCCTTTAAAAGTCTCATGTGCAGCCTTAATCCTTTGTCAGTCACCTTATTTTATCCAAAATATGAAGTACAGTATGGTCTCTGTTCTGGTTGGAAAGAATTCACTTTGTGGATATTTAAGTACCACGAAACATGCCTCCTTCCTTGGTCTTTGAGTCATTTGATCTAAAGCTGCTCCCACATATTCCTTTATGCCCAATTTTAACCAAAATTCCTGTCTTAACTCTATACTCACCCAGGTAACAACTGTGAATTCTGATACCACTTATGATTTATTTTAACTGAATTTCTGCTTAGCTGCAAACTCAATATTCTGTGACTAATGCCACTGTATTAGTCCATTTTCATGCTGCTGATAAAGACATACCCAAGACTGGGAAGAAAAAGAGGTTTAATTGGACTTACAGTTCCACATGGCTGGGGAGGCCTCAGAATTATGGCTGGAGGGAAAAGGCACTTCTTACACGGTGGTGGCAAGAGAAAATGAGGAAGATGCAAAAGTGGAAACTCCTGATAAAACCATCAGACCTCATGAGACTTACTACCACGAGGACAGTAGGGGGGAAACTGTCCCCATGATTCAAATTATCTCCCACCAAGTCCCTTCCACAACACGGGGGAATTATGGGAATACAATTCAAGATGATATTTGGGTGAGGACACAGAGCCAAACGTATCAGCCACACACACCCCATCCTATTCCTTCTTCCAACCCCCCTCTCTGTTTTACACATACATACACAACCTCTGTATACATAATTAATTTACTTCTAAATCTTATGCCCATTGCCACTTTAGTTTCTAAAAGTCAACCCAAAACCCAGAATCCCAGCCTTGATTGTGTTTTTCAGATACCTTGGCCTTTTCACTCCACCATCAAAACTTGCAGTTATTAACCATCATTAATCTCCTATCTCTTGGAAGTGACCTGCTAGCCCTATGCTCTACGTTGGCTGGTACAGCCTGGTCTCTGGATAATGTTAACATTATCTCTCACTAGATATACACACCCATTTAAAAAATATTTTGAGAATCTCATGATTCTTAAAAGCAGTGAGTCTTAGCCCTAATCCATTATTTAAAATATAATGGCCTCCTGAAGAGACCTTCAATGATTTGCTTGGCTTTTCCTGAAATCATGCTTTGGAAGACAGGAATAAATGCCAATTCCTTATTCTATACTTCTACAGATTTCTCTTTTTTTTTGCCATCTGTGTTTTAGAAATGTATGTTTGTCTCTGTTTTTTAAAAAACCTTCTGAGAAATAAGGTAATTGTGACCTAATTGTAGAGAGCTGTTTCTGTCAGTTTCTTTGTTCTTTAAGAAGGAGAAGTTGTTGATTAGTACACCCTAGTGTACAATTAAGTGTAAAAGGATGCTATGACTTCAAAGTAAGTGTCTGATCCTTCTCTGTGATTCTCTAAACATGTCTGTGCAGATGAACCACTTTTGCTATTAAAATTTTGGATCCTAAATCAAATTATAGCAGTTGAAGATTCAGAAACTCAGAGCAAATTAAGAAGTGGTTTTATTTAGTAAATAAAAATCATGAAAAATATGCTTTTCATTTCTTACTCACAGTGACTGGGATTGAATGGTTTTTTCATCTCTTAACAGATATTAAAATCTTCTATATTTTTTACTGTTCTTACAGATGTTAAATCTTCTTTATTTTTTCACTGTTCTTATGTATTGTTTGTTACTAGAACACTGTGCCTGTAATAGTCTCCCAAAATAAAGTTGCTCTAACAAATGCTTTTGAACATTAAATTATCTGTCCCTTTAAATATATTTATTAATTATTAAAATAGCCCTGGGCTACAATTCTACATAGTCAGTGACCTCATAACCATTCATTCATTCAAAACTATGCAAATATACATATGGGAAAATAATGACAAAAAACAAAGTGGATATGGTCCAGGCCTTCATGAAGCTTGTAGTCCATTAGAGAAAAAGCAAAAACTATGGTGACATCAGCATAACCCAAATGCTAAGAAGGCTTAAAGAGGACCTTTCCCATGAGTTGCCTACACCAAAGAGAAATGAGAATTACTGGCTGGTAATGTTGGCATTTGAATCAGGTTAGCAGAACATTCCACAGATGAGCTTAAATAAAATACAAGTTATCTATCCTCTTTTACTCTTCAGTGTTTGTTTGTTTATGAGGAGCTAGAGATGAAATACAAATGTAAGAGGAGATATTTTTCTTATATGCTGTTAAGTCTTATAAAGTAGGGTTTTGCCTTGTTTGCTTGTTTATGTTTTGGAGGTTTGTTGGTTGTTATAACGTTATTGCTCCATCGATTAGGTAAAAAGCGTTATTATATCCTCCTGTATCAAGTCCCCCTCTTGGTATTCTGAATGGCATGTCAAAACAGTACCCAGGTTCAAAAGGACTAATTTCATGGGTTCCTATAAATACTGGAGAGTTCTTTACTGGGAATTTGAGTTTTTTTATGGCAATACATCATCTTGGTTTTTATCCAATATGACTATAGCTAGCATTTAAATTTCTTTCTCATTAATCATCTCCTTGACAAGCTCTCAATCAAATTCTTTTGACAAAGACTCACCACTTACCTGACTGTGCTAATTCTTTCTTGATATCTCAGGCAGGCTACTTCTCATCCTGCCATACCTTAGCAGATATCTCTACTTCTGGCTTCTATCCCTCAATAATATGGCTTTGTTACTTTAACCTAAGCCCTAGGTTTAACACAGAGGACACATTGGTCCCAAAGATCATAAAGAAATTGAAGATCAGGCAAAAATTCAACAAAGGTTATAAAACATTTATTTTGAGGTATAAGTATTTTACTGAAGAATGGGCAGAATTATTTTTATAAGCCATGTCTGAAAATATCAAGGTGAATACTTGTACCTCAAAGACTAAGGAAGAAAAAAAGAGCAAATAGATTTGAATACATTTTTGGAACCAGAAATCAAATGGGAGCCTGGACACACCCTTAACAATTTTGGGGCCTGGCAAGAGTATAAGAGTTCCACACTGGGCTAACAATTTGTCATATAAAACATCATATATATTGTTCTACCTTGAAAAAAGTTTAAAAGCATGGTTGAATTATGTCTTTATATGACTAAATTTTGGAAAATATTAAAAATAAATTTAATTATTAATGTATGCTTCTTGGCTTACTATTGGTTAGTCAGTGATATTTGGATGAATAATAAAATACAGATATACTCATTTCTTAATTTATGAATATTCCTACCATATTAATTTTCCTGTCTTCCATGTTGTTAAAATTAATATATTCATATAAGACTTGTGCTATTGATAGTGTGCTACAAAAGATTAAAATATAAAACACAATCATTCTCAAAATGGGCAAATCTTGAACTTATGTTCATAAAATTAAATTAATAAACTATATTAAAACAGTTATTTTATATATGCTTTCAAAAGTTATTCTCTTCTATAATATTAAAAATTATAACATTAAAAGGACAAATACAAATATTAATAAATATTAAAATTTTTGTTAAAAATTTAAACAAAGCTAGAATTTTTAGAATATTTTGACAATTTAAACAAATTTTATGAAATAATATTATAAATATAAAACTACTTGCAATTGTACCCTTTAACGTGCATCCAATTGCCAATGCAAAGAACTAGCATAATACAATGCTTGCCACATCTACAAATACACAAATTTAAAAGGAATAAAAACTGTTAATATAGCAACATTTTTCTCATCTGCATTGTGCAATGGTTACAAAACCATGTAGATTTGTTTGTCTTTCCAGAAACAAGATTTGAAGTACAAAGAGAAGCAAGAAAAGGGATGCGTGACGCTACTGAGAAATAATACTTCCTTAAGCAAGAATCTATTGGATTTATGCTATTTGAGGAAAAAGAAGTTAATTTATGTTTCCTGTTACATAATGCACTCAAATGTTTCTCACCCCCTGAAGCAGTGTCTGTCTTCAGTACACAAAACTCTTTGGCATTTGGACATGTTTGAGCATAGGATAATATAGGTGGAAAAGTGTTTTCCTTGGAGCTAAATGTTAGCCACAAGAGATCTTGATTAGGGTTGCCAGAAGCAAAGTGACAGAAGTTGCTATATAAATTTAACTATTTATTTGTGTGTTTGTGATATGGGAACATCGAAAGCACACAGCATGGGGCTGGTTTCTTTCTTACCCTGCTCTGTTCATGGTGACTGTGTTACCTAGAGTAGAAGTAGGAGTTGATCCACATGGGAAAACCCCAGAGAATATCTATTTCTGAAGTCAGCACGAATACGGGACTATAGAGGAGCTAATATGAATGACTGTCTATCTAAAAACTGTGCTAGTTTTCACTATCATCTCATTCTGTCCAACTCCACCACACAGTAATATGGTGAGAAGTGAGGTTATGAGAGTGTTAATTTTAACGAGTATGGAAAAACTGGCCCAGTTTCCACCCTTATCCTATCCTCCCCTGTGCGCAGAGAGATGGGAAGACCATTTTCCTGCCTTCTGCCACATAATCAAAACACAGGCACACAGTCACCGACACAGATACAGAGATATGCACCAAAATTGCAATGATTATCTCCATGGGTAGAGTTATGCTTTCATATATTGAGTTTGATATCTGAAGTGAAGCATTCCCCAGTCTGGCCTTTGGGTATCTCAGGCCTAATATTTTAAGTCTTCATATAGTCATTATAAAATAAAGCTTGTCATTCTAAATGTCTAGCTTCATCCTCAGAAACAAAGCTTCCATTTAGTCTTCCTCATCTGGTAAGCAGTTTATCAAAAAACTCTGACTACACAATTACAGAGAAAATCAATTCTAACACATCAACAATAATCAATCAAATATTTCCTTCTGAAGTATAAAAGAAGCAACCATGATTTAACACATAAGATAGAAAACAGCAGAGTAAAACAGTAAGTTTTGAAACAACAGAATATTGAGCCCAGAATAAATATAGTTTAGAAAAGAGAAATTTTAAATAACATAATTAATATTCTCAGAGGAATATGAGAACATAATATATTGCTGGTGGGAACATAAAACGGTACAGCCATTCTAGAAAACAGTTTGATCATTTCTCAAAAAATTAAGCATTCAAGTACAATAAAATTCAGCTATTTCCCTCCATTTATACCAGAGGCATTTATACCAGAGGGAAAAAATATTTACACAAACACTGGTACGTAAGGTGTTTATAATAGTAGCCGCAAATTAGAAACAACTCAGATATCTTTCAATGAGTGAATAAACAAACTGTGGCATAACTTATCTGTACCATGGGATACTGCTCAACAATAAAAACGAATGAACCAATGATACATGCAACCACCTGTATGAATCTCCAGAAAACTATGCGGAGTAAACAAACCAAATACATGCTGTGTAATTCCACTTGTATGAAATTCTTGAAATTATAAAATTGTAGACATGGAGAACAGATTAATGGTTACCAGGGGTTAGGGAGAAAGTGGAGTGGGAAGAAAGTGAGTTTGACTCAATAGGGATAACATGAGGGATCTTTGTGGTGATGGAAATGTTCTATATCTTGACTGTATTAATTTCAACATCTCAGTTATAATTTATATTATAGTTTTGTAAGATTTTATCATTGGCATAATTTGGTAAGAGGTGCATGGTATTTCTATTATTTCTTACAATTGCCATGGGAATCTAAAATTATCTCAAAATAAAAACCTTAATTAGAAAGTGAAATTGTGGCCGGGCGTGGTGGCTTATGCCCGTAATCCCAGCACTTTGGGAGGCCGAGGCGGGCAGATCACTTGAGGTCAGGAGTTCAAGACCAGCCTGGCCTACATGGTGAAACCCCATCTCTACTAAAAATACAAAAACTAGTGGGGCCTGGGGGCGGGCACCTGTAATCTCAGCTAAAGAGGTTGAGGCAGGAGAATTGGTTGAACCCAGGAGGCAGAGGTTGCAGTGAGCCGAGATGGTGCCACTGCACTCCAGCCTGGGTGACAGAGCGAAACTCACTCTGTCTCAAAAAAAAGAAAAGAAAAGAAAATGAAATTGTTATTTAAAAGCACCAGACAATAAAGCATAATCGTCATACAAAAGTAAATCAATAGAATGGCTAGAAAATAACACTGAAGAAATACATATATTTACCTTGAGAGGAAAAAAAGAGGAAAAATATGAAAGCAACAATAAGTAACATAGGGGTTCAATTCTATAAGCACAATGTTTATCAGGAATTAAAGAAGAGTGAAGAAAGAAAATGAAAACGACAAAATTATTGAATTAATATAAATAAATTTTCAGAACTTGAATAAACTCGTGAACTTTTAGATTGAAAGGAAAATGGTCTTCAGAACGTTGTTTAAATCTGTCAATAAATTTCACAACTTTCTTTGTAGCGTTTTCCCAAATTTGTTTAAGTTTACTCCAAAATGAAATTATAGTTCTTGAATACTTTTTGATATACGTCTTTATTTTTCTCAGTACATATTATTATTTAGGTATTGCAGATTGCATTGGCAAATTCTTTCTAATATGATAGCAAATTTTTATCATCAGATCAATCAAATCATTGGAAAGCATTCTCAGTTTTTGTTTTTTTTTTTTTTTTTTTTAGTTATAAAGAACAAATTTATTTCTCACAGTTCTGGAGGCTGGGTAGTTCAAGATCAAGGTGCCAGCATCTAATGAGGACCTTCTTGCTGTGCCATCTCATGGTGGAAGTTAGAAGGAAACGAGAGCGTGAGAGAGAGAGAGAAAGTAAAACAAGGTGAACTCCCCCTTTCATAGTCAACCCACAACTGAGATAATAAACTCACACTTGTGATAATGGCTGTAATCCATTCATTCTACATTCATTGCCTAATGACTTTTCATTAGGCCCAACCTCCCAACAGTGTTGCACAGATGATTAAGTTTCCAACACATGCTTTTTGGGGGACACATTCAAACCACAACATTATACCCTCCGGCCCCCCAAATTCATGCTCTTCACCCATGTAAAATACATTTATTTTATCACAATGGCCTCAAAGTCTTTTTTTTTTTAAATGGGAAATGAAGTTTTTAATTTTCTTTCAAATTACACCCAAAGCAGGTGTAACTGTGACTCAATATTTGATATATACTTTAGGAGGGGTAATCCATTTTTTTTGTCTTTTTTTTATTATTATTATACTTTAAGTTTTAGGGTACATGTGCACAATGTGCAGGTTACATATGTATACATGTGCCATGCTGGTGTACTGCACCCATTAACTCATCATTTAGCATTAGGTATATCTCCTAATGCTATCCCTCCCCCCTCCCCCAACCCCACAACGGTCCCCAGAGTGTGATGTTCCCCTTCCTGTGTCCATGTGTTCTCATTGTTCAATTCCCACATATGAGTGAGAATATGCGGTGTTTGGTTTTTTGTTCTTGCGATAGTTTACTGAGAATGATGATTTCCAATTTCATCCATGTCCCTACAAAGGACATGAGCTCATCATTTTTTATGGCTGCATAGTATTCGATGGTGTACATGTGCCACATTTTCTTAATCCAGTCTATCATTGTTGGACATTTGGGTTGGTTCCAAGTCTTTGCTATTGTGAATAGTAGTGCCGCAATAAACATACATGTGCGTGTGTCTTTATAGCAGCATGATTTATAGTCCTTTGGGTATATACCCAGTAATGGGATGGCTGGGTCAAATGGTATTTCTAGTTCTAGATCCCTGAGGAATCGCCACACTGACTTCCACAATGGTTGAACTAGTTTACAGTCCCACCAACAGTGTAAAAGTGTTCCTATTTCTCCACATCCTCTCCAGCACCTGTCGTTTCCTGACTTTTTAATGATCGCCATTCTATCTGGTGTGAGATGGTATCTCATTGTGGTTTTGATTTGCATTTCTCTGATGGCCAGTGATGGTGAGCATTTTTTCATGTGTTTTTTGGCTGCATAAATGTCTTCTTTTGAGAAGTGTCTGTTCATGTCCTTCGCCCACTTTTTGATGGGGTTGTTTGTTTTTTTCTTGTAAATTTGTTTGAGTTCATTGTATATTCTGGATATTAGCCCTTTGTCAGATGAGTAGGTTGTGAAAATTTTCTCCCATTTTGTAGGTTGCCTGTTCACTCTGATGGTAGTTTCTTTTGCTGTGCAGAAGCTCTTTAGTTTAATTAGATCCCATTTGTCAATTTTGTCTTTTGTTGCCATTGCTTTTGGTGTTTTAGACATGAAGTCCTTGTCCATGCCTATGTCTTGAATGGTAATGCCTAGGTTTTCTTCTAGGGTTTTTATGGTTTTAGGTCTAACGTTTAAGTCTTTAATCCATCTTGAATTAATTTTTGTATAAGGTGTAAGGAAGGGATCCAGTTTCAGCTTTCTCCATATGGCTAGCCAGTTTTCCCAGCACCATTTATTAAATAGGGAATCCTTTCCCCATTGCTTGTTTTTGTCAGGTTTGTCAAAGATCAGATAGTTGTAGATATGCGGCGTTATTTCTGAGGGCTCTGTTCTGTTCCATTGATCTATATCTCTGTTTTGGTACCAGTACCATGCTGTTTTGGTTACTGTAGCCTTGTAGTATAGTTTGAAGTCAGGTAGCGTGATGCCTCCAGCTTTGTTCTTTTGGCTTAGGATTGATTTGGCAATGTGGGCTCTTTTTTGGCTCCATATGAACTTTAAAGTAGTTTTTTCCAATTCTGTGAAGAAAGTCATTGGTAGCTTGATGGGGATGGCATTGAATCTGTAAAGTACCTTGGGCAGTATGGCCATTTTCACGATATTGATTCTTCCTATCCATGAGCATGGAATGTTCTTCCATTTCTTTGTATCCTCTTTTATTTCATTGAGCAGTGGTTTGTAGTTCTCCTTGAAGAGGTCCTTCACATCCCTTGTAAGTTGGATTCCTAGGTATTTTATTCTCTTTGAAGAAATTGTGAATGGGAGTTCACTCATGATTTGGCTCTCTGTTTGTCTGTTATTGGTGTATAAGAATGCTTGTGATTTTTGTACATTGATTTTGTATCCTGAGACTTTGCTGAAGTTGCTTATCAGCTTAAGGAGATTTTGGGCTGAGACAACGGGGTATTCTAGATATACAATCATGTCATCTGCAAACAGGGACAATTTGACTTCCTCTTTTCCTAATTGAATACCCTTTATTTCCTTCTCCTGCCTAATTGCCCTGGCCAGAACTTCCAACACTATGTTGAATAGGAGTGGTGAGAGAGGGCATCCCTGTCTTGTGCCAGTTTTCAAAGGGAATGCTTCCCGTTTTTGCCCATTCAGTATGATATTGGCTGTGGGTTTGTCATAGATAGCTCTTATTATTTTGAGATACGTCCCATCAATGCCTAATTTATTGAGAGTTTTTAGCATGAAGTGTTGTTGAATTTTGTCAAAGGCCTTTTCTGCATCTATTGAGATAATCATGTGGTTTTTGTCTTTGGTTCTGTTTATATGCTGGATTACATTCATTGATTTTTGTATATTGAACCAGCCTTGCATCCCAGGGATGAAGCCCACTTGATCATGGTGGATAAGCTTTTTGATGTTCTGCTGGATTCGGTTTGCCAGTATTTTATTGAGGATTTTTGCATCAATGTTTATCAAGGATATTGGTCTAAAATTCTCTTTTTTGGTTGTGTCTCTGCCCAGCTTTGGTATCAGGATGATGCTGGCCTCATAAAATGAGTTAGGGAGGATTCCCTCCTTTTCTATTGATTGGAATAGTTTCAGAAGGAATGGTACCAGTTCCTCCTTGTACCTCTGGTAGAATTCGGCTGCGAATCCATCTGGTCCTGGACTCTTTTTGGTTGGTAAGCTATTGATTATTGCCACAATTTCAGAGCCTGTTATTGGTCTATTCAGAGATTCAACTTCTTCCTGGTTTAGTCTTGGGAGGGTGTATGTGTCCAGGAATTTATCCATGTCTTCTAGATTTTCTAGTTTATTTGCGTAGAGGTGTTTATATTATTCTCTGATGGTAGTTTGTATTTCTGTGAGATTGGTGGTGATATCCCCTTTATCATTTTTTATTGTGTCTATTTGATTCTTCTCTCTTTTCTTCTTTATTAGTCTTGCTAGCAGTCTATCAATTTTGTTGATCCTTTCAAAAAACCAGCTCCTGGATTCATTAATTTTTTGAAGGGTTTTTTGTGTCTCTATTTCCTTCAGTTCTGCTCTGATCTTAGTTATTTCTTGCCTTCTGCTAGCTTTTGAATGTGTTTGCTCTGGCTTTTCTAGTTCTTTTAATAGTGATGTTAGGGTGACAATTTTGGATCTTTCCTGCTTTCTTTTGCGGGCATTTAGTGCTATAAATTTCCCTCTACACACTGCTTTGAATGTGTCCCAGAGATTCTGGTATGTTGTGTCTTTGTTCTCGTTGGTTTCAAAGAACATCTTTATTTCTGCCTTCATTTCATTATGTACCCAGTAGTCATTGAGGAGCAGGTTGTTCAGTTTCCGTGTAGTTGAGTGGTTTTCAGTGAGTTTCTTAATCCTGAGTTCTAGTTTGATTGCACTGTGGTCTGAGAGACAGTTTGTTATAATTTCTGTTCTTTTACATTTGCTGAGGAGAGCTTTACTTCCAACTATGTGGTCAATTTTGGAATAGGTGTGGTGTGGTGCTGAAAAAAATGTATATTCTGTTGATTTGGGGTGGAGAGTTCTGTAGATGTCTATTAAGTCTGCTTGGTGCAGAGCTGAGTTCAATTCCTGGGTATCCTTGTTAACTTTCTGTCTCGTTGATCTGTCTAATGTTGATAGTGGGGTGTTAAAGTCTCCCATTATTATTGTGTGGGAGTCTAAGTCTCTTTGTAGGTCACTCAGGACTTGCTTTATGAATCTGGGTGCTCCTGTATTGGGTGCATATATATTTAGGATAGTTAGCTCTTCTTGTTGAATTGATCCCTTTACCATTATGTAATGGCCTTCTTTGTCTCTTTTGATCTTTGTTGGTTTAAAGTCTGTTTTATCAGAGACTAGGATTGCAACCCCTGCCTTTTTTTGTTTTCCGTTTGCTTGGTAGATCTTCCTCCATCCTTTTATTTTGAGCCTATGTGTGTCTCTGTATGTGAGACGGGTTTCCTGAATACAGCACACTGATGGGTCTTGACTCTTTATCCAATTTGCCAGTCCGTGACTTTTAACTGGAGCATTTAGTCCATTTACATTTAAAGTTAATATTGTTATGTGTGAATTTGATCCTGTCATTTTGATGTCAGCTGGTTGTTTTGCCCATTAGTTGATGCAGTTTCTTCGTATTGTTGAGGGTCTTTACAATTTGGCATAATTTTGCAGTGGCTGGTACCGGTTGTTCCTTTCCATGTTTAGTGCTTCCTTCAGGAGCTCTTGTAAGGCAGGCCTGGTGGTGACAAAATCTCTCAGCATTTGCTTGTCTGTAAAGTATTTTATTTCTCCTTCACTTATGAAGCTTAGTTTGGCTGGATAGGAAATTCTGGGTTGAAAATTCTTTTCTTTAAGAATGTTGAATATTGGCCCCCACTCTCTTCTGGCTTGTAGGGTTTCTGCCGAGAGATCCGCTGTTAGTCTGATGGGCTTCCCTTTGAGGGTAACCCGACCTTTCTCTCTGGCTGCCCTTAACATTTTTTCCTTCATTTCAACTTTGGTGAATCTGACAATTATGTGTCTTGGAGTTGCTCTTCTCGAGGAGTATCTTTGTGGCATTCTCTGTATTTCCTGAATCTGAACGTTGGCCTGCCTTGCTAGATTGGGGAAGTTCTCCTGGATAATATCCTGCGGAGTGTTTTCCAACTTGGTTCCATTCTCCCCATCACTTTCAGGTACACCATTCAGACGTAGATTTGGTCTTTTCGCATGGTCCCATATTTCTTGGAGGCTTTGTTCGTTTCTTTTTATTCTTTTTTCTCTAAACTTCCCTTCTCGCTTCATTTCATTCATCTTCCATCACTGATACCCTTTCTTCCAGTTGATCGCATTGGCTCCTGAGGCTTCTGCATTCTTCACGTAGTTTTTGAGCCTTGGCTTTCAGCTCCATCAGCTCCTTTAAGCACTTCTCTGTATTGGTTATTCTAGTTATACATTCGCCTAAATTTTTTTCAAAGAAGTTTTTAACTTCTTTGCCTTTGGTTTGAATTTCCTCCTGTAGCTCGGAGTAGTTTCATCATCTGAAGCCTTCTTCTCTCAACTCGTCAAAGTCATTCTCCGTCTAGCTTTGTTCTGTTGCTGGTGAGGAACTATGTTCCTTTGGAGGAGGAGAGGCGCTCTGCTTTTTAGAGTTTCCAGTTTTTCTGCTCTGTTTTTTCCCCATCTTTGTGGTTTTATCTACTTTTGGTCTTTGATGATGGTGATGTACAGATGGGTTTTTGGTGTGGATGTCCTTTCTGTTTGTTAGTTTTCCTTCTAACAAACAGACAGGACCCTCAGCTGCAGGTCTGTTGGAGTTTGCTAGAGGTCCACTACAGACCCTGTTTGCCTGGGTATCGGCAGCAGTGGCTGCAGAATAGCGGATTTTTGTGAACCATGAATGCTGCTGTCTGATCGTTCCTCTGGAAGTTTTGTCTCAGAGGAGTACCCGGCCATGTGATGTGTCAGTCTGCCCCTACTGGGGGGTGCCTCCCAGTTAGTTAGGCTGCTTGGGGGTCAGGGGTCAGGGACTCACTTGAGGAGGCAGTCTGCCCGTTCTCAGATCTCAAGCTGCGTGCTGGGAGAACCACTGCTCTCTTCAAAGCTGTCACACAGGGACATTTAAGTCTGCAGAGGTTACTGCTGTGTTTTTGTTTGTCTGTACCCTGCCCCCAGAGGTGGAGCCTACAGAGGCAGGCAGGCAGGCCTCCTTGAGCTGTGGTGGGCTCCACCCAGTTCGAGCTTCCTGGCTGCTTTGTTTACCTAAGCAAGCCTGGGCAATGGCGGGTGCCCCTCCCCCAGCCTCACTGCCACCTTGCAGTTTGATCTCAGACTGCTGTGCTAGCAATCAGCGAGACTCCGTGGGTGTAGGACCCTCTGAGCCAGGTGCAGGATATACTCTCCTGGTGCGCTGTTTTTTAAGGCCGTCGGAAAAGCGCAGTATTAGGGTGGGAGTGACCTGATTTTCCAGGTGCCATCTGTCACCCCTTTCTTTGACTAGGAAAGGGAACTCCCTGACCCCTTGCGCTTCCCGAGTGAGGTAATGCCTTGCCCTGCTTCGGCTCGCGCACGGTGCGCTGCACCCACTGTCCTGTGCCCACTGTCTGGCACTCCCTAGTGAGATGAACCCAGTACCTCAGATGGAAATGCAGAAATCACCCGTCTTCTGCGTCGCTCACGCTGGGAGCTGTAGACCGGAGCTGTTCCTATTCAGCCATGTTGCCTCAAAGTCTTCTCATTCTCAGTTTTGTATCAATCTTTTCAATATTTATATCTCTTCCTTTCTTATCTTAATGCAATGGTTAGATCTTCTAGTAAAATAACACTGTGTTATTTCCGATTTTAGATAAATTATTAATATTTACGATTAAGTATAATTTTTTTTCTAGGTTTATGGTTTTGATACATTTATCAAATTAATAATGTTTTCTTCTTTCTTAATTTGGTATGAATTTTAACATACATACACATGTATGTTTCAAATATTTTCTATTAGCTATTGAATTTATTTCATTTTATATCATGACTGTAATCACAGTAAAAATATATTTTGATTAAAAAATAGATTTCTATCCCACATGCGAAATATTGCCAAGATCTGCACGTAACACTGATAGGAATTTTGAAAAGCATGGTAAATTTAGATTGTATTTAGAAATAGGTTAGAATATCCCTTTAGCTTAAAGTTGAATATATCAAATAATAAAAAAGGGAAGCAAGTTTACACATTTATTAATAGATCCAAAATATTTCAATTAAACTGGAAGAAGTTCCAGTCATATTTAGGCATTCAGAATTGTTTGATACCAGATGATATTTTACATTCGCATCCATATTCCTTTATTTTTTTTTATTTTATGCATATAGCTTATTTATTTGAGTTGCAAAGCTTGAGGACAGACACCCAGGAAACACAGACTCCAAATGAATGAGGTCAGTGTTACAAGTTAGAGAGGTTAAGGTATTTATCAGTTATACACAGACAGAAATGTTTAGCAGGATTATATTTTCCATACAAGACCAGTTACAATGATTTGATTGGGCCACTTGGTCTTCCTAATTATTTACAGAAGTTGCAGCTGCATGCCAAGTGACTCAGGCTACATTGCCACATTCCTCTGAAGGTTCAGAATAATTTAAATTCCAACAACTTTAAATCTGAATTATTTAATTTCACATAACTGAGCCACATCCTCCTGTACACACTACTTTACTTTAAAACATCTCTAGAATTACTTATAATACCTATTAGATGTAAATGTCATGTAAATAGTTGTATTATTTTTAATTGTATTTTTTTAACTCGATTTTATTCTAATTTGGATTCAAGGGGTACATGTACAGGTTTGTTACATGCAATCCACACTTCATTGTTGACCATTAAATATGGTATGTGCTAGACTTGACTAAGAGGTGTGGCAGTATTCTGTCAAGGAAATTAAGAAACTGTAAATTCAGGATTTATATATTTTAAGTAATTATGCCTAAGAAACTCTAAGTTGCAGACATATTGTTTTAGCACTTTAAATTCATGCAACCCACTGTTTCTGGTTTGTATATAAATTTTCTCAGTATTTTGCCCCAAAAGATACACCTCTTTATACCACAAAACTTGTTTATCTCATCTGATCTATCAATTTAATCGTGATTTTAAGTGATAAAAAAAGGTAAATTCATTTTTTGCAGAACAACGATGAGTCAGAAACTTAATTTAGGCAGGAACAGGAAATCAAAATCAGTTCTGTTACCAGTGATTCTCATAATCTTTAAGTCCTTTTGTATTTCTTTATTTTTTTTCTAATTTTCGCATATATTTTCCTTTTTTTTGTTGAAGAACAAATAGTTGTTTACTAGGCAGATTATGCAAAAAAGCTTCAGCTAAATACTACTTCATCAGGAAGGCTATGGACCCTGGAGGCATACTAAGTTATCAGAAACATTGATATTTACATAGGCAGTTCATATAAATTGATATTTACATAGGCAGTTCATATTAATTGATATTTACATAGGCAGTTCATATAAAAGTGTAAAAAATTATGAGCAAAAAAAGTGTTTAAGAAAGACTTCTGAAAGAAAAATTAAAATAAAATTCTTAATGTCAGTTTTCTCTTTCCAAGCTGTGTTACAAGGCCTAAATTCATATTTTCTTCACGTTCCTTTTAGGAAGATGAATAAGCTATGCAAAACAAAGTAAAGCAACATTTAAATTATATAGAAAGGCTTAGGTTTAAAAATAATTTGACAATGAGATAAGCAGGAATGTCCAATTAAACAAACCCTTGGGCAAATTGCTATTTCTTTTACCAATTCTTTTTTTTTTTTTCATAATCTATAGAAAAAAATTATTGGCCAGTAACTCTTAGTCTACTTTAATTAAATTAAAAAAGCAATATTTATTAACAACAGTCCATAGCTAACAACTTTAATGCTCCTATCAAACTCAGGCAAGAAATTATTAAATTCATAAATGTGCTTTCATTGCATTTTAATGGAAATGAAATTAGACCTGTCTTATCAGAGGTGGGACTAAACACTAAAAGAAGCAGAAGTACTGCCAAATAGACAATTTACATAAATAAATTTGCCTCCTTTACAAATCAGGAAGTCTTTTCATGAGAGCTTGAAAAGTAACATCACTCCCAAGCTGACTGAATTGATGGACTAGTGGTGAGTCTGATAAGATTTAACCAAAACCTTTTCTCTTTTTTTCTTCACTGGGTAAATTTTAAGCTTCACTTTTCCCATGATACCTATCTAAATGTTACTACTGCACATCTTTTCCACACTATTATTATTGCATTCCTAGGGAAGAAGTATATATCCTACAGACAGCAATTCTGTTCAGTCTGAAATAATAAATATTCTGAAATGCCTAACTCTGAATAAGTCATTTACAAAATCTATAAAATGATGGTTGCAAAGCTTGCTTTTAAAGAATTTTACTAAATTTTATTGAAAGGTGCTATATAAAATGATTAGATGATGGAGCAAATCTTATTGTCCGGGAATGTACATTAAGGCAAACTCTTTGTCTTTTTTTGTAGAAATACTAACCCTTACTGAATCATAAAACAAATTGTTCTTCAAGTTAGAATAAATTTTTGAAGTCACCTAGGTAAAATTATCACTATATTAAAAATAAATAACTTTCTTCCATAGCATAACTAACAAGAGGCCATTTATTGTCCACTAGAAAGCCTTTAGTAACAGAGCATCCTTGTGTACTGTTGGCTGTTGACCAGGTGGCCACAATTTTCAATTGCTTACCTTCTGCTTTGTCTTGACCAAACTTTAGTCAGGCTTCTATTTTCCTTACAGGCTCCTGAACTCTGCTTGCTCTCAGCCTGAGAAAACTCTAAAAGGCTGAAAATATTCCCTTAATCAATCAGATTATCCCGAGAGCAGTTGACTACAGTAGAACACACTCCCTGTCAGACCCCTCTGATTATTTCCTCTCATTTGCCTGACTTCCCCATAATTATTGCTTACCCCTCTCTATAAAATAAAATCCTTTTCTATTAATTATTTGCTTTTGGGACACTTGCAGATTTCTAACATCAGAGTATTATTCCTATTGCAATAGTCTTTCTTCTGAATAAAGCTTCTTCTTATCTAAGTCCAGATTTCTCTTTATTTGATAATCCCATTTAAAAATATGTGAAAGCCCAAGACTTGGTACATTATATAATATGCCTTTGAACTGATTTTCTTACCCTGTGCTTTTTCTAATTTCTTTCTGCCTTCCCCCTCCTTCTATCTTCCCTTCCATTATACAAAGTCATGGAATTAAACTCTAATAAATATTCTTATAGCTAGACAATTCTAACAAACTGGTTCCCTGGACTAACCACATGGCTATTGGTGACATTTTCCACCTGAAATATTACTTTTCACATTTTAACCATTATGTGCACTTATAACACCATGTGTTTCCTAAAGTATGTTTCAATAAGCAGCACTGCTCTGCTGAGTAGCCACTAATATGTATTCACCAGTAAATGCTCACATGATGAAATTTAAGTTTTTCCACAGTGATACAGGAGCTTAGTCCACAATGTGACTTAAATTTGGTGGTTTTAGAAACATTTTGAAACCCTTTAGGTGTGTGTATATGGAGATATAAAATTGTTGAAGAACAAGCCAATCATGATTCATTGGCTTGAATCTACCAACACAGTAAGTTAAACTACATTTCTGCTGTGTAGGTAAACTAGAAATGATGATTACAGCTTACATGCAGTGCCATAAAGACATTTTTTGTAGCTATGACTACAGAAAGAAGCTTACTGTTAAATATCATTAAATAATTATGTTTTTCCTTCCTACTACTTATCCGGCTCCCCACTAGGCACTATAGGGAAGCAAAAGAGAATTATTCAAACTCCATCTTAAACTTTTACACAATATACATCATCTCAGAGTTAGAAAAATGTCAGAAAATTTCCTAATATAAAATACAAAAAATAAAAATTATAAAGCTAATTTTAGAAGATCTGCTTTGGCCCATGATGATACAGCTGGGATTAGATCAACCTTACTTCTAAGAACCAATGGAAAAGCCAAATAAGGTACTTAAGGTAGTTTCTTTAAAATATGGAACTCTGTATTTTGATTGCAATGGTATTTCATGCATATACACACTGGACACAATGGTATAAGAACTATGCACACGTCTTTTACCAACGTTCATATCCTGATTTTGATTTTGTCATTTAACTATGTAAAATGTAGATGTTGCAGAAAATTGGGTGAAGGGCATACTGTACCTCTCTGTACTATTTTGGTAACATCCTGTGAAACTACACGTATTTCAAAAAGCAATGGTGTTTTGAAAAAAATCTTTTTGAAGGCAACTGAAAGTCATAAATAAAGTTAGAATCTGAAGGCTCAAAATCCCAGAGAAAAGAGAAACACAAAGAAATGAGTCCAACATTTGGCACTATTAATTATTCCTCCATAGGCATTTGTAAGTTCACAAGTGATGGCCAGAAAGCTAAGAATATGAGCAGAGCTTTCAGCATTCTTATGAAGCAAAGGAGACGGACAGACATTGGAGTTTAGGACTAGTCAGTCAAGATGTTTGGCCTTAGTAAAATAATCTACTTTGCAGGTGTGTAATCTACAGTATTGTAGGAATGCACCAAAGATGGACCAGCCACCTGAAAGACTGAAATTAAGCCTCTAATAAGCCCAAACTGTGTCTGAATTAAAGGGATCTCTCCCTAGATTATAAGTCAGATGCAAAAGCTTCAAGTTATCTTTCTTTATATTTTATCACACATAGTAACTTCTTACATTGAATGTAAAAAATAATTAACCAACACACTAGGACTCAAGATCAAATGATCTAAAATCAAGAAAAAATATGCACAATACAAAGATGCCAAATAATGAAGCTGTCAGAATTAGCCTTTAAAATAATGACAATCTACGTAATACTAAGGGAAGACGATTTAAAAACTATATAAGGAAAATGATTAGCATCTCCTGGAAGACAAAAAGGAAGATGTGCAAAAATGAAATGACATTGCTTGTTCTTGATTATGATGTGTCAATGTCAACAAGATGTTATGTCTCTCTTATCTCTTAGTTTATGCATAAATTTAATGCAACTCTAATAAAATACCAGGAAGATTTTTTTTCTCCAACTATTGTGGAGTTGTTCATGTGAAAAATAATATGCATGAACACGTAGGACAACCCATAAAAATAAGAGCAACAGGAAAGGAATAGTGCCACCAGATTTTAAAACATACTATAAAGTTTCTGCAATTGAATCCATGTTATTTATACTGGTAAAGAAATAACAGACCAGTGGAATATAATAGAAAATACAACAGCCAAGAACATAGTAAAATTTACTACACGATAAAGGTAGTCATTTCAAATCACAGAGACAAATATGGACATTTTATCAAAGCATGTTGGAACAACTGAACAGTCATTTAGATAATGATAAAAATGGATTCACACTTTTCCCTCTACACAGAAAAAAAAAAAAATCCAAATGAATTAGAATTCTGAGTGTAAAATATAAATGTAGCCATACATGTTTCCCAGGTTCCTTAGGGTGTTGCTTCACCAGCCAGCAACCTCTATGGCCAGTGGCACCTTTGCCCAAGTTTTGCTTGGGCCTGCTGAGCCTGTTCCACCCAGTGGGCCTGACAGGCTGCACTCGGCTTTCGCTACCACCCGGATCCCATGCCTGCCAAGGTTGGGCCAAGCGCAGAGTGGTGAGGGGTGTGTGAAGAAGCAAAAGTGGGGTCCGGCCACCGCGCACGGCCAGGCACGCTGGCTGTGGTGGGGTGGGCAGCTCCAGGCACTGGCACAGGCTCCGGCTCCCTGCAAGGCTGTAGCTAGACCAAGTGTATCACAAGTAGCTTCTGCCTCAGGAACCAGGGAATGCGGTGGCACCTGGAAGCTTGGAGATGATGCCCGGAAATGCAGAGCCCTAAAGAAGGTTTCACAGCCCTGGCTCAGGGAGCTCCTAGGTTTGCAATCCCCAAAGAACTGCAGCTCTTCTCTACTTCTTTCCTTCTCGTCACCCACAATGTGGCCAGTGGTGTTGGGGTGGGGGTTACAGCCCTGTTTGTGTTACAGCTCTTTTAGTCCTGCCATTTGTCTGTCTGGTCCCAAGTTCTTGTCCCATATCCAGGAAAAATGAGGTATGCAGACAACTGGAGGGTGAGCAAGGTGAAGCAGTGCTTTATTGAGTGGCAGTACAGCTCTCAGGAGACCCAAAGTGGGTATCCCCTTTCCACAGGCATGTGGTCTGGGCATCTGTGCAACCCTCAGCTGAGAGGAGACCCACAGTGGGTAGCTCTTCTCCACAAGCAGGTCATCCCATCAAGTGTGTAGTCCTCGGCAGAGAGGAGATCCCAAGTGGGTAGCTCCTATCTGCAGGCAAATTGCCCCAACATCTCTGCAACCCTCATTGGAGAGGAGACCTTGAATGGGTAGCTCCTCCCTGCAGTCCGGTTGTCTTGTCATCTGTCCAATTCTGGGTGACTCTGAGGGTTTTTATGGGTTTCACAGGGGAGGAAGAGTGTGCTGATTGGTCTACGGGTGGCCATGGGCGGGCCCAGAAAAAGCACCATAAGTTCTCACTCTGGTCTGTGCAACTGGCAGCCCAGCCCCCAGGCTTCAGGCCCTCCCTGGCTTGAAGGTGGGGTTTCACCAGGGACGTGCCCCTTTCTGCCCAGGAGCCTGTCTGCCTACTGCTGCCATTCATGGTGCCCAGGCTGTTCGTGCCAAGGGGTGCCTGCAGGCTCACACAAAGCCGCCCTCAGCCCCCTCTTGACCTCCCTCCCATGTTTGTCAGTGTCCCAATTACGGAGTGGGGCCGAGGCGGCAAGGGGCTGGCATGTCAGTGCTGCCTTGAGTGTGCGCACACCCAGCCGGGTCGTGACAGAGCCCGAGCTCGGCCACAACTTTCCTCCAAAATCAGAGTGGATGCTGGGAGTGGAGAGAGGCCAGGCAGCAGGAGGAGGCCCTTCTGAGCCTGCGGGGGCAGGGAGACTTCCTGGGCCCCCAAGACCACAGGGATGCCTGGGTCCGCAGTCGTGGCTGGGCAGCTGCAGTTGCACCCAGAAGCACAAAGCTCATGCCCCACCCACTTGGAAGGGGGTGGAGCTCCCGCCTGTTCCCAGCTCCTGCCAGCTCCGCGGAGTTAGCCGTCCCAGTCATGCATACCCCACTGCAGCTAGCACCTTTGCAGCAGCTACTCTATTTGGCCGCTGCTGCCATCACATGCATTAGAAGAAAATGTGGGGTAATTTGTAATCTGGCTCTAAAAAACAATGTTTTGTAATAATGATCCAAAATTGCAACACAATAAAAGAAAACACTGAAAATTTTAACTCCTCTAAAATAAAAATGAATTCATTTAGCAAACCTTTCCAAAGCAAAAATAATAGCAATGCCAACTGTAAGCAGTGTCAGTAAAAAGACAAACTAGAATACATTTGTAATACATAATCAAGGAAAATCACATTATGAAAAGAAAAATAAATTAAGACCAAAAATTGATGGAAAATGGGGCAAGAATCATTAATAGATAAATCTCAGATATATTAAATAGATAAATCTCAGATAGATATAAAATAATCTGAAGCATATAAATTATTAAACATTACTAAAAATAAGATACAAATTAATAAATGTAATTTCTCACCTTCAAGTTTGTTAAATATCCAAAATCTTGATAACACAAGCTGTTGGGGAGGCTACAGGGAAACAGGCATTCCTACACATTGCTAATGGGAAAGCAAAATGGTACAAATCCTATGGAAGGAAAGTTACCAATAGTAACCCAAAACTACATATACATTTAACTTTTGACCAAACAATATCACTTTAGGAATTCACCCCCAACATACACCACCAACAGCAAGAAAATACATATTTGTGCCTTCATGCATTGGGATATTATGTGTTATATAACAAATTATTGGATACCATGTAAACGCCCATACATAGAAAATTGCTTAAATCAACGATGCAAAACTAACCTACCTACAGCTCTCAGGAGACCTGAAGTTGTAGCTCCTTTCCACAGGCAGGTCATCCCGGCATGTGTGCAGCCCTCAGTGGAGAGGAGACCCAGAGTGAGTAGTTCTCGGGCTAAACGATGTATGTTGGTGCAAAAGTAATTGCAGTTTTTGCCATTAAAAGTAATTGCAAAAACTGCAACGACTTTTGCACCAACCTAATATATATACACAATGGATTACTATGCAGGAAGTAATAAAGGAGATCTCTATGGCCCGATATGGATTATCAGGAAAAATTTTAAGGGAAAAACATATATAATAACATATAACTTACATATTTTAAAAAATAAACGCAAGGATAACCAGAATCCAGTGAAATTGGTTAACCACAGGCAAGAAGTGACAATAATATGGGAAGAAGAGAAGATTGAGTGGCAATTCTCTGTATATATCATTTCATATAATTTTGAAAACTGGAAGCATGTTCAATTAATACATAATCAAAAATAAAATTAAATCAACAAACATTTTGGAAAACTCTAAAACTAAATTAAAATCTATTATCTTTGGTGTCCCATAGAAGAAAATATATTCCTTTGGGGGAGGGAGGCAAGATTATGATTGTGAAAGGAAGTAAATACGAATATGTAAACAGAGAAGATGAAGAAGACCATGTGATTTAAAATGTTGGATTAAAATTAGAAATTGTTAGCTCATACTCGCTAAATCTGGTACAATAAAAAATGACAGTAACAGATTATAATGCAATTGAAAAGAATAGTTTATGAATCCACACATTAAGAAATATAAATAAAAACGGACAATGAGAAGGGCAAAGGAGACAGAGAGGCACAGAGACAGAGACAGAGACAGACAGAAATAGAAAGGAAGGAAGAATGGATGGAAAGAAGGGAGAGAAAGAGAAAATGAGAGGAGGAAACGCTTTTGTTTACTATGTAAAACTAATACATGTACAAGAAATGATAACTAAAATATCACTATTTTGCTACTGTCATGGTAATAATTGATTAAGGCAAGAATCATCAATGGAGGAAAACAATATTGGGTAAAACTTGTTTGTTACCAAGATATTTATGCAGTTCTCATTTATCTCTGAATAGATTACTTATTGATTAAAAAGGGCTAACTTTGTAGTATATAAATATGAAAGGCATCACCTTAATCAAGCGATCCAAGTTAACACCACCAATGATGAGACAGCTTAACATCATGTGCTTCTTGATGTGATTCAGTGAAAAAAATAGCATCATTCATATAATATTTTTTCCAACACGTTTTGAAACTGCAAATGAGAATACAATCAGAGAAGAATTGAGGGACAATTTACAAAACAACTGACCTATATTCTTAAAAAAATCAATGTTTTAAAAACAAAAACTGAGGTGCTATTTCAGATTCAAGTAGCCTAAAGACATGTAAATGCAACGTTTAATTCTGGATTAGATCTTGAATTGAATAAATTAAATTCTACAAATAGTACTAGTCAGGCAAATGGAGAAATTAGGTAAGAAGTGTATATTAGATAATAGTGCCATAACAATGTTAACTGCTCTCACTTGATAATTGTACTGTACACATATTGAAGAATATCTTTGCTCCAGGATATACATGGTGAAATATTTTGGGGTTGAATTAGTTTACTATGACTGCTGTAAGGTATTATTAAAGTAGTCCCCTCTTCTCCATGAAGTATATGTTCCAAGACAGCCAGTGGATGCTCAAAACCGCAGATAGTATCAAATATTGTATATACAATGTTTTCTCTTATACATACATACCTATAATAAAGTTTAATTTATAAATTCGGCACAGTAAGAGATTAACAACTATAATAATAAAATTAAACAGTTATAATATGCCAGCCTCACTACCCTTGCATTTGGGGGGCATTGTTAAGTAAAATAAGGGTTACTTGAAAACAAGCACTGCAATATTGCCGCAGTCAATCTGATAGCTGAGTTGGCTATTAAATGACTGAAAGGTGGGCAGCTTATACACTATGGTTACACTAGACAAATGGATGATTCCAATGCAGCATATAGTGGGATGTCGAGATTTCATCACAATACTCAGTATGACATTCAATTTAAAACTTATGAGTTATTTCTGTAATTTCCCATCTAATATTTTCAAGCCATGATTGACTGCAGGAGGTAACTAACTGACACCACAGAAAATGAAACCACAGGCAAGGAGGACTACTGTACAAATATGGTGGCAGCTTAAAACAATGCAAGTTTATTCTCTCAGTTTTGGAGGCCAGATGCCTGAAATCAAAATGTCAGCAGGACCATGATCCTCCTGGTGTCCCTATGGGAGACTTCTTCCTTGTCTCTTCCAGCTTCTGGTGTATCCTGGCGTCTTTTGGTTTGTTGCACCATAATTACAGTCTCTACCTCCACTGCATATGGTTTCCTTCTGCGTTTTTGTATTTTCTCCTTTTCTGTTTCTTATAAGCACATCCTTCATTGACTTTAAGGGCTCATTTCAAGCTCCTTATCTTAATTGTATCTGCAAATAACTAACTCCAAATAAAGTCATAATTCTGAGGTTCTAGGTGAACATATATTTTGGAGATCCACTATTCAATCCACTATAGAGGTTCATACACACAACGCACTCTTAAAAGGTTCAGCAAAATAAATAATAATAATCACACACACACACACACACACACACGTACACAGAGCACCAAAGCAAATGCCAAATGTAAATTATTGATGGATTTATGTGAAGGTTATAAGAACATTCTGTGCAATAAACTTGCAGTTGTTCTATATTTTGAGTTTTTGTAATATAATATTAATTAAATAACTGATATGACATGTTCAAAAATATAAGAAAAATGTGACAAAATTGAGCATACATTTTAAATTTATAAAAACATATAGAACTATAGAATTAGAGAAGAATACAACTGAAGTTAACCCAATGGATGTGGAAAATGGCATGTTAAACACAGCTGAAGTGAGGACCATTAAACTGACAGGTGAAAAAAATGTATGCAGTGACAAAGAGGAAAAAAGCAGGTGGAACATTTAGAAAAGAGTTTTAGAGAAACAGGGGATGTCCTCCTGACATATATTTAATTGGCAACCTACAAAGCTATGTGAGAAATAATACGGAGGAAGCAATATTTGAGTAAATGATACTCAAAAATCTTTCTCAATAAACCAAAAACAGAAAGCATCATTCAAGAGTATTATGAACCCAAAATAGAATAAGTACAAGGAAATTCAGATCTCAGAAGATCACAGTAAAACTTCTAAAACAAAAACAATCAGGGATAAAAAGGCACAATCAGAAAAATAGTAATAATACGGCCAGGCACGGTGACACATGCCTGTATTCCTAGCACTTTGGGAGACCCAGGTGGGTGGATCACTTGAGGTCAGGAGGTCGAGACCAGCCTGGCCAACATGGTGCAACCCCATCTCTACTAAAAATACAAAAATTAGCCTGGCATTGTGGCACATGCCTGTAATCCCAGCTACTCAGGAGGCTGAGGCAGGAGAATCGCTTGAACCTGGGAGGTGGAGGTTGCAGTGAGCTGAGACTGTGCCACTGCACTCCAGTCTGGGGGACAGAGAGAGACTCCATCTTTAAAAAAGAAAAGAAAAGAAAAATAGTAATAATAAAACTGGCAGCTGTTCATTAAACAGAAATGAGAATAATGCCAAAATAATGCAAAGAGGAGTATTTTTTCAAGAAATGGTGATAGGTGATCTGGCTGGCTTTATTTTTAAAAACTGAACCCAAGGCTTCACACTATACACAAATATTAAATTGAGAGGGATCATGGACAGAAATGTAAAAACTAAAAATATGAACATTGTACAAGAAAGCAAAGGACAATACCATCATGATTTTGGAGTAGGCAATGATTTCTTAAACAGAACACAAAGGCAGTAATCATAAAAGCAAAACTTGAAATGCTATATCTATAAATGCTAAAACATTTTGCTCTTCAGAAGGCATTATTATAAAAACAAAAAGGCAGACCATAGACTTGGAGATATTTATAATACATAAATCTGACCAAACAGTTGCATCCAGTATATATAAAGAATTACTGCAACTCAGTAGCAAAAAAAACACACATCCTTCATTTAAAAATCCACAGTACATCTTATTAGAAACCTAGCAGAATAGATAATGATGGCCAATTAAAACATAAAAATGGCTCAGCCTCACTTGTCATCTGGGAATTGCAAATTAAACCACAAAAGAGCACTTCACACAAGGACAACAAAAGTTAAAATGAATGGCAATCCCAAGTATGAGTGAAATGCAATGTAGCTTGAAGTCACATACATTTCTGGTGTGAGTGTAAAACGTATAAACCACTTTGGAAAACAGATCTAGCAAGTCTCATATAAGTTAAACAAATACCTAACCTATCACCCAGCAATTCCACTCTTAGTTGTTTCTCCAAGAGAAATAAAAACATATGTCTAAAGAAAGACTTAGACAAAAATTGCATACGTCTCTATTCACAGTAGCTAAAATCTGAAACTAACACAAATGCCCATTAAGAAGATAATGTATGAACTGTATGCATTCATACACTGGAAGACTACACATTAACGAAAATTACAAACTATTTGAACATTCAACATGGATGAATAACAAAAATATTTTATGTTAAGAAAGCCAGACACAAAAGACTACTAACTGCATGTTCCCATGCATATAAATGACTAAAAAAGACAAAATTTAGCTGCAGTGATACACATCAAAATGATGGTTACCCGGACTTTTCTGCCCGCTCTCCCACTTACCTCAGCACTGCTCCAGCTGCTCTGCATTAGCTCTGAGCTCCACGCCACTGGTAACCTAGCACCACCATTGTCTCTCTTCAGCCACCATCATGATTATCTATCCAGACCTCATCAGCCACAGTGAGATTTACAAGAACCAGGAGATCACAAAAGGGCCGTGCCTGGAGGTGGAGGGGAAGATAGTCAGTAGGACAGAGGATAACACTGATGGCTCGCTCATTGGTAGAAACGCCTCTACTGAAGTCCCCGAGGGTGAAGAAACCCAAAGCACAGTTATCACTGGTGTTGATGTCATGCACTATCACTTACAGGAAACAAGCTTCACAAAAGAAGCCTGTAAGAAATGCATAACATATTACATGAAATCAAATCAATCAAAGGCAAACATGAAGAACAGAGATCAGAAAGAGTAAAACCTTTCATGAAAGGGGTTGCTGAACAAATCAAGCACATCCTTGCAATTTCAAAATCTACCAGTTCTTTATTGGTGAAAACAAGAATCTTGACAGCGTTGTTGCTCTACTGGACTACTGTGAGGACACTGTGATCCTACATATGCTTTTCTTTAAGGATGATTTGGAAATGAAAAATTATTAACTAGTAATTTGGCAATTACTTTGAATTTATCACCTGTCATCAAAACTAGCTGCTTTTTGTCATCCACATAACACCAGGACTTACGACAAATGGAACTGATGTCATCTTGGGCTCTTCATTTACTTTGACTGTGACTTACTCGGAGTGGAGGCATTGTCTTTAGGAAAAACATGTCATGTAGGTTGTCTAAAAATAAAATGCATTTAAACTCATTTCAGAGAGTACCTTTTAGTTTAATATATATTTAAGCTAAATACATCTGTAGTGTTCCTGGAGAAGCTAGAGCCGGGTTATAAGGCACTACTAGAAAAATAAGACTGTCGTCAGATAACTTCTTCAGTGGAAATTACTTCTAGGACTGGAATATAAAAAATCCAAGAATCTAAAGTTTTAATTCTGAGTTGCAATAAAAGGAAAGACCATGCTTATGGCAGTGCCAACATTTGAAATGAAGTCTTATACATTTCCTCACCTACAATGGAAGTAGTTAACTTTGGAAGAGATTATCAGGAGAATAAAAAGAGACTAATTCAGCTGAAAAAAAAAGAGTAGTGGTTACTCTGGAAGATTGGGGTGATTGCTACAAAGGGGTATGAGATAACTTTCTTGAGTCCTAGAAATGTTTCACATCTTGATTTAGTAGTGGTTACATGGGTGTATGTATTTGTTAAAACCCATCAAACTGTACATTTAATTTTTTGCATTTTATCATATGTATAGTAATTTTTAAAACCAAATTGTTTTGTTTTGTTTTGTTTTGTGGACACAGAATCTCACTCTGCCACCCAGTCTGGAGTACAGTGGTATGATCATGGCTCACTGCAGTCTGGAACTCCTGGACTCAAGCAATCCTCCTGCCTCAGCCTCCTGAGGAGCTGGGACTACAGGAGTGAGCCACCATGCTCAGCTAATTTCTTTTTCTAAACTTTTTGTAGAGATGGGGTCTCACTATGTAGCCTAGGCTCGTCTCAAACTCCTGGGCTCAAGCAATCCTCCTTCCTCAGCCTCTCAAAGTGCTGGGATTATAAGTGTGAGCCACCATGCCCAGCCAATTTCTAAAATTATGTCAACATAATAACTTTCTAAGGTAAAAACCAGGAAATTCATTATCAGCAGGCCAGCATTAAAGGAAATAACAATTATATCATGTGGAACATTAAATATTTGCAGGTTATGTATGATTAAGATATGTGACAAAGACAACACAAAATGCAAGGGTATTAAATGAAGTTAACCTATTCTAAAGTTTTTTAATTGTCCAGGAAGTAGAAAAATTCTAATTTATATTAGGTTTACTAAACTAAGAATGCATGTTGTAATTTCTAGAGTATGCCACTAAAAAAAATGAACCCACAAGTTGTTTAAATTTATTCTTAGATATTTTATCTATTTTGTTGCTATTGTAAATGGAATGATTTTCTTAACTACAGTTTTGCAAATGTATAGAAATGTAATGAATTTTTGTATATTGGTCTTGTATCCTTCAACCTTGAAGAACTATTTTATTAATGCTAAATAGTGGTAGTTTTACCTTTTCCTTTCTGATATGGATGCTTTCAATTCATTTCCTGCCTAATTGCCGTGGCTGGCACCTCCAGTACAATGATGAATACCAGTAGTTAGAGCCAAAATATTCATCTTATTCCTGATATTACAGGGAGAGGATCCAGACTTCCACTATCAAGTATAATGATGACGGTAGCAATGGGTGCTTTTATAGATGCCTGTTATCAGGCACAGGAAGCTCCTTCTCATTCCTAGGTTTAAAGGTGTTTTGTTTTTTTTTGTTAATCATTAAGGGATGTTGAATTTTTCAAAAGCCTTTTCTGCATCTATGGAGATAACAAATTTTCCTTCCTTTATTATAATGATACTGAATATTTTATTAATTTATTTGTGGACGTTGAGCAAATCTTGCATTTATGGGATAAATACCACTTGCCTATGGTGTTTAATAATTCTTTTTATATATTATTTGTTTCAGTTTGTTAGTATTTTGTTGAGGAAAAGGGATATTGGTCTATAGATTTATCTTCTTTTGATTTCATTATCTGGATTGATACGAAGGCAATGCTGGCTTTACAGAATGAGCTGGGAAATGTTCCTTTATCTTTGTTTTTTTAAGTGTTTGTGAAGAATTGGTATTTCTTTTATAAAAGTTTTTCTGAATGTATGTGGCCCCAAAATTCATATGTTGAAACCTGACCCCTAAAGTGATCGTATTAAGAGTCAGGAGCTATTGAAAAGTGATTAAGTCATGAAGGCTCCACCCTTATGAATGGATTGTGGCCCTTATAAAAGGACTTGAGGGAGTGGTTTCACTTTCTTCTCCCCTTTCAGCATGTAAGGACACAGTGTTCATCCCCAGTGGAAGATGCAGCAATAAGATGCCATCTTGGAAGCAAAGACCAGGCTCTCACCAGACACCAAACCTGTTGGCACCTTGATCTTGAACTTCCTAGCCTCCAGAACTGTGAGAAATAGACATATAGTTTTATAAATAACCCAGTTTGTGTTATTATCTTATAGTAGCACAAAGACACTAAGACAGATATTGGTCCTAAGAAGTGGAGGCACTGCTATAACAAATACCTAAAGATGTGGAAGCAGCCTTGGAAGTGGGTAATGGATAGGGACAGGAACAGTTGTGAAATTAATGCTGGAAAAAGCTTGTATTGCCATAAGTGGAGAATTAAGGACAATTCTGGTGAAAGCTCATAAGAAGAGGAGAGCTATACAAAAAGCCTCAATCTTAGAAATTATCAAAGTGGTTATGAACAAAATGTTGGTACAAACATGGATAATAAAGGCCATTCTGATGAGGCCTTAGATGAAAATGAGGAATATCTTATTGGAAACTGTGGGAAAGGCCATCCTTGTTACAAAGTGAAAAAAAAAAAAAAAACTCGGCTGAACGGTGTTGCTATCCTACCACTTTTGGGTAAGGTAGAATTTAAGAATGATGAACTAGGGTATTTGGCAGAAGAAATATCTAAGCAAAGTGTTGAGGGTGCTGCGTGGCTTCTCTTAACTGATTATAGTAAAATGCGAGAAGGAAGAAAAAGTTAAAGATAGACTTTATAATCAAAAGAGAAGCAGAATATAAAAATTTAGAAAATTATCAGCCTAGCCATATAATTAAAAAGTGTGTTCAGGAGAGCCTACCAAGGCTATAGCTAAGCAACTGTTTAATAAGGAGATTAGTTTGATAAGAAAATTAGTATTAGATTAATAGCAGATACTATTCATCAAGACAATGAAAGAATAACCCTGAATCTCTGGGACTGCCCCACCTATCACAGGCTGAGAATGTCAGGGTCTTGGGAGCAGGATGATTTCAACTCTCTGCTCCTCTCATTCCAGTACAGCACTCACTCCTTGGCCATTCCAGCTGTGGCTCAAGAAAGCCAGGTGTGGCTCATGCTGCCCCTGCAGAAGGCACTCATGGTAAACCATGACAGCATTGGTACAGTGCCATCTCCATGGGGGCACAAAGTGCACGAGCTGTGGGGACATTACTGCCTCCACCTACATTTCAAAGCACGCCTTAAAGGGCCTTGGAACGCAGGCCACTGGGGCTGTGTCACTGCAGAGAGACCCCACTAGGGCAATGTCTAGAGGAGCCATGAGGATAGAGTCACCTCCAAGGCCTCAAATCAGTAAAGTCACCAGTGTGCAATTTCATCCTGGTAGAGCCAATAGTATACAACTCCAAGCATAACAGCTATTGCATGGGTTATGCTCAGCAAAACCTGGGGCTTCTTGGGGCCTTGGAAGCTCAACTTCCACCCCTAGCATATCCAAATACCAGGACGTAAGTCATAAAAGACTATTCTCAAGCTTACGATTCAGAGACAGATTAAGATGGCAGATAGGAGGCAGGACTAGCTTGCAGCTCCCACTTGGATTGACAGAGCAGCATGTGGAGACTCAGATTGTGGACTTTTGTCCCAAGAACTACAGCAAAAACATACCAGGAAAGCTGAGAGAATCCACAGACACTTTGAAGGACCTGGATAACCCTTGCAGGCTCCCTGAGATGCCGAAAAACTCTGAGTCTGTTTGCTTTCTCAACTGGGAGGCTTATGGTCTGGGGCAAGTTCTCAGCCCTGGCCACTGGCTGCCTGGAAATAGACTTAGTGCTGTTGATGGGGCATGGTGGGAGTGAGACAGGCCTTTGGGACTGTGGGCTCTGTGGGAGTAGGGTGAAGCCTGTGACTGCGAGCTTTCCCCCACTTCCATGGCGACATGTATGACTCAGAAGAGGCAGCCATAATCCTCCTGGGAATATAACTCCACTGGACTGGGAACCACACTCCCATGCCCACAGCAGCTGCAGTGAACCCCACCCAAGAAGAGGCTGAGTTCAGACACGCTCACCCCTGCCCACACCCAGTGGTCTTTCTCTAACTGCTCTGGCAGCTGAAGACGAAGGTCATAATCTCTTGGGAGCTCTATGGCCCTGCCCACCACCTGAGAAACCTGAACACTTAACCAGGTGTCCCTTGGGCAAGCTTGCATCCTCCCTATAGGACCGCAGCTGATGTGTTCTTGAAAGTGCCATCTGCTGGCTGGAGGCCAACCAACACAAAACCAGCACACTAAACAAAAACACAACCAAGCACCCTCACAGAGTCCACTTCACTCCCTTGCTACCCCCACTGGAGCAGGTGCTGGTATCCACGGCTGCAAGACCTGAAGATGGATCATATCACAGGACTCTTTGCAGACACTCCCCAGTACTGGCCTGGAGCCCGGTAGCTCCACTGGGTGGCTAGACCCAAGAGAGCAAAAACAATTGCTACAGTTCAGCTCCAAGAAAGTCCCATTCCTAGGGGAAAAAGGAGAACACACATCATGGGAGCACCCCGTGGGATAAAAGAATCTGAACGGCAGCCCTTAAATCCCAGATCTTCCTTCTGACATAGTCTACTTAAAAGAAAAGAAACTAGAAAAACAATTCTGGTAATATGACAAAACAAGGTTCTTTAACACCCCCAAAAGATCATACCAGCTCACCGGCAATGGATCCAAACCAAAACGAAATATCTGAATTGCCAGAAAATTAATTCAGGTGGTCAATTACTAAGCTAATCAAGGAGGGACCAGAGAAAGATGAAGTTAACATGATACAGGATATGAAAGGAAAACTCTTCAGTGAAATAGAAAGCATAAATAAAAAAACAATTACAACTTCTGGAAATCAAGGACGCACTTAGGGAAATGCAAAATGCACCGGAAAGTCTAAGAAACAAAATAGAACAAACAGAACAAAGAACTTCATAGCTCAAAGACAAGGCTTTCGAATTAACCAAATCTGTCAACGACAAAGAAAAAAGAATTTTCAAAAATGAACAAATCCTCCAAGAAGTTTGGGACTATGTTAAATGTTCAAACTTGAGAATAATTGGTGTTCCTGAGGAAGAAGAGAAATCTAAAAGGTTGGAAAACATATTTGAGGGAAGAATTGAAGAAAACTTCCCTGGCCTTGTTAGAGATTTAGACATCAAAATACAAGAAGCTCAAAGAACACCTAGGAAATTCATCGCAAAAAGATCATCACCTAGGCACACAGTCATCAGGTTATTCGAAGTCAAGATGAAGGAAAGAATCTTAAGAGCTGTGAAGCAAATGCATTAGGTAACCTATAAAGTAAAACCTACCAGATTAACAGATTTCTCAGCAGAAACCCTACAAGCTAGAAGGGATCGGGGTCCTATTTTTAGCGTCCTTAAACAAAACAATTACCTGCCAAGAATTTTCTATCCAGACTAAGCTTCATAAATGAAAGAAAGATACAGTCTTTTCCAGACAAAAAAAAATGCTGAGAGAATTCACCACTACCAAGCCAGCACTATAAGAACTCCTAAGAGGAGTTCTAAATCTTGAAACAAATCCTCAAAATACACCAAAATAGAACCTCCTTAAAGCATAAATAATATAAATAAATTTGATCACCCAACATAAATATGGAATAAAATTATTAAAGGGAAGCACAAAATACAATGGCAGAAATAAAGCCAAATAAGCCAGTGTTCAGATAAATGCTAATTGGTTCATCTCATCTATTAAAAGTCAAAGATCTTCAAATTGGCTTTCTAAAAAGTTCAAGAATGGCTTTTCATAAGTGTGGCACCTAACTAAAATGACACAAAAATGTGGAAAATAAATGAATTTTTTAAAGTACCAGGTAAATGTTAAACATAAAAGTAGGTGTAGACAAAATAGTTTTTATCATAGAAAGCATTAAGAGAAACAAAGTTTGATATTATGTGTTGGTAAAGAAAAATCAAATAAAATATATAAAAGTCATGAACATTTATTTACATTCTCAAAATATTTTTACTAAAGGAAAGCAAATATTGATTTACCCTCGAGGTGAATTTGAAAAAGTATGCAATATGGTAAGAGACATGAGCAGATCTTTCTTAGAAACCAATAATTAAATACATCAAATAAATTTATAGAGGATTTGAGTAATCACATGAATGAGTACATTTAAAATAAAACATATTCTTGATTTGAAGGTAAGGTAAAAAAACATAGTTGGAACACTTGCAGAAATTCACATGGATGTCCTGACAAATTAGAAATAATCACATCATACCAACCATATCCACACACTACAATTCAAAAATTTAGCAATCATTTTTAAAAAGGTGATCCATAAATTCTATACAAAAACTAAAAGAATGCACTTCTAAAATACTCTTTCATCAAAGATAAATTGAAGAAGAATTTTTAAAATGTATTTAGAAGTAAACAATATAAACAGTACCTGTCTGATGTAGTGAATGTTTTATTAAGAAAGTAATGTATTTGAATATTAAAAATAATGAATTAAGTATTGGAATATAAAACTAGAAAGAATACAGAGAAATGAACATGTATCAAGCTGAAAAAATTAATACATATAGAAGCTGAAGACAAGGAGAGAAAAAATATCATCCATAGAACAAAAAAATTTAGTAATTTCAAAAAAACCTATTAAAATACAAACTGACAAGTTTAATTAAAAGAAGAGAGAAGGTAAAAATAAACAAAAATGACAGTAAATAGTCCTGTATATTTTGCGTGGGTACAGTTTTATATATATATTAATGCATTGACAATGATTTAAAAGGTTACAGACCAAACCCATATGCTTATCTCTGAAGTGAACATGGGGACGAAGATTTAGGGGAGGTTATCAAAGGAGACTACCATTTGGTAACATGTTCACCCTTAATATAATAAATATGTTTACACATTAATCGCATAATAAAAAGTAATCAATGGAGACTTTAGTTTTCAGTTTGGCATGTAAGGAGCTTGGAATTCATCACTTCCATCCTACAACAAGAAAAAATCTTATCAAACAAAATCAACAATTCTTCTTAGAGCTAACCTAGAAGTGAGGTCACAAGGCAAAGTGCTATTCCCCAAATTGAAGGAACAGACAGGTAGATAATGAGAATCACAACTCAATGGAGTAGAAGCCCGAGAGCAGACACCTCCATGGGAACCAGAACCAAGACAGGAAATCTTTCTTACACCATAATTGATAAAATGCCGGAGGCAATGTGTGGACAAATGTGAGGGTTAAAAACAGTAAAGGGGCCCAGTCTGACAATAAGGGGCCCATATTTTCATGAGTTTTAATTCCAGAAGCCCTACCATGTTCTCACTGTGAAGATCAGAGAAAAATATCCTCATACTTCCAGCAGGGAGGGGCGAAAATAATAGGTAGCCATTTTGTAATACACCTAGAGCATTCTGTTCTTACCAAGGCCTGCCCTCAAAAGAAACTATTTCAGATTCACATCTTAAATTTAAGTTTTTATTCATTTTCAGTTAATTTTGTATATGTGTAAGAAAATGGACCAATTTCATTTTTTTGCATATGGATAACTAGTTTTCACAGCATCATTTACTTAAGAGATTATCCTTTCCTCATTATGTCTTCTTGGTGCCATTGTCGAAGATTAGTTGACCATATATGCATGGGTTTATTTCTGGGCTCTGTTCTGTTTCTTGGGTCTACGTATCTGTTTTTATGTCAGCCTCCCTAGCTAGGTTGGGGAAGTTCTCATGGATGATATCCTGAAATAGGTCTTCCAAGTTGGTTCCATTTCTGTCATCTCTCTCACGGACACCAATGAGTTGTAGATTTGGACTCTACATAATCCTGTATTTCTCAGAGGTTTTTGTTCATTCCTTTTATTCTTTTTTATTATTATTATTATTCTTGTCTGACTGTCTTATTTCAGAAAGCCCATCTTCAAGCTCTGATATCCTTTCCTCAGCTTGGTTTGTTCTGCTTCTAATACTTGCAATTGCATTATGAAACTCTTGTAGTGTGTGTTTCGGCTCTATCAGGTCAGTTATGTTCTTATCTATACTGGCTATTTTGTCTGTCAGCTCCCATATTGTTTTGTTATGATTCTTAGTTTCCTTGGATTGGGTTCCAACATTCTCATGAATCTTGATGATCTTCATTCCTACCTATATTTTGAATTTTATTCCTTTCATTTCATCCATCTCCAGCTGGTTAAGAACCCTTGCTGGAGAAGTAGTGTGATAATTCAGAGGAAAGAAGATACTCTGGCTTTTGGAGTTATATGCTGGTTTCTTCTTTTCTTTCCAGGCTGATATTCCTTCAATTTTTGAAGTTGCTGTCTTTTGGGTTTTTTTTCTTTTATCGTATTTGATGACCTTGACTGTTTGATTTTAGTATAAGATGGGTTCAGTCAACTGGCTTTGTTTCTGAAGATTTTAGGGGGCCAAGGCTCAGCTCAGGACTCCTGGACTGGGTTCTATAACTCTGAGGAGCGGGTATCAGGCCCTGGCTTTGTTATTTGGCTCCTGGAGATTAGGAATTTGCTGCACTGCAGGGGCTGAGGTGCTCCTGGACCACTGGTCACAACTTGGGTGGTGCCAGCCAAAGTTCTTCAAAGGGCAGTGGCAGCGGGCTCCGTCCTCATTTATGCATGCCAGGATCAGCAGCAGAGGCAGCACAGTGCGGTCCATGCTTCTTGGCTGCGACAGGGTGCTAGTGGGTGCCAGGGTGCTGGCCTCTGTGTGGGCATTTGTTGCAGGTGATGGCAGCATGGCTCAGGGTGGCGAGGTGCCCCTGCCACAGACTGTGTGTGCCTTCGTGCTTGTCGTGCTGTTGGCACGGAGGCAACAGTGCTGGTGGCTACAGGGCTGTGTGTGTCCTCTGTGCACATTCACGTGGGTGGCGGTGGCTGATCAGGATGGAGTTGGGGCAGCTGTTCCTGTGCTAATTTTGTGCTGGCAGCAGTGCTGGCGCAGGAGAGGGGCACTGGCGGGAACGAGGCTGGCAGACTTTCCTCCCAGCAACGCTCCAAAGGCAATGGTGGTGTGGCAGGGAGAGAGGGCATGGGGTGCACTCATGCTGGCAGCAGTGGCACAGCATGGTCCACCTGCACACACACGCTGGGGGAGAAGGGGAGCCAAGGTCCGTTCCCGCACACACGCACCAGCAAAGTGATATGGTGGGTGGCCCCGGGCGAGTGCACGCAGGCATAGCAGCACTGGGAAAGCTGTAGCTGGAGGAGGGTACGAGTGGGCTGGTGCGTATCCTACAGGGGACGCTCTGCTGGACCTCTCTGCTGGTCAGGCATGGTTCACCAGTGCAAGAGCTGTGATGTGGGGCCCCCAGGAGTTATCACCCCTTGACACCCGAGGCTGTGCTCCAAGCAGGCGTGGCCACGCTGGGGACCCTGGAGAGGTCAGCCGACTGAGGAGTGCTCAGGTCTGACCGGGCCCATCTTACCGGCAACACCACCCTGTAGAGTTCAAGTCTGAGAGTTCCTCTATGTCTAAGGTCTCCTATGGGAGTAAGCCGAGCCTAGGGTCATGGGCATCCCCAGCCATGCTCCACTATAGATCCTCCTACACCAAACCCTCTGGTCCCCACATTGATTGGAGTTCTGCCCGTTCCAATTCTGTAAGCAGCTCTCCCTGCCAACTCAGGTGTCCATGGTGCTTGTGGGGTCTCCTCCTCTTGGGATTCCAGAGGCCATGGTGAGAGTGGGTTGCTCCTTACCCGTTTAACTCACCCCTTCACACAGGAGTCTCTGGGGACCAGGATTAAGTCCCAGTGTGCGGTAACCCTTTGTAGGATTCCCAGCTTCCTTCTCTTCAGCCCAGCATCTGTGTCTTCCCTCCATCCACTCTCAATGCCTTCCCTCTGAAAATCTTCTAGGAGTGTGCAGGTCTTCACAATGTCCCAGTCCCTTGGTGGCAGATGTTTCTCCTGGATGTGTCTAGTTAGCCATCTTGCTTATCTCTGAGAGCAGGTCTTATCTGCCATCACACTATGCATACACACACACACACGAAACAATAGTAACTATGTGTGGTAATGAATGTGTAATTAATTTCATTGTGGTCATTTCATAATGTATGTGTATATCAATCACATTGTAAACTGTGTGTGTGTGTGTATATATATATATATAATTTTTGTCAATTACATGTCAACAAAGGTAGGGAGAAAAAAACACTAAGCAATTTCACTGGAATTGTTCAGAACTCTAACTGACCTAAGGGAAGGGAAATATCCAAGTCCAGGGTATTTTTCACCTCTTAAGTGGGACAGGAAGGTTCCCAAATAACTTTCCTATTTCACCTAAGTGGTGTAAAATCTTTGAGAAGAACTTGTGAAGGTCATAGCCCAGTGGCACAGGCTAACTAAAAGACTGAGACCTAATCATAGAACTAGAGGACACATCCCCTTCAGCCCTTACAGTTTTTTAAATAAATTACCTCAAATGGATTATAAACCTAAATGTAAAATGAAAAACTTTTAAAATTCTAGTATATAATTGTTATGACATGAGCTGTTTCTCCCAAAATTCATATGTTATGGCCCTAACATCCAATGTGACTATATTTGGGTTAAGGAAGTAATTAAAATTAATTGAGGACATAATGATGGGTTCCTACTAGGATTAATGTTCTTATAAGATGAGACACTAGAGAGCTTGCTCTCTTTCCCTCTTCTTGTGAGGACTCAGCAAGAAGGTGGCATCTACAAGCTAGGAAGAAAGCCATCACAAGGAACACAACCATGCTGGAACCCTGAATTTAGACTTCCATCTTCCAGACTGTGAGAAAATAAATTTCTCTTGCTTAAGCCAACCAGTGTTTGGTATTTTTGCATGGTACCTAAAGCTGACTAATACAAAACACAGAAAAAAATCCAGGTGATCTTGACAATAACTTTTTAGATATAACACCTAAAGCATGATCCATGAAAGAAAATATTGATAAGCTGAACTTACTGTTAAAATTACAAACTTCTGCTCTATGAAAGCCACCTTAAAATAATAAAAATAATTTATCAGTTCTAATAGTCTTTAGGTTTTCCAAATATAAAATCATATCATCTGCAAACAAAGAAAGTTTGCCTTCTTCCACTCCAATTTGGATGTATTTTATTTTTTTCTCTTGTTGATTTCCCTAGCTAGGTCTTCCACTGCTATGTTGAATAATAGTGGGTGAAAGTGGCATCCTTGTTGTGTTCCAGATATTACAGAAATGGCTTTCAGTTTTTCCCAATTCAGTATGATAATAGCTGTAGGTCTGTCATACATAGCTTTTATTATGTTGAGGTATGTTCAACACCTACTATGTGCTCACAAAAATTAAAAATTAGGTCCAGCGTGGTGGCTTATTACTGTAATTTCAGCATTTTGGGAGGCCAAGGAGGGCAGATGGCTTGAGTCTGGAAATTTGAGACCAGCCTGGACAACATGGCGAGACCTTGTGTCTATTTAAAAAATATATTTTAAAAAATTAGCTGGGCATGGTGACATGTGCCTGTAGTCCCAGTTACTGGAGAGGCTGAGGTGGGAGGATTCCCTTGAGCCTGGGAGGTTGAGACTGCAGTGAGCCAAGATCACACCACTGCATTCCAGCCTGGAGGACAGAATGAGACCCTGTTTCAAAAATAATTTTAAAAAAAGAATGAAAAGACTACCTGCATACTGGGAAAAATTCTTTGTAAAACACATAACTGAAAAAGGACTGCTATACAAAATATATAAATAAGTTAAAATTTAACAGTAAGAAAACAAATATCTAATTTTAAAATGGGCAAAATCTGAACAGACATGTCACCAAAGACTATATACAAATGGCAAATAAGTATATACAATAACACTAAGCATCATAAGTCATTAGTAAATTGTAAACTAAAACAATAATGAGATATCATTACATACCTGTTACAATGGCTACAATCAAATGCATTGGCAACACCAAATGCTGACAATGATGTGGAACAACATGAAGTAGCATTTATTACTGGTGGGAATGCAAAATGGTAAAGTCATTTTGGAAGACAGCTTGGAAGTTTCTTTAAAAAGAAAACATATCTTTACCATATGAGTCATGCTCCTTGGCATATATCCAAATGAGTTGAAAAGCTCATGTCCACATAAAGTTCTGTACTAGCATATTTATAGCCACTTTATTCATAATTGCCAAAACCTAGAAGTAATAAGATGCCTTTCAATGGTCGAATGGATAAATAAACTGTGGTATATCCATAAAATAAATAATTACTCAGTGACAAGAGCTAACAAGCCACAAAAAAACATGGAGGAAACTTAATGGATATTACGAAAGGAAATAAGCCAACCTGAAAAGCAAATATACTATATTATTTCAACTACATGATACTCAGAAAACAGCAAGACTATAGAGAGAGTAAAAAGAACAGTTGTTACCAGGCATTTGCAGGGAAGGAAGGAGGAAGGAATAAATAGGTGGAACAGAGGAGACTTTTAGGATAGTGAAACTATTCTATATACCATAATGGTGAATACGTGATGTCTCATATGTTTATCAAAACCTATAGAATGTACAACTCAAAGAGCAAACCCTAATGTAACCTATGGAGTTTAGTTAATAATAATTTATCAATATTGTCTCATCAGTTTTGACATATGTACCTCACTAATGCAAGCTGTTAATAACAGGTAAAATTGGGGAAGAGGGAAATTAAGAGGCATAGGCAGAAATTAAATATATAAATAATATAATCTAGTCTAAGAATCCAGAAGAATTTCCCAAAAAGCAAGAAGGTAAAAATTATCAAGATAGTAGATTATGAAAAGAACACCAGTAGAAGAATGAGCAAGTATGAAATATTGAAAGAGAGAAACACTGTGTATTCCATCACAAAGGAAGATGTTTGCAGTATAATAAATAAGAGAATTCTCGAGGAATTTTGGCAAGAAATGAAACTGGAGAGGCAGGCAGTGTCTTGAAAGCTGAGGTATTTGTAAGCAATGTTTAGGATTTCAGACTTTATCCTAAGGGTAATGGGAAAAACTGGAAAAGATCTATAAGTATATTTTCCTTTTAAGAAGATAACTCTAACTCCAGTATGGAAAATGAATTGGAAGGGAGCAAAAGTGGACACAGTCCAACAAGTTAGAAAGTTAGTGGGCTAAGGCAAAAGATTCTTGCACTTGGAATAAATTCTACTCGATGTGACTGTATCATTTGCAGCTCTAAATTCTCATGGTGACTCAGGGACATGAAAATCCTTTAGCTCTGTTTCATAAAATGTTGGATTTTCTTACTTGTGTAAATGTCTGGGTAAGCTTGTGGACCCTTTTTCTTCAAATATGCTCTATAACCATTAAAGTGTGTGGTAACATTTTTCTGTCAATCACATCACTGACATGGAAACACACAAAGACGTTGAGAAATACAAATAAATTCTCATTAAGCAAAAAATCATATGTGTTATATTATTTAACTACAGTGCAATAAAACTGTGAAAGTGGGCGTATTATTTTAAAATTTAAAAATGAATGGAACTATGACAGGGTAGTCTATTATTTATTATGTTAATCTCTGTTTTATATTTGTAGCTGTTAAAAAAGTAAAAGAAAGAAAGAATTCTTGCTCTGTAGATTTTTCCTTCTTGTATTTTAAGAAGTTAGTAAGGCCTTGGCTCCCTTTTCTTACATGTTTGATGTATCCAAAATACAAGTCGCTTAAAGACAATACAGATTATAGATTTTTTTTTTTTTTTTTGAAACGGAGTCTTGCCCTGTCACCCAGGCTGGAGTGCAGTGGCGTGATCTTGGCTGTCGACTCACTGCAATCTCCGCCTCCAGGGTGCAAGTGATTATCCTGCCTCAGCCTCCCAAGTAGCTGGGCACGTGCCACCACGCCTAATTTTTTGTATTTTTAGTAGAGACAGGTTTCACTGTGTTAGCCAGGATGGTCTCAATCTCCTGACGTCGTGATCCACCCGCCTCAGCCTCCCAAAGTGCTGGGATTACAGGCGTGAGCCACTGTGCCCAGCCTATAGATTTTCTAAATATCCTTTAGGAAGAGGTACTAGGGAGAATGAGAAAGAGAAGAAGAAGAGGAAGAGGAAGAAGAAGAAGAGCAGGAGGAGGAGGAAGGGGGAGGAAGAAGAAGGAGGAGAAAGAAGTAGTAGTAGTGGGGGGCAAGGAGAGGAGGAGGAGATGGAAGAGAAGGAGAAAGAGAGAGAGACAGCGAGAGAGAGGGAGAGAACAAGCCTGAAAAAAAGACATGATAAGCGCTAGAAAGAGTGAAGATTTTCCTAGACTCAGGAGGACTGGGAAGTTTGTGATTTTATGAATCACTGGCAACTATAAAGATTGCACGATATCTAAAGCCATGGTTTTCAGACTTGGAAAATGACCCTGTTTTTAAAAAGTGCACTGAATCAAGAAAGCCACCAATATACATGGAATAATAGAGATTTCAACAATTAAGCAGCAGCAGCAGCATCAGCCAAACTCCAGAAGGGCCTTCACAAATGTCTCATTTGATATATTGCTGGCATCTTTTGTAACTCAGGATGGATTTGGGAGTATTAGCCCTGATTAAGACTGAATTTGTAATCTGTCTTAAATTCAACAAAATTCAGGTTTGGATTTTATATCAGTTTCGTAGGGCTGTCATATCAAAGTACTACAAACTAGGTAGTTTAAAACAACAGTAATGTGTTATTTCACCATTCCAGGAATCTGAAATCAAGGTATCGGCATAATCATCCTCCCTCTAAAAACTCTAGGGAAGATTTCTTCATTGCCTCTTCCAGCTTTGGATGGTTGCTGGCAATCCTTGGCATTCCTTGCTTGTGGTAGTATAACTCCAGTCTCTCCCTCCATCTTCCCATTGCTTTCCTTCTCATGTGTCTCCTCTGTGTCTCAGTGTCCAATATTCCTCTCTATTATCTTACAAAGATACCATTCACTGGATGAGTGCCTGCTTGACCTCATCATAACTGGATTACATCTACAAAAGACCCTATTTCCAAAGAAGGTCACACTCACAGAAACTGGAAAATAGAACTTTGAGTATATCCCTTTTAGGGAGGGGCAAAATTCAACACATAGCAGTCAACCCTTAACTCCCACACAAATTTTTATCTTTCTTTAATGCCTTAAACCATTCCAGCATAAACTCTAAGTCCCAAATCTCATCTAAATATTATCAACTCAGAAAGACTTAAATCTAATTTTCTAAATCATCTAAATCAGGTATTAGTAATACACTTGGTGTGGTCCATCCTGAGGTAAATTTCCTCTTTTACTGTGGGGCTGTGTAAACAAGTTAACTGCTTCCAAAATACAATAGTGGGAAAGAAATATGATAAATTTCCCCACTAAAAAAGGGAGAAATCAAAAGGAATAAAGGGATTATGGGTCCTATGAAATATAAAACTGAGTGAGGCAAACTCCAGTAAGTTTCCCAACCTGAGAATAATCCTCTGTGGTTTGAAACTCCAGACTCTGGGCCTACAGATGCCCCATTGTCCCCAGTGACCTTTTTTTAAGTTTCTTTTTATTAATTTAAAACAATTTTTGAGGGTACATAGTAGGTGCATATATTTATGGGGTACATGACAAGTTTTGATATAGGCATGTTATATGAAATAGACACATCACGGAGAATGGGGTATCCATCCCCTTAAGCAGAAGGGAATAAGATCCGCTGACCTCTAAACCACACTCAGAGTCATTCATCCCTTTTCTTGAAAGATGAGAGATGTTTGCAGCCAAGTAGCTTTATCGGTCTGTTTTCCTCATGCAGTATTTCAGAGGTTGCACAGCCTTTCTTCATTTCATGCCATCTCTGTTCCCTTCAGTCCAAGCTGGCAGTGTATGTAGTGGTATAACATTCTAATATTCCATGTGCATCTTTCATGTATGTCAAAAGATCCCATGCCATTAGACATGAGCATTTTCCACAGATCTTTCCTGGATAACCCTATTTCTTTTCTTGGCTTTCTGCAGAGGTGGTTAATTGGATCCAGGTGTCACACGCCTAATCTCTCCAGTAGAAAGTTATCCCACCACACCGTTGTTCTCTAAAGAGCGTGTCTTAACAGCTTTTGCAATATAAATGGCTGAAAATTGTTTAAATCATCAAATTCTACTTGCTTTTTTCCTCAGTTTTCTCTTTCCTCTTACATTTTACCACAAGCAGCAAGAAGAAACCAGACCCCTCCTTTCCACCTTCTACTTGGACATTTTCTCAGGTAAATATTCAAGTTTATCAATTACAAGTTTTACTTTCCATCCAACAGAAGAAGACAATTCAGTCATGTTTTCTGACTTTTTATAACAAGGATTACCTTTCTTCCAGTGTCTAATAGCATGTTTCTCATTTCCATTTGAGAACTTACCAGAAGCATTTCAACCTCCATATTTTCAACAAGTATAGAGGCATTTCTATCATCTACCTCAATTTTTTTCCAGTCTCTACCCATTACCCAAATCCAAAGCCATTTCTACCTTTTTAAGTATTTGTCATAGCAGCATCCCATTTCTTGGTACCAAAATCTATGTTAGTTTCCTAGAGCTTCCATAACAAATTAGCAAAAATAGGGTTGCTTAAAACAACAGAAATCAATCCTTTCCTAGTTCTAGAGGCTAGAAGTCTGACATCAAGTTGTTTTCAGGGCATACTTCCTCTGAAGGTCCTACGGGAGATACCTTCCTTGCCTCATCTAGCTTCTGGTGGTTGCTAGCAATCCTTGGCATTCCTCAGCTGGTGGAAGCATAAATTCCGTCTTTGCCTCCATCTTCCCATGCCCTTCCTTCCTGTGTCTCAGTGTCCAAATCTCCTTCTTCTTTATTTCATAACACAACAATCACTGGATGAGGACCCGTCCTAATTCAGTATGACCTCATCTTAATTTGATTACACATGGGAAGACCTTATTTCCCAATAAGGTTACAATCACAGATATTAGGAGTTAAGACTTCAACATATATTTTTAGAGTACACAATTCAATCTACAATAGACTTGGATTTAAATTTTATTTAAGGGAATAAATTATGTGACATTTTCTAAAGACACATTTATAGAATAAGATATATCATTATAGAACCAAAAGTTATACTGCTAAGTAACTCTTAGGTTAAACAGGAAATCAAAATTATAGGGTAGAAAAATTGTGAGCATTAGACACCAAATGTACAGGGTACAGCTAACGTTGTACTCAAAATCTATAGACTGAAATATGTTTTTTTAAATGAACAAGAATAAAAATAATTAAACTGGCATTAAATTGAAGTTAGAAAGAATACAGCAAAAAGTGTAAGATCCCATGCAATCAGGACAGGCTTCATGGGTATGTGACTTATGCAACTGCACAGTCTTGTTCTCGAAACATTTGCTGTAAAGCTTCTGCTGCTGCTGTCTGGATATTCTTAATTATACCTGTGAACTTGGGTTTTATAGCTGAAACTCTGTGGGACAATGGAGCATGTGCGTGAGATATGCAATACGTATTTCCCCTACGGTTACCCTGCCACCTCATTTGCATATAGCATTTATAATGATTGATCTATGAGTACAAAATTCCAGTGGATCCATGATGTGCGATATTTCAGCAAGACTCCAAGTGAGTGTAAGCTAAGTGTGTCACACCTGTGTCTAAGTAAACATGGGCGCTAATAACCACTAGAGGCCAGGATTTTGGTGTCAACCAGAACTTACTCCAAATGCAGAAAAAATAATGGAATTCTGAGAAAAGAAAATAACCAAAGGATCCTGTTTGTGTTACCTCTCTGTGTGAGCCAAATACATTGAAAATTATGAAAGAAAGAAAGGAAAAGATAAAGCAACGTACTATTATTTTTTACTTATTGCTTCCTACTAACCACTAAGTCATGGGTAGAGAGTGTCTGTAGAAAGTGCATATGTGGAAAAACTGAAACAAAAACAGTTCAGTCAGTTTATGCAGCATTTTCACTATTGGGGTATGCAGGTATGAGCTAAAAAATATACATTGTATAATTTTAGTGATTTCACATATGGTTTAAATGCTATTTGCACTTAAAATTGGCATTTTGTAATATAAAGATGCGCTTTAATATTTATGTTAATAACTTAAGATTTTAATTCCTCTTTACATAGAATGACATTAAATAGCTGTACTAGTCATGGTTCTCTAGAGGGACAGGACTAATAGAATAGATGTATATATGAAAGCGAGTTTATTAAGGAGTATTGACTCACACAATCACAAGGTGAAGTCCCACAATAGGCCATCTACAAGATGAAGAGCAAGGAAGCCAGTCCGAGTCCCAAAACCTCAGGACATAGGCATGGGCAAGGACTTCATGTCTAAAACACAAAAAGCAATGGCAACAAAAGCCAAAATTGACAAATGGGATCTAATTAAACTAAAGAGCTTCTGCACAGCAAAAGAAACTACCATCAGAGTGAACAGGCAACCTACAGAATGGGAGAAAATTTTTGCAATCTACTCATCTGACAAAAGGCTAACATCCAGAATCTACAAAGAACTCAAACAAATATACAAGAAAAAAACAAACAACCCCATCAAAAAGTGGGTGAAGGACATGAACAGACACTTTTCAAAAGAAGACATTTATGCAGCCAACAGACACATGAAAAAAATGCTCATCATCACTGGCCATCAGAGAAATGCAAATCAAAACCACAATGAGATGCCATCTCACACCAGTTACAATGGTGATCATTAAACAGTCAGGAAACAACAGGTGCCGGAGAGGATGTGGAGAAATAGGAACACTTTTACACTGTTGGTGGGACTGTACACTAGTTCAACCATTGTGGAAGACAGTGTGGCAATTCCTCAAGGATCTAGAACTAGAAATACCATTTGACCCAGCCATCTCATTATTGGGTATATACCCAAAGGTTTATAAATCATGCTGCTATAAAGACACATGCACACGTATGTTTACTGTGACACTATTCACAATAGCAAAGACTTGGAACCAAGCCAAATGTCCATCAATGATAGACTGGATTAAGAAAATGTGGCACATATACACCATGGAATACTATGCAGCCATAAAAAAGGATGAGTTCATGTCCTTTGTAGGGACATGGATGAAGCTGGAAACCATCATTCTCAGCAAACTATCGCAAGGGCAAAAAACCAAACACCGCATGTTCTCACTCATAGGTGGGAATTGAACAATGAGAACACTTGGACAGAGGAAGGGGAACATCACATACTGGGGCCTTTCGTGGGGTGGGGGGAGGGGGGAGGGATAACATTAGGAGATATACTTAACGTACGTGACGAGTTAATGGGTGCAGCACACCAACATGGCACACGTATACATATGTAACAAACCTGCACGTTGTGCACATGTACCCCAGAACTTAAAGTTTATAAAAAAAAAAATGTAGGAAAGCAGATAGATAGTGCAGCCTTCAGTCTGTGGCAGAAGGCCCTAGAGCCCCAGACAAACCACTGGTCTAAGTCCAAGAGTCCAAAAGCTGAAGAACTTGTCTTTGAAATCAGAACAGGTTGTTACAAAATGGAGAAAACTCATGGAAAAATAGAGCTCCTGGAATTTAAAAATAAACTCACAATTCTAAAAGTTAAAAATGTTAGAAGAAAAGTCAAGGATATTTCCTAGAAGTTTAAATACCAATGAAAACAAAAACAATAAAAATTGGACAATGAGCAATATCAAATTCTTTTAAGTTAAAAGATTAATACAGGAAGTATAATATCCTATTAGTAGAATTACCTCACATTTTTTAAAAATTAAGAAAATGGTTGAAAATTACCAAATAAATAAAATGAAAATATTTCATAAACTTAAAAGACATTAGTCACGTAAAGGAAATATCCAACAGAGTATTAACAAAAGGACTGGGAAAAGGTCTACACCAAAATCTCAATATTGTGAAATTTCGGAACACTGGATATAAAAAAAGATGATCCTAAAAGGAACGAGAGGCAGAATAGCATCAAAGTTCTCAGGTGTAATACTAGAAACGAGAAGAAAATTAAATAATGCCATTAACATTCTGATAGTACCATTCCCCTAGTTCAAGTTTCAGAAGAGTGTAAAGAGATTTTCAAATGTGCAATGGCTCAAAACTTTACCGTCTGCATTTCCTTTCACAGAAATCTACTGTTAAATTTGCTCCATGAAAATGAGGAAATAGTTACTAAAAACAGAACAGGCATGCGATTCAGAAAACTTGAGGTACAACATAGGAGGTGAATGAAAGTACGGCTAGAATGATGGGTCTTCAGTATACCCAGAGATAAATGATTGTGGAATAGTGTAGAAGAATGCAGAATTTAAGAAGGAAAAACGGTCTCCAGGGAAAAAATAGAAATGCCACATTAAACTATGCATTTGATTTTTTAGAAGATAATATTAATATGCATTTCACATACCTGTTGGAACAATTAGTGAAAATTCATTAGTGAGAAAACAAGATAATTATTAGTTGCATGAAAACTCAAAAGTTGTATAAAAGAAATTCATAACCTAACAGTGGTTGGATTAGCAGTTAATGATATTGACATGGACATAATAATATAAACACAAATTTTATTCAAAATTATAATTGTATTTGGAAGATGGAAAAATAAAATATTTGAATGGTGTTATAGAGTTAAATGTTTCTATACCATCACAAGGAAACAAGTATATATAATTTCTAAAGTTATGAAATGAAAATAGTGTAAGCATATTACTTTGAAATGTGGAAGTGATACTAAGAAAAACCTTAAACGATTTAAAATTGTTATATTTAGAGAACAGGGCTGAGGAGTGGGGATGTTTGACGCAGGCTACTGTTGTTATTCCCTGAAACTCTTTTTGTGTCACGTAATTTTTTTTATTATACTTTACATTTTAGGGTAAATGTGCACAACGTGCAGGTTTGTTACATATGTATACATGTGCCATGTTGGTGTGCTGCACCCATTAACTCGTCATTTAACATTAGGTATATCTCCTAATGCTATCCCTCCCCCGTCCCCCCACCACACAACAGACCCCACTGTGTGATGTTCCCCTTCCTGTGTCCATGTGTTGTCATTGTTCAATTCCCACCTATGAGTGAAAACATGCGGTGTTTGGTTTTTTGTCCTTGGGATAGTTTGCTGAGAATGATGGTTTCCAGCTTCATCCATGTCCCTGCAAAGGACATGAACTCATCATTTTTTATGGCTGCATAGCATTCCATGGTGTATATGTGCCACATTTTCTTAATCCAGTCTATCATTGTTGGACATTTGGCTTAGTTCCAAGTCTTTGCTATTGTGAATAGTGCCACAATAAACATATGCGTGCATGTGTCTTTATAGCAGTATGATTTCTAATCCTTTGGGTATATACCCAGTAATGGGATGGCTGGGTCAAATGGTATTTCTAGTTCTAGATCCCTGAGGAATCGCCACACTGACTTCCGCAATGGTTGAACTAGTGTACAGTCCCACCAACAGTGTAAAAGTGTTCCTATTTCTCCACATCCTCTCCGGCACCTGTTGTTTCCTGACTTTTTAATGATCGCCATTCTAACTGGTGTGAGATGGCATCTCATTGTGGTTTTGATTTGCATTTCTCTGATGGCCAGTGATGATGAGCATTTTTTCATGTGTCTTTTGGCTGCATAAATGCCATCCCCATCAAGCTACCAATGACTTTCTTCACAGAATTGGAAAGAACTACTTTAAAGTTCATATGGAACCAAAAAAGAGCCCGCATCGCCAAGTCAATCCTAAGCCAAAAGAACAAAGCTGGAGGCATCACGCTACCTGACTTCAAACTATACTATAAGGCTACATTAACCAAAACAGCATGGTACTGGTACCAAAAGAGAGATATGGACCAATGGAACAGAACAGAGCCCTCAGAAATAATGCTGCCTATCTACAACTATCTGATCTTTGACAAACCTGACAAAAACAAGAAATGAGGAAAGGATTCCCTATTTAATAAATGGTGCTGGGAAAACTGGCTAGTCATACGTAGAAAGCTGAAACTGGATCCCTTCCTTACACCTTATACAAAAATTAATTCAAGATGGATTAAAGACTTAAATGGTAGACCTGAAACCATAAAAACCCTAGAAGAAAACCTAGGCAATACCATTCAGGACATAGGCATGGGCAAGGACTTCATGTCTAAAACACCAAAAGCAATGGCAACAAAAGCCAAAAGTGATAAATGGGATCTAATAAAACTAAAGAGCTTCTGCACAGCAAAAGAAACTACCATCAGAGTGAACAGGCAACCTACAGAATGGGAGAAAATTTTTGCAATCTACTCATCTGACAAAGGGCTAACATCCAGAATCTACAATGAACTCTAACAAATTTACAAGAAAAAAACAAACAACCCCATCAAAAAGTGGGCAAAGGATATGTGCCATGTAATTTTTTAAAAAATCTATATTTATGTATTATTATGATAAAATAAATGCTAATTAATAAAATTAGAGGAGAAAATACAAGTGTTCAACTCCATTCCAATAAAAACAACTTATTTAGTAAATTATTTCACTGGGAAATATATATGACTAAATTAACTTTAAAAAAGTATAAAATTATACCAACATCCATGAAAGCAACTGAAAAATTTTTCAAAGAATTACCTCTAAGAATGACACTAGTTTACAACACTGTTATATAGGCTATTTCAAACTTCAAACTAAGAGATACTTTTATTTCATCCAAAATGTTACAAAGTACAGGACAAAAAGATAAAAGCTTAAAATTATTTTTAACAAGCTGGTGTATCTGATGTACACTGTCACAAAAAGAATCAAAATACTGATAAATTTCACTAATAAACACAACATGAAAATCCCAAATATCTAACAAATCAATCTAGTCACATATTAACAAAAAAAACAAACATGTTAGCCAAACTGATTTTATCACAGGAAATAATAGATGAGTTAGAATTAGAAAATCTTTAACCTACTCTTTATACTATTGTATTTTAATAAAGAACCATATGAGTCTTGACAGTTGCTAAAGGGCATTTGATAAACTTCAACACCAATTTCTGACAGAAAACACTCTTAGTGAAGTGAAATTTGGAGAAAGCTTCTTTATCATGTTAAGAATGTATAAGGGAAATGAGTAGCTATTTGTCACAGTGTTAAAATAGAAGAACAGGTATGTAAAATTCAGTCATGTGCTGCTATTTTCTATCCACATTCACTAACTTGTAAAATTCAACTATGAAACTTACCTTTACAGCTGAGTTGCAACAGGCCTAAAAATCCCTCTAAATCTAGTACGTTAAGTAGATATAACCAGTATACAGCATTTGCCACAGGAGGTGAAACCTGTTTCATCTATCAGAGCACCAGAAGCATTCCTAACAAAATATGGAGCAAAATGGTGCTTGTATATCATAACCGTTATTGAACAATGAATTAATTAACCTATACAAAATCACGCTAAAATATTAAATTCTATGGATTGAATAGAATAAAAATATACCAGTTCAATTTAAATGAGAAACATTTAGTGTGAGAAATAAAAATAAAGAAATTGACATCCATTATTTTCTTAGAAAGAAAAACGCAAAGATTAGATGACACATGTTATTCAAATTTTCACGGGGATTGTGGAGAGTAGGAAAAGTCTTGATAAAATAATTCTAATGATCATCTATAGCAGAGACAAGACAGTATAATGAAAAATTATAAAAACATTACTGAAATGAGACTTTATTGATAGATATTACCTATAAAAGTGGAATAATTAAAACATTGTGCTAATCTTACTAGAATAGACTTACTGGCCATAAAAAATTAATAGTAGGCACAGGAACATGAGTCTATATTTAATTAAGATTAAAGTGGTGTTCCAATTCAGTGGGAAAAGAGAACATTATTTTTGGCTTTGGGGTCATAAGGTCTCTCTTACAACTACTCAACAGTGCCATCGTAGTGCAAAAGTAGCCATAGACAATATGTAAACAAATGAGTGGAACAATAAAACATTAGTTACAAAACTGTCAGCAGGTACAAGATGGCATGAAAATGTCAGAATGGGAAATTCCAAGGGCCTATCGTTTCAAAGGAACACTAAAATATCTGGCAAAACTGTCACAATAAACTGTCAGAACTCTGAAAAAATAGTCAAAGGCTTACAGAAACCAAGTAAATGCTTAATCAAGAAAAATAAGACTGAAACTCAGAAGAAGAGCTTTGTAATACTTTATCTTACTTTGCCTCACACCTCAGCCCCCAGCATTGTGGCAGTTTGTGTTCCCAGTGTGGGCTTGTGATTCTAGAGGGAGAAGGGTGGACCTTATTCTCAAAGTGCTAGAACAAGTGAACATCCACATTAAAAAAAAAAAAATGAATGTAGAAACAGACCTTAATCTGTTCACAAAATTAACTCAAAATGTCTTAGAGACCTAAATGTAAGATGAAAAAATTTCAAAGCTTCTAGAAGATAAGATAGGGGAAAATCCAGGTGATCCTGGGTTTAAACAAGACTTCTTAGATAAAACATTGTAAGCACAATCCATGAAAAAAAGTTGACAATTTGAGCTTCATTAAAACGTAAAAATTTAAAAATCTGTTCTGTGAAAGACATTTTTAAGAGAATGAATAAGACAAGCCACCAACTACAAGAAAATATTTGAAAAATACATATATGATAAAGGACTTTTATCTAAAATACAGAAAGGACATGTAAAACCATAATAAAAACTCAAGCAGCCCAATTAAAAATGGAAAAAAAAATCTTAACAGACCCCTACCAAAGAAGATATAATGATGACAAAAAAAAGTATATGAAAAGAAATTCAACAATATATGCCACTGGGGAATTGACAGTCAAGACAGCAATGAGATACTAGAACACACCTATTAAATAGAATGGCAAATACGTGAGAGCACTACAAACAAAAGCTGACTAGGATGTGACACAACAGAAATTCTCATTCACTCCTGGTGGGGTATTCAAAATCACCATGTTGGCCAGACTCCTCTCGAACTTTCAACCTCAAGTGATCCACCCGCCTCCGGCTCCCAAATGATTTTTTATTAATAGGAAAAGTGATACTCAAAGACAGTCAACTAGTGCCTTAGACTATACTATAAATTTAAGGGTCCTTCCCACTTAGATTAATATAGCAGAGTTCTATGGGCTCAGATACTTTTATTTCTGCAAGCATATTCGCTCACTATATTTTCTTTGTCCTGCACCTATTTGGCACAGTACTGAGGCATGAAGTAGTTATAAAATATACCAGTTGTTATAAACAAATGAGGGCCAAAACATCTTGCATAGGCTTATTTCACATATTATCTCTCATCATCACAATAGCAATTCCCTAAAAGAAATGACACAAAATCACTAATTCTCTCAAAATAGGCCTTTTAAGTCAATTATAATCCAATCTCCTCATAGTACAGTTGAGAAAATTGAGATCTAAGGAAGGGAAGAGATTTCTTAAAGTTCTTTAAGATAAATAATGTCCAATCCAGGACTGACACTCCCAATCCGGTGCTCTTTTTGTTGTTTTACCATACTACTGAGCATACATGTAGGAAATACCAGTAACACAGGAGATTATCTTTTCTGTTCCTGGATTTTAAACTGTATAAATGTAGAGCCTAGTTGTCTTCACAGAGATTGAAATAAATCAATTTTAAATTAAGAAAACAAGAAGGTGATAAATACAAACAAAAGAAGAAATTCATTAATCAAGTCGTTATTGGACAAGATCAATTTATTTCATTTGTAGGTGGAAACCCCTTATAGGGCTGTAAAATAAGTTGTTTGGGTCACAAGCAGAGTTTTAATAGAATAGGATAGAATATAAAATATCAGAAAGCCTCACATTAGTAAAGGTGTTTTATGAAATACTTTCAGTTATGTATATGTTTATACATGTGTTGAAATATAAACTGTATCACTTGCTGCACATCAGATAAAAAATATTTAAAAATCATTATCTACATGACTGTTTTTGGTTCTAAACAGCAAAAGAGAAGAAATTGTTATGAGAACAAGGAAAGAAATTCTCATGTTGCAGTTGCCATCAGAGTGGAATTATTTAATCTTAATGTCTATTGAAGAAAAGTTCTGCCTGGTCTTCACCTGCACTTTCTTTGGCACAGCTACAGTATCCAAATAATGCTCAGCCACCTCCCACTTCCCAAACTCAAACTAGAGACTCTTGAAAGAATACAAAATGACATCACCACTGCTCTAACAGGCAGTTGAGCTCCACTTGACAAGTTTCAAAGAAAATGCTGACAAAAGCAAGATACCTTCCCAGCTGCTGGGAAGAAGCAGCGCCCAAAGAACAGAGAGGGAAACTCTGTGCCAAGCAATGGGACATAGCTTTCTGCTGATGGCAAAGAACATCAGAGGTGAGCCATTCAGTCACAGTGGAGTTGACATTCCCTGGAGCAAAGGAAACTCCTGAAGGAAAAAAGGCAGAGATCCCATCTATCTGTTTCAGCTGTGCTATAGTGACTTAGAAAAATATTTTCAGTCTTTCCTTGGTGAGTGTATGTATGATTTCTACCCTTGTCCCCCGATTTTAACTGTGAAACTTCTGCACAAGGCTATAGATATAGAGAATAATAAAACAAAATTAAGAAGAGAGACTAGGACAATACTTAGGACTCAGTTGCAGTAGTTCTGAGCAGATGTGACATGGATAGACTAACTTTGAGTAATTTTTGCCGTGGATGATAACAAATTCTACATCAATAACGCTGAGATATTGTCTGAAACATTTTCAGGAAATTACAGCTGATACAAGAGATTACTGAACTCAAAAAGCTGATTTTATATGTAAATTTTCTTTTCTAGTTTATAACATCCTTCATTTACAATGCCATGGTGGCGGATAGGGTGGGTACTGTGTCCTACTGAATCCTGCCCCCAATTCCAGCATTCAGCAAATAGAAAGGGAATTTATTTGATATGAAAAGTGAGGGTGGGTATTAGGGTCAACTGCAAGTTCACAGATAAACAAACATAGGAATAAGAGATTACAGTAAGGCAACCTGTTGGCCAGGGTATAGCCAGTCATCTTACTGAGTACTTAGTGCTGTTAGACAGGGAGAAGGGCAGACGCTAACAGTGAGGAAAAACCTTAGTTGAGCAACCTAGGACAGTCTCAGCCAGTCATTATATATTAAATGGCCCTCCCTAGTCTTGTTTCCCACTGATCTTTGTGAGCCTCTCTGGATACCTTTCTACTTCAATGGACTTTTCTTTTTTTTCCTTTCAGGTTTCATTAATGAGTAACAGGAAACAAACTCTGTTCCAGGGTCATACAATATCTCCACATAAAATTTTTCTGCTAGAAAATAGTCTACTACTGATTTAAATATCTTTCTACTCATGTTAGAAAATGCAGGTGTTCAGGGGCTTCAAGAAATATTTGCCATTTTTCAGAATCCAAACTTACTTATTCTCTCTTCTATTCCCTCATATATTGAAGGATATGTATTAATTTTATAAACTAGTTCCAGCTAAAAAGGAAATAAATTTAGGCATACTCTAATATGTGTTCCAAAGTTCTCAAAGTTCTCTATCATGCCTTAACACATCTCTTCATTGCTTTATTTTAACTCTAATATTGAATATATATATGACTACAGCAAAATTAAAATTATGAAAGTTATCTTTCCTATCAAAATTTTAAAATTCAGAATTTTTGATCCTTAGATTCACTGTTCCCCTAGTGGGTTTCCCTCACTATTCCTGGCAGAGTTGCTCTCCCTTTCCTTCCTACTCTTTCCAGAGTGCCTGATATTTTGAGATTATTGGAACTCGATCTGATGAAGGTCTACTCCAATTGCATATACCATCTGGACTTAGAAATTCATCTCTATTACCAAGAGGTTTTCATTAGTTCTAACAAGAGGGTTAAGTATATATTTTATTGCTATTAAAATGTGATGGTTTTTAGACAGTGGTAAAACCAAGGAGTGGTTGGGGATGAGTGTTAAGTACTCCAAAATCTCCGTTAGTGCTTCCTAAAGCTATTTCAAATAAGTAGACAGAGTAAGTAAAAAACAATATGAGTCCCCTGTGAATGCAACTGTAGTTCGAGATCAGCCTGACCAACATGGTGAAACCCTGTCTCTCCTAAAAATACAAAATTAGCTGGGCGTGGTGGCGCATGCCTGTACTCCCAGCTACTCAGAAGGCTGAGGCAGGAGAATCGCTTGAACCCAGGAGGCGGAGGTTGCAGTGAGCCGAGATAGCACCATTGCACTCCAGCCTGGGCGACAAGAGCAAAATACCATCTCAAAAAAACAAAACAAAACAAAACAAAAAAAGACAAATCCTTCAGTCTACCTTCCAACCATATGGCTACCTCATAAACCTCTTATATACAGTAAGTCTGGAACAACTGTGTGTTCAAGCATAAACCTCCTAGGTTCTCAGTATTATGAGTTTGCTGGAGTGGAAAAGGAAACTATAATAGATGGAATGAAGGTTGGGAACCTTACCAAGAGAAGAGAGCATCTCAGACACTTCCATTCAGTCTATGATCCAGTATTAAAGGGCTTACCAATAACGTAATTGAAGCAAATGTTGCAACCAGCTGATCCAACTTGGTGGGCAGAGATTGTGTTCTTTCCCACAAAAATCTTTCTATATTTTTGGATGGTGTAGGCAGGGGAAAGCTCTCTGGAGGGTAGGTAATAATGAAGCCTTTTACACAGATGATTAATCTATTTATGTATTTTTTTATTCTACTTAGTAAGGGAACTCGTCATTGTTTTAATGTAATTGAACTAAATTCTTAAAAAACCTTTTGCTGAGGTAGAAACATGTTAATTGATATATGGAGTTTGGGGCTGCTTAATTAAATTAAAAAAAAGTTTTCATGCCTGAAAAGAGAAATAGGGAACACTTTCTTGACATCTGAATGAAGTATGTAGTCTGAAGGCTGAGGGATGGATAAGACTGGAGAAGTCTTCCCATTTATTCAATAAATATTTGCAAAGGGCATTTTATAAGCAAGGCACTGTGCTATCATAGAAGCTTTTGTCACTAATTAAGATTTGGCTTCAGTTGCTAAGTTAACTTCAGAAAGGGATAAATTTAGGCTAGGCTTTTAAAACATATGAGCACAAGCAAAATGATGCACCTTTCTCCACATGTAACCAAAGAAGTGACATTCACTTCAAACTAGTCAGTTTCATAGGCAGTGTAATTATTACAGTAGCACAACTACTACTCAGAAACATATTTGAAAAGCTTTTCTCGAGACTTTAGACATTTTAGTCTTTCTTTATATATACTCAAATGTAACGAACCTTCATCCTTTGAAGATAGATTTCATCGTTGGGAAAAAGTATAAAGTTACACAAAACAATCAAATGGTAAAGGAAATGAGTGATCAATTTGATTAATATCTGTTTTGATCTACACCATCTCAAAGATATTCTCTGAGCCAGAGCATATCATGCTGAAAAACTCGTTACAAGACTAAAAATCCTTCTAATTTTTATTTATTTATTTATTTATTTATTTTTTCCTCCAATTTTGTGGGTACATAGTAGGTGTATACATTTATGGGGTTCTTTAGATACTCTGATACAGATATGAAACAAACAATAACCACATCATGGAAAGTGGGGCATCCATCCCCTCAAGGATTTATCTTTTGGGTTACAGACATTTTTATTTATTTAAAAAATGGACAATTAAATTATTACATACCATAATCACCCTGTTAGGCTATCAAATACTAGCTCTTCTTTATTCTTTCTAATTACATGCATTTTTCTGCCCATTAACCATCCCCACTTCCCTCCCAACCCTCACTACCCTTTCCAGGCTCTCATAAACATCCTTCTACCCTCTCACTCCATGGGTTCAATTGCTTCAATTTTTAGCACCCACAAATGAATGAGAATATGCAAATTTTCTCTTTCTGTGTCTGACTTTTTTAACCTAATAACCTCCAGTTCTACCCATGTTGCTAATGACAGGATCTCATTCTTTTGTATGGCTGCATAGTACTCCATTGTGTATATGTACCATATTTTTTAAATCCAATCAATCATTTGTTGATGGACATTTAGACTGCTTCCAAATCTTGGCTATTGTGAACAGTGCTGCAACAAACATGAGAGTGTAGATATCTCTTTGATATACTGATTTCCTTTCTTTTGGTTACATACCCAGCAGTGGGATTGCTGGATTGTATGGTAGTTCTATTTTTAGATTTTTGAGGAAACTCCAAACTGTTATCCATAGTGGTTACACTAATTTACATTCCCACCAACAGAGCATGAGGATTCTCTTTTCTCCACAACCTCACCAACATTTGTTATTGCCTGTCTTTTGGATATAAGCCGTTTTAATTGAGGTGAGATGATATCTCATTGTAGTTTTGATCTGCATTCCTCCAATGACCAATGATGTTGAGCACCTTTTCATATGCCTGTTTGCCATTTGTATGTCTTTTTTGGAGAAATATCTATTTAAATATTGTGTCCATTTTAATTGGATTTTTTTCTATGGAGTTGCTTGAACTCCTTATATATTCGGTTATTAATCCACTGTCAGTTATTACACAATAATATTGATAGAATGCAACTTTATTAAAAGTTTTGATGAAAAATTGTCATTGATGATACACTAAAACAAGTTTCTTTATGTCTGCTTTGTGATTAAGTGATGAAAAATCCTTAAGTAACAGAGACTTGGCCATACTAGACACTGTTGCATTATTTTCATGCCATTCTGAAAACATAATGTTACACAATCTGTTTTCCTCAAAACTCATAAATGTTATCTAGCCCCAGTTGATATTAGTAGAACTCATACCAAATGTTGAGTATCTGCGGTTTCTGTGCATTCCTTATAATATATGTCCTTTTCCACAGAAACTTTAATAATGTTCCAGATTTTTTTCATGATGAGATTTAATTGCTTCTTTACCTTATTGTAATTCCTTGTCCACCTTTCTCACAATGAATTTTCTTTAGCAATAAGCTAAAACTCTATGTCTTATCAAGACTGTCTCCTTCAGTTTCTTTCAACATTGTGATATATAAATCCCCTTATTTAGAGACTTTAAAATATACAAAAGTTTCCAGAATTTTTGGATACTCCTCTATTGTAAGATATTAATTTCAAATTTGGACCATGTTTTATGCTCAAAGATGTTCAATACAGTGTTTAAATTCAGGCTCCTTTTGTTGAAAGTTTCAGAAACTCAACTAAAACTAGCTTTTAATATGAAGAGATTACTAGTTTATTGATTCAAAGAAGGATTGAAAAGCCAAGCTGTGGAATCTATAGGGGTCACTTTACTTCAGGAGCAACTGGAGCAGGAATTCAAATTTGTCTCTCAGAACTATTTTTCTTTGAATAGCTGTTTAATTGACTTTCATCACAAATCACTTCTTGCCACGTGACACTATTTATAGTTTCACACAGCTTCCAGGGACTTAATTTATACATTTAACCATAGAGGGAGGGTGCTCTCTTAGACTGCAAATCCAAAAACTTTCTAGGGGAGAAAATAATTAAGTTTGAGGTCAGATGCTAACAGTTTAACCATTCAACTATGGCCTGAAGCTTAAGGCCTTGCCAGAACATGACAGAATCTTTGGGAAGGATGTGGCTAGAGTAGGTATGTAAGCAATCTCAGGAGAAGGGGTGAGAGATACTGGAGAGTACAATAATAGGAAACTTGTAAATGTGTAGATATTGTAACCAACTCTAATGACCAATAACTCCTGATTTGTTAAATAAACGAGAATACATATATTCAATAGAATCTTTGATACCATTAAAAGTAATATCTAAAAGGATTTTTTAATAATTCAGATAAATACCATTTATATAACTTCAAAAACAACTAGTAGGATGCAAAAATGTATATACAGTATTATCTTAATTACATAAAACAATTCATAGAAAAAACTGCAAGAGCATGTAAAATATTAATTGATATTGACTACCTGTGTTCTATCTTATTTGCTTATGCATATTTCCACTTTCAAATTTTCTAAAACTTCCTAAAGTTTGTTAGTTTTACAAAACAAAACAAAAAATGCTATTAAATAACTCTCTTACATTTGACATTTTCCATCCCCATAAGCTTCTTTTACTACAGCAAATTCTCAAAGATTTAACTTCACACAATTTGATAACAATTGTCACTCAAAATAATGGTCATTCGTTTTTTAAAATTCTCATGGAGCAATATGTATTTCTAATTATCACAGCTGACAGCACAGCATGGAATAAACGACTTAAAACACTGCTGTTGTATGATGATATCTGTCACAATAAATACCTGTAATAAGTAAACACATTCTTCCTTTCTCCACAAGTCCTAAATTAAAATCTAGAACTGTGCTTTCTTCAACTTTTGTGTGTTAGCATTTACTTTTTATTTTTTCCCTAAAGAATAGTGTGCTTTGAGGTATGTTTCTAGGTTGCTTATATTTAGCTTTTAAAATAAATAGATTTACTTAAAATAAAAACCATATTCATGAAATGACAACTATATGACAATTGGGGAAAAAGAAAAAACTGAGAGTGGTGTTTCATTTTACACGATGGTTCATTATAGGATTCCTTAAAATTACCATATTTTTAATACATTTGAAAATGACTCCAGGAAAACTGCACATTATATATCAATTTTATAAAATGAAGTCCATCAGTGTAAAGGAAGTGAGATATCAGGAATCACAGTGTTACTGCCATGTAATTTACAAGTTACAACAATCCTAGTATTATATGTTATTAGTTAGATCTCATCTATAGATGCAAGTAATTTCCTCAAGTGCAAAAAGCTAAAAAATGGCATATCTGTAACATAAACTTAGAAATTTCTAATTCAGCATTCATAATATTTCAGGATGTTCAGATGTAGAAACCAAATGTCAGATGTGAGCAAAACTACTTAAAATGTAATAGTAATAATATAATATTTGTAACTTTGATTTAGAATCTCCCAGTGCTTATTAATCTATAATCTCACATGGATTCCATTTGCCTAGTAACGGTAAACATAGAGTTCTCATACCACCTTTAAAAAAATCAGTCTGGATGAGATTTTTTTTTTGTTTTTTTGAGACAAAGTTTTGCTCTTGTTGCCCAGGCTGGAGTGCAATGGCACGATTTCAGCTCACCGCAACCTCCGCCTCCCGGGTTCAAGTAGTTGTCCTGCCTCAGCCTCCTGAGTAGCTGGGATTACAGGCATGTGCCACCACACCTGGCTAATTTTGTATTTTTAGTAGGGACAGGGTTTCTCCATGTTGGTCAGGCTGGTCTTGAACTCCTGATCTCAGGTGATCCACCCGCCTCAGCCTCCCAAAGTGCTGGGATTACAGGCGTGAGCCACCACGCCCAGCCCTGTATGAAACTTTTAATATGCCTCCCATAAGTTCTAGCCCCTGCAAAGTTGCCCCTATTCAGTAATGGCATCCCCATTTACCAAGTTGCACAAACCAGAAATGTTTTGAAATTTTTATCACAGTTCATTTACCCATACTGAAATGTTATATACTGTTTTGATCACCAAAATATGTCCTGAATCTGTCCTTTTTACTCCATTCCTACTGCCACATTAGTCCAAAGAACGAATTACCATCACTTTCTAAGACTACTGCAATAACTTCCTTAGAGTTCTCTCAGTTCCACTCTTATCTCGCCACTTTATTCCTACCACAACACAAAGAATAATCTATTTAAAATATTAATAATTTTGATATATTTTGACTGAAGAAAGTCTTGGAAGAAAACAAGAGATTCACCATGTTTCTAACTGTGATAACATAGTGATATTAAAATATTGATGCCCTCTATATTAACTTATAAACTTAGTTTAATTTCAATAAAATCCCAGTAATATTTCATTTGAAAGCTGATCATCTGATCTAAAATTATATGAAATGAGAAAGTCTGCAAGTAAGAAAATGTACAATAACAATAAATAAAAGTAGGGTGGGGTATTTTCTCTGATAAATATTCAGAATTTATTATAAAAGCAATGTTTTATTTTAGTAACTAAAAAACCAATAGAACAGAGGTGGTATAACAAATCAGTGAAAAAAAATGAATTATTTAGTAAATGTCTTACCAAACGTAGTTTACTCTATGGAGAAAAAAGAGGTCGATCTCTGCCTCACAAGTTATAAAAAACTGTACAGGGGTCAAACAACAAGACAAGAAAAAATAAAACTATAACCCACTAAAGAAAAATAATGAGAAAGTATCTCTGTGATCTTCACGTTGTGGAAAGAGTACTTTTTTTCCCCTCTAACTCCTCTATCTCTTCCAAAAACAAAACCGTCTTACATATAATGTCAGGAGTATCTGCCAACTTGTAAAAAATAGGAAAAGATCATTTGTGGTCCGGGAGAGAATGGCTCTTCCAAACCCTTTGCTCTTTTTATTTTCCCCTCTCCAGGTTTCTTTTTTTCCCACTTGTATTTTGGATTCAGGCAGTACACATGCATGCAGGTTTTTAATCTGGGTATATTGTGTAATGCTGAGGTTTGGGGTATGAATGGTTTTTCACCCAGGTACTGAAGATAGTGCCCACTAGTTACCTAGTTTTTAAACCATTTCTATACCTATTTCTCCCCTCAAGTTGTCCGCAGTTTCTACTGTATCCATCTTTACATCCATGATTACCAAATGTTTAGCCTCCATTTATAAGCGACAACATGTGATATTTGGTTCTCTGTTTCAGCATAAATTCACTTAGGATAATGGCCAGCAGCTGCTTCCATGTTGCTGAAAAGGACATGATCTCACTATTCTTTATGGCTGTGTAGTATTTCATGGTATATACGTACCATATTTTCTTTCTTTTTTTTTTATTATACTTTAAGTTTTAGGGTACATGTGCACATTGTGCAGGTTAGTTACATATGTATACATGTGCCATGCTGGTGCGCTGCACCCATTAACTCGTCATCTAGAATTAGGTATATCTCCCAATGCTATCCCTCCCCCCTCCCCGCATCCCACAACAGTCCCCAGAGTGGGATATTCCCCTTCCTGTGTCCATGTGATCTCATTGTTCAATTCCCACCTATGAGTGAGAATATGCGGTGTTTGGTTTTTTGTTCTTGCGATAGTTTACTGAGAATGATGATTTCCAATTTCATCCATGTCCCTACAAAGGACATGAACTCATCATTTTTTATGGCTGCATAGTATTCCATGGTGTATATGTGCCACATTTTCTTAATCCAGTCTATCGTTGTTGGACATTTGGCTTGGTTCCAAGTCTTTGCTATTGTGAATAATGCCGCAGTAAACATACGTGTGCATGTGTCTTTATAGCAGCATGATTTATAGTCCTTTGGGTATATACCCAGTAATGGGATGGCTGGGTCAAATGGTATTTCTAGTTCTAGATCCCTGAGGAATCGCCACACTGACTTCCACAATGGTTGAACTAGTTTACAGTCCCACCAACAGTGTAAAAGTGTTCCTGTTTCTCCACATCCTCTCCGGCACCTGTTGTTTCCTGACTTTTTAATGATCGCCATTCTAACTGGTGTGAGATGGTATCTCATTGTGGTTTTGATTTGCATTTCTCTGATGGCCAGTGATGATGAGCATTTTTTCATGTGTTTTTTGGCTGCATAAATGTCTTCTTTTGAGAAGTGTCTGTTCATGTCCTTCACCCACTTTTTGATGGGGTTGTTTGTTTTTTTCTTGTACATTTGTTTGAGTTCATTGTAGATTCTGGATATTAGCCCTTTGTCAGATGAGTAGGTTGCAAAAATTTTCTCCCATTTTGTAGGTTGCCTGTTCACTCTGATGGTAGTTTCTTTTGCTGTGCAGAAGCTCTTTAGTTTAATTATATCCCATTTGTCAATTTTGGCTTTTGCTGCCATTGCTTTTGGTGTTTTAGACATGAAGTCCTTGCCCATGCCTATGTCCTGAATGGTAATGCCTAGGTTTTCTTCCAGGGTTTTTATGGTTTTAGGTCTAACGTTTAAGTCTTTAATCCATCTTGAATTGATTTTTGTATAAGGTGTAAAGAAGGGATCCAGTTTCAGCTTTCTACATATGGCTAGCCAGTTTTCCCAGCACCATTTATTAAATAGGGAATCCTTTCCCCATTGCTTGTTTTTCTCAGGTTTGTCAAAGATCAGATAGTTATAGATATGCGGCGTTATTTCTGAGGGCTCTGTTCTGTTCCATTGATCTGTATCTCTGTTTTGGTACCAGTACCATGCTGTTTTGGTTACTGTAGGCTTCTAGTATAGTTTGAAGTCAGGTAGTGTGATGCCTCCAGCTTTGTTCTTTTGGCTTAGGATTGACTTGGCGATGCGGGCTCTTTTTTGGTTCCATACGAACTTTAAAGTAGTTTTTTCCAATTCTGTGAAGAAAGGCATTGGTAGCTTGATGGGGATGGCATTGAATCTGTAAATTACCTTGGGCAGTATGGCCATTTTCACGATATTGATTCTTCCTACCCATGAGCATGGAACGTTCTTCCATTTGTTTGTATCCTCTTTTATTTCCTTGAGCAGTGGTTTGTAGTTCTCCTTGAAGAGGTCCTTCACATCCCTTGTAAGCTGGATTCCTAGGTATTTTATTCTCTTTGAAGCAATTGTGAATGGGAGTTCACTCATTTTCTTTATCAAATTCACCATTGCTGAGCACTTAGGTTGATTCCATGTCTTTGCAATTGTAAATGTTGCTACAGTCAACATGAGAGTGAATGTGTCTTTTTGGTAGAATGATTTGTTTTCTTTTGGATATATACCCAGTAATGAGACTGCTGAGTTGAACAGTAGTTCTAAGTTCTTTGAGAAATCTCCAAACTGCTTTCCAGAGCTGCTGAATTCATTTACACTCCCACCAATAGTGTATAAGTGTTCCCTTTTTTCCACAGCCTCGTCAGCATATGTTGTTTTATGAATTTTTAATAGTGGCTATTCTGACTAGTGTGAGATTATAATGGTAAGTGATGCGGAGCTTTATTTTCATATATTTGTTAGCCGCATGTATGTCTTCTTTTGAGAAGTGTCTGTTCATGTCTTTTGTACACTTTTGAATGGAATTACTTGTTTCTTACTTGTTCAATTGTTTAAGTTCCTTATAGATTCTGTATATTAGATCTTTGTCAGATGCAGAGACTGCAAATATTTTCTCCCATTCTGTAGATTGTTTACTCTGTTGATAGTTTCTTTTGCTGTGCAGAAGCACTTTAGTTTAATCAGGTTCCAGCTGTCAATGTTTGTTAGTTGCAATTGCTTTTGAGGACTTAGTCATAAATTCATTCCCAAGGCCAGTCCAGATGGTGTTTCCTAGGTTTTCTTCTAAGATTCTTATGGTTTGAGTTCTTACATTTAAAACTACAATTCATCTTGAGTTCATTTTTTATGTTTCATATGTTAAAAGTTAAGGGTTCAGTTCCATTCTTCTGCATATGGCTAGCCAGCTTCATTTATTGAATAGGGAGTCCTTTCTTTTTTGGTTATTTTTGTTCACTTAGTCAGAGATCAGATGGTTGTAGGTGTTAGGCTTTATTTCTGTGTTCTATATTCTGTTTCACTGGTCTATGTGTCATTTTTGTACGAGTACTATGCTCTTGTGGTTAATGGTAGCCTTATAATAGTATAGTTTGAAGCTGGGTAATGTGATGCCTCTGGTTTTGTTCTTGTTGTTTTGGATTTCTTTGGCTAATCAGGCTCTTTTTTGGTTCCATATCAATTTTAGAATAGTTTTTCCAATTTGGTGAAAAATGATGTTGGTAGCATGATATGAATAGTGTTTAATCTGTGTATTGCTTTAGGCAGCATGGCCGTTTTAATGATACTGATTTTTCCGATCCACGAGCATGAAATGTTTTTTTCCTATTTTTTTTGTGTCATCTATGATTTCTTTTCACAGTGTTTTATAGTTCTTGTAGAGATCTTTTGCCTTCTTGGCTAGATGTATTCCTAGCTAATTTTTTTGGCTATTTTAAATGGAATTGAGTTCTTGATATGGCTCTCAGTCTAAACATTATTGGTGTATAGAAATGCCACTGATGTTTTTCACTGATTTTGTATCCTGAAACTTTACTGAAGTTGTTTATCAGTTACAGGAGCCCTTCGGCAGAGTCTTTAGGAATTTCGAAGTATAGGATCATATCATCCATGAAGAGAGATAGTTTGACTTACTTATTCTTTTCCTATTTGGATGCCATTTATTTATTTTTCTTGCTTGATTGCTCTGGCTAGAAATTCCATTACTATGTTAAATAGGAGTGGTGAGAAAGGGGACCCTTGTCTTTTTCCAGTTCTCAAGGGAAATGCTTCCAGTTTTTGCCCTTTCAGTATGATGTTGGCTGTGGATTTGTCATGGATAGCTTTATTATTTTAAGATATGTTCCTTTCATGATTAATTTCTTGAGGATTTTTATCTTGAAGGGTTGTTAAATCTGATCAAAAGCTATTTCAATATCTATTGAGATGATCATATGGTTTGCATTTTTAATTCTGTTTCTGTAGTGAATCACATTTAGTGATTTGTATATGTTGAATCAACCTTGCATCCCAGAAATGAAGCCTACTTGATAATGGTGAATTAACTTTTTGATGTGCTGTTGGATTCAATTGGCTAGTATTTTATTCAGAAATTTTGCATCTGTGTTCATCAGGGATATTGGCCTGTAGTTTTCTCTTTTCATTTTTTCTTTGGCGGGTTTTAGTATCAGCATGATGCTGGCCTCCTAGAACGAGTTTAGGAGGAGTCCCTCCTTCTCATTCTTTTGAGAATAACTTTAGTAGAATTCAGAGCAACTCTTTCGTAGGTGTGGTAGAATTCAGCTGTAAATCCATCTGGTCTGGGGCTTTTATGGTTGGTAGATTTTTTTATTACTGAATCAATTTGTGAATTCTATATTGGTCTGTTCAGGGTTTCAATTTCTTCCTGATTCAATCTTAGGTGACTGTGTGTTTGCATGAATTTATTCATTTCTTCCTGATTTTCTAGTTTTTGCGTGTAGAGGTGTTCATAATAGTCTGTAAGGATCTTTCGTACTTTTGTATTCCTGTGGGATACGTTGTAATGTCACTTTTGTTGTTTCTTTCTTTCTTTTCTTTTTTTTTTTTTTTTTTTTTTGAGATGGAGTCTCGATCTGTCACCAGGCTGGAGTGCAATGATGCAATCATGGCTCCTGGAGACTTACCTGGTCATGGAGCAGAGAGGGCCCCTCTGCACCATGATCTCTGCATAGGAAGGATGCAGTGATTGTGGCTGCTGAGCCAAGAAAGCAGATGCTCTGAATGACTGGAGATCCACCTCAGTGTGTAGCCGAAAGGGCTCCCCTTCACCAGGATCTCTGCATAGAAAGGGTGGGGTTCAGTTTGCTAAACCAGGCAAGCAGGTGATCCGAATTCCTGGAGATACGTCTGGGTGTATAGCACAAAGGGTCCTCTTGCACCAGGATCTCTGCACAGGAAGGGTGGGTGGCTCAGGCTGCTGATCCAGGGGAGTTTACTCCAAATGCCTAGAGATGTGCATTGGCATGAAGTGGAGAGGGCCTCACTGCAACACTATCTCTTCACAGGAATGGTGGTAGTGGGTAAAGCTGCTGATCCATGTGAGCAGGTGTTCTGAATGCCTGGAGACCTGCTTAGGCATGGAGAAGAGGCCATGCTACACAATGATGTGTGTCCATGAAGGGTGGGGTGGCTCAGGCTGCCGGTCCAGGCAAGTGGGTGCTCCAGATGCCTGGATTTCTGCCTGGAGGTGGAGTAAAGAGAGCCATGCTGCACAATGATCTTAGGGGAGCAAGCTGGGACATGCAGCAACAGCACATGCAGACGAGTTCCAGGTCACTAAGCTAGCCTGTGCAACAAGTTTCACTACCCAAGGTAAACTGCTGCTGTAGCAGCCCTCCTCTTGCCCCAGGCTTGCAATGGGGAAGAGCACAATTCCAGCACCTAATGCTGAGGTGCTTGGAAGAACTTCTTAAACAATATAAAAAAAATAATGATGGGAACATAAGGAACATGAATATGCCTCCTGCTCCCAAAATAAGAATTTCAGTTCTAATGAAGCCAAAGTTAACACCATCCAAAAGTTAACACGCAGGTGACAGACTAGGAGTAGACATATGCAATATCATAAGCCAAAAATGGATTTATATCTAGAATACACAAGGAATTCCTACAAACCTATAGGACAAAGACAGAAAATCCAATAGAAAAAAAGGACAAGGAATACAGGCAGACAAGGTTTAGAGTGAGAAAACAAATGGCTAGTTAATTAATAAGTGCTTAACCTTTTATAATCATAAAAATACATATTGAAATAACTACATAATACCCCCTTATATCCATCAGATTAGCAAATTTAGAAAGTCAGATAAGATTAAGACCTGGTGGGGATGTAGGAGCACTCATGTACTGTCATGTTGGTCTATACTAGAAAAAAAAAAGCTTTCTGAAAAGCATTCTGTAATTATTTAATGTTTACTATATGTATGACTTCTGTAATTATTTAATGTTTACTATATGTATGACCTATAAGCCAGAGATCCCAAATAAACTTGAGTACAGAACCATAGGACATGTAATAGAGGTTAATCACAGTGTTGTTTGGAAGTAAAATCGTGGAACTTAAACTGTCCATCACTAGGGAAATGGCTATGCAAAATGTAACAGGATTACAATAAAATCCTATGCAGCAGTAAAAAGTAAAAAAAAAAAAAAAGATTTATATATTTAAAGCACCGTACTTTTTCCATAAATTAAAACACACACATAAAGTAGCACTGTATAATTTTTACAATACACATATATCCAAATAATTATATGGAATGTAGACTAGAATCACATAATGTAATCTACTAAAGTAGGTATCAATTATGGAGAGAAGGGAAGAGGCATACTTTTGGAGAACAAATAGGAAAATGAAAAATAAATATAAAATAAAATAGTAGTGTAGCCAAGGCTCATGCTGACAACATGACAGGAACTGAGCAGTATGAGCAACTAAATTCTATGTACTTGAGATCTAAACAACAACAAGAAAAAGCAGATTATGTTATTACCTTGTGTTCCATTAGATGTTCAATAAATATTTTTTGAGTGAATGAAAATGGCCAAAGCAAAAAGTAGAATTGTCTGGAAGAATGTCAATCAAAATGTCTTTATAATTCTATTTGCATGGTAGAAATATAGGTGATATTTATATATTGGATTATTACTTGTAGGTATTAATGTTAATGTCATTATTTCTTTTGTTTTAAACTGAAAATATATTGCATTTACAACAAGTGAAAAAATAAATCTATTTTCATTTTCCAGGCAACAAACATAAACAAATAATATGCTGCCCACGTAAGATATTTGGCATTGATATAATTATATACCAAGCCTTAAGTTAGAGGAGACTTAAAAAATGACAAGAACATTAGTCATTTTCAGCTTTTGCACCACTTATTTAAAGCTATATGTTAATAAAGGGATTGGATCTAAACTTGGTTTCTGAATGACTCAGTTACCTAGATAAAGATTGTGCTTTTGAAGCTGATCTGTAGCTTCCATTTAGATTGGGTTCTGCCTCTGATCCATTAGCATTTTTCAATAACTGGCTATTATAATAGAATAATGGATCACAAACACATTGAACATATATTTAATTTTATCATGTGACAGTTATACTCTTCCACAAAATAAGCAAATAGCATTGTTTGCATATAAATGGGAAAAATATTGGAAAGACCTGTTGAGAAACTTAAGTCACTTAGTGTAACTATTTTCAAGTAAGGGGACAAAATACCACATAAGATACCAATAAAATCCTTGGAGAGATCAATTAATCTACAAATACCCAAGTTCTAATTCCTACCCTGTCTTTTGCAACGTCAAAGACTATAATATATATTTATGTAGAAAAGTATGCTTCATATGGGACCTTAATTGTTCTCTTCATGCCAACGGAATTCTAACTGAAACATTTTTTTTTACTTTATAGTATATGCAAAATAAACAGGCAGAGCTTCTCATTAATTCAGAGGCACTATTATTAACGAATATGTAAATATGAGTATATGGACTGGTGTGATACCCACTTGCACTAGGTATATACTTAAAAAGAAAGGAATTTGTAGATATATGGTATACCCAATATTCACGGAAAATGAGAAAATACATTCTTTCAATAACCACTTTATCTTGAATTAATTTTTCTATAAGGTGTAAGGAAGGGATCCAGTTTCAGCTTTCTACATATGGCTAGCCAGGTTTCCCCGCACCATTTATTAAATAGGGAATCCTTTCCCCATTTCTTGTTTTTGTCAGGTTTGTCAAAGATCAGATGGTTGTAGATATGTGGCATTATTTCTGAGGGCTCTGTTCTGTTCCATTGGTCTATATCTCTGTTTTGGTACCAGTACCATGAGAAATGCAAATAAAAACCACAATGAGATACCATCTCACACCAGTTAGAAAGGCGATCATTAAAAAGTCAGGAAACAACAGATGCTGGAGAGGATGTGGAGAACTGGGAACACTTTTACACTGTTGGTGGGACTGTAAACTAGTTCAACCATTGTGGAAGTCAGTGTGGCGATTCCTCAGGGATCTAGAACTAGAAATACCATTTGACCCAGCCATCCCATTACTGGGTATATACCCAAAGGATTATAAATCATGCTGCTATAAAGACACATGCATGCGTATGTTTATTGTGGCACTATTCACAATAGCAAAGACTTGGAACCAAGCCAAATGTCCAACAATGATAGACTGGATTAAGAAAATGTGGCACATATACACCATGGAATACTATGCAGCCATAAAAATGATGAGTTCATGTCCTTTCTAGGGACATGGATGAAGCTGGAAACCATCATTCTCAGCAAACTATCACAAGGACAAAAAACGAAACACTGCATTGTTCTCACTCATAGGTGGGAATTGAACAATGAGAACACATGGACACAGGGAGGGGAACATCACACACCGGGGCCTGTTGTGGGGTTGGGGGAGGGGGGAGGGACAGCATTAGGAGATATACTTAATGTTAAATGACGAGTTAATGGGTGCAGCACACCAACATGGCACATGTATACATATGTAACTAACCTGCACGTTGTGCACATGTACCCTAAAACTTAAAGTATAATAATAAAAAAAAAACACTTTATCTTCATTTGATTGTACGAGAAAGAATATAATGATAAGCTGGTGAGGTGATCAATATATTAATTTGCTTGAATCTTTTTATAATGTATACAGAGATAAAAAAAAGTCACATTGTAACACATGAATATACAAAACTATTGTTTGTCAATCAAGAATTGAAAATAAATGAGATTGTGAGCTGATCCCCAAACAAACACACACACACACATACACGAATTACTCTATAAATTATTTCACTAATTTTGGTTGCTTTCTTCCTCCACCAAATCACTGATTATTAAAAAAAAATTGTATAAGGCATTTCTGTAAACTAAAAAAAAAAAACAAGGAAAGTATTCTTTTTCAAGGGGTAGAATCTTACTATGTTTCATGACAAGATTTGATGAAAGGCTAAATCAATGAGGACTCTATTGAATAACTTAAACCCTCAACTTCCACTATGATCAAGGTCATGAGGAAATTCAAGTTGATGGCACCCTGCTGATTTCCAGAAATAAGTAGAAATATTCAAGTGGCTCCACATCCTGAAGAAGAGAATGACATATAGAATGTAGCATTGTTTCTGCTTTTTTCTTAAAGCTTTTCAAAAATTTTAACATTAGAATTTTATGTCACTTTTTTCTGACAATTTCCTTTTTATTATTATTTTTATAGATTTAGGGGGCGCAAGCACAAGTGTGTTACATGGATGGATTGCATAATTCTGGGCTGTTAGTGTACCCAACACCTGAATAGTACACATTGTAACCAATGGGTAGTATTTCATGTTTCACTGCCTCCCACTTTCCCATCTTCTGTAGTCCTCAGTGTCTACTATTATTTCCAACTTTATGTCCACAAGTACCCGTTGTTTTAGCTCCCACTTATAAGTGAGAACATGTTGTTTATTACTTTCTGTTTTGAATCATTTCACTTAGGATAATGGCCTCCAATTCCATCCATGTTGCTGCAAAATATAAGAAGGTGGCATTTTTTTCAACAAAAATCTTGAAGAAATTCAAATGTTATTTAAGACATTTAGTATGCATAATTTGACTCTTTTCTTCAAGTCATTATTACAGATTTCCATGCTTTAAAATGATCAGAAAATCTAGTTTAGTCAGTTCAGAATATAATAAATACTAAAATATTGTAAATATTTTACTTAAATGTTTTAAATTGAGACCACAGGCAAACAAAATTACAGTAATGAACATGCATATTTAGATCCACTGTCCAAAAGAGTTAAACCATTTGTATTAAAAAAAATGCAGGGATGTTTTGAAAAAAATCCCTGATATGGTTTGAATGTGCGTCCCCTCCAAACCTTATGTTGAAATGTGATCTCCAGTGTTGGAGGTGGACCTAGTGGGAGGTGTTTGGGTCATGGGGTTGGACTCCTCATGAATGGTTTGGTGTTGTCCCCATGGTAATGAGTGAGATCTCACTCTATTTGTTCACATGAGAGCTGTTTGTTTGTTTAAAAGAACCTACAATCAGCCGGGTGCGGTGGCTCACACCTGTAATCCCAGCAATTTGGGGGGCCAAGGTGGTGGATCACAAGGTCAGGAGTTCGAGACCAGCCTGACCAACATGGTGAAACCCCACCTCTACTAAAAATACAAAAATTAGCAGGGCATGGTGGTGTGTGCCTGTAATCCCAGCTACTCAGGAGACTGAGATAGGAGAATTGCTTGAACTCGTGAGACGGAGGTTGCAGTGAGCCGAGATCACACCACTTCACTCCAGCCTGGGTGACAGAGCAAGACTCCAACTCAAAAAAAAAAAAAAAAAAAAAAAAGAACCTGGAATCTCCTCCTTTTTCTCTTGCTCCCTCTCTCACCTTCTACCCTGAGTAAAGGCTCCCTAAGTCCTCACCAGAAGCTGAGCAGATGCAGATGCTGGTGCCATATGTGTACAGCCTGCAGAACCGTGAGCCAAATAAACCATTTTTTTTTAATTACCCAGCCTCAGGTATTCCTTTATAGAAATGCAAAATGGACTAACATCCCCTACAAAAAAAAACCCCACAACTCCAAATACAGATTTTAAAAGCTGAAAAAATGGAAAAATTAACTCTTCTTAGAGCCATAAATGAAGTGAGGTCTCAGTGCAAACTACTGCCTCCAAAATTGAAGACAGAGATGGTAAATATAGAGTCGCAATTTAAAAGAGCAGAAACTTCTGAGGAAACCAGTGCTAGGGTAGGAAAACCTGAACTATAATTGATGACTAGCTGGAGGCTCAGTGTGGGCAACTCTGAGAGTTAAAACTCCAGTGGATCCAGCCGTGGGGCATAGGACTCGCTTTTACAAGTTTTATCTCCAAAAGTGCCCTGAGATTCTCGCAGTGAATATCAGAGTAGGGAGAGGGTAAAGGAAACATTTTGAAATACACAGAGCAACCCTTAAAGGGTTGGTTTTATCAGAGGCTAAGTGACCTAGGAGAAGAGAAATGCCCAACTCCAGCCCAGTCTAACCATCCTGCATCAACTAAGAGGGGGGATTAGAAGCTCATAAGAAGTTCACAGTCCAGGGTAACAGGCTCACTAAAGACTGAGATGTAATTATTATTATTATTTTATTTTATTTTAATTTTATTATTATTATACTTTAAGTTTTAGGGTACATGTGCACAATGATGTAATTATAAGACTACAGAATAGCTAAGGCAATCCTAAGCAAAAGGAACAAAGCTGGTGGCATAATGCTACTGAACTTCAAACTATGCTACAGGGCTACAGTAACCAAAACAGCATAGTACTGGTACAAAAACATACACAGAGACCAATGAAACAGAATAGAGAGCTCATGAAAAGGCTGCACGCTTACAACCATCACACGTTTGACAAAGCTGACAAAAACAAGCAATGGGAAAAGGATTCTGTATTCAGTAAACGGTGCTGGGATAACTGGCTAGCCATATTCAGAAGATTTAAACTGGACTCCTTTCTTGCACCATATACAAAAGACAACTCAAGATGGATTAAAAACTTAAATGTAAAACCCCAAACTATAAAAACCCTGAAAGACAACCTAGGCAATACCATTCTGGACATAGGAACTTTTTCATACAAAGATGCCAAAAGCAATAGCAGCAAAAGCCAAAATTGAAATGGGATATAATTAAACTATGGGATATAATTAAACAAAATGGGATATAATTAAACTAAAGAGCTTTCACACAGCAAAAGAAACTATCAACAGTGTAAACAGACAACCTACAGAATGGGAGAAAATTTTTGCAAACTATACATCCAACAAAGGTCTAACATCCAGCATCTATAAGGAACTTAAACAAATGTATAAGAGAAAAACAAACAACTTCATTAAAAAGTGGGCAAAGGACATAAACAAACACTTTTTTTTAACTTTTTTTTTGAGACAGAGTCTCACTCTATCGCCAGGCTGCAGTGCAATGGCGCAATCTCAGCTTACTGCAATCTCTGCCTCCCAGGTTCAAGCGATTCTCCTGCCTCAGCCTCCCGAGTAGCTGGGATTACAGGCACGCGCCACCACACCCAGCTAATTTTTGTATTTTTAGTAGAGACAGGGTTTCACCATATTGAACAGACACTTTTTAAAAGAAGACATGCATGCAGCCAACAAGCATATGAAAAAAAAAGCTGAATATCACTGAGCATTAGAGAAATGCCAATCAAAACCACAATGCCATACCATCTCACATGAGTCAGAAAGGCTATTGTTAAAAAGTCAAAAAATAACAGATGCTGGTGAGGTTGTGGAGAAAAGAGAATGCTTATACACTGCTGGTGGGAGTATAAATTAATTCAACCATTGTGGAAAACAGTGTGGTCATTTCTCAAAGAACTAAAAGCAGAACTACCATTTGATCCAGTAATCCCATTACTAGCTGTATATCCAAAGTCATTCTACCATAAAGACATTTGCTCACGTATGTTTATTGCAGCACTATTCACAATAGCAAAGACATGGAATCAACCTAAATGCCCATCAATGGTAGACTGTATAAAGCAAATGTGGGATATATATATATATATATAAAATATCATTGAATTCTGTGCAGCCATAAAATAGATTAAGCTTATGTCCTTTGCAGGAACATGGATGGAGCTGGAGGCTATCATCGTTAGCAAACTAACACAGGAACAGAAAACCAAATACTGCATGTTCTAACTTATAAGTTAGAGCTAAATGATGAGAACATATGGATACATAGAGAGGAACAACAGACACTGGGACCTACCTGAGGCTGGAGAGTAGGTTGAGGGAAAGGATCAGAAAAAAATAACTACTGAGTACTAGGCTTAGTAACTTGGTCATGAAATAATCTGTACAACAATCCCCTGGGACATGAATTTACCTATATAACAAACCTGCACATGTACCCCAACCTTAAAATAAATAAAATAAAAAAGGCTACAGAATTATTTTCTTCCCCACACATCTTACCACCACATTACTAAAGGCTTAATTAACAGTTACTTTTACCTAACAAACACATCATGTCTGGCTATCAAAAAATTATAAAGCATATTAAAAGGAAAAAGATACAGCTTGAAGAACAAGCATCAAAACCTAATTAGATATGGCAGGGATGCTAGAATTATCAGACCGGGAATTTTAAACTATTCTTATTATGCTAAGGGCTGTAACTGATAAAGTAGACAGCATACAAGAACAGATGGGCAATGTAAACAGAATGAGGAAAATTCTAATAAAGAATCAAAAAGAAATGCTAGAGATCAAAACACTGTAATAGAAATGAGAAAGATCTTTCATGCACTTATTAATAGACTGTACATGGCTGATAAAAGAATCCTTGAGCTTGAGGATATCTCAGCAGAAGCCTCCAAAACTGAAAAAAAGAGAAACAGAAAAGTCTGAATAAAGAAAAACAACAGAATATCCAATAAGTGTGAGGCAACTGCAAAAACTGTAACTTAGAAAATGTTAATACAAGAAGGAAAAACACATAGAGAAGGGAATAGAGGCACACTTAAAGCAAAAATGAATGAGAATTTCTTTAAATAAATGCCTGACACCAAACCCCAGATCCAAGAAACTCAGAGAATACCAAGCAGAACAAATGCCAAGAAGCTACACCTAGGCATATTATTTTTAAACTACAATTATCAAAGATGAAATAGTTCTGAAAGAACTCAGAGGGGTAAATAAAGCACCTTATCTATAGAGAAGCAAAGAGAAGAATTAAGTCTAACTATTCATCAGAAACCATGTAAGAAAGAAGAGAGTGGAGTGAAATATTGAAAGTGTTAAGAGAAGAAAAAAACACATCAGCCTAGAATTCTATATCCTGTGAAATTATCCTTCAAAACTGAGGGAGAAATAAAAACCTTCCAAAACAAATAACAATTGTAGAAACTTGAGCAAATATACCTGCCTTGCAATAAAAGTTTTAAACAAACAGTTCTTTAGGGAAAACAAAAATGTTATAGGTCAGACAGTAGTACATACATAAAGAAAGGAAGAGTATCAGACAAGAAATAAATGAAGGTAAAATAAAGAGAAAATAGTAACAAATGTACATATGAATCCAACTATATCAATAATCACTTTGAACCTTTGTACGAATTACGTTACATGAATTACATGATCTAAATGTGCACATTAAATGACAGAGTTTGACAGAGTGCATCAAAAACAAGACTCTACTGTATGTACTCTACAGGAACCCCACATTAAGTATAAAGACACAAGGAGATTAAAAGTAAATGAATGAAGAACAACATACCATATTAACATTAATCAGAAGAAAGCAGGAGCAGCTATATTAATTTTAAATGGAACCGACTTCAGAGCAAAGGAAGTAGTGTGAAATAGACAGGGACATTACACAATGATAAAGTGATCCACTCTCAAAGAAGACGTAATAATCCTTAATATGTATGCACCTAAGAACGGAGTGTCAAAATATATGATGTAAAATATTACAGAACCTTGAGGAAAAAAGATCAATCTACTATTAGAGACTACAACATGCCTCTATCAGAAATGGGCAGATCCAGCGGCAGAAAACCGGTAAGGACAAAGTTGAACTCAAAAATATCATCAAAAACTGGATATAACTGACATCTATATACTACTTCGCCCAACAACAGCAGCACATGCATTTGTATTAAGCTCATACTGAGAGACAACATTGTGAAACATAAAATGCTTTGACTGTATTTTACAAATATATAAAATATAAATCATACATCTCAGACCACAGTGGAATTAAACTAGGAATTAAACAGAAAGATGGCTGTTAAACCCTCAAATAATTGAAGAATAAGTAACAAAATTCTAAATAGCACATGAGTCAAATAATAAATCTCAAGAAATATTCATAAATATTTTGAACTACCTTAAAATACTAACAAAACTTATCAAAATTGTGGGATACGGTAAAACCAGTGCTTAGAGGGAAAATTATAGCACTGAATGCATATATCAGAAAAGGGGATTTTTACTAAGTATTAGTCATATAAAAAGAATAAAAATTATATTATAATCAAAAGAAAAGAAAATTTTAAAATCAATTGTCTAAGCACCCACCTGTAGAAACTAGAAAAAGAAGAGAAAAATATGTCTAAAGTGAACAAAATATTTATTAAAAAGGAAATAATAAAAATTAGAGTAGAAAGCCATGAAATTGAAAACACAAAATCAACAAAGAAAATCAGCAAAAGCCAGTTCTTTGACAAAAGCTCAACAAAGTGAATAAGCTTCTAGCTAGGCTAACCAAGGAAAAAAGAGAGAGACCACAAATTATTAAGATCAAAAATTAAGGAGGGATCATCACAACAGGTCCCATGAACATTAGAAAAATAATCAAGGAATGCCAGGAACAACTCTATGCTTGCAAATTTGATAATCTAGATAATACGGACCAATTGCTTGAAGGACACAATCTACCAAAACTCATACAAGAAGAAATAGGCAATCTGAACAAGCCTCTGTCTATTAAAGGAATTGTCAATAATTATTAACTTTTCGACATAGAAAGCACCAGGCACAGGTGAAGTCATTGGTGAATTCTGCCAAACATCTAAGGAAAAAACCACACCATTTCTCTGCAATCTCCTTCAGAAGATAGAAAGAGAGGAATTACTTTCAAATCCATTCTGTGCATTATTCTCATACAAAAACCTGGACAAAATTATAAGAAAACTACGGACCAATATCTCTTGTGAACATAGATTCAAAAATTTTCACGTAAGTATTAGCAAATCAATTCCAACAATGTATAAGAAATTATACACCATGACCAGGTGGGAATTATCTCAGGTTTGTAAGACTGTTTCAACTTTTGAAATCAATTAGACTTGACCCTTGAACAACAAGAATTTGAAATGTGTGGATCCACTGATATAAATTTTCTTAAACTACAAATATAAACCACAAATTTTCTTCTTCCTCTATCTCCTTTGAGAGTGTAAGACCAACAATGAGGAAGACCTCATTGTTCTCAGACTACTCCATGTGAAGACAAGAATGAAAGCCTTTGTGATGATCCACTTCCACTTCATGAATAGTAAATATATTTTATCTTCCTTACAGTTTTCTTAATAACATTTTCTTTTATCTAGCTTACTTTATTGTAAAAAACTGTATATAATACATATGACATACAAAATATATATTAAACAACTGTTTATGTTATTGTCAAGGCCTCCAGTCAACAGCCAGCTATTAGTGAAGATTTTGGAGCCTTACACATGACTTTTTGACTGTGCAGGGTATTGGTGCTCCTATTTTCCACATTGTTCAAGGGTCAACTGTCTCATCAATATGCTAAAGAAAATAAATTACATGCTCATATCAATAAATGCAGAAAAAGCATTTGATGCAATCCAACATCTGCTTATGATTAAAAAAATTCTCAGTAACCATTAATAGGAATAGAAGGCAACTTCCTCGACTTGATAAAGTATAGCTACAAAACACCTAGAACTAACTGCTTACTTAATGGAGACTAACTTTCTCACTAAGATCAGGCAAAATCCAAGATGGCATCTCTCACCACTGCTTTCAACACTGTACTGGATGTCCTAGTTAATATAATAAGAAAATGAAATAAAAAGTATACCTATTGTGAAGGAAGAAATAAAAGTGTCTTTGTAGATGATATGGTTGACTGTGTGTATGAAATCCAAAAGAATCAACAAAAAAATGTGTTACTCATAAGAGATTATAGCAAGGTTGCAGGATACAAAGTTAATATACAAATGTCAATTGCTTTCCTATATACCAGCAATGAACAAGTGGAATTTTAAATTAAAACTTCAATACCATTTATATTAGCACTCCAAAAAATAAAATAATAAGGTATAAATCAAACAAAATATGCACATGATCCATATGAAGAAAAGCACAGAACTCTGGTGAAAGAAATAAAAGAATAACTGGATAAATGAAGAAATATCCCATGTCCATTGATAGGTAGATTCAATAATGTCAAGATGTCAGTTATCTCCAGCTTCATCTACAGTTTCAGGAGAATCTCAATTTTAATCCCAGAAAGTTATTTTTTGGATATCAATAAAATGATTCTAAACTTTATATGGAGAGACAAATGACTCAGAATAGCCAATACGATCTTGAAGAAAAAGATGAAAGTTGAAGTATTGACACTACTTGACAACAAAACTTCCTATATAGTAATTAAGACATTGTAGTATTGGTAAAATAAAAGACATATATGTCAATGAATCAGAATAGAGAGCCTGGAAATAGACCCACATAAATACGGCTAACTGAATTGTGACAAGGGAGCAAAGACAATACAATGAGTAAAAGATAATCCTTTTAGCAAATTGTGCTGGAGGAAGTGGACATCCGCATGCAAAAAAAATAAATAAATATAAACACAGATGTTATAACCTTCCCAAAAGTTAATTCAAAATGGATCATAGACCAAAATATAAAATGCAAACTATAAAGCTCCTAGAAGATAACATAGGAAAAAATCTATATGACCTTGGGTTTGGCAATGGCTTTTTAGCTACAATACCAAAGGCACAATCCATGAAATAAATAATTGATAAGCTGGTATTCATTAAAACTAAAATGTTCTGCTCCACAAAAGACAATGTCAAGAGAATCAAAAGACAAGCCATAGGTCAAGATAAAATATTTGCAGAGGACATTTAATAAAGGATTATAATTCAAAATACATAAATAACTCTTACAGTTCAACAATAAGAAAACTAAAAACTAAGTTAAGTAATGGGTCAAAGACCTTTACAGATAGATTAACAAAGAAGATACAAGGATATGGAGGAATAAGAACTCTCATTCGTTGCTGGCAGCAATGCAAAATGGTTCATTCACCTTGTAATACAGTTAGTGGTTCTTTACATAACTAACATACTCTTACTATACAGTCTAGCAACCACACTCCTTGGTGTGTACCCAAAGAAGCTGAAAACTTATGTCCACATGAAAACCTGTAAATGGATGTTTATAGATGCTTTATCTAGAATTGCCAAAACTTGGATGGCTTTCTTGAGTAGGTGAATGGATAAATAAAATGTAGTACATCCAAACAATGGAATATTATTCAGCACTAAAAAGAAATTATCTATAGAGCTATTGAAAGACATGGAGGAACTTAAATTTAAATTACTAAGTGAAATAAGCCAATGAGAAAAGCCTACATTATGATTCTAATATGTGACATTCTGGAAAAGGCAAAACTCTGAAAACATTGAAAAAGATGAGTGGTTGCCAGGGGTTGAGGAAGAGAGAAGGATGAATAGGTAGAGCACGATGGATTTTTAGGGCAGTAAAACTCCTCTGTTGATAGTATAATGGTGGATACATGTCATTATATATATATTTTTAAATCCACAGAATCTACAATAGCAAGAGTGAGCCCTAATGTAGACTAAGGACTTTGGGTGGTAATGATGTGTCAATGTTGGTTTATCAATTGTAACAAATGTACTACTCTAGTGTGAGGTATTAACAATGGCAGATGCTAAGCATATGTGGAAACAGGGAGTATATAGAAAATCTCTATACCTTCCTCTCAAATTTGCTGTGAACCTAAAACTGCTCTAAAAAATAAAGCCTATTTTTTAAAAAGTAAGTTTGTTTGCCAATTATTGGTTTGGCCCATATAAACTGGCTTATATGAAACAACAAAAAAAGCTAATTTAAATGATTCTTTCCCTGAATTGGTCAGCTGATTGCATACCCTAACTGACAAATTACTTGTCAATGTGTTGATTCAAATATTTGATTCCTTTGACATTGTATGGATGCAGCCTTCTAGTGAATCTACGTCACTACAATAGTGGTTTTCAGATGAGTATGCATAAGCCTGGTGTAATGGGACATTTTCCAAATGAAACAGCAGCATAAATATTTTTAAAGACTCAATTCTAGATCCTCAACTTCCATGTGATGTCTTCCTTAACATAGAACTACCTGAGAATGTATCTGTATTTATTCTCCACACATTTTACTAAGAATATCATATCTCTCATCCAGCCCTATTTTTTTTACTATACTGTGCTAGATATAAAAATCTCTAGTCTGACAAAGTAAGAATTTCAAATGTTGCATTTAAAGTCTCTTTTAATCAAGGTCCTATAAACCCACAACAGGATTTATGCATATTTATATTAGGAGTGGAATAGAAACAGGGTATGTTGACCTTGTGAATAAGAAAATCAGATATGTTAAAGAATAAAAGCAGTGGGAGTGCAGATACCTTTTGTTTAATGGCTTTCTTTCTTCAGCTCCTCAGGAATTATTTTTAATACATGACTTCATAGGTAAGGTATCAGAAAAGCAAAGCAACGAGGCACTTATTAAAAAATATTAGACTGGAGGCAGAGCAAGATGGCCAAATAGAGCCCTCCAGCAATCGTCTCCCTGCAGGAACACCAAATTGAACAACTATCTATGCAAAAAAGCACCTTCATAAGAACCAAAAGTCAGGTAAGTTATCACAGTAACTGGTTGTTACATTATATCAAGGAAAGAGACATTGAGCAATGTAGGAAAGACAGTATTGCATTAATATACCACCCCTACCCCATCCCCATTAGCACCACACAAAGAGAGAATCTGTGTGCTTGGGAGAGGGACAGTGAAGTGAATGTGGGACTTTGTATTGGAACTCAGTGCTGCCCTTTCACAGCATACCATAACACGGGGCAGAATTCTGCTTGTGCTCACAGAGGAAGCAGTGAGACTAGCACAGTGCTCAAAGAAATTCTTAGCTCTAGCAAAAGGAAATTGAGTCCTGGCTAGCCCCACCACTGGCAGACTAAAGTGGCCTGAGACCTGAAATAAATTTAAGTGGCAGTTAGGTCAGAAGGACTACAGTCCTTGTGCAAGCTCTGGATCTGTGCTGGTTTTAAAGCAGTAGAATTGGGGCGTGCATGACCCATTGCAACACTAGCTGTGGTGGCAAAGAGAGTGCTCACATCACCCCTCCCACAACTCCAGGCACTGCAGCTTGTGTAGAGACTCTTCTTGCTTAGGGAAACAAAAGGGATGAGTACAAAGGACTTCGTCTTGCAACTTGATTACCAGTTCAGTCACAATAAAAGAAAACACCAAGTGGATTCCTGAAGATCCTTATTCCAGGTCTTAGCACTTGGAAGGCATTTCTAGACCCACCCTGAGCCAGAAGGAAATTCACTCCTCTGAAGGAAAGACTCAGGCCTAGCAGGATTCAACACCTGCTGATGAAAGAACCCTTGGGACTTGAATAAACATCAACAGTAGCCAGGCAGTAGTTGCCATGAGACTTGGGCAACTCTCAGGAATATGCTGGCTTCAGGTATAACTCGGTGTATTGCTAGCTATGGTGGCCATGGGACTTCTCATGTCATCCTTCCCCAAACTTCAGGCAACCCAGGGAGAAGAGAGACTCCTTCTGTTTAGGGGAAAGAGAGAGAAGAGAGTGAGAGACTTTGCCCTATAATTCAGGGAATTATTCCTTCTCTTACACAAGCCCACCAGGGCTATGCATATAGGAGTTGGCAAGAGTTGCAGCATTCCTAGCCATAGGTCACCCCTTAGTGTAAACACAAGTGCAGTGAATACAGGTTTAGATCACAACACTCAACCTTCTTTGAAAATAAAAATAAAAGCCTTCTCAAAAAGGATCATAGAAGCAAGACTGTGAAGATTGGAATAAATACCTAACTCTTCAATGCCAAGGAACATCCATAATCATCAAGAACATCCAGGAAAACATGGCCTCGCTAAAGTAACTAAGACACCAATGACCAATCAGAGTGATGGAGCTATGTGACTTTTCAGACAGAGAATTTAAAATGGCTGTTTTCAGTAACATCAAAGAACTTCAAGATAACATAGAGAAGGAATTCAGAATTCCATTAGAGAAATTTAGCAAAGAGATTGAAATAATTTTTTAAAAAACAAGCAGAAATTTTGGAGCTGAAAGAGTCAATTGAAAAATGCATTGGGGTCTCTCAACAGCAGAACTGATGGAGCAGAAAAAAAGAATTACTGAGCTGGAAAGCAGGTGATATGAAAATATACAGTGATAGGAGAAACAAAACGATAAAAAGAATAAAGTATACCCACAAGACCTAGGAAATAATCTCAAAAGGGCAAATCTAAGCGTTATTGGCTTTAAAGAGAATGTAAAGACAGAGATCCAGGTAGAAAGTTTACTCAAAGAAATAATAGCAGAATGATCCAAACCAAGAGAAAGATATGAATATCCAGGTACAAGAATGTAACAGAACACCAAGAGACTAAACCCAAATAAGACTACCTCAAGGTACATATTAATCAAACTCTCAAAGTTTAAGGATAAAGAAAGCAACTTAAAAGCAGCAAGAGAAAAGAAGCAAATCGCATATAAAGAACTTTGATACTTATGGCAGTAGACTTCTCAGTGAAAATTTAGAGGACAAGAGAGAACGTAGTGACATATTCAAAGTACTGAAGGAAACAACTTCCAACACACAATATTATAGCCAGCAAAATTATCCTGAAAGCATGAAGGAGAAATAAAAATTCACAGAAAAACAAAAGCTGAGAGATTTCATCAACACCACACTTGTCTTACAAGAAACGCTGAAAGAAGTTCTTCAATTGGAAAGAAAAGAATGTCAGAAAACAAACCAAAAAAAAAAAATCAAAAGGTATAAAATTCACTGATAATAGTAAGCAAACAGACAAATACAGAATAATCTAACATTGTAATTGTGGTATGTAAATCCTTAGAAGGAAGACTACTTAAAGGCAGCCCCATCAAAAATAACTACAACAAATTTTAAGAAATCGATTTTATATTAAAAAAACATAAAAAGGGACAAGAAAAAGTCAAAAATGAGGGTGATGGAATTAAAATGTAGAGCTTTTTTTAGTCTTCTCTTTGCATTCTTATTGACTTTTGTTCTTTGCTTTGTAATCAGAGTTAAGTTTTCATCAGTTTAACACAGTTGGATATAAAATGTCATTTACAAACCTCATGGTAACCACAAAACAAAAACCTATAACAGATAAACAAAAATTAAAAAGCAAGAAACTAGATATTACTAGACAAAATCACTTTTCATAAAGGAAGATAGGAAGGAAGGAAGAAAGAAAAAGTGGACAAACAAAACTATCAGAAAACAAATAACAGAATTATAGTAGTAAGTATTTTCTTATCAATAGAAACAATGACTGTAAATAAACTGAATTCTTCAGTCAAAGCCATACAGTGGCTGAATGCATTAAAAAAAAAACAAGACCCAGCTAATATCCTGCTTACAGGGAACTCACGTCACTTATAATGACAAACAGACTGAATATAAAGCAATGTGAAAAGGTATTCCATGCAAATGGAAACCAAAAAAGAACAGAATTGGATTTATTTATATAATATTAAATAGATTTCAAGATAAAAACTGGAAAAAGAGACAAAGAAGGTCATTATATAATGATAAAAGTGTCAATTAGCCCAGAAGATATAACAATTAAAAATATGTATACACCCAACACTGGAGTACCCAGATAAATAAAGCAAATATTCTTTAGAGATAAAGAAAATGACAGACTCCAATACAATAATAGTTCAGTGAATTAAACAGCCCACTTGCAGCATTGGACAGATCAACCAGACAGAAATTAACAAAGAAATATCAGATTTAATCTGCACTATAGACCAAACAGACCTAATAGACATTTACAGAACATTTCAGCCAATAGTTGCAGAAAACATTCTTCTGTTCAGCACATGAAACATTCTCAAGGATAGGCCATATGTTAGGCCACAAAACAAGTCTCAACAGATTAAAAAAATTGAAAACATTAATTATCATTTCTGATACAATGGAATGAAACTAGAAATTAGTTACAAGAGGAACACTGTAAACTTCACAAACACATGGAAATTAAATAATAAACTCCTGAATGACCACTGGGTCAATGAGGAAATTAAGAAGAAAATTTAAATATTATTAAAGCAAATGAAAATGAAAATACAAAATGCCAAAATCTATGGGATACAGCAAAAACAGTACTAAAAGGCACGTTTATAGCAATGAACATCTACATCAAAAGGTAAAAAAAAAATAGTCAATAATCCTAACATTGAATCTTTAAAAAATAGAAAAGCAAGAGAAACCCAAACCAAAAATTAGTATAAGAAAAGAAATAATAAAGATCAGAGCAGAAATAAATGAAATTGAGGCTGAAGATATCACACAAAAGATCAAGAAAGTGAAAAGTTGTTGTTTTGTAAAAATCAACAAAATTAGAGAAGACCCACATAAAATCAAAAATGAAAAAGGAGACATTACAACTGATACCACAGACACACAAAGGATCATTAGAGATTATTATAAACAACTGTATGCCAATAAGTTGGAAAACTTGGAGGAATTAATACCTTTCTAGACACATACAACCTACCAAGATTGAACTGTGGAAAAATCCAAAAGCTAAATACATCAGTAATAAGTAATGAGATGATAGAATCAGTAATAAAAAGTCTCCCACCAAAGAGAAGCCCGTGACCTGATGCTTTCACTGCTGACTCTTACCAAGCATTTAAATAAAAACTAAAACCAATACTACTCAAACTATTTCAAGACACAACAACAACAAAAAAAGAAAACTACAGACCAATATCTCTGATGAAATTGATGCAAAAATCCTCAACAATATACTAGCAAACAAAATTCCACAATACATTAAAAAGATCATCAATCACAATCAAGTGGGTTTTATCCCAGGAACGGAAGGATGGTTCAACATACCCAAATCAATACATGTCATATATCATATCAAAAGAATGAAGGACAAAAACCACATGAACATTTCAATTGATGCTGAAAAGGCATTCAATAAAATTCAACATCCTTTATAATACAGCTCTCAAAACCTGAGTATAGAAGGAACATACCTCAACATGCTAAAAGTCATATACAGCAAACCCACAACTAATATCACTCTGAATGGGGAAAAACTGAAAGCCTTTCCACTACTATCTGGAACATGACAAGCATGTCCACTGTTATCACTTTTATTTAACATCATACTGGAAGTCATATGCAGAGAAATTAAGTGAGAGAAAGAAATAAAAGGCATCTAAATTGGAAAGGAAGAATTAAAATTATTCTTTTTTGTAGATAATATCTTATATTTGGAAAAACTTTGACTCGATCAAAAAACTATTAGAAATAATAAACAAATCCAGTAAAGCTTCAGGATATAAAATCAACATACAAAAGCAAGTTACGTTTCTATATGCCGATAGTGAATCATCTGAAAAAGAAACCAAGAAAGTAATCCCATTTCAATAGCTACAAATGCAATAAAATAACCAGAAATAATCAAAAGTGTGAAAGATCTTTACAATGAAAATTATAAAACATTGATAAAAGAAACTGAGCAGAACACAAAAGAATGGAAAGATATTCCAAGTTCATTTAATTGGAAGAATCAATATTGTTTAAATGCCCATAGAATGCAAAGTTATTTACACATTCAATGTAATCCTTATGAAAACACTAATGACATTATTCACAGAGAAAAAAAATCCTAAAATTTATATGGAACCACACCAAACAGCCAAAGTAATCCTGAACAAAAAGAACAAAACTAGAGGCATTCCATCACTTGCCTTTAAATTACATGACAAAGCTATAGTAACAAAATCAATGTGGTACTGGCGTAAAAACAGACCCATTGACCAATTGAAAAGAATACAAAACCCAGAAATAAGGTCACATACCTACAGCCAACTGATCTTCGATGAAAGTGACAAAACATACACTGTGTTAAAGAAACCCTATTCAATAAACGGTGCTGGGAAAATTGGATTGCCATATGCAGAAAAATGAAAATAGATCCCATCTCTCACCATATGCAAAAATCAAAACACTGATTAAAGACATAAGTCTTAGACCCAAAACTATGAAACTGTTGAAAAAAAAACATTGGGGAAACACTACTGGACATTCATCTGGGCAATGATTTCTTGAGTAAAATGTCAAAAGCACATGCAACCAAAACAAGAATGCACAAATGAGATCATATCAAGCTAAAAAGCTTCTGAACAACAAAAGAAATAACCAAGTAATAAGACAACCGACAGAATGAAAGTATTTGCAAACTACCCATCAGACAAGGGATTTATAATCAGGATATATAAGGAGCTCAAACAACTCAATAGGAAAAAAAATCTGGTTAAAAAAAAAGCACAGGGGTAGGCAGGGCCAAGACAGCCAACTGGAAACAGCAGCGATCAGAGGCTCCCATCGAAAAGAACCACAATTAACGTGTGAATCCTGCACTGGCCACCAAAGTATCCAGGTTCTCTCATCAGAACTGACTAGGAGGCTGGCGTGATCCACAGAGAGAAAGGAAGAGCAGTGTGGTGCAGCGGCCCACCTGAGAGCCACATGGGGCAAGGGAGCCCCCAACCCCCAGCCAAGGGAGAGGTGAGTGAGCATGCTACCCAGTCAGGGAAACCAAGCTCCTTCCACGGACAGGAGGATCCCACTCGCAAACCCATGCCACTGGGGCCTAGTGTCCCAACCCCGGAGCCATGCAGATTCTCAACAGTCGCTCAGCTGGAATCCACTTAAGCCTACTGAGCTTTCTGGGGGAGCAGCGACCAGCCCCACAGGTGCAGCTGCCTGCTGTCTAAGCCCTTTGAGCTCACTGGGGGCAGGGCAGCACCTGGCACTGGGACTCACAATTGCCTAACATGCTAAGCTTCCTGAGTGGGGGAAGGGCAGCACCCATCTCTATAGCTCCAGGCCATGCTTTTCGCCTGCTGGAGCCAGGGAGGCTGCATGACTTGGTACCAAGATGTGTCCCCCCGCAGCCCAACACACCAGCTGTGGCAAACTGTGGTCAGAGTGCCTCTTCAGGCCTGACCCTGACTCATGCTTCTTCACTGGGCAGGGCTTCCCTGCAGAACTCCAATAACTCCAGCCGGAGACTCAGGAACAGAACCCAGATCTCCCTTGGCCTGAGCCCCTAGGGGAAGCAGTGGCCACAGTCTCTGTGGACCGGCAGACTTAGCCTTTCCTCCTGGTAGTTCAGAGGAATGCAGGCAGCCCAGACAAGTGGGTTTTGCCCCAGCGAAGCACAGCCCCTCCAGCAAGGGACAGTCAAAGTGCTTTGTTAAACAGGTCCTGCTCCCCATGCCACCCAACTGGGTGAGACCCTCCAACAGGGATTGTCAGACACCCTATACAGGAGTGATCCTACTGGCACCAGTTTGGTGCCCCTCGAGGTCAGATATCTCAGCAGAAGGAGCAGGCACCCATCTTTGCTGTCCTCCAGCCACCTTGAGTGACATCTCCAGGCACGGGAGTGAACCAAATGAATAGAGCCTCAAGTGAACCCCAGCAAACCACAGCAGCCCTACAGAAGAGGGATCTGTCCATTGAATGAAAAACAAACAAACAGAAAGCAGCAACAACAGCATCAACAATAACAAAAAAGCCCCCCAAAAAAACCCATCAAAGGATCAGCAGCCTCAAAGATCCAAACCAGACAAACTCATGAAGATGACAAAGAAAGAATCAACAAAAAAATGTGGAAAACCCAAAAGGCCAGATTGCCTCTTCTCTTCTGAATGATTGCAACATCTCTCCAGCAAGGGCGCAGAACTGGACGGAGGATGAAATGGACGAATTGACAGAAGTAGGCTTCAAAAGATGGGTAATGGTAATAAAAAACTACGCTGAGCTAAAGGACCATGTTCTAAACCAATGCTAAGAAGCTAAGAACCTTGATAAAAGGTTAGAAAAGCTGATAGCTAGAATAACCAGTTTAAAGAGAAACATAAATGACTTGATGGAGCTGAAAAACACAGCGCAATAACTTTGTGAAGTATACGCAAGTATCAATAGCCAAATTGACCAAGCAGAAGAAAGGATATCAGAGTTTGAAGACCACCTTGCTGAGGTAAGGCATGCAGACAAGACTAGAGAAACAAAACAAAACAAACAAACAAACAAACAAAAACGAAAAGGAATGAACAAAGCCTCCAAGAAATATTGGACTTTGTAAAAAGACTGAACCTACGATTGATTGAAGTACCTGAAGGAGACGGGAAGAATGGAAACAAGCTGAAAAGCACACTTCAGGATATTACCCAGGAAAAGTTCCCCAAACTAGCAAGACAAGGCAATATGTGAATTCAGGAAATATAGAGAACACCACAAAGATACTCAGTGAGAAGATCAACCCCAAGACAAATAATCACCAGATTCTCCAAAGTCAAAATGAAGGAAAAAATGTCAAGCACAACCAGGGAGAAAGGCCAGGTCACCTACAAAGGAAAGCCTAACAGACTAAAAGAGGATCTCTTAGCAGAAACTCTACAGGCCAGAAGAGATTGGGGGCCAATATTCAACATTCTTAAAGAAAAGAATTTCCAACCCAGAATTTCATATCCAGCCAAACTAAGCTTCATAAATGAAGGAGAAATAAAATCCTTTCCAGAAAAGCAAATGCTGAGGGATTTTGTTACCACCAGGACTGCCTTGCAAGAGCTCCTAAAAGAAGCACTAAATGTGGAAAGAAAAAAATGGTACCAGCTACTACAAAAACACACCAAAATATAAAGACCAATGACACTATGAAGAAACCGCATCAACTAGCGGGCAAAATAACCAGATAGCATCATGATGACGGGATCAAATTCACACATAACAATACTAAACTTAAATGTAAAGGGACTAAATGCCCCAATTAAAAGACACAGACTGGCACACTGGAGAAACAGTCAAGACCCATCAGTATGCTGTATTCAGGAGACACATCTCACATGCAAAGACACACATTTGCTCAAAATAAAGGGATAAAGGAAAATTTACCAAGCAAATGAAAAGAAAACAAAAAAAAGCAGGGGTTGCAATCCCAGTCTCTGACAAAACAGGTTTTAAACCAACAAAGATTTTTTAAAAAGACAAAAAAGGGCATTACATAATGGTAAAGGGAACAATTCAGTGAGAAGAGCTAACTATTCTAAATATATGAGCACCCAGATTCATACAAAGGTCTTAGAGACCTACAAAGAGACTTACACTCCCACACAATAATAGTGGGAGATTTTAACACCCCACTGTCAATATTAGACAGATCAACAGGACAGAAAATTAACAAGGTTATTCAGAATTTTAACTCAACTCTGGATCAAGTGGACCTAATAAACATCTACAGAACTCTCCACCCCAAATCAACAGAATATACATTCTTTTCAGTGCCACATGGCACTTATTCTAAAATCAACCACATAATTCGAAATAAAACACTCCTCAGCAAATGCAAAAGAACTGAAATTACAACAAACAGTCTCTCAGACCACAGTGCAATCAAATTAAAACTCAGGATTAAGAAACTCACTCAAAACCACGCAATTACATGGAAACTGAACAACCTGCTCCTGAATGACTCCTGGGTAAATAACGAAATTATGGCAGAAATGAAGAACTTCTTTGAAACCAATGAGAACAAAGGGACAACATACCAGAATCTCTGGGACATAAATAAAGCAGTGCTGAGGGAAATTTATAGCACTAAATGCCCGTATCAGAAAGCTAGAAAGATCTCCAATCAACACCCTGACATCACAATTAAAAGAACTAGAGAGGCAAGAGCAAACAAACCCAAAAGCTAGCAGAAGACAAAAAATAACTAACATCAGGGCAGAATTGAAGAAGAGAAACAAAAAGTCCTCCAAAAAAAAAATCAATGAATCCAGGAGCTGTTTTTTTTTTTTTTTTTTTGGAAAAAATTAACAAAATAGATAGACCAATAGCTAGACTAATGAAAAAAAGAGAGAAGAATCAGATAGACACAATAAAAAATAATAACAGGGAAATCACCACTGACCCCACAGAAATACAAACTACCAGCAGAAAATACTATAAACACCTCTATGCAACTAAACTAGAAAACCTAGAAGAAATGGATAAATTCCAGGACACATTCACCCTCCCAAGACAACCAGGAAGAAGTCAAATCCCTGAATAGACCAGTATCAAATTGAAATTGAGGCAGTAATTAATAGCCTACCAATCAAAAAAAGCCCAGGACCAGACAAATTCACAGGCGAATTCTGCCAGAGGTACAAAGAGGAGCTGCTACCATTTCCTCAGAAACTATTCCAAACAATTGAAAAAGAGGGACTCCTCCCTAACTCATTTTATGAAGCCAGCCTCATCCTGATACCAAAACAAGAAAGAGACACAACAAAAAAAGAAAACTTCAGGCCAATATCCCTGATGAATATTGATGCAAAAATCCTCAATAAAACACTGGCAAACCAAATCCAGCAGCACATCAAAAAACTTATCCACCACAATGAAGTTGGCTTTATCCCTGGGATGCAAGGTTGCTTCAACATACACAAATCAATAAATGTAATCCATCACATAAACAGAACCAAGGACAAAAACCACACGATTATCTCAATAGATACAGAAAAGTCCTTTGATAAAATTCAACATCGCTTCATGTTAAAAACTCTCAATAAACTAGGTATTGATGGAACATATCTCAAAATAATAACAGCTATTTATGACAAACTCAGAGCCAATATCATATTGAATAGGCAAAAGCTGGAAGCATTCCCTTTGACAACTGGTACAAGACAAGGATGCCGTGTCTTACCACTCCTATTCAACATAGTATGGGAAGTTCTAGCCAGGTCAATCAGGCAAGAGAAAGAAATGAATGGTTTTTAAATAGGAAGAGAGGAAGTCAAATTGTCCCTTTTTGTAGATGACAGGATTTCATATTTAGAAAACCCCACCATCTCAATCCAAAAACTCCTTAAACTGATAAGCAACTTCAGCAAAGTCTCAGGATACAAAATCAAGGTGCAAAAATCACAAGCTTTTATTTACACCAACAATAGGCAAGCAGAAAGCCAAATCATAAATGAGCTCCCAATCACAATTGCTAAAAAGAGAATAAAATACCTAGGAATACAGCTAACAAGAGCTGTGAAGGACCTCTTCAAGGATAACTACATACCACTGCTCAAGGAAATAAGAGAGGACACAAACCAATAGAAAAACATTCCATCCTCATGAATTGGAAGAATCAATATTGTGAAAATGGCCATACTGCCCAAAATAATTTATAGATTAAATGTTATTCCCATCAAACAACCATTGACATTCTTCAAAGAATTATAAAAAACTACTTTAAATTTCATTTGGAATCAAAGAAGACCCCATATAGCCAAGGCAATCCTAAACAAAAGAACAAAGCTGGAGGCATCATGCTACCTGACTTCAAACTATACTACAAGGCTACAGTAACCAAAACAGCATGGTACTGGTACCAAAAGAGACATATAGACCAATGGAACAAAACAGAGTCCTCAGAAATAACACCACACATCTACAACCATCTGATCTTTGACAAACCTGACAAAAATAAGCAATGGGGAAAGGATCTCCTATTCAATAAATGGTTCTGGGAAAACTGGCTAGCCTTAGGCAGAAAACTGACATGAGACCCCTTACACCTTATATAAAAATTAACTCAAGATGGATTAAAGACTTAAATATAAAAACCCAAACCATAAAAACCCTAGAAGAAAACCTAGGCAATACCATTCAGGGCATAGGCATAGGCAAAGACTTCATGATGAAAATGCCAAAAGCAATTGCAACAAAAGCCAAAATTGACAAATGGGATCTAATTAAACTAAAGAGTTTCTGTACAGTAAAAGAAACCATCATCAGAGTGAACAGGGAACCTACAGAATGGGAGAAAATTTTTGCAATCTACCCATCTGTCAAAGGTCTAATATCCAGAATTTACAAGGAACTTAAACAAATTTACAAGAAAAAACAAACAACCCCATCAAAAAGTGGGTGAAGGATATGAACAGACACTTCTCAAAAGAAGACATTTATGTGGCCAACAAACATGAAAAAAGCTCAACATCATTGATCATTAGAGAAATGCAAATCAAAACCACAGTGAGATACCATCTCACGCCATTTAGAATGGCGATTATTAACAAGTGAAGAAAGAACAGATGCTGGCGAGGCTATGGAGAAATAAGAATGCTTTTACACTGTTGGTGAGAATGTAAATTAGTTCAACCATTGTGGAAGACAGTATGGTAATTCCTCAAGGATCTAGAACCAGAAATACCATTTGACCCAGCAACCCTATTACTGGGTATATACCCAAAGGAATATAAATCATCTACTATAAAGACACATGCACACGTATGTTTATTGCAGCACTATTTACAATAGCAAAGACATGGAACCAGCCCAGATGCCCATCAATGATAGACTGGGTAAAGAAAATGCGGTACATATATACCATGGAATACTATGCAGCCGTAAAAAGGAATGAGATCATGTCCTTTGTGAGGACACGGATGAAGCTGGAAACCATCATCCTTAGCAAACTAACACAGGAACAGGAAACCAAACAGTGTGTTCTCACTCATAAGTAGGAGTTGAACAATGATAACACATGGACACAGGGAGGGGAACAACACACACCAGGGCCTGTTGGGGGGTGGGGGGCAAGGGGAGGGAACTTAGATGATGGGTCAGTAGGTGCAGCAAACCACCATGGCACACGTATATCTATGTAACAAACCTCCACGTTCTGCCCATGTATCCCAGAACTTAAAAGAAAAAAAAAAAAAGAAATTTAGCAGTGGGCAAGGTATTCATAGGCTTTCCCATAAAGCTCAGTATCTGACACTATGGCTAGAATGCCTCTTACAGGAAACACACAAGATCTCCCCAACATATGGATGGCATGAGGAGGTTATGAGGTAAAGCCTTCCCTCTGTTGTGTCCAGGTCATCCATGCCACTCTCCCAAACTAACCATCTCAGTCAAGCTAAGCCCATATATAAATCATTCCACACTGTACTGTAATCATTCTGTCTTCCTTTTCCCACCAGCTTGTGTCATGAATTCCACCTGTCCTCTGCATTGCACAGCATGACCTTTTATATGCCTGGAACATGGAAGCACCTCAAATGAGTAGGGAAAGCAGGCACCTTCTACTCCATGAGGGACAGGGGTCATAATGAATGGGTCTTACCTTTCAGAAGGGCAATTTGCAACCGTGTATAAAGAATGTGAAATGTTCACATCCTTTTGCCCCACCATTCCAATTCCAAAAATTTATCCTAAGGAAACAATTATGTCAATGCTCAAAGCAGCACTATTTATGAAACTACAAATCAGCAACACCCTAAATGTAGTAGTATGTAAGTAAATAATTAGTAACTAGCAAAATGGAGACTTGCTCTATTCCAGTTATTGTGCTGATCCCATTTGTGGTGACCAAGAAAATGCACCTGATAGACCTCCAGGGGAATTGACCAAAATCCCAAGAGGTTCCTGAAAATCTGTTATTGCATTTGCACGGAGGCCACGCTTACCATGAACTGCATCCAACTAATGTCTGAGAACAGCAAGAATACCAAGACAAGCCCTTTCCTGGGAGATGTGAGACTCCTCTAACAGCCAACTTTGGCTCAAGAACTCCCTGATGGCCTTGTAAACCTTCCTTACACAGCATGACAGTCTAGGGCACTTCCACCCAAACTCTGTCCCGTCTCTTTCACCCGGGGTCAGACTTGCACTATGATCTGATGTCTCTTCCAACCTTCTCTAGCTCCCTTGCTATTTTCTTTCAAAGGCATTTCCCTAATAAAATCCCTGCATATTAAAAAAAAAAGCAAAAGATTTGAAAACACATTTCTCGAAAGAAGACAAATAAATAGCCAACAAGTCTATTTAAAACTGCTCAACATCACTAATCATTAAATAAATACAAATAAAACCTGCAATGAGATATAATCTCACCCCAGTTAAAATGGCTTTTATCCAAAACACAGGCAATAACAAATGCTGGTGAGGATGCAGAGAAAGGGGGACCCTTGTACACTGTTGGTGGGAATGTAAATTAGTATAGCCACTATGGAAGTTCTTCAAACAATTAAAAATAGAACTACGATACAATCCAGAAATCCCACTGCTGGGTATATATCTCAAATAAATTATATCAATTTATTAAAGAAATGTCTTCATTCCCATGTTCGTTGGAGCAAAATTCACAGTATCCAAGATAAGAAATCAACCTACATGTCCATCAGTGAATTAATGGGTAAAGAAAATATAGTATATACACACAATGAAATACTACTGAGCCATAATAAAGAATGAAATCCTGTCATTTGCAAAAACACAGATAAAACTGGAGGACATTACGGTAAATGAAATACTCCAAGCACAGTAACAGAAACATCACGTTTTCAGTTTTATTGAGGACCTAAAAATAAAATCAAACTCATGGATATAAAGAGTAGAATGATGGTTACCAGCCAGAATCTGGGATTCATAGCAAGAAGTGGGGGGCTAAATGTGGATGGTTAATGGGTAATGCATTCTACAGTTAGGTAGAATGAATAAGATCTAGTGTCTGGTAGCACAATAGGTTGACTATAGTTAACAATAGTTTATTTTATATTTTACAGTAACTGAAAGGGTGGAATTGGAATGTTCCTAAACAAAAAATGATAAATGCTTAAGATGATGTATACCATAATTACCTTGATTTCATCATTACACATTTTCCCATACTGTAAAAATTGCATGTGCAACATAAATATTCACAACTATTATATACCCAAAATAATGAAAAGTAAAAATTGAAAGCAATTATAAAAGGTGGTAGTATTTTTATATCCAAGTTACAAACATTTGCAAAGCTTTGTGTCTTAGTAATCTATTTTATAATTAAAATATTTAAGAACTGTAAAGGCATCATGGATAATACAGACCTGCCATAAAGCATGCTCTTTTAAGATTTCATTCATTCACCATTCTTTTTTTTTCTTTCTTCTTTTCTTTTTTTTTTTTTTTTGAGAAGGAGTATCTCTCTCTGTCACCCAGGCTGGAATGCAGTGGCGAGATCCTGGCTCACTGCAACCTCCACCTCCCGGGTTCAAGTGACTCTCCTGCCTCAGCCTCCCAAGTAGCTGAGATTACAGGCGCGCATCACCATACCCAGCTAATTTTTGTATTTTTAGTAGACTCGGGGTTTCATCATGTTGGCCATGCTGGTCTCGAACTCTTGACCTCAGGTGATCCGCCCAGCTTAGCCTCCCAAAGTGCTAGGAATACAGGCGTGAGCCACCGCGCCCAGCCACCATTCTTATTAACAAGAAAGATCTTGGCAATTGCTCCCATAATCGCCTGTTTTGGATTGTGTCTCACTTGAAAATATTGCATGATTTCAAGGAGGAAAAAACTTCCACATTTACTTGTGACAAAAAAAACACATCTTTAGTGAAGGATATGTCTGGAAATGTAGCATTTTATATTTTAAAGACTTAAGACTCATAAGAAACTACGTTTTGGTGAAAGATTTTTGAATACTGTAAATCTTTATTTATTTTTGAAACTTGGGCATGAGTCTCCTGCTTGCTCTTTCCTCAATGACTTATCTGCTCATTTATTCATTCCTGTCATGTACTTGTTAGATTAAAATTAACAGAATTTTATTGTGAATCCTCTGTAAATGAAGCATACTTAAATAGAATCCATATTAGATCTTTTCAAAGGCCATGCTTACTAGTGTCCCAATACCCTCTCCTTCTTGCTGTTAATTTCCATTAAACCCTCTTTCTTTCTAATAATAAATATTAAACATTCACAAACACATGAATTGAAAGTAAAATACCTACTATCTCATTTGTGGAAGCATTTTCAAAAAATCTTATTTGGCTTGTTTAGTAACATTTACTAAATGTTTAATATATTTAAGTTATTTGAGCAATTGTATAATAATTATAATTGTAATGATAACACTCGAAAAAGGTTAAACACTTAGGATCTTATGGTCATAGGAGTTTTTAAATGTTGTTATTTAAATACTTATATATATATATATTTTTTGGCTGGGCGCAGTGGTTCACGCCTGTAATCCCAGCACTTTGGGAGGCCGAGGCACGTGGATCACCTGAGGTCAGGAGGTCGACACCAGCCTGACCAACATGGTGAAACCCCATCTTTATTAAAAATACAAAAATTAGCCGGGCGTGGTGGCGCACGCCTGTAATCCCAGCTACTCCAGAGGCTGAGGCAGGAGAATTGCTTAATCCCAGGAGGCGGAGTTTGCAGTGAGCCGAGATTGTGCCACTGCACTCCAGCCTTGGCAACACGAATGAAACTCCGTCTCAAAAAATAATAATAAAAATAAAAATAAAAAATAAATAAAATAAATACTTATTTTTTTCAGAGAGCAGTGAGGAGGTCACCAATAAAAGATTTTAATGCAAACGTATTAAATTAGGACAAAAATCTTCAGCGTAGTTGAATGAAAACATGAGTTCAAGGAGGAATTTCCTATAAAGAAATTCTGAAAGAAGAATTCTCATATTTTTAAAAATAGATGACAACAGGTATCAAATTTTGATGGCATTTAGATTTCATCAAATGCATTTTAAAGTGATATGTTTCCTTTTAATTATTACAAGTATAAGTGCTGAAATAATAATTATTGCAAACTATTTACACTTGATTAGGATTTTAGCTACCAAAAGTGTTTTCTGTGGTGTGATAGTCTACATTCCTTACAGTGTTTTTTTTCATAATATTTGAAGAAAACTATTAAAATCTTGTTCTTCATGGTTAGAAGTGTTGGGCTCTGTACTAGTAACATATATATTGCAAGTATTCTGTTACAGATATTTCCTCCACTTCACATATGTACTTGCAATGACAACATTTGCGTTTCTTAAACAATTAGCAAATTAAGTCTATCAAATTGTATTCTACTGCCTTTAAAGCACTGACAGTAAGCTACAGTAAGCCAACTCAGAAATGCAAAGATATGTACGTGTCTCTTGTAATGAGTGACTGAGATGTGGAATGAAACACAACAAACTCAAGCCTGTACACGGCCTAATCGGTATGTCATGTGTTTTTCTTTCTTTATCATTGTTCTTTCGTTATTTCAAGTCGGATGAATTATCCCATTCAACCCTCTTTTAGTAAAGATGGGAGGGGGGAAGGAGAGTGAGAGAGAACTTGCTCAAGTCCTGTAAGTCAGTAGATTTATCACATTTCTATTATGTGTCAGGCCCTACTTTAGTGTGGTAGGCTGAACAAAATATTGCTCAAAGATATATTCATTTCCTAATTCCTAGAATCTTGTAAGTATTACTTTATATGCCAAAATGGTAAATATGACCTTATATGGCAAATGACATGAGAGGAATTTATCCTGGATTATCTGGCATATGTGTATGCAATGGCATGTATCCTTACAAGAAATCAGTAGAGGAAGTTTTGAGAGTCTGGACTCACCCACAGAGGAAAAGGTGATGTGAAGAAAGAGGCAGAGATTGGGGTGAAGTGAGAACAACCCAAATAGTTTCAAAGAATGTTGGGCAGTCACCAGATTTTGCAAGAGGCAAGGAAAGATTTTCTTCCAGAGCCTCTTGAGGAAATGTGGCCCCACTGACACCTTGATTTTGGACTTTGGCCCCCAGAATGGTGAGAGGATGAATTTCTGTTCTTTTAAGCCACAGAGTTTGTGGTAAACTGTGAGGATAACCCTGGGAAACGTAAATCTAGGTATCAAATGATGAACTTGAATACTGACATAAGAAGTTTAGTCTCTCAATAGATAAAGTTAACGAACCTAGAGCTAGTTAGGCTAAAATACTTGTTTCTAGCATGAAAACTCAGACGACAATAGACATGGGATATGTTCTTGCTGTGCCATATTTTGCAGATGAATATAAAGAGCAATTAAAACTATTAATTGCATATTCCTGGATGTTCAAGCTGATAAGAGTTTATCAGGATTGTTCAACACCAGGCTATTACTTCCTGAAACTTCAATGTTGATTGGAATCTACCAAAAATGTTTCCTGCAGTAGTTACAAAGAATATACGGCATGCAATTCCTTTATATTTCATATGTAATTAGTAACTGGCAAGTAAAACAAATTAGGTGCTTGATAAACATGCACAATTATATTATATTTTCAAAACAGTTGTATTTATGCTTAAAAGAAGAGACAGTTTTATGAATGTGTAATCAAGGATGTAAAATTGGAAAGACAACACAATTGAGCAGAGTTAATTTGGTGGTGGCAACAAATCACACATTGCCCAGCCCTCCCACCCCACCCTTACGTGGTGTATGCACTGCCCTGATAAATGTTGTTCTTGGCAAAGCCTCACACAAAAATGAGTCTGGAGATCCCTCTTCTCGTGCTGTCATCCTTCATTACTCCTCTGAGGAATTAGTGGCTATAAAATAAAGATCTGCACCAGTGCAGATAACAGACTCCCATTTTTTACCTCACCTATTTAAAAGCATGTGAGAGATGAAGCTTCTAAATACTTACCATTGTTTCTTTTTCTTTTTCAAATAGGCAAATAGGTATACCACATAGCTCTCGGATCTTACTAGGCTCATGAGCTTTTTCAAAATGGACAGGCAATATGTACATAGAAATTATGTCATTAGGCATGGCCCCAAAAGAACACAGTTTAGTTTCTGTAAAGCACAAGTGTGTGCTTTACAAAATTGAGGAAGCAGGTGAAGTTTGTCAATCAACAAATATGTACTAAGCACTCACTACATGGAAGGCACTTCTCTAGATACTAGGCATATAACAGTGAATACAAAACACAAAAATTATCAACTTAATAGGGGCTTACATTCTAGTGAATTGCAAGAGAACATAAAGAAATAAAATTAAACAGAAAAAGGGGATGAGGAGTATCAGAGGAGCAATTGATTTGCAATTTAAAATAAAGTGGTCATGTAGGCTTCATAAGGAGGAAGAAGACATTTGAGAAAAATACTGAAATATATGAGGGGGCAAGCTCCATAGATATTAGCAGAAAGAGCACTTCAAGCAGAGGAAACAGAAAGTGCAAAGTACCTGAGGTAGGAGCACGTCTGTCATGTTTGAAGAATAGAAAAGGGACCTGTATTTGGTAGCCAAATGAGTGATGAAGAAATAGTAGGAAATAAGGTTGTGAGGCAATGGGACCCAAGTTGGAGGTAGGGAACAATCAGAGGCAGGCCATGTAAGAACCTTTGCAAGGTCTCTGTGTTTTACTTTGAGTGATATAGAAAGTCACTGGAGAAAGCTCAGCAGAAAAATGATATGACTCTGGCTACTGTGATGAGTGAATGGAAGCAAGGATAGAAGAAGGGAGGTCTTTTAGAAAGCTATTGGAATAATCCAAATGAGGAGTGATGGTGGTCTCAATCAGGGTGTCCTTAGTGGCCATTGTGAATCTGAGGCAAGCATAGATATAGTGGGCTATAGTAAGTGAATGCAGGTATGTCAAAGCAGATTATATTGGGGCCAGGCTGACCATGTGTTCCAATTTATTTAAAGCCCCTATTAATATCTGTTGTCTAGGTGTAATTGCAAAGCACTATTTCTCTCTAAAAAGTGCCCTTGCTTGGATAATCAATTACATAGTCATTCTAGTTATAGCTGAAGAAATGTGGAAATGAATTTGGCTAAGATCTTGGACTTGGCCTTAGATATGTTTGTATGGTAAGTTGGAGGTCATTTGTCTTTATTTACCCCGATAGCAGGCATATATTATTTGTAATACGTTTTTGCTTTTTCTCTGAATAATAAATATTAATTTTCTAAATTATAAAAAATAATAAAATAAGCTGCCACGATCCTATTCTTATGGTAAATTATTGATTAATATGACATACTGTGAACCCCGAAAATCTGAGACAGGTCTCAGTTAATTTAGGAAGTTTATTTTGCCAAGGTTGAGGATGCAGCCTCAGTAAGTCCTGATGACATGTGCACAAGGTGGTCAGGGCACAGCTTGGTTTTATGCATTTTAGGGAGACATGAGACATCAATCAATATATGTAAGAAGTATATTAGTTCCGTCCAGAAAGGTGGAGACAACTCAAAGTAAGCTCCCCCTCCCCCACTGGGGGCTTCCAGGTCACAGGTAGATGAGAGACAGATGGTTGCATTCTTTTGAGTTTCTGATAAGTCTTTCCAAAGCAGGCAATCAGAATATGCATCCATCTCTGTGAGCAGAGGGATGACTTTGAATGAGAGGCAGATTTGCCTGAGGGGCTCCCAGGTTGAAGGGGCCCCAGATATTTTCCATTCACAACACATAAACTGGATCTCTACATATATGCTTCTTTTAAAATATCATGTTCCAGTAAGTGAGATATCCATATAAATCCTGTTATTCTGCAGTAGCCATTAATATGAATGGTTACTTTGTACCAGAGAATATTCTAAGCATTAAACTTATTATAATTCATATAACCTTTCCAACCACCTTATTCAGCAGGTATAATTATCCTGGCTTTGCTGACGAGGGAACTGCAGTTCTCAGTGATGTACTAAAGTTGACTGAGATCACACCCCTGTAAATAGTGGAGCCAGGATTCAAACCATATACATACATAGTACATATACATATACATAGTACAGACCATGTGTTCTTAATAGCTACACTGTACTGGTTCTTGAATGTCACAAAGTAGAAGAAGCAATCACCCTGTTTAGCAATGAGTGTGATGTGTATTCTCCCCACTCCCATATCTTTATCATCATACAAGTTAACATTTTAGTTGATTCGTTTAAGCAAGCAAACAACCCCTACTCCAATGGTGATCATCACCACTTCGATGCCTGTCTCTATCATATTATATACATACATCAAAATGCCAAAATGCCAATTTTTAGGTTCTCCACACTTCATGTGGATACAAAATCTTGTATTCATTGCTCTTCAACAATTTTTTCCACATAACTATTGTTTTGGGAACAAACCTTCCTGGGTTATTAGACATAGTTATAATGATTTCTCTTTAAAATTATGCATAACTATACCATAATTTGTTGCCCATTCCCTTACAAAAGGAAAATATTCACTTGTTTTCATTTCAAAATAGTGTTGTGGTATACATCTTACCTACACTTCATTTAGGAAAGATAGATTGCTAACAGTGGAAATGCTGAATCAAAAATGTGTATCTTAGGCTAGGCATGGTCACTCACGCCTGTAATCCCAGTAATCTGGGAGGCTGAGGAGGGCAGATCTCTTGAGGCCAGGAGTTCGAGACCAGCCTGGTCAACATGGTGAAATCCCACCTCTATAAAAAAAAAAAAAAAAACAAAAATTAGCTGGGCGTGGTGGCACACACCTGTAATCCCAGTTATTCTGGAAGCTGAGGCACGAGAATTGCTTGAACCCAGAAGGTGGAGGTTGCAGTGGGCTATCGCACCACTGCACTCCAGCCTGGGAGACAGAGGGAGACTCTATCTCAGAAAAGAGAAGAGAAGAGAAGAGAAGAGAAGAGAAGAGAAGAGAAGAGAAGAGAAGAGAAGAGAAGAGAAGAGAAGAGAAGGAGAAAGAAGGAAAGAAAGAAAGAAAGAAAGAAAGAAGGGAGGGAGGGAGGGGGGGAGGGGAGGGGAGAGAAGGGAAGGGAAGGGAAGAAAGAAAATGTTTATTTTAATATTAATGTGCTAAAAATCACTTTACCAAAAGATTATAGCAATTCACACTCCCAGCAGTTTACTTGATACTGCCCATTTCTTCATATTTTGTAAAAACTGTATATCAGTATTTTATGTTATATTATTTCTAGTTTCAGGGGTGAAACTTTGTGGCTATGACCTCAAAATATCATATAAGCAGAACCTAATAACTTCTAATTACTTATACAACTTCTACCCTTCTTTGATCTACCATCATGTCTTGTCTGGATTAATGCAATATCATCCTGACTGGTCATTCTGCTTATACCTTTATCTTCCTTCAGTTAATTATCAACATAGTAGTCAAAGTACATGAGTCAAAGCTTGTCCCTCCTGCTAAGAGTAAAAAGTAAGTCAAAGCTTGTCCTTTCTGCTCAAAATCTTAAAATGGCTTCTCATTTCACCCATTATCTATTCGCCTTTCCCCTAGCATTGTTATATATCCTACTTCATTTCCTACTACTCATCCTTCCTCTCTGTTTCAATCATGCTGGCCTCCTTACTGTTCCTTGAACACAACAGGCACCTTTCCTTCCTCGAGTCTTTAGCCGAGCCTTTCCCTCAGCTTGGAATGCTCTTGTCCCAGATAGTCACATTGCTCAAACCCAAACTATTTCCTTCTTTGAGTTTTTTGCTCAAAGCTAAGTGAGGGCTTCCTTGAACATCCTATTTCAAATTACAATCCTTATCAATTATTTTCTCTTCCTTGCTTCATTTTTTTTTCTTCTTAGTACTTAAACTATTTAAAATACTAATGTTTTACTTGTATGTCTTGTTTGTATTTGTATTTTCCCTAGAACATAAAGCTTTGTAAAGGCAGATATTATTGCTTGTTTGGGGCCCTACTATACCATACCCCTAGACTCTGAACTGGGTATATCACATAGTATGTGCTTTTTAAATAGTTGTTGAATTAGTGCAAAAATTAGAAGTTGCAAGCGCAAAGACAGTATCAACTATGTTAAATGCCACAGAGCTATAAAGTAAAATAAGGACTCTGATGTGTCTATTAGAGATTAATGGTGATCTTAGCAAGAACAATTTTATTAGATGGGTAAGGGTGGAAGTCATATTGCAATCCAATGAAGAAAGAATAAGTGTGGAAGAGACAGTAAGAAAAATTTTAAAGATACTTGGCTGTGAAGAGGAGATGTCTTCTGTTTTGTATCCTAACTCCCTGCCCTTAGTCTTCTCCATTTTATATCTCTATATTATTTTGATCCCCTGCTTCCACAGCACCTTTCTAGAGTTTCAGCAATGAATGCCCTTTTTGACTATAAACTTTACTACTACATCTGGTTTTGTTTATTCCAAAATATGCTCTATCACCACAATTCAAAGAGAAAAATGTAAGATCCCCACTAGTCATACATTTATCTGCATATGAGCTATAACATAAAGATAAGTCTAAAAATCATATGCATAACAAACATAAAATTTCCTAAGAGAAAATCTAAATTCTAATAACTTGATGAGACTATCTCTACCATATCAGCCGAGTGGTAGCATATTTACTTATTTTTCCTCCTGAATTTATACTTTGTATAGAAGTGTAAAAACATGTAACCTGCTTTCAGGAAGAATTTCTCTGTTTTCCAAAAGAGAATGCTACTATACTTATATGCTCTACTATGACTCTTGACAGCAACCAGTAAAGATTATTCCTTTATAAATTTCTGATTTCGGTTGTTAAAAGAATAGTTCTTTCTAAAGGAAGGAGGTTGAAATGATTACTTTTTTGTTACAGCTATTGTAACACATTTATTTCCTGACAATTCCAGGTAGAATATCTGTTTTCTGGAAAGACTGAGCAAGATGTATGCATTATTGCTTCAGGAGACTGTACAATGTTGGAATTTCAGGTTGCCTGCTAGAAGGGGATTGATTATCTGGATGGAAACACGACATATTTTTCTGGTTACAGAATATACCAAGGAAAATGAGAGCATCCCAAATGAGATAATGTAGAGTGGTCCAAGACATTCGACTGGGCTGTCTCCAAAACTTATAAGAAGTGTATGGCAAACATCTTTTAATTTCCTTTGAATGAGAAGATTAAGAGGGAAGAAACTAAACTGTGCTCTAATGTCAATAGTTTAAAATGTTATCATGCTAAAAATGACACAAAGGAACGATTCAAAAGAAGTCGATGATTATTCTATAGGTATTACTATTATTATTTGAATAGCGGTGTAAATTGTAACATAGGAATTTGCAGAACTTTAAATCTAATTAATGAAAAATAAACCTTATATCTAATGTAAGCTGATACCTAAATTTCAGCCCAATATAGGACATGTTCTCAATTTCTCACACTTACAGGCCAGTTACACTTTGTTTTATCTCTCATTAAATCTTTTATATCATTTTAAAACCTTAATAATTTTTATGAAAAATGTCTGGATGAAACGAAAATGTTAAAGTTTCATATGCCTTATGCATTAAGCAGAAAATTTCCAATTCAGACTTTTCTCACAGATGTGTTTAAGTTGGCCTCTGCTCCTAGCAGGTAAATTACCAAATAGAGAAGCAAGTATTAGCTTACAGGATTTTTAAAATTTATTGTTAAATTTGCATATAGAAAAATTCACTTTTGTGCTGTACTTTTATAGTAAAGATTTACCCCTACCCCAACTCCTGGCAACACACTGTTCTTGATCCCTGTAGTTTTGTTTTTTCCAGAGTGACACGTAAATGGAATCTTATGTAATCATATGTAAACTTTTGAATGTGGCTTATTGCCCTTAGCATACGTATTTGAGATCTATGCATGTTGTTATGGGTATCAGGAGTTCAATTACTTTTATTACTGAGTAGTATTCCATTGTATGGTTGTGCCAGTTTTACTATCTCCCACTTGAGACACATTTGAGTTGTTTCCAGTTTGCCACTATTTTGAGTAAAGCTGCTATAAACACTTATGTACAGTTATTTGTGTGAATATAAATTTTCATTTCTCTAGGGAAAATACCCAGGAGTCAGATTGCCGTGTCATATTGAAAGGGTATGTTTAATTTTATAACAAAGTGCCAAACTCATTTCTAGAGTGGCTGCCCTACCATTTTGTATTCCTACCAGAAATGTAGGAGGGTTTCAGTACCGTTAGATACTTGCCATTACTCGCTATTGTCAGTTTTGTTTATTTTTAATAGTTTCATATCCAACATAGAAGACTTTTGGATGTCTTACATGTTATATGTCTTATATGTTAAACTTTTAGACTTTTATCCCAAATATCCATTTCTTCCTTTTGATAATATATCCTAGCAGACCAGAAATGTGTGCCCTCAAATGTATGATGTGACCTTGATCATCTGAAAGCATATCAAAGAATCGGCTCCAGAAATTTACTTTTAATATAAAACATTTGGAAGAAAAGCTGAATTAATAGTTGACAATAGTTGGATCAATGCACTAGTAAGATGGTAGATTGAGTGCAGTACACCAATTGTCCCTTTCCTCACCTCACTACCCATTAAAATCATAAGCAAGATAACATTCCCTTCTCTTAATTACTAGCATTTGCATTTTTAGTACTTCTAAAGATAGAACAAAATAGAAGTTACATTTTTAAAATAAAGTAGCAAGGTTGTAATAATTGCACAATATAGTATTATTTACCTGAAAAACCCAATATATTGAAATGTAAATCTATTAGAGAAAATAAAATTCTATATGGTTAGCTGTAAGAAAAATAATTACAAAATTAACAGCTTTCCTATAAGTTGACAGTAACTAAATGAAAAATATCATGGCAACAAATGATAATAACCCACAGGAGCAGCAAAAAGCTAATGAGATAAAACACAAAAACCCATAAAAACATAGTTTCTATTTAAAAGTAATAAAACCATATTTTTTGAAGTTAAAAGCTTGAAAAAATCAAAGGCAATATTTACTTTTGGATGGAGGTGTTCATATAGTAAATTCCATTTTCCTGTATTTCTCTATTGAAATTTCTATGGATTACAACTTGAAATTTAACAAAGTGGGTTTAAAGTTCATATTTACCCTTCTATAATATTTTATAATTTATAATGTCTACTAGGAAAATGTGACTTTTTATTACTGTAAGTGAAAGAACATCCCTACCTATTCTTAAAAAAACAGATAACAAATGAGAAAAGTAGAAAACTACTGGTCCTGACAGATATCAAAATGTATTATTTAGTGACATTACTTGAAACAAACTGTTACTGGTACGAGAACAGACACATCAATAGAACAGTATAGGCTTTTGAAATAAAATTAAGGATACACCAAACGTTTATGTATGCTAATTGTAGAATTTCAAATCAACAAAGAAAAATAAATGTATGCAATAAATGGTATTGAGGGGGAAAAGCAGTCATGTAGCAACAAACAGGAAATGCTTCTATCCTTACTATGAAAACAACCTCCAGATCATTCAAAGATTTCAGTACAAAATAAAACATAAACACACTAGAAAAAAATTAGGTGATCTTTCTTACTGATATGATTTGAGTCATTTGTAAATATGAAAAATATTAAAATCAGAAATAACTGGTAATGTTTGATAAATTGGACTAAAAAGAAATGTTAAGAATATGTAGGAAAAATACAATCAGGAGAAGTGGAGCAACATGGGTGAATAGAAAGCTCAACCGTTCGTTCCCCATGCCCACAAGTACACCAAGTAAACCACTCTCTACACAGAAAAAAACGCCTTCATAATAACTAAAAATCAGATGAGCACTCACAGTACCTGGTTTAACTTCGTATCGCTGACAGAGGCACTAAAGAAGTAGAAAAGCCAGTACTGAATCACCAACGCCATCCCTCCCCCACCTCCTGGCAGCAGTAGCATGAAGCAGAGAATATCTCTGGGTGATGGTGGAGGGAGAGCACAGTAATTGTGAGGCACTGAACTCAGTACTGTTCCATTAGAGCAGAAAGGAAAACCAGACCAAATTCAGCTGATGCCCTCCCAGAAAGGGAGCATTTAAACCAGTCATAGCCAGAGGGGAATTGCTGATACCAGCGGTCAGAATCTGAATGCCTGCAAACCTCTCCACCGAGAGTCAAAGTGCTCTTGGCCTCTAAGTAAACTTGAAGGACAGTGTAGGCCATAAGGACTGCAACTCTTAGGCAACTCCTAATGTTGAACTAAGCCTAGACAGTGGACTGGGGGAACATGTGACATACTGAGGCACCAGATGAGGCAGCCAAGAGAGGGCTGGCATCACCACTTCCCTACTTTCAGGCTGTACAGCTCGTGGCTCCAAAAGAGATTACTTCCTTCTGCTTGAGGAGAGGAGAGGGAAGAGTGGGGAGGACTTTGTCTTGCATCTTGGATACCAGCTCAGCCACAGAAATAAAGAGCACTGGTCAGAGTTACCAGGCCCACGTTCCCAGCACTAACTCCCAGATGACATTTCTAGACACACCCTGGGCCAGAAGATAAGCTGATTCCTTAAAGAAAACAAATCAATCCTGCCAGCCTTCAATACCCATTAACTGAAGAGCCCTTGGGCCTTAAATAACCAGCAGTAATACTCAAGTATTACATCAAGGGCCTTGGTGAGCCACTGAGACATGCTGCCTTCAGATTAGACTCAGCACTTTACCAGCTGTGGTGACTACAAATCAAAACCTCTTCCGCTTAGAAAAGCAGAGGGAAAAGTAAAAAAGGGTGTTGTCTTGCATTTTAGGAACCAATACCAATAGGTGTTGGTTATGGTGCCAAGCAAGTTTTTGAGGTCCCTCATTCTAGGACATGACTCTTGGATGACATTTCTGGACCAGCTGTGGGCCAGAGGGGAGCCCATTTCCCTGAAGGGTGAGTCCCACTACAGGCAGCATTCACCACAAGCTGACTTAAGAGCCATTGGGCCTTAAAGAAATATTGGCAATAATCTGGCAGTCCTCCTCATGGCCAGAGGTTACAGTGGCTATGAGTGAGACTCCCCTGCCTTTGGAAAGGAGAGGCAAGAGTGGGAAGAACTCTGTCTTGTGGTTTGAGTGCCAGCTAAGTCACAATACAACAGAATACCTGGTAGACTTCTAAGATTTTTGGCTCTAGTCCCTGATTCCTGGATAGCACTTCTGATCCTGCCCAGGCTTGTGGGGCCTCACCACCCTGAAGGGAAGGAAACAGGCATGGCTGGCTTTACCACCTGCTAATCATGGAGCTCCAGGGCCTTCAGGAAATGTAGGCTATAGCCAGGGAGTGGTTATAGCAGGCCTTGAGTGAGACACAGTGCTGTGCTGGCTTCAGGTATGACCCAGTGCAATCATAGTGGTGATGCACACAGAAGTCTGCAACCCTTTCCTCTAAGATCTGGAACATGACAAAGATGCCCACTGTCACCACTGTTATTCACCATAGTACTGGAAGTCCTAGCTAGAGCAATCAGACAAGAAAAAGATATAAAGACCACATGATTTGGAAAGGAAGAAGTCAAATTATCCTCATTTGCTGATAATATGATCTTGTATTTGGAAAAACCTAAAGACTCCACAAGAAAACTACTAGAACTCATAAATGCATTCAGTAAAGTTGCAGCATACAAAATTAACATACAAAAATTACTAGCATTTCTATATGCCAACAGTTAACAATCCAAAAAAAGAAATAAAAATGTAATCCCATTTACAGTAGACACACATGAAATTAAATATTAGGAATTAACTTAACCAAAGAGGTGAAAGATCTCTATAATGAAAACTATAAAGTACTGATGAAGGAAATTGAAGAGGACACCAAAAATAGGAATAGGAAAAATATTTTACCTTCATGGGTTGGAAAGATCAATATTGTTAAAATGTTCATACTACCCAAAGTAATTTACAGATTAAATGCAATCCCTATTAAAACACCATTGAAATTTTTCACAGATATAGAAAAAACAACCCTATAATTTATATGTAACCACAAAAGATGCAGAATAGCCAAAGCTATCTTAGGGAAAAAAGAACAAAATTGAAGAAATCACATTACCTGACTTCAAATTATACTACAGAGCTATAGTATCCAAAACAGCACGGGACTAGCATAAAAACAGACACATAGACCAAAGGAACAAAATAGAGAACCCCAAAACAAATTCAAACACCTATAGTGAGCTCATATTTGACAAAGGTGCCAAGAACATATACTGGGGAAAAGACAATCTCTTCAATAAATGGTGCTGGGAAAACTGGATAGCCATATGCAAAAGAATAAAACCCCACTCATATCTCTCACCATATACAAAAATCAAATCAAAATGGAATAAAGGCTTAAATCTAAGACCTCAGGCTATGAAACTATTACAAGAAATCAATGGGGAAAATATCCAGGACATTGATCTGGGCAAAGATTTGTTGAGCAATACCCCACAAGCACAGGCAAACACAGCAATCATGTACAAATGGAATTAAATCAAGTTAAAAAGTGTCTGCACCGCAAAGGAAACAATGAACAAAGTGAAGAGACAACACACAGAATGAGAGAAAATATTTGCAAATTACCCATCTAACAAGGGATTAATAACCAGAATATATAAGTAGCTCAAACAACTCTTTAAGAAAAAATCTAATGATCTGATCAAAAATGAGCAAAATGTTGAATAGAGATTTCTCAAAAAAAGACATACAAATGGCAAACAGACATATAAAAAGGTGTTTAGTATCCTGATCATCATAAAAATAGAAATCAAAACTACAATGAGAAATTATCTCACCCCAGTTAAAATATCTTATATCCAAAAGACAGGATGCTGGTGAGGATGTGGAGAAAAGGGAACACTTATACACTCTTGGTGGGAGTGTAACTTAGTACAACCACTATAGAGAACAGTTTGGAGGTTCCTCAAAAAACTAACAATTGAGCTACCATATGATCCTACAATCTCACTGCTGGGTATATACCCAGAAGAAAGGAAATAAGTATATCAAAGAGATATCTGCACTCCTATGTTTGTTGTAGCACTGTTTATAATAGCTAAGATTTGGAAGCTACCTAAGTGTCCATCAAGAGATAATGACAACAAAGTACTATTCAGCTATAAAAAAAATGAGATCCAATAATTTGCAACAACATGGATGGAACTAGAGATCGTTACATTAAGTGAAGTAAGCTAGGCACAGAAAGACACACATTGCATGTTCTCACTTACTTGTGGGATCGAAAAATCAAAACAATTGAACTCATGGACATAGGGAATAGATTTATGGTTACCAGAGGCTGGGAAGGGTAGTAGGGGCTGGGAGGGAGGTGGGCATGGTTAATGGATAGAAAAAAAAAAAAGAAAGAAAGAATAAATAAGATCTAGTCTTTGATAGCACAACAGGGTAACTATAGTTAATAATAACTAAATTATATATTTAAAAATAAAGAATGTAATTGGATTGTGGTAACTCAAAGGATAAATGCTTGAGGGAACAGCTATCCCATTCCCTATGATGTGATTATTTTACATTGCATTCCTGTATCAAAATATCTAATGTACCCCATAAATATATACACCTTAAATACCCACAAAGATTTTTTAAAATCATAATTTTTTAAATAAAACAATCAAATATATACACACACATATGTATATATACATATATATATGAAAGATAGCTAACAAAGTAGGAAAAATGCAATGTACATGTCAAACAACAAGCCTACTATTATTAATCTTAAGAAAAAATAAAGACATCATTTTTGCAAGCATGGTCACTTACAAAAGAAGAAATACAAATGTTGAATATACATATTATGAGGTATGTTGCATTAGTCATTATAAACAACTAATAGGACTTCTTTTGCATATAGGAATGACAGAGATTAAAAAGAATGCAGTGATCATGCCCCTGCACTCCAGCTTGGATGCTACAGTGATATGGTGTCTAAAAAAAAAAAATGCAAAAACTCCAGGTAGGAAAGGGTGTGTAAAAAAAGACACTCAATTAGGGGTGAAGCATAATGGTGGAATAGAAAGCTCCACCTATTGTTTTCCCTGCAAAGACACCAAATTAACAACTATCTACACAGAAAAAGCACCTTCATAAGAAACAAAAAGCAGACACACCCTGGGCCAGAAGGAAAACCACTGCCTTGAAGGAAATATATGAGAAGTAGAAACCTCAGGACATGCTTCGCGTGCACTCCCAGTCTCCAGTGGGGATGCAGGGAAGACTTTTCTGATTCTACCTTAGAGAGGACCACAAAGAAGTCTGCCAGGTAACTCAGGCATTGGTCACAGGCCCCATAGGAGAAAGCAAACCTGCTCACACATCCAGCACGTGATTACTAAAACTATCATCTGAGAAAGCTATCACACAATGACTCTCTATAACCAAGGAACCCATACAGAATCTTTGCCACTGAAAGCACCCAGAGCTGAAGCTAGGTGACATTAAACTATAAACACTTAAGTCATATCCTCAAGGAGGACAAAAACCAAAATGACAAAACACAGTAAATTAAAAATAAATCCAAAACTTATTAAAAGAAATAGTCTACCCAAGCAAGAATAAACCAGAATAATAATTCTGGCAACATGAAAAAGCATGGTTCTAAAACACCCCAAAAACATCACACTAATTCTGTATCTGTATCTGTATTTTATTTCATCAAACCAAGATGAAATCTTTGAAATACCAGATAAAGAATTCAAAATGTTGATAATTAAGCTACTCAGGGAGATACAATAGAAACATGAAAAGCAACCTAAAGAATTTTTTAAATCCAGAATATAAATAAGACATTTTCTAGAGATAGATATTTTGAAGAAAAAACAATCAAAACGTATAGAAATGAAAGACACATTTAGGGAACTATAAAATGCAGTGGAAAGTTTTAACAATAGATTAGACCAAGGAGAGGAAATAATTTTAGAGCTTGAAGATAAGGCTTTCAAATGAACCCAACCAGATAAAAATAAATAAAAAGAGTTAAAGGAAATAACAGTTTCTAAGAAACATGTGTTTGTGTAAAACAGCCAAACCCAAGGATTATAGTGGTTTCTGAAGGAGAAGAGAAAGCAAAAAGTTTGGAAAACCTATTTGAGGAAATAATCTTGGAAAACTTCCATGGCCTTGCTAGAGATTTAGATACTCAAATTCAAAAAGCTCAAGCAACTCTTGGGAGATGCACTGCATAAAGGGCATTGCCAAGGCATATAGTCATTAGGTTATCTAAAGTCAATGTGAGGAAAATAATTCTAAGAGCAGTGAGACAAAGGAATCCAGTAACCTATAAATGAAAATGTATCATAGTAACAGCAGACTTCTCAGCAGAAACCTTGCAAGCCTGAAGGGAGCAGGGTCCTATCTTTAGTCTCCTTAAACGCAACAACTATCAGCCAATAATTTTGTTTTCAGCAAAACTACCCTTCATAAATGAAGGATGAACAAAATCTTTTTCAGACAAGCAAATGCTGAGGGAATTTGTCACTACCAGATCAACCCTACAAGAAATACAAAAGGAGTTCTAAATGTTGAAATAAAAGGTCAAGGCACACTAGAATAGAAACTCCTGAAAGCATAAAATTCACAGGGCTTACAAAACAATAACACAATGAATAAAACAAACTCACCAGGTAACAATCAACGTGATGACTGGAATAGTACTTCACATCTCAATGTCAATGTTGATTCTCCACTTAAAAGATACAGATTGGAATAATGGATTAAAAAATGCAAACCGAATACCTTATATCTTCAGGAGATACACCCAACTCATAAGGATTCTTGTAGACTGAAGGTAAAGGGGTGGAAAAAGATATTTCACACAAATGGAAATCAAAAGCAAGGACAGATAGCTATTCTTAGATAAGACAAACTTTAAAACAACAGTAACAAAAAGACGAAGGTCATTATATAATGATAAAGAATACATTTAACAAGAATGTATAACAATCTTAAATATATATGCACCTAGTTCCAGAGTTCCCAGATTTGTAAAGCAATTACTACCAGACTTAAGAAAAGAAATGGACAGCAACACAATAATAGTGGGGGAATTCAACACTCTACTAACAGGACTTGACAAATTATCAAGGCAGAAAAAAAACCAACAAAGAAACTCCAGACTTAAACATCACCCTAGAGCAAATGTACCTAACAGGTATTTGTAGAACATTCTGCCCCAAAACTCCAGGATAGACATTCTTCTCATCAGCACATAGAACATTCTCCAAGATAGGCCATATAATAGGCCACAAAACAAGTCTCAATAAGTTAAAAAATTAAAATTATATGAAGTAATTTCTCAAACCACAGTGTAATAAAACTAGAAATAAAATACAAAAGTAACCTCAAAACTATACAAATGCATGGAAATTACACAATCTGCTCCTGAAGGATTTTGGGGTTAACAATGAAATCAAAATAGAAATTGAAAAAATTTTCAAAATGAATAATAGCTGTGACACAAGGTATCAAAACTTCTGGGACATGGAAAAAGCAGTGCTAAGAGGAAAGTTTATAGTGTCAAGTGCCTATAAATCTGAGAGATCACAAATTGAAAAGCTAACATTACACCTCAAGGAACTTGTTAAACAAGAAGAAACCAAACCCAAAGCCAGCAGAAGAAAAGAAATAACAGAGGTCAGAACAGAACTAAATGAAAATCAAACAAGACATACAAAAGATCAATAAAACAAAAAGTAGTTCTTTGAATAGATAAACAAAATTGATACACCACTAGCTAGATTGACCAAGAAAAGTAGAAAGAAGATTCAAATAAACTCAATTAGAAATGAAAATGGAGACATTACACCTGACACACAGAAATTACACCTGACACACAGAAATATGTGCCACTACACCAGACACACAGAAATATGAAAGATCATTCCAGACTACTATGAATTCCTCTATGCACACAAACTAGAAAATCTAGAGAAAATAGGTAAATTTCTGGAAACATGCAACCCCCTAACTTGAATCAGAAAGAAACAGAAATCCTGCACACTGATAACAAGCAGCAAGATTGAATCCGTCATATATAAACTTCCAACAAAAAATACCCAGGGCCAAATGGATTCACAATCACATTCTACCAGACATTCAAAGAAGAATTGGTACGAATTCTACTGAAAATATTCCCAAAGACTCAGAAGGAGAAACTCCTCTGTAACTCATTCTATGAAGCCAGTATCCCCTTGATAGAAAGCCAGGAAAGAACATAAAAACAACAACAAAAAAGAAAACTACAGACCAATATTCCTGATGAATATAGATGCAAAAATCCTCAACAAAATACTAGGAAACCAAATCCAACTGCGTATCAAAAAATAATTCACCATGATCAAGTGGGTTTATTCCATGGATGCAGGGATGTTTCAACATATAAAAGTCAATAAATGTGATTCATTACAAAACAGAATTAAAAACAAAAACCACATGATAATCTCAATACACAAAGAAAAAGCATTCAATACAATCCAGCATCCCTTTATGATAAAAATCCTCAACAAACTGGGCATAGAACAATATATCTCAAAATTATAAAAGCCGTCTGGGCACAGTGGCTCACACCTGTAATCCCAGCACTTTGGGAGACCAAGGCAGGTGGATTACGAGGTCAGGAGTTTGAGACCAGCCTGACCAACATGGTGAAATCCCGTCTCTACTAAAAATACAAAAATTAGCTGGGCGTAGTGGCACGGGCCTGTAATCCCAGCTACTCAGGAGGCTGAGGCAGGAGAATTACTTTAACTCGGGAGGCAGAGGTTGCAGTGAGCTGAGATCGCGCCACTGCACTCCAGCCTGGATGACAGAGTGAGACACTGTCTCAAAAAAACAAACAAAAAAATTATAAAAGCCATATATGACAAACTGGCAGCCAACAACATAGTAAATGGTGGAAAGTTAAAAGCATTCCCCCTAAGAACTGGAGCAAGACAATTATGTTGACTTCCTCCACTTTTATTCAATATAGTACTGGAAGTCCCACTCAAAGTAACCAGGCAAGAAAGAGAAGTAAAGGGCATCCAAATTGGAAAAGAGGAAGTCAAACTATCTTTGTTTGCCAGTGATATAGTCTTACACCTAGTAAACCCTAAAGATTCCTACAAGAGACTCTTATGTCTTATAAATGAATTCAGTAAAGTCTCAGGTTACAAAGACAATGTACACGAATCAGTAGCAGTGCTATACACCACCAAAAACAAAGCTGCAAATCAGATCAATAACTCAATCCCCTTGTCAATAGCTAAAAAAAAAAAAAAGAATAAAATATCTAGGAATATACTTAACCAAGGAGGTGAAGTTCTCCACAAGGAGAACTCCAAAACACTGCTGAAAGCAATTACCAAGGAAGTGTAGTTCTCCATAACAAAGGAGCTGAAAGAAATTACAGATGACACAAACAAATAGAAACACATGCTGTGTGCATGGAATGGAAGAATCAATGTCATGAAAATGACCATACTGCATGAGTATGGTGCAGTTCCTCAAAATGCCAACATAATTTTGCACAGAATTAGAAAAATACATTCTCAAAATTCATATGGAACCATAAAATGGCCCGAATGGTCAAAGCAATTCCAAGCAGAAAGAAAAAATCTGGAGGAATTACCCAACTTCAAATCTGGAGGAATTACCCAACTTCAAATTATACTACAAGTTGATAGTAACCAAAAGAGCATGGTTCTGGTGTAAAAGTAGATTAATGGACCAATGGAACAGGATAGAGAACCCAGGAATAAAGCCAAATGCTTACAACCAACTGATCTTTGACAAAGCATACAAAAACATAAATTGGGGAATACACCCTATTTGAAATAATGCTGGGAAAATTCAATAGCCATATGTAGAAGAATGAAATTGGAACCCTAAACTCATTATATACAAAAATTAAATCGTGATGGATCAAAGACTTAAATCTAAGACCTAAAACCCTAAAAACTGTAGAAGAAAACCTAGGAAAAACTCCTCTGGACACTGTCCTAGGCAAATAATTTATGACAAAGACCTCAAAAGCAAATGCAACAAAGCAAAAATAAGTAAATGGGACCTAATTAAACTAAAATCCTTCTGCACAGCAAAAGAAGTATTCATTAGAGTAAACAGACAACCCACAGAAAGGGAGAAAATATTTGCCAATTATTATCTGATAAAGGACTAATATCCTGAGTCTACAAGCTCAAATGAATCAGCAAGAAAAAAACAAATAATCTTATTAAAAGTTTACAAATGAGTAGACATTTCTCAAAAGAATACATATAAACGGCCAACGAACATATGAAAAAATGCTCAATATCACTAATCATCAGAGAAATGCAAATTGAAAGTACAATGAGACAACACCCCAGCCAGAATGGCCATTATTAAAACGTCAAGAAACAATAGGTGTTGGCCTGGATATGGTGAAGAAGGAATACTTGTACACTGCTGGTGGGAATGTAAATTAGTACAACCTCTATGGAAAACAGTATGGAGATTTCCCAAAAAACTAAAAGTAGATCTACCATTTGATCAAGCAATCCCACTACTGGTTATCTACCGCCCACCCCCCGCCCACAAAAAAAAGTCATTATATGAAAAAGACATCTAGAAGCATATGTTTATTACAGCACAATTCACTATTGCAAAGATATAGAATCAACTTGTGTGCCCGCCATACACTATGAAATACTACTCAGCCATAAAAAAGAATAAAATAATGTCTTTTTCAGCAACTTGGATGGAACCAGAGACCTTATTCTAAGTGGAGTGACTCAGGAATGAAAATCCAAATACCTCACGTTCTTATTTATAAGTGGGAACTAAGATATGGTATGAAAAATCATAGAGTGGTATAATGGAGACTGAAGACTCAGAAGTGGGGAGAGAGGGAGGATGGTGACGGATGAAAAACTACCTACTGGGTACAATGTACACTACACAGGTAAAGATGGGTGCACTAAAATCCCAGACTTCACCACTGTACCATTCATCCATGAAACCAAAAACCCCTTGTATCTCTAAAGCTATTGAAACAAAAACATTCTAAAAACAAATTAATGCCAAACCTTTAAACTCTTCCAAAATATTTAAGTGGAAAGCATAGTTTCAAATTCATTTTATGAGACCAACATTACCAATATCAAAGCCAGACAAAGATACTACAGGACTGTATTGTATATTTCAAAGTGGCTAGAATTGAATTTTAATGAACTCATCATGAAAAAATGAAAAATTAGTGAGGTGATGGATATGTTAATTAGCTTGATTGGATCTTTCCATAATGTATACATACATCAAAACATCATATTTTACTTCATAAATATACATAATTATCATTTGCCAATTATAAATAAATAAACAGAATTTTAAAAATTGAAAAATAATTTCAGACCAATATCCCTGATGAATATTGACGCCAAAATCCTCAGCAAAATGTTACCAAATTGAATTCAACAGCACATTAAAAGGATTATATATTGTGACCAAATGAGATTTACCCGAGATACAAGGATGTTTTAACATATGAAAATCAATCAATGTAATACACCACTTTAACAGAATGAAGGAAAAATATGTGATCATCTCAACTGATGCAGAAAAAGCATTCAAAAAATCTGACACGTCATGTTAAAAGAAAAACACATCAAGCTAGGAATAGAAAAAAATCACCTCAACATAATAAAAGTCATATACGAAAAGGCTACAGTTAATGTTATACTCAATGGTAAAAAACTAAAAGTTTTTCTCCAAGATGTGGAACAAGGCAATGATGTTTTATCTCACCACTTCCATTCAGCATAATACTGGAACTCACAGCCAGAGTAATTATGAAACAAAGAGAAATAAAAGGAATACAAATTGGAAAGGGAGAAACAAATTTATCTGTTTTTGCATATGACATGTTCTTATGTGCAGAAACCCTAAGTATTTCACAAAATACTCTGTTAGAGCTAATAAACAAATTCAGCAAAGTCGCAGGATACAATATCAATGCTGAAAAATCAGTTGTGCTTCTCTATACTAACAATGAACAATACAAATGGAGAAATTCAACAATAATTCCATTTACAATAGCATCAAAAAGAAGAAAATACCTGTATTTAGGAATAAACATAACCAAAGAAGCAAAAGATTTGTACATCATAAACTACAAAACATTGCTAAAATAATTTAAAGAAGACATCAATAAATAAAAATACATACTGTATTCATTGATTAGATGTCTTAATACTGTTAAAATGTTCATCTTAACTAAAGCAATCTACAAATTTATGCAATCTGTATAAAATCACAAAGGTCTTTTTTCTTTTGCAGAAATAGAAAAAAAATCATCCTAAAATGTATATGCATTCTCAAATGATCCAAAATAACCAAAACAATCTTGAGAAAGAAGAATAAAGCTGGAGGTTTCACACTTCCTTATTTCAAAGCATATTACAAAGCTACAGTAATTAAGAGTATGCTACTAGCATGAAGACAAACATAAAAATCAATACCACAAAATAGAGAGCTTAGAAATAAACTCAATATATATGGGCAACTAATCTACAACAAAGATGCCAAGAACACACAATGAGGAAAAGATAGTCTCTTTAACAAATAGCATTGGGAAAAGTATATCCACATACAAAAGAATGAAATTGGACCCTTTTCTTACATTATATAAAAACTAACTCAAAATAGATTAAAGACCTAGGTATAAGTACCAAAACTATAAGACTAGAAAAAAAAACATAAGGAAAAGACTTATGACATTGGAATGGGCAATGACTTCTTCAATATGACAAAAGAAGCAGAGTAACAAAAGCAAAAATATACATAAGGGAATAACTCTAACTTAAAAACTTCAGTGCAGAAAAAGAAACAATCAAGTAAAAAGACAACCTGCAGAATGGAAGAAAATATTTGCAAACAGTGTATTGGATTAGGGGTTAATAATCAGAGTATATAAAGAACTCATAACTCAACAACAAAAACGACAACAATGGTTATTAAAAAATGGGCAAAGAATTTGAGTGGACACTTTCCCAAAGATGAGATACAAATGGCCAACAAGTATATGAAAAGATGCTCAACATCACTAATCATCGTGAAATATAAATCAAAACCACAACAAGATATTATCTCATACCTGTTCAGATAGTTAGTATTAAAAAACAAACAAGGCCAGACACGGTGGCTCATGCCTGTAATCCCAGCACTTTGGGAGGCTGAGGCAGGCGGATCACGAGGTCAGGAGTCCGAGACCAGCCTGACCCACATGGTGCAATTCCATCTCTACTAAAAATACAAAAATTAGCCAGGCATGGTGGCGTGGGCCTGTAATCCCAGCTACTCAGGAGGCTGAGGCAGGAGAATCACTTGAACCCAGGAGGCCGAGGTTGCAGTGAGCCAAGATTGCGCCACTGCACTCCAGCCTGGGTGACAGAGCTAGACTCCATCTCAAAAAAAAAAAAAAAAAAAAAAAAAAAAAAAAAAAAAAAAGCTTCTGCACAGCAAAAGAAATAACCGAGCAAATAAACAGACAATCTAAAAAAATGGAAGAAAATATTTGCAAACTATACATCCGACAAAGAACTAATATTCAGTATATACAAGGAACTCAAATGAATAAGCAAGAAAATAATTAATTTTATTTAAAAATGAGCAAATGACATGAACAGACATTTCTCGAAAGAACATATAAAATTGGCATATATATATATGTATATATATATATATATGTATATATATAAAGCTCTTCATCACTAAGAATCAAAGAACTGCAAATTAAAACCACAATGGGATACCACCTTGCCCCAGTCACAATGGCCGTTATTTAAAAGTCAAAAAACAATAGATGTTAGTGTGGATGCACTGAAAAGGGAATACTTAACACACTGTTGGTGGGAATGTAAATTAGTATAACCTCTATGGAAAACATTATGGGGATTTCTCAATGAACTAAATGTATATCTACCATTCAATCTAGCAATTCCATTACTGGATATATACCCAAAAGAAAATAAGTCATTATATTAAAAATATACCTGCACTCATGTGTTTACCACAGCAAAATTCACAACTTGCAAAAATAAGGAATCAATTTAAGTGTGGACCAACCAAAGAATGGATAAAGAAAATATGGTATATATATATATATACACACATACCATGGAATACTACTCAGCCTGAAAAAAAAAATTGTCTCTTGCAGCATCTTGGGTGGAACTGGAGGCTATTATCTTAAGAGAAGTAATGCAGGAACAGAAATGAAATACTGCATATTCTCATTTATAAGTGGAAGTTAAGCTATGAGTATGCAAAGGCATTCAGAGACATTAGAGTCTCAGAAGAGAGGAAGGTGGGTGAGAAATTTAAAAATTCACCTATTGGGTACAATGTACAATATTCAGATGATGGGTACATTAAAAGCCCAGACTATATACCACTTTAAAATTAATCCATGTAATCTAAAACCACTTGTACCCATATTGAAATTATAAATAAATAAATAAATAAATACATGTACACTACAAAACAAAAGAAGGAAGAGCAACTCTAAAATGTTGAAAGATAAAAAAAGGCTGTCATCCTAGATCTTTAGAAAATGAAAAAATATCCTTCAAAATAAATGTTGGGCAACTACCTCAAAAACCAGTCTGGAATATCTTCAAAGCAAGTTAAATAGGCAGTTATTATTTGACCTAGCAATTCTACTCCTAGGTACATATCCAGGAGAAATGGAAACATATGTCCACACAAAAACTTGTAAACAAATATTCTTAGCAGATTTATAAAAGCCAAAAGATGGGAACAGCACGAATGTTCATCCACTGATCAATGTATAAACACAATGTAGTATATCTATATAATAGAACATTATTTGGCCATAAAATGGGATGAAGTATTGATACATACTACAAAATAGATAAACCTTGGAAACATGTTTGGAAACATGTTAACTGAAAGAAGTCAAACACAAAACATCACATTGTATAATTCCATTTATGTAAAATGTCTAGAATAGGCAAATCTATAAAGATAAACAACAGATTAGTGGCTCCCAGTGTGATGGGGCTATCAGACAATAGAGACTAACTGGTAATGAGTAGGGGGCTTCTTTTTGGGGTGATAGAAATATTCTGGAATTGGAAGGTAGTGATGGCTGCATGAATCTGTGAAAATATTAAAACACACTTAACTACATAATTTTAAATGGGAATTTTAGATATGTGAATGCTATCTCAATAAAGGCATAACCAAAATAATGACAATTAGTACTTCTGCTTTCATTTAGAGCATAAAAAACTGGATAGATTATTGTTCCCCAATAATAATGATAAAAAGCCAAATAAGCTTTAAATTTCTCAGTTTTCTTGAGCCCTTCAGAGACCTGGGTTTACAAGGAAACCATCCATAAAAATTAAGTGACAAGTCTCACCAAAGAGAGATGAAATACATGAACTGTCTCACTTTTGACAGAATATCAGAAAAAGAGGTAGCCACCGTAGAGGTAGACATGAAGAAATCAGGTATGGACTACCAAGTCACTTTGGAGTAGCTAGAGGTCACTAAACACAAGAGTAGTTGTATAGTACAGACTTGAGTGAATTTTTCATGCTTTTCCATACAAACTTTTATGTTGTCTGAAACTTTCATAATAAACTTTTTTTTTTCTTCTATAACTTATATTTTAGGTTCAGGGATACATGTGCAGGTCTGTTATATAGGTAAATTTTGTGTCACGAGGGTTTGATGTACAGATTATTCCATCATCCAGGTGGAAAGCAGAGTACCAAACAGGTAGTTTTCCAATACTCACCCTCTTCCCTCCCTTCAGCCTCAAGTAGGCCCCAGTGTTTGCTGTTCTCTGCTTTGTGTCCATATGTACTCAATGTTTAGCTCCCACTTATAAGTAAGAACGTGTGGTATTTGGTTTTCTGTTCCTGTGTTAGTTGGCTTAGGATAATGGACTCTAGCTCCACCCGTGTTGCTGCAAAGGACATGATCTCATTCTTTGTCATGGCTGTATACTATTCCATGAAGTATATGTACCACATTTTCTTTATCCAGTCTACCATTGATGGACATTTAGGTTTATTCCATGCCTTTGCTATTGTTAATACAGCGGTGATGAACATACACATGCATGTGTCTTTATGGCAGAATGATTTATAGTACTTTGCATATATACCCATTAATAAGATTGCTGGATCAAATGTAATTCTGCTTTGAGTTCTTTGAAAAATTGCCAAACTGCTTTCCACAATGGCTGAAATAATTTATATTGCCACCAGCCGTGTATAAGCATTTTTTTCCTCCACAACCTCGCTAGCATCTGTCATTATTTGACTTTTTAGTAATAGTAATTCTGACTGGTGTGAGACGGTATCTCCTTGTGGTTTTGATTTGCAGTTCTCTAATAATTAGTAATATTGAGCATTTTTTCATATTCTTGTTGGCTGCATGTATGTCTTCGTTGGAAAAGCGTCTGTTCATGTCCTTTGCCCATTTTTTAATGAGGTTGTTTCACCAGCATTTTTAAATTTTGATTATAAAATAAGTACAATGGAGATGGTTAGTTTGTTGTAGGGAGAGAGAGAGAATAGGCAAACAGGTATGAACAGGTAATTCACAGAAGAAGCTGTATGGCCTATAAACATACAAATAGTGGATAACTTCATTATTAGTAAAGAGAATGCAAAATCCAAGAGAATGAAATATCATTTCACATCCATAGCTTGGCAAAGTATTTTAATATACTCCCTGCACCATGACTTTGGTACAGGGATGTGAAGAAATAGGAAATGAGAATTTTCATACACTTCTCATAAGAGTATATGTTATCACAATAATTTGTAAAAGTTTTATGAAGTTCATCATGATTTTACCTTAGGAATCTTCAATTACACATATAGAAATATACCCTAAAGAAATTACTGTACAGGTGTATATGGAGTATAAATAAGAATTTTCATTTTAGAAATAAGAACATTAATCAATAAAATTGATGATGTTCTTGATTAATGTTATTTCTAAAATTTTCATTTCATTTCAATTTTATTGATTGATGTTCTTATTTCTAAAATGAAATGTGGTACACTAATGTAAATGTAGCATATCTCCACTGTAATGTGGTACATTAATGAAAATATAGTATATCTCCATTAAAATGAAAAAATTAGAGTCATGTGTATCAATAAAGATAAACTGAAAAAAGTTGCTAAACAAAACTTACAGAATGATACAATTTATATAAAGTTATAAAATCCTATAAAAGAACATTATATATTGTGTGTAGCTATTTGAGCATATAGTAAATGTATAATACCATACATGTGAAAGATAAACATAAAATTTATATTAAGGAAAGACATGGATGAAAATTAAACTTAGGCAAGGGTAGGCATGGGACCTCAGCTGAACTCTAAGGTTACAGTTCTTAAACAAAATCTATTTGAAATAAATATGGAATAACAAGAAGATTTTATAAACCATTGTGTTTATTACTATATTCTCTCTGTGACTGTCCACATGTTTGAAATAGTTATAAATAAAAAACATAAATGAAAATGATGACTACAAAACTTGTAAACTCATATTTGGCCCATAGCTACTCACAAATGAAAAATAAATAATTCTAAATGCCTTTATAATAAAATAAGAAAATTGAAAATAAAGTGCTTATTCAATCAATAAATTAGAAAATAGTAATATCACTTTTTGGGGAGTAGGAGAGAATAGTAATGAAATAATTAGAGAAATTAATTGTATTACAAACTAGAAAAATGTGGCACCATAAGTAAACTCAAGAGGTTTTTTTCTGTAAAAAAGAGGCAATAAAATATGTAAACTTTTGTACGTGTAATAAAGGAACGAAGACAGAGATAATGCAGACCACAGCAAACAATATTAAGGACTAGAGGAGATTAAAAAATATAGTAAGCATAAAAAAGCAAATTGTAATCTAATAAATTAATACACTTATAAAATAGGTTATAGCCCAACAGAAATAACTGCATATGTGGTATTATGTCATATCTGTCCTTTTGTGTCTGGCTCATTTCACTTAGCATAATGCCTTTCAGGTTGAGCTTTTTGCAAATGGCAGAATTTTTATTTATTATTATTATAATTTTTTTGAGATGGAATTTCGCTCTTGTTGCCCAGGCTGGAGTGCAATGGCGCGATCTCACCATAACCTCTGCCTCCAGGGTTCAATCGATTCTCCTGCCTCAGCCTCTCGAGTAGCTGGGATTACAGGCATGCACCACCCCGCCCGGCTAATTTTGTATTGTTTTTTTTTTTTTTTTTAGCAGAGGTTTCTCCATGTTGGTCAGGCTGGTCTCGAACTCCTGACCTCAGGTGACCCAACCGCCTCGGCCTCCCAAAGTGCTGGGATTCCAGGTGTGAGCCACTGCTCCCAGCCCCAGAATTTTCTTTTTTTAAAGACAAAATACCATTGCATTTTATGTATATACTACATTTTAAAATATATTGTTTTTAAATTGATACATAACACTTGTACATATTTATGAGGTACATAGTAATTTTTCAATACATACAAGTTAGAGTGATCAGATCAGAGTAATTAGTGTACCCATCATTTCAAACTTTATTTTTGTTGGAAATATTTAATATCTTCTTCCTAGCTATTTGAATTATAACATATTATTGTTAACTATAGTCATCCTACAGTGCTAGAGAACACTGGAATTTCGTCCTATTATCTAGCTGTAGGATATATTTAAAAAGGTTTATATACTTTAACACATTTTAATTCACTCATATGTTAATAGATATTTTACTTGCTTCTATGTCTTGACTATTGTGAATAATGCTGCAGTGAACATGGGAGTACCTATGTCTCTTTGACATACTAATTAGTTTCTTTGGATATTTATCCAGAAGTGGGATTGCTGAATCATATAGAGGTTATATTTCTCATTTTTTGAGGAACCTCCGTACTGTTTTTCATAGTGGCTGTACCAGTTTACATCCTCATTTACTGTGTACAAGTGTTCATTTTCCTTCATATCCTTGCCAACACTTATCTTTTATGTTTTTATTTTTCAGATAAAAGCCATCCTAACAGATGTAAGGTGATATTTCATTGTGGTTTTGGTTTTCATTTCTCTGATAATTGATGATTCTGATGACCTTTTCATATACTTGCTAGCCACTTGTATGTCCTTCTAAAAGAAATATTTATTCAAATCCTTTGTACATTTTTAAATCAGGTTATTTGTTTTATTGCTGTTAACTTGTAGAAGTTTCTTACGTATTTTGGATATTAACCCCTTAACAGATACATGGTTTGCAAATGTTCTCTCCCATTTCAAAGGTTGCCTTTTCACTTTGTTGATCGTATTCTTTGCTGTGCAGAAGATTTTTATTTTGATGTAGCTGCACTTGTTTATTTTTACTTCTCTTCATTGTGCTTTGGCGTATACAAGATCATATCCAAAAAATCACTGACAAGGCCAATTACAAGAAGTTTTTCCTATGCTTACTTCTACATGTTGTATATTTATGGGTCTTACATTTAATTATTTAATCCGTTTTGAGTTGATTTTTGTGTATGGTGTAAGATAAGGATCCAATTTCATTCCTTTGCATCTGGATATCTAGTTTTCCCAACACTATTTATTGTCAATATTACATTTTTTGTATTGTGTATTCCTGGCACCCTTGTCAAAAATTAGTTTATCATGTGAGTAGGCCTATTTCTGATATCTCTATTTTTTATTATTGATCTATATGTTTGTTTTGATGCTAGCACCATACTTTTTTTATTACTGTAGCTGTGTATGATATTTCAAAATTGGGAAGTTCGATGTCTCCAGTTTTCTCCTCTTTCTTCAAAGATGCTTTGGCTGCTCAGGATCTTTTATGTGGTTCCATATGAATGATAAAATTGTTTTACTACATCAGTAAATTTGCTGTTTGGAATTTGATTGTGATTACATCAACTCTGTAGATTAGTTGGGTAGTATATATCCTTTTAAATTATATATACATAGGTGTATATATATTTAAAATATACAATGTGTAAGTTTGATATACATATACAAAGTGAAATGATTAATATAGTCAATAAAATTATCTATGATCCCACATAGTTACCACTTTTTTCTGTGTGTGGTAAAAACACAGCAAATTTGTCAGCAAATTTCCAGGATACAATACAATATAACTAACTATAGTCCTCATGTTGCACATTGTATCTCTAGATTTATTCATCCTACATAATATCAAATTTGTACCCTTTCATCTGCATCTCCCTATTCTATCTCCTATCCCTGGTAACCACCATTCTACTCTTTGTTTTAGTTTCCAAATATAAGTTAGATCATGTAGCAATTTTATTTCTGTCTCTAGCTTATTTCACTTAGTATAATGTCCTCCAAGACCATTGTTCCAAACGGTAGGATCGAATTCATTCTTAAGGCTGAAAAATATAACATTATATACATGTGTACACATATGAAGTGCTGACTTCATTTTCTTTTGATATATACCCAGAAGAGGGATTGCTGAATATGCTGAGTCATACGAACATTTTAACAGCATCAATTCTTTCAATCTATGAGCACGGTATGTCTATTTATTTGTGCTATGTTTTACTTCTTTCATTCATGTTTTATAGTTTTCAGTGCAAAAGTCTTTCACCACCTTGGTTAGTTATTTTTCTAAGCATATTATTCTTATTAATGCTATTGTATAATAAATGGAATTGTTTTCTCAATTTTCTTTTAACTTTGTTGTTAGTGTATTGAAATGCAAATGACTTTTATGTTGATTTTGTAATCTGAAACTTTACCAAATTTATTAATTCGAACAGTTTTCTCCTCCCTTTGGGTTCTATAGGGTTTTCCACATATGAGATCATGTCATCTATAAAGAAATAATTTTACTTCTTTTCCTGTTTTGTTATCTTTTATGTCTTTTTTCCTCTAATTGCTCTGGCTAGGATTTCCAGTCTTACATTGACTAGAAGTGATGAGAATGGGCATCTTTTCCTTCATCCAGATCTTAGAGGGAAAGCTTTCAGCTTTTCACTGATGAGTATTATATTAGCTGTTGGTTTTTTATAAATAATTTGTATTGTGCTAAGTTCCACGCATACCTAGTTGGCTGAGAGTTTTTCTCATAAAAAAAGTGTTAAATTTTGCCAAATGCTTTTTCTGCACTTATTAATATGATTGTGTAATTTTCTCATTCATTCTGTTGATGTGATATGTCACACTGACTAATTTGCAGGTTGAAGAACCCTTGCATCCCAGTGATAAATTCCACTTGGTCATACTGTAAGATTCTTTAAATGTGCTGTTGAATGTGTTGTGCTATTTTGTTAAGAATTTTCGCATCCATGCTTATCAGGTCTATTAGCCTATTTTTGTTTCGTTTTGTTGTGGTGTTTTTGTCTTAGTTTGGTATCAGGATGATGCTGGCCTCATAAAATGAGTTTGGAAGTGTTATGTATTCTATTTTTGTGAAGAGTTTAGGATTAGTATTAATTCTTCTTTAAATATTTGGTAGAATTCACCTGTTAAGCTATCTGCTCCTGGACTTCTCTTTATTGGGAGGATTCTCATTACTGTTTCTATCTCCTTGTTATTTGTTTGCTCAGGCTTTCCATTATTCTTAGCTCAATCTTCATGATGTGTATGCATCTAAGAATTTAAAGAATTGGTTGTTTGATTGGTAGGCATATAATTGTTCAGAAAAGTCCTCTATGATCTTTTTTATCTGTGGTATCATTTGTAATGTCTCCACTTTCATTTCTGGTTTTATATATTTGAGTTTTCTCTCTTTTTCTTACTAATCTAGCTAGGGATTCCTTGATTTTCTTTATCTTTTTATGAAAAGAACCCCTATTTTGTTGATTTTTTATATTATTTTTCCATTCTCAATTTATTTCTATGCTAATCTTACTTATTTTCTTCCTTCTATTGACTTTGGGCTTAATTTTTACTTGTTTTTCTAGTTGCTCAAGGTTAAAATTTAGGCTGTTTATTTGGGATTTTTTCTCTTTTTTTACGTGGGTGTTTGTTGCTATAAACTTCTCTCTTATTACTGCTTTTGTTGAATATCATAAGTTTAGGTATGTTTTGTTTTCATTTACATTTAGTTAAAGATATATATATTTTTTTCTTTTTTCTTTTTCTTACTGAGAAAGCGTCCCTCTCTGTCACCCAGGCTGGAGTGCAGTGGTGCTATCGCCACTCACTGCAACCTCTGCCTCCCAGGCTCAAGAGATCCTCCCACCTCACTCTCCTGAGTAGCTGACACAACAGTCACCTGCCACCATGCCCGGCTAATGTTTTTGTATTTTGGGGAGAGATGTTGCCCAGGCTGGTCTGAAACTCCTGAGCTCAAGCGAGTCACCTGCCTGAGCCTACCAAAATGCTGGGACTACAGGCATGAGCCACCATGCCCCGCCTATGATATTTTCTAATTTCTCTTTTGATTTCTACTTTGACTCAGTGCTTGTTCAAGAGTGTGCTGTTTATTTCTATGTAGTTGTGAACTATCTCATTTTTATTTCGTTACTGATTTCTTGTTTCATTCCTTTGTGATTGTAAAAAAACAGGGTATGATTTCAATTGTCATAAAATTTTAAGTGTTGTTTTGAGACCAAATATGATTTTTATCCTAGAGAAAGGTCTATGTGTTTAGGAAGAATGTATATTCTGCTGTTGTTTAGTGGAATGTTTTTATATGTCTGTTAGGTTCATTTGGTCTATAGTGTTGTTCAAATCTGCTGCTTTCTTATTGATTTTCTGTCTATATGATCTATCCATTATTGAAAGTGAGGTATTGAAGTCTCCTACTATTATTATACTGCTATTTCTATCCTCAGATCTGTAAATTTTTGCTATATGTATATATATGTGTGTGTTCTTATGTTGAGTACATATATATTTATAATTGCTTTTATCTTCCTGATGAATTGACCCTTGTATCATTAAGTAATGACTTTCTTGTCTTTTGTGACAGTTTTTTATCTAAAGGCCATTTGTTTCTCATAGAAATGTAGCCACTTCTGCTCTCTTTCAATTATAATTTGCATGGAATATCTTCCATATCTTCATTTTCAGGATATGTCTTTATATCTAAAGTTAGTCTCTTCTAGACATCATATGGTTGAATCTTGTTTTATATATTCATCCAGCAACTCTGTGTCTTTGATTAGTGAGTTTAGTTCATTTCATTTAAAGTAATTATTGATAGGTAAGAACTTACTATTGGCATTTTGTTATTTTCTGTCTGCTTTGTAACCTTTGTTCCTTTCTTGCCATCTTCCTTTGTGACTTGATGATATTCTGTAGTGATATACTTTTATTCCTTTCTCTTTATCTGATGTGTATCTTCTATAGTTTTTTTTCTTCTTTGTGGTTTCCATGAGGCTTCCATAAAACTTCTTATAACAGTCTGTTTTAGGGTGATAGCAAGTTAACTTCAATTGCATATAAAACTGTACACTTTTACTTCTCCCCCCCACAAAATCTATGTTATTCATCTCATAATTTGCTTATTTTTATAGTATATATCCATCCATAATTTTTTGTTTATAATTATTCTTAATACTTTTGTCTTTTACTATGTACACTAAAATTAAATGTGATTTGTGTACCACCAATACAGTATTACATTATTCTGCATTTGTCTATATACAGTTGGCCCTTTGTACACATGGGTTCTGGTTATTATGATTTGGTGCAAGTGCATAAAAATGTGTTCTTTCTTATATTCAATTGTCTTCCAAATACAGTCTTTCTTATTAGGGAATCTCTCTGGGACATAGCATCTAAAGATACGACTATTTCCTAGAGAAAGCTTAATCAACTTAGTGAATTTAAGGAGACTTGAGGTGCCCACACAGAGGGCCAACTTGACCTTGGTATAAAGTTGTATTTCTCTAAAGTAAAGTATCCACTAGTTAGACATTACTGAATAAGCTCACTCTTGGAGATTCAGATAATAACACAAGCTAACAAGATTAATAGAGCAAACACTTAATAATAAGACACAGTATTGGGGGTAGTTGTTGATTATTCCTTTATCTTTACCTTGCCCTGTTCAAGATAAGATTTCAAGATGTAGCCAAGGATATCATTTTCATATTGAGGTGGCAACTGTTTCCTTTGAGTGGAACTGACATTTAATAAGGCATGACAGAACACGTCCAGGTGAATATACTTTGGTAATAAATATATAAAGCCAATTTATTAAACTTGGTTCCACACAGAAGTTGTAACAATTCTAAACAAGAACATACATACTTGTTACTTATGCATAGGATCTTGAATTGTAGAATTCAGTCCAGCTTTCTGTAAATGGAATTGGTATTTTTTTTTAATCTCAATCTGGCTCCTTGTGTCTATGTAATTGATTAAAATTTAAAGGAGTTAAGGGATGTGATTGTCACCTCCCTCCTATACTACCCACTTCCAAAACACAAACACACAACTCCACTCGCTTAATGACAAAAACCATGCTTTTTGAAAGAATACTATCACTGGGTTTACTCATCTAACCATAAAATCGGTCAATTAGTTAGCTTATAGTCTATCTAATCCAGCTAATAATTAAAATCACAGTTTCATTTATTAACAATACTTATTGAACACTTATTAAGTGCCGGGTTCTATTCATATTGCTTACCACATATTACTCCTTTAATCTTAAAGTGACCTGTGAAGTGTGTTATTACCATTAGTACCACTTTAGAGATTAGTAGATGAGACATAACAAGGTTGAATCACTCATCATAGGTCACACAGATGATTTCAAGGACTATATTATTAACTGCTGCTCTATTCCGCTAGTAAATGGCCAAGGTAGGACTTAATCCCAGCTCTGCCTTACTCCAGAGCCTTAGGTTTATCCAATACTATATATTGCTCCTCTAGTGTTTTATTTTGTCTGTAAAAGTGGTACTAAGCAATATGTTATGAAAATGTGGCAACAACCTTAAATATTAGTATCCTACTTCAAGTGCCCTAGTTTCTCCTTAGATATTAAAATAAGATTTGACTGCTTACCTCAGAGCTTGCTTATTAACTAAGTTGAATGAATAAATAAATACATGAAGACTCTGTTAATGTACCTAAATCAGTTCTTCCCAAACTTTATTTCATCATGATACATGTAGACACTTATAGCCAGATTGTCACCCGTTTAGGGGCTTTGACTATCCCAGGCCCTATAAGGCCACTTAACGGATGAGAGGCTCAATATATCATTCTTATTATAACCCTTTCATAATACACTAGTTACCGTGATCTTACATAAATTTTTACTTAAGCCTGTTTATAACTTTGAGCTTCACTAGCACTTAGGTAATGTTGTTATAGTCTGATGTGTTCTTAAAATAGCTGCTTAAAAGGTAAGGGAACTTTAGTATGGAGAATGGGGAAATGACTAGTGTACGGAGGGTCAGTTCTTTCTACTTTATTATACAAAATGCTTTTCTCTGCAGGTACATGACAGTTCGCTCTTTACTCTGCAGGATAAGAAATAAGGGTTATAAATCTAAAACATTAATGGATCCAAACTGTATTTTGAGAAGGAAGTAGAGGAAAACTCCTTTGTGGGACTGGTTTGGAAAATGACAGATGATGGCATGAAGGATCATACTCACCTTAGTGGCTTTCACATCACACAAAGAGAAATGCACAATGACTTGTCTTTCATGCTTGAAAAATTGTGTTATCAACTCACCATTAGGCAGTACCTGTTCCAAAAAAGTTTTCTGTGTAGTTTATAAATAGAATCATAATTTAAATATACTAGTGGAACTTACTTAAATAATCTCTACTTTGAAAACACAGCAAATAAAAATATTCAATGCATAAAATTAATGATTAAGGAAAAATGATTAAAAAACTGTTTAAAACACTAGCACTCAGGCTGATGTTTGATTGAACTGCAAAAAAATCAAATTAAATTAACTTTCAAGACTTTTAAACTATAATTTTCTAAATCAGTAATAATCAATCCGTGGCTAATTGGACATTTAAAAGCAGCCCATGTAGTTCTAAAAGCAAGTGTGACAATACATATTATTTCTAAATTTTTCATTGATGATAAAATTGAAGAACCTAAGAGGGAAGTAAAGCATTATAAGATATTTATAACATTGTTTGAGGAAGATAGATTAAGATAAATTAAAAGGAGAGAAGCCTAGCCCTTCTGCTTACTTTGCAATATGATCTTGGGGAAGTTGTTGACCTTATCTTAGTCTCTGTTCATCATCTACAAAATTGGATAATAAGGATTTATACTTCCAAAATAATTTTCTCCTAGTCCTCCCTAAGTTCAAGCACTAAGTACAACAATCCTAGAAATTATATATGATACTTACATATATAAATACATACATAAGACATATATAATATATATAACATATATATATACACACACATATATATCTATCTAGCAAACATAAGAAAACCCATGAGTGAAGAGAAGAAACCAGCTAGAAACTTCAGGACCCATGGAACAATACAGTGAACACAGTGGTAAGTTATTTGGATTTTCTTTTTTAAAATTTTAATTGTATATATTTATGGGATACAAATATAATTCTTTTAATGCATGGACTGCATAGCAGTAAAGTTAAGGCTTTTAGGGTTATCCATCACTCCATCACCCAAATCATGTATACTGTATCCATTAGGTAATTTCTCATCATGCAACCCCTCCTATCCCTGTACCCTTCTGAGTCTGTTGTTTGTCATTCCAAACTATGTCCATTTGGACCCATTATTTAGCTCCTACTTATAAGAGAGAACGATGCAGTATTTGTCTTCTGTACCTGAGCTGTTTCACTTAAAACAAATGCCTCCGGTTTCAGCCATGGTGATGCAAAAGACATGATTTTACTCTCTGCTATGACTGAATAGTGTACAATTTTGTGTGTCTGTCTATCACATTTTCTTTATGCAATCATCTCTTCATGAACACTTAAGTTGATTCCATATCTTTGCTATTGTGAATAATGCTGTGATAAACATATGAGTGCATGTATCTTTTTGATATAATGATTTATCTTCCTTTGGGAAGATATCTAGTAGTGTGATTGCTGGATCTGATGGTAGTTATATTTTTAGTTCTTTGGGAAGTCTCCATACTGTTTTCCATAGAAGTTGTACTTATTCACATTCCCTCCAATGGTGCATATGCATGCCATTTTCTCCTCATCCTCACCAACATCAGTTATTTTTTTGTCTTTTAAATAACAGCCATTCTGACTGGCATAACACCATATTTCATCATGGCTTTATTTGGCATTTCTCTGATGATTAGTAATGTTGAGCATTTTTTCATATGCCTGTTGGTCATTACTATATCTTCTTTTGAAAAATGTACATTCATGTCTTTTGTGTACTTCTTAATGGGATTATTTGAAATTTTTTTGCCTTGTTTGAGTTCTTTATTAATTCTGGATATCAGTGGCCTGTCAGATGCCTCCCATTCTGCAAGTTATCTATTCACTGTGCTGATTATTTATTTTGCTGTGCAAGAAGCTTTTTAGTTTAATTAAGTCCCATTTGGGTGTTGTTTTTTTTTTTTTTTGGTTTTTGTTGCCTGTGATTTTGAGGTCTCAGTCATGAATTATCTGCCTAGACCAATGCCCAGAAGAGATTTCCTTAGGTTTTTCCTCTAATATTTTTATAGTCTCAAGTCTTACATTTAAGTATTTAATCTATCTTGACTTTACTTTTGTATATGGTGAGAGATATAGGTCCACTTTCATTCTTCTGTATATGGCAATTCAGTTTTGTCATGTATATTGCAGATGTGTAGTTGAAGAAGCCAGCAATCTGGAAATGTCAATGAGTGCAGACAAAAAGCAAAGATAAAACCCTTCTCTCTGTGGTCAACAGGCTATGATAGAGGCAGCCCAGAAAGAACAGAAACTCTTCGGCCCTAATGGCTCTACTTTAGCTAAACACCATGGAAAAAAACTATGACCTCAACATTATCCATGACAACAAACACCTTGTGGGGAAGCAAAAAGATTACCTTCACCAGGGTGTAACAAATCACCACAACCTTCCCACCATATCGTGTCAGAGAAGACTGAGTAGATAACTAGGACTTTCAACCCCACTAGGGTGTAACAAGCACTCCCTTACTGCACTGTTACACTCCCTTTCTCTGTTGGAGAGATGTTAGTGAAAGCCAGGTAAGCAGAATATTTCAAAAAGACCCACAGTCTCACAGTACAAAATTGTAAATGTCTGAAAATAAAATAATGCATCTGAAGATCAGTAGAATCTTGAAACAAATGAAAAAAATAAAACCAATATATGCTAATGAAGCAGGAGATGTAAAATAAAAAAAGGAAGAAAAACAAGTTTTCTATCCTGGGCTGTCTCACTCTAAGGCAGGGCTCTGTCAGGGCTTTGACAGCACTATTAGCAGAGCCGGGGGGGCAGAAGGAATGGGTTCCAGGAGCAGGGATGAGAAAAACAAGTTATTCTTATCAGTTTCCCCCTTTTGAATTCTTTCCCCGTACTATTATTCTTTGTTCTGCTGTCATAACTATTTTTTAACTACTTCTGTAAGTTTGTAAGGATTTTGTAAGTTCCTGTTTTCTCATCTGTGCAGTATGATGAAGGTCACAAGACATTCCTGAGTTGCAACACCTGTCACTGTTTGATAAACTGCCTTTGTTCTGCTTCTGTAAGCTTGCTTGCCCGCCCTGCAGGTTTTGCACCACTAACTGGCCAACCCCCTTCGGTTGCATGTATAAAAGTCAGGCCCTGTCTTTGTTTGGGGCTTAGCCTTTGGATGTTAATCTGCTGACCTGGTGGCCACCTAATAAAATCCTCCTGTCCCACCCATTGGTCTCTCCTGTCCCTTGATTCCCACAACCCCAACGCTGAGGTTACAGAAAGGTTAGCTATCTGATAAAGACATTAAAGCAGGCATTGTAAGCGTGCTTCAACAAGCAATTATTAATAACCTTAAATGAAAACAAGAAATTTTTATCAAATAAGTAGAATTTATACAGAACCAAATGGAAATGAGTAAATATAATAGACTTTTCTTTTGAGTTTTCTAAATTATGATGAAATGTTGAAGAAATTGTAACACTGTATGATGTGGCTCTAAATACATACACAGAAAATATTTAAGGCTATTGAATTATAAATGGGGAATAGTAAATGGAGATGAAGTTTCTACACTTCATTTAAACTGGTAAAATTATGACACCAACAGACTGAAAAGTTGTGTATACATAATGTATTATCTTGAGCAACCACTAAAAATATTACACAAAATGATTCATGTGGAAACAGGATAAGTAAGTTAAAATAAAATTGTAAAAAAAACAAGTTATAGAAACTTACAAGAAGGTGGAAAAAGGAAATGAAGAAGCCAAAAAGAGGAAAAAAAATTGAAAACAAAAAATAAATGGATCAATAATTGCTTTAAATGCTAATGGTTTGAATATACCAATTAAAACACAAAGATTAACATAAGGGTTTAAAAATTATGACCCAACTACTGCATATGCTGTCTGCAAGAAATTCACTTCAAATATGATGACATTGTCAAGTTTAATGTGAAATAATGGAAAAATTTATATAATGCAAACATTAATCAAAATAAAATAATGTGGATACATTAACATCATGTAAAGTAGATTTCAGAACAAAGAAAATTACCAGAGATAGAGGGTAACATTGTACAATTATAAAAGGGTCAATCCCACAAGAAATAGCAATCCTAAGTTTTTACTCTGAAAGGAAAATAAATCTTGGGGCCCCAGAATCACTAAACTAAGGGGAAAAGTCAAGCTGAGAATGCTTAGGGCAAACCTGCCTCCTGTTCTTTGCAAAGTCACCCCTCTGCTCACTGAGATAAATGCATATCTGATTGCCTCATTTGGAGAGGCTAACCAGAAGATCAAAAGAATGCAACTATTTGTCTCTTATCTACCTATGACCTGGAAGCCCCCTCACCGACTTTGAGTTGTCCCACCTTTCCACACTGAACCAATGTTTATCTTACACATATTGATTGATGTCTCGTGTCTCAGTAAAATATGTAAAACCAAGCTGTGTCCCTACCACCTTTAGTACATGTCATCAGGACCTCCTGAGGCTGTGTCACTGGCATGTCCTCAACCTTGGTAAAATAAACTTTCTAAATTAACTGAGACCTGTGTCAGATTTTTGGGGTTCACAGTACAAACCAAAAAAACAGAGGTCCAAATATGTGAAGCAAAAACTGATAGAATTGGAAGGAAAAATAGGCAACTATGTAATTATAATTGGTACCTTAAAAACCCTCTCTCAACAGTTGGCTAGAACAATTAGACATAAGATTACCATTAATATAGAAGAATTGAATAGCATCATCACAAGATCTAATTGAAATTTACAGAACACTCCACCAAACAACAGCAGAATACCCAATTTATTCAAGGGCCCACAGGATATGCACAAAGATAGATTATATTATGAGCCATAAAACAAATCTCAACAAATAAGAAAGAAGTGATATCATACACTACTATAAACTACTCAAAGTGTGGTCCACAGACCACCAGCATCAGCACTCCCAGAGCTTGTTAAAAATGCATGGAATACTATGCAGCCATAAAAAAGGATGAGTTCATGTCCTTTGTAGGGACATGGATGAAGCTGCAAACCATCATTCTCAGCAAACTATCACAAGGACAAAAAACCAAACACCACATGTTCTCACTCATAGGTGGGAACTGAACAATGAGAACACTTGGACAGAGGAAGGGGAACATCACACACTGGGGTCTGTCGTGGGGTGGGGAGAGGGGGGAGGGAAAGGATTAGGAGATATACCTAAGGTAAATGACAAGTTAATGGGTGCAGCACACCAACATGGCACATGTATACATACGTAACAAACCTGCACGTTGTGCACATGCACCCTAGAACTTAGAGTATAATAAAAAATGCAGAATCTCGGGCCCTATTTCTGATCTACTGAATAGAAATCTGCATTTAAACAGATACTTCAGTGATTCATTTGCATAATGAAGTTGAGAAACTTTGCTCTACACAACTAGCAATTGAAATGACCACTTCTGTGATAGCTTATTTGAAGTTAGAGAATAAAACATGCAGTTCTTTTTCTATGTTGTCAGTTAATTCTGGATCTTTTCCTTTGCCAAATTTGTCATTTCCATTCTGAAACTTCTGAAAAACAGTATCTATCAGGCCATACTGCTTTTTCATAGACATAAAAAGAATATCTTGTTAACAGTGAACAAATGTGGATTAGGGAAGAAGACCAGGAAGAATGTGGAAGAAGCACACAATCTTGATTCAAGTGATTAATTCCACCTTTAATTTATATCTCAAATGCCACATCACCATAGCTACACATCACATAGCTCAGTGTATGATATTTATCTCCTGTGGAATATACAGTAATTGCTCAAGGGGCAAAAATTAAACAAGAAAACAGTATCTAACTAATATGAAGAGATTGACTTCAAGCCCTTGTCAGTATTATAGCTGAAAATATTTCATTGCTTCATTCCTTTTTGCCCACCTAATCTGATGTTGACCATAGCATTACTTAATACACTTGCTATTTCTATTTAATGCCAATACCTAAGCTCAGGAGTACAGCTATAATATATATTATACATTGCATCAGGATATCAATGGCAAATATATTAAACACATTTTGAAAGGGGATAGGCTTTCTTTACTATTGACTTGAAAAAAAATTGCTCTTTTTATCTCAAAAGAAAAGAAATTTCCCTAGTAAGAGCAGCTTGTCACCAAAGAAAAAACTATGAAATAAAGTAATTCAACAGACTACAATCTGCATATTTATACACTGGACTATTGAGAAATACATTAATAATTTACTGTCCTCTGAAAGAAACTTTTACTCTTGCATAATTATTATTATAAAATAGGCATCACACAATAAGTGTTATCTGGCAAGTTGAATAATAAATTGGCGAATTAATCCTCAAAAGGCCAGTTCCGGAAACACAAACATTTTCACATATGTACATGTATTAATCTGGGTTCTCTAGAGGGACAGAACAAATAGGAGATATGTCTATATGAAGGAGAATTTACTAAGGAGAATTGACTCACATGATCACAAGGTAAAGTCCCGCTATAGGCTGTCTGCAAGCTGAGGAGCAAGGAAGCCAGGGGTGGATCAGTCCCAGTCCCAAAACCTCAAAATTAGGGAAGCCGACAGTGCAGCCTTCAGTCTGTGGCCAAAGGCCTCAGAGCCCTAGGCAACCCACTGGTGTAAGTCCAAGAGTGCAAAAGCTGAAGAATTTAGAGTCTGATGTTTAAAGCCAGGAAGCATCCAGCATGGGAGAAAGATGAAGGCCAGAAGACTCAGTAAGTCTTCTCTTCCATCTTCTCCTGCCTCCTTTATTATAGCTGCACTGGCAGCTGATAAGATGGTGCTTACCCTTTAGCCAGAGTAAGGGTGGGTCTGCCTCTCCCAGTGCACTGACACAAATGTTAATCTCCTTTGTCAACACCCTCACAGACACACCCAGAAACAATATTTTGCATCCTTCAATCCAATCAAGTTGACAATCAATATAAACGATCACAATACATATACACACAAATGGAGTTACGTGTAAAAATTTGGGGACTGGATGCACAATCTCAAGTGACAGAAACTTAGACGTAGGTCAAATTTCAGTTGAGATCTCCCTGATTCTTGAAATCTATGTAAAGTTGTCATAAGCTTCTTTCTTCCATGGCTATTGACTGCAGTCTTGCAATTCTTTTGTGTATTGTAATGTCTTGACTACCACAGACGCCTAGGATCCTGCTTCCTCTCTTAAAATATCAACACTTGCACTCCACCACCAGTGGAGTTTCAGTGGCCCTTCAACTCACCCACTCCAAAGTTCTATCTTCTCTGACTTTCCTTTCTTTTTGCTTCCCTCTTTCCCTCTTACTCATCACTTATTCTCCCTAATGACAGCAAATATAAAAAATTCCTTGGCTACTTTCCTATAAAACATACATGTACATGCACACACACACACACTCAAAAAATTATTGTCTTATGAGGTCTTGGGAACTGAAAGCTTATTAAGGTATTTCTCTAAAATAGACCCTTTTTATGAGGAAAGCTGGTGCTTGCTAATAAACTAACACTGCTTTAAAAGTTCATTGCATAGAGATTGTTGAAACTTAGAGTAGTTGCCAAAATATCGATTACTCAGATTCCATCTAGGACCATCTGAGATTACTGGAGACAAAACATTTCTTACAAAATAGATCAAATACTTTTACTTCACTAGAGTATCAAAAACTAACGAAATAAAAGTCCTTCTCTAAACACCATGCTTATAGTCATGCCTCTGTGCCTTTGTTCACATTATACACATTTCCAGATGTGTTATATCCTGCTTCTACCTATCACTGCCAAGTTCAAGCCTCATCTCTTCCAAAAAATACTATTTAATACTCAATTCCTACTCAGCCCTTCCCTTCCTTACCATTCTATATCCCCTTTGTGCTATTTTCTTCTTAAGTCTTCTCCGCAACTAGATTATAATATTCTTAACTATAGGGAATGTGTCATTACTTCTGAGTCCTCCACATTTTCACGAGAGTACAAAATCTAGACAAGTTAGTCAGGGGAGAGATAGAGATGGAGAACACATTGTTCGGAAGGTCCTACCTACCTAATGGATAGGCCCCATGAACTTGAAAACCTCCATCTGCTTACTAGACTGCCTACTGGGAGTTCTTTCTTCTAGTTAGAGAATGTCTTGTCCTAAATTAATCATTTATTGCTTTATCATGAAGATAAAACTTTGGAAAAAATAATTGTTTTCAAACAGTAGCCGGTGAAAATACAGGCTTTGAAGTAAGAGACAGATAACTGCCACAAATTAATTAGCTTTAGGATCTCCAGCAAGTTAACTTCCCTATGCCTAAGTTTACTTTCTATAAAATGAAGATTATGATACCACCTACTCTACTTGATGGTTGTGAGATTAATTGAGATTACATATGTACAATGTCTTTCATAAAGCCTAGCAGTAAATAAGTGGTAGCTTACTACTCAATGTTAACAAAAAAGCCAAATTCTGTAAAATATTTGAAAAGATATATTCTGAGCCAAATGTGAGGACCATGACCTGTGACACAGCCTCAGAAGGTCCTCAGAACATATGCCCAAGGTGGTTGAGTTACAGCTTGATCTTATACATTTTAGGGAGACAGAAGTTGCAGGCAAAGACATAAATCAGTACATGTAAATTTTACTTTGGTTCAGCCTGGAAAGGCAGGACATCATGAAGTGGGGCTTCCAGGTCATAAGTGGATTCAAAGATTTCTTGATTGGTAATTGGTTGAACCCAATGGATAAATGCTTAAGGGGATGGATATCCAATTTTTCATGATGTGATTATTATGCATAGCATACCTGTACCAAAATATTTCACATACCTCATAAATATATACACTGACCATGTACCCACAAAAATTAAAAATTAAAAAAGAAAGCAGGCCAGGCGCAGTGGCTCATGCCTGTAATCCCAGCACTTTGGGAGGCCAAGACTGCCGGATCACTTGAGGTCAGGAGTTCGAGACCACCCTGGCCAACATGGCGAAACCCAGTCTCTACTAAAAATACAAAAATTAGCTGGACATAGTGGCAGGTGCCTGTAATCCCAGCTACTTGGAAGCCTGAGGCAAGAGAATCACTTGAACTCGAGAGGTGGGGGTTTCAGTGAGCTGAGATCGCGCCACTGCACTCCAGCCTGGGTGACAGAGTGAGACTTTGTTTCAAAAAGAAAAAAAGAAAGTAAAAAGAGTTGAGCTTTGCCTAGATTGGAAGTAAAAAAAAAAAAAGAAATGCTTGGGTTAAGATAAGGGGGTTATGGAAGCCAAGGTTCTTATTATGTAGATGAAGGTAGCAGGCTTCAGGGAGAATAGATGGCCAATGTCTGTTTGCAGATCTTAAAAGGTACCAGACTCTTAGTTAAATATTTGCAGGGCCATTTCAAAATATGTCAAAGGAATACGTTTTAGGGTAAAATACTTTCATTTCTTTCAGGGCCTGCCATCTATCAGGTGACACTATACTAGATTCAAGTTGGAATTTGGTATCTTATTGCTACAAAGAGACTGTTTTGTTAATCTTAAGATTTATGTCTTAATGTTAATGTTTGTCAGTTGTGTCTGAATTCCAAAGGGAGAATAATACAATGAGGCATGTACAACTCCCTCATCCACCATGGCCTGAACTAGTTTTTTTTAGGTTCCATTGAAATCCCCTTGGCAGAGAGGAGGGGGCCAGTCAGTCAGTTGGAGGGTGTATTAATCCGTTCTCATGCTGCTAATAAAGACATACCCAAGACTGGGTAATTTACAAAGGAAAGAGGTTTAATGGACTCACACTTCCACATGGCTGGGGAGGCCACACAATCATGGTGGAAGGTGAAGGAAGAGCAAAGGCACTTCTTACATGGGAAGGCACATCTTACACGGTAGCAGGCAAGAGAGCTTGTGTAGGAAAATTCCCCTCTATAAAGCCATCATCTCTCATGAGACTTATTCACTATCACGAGAACAGCATGAGAGAGACCCGCCCCCACGATTCATTTACCTCCCATTGGGACCCTTGCACGACATAAATCTAGCAGAGTCATGCTAAGCATCACAAGCCACCATCTTCTTTTTCTTTATGTATAGCTGCCCCCACCAAACTATGTCAGCTTTGTTGGTGTTCTAGGTGCAGTGAGACAGAAACTGGCCCCTTGTGCAACACACTGTAAGGTTGGAGTTTGGAAGCATGCTCTACTCCTTTCCCTCTCTCCTGTGAGAGAAATCTCAGGTTCTGCACCTTCTCTAAATCTCATAGAGCCACACTGGCCACAGAAAGCTTCCTATCCCTTTTCCTTTGTTCTTAACTGCTCCCTGGCATCTGAATTACGCAGTTTTGTCAATTGTCCATGTGAGACGAGACAAAAACAGGCCCCTTAGGCAGTGCACTGAAAAATCAGGATGTTGAATGCATGCTCCACTCTCTCTTCCTTACCATAAGAGAATTTGTAGACTGAAGTGATCTTCCTTGATGCTAAATTGTGTCAGCTTAGGGAAGGGGCTAATGTGCATAAAGTGAAACTCTTCTTATTCATTTCAATGCACCTATCCTCAGATTTGTGCTCTTCTGGATTACCACAACCTCTTATCAGGATTCTGGGCCTCTCATAAAGGTATTTGGACTGCATATCATTGTTAAGTAGGAGTTTCAGTGGGAGAATGAAGACTGAAACTTTATACTTCACCATGTTGTTGAAATCGTTCTTAAGAAAAGAATTATTAGCTGCAGTTTATAAATAAGAAAACAATCTCAGAGAGAGCACGTGATTTACACAAGGCTACAAAATTAGTGAAGTTATTATTAGCTCTGTATCCCCAGTGCCTAGCACACTATTTAGTAGATTATGTGCTAATCATAAATAATTTTTGGATAATTACTCTTATAATTCTCCGTTTCAAAGAAAATTCTTTTTCTCAACCTATTGGATTGGAATTGCAAAGTACACTCTTAGATGATAATGATCCCGGATATTAGCAGCATCATTATTTGTGTAATGAAGTTACTTTTTTGAAGAGCTTTTGAATGTTCTACTCTCATCTTCAGAAATGTCCCACGAATGCAGGCATTATTATTTTCACTCTATGTGTGTATGTGGAAACTGAGACCCAAGTCATTTTTCTTAAGTCTCATGCTTTACTTATGGCATAGCTAGGACTATTGATTAACATTTGTGGGGCTGAGTGTTGCTGAATTAAAACACTTTGAAAAGTTAGAACTGTGTTAAGGCTTGCCTCAGACTTTGAAACTTGAAGATAAAACAGAACCAGTATTATGCTGCATATTAAGTCTTACATGATTCAGTAAGTGCTGCATTTTTCTTTCTTATTCCTGGAAACTGTAAAGAACTCAAAGAACCTCAAAGCCCGCTTCCTAATCTAGAGCACTACAACATGAGATGGCTTAGCATGCATTAGCATTTCCTGAACCAACTGTAGAGAAAATGCCAGAGACTAAGATGCCAAGCACCCCTTAAGAGCCAAGATTCTACCAATCCTTCCTCTGAACACAACAGTTCTACTTCATTACAACAGACTTTTGCTCTGGATTACATTCACAAATCGTTCAATGATGGGATATGTTTTAAGAAATGCCATTAGGTGATTTCACCGTTGTGCAAACATCATCGAGAGTACTTACAGAAACCCAGATGGTATAGCCTACTATCAACCTAGGCTATATGGTATAGCTCACTGCTCCTAATATAAATGTTTGAACAGTGTGTTAGTGTTCTGAATACTACAGAAAATTGTAACACAATGATAAGTATTTGTTTGCCTAAACATATTTAGACATAGAAAAGATACTGTAAAAATACAGTATTATAAACTATCTTACGGTGAAATAATTCTGCTTTTTCACAAGCTCTTAAAAGCCGAGATTAGAATTACATTCTGTAGGTTATAAAATTCACAGCCATAATATTTTCAGGACTAGGGTCATGGATTCTTCTTACAATAGTTAAATGTTTGTCCCTGGATTACTCACTGCAAAGTATTATTGAACCAGAACAAGTTTCACATGATTCTAAATGTGGTTTAGAAAAATTCTAAAAAAATAAAAACTTCACATGTGGTATTTTATTCTATGGTTTGTATAATTTGGATATTTTCTTCCATCAAACTGAAGTTTCTACCATATGCACACAACATCTCCACTGCAATAGGGACTTTAACATCCTTGGCTGCTCTTGGTGAACTGTGCACTCACAGTTTTTGTTCACAACTACATCTCCCTACAGAACTATTCACAGGTTATCTGTAACATAAATCCAAGACATAATTCAAGCACTGCATAGACCAAGCTAAATATCTGTGTGTAAACCTCCTACCAGAGGATTTTCAAAAATATATCAAAAAGTGAAGCTGAATTTTTGGAAGCGAATATAAGGAAACTAACATAGTCAAAAACATCAAAACCGAATCCATCTCTTGTTGGTCATACCCCTCTTCTTATCCTCCTGAGAAACCTCTCTTTCCACATGCTGAGCCATCATTTAACATATCTTGATGTTAAATAGAGAAGCTGTTAAACTGAAAGCAGCATATCACAGTTAGTCAGCTTTCTAGAAAATGTGAAGTCATTTACAGATCTTTTCCTCCAGAACAAAAATTGTTTTATTACAAATATGTGTTCTAAACTCTGAGTGGCATGTACATCAAGTCTAATCTCAATGCCTTTTGAAAATTAGATCAAAGTCTAATCTATGTCTTAGTTTGGAATGCACTAAATTATCGTCTATTTGTAATTAGTACTTTTAATCCATTCAAACATTTATTTATTGATGCTTACTAGCATGATGACTTTTTTGATGTGTCAACTTAGCTAACAAAATCCCCAGTTGATAAAACACAAAGTGGATGTTATTATAAAGATATTATGGAGATATAACTAAAGTCCATATTAGTTGACTTTAAGGGGAATTTTCCTAGATGATTTGGGTGGATCTTACTGGATGAATCAACAAGCAAAAACCAAAATGTCTGATTATAAAATGGGTAAAGGACATGAACAAACACTTCTCAAAAGAAGACATACACATGCAGCCAATAAACATATAAAAATCGCTCTGCATCACTAACCATCAGATAAACGCAAATCAAAGCCACAATGAGATACAATTTCACACTGGTTAGATTACTGCTGGTGATTATTAGAAAGTTAAAAAACAGCAGATGTTGGCAAGGCTGCAGAGAAAGGGGAATGCTGTTTATGGGAAGGCAAACTAGTTCACCCACTGCAAAAAGCAGTTTGGAGATTTCTCAAAGAACTTAAAATATAACTACCATTTAACCCAGCAATCTCATTATTGATTATATATCTAAAGGAAAATAATTCATTCTATCAAAAAGACAAATGCACTCATATGTTTATTATAGCACTATTCACAATACAAAGACGTGGAATCAACCTAAGTGCTCATCAAGAGTGGATTGGATAAAGAAAATAAGCTACATATACACCATGGAATACTATGCAGTCATAACAAAGAAGGAAATCATGCCCTTTGGAGCAACATCCTATGTGACCTAACAAAAGACCAGAAAAGCAAATATTTCATGTTCTCACTTACCAGTGGGAGTTAATCATTAAATACACATGAACAAAAAGATGGGAAGAATAAACACTGGGAATCACTAGATAAAGTGGGGTATGGGCTGAAGAGCCACCTGTTAGGTATGATGCTTACAGCCTGGGTGAGGGAATTGCTGGCATCTCAAGCCTCAGCACCACACAATCTACCCACGTAGCAAATCTGCATGTGTACCCTTTAATCTGTAATAAAATTCGAACTTTTAAAAAAGTGACAGTAAAAGTACAAGAGAGATAAAGATAAAGTGATTTGGAAGTTTACATAAGGAAGTATAGATAAGCTAGAAAAAGCCAAGATAGATAAAACCTAATGACTTGTCATTTACTTCTGATTTTATTTACTTATTAATAAAAGTCACAGTTTCATTCCAGTTCTGAATTAGTCAGTGTTCTCCAAAATGACAGAACTAATAAGATATACATAGACATATAGAAAGAGATCTATTATGAGTGATTGTTTCATGTGATTATGGAGGCCGGGAAGTCTCATGATCTGTTGTTTGCAACCTGGAGGCCCAGGAAAGCTGATGGTACAATTCCAGTCCAAAACTGAATGCCTGAGAACCAGGGGAGGCAATGATATAAGTCCCAGCTAAAGTCTGAAGCCCCCAAGAATCAGGGTCCAATGGTGTGAATTCAAAGGCCGGAGAACAATGAGTGTTGATGTCCAAGGGCAGAAGATGGGTGCTTCAGCTCAAGCAGACTGTGAATTTTCCCTTTCTTTACCTTTTTCTTCCATTCAGGCCCCCAGAAGATTAAATTATGCCTACCTGCATTGGTAAGGGTGATTTTATTTACTCAGTCTACTGATTCAAATGCCAATATCTTCTGGAAACACGTTCACAGACACATTCAGAAATAATGTTTAACCACCTATCTGGGCATCTATTAGCCAAGCCAAGGTGACAGATAAAGTTAACCATCACATATTCTAAACTTACACAAAGTATATGATTTGTATTTTAAAATCATTTTCACTGTGTATGCTTTAAAAGTTGACTGTGATTCCTGGTTTATATCTATTTATCTATCTATCTATCTATCTATCTATCTATCTATCTGATATACGGATAGATGATTGATGATACATAGATTATTCAGAATTTATTTAATTAGTATGACTTTTTTATCATGTTCAATTCATGGTACAGTTTAGTCCAATACTTGGCTTAGAAATCTGTTGTCAAGAGAGCACTATATACATTCTAACACTTTGTCATTATCTAGACGCAATTCAGAGGGAGAGGAATGATGATTAGAATGTCCCTAAGGGAAGGGATATTCCTTTAATTTAATATTTTACCATGCCACATGCAACTTGTGTGCAAAGAGACCCTTAATAAACACAAGTAAAATATGTCTGTGGCAATTACTCTTCATTCCTGGGTCGAATAAAAATCTTGCATTAGTTCAGACTTCGTATTGCCAATATGCTAGTCAATTTTATTCGTTGGAACAATTAATAAATGTCATAATAATTAAACAAATTTATAACCTGCCCACTGTTCCCCATTTGCTTTTGCCTTTAGTACATTCAGCTCTCTATCTCATGATTTATCTGTTCTTGTTTATTTTCTTTCGTTTTCACTTTAAATCTAGACAGCTGAGAAAGCAAGTTTTTTTTAACTGATAAAGAGACTTAAGGTCCAATTAACAATAAATCTCACAAGTTTTTTAAAAATGAGAAAAGCAGTAAATTAATTTGATCAGAGAACAGTTTCCACCTGGTCAAAAATTTAGTACCAGCTTCCTAGATAAACAAAATTAGGATTTTAGCTAGGAAAGAAAAAGACCTCTCCTTAGATGTTCTGAGCATAGGGTTAATGTTGGCTTTCTTGGTGTGAAAGGCCATATGGCAATAACACAGCATATACACATAATAAGTTTAGGTGGAGTAAATTGCACCAAATATCTCCCTTTTTAAATTTGTTCAGATCCATTTTAAAGTGTATTATGCTACCTCCCTGATAAAATAAATAAGAGGATCCAAGTGCAGTGCTATACAAAGTTCTCTTCTACCCTCCTGCAGGAAGCGTTGTTCCTCAGGAATACATATTATGACATATTTTTAATCAGGATTCTACAAGTTAATATCCCTGGAATATTGCTGAGAGAAGCAATTCATCCTTTCATTAAAATCCAAGATCCTTCCATAAAAAAAACAGTAATTATCATATTCATTTGCAGAATGGGAGGTGACAGTTTACAAAGTTGGCTCCAAGTATGGTATTCAAGGAAAAAAAATTAAATTAAGCAAACAACTCAACACAATGTGATTTAGATGTTGAAGAGCTTGGAATTGACAAGTATAGAAGATTTCACTGTTTTCTAATAAATTCCACTTAAATGAAACTAGTTAATTGAAATGAGACAAGTCATTGAGTAACTGCATTACTATGAAGCTTAATAACGTTATTTATTTTATCAAAAATCAACAAGAAAATAAAAGTGTAGAGACCAATATTCACTACTGTTGGTAACTAACATTATCCCTGTATCCCATGGTTGCAATATTCAGAAACTGTGTGATTTATTGCCCTTCAATTAAAGACTAACTTTCAACACAATTCACTTAATTACGATAAGCATCTAATTTATACAACAGGAACAAAAACACAGTTATGAGGAAATGCTACCTTATAAAGTACAAAAAGATAAGGTGAAAAGTATTTCAAATTGTGAGAATTATCCTACAGTAAAAAACAAGGAAGAGTATCCCTATGCAAATCCCATCCCCAAGTTTGTCCAATAGAGATACTGTAACATGAATATTATTATTTCAGGTAATGAAACAATCCATCTCAATATTATTTCAGGTAATGAAACAATCCATCTATACAGACTGAACTTTAAGCTCATTTGAATTCTGAGAAAAGCCTATACTCATAACGTTTTAATATACCAGCCCAAATAATACACACCCAAGGCTGAAACACCACCTCAGGGAAATGACTTGTGAAATGTAAAACAACATTAATTCACTAAGAGAAAAATGGTGAAATCTATTGTTTGGCCTTTTGCAGATAAAACCTCTAAACGTTATATTGTTATGGAGCCATTCAGAGTGTTTTACCTTACAAGAAACATGGTTAAGAGTTATACCATTTTAAATGCAAAGCAAAAAAAAAAAAAAAAAAAAGAACAATATGTACAGCAAATTGCAATTATGTAAAAATGTGTGTGTCCAAGTGGATAAGGGTAAGAAAAGGATACACAGGATGAAAATAGCTGTTCCATTAGGATTATAGAATTTCTGTTATTCAAAAATGCCATTAATATTGTCGATGTATCAACTTTCTCACTGAAATCAAATAAACAGAAAGTTCAAACAGAAAACCAATCTAGCCAACACAAAATCTAGCTCATGTCTTAGCAAAATTTTTCTTTGTAGTACTATACATTAGTAGCACGAAAATGTACTGCATAATGCATAGGTCAAATTCAATGAGCAAAAGAGAACTAGCAGATTGTGTTGCCCATTAAAATCATTTTAATGATTTAATTTAAAACATTAAAATTACTCCCTTGAACATCATCTTCAGTGTCTTATTGATCTTTATATTCTTAGCTTAGGTATAGCATATACTAGGTGCTCAATAAAAATTTGTGAAATTAATGAATAAATGATAATTAGTTATATCTAACTTCAAACTTTTCTGTTACAATCATTGTACAGTAACAAATATGACTACGTTTATCTGAGATTCTATTACTGAAAACATAATATTTAATAATTTTTATAAAATTAGCCTGCTGAATCAGAAGCCTTGGGTGATTTATTTTATTACATTTTCCAAATACATAGTAAGTATATATAAATATATATATATTTTTAATGTGTCATTTAGGTCAGTTGACTTTTCAGGATTCTGACATTAGTGAGAAAAGCCAATAATATACATTCTATAAAGAATGTACTCCCAAGGTATTGGGTAATCTAGAACATCATGAGAGCAACATAAGTACCCTCTTTCATGCAGATCAGTTTAGTTCTTTCATAAGTGCAAGTGTGTACCTGCACACACACACACACACCAACTTTGGGGCTGCAATGTTATTATGCAGTTACCAGAGGCAATGAGTTGGAATAGCTAATAATAACAAGAGAAATTATTTATAAACTTTTTGTCCAAGGTCATTTCCTAGGATATGAACTAGGTATGTGAGAAGTGACGTACATCAATTTGCCGATTTTTCAAAGAAACCTATTAGGCTAGCATCACAGAAATTCCTCAGCCTTTAAAAGATAATTTATCCTAACTTGCCTTCTCTAGTGATTCTGAGAGAAAAACGTTTCTCACTATCTTGAAAAAAATCAATGTATTTTTTCAAAATGCTAAAAGCATATATCATTGTTCTAAGTCAATCTGATATACAAGATTGAATTTTTACAACGTATCTAGTGCACATAACAAGTTCATTTCATATAACTCTGAAGACTAAAATTTAGGAAATTCCCTGCATGAAACATATTATGTGACACCTTACATAGAAAAGAGAAATTTGCAGGCTAGCCCTATTAGACATTATATACAGACAAAGGAAAAATAAACAAGAGAGGTAAAGCTGAATTATTTAAAATATGGAGCCACACTGACCACATTGCTATTGCTAGCAGAGACAAGGCAGGTTATTCTATCTGCCTTTCCCACTTGATTGCGGCAGGAGTCTGCTACGTCTTTACACGGGGTGCTAGCAGGGCCAGCATTTCCTGGGCACCCCTCTGAAGCTGACAAAGATCAAAGCCCTGCATCTCCCAGCCCTCCATCCAGCAGCAAAAACCAGCCAAAATCTCATATATTCTAGCCCTATCCCCAAGTGGCAGAAGACAATCCAGGCCTGGTATCTCCCAATATACCACTGTGCAATAGAAGACAAACAGGCTTGTTGTCTCCTGTCTCCAAATCCAGATGCAGAGAGTGATTCAGAAACAACATTTATCAACCCTCTACTCAGTGGTATAATATGGCCCAGGCTGGTGCTTTCATACTCCAGCAGCACCGAGAGAGATTGACCGGGAAGATTGCTGGCACTAGGTATCTCAAAGACCAGGCTGGGTGGGTTCAATAACAGAATGGAGAAGACAGAGAAAAGAATCAGTGAACTTCAGGACAGATCAGTAGAATTCACACTATTTAAAAAAGATAAAACAGGCCAGGTGCGGTGGCTCATGCCTGTAATCCCAGCACTTCGGGAGGCCAAGGCTGGCAGACCACGGAGGTCAGGAATTTAAGACCAGCTTGGCCAATATGGTGAAATCCCATCTCTACTAAAAATACAAAAATTAGCCAGGTGTGGTGGTATGTGCCTGTAATCCCAGCTACCCGGGAGGCTGAGGCAGGAGAATCACTTGAACTCGGGAGGCAGAGGTTGCAGTGAGCCAAGATCATACCACTGCACTCCAGCTTGGGTGACAGAGCAAGACTCCATCTTGGAAAAAAATAAAATAAAATAAAATAAAAAATAAAAAATATTTTAAAAAAAGAGAGAGAGAAATTGACTAAGAAGAAACGAACAAGGCTTCAGAGATCTACGAGACAATAAAATTTCTAACATTTAAGGAAATAAAAGAGAATATAACTGAAACATTTGAAGAAATAATGATTCAAAACTTTGCAAATTTCCCTTGCTGGCTTTAGGATTCTTTATTTATCCTTGACTTTTGGGAATTTGACTACTAAATGCCTTGAGGTGATCTTTGGGTTAAATCTGCTTAGTGTTCTATAACCTTCTTGTACTTGAATATCGATGCCTTTTATTAGATTTGGGAAGCTTTCCCTCATTATCCCTTTGAATAAACTTTCTACACTGATCTCTGTCTACCTCCTCTTTAAGGCCAATACCTCTTAGATTTGCCCTTTTGAGGCTATTTTCTAGATATTGTAGGTGTGCTTTATTCTTTTTTCATTTTTCTTCTGTGACTGTATTTTAAAATAGCCTGTCTTCAAGCTCATTAGTTCTTTCTTCTGCTTTATTATTTTTGCTGTTAGGAGACTCTGACGTATTATTTAGCATGTCAGTTTAATTTTTCAGCTCCAGAATTTCTGCTTAATTTGTTTTAATTATTTCAACGCCTTTGTTAAATCTATCTGATAGGATTCTGAATGTCTTCGTGTTATCTAGAATTTTGTTGAGCTTCCTTAAAACAGCTATTTGATTTCTCCATCTTAAAAGTCACATATCTCTTTCTCTCTAGGATTATTACCCTGGCACTTTACTTAGTTCATTTGGTTAAGTCATGTTTTCCTGGATGGTCTTGATGCTTGTTGACATTTGTCAGTGGCTGGGTATTGAACAGTTAAGTATTTATTGTAGTCTTCAGAGTCTGGGCTTATTTGTATCCAACCTTCTTGGAAAGGCTTTCCAAATATTCAAACGGACTTGGGTGTTGTGATCTAAGTCTTTGATCACTGCTGCTGTATCTCTGTTAGGTGGCACCCCAAGCCCAGTAATGCTGTGTCTCTTGCAGATTCATAGAGGGACCACCTAGGTGGTCTTGGGTACGATCCAGAAGAATTACCTGGATTACTAGGCAGCGACTCTTGTTCTCTTCCCTTACTTCCTCGTGAACAAATGGAGTCTGTCTGTGCTGAGCTGCCTGGAACTATAGGAGGGGTGACACAAGAAGCCCTGTGGCCACCACCACTAGGACTGTGCTGGCTCAGATCTGAAGCCAACACAACACTGGGTCTTGCCCAAGAACTGTGGTGAGCACTGCCTGGCTACCTGCAATATACATTCCAAGGCCCAAGGGCTCTACAATTAGCAGGTGGCAACTCTAGCCAGGCCTGTGTCCTTCTCTTCAAGGCTGCATATTCCCCCAGCCCTGGCCTGGTCTATAGATGTTGTCTGGGGGCCAGGGCCTAGAGTCAGGGACCTTAGGAATCTGCCTGGTGCTCTATTCTGCAGCGGCTGAGCTGGTACCCAAGCTGCAAGGCAAAGTCTTTCCTACTGTTCCCTTTTTTTTTCCTTACGCAAAGGAGTCTCTCTCCATGGGCACCACCACACCAAGCCCATGGTGAGTACTGCCTGTCTACTGCCAATATTTTCTCAAAGCCCAGGGGCTCTTCAGTCAGCTAGTGGTAAATGCTATCAGGCCTGAGTCTCTCCCTTCCAGGTGGTAGTCTCCCCTGAGGCCCAAGGCAGTTCCAAAAATGCCATCCAGGAGCCAAGGCCAATAACTGGGAACTCCCGGAGCCCGCCAGGTGCTCTACTGTTTGTGACCAAGCTGGCATACAAGCTGCAAGACAACTCCCCTTCTACTCTTTCCTCCATCCCTCAAGTAGGAGTTTCTCCCTGTAGCCACCACAGCTGAGAATATGCTGGGCCACACCTGAGTCCAGTTTGACTCTGACTCTCACCCAAGGCCCATGGCAAGTAGTGCCTAGATACCACTGTTGCTTATTCAGGGTGCAAGGGCTCTTTAGTCAGCAGGCAATGAATCCTGCCTGTACTGAGTCCTTTTCTTCAAGGCTCCAGGTTCCATTCTGGCCTAATGTGTGTTTAAAAATGTCATCTAGGAGCTGGGGCCTGGCATGGGGGCCTCAGGACTCTGCTTTTTGTCCTATTCTACTGTGGCTTTGCTGGTATCAAAGTTGCAAGACAAAGTTCTCTTCACTCCTCCCTCTCTTCTCCTCAAGAAGAAGGAAGGACCCTCTCCTGGAGCTGCGGTCTTCACTGCCTGGGGTTGAGGGTGGGGTAAGCAAGCACTCACTTGGCCATCCCAGATGGTGTCTCATTAGGTCACAGGCACCCCTAGTCCACTTGCTCTGACCCCAGAACAGCACAAGGACTTGCCCAGAAATTGCAGTTCTTGTGATCTAGGCTCTTTTCAGTTTATTTAGGACCCCAGAGAAGTTTAGCCAATGGTGGCAGGGCTTGCCGGAACTCAGGCTCTGACAGCTGGGTAGAGAATTTGCCTCTGACTAGGGCAAGTCTAAATGCTTCCTCCTTGGGTGCCAGCTAAATTCTGCCCCTTGTTGCTTTCCACTGTGACAGGGCAGTACTGAGTTCCAAAACAAATTCCCACAATCACTACACTCTCTCTTCCCCAAGCACTCCATGCCATGCAACCACTGCCAAGGGATGGGGTAGGGCTGGTGTAGGCCATACAATTCTGTCTTTCCTAACATTTTCAGTGCCTCTTTCCTTAATATGATGTTAAAACCAGGTACTGTGATTGCTCACCTGATTTTTTGTTCTTATGAAGGTGCTTTTTTGTGTGGATAGTTGTTCAATCTGTTGTTCCTGCAGGGGAAGTGATCACTGGAAGCTTCTGTTTGGTGCTCTAGCTCCACCTCTGGCAATTTCATTTTTAAAGCCTGTCCCTGCCCATGTGATTCTCATGCACAGCTAGAGTGGGACACTACTACTAAGGCAGTAGCGTTAAAGTCATTTTGAGTTATTACAACCCTTAAAGCCCAAGAACTCCAGTAAAGACATTTCTGAAACTGTCAATGAAAACTGCCTGTTGCTCCTTTGTTCCAAAGTACGAATTATGCCCAAGATACATAAATAAATGACTCATAAAGCCTTTGATGAGACCTCAGTGCAAGTATTTTTAATAGAACAAAGAACTATTTCAATGTAATAATTGTGTTGTCAAACTCTAAATACAGCTAAATTATCCCCATAGCCATATGAAGGATATCATTATTAAAAGTGATTACACATTGACTTACTCCACTGAACTATTTAGGGCCATTGATACTTGTTTTCAAAAGCATATCTATAGTTCCCTATTTGGTTTATTAAAAAGCACCCTCTCATCACCTTAGCTTATTACCACCATGTTCTATTTATTCTACCTTTCAATAATGTTCACGTTTTTCTGTATCTTTAGTGCTTTTACCATCACTGCCATGATTCAGACCCTCATAACTTGTACAAAATATAAAACTATATTACCTACCTTCCTGAAACACTTTAGTTGGAGTCCCACTGCACGTTGAATAAAAGCCAATGTACTTCGCAAAACACCTGAAGCCTCTGTGAGTAGGTCACATCTTTATTAGTCTAGGAATAAACCAAATATGTCTTAAAAGACTTTCTATTCCACAGAATTTATGAGACTTGTGAAATTTAAATTTACCATATCTTAGATCATTGTCCTATTTATTTTATTCTCCATTCCTTTCTAAACTAAGGGACAACCTCCTTCAACAACCATCTTGGCTCATCTTTCAGTATTCTTCAACTTCAGTAATCTCTTCACTCCCTGAAATTGAATTGTACTAATAGCCATTTTACCAAAAAGTTTACTATATTGGTTTAAGATAATTTCAAAAATATCAATTTATTCTCCTGAGCAAAACTTCATAGTACTTGAGAGCAGGAATCTTCTCATTTATTACTTGTCATCCACAACATCACCTAGCATTAGTCTGGGTATACAGCATGTGCTCATAAATTTTACTAATTTATTTATTAAATTAATACTTTCCCATGTACCTACACAAGTTAAAAATAAAAAATAAAAAATAAATAATAATAATAAATTCCAGATCTCTAGTACTCGTCAGTCCATCAATATAGGTCTTTTACCTATATGGTTGCATTAATATTTACACTTAAGTAAACACACATTGATTGCCCATGTGCCAGCAACTCTGCTATGTACCAAAGATCCAAGGATTAGTAAGACAAGGTCCTCGCCTTTATGTAAGACAGGATCTTACACTCTTGGTGAAAACATGGATGCAAACAAATTACATCACAGGTTGCTAAGTGCTCTCTTAGAAAGAAGTGGAGGCTTCTATGGCCACACAGGAGAAGATCAATTGTCCTAATTTGATTTGGGGGCATATAAGCCTTCGTAGAGAAAATGATATCTAAATTGGATTGAGTCAAAAAAATAGGATTCACTCTTAGGTATTTACCCAACAGAAATTGGTGCACATATATATTATAAGACATATATAAGAGTGCTTTTAACAGCTTAATTTTTAATGTCATCAAACTAGAAACTAGAAACTACCAAAATACCCATAAATAGTAAAAATTCATACAATGTAATACTAAATAGTGATGATAATTTATGAACTACTGCTACAAGCAAACACATAGATAAAACTCACAAACATAATGTAGAGTCAATGAAACAACATATAAAATAATACATATATTCAAATAAAGTTCAAAAATAGTAAAAATATCTTTAGTCATGGTAGTTAACTGTGGGGAGAAGGAGATAGTTACTTTAAAAGATCATGTAGGATATTTTCCTGTCTCTGGAACTATATAAGCGCTTGTCTCCAATTCTCTCTGTGAGGCTGCTTTAGTATTCTCTCTCTCTCTCTCTCTCTGAAAACCCATTTTCTCATGTTAACTATGCATGGTTGATCCAAAATGACAACCTCAGTTCCTAAATCTAGATCTTCTCAGTGTCCGTTACTGAGTGTTAGTCACAAAAGAAATTAACTGGAATTGCAATAACCCAATTCCAAACTCCTAGCATGGAGAATACGAATGGTTCTCTCTGGAACGGATGTATGCTCCTGGTTCAATCAACTGTGGCCAGAGGAGAAAGTCATCTAACCCACAGCTCCTTCAGTAGACTGTTTTAGCAGGCGCTGTAGGAACTTAATATATGTCCTATATTATATGACTATAGCAATGTAAGAGATTTCAGTCTTCTGAAGTACTACAAGCTCACTATTCCAGTCAGTAATCTGTGCCCTAATAGATTTTGGGTATTTTTATCAGCATATATCTACTTGTTTGTGTCATTCTTTCATCTTTTTCATATACTTATCCTCATATGTCTAATTCTTTGTTTAATTTGTTCCTCTTGTTCTTTTTCTGTCTTGTTTAGTTCTTTCTTCCTCTACTCCCATCACTCCTCTATCTCTCTCCCTCCTATTGTGTTTTCAGAATCCAGTAGTGCATTAATCCTTACAAAGTACATCTCTAACTATTATCAAGAATTCTAATTTTATGGAATATGATGGTGAGAACAGATTGACATTGCCAAGGTTAATGGCCAAATCATCTATAACAAGATGCATTTAAAGCCAAATTGGCTGTGTTATTCACGCTGTTTGAAAATGTGAAGAGCGTTAAGTCCACTTGTCTGAAGTATTCCACTGTTTCATTTTGGATAGATAATTCCTGCAATATAAAAGTTGGATGGGCGGCCCTGTGGAAATCTAAGGGTTTTTTAAAAGTTAAATTAAATTTAAGTTCTGGGATACATGTGCAGGACGTGCAGGTTTGTTACATAGGTAAATGTGTGCCATGGTGGTTTGCTGCACCTATCCACCCATCACCTAGGTGTTAAGCCCCACATGTATTAGGAAATCTCAGTTTTTAAATTCATTCCAAGATTGCTTCTCCTCTGAATAGTGAAAGCGGCAGGGGAAATTGTCATAAAAAGAAAGAAAGAGAATGAACAATTGTAATGCATGAATAATGATGAGTATCCTGGGATTTTCATCTCATAAAAACTGGGTGAGGTCACACAAAAGGCAAAACCATTGGTAGTCCAGTAATACATTACCCCACTCATTGGGAAGGCATTCAGAGGCCATTAGACTACTTTGAAAGTGCTAACTACAATTATTTCTTTTGAAAGACTGCTACCCACAAGTGATGTACTTTGCCAACAGAATTTTGCAAAAGCCTGCACTTTGAACATTTCAGAATTTTCAGAACAGTCTTAACCCCAGTACCTTGTTATCTTTGTGAAACATCAGTTATTCAGTAATTCCTTATGGTAATAATCATCTGAAAGGTCTACTGTTTTATGCAACAACTGAGCAAAACAATAACTATTATTTGATGAGTTCATTCAAATAAGTAAAACAAAAGAGACAAATAAAATCTGAGTAAACCTGTAAACAAGACATAAAACGATTACATTTCATCTTATAGAAAATATATATTCCCCAATCAAATAATTTCTGATATATTTTTCTCCATATAAAACAAAGACCAATTTCCTCAAAGCAATGAAATTCTTTACTATGAAAAATTTTCTGGGTTCAGTTTATCTAAGCAAATATGTATACAATTTCTACTCCACACAGGTGTAGAGGTAGGCCCAATGGGGGAAAATATATGGTATGGCCCATACGATCTTAGAACTTAAAATCTCTGCACAAATGTGGAAAGCATATATTGGCTCTAGTTAGATATCATAGCACGTGTACAACCAAGAAAACAGGAGCAAAGAGAAGACAGCCTTCTACTAGCATTTACTGAGGAGATGCATTTGAGTGGGTCCTTGAGGGAAGTTTAAGATATTTTCTAAAAAGCATATATATAGCCATTGCTGGGAAATGAATAGTTGAGAGAAAATGAGAACCAGAACTGGAATGATATAATTGGAACATGAAAGAGGAGATGGATAAAATATTGTTAAGGGAAAAATAGGTTAGACTTTGTGAATGATTGATTGTTTGAGGAAGGGAGGAAATATGAAAAAATAATAATAAGGAGGGCTAAATTTGTAATGTGTGCTGACTGGGCAGATGGTGAAATCATAACAGAAAATAAGAGCATAAGAATACAGGTTTGGAGAAGTGGAGAGGGAAGTAATGATGTGTTTGATTTTATACATAGAATTTGAACTCTACAGATTTATTCATAAAAATTGCAAAAATAAAATAAATATGAAGAAGTGTCCAGAAATAAATAAAAGGGTAATATATAGAACTATATAGATATATAAATCTTTAAGTAAATAAGAAATAAAACTATTAAATTTCAGTCATTGGAGTAGATATACATGAGAGTTATGAATTGAGGAGTGAGGAACACAAATGTTATGAAATATGTGAAAAGTTGTCCTTAAAGAATATAAAAAGGAAAAATCAGAGCATTAAGAGAAGAACATGTAGAAGAATATACCAAACCAATATAGATGAGCTCTTCAAAGAAGGGCGTAGTTAACTGTCATCCCTATTTTCTCATAATTATTAGTAATAAAATACTTTCAAAATCCTGAACTTATATGACATGAAAAGTTTGTTATCTGGCAGAGGATATAGCCATCAATTAATCAACCTGATAATTTTGCATCAGGCAGACAAATTAATTTCCCCTTTCACAATGGTTGTTATGATCTCATAATGCTATTGTGTACATGGCAACTGAGTAGATGAGGAATATACCTATATATAAATATATCATACCTGTAGTTCTGTCTACATTAATCTAGGAGTAAATTACTACAATTATATATCCACTCAACCTCATTGTAGCTTTCTTACCTCTCAGGGTTAACATTGACTATGCCTAATACCTGAGTATACTTATTTCCACTGAGCCCCAGTCCTCCTCTCTTTGTAAAATTCAGTGGCTAACAGCTTCACCAGAGGCAAAACAGCAACCTCCATATAGTATTCTTATATCTTAGATTCTGTCACACTACTTAATTTACCTTGGAAGGACAGATACACTATTGCCAGTTTTTAAACGTTCATATTGGATAGTTGTAGCACAATCATTTAAACCACTCTAAATGGTTCATTGTAGGGCAGGCTGTGAATGGATTTTTCATTGAGGCACTTGGCGAGAGACTCCATAGTAGATCCTGGAAAAGCTCCTTTCTTGAAAAGGTTTCTGTTCAAAAAATAGCTTGGAAAGAAATCCCAACCTAGATATATTTCAGAATGCCATCATAGTTTATTTAAAGTATCACTAAAAATTGAAGACCTCCTACTAGAACTTTTTGAATGGCATGAAAAATGGATAACTATTACTGTCAGAGCTTCTGTGTGGCATAGAAATCACAGGAGGAAAAAACAATTAGACAGTATGTTAAGTACCTTCTGCTTACCCCCTGAAATACACATATTTATTATCTAATCATTTGGCTTGCAGGTTGTTCCTTTTTAAAAAAGATATTAGGGCCTTTAAAACAATAAAAACATATTTGAATCACACGTGCAGGTTTAAATTTCAAAACCACATTCAGAGTTAACTCCAAGGAGCTAAGCTAGCTGTTTTCATAGAAAAGTCTTCTGATTAGCTTCAAAGGGTGATTTAAATTAATGTTTCTTTTGAAATTGAATTGTATATGAGAAACATTTGGACTTTCTACATGTTATTCCTTACTTCCAAAAAATGATACCACATCCACCTTTAACAAATTAGAAAAACATATGAGATAAACTAAGTACATTTCATAACAAAGTTGATATAAAAACAAGGTTTATCTAAATCCACATTTGAAACATGTATGTACCTGGTTAGAGAGACTCTTGCTACCAGAGACATCTGAAAAGTTGTTTATTTTTTCCTCCCAATATCACAAACTATAGCTTTTTTTCACTATATTCTAACTCAGCATTTCTATAGCCCTTATCACAAAGCAATGAAATTATATCCAAGATTTTAAAATATGCAAAGACCTTTATCTTCAAGAAGGCTAAGAGGAATAGTTTGGAAGAATTGTTGAGGGCATATATCCGTGGAATGGTTTTAAACATTTATGTATTCACAGTACAACAACCATTGTTTGAGTCCCTTGGTTGAAAGCAAGCAGTAAAATGACACCGATGTATTTTAGACTTTTGTCTTTCCTTGGCATAATCATTAGCAGACTAGTCCAGCTTTCGACACAAAAAAGTTTTTGACTTTTTATTCACTTATTAGAATGAAGTTAAAAAATCAAAATATAAAGAACTTGTAAAATTTTTCTGAGAAACTATACTGAAAAATGCATTCATGTATCTGAAAGGTTATTTCTACTTTGAGTAGGTTAAGGCAACCGAATTGCTTTTTGAATAGAAATAACACTCTGGTGGAACTTCAAAACAGCTTTATTTATGGAACATACCTCCTAAGGCTTTAAGAGTTTTAACTTGTATGTCAACCAAGTTGGTACCTTCTCAAGTTAGGCTTACCCTACTCATATCACTCCTTTGCTTTTTGTGTACACACACTTAGTTTCAATGCTATATTCATTTGCATTTACTTGATAGGTAGGGACTATGCCTTCCGTTTATTCACAGATATTCCACTTATTTTATAATGCCTGGATAAATGTTTCCTGTAGCTTACAGTGTAATCTGCACAGAGGAGACATTCAAATGTTTCTGCTTAATAACATAATCAACATAAAGTGAGTATTCAATAAATACTGTTGACTGACTGGTGTTGTTATTCCAAACACTTTTCTAATATCATTTAGGAGAGTTATTTTCCAAATCAAAGTCATTTATTTAGTGTCATTCATCATATTTAAGTAATGGAAAGAAGAATGGCATAATAATTTACTTTTGAAATAAGCCTCCCAGCTTATCACATTCAAGCATCTCTCCCAAATGATTGTTGCTGATACTAATATCAGCTAGCATAATTTTTAGTGAAACCCTCTCTTGTCTAAATTTCCTGAATACTCTCCTTTCAAACTTTATCATCTTCTAAGTTTTTCTATGAGTTGAATCCATTTAACTTCACCTGTGTATGGACAATAGGTGAATAGGAATTGTGCACAAAAGTATTTCATGTCCTGCATGACACAAGTTTAATATGATAAATGAGTTTCTGTGGAGAAGATTAAATTTCTATGTGATAAAGGCCAATTTTAATTTAAAGGGAATATACCTTTAAATTAGTTAAGTCAAGGAGTGTTGCCTGAGATAAATAATTTGCTATTGTTGCATACAGCTATCAGTAGTTGACTGTAATATTCTGAGTGAATAACTTAATGGAAAGTATAACTGAAATGAATAAGTCATGCCTAATAGTACACATTTTACAAAATTTTAATAAAATACCATCTACTTACTTCTGAGATAGTCTCTTCTTAGAAATTAGTATCATCAATTTCTGATGCCAACCTCAGCTGTCACTATCCCATCAGAATATGGAATAGCTTAAGTGTTATTGTGCACACAAACACCAAAATAGTTCTCACGGTTGATGTCACTTTGATTTATTTTAATGTATACTCTCTCTAAATTAAGGTTATCCTATCTTACCCAGGAATATTCTATTTCTCACAGAAACTCTCATTTCTCTTACAAAGCCACTGTCAATCTTTTAATTGTTTCCACAGCCTCCCTCAGATTGCCCCCTGCAGCTCACAAAGTGGATAAGCATGATAAAATGTTAAGACCATCCAAGGATTTTGCTCATATTTTTCTTATCCTCATTTAAAAACAGCACAAAATAATGTATTCCAAAAACACACTAAAAGTTCATACGATATTGAACAAATGTGGGTTCTGAAAACCATCCTTTATCATCACGGTATTTATAGAATATAAATCCCAAGATCTTCAAAAGCCTCCTTTTTTTTTTTTTTTTTTTTATTATTATTATTATACTTTAAGTTTTAGGGTACATGTGCACATTGTGCAGGTTAGTTACATATGTATACATGTGCCATGCTGGTGCGCTGCACCCACTAACGTGTCATCTAGCATTAGGTATATCTCCCAATGCTATCCCTCCCCCCTCCCCCGACCCCACCACAGTCCCCAGAGTGTGATATTCCCCTTCCTGTGTCCATGTGATCTCATTGTTCAATTCCCACCTATGAGTGAGAATATGCGGTGTTTGGTTTTTTGTTCTTGCGATAGTTTACTGAGAATGATGGTTTCCAATTTCATCCATGTCCCTACAAAGGACATGAACTCATCATTTTTTATGGCTGCATAGTATTCCATGGTGTATATGTGCCACATTTTCTTAATCCAGTCTATCATTGTTGGACATTTGGGTTGGTTCCAAGTCTTTGCTATTGTGAATAATGCCGCAATAAACATACGTGTGCATGTGTCTTTATAGCAGCATGATTTATAGTCATTTGGGTATATACCCAGTAATGGGATGGCTGGGTCAAATGGTATTTCTAGTTCTAGATCCCTGAGGAATCGCCACACTGACTTCCACAATGGTTGAACTAGTTTACAGTCCCACCAACAGTGTAAAAATGTTCCTATTTCTCCACATCCTCTCCAGCACCTGTTGTTTCCTGACTTTTTAATGATTGCCATTCTAACTGGTGTGAGATGATATCTCATAGTGGTTTTGATTTGCATTTCTCTGATGGCCAGTGATGATGAGCATTTTTTCATGTGTTTTTTGGCTGCATAAATGTCTTCTTTTGAGAAGTGTCTGTTCATGTCCTTCGCCCACTTTGACAAATGGGATCTAATTAAACTAAAGAGCTTCTGCACAGCAAAAGAAACTACCATCAGAGTGAACAGGCAACCTACAACATGGGAGAAAATTTTTGCAACCTACTCATCTGACAAAGGGCTAATATCCAGAATCTACAATGAACTCAAACAAATTTACAAGAAAAAAACAAACAACCCCATCAAAAAGTGGGCGAAGGACAAAAGCCTCCTTTAAAACTAGACTTACATTGTGAGGTAACTATGCTTCCAGTAAGCCTCATTCCCAGACAGAATTCAGATGGCATGTAATCTATCAATCGTCGGCCCACTAAAAAGCACCTGGTAATCAGTCTGCTCTAGGATAAGGTTCAGCAACCATACATGAATCTTTCCTTATGCATTTACATTGCACTTCTAAAAGCCTTATCCCTTTGTGCCTCCAAATTTCCCTAATTATTTTAATTGCCTGAGCAATTATCATTTGTCAGTTCAGAAATTAAAGGAAAACAATGATAAATATCAGACTTTGGGTATTTATTCTTGGCACTAATAACTTTTTGCTTATTACTCCAATTTTAATAGCAATATTACACTTTGGGTAAGAGTTATTTTTAATTCAACAAGTTGCTGGAGATCTTTCATGCTTTTCCTAAAATGATGCCTCTGAGGTGAGGTGACCTACATGTGGAAAATACCGCACTGAAAGTTTTCTTTTCATAGAAAAGCAGAAAGTCATAGGAGTACATTTCTTTTCAGAGTTTAAATTGTGGTGGGTGGGGGTGGAGGAAAAATACGTGAAGTAAAAGACAAAATATTTAATGGGAGACTTATACTTTTGGTTGATTTAGAAAATCACAAGAGAATATCTTCCTCACCCTTAATATGAGAACAAGTTGTATAAGCTACAATAAGAATATGTTGACATATTGAGGAGACAAGGATGCAAGGAACCTGAAATGATCTGAATTATATAAAGCTATGAGCCCTTCTTAGGAAAAATAAAACACATACACCTGCTTTCTCTCTTGAGCAAGGCAGGAAGAACAGCAAACTTGTCATAGACTGGTGAAAGGATAATCCAGACCAATATGTAAACAAACTTTTATTCACCACATGTGGACTAGAATGTTGGAGTACAGTCCAACAAAGCCCTAGTCACAGAGCAAGTCTGCACTATCTTGCTGATCCTTTCCCATGGAACTTTCCCTAAGTACAAAGTGACAGTATACCAAAAGGCTGGTGACAGGATAGGAGAGCTAAGAGGCCCTTCAAAGGTGAACAAGGCCCTTACTGACTAAATGATATCAAAGTTTCAGACATTAAACCAAATATGAGATCCTGAAATATACTAGGCTTCACTAAGGTATATGGCCCACCAAAAAATCTTGGGGCACAGTAGCAGAATGGAGATACATAAACCTTGGCTTAGAAAACCAGAGGTAAAGCTACAGAGCAATGATAATTCCCCAGTGATCTAAGACGTTGGTTTCTGAAACATACAACAGAAAGCTTCTTTGATTCATAAATCTGATAGGTAGATTCTAAGGCATACAGAGATCACCAGATTTTCAAATGTGCATTAGAAATAAACTCTGAATAAGGAGAATACCTGATTCTACCCTCAAAATATTTGACACTAGTGATGAACTAATGAACTGCTATTAACTAAATCTGTAAAATGTCCAGGTCTATAAAGTCTTGCCTGAGATGAAGAGAATGAGATCCAAATTCAGGGAGACTGAGACATCCAAAAATTGGGGGGAGAATATCAGTTTGGAAGTAGAGCCCAGTAGAAACACTCTAGAAATCTGCATTGGAGTTCTCATGCATCATTGGGCAAATGCTGAGCTTCAGGTTCATAGGACGAGACTTCACTAGGCCATGCAAAGAACAAATACCAGGTAAGGACAACAGCCAGAGGAAAACAGTCAGTTGAACAACTACCAGCGCTCACATGAGATTGAGAGATGTTTGATTTAGCAGCAACTAGAGTTGAGAGACATCAATGAACACCCAAAGAATACAATATGAACACCACGAAGGTCGCAACATAGAAGAGAAACTAAATTGGCACTAGTAAAGAAGAACCTAGACCTACACTAAGAAAGCTTTAAAAAGAGATTTAAAGGATACAAGTGATTCCAAATATCTTCACTCTTTATAGAGAGCCATGTATAGCCAGACACACAACAATATAATATTCATAATGTCCAGGACAGAATAAAATTGAATAGGCATGTAAAGAAGCAAGAAATTTTGTTTCAAAAAAAAGAAAAATCAGTAAATAGAAACATTTTAAAAATGACAGAGATAATGGAATAATGGCCAAAAACTTTTCAAATTTGCAAAAAGTTCATCACCACATTGAAGAAATTCAATGAATGAAAGTAGAATCAACGCAAAGATACACAGCCAGACGCAATATAGTCAAAATGGTGAAAGACAAAGAGAAAATACTGAAAGTAGCAGAAGAAAAATGATTAATCATAAGTGAATCCAATGAGATTTAACAGCTGATCTCTAATAAAAAACAATTGAGGTAAGAAGGCAGTGAAATGACATATTCAAACTCCTGACAGAAAAAAAAAAAAAACACCATCAACCAGAAGCTTATACTAATCAAAATACCTTTAAAAAACGAAGGCAAAATAAATATTTTTTCTATTTTTTCATCATAAATCTACTTTATCAAGAAATAGACACTGTGTCTATCTCGAATTTTAGGATAGTCCATCAAATGTAGGAATAAGGATACCAATTTTTCCATGTACATATCCCTAAGTTTTTAAAATAATTTTTACATGAACTTTATACATTTTTTTTTTACTTTTATTTTAAGTTTGGGATATATGTGCAGGTTTGTTACATAGGTAAACTCGTGTCACAGGGGTTTGGTGTGCAGATTATTTTATCACCCAGATATTAACCTAGTAACCAATAGTTACTTTTTTTGCTCCTCTCCCTTCTCCCACTCTCCACTCAAGTAGACCCCCGCGTCTGTTGTTCCTTCTTTGTGTTCATAAGTTCACATAATTCAGCTCACACCTATAAGTGAGAACATGTGGTATTTTGTTTTCTGCTTCTGCAGTAATTTGCTAAGGTTAATAGCCTCCAGCTCCATCCATGTTCCTGCCAAAGACATGCTCTTATTCTCTTATTCATTTTGATAGCTGCATAGTATTTCATGGGTGTATGTACCACATATATTTTATCCAATCTGCCATTAATGGGCATTTAGGTTGATTCCATGTCTTTGCTATTGTGAATAGCAATGAACATTCACATGTGTGTGTCTTTATGGAAGAATGCTTTATATTCCACTGGGTATATAGTCAGTAATGGGATTGCTGGGCCAAATTGTATTTCTGTTTTTAGCTCTTTGAGGAATTGCCATACTGCTTTCCACAATGGTTGAACTAATTTAACTCCCACCATCAGTCTATAAGTGTTCCCTTTTTGCCACAACCTCGCTAGCATCTGTTATTTTTTGGCTTTTTAAAAATAGCCATTCTGATTGGTGTGAGATATATCAATGTGGTTTTTATTTGCATTTCTTTAATGCTCCATGACATTGAGCTTTTTTTCATATGCTTGTATGCTGCATTTGTGTCTTATTTTGAAAAGTGACTGTTCATGTCCTTTGTCCACTTTTTAATGAAATTTTTTTCTCTTGTAAATTTAAGTTCCTTAGAGATGCTGGATATTAGATCTTTGTCAAATGCATAGTTTGCAAATATTTTCTCCCATTCTATAGATTGTCTGTTTACTCCGTTGATAGTTTCTTTTGTTGTGCTCTTGTTTAATTAGATCCCATTTGTCAATTTTTGCTGTTTGTTGCAATTGCTTTTTGTGTCTTTCTCATGAAATTTTTGCCCATTCCTATGTCCAGGATGGTATTGCCTAGGTTGTCTTCTAGGTTTTTATTGTTTTGGGTTTTACATTTAAGTCTTTAATCTATCTTGAGTTGATTTTTGTATACGGTGTAAGGAAAGAGTCCAGCTTCAATTGTCTGCATATACCTAGTCAGTTGTCCCACCACTGTTTATTGAATAGGAAGTCTTTTCCCCATTGCTTGTTTTTGTCAGCTTTGTCAATGATCAGATGATCACAGGTGTGTGGCCTTATTTCTGGACTCTCTATTCTGTTTCGTTTGTTTATATACCTCTTTCTGTACCAGTTCCATGCTGCTTGGTTACTGTAGCCCTGTAGTATAGTTTGAAGTTGGGTAGCATGATGTCGGGTAACATGATGCCTCCAGCTTTGTTCTTTTTGCTTAGGATTGCTTTGGCTATTCAGGGTCACTTTGGTTCCATTTGAATTAAAAAAAAATTCTAGTTCTGTGAAGATTGTCATTGGTAGTTTGATAAGAATAACATTGAATCTGTAAATTCTTTTGGACAGTATGGTCATGTTAATGACATTGATTCTTCCTATCAATGAGCATGGGATTTGTTTTCCATTTGTTTGGATCTTCTCTGATTTCTATGAGCAGTGTTTTGTGATTCTCATTGTAGAGATCTTCCACCTCTCTGGTTAGCTGTATTCCTAGGTATTTAATTCCTTTTGTGGCAGTTGTGAATAGTATTGCCTTCTTGATTTGGCTCTTGGCTTGGCTGTTGGTATATAGAAATGCTAACCAGTTTTGTACATTGATTTTGTATCCTAAAACTTGACTGAAGTTACAAACTGAAGTAGCTTTTGGGCCGAGACTATGGGCTTTCTAGATATAGAATCATGTTGTCTGTAAACACGGATAGCTTGATTTCCTTTCTTCCTATTTGGATGCCATTTATTTCTTTCTCTTGCCTGATTGCTCTGCCTAGGACTTCTAATACTATCTTGAATGGGAGTGTTGTGAGACAGTATATTTGTCTTGTGCTACTTTTAAAGGGAAATGCTTCCAGCTTTTGCCCATTCAGTAAAATGTTGGCTGTGGGTTTGTCATAGATGAGGCATGTATATTTTCCAAAATTCCCCCTGTAATTAACTTCTAGACTTATTCCATTGCGTTCAGAGAAGATGCTGCACATTATTTCAGTTTATTGAATGTTTTAAGACTTGTTTTGTGAGACCTAATATACGGTCTATCCTTGACAATGATCAATGCGCCGAGGAAAAGAATGTGTATTCTACAGCCACTGGATGAAATATTCCATAAATATCTGTTAGGTTCACTTGGTCTATAGTGCAGACTAAGTGCAATGTTTCTTTGTTAATTTTATTTCTAAAAGATCTGTTCAATGCTGAAAGTGGGGTGTTGAAGTCTCCAGCTATTATTGTATCAGGGCCTATCTCTCCTTTGAGCTTTAAGCTTTATATATCTAGGTGCTTCAAAGTTGGGTGCATATATACTTGTAATAATTATATCCTCTTGCTGAATTGACCCATTTATCATTATATACTGACCCGTTTATCATTATGTACTAAATTTCTTCCCATATATAATACAAATCCCCCCTTTGCAGCCCACAATAGTAATTTTCTCACATCTCTATTACCCTTCAGTAAGTTTCCTTACCACTCTTCCAGTTACTCAGTTCAAAAACAATGACATATATTTTAAGTTTTTGTTGCAGACACACCCCACTTCTGGATGCCAGTTATGTTTCAGTTATCTATTACTCTGTAACAGACATTACAAAAGCCAGTAACTTAAAATAACAATGATTTATTTCACACTGTTCTACAGATTGACGCAGCAGGTGTTCTGATCCAAATGGCATCAGTTGGAATTATTCATATAATTTTACTGAACTGGGAGTTCAGTTGGGTCACCTTAGTTCTGTACTATAGATTTTTTGCCAGAAGGCTTCTCATCCCCTGGGGTTTTTCTACATGTTCTCCCTAGTAGAAGAATGAGACAGATTCTCTTACAAAAGAGCATGTGGTTTCCAAGAGCAAAAGAGGAAGTACACAGGTTCTGATGATTCCTGGAAGTGGAAGCAGCACCACTTCCACTGTATAATATCGATCAAAAACTCACAAAGACAATTAAGATTCAAGGAAGGTGATAATAGACTCTAACCTGTTTATGAGAAGAGTACCATACCATATTGGGAGGGGCAGGGAAATTTTTGACAACCAATATTTCGAACATAGCAACCTGCAGAAACAAGGACCTCAGCAACCCCTGATTAAGATACATACAAGAAAACCCCAGCTGAGTGCTTATAGTAAAATGGCTGCTAACTAATGAAAATGAAATGGAAGCTTAAAAGCTTCCACAGAAAAACTAAATGCTACATAGATGGAAACAACAATAAGAATGGCAGCTGAATTATTATAAAAAGTAAGTTGGTGTAGAAGGTGATGGAATTACATATATAAAGTGTTGAAAAAACATATTAAGTTATAATTCTATACATTGAAAATATATTTTCCATCAAATAGACTAAATCAGGGCATTTGCAGACATACAAAAGCCAAGGAAGTTGTTTCCAATAGGAGTATACCTCAGGAAATGCAAAAGAATGTTCTTCAGGAAAAAAAGTAATAATACTAGATGGAATTGTAAATTGTCAGGAACAAAATGAAGAGCAGCAGAAAGGGTAAGTACATGGTTAAATATTTTTAAATATATTAAATAAAAAATCAAAGATTACATATATGTTTATAGCAATAAATTGAGGGTTTTATAACGTATGTGTAAGTAAACTATATTACACCAGATTATATATATTGGAAGGGAGATATGGAATTTTACAAATGTAAGGTTCTTATATTGTATATAAACTAGTGAGATATGTGAAATTAGACTGTAATTAGTTCAGGATTTATACTATCATATTTTAGAAAAAGCACTAAAAATAACACAAAATATAGCTGAAATTCAATAAAGCAATAACATCACATGCCAAAATAACCTTAATTAACACAAAAGAGAGAAGAAAAGAAGAAATGGAAAAACAAAGAGACTACACAAATACAAAACAAATAGCAAGATGGTAAACTAAACCAAACCATAGGAAAAATTATACCAAATATAAATGGGCTAAAACACAACCATTGAAAATCAGATTATCAGATAAAAAAAATAAAGCAAAGCCCAACTCTGTGTTTTACAAGAAATACACTTTTAATATAGGAACATAAATGAAATTAAAAGAATGGAGAAAGACATACCATGGCAGTACTAGTATTAATATCAGAAAATGTAGACTGTATGGAAAAGGGTAACGCCAGAGAAAGTGAGAGAGTCTTTTCATATTAATAAAGTGGTTACTTTATCAAGAAGACAAAATGTGTATTCACCTAAGAAGAAAGCTTCAGAATATCAAAATAAAAACTGAAAAAAATTTAAAAAGAAATATATAAAGGCACAATCATAAACATATATTTAATGCTTCTCTCATAAAGATATGACAAGTAGACAAACCAGTAAAATATAGATTTGAACAATAATATTACTCATCTTGATCTAATGTACGTAAGTCAGAAAACACAATCTATTCAAATTTACATAGAATATTCACCAATGCAGAACAAATTCTGAGCTATAAAACAAGCTTCAGTAAATTTCAAAGGACTGAAATCATATAAAGTCTGCTCAGTGGTTACATGGAATTATATTACAAATCAATAATAATCAATTATCTATAATATCCAGAAATACTTGACAGTTAGTTGATATATCTATGATTCAAAGAAATTATATGAAAAATTAGAAACTACTTTGAACTAAATTGTAAAGAATGCAGAGCATATCAAAAGTTGTGGGATGCCTGGGCAACATGAAGAAACCTTATGTCTACAAAAAACACAAAAATTAGCTGGTTGTGGTGGCACACGCCTGTAGTACCAGTTATTTGGGAGGCTGAGGTTGGGGGGTTGCTTAAACCCAGGAGGTGGAGATTGCAATGAGCTGTGATCACAAGACTACACTTCAGCCTTGGTGACAGAGCAAGCCTTGTCTCAAAAAAAATGTGGATGCAGCTAACATAGTGCTAAAAAGTAAACATATAGCTTGAAATGCTTAAATCAAAAAAAAAAGAAAAAGTTTTTATTTTGAATTTCATACATAAGTGAGATTGTATAGTATTTGTCTTTCTCGCTCCGACTTACTTCATTTAGTGGAATGCCTTAAAGATTCATCAATGTTATTGCAAATGGCAGGATTTTCTTCCTTTTATTACTTAACAATATTCCAATTATTATTATTACATAATACACACACAGAGACACACAATTTTTTATCCATCCATCCATTGATAAATACTAGGATTGTTTTCATGTCTTGGCTATTGTGACTAATGATGTAATGAGGAGATGTTGGTCAAAGGGTACTAACTTTCAATTATAAGATGAATCAGTTTGGAGGATCTAATATATATAGCATGGTTACTACAGCTAACAGTACTGTATTTTATATACGAAGAGAGTAGATCTTAGATGTTCTCACCACACACACACACGCACACACACAAAACTATGTATAGTGATAAATAGGTTCATTAGCTAGATTGTGATAATTATTTCACAATGTATACATATATCAAAATGTCATGTTGTACACAGTAAATAGCTTCAATGTTTATTTACCATTTATACCCTGGTAAATCCGGAAATAAGAAGAAATGTTTAAAACTAGTGACCTCAGCTTTAATCTTAAGAACCCAGAAAAAGAAGAGCAAATTGAGCCCAAAATAAATAGAAAAGATAAATTAATGATAACTAAAGTCAATGAAATAGAAATTGAATAAATGACACATAATATCAACAGTCACGCATTTTCATTTAAAATTGAATAAAAATAATAAATTACTAGTAATACTGATAGAGAAAAGGAATAACATTATGATATGGTTTAGCTGAGTTCCCACCAAAATCTCATCTTGAATTCCCATGTGTTGCGGGAGGGACCTGGTGGAAGGTAATTGAGTCACGGGGGCAGGTATTTCCTGTGATAGTCTCATGATAGTGGATAAGTCTCATGAGATCTGACGGTTTTATAAGGGGGCGTTTCCCTGCACAAGTGCTCAAGTGCTTTTTTTTTGCCTGCTGACATCCATGCAAGATGTGACTTGCTCCGACTTTCTCCTCCTCACCTTCTGCCATGATTGTGAAGCCTCCCTAGCCATGTGGAACTGTAAGTCCATTAAACCCTTTTACCTGTGTAAATTTCCCAGTCTTGGGTATGTATTTATCAGCAGTGTAAAAACGGACTAATACCGTAAGTTGGTACCAGTAGAGTAGGGCACTGTTGAAAAGATACCCAAAAATGTGGAAGCGACTTTGGAACTGGGTAACAGGCACGGACTGAAACGGTTTGGAGGGCTCAGAAAAAGACAGGAAAATGTGGGAAAGTGTGGAATTCCCTAGAGACCTGTTGAATGGCTTTGACCAAAATTCAGATAATGACTTGGACAATGATATCCAGGCGGTCTCAGATGGAGATGAGGAACTTGTCAGGAACTTAAGCAAAGGTGACTCTTGTGATGTCACAAGAGACCAGCAGCATTTTGCCCCTGCCCTAGAGTTCTGTGGAACTTTGAACTTGAGAGAGATGATTTAGGGTATCTGGCAGAAGAAATTTCTAAGCAGCAAAGCATTCAAGAGGTGACTTGTGTGCTGTTAGAGGCACTCAGTTTTAAAAGGGAAACAGCATAAAAGTTTGGAAAATCTGCAGCCTGACAATGTGATAGAAAAGAAAATCCCATTTTCTTTCTTATGCAAATCTCTGCTGGCTGCATAAGTAACAAGAAGCCAATGTTAATCGCCAAGATGATGGACAAAATGTCTCCAGGGCATGTCAGGGTCTTCATGGCAGCCCCTCCCATAACAGGTCTGAAGGCCTAAAATGAAAAAATAGATTCCTGGGCCAGGCCCAGTGCCCCCCTGCTATGTGCAGCCTAGGGATTTGGCACCCTGTGTCTCAGCTGCTCCAACCATGGCTAAAAGGGGTCAAGATACAGCTTGAGCCACGGCTTCAGAAGGTGGAAGCCCCAAGCCTTGGCAGCTTCCATGCGTTGTTGAGTCTGTGGGTGCACAGAAGTCAAGAATTGATGTTTGGGAACCTCCGCCTAGATTTCAGAGGATGTATGGAAATGCCTGGATGTCCAGGAAGAGGGGTGCTGCAGGGGCAGAGCACTCATGGAGAAGCTCTGCTAGGGCAGTGCAGAAGAAAATATAGGGTTGAAGCCCCACACAGGGTCCCCAATGGGGCACTGCCTAGTGGAGCTGTGAGAAGAGGGCTATCATTCTCCAAACTGCAGAATGGTAGATCCACCTACAGTTTGCACCACTGTGTGCCTGGAAACCTACAGACACTCAACACCAGGCCATGAAAGCAGCTGGGAGGGAGGCTGTACCCTGCAAAGCCACAGGGGCAGAGATGCCCAAGACCACGGGAACCCACGTATTGCATCAGCCTGACCCGGATGTGAGATATACAGTCAAAGGAGATCATTTGGGAGCTTTAAGATTTGACTGTCCCGCTGGATTTTAGACTTGCATGGGGCCTTAGACCCTTTGTTTTGGCCAATTTCCCCCATTTGGAATGGGTGTATTTACCCAATGCCTGTGTCGCCATTGTATCTAGGAAGTAATTATCTTGCTTTTGATTTTACAGGCTCACAGGCAGAAGGGACTTGCTTTGTCTCAGATGAGATGTTGGACTGTGGACTTTTGAGTTAATGCTGAAATGAGTTAAAATTTGGGGGACTATTGAGAAGGCATGATTGGTTTCAAAATGTGTCAGTATGAGATACGGGAGGGGCCAGGGGCAAAATGATATGGTTTGGCTGTGTCTCCACCAAAATCTCATCTTGAATTCCCATATCTTGTGTGAGGGACCTGATGGGAGGCAACTGAATAGTGGGGGCAGGTCTTTCCCGTGCTGTTCTCATGATAGTGAATAAGTCTCATGAGATCTGATGGTTTTATAAGGGGGAGTTTCCCTGCACAAGCTTTCTGTTTTGGCCTGCTGCCATCCATGTAAGACGTTACTTGCTCCTCATTGCCTTCCACCATGATTGTGAGGCCTCCCCAGCCACGTGGAACTGTAAGTCCATTAAACCCTTTTTCCTATGTCAATTACCCAGTCTCGGGTATGTCTTTCTCAGCAGCATGAAAATGGACTGATATACAGTGCAAATTACTTGCATGAAGAATGAGGGGACATCATCATAGTTTCTGAAGACATTAAAAATATAAAATCGGGAGAGGCCAAGATGGCCAATTGGAAGCAGCTGTGGTCTGTGGTCCTTACACAGAGAAATAAAAGGAGTGAGTGAATTCAGCACCTTTAACTGAGATATCCAGTTCTCGCATTGAAACTGACTAGGCAAACAGCTCGACCCACAGAAGGTGAAGAGAAGCAGAGTGGGGTGACAGCCCATCCAGGAGCATCAGGGAGCCAAGCAAACTCCCACCCCCAGCCAAGAGAAGAGGTGAGTGATTGTGTCACCCCACCTGGGAAATCATACTCCTCCCACAGATCTTTGCAACCTGCCAATCACAAGATCCCCTTGTGAGCACACACTCCAGGACCTTGAGTGCAATACACAGAGCTGTGTGGAGTGTTGGCAGAGCAGCCACTCAGGCACACACAGAGACATGGAAGTTTTGCATACTCCCACCCTGGGATCTGCAGCAAGGCAGGAAATCCATCTGTGCATGTCACTAGGAAGAGGGCTGAGTCCAGGGAGCCAAGTGGCATCATTCATTGGGACCCTTTCCATGATGGCTCTTGGGTTGAGACCCACTGGCTTGGAATTCAAGCCATCCAGCAGCAGCAGGCTGGAGTCTGCCTGAGTCATGACTGAGTTCCCAAGGGGAGGGGCTGCTGCCATCTCTGAGATTTGGTAGACTCGGTTGTTTCAGCCTGTCAGCTTTGAAGAATACGGGTGATCTAGATGAGGAGTCCTCCACAGCACAGCACAGCTGCCTTTCCAGATAGTGCCCAGACTGCTTCTTTAAGCAAAACTCCAATCCATTCCTCCTCACTGGGTGAGAACTCTCTGCAGGGGCTTCAGCCCCTCAAGCAAGGGTTCTACAGACAGAGCTCTTTTCTCTCTCTGGGATGAAGTTCCCAGTGGGAGTAGGGGCTGTCATCTCTGAAATTTGGTAGACTCAGCTCTTCCAGCCTGCTGCTTTTGGAGAATACAAACAGTCTGGATGAGGAAGGGTGCCCCCAATGCGGTGCACTTGCTCTACTAAAGGGCAGCCAGCCTGCTTCTTTGGGCAGGTTCCTGATCCTGTTTATCTTGACTGGGTGAGCCCTCCCTGCAGGGGTCTCCAGGCACCTCCTACAGGCATGTTCAGGATGGCAACAGGTCAGTGTCCCCCTGGGACATAGCTTCCAGAGGAAGGAGCAGGCTGCCATCTTTGCAGTTTTGTAGGCTTCACTGGTTATACTTCCAGGTACAGGAAAAACTGAGGCAACTAGGGTCTGGAACCAACTCCCAGCAAACTGCAGCAGCCCTATGGAAGAATGGCCTGACTGTTAAATGAAAAACAAACAAACAAACAAACAAACAGAAAACACTAGCAACAACATCAACAAAAAACACCCCACTGAAAAAAACCTCATTTAAAGGTCAGCAGCTTCAAATACTGAAGGTAGATAATCCCGTAAAGATGAGAAAGAATCAACACAAAATGCTGAAAACTATAAAACCAGAGTACCTTTATCCTCCAAATGACTGCAAGACCTCTCCATCAAGGGCACAAAACTGGGCTGAGGCTCAGATGACTGAATTGACAGAAGTAGGTTTCAGAAGGTGTGTAATAACCAACTTTGCTGAGCTAAAGGAGCACGTTGTAACCCATGCAAATAACCTAAGAATCTGATAAAACAGTATAGGAGTTGATAGCCAGAATAGCCAGTTTGGAGAGGAACATAACTGACCAGATAGAGCTAAAAAACAACACAAGAACTTCACAATGCAATCACAAGTATCTATAGAAGAATAGAACAAGTGGAGGAAAGAATCTCAGAGCTTGAATACTATCTTTCTGAAATTAAGCAGTTAGAGAAGAATAGAAAACAAAGAATGAAAAGTAACAAACAAAAACTCCAAGAAATATACGACTGTATAAAAAAAACAGATATATGACAGATTGGGGTACCCAAAAGAGATGGGGGAGAATTTAACCAAATTGGAAATCATACTTCAAGATATCATCCAGGATAACTTCCCCAACCTAGCAAGAGAGGCCAACATTTAAATTCAGGAAATTCAGAAAATTCCAGTAAGAAACTCCACAAAAAGATCAACCCCAAGACACATAATCATCAGATTCTCCAAGTTCGAATGAAAGAAAAAATGTAAAGGGCAGCCACAGAGAAAGGCCAGGACACCTACCAAGGGAAGCCCATCAGACTAACAGTGGACCTCTCAGTGGAAACCTTATAAGCCAGAAGAGATTGGGGGCCAATATTCAACATTCTTAAAGAAAAGAATTTCCAACCCAGAATTTGATATCTGGCTCAACTAAGCTTCATAAGTGAAGGAGAAATATGATCCTTTTTAGACAAGCAAATGCTAAGGAAATTCGTCACCACGAGGCTTGCCTTGCAAGAGCTCCTGAAGGAGACACTAAGTATGGAAAGGAAAAACCGTTACCAGCCACTACAAAAACACACTGAAGTACACAGACCAGTGAAACTATGAAACAAACACATAAACAAGTCTGCAAAATAACCTGCTAGCATCATAATGCCAGGATCAAATTCACACACAACAATACTAGCCATAAATGTAAATGGGCTAAATTCCTCAATTAAAAGGCAAAGAATGGCAAGCTGGATAAAGAGCCAAGACCCACTGGTATGCTATCATCAAGAGACCCATCTCACATGCAAAGACACATAGGCTCAAAATGAAGGGATGGAGGAAAATTTTCCAAACAAATGGAAAACAGAAAAAGGAAGAGGTTGCAATCCTAGTTTCTGACAAAACAGACTAAATCAACAAAGACAAAGAAGGGCATTACATAATAGTAGAGGGTTCAATTCATCAAGAAGAACTATCATAAAAATATATCACCCAATACAGGGGCATCCATATTCATAAGGCAAGTTATTAGACATACACAAATAGACTTAGACCCCCACACAATAATAGTGGGAGACTTCAACATCCCACTGTCAATATTAGACAGATCATCAAGAAAATTAACAAAGATATTCAATACCTGAACTCAGCTCTGGATCAAGGTGACCTGATAGATATCTACAGAACTCTCCACCCCAAAACAACAGAACACACATTCTTCTCATTGCCACATGGCACTAATTCTAAAATTGATCACATAATTGGAAGTAAAACACCCCTCAGCAAATGCAAAAGAACTGAAATTATAACAAACAGTCTCTCAAACCACAAAACATCAAATTAGAACTCAAGATTAAGAAATTCACTCAAAACCACAAAACTACATGGAAATTGAACAACCTGCTCCTGAATGAGTCTTAGGTAAATAATGAAATTAAGGCAGAAATCAAGAAGTTCTTTGAAACTAATGAGAACAAAGAGACAATGTACCAGAATCTCTGGGATGCAGCTAAAGCAGTGTTAAGGGGAAAATTTATACCACTAAATATCCATATCAAAAAGCTAGAAAGATCTCAAGTTAACAACCTAACATCTCAATGAAAAGAGCTAGAGAAATGAGAGCAAATACACTCCAAAGCTAGCAGAAGACAAGGAAAAACCAAGATCAGAGCTAAACTAAAGGAGATAGAGACACAAAATACCCTTCAAAAACATCAGATTCCAACCTCTTCAAGGAGAACTACAAACCACTGCTCAACGAAATAAAAGAGGACACAAACAAATGGAAGAACATTCCATGCTCATGGATAGGAAGAACCAATATCGTGAAAAATGGCCATACTGCCCAAGGTAATTTATAGATTCAATGCCATCCCCATCAAGCTACCAATGACTTTCTTCACAGAATTGGAAAAAACCACTTTAAAGTTCATATAGAACTAAAAAAGAGCTCGTATTGCCAAGACAATCCTAAGCCAAAAGAACAAAGGTGGAGGCATCACGCTACTTGACTTCAAACAACACTACAAGGCTACAGTAACCAACATAGCATGGTACTGGTACCAAAATAGAGATATAGACCAATGGAAGAGAACAGAGGCCTCAGAAATAACACCACACATCTATAACCATCTGATCTTTGACAAACCTGACAAAAATAAGAAACAGGGAAAGGATTCCCTATTTAATAAATGGTGCTGAGAAAACTGGCTAGCCATATGCAGAAAACTGAAACTGGATCCCTTCCTTACACCTTATACAAAAATTAATTCAAGATGGATTAAAGACTTAAATGTTAGACCTGAAACCATAAAAACCCTAGAAGAAAACCTAGGCAATACCATTCAGGGCATAGGCATGGGCAAGGACTTCATGACTAAAACACCAAAAGCAATGGCAACAAAAGCCAAAATAGACAAATGGGATCTAATTAAACTAAAGAGCTTCTGCACAGCAAAAGAAACTACCATCCAAGTGAACAGGCAACCTACAGAATGGGAGAAAACTTTTGCAATCTACCCATCTGACAAAGGGCTAATATCCAGAATCCACAAAGAACTTCAACAAATTTTCAAGAAAACAAACAAACAACCCCATCAAAAAATGGGCAAAGGATATGAACAGACACTTCTAAAAAGAAGACATTTATGCAGCCAACAGACACAAGAAAAAATGCTCATCATCACTGGTCATCAGAGAAATGCAAATCAAAACCACAATGAGATACCATCCCACACCAGTTAGAATGGCGATCATTAAAAAGTCAGGAAACAACAGATGCTGGAGAGGATGTGGAGAAATAGGAACACTTTTACACTGTTGTTGGGAGTGTAAATTAGTTCAACCATTGTGGAAGACAGTGTGGCGATTCCTCAAGGATCCAGAACTAGAAATACCATTTGACCCAGCAATCCCATTACTGGGTATATACCCAGAGGATTATAAATCATGGTACTATAAAGACACATGCACACATATGTTTATTGCGGCACTATTCACAATAGCAAAGACTTGGAACCAACCCAAATGCCCATCAATGATAGACTGGATTAAGAAAATGTGGCACATATACACCATGGAATACTATGCAGCCATAAAAAAGATGAGTTCATGTCCTTTGCAAGGACATGGATGAAGTTGAAAACCATCATTCTGAGCAAACTATCACAAGGACAGAAAACCAAACACCGCATGTTCTCACTCATAGGTGGGAATTGAACAATGAGAACACTAGGACACAGGGTGCAGAACATCACACACCAGGGCCTGTCATGGGGTTGGGGGGCCGGGGGAGGGATAGCATTAGGAGAAATACCCAATGTAAATGATGAGTTAATGAGTGCAGCACACCAACGTGGCACATGTATACCCATGTAACAAACCTGCATGTTGTGCACATGTACCCTAGATCTTAAAGTATAATAATAATTAAAAAATCAATTATTCCAGGAGCTGGTTTTTGAAAGAATTATTAAAATAGACTGCTGCCTAGACTAATAATGAACAAAAGAGAGAAGAATTAAATCAACACAATCAGAAATGATAAGGGGGTTATAACCACTGACCCCCAGAAATACAAACTACAATCAGAAAATACTATAAACATTTATATGCACATAAACTAGAAAAGCTAGAAGAAATGGATAAATTCCTGGATGCATATACCCTCCAAACGCTGAACCAGGAAGAAATTTAATTCCTGAATAGACAAATAATGAGTTCTGAAATTGAGGCAGTAATAAATAGCCTACCGACCAGGAAAAAAAAAAAAAAGCCCAGGACCAGACAGATTTACAGCTGAGTTCTACCAGAGGGACAAAGAAGAGTTGGTACCATTCCTACTGAAACTATTCCAAAAAAAACTGAAAAGGAGAGACTCCTCCCCAAGTCACTCTATGAGTGCAGCATCATCCTCATACCAAAACCTGGCAGAGATACAACAAAAAAGAAAACTTCAGACCAATATCGTTGATAAATATCAATGCAAAAATCCTCAATATAACACTGGTAAATCAAATCCAGCAGCACATCAAAAAGATTATCTGCCACGATCAAGTAGGCTTTATCCCCAGGATATAAGGTTTGTTCAACATACACAAATCAATAAATGTGATTTATCATACAAACAGAACTAAAAACAGAAACCACATGATTATCTCAATAGATGTAGAAAAGACCTTTGATAAAATTCAACATCCATTCATATTAACAATTTTCAACAAACTATGTACTGAAGGAACATACTTCAAAATAAGAGCCCTATATGACAAACCCACAGCCAATATCACAGTAAATGGAAAAAAATTAAAAAAAAAAACTTAAAAAAAAAAAGTCAGAAACATTCCCCTTGACAAGTAGCACAAGACAAAGATTCCCTCTCTCACCACTCCTATTCAACATAATATTGGAAGTGCTGGCCAGGGCAATCAGGCAAGAGAAAGAAACAGAAGGTATTCAAATAGGAAGAAAAGAAGTCTAATTATCTTTTTTCGAAGATGACATCATCCTAAACCCCATTGTCTCAGCTGAAATCTTCCTGAGTTGTTAAGCAACTTCAGCAAATCTCAGGATACAAAATCAATGTGCAAAAATTGATAGCCTTCCTATACAATAACAACAGGCAAGCAGAGAGCCAAATCATCGATGAACTCACATACAAAATTGCTACAAAAAGAATAAAATACCTAGGAATATAGCTAACAAGGGAATTGAAGGACCTCTTCAAGGAGAACTACAAACCACTGCTCAAAGAAATCAGAGAGGACACAAACAAATGGAAAAAAACATTCCAAGCTCATGGATAGGAAGAATCAACATTATGAAAATGGCAATGCTGCCAAAAGTAATTTATAGATTCAATTCTATTTCCATTAAACTACCACTGACATTCTTCACAGAATTAGAAAAATCTATTTTAAAATTCATATGGAACCAAAAAGGAGTGCGAATAGCCAAGACAATCTTAAGCAAAAGAATAAAGCTGCAGGCATCACACTACCCAACTTCAAACTATATTACAAGGCTACAGTAACCAAAACAGCATGGTACTGGTACAAAAACAGACACGTAGACCAATGGAACAGGATAGAGAACTCAGAAATAAGACCACACATCTAAAACCATCTGATCTTTGACAAGCCTGACAAAAAGCAATCACATGGGGAAAGGATTCCCTATTTAATAAATTGTGCTGGGGTAACAGGCTAGCCATATGCAGAAAATCGAAACTGGATCCCTTCCTTACACCATATACAAAAATTAACTCAAGATGGATTAAAGATTTAAATGTAAAACCCAAAACTATAAAAACTCTAGAAGAAAATCTAGGCAATACCATTTAGGACATAAGCATGGGCTAAGAGTTCATGATGAAAACATTGAAAGCAATTGCAGCAAAAAGAAAAGTGGCAAATGGGATCTAACTAAACTAAAGAGCTTCTGTGCTTCTGGGCTTTCTGTGCAGCAAAAGAAATTGTTATCTGAGTGCACATATAACCTACAGAATGGGAGAACATTTTTGCAATCTATCCATCTGACAAAGGTCTAATATCCAAAATCTACAAGGAACTTAAACCAATTTACAAGGAAAAAAACAAATGACCTCATTAAAAGATGGGCAAAGGACATGAACAGACACATTTCAAAAAAGGCATGCATGTGGCCAACAATAATATGAAAAAAAGCTCAACATCACCGAGCATTAGAGAAATGCAAATCAAAACCACAATGAGATACCATCTCACATGAGTCAGAATGGCTATTATTAAAAAGACAAAAAACAACAGATGCTGGCAAGATTGCATAGAAAAAGGAATGCTTTCACACTGCTGGTGGGAGTGTAAATTAATTCAACCATTGTAGAAGACAATGTGGCAATTCCTCAAAGACCTAGTGGCAGAAATGCCATTTGACCCAACAATCTCATCCCTACTTATATACACAGAGGCAAATAAGTCATTTTATTATAAAGATGCATGCATGTATATGTTTACTGCAGCACTATTTATAATAGCAAAGACATGGAAATAACCTAAATGCCCATCAGTGATAGACTGGGTAAAGAAAATGTGGTACATATACACCATAGAATACTATGCAGCCATAAAAAGAAACAAGAGCATATCCTTTGCAGGGATATGGATGGAGTTCAAAGCCATTATTCTCAGAAAACTGAGGGACAGAAAAACTAAACACCACATATTATCACTTGTAAGTGGGCACTGAATGATGAGAACACATGGAGGGGAACAGCACACACTGGGGCCTGTCAGAAGGGTTGTTGGAGGAGGTAGAGCATCAAGGAAGAATAGCTAATGGATGCTGGGCGCAATAAGTAGGTGGTGGGATGATCTTTGCAGCAAAACATGATGGCACACATTTATCTATTTAACAAACCTGCACATCTGGCCCATGTATCACTGAACTTAAAAGTTTAAGAAAAAAAATAAAGAAAATAAAGAACAAAAAACATGAAGTGGAGATGTTATGAGCAGCTGTATGCCGAAAAATATGACAACATGGAGGTAATGATAAGTACTTGGAAGACAAAAATTAACAAAATTTATCCTAGAAAAAATATAAAATGTAAATATCTATCTATTGAAGAAAATAAATCCAAAATCAAAATCCTTCACACAAATAAATCTCTAGGACCATATGGTTTCCCTAGTGAATTATATTAAACATTTAAGGAAGAAATACCATCAATTCTACACAAATTCTTTCAAAAATTAGGAGAGAGAACACTTCCCATCTCATTTTATGGGGCTGGCATAACACTGTCACCAAAATCTGACACAAAATTACAAGGAAAGAAAATTAGGGATTGATATTACTCATGAATACAGAAGTGAAATTTCTTAATAAAGCAGTAGCAAAGAAATACCACCAAAGTATTAAAATGATATTGCATCATTACCAGGTACAGTCTATTCTAGCAATACAAGTTTGATTTATCACTATGAACTAAATTTATGAAATTCACCATAATAATAGTCAACCTAAAACCATATGATTATCTTGATAAATGCAGAACAAATATTTAATGTACTTCAACAGTGACTTAATTAATATTAAAACTTTCAGCATATTAGGAATAGAAGAAAACTTACTGAACCTGATAAAGGGTGTCTATGAAAAATTTACCATCTTGATTAGTCTGGATTATTCAGGTAGAAATGTTTGGCTGTACCTGACTGAAATTGAAAGTAAAGTCAAAAAGAAAAAATAAAAAACAAAATAATTATATAGCACAAACTAACTTCCCATTTGGATTTAAGCCCCAGTCAGAACCTTATACAAGAAGTATGTACACATAAACACACACACACACACACACACACGCAACAGATATATGCTTACAGATATTAAATAAATATAGTTACTGGAAATTTTTAATTCTGCTTTTCAAAATGTTGTAACTCTGATGGAGACAGCAAGTCAGGTGTGCCATACATGGTTGAGCATCTTGTGCACTGCACAACTAATGGGTCACCATTCACAAATAAAATGACATCTCCTGGAACAGTAAAATGTTGCAGCCCTTTACTATGATATTTGCCTCGGGTAAAAACATAAAGGGAATATGAATTACCCCTACCAAATTGCTTCTTACCAAACTTACAGTCCAATACTAGATAAAGAAACCCGGCTACCACTTAAAAATAAAGTAGACTTTCATATTTATTTCTAAATTTGTTTTCATTGTTCTGCAAACCTTGTGTTGCATTTTCATCCAAGGTACAAAAGGAAGCACCACCCTTGCCCTTCCAAAGTAGTCGTCTGATGCAATATATGTATCACATTTTCCTCCCTCAAAATAAAGTGTGTCTTGAGCTATATGTTCTCAAAAGGTAATGTGAAGAATTACTGTCAAGGGATAATATTTGATAATTTTATATTCTCTTCTATTATTTACAGACATTAACAGAGTTCACAGTACCTTCCAGGGTGTTTTGTTTTGTTTTGTTTTTAGAAAAAATAGAAAAGGTATATCAAACATCTGTTTCTCAAACTGGCCCTTCATAAAACTCAAGGTCAAAGCATTATGTTATAACTCAAGTGAAAGTATTTTCACTGTGTACTCAGTTAATAGAGCCAAGGTCTATTACACTCTGTAGATCTAACTTGATATAGAGATAGAACTACAATTTAGAAAAACTGGTAGATAATATAGCACAGGCATTGTCTCCCAGATAAGTTGTCTCGATTGCACTTTTGGCAGGATCTGTATAGCAGTCACTTGAAGGTTAAGCTCTCAAAAGTGTCTAGAATTCTGATGCCCCAAGCTATTGATTAAAGTGAAACCCATATGCTTTAGATGAATCTGACATTATGTTATATGACAATTTAAAGACCTAACTTGTATTCTTGCTGAGGCAGAGAACCAGCCCACCCATACATAGAACTGACTGCAGGGGTGCCTTCAGGCATGGCCAAATGTTTTCTTAAAAAAGAAATTTTGGAGACACATGGCAGAATAGGAGGCTCATGACTAGCTCTCATTTCACAGTCACACTGACTAAGCACCTACAAATGGATCAATTCTCTCCAGAGAAAACCAGAATGCAATGGAAAGACTCCTACACACAGGATGACTAAAAAAAAATCCACATCAAAATGGGTACAAAAAGTGGAGATTCACTTACATACTAACACCACCCTGAGCACTGCATCTTAAATATGGGAAGTAAATCTCAACTCCCAGCTTCTTCCCAAGAGGTGAGGGGCTTGTACCACACATGTAGTGTCCAATTTTTATTGTCCCTGCAGGAGGGATCTTAAATAGCCATATTTGAGGAATGCCAGCAACAGTTCATCACAGGATTTCCCTCAAGCACAAAGAACAAAGGAAGGGTTTGGCCATACAAGCACTCCCAACAGTTGTAGTCTGCAGGATGAGTCCAGCTTTAAATTTCCTTCTGGAAAGGGTTTGGCTGCATGCTTCTCCAGCAACTCCCTGTGGCTCTGGCCTCTAGCAAACCAGTATATGGGAGTCTACATAGGAAATAATAAATGTCTTCTAGCCTAAACGGGATGGAGGGAACTCTCTATGCCTTCTTTCCAGGGTTGCTCCAGTGACAATTTCACCCTTACAATCTCTCCTTGGAAAGAGGTTGGAGGCCTCGGCCAGCAAGGAAAGGAGGGCAGCACTTCCCACACTTTCTTTCATGACTTGCTCCTGAGATAAATGTCTTCAGTCTCTCATTAGAGGGAGGCTAGGGTACCTCTCTGTGCCTGAAAGGTAAAAGAGGGCCTCCCTGTGCCTTTTTCCCTAGAATCCATCAGCAATAATTCTAGACCAGAAGGCTGTCCTCACAAAGATGGTATGAAACTTCTTGCTTGAACAGAGAAGGGGCATTCCCAGCACCTTCTTCCTTGACTTACTGATATCATAATTCCAGGCCTACAATATCTCTATATAAAGACATTGGAGGCCTCTGTCAGCAAGAACAGGAAAGTGGTACTCTCCACATTTTCTTCCCCGGCGTGCTCCTGAGATAAATTTCTGTGGTCTCTTATTAGAGGAATGCTAAGGGACTTCATAGTGCCTGAAAGGAAAAGAGTACACTCCCTGCACCTTCTTCACTGGTGTACTTCAGATTTAACTCCATATCAGAAGGTTCTTTCTGCAAAGAGGGTGTGAAAATACTGCTTGTTTGATCAGGATAAGTGTTTCCTTTACCTCTCACTCTGCCTTGCCCTAGAGATAATCCCAGCCCTAAAATCTCTTCATACAAAGGGTGTAGAGGCTTCTGCCAGGAAAATGGGAGAAATGGCACTCCCTGCACCCTCTTCCCTGGCTTGCTCTAGAGATAAACATCTCTAATCTCTCTTTGAAAGCAGCCTGGGAAACCTCTGTGTCTGAAAAAGAAAATGGGCACTCCCTGCAACTCCCGCTCCAGCTTGTTTTAGTGACAAGTTCAAACTAGAAATCCATCCCTGCTGCAAAAGTGTGAGACTTCTGCTTCCTCAAATAGAAGAGTAGGCACTCACCTCCCATACCTTCTTCACTGGCTTGCTGCAGCAATAAATCCATATTGGCAGGCTCTCACTAGAAGTAGTTTTTGCATGCATTGAGCGTCCCTACTTTTACAGCTTTTACCTGAGTAACTGGATCCTAAATCATCTAGCTATGAGAGTTTATGGAGCTGTGCTCTGCTGAGTCTCCTAGACCACAGAAAACAAAAGATGACTTTTAAACTTGTAAACATTCAGCAGCTATTTCCCCAGGTTCAAAGTAAGCCATCTGATCAAGAGTATGGTAAACTGCCACAGACCCTCCCACTGGTGTAGGGCAGAACAAGCGGATTATAATCACTGGCTCTGAGATTCTTTGCAAGGAAAGAAGGAATTGGAGTACATATCTAAGATTCCAACCCCTCCAACTGCATCTCCAAAAAACTGAGTTCTATTCCACCTTTCTCAAGGCAATAGCAAGACTTGACACTCTAATTTCTTGGAGCCATTAAGAACAAAGATAGCTAGTTGGAAAAGCAAAAAGAGGCACCTAGAATCACTGGCTGAGCTAATTATGGAAAAATATCTCCTACAAAAGACCACACTAACAAGACTGGGAGAGGTGGTTCTCTTATCTAATGTGCAGAACCAACATAGTCAAGGAAAATGAATGAACAGGAAACTATGTTCCAAATAAAAGAACAAGATAAATGTCCAGAAGCTGACACTAGTGAAATGAAGATATGTGACTTGCCTGACAGGGAATCCAAAAGGACAGTAATAAAGATGCTCACACAAATAAGGAGAGCAATGCAAAAACAAGCTGAAAATTTGAACATAGATAGAAAATATTAAAATGTACCAAACATACATAGTTGAGCTGAAGAATACAATAACTGAACTCAGAAATTCAATAGAGGGGTTAAACAGCAGATTATATCAAGGAGAAAAAAGAACTAGCAAGCTCGAAGACATGTAATTAGAAATCACCTAATCTAATGAGCAAAAGAATAAGGAAGAAGTTGGAAAGCCTAGGAAAGTTATGGGAGACCATCAAGCAGAATAATGTATACATTATTAAAGTACAAGAAGAAAAAGAGAAAAGAGCAGATGATATATTCAAGTAAATGACGACAGAAAACTTCCCAAGTCTTGGGAAGGAATGAGAAATCCAGACCCAGGAAGCTCAACAGACACTAATACAATGAATCATAAGCAACCCACACTGAGACATATTATAAGCAAATTGTCAAAAGTTATAGATAGAGACAAAATATTGAAAGCTAAAAGGCAAAAATAACTTGTTACATACAAGGACACCTCCATCACACTATCAGCAGATATTTTAACAGAAACCATGCAGGCCAGGATAGGATGGGATGATATATTTAAAAAGCTGAAGGAAAATAAAGCTGTCAAACTAGAATACTATACCCAGTAATCCTGTCTTTAATAAAGGAAAGATTAACAACCTTCTCAAGGAAACGAAAGCTGAGGTAATTTATCACCACTAAAACTGTCTTGCAATTCATGCTAAAACGGGTCCTTCAAGCTGAGAGAAGACATAGGTAGCAACCTAAAAATATATAAAATATAAAACATTACTAAAAGCGAGTATATAATAAAACTTAGACACTTGCACTGGTGGTGTGAAAATCAATTATACCTCTAGTATGAAGATTAAAATACAAAACTATTAAAATCAGCTATAGCTTAAATTTATTGAGGTATATGTACTATAAGAGATACAAAATATATCATCACAAAGAAATGTGGGAGAAGAGAATAAAAGAATATTGATTGTATGAGTGATAAATGTTAAGTCATTATCAGCTTAATATAACCTGTTATTATTATAAAGTGTTTTAAGTAAGCCTCATGGTAATCACAAAGCAAAACATCCTTAGTAGTTACACAAAATATGAGAAGAAATGATTCAAAGCATGCAACTACAGAAAATTATCAAACCAAATAAAACTTTAACAACAGAGAAAGAGAGGAACAAAGGATCTTGAATTAACCAGAAAACAATTATCACAATGGCAAGAGTAAGTTCTCACCTATCAATAATTATAGATTAAATTCTCCAATCAAATGACATCAAATAGCTGAATGGATTTAAAAAGCAAGGCCCACCTACATCCTGCCTGGATGAATCCACTTCACCTCTAATAACACACATAGACAGAAAGTGAAGGGATGAAAACAGATATTCCATGCAAATGGAAATCAAAATAGAGTGGGTGTAGTTATATCAGACAAAATAGACATTAATTTAAAACTCTAAAAAGATACAATGAAGGTCATTACACAATAATAAAAGGGCCAATTCAGCAAGAAGTTATAACAATTTTAAATGTATATGCATGCAACATCAGAGCACCTAAATATATAAAGCAAATATTAGCAGATCTAAAAGGAAAGATGGAATGCAATACAATGATAGTAGGAGACTTCAATTCTCCCTTTTAACTTAGAGAGATCACCTAGAAAATAATGAGAAAAGAGTGGACTTGAATTACACTTTAGGACAAATGTACCTAACAGATATTTACAGAACATTACATCCATAAGCAACAGTATACACATTTTTCTCAGGAGCACATGGAACATTCCCCTCAATAGATCATACATCGGGCCACGATACAAATCTTAAAAATTTAATAAAATTGAAGTCATACGGACTATCTTTTCTGACCATAATTACATGAAACTGGAAATTAATAAGAGGAGGAATTTTGGAAAATTCACAAATATGTGGAAATTGAGTAACACAATCCTGAACAACCAATGAGTCAAATAAGAAACTAAGAGGGTAAGTTAAATATATCTTGACACAAATAAAAAGGAAACATAACATACTTATATAATACAGCAAAATAAGTCCCTAGAGGAATGTTTATAGCAATAAATGCCTAAACCAAAAAAACAGAAACTTTTGTAAAAGTAGCCTGAAATTACACCTCATTTCTCAGAGGAATGAAAAAAAGAAGACAGTAAGTGGAAACTTAGCAAAAGGAAGAAAATAAAAAAGATAAGAGCACAAATAAACAAGATAAAAACTAGAAAAGCACTAGAAAAGTTTTTTAAAAACAAAAGTTGAATTATTTGAAAATATACACAAACCTGACAAATCTTTAACAAAGAAAAAAGCATACACAAAATCAGTAGCATTTCTATTTGCCAATGGCAAACATTTTGAGAAAAAAACACAAGAAAATAATTCAATTTACAATAGCAACAAATAAAATGCAATACCTATGAATAACCTTAATCAAAGGTGTGAAAGATCTCTACAATAAAAACTATAAAATATGGATGAAATAAATTGAATGGGGCACGCAAGAAATTCGATGATATTCCATGTTCATAGATTGGAAGAATGAATGCTGTTAAAATATTCATACTTCCCAAAACAATCCACAGATTTAATGCAATTCCTATCAAAATACTATGATATTCTTCACAGAAATGGAAAAAGAATCCTAAAATTTACGTGCAATCACAAAAGATCGAGAATGGCCAAAGCAATCCTTTACAAAAAGAATAAACTGGAGAGATAACATTAGCAGACTTCAAATTATAGTACTAAGTTATAGTAACCAAAATAGCATGCTACTCACATAAAAACAGACACTTAGACTAATGGAAAGGAATAGAGATCCTAGAAGCAAATCTACACATTTACAGTCAGCCCATTTTTGAAAAAGGTGCCAAGAACATATATTGTGGAAAGAAGAGCCTCTTCAATGAATGGTGCTAAGAAACCTGGATATACACATGCATAAAAATGAAACTAGACCCCAATCTCTTCTTATATACAAACCTCAAATCAAAATAGATTAAACTTAAATCCAATACCTGAAACTATGAAACTACTAAAATAAAATATAGGGAAAACACTCTGGGTCATATGTCTTGGCAAAGGTTTCTTGAGTAAGATTTCAAAAATATACGCAACTAAAGTAAAAATGGACAAATGGGAACACATCAAGCTAAACAGCTTCTGCATAGCAAACGGAACAACATACAAAGTGAAGAGACAACCCATAGAATGGGAAAAAATATTTGCAAACTATCCATTTGACAAGGAATTAATAACCAGAATATATATAAGGAGCTCAAACAACTAAATAGGAGAAAACAAATAATCTGATTTTAAAATGGGCAAAATATTTGAATAGAAATTTCCTGAAAGAAGACATACAAATAGCCAACAAGTATATGCAAAATGCTCAACATCGTAACCATCAGAGAAATGCAGTTAAAACTACAATGAGATACCATCTCACCCCAGATAAAATGGCTTTTATCCAAAAGACATTCCATAATGAATGCTGGTGAGGACCTGGTAAAGGGAAAATTCTCGTACACTGTTGGTGGGAATATAAATTAGTACAGTCAGTATTAGAAATAATATAGAAGTTCCTTAGGAATCTAAAAATGGAAGTACCATATGATCCAACAATACCACTTCTGAGTACATATCCACAGAAAAGGAAATCATAACTTCAAAAAGACATCTGTACTCACGTTTATTGCAGCACTGTTTGCAATAGCCAAAATATGGAATCAACATAAGTGTCTATTAATGGATGAATAGACAAAGAAAATGTGGTACATATACACAATAAAATATTATTTGGCCATAAAAATGAATGCAATCCTGTCATTTGCAACAACATGTATGGTACTAGGGGACATTTTGTTAAGTAAAATAAGCCAGGCACAGAAATAAAAATATTGCATGTTCTCACTAATATGTGAGAGCTAAAATAAAAATGGAACTTACGGAGATAGGGAGAAGAATGATGGCTACTGGAAGTTGGGAAGAGTAATGGGGATGGGGGCCGGATAAAGAGGAGATGACTTATGGGTACAAAGATACAGTTAGGTAGAAGGAATAAAATTCAGTGTTTGGTAACACAATAGCACAACTATGGTTAATAATAGCTTATTTTATATTTTAAAATAACTTAAAAATAGAATTGTAATGTTTCTAACACAGGAAATGATAAATGCTTGAGATAATGGATACCCCAATTACCTTAATTTGATATTTACAAATTGCATGCTTATATCAAAGTATCACATATACCCCATAAATATGTACAAGTATTTTATATCCAAAATTAACTAAATGGAAATTTTTTACAAGAAGAAAAATAGAGATATTCAAATAAGCAATAATAGAAATGAAAGAAGAGACATCACAACTGACACCACAGAAATACAACAAATCATGAGAGACTACTACAAACAACTATAACGAGCAAATTGACTAACACAGAAGAAATGAATGAATTCCTAGAAACATACAACCTGCCAAAACTGAATCAGGAAGAAACAGAAAATCTGAACAGACCAATAATGAGTAAGGAGATTAATCAGTAATAAAAAGTCTCCCATCACAGAAAAGCCTGGAACATGATGGCTTCCCTGATGAATTCTACCAAACATTTAAAGAAGAGCTAATATCAATCCTTCTCGCACTCTAGAGGAGGGACTACTTCAACACTGATGTTATGAGCCCTACATTATCCTGATCCCAATGCCAGACGAGGACATTACAATATAAGAAAAGAAAACTACAGTCCAATATTCCTGATGAACATAGACACAAAAATTATTTACAACATACTAGCAAAAAGAATTTAACAGCAAATTAGAAAGATAATTCACTATGATGAAGTAAGATTATTCCCAGAGATGCAAGAATGGTTCAACGTACATAAAACAATAAATGTGATATACCACATTAACAAAATGAAGGAAAAAATCAAATGAACATCTCAAAGCATTTCACAAAATTGAACATCATTTTGTGTAAAAACTCTCAACAAATTAGGTATGGAAGAAATGTACTTCAACACTATAAAGGCCATACATGGAAAACTCATTGCTAATATAATACTCAATGGTGAAAAGTAAAAATCTTCCTTTAATATCAGGAAGAAGACAAGAATGCTTACTCTCACCAGCTCTATTCAACATAGTAGTTGGAAGTCCTAGCCAGAGCAATTAGACAAGAGAAAAAATTAAAGGTATCCAAATTGCAAAGGAAAAAGTAAAGTTGTCCCTGTTTGCAGATGACATGATCTCACATATAGAAAAGCCTAAAAGCTCCACCAAACAACTGTTAGAACTAATAAAAGAACTTAGTAAAGTTGGAGGATACAAAAATCAACATACAAAAGTGAGTAGTGTTTTTACAAGGTAACAACTAACTATCTAAAAAACAAATTTTAAAAATCCCATCATAGCAGCTACCAAAACATAAAATACTTAGAAATAAATTTAACCACGTGAAGAACCTATACACTGAAAAAGAGAAATCATAGATGAAATAAATCAATGAAATAAATCATTGATGAAAGATGATACAAATAAACAGAAAGATATCCATATTCATGGATTGAAAGAATGAATATTGTTAAAATATCCTCACCACTCAAAGCAATCTACAAATTCAATTGAATTTCTATAAAAATTCCAATGACGATTTTTTTTTAATTATACTTTAAGTTTTAGGGTACATGTGCACATTGTGCAGGTTAGTTACATATGTATACATGTGCCATGCTGGTGCGCTGCACCCACTAACTCGTCATCTAGCATTAGGTATATCTCCCAATGCTATCCCTCCACGCTCCCCAGACCCCACAACAGTCCCCAGAGTGTGATATTCCCCTTCATGTGTCCATGTGATCTCATTGTTCAATTTCCACCTATGAGTGAGAATATGCGGTGTTTGGTTTTTTGTTCTTGCGATAGTTTACTGAGAATGATGATTTCCAATTTCATCCATGTCCCTACAAAGGACATGAACTCATCATTTTTTATGGCTGCATAGTATTCCATGGTGTATATGTGCCACATTTTCTTAATCCAGTCTATCATTGTTGGACATTTGGGTTCGTTCCAAGTCTTTGCTATTGTGAATAATGCCGCAATAAACATACGTGTGCATGTATCTTTATAGCAGCATGATTTATACTCATTTGGGTATATACCCAGTAATGGGATGGCTGGGTGAAATGGTATTTCTAGTTCTAGATCCCTGAGGAATCGCCACACTGACTTCCACAATGGTTGAACTAGTTTACAGTCCCACCAACAGTGTAAAAGTGTTCCTATTTCTCCACATCCTCTCCAGCACCTGTTGTTTCCTGACTTTTTAATGATTGCCATTCTAACTGGTGTGAGATGATATCTCATAGTGGTTTTGATTTGCATTTCTCTGATGGCCAGTGATGATCAGCATTTTTTCATGTGTTTTCTGGGACGCATTCAAAGCAGTGTGTAGAGGGAAATTTATAGCACTAAATGCCCACAAGAGAAAGCAGGAAAGATCCAAAATTGACACCCTAACATCACAATTAAAAGAACTAGAAAAGCAAGAGCAAACACATTCAAAAGCTAGCAGAAGGCAAGAAATAACTAAAATCAGAGCAGAACTGAAGGAAATAGAGACACAAAAAACCCTTCAAAAAATCAATGAATCCAGGAGCTGGTTTTTTGAAAGGATCAACAAAATTGATAGACCGCTAGCAAGACTAATAAAGAAAAAAAGAGAGAAGAATCAAATAGACACAATAAAAAATGATAAAGGGGATATCACCACTGATCCCACAGAAATACAAACTACCATCAGAGAATAGTACAAACACCTCTACGCAAATAAACTAGAAAATCTAGAAGAAATGGATACATTCCTCGACACATACACTCTCCCAAGACTAAACCAGGAAGAAGTTGAATCTCTGAATAGACCAATAACAGGAGCTGAAATTGGGGCAATAATCAATAGTTTAGCAACCAAAAAGAGTCCAGGACCAGATGGATTCACAGCCGAATTCTACCAGAGGTACAAGGAGGAACTGGTACCATTCCTTCTGAAACTATTCCAATCAACAGAAAAAGAGGGAATCCTCCCTAACTCATTTTATGAGGCCAGCATCATTCTGATACCAAAGCCGGGCAGAGACACAACCAAAAAAGAGAATTTTAGACCAATATCCTTGATGAACATTGATGCAAAAATCCTCAATAAAATACTGGCAAACCGAATCCAGCAGCACATCAAAAAGCTTATCCACCATGATCAAGTGGGCTTCATCCCTGGGATGCAAGGCTGGTTCAATATATGCAAATCAATAAATGTAATCCAGCATATAAACAGAGCCAAAGACAAAAACCACATGATTATCTCAATAGATGCAGAAAAAGCCTTTGACAAAATTCAACAACCCTTCATGCTAAAAACTCTCAATAAATTAGGTATTGATGGGACGTATTTCAAAATAATAAGAGCTATCTATGACAAACCCACAGCCAATATCATACTGAATGGGCAAAAACTGGAAGCATTCCCTTTGAAAACTGGCACAAGACAGGGATGCCCTCTCTCACCACTCCTATTCAACATAGTGTTGGAAGTTCTGGCCAGGGCAATCAGGCAGGAGAAGGAAATAAAGGGTATTCAATTAGGAAAAGAGGAAGTCAAATTGTCCCTGTTTGCAGACGACATGATTGTTTATCTAGAAAACCCCATCGTCTCAGCCCAAAATCTCCTTAAGCTGATAAGCAACTTCAGCAAAGTCTCAGGATACAAAATCAATGTACAAAAATCACAAGCATTCTTATATACAAACAACAGACAAACAGAGAGCCAAATCATGAGTGAACTCCCATTCACAATTGCTTCAAAGAGAATAAAATACCTAGGAATCCAACTTACAAGGGATGTGAAGGACCTCTTCAAGGAGAACTACAAACCACTGCTCAATGAAATAAAAGAGGATACAAAGAAATGGAAGAACATTCCATGCTCATGGGTAGGAAGAATCAATATCGTGAAAATGGCCATACTGCCCAAGGTAATTTACAGATTCAATGCCATCCCCATCAAGCTACCAATGACTTTCTTCACAGAATTGGAAAAAACTACTTTAAAGTTCATATGGAACCAAAAAAGAGCCCGCATCGCCAAGTCAATCCTAAGCCAAACGAACAAAGCTGGAGGCATCACACTACCTGACTTCAAACTATACTACAAGGCTACAGTAACCAAAACAGCATGGTACTGGTACCAAAACAGAGATATAGATCAATGGAACAGAACAGAGCCCTCAGAAATAACGCCGCATACCTACAACTATCTGATCTTTGACAAACCTGACAAAAACAAGCAATGGGGAAAGGATTCCCTATTTAATAAATGGTGCTGGGAAAACTGGCTAGCCATATGGAGAAAGCTGAAACTGGATCCCTTCCTTATACCTTATACAAAAATCAATTCAAGATGGATTAAAGATTTAAATGTTAGACCTAAAACCATAAAAACCCTAGAAGAAAACCTAGGCATTACCATTCAGGACATAGGCATGGGCAAGGACTTCATGTCCAAAACACCAAAAGCAATGGCAACAAAAGCCAAAATTGACAAATGAGATCTAATTCAACTAAAGAGCTTCTGCACAGCAAAAGAAACTACCATCAGAGTGAACAGGCAACCTACAACATGGGAGAAAATTTTCGCAACCTACTCATCTGACCAAGGGCTAATATCCAGAATCTACAATGAACTCAAACAAATTTACAAGAAAAAAACAAACAACCCCATCAAAAAGTGGGTGAAGGACATGAACAGACACTTCTCAAAAGAAGATGATTTTTAACAAAAAAAAATTTTTAAATCTAAAATTCATAGGGAAGCACAAAATGCCACTAATAACCAAGGCAATCTTGAGAAAAACAAAAACAAAAAACAAAGCTAGAGGCATCTCACTACCTAATTTCAAAATCTACTAAAATGCTATAGTAATTGAAACAGCATGGTCCTGGAACAATCATAACCACATAGACCAATGGAATGGAATAGAGAGGCCAGAAATAAATTCACATATTTATGGTCAATTCATTTTCTACAAAGGTGCCAAGAACACATGATAGGAAAAGAACAGTCTCTTCAATAAATGATATTGGAAAAACTGGATATCCATATGCAGAAGAATGAAATTAGATCCTTATCTTAGACCAAAATCATACCAACATAGATTAAATATTAAAAGGTAAAAACTGAAAAATGTAAAACTACTAGAAGAAAACATGAGGTAAACGTTCCCTGACATTGTTCTGGGTAATCGTTTTTTAAAATATAACCCCCAAATCACTGGCAATATAAGCATTTTAAAAAATGGAATTATATAAAACTAAAAAGCTATATAACAAGGGAAATAATCAACGGAGTAAAAGAGACAACCTAGATGGAAGAAAACATTTGCAAACTATGTATCTGATGAGAAGTTAGTACCCCCTAAATATAAGGAACTCAAACAACGCAATATTTGGAAAACAACACAATTAAAAAATGAGCAATTATCTGAATAGACATTTTTCAAAAAATGACAGGCAAATGGCCAACAGGTATATGAAAAAATGATTTTTGGCTTGTAATGCCTTTCTTATTTCCTATATTATTAAAAGATAAATTCCCTCAGCAATAATTATAAATCTATGTTGGTGGGCATACAATATATACAGATGTAATACGTGACAATATCAACATAAAAGAAAGGCAACAGCACTGTATAAGAGCAGCATGTGTTATTACCATTGAAGCTAAGTTGATTAAATCAAACGTTTCTTTTTTAAATTTAAAATATCAGTTGTGGTCCTTATGGTAACTACTAAGAATACAACTAAAATATATAGAAAAGAAAATGAGAAGTAAATAGAAATGGCACACTAATAAAAATCAATCAAACACACACCAAAAAAACAGTAAATAGAGGCATCGAGGAACAAAAATATATGGTATAGAAATATAAATAGAAAATGGCAGGAGTTAATTTTTTCTTATCAGTGATTATTTTAAGAAAAAATGGCTTAAACTTGTCAATCAAAAGACAGAGTGACAGAATGAATTAAAAATAATCCAACTATATGTGATATACAACAGATGCAATTTGATCTAAAGACACAAATAAGCTGAAGTGAAAAATAAAAAAGATATTCCATGGAAACAGTAACCAAAAGAGAGCTAAGGTAGCTATACTAATATCAAATAAAAAATCACTTTAAGCAAAAATTATTGCATAATACAGAAAAGACATTATATATTGATAAAGGGGTTCATTCATGATGAAGATATAACAATTATAAACATATAGTACCTAATAACTGAGCTCCAAAATATACGGAGATGAAGAAAGGAGAAACAGATGGTTCTACAGTATTAGTTTGAGGTTTCAATGCACCACATTCACTAATAGAACAATTAAATGGAAGGTCAATAAAGAAGGAAACAGGAGACTTGAACAACATTATAAACACAGAAGACCTGAAAGATATGCCGAAAAATCCACCCAACAACATATAAGTATACATTCTTCTACAGTGGAAATAAAACATTCTCCAGAATAGACCATAGGTTAGGTCACTAAACAAGTCTCAATAATTTTATTGAGATTAATTAAATACTGAAATCACCCAAAATATTTTTTTGACCACAATGCAATGAAACCAGAAATTCATAATAGAAAGGAAATTGAAAAATTTACAAATATGTGGAAATGAAACAATGCAGCCTTAAATAACAAAAGGATGAAAGAAGAAATTTTAAGGGGAATTAGAAAATACATAAAGATGAATGAAAATGAAAACACAATATACTAAAACTTATGTGAAACACCTAAAGTAGTATCCAAAGGGTTACTCATAGTGAAAAGTGCCTCACTGAAAAATAAGTAAGATTTAAAATATTAACCCAAGTTCTCATCTTAATGAAAGTAGAAAAAGGAGAGCAAATGAAACTCAAAGGTGTCAGAGGAAAGGAAATAACTATTATAGTAATGATAAATCAAATAGAGTACAGAAAAATAATAAAGTAAATGAAACCAAATACAGATATTTTGAACAGATCAATAAAACTGACAAAACTTAACTAAATGGACCAAGAAAAAGAGTGCAGCACAATTTACTAACAGCAGGAATGAAAGAGGGGACAGTCTTATTGACATTAAATAAATAGAAAGGATTACAAGAGAATACTACGAATAATTGTATGCCAAAAATTAGATAAACTAGATGAAATGAGCACATTTCTAGAAACACACAAACTGTCAAAACTGATTTAAGAAATAGAAAACCTAAATAGTCCTGTAACAAGTATAAAGATTAAATCAGTAATCGAAAACCTCCCCAAAACTAAAAATCTCAGGACCAGGTGGCCTCATCAGTGTCACTGAATTCTGTCAAACATTTAAAGAAGAAATAATCCAAATTATTCTAAAACTTTTCTGAAAAACGGAATAGGAGGGAACACTTGTTAACACATAACATGAGGTCATCATTACCCTGATACTGAAGCAAAACAAAGATATATTACAAAAACTATACACCAATAGTCTTTAAGAATATAGATGCACTGTTCTGTTCCATTGATCTACATCTCTGTTTTGGTACCAGTACCATGCTGTTTTGATTACTGTAGCCTTGTAGTATAGTTTGAAGTCAGGTAGTGTGATGCCTCCAGCTTTGTTCTTTTGGCTTAGGATTGACTTGGCGATGCGGGCTCTTTTTTGGTTCCATATGAACTTTAAAGTAGTTTTTTCCAATTCTGTGAAGAAAGGCATTGGTAGCTTGATGGGGATGGCATTGAATCTGTAAATTACCTTGGGCAGTATGGCCATTTTCACGATATTGATTCTTCCTATCCATGAGCATGGAATGTTCTTCCATTTCTTTGTATCCTCTTTTATTTCATTGAGCAGTGGTTTGTAGTTCTCCTTGAAGAGGTCCTTCACATCCCTTGTAAGTTGGATTCCTAGGTATTTTATTCTCTTTGAAGCAATTGTGAATGGGAGTTCACTCATGATTTGGCTCTCTGTTTGTCTGTTGTTGGTGTATAAGAATGCTTGTGATTTTTGTACATTGATTTTGTATCCTGAGACTTTGCTGAAGTTGCTTATCAGCTTAAGGAGATTTTGGGCTGAGACAGTGGGGTTTTCTAGATATACAATCATGTCATCTGCAAACAGGGACAATTTGACTTCCTCTTTTCCTAATTGAATACCCTTTATTTCCTTCTCCTGCCTGATTGCCCTGGCCAGAACTTCCAACACTATGTTGAATAGGAGTGGTGAGAGAGGGCATCCCTGTCTTGTGCCAGTTTTCAAAGGGAATGCTTCCAGTTTTTGCCCATTCAGTATGATATTGGCTGTGGGTTTGTCATAGATAGCTCTTATTATTTTGAAATACGTCCCATCAATACCTAATTTATTGAGAGTTTTTAGCATGAAGTGTTGTTGAATTTTGTCAAAGGCCTTTTCTGCATCTATTGAGATAATCATGTGGTTTTTGTCTTTGGTTCTGTTTATATGCTGGATTACATTTATTGATTTGTGTATATTGAACCAGCCTTGCATCCCAGGGATGAAGCCCACTTGATCATGGTGGATAAGCTTTTAGAGCCCTCAGAAATAACGCCGCATATCTACAACTACCTGATCTTTGACAAACCTGAGAAAAACAAGCAATGGGGAAAGGATTCCCTATTTAATAAATGGTGCTGGGAAAACTGGCTAGCCATATGTAGAAAGCTGAAACTGGATCCTTTCTGTACACCTTATACAAAAATCAATTCAAGATGGATTAAAGACTTAAACGTTAGAACTAAAACCATAAAAACCCTAGAAGAAAACCTAGTCATTGCCATTCAGGACACAGGCATGGGCAAGGACTTCATGTCTAAAACACCAAAAGCAATGGCAACAAAAGCCAAAATTGACAAATGGGATCTAATTCAACTAAAGAGCTTCTGCACAGCAAAAGAAACTACCATCAGAGTGAACAGGCAACCTACAAAATGGGAGAAAATTTTTGCAACCTACTCATCTGACAAAGGGCTAATATCCAGAATCTACAATGAACTCAAACAAATTTACAAGAAAAAAGCAAACAACCCCATCAAAAAGTGGGTGAAGGACATGAATAGATACTTGTCAAAAGAAGACATTTATGCAGCCAACAGACACATGAAAAAATGTTCATCATCACTGGCCATCAGAGAAATGCAAATCAAAACCACAATGAGATACCATCTCACACCAGTTAGAATGGCAATCATTAAAAAGTCAGGAAACAACAGGTGCTGGAGAGGATGTGGAGAAATAGGAACACTTTTACACTGTTGGTGGGACTGTAAACTAGTTCAACCATTGTGGAAGTCAGTGTGGCGACTCCTCAGGGATCTAGAACTGGAAATACCATTTGACCCAGCCATCCCATTACTGGGTATATACCCAAAGGACTATAAATCATACTGCTATGAAGACACATGCACACGTATGTTTATTGCGGCATTATTCACAATAGCAAAGACTTGGAACCAACCCAAATGTCCAACAATGATAGACTGGATTAAGAAAATGTGGCACATATACACCATGGAATACTATGCAGCCATAAAAAATGATGAGTTCATGTCCTTTGTAGGGACATGGATGAAATTGGAAATCATCATTCTCAGTAAACTATCGCAAGACCAAAAAACCAAACACCGCATATTCTCACTCATAGGTGGGAATTTAACAATGAGATCACATGGACACAGGAAGGGGAATATCACACTCTGGGGACTGTTGTGGGGTGCGGGGAGCGGGGAGGGATAGCATTAGGAGATATACCTAATGCTAGATGACGAGTTAGTGGGTGCAGCGCACCAGCATGGCACATGTATACATATGTAACTAACCTGCACAATGTGCACATGTACCCTAAAACTTAAAGTATAATAATAATAAAAAAAAGAATATAGATGCAAAAACTCTCAACAAAATATTAGCATACTGAATCAAGCAGCATATTAAAATGATTATAAACCATAACAAAATTGACTTTATCCCAGAAATTAAAGAGCTATTCAATTAATGAAAATGTAATATACCAGATTAATAGAATAAAAGGGAAAAAAGGACTTGATCATTTTTATCGATCCATAAAAAGCATTTGCCAAAACCTAGCAGCCTTTTATGATAAAACACTCCAAAGCCTAGGAATAGAAGGAAGTATCCTCAACCCAATAAAAGTCATTTATAAAAAACTGACACCTAACATCATACTCAATGGTGAAAGACTGAAACCTTTCTCCTAAGATCAGGAACAAGACAAGGATATCTTCTTTTACTACTTCCACACAACATTGTACTGAAAGTTCTACAAAGAGTTATTATGAAAAAAAGAAAGAAAAAGTATCCAAATTAGAAAAGAAGAAGCTTTAATCTCTATTTTCAGAGAACATGAGCTAGATAGTCATATATATACATATATATACCTTCTTAGGAATCAATATAAAACAAATATATTGAAATTAGGATCTCAAAGAGATTTTTGCACTCCCAAGTTCATTGCAGCATTACTCACAATACCTAAGATATGAAAATAACCTAAATGTTCATTGATGGATGAATGGGCAAAGAAAATGTGGTCTATGCATACAATGGAATAGTATTCAACCACTGAAAGAAGGAAATTCTGCCATATGCGACAACGTGGATGAATTGTGTGGCTATTATGTTAAATGAAATAAGCCAGCCACAGGAAAAATATAATATGAGTCTATGTACATGAGGTAACTAAAGTAGTCAAACACACGAAAGCAGAAAGTACAATGGTGTTTGTAAAGAGCTAGGGAGGGGAGGAAATGGTGAGTTGCTGTTCAATGGATATAAAGTTTGAGCCATGTAAGATAAAAATGTTCTAGAGATCTGCTGTAAAATTTGCTGTAAAAATTTGTCCTTATAGTTAACAATATTATACTGTACACTTTAAAAATTGTTAATAGAGCTTATAAACAAAGTAAGAAAAGTTTCAGGATACAAACTCTACATGCAAAAGTAAGTTGTATTTTGACATACTAGCAATTCTTAAATCTGAACAATAATTTTTTTAATTCCTTTTACAACAGCTTAAATGAGAAAAACTTTAACCAAAGAGGTACAAGATTTGTACAGTGAAAACTACCAAACATTGGTGTAATAAATTACAGAAGACCTGAATAAATGGAAGAACATAATATATTCATGGATTTGAAGAATTTATATTGTTGAATTGTCAGTACTCTCCAAAGCATCTACAGACTCAACGCAATCCTTATCAAAATCCCAATGACCTTTTCTCAGAAATAGAAAACACAACTCTAAAATTCATACAGAATCTCAAGGGAGCTTGAACAACCACTTCCCAATTTCAACTTACTCCAAATCTCTATAGTCAAAATACAATGGTAATGCATAAAAATAGACATATTAATCAAATGGATAAAATTGAAATAAACTACAAATAGAACTACCATATGATCCAGCAATCTCACTACTGGGTATAAATCCAAAAAGAGGGGAATCGGTATATGAAAAAGTCATCTGTCTTCCCATATTCATTACAGCTCTATTAATGATAGCCAAGATGTAGAAAAAACTTAAGTGTTCATCAACAAATAAATGTATAAAGAAAATGTGGTATATGTACATAATGAAATATTATTCAGCCATATTGTTTCTTAGCCTTTTGGCTAAGATGGAGTGGAATGCCATTCAGCCATAAAAAAGAATAAACTCTTATCGTTTGTGGCAACATTGATGAGCCTGGAGGACATTATGTTAAGCAAAATAAGCCAGGAATATAAGAATAAACACCAGACGTTCTCACTAACGTGTGGAAGATTTAAAAAGGAGCACTCTTATAGGAGTAGTGCATAAAATAGTGGTTATTAGAGGTTGGGAAGGGTAGGGAGAAGGGTAGCTAGGAGAAGGTTGGCTAAAGGATACAAAATTATAGGTAGATAAAAGAAATAAGTTCTAACACTCTACAGCTCTGTAGGGTGACTATAGTTAACAACAACTTATATATTTTCAAATAACTAGAAGAGATGAATTTAAATGTTCATAACACAAATAAATGATAAATGTTTGAGGTGATGAATATGCTAATTACTCTGATTTGACCATTATACATTGTATATATTAAAATATCACTGTGTACTCCATAAATATGTACAAGTATTATGTGTAAATTAATAAAAAAGAAATTAAGAATTGGGAGTCCAGAAATAGGCCCATACATCTACGGTCAATTTATTTTTTACAAAGGTGCTAAGATAATTCAATGGAGAACGATGGTCTTTTCAACAAATAGTTCTGGGACACATGCAAAAGAATGAAGTTGAGTACTTAACTCATATCACATAAAAATTAAGTCAAAATGGAGTGCAAGCCTAAATATAAAAGCTACAATTATGTAACTCTTAAAAGAAAACATTCTGGTAAATTTTCATGATCTTAAATTTGGCGATGTTTTCCTAGATGTGATACCAAAAACACAAGCAACAATGGAAAAAATAAATCGGAATTCCTCAAAATTGAAAACTTTGCACATCAAAGGACACTATCAAGATAGTATAAGCCAACCCACAGCATAAGAGAAGATATTTTCAAATTGTGTATTTGGCAAGGCCCTGACTATCCAGAATATATATATGTATGTATATATATATATATAACTCTTACACTAAAAAACAAAAGTCATACAATTAAATTAATAAAGTGGGGAAACGACTTGAAGACACTTCTGCAAAGAAGACAAAAAAATTGCCAACAAGCACATTAAAAGATATTCAACATCCTTAGATGTTAGGCATCATTAGACATGCAAACCAACACAACAAGGAGGCATCACTTCATGCTTGCTAGGATGGCTATATTAATTTAAAAATGAAAACAGGAAATAACAAGTGCTGTTAGGATATTTAAAAATTTTTACGCTCATAGATTGCTGGTCGGAATGTTCAATGGCGCAGCTTCTGTGGGAATCAGTTAGGTGGTTCCACAATAAGTTAAACATAGAATCATATAAGAGCTATCACTTCTACTCAGGAGTGAATAGCCAAAATAATGGGTTTTCAAAAAGAGTTCAAACAAAAACTTGCACACAGATATCCATAATACCACTGTTTATGATAGCCAAAAAGTAGAACCAACTTAAAGGTCCATCAATTGATGAATGGATCAACAAAATATGATATATCCACACAATGGAATACTATCCAGCCATAAAAATAAATGAAACCTTAATAATGGCTACAGGATGGATGAACTTTGAAAGCAGTATGTAAGTGAAAGAAGCCAGACACAGAAAAAAGTTACATATTGTATGATTCCATTTACATGAAATGTCCAGAAAAAGCAAATCCAAAAGGATAAAAATAATATAGATTAGTGGTTATGGGAGGATGTGAGAAAAGGGACAACAGGGAATGATTTCTGAATAGATACAGGGTTTCCTTTCAGGGTGATGAAATTGTTCTGGAACTAGATAGTGGTGATTGTTTCACAACATTGGGAATGTACTAAATGCCACTGAATTGTACAGTTTAAAATAGTTAAGATGGTAAATTTATGTCATGTGTATTTTACCACAATAAAAATGGGCAAAGTTTCTGAATAAATATTTCTCCAAAAAAGATACACAAATGGCCAATAAGCACATGAAAAGATGCTCAAACAACATTAGTCATTAGGGAAATGCAAATCAAAACCATGTGATACCACTTTACACCCACTAGGATGGCAATAACCAAAAAGACAGATGTCTTTTGGAGACCTCATATGTAGCTGGTGGGAATACGAAATGTTGCAGCCACTTTTAAAAAGAGTTTGGCAGTTCCTCAAAAAGTTAAACATAGAGTTCCCATACGACCCAACAATTTGCTTTAAAATCAAGAGATATAAAAACATGTATTCACACAAATATCTGTACACGGATATACATAGCAGCATTATTCATAATAGCAAAAAAGTAGAAACCATCCAAACGTCCATCAACTGATGACTGGATAAAAATGGCATATATCTATATGGCAGAATATTATTCAAACATAGAAAGGAATGAATTACTAATGCATGCTACAACATGGATGAACCCTGAAAACATGATGCTATGTAAAAGCAGACAGACACAAAAGGCCACATGTGATTCCCTTTGTGTGAAATGTCCAGAATAGGCAAATCCATGGAAATAGAAAGTAGATTAATCATTGGCAGGAACTTGGAGTCTGGGCAGTTGTTGCAGGGCCGGGGGATGGTATGAATGAGTAGTAACTGCTATAACTGCTACTGCATGTTGGGTTTCTTTCTGGATGATGAAAATATTTTGAATTTAGATAGTGATGATAGTTGATAACCTTGTGATTCTATTAAAAATCCACTGAATTGTAGAATTCAACAGAGTCAAATGTATGGTATGTAAATTATATCTCAATAAAGTTGATTTTTAAATGTTATTTGATTCTTTGAGAAGAATGGTTTTACATAAGCTGAGCTTCTAAAGTACAATGACTTGCAATGCACAGATCTAAACATTATCTTTTAATGATTATAGAGACGACCTACTATGAAGCAGACACCATGCTCTGTGTGCATTTTCTCATTTAGTCCTTACCAAAAAAAAAAAAAAAAAAAAAAAAAAGATACACTGAAAGTCCCATTTGATAAATAAACTTAAGCTCAGTCTGCTGAAATAGCTTGCCCCAAGTCACAGAAGACAGCGGACAAGTTTTGGTTAAAACCCATGGTGTTTTAAGTACATAGGTAAAACTTCTGACTACTGTGCAATCCTGCCTTAATTTATTCAGTGAATGAATTGTCCCTTAGAACGTCCTAATAAACTGCGGGCAGCTACTTCTCCCATAATCCTGATTTTTAAGTCAATTATATGCAGTTATTTACTTTAATGTGTGGTATGACATGGAGAAAAAAATGGTTATAATAGATGCTGCACTGCTTAACCCATATATTCCTTCATGATTGAAGGAGTTATTCCTCAAGTAGCCAGGATGCTGACTGTTGACAACACTTAGCTTTTAGTTCTATCCAGGAACTGACCTTCACCGTAGAGACCCACCACACCTAAAATCACATCTCCTTCCTTGGGCAGCCCATATCCAATCATTGGTGAATTCCAGAGAACAAAGGGCCAGTGTCCCTTGTAGAACTTGGGACAATTCTCAAGGGCCAGCCCAGTTTACGATTTCCCCATAGAATCAATTGAGGCCATCTTGTGTCTGCACTTGAGACAAACTTCTTCCTCTGCCCAACCCTGTTTTTTTCCATTCTCTTCCCCAAGAGTGTGGATCCCAATAAACTTTTTGAATTCTCACCTCTATCTCAGAGTCTGCTTTTTTGGGGAATGCAACTCACAGAAATAGGGATATAACATTTTCTGTCCCTATGAAATTTAATGTTCTTTAAATTCTCAACAATGTACAAGAAAGAAAAAGCAGTGTGAGCTTGGTAATTCCAAATAACAGTTATATTACAATTTCTGGAACATATAAAACAAAATAGATTGTGGTGACTGTCACATTCACCTTCCTTGCACATTTCATAATAATTCCCTTGAAAAGTAAATAATCTATAGCCACATCTGTCCTGTCATGATCTGTTTAAGCCACTGTTGGGCAGTGGATTACTCACAAAAAATGAACAAGAGCATGAATTTATAATAAAAAGGTGGATTTTAAGGGTGTTATACTAATGCTTGAAATAACAAAAGACACCTGAGAGTGGAATACTTAAATTTTCTAGATCATTCATTTGGGGAAACCCAAAGTGCAAGGGAGAATAATATTTTTATCCCCACATACTCTAAGTGACAATGAGAATCAAGAATCCTGGGGTAGTTCTATCTCAAATTTCCTGTCTACCAATGAGAATAATGATACAAATGTCAAAGAACAGCATTTATGAAGTTCCGTGAAAATGAATGATGTAAAATAGTATGTATACTATATTACAGTTATGTAAAAATTATGTGTAAGTATGTTGAACACTCCTATGGCATTATATGCTTCTCTTTAATGTTTTTCTCACTTATTTCTAATTACTTATTTAAAGTCAATATTTCCCCTTACTTGAATATAAATTCCATTAAGGCAGTATTCATGTTTGTCATATTCATTGTTGTATCCCCAAAGTGTCTGGCACTTAGTAGGCACTCAATAAATATTTGTTTTATAAATGAATAAATGCATGAGGAAACGAGTGAATTAATTTAAGAAGGAAGAAACAAAAGAAGAAAGGAGGGAGGAAGGGAGTTATGGAAAAAGGAAAGAAGAAAATATATAGTCATACTTAAAAAGCATAACCATGGGAGTCTTAAAACTGAATTTATTTCAGAATCATTCTGGAATCTGGATAAAATTATATTCCTGGGATACATCCCCAGATACCCTGATTCAGTGAATGTAGAGTGAGGTCCATGAATCTGTACTTAATAATGGTTTGCCAACCACTAATATACTGAGCTATACAAATATAAGGGCTTGCTTATTATTATTACTCAGCAATAATAATAAAGTAATGGGGTTCCTAGTTTAGTCAGAATCTTCCACTTATTCAATCTGGAAAACTGCCATTTTAGTGGCTGATGGTAATCTCTGCGATGTGATATATAAATGGAAATTTATCCTTGAAACAAACTGTCTCTTTAATTTGGGGGAAAACATCTGAGTGCCTCCTTTTAGTGCATGGAAGTAAGTTTCATATCTAATACTAATGGAAGCTAAAGACATAGTTGAACATTATAGGCTTTGTAAGGGCCCTGAGTTGCAATGTTTTTGGTGGCTGAAGCCAGACCCCTACCACAAATGTCTATTTTTATTTACAGGTTTTCATAGGCTTTAGGAAGCTCCTAGGAGAAGAATTGGTAAATACCCAGCTTTTTCCCAGGTAACGTCAAGGTTAGTTGACGTAACCATGTCTGATAGACTGAAATGACCCCAGCTAATACAACTTGGCAGAAAATATTTTGAGCCTGGAAGACAAGAAGAAGCCTTAATTGATATACCAAACTTAATATACAGGATTAAATCATTGAAAGGAAGATCTGATTCTGGACATAGTGCATGACTATTTTAGACTTGTTCCTGACACTGCTATGCTGGCACCACAAACACTGCCTCATAAATGGTTGTATGTATGCTTTAGAAAATATGATTAAAATATTTTCTAATATAGAGTGAGCAATTTTACAGATGGGTTATCTCTGAATAAGCGCAATAGTTTAAAAAAAGATCTTTCTCCCTTCAAATTTAAAGAGAAAAATGGTGAATGGGGCATTTAGATTTCTTCGATTCTGAGGTGATGATATTTATATCTAGTGGTGAGCAGGGACTTTATTTTAATTCTGCCAGGATTTTCCAGGCTTTAGAGACGACCTCCATGCTCTCCAACTAGAAGCGAGGTAACACTCAAGACAACTATGACTAGCAGAATGAGTTGTAGAGACGTCAGCATTGGTGAAGGTTAGGCTCCAACAATTTTGGAAGATGGATAGTGTTAAGAAAACCAATGTATAGACTAGGAAATCTAGGAGGTCTTTGAGAACATCCATGGAGAAGAATAATGGAAAATTTCCTCCTAATGTGGACCATTGGTTTCTGTGAGTTATGGTATTTTGGTTAAATCAAATTATTCACCTCTTCAGTGCCTGTAACCATGGAGCTGAACATGTCTGGAGAAGAAGACATATCCACAAATACAAGGACACAAATTTCGAGTAGGCCTTTAATGCTGCCCTACAATTTTATCTTGTTTTTCTAGTTCATTCACTCAGATATCTTCCTAAATTATTATTTCACATTTTTTTCTTCTCACACTTTTAGCACCTCATTCTTCAACCTCACTCTGAGCTGATGCTTTTTTCCTACTTCACTGAAAAGACTTAATGCAATCAGAAGTTTTCAAAACACCCACCACCTCCTCCTGCTTATCTGCATCTAAAATCATATACTCTTCTTTCTCTTCTAGTATAGTAAGTGACTTCCCTGTATTCATAACTAATGTCAATCCATTCTCTTATGCATTAGATCCCATCCCATCTTACCCACTCAAAGACTATTTCAGCAGTGTCCTCTCTCTACTATATCACCCATTTTTTCTGTCTATTGAATCATTCATAATTTTTCTTTTATGGGAGAAAAAAACCCCTTCGTTGAACCCCACTACCTCCACCAGCTACTGACTCATTTCTCTGCTTCCCTCTAATAGTAATACTCCTTAAAAGAATTGTCTATACCAACTGTCATCAACTCCTCTTTAGTCATTCTCTCCTGAATTTACTCCAAGCTAACTTTTACAAGTAAGATTATTAACTACTGGTAATTCCCACAGTCAATTCTCATCCCTCATGTTTCTTGAACATATCAGTAACACTTTGCACTCTATATCACTACTTTCCCCCTGGAAACACTTTTATTTCAGGATACCATACTGTCTTGATTTTCCTCTTACATTATTAACTTTTCAAGTTACTTTTTCTAGTTTTTTCTCTTCTCTACATTTATTTACTATGGACTATTCCAGGGCTCACTCCTTGAACTGTTTCTTTCTCTACAATCACTTCATAGGTGATCTCATCTATTTTATGTTTTTAAATCCAATCTGTACATTGCTGACTCAAATTTTTATCCTCTTCTTAGACATCTCCCCTGAAATACAGACTCCCATATCCAGCATCTTCACCTGTATGTCTAATAGGCAACTCAAGCTTAACATGTTCAACATGTAGTTCCTGACCTTCACTTCCACAAATTTGTTTCCTTTCTTAATTCATAATCTATTGCTGCATAAAAATTTACAAGACATTTAGTCGCTTAGCACAACACAAACTTATTATTTTATAGTTTCTGTGGATCAGGAAAGAGCTTTGCTGAGTTTTCTGCTTTCAGTGCCTTTCACAAGGTTGCAATCAGGGTATCAGCAAGGCTTGGGGTCTAATCTAAAAGGTTAACATGAGAAGGATCCACTTCCAAGCTCACATTGTTTTTGATAGGATTCAGAGACTTGCTGGCTACCTGCCAGAAGCCACTCTGTTTTTTTTTTTCTTTTTTTGTCACATGGACCTCTCTAATACATCTACTTGCCTCATCAGAGCCAGCAAGGGAGAGAGTCTGTTAGCAGGATGGAAGTGACTATCATATCTGTAATGTAATCCTAAAAGTTACTATCATCATTTTTTTTTTCATATTCTATTGGTTAGGAGGAAGTCACTGGTTCCTCTCTCACTCAAGAGAAGGCAATTATAAGAAGATGTGAAGAGCCATAGGCCTGAATCACATGGTGCCATCTTAAAGTCTGTCCACTACACTCCATTAATGGCAATTCCATTTAAGCCAAAAATCCTTGACATTGTTCATGGTTTCCCTTTCTTGTATACAGCATATATCCGATGGGTAAGTAAACCCTGTCAGTTCTACTTTCAAACTATTCAGAATCCAACCAGATCTCACCACTTCCATTCGTACCACTCTAGTACAAGTGTCCATCATTTCTTTTGGATTATTTTAATAGCTCTCTTACTGGTTACCCTGCTTCCATGCTTATCATCCCTTCATGGTCTATGTTTCATATAGCAGCCGTAGTGATCTATTTGAAAGATAAATCAACTTACATCTCTTCTTTGCTCAAATCCCTCCAACAGCTTCTGGCCTCACTCAAAGTAAAAGCCAAATTTCATACATTGATGTACAGGCCATACACAATCTGGGCACCTGAACTTCTTTGACATCATCTCCTACATTCCTTCTCCATGATAATTCTAGTTTAAGCATACTGAAAATTTGTTAGTTTAACATACCAGATTTACCGTTACATCAGGTTTTTCCTGGATGTTACTGCTACCAGGAACACTTTTTCTAGGTAGTTACATGGCTTTCTTCCTCTACTCTTTAAAATTTTTGCTCAAATGATATTTTTTCAGAAAGGCTTACCCTCATTGCATAATGAATTTTGTAACCACTTATTCCTTTTTATTCTAGCACTCCCAATCCCTTACCCTACTCATTTTTTATCCCACGGTACTTAATGTCTTCTAATATACTACATAATGTACTTATTTATTGGGTTTAGCATCCTTGCCTCAAAAAATAAAAGTACAAAAAGATTAGTAATATTCAGTTTTATTTGTTGATGTATCTATAGTCAGAATAGTGTCTGGTACAAAGTAGGTGCTTAATAAATGTTTGATAATAAAATAAATGAAAATCTTTATTTTGAAACCACAGGATAGTGATTTCCGGGGTCAAGTGAGTAATGGAAATAACCACTAACATTTTTTCAGCAATTACTGTAGTACCAGAATGTTAAAATTGAAATTTCACCTAGGTTATATTATTTAATTTTAAAACTGTACGTGGTAGGGACTATCCTTATGCATATTTGATATTCAAGAAAACTGAGATACAGACATTTTCACTGATGTTTTTCAGTACTGCACAGGTATATAAGTGATGAAATCAGTTTTAACTACTTCTTATGTGATGAAAAATATGTAGTATGTTAATTCTATATATCTAGCCTGCTTATAATGATAGTAACAGTAACAGCTATCATTTAATGAATGCTTCCTATAAGCCAAGCACTGTACGATGCACTTTACATACATTTTTAAATTTACCCCTTACTATAACCCTGTGGAATAGTACTACTATTAGTACACCCATTTCACAAATAAAGAGTAGAGACATAGCCAAGGAAACATAGGTAATGCAGCAGAATAAGTTACCACACTCAAATCTGCCCAACTTCAAACTTTATCTTCAATTTTTTTTGGTTGCTACAAATATTTGTTTATTTATTTAATATGTACAATTATTATTTGTGAATTAAAAATATTTTTTGATTTGCCTGTCCCTGATGATTAGTGATGTTGAGCAGTTTTCATATCTTTGTTAGCCATTTTTTTGTCTTCTTTTGAGAAATGTCTGTTCAGATCATTTGCCCATTTTTAAAATGGGATTGTTTGGGTTTTGGTGCTGAAATGTTTGAGTTTCTTGTATATTCTGGATATTAATCCCCTGTCTTATCAGTAGTTTTCAAATATTTTCTCCCATTCTATATGTTATCTTTTTACTCTGTTGTTTCCCTTGCTGTGCAGAAGCTCTTTAGTTTGACATAATCCCATTTAAAAAATGGTTTTGTTGCTTTTGCTTTTGAGGTCTTACCCATAAAATATTTTCCCAGACCAATGTCTTGAAGCATGTTTTCTTCTATTAGTTTCAGAATTTCGGTCTTATATTTAGATCTTTGATACATTTTAAGTTAATTTTTGTAAAGGGTCGTAAGAGGGGGCTTGTTTCATTCTTCTGCAAACCACGATGAAGTATCATCTCAAACCAGTTAGGATGGCTATTATCAAAAAGACAAAAAATAAATGCCAGCAAAGATACAGAGAAAAGGAAATTCTTATACACTATTGGTGGGAATGTAAACTGTCTCAGGCACTATGGACAACAAGATGGAAGTTCCTTAAAAAACTATAAACAGAACTACCACATGATCCAGCAATCCCACTACTGGGTATATATTTTTAAAAGTATATTGAAAAGACACCTACAGCCCCATGTTCATTGCAGCACTATTCACAATATCCAAGATATAGAACCAACCTAAGAGTCCATCAACGGTTGACTGAATAAAGAAAATGTAGCATATACACACAGTGGAATACTGGTTAGCCATAAAAAAGAATAAAATCCTGTCATTCACAGCAACATGAATTGAACAAGAAGACGTTATGTTAAGTAAAATAAGCCAGGAACATAAAATTAAATACTACATGTTCTCATTCACATGTGGGAGCTAAAAAAAAGTTGATTTTATAGAAGTAAAAAGTAGAACAGAGGATATTAGAGGCTGGGGAGGGTAAGAGGAAGAGATGCATAGGGAGAAATTTGTTAAGGAACAACAAATTACAACCAGATAGGGAGCATAAGTTCTAGTATTTTATGACACTTTTGAATTACTATAGTTAACAGCAATATATAGTTTCAAATAGCTAGAAAGAAGATATTAAATGTTGTCAATGCAAAAAAAATGATAAATGTTTGAGATTGATGTGTTAATTACCCTGATCCAACCATTACATATTATATGTATCAAAAAGTCACTATGTACCCATAAATAGGTACAACTTAAAAAGAAAAAAAATTAAAAATCTATCTTTGTAATCATTAGGTTTGAGTTCTTCAGAAATTTTATTTCTGATATGTGAAATCTTAGCAAGGACAAACTTCTTTAGAGTAATCTGGTCTAACTTTTCTCATTTCCCTCCTTTTCTCTCCTAGTACTTATTGTTCTGTTCCTCAAGTGTTGGCTCTAAAAAATTAATGTATAAGTTTTGCAAACTCTACCCCCTCCTTGGTTTATATATTATAATCCATTCAGATGCATGGTATATTTTCCCCCTCATTTTCCTTCAAAGAAATCAGAGACTGGATAACACAGTGAGCTGAAGTGGACAGAAACAGGCAATTCTTTCTAACAGTTATACCAAATAAACAGAAATCACATAATTAGAAACATATTTGAAATTGATTCCCATGGCAAGCTAGTCTCATTTCAAAGTAAGACTAGCAGATACAGGGAAAATTAATACTTTAGTCAACATTCTCTGCATTTATGATCTTTGCAAAAATCAAAGGAAAGAAACAAATCAAACTCCTCATTTACCATGGACAGCATTTGTATCAGAGACCTCTTGGGGCTCTAGAGAAGCTGCTTAAGCAAAAACTAGTTGAAGCAATAATTTACACAGGAAGCCTGGAGAAACCTATTAGCTAAAAGAAGGATCTGTGCAGCAAATTGGCCTGTTTAATTTATGAAGGCCACAAACTCCTGGAAAAAGAGAAGTCTTTTTTAATGACTGAACTCATAGAGAAGTATGGGGTATCTGAACACCTACAGACACCAAGAGCTGAGAAACAGCAACAGCAGAAGCAGCTCCAGGTTAATTAAATAGCATCACATAGCCTCTTGATAGATGGCAGAGGTGGTGGTAGGGCTGGAAAACTGAAATTTGCTGCAGTGTGTTTGGGGGCACTGGGTTACTGGAACTAAGGTGAGCTCCACCATTGTAAAATCAATTTACATCTCTTTCTTTTTTATTTCTTTACAATTTCCACATAGATAAGCAATAAGCCTCTCTGTGGTTTCTGGATTCTAATAAGAGAGATACATGTGACAGAGATTTTTTAAAAACCTGCTGATTCAAGTCATACATTTGAAGAACACAAATGGAAGACATCCTAGTGGATATTTTTTAGAAATTTCATGGAGTGACTGAGAGAAAGGGTAAGCATGTAGAATTCATCAATTTGTCAACCTCAGGCACAGAAAGTCTCCAGGCAAATACATTAATTTATTTCCTCACAGGAGTTTAGTTCACAGCCTGTGTTCCCACTCTGAACACATGTTCCCTTAAACTGTCAACCTTTTGTTTTGAGAGTCCTAAAGATCCCATTTACTAACCTAAAAAAAATGCACTGCTTAATTTCCTTATTATAGCTAGAATAGGTGATGGTGTTAACAGTTGGCAGTATTTTGAAAGAATTACAAGCCCACAAGCAGGATATTTCCACACTATAGTATTTACATCACACAGGACTTGAAGCAGGAAAGAAGAAAAGAAATCAAGGTGGCCTGTTTGTGTTTTCTAAACTCTGAGTCTTTTTAAAAAATTCTCCCCCTACCCAGGTCACGTCTGCATCTGAGGAGAAATGAGAAGGGAAAAAATGAGTTCCAGTGGAGGAAGGAAAATAAAAAGAGTAGAACAGGCAGCATAAGTGGCACATTAAAATGGTCTGTAGCTATGTTGCTTTGGGGAAATAGAAAGTTAAAAAAAAAAAAGAAAGTTGAACCTCACTCCCCAATTACCCTCAAAACTCCATAAAATGCTACCATACTGTCTATTGCATAATGACCACAAATGAGGGGGCGTCACGCTAAAAGATACAGACATTAAACTGGTTAATCAATAAATAAAATTATAATTACAAATCATGATAAGTAATGTAAAAATAAACAGAATGATACTATAAAACATAATGAAAATGGTCTAGTTTGGACTATTTAGGGAAATGTTTTCTGGAGAAATGACATGAAGGAAAAATAGGAATAAGCCATGGTGGTGGTAGGAGTAGTGCTGGAGTAGCTATGTGGTATAGATGAAATTAAGCATGCATTACATTCATCTTTCCTTGCAATGTAATGATATAATTTTCCACTATCTTATTGCCTCACTAACTACAACCCTACCAGGCAGTAAGGGATGGTTCAATACCATTTTATAAATGAGATGAATGCTTACTCAGAGAGGCTGTTTACTCAGTAACATAGCTATAAAGGGATGTATTAGGCCCTTAGTCCAGGGTACATTCTAGAACACAATTATACCTGAATGAAGTGGAAAGGGAAAACAGAGATAAAGGGAAGGTGTGTCATTTCTACTGGGTCAAACCATTTCTTGTCACACTGTATATTGAATTCATGACAGCAGCTTTGTACTTTCAACATAAATCAGTGCTATAGTTGTATACAGAAATTAGTTTGTTTGCATACATTGACCAATAAAGAAGAGATTCTTAATCGTAAATACTACAAGAGGAGAGCTGACCATAGTAAGGTAGTTCATAATGCCAATCCACAAGGGGCCTCAGGGTGGAAGTGCTCAAGTATCCTTTCTTTAAAAATTTTCAATATTGATAATAGCTAATGCATACTTATTATATGCCAGGCACATTTACAGGTGCTTTACGTATAACTCATTTAATCCTTCCAACTATGTGAGGTAAGTATTATCATGACCCCTATTTTACAGATGGCATAGAAAAGTTATTTAACCTAACTAAGGTTATGCAGCCAGTACATAAAAAAATTCAGATTTGAACCCAACTGGATTGTCTCTGGAATCCCTACCCTTAAAATTATGCTTTTGTTCCTTCTATTACTAAATTGGAGACTGGCTCAAATGCCCTCTTAATGTATGAGGATGAAAATATAATTGGTGATGTTACTTGAGGTTATTCTACCGTACAATAAAAAGTAACCCTTCCACCACAACTACCCCCCTCTAGCTGCAAGAACAACTCTTTAATTGATTGATCTGGGGGAAAAGTATAGAGGTTTCACATACTGATGGGCCAATGTCCCCAGTTCTCTAGAAAACTCCTACAAGGGGTTGGATTGGTGTCTAATTTGGGGTATACAGTGGCATTAAACCCTGGAAGAACAAGATATAGGAATTACCCTTAGTTATTAATAATCTGAATCTCATGAGTGAGAGAGACTTCTTCATAGATAGTATTAAGACCCAGAGCAGAGCGAAGATCTGATCTGGTATCTCCTTCAGTGTCAAACCCCTCAATCCACACTTAAGAGTACTTTTGGAATGATATAACTCCCTGGTTCAAATGTTAGAGAATTCACTATAATTAGGCTAAATAAGTGTTAAATCATCCCCACCCCCAGGACTCACAGGTAAACATGCAACAGTTTTAGCTTCTCTGTCTCTGTTTCAGTCTGGGGTTGGTGTCAATTGTAGACCAATAATCACCCTATGGATACAAATAACGTTAGTGGTATTCAGAATAACTAAGAATATTCAAGAGAGTGAAACAGTAAGCTACAGCCCTTCCTCCCCTCACAGAGACACTGGGTTAACAACAATATATGTGCCGGAATACCTCTGTGAGAACTGTAGAGACCTGGTGAGAAGCTAAAGTACTCAGGCAACTGTAAAAACAAGAATGGATTCCAACAAAAGGAATAAGCAACTTTGTAACATTTGGCACAACCTTTTATGTCTGTCTCCCATATAGCACAATGTGGAGCAACTGGGAAGAAATCTGCCATAATGAGGTTTCTCCCTCAGGACAAAAACAAGAGAGTGGACCATAGACCCAACAATGTACTGGCTTCTGTGGGTGCTACCTGAGGGATTGTTTTCTGTTCCACTTGACATAGACTGCTGATAGGACTGATACCAATTTGGAAACTGCTGAGAACAGAGGCAAGGAGCACATTCGAGCTGCAGCTCCAGGGGCAGATGCAAGGGGAAGTAAGACATGAGAAAATGTCTGAGAGGTCCTAGAATTTCCAGCAGGGAAGATTGCCGAAGGTCTTCCCCTGTACAACGATCGGGAGTGACTATTGTTATTTCGAATGCCGAAACTGCGGCAAAAATTAATGAGCCATACAAAGGAACAAGCAACATGGCCCAATTAAAGGAATAAGATAAAATTCCAGAAATCAGACCTAAAGAAATGCAAATCTATGAACTGCCCGAAGAAGAATTTGAAATAACTGTCATAAAATGATCAATAACTTAAAAGAAAACAGACAAAAAAAATCAGGAAAAAATGAATGAACAAAATAAAATATCAATAAGGAGATAATTACTTAGAAAGAATCAAACATAAATTTTGGAATTGGAAAATAACTGAGCTAAAAAATTCATTAGAGAGGTTTAACAGTAGATTTTATTAGTAAAAAGAATCAGCAAACTTGAAGACAGATTATTTGAAATCATTGAGTCAAAGGAGAAAAAAACAAGAATGACTGAAGTGAGCATCAATAGATGAATGGATAAAGAAAAGGGGGCTATATACACAATGAATTACCATTCAGCTATAAAAAAGAATGAGATTCTGTAATTAGAAACAACATGGATGGAACTGGAGGAAATTATGTTAAGTAAAACAACCCAGGCACAGAAAGACAAACTTCACATGTTCTCACTAATCTTTGGGAGGTAAAAATTAAAACAAACTCATGGAGATAGACAGTAGAATGATGGTTACCAGAGGCTGCAAGGCGGAGGGGACGCAGGTGGGGAAAGTGGGATGGTTAATTGGTACAAAAGTATACTTAGATAGAATGAATAAGATCTAGTATTTGATAGCACAACAGGGCAACTACAGTCAACAATAATCCATTACACATTTTTAAATAACTAAAGAGTATAATTAGGATGTTGGTAACAAAAAGAAATGATAAATGCTTCAGGTAATGAATACCTCATATATCCTGATGTGATTATTACACATTGTATGCCTGTAACAAAATATTTCATATATTCCATATATACATATATATATATACCTACTACGTACCCACAAAAATTAAAAATAAAAATACTCTTTTATATAAAATAAGAATAAACTAAAGCAAAGATGGCCTAAGGGACTTATGGTGAACTTCAAAGGAGACTAATATTTGCATTATGAGAATCAGAGGACAAAAAGCAGGGAAAGAAGCAGAGATCTTATATGAAGAAATAATGGCTGAATAAAAAAGGAAAAAAAGGAAAATAAATAACAATAAAATGGTTATTTTTTTAAAAAAAAGAAAACTTATAAAATCTGACAAAACTAAACTCACATCCCTGCACAGAAGTTATTTTATTTCTGAGTTTTTATTTCCTCATCTGCAAAAGGAAGATAATGATATCTAATTCATATAATTGTTATTAGGACTAAATTAGATAATATACCAAGAGAGCCTGGTACATATTAAGCATTTGACAAATAATAATAATAATCTGTCATTGATTAGTGACTGCCCTCTGTAGATAGGGCACGTACACTCTGATTTGGTGCCAGTCTTTTCACACCAGATTTTTCTCCCAATACTGACAATGAACATTAGTTACCACTTTATCAGTACACTTGCACTGCCATGTTCCATATAATAAGAAAGCTTCTATTTTTCTAAACAAATTATAAACTGAAAGGGCTTTTTATTTCAAGAAAAATAGGGAATAAAAACACTAAAACACAAAATGATCTACAGATATTTCATTTATTGATTTATAAGCAAAGTGGATCTTAGTCACTCTGAAAAGTGCTACTTTAGTTCTTCTACCCATTTGGAAGAACTGTTGTCCTCACATTGTGTGTTTCAAACTGGTTGTTTTCAGTCTCTAAGTTTTAGGATTTCAAAGATCCCAAGATAACTGACTAGTGCATTAAAATAGAAGCTGGCATTATTTGCTTTCAAAAATTGGTTTGAAGCCCAGATGTGCTCAAGAAAAAAGATGTTTCACCTTCTGAAGCTGTGATACTTATTCCCTGTTTGTCCCTATCTTCTCTTCTGCAGATCCATTCTCTACCCTTTCTTGATCTGCTCTGTGCTCTTGGAAGGCTCATCTTTTCTAAAATAATTACTGGAACTCGTTTCCAGGCTTTTAATTAGGTTCTCACTTCTAGTTAGGTGGCACCAGCAGGAGCTTGGAAGGCTGGAAGAGGTAGAGAAAGAAGTCTGAGAAGAGAGGATCCTACATTTAGCCCCACCCACATTCCCTTCCCGTGTTTCACTGTGGTTCCTCCATGGTCACAGTTCTTATAGAGTGGCCCCTCTTCCACAGCTCCAAATTCTCTCTGAACTTCAATAACGCCATTCTCTCACCTTGCATTTTCAAACTTAAAGGAGGAAATGGCTTCTTATTGTGGTTCATTACTGGTAACTTTCACATCCCTAATTAGTTCCCTTAGTCTCTAAGTAGTCTCTTGAAACAGTGAGTTAGATCTTGTCTCCTGGTAATACTTTGACTGATCCACAGCCATTAAAAAAAATCTATTATGTTGTTAAAAACTTACACATAGCCTTATTTTTGGAACTAACCTTGTTAAAGCAAATTTTTAAAACTGTGTGAATAGAATACAAAGATTATTCTTTTTTTTTTTTGAGACAGAGTCTTGCTCTGTCACCAGGCTGGAGTGCGCTGGTGCGATCTCGGCTCACTGCAACCTCTGCCTGCTGGGTTCGAATGATTCTCCTGCTGCAGCCTCCCGAGTAGCTGGGACTACACGTGCGCACCACCATGTCCAGCTAATTTTTGTATTTTTAGTAGAGACGGGGTTTCACCATGTTGGCCAGGATGGTCTCAATCTCTTGACCTCGTGATCCGCCCGCCTCAGCCTCCCAAAGTGCTGGGATTACAGGCGTGATTTAAAGCATAAAATATTTATCATTAAGTAGATAATGACTATTTAAGTGTTTCCTTTTGAAAAGATAAGCTTGCATAAATGTGTACCACTTTAATGTTATTTATTCTGGCATGGAAGAAAACACTGACTGACTAAAGTAATTCTGGTAACAACACTATTATTTTGTCTGATACCGTGTCAGTTCTCATAGCAAACTCTGGAATCAACTGAGGTTAGGTGTTAAGCATTACAGTATTCCATGTTTAGGAAATACTTATTATTTAATAAAACACCTTGTAAGTCTTGGGAATATGTCTTGAAACTCAAAAGGCCAAGACATATTTGCTTGTATTAAAGCCAAACCATTAGGACATTTGAATAAGTGTAATTTCAGCACCCTGGCAACTATGAAAGTCAAGTAGTAACTAAGCAGAATGATGACAATAATTTACTAAAAAGTTAATCTTCCTGGGCCTGTCCTGTGCCAAGGAAAGACTTAACACTTTTTCATTTCTAACCAAAATAGACGTCAATAATCATTGATGTTAACTATCATGACCCTCAACTCTTAAAATATTCTAAAGTGCCTACTGAATTATAAAAGTAATCATGATAGGCTATGGTCTAGTTATGGTTTATGTACACTTAATCAATTATTTTATATCATGTTTGGTAATTGCTAATGCACATCTCATATACTTAATAAACAGTTTTAAATGACTACTTTGTGCAAGAATTGCTGAAAACTATAGATGAAATTATAGTCAATAATAATGTTGTCTGTATATTCTGGTTAATTGAGAATAATTTTGAAGGCCATTATCTATTTTACTCCATTTCCCTACCATACTGGATACAATAAATTTTGCTCTTCATGGCCTACTGTGTTAAGTTAAAATGTAAAATTACTGGGTTACATTTTATATGATGACTTTTACTTTCTTACCTATTTCTAAACTCTCTTACCCCAGATGCTACACTTTATAATGATCAACAGAATGCTATATATGGCTACTTTGGATAAATATTTGTATTGCTAATTGTTTATTTGATAATGTATTCTGCTTTGGGCTGCCTTTGGCATCTGTGACCTTAACAACAAAATTCATGTCTCTCAAACGTGATGTAGTTAAATCAGTTTGGGTTTTAGTTGAAAAAGGGTGAACTGCTCCGAAATGTACTGCCAAGTACGATCCATTTACTTGTGGTCTTTAGGGTAAAAGAAAATTTGAACATGAGCCCTTATCTCATGTTGCTCAAGAAAATGTGTGTGGGGGCCCATTCTACTGCTGGGTATCATTTATGTTTCACATAACATGAGTAACTTGGGGGACAAGCCAACATGAGTTCAATATTTTAAAAACAGGATTTCCAAGCATGGGAATTTGGAAAGAATGTGCCTGTGGGAACTATAATTTCTCCCTCTGCCTCATCCTCTTCATCTAAACAACACCAGTTGAATTGTACCTCCTAAATATCCCTGGAATACACTATTATTCTCCATTTTTACATCACTTCCCTAGAAGGAGTTACCCTTCCCTCTTACCTAGACCATTGCATAGTCCTCTCAACAAGTCTCCCTGCATTCAGTCTTTTTCCATTCCAAACTACTGTTCTTTTTTTTTCTCTTTCTTTGGAGACAGAGTCTCACTCTATCACTCAGGCTGGAGTACAATGGTGCAATCTCAGCTCACTGCAACCTCTGCCTCCCAGATTCAAGTGATTCTCGTGCCTCAGCCTCCCAAGTAGCTGGGATTACAGGTGTGCACCACCACCCCTGGCTAATTTTTATGTTGTTAGTAAAGACAGGGTTTAGCCATATTGGCCAGGCTAGTCTCGAACTCCTGGCCCCAAGTGATCCTCCCCTCTCGGCCTACAGGTGTGAGCCACCCGGCCCCACCCCAAACTACTTTTTATACTGGAGACACATTCGTTGACTTTTCTAAAGCAGAAATCTGATCATGTCACCTCCTGCCTTGCCTTAAGTCTTCCCATTGCCTATTGAGTTCAGTTAAAATGTCTTCATAAGGCACGCAAGTACTAGTCTTATCTCTTGTCACTAACCACTTCTATATTAAATACACGTAGTGTTATTTCACCCTATAATCATACTAAACTGCACACAGCTGTACACATATTCATTTCTTCTTTCATATCCAGAGCACTCTAATTTTACTCATTCTTTTATGTTTTTTAATTTTTGTGGATACTTAGTAGGTTTGTATATTTATGGGATACATGAGATGTTTTGGTACAGGCATGCAATGCATAATATTCACATCATGGAGAATTGGGTATCCGTCCCCTCAAGTATTTATCCTTTGTGTTACAAACAATCCAATTATATTCTTTTAGTTATTTTTAAATGTAAGATTAAATTATTATTGACTAAAGTCGCCCTGTTGTGCTAGCAAATACTAGGTCTTATTTATTATTTCTATTTTTTTTTTACCCATTAGCCATCCTGCCTCCTCCCATCCCCCACTACCCTTCCCAGCCTCTGGTAACCATCCTTCTACTCTCTATCTCCATGAATTCAATTGTTTTAATTTTTAGTTCTTTAGGTCTCAGCTAAGATATCCTTCCTCCAGGAAGCCTCCTCTGACTCTCAAAGACTGTGTTAAATATCCCTCTTTAATTTTATCATAACACTGTTATTCCTTAAACACACCACTTAATCCTACTATTTAATTATTTAATTACCTGCTTATTTGTCTAGCTTTCTCCACCAGATTGTAAGCTCCTGGAGAATAGTGCTCCTTTATTGCCAGTGTTGAGCAAATTAAAGACATCCTGCTGAGGCAGAGAATCATCTTGAAAAGATGTATAGCCAGGCGCGGTGGCTCACGCCTGTAATCCCAGCACTTTGGGAGGCCGAGGCGGGTGGATCACGAGGTCAGGAGATCGAGACCATTCTGGCTAACACAGTGAAACCCCGTCTCTACTAAAAATACAAAAATTCGCCGGGCGTGGTGGCGGGCGCCTATAGTCCCAGCTACTCAGGAGGCTGAGGCAGGAGAATGGCGTGAACCCGGGAGGCGGAGCTTGCAGTGAGCCGAGATCGCGCCACTGCACTCCAGCTTGGGCGACAGAGCAAAACTCCATCTCAAAAAAAAAAAAAAAAAAAAAAAAAAAAAAAAAAAAAAAGAAAAGATGTATAAAGGAAAGAAAACCACTTTATTATTGAATTAGACCTAAACCAGATTGCAATATGCATCATAGGCAATCAGCTAGGAGATTACAAAAACAGAAAGAAATTCCACCCTATATAACACCTACTGGCTACAATCTGTTATATATATGTTCTCAAAATTGAAGGTAACTTGTGCTCCTATAAAAGGACATTACAACACCATTTGTTATGTATTCTTTTACAGTTCATCCCAAATTGACCTGGCAACTAAGGTAGCCATTTTTGTTAGCTAATTGCCTTCATATGAAGGTATAATATAACTTCTATCACTAAGACAAATATGTGGTTACAACTCAGAGCAAGGCACTCCTATAGCATCAGGGGGATAGGGACACTATATTACTTGATGTTTACCTCTTAAAGAGGTGGCTTCTAGGCCCTTAAGAAAACTCCTCAGTTATGAAGCTGGAAAGAAGCTTACCTAGACTTTAAAAATATCTACAGAGCCATCAAAGGGACAGAGGAAGGATCCACAAACAATAGGTTTCTCACAGAAATGTGCTGAGAAAGGGAGGGAGAAAGACTACTTTTCTTTTTAGCAATGAGAAAAGATCCAGTTTAAAACTACACTAGTCAGCTCAAATAGATAGAGCTTTGTCCCCCCTTGATATGCAAGCCTCCCTAGTAGAACATATTCTCTCTCTCACAATCCATGTGCCCCTTAGCAAAGAGGTAGGATTATTTGTTCCTTACTCTCCATTAAAGAGTAAATGTATTGAGAAAGTTAGACCCATGGCTTAAAAATACATACATATGTTGATGAAATGCTCAGATTATATAGTTGGCTGAGACGATTTCCTTGAACTCATATACAAGACTCATATACAGAGAATATATTAAAATATTTAAGGATCAGTATTGCATGGACATTGGCCAATCAGAAGAGATACAGCCTATATCCTATACAGGTGTATTTCCACTGAATAACTAAAAGCCATCTTAAATGTAATGTGTCCAAAATATCTATCCTTAGGCTATAATTACCATAATCTTTTCCCTATCAGTAAAAGGCCACTCCCTTCTTTTAGCTGCTTGGGCCAAAAAAGTGGGAGTCATCACTGACTTTCTCTTATACGCCACATCGACTTTATCAGGAAATCCTGTTGTCTCAAACTTAAAAATGTATTCTTAAATCTAAGCATTTCTTATTGCCTCCACTGTTAATACTTTAGTCAAAACTATAATAATTTTTTGCCTGGATTACTGCAAAAGCAATAATCCTAATAATCCTAAGTAGTCTCCCTGTTTCACACCTTGCATTTCTGCATTCTCTTCTCTATACAAGATCTGGAATAATACTTAAAAAATCCCAAATCAGATCATGTTTCCCCTCTACTCAAATCTTCAATGACTTCCAATTTCACTAGAGTTTAAGTCAAAGTCTCTGCACTGGCTATTTCTTCTGTCTTGAACTCTCTTTCTTGAGCTATTTGTATGACTGTCTCCTTTACTTCATTCACCATTTTTGGAAGTATTTTTTAAATACATTTTATTGAGATAATTTACATACTATCATATTCACCATTTTAAGGTATACAATTCAGTGGTTTTGGTATATCCACAAAGTTCCACAGCCATCACCACTGTCTAATTCAAGAAACTTTTCATCACTTCATGAGTGCTAAAAACCTTAGACAAATTAAATTTAACAGAGTTTAACTGAGCAAAGAAAGGTCTGTGTAACAGCCCCCAGAATCACAGAAGATTCACAGAGACTCCAGTGCAGTCACGTGGTGGAAAATTTATGGACAGAAAAAGGGAAGCGACATTCAGGAAACAGAAGAAGTAAGGTACAGAAACAATTGGATTGGTTACAGCTTGGCGTTTGCCTTATTTGAACCAGACTTAAACAGGTGGCTGCCTTTGAGTGGCCAAAACTCAGTGATTTGCACAAGCCTAGGTTAGAGTCTGTTCACACATCTGGTTACGCTGCAGTTCACTATGTATGGAGAAACCTTTAGGTCAAACTTAAAATATGTAAGGGGGCAACTTTAGGCCAAACTTAATTTAACAAAAGGAAACCCTGTACTTATTAAGGAGTTACTTCCCCATTCATCCCCTGTCCTCACACACTGGCACACACACTTTCTGTCTCTATAGAGTTGCCTATTCTTGTCATTCACACAAATGGAACTATATAATATGTGAACTTTTGTGTCTGCCTTCTTTCACTTAAGCATAATATTTTCCAGGTTAATTCTTTTTGTAGCATATATCAGTACTTCATTCTTTTTTGTCTGTTAAAATATTCCATTGTATGGATATTTTATAATTTTTTCATTCATCAATTGATAGACAGAAACACTAACTTTTAAATGTTAAAGAATAAGTTTGACATTAGTGTATCCACAATTATAATAGATAATGTCAATATTATACATAGTGTAAACAGGATGCTATGTAGAAGTGATATGAATTATTTGCCAGCAAGTGTTTTTTGACAAGGTCCTTTCTGGCTTTTGTTTTATTAAATATGTGAATACAGTATATTCATCAATCTCTTACCTCTGAAAACTTGGTATATGGGGTGGAGTTAGCCAGATCTCTAGAGCAACAATGGAGTTTTCAGTCCGTGCTTGTAAGAGCAACACACTGTAGTTATGACTATGAATCTGAACATCAAGGCATTGTCATAAAAAAAAAAAAAACAGCCATCTGGGAATGGCTTTGCCACCGTGTTTTTTTTTTTTAATCTGTGTAAAGCACTATTCAATGAGGCACTCAACACTGTGACAGACTTGTGTGCTGTGCCCAAAAATGGCTAGACAGTTCTAAGAGATCTTTGCGACACCATGACTCTCAGTGATCCACTGAGAGTCCTGGGACTCACCTGCATCATATTCAGGAGCTGTGGCCTTTATAGCTGGAAAATAGGCCTCAGCCTGGAAAAATCTCTGGGTTCCTACCACCTCCTTTTACTTCCAAGGGCAGCCTGCTTGCTTTTAGAAAGACTTCACTGAGCCACACTTGCTCAGACCTTGCCCAAATCTGACTTTGTCTTGAGGGGCTTTTTCAGTTGATAAAATTCACTTACTATCAAGTTCACTATTTAAAAGTATATCACTTAGTAGTTTTTAGTATATTTACAAGGTTTTACAACCATCACCACTGTCTAAATTGAGAATGCTTTCATCACCACCAAAAAAAACTCCATACACAGTAACAGTCACTCTCTACCCACTGTCCTCAGACCTTGGCAGGCACTAATCTACTTTATGTCTCTATGATTTTGCTTATTCTGGACATTTCATACAAATAGAATTGTACGACATGTGTCCTTTTGTGTCTAGCTTCTTTCACTTAGAATGTCTTTGAGGTTCATTCATGATGTAGCATACATCAAACTGTGTTCCATTTTATGGCTAATATCCCATTTTATGAATGTACCACACTTTGTTTCCCCATTCATCAAGTGATGGACATTGGGCTTCTCTCAACATCTTTAATATTATAAATAATACTGCTATGAACTTTCATGTACAAGTTTTTGTGTGAACATATCCTTAATCTTTTAAATTAAATATCCTCTTCTCAGTGAGCCCTGACCTAACAATCTTATCTAAAATAATAGCATCTCCTTCCATTTCCTGATATTCTCTATTCCTATTCTCTGGGCTACTTTTTTGCATGACACAGGTGGCATTTTGCTTATTGTTCATCTTTCTTCACTAGAATGCAAACTATATGAGAGCAAAGAATCTTTTTTTTTTTTTTTTTTTGACAGATTCTCGCTCTGTCAGCCAGGCTGGAGTGCAGTGGTGCAATCTCGACTCACTGCAACCTCTGCCTCACAGGTTCAAGCAATTCTCCTGCCTCAGCCTCTCAAGTAAGGAATCTTATCTGTCTTGTTTAATGCTATAGCCTCAATGCTAGAAAAGGGCCTGACACAAAGTATATATACAATATGTGTTTGTTGACACTTTCTATGTCCTTCCTTCAGAGCTATTACTGTCCCCACTGCCCCACATACACCATGACAGGAAAGGCCAATCCCAAAGAGAAGATTTTGTTCATACACCTTCTATACCAAAGGAACTGAAAGAGATATATGTGTGGATATGCTCTAGACACTCGATCTCCTAGATGCCACTATGCTCTCCTAAGCAGAATGGAGGAACTAGGAGTAACTTTGCAGGGGGATATGAGTGGAGGGCACATATTCCTCCCTCCATAAAGAGAAAAATAATATGATAGAACTGTCTAAATTTCATGAAATGTGTACTGTGAAGGATGCACATATGGGCTTTGGAAGCAAAAGGCCTGGGTTTGAATCCCTACTTTGTTGCTTTTTAGCTGTATGACCTGGAGTAAGTTAGTTTCTTTAGTTGAGTTTTCTGATGTGTAATACAGGGATAATAATTGTACCTATCTCATGGGGTTGTTGTGTGAATATATGTGTTAAGAAATGTAAAGCATTTTTAACAGCGCCTGGCACATAGTAATTATTATCATTATCGTTGTCATCATCATCACCGTCTTATAAAATGTAAAACAGCTCATAATATTCTTTATTTCATAATAGCACAGAAATTACAAAATTCCCATCAATGTGGAAAACAAAGAAAAATGACACTTTGATATCAACCAACTGACAATGGCACTTCAAGCAAAGAATTTCAGATAATAATCAAAATATATCAACTAAAATTTAATGAGATTCAGTGCAGTATGGTAATTAAGAACACAGTCTCTGGAGCCACACTGCCTGGGCTCAAATCCTCACTATACTGTTTACTAGCTATGGGACCATGGACAAGTTATTTAACCTCTTTTTGCCTCGGTTTCGATTAAATGAGGATAATAAGAGTACCTAGTTTATCGGGTTGTTTTAAGAATTAAGAAAGTTTGTACATGTGATGAGCTTATAGTAAATACTCAATATATTTTAGCTGTTACCACTGGGTAGTATGTGCTAAGCACTATGCATGAAGACCTCCACGACAACTACATCTAAGTAACCTAAATCACTCACAAATATTTTATCCATGCTGTGCCTATAATAAAAATCTTTAAGTAACAATGAATTTCTGTCTATCATTTTTACATAACTGCATCTCCTTAAGGGCCTATATCATTTATCTTCGTATCTCAGTTATCTAGGAGATTACTTAGACTACAGAATGTGACAGTCCCTAGAATATGGTAATTGATAAATGCTTGAGAGTAGAAGGACAAAGGGACAAAAGCATATAGGCCCCAGTCAAGCTAACTGTTGCTACTGTTGCTACCCCTCTGCTCTGAAGTCTATTTCTCCATTTATTTTATACACAAGCTTTCTGACTCATGGTTCTCTATGTTCTGCTCTCTTGAGCTACTAGGCTAAAGGGCTAAAATAGGTAGCAGAGAAACCTCAGAGGTTCCTACCTCATTAGCAAATTAGCCATACATGTATCTAGAATAGTTAAGCCCCAATATGTAAGTTTTCAAGCAATACTTTGACACTTCTAACACTATTTTTATGAATGATCTAAATATGTACAGCCTCAGTTTTAAGTAAACTCAGAAATAACTACACTGATTCTAATAAACTTCTTCACAAGAAAACAGGAGACTCTGTCTAAGAAATTTTAAGATAGACTTTAAATTGCCAGAATAAGGCCTAGAAATAATGAAGAAATAATGAAGTAAAACAGGTCATTTTATAGTAAGTTGGGTCAACATCTGTCAGAGTAATTGCAAAACAGCATGATAGGGCAGGTCTAATTTTTAAATTATGAAATCAAAACTGACAGACAGTGTATTTATGATTTTACATTTGAAATGAGCTGTCAGTATCAAAATCGAGTAGTTGACAATCCCACAGCAAACTGAAAATCACAAGCCAAATGTAATAGTCATCATCTTCTGAAGTTTCTCAAATTTGATTTAATACACCAATATACCATCTAAGCTTTTAGTTAATACTAAAATAGATCATACAGAGAATTAAGTTACTCATTTCTCATTAAAAAAAATTGCTATGGCAAAATAGCAATCATCAGGGAAGTGTTTAAATCCAAGGCCTCCAAACAAAATTTTATTATTTTGAGTGGGTAAGGGGAGCAAAAGAAAAATTATTCTTCTAGCTTTATCCCCAGAAATGACATCCCCTTCTCCCCAAGCAATGCCAGAGGAACTATACTTTATGTAACAAAAACAAACAAAAAACACACAGAAACATGTATTTTCCTGTGTTTGATTATCATTTCTTTTGTTATTTCCCAAACTTCAATGGTGTATGAAGAATTGTCTAGCAGTTCCAGGGTAACAAAGAGCAGAACTTCTGATCTAGAAGTGACAAACTACAAATAGGAAATGATGTATGTATAGTTAGATGCTCCTAGAAATGCTGAGGATTTACTCTTTCCAGGCTCTCTTGAACTTGTGAATTCAGCATTGTTACCTTTGATTTGGATATCCATCTACTATCCTCTTTGCCTGATTGAACTCTTTTTATTTTTTAAATATATTTTTAAGTAAAATATACGTATATAACTTACAATCTTTATCATTTTTAAGTGTACAGTTCACTAGTAATAAATGCATTTATACTCTTTTTTTTCCTCCTTTCTCCTCCTCCATCCTCCCCTTCCTGGCCTCTGGTAACAACCAATCTACTCTTTATCTTCCTGAGATCAACATTTTTAGCTCTCACGTGAGTATTTGTTTTTCTGTGCTCATGTCACTTAATGTAACATAATGACCTTTAGTTTCATCTATGTTGCTGCAAATGATAGGATTTCATTATTTTTATGGCTGGATAATATTTCATTTTCTATATATAAACATTTTTATTTTCCCTTATCTGTTGATGGGCACTTAAGTTGATGGGCAGCTAAGTTCCTTATCTTGTCTATTGTGAATATTGCTGCAGTAAACATAGGAGTGCAGGTATCTCTTTGATATATTGAGTTTCTTTTTTCTGAATATACACCCAGTAGTGGAATTGCTGGACCATATGGTTGTCCTATTTTTAGTTTGTTGAGAAACCTCTATACCATTCTCCTTAGTGGCTGTACTCATTTACATTCCCACCAACAAGTGTAACAAGAGTTCCCCTTTCTCCACATCCTCGCCAGCATCTGTTATTGCCTGACTTTTTGATACAAGCCATTTTAACTGGGGTGAGATGATATCTCATTGTGGTTTTCACTTGCATTTCTCTGATGATCAATTATGTTAAACACCTTTTCATATACCTCTTCGTCATTTTATGTCTTCTTTGGAGACTGTTCATATCTTTGCCCATTTTTAAATCAGATTATTTGTGGGTTATTATTACTATTATTTTTGCAATTGACTTGTTTGTACTCCTTCTATACGCTGGTTATTAATCCCTTGTCAGATGGATAGGTTGCAATTTTCGTCTCCCATTCTATGGATTGTCTCTTTATTTTGTTGATTATTTTCTTTGTTGTGCAGAAGCTTTTTGGCTTGATGTAATTCCAATTGTCTATTTTTGCTTTGGTTGCCTATGCTTTCGGGGTCTTACACAAAACAGTCTTTCCGCAACAACGTCCCAGAGAATTTTCCAAATGTTTTCTTCTAACAATTTAATAATTTCAGGGCTTACACTCAAGTCTTTAATCCATTTTGATTGATTTTTTTGTACGGTGAGAGATAGGGGTGTAGTTTCATTCTTCTGCATATGAATATCCAATTTTCCCAGCACAATTTATTGAAAACACTGTCCTCCCATTGTATTCTCTTGGCACCATTTTTGTTTTGTTTTGTTTTTACTTTTACAATTTTTTAAACTTTTAAGTTCAGGGATACATGTGCAGGCTTGTTACATAGGTATACTTGTGTCATGGGGGTTTGTTGTACAGTTTATTTCATCACCCAGGTATTAAGCCTAGTACCCATCAATTATTTTTCATGATTCTGTCCCTCCTCCCACCCTCCACCCTTCAAAAGGCCCCAGTTGGTGTTGTTCCCCTCTATGTGTCCGTGTATTCGCATCATTTAACTCCTACTTATAAGTGAGAACGTGCAGTTTTTGATTTTCTGTTCCTGTGTTAGTTTGCTAAGGATAAAGACCTCCAGCTCCATCCATGTCCTTTGTTGAAGATGAGTTGGTTTTAAATGCATGGATTTACAGCTGGGTTCTCTACTCTGTTACATTGGTCTATGTAAACTCTTTTTATTCTGTAAGGTCCTACTCAATTACCACTAATAGTGATAATATAAAGTAATTCCATTACTGGGTATATACCCAAAGGATTATAAATCATGCTGCTATAAAGACGCATGCACACGTATGTTTATTGCGGCACTATTCACAATAGCAAAGACTTGGAACCAACCCAAATGTCCAACAATGATAGACTGGATTAAGAAAATGTGGCACATGTACACCATGGAATACTATGCAGCCATAAAAATGATGAGTTCATGTCCTTTGTAGGGACATGGATGAAGCTGGAAACCATTATTCTCAGCAAACTATCGCAGGGACAAAAAACCAAACACTGCATGTTCTCACTCATAGGTGGGAATTGAACAATGAGAGCACATGGACACAGGAAGGGGAACATCACACACCAGGGCCTGTTGTGGGGTGGGGAGAGAGGGGAGGGATAGCATTAAGAGATATACATAATGTTAAATGACGAGTTGATGGGTGCAGCACACAAACATGGCACATGTATACGTATGTAACTAACCTGCACATTGTGTACATGTACCCTAAAACTTAAAGTATAATAAAAAAAAGAGAGAAAGTTGTAATACAAGGTACAAAGCGGTACAGGCTGTGAAACGGTACAGTAAAAGTACTGTGGAATTCTAAATGTTAAAAAAAAGACAATTAGGTTAAGATAGTATCTGCCAGATCTCTCCACTAAGTTACTTGCCAAAGAGCTTTCTTTGATTTTTCTAGTCAAAGGAATATCTCTTGATATCTTGATGTCTTAGAGTCCAGGGCTGGCCAGCGGCTGGAGGATAAAGAATAAAAAGCGAACTTGGTATCTGAGCTAAAGTATTGCGCCTGCTCTATTGGAGGAAGGGGATTGGCTATTTTATGCACATCCAAGTAAATGGGGTTTCTTGATTTGAGCTATAGCCATGGTTATTCAATTCAATTCCTTTCAACCCAATGACTATTAATCAAGCACTTAGTAAGTGCTCAACTATATTCTTGATGCTATTATGGGGAAAAGGAATATCAATATTGTTCCTGCCCTTCTGGAATTCATAACCTCATTGGATTAACAAGCATACACTGAAGTTAAGTAATGATTAAGTGTCCAACTGTGACGTACGGATTATACATTCTTAAGTAGTTCATAGGATGGGACGCCCTGGTAAGTTAGACTAGTCAAGGAAGACTTCTGAGAAGAGAGAGAATGTGAGGTGGATCATTAAAATATAAAATAATTTGAATCATGTTCTGTTTGAAAATATATCTATTAACTGGAATTAGCAGAATGGTTAAAATATTTATGAAAATATTTATGATCTCAGTTATTTTAGAAACTCTCAATAAAGATCTTAGGCAAATTGCTTAGCCTTGTTGGACCTCAGATTTTCCATATTTAAAATGAGGGAGTTTGGCTGGATGATTTCTAAGAACCCTGGGAGTAAGACACATTCAAGCTATGATTCAACAATTAGTTTCATGCTATGAGAAATTATGTGCTTGAAGAGAACAGCTACCTTTCTTTAAAAAGTATTGTAATTTTAATCTTTTACTAATTCAAGCTTTGTTTTACCCAGATAACAAGGTTTTTGGCAGTGTCAAACACTGGCCTACAGGGGCCAACCTGTTGCATAAATATGTGAAGTGACTGGGTGTTTAAAACTTAGGATTTGTGGAAGTTGTGGTAAGTTTTAGAGTTCCTGCCCTAGGTGCTTCTTAACTCTAGCTTACTATTGCCAGCATGAACGTGAGACCAATGTGGCAAGATCTTCCATGTTCAAAGGAAATCATAAATTTAGATTTTTAGGTAAAATATCTAGACTTTTCCAATTTTTCAGCCATGTGGAGGTCTACACACTCTTGCTAAAGCAATGTATGTGTGTGCATGCCAAAATCAGCCCAAGGATCGCCAGTTTGTAACCTCTCTTATACTAATACTCTCTATTGTTCAAGATAAAATTAATTCTTAAGTGTCATGACTGCTATAGTGTTGTCATTTCACATAGTTCAAGATGAAAACTTTATTTCACACATAGATGACATATCTGAATGAACATCGAGCAGGCAAGAAAGTTGAGTCGGTTATGGGACAGAATTTATCCCAAGTCACCATACCTTCTCATAATAACCACCTTGTGGCCAATAGCATATACTTGTAATATGGCTGGCTAAAGCCAACATAGGAGAGTTTATAAAGCCTTTTTGTCTCTGCATGGATGTTACTCTATACCATGAGGTAGAAATGAACACATCATATGTCATTCTAAATTCTTGAATAGAAAAAATTTTGTTTTTGACCTATGTTCATTTTAGAGATTAAGCATAATTCTCTTGCTGTTCTTTGCAGCTGTTACTAACAGGCAATTAATAGGGAGGGATCTTCCCACCCAGGAAAATTTTTAGCTTATTCCTAGAGAGATTTATATCTGAGATCTGATCCAAGCATCACTTCGAAACAATTTGAGAAGTAAACTGCTAATGTGTGTTAGAAAAAGATACCATGGAAAAAATGTACAATTTTCCACAACATCAGTGAAACGTAGAGTGAGAATGTACTATCAAAAGTCACCTAGTATTGTCCAGTATTCCAAATCCTTGCAACGCTCTTCTCCATGACAACCTTAACATTTTAGACATGCTGTTCTCCCTGTGTGGATGCTTTCCCCCCTAATTGAAGTTAACTAATATTATTGAGCACACATTCAGTACATAGCAATTTAATAGTCACTGAGAATTCTGGAATAAATAGGGCATGACCCTTCTGTAACGTAGCCTCCAATCTCATGTTGCATAGTATATCTAGCAAACTAAATATATCAATGAATTTAAGACTTGGCTTTAGACTCCTGTTACCCAATAGAAAGCTTTTCACAGCCAAGTCCAATGACATCACCATTATGATAATGGTGATAGTTATGAAGGTCATTAACTTTCTTTTGTTTATTTGCTACTTTGCTCTCATATTGCCTCAAATATGTATGGAGATCTAAGCAGCTGGATGTTAAGTTCTTCAAAGTGATTGACTAATCTTTCAAGCCTTTGTGTATACACACACACACACACACACACACACGCACGCACACACATACATGCTTTAAGGACTAGACTATGTATATATATATATATATATATATACACACACACATATATATGTGTGTGTGTATAAAGTATGTGTGTGAGTGTATGTGAAGAGCTGGGTGTGCAGCATAAAGTGGTTAATTCCACAAATATGATAGAATTAAGAAATCTCATGTCATTTTGTTTCTAAACTGAAAGGCAAGTCCTCATATTGAGTAAAATGATAATTTATATCCACAGAATACATCTAGTTCAGAGAAAAGAGCATTACATATGATGAGGGAAGACAAGATCAAGAGCTGTTTCTGATTTACTGTGTGACTTGTGGTAAATCACTTCCAATGCCTGAGCTCCAATTCCCATCTCTGTAAAATGGTATAATGGCTTTCTCCTTTTATCGAGAGTTCAGAGACTAAAGATACCAACCATGAGGTTTATTCTAAATTGGTAATTATTTTTCATTAAATATTGCTGCTGCTTTTCAATAATAATTGTTATATTTCATTAACACCCTTCCTTGTGGTTTCTCTTCTTTCTACCAAATAACCTCCATTCTCTAAATATTTCTGCAGATTGCTTTACACTCCATCCGTACTACAAAACATTCCAAATAAATAAGGTGATATGTCTATACATGTTTTTGTAGTTAATCCAAGATCTCCCTGATTTCTATTAAGCCTTTAATAATAAATCTACTCTTTAACAAGAAAAATAATAAATGAGGTATTCCACGTAATTATACTGTTTAATCACTGTTAATAAAGCTGCCATGTATGACGTACCTCATTTTATTTATTTATTTTTTTTTTCGGAGACCAAGTCTCACTCTGTCACCCAGGCTGGAATGCAGTGGCAGGATCCCAGCTCACTGCAACCTCTGCCTCCCAGGTTCAAGCGATTCTCCTGCCTCAGCCTCCCCAGTATCTGGGATTACAGGCGTGCTCCACCATGCCCAGCTAATTTTGTATATTTAGTAGAAACGGGGTTTCACCATGTTAGCCAGGCTGATCTCGAACTCTGGACATCTGGTGATCTGCTTGCTTCAGCCTCCCAAAGTGCTGGGATTACAGGCATGAGCCACCACACCCAGCCAAGCTTTAATTTTTTTAAAAAATATAGACTATAATAAAGTATTCTGATAAAAAATGTTTTATAGTTAAGAAGGCAATTAAGAATTGACAAGCTTATCTTAAAATACATATGGAAATGCAAGGTATCCAAAATAGCTAAAATAATCTTAAAAAATAATACATTTGGAGAACTCAAACTTTCTGATTTCAAGAGATATTACACAGCTGCAGCAAGCACAACAGTGTAGTAATAGCATAGGACTGACATATAGACCAATGGAACATAATTGAGAATCCATAAATAAATCTTTGTTGATTTTACCAAGGATACTAAGACAATTCAATGAGGAAGAGATAGCCTCTTTAACAAACAGATCTGGGACAACTGGATATCCACATGCTGAGGAGTTTGGCTGCAGGCCAGACTTTTATGTGATCTTTCAGGACAGAACATAAGCAATTACAAAGTCTTTGTCTGGCAAGCTTCATAGGGGAAAGTTGCCTTCCCCACACCAGACTTGATACAAAGCCAGTGCATTTCAAGCTCTGGAGGGAGTTGCAGTCCAGGACCTAGCTCCCACTCCCACTCCCACCACCCACCACCCTCACTGTTCATGCTCTTACACATATCTTTATGTCCCAGGTGTCTCAACACAGAGACTTCCTCATCAAGGACCTTGAAGGCAATTATCTCTAGTATGTAGTAGTTTTTCAGGATAAGCCCTTGCCTTAGGTCCATAAAACAGCAGGGGCCCTTTTTTGGGGGGAATTACTCAGTAAAGAGATGATTCCTTACCTGTGCTGATATACTTAGTCTTCACCCTATGCCCTTCTCTGGGAAACAAATGGAATACTGGGGGATCTGGCACCTGCTTCCATGCTACTGTATGTTAGCAAGTGAATTAAGGCTTGATTGTTACTTTCAGTTTGGTTTTTTGTCCTAATTGATCGCCTTGATACCTGACAACTCATGATACGTATGACAGAATGAAGTTGGACCCCAACCTCACACTATGCACAAACACAATCTCAACATGGATCATAAACCTAAATGTAAGTGCTAAAAATATAAAATTATTAAAACAAAACCATAGATATAAATCACAAAGACCTTGTCTTAGACAAAGCCTTCTTAGACACCAAGCGCAAGCAACAAAAGAAAAAAATAAGATAAATTTGGCTTCATTAAAATTAAAAACTTTTTTGTTTTAAAGAAAGCCAAGAAGAAACTGAAAAAACAATCCACAGAATGAGATAAAACACTTCCCAATCATACATCTTATAGGGGATTTGTATTCAGAATACATAAAGAACAGTTGCAACTCAACAACAAAAAGGACCAAGCATAGTGGCTCATGCCTGTAATCTCAGCACTTTGAGAGGCCAAGGTGGGTGGATGCTTGAGCCCAGGAGTTCAAGACCAGCCTGGGCAACATTACAAAACTCTGTCTCTACAAAAAAAATACAAAAGAAAATTAGCTGAATGTGGTGGTGTACACCTGTATTCTCAGCTACCTGGGAGGCTGAGGTGGGAAGATTACCTGTGTCCAGGAGGTCAAGGCTCTAGTGAGCCACGATTGTGCCACTGCACTCCAGCCTGGGCAACAGAGTGAGACCCTGTCTCAAACAAAGAAACAAAACCAAAACCCCCAAAACAAAAAGAACAAAGAAAAAACAAAAACAAAAACAATAAAAAATGATCTGAATAGATAGTTCTCCAAAAAAGATATACAAATGGCCAATAACCACACAAAAAACTGTTCAACATCAACATCATTATGCATCAAATAATGCAAATCAAAATCAATGAGACACCAGTTCATATTCACCAGATTGTCTAAAAAAGATAATAGGTTGTCAAGCTAAATAAGAAACAGTCTTTTAAATATATATATGTACAGATATATATATCTGACATGCCTACTTCCATTACAATAATTAATCCCTATATACATATATATGTATATATATGTGTGTGTGTATATATGTGTGTGTGTGTGTATATATATATACATAGGGATTAAGTATTGTAATGGAAGTAGGCATGTCAGAGTGACATATGGTCATTTATTAAGATGGCCTCATCCAAACTAGATCCATAATAATATTAAAAAGCTTCTACCAAAAGGAGGGAGGCTCAGTCTGACAGAAAACTCACCAAGGCAGAAAAAGTGAGTCATGGAACAGGAGAACTTAAAGGGCTCAAGTGAGTACCATACACTGGCTCCAAAAATCACTGATTCTTTCCAATTGTGATGTTTTCTACATCCCACTTCTGACACCACAAAAATCAACCTAGATAATAGGGAGAGATTTTTCTAAAAGAAAATATATTTACTTGGGAATAAAGGATTATAATGCGAATACATATGTCATAGTAAACTATGTATGTACTCAGGGAGATAAAGGAAGACAAAGGCTTTTAAAGGCAAAAATGAGGAAGATGACATAATTGTTTTGAAACAATCAGCCTTGACTATAAAGATCAAAAACAAGAGTGATGCCAGTCTGAGGGTGGATAGAGAGTTGCTGGGAAGATGTTCTACCAGAAGTATTTTTTTGCATAAGGTTGTAATAGTCTTTGTGTAGATTTCTGTTTTTGCAGTCTTTTTGTAATCAGGCTTATAAGCATGAAAATCCTATCTTTATGATCTTTCTCATCTATATTTGTCAAGGTTTTCTTAACAGTGGTGACTATTTTGATTTTGACAACTTTTACAAAACATTGGCAATGATGTGGAGAAATGTAAACTCTTGCACATTGCTGGTGATATTTTAATGGTTTAGCCATTTGGAAAATAGTTTGGCAGTTTGCCTAAAGGTTGAACAAAATAGCTACAATAAGATCCAGTGCTTCAATTTTTAGCTAAATAACAAAGAGAAATGCAAACACATTTTTGCAGAATAACTGTACATGGATGCTCATGTCAGTATTATTTATAATACCCCAAAAGTGGAAACAACCTTACGGTCTACCAACTGATTAATGGATAAACAAATACAGTACATACATACAATGGAACATTATTTAGTTGTAAAAATAAATGAAGTATTGCATGCTATAACATGGACAATACTTGGAAGCATTAGGCTAAGTGGAAAAAGCCAGTCATAAAAGATCATATATTGTATGATTCCCTTTACATGGCATTACCAAAATAGGCAAACCCACAGAGATAGAAAGTAGAGTAATCATTGCCAGGGGTTGTGTGGAAGGGGCAAAATGGGGAGTGACTATCATTAAGTACAAGCTTTCTTTTTGAGATGATAAAATGTTTTAAAGTTAGATATAGGCCGGGCGCGGTGGCTCACGCCTGTAATCCTAGCACTTTGGGAGGCCGAGACGGGCGGATCACGAGGTCAGGAGATCGAGACCATCTTGGCTAACACGGTGAAACCCCGTTTCTAATAAAAATACAAAAAATTAGCCGGGCGTGTTGGCGGGCGCCTGTAGTCCCAGCTACTTGGGAGGCTGAGGCAGGAGAATGGCATGAACCTGGGAGGCGGAGCTTGCAGTGAGCCGAGATTGCGCCACTGCACTCCAACCTGGGAGACACAGCGAGACTCCGTCTCAAAAAAAAAAAAAAAAGTTAGATATAGTGATGGTTGGTCAACTCTATGAATGTACTAAACATCACTGAATTTTATATTTAGCAGGGTTAATTATGTTGTAGGGAAACTTTGAGATCAGTATCTGGAAAGTCAATTATTATGATATTTAGCCAAACAATAAAATGCAAGTTAAGGGATTTGACAACAGATAGAATTCTTGGCAAATCCCTTTCATTGTTCCTTTATTCATGCACACATCAAGCCTTTTTTCCATTACTAGAAATTATAACTACTTATTTCTCTGTTTCCAAAATAATATTATCTTATATATCTGAGGAGCAGAATGATATAATAAATAATGGGCTATTACTGAAAAGTCCAGGATGCTAGTCCCGATTCTGTCTCTGTGTGACTATATGCAAGAAATAAGCTTCCCTTATTCCAACCTCCATCTGAGAAATTGGAACCCTTGTACATTGCTGGTGGAAATGTAACAGCCGCTGTGGAGATAGTTTAGCAATTCCTCAAAAGATTAAACATAGGATTAACATATGAACCCGTAATTCCACTCCTAGGTATATACCCAAAATAATTGAAAGTGGGTACTCAAACAAATACAAGAAAGTTTACAGCAGCATTATTTATAAAATTCAAAAGGGAGAAACAGCCCAAATGTCCATCAACAGATGAAGGAATAAGCAAACTGTAGTATATATGTACAATGGGAATATCATTCACTCATAAAATGGAATGAGGTACTGATAAATGTTACAACATGATTGGGCCTTAAAAAAACATTTTGCTATTTTGCTAAGTAAAGGAAGCCAGACAAAAAAAAAGTCACACATGAGAGAAGGGGAAACAATTGGTTAATGGGTGCAAAAATACAGTTAGATAGAAGGAATAAGTTCTAGTATTCGATAGTATAGTAGGGAAATTATAGTTAACAAAAATTTATTGTACAATTTAAAATAGCTAAAAGAGAAAATCTGTAATGTTTCCAACACAAAGAAAAGATAAATGTTTGAAATGATGCATATCCCTATAGCCCTGATTCATTACACACTGTATACATGTATCAAAATATCACATGTACCCAAAAAGCATGCAGAACTATAACATTAAAATTCACATATTGTATGAGTCCATTATATGAACTATCAAGACTAGAGACCAAAAGCAGATTGGTAGTTGCCAAGGGCTGGTACAGAAAAGAATTGGTGAGTGACTGCTTAATGGATATAGGGTTTTATTTGGGGTTGATAAAAATCTTATAGAACTAAGATGAAGATGGTGATTGTACAAAATTGTGAATGTACTAAATGTCACTGATATGTTCATTATAAAATGGTAAATCCTATGTTTTGTGAATTTCACTTAATAAAATTAACACAGTAGGATATGAGTGTCTGAAAAGATTATAATGGCCTAGAGAATCTGTAAAGATTATCTGCAAACACATAAATCCTTAGCCTCACATACCTTAGTAATAAAGCTGAATAAAGCTGGATGCCAACTTTTTGGAGATGTCATATCCTAGGATAAGTTCTGAAACTGTTCCTATGAAATTTTCATCCAAAAAAGGATGCACTGATGGAGAATGTGCAAAATGCCAACTTTCACATTGTTCTATGAAAATAATTTATCGGTCTACATAAAAAGCAAAAATTTATGTAAAGAATTTAACAGTATAATCCCTACTTAAATGTTATTATTAAATGACTATAATTTTTATGTATATTGCCTTGTCATGCCCATCTTCTCTGCAAGAGTCTCCCAGTCATTGTAATGAGTATTACTCAGAAATAACATGAAGCTCCTGTGGTATATAACATTATCAATATTAAAAAGGGTGTTGGACTCCTAAATTTGAACTCTTCTCTACTACAGACAGGTTGCTAACAACTTAGATCCTGGGAGCCTAACAAATTGAGTACCATTAAATCTGATACTAGCCAGAATTCATGAATGCATATGCATGTTTTCATTTCTATGTATGCTTTCATTTCTATGTGCATCCATGCAATCCCCACTGCACAACCTTCTAGCTACATATTCCTTTTTAAAAGCATCTTTTCCCGCGAACGAAAAGTGGACTAAAAAGTTTCATCTCTGAGATTTACTCCACAGAAAGAAGGAAATAAAACTAGCAGAATGGCAAGATACATGCCAACTATTGGGTATGAGCCCGGTTACATAGCACTTCCTTCTACAAACTCCAGAGGCAGAGTAGGCTTAGAGAAGAATTTCACTCTCTGAAAAGTGTTTTATCGCCTACATACCAAGATTACAGGTTCCTTAGAAACACAATAATATGGAGATAATATCAATTCTAAATATGAACACTCCAAGTGTGCAATTATTCCATTAGCTCATAGAAGACTATCTAATCTAAATTGCCTCTTTTGTGAAAATATAGGGTAGGTATTGCTATTTGGCATTACATTTTTACTTCACTTATCTTGGTACTACACTTAGTGAAGAGAGAATATTTGGTTAAGTGTGAAATTATAGTTATCCAAATGAAGAAAAACCTGCTGCTTTCACATACTTCTAATTTCTGAAAAATATGAGAAGTGCCCAATGATGTCCTCACTGTTATTTAGATAAAAGAAGGTATAAAGTGCCAAAACAATTAATTACCCATTTACCTATATTTTTGCCTGACAGAGAAGAGGTCTTACTGAACTAATTAAAAGTGAAACTAAACTCAGGAGAGCCCACATTACTCATTCTTCTCAACTGTCTTCTAGAGAAAATAGGAACTTGCTACAATGTGAAGATTAGAGATACTTTCTCCAGTTCTCATTGCATTCTCTTCCACTGGTCAAATGGGTAATGGTTTACTTTGTCCATCCCTGTTAATATTGTGATGTTGGAGAAAGCAGGAAAAGAGAGAAAGGGAAATTATGAAAATACACATTGGATATACACATTTGAATGATACATTTATGTCTTTTCTGGATGAATCTTCAGATAACTACAATGAATGAAAAAAAGCAATTCCTAAAATGCTGTATATTTCATTTATATAACATTATTTAAAAAAAAATACAAAGCAAAATGTATTATAATTAAAAGGGGAAATTAACAAGTCTACCATCGTAAGGGTTTTTTTTTTTAATTTCCATAGGTTTTGGGGGAACAGGTGGTGTTTGTTTACATGAGTAAGTTATTTAGTGGTGATTTGTGAGATTTTGGTGTACCTATCACCCAAGCAGTTTACACTGTACCCAATGTGTATTCTTTAAATGGCAATATCATACAAAGTGTAACATGATAAGAACGGGTGAAGGTAGGGGGAAATAATGAGACTGGGTGGTGCTCTACAAAAGAGCAATATGAAGGATCCCTGTGGTGATAGAAATGTTCTGTACCTTGACTGTATCAATGCCACTATCCTGGTTGTGATGTGCTATTACAACATCACAACATGTTACCAATGAGACAAACAGGATAGAGTGGAAATAAGATTTTTTTGTATTAATGGGGATTCACCTGGGAGAGTTCTTGGCTTCACTCAGGAAGGAATTCAAGAGCAAGTCAAGAGTGAAAGAAAACATGTTTATTAGAGTAACAGTGTACAGCAAAATGGCTGCTCCATAGACAGAGCAGGGCTATCCCATAGGCAGAGTGGCCCAGAGTAGCACTCATGAATTGCTGGCTAGCTGTATTTATACCCATTCTTAATTATAGGCTAACCAAAGGGGTGGGTTATTCAAGAACTTTCTGCAAAGGGGCAGGGAGTTACCAGAATCACGTAAGGTAGCTTCTGGGTCATTGCCATGGCATCATTCATAAACTGTCATGGCACTGAGTATCTTATGCAAATGCATTATAATTAGTGTGTAAGGAGCAATGAGAGCAACTAGAGGTCTCTTTTATCACCATCTTGGTCCTTGCTAGTTCTGGCCCGTTTCTTTGCTACATCCTGCTTTGATTAACAGGGTCATGACAGGCTCACAAATCAAGTCCTACTGATCACCCACCTCAAAATCATTCTTGCCAAAATCACAGACATCCTTGTAGTTTAATCTAATGGATCCTTTCACAATCCTTATCATAGAACCTTTAGATACCATTGACTACCAGCTCTTTTTCAAGGTATTTTTCTCCCTTGCTTTCCACAAAACCACATTCTCCAGATTTCTCTCTTTTTAACCTGTTTTGATGGCTACTTTTAATATGGCCATCCCTTAAATGAGGGCTTACTTCTCAGGGATCTGTTCTGAGCCCTTTTCCTGCTAGTCAATATACTCTCCCTGGGATCTCCCAACTCAAAAGGCTTCAATCATTGCCCATATGTTAATGACTATCAAATCCATGGATTCCACACATACTTCCAACAGCTTCTTAAATTATTTCAGTGGAATGCTTTACTGGGAAAACTAAATTATTATCCCTCCCATTCCTTAATCTTTCTCCAACAGTGTTGCCTGTTTTAGGAAATGTTCAACCAGAAACAGCATCTGCTGCTGGGTCTTTGATCTCTCACCACATGCCTTGGCTGACACATCACCAAATCTTGTGAATTGTAACTCCAAAATCTCTTGAATCCACCTTTATTGCCACAACCCTAATTCATGCCTCCATTTTTCACATGGATTGTTACAACACCTTCCTTAATGACTGCACTGCCTTTGCTCTTGTCCTCCCACTCTGCCTTGCTATGCTGCACACAACAGTAAGAGTGATCTTTTAAAATATATCTGGTTGTGTCACTCCCCTGCTTAAATCTATTAAATGATTTCTTTTTGTAATCAAGTCTAATACATGGCTTTATGGTTCTTATTGTTTAGCTTCTGCTTCCCCTCCAAGCCTTTTGTTGTTGTTGTTGAGACGGAGTCTCGCTCTGTCGCCCAGGCTGGAGGGCAGTGGCACAATCTCGGCTCACTGCAACCTCTGCCTCACAGGTTCATGCAATTCTCCTGCCTCAGCCTCCTAAGTAGCTGGGATTATAGGCGCCTGCCACCATGCCCATATAATTTTTGTATTTTTAGTAGAGACAGGGTTTCACCATGTTGGCCAGGCTAGTCTCGAACACCTGACCACAGGTGATCTGCCCGCGTCGGCCTCTCAAAGTGCTGGGATTACAGATGTGAGCCACCATGTCTGCCCCTGCTCCAAGTCTTACCTATTACCACTCTCATCCTCAAGCTGTCTTCTCCAGCACTGGAGATTCTGAGCTTGTTCTCACGTCCAAATCTTTTTATAATCCGTTTTCTCTATAAAACCACATCAATTCCTCCATTATTCTCTTAGCTAACTATTCTATTATTTACCATTTATATCTCATCTATGTTAATTTCCTCTAGAAAGCCTTCTCCGAAATTTTGGCAGACTTAGATACTTTCACTCTGTGTACATATTACTCCGCACTTCGATCTTAGCATTTATCATGCTGTATTATAATGTGTTCACATGTCTATATTCTATATTACACTGTAAACTCCAAGATGATATGGGCCATACTCTTGTTCACCAATAAATCACTAGAGTGTAGCACAAACACCTGACACATAGTAGGTGCTTAATAACAATTTTCTGATGAAAGGAAAGGAGAGGAAATAAAAGACAGAAAAGAGAAAAATTCTAAAGAGCCAGTCAAAAAGACTTACTTCCTTATTAACTGTTTATTAAGTATCACTAGCTCAGAAGACAATCTGGCAGTTGCTTGAAATAATAACTTTGCATTTGTATGTTTATTTTTAACCTTTTCTATTGAAAGAAGAAATAATAGTCCTCATCCCCAAATTCTTACCTGTACAAGCTTTAAACTTCTGATAAAAAATAATAAATTCTTCCAACACCATGGCATTTCACAAGGCTTCCCAAAAGAATATGCTGCAGCAACCCCAATATCAATTAAAAGTTGTGATTTTCTAAAAAGACAGTCAAGACCTTATTACTATCAATATAGTTCATTCCATATAATAGGTCAACTGCTTGGAGGCATGAGGAACATTACCAATTCCTCAGACATCATATGTTACTTATGGAAATTTTTTAAAGCACAATTTCAACTTTTTCCCCAACCAATTTATTATACTTTTCCATTTTAAAAACATATTTGCCTTATGTATACTGTATGAGCCTCACAGGTTAATTTTAATTTGTTTAAAATATTTCCTTTAATTCATTTTTTAAAAATTTAACATGATTAATTCCATTTCAAGGATTCTCATTAAAGTTACTAAGTGGAAAACACATTTATCAAAATCCAAACAAATAATGAAATTATCCATTCTCTCAAATCATTTCCCAGTGTGCTTTTTCATTGTATGAAGCTTTTTCATTGTAATTGATTCTATACAGCCTTTATTGAGATATTTAGTTCAGATTATTTATGAACTTGACTCCATTCCCACTAGTGCATTTCATTCCAGAGGTTTTTATTTTCTTGGGAATGTGTTGAGAGATTACTTTTCAGAGTCCATGTTGGAGCAACACAGTAGGATATGAGTGTCTGAAAAGATTATAATTGCCTAGAGAATCTGTAGATTATAGCATAGCTCCCTGATTGACATTAGAAAACAGATACAATTCTGCTCCTTATTACAATATCTCAAAATCATACACAGCCTGTATTAAAGGTCTGAAAGAAGAATGAGTAAAGCAACATTTGCTCTTTGGGCTCTTAAGATTAAAGCTGTGTCTACAGGAAGTCAACTCCAACGGCCTGAAAAGGAAAAATGTCCTGTTATACTACTACTTTGATGTATTAATTTGTCCACAGGACCCAAATAATCTGTTTCACTGGACTCTATCACTGGATTGACCAATTTCTTACAGAAAATGCAAGCAATGGGACCACAATATTTTTTAACTACCATAATGAATTGTTTCTGAGTAATGAAATCCCCAGTAGTTGATCTGATTCAGTAGTTCAGACAATGCAAACATATCCATTATGAACATATTCTTTCGGACAGAATTGGGCAGGTAGGATTTATAAATCTTCTTGCATCCAATTAGCTAATACACATAAACATTGGTGTTGTCTAGGTTTTTCCACCTTGAGAAACAGAGTCATTGATTATTTTTCTTTTTCCTACCACCAACCTATCATAGCCACTGCTTTTTTGTCTGACCTATCTTATTGCTTTTGTTTATATTTTGAAGTTTCCTCAAATAGCACAACATATTGACTTGGCCATGTCAACGTATTTCATTCCCTCTTGAGAAATAATAATTCTAAGTATCCTATGAAATTGTAAGAATTTATACATAGGTAGTATGATGACATAAAATGAAGACAAGCATGGATAGTTTTACCTAAACTCAAATCTAAGACTGGTCACATATCAACTGTACGATTTTAAGCAAGTTATTTAGTTTTCTCAAAATTCATTTATATTCATTATAAGAATAATGATGATCTTATACAGTTGTTATAATTAAATAAATTATATGGGATATGGAAAGTGATCAGTAACTCATGGTCCTTTCTCTTCCTGTTTCCTGAATTCATAGATACAGAGTTTTCTAAGGACTTTTTAAACTAATATAAGTCTGTCACTTCCTCTACACAGTAGAAATTGATGTATTCCCACTGGGTATGACCCACACACTGTCCACATTTGATACAATGTCCTAAAATATTGAAGAACACACCAAATGCAGCTACTTTATTTATTGAAATTTTACTAGTTCATCATTTCTCTTGCTCCTTGTAGCTCTTGTCATTTCCTTTCACATTGAATGGTTCTGGCAGCATTGATGTTGTTCTGCAGTTCCAATCACCATGACGGGGCAATTTTGAAAGTTTAATATAAAAGCAACCATTCGGCCATGATCCTTTAGTTTTATCTTCTCTAAATTCAGACAGTAAAAGTTACTGAAATTTCCTAAATGCTAGGGCAAGGGAAAAAAAAACCAGGAACATTTCTGTGTCAATTTACTTAATTCTACAATTGTGTAGTCATGAGCAAAAATTGCTTGATATCACAGAAGACTGGTCTCTATATAAGGGTTTCGACTTTATTCAATGTTGTGAATATGTTAAGAAAATTGTAAATCTTATGCAAGTACAGGAGTATAGGACAAGCATGGTATTTGGCATCCAAGTCTAAGGATTATTGATAAGAGACAATTCTCTATGAGTTTCTCATTTTCTGCACATCTGATTAGAAGCATTGAGAGATTTTTACCAGACTATCTTTTCACAGATATTTGCTAGCAAACAACTTTGGAAGATGGAAATAGTGTATTCTTCTAGGAGAGAGAGCAGGTCTATTTGCTGTTGTCTGGGATAATAAAGACAATGTCTTCCTCCAAGTACAAATGTTGGGGAGGTTAAAACATTGAGGCTTCCTAAGCTCAGGGTTCCCCATCTGCGAAGTACATTACTGAATGTGCAGCAGCCACCTAAGCCACATCAGATTACTCCAGTGATACTTGAAGGGCAATGGGAAAAAACAAATTTTTAAGCTTCCAACAAGCAGAATAAAATCTGATATTTCACAGTTCTTGACAATTACAGTATTGAACATTCATGAATTCCTACAAGCTTCAATTCATTTATTTGTTCAAAGCGAATGATAATCATAATTAACATATCTATTTTGTAAAGCCATTAAGAAGACTAAATTAGATAATGGTTTGGAAAGTTATTTGTAAACTGTAGAACACTGTACCTATAAGATAATAATTATAGTAGCCATCTCATTTTAACTATTAGATTAATGTGCTTTTCCTGCTTAAACCTTCAATGGTTTCCCATTACCCTTAGAATAAGGTTCAAACTCAAAAACTGGCTTGTAAGATCCTTCATGATCTGGCCCCTGATTCTCTCTCCAGATTCACATGTCCTGTTCATACTAGTGTATTATATGCACCTGCTGTATTGAATTCTTTCTAGTTCCTTAAAAGTCCACTTTTTTTTAAAATCTCTGGGATTTGTCATATGCTGCTCTACCTGCCCAGGACTCATTCCCATCCTCCCAGCCCTTGTTCACTTATCTACCTCCTGCTATTTCTTCAGGATTCAACCTAGAAGAAGAAAACAGAACTGAAGAGTCTACCCTTAAATAAATCACACACAGACATTCACACACAAACACACACTCACATTCACACACACACACACAAACACTCCTTAAGAAGTGAATTGCTCTGGATACATGCTATTTGTTTCTTTCTCTATGTTAGCAGGACTTCAATCATTACCAAGAAAAAGTTTTTTTTTTTCACAGCAGTAGCAGTGCTGCATCATGCCTATTTAGTAATTTTTCTGATAATGATTACATCCAGGCAAAACTTATATCAAGGGATGTTTAACTTGAGATCACGACTTATACCTTCATTCAGGAGTGCTAGTTGCTCTTGGAGAATCAAAGTACAAAAATCCTCTGAGAAAACTAATATTTTGAAAAGTAAATCGATAAGCTCATGAGAGTAAGAGTTTTCCACAACAGGATTTGCTCTTTGCTGACACTTTCCTAATGTCATAATGTTGTCCTAAAGTACAGAACCCATGACTTCAGCACTTTCAGGAAACCTTTAAAAATAAGATTATGCCTCCAGAAATCTTGCCTAAGACAATTCTTATGAAACTTCTGTCCCAACAGATAGACTTTGTTTTATTTCCTATGAGCTTTGCACTCAGACTCTAGCTATTGAGAAAAGACAGAGTAACACTGCTCAAAATCAGACTTCAGTTCCTGCCAACTTCTGGCTACCTAAGTTCTCATTAAGAGAGGCCCTATAAGTAGGTTCCATTACATAAGATAACCAACATTTCTTCACCTTGAATCATGGGCTGTGGTTACAAATTAAACAAATTGTAATGAGCCTGAGAATTTGGCATATAGCGTTGAGGAATGTTTGGCTGGTACACACTAGCATTTCTTACTAAGCAGAATAAAAATATGACCTCCTTTTCCTGATGAGCACATTCTCAAATCTTACAACTACATTTTACTATAGATCTAGAGAGAGCAAAGAATTTATATAAATTTCAAGAATGACCACATCCTCTTTCAATACTGTTAAGGTTCAAAATAATAACAATGTCATGGAAGAGGAAGAGTAAAATTGCTGGTCATTCAAGGTATTGATTGTTTGCATTAATAATGGGGAGCACTAGTGCAGAAAATAAAAAAAAACAGGTAATATAATAGATGTCCTCGTTATTCCATATCTATGGTAAACTAAAAGTAAAAATTTAGGTTAATATAAAATAACCTCTTCAACATTTATCTATCATCATGTAGGGTTTTGTTTTCCTTACTAAATGGTCACTGAGTAGATAAACTAAATAAATTATGAGGCAGAAAACTGTAGCAAATTAATGATGGGCGAAAATAAACCCCTGGAAAATCAGAATGTAAAGGAGCTCATCTGTCCATCAGCAAATGTAACAAATGCATCCCTAACTATAGTGGGGGGTGACCTTGTTTTCTCTTCAAACTTTTTGAGCCTCAGGCCAAATGCCATGAATTCAGTTTGATATGGCATCCTTAAACTTACAATGTTCTAGTTGAAATATTTAGAATCCTTCCTGTGTCTCAAAGTGAAAGCAAGCTCAGACCAATATGTTTCTGATTAATTTACTCTGACTCATCAAAACATACTTCTTCCTCTTGTGGCAATTTATACACAGACTCCTTGGATTACTGTGATGAACCATGTTAGCATTGTTCTCCTTGTATAAACAGGAAATCCCGTTTTACATGAACAAACAAACCATAGATGATCTCGTTGAGAGATGGTATAAGCTTTAAGTGATAAGAGTCATTAAATGTGTGATTTTAGATGTGTATTACAAGTCTCCCCATCTCAATCTATTTTATACCCAGCACCATCTAGTCTCACCACAATACTGCTTACTTTTCTTACTGAGTCAAAAAGTCTTATCATAAATTAATACATTGTTTTACTAGTTAAACCACAAATGTCCGTAGTTATATTCCAAAGGCCACTATTTAAATGGATGACAGAGAGCACTATACCAAATTAGTATGTCTTTTCTCTTGAAAGGTAAAGAAAGTGGTGCCCTTAGGCAATGGACAACAGAAGGCAATTTTTATCTCTGGCAAGAAGTGTGAATTAGTAAAACAGGAACAAGTAAAATAACTATGAAAAGCAGGTCAAGATACTGTGAAGATCAAGGCTTCATACAATAAGGTAGATGGCTATGGTGCCAATCAATTTTCTAGTTTTCCCTTTTTTATATATAGTTGGCTCTGTGAATTTCAAAGGAAATTTGCCTGTGTACAACTGTTACAGACTCAAACCTTATTCTGATTATACATATATTTAATTCTGAAGTTATTGTGGTTTTTCTAATCTCTATTTTTATAAATTTGAATGTATGCATGGTGTTCATTTAATATAAAATACAGAGCCAAAGGAAAACTAATTTTATTACCTCTCAAAGAAATCTTAGCAAGGCTGTCATAATCTACATGATATTATACTATCTAATGGATTCACTGCTATATTAGTTCTACTCAGGTCAGAAGTAACTTGACACTGTCTTTTTAAAATTGCTTTTTATCCTGTATCCTGATTACAAAAGTAAAATAGAATTTAGTAAAATACTCAAATAACACAAATGCAAATGAATAGAAATGAGAAGTTCTTTGAAATTCCACCCTATCTCAACCTCAAAATATAAATATTTCTTTCAATTTGACAGAGTTCAACTTGACCACTCGTGACCATTTACAAAGTAGCAGATTTCTACAAGTGCACTACATCATATATATAATTTCCCTAAAAGCTTTCAAGCAGGCACTGTGCACTAATGATGTATATTAAATGAAGAAGTGGATATTCAGCATTTTTTATTGCTTGAGTACACAATAAACATGTCTATTATAGAGCAAGTAAGCATATAAATAAAAAACAGAAATGTTTTTATGTGTACACACACACACATTTATACACACACATGCACCTGTTTGATATAAATAAGCATTTAAATGAATTCAGTTCCTCAGACGATCATTCTCCCAAACTGCTTCTCTCAGGAGTATCATGCCTCTATACTATATAAATATTCCAACAAGATGAAAGTATGACAAGTCTCGATGTTATTTATATGGGGTATTTAAATAGATTGAGTCAAAATTCAACAACAATTTAAAATCAAACAATTAATTTAAACCATGTTTTATTCAACAAAATTAAATTACTTTCTGGGATCTAGCTTTCTCTTTGACAGGAATAGTATATGTGTGTCTGTGTGTTTATATGTGTGTGTGTGCATACAAGGCCAATTGGTATGACTCAGACTAAAATATGGTATGCTCTTCCCTCTAAAAATAGTTATGTTTGCAGAAATATCACTATTCATGTGAACTATAAATACACAACCACTGGAACTATTTAATAAATGGCAAAAATCTCTCCCCCAGTCCCTACTGCAATATCCATTTGAATACATTCATTTGTAAATGTCCTTTGCATACACTCACTTCCAGCCTCAGGCCTTAGAAATTCTGATCTCTCTTGTCAGTCTCCATATTTGTTAGATAAATGTTTCTAATTAAATTGTCAACTGCTCACTCTTTGCTATTTAAATACTGGGTACACAGAAATGAATAAGGGACATTCCCTGGCCTAGAGAAACATACAGACTATTGGGAAGATAGACAAGTAAATAGACCATATAACCTAATAAGTACTTGAATAGAAGAAAACACAGAGTGCTACATGATCACAATGGTGATGCATTAACTCAGACTTGGAACGTAAGGCTTCAGTGAAGACTTACCAAAGGAGGTGATGACTGAACTAATTCTTGAATACCAATAAATAATTACAGACAGATGATTTTGTGCAAAGGTACAGAAATAAAGAAAATAAGACACACTATAATTGTACATTGCTATGGTTATAGGAAGATCACGGCAAAGGCCAGATCATGTGGAGTCTTGTATCATGCTAAAGTGATTTTATTTTATCTTGAAGACTTCTACCCCAAATTATTACTAAAGCGTATAATGCCTTTATACTGCATATAGTCATTTCAGCTCCATCCTATGCTTACCTAAAATAGATATTTGGATGAAGCAGGTTTTTAATGAAGGAACATAGCATATCAGAAAGATCTACAAAATGCATCTTAGTCACTTGGTAACATGGAAAATATAACTCGATATAGTTACTTGTGAATCAGAGAAATCTTCCTTTGTAAAATTCTACAGCCTTCTACTATAAAACAAGGAAATAGTGAGGAATCAAGCATCAAAATTTCATTTTGGATTACATGAAAACCTGGAAAGTCCTAAAGAACCCAAAGGGAGAATTTGTGATACCAAGAGAGAGGAATCTGGGCAAGCATATGTTTTACTGGGAAAATAAAGGAGGAGAAAATAAAAGAGGGAAGGAGGAGAGTGTTCTGAGCACAAAATGTAGCATCAAGAAGAAGAGCTGATTCAAAGCCTCTGGATCTGAAACTGCACCTGAGACACTGCTCAGAATGTACCTGAAGCAACAATGGGGTAAGAATCCAAAGCCAGACTAGGCATGAAAATAACCTTTGGATTGGAATGTTTGAAGTGGTAATAAAGAAGAATAAATTGGAATTCTAATCAAGAGAGTAAGATTTGTATCTTTAATGAAGTCAAGCTACTAGACATAAAGTATATTTCAGATAAATAATAATAACATAATTTCTTAGTATGTACCATGAACTAGGTGTTAAATACAGCATTTCTAAGTTTTATTACTTTTCTTTCCAAGTAGACAGCAGTATTTACATTTTACAAAGAAAAAATAAAGGCTAAGAGATATTAAGCAATCTTCTATACAACAAGTAAATTATGGAGTCAAATGTTGAACATAACTCTGATTCTATGGCTATTCTTTTTCTACTGTTCACCAAGCTACAAACTATCCCTGTTTGTATATAAGGGTGGTGATATCTCAAGAACCCTGGGAAGAGCATGGGAAAACTGGAGACATATCAATGTTATTCTTTTTTTTTTAAAGGAAAGAGATGGATGGGGCAGTTCATTTTATCATTGAAAAGATGATTTTATGATCACTTTTATAGGATTGCACATGGATTCATGGAGAACAAGTTATACCAAAGTAATCTCATTTATTCTTTGGTAGGTTTTAAGTGACTGGTAGATAAGGGAAAGTGTTGTAAGTGTACTATATCTGGCCTTTAGCAGGGCACCAAACAAAGCCTGTCTCAATACCCTTAATGCAAAAATATAGCAAAATATGAACTGAGTTTTGGTAGACTTAGACTGATTTGTGTTTGAGATACCTCACAAGAATGTGGTAATATGTGAAGTAGTGTCAACTTAAAACTTCAGTGGCATTTTATGGTAATTCTTGTCACAAATTATTATTAATTAGTTGAAAAAAATGTTGCAGTTTGGCTTACGATTTTGTCAGTGATGTGGAACTTGAATCAGAGTGAACACTTTGGATGACAGAGGCAGGGACCAAAAAAATTAACAAGAAGAATTATACCCAGGATTGCTATAGAATCTTGCCCCGGGTCTAAATAACAGTGTTCAAAAGACTGAAAAAATCATGAATCTGCAAGCACATATATCAACAAACTAAGATTTGAGTACACTGACTACACAATTAATATGACTCAGCTGTCTAATATAGCTGTTTAAAAATTAATGTGATCCTGGGATACTGCTGTAGTTTGAATGTGTCATCTCTAAAATTCATGTGTTGTGAATGTGATAGTATTAAGAGGTGGGGTCTTTAAGAGGTGATTAGGTAATGAGAGCTCCTCCCTCATGAATAGGATTAAACACCTTATAAAAGAGGCTTGAAATAGTCTTCATCTTTCTTTCTCTTACACCATGTGAGGGTGCAGCAGGAAGGTCTTAACCAGAAGCCAGCACCTTGATCTTGGATTTCTCAGCTCCCAGAACTCAGAGAAAATACATTTCTGTTCGTCATAAATTACCCAGTCTGTAGTAGTATGTTACATAGCCAAAATAAATAAGACAGATGCAATCCAAAAACTTTGATTAGTAAAACAAGTGAGATGATAGACCTGTATACTCTAGAATAGCCAGATGAACTACTGTATTCTTTGGGACTAGGTCATTTCTGAACTCTATATTGGCAAATCACATATTCAGAGGAGAATGAACACAATGGTGAGGTGGAAAGAAACCATACTATCCAAAGAAAAGCTTAAAGAACTAGGGGTATTGAGCCTAGCAAAAAATAGGATTGTGAGTGGCTTCAAATATCTGATGGACTGTTACATAGAAGAGAAAATCAGATTTGTTCCAATTTCCTTCTATGATCAATGTATGGAAGTTATTGGAATGCAGATTTTGGCTCTACATAAGAAAACTATTTTCCAATGAATAGAGATGTATACAATTGAAATTAAGTAATTCTACAGATAATGAGTTTCTTGTCACTAGAAATGTTCAAGTGAAAACTGATTAACAACTTAGAATTTTAGAATTCTAGAATCTTGAGAGTTAGAAGGGATCTTAAAGATAAACTTCTAGCCCAACATTTTTATTTTGCATTTATACAGACTAACCTAGAAAGGAGAAGTGACTTCTCCATGGTGTCACAGGCAGTACTTAAATCCATGCTCTCTGATTCTAAGTCAGGTACTCTTTACTCCATAAATGGCAAATCATGCAAATGCAACAACTCACCCTTCAACTTAGAAGGAATATTTTGATATCCTTAATATCAATGGACCCCTATAAATTTCACTGAGATAGAGGACTCCTGAAGTTTTGTCAGACTTTTTTCTTTCTTTTTTTTTCCTTTCTTTTTGCAGGGAGGGATGGAGTCTCACTCTGTTGCCAGACTAGGGTGCAGTGGTGTGATGTTGGCTCACTGTAACCTCCGGCTCCTGGGTTCAAGCGATTCTCCTGTCTCAGCCTCCCGAGTAGCTGGGACTACAGGAGCATGCCACCACACCCAGCTAATTTTTGTATTTTTAGTAGAGACGGGGTTTCACCATGTTGGCCAGGATGGTCTCAATCTCTTGACCTCATGATCCACCCACCTCGGCCTCCCAAAGTGCTGGGATTACAGGCATGAGCCACTGTGCCCAGCCTTTTTTTTCTTTTTTCTTTTCTTTCTTTTTCTTTTTGAGATGGAGTCTCACTCTGTCGCCCAGGCTGGAGTCCAGTGGTGCGATCTCAGCTCACTGCAAGCTCTGTCTCCTGGATTCACGCCATTCTCCTGCCTCAGCCTCCGGAGTAGCTGGGATTACAGGCGCACACCACCATGTCTGGCTAATTTTTTTGTATTTTTAGTAGAGATGGGGTTGGCCAGACTGGTCTCGAACTCCTGACCTCAGGCAATCCGCCTGCCTCAGCTCCCAAAGTGCTGGGATTACAGTCGTGAGCCACCGTGCTTGGCCTGTCAGATTTATTTTCTATCCTCTGATATGCAAAGATCTTACCAGTAAGTCTAGCTACTACTTCTTGCTCACCAGGTCAAATCAGTACAAAGTAATCAGTGAAAAAGAGCAGGGTAATATCTTGTAGAAATGAAAGATGATCAAAATCCCTGCAAACTAAATTATGACATAGGGCTAGAAGTAGGACAGTTATGGTATGTTGATGGCCTTTCCAGTTCAAAGCAAGCTGGATTTCATGGGCCTTTTTAACATGTAAGGAAAAAAAGTATTTGTTATTTCAGTACCTGCATACCAGGAACCAAGGGATGTGTTAATTTATTCAAGCAACGAAGTCATATTTAGTATAGCAGTTGCAGTCAGAGGCACCACCTAGTTAAACTTAAGATAATCCACTGTCATTCTCCAAGATCCATTCATCTTATGCACAGGCAAAATAGGTGGGTTGAATTGGGAAGTAAGTGTGTCTTTCAAGTCCTTAGCGGTGGCACTAATCTCTGCAGTCCCTTTATGAAAACATTGCTTATGTTTTACTATTTTCCTTGGTAAAGACAGTTCTAGGGGCTTCCCCTTTGCCTTTACCGACATAATAGCTCTCACTCCACAGGCCAGGGAATTAATGCAGACTTATGACTAGCTGCTGAGTATATCTACATCTGTTCCAATTATGCATTCCAAAACTGGGTAACTGACCACAGGACAGGTTTGTGGTCTATTTTTTCCACTTGAGATAAAGCTGGCCTAAAACTCAATTGAACACCTAACCTCCATGCCCCTACTCTGACTGCTAGACCAAAGTGGCATTCTTGGTCTCCTGGGGGCAGTGTCAGTTCAGAGACATTGTCCAGTAGTATTCAAGAGATCTAATTATTTCCTTTACCCCAATGTACCCCAATGTACCCCAATGTACAATTACCCTAACAAAAGGCCATAGGTCCTTTTGGGGGATGCTGGAAGAAAGATTAAGATGAGTGGGTCAGTGGGGCATAAACACCTAGAAAGCAAAAAAATTGACTACAATATGGATGTCTGAAAAAAATTCATGGAAATACATTCATGTTTTCCTTTCAACCAATTACTTTGGCAAATCATCTACTTCATAAAAAATTGGGTTGAGCTTTCTAATCCTAGCCAAGGCGGAGTAAGTCAGCTACCCCTTATCCTTCCCACTGATTACAAGTACAATTCTTGATCAAAATATATAAGTTTCTACCTGAAGGCTCTGAAAAATAAATGGGAGACCAGTTGGGAATGATAGTTACAGCTTAAATAACAGTAAGCTTCACATATTGTTTTCCTGTTTGTATCCTGAATTTGACCTAAGATGAGATATAAATGCAGAACTGTGTTAAGCTGCCTATTTACAGCCAGAGAACATTTAAGAGAGTCCCTTGAAAGCTGAAGAATACAGCATAATCCTCATTCTTTCAGTTTTTTTTATTTAATATAGAGCAGTTTTAGATTACAGAATTACTGTGAAGATAGTATAGAGAATTCCCAAATACCTAATATCAGTCCCATTATTAACCTCTTAGATTATAAGGTACATTTTCCACAATAATGAACCAATATTGATACATTACTGTTAAAGTTCATACTTTATTAACAGTTCATGTTCCCTTAGGTACTTATTAACTGTTTCTTAGACTTTCCTCATTGCTGATGATAATAATAGATTTGAAAAATTACCGGTCAGATATTTTGTAGAATGCCTCTCGATTGGGATTTGTCTAATGCTTTTCTCATGATTAGACTGACGTAATAGGTTTTTGGGAGAAAGATTATAAAGTGCCATTCTCATATCATCATATCAAGGGAACATAGTATCAATATGACTTCACACTCTTGATGTTAACCTTGATCACATGGCTTGAGGCAGTGTTTATTAGATTTCTTCATTGGAAATTTATTTTCCCCTCTTTTTTCATAATGTAATCTTTGAAAGAAAGTCAGACAGTATGTGCAAACCAAACTTACCGATTTGGGGAGCCATTTTCTACCTCCTTAAGGGCAGAACATCTGCATAAATTATTTATGATCCTTCTGCCTATGTGATTTGTCTCTTCTCTGTACATTTATTTGTTCAATCATTTATTTATATCTGTACTTATGAATATTTATCTTATACCTTAGGTTATAATAAAATACTACTTTATTTTGTTCTACAAATCGTTCTATCTTTGGCAATTGTAAGCTCTATTACTTGATGATATGGTTGGATTCCATGTCCTCATCCAAATCTCATCTTGAATTGTAATGCCCATAATCCCCCATGTGTTACCGGAGGGACCCAGTGGGAGGTGACTGGATCATGGGGGCGGTTCCTCCATGCTGTTCTCATCAGAGTGAGTGAGTTATCACGAGATCTGATGATTTTATAAGCATCTGGCATTTCCCCTGCTTGTACTTCTCTCTCCTGCCACCATGTGAAGAAGGTCCTTTCTTCCCCTTCTGCTATGATTGTAAGTTTCCTGAGGTCACCCCAAACAGGCAGAACTGTGAGTCAATTAAACCTCCTTTGTTTATAAACTATCCAGTCTTGGGAAGTTCTTTACAGCAGTGTACAAATGGACTAATACAGTAAATTAGTACCGCTGAGAGTGTGGCACTACTATAATGATACTTGAAAATGTGGACGCAAGTTTGGAACTGCAGAATGAGCCAAGGTTGTAACAGTCTGAAAATATCAAAAGATGACAGGAAGATGTGGGAACCTTTGGAACTTCCTAGAAACTTGTTAAATGGTTTTGACCAAAATGCTGATAGTGATATGGACAATAAAATCTAGGCTAAGGTGGTCTCGGATGGAGATGAGAAACTTGTTGGGAATGGAGGCAAAGGTCACTCTTGCTATGCTTTAGCAAAGAGACTAGTGGCATTTTGCCCCACCCTAGAGATATGTGGAACTTTGAACTTGAGAGTGATGATTTAGGGTATGTGGCAGGGGAAATTTGTAAGCAGCAAAGCATTCAAGAGGTGAAAGAGTGTAAAAGTTTGGAAAATTTGCAGCCTGATAATGCAATGGAAAAGAAAAACCCATTTTCTAGGGATAAATTCAAGCCAGCTGCAGAAATTTGCAGAAGTTACAAGGAACCAAATATTAATCACCAAGACAATGGGAAAATATCTCCAAGGAATGTCAGAAACCTTCATGGCAGCCCCACCCATCACAGGCCTGAAGGCCTAGAGAGAAAAATGGTTTCGTGGGCCAGGACCAGAGCCCCCCCTGATGTATCCAGCCTCAAGACTAGGTGCCCTGCATCCCAGCTGCTTCAGCTCCAGCCATGGCTAAAAGAGGCCAAGGTATAGCTTAGGCCATTGCTTCAGAGGGTACAAGCCCCAACTCTTTCAACATGGTTTGGGGCCTGCAGGTGCACAGAAGTCAAGAATTGAGGTTTGGGAACATCCAAATAGATTTCAGATGATGTATGGAAATGCCTGGATGTCTAGGCAGAGGTCTGTTGCAAGGGCAGAGCCCTCGTGGAGAATCTCTGCTAGGAAAGTTTGGAAGAAAAATGGGTTGGAGCCCCAACACAGAGTCCCCACTGGGGCACTGCCCAGTGGAGCTGTGAGAAGAGGGCCACCATCCATCAGACCCCACAATGGTAGATCCACCAACAGCTTGCACCATGCGCCTGGAAAATCCAGATATTCAATGCTAGCCAGTGAATGCGGCCAAGAGGGGGGCTATAGCCTGCAAAGCCACAGGGGTAGAGCTGCCCAAGAACATGGGAGCCCACCTCTTACATTAGCATGACCTGGATGTGAGTCATGGAGTTAAAGGAGATTATTTCAGAGCTTTAAGATTTAATGACTGCCTCTCTGGATTTCGGACTTGCATGGGGCCTGTAGCCCCTTCATTTTGGCCAATTTCTCCCATTTGGAATGGGAGCATTTATCCAATGCCTGTATCCCCATTGTATATTGGAAGTAACTAACTTGCTTTTGAGACGGAGTCTCACTCTGTCGCCCAGGCTGGAGTGCAGTGGTGTGATCTCGGCTCACTGCAACCTCTGCCTCCCAGATTCAAGCGATTCTCCTGCCTCAGCCTCCTGAGTAGCTGGGATTACAGGCGCGTGCACCAGGCCTGGCTAATTTTTGTAGTTTTAGTAGAGACGGGATTTCACCATGTTGGTCAGGCTGGTCTCGAACTCCTGACCTAATGATCCCCCTGCCTTTGCCTCCCAAAGTGGTGGGATTACAGATGTAAGCCACTGCACCCAGCCACGGAAGTAATTAACTTGCTTTTGATTGTACAGGCTCATAGGCAGAAGGGACTTGTCTTGTCTCGGATGAGACTATGGACTTGGACATTTGGGTGAATGCTGGAATGAGTTAAGACTTTGGGGGACTGTTGGAATGCATTATTGTGTTCTGAAATGTGAAGACATGAGATTTTGGAGGGGCCAGGAGCAGAATGATATGGTTTGGCTCTGTGTCCCCACCCAAATCTCATCTTAAATTGCAATCCTCATAATCCCCACATGTCAGGGGAGGGACCCAGTGGGAGGTGATTGGATCATGGGGGTGGTTTCCCCCATGCTGTTGCCATAATAGTGAGTGAGTTATCATGAGATCTGATCGTTTTATAAGCATCTGGCATTTCCCCTGCTTGTACTTCTCTCCCCTGCCACCATGTGATTAAGGTCGTTGCTACACCTTTTGTCATGATTGTTAAGTTTCCTGAGGCCTCCCCAGCCAGGCAAAACAGTGAGCCAATTAAACCTCTTTTGTCTATAAATTATCCAGTCTTGAGTAATATATTTATAGTAGTGTGAGAATAGACTAATACAGTATGTTCCTGGTATCCTTTAATATATATAATCCTTGTGTTTTGGTTATTTTTTTGAAGTGTGGGGCATGGGTAGTACTTTCTCACTTTCAGGCACTATAAGATGCTTAAAGCTCATCTTATGTATGTCCTGCCACACCCTTAGAATCAGCCATTTCTCCAAGGGTCTCTAGATCCTTTTGTTGGAGAATGGCATTACACACCAAGATCTGGGTGATAGGTGTGCTCACTGGTACAGGATTGTTGTTGCTTCTAGGCCTTATAAACTGACAGAGCAAAAATCTTATGGGTATACACTAATCCATATATATACATATATCTATAAATATTTCTGTATATATCAATTTGTACCTGAATTAAGCTAAACCCGAATTCACACTAATCTCTCCAACTCTAATTCATTAACACACTGATCATTCTATCCTATTCTCTTGTTTATTTGTGATCTCTCAATCCAGCAGTAAAAAACCTGGCTTCCACCACCTACTATCCATTTACTTAATTCTTCCTGTCCAGTTTACATGTATAGTAATTTCAGAATTGTCAAACAATGTCCCAACAGAAAACAACATTATCAAGTAGAGTGTAATGTTTATATATGGTTACCAGTTGATTTAGTCTTATAGACTCCACCAATTTTCAAAGTTACCTATGCCAGCACATTATTCCCTCACTCCTTTTAGGTATTTTATATATTCATATTCTTTTAGAATACAAATAAAACACATTTAGACTCTTTTAACACATCCTGCATTCAATCCTGGTTCCCCTAATCTCCTAAATAATTTTTAAAATATGCGTGCAGTAAGAGTCACTCTTTCCTATAAAGTTTTATGGGGTCTGAGAAATTCATAATTTAAATAGCCACCATACCAGATACAAGAATATATAATATAAAAAAGTTAACCACTGAAAAATAATTTTAGGTGCTTCACTTATTCAACCTCTCCCTTCCCATAATCCTATGCAACCACTAGTATTTTTTTTTTATTTCCGTGGGTACACAGTAGGTGTATGTGTTGTGAAGTACACAAAATATTTTGATACAGGCATACAATGCACATTAATCACATTAGGGTAAATGAGGTTTTCATCACCTCAAGCATTTATTATTTCTCTGTGTTACAAATAATGTAATTATACTCTTTTAATTACTTTTAAATGTGCACTAAATTATTGTTGACTATGGTCACCCTTTTGTGCTATGAAATACTAAATCTTGCTCATTCTCCATAAGTATATTTTTGTACCCATTGGCTATCCCCAATTCTCCTGCAATACTATCCTTCTGAGCCTCTACTCTCTATCTCCATGAGTTCAACTGTTTTGATTTTTAGCTTTGAGAAAAAAGTGAGAACATGTGAAGCTTGTATTTCTGTACCTGGCTTATTTCACTTAACATAATGGCCACAATTCCATCCATGTTGTTGCAAATGACAGAATCTCAGATTTTTATAGCTGAATAGCACTCTACTGTGTTTAGGTACCACATTTTCTTTATCCACATATCTGTCAGTTGGCACTTAGGTGGCTTCCAAATCTTGGCTAAGGTGAATAGTGCTGCAGCAAACATGGGAGTGCAGATATCTCTTTAATATGCTGATGTCCTTTCCTTTGGGTGTATACTTAGCAGTGGGATTGCTGCATCACAAGGTAGTTCTATTTTTAGTATTTTTAAAGAACCTCCAAAGTGTTCTCCATAGTGGTTTTATTAAATGACACTGCCACCAACAGTGTACAAGAATGTCCTTTTCTCCACATTCTTGCAAGCATTCATTATTGCCTGTCTTTTGGATAAAAGTTATTTTTAACTGGGGCAACATAGTATGTCATTGTAGTTTTGGTCTGCAGTTCTCTGATGATCAATAATGTTGAGCATTTTTTATATACCTGTTTCCCATTTGTATGTCTTTTTGGAGAAATGTTTATTCAGATCTTTTGCTCATTTTTAAATTGCATTATAATTTGTTTCTATTGAGTTCTTTGAGCTCCTTATATATTCTGGTTATTAATCCCTTGTCAGATGGATAGGATGCAGATAACTTTTCCCATTCTCCAGGTTATCTCTTAACTTTGTTGATTGTTTCCTTTGCTGTGCAGAAGCTTTTAAACTTGATGTGATCCATTTTGTCCTTTTTGCTTTGATTGCCTGTGCATGTGGGTATTACCCAAGAAACATTTGCTCAGACCAATGTTCTTCAGTGTTTCTGTAATGTTTTTTTTTAGTAGTTTCATAGTGTGAGGTCTTAGATTTGAATATTTTGATTTTTCTACATGGTACAACACAGGCATCCAGTTTCATTGTTCTGCAAGTGGATATTTATTTAATATCCATTTATTAAAGAGAATGCCTTTCCCTAGTGATTGTTTTTGGCATCTTTGTTAACAATGAGTTCACTGAAGATGTATGGATTCATTTCTGGATACTCTATTCTGTTGCACTGGTCTATGTGTCTCCTTCTATGCCACTATCATGCTCTTTTTTTGAAAAAAAAAAAAATCCGGTAGTATAATTTGAAGTCAAGTAACATGATTCTTCCAGTTTTGTTCTTTTTGCTCAGGATAGCTTTGGCTATTACGAAACTACTGTAGTACCATATAAATTTTAGGATTATTTTTCTATGTGTTGAAAGAATATCATTGGTATTTTCATAGGAATTGCACTGGATCTGTAGGTTGCTTTGGGTAGTATGGACATTTTAACAATATTGATTCTTCTAATCCATGAACATAGAATATTTTTCCATTTTTTGTGTACGTCTTCTCTGAAATTTCTTGCATCAGTGTTTCCTAGTTTTCATTATAATGATATTCTGCTACTTTGGTTAAGATTATCCCTTGGAATTTAATTTTATTTGTAGCTATAATAAATGATATTACTTTCTTGATTTTTTTTCAGATGTTCACACTTGGCATACAGAAATGCTACTGATTTTTGTATGATGATTTGTGTCTTGCAACTTTACTGAATTTGCTTATCATTTCTAACAGTATTTTGATAGAGTAGATTTTTCCAAATATAAGATCATATCATCTGCAGACAAAAATAATTTAACTTCTTCCTTTCCAATTTGGTTGCCCTTTGTTTTTGTTTTTGTTTTTTCTTGTCTGATTGATTGCTGTAGCTAGGATTTCCAGTACTATGCTGGATAACAGTGGTGAAACTGGTCATCCTTGTCTTGTTGTAGATCTTAGAGGAAGATCCACCTTCATTATGATACTAGCTGTGGGTCTGTCATACGTGGCTTTTATTGTATTGAGGCATGTTCATGATAGCTTTATTATGAAAAGATACTGAATTTTATCAAATGCTTTCTCAGCATCAAATTAAATACTCATATGTTTTTTTCTTTTATTCTGTTGATATAGCGTATCACATTTATTGATTTACATATGTTAGACAATCCTTGCATGCCTGGGATAAATCCCAATTGGTAATAATGAATAAACTTTTAAAATGTGTTGTGGAATTCAGTTTACTAATATTATGTGGAGAATTTTTGCATCAATGTTCATCAGTTATATTGGCCTGTAGTATTATTTTTGTTTATGTGTCCTTGTCTGGTTTTGGCATTAGGTTAATACTAGCCTCAAAGAATGAGTATGGAAGTATTCCCTCCTCTATTTTTTGGAATAGTTTAAGTAGGATTGGTAGTTCCTTATTTTCCAAACACAAATGAAGTCTCTCTCACTTGGCTGAGCTGTCTGGTATGGGTAGGCGGGTGACACAAGCACCTTTGCAGCCACCACAATTGGAACTATGCTGGGTCAGACCCAAAGTCAGCACAGCATTGGATCTCACCCAAGGCCCACAGTGACCACTGACTGGCTACTGCCTATGTTCACTCAAGGTGTCAAGGCTCTAAAATCAGTAGGTCACTAATCCAAATGCTTCTGTCCTTTCCACCAAAACAGCAAGTTTACCCCAGCCTTGGGTGGGTCCAGAGATTCTGCCTGGGAGCCAGGGCCTGGATTCAGGAACCTTAGGAATCTACCTGGTGCTCTATTCTCCTGTGGCTTAGCTGGCACTCAAGCTACAAGAAAAAGTCCTCCCCACTCTTCCCTTCCTTTTCCTCAAGCAGAGGAATCTCTCCCCATGGCCATTGCCAAAGCCAGTGCTGCCCAGCTACTGCTGATGTTTACTCAAGGCCCAAGGGATCTTCTATCAGCTTATGATGAATGCTGCCTGTCCTGATTCTCTTCCTTTAGGGAAGTAGGCTCCCTTCTGGCCCAGGGCAGGACCAGAAATGCTGCCCAGGAACCAAGGCCTGGAATTGGGAATCCCAGGAGCCAACCTGATGCTCTATCCCCACTGTGGCCAAGCTGGTACCCAAGCTGCAAGACAATGTCCCCTTTTACTCTTTCGTATTCCTGGGTGAGAATCAGAGCTGGCTGCCACTGGTGAGTATTTAAGGACTGAGAGCGCTTTAGTCAGCAGGTGATAGGTACGGCTGGGACTGGGATTTTCCCTTCAAGGCAGCAAGTTGCTTTCTGGCTCAGGGTATGTCTAGAAATATCATACAGGTGTTATGGCCTGTAATGATGCCCTCTGGACTCTGCCTGGTCCTCTATTCTATTGTGGCTTACTTGGTATCCACTTGCAAGACAAAGTCCTTTTTACTCTCACTTCTCTTGTCTTCAAGCAGAGGGATGGTGTCTGTCCCATAGCTTTGAGCTGCTCTGTTTGTGGTTGGGGGAGGGTAGACACTAGCACTCTCTTGGCAACTGTAGCTGGTGTCCTACTAGCTCAAGTGCACCCCAAGTTGGCTGTCTTTGAGCCCAGCACAGTACCAGAACGTGCCCAGAAACTGTAGTCTTTGTGGTCTAGATGGCCTTTCAAGTTCATTTAGGACTCTAAAGAACTTTAGCCTCGGTGGTGGGGCTTGTTGGAACTCAGGTTCCAATAGCTGGGATGGGCAATTTATCTCTGCTTAGGGCTTATCTAAATTATGACTTCATGGGTCCTGGCTGACTTCCGCCTGATGTTGATTTCCACTGTGACAGGACACCATTGAGTTTCAATGAAAAGTCTCACAGCCACTGCAGTATCCATTCTCTAAACACACAGATTCTTTGTGGTACACAGCTACTGCTAGCGGGTAGGGGAGGTGAGGTGTAGACAGTTCAAGACTATCTTATGCTTTTCAGTGCCACTTTATTTAATATGATGTTAAAAACTGGTAAGGTAATTGCTCACCTAATTTTTGTTTTTTACGAAGGTACTCTTTTTTGTATGTATAGTTGTTAAATTTGGTGTTCCTTGGAGCATGGAATGATTGTTGGATGCTTCTATTTAGCCATATTGCTCCACCTCCAACATCCACTAATCTTTTTTACTGTCTATAGTTTTGCTTTTTCTAGAATGTCATGTAATTAGAATCATAGAATATGTAACCTTTTCAGACTGAATTGTTTCACTTAGCAGTGTGCATTTAATGTTCATCTATGATTTTGTGATTTGAGAGTTCACTTTCTTTAAAACATCACTACATTTTAATGTATGAATGTACCAAAATTTGTTCATCCATTCACCTATTTAAGAACATATTAGTTGCTTTCACATTTTGGCAATTATAAATAAGGCTGCTATAAACATTCATGTGAAGGCTTTTGTGGGGATGTAAGTTCATATCATTTAGATAAATACCAAGAAGTATAATTGCTGGATCATATTACCAGACTATATTTATCTTTGTAAGACACTACCAAACTATCTTTCAAAGTGATTGCACCCTTTTGCACTCCCACATTTCGTTGATGACAGTCCTTACTGTTCTGTATTCTCACTAGCAGTTGATATTATCAAATATATATATTTTTTATTTTAGCCATCCTAATAGGTATGTAGTGGTATTTCCTTGTTTTTAATCCCATATTTTGTTTTACATTTTTTTTTTTTTTTTCAGACAGAGTCTCGCTCAGTCGCCCAGGCTGGAGTGCAGTGGCTCGATCTCCGCTCACTGCAAGCTCCGCCTCCTGGGTTCACGCCATTCTCCTGCCTCAGCCTCCCGAGTAGCTGGGACTACAGGCGCCCGCCACCATGCCCGGCTAATTTTTTGTATTTTTTAGTAGAGACTGGGTTTCACCGTGTTAGCCATGATAGTCGCAATCTCCTGACCTCGTGATCCGCCCACCTTGGCCTCCCAAAGTGCTGGGATTACAGGCGTGAGCCACTGCGCCCCGCCCGCCTTGTTTTACATTTTTATAACTCTTTTCTCTTTATTCTTGACCCTGGGTAAACTTCTATGCCCTAAGTTGCACTGCTGTGGTGGCAGCAGCCTCACCATCTAAAACTCCAAGGAAAGAGCTCTCTCGATAGAGGAATAAGGACAAAGTGTCACATTGTTCATAAACGCTTTGAACAATGTGATACTTTGTCCTGATTCATTATCTTAAGAGAAACAATCAGAAACAGGAAGACAAATACTGCATATCTTCACTGATAAATGGGCTCTAAATAATGTGTATACATAGACTTGGAGTGTAGAATAATGGACACTGAAGACTCAGAAGGGTGGTAGGGGATGAAAGATGAGAAATTACTCAGTGGTTACAATATACATTATTTGGGTGATGGTTACTCTAAAAGCCCAGACTTTACCACTAGACAATATTTCCATGTAACAAAACTTTACTTATAACCCTTAAATTTATGCAAATAAGAGTGTATGAAATATCCTTTTTTATTTGTTTTCTCTTTCTTTTTTATTGCCACTTTACTCCAAATGCAGCCAAGTTGAAAAGATGCACAACAGCGCAGAATGCTAACCCTCCCTCCACAAAAAAAACCTTTCTTTCTAGCCAGATAAACTGGTGTAAGTGGCTCTTGGGAGCTGGGGAATATGGTGAGAAGGCCTCTGAGAAGAGAACTGGAATAGGAGACCACCTAATTCTGTGAAGTAACTGACTTAAGTCCCAAGCTCACCTGAATCTGTGCATGAAAAGAACAGACATAGAGCAACATAGAGTAACACTGCAGAAGTTTTGAGAAGAGAAATACAATATCTGACAACCTGAGTCCCAGAGTAACTGGTGAGTGGTACATGGGATGGTCAGACTCAAACAGAATAGCAAAGGCTAGAGAAAATGAAATGACATTGAAGCTACCATTCACATAAAGCAAGACAGACCTGGCAGTCTGAACACAATTGTGGTAAGCTAATAAGCTAACAGAATTAACTTTCTCAACTAGATTTTAGGAAGATCTGTACTCTCACAAAATAACATTCAAGATTCCAAGGATACAATCCCAAAGTACATGCCATAACAACAACAACAAGGAAATCTGGCCAATTCTGAAGGGTAAAGACAATCAAAAGATGCCACTCCCAAGATAAACCACATGTTGGAGTTATCAAATAAAGAAATTATAATCATCCATCACAAGGTAACATATACACTTTTCACATTAAAGAAATAATAAAAGTTTTAATCAAATGATCAGATATTATAACAAAATAAAAAATTTTTTTTTGAAACTGAAAAATCTGATATCTAAAATAAAAACTTCATTGCGATGGGCACAATAAGAAAATGGAGAGGACAAAGAAACTATTAAGTATTTTGAAGATGATTAAATATTATATAATCTGAGTAACAGAGAAAAACAAATTTCAACAAAATGAACAGAGCTTCAGGGACCTTTTGGACAATATCAAAACCCTAACATTTGTGTTCATGAAGTCTCCGAAAGAAAAGAGGAAAAGATTAGTACATAAAACACTCTTGAAGAAAATAATAGCTGAAAACTTTTCAAATTTGATTAAATACATATAAATTCACATATTGGCCAGGTGCGGTGGCTCACACCTATAATCCTAGCACTTTGGGAGGCCAAGGCGGGTGGATCACTTGAGGTCAGGAGTTCAAAACCAGTTTGGCCATCATGGTGAAGCCCCGACTCTACTAAAAATACAAAAAATTAGCTGAGCATGGTGATGTGCACCTGTAATCCCAGCTACTTGGGAGGCTGAGGCAGGAGAATCGCTTGAACCTGGGAGGTGGAGATTGCAGTGAGCCGAGATTATGCCATCACACTCTAGCCTGGGCAATAGAGCGAGACTCCATCTCAAAATAAATAAATTAATTAATTAATTAATTCACATATTCAAGAAGTACTGGATACCTCCAACAGAATAAACTCAAAGAAAACCATGACCAAATACATCATAATCAAACTGATTAAAATCAAAGATTAAAATATTTTAAAAGCAGAGAAAAATACAACATTATATATAAGAAAACAGCCATTTGTATAATTGTGGATTTCTTATCAGAAACCACAGAGGCAAAAATAGAGTTAAAAAACAGCATTGAAAGCCTAAAAGAAAATAAATATCAACCTTGAATTCTATATCCAGCAAAGTTACAGGCATTTTTCAAATAACATAAACTAAGAGAACTTGTCATCAGTGGATTTGAGTTTATAGAAATGCTAAAAGAAGTTCTTCAGGCTAGAGAGAATTAATACCAGAGGGAAATTTAGAACATCAAGAATGAGAGAATTGACAGAAATGATAAATATTTAGGCAAACTGTAATAAAGCATTTTTCCACTTAAATTCTTTAAAATATGTGTGACTCTTGAAAGCAATAACTTTGCCTGTGGGAGGGTATCAATACATGTAAATAAAATGCATATGGCAACTAGAACATCAGGGACAAAGAAAAAAGAGCATTCTATGGCTTAAAATCATCTACATTTTACTTAAAGTGGTAAAATATTTATGTGAAATAAAATTTGAAAATATAAATATACATATTTTAGTAATTTGAGAAACCACTAAAAATATGAATGTATATGGGCAAAAGAAAATAGATGAATTAAAATGAAATACTAAATGGTATGCAAATAATCAAAAAGAAGACAGGAAATGAAGATCAGAGAAACAAAAAAAAAAACAAGAAGAAAGAATCAAGTAATAGTCCTAACACAAGCAAAAAATAATTAAATTAAATTTAAATGGCATGAGAACACAAACTAAAACACGGAGATTACCAGACTCATTTAAAAAATCAAGACCTAACTATATGCTTTCTATAAGAAACCCACTTTAAATAAGAAGACATTGATAGGTTAAAAATAAAAAGCTAAAAAAACAAATATCAGGCAAACACAAGTATAAAAAAGAGGTGTAGTAACTATATTGATATGAGACAAAGTAGACTCACATATAAGGAACATTAGCAGAAATAAAGAGGGACATTACATAAGAGTAATAAGGGTCACTCCATCAAGAAGAAATAACAATTCTAATTCTGCATTCACCTAACAGTGGAACTTTTCAGTAAATGGTTCTGGAACAACTAAATATCCTTATCCAAAATATGAATTTCTATTACTCACATCTTATATAAACATTAATACAAAAAGAATTAGAAACTTAAATCTAAAATGAGAAAGTACAAAACTTTTTGCAGAAAACAGGAGCAAAATATTTGTGGGGGGGATCTGTCAAATAATTCTTAGATTCAACACCAAAACACAATAAATTTAAATTAATGAATTAACAATTTGGACTTCATCAAAATTAAAATCTTTATCTCTGGAAGCAACTCTACTAAGAGGATGAAAATACAAGCCACGCACTGAGAAAAAAATAATTAGGTAACACATGGTCCCACAATAGGCCATCTGCAAGCTGAGGAGCAAGGAGAGCCAATCCAAGTTCCAAAACTATCCTATCAAGTTGACACTCCATATTAACCATCACAGGAGTGCAGAAGGGAAATGTGGATTTGGAGCCCTCACACAGAGTCTCCGCTGGGGCACTGCCTAGTGGAGCTGTGAGAAGAGAGACACCATCCTCCAGACCCCAGAATGATAGTTCCACTGACAGCTTGCACCATGTGCCTGGAAAAGCCTCAGACACTCAACACCAGCCAATGAAAGCAGCCCAGAGGAGGGTTGTACTGTGCAAAGCCACGGGAGTGGAGCTGCCCACGACAATGGGAGTCCACCTCTTTCATCAGCATGACCTGGATGTGAGACATAAAGTCAAAGATTATTCTGGAGCTTTCAGATTTAATTACTGCCTCATTGGATTTCAGACTTGCAAGGGGCTTGTAACCCCTTTGTTTTGGCCAATTTCTCCTATTTGCAATGGGTGTATTTACCCAATGCCTGTACATCACTTGTATCTAGCAAGTAACTAACTTGCTTTTGATTTTACAGTGTCATAGGTGGAAGGGACTTGCCTTGTCTCAGATGAGACTTTGGGCTTGGAATTTTGGGTTAATGATGGAATGAGCTAAGACTCTGGGTGACTGTTGGAAAGGTATGATTGTGTTTTGAAATGTGAGGACATGAGATTTTGGAGGGGTCAGGCATGGGATGATATGGTTTGGCTGTGTCCCCACCCAAATCTCATCTTGAATTGTAGTTTCCATAATCCCCACGTTGGTGGGAGGGGCCAGGTAGGACGTAACTGAATGATGGGGCAGTTTCCCCCCTGCTATTCTCATGAGAGTAAGTTTTCACGAGATCTGATGATTTTATATGAGTCTTCCCCTTGGCTTGGTTCTCATTCTTCTACCTCCTGCTGCCTTGTGAAGGACATGTTTTCTTCCCCTTCTGCCATAATTGTAAGTTTTCTGAGGCCTTCTCAGCCATGCAGAACTGTGACTCAATTAAACCTCTTTCCTTTATGAATTTCCCAGTTTTGAGTATTTCTTCACAGCAGCACGAGAAAAAACTAATACAATATTCCTTTGGATATATTTCTTATTTATTTCTGAAGGATAGCTTTATAAAGATATGTACACATGTATGTTCATTGGCACTATTCATAACAGCAAAGACATGGAATCAACCCAAATGCCTATCAATGATAGACTGGATAAAGAACATGTGGTACATATACACCATGGAATACTATGCAACCATACAAAAGAACGAGATCATGTCCTTTGCAGGGACATGGATGGAGCTGGAAGCTGTTATCCTCAGCAAACTAATGCAGGAACAGAAAAACAAATATTGCATGTTCTCACTTATAAGTGGGAGCTGAACAATGAGAACATATGGACACATCAGCAGGAACAACACACACTGGTGCCTAATGACTAGGGGCGTGGGGAGAGAGAGAGCATCAGGAAGAATAACTAACAGATGTTGGGCTTAATAACTATGTGATGGGTTGATCAGTGCAGCTAACCACCATGGCACATGTTTACCTATGTAACAAACCTGCACATCCTGCATATGTACCCCAAAACTTAAAATAAAAGTGATAAAAGTTGAAGAAAAAAAAGAAGAAAGAAGAAATAAAAACTTTACCAGACAAACAGAAGCTGAGAGTTCATCATGACTAGATGTACCTTATGACACATGCTAAAGTTATTTAAGAAGAGACAAAGGATTACAATGAGTAACACGAAAACATCTGAAAGTATAAAATTCACTGGTAAAAGTAAATAAACAGGCAAATTCAAGACTCTCTAATACTGCTATGACAGTGTATAAATTATTTTTAATATGAAAGATAAAAATATATTACAAATAAGTATAAAAATAAAATATGCAATATAAAAACATGTAAATCATGGCATCAAAAATTTCAAATGTGTAGGAGGTGGAAATAGAGTAAAAGTGTCATGTTTTTACATTTTCAATCAAAGTTAAATTATTATTAGCTTAACATAAACTGTGATAACTATACTATGTTTTATGTAAGCTTCATGGTAATCACAAAAAAAAACCTATGATCGATTCTCTGAAAATAAAAAGCAAAGAATTTTAACATATAATTAGAGAAAAATCACTTACTTATAAAGCAAGACATTATGTGAGAAAAGAACAAGAATCTACAAAACAACTAGTAAACAATTAATTAAATAGCAATAATGACTTCTTAGCTATCTATAATTACCTTGAGTGTAAATAGATTAAATTCTCCAATCAACCTGTAGAGTGACCGATTGGATTAAAAATGACAGGTCAAACTATGTATTGCCTTTAAGAGGATTACTTCACTTGTAAGGACGGAGATAGAGTAAAACTGAAAGGATGGAAGTGGATACTCTATTGAAAATGAAAACTGAAAGGGAGCAGGAATAGATATAACAGATAAAAGAGACTTTAAGTCAAAAACTGTGAAAGGACAAAAAAAATGGTCATTATATAATCATAAAGGATTCAATTTAGCAAAAAGACATAATAATTATAAATATATATACATCCAATATTAGAGCACTGGAATATATAAAACAAATTTTAATGGATGTGAAGGAAAGAGAGCCTGAAATACAATTATAGTAGGGGACCTAAATATCCCACTTTCAGCAATGGACAGGTTATTCAGACAGAAAATCAACAAGGAAACATTGGACTTAAATCACCCTTTAGACCAAATGGACCTAGCAGGCATATGCAGAACATTCCATTGAACAGCTGTAAGAACACACATGCTTCTCAACTGCACTTTCTCCAATATAAATAATACGTTATGCTACGAATTTTTTTTACAAATTAAGAGAAACTGAAATCATACCAAGTATCTTTTCTGACCACAATAGTATCACTAGAAATCAATCAGAAGAGGAATTTTTGAAAATTCACAATATATAAACAACTTGCTTCTGAACAAACAATAGGTCAAAGAAGAAATTTAAAGGGATATTTAAAAATTTCTGGAGAAAAATGACAATGGAAACACCATCCACCAAAATCTATGTAATACAATAAAATCAGTTTTAAGAGGGAAGTTTATAGCAATAAAGGCCTACATCAAAAATAAGAAAGATCTAAAAAAAATTTTGATGCTGCTCCTTAAGAAATTAGAAAACCATAAACAAGCTAAGCCCACAGTTAGTAGGAGCAAGGAAATAATAAAGATCATGGTAACAATAAATAAAATAAAGGTAAAAGCAATTTTAAAATTCAAGAAAATAGTACGTTTTTTGAAAAGATAAAATTAACACTTTTAGTTATACCACCTGATTGGAAAATAGAAAAGATTAAAATGTTAAGTTAGTGCAAAAGTAATTGCAGCTTTTGCGTTTTTTGGAATTTGACTTTTGATATTAAAATACATTATTAAATAAATGTGGTTATGTTATACATCATTTTAATGCGCATTTCTCACTTTTTTGTGTGTTGCTAATGACATTACTTGCTGCTTATTTTATGTTTATTTTAGACTATGGGAATAATGTTAGACACAAAGCAAATTCAAATAATTTTCTTATTCAAGTTCAAAATGGGTCGTAAAGCAGCAGAGATAACTTGCAACATCAACAACGCATTTGGCCCAGGAACTGCTAACGAACGTACAGTGCAGTGGTGGCTCAAGAAGTTTTGCAAAGGAGATGAAAAACATGAAGATGAGGAACATAGTGGCTGGCCATCAGAAGTTGACAACAACCAATTGAGAGCAATCATCAAAGCGGATTTTCTTACAACTACACAAGAAGTTGCCAAAGAACTCAATGTCAACCCTCTCCAGTCATTTGGCATTTAAAGCCAACTGGGAAGGTGAAAAAAAGCTCAATAAGTGGGTGCCTCATGAGCTGCCTGAAAATTAAAAAAAATAATAATAATTTTTAAGTATCATCTTCTCTTGTTCTATGCAACAACAACAAACCATTTCTCGATTGGATTGTGATGTGTGATGAAAAGTGGATTTTATACAACTGGCAACAACCAGCTCAGTTTTTGGACTGAGAAGAAGTTCCAAAGCACTTCCCAAAGCCAAACTTGCACCAAAAGACAGTCACTGTTTGGTGGTCACTCTGGTGGCCTGCTGCTGGTCTGATCCACTACAGCTTACTGAATCCCATTAAAACCATTACATCTGAGATGTATGCTCAGCAAAACTATGAGATGCACCAAAAACTGCACTACCTGCAGCTGGCACTGGTCAACAGAAAGGGCCCCATTCTTCTTCATGACAACACGTGACCGCACACTGCACAACCAATGCTTCAAAAGTTGAATGAATTGGGCTATGAAGTTTTGCCTCATCTGCTATATTCACCTGACCTCTCACCAACTGACAACCACTTCTTCAAGAATCTCAACTACCTTTTGCAGGGAAAACGCTTCTAAAACCAGCAGCATGTAGAAAATGCTTTCCAAGAGTTCGTGGAATTCCAAAGCACAAATTTTTTACTACAGAAATAAACAAACTTATTTTTTGTTGGCAAAAATGTGTTAATTGTAATGGTTCCCATTTTGATTACTAAAGATGTGTTTGAGCATAGTTATAATGATTTTTAAATCATTTTAATTCATGGTACAAAACTGCAATTACTTTTGCACCAAGCTAATAAAATCAAAGCTGAAAAAGGAGTCGTAACAAATGATACCACACAAATACACAGGATTATAAGAGACAATTAGGAACTATTATGCACCAACAAATTTGATACCCTAGAAGAAATGGAAACATTCCTGGACACATAAAACCTACGAAGATTAAATTATAAAGAAATAGGAAACCTGAACATGCCAGTAGTTACTAAGGAGAATTAATCTGTAATGAAGTGTCTTCTATCAAAGAAAAGCCCTGGACCTAATGCCTTCACCGCTGAGTTCTACCAAACACTTAAAGAGGAACTGGCCTTTCTCAAAAGAAAACATACAAATTGCCAAGAGGTATATGAAAAAGTGCTCAGCATCACTGATCATCAAAGAAATGCAAATCAAAACCACAATCAGATATTAACTCACTTCTGTTAGAATGGATGTTATCATCATGACAAAAGATAAAAAGTGTAATTGAGGATGTGGAGAAAAATAATCCCTTGCTCAATGTTGGTGGGAATGTAAGTTAATAAAGCCATTATAGAAAAACAGTATGGAGGTTTTTCAAAAAATTAAAATTAGAAGTACTACATAATCCAGCAATCCCGGTGGTGAGAGTATGTATCCTAAGGAAATGAAATCATCATGTCAAATAGATATCTGCACTCCTAGGTTTATTGCAACACTGTTCACAACAGAAAAGATATGGAATCAACCTCAGTGTCCATCAACAGATGAATGGACAAAGAAAATACGGCACATATGTACAATGGAATATTACTCAGCTTTAAAAGAGAAGGAAATCCTTTCATCTGTGAAAATGTGGAAGATCCTGAAAGACATTCTGTTAAGTGAAATAAGTCAGGCAGAGAAAGACAAATACAACATAACCTCACTCATATGTGGAATCCAAAAAAGTTGGTGTCATAGAAGTAGAGAGTGGAATGGTAGTGACCAGAGACTAGGATGGTTAGGAGAAAGGTGGATGTTGAGATGTTGGTCTAATGACGCACAATTGCATTTAGATAGGAAGAATACATTCAAGTGGTCTGTTATGCAGCACGATGACCATAGTTAATGACAATATATTCTTGAAAAATGTTAAGAGAGTGGGTGTTAGATGGTCTCACCTCAAAAATGATAACTATGTGAGGTGATACATTCATTACTTAGCTGGATTTAACAATTTAACAATGTATATGTACTTTATAACATTATACACAATAGGTTAATACATTTTTATATGGCAATTTAAATAAATAAATAAATTAGAAAAAAACTATCATGATGAGATGGCACTACCCACCTATTATAATGACAATACCAAATTTTTGGAGAGGAGTAGAGCAACTGGAACTGTCTAGCATTGCTGATGGGAATGGAAAATGATACAGCTACTTTAGAAAACAATTTGGTAGTTCCTGATAACAATAAATACACACTTCCCATTTGACCTAGCGATCCTACTCCTATGTATTTATCCAAGAGAAATGCAAACTTATGTTTACATGAAAGCCAGAATGAGAATGTTTATAGCAGTTTTTTTCATGATCAGCAAAAACTGGAAATGGCCAAATGTCCACCTGCAGATGAATGTATAAACAAACTGTGGTGCACTCATGCAATGGGACACTACTGAGCCATAAAAAAATACTGATATATTCAACAACATATAAATCTCAAATACATATATTCTGAGTAAAAAAAAAAAAACAAGTATCAAAAAGCTACATACAAGGTATGATTAGATGTATATGTCATCCTGGAAAAGACAAAATTGTAAGGGCACCAAATGGATTGCCTGGGGTTAAATGTGGGAGGAAGAAGTGTTTGCTTACAAAGACATAGCACAAGGATTCTTCTGGAATGTAGAAATTATTCTGTATGTTCATCTTGGTGATGGTTATATGACTCTATGGATTTGTAAAGAATAGGTGAACTTATTACGTATAAATTTTTAAAAGTCAAGGTGAGACAAAGGAGGGAATCATAAGCATTTTATAAATATTTATGTCCCAGAAGAACATCTGTTGTCATCTTTGGGTTAGATAAAAGTCCACTTTTTGATTTTGTTGCTTTTGTTTTTATTCTGAATATACTGCTATGCTTTCCATGGTGCAAAATCTTAGTGGTGGAGACCATTAACTGGAAATCATAAACTAGGTCTCTGGCCTTTATTTCTGTCCTCCTGTATTGAGTAGATAATGCATTTCCGTATCTTATACGGTACAAAGGCTTTAATTTCAACCTACTAGACAAAACACCTTTTATAAAGAGGGCACAGCAGCCCAGAACAGATCTAAATGCTTTTCATTCTTTATAAACAATGTATTTATATAGAGTTCAGCACGTAGTTTATTTATCGAGAGTGAAAGAAGTAGTCCTAAACTTGCCTGATAAATTGGCAATTCCATCTCCTGCATAATAATATAAAAATATCTGTCATTTTCAGTTTTACTGTAAACTCTAAAACTACTTTCCACTCCTGCAGTTACTTTCAGCCCAGGCTGTTAAGAAGCTTTCTGTCCAAGTACTAAGGCAGGCTTACCTTATAATCAGAGCTTGATAGATTCTCAAATAAATATTCCTTAACATTTGTATATTGCTGAACTTTTAAAATGCTCTTATATTTAACATCGGTGGATTCTTTAAGCACAATCGCAAATGTAGGTAGGGCTGATTTTCAGTGTCTTCTTTTTACAAATAAAATCTGCATCTCCAGGAAGTTATATAATAAGCACAAGATCACACAGTTCAGAAGTAATGCAGCTGGGACCAACATTCAGATCTTGTGACCCTGATGGAGTTCTGAGAATATTTTAATTTAAAGCAGAAACTGATTTTGGTTTCACCCATAATTGAAGGTTTGTTTCTCCTGCTTTGGGATGAATAGTATATTGAAAATAATTTTAATCATTCCTGGATGAAGACTTTATAGTGGTTCAGGGTCTTCAATTTTCTGACCATTGACACTCATCATGCTGCCTATGATTATTTATTATAGGGGGCAAGATAAGAGTTTGAAAATACACAAGGTAAAGCAGAGTTCATGGATATTGATTCCGTGGATGACAGAGCCTCAGTTTGCCTCTAATCTCAGATTACTGGAAGCTCTTTGACCTTTACTCCAACCTCCTGATTAGAGGCCCATAGCTTAATTCCAGCCACATCTAACTCCCTGAACTCTGTCTTAAGTTCCAGTTTCCCAGTTCTTGCATAATTTCTTCCCAAGGTAAAACTGCCACTTTATTTAAGTCCATTCTGTGCTACTATAATAGAATACCACAGATTGGGTAATTTATAAAGAACAGAGATTTATTTCATACAGTTCTGAAGGCTGAGAAGTCCAAGACTGGGGGACTGACATCTGGTGAGGGCCTTCTTGTGTCATCCCATGACAAGAAGTCAAATAGAGGGTAATAGAGACTGAAGAGAGATGAAGATACTGAACTCAGAACCTCAATTCCTTTCATAATTGGCATTAATTCACTCATGATGGTGGAACCCTCATCACTTAAACATCTCCCATTAAATCCCACCTCCCAACACTGTTTCATCGGGGAATACATTTCCAACACATGCTTTTGGGAGGACACATTCAAACCATAACATGCCTTCTCCTCCAATTATTTATTAAGGAGACAGAAGGTCTGTCTGATTCATTCTCAATCAAAGACATAGCAAATTTCCTTTGGGACACTTTCCTTAGTGTCACAAAGAGCTACACCTTTGTCTATTATTAGAAGTATTTTGAACCCCATTATAACTCTAACACCTAACAGAGTGCCCAGCATATAATAAAAGCTAAAATATTTGTTGAGTTGTTAAGTTAATGAATCAATGAAATATACATGGTTCTTTATCTCCTGGGAAGAAAGTTGGCACCTAAAGGTATTTTGATACCTTACCACTAAGGAGATAAAAGTGATGGCCACTGTACCAAGCACATTGAGAAATATTTGTAGGTGGTCAGGAAATTTAAAACACACAAACAAAAACAACTATAGCTATAATTGTGCTGTGATCCAGACTGGAAGAAGACTCATAAATATAGGATCACAGTGATATTAGATTCCTTTGAGTCTTTTTACTGTGAAAAGGACAGTTCAGTAGATATTTTTAATGAGCATAAGCCTTGAACAACTTTGCATTTTCCCTATTTTGGTTTTAAAAAATGATATTCACATTTTAATTTTTTCTCTAAAATCCTCTTGGAAACTTAAAAAACTCACAAATGTTGTCAATCTAAACAAATATCTCTGATTGAAAATTTACTTCCTAAACACTCATTGAGGATTATGCATTTCAGGGTTTTTATAACTTAATCTGCATAACCTTGAAGAGTCTCTTCATCTTTTAGTTGATTAAAAATATTTTTCACAGCCTGTAAAGCAAGATATGACTTCATGCTATGGCTATGGGTATTTAATAAAGGAAATATGCTTTATGTGCTCCATTAAGTCGTTTGTGAAATTGCATTAGTGCCATGCCATTAGTACACCTCTTTCAGATACAGCTGTGGCCCTCTCTTGACAGGAAAATTAGCAGTTTCATTAATCTACTCATAGATTTGTAATGACCTTCTAATATAAAGAAAAATATCTGTCTTATCAGGAATTGCTAAAGAAATCAAACATAGTTTTCAATAGAATGCCAGAGAAATGAATGGGACAAGATAATATCATACTTCTTGATGGATGATAATGGCATATTTTAGAGACATTATTAAATTATATTTATTTATGAGGCTGAAAAACAAAATATAGCATGCCACAAAATAGATAATTATAAGAAAAATGATGTATAAAATATGGTGACATTTTTAATATTCTAAGAAAATTATTAGAACAGAAACCAAACAGGTTTCTATAGCATGAAAACTGTTAAATTACAAGCATACTGTTAAATGCTGACAGTATCCACACAGCAAGTGTTTCTTTTGTAAAAATCACCCATTAATCATTCTAATTTTTTTTGCTATTGTATGAAAGCCTATTATTGCAGCAAAGTAGTATCATCTTTATCTCTCTTGCCCAGTGCTATTAATATGATTCATTTTGTAACCATTTGGAGGTAGATTTCAGTTGTTACTTCCCAATTCCTTTCTTTGGTTCTTCATTGTCTGAACATTTACTGTTAGTGTAGATTTTTCCATAATAAAAAATTACAGCAGAAACAACTTTTTCTGCTGTGTCATTGTCTCAAATCATCAAGTATCTTTATAGTATTTTTGCTTCCCTATACCACTCTCAACTCACAATTTGTGCTTTGTTATGGACTGAATGGCATAAAAATTAACATCACTACCTTCTCTGTGTCCACTCCAGTCCAAAGTGCCTTCCTTTGAATTTTCACAACACTTAATGTCTATTCAGCTCATTTTATAAATGTCATTTGGTATTGTTAGTAATAATTTCTTAGCTATATCTCTTATCTTTTCAACTAGAGTATATTTTTTTGTAGGTAATACGTAAGATGGTTGAAACTTGGGTCCAGCACCAGATAGGCTTGGGATCCATTTCTAGGTCTGCCAATTGACTAGCTATGTTACCTTGAATAAGTTGCCTTATCTCTCTACATTTTAGTTTCCTCAGGTGTAAAATGAGCATGACATTACTGCCTGCATTAGAAGATTATGGTACCCCCCAACAGTATTTAGCATCTGCTGTATATGTCGATGAAACAACACAAAAATTCTGGATAGACAAACAAATTGTCTTACTTCAGTGTATCCTTTGAAATGTATTGATACACAACTCATATGACTGAAATTATATTAATTTTATTTTTTAATTTTATAAAACTGAGTTTCAATCTCATCTGCCTAAAACTCTAGAGCCCACTAGAAGAAGTGTGCTAAGAATATAGGATCTGGAGTCACACTACCTATGCTTAAATCACACCTTTAGATTTGTCTAACTGTGAGACATTGGGTAATTTGCCTAAACTCTTTAAGCCCCAGTTTCTTATCTGTAAAATGGCTGGTGATAATAATAGTATCTTTATCATAATGTTATTGTAAGGATCAAATGAGTTAATGAATGTTAGTCATTTTGAATATCATTTGGCACACAGCACTAAGTACAATGTTAGCAATAATTGTTATGTATGTGCTATTTTTTCAAATATGCTGGGTTCTCAATTTTTGATCCTTATAAAAATTTTTTTTAACTGTTAGCATTTAGAGAAAAATTATTATGGGTAAGCTCACAGAAGGAGTGAAAATCAGAGTGCTGTTCCCATCTGTAGGTTCAGGAAACTCATGGAGTATCCAAAGCATTAAAAACTACCTCCTAAATTCTGTTTCTAGTTACTTACAGTTGGTAGCCCATACATTTTTCAGAGTTACACGTTGTGTAGCATTTATATTGTTTGCTCTAGGGATAAAAGAATTACCACTGCAAATTAGATTTATGATCCATTTATTCTCTAAGACTGAGTTCAAGTTATCGCCTTTTAGAAGAAACTCACCATACTAGCTAGTATCCTTCTTGAGATCCTACAGTATTTTATCATCTATAGCAAAAGCCAGCAAACTAATATCTCTGGTCAAATATAACCTCAAGACTGTTTTTGTATGGTTTGTGAGTTAAGATTGGTTTTATATTTTTAAATAGTTGTAAATTAAAATAAATAATATGTGAAAGAGACCATATGTGACCTGCAAACCCAAAAATACATGTATTTACTATGTGCTCCTTCACAGAAAAAAAGTTTGCTGAACTGTGAGCTGTTCACATGGCTAGACAGGATCTTAAGTTATATCTGTCTTACTTGAAAACTCATGTTTTTTGGGTTTTTTTTTCTTACTGTGGCTCACTGCTGTTTTGTTCTCTTAAACCATTTAAATTGTGTGCACGTGTGTGTAGGCCTAGATTACAAACTCCTTAAAGGCAAAGACCACTTGTCCTCCACAACATTTAGAGAACACTTCCTGCACAGTGGATGTTTAAAAATATTTAGAAAATGCATGAATAAATGAATTTGGGACAATGCTCAATTTTGTTTTAGAGGACCACTGAGGGATATGTTATTAAACAACATAATCTTACATTCATAAATTAGGGTTGTACCTAACACTTCATGGCATTCCCCAAATCCCTAAATAAATCTTTCTAATTGGACCTTTTTTTTTTACTCTAGACTAAAGCCCTGTTCAAAATGTTTTCCATAAGTTACATTCCCTAGCTCCTCCCTCCCTCTCTCCCTTCATTCTTTCCTTTCTTCCTTCCCTCCTTCACTTCCTGTTTTTTCATTAAGCAGATATTTAGCATATTGCTTAACATATGCAAGTTAAAGTGGTAGACAAAATAAACATGGCCTACATAAAATAGCAGTCTACATCCCTTTGTTCTTGTTTATATTTACCTTAAATGGATCATTTTCAAAATTTAAAGCATATCATTTAGTTCTCATTGACATCTAGATGTCAACTGGAATTACCCTCCCCTTATGGTCCTGGTAAATTTGCCTTAAAAGGACAGTTGTCATGGGACTCTAATATATTAATCTGATATTTCTGCATATCCTGGGAATTTAAGTTTTTGCTAATTTTCTGTGGCTCTGATTCATAGATTCTGCTGAATCTTCTTTTCCACTATGCATCTTACTGCTGCTCCTTTATCAGTGCCCAGTCTTCAACCAATTACCAGATATTGTTCCTTCTCCTTCATACAAATCCGACTTCCACTCTCTGGCCATCGCATCCAGTAGCATGCATGCAATAAAAGTGGATGTAATAGACTTTAACTGGAGATGTAAACACAGTGATATTTGACCTTCTAATAAACAAATAAACAAAATATAACTCTTACTCTCATAAGCCCCCCAGTCTTTACAGAAAAAACATATATTTATTCATAATAGATCTGCCACCATGACCCAAATACGTCCCACCAGGCCCTGCTTCCAACACTGTGGATTACATTTCAGCATGTGAACATACCTAAACTATATCACATGACTCATGACAGGTTATTTCTATAAGCCTAGAAGAACATTCTAAAAAGTTATAGACCAAACTTTCATCAGCAGTGATTTCAAGAGAGCAGGATTGTTTATACAAGCAGTGTTATGGTTTGAATATGTTTTCCTCCTACCAAAACTCATGTTAAAGCTTGGTTCCCAATATGATGTTAATGAGGGGGTGGTGCCTTTAAGAACTGATTAGGTTGTTAAGATAGATTCTCTTTCACAGAAGACAGTGTTAGTTCTTGCGGGAATTGATTTATTTCCCCAGGGAGCACATTGTTATAAAGCAAGGTTGCCTCTTATGTTTGGTCTTTTTGGCATGCATGCTTCTACTTCTCCACCATGTTGTAATTTAGCACAAGGCCCTCACTAGAAACTGAGCAGCTGCCAATGCCATCCTATTGGACTTCCCTGGCACCAGAATTGTGAGCCAAACAAATCTGTTTCCTTTATAAATTACCCAGCCTGAAGCATTCTGCTATATTCACTGATATGATTTGACTCTGTGTCCCTACCCAAATCTCATCTCAAATAGTAATTTCCACATGTGGAGGGAGGGACCGACCTGGTGGGAGGTGACTGCATTATGGGGGTGGTTTCCTCCATGCTGCTGTCATGATAGTGAGGGAGTTTTTATAAGATGTGGTAGTTTAAAAGTGGCAGTTTCCCCTGCATGCTCTCTCTATCCTACCACCATGTAAGACGTGCCTTGTTTCCCGTTAGACTTCTCCCATGATTGTAATTTTCCTGAGGACTCCCCAGCCATACAGAACTGTGAGTCAATTAAACCCTTTTTCTTTATAATTACCCAGTCGCAAGTAGTTCTTTATAGCAGTGTGAAGATGGACTAATACAGCGACATTAAACAGATTAAGATTAGCAGAGAGAAAACACTTTCACTTTTTATCTTTATACATTTCTGTATTTAAATATGAACAGTGGACACATTTTATAATTAAAACATAAATAAAAGTGAACCAAAGGGTCATCTGGTTGACATAAACTGATTGTAAAGGCACAATCATTTTGTTGAATTCATTCGATTTTTTGGTTGTGGTTATACTTGTACACACAACAAGGCACTTTTTGCAGTTTAGGAGTGGTCCTAATATATATTAAAGAAATTTTTCTAATTTTAGGTCATTGCTTTTTCAGTACTTTCAGAAAGTCTCATTCTTCATGGTACATGAATGTTAATGTGACCAATAGGTGAAAAAATTGTGAATAAATAGAAATATTCATTTTCAAGTAGTATATCCTTTGGACCAATTTGTCGTTTCCACTCATTTCTTTTTTTTTGATGCAGTATCACACTCTGCTGCCCAGGCTGGAGTGCAGTGGTGTCATCATGAGTCACTGCAGCCTTGACCTTCCCAGGCCCAGGTGATCCTCCCACCTCAGGCTCCTGAGTAGCAGGACTATAGGCATGAGCCACCATGCCCGGCTAATATTTTTGTTGGTGGTGGTGGTCTTTTGTAGAGATGAGGTCTCAGCATGTTGCACAGGCTGGTCATGAAGCCCCGGACTCAAGCAATCTTCCCACATCAGCCTCCCAAAATTCTGGGATAACAGGTGTGAGCCACTGCACACATCCTATTTTCAACCATTTTCTTTTTCTTTACCAATTCACCTGAAAGTACTTGGTAGGGGCTTTTCAGGATTCACTGAAAAGGAATATGGGTATATATCCTGATTTGATGAAGTGCTATCTTTTGAGATGCTAAAATGTAGAATGGAATGGGTATGATTTTGTATGTTGAATGATGGTATATGGATAAAAATAAGAACACGAATTTAAAATGAATGGAATGGTGATTGCTTTAATAGAAAAGGAATAGAACCAATCTAAACAGCCATAAATAAGTATTTGAATAAATGAATTCACTATGATACATCCATGTTATACAACCATAACAATGAGGTGAGTCGCTGGGTGTGGTAGTTCACGCCTGTAATCACAGCACTTTGGAAGGCTGAGGCAGGGGGATCATTTAAGGTCAGGAGTTTGAGACCAGCCTAGCCAACATAGTGAAACCCCATCTCTGCTAAAATACAAAAATTATCTGGGCGTGGTAGTAGTTGCCTGTAATCCCAACTACTCAGGGAGGCTGAGGCAGCAGAATCTCTTGAACCCAGAAGGTGGAGGTTGCAGTGACCCAAGATCATACTACTGCACTCCAGCCTGGGCAACAGAGCAAGACTCTCTCAAAAAGAAAAAAAAAAAAGAGGTGAGTCTATATGTATTGTCATAGAAAGGTTTTCAAAATACATGAGAGATTTAAAAAAATGCAAAAGAGGACATGTAGTATGATGGCATTTTCATAAGCATAATAGATTGATAGATAGGCTTCTCTGCCTGTAGAATATATTTGAAAAGATATACAAATGTCTAAGGAAAGACCTTGGATGGGCCAGGGTTGAAAGAGGGTGGGTACAAAAGACAAAAACTTTACTTCTTATCTTATTCTCCTATCTACCATTTAAATTATTTACACAATGTATGGATTGCTTAGTTAGTAATGAAAGGTGAAAAGATATCCCAGGCAGACAAAATAGCATGTGTAAAGGTTTATTATCAACATCACAGCCTATTTTTTTTTGTTTTTCTTTTCTCTCATCTCATTACCACTTATAAGGTCTTCTCCTTTGCTTTCTTTGCCAATCTCCTCATTGACAGCTTGTCAAAACCTCCTCAGTTTCAGCCCCATGTGAATTGTCTATCAGTGCAGTCCCTTTAAAAATGTGTCAGTTAATTGTGAGTAAACAGAAAAATTGGCGGTAGAGACACCTTCCCAGTTATTTAATAAATGATACAAAAATAGATCTACACACTACTCTAGGTATAAGGCCAACTACTTACTAAGCTGAAGTAAAAAATATTTGGAATGGAAGTAATTATTTGAACACAATATTGAAGATTAATTTTTGCTCACCCAGGCAACAATATCAGAAAGGAAATCTTTAACCTTTGTTGAGCTGGCAAACAATGTATCTACAGAAGAAGAATAGACCACCCACTGCCCTCTTAATGCCCTTTCCCTAAATGCTAAAGTTGTTTAATGAAATAGTGTTACAGAGAAAAGATGTACTGGCTTAGAGGCAGACATATCTAGATTTGAATCCATGTATATGGTCAGCTGTGTGATGCTGAGCAAGCTAACTTCTCTGAGCTTCATTTCCTTCATCTATAAAAGGGAGAGAGTAATACCTAACTAACAGGTTTCTATGTGGATTAGAAATGGTGTATATCAAGTGACTATCACAGAACTAGGAATATATCAGCTGTTTTGCTCAATGGTGGTCATTATTATTAACCATAATTTCAGATGAAGACCATTCAGGTATTTAGCTCAGTTGAGTAAGTAGGAGGACATCTTGTGCAAATAAGAGGAAAGTCTTGTCTCAGAATTTATTGAGCCTTTTTAATGCATCATTGTGTTTAATAATCACAACAATGCTTTACGAGGTAGGTATAATTATCATCTGCTGAGATTTTTTATGATCAGAAAAGAGATATTCAGAGAGGTTAATTTTTTATCTCTACAGCTACTAAAACAAGTCACAGTCGTGCCATTTTCCCTACTCTGTAACTTCAACTCATTCACCAAATTTCATATCACCTATTCAAAATTACAGATTTGGAAGAGAAGAGCCAAGATGGCCAACTAGATGCAGCCTGGACAAACATCTCCCAATGAGAAACCAGGCTATCAGGAAGACTAGAACACTATGAACAGATCTTCAGAGAGAAGGCACGGAGAGTGGATGGAGAGAGGATGCAGAACCTAGGCTGAGTGGGAAAGAAACTGGGAACACTGCACAGGGCTTCTGAGCACTGGGACTCATTCCTGGCCTCCTTGGAGAGGGGTGAGTTAAACAGGCGAGGAGTGGCATGCTGCTGCCATAGACCTCTGAAATCCCAGCTTCAGGACACCCCCATGACCTTCATGAGCACTAGATCTGGAAGGGAGAGCTGTATGGAAAGGAGGCAGGGACAGGACTCCAGCCTGTGAGGAGCCCAGCAGGTTTGGAGTGGGAACAACTGCAGTGAAGCATAGCCCTGGATACCCATCTCCTAAGACTCACCATGCTCCTCTAAGTGGCCTTGGCATTTGGTGACTGCCACATCTGGACAGAAGATGGCAGTCTTGCTTGTGGGAAGGTGCCAGTTTTTCTGAGCACCCCCAATCTGCTGGCTTAGACACAGATGCCCAACCAGGGTGCTTCCCAAGGAAGCATCATAGTACTTTCACAGGCAGATTGTGCCTGACTACCAGAGAGCTCCAGCAGACTGGAACCTGCTAAGGTACAACCACCTACTTAGAGCCTCCCCCAACCACAGGCTCCTCCTGCCACTTGGCTGGCATGCACTTGCCCACGGACACCCCCCACAACTTTGCCGGTACACATACTCTGGCAGACCTCATCTCCTTTTCCCTGTTGGTGCAAACGAGTGTGCTCAGAAACCACCACCCAGCCCTTGCAAGCTGGTACCCTGGCCCTACCGATGTGTGGTCACCCATCTGTTCTGCCACTGCTAACACAAGTGCATGCACAGACACCAGTACCCTGCTTCTACTGTGCCCCACCCCTGCCAATGCACAAGAACCCTGCTGCACAGTGGCTCCTGATGGCATGCACACACAGGCAAGGATCCTGCTTCCACTGCCCTGACTAAGCACCATGGCTGGCACACTTCATTGGAGTGCTATTGCCAGGGGACTGACTGGGAACATCTCAGACACCCTAGTGCAGCAGGTTTCTAACCTCAAAAGACCAGAAAACAATGCCAAGGGTCAAGTACCAGCCCTTCCCCAAAGGTTATATCCCGCAGTCCAAGAATGATGAACTAAGCCTTGGTCCCCTGAAATCTTTCAGTAGTGAAGTCAACAAACTGAACTCACCTTTTACCCCAAACAAACCCTCAAAAGTATCAAAGAATGTAAAAGCAAAATAAAAGAAAAAAAAATCCAAAGGACAGCCACTTTGAATGCTAAAGTACCATCAACCCACACAAAGAGGGGGAAAAAAAAAAAAAACAGTGCAAGGACACTGGCAACCCAAAAAGCCAGGGAGCTTTCTTACCTCCGAATGATTGCACTAGTTTCCTAGCATATGTTCTTAACCAAGCTGAAATGTTTGAAATGACAGACATAGGCTTTAGAATCTGGATAGGAATGAAGATTGTCAAGATTCAGGAGAAGGTTGAAACCCAATCCAAGGAATCTAAGGAATCCAATAAAATGATACAAAAGATGAAAGACGACATGGCCATTTAAAAAAGAACCAAACTGAACTGATGGAGCTCAAAAATTCACTACAAAATTTTTATACTACAATTGCAAGTGTTAATCAGCAGAACAGACCAAGCTGAGGAAAGAATCTCATGGCTTGAAGACAGATAATTTAAATAACTCAAACAAAACTAAATAAAAAAGTACAAAAAATAAACAAAACCTCTGAGACATATGGGATTATGTATCTGTAGCTCATTGGCATCCCTGAAGGAGAGGGAGAGAAAGCAAGCAACAAAGAAAACATATTTGAGAATATTGCCAACAATTTTTTTTCAACCTTGCTAGAAGGCTAACATTCAAACTCAGAAAATGCAAATAACCACTGTGAAATACTGTATAAGATGACCATCTCCAATACATATAATCATCACATTCTCAAAGGTCAACAAGAAGGGAAAAAATATGAAAGACAGCTAGAGAGAAGGAGTAGGTCACCTGCAAAGGGGAACTCATCAGTTCTAACAGCTGACCTTTCAGAAGAAACCCTACAAGCCAGAAGAGGTTTGGGGCATATAGTCAGTATTCTTAAGGAAAAGAAATTCCAATCAAGAATGTCATATCTAGCCAAACTAAGCTTCAAAAGTGAAGGAGAAGTAAGATCCTTTTCAGACAAGCAAATGCTAAGGGAATTTGTCACCACCAGTCCTACCTTACAAGAAGTCCTTAAAAAAGTACTGACTATGGAAAGGAAAGATTATTACTGGCCACCACAAAACCACACTTAAGTACAAAGACCATTGACACTATAAAGCAACTACATAATTAAGCCTACATAATAAACAGTCAACAGTCAACGATGACAGGAACAAATCTGCACATATCAATATTAACCTAGAATGTAAATGGGGTAAATGCCACACTTAAAAGGCACAGAGTGGCAAGATGTATAAAGAAACAAGAACCAAAGCTATGCTGTCTTCAAGAGAACCATCTCACATGCAATGACACCCAAAAGTTCAAAGTAAAGGGATGGAGAAATACCTAACAAGCAAATGGAAAAGAAATAAACAAAAAAAACAGGGTTTGATATTCTAACTTCAGACAAAACATACTTTAAACCAACAATGATTTAAAAAGAGAAAGAATGTCATTACGTAATGGTAAAAGTTCAATTCAACAAGAAGATTTAACTATTTTAAATATATATGCACCCAACACAATAGTACCCAAATTCAAAATACAAATTCTTAGAGAGACTTATGAAACACTTAGCCACACAAGAACAGTGGGAGAATTCAACACCCCACTGATAACAATAGACAAATCATTGAGGCAAAAAGCTAACAAAGATATTTGTGACCTGAACTTGACATTGGACCAAATGGACCTAACAGAGATCTACAGAATTCTCCACCCAAAAACAAAAGAATATACATTCTTCTCATCTGCATCTAGCACAAACTCTACAATCAACCACACAATCGGCCATAAAACAATTCTCACACACACTTCAGGCAAATATCCTTGATAAACATAGATGCAAAAATCCTCAACAAAATACTAGCAAAGTAAATCCAGAGCCAGAAGCACACTAAAAAGCTAACCTATCATGAATAAATAGGCTTTATCCCTGGGATACAAGGTTGGTTCAACATACACAAATGAATAAGTTATTCATCACATAAACAGAACTGAAAAAAAAGAACATGATCATCTCAATAGATGCAGAAAAGGCTTTTTGGTAAAATCCAACATCCATCCATGTTGAAAACCCTCAACAAATTAGGCACTGAAGAAACTTATTTCAAAATAATGAAAGCCATCTAGGACAAACCCACAGCCAATGTCATAATGAATGGTCAAAAGATGAAAGCATTCATCTTGTGAACCAGAACAAAACCAAGATGTCTGCTCTCATGACTGTTATTCAATAGAGTACTGGAAGTTCTACCCAGGGCAATCAGGGAAGAGAAAGAAAGAAAAGACATCCAAATAGGAAGGGAGAAAGTCAAACTATCTCTGTTTGCAGAAAATATGATTCTATACCTAGAAAACATCATGGTCTTTGCCCCAAAGCTCACAGATACGATTTAAAAAAACAAAAACTTCAGTAAAGTTTCAGGATACAAAATCAGTGTATAACAATCAGTGCCACTTCTATATATCAAGAACATTCAAGCTGAAAGCCAAATCAAGAATGCAATCTTGTTCACCTTAGCCAGATAAAATGAAATACCTAGAAGTACAGCTAACGAGAGAGGTGAAATATCTCTAGAATGAGAATTATAAAACACAGCTGAAAGAAATCAGAGATGACACAAATGGAAAAACATTCCATGCTCATGGATAGGAAGAATCAATACTGCTAAAATGTCTGTACTGCCCAAAATAATCAACAGGTTCAATGCCATTTCAATGAAATCACCAATGACATTTTTCACAGAATTAGTGAAAAGTATCATAAAATTAATACAGAACCAAAAATCAGCCTGGACAGACATAGAAATCCTAAGCAAAAATAATAAAGCTGGAGGCATCACATTACCTGACTTCAAACTATACTACAAGGCCACATTAACCAAAACAGCATGGTACTGGTACAAAAACAGACACATAGACCAATGGAACAGGAAAGAGAACCCAGAAATAAATCTGTACTCCTATACCCATCTGATCTTCAACAGAGTTGACATAAACAAGCAATGGGTAAAGAATTTCCTATTCAATAAATGGTGCTGGGATAACCGGCTAGCCACATTCAGAAGATTGAAATTGAACCCCTTTCTTACATCATATACAAAAATAAACTCATGATGGATTAATAAATGTAAGAACTAAAACTATAAATACTCTAGAAGAAAACCTAGGAAGTATCATTCTGGACTTAGGCCCTGGCAAAGATGTCATGATGAAGACTCCAAGGGCAACTGTAATAAAAGCAAATATTGACTAATGGGACCTAATTAAAGAACTTTTACACAGCAAAAGAAATCATGAACAGATTAAACAAAAACCTACCTAATGGGAGAAAATATTTGCAAACTACGCATCTGACAAAGGCCTAATATCCAGTATCTATAAGGAACTTTAAAAAAGCAACAAGCAAAAAACCAAACAAGCCCATTTAAAAATGTGCAAAAGAAATGAATAGATACTTTTCAAAAGAAGACATACACGTGGCCAACAAGCATAAGAAAAAGTGCTCATCATCATTAATCATCAGAGAAATGCAAATCAAAACCACAGTGAAATACCGTCTCGCATCAGTCAGAATGGCAACTATTAAAAAGTCAAAAAATAACAGATGCTGGCAAGGTTGCAGACGCATATACACTGCTAATGGGAATGCTTATATACTGCTGATGGGAATGTAAATCAGTTCAGCCATTGTGGGAAGCAACACGGCAATTTCTCAAAGAACTTAAAACAGAATTACCATTTGACCCAGCAATCCCTCCATTTGGTATATACACAAAGAAATATAAATTATTCTAAATTAAAGACACATGCACACATATATTTATTGCAGCACTATTCACAATAGCAAAGACATAGAATCAACATAAATGCCCATCAGTGGTAGATTGAATAAAGAAAATGTGGTATATATACAACAGTAATTACTACACAGCCATAAAAAAGAATGAGATCATGTCCTTTGCAGCAACATGGGTGAAGCTTTAGGCCATTATCCTAAGCAAACTAATGTAGGAACAGAAAACCAAATACCAAATATTCTCACTTATAAATGGAAGCTAAACATTGAGTACACATGGACATAAAGAAGGGAATAACAGATACTGGTGTGTGCTTGAGGATGGGGGATGGGAGGGAATGGATCGATTGGGTACTATGCTTATTACCTGGGTGACAGAATAATCTGTTCACCAAACTCCCATGAAATGCAATTTACCTAGATAACAAACCTGCACATGTAACCTTGAAACTAAAATAAAAGTTAAAAAAAAAAAAAGAAATTGTCTCTTGACTGATCTATCTGTGTGAATAACCATTGGCACTAGAACCTCATGTAGCTCCATTATAGAATTATACTGTAATGCAGAATGCTTTGTAGAAAGGCTTTTCGGTATGTCAACTTCTGAATATTTTCAACGTCACCTAAGTTAATCCTATATAATGCTAAATTCTGTTTTGTACTAAGTGAAGTGGCCCTCTCTACCAGAGAAAAATAAATTCAACAGCTTTAGAAAGAAATAAAAAAGTGAGTCACACCAAATAATAGCTTCTTTCCAAACAATTGAAGCTCCTGCATACTTTCTCGAGCAAATATTTGCAAATGATTGACAATTAAATGTTGCCTCCTTTCTTTAGTGGTGGATATTCAATAGAAAACAACCTGTCAGGATGACAAATGAATCTAATATAAGCTACAACAAAGTGACACCAATAAACCAATGAGCTTCCAATTCTTCTCATGTGACCATCACACTGTATGTGGGATTAGCTGAAGTTTAATCAGATTTTTTTTATAGACTTGTCACAGAAAAGAAAGAAACTCCCACTTTCAGAGCCATTGGAATGACCTAATTCCAGAGACCAGATGATTTCAACAATACTTACTACTTGTAACTGTATGCAGGAAATATATCTTGCTTTGCAACTAGGTCCTTGTGATGGTTAACATTGAGTGTCAACTTGATTGGATTGAAGGATGCAAAGTATTGTTCCTGGGTGTGTCTGTGAGAGTGTTGCCAAAGGAGCTTAACATTTGAGTCAGTGGACTGGGAGAGGCAGACCCACCCTCAATCCAGGTGGGCACCATCTAATCAGCTGCCAGCATGGCTGGGATATAATCAAGCAGAGGAACATAGAAGGGTGGAAGGACTAGATAGGCTATGTCTTCCAGCCTTCATCTTTCCCTCATGCAGAATGCTTTCCTGCCCTCCAACATTGGACTCTAACTTCTTCAGCTTTTGGGCTCTTAGACTTACACCAGTGGTTTGCCAGGGGCTGTGGAACCTTCAGCCACCAACCGTAGGCTGCACTGTCGACTTACCTATTTTTGAGGTTTTGGGACTCAGACTGGCTTCCTTGCTCCTCAGCTTATAGACAGCCTATTGTGGGACTTCACTTTGTGATTGTGTGAGTCAATACGCCTTAATAAATTCCCCTTTATATATACATCTATCCTATTAGTTTTTCCCTCTAGAGAACCCTGACTCATACAGTCCTCATTGTTCTCAATGTTGATTCTGCTCTAGCTTAGCCATCTAGTTAGCCATTGCTAACTATCCTTTGCTGTTTGACCTTTATTCTCAGGGTGTTTAAGTCCATCAACCTATTAGCCTAGCTTTTTTTATTACTCTACCAAGAAGACTTTTGATTTATTAGATTCTTCTAAAAGAAAAGGAAAAAAGCGAAGGAACTCCATGAGTGCTACTATGCTGTGTTCTTCACTTGGTCTAAACACTCATACCCTTCTGCACTTCAAGTAGTTAAGGGCCACTAGTCATTCAGATCTCAGTTTAATCATCATTTTCTCAAGGAAAACTTGTCTGACGCTTTGAAATCGATGAAGTTCCCTTATTATAAGCTCTAATTGTTCCCTCTACTTTTCCTTCACATGTTGTTATGTCGTTCCTTCACATTCTGTTACTACATTAGGTTGACCCATATGACACTGTTGTTTACGTAGATCAGAACTATCAAGTATTGGCAGTTTCATATGATTAATCCTAAAATACTTACTTGTTGAGTTAATAAATTAATTCCTATGTCTCTCACTATACCATAAAGTCTGTGAGATCAGAGAACAATCTTTTACTTTTATATCCCTATTTGTCTGTCACATAGCAGTTTCTCCATAAACATTTATTGAGTGAGTTAATGAATGAATAGCCTCTGAATTCCAGTTTCAAGGATCGCATATAAACTCTTAAAACAAGTATTCAAGACACTCTAGACTAGAACAATAATACTGTGTGTGGAAGGGAGAGCATGCTTTATTATGAGGAGATGTCTTTTTTATTTTACAAAGAATATAGCTTGTTCGCAATAATTTACTTTATGTTTCCTAGGATCCTAGACACCTCTTCACTCCCCACACATACTCCCAAGTCAGAATTACTATTGTAGGTTTATGTTATTGATGGATGTCTATCATATCACTCAGGAATTTTGGGCCAAAACAAACAATGAGATTGAACACAATTGCTCTGGCTTATGACTCCTACTTCTTGGTGAACCTTATCTCCCACTGTGTTCTTAGGTGAAATTTTTACTCAATCAAATTGGTCTGCTTGTTGTTCTCCACATAAATTTTGGGCTTCTTTCCATCTGCAACTTCATTAATGCCCCTGTCTTCTACTTGTTGATATTCTATCCACCTTTCAAATCTCAACTCTTATCCCTTCCTGTTTCTGAATCCTTTCATGGCCAGTCAAGGTAAAGTCTCTCCTTTAAACTCCTACAACACTTACTATGTGTCTCATACAATGGTTTTGTCACTTAGTTACTGACTAGTTTGACAATAATTTGATCATAGGAGGATCTGTTGTTCTTTTGCCCATTCTTATCCCTCATTACCAATAATTTGGGGGAGAGGAGATGTGGGAGAAAGCCTGCCTATTTTGAAGAAGTGATATCAGTATTTTTATAGTTGAAGAATTTAAAATACACTCGTTTTAATATACAATGGATAGAAAGTTTATGCATTTTTTTAATATTTGGCAAAAGGAAGCATTCATTTTTAAGAGTGGAGAAACACTTCCAAAGAGAAAATAACAAGCCACTGTAGGCATTATGTGATTACAAGGTAGAGAAGTGCCCTGATCTGGAGGGCAGAGGAGAGGGTAGACATAGCCTCTTTCCTCTTCTACCCACAGAATGTAGGGACATTACAAAAATATAAGGTAAAATTTTTTAGTGACACACATGGTTACTATAAAAACTCTTTTCATTTCTTTCCTTTCTGTTTTGTTTCTAAGAGTAGCAATTTGGGCCATTAGACTTGGAGATAAGCAGTTTAGGACTGAGGTAACTTTTGCTTAGTAAATACCTTAGGTTTTGTTTCACACTCCAAGGTAAGAAAATTTGAGTGATTGTAAGTTTTTCTCTAAGTGATCCAGCCTAGATTCTCCAAGTAGAGGAGGAGATAGGAGGAAGGGTAGATGCTTTGTTCATCCAAAGAGACTCATTTGGCTGTAGCCATTTCTAAGATGCTCTTTCTAGACATGATTTTATGAAAGACAAATTGATGCCTATCAGTAAATGCTAGAGAACCACGAAGATATCTTGTTTCTCTTCGAAAATTTTAATGGTCATACTTGTACTTTTATTGTGCACAACTCAGGTTATTACACATAGTAATTTCTCAACAAATATTTTATTGAATAACATAAATTTGGAACTGACAGTTAATCTAGAAAACATTTAGTTTAATGTCTTCATTTTGTAGTTCATGTTTGCAACATACATTTATAATGTAACTACTCTGTGCTGGGTAGTCTGTCCACAGAAGTCTTAGAGACAATAAGACAGTTCCTGTGTTTGAGGGCAATTACAGAATGAGAAAACAAACTAAAAGAGGTAACTTCACTTGTCTAAAACCATGAGGCCTACAGGTAGACTTGGTCATGCATAGTTTAGTACATGAAAAAATAATAATACCTCAGTTGAGTCCATGGTGATCAATCCTACCTCATTCTGGATCCTGGTACCTGCTGCTTCCCTAAGTTTGGAAAATTACTTCCTGCTCTTATCCTCACCCTAGAAGATGAACTACAATATTTAAGACCTGGTACTTCATTAGTCCTCACTGTGTGTAAATTAAGAATTTATTCTTACAGTAAGCTTTCTCTTTTTTCTCTATATGTTACTTTCTTTTATTTGGTTGCATAAAGATTTGTAGATCTTAGCCATTAGCTTACCTTTTCCCTCTACTTTCTTTCTTTCTAATCGGGTTTCTTTTTATCTGACCCTTTGTCTCATTTTAAGATAAACTCCTTCTATAGAGTCCTCTCTTTTTTATTTTATCAAGAATATTTTTATTTATAGCAAACACTTTTCAAGTTAATTGTGAGAATTCTAAAGATACAGAATATATAAAGAGACAATAAGAATCATACGTAACATTATATATCCAGAAATAGCTACCCAACTTTTTAATACAGTCAGCCCTCTGTATTCATAAGCTCTGCATCTGTGGATTCGACCAACCACAGGTCAAAAACATTTTTTAAAAACTACAATAAAAATAATATAACAATTAAAAATAATATAAATAAAACCAATTGACTATAGCAATTATTTGCTTGGCATTTACATTGTGATATATATAGGTAATCTAGAAATTATTTAAAGTATAAATCAATCAAGGATGTATGTAGGCTATATACAGATACTGTGCCATTTTATAAAAAAGACTTGTGCATCTGCAGATTTTAGTATCTTGTTGGGGGTCCTGGAACCAATCTCCCATGGATACTGAGGGACAACTATATATTAACCTTCATGTCTATATATATAGAGAGAGAGTTTTTGAAGTAGAGTAATAATGATGTAATTCTATAATCTTTGACTCTGCAATCTGCTTTTTCCTCAATAATATATTATGAATATCTATTCACATCAATAATTATTCTTCTACATTAATTTTAATGGTTGCATAATATTCTACTGTATAGATGTTTTTCTATCATGTGACTGCTATATGCAAGTTATGGTGCTTTAAAATACATGCTGGCATAAAAAGAGTTCTAATGAAGGATTTAGGCATAAACAGCTAACTGCAGAGATCCACTTAGGAAAAAAATAATATTTTGAGAACATAACTTGATAAGCATTTTGGGAGTGAACTAATTAATCTCTGAGAATGTGGGTTTGGAGAAAACTTCTAGAAGCACATATACTCAGATATTTATTGCACATCATGTTGGGCCATGTTTCTGCATATTACCTGTAACCAAAATTTTTAAACAGTTACACACACAAATAACTATATAAACACTTATGTGCATTATGTACCAGATACTTTAGTTTTGTAGTGCATTTAATCCCCCAAATCAGTTTATGTGTTATATGCTTTTATCTCCATTTCACTAGTGACAGTATTGAGGTTCAGATGAGTTAAGACATTTGCTCCATATCATAGAGCCTTTAAGCATCTGAGCCAGATGTGATTCAGGTATGGCTTTTTCCAATATGCCACATTGCTTAAACTACAAAAGTACCATACAGAGAGGTATATCTTACACCCAAGCAACATCTGTAAAGCTTCAGAGCACAGAAATTTAAACCATCAAAAGTCACCTTAGGAAGCCATAAACTAACCTTCTTTTACCACATTACTCCAGAACTAAAAGCCCTCTCCTGGTGTATGATCAGAGACTTACAGGTGATATGGACAGGACACAGGGAAATACCAGGTAAAAAAGGGTGGTTTCCTAGTAAGGGCCCCACCCTCAAGCCTGGAGACCCATGGCCCTAAGTGGGAACAGGCATTTCTGTTTTTTGCCCAGAAAGTTGCCTTTCGGCCCACCATGGTCCCCTATCCTGTACCCATATAAACCCCAAACCCCAGCCACTCCATCTCCCTTCCAGCTCTGCATCCATCCAGCTGAGAGCCACCTCCACCACTCAATAAAACCCCGCATTTATCCTTCAAGCCTATGTGTGACCTGATTCTTCTGGGATGCTGGGCAAGAGCTTGGGATACAGAAAGATGTCACACTGGCCCTCTGCCCTTGCAAAACAGCAGAGAGTCCATTGAGCTGGTTAACGCTTAAGCCATCTGCAGAAGACAAAGCTAAAAGAGGATAGTAACACTGGGGCTGCAGTTACCCACCCTTAGACACTACCATGGGGCCCAAGCCTAAAGCTCTCACCCCAGCTCCTACACCTGCCTGTCTTCAGGCTCCCCCTCCTGTCAGGGATTTGAGCATCACTGGGGACCAAACACACCAGCCACACCCCTGTCACACATCCTGCAAGTGGGATCAGGGAACTCTCCTCTTTCAAAGGTACTATCAAATAATGAAATTACTTAGAATATATATATATGATATATCTGAATCCTCTGCCTGTTGAGAATAATATTTGCACCACTGGAAAAAAATAATATTTTTCTTAGTAGCAGAAAACCATTTTTAGCAAGAGACCTACTTATTGGATGAAGGAACAGAGGCAGGGTGGGGAGTGAGGTGGGTATAGGAATGAAAGGTCCAGATAAACAACACAAGATGAAAGGGCAAGACCCCACAAGGGTCACACTTGAAGTATTATTGAATGTTTGCTGAGATGCTTTCTAAGAGGGTCGGATTAGGTAAACTACGGGGTCTTTGCTTTGCTAACTGGGAAGGCAAGTTTGGAAAGAGTTGAGTCACTCATGCAATGGGAAAGATTAAAAAAATCTGTGTCAGGGAAATAGGCAAAAGAGGGAAGTGAGGTAGGAAACTGCCAAGTAAGAACATTTAAAAAGAGAACAAATATTTCAAAAGTAACTTTGGATTAAATTTGCTGTGTAGTGAATTTAAGCAATATTTAATAATAACAATAACAACAGATGCTAAGATTTATTGATTGCTTACTTTATGTCCATCGCTTAACATGCATTATGTCACCTGATCTTTATTTTAACCCTATAGATAAGCACTTTCATTATCCCCACTTGACTGCGAGAAAACTGAGACTTAAAGAGGTTAAAGGACTTTTTCCAAAGTCACAGCTAAGAAATAGCTGAGTCAGGAGGCATACTCTAATCAGCGTGCTTCCAAAGTCTATGCCACCAAGGGTAAACATCCAAATATGGGAGCAAGAAGAGGCAAGAGAAAATAAATCATTTCTACCTTTTCTTCTTTCCCCATAGTCTCTAATTCTGTTCAAGAACATCTTGCATTACAGTATTAGAGATCAATTTGTCTTGCATTCAACAAAAGCAAGCAATCCCATTTCCGAAGCTTGCTTGGTGGCCCCTTCTCAGTCCTCAATCTTGTAAAAACTCCACAAGTAAAGCAAGATCCTTTGAAGAAAAATCATAAATAAAACTGAATGGAGATTCAAAATATGCTTGCACTAGCTATATACAGAGTTCATTAGCATATTTGCTTTTCCTCTGTACAAACAACTAGCCATTGAGTTCATGTTGCTTCTCCAACAGTGATTTGGAAAACACTAACTCTGAAAAGGACAAGAAACAAACTTCAGCCCTTTAGAGTTAATTAGCATTTGCGGTTGGCTAAAAGAAAGGGATCACTGTAGATGTTACCAGAAGAAATGAACACAGTTTAACTGAAGATGATATTGAAAATAATCATGAAAATTAATTTATTTGGATAAGTCATTCAACCTTGCAAATTCTGAATTTTAAATTGGATTCTAATCTCTGAATTAAGGGTTTGTAGATGCTTTGAAAACAGCTTTTTTCAAAGCTTATATAATTGGTGAGATTAGACATAGACTGATAAAAGAGCACTTAAATAATTAGTGTAAAAAATAAACGTGTGCATTGAATTTCCCTTGAATTTTCTTTATTAGTCTCAAAGTGGAAAAAAAAACTATTAAGATATTTTATCCCTCCAAGGGCATAGCTAAAATTTATACCCAGGAACTTATTGAAGATGCATATGAAGGATCTAGACAGCTAAATACATCACAGTGAAAGAGTTTATAAGTAAATAATCAGGATCACATTTTTTTTAAGGACTAAAGAGTTACACAGGGCTATTCTAGTCTAATCCCAACATTTTAGAGTTGAGGAAACAGTTGATCAGAGATTAAGTTGATTCTCTTAGTCTATTTGCACTGTTGTAACAAAATACCATGGAACGGGTAGTTTAGAAACAACAGCAATTGATTTCTCGCGGTTCTGGAAGCTGGGAAGTTTAAGATCAAGGTGTCAGCAGATTCAGTGTCTGGTGAGGACCTGTCTCCAGATTCATAGATGGCATCTTCTCTCTGTGTCTTCTTATGGTGGAAAAGGCAAAGCACCTCTCCGGGGTCTGTTTTGAAAGGGCACTAATCTCATCCATTGGAGATCTGCCCTCAGACCCAATCACCTCTCTCGGTCCCACCTCCTAACATCATCACATGGTGATTAGGTTTCAACACATGTATTTTGGGGGGAAACAAACATTCAGATCCTAGCATTCTCCAAAGGTCACAGAGCTAGATAATGGGGGTGATATATGAGACGTAAGTGGGAAAGTGGCAGCAGATGTATATGAAAAATCTGGCAAAAGTGAGGGACTGGAAAGAGTATTTGAAAATCAGAAAAAGCTAGGTCATATAGGGCTTAGTAGAATTGGTTTAAAATTTAGATTTTAACTTTAAAACTTTGGGAAATGAAAGCTTTTAATCAGGGAACCAACATGATTAGACTTATATTTTAGAAATCCTGCCCTAGAGGAAGTTGGAAAACATATTGCAAAGAAATAAACTCAAAGAAAAAAGATTAATTAAAATGCTATAATATTTTTTAGGCCAGACACACACACACACACACACACACACACACACACACACACACATGCATAAACAACCCATGAGGTAGGAACCAGGGACTGAAGAATAGAATGACAACAGTGGAGGTAGAGATATAGAAGATGGGATAGAGCCATCTTATTAATGATGTAGCTATACTCAACAGCAGTTTATGACCAAATTAGATGAGGCAGGTGGGAGATATCAAAGAGCAAGCATAATATGTAGCATGAAATGGTTAAGCACATGGACACTGGGCCAGACAGCCTGGGTTCAGATTTTAGGATTTTCTATTAACTGACTATGTGGCATTGGTCACGGTGCTCAAACCCTTTATGCTTCAGATTTTTCACCTGTAAAATATGCATAATTATAGTGCCTACTTCGTAGGCTGTTTTGAGGATTAATGGATTAAATTTTATAAAATACTAAAATTAGTGTTGTGTACATAGTAAACACTATATAAGTTGTTCAATAAAATTTTGAAAACACCCTCAGATTTCTGTCTTAAGGGACTATCAGAGTAACTGCCATTTTTTAAGTTAAAATTTCTTCTTAAGGAGAGTAATATGGCAAATATGAGTAAATAGCATAATTCTCATAGATATGTTAATTTTATCTGCCAGCATTCTTTCCTTGGAGTAGCCATATCACTCACACTATAAATGGTTCTAGTGGGACTGTTTACCCATAGCACCTGACCTTTCCCTGAATATATTGATACATGTGACCCAGGCTCTGCCAATCATGACATCTTATTCCCTATCCAAGACACAGGCCTGTGATTCAAGAATGAGTAATAAGAGTTCTACCATAACTTTTCAATGTTCACATTGGGAGTGAGAGAAACTGTTTATGAATTACAAATTATAAAGTTGTAGGCTTAGGACTGGCTGTAGCCGTCTTTCTTGCCACATGGAAACAGCCTCTCCTAAAATTATGTTGATACACAGAGAGAATTAGTGCCCCAGATACAGTAGTAACTGGTATTTACCCTTAGGCTACCCAATTATGTGAGCCAATTAAAATTTTTTTGACTTAAACTACCTTGAATTGGTTTATTGTTTCTTTAACCACAGCATCCTGATTAGTACAATATATTTGAGATAAATGTTCAGGAAGATTTCTTAAGGGATTACTGACCTTAATTAATTAGCATATAAGCTTACCTATGACACAGATATCCATGGAATACAAAGAAGACAGGAAAGACACATCAGAATAGAAAAATCATTCAAAATGTTGTGGTAGCAGAAAAATTTGATGGACTTCATATGCAAAAGCTGTCCAAACTTAGATATAAGAAGGAGAGAACAAACTAGAGAGGACTAAATGGAGAGAAAGAACAGATATACCACATGCAGAAGAAAATAAGTGAATGGAAAATGGAATTTAGCAACAACTTCTAAAGATAATCTTGTATCAGGAATTGTTGAAAATAATAGAGTGAGGTAAAGATTAACACATGATCGCACTGTGCTAAGGAGCCTGAGTTATCCAAGAATTGATCGGTCCACTTAATGACTCGCTGGAGCTACAATGAAAGTGGATTTTAGAACAACTGAAATATCACTACTCTATGGCACTAAACTAAATACTATAGAAAAGAGCTACACAATATTTGAGAACATCAGAAGTGTCTCCTAGGGTTAGGCAAAGTGATTGATTAACCATTGAGATTCTGTCTCTCTTACAGGGGGAGCAGAGGAAAGAGAAATGCAGAAACAAACAGGAGTTGATAATATATTATCTGGTAAAGACTACAAAACTGCAAATGCATTTAATGTCCTCCCACAGACCTGCTATGGATCTAGTATCTGAAAATGACCTGTTAAGAATATGTTCAGGCTGGGAGTGATGGCTCACGCCTGTAATCCCAGCACTTTGGGAGGCCAAGGCAGGCGGATCACTTGAGGTCAAGAGTTCAAGACCACCCTGCCCAACATGGTGAAACCCCATCTCTACTAAAAGTTCAAACAAATTAGCCAGGCATGGTGGTGCACGCCTGTAATCCCAGCTACTTGGGAGGCTGAGGCAGGAGAATTGCTTGAACCCGGGAGGCAGAGGTTGCAGTAAGCCGAGATCACGCCACTGCATTCCAGCCTGGGTGATAGAGCAAGATGAAAAAGAAAGAAGAAGAAAAAAGAAAAGAAAAGAAAAGAGGAAGGAAGGAAGGAAGGAAGGAAGGAAGGAAGGAAGGAAGGAAGGAAGGAAGGAAGGAAGTTAGTTAGTTCACAATTTAAGAAGAAAAACCTTCAGAAAAAGTTTCAAAATGGCATCTAAGGACTCAACAGCTAGTAGCTCCCGACTAGCAACTCCTGGCTAGCAACTCATGAATCAGCCTCTCACAACTTAATCAGAAAGAAAGAAAAAAATTGCCAAGGCTATGTAATTTGAAGATTAAAATACAATTACTAGAGGTATTGCTTGCCACCCATAAGTTTGAGAAGACAGTTCAAGAGTAGGAAAAGTAGAAATGAGTGAGACCAAAGACAGGACTGTGCTAAGCCATTTCCCTTTCTCTTTCTCTCTTTCATTACTGACCATGCTACATCACCATTCACTCTTAGTAGGTTAATGTGCTTTCCATTTCACGTAAAATAGAAACTTTATTTTCTGATCACTATTTTCGCAACTTTTTTTGCAATCACATTCATTCTTCTCTTCCGCCTTCCTATTACAATGAAAGAGGTACCTTTGGTCTGCCTAAGGCTAAAATCTCATTCATGCTTTGTATCCCATCACCTCTCCTTTGCTCAGAAGAAAATTTAAGATTGTTCCTTTTCCTCTTTTTTATCTTCAGATTCTATCTACTAAATCCTTCCCATCAGCATTTAACTAAGCTCAATTTCTCCTATCTAACAAACCTAACTCCCTACCCCTCTCAAATTACTACCTTATTTCTCCCTTCCAGGTTACAGTAAAACTTCTTATAAGAACCATTTACAGTTGCTATCCCCATTTCTAATCTACACTCAGTACCCATCTCAACAAAATTTGGTTTCAACCCCCAGTAATTCACCAAAACGCCTCTCACCAAGAAGCTCCTTGTATTAAATCCAATGGATATTCCTCAGACATTATCATACTTGTCCTATCAGAAGCATTTGATATTATTGACAAAATCTTTATTCCTAGAAATACTCTTTTCCTGTTACCTTTCTCACCAGGGATTGTCTTCCTCTTTCTTCTCCTGGTATTCCTTAGGATTCTGTGCTGGAAGTGCTTTTTTATATTTTCACTACATTTTCAGATGATGGGCAATCTTGTCTGTTTTTTTAATTGCCATAGATATACTGAGGACTTTCAAATCTATCTTTTTTAATCAAAGTTCTCAAGCTTCAAACACATACGTTCAACTTCCTACAAGGAATTGATATTTGGATGTAGAACAGGCATCTCAATCACCACATATCCAAAACCAATTGTCCTATTTTTTTGCCACGACCTCATGTCTGGAATTCTGTTATATTTTTAACTACTTATTTAGGACTTCCACAGGTTAGAGTATCCAACAGGCATCTCAAACTCAGTATATCCAAAACAGAACTTTTCATTCTCTCTCCCAAGCCAGTTACTGCCTAAGTCTTACATAACCTCATAATTTGTTCCATTTACTTAGGAGCCCAAACCAAAACCAGATTTAATCCTTGAGACTTTGCTTTCCCACATCCGCTCATGGAAGTTAGTTTAACCTTGAAATTATTCTTTTGGCAAATATTTTGGTTAAAAATTGTATTTCTATATTTTTATAATAAAATATTTACCTTAAACTTGCTAATTCTGACTGCCAATGCTGGCTAATCAGAATTTCCTGATAACCTGTCAGCCACATAAATCCCCCTATTTTCATTTAATCAAAGAAATGGTCTCTGAAGCAAATTCCCTATAACATTCCACTAATTTGTGGGCTGTATGACATCAATAAATTGTTTGTATAAAACAGTGCATGGCAGCTGGGCGTGATGGCTCACACCTGTAATTCCTGCACTTTGGGAGGCCGAGGTGGGCGGATCACGAGGTCAGGAGTTTGAGACCAGCCTGGCTGGCCAACATGGTGAAAACCCGTCTCTAGTAAAAATATAAAAATAAATTAGCCGGGCGTCTCTGTCTCAAAAAAAAAAAAAAAAAAAAAAAAAAGCTGGGTGTGGTGGTGCGCACTTGTAATCCCAGCTCCTCCAGAGGCTGAGGCAGGAGAATTGCTTAAACTCAAGAGCTGGAGGTTACAGTGAGCCAGCCTAGGTGACAGAGCAAGACTCCATCTTGGAAACAAACAAACAAAAACCGTACATGGCACATATCAAAGACAGAAGACCCAGTACCAAGTTCAATCTAATCACACATGCTACTTAGTAATATTTTGCTTATAGAGTCATTACTAGCTAATCCCATCAGCTCTACCTCCAACATTTCTCAAATTTATCCTATCCACTCCATCCCTACAGCCACTACCCTAGCCCAAATCATACTTTTTTGCTTGGACCACTGTAAAAGTCTCCCAATAGTCTTTTTACTGCCTTTAATTTTGCCTCCTAAAGTTTATTCTCTACAAAGTAGCCAGAGTAAATCTTTTCAAAGAGCAACTCATATCACACTACTTTTCTGTTTCAAACCTTTTAATGGTTTAACACTGCACTTGAAATATATTCAAATTCATTGCCATGGCCTACATAATCTCTGCCTCACCTTCAACTTTATCTATTTCCCTGCCCTCTATTCCTTACATATAAACTGTGAATAAAGGAACATAATTTAGAAATTAGAACCAAAGTGCTTTCTATGATAAGGATACCAGATGTCCTGACATCATTCATAATTTGGTACAGCAATAATACTAATAAATGAACATTATTTTAGGAGTTGTAAAGTATTTTCACATATATTAACTTATTTGAACCTCACAGTATAAAAAATAGGTGGAAAAAGTTTCATTATCCCCATTTTACAAATTATAAAACTGAAGCAATAGAGACAAGACCAGAACTAGTTTTCCTGACTCTCAGACTGGTCTTGTACTATGTTGCATTACAGAATCATGGAAATGTGAAAAGTGGCACTATCGCATATCACTTTCATTTACAGTTGTCTTCTGTTAACAAATCATATACAGCTGTCCCCTGGTTTCCAAGTGGGATTTGTTCCAGAACCCTCTGAGGATACCACAATCCATGGAGGCTCAAGTTCTTTAGCTAAAATGGCATAGTAGCATAGTATTTGCATACAGTCTATGCACATCCTCTCATATACTTTAAATCATCTCTAGATTCTTATTATACCTGATACAATGTAATACAATGTAAATATTATGTATATAGTTGTTGTACTACATTTTTTCTAATTTGTATTATTTTATTTTTGTACGGATATTTTTATTGGGTTTTTTGAATACTTTTGATCTGTAGTTGGTTGAATCTGCAGATATGGAACCCCTGGATACAGAGGGCTGACTGTATTCTGTCGTTCTTCTTCAGATTTTTTTGTTGCTATGGAGACTTGAAAAAAATAGAAGCATTATTGCTTTAAAAAATACATCTATTCCTTTAGGGACAATGAAAAACTTGAAAACATATTTAACTAGAATTGCATGCCAAGAGTACGACTTTCTTTTCTAAAAAAGTTCTTTATGCTATTTCACTTTTTATAAGAAAAAATAAAATGCCTACTTCTAAAATTCTGGGATTATCCAACACCCTATTTCCTCACTATACTATAATCTCCAGGGCAGTAGCCATGTATACACATCATGGCATGTCTAATAACTTACACAGTGCCTGATACAGCAAAAGTTCCTAATATATTAATGTTGAATAAATATAAACATTCACTAGCAATTTTTTCAGGCTAAGTGGCTATCAGTGCAACAGAGAAAGCATGCAGTCTTGCCTATTCAGTAAATATACTTGCCTTTATCATTGTACAGATGCTCCTTGACTTCTGATGTCCTGATAAACCCATTGTAAGTAGAAAATATCGTTAAGTTGAAAATTCAGCCTATCTTAAACATGCTCAGAACACTCACATTAGCTTACAGTTGGGCAAAATCATCTGGCAACACAGCACACTACAGAGTATGTGTTGCTTACCCTCATAATTACACAGATGCCTAGTATCACAAGAAATTACGGTATGACATATCACTAGCCTGGGAAAAGATCAAAATCCACAATTTTAAGTATTTTTTCACTGAATGCATATCATTTTCACACCATTGTAAACTCAAAAAACCATAACTGAATCATTGTAAGTTAGGGAGCTTCTGTTCTCATTAAATTACCAAATGATTTGTTTTTTATAGGTATTCACTGGATTTTAATTGAATTATTTACCTAGAAATTTTATCTTCTATGTTTTAGTACACTGTACCATGACCATAATTATTTCCTAGGTATGACAGAGATTCCTAAATGTCTCCTAGTACTCATTCTTTTCTTCTTAGTTTCAGCTGGGAACATGACTACTCAGCTAGAAACTATATTCCTCAGCCTCTCTGCAGTTAGGCATGCCCACCTTACTAAGTTCTGGACAATGGGATGTGTGTAGAAGTGCAGCGTGCAGCTCATGAGTCTTCTTAAGGACAAAGCTACTTGCCCTGGTCTGCCTTGGACTGTTCTGAGAGACAGAAAGTTACTTCTTTCGTGATGGAACCTACTCTTGTTTTGGACTCTTTATTGTAACAGCTTAGCCTATTCCCTAAACAATGAATTACATCCACTTTAGCTGATGAGAAAGAGTATGAAGTCAAAAAGTGTCATCTTGTCTGGGGACTAATTTCAACTTGCAAGCCTCTATTTTGAATTGGCTTTAAGATACATAAGGGTTTATACCCAAGTACTTAGTATTTCAGAATATGTATAGTCAGAGATAAAAGACCTATTATATACCATCTAAGAGAGGTTACTGACTGTCTGGCTTTTTATGGCTGTTTTAAGTAGATTTCCCTAAAAATAGTATTTACCAAACTGTTCTCCATAGATCATTAAAACCCTTCAAGAATTATATAGACATTGTGTGTTTGTCACGCACCGACACTTATAAAGGGGGTGAGAGACTGATATTAAGACAGGAGTGTCCTTACGTCACATTTGGGAAACTCTTGGTTTAAAAGCTTGACTATAGGATTTCTCATAGGATTTAATATGATTTAATATCCTACTAGTTTGGTTCTTTATTACCATAGTCTAACGAGCTGCCATGTGAGGATAGATATGCTGTTGTAAAATCCATTAAAACACTATCACAAACTCAAATAAATTTATTTAAAAGAGGGATACATTCTCTAGCCCACCCTGCCATTACTAAATGTCCCATTTCTAGTTTCCTTATGAATTTATGTTACCTGCTTAGTTCTTAAATACATTTAAATTTGTAATCTCTGATTTAAACAAACAATTCTATATTTAAGTCTAGACTCCTTGACCTGGCTTGAGCCCCATGCCAATTTATTTCCAATGAAAGTTTCCAAGAAACATTACAGCTTACCAAACTGCTCCTCTTTGAATATTACCTGATAAAATATGGAGAACTTGAGCTTCAGACACTAAACATTCCTTTTTTTGGTATTTCCACTAACTAATACAAAAATAGTTTTCTCTGAATAAAGTTTCTTGGCACTGAAAATAATAACTGTACCTTGCTTTTTTTATAAAGGAAAAAAAGGAAAGGTTTCTTGCTATAGCTTTCCATACCATCAACTTTGCCTCTGATTGCTATTGCTTCAAAATCATAAACTCCAATGAAGCAAGCTAGCTAGAATTTGATAATACAATAAAGCTACCTTTGGGGAATTACAGAAGGAAGCTGAAGAAAAAAAAGTACTCAACCTAGAAGGAGCATGGATCTTAGATATTTAAGACTTCCATTGCACTAAATAAACTTTAAACAAAGATATTATGGTATTGGTTTTCATTCATACTAAGCAGGCTAGAGAATTACATGTTTCAATTATATATAATTGCCTCACAGCAGACTGATTGCTATGGATCTGTGCTCTTAGCCAGTATCGATCAGCAACACTTTGCAAAAATACAAGACAATCCAAAACACTTCATCAATGAAGCAGTTTACGTGAGGTGAGGAAATGATACCACTTGTGTCACTCTATAGTCAATGAGGATGTCCCTACTTCTTCTCTGCCTTTCATCTCCACACTTTATAAAAGTATAACTGAAATGAGTTTTCAAACTAGTTGAGAGAAAAACACCTTTGAGGATAGAGCCCTTAAGTATATTTTGGAGCTCATTACGGTTAGTAGTGAAAAGACACTAATAAATCCATGATTTACTGCAGTAAATTTTCTAGCCTTCAGAGGACCACAAAGTGAATGCTCACCAAACCCACTGATTTTTTGTTTTCAAGTAACCTCTACACTTTAGAAACTTCGTTTGGTACCACTTAACAAATGGTTAGTGTCTCACTTTTAGGAAATGTCTAGATTTCTACAAAAGAGTTAATTGCAAGAGTCACATTATATGTGACTTATGATTATCTAAGGCAAAGATGATATGCTTTCTCATGGCAACTGGGGTCAGTATTCCTCTTCACCCTTTTTCTTAAAGAAATTCAAAATGACCATATAGGTATAGCCTAAACAAAGTTTTCAATAGCCAAATAATATAAACTATCTATTGTGGTCCACTCCTTTCAGTCAACTAGTGTTTTAAGTGGAATTATAGAAAGAATGTAGTTTCTTTTCAGATTCTATTCTTAAGCCCTCTGAAAAGCTATCCTACTACAGTATACGTATTTTAAAAGACAAAATTATTTATAATTTGTTTTACTTGTCTGATGGCATAAATACAGAATAACTTTCTTACTGAAATTAATACCATGAGAAAAATAAATATTGTGAGCTACCAAAACTGCATATGTGTATATTTCTCTCATATGAACAGAGTGAAAACCAGAACACTGACAACTAGTTCTTTCGCATACCATTGAGTTTTGCAATTTTGTCATTTTAACAATTTGGCTTTTTCTGTGCAATTCTGAGGTTTAAAAAAGACCGCATTTATGGTTTTGGCAGAATTTAAGCAGCAGGCATTAATAGGTGGTCCAAGAAGGCAGAAAATTGAAGTCAACGAGGTCTGGTAATAAAGACTAAACAAATTTCCCTGACATAGGTGGAGCAAAGTGTTCAAATGGTGGATAGGGAGGATAGTGTGTCAGTCCATAATAGGTAAAGATCTAGTTAGTGCCGCCTCATTCCACAACTCCAAGGAGCACTATTCACATCAGAGTCTGCACAATGGTGTCCCCTAGAGTTTGCAGTGTATAGTTTGTGTGACCAATATGTGATAGCCCCAAGGGCTAGGCAGATAGACAGCGAGTGTCAAAGAAATCAGATAGCACTTGACATGGGGAATAAAATTCCGGATGTGGATTTCAGTTTCTGGAAATAAACAATGTTAAAGAAAATGAAGCAATACAATATTAAAATAACTACAGTATTTGGCAAAGGATCAAGCAAAAGAGAAAGGCCCTAACTGCGGGTATTAGAGAACAAGGCACAGACCTACTGCATCATAGGAAACAAAACTAAAAAGGGCTCAGTTATTTTACAAAGTCAGAAGCATCTTCAGCAAGAGTACCTTGATGTTGAGCTATTGTTACATAAATTCCCTTTTCTAGAGAATAGAACTATTGCTACAATTTTGGGTAATTTTAAAACAACTGATAGTAGGTGAATGAACTCTTGAAATTTTAGGTTCAAGGACAGAATTGAGCAAAGCACCTTTTAATATACTAGCTCCCATGTTTGATGCTTTGCTCTTTAAACAATGCTAAAATATAAAGGTTGTCTAAGTCTATCAAACACCAAAATATCTGTACAAAAATGAAAAAGCAATCCAACTACAGAGAAGGTTGATCTGCCCTGTGCCAAAGACCTATGCATTTCCAAACATGGTGAGGAAGAGAGAAGTATCTGAATGACTAAAACCCGTTCCCATATAAATTATTTAAAATTTTTTAGCTATAACAATCCCCCCCATCTCTACACTTAACCTATTATCTTGCTTAACCTAGAGATACTTTAAGTTGAGCACTCTTCATTTATATAACTTCTTATCTGGAGAAAGAATATATTTGGGGCCTTTTTCTTTATGCATGTTACTGGAGTGTTTACATGCCTGATGAAGCTTGAGAGTCACTAAAGGAGAGCATAGGCAGAGGAATCTTTGCCAAATATTGCATACCCTGGCTAAGCATTTAAAATCCAAGTTTGTTTGCAGGAAAGCATGTTGAAAAAGATCTGGAATGTTTAAGAATTATTAATGCATGTTCATAGACCTGAGTACATATTATATTAAAGTAAATACATTCTGCATTAAAAGAGGTTTTTCATGTGTTTTTGGATGAACATTCTCATGCATTGGTAAATCAAAACCCTGAAAACTCCTTAGTTTCCATTATCCATGCTTAAAGATGGTACCATTGAGACTTGAGAAAATGGTGATTTCATTAAAGAAATGTAGAAAGTAAAGAGTTTTGCTTAGGATTAGGGATAGGGGTTTAGAAACTTAATTTTAGATATGCTGAGTTTGAAGTGATATGGCATAAAGAAGGAGAGCCTATAAAAGTAGTCAAACACTTAGATGTCAGAACACCTGAGTTCAAATCCTGGCTTCACCATTTACTAGTTTATGTGAACTTGGGAAAGTTATGAAATTTCCCAAATTTGTTACCTGATCTGTATAATGAAGAATATGACAGTACCTACATTTTAAGGTTGTCGAGACAATCAAGAGTTAACACATACAAAGTGCTTGGGACAGTGCCTGGCAGTGCTCAATAAATAATTTGCTTTGTTGTTATTGGTATTGTTTTTATTGTTTATGTTTATGCTGTTGCTATACGGGGGGGAAATGCCAGCAGATATTTATAAAAGCAGAAACACATTGGGAGAGAGATTTGGACAGGGAAATATAGGTTTGATACGGCATTGGTGACTTTTAGGAGTACAAATTAAGTAGAATGATGGGAAGAAATTTCAGGTGAGGTATATTTAGGTTAGCGGTTAAAGGATTAAAGAGGGACTGTGTAATAAACATAGAATAAACTTGTAAACAGAAGTTTATTTGTAAAAGAAAGGAAAGAAATAAGGACAAGTAAAGAAAGTGCATTTGGGTCCAGTAAAGGTGATTTTCAGGAGAAGGGAAACCTGTGAGAGAAGTTATTATTTGCTATTCACCATTTCAGTAAGTTCCATCTGCTTTCTTAGTTCAGGTAACAAATCGTCGCTCTCCATCCCCTTTTCCTCCCCTAATTACTCAGCAGTTTTCAAACTCAATCATTTTTCTAATTCCTCCTCCCAATTTTGTGCTCCAATATCTCCCTTACTTGTTTTGCTAATAGGCTTCTCTCCCCCTGAAACAGTGTAAGGAGGGGCTATGTAATTTTCACAGAGAGCACAGTTGTCCTCAAAGAGAGAACAAACAAAAGTTCTAATTTCCTCTGCATCTGGATTCAGCATGCTCTTTTGATGACCTACTCCCAGAAGTAAATTTTCCACTGTGGCCTCTAAATTTGTGGGCAAGATTCTTCTCAAGGTTACAATCTGGTTGCAGGTGCAAAAAAAAAAAAAAAAATGCATGTGAGGGAAAAATATTCTAAATGGAATCTATAGCTCATCAAGCTGTTTCTGTCTTTTCTTAGTTACTTATAACTAATTTTTTCTTTCCTTTACCACAGAAAATATGTAATATGACAGTATGGCAGCTATAGTCATAACAAGGGCAAAGCTGGCTGATAGTTTCAGGATGGTTTCATTAGATCAATAGCTTTAGTGCAAACTTTCTTGGTCCAAGTTCTGGTGCTCAACTCTGTAGGTAATAAAACTATGATTCACTCAAGTCTAAATAACAGGAGACTGATTTATGAATGAAAATGTGACTGTATTAAAATAGGGTATATTCTTATTTCTAGTAACTTCCTTATCTCAACATCAAGGCATCTTGAATGCCAAATTTGTAATGTCTGGTGAATCGAACCATGGAAAACATAAATCTTTTCATTTTGAGTGTGATAGAGATTAATGAACTACCCTGCTCCAAAATATAATTATGCTAGTACTAACTGGGAACATCTGTATGTACTGATTTAAGATCTGCACTGCAAACTCTAGGGGGTGCCATCCACACGGTAATCTATGTGAATAATTCACCATGGAGTTGTGTACTATCCAATTTGTGAGGCTGTACACAAATAATCTTGATGATTTTATGCTTCTCCTTTGTGTGGTGTTGGTTAACTCCTAATAATCGGTGCCATAGTATTCCAAGTCATTACAAAAGCTTTCCATAGTATGATAGAGTTCCCATTTTGTATGTTATTTTCCATTCATCATATTTTAGTGGAATTTCGTACAGATAACACTAAGCAATGGTTCCCAAAGTTATTATGTAAAAAGAAAGAAAACAACCTTCCTTTAAAATGCAGATTACATGTGCCTGCATCCAGGGATTCTGCTTCAGTTGGTCTGTGCTAGAGCCCAGAAATCTGCATTTTAAAAAGCACTCCAGGTGGTTCTGAAGTAAGTGGAAACACTAACTTTAAAATGCAGATTAATCATTTACCTTTTTCCAAAACACTCTCTAAGATGTGGTATTGCTCATCAAGTTTTCTTTACACAACTAATTTCATCCATGCTGTAGAGATTTTTTTTTTTTTACCTCAGCAGCAGATATGGACATTTTTCTGATCATAAGATCTATCCCTAAAGCCTATGGTCCTTTGTTTGTGGGCTACACCAACATTTAGAACAACACTTCAAAGTAAAATGCATTTTTTTTGGAAATAAGTTAAAAATTCAGTGTGAATCTTCTCATTGCTTGAGAATTTTATTTAGCCTAATTCTATTCTAGTGACTGCCAAATGCTCACAGCACGGCTGATTTCCAGTCAGTACTCTCCTTAGACTAAAATATCTATTTTTGATCATTTTCCCTGCATGATTGCTTTTACTTGATAGGTTAAATCTGGCTTTCTAGTTTGCTTATATCCTTAACCTCTCCCAAAGAGGTTATTGTTTGGAATCTCAATGATATTCACAACGCTTTCTCCTTTACTATCACCTCAAATTTAATTAACATGTCATTTAACTACTTTTCAAAGTCATTAATAAAGACATTAGACAAACAGAAATAACATCATCCCTCTGCAACTGGAAATAATTCCATCTAGCAAACAGGACCCATGTTTCAATTGCTTCAGCTTCATTTCAAGTCTTCTACAAATATAGGGCCACTCATTGCTAATGAATATTTACAGAAAAAAAAATGTATTAAAACCAAGACAGCATACATATGGAACACAAATAACTAACCATTGAAACGTAAATATTCACATAAAATTAATCATATTGACATATATATTGCATATCCTTTCCCCAATAGTGTTGCTGTCATTCAACTTATTATGGTAATTTAATTTTCATTACACAGAATTTATTTCTTATATAACAAATATACTATTTTTTGCTTTATGATTTTCAATTTCTTCATCATGCTTATAACTACCTCAAAATATAATTATATTTCCATTCCTCTATATTTTTATTCTATTTTGTTTATTTTCTACATATGTGGACTTTTGACTCACCTGCAATTTATATTGATGCAAGGAGTGAGACAGGGATCCAGAAACTACCATTTATTGAGGATTTACTGTATGTAAATTATGTATTACTATATGTAAATTGTACCAGGCACATACATTATTTCATTCTGATGTAAGTATTACTGTCCCATTATACAGATGATGAAACTCATATTCACATAGGTTGAGGAAATTAATGAAGGTACACACAGCTAATAAATGACAGATCAGGGGTTTGAACTCAAGACTGCCTGACTCTAAAAAACATTCTTAATCATTATTCTGAACTGCAGATTTGTGGTGGTAAATTTCAATGGCTACTGAATTCTTAATGTACTTAATAACCTGTCTTAAGGCTCCAATCTGTTCCATTTCTAGGCCAGCAATGCAGTTTTAATTTCTGGATAGCTTTATAATAGGCTTTGAAATCTGGTAAGGCAATGCCTTTTCTGGCTATTGTCATATGTTTACTCTTTCAGATAAACATTAAATCACTTTCCAAATTACAAAAATGCCCCACTGGAATTTTTATTGGGATTATCAAAACTAGTATTAATTAATTTAGGGGTAACTAAAATATTTACAATCAGAGAAAGAAGTACATCTCCACATTTATTCAAGTATTTTTTATATCCCTCATTTATGTTTCATAGCTTTGTCTTATAGGTTCTATTTATTTGTTGCTTATACCGTGTTTGTTAATGTTTTTGTTGCTATTTTGTGAGTGTATATATATAACTCTTTCTTCTATATTTTATTTGCACATTTTATCTAATTGTAAAATATTATAGTAATTTAAATCTGATTTTACTTATTTCATAAGTATTTGCCATCTTACATTGTCTCTTTTAAAAAATATTTCTTAAAATATTTCCAAGATACAAAATTTTATACACATTAACATATATAAAAGTTGAAGATAAATATAATATGCCATCATGCACCTGCTATGTGAAATTCTTACCCATTTTGCCTAAAATTGGTAGCTGTATTATCCATCTCAGGCTTCCATAACAAAGATGAAAGACTGGGTGACTTAAACAATAGAAATGTATTTTTCACAGTTCTGGAGGCTTGGAAGTCCAAGATGAAGGTATTGACAAGTTAGGTTTTATTCTAAAACTGCTTCTCTTGCCTTGCAGGTGTCTGCAATCTCATTATGTACTCACTTGACTTCTCTGTTTATGTTTATGTTCAGAGAGTGAGAATGAACTCACTAGCATCTTTTCTTTTAAGGATGCTGATCTGATTATATCAGGGCCTCACCCTTATTAGCTTATTTAGCCTTAATTTCCTTCTTATATGCCCTGTTTCCAAATATAATCACATTGGGGATTAGGGCCTCAACATATAAATGTTGAGGGAAAATAACTCAGTCCATAGCAGTAGCCTACTATTTTACTCAATCATCATATTGCTTCTTATTTTGTTTGGTTTAGAAATTCTTCCTTTTTTTTCTAGATATACAATCATGAGTAAATAATGGTAATTTTGCCATGTTACTTAATCATATTTACACTTTTGGATTCATTATTTTGTATTATTGCTTTAGGAGAAATTCCAAAAAATTTTATATAATAGTGATTTACACAATACTAATGGTTTTTGAGACTACTGTCTTCTTCCTGATTATAACAGAAATAATTGTAGTGCTTGACTATTAAATATGATTCTGGCTGCTACTTTAATAAAGCAAATCTGTACTTTATTTTTTATCAGTAATAAATACTGCATTCTTTTTCTTTTTTAACATCTGTCATGATTATATGTTTTATTTTTCTTTTGGGCTTATTAGTGTTGCAAATGTCATCAGATTTTCTAATACTTATCTTGCATCTCTGGAACAAAATCTATTTGCTCATGTTATATTCTTATTTTATTTTAATCTTGGGTTCTATATATTAATTACAAACTTCTGATTTTCCCATCTGTATTCAAAAGTATAGTTGTGTCACTATTTTTTAAACTCTTTCATGTTTTCTTATCAGCCTGCTGCTGGTTCTGTAACAAAAACTCCCCGTTTTACTCTATGATGTAATACAATATAAACTACATCAGAAACATTTTCTAATTGAAAGTGTGAAAGAAATTGTCAGTGAAATTATCTGGACTGAATTTTTTAATGGTTTTCTCATTTTTTTTCCTAAGCTATTGTTTTCTTAGATTTTGACCTTTTATTCACTCAATTTTAGAAATTAATATAGCATAGAAAAACATTTCAAATTTATTAGCAAAGTGATATATATTGTCTTAAAACTTGTATATCTGCTGCTATTTCCTCTTTTTGATATTCTTATCACAGTATATTTGTCTACTTTTGCCCTTGTTTATTATCAAAATTAGTGATTTATCTTTTTTAATATTTATTTACAAACTGTTACTTTTTTTCTGCTTTTAAAATTTATTTATTCATGTTATTTTGACTAACAGCTTCCTCTGTAGCATAGATCTACTTATGTATTATATTTCCACCTTCTTAAGTTACAATATTGATTCATTTTTTAATCTGCTCATGAAGATGTTTAGGGATTTTAATTTGCCTTTTAATACACCTTTTGCCTATCTCAAATGTTCTAGCTTGTAACATACTCATTCCTTATGAACCACACTTTTCCAATTCTCTGTAAATAGGGTTAGGCTTTCCACTTTGTATACTTTCATTTAGGAAAATAGTTTTGTTCATTATTAACATTTTTAAGTAATTTGGTTTTCTGCATCTTTATTTACATTCATTTGTAGTTGTATTGCTTTGTGTTATAGAACATGATTTATAATGTATGTATTCTGGCAGATTCTTTTTAAACTTTTTAAAATATTTAACTTAGGTGGGTACATAGTAGGTGCGAAATATTTTGATACAGGCATACAATACATAATAATCACATTAGGGTAAATGAAGTATCCATCACGTCAAGCATTTATCATTTGTGTTAAAAAGTGTGTTGTACCCACTAACCATCCCCATTTACTCCTAACCTACTGTTATTCCCAGCCTCTGGTAACCACCATTCTACTTTGTATGTCCATGAATACAACTGTTTTATTTTTTAGCTCCAACAAATAAGTGAGAACATGTGATGTTTGTCTTTCTGTGCCTGGCTTATTTCACTTAACATAATGATGTCCAGTTCCATCCATGTTGTTGCAAATGACAGAATCTCATTCTTTTTGATGGCTGCATAGTATTCCATTGTGTATATGTACCACATTTTCTTTATCCACTCATCCGTTGATGTACACTTATGTTGCTTCCAAATCTCAGCTATTGTGAACACAGCTACAACAAATATGGGAGTGCAGATATCCCTTTGATGTTGTCGGATCATATGGTAGCTCTATTTTTAGTTTGTCTTTTGTATGTCTTCTTTTGAGAAATGATCATTCAGATATTTTGCCCATTTTTAATCAGATTATTAGATTTTTTTCCTATTAAGTAGTTTGAGCTCCTTATATATTCTGGTTATTAATCCCTTGTCAGATGGATAGTTTGCAAATATTTTTCCCATTCTGTTGGTTGTATCTTTGTGGATTGTTTTCTTTGTTGTGAAAAAGCTTTTTAACTTGACGTGATCCCATTTGTTTATTTTTGCTTTGGTTGCCTGTGCTTGTGGGATATTACTAAAGAAAAAATTGCCCAGACCAATGTCCTGAAGCATTTCCCCAAAGTTTCCTTTTAAGCAGTTTCATAGTTTTAGGTCTTAAATTTAATTATTTAATCCATTTTGATTTGATTTTAGTATATGGCAGGAGACAGCAGTCTAGTTTCATTCTTTTCCATATACATATGCAGTTTTCCCAGCCCCATTTATTGAAGAGATTATCATTTCCCCAATGTATGTTCTTGACACCTTCATCAAAAATGAGTTCACTGTAGATGTCAGGATTTCTTTCTGGGTTCTATATTCTGATCTATTGGTCTATGTTTCTGTTTTTATGCCAGTACCATGATCTTTGGTTTACTATAGCTCTGTATTGTAATTTGAAGTCAATGATTGTGACTCCTCCAGTTTTATTCTTCTTGTCCAAGGTGGTTTTGGCCATTATGAGTCTTTTCTGGTTCCATATAAATTTTAGGATTAATTTTTCTATTTCTGTAAAGAATATTATTGGTATTTTCATAGGAATCACATTGAATCTGTTGATTGCTTTGGGTAGTGATACAGTTTGTATATTTGTCCTCATCCAAATCTCATGGTGAACTGTAATCCCCAGTATTAGAAGTGGGGCCTGGTGGGAGGTATATGGATCATAGAGATGGATACCTCTTGAATGGTTTGGCCTGAACCCCTTGGTGATGATTGAGCTCACTCAGTTCACACAATATCTGGTTGTTTAAAAGCGCGTGGCATCTTTTCCCTCTCTTTCTTCTGTTCTTGCCATGTGATGTGCCTGCTCCCCCTTTGCTTCCCCCCATGATTGTAAGCTTCTTGAGGCCTCCCCAGAAACAGAGCAAATGACAGCATCATGCTTTCTATAAAGCCTGCAGAACCGTGAGCCAATTAAACCTATTGTAAAATAAATTACCCAGTCTTAGATATTTCTTTATAGCAATGCAAGAACAGACTAATACAAGTTTTATGAACATTTTAACAATACCAATTCTTCCAATCCATTAACATGAAATATATTTTCATTGTTTTGTGTCCCCTTCAATTTCTTGCATTAATGTTTTATAGTTTTCATGGTAGAGATCTTTCACTTTAGTTAATTCCTTGGTATTTTATTTTATTTGTTCCTATTGTAAATGAGATTACTTTCTTGATTTCTTTTTCAGATTGCTAGCTGTTGGCATATAGAACTGCTACTGATTTTCTATGTTGATTTTGTATCCTGCAACTTTACTAAATTTGTTTATCAATTATAGTAGTTTTTTTGAGGAGTCCTCAGGGATTTCTTTATAGAAATGTGAGAATGAACTAATGCAATCTCATTGTACCATCTATGTTTTTAAAAGTTGTTGTAGTTATTAGTGTGATCATTTCATCTTTTAGTCTTTCTACTCAAGATCTGAGTACTAGAACCTCCACCACAATTATAGCGTTACAATATTCCGTGATTTTCTCTGTACTTACTATTACCAGTGATTTCTTATTGCTCATTAAGTCCTCTTCTTTCAGCTTGAGGAATTCCCTTTAGCATTTTTTTGTAGGACAGGTCTGGCATTGATGACCTCTTCCAACTTTTTTTTTTGTTGGGAAACTTTTTATTCCTCCTCCATGTTTTAAGGACATTTTCACTGGATATACTATTCTAGATTAAAAAGTTTTTTTTTTCCTTCAGCACTTTAAATACGTCACGCCCCTATCTTCTGCCCTATAAAGTTTCCACTGAAAACTCTGCTGCAAGACATATTAGAGCTCCATTGTATGTTATTGGTTTATTTTTCGTGCTGCTTTTAGGATTGTTTCTTTATTCTTGACCTTTGTGAGTTTGATTATCAAATGTCTTGAGGTAGTCTTTTTTGGGTTAAATTTGTTTGGTGTTCTATAACCTTTTTCTACTTAAATATTGACGTTTTTCTGTAGATTTGGAAAGTTCTCTGTTCTCATTCTTTGAAAAAACTTTCTACCCCTATCTCTCTCTACCTCCTCTTTAAGGCCAATAATTCCTAGATTTGTTCTTTTGAGACTATTTTGTAGATCTTCTAGGTGTGTTTCATTGCTTTTTATTCTTTTTTCTTTTGTTTCTTCTAACTGTATTTTCAAATGGTCTATTTTCAAGCTCACTAATTCTTTCTTCTGCTTGATGAATTCTTCTGTTAAGAGACTCTAATGCATTCTTCTCTATGTCAAATGCATTTTCACTCCAGAATTTCTGTTTAATTCTTTTTAATTATTTCAATCTCTTTGTTAAATTTCTCTTCTGGGATTCTGAATTTCTTCTCTGTATTATGTTGAATTTCATCGAGTTTCCTCAACACAGCTATTTTTGAATTCTGTGTCTGAAAGGTCACATATCTCTTTATCTCTGAGATTTGTCCCTGGTGCCTTATTTAGTTTGTTTGGTTAGGTCATGTTTCCTCGGATGGTCTAGATGTCTGTGGCTGTTCATCGTTGTCTGCGCACTGAAGAGTTAGGTACGTATTGCAGCCTTTGCAGTCCGGGCTTGTTTTGTACCCTTCCTTCTCGGAAAGTCTTTCTAGGTATTCAAAAAGGACTTGGGTGTTGTGATCTAAAATTTTGGTCACCGAAATTGTATCTACATTAGGGGGCACCCCAAGCTCAGTAAAGCTGTGGTCCTTGCAGACTTATGGAAGTATGACCTTTGTGGTTTTAGGGAAGGTCTGGAAGAATTCCATGGATTATCAGGTAGAGATAATTTTCCTCTTCCCTTACTTTCTTCCAAATATTAATGAATGGAGTCTCTCTCTCTCTCTTTCTCTGCTGAGCTGTGTGGAGTTGAGGAAGAAGTGACTGTAGCAATACTGTGGCCACCACCACTGGAAATGTTGTGTGTCAAACTTGGAGCCAGTCATGCACTGGGTCTCAACCAAGGACTGTGGTAACCACAGATGGTGAGGCCAGAAATACTGTGCCCTTCCTTTTAGGGCAGTGAGTTTCTGCCAGCCCTGCATGGGTCTAGAGATGCCAGAGATCTGGGAGTCAGGATCTGGAGTCCAGAATCCTAGGAATCTACCTGGTGCTCTATTCTCTTGTAGCTGAGCTGGCACCCATGCCACAAGACAAAGTCCTTTCCATGCTGCCTTCCCTTTTCCACATGCAGAAGAGTCTCTCCATGGCCATAACCACCCCAGTTGCACAGCAAGTACTATCTGGCTACTGTCCATGTTCCCTCAAGGGCTAAGGGCTCTTCAGTCAGCTTGTTGTGAGTGCTGTCAGGTGTGAGTCTCTCCCCTCAGGACAACAGGCTCCTCTCTGGTCCAGGGCATATCCAGAAATGCCACCCAGAACCAAGGCCTGGAATCAAGGACCCTGAGTGCTTGCTTGCAGCTCTACCCTACTTTGGCCAAGCTGGGACCTAAAGTGCGAGACAAAGTCACCTTTATACTTCCTTTTCCTGTTCTCAAGTAGAAGGAGTCTCTTCCCATAGGCACACAGCTGAGAATGTCCTGAGTCATATCTGAAGCCAGCACGTGTCTGAGTCTTACTCAAGGCCCACAGCAAGTACTGCCTGGCAACCACTTCTAATTGTTCAGAGCCCAAGGTCTCTTTAGTCAGCAGGTGATAAGTTCTGCCCAGACTGGGTCCTTCCCTTCAAAGCAGAGAGTTCCCTTCTGGCCCAGGCTATGTCTGGGAATGTCACCCAGGAGCTAGGGTCTAGAATGAGGGCCTCAAGACTCTGCTTGGTGCTCTATCCTACTGTGGCTGAGCTGGTATCCAAGTTGCAAATCAAAGTCCTCTTTACTCTTTCCTCTCTTTTCCCCAAACAAAAGGAAGGAGTCTGTGCCAGAGCTTCAAACTGCACTGCCTGGGGTTGGGGGAAGGGTAGTGCAAGCAGTCCTTGGCTGCCTTGGCTGGTGTCGCACTAGGTTATATGCCCCCCAAGTCTACTGGCTCTGTGCCCAGCGCAGCACCAGGACTTGCCCAGGAATTGCAGTCCTTGTGGCCCAGATGGCCTGTCAAGTTTATTTAGGACCCCAGAGTACTTTTGCCCACAGTTGCAAGGCTTTCAGAACCCAGGTTCTGTCTAGGGCTGGTCTCAATGCTCCCTCCATGAGTGCCAGCTAAGCTCTGCCTAGTGTTGCTTTCTGCTGTGGCAAGGCAGCACTGAGCTCCAATGCAAAGTCCCACAATCATTGTACTTTCCCTCCTTGAATTGCACAGATTCTCTCTCCATGCCACGTGGCTGCTGCTGGGAAATGGGGGAAGGATGGTGCAGGTGATTCACAACTGTCTTTCTTACCATCTTCGGTTCCTCTTTCAGTGATATGGCATTAAAACCAGATACTGTGATCACTCACTTGATTTTTGGTGCTTATAAAGGGGCTTTCAGTGTGGACAGTTTTTCAATTTTGTTTTCCTCTGGGGAGGGCAATTGGTGGAGGCTTCTATTCAGCCATCTTGCGCTGTCCCTCTAGGGGATTCTTTTGAGGTTTGCTTTGTCATCTATGCACTTTTTATAAAAGTAATGTGGTGCCATATTAGTTTTCTATTGCTGTGCAACGAATTACTACAAATTTAGCAGCTTAACACATAAATTAATTATCTCACAGTTTCCGTAGGTAAGGATCTAAGCACAGGTGGCTCAACTAGTTCTCCGTTTAGGGTTTCACAGAGTCAAAATAAAGATGTTAGTCAGGCAGGGCTTTTATCGAGAGGATGTAGGAAGAATTCACTTCCAGGCTCATTTAGATTGTTGGCAAAACTTAATTCCTTGCAATTGTAATATTGAGGTTCTCAATTTCCTGCTGATTGTCATTCTTGTCACATGACCTCCTCCATCTCTAAACCAACAATGATTTTGTCAATTCCTTCTCATCCCTCAAATTTCTCTAACTTCTGTTGATCTCTCTGGTTCTTCTACTGCATCTTTCTGACACCAGCCAGAGAATGTTCTCCGCTTTAAAGGGTTCATATGATTAGGTTGAGCCCACCTGGATAATCCAGGATAATCTTCCTATCTTAAAGTGCATGCCTTACCTTTATCTGTCTCTTCCACCAGGTAAAATAACAGTCTCTTCTACCAGGTAAAATAACATATTCACCACTTCCAAGGGTGAATCTTTGTGAATCCATCTGCCTACCACAGGTGTTTACGTTAAAAAGACTTCTTGATTTTCAGAATATAAAATTGCATATGTCTAATTATATCACACTTATTGTGTTATTCAGAAAATATTTATTCTTATTCTCTACTTCTCTCTCATAGACTGAAATTTATTGGTAGAAACACTTCTATTTCTATCTCTCTTCATATTTTCAGCAGTTTATAATTGTAAACTCTAAGCCCTCACAATATTTCAGAAACCATCCTAAGTGCTTTACATATAACAACTCACTTAATCCTCACAACAATATTGTGAGGTGAGGTAGATATGTTTACTATCTCGTTTTACAGATGAGAAAATAAGTGAAAATGGAGGATAAATAATTTGGTTAAGGTCACACAGCTAATTGGTGGTAGAAACAGGATTTAAACCCAGGATATCTAGTTTCAGATTACATACCCTTAATTACTTATGCGTATTTGTGCTTTACAAATCTGTGACTTATCAAATATTTCACATATTTGATAATTCATTATTATATTATCTTTTGATAATTATTTTGTGAAGATATTTATTATCACTGTGGAATGCATCTTTCATCATTTTAAAATGACTGTTTTACCCACACTTAATGCTTTTACTTTTAAATCAACTTAGCTTGAAGAAAAAGGGCAATCATTGCTTTTTTGCAATAGGATAAACCATATCAAAGGTGGTTGAGACTAGAAAACAAAACATACCTCCTGTAAGCATTTAAACATTTCTGGAATTACTTACTTCATTTATAAAATTCACTAATTATACTGACCACTTTAAAGCTAATTTTAAAGTATTAAATGAGCATCCATGTGAAACTTTTAGAAGTAGCTGACATGTAATAAACATTCAATATATATTATTGATAATGATGATGGTGATGATGAAGAAAAAACAAACAATATCCTTAAATTCATAAAGGCTGACAAAACAAACCCAGGAAGGAAGTGCTAAACAAAGATATTAAATAAAGATAAAACAAAACTTTGTGCCAAAGACTGAAAACTTCTACATCAAGCATCAGATGTTCCTTATCAGAAATGAGAATACTAATACAATGTTATGCAAGTCAAATAGAAACTCTACATATTCTTTTTTTTTTTATTATTATACTTTAAGTTTTAGGGTACAGGTGCACATTGTGCAGGTTAGTTACATACGTATACATGTGCGATGCTGGTGTGCTGCACCCACTAACTCGTCATCTAGCATTAGGTATATCTCCCAGTGCTATCCCTCCCCCCTCCCCCCACCCCACAACAGTCCCCAGAGTGTGATGTTCCCCTTCCTGTGTCCATGTGATCTCATTGTTCAATTCCCACCTATGAGTGAGAATATGCGGTGTTTGGTTTTTTGTTCTTGCGATAGTTTACTGAGAATGATGGTTTCCAATTTCATCCATGTCCCTACAAAGGACATGAACTCATCATTTTTTATGGCTGCATAGTATTCCATGGTGTATATGTGCCACATTTTCTTAATCCAGTCTATCATTGTTGGACATTTGGGTTGGTTCCAAGCCAAAGGACTATAAATCATGCTGCTATAAAGACACATGCACACGTATGTTTACATATTCTTAAGTATGCAAAAAAGCAGGTTACAAAACAGCACGTACCTTGTGACAGAATTTCTTTGTGTGTGTACACACACACACAAATACAGAAATGCATACATATTGACATATAAAACAATAATTTAATATGATTAAGCTTCCACTACGTTAGAGGAACTATGTGGGTTTTCTTGGGTCTTTAGTTTGTATTTTCTGGCTTTCATGTAATATGCATACAACGCTTTTGCAATAAGAGTATATAAAAGATGCTGTCTTTTAAAAAGTTGCAAGTGGAATATCTATAGCAATAAGATCATATGATAAGGAAGTATTTGATAAACAGACCTCAGACCTGTGCTACACACTGCAAAGTCAAAAACATACCATTGACATGTAGTTTGAAACAATCTCTCTATATCATAGTGCTGACTTTTTTATTTTAAAATCTCCCTCTATTACCCCTATTCCATTATGCATCCTCTATGTGACTTGCATAAAATGTTTCTCTCTCAATAAATTTTAAAAGAGGGATCACATTCCACTCATTTTTAAACTGACCAATGACACTAAGGCAGAATCTGGTACATAGTATTGGTTTAATACATTAGGAAATTTTGTAAATATAATCAATGTAGAAAACCATCCTGTTTAATGGTCAAACTGTATTGGAATACATAGATCCATTCAGAGGCAGTTTTATTCTAAGCCAGATATTCTATGTTTGATATTTTTTCTTTTGATTAAGAAACCAATAAATTGGTTTTTTGCCCTCTCAGAATTAAACAAAAGAACGAACACCTAAAGGATCAGAGAAAATATATGCAGTCTGCTAAAGACTCCCAGGACAACAAGAGTTCATATATTTTTTGAATGTATTAATATATCTAAGGGATGGCTGTCAATCAAGAGAGAGTTTGGTAGTCAAGAAGCACAGAAAATATTTAGTGGTGGGGGGAAATATTAATTTTATAGAGAAGAAGGAACTTTGGTCATTGAACTATGAGAACTCTCATCTAATTGGTAAGGGTATTTCTGTGATAAAATGAATATATTAATCTATCTTATCTTGCTACATTGAACATTTCAGTTCGATTAAATTTCCTTGCCATCATTTCCTGCTCACCAAGCAACTTTGTGAATGATTTGATTGTAATTGATACCTAGCAGTTTCTTCCTCTGTCCTACGTCTCTAGCTTTCTTTCAGAGATGTACACTTGACCCACACCTGGCTAATGAAAGCATTTCTTTACCCTCGCTGCAGTGATGGGCACATAATATAAGCTTGATTAATGAAATTTATGTTCAGGACTTTGCCTAGACTCTTGGGAAAGAGGATATCTTCTCTGGAATCATTGACTACATAGTGAATGTGAACCTAGAGTTGTCAGTGGCCACTCTTGCCTGATAATGAAGTCAACTCGGATGAAAAGAGAAAGATTTAGTGCAGAGGATATTATTTGAGGCTCTTGACCCACCCCTGAAATTTTAGCCCATGTTAGCTAATAGATTCTCCATCTTTGATAAAGAATATCTCCATTTCCAGATCTATGCCCATTTGTAGATCTATATCTATTGATTTTTTTATAATTATCTCAAACTTTCTGATGAGAACACTAACATGAGGAAACAGTTTTATGTGTTTCCAAGACTTTTTAAGAGAGATTTTTCATTGTGTGATGTTATCCATAGTCCCATATATACAGATCCTTATAGAATTTTAACGCCAGGGTCAAAAAACTTTCCTTTTCAATACCAAGTTTTGTATTTCATTCTAGGTGGTAATGAGATAAATATAACACAATTTAGTTCACTTTTTCCCTTGGCTACCAGGCTGCTCAGAACCAAATTTCATGTTCAAACTTTGGCATTAATACATCTATGGGTTCTGAACATACACATTTCTTCCTTCTAATGGATTTTGCTTTTCCTTCTTAAAATTTTAATTGGCCTAGTTTATAGATAATATTGCAAATCTCTTTGAATATATTTTAAGGTCAATGAAGCATAATATATTCAGAAAAGATTAACTCTAGGGTTTCCTTTAGCTCTGGAATTTCTGATAATGTATTGCAAATGCATATACAATCTCATTTTGACTAGTAATTTTCTTGACTGAGAGAGAAATTTATAGAATGCTAGATGTAAAAAGGACTTTAGAGGTCATCTGTTCTAAATATATTTATTTTGCATATAAAGATTAAATTATTTGCTCAAAGTTATATAGCTGAACATGAGCAGATTAGGGATTAGCACCCAGATCATCTGAATGCTAATTTCCAATCTACAATTCTTTTTTTTAATCAACTCTATTATATCCAAAATCAAAAAAATTGTCATACTCAAAATCAAAAAGAAATTTAATAGAAAAGTTCAGTTGGAAAACTTACTTCTTATCTCAGTTTCCTATCAGTAAACACTGTTATCCCTAAAAATAAAGTTGTATTTTTTTTCCAAATTGCCTATGACTTACTTTATGTCTTAAAAGGCATAAATACATTTTAATCAAAGCTTCAATAGCTTAGGCCATTATATTGTATCAGCCTCCTTTTTAAATAATGGGGTTTCTTCTTTTTGTTTATAAAGATCCCTTCACCCCTGATGGCTAAAATTAATTCATGTTGTTTCTGTTGCCCTTATCTTTCTATTGCATGCCCGACCTGACTCAGAGAACCCTGTCAAGTGCCATTAGTATGCCCTCACCTCAGAGAACTCTGATGACTGCTCAGCATAATGAAGAGCAGGGTGTCTGGTCCTAGAGAGTTAATTGGAGTTGTCTGACCAAAATTTTGAAGCTTTATTTCCTGACCTTTTCTTAAATGAACACACATCTCAAGCCTACAGAGGAAAGGTAGTGGTTGGGGGAAGGGAGTGCAACAATCTGCTACTGAACTGCTGGATATTCTTCTTGAGTATAACTGCACCTTCCCTTCAGTTTATACAGAACTTCCAAGGCTCAGCTGGTTATATCATTCTTGCTATGTTACATAAAACTTAAGTTGAATTAACAGTCTCTTGATGAGGCACAGAACTAAGAGAGAAAAAGGCAATAGGCAGAAAAAGGAAAAAGGCTTTTGGGTCTATGCCTTTTGTAAAAACATCTACCTCTTCCTCCAACCATACTGGCCATTACTAATAGCTAAAATCCAGGATTAGTCCTCAGTCCTAAAGTAATTGCATATTTCTGAGCTTGTTACTCCCTCTTTCTGCAACCCTTGCACTACTCTCAGCCTTCTTTTCATAGAATGAAGGAAAAAATACTAGCTTTTATTGAGCAATTACTGCATAGGCACTCTGCTAGGCATATTCACACACGTCATTAATTCTCTCATTACTGTTGACTAGTAAGAATGATCAACTTTCTTTTCAAAGACTGAAAAACATAATCTTCCTAGAGAGAATAAATTGCTTGTTACCCAGTAAATGGTACTGAAAGTCATAGTCTGAATCTACATCTTCTACTCTCATCATTTTACCATGCTGTCTTTCTTGGCAAAGTGTCATATTAAGGAATTAAGTGTCACCATCCCAAAGAAAACTAGTGGGAAAATAAGTTATGGCTAACGGTGAATTTTAAGATAGTGCAATACTTTGGTAGAACAGATTACTTTGGAAGAGAGTTTCTTCTCCAACAGTCTTCATATCACACAACCAATTACTCACAACACAGAGCAGCTTGGTGAGGCTTTAAAATACTATTTCAAACTAATGTGAAGAATACATTGCTGGGATTCTGCCCCATTGGGCCTTAAATAATAAAATATACTGTGAACAGCAGTTTAAGTATTTCAAGCACATCTGGCCCATGTCTGTCTTTCATTCTTTAATATATAGACAGGAAGGCATGAATGTATGCACACAAACCCACCCCACGATCATATATATACTTTGAGGGTCTGATCATTGTCAGGAAATCAGACATTGGGTTCTAATGCTATGAGACAGGCTATTCAAAGGCCTGGCTCTAATAGCTGTGTCAAGAAGAGTTCAAGGTTATGGAATGTGAAGGCAAGTACATTCTGCATATTCTGTCAGGAGAAAAACAGCTTGACATGCTGATAGGTTTTACCTACCCCCAATCTTCCACCTCCACGTTCAATGGCCTTCTTACTTGATTCCTAAAATCTTTACATACATTCCAACAAATTCTAACTCTGATTCTAATCAGTTTTCATTTACAATTTCAAAATGGAGACTTTACAGACTGGAATATCACACACACACACACACACAGACACACACACACACACACACACACACACAGTCTAAGTAATCATTTTAGTTCTTTGTCCTGTAATGGTGGTTATTTTTCACTGAGGCACGCACACGTAATTGTCAGATAATCACTGAAATGAATATTTTCTTAAGGGCAACACAGTTGTTTTTTTTTTTGTCTGTAGGCCTTCAGAATACTGTAAGGCATCTGAAACATAGTAGGAGTTCAATTAATATTTGGGGAAAAATAAAATTAATATATTGGGAAAGTATTAGAAAACATGTAGAGTGAAACTTTTGCCAGTAGGATTATAAAATGGGTACAACAAATAGAAAGAATGAACAGCTTGTTTTTAAATAGAATCAGGGTTTAGAACACAAGCATTAGGGTTCCATAACAGATGGTTTTGGTGCCCCATGCCACAGCCACTTAGTCCATCTTTACTTTCAGCTGCTTTTGTGGCATACAATTCCACAGGTGTTCAGACAACTTTCTGCAGGCAGCTGTCCTACCTCAAGCCTGTAAAGCTTAAGGTCTTTCTGCTTTGTGCCCCAAGGCCTTCTCTCATGCCTCTGGAGCCAATTTGTTCCTAGAAAAATTGCAGCCCAGAAATGCAGTTGAGTTAATGCTCCCAGGGACAACCCTTAACTACTGGAGGATGAGAGTCAGTTAATATATTTTCTAGCTATCTTTTCAAGTAGATTATTCTGGAAGGTATTTTGTATGCTTCTCAGGTTTCAGTGTAATTCAGCCCCTGCTGCTCACAGTAGTGACTTAAAAATGCACTCTTGTGTCAGCTTTTTCTTCTTTCTTGTCTTTTTCTACCATCTTACTCTGCTTGTTAAATCATATACCAAATAAGTTACCTTGATCCAAGATTTTTTCACAGGCTCTGCTATAAGGTGAACTTAAGTTCATATACATCACAACTTAAATTATGATTCTACTGCTTATTGTCTATATGGCCTTGAACAACTTACTAAACTTCTCTGAGTACCAGTTCCTTTAAATGTTAATGGGTATAGTAATAGTGTTTAACTCACATAGTTGTTGAAAAATTTAAATGCAATAATATATATAAAATGCTTAGCATATTGTCCAGCCAATCGTTAGAGATCAATAAACTGATGATTAAAAATACAATTATGCATTTAACTAAGTTGTTCTTAAAGGGGTTGAATCTGCAGTAGTCTCATAGCACACGCTTAACCAGTTGCTAACTACTCTAGGTTGGATGAAGCCCCTATTCCCTCAGATTACTTCAACCCTGCCTTCCAAAAGATGACTAGCACAAAGGATATACTAAAGATCTGGTACATATTTAATATTTAACTGCTTCTTATATATCTAACAAAAATGCCTGATTAACACATATTCAAAAGTATAGCATTATGTATTGAAATCTGATTGGTAGTTAGTCACCACACTGATTATGGTAGCATATATAAGGGAAGGGGAATAAGACTGAATGGGAATATTGGACTGGAACGATTCCCTATACCAAACCAATCAGGAAGGCTCCTCAAGTGGTGGGATTGGTATTTCTAGCCTAAGGAGCAATAAATCATAACAAGTCTTTCATTCAATTCATTAAGTGCCAGGCATCAGAACCTCAAGAGCAAACCCTTACTACACTCTTTCATCATAGGAGAAATTTTTGTCATTCTGCAAATTTAGTTTAAAAATCATTCTGTGTTTTCCTTGTGAGCAACCTATTCAGATCCACGACATAAGTAATAAAATAAAAATTATAGGTTCCATTCATTGAACAAACTATGCTGTAAATGGGAATATAAGACTTAAAAATCAGAAATAATTAACAAAGCGTATGAGACAGAATTTGAACAATTCACAAAATATCACAGGCATTCACACAAAGAACACTGTTTTTTCAGTCTGTGGCATATGGAACCACACATGGGAAGAGAGGTAGATTAAGGCAGTGCTTCCCAACCACCTTCACATGATGGCACACATAAAAATCAGAATATTTGTATGGCATGCTAGGGAGGAATGATGTGATTGATCCTTCCTTCTTCTTACCCAGGAAGTCCTCCATTTAAAAAAATCAAGCCAAAACAAAACAGCAAAACAAAAATCTACTAAATCTTCAAAAATATGTGTCTCTCCTAAAGAGACTTGCCAAAAGCTTACAAAAAGCAAGCCCTTTAATTTTTCTATTCATCAATGCTCAACCTGGACACAAGCATACTTACGAATACATTCATAAAAATCCTCTCCCATTGGAGTACAGATTTTCTTGCCATTTTGAAATAGGCACATACAAGGGTGAAAAAGGTTCTTCTCCAGTCTCAGAGAGAGAAAGCCAATTTAAATGCACATGGTAGGCAGAATAATTGTCTCCCAAAGATGTCAATGCTTGAATCCCCAGAACCTGTGAATATGATAAATTATATGGCAAAGGAAAACTAAGGTATCAGAAGGAATTTAGGTTACTAATAAGTTTTTCACTTTAAGATAAGGAGATTATGCTGGAGTATCTGGGTGGGCCCAATGTAACTGCAAGGGCTGTTAAATGCGAAAGAGCAAGACAGAAGTGTCAGTTTCAGGGTAATGCAATGTGAGAAAGGCTTGAACACCTATTGCTGGCTTTGAAAAAGGAATGGGGCCATGAGCTAAGAAATGTGGCCAGGCCTTTAGAAGCTTGAAAAGACAAGAAAACAGATGCCCTCTAGAGCCCCCAGAAAGGAACACAAACTTACTCTACCTCTTGTCCCACATGTGGTTCCATGTGCCACAGATCTTGATTTTAGCCCAGTGAGATGCATTTCAGACTCCTGATGTACAGAACTGTAAGATAATAAGTTTGTGTTGTGTTAAACTACTAAATGTGTGATAATCTGTTGCAGTTAATACCAATAGAATACTAATATCACCAAAAAAAGCATAAAATAATTCACTCTTGATAGTCTGCTTCAAGACTAAATGAAGCAGACTATCTTGTGGTTACTTTCTAGTTATTCCTAACCAATTATTATCACATTTCCGAGTAGAAGTCCTCCCTGGCCTTTATAACACTTTTACAGTGCTACCAAAAAGACATGAGAGAAAAAAACACTAGAGACTCCCTTCCACAAAAATATTTTTCTCAACAGCTTACCACATTTCTTAATACTACCTATACCAAAGTCTTTTGAGATGAAGAAGACCTGTGCTCTAACACGAAGAGGTAATCTGAGAAAATACAAGTTAACATTATGCTTTTCAAAATGAGATATGCATATCCCCATCATTGTAGTGTTGGAAAGCATAAAACCACAGTAAAAATGCATTGTATCTTCGTGGGGTGTCAATTTTACTTTAAGATTGGTGAACAGGTGAAATAGTTTTTATTGTAAAACACACTTGAACATGTTGAGAAATAGGCTGGATTTTTGAGTAGACAGGAAACATTAAAGAAATATCTCACTGGTAAAGTTTTATTTTGTTTTGTTTTTCAGAAAAGCTCCCACAGACTCTGGTGAGCTGACTTTTCCTTTAAACAACAACTTTGAGAAGTACTGAATTAAATTATTATCTGCTATTTTCAACTTTTCTCATGCATGTAGGCTTGATGCTGCCAAACAGACTGCAAGCTCTTTAAGGGCAAGTACTTTGTCTTCTTTTTTTTTTTTTTTTAACATTCTGATTAGAGTTCCTTATGTGAACACTCCACATCAAAGTTGCTTTTGGAACCCTTAATTCTTTTCAGTAGCTTCTGCTTTTCAAGATGAATACTAATCCTACTGGATAGATGACAAGCCACAAACATAACAACTTTAATTACATTATAGATAGTGATGGGGACATACTACCAGCTAGCCTGGATGTCTTTGCAAAATCCACTTCTGGAAGATCTCAGCTTGCCCACTAGGCTAAGACAAAATAGGACAGAAAGCATATTTCGTGACAGGACGTTCCACGTGGCCCTATGAAAGTTTTCCAAAAGGACAGGAAATGTTGTTCTTTGTTTCTACTTTGGCTTCCTCTTTCTCCTCACTCCAGGCTGGTCTCAGAATTCACAATGAAAAGCAAAAATAATCAAGAAGTGTTTGGAAGAGTACTGGAGCACTCTAATTTGTTGACAGTGGAAAGTTTTCCATTTGTTAGCACATTGCAATTTTCATATTCTACACCTTACCCTGCATTTTTTACTGAGTGTTGCTGACACGGCCTCTCAGCAGAATGAAACTTAATTATTTTCCCCACTGCACAGTCAAAAGAGCTTCCTTTTTTTGAGGCTTGCAACATGAAGCCAAAATAAAACACCTGGTGAAAAAAATAAAATGTCAATAATCTGGCTGTTCTGCCACATGACACGTGAATAAAATATGCTAACTATATCCATGCAGATATATATACATATATATGCTTACTATTTGTGTATCTATCTACCTACATGTCTGTGTGTGAATATATATGTGTGTATATATACATGCGTGTGTGTGTGTGTGTGTGTATATATATATATATATATAACTATATAAACTGTATACTGAATGTTTGATGCAATTGGCATTTTGTAAGTATATCCTTAAATACTGCTTTGGTCGGGCAGAGTTAGATTACAAAAAGTTGTAATCTATGAAATTGTCTTCCCACACCCCACCAATTTTTTGATACCTCATTAACTACTTGTGTCCTGGGTATCCAGTTTATGACCTTTCCTACTGTCTTTCTTCTCATCTCTCGTGTCTTCTCTTAACTTCAAATGCTCCATCTATGCTTTCCTTTGCAAATCAGGTTCTCTGGCAAGTGAACTCAGAGATAAAGATTACCATACAGAAAGTGTATAAGAGAGTGCTCTCCAGATCAATACCTGTGGAAATTAGTAGAAGAAAACAAGGCTAGACAAAAGGAAAACTCCAGCTGCCATACAATTCCAACAAAGATTTCCATGATCCCACTGAGATGGCCTTTCAGAATTGGCCCAGAGTGTGAAAAGAAGCCTGTATAACTTTTGTCAATCAGTTCTTGATATGAGCTGCTCCTTAAGTGAGGCATTTTTCTTATTCATTCTTAGCAGCTAAGGGAATAATCCTTCATTCCTGAGGAGGATCTGAGTGGTACAGCACAGTGTCTACCACACACTCCATCAGAGACTATATTATTGAGAATTGTAATTAACATACATTCCTAATAAATATTAGTATCACCAGATAAAAGTTAAAAATATGATTTTCCTGGAGGTGGTCCTTAAGCAATATTACTAATTTGGGATATTTATGATCTCACGACAAACTAGAAAAAGAGATGATTTTTCAAGTCTTTTCAAATTGTTCCATAAAAGTAAATGCTCACTTTATTAATATTGATAGGCTAAATCTTAAAAGTGAGTGAGTTGCTGAGTGGAAGGAACATGAGCTTTGGAGTCAGATAAACTTGAGAATCCTGATTCTTAGTTAATTTTCTGCAAGTGTTACAGCAAATTAAATTATCTGAGCTTCGGTTTTCTCAGCTGTAAAATCTGGCTACTAATAGCACTTACTTCATAAGATTTTTATGATCATTAAATGAGATGAGGTGCAATAATTAATACAGTGCCTGGCTAATAAGAAATGTGACAATAGAATGAAGAGGTTAAAAGGGCCGCCTTTGAAGTCAGAAAAGCTAGGGATTAGCTTTCAGGTTTGCTTCTTACTATCTATGTAACCTTGGGAAAATTACTTGAAATACCTAAGCCTCAGCTTAGACCTATTAAATGGTGATAATAATAGTGTGTATTTCATACAGTAGCTGTGAAGACTGAATAAAATGATGTATGAAAAGTACTTAGTACAGTGCTTGGCACATAATAAGTGCTCATAAGTGTTAGCTACTATTAAATCAGTCTAAGGAGGCTTCAGCAAGTCATAAACGGGTTTCCCATATATGTTTCCCAAAACATACGAATATTTATTCAGTATTCAGATTTTCTGTAATTTAATATTAATTCATAGTAATATAGATTTAAAGAATTCAACCGCTCATTACAATTACAAACTTTGCTTAAGAGTACTAATGACAGGCACTTTTAACTTCATTTATTGAAGCATTATTGAGGTATAATTGACAAATAAAAGTTATAAATATGTAAGGTATACATTGTGGTTTTGATACAGCTATAAATTATGAAATAACCACAATAAGCTAATTAAAATATCTATCACCTCACATAGTTACTATTTTCCTCCTTAAGTATTATTCATTCAGTTGTAAATAACCCAATTACACTCTTTATTTTAAAATGTACAGTTATTTTTGACTATAGTCACCCTGTTGTGCTATCAAGTAGTAGGTTTTATTGATTCTTTCTAAATGTTTTTTGTACCCATTAACCATCCTCACTTCCCCTCATCCCACTACCCATCCCAGCTTCTGGTAAACACCCTTCTACTCTCTATGACCATGAGTTCAATTGTTTTGATGTTTAGATCCCACAAATAAGTCAGAACATGTGATGTTTGTCTTTCTATGCCTGGCTTATTTCACTTAACATAATGACCGCCAGTTCCATCCATGTTGTTGCAAATGACAGGATCTCATTCTTTTTTTAAGGCTGAAGTACTCCCTTGTGTCTATGTACCACATTTTATCCATTCATTGATGGACATTTATAGGTTGCTTCCAAATCTTAGCTATTGTGAACAGTGCTGCAATAAACATGGAAATGCAGAGATCTCTTCCATATATTGATTTCCTTTCTTTTGGGTATACACAAGGTAGTGGGATTGCTGGATCATATGGTAGTTCCATTTTCAGTTTTTTGAGGAACCTCCTAACTGTTCTCCACAGTGATTATACTAATTGACATTTCCATCAACAGTGTACAAAGGTTCCCTTTGCTCTGCATCCTCTCCAGCACTTGTTATTGCCTGTCTTTGCATAAAAGCCATTTTAACCAAGGTGAGGTGATATCTCATTGTAGTTTTGATTCGTATTTCTCTGATGATCAATGACATTGAGCACCTTTTTATATGCCCATTTGTCATTTGTATGTCTTCTTTTGAGAAATGTCTATTCAAATCTTTCACTTATGTTTTGATCAGTTTTTTTTCCTATAGAGTTGTTTGAGTTTCTTGTATATTCTGGTTATTAATCCTTCTCAAATGAGTGGTTTGAAAATATTTTCTCCCATTCTGTGGGTTGTCTCTTCACTTTGTTGTTTTCTTTTCTGTGTAAAAGCTTTTTAACTTGATGTGACCCCTTTTGTTCATTTTTGCTTTGGTTGCCTGTGCTTGTGGGCTATTGTTAAAGAAATTTTTGCCAAGACCAATCTCCTGGAGATTTTCTCCAATGTTTTCTTGTAGTAGCTTTATAGTTTGAACTCTGAGATTTAAGTCTTCAAACCATTTTGATTTGATTTTTTGTATATGATGAGAGACAGGGGTCTAATTTCATTATTCTGCATACAACTATCCAGTTTTCCTGGCACTATTTATTTAAGAGACTGTCTTTTCCTCCAGCGTATGTTCTTGGTGCCTTTGTTGAAAATGAGTTTACAGTAGGTGTATGGATTTGTTTCTGGGTTCTTTATTTTGTTCCATTGGTCTACGTGTTGGTTCTGATGTCAGTAACATGCTGTTTTGGTTACTAGCTCCGTAGCACAAACTGAAGTCAGGTAGTGTGATTCCTCCTGCTTGCTCTTTTTCTTTAGAATAGTTTTGGCTATTCTGGGTCTTTTGTGGTTCCATATAAATTATATGACTTTTTCTTTCTATTTCTGTGAAAAATATCATTGGTATTTTGATTGGGATTGCATTGAATCTGTAGACTGTGTTGGGTAGCAGGAACATTTTAACAATATTAATTTTTTTTTCAATCCATGCACATGGAATATTTTTCCATTTTTTCATGTACTCTTCAATTTTTTTCATCAGTGTTTTATAGTTTTCAGTATAGACATCTTTCACTTCTTTAATTCCTAGGTATTTAGTTTTATATCTGACTACTGTAAATGAAATTTTAAAAAATTTTTTCACATGGTTCACTGTTGATATATAGAAATGCCACATATTTTTGTATGTCGATTTTTGTATCCTGCAACTTTACTGAATTTGTTTATCAGTTCTAATAGTTTTCTTGTGGACTCTTTAGGTTTTTCTAAATATGAGATTATATCATCAGCAAACAAGGATAATTTGACTCCTTGCTTTCCAATTTGGATGCCCTTTGTTTCTTTCCCTTCTCTGATGATCTAGCTAGGACTTTAAGTACTATGTTGAATAACAGTGGTGACGGTGAGAATCTTTTTTGTTTTCCAGATGTTAGAACAAAGACTTTCAGTGTTTTTCCATTCAGTATGATACTACCTGTGGGTCTGTCATATATGGCTTTTACTGTGTGGAGGTACATTACTTCTATATCCAGTTTTTTTAGGGTTTTTAAAATAAATGTTGAATTTGATCAAATGCTTTTTCAGCATCAATGAAAATGATCATATGGTTTTTAGTATTCACTCTGTTGATACTATGTATCATGTTGATTAATTTGTGTATGTTGAACCATTCTTGCATCCCAGGAATAAATCCCACTTAGTCATGATGAATAATAGTTCTAATGTATTGTTGAATTTAGTTTGCTAGTATTTTGTTGAGGGTTTTTGCATCAATATTCATCAGAGATAATGGCCTGTAGTTTTCTTTTTATGGACGTGTCTTTGTCTGGTTTTGGGATCAGGGAAATACTGGCCTTGTAGAATGAGTTTAGAAGTATTCACTCTCCTCTATTTTTCAGAATAGTTTCAGTAGGATTATTATTAGGTCTTCTTTAAGTGTTTGGTAGAATTTAGCTGTGAAGCCATGGGGTCCTGGGATTTTCTTTACTAAGAAACTTTTCATTACCTTCAATCTCATTACTTGTTATCGGTCTGTTCAGGGTTTGGATTTCTTCCTGGTTCAATTTCGGTAGGTTGTATTTATCTAAAAATTTGTCTATTTCTTCTACATTTTCCAATTTATTGGCATATAGTTGCCCATAGTAGCCACTAATGATCCTTTGAATTTCTGCAGTATCAATTGTCATGCTTCCTTTTTCATTTCTGATTTTATTTATTTGGATCTTTCCTCTTTTTTTCTTAGTCTGGTTAGAAGTTTGTTTTGTTTAACTTTAAAAAACAATTTTTTGTTTTATTAATTTATTTCAATTTCTTTGATTTCTGCTCTGATCTTTAATATTTATTTCCTCCAGTTTGGGGTTTGGTTTGCTCTTGCTTTTCTACTTCTTTAAGATGCATTGTTAGATTGTTTATTTGAATCTTTTTCTTTTTTTGATGTAGGCACTTATAGCTATAAACATCTCTCTTAGTACTGGTTTTGATATATTATATAGGTTTCGGCATGTTGTGTTTCTATTATCATTGTTTCAAAAATTTTTTTTATTTTCCTTCTTAATTTTTTCATTGACCCACTGGTCATTCAGGAACATATTGCTTAATTTCTATGTATTTGCATAGCTTCCAAATTTTTTCTTGTTATTAATTACTAGTTTTATTCCATTGTGGTAAAAGAAGATGCTTGATGCTATTTTAATTTTTGGAATGTTTTCAGAGTGGTTTTATTACTTAAAATACAGTCTATCCTTGAGAATGATCCATGTGCTGAAGAAAAGTATGTATTTGGCAGCTCTTGGATGAAATGTCTCTAAATAGCTCTTGGATGAAATGTCTCTAAATATCGATTAGATCCATTGTTCTATAGTGCAGATTAAGGCTGATGTTTCCTTGTTAATTTTATGTCTGAAAGAGCTGTTTAATACTGAAAGTGGCATGTTGAAGTCTCCTACTATTATTGTATTAGGGCCTATCTCTCCCTTGAGCCCTAAGTTTTATATATCTGGGTTCTCCAATGTTGGGTGCATATATATTTACAATAATTGTATCTTCTTGTTAAATTGACCCCTTTATCATTATATACTGACTTTGTCTCTTCTTAGATTTTTGTATGGAAATCTATTTTGTCTAATATAAGTATAGCAACTCCTGCTCCTTTTCTGTTTCCATTGACATGAAATATCATTTTTCATCCCTTTATTTCAGTCTATGTGTGTCTTATAGGTGAACTGTGTTTCTTGTAGGCAGCAGATAAATGAGTCTTTTTCTTTTTTATTTGTTCAGCCAGTCTGTCTTTTGATTTAGTCCATTTACATTCAACGTTATTACTAATAAGTAAGGACTTACTCCTTCCGTGTGTCATTTGTTTTCTGGTTGTTTTGTGGTCTTCTCCATTTTTTTCTTTCTTTCCTTTTTTTTCTGTAATGAAGGTAATTTTCCCTGGTGATATGATTTAGTTTCTTGCTTTTTATTTTTTGTGGATCCATTGTGTGTTTTTTAGTTTGAGGTTACCATGAGGCTTGCAAATACTATCCCGTTATTTTAAACCGATAACAACTTAACACTTTGCATAAATAAACACGCAAAAAGAAAACTAAAAAAAAAAGGCTGTATGCCTTAACTTTGTACCCCCGCTTTTTAGCTTTTTGTTGTACCTATTTATATCTTTTTGTATTGACTATGTCTTGAAAAGTTGCAGTTATTATTTTTTATTGGTTCACTGTTTCATCTTTCTACTAGGATAAGAGTAGTTTACACATCACAATTACAGTGTTATAATATTCTGTGTTTTTCTGTGTACTTACTATTACCAGTAAGTTTCATAACTTCTGGTGATTATGCTCATTATTGTTCTTTTCTTTCTGATTGAAGTACTTCTTTTAGCATTTCTGGTGGGACAGGTCTGGTATTGACGAAATCCCTTAACTTTTGTTTGTCTGGGAAGGTCTTTATTTCTCCTTCACGACTGAAGGATATTTTCACCAGATATGCTATTGTAGGGTCAACTTTTAATTTTTTCCTTCAGCACTTTAAATATATCATTCCACTCTCTCCTGGCTGGTAAGATTTCTACTGGAAAGTCTGTTGCCAGATGTATTGGAGCTTCACTGTATCTTATTTATTTCTTTTCCTCTTGCTGCCTTTAGGATCCTTTATTTTTGACCACTGGGAGTTTGATTATTAGATATCTCGAGGTAGTCTTCTTTGGGTAAATTCTTCTTGGTGTTCGATAAACTTCTTGTACTTAGATATGGATATCTTTCTCTATGTTTGATAAATTCTCTGTTATTATCCCTTTGAATAAACATCTAACCTTATCTCTTTCTCTACCTCCTCTGTAAGGCCAATAACTCTCAGATTTGCCCTTTTGAGGTTATTTTCTAGATGCTGCTGGTGTGGTTTATTGTTTTATTTTTTCTTTTGTGTCCTCTGACTATGTATTTTCAATTAGCCTGTCTCTCAGCCCACTAATTCTTGTTTCCGCTTGATCCATTCTGTTATTAAAGGACCTTGATGCATTCTTCAGTATGCCAATTGAATACTTAAGCTCCAGAATTTCTGCTTGATTCTTTCTAATTATTTCAATCTCTTTGCTAAATTTATCTGATAGAATTCTGAATTCCTCCTCTGTGTTATCTTGAATTTTCTCTGCATTTCCTCAGCATAGCCATTGTGAATTCTCTGTCTGAAAGCTCACTTAACTCTGTTTCTCCTGGATTGTTCCCTGGTGCTTTATTTAGTTCATTTGGTGAGATTATGTTTTCCTGAATGGTGTTGATGCTAGGAAATGTTCTTTGGTGCCTGGGCATTTAAGGGCAAAGAATTATAGTGTTCACTGACTGGGCTTATTTGTAGCTGTCCTTCTTGAGATGTCTTCTTAGATATTTGAAAGGACTTGGGTATTGCAATCTAAGCTTTATCTGCCTTAGGAGTCATCCCAAGTTCAGTAATGCTGTGGTTCTTGCAGACTTGTAGAGTTCCACCTTTATGCTATGGGACAGATGCAGAAGAATTGTCTAGATTATTAGGCAGAAATTCTTTCTCTTTTCTCTTATTTTCTTCTAAATACACAGAGTCTCTCTCTATGTTATAAGCAACCTAAAACTGGGGGTGGAGTGACACTAGCTCACCTGTGGCTAATCTGGCCTGGGCTGCTTTAAGTGCTCCCTCTGTGGGCAGGCGTCAGCTGTTTGGTCTGGTTTTCCATTCTGCTCTAATGTGACAGCACCGAATTCATTGTCTTCACAATTGCTTTGTTCTCTCTTTCCCAGTGCCCAGAGATGCTCTTGGCACCCTGCTGCTGCTGGGGTTGAAGGAGGGTTTCTGTCAACAATTCTAGACTGTTATTTTTTTTTCTATCTTCAGTTCTTCTTTTAGCAATATAAATTTAGACCCAGGTACTACGAATGTTCACCTGATTTTTGGTTCTTTTGAAGGCGTTTGTTCTTTGTAGACGGTTGTTAACTTGGTGTTCTTGTGCGGGGGAAAATGTTGGAGACTTCTATTTCACCACCTTCCATCTATGATTTCTTTCAACAATGTTTTGTAGTTCTACCTGCACAGATCTTTCACCTTCTTGGTTAAGTATATTCCTAGGTATTGTATTTTTTTGCAACATTTTAAAAGGAATTGCATTCTTGATATGATTTTCAGCTTCTTTGTTGTTGGTATATAGCAGTGTTACTGATTTCTGTACACTGTCTTTGTAAACTGACACTTTGTGGAATTTATCAAATCTGGTAGTCTTTTGGATGAGTCTTTGGGGTTTTCTATGTATACAATCATTGGCAAACAGTGATAGTTTGAGTTTCTCTTTTCCAGTTTGGATGACCTTTATTTCTTTTTCTTGACTGTTTGTTGTGGCTACAACTTCCAGTACTATGCTGAACAAAAGAGGTGAAGATGAGCATCCTTGTCTTGTTCCAGTTTTCAGGAGGAGTGCTTTCAATGTTTTCCCCATTCACTATGATGATGGCTGTGGGTTTGCCACATATGTCTTTCATAACTTTTGAGGTGTCATTTTGAGGTATGTCCCTTCTATGCCCAGTTTATTAATGGTTTTTATAAAGGGAAGCTGGATTTTTTCAAATAATTTTTCTGTGTCTGTTGAGATGATCATATAGTTTCTTTAAAATTCTGTTTATGTGATGTAGTACATTTATCGACTTGTGTATGTTAAAACATCCCTACATCCCTGGATAGAAATTTATTTGATAATGGTGAATTACCTTTTTAATGTGCTGTTTGATTCGGTTTGCTTGTATTTTGTTGAGGATTTTTGCATGTATGTTGATCAAGAAGGATACTGTTCTGTACTATTTTTATTGTTGTTATGCCCTTTCCTGCTTTGGGTATGGAGGTGATACTGGCTGCATAGAATGAGTTGGGGGATATTCCCTCTTTCTCAATCTTTTGGAATAACTTCAGTAGGGTTGGTACCAACTATTCTTTGAATGTCTGGTAGAATTCCATGGTGAATCCATCTGGCTCTCGGCTTTTTTGTTGACAACATTTTTTATTATTAATTCAATTTCACTGATTGTTAGTGATCTGTTCAGGGTTTCTATTTCTTCTTAATTTAATCTAGGAGGGTTTTATGTTCCCAGGAATTTATCCATTTCTGCTAGATTTTCTAGTTCGTGTGCATAGAGGGGTTCACAGTTGTCTCTGCTGACCTTTTGTATTTTTGTGGTGTTGGTTGTAATGTATTTGAATCCTCTCTCTTTCTTGGTTAATCTAGGTAATGGTCTATTTGTTTATCTTTCCTAAGAATCAACTTTTTGTTTCATTGATCTTTCGTATTGTTTTTCATTTCAAATTCATTTAGGTCTGCTCTGATACTTTTAGTTTCTTTTCTTCTGCTAGCTTTGGGCTTGTTCTTATTTCTCTAGTTCCTTGAGATATGATATTAGGTTGTCAATTTGTAACCTTTCAAGTTTCTCAATGTAGGAATTTAGTACTATAAACTTTCCTATTAGCCCTGCTTTTGCTGTATCCCAAAGGTTTTGATAACTTTTGTCACTATTAGCATTCACTTCAAATATTTTTTAACTTTCCATCTTGATTTCAGTATTAAACCAAAAGCCATTCAGGACTACGTTGGTTAATATACATGTATTTATATAGTTTTGAGGTGCCCTTTGGGATTTGATTTCTAGTTTTAGTCTACTGTGGTCTTGGAAGATACTTGATATGATTTAAAGTTTTAAAAATGTAGAGTCTTGTTTTGTAGCCTATCACATGGTCTATCTTGAAGAATGTTTCATGTGCTAATGAGAAGAATGTATATTCTGTAGTTCTTGGGTTGAATATTCTGTTAATATATGTTAGGTCCATTTGTTCTAGAGTGCAGTTTTATTCCATTTTTTGTATACTTTCTATATCAATGATCTGTCTACTGCTGTTAGAGGAATGTTGAAGTCCCTCACTATTATTGTGTTGCTGTCCCCCACTATTATTGTGTTGCTGTCTATCTCATTTCTTGGGTCTAATAGTAATTCAGGAATCTGGGAGCTCCAGAGTTAGGTGCATATATATTTAAGATTGTAATATCTTCCTGTTGGATTAATTTTTTATCACTATATAATGACCTTCCTTGTCTTTTTTTACTATTGTTGCTTTAAAGTATGTTTTATCTAATACAAGAATAGCTCCTCTTGCTTGCTTTTGGTTTCCATTTGCATGGGATATTATTTTATACCCCTTTGCCTTGAGTTTCAATAAATCATTACATGTTAGGTGAATTTCTTGGAAGACAGCAGGTATTTGGTTTGCAATTTTTTAATTCATTCTATCAATCTGTATTTCTTATGTTGAGCATTTAGGCCATTTAATTTGGTTCTTGGTGCTTTCAGAGGTTCAGTGTTACTATTGAGGTGTGAGGTACAGTTTCAGTCATCATGTTGACTGTTACCTATTTTGTTTTTATGTTGACTTATTGTTTTATAGGCCCTGTGTTTTTATGCTTTCAAGAGGTTTTACTGTGGCGCATACTGACCTTTTGCTTAAAGATTTAGAACTCCTTTTAGCATTTCTCGTAGGACTGGTCTAGTAGTGACAAATCACCTTAGCATTTGTTTGTCTAAAAATGACTTTATTTCTCTTTATGAAACTTAGTTTTGCTGGATACAAAATTCTTGGCTGATAGTTATTCTGTTCAAGGAGGCTAAAGATAGGATCCCTATCCCTTCTGGCTTGTAGAGTTTGTGCTTAGAAGTCTGCTGTTAGTCTGATAAGTTTTCCTTTATAGGTTACCTGATGCTTTTGTCTCTCTTAGAATTCTTTTTTTCATGTTACCTTCAGATAAGGCTGATGACTATATGTCTTGGTGATGTCCTTATTGCAATGAATCTCCCAGGAGTTATTTGAGATTCTTTTATTTGGATATCTAAATCTCTAGCAAACAATGATGTTTTCTTCAATTATTCCCTCACATATGTTTTCCAAAGATTTTCCTTTCTCTTCTCCTTCAGGTACACCTGTGTGTCTTAGGTTTGGCCATTGTACATAATCCCATATTACTTGGAGACTTTGTTCATTTCATCTTTTTCTTTATTTTAGTCTTATTGGGTTAATTCTAATGTCTTGTCTTTGAGCTCTGAAATTATTTTTTTCTACTTGGTCTAGTCTATTGTTAAAAGTTTCTACTGCATTTTGTAATTCCCTAAATGTGTCTTTCATTTCCAGAAGTTCTGATTGGTTTTTCATTGGAATATTTATTTCTAGAAAATTTTTCATTCATATCCTGAATTCTTTTTTCTTTTTGTTGATTTCCACATTTTTCTTGTACCTCTTTTAGTAGCTTAATAATCAACCTTTTTAATTCTTTATGTAGCATTTCAAATATTTTATCTTGGTATGGATCTATTGATGGAGGTGTTACAGAACTATCTTTTGTCATATTGCCAGAATTATTTTTCTGATTTTTCTCATTTGGGTAGACTATTTCTTCTAATTATTCTTGAATTTATTTTTGAATTAACTGTTTTTTTAATCTCTTTTTCCCACTTAAGAATATGACGTTAATGTTTATAGTTTATTGTAATCTAATTCAGCTCTTGATGCTTTCAGAGGTAAATCTGTATGAGTTCCTTGCTTATAGAGAATCTTTTTATCATGGCTTTCTCAGATGCTGGTTGTAGTAGCACTGTGCTCAGTGTGTAAGCAAGTTCACTGTCTCCTATGGTGTTTTAATAGGAATGGTCTCTTGAAGATTATCTTGTTCCTTCATGGTGTGCATTAATTAATTGATCAATTAATTAATTTATTTGCCCCAGTATTTTATTTACTGGGCTCAATAGGTTAAGCTTCAGTCCAGTAGGTGAGGTGTCCCTAGGCAGAAATTGGTTGTGGCTAAAGCAGGTGTGTAAATGCAATACCCAATGGTGAGTAGAGGTCCCAGACTTGATAGAGGTGGCTGGGAGAGCTCTCAGTGAAATCACTGAGGTATAATCAGGGGGAAGGATGGGAGCCACCTCAGCTCCCCTGACAGGCCAGCAGGAAGGCAATCCACTTCCCAGTCACACTCCTGACCCAGTTTTCTGGCTATTCAGATCAGAGAGGCACTTCTTTTTATCTGGAAGAATGTTGATGTTCCAAGTAGAGAGGAACTGTGACTCTACTCTTCATGCAAGCCTGAACCTGAAGGGCACTATTTCTGTGGGGATGCAGTCACCCTGAAGTGCTTTGGAAAGGCTGTGTGTAGGTGCACCGATGCTGACCTCCATGGGAGAAGTCCCCACTGTGTCTGCAGTGGTGGATGAGGGAGAAAAAGACAACCCCTTCTACAAGACCCTTCATGAGCACAAGGGCTGCCTGTCTGTTATTATGGAGCTGCAGATTATTCCTGCTGAGCCTGGCAATACACCTGTGCCTCTGCTGAAAGAAATTTCCCACCAACAGTAAGTTCTGAGGGTTGGGGGAAGTAGGAAAATAATATAGGTTGCTGTGGGTTCATATTTGGTAAGCTGCTTTCACTATTATTCATCTTTTCTCAAAAGTATGTCATGTAAGTTTTAGGTGTGTTATTAAAAATATAATGTTCTTAAGTGTCGTCTTAAAATATTAGTAGCTACTCTTTGTTGAATACCTACTTTGTATTAGACTGCATGCTATGTGCTTTACCTAAATAATCTGTCTTACTTATAAGTATTCTGCAGATTCTTTGTATCTATTGTCTTTTTACATGAAGAGAAACTGAGGCTCACAAAGATTGCATCCTGGCTAAGCTTCCCAACCACAACTGCTCCCCCACCACAACTGCTCCCCCAGTGACTGGTGGCTGGCATTCAAACCCAAGGTTCTCTATGTCCTAAATTGACACTATTTCCTTTTCCCCTACGTAATATTATCTTTCCCCTGTTAGTTTCCTAGGAACCAATTGTTCTTCAAAATAAAATACAGTTAATGGAAATTTTTTAAAAAGTTCTGAGACTCAGGCCTGTTGTCCAGATTCTTTTGTCCCAGGGGGTGTTCCCTTGGTGTCCTATACTACCCCTTCCCCTGGGAGTCAGAATCTCTGAAAGTAAGACTACTGTGAATGCTGCTGCTCCTCTGGGTCTAGCCGCTTGGTGGGGCTGCCACACTCCAGGCTGGTGCTGAGGAATGAGGAATGTCTACAAGGAACCCAGAGATGTGACCTGTCCTCAAGTCTCCCAGTAGCAGGTACCAGCACCAGCTCTGATAGGGGTGACAGGAGAGTTACATAGACTCTGTGAGATTCCTTGGTTATAAATAGCCTTACTGTGTTGGCTTTCTCAAATGCCAGTTGTAGTAGGAATGGACTAGTCACGTGGACAGACTCAAGACCTCTTATTAGCCACGGTGCTGCAGGTAATGGTGATAGCTGAGATCACACACAAATTTTCTCCTTCCTGGGTTTTGTGTTATTCTACCTGGAGATACTGTAACAGACATTATCGGTAGGCTTACAGCCAGGAGGTGGCACTTGAAAAACAGCACCAGCTACAGTGGTAGCAGCAGTGGGATTTGTGCTTGCCTTATATTACTCAGGGGAGTTACTCTGATTCTCAGGCAATGGGTGTGGCCATAAGGACCCCAAAAGTTTCTGTCCTTTGTGTTTAGTTACCAGGAATGTTGGACAGGAAAAGCCATTCGGGGGGCTGGGTCAGGCAGGTCCACACTCTGGATTTCCATATGCAGGGCAAGCAGAGGCCTCAGTGGGGTTTCACGGGGTGGGGGTAGGTTTAGTTCTCTGGCTGTTGGAGTAATGATCCAGGGAGGAGCACAGCTGCCTCTGTTGCACAGAAGAGTTCACACAGAAAGTGGGGAGTAGCAGGCATCTGTAAACCCTGCCCAGCTCCTATGCACTTGGCAAGGAATATCACACACCTGCAGTGTTCCAGGAGCAACAACTCACTAAGTTTCAGGCAGTCTGAACTCAGAACTCAAAACTGTCCCAGGACATCAACCTTCCCTACAGAAACAGCAACCACAGCCTTCAAACCATGCCCCTCCCAGTCAGCCTGCAAAGCGAAGGACACCAGCTTCTGCACTTATGGCTACAACATACTTCCCATTCTCCCCACAGTCCTGGCAAGGGGAGTTCATCCCCACTTAAGATTATATTGTGAATTTCACTTGGGATCTTCTCTCAACACGTGACCACAGTCTGAGTTCGCCGGCAGACTTCTGTGAAGTCCTCTGTGAGGTAGGATCAGGAATTGTTTCCCTCTGTCAATGCTGGAGACTGGAAATGCATGGAAGGCTCTTCTCACTGCTGCTCCTACTTTTATATTCCCCAGTGCTTCCCAAATCAGTTCCAGCGCTGGGTAGGGTTAAGGACTTCCACCATGGCCTGGATGGCCAGGTTCCCTAGTAAAAATGTATATTTTGGAGGCAAATTATCCCCCTCTCACACTCTGGGGTCTTACAGTATTCCCACTGGGCTCATGGTATGGAATGCAGCCTGCCACTTCTTTCAAAGGGTCTGTCGTTTCTTTCAGTTATCCTGTCACAATTTTGTCTTTCCAAGTGGGAGAGGAATGCTAACAATGCCTCCCATCTTTCATCTTGGGGAATAAAAGTGTTTGGCTAAAATTTTAGTAACTAAAATATCAAAGTGAGCTTGCAGGAAGTCATCTGGTTCGATTGGCTTTCAATCTCTTACCAAAACCATCAATGGCCTTGTGAGGTTCATCAGAATGTCACAATTCCTGGGGCTCTAGAGCATCAATCAAACAAAAGGGGCTTTATTTCTCCAAAATCAGTAAATAATCAGGGTTTTTTTTTTTACCTCAGTAAAAGTAGAACTGATCTTGTGGGACATGTATTGATTAAATTTTCCTCATCCCAAGATCAAATATGTCCCAATCCTACCATACATTATTATCAACAATGTCAATTGATCTAGAATCTATGAAGCAGAGATATCTAATCAGAAGTCATGTACTTGAATGAAGTCCTCTCAAGAATAAAACTTGTTGGAGGCATTCTATCACCCAAACTGAAACTTTTCCCCATTCCACTAAGATCAGAAACCAAGCCATTACTGACTGGTGTATGCTAATTATGATTATCTGTCTATGCAATAAGATGTGTTCACGTGTGAATCATAATACACTTTTTTACTTGATACTTTTTAGAAAAATTATAATTCAATGTTTATTTGTATTTTGTCCTTAAACTTTCCTCACTGAGTTCCTACCTTCATGAAAATAATATTCTATTTTGTCTCAATAAATTTATACATTAATTGACTGCTGTGCACCCCATAAGGATTCAGTGGATATCGTCAGTGGATAGCACAAAGTCTGGAACACAGTAGGTTTCAATAAATTTCATCAATTAATGATGCTGGTCATGATACTGTTGGCTAATGAAAGACTAGAAAAATGGAAAGGAGAGATGGCCTACATGAGCTCCAAAATTAGACAAGAAAAATTATCTTTGTACTTCATTTTATAATTATAATTAAATTAACCTAAATCAACTTAAAATTACATAGCATTTTATAGTTTACAAAATAACTTATTACATATTTCATTTCATCTTTTTAACAATATTACTAAAATTATTTAAGAGAATTTTTATCATCCCCATTTAACAGATAAGACAGGTTCAGAAAGAGTCATTCTCTATGACCACATAGTAATGAATTCATGGGAATACACTCCACACTGATGTCTAGATTCACTAAATCCTTACCAAATTCCTGGATTGCATTTTTGCAAAAATTGACAAGCTAATCTCAAAATTCATATGGAATTGCAAGGGACCCAGAATAACATAAATAATCTTGAAAAAGAAGAACAAAATTAAGAACTCGAACTTCCTGATTTCAAATTTCACTACAGAGCTATAGTAATCAAAACAGTGTGGAACTAGCATATAGAGATATATAGAAATGTACAACAATAAAATAAAATTGAGAGTTCAGGAATTAAACTTTAGATTTAGAATCAATTTATTTCTGACAAGTTTGCCAAGAAAATTCAATGGGAAAACTAGTTTTTTTAAAACAAATTGTGCTGGGACAACTAGATATCCACATACAAAAGAATGAAGTTGTCAAGCCAAGGAAAAAAAAGAGAGAGAGGAACCAAATAAACAAAATTAGAAATAAAAAAGGAGACATTATAGCTGATACCACAGAAATACAAAGGATCATCACTGACTATTATGAACAACTACATACTAACAAACTGGAAAACCTATAGAAAATGGATAAATTCCTGAAAACATACAACCTACCAAGATTGAATTAGGAAGAAGTAGAAAACCTCAACAGATTCATAACAAATCATGAGATTGAACTGATAATAAAAAGTCTCCCAATAAAGAGAAGCCCAGTACTGGGTGGCTTTTCTGTTGAATTTTAACATATTGATAAAGAAGAACTAACACCAGTTCTCAAACTATTCCAAAAAAATCAAGAAGGAAGAGATTCTTGCTAACTCATTCTATGAGTCCAGATAAAACTTTAAATTAGGTTAAGCTGCTGAAATTTTAGGGCTATTTTTTTTTAGAGAAGCTCAGCCTGAATATCCCTAAATAATACAATGGGAACCTTTGATTGTCTGGTTAGCAGAATTTGATAATTTTTATGCACCATTGACTATTGTGTGTCTCCCATTTTTCCCCTTTTCTAATAAGAAAGTTTACTGAAATTATTACATCCCTGCTCTACCACTGGATATAGAGTGTGGAGGGTTAGGCAGGTAACCTGTATTTCAGTTCAGGGATAAGCACTAGAGAATAGTGCTTATCATTCAGAGATCTTTGTCTTCTAATTTGATACACTATTGATTTGAGTTGCAACTATGGGTTGTTCCCCTTGCTGAGAGATGAGTGTATTCTAGGTTTGGGAAGAAACACGAAATTGATATTTAGTGACCAGAAAAGCAGACTGTGGAAGAGACTATCACAGATATTCACCAATTTCATTTTATCTTCTTGGGAACAGAGCCTCCCTTGTATCTTGGTGGGGCCACATGACTATTCCTGGCCAAGGTAATGTGGACTGAATTAATATATATAATTTCCAAGGCTGATTCCAAAAATCTTCTCTGGCATCCTCAGGTCACTCTTTCCCATATCCATGTGAATAGAGATGAAAAACATTTGAGATGACAGAGATCCACAATACAATAAGCTCAGGTCCTTGTGTCACTAATTGGAAAAGAGTTATCCATAAATGTGATGTTAGAAAAAATATGTATTTTATTAATCCACTAAGATTGAGTAATTTACTTGCTCCATCATCTAGCATGAGTAATCATGAGTATGCAAGAACAAATATCACTATTAAGATGGCTCAGAAAACCCTCGGCCTCAAAACATCACTGAGAGAGCATATAGGAGGACTGAGATAAACTTTGACCTCCAGATACCACTAAATTCCCTTGCTAACAGAACCAACTCTTACCCTAATCAACTTACCTGAAGACCAAGTAACAACTTCTGAGGCAGTTACATAGAAAGTGAATGTCAGTTCTTCCTATTTCCTCCCTGTTAAGAGCCCTTAAGGCCACTGAGACCTGTATGTAACCGGAGTTAGATGGCAGAATGTTCAAAGGGACAAACTTCAAGGTTACACCTTGAATTGAAAATATTACATATCAAAATAATTTCAAGACTCTTGGTTATTACAACAAATTACTGGTGAATAGGTATGAAAATATATTCTGAGGATGAGAGGTCAGAAAGAGAACAAAATTTTAAACAAGGTAAATTTATATTATAGATACGAATGCACTTAACAGAAATTCTGGGTTGCAGGTGCTAATTTAAAGAGCTATATTTCTTTGTGCTTGATTGGTTGACTAAACTCAATATAGGCCTACTCTAAATGAAGTTAAGATGTGAGAAATTCCTATCTATAATTTGGAGGAAAAATGCCAATTTTCAGAGAAGTAGGAGCATTGGAATAGAATTATCATGTGTGACATACTAACCTACCTTTTAACTATCCTATGAGAGGATCCAAAAGACTCTTTCTTCCTCATGACATTGAGAAATCCACGGATGAAGGGTACACCAGCATCTATGAAAAGTGCTATGACAGGTGTCCTCCTTAGCCTGAAGATGAAGGGAGCAGATGCTGCAACTTAAAATGGCACCTAATATCAACAAGGGTAATGCTGTCTTAAGTGGCAGATGCCAAAAAGCAGTACCTGAAAACTAGAGGCAATGTATGCAAGGTTAATGAAATGAACAAGGTCAAATTTTTAATCATATTGATTTGACTCTTAATGGTCTTTGATAGAGGAAAACTAATTATTCAGTACCTATGACAAACAGATGGGATGCCCATTAATGTCTTACTTGACTGGTAAAACTGAAAACAATTCTAACTCTGGTTTAAAAATTCTAACTTGAACCATCAAAATTATGGGTCAAAGCCCCTCATTCAGGTCTCGTTCCTAAAGCAAGTTAATAAAGTCATCAACTTTGAATGAAAGGGAGACAGGGAATCCTTGAGGAAAGTCTTTGTTATAAAATCACTAGGACTTGTGCCATTATCAGTGTTCCTGTGCCCCAAGGAAAGCAAATTCTCACACTTTTCAGGAATTATGAAATAAAGTTAATATCTGAGAACTCAGAACACTACTGTAGTCCTCTGGTCAAAAAAGAAAATTACAGGCTCAGTTTGTAGATAAGACTTTTGTATTCCCGGGATTCTCCAAACCATCTTGTGGTTACCATTCCATTTACTGATATGTAGTTGGAATAGACATACTCCACAACAAGCAGAATCCTTATTTGGCTCCCTGACTCAAGGGGTGAGGGATCCTTGGAAAGCCCCTGGGTTCCCTCTCCTACTAAAATAAAAAAACTACTTAAGGAAATCAAAGTGGTTGATGGAACCATCAAATATTTAAAATATGTGCCTCCTTTTCTATCTTCATGTAAATCACCAGTTTGACCTGTGTACAAGACAAAGCCATCTTGGAGCAAAACAATGAATTATTTTAAGCTTAATTAGGTGATGACTCCAACTGCAGCCACAGTTGTAGACTAGTCAGTTTTCTGGAGCAAATCAATATAATTTCCAATACCTAGTATAAAGCTATAGCACTGGTAAATACTTTTTCCCCTATCTCAATAACTGAAGAACAAAAAAATGTTAGCTTTCACTTGGTAGGCATAGCACTAAACATTTACCATCTTGCCACAGAGGTATATCAACTCTACAGATTTGTGACACAATTTTGTCTACATGGACAGTGATCATTTTATCATCCCACAGAACAGTACACTGGTTGATACTAATAAAGACAGCATAACAGGACCAAGTGAGCAGGAAGTAGTAGGAATTATCTTAGACATCTTCATCAGACACCAGACACATGGCTATCAGAATGTAGAATACATCTCATGAAAATTAGGGAGTCTAAAGCATAGGTAAAGTTACTGGGGATCCAGTGGCTTTGGTAATGTGATTTCGTTGTAAATAATGTGATTTTCCTTCCAAAATGAACAAGTCCCTGCACCTTACTCTCCTAAACTTTAAGAAAGAGGTATAACACTCAATGGGACTTTACAAAAATTATGCTTGGGTATGCTGCTCCAATTCATATATCAAGTAGCCTACAAGGCCTCAGACAGAGATGAAAATAATACAAGCATCTCCAGATATTACAGGCTACGGTGCTTGCAAGCAAATTTGCCAACTGGCCATTATGATACAGCTCATCCAATTCTTGAAGTGTATTAGATTGTATTAAATTTTGTACAAAGTCCAATCCCTTATAAGAACATCACAGTAGAAGCTCCTAAAATTTTAAAGCACAACTATGACTTATCTAGTACGTATCAATTCTCCTTCATGGAAACAGATTTTGGCTTACTGGTTGGCCCTGCTAGAGACTCAAAGCCTGACAATGAAAAAACCTTTTAAGCTTTGTTTTCTTCACAAATCATATACGCGCAAAAAGTATTCTATTGTCAAGTAGAAGTGGTTTTGAGGGATTGCCTTAAAGGCACATGTAAATTGCTTGAGCAGCAGCAGGTGGCTTACAATGCCAGCGTGCCTACCTTTATCACACTACCATCACTCCTTCTACCCAAACTTATGGACGACTCCTTAAGAGAAAGAAAAATCAAGCCGCATTTTTAGGTAACTATGCACAATATGCTGGCACTTTCTTGAAGTATATTGCCTCAACATTTCAGTCCTACTCAACGGTGGCCGTGAAGAACAGTGAAGAAAGAAACTTCTCCCTGTGGACATAACTTTAGCAGCATTATTGTTATCCACTCTGCTTGTAAGGAGAGATGATCTGAGAAATGGATTTATATTAATTCTTGAGCAGCAGTTAACAGTTTGGTCATATTGTCTGGGACTTTGTCATATTATCTGAGATTGAAAGATTCGTGGACAAAGAAGTCTGGTGAAGTATGTAAACTGGCATTTTATGATTGGCAAAGAATGTGAATATTTCTGTGTCCTTTACTAATAATCACCCAAATTCCCCTCTTTATGGAAAGAAATTTCTTAATAATCCTGTGGACAAGATGATAAGTTATAAAGATAACAAACAGCCTCTTTCACTGGACTGTACAATGCCTTCTCAACGAGCTCAAGGATAAAGTGGTCATAGTAGCAGGGATGATGATCCTCTATAGTTTCCGTTTTTGAAATAAGAATGATTTCTGTTGTTGTTCTTGTTTCATCCCTGTGTCCTTTTTGAATGTGGATAATTCTTTCAATTTTCTTTTTTATAGTTTCTGGCTTTGCAGTAAGACTCACAAATGTTCTCCTCACCACAAAATTATTAAAACAGTCACCTAATTTTTCACCTGGTAGATTTCTGATGTTGTTTAGATTTAGTTTATCTAATATTTATTTTTTGGTAAGGAGTGAAATAGAGATACACTTTATTTCTCTCACAATGGCTAACTAGTTGTTTCCAACACCATTTATTGTATACTTTTTCTACTTTCCTGACAATAATAAAAAAACTTCTAGAGCAGCATTTGCCAGCACATTCTGAGAAACATGATAGGACTGGACACTAATGTCTTTCAAGAAGAGATATTTCCACAGTTAAAAACATTTGGAAAACCTAGAACAACTAAATTAACTATTTAAATTTTGGACTTCTCAGATGTTACATAACCCTATTCTCATTGAGCCTTTAAATGGCCAAGTAATCTATAGAAAATAATCTGAGGAACATTGCTTTAGAGATTTACTTTGAAAACCTATATTTCTGTTATTGTTGTTGTTTTCTATATATGGCTATAATTATATTTTTATAATTATAAAATATAAAAATATTTTATAATTATAAAAATATTTTTAATTATATTTCATTGACTTTTATATAAAAATGTTTTATTTTTAACATTCATTGAAATAATCACATAATTTTCTTCTTTTAAACCTATTAATATTATGACATAGGCCATACATTTCCTAACACTGAAAAACTAGTTGCTTTTCTAGAATGAATTCCACTGGATCATGGTGCATTACTTTTTCACACAGGTAATATAAATTGAGTGAAATTTACTTGTGTGTGTGTGTCTGCATGTGAAAGGGAGAGATAAGGAGGAGGACAAGGAGTGGTTCCTGTTTTAGGAAGTTTTCCTTCTTCCTTTAGGCCTTAGGACGGTTTAAAAAATGCAGAAATTGAGAGGGCAGCCAAGATGGCCGAATAGGAACAGCTCCGGTCTACAGCTCCCAGCGTGAGCGACGCAGACGACGGGTGATTTCTGCATTTCCATCTGAGGTACCGGGTTCATCTCACTAGGGAGTGCCAGACAGTGGGTACAGGACAGTGGGTGCAGCACACCGTGTGCGAGCCAAAGCAGGGCGAGGCATTGCCTCACTCGGGAAGTGCAAGGGGTCAGGGAGTTCCCTTTCCTAGTCAAAGAAACGGGTGACATACGGCACCTGGAAAATCGCGTCACTCCCATCCCAATACTGTGCTCTTCCGATGGGCTTAAAAAACGGCGCACCATGAGATTATATCCCGCATCTGGCTCGGAGGGTCCTACGCCAACAGAGTCTTGCTGATTGCTAGCACAGCAGTCAGACATCACACTGCAAGGTGGCAGCGAGGCTGGGGGAGGAGTGCCCACCATTGCCCAGGCTTGCTTAGGTAAACAAATCAGCCGGGAAGCTACAAATGGGTGGAGCCAACCACAGCTCAAGAAGGCGTGCCTGCCTCTGTATGCTCCACCTCTGGGGGTAGGGCACAGACAAACAAAAAGACAGCAGTAACCTCTGCAGACTTAAATGTCCCTGTCTGACAGCTTTGAAGAGACCAGTGGTTCTCCCAGCACGCAGTTTGAGATCTGAGAACGGGCAGACTGCCCCCTCAAGTGGGTCCCTGACCCCTGGCCCCCGAGCAGCCTAACTGGGAGGCACCCCCAAGTAGGGGCAGACTGACATCGTACACGGGCGGGTACTCCTCTAAGACACAACTTCCAGAGGAACGATCAGACAGCAGCATTCGTGGTTCACGAAAATCCACTGTTCTGCAGCCACCACTGCTGATACCCAGGCAAACAAGGTCTGGAGTAGACCTCTAGCAAACTCCAACAGACCTGCAGCTGAGGGTCTTGTCTGTTAGAAGGAAAACTAACAAACAGAAAGGACATCCACACCAAAAACCCATCTGTACATCACCATCATCAAAGACCAAAAGTAGATAAACCACAAAGATGGGGAAAAAACAGAGCAGAAAAACTGGAAACTCTAAAAAGCAGAGCACCTCTCCTCCTCCAAAGGAACGCAGTTCCTCACCAGCAATGGAACAAAGCTGGACAGGGAATGACTTTGACGAGTTGAGAGAAGAAGGCCTCAGATGATCAAACTACTCCGAGCTACAGGAGGAAATTCAAATCAAAGGCAAAGAAGTTAAAAACTTTGAAAAAAATTTAGGGGAATGTATAACTAGAATAACTAATACAGAGAAGTCCTTAAAGGAGCTGATGCAGCTGAAAGCCAAGGCTCGAGAACTACGTGAAAAATGCAGAAGCCTCAGGAGCCGATGCGATCAACTGGAAGAAAGGGTATCAGTGATGGAAGATGAAATGAGTGAAATGAAGCGAGAAGGGAAGTTTAGAGAAAAAAGAATAAAAAGAAACAAACAAAGCCTCCAAGAAATATGGGACTATGTGAAAAGACCAAATCTACGTCTGATTGGTACCTGGAAGTGACTGGGAGAATGGAACCAAGTTGGAAAACACTCTGCAGGATATTATCCAGGAGAACTTCCCCAATCAAGCAAGGCAGGCCAACGTTCAGATTCAGGAAATACAGAGAACGCCACAAAGATACTCCTCGAGAAGAGCAACTCCAAGACACATAATTGTCAGATTCACCAAAGTTGAAATGAAGGAAAAAATGTTAAGGGCAGCCAGAGAGAAAGGTCGGGTTACCCTCAAAGGGAAGCCCATCAGACTAACAGCTGATCTCTCAGCAGAAACTCTACAAGCCAGAAGAGAGTGGGGGCCAATATTCAACATTCTTAAAGAAAAGAATTTTCAACCCAGAATTTCCTATCCAGCCAAACTAAGCTTCGAAAGTGAAGGAGAAATAAAATACTTTACAGACAAGCAAATGCTGAGAGATCTTGTCACCACTAGGCCTGCCCTAAAAGAGCTCCGGAAGGAAGCATTAAACATGGAAAGGAACAACCGGTACCAGCCACTGCAAAATCATGCCAAAATGTAAAGACCATCAAGACTAGGAAGAAACTGCATCAACTAACGAGCAAAATAACCAGCTAACATCATAATGACACGATCAAATCTACACATAACAATATTAACTTTAAATGTAAACGGGCTAAATGCTCCAATTAAAAGACACAGACTGGCAAATTGGATAAAGAGTCAAGACCCATCAGTGTGCTGTATTTGGGAAACCCATCTCACGTGCAGAGACACACATAGGCTCAAAATAAAAGGATGGAGGAAGATCTACCAAGCAAATGGAAAACAAAAAAAGGCAGGGGTTGCAATCCTAGTCTCTGATAAAACAGACTTTAAACCAACAAAGATCAAAAGAGACAAAGAAGGCCATTACATAATGGTAAAGGGATCAATTGAACAAGAAGAGCTAACTATCCTAAATATATATGCACCCAATACAGGAGCACCCAGATTCATAAAGCAAGTCCTGAGTGACCTACAAAAAGACTTAGACTCCCACACAATAATAATGGAAGGGTTTAACACCCCACTGTCAACATTAGACAGATCAACGAGACAGAAAGTTAACAAGGATACCCAGGAATTGAACTCAGCTCTGCACCAAGCGGACCTAATAGACGTCTACAGAACTCTCCACCCCAAATCAACAGAATATACATTTTTTTCAGCACCACAAAACACCTATTCCAAAATTGACCACATAGTTGGAAGTAAAGCTCTCCTCAGCAAATGTAAAAGAACAGAAATTATAACAAACTGTCTCTCAGACCACAGTGCAATCAAACTAGAACTCAGGATTAAGAAACTCACTCAAAACCCCTCAACTACATGGAAACTGAACAACCTGCTCCTCAATGACTACTGGGTACATAACGAAATGAAGGCAGAAATAAACATGTTCTTTGAAACCAACGAGAACAAAGACACAACATACCAGAATCTCTGGGACACATTCAAAGCAGTGTGTAGAGGGAAATTTATAGCACTAAATGCCCACAAGAGAAAGCAGGAAAGATCCAAAATTGACACCCTAACATCACAATTAAAAGAACTAGAAAAGCAAGAGCAAACACATTCAAAAGCTAGCAGAAGGCAAGAAATAACTAAAATCAGAGCAGAACTGAAGGAAATAGAGACATAAAAAACCCTTCAAAAATTAATGAATCCAGGAGCTGGTTTTTTGAAAGGATCAACAAAATTGATAGACCACTAACAAGACTAATAAAGAAAAAAAGAGAGAAGAATCAAATAGACACAATAAAAAATGATAAAGGGGATATCACCAACCGATCCCACAGAAATACACACTACCATCAGAGAATACTATAAAAACCTCTACGCAAAGAAACTAGAAAATCTAGAAGAAATGGATAAATTCCTGGAGACATACACCCTCCCAAGACCAAACCAGGAAGAAGTTGAATCTCTGAATAGACCAATAACAGGATCTGAAATTGTGGCAATAATCAATAGCTTACCAACCAAAAAGAGTCCAGGACCAGATGGATTCACAGCCGAATTCTACCAGAGGTACAAGGAGGAACTGGTACCATTCCTTCTGAAACTATTCCAATCAATAGAAAAAGAAGGAATCCTCCCTAACTCATTTGATGAGGCCAGCATCATCCTGATACCAAAGCTGGGCAGAGACACAACCAAAAAAGAGAATTTTAGACCAATACCCTTGATGAACACTGATGCAAAAATCCTCAATAAAATACTGGCAAACCGAATCCAGCAGCACATCAAAAAGCTTATCCACCATGATCAAGTGGGCTTCATCCCTGGGATGCAAGGCTGGTTCAATGTACGCAAATCGATAAATGTAATCCAGCATATAAACAGAACCAACGACAAAAACCACATGATTATCTCAATAGATGGAGAAAAGGCCTTTGACAAAATTCAACAACCCTTCATGCTAAAAACTCTCAATAAATTCGGTATTGATGGGATGTATCTCAAAATAATAAGAGCTATCTATGACAAACTCACAGCCAATATCATACTGAATGGGCAAAAATGGGAAGCATTCCCTTTGAAAACTGGCACAAGACAGGGATGCCCTCTCTCACCACTCCTATTCAACATAGTGTTGGAAGTTCTGGCCAGGGCAATTAGGCAGGAGAAGGAAACCAAGGGTATTCAATTAGGAAAAGAGGAAGTCAAATTGTCCCTGTTTGCAGATGACATGATTGTATATCTAGAAAACCCCATTGTCTCAGCCCAAAATCTCCTTAAGCTGATAAGCAACTTCAGCAAAGTCTCAGGATACAAAATCAATGTACAAAAATCACAAGCATTCTTATACACCAATAACAGACAAACAGAGAGCCAAATCATGAGTGAACTCCCATTCACAATTGCTTCAAAGAGAATAAAATACTTAGGAATCCAACTTACAAGGGATGTGAAGGACCTCTTCAAGGAGAACTACAAACCACTGCTCAAGGAAATAAAAGAGGATACAAAGAAATGGAAGAACATTCCATGCTCATGGGTAGGAAGAATCAATATCGTGAAAATGGCCATACTGCCCAAGGCAATTTATAGATTCAATGCCATCCCCATCAAGCTACCAATGACTTTCTTCACAGAATTGGAATAAACTACTTTAAAGTTCATATGGAACCAAAAAAGAGCCCGCATCGCCAAGTCAATCCTAAGCCAAAAGAACAAAGCTGGAGGCATCACGCTACCTGACTTCAAACTATACTACAAGGCTACAGTAACCAAAACAGCATGGTACTGGTACCAAAACAGAGATATGGACCAATGGAAGAGAACAGAGCCCTCAGAAATAATGCCACATATCTACAACTATCTGATCTTTGACAAACCTGACAAAAACAAGCAATGGGGAAAGGATTCCCTATTTAATAAATGGTGCTGGGAAAACTGGCTAGCCATATGTAGAAAGCTGAAACTGGATCCCTTCCTTATACCTTATACAAAAATCAATTCAAGATGGATTAAAGACTTAAACGTTAGACCTAAAACCATAAAAACCCTAGAAGAAAACCTAGGCATTACCATTCAGGACATAGGCATGGGCAAGGACTTCATGTCTAAAACACCAAAAGCAATGGCAACAAAAGCCAAAATTGACAAATGGGATCTAATTAAACTAAAGAGCTTCTGCACAGCAAAAGAAACTACCATCAGAGTGAACAGGCAACCTATAAAATGGGAGAAAATTTTCGCAACCTACTCATCTGACAAAGGGCTAATATCCAGAATCTACAATGAACTCAAACACATTTATAAGAAAAAAACAAACAACCCCATCAAAAAGTGGGCGAAGGACATGAACAGACACTTCTCAAAAGAAGACAGTTATGCAGCCAACAAACACATGAAAAAATGCTCACCATCACTGGCCATCAGAGAAATGCAAATCAAAACCAGAATGAGATACCATCTCACACCAGTTAGAATGGCGATCATTAAAAAGTCAGGAAACAACAGGTGCTGGAGAGGATGTGGAGAAATAGGAACACTTTTACACTGTTGGTGGGACTGTAAAGTAGTTCAACCATTGTGGAAGACAGTGTGGCGACTCCTCAGGGATCTAGAACTAGAAATACCATTTGACCCAGCCATCCCATTACTGGGTATATACCCAAAGGACTATAAATCATGCTGCTATAAAGACACATGCACACGTACGTTTATTGCGGCACTATTCACAATAGCAAAGACTTGGAACCAACCCAAATGTCCAACAATGATAGACTGGATTAAGAAAATGTGGCACATATACACCATCGAATACTATGCAGCCATAAAAAATGATGAGCTCATGTCCTTTGTAGGGACATGGATGAAATTGGAAATCATCATTCTCAGTAAACTATCGCAAGAAGAAAAAACCAAACACCGCATGTTCTCACTCATATGTGGGAATTGAACAATGAGAACACATGGACACAGGAAGGGGAACATCACACTCTGGGGACTGTTCTGGGGTAGGGGGAGCGGGGAGGGGGTACGGATAGCATTAGGAGATATACCTAATGCTAAATGACGAGTTAACGGGTGCAGCACACCAGCATGGCACATGTATACATATGTAACTAACCTGCACATTGTGCACATGTACCCTAAAACTTAAAGTATAATAATAATAAAATTAAAAAAATTAAAAAATGCAGAAATTACCAATTTGTTGATATTCTGAAATACACATGCATGCATACACACACCTACACACACACACACACACACACACACACACACACACGAACTGAATCTCGCATTTGTTTTTCTGTTATATTTTAACTGGAAATGAGAAAAAAGATGACAAATAAGCTAGAGTAATTAATAAAGCACTTTTCTGACATCTATGGAAAAGCAAAAGCCTCCCCCCACTCCAACCTTCTGCTCTTCTATCCTACCCGTCCCAAGGAGTAAACATTGCTAAAAGATAAGGTAAGTATTTCCAGATTTTCTCTATATCTATATGTGGCAGCTAGTTTCCAAAGATGCGCCCTATTAATAAACCATACCTCGCAGTACACACACTCTTTTTTAATCCCTATTCCTTGAACCTGGACTAGTGCTATGGCTTGATTTTGACCAATAGACTATAAGAAAAATAATGCTGTATGATTTTGAGGCCAGATCAGAAACCAGAAGACTTACAGCTTCCACGTGGATATCTTACGATGCTTGATTTTGTGCACTCCATCTCAGAACCCAGCCACCATTCTATGGAGAAGTCCAAGCTGCACAGAATGGCCATATGTAGGCCATTTCCAACTAAGCTCCCAGTGGACAGTCGGCATCAACCACCAGACATGTAATTCAACTATTGGATTTCTAAGGCCAAGTCAAGACTTCAGATCATTCCAACTCCAGCCATCACTGACAACAAACATATGTGAGAAGTTCAAATAAATACTACCCTGATGATAGCAACTGACCCACAGAAATGTGAAAATAATAGTTTCAAGCCGTTAAATTTAGAAGTGGTTGGTTACTTGGTAACTGATAACCAAATTATTATATAAACTATACGTGGAGGCAGATTTACACGTAGGTACACACTTTTCATGCATGTGTAGAGGGTACACAACTGAGTTTTGTTCTATATCCAGCTCAGCAACTTGCTTTTTATATTAATATGTCATAGACATATTTCCAAGACTTCCTCACATGGCCTGTGCCTCCATCTCTATGTTCTTTTTCAGTCCCTTATAAGGACACTGGTCACTTGACTCAGGGCCCATTCTCATCCAGAATGATGTCTTCTGAAGATCCTTACTCATAGTTACATTTGCAAAGACCCTTATTCCAAATAAGGTCACTACTTGAGGTTCTAGTGGACATGTTTTAAGGAGGACACTATTCTACCCACTACAAATAGTGATTTTTTAAAATACATTTTTATGTTGTCAATAATATTTTGAAATTTATAAAAAATATTTGTTTCATAGACTTTTTTTTCATTTAGCTATAATTGGGAAAATAAATCCAACATCACTGATACTTTCAAACTGAGTTCCTGCCTACTCTGCTTTACAGAATCTGAAAAAGCATATGGCCCAGTCTAATCTCTCTGAAGTGCCAAATGTCACAGAATATTTAATGTATAAAACACAATATACCTACCTTTATTAGCCCAAGATGCTTCCATCTATTTGGCTCTTGATAAGATGTCAAAGCAGCCATACCCTTGCATTCTTTTGGAAATGCTAGAGTTAAATAATTCTCCACGTATCAGCACTGAACTTTGATATTCTCTGAGTGCTTTCCTTTATGCCTATTGGTGGACAAGGCAGACTACAATTATATTCACTATTTATCATAAATTCCTATTATCCTTTAGTTCTCTCTTGCCTAACCCCCTCAAAATCAGTATCACTAAAAGGGTACTCTAAAGCAGCATTCCCCAATATTTTTGACATCAGAGATGGGATTCATGAAAGACAATTTTTCTACAGATGGGGGCAGGAATGATTTCGAGATAAAACTGTTCCACTTCAATCATCAGGCATTAGATTCTCATAAGGAGTGCGTAACCTAGATCCCTCACATGTGCGGTTCACAATAGGGTTCATTCTCCTGTGAGAATCTAATGCTGCTGCTGATCTGACAGGAGGCGCAGCTCAGGCAGTAATGCTCACCTGCTGCTCACCTCCTGCTGTGTGGCCTGGTACCAGTCCGCGGCTCAGGGGTTGGGGACCCCTGGACTACAGCACAGTTAAGTTCTCTGCTTTATACTCCCACATTGCATCTCACTAAGGCAAGTGGGATTTTTTAAAAAAATATACAAAAAGAACAAAAATGAAAAAACAAAAACAGCCAATTTATCTCAACAGAGTTCTAGTCCTAACACCAATATTTTCTGAAAAGCCTAAGACATTTATAATTGTTTTTTTATTTGCTTATAGTGACCATCCTCTGCCTTAATTACCAAAATTCAAAAACATTTCCATTTTAAATTGTCTCAAACTTAATAGTTGCACAAATGGTGAAGTCTGAAATCAAGAGTCATAGATGAGAAATTTTGATATAATTGAATGTGAAGCATTTCATCTGAGGAAAATAGATTTACTTTAACAAACACAAATTTAATAGCACGGGATATTTTGAATTGCAAAAAGCAATCATTACAAGTATATGCAAAATTAGTTACATTTTGTCAACATTCTGTAACTTCTTTTCATTCAAAAGAATTTTTTTTTCATTTATTTTTTGGTCTATGTAATATAATTTACATTCAGAAAGCTGATTCCAGTGCAATGTCAACAGCTTAATGGCCTTGGTTATGTTACAACCATCATCCAAACACAAGTGTAGTGTACAGAAGAAAAATGGCAAACGAAAGTTATAAGAGAAAAAGCAAACTAGATAAAATATAATATTGGTTTACATTTTGGAAAGGGAGCATCGGTAGCAAAACACACACACACACACACACACACACACACACACACACACACACACAGGAAAATGAAATCAATAGATAACTAGTGGCAGGTTTCCTCTCTAAAGCAACGTGATTTAATCTCTAGGAATTCTGGCAATACCAACATGGTAGAGAGTTGAGTTTCCACACAGTTTGAGGCTTACTATCTTACACATTTTGGAATTGTCCATTGGATCACCTGGTAAGTGTTTAATTTAATTCCAGGTAAGTATAATTATAGCAGGGCTTCTAGTCTACATAACTCTAGGCAGGTTAGAGTTCAGACTTTATAGCCAAATGATAACATTTTTTAAATAAATATTTTTATGCTTCTGCTATAATATATTGATCACAAGTTATACAAAAGAATTTCAAAGCCCAGAATATATCCATGAACTATATTCATGTTTCTTTCCTAGACCAATTCTAAAACAGATTTTTTATTTGAAAGACCAAGAATTATTCTCACATTTAACATTCTTAGGTGTTGGTAAAAGGAACAAGTTTTCTTAAATATGCCAAATTCTCTTAATGTAGGGTAAGGTAAATTTGGATTCTAAAATTGCATTAGTTCTAACTCTATTTAAAACTGAACTTATCAGGTGTTACACCTCAAATCACATAAGACAGATACCACTCTGGCATCTGATAATTTTAAGCTATGGTAAGAATAATGTACCATGCCGACGACCCAGAAAAAGTCATAGCACCTGGATTTTTTGTTTTTATTATTTAGTTCTGTTTGTGATATCCTCTGCCCCTCCCCCGCAAAAAAAGAAATTTTTTAAAAAGAGGGAAAGAAAAGAAGTTAACTGCACACAAAGGAGGCAAGAATCCAGAAAGAGGCTATAGCAAAAATAAATAATTAAAAACCTTTTTTGTTCAAATATCTGTTAGTCATTTTGCACAGTATCCAAAGAATATCACCTTGCATGTCATAATTTTACAATTGTATTTACCTTAATTTTATAATGGAACCTTCCAACAAATCTTAAGCTAGCCAGGAGACACCAGAAAGACCTCACTAAGTTTTTATAAGCAGAGCTATATTCCATTGTTCTGACTACATTTCAGTCCATTTTGTCATGTTTACATCGGCTTAGTTATAGGTTGTTTTTATTTTTTTAATTTTTAATTTTTATTTTTTTCTAAATCAAGTAATTCTTTTTATTAATAGCTTTATGTAGATATAATTCACATAACACAAAAGTCCCTAATTTAAAAGTGTGCAATTTAAGGGATTTTAGTATCTTTACAGAGTTGTGCATTCATAACCACTATCTAATTTTAGAAAATTATCACCCCTAAAAGCAACCTCATTAGAAATCCAATTTTCATTCTACCCCCATGCCCAGCTGTAAGCAACAGATTTGCCTATTCTGGATATTCTGTGTAATTGAAATCACACAATATGTGGTCTATTGTGACTCACTTCTTTCATTTAGCATAATGTTTTCTTTTTTAAAAAAAATTTTAAAATAGCTTTAGTGTTACAAATATAGTTGTGTCATGTGGATATACTGTGTAGTGGTGAAGTCTGGGCTTTCAGTATACCCATCACCCAAAGAGTGTACATCATACCCAAATCTTTCATCCCCCTCACACCCTCCCACCTTTTGGAGTCTTCAATGTCTATTATTGCATTTTGTATGTTTGTATGTTTCTGTGTACCCATTGTTTAGCTCCTGCTTAAGTGAGAACATGTTGTCCTTTACTTTTTTACTTTTTGTTTCCGATGCATTTCACTAATGATAATGGACTCCAGTTTCATCCATGTTGCTGCAAAAGACATGATTTCATTTTTTATGGCTGAGTAGTATTCCAAGATGTGTGTGTGTGTGTGAGAATATATATATATATATATATATATATATATATATATATATATATATATATATATAATACCATTTTCAATCCAGTTAGCTCCTGATGGACACTTAGATTGATTCCATGACTTTGCTACTGTGAATAGAGCTGCAATAAACATACCAGTGCAAGTGTCTTCCTAATAAAATGATTTCTTTTCCTTTGGGTAGATACCCAATAGTGGGATTACTGAAGGGAAGGATAGTTCTATTTTTAGTTATTTGAAAAAACTGCATACTGTTTGCCATAGAGGTTGTACTAATTTACATTCCCACCAACTGTGTATAAGCATTCCCTTTTCTCCATGTCCTTGCCAACATCTGTTTTTTTATTTTTATTTTTTATTTATTTTTTACTTTTTAGTAATAGCCATTCTGATTGGTATAAGACGGCATCTCATTATGGCTTTAATTTGTATTTCTCTGATAATTAGTGATGTTGAGCAGTTTTTCATCTGTTTGTTGGCCACATGCATGTCTTCTTTTGAAAAATATCTGTTCATGTCTTTTACCGATTTTTTAATGGAGTTATTTGTTTTTTTCTTGAGTTATTTGAATTCTTTGTAGATTCTCTATGTTAGACCTTTGTCAGATGCATTGTTTGCAAATATTTCCTCCTATTCCACAGATTGTCTGTTTACTCTGTTTATTATTTCTTTTGCTCTGCAGAAGCTCTTTAATTAAGTCCCATTTTTCTATTTTTGTTTTTGTTGTGCTACCTTTTGAGAATGTAGACATAAATTATTTGCCTACATCAATGTCCAAAAGAGTTTTTCCTAATGTTTCTTCTAGGATTTTTATAGTTTCAGGTCTTACATTTAACATATTAATCCATCTTGAATTAATTTCTGTACATGGTGATAGACAGGGGTGTAGTTTCATTCTTCTGCATATGGCTATCCAATTTTCCCAGCACCATTTATTAAATGATGTGTCCTTTCTCTAGTGTATATTCTTGTCAACTTTTGAGTTGGCTGCAGGTATATGGCTTTATTTTTGGGTTTTCTGTTCTGATCCATTGATCTATGTGTCTATTTTTATATACAGGTTGTTTTTAAATAAATTATCCTGATAAAAGGTGTGGTTATCTGTCCTGCCCATTTATCCCACAAGATACACACGACAGACAGGCCACAGATAAAATATCTGAATTCCTCTGTACTGTCTGTTATGACTAGATCTGGTAAAATTTTAAAACATCTTTCCCCTATCTTTACAGGTTTGTTTCTGCAGAACTCAACATGAAAAATAAAAAGAAGATACTGATTAAGCTCCTGGGAGAATTACACTGATTGTGCACAGATTAGATGCAAAACATAATTCATTTTACAGTATCCCAAACTCCAAAGGCAATTTCATCAACATTATTTTCCAAACAATTTTTGTTTCAAGGCAGTCCTAGAGAACATTTTGTCACTAGATCATTATAGCACAGCCAGACACTGGACTCCTGAAAAACAGTCAGAAATAAGGAATACCTTCAAATGTTGAGCAGGCACTTGCACTTTACCAAAGAATGGCATTGGTAAAAACAAATTACCATTTTTCCTGTATCTTGAACATGGGTTCTAGCTTGGATGCCACATTTTTTTCTTGGGAATGCTTTTTAGGCCTTCCCAACTCTATTTTTCTCAGTGTCTTAGGGGATCCTCCACTAGATTTCCAGGCCATCCTCTGTTTTTTTTTCCATAGTAGTAATTACTATTATTCATAAGAATTTTTCTAAAGGTATTAAATAGAAGCTGGGCTGAAGGTGGCTATGTCTGTCTTATTCCTCATTATCTCCAGCATTTGACATGATTTTTAACACATACTAGGCACTGAATAAGTATTTATCACAGGAATGAACAAGTAAATGACTGAATTAATGTGCCTGGTTTCCAATACTTTTAATGAAATATCTTTGTTAATTTTTACCTGAGAGCCTTTTTGAAACCATTATTACATGCTAAGCATGATTTGGCATTATTCAGGGCTGCATAAAGAAATGAACTGGCATTTACTGGTTACCACCTACATGCCAAACATGATGTAATGCCATTTACTGGAGAAATTTAATTTATACTAATCCTTATACCACCTCTGCTAGGTAATTATATTTTATAGATGGAAAATCTAATGAGAAATACAAGAAGTTTCGTGTATTTTATCTGATTCTACAATTAATTTGCTGTTTTTCTATCTGTGCAATTAAAATGGCAATAATGGAATTTAGTTATCTTCAAAAAATGAAGAGAGGCACGTTAGAAAAAGAATATATTAATATATAATAATTGTGCTGAGCATCCTGCTTAGCACCTTAGATACATGATGTCCATGCAGTCCTCAAAATGGCCATAGTAAAATATTATCTTCATTTTACAAGTGAAGAAAATAAAGCTCAGAGGATGTAAGTATCATGCCTAAGATCATATAGCTATTAAGTAAGTGATGAGTCTAAGATTCTAACCCAGGTCAGTCTGATTCTAAAACCCAAGCTAGAACTTACACTATAAACCCATAGCTTTTTAAAGTAAGCATCAATATTTCTGTTATGTAAACATAATACATATATTTTGTTTTAATGTTCCAGGGTATATGCACAAGATGTGCAAGTTTGTTACATAGGTAAAAGTGTGCCGTGGTGGTTTGCTGCACATATCAACCCATCATGTAGTTATTAAGCCCAGCATACATTAGCTATTTTTCCTGCTGCTCTCCCTCCAAACTTACTAACAGGCCCTAGTGTGTGTTGTTACCCTCCCTGTGTTCATGTGTTCTCATTGTTCAGCTCCCACTTATAAGTGAGAACACGTGGTGTTTGGTTTTCTGTTCCTGCGTTAGTTTGCTGAGGATCGTGGCTTCCAGCTCCATCCATGTCCCTGCAAAGGACATGATTTCATTCCCTTTTATGGCTGCATAGTATTTCATTGTGTATATGTACCACATTTTCTTTACCCAGTCTATCATCGATCGGCATTTGGGTTGATTCCATGTCATTGCTATTGTGAATAGTGCTGCAATGAGCATATGCGTGCATGTATCTTTATAATATGATGATTTATATTCCTTTGGGTATATACTCAGGAATGGGATTGCTGGGTCAAATGGTATTTCTGGTTCCACGTCTTTGAGGAATCACCACACTCTCTTCCACAATGGTTGAACTAATTTACATTCCCACCAACAGTGTAAAAGTGTTCCTATTTCTCCACAGCCTCGCCAACATCTGTTGTTTCTTGACTTAATAGCCATTATGACTGGCATGAGATGGTATCTCATTGTGGTTTTGGTTTGTATTTTTCTAATAATCAGTGATGTTGAGCTTTTTTTCATGTCTGTTGGCCTCCTAAATGTCTTGAGAAGTGGCTGTTCATGTGCTTTGCCCACTTTTAAACAGGGTTGTTTGTTTTTTTCTTGTAAGTTTGTTTAAGTTCCTTGTAGACTCTGGATATTAGACCTTTGTCAGATGGATTGATTGCAAAAATTTTCTCCCATTCTATACACTGTCTGTTTATGTTGTTGATAGTTTCTTTTGCTGTGCAGAAACTCTTTAGTTGAATTAGGTCCCATTTATCAAGTTTTGCTTTTGTTGTAATTGTTTTTGATATTTTTTTGTCATGAAACTTTTGCCCCTGCCTATGTCCTGAAAGGTATTGACTAGATTTTCTTTTAGGGTTTTTAAAGTTTTGGGTTTTAAGTCTTTAATCCATCTTGAGTTAATTTTTGTGTAAGGTGTAAGGAAGGGGTCCAGTTTCAATTTTCTGCATATGGCTAGCCAGTTTTCCCAGCAACATTTATCAAATAGGGAATCCTTTCCCCATTGCTTGTTTTTGTCAGGTTTGTGGAAGATCAGATGGTTATAGATGTGCAGTCTTATTTCTGAGTTCTCTATTCTGTTCCATTGGTCTATGTATCTGTTCTTATACCAGTACCATGTTGTTTTGGTTACTGTAGTCTTGTAGTATAGTTTGAAGTTGGGTAGCATGATGCCTCCAGGTTTGTTCTTTTTGCTTAGGATTGTCTTGGCTTTTGGGGCTTTTTTGGTTTCATGTGATATTTATAATAACTTTTTTCTAATTCTATGAAGAATGTCAATGGTAGATTAATGGGAATAGCATTGAATCTATAAATTACTTTGGGCAGTATGGCCATTTTTACTATATTGATTCTTCCTCTCCATGAGCATGGAATGTTTTTCCATGTGTTTGTGTGCTCTTTGGTTTCCTACAGCAGTGGTTTGTAGTTCTCCTTGAAGAGGTCCTTCACTTCTCTTGTTAGCTGTATTCCTAGGTATTTTATTCTCTTTGTAGCAATTGTGATTGGGAGTTAATTCATGATTCAGCTCTCTGCTCGTCTGTTGGTGTACAGGAATCTTGTGATTTTTGCACATTGATTTTGTATTCTGAGACTTTGCTGAAGTTGTTTATCAGCCTAAGAAGCTTTTGGGCTGACACAACACATCTTTTAAACAGCTTTGTTGAGATTTAATCTACATACCATACAATTCCTCCATTGTATGTAGTCAATGATTTTTAATATATTCACAGGATTGTTGCAACACAACTAATTTTAGAACATTTTTGTTCCCTCCAAAAAAGACCCTAATCCCATTAACAGTTCCAAGCAGCTTTTAATCCTGTTTTGTGGCATATCACTGTGCCATCATTATCTCTGAGAACAAATGACTTTGTCATGTTTTTAGTGAACGTTCGGAAGAATAATGTTGGCATAAGTATTTTTTATACCCTTACTCCTCTATTTCCACCTGCCCTGGATACATATACATCATAAGTCTCTTGTTACTCTCCCGAAGAACGAATAATGTTGAGATAGTAAATCCATATTCTAACACTTTCTTAAACAACTCCTAGTATAACACATGCTGCTGGACCAACAATGTTGATCTTAAAGTACTTGGGAGAAATCCTATTATCCCATCTTAAATCATGGCCCATGTTTGCCCAGTTCATAAGGACATAAACTCCGTTAGTTCTCTGAGACAATAGAATACTAGAAAAGAATGTTTTGATGATGAAAGTTTGGGGCACGAAAGTGCAGAGCATTGCATGAAAAAAGAAGACCTTTGGGCAACTGAGGAACAAGTCCTGGGTGCTGGGCATATAAAAAGTGAAAAGAAGTAAAGGGGTAGTAAGACAGCATTAAAGGAACACTGATGACTTAATCGTCCTTAGAGCTGGCACTGGACAGAACTATCAACTAGGAAAAGTAACTTACTTTCACTTTTTGAACGTAGGTGATCCACAAATTACATTTTCAGAAACACTGATCTAAAAACATTATCTTGGGAAAGTCACATAGTTATTTTTTTCTCTGCATCCACTCAATTAGGGAAAAAAGGATTGATACTGTGATGCAATTAAATAAGTACTACTTATTGTTTATCACATACCTGGAAACTGCAAAAGCACATAAATCATAGAACAGAACCTACAAGGGAATTGCTTATTCATCAAATGGAGTCTGCTTTCTCAACAGTATTACTGGCAAATCTGCTTAGTTCATAAGCATAATCCTTGGGACAATGTTGATAAATATTTTTAATAAATATTTTTGCTGTAACATTATATGCTTCCTCAACCACTTAAAGTACTTAAAGTACTGGGAATCTTAAAGTACTTAAAGTACTGGGAATCTTCATAAAGAAACATAGGCCTACAGCTACAAAATTCTGGCAATAGCCCATTGAAAGAAAGGAGAGTAACAATTTTTTCATTAACTAAAATCAGTAATATACACCACTGCAACTTGCCATTGTTGCAAAAACATATTGCATTCTAATCAGGGAAAGTATAAAAGGTTGTAAGTTCTATAAAGTCACAGAGGTAACCAAAATTAGAGCAGGAAACTAGTCAGTTGAATGAAATCAATAGAATCATCAAGCTCCAAGTCCTGTGGAGAGGGCTTTATAGCAGAAGTATATGATATACAAGAGAATGAGTAACACCAATCAATAGTGACCACTCTTAGCCTGACAATAGAAGTGATGAAATGTATTCTTCTTGCTGTTTGATACCAAAGTTAATGAATAATGCTTATTTCAGAGAAAACTATTAAAAGTGTATGTGCTTTACCAACACAGAAGTCTCTCTATAATAGATTGTTGTGAAAGATAAAAGAAAAATCTCTCCCTGGAACCTGCTTTTCTTTATCATTCTTTTCCTAAGGGCCTTCTCCTTCTCCTTCTGAACGGTATGTGTTGACAGTCATCTTGAAAAAAAAAATCAGTTTGCACAGGGGCTTTTGAAAGTGATGTAAAAGTAAACTTGGATACAAGTGAAAAAATACTACTGACCATCGTCTGCTGTCCTGCAGTGCGTTTCTAAGGTAAAAACTCTAGTTTGAGGGATCTCATCCATTAGTGACATTCCCAATACCACATCTCACAAATCACTAGCATCATTTATTATGATAATTAAAATATTTTGAGAAATTACCATTTTTCAGACTCCACAGTAGTTGCTTTACATTTGCTATCTCATTAATTCCCCAATACACCTATGGTATAGATGTTAGTCATTTTTCAGATGAAGAAACCAAGATTTACATAAGCTAAATAAATTCACCAAGGTTACTGTATTATTATATTGTTTAATAAATAATATGTATTTATTTATTCATTTATTTTTTCAAACAAAGGGCAGTCCCCAGCACTCAAACCTGGGTTCTAGGGTACAGAATGATGTGAGTTTTATAGCAGGGGAATCCACTGATTCAAGGCAGATCCATTCATACAGCTGCATGTTTATTTCCATGTATACAACAGATAAACAATCAAAAGGAAATTAGGAATTCAAACCAAAGTACAATTATAATTTAGTTTTCTTTTGGCTTAAATAATATTTTCATGCTCTGGTATTGTTCAATTCCAATAGTTTTAGCAAATGTATGCATGGTTATAGGCAGAACTGGTCCAACTGGGCTTTTTAGGGTTTGTTTCGCTTTTTAAAATTTTTAAGTTTTTATAGAACATTAAATTATTACAGTATTTTTCAAAACATTTTGATGTTCCATAAACAAATCAGATTCTTAGTTTGCTTTAAATCCAAATCTATATGATCAGTTTTATAGTTATGTGGCTATTGCACAGCACCAGGATTAGGATGAGGATAGTGAAGTACCTAAGAAATAAAATTTAGGAAGCACTCATTTAAAGGAGCCACAGCTCTGAGAATGAGTGTTTTCTTATGATTTGTGCCCTATGCACCTAACTCACCTTGGTCTATTCCCTGTCCTGCAAACGGGTAATTACAGCTTAAGGTTCCTGGTGACTCTTGGTGACAAACAAAGGAATGTGACCCTAGTTGTTTATTGCTTATAGATAAGCATCACAGCTGTAGATGTTTTCTCTTAATGATCAAAGATAAAAATGTGCTTTGAATATTGAATTAGCAAAGATGTGTTTTCAGGGAGACATTCATGCCCTATTTAGTGTCCCTAAATCTAAAAGACATTTGGTGCAGGAAGTGAAGTGTTCAGTTGTCTCTTCAACAGATTTTTTTCCTCACATGACAATCAGCAAATGTAGGTTGAAGAAAACCTTCAACCTTAGCTTCATGAACAATTAATACCATGTTCCCCCCAACTGAAATAAGTAACTAGTTCCCACTAGTCTCAGATCTGTCCCAGGAGATGAACAGTCCCCAACATAATGACATTGGCAAAATTTGATAGTGTTTAGCAATTTCTGCTTATCAGAGCAGAATTAAATCACAAGGTAACTGAATTACAGAGCTCCTTACTCTATCAGAAAATGTTCCCACATGATCTTAGTGAAGGTCAGCAGTGCTTTCTTAAAGGTGCTTGCAGTTCATTAGATGGCAAATCTAGTTTCCCATTTAATTTTTTGCTTTCATGAGTACAGGTATCAAAAGTACTTACAGAAATCAATTTCAGAACAGGAAATTAGGAGAGACTATAAAGCATCCTTGACATTTCTGGGATGCCTATTTATGAACTTATCTTAAAAGGCTGAGCATAGGAAATGAAAGACTCCTTAAAATGTATATATCTAGCTCACAATCATGGTAGTAGTAAACACAAACTGTATATGTCATTAAGATAAGTTATCCCAAATAGGCATCTTTTTTCACTTGGGCATGCCCTAGCACATGATCCAGAAGTTATGTACCTGAGATTTTCTAATGTGCTTTAACTTAAATTAGAACAAAAATGCTCAAACAAAATTCATGTCAAAAAGACCTCTTCGGGGGTCGTCAAAGCTATTCAAATGGTGGGATAAATTTTAAAATACAAAAAAAAATTGAAATAACTTCAAGTTGCAGGAAATAGTATTTTAAATATAAAGCCTATTTCTTTAATTTTAGATGCTAAAAACCTGCTTGATACGTTTTTCTGTCATATAGAGTCAAGTGAACATAATTAAATCTTTCTTTAAAGTTCAAAAATTGTCCTGAATTTCAAGATCACTTGAAAGCGATTTTTTTTGTCACATTACCAAGATTATAGGTGGGAATGGCAATAACATGATGTTTTGGAGTGAAAATAAAAATACAATATATAAAATTAAAATACAATATATTTATTTTTTATTTTCATAAAATTAAAACTCTCCTATGAGTTTTTCCGTCATTTTATTTCTCCTGGAGCTAAAAACAATTTCAAAATAAAAGTTAATTCAGTATTAACTTTAGTTGGGTTTCCATTACAGTTTTTAAATAAACAATTTAGTTTGAAGTATTCATGTTACCAGGAAATCTTGAGGAAATAACCTCAATCACAATTACGCAATTGTCTTTTTTCTGCTTTCTGTGTGTTTTCCTAGGAGTTCAGGAAGTTAATTTCTTTTGCAGAAAATAAAGTATTGAGGTCTATCAGTTTTAGAACTCAGGAATATTAGGGTTAGAAGGACTCCTAAAGATTATCTAAAGCAACTGCCTCATTTTATAGCCGAATCTGGAGGCCAGGGAGGAAAAATGACAGAAATAGCTGGGACCAATATCAGTGGAAGCCAAACTGACAATTTGCTCTGTTAACTGTTGCAATTATACCTATCACACCCCATATTAAGAAAAAACAAACAAACAGATAGAATTCTAAATTAGACAAAAAATAAGATAGGCTACCTAGCTCCGGTCTGCAAGATACATGAAACCTTGAGCACTTTCTCCAAGTTATTAATTCCATCACAAAACAATTTTTTTCCTCACATTTCAATGCTTACATCTGAAGTTATATCATGATTTTGTGGTCATAATAGCCTCATGATAAAATTGCATTTTCTTCATCATGTAGAGAAAAACTATAAGCTTGGTAATCTTGGTAATCTTGTTTTTTCTTTGAAATATCTGTTGAGTTCTTAAAATGTATTTACTCCAGAATAAATATGCAGACAGTACAGTTGCCATATACCCTTGGCCACAATTTCCTCTGTTAATAACATCTTGTATAAGTGTGGTACACTTATGATAATTAATGAACTGATACTTTATTATACATTCTTATTAGCTAAGCACATAATTTACTTTTACATGAGAGTTCCCTCTGTTTTGTACAGTTCTATGGGTTTTAACAAATGCACAAATCAAGCATGCATCATTAGTGTATCATACAGAATACTTTCACCTCCCTAAAAATTCTCCTGTGTGCTTCACCTATTTAAATCTCCCTTATCCCCTTGATTCCCTGACAACCACTGATCTTTTTACTATTCCTATAGTATTGCCTTTACCATGTCATATTGTTGGAATCATACATTATGTAGCCTTTTCAGAATTGCTTTATTCACTCAGCAAAATTTATTTAAGATCCATCCATCTATGTCTTTCTGTGGCTTAATAGATAATTTCTTTTTAGCACTGAATACTATTCCATAGTCTGAATGTACCACTGTTTATCTATTAACCCATTGAAGGACATAGGTTACTTTTAATTTTTGCCAATTATGAATAAAGTTGCTATAAACATTCATGCACAGGTTTTTGTGGGGACATAAGTTTTCAATTGTATAGTGTAAATACCTAGGAGTGCAATTGCTGGATCATAAGGTTAAGACTATTTTAGATGTATAGGAAACTGTTGAAATGTCTTTCAAAGTGATCCTATTATTTTGCATTCCCAACAGCAATGGAGGAGGGTTCCTACTGTTCTGGATCCTTGGCAGCATTTGGCATTATTTTTTTTTATATTTGCCATTCTAATAAATTCTCACTTAACACCCTTGATAGGCTCTGGGACACATCAATTTTAAGCAAAATAAAGTATACTGAAAACAATTTTACCACAGGCTAACTGATACAAACAATAATTAAGTCCTTAATGGCGTATTTCTGGTCACAAAAACATCACCAAACTTCTGACTAAAACCAAAAACACTTCTTATATTAAATATTAAAATAAACATGAGCTATACCTACACTTAAGATTAATAAAAACAAGTAAGACAATTATCTATCCAACTTTTGGTAAGTCAGTGAGTGTTGGTGGTCATAGTAGTGGTGGGATAAATAAAGGAATACATGTTTGCAAAGCAAAAATTGTAAGAAGCACCTCCTACCAACACGCAGGTGAAAAATAAACAATAACAATATAGCAGGTCTTATAGTTGCTTACAGAATAAGGTGAGATGCAAACAACATCATGCTGAGGTAGGCTGGAGGTGATTCCTATGTCTGTCTCCTTTTTGAAGGTGATTCCTTTGTCTGCCTCCTTTTTGAGGTGTCACTGCCACTCCACACTAATCACACTCTCTTTCCATCTGAGTTCTGGCAATCTAAACCCTGATACCAAGTTCCCCTTTCCCAACCCATATAAATATCAAGACCTTTTTACTCCTTGCATGTGAGTTAGGGTGTTGGACAGAGACATATGTCTTCAGTGCTCAGTTCTTACCTAGTAGTCCTTATCCCAAATGTCATCCTGTAGATCTGTCACTCTGGCTCTCAATCCTGCAGGGCCTTACCTCCCTCTCTTTTCATATAACTGCCTTTTCCTTTACTTTACTTCCCTTCCCATCATCAGAGAACTGACAGAGATACACACATACCTACTGTGAGGAGTGGCCTCTATCACCTTGTTGATTTTATTTTAATCTTTATCACCTGTGTTTCATGTTGGTATCGTCTTTTGGAATGGTATAGTTCCACAACATCCCTTGGGCCTGGGTGTAGCTGCATTTGTCTCAGGATCCTATTCTGTCTGTGGTAATTGTCAAAATGTACTGGCCCTTCTACCTCCATTCTGATTTTATGAAGTAGGTGCAGTTCTGTGAGGAGGTATGTTATCTGAACTCCCATGAATTTTACTCTCCTCTGTGTCTTCTATAACTGGAAGGGCAACAAGGTGAGCTTGGAATGTCACCAAGCTGGGGGAAGAGAATAGAGGATAAATGGGAAGGGAGGCTTAATAGGAATGGGTGAGGCTATAAGGTTTGTGCCAGGTAAGGAAAGGAAGGATACCGGGGTGAGGGAATCAATAAAGTAAAGACAAATCTTGGGTAGGATCATCTGATCTTTCCACCACTCCTGAACCTGAGTTTAAAGAAGGTCCTCATTGTATTCCTCCCTTTGGTGCTTGTGGCTCATTGTCTCCTAAGTATACTGGACTCTTGTAATTTCTTGATCACCTCAGCTATGTTAAACCCTTCCAGTTGTCTGCACCAAGAGTCCTGCCCTCCTTGTATATACTAATCCTCAGGACAATGAGAAGCCACACCCTTTCAGCTTTGGTCATCAAGGCACTCCCCCCAGCCAATGGTAGTTATGGAGTAATTTCACCTCACAAATTATCACTCCAACATGTCCCTGAAGGTTAGGGATGCTTGGGGTGCAATAGGCTTATATTTGGAAAAAAGGGACATTTCCTTAGTACTCCTAAAAGTCTTTCCCAAACTGACCTTTCATTCATTTTCATCTTCCCATGTTCAATTCTGGTGGTACCATAGTAAGGAGAGGATGTTTCCTCCAAAACATTCCTCATGGCTTGCCCCAACCTGCCTAGTTCACTCTGTCTCCCATCCTTCACCATTTACTAGAGTTTTAGATGCCTTATCTATATTATCTTTAAAATAATGTGGTTGCATTTAAACATCAATTGACGTATTAATCATCTCAATTTTCTCCAACAAATTTCTCTTACGTGCCTTGAAAACCATTCACTTCCTGGCTACTACCAGGCAACTTTACTATGCTACTGTCTTGTCACAATGTTTACATAAATCATCTCAGTTTTCTTTTTTCTAGCCTGAACTCACTGTCTCAGGTTATCAAGAATCCAGTAGGAAAACGCTGTATTTTCTATCCTGGTCTCATTTCAAATCTGAGGGGTCATGTTCATCTCGGTAGGTATAGTACCCAGACATGGTTTTTACTAGTCTGGAGGTAAGAGCCAATATTTATTGGATGGAATTTGTGCTGGTATTTGTATGCCAGACGCTACTACCTAAGACTAACACATTCTCCCAGTGAAGGAGTTGGCTTTACTAAAGCCATGCCTCACATGAAGAGCTTTTGTCAATGTATGTCAGCACCAAACAGACACTTTTCTAATCTTATTTTACTGCTGGTGCTACTTGCATGCTACCTCCCTTCTCTCTCTGGAGGCCTTCTGGAGAAAGGAAGCTCATCTTATAATGAGAAACACTGTTAGAATTCATTTATATAAGTAGTAATAACAAGATTCCAGCTTCTTACAGGAGATAAATCCTTCAACATCATGTTCTCTCCAATTAGTTCAATAGGTAGGGAGCCCCTTATTCAGGATTTTGGCTATAGAGCAAAGAATAATGGAGTTAGCCATAGGTCCTATAATAATCGTAAACTGACTAGTAGGTTCATTTAACTTGTGGGCCTTACCCGGGCACACAACCTTTTGCCCTAACATATCATTCCTATAATTTCCCATGGAGCACTGAGTTCCTGATAGCCACTGGTTTCTTAATTAGAATACATACCATCTGTAAATAATTTTTCAGGGAGATTCTCATTTGTGGAGGCAGGTGTAGTTTGTGGGTTATTACCGCATGTAGTGTACAGAATGGGCCCCAAGATGTTCACATACTAATCCCCAGAACCTGAGAAAACCTGAGGTTATATGACAATAGGAAATTAAGGATGCAAATGAAATTAAGGTTGCTAATCAGCATACTCTAAGATAGGGAGATTATCCTGAATTATCCTAATGGGTCCATAACAGTGGAAGAGGGAAGCAGAAGAAAGGAGTCAGAGGGAGATAGGACAATGGAAGTGATGTAATGGGAGACTCAACTCATCTTTAATAGCTTGAAGTACTGACGAAGGGACAATTTGACTTCCTCTTTTCCTAACTGAATACCCTTTATTTCTTTCTCCTGCCTGATTGCCCTGGTCAGAACTTCCAACACTATGTTGAATAGAAGGGGTAAGAGAGGGCATCCCTGTCTTCTGCCAGTTTTCAAAGGGAATGCTTCCAGTTTTTGCCCATTCAGTATGACACTGGCCATGGGTTTGTCATAAATAGCTCTTATACATGATTGTGTATTTAGAAAACCCCATCGTCTCAGCCCAAAATCTCCTTAAGCTGATAAGCAATTTCAGCAAAGTCTCACGATACAAAATCAATCTGCAAAAATCACAAGCATTCTTATACACCAATAACAGACAAACAGAGAGCCAAATCATAAGTGAAGTCCCATTCACTATTGCTTCAAAGAGAATAAAATACCTAAGAATCCAACTTGCAAGGGATTTGAAGGACCTCTTCAAGGAGAACTACAAACCACTGCTCAAGGAAATAAAAGAGGATACAAACAAATGGAAGAACATTCCATGCTCATGGGTAGGAAGAATCAATATCGTGAAAATGGCCATACTGCCCAAGGTAATTTACAGATTCAATGCTATCCCCATCAAGCTACCAATGACTTTCTTCACAGAATTGGAATAAACTACTTTAAAGTTCATATGGAACCAAAAAAGGGCCCACATTGCCAAGACAATCCTAAGCTAAAAGAACAAAGCTGGAGGCATCATGCTACCTGACTTCAAACTATACTACAAGGCTATAGTAACCAAAACAGCATGGTCCTGGTACCAAAACAGAGATATAGATCAATGGAACAGAACAGAGCCCTCAGAAATAACGCCGCATATCTACAACTATCTGATCTTTGACAAACCTGACAAAAACAAGCAATGGGGAAAGGATTCCCTATTTAATAAATGGTGCTGGGAAAACTGGCTAGCCATATGTAGAAAGCTGAAACTGGATCCCTTCCTAACCCCTTATACAAAAATTAATTCAAGATGGATTAAAGACTTAAACGTTAGACCTAAAACCATAAAAACCCTGGAAGAAAACCTAGGCATTACCATTCAGGACACAGGCATGGGCAAGGACTTCATGTCTAAAACACCAAAAGCAATGGCAACAAAAGACAAAATTGACAAATGGGATCTAATTCAACTAAAGAGCTTCTGCACAGCAAAAGAAACTACCATCAGAGTGAACAGGCAACCTACAAAATGGGAGAAAATTTTTGCAATCTACTCATCTGACAAAGGGCTAATATCCAGAATCTACAATGAACTTAAACAAATTTACAAGAAAAAAACCCATCAAAAAGTGGGCAAAGGATATGAAGAGACACTTTTCAAAAGAAGACATTTATGCAGCCAACAGACACATGAAAAAATTCTCACCATCACTGGCCATCAGAGGAATGCAAATCAAAACCACAATGAGATACCATCTCACACCAGTTAGAATGGCGATCATTAAAATGTCAGGAAACAACAAGTGCTGGAGAGGATGTGGAGAAATAGGAACACTTTTACACTGTTGGTGGGACTGTAAACTAGTTCAACCATTGTGGAAAACAGTGTGGCGTTTCCTCAGGGATCCAGAATTAGAAATACCATTTGACCCAGCCATCCCATTACTGGGTATATACCCAAAGGATTATAAATCATGCTGCTATAAAGACACATGCACACGTATGTTTATTGTGGCACTATTCACAATAGCAAAGACTTGAAACCAACCCAAATGTCCAACAATGATGGACTGGATTAAGAAAATGTGGCACATATAGACCATGGAATACTATGCAGCCATAAAAAAGAATGAGTTCATGTCCTTTGTAGGGACATGGATGAAGCTGGAAACCATCATTCTCAGCAAACTATCGCAAGGACAACCAAACACTGCATGTTCTCACTCATAGGTGGGAATTGAACAATGAGAACACTTGGACACAGGAAGGGGAACATCACACTCTGGGGCCTGTCGTGGGGTGGCGGGGAGGGGAGAGGGATAGCATTAGGAGATATACCTAATGTAAATGACGAGTTAATGGGTACAGCACACCAACATGGCACATGTACACATATGTAACAAACCTGCACATTGTGCACATGTACCCTAGAACTTAAAAAATAATTAAAAACAAATATTGACAAAGGGGGCTACAAAAAATAAATGTGTCCTCTAGAAGCTGGAAAGGTCAGTGAAATGAATAAGCCCCTATAGCCTTCAGAAACGAATGCAGCACTACTGACACGTTGCTTTTATTCCTGTGAGACCCATAACAGACTTCTATCCTAAATAACGGTAAGATATTAAATTTGTGTTTGTTAAGCTGCTAATTTTGTAGTAACTTATTAAAGTAACAATAGAAAACTAACACATCTAACAAGGTACACTGATTGATAAACAATTTATTAAGCACCTGCTTTATGTAAAGCACTGTGCTACTAGCCTAGGATGATGCACAGTTGAAGACACAGCCTCTGTCCCCAAAGAGGTTCTAAGTCCAATAGAAGAGAAAACTGTTGAAGGAATGCTCCTGCTACCTCAGGATCATAAATGAGTTTTTTGGGATCCTATCCTACAGACCTCTATTCCTATGTTGTTTCTTGGGCTTCAGTTTCAGCCCCTCCTTTTTAACTCTTAGAATTTTCTCAGAGCACCCTCACCTCTAATGATGGCTACTTATCTGTCTGGCCAATTACTTCTGTTACTTCTTCTCAAGCTCTCTTCCAAGTTGGCATAGACCTTCATTAAGACAAACCTCTAATAGCATTTTCTTGCCTTCCAAGACTTTCTCCAACAAGGGAGTAACTTATTTATTAATAAAATCTTGTCTTTTTCTCTGTATGTATAACAGTGTAAATGTGAGAATACCACACAGTGGAAATGCACAAGCTATCTTTATGTAATTAGCACATACCACCAGTATCAAGAGTTCAGTACAATGTAACAATGATAACATTTGCTTTGGAGTTAGAGACTCCTGGGCATAGGATAAGAAACTCAGGCCAAAGCCTAATAATGACATAAACACCCTGGAGATTGAGGCTTGCTACAGTTCTTGAGAGAAATAGCATGGCTAGGCTGGCCTCACAGGTTATGTAGAAGGGCAGTGGTAGGAATCAGAAGAAAACATGTTTAGTGGGAATTGCGGATCATCAGTGAGCTATGTGGAGCTAGGTCACAGAGTAGCAACTCTGGAGTGTTCACATTTATTAAACCACCTCTCTAGTAGCTTCTCTGAAATCTGGTGACTCATATCCACTTCTTGCCCTCAGTAAAAGTTCAGAGGTTAAGACATATGTCCAAATAAGTATGACCAAAGATGTGGGTCATAGAAAGGGAATAAAACAGGAGCCTCTGGAGTGAAGAGCTGTGAGGGGCTTCACTCAGGAGCTGTTAAACCTTCTGATGGTTCATACCACCTAGTGCATAGAAGAGCAGTTTTATGAAAATATAAATTTTATGAAAAGTAAATGTTATAATGTAAGAAACTTTACTAGAAGAACCTGTAACGGTTGTATATTCACTTCTGGGTATATATCCCAGAGAAATCCTCGTGTAGGATACAAGTGAAAACGTATAAGGCTGGTCTTCATATAAATTCTGTGGTCGTGGATAGCTGGAGACTATGTGTTTATCTCTGGGGACACAGATTTATAAACAAGGTTGTTTACATACTCTGAAATACTAGCCAGTAGTTGAAAGCAGTGGACTAGGTAACTGGACACATTCATAGCAGCACAGTTTATCACATTAATATACACAATGAAAAATTTACAGTTTAAGTAGCATGGCTCCTGGATTTGCTTTACAAATACATCAGCAAAAATTTAAAAGTGGGGAGCTGAATAAAATATGAATGGTAGAATGTTAGCTGTTGAATCTGGGTGATGCATGTACACATTATTAGTATATATTATTTGAAGAAATATCTATTCAAGTCCTTTGCCTACTATTTATTTTGGTAAAATACGTGTAACTACAAATTCACCATTTAAACCATTTTTAAAGTTTACAATTCAATGGTATTAAGTATAATCACAGTGTTGTGCATTCATGATCACCACCTAACTCTAGAAGATTTTAGTTACTCAAACAGGAAATCTATACCCATTAAATAGTGTGGACACAAGCTAGAGAACAATGGAGAAATATTTTCAAAATACTGAAAGTGGTTTCAGGAAGGAAGAGAGATGTCAACCAAGAATTCTATAGGCAGTGTCAATATATTTCCAAAGAAAGTAAAAATAAAGACTTAAACTTTAAAAAGTAAAGTAATTCATCACCAGCAGACTTGATTACCAGACATGTTAAAGAAAGTCCTTCAGAGAGAAAAAAAATAGACTCCCAAGGAAATAGGAATCTACATAATTGAATAGAGAGTGCCAGAAAATTGTAAATATTTGGGTAAATATAAAAGAATTTTTAACTTATTTTAAAAAATATTTGAAAAATATGTTAAAAGTAATAACAATGTATTGTAGGATTTAAAACATACGTAGAAGTAAAATAAATGATAAAAATAGCAAAAATGTCAGTAGTGGGTAGAAAGTATATAGGTATAAATACTATAAAAATACTATAAATTAAGTCGTATGATATCACTTGAAGGTAGGTTGTGATAAGTTAAAGTTGTATACTATAAACCCTAAACAACCAATAAAATATTAAAATAAAAAGCTATACCTGACAGCCCCCAAAAAGAGATAAATTAGAATAATAACAAATATTTAATCCCAAGAGCTTTAAATAAACAGGAAAGGAAAACAATGAATAAATGGAACAAAGATAAAACAAATACCAAAATATTAGATTTGAAATTAATCTTATCAATGAGCACATTGATTGTAAATGGTCTCAATATCCCCAATTAAAGGCAGAGGTTATAACACTGAATTAAAAACAAACACAACTTGATGTAAATTCTCTCTAAATTTATATTTTAATGCAATCTCATCAGAGCTTATTTTTTATAGATGTAAACAATCTAATTCAAAAATTTACATGAAACGGCAAAGGAATTAGATTAACCCAAAAATTGTATTTAAAGTGTACAACTTGGTAAGTTTTAACATGCACACCCATGAATCCACCACCAAAATCAATAAAAAAAGATTTTGTACTTAGCCCCCAAATGTTTCTCAGTGCCCCTTGGTAATGTCTTGTTTCCATACCTCTGTGTACCTTCCCCTGACTCCACTCACAGGCAACCACTGATCTACTTTCTGTCACTATATATTACAGTTGACCATTATACAATGTGGGAGTGGGGAGAACTGACCCTTGTGCAATTGAAAATCTGTATATAACTTTTGATTCCCCAAAATCTTAAGTACTAATAGCCTACTTTTGACTGAAGGCCTTAACAATAATATAAACAGTCAAGTAACACATTGATATGGTTTAGAGTTGTGTCCCTGCCCAAATCTAATGTTGAACTGTAATCTCCAAAGTTGGAGGAGAGGCCTGATGGGAGGTGATTGGCTCATGGGGTGTATTTTCCCCTTGCTATTCTCATTATAGTGAGTTCTCATGAGATCCTTTTGTCTCAACGTGTGGGGCACCTTCCCCTTTTTTCTTTTTCTCCTGCTCCAGCCATGTAAGATGTGCCTCTTTCCTTTTTGCCCTCTGCCATGATTGTAAGTTTCCTGAGTCCTCCCCAGCCACATTACCTGTATGGGCTGCAAAACCATGAGTCAATCAAACCTCTCTTTTTTTTTTTATAAATTACTCTCACGTAGTTCTTTAGAGCAATGCAAGAATGGATGAATACACACATATTTTATGTTATATGTATTATATATTGTATTTTTACAATAAAGTAAGCTAGAGAAACGAAAATGTTATTAAGAAATTAATAAGGAAGAAAATATATATTTCCTATTAATTAAGTGAAAGTAGATCATCAAAGGAGGAAGAGGAGGGATTGTCCTTGCTGTCTCAGGTGTGGCAGAGGTGGAAGAGGTAGAAGGGGAAACACCAGAGGTAAGAGCACTTAGTGTAACTTTTATTGAAACAATCAGCATATAAGTAGACTGACGTAGTCTAAACCTGTGTGGTTCAAGGGTCAATTGCAGTTTGCATTTACTAGTGGTTTACAGAAATCAAATTATAAAACATAAACGTTTTTGTCTTGCTTCTTTTACTTAGCATAATTATTTTGACACTCATCCATATTATTGTATATACAGGTATACCTTATCTTATTGTACTTTGCTTTATTGTCCTTCACAGGCATTGCATTTTTTAGAAATTGAAGATTTGCATTGAGAAAATCCATTGGCACTTTTTTTAACACCATGTTTTCACTTTGTGTCTCTGTGTCAGCACTTATTATCAATAAAATATTATTTAATAAATGTATGTACGTTGTGTTTTTAGACATAACACTACTGTGCGTTTACTATACCAAAGCATTGTGTAAACATAACTTTACATGCATTGGGAAACCAAAAAAATTGTATGACTCACTTTATTGTAATATGTGTCTTATTGCAATGGTGCAGAGCTGAAATTACTATATTTCCAAGACATGACTGTATCAATAGTGCATCCTTTTTTGTTGCTATACAGTATTCCATTGTGCAAATATACCACATTTTACTTATCTATTCACTTGTTGATAGACATTGGGGTTGTTTCAAATACTTTTAAACATTTTTTGGGGTACATAGCATATAGTTATGTGGTACATCAGATGTCTGGATTAAAGATAAAGTTACGATGAGCATTCATGTACAGGTCTCTGTTTAAAAATAAGCATTTTTTTTCTTTTCACTAAATAGGAGTGGAATGGTGTTTATTCATATGGAATGTGTGTTTTTATCATTTTAGGAAACTGCTGAACTGTTATCCACAACGGTTGCACCATTTCACGTTCCCACCAGCAGTATATGAGTTCTAGTGCCCTAAATCCTTACTAACACGGTCAGCACTAACAGTTTTTATGATTTTAGTCATTTGACAATTTATATAGAGATACCTCATTGTAATTTTAATTTTCATTTCTCTAATGATTAATGATATTGAGCATATTCTGTGTATTTATTTGTCATCTCTATATCTTCTATGGCGATGTGTCAGTTCACATATTTTTCCCATTTTTTAATTGGGCTGCCTATCTTCTTATTCATGATTTGTAAGTGTTCTTTATATATTCTAAAATCAAACCCTTTATTAGATATATTTTACAAACATTTTCTTCCATTCTATGGCTTTCCATTTCACGTTCCTAAAGAGACTTCTAAGCAGCAAAATTCTCATTTTCAAGGAAAAGGAAAGTTTATATAACAACAACCAGTGGAAGAGATAAAATAAAATTTCACAATTATTAAAATGTCATTTAATTTGCAAGATACAAAAGTTCTTAATTTATGTGCACCAAAATATTTCATATCTATTTTATCTATATCTAGATATGTTTGATGTATATAATATATATGACACATGTATTGGAGAGAATTATACATAATATATAATATATAAATATATAAATGCTTACTATATAAATATATATTTAATATATATATCTTTAATTATATTATTTAAATATATAATTAAATATATATTATATTTATATAATATTATATATTTAAATAATATATAATTATATTATTATTTAATGAAAATATATTATATATTTAATGAAATATATATTTAATGAAAAATTATATTTTTCATTATATTTAATGAAAATATATTATATATTTAAAATAATATAATTTTATAAATTATATTTAATATATTATAAAATTTATATTTAATATAATTTTATATTTAATATAATTTTATAAATTAAATTTATAATATAAATTTTAAATATATTATATATTTAAAATAAATATATTATATTTAAATATATTATATATTTAAAATAAATATATAATATTTTTAATATATAATAAATATAAATATAATATTAATATATTTTATTAATATAAATATATTTTTATAAATGTAAATAATATAAAGCTATTTCTAAATATATAAATATATATTTATATTTATAATGAGTATAAACATATTTTACAGTATATTTAATATATATTAAATTATAAAATATAGTATATTTTATAATATATTTAATATGTATTCAATTATAAAATATAGTACATTTTATACTATATTCATAATATATTTTAACATTAATATTAACGTATTAATATTTAAGTATATATTATATGAAATATTATAGTTAAAATATATATACAATAAATATATTTTAAAAATAAAATACATATTCAAAATATTATATTTAAAATAAAATATATATCACATAAAATATATATTTATTTTATAAATACATAATTATTTATTTATTTATATGAATATAATTGTAAATATATTTTATATATTAAATTATAAAATAGATAATATTTTACAATATATTTATGTTATATATTTTAATTTAATATGTAATAGTAACATAAATATAATATTAATAAAGATAAATATATTATATATTTAACATAAATGTATTAATATATAATATCTAAATATATATCATATATATGTTCACAGAAAAAATGGAGAACAATTTTTAAATGCCAGCATATTGATATAATTAAGACTATATCCTCTGACACCAATGGAATTAATCTTCAAATCAATCACAAATGTTAAATGGAAAATAACTGAGTATTAAATAACATACAGCTAAATAAGCTATGTGGTCAAAGAAGAAATCAAAATACAAGTGAAAACTATTTTAACTAAAGATTAATAAAAATATCACACATCAAATTTTATTATATTCAGCTAGAACTATATAAAGATGGAAATATGTAACCTTATGACATAGCTTTGCTGTTTGTCCCCTCCAAATCTTACGGAGAAATATAATCCCTAATATTGAAAGCGAGGCCTAGTGGGAGGTATTTGGATCATCGGGGTGGATCCCTCATGAATGGCTTAGTGCCATCACCTTGGTGATAAGTGAGTTCTTGCTCTGAGTTCCTGCAAAATCTGGTTATTTAAAAAGAAGCCTGGCACGTCCTCTTCTCTTTCTTGCTCCCTCAATCGGATGTCAGCACACTTCCTGTACAGCTTGCAGAACTGTGAGCCAACTAAACCTCTTTTCTTTATAAATTACCCAGCCTCAAGTATTACTTTATAGCAATGCAAAAACAGACCTTAATTGCGTATTTTGTAAGAAAAATAAGGCTGAAAAACAATTATTTAAACTTCCACCTAAAAAGAATAGAAAGCTAATTCTAGTAAATACAGAAGAAAAGAAATAATAAAGAGTATTAATCAGTAAAATATATAAAAAAAACTCCAGAGAAAATAATGCAAAATTAGTTCAGTAAAACAGATTAATAATATTGGTAAAATTCTGATAAGAATGACCAAAAAGTAAAGAGAAAATGGGACAAATTACCAATATTTGGGAATAAAAGTGAGATAAAACTATAGATCCCAAGACATAAGAAAGTTAATGAGATATTATGTAAACTTTATCTAAGTATATTTGAGTATTTATATGAAATGAGAAAATTCTTTTAAAAACACAACTCACCAAAATAAATTGAATCATTCATTAGTAAAAACTATTTCTAAAAAAGAAATTCTAAGTCCAAGATACTCTTCATGGTGAATTTTTCCAAATATTTAGAAAACTAATACCACAAATCTAACATAACAGAAGCTTAAAAGAAAAAAAAAACAAACTATCCCCCAAAATCGTTTTATGAGGCCATAAAAACCCTGGCACCATAACCTGAAAAGGGAACTAAAACCAAATAAAATTACCAGTCGATGTCTCTTATGAACATAGAAACAAGACGCCTAAAGAATATATTATCAAATTAAACCCAGCTAATAAGAAGAGGATAATACTTCATGATCAATTTGAATTTACCTCAAGTATACCATGTTGGTTTAATATTCAAAAATCAACCAATATAATTCATCACATTCAGAAACATCTCATGAGGTGTATAAACCACATATAATAAAATTAATAATCCGTTCATCATAACAACTCTTAACAGACTAGGAAAAGAAGGGATCTTCCTTATACCAATATAAGACTATGAATAATCTATAGCAATTACTGGACTTAATGATGAAACGCTGTAAGCTTTCTACATAAGACAAGTCAGCAAAAATGAATGTATTGTCAACTTTTCTATTCAACAATCTACTTGTGGTCCTGTCCAGTGCAATGAGAAAATAAGGAGAAATAAAACACTTAACAACACAAAATAAATAAAGCTCTCATTATTTGTTACATAATTTTACACATAAGATCATATACACAGAAAATCTAAAAGAATCTATAGATAAATTATTATAATAGAATTATTAAGTGGGTTTATTAAGTTCACTGAACTTAATGTATACAATGTATAAAAACTGTATACTTTATATATCAACAACTAAAAAGAGTATTGTTTCAAACTTCTATGTTCTATTTATACAGTCAGAAGGCTGTTTTTAAAAAAAACTCTAGTAAGAAAAGCTATACATAAACTTTACCCAGAAAATTGCAAAATGACCATCTCAGCCAATACAGAACAAGCATTTTACAAAATCCAAAGCTCATTCTTGATAAATAACATAAAAAATAAAGTATTTAAAATAAATTTAACAGGAATACAAGACCTCTACCAAATTCATGGATTGAAAGACTTAGTATTGGGTGTGTTTTCTGCAAATATATCTATACATTTAATGTTATACTGATAAAGATTTGTTTGCATATATTGAAAAGTCAATACTAAAATTTATCTAGAATAACCAAAAGTATCTAGAATAACCAAAACAATTAAAAAAGTTTGGGAAGTCATAGCACCTGATTTCAAAGCATGTCATAAAGCTACAGTAATTAAGAAAGCATAATACTGGCAGAAGGATAGACATATAAGCATATAGAACAGAGTCTAGAAACAAGACCTTATATAAATATGTAGTCAATTGATTTATGGCAAAGATGACAATTCAATGAGGAAAAGGTAGTTTTTTCAACAAATAGTGATACAGCAATTGGATCCATAAGAAAAAAAGAAAAGAACTTCAGAACTTAAGAGCTTACCTCACACTATATACAAAATTAACTCAAAGTGTATTGAATTTATAGATGTAAGATCTGAAATGATCAAACTTCTTTAAAAAACATGAAATTCCTTATGACCTTGGGTAAGGCAAAGATGTAAAAATGATGCCAAAATGCACAAACAGAAAATTTGATGAATTGAATTACACTTCATTGAAATTGAAATCTTTTGCTCCTCAAAAGACATCAGTAATGAAATGATAAAAAACAAGTTACAGAATGGGAGATAATATTTGCAAAACATATCTAATAAAGTACTTGTGTCCAGATTACATACATACGTTTTCCAATGTAAGAAAACAAACCAATAAAAAATAAGCAAAATAATTGAATAGCCACTTCACCATAGAAGATAATTAAATGAAATACATACACATGAAAAGTTTCTAATCATAATTAGCCATTTGGGAAATGAAAATTAAAACCACAATGCAATTTTACACAACAGCCACAACAAACGTCAGTGAAGATTTAGAGAAACAGGGACCCTTATATGTGTTGGTGGAAATGTAAAATGGTACTGCCACTTAGGAAACCATTTTATAGCTTCTTAAAATATTAAATATAAGCTTATTATATGACCCAGAAATTCAACTTCTCATTATCTGTCCTAGAGAAATGAAAACCTGTGTCCACAAAAACACTTGTATATGAGCAAATATTTACAGCTGTGTAAATCATAACTGCTCCAAATGGAAACAACGTAAGTGTCCATCACCAAATACATGATTAAACATAATGTGACAAATCCATTCAATTGAATACTTACACAGAAATTAAAAGGCACAAAATATCATTACATGTAACAACATGGATTCATATAAAAGACACCATGCTAAGTGAAAAAACCCAGAAACAAAAGACTTTTTACTGTGGACTCTATTATATTACATTTCTAAAAATGGTAAAACCTTGTATCCTGAAAGCATGTCAGGGATTGCCTGGGCCTGGGAGTAGCAGTGGGGACTTATTGCAAAGAGGCACGAGAACACTTTTTGAAGTGACAACAATGTTCATTATGATGGACTGACATAATAATTATTCATGGTATAAATTAACCATCAAATTCTATAGTTAAAATGAGTGAATTTTATGGTATGTAAGTTATACCTCAGTTAAGCTGTTAAAAAACATTACTAAGAAGTATCAAAGAGTACCTCATTTAACGTGGGCATATGTCATGTTCATGGATTGGAAGATTCAAAATTTAAAGATAATTATTAATGTACTCACAGGTAAAACACAAACGTGTTTTATTTTGGAGGAGAATTAACAAAGTGATTCTAAAATTTACATGGAAATCCAAGTTCAGGAAGAGTGAAGATGATCTTGAAAAACAAAGAGTGATGACATACACTATCAGAGATCAAAGCTAACCATCAATGCTATAGTAATTACAATACTGTAGTATTGTTATTTTGGTAAAAAATAGAAAAATAGACTACCAAAACAGAGTATCTAACGCAGAGGCAGACTATACTGGTTTTCTATTGCTTTATAACAAGTTATCACAAATGTAGCAACATAAAGCAATACCCATTTCATATCTCACAGCTCTGCAGGTCAGAAGTCCAGGAGGGTTGACTGTGTTCTTTGCTCAGAGCCTCACAAGACTGAAATTAACATATAGGTTGGGCTGGGATCTTATTACCTGAAGGCTTGGGGGAAGAATCTGCTTTCAAGCTAATCAGGTATTGGCACAATTCAATTCCTTAAGGAGTAAGTCTGAAGACCCTATTTCTTTACTGACTCTCAGCTTGAGAGGCTGTTCCCTTCTTCTTGCAGCAGCCCAAATACTATCTCACATGGCCCCTTTTATTATTAAACCAGCAACAGTATATTGAGTCATATTTATACTTTAAATCTCAGTGGCTTTTCCTTCTGCAACCAATAGGAGAAAGTGTTCTGCGTTTAAGGGCTCATATGATTAGATCAGGCCCACCCAGATACTATCTGTCCAGTATATGGCCCACGGTGCCATATATCATAATTATGGGAGTCTATATAATCATATTCACATGTTTGAGTGATTAGTGTGTAACACCTGAAGGGGCTATTTCAAAACTTTGCCTGCTACATATATTCATGCATATATGGTGTCTCATGATTTTCCACAAAGCATAAGACCTACATATAATAAATAGAGAAGTTATTTTCTTTTTAATCAATGATGATTTGCCAGTTGGATTTCCATATGGAAAAAACTGTGAACATACAAAAATCAATTATAGTTGGATCATATACCTAAGTATGGAAATTAAAATAATAAAGTATATAGAAGACAACAAAGGTAAATGTCTTCATTTCTTTTAGATAAGCAATGATTTATTAAATAAGATATTAGTGTACTAACTGTAAGATGAGAAGATTGAAAAGTTGCATTTTATCAAAATTTCGGAAGTTTTGCTTATCCAAAGACGCCATTAAGATAGTGCAAAAGTAAGCAACGGTGTGAGAGGGGATATTGGCAATAAATATATCTGATAAAGGACTCCTATCCAGAACATAGGTTAAATATATAAGTATATATATATATATATATCAGTTAAAAAAAGCAGATTACTCAAGTTTTAAAATAGGCAAAAGATGTAAGCAAAAACATCAGCTATTCCCATTATGTTTAATTTCTAGTTAATCTGTATGTGGCAAGCCCCTGAGACAATTCAGTCATACAGCTCCTCAGGGTCTTTTCTGGTAAGTAGGTATCACCACTGTTTTCAGTAAACAGTGACCACACTTGGTAACTCACAGAAATGCCTTATTTCTTTAAATTCTTGTCTCTACTGGAATCTAAGCAAGATAACCGGGAGGAAGTTACTACCTGTTTCCCGGTCTTCCCCCATACCAAACTTACACTAGACTATAATGGACTTACCTCAAATTCTTTACTTAGTGGCCACGTATATCTCAAAATAGTAGCACAGTGTGGGAGCAACAGAAATTGTAAGTTTATTAGAATTGACCATTCCATTGTTCCGCACAAGGAAGGCCATCGAAACTTGAAAGAAGTCCCATGTGAACATTCTGTTTCCATCAATCTCCTTTTGTTATCTCTTCCGTCAGTAACCATTCATTTCTAAGCAGCCCCTTCTCTCAAGTTCCCAAGTCCAATCCCTTCCTGCTGCTCTTTCCTAGAGAAACACCACCCTCCTTCAGAAGAAGACATAGTTCTCATCTTAATCACTCCCGGCCTTTTCAGCTAAATACTAACAGAGACTCTCATTGGCACAGACATCACTGTTTCTGGATGAGGCACATGCAGATCCTAATTCTTTCAGAGAGTGAAGGTGTATGTCCTCATTTCAGTTCTTCCTTCCCCCTAACAAGAACCACAGCTGATTTTGTCGATTTTGTCACTAGCTTTCCCAACAGGCATATAAACCCTCTCATGTTGAGCATTATTTTTTCATGGAATTAATATAATAATCTACTCTTGATTGAGCAAAAATTTCTCCTGCTAATTTGAATATTACTTTGTATTCCTTTTAGACAATAAGCAAAAATAAAATAAGCCTATGTATTATTTTATTAAGGCCTTCCTGAGGCTGCCTTAAATTAGAATAACCACAACACCAACCTCTTTCTTTAGATTCAAAATACTTGACACTAGCTCAGTTTTATATATTTTTTTTTCATTTCAATTTATCTCCCTGATTGAGTTATGGGGGTATGAGGATAGAGGGACTGGTTTCCATAGGCCACAAATTGAGTAACAAAAATTGAAGGTACAGGTGTGGGAGACAAATTATTTGTTAATATTTCAACTTTATCATGTGTTTTAGCTGTACAACTTGAGAGAGTGACTAAGTTTCCTTAACTTGAAGATGGGGATCATAATAGCACCTACTATTCAGAATGTAAAGATTGAAGGAGATAATGCATTTAAGATATTTAGAACAGTATCTGATAAAGAGTAAGTACACAATAAATGATATAAATCTCTGAGGCAATTTGACTTTCATATAAAAATGTTAATTATAGAAATGATTGTAATAAAGTCTCAGATACTTTTGCCAACAATTGAATTATTCTGATCACTTAGAATAAATTACTTGCTTCAACTATACAAAGAAGAAATGTGATTTTTTAAAAAAGTAATGTGCCTGGAAAATGAAAAGCATGTGATTAAAAAAAAAACTAGGAGTTAAAGGGTAAGGAATATATATGATGCTAGTTGAATACAAACATACATACATATAGCCTTTATTTATATCTTATAATAATCTTGTAAGGCAAGTATTACTATTTCTATTGAGAAAAACTGAGTTTCAAAGAACTTATGAAATTTGACCACTGTCACACGGTTAGTATACAACAAACCAGGATTTGAATATATTTGCAAAAGTTTGTTTCATTACCATCCTAGAAAAACTATCTCATTTTATGAAAGAAGTTTCAAGTAGAAAATGAATTCTCTGTGCAAGAAACTCTAAAATATGAAGAGATTCTCAACAATTCCTTCAGCTTCTAATGTCACCCTAACCTTTTTATGAACTATAATCCCGCCACACCTTAGAGCTTGGCTCTACTAAAGGCACACAAGACCAGGATTTCCATTCTGAAAGCTGTAAGGGCACTTCATAACTCAGCCATAATGAATCCATGTTGAGCTGAGGTTTGACAATAAAAATCATGACACAAGAGCAACTTTAAAATAAAAACTTTTAGCAAAATTAAGTAGGAGTAAGGCACATGAACAAAAGCTGATTTTGTACCTGATTGTAATTCACAGCCAGGTGTCAGATGTAAGTATTTTGCCTATGCTTTCCAGAAGATGGCTGCTGTGTATTTGTATCTGCAAAAAATAAGCAAACTACAGAAGAAAATAATTACAAATACACCTAGCTCAGCCAATTTCCTTATCCAAAGAAGCTCTGAACATTAACTTCCATTTTCAAAACGTTTATCATAGTAAAACAAACATTGCAAATACCAATTGAAAAATGAAGATGAAATCATAGGTCCAAAGTAAGTGAGGCAAATATTTTGACATTGAAATTGAAATAACAACTTGCTTGAGACTTGAGGAATTTCATAACTCCAGAACTGCCTAAGTACAAATATAGTAAAAGTATGTTTTCTACATAAAGCACTGAAGAATGCCAAAAATTCAATGCAACATAGAAGGAATTCTTGACAACCCCTAACAAACCCAGTAGTATAGTTAAGTAGGTTAAAACAAGTCAACTATGAGAAGTGGTGTGTGCTTCTAAAATAGCTCTCCAAAAAGCAAATCCTTGATTTGTAGCATCTGCTATTTTTTTGTGGTGTAAACACTCTAATCTAGACTGATTTCAAGAAATAAATATGACATCACCAAATGCAGAGTTGCCAATAAATGTGTAAAATTGGCTCTGTTAAGCTGGTGTTAACCAGTTACAGCACACTGATGGCTACAAGGAAAAAGTCATCCAAGACCATGACTTCCATACTAACATGCTATGTTACCATGGCTGTTTCCCAAGAAAAGCATGGATGATGTTTAGTGATTGAAATTCAAATGGATCTGAAAAATAAGATGCTCTAACTAATAACATTATATAAGTAAAGCTTTACCATGGCCTTTAATTCTTCAGAAGCAAATAAAAATCAGAAAATAGTTTTAATTACCAATTACAGACAATATAGGCTTTATAAACAATTACTAGAAGTAGTGAGGAATATTTTATAATGATAGAAGGGTCAATCAATAAAGAACACATAACAAGTACAAGTATATATGAATCTAACAGAGCCCCCAAAATATATGAAGCAATAACTGGTAGAATTGAAGAAGAAAAGAGACAATAACCCAGTAATAGTTGAAAACTTCAATAACCCAATTTCAATAATTAATAGATCATCTGTGAAGAACATCAACAAAGAAACAGAAGAATTGAACAACACTATAAATTAACTAGACCTAACAGCCATCTATACAACACTGCATCCAATATCAGCATAATACACATTCCTAAGCACACAAGGAAGTTTCTCCAGTATAAATCATACGCTAGACCGTAAAATAATCGTCAATAAAATTAAAAGGATTAAAATTACACGAAACATATTGTTATAATGTACAGGAATTAAACAATAAATCAATAACTGAAGAAAATTTTATAAACAAGTATGTAGACATTAAAACAACGCACTCCTAAATAACCAATAGATTAAGGAAGAAATCACAGAGGAAATTAGAAAGTACTTTGGGATAAAAGTATACTAAAATACACCATACCAAATCATATGAAATGCAGGTAAAACAGTGATTAATGGAAATTTTGCAGTTGTAAACGCATACATTAAAAAATATGAAGTCTGGCTGGGTGTGGTGGCTCATGCCTATAATCCTTGCACTTTGGAAGGCAGAGGTGGGCAGATCTCTTGAATCCAGGATTTGAGACCAGCCTGGCCAACATGTGAAAACCCCATCTCTACAAAAAGAAAAAAAAATTGGCAGGATGTGGTGGCATATGCCTGTAGTCCTAGCTACTTGGGATGCTAAGGTGAGAGGATCACCTGAGCCTGGGGAGGTAGAGGCTGCAGTGAGCTGTGATTGCACTACTTCACTCCAGCTTGGGCAACAGAGTAAGAAAAAAAATTAAGATAACAACCTAACCTTTTACTAGAAAAGTATAAAAAATAAGAGCAATAAAACAAACAGAAGGAAAGAAATAATAAAGATTAAGGAAATAAAATAGAAATAGAAAAAATCAATAAAAGTAAAAGTTGATCATTGAAAAGATCAAAATTGGCAAACCTTGGGTTAGAATGACAATGAAAGAAGAGAGAAGATGGATGTTTATAAAAATAAACAGGATTATAATGGAATACTATGAGCAACCAATTACCAAAAAGTTAGATAACCCTGAAAATGCACAATTTCCTAGAAAGACACAAAATACTTAGACTGACTTAAAAAAGAAATGAAAAAATCTACAAAAAAAAACCTACCAAAAGTAAAAAATATTGAGTCAGTAATCTCACAACTTCCTATAAATAAAAGTCAAGATCAAATTGGCTTTCCTGCTCAATTCTACCAAATGAATACGAAAGAATCAACATCAATACTTTACAAACTCTTCCAAAAAAAAAAAGACAAAGAAGTAGGAAAAGGTGAAGAGAAAAAAAGGAGAGAGTGGAGGAGGAGGAGAAAGGAACACATCACAATTCATTCTATGAAGCCAATATCATCCCTTATACCAAATTCAAGACAAAAATGTTACAAGGGGAAGAAAAATAGAACAACAACCTTTATAAATATTGACACAAAAATTCTCAACATAATAATAATGAACCAAATCCAGCATCATATAAAAATAGCTACACATTATAAGTAGGCGAAATTTATCCCAGGATTGAAAAGCTGGTTCAACATACAAACATACAACATACAACATACAAAAAACAATGTAATAAACTATGATATGAGAATAAAGCAATAATCTCAATAGATACAGAAAAACCATTTGACCCAGCACCATTATATGATAACAGCAATAAAAAATTAGGAATATAAGGGTAATTTCTCAAACTTATAAAGGGCATTTGTGAAAAACTCAAGCTAATATCATAATTCATGGTGTAGAACTGAAAGTTCTCCCCCTAAGTTCAGGAATGAGACAATTACATCTGCTCTCATCACTTCTATTCAATATTGTATTGGACACTCTACCCAGAGCAATTGGACAAGAAAAAAAGTTGGCATTTAGATCGGAAAGAAAGAAGTAAAACTGTCTCTGTTTGCAAATGATATGCTCTTGTATAAAGAAAATGTTAAAGAAATTACTAAAATTCTATTAAAACTAAAAAAGGAGTTTAGCAAAGTTGTAGGGTGCAAAGTCAATATACAAAACATCAAAACCTTGTTTTTGGTATATATAGACATACCATATGACACACATACCATACACATACATATCATACAACACCAAAAGTGCAAGATCTAGAAAACATCACTGACAGAAATTAAAGAAGACCTAAACAAATGGAAAGACATTGATGATGATGAATTGAAAGACTTAATATTATTACAATGGCAATATTTCTGAAACTGATATACAGATTAAATATAATCTTCATAAAAATACCATCTACCATGTTTGAAGAAATTGGCAACCTAATCCAAATTTTTATATGGAAATGCAAGAGACCCAGGATAGCCAAAACAATTTTGAAAAAGAATGAAGTTGCAACACATATTTTCTTATTTCAAAACATACGAAAAAGCTACAGTAGTCAAGAGTGTAGTACTGGCCTAAGGATAGACATATAGATCAATGGAATGGAACTGAGAGACCAGAAATAAACCCAAGTATTTATTGTCTACTAATTTTTGACAAGGGTGCCCAGACAATCTAACAGGAGAGAATAGTCTTTCCAACAAGTGGTAATGGGAGAAATTAATATCCACTTGTAAAAGCAATAAGTTGGACCCATATATCACACTGTATACAAAAAGTACCTCAAAATGGACTGTATACTGAAGTGTAAGAGATAAAATGTGATACATATACACCATGAAATATTATGCACCCATTAAACAAAATGAGATCATGTTATTTGCAGGGACATGGATGAAGCTGGAGGCCATTATCATTAGAAATTTAACACAGGAACAGAAAACCAAATACCACATGTTCTCACTTGTAAGTGTGAGTTAAATGATTAGAACACATGGACACATACAGGGGAACAACACACACTGGGACCTAGCAGAGGGTGGAGGGTAGGATGAGGAAGAGTATCAAGAAAAATAACTAATAGGTACTAGGCCCAATACCTGGGTGATTAAATAATCTGTACAAAAAAAAACTGTGATACAAGTTTACCTATGTAACAAACCTGCATGTGTACCCCTGAACTTAATATAAAAGTGAAAAACACACACACACACAAAACAAAAGTGAAAACAAACAAACAAAAAGAAATGCCTATGACAGTGGGTTGAGCAATGATTTCTTAGGGCACCAAAAGCATAAGCAGAAATTTAAAAAAATAAATTAGACTGCATAAAATTGTAAAAGATTTGTGCTTCAATAAACTTAAATCTAAGACCTCAACCTATGAAACTACCACAAAGAAACTTTGGGGAAAATCTTCATGATATTGGTCTGTGCAAAAATTTCTTGAGTATTATCCTACAAGCACAGGCAACCAATATAAAAATGAACAAATGAACAAATGGTATCACAGAAAGTTAAAAAGCTTCTGCACGGCAAAAACAATCAACAAAGTGAAGGACATCCCACAAAACCGGAGAAAATATTTGTAAACTACCCATCTACCTACCAGAATCTATAAGGAGCTCAAAAACCCTATAAATATATCTAATAATCTTATCAAAATATGGACAAAATATTTGAATAGGCATTTCTCAAAAGAAGACATACAAATGGCAAACAGGTATATGAAAAGGTGTTCAACATCATTGATCATCAGAGAAATGCAAATCAAAACTACAATGAGATATTATCTCACCCCAGTTTAAATGGCTTATATTCAAAGGTAGGCAATCACAATTGTTGGTGAGGATGTGGAGAAAAGAGAACCCTCAAACACTGTTGGTGGGAATGTAAATTAGTACAACTGTGGAGAACAGTATGGAGGTTCCTCAAAACCTAATAATAGAGCTACCATATGATCCAGCAATCCCAGTCCTGGGTATATACCCAAAATATAAGAAATCCATTTATTGAAGGGATAGTTGCACTTTTGTGTTTGTTGCAGCACTGTTCACAATAGCTAAGATTTGGAAGCAACCTAAGTATCCACTGACAGATGAATGGATAAAGAAAATGTGATATATATCCACAATGGATTATGATTCAGCCATAAAAAATAAGATCTTGTCATTTGAAACAACATGAATGGAACTGGAGGTCATTACGTTCAGTGAAAAAAGCCAGGAACAGAAAGACAAACATTGCATTTCTCTTTTGTTTGAGGGATATAAAAATCAAAACAACTGAACTCATGGAGACAGGGGGTAGAAGAATCGTTGCCCGAGGCAGGGAAAGGTAGTGGTGGGGGAAGTGGTGGTGGGAATGGTTAATGGGTACAAAAAATAGTTAGAAAGAATGAATAAGACCTGCTTTTGATAGCACAACAGGGTGACTATAGTCAACAATAATGTAATTGTACATTTCAGAATAACTTTAAAGAGTGTAATTGGATTATTTATATCTCAAAGGATAAATGCTTGAGGCGATGGATAGCTCATTCTCCACGATGTGCTTACTTCACCTTGCACGTCTGTATCAAACCATCTCATGTAACCCATAAATATACATACCTACTATGTTCCCATAAAAATTAAAAAGAATATCTATTAAGGAAGTAAAATAACAACCCAGAAAATGAGAGAAAAAATTTTTCAAATCATATATCTGATAAGAGGCTTGTATCTAGAATACATAAATCATACTTCTAATTAAACAATAAAAAAGACAACTCAATTTATAAGCAAGCAATAGACTTGTTTTGACTTTTTTCTAAATAAGATACAGAAATGTCCACTATGCACACACACGAAAAAATGCTAAATATCATTAGTCATTTGGAAAATGTGAATCAAAACCACAATGAGACACCACTTTACACTTAATAGAGTGGCTAACATTTAAAAAATTAACAGGTACAATTGCTGGCAAAAGTGTGGGGCAATTGGGCCCTTATACATTGCTGGTGGAAATGTTAAATGTGCAGCCACTTTGGAAAACAGTATAGCATTTCCTCAAAATCTTAAACATTGAGTTACTATATGAACCAGCAACTTCATTCTCAGGTATATATCCAAGAGTAGTGAAGACATAGGTTCTCATAAAAACTTGTACACAAATGCTCATGGTGGCATTATTCATAATAGCCACAAAGTGGAAACAACTCAAATATTCATAAAGTGATGAATGGATAAATAACGTACAGTATATAAATACAATCAAATCCAATAATAAAAAGGAATGAAGTTCTTACACATGCTACAACATGAGTGAACCCTGAATACATTATTCTGTGTTGTATGAATTCATTTATACAAAATGTCAAGAACAGTCAAATCTAGAGAGTCAGAAAGGAGATTAGTGGTTTCCCAGGGCCGGGTTTGGGAAGAATGGAAAGTGACTGCCAATAACTACAGTTTTGGTTTTGTTTTTTTCTGGGAGAAAAAAAATACAGTAAAATTAGGTGGTGGTGATGGTTATGCAACCCTGTAAATTTATTTAAAAAAACATTGAAATGCATATTTTAAATGAGTGAACCATATGGCATGTGAATTAAAATATCTTAATAAGGTTTTAAAAGCAAAAGTAAAAGAAGCTGACATTTATTGAGTGCTTAATAGATTCCCAGCACTATACTATTTACTTTCTATTTTTATTTCATCTAATTGTCATGACAGTTCTAGGAGTTAAGTATTATCATTAACCCTTTTTAATCAAAGGGTAAGCCCAAGATCAAAGTTAAGTATGCCTAGGTTCTAGGTCCCACAGTGGATACACAGAACTTTGAATCTGAACCCAGGTTTCTTTGATTTCAAGGGTCATTCCGACAATTTTAGTTGCTAATCTTCCCTATTTGGTCATCAGGAAAAAGGTGATCATTGAAGAAGAAACGGACAGTGAAAGTGTGTGGAAGAAGAAAATAAGGGTCTGAGTATGGAACCTTGCAACACCATAATTTACAGGGCCAAACAGAGGAATATCAACTGAGAAAAAGATCATATAGACTAATAGAAACATGAAGGAAGAGCAGCTTTTTTGACAGATATTAAATATATATCAGGCACTTATCATGTGTTAGCATGTTAGGTGCTGAAAATACCACAATAAACAAAACATAATTTTTGTCCTCAAATAATCATATGTTACAAAAAATATATAAGTAATTTTAAAGACTCATGGCCAAAATTGAGATTCAGCTTAGCATTTCTAGGCTTCTATTCCATGCTTATTCAGGGCTAAATTCACATGGAGTTTAGGAAAGACAGCCGGAGGCAAAGTTGTAGTGCAGATAGCCGTCTTAAGCATCTGTATAGTGATTGGTTCTTTTTGTACTGTTCCCTCTCTCAAACCACATTCCCCAAGCCCCTATACCTTTATGATGCTCAGTGATTTGTTACTCCTAGTTCCCATGATATCTGGAAAGAATAAGCTATTAATCATTTAAACCCCAGTGTGAATGAATTAGTGTTATGTGAAACTTTGGTAGGAAATAACTGACATAAGTCATGAGACTTAGGAAGATTTTCAGAAATGTAAAGTGATCAGAATAATATATTATGTAGTCTGTTCCACTTACTGTTTTATATATAATTTCATATTTTTTAAAGTATTCTGTAAATACTTTGAGAGCAGGAGCCACATTTGCTATACATCCTAGAGAGATACTGTTGTTGGGTAATGATTCAAGAATAAATATATGCCTATTGCTTCGTTGACTGATAATAACTTTGTTAATTTTATTTTTATTATATTTCATATTTCCCAGGGAGTCAAAGTACATTTGACATATTTGTGCCCTTCATCAAAAATCAGAAGCAAAAGACATAATTCCCTTTCCATTTCAGTAATGACATCCAAATCCAAATTTTAACAATTATAATCTTTTTTTTTTTTTTGATGGAGTTTCGCTCTTGTTGCCCAGGCTGGAGTGCAATGGCGTGATCTCGGCTCACTGCAACTTGGGTTCAAGGGATTCTCCTGCCTCAGCCTCCCATGTAGCTGGGATTACAGGTGCCCACCACCACGCCTGGCTAATTTTGTATTTTTAGTAGAGACGGGGTTTCTCCATGTTGATCAGGCTGGTCTCAAACTCCTGATCTCAGGTGATCCGCCCGCCTCGGCCCCCCAAAGTGCTGGGATTACAAGGCGTGAGCCACCGTGCAGGGCCTAATTATAATCTTTTTCATTGTATCAATGCTTTATCCCTGACAGGGAGGTGGAGATGGTTAATGTGTATCAAATAACAAACTTTCAAATGCATTGTGCCATTCCTTCTCTCAGAGAATGGCTTCTTATAGTTTTGAAAGTCCAGGCTGTTGAACTAGGCCAAATGAGTGTTTTGTCCTTTAGAGTATGCAGATCTCTACTACTATGTTTTATTTAAGACACCCACTGGGGTCAGGGAAAGGAAAATGATGCTCACTGTATCTTCAAAACTCTCTTGAATAACTATCTATACACAGTAGGCCAAGTCCTGCAGTTCTTTTTTTAGGCAAAGTTCCCTTTGTACTCATTAGGAGTTATCTCTACATGAGGATTTCTAACTCAGTAGAGTCTGGACTTAAAATAAAATATCCTTCATCCCTGCAGATTTCCTCAGACTCAAGTATATTGGAAAAATCAGAACCAAGGAGTTTCTGGTGAAAAATATCTCTGCTCTTGTTTGGAAGCTACTGAAAGTTATAGTGGAAATTAGCACCTTAAACTTCTACACAAACAAAAGTCTTCAACTCAGAGCCTCCTGAGAATGACAAATGTCAGAGAACAAGGCTTATTTATTGGAAAGGCAAAGCAGATGACCACCTACATTGCCTAATTTGAGGATCATGAGTTGGACCCCTTCCCCTTCTAACTGTCTTCCTCCTTAGTCTCTCTAGACCTGAAATGTTTGAGGTACTAGGCTATTATGAAGAAGAAGAAATCTGTGGATAAAGGAATGTGATTAATGATAATGGCATATTTAGCATGTTCAAGGAAGTATATCAGTTTCTCAGTCCTCACAAAAATCCAGTGAGATAAGAATTACTATCCCTATTTTAAAACTGAGTCAGAAAGTCAAATACTGCATGTTCTCACTTATAAGTGGGAACTAAATAATGTGTATACATGGCCAGAAAGTGTGAAATAGTAGACATATGAGACTTGGAAGGGTGGTGGAATGGGAGGTGGTGGGTGATGAGAAATTACTTAATACTTACAATGTATATTATTTGGATGATTGATACACTAAAAGGTCAGACTTCACCATCACACAATATATCCATGTAACAAAATTGCACTTGTACCCCTTACATTTATACCCACAAAATTAAAATGAGTAAGCTGAGGTACAAGCAAGTTCAACAAATAGTCCATGGCCACATAGCTAACAAGTGGCAGAGGGAGCATTCAAATCCAGGTGGCTTGTTCCAGATCCTATGCTTATAACGTGAAGCTCCCCAAATACTTTCAGTCAACTGCTGAGGGTCAGCCTAAGTGGACAAACAGTAGGTTATTCTATAGGTTTGAAATTGCTTCTTTGGCCAGTGAGAGTAGAAAAATTAAATACCTACAACTTGTTTCTTAGAGAAATTTCCCTTTGAGGTGCTCCGAGCCTTAGAGTAGCCTGATCTGCAGAGGACTCTGTGGATTTCAGGAGTTCATGTAAGACCAGAAAAAACTGTGCCATCTGCACATTTCATATGTCCTGTTGGTTTGTAAAGAAAGTATTTATCCCATTTCCAACCTCCAATCATTATTGCTGTTTGAAGCTTCTGGAGTTTTCTTTGAACAACAACTCAGCACCTAATACTAATTTTTCCTTAAAGTTCTAGAAACTCATTGGCAAATGGACACTTTTTAAAAATGTGCCTGTTTGCACTTCAGTATGTATACAGGGCAGATATTAACTCACTTCCCATAAAATAGAATATCAACTCAAGGTAAACAAATCACATTTCCCATCCATCAGTTGAGCGCTTTCATTTTGTAGTTTTATCTAAAAACTACTTATTTACTGGACACTCTTATCTATTCTCTGCATGAACTCCCCTTGCAGTAAAGAAAGCTGAGAATTTTGACAGTATTGAAGATTTGGTTTTAATTTGAAACCAACTCAAGGTTTCACTTTGATTTCCTCCTCTTAGATACTAATATTTCATACAAAGCCATAATACCAAATATGTCCTGAGCTGTGAGCACCTCTCTGTATTATGGAAGAAGTAGAAATATCTCCTGAATAGCCCATCAACAACAAATTAATCTATGAATTGGTCAAGGGATATTCTCAGAGCAATAAATGATCTGATAACGATTGGAATTGCGGACACCTAGTCAAAGCAATATAAAAAGGGAATAGCCTATTGACTCTTCTGAGCATTTCACTTTAGAAATAATGCTCATTAGATGCCAAAGGGTAAAATGAAAGCATCATCTTTTACAATTTCCAAATGACAAAAATGCTCTAGTTAGGAGGAATTGAAAGGCCCATTTGCCCACAAATCTCTCCTCCACCGGCATGTCAGGTTTCCTGAATAACCTGCCATTAGCATCTCCTGTAGGAGACCTGCTGAAGGGAGAGAGTCATTTTACTCGTTTAAGAGATTGTATTAACTGAGAAAGTTAGGTATCTCTCTACTGTGCTACTGTTATACACTGTATGTCCTTCTCTCATGACATTCATCTTGCTGCCTTGTGATTGTTTATCTTCGTACTCTCACATTAAATTCTTAGATCCTTGGGGAAAGGGAAAATTAGACTAAATTTCCAGTGCTGAGTACAGTAACCAAAGTCAATGTGTCATATTTGTATACTAAATATTTCATAAATTCATAACCAAATGGAGAAATGAAAAATAAATATATAAATTACAAATTATAATAACAGCAATTTATGTTATTAAGCCATTATCACCCAGAGCCGAAAGCCAGAACGTAAGCTCCCTAAAAAAGAGGTTACAAACTGGTGGCTTTTCAAGTTCCAAGAAGCCCACAGATGAGCTTTATATAACTCATACAGTATGATCCAGAACAGTGTTAAAACAACAACAACAACAACAATAACTGGTTGAAAGTACTAATAAAACAAACAAGTTACTGTTTAAAATGTCATTGTTTGGCTTTTCATGGAAGATTGAACAATGTCACAATATAGAGTCAATATTCCCACGCAGCAATCATCTATTGTTCCCTTTAGATAGGCAGGAGCTTTGCTTTTGTTTAAAGTTCCTACTTGACTTCTTTCATTCCTTTATGTTAGCTGCCTGAAAAATAGAGCTATTTGAGATTATGTCCTAAGGGAAGATGACACAAGTATATTATCTATGAAAGTTGTAATTGAGAGAAGGGAATAAGTCATTTAATTAGAAGGGCATGAATGAATGGGGATCAAAGTGAGAACTTTCATGAGGGCACTGGGTATCTTGCAGAAAGAAGTACCAGTACTAAAGAAGACCTCTGTCTTACTTCATAATTTTTTTAAGAGTCAACCCTGTAAAGAAGGATGCCCACAGGGCCAGGTGTTAAGACATTTTCTTCCTTTATAGATCAAGAAGTAATATACAGTCCAGCTTAGAACTTCATACTACAAACACTATTTTCACTGAAGCAAAGGTTTAAGTTAATGTGGAAGCTGAAAATAAGTGGATAAAGTGGCTCAGATAGTGTTTGCCCAGTTCAAGAGCCAATCAGTAATTTATTTTCATCAACCTTGGAATATAATTTTGCTTTCTTCAATTCACATGCAAATGCACTTTCTCAAGTGCAAGAAAAAAAGATGCACAAAGAAAGAATTCAAACATTATTTATCTGAAGAGTAGGGTTATAACATGCCAAGTAAATTTTTTATAAAGCTTTTGTTTCAGTTTTTGCACAATAAAACTGCTGTTTCTATTCATCCAGGGCTTTTTTCTTTCTTATATTTTTGGGGGGAACTGGTGACTGTGATTACAGCAGAATGTCTTCTTCAGTCATATTCAAAATATCAACATTTTCTTTTAAAATATCATTGGCAAATGTAAAGTGTTTCTATAACAGAACGTAATTTTATAAACCCAAGTATTTGTCAGAAACCACAGGCACTATGGGAACTATTTCTACTTATTGTTTTCAGGTCTTTTGGGCATAAAACCTCATCAAAAGATGGTGAGCTGAAAAACATTAGAAAGAAAGTAAAGAAATAAAGTTTGCACCAACCAGATTTTGAAATGCTTCCATGTATCACCAAATCCAGTAATATTTCTATTTAAGAATTAAACACACTTCTTCCAATGTGAAATGATTCAATTACTTTTCCCATTACAGGTTGAGTAATCCTTATCTACAAGCCTTTGGACCAGAATTGTCTCAGATTTCAAATTTTTTTCAGATTTTGGAGCATTTGCATTACACTTACAGGTTGAGTCTCTCTAATCTGAAGATCTGAAATCCCAAATGCTCCAATGAGTATTTCCTTTGAGTATCATGTGGGCACTCAAAAAGTTCAAGATTTGACTTTTTGGATTTTGGATGCTCAACCTGTACTACCAGTAGCTATAAAAAAACAACAACAAAAAAGAGGTGTGAGTGGATAAAAATGTTTGAGATGAGAAAATAGATATTCATGGGTAGAGAAAATAAATTTAAACTATGAAAATATTAAAATGTGTCCTAAAACCCCCATTATACACTGTTCTTCTATAAAAAAAAATTAAGACATTCCCTAAATCACTGTCTACAAAGCTAGTCCCCACAATTGTATTTTTAGAGCTTGAGTGAAGAAATACTCTCTTTAAAATAAGATTGTGATTTTTGGTTTTAACCTATAAGGTCTTAGTGATTTCAGTAAAGCACATACTAATTGTCATGGTTGAAATAAGAAAGGATCTTTCAAAATCCAAAATGTTTAATGATTATTTCCTGTATTATAATAATTTGAGATGTAATATTTATTGAGCATTTATTAGGTACCTTTCTAAATCTTTTACATAAATTAATTTGTGTTACCACTGTTCTTTATAAGTATTTTCTCTCTCTCTCTGTGTTTGTGTATATGTATTCATGAGTTATATATATTATGAGATAGATATAATTATCCTCATTTTACACATAAGAAAACTGAGGCTCAGAGAGGTAAAGCAGCTAGCCATAGATCACATCACTAATCAATGTTGAAAACAGCATTTTAATCCACATCTTTCAAACTTCAAAGCTCATCCTCATTCCATTTGGCTACACAAACTTACACTATGATAAGCTGCTCTCATATTTTAAATATGAAGGTGCTATTTTCCAAGTATTGAGACTGAATTTCCAGAGTCACTCAATCTTTTTTTTCTTTGTGACTGAGAGATTACTAGAATCTATATAGAACAGAAATAAATATGGATCAAGAGACACTACTGGATTAGTGAGGTGATCTAAGCGAAAGCTATGGTTCATGTCTTGAAGTGCAAGAAAAAAAAAGAAAAGGACTGAAACTTGGGTCTTTTCAGCAAGCAGAAACTTCTGATAACAGATACATTCTACTGACAATTATCTGGCCAAGCCCCAAAACACTGAATACTGACATTGAGAAATGGTGCAACAAAGATGAATTATTCTTTGTAAAGCCAATATACCACACTCTGCATAATCATACTGCAGTTTCCTTTTCCCATGCTAGTAGACCTAATCTACTTTGTCTCACCGGAAGAAATAAATGGATGGTGACCCACAGGAATAAGGAATTAAAATTACCTGGGTTAGATGTACCCACAAAGAGAGCTTTGTAAATATAATGATGAGCTATCAAAGCAAATATTTTGATTTCTTCTTTTCTCATCTTATCCTGGAGAATATCAATATCATCCTTCTATCATCTTCTCCATTTTAAGAACTCTTGTAAGAGTTCTCTAGAACTGCATTCCTACAGTTTGGCAAAATGATGTATTATTATGAATACAACCTGTACGGTCTACAGAATTGAGTTCAAATTCCATAATTTGTTTCAGACTTAAGGTCACAGATAACAATTTTTTCACCTTTAAAATGAGCATACTATCTATTTCATAGGAGAGTTATGAGTAATAGATGAAATAATGGCACGGTTCACATGTATTTCTTTTTTTAGCTTCAAAGACTTTTCTTCAAATTTAAGCTTATGGGGAAGGCCAATATATACAAGAGATAAATGCAGATCTGCTTTTAAAGAAATTTGGGTAGTGAAGGAATAGGGGAGGAAATTTTAAAATCACTATAATTATGTATATAAAGTTTCTAGTACTTGCAATACAGAGAAGAAAATAGGCCAGGTGTGTTGGCTCATGCCTGTAATCTCAGTGCTTTGGGAGGCTGAGGCAGGATAATCACCTGAGGCCAGGAGTTTGAGACCAGTCTGGGCAACATAACAAGACCTTGTCTCTACAAAAAATTTAAAATATTAACCAGGCATGGTGGCATGCACCTGTAGTCCCAGCTACCTGAAAAGCTGAGTTGGGAAGATCTTTTGAGTTCAGTAGTTAGAAGTTGCAGTGAGCTATGTTAACACCACTGGACTCCAGCTTAGGTGACAAAGCGAGACCCTGCTTTTAAAAAAAAAAAAAAAGAAAGAAAGAAAAAATAATAATAAATGGCAGCAATTATCACTGTTTGGTCATTCTGCTATAAATTGGCTATTGAAAAACCACAAATTTTGGACCACTGTGAATTAGTTGGAAGCAAAAAACAAACAAACAAGGAAAAAAAACCCACCTTTTTGCCCACTTGCTGCACAATAACAAGTTTGTTCTGGGAAATATCAACTTCAAATCTAATTTATACAAACCGGAAAATGGTAGTTTACTATTTAACAGAACTATGTTCTAAGTTTAGTATCAGCACCAAAAAAAAAAAAAAAAAAAAAAAAAAAAACACTTGCCATTAGTGTTGAAGACACTGTAGGCATACTGCAGAGTGCATTGGATCAGTGTTAAAGGACCTAATTCTAGCCTTAATTCTCCTACCTACCTACTATATTCTGAATGTTTGTGTCCTCCCTAAATTTGTATGTTGAATCTTAACTCCCATGGTGATGATATTAACAGTTGGGGACTTTAGGGGGTGATTAGGTTATGAGGGCTTTTCCCTGACAAATGGAATTAGTGCCTTTATAAAAGAAGCTCTGGGGGAGTTTTTTAGACCCTCCTTTCACCCTCCCACCATGTGAGAACACACAGAAGGCACTATTTATGAGGAATGGTCCCTCACTGGACACTGAATCTTCTGGTGCCTTGACATCGGACTTCCCAGACTCTGAAACTGTGAGCAATAAATTTCTGCTGTTTACAACTTACCCAGTCTACCATATGTTGTTACAGCAGCCTGAACATACGGAGACACTACCCAGTAGAAAATCCTTATAACTCCTAAGTTTACTATTTTTCTTATAGCACAGGGGTCATCACACTCTTTCTGTAAGGGTCTGTGTAGTAAATATTTTATGTATTATTGGCCATAGAATCTCTGTTGCAACTACTAAACTCAGCTCTTGATATTGGGGGAACCCACCCCCAATATTTCAGTGTAGGTTCTTTCTATTTTCCATAAGTGTCGGCCAGCTGAGAAATAAACAGAGACAGCATAAAGAGAGGAATTTTGCAGCTGGGCTGCTAGGGGTGACATCACGTATCGGCAGGACCGTGATGCCCCCCTGAGTCTCAGACCAGCAAGTTTTTATTAAGGGTTTCAAAAGGGGAGGGGGTGTAAGAACAGGGAGTAGGTACAAAGATCACATGCACCAAAAGGAATGCATTCCTGGGAGGAGGTCTATAAACGGCCGCTCTGGGAATGTCTGTCTTATGCGGTTGAGATAAGGACTGAGATACGCCCTGGTCTCTTGTAGTACTCTCAGGCTTACTAGGGTGGGGAAAAACTCTGCCCTGGTAAATTTGTGGTCAGACCGGTTCTCTGCTCTGGAACCCTGTTTTCTGTTATTTAAGATGTTTATCAAGATGCTGAACAGACCCTTATCAGTAGTTCTGCTTTTGCCCTTTGCCTTGTGATCTTTGTCGGACTTTTATCAGTAGTTCTGCTTTTGCCCTTTGTCCTGTTCCCTCAGAAGCATATGATCTTTGTTAGGCCCTTTCTAATAATTCTGCCTTTTGTTTTTTGAAGCATGTGATCTTTGTACCTACTCCCTGTTCTTACACCCCCTCCCCTTTTGAAACCCTTAATAAAACTTGCTGGTCTGAGACTCAGGCAGGCATCACGGTCCTACTGATGTCCATGGCCACTCTCAAATCTCATGTCCTCACATTTCAAAACACAGTCATGCCCTTCCAATAGTCCCCAAAAGTTTTACTCATTCCAGCATTAACTTAAAAGTCCAAGTCCAAAGTTTCATCTAAGAAAAGGCAAGTCCTTTCCACCTATGAGCCTGTAAAAACAAAACAAGTTAATTACTTCCTAGATACAATGGAGGTACAGGCATTACGTAAATACACCCATTTCAAATAGGAAAAAAAATGGCCAAAACAAAGGGGTTACAGGCCCCCATGCAAGTCTGAAATCCAACAAGGGAGTAATTAAATCTTAAAGCTCCAAAATAATCTCCTTTGACACCACGTCTCACATCCAAGTCATGCTGATGCAAGAGGTATGCTCCCACTGCCTTGGGCAGTGCCACCCCTGTGGATTTGCAGGATACAGCCCTCCTACCAGCTGCTTCAAAGGCTGGCAATGAGTGTCTGTGGCTTTTCCAGGTGCAGAGTGTAAGCTATCAGTGGATCTACCATTCTGGGGTCTGGAGGATGGTGGCCCTCTTCTCACAGCTCCACTAGGCAATGCCCCAGTGGGGACTCTGTGGGGGTTCTGACCCCACATTTTTCTTTTGCCCTGCCCTAGCAGAGGTTCTCTATGAGGGTTCCACCTCTGCAGCTCACCTCTGCAGCTCACCTCTGCCCGGACATCAAGGCATTTCCATACATCCATACAACCTCTGAAATCTAGCCAGATGTTCTTGAACCTCAATTCTTGTCTTCTGTGCTCCCACCAACACCACGTGTAAGCTGCCAAGGCTTGGAGCTTGCACCCTTTGAAGCAATGGCCTGAGCTGTATGTCATCCCCTTTAAGCCATAGCTGGCATTGAAGCAGTTGGGACACAGGGCGCCATGTCTCAAGGCTGCACAGAGCAGTGGGGCCCTGGGCCCAGCATGGGACCCGGGGCCTGGCCCACAAAATCATTTTCCCTCCTAGGCCTCCAGGGCTTTGGTGGGAGGGGCTGCTATGAAGGTCTCTGACATGCCTTGGAGACATTTTCCCCATTGTCTTGGTGATTAATATTTGGCTCCTCGTTACTTATGCAAATTTCTGCATTGGGCTTGAATTTCTCCCCAGAAAATGGGTGTTTCTTTTCTATCCCATCATCAGGCTGCAAATTTTCCAAACTTTTATGCTCTGTCATTTCTTGAACACTTTGCTGCTAAGAAATGTTTGCCTCCAGACACCCTAAATCATTTCTCTCAAGTTCAAAGTTCCACAGATCTCTAGGGTGGGGCAAAATGCTGCCAGTCTCTGCGCATAGCAAGAGTAACCTTTACTCCCATTCCCAATAATTTCCTCATCTTCATCTGAGACCACCTCAGCCTGGAATTTATTGTCCATATCGCTCTCCCCATTTTGGTCAAAGCCAGCAAACAAGTCTCCAGGAATTTCCATATTTTCCCACATTTCTCTGTCTTCTTCTGAGCCCTCCAAACTGTTCCAACCTCTGCCTGTTACCAAGTTCCAAAGTCACTTCCACATTTCCAGGTATCTTTACAGCAGCACCCCACTCTCTGTGGTATCAATTTCTTGTATTAGTCAATTCTCACGCTGCTATAAAAAACTGCCTGAGACTAGGTCATTTATAAAGGAAAGAGGTTTAATTGACTCACTGTTCCGCATGGCTGGGGAGGCTTTAGGAAACTTATAATCATGGCGGAAAGGGAAGCAAACATGTCCTTCTTCACATGGTGGCAGCAAAGAGTAGTTCTGAGCAAACAGGGAAAGGCTCCTTATAAAACCATCAGATCTCATGAGAACTTACCCACTATCATGTGAACAGCAGCATGGGGGTGATTGACAACAAGCTTGCCTCAAGTAACAGCAAGACTATGGTAGATAAGGAGATCCAGGGAATATCAAAATGCAGTTATGGTATTTGACCTAGATTTCATCATCGGAATGTATAACTAGTTTAACATATCTAAATATGTAGCCTGATATTTTAAACCACACAAACTCACAGATACATATGTGTATAATACATATAGATATATATATATATAATTATACCAATAATACCATGTTTTTAATCTGCTTTGTTTACTCAACAGTATGACATGAGCATTTTATCCTTTCAAATAAAGTTCTAAAGTATCATTATCAATAGCTAGATATGCTCTATTACCAATTTATAGGGGAATCTACAATGAATTGTAGTAATAAACAGTCACTGCACTTTTAATTTGAGCATTCAAAAACCATTTTCCCAATGCCTGTATTGTGCCTGACAATGCTCGGCTTATGGGAAAAAGATTATTTCAATTAGTTTACAAAGTAGAGCAATGATTTTCAAGAATGGGGTCATAAGTAAATCAACTCCCTCTTTCATTTGCTTTAGAGCCACTGTCTTTATTTTGCACTTGTTTTATCTTTGATTAGCCTTAAGTAAACACAAGATTATTATAAAACCAAATTTCAAGAAAATTAACTTTTAAAATTCAAACCTATTATATTGAATTCAAGCCTATTGAGAAACACTGATTTAGTAGAAGAGAGAAAATGCTTATCATAGGAGTATAATAGAAGTTTACACTTCTGGAAACTCGTAACTTAAAAGTGTGATCATTTTCCTGACTTGCTGTAACTCCACAGGATGTCTCAGTCAGAAGGAAGAAGATACAATGTGGGAAAATGTTTCCCTACTAATAAACATTAGGATGTTTACATTAGGATGGAAGACTTTATAACACTGAAAATTTAATAGTAGCAACAACCTAATGGGTCTTTAGCTACAACAACCAAAATATGTGACAGACCTGGGTCTATATTTGGTAATTATATAGTTGCTAAATAACAGTGTAATCAAGACCATTGTCATCCCTCTTTTCATAAACAGTAGAATATTATTCTTTTAATTGATAGTAAAATAAATAGTTTCTAAAGATGCTTAAAGAATACAAAACAAAAAGCAGAGGGAGGTGTTAATGAGTCTAATTCTCAATCAAGTTATTTGTAGTTTACAACTTGTATTTCTAAGCACTTCAGTTTTTTTTAACCTTCAAAGCCACTAAACTAAACTTCTGAAGGACTTTTAATCACACTACAAATATTAACAAGATATTTACCATGTGCAATACTTAAGACAAAATATCAAAAAATATTGGTTCAGTATGTAATTACAGAATAAATTATATGATACAAGTTATAAATAGTTGAAAAAGAGAAATGAAAGAAGGCTGGGGTAGTCAGGAAATATTTAAGAAAAAAGTCCTGTAATATGAGTGGTATAGAGATAGGCAGAAGATTGGCTCAAAACCACAATGTCCAATGTAAAAAACATAAGTTATTTATAGTTACAACTGATTTTACTACAAAAAAAAGAAATGTTTGGTCATGACTCAAATAAAAATATGCCCTTGATTGACTGTACCCTATTGTTTATTTTCCGTATTTATTGGGCTCCTCTTCTGCAAACCTGTTGTCCCCTAGAACTGTATCGAGTTTTTCCTCCACTATTCTTATATTTAGCTCATTTCTCACTTCATAGAAAAAAAAATAACCTATTCAGATTAATGCAATACTGTTGCTCCTCAACTTCACAATGGGATTATGTCACAATAAACCCATCATAAGTTAAAAATATCCTAAGTCAAAAATGCATTTAACACACCTAACTTATAGAGCATTATAGCTAAGCCTAGCTAACTTAAACATTCTCAGAACACTTACATTAGCCTACAGTTGGGAAAAATCATCTAACACAAAGCCTATTTTTTAATAATGTGTTGAATACCTCATGTAATTTATTGGTCACTGTACTGAAAGTAAAAAACAGTATGAGTGTATGGGTACTCAAAATATGGTTTCCACTGGATACATAGCACTGTTGCAACCATTATAAAACTAAAAAAATACTGCTAGTCAAACCATTGTTAAGTTGAAGGTCATTTGTACTTATTGTGTCCCTATTATGTGCCCACAATCGTGCCAGGTGAAAACAGAGTATAAGCAAATGTCTCTGCCATAGAAGACTTCAAAATTTTATTGGAGGAAAGAAATCTAATGAAGATGAAGCAAAGGTACATTATGTTTCAAATCAAAGTTCATAAATCACGGTACATATGCTCCTGGAGGTATTGCAAAACTTTTCAAATAATATGTGAAAGAATGAAAATTTTTAGGATAATTTCAGACCTTCAACTTTCATATGAATTATTTACTAATAGTTGTCTACCTGAGACTACACCTGCTAACCAGCAATTGACAGATTCTCTTTGTCCAACCCCATTCACAATCCCCTTCTCCGACTTTACCAAAGAAAAGCACAGCTCTCAGCCATCAGCAATTTTATTACAGTGCATTACAGGATGGAAAAAACTATAGTGTGCCAAACAAAGAGGCAATTTAAAATTATCTTAATGAAGTTGACAAAATGAATGACTAATGGCTGAGTAACATCATTGTGCAACTTGAATAGTGTCTAATTCTTTACTTTTAACAAACTTGAAGCAGGGCCTAATTGAATTGCTAGCTGAGAGATCATTAAAATAATTTTGATGATAAATCAATAAGTGATTTTTGGCAGGGAACTCAAAATGTTTTCAAAAGATTAAGAGACGTTGTTATGAGAAAATTCCTTTCGTGCCAATTTAGTCGTGTATGATAACAAGTTTTTCCTATGCTTACGTATTTTAAAAATAAAATAAAATGTTTGAAAATTGATGATAAAATCTGTCTCATTCTTACAAAAAATGGAATTCATCTAGAATATTAAACTACTGAAAAACAGCTATCATTTTATTGAGATACATTTCCAATAACATTTTATATTTTAATTTGCCAGAATATTAATGCTTATGATTTGATAAATTATGTATTAATAATTTGTAATAATTCATTCCAGAAGAAAAAAATTCAACACTTAGAGCTTTATAGACATAGAGGATTCTAAAAATCTCTCTCTATATATAATATACATCTAATATATATCTATATATAAATATATATTATATAAATATATATAATACATATATATAATATATATATTTTTAGATATAACATATATCTAAATATATATATATACACACATACTTTACCAAAGTAATATAATTAGATTACCAATTTAGTTTTTAAGAATTAAATCATATTAAGATAAAATACCCTAGGAAAAGTAGAATGGAAAAATGAGCTAAAGGAGAAAAAGTAATGATGTAAACTTTACAATCGTTAATATATTTTGAACTAATTTATGTAATTTTAAAATAAATGATATAGGAATCAAATCAATACAGTATTTAGATTCCATTGGAAACATTTAAAAGAGGAAAATGAATGTTTTATTTTAAAATGTAGAAGTTTATACTATCACTGAAATTACATTCTTTACAACTACTTAAACTTATGATAAATACTTTTTAAAATTATGCCCCTTTGCCCATGCAGATCCATTTGTCTCCCTTTTCTAGCCTCCTCTAAATGCTACACAGTCATTCTATAAAATAATATTTTGTGACTAAATACCTTCACTTGCATAAACAGATAATTCACACACACCACCTATAGAAAACCTTTTTCTATACAGGTAAAAAAAGAAATATGAACAAAAATTATTCTCTTAAATTATTCTCTTAAATTAGTTATTTAATTAAGAAATATGAATAATTAAGAAATATGAACAAAAATTATTCTCTTAAAAATTATTCTCTTAAATTAGTTATTTTTCCTCTTTTTAAATAATATTCAGTATAGATAAGTGCATGGAAAAATAAGTATTCTCATATACTACCAGTGGGAATGTAAATTAGTAACTCTTCCTGAGAGGTAATTTTAAAATATGAATCAAAAGCTTAAAAGTGCCCATTCTTTTTTAAACACAGAAATTTTACTTCTGAGATTTCGCCTAAGAAAATCACCTTGAAAAATCACAAATATTTAACTATAACGATGTTTATCAAAACTAAGTATAAAATATTTTTGAAAATAACAATCTAAACATCAAAAATAAGATACTGGGGTTGCTGGCAAGATGACTGAATAGGAACAGCTCTGGTCGGCAGCTCCCAGGGAGATCGATGCAGAAGGCAGGTGATTTCTTCATTTCCAACTGAGGAACCTGGTACATCTATCTCATCAGGGCTGGTTGGACAGTGGGTACAGCCCAAGGAGGGTGAGCTGAAGCATGGTGGGGCATCACCTCACCTGGGAAGTATAAGGGGTTGGGGAACTCCCTCTTCAATCCAAGGGAAGCCATTAGGGACTGTGCCATGCACTTTGGCACAGAGATTGCGCTTTTCCCATGGTCTTCACAACCCACAGACCAGGAGATTCCTTCCAGTGCCTACACCACCAGGGCCCTGAGTTTCCAGCACAAAACTGGGAGGCCATTTGGGCAGACACCGAGCTAGCCGCAGGAGGTTTTTGTTGTTGTTGTTGTTTTGGTTTTGGTTTTTTTTCATACGCCAGTGGCGCCTGGAACACCAGCAAGACAAAAATGTTCGCTCCCCTGGAAAGGGGGCTGAAGCCAAGTAGTCTGGCTCGGTGGGTCCCACCCCCACAGAGCTGAGCAAGCTAAGATCCACTGGCTTGAAATTCTTGTGCCAGCACAGCAGTCTAAGCCTGACCTCGGAGCTTGAGCTTGGTTGGGGCACAGGCGTTCACCATTGCTGAGGCTTGAGTAGGTGATTTCACCTGCACAGTGTAAAAAAAGCCACAAGGAAGTTCAAACTGGGCAGAGCCCAACCCAGCTCAGCAAGGCCATGGCGGCCAGGGCCAGACTGCCTCCTCTCTGGGCAGGGCATCTCTGAAAAAAAGGCAGCAGCCCACGTCAGGGACTTACAGATAAAACCCCACCTCCCTGGGACAGAGCACCTAGGGGAAGGGGCAGTTGTGGGCACAGCTTTAGCAGACTTAAATGTCCCTACCTGGCAGTTCTGAAGAAAGCAGTGGATCTACCACCACAGCATTAGAGTTCTGATAAGGGACAGACTCTCTCCTCAAGTGCATCCCTGACCCCCGTTTATCCTGACTAGGAGACACTTCCCAGTAGGGGCTGACAGACACTTCATACAGGAGAGCTCTGGCTGGCATCTGGCAGGTGCCCCTCTGGGACGAAGCTTCCAGAGAAAGGAACAGGAAGCAATCTTTGCTGGTCTGCAACCTCCGCTGGTGATATCCAGGCAAACGAGGTCTGAAGCGGACCTCCAGCAAACTCCAGCAAACCTGCGGCAGAGCGTCCTGACTGTTAGAATGAAAACTAACAAACAGAAAGGAATAGCATCAACAACAACAAAAAGGACGTCCACTCAGAGACCCCATCTGAAGATCACTGACTTCAAAGACCAAAGGTAGATAAATCCATGAAGATTGGAAGAAACCAGTGCAAAACGGCTGAAAATTCCAAAAACCTGAACACCTCTTCTCCTCCAAAGGATCACAACTCCTCGCCAGCAAGGGAATAAAACTGGACAGAGAATGGGTTTGATGAACTGACAGAAGTAGCCTTCAGAAGGTGGGTAATAACTAATTCCTCCGAGCTCTCAGCCCAAAATCTCCTTAAGCTGATAAGCAACTTCAATAAAGTCTCAGGATACAAAATCAGTGTGTAAAAATCACAAGCATTCCTATATACCAATAGCAGAAAAACAGGGAGACAAATTATGAGTGAACTCCCATTCACAATTGCTACAAAGAGAATAAAATACTAGGAATACAACTTACAAGGGATGTGAAGAACCTCTTCAAGGAGAACTACAAACCACTGCTCAAGGAAATAAGAGAGGAAACAAATAAATGGAAAAACATTCCATGCTCATAGAAAGGAAAAATCAATATCATCAAAATGGCCATACTGCCCAAAGTAATTTATAGATTCAATGCTGTCCCCATCAAGCTACCATGGACTTCCATCACAGAATTAGAAAAAAACTACTTTATATTTCATATGGAACGAAAAAAGAGCCCACATATTCAAGACAATCCTAAGCAAAAAGAACAAAGCTGGAGGCATCATGCTACCTGACTTCAAACTATACTACAAGGCTACAGTAACCAAAACAGCATGGTACTGGTACCAAAACAGATACATAGACAAATGGAACAGAACAGAGGCCTCAGAAATAACGCCATACATCTACAATCATCTGATCTTTCACAAACCTGATAAAAACAAGCAATGGGGAAAAGATTCCCTATTTAATAAATGGTGTTGGGAAAACTGGCTAGCCATATGCAGAAAGCTGAAACCGGATCCCTTCCTTATACCTTATACAAAAATTAACTCAAGATGGATTAAAGACTTAAATGTAAGACCTAAAACCATAAAAACCCTAGAAGAAAACCTAGGCAATACCATTCAGGACATAGGCATGGGCAAAGACTTCATGACTAAAACACCAAAAGCAATGGCAGCAAAAGCCAAAATTGACAAATGGGATCTGATTAAACTAAAGAGCTTCTGCATAGCAAAAGAAACTATCATCAGAGTGAACAGGCAACCTACAGAATGGGAGAAAATTTTTGCAATTTATCCATCTGACAAAGGGCTAATATCCAGAATCCACAAAGAAACAGGTTTACAAGAAAAAAACAAATAACCCCATCAAAAATGAGCAAAGGATATGAACAGACACTTCTCAAAAGAAGACATTTATGCAGCCAACAAACATATGAAAAAAAGCTCATCGACACTGGTCATTAGAGAAATACAAATCAAAACCACAATGTGATACCATTTCACGCCAGTTCAACCATTGTGGAAGACAATCTGGCAATTCCTCAAGGATCTAGAACTGCAAATACCATTTGACCCAACAATCCCATTACTGGATATACACCCAAAGGATTAGAAATTATTCTACTATAAAGAGACATGCACACGTATGTTTATTGCAGCACTGTTCACAATAGCAAAGACTTGGAAGCAACCCAAATGCCTATCAATGATAGACTGGATAAAGAAAATGTGGCACATATCCACCATGAATACTATGTAGCCATAAAAAAGGATGAGTTCCTATCATTTGTAGGGACATGGATGTTGCTGGAAACCATTATTATCAGCAAACTAACACAAGAAGAGAAAACCAAACACTGCATGTTCTCACTCATAAGTAGGAGTTGAACAATGAGAACACATGGACACAGGGAGGGGAACATCACACACTGGGGCCTGTTGGGGGATGTGGGGCTAGGGGAAGGATAGCATTAGGAGAAATACCTAATGTAGATGATGGGTTGATGGGTGCAGCAAACCACCATGGCACGTGTATACCTATGTAACAAACCTGCACGTTCTGCACATGCATCCCAGAACTTAAAGTATAATAAATATATATATATATTCACATATTTATGTATTAATGTATTTAAAATATATTTATTTTAACAAGTATAATAAATATATATTCACATATTTATGTCTTCACGTATTTAAAATATATTTATTAAAGAAAAAAAGAAATTGAGGCAGTACCCTCAAATAGAAGAATATTATGCAGACCAGAAACCAACATACAGCATGATTCTACCTCTATGAAATGTTTTCAGTATATATAAATATATGCATAAATATATGCATAGAAAATAATGTAGAATAATTCCCCAAAACATTAACACTAGCTTTCTCTGTGTTGGTTTCTAGTTTGATTCCTTTTGTTTAACTATATTATTTCATTTTCTTCTGCAATGAGCATATATTACTCATGTTTTAAAAATTATTTTAAAAGTATTATAAACTTCCATCTAAATAAATTCATACAAATGAATATACTAGATAATATTCCAGAAAAAGTTCCATCAAAATGTAAACAATCTTATCTCTAGGTTGTAAAACTAGAGATCTTTGTTTGTTCTTCTTGCTATTTATCTGTATTTTCTAAAGTTAACATGTGTTATTTAGGTATTAAAAATGATACAAATTACAAAATATTACTTAGCATGAGATCTATGATTTAATATTATTTAGGACTTATTTAATTCTATTAAAACAGATTTAGAAACACCCTCTCTAGTGTTTTGTTGTTGTGGTGATGTTGGTAGTTCAGGGTTTAATTCTGAAAGAAAACGGTATATTTTGCAACAGAATATGAAACTTTAGGTATTTTTCATCACCAGCCCAAGATCATCTTGCCATTGTAATTGTACAGATCAGAAACTCAGTTCCAGAATCCTAGAGGTAAAATACTGGTCTGGTCCACACAGGAGCAGAAAGCTATTATTACTAAGGTAGAGGAAAGAATTTCTCCCTTCTTCGGGAAAGGTATGAAGAAGTGGAGCAAAGTATTTACAGGTAGATATTTCTTTCATTTAAAGACTGGGACAGGAGATAAGTTAAAAGAAAAAGGGTCATAAAAACTATTCTAAGCTGGGCTCGCTGGCTCGCGCCTGTAATACCAGCACTTTGGGAGGCTGAGGCGGGCGGATCACCTGAGGTCAGGAGTTCGAGACCAGCTTTGTCAACATGGTGAAACCCCAGCTCTATTAAATATACAAAAATTAGCCGGGCATGTTGGCACGCACTTGTAATCCCAGCTACTTGGTAGGCTGGGGCAGGAGAATTGCTTGAACCCGGGAGGCAGAGGTTGCAGTGAGCCAAGATCATACCACTGCACTCCAGCCTGGGTGGCAGAGCAAGACTCTGTCTCAAAACAAACAAACAAACAAACAAAAAACTATTCTAACTGATGCTTCATAATGTAAAGAATAAACAAACCAAATCTAATAGAATAGTTTAGAAAAAAACATGAGAAGTCAGCAGATGCTATATTATAGTGGTTAACAAACAACTTGAGCTCTCGAATCAGACTTCCTGGGTCCAAGTCCTGCTGTTGTCCCTTATTAGTTCTATAATATTGAGTAAGTTATTACATTCTCTCTGTGTCTCGGTTTCCCTATTTGTCTAATGGCAATAGCAGGAGCTACCTCTTAGGATAGTCAATAGAATTAAAATCAGTATGCTCTCAATAAACCCTAGCCAATAATAATAAGTTTCATAGAGAAATACAGATATTTATGAGACTAGACCTAAGGTGATTATCTGTGTGACTTAGGTCAAATTAATTAAACTCATTATGCTTCAACTTCTCGTCAGTACAGTGGGTCTAATAAAATATTCTCTCATGGTTTTATGAGAATTAAAGGAAATAATATATATAAGGAACCTATAGGTTCTTTATCATATATGATGTAAGGCACATCATATATGTTAAATAAATATATCTGACATGTTTACACCTCTGGATTCTGGGGTTTTTTTTCTTCTTTATCTTCTTCTTCAGTTGGGTTGAGCCAATAGGGTGCACTCAAAGACCAGAGGGAGAGAAGAGTGAAGTTGAGTATTTATTTTTCTGGTTCCCTTCTTAAGAGGTTTTACTTTGGCTGTGCCTCTCATGAGAAAGTGACTGCTCTTTAAAGCAGTGGGCTTTACGTAAACCTCTCTCCCTTTGAGTTTCATTAACCACTGTCTTTCTCTGTCTTTCAGGATTAGAGATAGTAACAGTGTCAATTTCTCTTGGTTCTTACACTGAATCTTGTGGTTCCCATATACCCTGTCAATGTCTTTATGAATATTCCCTTCATAAATAAGCCCTCCTCAAATAATTGTACTATGAATGTTCCTTGTTGATATGGTTTGGCTGTGTTCCCCCCCACCCCCATCTCATCCTAAATTGTGGCTCAAATAATCGCCACATGTCGTGGGAGGAACCATGTGGAGATAATTGAATCATGGGGGTGGTTTCCCTCATCCTGCTCTCGTGATAGTAAGTTAGTTCTCACGAGATCTGGTGGTTTTATAACAGGCTTCCCCCTTCTTGGGCACTCATTCTCTCTCCTGCCACCTTGTGAAGAGGTGCCCTCTGCCATCATTGTAAATTTCCTGAGGCCTCTCCAGCCATGCGGAACTGTGAGTTGATTAAAACCTTTTTCTTTATAAATTACCCGGTCTCAGGTATTCCTTCATAGCAGCATAAGAACGAACTAATACAGTGTTTCTTATTGAGGTCTTAAATGACTCAGGGAATATGTTGTGGCACATAATAAAGCCTTATCATTTTATAACCCAATATTTTCATGATACTTTTGTTAATAATCAAATTTAAGCATTTAAGAGGGCCTGAGAATCACTTTGTTAATATTCTTGTTTCATCAGAAAAAAAAAACACACACACAGGAAATGTTCATGGGCCTCAAAACAGAATCAGTTTCAGAAGGTGATATATCTTAAGTATTTTTTCCCATTGAATCTCATGTTGAAACCTGATCCCCAATGTTGGAGGTAGGGCCTAGTAGGGGGCATTTGGGTTATGGGGGGTGGATTCCTCATGAATGCCGTGATGCCCTCCCTATAGTAATGAGTGAATTTTCTATTAGCTACCATGATATCTGATTTTTTAAAAGAGCCTGGTATCTCCTCCCCTCTCTTTTGCTCCCTCTTATCATGTGACATTCTGTCTCCCCTTCCCTTCCTTCATAACTAAAAGCTTTCTTGTCAAAAGCAGATGCTGATGCCATACTTCTTATACAGTCTGCAGAGCTGTGAGCCAAAATAAACCTATTTTCTTTATAAATTACCCAGTTTCAAGTATTTCTTTATAGAAATGCAAAATGGGCTAACACAGGTGGGGGAAGTGAGGAATATTGGGGATAACTGAAATCTACAGAGCAGTTGTTCCATGAGCTGGAGGAATTAATGGTCCTCCTGCTGAGAATATCTTCCACAGCAAGACATCCACTATAAGGGATATTATTACTGGCTGACTATACCAAATGCAAATCTCTCAAATCTAAACTGCTCCAAAATTCAAAACTTTTTGAGTACTGACATGACACTTAAAGGAAATGCTCATTGAAGCATTTTAGATTTCAGATTTTCAGATTTGGGATGCTCAACTTGTTAAGTACTGGCATGCATCTCTTATTGATGGGGATACATAGTAAGAAATGCATTGTTAGGCCATTCTGTTGATCTGTGAACATCATAGTGTGTACTTACACAAACCTAGATGATATAGCCTACTATCCACCTAAGTTATATGGTATAGCATATTGCTCCTAGGCTACGAACCTGTACAGCATGTGACTATACTTAGTAGTGTACAGAAATAGTAATTCAATGATAACCTGTCCAATAGAAATTTTTCAGCTCCATTATGATCTTATGAGGCCATCATTATATAGTGGTCCACTGCTGACCAAAAGGTTGTTATGCAGTCTATGACTATATAATGCAAATATTCCAAAATACCCCCAAAAAATCTGAAATCAGAAATACTTATATGATCCCAAGCATTTTGAAGAAAGGATACATGATCTGCACTGATATTCAGACCATATTTTATAAGGAACATCAGAGAACCCTGTCTATTAATAAGCAGAGACTTTTAATAAGTTGCTTTAAAGAAGGGCAGCTTGATGTTAATATGCCTTAGTTTCCTACAATTTTATTCCCACTCTCTAGGAATTCTTTCATCTTTTTCATTCTTCCTAAAGTAACACTAGGGTCCAAAGTTAAAGTGTCTTCCATCTCAAGGGACCCACATTTCCCACATGTTCAATAATACTTTCAAGGGAAACCTCTCAATTGTGGTTCTTGATGTAGTACCCAGAGAGGAGAGCTTTCTTTAGAACCGTATATTTATATGCTGTTGAGTTAATCAATGCCTTTAAATACATTAAAAATTATGAAACCCCAATGTGTCAAATTATCTTCTTTATATAAATAGTTTGTGTGGATTACATTTGCCACTAGCAATCTTGCAGATGTGAAATATAAGCTCCTCAAAGACATATACATTTTTCTCTTATTCAATGTAGAACTTCTAGGATTTAATACTTGTAATATTGTGTGCAGCCAAGTATCCTTTCCCACATATTCAATAATACTTTCAAGGTAAACCTCTCAATCTTTGTTCTTGATGTAGTACCCAGAGAAGAGAGCTTTCTTCAGAACTGTATATTTATATGCTGTTGAGTTAGTCAATGCCTTTAAATACATTAAAAATTATTAAACCCCCATGTGTCAAATTATCTTCTTTATATAAATAGCTTGTGTGGATTACATTTGCCACTAGCAACCTTGTAGATGTGAAGCATAAGCTCCTGAAATACATATACATTTTCTCTTATTCAATGTAGAATTTCTAGGATTTAATAATTGTAATATTGTGTGCAGCCAAGTATCCTTAATGCTGCATAAAAAGCCTCAAATCCTCTAAGGCTTTTAACTGAGATAACTACAATCAACAACCAGCTTTTGTGCATAAGAAACAATTTGGTGATTTTCCCTGATTGATGCATTTCTGGACTTTATTAAAAGTCAGGAACCGGTGTAAGTAGATGTGTAAATAAGGAAAATTTGATGGAGGAGTGTGCATGCCGAGAAAAATGAATTAGCACGAAGTATGTACACAGAGTATCTGAAAGGCAACATTATAGGGGAGTATAATGATAAAGTCATGTGACTTCTGTGCACATTAAATGAATATCAATTAGGTACACTTTTGGCAAATTGCCTTTTATAGCAACTGCCATCTGGACTCATAAATGCAATCGTAAGTCTAAACAAATAATAGTACACTGCATGATTTAAAGCATAGAATTCACAGTTAATAGCTTTCTCTTTAATATATGATTTATAAGTGAGCAATATATTAAAAACGTATAAAATTAAGATACAGTTAAATGTACTTGTATAGAAAATTTAACTCCTAGATAACTTTTTTTTTCTGACAAAACTGGTTACCTCCAAAGTCAATAAACAGAAGTGTTCCTCACTTCAACTTTTAATGCCACTTTTACTTGCTATTTATTAGGTACATTTTTATGCTTTTTAAGGGAAGAGCTCTATATGTTTTTATAAATATTTGTTGGATTTTGATATCCAAAGGCTTCACCGGTTCTATGACACTTCTTAACTGTATTAAACTGTATCCCAAATTATACCATACGTGGAAATTGAACTATTCATGCTGCAAATTGAATTACTCAAACTGAATCCTTTATAAATAAAGCATATTAACATAAAAACTGTATTAAATGAGGTCATTTATATTTCTCAAAAAATGCTTGATTAGCAAATCCATCAACTCCAATAAGACATATCAGAATAACCAAAAAGCAAGATAAAATACAATCCTATAAAAATTAAAATCCACCTCTTTCTTTACCAAATTTTAGAGGTGCGAGAGACTTTAGAAGTCGTAACTATGACATTTTCTCCCATTTGAAAAATCAAAGCACTGAGGACAAAAATGAAACAGGGAAAGTGGCCAGATACAATGTCCCCTACTGTATTAATTAGGGTTCTCTAGAGAGACAGAATAGGATATACATATATATATGTAAAGGGAGTTTATTAAGTCTTAACTCATATTATCACAAGGTCCCACATTAGGCCATTTGAAGGTGAAGAGAAAGGAGAGCCAGCCAAGTCCCAAAACGAAAGAATTTAGAGTCCAATGTTTGATGGGCTAAAGATGTAGCCTGGGAGGCTAGATAAGTCTACTCTTTTCACATTTTTCTTCCTGCTTTATATTCTAGCTGCGCTGGAATATATCTTTGACTCCCAAAGGTCAAAGATAAAGAAAGGATCCTAGAGCAGCACGAGAAAAGAACAAACAAAATACAATGGATCTCCAATATATCTGGCAACAGGCTTTTCAGTGGAAACCTTACTGATCACAGAAGAGTGGCATGACATATTTAAATTGGTCAAGAAAAAAAATGCTTATACCCTAAAAAAGTGTATATGGGAAAAACATCATTCAAACATGAAGGAGAAATAAAGACTTTTCCAGACAAACAAAAGTTAAGGGATTTCATCAACACCAGACCTCAACACCAGTTGAGGGATTTCATCAACACCAGAAACACTAAAGGGAGTACTTCAATCAAAACCCAAAGGACATTCATGAGCAATGAAAATACTACCTGAAGGTATAGAATTCACTGATAATAGTAAGTACACAAACAAACACAGAACATTATGACACTGTGACTGTGATGTGTAAACTACTCATATTAGGTAGAAATACAAAACAATGAACCAATCAAAAATAATAACTATAACAGCTTTTCAAGACAGAAGAAGTACAACAAGATATACACAGAAATAATAAAAAAATGCAGAGAACGGAGGTAAAGTGCACAGCTTTTATTAGTTTTCTTTTTGCTTCTTTATGCAAACAGTATTAAGTTTTAATCAGCTTACAATAATAGGTTATGAAATAAAATTTGTAAGCCTCTTGTTAACCTCAAATCAGAAAACATATAGCAGATGCACAAAAAATAAATACCAAGAAAATAAATCATAACACCAAAGAAAAGAAAGAGAGGAAGGAGAGAAATTAGGAGAAAAAGACTAGAAAAGAACCAGAAAATAAATAACAAAATGGCATGAGTAAATCCTTAATTCTCAATAATAATACTGGATATAAATGGACTAAACTCTTCATTTGAAAAACAAAGTGTGGCTGAATGAATAATAAAACAAGAACTAATGATCTGTTGCCTATAAGAAACACAATTCACCTATAAAAACACACATATCCTAAAAATAAAAAGATGGGAGAAATATATTCCATGCCAATGGAAAGCAAAAAAGAGCAGGAGTAGCTATACTTAGACAAAATAGATTTCAAGACAAAAACTAAAAAAAGAGACAAAGAAGGTCACCATATAATAATAAAGAAGTCAATTCAGCAAGAGGACATAACAATTTTTAAATATAGATATACATACTCAATACTAGAGCACCAAGATATATAAAGCAAATATTATGAGAGTTAACAGACCCCAATACAATAATAGCCGGATAATTCCAAACCCCACTTTCAGCATTGGACAGACCTTCCAGACAGAAAATCAAAAAGGAAACATCAGAATTAACCTTCATTATAGACAAAATGAACTTAATAGATATTTACAAAACATTTCACCAATGACGGCAGAATAAACATTCTTGTCCTCAGCACATGGATTATTTTCAAGAATACACTATATTTTAGATCACAAAAAGAGCCTTAAAACATTCAAATAATATAAAGCATCTGCTCTGACCACAATGGAATAAAACTAGAAATCAATAACAAGAGAAATTTTGGAAAATATGTAAACATATAGAAATTAAACAATATGCTCCTGATTCAGTGGGTCAATAAAGAAATTGAGAGAAAATTAAATGTTTTCATAAAACAAATGATAATGAAAACACAACATACCTACAACACAAAAAAACATAAAACCTATGGGATACGATGAAAGCAGTATTAAGAAGGAAATTTATAGCTTTAAATGCTTACTTCAAAAGAAGAAGATATATGTCAAATTAAAAAATCTAATGATGTATTTTTAAATACTGGGAAAGCAAAAGTAAATAATACAAAATTAGTAGAGAAAAAGAAATAATAAAGATCAGAGCATAAAAAATGAATTGGAAATGAAGAAAATGATACAAAAGATTAATAAAACAACAAGTTGCTTTTTAAAAAGATACACAAAATTTAAAAATCTTTAGCCAGATTAACAAAAAAAAAGAAGACTCAAATAAATAAAATCAGAGACAGAAAAGGAGACATTACAACTCATACTGCAGAAATTCAAAGGATCTTTAGTGGCTACAATGAGCACCTATAAGCCAATAAATTGGAAAATCTAGAAGAACTGGATAAATTTCCAGATACATACAACAGCCTATAAAGACTGAACCAGGAAGAAATCGAAAACCTGAAGAGACCAAAAGCAAGTAACAATATCAATGCTGTAATAAAATACCTTCCAGCAAAAAAAAAAAAAAAATTCCCAGGACCCAATGGCTTAAATAATGAATTCTACCAAACACTGAAAGAACTAATACTAATCCTATTCAAACTATTTTGAAAAACAGAGGAGAAGGAAATACTTCCAAACTCTTTTTTTTTTTTTTTTTTTTTTTGAAATGGAGTCTTGCTCTGTCACCCAGGCTGGAGTGGAGTAGTGCAATCTCAGCTCATTGCAATCTCTTCCTCCCAGGTTCAAGAAATTCTCCTGCCTCAGCCTCCCGAGTAGCTAGGACTACAAGTATGCATCTCCACGCCCAACTAATTTTTCTATTTTTAGTAGAGACGGGGTTTTGCCATGTTGGCCAGGCTGGTCTCAAACTTCTGACCTCAAGTGATCCACCTGCTTCGGCCTCCCAAAGTGCTGGGATTACAGGAGTGAGCCACAGTGCCCGGCCCCAAACTCATCCTATGAGATACCAAAACCAGACAAAGACACTTAAAAAAAAAACAAACAAACCAAAAAAAAAAACTATAGTCCAATATACTGAAGCATACTGTATAAACATCTTCAACAAAATACTAGAAAACTGAATGCAATAATACATTAGAAAAATTATTTATTATGACCAAGTGGGATTTATCTCAGGGATGGAAGGATGGTTCAACATATGCAAATCAATTAATGTGATACACTATATAACCAGAATAAAGAACAAAACCAAATGATCATTTCAACTGATGCTGAAAAGCCTTTGATAATATTTTACATTTCTTCATGATAAAAACCCTCAAAAACTGGATATAGAGAGAACATACCTGAACATAATTAAAGCCATATATGACAGACACATAGCTAGTATCATATGTATGAGGAAAAACTGAAAGCTTTCCTTTAAGTTCAGAAATAAGACAAGGATCCACATTTTCACCACTGTTATTCAACAGAGTACTGAAAGCCCTAGTTAGAGCAATCCAACAAGAGGAAAAAAAAAAAAGAACATCCATCTTGTGAAGGAAAAAGTCAAATTATATAATCTTACATATGGAAAAACTCAAAGACCCCACCAAAAAAAACCTGTTAGAACTGATAAACATATTCAGGAATGTTATAGGATACAAAATAAATGTACAAAAATTAGTAGCATTTCTACATGTCAACAATGAATAATCTGAAAAAGAAATAAAGAGTAAAGTCCCATTTACAGTAGCTATAAATAAAATACCTTGGAATTTACTTAATCAAATAAGTGAAAGACCTCTACAATAAAAATTATAAAACTCTGATGCAAAAAAATTGAAGAAAACAAGAAAATTGAAAGAAATTCCATGTTCATGGACTGGAAGAGTTAATATTGTTAAAAATCTACATACTACTCAAAGCAATCTACAGACTTCATGCAATCTCTACCAAAACATCTATGATATTCTTAACAGAAATAGAAAAAACAATTTTAAAATTTGTATAGATACACAAAAGACCCAGAATAGCCAAAGTCATCCTGACCAAAAAGAACAAAACTGCAGGAATAACATTACCTGACTTTATACTACAGAGCTAGAGAAACCAAAACAGGACAGTACTGGCATAAAAACAGACACATAGATCAGTGGAACTGTTTAGGAAACCCAGAGGCAAATCGATACATCTACAATAACTTCAGTTTTGATAATGTTGCCAAGAAGTTACACTGGAGAAAGGACAGTCTCTTCAAAAAATGGTGCTAGGAAAACTGAATATCCACGTGCAAAAGAATGAAACCAGACCACTATCTCTCACCATTTATCAAAAGCAAATAAAAATGGATTAAATACTTAAATCTAAGACCTCAAACTCAGAAACTACTAAAAGAAAACTTTGGAAGAAACTTCAGGACATTAAACTGGGCAAAGATTTCTTGACTAATACCCGGGAAGCACAGGCAACCAAGGCAAAAATGGACATGTGGGATCACTTCAAGTTAAAAAGCTTCTGCACAGAAAAGGAAACAATCAACAAGGGGAAGAGACAACCCACCGAATGGGAGAAAATACTTTCCAACTACTCATCTGACAAGGTATTAATAACCAGAATATACAGGGAGCTTAAACTATTATATGGGAACAAATGAATAATCCAATTAAAAATGGACAAAATACTTGAATAGGCATTTCTCCGAAGAAGACATACAAATGGCAAACAGGCATACGAGAAGGTGCTCAACATCACTGATCATGAGAGAAATGCAAATGAAAACTACAATGAGATATCATCTCACCCCAGTTAAAATGCCTTTGATCTAAAGAGTCAGGCAGTAACAAATTGTGGTGAGAATGTGGAGAAAATGGAACCCTTGTTTTTTGTAGCACTACTTACAATAGACAATATTTGGACACATCCTAATTGTCCATCAACAGATGAATAAAGAAAATGTGGTACATATACACAATGGAGTACTATTCAGCCATAAAAACGAATGAGATCCTGTCATTTGCAACAACATCAATGGAATTGGAGATTATTGTATCCATATCACTATCAGGCTTTTGGGCAAAGCCATTCAACAAGTCTCTAGGAAGTTGCAAAGTTTCCTACATTTTCCTGTCTTCTTCTGAGCCCTCCAAACTGTTCCAACCTCTGCCTGTTACCGAGTTCCAAAGTTGCTTCCACATTTTTTGATATCTTTTTAGCAACGCCCCATTCCTGGCACCAATTTACTGTATTAGTCCATTTTCACGCTGCTGATAAAGATATACCCGAGACTGGGCAATTTACAAAAGAAAGAGATTTAACTGGACTTATATATAGCTCCACGTGGCTGGGGAAGCCTCACAATCATAGCAGAACGCAAGGAGGAGCAAATCACATCTTAAGTGAATGGCGGCAGGCAAAGAGAACTTGTGCAGGAAAACTCCACCTTATAAAGCCATCAGATCTCATGAGACTTATTCACTATCATGAGAAAAGCAAAGACCTGCCCCCCATGATTCAATTATCTCCCACCAGGCACCTCTCACAATATGTGGGAATTATGGGAGTGCAATTCAAGATGAGATTTGGGTGGGGACACAGAGCCAAATCATATCAAAGAGTATAATTGGATTGTGTGTAATACTTCAGCTGATAAATACCTCATTTATGCTGATGCGATTATTACACATTGCATGTCCGTATCAAAATATCTTATATACCTATAAATATTTATACCTACTATGCCCCCACAAAAATTAAAAATAAAATTTTGTAAATAAATGTGCAAAAGTGTCAATAGGAATTTCTCAAAAGAAGACATACAAATGGCAAACATGTATATGAAAAGCTGCTGAACATCATTGATTATAAGAGAAATGCAAATTGAAACTATAATGAGATATCATCTCACCATAGTTAAAATGGCTTTTTCCAATAGACAGATAATTAAGGAATGCTGGAAAGGATGTGGAGAAAAGGGAAACCTCATACACTTTTGATAGTAATATAGATTAGTACAAACACTATGAAGAACAGTTTGGAGGTTCCTCAAATTACTAAAAACAGTACTACCACATGATACAGCAATCGATTTGGAAGCCAAGATTTGGAAGCAACCCGCATCCATCAACAGATGAATGGATAAAAAAAAATGTGGTATATATACACAATGGAGTATTATTCAGTCATTAAAAAAGAAGGAGATCCTGTAATTTTAATAACATGTGAGGAACTGGAGGACATTAAGTATAAGGCAGGCACAGAAAGTCAAACTTCAAATGTTCTCACTCATTTGTAGGAGTTGTAAATTAAAACAATTAAACTTAACGGAGATAGAGAACAGAAAGATGGTTACCATAGGCTGAGCAGTGATGTGGGGGTGACAGAAATTGAGGATTGTCAATGGTTATAAAAATTTAAGAGAGAATAAATAAGATCTAGTATTTGATAGCATAACAGAGTGACTACAATGAAGAACACTTTATTGTACATCTAAAAATAACTGAATGATAAGTGCTTAAGGTAATGAACACCCCATTTATCCTGATGTGACTATTACACATTGTATGCCTGTATCAAAATATCTCATTTACCCTAGAAATAGGTTAATCTAATATGTACCCATAAAAATTAAAAAAGAACACTCTTTGTAGCATATTTTGAAAGAGTTAGTTTGGAAACAATTAAAATGTGCATTACTATGAACCTACATGTATAAATATATTTCCACATCCTTAAAATTTCCAGTAAAACAGAACTAAAAATATTTGATGTGAACAGGACATACAACATGGCAGATTATAGGTATTCCACAATCACTTCAGCAGAAAGTAATGCATTCAAAAATAGTATTGGTAACAGAGGAGAAAATGACAATTAAAGAACAGTTTGGCATAGGGTAAAATGTGTAATAAACATTTTGGCATAGGGTAAAATGTCTAACAAATATATGCATATACATAGTATGCATAAAGAGGTTGAGTATCCCTTATCTGAAACGCATGGCACCAGAAGTGTTTTAGACTGCAGATCTTTTTGCATTTTGGCATATTTGTGTAAACATTTTTATATATCTTGGGAATGGGACCCAAGTCTAAACATGAACCTTATTTATGTTACATATATACCTTACACATATAGCTAAAGGTAATTTTATACAATATTTTAAATAATTTTGTGAATGAAAAAAGTTTTTGTTAAGTACTTTGTGTAATTTTCCACTTATGGCATCACATCATCACTCAGTAAGTTTTGGATTTTGGAGCATTTTATATTTTTGGATTAGAGATGTTCATTTTGAACTGATCGATGTGTGGGGGTTGAGAAGAACAATTATAGGACAGTGCTATCAGGAATGGGGAATACCATATCATTTTTCTATTTCCTATCCTTAGTCAGAAGAGACTGAGCAATTCATAATAATCTTAAACCAAAATATCCAGCTAATTCAGCCCCTAAATATTATGGATACCTAGATGCATTCCCTACATCATCTCAAACATGCAGACTGACTTATATGGGCCTTGAATTAGCCAGATGGCTTGACTTGTATTTTTACTACTTGCTATTTGTTGTATAATTGTTTGAAGGTCCTTTATTAGATTTGCTTACCCAATCCAATGAAAAAAGCCTCAGTGTGTAATTTTTTTCCTGATAAATAAAGAACCAACTACATGGTGACAATCACTAAGAACTCAGTAAATACTTGAGTTAATCATATGACTTCATTCATCTATTCAACAAGTACTTACTAAATGCTTCTCACACGCCAATTACTATAATAAGCACTACTTTTTTGTTGTACCATTTCTATATTCTTTCTCATGTCTATCATTAAGGATAAATTCCTAACATACTCTTCTTGGGGTCTAACAGAGTTGGAAGAAATTCCACATTTTATATATCCCCTTATACCAGAGTACTCAGTACTAATTGAACCAGCATGAGATGATATCTTCTTAGAGAATACTCTCCATACAAAGAAAAATCTATCCCCATTACTGGCAATCAAAAAATAAATATTAGTCCACCACAGAAGAGAAATATATATATGGGATATATATATGACATATATAGCATATATATGAGACATATATGGGATATATATGACATATATAGGATATGTATATGACATATATAGGATATATATGACATATCTATATATAGGATATATAGGAGGTGTATATATATATATATATATATATATATATATATATAGGAGATTATATATATATATATATATATATATATATATCTTCCCTGAAAATTATCTAAATGCTCACAACATGAGAAAACTTATCCTGCCTTCACCATCATCCTGAAAAGGTTTAAACAACTTTAATTTATAAATTGTCTATGGTTCATTCAGACCATAAATACAAGCAGTACCTTTAATAGAGTCAACTGGAAAAGAATAAATTTAATTTCTTGGGCTTGAGAAGTAAGTAAAAAATCACATTCTTCCTGAAGAAAGCAGCATAGACTTTATGTCAAGCTCTTTCAAGGAGGTTGAATGTTCTGATTAAGTAAAAAGACTGGATTTCCTGAGGTAATTAATTAGCAGAGCAAGCAATGCAAATTACTATAATTTCAAACCAAGTGTATCTTTAATATATGTATCTCAATACATAGGAACTAAACAAAAATCCAGGTGTCAACAGATCCTGTTCTAACATCTCTTGTCATTACACAGTTGCAGCAGCAGCATTTTCTGATAGAGGGAGCAGAGAAGTTACAGTGCTATGTTCTTTTCTGAGCCTTCTAGATCTCTACCTTACTAGATGTGATGATCAGTGTTCACTGCTTTAGAAAAGAATGCAAATTTCACTGTAGTGCATAGTGCATCACTATCCTATGGGGGGAGTGTTCACTCCTGAGCCAGCTGGACATCAGATTGAGCACTAGAAAATGAAGAGTACCTGATGTCATTCTTACTCATCCTAATACTACTATTACTTTATATATGGGACATACACGAGTAAATTACTAGTAAAACTTTGGCCCTGACACAACTTTCATTTCCTTAATATTTTAAGGGGTTAAAAATACATAATCTAACATTATCCCTAAAACTTTCTTGTGAAGTGAACTCTATAATTTCCGATATTCCTTCCAACTCTGAGACTAAACACTCCCATGATAGTGGAATATATTTTAGGGCCAACTTTGGCACTTTTATAGCCCAGAGGATTTCATTTGTCTCAGAACCACAGAGACCCTCCAGAAACTGAAATAATCATCCCATGTTTTTTTCAAAGAAAGAAAATTGTTTTAGAACAGTCTTTTTAGCATAGGTTATTTCACGAAGAATAACCCAGGACCAAATTCATGTCCTATTATTTATCAGATAAATTTTAACATTGTGGACATAAACTTAGAAATGTAAATGATGTTGTGAGTTCACTTCTCTTTCCCCAGCACTTTCAAAGGGGCAAAGAATCCTCTAAGATAAAAATTAGGGAATGAAAAGTAGATTTTCACCTTCTCCAGGTATGTTTTGAGTTTACAGCTCTGTCAGCAAGGAGCATAAACAAGACTACCTCTAAAGACTCTTGCCTCTATGATTAAACATGCCCATGAGAAGTATCAGGAAATGGAAGCACGAAACGTAACAGGAAGGGAAATATCATAGAACAAGGCCAGTCAACATGAAGTGAAAGTTAGAGTAAGAACTCTCAGGTTTCATACCCTCCTCTAGGAAGTCTCCCTTTACCATCCACACTCTATGTTAATGCCGCTTATTCTAAATACTTTGTCATCAATGTAGATTGCCACTTATTTACAGAAATACTGACATATTTTGAACAAGTGGGAGTAAATCAAACTAAAAAGATTCTACACAGCAAAGGAAACAACAGCGTGAAAAGGCAACACACACAATAGAAGAAAATATTTGTAAGCCGTATATTTGATAAGAGATTAATCTCCAAAATGTATACAGAACTCCTGTCACTCAGTAGAAACAAAAAATAATCTGATTTTAAGAATAAGCTAATGACATAAATAGACATTTCTCCAAAGAGTTACAAATGATCAACAGGTATATGAAAAAATGTTCAACATGACTAATCAACACAAAAATGCAAATCAAAACCACAATGATATGTCACTTCACACCTGTCAGGATGACTATTATTAAAAAAAAAAGTGTTCTCAAGAATGTTGAGAATTTGGAGCCCTTGTACACTATTGGTGGGAATGCAAAACAGTGCAGCTTCCATGGTAAAGATTATCAATGTTTCTTAAAAAAATAAAAACAGAACATTCATATGATCCAGCAATTCCACTTCTAGATATATATTCAAAAAAATGAAATCAGTATGTCAAAGAGATATTAACACTTCTATGTTCATTGAAGCACTATTCACAATAGGCAAAATGTGGAAACAACCTATACATCCTTCAGTGGATGAACGGATAAAGAAATTGTTGTATATATATTGTATTTATCAGGGTTCTCTAGAGGGACAGAGCTAATGAACTATATATATATATATGTAAAGGGGAGTTTATTAAGTATTAACTCACACAGTCACGGGGTCCCACAATAGGCCATGTGCAGGCTGAGAAGCAAGGAAAGCCAGTCTGAGTTCCAAAACTGAAGAACTTAGAGTCCCATGTTCGAGGGCAGGAAGCATCCAGCACAGGAGAAAGATGTAGGCTGGGAGGTTAGTCCAGTCTCTCTTTTCACATTTTTTTTGCCTGCTTATATTCTAGCTGTGCTGATAACTAATGAGATTGTGCCCTAATCAGATTAAGGGTGGGTCTGCCTTTCCCAGACCACTGAGTCAAATGTTAAACTCTTTTGGCAGCACCCTCAGAGGCAATCAACACCTTCAATCCAATCAAGTTGACATTCATTATAAACCATAACAACTTCACCCCTTGTAAACTTGAACCCATACACATCTCCTGAGATCATACATAATCTTCAAATAAAGACAATAGTAAGGTCATAATTACACTTAACATAATACAACTATTCTTCATACAACCAGAAACGCACCAATCGCCAACCCAAATACTATTACATAACGTTAACAATACTTAAATGCTGACATGAAGTCAATAAATCTTACGTCACATGATACAGGAGAAAGGAAATAAAATGAAGATATTTTCTTAGTACAAGTGTATAGACGCACAAACATGTTTTCAACAAAAGGAGGAAATACACTTAACAATTACAGTCCTCATTTCTGCAGCTGATCACGTGGTTGTAGCTGCTATTGATGAATACCTTCTTCTACTGCCCACTCTGTATTCCCTTTGCCTTCATAAGCACCTCAGCAGGTCATGTTTTGTTTTGGGTTTTTTTTTGGTTTTTTTTTTTTTCTGGTGGACTGACCCAAACCTTCATTCCTGAAGGGTCTGGGTCATTTGTAGTCCTGCCTGGATTTGGCTGTTGTAGTTTCCCATTGAGCTTAATCACAGGGCATGGTAATACTAAGAGACACCCTAATGGATCTCCTGTATTCCATGCATACCCTCCTTACCTCTGTTGTGGAGTAGTAGGCTGATTTCATCTTAACAGTCCAAGTCGATCACCCAAGCTGACACTGTAAGTCCTGTCTTAGCCTGTTGATTAAAGGTAGAAGGCACCCAAAGGGTCCAGGTGGCAATCTTAATTTTCAGTTTAATGGACTCATTCTGTCTCCTGGTGGCAGCGTTCCTCCCTCTGGAACTAAGACCACTAGGCCAGCACAACATAGTGTCCCAAAATAAAAAAGGAAAAATTTTGCTAGTGGATCACTAGGGGTGATGGTGAGTGGTGTCACTTCCACTTCCACCCCTTGATTTCTGGATGTGTAAATCCTGGCTATTGGAGAAATAGTACCATATATTGGATGCTGATTCAGAGCATACACGGCCTTCTGGAGAACTTTGCCCCAGCCTTGCAAAATACTGACACCTAGTTGGCATTGTAATTGTGACTTCAAAAGGCCATTCCACCGTTCTATCAATCTAGCTACTTCAGGATGATGGGGGACATGGTAAGAACAGTGAATTCCATTAGCATGAGCCCACTGCTATACTTCTTTAGCTTTAAAGTGAGTGCCTTAGTCAGTCAGAGGCAATGCTGTGTGGAATACCATGACGGTGGATAAGGCATTCCTTGAGTCCACTAATGGTAGTCTTGGCAGAAGCATTACGTGCAGAATGGGCAAACCCATATCTGGAGTGTCTGTTCCAGTGAGGACAAACCTCTGCTCTTTCCATGATGGAAGGGTTCCAATATAATCAACCTGCCACCAGGCAGCTGGCTGATCACCCAGAGGAATGGTGCCATATCGAGCTCTCAGTGTTGATCTCTGCTGCTGGCAAATTGGGCACTCAGCACTGGCCATAGTCAAGTCAGCCTTGGTGAGTGGAAGTCCATGTTGCTGAGCCCATGCATAACCTCCATCTCTGCCGCCATGGCCACTTTGTTTATGGTCCATTGGGTGATAACAGCAGTGGCTGGGAAAGAGGCTGAGTGGTGTGCACAGAATGGGTCATTCTATCCATTTGATTATTAAAATCCTCCTCTGCAGGAGTTACCCATTGGTGAGCACTCACATGGGATACAAACATCTTCAAGTTTTTGACCACTCAGAGAGGTCCATCCACATACCTCTTCCCCAAATTTCTTTGTCACCAATTTTCCAATCATGCTTCTTCCAAGTCCCTGACCATCCAGCCGAACCATTGGCTACAGCCCAATTAATTAGTGTATAATTACACACCTGGCCATTTCTCCTTCCATGTAAAATGCACAACCAGGTGCACTGCTCAAAGTTCTGCCCACTGAGAAGATTTCCCTTCACCACTGTCCTTTAGGGATGTCCTAGAAAGGGGCTGTAGTGCTGCAGCTGTCCACTTTCAGGTGGTGCTTGTAAATCATGAACCATCTGTGAACCAGGCCCTAGTCTTTTCTTCCTTGTCAACAGACCATAGAGAACTCCCCAAGAGGCCATCAGTGTAGGCTGGGGGAGAGAATGCAGGGGAGAGAGGAGACCATGGGCATTTGAGCCACTTCCTAATGTAACTTACTTGTGCCTTCAGGACCTGCTGGAGCCTGATCATATATATACCCCTTCCATTTGATGATGGAATGCTGCTGTGCATGACCCACCTTATGGCTAGATCGGTCAGAAAGCACTCAGTTCATGATAGGCAGTTCAGGTCACATGGTGACTTGACGGCCCATAGACAAATGTTCAGTTTCCACCAAGGCCCAGTAACAGACCATGAGCTATCTCTCAAAAGGGGAGGAGTAGTTATCTGCAGAAGATGACAGGGCCTTTCTCCAAAATTCTAGAGGCCTCCTCTGTGATTCACCTACTGGGGCCTGCCAAAGGCTCCAAACAGCAGCCATTGACACCTCAAGCACCACTGGATCTGCTGCATCATATGGCCCAAGTGGCAGAGCAGCTTGCACAGCAGCCTGGACCTGTGGCAGAGCCTTCTCCTTTTCTGGACCCCACTCAAAACTGAAAGCCTTTTGTGTCACTCAATAAATGGGCCAGAGTAACATCCAAATAGGCCTACTAGGCGTTATGCCAATTTCTTGGTTGTAGGAGGGGCCAAATGCAGCAACTTATCCTTCACCTTAGAAGGAATATCTCAATAGGCCCCACACCACTAAACCCCTATATATTTTAGTGAAATAGAAGGTCCCTGAATTTTAGTCAGATTTATTTCCCAACCTCTGGCATGCAAATGTCTCACCAATTAACTCCAGTGTGTTTGTTACTTCTTGCTCACTGGATCCAATGAGCATAATGTCATCAATGTAATGGACAAGTGTGATATCTTGCGGAAGCAAAATGTAATCAAGTTCTCTTCTAATAAGATTATGACACAAAGCCAGAGAGTTTATAATCCCATGAGGTAGAACAGTAAATGTATATTGCTGGCCTTGCCAGCTGAAGGTGAATTGCCTGTGGTAGGCCTAATGGACAGGAATGCAGAAAAGGGCATTTGCCAAGTCAATGGTTGCATACCAGGAACCAGGAGTTGTGTTAATTTGCTCAAGCAATGAAACCACATCTGGCACAGCAGCTGCAATTGGAGTCACCACTTGGTTAAGCTTACAACAGTCCACTGTCATTCTCCAAGATCCATCTGTCTTCTGCACAGGCCAAATGGGCGAGTTGAACAGGGATATGGTGGGAATTACCACCCCTGCATCTTTCAAGTCCTTGATGGTAGCACTAATCTCCACAGTCCCTCCAAGGATGCAATATTGTTTTTGATTTACTATTCTTCTAGGTAAAGGCAGCTCTAATGGCTTCCATTTGGCCTTTTCCACCATGAGAGCCCTCACCCTACCAATCAGGGAGCCAATGTCGGGGTTCTGCCAGCTGCTAAGTATGTCTATGCCAATTATGCATTTTGGCATTGGGGAAATGTCAACAGGATGAGTCCGGGAACCCACTGGACCCACTGTAAGTTGGACCTGAGCTAAAACTCCATTAATTACCTGACCTCCATAAGCCCCTACTTTAACTGGAGGACCACAGTGACGTTTTGGCTCCACTGGAATCAATGTCAGCTCAGAGCCACTGCCCAGTAGTCCCCAAAATGCCTGAGCATTTCCCTTTTCCTAATGCACAGTTACCCTGGCAAAAGGCCAGAGGTCTCCTTGGGGAAGGACGGGAGAAAGATTCACTGCATAAATTTTTGGTAATGTAGTGGGGTCCTTCCTCAAGGAGACACAACCTCCCCTTCATTCAAGGGGTTCTAGGTCTGTAAACTGGCTCAAGTCTAGAAACTGATTGAGGGGACATGCTTCTCTGTTTTTATAATTCAAATTAGTCTTCTGTCCATTTGACCTAGAAGTTTTCTGCTTATATAAATTAAGTAGGAATGCAGTAGGTTTCTTATCAATTTCACTTCAAGGAACACTGTGATTAATTAGCCAATGCCAGAGCTCTACACGAGTCAGATTACTCTGATTGCTGCATTGCCTCTGCTGTCCATTATGGTAGCTATGCCCACCTTGCCTGTTATGGTTGAGTGCTGCTGCTTGGTCCCTGCCACCTTGAGATCCAATTATTCCCATTGTATTTAAATTTTGTACTTGAGTGACTGTGGTTCCCACTGTTAGATCTGACATACACAGAAGAGCAATTACAGGGCTCTTCAAAGATGCACGTGCTGCCCTCACAAATCTATTTCACAAGGTATGGGTCACAAGTATATGTTCTGGACCCTCCCAGCTGGGATGAATAGGTCTAAAGTGACTAATCCATTCCACAATCCCAAACTCCCTAAGCCTTTGGATGTCTTCCTCTACATTAAACCAAGGGAGATCAGGCATTTCCAGCTCACTCACAATGGGCCAATGTTTAATCCATATTTCATCTGATCCAACTCTACATTCCTTCCACCATTATCCCACACCTTTAATATCCGTTCCCATGCCTGTTCTCCAGATTTCTGTTGATATAAATTAGAAAACTCAAGCAGTTGTTTTTGAGTGTAGCACACCTCCTCATGAGTCACACTCTCAACCTCACCTCTAGGGGCCTGCTGGGACTTTAGTCTAGTTATAGGCCTAGAAGCAAACAGAGGTGTTGGGGGTGGCTCCTGAGAAGAATCAACATTCTCTTGCCTGGCAACTGCCTCAGGGGAGGCCATCATTGTTGCCTCAGGCAGCACAGGGTTTATCTCCTCAGATAAAGGTGGAAAGGCTGATGGCAGCATGGGGTGGGAGGGGATGTTGCCATTACTGGGGATGGGGAAGCTGTTTCTTCCAGCAAAAAAAAAAAGTTCATCCTAGTTTATAAACTCAGTGTCCCCAGCTTCATCAGTGTCCTCCCACATGTCCCCATTCCAAGTTGCAGGGTCTCATTCTTTTGCAATCAATGCCCACATTTTAACAGTACACACCTCATGAGGCTGTGCATGTGCCCTTCATTGCAGGTCAGTCACTCACATGTTAAAAGCTTGTATCTGTTTTTCTACAATTTCAGCTCTTTCTCCACAGGAGATAAGACTCTCACTCAGGGCAATCTTAGCAGATTTGAGGCTCAGTATTTGCTTCTGAAGCTGGGAGACAGAATCCCTGAGTTCATCATTCTCTTCCATCACTTTGTCCACTAAAGTTATGAGCAACAAACCAGCTTCATTATGTTCTTTGGTTCTCCACATATGGTCAAAGGTATTATGTATAGAGCCACTAAACTCCTTGCCTCTCACAAGCGATAAACCAAGAGTGTCAAATGCATTTATTTGCATAACTCTCTAAACAGTTCACGCCAAGGACTATCAGTGTTCTCCACACTATTAGAAGTAGAGCCCTTAGCATTTTTGGCTCTAATTATATTAAGCAGCCAACTACAGAAACCCCAAAACCAACAAAAGAACTGCATCCTTAATATTCTGCTCCTCTAGAACCACTTCTAGTACCAAAATCTGTGTTAGTCAGGGTTCTCTAGAGGGACACAACTAATATATGTATATAATATATATAAAGCTTACTAAGTATTAACTCACATGATCACAAGTTCCCAAAATAGGCTGTCTGCAGGCTGAGGAGCAAGGATAGCCAGTCCGAGTTCCAAAACAGAAGAACATGGAGTCCCATGTTCTAAAGCAGGAAGCATCCAGCATGAGAGAAAGATGTAGGCTTGGAGGCTAGTCCAGTCTCTCTTTTCACATTTCTCTGCCTGCTTATATTCTAGTAGTGCTGGCAGCTGATTAGATTGTGCCCCGCTCAGATTAAGGGTGGGTCTGCCTTTTCCAGCCCACTGACTCAAATGTTAATCTCCTTTGGCAACACCCTAACAGACACACCCAGAATCAATATTTTTTATCTTTTAATCCAATCGAGTTGACACTCAGTATTAACCATCACATACATACATTGGAATATTATTCAGCCTTAAAAAATGAAATTCTGCAATATACAACAACATGGGTGAACTTTGAGAACATTATGCTGTTTGAATAAAACTAGTCACAGAAGGATAAACATGCATGATTGCACTTATATGAGGTATCTAAAATAGTCAATGTCATAAGAGTCAAAAAATGGAATAGTAGTTGCCAGAAGCTAGAGAATGAAGGAAATGGAGAGTTACTAATCAACTGGCATACAATTTCTGTTAAGCATAATGAATAAGTTCTAGAGATCTGATGTACAATATTGAACCCATAGTCAACAATGCCATACTGTATACTTAATAAAGTGTTAAGAAGACAGATTTCATGTTGTGTTCTCATTGCATGAAGTAATTTTTAAAAATTAAAAGGGCAGGCCGGGTGCGGTGGCTCACGCCTGTAATCCCAGCACTTTGGGAGGCCAAGGCTGGCAGATCACAAGGTCAGGAGATTGAGACCATCCTGGCTAACATGGTGAAACCCCGTCTCTACTAAAAATCCAAAAAATTAGCTGGGTGTGGTGGCGGGTGCCTGTAGTCCCAGCTACTAGGGAGGCTGAGGCAGGAGAATGGCGTGAACCCGGGAGGTGGAGCTTTCAGTGAGCAGAGATCACACCACTGCACTCCAGCCTGGATGACAGAGCGAGACTCCGTCTCAAAAAAAAAAAAAAAATTAAAAGGGTAAGTGACTATTTGTGTGCCTACCATATGTAAGACTCTGTGCCATACTTTAGCTTATTTTTATTTGCCTTTCCAGATTCATTCATTTATCTAATATTTATTGAGTTCCTATTACGTTCCAGGTACTGGGGATTTAGCATGAATGCAACAACAAAAATTCCTGCCACATATAGCTTATCTTCTGTCGGGAACAAATAGACAATAAACAATAAACATAATGCAGATAACTTATATAATGTTAAAAGTAATATGTACAAATAAAATATAGATGAAGGAAATTACAAGTGGAGAGGAAGTGAGCTGCAAATATAAATGAGGTGAACAGGGTAGTCCTCATTGAGATTTTTAGGAAACAACAAGGTAAGCCTCATTAGATATTTGGGGAACAATATTCTAAAAAGAGGGAACAGCAAATACAAAAGCTAGCTTGGTTCAGTGTGCTCAAGGAAGAGCAGGGCAACCAGTATGTCTGGAAAAGAAGGACTGATGAGGAGAGAGAAGGAAAAGATCAACTATGGGACAGACAGGAGCATTTCAAGTAGAGCTTTATAAGTCATTATAAGGACTTTGGATTTTACACTGAGAGATGGCAATGCACTGGAGGGTTTTGAATAGAAGAAAGATATTATTTGGCTTATAATTTAATATAATTATCTGGCTATTGTATTGATAATATATTATACAGTGGCAAGAATGCAAGCCAGAGACACCAGAAAGGAGACTACTGAAATAATCCATGTGAGAACTGATGGTGGTTCAGACAACAATAATAGCAGAGGAGATTTGAAGAAGTAATTGGATTCTGGTGATGTTTTGAATGTAAGGCTGACAGCATTTCCTGAATTATTGAATGTGGTCTGTTAAATAAGGCAATCAAGAATGTTTGCAAGTTGTTCATCTAAGCAACTGAGCAGATGGAATTGCCATTTACTGAGAGAGGAAAGATATTGGGTGTGTGGGGGGGGTATCAGGAGTTCAGTTTAGGACAAGTTACATTTGAGATGCCTATTAGTTATTAAAGTAGACACATTAGGTAAACAGTTGAATATGTAAGTTTACAGTTTGAGGCAGAGGTGTGGAGTGAAGAAGTATATATTATTGTATTTGGCCCATAGATGGCAGTTGAAGTTGTGAAACTAAATGAGATCAATAAAGGGATGCGTGTAGACAAAATAGAGGTCCTGAGATTAAGTCCAAGGGCATTACTACATTATGATGCCATGAAGAAAAGGATAGAAGGGATAAACAAAGGAGACAGAGACAGATGACCAATGAGGTACTAAGGAACAGAGTGTAGTTTCCTGGAAGCCAAACAATAGATGTGTATCAAGAAGGGTAAATTGCTGTTACTGAAACAAGTAACATAAGAGATGAAAATTGACCTCTGTATCTATGAAAATGAAAGTCATCAATGACCTTTACAACAATAGTACCAGTGGAGTCATGGAAGGAATAGCCTTATTGAAATGGGTTAAAAGGAAATGGGAGAAGAGGATTTGAAGACCATGTACAGACAAATTTAAGGAGTTTTGAGGCAAAAGAAAACACAGAAATCAGGTACAAGTTAGTGGAGAAAAGAGGTGTGAAGTCAAGAGAATGGTTTCTTTTAACATGGGAGAAACAGAGTATATTTGTATACTGAGAGGAATAATCAAGTTAAAAGAAAAAGTGATGATGTTGGAAAGAGACAAGATAATTGCTGAAGTAATGTTCTAGAGTAAGTGAAAATGGTTAGGATCTAGTGCAAAAGTAAAGAGTCTGATTTTATTAGGAGTACAGAGAGTATATGTTATTATTTATTCTAAAAACAGGACAGTGAAGTATATAAGTTCAGATTCTGGTAGATGGGTAGATATAGTTATGGGAGTCAACAGAACCTACTCTGGGGCCAAGACTATGCATTGTGTTCTTCCCTTCGGTCCTTATATCCACACTCCCCTTAAATGTTAAACATACTCCACCATAGGTAGCCATCACTGGTGTTACAGAAAAATAACTGCACTTGGAATTTAACACATTGTGTTTGAGCCCCAGCTCCACAATGTACTAGTCTGTGATCCTATGCAAATTATCCCACTTCTCTGATCTGTTTTCTCAACTATGAAAGGAGTAGCTAAGACAATTACCAAAAAGTTATGTGAAAGCACTCAGTGACTAAAGCTAAATGATTTTGAAAGTAACTTTAGCTGCAGGAAGACCATTCTGGTCAACTGAAATATGTAAAAACCCATTATATGAGAAGATAAAGGCAGAGATCCTTCGGTTACTGTGGAAGTATGTGGTTTGAAGCGCTGTCCAGTCACCCCTCCCAACTTTGACAGCTTTTGAAAGGGTTTTACAGGGCCTCTATACTTCTGAGGAACAGCTGAAAGCCACTTCAACCTACTAATACCTCATATTATTATTGTTAACCCCGTTTATATGTTACACATATGTGTCTTTAATTCTTGATATAACTTGATTGTCCTATTAATAAACATGCCTATGCAGTTCGTTTACAAGCATTGAGCCCAGCAACGTCTGCAAAACAGTGCTTAGTCCAAACTTGATCTCCTCACTGTTGAATTTGTTCTTTCTATCTTGATTCTTAGGTTGCTCCAGGATAAGAGCCATCTGCTGCCCATGGTCATGAGGCAACAGGTTGGACAATGTTTCAAACTCTCAAGATATAATGATATCATGTATTTATTTCCCTGTTCCCCAAAATAAAGCAACTGGTTATTTCCTACTTGACCCTTTGTCAGATTCTATGCAAATGCTGCAGATTTTCATTTCAACTGATTCTCTTGTGGTAAATCTCGTATTAAGCTGTCACCTCCTTCCCCATAATATATCACTATTCTTCACCTCACAGGATCTTAATGACTTTTTTCCATCCTTTTCTGGCTAAAGAGGCTGCAGCACTTTCTCTAGAAATAGATTAGTTAAATTTGGACTTGTCAAACCATGGGGATATCTCCATAATTGTTTTTATGCACCATTATTCACTTGTTTATACACAATCAGTATAAGTACAGTGGTTCAGAGCCTTGGTACTAGAGCCACACTTCCAGGATCCAAAGTTATGCCACTTAATATCTGTGTAACTTTGTGCAAGTTAATTAATTGATCTGTGTTTAGTTTTTTTAATCCAACTTGGGGATGATTATGATAATGACTATAATAGTAATAACATTTATTGAGCCTTGTTATATATCATGTTATTATTCCTTTACATGAAAACTGTACTTACCTCATGAGGTAAGGATTAATTTGAGATACATAGAACGATATTAGAGTACATAGAACGATACCTGCAAATAAGTGCTCCATAAATATTAGATATGTTTTTTATTATAAATTCAATAAATGTTTATTGTGCACTGGTTATGTGGAAAGCAATATGCTGTTCCTTGGGGAAAACATTCTTTAAAAACATAGTTCATATCCTCAAAGAATTTTCTTGGGATACTAACACATATACAAAAAGTCATTCCAATAAAGTATCATACATACTATCATTGAAGAATGCAGGAGATGCTATCTTAGCATCATGGACAGAGCACCTAAGTCTGCCAGGAAAATTCTAGGAAAGCACCATAGAACACGCAATTCCAGAATTGAGCTTTTAAGAATGAACAGAAGTTTAACGAGTAAAGAAAGTGAAAAGGGGCATTCCAAGAAGAAAGCAAAACATATATGCAGGTATCTGAAGCAATATAATAAATTAAGGAAGGTTCAGAGAAATTCCAATAGATTAGAAACACTTGACAGTAAAGTCTAAGGAAGGAAAGAGTGGAGGGGAATAGAAGGTAGAAGCATTATAAGCCAAATGGCAGCAGTTCTCAAATTTTCTCGTCTCAGGAGTCGTTTATACTCTAAAAATTTATTGAGGATCCCAAAAGGTTTTTGTTTATATGGGCTGTATCCATAAACATTTATGGTATTAAGGTTATAACTGACAAGATTTTAAACAACATAACACTAGAATATGTAAGCAAACTTTCCATGTTCTCTGAAAAAGTTTATTGTATACTTTTGAGACAATAAAAATGGAAAAAAAACATTTCCAACAGCAATGGGAAAAAAGACATTTCAAGGGAAGATGGGTCAATGATAACAGCTCTACTCTACAAAGATTAGTCAAGTATCTATGTTGGATTTACAAAAACACTTTCTTTTCTTTGCAGAGGATTTTATGTGTTATGATGCATTCATTTGTTAAAGTTTAAACATACTAGACAATGCTAGGGGATGTATAAGTTTGTCATTTTCAGTCTTGTGCCTTCAGTCTTATCTCTATAAAGTTAACCTCTATATCTTTATCTCTGCCATTGACTTCTTTACCAAGCTTCAGCACAATTCACCACTGTTGGACATCTTTCCACAGAGTCCCTCCCACAACCTGAGTATTGGTACATAATAATCACTGAATTATAATTCAGTGAAAATATTCATTGGCCGCCTATTATACACCAGGCACTATTTTAGAGGTTGAAGATCTTGCAGTCAATTACTCAGAAAAACATATCTGACCACATAACATTCCAGTAAGGGTGATAGGCAATAAAGACACACATGAAAATATGGACTATGTTGAAAAGCAATGAGTTCAATGAATGAAAGTAGCACACATTTTCACTGAGCCAACTACAACCCACAATTCCATTAGCATGTAAAGTAGATCTTTGCCTTCCTTTGTAGAGCTCGTTCATTTTCACACCTATGGCTGTGAAAGGAAGGCAAAGATATAGTTCTAATATTTGTTCCCTCCAAATCTCATGTTGAAATTTGATCCTCAATGTTGGAGGTGGGGCCTTATTGGGGGTGTTTGGATCATGGGGGTGCCATTCTCAAAGTAATGAGTGAGTTCTTGCTCTATAGTTCCTGTGAGAACTGATTGTTACAAAGGGTCTGGCACTTCCTCCTCTCTCTCCCTCTCTCTTGCCACATGATACCTACTACCCTTCCACTTCTGCCATGACTGCAGGCAGCCTGAAGCCCTCACCAGAAGCAGATGCTAGTGCCATACTTCTTGTACAACCTGCAGAACTGTGAGACAAATAAACCTCTTCTTTTATAAATTACTCACTCATGTATTCCTTTATAGCAACAAAAAAAAATGGGTTAAGAGAGGCTACAAGAGACTATGCAGGCAACAGAAGGATATGTAGGAGGGTCTATAGCATTCAAACTCTGGTATTAGTTTAGCTGGTTATAGAAAAGTGCCAATTATCCTATGAATAAGAGTTCACATTTTATTTGGGTATACTATTCTGAAATTTCTTGTGTCACTACAACCTACATTTTACCACCAGCACCCGTCTCGAAAATGTGTTCTCTTGATTAAAAAATCAAACAGTGGGTAAAAGAGTGTCAAAATACATCAGCACAGTCTGTCTTCAAACCTGTAATAACAACTCCAAGCTCATACCTTACTGAAAACAGGTTAAGAATGACATTTTTACTCAGTAGCTAGTAAACAAAAATATAGATAATATATACATAAATATAGTTCAGAGAAAACAGCATGTATCCTGTATTTACATTGATCGAAAAGGTAAAACAATGAGCCTATTTATATCATGCTCACTGTAGCAAAATTATAACATATTAATATGTATCATAATTTTAGCGTATCTAATTTATTTAGATCAGATCATATTCTAAGGAGATGTTTTGACATCAGATGTTTAGAAATGAGCACCAATAAGGATTATCAGCATAGGCATATTTCTATGACCAGTTATTTGAACATTTAGTGCAAAAGCACAGCACTGGAAACATTTGATGAAGACCATGTTAAGTCTCTAAGCAATTTTATTTCCTTTAATAGATATTTTGAAAATAAAATAAATGAAAGCTCTTGGAGAAAGGACATATAGATGTGTCTTTGACAACTAAGTGCCTTCTACAAGGGCACGCTGAATTTAAAATTATGTAATACATTTATAAACCAAGAAAATTGTCTATTCGGACAAGTTTGAATCAACTGAGGAAGAATGAACTACTTCTTAACCTTGTTTTTATTTATTTATTTATTTAGAGACACACTCTTGCTCTATTGCCCAGGCTGGAGTGCAGTGACGTGATCTCGACTCACCGCAACCTCTGCCTCCTGGGTTCAGGCGATTCTCCTGTCTCAGCCTCCTGAGTAGCTGGGACTACAGGCATGCACCACCATGCCAGGCTAATTTTTGTATTTTTAGTAGAGACAAGGTTTCACCATGTTGTCCAGGCTGGTTTCGATCCCCTGACTTCAAGTGATCTGCCTGCCTCGGCCGCCCAAAATGTTGGGATTACAGGCGTGAGCCACCGTGCTCAGCCAACTTGCATTATTTAGCCATTAAATGAGCCAAATAATGGACTTGGTAGTTTAATTGTTGCCAGTCTTCTAAATCCAATCTGATGCAAAAGCAGATAATACCAAGACAGTGTGTCAGGAAATGCACTGAACACTTTAGTCAGTATTCCATGTATTCTTTACCTTTCAAAGTAGGCATAGTGACATTAGACTATCATAGATAGATTATCATACATTTAGGAAAAAACCTTGAGGCTCCCAAAGATTCATTTCTTTACAAAGTATTTGGGCAGTTGGTTTATATGTGATGTAAGGAAATATGCTTCTTCTACCTGTTCAAGACCCATTCTACATTTGATAACAGCACTTCTTTTGTTCTACAGAGAACCACCGCTTCACATTCTAGACTACCCCAGCTCCAGGCAAGGACATGTGACCCAGGCCTGGCTGATCAGCATATGCCACGTGTATGGGCTTTGACACCTGTTCAGAGATGAACATTTGGTCCAATTAAGCCAAAAAGACAATTCCAGGACATTTTGCAGAACTTGTGGCAATGAGAACTCTCTTCTGCTGGAACTGTTAACTCTGAGGTTATAAGCCTAGAGAGCTAGCAACCAGAAACCCCATGGAAAATGTCAGCTAGAAAATTAAATCTTCCAAAAGTGGCATAGTCAATGAATTGGAATGAGGAATTGAAATAATGCAGGAAAAAAAAAAAGCAATCCATTACCACAGTTTAATCTCTGGCTCAGACTATGTTTGCAGCCAGTCCTACTCATATATTTCTCATATAAATAAAGCAATAAATCAATCCAATCCTGGGCTTGTCTTATTGGGAGGTTTCTAATTACTACTTAAGTCTATGTATGTGTTATTGGTCTGTTCGGATTTTCTATTTATTCTTGACTCAGCATTGGTCGATTGTATCTTTTTAGGAATTTATCCATTTCTTCTAAGTTATCCAATATGTTGGCACATAATTATATATAATAGTCCCAGCCTTGCATCCCAGGGATGAAGCCCACTTGATCATGGTGGATAAGCTTTTTGATGTGCTGCTGGATTCGTTTTGCCAGTATATTATTGAGGATTTTTGCATCAATGTTCATCAAGGATATTGGTCTAAAATTCTCTTTTTTGGTTGTGTCTCTGCCCAGCTTTGGTATCAGAATGATGCTGGCCTCATAAAATGAGTTAGGGAGGATTCCCTCTTTTTCTATTGATTGGAATAGTTTCAGAAGGAATGGTACCAGTTCCTCCTTGTACCTCTGGTAGAATTCGGCTGTGAATCCGTCTGGTCCTGGACTCTTTTTGGTTGGTAAGCTATTGATTATTGCCACAATTTCAGATCCTGTTATTGGTCTATTCAGAGATTCAACTTCTTCCTGGTTTAGTCTTGGAAGACTGTATGTGTCGAGGAATTTATCCATTTCTTCTAGATTTTCTAGTTTATTTGCATAGAGGTGTTTGTAGTATTCTCTGATGGTAGTTTGTATTTCTGTGGGATCAGTGGTGATATCCCCTTTATCATTTTTTATTGCGTCTATTTGATTCTTCTCTCTTTTTTTCTTTATTAGTCTTGCTAGCGGTCTATTTTGTTGATCCTTTCAAAAAACCAGCTCCTGGATTCATTAATTTTTTGAAGGGTTTTTTGTGTCTCTATTTCCTTCAGTTCTGCTCTGATTTTAGTTATTTCTTGCCTTCTGCTAGCTTTTGAATGTGTTTGCTCTTGCTTTTCTAGTTCTTTTAATTGTGATGTTAGGGTGTCAATTTTGGATCTTTCCTGCTTTCTCTTGTGGGCATTTAGTGCTATAAATTTCCCTCTACACACTGCTTTGAATGCGTCCCAGAGACTCTGGTATGTTGTGTCTTTGTTCTCGTTGGTTTCAAAGAACATCTCTATTTCTGCCTTCATTTCGTTCTGTACCCAGTAGTCATTCAGGAGCAGGTTGTTCAGTTTCCATGTAGTTGAGCGGTTTGGAGTGAGATTCTTAATCCTGAGTTCTAGTTTGATTGCACTGTGGTCTGAGAGACAGTTTGTTATAATTTCTGTTCTTTTACATTTGCTGAGGAGAGCTTTACTTCCAAGTATGTGGTCAATTTTGGAATAGGTGTGGTGTGGTGCTGAAAAAAATGTATATTCTATTGATTTGGGGTGGAGAGTTCTGTAGATGTCTATTAGGTCCGCTTGGTGCAGAGCTGAGTTCAATTCCTGGGTAACCTTGTTGACTTTCTGTCTCGTTGATCTGTCTAATGTTGACAGTGGGGTGTTAAAGTCTCCCATTATTAATGTGTGGGAGTCTAAGTCTCTTTGTAGGTCACTCAGGACTTGCTTTATGAATCTGGGTGCTCCTGTGTTGGGTGCATATATATTTAGGATAGTTAGCTCTTCTTGTTGAATTGATCCCTTTACCATTATGTAATGACCTTCTTTGTCTCTTTTGATCTTTGTTGGTTTAAAGTCTGTTTTATCAGAGACTAGGATTGCAACCCCTGCCTTTGTTTGTTTTCCATTTGCTTGGTAGATCTTCCTCCATCCTTTTATTTTGAGCCTATGTGTGTCTCTGCACGTGAGATGGGTTTCCTGAATACAGCACACTGATGGGTCTTGACTCTTTATCCAATTTGCCAGTCTGTGTCTTTTAATTGGAGCATTTAGCCCATTTACATTTAAAGTTAATATTGTTATGTATGAATTTGATCCTGTCATTATGATGTTAGCTGGTTATTTTGCTCGTTAGTTGATGCAGTTTCTTCCTAGTCTCGATGGTCTTTACATTTTGGCATGATTTTGCAGCGGCTGGTACTGGTTGTTCCTTTCCATGTTTAGCGCTTCCTTCTAGAGCTCTTTTAGGGCAGGCCTAGTGGTGACAAAATCTCTCAGCATTTGCTTGTCTGTAAAGTATTTTATTTCTCCTTCACTTATGAAGCTTAGTTTGGCTGGATAGGAAATTCTGGGTTGAAAATTCCTTTCTTTAAGAATGTTGAATATTGGCCCTCACTCTCTTCTGGCTTGTAGAGTTTCTGCCAAGAGATCCGCTGTTAGTCTGATGGGCTTCCCTTTGAGGGTAACCTGACCTTTCTCTCTGGCTGCCCTTAACATTTTTTCCTTCATTTCAACTTTGGTGAATCTGACAATTATGTGTCTTGGAGTTGCTCTTCTCGAGGAGTATCTTTGTGGCGTTCTCTGTATTTCCTGAATCTGAATGTTGACCCGCCTTGCTAGATTGGGGAAGTTCTCCTGGATAATATCCTGCAGAGTGTTTTCCAACTTGGTTCCATTCTCCCCATCACTTTCAGGTACACCAATCAGACGTAGATTTGGTCTTTTCACATAGTCCCATATTTCTTGGAAGCTTTGCTCGTTTCTTTTTATTCTTTTTTCTCTAAACTTCCCTTCTCACATCATTTCATTCATTTCATCTACCATCACTGATACCCTTTCTTCCAGTTGATCGCATCGGCTCCTGAGGCTTCTGCATTCTTCACGTAGTTCTCGAGCCTTGGTTTTCAGCTCCATCAGCTCCTTTAAGCACTTCTCTCTATTGGTTATTCTAGTTATACATTCTTCTAAATTTTTTTCAAAGTTTTCAACTTCTTTGCCTTTGGTTTGAATGTCCTCCCGTAGCTCGGAGTAATTTGATCGTCTGAAGCCTTCTCTCAGCTCGTCAAAGTCATTCTCCATCCAGTTTTGTTCCGTTGCTGGTGAGGAACTGCGTTCCTTTGGAGGAGGAGAGGAGCTCTGCTTTTTAGAGTTTCCAGTTTTTCTGCTCTGTTTTTTCCCCATCTTTGTGGTTTTATCTACTTTTGGTCTTTGATGATGGTGATGTACAGATGGGTTTTTGGTGTGGATGTCCTTTCTGTTTGTTTTCCTTCTAACAGACAGGACCCTCAGCTGCAGGGCTGTTGGAGTACCCGGCCGTGTGAGATGTCAGTGTGCCCCTGCTGGGGGGTGCCTCCCAGTTAGGCTGCTCGGGGGTCAGGAGTCAGGGACCCACTTGAGGAGGCAGTCTGCCCGTTCTCAGATCTCCAGCTGCATGCTGGGAGAACCACTGCTCTCTTCAAAGCTGTCAGACAGGGACATTTAAGTCTGCAGAGGTTACTGCTGTCTTTTTGTTTGTCTGTGCCCTGCCCCCAGAGGTGGAGCCTACAGAGGCAGGCAGGCCTCCTTGAGCTGTGGTGGGCGCCACCCAGTTCGAGCTTCCTGGCTGCTTTGTTTACCAAAGCAAGCCTGGGCAATGGCGGGCGCCCCTCCCCCAGCCTCGCTGCCACCTTGCATTTTGATCTCAGACTGCTGTGCTAGCAATCAGCGAGACTCCGTGGGTGTAGCACCCTCCGAGCCAGGTGCGGGATATAACCTCCTGGTGCGCCGTGTTTTAAGCCCGTCGGAAAAGCGCAGTGTTCAGGTGGTAGTGACCCGATTTTCCAGGTGCCGTCTGTCACCCCTTTCTTCGACTAGGAAAGGGAACTCCCTGACCCCTCGTGCTTCCCGAATGAGGCAATGCCTTGCCCCGCTTCGGCTCACGCACAGTGCGCGCACCCACTGACCTGCGCCCACTGTCTGGCACTCCCTAGTGAGATGAACCTGGTACCTCAGATGGAAATGCAGAAATCACCCGTCTTCTGTGTCGCTCACGCTGGGAGCTGTAGACTGGAGCTGTTCCCATTCGGCCATCTTGGCTCCTCTCCTACTCAGTCTTAAAAAAGAAGGAAATCCTGCCATTTACCTCAACGTGGATTAAAATGTAGGACATTTTTCTAAGTGAACTATGACAGACATAGAAAGACAAATACTGCATGGTTTCACTTAAATATGTAAAATCTAAAAGTATCAAATACATAGAGACAGAATAGAAGAGTGGTTACCAGAGGCAGGGAGGTGGGGAAAACGGTGAGATGTTGATCAAAGGGTACAAAGTTGAAGTTATGTAGCATGCATAATTCTAAAGATCTAGTATACAGCATGATCACTATAGTTAGTAACACTGTATTATACACTGGAAATGCTCTAAAAGAATAGTTTTCAGAAGCTAGCATGATAAAAAGGTAACTATGTGAGGAAATATGTTCATTTGCTTGACTATAATAATCATCCTTATGTACATGTATATCAAAACACGATGTTGTACATGTTAAATATATATAATTTTATGAACAACAGAAATAAATAATGCAATAAATTATCATTTTATGTAAACCATTTTTGAAGTGGCTGCCTGTCACTGGCAGCTAAATGAATCCTAACTGATTATACTTGCTTCAGGTATAAAGCTTTAAAATGGCAATGACTGGATTTGAACTAAAATCACTGACTTTGAAATCTGTGCTTTTTTCCATTTTGCAATATTGACTCCTCAGAATACTTGCCAATATATATTTCTATTCCATTATGAACAAGCTCCAAGAAAAATACCTGAGCTTACCACTTTCTATTTATTCTTTAATTTGTTTAGCATGAGTATTACCGGTTGATGGAGCAGCCTTGTTTTAGATTAGTTAAAAGACATAACAAAGTAGTACTATAAATTATCTGGGTTTATGTACTCCTAACCCTTAAGCAAATTTTAGACTTAATGAAGAGAACGCATACAGAAGTACAGAAAGCTGAAACACTTCAAAGCAAAACAGGCAAAATATGTAACAACCTAAGAACACAAGATTTAAAAGATACAGAATAATGGTGATAGGTAGGGGTCCAGTATCATTCTTCTGCATATAGCTAGCCGGTTATCCCAGCACTATTTACTGAATAGGAAGTGCTTTCTCCATTGCTTATTTTTGTTGACTTTGTCAAAGATCAGATGGTTGTATGTGTGCAGCTTTATTTCTGGGTTCCCTGTTCTGTTCAATTAGTCTATGTGTCTGTTTTTTGTACCAGTACCATGTTGTTTTGGTTACTGTAGCCTTTTAGTATAGTTTGCTATCAGGTAATGTGATGCCTCCAGTTTTTTCTTCTTCTTCTTAGTACTGTTTTGGCTATTCAGGCTCTTTTTCTGGTTCCATATTAATTTTAGAATAGTTTTTTTTTTCTATTTGTCAAAAATGGTGTTAGTAGTTTCATAGAAATAACGTTGAAAATGTACCTTGCTTTGCACAGTATGGCTGTTTTGACAATATTGATTTCCTCCAATCCACGAGCATGATGTTTTTCCATTTATGTGTGTCATCTCTGATTTATTTCAGCAGTGTTTTGTACTTCTTTTTGTAGAGGATTTTCACCTCCTTGGTTAGCTGTATTCCTAGGTATTTTATTATTATTGTGGCCATTATAAATGGGATTGCATTATTGATTTGGTTCTCAGCTTGAATGTTAATTGGTGTATAGAAATGCTATTAATTTTTGTGCATTGATTTTGTATCTTGAAACTTTACTGAAGTTGTTTATCACTTCTAGGAGCCTGTTAGCAGAGTAATTAGGGTTTTCTAAGTATAGAATCATATCGTCAGCAAAGAGAGATAGTTTGACATCTTCCTTTGCTATTTGAATGCATTTTATTTTTCTCCTGCCTGATTGCTCTGACTAGGACTTCCATCACTATGTTGAATGGGAGTGGTGACAGTGGACATCCTTGTCTTGTTCCAGTTCTCAAGGGGAGTGCTTTTGCCTGTTCAGTGTAATGTTGGCTGTGGGTTTCCAGAAGAATGAAACTGGACCACTACCTATCATCATTAAAAGAAATTCACTCAAGATGGATTAAATATTTAAATGTAAGGCCTCAAACTATAAAAATCCTAGAAGAAATCCTAGGAATGAAATATCTTTGTCAATATCAGCCTTGGCAAATAATTTATAGCTAAGTCACCCAAAGTAATTGCAACAAAACAAAAATTGACAAGTGGGACCTAATTAAAAAGTTTCTGCACAGCAAGAGAAACTATCAAGGCCACTCAAAAGCCAAACATGAGAGTCAACGTTTGGTGGGAGGAGAAGCAAGCTTTAATTGGAGAGCCAGCAAACCAGAAGATGGTGAACCATCCATCTAAAGTATCATCTTAAGTTTTAAATTTTATTACAGGGTTTTTAAAGAGAAACTTGGTATAAGAGATATGCAGGAGTGGAACAGAGCGCAAGGTCTGTGTCTCTTGTTCTGATGGTTATCTTGGGTAATTACTTGTCCAGAGGTCTTGTTGGTGTTTTTTCGACTTTGGCCTGATGGTGGTGGACTAAATGTGATTCCCCTTAAGTGGGAGGACTCCAAAGGGACTCTGTTTCTGGTTTGTCCCAAGATTAGCCCCTGGAATTCCTAAGCAACCATATAATTAGATGAGTGTGCATGGTGCAAGGTACTGTATAATGAAAAAGGGAGAAAAAGTTTCAAAGCATATTTCAAGGCTATCATCTAAGACTAAAGAAAAAGAGTTTTAAAATGAATTTCAAACCTGAGATGCTTAGTTAGAAAGGGAGTAAGCAGACAACCTACAAAATGGGAGAAGATATTTGCAAACTATGCATCCAGCAAAGTTTGCAAATAGCAAAAGAAATCTAATATTCAGAATCTATAAAGAACTTAAATTAATAAACAAAAAACAAATAACCCCATTAAAAAAATGGGCAAATGACATAAAAAGACACTTCTCAAAAGAAGTCATATAAGCGGCCAACAAACATATAAAAAAGTGATCATCATCACTAATCCCCAGAGAAACACAAATCAAAATCCTAATGAGATATCATCTCACATCAGTCATTTAACAAATGTCTTTTGTTAAAAAGTCAAAAAATAACAGATGTTGGTGAGGCTGCACAGAAAAGCAAACACTCATACACTGTTTTTGGCAACGTAAGTTAGTCCAGCCACTATGAAAAGCAGTTTGGAGATTTCTCAAAGAACTATTATTTGTAGTTGAAATACCATTTGACCCAGAAATCCTATTACTGGTATATACCCAAGGGGACATAAATCGTTCTACCAGAAAGACACATGTACCCGTATGTTCATTGCAGCACTATTCACAATAGCAAAGACATAGAATCAACCCAGGTGCCCATCAATGGTGGACAGGATAAGGAAAATGTGGTACATATACACCATGGAATACCACACAGCCATAAAAACGAATGAAATTGTGTCCTTTACAGCAACATGGATGTGGCTGCTGGCCATTATTACAATCAAACTAATGTGGAAACAGAAAACTAAATGCTGCGTGTTATCACTTATAAGTGGAAGCCAAATACTGGGTACACATAGACACAAAGATGGGAACAACAGACACTTGGAATTAATCATGGGGAGAGAAAGGGAGGTGGACAATGGCTGATAAACTACTATCAGTTACTATGATCACTACCTGGGTGATGGATTCATTCGAACTCCAAACCTCAGCATCACACAATATACCCAGGTTACAAACCTGCATGTGTACCCCCGATTCTAAAATAAAAGCTGAAAAAAGAAAAATCTGATAGAGAATAATGAAATGCTATAAATATTGGACATGGACATCCTTGTGAACAGAATCAGATTAAAAAAAAAAAAGGATAGCCTCTAAACACCCTGAAATTCAAACTCCAAACTGTGCTCTATATGGAAGCTCACTGCCATCTGCTATCCAGTGTGAAGTTAACACCACAGCACATTGACTAATCCCAGTGATGACATTTTCTGTAAATCTTCCATAATATCAACGTGCTTCTGTCACTGGAATGCCATATTGTCCACTTCTCTTTGAAATAAAACTATTACCATCAATTCTGAAGAATAAATTTGAATTGTGCTCTAGCTCATATTAACCTCTTTTTATAGGCCATTATATATCCTCATTTTTTATTAAAAGAAATAATTTCCATCATTTGAGAGTTTATAAAGCAATAAACAGCTCTTGATTACTCAGCACTTTTACAGAAATCATATCATGTTAATTATGCGTGACTCAAAACTGCATAAGTAAAACTATCACCATTATACTAAAATTAACTTAAAAGAGTCATTTCCCTTGCATTTCCTTAAAATTCTAATTATCTTGCAAGTTTGTTTAGAAAGAGTTAGCTGATATTTCCATCCATTAGTCTTAAAACTAAGCTGACTGGAAAGAACAGCTATAGATGGACTGAAGAGGAAATAATGCTATACCTTCATGAACAACTAAGTGAACTGATTTGAATAATCTTTAAAACACAGCCGACTTTTGTACTTGTTTTCTCTGCCTGGAATACTCTTTTCCCAGATAGTAATATAGATGGCTTGCTTACTACATTCATTCAGGTCTACGCTTAGATATGTTATCTGTACCAATTGTCCTTGACTACCCTAACTAAAATAGCCACCACTATACCCTTCATAACTCTGTCTTATAGCTTGCTTTATTTTTCTTCTTTGCATTTATCATTTAGAAGTAAGTGCTTATATTCTGTGTTTGATTTCTTTTTGGTGGACACAAACTTTGTCTTCCACAACATCTAGAAGAGTGCCTAGCAAATAGCAAGCACCCAGTAAATATGTTTTGAATAAATTAATCAATTCAGGAAACTAGTTTATAGATTTCAGCTCCATAGCTTTTTCTAATCTTTTGGTCTCCTTGGAAGTAGTAAAGAAAAAACAGTGTACCCTACTCCTTTAAAAGCCAGGGTAAATGTCTATCTACCCAGCCAAGGCATATTCTACTTATGTGGATCTTCAGCCCGTATCTGCCTCTCAGACAGTTTGCAAGAAATAACGAAATCTATCCTTACTTTACAATCCCAAATAGACTCTTTGGCAGCAGTGACTCTCCAAAACCACCAAGGCCTAGACCTCCTCACTGCTGAGAAGGGAGGACTCTGCACCTTCTTAGGGGAAGAGTGTTGTTTTTACACTAACCAGTAGGGGATAGTACGAGATGCCACCCAGCGTTTACAGGAAAAGGCTTCTGAAATCAGACAACGCCTTTCAAATTCTTATACCAATCTCTGGAGTTGGGCAACATGACTTCTCCCCTTTCTAGGTCTCGTGGCAGCCATCTTGCTGTTACTCGCCTTTGGGCCCTGTATTTTTAACCTTCTTGTCAAATTTGCTTCCTCTAGAATCGAGGCCATCATGCTACAGATGGTCTTACAAATGGAACCCCAAATGAGTTCAACTAACAACTTCTACCGAGGACCCCTGGACCGACCCGCTGGCACTTCCCCTGGCTTAGAGAGTTCCCCTCTGAAGGACACTACAACTGCAGGGCCCCTTCTTCACCCCATCCAGCAGGAAGTAGCTAGAGCGGTCATCAGCCAAATTCCCAACAGCAGTTGGGGTGTCCTGTTGAGAGGGGGGATTGAGAGGTGACAGCGTGCTGGCAGTCCTCACAGCCCTCGCTCGCTCTTGGCGCCTCCTCTGCCTGGGCTCCCACTTTGGCGGCACTTGAGCCCTTCAGCCCACCGCTGCACTGTGGGAGCCCCTTTCTGGGCTAGCCAAGGCCGGAGCCGGCTCCCTCAGCTTGCAGGGAGGTGTAGAGGGAGAGGCGCCAGCGGGAACCGGGGCTGCACACAGCGCTTGCAGGCCAGCTGGAGTTTCGGGTGGGCGTGGGCTTGATGGGCCCTGCACTCGGAGCAGCCGGCCAGCCCTGCCGGCCCCGGGCAATGAGGGGCTTAGCACTCGGGCCAGTGGCTGCGGAGGGTATACTGGGTCCCCCAGCAGTGCCAGCCCACCGGCGCTGCACTCGATTTCTCACGGGGCCTTAGCTGCCTTCCCGCGGGGCAGGGCTCGGGACCTGCAGCCCACCATGCCTGAGCCTCCCAACCCCTCCATGGGCTCCTGCGTGGCCTGAGCCTCCCCGATGAGCGCCACCCCCTGCTCCACAGCGCCCAGTCCCATCGACCACCCAAGGGCTGAGGAGTGCGGGCACACGGCACGGGACTGGCAGGCAGCTCCATCTGCAGCCCTGGGGCAGGATCCACTGGGTGAAGCCAGCTGGGCTCCTGAGTCTGGTGGGGACATGGAGAACCTTTATGTCTAGCCCAGGGATTGTAAACACACCAATCAGCACCCTGTGTCTAGCTCAGGGTTTGTGAATGCACCAATGGACACTCTGAATCTAGCTACTCTGGTGGGGCCTTGGAGAACCTTTATGTCTAGCTCAGGGATTGTAAATACACCAATCGGCACTCTGTATCCACCTCAAGGTTTGTAAACACACCAATCAGCACCCTGTGTTTAGCTCAAGGTTTGTGAACACACCAATCAACACCCTGTATCTAGCTACTCTGGTGGGGCCTTGGAGAACCTTTGTGTCGACACTCTGTATCTAGCTAATCTGCTCGGGACGTGGGGAACCTTTGTGTCTAGCTCAGGGACTGTAAACGCACCAATCAGCACCCTGTCAAAACAGACCACTCGGCTCTACCAATCAGCAGGATGTGGGTGGGGCCAGATAAGAGAATAAAAGCAGGCTGCCCGAGCCAGCAGTGGCAACCCGCTCGGGTCCCCTTCCACACTGTGGAAGCTTTGTTCTTTCACTCTTTGCAATAAATCTTGCTACTGCTCACTCTTTGGGTCCACACTGCTTTTATGAGCTGTAACACTCACCGCGAAGGTCTGCAGCTTCACTCCTGAAGCCAGCGAGACCACGAGCCCACCGGGAGGAATGAACAACTCCAGACGTGCCGCCTTAAGAGCTGTAACACTCACCGCGAAGGTCTGCAGCTTCACTCCTGAGCCAGCGAGACCACGAACCCACCAGAAGGAAGAAACTCCAAACACATCCAAACATCAGAAGGAACAAATTCCAGACGCGCCACCTTAAGAGCTGTAACACTCACTGCAAGGGTCCGCGGCTTCATTCTTGAAGTCAGTGAGACCAAGAACCCACCAATTCCAGACACACTACCAGGACCCTCCATCAACATGTGGGGATTACAATTCGACATGAGGTTTTGGTGGGGACACAGAGCCAAACCATATCAGAACTGTTTTAGCTATACTGTCTAAAAGTGAAAATAATTAATGCAACTATATGCTCTCTCTAGCCTGTAGATAAAATACTCAGATGTTATTTCCCAATGTTTATTATGGCACAGACATCAGTAATACATTTATCTTTCTTTATGTCTTATAGTAATGTAGTAGATTAGAACCAGAGAATTACTCAATATGTTTAATATATGAAATTCTCTCTACAAGATGGAAGGAAGCATTCTCTTTTCTGCCTACCCAAATTCTTTAAAACTACTCCAAGAATTTATTTTTGGTTTCTCCAATCCACAATGAAATTTCTCTTAGTATTTAAATTCAAATTCAGTATTCTATTGTGTGACTTCAGAATATTCTCTGGTTACTCGTAACTCCTTCCCAGATAAATTAGAAAAACTCATGAGGAGAGAGGTTATGGGTTATTAGATTAATTTCATATTCCTCACAGAGTAAATACCTATAGATTTGACAATACTTGTTTGTGTGTTCATTTATAAAATGAATACCGCAAATACTAAAAAACCTTCTTGTTACAAAATGACTAAAAGTACTGGTTAAAACACACACATTTCTATGAACTAAAAAGAAAGTCTAAGAACCTTCAGAGAGCTAACTTACTAAAGAAGAGAAGACTAAAGTTTCAGTTACTATGAAGACATATGCTGATTCCTGTTTATCTTGAGACTGTCTATTTTGATGGCTATGCAAGGCAGAGGGCATGAATGGCAAAGCCCAGGGTGCTCAAAGGCAGAAGTCCAATAACTGACCCCGGAACAAAACCAGGACCTCAAAGAGTTACATCTTATGCAAAAGAGTAAACGATAGAATAGCCCACTCCAAAGAGGCAAACAGCAAGTATACCTTCCTGTCTCAATCTTGATGTGAGCCAGAAAAAAAAAATCTCCCCCTGAGAATCTAACAAGATAAAGTACTCTCAGGGGGTTAGAGTCTCAATCTGTATTCTCTCTCAAATGAAAAAAAAAATCTAAGTTGAACATTTATTTTAAGTGGTACTGAGTTAATGCCAAACCTAAGTGTTTGATAAAAACAAATTAAAGTCATTGAGGAATTTACTTTGAACATAGACATCAGAATTCCCATAAATATGGTTTCATTATCATGGATTTACAACCAGAAAGCACAGAAACACAAGAAAGCTAGGCACTAGGATCAAAAGTCTGCAAGCACAAGCACACATGCACAAACGCACACATAAACACTATAAAACTGCACTTCCAAAGAGTTCTGAATTGGGCTTTCTGAATACATAATATAAAATAAGTAGGCTTAAGTTTTAAATAGGGTATCAATAGCATTAGTAAATAAGTGTTGAATAAGTGGATCAGTAAAGTTGACAAAGAACAAGAGATTTTTAAAATGTCCAGAAAACTAAGAACTTCTAGAAGTAACATACATAAATAAAATTCTAAAAATAAATCGATAGTAAAAAAGCAGAATAGGTATAGCTGAAGATAATATTAGTCAAATGAAACATAGCTGAAGAAGCAACACAGAATGTGGAAGAAACAAAGATGTAAAATATAAAAGGTTAAGAAACATGAAAGATACCATAAGGACATCTAATATACATTCACTGTAGTTACAAACAGAAAAATGAGAGAATAGGGACAGGCAATACTTGAAGAAACAATAGCTGTGAATATTCCAGAATTGTTACATAAATGAATCTTCAGATACAAGAATAATATTTCTTCAAGATAAAAAAAATAAATCCACTCCAAGACTTATCACAGTGAAACTGCAGAATAACAAAGTCAATGAAAAAAACACTAAAAGCTGCCAGAAATAAAAGACAATGTACATACACACAAAAATAAAAAGTAGATGGATGGTGGACTATACAACACTACCAATGATAGCTAGAAAATAGTGCAAAAGTATCTAAAAATTGTTGAGGTAAAATAACTGTTAGAGGTATATTATTACAATTAAGATTGTAAAACAATCTTAATAACATGGGCAAGTTAAAGACATTTTCAGACAAACAAAAGGATTCATGACCAACGGATATTCACTAAAAAATTTCAGATAATATAATCCAGAAAGAATTAAAATGACTCCAAGATGAAGGCAAAAAATAATGTTGATTATAGTGAATGAATGAATTCCAGAACCAGTAAACTATGGATTTATACCAACTATAAGCAACCTTACCAGGAAAAAATAAATGTAGAGAACTAGAGCATAACTAAATCACACCACAGGAAAAATCTAGTTAAAAGGAGGGAGGAAATCAATATAAAAACAAGGTTTGATGTTATAAAATAAATGTGGTTAATTTATTCCAGCTTATTAATTAGAGTTGTTCATCCCATACTATTCCTCAGAATGTATTGTCCTTTTATAGACAACAATGACACCCTGGCCTGCCAATGTTGGAACACGTCCTGTGAGTTATTTTACAAGGAGGGATGGGTTTGCTCTGAGATAGCCACCTGGTGATTAGTGACCCATATTATAAGGAAGAGGATCAGTGCTAATAAGGGCTAGAGTGTCCATCTGAGCCCTCAGTAGGCAAAACTAATTGAGTGTTCCTTGCGAAAAATTGTCTCAATTAGGTGAAATTCCAACAGCTCCACTATAGTATCGGATTGCCTTTATCACAGAGTTCCTTCTACTGTTAAACTAGAAGACCTGGGACACACTGAAGAGTATTCCCTCAGACTAAAATTAAGAAAGAAAAAAGTGAGCACATACAAGAAATCTCTATCTTCTCCATCCTTAGTTGATGAGTTGGCCCAATGAATGAATCACTTGCAAATCCCAAGAAACCCCTTATTGAAAGAGAACAGATCACTAATAGTAAATAAGTGTGGACAAATTATGACCCTATTAGCTGCATACAAAGGGAAATAGAAACTTGGGGGACATATTAAAAAATGAGAGCTCAAAGATAGCCACTCTTTAGAAAATCCCAAAGGGAATAGGGCTGTTGTTAGGTTCATAATGCATCACAGCATTCACATTCTATGTCATTTACTATTTTCAGCTGGTTGATGTAAACTCACAAGGAAAGAAAAAAATTTATTAGATAAACTTTCAAGGATGGGAGTGGAGGTTTAGGAAAAGGTTAAAAGAAGATATTAAACCTCCCCATTTTCTGAAACATCTGGTCTCCCCATTTTGCTTCATAATGGGATACTATACATACACAGATGATAATATAATAATGCTTTACTTACCAAATTATTTTCCATTTGTCATCTCATTCTATTTCCACATGCATCCAGTGTAATAAGGCAAATTTTACTCTCCATATACAAAATATATGAAAACTAATAAACAAAAACATAAGTATTAAATGTCTTATCAGCAGTGGAATGCTTAATTCCTATTCCACTGCTCTACTAAGTATAATGGTTCTAAATAATACTGCCTGGGTTTCAATCTCACCTCTGCCACTTGTTACCTATGCGAGATGGAACACCACGGTACTCTCTAAGTCTCGGAGTATTTTTGTGTGTGTCTGTAAAACCAAGTTGATAATAAAGATTAAATATGACAACATAAAGTCAATTACACATTGTAAGTCCTCTATGTATAATTAATTTACTAAGCATTTTGAACTGAGTAGCATTAGTTTCCTCTAATCACTGCTCTCCTAACTCCATGGAAATTCCCATTGTGGTGCCTTACTGCCTCCCAGACTTACTTCAAAAAAATATGCAGTCACCTTCAGGTGTTATAGTTTAACCTAGTTAAAATTCCAATACCATATTCAATGTAAATGTTATCCCTTTTCCTGCACTAGCCACTAACCTCCACCTTTCAGACTGGACAGGCTTATGGGCCCAGGAACCACTGTGAGAAGTGAGAATATGGAGTGGGCTTCATTTGCACTTCCCCTTCCCTTCCAGAACTAAGGGGTGAGGGAATTGATAATCTTGTTTTGGAATTCCTCCTCCCTTTCTCTATTCAATGCCTAACTTGCTAATGTTGAGGGACTGGGAAGAAAATAGTGGCAGAAGAACAAACATCTTTTCCCAACTGCCCACAGTCATAATCCCCTCTTTGCTCACTGCCATTGTTTTTCTGGCTAATGCTGACTAGCCATGGATACCTTCTCAGCGTCAGGCATCAAATGGGATTCTTAATTTGGGGGGAAACTGCTACAAAGGCCTCTATAGTGTGCAGTTTTATAATAGAAGAAATCTGCCTCCTGTTCAATATTTTCCATCACTCCCACCTGCTCACAGTATGCTTTACCTACCTGTTAATGGGTAATTCTGTTGGATTGGTGTATCAGCAAGACAGTTCAGGTTTAACTACCTTCTCCAGTGACCAACTCACCCATGGAAAACTCATGCATCCTTACTACACCAACCCATGAGAGCATAAGCTGTTTCACTAAAGCCTGTTCTCTCACCCATTTGCCTGTCTACATGTTCCCTTCCCCTGCTCAGCAAGGCACATATCAGCAAGACACATACCCCATCTGGAAATGAGATGCCAGTCTGCCCTATTGAAAGCAAGCCACCACTGTTTCTCACATGGATTATCACAATAGCCTACTAACAGGCATCACTACTTTCAATCTTGGCAATTTTTAGTCATGAAAACTTAGGTTATTCCATGTCACTTCTTAGCTCAATAATCTCTAGCACTCCCCATCTCAGTTAGAGGAAAAATCAAAATCCTTAAAAGAACCTATAAAACCCTACATGTACAAATTGCCTGCTATTTCTCAATTCATTTCCTAACTATGCTTTTTGTCTTTCTTGTCCTGCTCTGGTCACACTGTCTCCTTGCTAAAAGCTGTTACCTCAGCCTAAAACACTACTACCCTAGATAAGTGCAGATCTTTGCTCAAGTGTCACTTTCTTCACAAAGGCCTACCTGAGCATTCTTTATAAAATGCAAACCATATCCTCTGGCACTCCCTACTCCACTTCTCTGCTTTATTCTTCTTCATATTACTCAACACCATGTACCATATTAAAAACTTTTTTTCTTCTACCCTAAAATTTAAGCTTCCAGTATTTTGCCTGTTTTCTTCACTGATATACCCCAACAGCAAAACACTGCTCAGCATATAGTAGATCACAATAAATACTTGTTGTTAATAGTAATAAATAGAAGACATGACACATGAAAGCTAAAATAAGATACAATAAAAAGCTCTCCCATTTTGTTGCTCTTCTTTTGATCTCTCTGGATAGCCTACAAAAACAGAATTCTTTTCTCTAAGAAAATAAGTACCGAAGTCAAATATTGACTAGGATTTTTCTCATTGTTCATATATTGGCAACTATGACTCAAAACTACATACTGTGCATTTCACATTTCAAAGAAGGCCAATAGAAATTTAGACCAGAAAATTGTCTCAGGATTCATTAAGAGATGGTTAAACCAGCTCAGTTATCAGTCTGTCCTAAAATACATTTTATAGCTATTATTTTGAATAGCTTGGACCCAATAAGGATTCAAACATTGCATTTGATTTTTAGTCTCTTTGTCTCTTTTAATCTAGTTCTGCCATTTTTTATGATATTGGCTTTTTTGAAGAGTACAGCCCTACTATTCTATAGAATAACTCACATTATAAATTTGTCTGATTACTTCCTTGTGGTATTATTAAATTTGTACCTCCATTTCCTGGATTTACAGTAACATTAAGATATAGAAGCTTTATTAGACTCAGATTGAACATTTTTGGGCTAGAATATTTCAGAGATGATTTTGTGTAATTCATTTTTCCCACATCAAAGTATCAGTGTACACAATTTTGGGTTATTTCACTATTGAGGCAAAGTTTGATTTTTCATTAAGATAGTGACCATCAGATTCCTCCTTTTCAAAGGTACATTTTTCTCTTTGCACTTTTTAAGTTATTAATACTTAAAACTGTTGTGTAAAATTTTAAGTTATTTGGGGTAAAGCTTTGACATTATAAAACATTTTCCCCAAGGGCCTTTTATCTATTGTTTCTAGAAACCATTGGTGATCTTTGCCTCAATCATTTACATTGGAGGTTACAAAGTAGTAGAGTCTATATTTTTAACCAGCATAAATATACCATTATTTTATCCAGCCATAAAATTTCTGAGGGGAATAATGAAAGGAAGAATGCTGGGCAATAAATGTAGGGTCTAAGACATGTGGTGCTCAATAAAAGATATAAAATTGCTTTCCTACTGGGACTTCCAATTTAATCAATCTAATTACCAGCACCTTGTCTAATAAGCACAAAGGAATGATCTTGTTCACTGCCCAATATACCATGTCTAAATGCAAAGCTACCTTTCTGAATGCCTAAGCTACTTCACATTAGACTATGAGGGTATTTATTTTCTATTCAAAAACCCTAGACACGTCTGATGAATTTCCAACTCTCAACTGTAAATCCTATAAGCATGTCCACACCATTGCCAGGATTAAAAGAAATAGAATATTTACCCCAAAGTCAGGAAATTACAGGGAAAAAGAAATAGTTCCTGTCGGTTTAAAATGAAAATTTGTTAAGAATACCCGTTACTACTTAGAATAAAGGGTCTTGCTGGATGACTGTAATAATCTTCTATTCAAATTGGGCTCAAAATATGTCCAGAGATGGATATAAATACACTTTAGAAATTGCTTCCTTTAGAATAATATATATTTTCTTATAGTTAATTATAACATTTCCTTTTTTATTACTCAGAAGACAGAAGCAGAACAAATTCATAATAAGCTGAGGGGCATTTTAGACAGTACCTAGGCACTAGAAAAGTAATTCTATGTTCCTACAGAATTTCCTGCTGAATCTCATGAATATTGTTTACTAAATCATATTATCTTAGAATCCAAAAACCATAATTAACAGGAATCTGAAAACTAAAAATATACAATTCCTTATTTTATGGGGATGCATGCTTAAATATAACTAAGTTCTCTAAGACTATTTAAAGAAAGTGATGATAACAGTTAACCAAAAAAAATTTACTAATCACTTACTATAAACAAGCTATCATTAAGGAAGATGGGATCAAAAAGGATTTAATATGGCTTCTACTTTTAAAAAAGTACATTATGTGGTTGGAGCACTGAAAGGTAATCGGGACAAACATATACCAACACCAAAGAAGAATACAAGGCAGTATGTGCTGTGCAAAGTGACAACCATGGAGAGAAACTGCTTCATTTATTTATTTATTTATTTATTTATTTATTTATTTATTTTTTGAGACCGAGTCTCGCTCAGCCACACAGGCTGGAGTGCAGAGGCACAATCTCAGCTCACTGCAAGCTCCGCCCCCCGGGTTCAAGCAATTCTCCTGCCTCAGCCTCCTGAGTAGCTGGGACTACAGGCAGCTAATTTTTGTTTTTGTTTTTGTTTTTGTTTTTTTAGTAAAGACAGGGTTTCACCATGTTGGCCAGTATGGTCTCGATCGCTTGACTTCGTGGATCCGCCCACCTCAGCCTCCCAAAGTGCTGGGATTACAGGCGTGAGCCACCACGCCCGGCCAGAAGTGCTTTAATTACTGAGAGGAAGGCAAGATTAGTGAGGGCTGAGGTGGTCAGAGAAGACTTCCTGGAGGAGATGGAACTTTAATAGAATCTTGAAGAATGGGTAAGATTCAGAGAAGCAAAGAAGAGAGTAGTGGTAGCCTAAGATGGAATGAAGTCATGAGGAAATCACAGGGGCATCATTGTGTTGGGTATTCGTGAGACACAGTGAGGACAAAACTGTGGCCACTGTTAGAAAAATTTTGGTAATTCAGATGTCATATTAAAATCCTAATGAAGCACAACTTTGCAGATGCTGCTTTCCTTTGTAAATTGTCAAGGTCTCTTTTTTTTTTTTTTTTTTTTTTTTTTTTTTTTTTTTTTGAGACAAAGTCTCACTCTGTCACCCAGGCTGGAGTGCAATGGCACAATCTCGGCTCACCAAAACCTTTGCCTCCCAGGTGCAAGTGATTCTTCTGCCTCAGCCTCCCAAGTAGTTGGGATTACAGGCGCCCACCACCATGCCCAGATACTTTTTTATTTTTAGTAGAGATGGGTTTCGCCATGTTGGCCAGGCTGGTCTCAAACTCCTGACCTCAGCTGATCCTCCCACCTCGGCCTCCCAAAATGCTGGGATTACAGGCTTGAGCCACTGCGCCTGGCCCCAAGGTGTCATTTATAAGAATAATTCAAGTCTCAAATCAGTCACTTTTACAAACCAAAACTCAATAAATAAACAATACCTTCAATATGCTTTCAGCTGGGTCCTGCAATTAGTTCCTACACACTAATCAAAACTTCCATTTATTGTGGTTCATTATTTTATGTAGAGTTAGTCTGAATTTTAATTTTTCTCATTAAATTACTTCATTCTGCTTACTAGCACCCATTTACCTCAATCTTTAATATGATATACTTAAACAGCATTTTAAAATTCCAATTTAAGTGAGATTAGCCTTTCCATAGGATACTGAAGTAGGAAGGTTTGACTCTACTTTAAACTCTTCCTCTGTTAAATGAAGAAATTAAAGTAGACTCGTGGTTTTTTTAAACCATTTTTTTAAACCAAGGGAATCCCCTTAAAAACAAACAAACTCAGATCTACCTGAACTATAGGTAGGGGATCTGGTGTTATCCCTGTTATTCCTTCTCTTTCACCTTATAGAGCCCCCAAGAAATTTTTTCAGGGGCAAAGGGTTCCAGGAAAAACAATTTGAAAAGCATGGGAGTAGATGCTCTCTAAGGGCCCTAGCAGTTCTAAATTTCTGTCATTCTAAGAAAATTGCTTCAAAAGATTCAACCAAATGCATAGCAATATGTGATTCACATTTTGATGACAATCTTTGGTCCAGTAGCTAGTTCAAAATCTATAAAGAGTTTGGAGAGAACCATTACATGTATGGATTATCATGTTTCCTCAGGAATTGTATAAAGAGAGGATTGGATGTAGGGAAAAGTCAGTCTTTGACACAGCTCACCTTCCTTCCCTTTTTTCATCTTTGGACCTGGCAGCCCAATGTACCCTCCTTCTCACCCCGTAGCTCATCCCAATAGGGATGGCTCATTTTGAACCTGTCTACCCTAGAAATAATCCATGATTTATATATCTCTTTTATTCCCAAAATATCCTTGTCCCAGGTCATATTTTCCTCAGGAATTACTCCCTCTATGGCAATAATTAACTCTGCTTGATAAACACTTAAATACTAATGTGACAATGAATGTTATTGATGAGTGAATATCTTACTTTATCTAGTTAATATGTTTACATGTTAATGCTGACACTCCATAGACTAAGTACAATATTGCCATTGTGAGAATTTGGGGAACTATTCTTGGTCAATGGAAGAATTGATTTTGAAGTGGTAGATCATTCAGTGTCTCTCAAATCACAATACAGTTAACTCTTAAAAAAGCAGAGGCTAGTGGCACTGACCTTACTGCAGTTCAAAATCCATGTATAACTTTGGCCTCCTCCCAAAATGTAACTACGAATAGCCTACTGTTGACTAAAGCTGAACTGATAAACAGTTGATTAACACAGATTTTGTATGTAATATGTATTATATATTATATTCTTACAATGAAACAAACTAGAGAAAAGAAAATGTTATTAAGAAAGTCATCGGTGGCTCACGCCTGTAATTCCAGCACTTTGGAAGGCCAAGGTGGGTGGATCACGAGGTCAGGAGATTGAGACCATCCGGGCTAACACAGTGAAACCCCGTCTCTGCTAAAAATACAAAAAATTAGCCAGGCGTAGTGGCGGGTGCCTGTAGTCCCAGCTACTCAGGAGGCTGAGGCAGGAGAATGGTGTGAACCCAGGAGACGGAGCTTGAGCTTGCAGTGAGCCGAGATCGCGCCACTGCACTCCAGCCTGAGCGATACAGCAAGACTCCGTCTCAAAAAAAAAAAAAAAAAAGAAAACCAAAAAAAAAAAAACAAAGTCGTAAGGAAGAGAAAATATATGTAGTATTAATTAAATAGAAGTGGATCAACATAAAAGTCTTCATCTTACTCATCATCACATTGAGTAGGCTGAGAAAAAGGAGGTGTTAGTCTTGCTGTCTCAGTGATGGCAGAGGTAGAAGAAAATCCACATATAAGTGAACTCATGAAGTTCAAACCCACGTTATTCAAGGCTCAACTGCACATAAGTGTCAGTTTGCTTTTCTTATTTTCACACTTTATTTTTATTTTGTATTTTCAACTTTTAAGTTCAGGGGTACATGTGCTCTTAATTCAGAAAGCCAGTCTTCAAGCTCTGAGATTCGTTTGGTCTATTCTGCTATTAATACTTGTGATTGTGTTGTGAAGTTCTTGTAGCATGTTTTTCAGCTCTAACATGTCAATTATGTTCCTCTCTAAACTGGCAATTTTGGCTGTCCGCTCCTGTGTTGTTTTATCGTGATTTTTAACTTCTTTGCATTGGGTTACAACATGCTCCTCTAGCTCAGTGAAGTTTGTTATTATCCACATTGTGAAGGCTACTTCTGTCATTTCAGCCATCTCAGCCTTAGCCCTGTTTTGAGCCCTTGTTGAAGAGGTGTTTTGGTCATTTAGAGAAAAAGGGTCACTCTGGCTTTTTGAGTTTTCAGTATTTTTGCATTGATTCTTTATCATCTTTGACAGCTTATCTACCTTCAATCTTTGAGGTTGCTGACCTTTGGATGGGGTTTTTGTGGGTTGTTGTTGTTGATTTTTGTTTGTTTTACTTTTAGCTGTCTGGCTACTCTTCTGTAGTACTGCTGCAGTTTTCTGTGAGTGCCCTCCAGACTCTAGTTTCCTCAGTTATTCCCATACCTGGAGGTATCACCAGTGAAGGCTGAGAAACAGCAAAGATGGCAGCCTGCCCCTTCCTCTGGAAGCTGCATCCCAGTAGGGCACTGACCTATTGCCAGCCTCAATGCATCTGTAGATGGCTGGGGACCCCTGTTGGGAGGTCTCATCCAGTCTGAAGGAACAGGATCAGGAACCTGCTTAAAGAAGTGGACTCAGGCAGTTCAAACACACTTTGTTCAAGGCTCAACTGTACATAAATGTCAGTTTGCTTTTCTTGTGCACAGAGTACCAGGCTTAATAATTATCTCTTCTGGTTATAATTGTGATGCTTTATAATTGTATCAGAATATTGTATTGTTCATTTATGTATTTGAAAGCCTTTCTACATGGAGGCATGTTACCCACAGATCTCTCCTTCCTAATCAAGAAATTTCCACAACCTGCTTTAGTTACTAGTTCATAAATTAAATAATCCTTAAAAAATGTTTCATTTTCTTTATAAAATCTATCTAAAGTGGAAAGAGGGCACCTGTACTGTAAAAAAAGAGCACAGAACTTCTCAGACAAGCATATGATGCCAATATTATGTGTAATGAGAAATCTGACAACACTACACCAGATTAGAAGCAATTCTTCTGAAACATATATAAGCTTCTATTTTGTCTGACTTGGATTAAGTTAAGAATCATGCTCACTCCCTGTACATGCCACCTAAATGAATCTGAATACAGGTAGTCCAAAAGAAGCTCGGATATCAAAGGAATTCATTATCAAGTTTCATTTTGGATGGGACTAATCTATACAGACAAGGGTGAGATAATTATAATTACTACCAATTCATAGTAGAATGCAATCTTCGGTGGAGATAGGTTTAATGCCTGAGCATTTCTCATCAAACCTCTTGCATATTTACACATGCAATGTATAGATTTATCTAGCCTCACTTTTAGGAGGTAATCACTATATTGTTCTATTATTTGATATTCCAATATCCCAGATTATTATTCATTTAGCATAGTCTGTTTCAAAAGTGTCTACAGTGGTCATCCTTATAAAGAGATTTATTCATCAAACTCTAACATCCACAAGCACTGTGTCATTTTCACAGAAACTACAATCCAGAAAAGATAATATGACAGCTGCCCTGACACCAAGGGTAGATTCTGAAAGAGGATCAGACATAAAGCCCAAGGGACACTTGAAAAAACAATTCAAAACCAAGCCCAAGGGAGTATAGCTTTATATTAAAGATCACAAGTACCTCAGGCACCATTAATTTTGAAATCACTGCCACCTCCCAAATGAGGTGCTTTCTTAGAAATAATGACGTACTGATATACTTTTTGTAGCTATGATGCATCTGAGCCCTTACCAAATTGTCATTTCCTCAAAAAATATAATGAAAGAAAAATATCAGTAAAAGTACATGCTCAGAAGTTCTGGTTTTGCATTCAATTTCACACCAAGTGAATTTATACAGACAAATTAAATATAAAAGATCTTTCAGAAATAAAGAATTCAAATATCATTGCTTAAAAGGAAGATGAAATGATCAGAGAAAGAGATAGACAGACAGGCACATGCCTGACAATTTTCATGACATGTGGTTTTGAATACGAAACATGTAAAATTTGTCAATTACTTGCTGCCATACCTTAGAAAGTTCTTTTGGTGCAATATCCTTGCTAGTGACCTGGGCAGGGTATTATATGCATCTTCCCACTGCTGCATATAATTTGTACATGAATAAAGAAAAACTTTCTAAGGTAACAAACTTCTAAGTAGGGGTCTTAATAGCTAAGAATGTTGTTATATTAGAAATCTCATAGATTCATCAAAGCAAAGATATTTTTCCAGGAATAACAGTAGAGTTACTGTACACATCTAATAGGATTTGGAACACACACAAACACACACACACACACACACACACACACACACACACACACTCATTTTTAAAAATTACAGGTGCCAAGTAACAGCTTCAGTTTATTCTATCACTGTGTCACTGTTTGGGGCAAGAAACAGAAAAATGAGTTTAGATATCATAAACAATATAAAACAGATTTAAGTAAGCAGAAACCAGTTCTCGAGTGTAGGTGCCAACAATTTGCAAGGATTGTCCATGCTGTGTCTTGGGTGTATGACAAATTGTTACCACAGTATTTAATTTGGGAAAGTAGTTCACAGAGAACAATAAAGACACCTAGGAGGAGAAAGTTGCTATTGAACAAACAAAAGGGACACAAAACTTTCAGGGATAAATCTCTGGCATGTATGATTATATCTGGCTCCCCTACTTATGATTCCCTCTGACTATAACCGCAGCTTATCTAAATCCTTCTTTATCCAGAGGGTTTTCCTCAAGGCCTACCTCCTTTACAATTTGATTCACCCCATCCATACAGAAAAAGCTTTCTACAAGCTGTTATTGACATAAATAACATACCAAATTGTACCTGGTTGCTTGCTAATTGTCTCAGGGATGATTTTTGCTTCTCTATTTAAATAGACTGCATGGTCCCTGAGGAAAAGGACAATTTTTCATATATTAATATGTGTAACAATACTGAGTATTCAAATTTAATAGATAGTATAAACTGACTGACATATAGTAATTCACTACTCTACCTTAAGAGCTATGCTTAGATAAAAATAATTGGCCAGGGGAAGGCTTCAAGATGGCTGACTACAGGCATTTTGTACTTGCTTCCTCCACTAAGATGGACTAAAATAGCGAGTAGGTAATTATACTTTGAATAGATCATCCAAGAGAGAACACCAGAATTCAAGAGAAGTGTGACAGGCAATACTTAAAGCAAGCAAGGACAAGAAAATGAGGCAGCCTACTCAACTGGGATTGGCTGGGAGATGACAGTGACTTCCCAATATGGGGAAAAGATAAATGAGTCACTCAGTGGTCCACATTCCACCAGGGACATATGTAATCCTAGCTACCAGATAGCCCCTTGACCCTCATGGGCCATGAAAATAACATAGGCAGCTACCAGGAGTTTGTACAATGGTACTGCCCCAGGGAGGAAGCTCATGCTTGGTCCCTCACATTCTCTGAGACCTATGCAGCTACAGAAAGGCATCATTTTAGAGCTCTGCCCCTAACAGACTACATATTGACTTAAGAGTCTATCAGCTCCAGGGTTGAGGTGCAAGAAGAGCACGGATTGCTACTCCTGGGGCTTAGTTGTAAATGACTGCAGAATACCATACCCAGGGAAAAGGCATGACTGAGTCCTTTAGGACTGAGATGCCTTTAGAACTGAGGTGAAAGTGAGGTGCAATCCTAGAGCCCCACCCCAACAGGCTGTGCACTCTCCTGGAGCTCAGCAGCACTGGGACTGAGACACAACAGAAGAGTTGACTGAATCCAGACCTTAAGGACAAGCAATCACAGGCTACTACACCCAGAGCTGAGGTGCAAGCACCACTGGGACCAAGGAATGAGTAGTGAACACACTCCCTACTCACTTGCCTGGGCTGCTATCACTAAAGATGGCACCATCCCCAGCACAGAATGCACACCTGCATGCAAATATTCTGTCCATGGCCTGGGGATCACTCTAATCCTACTTATCACACAACCAGCACCTGTACACACAATTGAGGGGCCTAAAGATAAACCAGCATAGCTAAGCTTTGCCAATGCCCCCCACCCTATGTCAGAGCACACATTCCTGGAGACAGGGCATTGCCCAGCCCAGTCCACTACCATTGGTACCTAAACACTCTTCTCAGGGGCTTGAGGTTGGGACTACCCACCTGGCCACTACCACAACAGCAGGCACTACTTACATATGCCACCTGTGGGCCTGGAGACTGGCTTGCCAAGCCGATCACAGCCACTGCTAGCATCACCATGCATTGGTTGAGATCCAGAGCGTCATCCTGCCACTGCCATGGCCATTGCCATGTCACACCAGCTATCCAGGGACCCAAAAACTTTTCCACCTCCACGGTTCATGGCTGCCACTAACAGCATCTTAGTATTCTACCTGGAGGCCCAAGAATCAGCCCACCTGAACATACTACCACCCATGCCAGTGTATACCACAGTGTATACCATTTGGCCCAAGGAAAGCCAAATGCAGCCCCAGCTGCCACCACTGGGGTGCAAAGCATGACCTACTTAAAATCCCAGTACACAGAAAACCTGCCACACAACCTGCACTAATAACTGCATCCTACGCCACTGAGAAAATTACAGATATCACTGATGCTGTTTACAACCAAAGAAATCATATAAAGACTCTACTACTTCCTGTACCTAAAATGAAAACCAAAGTGCCCTATTCAAAAAAACTTCATAGATTTGTCCTCAGGAAAAAGTGTTCCCCTATAAAAGCAAATTCAAAAAAGTGGAAGAAGCTACTATTATACCAGATGCACAGATATCAGCGTAAGGACATGGGAAACATGAAAAAGCAAGGAAACAAGACACCTCCAAAGGAATACAATAATTCTCCAGAGACATATTCCAATAAAAAAAATCACAAAATCTTAGAATTAAAATTATTGTCATTAAAGAAGTTCAATGAGATACAAGAGAATTCTGAAAAACAAAGAAATCAGAAAAACCATTTACAATATGAATAAGAAATTTACCAGAGATATCATAAAAAAATAATTGAACAGAAATTCTGGAACTAAATAATTCATTGATTGACCAACAAAATACATTTGAAAACTTCAAGAGCAGACTACATCCAGAAGAAGAAAGAATCTCAGAACTTGAAGCGAGGTATTTTAAAATAACCAAGTAGACAAAAATAAATTTAAAAGAACTAAGTAAGCCTTCATGATATATGGGACATCACAAAGTGACCAAATGTATAAATTATCAGTATTCCAGGAGGTGAAGAGAGAGCAAAAGGGTTCTAAAACCTATTTAAAGATATGATAGTAGAAAACATCCCAAATTTAACAAGGGACTTCGATATTCAGATACATGAGGCATAGTGATCTCAAAACAAATATAGTACAAAAATGTGCTATGTGGCACATTACAGTCAAAATGTCTAAATGTCAATGACAAAGAAAAAATTCTAAAAATAGTAAGATACATGTCTAGTCACCTGTAAAGGAACCCTCATCAGACTAACAGTGGATTTCTCAGTACACATCTCACAGGCCAGGAGAGCATGAGATGATATATTCAAAATGCAAGAAGGAAAAAAAAAACTGTCAAAGATACTACAACCAGCCAAATTCTTCTGCATAATTGAAGGAAAATATAGTCTTTCCCAGGCAAGCAAAAGCTAAAAGAATTCATCACCACTTGACTGAAATCATCAAGAAATCATCAAGGAAGCCTTAAACCTGGAAGTGAGGGGACATTTACCATTACAAAACACACAAAAGTATAAAATTCAATGGTAAACCAAACATAAATGAGAAAAAGAAAGAATTAAAATGATATCACTACAGATAAAAATGATATCACTATAGATCAATGGCAAACCACAATGAAAAACAATAAGAAAAAAAGAAACTAAGAATATACAAAACAACCAGAAAACAATTAACAATATGATAGAAACAAACCTCATATATCAATAATAACCTTGAACGTAAATGGATAAATTCTTTACTTAATAGATACAGATTGGCTGAATGAATTTAAAAACTACATGATCCATTTGTATTATGCCTACAAAAAACACATTTTACCTGTAAAGACATATAAACTAAAAAGAAAGCAGTGGGAAAGATATTTTACACAAATGTAAACCAAAAGTGAACAGGAGGAGCTACATTTATATCAGATAAAACAGACGTTAAGACCCAAACCGTAAAAATAAATACAAAAATACAAAGAAGGCTATTATACAATGATAAAGGGATCAATCTAGCAAGAGGAAAGAATTATTCTAAATATACAGTTAGCCAACACTGGAGCACCTAGATTAATAAAGCAAATATTATCAGATCTAAAAACAGAGATAGACTCCGTATTTGTCTGTTTTTGCATTGCTATAAAGAACTGCCCAAGACAGGGTAATTTATAAAGAAAAGAGGTTTAATTGACTGACAGTTCCGCATGGCTAGGGAGGCCTCAGAAAACTTACAATCATGGCAGAAGGGAAAGTAGGCACCTTCTTCACAAGATGGCAGGAGACAGCGTGAGCATTTGAAGGAGGAATTATCGAACACTTATAAAACCATCAAATCTCGTGTAACTCACTCACTGTCACAAGAACAACATGGAGGAAACTGCCCCATGAGCCCAATCACCTCCCTCCCTCATACATGGGGATTACAAGTACCTCGTTCAACACATGCAGATTACAATTTGAGATGAGACTTGGGTGGGGACACAGAACCAAACCATATCAGACTCCAATACAGTAATAGCGGGGGACGTTAATATCCCATTCTCAGCATTAGATGGATCACCCAGACAGAAAATCAATGAAGAAAAATTGGATAAAAACTAGACTTTAGACAAAATGGACCAAACAGACATTTTTAAAACAATTTACCCTGCAACTTGAGAATGTACATTATTCTCACCAGCACATGGTGCATTTGCCAGGAGAGACCATATATCTGGCTCCAAAACAACTATCAACAAAATTTTTAAAACTAAAATCATTTCATGCATCCTCGCAGACCACAGTGGAATAAAATGAGAAACCAATACCAAGGAGAACTTTAGAAAATATGCAAACACATGGAAGTTAAACAACAAGCTCCTAAATGACAGTTGGATCAATCAAAAAAATTTCTTAAAACAAACGAAAATGGAAACAGAATGTATCAAAACCTGTAGGATACAGAAAAACCAGCACTAAAAGAAAAGTTTATAGCAAGAAATGCCTGCATCGATAAAGTAGAAAGACTTCAAATAAGCAATTTAATGATGCAATTAAAGGAACAAGAAAGCAAGAACAAAACACATTCAAAATTAGCAGAAGGAAATAAATAATAAAGAGCAAAACTAAACAAAATAGTGACTTTAAAATGGTACAACAAACAAGTGAAAAGTTAGTTTCTTGAAAAGATGAAAAAAAATTAATAAACCACTAGCTAAACTAACCAAGATAAGAGAAGACCCAAGTAAACAAAATCAGAAATGAAAAAAGAGATATCAGAACAGATACCACAGAAATACAAAAGATCATCAGAGACTGTTATGAACAACTATATGCTGACAAACTGGAATATCTAGAGGAAATGGATAAATTCAAGGTAACACACAACTTACCAAGATTAAGTCAGGAAGAAATAGTAAACCTGAATGGAACAATAATAAGCAATGAGATTGAATCACTAATAAAAAGTCTCCCACACACTAAGGCAGGTATTCTTAAAGAAGAGGAGTCAAAGACAGTAGATAGAGTTGGAGGAAGAGAAATGGGTAATAAAAGAAGAGCTTAGCAAGGAGAGGGCAGATGCTTCTATTCCTAAGCTTGTCATTAGAAACGTTGCACACATGTCTTTGAATTACTTTTTGTAAATCAGGGAGAGAAACTTCCTATCACTTCCTCTCATATCTGTTGCTGTATCAGGCTCTTCGTTTTTGTTCCAGGTAGCAGCTATTGTAGACTACTTCCTTACCAGTGAACACTGTCTGGGGAGTTAAGAAAGAAAAACTTCCAGTGTCCCAAGGTGACTGACTAGAACAATATAAATTTCTGTGGTAAAATGAAAAAAGAAAAAAGAAATAAAAAGTCTCCCAACACACAAAACCCAGGACTGCATGGATTTACTGTCAAAATCTACTAAACTATAAAGAATGAATAATATCAATCCTCCTGAAACTCTTACAAAATAATGAAGAGGAGGGAATTCTCCTTAATTCATTCTACAAAGACATCATGACCCTGATATCAAAACTAGATAAGAATACAAAAATGAGAAGAAAAGAAAACTACAGGCCAATATACTTGCTGAACATTGACATAAAAATCCTCAAAAAATACTAGGAGATAGAATGCAGCAGCATATCAAAAAGACAACACACCATGATCTAGTGGGATTTATCCCAGAGATGCGATGATAGTTCAACATATGCAAGTCAATATATGTGATACATTACATCAATGAAATTGAAAACTAAAACCATATAATCATCTCAATGGATGCAGAAAAAGGAACTGATAAAAATCAACATTGCTTCATGATAAAAACTGTCAACAAAGTAGGTATAGAAGGAACATACCTCAAAATAATAAAGTCCATATACAACAAATTCATAGCTAACATCATACTGAATGGGGAAAAGTTGCAAGCCTTTCCTCTAAGAACTGAAACAACACACTTTCACCACTCCTATTCAACATAATACTGGAAGTCCTAGCCAGAACAATCATACAAGAGAAACAAATAAATGAAATCCAAAGTGGAAAGAGGAAGCTAAATTGTCCCTCTTTGCAGATGACATAATCTTATGTTTAGAAAAACCAAAAGACTTTAATTGTTAGAACTGATAGACGAATTCTGTAAAGTTGCAGGATACAAAATCAACATAAAAAATCAATAATGTGTTCATATACTAACAATGGAACAGCCAAAAAAGAAATCAATAAGGCAATATCATTTACAATACCTATAAAAAATAAAGTATAAACAAATAAGTGTGACCAAGGAAATTAAAATCTCTACAAGGAAAATTACAGAATACAGATAAAAGAAACTGAAAAGGACACAAACAAATGGAAAGACATCTCACGTTCAAGAATTAGAAGAATTAACATGGTTAAAATGTCCATACTGCCTTAAGCAATCTACAGATTCAATGCAATCCCTATCAAAATGCCAATGACATTATTCATATCAATAAAAATAAAAACCTAAAATGTATGAAACCAAAATGAGCCCAAACAGGCAAACCAATCCTGTGCAAAAACAACAAAGCTGGAGGCATGGCACTACCTGACTTCAAAATATATTACAAGGGTATAGCAACCAAAACAGCATGGTATTGATATAAAAATAGATAATGGACCAGATTAGAGAACCCAGATGTAAGGTCACATGTTTACAGCCAACTGCTTTTCAAAATAGGCATGAAGATGAGACATGGGAAAGAATATCCTCTTCAATAAATTAGGCTGGGAAAATTGGATATCCATATGCAGAAGAATGAAACTGTATCCTTAGCTCTCAGTATATACAAAAATCAACTCAAGATGGATTAAAGAATTAAATGTAAGACCTAAAACTATACCACCACCAGAAGAAAGCAAAAGGAAAACACTCCAGAGTATTGGTCTAGGCAAAGATTTTATGGCTAAGGCCTCAAAAGCACAGACAACTAAACAAAAATAGACAAACCTACTATACCAAGCTAAAAAGCTTCTTTACAGCAATGAAAACAGTCAACAGGGTAAAAAGACAACTATTGAATGGGATAAAATATTTGCAATTTATTCATCCAAAAAGAGATTAATATCCAGAATATATAAGGAACAATACAAAACAAATAATCCTATTAAAAAGTTTGCAAAGGACTTGAATTGGCATTTCTCAGAAGACATAGCAATGTCCAACGAGTAGATGAAAAAATGCTCAAAGTAACTAATCATCAGAAAAATGCAAATCAAGACAACAATGACATATTATCTTAACCCAGTTAGAATGGCTATTATTAAAAAGATAAAAAAAAAAAGAAGCTGAAAAAGATATAAAGAAAAGGGAACTCTTATACACTGTTAGTGGGAATGTAAACTAGTACAATCATTATAGAAAATGGTATGGAGATTACTCAAAAACTAAAAATGCATCTGCCATATGACCCAGCAATTCCACTACAGGGATATCTATTCAAAGGAAATGAAATCAGTATATCACTGGGGTATCTGCACGTGCATGTTTATCACAGAACTATTCATAATAACAAAGATATGCAATCAACCTAAGTGTCCATCAACAGATGAATGGATAAAGAAAATGTGGTGTATATACACAGTGAAATACTATTTGGCCATAAAAAAATAAGGAAATCATGTCATTTACAGCAACATGGATGGAACTGGAGGTCATTACATTAAGTGAAATAACCTAGGCACAGATAAACAAGTATTGCCTGTTCTCATTCATATTTGGAAGCTAAAAAATTAGATCTTTTCAATGTAGAGAGTAGAATAATAGACACTAGAGGCTGGGAAGAGCGGGTGGGCAGGAGGGAGTATAAAGAGAGAGAGGTCAATGAGTACAATGATACAATTAGAAAAAAATGTATAAGTTATACTATTTGAGAACATAGTAGAGGGATTACAGTTAACAACAATGTATCATATATTTCAAAGTAGCTAGAAGAGAGGAGTTGAACTGTTGCCAACACATAAAAATGATCATCTCAAATATCCTGTCGTGATCATTGCATATTACATTTTGCATGTAATAAAATATCACATGTACCCCTTAAATATGTAAAACATCATGTATCACTAAAAAAGGCCTATGCTTAACCTCTACAAATTGGGAAGCATCAAAGGCCAAAATAAGAATAAGGCTCAACTAAAGTTAGCTGTTACCTGAAATACTGAAGACTGCCTAGAATCTTTAAGTGTTACTGTCAATAGCACTACAAGAAGTTATTTTGCCCAGCCCCTTGCCTTAAGGCAGACGAGTATTTAACTGAATTTGTTCTCTTACCAAAGAACACAGAGAAAGAAACACACACATTTCAGTATAAATGTCTATTACAATATCTTATTCACCCCACCAGTTAAAAAGTTTTACCTTTGCCATACAAAATCTCATGAATTTATGCTATCTCAAACACACAATGATTCCTCTGATTATTTCTTTTCATTTAAAATTGAACATTTGGTTGGGTATTATGTTGCCAAAACTATTGAAAAATGCTTCATGATAGGTCAGTAATTCAGAAGAGAACAATCTTAATTCCTTCTTTTTATGCCCAACCTCCAGTCTTCACCAGTATGGGTCAAATGCTAAACAGATCCACAAGAAAAGGAAACTAACATTAAATCTACTCAGTCTGGGAACATATTGCTTCTTGTGTTAAAGTGCAACAATGTATTGACATAACATCTCAGTATCTTATAATTCAGGCAATGAAAACTTTTTAACTCCGTTCTACCTTGGGCTCAGGCCAAAGTGATGAAGTTAACTTTAGCTCCTCAGGAAGGACTCAACTCTAAGGCTATGGGTACTTAGCATACCATCTCAAAAGAAGCTGACCAGAGATGGAAAGCCTTTAATTTCCATGGTCACTACTAAACTTTATATATTTTTAAGCATTTTTGGAAGTATAAATGTCCACTCTATCCAGGTTTAGAGAATGTCTTTCAGCATGGCTCATCATCGACAGACAAAAGGAGGGACATATCATTATTTTTGCTTGGTCTTACCCTTGACAATACTACAAATTACTTAGAAATTTTTTTAGCATAAAAGTATTTTCTAGAATAATCCCTCAACCAAAATGCCTGACATAAAATAAAATTTAAAAATGCATAAAAATGGGTTCCCTTTCCATTTCAATTAGTTTCATTGAATACATGTTTACTGATCTACTACCTTCATACCCAGCTCTAGGTTATACACATGGGGAATCAAAACAAAAAGATATTGTCTTTAACAATAAAGTGCCCCCAATATTGTGAGATGAGGCATTTGTACAAAATTACAAAACTATCATATTTCTAAAATCTGAGTACAGAGAATCTCGTTTCTTGACTAAGCAAATATGCATAATTTCCAAATATCCTTCCATCTCATTATTGAGAAAATGATATTCACTCCAAATATAACTGTATTTATGGATTCAATTGCATCCTAAATTGGAGGAAAAAAATAGCGCCAATAGATTACTAATTCCCACAGTGAAACGGGAGGATTTCCCTTATTCCCCTAGCAGGTATATGACAGGGGTGTGGCTGGCTTCTTTGGTGCCCTACTGCTCAAACCCCTAGGGGGAGCATGAGACGAGCAGGTAGTGGGGAGTGTTTTGGCGCTCCAATCCCACGGCAGCATCTAGAGTTGAGTGTTTACAGCTCCTGAAGCACCAGTGGGTGTGTGTTACAGTGTGCTCCTTCAGTTTTGCCATCTGCAGGTGGCTTGCACTAATCAGCTCAATTAGATCCTCTGCCCTATTGCAAGAACAGAGGGCTTTCTGTATCCTGGGTTCTTGCCCCCGTGTACTGGAAAAATTGGATCACACCTGGCCTTAAAGGATGGGTGCAAGGTTTTATTGAGTAGTAGAAGTTGCTCTCAGCAAGGTGGATAGGGAGCCAGAAGGGGGATAGAGTGGGAAGGTGGTCTTCCCCTAGAGTCAGGCCGCCCAGTGGCCGGATTCTCCTCCAACTGTCCCCGTCTAAATTCCATGTCGTCCCACCATCAATGGTCTGTGGCATCTGCTGGTGTCTGTCGGTGTGCTCTTCTGCTCCTCTCATCATCCAGCCACCTGTGTGTGTGTGCCTGTTAGGGTCTTGGGATTCTTATGGGCACAGGATGGGGGGCGTGGTGGGCCATAGTGGTCTTGGAAAATGCAACATTTTGGTGCAAAAACAGGAGTGTCTATCCTCACTTAGGTCCATAGGCAAAGGCCCGAGGGTGGAGCCCTTGCCAGGGACCCCATCCTTCTCTATCCAGTACACTTCCCTGCTCCTCTCCCATATCAACAGCAAGTTATACCTTTTAAAATACATTCCACTGTTGCAGTCAGTCCAGATATAACAACATTGCTGCATGATGCTCAATGTTACCCCTTCCCTAAACCCATAGAGATAAACTAAGCCATATAAATATATTAAAATTGACATTCTCCAAATAGTCAAAGAAATGTCAATTAAACAAAAAGATGTCATTTTTGCTCATCCACTGTCAAAGATATTTCTAAATTATTGAACTGATGATGGAAGGTGTAGAAAAGTTTCCTTAATCACGAATCGTTTAAATATAAAATATTATCCGCCTGGAAAATAATTTCCCAATAGATAACACAAAGATTTATGAAATTTACATACCAGTAATACCTATTTCAGCATGTAATTCAGCATTTAGCTATTACGGGAGAAAATGTGTGGTTTTACTCTATTTTGGGACAAATAGGAATACTGACTTTCCTATTCCTTTGAGGTTAAACGCAGCAATATGACTAGTTCTAGGCAATGAAATGTAAGCATGAATACTTCGCTTCTAGGCAGATGCATTTAAAAGCCAGTAAACAATTCTCTACATTTTTATTCCCTGCCAAGGTGTTCATGGGAGCACATATTGAGAGGGCAGCATCAGAAAATGATGGAGCCTCAGTAAATTTGCATCCCTGCTTATCAAGCAGAACTCCCCTAACAACCTGCAATGGAATTGTATTGTGAGCAAGAAACAAACCATTGGTTTAAGCTATAAAGATTTCCCGATATTTGTTAGCACAACATAAACTAGCCTATCCTGACTGATATGGTAGTCTATCTTTAAAAAATGAATATGAATGTGCATAAATGTATTTTTAAATAATGCTAGTAAATTGGAAATAACCTAAAAGACCCACAATATAAAATTTTAAAATTACACTGTAGCAAATCTGTATAGTGTAATACTATGCAGCTGTGAAAGGAAAATATCTTGGGCCCCCAAAATCACTAAGGAAAACAAGCTGGAAACTGCTTAGGGGGAACCTGCCTCCCATTCTATGCAAAGTTATCCCTCTGCTCACCGCGATAGATGCATATCTGATTGCCTCCTTTGGAAAGGCTAATCAGAAAATCAAAAGAATGCAACCTTTCCTGTTTCACCTATCTGTGACCTGGAAGCTCCCTTCCCGCTTTGAGTCTTCCTGCCTTTACTTCAAGTTGTCCCACCTTTCCAGACTGAACAAATGTACTTCTTACATATATTAATTGATGTCTCATGTCTCTGTAAAATGTATAAAACAAAGCTGTGCCCTGACCACCTTGGGTACATGTCGTCAGGATTTCCTGAGGCTGTGTCACAGGTGCATCCTCAACCTTGGCAAAATAAACTTTCTAAATTAACTGAGACCTGACTGGGTTCACACGGCCATTAAAAATTACATTGCATACGTATATTTACTGACAAACATATTCATTATATAACATTGAGTGAATAAAGTAAAATAACATGTATTGTGTTATCCAATTTTTGTTACAAACACACACACCATGTACAAACACCAAAATGTTAACATCAGTTATCGTTGGTGATGAACTTATGATTTCTCCATCTTTCCTCTTGTTTGAATGTCTTAATTGTCTAAAATAAAGATTCCATTATTTGTATAATAAAAAACAAAACATTAATTTTTTAAATGAGTGAGGTTACTATTCATAGACCTCATTGAGGTTAATTCATTTTAAGGAATGGAGATTTTTTTGCCTCTACAACTAGGAAATAAACAGTATCTGTATTTAGTTTAAACGACGGTAAAGGTAAGTTTTTAAAAATCCACCACGGATAATATGGATTTTCAGCATAAAATAGATAAGTCTGAATTATTTCCTTTCATCTTCCTAGTAGATGGAATGTTCTTTTACTCACAAACCTCCTGTTACAAGTAGGAGACTTGAGCCAAGACCCTGAGGGGTGATTTTTAATTGTTAATGTTGAACTCTGACAAAAAACAGAGACTATTGTTATGTAATTCATGGAAGCTCTCAACCTTTTCAACTTCATTCTGATGTGACCACTTCAAGTGTCACACACTAGCTGTATTTTGAAAGGGAATTGTAAGAAAACTGGTAGCTTTTAATAGGCTAAAAATTTTCTTCTACTTAAGAGACCTCTGCTACTGAATGCCATATCAGGATGAAAATGTACACCTCTTATTATTGCCATGATGCTTCACTACTGATTCTCATGACAGGGTTGGGGATGGAGGGGTAAGATTTCATGTCAAAACCCATATAATTATGATATGAATTGATGTGCACCCATGTACACTTTGTTTGAGGCTTTTATTTACCACTAACTACTCCCTCAAAAAAATTAGCAAAGCTAAGAAAATTGATACACTATAAAGAAGTTCATAGATATGAGAACCTCTAAAGGCAAAAAGGTTCACACTTGGGTATACTTAGTTTTGACTAGTAAGTTTCATAAACTTCTCATATTTAAACATCTGTGTTGATGCTCAGATAGCTAAGGTAAAAAGGCGTATCATTCATTGATTTGACAACCATCTGAGTACCTACTGTGTACCTGGCATTGTACTAGATTGCCAGGACACAGTGATGAACTAAAATAAACATGATCCCAGTTCTCCTGGACTTACAGGTAATGATACAAGGTGATAATGGCTAGAATCAAAATATATACAAAGAATTATTGATCTTTGGTGATGGAGAGTGATGGACGAGGAGCAGATTGGCTATGTATGAAAATCATTTTGAATGCTTTGTGAAGAATGGGTTGAAGAAATAAAAGAATAACATCAGAGAGACTGAATTGGAAGGCTACTAAGTGAACAATTATGGGCTGATACTATAAAGCATTGGCAGTGGGGATAGAGGGGATGGGGAAAGGCTATGGGAGATACTAAGGATGATGATTTCAACAGAACTTCCAAGATCAGTTGTATACTGAAAGGAGTTTAGGGTAGACAAAAATTGAGTCATAAACACGTTTCTACCTTTGGCAACTTCGTGAATCTAAGTATCCTTAAACAAACAATATAGGAAGTACTAGGGGAAGAAGAGGTTATGCAGAGAGATGGAAAACATAATGAATTCAAGATATATTTATACTAGGTGCCAACCATGATTGTAACTATTAGGAAAACAGCCTATCCTCCTCTAATCTTACTATCTTTCATATCACTTTATTTACTTTCCAGCATTTAACATGTTTGGTAACTAGCTTATTTCACATCAAATCTAAGACATCCTTATTTGCAATGCTTACGAAGATTTGGTATTTTAATAAAAAGGAAATAAAGTGCTTCCTTGTTAAACTGATTATAGAATACATCCCAATTACGTAGATGATGTGAAAATGTGAAAAAGGGGCACTTCAGAATCAATAAAATAAATTATTTTGTTATATGTTTGTTGTTTAATTTTTTGTTATGTTCTACTTAATAGTAATCTTCATGGAAACATTGGCATTATTTCTTTTGGCTCATTATTGTATTTCTAGCAGCCAGCACAAGGCCTGGCATAACAGTATCTCCTTGATAAATGTTTGTTAGTTTTGAAAAAAGGAGAGGGTAGGAGGGTGGGAGAAGAGAGTAAGCAAAGATAGATCTGGTCTCTGATCTCATAGAGCTTATCGTCTATTGAGCCAATCTGAAGAACAGATATTATCAAGTAATTTTAATAGAGAAATTACAGGGTTCTGTAGGAAATGTATAAAATAGAATATAAGCATAATTTGAAGAGAGTCAAGGATAGCTTTCTGAAAGAAGAAAAAACTAGTGTTTCACCTCCTGAATAATAAACAATACCAAGTTAGCTAAGGAAGATGGGAAATGAGTGTCTCTCTGTTCATGCTGCTGTAACAAAATACCTTAAATTAAGCAATTTAGAAAGAACAGAAATGAATTTCTTACAGGTCTGGATACTTGAGAAATCAAGATAAAGGCTCCAGCAGATTCAGCGTCTGGCGAGGGCTGTTCTCTGCTTCCAAAATAGCACCTTGTTACTGTGTCCCAGTAGAAGGGCAAAAGGTACTGGGGCACTCTCTTCAACCTTTTTCATAAAAGCATTAATACATTAATGAGAGCGGAGCCCTCATGGATTAATCACTTCCCCAAAGGCCCCACCTCCCAATAGCATCGTCTTGGGGTTTAAGTTCCAATATGTGAATTTTGGAAGGACACATAAATTCAGACCATACCATTACATCCTGGCCACCCAAAATTCATGTGCTCACATAAAAAAATGCATTAATTTCCTCCCAATAGCCACAAAAGTCTTAACTTTTTCCAGCATCAACTTTAAGGTCTAAGTCCAAAGTCTCATCGAAATATGATCTAAATGAGATATTTATGATACTAAATGTACTATTCATCCTGAGGAAAATTCGTCCTCTAGCTCTGAGCCTGCAGAGTCAAATCATGTACGTGTTTCCAAAATACAATGGTGGAACAGGCATCGGATAAACACTCCTATTCCAAAAGGAAGAAATGGGAAAAAGGAACGGAGTAACAGGTCTCAAATAAATCTAAATCCTCAAATACAAACAAGATTAAATCTTGAGGCTTGAGAGTAATCTTCTTTGACTTCATGTCCTACTTTCCAGACACACTGGTGTGAGTACCCTGAGGCTCCTGGAAACCTTAACCCCTATGGCTTTGCTGGATTCAGCCCACACAGCAGCTTTCACATGTTGAAGTCACATGCTTGAGACTCCCCAAGGCTGGAACTGCACACTGGTGACTCTACCAGTCTTGGGGCCTAGGGGTATCCCTATCCTCGTGGCTTCACTAGATATTGCCCTCAGGGGAGCTGTCTGTAGCAGCCCTGACCCCATGGCTACACTGGGTATTGGCTTTGGTGTGGGGTTCTCTGTGGTAGTCCCAATCCCACAGCTCCATTGGGTACTTTTCTAGTGAGGACTCTCAGCAGCAGCCCCAACCCTAGGCCAGTTCTCTGCCTGGGTCCTGAGGCTTTCCAAGGCATCCTTTGAAATATATGTAGAAGCAGCCATGTGTCCACAGCTTATGCAGTCTGCATGTCTGCAGTAAGCACCACATGAATGGCACCAAGGTTAACTGCTTGTGCCCTCTTAAGTGGTGGCCCAAGCCCCACCTGAGCATGCCTGAGTCACAGTTGGGGTGGCTAAGGACCATGCTCTAGAATGCAGCAAAGAAGAAACAAGGCCACCCAGGGCTGCAAGCCCTGAGGTCCCATGGGTGCCCTGGGCCCCTCCCTTAAAACTGCTCTGCCCTCAAGACCCTTGAACTGTAGGCTTGTTAACAGAAGTGGTAGCCTCAAAGATCTCTGAAATGCCTTATGGGTCATTCTTCCATTGTTTTGATTAATGGCATCTGGATTCTTCTATTTATACTGATCTCCTTAGCAAACATTCTCTTGGCCACACCCCTGGTGTTCTTACAGTTTTTATTTCTTTACATGGTTAAAATGAGAATTTTCCAAATTTTCAAGTTCTGCTTTCCTTTTGGTTATGAATTCCATCTTTGATTTTTTTCTGTCTTCTCTCATTTTACTACAAGCAGTCCAGAGAAGCCACGCAGCATTCCGAATACTTTGCTTAGAAATTTCTTCTGCCAAATATCCTAGTTCATAGCTCTTAAGTACTACCTTCTACAATATACCAGTACATGGATGCAATTCAGCCAAGTTCTTTGTCAATTTTCAACAAGAATGGCTCTTCCTCCTGTTTCCAATACTTTGTTCTTCATCTCCATATGAGACCTCATTAAAATTGTCTTTACTGTCCATATTTCTACCAGCATTCTGTCATGACCACTTAAGTATTCTCTAAGATTAAGCCTACTTTATCTTCTTCTGAGCTGTCACTAGAATAGCCCTTTACAAGCCTCTATTACCCAGCTGCAAAGCCATTTTCACATTTTTAGGTATTTATTATAGTAACACCCGGCTTTTTGGTATCAATTTCTGTCTTAGTCCATGCCTGCTGCTATAACAAAATATGTCTGACTGTATAATTTATAAATAAATTTATTTCTCACAACTACAAAGGCTAGGAAGTTCAAGATCAAGGCACTGGCAGGTTCAGTATCTGATTAGTTCTCTCTTCAAAAATGATGCCTCTCACTGCAACTTCACATGGCAGAAGAAATGAAAGGGACCAGGGCAGTGTCTTTGGCCTCTTTCATGAAGTCACTAAGGCCATTCATGAGAATTCCACCCTGATAAATTAATCACCTCCTAAAGGCGCCACTCTTGATACTATCACATTGGCAATTAAGTTTTAACATTTGAATTTGAGGGGCACACAATTGAAACCACCTTTGCAAAATTATAACTGAGGAAATCATGACAGTGAAAGGAATCAGACCTAACTGACTCTATCTCGCTTCTAACCCTTAAGCTGCCCTTGTTCATTCCTGGGCATAGGCCGAACTGACTTTGGGAAAGAACTAAGTTCATGGTTTGACTCTGAAACAAAATTAACAGCCCTTTCCCGAAAAGACCCCCTTTTCTTGCCTGGGGTCCAGTCTGTCTTTGCAGGATAAACAAATTAGCTACAAGATAAGAAATTACAATTTAGGGGTCATGCAGCCCCAGGCTTCAAGAGCCTGAACCTCCCCAAATTGCTCCTGGGGATAACATCAGTATTGTAAAACCTAAGATCAGTGCTTAAGATATTTTGCAGACCCTGCACTCCTTGGATCAGCTGACACCACCCAGACCAGTAATCTAACCCAATCAGTTCTTCCATCGCACCCAGGAATAGACGACATTAAGAAAACCTAACTTCAGTGGCAGGTCACGGTGGCTCACGCCTGTAATCCCAGCACTTTGGGAGGCCAAGGCGGGTGGATCACGAGGTCAGGAGATCCAGACCATCCTGCCTAACATGGTGAAACCGTCTCTACTAAAAATACTAAAAATACAAAAAAATTAGCCGGGTGTGGTGGCAGGCGCCTGTAGTTCCAGCTACTCGGCAGAGCGAGACTCCGTCTCAAAAAAAAAAAAAAAAAAAAAAAAAAAAGAAAACCTAACTTCGACCCCCTGATTCCATCTCCAACCTGACCAATCAGCACTCCCCACTTCCCAAGCTCCTACCCGCCAAATTATCTTTAAAACTCTGATCCCCGAACGAATGCTCGAGGAGACTGATTTGAGTAATGATAAAACTCCGGTCTCCCGCACAGCTGGCTCTGTGTGAATTACCCTTTCTCCATTGCAATTTATCCTCTGTCTTGATAAATTGGTTCTGTCTAGGCAGCGGGACAGGTGAACCCATTGGGCCGTTACACAATCAGACAATAATGGAGTGTTATAACACGCAGAATAGCATATAAAAGTAGTAGTCAAAGTCCTGAGATAAAAGAGAACATGAGGTGTTTGAGAAACTAAGAGAAGACCATTGTATCTGTAGCATAGCAAGTGAGCGAGAAAGTGTCAAGAGATGACATTGGAGGGTAGGAAAGGTCTAGAATTTTTAAACTGAGATATGACTTAAATAGCCTTTAAAACATGCTTTTAAAACATAAAAATTGGCTGGGTGTGGTGGCTCACACCTGTAATCCCAGCACTTTGGGAAACGAAAGTGGGCAGATCACTTGAGGCCAGGAGTTCAAAACCAGCCTGGCCAACATGGAGAAACACCGTCTCCACAAAAAAAATATATATATATATACAAAAAGTAGTCAAGCATGGTGGTGGGCACCTGTAGTCCCAGTTACTTGGGAGGCTGAAGTATGAGAATCACTTTAACCCAGGAGGTGGAAGATGCAGTGAGCTGAGATGGTACCACTGCCCTCCAGCCTAGGCAACAGAGCAAGACTCTGTCCCAAAAATAAATAAACACTAAATACCTAAATAATAAAGTATAAAATGTGGTGTTTTTTAGTACATTCATAAAGTTTTGCAACCATCAACACTATTTTATTCCAGAACATTTTTTCTTACTCCCCCCAAAAAATCTTATACCCATTAGTAGCCACTTCCCTTCCTCTCAAGCCCTGAAGACCACTAATTCTATTTTTGTCTCTATGGTATCTCCTATTATGGATATTTCACAAAAATTGAATTATATGATGTGTGGCCTTTTGTGTCTGGCTCCTTTCACAAGGCATAATGTTTGTGAGATTTACTGTAGCATGTGTCAATACTGCATTCTTTCTTATTGATGAATAATATTCTAGTGGATATATTATGGATATACCACATTTGTTTACACATTTATCAGTTGATGGACATTTTGGTTGTTTCCTCTTTTGTCTATTATTAATAATGCTTCCATGAATACTGTGTACAAGTTTTTGTGTAGACATATGTTTCAATCTCTTGGGTACATACCTAGAAGTGGAATTGCTGTATTATATGGTATTTTGAAATTAAACAGAACCAGATTTTACAGTTTCATTCTGTAAAGAACTAGATTTTACAGTTTCATTTAGACCATGGAATGATCTTTGATTTTACTCTATAGGACAACAAAAAGCTAATAAAAGGTTTATAGAAAAAGCATGGTATCATCTGAATTATATTTTTTACAACTTTCTTTAGCTGCTATATGGAGAGTGGATTGAAAGAAAGCAAAAATGAATAAAGAAAAATTTATTGGGGTCTATTGCAAGACTAAAGAAACAGGTGATGGCCAGGACAAGACAAAGTAGTGGCAGTGAAACTGGCAGGACAGAGATGGATTTGAGAGATACTTCCCAATACAATTAACCGGATGTCATCATTGATTAGATATTGTGAGGAAGGGAGAGAGAGATTAAGATGTTTTGTAGTTGTGGTGACCTCTGCCAGAGCAATTCCCATAGACTGGTGAGAGAAAAATCCAGATTACAATGCATTCATTCAACAAATATTTATTGAGCACTTACTACGTGCTAGGCACTGAGGATATACAGCAATGAACAAAATAATAAAAATTTCTGTTCTCATAGAGCTTATAAAGTAGCAGAGGAAGATAAAGATAGTAGAAAACAAAGCTAATAAGTTAATAAATAAATCATATAGTATGTTGGAATGTGGTTAAGTGCTGTGGACAAATATGAATTGGAATAGTGAAGTTTATCTCTAAGGACATAATAATAACACATACTTAAATAGAGCTACTGAGTGCCACATACTTCTCTGTGCTTTACATCTATTTACTCATTTAATCCTTCAATAACACTGAGATAGGTACAACTATTACCCCCATTTTACAAATGAGGAAACCGAGGCACAGAAAGATTAAGTAACTTACCCAAGTTCACACAGTTTGTCATTAGAATGGCTGGAATTCAAACTAAGATATCTGGCTTCAAAGTTTGAGCTTATAACCACTATACTATACTGAAAAAGACAGATAGTATACTATTTATCTGAAAATCCAGCACCAAGAGAAGATTTCATTTTTAATCAAAGCTATTCAAGCATACTTTCAGGATAGGACAAAGGATGTAATGGAGACTGAAATCACTTATAGTGGGAATAACTTATAGAATGAGATCTCAGAAATGAGGTCTCGGAGGCTGGGTGCAGTGGCTCATGCCTATAATTCCAGCACTTTGGGAGGCCAAGGAGGGAAGATTGCTTGAGTTCAGGAATTTGAGATCAGGGTTCCCCTGGCTGGTCTTGAACTCCTGAGCTCAAGTGATCCCTTTTGTAGAGATGATGAAACCTACCTCTACAAAAAAAAAAAGCCACGCGTGATGGCTTATGCCTATAGTCTCAGCTACTTAGGAGGCTGAGGTGGGGGCATTACTTGAGCCTAGGAGGTAGAGGCTGCAGTAAGCTGAGATTGTGCCATTGCACTCCAGCTTAGGTGACAGAATGAAACTCTGTTTCACCAGGAAAAAAAAAAAAAAAAAAGAGGTCTTGGAGAAAGAGATGATGTTTGGTATACCTCCTAGGGGTAAAATTACCTACGGGTAGTTTACTAGTTTCTAATATTTGAGCGGGTAGGAATAAAAAAGAGACTCACTCTGGCACTGTGGGTGTCTTTTTGGTCAACTTCCTTAGATAATCCTGCCTAAATTATCTGACTTCTCCAGAAATATAAATGGAAAAAAGAAATATATGTAACAATATAAGAGAGTCAGGCATGGTGGCTCATGCCTGTAATCCCAGCACCTTGGGAGGCCGAGGTGAACAGATTGCCTGAGATAAGGAGTTCAAAACTAGCCTGGCCAACATGATGAAACCCCGTCTCTACTAAAAATATAAAAATTAGCCAGGCCTGGTGGTACATGCCTGTAATCCCAGCTACTCGGGAGGCCGAGGCAGGAAAATCGCTTGAACTCAGGAGGCAGAGGTTGCAGTGAGCCAAGATTGTGCCACTGTACTCCAGCCTGGGCAACAGAGCGAGACTGTCTCAAAAAAGAATTTAAGAAAGAAGACATACATATAAGAACAGATCTGAAGCTGACACCCAAGAAGAATAGGCAAAACCAGATTACAATGAGGTGCCACAAAAAAAAAAGGAAAATAACAGGTGCAGAACTCCCTTCCCTATGAAAGAGACTTCATAATTTCTTTTGGGAATAGCTTTGAACATGTTCAAGAGGCGTGGAGATTAGCCAAGAACCATTTCTCCCCATTTCAATACCTGTCTCACATTTCTTAGCAAAATTATCACAACTCAATCCAGTTGCTTTATTTGGGTTGGGTATGGTGTGACCTCCTTCCCATTTATAAATTGGTCAGAATATGCAGATGGGGTGAAGGTGAATGGCTGCAGTCAGGCAAGAGGTCAAATACCGTGAGAAATCAAGAAAAGGACAATTCTTTAAAAAAAAAAAGTATTAAACTACACTAAAAATTAAGATCCGACTGCAGTAAGTGAAGGTTTACTAGATATTAACTCATAAACCGTCATCTGCACTACAAAGCTAGAGAAAATTGCTGAAGTACAAATGTGACCTTTTTGGTCTCTCAAAGCTCAACCCACCATCTGCCTATTCAACGCAAAAACAATTTCTGGGAAGGGCCAGGAGAGAGCACATCGGTTGATTTAAAAGCAACAGAGGGAAGAAAAGGGTGACAACATGGGGGCACGTTCTGTAAAAACTCTGTGGATATTAGTGCTCCCTATTTTTATTGTTGAACTGACACGAGTCAGCCTCCCTCCACCAGAGGAACATGCTGTAAAGCAGACTGCCTATTTCCATTAATCACATCAAGATTTGAAAATCTGCATTTGGAAAGGGTTGATATTTTATTGGGAATGGGTTGGGGAAGGGGATGTTTAAGGGTTGATATATGTTAATTCCCTCTCTCATATAGATTCCACATCCAGCATCAACTTCAGGTTCTCAGATGTTGATTTCTATAAGGGCACTGACTAATCCCAGTTTTTAGGAGGGAAACTGGAACAGTCACCAGTATGATCTGTAACAGACTGGTTTGCTTCACACAGAGATAAACAATTCATGGCAAAGGGAGAGATTTAACTTAGAACATTTTTTTTTCTTTTTTAGATGGAGTCTCACTCTGTCGTCCAGGCTGGAGTGCAGTGGCGCGATCTCGGCTCACTGCAACCTCTGCCTCCCAGGTTCAAGCGATTTTCCTGCCTCAGCCTCCCAAGTAGCTGGGACCACAGTCATGTGCAACCACACCTGGCTAATTTTTTGTATTTTTAGTAGAGATGGGGTTTCACCGTGTTAGCCAGGATGGTCTCGATCTCCTGACCTCGTGATCCACCCACCTCAGCCTCCCAAAGTGCTGGGATTACAGCCATGAGCCACCGCACCCAGCCAAGAAAAAATATTCTACGTGCAATAGTAAAAGGAACAAACACGGTTGCAAAAATGAAATGCTTGCCACATGAAAATATAATTTAAATATAGCTACTCCTGAAAGACTAAGAGCTGAAAGGATCCATACTGTGGGAAGCCATTTTACTTTCTAACAAGAATATTAAGAATCTTAAAACCCACAAATACTAGTGTACATTTCTATAAAGCACTTTTTTCTCTTCTCTCTTCTCTCCTTCACTCCTTTTTGCTGAAACTTAAAACAGAAACATATATATTGTAACCTTCTATTACACAGTGACATACAGGAGGAATCGTTATTATTTCAAAATAATATATACACATACATAATATGTATATCATACATTTGATAAAATTTCTCAATGGCCATAAATATGAAGAAAACCCATATCCCCAGCATTTCTGCCAGTTGCAAAACTGCTCCAGGCTTGGACCTATTGGCCTGTAAAGTCAAATAGGTAAGTAAAGACTGAAATGAACATCCTCAAAGGGCCCTGAATTCAAAGAGAAGATACTTCCTCTTCCAAGCCAGGAAATCTAAAGCAAATAACAAAATTTCTTCTGGACACTGAGGTTCAAGTTAGTCATCCCTCAGTATTCATGAAGATTGGTTCCAGGACCACGACTTTCACCCTCCACCCACCTCATACCAAAATCCACAGATGCTCAAGTCCCTTATATAAAATGTCATACGATTTGCCTATACCCTATGTACATCCTCCCATATAATTTAAATCATCTCTAGATTACTTTTAATATCTAATATAATGTAAATGCTATATAGTTGTTATACTGCGTTGTTTCTTTCTTTATTTTTATTGTTGTGTAATTTTAAATTTTTTTTCCTCAGATATTTCGATCTGTAGTTGGTTGAATCCATGGATGCAGAACCCATGGATATAGAGGACCGACTGTAATGACACTAACAAACCAAAACAAAGGCTCACTTTCTGACAAAGGAGATAGTTCTGACCCTTCCTATCTGAAGAAGCAGCTCTTAAAACATGCGTAGAGTATCAGCAGGGCTGGTGTCATTGAGAAGCCAGTAAAACAGGCAAAGTGAGGACATCTTAAAGATCTAGAAGCTCCCCCTCTTTGTGAACCACTCACCCCACTGCAAAATATATTCCCCGACAACACATGCATCCTCACAACCCCTTACAAACCCAACGCCTCTCACATACACACATGAGGAAAGCAAAGAGGAAAGGTTATCAGGTATGGACTAAGGATCAATCTGAACAGACAAAACTTCTTTGTAATTATATTGCATTTTCTTTCATTTCTTCCCAGAGTACAAGCCAGTCCATTATTAGCACATTGCTCTTAAAATCCATTAAAGGACATACACAACTAAATCAAACAGCATTTTAATTTTATTTAGATGATAGTGTAACTAAAAATACAGTGAAAAAGAAAAATGGCTCTAACAGATAAATCAAGCACACAATGTCAACATTAGATTATTAAATTTCTCATTCCTGAAACGTAGTTACATGGAGTTCTTTTCACATGCAAAAACATATATACACACAGACTAACCAAATAGCTTGTTTTAGCTGTCATGGATATATAAAGAAATTGTTACATAGTAAAAGGTAATTCAAGTATACTCATCCCACAAAACATAAAAAAAAATCATAGCAGGTCTAAATTTACATTTCTCCCAAGGCTAGCATCATTATTACTATTATATACCAAAAACTTGATGTAGTGACTGAGTATGTTCACTTATTTAAAAAGAACAGACCCAAGGTCAAAGCTTATGCTATCAGAGACATAAACATGAAACATCTGCCCAATGCTCTTAGCTAGAATTCCTTTTGCTTTCAATTCACTTTGGACACCATTCCCAGATTAAAGGCCAGAAGGAACACTCTCAACTAACTGTGCATGTTAAATTTTAAAATAAAGTAATAAAGTGTCTTAGGACTTGGGACAATGGAGGGGAATGGTCAAGGAGGAAGAGAATGATATCCTTATTCTTAGATAATGGACCATGCCCAATCAATAGTATCCAAAAAGCAGTCAGATATTTGGCCATCTATAGCTTCTTTTGGCCTTCTCACAGCTGACTAACAATATTCTTCTACAAAGACAGAGAGCATTATACTGAAGCAATAATGACTACAAATACAGTTGAGAAATACTAGGTTGGGGGGAAAGAAGATTCTGGAAATCTTTCTTTTTTGTACTCAGGCCTCAGATCCATATTCTCTATGTTGCATTTGTAATCAGTAGTATTTCACATTGGGCAACATACTTCCCTGAGAGTTGCATGTAAATATAATTTTGCTACTCAAATCATAAAATGTAAAAAGAGACTGGGGTCAAGAGTTCATTAATTTCTTACCAGATCTTAGGCAAATCACTTATCTTCTCTGCATTTCAAATTTCTTACTTGCAAACTTAAAAAAAAATGATACCATCTCCAGCTAAAAGCAAATATTTACTCACTGATTTTGTAAACCTGTCTTTTTGTGTGCTTGGCCTATTTAAAGATGGTAGACACCTACAATTGTATCTGAAGTCTTTATTCTGTTTAATAAGATAGAAAGGAACATATATATTTGATTTTTGGAAGACATGTTAATAAAATACATTCTCTTTAGAATCAAAATTAAGGTTAAAATAGGTTATCAGAAAGCAAGTACAGGGGTGAGGTTTGGGAGACCAACTGGTAAGAAGTTTAGGAACAATTTAAGGTAAAGACTCAAATTTATGTATACATAACGTCCGGAATTAAAAAGAAGAAAGGAAAGAAAAGGAAGGAGAAAAGAAGGAAAACAACAACAAAGCCAGTCAAACCCGGTTTGTCACTTTGATACAAAGTTGTTAAATAAGAGTATCAGTGAAATTGTTGACCAAAGCCGTCTGCTGTTTCTTCAAACTGAAACAATAGAATTGATTGGAAACAGATCCTAGATACTAACTCTCTCTTAAACAATGTTCAAAACCACTGGTTAACCACTATTTACCCCTGAGCCATTAAGATTTCATACTCTGATCAAAATGTACACAACAAAACATCACTAATTGCCTTTTCAAGAAATAACTTGGCCCAAGATAAGTAACATCTGATTCCTTTCTTGTATTTTAAGCATTATTGATTAGAAATACCAAAGTATTAAAATCTCATTAATAAACACTTTTTTCATGATCCATTACTAAGTCCAGTAAGTCACAATAAAATTATTCTTCAGACAAAAATAACTGTTCAAATCCTGTGATTGTTTAAACAAAGCGAAAAAAAAATATCTTAAAAGAACCTGCTTGTGACTGGTGGGTGTTATTTCATTTTAGAAATCCTACAATCAAGATAATATCTTCTATTAATCTGGACACAATTTTTCTATCCTTGTTTCTTAGTTTCAAAGATATAAGAAGAAAATAATATGGTGTAGATATTTTTAAAACAATCAAAGGGCTAATAAGATGTAATTCCAAGCTCTATCCCAGCAAGAAAATTAATCACACTTTGTCTGAATTCCAAATCCTATTTAAACTTTGGAAAGCAGGACTTTTCCCTGAGATTAGAGCACCATTCAAAAACAGATGCTTAAAGTTTCTTTTATTTTCAAGGACTATTACTAAGAACAGTGTTTTAAAACAAGAATATGTTGTTTTTCCCTAAAAGTAAATTATTCTTTGGGTCACCAAAGCCTCAGCAAAATGCCTGAAATTACTAAGTGACATTTCGTTCAAGATACTCATGCTAGTTTGATCTAATATAATCATCTAAGGCCTCCATTTTTCAGCAAGAAGTCCACCTGCTTGCCTGCATCACTCTTTCTTATTGTAAAACCTTATCTTCCTTTCCACTCTCCAGACCACCTGGCTTACAGTATCCTCAATGGGCACTCATATTCTGGTATGTAATTCCTCCTTCCAACCCCTGACAATTTTTTAAGTTTCCACCCCTTTTAAGCCACCTCTTCATTTCTGCTGCCTCTCTCTGCTTCTTACCAACCCCAATACACACCATTTCCATCTCCTCCAGAACACTTGGTATCCAAACTCCAAACCAGTGGGGTCCTAAGAGCTAATCTGAAAACACATACTGCAACAATGTAACAGGGAAGATTGTTTGCTTTATTCAGAGTTGACCTCCACAATCAGAGATAGTCCTTCTGAACTGCCAACAACAAGGCGTGCACAGTGCTTTTGGGGTGGGTGCTTTTGGAGTGGGGTGGCTGTGCATTAAGTCATTATTTTTTCCTATGGCTAGAGTTTCAACTCTGTGGGTTGAAGGATACATATTATGAGACATCTGCCTTGGTTTGGAAGTAAAGAAAATGGTCCATAAATGGCTTATTTGACTCCCCCAGGTATCTTGCTCTAATAACTGAAACATAATTGAAGTAGGTACAAGGATATAATCAGTCCAGCCTTTGTAAAGACTTTTCTTCACTAATTCAGCAACTATTTATGAAGTATCCACCTTTTGCTAGGTATTTAGCTAGCTTTTATGGCTACAAAAGCGCCAAGATATGGTTTGTATTAGTCGTGTTTCTGCTGTAACAATGTTGTATTACAAACTATTTCAAAATCTCAGTAGTTTAAAACATTTATATTTTTTTTTACATACACGGGTCTGTGAGTTAGCTGGAGTTTGGCTGATCTCAGCTGGGTTCATCTCACCTAGACTGGGCTCTAGGTTTCAGGTCAGGTCCAGGTTTGCTCCATTCTTCATCTCTGGACCCAGGATGAAGGAGCAATGGATAATTGGGACATGCATTTTTCATGGCAGAAGTCAGAAACCCAAGAGGAATGTATGGAATCATGTTATTTCTTCAGGCTCTGGCCAAGAATTATCAGGCCATTATGTCCACTCACATTCCAACGTTCCATCAGCCAGAATCACATGACCAAACCACAAATCAATGGGGTAGTAAAACATATTGTGCCTACAGTGAGTCAGTAACAACAAGGGTGGAGATGAAAGGAACCACTGTGAGCAAATAAAGCAACGAGAAACTCCCTACCATGAACAAACCCCACTGCAGTAAGGGAGAAATATGGGTAAACAATTAGCTGAAACTCACTTTTACCATTCTATCCATTTCTCTGGATCTACCTGCATCTATTCTGCAGAACTCCAAGCTGGTCCCTTATTTCCCCAAAATTCCTCTCAAAGAGTTATGGACCCCTCGTGGGTATCTCAGACTACCATGTGGCATCTGGTATTTTTCTCCTGTCCTGCCCTGCTAGTAAAGGCAATGCCTGAATGCTGCCAAAGCAAAACGTGGCATTCACATGATTGAAGCCAACTAAAGATAACAGGATCAGCTGCACCAAGTCTGTGCCAAGGGTACAGCACTAATGTCTATACCATGGATACCTATGCCCCATGCCAAAGCTATGTTAAGTTGCCACCAGTGTTACCAACCTTTTAAACTCTGAAGAGCTCATTTGATTATTAAAAAAAAAAGAAACAGCTCTTGAGGATTTTAATCACACTTATTTCAGACATGCAATAAAAAGATCTGAGTAATAACATATTACCTCTAGAATTACCCCCTAAGTTCCTAGGGTTAAGGAACATACTTTATCCTGAGCTCACATTCTTGACTCCATTTCTTTCTTTTCTTTTTCTTATTTTTTTTTCTTTCTTTTTTTTTTTTTTTTTTTTTTTTTGGAGACAGAGTCTTGCTCTGTTGCCCAGGCTGGAGTGCAGTGGGGTGATCTTGGCTCACTGCAACCTCTGCCTCCCGGGTTCAAGCGATTCTCCTGCTTCAGCCTCCCAGACTACAGGCACCCACCACCACACCCAGCTAATTTTTGTATTTTTAGTAGAGATGGGATTTCACCATGTTGGCCAGGCTGGTCTCGAACTCCTAAACTCAAGTGATCCACCCACCTTGGCCTCCCAAAGTGGACTTCATTCCTTTTACCTCTATCATAAGTTATTTTCCAGGAAGCTCTTAATCCTACAAACAAATAGATTCTTAGTGGCTCCAAACTTTTCTGAATGCTTTGGTGAACACAACTCAAGGCTGGGATCTGACCTGTATAACCTAAATACAACATGAATTCTATGACAGATATGTATAAAAATGCTAAGTAATAAAAAAGTGGGGAGTTACCTATTTTGTCAAAAGGGTGAGGGAAAGCTTGACAAATAAGATGACATTGGGTATTGGTTTACCAAATACACAAAGGAGTGAAGGCATTATAGATAAAAGGAAGAGGGTACAATTAGTGTGCATCAGTCACTGGGAAATAGCTTTTTTTGACCTGCATAACAATCAAATTTCAGGGAAGATAACCAAATCTATAATTTTTCCTGCCACTTGTTCTGTCTCCTGGATACTTAGGTTGGCATAAGGAAGCCAGGCTCTAGCACTTTGTGCTATTAATTAATTAAGGTGGAAAATGTCCTATTTCTAGCTACTGTGTCATGTCTGGCCATTATTGTCAGAATATCTAAAATTATTAGGAAAAATCCTGGGAAAAAGTGGTGCTTCTGGAAAGCACAACAAGATTTAAGGAATACATACTCCATTTTATAAGAAAGCACCTATATTAATCCATTTTCATACTGCTATAAATAACTGCCCAAGACTGGGTAATTTATAAAGGAAAGAGATTTAACTGACTCACAGTTCAGCATGGCTGGGGAGGCCTCAGGAAACTTGTAATAATGGCAGAAAGTGAAGCAAACACAAGGTACCTTCTTCACAAGATGGCAGGAAAGAGATATGCCGAGCGAAGGGGGAAGAGCCTCTTATAAACTACAAGATCTCATGAAAACTCACACATTATCATGAGATCAGCATGGGGGAACTTGCCCCTATGAGCCAATCACCTCCACTTGGTGTCTCCCTTGACACGTGGGGATTGTGAGGATTACAATTTAAGATGAGATTTGGATGGGGACACAAAGCCTAACCATATCATTCTGCCCCTGGCCCCTCCCAAATCTCTTGTCCCTTTCACATTTCAAAACCAATCATGCCTTCCCAGCAGTCCCCCAAACTCTTAATTCATTCCAGCATCAACACAAAAATCCAAGTCCAAAGTCTCATATGAGACAAGGCAAGTCCCTTCTGCCTATGAGCCTGTAAAATCAAAAGCAAGTTAGTTACTTCCACGATACAATGTGGGTACAAGCATTGGGTAAATACAGCCATTCTGAATGGGAGAAATTGGCCAAAACAAAGGGGCTATAGGACCCACATAAGTCCAAAATCCAGTGGGGCAGTCAAATCTTAAAGCTCTGAAATTATCTCCTTTGACTCCATGTCTCACATCCAGGTCACACCGATGCAAGAGGTAGGCTCCCACAGCCTTGGGCAGCTCCATCCCTGTGGCTTTGCAGGGTACAGCCCCCTCCCAGCGTCTTTCACATACTGGTGTTGAGTGTCTGTGGCTTTTCCAAGTGCATGGTTCAAGCTGTTGGTGGATCTGCTATTCTGGGGTCTGGAGAACAGTGGCCCTCTTCTTACAGCTCCACTAGGCAGTGCCCCAGTGGGGACTCTGTGAGTGGGTCCAATCCCACATTTCCCTTCTGCACTGTCCTAGCAGAGGTTTTCTATGAGAGCTCCACCCCTGCAGCAAACGTCTGCCTAGACATCCATGCATTTCCATACTTCCTCTGAAATCTAGCTGCAGGTTACCAAACCTCAATTCTTGACTTCGGTGTACCTGCAGGCCCAACACCACATGCAATCTGCCCAGGCCTGGGGCTTGCACCTTCTGTAGCAGTGGCCTGAGCCACACTGGTCTTTTTTAGCCACAGCTGGGACACAGGGCACCAAGTCCTGACACTGCACAAAGCAGCAAGGCCCTGGTCCCGGCCCACAAAACAGTTTTTTCCTACTAGGCCTCTGCGTCTGTGATGGGAGGGGCTGCTGTGAACACCTCTGATATGCCCTGGAGACATTTTCCCATTTGTCTTGGCAATTAACATCTTGCTCCTTGTTACTTATGCAAATTTCTGCAACCTGCTTGAATTTGTCCCCAGAAAATGTTTTTTTCTTTCAGCCACATCGTCAGGCTGCATATTTTCCAAACTTTCATCGACTGCTTCCCTCTTAAACATAAGTTCTCATTCCAAACCATCTCTTTGTAAATGCATAAAACTAAATGCTTTCAATAGCACCCAAGTCACATCTTAAATGCTCTGCTGCTTAGAAATTTCTTCCACCAGATACCCTAAATCATCTCTCTCAAGTTACAGATCTCTAGGGCAGGGGAAAATGCTGCCAGTCTCTTTGCTAAAGCATAGCAAGAGTCACCTTTATTCCAATTCCCTACAGGTTCCTCATCTCTATCTGAGATCACCTCAGTCTGGACTTCATTGTCCATATCACTGTCAGCATTTTGGTCAAAGCCATTCAACAAGTCTCTAGGAAGTTCCAAACTTTCCCACATCTTGCTATCATCTTCTGAGCCATCCAAACTGTTTCAACCTCTGCCTGTAACCCAGTTCCAAAGTCACTTCCACATTTTCAGATATCTTTATAGCAGTAACCCACTCTACCAGTACCAATTAACTATATTAGACCGTTTTTATACTGCTATAAAGAACTGCCTGAGACTGGGTAATTTATGAAGGAAACAGGTTTAATTAACTGACTGTTCAGCATGACTGAGGATGCCTCAGGAAACTTATAATCATGGCAGAAGGCAAAGGCAAAGCAAGACACCTTCTTCACAAGGTGGCAGGAAGTAAGAATAAGTGCTGAGTGAAGGAGGAAGAGCCCCTTATAAGACCATGAGATCTCATGAGAACTCACTATCATGAGAACAGTATGGGGGAAACCACCCCATGATTCAATTACCTCCACCTGGTCTCTCTCTTGACATGTAGGGATTATGGGGATTACTACTCAAGATGAGATTTTGTTGGGTATACAAAGCCTAACCATATCAGCACCAAATATCTAAAGCTGAAATTTGCTGGACACCTCTTTCATATTCTCTAATGAACCCTGGTCACAATGCTAAAGAAACAACAATATCTATTTCCCCCTCTTCCATTAATCTCCCTCATACCTACCCTGTTAAAATAGAGAGGCAAAGAACATGAGTGTTCACTGGCTCTGTAAGGTGTGGTTGATACCCTGCAATGCTCCCATTTTTTCTCTGCTCCATCAGTTCCTGCTTGAAATTATAACACTAAATTCTCCCCACAACTTTTGTGAAGTTAAAAGTACCACTTGAATAAGATCCATGTTTTTTTTTTCTGTGTAATAGCTAGGCCTCCAGGCCCTTGCCACTTCATGTTTGAATTTCTATAGTAACCTCCTAACAAATGTCCCCATATTTATTCTCTGTTACATCCCAAATCTGGAAACTAGCCAAATGTCCATCAAGAATAGAATGAATAAATTATAGCATATTCACACAAAAAATGCTAAACAGCTAAAGAATGAACTACAAATACATTCAAAATGGATGACTCTCACAAACTTAATATTAAGTGAAAAATGCCAGAGTTCATACAGACAATTCCACTTAAATAAAGTACAAAAACAGGCAAAAAGAAACTCTTGCTTCAAAACAATGATTTCTTCTTTGAATGAAGAAAGAAAGTAATGACATTGTAAGAAACATGAATAACCAAGGAACACTGTCATACGCTTTCCTATTTCTGTTACTTCCCTGTATTAGCCAATCATTTATGTGGAAAATGATGATATGGGAAGGAAAATATAGGCAAGCCATAATTTCTTTTCCTTCAGTCCTTCTTTACTCATCAGTAAGCCAAATCTAGAGAGTCTTGATAGAATGTGCATATATCAAGAAATGAATTAAAACAGTTTAGTTTTGTGCAAGTTTTCACTGTTCTGGCAAAAGTAATATATGCATGCATGAGCTATAAAATGCAAACTGTGTAATTTTGATGATTCTTTATACAAGTTAAATGCATATGTTTGCATTTAAAACGGTATTGTGACAATATAAATATAAATAGTAAAACCCATGCTAATAACTTAAAATTTTAATTTTTCTTTACATGGAATCATAACAGGAAATGAAAAACCACCACAGAATGTGAGACACAGCAAGACAGCAAATGAGACACAAATAACAGAAAGAAAAGAAAAAGCTTTCTATTTTCGTACTTTTAAAAGACACTTATTTCTTGCATTTTTATATGTTTCATTTTGCATAATTTTCGGGTATATATTAGGTGTATATATTTATGGGGTACATGAACTGTTCTGACACAGGGATGCAAAGTGAAATAAGCACATTAATGTAGAATGGGGTATCCATCCCCTCAAGCATTTATCCTTTGCATTCCAAACAATCCAATGACACTCTTTTAGTTATTTTTAAATGTACGATTAAGTTATAATTGACTATAGTAACCCTACTGTGCTATCAAAGAGAAGGTCTTATTCATTATATTTTTTTTACATCCATTAACCATCCCCACCTCCCCTCCACTTCGACCCCCCAACCCCTCCAGCCCCTTACTACCCTTCTCAGACTCTGGTAATCATCCTTCTATTCTCAATCTCCATGAATTCAGTTGTTTTGATTTTTACATCCCACAAACAAGTGAGAACATGAAATGTTTGTCTTTCTGTGCCTGATTTATTTAACTTAATAGTCTCCACTTGCATCCATGTTGTTGCAAATGACTAGATCTCATTCTTTTTTATGACTAAATAGGACTCTATTTTGTATATGAACCACATTTTCTTTTAACTATTCATCTGCTGATGAACACTTAGATTGCATCCAAATCTTGGTTATTGAAAACAGTGCTGCAACAAACAAGAGTGCAAAAATCTCTTTGATAGGCTGATTTCCTTTCCTTGGGTATACACCCCACAGTTAGATTGCTGGATCACACGGTAGCTCAATTTTTAGTGTTCTGAGGAACCTCCAAACTGTTCTCCATAGTGGTTATACTAACTAAGTTCCCACCAACAGTGTACAAGGGTTCCCTTTTCTCCACATCTTCACCAGCATTTGTTATTGCCTGTGTTTTGGATACAAGCCATTCTATCTGGGTTAAGGTGATATCTCATTGTAGTTTTGATTTGCATTTCTCTGTTGATCAATGCTGTTGAGTACCTTTCCACATGCCTCTTTGCTATTCGTATGTCTTCTTTTGAGAAATGTATCTTCAAGTCTTTTGCCCTTTCTGATCATATTATTAGATTTTTTCCTACGGACTTGCTGTAGTTCCTTATATATTCTGTTTATTAATCCCTTGTCAGATCGGTAGTTTGCAAATATTTTCTCCCATTTTATGGGTTGTTGCTTCACTTTATTAATTGTTTTCTCTTCTGTGCAGAAGCTTTTTACTTTTTTTTTCTTTTTTCTTTTTTTTTGGAGACAGAATTTCATTCTTGTCACCCAGGCTGGAGTGCAATGGTGCCATCTGGACTCACTGCAAACCTCCACCTCTAGGGTTGAAGCAATTCTCCTGCCTCAGCCTCCTGAGTAGCTGGAATTACAGCTGCATCACTATGCCCAGCCAATTTTGTATTTTTAGTAAAGACAGGGTTTCACCATGTTGACCAGGCTGGTGTTGAACTCCTGACCTCAGGTGATCCGCCTGCCTTGGCCTCCCAAAATGCTGGGGTTACAGGCGTGAGCCACTGTGCCTGACCAGAAGCTTTTCAACTTCATATAAACCCATTTATTCATTTTTGCTTTGGTTGACTATGCTTCTGGCGTATTGCTCAAGAAATCTTTGCCCAGACCAATGTCCTGGAGATTTTCCCTTATGGTTCTTTTATTTTACTTTATTTTATTTTATTTTATTTTATTTTATTTTATTTTATTTTATTTATTGTATTGTATTTTACTACTTTTTAGTAGTTTTATAGTTTGAGGTCTTAAATTTAAGTATTTAATCCATTTTACTTTGATTTTTGCATATAGTGAGAGATAGAGGTCCAGTTTCATTATTGTGCTTATGGATATCCAGTTTTCCCAGCACATTTATGGAAAAGAATGTCTTTTACCCAGGGTATGTTATTGGCACTTTTGTCAAAAATGAGTTCACTTTAGCTGTATGGATTTGTTTCTGGGTTCTCTATTCTGTTCCATTGGTCTTTGTGTCTGTTTTAATGCCAGTACCATGCTGTTTTGATTACTATAGCTCTGTAGTGTAATTTGAAGTCAGGTAATGTGAAAAGTCAGTTTTGTTCTTTTTGCTTACAATAGCTTTGGCTATTCTGGGTCTTCTGTAGTTCCATTTAAATTTTAGGCTTGTTTTTTCTATTTCTGTGAAGAATGTCATTTGTATTTTCATAGGGATAGCATTGAATCTGTAGGTTGCTTTGGGTAGTATGGACATTTTAACAATATTAATTTTTCCAATCCATAAACATGGATTATTTTTCCATTTTTGTGGTGTCTTCTTCAATTTCTTTTATCAGTGTATTGTAGTTTTCATTATACAGATCTTCCACTGCTTGGTTAAGTTAATTCCTAGGTATTTAGTTTTATGAGTGGCTATTGTAAATGGGATTACTGTTTTTATTTCTTTTTCAGACTGTTCAGTGTTGGCATACAGAAATGCTGAGTTTTTTTAAAGACTTAAATGTTAGACCTAAAACCATAAAAACCCTAGAAGAAAACCTAGGCAATACCATTCAGGACATAGGCATAGGCAAAGACTTCATGACTAAAACACCAAAAGCAATGGCAACAAAAGCCAAAATAGACAAATGGGATCTAATTAAACTAAGGAGCTCCTGCACAGCAAAAGAAACTACCATCAGAGTGAACAGGCAACCTACAGAATGGGAGAAAATTTTTGGAATCTACCCACCTGACAAAAGGCTAATATCCAGAATTTACAAAGAACTTAAACAAATGTACAAGAAAAAAACAAACAACCCATCAAAAAGGGGACAAAGGATATGAACAGACACTTCTCAAAAGAAGACATTATGCAGCCAACAGACACAAGAAAAAATGCTCATCATCACTGGTCATCAGAGAAATGCAAATCAAAACCACAATGAGATACCATCACACACCAGTTAGAATGGTGATATTTAAAAAGTCAGGAAACAACAGATGCTGGAGAGGATGTGGAGAAATAGGAATGCTTTTACACTGTTGGTGGGAGTGTAAATTAGTTCAATCATTGTGGAAGACAGTGTGGCAATTCCTCAAGGATCTAGAACGAGAAATACTATTTGACCCAGCAATTCCATTACTGGGTATTTACCCAAAGGATTATAAATCATGCTACTATAAAGACACATGCACATATATGTTTATTGCGACACCACTCACAATAGCAAAGACGTGTAACCAACCAAAATGTCCATCAATGCTAGACTGGATTAAGAAAATGTGGCACATACACACCATGGAATACTATGCAGCCATAAAAAAGGATGAGTTCACGTCCTTTGCAAGGACATGGATGAAGCTGGAAACCATCATTCTCAGCAAACTGTCAAAAGGACAGAAAACCAAACACCGCATGTTCTCACTCATAAGTGGGAATTGAACAATAAGAACACTTGGACACAGGGCGGGGAACATCACACACCGGGGTCTGTCCTGGGGTGGGGGGCTGAGGAAGGGATAGCATTAGGAGAAATACCTAATGTAAATGACGAGTTGATGGGTGTAGCAAACCAACATGGCACATGTATACCTATGTAACAAACCTGCACGTTGTGCACATGTACCCTAGAACTTAAAGTATTAAAAAAAACTATTTAAAAAACTAACCAGATTCTTTAAAAAAGTGAAAATACATTTTCAAAAATGCTACTGACTTGATTCTAAAAATATCTCAGCATCTTCTACATGAGGCAAGAGAAGAAACCATTTCTTAAGCACAATTTCCCCTACCCCTGAGATCAATGGCTTCCTATAGATAGAATTTTATATTTATAATTTTCCCATTGTTATTAATGGTAATTAACAACATGTAAATGGTATGGTTAAAAGTCACCCTCGTTTCACCTTTGATACTTTATCTTTTCTTTGTTTGAATGCATTGATACCTTATCTTGATGTCTCACATTACTTCAACAGAAATAAAAAATACATTTTGAAAAAAAAGAAAAAAGAAATGCTACTGAGCTTCGTTGATTTTGTATCCTACAACTTCACTGAATTTGTTTATCAGTTCTAATAGTTTTCTTATGGAGTCTTTAGATTTTTACAAATATATGATCATATCATTTGCAAACAAGAATATTTTGACTCTTTCCTTTCCAATCTGGATGTCTTTTGTATCTTTCTCTCATCTGATTGCTCTAGCTAGGACTTTCAGTACTATGCTGAATAAGTGACAGTGGGCATCTTTTTCATCTTCCAGATCCTACAGGAAAGGCTTTCAGCTTTTCCCCATTCAGTATGATACTAGCTGTGGGTCTGTCATATATGGCTTTTATTTCTTGTATTTTGAACAAGGGGGCTCACATTTTAATTTTGCACTGAACCCCCTCAAATTAAGTAGCTGGTTTTCAGCTCTAATGCCATCCTTGAGGTTAAACCATGGAAATTGTGCTATCTATAATTAAACTCCTTCCTTCTTTTTCTGGATCCATAATATTTCATTCTACATTCTAGGTAACTACAGAGTCCATTGCTCATATGTGGGTCTTATAGACGGAAAGTGTATAAAATTTCTATACAGCTAAAGGCTTTGCTGTAATTAGCAGACCTGAGTGATAATTTGCTTCAGGGGAAAATACAGGAAATTGAAGGAACACATTGCTTTGAATTTCTCTATGGTGATGATATGTAGAAATTACTATAGTAGAAATAAAAAAGTTAGCTACCTTCACATAACTGGCAAAATTCATGAATTACCACAGAAAAAAGACAGATTATCTAAAATTAATATTAAAAAGAGAATAAAGGTGTTAAAGGGTTGGTAGATGCAGGAAGCTGTCAAACAGAGACAGTTGGGCCTCTTCCTCTGTATCTGTATAACTGGCTTGCCTCATGACCCACAAAGACAAGTCCCAGAACAGTCATAAAAAAATAATCTACCTTGAATTCCCTCCATGTCTTTTTCTTGCTCATCAGACAAACCGTAGAGTGTTAGAGGTAGAAAGCAAGTACACAGTCATATAATTCATGCTTCTCATTTTACAGAGGGGATAACTAGGTCTAAAAAAGTAAAATGACTAAAAATAGAACCTCAGGATTGGAAAGATCCTTAAAAATATCGCCTAACTCTCCAACAGATGTTTGAATTCCCTCTACAAGAATCCTGAAGGTGCTTGAAGAATCCCAGTTACTCACTGAGAAAGACATTTATTTCCCTTTTTATACTTCTCTCCCCTATTGAGTCAAAGACTATATTTACTGTAGTTTCTATCCATTTGTCCCAGTTCTTATATCTTGAGGCCACTTAGTAAAAGTTACTTGTTGTAGGACAACTGAACTTACTCTTCTCCAACCCAAACATCTTCAACTATTTCTTAATATCCAACCTAAGGTCATACAACTAGTCAGTGGCAAATCTGAAAAAATAAATAAGGTCTCTTCATTTATTTTATTGTTTTCCTTCTCTTCTCCCTCATAGCTCTTAAACCATGATGGGTAGAAATGTGTGATCAATTAGAATTTGCCTAATCAAGCAAACTCAGTTTACTATCCAAATGAGGACTACCAAAAGACCTCTATAAAACTTGAATCAGACAAGCTAATTCCATCCATAATTCCCTCTCCTGTCACTAAAATCCCTTGTATTCCAAAGATCACATATCTTCAAACAGTTCCTGGCCAATAAGCCTCTGCTGAATTGCTACTTACCTTATTTGAACAATTCAGCACTGTCAGCATTTTACATCAAGATAGCCACAGGAGGAAAACACACACACACACACACACACACACACACACACACACACAAAGATAACTCCAGACGCCTCACCACTAAAATAAAGAGATATGAGCATAGCAAATGTAGGATATGGGCCCAAGGAGAAGAATGGAGCAAAGGAATGGTTAGCTTCACTGATTAATACCCTCTGCTGTTGGAATATGTCAAGCCTTAAAATCCTTACTGTCTTCTAAGGTATATGCAATAACACAATAACAATAGATGTCATTTATGGAGCACTATGTGCCGGACATCTTACTTGCAAAATAACGTTATTAAAATTCCTCACAGCTCTTCCTCTTAGGTGATTGATGATTTTCTCATTTTACTGATGAGGAAACTAATGTTCAGAAAGATTAACTAACTTGCCCAGGGTTACACACCCAGTAAAGTGACAAAGCCAAGATTTATGTGTTTCTGGAGCACAGGATTTTACCCTCCTCTGCTGTTTTGTATACAGGCTTCTATGGAGGTCTGCTATGTGAACTGTAGGGAAGGAAACAAAAGATAAAAAGTAAATTTTTCTTTACTTTTTAGAAACATTTATATAATCAAGATTGAAATCCATCCTCTCTGACTCCACTATATGTCAGGATCAGGCAAGTTTTCATGGGCAAAGTAGAAAGAAATTCAGAGCTCAGTAGGTCAGCTATATAGAAACTGAAGCAGCAACATTAGTAAGACAAAGGTAACCATGATCCTATGTGAGGGTAGCTGGTGCAGGGATAAAGCTTCTAAGATTGCTATTTGTTGGTTTATCCCCAAATGCCTAGAACAGTGTGTGGTGCATATTAGGTGCTCAATATGTATTTGTTGAATGACTGAATTATAATCAAGTTCTTTCAACTACAGAATATTTCAAAGCAATGTAAGTACTGAAATAATTCAAAGCCAGGGAACTGTCCTTCAGGGCTAGTCTTATTATTCTCCTAGAATGTTTCTAGGAAATGCCTTTTGAGAGCAACACTGAGAACACTGGGTACGACATAGAATGAGACATAATCTGAGACTAGTCCTCTTTCCAAGTAAGTACTCCAAACTTACCCTTTGGGGGGATTTATTTTCTCTGTCCTTTTAAAAGATAAATTTCTTTATCAGTTGTTAAGTTTGAGCATACACAAATCTAGTGGTCTAACTTCATTTAACCAGGAAAGAATCAGCCTGGAGATGTAAAGCAAGGCTTAAGAGTGTTAAGTTCCTCATTGATTTCTTAGACCTCAGCACAGAATATTGTCTGATGTCCAAATACTGTAGAAACAATACCTTTTGAAAAGAATTATACTCTATTGGGTAAACAGGAACTATAATTTACCGTCATGATTGTTTACATTCTCACTAATTCTTAAGAGTTAATGACTGGCAATGGGTTTCCTTGCCATTTATTTAATTCACTTCTTAACAACGTTTTTAGCAGATATTAAATAAGATAGTGCCAGGGTGACTGTTACATTTTCATAAACAAATACCATAAAATCAAAATTACATGTAGTCCAACTAGTAATTCTTTCAATTCAACTCTTTTTCCTACGTTCATATATTAGTAGAAAGAATATTGTGACAAGCGAAGCTTGTGCCAGAGGTTTATTAAAAACAACAGGAGTAACAGATCAAATTCCAGGGGTATCCCTGATCTCAGTATAGATTCAGCCCAATATCCTGCTTGTTTAAACTAATCGTGGACCATGATCACTGATTTCCACCATGATTTCCTTGAGTTCCTGACCTGGGATTTGGGATAAAAGGGAACAGGACACTCTAAAAATGCCTGGGTCCTGGAATTTAGTACCAAGCAAAGCAAGGAACCAAGGCATCTAAACTAGGGAACAACATCAGGTTTTACTAAATGTAAAAGACAGGCAGAGAGGAGATCCAAAACTAGATATTTCTATGAGGAAGGACAGGCAGGGCATTGGAAGGCAAAGTAGTTCCAAGACTCTGGATGTTCAATTAAGTATGAAGCCAACTAGTCAGTTGGAACAGCAGAAATCCTAAAGTAAATATGCTGATCTCAGACAGCTGAGTCCAGGAAGACAATAAATTCAATTCTTTAGGAAGTGAATTTCACTGATTCATCCATTAACAAAATATACCTATGTGCAAAGCAAAAACACAGATACAGGGAAACAAAACAGGATCCCTGCAGTTATAAATGGAGGTGTTGGAGCCACTTACAAAGGAATTTACATTTCATTTCTTACCCTTACCACTTGTGATGGTTAATTACATATCAACTTGGTTAGGATACGGTGCCGTCCTAGTCTGCTAATCTGAATGTTTCTGTGAAGGTATTTTATAGACATGTAACCCGTCCTATTAGTTCTGTTTCTATGGCGAACTCTGACACTCATGATATACCACTCAGGTAACCTTAAACAAGGTCTTTAACCACTGTGAACCCAACTTCCTCAACCACTATGGACCCGACTTTCTCCTTCATGTATAAATCAGGGGTAATATGGTTAGGCTTTGTGTCCCCACCCAAATAGCACCTTGAATTGTAATTCCCAAGTGTTTAGAGAGATACCTAGTAAGAAGTGATTGGATTATGGGGGTGGTTTCCTCCATGCTGTTCTGGTAATAGTGAGTGAATTCTTACAAGATCTGATGGTTTTATAAGGCAGTTTTCCCTGCTCTTGCTAGCCTGTCTCTCTCCTGCAGTCATGTGAAGAAGGTCCTTGCTTCCCCTTTGCCTTACACCATGATTTTAAGTTTCCTGAGGCCTCCCCAGCCATGTGGAGCTGTGAGTCAATTAAACCTCTTTCCTTTATAAATTACCCAGTCTCGGATAGTTCTTTATAGCAGTATGAAAACAGACTAATACAGGGGGGTAATAATATCTATCTCATAGGAACGTTGAGATTCTTGAAACAATCTGTGAACACCTTATACACAACATTTCATGTTAACAAATACTATTTATCGAATACTATTGTTAACAAATACTATTTTCCTTCCTCTTGCAATAGGTCTGACATCACAACCTTGAGCTTTTGCTTATTCTGACGTTGGATAGCCTCTTAATCTTTCCAGGTTTTTGAGAGCAAGAACTATGTATTCTACATCTGTAGAGCCTCCTAGAGGAATGATTCTGAAAGATGACCAAATAGAAATGTTGACTGAAAATCTAGTATATGTTGTATAAGAACCAGAAAGCAAACATGGGTATGGGGTGGATGATTCAGGTATTAGGAGAGTAGAGGCAGTTGGGGAAGAGAAAGAGAAAAAATATATATCTTGAATTGCCTGGAACCTAATGTACCTAAAACTTGAGTAAAAAAATTAACCTCACTTACCTCAAATACACAGACAGACATATGCTCATGCACACAAAAATACATATTCCAAACATGTCAAACCCTTAAAAGTAAGTAAAAATCAATAATAATTTTATAAAAACACTAGAAGAAAATATTTTTAGTGGTTTAAAATGTCATTTAAATGTTTAATGTTTAAACATTTAATTTAAACACTAGAAGAAAATAGTGGTTTAAAATGTCATTTAAATGTTTAATGTTTAAAATGTCATTTAAAAATAATTCACACAAGCAAAAACCACAGGGAACAAAATGAATTTGATAATACCAAAATATAAAAATGATATGCAATAAATATCAAAACCAAAGTTAAAAGCAAGCAACATACTAGGAGATGGTATCTAAAATACATTCAACTAACAATGAGTGATCAAAAGACTCCTACAAATCCATAAAATAAAAGACAACCCAGTAGAAAAATAGGCAGATGATTTCTGCAGGCAATTTACAGAAGCGGACATAGAGGTGGTCAATACCGAGATGAAAAAATGATCAACTCACTAGCAATCGGGGAACTAATAATCAGAAAAATGAGCTATTACAAATGATCCCACATTTACAATGGTTCAACTTAAATGATTTTTCAACTTTGTGACGGTAAAAAAGTGATACACATTCAGTAGAAGGTGGTATGATACTCTCTTACAATGCTGAGCAACAGCAGTGCGCCACACCTCCAAGTCAGCCACATGATCTCAAGGGTAAACAATTAATACGCTATAGTGTACTGTGTCGCCAGATGATTTTGCCCAGCTGTAGGCTAATACAAGTGTTCTGAGAATATTTAAGGTAGGCTAGTCTAAGCTATTATGTTTGCTAAGTTAGGCATATTAAATACATGTTCAACTTACAATAATTTCAACTTACAACGGGTTTATCAGGACATAACTTTATTTTAAGTTGAGGAGCATCTGTACTTATTACTTATTATTTGCAAAAATTAAAAACTGATTTTGTCAAGGTTTGGGTGGAATATGGAGTAAATGCTGCGAAAGGTTTGGGAGACCAATTGAGTAATATGTAGTTGGCAAGACTGTTTGTACCCAAAGCAACTTGCAAATTTGCAATTGCTTGTACTTAGCAAGTAAACTCTGTGTCTTCCATATAGAAATACTTGCATCTATGCACACAGGGCCATGCACAGAATTGTTGATTATGGTCTTGTTTTTAGTATTGAAAATTTGAAGATAACAAAAATGCCCATGAATAAAAGAATAGCAAATGAAATATAGAATGTTTATATTATAGGATAATATAAAGCTAGTAAAAGGAATGAGCTAGATATACACGCAATGGCATAAATATTGCACCAAGACATTTTGATAAGTGAAGAAAAAAGTTTCAAGACAATGTGTACAGAATAAAACCTATTTTGTGATCATGCATGTGTATGCACATGAACTCTTACACACACATGCACACACACGCGTGTGCCAATAAAAATTGAGGTTGGAGTTATTGGTCTCATCTACGTTTTGATTTTTTAAAAGAAGAATGCAATTAAAATGATTAAAGAGAAAAAGAAACCCTAAAGTCTTCAAATTAGAGGATGTAAAATGCTGAGAAATACTCCCTTGTAAAAAATTATTCTCTTTGTTCACAGCCACCAACTGTTTGTTCCTACACATCCATCCTGGGCATGGATCCACAATTCTACTTTTCCTCAGCACCGAGCCACAAATCTGTTCAAGCCAATGACTTCCTTATTGCGCTCACAGACATTAAACCATATCCAAAAAGAAAACTAGTCTAAGATCAGAGCAATTTGAAATTAGAGTCCATCCCAAGTTACCAAAGTGTCCAAAGTCTTCCATCATCTAATAGGTAGAAGGGCTGAAGGCCAAAACAAAAAGAAAAGGGTCAAATATATGTATTTTCAGAACTCATGCTTCTCTGCATGTGACAGTCTGAGCATTTGGCCCTAACTCAATTATTCCAATCAAGATTTTTCTATTTAAAATTTTCAAAATTGTAAATTGCCAGCCTCTTCTGCATCTTCATCAATTAGTCAGCTAGAACTTGCCTGTCAGTTCCCCAAACCAAATTACATGACATTTACTATTTTTTAAAAGAAAACGATTGAAGAGTGATGAAGCAAGATATTGGAATATGAGCATCCAGTGCTGGACTCCTCAAAGAAGCATCAATTTGAAAAATTACCCACTCATGAAAGTACCTTCACAACAGTTAAGGAATCTATGTAAGTGATTGCAGCAACTGGGTGGAGCAATGAAATAAAATAAAATGCATTGAAAAGGGTATGTGGTGTGTGAGACAGTTACACAAATAACCACACCACCCCTCCCCAAAGCCCTCACAGTGTAGCATGGACAGACACATCCTCCACATGGAAGAATGACAGTGGATAAGCATTCACCTTATCTATAGACCCCAGCACCAGGCAAGCACCCATGGACCTAGGCTCTAGGGCCACCCCAATGCCAAGCTAGTTACCACAGCCACAGGCTCCGGGCCCATCTCTGTGGAACAAGGCTTCAGGCCCACCCAGTGTTGAGCCAGCCCAGACAGCATCAGGCTCCCAGCAGGCCCTCATGGACACAGACTGGCACCTGTGAACCCAGGCCCTAGGCCAACCTCAACACAAGGCAAGTTCCTGTGGCCCAAGGCTCTAGGCCAGCATCTGTGGACCCAGACTTCAGGCCAGCCCCTATGACCCAGGTCCAAACCAGACCCCACAGTCTCAGACTCCAGACATACTCTGGTGTCAGACTGGCTCCTGTGGACCCAAAACATAAGCACACCCCCACACAAAGCTGACCCTCCCCAACTCAGGCTCAAGTTCTACCTCCCTGCAAGGTTGAACCCCATGTACCCAGAGCCAGGCTCAACCCTATGAACCAGGACACCAGGCCTACCTGTACAGGCTTGAGCTCAAGGCCTGGCCCTGCAGATCCGTACACAAGGCCAGCTATAGTGAACCTAGGCACCAGGCCCTAAAACAAGGCCAGCCTGCCCAAGAACTCCAGACCCAAGTCCGAACACGGATTCCATCTGCTGACCCAACAAGACCCTCTAGCCAAGCTGACTGGTAAAGTCAGCTTCCCTGCCAAACCCAGTCTGTAAAGACTGAAAGAGGTGCCTACTTTTTCAAATGTGCAGATACCAACACAAAACTACAAGGATCATGAATAATCAAAGAAATATGACACCACCCAAGGAACAGAATAAAGTACCAGTAGCTGACCTTAAAAATAGAGATCTATGAAACGCCTGATAATTTTAAATAATGATCTTTAAAAGTTCAGGGAGGCCAGGCACGATGGCTCACGCCTGTAAACCCAACACTTTGAGAGGTCAATGCAGGAAGATTGCCTCAGCCCAGGAGTCCAAGGCCAGCCTGGGCAACGTGGTGAGACTGTCTCTACAAAATATTTAAAACTTAGGTGGCTCATGCCTGTAATACCAGCAATTTGGGAGGCCGAGGTGGGCAGATCACTTGAGGCCAGGAGTTTGAGACCAGCCTGGCCAACATGGTGAAATGCTGTCTCTACTAAAAACACAAAAATTAGCTGGTCGTGGAGGTGGGCGCCTGTAATCCCAGCTACTCGGGAGGCTGAGGCAGGAAAATTGCTTGAATCTGGGAGGCAGAGGTTGCAGTGAGTTAAGATCACACCACTGCACTCCAGCCTGGGGGACAGAGCAAGCCTCCATCTCAAAAAAATATAAATATATCCAGGCATTGTGGTACATGCCTATAGTCCCAGCTTCTTGTCCCAGCTACTTGGAAGGCTGAGGCAGGAGGATCACTTGAGCTCCAGAGGTTGAGGCTGAAGTGAGCTGTGTTCATGCCACTGCGCTCAAGCCTGGGTAACAGAATGAGACCCTGTCTCAAAAAAACAAAAAACAAAAACAAACAAAAACTACGAAGTACAAGATAGACAAACAACCAAACAAAATCAGGAAAACATTATATGAGCAGAACAACAAGTTCGACAAAGAGAAAAAAAAAAAAAAACATTAAAAAATAACCAAGCAGAAATCCTGGAGCTAAAGAACGCAACGATTCAATGACTGAACTGATATATTCCACAGATGTCTTCCTCAGCAGACTCAAACAAAAAAAGAATCAGTGAGTTCAAAGACAGCTTATTCAAAATTACTCAGTCAAAACAACAAAAGGAAATAAGAATAAAAAATTATGAAGAAAGTATACAGAATTTATGAGACACAATCAGATGGACCAATATACACATTATTTGAGGCCCAACAGAATAGAGACAAGAGGGGCAGAAAATTTCTTTAAGTAAATAATGACAGAAAAATTCTCATATCTGAAGGAAGTGAACATCTAGATCCACGAAGGTAAAGAGCCCCAAATATATTAAACATAAAGACACCTCTTCAAGATACATAATAAGCACATTCTCAAAATTCAAAGACAAAGAGAGAATTTTGAGAGCAGCAAAAGAAAACAGGCTTGTCACATACAAACCAACTTCCACTGGAGTATCAGAGGATTTTGCAGCAGAAGTCCTGCAGGCTAAAAGAGTAGGATGACATATACAAAGTGATAAAATAATAAAACTGCTAATCAGTAGTTCTTTATCTGGCAAAGTTGCCCTTCAGATATGCAGTAGAGATAAAGACTGTCCCAGACAAAGAAAAGCTAGGGGGATTAAACACCCCTAGACCTGCCTTACAAGAAATGCTAAAGAAAGGCCTGCAAGTTGAAAAGAAAGGACACTAACAACAAAAAGAGAGAAAAGTAGAAAACTCCCAAAAAACAAACATAGTCAAATTAAGAATACTCTAATGTGGCCAGGCGCAGTGGCTCACGCCTGTAAACCCAGCACTTTGGGAGGCCAAGGCAGGCAGATCACGAGATCAGGAGTTCGAGACCAGCCTGGCCAACATAGTGAAACCCCATCTCTATTAAAAACACAAAAATTAGCCAGGCATGGTGGTCCACACCTGTAGTCCCCGCTACTCGGGAGGCTGAGGTAGGAGAATCGCTTGAAACCAGGAGGCAGAGGTTGCAGTGAGCCAAGACAGCGCCACTGCACTCCAGCCTGACTCCGTTAAAAAAAAAAAAAAAAACTCTTACGTTATGATGTGGTACATAAATCATGTTTGACTCTAGCACAAAAGTCAAAAGAAAAAGGTATGAAAATAACTATAATAACTTTTTAGTATACACAATATAAATGATATGAAGTGTGGCATCAATAACATAAAATGGGGGGAAGAAAAAGTTGAAGTGTAAGGTTGTTTTAACATGTTCAAAGTTATCAGCTTTAATAGTAATCTTTGTGATTATCATGAGACTCATAAAACATCTTGTAATAGTCTAAGATGTTTTACATGAGTCTCATGGTAATCACAAAGAAAAAAATGTGTAGTAAATACACAAAAGATAAAAAAAGAAATCAATGCATACCATTACAGAAATAAATCACAAAGGTACACAGAAATAGAGGAAGAAAGACATAGAGGAATGACAAAATGTCAGAAAGCAATTAACAAAATGGCAATAATAAACACTTAACCTATTAATAAGTTATTTAAATATAAATGAATTAAATTTACCAATAAAAAAACAGAGTGACTAAATCGATTTTAAAATTAGAATCCAACTATATGCTAAGTAAGAAGACTCACTTTACTTTTAAGAACACAGAGAGGATGAAAGTGAAGAAATGGAAAAAGATATTCCATGCAAATAGTAACTAAAAGAGAGCTTAGTTGGCTACATTTATTTTACTTACATCAGAAAAAAACCAGACTTTAAGTCAAAAACTGTCACAATAGACAAAGAAAGTCATTATATCATGATAAAGGGGTAAATTCATCAACAAGATGTAACAAATGTAAATACATCTATGTATGCAATATTGGAGCACCTAAATATAATATATAAGGTATTTATTAACAGAACTGAAGGGAGAAATAGACAGCAATAAAATAACAGTCCACTTCAATACCCGATGTTCAACAATGGACAGATTATCCAAAGAGAAAATGAGTAAGAAAACAAGTGGCTTGAACAACACTATAGACCAAATGGACCTAACAGACATATACAGAACATTCTATTCAACAGCATCAGAACATGTAGTCTTTTTAAGCGTATAAAGAAAATATTCCATGACAGAGAATATGTAAGGCCAAAAAACAAGTCTAACAAATTTGAGATGATTGAAAATATATCATATATATATTTCACTTCAATTTATTTATTGTGCTAATAATTTTTAATTTTTAAAATAAATTATTGTGGGTACATAGTAGGTATATATATTTGTGAGGTACACAAGATGTTCTGATATAGGCATGCAATGCGTACCAATCACATCATGGAGAATAAGGAATCCATCCCCTCAAGCACTTATCCTTTGTTTTACAATCCAATTGCACCTTTTTGTTATTTTTAAATGTATAATTAAGTTATTATTGAGTATAGTAACCCTGTTGTACTGTCAAATGTAGATCTTATGTTCTTTCTATGTTTTTGTACCCATTCTTTCTATGTTTTTGTACCCATTAACCATCCCCACATTCCCTTCCTGGTCCTCTGCTACTACCCTTCCCAGCTTCTGGCAACCATCCTTCTACTCTCTATGTCCATGAGTTCAATTGTTTTGATTTTTAGACCCCACAAATAAATTAGAACATGTGATGTTTGTCTCTCTGTGCCTGGCTCATTTCACTTAACATAAAGATCTCCAGTTCCATCCATTTTGATCTTTTTAATGACTAAATAATACTCCATTGTGTACAGGTACAACATTTTCTTTATCCATTAATCTGTTGATGGACGCTTAAGTTGCTTCCAAATCTTGGCTATTGGGAACAGTGTTTCAACAAACATGGGAGTGCAGATACTTATTTCCTTTCTTTGGGTATATGCTCCACAGTGGGATTGTTGGATCCTCCAAAATGTTCTCTATAGTAGTTGTACTATTTTACATTCTCACCAACAGAGTGGGAGTCTTCCCTTTTCTCCACATCCTCGCCAGCATTTGTTAGTGGCTGACTTTTGGATATAAGCCATTTTAATTGAGGTGAGATGATATCATATGGGAGTTTCAATGTGCATTTCTCTGATAATCAATGATGTTGAGCACATTTTCATATGCCTGTTTGCATTTGTATGTCTCCTTTTGAGAAATGTCTATTAAAATTTTCTTGCACATTTTTGATCAAATTAATATCCTTTTTTTCTACAGAATTTGAGTTTCTTATATATTCTGGTTACCAACACCTTGTCAGATAGGTAGTTTGCAAATATTTTCTCCTATTCCATGGGTTGTGTCATCATTTTGTTGTTTCCTTAGCTGTGAAGAGGCTTTTAACTTAATATAATCCCATTTGTCCATTTTTGCTTTGGTTGCCTATGCTTGTGGGGTATTGCTTAAGGAGTTATTTTTCCCCAGACCAGTGCTCTGGAGAGTTTCCCCCAAGTTTTCTTGTAGCAGTTTCATAGTGTGGGGTCTTAGATTTAAGTCTTTAATCCATTTTGATTTGGTTTTTGTATATGGCAAGAAATGGGAGTCTAGTTTCGTTCTTCTGCATATGGATATCCAGTTTTCCCAGCACCATTTATTGAAAAGACTGTCTTTTCCCCAGTATAAGTTCTTGGCACCTCTGTCAAAAATGAGTTCACTGGAGGTGTGTGGATTTGTTTCTGGGTTCTCTGTTCTGTTCCATTAATGTATGTGTCTGTTTTTATGCCAGTACCATAGTGTTTTGGTTACTATAGCTCTGCAGTATAATTTGAAGCCAGGTAATATGATTCCTTTAGTTTTGTTCATTTTGCTTAGAATAGCTTTGGTTATTCTGGGACTTTTGTGGTTCCATATAAATATTAGGATTTTTTTTTCTATTTCTGTAAATAACGTCATTGGTATTTGGACAGGAATTGCATTGAATGCATATACGCAACTTTTAAAAACATTGATTCTACCAATACGAGAACATAAAATATCTTATTTTTGTGTGTCCTCTTCAATTTCTTTTATTTGTGTTTTACAGTTTTCATTATATAGATATTTCACTTCTTTGGTTATGTTAATTCCTAAATATTTAATCTTATGTGTGGTTGTGAATAAGATTATTTTTATCATTTCCTTTTCAGATTGTTCAGTGTTGGCATATAGAAATGTTACTGATTTTTGTATGTTGATTTTGTATTCTGTAACTTTACTGAATTTATCAATTCTAATAGTTTTTTGTGGAGGTTTAGGTTTCTGCAAGTATAAGATCATATCATCTAAAACAAAGATAATCTGAATTCTTCCTTTCTAATTTGGATGCCCTTTTCCCCCCTCATTTTTGATTACTCTATTTAGGACTACCAGTACTATGTTGAATAACAGTGGTGAAAGTCAGTATCCTTGTTGTGTTTCGAATCTTAAAAGAATTTGCTTTTTCCCATTTTGTGTGATACTAGTTGTGGATCTGTCATATATGGCTTTAATTATGTCATGATATGTTACTTCTATACCCAGTCACTTGAGGGTTTTTATCATGAAGGAATGTTGAATTTTATTACATGCTTTTTCAGCATCAATTGAATTATCATGTGGTTTTTGTCCTTCCTTCTGTTGTTATGACGTATCACTTTAATTGATTTGTGAATGTTGAATCATACTTGCATCACAGGGATAAATACCACTTGGTCATGATGAATGGTCTTTTTAATGTATTGGTAAATTTGGTTTGCTAGTGTTTTGTTGAGGATTTTTGCATCAATGTTCATCATTGATACTGGCCTGTATTTTTAAAATTTTTTTAAATTTTAAGTTCAGGGCTACATGTGCAGGTTTGTTGTGTAGGTAATCTTGTGTCATGAGTGTTTATTGTACAGATTATTTTGTCACACATGTATTGAGTCTAGTACCCATTAGTTATTTTTCCTGATCCTTTCCCTCCTCCCACCCTCCACCCTCTGATAGGCCCCAGTGTGTGTTGTTCCCTTACATGTGTCAATATGTTCTCATCATTTAGCTCCTCTTATAAGTGAGAACATGCAGTATTTGATTTTAGAGTCCTATGTTAGTTTGCTAAGAATGATGGCCTCCAGATCCACCCATGTCCCTGCAATGGACATGACCATTTTGTTTTTTATGGCTGCATAGTGTTCCACGGTATATATTTACCACTTTTTAAAAATCCAACCTACCGTTCATGGACATTTAGGGTGATTCCATATCTTTGCTACCATGAATAGTGCTGCAAAGAACATAAGCATACATGTGTCTTTTTAATAGAACAATTTATATTCCTTTGAATATGTATCCACTAATGGGATTGATGGGTCAAGTGGCATTTTTGTTTTTAGGTCCTTGTGAAATTTCCACACTGTCTTCCACAATGGTTGAATGAATTTACAGTCCCAGAAAGAGTGTATAAGCATTCCTTTTTCTCTGCAATTTCACCAGCATCTGTTATTTTTTAACTTTTAGTAACAGTGATTCTGGATAAGAATTAATCATCCAAGTATATACCGTCTTCAAGAGACTCACCTAACACATAAGGACTCACATAAGCTTAAGGTAAAGGGGTGGAAAAAGATATTCCTTGCAAATGGACACCAAAAGTGAACTGAGGTAACTATTCTTATATCAGACAAAACAGACTTTAAAGCAAAAACAGTTTAAAAAGACAAAGCGGAACATTATATAATGATAAAAGTACTAGTCCAGTAGGAAAATATCAAAATCCTAAATATATATGCACCTGACACTGGAGCTCCCAAATTTATAAAACAATTACTACTAGACCTAAGAAATGAGATAGATGGCAAAACAGTAATAGTGAGGGAATTCAATACTCCACCAACAGCACTATACAGGTCATCAAGACAGAGAGTCAACAAAAAAAATGGACTTAAGCTATAACCTGGAACAAATGGACCTAACAGATATTTACAGAACATCCCACCCAACAACAGAAGAATATACATTGTATTCAATAACACATGGAACATTCTCCAAAACAGACCATTAAAGGTGACAAAACAAGTCTCAATAAGTTTAAGAAAATCAAAATTATATCAAGTATTCTCTCAGACCACAGTGGAATAAAATTAGATATCAACTCCAAAAGAAACCATGTAAATACATGGAAATTAAATAATCTGTTCCAGAATGATCATTGGGTCAACAGTGAAATCAAGATGGAAATTTAAAAATTCTTTGGACTGAACAATAATAGTGACACAACTTATCAAAACCTCTGTACCGAGACCAGGTCGGTCATGGAGACCCCAACCCAGTGGCGCTAGAGGAATTGAAGACAAAGACACAGAAATAGAGTGCAAAGTGGGAATCAGGGGACTGATAGCCTTCAGAGCTGAGAGCCACGAACACAATTTGACCCACGTATTTACTGAGAGTAAACCGTGATATGCATTGCTTCTAGAGATTATAGATTAACTAAAAGCATTCCTTACAGGAAACAAAGCATTCTTAGCGAGGAGTAGAGAAAAAGGCTCTGGCTGATTATCTGCAGCAAAGACATGTTGTTAAGGCACAGGCCGTTCATGCTATTGTTTGTGGTTTGAGCAGTTTTCCGCTCCGGGCGGGCCAGGTGTTCCTTGCCCTACTCTAGTAAACCAACAACTTCTAGCAGTGTGCGTGACAGCCATCACGAGCATGTCACATTGCTGCAGAAATCCTGTTTACAGCCAGTTTCTTTAAGGCCTGTTTATGACAGGCTTAGGGCTTGTTCCCAGCACCTCTGGGATAAAGCAAAAGCAATTCTAAGAGGAAAGTTGACAGCCTTAGATGCCTCCATCGAAAAGTCTGAAAGAGCACAAATAGACAATCTAAGGTCACACCTCAAGGAACTAGAGAAACAGGAACAATCCAAACCCAAACCCAGGAAAAGAAAAGAAATAACGAAGAGCAGAGCAGAACTAAATGAAATTGAAACAAAAAAAAATACAAAAGATAAATGAAACAAAAAGCTGGTTCTTTGAAACAATAAACAAAATGGATAGACCATTAGTGAGATTAACCATGAAAAGAAGAGAGAAGATCCAAAAAAGCTCAATTAGTATAGAAACTGGATATATTATAACTGATACCACAGAAATACAAAAGATCATTCAAGGCTACTATGAACACCATTATGCATACAAACTAGAAAACCTACAGAAAATGAATAAATTCGTGGAAATACGCAACCCTCCTAGATTAAACCAGGAAGAACTAGAAACCCCAAAAAGACCAATAACAAGCAGTGAGATCAAAATGGAAATTTTAAAAAACTGCCAAGAAAATAAAGTCCAGGACCAGATGCATTCACAGCTGAATTCTATCAGACATTCAAAGAAGAATTGGTAAAAATCCTAATGAAACTATGCCAAAAGGTAGAGAAAAAGGGAATCCTCCCTAAATCATTCTATGAAGCCAGTATTACCCCAAAACCCCAAACCAGAATAAGACATAACAACAACAACAAAAAAAAAACTACAGACCAATATCTTGGATGAACATAAATGCAAAAATCCTCTACTAAATACTTGCTAACCGAATCCAACAGCATATCAAAAAGACAATCCACCATGATCAACTGGGTTTCATACCAGTGATTCAGGGATGGTTTAACATAAACAAGTCAATAAATGTGATACACCACATAAACAGAATTAAAAACAAAAATCATATGGTCATCTCAAAAGACACAGAAAAAGCATTTGACAAAATCTAGCATCGCTTTATGATTAAAGCCCTCAGCAAAATACCTTAAGGTAATAAAAGCCATCTATGACAAACCCACAGACAACATTATACTGAACAGGAAAAAGCTGAAAGCATTCCCCCTGAGAACTGGAACAAGACTAGGGTGCCCAGTTTCACCACTTCTATTCAACATAGTACTGAAGTCCTAATCAGAGAAGTCAGACAAGAGAAAAAAAAATAAAGGGCATCCAAATTGAAAAGGAGAAAGTCAAACTGTCCCTGTTCACCAATGATATGATCGTATACCTAGAAAACCCTAAAGACTCATCTAAAAATCTTCTAGATCTGATAAATGAATTCAGTAAAGTTTTAGAATACAAAATCAACGTACACAAATCAGTAGCACTGCTATACACTAACAGTGACCAAGCTGAAAATCAAATCAAAACTCAACGTCTCTCACAATACTGCAAAAAATAAAAAATAAAAAAACTTAGGAATACACCTAACCAAAAAGATCTCTACCAAAAAAACTACAAAACACTGCTGAAAGAAATCATAGATGACACAAACAAATGGGAACACATCCCATGTTCACGGATGGGTAGAATCAATGTTGTGAAAATGACCATACTGCCAAAAGCAAACTACAAATTCAATGCAATTCCCATCAAAATACTATCATCATTCTTCACAGAACTAGAAAAAACAATCCTAAAATGCAGAAGGAAGGTAAAAAGACTCCACGTAGACAAAGCAGGACTATCTGTAGGCATCACATTACCTGATTTTAAAGTATACTATAAGGATATAATTACTATAACAGCATGGTACTGGTATGAAAATGAATAGTTCCATTCATCCAATGGAACAGAATAGAGAACACAGAAATAAAGCCAAAAACTTACAGCCAACTCATCTTTGGCAAAGCAAACAAAAACATAATGTGGGGAAAGCGCACCCTACTCAAAAAATGGTGCTGGGACAATTAGCAAGCTACATGTAGGAGAATGAAAGTGGATCCTCATCTCTCACCTTATACAAAAATCAACACAAGACGGATCAAAGACTTAACTCTAAGACCTGAAACCATAAAAATTCTAGAAGATAATCTCAGAAAAACTCTTCTAGACATTGGATTAGGCAGAGAGTTCATGACAATGAACCCAAAAGCAAATGCAACAAAAACAAAGATAAATAGATGGGACTTCTTCAAGGAGAACTACAAACCACTGCTCAATGAAATAAAAGAGGATACAAACAAATGGAAGAACATTCCATGCTCATGGGTAGGAAGAATCAATATTGTGAAAATGGCCATACTGCCCAAGGTAATTTATAGATTCAATGCCATCCCCATCAAGCTACCAATGACTTTCTTCACAGAATTGGAAAAAACTACTTTAAAGCTCATATGGAACCAAAAAAGAGCCCGCATCGCCAAGTCAATCCTAAGCCAAAAGAACAAAGCTGGAGGCATCACGCTACCTGACTTCAGACTATACTACAAGGCTACAGTAACCAAAACAGCGTGGTACTGGTAGCAAAACAGAGATATAGATCAATGGAACAGAACAGAGCCCTCAGAAATAACGCCACATATCTACAACTATCTGATCTTTGACAAACCTGAGAAAAACAAGCAATGGGGAAAGGATTCCCTATTTAATAAACGGTGCTGGGAAAACTGGCTAGCCATATGTAGAAAGCTGAAACTGGACCCCTTCCTTACACCTTATACAAAAATTAATTCAAGATGGATTAAAGACTTAAACGTTAGACCTAAAACCATAAAAACCCTAGAAGAAAACCTAGGCATTACCATTCAGGACACAGGCATGGGCAAGTACTTCATGTCTAAAACACCAAAAGCAATGGCAACAAAAGCCAAAATTGACAAATGGGATCTAATTCAACTAAAGAGCTTCTGCACAGCAAAAGAAACTACCATCAGAGTGAACAGGCAACCTACAAAATGGGAGAAAATTTTCACAACCTACTCATCTGACAAAGGGCTAATATCCAGAATCTACAATGAACTCAAACAAATTTACAAGAAAAAAACAAACAACCCCATCAAAAAGTCGGCAAAGGACATGAACAGACACTTCTCAAAAGAAGACATTTATGCAGCCAAAAAACACATGAAAAAATGCTCACCATCACTGGCCATCAGAAAAATGCAAATCAAAACCACAATGAGATACCATCTCACACCAGTTAGAATGGCGATCATTACAAAGTCAGGAAACAACAGGTGCTGGAGAGGATGTGGAGAAATAGGAACACTTTTACACTGGGGTGGGACTGTAAACTAGTTCAACCATCGTGGAAGTCAGTGTGGCGATTCCTCAGGGATCTAGAACTACAAATACCATTTGACCCAGCCATCCCATTACTGGGTATATACCCAAAGGACTATAAATCATGCTGCTATAAAGACACATGCACACGTATGTTTATTGTGGCACTATTCACAATAGCAAAGACTTGGAACCAACCCAAATGTCCAACAATGATAGACTGGATTAAGAAAATGTGGCACATACACACCATGGAATACTATGCAGCCATAAAAAATGATGAGCTCATGTCCTTTGTAGGGACATGGAGGAAACTGGAAGTCATCATTCTCAGTAAACTATCACAAGGACAAAAAACCAAACGCCGTATATTCTCACTCATAGGTGGGATTTGAACAATGAGAACACATGGACACAGGAAGGGGAACATTACACTCTGGGGACTGTTGTGGGGTGGGGGGAGTGGGGAGGGATAGCTTTAGGAGATATACCTAATGCTAAATGACAAGTTAATGGGTGCAGCACACCAGCATGGCACATGTATACATATGTAACTAACCTGCACATTGTGCACATGTACCCTAAAACTTAAAGTATAATAATAATAAAATAAAAAAATAAAAAATAAAAAAAATAGATGGGACTTAACTAAAAAGCTTCTGCAGAGCAAAAGAAATAATCAACAGAGTAAACTGACAACCCACAGAGTGGAAGAAAATCTTCGCAATCTATATATATCTGACAAAGGACTAATATCCAGAATCTACAAGGATCTCAAACAAATCAGCAAGAAAAAAAATAATAATCCCACCAAAAAGTGTGCTAAGGACATGAATAGACAATTCTCAAAATATATATATAAGTGGCCAACACACATATGAAAAAATGCACAGCATCACTAATTATTAGGGAAATGCAAATCAAAACCACAATGTGATACAAGCTTACTCTTGCAAGAATGGCCACAATTAAAAAATCAAAAATAATAGATATTGGTGTGGATGTGGTTAAAAGGGAATACTTTTACACTGCTTATGGTAATGTAAACTAGTACAACTGCTATGGAAAACAGTATGGAGACTCCTTAAAGTATTAAAAGTAGATCTACCATTTGATCCAGCAATCCTACTGCTGGGTATCCACCCAGAGGAAAAGAAGTCATTATATGAAAAAGATTCTTGCACACACATACATTTACGGCAGCACAATTCGCAATTCCAAAAATATAGAACCAGCCAAAATGCCCACTGATCAACAAGTAAATAAAGAAAATGTGGTGTGTATATATACACCATAGAATACTACTCAGACATTAAAAGGAACAAAGTAATAGCACTTTCAGTAACCTGGATGGAATTGGAGACCATTATTGTAACTGAAGTAACTCAGGAATGGAAAATCAAACATGGTATGTTACTTATAAATGGGAGGTAAGCTATGAGGACACAAAGGCATAAGAATGATACAATAAACTTTGGGGACTCAGCCGGGAAGGGTGGGAGGAAGGTGAAGCATAAAAGACTACCCATTGAGTACAGTGTACACTGTTCAGGTGGTGGGTGCATCAAAATCTCAGAAATTACCACTAAAGAACTTATCCCTGTAACCAAACACTACCATTTCCCCAAGAACTATTGAAATAACAATAAAAAAAAGTAATAGCCATTCTGACGGGTGTGACATGGTATCTCACTGTGGTTTTGATTTGCATTTCTCTAATAACCTGTGATGTGGAACTTTTTTTCATATTATCATTGGCTGCATGTATGTCTTATTTTGAAAAGTATTTGTTCATGTCATTTGCCCACTTTTTAATGGTTTAATAAATTTAAGTTCTTTATAGGTGCTAGATATTAGACTTTTGTCAGATATCTATTTTGCATAGTTTGCAAAAATTTTCTACCATTCTATAGGTTGTATGCTCTTTCTGTTGATAGTTCCTTTTTCTGTGCAGAAGGTCCTTAGTTTAATAAGATCCCATTTGTCCATTTTTGCTTTTGTCGCAATTGCTCTTGATGTCTTTGTCATGAAATATTTGCCCATATCTATATGCACAATGATATTGCATAGATTGTATTCCAGGGCTTTTATAGCTTTGATTTTACATTTAAGTCTTTAATCTATCTTGAGTTAATTGTTGTGTAATATGGTGTAAGTAAGGGGTCAAGTTTAAATCTTCTGCATATGGCTAGCCAGTTATCCCAGCACCATTTATTAAATAAGGATTACTTTCCCCACTGCTTGTTTTTGTTAGGTTTGTCAAAGATCAGATTGTTGTAGGTATGGTCTTATTTCTGAGCTCTCTATTCTGTGCCATTGATCTATGTGTCTGTTCTTGTACTAGTACCATGCTGATTTGGTTACTGTATGCCTATAGTATAATTTGAAGTCAAGTAGCATGTCTTCAGCTTTGTTCTTTTTGCTTAGGATTGCTTTGGCTATTTGCACTACTTTTTGGTTCCATATGAATTTTGAAATAGTTTTTTCTCGATCTGTAAAGAATGTCAATGATAGTTTAATAGGAATAGCATTGATTCTATAAATTATTTTGGCACTATGGCCATTTTAACAATATCGATTCTTCCCATCTATTAGCATGGAATGTTTTTCCATTTGTTTGTGTCATCTCTGACTTCTTTGAGCACTGTTTTGTAGCTCACCTTGTAGAGGGCTTTCATTTATATGGTTGTCTGTATTCCTAGGTATTTTTTAATAGCAATTGTGAATGGGAATGCATTCCTAATTTGACTCTCAGCTTGACTGTAGTTGTTTTATAGGAATGCTAGCACATTTTGCACATTGATTTTGTATTCTAAGACCTTGCTAAAATTTTTCAATTTTCTTATTTTCTTCACTGACTGACTGGTCATTCAGATCACAATGTTTAATTCCCATACATTTGTGTTTTGTTTTGTTTTTGAGGTAGAGTCTGACACTGTTACCCAGGCAGGAGTGCAGTGACATGATCTCAGCTCACTGCAACCTCCATCTCCCAGGTTCAAGCGATTATCCTGCCTCAGCCTCCTGAGTAGCTGGAACTACAGGCATGAGCCACCACACCTGGCTAATTTTTGTATTTTTAGTAGAGATGGGGTTTCACCATGTTGGCCAGGTTAGTCTCGAACTCCTGACCTCAAGTGATCCATCTGCCTCGGCCTCCCAAAGTGCTGGGATTACGAGCGTGAGCCACTGTGCCTGGCCGAATTCCCATATATTTGTATAGTTTCCAGAATTCCTCTAATTATTGATTTCTAGTTTTATTCCATCATTGTCAGAGAAGATATATAGAGAGATATATAGATATAGATATAGATATGTAAAAGATCTAGACATTGAAATCTGTTAACATTAATGAAATAAATTGAGCACACAAATAAATAAAAAAAAAGATATCCCTTGTTCATGGTTGGGAAGAATTAATATTGTTAAAATGTCCATACTACCCAAAGCAATCTACACATTCAGTGAAATGTCTATCAATATTCCAGTGGTATTCTTCCCAGAGATAGAGAAAGCAATCCTAAAATTCATTTGGAATCGGCTGGGAGTGGTGGCTCATGCCTGTAATCCCAGCACTTTGGGAGGCCGAGGCGGGTGGATCACGAGGTCAGGAGTTCACGACCAGCCTGGCCAACATGGTGAAACCCTATCTGCACCAAAGATACAAAAAATTAGCCAGGTGTGGTGGCACATGCCTGTAATCCCAGCTATTTGGGAGGCTGAGGCAGGAGAATCGCTTGAACCTGGGAGGCGGAGGTTGCAGTGAGCCGAGACCACACCAGCCTGGGTGAAAAAAAAAATTCATTTGGAACCATACAAAAGACCCTGATTACTTAAAGCAATCTCATGCAAGAGAAATTAAGCTGGAGTAAACAGTTTCTGATTTCAAATGGTATTACAAAGTAATAGTAATCAAACAACATGGCAGTGACATAAAACCAAGTACACAGACCAATGGAATAGAATATAGAGCTCAGAAATAAACCTATGCATATGCAGCCAACTATTCTTCCACCAAGTCACCACATATGGGGAAAGGATAGTCTCTTCAATAAATGGTGCTAGGAAAATGGGATACCACATGCAAAAGAATGGAATTGGACCTTACCTTAAACTATACATAAAAATAAACTCAAAATCAATTCAAGACTTAAACATAAAACCTGAAACTGTAAAAATCCTACAAGAAAACATGGAGCAGGGAAAGCTTCTTGACATTGGTCTTCACAATGATGTTTTTGGTTAGGACACCAAAAGTATAGGTAACAAAAACAAAAATAAACAAGTGGGACCACATCAAACTAAAAAGTTTCTGCACATCATGAAAATAATCAATGAACTAAAAAGGCAAACTACAGAATGGGAAAAAATTTGCAAATCATATATCTGGTAAGGTGTTAATATCTAATATACATAAGGAAACTCAATTCAATGGCAAGCAAACTAATAACCCAATTAAAAAAATGGGTAAAGAACCTGAATAGACATTTTGTCAAAGACATACAAATGGCCAACAGCTGTATGAAAAGATGCTCAACATCACTAATCATAAGGGTAATGCAAATTAAAATGACCATGAGATATCTCCTTCTGCCTATTAAGATGGCTATCATCAAAAAGATAAAAGAAAACAACTGTTAGATTGTGCAGAAAAGGGAACCCATGTGCACTTCTGGTGGGAATGTAAAATGATGCAGCCACTGTGGAAAACAGTATGGATGTTGCTCACAAAATTAAAAATAGAACTACCATATGATCCAGCACTCCCACTTCTGGGTATATGTCAAAAAGAAATGAAATTATATCTAGCAGAGATATCTGAACTCTCATGGTCAAGGCAGCATTACCTAAAATAGCCAAGATATGTAAAACACTTGTGTTCTTTATTAGATGAAAAAGTAAATGTGAGCTATATAGAGAGACACACATAAATACACATTTGAATATTATTCAGCCTTAAGAAGAAAAGAAATCCTGCCATTTGAGACAAGGTGAATGAAACTTAAGGTCATTATGTGAAATGAAATAAGCCAGTCACAGAAGGACAAATGCTGCATGATTCCATTCATATGAACTATCTAAAATAGTCACACACAGAAGCAGAAAGTAGAATGCTGGTTGCCAGAGGCTGGTGGCAGGGATAAGTAGAAAATTTTTGAATGGGTAAAAAAATCTCAGTTATGCAAGATGAAAAAGTTGTAGATATCTGCTGTATAACACTGAGCTTATAGTCAACAATACTGTATCACACACTTAAAAATTTGTTAAGAGAATCTGTTATTTTTTTATCATAATAAAAATCTATCAACTATGACTGTTGCTATTTATGCCATGAATACAAGGCTAGTATATGTGTTAATGGTGTTACCGGCAGGTCTTTGTTCTTAGAGCTCCCAAGATGGTGGCGGGCTGCTCCCCAGATGGCGGCAAGCCTTTTGTTCTCTGACCTGGGGTTCTTGGCCTCATGGATTCCAACGAATGGAACCTTGGGCCATGCGGTGAGTGTTATCGCTGTATTAGAAGCCGTGGGTCACGGAAGAGAACGGTGAAACCCAGCGACTAGTGTTCAGCCCGATTAGGATGAACCCAGTCACTTAGCGGTGCAGGAACAATAGCAAGCCTCTAGCCTGATCAGGAGCGGCAACGGGTGCCTCGCTGGATCAGAAGCCAGGCGGACGCCCTGCGGGATCTGGAGGGGTGAAAGTCAGTGGCGGGTCTGTGATGGTGGCGATCAGCAGTGGTGGACGGCAAGTGAAAGCTCAGTTCAAGCTGGAACAAACACGGACCAGAAGAGTGTGCAGTTGCAAGATTATTAATAGAGTGCAAACAGAGCTCCCATACAACGGGAGGGGACCCAAAGGGGGTTGCCACTGCCGGCTTGAATGCCTGGGTTTATATCCCAATCACTGTCCCTCCCCCTGTGCTCTCAGGCGACAGATGATTGACTATTTCTTTACCTCCTGCTTTTAGCCTAATTGGTATTTTAGTGAGCTCTCTTTACTATCTGATTGGTTGGGTGTCAGCTGAGTTAGGAGCCCCATGTTTAAAGGTGGGCGTGGTCACCTTCCCCAGCTAGGCTTAGGAACTCTTAGCTGGCCTAGGAAATCCAGCTAGTCCTGTCTCTCAACGGGACAATATTTTAAATCAGCTTTTCAATAGCTGCCAAGAAATATGGATAACATTCAACATATTTCATTAACAAAATTAAATGTTTTCATTCCTAACGTGAAAAGGGCACATTTAAAAAATAGTATCAACAATATATTTAATGGAGAAGTATGACTAGAATTACCTTCTCTAAGATCAAGAATAGGCAAAATGGCACTCCACAAATGCTAGTTATTTTTCTTTCCTTAGTCACCACTCTCTTTTAAAGGAATATTTACCATGATCACCAGAGGAAAAAAAAAAAAGAATTGAAGTTATGTTTAGCAAAATATGATACCAAAAAAAAACACTTTTTACTTATGACATGAATATATACTCAGAAAATCCAAAGAAGTCAACCAAAAAATTACCAGCAGTAATAAATGAGTTTTTCAGAGTTGTGGAAGGAAGTAAATCTACAAAAATAAATTGAATATATCCCTATATACTAATAATACAGAAAATACAATGAATAACCCAAAAAGGAAATGAAATCCCTTCACAACAGTTACTAGAAACACTAAGTACTTGTGCAACAATTAAGTGTGTGAAACAAAGAAAATCAAGACCCTAATGAGTAAAAAATGGAAGATTTAAATAAAGAAATATGCCTTTCTCATTGTCAGAAAGATTAAATAAAGATGAAAGTACTTAAATTCACAAACACATACTAGAAAACACAGTTGTCAGAATTATGTGATACTATAACTAAATGAAGGAGACTGATCAGTGGAATAAAGCATCCAGAAATTGATTCAAATTATTATAAGAACTAAAGCTACGGAAAAATGTATGTAATGAAAATAAAAATCATTAATAAATGGAGAAAAGAATCATTAATAAATGTTGTTTTGTCAGCTAGTTATGTATATGGTAATCAATAAATTAATAAGTAACTGAGATCTATATCTTATACATGTGCAACAAATTCCAGATAATATGCATAGCTTTTATGACAAAGTATATATTGTTAAATTATAAAGTTAAATTATTTTTAAAAATTGAAATTCAGTCAGTGTCAGGAGAGGTCAGACAAACAAAGTTAGCACCTGAGAATTAAATGTATTCACTACATTAGTGCAAGACCGATTCAGTTAAAGGCAGTGGGGAAGAAATCCAGCCGGGCAGAACAATGTCTAAGAATCTTGGGATAGGAAATGGCAGTGTAGGTAAGCAGCTAGTATTAGGAAAGGCCAGGAAAGCAGTAAGGTGTTGGTGATCTGGTAGACAGGTAAAAAACAGCAATGTGAGCAGCAAGGGAAACAGACATTATCTGGATAGAAAGTTGATATGTGGGATTGTGGCAGCAGGTGCTCTAGTCCCAGTTGCTTATCCTGGGATTGAGAAGCAGAACTCAAGTTCCTAAAAAAAACGGGAGAAAAAGGCAAACTCCCAGTCTTAGAAGAATCGGGGTACTAGGTAGATTATCAAAGGAGAGGCTTTGTTATAAAACTGCTGTGCAAGGTATAAAGACAATTACAGGTAAGAAGCAGAGAGCAAGTTAGTAGAAAATGGATTAATCCAGCTCAGGGTTGGTGTATGAGTAAAGGTTAAGTGCTATAACTATAAGAATTTAAAGATTTGGGGGATAGTGAACCAGGTAGCTTACTGTGAAATATCATATTTATTCCAGCTGTGGAAAAGAAATATATTTTTGACTGTTTAAGAAATGGAGTATATCATCACATACAAGATAAATGTATTCAAATGTCTTAAAAATAAAAAGGCTGCTAAGCTATGAAATGTAATAAAATGAATACCAGAAGAAATGAATATCCTCATTGGAAAATTCATGAGAAAAATGTAACTGATATAGGCTAACTACCCAACCTGAATAAAAAAATGCATATATATCAGTCTAATACTCAGATTTTACTTGATAAGTTAATAAAGATGATGAATATGCAGTTTATATAAAAGACATTGAAATAGAAAAAAAGATAAACCCTCAATAGCAATTAAATGAATGCAAATTAAAACAACTTAAAGCTTCCATTGTTTATCTACCGAACTATCAAAAACACAGTGTATAAAGTCGCTAGTGAGAATTAGGGAGAATGAGTGCACTTATATATTGCTAGTGGTACTGTAAATTGATTCCATTTTACAGAAGAGTAACTTGGCAATATATGAAAGGAATAAATAAACCATTCATAATATTTCTCCGAATAATTCCACTATGGAGATCATACCACCCAGGAAATAACCAAAGGGGGAAAAACTGATTTGTATTGCAATTCCCATGGCAGTTTTCTAAACAACTATTATCAAAAATAGGAAAGAGTCCAAATGCCTTTTATTATTGATATGGTAACTCTATTAGTCCATTCTCACACTGCAATAAAGAAATACCTGAGACTGGGTAATTTACAAAGGAAAGAGGTATAATTGACCCACAGTTCCGCATGGCTGGGGAGGCCTCAGGAAACTTAGAATGGTGGTGGAAGGGGAAGCAGGCACCTTCTTCACAAAGTGGCAGGAGAGAGAAGTATGAAGGAAGCAAAGGGGGAAGAGCACCTTATAAAACCATCAGCTCTCATGAGAACTCCCTCACTATCACGAGAACAGCATGGGGGAGACTGCTACCATGATCCAATCACTTCCCACTGGGTCCCTCCCTCAACACGTGAGGATTATGAGGATTACAATTCAAGATGAGATGTGAGAGGGGACACAGCCAAATCATATCAGTAACAAAGAGGCTTTCTATAGACATTAAAAGTAACAAGCGTGAGGAATGTGATTTTATATGCAATTGTATATATAATACTGATAAGTGAAAAAATCAGCAGAAAATAATAAGTACACAACAATACAACCACGTTATTAGGTATAAGATGATATGCAGGTATAATTTTCTATTTCTTCTGTCAGTTTTGATAAGTTATTTTCCTAGGAATTTGTTTATACCATTTAAATTTTCAAATTTACTGTTATAAAGTTGTTCAGATATTTTTTACATTTGAAGTATCAATTTGGATTTTCCTATTTTCATGTCTGATTTTATTTGTGCCTTTCTCCTTGTCATAAAGACAATGATTATTTTCTTGGACAATATTGGTAGAAGTTTATCACTTAATTTGTCCTTTTAAACCAACCTTTGGCTTTGCAGAATTTCTCTACATTTGTTTCTGTACATTTGTTTTCTATCCAATTTCTGCTCTTATCTTTATTATTTACTTTCTTCTATATTCCTTGATTTTAATTTGCTGATTCTTTTCTACCTTCTTGAAATAGATGTCTATATCATTAACTTTTACTATCTTCTTTGTAATGTATTAGTAGCTACAAATGTGCCTCTAACCACAGCTTAAACTACATTTCACAAGTATTGATATATACTTTCATTATCATTCAGTTCAAAACATTTTCTAATTCACACTATGTTTCTTTGACCTATAAATTATAAAGTAATATATTGCATATTTTGCTAATGTTTCATAATTTTCTGGTTATCATTTTCTTATTGATTTCTAGCTTGATTTCATTGAGACCAAACAACACATTTTGTATAATTTAAATTTGTTGAAATTTATTCATATTTGCCTTATGGACCAGCATATGGTCAATTTGGGAAGGATTTCCATATGTAATTGAAAAGAATGTGTAGTCAGCAAGTCATAAGTTCAGTGCTTTGTACATGCAGTGGAATGCTGATAAATGGTTGACTGGCTCTCAAACAAACAAACAAAAAAAAACGCACAGATACCCAGAAATCATATACTCTTGGACCAATTTTTCATAGTGTGAATTCTCCCATCATAGTCAATTTCAAGCTGACAACATGATATAATAAATGTGAAGTTGGGAAGAGATGCACACATGTGACTCTCACAAGCCAGTATGAGCTGACTCCAGTACACTACTGTATGTATTTCTATTAGGTCAAATTATTAATTATATGGTTCAATATTTTATATCATTACTGATCATTTATCTTCTTATTCTGTTATATACTGAGAGGTATGTAAAATATCTCACTATGATAGTGTATTTGCAAAATTTCCCTTGCATTTTCGTAAACTTTTACTTTCTATATTTATGGGCTATGTTATTAGGTACATACAAATTTTAAATTGGTATATCTTTCTGGGTGAAGGATGCTTTTATTGTTATATATATTTGTTTAAACTCTAGTCATTTTTCTTGGCTTAAAGTCTTTTTTACTGGGGAGGAAAGAGATAGTTACAGGAGTGGGTAAGGGTTGCTGGACTTCCTATACAACCACACAACCAAGAATCAATGTGACCATGTTCCTCCCTATCTTTGGATACCTCACCAGATATTCACGCCAATGAAAACTTTTTTTTAATTTTTATTTTAAGTTCAAAGGTACACATGAAGGTTTGTTATATAGGTAAACTTGTGTCATGGGGGCTTGTGTACAGATTATTTTATCACCCAGGTATTACGTCTAGTACCCATTAGTTATTTCTCCTGATCCTCTCCTTTCTCCCACCCTCCACTCTCTGACAGGCCCCAGTGTGTGTTGTTCCTCTCTCTGTGTCCATGTGTTTTCATCATTTAGCTCCCACTTATAAGTGAGAACATGCAGTATTTGGTTTTCTGTTCCTGCATTAATTTGCCAAGAATAATGGCCTCCAGTTCCATCCATGTCCCTGCAAAGAACATCATCTCATTCTTTTTTATTGCTGCATAGTATTCCATGGTGTCCATGTACCACATTTTTTTATCCAGTCTATCATTGATTAGCATTTAGGTTCATTTCATGTCTTTGCTATTGTGAATAGTGCTGCAATGAATATGTGCATGTGTCTTTAAAATAGAATAATTTATATTCCTTTGGGTATATACCAAGTAATGGGATTGCTGGGTAGAATGGTAGTTATGTTTTTAGGTCTTTGAGGGATTGCCACACTGTCTTCCACAATGGTTGAACTAATTTATACTCCCACCAACAGTGTATAAGCATTCCTTTTTCTCTGCAACCTTGCCAGTGTCTGTTATTTTTTGACTTTTTAATAATAGCCATTCTGACTGGTGTGAGATGGTATCTCATTGTGGTTTTGATTTGTATTTCTCTAATGATCAGTGATGTTGAGCTTTTTTCTCCTATGATTGTTGGCTGCATCTATATCTTCTTTTGTAAAGTGTCTGTTCATGTCTTTTGCCCACTTTTTAATGGTGTTGTTTGTATTTTTCTTATAAACTTGCTTAAGTTCCTTAGAGATGCTAGATTTTAGACCTTTGTCAGATACATAGTTTGCAAATATTTTTTCCCATTCTATAGGATGTCTGTTTTCTCTGTTGATAGTTTTCTTTGCTGTGCAGTAGCACCTTAGTTTAATTAGAACCAACTTGCCAATTTTTGCTTTTGTTGCAATTGCTTTTGCCATCTTCATCATGAAATCTTTGCCAGTTCCTGTGTCTTGAATGGTATTGCCTAGATTGTCTTCCAGGACTTTTATAGTTTTGGGTTTTACATTTAAGTCTCTAGTCCATCTTGGGTTAATTTTTGTTTATGGTGTAAGGAAAGGGTCCAGTTTTTTTTTTTTTCCACAACATAAGGAAGAATTGTTCACCAGTTAAGACAGTTATCTCACAAATGACAATAAAGCTCATTGCATTAAAGTTATCAGCACACCACTCTACAGTTTGCAAGTGTAGATGTTGTATCTATAGTTTTCTATGTGTGAGTACAAGTGACTATTTTAACTTCAAGTGTAGAAGTACGTGAGCATCTACATATCTAATACATATTTAATTTAAAATTATTTTCTCTCTTTTCTCCTTTGTAGCACACTTAGGAATATATACATATTCCTAAATAAGAAAAGTTAGATTATCTTTGAGTTACATTTCGGCATATTTAAGGGTAAATTATGAAATATTTTTATATTTTAAAATATTTTAGCTGAATATTTAGAAGAGAGACTTTCTGAGTATGAGCACTTTTGTAGGAATTGCAAATAACTTAAAATGTCAAACTGGCTTTAACATTCCTTGGTACTAAAATCTGAACCCTGATAAGCATCACCAAAGAGATAACAGATGACCAGTTGAATTTTGTTTTTCAGTTGTAAATGCCAAGGCATTTCTCATCCCTTTGAAACTCAGACAAACCAGGTGACCTAGTACCATCATGCCAATTCCAAGAATATAAAAACTACTTGAAAAGGCTCACACAGTAGCAGATAGGTCAGGTGATCCATCTGGTGCCAACCACTTTGGCTTTTGTTGGCCATCAATCTAAAGGTTATAATTTTGCATAAATTGGCTCGTGGCAGCAAGAAAATCTGGCCAAATGGAGTTAAACGAAAAATAGAAATCGGTTTGCCTTTCAATGTACATTTCTTTCATGCAGAATTCTCTGATTATTCTAGGCCTTATGAAGTTTACATTTTCTAACGCTAAGCCTTTATAATCTGTACCTGAAAACCCAATTCTTGTGCTCTGAAGGCAATATTGCATAGTAACTAAGAGAGCAGGGCTCTTAGAATAGACTGTCTAGCCTTAAATTCAACTTATTCTACTTATTAGGTATGTGATTTTCAACAAGTTACCTAACCTCACTGTGCCTCAACTTCCTTATTTGGAAAATAGAGACGATAATATCTACTTCACAGGTGTTGTGAGAACACAAGATAATATGCATAAAGTGCTTAAAACAGTGCTTGTTTTTATTAGGTAGCTTTTCTCAGTCCTTTTCATCTATTTTTACTACATAGGGCAGAGGATACATATTGTGCTTACAAAGTATAAGTTAACATGACTTTGTGGTATAAACTTTGACTACAGAACCGAACAAAAGGAAATGGCTTACCCACAGACCAGACGCATAATCCTTGAAAACATTAGCATGAGCACTAGCTCAAAGCTTTCTAAGATGTGTTCAAAAGACAGTTCATCATACATTTATTAAGAACCTATTATATGTTAAGCATTGTGCTAAACACTAGGGATACAGCAATGAATAGAACAAATCAGTTCTCTTCCTTCCTCACAATGGAAGAGAGAAATATGGAAGCAAACCTTTTAAATGTAACCTTAAAATTTTTGGGATAAGGATACAGAGATTAAGAAAAAATAATTTCCCTAAATTCTAGAGGAGTTGGGAAAAGCCAGTGGGCTTTGAGAAGCCAGTCTTCAGAAAAGAAAAAAGTGAGGGTGGCATGTAAGTCGGATGAAAGTAGATTATCACACATTTTCCAGAGAGCTAAATATTGCTGAGAGGATCACTTGTTAGGAGAAAAGGTTTTGGAAGGAAGGTAATCATGAGAGGGAACAAGCAAGACGGAAAAATGTTATACAGTGAGAGACCTCATTCCTCTCTATGACCCTGCAAATATTTAATAAATCTTAAAAAATGTATCATATGCTTGATGTGACTTTATTTTTTGTAGAATACATTAAAGAAGAGTAGTTTGGTTTTTACATTTAGTACTAAGCAAAACCCAAGAATCTGTGTGGACCCCAAAATGGAGACAATAGCAAACATCAGGAAGTAAAACTGGGAATTTATAGAGATCATGGGGAGGGCACTCAAGTGACACAAGTTATAAAATTGGAGATTTGAGCCAAGTTTAAATTTCTGAGAGAGAGGTACCAGATATGATTACAAGATGCTATGATGTCAGGCCTCTGAGCCCAAGCTAAGCCATCATATCTCCTGTGACCAGGACGTACACATCCAGATGGCCGGTTCCTGCCTTAACTGATGACATTACCTTGTGAAATTCCTTCTCCTGGCTCATCCTGGCTCAAAAAGCTCCCCGACTGAGCACCTTGTGACCCCCACTCCTGCCTGCCAGAGAACAACCCCCTTTGACTGTAATTTTCCTTTACCTACCCAAATCTTATAAAACGGCCCCACCCCTATCTCCCTTTGCTGACTCTCTTTTCAGACTCAGCCCGCCTGCACCCAGGTGAAATAAACAGCCTTGTTGCTCACACAAAGCCTGTTTGGTGGTCTCTTCGCACGGACGTGAGTGAAATTTTGGTGCCGTGACTTGGATCAGGGGAACCTCCCTTGGGAGATCAGTTCCCTGTCCTCCTGCTCTTTGCTCCATAAGAAAGATCCACCTATGACCTCAAGTCCTCAGACCGACCAGCCCAAGGAACATCACACCAATTTTAAATCAGGTAAGTGGCCTCTTTTTACTCTCTTCTCCAACCTCTCTCACTATCCCTCAACCTCTTTCTCCTATCAATCTTGGCGCCACACTTCAATTTCTCCCTTCTCTTAATTTCAGTTCCTTTCCTTTTCTGGTAGAGACAAAGGGAGACACATTTTATCCGTAGACCCAAAACTCCGGCGCCAGTCACAGACTTGGAAAGACAGGCTTCCCTTGGTGTTTAATCACGCGGGGATGCCTGACCCACATTTCAGAGGTGTCTGACCAGGCAAGGATGCCTGCTTTAGTCCTTCACCCTTACCGGCAAGTACCGCTTTTCCAGGGGGCAAGAACCCCCCGACCCCTTCTCTCTGTGTCTCTACCCTTCTCCGCTTTTCTAGGAGGCAAGAACCCCCTGACCCCTTCTCTCCATGTCTCTACCCCTTCTCCGCTTTTCTAAGGGGCAAGAACCCCCCGACCCCTTCTCTCCATGTCTCTACCCCTTCTCTGCTTTTCTGGAAGGCAAGAACCCCCCGACCCCTTCTCTCCGTGTCTCTACTCCTTCTCCACTTTCCTAAAAGGCAAGCACCCCCCACCCCTTCTCTCCGTCTCTCTACTCTCTCTTTCCTCTAGGCTTGCCTCCTTCACTATGGGCAGCCTTCCACCCTCCATTCCTCCTCCTTCTCCCTTAGCCTGTGTTCTCAAGAATTTAAAACCTCTTCAACTCACACCTGACCTAAAACCTAAATGCCTTATTTTCTTCTACAATGCCGCTTGACCCCAATACAAACTTGACAGTGGTTCCAAATAGCCAGAAAATGGCACTTTCGATTTTTCCACCCTACAAGATCTAGGTAATTCTTGTCGTAAAATGGGCAAACGGTCTGAGGTGCCTAACATCCAGGCATTCTTTTACACATTGTTCCCTCCCTAGTCTCTGTCCCCAATGTGACTCATCCCAAATCCTCCTTCTTTCCCTCCCGCCTGTCCCCTCAGTCCCAACCCCAAGCGTTGCTGAGTCTTTCTAGTCTTCCTTTTCTACAGACCCATCTGACCCCTCCCCTCCTCCCCAGGCTGCTCCTCGCCAGGCTGAGCCAGGTCCCAATTCTTCCTCAGCCTCTGCTCCCCCACCCTATAATCCTTTTATCACCTCCCCTCCTCACACCTGGTCTGGCTTACAGTTTCATTCCACGACTAGCCCTCCCCCACCTGCCCAGCAATTTCCTCTTAAAAAGGTGGCTGGAGCTAAAGGCACAGTCAAGGTTAATGCTCCTTCTTTATTCGACCTCTCCCAAGTCAATTAGCGTTTAGGCTCTTTCATCAAATATGAAAAACCCAGTCCAGTTCATGGCTCATTCAGCAGCAACCCTGAGATGCTTTACAGCCCTAGACCCTAAAAGGTCAAAAGGCCGTCTTATTCTCAATATACATTTTATTACCCAATCCGCTCCTGACATTAAATAAAACTCCAAAAATTAAATTCCGGCCCTCAAACCCACAACAGGACTTAACCTTGCCTTCAAGGTGTACAATAATAGAGTAGAGGCAGCCAAGTAGCAATGTATTTCTGAGTTACAATTCGTTGCCTCCACTGTGAGACAAACCCCAGCCATATCTCCAGCACACAAGAACTTCCAAACGCCTAAACCGCAGCAGCCAGGCATTCCTCCAGAACCTCCTCCCCCAGGAGCTTGCCACAAGTGCCAGAAATCTGGCCACTGGGCCAAGGAATGCCCACAGCCTGGTATTCCTCCTAAGCTGTTTCCCATCTGTGCAGGACCCCACTGAAAATCGGACTGTTCAACTCACCTGGCAGCCACTTCCAGAGCCCCTGGAACTCTGGCCCAAGGCTCTCTGACTGACTCCTTCCCAGATCTCGGCTTAGCAGCTGAAGACTGATACTGCCGAATCGCCTAGGAAGCCTACAGGACCATCACAGATGCTCTGGGTAACTCTCACAGTGGAAGGTAAGTCCCTCCCCTTCTTAATCAATAGGGAGGCTACCCACTCCACATTACCTTCTTTTCAAGGGCCTGTTTCCCTTGCCTCCATAACTGTTGTAAGTATTGATGGCCAGGCTTCTAAACCCCTTAAAACTCCCCCACTCTGGTGCCAACTTGGACAACATTCTTTTATGCACTCTTTTTTAGTTATCCCCACCTGCCCAGCTCCCTTATTAGGCCGAGATATTTTAACCAAATTATCTGCTTCCCTGACTATTCCTGGAGTACAGCCACATCTCATTGCCACCATTCTTCCCAACCCAAAGCCTCCTTTGAGTCTTCCTCTCGTATCCCCCTAGCTTAACCCACAAGTATAGGACATCTCTACCCCCTCCCTGGCAACCGATCACAGCCCATTACCATCCCATTAAAACCTAATCACCCTTACCCGGCTCAACGCCAATATCCCATCCCACAGCACACTTTAAAAGGATTAAAGCCTGTTATCACTCCCTGCTACAGCATGGGCTTCTAAAACCTATAAACTCTCCTTACAATTCCCCCATTTCACCTGTCCAAAAACCGGACAAGGCTTACAGGTTAGTTCAGGATCTGCACCTTATCAACCAAATTGTTTTGCCTATCCACCCCCTGGTGCCAAACCCATATACTCTCCTATCCTCAATACCTCCCTCCACAACCCATTACTCTGTTCTGGATCTCAAACGTGCTTTCTCTACTATTCCTTTGCACCCTTCATCCCAGCCTCTCTTCGCTTTCACTTGGACTGACCCTAACACCCATCAGGCTCAGCAAATTACCTGGGCTGCCGCAAGGCTTCACAGACAGCCCCCATTACTTCAATCAAGCCCAAATTTCTTCCTCATCTGTTACCTATCTCGGCATAATTCTTCATAAAAACACACGTGCTCTCCCTGCCAATCGTGTCCAACTGATCTCTCAAACCCCAACACCTTCTACAAAACAACAACTCCTTTCCTTCCTAGGCGTGGTTAGATACTTTCGACTTTAGATACCTGGTTTTGCCATCCTAACAAAACCATTATATAAACTCACAAAAAGAAACCTAGCTGACCCCATAGATCCTAAATCCTTTTCCCACACCTCTTTCCGTTCCTTGAAGACAGCTTTAAAGACTGCCGCCACCCTAGCTCTCCCTGACTCATCCCAACCCTTTTCATTACACACAGCCGAAGTGCAGGGCTGTGCAGTCGGAATTTTTACACAAGGACCAGGATCGTGTCCTGTAGCCTTTTTGTCCAAACAACTTGACCTTACTGTTTCAGGCTGGCCACCATGTCTCCATGCAGCGGCTGCCACTGCCCTAATACTTTCAGAGGCCTTGACTTACTCACTGCTGAAAAAGGAGGACTCTGTATATTCTTAAATGAAGAGTGTTGTTTTTACCTAAATCAATCTGGCCTGTTGTATGACAACATAAAAAAACTCAAGGATAGGGCCCAAAAACTTGCCAACCAAGCAAGTAATTATGCTGAACCCCCTTATTCACTCTCTAATTGGATGTCCTGGGTCCTCCCAATTCTTAGTCCTTTAATACCTATTTTTCTCCTTCTTTTATCCAGACCTTGTATCTTCCGTTTAGTTTCTCAATTCATCCAAAACCGTATCCAGGCCATCACCAATCATTCTATATGACAAATGTTTCTTCTAACACAATATCACCCCTTACCACAAAATCTCCCTTCAGCTTAATCTCTCCCACTGTAAGTTCCCACGCCGCCCCTAATCCCACTCAAAGCAGCCCTGAGAAACATCGCCCATTATCTCTCCATACCAACCCCAAAAATTTTCGCTGCCCCAACACTTTACCACTATTTTGTTTTATTTTTCTTATTAATATAAGAAGACAGGAATGTCCGGCCTCTGAACCCAAGCTAAGCCATCATATCCCCTGTGACCTGCAGGTACACATCCAGATGGCCAGTTCCTGCCTTAACTGATGACATTCCACCACAAAAGAAGTGAAAATGGCCGGTCCTTGCCTTAACTGATGACATTACCTTGTGAAATTCCTTCTCCTGGCTCATCCTGGCTCAAAAAGCTCCCACACTGAGCACCTTGTGACCCCCACTCCTGCCCGCCAGAGAACAAGCCCCTTTGACTGTAATTTTCCTTAACCTACCCAAATCTTATAAAACGGCCCCACCCCTATCTCCCTTTGCTGACTCTCTTTTCGGACTCAGCCCGCCTGCACCCAGGTGAAATAAACAGCCTTGTTGCTCACACAAAGCCTGTTTGGTGGTCTCTTCACACGGACACGAGTGAAACTATGGGAACAGAGAAGGAGACTGTGTTACCCAATATATGAAGATGAAGGGTAAACAAAGGCAGTCTGGAGGAGTCGGTAATTGAGCTAAATCTTATATAATTAATGGATTAATCAAAGTTGCAGCAGAACAATCCAAGCATAAAGAGAAGTGTGAGTTACAGCTTAGAAACCTAAAACAACATGCTGTGTTTCAGGAACTACAAGTAGCTTAGTCTTGATGGAGCTTGAAATGCAAAACAGAGAAATGTATAGAATGAGGTTGGGAAGTCAAGTGGAAACCAGACCATGCAGAGCTTTGTAGACTATAGTAAGAAACACAGTTTTTACCCTAAGTATAATAGTAATGAGTAAATACATGCTGAGGAAAAAAACGCATAAATTACCTATACTAGCAAAGAAGATATTTGCTTGGAGAAGTCAAAGCACCACTAGTCTTAATAGCCTGAGGCAGGCTCACATGCACTTTAGAATTGCTACTGTCCTACAGAACATCTAAGGAATTCTGAACAGGATTACAAAAGACTAAAGGGCCTGTGAATGTGGATTTTAACAGTTTAAAACTCCCTATTGTGGACTTGGGCATAGATTCCTCCTTCCCTATTTTGAAGAAAGCATACTATTTTAAATGTTATTTTAATCACAGTAATCTTTGAACATTTCACATCCTTTCAGTATTCCATGTTCTCTCTTGGCAAGGACATCACATTTACTGAAAAATTAAAGTCCGGAAATCCCTCTGTGAACTGCACATTGACTTTATGTAGCACATAGTAACTGACAGTTCCTCACGGCACTTTTATGATTTTTCCAGATTCCTATGACAATGTGAGCACTCACCAATACAAAGACATTTTATATCTTCAGAATTCACTTCTGGGATTAGATCAGCAAAAGCTGACAGCTGATATTTCTTAGATTCATTCCAATACATGTTAAAGATTGTTATAACAAATTATAGCAAACCCATATGTATGTGTGTTCCCACAACATTTACTGTGTATCATCATTTTAAGCACTGTATTATACTTTGCTGTAGGTGTTCCATTATAACCTTTATAAGAGCAAAGGACCATATATTTGTCATCTTTGTAACCCACAGTACCTGACATAGCACCTATAGGTACTAATAAATGTTTATTAATTGACTGATTGATTAAACAAATGAAGAAAAGTTTTGGTGACACCATTTCATATCTCTATTCTAAAATCCCATACATTATATTTAAATATGGCTTTTAAAACACTTTGTTTTGAAAGAGATGGTAGCCCATTTAGAAAGCCATTTTTGCTAATAGAAGAAAATTGTGTAACTATAAGGATTTTCAAAAGAGAAGTGGATTCTGAAAGCAGATGTATTTGGTTTTGTGTGATGGTTGCTAAGGGAACACTTAAATGTAAATTTCATTTTACGTAACGTTCAGTTAAAGTATTGATCAGAAGAAAGAGAAGATGCTTCAAGCCAAGTAATAAAGTGACTGAGAAACTACTTTCTTACTGGGAAAAAGGATTATATCTTATGTAATCAATCTCTCTATTTCAGCCACTGTGCATAGATGTAGAGAGGAAAGCAAGGAACAAGAGAGGAGATGTTTTCCTTCTCTTATTCTCTGGTAGTTTCTGTCTCATGTTATGATTCAGAACAGTAGAAATGGCAAAATAGCTAAATACTAGCAATTTAATTTACTTAGCATGTAGTGATCTACATTTCAACTTAAAACTCACATCTGCTGGTAAACCTCCCCTAGTTATTAAGGGTGAGGTATCTTAACATGTGTTCTCACAGTACACAGAATGTCTGCAGTCAGAGCACCCATCATACTGTACTATAATTTCTCCATTACTTCTCTGTGTTCTCTTTAATGTAAACTCTGGGAGATCAAGGGCCATTCCTTATTCATGCCTGTATCTCTAGCACCTGGCCCAGTGACCCACTTCCCATTTCAGCCTCTTCTTCTCTCATTCCCTTCTTCACATTCTACCTTCAAAATGGGACTGAAAAACTGAATTTCTGCAAATGGCATTCTTCTCCCACTTCTGGACCTTTTCACACACTGTTCTCTCTACCTGAGCCCCTAAACCCCATCATTTCCTGATGAAATTATTCCCATTCTCAGTCCTCTGTTTATGAATCACTTGCTCCCAGACTTCCCTAATTCTCAATGTCTAGGTTAGGAGCCCCTCGTATATGTTGCAGGTCTACCCTAACATGGCACTTATCTCCTGGTGTTGTAATTAATTATTTCATGGAAGTAGGGACCTCATCTTATCCCCAACCCTTAGCATTTAGGGCCTGCCACATCATATTAGCTTAATAAATATTCGATGACTGCATAAAACATAAATGCATACTGCAGACAAAGAAATCTGACAGGTGTAGGGTGATACAGGGATGCATATGACACAATTCTTGCTTGCAACATCAGGAAGGATCTGAACAAATGCATAATTAACGCCAACACAAGGCAGACTGTAATGAGTGCTACAATTAAGGCAAACACGCACTCTGGATTTTCTAGAACTGACTTGATTTCAAATAATCTATCACATTGTTCATAAGTATACTTAGAGTTGTCAAAGCATGTGTCCTGATTGTACAGTTCAGCAAATGCAGTCACTGTAGTTATAACTAAAATATAAGCAAAATGCTGGAGAGGGTGTAGAAGATGGAAAGAAGAGTTCTGAGGAAAACTTATTAGAGGAAGTGCAATCTGCATTGGGCTTTAAATGTAAAGAGGAACAGGCAGAAATGGGTGGATGGGAGACAGATTTCAGGCGAAGGAAACAGTTTGAGCAAAACTTCTGAGGCAGCAAGATGAAGGAGAAGCCATGGAATGGTGAAGAAACCAGTGTAACTAGAGTAGGAATCAAGAGGTCATCTTAAAGCATAGAAAACATGTGAAATTCCCAACCTTGGATTAGTTGTAAGCAGGCAGTTATCTTTCTCACAGGGGAGCTAAATTGATTGCCTACATAAGAAAGGCTGTAGGGGCTGTGACAGTTGGTAAGGTGCCAGAGCCTTAAAAATGTATTGTGGATGGGAGAATTTTTAACTCTAAAAAGAGTAAGAAAGAAGCCTAGTGAGGAGGAAGGATCAGAAGAATACTTATTTTTAAATTTACCTTAACCATAGGTCTTTAATGCTAAAGTACAACTGCTTAGTAATGAATTCTATCTGGATGTGGAATACAATTGAATAGAACATGCTAATCTATTTTTCAGTTAAGCCTGACTATAGAAAGCATCATTTAACTAAAACCAGGCAAAACATCTAAGAGGAACAATGTTGACTGCTAATACAGTATCATGATAGAAACATCCTCATACCTAAATCCAATTTTCTGTGCAGATCTGTACATCCACAATATTAACAATTAAATCGTGCCTTTAAGCTTGTTGATGGATAGCACATACAATTTTTGCTTAATTAATTGCTTCATTGAAATGGGTTCCTATAGGCAACACCTAATTTACTTGAATGACTGCTTTTGAATCTATGGCGCTGTATGCAGTTAATTTTTATGCAGTTCACATCCTGGCAAAGAAAGCATTTTGGACCTATTCAGTTAGCCATATCCCTAACTCCAGGGGATGTCTGAAAAAGTGATGTCTGCTTTTGCTGTTCTAGAATCAGTGGTAGATATGGACTGTTTCTTCAATATACTGAGAACCTGAGCAGAAGTGCATGAGGCAACTCTCTAATCATCGAGCTCCAGATCTCCCTAGTGTCATGTCCTTAATTGATTTGCTCTAGGTACTTATTTCATCAGATAAGCACAAATTCAAATATATGTGTAAAACTCTCCAAAGCAAGTAAGAATTCTTTTTAAATTATCCATATATTTACACTAGACCCTTAGCTGGTAGAGGCCTGGTGACAAATTAATTCGAACATTTCATTTTTCGGGAAAAGGAAACTAAAACCTAGACAAGATAAGGAACTTCCCCATGACCACCCATGTGTTTGCACAGGTTATTCACTGCATACACCCAATATGAATAGAATACCCCTTGAGTTGTGCAGCACAAAACCTGTACAATCATATGGGTAGCCCTGTTATGCCCTTGGTCATAGGAGCTAGATAATTGCAGAACCAGGATAGTATAGCCTCATGGTTAATCACTGAGGCTCGGGAGTCAGTCTACCTGAGTTCAAATCCCAACTCTGCACTTAATAGCTGTGTTGACTTATGCAAGAAGCCAAATCATTTTAAGCCTCAGTTCCTATATATTTAAAATGAGGATAATGGCATTCCCTTCTTAGGGTTATTGTATTAAACACATAGTAAATGCCTAATAAATACTAACTTCTTATTGTTGTTACTATTATTATTATCCAGACTAAAGCACAGGTCTCCTAACTTCCACTCATTTTTCCTTCCACCGCCTTCCTTTATTTGAGTATATAGAAATCCACCATATAAAAAAATTAATTAGTTATGCAATGATTTCCAGTACTCTTTCATTTGGCATCCCTAACAAAAATAAATAAATAAACATATATTGAGTACGTGTGCCAGGCCCAGTGCTAAGCATATTTATATACATCTCATTCAATCCTCACAACAATCTCATAAAGGGTTATAATTACAATTACAAATGAGGGAACTAAAGTTCATTAAGATTAAATAACCTAATTAAGACCTCTCAGATACTAAATGGAAACACCAGAATTCAAACCCAAGTCCATTTGACTCCAGAGTCAATGCTCTTAATCACTATGTTTCTTCAGTATGACGAAAGCATTTGAGTCCTGTCCCATATTTCATTACACTGACCTTTGACCTAGCCCTCTCTGTTCCTAGACCTCTACTCACTTGCTCACCCATCTAGCACCCAGTCCAGCTCTAAATAAGATATACAGCAACCCATTTCCTTTGCTATATTATTCAGTAACAAATGATAGAATCTCAATCTGCAGTGTTATACAAGGGCTATCATGAAGGGTAAATATTTCTTAGGTGATAATTTCCTATTCCCTTAGTCTTTCTTCTTGTGCTCCTTTGCTGTTTAATGTTTTGAAAAATTAATAGTTTAATTTCCAGTGTTGATTTATTAAACCAACACTGACAGGAACATCTTAAATGAATATTTTTGAGCTCATCATTTCTGCATAGCAGGTAATCATACTGCTGGAAAAAAAAAAAGGAGCCAGGGATTTGGGAAGAGTGGAGCGGGGGAGAAAAATCTCTGCATATTTCTTTCTTCTCTTTACTTTGGAGAAAAAAATTAGAGACACAGTTTTAAGTCAGAAGTATTACAGAGAAGCTCTGAGAAAGGGATAGCAAAAAATAAATCACATCTTTACTGTTCATTTGACTCTGTGTTTCTCCAGGGTTAATCTTAGTAGTAGTGAAGCCTGAATGAAAACTCAAATAAACAGAGATATGTAAAATATATACATTGTATATTTATTTATTATATATAAATGTCAGCTAAAATACGAATTTTTATGTATGTTTTTGTGGGGTCTTGTTATCAGTGATCAATGGCTATTGGTCATAGCCACTATAAATAGAAGTTTAAAAATACTATAAAGATTATGATTAGAGATATAATGTAAGTTTTTTTCTTAATTTTTGTAGATTTTAACTGACTTGCATTTACTGGATCAATTTATGTTTGCTGTTATTGTTGTTTTCTCCAAAATATAACATTGATGATTATGACTGACTTTTCTCATAATTGTGGGCTTTATCATGTATGCTTTCTATACACAGGAATAGCCCCTTCCTCTAGGCCAGAGGTTAGAGTATTTTTTTCCATAAAGGATCAAATAGTAAATGTTTAGGCTTTGTGACCCATACAGTCTCTGTAGTAACTACTCGGTTCTGCCACTGTAGCAGGAAAGCAGCCATAGACAGTATATATAAAGGAATGAGCATGGCTGCGTTCCAACAAGACTTTATTTATAGACACTTAAATTTGAATTTTATGTAATTTTCACATGCCAAAAATATTCTTCATTTGATTTTTGTTTCAACCATTTAAATATGTAAAAATCATTTTGGGCTCACAGGCTGTACAAAACTAGGCAGCAGGCAGAATTTGGCCTCCAGGCCATAGTTGTCAACCTCTGATCTAGGTATGGACCAAGCAGATACTAAAAGTACATGTTATATACTTTTAAATAAATTTTTATAGCAGTTTTAGGTTCACAGCAAAGTCAAATGGAAGGTACAGACATTTCCATGTATCCCCTACTCCCACATATTCATAGCTCCCGACAACAAGTAATATATATTATGACTTTGCCATTTGTCCTGTAGTATAAGAAATAGATCATAGCAGGACTTAACAGGTCACACTAATTTTCAGGGTAAGGCTAAGATTTGAGGAGGTATAAACCCCCACCATAACTGCTCTAAATATAAGTAGATCTTTACTTTGACGGTTACTGACAGGAAAAAAAAAAAAAAAAAAAAAACCTTGCAACTAGTAGAAGATGTATGTTAATAAATATCTACCTTTTGGTTCTAAAGAGACGCCATGAATAAATGTTTTTCAATCATGTTCTTTTTGTTTGATGCATAATGGAAAACTGACAGAGAACAATCACCTTCACTTTCTTACCTCATGAGCAGCTGCTCATGTTGGCATACTTAATTTAGCTTCCTAAAACAAGGGCCTCATCCTTCTGAGATGAGTCAAAAACTGGTTTAGCCACTTCCTATAATTGCTTAGACATAGTACATCAAGAAATAATAGACCCTCTCTGGAATTCTGGTTCAAATTGGTAACTTAGCAGTGACATTCATGCAACTGTAATGATTTCAAAAACAATTATCTAATTTTTATATGGGTCACTCTTACATGGACTGACGCTCCACGAGGGTAGGGATCAGGATCATGTGTGTTTGGCTCACTGCTGTATCCAAAAGGCCTGGCACAATGCCTGGAATATAGGAGGTTCTCAATAAACAAGGCATTATTATATGGTTAAGAGTATGTACTTCAGAGTCAAAAAGGTATGGATTTAAATTCTGGCTCCACTTGACTTTGAAAGTCACAGAACTTCACTGAACTTCAGTTTTCTCATTTATGAAATGAGGATAATAGCGGATTGAAGTAACTTATATATTACTTTATATAAAATAATATGACCATTAGCATATAGAAAGCATTACATAAATGCCAATTGTAATTACCCTTCTTCCTCTTCTTTCTGCTCCTCTTCATCAATATTGTTTCTCCTCTTATTTGTGTTTCATTTTATTTACCGATTCTCAGGTCAAAGATAACTTTGTTTCACTAGTCTAGCTAGGTGACCTATTGATATGCAAACACTACCCTTCAGCCTGACAAGGTTTTTCACAGAGGTTTTAATCCATGATTTCATGAATAATGTTTCCTATGGGCCCAGTTAGAGTGACCAACTATCCTGGTTTGTCCCAGACTGAGGGAGTTCCCAGGACACAGGGCTTTCAGTGCTACAACTGGAATAAGCAAACTGGGATGAGTCTTTCACCCTACCCTTAAGTTTCCTTTCTTGTCATTTTCGCATTGAGATGCCACCCTTAAGAAATCAATTTGCATTTGGGGTGGTTAGATGAATAAGAGAAAAGGGAAGATTGGACTCAATGCCTCTGGAAGAGACAAGGACAGAATGCCAAACAAGAGTGCCTGTTTTCCTCTGTCCCCAAATAGAAGCCTGTAGCACGTCATAGAATGGCTAATCAACTGGTTCTAGCATACAGCAGAATTGGTATTTACATTCATTCCCATCAAAAATGCTAATTGAAATTATTTACAGCTAAAGGAAGTTTGAAAACTCCTTTCATTATATAGACAAAGCCTAGGAAGGTGGTATTTTTCTCTCTTTTATTATTCTTTATCATAAGCTCTTGTTCTACAGATCAAGGAGCAGCCAGGCCTTTCACAGCTGGCTATTCTAACTTCTGAAGATTTATTCATATGAAAATCCAAATATAGGCTTTATGCTTGGTTTCTGAGATAAAGGAGAATTTCTTTGTTGGTGTGGTCTCCTCCATATAGCTAGAGGACTGCTTTTCTGCTGCACACCATTCTTTATGACTTGCTTTGGGATGGGGATGGCCTCAGAGGAAGGAGGAAGGTGGAAGGTGTCTCTTATTGAAAGACCAATTACCTTTTTTTTCTTTTGCCCAGAAACTTTACAATTCCTGCAGAAACCCTCCAGAATTAACTGGAGACTGTAGGCTCCTGTCAAGGGAAATGTGAAAACCTGCAACACCCAAGGTTAATCAGGCATCTCAAGAAATAGTTTTATAATAACAAGAACATTTTGCATGAGATATTATTGTAACAAGTGCTAATATTTATTCAAAGTTTACTATATGCCAGGAACTTTGCCTATAATATCTCACTTAACCTTTTCATGAGCCTGTAAAGTAACGATTATTATTATCCTGATTTTACAGTGGCAAAAACTGATGCTGTAAAAGGTTAAACAATCTGTTCAAAAACATATCTAGTAGGCAGCTGAGACTAAATCTGAAATCTAAATGGTATAACTATAGAGGCTACACTCTTAAACAGAAAACTATGACACCTAGTCCATTTATTTTTATTGGTGAAAATGGAAATGGAGGGAGAGATTATTGCAAGATGATGGAGGATGGGGAACATAATATAATCACAAAGTAATTTCGGAATCTGCTTTGTCTTCTTTTTGAAACGGAGTCTCGCTCTGTCGCCAGGCTGGAGTGCGGTGGTGCGATCTCAGCTCACTGCAACCTCCACCTCCCGGGTTCAAGTGATTCTCCTGCCTCAGCCTCCCGAGTAGCTGGGACTACAGGCGCATGCAACCACGCCTAGCTAATTTTTGTATTTTTAGTAAAGACAGGGTTTCACCATGTTGACCAGGATGGTCTCCATCTCTTGACCTTGTGATCCACCCGCCTCAGCCTCCCAAAGCACTGGGATTACAGATGAGAGCCACCGCACCCGGCCTGAATCTGCTTTTTCATATGCTACCTAAAGGTCAAGAATCACATCTGGGCCAACTATAGCCCACATGGCAGTTGTTGGTTCTTTAAGACAGAGGCTGAGCTAACAAGGTTATATATACAATGCAACACACATGAATTTTTCTGAAGAATCAGACCTATGCCAGGATTGAAATGAATTCTAAAGGTCTTCTAAATCCAATCTCTCAAGCTTGAATCTCCGCAGGACATGATTTGCCATTTAGTCTCAGTTTGAACACCTCTAAGATGGGGAACTCACTACTATATATCACTATTAGTACATCTATGAGACAATTTATCTTTACACTGAATGAAAATCTGTCTTAGCGTTTTCATTCAGTGGGCTTGATTCAACTGTTTCAGGACATATAGACCAACTCAAATTTCTCTACCATGACTCTCCCCAATTGTTTAACTAACATATATAGCATTTACTATGTACCAAGCACTTTTTTAAGTATTTTGCATAACGAGTAATTTAATCCTCATAACAACCCTGCAAAGTAGATACAAGAGTCAACCACAACTTTACAAATGAGAGAACTCAGGCAACACAGCTAGGAAGTTCAGAGCTCACTTCAGAGTCTATACCTTCTACCACCATGTTATATTGATCCTCAAATCTTTTCTTTACCAGCATTAACAGTGATACTTCCTCTAAACTTTTTCATATGGAATGCCTTTGAGTTTTCTCATTATATTGGTTTGCTTTATTTGAAAACATTTGCTTCGCTGTGGCCCTTTTTTGTTGAGAATTAATTACTACACTAGCTAGACATGCTCTGATAAGGTAAAGAGAGACTGCCACCTTTCGGTTGAATATCTTCTCTTCCAAACTACTCTTTACTCTGCCCTTTACCAACAAGTCTGAACTCCTTTATGTACCACATTAACTAGGCTCTCTTGTCCTGTGGATTTTAGTTAGTTTTGGACTGCGGAAATAACTGGAGAGTTAATGGAGGAGGAAAATGAGGATGTGGAAGCAGAGATTTTATTCCCCTGGTACTCACTCCTGCTGGATCTCAGGTTGGCTGTAGTTGTGTTTTTCTACCAAAAGCCACAGTTCCTATCAGGAACTCTTGGAGTTCCAGAAACTGCTTCTCTCTTTGCTCTTCAGGCTTAAAAAAGATAATAGTTCCATATTATTGAGAGTGGATCACTATCTCTTCTTAGTATCCCAAATCCCTCCCCATACCTTTGTATATAGCCCCTTTATTAAACTCTCCTCAAATTTGTCCTCAGAGTCTTATCTGTCTCCTGCAAGGAATCTGACCAATTCAACCTCCTTCCCTCTAAATTCTATGATTTATTTAATCCAATCTAAGATTGAATGGCCTTGCCAGGAATTCCGTAAAAGGAACTAATTCAAACCCTCACATAAGAGGTTAAACCATATACACTTGGGGTTTTCTTCAATTCTGAAATGCAGAATTGAAATTTATCGTTTTGTCCTTAAGCATTTAACATAAAACTCATTAATTCCCTAAGCCCACTGTGCAATAAAACTACAGTGAGTAAGCAGAAATCAATAATACACAATACAGCTGAACTTGTTATTACATGATTTTGGACATACATAGGTCAAATTAAGCCCTTTGAGACTTAGAAACCCCACAAAATAAGTCTAATACAGTTCTTCTAAGAGAATTTGCCTTACCTCTACAGTAACATTATAAAAAGGTTAGACTATACATGGAATGCACAAATAAATCAACATCTAAAAAGGCAAATGGGAACAATTTTCCTCTGAAAACTGTTTCTGGGCAGTATGTATTTGTAGTTACGGGTTCAGAAACACTAGAATCTAATGATCTGTTACCAAAGTGAAGTGCCGAGCTGGTACTGATTTAGCTTTAGTTACTTAGAAACTGTATTGATCCTTAAATGATACATTTTAAAATTTTGCATTCAAGGCATAAAGTAGTTCCATCCAATTGATTAATACATACTGGAATATCATTTTTGTTTTTGAGACCTTTCTCTCTTGGCTGAGATACGAGTAATCAAGTGACAGATTAAAAGTGGATTTTATAGCTGAAAATTTAACCTAAATGAGTTCTCATTCCATCCTGTAAAAAGAAAAAAATGTCAGATTCATTTTTAGAAAATGAGTGACTGAAAAATGGATAAGACAGCTTAGTGCTCATGGAGAAATACCTGCCTTTCTGCTCCCTAGACAATCTTACCATTTTCCACATACACTTTGAAATTCACAGATGTGGTGAGAGATTCAAAGCGTTCTTCCCAAAATCTCCTCAGGTGTACATCACGCGACAGTGAAAGTACCATGAGAATTTCCACGTTTCTATATTATTAGGTTGGTGCAAAAGTAATTGTGGTTTTTGCTATTACTTTCAATGGTAAAAACCACAATTACTTTTGCATCAACCTAACAGAAAATTTTCAAATAGTGTTCGGACTCCTCTTGCTTGCAGTTAAAGAATTGTGATTCCTTTCTAACACTGCTGACAAACAAAGAGATTCTGGGTCACTTCTCCATCAGCTAAGGTGTGTGAAGAATGTACATATTTTCCCATTTAGAGAAATCATAGAGTCAGATAAAAGAGAATAGCATGCACCAAAAATGAAAAATCAGTGACTTGTGATGGAAATATCTGGCTTTGAATCCCCACTCATCATTGAGTGGTAGTGTGACCTCGCACAAGTTCACTTAAGCTCTCAGCACTTCAACTATAAAAATAGAGATAAAAATTCCATTTCGCATGAATGCTGTGAGGATTTAATGATATACATGAAAGAGCCTAGAAAAATAATCATCCCATGGAATTTTTTCAATAAATGAGTTTCATTTCATAATTTTTTGTTGTTGTTGTTGTTGAGACGGAGTCTCTCTCCATCACCCAGGCTGGAGTGCAGTGGTGCCATCTCGGCTCACCGCAACCTCTGCCTCCTAGATTCAAGTGATTCTCCTGTCTCAGCCTCCCAAGTAGCTGGGACTACAGGCACATGCCCCCATGCCCAGCTAATTTTTGTACTTTTAGTAGAGAGAGGGTTTCACCATATTGGTCAGGCTGGTCTCGAACTCCTGATCTCAGGTGATCCACCTGCTTCGGCCTCCCAAAGTGCTGGGATTACAGGCGCGAGCCACCGTGCCTAGCCAAGATTTGTTTTTAAGTAATATAATCTAGTTAGAGTAATAAGCCAAATATCTTTGAAATAAATGGAGAACATTATAAGGCAATATAGAATCAGGTGTCACATGGAATAATCTCAAGTCTCAAAAATCTGTATTTTCATGAGAATTAACCACTTTGTGCATTAGTCAAAAAAGTGCTTAATTCCTAGGCTATCAATTATCCATACCTACGTAGTTGTGCTCATTGACAGACAACTGGTATTTCTACTGGACTCAATAAAACACAAAAGTTTACTTGCAATATGATACACCTCTAGCACAAATATCAAGGATGCCTAGATTATCTACCGCTCTTGGAATAACTGTTCCAATGTTCTCCTCCAGTGAGTAAAGATAATAAGAAATTTGTATTTGCACCTGGCCCAGCAGGCTCAATCTGCTAATGAAGAATTTTCAGGGGTTATCTAATGTGTTTAGCTGCCTGTTAGTAGCCTTTCAACTTATAAAGCGGTTTACAGTTTCCAAAGTGATTTGACATGCATGTGAATTTCCTACTGAGTACTGTAAGCAGGACTTGCAGATTTGGTTATTAGATTATTTAAATGTCCAGAAAGATATAAACACACAATGTCCCCTGCCACACACAAACCATAGCATCTGAGTACATTCCAAGTATAGATTAGATTCAAATACACACATATTGAGCCACTCATTGAGCAAGAATTTAAACAGTCTGGTTCCAGAGAAACTTAAAAGTGTCCATGTAGCAGGAGACAAAGGAGCATCTAAACTTGCAGCAAGTCACAGAAGTATCTCCTTGTCCCACAGACACCTGCAATTGCTAAAAGTGATACCAATAGTAAATCAAGCCAGGAAGAATAATGGCAAGGAACCTACTATGTAAAAGCAGACTAGCAAGTGAAAAATTAGGCTCTCAGGCCACGCAAGAGAAGGGTCAGCTGGGGGGAAATGCATGCAGCCTCCCGCCTTACCTCGCTTACTAACTATATACTAAAGCACCAAATCTATCTCAATCTTCCTTCTCCTCCTCTTCTAACTTTTGCTTCTAAGAGAAAACATTCAGATTCAATCTTTTCTATGGCCTTCATTTTCTTTAAAATACCTACATTTTGGCCAGGCGTGGTGGCTCACGCCTGTAATCCCAGCACTTTGGGAGGCCGAGGCGGGCGAATCACGAAGTCAGGAGTTCAAGACCAGCCTGGCCAACATGGTGAAACCCCGTCTCTACTAAAAATACAAAAAATTAGCTGGGCGTGGTCGTGGGCGCCTGTAATCCCAGCTACTCGGAAGGCACAGGCAGGTGAATCACTTGAACCTGGGAGGCAGAGGTTGCAGTGAGCTGAGATCACACCACTGCACTCCAGCCCAGGTGATGGTGCGAGACTCCGTCTCAAAAAAAAAAAAAAAAATTCTACATTTTATGCCCATAGCTATCAAATTTCTAAGGATCAGAGATTGGACCATGTTTCCTTTGGAAGCAGACTCAGCTCAGAATAGGACCTGAATAAAGGTAAGGTGTATCTCTACTCTCTCTGACAGCCACTATCCCAGGAGTCCACTAGTTTCCTGCTACCTAGCTACCCAGACCCCATACTAGAAGGCTCACAGAAAATCCGTCCCCTTCTTTCACAAAAACATCACTTAGGCTCTTATTCATTGCTTTTCAAAGTGATAGCCTGAACATCTTAGTAACTCATTTGTGCTGAGTTGTCAAAGGAAAGTCAATGTGGTACACATTCTGTGATCATTGGTTTCTTTCGTAGGGGTTTATTTCCAGTAGGGACTATGGCATGAGCACAAGAAAAGGATCTCTAATGATGGGGATTTGGGCTATTTGGGTCAGGTCAGTAGGAGAAAGATTTTAGAACACATCTTCAGCCAACTCTGAATTCTTTACCATTTGTCCCTTGTGGCTTGCTTGCCATTTACACATTGTCCCCCTGATTTTTAAACCCTAGCTTTCCCCTACAGGCTATGGTTTAAACCAATTCTTAAATATTCACTGTGCCCTGGTGCCTGCTCCAGCATAGGCCCCTCATAATCCACACTCCAACACCAGCACCCAGTCAAGTCTGCCTACCTCATCTACTCCAAGGTGGGAATCAGATAGAAACAAAAAAAAAAAGTAAGGGGGACACAAAGCCGTCCCCTTTTCAAGGAAAATACAATTTAGTGGAGGTAAATAAATACATTCTCAATTACAATCTTAATGTGATAAGTTCCTCTATACCTAGCAATTAGAAAATGCTTTATGTAGGAGGAAACATTTACTGGATCTTTAATGTAATAGGGGGGTTTGCTAGTCAGGGGAGAGGAGGACATTCCAGAAAGCAGGGACTGAATATGAGAAAGGCTGGCATGCTCAGGCAAAAGCAAGACAGTTAATGATTTTGGAAAGTACCTGACACACAGAAGGTGTCAATATTTTTTTATTATTGTGGTAAAATGTTCATAACATAAAATTTACCATTTTAACCATTTTTAAGTGAGAAGTTCAATGAAATTAAGTAGATTCTCATTGTTGTACAACCATCACCATCAATAAATTTTTTGAAAAAATAAATGAATACACAATGGTCCCCTCAATCTTCACCTTCACTTTCTGTGGTTTTAGTTACCTGTAGTCAACCACGGTCTGAGAATAGGTGAGTACAGTACAGTAAGATATTTTCAGATATTATATAGAAAGACCATATTCACATAGCTTTTATTACAGTTTATTATTATAATTGTTCTATTTAATTATTAGTTGTTGTTAACCTCTTACTATGCCTAACTTATAAATTAAACTTTATCAAAGCTATGTATACATAGGAAAAAACAGTTTATATGAAGTTTGATATTATCTATGGTTTCAGGCATCCATTGGGGGGGTCTTGAAATGTATCCCTTGTAGATAAGGGAGACTATTGTAGTGAGATTATAAAGAACCTGGTAAGTCATGCTAAGGAGTATGAAATATATTCTGCAGGCAATGGGAAAATATTTGAAGGTTACAGGCATAAAAGAGGACAAAGAAATCAAAAGGAATTTTGGAGACAAAAATGTACAGCAATCACTCTCAACCCTGACCACCTATTAGAGCTTTGAAAAAAATATCACAACTGTGCTTGGGTCCTACTCACACCAAATACATCAGAAGCCTTGGAAAACTGGACTTGTATCAGTAATTACCAATAACTTTCCAGGTGATTCTAACGTACAGCTGAGGTTGACACTCACTGCACTAGAGCAGAGATTCTCAATGTAGTCCCCAGATTACCGGCTTCATCTGGGAACTTGTTCAAAATGCAAATGCTCAGCCTCCACATTGGACCTACTGTTTCAGAAACTCTGGAGGTAAGGCCCAGCAGCCTGTGCTTTAACAAGATGCCCTGATGATTCTGGTTCATGTTAAATTTGAGAATCATTGATCTATAAAAATTGTAGGGATTGAGGATTGATTGGAGGGGGTAAGAAGTGAGTGACAGGCAGATGGCCAAGATGATGTCCAGGTTTTATAGTTTTTAGTTTGATCATATAGTTGGTAGAGGGATAATAATCCAGGATAAGAAACAGGGAAGGTAGTTTCCATCTAAGAGCTGAATCAAGACACTATTGGAAAGAAAAGTAGAATCTATTCAGAACCAATTTCTCAAAGCTATGGAAAGTATGGACTAAAATTCAGGATCACAGCAACACACTTCCCATGCTTGTAAGGTGGAAGGGTGTTGGTGTTGTGCCTGCACTCCACTGGATACAGCTGGAAAAGGGGACAGTCAAACAATGTTGCTTAGCCAAGGTAAAAAACAAAAAAGAAACAAACAAACAAAAACACCTGATCAAAGAAGGTTTGGATTAAACTCAGGAATCTTGCACTCCTGGGATCCTAATCCTTCAACCTCACATTCTCTCAATGCCCTACGCCCAAACAACCCATGCTCTTCTGTGGCTTGAATGTCATCTTTTCTATTAAAGGACAAGTTTGGAGAAAAGGAAAAAGCAACCTTTCCAAACATCCTACCTTTGTTGTTATTGTTAAATGCCAGAACTGAATACCCATCTGATTTCTCTAATAGTGTGCAGTGACGGTATATTTACAAGAGCGTGCTGCCTTCAAAGAGCAGTTCGGAATTCTCTGAGGTTTAAATCTTAAATTACTTCATAAGAGATTTAACAGCAAGGCTTCAGACAAACTGGCTGTCTGAAGTGCACTTCAATGTGTGCATGCTGTAATCAATCAAATTGACTGATAAAGACATTTGCAATGAGTTTACTAGAAAAAACTTCAATAGTCCTTTGGTCTCCAAAGCTCCTGCTGTACTTATGATTTTCTTCAAAAAGTAAGAATATTTATTAGTAAAATAATTTCCTCTTTTCAAGCACAAAACTGACAGCTTTGATTTTCCAGAGGAGGATTAGAGTCTCCCCTTGCTAAGTAAATGTAAAGCTCTATGGAAATTAATTAATGTAATATCAACCACATGACTAATGTTGTTTTGCCAAACTCCTATCAACTCAAATAGCCAAGGAACAGGTTCAAATGGCTGAAGAAGAGACCCAGAGCCAGCAAAGCAAACATGGAGTTTTACCGGGAGCTTACATACAGGGGAGAGAGTCCAGTGGTGGCGAGCTGGACAGAAGAACTGCCTTACATACGGTCCAATGGCAGTGGGTTGGACGAGAAAACTGCAGCAGCTTGCAAAAAGCATGCAGTTTATATAGCATTTTCACTCAACACCCTTTCCCTAACAACCTTCACCTGGCAACCTTCATTCAACCCAAAACTTCGGGGCCTCCATTCCCAGCATGGCCCCTAATCCACAGGATGGACTGGGGTTCAAGATGTTCCTCATAGAAAAAGAACAAATCTCCAGGTTGGCTACTCCCAGATTCCCTCACTCTGAGCACACATTTAGGTGTGTCTGCCATACAAGGTCGTTCTCAGGGCATACTTAAATTATTTCTATCAGGTGCATTTACCATACATACATGTCTTAAGTGAGTATGTACTACGGACTCAGCATCGTGTCAGATTTCAGGGCATTGGTTCTCAAAAGTGGCTGCACACTGAAATCACCCAGAAAGTTTTACACATGACTGATGCCTGAGCTTTGAACTCAGAGATTCTGATATAATCAGTCAATGTGGGGCCTTGACACTGGGACTGCATTAGTTCGTTCTCACACTGCTATAAAGTTATCACCCAAGACTGGGTAATTTATAAAGAAAAGTGGTTTAATTGACTCACAGTTCCACATGGCTGGGGAGGCCTCAGGAAACTTAAAATCATAGCAGAAGGGGAAGCAGGCACATTCTTCACAAGGCAGCAGGAGTGAGAGAGCAAGAGTGAGTGAAGTGGGAAGAGCCCCTTACAAAACCATCAGATCTGTGAGAACTCACTGTCACGAGAACACCACGGGGGGAGCCTCCCCCATAATTTAATCACCTCTCTCCCTCGACATGTGGGGATTACAGTTCCCTCCCTTGACATGTGGGGATTACAATTTGAGATGCAATTTGGGTGGGAACACTGAGCCAAACTATATCACGGACATTGAGAAACTCCTCAGGCCATTCCCAGAGCCTTTAATTTAAACAAGCTTTTTAACAACCTCTGTTTCCTTATCCAGATTTTCTCACTGGACCATGTGTCTAAATGGTTCTTTCCTCAGCATCACTGTTTAATTCTACTTTCCTTATAAATACAAAGTATAGAACAGCAACCTGACCGGGTGTGGTGGCTCACGTCTGTAATCCCAGCACTTTGGGAGGCCAAGGCGGGTGGATCACCTGAGGTCAGGAGTTTGAGACTAGCCTGGCCAACATGGCAAAACCCCATCTCTACTAAAAATACAAAAAAAATTAGCCGGGCGTGGAGGCAGGCGCCTGTAATCCCAGCTGCTCAGGAGGCTAAGGCAAGAGAATAGCTTGAACCCAGGAGTTGGAGGTTGCAGTGAGCTGAGACCACGCCACTGCACTCCAGCCTGGGCAACAGAAAGGGGCTCTGTCTCGAAAAACAACAACAACAACAAAACCAACCAAACAAACAAAAAGAACAGCCACCTTATGTGCCATGCACTGATTGGGTTTCTTTTATTTAAATGGGAACACAAATCTTCAAAGTCCATGTGAAATACTGAGTAAAACCTGCATTATCTTAAGACAGAGTGTATTTTCTGGTCTAACACCTATTAATGTATCATAAAATAGCACTGGAAACATTCCTTCAGGCCCCCCCCTCCCGCCCACACATACATACATTCACACACACACATAACTTTCATTATTTGTTTTTCAAAATACAAATAAGTCATTATTTAGAAAATAGGACACCACCACTGAGACATATGAAATACTTCCAAACCATACTCTATCAGACGTAGCCTGAAGAGGTTGCAACCGCTTAACAGTTAAAGTTAGAGAGATACCTCTATTTGCAGCTCTAAATATTCCATTAGATGCTAGGTCCTGTCAGCACTTCAGTACCAAAAGATGATCTTCCAAGAAAAGTTATTTCTAGTTCAGTTGGCACTCAAAAGTTTCACCACAGGGACTACTTTTTTTTTCCTAATGGTCAAGTAGAAATCACCAAACTGAGCCAAACTGTACCTCCACTAGCAACAGTTGCAGAGAGGTAAGACCCAGTCAACATCTTCAGAGGCAAGATCTGATTTGCAGTCTGTTGTAGAGGGAGACAAGGGAAGACATTTCAAATACATTGCCTTCTTTTTAATTTTTTAATTTTTTAATTTTATTTCAATAGTTTTGTGGTACAAGTTGTTTTTGGTTATAAGGATGAATTATATAGTGGTTAAGTCTGAGATTTTAGTGTACTCATCACCTTGGTAGTGTAAATTGTACCTAATATGTAGTTTTTTATCCCTCACCCTCCTCCTCCTCTCCCCCACTTATGAGTCTCCAATGTCTATTATACCACTCTGTATGCCTTTGTGTACCCATAGCTTAGGTCTCACTTGTAAGTGAGAACATGCGGTATTTGATTTTCCATTGCTGAGTTACTTCACTTAGAATAACGGCCTACAGTTCCATCCAAGTTGCTGAAAAAGACATTATTTCATTCTTTTTTATGGCAGAGTAATATTCCACGGTATATGTATACCACATTTTCTTTACCCACTCATTGGTTGATGGGTATTTAGGTTGGTTCCATATTTTTGTAATTGTGAATTCTGCTGTCATAAACGTGTGTGTAAGTGTAAGTGTCTTTTTCATGTAATGACTTCTTTCTCTTTGGGTAGATACCCAGTCTTGGGGCTGTTTACATGATGAATCACATTTATTGACTTGTGTATGTTGAACCATCCCAGCATCCCTGGTATCAATCCCACTTTATCATGGTGAATTATCTTTTGGATGTGCTGTTGGATTTGGGTTGCTAGTATTTTGTTGAGGATTTTTGGATGTAAGCATCAAGGATATTGGTCTGTAGTTTTCTTTTTCTGTTATGTTCTTTCCTGGCTGTGCTATCAGGGTGAAACTGGCTTCGTAGAATGAGTTAGGGAGGATTCCCTCCTTCTAAGTCTTTTGAAATAGTTTCAGTAGGGTTGGTACCAATTCTTTTTTGAATGTCTGGTATAATTTGGCTGTGAATCTGTCCATACATTGCCTTTTCTTAAGTGAAGAGGTTAAAATGGGGAGAATTGCTAGTGTCTCCTGTGGCTTTCTTTTGTTGGGTTCTTTCAGAATATTAATGTCTGTTAAGATCAGCTACTTTTCATTTTTCTAAATGGAATCCCCCATCCCTATTTAGATTTACCATCCCACAAATAATTGTTGCATGCCTAGTAAATGCCAAGTTCTAGGCATGGGAGCCAGAAGCCATGTATTTCAGGCCTGGCTCTGCCCTCTACCTTGCTGTTTGACTTAAAGCAAGTACATTTTCTATTTGAGGCCTCAGTTTCTTTGGCTTTCAAGGCAATTATCATTTCTGCCCTATTTCTGATATGAGATTGGAATAGGGAACAAGGGAGATAATAGATATGAAAGACTTTGAAAAATAAAAATTTTGTGTACCAAGTTCAAATTATTCCTACTTGGGATTATAGGTTACAGTGACCAAAAACCCACTGAAAATAAATTTGTTTTAGGAAAAAGGATTTATTTTACAAATGCAGGACATTCTCATAGAATCCCATTGCCAGAAGTATAGATGGACCTCACAGAAACTACAAAGTCAAAAGATAGCTACTCTGCCTCTCTCTCTCTCTCTATGGACCATGTGGTCTCTCATCTCCATTTCTCTATATATCTGCCTTATTCATTTCTTGCTAACCAACTTCTCCATGTTCATGACTCAGCAGTCTAACTGACCCAGTCTTTGTAATCCCAATTGAACAGTTTCTGGAGAATCTAAGGTCCATCTAAATGTCATCAGCCACAGCAAGGAGGGCAGGATCACATGAGATTGGGATGGGCTGTTCCTCAAATATGAACAAATTAAACACTCTAAGAAGATGATGGTGAAGAAAGTTGTTAGCACTTTAGCGCACAAATGTGATGAGTATAAAACTGCATAAATAACTTATAACTTCATTAGTCTTATGGAAAACAGAATTAGTCTTCCTAAAATCTCAAATGAGACTGTCTACTTATAACAGGCATAAGAATGCTTTTGCATTATAGTGAGAGGATAGGCATGGCTCCTTACCTATAACTAGTGGTAAAGGGAAAATCTTGCAGATTATTAATGCCTTTCTATTTCTCTGGCTTGCAAGAGTCACAGAAAAAAAAAATCCGGAGTCATTATTTACTTTACCTGCCCCCATTCACCTCTGAAAAACTAGTAAATAAAGATGATAGCTGTCAGGTGTTTATAAAAATTAACTTTATCTTTTGAGAATTTATGCTTTTTAAACTCAATGGGTTAAATAAATAAAACATTTTAACTTGATTTTTAATGCTAAATTTTTAAGCTTTGAATGAAGATTTTCTGTGTATAGGTAGGTGAATAAACTTGTCAAAGCACAGATGTAGTTAAAAATGGGTCAGTGTCTCCACTTGAGCTTTGATAAGTAATACAACTGCCTCATTTCCTACTTCAGTCAGGGTGATCACCAGTTTTACCCCCTTGGTCAAAAATCAGTATTATGGTGTGAGTACATCTAGCATCCCAGTAAAGCTTCCCAGTAGAGAGTTGTGAGGGTCCTAACTAAAAACAAGGGATTTAGATAAATATTCTTCACAAATTCAAATCCAATCATTTTATTTGATAGGAAATAGGTGGAAGGGTAAAAAGCATTCCCCTAGCTTGAAAACAATGTGGAATAATAGACCAAAAGTATGACTTTAGTGTTACTGATCACCGTTGGCAGCATGGCCACCAAACAGCTCTCCAGTTTATATCAAGAGCAGAGATTCCTTGCATAGCTGAGCCTGTCTTCTTTGTAGCCAGAGATGATCTATATACTGCATAAACATGATATTCAAAAGATAAGTTATTCCACCAATTCTGAGAGCTGTCAGAAATAGCTCCCCCTGGCTGCAAGGTTGCATTTGAGTCATATTTTTATTTACCATGTATCTCTTCAGTGAATCCAGATATCTGAGTTTTAAAACATCTGCCCATGTGAAAAGATTACATTGGATCCCAAGGGCAAACATCTTTATAATATATTCTTATTTTCTTAGGAGAACAAGACTATAAGATGGGAAATAGAATACAGTCATCTTTTGAGGACTTCCCAATTTACCTAGCAATCTTCCTCTCTTCTTTCAAGTCATAGCTGCTTTTACATCACAGAGGAAAGTGTTGGGTTCCCTTGTTATAGAGAAATTGAGTGCTTTCTGCCACGTGGAACACACAATATTTATTAAACATAGCATAAGTCATATTGTGTAGCTAGACATGGAGATTAGAAATTTTTCCAGAAGAAAATTATTCCAGAGGTCACAGGTTATACTTGAAACTCCAGTATAAAACAGCAGGAGCCCAAGATCTTGGGAAGACAAATCCAGATTCACAGATAGATTCCAGGTCCACTGTATGTATTTGGTGGGTGGTGGAAGTTAGGGGGTAATAATTACACGTGAAATGTAATCTTAAAGGCAAGATTCCATCGGTCAGCTTAACAATGACCATTGATACCTGCTAAATGTTTGCACACTTGCAACAAACGCTTTAATTCTAAACACAACATAAGGTAGTAATTTTCAACTGTTAGTATATTTCAGAATGACTTAAAATTTTTATTAAAATTGAGATTCCCAGGTCCCACCTCCTGAGTTTGTAGTTTAGAAAATCTGTGGTCGGCCCTAGCAACACACATTTTTACCAAGCACTCTGAATAGTTCAGATGCCTTCAGGTAAGCTATTGCCTCCAGTAGCCCATTGTTAAAATCACATAATATGAACATATTGATCCATAACTCCTAGTGGTTCTTTAACAAATGTGTAGATAAGCTGACTCATGTAGGACTCGGTTTGGGATGCAGGGAAGAGAAAGACTGAAACTTGAGGTACTGCTGCGGTAGGAGAACAACAATATAGGGACATTAGTCAGCCCACGGGCAGTCGAAGATAACTGTGCATAGGCATAGGATGAGGCAGTTATGACAAAACCAGATGAAAAGAGAGAAAAATGCGAGTAAGTGGTAGAGAATAAAATTCAACTTGACTTCCTTTGCATCAAACAAGCCCACAAGAGGAAAATATCTAAGTGTTGGGGGAATATGGTCATCCAGTAAATAAATCACCCTTGCCATCATTTCTGCTGTGATCTCTTTGCATGCATCTTAGTACTGAGGATATCAGCTCCACCAGGAAAAACAGAAGCACAATGCTGGCATCATCAGAAACATTGCCATGAATGTTCTCAGCAGAATGATGCCACAGAAAGAACCATAGATTGGGGTCAGGAGACAGGTTTCAGACCTGGCTCATGATTAACTTTACCTCTTTGAGGCTCATTTGTAGCTCCTTTAGTCACTGTCCGTAATTCAGTCCCCACCGGCTAGGCAGCTGAGACAGCCAAAGGCTGAGGCAAGGAAGAGGTAGGCTGAGGAGACAGGGGCCAAATCATACTCCTTTCAAGCACTGGTCAAGAATAGAAGAGCTCTCTTTGCTACTCAGCCAGCTGACTAACTTTGTTTCAAACTGCAAGACGTAAAACAAAAAAAAAAAAAAAAAAGAAGAAGAAAAAAGATATAAAAGCAGATTCTTTAATGCTGCATGTGCCACAAGAAGTGCAGCCAAATTCATCAATGTTCAGCCTTTAGAGAGAAGTATGCAAAAAACAAACTGCCAAGAAAGTATTTGTGCAAGAGACTGCAAAAGCAGAAATGCAAACTAGAGGAAAACTGGAGAAGCAGAGCTACCCCTGGGGGGTGGTCTTCCAAGCCTAGATCTGTGTCCAAATGAAAGGAGGGGTACAGGTTCTGATCATATGAACAGTCATGCCCTGGGCAACATACCCTAAAATTGCTAATTAGATAATCTGGGTCTTCAGCAACCCAATTACCCCTATTACTGAATCCCTTTAGCCGTTTTGGGCTCCCACCTCCCCCAAGTATTCACTGTCCTCCTGCTGCCCATCCCTGCCTTCTCAGGAAGGCCTCTGGCTTCAACACCTGCTCTCTGCTAGGTGATTGCAGGCCTGAATCAGAAAAATAGTATGTTAACTCTCCCAGAAACAGACATCTCTAACAGTAAAAATGCACATTTTGAAAAAGCTTCAAAAAGTAATTTCAGTGGATAGAAGTTTCAGGCTCCATAGAAATTTGCTGGAAGACAGGGTGGGTCCAAGTCCTGACTGTCAAATAGAAAAATTTTCCATGGTTCCAGTCTCCCCTTTCTGTACCATTTTTCTTCTTACTTCTCTACCCTCTAAAATCAATCTTTCCCCTAACCAGGGAACTAGTATCTTCATCCTCTTTCCCTTCCTTTCATCAAAATCTGCTCTCAGAAAATAAACTGCAATGTCATTAATACTTCAATTAGAGTACTGCACCATGTTCTTTTCCCAGTGGTGGATGAATTCCAACGTCTCTTTGTGGAATGACAAGTGTGTTTTGTTTTGTTTTGTTTTGTTTTGTTTTGTTTTGTTTTGTTTTGTTTTGTTTTTTTGTCTCCTACTGAAGGAATTTCTGGCCTTAGTGAATGTTTTCTTTTTAAGGCGGGGGCGGGGGGACTACAACCTTTCTTAGGCATCCTGAAGTCAGAGATTCCATCTAAAACTAGGACTGATTCCAAGTACAGACCTAACATATAATATAAGGTACATCTTGATATTACTCATGAGTGTTAGAGGTAATAAAATCTTTTAAATTCTAAAACACTTATCAAATTCATTATTTCAATGTAATTTCTAATTGCTAATAGAACTTATCTATAAAATGATGAACCATATAATTGATAGTTTTATGAAAAGTACTTTGAAATGGTATATCAAAAGAGATATGTTGCCAGAGTGATTCCTGATTTTATCAACATATTTTTTTAAAAAGGCATTTCATGATACCTTTATGGGCAAGATCAAGAATGCAGAATTTCTGGATAGCAATATAGTTAGGTGCAACCTTAACTAATTGATGCTCACTAATGGCTCAATGACAGCCTGGGAGGAGGTCTATAGTAACACATAGGGCTCTTGTTCTTCACTTAATCTGGGACAACATTGGTAATCACTAACTTGAATGAAGATACAGAGAAGCTGTTGGTTAAAATTCCAGGTGACAAATGGTTTGAAAGATTAGCAAATACACTAGCTGACAGAATCAAAATATAAAACATTGAAGCAAAAGATGAATTAAGTGCCGCATTTGCATATCACACTTGTGTTCCAAAAATCAAATATATATAGGTACAAGATAGGAAGACCTGACCTATAAACAGTTTTAGAAGTTTCTGTTAACAAATTCAACTTAGTTAACAGTGTGTTGTGCCTCCTAAAAACTGCAAACAAAACTGCTTTAAGAGAAATGTACTATCAGTTATTACAAAACTAATAAATAGGCTTTATTAGACAGTTGATCCAAAAAATATTGGTGCTGCTTCACAGGAATTCTGTTTAGTTAGGTTGATTCTCATGTAGAGGCAGTATTGCCACAAGAGGACATATGGAAATGTGTTGGGGGCATTTGGAGTTCTCACAATGACTGGATAGAACTACTAACATCCAGTGGGCAGAGCCAGGGATGTTAAACACTTTGCAATGTGCAAGAGGATCCTACATGTATGCAGACCTTTCTTGCCTAAAACGTAAGTAGCATCTATCCTCAATGAGAAACATTTATTAAACTAACAAGAGAAAACAAAATGGGGAAGAGTCTAAGAACCACGTCACAGGAAGCCAACTTGAAAAGACTGAAAATGTCTAGCCTGGAGACAAAAGGGTGCTTGGGAAGAATAACTCTTTCCAAATATAGGCAGTGCTATCCAGTAAAAAGAAATAGATTATATTATTATTTAGTGGTATTCCTATTACTGATAGCAGTTACCATTTTTTAATACTTACCAAGTATAAGAAATTATGCTAAATACTCACAACCTATCTGAGGAAGATACTATTCTACCCATTTCGCAGATGGGAAAAGTATGTTTCAGCTTAAATTATTTGTTCAAGGTCACCCAGCTAACAGAAGGTTGAGTCAGGATTTCAACCAAGTAGCTGTAAGTCTGAATCCATACCCTGTGCTCTTAAACACTATGCCATATTGTGGTAATTCTGAATGGAACCACTTTGGGGTGACTCCAATAGGAAGAACCAGGATCAATGTGTGGAAGTTATAATTTTGGTACAACACAGGAAAACACGTTCAAACTGTGGTGGTCACCATTGAGTAACAGTGAGTTACCGGTTTACAATCAGAGGCTGAATAATCACTTAAGCTAGGAGAATCACAGAGCATGAAGTAGGAAATGAATTTGGCTTCTAAGGTCTCTTTCAGTTTATGAAAAACAGCAGCTTCATTACTTTTACCTTTTCATATACTAGTAAACTGAAGCATCTCAGACAGTGTATAAGATTTTGCCCTTTCATTTGTGCATTTTCACATCTCTTATATAAGAAATATCGGCAGAACCAGCCCTAGAACCTAGGAGAATATTTTTCTTGAGTCTTCTACATTTTACCTCTAAGACCATTTGAATAGCCTGCTTCCCTTAATGCAGGAGATTATTGGCATTCATGCATAGCATAAATTGGGCATTGCCAGCATTTATAGCCTGTCAGCATTTCCATGTTGACACTGGGGATGAGATGATGACTCCTTATCAAAGCTTCATTTATGTCGTTGATATCTAGGAAAAGAATGTATTAGGTATATCCAGTATGACTTATCTTATCCCAAAACTCTAATCTCTGTCTTGTGTCCATACTATGGTGCTCTTTCATGTCTCTTGTATATCTAGATTTTCATTTATGTATTTATTGAACACCTACTTCATACCCATAAGTGTCCTTCATTTTCAGGCTATGAAATTTGTCATATGACCTAAACTGAAAGTCATGGAATGCCCAGTTTACACTATGCATGAATGGTAATAATTGCCCGCATCAATAAGTTCCTTCTTGTCTCCTTACCTCTTCTTACAGAAACTTTCCAGGTTTGTATCTGCCATAGGATTTATGTCTGTCTACTGAAACAGATTCAAAATAACAATGGCTTATCCAGATGAAAGATTTTTCAATTGTCTTATGTAACAGTCCAGGCATAAGCCGACCAGGGCTGACATGGTAGCTAGATAGTATCAAGGATCAGGGCCCCTTTTGTCTCACTGCTCCAGTATTTATAGGAGTTGCCTACATTATCCAGATGGACCATTGCCACATCCACATTTTAACCAATGGGAAGGAAAAAAATGATGAAGAGAATAGCCTCTCCTTCCATTTAAAGGCAGAACAAGGAATTACACATAGTACCCTCATAGCTCATCGACCAAGCTTAGTCATATGGCCACATTTAACTATAAGCAAGTCAAGAAAATATAGTCTTTATACTGTGTGGTCATAATACCCAGGTAAAAATCAAAACTTATGTTTCTAAAAAAGTAATAAGAGAAGTAGAAATTTGGGGATGACTAGTCGTAGTCTTTGCCATCCATCTTAGAGAGTGTACTGTATGGAATCCTGTTGAGTAAGCAATGGGTCAAGGATATACTTCAATGGACACTGCTAGATTAACCCAGGAGTAAAACAAGACCCAAGATGAAATGATCAGATTCCTTCTCTCCAAAATTTAGAATTTAGTCTCGGACTCTCATTAGTCTCTATTCATTCATAAACTAGAGGGCCTAGTAGGTCCATGATGGCCATTTTCTCCTGCTATGAAAGAGCAATGCAAAGCTTATTTGCAGAGAAAAGACCATACATCCCCAGATTTTAAAAATGTATGAGAGAGTAGCTGCTTTAGTCTCAGATAGGTTTTAACATCCTAATTTCAGTGCCTCATGAAGCTGGCTGCTAGCCCTGTCCTTAAGTATTGTGAGATAGTTCTGCATTATTATAATGTATTTTCCTATCTTATGTAATCTCATCTGTGGGTGAGATTCTGTTATTTGCAGCCAAACAATCTCTAAGACAATATAGGTTTATTTGAAGGGTACTCCACAGGGGGTGACCCAACCACAGCTCCTAGTATCGAAGAATTTATCCAGGAAATTAGCAAACTGTACTGAGAATTTAGGCTACATTTTGGAGTATGGTCAATTTATACTGACAGAGTAAGGACTAGAGGACATCTCAGACAATGGAACACTAGAATGCATGAAGATCCATAGGTAAGAACTACTATGGCATTTTCAGATTCAGACCCATTCCCTAGCATGTCCAGGACAAGATGCTCTTAAGATTTGGAAGCTGTGACCAGGATCCCTAGCTTCATGTCTTAGAAAGCACCTCTTCCTTAATTCTCATGCAAAATATTAGAATAACTCTTCTTATAGACCTCCAGGCCCTGTCTGTTTGCCTGAATTTCCCACTGTGGCTCTGAAAGTCTAACTCAACATCATTTGTAACTCAACTTGCTTGCATTTCCTCACTTGGGGCTAGACAATATTTTCTCCTTCAGTTCTCCCACCTTGACAGATCCCATCATTACCTGTGGCTTGTTTTTGGTTTGGTTTCTATGCTCCATAGCTACTGAGACTGACATCTCTTCTCTTGTTGCAACTTTAATCTGTCCAACCAATATGCAGGTTAGTCTCTCCCCACCTGAGAGTTTAGGTACCAAGTTTCCCAAGGCCTTGCCAATTGCTAGCTTCTCCCTATATACCTCCAGACTCCCAGGAGCTATCCCCCATAGATGGCCTAAGGGGAAATCTCAAGCTTTTGATATGCCTGCTCTTAGAATATCTTCATGGCAGTTATGTTCCTGTTTAGAGCAGAGAATGTGAGAGGAGTCATAACAAACACACCTCACATTGTTTAGCACTTTGTATTTAGTAAAGTAATTTCACATTCATAATCTGATTAAATACCACAGTAGGATTTTGAAGTAACCAAAGAAGGTGTTGCTATTGTTCCCATGTTAAATGTTAAAAAACTGAAGTGGGGCTAGGTTAATTGCCCAAGGTCTCATAGTTAACGAACGGAGGCTGGGTCAGAAACTCAGTTTCTGGAGGCAGATGATTTGGGGCAGGCGGAGATGAAACCTACCAGACATGGTTCCAAGGCCTTACTTATGACTGTATCAAGTACTGATATTGTACAGCTATTATAAAGATTAAATAAGGTAATTAAAATGAAGGCCTTCATGTTCATCACATCATAACAACTCAATAAATATTAGCTTTCAGTGTTCTCAGGCAGAATAGCATGACAGTTAAGAGCAGAGGATCTAGACTCTCGATTCATGTTACTTGGGTGTGACTACTTCACAAGAAGCAATATGCAGTATGGTTAGGGGGGTATATTCTGAAGCCAGATAGCCTGAGCTTGAATACTGGCTCTGTTACATTTTAGCTGTGTGATCTTAGACAAGTCACTTAATCTCTCTGTTCCTTAGTTTCCACATCTGCCTAGTGGCAATAGTAGTAGTACTCCCATGGGGCTGTTGTGAAGACTAAATAATTCTATAAATCCTGCTTGGAAAAGTGAATATAACACACTGAGCACCATATAAGCATCATATAAGTATTCACTACAATTATCTACTTCTTTTGGGCTTTATAACCTTGGACAGGTTACTTAACATGGTTTCAAGTTCCTTGTCCGTAGAATGGGGATAATACAATTTTTGTGAAGATTAAGCAGTATTGCACATAAAGCCCCTAGAACAGCTTGTTATGTCATACGTATGCAAAATATTAACTATCATTATTTTCGGTGGTGAAAGGCACCAAGTGCACCAAACAAATCAATTCCTCCATCATTCTAATAAACAGATGGTTAACATGTGCTATTAGTTTTTGTTAGATATTATTTGTTGAGAACAAATAATCTCTGGAGGAGAGGCTCTGATCTCAGTACTTTTCAAAAATTTCCAAGGTGATTATAACATACAGCCAAAATTGAAGACCACTGCACTGGGAACGATATTTCCCCATCCTCCCCTAAATCTTACAGAGAGGTGAGGCAACAAAGATGACCATCTCAGCTTCTAAAAGAAACAGAAACAAAGGATTGCTGGGGAACAGAGAGAATACACAACAAACCTTTTCAAAATGAATCTTTTTTTTCCTTTCAGCTGAGAATCACTGAAGTAAAGTCGGCATAAGTTAAGGAGGCAATGCAGCCAAAACAGCAGCCACAAATATAAGGCATTTTTATAATCTCATGTTTTTGTTTATTTTTAGTATTCGTGAATTTTGTTTCTATTACATGATGCAGCTACATTTTGAATTAAAGTTGCATTTGCTGCATAGTGAAGCTGCCTCCCAGAGAAGATGCATCATGTTTGTCCCATGGAACCTCACACAGCCCTGATATAATGCCATCTACCTGTGCCAGGCAGCTTTCAAAGACAAATCCCAGTGATCTCTGCTTCCTACTAACCATGCCTTTTTACAATCCCCTCCTATAGCAACTTGCTTCCAATGAACAGAATATGACAAAAATTATCGTATTTCACTGTCATCATTAGGTTACAAAAGACTGGGATTTCCATTGTTGTTAGCATTCTCTCATTGGCTCTGTCTGAGGGAAGTCAGCCGCCATCTTGTGAGCTGCCCTTTAGAGGCCCGTGTGCCAAGGAACTGAGACACCTCCAACCAGTAGTCAGCAAGGAATAGTGACCTGCTAACAGCCACAGGCATGATATTGCAAGCAGATCTTTCCCCAGTAGAGACTTCATTACAGCCTGTTAGAAACTCTGAGCTAAAGGATTCAGATATGCTGTGCCTGGATTCTTGATCCACAGAAAGACAGTGAGAAAATAAATGTGTGTTGTTTTAAGCCACTAAGTTTTGGGGTAATTAGTTATGCAACAATAAGTAAGTAATATAATACTATGCTCATACCATACTTATATCTCAATTTAAAGCAGCTGCTGCAACTATTACTAACACTACTACTAATAATAATTGCTAATATTTTTCAGCTCTTTGATTTTCCAGGCATTGTACTGAGCACTTTAATATGTAAGATTTTTTTTTTTTTTAGACGGAGTCTGGCTCTGTCACCCAGGCTGGAGTGCAATGGCACAATCTCAGCTCACTGCAACTTCCGCCTCCTGGGTTCAAGTGATTCTCCTGGCTCAGCCTCCCAGGTAGCTGGGATTACAGGCACACACCACTACAACTGGCTAATTTTTGTATTTTTAGTAGAGACGGGGTTTCGCCATGTTGGCCAGGCTGGTCTTGAACTCCTGACCTCAAGCGATCACCCGTCTCGGCCTCCCAAAGTGCTGGGATTACAGGCTGGAACCACCGCACCTGGCCTAATATGCAAGATCTTTTTATATCCTCCCAGTAATCATATATGGTAGGTACTGTTATTATCATACACACATCTACATTTTGCAGTTCAAGAAACTGAGGCACTGAGAGATTAATAACTCGCACAAGATTCAAAGGGTTAGCAAGTAGCAGAGGCAGGATTCTGACTCAAGTGATGTTGATTTAAAGCTTATTATATGCGCACAGTCCAAGGATTGAGTTTCAATCTCAGTTCTGTCATTTACTCTTTGACCTTGGAAAAGTCATTGCAATTTGTTGAACCTCAGTTTCCTTATCTGTTAAATGGAGAGACTAACAGTGCCAAACTCACAGAGTTATAATGAGGATTAAATAAAGTTATGGTTCTAAAATACATGGCACAGTACCCTCATCTGGCAATGTGTTGCCATTATTAAAGGCTCTCGACTAGCATTTGCAGAGCCTGGGACAAGGGTATAAACGGAGGCCCACATACCAGATGTCTACATATTTTAAAAATATGTATCAAAATTTAGGAATAGTTAAATAAAATATGTTCTATCTTCCTACCTTGAAAAATATACTTCAAAACAACTTCGCATGCCAGGTTCAAATTTTTAATTCTCAGATTCCCCAGAGTTCTGAACCAAAATATATCAGTGTAGAGACAGGTAACTCCAGATCTCTGACTTGCTCCCTTCTCTTTCCATCCTAGGCTCCATCCCACACAGTGAGTAGCCCCACACATATGCATGTGGACATTCCAGCCTACACATCCAAGTTCTGACTATACTAAGGTTGCCATATTCTATAAATAAAATTCCAGGGTGTCATATAGTTCATCTGGCAACCCTAGACTATACTCCCCTGTGCATGGTATTCCTCAGGCCTAGGGATGCACACACTGGCAGCACAAAGTCCCCTCCCTATAGAGAAGAGTGTGGCTAAAGGAGGGCCAGAGTGAGGCCTTTTAGAAAAGCATAAAGCCCAGGGTAATAGCACTTCTTGCCCAGGTCTAAGAGCGGACAGGCCCTAAGCAATTAAATCAGTTTTGTTTATGGATCTCTTTTCTGTCTTCCACTTGCTGCTTTTTCTGTACTGCTTTATCTCACACCAGTGCCTTCTGACTGCTTTCTCATTTCTCCACTTGGCATGGACATTTTTCGTCTTTCCTGACCTTCCTAACACCAGAAACCCCAACTCTGCTGATGAACAACAGTAATCAGTAAGTGATCATGGATACCGATAATATGTTATCCAGAGAAGAATGACTCTAATGATGGTGATTTTAGACATCAAAGTGAGCTAAACGGCATATGAGCCACATGGGTAGCTGGGGATTTTCTCAGGGACCAAGTAGAATGGAAGAGAAAAGAATTCAGATCCTTAGTACACCCTCGGGTCTATTTTCCTATGTTCCTGATTTAACTCTGGCCCAGAAACACTGACAAAAAGCCCTGTCCTCAGGGTTATATTAATCTCCATAATGCATACAAGTCACAGCTCTGATCTCTACTCTCCCTACCCTCATTCCCACTCATGATTCCCCACCCTCTGAATTATTGTCAAAGATCCCTGGAGAGCAGTGAGGGAAGGGGTAAATTATATGTATTTGTGTTTACATCCAAAAAATGAAATCAGTAATAGAAATCCAGACAAAGTCCTAAAACAAAATGATGGAGCAGGCAAAAACAGCCAGGCCATCATTAAATGATCATATTATGAAATGGGATTAATTTTATTCAACAATCATCTTGTAAAGGCATATTAATCAAAAGCTTCCTAAATATAAATAAAACAAGGCACAAAGAGAATGGGCAACATTTTCCCCCTATTGCTTGAGGTGTTATATTTATAATCCGTACTTCTACAGAAAAGATCCTAAAGCTGAGGGAGGCCACAAGCACATTTCCATATTCTTAGCAAACCCAGAGATAAAAAAAAGTCAAGTCAAGGACATCAATCCTGGCACTGAAATTACATCCATCTCTCAGGAAGATGACACACAAGCCAGTCAAACAGACAGAGTTGGTCAAAACGTGTCTTAAAGAGGTTGATAGAGGCTTGACATCTGAGCACAGCTCTGGAAGATAGAAGTAATTTCCCTGAAAGATAGAAAATGACTTGGAGGTTTAAAGTGATTGCAACCTCTGGAGGCAATAACAGCAGAATGTATTTGCCAAAAATGATAATGCCATCTTAAGCTGTTTAGCAAATATGAATAAAATGATGTCTTGTTCCTTTTTAAGCATTAGGTGCCAAGTCCTGAATGAAGTGCTTTTTATGTGCATTATATTGTTTAATCCTCACAACAGCCCAGAGAATATCATTATTATTTTCATTTTAAGAATGAGAAAATGGAGGCCCAAAAAAGTTAAATACCTTGCTCAATATAACATAGTAAAAGACAGAGCTGCTATTTGAACCCAGAAAGCTCTTAACCATTTGTTAGATCGCTCCTTTGGGTGATTTGGGACTCACACTCCTAGAGAGAAATTGATAACATGTCCAGAAAAGGTGACCAAGGCTGTGAGGGGACTCCAAACCATGCAATGTGTGGAAAAGTTCAAGAAACTAGAGATATTTAGCCTGGAAAAAAAAAAAAAAGACTCAGTTAGACACAAGATCCATGAACTCATGGATTATGTGTCTTTTAATCACCCATATACCCTTAATTTCTACCCTAATGCCTAACATATAGTAGGTTCTCAATAAATATTTGTTGAATAACTGGATGAATGAATTAATAGCAAAAAAAAGATGAATGCATTACTTCAGTGCTGTCTTGAGATGTACAAATGCTAATCATGTGGAAGAGATATTATTCTAATATTCTGTGTGATTCTAGGAGCAGAAGTTATAAGGTGTCAAATCTTAACTAAAAATAAGAAAGATACACTAAGAATTATTATGGTCCAGCAGGAGAATGGGGTTATCCCAAGAAATTGTAAACTTCTTGATTATAGTAGTAATTTTTTTATTGACAATGAACAGATAAGACAATTTTGTGTTTTTGTTACCCTTGTACAGATAAAAAGCAGAACAAAAAGACTTGCTGACTCACTAAAGGTTATCAAGTTGACTTTTTAGGTTCAAGCCATCATCCTTACCTTTTTTATTTTTTCTTTAGAGATGGGGTCTTGCTATTTTGCCCAGGCTGATCTCAAGCTCTTGGCCTCAAGTGATCCTCCCACCTCAGCCTTCCCAATAGTTGGGATTACAGGCATGCGCCACGGTGCCCAGCCCATTCTTACTTTTTGAGTTTAAACCACAAATTTCATTATAAATATCTAAACTCAGGCACATGTATATAAAGTGGTAGTTTGCTTGAGTTTATAAACATGATTTGGATTTGATTTTTCTACTCCAACTCTATACTTTTTCTTCTTAATTTTTATGGGTATATAGTGTGTGTATATATTTATGAGGTATATGAGACATTTTGACACAGGTATACAATGTGTAATCACATTCAACTCTATATTGAAACCTACTTAATTAGTCCTCAGAATTGCTGGCCAATAAGTTGCTAACTAACACATTTGAAAAACCAATAGATCAATGCTGCTTAAGGTAGTCCGCTTGCCCTAGTCAGTTGCTTGGAAGCAAATCTTCACGGATTACACTGCCTGTGGCCTAGTTAGGCATAATTTCTTCCTCCTGCCCAGGCCTCATGCTGGAGAGTAGGCTTCTTACTGAAATGCAAAGCTTTTCAAGGATTTCTACATGTGTTGAGAAATAAGCCATTCTGGAAAAGGGCTTTGCAGTGGGAGGCAAGGTACAGAGATAGAGTTTGGGATTTGCCCTATATTCAGCTTTTCAGAGGACACTGCGCTATTATAGTCCAAGCTCAGCCATATCAAATGTACTATTCCCTGAAGGTTGAATGAACTCCAACAGAGTTGACACACTGGTTCGCAGGAGCCTCCCTCCTCAGCAGAGAAACTATTAAGATCTACAGGCTGAAGAAGTATTCCCCACTGATAAAGTCAGTGAAATAACCACCATATTCATTAGAAAAGAACTCCTCTTACCACAGCTAGGAAACAGAAGTACAGCCTACCTGGCAAGATGTCCAACTAACAGTAATTAGCCACCTAGCTCCCAAAAGCTTCAAATCACAGTACTTGCCACAAACATGCCGCCCACTACCAAGAGAGAAGTTTCTAACAAAATGAAGTTTTTTTTTTTTAAGAGCACTTGACAAAAGGTGCTAAAATACTCAGAATAAAATCTCAAATTGGAGCTGTCAAAGACATCGGGATAAAGCACTGCAAAATACACGCCTGAATGTGCTGTGCTGCTTCAAGCCAGACCACACTGCCACCTACTGAACAAGAATGTGCATTCTCTTGGCCTCCTGTATACTGAATGCTTCCTGATATTCATTCTGAGAAATGTGGCCATTCTTTTCCCCCTTCTCAGAGCAGTTTGGCAGCAGGACAGTCAGCCCCCTCTGTGAGCCAGCAGCACCATCTTCTCTGGTGCCCACCTACCATAGGAAACTTGAAGTAACTGGATGGCAAGCCAGCACGATTAGACACTGACTCATTTGTTCCATGACAGAAGTTGGGGGAGGCAGAGTCCAAATGAATGTGAAGAGATGCACACATACTGAAAACAACTGAATCACAAGGCAACCACAGGGAAGAAACTGCTGACAAGCATTTGAAACAAGGCACCCATAACCATGAATCACTCAGCATAACAGCTGGGTACCAAATGATTTGTAAATCTAGAAGATTCAGAGATAACTTTGCAGGAACAACCTACATGAGACACAACTCTTAGTTCAGATGCCCTGCACTAAAACAACTGAAAAGCAGCAATGGGCATTGTACTAATTTCTTCCCCAACTGTTACTTGCCACCAAGCACCCACAATTAGTGCCCTAGTTTCAAACCTGAAATCACAAATTACATGGGGAAAGAGTTGCAGGCTGAGAGGCTGATACTTCCATTAGCCACTTAAGTCTTTTCCATGAAAATTGGTAAAGATAATTTCTCTTCTCACGACAGAGACAGGGAACAAGAAGAGAAAAAAGGAAAGGAGAAAAGAAAAAAAGGAGGGAATAACAGTGGCATCTCCATTTACTAAATGCATGTTATAAACCTGATACTTCTGTAGGCATTTTAATATGCCACTATTCCTAAACCACTAAACAATATGACTAGTTTTACAGAAGAGAAAACTGAGGCTCAAAACAGTAAAAGCACTTGCCCAAGATCATATCGATAATGAGAGACAGAATCTGGATTGTAAACCGGAAGTAACTGGTTATTATGAAAGAAGAGAGAGAGAGAGAAAGAAAGAAGCTACTTGGCCAGAGCTGCTGTCTGTGGTCAGATGAGCAAGTTGTTCTTTTTCTGTACCAAAATTAGGCAGAGAGCGGTAGCTTACTTGAAACCTGATCAATTTTGCTAGGCTTGTAAGTGGTGTAAATGTGGCTAGGCAAAACCAAACCAAACTTGTCAGAAGTCATATTTGTCTACCCTTCCTCTAACTGGTTTCCATGAGCATAGACACAGTATTACCTCCAACTCTTAAGAATCTGTGTTCAAGAGAGGGGTTTGGGCCATTTTCCACAGAGATGGATAATCAAAAACTCACTAATTGCCAAGTGAATCCATGGCTTACCACATTGTTGAGGTGGCAAAACTTGTCACTCCAAACAATGATGTTGTATAGTGAAAATTCAGAAAGTGTCTGAAACCTTCCAGCAATTTTCTATGATTCATAGCACTTTTGAGAATGGATAAACCAAGTTCACACGGATGCTAAGAACTGTACTAAGAACTACCTTCTCCCAAACTTTCCCTAGTACAAAGTAAACAGTTAAGCATTGCAATTATAGTCAAGTACATATCAACCTAGGATGCCAGAGCTACAAAGGAACTTGGACACCACCTAATCTGATCCTCTTATTTGAAAAATGAAAGGACTGATAACAGAAAAAAAAAATCCTTATCCAACTTCTTCTTTCTATCATTCATTCAAGAGCTCCAAAGACCCATCAAACTACTGTTGTTGAATGTGCTGGGGAATGTGAACAAAGTGAAAGACATAATCTTTGCCCTCAAGGATTTTCTGATACAGTTCAAACTGTAGATCCTTTTTATTTTATTATTTTATTTTATTTTGAGACAGAGTCTTGCTCTGTCACCCAGGATGGAGCACAGTAGTGTGATCTCGGCTCATTGAAGCCTCTGCCTCCCAGGTTCAAGCAGTCCTGTCTCAGCCTCCCAAGTAGCTGGGATTATAGTTGTGCACCACCATGCCTAACTAATTTTTGTATTTTTAGTAGAAATGGGGTTTCCTCATGTTGGCCAGGCTGGTCTCAAACTCCTGACCTCATGTGATCCACCCGCCTCAGCCTCCCAAAGTGCTGGGATTACAGGTGTGAGCCACCACACACGGCCTGTAGATCCTTTCTAAAGGACAACATTCTGTGGATCTGCCCATGATAGCATTATACTGGTGGTGTTCACTGAGTATGAAAATTGGCAACGACCAAAAGTTGCTATGAATTCAGTCATGCTCTTAAATATATTTGTATTTAAATAAAACCTGCACCTGAATCTGAAAATGGTATATATATATTTTTTTTGAGAAATTATTTAGTTTCCAAACTTTGTTTTTCTTTTTTTCAGAAAGCACCAAGGGCAATACTTTGTAGCTGCAGGTTAGAGGCAGGGAACTGCTGCTACAGAGAAAAAAACTGAAAACACTACAGCGAGATCCAACTTCATACTTTGGCAGAACTGGAAGTGACTGACTTACATGATATGTTTTAATGGATGCCAGGAAGGTTTACCTGCCCCAATATATTTTCCTTCCCACTCTTTCATATCCTTTACTTCCCTCTGCTATACTCCACACTCTCAACTTTCTGAAATTTCAAAGACCAAAGCACATATGGCTTTACAAACAATTGCTGCTCAAATCTAGCCTCTCAGAAAGGTGTACAAGCAATCACATATACTTTTACATAGGTTCCCTAGCTGAGTCTGGATAAAGGGCATTACGAAGTGGGTGAATAACAATTCACTTCTACTTGGAAAAACCTGAGAAGAGTCTGGGCAGGGTATACCAGCAGTTGGGTAGGGGTGAGGGCTTAGCAATCTGGAGACAGCATGAAGATTTACTTGATGCCTAGGAGGCAGGAGAATTACGGTAAGGAGACAAGATGAAAGAAACATTATCAAAGGTAACTTTTACTAAAATTAAAATGTTTCCTTGGATCATCTCATACTAGAGAGTGTTACAAGAGTACATCATAGAGTGGTAAGTGGTATAGTACACAAACTAATGTGGCAGAGAAGTTAAGATAATAAACAAGAGCTCATTGCATTTTGGACTATTTTGTGAAGACTTCATGGAGAAGTGGGATCTGAACTGGACCTTAAAGTATACGCAGAATTTGAAGAGGTGAGGAAAAGGTATCTCAGATTTAGACAAAATCATTAAGCAGGAGTAAACATTGGGAATAGAGGGGGAAACAATGATCAAGTCAGCTTGAATGGAACAATGAGTAGGTATTGAGAGTCATGAGAAATAAGGTTGGGGAGAGATGGTGGCACAATATCATGGCAGGTCTTGGTATCAGATGAAGGAATTCATCCTTGATGCAGGCAATGGGAGTCTTCACATGCTCTGGAACAGGTGAGTGACACAATGAAAAGAATGCATTAGTCTAACAGGAAAATGCAGGGTATTGTTATTGCACATGGGCTTCAAAGTTAAAATCCCAGCTTTTTCCATTTATTAGCTATGAAGCCATGGACAAGTTATGTATATTCTGTATGTTACTGGTTTTTAATCTCTAAAATGGTAATATTAATATATACCTCACTGAGTCATTATGAGAATCAAACTAATCTTCAAAAAGTACATTAGTACAATGCCTAGCACACAAGAGTTCATAAATAGCAGCTTTTATGCTAATAATCATATTATTATCATCATTACCAACAATAATATCAAGGGAAGCAATTAGAAAGCTATGGTAATAGTAATCTAAAATTTAGGCCTTGGTCAAGCATGGTGGCTCATGCCTGTAATTCCAGTACTTTGGGAGGCCAAGGTAAGCAGATTACTTGAAGTCAGAAACTCGAGACCAGCCTGGCCAATACCGCAAAACACTGTCTCTACTAAAAATACAAAAATTATCCAGGTGTGGTGGCACACACCTGTAATTCCAGCTACTCAGTAGGCTGAGGCATGAGAATCTCTCGAACCTGGAGGCAGAGGTTGCAGTGAGCCGAGATTGTGCCACTGCACCCCAGCCTGGGCGACAGAGCAAGACTCTGTCTCAGTACATACATACGTACATACATACATACATACATACATACATACATACATACATACATACAATTTAGGCCTAGATAATCTCCTAGACTAGCCCATTTGCCGAGGTCACAGAAAGGAGAAATTGACTCTCAAAAATATTCAAAGGAAAGATTCAACACAATTTGGGGACAGATAGAACATGAAGGGTAAAGAAGAAAGAAGTCAGAAAGAAGATTCCAGGGCATAGGAGCCATGGATAACAGCAGTACACACAAACAGCAAAAATGAAGAAAAGAATGCAAAGAGTGGGTGGTCTGGGTGGTATAAGAGATTATTATTTTTTGTAAAACATTGAGTTTGAGGAGATTTAAATATACTCAAGTGATGATATTCTGACCAATATTTGAAAATAGTGTATTAAGGTCCTTAGGACAGGAATGGAAAAGTAGATTTGAGAAGCAACTACAAGGAGTTGAAGATGGAGAGTAGATAAACTTGCCAAAACAATAAATTTACCAGGAGGAGCACAGAGAAAGGAAAACAGAGCCTTGAAGAACAACCACAATTGTGAAATAAGGTAGAAGAAAAGTGTAAGAAGTTTTTAAGAAGTGGGGAGAGAAAATAAACAGTACTTATCTTTAAGAATAGTTACACTAGAGTGCATTATAAAGGATTCAAATTAATCACAAAAGGGAATTTCCAAGCTAAGGTTGGAATGGTCTTTTAAAAAGATATGGTTATCTGCTGGAATAATTTACAGATTACTTATAATTTAAAAGGTAATTATAAACATACATTTATTCAAAAAGCATCTACTGGAGTTCTACAAAGAATGATGCTAAGTGTTGCAGGGGAGACGATAAGGTATATTAACTTTGTCCTAAAGGAGAGGGGTAAGCTAGACCAATGTATGTATTTATAAACATTTAAATCACAATATGAGAGTAACATAGAAACTGGAGACAATAATTGTCAAACTGTAATATGTAACTAAGTGCCAGATAACTGCTAATAGTTCGGAAGAGACAAAACTTTGGTATACAGTCACCAACAAAGGCTTTCTGGAGGATGCAAACCTTAATTGGGATTTTAAACCATGGATTAGTAAAAAACGAATTGGAACAAAATTATTATACATTAAACTATTAATCTTGAACACAACATTTATCTAAAGGGGTTTATCCTAGATATTGAGCACCAGAGAGTCTAAAAAATGAAAAGTTTCTCCAAGTTGGTGTTCCCAGAACTTTCTCAGTATAGTCAATATCAAGCTTGCCTTCCCTTCTCAACTCCATCTCATAGGGCTCTTCCTGGAAAGTTTAGTAACTCCAGTGAAAATACTGCAAGTTTTCTGACTATAACTTTTCAAACCTGAAAAATACCCTAGGAAAAAAACCTTCATAAATAGAAGATGGGCCTGGCCTTGATTCACAGTCTTCTGGGTTTCATGTTTTATACACAGGCAAAACTAGAAATCATTAAATGCCAAAGGGTGATCAGGGAAATAAAATCATCAAGTAATAATGTCATGATCTAGCTGAGGAGCCTTGCATTCAGAGAATGGAAATGCACATTGCAGAAAATTAAAAAGTAAAGTAATCCTTTTAATCCTGATTCTCCAGGAGAACTGAGAGGGGAGCATAAAAGGGCAAAAAGCAAAGGTCTGGCTTCATTTGGCCTGAGGAAATACTGGCTGTGAAAGGCAAAAGGGATGGAGAAAATGGAGAAATAACTTTGCTTTCCTGGTAAAGTCTGATATTAAGATACAGGAAATGATTTTTAAATTATATTTGTGTCTCATTTTATAGAGCACAGAGTGGCTATGCCCAAAGCATTAAGAAAAAGTGGCCATGTCCCCAAGAAAGCATTACCCTTTCAGGAGACTATCAGGTTGTTGCCTTTTTACATTTCCCAAAGAAGACCCACTGAAATTCTCCATGGTAATAGTAGGAGGACTAGTTTGCAGAGAAAGGAATAGCAAGAAAGTCTGTGCCGACGAGAAGATCTTGCTTTAAGGAAAGCTCATGTGTAATTTTTTATCTTTCTGTAAGATCATCTGGAGCAACTATCAGCTTTACAAAGCATTCTTTGCTGCAAATAATAATAATAATAGTTATTATTACCATTATTTTTTTCCATCACAGCAATGGGCTAAATGCTCCATGGCAATTACCACCCACCACCCATCCCCCAGAATTCACTTGGAGCAATTACACAAAGTGAAATCTAGAGGTGAAGACAAGAAAGACTGATGATAGGTTTTCTATCTTTTGGTAAAAATCAGAGAGAAATTGTAAATTAAGTGAAGAGGCCATTCTTCAGGCAAATCAGCAGGGCTGCAGTTTAGAAGGAAGCCCACCTAGAAGCAAAATTGGGTGGGCTGTGGGCCAATATAGAATGAAGATGAACATGGAGCCAGAGAGTCCAAGGTCCAAATTTGTAAAGGGCATCAGCAGAGCTAATGTGACAGGTGGAATTTCCCAGGTGTTCACATGAAGACCCCATTTCTATTATCCATTTTTGGTTCCCTTTGGGGTTTATGAGACAAGCATTTTGTGACATCTAAGATGAAACTTAAAAATATGCAATTTAAAAAAGATGCATACCCAGGAAACATCTCTGATTTTTAACACTGGCCTTGGCAGAGACAATGTTCTGATTTTTATTTGCTAACTGAGATCAGTAGTGAGAAATTCAAACCAGGTAATGAAAGCTTAGAGCACTAAGCTAAATTAGAACATGATGGCCAAAGAGCTGGTTGTTTGTGGGGAGTACTGAAAGGTTCCGCAGTCCTAGATTATGTATCTCTGTCTCTATGTCAGCTAATTAACCAATTTGAGCTTCTTTTCCCCCAAGTCTCTTTCCATATCCAGACTAGTACAATCTTTTAGAATCCCTCATGAAAGGTTAGGAAAGGCTTTAATATTTGAGAATTTGCTTCTGCTGTAGTAGTTAATACATTTTACAGCTACCTGCCTGTCAATATCTGAGCTTTCAAACAAGAGTTTTAGGGCAGGTCAACTTCTTTGTTCTCAGAATAAGCAAGTTTAGAACTATCCACTATGTTCCCAGCACTATGAAGGGACACAAAGGAAGCTATAAACAGAAATAGAGTAGGAATCATAATGTACTGTGTTATGATTCAGTTAAGAATCTCTTCTCATCTAACCACTCAAAACCCACTCATCGTTCAAGGCCTAACCCAAGTTGTACATTCATTCTGTTATTTTCTTAGATGACTTGATCCTGTACTGATTCTGACAGAAACATTAATGCTACTTAGAATTAGAGGCTATTTTCCATTTCTTTGAAATTCTGTATAGCACCTAGCATAGTACCTGACAAGAGCAGGCACTCAAACACTTACCTTCTTGGGCATCCGAAAGGGTGCGACAGAAATAATTCAGCTTTAGTTAAAACAAGGAATTTCAGTTACAATTGTGATCCTGGACTGTGGCCAATTTAAGCATCAACATTGTGGGCTCACACACACAGCCTGAAAAGCTCCCCACTCCCCATTCTAACAATGGATATAAGCGAAAATGACATAATCACCACTGATTCTCAACCAGGGTGGCGAAAGTATACTTCAGAGATGGAGAACAGGGAGAAAACTCCCCATAGAGCATAAAATCTTTTGGGGAAAGAGGTATGTAGGTTGTTTTTCTTAAAAAAAATATAAAACAGTCATTCCTTTGATATGTTTTAGGTCACGATAGTTTATTTTGTAATTTAAAATAGCATTGAAGACATGACATCTATAAAAAAGTGGCATGGATTAGAAAATAAATACTAGGATTTATTGGAAAAAGAGACTATGTTTAATTCTATTTTTTATCTCTAGCATCCAGTATAGTGCCTGGCATATAGGAAGTGTTCAATAAAAGTCTGAGTTGGATGAATGGATGGATGGATAGGTGAATGGATGGGTGGATGGATGGATAAAAATGAATAAATGATAGGAAATTTGAAGCATCAACAAAAGCAGTCATGTGAATAAACTAGAATCATTCTGTTTTCTTTTTCTTTTTATTTTTTTACAAGCTGTTAATTTTTTTTATTTTATTATTATTATACTTTAAGTTTTAGGGTACATGTGCACAATGTGCAGGTTAGTTACATATGAATACATGTGCCATGCTGGTGTGCTGCACCCATAAACTCGTCATTTAGCATTAGGTATATCTCCTAAAGCTATCCCTCGCCCCTCCCCCCACCCCACAACAGTCCCCAGAGTGTGATGTTCCCCTTCCTGTGTCCATGTGTTCTCATTGTTCAATTCCCACCTATGAGTATAGATTCAATGCCATCCCCATCAAGCTACCAATGACTTTCTTCACAGAATTGGAAAAAACTACTTTAAAGTTCATATGGAACCAAAAAAGAGCCCGCATCGCCAAGTCAATCCTAAGCCAAAAGAACAAAGCTTGAGGCATCACGCTACCTGACTTCAAACTATACTAGAAGGCTACAGTAACCAAAACAGCATGGTACTGGTACCAAAACAGAGATATAGATCAATGGAACAGAACAGAGCCCTCAGAAATAACGCCGCATATCTACAACTACCTGATCTTTGACAAACCTGACAAAAACAAGCAATGGGGAAAGGATTCCCTATTTAATAAATGGTGCTGGGAAAACTGGCCAGCCATATGTAGAAAGCTGAAACTGGATCCCTTCCCTACACCTTATACAAAAATTAATTCAAGATGGATTAAAGACTTAAATGTTAGACCTAAAACCATAAAAACCCTAGAAGAAAACCTAGGCATTACCATTCAGGACATAGGCATGGGCAAGGACTTCATGTCTAAAACACCAAAAGCAATGGCAACAAAAGCCAAAATTGACAAATGGGATCTAATTCAACTAAAGAGCTTCTGCACAGCAAAAGAAACTACCATCAGAGTGAACAGGCAACCTACAAAATGGGAGAAAATTTTCGCAACCTACTCATCTGACAAAGGGCTAATATCCAGAATCTACAATGAACTCAAACACATTTATAAGAAAAAAACAAACAACCCCATCAAAAAGTGGGTGAAGGACATGAACAGACACTTCTCAAAAGAAGACATTTATGCAGCCAAAAAACACATGAAAAAATGCTCATCATCACTGGCCATCAGAAAAATGCAAATCAAAACCACAATGAGATACCATCTCACACCAGTTAGAATGGCGATCATTACAAAGTCAGGAAACAACAGGTGCTGGAGATGTGGAGAAACAGGGACACTTTTACACTGTTGGTGGGACTGTAAACTAGTTCAACGCTTGTGGAAGTCAGTGTGGCGATTCCTCAGGGATCTAGAACTACAAATACCATTTGACCCAGCCATCCCATTACTGGGTATATACCCAAAGGACTATAAATCATGCTGCTATAAAGACACATGCACACGTATGTTTATTGCGGCACTATTCACAATAGCAAAGACTTGGAACCAACCCAAATGTCCAACAATGATAGACTGGATTAAGAAAATGTGGCACATATATACCATCGAATCATTCTGTTTTCTTACCACTGCTAAGAGACATCATTTTCACTAAAAGCATTTAGGTGAATGAATATAGGAAGCTGGAAACCACCAGGTCCTGCCATCAAAAATAACAAGTGGCATAACTGAAACCAGTACTGACTTTAACAAGGAATTTGACTCTACAAGCCAGATCTCAGGGGCAAATGTCACCATTTGCCTTTGCCTCCACAGCAAAACTGACAAATGGTTCCAACCTCCTCCTTTATAGATCAGAGGCCTCAAAACAGTGTGAGCAGTTTAAGCTCGTCTGTCAGTCATTGGTGCTGTCTGTCAAAATGTTTAGTTTTTCCCCTCTTCCAAATACATAGTAGGATCGTGCTTCCTGGACTACTGGTGGTTCTAGGTGGTTCTACATGACCAGTTCTGGACAATCAGTTGTAACTAGAAGTGATATATGCTGATTCTAAACCAGATAATTGTCATTGTGAGAACCTTCAGGGATCTCTTTGTCCTTTACCACAAAGACTGCTAATGTTCCTGATAGCTGCTTCTCCACCAGTCTGAGTCAGAGTAAGGGTGATGGCAATGCAGAGCAGAGCCCTCAGAAGACCTGTGATGGGGGTACAGCTGGAATAGGCAGAGAATAAAACTTTTGTGTTTGGAACCACTGAGATTTCAGTATTCTTTGTTCCTAAAATAGAATCTGGCCTATCCTGACTAATACAACTTGGTTTACTAGAGTCAATGTAGTTTATATTCCTTAAACTGCTCTGACCCAGTCTTCCAAAGTTAGAATCTAATTGCTGCTAGGAATTAATGTCCTGTCAAGAATGAAATATAGGGAAAATAAATCTTATATTTAATCATACAAACAACAAATAGAGAAAAAGAACATGCAAAAAAGGAGATACACGTCAGCAAATACAGTAGTTCTAACATAAAAGGCAAAGAGACAAATTTTGAAACTATTTCAGGTAGCAGGAACAGATTCTCATCATCCTTTCCTGCAATGGAAATTCATTAAATACAGAGGGAAATGTCTTGAGAAACAAAAATAGCAGACCACACTCAAGATGGCCTACTTAAAATAGATTATCCTTGGGATAGTGATGGGAATTCCTTAGAGGGAAAGTGTGAGGGAATGGGAATTCAATAAAGACACACATATGTGTCATTCTAAAGCTAATACCTTCTTAACTGCATAGCGTTTCACATGAAGCTCTTTCATGTATGGTTTTTTTTTTTTTTTCATTTGAGTCTCATAACTGTCCTAGGGGATAGGCAAGGCAAGGAATGTTATCTACTTTTAATTGATGGAAAAAATTAGGCCCAGATAGGCTATAAATTGTCTAAGATATAATAGCTAATACATGACAAAGATGGGATTGGAACCTATGTCTCCTGACTCCTAGTTCATGCTGTTTGGATAATATTACACGTGTTTCTAATAAAACCCATCAGATCATTTACTTTATAGAAACTATTCCTCCACAACTAAAAAAACTACTGGCTTCTTGAAATCACTTGTGATCCAAGCGTGACCTTTATTTGTGTAACTACCACCTGAGCAATAAGTGTAATACTAAAGTTTATATTCTGTTTATAGAGGAAGCACAACTAAGATGCTGTATACGATGCATTAAACATGCCATCTTGTTAGTTCATTTCTCAGCTGATGATAGTTCTAGATGTAAATTAGCTCTGTGCTTTTTCAGATCTAACAGATGTTTCTGGGTGTTTATTTTTATCATTTTTTCTCACTTGAGATATTACATGGAGAAAGTAGGCAAAGCATATACTTACGGACCACTCTCCTTACATCGGGGCATGAAGATGAGAACCTAGAGTCTTCCAGGTGGGGCTCTCTAAAGCAAAGGGAAAAACATTTAAATTTTACTTTATGCACCTATTCATTGGAGGTGACCTATCCCACAACTGCCACCTATATACTAGGAATACTGGAGACATAAAGGTGTGTCTTCTTTCCCCCACTATTTGTCAGGTACTGCCTTGAAAGTTTTTGTTTTTGTTTTTTGTTTTTTGTTTTTGTTTTTTTTGAGAGGGAGTCTCGCTCTGTCACCCAGGCTGGAGTGCAGTGGTGCAATCTCGGCTCACTGCAACCTCCACCTCCCGGATTCACGTGATTCTCCTGCCTCAGCCTCCCATGTAGCTGGGATTACAGGCACTTGCCACCACGCCCAGCTAATTTTTGTATTTTTAGTAGAGACAGGGTTTCACCATATTAGCCAGGATGGTCTCAATCTCCTGACCTCGTGATCTGCCCGCCTCGGCCTCTCAAAGTGCTGAGATTACAGGCGTGAGCCACCATGCCCGACAAGAGCTCTTTATTTTACAACTCAGTAAAAGCTTTTTATTAGATCTATGCAACTAGCTTCTGTAACAATCACTAAGGTGGTCTTCAAGATAGTCCTGACATGGAGGAAGCATTGCTGACTTTGCCAATCATTACTCAGAAACCAAATATGTAGCAGGAAAAACAATTGCTCACATTGCACTCCAATGCATGAAGAATATGTAGCTTATTCACTTATTCTATAACTGATCTAATATTCCTTATACACACTCATGCATTTGATAAAAGAGAAAAATTTATCTAACTCAGTTTGTTCATTTCAGCCCAATCTAATCATTTCAAATTTTCAAGTAACTGAGTCTCTTTAGGTAACTTCACAGTCTTTGAAATGTTCTCTCCCATCCTCCTGCTCACCTCCAAGATGGCACCTGGGCTTTTATGAGAGGGAATTCATGAATGTAAATATATACTAAACTGTGGCCCTTTGAATCTGTTTAATCTGACACCTCAAAAGACTAAGAATTAAAAATAGCTGACTATTTTTTATGCCTACATTTCCAAAGTATGCCTACATTCCAAGTATGCTTACATTCCAAAGTGAGGCTCTTGAACCACCAATGCCCAAAATAGGGTCCAAACCCTATTTTGACACCCTTAGTGTAGTGTAATATCTCCTCCTGGCATAAAGAGTTGAGTTTGAAGAGGGGTTGGAAATTGGAAAGAAACAATCCCTTTCAGAAATATTAACAGTTATTGATTTCTTGTAATATTACTCTTCATTCTCCCAATAGAAAAAGGGAGTTGTTGCTTTCCCCCTTACCCCAAGCCAAGTAAGAGTGACCTCGGAAAGATTCAGAGAGCTTTACTTTTGGTCCTCAGACATTTGGGGGTCACAAGAGCCTGGTGTCTAACTTGGAAATCTAAAGGGCAACAGTTGTGGCTGTCTAGTGGCTCTGACAATACAGGAAAGACAGGACGGTGCACTGACAGTAGCCTACACACTTAAAGTTTGTCCACATAAATGGCTCTTTTGTATCTCATTTGGACAATGTATTAGTTTCCCATTGCTCCTGTAATAAATTGCCATAAACTTCGTGGCTTAAAACAACACAAATTTATTATCTCACAGTTTTGGAGTTAAGAGGTCCAAAATGAGCCTTAAAGGGCTAACGTCAAGGTTTTGGCAGGGTTAGTTCCTTCTGCAGGCTCCATGAGAGAATCTGTTCCTCATCAATTCCTGCTTCTAGAGACTTCCAGACTCCCTTTATTGTGGCCACATTTACCTCAATCTCTACTTCTATTGTCACACTGCCTTCTCTTACCTCTGCTCTCCTGCCTCCCTCTTATAAGGAATCAGTCCTTCCCAGGTTATCTCAGATAATCTCCTCATCTCAAAATCCAGAATCATATCTGCAAAGTCCCTTTGATTCTGTATTCACAGGTTCCAGAGATTTGGACATTGACATCTTTGGGATACCATTATTCAGCCTACTGCGGACCAGAAGTAAGCTTTCTTTAATACTCTGTCTCAAGAAGGTTTCTAGCCTGGAACAATGGGACCTAAGCAGAAAGAGACTAGAGGCGTACTATCAAAATCAAGAGATGGCAAGAGTGGGAGGTAGTTCCTTAATGGCGATACAGAAGAGAGACTTTAATTTTGTAAAGGAACCTTGAGGTAAGAGATCACCAAATAACCCATGAAGACAACTGAATAGTCAGGTTTAAACACCTACCAAGCAGGACATCAAAGTCAGACCACAGCTGGGTGCAACAGCTCACACCTGTAGTCCCAGCTACTCTGGAAGATGAGGTGGGAGAATCGTTTGTGACCAGGAATTCAAGACCAGCCTTGGCAATAGAGCAAAACCCTGTCTCTTAAAAAAAAAAGTCAGACCACAATAATACCTACCTTTCAGGTAAGATTTTTCTTGTTCCTTAATTCTCATGCTTCTACACAGTATGACCCAAAGGGTTCATAAACAGTGGCTATCGGGGCAGCATGCGGTGGCTTATGCCTGTAATCCCAGCATTTTGGGAGGCCAAGGCAGACAGATAACTTGAGGTCAGGAGTTTGAGACCAGCCTAGCCAACATGGGGAAACCCCATCTCTACTAAAAATAGAAAAATTAGCCGGACGTGTTGGCGGACACCTGTAATCCCAGCTACTTGGGAGGCTGAGGCAGGAGAATCGCTTGAACTTAGGAGGCGGAGGTTGCAATAAGCTGAGATTGCGCCACTGCACTCCAGCACTCCAGCCTGGGCGGCAGAGGGAGACGACTCTGTCACCAAAAAAAAAGGGCTATCAAATTGGAGGAAGGAGTCAAGAAGGAGTCAAGGAGTAAGAGGAACTGCCTAAAGAAAAGTAGAAAAGAAGGTAAAAAATGTGCCCCATTTTCTACTACAGGTCTCCAAGCCTGAAGTAAACCATTTTCAGAGAGGGGAAAAACTGTAACGACAAGTGACCTTCAGAATATTGACTATTACATAGAACTTGATATTTTAATTATGGAAATGAGGCAATTGTTATGGCAAGATGCAACCAGAGAACTTTTAGTTATCTAAGAGCTTTAGTATCTGCCAAAATTTTCTCCAGTAGCAAGGAAAGAACCAAACTTCGAAGCAGGTTTGAGCAGGCAGTGAGGAAAATAGGTAGAATACAGATGCTTTGTGAATTAACGTTATTAAGTTCTATTTCTTCAGTGTAACCATTATACACCTTTGTGGCAGAATGAAATGCAGGGGAGGCCCACAATCATGCATGGATTCCTGTAATTGTCCTCTGACTCCCTAATTCTTTGGGTCTCTGCAACAATGTGCCTTGTCTATCTGCTCAGTGTTCACTCCACATTTGCTGATGAAGTCAGAGACTGATGAACTCTGAGTTGTTTTCTCTTAGCATGGCTGGGGTCTGATGATTCTTACTGCTGATTAGACTCCAGCATGGCATTTGCTAGCACAGGGACACCCTGATGTTTGCGACCCACACACATTTGATCTTCAGCTCAGACTAACTACTCCACAACCCTCATCTAGGGAGCCACTTCACCCCTGCCACTGAACCACCTCTAGCAAACTTCCCAGCCAAACTCTCAGCTAACTTCCATATGGCTGCCTCTATCCCTGGGTTCATAAAGGAACTTCTGGTTCCCATCACTGCACAAAGGAACAGAAGGCAGTCCAAGAGCAGGACCAGTCCTCATATTTGAGGACTAAATGCAAAATGAAAATGTGGGACTTTTTATTCAAAAATTAAAAGTTTAAAAATAGCAAGAGTAGATCATTAGGCCAAGTGAATGGCTGTTCTGCATGTGGGGAGCTGTGTGACTGCCAAGGAGCACTAAACTATCCTGTTTACCCATGTAAGGCCACCACTTACACATCACTGTGGCCTTTCCAAGCCAGGGAAGTGAAAGGCAATGCAGTTTAGGGGAGAGGAAGGTGTTAAAGCTATCAGCTGAATGTTCTTAAATGATTATCCCAAGTTACAAACATCTCAGCTTTATATAGCACTTTCTAGCTTTTGAGTTTGTAAAGTACTTTTTATATCTATTATCTCATTTGTTTTTCATGACATCCTTTTAACAGTAGATAGGCATGATGTCCATTTACATTTGAGAAATTCAAGGCTAGAGAGAATAAAAGACTCATTCAAGAATATGTAGTTGAGAAGAAGTTAGGATGATATACAAGCCCTAGATTGACCTGACTCCAAATGTAGTTTAATAAATTTCAAACTTTTATCTCATTTAATCACCAAAGTCATAAAATGCTTATTGTATGAACCAGGAATTATGCATGCCTTTCCATCTTTCCAAAACATATAGCCCCATTCGGCCCATAGTGGATAGACACATGATGGCAGACTTGCTTCCTCTCTTATCAATGTTCCTCCTCTTTGCATCTTCACTCTCTTCCCCTCCCCAATCCCATAAACACACAGTGTCAAAAATGTGGTCAGCTATAGTTCAACTGCTACTCAGCATGGATACTAGTTAGGAATAGATTTAGAAAAAAAGATTAGGGAGACCTCAAATGGTGATTCTGGAGGGAGGGGGGTGCAGAATAATACCCTTCCCACTAGAGGAATGATGCTTGAAAATCTCCTGGGAAATGTCTTATTTTGGGCTTTGTCAACTTAATCAAATGCAAATCTTTTTGGATAGTGACATTTTAAGTCATTAAGTTACCCAGGCTCTACTAAGAGTATGTTCTGATTCCTTTCTAAGATCAGGTTTTCTCAAGATACAGAAAGCATGTGGGGTCCCCATAAAAGCTAAGGAGAAGGACTATGGAAAAATTATGGAAACCATGTGGTTCTCCTATATATACACCCCAGTTATGTCTACTACCCTTCTTTCTCTCACATAGATCTCAAGTGATAGGAAGACACATATTTAAGAAGCTAACATCCTATGAGGAGAATGTGGTTTAACATGCTGATAGCTCATGATTAATTCCCTTCTGCCCAAGTGAAAATGGATGGCTATAACCTTGATACCCCTAAGTCATTAGGGCAATTTTAAGAACTCTCTCTAAAAGCTTCATTTAGATTTACTCACATTTGTTAAAAAGGATAAAACACTAAAAAGGAATCCCAATTGTGTGCAGATGAAAAAAAAATCAATAGTTTTACAAAATATGAAGTCAAAATTACACATAAAAGGGTCTCTACAGAACCAAGTTTTTAAAGATAAATATATACTTGACAAGAAGTGTATTCAGATACTTATCAAGTAATAGTTGCAGTTTGCACAGAGGGTTGGAAAATTAAGACAGTATGGGCCAAGGACTTAAACCTTCTAATTTACAATACAGCATCACTGAATTAATAAAAACCTGACACAATTTTAGTATTTCAGAGGCTTCAACAAAAATGTGATATACAACTAAAACAGGTGAGGGATTTTTTTAGAGGCTGAAACATTCTAAACACTTTTCCCATCAGAGCACAAAGCATGTAAGTGTTGAGCTCTTTGAAAAAGATGCCAAAAGGCCTTTTCATTGCTCTGTGGGAGCTATATTTGACTAAATACCACTCTAGCCCCCAGTTTTTTAAACAACTACCACCTACACAATTCTCTTTCCCCGAAACAATTACCCTTTCTCCTGTCCTGGCACTAATCTTGAGTGTCTGTGGTATATAGTTCAGGGATAAAAGCTATCCAGCTCTGCAGGTAAAGTCGGTATCTCACCAGAGAGAGGAACCTAGGGACAAGCAGATAAGAGAAGTCAGTGCCCTTATCTGCAGTGGGAAGTCTTGTAAAGCCAGAGATTTCAGAAGTGACAGACCTACACAGTTCTATCCTTTGAGGACACAGCCCAAGAGCATCTAGTATAAAAATAGACACACACATCTATTCCTACAGTTACAGGCCAAGCACCTCCAAAGACTGATTGATTCATAACTACCAAGGAGATGGAAAAAGGCAATTTGAGAGCTGAGATTTAAGGTGTTCCCCTCAGAAGTTGAGGTCAGTAGTAATAAGGGGCCCCCTTTTCTACTATATTCTTCACTCTCTGCTTGAATAACATCTGCCTGAGGGTGTAGACCAGGTCTTATTCATTGCTTAGGGCCTGAAACCAAATACGTGACCAGTAAATTAACTAATGACTGGAAAGTTCAACCTCTGCCCCAATGCCTCTCTTAGTTGCCAGATTCCCACAACCCCCTTTCACCCAGTGGAAGAAAGAGATGTCTACTGGTAGCATTGCTTTGAGGCAACTTCATAATACTTGCCATTATGCTTTCATGTTTGCCTCTGAGAAAAGAAATGATTCTAAAAGACTAAGGAGGGAACCATGTTCAGATGCCCTTTTCTTCATAGAACCATGGGATAATGGCAGGACCTCACAGGACAACTGATGTATAGTAATATCCAAAAAGGATCAATCCTGGACACTGGAGTTCTAAGAGTTGGCAAAAATCCATGGAAGCCACAGTGGAACTTACCCTTCAAGGAATTGTGCTGACTTGGACAAGGAGTATGCCAGTGGTGATCGGTATAAACCAAAGATCAAAGGGTCCTCTCTACAAGTCCTGTTCTGTACTAATTTCCAGAATGACTGCACAATGCAATCATTCTGAGAGACAGGAGAAAGTACAAAGAATAAATGAGACTGAGTTTCTAATCAGCCTAATAAATTAGGAGCTCAGGGTAGATTAAACTTGATTTAAAGGAACATATAAAATATTTCTTGTATACCTGAGTTTATGAAGTAAAATGTATACTCACTATACTACCTTGCCTAGTCCCTACCACCACCACCAGAAATTCAGACTCATCGAGTATCTAAAAAATAGAGGCTTCATGCCCTTAGCAGTTGCAAAAGATGCCTCACTCATCTTAAGCAAATTCACAGAGAAAAATATTGAGCTCTAAAAAGTAGTCACATCAGCCAGGTGAAATCAGAATCATGAATAGGCAAGTATAACGTGGGTATTTCTCAATCTTTACCAGTGTGGCTTATGCTTTAGAATTATAGTCACAAATGTCTCACTTCAGTACCAAGGCAGGGGAATGAATACAAGGGATTTCTCCAACTGAGCCTTAGATAAAAATAGCTGGATTAGCTGAGGTTCTCCTGAGGTAGGGCTGATTATAAAACATCCAGCTGGGGGACTATGCAGACTTTATAGAATCACCGGCATGTTAGCTGCACTTCTGGGTCTGCTAAAAGAATCACAGGCAGTCAAATTAACACATGTATCACGGTGTGCTCCAATGAATTCCCAAGCTTTCAGCCCAGCCTGATTAGTATTAACAATAAACCAAGGGAAAGAGGGATTAAGGGATAAACTATTCAGTCATCAAGGTATCAATTAAATCAGTTCAATGATGATTAAGCCTTAGCTTATGTTGTTCCCTGCCTGAAACACCCTTCCCCCTCCCTCTGGCTATCCTTATTTTTCAAACCTAGCTCTAGCCCTATCTTCTATGTGAATTCTTAACTGCTGTTTGAGGTTGTGCTACCCAATCAAAGCCTTGCATAAATCCCATATTCTATAAGTCACTAATTGCTTCACCCATGTTAAATATGATTTCCTAACTACATAGAAGGCTCTTTGATCACAAGGACTGATAATTTTATTTCTTTCATGTCCCTTTAATCAGTAGCCATTAAACTAATGGATTTCATGGATAACTAAACTCCCAACAAAAAGACTCTGGAGATCTCACAAAAGGTTGCAAATTTGTTTATTTGGCCAAATAAGGATATTTTTTAAACTAGCAAATTTCTATTTTGTATAAAGGTGAACTAGGTAACAAGGGGTAATAAGGACCAACCTTCCCCCAAAACAATTAGCAAACCTGGCATAAATCTTTTAAAAGTCTGAGAAGGAATTAGAAAACTAAAAACATGACAAAATATTGTGGAACCAAGATATAAAATAAGGAAACCAAGACAGGTTAGCTGGATCTTTCGTTCTGGAATAGGCCCCTAAGAGGCTAAATAAACAATTATTTTGAAAGTCTGATGAGGTTAGGGGAGAAAAACTGAAGTCAAGATTCTATGGCAGGGGGAATAGGTTGGGCCTACAAGGGTTTATGTCCTAGAAATAAGGATAGACTGAAATTACACCAGCTCTCAGGGACCAGGCCTTTCAATCAATGAAATTTGATTAAGATGATCCAATACTGTGAGTTCCCACAGCCGTCATCTGCCAGTTTAGCAAAGGGGTAAGGGTAATCTTTTATTTGAAAAGATGTCATATTAGGGCTCAAATTCTTTCTATAATTTTTATATACAATATCCAACACTAAATAAAAGAATGAGAACACAAACCAGGGCATAAGACAACATGATAAAAAAGGAAAAAATAAATCAGAAAATAAACATAATAAATATATCAGACATGGGTTTTTAAATACCAAATGACAGGTATACTTAAGAAAATATTATGAATATTTGGAGAAAAGTGAACCTATAAAAAGTTCTAGAACTAAAAATAAAATCACCAAAATTAAGAATTCAATTGATGATTTTTGTTTTGTTTTGAGATGGAGTTTCACTCTTTCGCCCAGGCTGGAGTGAAGTAGCGCGATCTTGGCTCACTGCAACCTCTGCCCCCCGGGATCAAGCGATTTTCCTGCCTTAGCCTCCCAAGTAGCTGGGATTATAGGCACCCACCACCATGACTGCCTAATTTTTGTATCTTTATTAGAGATGGTGTTTCACCACATTGGCCAGGCTGGTCTCGAACTCCTGACCTCAGGTGATCCACCCACCTCGGCCTCCCAAAGTGCTGGGATTACAGGCATGAGCCACTGCACCTGGCCTCAGTTGATGATTTTAACAGCAAAATAAATACACCAGAAGAGAAATTCAGTGAATTGGAAAATAGGTCAGAAAATAAGTCTCAAAACAGGAATGGAGAAAGAGAAGAGACGCAATATCTGAGGACATGATAACTGAATTTTCTAAAATTGGAGAAAGAAATCAAAGGAAAGATGGAACCAAGGAAAAGATGAAGCCCAAATAGTAAATATAATAATAAAACCACACGTTAAGAATATCATAGTAAACCTGATAAAAATACAAAGAAAAAATTCTTAAAAGAAATCAGAATATTAAAAACCACTAAATGAATATATACTATAAAATAGTTAAAATGGTTAATTTTAGCTCCATAAAAACAAGAAATAAGAAAATATATTAATAAAGATACATTATATTCAAAGTATTAATAATTAGTCCAACTGTTTACCTCAACAGGGACAAAAGAATTCAGAAATAAATCCAACGAAAGCCTCAAAGTGCTGAAAGAAAATAACTGTCAACCTAAAATACTATAATAGGAAAAAAAGGATTATTAAAGAATGAGAGTTAACAAAAAGACATTTTTATATAAAAAACAAAAACCAGTGTAATTTTTCACTATCTAGACTCACATTCACAGAAATGGTAAAAGGATGCTGTTTGGGAAGAAGGAACCAGACGCAAACAAGGAAATGCAGCAAGCAAGGAAGAGACAGGAAAGCATAAATACACAGGTAAATCAAGATGAATATTGATGCTAAACAATACCAATAATAATGTCTTATGGAGTTTAAAATATATAGAGATTCAAAATACACAATTACAACATCACAGACATTGAAAAGAGTTTAAATGGAGTTACTGTGTTTAAAGATAGGAAACAGTCAAGGATTCATGCTGTAATATCTAGGGTATCCACTAAAATAATATTAAGAGAGTATATAGTTACCATGCTAATACAAAGTGAAAAATAACTAAAATCTAGTCAATCTAAAAAAAGACAAGAAAGAGAACAAAAATAATTTAGAAAAAATGGAAGCTGAATGAAAGATTAGGCAATATAGTGGCATTAACTCAAATATATTACTAATTACAATGCATATAAATAAACAAGATACGCTAATGAAATCATTGACTAAATAAAACACAAATATATATATACTTCTTACAGAGATACATATTAAATATAAGAATTCAGTAAGCTGAAGGTAAAAAGATGAGAATAATATAAAAGGTACACCAAAATCAAAAGATGATGTAGCTATACTAATATCGAAGTAAACCATTAAGGAGATAAGTAATGCTAAGGACAGACAGGAAAGCTTCTTAAAAATAAAGTGATCAATCCAATTGGAAGATTAAAATATTCTAAATTTATATGAACACAATAACATAACTTTGAAATATATAAAAGAAAATTTGATAGGACTGAAAATACAGACAAATCACCAACCACCCTGGGAAACTTTAACACTATTTTCTTAGTAATTGATAGAATAGGGAAATAGAAAAACAAACTAAAATATAGAAATTTGAATAAAACAATGAAAACATTAAATTAGACACAATTGACATGTAGAGAACAGCATCTCTAATTGAAGAGAAAATCTTTTGCAAGTATACAAAGGAACTATATTAAAATTGACCAAAAAGCTCAACATTACACAGAGAATATTCCCTTCAAACACTGAAATTAATCTAGAAAATGTATAACAAAGTGTAACTTAAATATCCTCACATAGTTTTAAACTAAGCAACACAGTTCAAAATAACTATATGTCAAAAAATCACAATGACATTTTAAAATATTTTGAGCTAGAGGTCTGGTTCCAAACTGGTGACATGGAAGCAAGCTGGCTTCATTCCCTCCCCAACAGAAAACCCCAAACAAATATGCCTCACCAAGATTATCACCAGCAATATTCCAGAACTCAAATATGAGAATGAGAGTTTCCAGGGCCACAGAAAATTTAAAAACTCTGAGCAGACAGTAAGAGAAATATATTTTTATATCCACAATGCTCCTCGCTCCCATGCTACCCCTCATCCAGAATGCAGAAAATGTCCTCTCAACTCATGTTTTCTATACTGGAAAAAGTAACATAAAGGTAGACATGGGCTTCCTTTCAGACCTGTCTATCCCTGCCTTAATCCTAGGGAAGCACTGCAAGTGCCTAAAGGGAGAGATATACCTGAAGACAGAGACAAAGATGAGAGAAAGAACTACCGTTCCCAGCCCTGGAACCTCTGCTCCGTAACTCACATAAAGGAGATGCCAAATAAGAGCGACTGTTCGGCAGCACCACACGGTAGGAGGTCACAAGTCCCCTGAACATCAATTCCTAGCCAGCCTTCCTGAAATACAAGTATATCTCCTTTGAAAACTCCCCCTATATGGACAGGCAGAACTGTAATTGTTTACTAGAACTAAGAGTAACCTGGCCTTAAGGCACTATCTAGTGCCAAAAAGGAGGCAGAAGCATAGTGAAAAGGAAACAAAAGACAGAAAATCAACAGCTATATTACAAAGAATATCTACGCAAATATAGAATAGAAACCAAAACAAGCCAGATAAAGAAAACTGGAATAAATAACTAATCCTTCAATGCAAAGGCATAGATGTATATCCACAAGAAACAACTGCAAACAGGGAAACATGGCATCCACAAACAGACAAAGCAAGAAACCAGTGACTGACACTCATAAGTTAGCAAAATGTGAACTCTCCGATCAAGAGTTCAGAATAACAGTTTTAAGGAAACTCAGTGATCTCCAAGATAATACAGAAAACCAAAGTAGAAATTTATCACAGAAATTTAACAAAGAGATTGAAATAATTTTTTAAAAAACAGTAATCTTGGAAATGAGTACTACATTTGCTGAGCTGGAAAATTCAACAGAGGCTCCCAACAGAAGAATGGATAAAGCAGAGAAAAAAATCAGTAAGCTTAAAGATAGGCTATTTGAAAATACACAGTCAGAGGACATAAAGAATATGAAGATCACCTGGAAGATACAGAAAATTATGTTAAAATCCCACATCTAAGAATTATTAGTATTCATGAGGGAGTTGAGCAAGAACAAGGGTGGAAAAGCTCATTTAAAGAAATAATAACAGAAAAAAATCTAAAACTTGAGAAAAAGATAAGTATCCAGGCACAGGAAGGTCAGAAAACACCAAACACAAGGCACCCAAATTAAATTATGCCAAGGCATTTAATATTCAAACTCTCAAAGGTCAAGGACAAAGAGAGGATTCTATAAGCAGCAATAGAAAAGAAGAAAATAAGATCTGAAGGTACTCCAATTAATCTGGAAGCATATATCCTAATGGAAACCATACAAGCCGGGAAGGAGTGGGATGACATTTTTCCAAGTGTTGAAGGACAAAACAAAACAAAACTGTCATCCAAAAATACTGTATCCAGCAAAACTATTATTTGAATATGAAGAAGAGATAAAGTCTTTCCCAGACTAACAAAGGTTGAAACAATTCACCACCACCAGACCCACCTTACAATAGATGCTAAAGGAAGTTCTTCAATCTAAAAGAAAAAAAAAATCCTGTGCAATTAGAAAACATTTGAAGGTATAAAACACAAATAAATTAAGTACATGGACAAACGCAAAATACACTAATGCTGTAACTGTGGTATGCAATATACTCATAACTCATACAAAATCCCAAAGAAAAATGTATCAAAAACTATATTTTGTAAAGCAACCTATTAGAGATAGGTATTACAAAATGATAGAAACTGAAAAAACATTAAAGTCGAAATGTGAGGGGGCTGGAGCTAAACTGCAGAGTTTTATTTTCATTTTTTTGTTGTTGCTATTCATTTCTTTGTGACCTAAGATAAGTTCCCATCTCCTTAATATAACTTCTTATATCGATAAGATGCTTTTTTTAACCACAATGCAGAAACCTATAATATATTCAGTAAAAATCTGAAAAGCAATGAATTAAAACTTACTAACAGAAAATTACTTAACGCAAAAGAAAACAGTAAGAAAAGAAAAGAAGAAGGAAGGAAAGAAGGAAGGAAGGAAGGAAGGAAAGGAGGGAAGGAGGGAGGGAGGGAGGCTCAAACAACCAAAAAACAAGAAACAACATGGTCGTAGTAAGTCTTTACTTATCAACAATAACACTGATTGTCAACAGACTCAACTCTCTAATTAAAAGTCACAGAGTGGCTGAATGGATAAAGAAAATATATACAACTATATGCTGCCTACAAGAATCCTTTCCCTGTAAGGCCACACATAGGCTGAAAGTGAAGAGGTGGAAAGTTATTCCATGCAATTGGAAACCAATCAAAAGCAGGAGTAGATATACTTATGGCAGATAAAATAGACTATATGCTTAAGAGTATAAAAAAGACAAAGAATGTCACTACATAATGATAAATGGGTCAATTCAGGGAGAATTTAACAATTATAAATATTTATGCATCAACACCAGAGCTACCAAGTATATAAAGCAAATATTAATAGAACTAGAAAGAGAGAGAGTATTCTAAAACAATAATAGGGAACTGAAACATCTCACTCTCAGGAATAGACCAATCATTGAGAAAGAAAATCAACAAAGAAACACGGAGCTAAACTACACACTAGACCAAATAGTCTTAACTGACATTTACAGAACATTCTACCCTACCGCTCCAAAATATATATTCTTTTCATCAGCACATAAAACATTCTCCAGAATAGACCGTATGTTAGGCCACAAAACAAGTCTCTACAGATTCAAATGAATAGAAATCATATCAAGTATCTTTTTAGACCACAATGGAATAAAACTAGAAATCAATAATAAAAGAAACCACAGAGAATACATAAACACATAGAAAATAAACAATATGCTCTTGAATGACTAATTATTCAATGGAGAAATTAAGAAGATAATTTTAAAATTTATTGTAACAAATAAAAATGGAGATGCAACATATCAAAAACTATGAGATACAGCAAAAGTAGTACTAAGAGAGAAATACACAGCAATAAACATCTATGTCAAAGAAAAAATTCAAACAAAGAACCCAATAATGCACCTCAGGGAACTAGTTAACTGACAACAGACCAAATCCAAAATTAGTAGAAGGAAATACATAATAAATATCGGAGCAGAAACAAATAAAATTGAGACCAAAAAAACAGAATATCAATGAAATAAAAAGTTGTTTTGGAAAAGATAAAATTGACAAATCTTTAGGTAGATTAATGAATAAAAAAGAGAAAAGACCCTAATATATAAAATCAGAAACAAAAACAGCTGAGACCACAGAAATACAAAGAAATATTAGAGACTATTATGAACCACTATATGTCAACAAATTGAAAACCCTAGGAGAAATGGATACATTCTTGGACACATACAACCTATCAAAATTGAACAATAAAGACATAGAAAACCTCAACAAACTCATAATGAGTAATGAGACTGAAACTGTAATAAGTTTCCCATGAAAGCAAATACAAAATGGCTGACTATATGCAGCTAGTATTCACTTTTTTCATGGAAAGGAGCAAAAGGAGATACTCACACTTTGAATATATCATCTAAGAGAGAAAACTGGGATTCAACAGGGAAGTGATAGGAAGTACTGAAGGCTAAGAAGTAGACAAAAGTGAAGCACTCTATTCGGCTGGGAATGGCTGGAGCCAAGTGAAGCTCCTAGATGCGGTGTAAGAGTTAAGTGACAGCTGCCCAGGGCTCCACATTCCCATCACGGACTTGTATAGTCAAAGGTATGAGAGGGCCCCTTGACCTAAGGAGGCCACAAGACTAACATAGAAAGCTGCCTAAGGATTATATAGAGGCACTGCTGTAGAGAGGGAACTCACACTGAGGCCAACAGGCTTCTGAACCCTGAGAAACTACAGCTTGGCACCATTCTGAGAGCCAAGCACCCAAAGGACTGCATTCTGCCCCAGAGCTGATGCTGCCACTGCTGCAACCAGGCCATTGGGGGACAGAGAAGGCCAGGCACCTTCATGCATCCCAAGGACAAATCCCATCACCACTGCAATATGGGACTGAAGCAAAAGCAAACAGCACTCCTCACAACTACATATATATAGTGCTCCCACTAAGAGTGACCCTTCCCTCCCCAGTGATACTCACACAGTTGGTACCATTCTGAGAGCCCAGCTTCCAAAGATCCACATCCTGCCATAGGGCTGAGACTAACACGGCTGCTGCTACCAACAAACAAAGGAGAAAGAGGAGAGGCTGAGCACTTTCGTGCACCTTGAGGACAAATCCCACTGGCACTGCTGTGTGCTGCCATGAGACCAAGGTGCAAGAAAACCATACTTGCCACAACTACCTGCCTACCCTGCACACACAGAGAGTGGCCCTGCCCTCCCAAATGGCAAGCTCACACTACACCCACTACTACATATACCTGAGCATCCCATCAACAACCCAGAAACCACCCTGCCACTGCCTATCACAGCCAGTGCCTGAATGTACTACCAAGGGGCCTGAGGACAGATCTGCCATCCCAGTCCCCTTTCCCCACTACTTGGGCACACTGTCCAGGGGCCTGGGGATTCCCCAGCCCAGTCCACCACAGTTGGCAACTGAACATTCTTGCCAAGGTCTGAGTTTGGGTTGAGACAACATGCTGGTACCACCACAGTTGGAATCCACCCAAACCTACCACCAGCACACAGGGGTACTAGCATACCCAACCTGCTAAGGCCACCACCAAAACCAGTACACAATCCTTGGATTCTAATGGGTTGCTCCATGACCACTACTGCAATCATCCACATCACACCTGCTGTGGAGAAACCCCAGAAACCACCGACATGCCAAGACCATCACTGTAACTACTGGCACCCAAGAAAGTCACATGGAAGACCAAGACTCATCCTGCCAGGACCCACTAACATGAGTGTCATAAGCCACCCTCTCATCTAAGAACAGGCATATTCAGCCTACCTTTGCAACCACTGGGGCCCAAAGACTGCCCTACCTGGCATCCTAAACTTCACCATAGTCTTTACTAATAACTGCACCCTAAGACACCGAGGAAATCAAAAATAACACTGATGCTATTTATAGCCAAAAAAATCATACAGATATTATACTACTACATATAGCCCAAACAAAAGTCAAAGCACCCTATCTATCTATATCTATTTCTATATCTATATTTATATCTACCTATATTTATATTTGTATGTGTGTGTATATATATATGCATATGTATGTATATATATATGTATATGTGTATATATATACACACATATGTATCTTCAGGAAAAAGTCCTCTCTTATGAAAATAAATTCAAAAAATTAGAAGAAGCAACTGTCACACCAGATTCTCAGATACAAAGGTATGGCAAGAGGAAATGTGAACAAGCAAGGAAAATATTACACCTCCAATGGAACACAATAATTTTCTAGCAATGGATCAAAATCAAAAATAAATTTTAAAAATCTCAGATAAAGAAGTCAAAATACTGATTTAATTTTATTTTTTTATTTTAATTTTTGTAGGTACATAGGAAGTGTAAATATTTATAAATGTTTACAGATATGTAATATGTAATAATCACATCATGAAATATGGGGTATCCATCCTCTCAAGCATTTATCCTTTGTGTTATAAACAATCCAATTATACTGTTTTAGTTATTTTTAAATGTAAAATTAAATTAGTATTGACTATAGTTGCCCTGTAGTGCTATCTAAAATTAGGCCTTTTTTGTTCAGGCTATTTTTTTGTACCAATTAACCATCCCTAGCTCCCACCAACCCACTCCCACAACTCTTCCCAGCATCTGGTAACCATCCTTCTACGCTCTATCTCCATGGCTTCAAGTTGTTACAATTTTTAGATACCACAAATAAGTGAGAACATGCAATGTTTGTTTTCTATGCCTGGCTGATTTCACTTAACATAATGAACTCCAGTTCCATCCATGCTGTTGCAAATGACTGAACCTCATTCATTTTTCTAGTTAAATTGTACTCCATTGTATATAAGTACCACATTGTATTTATCCATTCATCTGTTGATGGACACTTAGGTTGCTTCTAAGTCATATCTATTGTGAACAGTGCAGCAACAAACATGGGTGTGCAGATATCTCTTAGATATATTGAGTTCCTTTCCTTTGAGTGCATACCCAGCAGTGGAATTGCTGGACATATAGTAGGTCTATTCCTAGTTTTTTGAGGAACCTCCAAACCTTTCTCCATAGTGGTTGTACTACCTGACATTACCACCAACAGTGTATGAGAGTTCTCTTTTCTCCACATCTCGTCAGCACTCATTATTGTCTGTATTTTGGCTATAAGCCATTTTAACTGGAGTGAGATGATACCTCATTGTAGTTCTGATTTGCATTTCTCTGATAACCAATGATATGGAGCACCTTTTCATATGCTTGTTGGCCATTTGTATGTCTTCTCAGAGAAATGTCTATTCAAATCTCTTGCCCATTATTTGAATTATCTGATTTATTTCTATAGAGTTGTTTGAGCTCCTTATATATTCTGGTTATTAATCCCTTGTCAGATGGGTAGTTTGCAAATGTTTTATCTCATTCTGTGGGTTATCTCTTCTCTTTGCTGATTGTTTCATTTGATGTACAGATGCTTTCTAACTTGATAAAATCCCATTTGTCCATTTTTGCTTTTCTTTCCTGTGCTTGTGGAATAGTACTCAAAAAATCATTGTTTAGACCAATGTCCTGGAGAGTTTCCATAATGTTTTCTTGTAGTAGTTTCATAGTTTGTGGCCTTAGATTTAAGTCTTTAATTCATTTTGATTTTTGTACATGGTGAGAGACAGGGGTCTAGTTTCATTCTTCTGCATATGAATATCCAGTTTTCTCAGCATCATTTAATGAAGAGACTGTCCTTTCTGCGATAAATGTTCTTTACACCTTTGTCAAAACTGGGTTTACTGTAGGTGTGTAGGTTTCTTTCTGGGTTCTCTATTCTGTTCCATTGGTCTATGTATCTGTTTTATCCAGTACCATGCTCTTTTGGTTACTGTAGCTCTGTAGCATAATTTAAAGCCAGGTAATGTAATTCCTCCAGTTTTGTTCTTTTTGCTTAGAATAGCTTTGGCTATTCTCGGTTCCATATTAATTTTAGGACTGTTCTTTTCTATTTCTGTCAAGAATGACATTGGTATTTTAATAGGGATTGAGCTAAATCTGTAGATTTCTTTGGGTAATATGGACATTTTAACAATATTGATTCTTTCAATCCATGAACATGAAATATCTTTCCAATTTTTGGTATCCGCTTTACTTTCATCAGTGTTTTATAGTTTTCATTACAGAGATATTTCACTTCTTTAATGAAGTCAATTCCTAGGTATTTAATTGTATTTGTTGCCATTATAAGTAGGACTACATTTTTTCATTTCCATTTCAGTTTGTTTATTGTTAGCATATAGAAATACTACTAAGTTTTGTATGTTCGTTTTGTGTCCTGCAACTTTACAGAATTTGTTTATCACTTCCAATCATTTTTTGGTGAGGTCTTTAGGTTTTTCCACATATAAGATCACATTATTTGCAAACAAGGATAATTTGATTTCTTCCTTTCCAATTTGAATGCCTACTATATATTTCTCTTCTTTTATTGCTCTAGATAGGACTTCTGTTATGTTGAATAGCAGTGGTGAAAATGAGCATTCTTGTCATTTTCCAGATGTTAGAGAAAAGGTTTTCAGTTCTTCCCTACTCAAAATGATATTAGCTGTGGGTCTGTCATACGTTGTTCTTATTATGTTCAGGTATGTTCCTTCTATACCCTGTTTTTTAGGGTTTTATCATAAAGGGATGTTGAGTTTATAAAATGCTTTTTAGAATCAATTGAAATGATCATGCAGATTTGTCCTTCATTTTGTTGATAGGATATATCACATTGATTAATTTGTGTACACCAAACCATCTTTGCATCCCAGGGATAAATACCACTTGTTGAATTTGGTTTGAGAATAGTTTTCTGAAAATTTTTGAATCAGTGTTCATCATTGATATTGTACTCTAGCTTTCTTTTCTTTGTCTTTAACGGGTTTTGGTATCAGGGTAATATTGGCCTCATAGAATGAGTTTGGAAGGATTCCCTCCTCTATTTTTCAGAATACTTTAAGTAGAATTAGTAATAGTTCTTCTTTAAATGTTCGGTACAATTCAGAAGTGAAGCCATTGGTTCCTGGGCTTTTCTTTATTGGAGACCTTTATTATGGCTTTTATCTCATTACTTGTCTGTTTGGGTTTTGGATTTCTTCATAGTTTAGCCTTGGTAGTTTTTAAGTGTTTAGAAATTTGTCCATTTCTTCTAGATTTTCCAATTTATTGGCACATAGTTACTTGTAGTTAGCCACTAATTGTGCTTTGAATTTCAGCAATATCTGTTGTAATGTTTCATTTTTCATCTCTGATTTTATTTATTTAGGTCTTTTTTTTCCTTAGTGTGGCTAAAGGTTTGTTGATTTAACTTTTCAAAAAAAAACAGCTTTTTGTTTCATTGATTATTTGTATTTTTTTTATTACATTTATGTCTGCTCTGATCTTACTTCTTTTTCTGCTAATAATTTTGGGTTTGCTTTGCTTTTCCTTTTCTTGTTCTTTAAGATGCATTCTTAGGTTGTTTATTTTATGTTATTCTTTTTTGATGTAGGTTTCTATACCTAAAAGCTTCCCTCTGTGTACTGTTTCAGCTGAATACAACAGGTTTTTGTATGCTGTGATTCCATTATAATTTGTTTCAATAAATTTTTTCAATTTTCTTCTTTATTTCTTCATTGAAGCACTGGTCATTCAAGAATATATTGTTTAATTTCCATGTATTTGTACAGTTTCTAAACTTCTTGATATAGATTCCTTGTTTTGTTCCATTGTGGTCACAGAAAATGCTTGATGTTATTTCCATATTTTAGAATGTTTTAAGAATTGTTTTGTGGCCAAACCTAGGTTCTATCCTCGAGAATAATCCATGTTCTGAGAAAAAGAATGTCTATGCAGCAACTTTTAAATGAACTACTCTGTAAATATCTATTAGGTCCACTTGGTCTACAGTTCAAATTAAGTGTGGTATTTCTTTTTAATTTACTGTTCACAATATTTGTCTAACACTGAAAGTAGGGTGTTGACGTTTCCAGCTATTTGTTACATTGGAGTCTATCTCTCTCTTTAGCTGTAATAATATTTGCTCTATATGTCTGGGTGCTCCAGTGTTGGGTACACATATATTTAAAATTGTCTTATCTTCTTGCTGAATTGACCTTTTCTGATTTTATGTTAATCTTTTTTGTCTCTTATAGTTTTTGTCTTGAAATCGATTTTGTCTGATAAAAGTATAGAAACTCTTTTTTTTATTTGGTTTCCATTGGGATGAAAGATCCATTTTGATCCCTTTATTTTCAGTCTATGTATGTCTTTATAGGTGAAGTGAGTATCTTGTAGGCAATAAATTAATAGGTCTTCTTTTTTAAAAAAATTCTGGGGCCCGGCGCGGTGGCTCACACCTGTAATCCGAGCACTTTGGGAGGCTGAGGCGGGCGGATCACGACGTCAGGAGTTCGAGACCAACCTGGCTAACACAGTGAAACCCCGTCTCTACTAAAAATACAAAAAATTAGCCGGGCATGGTGGTGGGCACCTGTAGTCCTAGCCACTCGGGAGGCTGAGGCAGGAGAATGGCGTGAACCCGGGAGGCAGAGCTTGCAGTGAGCCGAGATCGCAAAAATAAAATAAAATAAAATAAAATTCTACCACCATACGTCTTTTGGAGAGTTTAGTCCTTTTACATTCAATGTTATTATTAATATGTAAGTATTTACTCCTGCCATCTTATCATTCATTTTCTGGCTGTTTTGTTGTTTTCTCTTCCATATTCTTTCCTTCCTTTCTTCCTTTTAGTGAAGGTGATTTTTTCTGGTGATATGATTTAGTTTCTTGCTATTTATTTTCTGTGTCACCATTGTCTGCTTTTTAATTTGAAATTACCATGAGGCTTTAAGTAGTATCTTACAAACAATTATTTTAAGCTGATAACAACTTAGCATTGTTTTCAAAGACAAACGAGCTAAAAAAAAGACTAATAAAGACTTTTAAGCCTTAACTTCATCCCCCATATTTTAAAAATTTTCCTGTGACTATTTATATCTAATTATACTATGTATTGAAGAGTTGTTGTAGTTATTATTTTTTATTGGTTTATAGTTTAGTCTTTCTACTTAAGATACTTACACACCACAGTTAGAGCATTATAATATTCTGTGTTGTTCTGTGTACTTATTATTATAAGTCACTTTTGCACCTTCAGATGATTACTTATTGCTCATAAACATCCTTTATATACTAATTAAAATACTCCTTTTAGCATTTCTTGTAAGACATATCTGATGTTGATGAAATCCGTCAGCTTTCATTTGTCTGGGAAAGTCCAGATACTCTAAATCATTACTCTCAGGTTCAAACTTCCACAGATCTCTAGAGCAGGTGCACAATACTTCCAGTCTCTTTGCTAAAGCATAGCAAGAATGACTTTACTCCAGTTCTCAATAAGTTCCTCATCTCCATCTGAGACCTCCTCAGCCTAGACTTCATTGTCCATAGCAGTATCAGCATTTTGGTCACAACAATTTAACAAGTCTCTAGGAAGTTCCAAACTCTCCTTCATCTTCCTGTCTTCTTCCGAGCCCCTCACACTCTTCCTAGCTTTGCCTGTTACCCAGTTCCAAAGTTGCTTCCACTTTTTCAGGTATCTTTATAAGAACACCCCACTCTCAGTACCAACTTTCTGTTTTAGGCTGTTCTTGCACTGCTTATAGAGAACTATTTGGGATAGGGTAATTTATAAAATTGGCTCACAATTAAACAGGCTCTACAGGAAGCATGACTAGGGAGGCCTCAGGAAACTTACAATCATGGTGGATGGAAAAGGGGAAGCGGCACATCCTACATGGCTGTAGCAGAAGGGAAGGAAGAAAAGCAGCAGTTGCTACATACTTTAAAAGACACAGGTCTCAAGAGAACTCACTCACTATCACGAGAAGAGCAAGAAGAAAATCTGCCCTCATGATCCAATCACCTCCCTCCAGGCTCCTCCCTCCAACATTAGTTATTACAATTTGACATGAGATTTGGGCAAGACACAAATCCAAACCATATCAATAATATACCAAACACATCAATAATAAACCCTGAATGTGAATGGATTAAGTTCTCCACTTAAAAGATATATATTGGTTGAATGGATAAGAAAACATGATCCAATGATACTCTGACTACAAGAAATGCACTTTATCTGCAAAGATATATTCATAGACTGAAAGTAAAAAGATAACAAAAATTCTATGCGAATGGAAACCACAGGAAAACAGGAATAGGTATACTCATATCAGATGAAATAGACTTTAAGTCAAGTATAGTAAAAAAACTAAGACAAAGAGGATCATTATATAGTAATAAATGGATCAATTTAGCAAGAGGATGAAACAATTTAAATATATATGCACCCAACTCTGGAGCACCCAGATTCATAAGGCAAATACTACTAAATATAAAGAGAGAGATAGGTTCCAATACAATAATAGTGGGGGACTTCCACACCCCACTCTCAGCATGAGACAGATCATCTAGACAGAAAATTAGTAAGGAAACATTGCATTTAATACCAATGTTGCAGTGTATACGTTCTTTTCACCAGCACATGGAACATATTCCAGGATAGACAACATGTTAATCCAGAAAACAAGTCTCAACAAATATTTTAAAAATAAAAATTATTTCAAGTTTCTTTTCAATGGAATAAAACTAGAAATCAATACCAAGAGGAAATTCAGAAACTATACAAAAACACAGATATTAAAAAACATGTTCCTGAATGACCACTGGGTCAATAAAAAATTAAGCTAGAAATTTAAAAAATTATTGAAAGTAATAAAAATGGAAATATAACATACCAAATCTGTGGAATACAGCAATATCAAGGCTAATAGAGAAGTTTACAAGAAAAAAACAAACAACCCCATCAGAAAGTGGGCGAAGGACATGAACAGACACTTCTCAAAAGAAGACATTTATGCAGCCAAAAAACACATGAAAAAATGCTCACCATCACTGGCCATCAGAGAAATGCAAATCAAAACCACAATGAGATACCATCTCACACCAGTTAGAATGGCAATCATTAAAAAATCAGGAAACAACAGGTGCTAGAGAGGATGTGGAGAAATAGGAACACTTTTACACTGTTGGTGGGACTGTAAACTAGTTCAACGCTTGTGGAAGTCAGTGTGGCGATTCCTCAGGGATCTAGAACTACAAATACCATTTGACCCAGCCATCCCATTACTGGGTATATACCCAAAGGACTATAAATCATGCTGCTATAAAGACACATGCACACGTATGTTTATTGTGGCACTATTCACAATAGCAAAGACTTGGAACCAACCCAAATGTCCAACAATGATAGACTGGATTAAGAAAATGTGGCACATATACACCATGGAATACTACGCAGCCATAAAAAATGATGAGTTCATGTCCTTTGTAGGGACATGGATGAAATTGGAAATCATCATTCTCAGTAAACTATCGCAAGGACAAAAAACCAAACACCGCAGTTCTCACTCATAGGTGGGAATTGAACAATGAGAACACATGAACACAGGAAGGGGAACATCAAACTCTGGGGACTGTTGTGGGGTGGGGGAAGGGGGGAGGGATAGCATTAGGAGATATACCTAATGCTAAATGATGAGTTAATGGGTGCAGCACACCAGCATGGCACATGAATACATATGTAACTAACCTGCACATTGTGCACATGTACCCTAAAACTTAAAGTATAATAATAATAAAATAAATAAATAAATAAATACATCAAAAAAGTAGAAAGTTACAAATTGACAATCTGATAATGCACTTCAAGGAATTAGAAAAGCAAGAACAAACCAAAAATGAAAACACAACTTACCAAGAACAAACCAAACTCAAAATTAGCAAAAAAAAAAAAAAGAAAAGAAAAGAATGATCAGAGAAGAACTAAATGAAATACAGATGAACAAAACAATACAAACAATCAACAAAATGGTAAGTTTTTTTCTTTGAAAGGATAAATAAAATTGATAAAACACTAACTAGACTAATGAAGAAAAGACTCCAATAAAAAAATCAGAAATTATTTTGGACTTACACTACCCTTTAGAACAAATGTACCTAAGAGATATATACAGAACATTTCATGCAACAGCAGCAGAGTACACATTCTTCTCAAGTACACATTGAACATTACCCAGGACATATTATATGTTAGGACACAAAACAAGTCAAAACAAACTTAAGATGATTGAAATTATATCAAATACCTTATTCCAACCACAATGATGTAAAACTAGATATCAATACCAAGATGAAAGCTTGAAAATTTACAAACGTGGAATTTAAACAACACACTCCTGAACAACCAATGGGTCAAGGAAGAAATCAAAATGGAAATAAAAAAATATTTTGATGTAATCCTAGCATTTTGGGAGGCCAAGGCGGGCAGATCACTTGAGGCCAGGATCTTGAGACCAGACTGACCAACATGGCGAAAACCTGTCTCTACTAAAAATACAAAAATTAGCTGGGCATGGTGGCATACACCTGTAGTCCCAGCTAGCCAGGAGGCTGAGGCATGAAAATTACTTGAACCAGGGAGTTATGGGTTGCAGTGAGCTGAGATGACACCACTGCACTCCAGCCCAAATGACAGAGCGAAACTCTGTCTCAAAAAAAAAAGGGAAAAACAAAAATGAAAATACAACATACAAAACCTATGGAATGCAGCAAAAACAGTTCTAAAGGGACATTTATTATGATATAGGCTGATGTGAAAAGAAATGTCTCAAATAAACTTAACTTTGTAACTGGAGAAACTACAAAAAGACCAAACTGAGTCCAAAGTTAGTAGTATGAAGAGAATAAAGATAAGAACAGAAATAAATTAATTAGTGACTAGAAAAACAATAGAAAATATCAATGAAATTAAGAGTTGGTTTCATTGAAAAGATAAACAAAATTGGCAAGCCTTTAGCTAGATTAAGAAAAAAGAAGACTCAAATAAGTGAAATAAGAAATAAAACAGGGGAAATCATAATTGATTCCATAGAAATATAGATAATATACACCGACATACTGGAAAACCTAGTAGAAATAAATTACTAGACAAATATAAATATCACCATACTAAATCACTAAGAAATACAAAAATCTGAATAGATCAATATTGAATAAGGAGATTGAATCAGCAATCAAAAATCTCCAAATAATGAAAATCTCAGGACCAGATGGCTTCGCTGGTAAATTCTTCCAAACATTTAAAGATGCATTAATACCAATGCTTCTTAATGGCTTCCAAACGTTTAAAAATAACACATACGAACTTATTTTATGAGGCCAGCTTTAGGTTGAAATGAAAAAGAGACAATAATTCTACAAAACAGGTAGGCCAATATCTCCAATGAACATAAATATAAAAAGTCCTCAAGAAGATACTAGCAAGCTGAATTTAGTAGCAGATTTAAAGGATTATACACCATTATGAAGCGGAATTTATTCCTAGAATGCAATGATGGTTTGAGAAATGCAGATCAATAAATATGATATACCACATTAAAAATTTAAGCATAAAAATCATGTGATCATTTCAATAAATGCAGAAAAAGCATTTCACACTACTCAACACCCTTTTCATAATAAAGACTATCAATATATTAAATAGAGAAAGCACCTCAACATAATAAAGGCCAGATATGACAATCCAACAGCAAACATCATACTCAAGAATGAAAAGCTGAAAGCTTTTTTTCTAATATGAAGAACAAATTAAGGATGTCCATTCTTGCCATTTGTATTCAACATAGCACAGAAAGACCTAACCAAAACAATCAGGAAAGAAAAAAATAAAAGACATCCAAATTGAAAAGGAAGAAGATAACATTGTCTCTGTTTGCAGATTACATGATCTGATGTATAAAAAACCCAAAAGACTTAATGAAAATACTGTTAGAACTATAAATTCAGTAAAGTTTTAAGACACAAAACCAATAATAAAGCCAGTAACATTTCTATACACTAACAATGAATTATCTGAAAAAGAAATTGAGAAAACCATTCCATTTACAGGAGCATCAAAAAGAATAAAATACTTAGAATTAAATTTAACCAATGATGTGAAAGATTGTGCACTAAAAACTATAAAAATTGATGAAAGCATTCAAAGACACAAATAAATGGAAAGACATCCCACGTTCACGAATGAAAAAAAATTGTTAAAATATGCATCCTCTATACTACTCAGAGATATCTACAGATTCAACGCAACCGCTATCAAAATTCCAATGGCATTTTTATTTTATTTTATGTTCTGGGATACATGTGCAGAACGTGCAGGTTTGTTACATAGGTAAACATGTGTCGTGATGATTTGCTGCACCTATCAACTCATCACCTAGGTATTAAGCCCTGCATGCATTAGCTATGTATCCTGATGCTCTCCCTCCCCCTGTCTCCCTGACATGCCCCAGTGTGTGTTGTTATCCTCCCTGTGTCTATGTGTTCTCATTGCTCCGCCCCTACTTATGAGTGAGAACATGCAGTGTTTGGTTTTCTGTTCCTGTGTTAGTTTGCTGAGGATGATGGCTTCCAGCTTCATCCATGTCCCTGCAAAGGACATGATCTCATTCCTTTTTATGGCTGCATAGTATTCCACGGTGTATGTGTACATTTTCTTTATCCAGTCTATCATTTATGGGCATTTGGGTTGATTCCATGTCTTTGCTATTGTGACTAGTGCTGTAATGAAATACATGTGCATGTATCTTTATAATAGAATAATATAAATTCCTGTGGGTATATACCCAGTAATAGGATGGCTGGACCAAATGGTATTTCTTGTTCTAGATCGTTGAGGAATTGCCATACTCTCTTCCACAATGGTTGAAGTAATTTACATTCCCACCAACAGTGTAAAAACACTCCTATTTCTCCACAGCCTTGTCAGCATCTGTTGTTTCTTGACTTTTTAATAATCATCACTCTGACTGGTGTGAGGTAGCATCTCATTGTGGTTTTGATTTGCATTTCTCTAATGATCAATGATGTTGAGCTTTTTAAAATATGTTTGTGGCCACATAAATGTCTTCTTTTGAGAAGTGTCTGTTCATGTCTTTTCCCCGCTTTTTGATGGGGTTGTTTTTACTTGTAAATTTCTTTAAGTTTCTTGTAGATTCTGGATATTAGACCTTTGTCAGATGGGTAGATTGCAAATATTTTCTCCCATTCTGTAGGCTGCCTGTTTGCTCTGATGATAGTTTCTTTTGCTGTGCAGAAGCTCTTTAATTTAATTAGATCCCATTTGTCAATTTTGGCTTTTGTTGCAATTGCTTTTGAGGATTTTATCATAAAATCTTTGCCCATGCCTATGTCTTGAATGCTATTGCATAGATTACCTTCTAGGGTTTTTATGGTTTTGAGTTTCACATTTAAGTCTTTAATTCATTATCATTTAAATTTTGTATAAGATGTAAGGAAAAGGTCCAGTTTCAGTTTTCTGCATATGTCTAGCCAGTTTTCCCAGCACCATTTATTAAACAGGGAATCATTTCCCCATTGTTTTTTTGTCAGGTTTGTTGAAAATCAGATGGATGTAGATGTGTGGTCTTATTTCTGAGATCTCTATTCTGTTCCATTGGTCTAAATGTCTGTTTTGCTACCAGTGCCATGCTGTTTTGGTTACTGTAGCCTTGCAGTATAAGTCATGTAGTGTGATACCTCCAGTTTTGTGCTTTTTGCTTAGGATTGTCTTGGCTATAAGGGTTCTTTTTTGGTTCCGCATGAATTTTAAAGTAGTTTTTACTAACTCTATGAAGAATGTCAATGGTAGTTTGATGGGAATAGCATTGAATCTGATGATTATGTGTCTTGGGGTTGATCCTCTCATGGAGTATCTTACTGGGGCTCTCTGTATTTCCTGAATTTGAATGTTGGCCTGTCTTTCTAGGTTGGGGAAGTTCTCCTGGATGATATCCTGAAGTTGTTTTCCACTTGCTTCCATTCTCCCCATCTCTTTCGGTACTCCAATCAGTCATAGCTTTGGTCTTTTTACACAGTCTCATATTTCTCAGAGGTTTTGTTCATTCCTTTTCATTCTTTTTCCTCTAATCTTGCCTGCCCACCTTATTTCAGCAAGATAGTCTTTCAGTTCTGATATTCTTTCTTCCACTTAATTGATTCAGCTGTTGATACTTGTGTTTGCATCACAAAGTTCCTGTGCTGTGTTTTTCAGCTCCATAAGGTCATTTATGTCTCTCGCTAATCTGGTTATTCTAGTTAGCAGCTCCTGTAACCTTTTATCATTGTTCTTAGCTTCTTTGCATTGGGTTAGAACATGCATACTTTATACTACTCAAAGAAATCTACAGATTCAATGCAATCCCTATCAAAATTCCCATAGTATTTTTCACCTAAATAAACTATCCTGAAATTTGTATGGAAACACAAGAGACCCTGAATAGCTAAAGCAACCTTGAATAAGAGAAACAAAGCTAGAATTATCACACTTTCTGATTTTAAGTTATATAACAAAACTGTAATAATCAAAGCAATATAGTACTGGCATAAAAACAAGCACACAGACCAATGAATAGAAAGCAACAAAATTAAGCCATAAATATACAGCTAACTAATCTTTAACAAAGGTACCAATAATACACAATGGAGAAAAAAATAGTCTCTTCAATAAATGGTGCTGGGAAAACTGGGCATCCACATGCAAAAGAATGAAATTGGACTCTAACCTTGCAACATAGAAAAAATCAACTCAAGATGGATTAAAGATTTTTAAATGTGAGAATTGAAAGTTTAAAACTCTTAGAATAAAACACAGGGGAAAATCTCCTTGACATCAGGCTGGGCAATGAATTTTTGGGTATGACACCAAAAGCACAGGCAACTAAAGCAAAAATACGTAAGTGAGACTATGTGAAACTAAAAAGTTTCCATACAGCAAAAAAAATAATTCAACAGAAAGAAAAGGCAACCTATGGAATTGGAGAAAATATTTGCAAGCCATATATCTGATAAGGATTTGATATCCAAAATATATGAGGAACTGATATAACTCAATAACAAAAATAATATTCCAATTAAAAAATGAACAAAGAACTTGAACAGACATTTTTCCAAAGAAGACATAAAAATTGCCACCAGGTATATGAAAGGATGCTCAACATCACTAATCATCAGAGAAATGCAAATCAAAACCACAATGAGACATCGCCTCACACCTGTTAAGATGGTTATTATCGAAAAGTCAAAAGATAAGTATTGATGAAAATGTGGATAAAGAGGAACCCTTGTACACTCTTGATGGGAATACAAATTGGTACAGATGATATAGAAAACAGTATAGAGGCTCCTCAAAAAATTAAAAATAGAACTACTATGTGATCTAACACTTCCATTTCTGGGTATATATAAAAAATTAAATCACGATTTTAAAGAGATAACTGCTCTGCTTTGTAAATTGTAGCATCATTCACCATAGCCAAGATATAGAAACTACTTAAGTGTCTGTCAACAAATGAATGGATAAAGAATGTGGCACAGGTTAAGCATCCCTAAAGCAATAATCCAAACTCTGAAATACTCCAAAATTAAAAAATTTTGGAGAGGTCCTTCACATCCCTTGTAAGTTGGATTACTAGGTATTTTATTCTCTTTGAAGCAATTGTGAATGGGAGTTCACCCATGATTTGGCTCTCTGTTTGTCTGTTGTTGGTGTATAAGAATGCTTGTGATTTTTGTACATTGATTTTGTATCCTGAGACTTTGCTGAAGTTGCTTATCAGCTTAAGGAGATTTTGGGCTGAGACGATGGGGTTTTCTAGATAAACAATCATGTCGTCTGCAAACAGGGACAATTTGACTTCCTCTTTTCCTAATTGAATACCCTTTATTTCCTTCTCCTGCCTGATTGCCCTGGCCAGAACTTCCAACACTATGTTGAATAGGAGCGGTGAGAGAGGGCATCCCTGTCTTGTGCCAGTTTTCAAAGGGAATGCTTCCAGTTTTTGCCCATTCAGTATGATATTGGCTGTGGGTTTGTCATAGATAGCTCTTATTATTTTGAAATACGTCCCATCAATACCTAATTTATTGAGAGTTTTTAGCATGAAGGGTTGTTGAATTTTGTCAAAGGCTTTTTCTGCATCTATTGAGATAATCATGTGGTTTTTGTCTTTGGCTCTGTTTATATGCTGGATTACATTTATTGATTTGCGTATATTGAACCAGCCTTGCATCCCAGGGATGAAGCCCACTTGATCATGGTGGATAAGCTTTTTGATGTGCTGCTGGATTCGGTTTGCCAGTATTTTATTGAGGATTTTTGCATCAATGTTCATCAAGGATATTGGTCTAAAATTCTCTTTTTTGGTTGTGTCTCTGCCCGGCTTTGGTATCAGAATGATGCTGGCCTCATAAAATGAGTTATGGAGGATTCCCTCTTTTTCTATTGATTGGAATAGTTTCAGAAGGAATGGTACCAGTTCCTCCTTGTACCTCTGGTAGAATTTGGCTGTGAATCCATCTGGTCCTGGACTCTTTTTGGTTGGTAAACTATTGATTATTGCCACAATTTCAGAGCCTGTTATTGGTCTATTCAGAGATTCAACTTCTTCCTGGTTTAGTCTTGGGAGAGTGTATGTGTCGAGGAATGTATCCATTTCTTCTAGATTTTCTAGTTTATTTGTGTAGAGGTGTTTGTAGTATTCTCTGATGGTAGTTTGTATTTCTGTGGGATCGGTGGTGATATCCCCTTTATCATTTTTTATTGTGTCTATTTGATTCTTCTCTCTTTTTTTCTTTATTAGTCTTGCTAGCAGTCTATCAATTTTGTTGATCCTTTCAAAAAACCAGCTCCTGGATTCATTGATTTTTTGAAGGGTTTTTTGTGTCTCTATTTCCTTCAGTTCTGCTCTGATTTTAGTTATTTCTTGCCTTCTGCTAGCTTTTGAATGTGTTTGCTCTTGCTTTTCTAGTTCTTTTAATTGTGATGTTAGGGTGTCAATTTTGGATCTTTCCTGCTTTCTCTTGTAGGCATTTAGTGCTATAAATTTCCCTCTACACACTGCTTTGAATGCGTCCCAGAGATTCTGGTATGTGGTGTCTTTGTTCTCGTTGGTTTCAAAGAACATCTTTATTTCTGCCTTCATTTCGTTATGTACCCAGCAGTCATTCAGGAGCAGGTTGTTCAGTTTCCATGTAGTTGAGCGGCTTTGAGTGAGATTCTTAATCCTGAGTTCTAGTTTGATTGCACTGTGGTCTGAGAGATAGTTTGTTATAATTTCTGTTCTTTTACATTTGCTGAGGAGAGCTTTACTTCCAACTATGTGGTCAATTTTGGAATAGGTGTGGTGTGGTGCTGAAAAAAATGTATATTCTGTTGATTTGGGGTGGAGAGTTCTGTAGATGTCTATTAGGTCTGCTTGGTGCAGAGCTGAGTTCAATTCCTGGGTATCCTTGTTGCCTTTCTGTCTCATTGATCTGTCTAATGTTGACAGTGGGGTGTTAAAGTCTCCCATTATTAATGTGTGGGAGTCTAAGTCTCTTTGTAGGTCACTGAGGACTTGCTTTATGAATCTGGGTGCTCCTGTATTGGGTGCATAAATATTTAGGATAGTTAGCTCCTCTTGTTGAATTGATCCCTTTACCATTATGTAATGGCCTTCTTTGTCTCTTTTGATCTTTGTTGGTTTAAAGTCTGTTTTATCAGAGACTAGGATTGCAACCCCTGCCTTTTGTTGTTTTCCATTGGCTTGGTAGATCTTCCTCCATCCTTTTATTTTGAGCCTATGTGTGTCTCTGCACGTGAGATGGGTTTCCTGAATACAGCACACTGATGGGTCTTGACTCTTTATCCAACTTGCCAGTCTGTGTCTTTTAATGTCAGAATTTAGTCCATTTATATTTAAAGTTAATATTGTTATGTGTGAATTTGATCCTGTCATTATGATGTTAGCTGGTGATTTTGCTCATTAGTTGATGCAGTTTCTTCCTAGTCTCGATGGTCTTTACATTTTGGCATGATTTTGCAGCGGCTGGTACCGGTTGTTCCTTTCCATGTTTAGGATGTGAAGGACCTCTTCAAGGAGAACTACAAACCACTGCTCAAGGAAATAAAAGAGGACACAAACAAATGGAAGAACATTCCATGCTCATGGGTAGGAAGAATCAATATCGTGAAAATGGCCATACTGCCCAAGGTAATTTACAGATTCAATGCCATCCCCATCAAGCTACCAATGACTTTCTTCACAGAATTGGAAAAAACTACTTTAAAGTTCATATGGAACCAAAAAAGAGCCCGCATCGCCAAGTCAATCCTAAGCCAAAAGAACAAAGCTGGAGGCATCACACTACCTGACTTCAAACTATACTACAAGGCTACAGTAACCAAAACAGCATGGTACTGGTACCAAAACAGAGATATAGATCAATGGAACAGAACAGAGCCCTCAGAAATAATGCCGCATATCTACAACTATCTGATCTTTGACAAACCTGAGAAAAACAAGCAATGGGGAAAGGATTCCCTATTTAATAAATGGTGCTGGGAAAACTGGCTAGCCATATGTAGAAAGCTGAAACTGGATCCCCTCCTTACACCTTATACAAAAATCAATTCAAGATGGATTAAAGATTTAAACGTTAGACCTAAAACCATAAAAACCCTAGAAGAAAACCTAGGCATTACCATTCAGGACATAGGCGTGGGCAAGGACTTCATGTCCAAAACACCAAAAGCAATGGCAACAAAAGCCAAAATTGACAAATGGGATCTAATTAAACTAAAGAGCTTCTGCACAGCAAAAGAAACTACCATCAGAGTGAACAGGCAACCTACAACATGGGAGAAAATTTTTGCAACCTACTCATCTGACAAAGGGCTAATATCCAGAATCTACAATGAACTCAAACAAATTTACAAGAAAAAAACAAACAACCCCATCAAAAAGTAGGCGAAGGACATGAACAGACACTTCTCAAAAGAAGACATTTATGCAGCCAAAAAACACATGAAGAAATGCTCATCATCACTGGCCATCAGAGAAATGCAAATCAAAACCACTATGAGATATCATCTCACACCAGTTAGAATGGCAATCATTAAAAAGTCAGGAAACAACAGGTGCTGGAGAGGATGTGGAGAAATAGGAACACTTTTACACTGTTGGTGGGACTGTAAACTAGTTCAACCATTGTGGAAGTCAGTGTGGCGATTCCTCAGGGATCTAGAACTACAAATACCATTTGACCCAGCCATCCCATTACTGGGTATATACCCAAAGGACTATAAATCATGCTGCTATAAAGACACATGCACACGTATGTTTATTGCGGCACTATTCACAATAGCAAAGACTTGGAACCAACCCAAATGTCCAACAATGATAGACTGGATTAAGAAAATGTGGCACATATACACCATGGAATACTATGCAGCCATAAAAAATGATGAGTTCATATCCTTTGTAGGGACATGGATGAAATTGGAAATCATCATTCTCAGTAAACTATCGCAAGAACAAAAAACCAAACACCGCATATTCTCACTCATAGGTGGGAATTGAACAATGAGATCACATGGACACAGGAAGGGGAATATCACACTCTGGGGACTGTGGTGGGGTCGGGGGAGGGGGGAGGGATAGCATTGGGAGATATACCTAATGCTAGATGACACATTAGTGGGTGCAGCGCACCAGCATGGCACATGTATACATATGTAACTAACCTGCACAATGTGCACATGTACCCTAAAACTTAGAGTATAATAAAAAAAAAAAAAAAAAAAAATTTTGGGCGCTGACATGACACCACAAGTGGAAAATTCCACACCTGACCTGTGATAGCTTCCAGTCAAAACTTTGTTTTATGCACAACATTATTTAAAATATTCTATAAAATTACCTTCAGGTTATGTGTACCGGGTATATATAAAACATAAATGAACTTTGTGTTTGGACTTGGGACCCATCCTCAAGATATTTCATTATATATATGTGAATATTCCAAAACTTGAAAATATTCAAAATTCAAAACACTTCTGCTCCCAAGCACTCCCATTCCAGATAACGGATACTAAACCTGCGTGTGTGTGTGTGTGTGTGTGTGTGTGTGTGTGTGTGTGTGTGTGTAATATTATTTAGGCTTAACAAAAATGAAATCCTATTTGAGACAACATGAATAATCTGGAGGGCATTATGCTAGGTGAAATAAGCCAGACACAAAAAGACAAACACTTCATGATCTCACTTATATGTGGAATCTGTAAAAGTCAAACTTACCAAAACAGAGAGTAGAATGGTGGTTACCAGGGACTGGGGATTGTGGGAAAATAGGAAGATATTCATCCAAGGGCATAAATTCTCAGTTATATGATGAATAAGTTCTGGATATCTAATGTATAGCATGGTGACATTAGTTAATAATGTATTATATATTTGAAATTTGCTAAGAAATTACATCTTAAATATTCTCACCAAAAAAGGTAACTATGCAAGATGATGGATATGTTAATTAGCTCGATTGTGGTAATTATTTCACAATGCATATATCAAAGCATTATGTTGCATACCTTAAACATATACAATTTTTATTTATCAATCAATGATACCTCAATACATCTGGAAAAAAAGAGTAAAGCCACAGAATGGAAAATATTTTTCCAATGTATATTATTTGAGAAAACACTTGTATCCAGAACTTTGAAAGAACTCCTACAATGCAATAATAAAAAGACACACAATCCAATAAAAATTAGCCAAAGAGCTAGACATTTCACAAAATAAAGTATATGAATGGCCGATGAGTACTTGAAAAGGTGCTCAGCCTCATTAATTATCAGAGAAATACAAATTAAAGCCACAATTAGTAAATATTTTACAATCACAAGAAGACTGACAACACTGAATAGGTGCAGATGTAGCAATTCTTAAGGAAAAGATGTGAGCTTTACTCATCTCTGTGCCCCTAGTAATTAGTATTATACTTGTAAATAGGAGGATGCAAAATTATTCAATGGATAGATGGATGGATGAAAATAGGGAGAAAAGGTGGCAGGGGAGAGAGTCAGAGAGCAAAAATCAGAGGAGCAGAAAAGAAGAGAGGAAAAACAGAGAGAAGAATAATTAAAATTAGGTGGCTCGTTAAGTAAAAGTTACACAGCCTTTGAATTGTACAGTATAAAATTAAAACACATTTGGAAGACAGAACAATTATCAAATCAATTTCTCTTCAACAAAATCTGAAACCATTTTATAAATTAATTACTGAAAAATACAGGATGTTCTTTTATGCAACCAATTTGGCAGAACCCGAAATACAATTCTATCATCCATAAATTTAAAAAGACAAACATAAAACTGAGTTTCTAGTTCAGCTTCAAATTTTTTTATTAGACCTTACTGTTTTGACTAATTATTCCTATGAAGTTGTCTGCTCATTAAACATGTTTAGCCATCACTACTAATATTAAAGCACCAAGTTTATTCAGATCTATGTTTGCTACATGCTCAAATTTACCTTTTTATAAATTTAGTATCCAAATCACAGAGGATTCAGTATAATTTTAAAATAACATTTGAATAAAAAATTTATATTTGCTGGATACTTCAAATTTCTAGATGTAAAATTTTACATGGATACCATAAGAGTAAACTGGTCTTTATACTAAACCTTGCTCTATGTGGAATAAGATCCAGTTTGCTACCTGATACTACAGTTCACATTTTAACAATCAGTGCCATGGCTTTCCTTTAAATTCCCACCACTGTGTGCCGCTGCTCTACCCACAGGTTGGGTCTGAAATTAATCCTGTTACTAAAAGTAAGAAGTCTTAAATATAAGTCACAGACACCCAAATATCCTATATATTCATTATATTCTTCTAAATGTTTGAAACCAAGTGAGATTGACAAGTAAACACAAGACCAAAAACATATCATATCCTCACAGTCTGCCCTCCAAGAAAACTGGGAAGTTGGAGAAATGTATCTTCATATTGAATTAATATTTACTGAATATCCTTCATACACCCTGCTCTCAGAATTCCTTGTTGATTCTCAGGAACACCCATGTGTGGTCACAAGCTTAACCATTTTTATCACTCTTTACTCCAGACTTTTGTTCTCAGTTTTCCCAATAAAAATGTTCATTCATCATTCCCTGGTGTTTTCTTCTCTGTCAGATTTTATGCTGTACAACAAGATAAAGAAATTTACACAGATAAACAAATAGTTAACCAAGTAGTGTTTCCTCTTCCATATAATATTTTAACATTGACACACAGCCCTCTAGAGACAATGCACATACTACCAGCGATAGTGGCTGTTCCACAAACCAGGCCTCTGTTGGCCTCCACAATGCTACTTAGTCTCCCCTTAGAACATATACACAACAGAAAAGGCACCCTTGAGGTAAGACAATGTTTGTCCACTTGGCTTCAACATTTTAAAAGCAAAGGAATGCCTTTACCATTTTCCCAAAGAAGTAATCCAGCACTCTGGTTAATGTGAAAAGCCTTTGTATTTGGCACCACCACTGTGTAGTAAAGGGTAATCTCAGCAGGCCTGCGTTGTCTAAATCCTACACATTCCAAAGGTTCTTAGGACTGACCTTTGTTAGGGTCCTGTGAAATAACTTCTAAGCCCTTGGAATATGCTGCCTGATTAAAAGTCTTTGTATACCCAGAGCCTTGGGACACACCACAGAGAACATGCTAACAGTGTGATTTATCATGAACATCTGGGGCCCTGGGCCACACTGAATCAGTTTGATGAGGAGAGAGAGATGCTGGACACTGAGTAGCTAAGGTCAGTCATGCTTTGCATGCTTATACAGCTGACACCCAATAAAACCCTGGCAACCAAGTCTTGGATGAGCAATCCTGTTTAACAACACTTTCCCCATGTTGTCACACATGGTTGCTGGGAAAATTAAGTGCTGTCTGTGTCCGTCCAGTGGGAGAGGACAACTGGAAGACTACACCCATTTCTTGTGGACTCTACCCTATGCATCTTTACCCTTTATTGGTTTTTATCTGTATCCCTTTATTGTAATGTATGATGATGATGACTGTAACAGCTTTTGTAAGTTCTGTCAGTCCTTCTAGTGAATCATCCCATTGAAGGGTGATCATGGGGACCCCCAACAGGACCATGTTTTATTGTTTCATTCACACAAAAGATAAAATCATCTTCTATTCATAAGTTTATATATATATATAAAGTGTGTGTGTATATATATACATACACACACCAGATATGAAATTAATTTGCCACTATAACCAACCATTTTGACAAACTTTAGGTTGTCTAAATCCTACACAGGATTTAGGCAAGAAAAGGCAAGTGTGAAAATGAGAGTTACTTATATTCAGACAAATGATACATAAGTCTACACAACAGCCCAAAGGCAAAATACCGGTAGCTCTGGGAGGAAGACAAATTAGACTGACATTTTTAATTAAAACTGGTCTGCTTCCTGGAATGCAGAGATTTTTTTTCATGTCTCTCTCACCAAAGACAAGAGCCACATATTTTTAAGAGCATTTCTAAAATAAAAAATACAAAAATTAAATATGAGCATCTATTAAAGTGCATTACTTTACATTTATTGGGTTTCTCCTGATACTCATACCATAAATGGAATTTTCATAACTAAAATATCTGCCCATAAAAAGAAAAGCTGATGGCAGAAAGGTAAATAAATTTTTAACTGAGTTTTTACTTCCTGGCATTTTTTAACACTTTACAGCTATTTTCTTCATCCAAAGCTATTACAAAATGTTCTCGCCTATACAAATGGACATAGAGAAAAATATAAAATCCAAGGAATGAGAAGAGAAAATAGAAGCAAAACCAACGGAATATCCTGAAACTCCTACCTCTCCTGGACCTCATGGGCCTAAGAATACTGTGCTGGCCATGCATGGTAAAGTGAAACAGAAGCAGTCTTATCTTTTGGTGCATTTTTTTCTCCTTTTCAAGCTTCCCTAAATTTCCTCCTTTCTGGATATAGAGATACTCAGAATGCTACCCTGACTCCTAGCTAAGAGAGCACCCAGGTGCCCAATTTCTTTGCTCTTTATCAAATGTTAGTCAAGCTGCTTCTTGTCTTTTCAGAATCCCATACTCTGCCATGTTTCTCTGGGTGATAGCTGTTCATCAGATAGCGTAAGTAGATCCTGACTCCCAAGCCAAGCAGTCTAACTTTACTACTCAACTCAGCATTATACTCTTTACTCTCAAGTAGCTTTCCTGTAAGTAGAGTGCTCTGGAAGGAGAGGAGCAAACTCTTGATCTGAAGCATTAACCATAAATCAACTGAGAATGAGACTTGTTTTCACCACTCATATCATTGCCTCATACCCTTAGGTGAGAATGTCCTTGCTGAAACGTGGCAATAACTTCAGCCCAATTTAGAAAACTGGGTAACTTTCTTTACCCTTAAAGATACTCAGTTTTTCTCTGGTCATCTCCAGAAGAATATCCAACTAAAACTGGATGAGGGAATTTGATCTTCTGTCCAAATACCATTTGCAGAGTAGCAAAAGGTACAACACATTTTCCTCATCTATTCTATTTGGGATGTTCACCACTCCAAAAGCTGTGAACACTACACATTCCATAAACTGAGAACAGCAGAGAAGCTGTTTTTGTGTTTGATGCTTTCCTGGGCCATTTTGTTCAAGCTTATATCAAATCCTCTGTGCCCTTTTTTCAACATCCAATTAATAAACTAGTTGTCATACAAACTATATGCCAGGCACTGTGCTATTTGCTGAGTTCCATTACTCATTCAAACTCAGATGTTTCTAGATGATGGTACTTTCCCTCCCACATAACATATTTGCATTCTCACAGAGATTTTAATGCCCTGTACCAAGGAAGTAGCTCTAATGGTGAATGCTGTACATTACTGAAGTAGGTGGTGAGAGAGATCTTTAGAGAAATGTCTTTGATATGTTTTCTAGTATCTCTCATACTATAAGCTTATATAACCCATCAACTAGTCTGCCTACTAGTAACAACAGTTAAACCCATGGTCCAGTTTTGCTTCAACTAATATATTTAAATAATTATGCATATTCCCTCCCTTGAGACTAAAGCATTATTTCAAAACATCCTACCAATCAAGTAGAGAATCCATAGATTCTCTGCAAGTGAGAATCCACAGATAATTCAGAATAATGTCTGAAATTTGCACTCTTGCTCTATTGTGGTATTGCTCTGAGTCCTAAATCCTCCTTTAGATTAAAAGTAGCCTCTTGGTTGCCTCTCTTAGAACTCTAGAATGAAGACTTCATATAGCAAAAACAGACTAAAAACTGATGTTTATAATCCTGACTTTGAGTGATCACTATGAAGCTAAATAATAATTAGCATGCTACAGTCAAGAAGAAGGCAAGTTGGAAGGAGTGTAAGCTGTTTTAGAAATATATCCCTATAAAATGAAGTACATGCATAGAAATGGTCCTGGAAAAATGTTCACCCAGATGACACAATGGTTATTTCTGGATAATAAAATTATAAGTGATTTTTAGAAATGTTTTCCTTGACTATATTTCCTAATCTTTCTACAGTAAACACACATTGTAATTATTAAACTAATTTCAATTTGAAAAATAAGATGTATATGAGCACTAAGGAATACTTAAAGGAAGAGGTTTTTTAAAGAATTTTAGAGATTTGTAAATCATATTTTATTAAGCTATCTTAAGTACTTAGCTCAGTGCCTAACACCTAGAAAGCAAAATGTCAGTAGAATCAGAATGAAATTGTGTCTCCCTTTCTACACAAGACATGACCTTAGCATTTCAGCTGTATTCAGTTTGCACAGCTGAAATGCCTATTTTTCATTGGTAAGCTTTAAGATTGACTTTTATTTTTATATTGTCTAATAAACTCTCTCTCTTCTAAATTCATCTTACTTGTCAACTTTGAAAACTTGACTGCGCCACAATAGAGGAATCCTCTATTTGATTACATTAGCTTGGTTTAGCAATATTGTTGAAGGATTGATCCATGGGCGTTAGTCTAAATAACACAAATCTGACCCTAAGCTCTCAAACCTTCTCATAAAAAACTTCAAGGGTTGGAATATTACTGAAATTACCCCCATGAAACCATTAGCAATTCTCTAATGCATGCTTTTCTTTAAATTCAAGCATTACCAACACTCGATCACTAGAAAATAAAATATTTGTATCTCAGCAACAGGGTGAGTTTTCTTTGCAGCCATGCATTTTGAAAACATATCCAGATGGAACTGTATCCTTGCAAAGCTGCTTAATTTTGATAAAAAGCTATTTACTTTCACAATATTCTCTTACGTGCTGACAGAATTCATGAAAAAAAATGATACGCTGCATAAACTCAAAAAGGGAAAGGAGTACTGGTTGGAGTATTGGGTACTAATGGGCATTCTTTTTAATTAAGATCTTTGAAAAGGTTGAAATGTAAAAATGCATTTAAGCAGCACAACTTGATAGCCCCTATTGGTTCTGCTTCATCAGCTGAAACCACTTTATTTTTACAAAAATCAAATTGCAGCAGAATTCTATCTTTGTTGATGACTCACACCTTGAAGAGGGCACACTGGGTACTGCAAAACCAAATGGTCTCTTCTCTATGAAAATGAGTCAAGCTTGAGTCTAAATGATTGGTTAAGAAATCCTTGAACAAATCTGGAAGGATAAACTGGGGGACAAAGAGGCTACTAAGAGGAAATTCATCCTACAGGAAGTGAGAGAGAGAGATGGGAAAAGACAAAAACTCGACCTAGCAACAAATCTTAGTCATCTGAAGGGAGTAGTAATTCCACATATAACATATGACTCAAATCTGTCCTTGGCCGAGCCTCATGGAAACATATCTAAGCTCTGAAAAGAAAGAGTATTTTGTGTAAAAGTTGCAAACTGCAGTTTCAATAAAAAAATTCCAGTACATTCAGAGATAAGCAGACTGTTCTCAACTCCACTAATCATGTAGAACAAAGCAAAAGAGGGGTCTCTTTATCACAAAGGACAGTTCACCTTCGCTACCATCAGTGTTCTAGAGGGTGGTCTAGAAAAGCAGCAATAGTGTCCAAGGAAAGTGTGGTGGCACCCAGCAGAAGACTGCTTTTTCCCCTGAGGGATAATGAAGCAATGATGCTACCTTCTGAGAGTCAATAGAGTACAAATAAAAAGTACCTCCACTCTCCCCAAAACACACAATAGACTATACTGCCTAACAGAGTGGCAACAGTACCTAGTTGGAAACTAGTGCTAGGTAAGGGACACACAGAAGCGTAAGTATGCAACAGAAGCACACAACACAAACTGTATAGATTCACAAGCTGTATCTGGACACTCAGAAATAATAGATGATAGGGAAGAGTGAAATTAGAAGATCTGCAAGGAGCTAGAGGCCTTATATAAGTAAGCAGAGTCAAGAGTCAGAGAAATTTGAGTTACTATTGTTAACGTTCTTCAGTTTCCTCATCTGCACACTGGGGTTAATTACAGAGAATGCAGGCTGGGCTCGGTGGCTCACACCTGTAATTCCAGCACTTTGGGAGGCTGAGGCGGGTGGATCACAAGGTCAGGAGATCGAGACCATCCTGGCTAACACGGTGAATCCCCATCTCTACTAAAAATACAAAATAATTAGCCGGGCGTGGTGGCAGGTGCCTGTAAGTCCCAGCTACTCAGGAGGCTGAGGCAGGAGAATGGCGTGAACCCGGGAGGCAGAGCTTGCAGTGAGCCGAGATCACGCCACTGCACTCCAGCCTGGGCGACAGAGCGAAACTCCGTCTCAAAAAAAAAAAAAAAAAAAAAAAAAAACATGTATTAAATCAGATTTCCATGCCTAGAGGGAGATTAGCTAATTTTCCAAGTCAATATAAACTAGGCATCAATGTATACCTGACAACAGTTTCCCAAATTGTAAGCATAGTGCTAAAGAATAAATAAATGATAAAGAGCTGACTTTTTAATCCACACACATAGAGTATTAGTAAAATCATGACACCTATATTGGCATGTACTTGACTATAAAGGAAAATAGCTATAAGATGCAAATAAACCATGTTAATAGAATTAAAAATAAATAATGAATATTACACCATTGTTCTATTCATATTTACATACCTATGTGTTTCTCTTGGATTTTTGAAGATAATTTAGAATTGTTGATTAAATCTAAGTACTTGACAGAACAAATTGTAGATATTTTAAAACTAAAGTCAAGCCCTTGATACATACACACGCATACACACACACACGCAAATATACTGTAGTATAATTTTTTAACAACAGTAACAGCATCAACAACAAAGACACATAGTGCTTACTATGTGCCAGATGCTATTCTAAATGTTTTACATATATTATGCCATTTAACTGTCACAGCAATCTTTTGACATGAGTGCAAAATTCTTTAAGTTAGTTATTTATCAGTTATTTATCTACGCTTTTGCCCTGTGCTTGCAATTTGGGAAACTGACATCAAGTATACATTGGTGCCTAGTTTATGTCGACTTGGAATATTAGCTAATCTCAACCTAGACATACATGGAAACTAATTTAGTACATGTATCCTCTATCATTTTTTTCAAAAACACAACTATATTAAAGTAATGATACATAGATACAAAAGGAAAGTTATATCGCATCGCAAGACTTTAAAAATAAAAACATTTTCGGGCTTTGGAGGGCAGAGCAAGATGGCAGAATAGAAACCTCTACTGTTGTTCCTCCACAAGGACACCAGGTTAACAACTATCTACAAAGAAAAAAACATCTACAAAAGAATGCAAAATCAGGTAAGCATTTACAGTACCTGGTTTTAACTATGTATTACTGAAAGAGGCACTGAAGAGATAGAAAAAACAGTCCTGAATTGTCAATACCACGCATCCCCCACCCCAGCATCACCAGCATGGTGTGGAGAGCAACTCTGGATGCTGGGGAGGAGAGCGCACAGCAATTGTGAGGAAATGAACTCATTACTCTCTTGTTGGAGCAGAAAGAAAACCCTCAAAACACTCAGCTGATGCTTGCCTATAGGGGGAGCTTTTAAACCAACCCTAGCCAGAGGGGAATCGCAGATCCCAGCAATCCAAACTTGAGTGCCTGCAAACCTCGCTACCAAAGGCTACAGCACTCTCTGTCTCCAAGTAAACTTGAAAGGCAGTCTAGGCCATAAGGACTGCAAATCTTAGGTGAGTCCTAGTGCTAAATTAGGCCCAGAGACAGTGAACTGCAGGGGCACATGACATACTGAGACACCAGATGGGGAAGCCAAGGGAGTGCTGCAATCACGCCTCCTCTAACCCCAGGCTGTACAGCTCACAGCTCCATAACAGACCCCTTCCTTTCACTTGAGTAGAGGAGAGAAAGAGTTGGGAGAACTGCATCTTCCATCTAGGATACCGGCACAGCCACAGCAGGAAAGGGCACCTGTCAGAGTCATGAGGCCCCCATTCCAGCTCCTAGCTTCCAGAACACATTTCTAGACACACCCTGGGCAAGAAGGAAACCTGCAGCCTTGAAGGAAAGGACCCAGTCCTGGCAGCCTTAATCACTTGCTAACTGAAGAGCCCTTGGGCCCTGAATAACTAGTGATACCCAGGTACTACAGCCAGGGTCTTGGGTGCACCTCTGAGACTTGCTGGCTTCAGCTGAGACTCACCACATAAGCATCTGTGGTGGCTATAGGGCACTACTCCTGCTTGCAAAAAACAGAAAGAAAAGTCAAGGAGACTTTGTCTTGTACCTCAGGTACCAGCAAGGCCACAAGGGGATAAAGCACCAAGCGTGCTCTTGGGGTCCTTGATTCCAGTACTTGACTCTTGGACAGCATTTCTGGACCTGCCCTGGGCCAGTGGGAAGCCCGCTGCCCTGGAGAGTGAGTCCAAGGCCAGGCAGCATTCATGACAAGCTGACTTAAGAGCCCTTGGGCATTAAGAGAACATTAGCAGTAGCCTGGCAGTACTCCTCATGGCCTAGGGTAGTGGTGGCTATGGAGTGAGGCTCCTCTGCCTTTGGAAAGGGGCGGGAAGAGTGGAAAGTACTGCCTCATGTGGTTTGAGTGCCAGCTCAGCCGCAGTGCAACAGAACACCAGGTAGATAGCAGAGGACTTTTACTTAAGTTACTGACTCCCAGACAGCACTTTTGGACTCATCCAGGGATTGGGAAACATTGCCCCCCTAAAGGGAAGAATGCAGTCTTGGCTGGTTTTGCCACCTCCTGATTGTGGACCCCAAGGGCCTTGAGCTAACATAAGCAGTAGCCAAGATTGATTACAGCAGGGCTTGGATGAGACCCTGTGCTATGATGGCTTCAGGTCTGACTCAGTGTAGTCACAGTGGTGGTGGCCACAGGGCTGCTTGTGTCTACCACCAGTTTTAGGTGGCTCAAAAAAGAGAGAGAGACTCTGTATCTTTGGGAAAATGTAAAGGAAGGGAACAAGAGTCTCTTCCTGGTAATCCAAAGAATTCTACCAGATCTTGTCCAAGACCATTAAGGCAGTACCTCTACAAGTCTGCAAGAAGCACATTGTTATTGGGCTTGGGGTGCCCACTAAAGCAGATACAGCTTACATCACAACAACCAAGTCCTTTCAAATATCTGAAAAGCCTTCGTAAGAAGAATGGTTACCAATATTAAGACTACAATAGATACCTAATCCTTTAATGCCCAGACACTGAAAAATATCTACTAGCATAAACACCATCCAGGAAAACATGACATCACAAAATGTACTAAATAAGGCACAAGAGACCAATTTTGGAAGAACAGAGACATGTGACCTTTCAGAGAATTCAAAATAGCTATAGGGAGGAAAATCAGAGAAATTCATTATAATGCAGAAAATGTATTCGGAATTCTGAAAGATAAATTTAACAAAGAGATTGAAATAATTTAAAAGAATCAAGAAGAATTTCTGGAGGTGAAAAATGCAAATGGCATACTGAAGAATGCATCAGAGTCCTTTAATAGCAGAATTAATCAAGCAGAAGAAAGAATTAGTGAGCTTGAAGACAGGTTACTTGAAAATACGCAGTCAAAGGAGACAAATGTGCTTTTTTTAAAAAAAGCACATTTACATGATCTAGAAAATAGCCTCAAAAATGCAAATCTAAGAGTTATTGGCCTTAAAGAGGCAGCAGAAAAAGAGATAAGGATAGAAAGTTCATCCACATGAACAATAACAGGGAAAGTCCCAAACCTAGAGAAGGTATCAAAATTCAAATACAAGAAGGTTATGGAACAACAAGCAGATTTAACCCAAAAAAGACTACCTCAAGGCATTTAATAATCAAACTCCCAGAGGTCAAGGATAAAGAAAGGATCCTAAAAGCAACAAGGGAAAACAAATAACATACAATGGTGCTCCAATACATTTGGCAGCAGACTTTTCAGTGGAAATCCTACAGGCCAGGAGAGAGTTGCTTGTCACATTTAATGTGCTGAAGGGGAAAAAAAAAAAACACTTTTACCTTAGAATAGTATATCCAGTGAAAAATATTCTTCAAACATGAAGACAAAACAAAGACTGTCCCAGATAAACAAAAGCTAAGGGATTTCATAAATACCAGACCTGTCCTACAAGAAATGTTAAAGCGAGTACTTCGATCAGGTAGAAAAGAACATTCATGAGCAATACATAATCATATGAAGGTACAAAACTCACTGGTAATAGTAAGTATACAGAAAAACAGAACATTATAATACTGTAATTGTGATGTGTAAATTACTCTTATCCTAAGTAGAAAGACTAAATGGTGAACATACCCAAAATAATAACTACAACAATTTTTCAAGACATAGCCAATACAATAAGATATAAATAGAAACAACAAAAAGTTAGGAAGTGGGGGATGAAGTTAAAGCACAGAATTATTATTAGTTTTTGTTTTGCTTTGTGTTTGTATATACAAATAGTGTTGTTGTTATCGGGTTAAAATGAGTCATAAGATAGTATTGGTGGCCAGGCGCAGTGGCTCACGCCTATAATCCCAGCACTTTGGGAGGCTGAGGAAGGTGGATTGCCTGAGCTCAGGAGTTCAAGACCAGCCTGGGCAACATGGTGAAACCCCGTCTACTGAAATACAAAAAAGTTAGCTGGGCGTGGTGGTGTGCACCTGTAGTCCCAGCTTCTCAGGAGGCTGAGACAGGAGAATTGCTTCAACCCGGGAGGTGGAGGTTGCAGTGAGCCGAGATCACGCCACTGCACTCCAGCCTGGGTGACAGAGTGAGACTCCATCTCAAAAAAAAAAACAGTATTGGCAAGCCTCATGGTTATCTCAAACCAAGAAAACATATAATGAATACACACACAAACAAAAAAAAATAAAAAGCAAGAAAATAAATCACATCAGCAGAGGAAATCATCTTCACTGGAGGAAGAAAGGAAAGGAAAGAAAAAAAAAAGGAAGGGAAGACCACAAAACAACCAGAAAACAACAAAATGACAGGAGTAAGTGCTTACTTACCAATAATAACATTGAATGTAAATGGACTAAATTCTCCAATCAAACAACATAGACTGGCTGAATGGATAAAAATAAACCAAATCCACTGAACTGTCCCCTATAAGAAATGCACTTCAACTATAAAGACACACATAGACTAAAAATAATGTGATGGAGAACGATATTCCATGGCAATGGAAACCAAAAAAGAGCAGGAGTCACTATACTTATATCAAACAAAGTAGATTTCAAGACAAAAACTGTAAGAAGAGACAAAGAAGTTTACTATTTTATGATAAAGTGGTCAATTCAGCAAGAGGATATAACAATTTTAAATATATATGTACCCAACACTGGATCACCCAGATATATAAAAAAATTATTAGACCTAAAGAGAGAGATAGGCCCCAATAAATAATAACTGGAGACTTCAACACCTCACTTTCAGCACCGGACAGATTTTCCAGACACAAAATCAACAAGGAAACATTAGATTTAATCTGCAGTATAGACCAAATGAATCCAGTAGATATTTCCAGAATGTTTTATTTAAGAGCTCCAAATACACATTTTTTTCCTCAGCACATGGATCATGCTCAAGGATACACCCTATGTTAGGTAACAAAATGAGTCTTAAAATATTCAAAAAATTGAAATGATATCAAGTGTCTCCTCTGACCACCATGGAATAAAACTAGAAATTAGTAATAAGAGGAATTTTGAAAACTATACAAATGCACAGAAATTAAACAACATGCTTCTGAATGACCACTGGGTCAATGAAGAAATAAAGAAGATAATTAAAAAATCTCTTGAAACAAATGATAATGGAAAGACAACACATAAAAATCTATGGGCACCAGGTGTGGTGGCTCACACCTGTAATCCCAGCACTTTGGGAGGCCAAGGTGGGTGGATCATGAGGTCAGGAGTTCGAGACCAGCCTGACCAACATGGTGGAACCCTGTCTCTACTAAAAATACAAAAATTAGCCGGGCATGGTGGCATGTGCCTGTAATCCCAGTTACTTGGGATGCTGAGGCAGGAGAATCGCTTGAACCTGGGAGATGGAGGTTGCAGTGGGCCGAGATCACACTGCTGCACTCCAGCCTGGGTGACAGAGCAAGACTCCATCTCAAAAAAAAAAAAAAAATCTATGGGATACAGCACAAGCAATAATCAGAGGGAAGTGTATAAGTGCCTATATCAAAAAAGGGAAAACTTCAAATAAACAGTGCATCTTAAAGAATTAGAAAAGCAAGAGCAAACCAAACTCAAAATTAGCAGAAGAAAAATTAAAGATCAGAGCAAAAATAAGTGAAATTGAAATTAAAAAATGCAAAAGATCAATGAAACAAAAAGTTGGTTTTTTGAAAAGTTAAACTAAATTGACAGACCTTTAGCCAGACTAAGAGAAAAAGAAAAAGGATCCAAATAAATAAAATCAAAAATGAAAAGGGAGACACTACAACTGATATTGCAGAAATTCAAGGGATCATTAGTGGCTACTATGAGCAACTATATGCCAATAAATTGAAAAATCTAGAAGCAACAGACAAATTCCTAGATCGATATAACCTATCAAGAGTGGACCAAAAAGAAATCCAAAACCTGAATAGACCAATAACAAGCAAGGAGATCAAAGCCATAATAAAAAGTCTCCCAGTAAAGAAACGCCCAGGACCCAACAGCTTCATGGCTGAATTCTACTACACATTTAAAGAAGAACTAATACCAATCCTACTCAAATTATTCCAAAAAATAGAGGAGGGGAGAATACTTCCAAAATCATTCAACAAGGCCAGTTACTACCCTGACATCAAAACCAGACCTAAACACACCAATAAAATAAAACTATAGGACAATATATCTGATGAATATTGATGCAAAAATCCTCAACAAAATACTAGCAAACCGATTTCAACAATACATTAGAAAGATCATTCATCACGACCAAGTGGGATTTATCCCTGGGATGCAACAGTAGTTCAACTTAGAAGAATCAATCAAAATGATACATCATATCAACAGAATGAAGGATTAAAACCATATGATCGGCTGGGTGCGGTGGCTCACACCTGTAATCTCAGCACTCTGGGAGGCCGCAGTGGGCAGATCATGAGGTCAGGAGTTTGAGACCAGCCTGGCCAGCATTGTGAAACCCCGTCTCTACTAAAAATACAAAAAATTAGCTGGGCATGGTGGCGCGTGCCTGTAGTCTCAGCTACTCGGGAGGCTGAGGCAGGAGAATTGCTTGAACCCGGCAGGTGGAGGTCACAGTGAGCTGAGATTGCGCCACTGCACTCCAGCCTGGGCGACACAGCGAGACTCTGTCTCAAAAAAAAAATATATGATCATTCCAATTGATGCCAAAAAAGCATGTGATAAAGTTCAACATGGCTTCATAGTAAACACACTCAAAAACCTGGGGAAAGAAGGAACATACCTCAACAAAATAAAAGCCATATATGACAGACCCACACCCAGTATCATACTAAATGGGGAAAAACTGAAAGCCTTTCCTCTAAGATCTACAACAATGCCCACTTTCACCACTGATACTCAACATAGTACTGGAAGTCCTAGCCTCAGCAGTCAGACAAGAGAAAGATATAAAGGGCATCCAAATTGAAAAGGAAGAAGTCAAATTATCCTTGTTTGCTAATGATATAATCTTATATTTGGAAAAACCTAAAGACTACACATGACAACTATTAGAACTAATAAACAAATTCAATAAAGTCGTAGGATACAAAATGAACATACAAAACTCAGTAGCATTTCTATATGCCAACAGTGAACAATCTGAAAAATAAATCAAAAGCAGCAATCCCATTTACAATAGCCACACATAAAATAAATACCTAGCAATTAACCAAGGAAGTGAAAGCTATCTATAATAAAAACTATAAAACACTGATAAAGGAAATTGAAGAGGACACCAAAAATGGAAAAATATTCCATGTTCACGGATTAGAAAAATCAATACTGTTAAAACGTTCATACTACACAAAGCGATCTACGGATTCAATGCAATCCTTATCAAAATACCAATGACATTCACAAAAATGGAAAAAACAATTCTAAAATGTATATGGAACCACAAAACCTCAGAACAGCCAAAGCTACCCTAAGCAAAAAGAACAAAACTGACTTTTTACAATACCTGACTTCACATTATACTACAGTGCTATTGTAACCAAAACAGCATGGTACTGGCATAAAACCAGGTACATAGATCAGTGGAACAGAATAGAGAAAATGTTTTTAGTGTCCTCTTCCAACTCCTTCATCAATGTTTTATAGTTTTCATTGTAGAGATCTTTCACTTATTTGGTTATTTCTTAGGTATTTAATTTCATATGTGGCTACTGTAAATGGAATTATATTTTTATTTATCACACTGTTCACTGTTGGTACATAGAAATTCTACTAATTTTTGTATGTTGCTTTTTGTATCCTGCAATTTTACTAAATTTGTTTATCAGTTCTAATAAAAATTGAAAGAGTTGAACTTATGGATATAGAGAGTGGAAGGATGGTTACCAGAGGCTGGGAAGGGTAGTGGAAGGCTGGGGAGGGAGATGGGGATAGTTAATGGGTACAAAATAATAGTTAGAAAGAATGAATAAGACCTACAATTGATAGCACAGTAGGGTGAATATAGTCAATAATAACTTAATTGTGTATTTTAAAATAAAGAATGCATTTGCATTGTTTGTAACTCAAAGGATAAACACTTGATGAGATAGACAGCCCATTCTCCATGATGTGCTTATTTCACATTGCATGCTTATATCAAAATATCTCATGCACCCCGTAAATATATATAACTACTATGTACTCACAAAAATTTAGCATAATAATAATAATAAAAACATTTTGCTTCATAAAACGTAAATGACCATCATCATTTCTTAAAACAGTCTTGATTCCCTTTGAGAGAGAAGTAAAAAATGATGCTTAGGATACCCTGAATCTCTCTTAGAATCAAAAACTTTCTGGAGCCAATGAGTGTTTCTGAGGTTTACCACAGTAATATGGAGCTGTAAAACGACACTCATAAAGAATCTTCATTCTACAATTTTCTTGCATGCAATATTGACTTTTAGCTGCCATAACAATATATTAAAAAAGAGACTTCAGCTGTTTTCAGCCATGTCTTAAGCTTCTAACCAGTGTCTCCTTCATGGCTGAGTAGAGAAAGAAAGAAAAGGGCACGTCAGGTTCCAGCCTGTAGCTACCACCAGCTGTTCGGTTGCATGAGTGGATGGATTAAGTTGACATTCACTGAGATAGAGAACATTGGAAGGGGATTGGGTGTTCAGGTAAAGTTCTAAGTTTGCCTTTTGTCTTTCTGTATTCCTCAGCAACAAGTACCCAGAAAACGCATGCAGCCATCTGCCTACCCGGGCCAAGACCCTTCTTCTAGCCTACCATTCTAGACCATTCCTGACCCCCTTTTTCCACCACCCTGACAAGTAGAACCTCCAAGTTCTGTCTCCTATTCCCTCAAAAAACTTTTCTTCATGGTTTATTTGAGAAACAAATCCCAACTAAGGCATTAATGGGGGCCAAATAGTTTTAAATGCTATTCCCATTGATCTAACCACAATTGGGCTATAACTAGCTTCCAAAGAATCAGGTAACAATGGGAATTTAGAGCCCTATAGCAGGGTCAAGAAGGGATAAATTTTTTTGCAGGTGGACATTTTAGTATTTATCAAATTATCATAAACAAGTCCCTAGTCTCAACTTAATATGATATCAAAGAAAAGATAAGCAAATCCAGACATCTTCCTGTATGAAACTTTCTCCAGTCCTTCCAGGCAGAAATAACAACTCTCTTCCTTGAACCCACATAAAACTTTATTTTAAATTTTTTTTACAGGGAACCCATTTTAATATTTTTATCCTATTTACCTACGCATTCCTCTATACTGAAAACTGTTTCAACTCACACACACTTTATTCCTTTCCTCCTTCATTCAGTCCCTTCTCTTGCCCTCTTAATCTCTCTTTCTCTCTCTCTCTCTCACACACACACACACACACACACATACACACACACACTTCTCTGGCACAGTGCTTTGCAGATAGTGCATGCTCAGTCAGTGGCTATGGGATAAACAAAGAGACTTCAGAAGAAAGACTTGAAAGGTTTATTTGTACATAAAGAAGACTATTCTCTTCTGGCCTTTGATTAAAAGTCAACAGAAGCAATTGATTTTTGTCTCTTCTAATCTCAGTACTAATATGTATCTTCTAAAGCCTTCTCTAAATTACATTTGCTTTTGTTTTTTGTTTAGCAAACTGAAGAAACTATTTACATGTTTTAAAGATTTCACCTTTGATCTAATGCCAAGATCGAGAGTTAAAATTTCTCCTTAATATACTGTGAAACAAAAGACAAATATAAATTCTATAGACTGGTCTGTAAGAGAACCTCATTAATTCAAACCATAATAATGTGAAAATCTGATCATTTGAAAAAGAAGTTTGGTATGCAAATTAACATAGAAAAAATTTCAAAGTGCATATTTATATTTCTTAACCACCAACTATTAGAAACAGTCCGTTGTTCACCAATAACACATATGCAAATGATTATGAAAATTATAGATCATTAGCTACTTACTAAGGCAGCTCCTCTAGGGATCCCTATTAAGCTAAATTTGTTTAATATTTATAATTTTACATTGTATTTCATATTTCAATTATTTGTTTTTGTCTGTCTCCCTTCACTAGAATATAAGCCTGATAGAAGATTTTCTCTGTTTTGTTCACTGCTATATCCCTAGCATTTAGAAAAGTGTCTGGCATGTAGATGCAAAAATCTGTTAAATAAGTGAAAGAATAAACAGTACCATTAAGTATACTTAAAAGTGATAGAATTTCAATTAAAAAAACTCTATTATTCAAACTTTTAAATGAATACAATAGTCTCCAAATGTTTCAATCAGTGCCACTTAGTATCTTTGCCTCCAAAGCTTTGTCATTTTGAAAATCAGCAATACAAATTTTTAGAGAACATCTCTGACTTCTACAAAGATTTAAGGGTGAAATCACTTTTGAAATTGCAATATAAAGTCAGACACCTAAATAATTTAATTTCCTTGCTTTGACTGCATTTCACCCGCTCCAACTAGCTCATTGACCAAAATAATACAGAGTTGATCTATAAAGTAGATGTAGCATATCATGTCATGTATTGGTGAAGATGTTTTATAAAATGCAAATTTCTTTTAAGAGTGAATTACTTATAAAGCCTTTAAAAACATCTTTTTTTCCCTCTGACATTTTCCCACCACAATTTTCCCTCCTACACCAACTATCACCTACTAAAAGCATTTCCGAGAATTGTGTTCAATTTCCACTGACTCCACCCAAGCAAACAGACTGTGAAACTTGTGGTATTTAGACTATTGATTTTTAAAGAGCAAAATGATTATACCTAATATCCCTCTTTAAACAGAGTAAGCTTTCAATGTATTCAACCTCCACTAGCTCATGAACTTTAATGTTCTTATTGTCATTTGATTGTTAGGTTCTGTGATCATTTCTGACACCACTATTATCAACCTTCTGTGTATTAATGCCATTTTGTGACTTGTAAATAAAAACAGCCAGCATGTTGAATGGCTTGGCTTTCACAAATGCACCTAATCTTACTACTGGTTTTTGCCTAATGTAAACATTCTGTGCCGTCCTAACTCAGGATACTTTTAAAAGCTCTGCAACAAAATAATGTGAAAATGCTTGAAATGTGTCTCTACAGGCCCTCAAGGAACAATACCTTTATTATTCCCAAATGCTGCCAGAAATTGATCCCCTAAGTCTGATATGGAGGATCTTAGCAAAAGGACCGCCCCAAAAATATTAAATATGCTAACATTTGGGGCTCTACTACATACCTAAAACAGAATCAGATAAGATCCCTTACACACCATATAGGCCAGTGATATTCAAAATGGTCTTTGACAGTGAAACATGCACTCTCCCTCCTCCCCAGTCTGAAAAAACAATCTTACATAGCAGCTCAGTCTATAAAATATATAAGCAGAAAACATATCAGCAGAGTGGCTCTCATTCAAGTGTGGAAGACCAGGAGACCCACAGGCTTGAAAGCTTGCGAAGTCAGGCCTCAGCCGCCAAAACACTGGGCCTAGAGGCAAGGCAATAAAGGGCCAAGAAATCAGGCAAAAGAAGTAGGTAAACAAGGGTTAAGAATTAGGCATCGATTGGTTTTTGTAAGATAGATGTGGAATGAACAACATGGGAGAAGATATAGATCCAGAGCCAGACTGTAAATCTGGAGCTGCCAGCAACCTACTCATACTGCTACCTCCCAGACCACATACCTCAGACCAGCCTTGTTGAGCACAGTGAGCACAATGGTAACTATTTTGCTATGGTATAACCATATACTCAGGAACCTGGATTATCTACAAGGATTAGGTGGTTAAGCAATGGAAACATCCAGCAGTATGTCAGATGCTAATATTAATATGTCCCCAGGATACTGACAATCTTCCTTCATCTCCACAGCTAGAACTAAGAGGCCATCAGCAACCTAATGTAAACACCCAATTGTCCTCCCAAGTGCAGGAATGGATTTATACATATTTACCCTGTCTAATTAAGTCAATTAAAGGCTTTCTTCAAAAGAATGTCCAAGATAGGGATATGGTCTGAGACCCTGTAACAGGTTCAAACTACCTAGCCCTCAGTGAGTGTTGAGCCACAATTCTGGCCCCCAAAGTCTATTTGCATGTAGATAATGATTTGTTCCAATCAACTGAGACAAGTTGCTACAAATTATGTTATGAATAACAATGTAACTCCTTCTATTACGTAGTCTCTGACTCAATAGAGAGAATGCCAATGGATAGCCAAATAAGGTAATATGGCATTTATATACCCAGAGAATAACATTTTAAAATCAATTCAAGGACAAGGGTAAGAAAGAGAGAAAAATGGGTGGAGGAGGGGAGCAGTCTCATACCAAGAATATCTGCCTCTTAAAACATAAGAAAAGACATTTCTATCCCTGGCTTATTGCAGGAGCTTGGACAGATCTTTCTCCTTCTGGGCCTCAAGTTCTCTGATGTAAAAACGATAGCTTTATTATGAATGGTCTGTGAGATCTCTCCCAGCTCTCAATCTCTAGTTCTATATCTCCCTTTATAACCTGAATTTCAGCTGTAGGTGCACAGATCACAGATGGATCACATAAGCCCTTCTTTGCATCTTTCCTTCATCTTCTAATTATATCTTCATTTTCTGTTTGTCCTAACAGTAATTTATGTACCCTCCCACCAGGTAATCTCTGCCTGATTTCCTGGCAATAAAGAATAATTTCTTTTATTCTAAATTAAAGGCTATGGGAAGCTATGAATCCATCCACCAAACAAACCTCTTACTTGTGAGAACATTTCTAAAGAAAATAGGAGATTGCTTTCTAACATAGTAGAAGAAAATATCCATAACACACGCCTGTTAGCCTCAAAGTAGCCTTCAGGGCCCTTGGATAAGTGTTATTAAGTTATAAAAGGAAACTTGAGTCCAGGAATTAATGATGGTGGAGTAAGTAGAGGAGAGAAGATAGCACTATACCCAAATAACTCTGAATCCCATGACTTCACAGTCGTTCCTAAATAGTGATGTACAAATGGGAGTGGGAGGCAGGTAGGGAATGCAGTGAGAGAGGTCTGCCTGGCAGGGAGGAATATTTCATCATTAATGTTGTTTATAATTTTTGCTGTACAGGGATATTAAGATGCAGACTGACTTTTCATTTCATTATTGTTTTTAAATTCTTTATAAATAGTGCCCATGCAAAGTTGATATGAAGAAGTGAAATGTAAAGAATGTATCCCTGTATTGAGAAGAACTGGGTTCCAACAGTACGAAGATTAAGCATCTGTATTAGTCCATTTTCACACTTCTGATAAAGACACACATGAGACTGTAAAGAAAGATAGGTTTAGTGGACTTACAGTTGCATGTGGCTGGAGAGGCCTCACAACCATTGTAGAAGAAAAAAGGCACTTCTTACATGGTGGCAGTAAGAGAGAATGAGGCAGAAACAAAAGCAGAAACCCCTTATAAAACCATCAGATCTCAAGAGACGTATTGACTACCACTAGAACTGTATAGAGGAAACCACCTGCATGATTCAATTATTTCCCACTGGGTCACTCCCAGAACACATGGGAATTATGAGAATACAATTCAAGATGAGACTTGGGCGAGGACACAGAGCCAAACCAAATCAGCATCTGTGGTAGGCTGAATAATGGTCTCCCAATGATCTCCAAGTCCTGTGAAACCTGGGAAGATGTTGCCTTATATGGCAAAAGGGACTTTGCAGATGTCATTAAGTTAAATATCTTGAAATGTAAAAATTGGGCTGGATTATTCAATTGAACCCAAATGCAATCACAAATATCCCTATTAGAAGGAGGCAAAAGAAGGTATTACCAGAAAGACGAGAAGGAAGCAATATGATGATGGAAGCATTGATTGGAATGATAAGGAGACAAGGAAAGGAATATAAACAGCCACAAGAAGTTGGAAGAGACAAGGAATGGTTTCTTTTCTTGAGCTTCCAGAAGGAACCAGGCATGCTGACACTCTGTTTTTGGCCCCGTAAGACTCGCTTCGGACTTCTGATTTCCAGAACTATAAAATAACTAATTTGTGTTGTTTTGGCCACTAACTTTGTGGTAATTTGTTATAACTGCAATAGGAAACTAATACAGCATCTTCTGTGTACAAGACATTGCATTAGATACTTTACACATTAGATACTTTACACAGATTATCTCATTTCATCTCCATAATGCCCTATAAAATATTATCATAGTCATTTCGCAAATGAGGAAACTGAGACTCTGAGAGACTACAACCAATTAGTGGCAGAGCCTGAATTGGAACTCAGGTGTCTGACTTCAAAATCTATTTTCTTTCCACTACGACATGTAGTAAAAGTAACCACGATAATATCTTACACTTATCTGAAGCCTGTTCTAAGAACTTCACATGAATAATTTTATTCCTTCCAAAAATTTCTAAGAAACTATGACTTAAGTTAAAAACCCATTTAGTAGTTATGTGTCAATGGGAAAATTACTTATTCTCTGTGACTCAGTTTTCTTATCTGTAAAATTGGGCGGAAAAGAATAATACCTGCCTCATAAGAGTGTTATAAATATTAAATGATTTAATATTTGTAAAGAGCTGCTAACGGTGTTTGGAACACAGTAAGTACCATATTATCAAAGTAACCATGATGATACATTCTCTCAGGAATCTGGTTCTGCTTTATCTGCTAACTAGTGAAGTGATCTTGACCTCATTCCTTGACTAAACAGCTTTCCAACATTGACATTTTGTGACTTGATGCATTTCTGGGCCTCAGTATCTCCAAATACAAAATGATAGCTTTGGAAAATAATAAGCTCTGTCAATGCATGATTGCATGAGAACTCTGGTGGTGAGTACGAGCTTCAGGAATTATGCAGCTCTGTGCTTCCCCATAACTAATACTATTTATTGTATCCATATACAGTGATTTTGAATAACACAGATTAATGAAAACTCAAGGCAACCAGATCAATCCACGTCACAAAGCAGTTTATCTGTAGATGAACAGCTCTGCCAAGTCCTAATTAGATGTTTTTGCTTCTTAAAATGAGGCAGGCCAGGCGCAGTGGCTCATGCCTATAATACCAGCACTTTGGGAGGCCAAGGTGGGCAGATCACGAGGTCAGGAGATCGAGACCATCCTGGCCAACAAGGTGAAACCCCATCTCTACTGAAAATACAAAAATTAGTTGGGCGTGGTGGCGCGTGCTTGTAATCCCGGTTATTTGGGAGGCTGAGGCAGGAGAATCACTTGAACCCAGGAGGCGGAGGATGCAGTGAGTTGAGATCACGCCACTGCACTCCAGCCTGGTGACAGAGCAAGACTCCGTCTAAAAAAAAAAAAAAAAAAAAGAGGCAGATCATTAAACTGGCTTTAAAAAAAATGTAAAGCCTCTGGATTCAAAGTAATGTGCCCTTTGACACCCAACATTATATTTACTGATGTGTGATCTTTTTCATTTATTTTCTATATTCTTATAACCATTGGGAGATGAGTCTATTGTTTAGGGACATCAAGCATCTCATTTAGCATGACAGAAGATTGGTAGGAAAGGAGCAAAACCTCAAATTAAAATTACTTATCTGTTAATCAAATTTCTCTGGTAGAGTCATGTCCCATGGTAACAACAGAGATCACAGTGTCCCACCTGTGGTGCCAGGGGCCACTACTGGGTGCCGGAAGAACGAGGTGTGTGGGAAGGCAAGAACAAACAGAAGAGAAATGTTTCCAGAGCAGTGATCTTGGAGGGGAAAACTGGTTTCTCTTACTCTTATTATGGCTGAACCTAGTGCTGCTGGTAACTACCTTTCACCTAAAGACGACTTCAGCTATCAACAGCTAACTAACCAGCAATGAGTGCCTTCAAATTGCCTCTTCTATGGACTATTTCAAACTGCTTTTGCATTATGGTATCTCATAGCTAGTTTAATAGTTTCCAGCTGTTTTCAGAAAATGTGAGAACTTCTCCTCACCACACATTTTCTCAGATCTTCACATGACAACTGCTGTTCATCTCTACCTGTTAATTGAGAAAACACAGTGACAAATAGTAAGTGATTCCCAGGATATGTAAATTTGAAAATGCTATATAAATATAAAAGTAGCATATTTAATCAGTTTCCTGTGTTTTGGGAACACTTTAAAATAATGTTATCCCTTCTTACTTTACCCTTGAGGCTGTTGCCAAGTGGGCATTTTGTATCTTTTTTCCTCCTACTTCCCTGTCCTGATATGGCCACTAAGCCTCCTTCTCAAACATGGTTGATACGGGGCTGGAATTCACTGTTCTGATCAATCAGATCTATTGTTACTTTGTTGTTGGTTTATCTAGTTTCTCTTCTTTGCATAAAAGTCAAATGCAAAACCTAGGGGCAAAATTTTCCTGTAAAATTCAGAGTCCTCTCTCTAACTCAGTCCACACTATTCCATTTCAGTTCCCTCAACTCTTCCCTGCACCCCAGTTGTGAGGCCTTCATGTTCCCCCTTCCATAGTCCCCAAAACGGGCTTTATCTGTTGGGCATGAGGGAAGTGTATTAGGGTGGCTTCATTGAGGAGATACCCTTTAAACTGGGCCATGAGGAAAAGACAGGAGTTCCATAGGCAAGGATAAGAAAAAGAATATTCTAAAATGAGGCAATGCTACATAAAGTGCTGAGCAGTGGTTATTGGAATAGAAGCATGTGTTAAAACGTGCATATTTCTGGACTCTACCCCCAGATATTTTTGGCCCAATAAGTTTGGGGTAAGACCCAGAAATCTACATATTCAACAAATACCCCATGCTATTCTTATACTGGTGGTTTACAGATCATACTTTGAAGAACACTAGAAAACAGCATCTGGAAACAGCCTTAGTGTGTCAGATACAACGTGTTAATTTGTAGAAATGCACAGAGAAATCCTGTTGATTGTCTAGGATGACAGTTGGGGCTAATCTAAAAAAACGTGGCCCATCAATACACTGAGATACAATCCTGATCCCTTGGTATTGCTGAGTAATGGCACGCTGGACAAATTCTGTCTAAAAAAAAAACTAGTTCTTCCTTTATATGTCTTTCTAACTTCATAAAAGCCAAATTTTCTAAGTACATAATGTGCACTATTACTTTGTCTTGCAAATCACAAGACAGAAGATATTTATTTTGTTTACCTGTGGAAGCCAAAGTAACTCCATCTTGGAAGCTAATCTACCATGTTGACTTCTAATTAAACCAGGTTCCAGGAATGCCTCTGAGACTTCCAGTTCATTTATTGTTCCTTGTGTAAGACCATGGTACTTACTGTAAATCCTGCCATTAGAGCAAATCAAACTTGATAAACTTATACTTACTGTAAACTCTACTTTAGGACAAATTCCTACCAATTCTATCTGAAGCATATATTACCCTCCCCTATGGTATATAGTCTCTGAGTCTGGGGAGTGATGGTGTGGAAATCTGCCTGTTTTGTGGCCACCCAAGACCACACTTCTGTCCATAAGTTTCCCAATAAAACCACCCTATAATACTAAGTTTGACTTGTCTGCCTCCTCCTTTAATTTATCAGATTCTTCTTCATTTGGTGGTTGCTTTACATATACATGGCCCTTTCATGGAACAATACTTAAACATCCTTATGTCAAAATGTTATGACAAAGAGTACAGAAAGAGCAAGATGGATAAACAGAAACTTCCAGTCATTGTCTCTCCCATAGGGACAAAAAAATTAACAACCATCTGCACAAGAAAGCACTTCCATAAGAACAAAAAAACAGGTGAGTGATCACAGTACCTGCTTTTAACATCATATCAAGGAAGGATATGTCTGCCAACAGACATCATAGTGGAAACTTTACAGGCCAGGAGAGAGTGGCATGGCATGTTTAAAATGCTGAAGGAAAAAAAAAACTTTTATCCTAGAATAGTATATCTAGCAAAAGTATACTTCAAACATAAAAATATAAATAAAGATATTCCAAGACAAACAAAAGCTGAGGGATTTCAACACCAGAATTGTCCTACAAGAAATGCTAAAGGGAGTTATTTCTGAAAGAAAAAGATGGTAACAAGTAATAAGAAGTCATCTGGGCCAGGCGCGGTGGCTCACGCCTGTAATCCCAGCACTTTGGGAGGCCGAGGTGGGCGGATCACAAGGTCAGGAGATCGAGACCATCCTGGCTAACACAGTGAAACCCTGTCTCTACTAAAAATACAAAAAATTAGCCAGATGTGGTGGCGGGCACCTGTAGTCCCAGCTACTCGGGAGGCTGAGGCAGGAGAATGGCATGAACCCAGGAGGCGGAGCTCGCAGTGAGCGGAGATCAGGCCACTGCACTCCAGCCTGGGCGACAGAGTGAGACTCCATCTCAAAAAAAAAAAAAAAAAAGGCCAGGCGCGGTGGCTCACGCCTGTAATCCCAGCACTTTGGGAGGCCAAGGAGGGCGGATCACGAGGTCAGGAGATGGAGACCATCCTGGCTAACACGGTGAAACCTCATCTCTACTAAAAATACAAAAAATTAGCCGGGCGTGGTGGCAGGCACCTGTAGTCCCAGCTACTCGGGAGGCTGAGGTAGGAGAATGGTGTGAACCTGGGAGGCAGAGCTTGCAGTGAGCCGAGATAGCGCCACTGTACTCCAGCCTGGGTGACAGAGCGAGACTCCGTCCAAAAAAAATAAATAAAAAATAAAAATAAAAATAAAGTCATCTGAAGGCACACAACTCACTCACTGGTACTAGTAGGTACACACAAAAACAAAGAATATTATGACACCGTAATTGTGGTGTATAAACCACTCATAAAAGGAGTAGAAAGACTAAAAGATGAACCTATCAAAAATAATAACTACAACAACTGTTCAAATCATAGACAGTATAATAAGGTATAAATAAAGAAAACAAATTGCTAAAACATGGGAAGATGTAGTTGAAATGCACAGTTTTTAGTAGTTTTCTCTTTACTTGTTTGTTTTTTATTGCAATTGGTGTTGTCATTAATTTAAAATAATGGGTTAAAAGATGTTATTTGAAGGCTCATAGCAACCTCAAATCAAAAACCATACAACAGATACACAAAAAAATAGAAAACAAGAAATAAAAACACACCACTGGAGAAAATCATATTCACAAAAAGAAAGACAGGAAGGAAGGAAGAGAAAATCGCAAAACAACCAGAAAACAAATAACAAAATAGCATGACAAAGTACTTACTTATTAATAATAACAATAAATGTAAATGCACTATACACTCTAATCAAGACAAAGAGTGGCAGAATGCATAAATAAACAAGACCCAATGATCTGTTTGCTACAAAAACACACTTCACCTATAAAGACACACATAGCCTGAAAATAAAGGGATAGAAAAAGATAGATATGTCATGCCAATGGAAGCCAAAAGAGAGCAAGGGTAGGTATACTTATACCAGACAAAATAGATTTGAAGACAAAAACTATAAGAGACAAGAAAGCTCATTATATAATGATAAAGGAGTCATTTCAGTAAGAGGATATAACAATTATAAATATATATGCACCAAACAAAAGAATACCAACATATATAAAGCAAACATTATTAGAGCTAACAAGAAAGATCGGCCCCAATACAATAATAGCTGCATAATTCTACACGCTGCTTTCAGCACCGGAAAGATCATCTAGCAGAAAATCAACAAAGAAACTTCAGACTTCATCTGCACTATAGAGCAAATAAATCCAATAGATATCTACAGAACATTTCATCCAATGGCTACAGAATACACATTCTTCTCTTTAGCTCATGAATCATGCTCAAGGATACACCATATATTAGGTCACAAAGCAAGTCTGAAAAAAAAATAAAAATGAAAATAATATCAAGGATTGTCTCTGACCACAATGGAATAAAACTCAACATCAATAACCAGAGGAATTCTGGAAACTATAAAGCATAAGGAAATTAAACAATATGCTGTTGAATAACCAGTGGCTCAATGAAGAAATCAAGAATGAAATTGATAAATTTATTGAAACAAGTGATAATGAAAACACAACACACCAAAACCTATGAGATACAGCAAAAGCAATACTAAGAGCGAAGCTATAAGTGCCTACATCAAAAAAAAAACACTTCAAATGAATAACTTAATAATGTATCTTGAAGAACTAGAAAAGAAAGAGCAAATCAAACCCAAAATTAGTAGAAAAAAATAAAGATCAGAGCAAAAATAAATGAAATTGAAACAAAAAAAGATACGAATACCAATGAAATGAAAAGTTTTTTTTAAAAAGGTAAACAAAACTGACTAACCTTTAGTCAGACTGAAAAAAAAAACAGAGAGAGGGAGAGAATACTGAGATAAAATCAGAGATGGAAAAGAAGACATTACAACAGATACTAAAGACATTCAAAGGATCATTAAAGGCTATTATAAGAAAGTATATTCCAATAAATTAGAAATTTCAGAAAAAAATGCATAAATTCTAAGACACATACAACTTACCAAGATTGAACCATGCAGAAATCCAAAACCTGAACAGACCAATAACAAGTAACAAGATTAAAGCTGTAACAAAAAGCCTCCCTGTAAAGAAAAGGCCAGGACCCGATGGCTGTACTGCTGAATACTATAAACATTTAAAGAAAGAATAATAATAATCTTAATCAAATTATTCTGAAAAATAGAGGAGAGAATGTTTTCAAACTCATTCTATGAGACCAGTATTACCCAATACTAAGGCCACACAAAACACACCAAAACAAGAAAATTATAGCCCAACATACCTGATGAATATTGATGCAAAAATCCTCAACAAAATACTGTCTAATTGAATTCAATCACACGTTGAAAATATCATTAATCATGACCAAGTGGGATTAAGCCCAGGGGTGCAAGGATGATTCCATATTTGCAAATCAATGTGATATACCATATCAACAGAATAAAGAACAAAAACCATATAATCATTTCAATTGATGCCAAAGAAACATTTGATAAAATTCAACATTCTGTCATAATAAAAAACCTCAAATAAGTAGGTATAGAAGGAACACACCTCAACACAATAAAAGCCATATATGTCACACCTACAGCTAATATCATACTGAACAGAGAAAAACAGAAAGTTTTTTATGTAATATCTGGAACACGACAAGTTTGCCCACTTTCAACACTGTTATTCAATATAGTGCTGGAAGTTCTAGCTAGAGCAATCAGACAAGAGCAATAATAAATAAAGGGCATCCAAATTGGAAAAGAAGAAATCAAGTTATCCTTGTTTGAAGATGATATGCTTGATATGGTTTGGCTCTGTGTGCCACCGAAGTCTCATCTCGAATTGTAATTCAAGTCAGGGGAGGGACCAGGTAGGAGGTGACTGGATCAGGGGGGTGGTTTCCCCCATGCTGTTCTCATGATAGTGAGTTCTCACAATAGCTGATGGTTTTGAAGTGTGGCATTTTCTCATTCTCACACACACTCTCTCCTGCCACCTTGTGAAAAGGGTGTCTGCTTCCCCTTCACCTTCCACCATAATAGTAAGTTTTCTGAGGCCTCCTAGCCATGCTTCCCATTAAGCCTGCAGAACTGTGAGTCAATCAAACTTCTTTCCTTTATAATTATGCAGTCTTAGTATTCTTTATAACAGTGTGAGAACGGACTAATACAATGATCTTATATTTAGAAAAGCCTAAAGGCCACCAAAAACAACTACTAGAACAGATAAACAAATTTAGTAAAGTTGCAGTATACAAAATCAACACATAAAAACAATAATCATTTCTATATGCCAACAGTAAACCATCTTAAAAAACAATCAAGGAAATAATTCCACTTACGATACCTAAAATAAAATTTAAAAAAAGATACTTAGCAATAAACTTAACCGAGAAGTGACAGGTCTCTATAATAAAAACTATAAAACACTGATGAACGAAACTAAAGAGGACACATTAAAATTGAAATATATTCCATGTTCATTGATTGGAAGAATCAATATTGCTAAAATGTCCATACTCCTCAAAGCACTCTACAGATTCAATGCAATCCTTATCTAAATAACAATAATATTCTTCACAGAAATAAAAAATATCATAACATTATAAGGAAACATAAAACACCCAGAATAGCCATAGCCATCCTGAACAAAAAGAACAAAACTGGAGGAATCAAATTACTTGATTTCAAATTATACTACAGAGCAATAATAACCATAATGCCATGGTGGTGGCATAAAAACAAACACAGAGACCAATGGAAGAGAATAGAGAACACAGAAATAAATCTAGACATCTAGAGAGAACTCATTCTCCACAAAGCTGCCAAGAGCATACATTGGGAAAAAGGTAATCTCTTCAATAAATGGTACTGGCAAACTGGATATCCATATTCAGAAGAATAAAACTAGACCCCATCTCTCACTACATACAAAAATCAAATTAAAGTGAATTGAAAACTTAATTCTAAGACCTCAAGCCATGAAACTACTGCAAGAAAACATTGGAGAAACACTCCAAGTCATTGGTCTTTACAAAGAGCTCTTGAGCAATACCCCACAAGAACAGGCAACTAAAGCAAAAATGAACAAATGAAATCACATTAAATTCAAAATTTTCTGCACAACAAAGGAAACAATCAAGAAAGTGAAGAGACATGCAATAGAATAGAAAAAAATATTTACAAACTACCCATCTGACAAGGGATTAATAACCAGAATATATAAGGAGCTCTAATAACTCTGTAGGAAAAAATATCTAATAATTCAATTTTTAAAAATAGACAAAAGGAGAGAGTGCAACATGGCAAACTAGACGCAGTCAGGTGGAAGAGCTGCCACTGAGGGGCTGAGATGACTGGAATACTCCTAACTGATCTTCAGAGGGAAGACACCAAGGATGGAAGGAGGAAAGACACAGCAGCTGGGCTGAAGGGAAAGGAAGCTGGCAACCCTGCACAGGGCTACCCTGCACCAGGACTTGTTCCTGACCCCAGTGGCTCCTGTGAAGGGGGTGAGTTGAACTGGAAAGGAGCAACTTGCTCTTGCCATGGGCCTCTGGAGTCCCAGCAGGAGGTGGCTCCTCAATCACCAGGGACACTAGAGTTGGCAGAAAGAACTGCCCATGTCTAGCTCTTGTGCTGGCAGACCATGCCTGACTGGTAGAAAACTCCAGCAGGGTGGCCCCTGCAGCCATGCACAAGCCCACCCACTCCCTCCTCACACTGCAGCTTCCCCCAGGCCCACAGCAACCCCTCAACATTGCTTTGCTGGTGTGTGTGTGTGTGTGTGTGTGTATGTGTGTGTGTGTGTGTTTGTTTTGTGTGTGTGTGTGTTGTGTGTGTGTGTGTGTGTGTGTGCGTGTTTGTTTTGCCTTCTTTGCCCCACCTGCAAGCCTGTGCACAGGCACCCTGCTCTGCCACTGCTGTGGTGGGAGTGCACTCCACCCCTGTGACCCCGCCAGATTGCCATTGCAGTTGGAGGTTAGCCAAGCACAGAGCCAGACAGCCTCACCTACACCAGCACCCAACCCTTGCACCAACACTGCCTTGGGAGTGAAAATAGACACAGAGAACAGCAAACCCCTCCAAACCCTGAGAGACCTCCCCTGCCTGTAGCACACAGAGAATATGCACAGACCTGTGTCCACCAGTGCCCAGTCCTCATGCTAACACCACCACCAGTGTGACCACAGGCACGGTCATGAGCAGGGGCTACTCCCCGCAAGCTGTGCTGCCTCCAGCACTGTGGTAAACACCCACACAGAGGCAGGCATCTGCTAGCACCCTGCTGCAGCTGACAGGCATGCCGCTGCCGCTGCTGCTGGCACATGCAAATGCGAATAGATCCCACTGCAACCACACTATGAAACGCTTTGGCTGACACTACCCATCAATGCGTAGTGACCAGCAGTCTGGGAGCACCTTGACCCCGCTAGCCCAGTGGGTTCCTAATCTCAAAGAGCCAGAGAACAAAGTCAGGGCCCAATACAAGTCCCCAGAGTTAAAGCATACAATCCAGAGTCAGAAACTGAGCATTGCCCCCCTCTAAAATCTTCCAGAAACAAGCTAGTTGGCTAAATCCACCTTATACCACAATCAAAACCTCAAGGTTATCAAATAGGATAAAAGAAAAAAAATCTCATCGAAAGGTAAGGAACTTCAAAGATTGAAGAAACATCAGCCCACAAAGATGAGAAAGAAACAATGCAAGAACTCTGATGACTCAAAAAGTCGGGTTTTTTTTCTCCAAACGACTACGGCACCTCTCCAGCAAGGGTTCTGAACTGGGCTGACATGACTGAAATGACAGAAATAGAATTCAGATTATGGACAGGAACACAGATCATGCCAGAGTATGTTGAAACCCAATCCAGGGAAGTTAAGAATCACAATAAAAGGATACAAAAGCTGACAGACAAAATACCTAGTATAGAAAAGAAAGTAACCAACCTGGTAGAGCTGAAAACACACTACAAAAATGTCATAATGTCATCACAAGTATTAATACCAGAATAGACCAAGCCGAGGAAACAATCTCAGATCTAGAAGATGGGCTTTCTGAAAAAAGACAATCAGACAAGAATTTTTTTTAAAAGGATGAAAAGGAACGAACAAAATCTCCAAGAAATACGGGATTATTTAAAGAGATCAGATCTATGAATCATTGGTGTCCCTGAAAAAGATAAGGAGACTGTAAGCAACTTGAAAATCATATTTCAAGATATCATCCATGAGAACTTCTGCAACTTAGCTAGAGAGGCCAATATTAAAATTCAAGAAATGCAGAGAATCACAATAAGAAACTTCAAAGAAGATCATCCCCAAAATGCATAATCATCAGATTCTCTAAGGTCAAAATTAAAGAAAAAAATATCAAAAGCAGCTGTAGAGAAAGGTCAGTTCACCTACAAGGGAAGCCCATCAGACTAACAGTGGACCTCTCAGCAGAAACTCTACAAGCCAGAAAGACTGGGGGCCAATATTCAACATTCCTAAAGAAAAAAATTCTAACACAGGATTTCATATCCAGTCAAACTAAGCTTCATAAGTGTAGGAGGAATAAGATCCTTTCCAGACAAGCAAATGCTAAGAGAGTTCTTTACACCAGACCTGCCTTACAAGAGCTCCTGAAGGAAGTACTAAATATGGAAAGCAAATACCATTACCAGCCACCATGAAAACATACTTCAGTACACAGAGCAGTGACACTATAAAGCAACCACACAAACCAGTCTGCATAATAACCACCTAATATCATGATGACAAGATCAAATCCACACTTATTTATATTAACTTTGAATGTAATGGGATAAATGCTCCAAATAAAAGGCAAGAGTGGAAAGCTGGAGGAAGAACCAACATCCATTGGTGTGCTGTCTTCAACAGACCCATCTCACATACAATTACACCTATAGGCTCAAAATAAAGGGATGGAGAAAAATCTATGAAGAAAATTGAAAACAGATAAAAGGAAGGGTTGCAATTCTAATTTCACACAAAATGGGCATTAAACCAACAAAGGTCAAAAAAGACAAAGAAGGGCATTACATAATGATAAAGGGTTCAATTCAACAAGAAGACCTAACTACCCTAAATATATATGCACCCAACACAGGAGCACCCAGATTCATAAAGCAAGTTTTTAAAGACCTTCATAGAGACATAGACTCCCACACAATAACAGTGGGAGACTTCAACACCCCACTGGCAGTATTAGACTGATCAGCAAGGCAGAAAATTAACAAAGATATTCAGGACCTGAACTCAGCACTGGATCAAATGGACCTGATAGACATCTACAGAACCCTCCAACCAAAAACAAGAGAATATACATTCTTCTAACTGCAACATGGCACATACTCTAAAATTAATCACATAATGAGACACAAAACACTCCTTGGCAAATGCAAAAGAACTGAAATCATAAAAAAAAAACACTCTCTCAGACCACAGAGCTACCAAATTAAAACTCAATATTAAGAAATTTGCTCAAAACCATACAATTACATGGAAATTGTGTAATCTGCTCCTGAATGACTTCTGGGCAAATAATAAAATTAAGTCAGAAGTTTGTTGAAACTAATGAGAACAAAGATACAACATACCAGAATCTCTGGGACACAGCTAAGGCAATGTTAAGAGGAAAATTTATAGCACTAAATACCTATATCGAAAAGTTAGGATGATCTCAATTTAGCAACCTAATATTACAACTAAAAGAACTAGAGAAACAGGAGCAAATTAAACCAAAATCTAGCAGAAGATAAGAAATAACCAAAATCTGAGCTGAAGTGAAGGAGATTGAGACACAAAAAAAAATATTCAAAAGATCAACAAATCCAGTAGTTAGTGTTTTGAAAAAGTTAATAAGATAGGTGCACCAATAGCTAGATTAATACAAAAGAAAAGAGAGAAAATCAAAATAAACACAATTAGAAATGACAAAGAAGCTGGGCACGGCGGCTCAAGCCTGTAATCCCAGCACTCTGGGAGGCCGAGGTGGGTGGATCACAAGGTCAGAAGTTCAAGATCAGCCTGGCCAAGATGGTGAAACCCCCAGGTGTGGTGGCATGTGCTTGTAATCCCAGCTACTCGGGAGGTTGAAGCAAGAGAGTCGCTTGATCCCGGGAGGTGGAGGTTGCAGTGAGCCGAGATCATGCCACTGCACTCCGGCCTGGGTGACAGAGGAAGACTGCATCTCGAAAAAAAAAAAAAAAAAAAAAAGAAACAACAAAGAAGATATTACCACTGACACCACAGAAATAAAAATAACCATCAGAGAATATTATGAACAACTCTATGCAAATAAACTAGAAAATTTAGAAGAAACTGATAAATTCCTGAACACATACACCCTCCCAATACTGAGCCAGGAAGAAATTGAATCCCTGAATAGACCAATTATGAGCTCCAATATTGAACCAATAGTAGATAGTCTACCAACAAAAAAAGCCCAGGACTAAGTAAATTCACAGCCAAATTCTGCCAGATGCACATAGAAGAGCAAGTACCATTCCTACTGAATCTATTCCAAAAAATTGAGGAGAGGGACTCCTCCTTAACTCATTCTATAAAGCCAGCATCATCCTAATGAAATAGGTCAGGGTCACTGGTTTCATTGTTTAAGGTTTTATCTGAGCTCTTCCTCTCATGACCAAGAGAATTAAGGAGCGTGGACACAAAAGGTGAGGTTGGAGTAAAAGTTTAATAAGCAAAAGAAGAAAGCTCTCCACAGCAGAGAGGGGAGCCTGAGTGGGTTGCCGTTTATACAGTTGAATCCAAAAACTTTTATAAGAAACTCCTCTCATTTCTGTAGCTGTTTGAGGAACTTCTTTTATCTGAAAAGCTGTCTGCACAACTCCCCGTTAACTATGTAGTTGTGGGCATGTCTCTAGGCAAGCACAAAGCACTGTGTCTCTTGTCTGTGTAACTATGGGTTTGTTTTAGGTAAGCCCTCCTTCGCCCTGTGCAAGTTCCCATGGAGCCCACCATGAATATGTCTGAAAAGGGTAGGAAACTTTTTCCTGGGAGCTCACTAATCACACAAAGAACAAAAGGCTTCTGTGCTGGACCTTGCCTGCCTTGCCTACTTATCTCTGTGCAGGTGCAGGCTGAGTTTTCTCCAGGCTGCTCTATTTTTGCCTGCAGCTGTGATTTTTCAGGCAGGCTGCTTCTCCAAGGGCTAGTCTTCGTTGTCTACCCAACTGATTTTTCCTTTTCTTTTCCCTCATTACTAATACCAAAACCTGGCAGAGACACAACAACAACAAAAACACTTCAGGCCAATATTCTTGAACATCAATGCAAAAATCCTCAACAAAATAGTGCCAAACCAAATCCAGTAGCACATCAAAAAGCTTATCCACCATGATCTAGTAGGCTTTATCCCTGACATGCAAGGGCTGGCTGTTCCACATACATGAATCAATAAATGTATTCATCATATAAACAGATGTAAACAAAAAGAAAACCTACATGATTATCTTAATAGATGCAGAAAAAGCTTTCAATAAAATTCAACACTCTTTCATGTTAAAAACTCTCAATTAACTAGGTATTGAACAAACATACCTCAAAATAATAAGAGCCATTTATAACAAACCCAAAGGGCCGGGTGCGGTGGCTCATGCCTGTAATTCCAGTACTTTGGGAGGCCGAGGCAGATGGATCATGACGTCAGGAGATCAAGACCATCCTGGCTGACACAGTGAAACCCCGTCTCTACTAAAAATACAAAAAATTAGCCGGGCATGGTGGTGCGTGTCTGCAGTCCCAGCTACTCGGGAGGCTGAGGCAGAAGAATCGCTTGAACCCAGGAGGCAGAGGTTGCAGTGAGCTGAGATTACCCCATAGCACTCCAGCCTGGGCGACAGAGTGAGACTCCATCAAAAAGAAAAAAAAAAAACAAAACCCAAAGCCAACATCATATTGAGTGGGCAAAACCTGGAAGAATTTCTCTTGAAAACCAGCACAAGAAAAGGATGCCCTCTCTCATCACTCTTATTCAACATAGTATTGGAAGTCCTGGCCAGACTAATCAGGCAAGAGAAAGAAATAAAGAGGATTCAAATAGGAAGAAAGGAAGTCAAACTGTTCCTGTTTGCAGATGACACGATCCTGTATCTAGAAAACGCCATGATCTCAGCCCAAAAGCTCCTTAAGCTGATAAACAACTTCAAGTAAGTCTCAAGATACAGAATCAATATACAAAAGTCACTAGAATTTTAAACACCAACAACACTCAAGCTTAGAACCAAATCAGGAACACAAACCCACTGACATTTGCCACAAAAAAGAATAAAATACCTAGGAATACAGCTAACTAGGAAGGTGACAGGTGACTGCAAGGAGAACTACAAAACACTGCTCAGAGAAATCAGAGATAACACAAACAAATGGAAAAACATTCCATGCTCATGGACAGGAAGAATCAATATTGTTAAAATGGCTATACTGCCCAAAGCAATTCATAGATTCAATGATATACCTATCAAACTATCAATAACATGCTTTTCAGAACTAGGAAAAACTATTTAAAAATTCATATAGAACCAAAAAGAGCCCAAATAGCTAAGATAATCCTAAGCAAAAAGAACAAAGCTGGAAGCATCACACTACCTGACTTCAAACTATACCACAGGGCTCCTGTAACCAAAACAGCATGGTACTGTTACAAAAACAGACGCAGTCCAATGGAACAGAAAAGAGAGCACAGAAATAAGGCCATACACTTACAACTAACTATCTGATCTTCAAAAAGTTGACAAAAACAAGCAATGAGGAAAGGACAACCTATTGTTGTCCTCTGTGCTCTGATAACTGGCTAGCCATATGCAGAAGATTGAAACTGGAACCCTTCTTTAAACCATATACAAAATGAACTCAAGATGGATTAAAGACATAAATGTAAAATAGAAAACTATTAAAACCCTGGAAGACTACCTAGGCAATACCATTCTGAACATAGTAATGGCCAAAGATTTCATGACAAAGACATCAAAAGCAATTCCAAGAAACACAAAAAAATGACAAATGACATCTAATTAAACTAAAGAGCTTCTTACAGCAAAAGAAACTATTAATGGAGAAAACAAACAACCTGCAAAATGGGGGGAAATTTTTGCATACTATGCATCTGTCAAAGATAATATCTACCATCTACAAGAAACTTAAATTTACAAGAAAAAAACCAACAACCTCATTAAAGAGTAGGCAAGGGACATGAACAGACACTTTTCAGAAGAAGACATACATGCGGCCAACAAGCATATGAAAAAAAGATCAACATCACTGATCATGAGAGAAATGCAAATCAAAACCACAATGAGATGCCATCTCACACCAGTCAGAATGGCTATTATTAAAAAATTAAAAAATAACAGATGCTAGCATTCCTGTGGAGAAAAAAGGCACGCTTATACACTGTTAGTGGGAGTGTAAATTAGCTCAACCATTGTGGAAAACAGTATAGTGATTCCTTAAAGAGCTAAAAACAGAACTATCATTCGACTCAGCAATCCCATTACTAAGTATATACTCAAAGGAACATAAATAATTCTATCATAAAGACACATGCATGCTTATGCTCACTGCAGCACTATTCACAATAGCAAAAACATGAAATCAACCTAAATGCCCATCAATGGTTAACTGGATAAATAAATGTGGTACATATACACCATGGAATACTATGCAGCTATAAAAAAGAATGAGATCATGTTTTTAGCAGGAACATGGATGGATCTGAAGATCATTATCCTTAGCAAATCAACACAGAAACAGAAAACCAAATCCTACATGTTCTCACTTGTAAGTGGGAGCCAAATAATTAGAACACATGGACACATAGAGGGAAGCAACAGATACTGAGGCCTACTGGAGGGTGGGTGAAGGGAGAGAATCAGGAAAAATAACTAATTTGGTACTAGTCTTAATACTTTGGCGATGAAATAATCTGTACAACAAACCCCCATGACACGAGTTTACTTAAATAACAAATCTGCACATGTACCCCTGAACTTAAAAAAAAGTTGAAAAAATAGGCAAAACATCTGAATAGACATTTCTCAAAAGAAAACATAGAAATTTTAAGTAGGTATATAAAAAGGTGTTCAATACCACTGATCATCAAAGAAATTAAAATCAAAACTACAATGAGATATCATCTCACCCCAGCTAAAATGGCTTTTTTCCAATAGGCAATAATAAATGCTGGTAAGGATGTGGAGAAAAGGGAACCCTCGTGCACTTTTGATAGGAATGTAAATTGCTACAACCACTAAGGAGTACAATTTGGAGGAAATCTAAAAATAGACCTACCATAAGATCCAGCAATCCCACTCTTTGGCATATAAAGAAAAGAAATCAGTATATCAAAGAGATATCTGCACTCCCATGTTTATTGCAGCATTATTTACAATTGCCAAGATTTGGAAGCAACTTAAGTGACCATCAGCAGATGACCAGATAAAGAAAATGTGGTACCTATACACAATGGAGTACTACACAGCTATAAAAATAATAAGATCCAATCATTTGCAACAACATGGATGGAACTGGAGAACATTCTGTTAACTAAAATAAGTCAGGCACATCAATACAAAATTAACATGTTCTCACTCATTTGTGGACCTAAAAATTTTAACAATTTAACTCATAGAGATAAAGAACAGAATGATTGTTACCAGAGGCTGGGAAGGGTATATTGGGGGAAGTGGATACAGTTAATGGGTACAAAAATACAGTTAGATAGGGCCGGGCGGGCACGGTGGCTCATGCCTGTAATCTCAGCACTTTGGGAGGCTGAGTCGGACAGATCCCTGAGATCAGGAGCTCGAGACCAGCCTGACCAATATGATGAAAACCCATCTCTACTAAAAACACAAAAATTAGCTGGGCGTGGTGGTATGTGCCTATAATCTCAGCCACTTGGGAGGCTGAGACAGGAGAATCGCTTGAACCCAGGAGGCAGAGGTTGCAGTGAGCCAAAATCATGCTATTGCACTCCAGCATGGGCAATAAGAGCAAAACTCTGTCTCAAAAAAAAATACAGTTACATAGGATGATTAAGGTCTAGTATTTGATAGCACTCCAGGGTGACTATGGGCAACAATAATTTACTATTCATTTTATAATAACTATAAGAGTATAATTGGAATGTTTATAATACAAAGGATAAATACTTGAGGTGATGGATACTCCATTTACTGTGATATGATTACTATGCATTGTATGACTGTATCAAAATATCTCATGTGCCTCATAAATATATATACCTACTATGTACTCATAATTTTTTTAAATGTTATGACACCTTATGATTTAGGATTGCACTCCATAATGTTTGGCCTCAGAGCTTTTGGCACCTGTAAAAATAAAGTTTCCTATACATGACCAAAATGCATTTGTAAGTTGGAGATGGAAGAACAGGTTAAAAGGAGTATATTTGCATATAAAAGCAAGTGTATAAATCTGATGGCCAACTCATTACATTAAGTCATAACACTCATGAGACCAAAGTTCTAAGTTTAAGCTACATGTAATCTAGATACCTGTTCTCTGCCACTAAAACTCCCCCGCTTCCCTTGGATCACCATTGAGCAAATACAACTAAGTGGGGTGGCTAGCTCTATGCAAGAAATACCAGCTACACGTGAAATAATGTAAAAAATGTAGAACATATGTTTTAGTAAGAACAGTTTAGGAGTGCTACCTTCTTTTTTATAAAGTGAGACCATATATTTTACCTGAGACAATTCCAACATAATGGTTCTATGTGCCACTCACCTTTTGTAACCTTTAGGTAAGTGGGTTAGAGTATCCTACTGAGAATCAAAGGGGAAAAGGTGTGGTTACTGATACTTTGGAGATAAATTTTTAAATGAAAAAGAGTACTCAGCCAAGGTAACTTCAAAATTTAATAGTTGGTTTTCGAATTGGGAAGATGATGGAACTAGTCTATATACAGAATGGGAAGCTGGATTCAAAGGCTAGCTAAGGAGAGGGCAGCTCAGTCTCCCAAAGAGTGTGATGGTTTCCATCCTAAACCTGAAAGCATTCATTATTGGTCTAGTATTCAATCAGGTCAGTAAATAAGTCAGTGAGAAATCCAAGACAGAACGTCAGTGTTCAGATTCTAATTGATCCTTTAATATACAACAGGTCCCCAAAACATCAGCCAAACAAACAGGGAATAGTATCTTACACCCAAGAATGTACTGGCAAGAATGTTCTGTGTATCAGAAACCTAGTTAATTGAGTCAATATTTCTGATAAAACCCTATCCTAGATGGCCCTGGCATCTAGGATAGGGCAAAATGAGGATCTAGGCTGGATCTCCAAAACTACTGTCTCCAGATGAGTTAATACAAATAACAAACATAGCACAGTGCTTGGCATACAAAAAGTCCTCAGTAAGTGTTAATTATTATAATAATTACTTAGAAAACTGTAGCACAACAGCTTGGTTACACTTGTCTTCCATGAGGCCAAATCTGAAGCCCACTTGTCTTCCACAGCCCTTGTTCTCTTGCTCTGACTTAAATATCACGTAGGGATCCAGAACTCATAACAAGTACATCAGGTCCTGGAGATACACTATGACAACAATTCCAAACAGTCAGAATGAGGCTAACAAATGCAGTACTGTATGACAATTAAGATTATGGGCTCTGGAGTCAAACCACCTGGGCTCAAATCCTAACTCAGCCATACTGTGTAATCTCAGGCAAATTGTTTGACCTCTCTGCACCTCTATTTTCCCTTCTACAAAATAGGCATGATAAAAAATATCTCACTGGGTTGGTAAAAAGATTAAGTTGATATGGTATATATAAAATGTTTAATATTGTACCCAGAACATAGTAAGCACTCATTAAATGTTAACAATTATGTGTATTCTTTCTGATCTCATTCAGGACAGGCTCAAGAGGCATGACTAAATCTGTATTTTTAGATATCTGTGGGCTCATCTGGAAAGAGCTGAGGAGGAAGGACAGCAAAGGAAACAGAGCAAGAGCTAACAAGTTAAGATGGTTATGGCTAATAGTGACTTAATGAAGTGGTCCCTAGTGGGAGATATACATTTTAATAGCAGGCCTAGGTTTCTTACCCTGAAGCAATGATTTCAGTGAAGGTTTCAACTATTGTGGCATATCTGAGTGGGTAGACTTGATAGTAATCAAGGATTTTTAACCTCCCTCACTTCGCAGTACATAGATAGCTGCTGACTTCACCTAGGCATGGGGCCAGACAGTACTTTGGTCCAATGTCCAGTGAAAATCAGGCTGCCTATGAATCCCTTCACTTTATAAGTGTGCCTCAAGCTGGTTTTGTTGGAGAATTTTTTTTCATTGATGCTAGCAATTTTTTCATTCTAGTGCTTTATTCCACCCCAATCCCACGCCCATCTAAAATGGCAGTTATTACATGTGACCTAATGAAAAGGAAACTAATGTGCATAACTGAGGTGATTAGCCAAAATGAATCACCAATTTGGGGAGGAGTGTTGGCTCAGCAGGGATATTGTTCACTTCCATGTGTGTGCTCCAAGTTGCAGCCTCCAGCACCACTAGAAAGGAGTTTATTGGGGAGAGGAAATCACCCTGGTATAGAAACACTCAGCACTTCTGTTATATTCAAAGAGTCACCCTTTCCTCTCCTATGCCCTCTCATGCTCTGCCCTTTTAACTCTCCGGGGTTGACTTCCACAAAGGGTGAAATATTTGCATTAGGGAAGGCAGAAGAGCACATGAGAGCCTGGGATTTGGAGTCAAACCAACCTGGGAATGAACCCTAGCTCTTTTACTAAAAACTGTATGGCCTTAAGCTAGGTATTTTACCTTTATGGGCTTCAGTTTCCTCATCTGAAAATGGAAGTCAACTGATAACTAGCCTATAGAGATGTTATAAGGATTTAATGAGTTCACTAATTTATTCAGCAAATGTTTATGGAATGTCTACTTTATGGCTAGCTGAGACTATGCTAGGTGCTATAGACACATCAAATAAAAAGCTACACATTGTTCCTGCCTTAATGGAACTTATAAGATGAAGACAACAGTGTCCCCTCTGTGCTACAAATAGACCTCATGCATATAGCACAGTTGCAGCAATAGGTGATTGGATATGTTTTAGCAACTAGAGACCAGGGCTCTTTTCTGTTTTTAACCCAAACAACCTTATCTGCCTGAAACTGTATTGCTGAAAAAGTGTCCTCTCCCCAGATTGTCCCATTGTTGTGAACAGCTTGCCTATAAGCATATCGCTGTTTTTATTCCCTCATTCAGCATTGTATATTGATGGAAATGGAAAAAGACAAATGGGGCTTGAACACAGTGAAGAAGATGAAGAATGAGGGAAAAGAGATTAGAGAGTCTGGTAGGGGCAACATTGGGCCTTTTAGGATATATTAAAGACTATATATTTTATATCAAGTATATTTGAAAGCCATTGAAGAGCTTTAGGTAATACAAGATTATTTTGTGTTTTCAAAAGATCCTTTTTTGCAACACTTTATAACGAAAATTTTCAAATTTAAAGATATGAAAGAATTTTACAGTGAACACCTCACATATGCACCACCAAGATTCTATAATTTACATTTATCAGACTTGTTTTATCACTATGCATCTATCCTTGTACTCATCTATTCTATCTTATTTTCTTTTGCATTTCAAAGTAAATTGAAAGTAGGCTGAATTCCTTAATACACTTTGACCGAAATACTTCAACATGCATATCATTAACTTCAGTTCAATATTTATGTTTTATTCTTTCCCTCAAATGATCAATTTTAAAAATCTGACAGAAAAATAGCAGTTACCTCTCCGAGGGGGCTGAAAGAAGGCTTTGAGGTGCTGGAAGTGTTCTAAACCTTGATCTTGGAAATGGTTACATAAGTATATATATATGGAAAAATTTATCACGCTATACATTTGAGATTAGTACACTTTGTACATATTGCTGTATGCATGACATACTGCAATTGAAAAAGTAAAAAAAAAAAAAATCTGGCCATAGTATAGGCAATAGATTGGAAGGAGACAAGTATATAAGAGATGAGACCAGGCTGGGTGGATCACCTGAGGTCGGGAGTTCGAGACCAGCCTAAACAACATGGAGAAACCCTGTCTCTACTAAAAATACAAAATTAGCCAGGCATGGTGGCACATGCCTGTAATTCCAGGTACTCGGGAGGCTAAGGCAGGAGAATCGCATGAACCCAGGAGGCAAAGGTTGCGGTGAGCCGAGTTTGCGCCATTGCACTCCAGCCTGGGCAATAAGAGCGATTTAATTTAACTCTGTCTCAAAAAAAAAAAAACAAGAGATGAGACAAATTAGTAGGCTATTATAATCCCCACAGACTACGATGGTAGCTTTGACTATGGTGGTGGTATTGAAGAAGGAAAGAAATAGATTTAATATATATTTTGGAGGAAAATCTATGAGAACTTGCTAAAGTTCTCAGTGTGGGGTATAACTAAATAGTTGGTGGTGCCATTCACAGTGATGGGATGTACAAAAGGAAAAGTTGAAATGAGACTCAAGTGGGAAAAACTATAGGAGATAGAGTTCAGTTCTGAAAATGTTTGGTTTCAGTTGCCCCTGTGATATCCAAATGCAAATGTCAAGTTTGTAGTTAAACACATGGGTTTAAAGCTCAAATGAGGTCTGGAGTAAAGACAGGAATTTGGGGGTCATCAGCACATAGATTTTATCTGAAGCCAAGATAATAGATGAGATTACTTAGGAAGAGAATGTAGCATGAGAAGGAACAAAACTAGGGATGTGTAAAGCATGTAGCACATACACAGCACATAGTAAGAAATCAACGAATGGTAGCTTCTCTTATTCTTAATCATCATTGACATTACTAAGCCTAACACAACAAAAAGGACAGCTTGATGGATAGGAAAAATACTGAGTCTACAGTTAACTTCAAGAGTTCAAAGATGCAGTTATCCCTTTTCCAGCTGATTTCAGTTCTGAATAACACAAAAGATAAATACATGAAAGAGAATAATATTTTACTGCCAAATCCATTTAACAAACATTCAATGAGTGCCTAAACTAGGCCTAGCCACTGTGAATACTGAAATGTGTAATAACAGCATCTCCATTTATGGGGCAACTACTGCGTGCCTGGTACTCTGTAAGGATTACCTAATTTAATCCTCACAAAGAGTCTCTGAAGTAGTTTGGTATCATTATCCCCATTACGCACGATGAAACCAACACTCAAAAAGATTAAATAACTTGTCCAAGATCAGAGAGCTATAAGTAGCAGAGTTAGGACTCAAACTCAGGTAGTCTGAATCCAGAGTCCATAGTTTTTCCACTATGTTACATTACCACAAGCTCACATAAGGAGATAAAATGGAGCCATAGAAACTCCAGGAAAAAATTGTTAAAGTATATGTTGTAAGCTATATTAGAAGTAACAAGAAAAAGAATATATAATAATTACTGAGCAGGCATTGCTTTATCTGTCAGGCACTGTTCACAGTGTTTTACAGATAGTGACCAATTTAATTCACACAACAGCCAACTTGATGAAACAGGCAGTCTTACTCTCAATTTACAGGTGTGAAAGCTGAGGCACAGAGAGATTAAGTAACTTGTCCAAGGTCACACTTATTATGACAAAGCTTGGATTCAAAATCAGACAATCAGTTTTAGAAATAAAAGAAGAACAATGGAGAATCACAGAAGCCTTCAAGAAGATGATGAGATTTAAGTTAGATCCTTAAAAAAAAATAAAAGTAGGATTTAGAGAAGCTAGGAAGAAGGCATCCCATTTGAAACAGCAGCAGCTACCATTAACAGGTTCTCCAAAGCAGAGTTGGAAGTGTAAAGAAGCGTGAATACATCTCCCTCACCATTCCCTATGCAAAGCTGCCTTCACCAAACTGGACAGTTCTTTGAAAAGCATAAGTATGAGAGAGGCCAAAGGTAAAATTTAGAGAGCTGTTGATTAGGGACAGATCATAAGACTTCTGTGTAAGTCTTAGGCCTCTGCTTATGTATGTTTGGGGCTGGTAAGTAGAGCTTCACATTCCAAATGCTAGAGCCTCTAGTCCCTGTACACTTTGTTTTTCTTGTTTGTTTCTCTACTTCCTGTTGGATAGCTAAAAAACAATAAAGCAACCCAGAAAGCAACAACATAGCTGAAAGGAACAAACAGTTAAAGATACAAGGCTTTGAAAAAGGTAAAAGAATCCCAGCGTGCTACAACTACTAAAAACAGGCAGGAGGTAGCTACATTGAGCCAGGATATAACCACATAGATAGAATTATTTACCCATGTCATCCCACTGTCTTCATTCTGCCTCTGGTAAGGCACCTCAATTCCCATCCTTAAGACGGTTATCCTTTACATTTGATTCCCTGTCTATCTCAAGAGACAGCTAAATAAAGAAACTACCCAGATAATGAACTATCCAACGGAATTCAATAGCATCCCATATCCCATATACTAGTGTGTGAACTGACTTGAATTAAATCCCAGGTAATAATTCAAATGCCATAAAGCCTTAGCCCAAAGCATGGCGGAATTGTAGGCCCTGATGCAGTTGTGGAAGATCATTTTAGGAAGAACTTCCTTTCAGTCTCTCAATTCACACCATGTAAGGTGGTGACAGGATAGTCATAAGCCCCATTTAAATTTCCTTTCTTTGAATTTTAGGTTGTAAAATTTTAAACAAAATTCATTTATCTGCTTATTTCAAATGTTTTATATAAACATTGAAGAATATTTGAAAAGCATGTTCACACACACCAGAGAGACAGAGAGCGAGAGAGAGAGAGAGAAGGCAAACATCACCCCTAGTTACACCACTCATTCTTGAATTCAACAAATATTTACTGACCACTGCCTAGAACTAACAGAGCATAATTTATCACCACTCACCCCCTACCTTCTTTCTTATTGGCATCTCTAGTGGTGAAAAGGCTCTTTTAGCAAAATAATGAACATTAATGAATATTAATTTTTTAAAAAAGATTTGTCATATAGATGCCCCACTAAGAAGCAACTGAAAGATTTAAGCTTGTTTCCAAAGGAGATATAATCAACTATTCTACAAAGCCATCTTCAACTGTACCTGAAAGAAGTCTCCAGCGAAAGTGCATGGCTTTGATCACTAAGGAAACAGCCAGAGCCCTAGAGGTAGAAAGAAGCATAGAAAGTAGAAGCTAGAGTATCATTAGGGAAAGAATGGGCTTCCTGAGCATTCATCTAACTCATCTGTAATTTGAACAGCTAGAAAAAGTACAGAATGCTTTTTTGCACCATCCTAAGGATTCAAAGCATGCTCACAATTAGTGATTTATAAGATTGTGTTCTTTCTGGTGGTGAACTTCATCTTGAAGCCCCTCCAGACATTTTAGGGTATAAATTGAAGGGTTATTACAGGCCAGATGCTGGGAATGCATCACTGAGCAAGAGCAATAAACACAGGCCCTGACATCCCAGGGCTTAGAGTGTAGTTTCCACAGAAGCAAATAGAAATTTTCAGAACTGTGTGGTAAGTGCTATAATCAGGCAAGCACTGAAGGCACAGGGGTCGGGGGTCAAGGAAAGCTTCCTAGAGGAAACAGTATCTAGATTAACAGTTTAAAAAATAAGTAATTAGTAGAGGTTAGGAGGAAATATCCCTTCAATAAGAAATTGATAAACTATATTTTATAAGATAGTTTTATTGTATTGGCAAATATGGGGGATAAGAATAAAACTGCTTGATAAACTAAAAAAAAGACAATGGAAGAAGAAAATAAAACCACACTATAAATAACACAAAGGAGAAATGATACTGATAATAACCCAGTAGGTGATATGTGTTATACAGAATAAAAAGTAAAAAAAAATGTAAATAAATAAGGAGCTTAAATGATTTAAAATAACACAATAGATAAAAAGGATAGACAAATAGACAAAGGAGATCCAATGTAAACATAATTGAGAAACATAAAGAATACAACAAAACATGGGCTAGAAAGTATTTAAATCTTCCCAGAAACAAACAAAAAAGAAAAATAAATGCACAGATTGAAAAAAAACATACCACAACCCTATAAAAGTTGATACAGAATTATTAACACTAAAATATATCTTAGTAAAGCAACTGAATTTCAAGAATAAAGAATCTTCTAGGAATCTAGACAATAAATTAAAGTCATTAATAAGGGAATATATCAGGCTGGTTTCATTTGTTTCTAGAACAATATTCAGCACTAGAAGAAAATGAAACAATGTCTACCAAACCTTCAAGAGAAGAAATATGTCTTATTATGCATTCTTTCACAAACAAAAGCAACAAGTGTTTTGGATCATACAGGAACTTAGGGAACATGAACACTTGAGCACTTCCTTAAAAAACTATTGGAAGAAAAATAACCTACACAAAAAAATGATGGATTGTCTCTGGCAAGATGGCTAGCACTTTGCACAGAAACCATTTAGCTACAGGACTAGGATGAAAACAACCTGGAAAATTATGGCTCCAGAATAGAATGTAAATCTTATAAATAAAAATACAAGAATTATATAACTAAAAAAGTAAAGACAGGCAAGGACAGAGAAGGCAGGACTTATTGTAGGTGTATTGATTTTTTCACATTTTATTTTATTTTTATATTCTTAAATGAGAGACCAGGATGAAATGCTTTCTTAAAGAGATGGTGGGAGGGGGTTCTCATTTTGTTGCCCAGGCTGGTCTCGAACTCCTGAGTTCAAGTGATCCTCCGGTCTTGGCCTCCCAGAGTGCTGGGATGAAAGGTGTGAGCCACTACGCCTGGCCTTTTCATATTTTAAAGCTGGAAACCAAACGATATGATTTAAGGCTGATAAATCAAATGAGATATATAGGTATATTTTAAAGTATAAAGCTAAAAAGAACTAAGAAAATAGTACAACTAGGCTGGGCGCGGTGGCTCACACCTGTAATCCCAGCACTTTGGGAGGCTGAGGCGGGCAGATCACGAGGTCAGGAGTTCGAGACCAGCCTGACCAACATGGTGAAACCCCGTCTCTACTAAAACTACAAAAACTAGCCAGGCGTGCTGGTGCACACCTGTAATCCCAGCTACTCAGGAGGCTGAGGCAAGAGAATCACTTGAACCTGGGAGGTGGAGGTTACAGTGAGCCGAGATCATGCTATTGCACTCCAGCCTGGGCAACAGAGTGAGACTCTGTCTCAAAAAAAAAAAGAAAAAGAAAAACAAAATAGTACAACTAAATATAATTGGATGAAGGGGATGTAAGATGGTGGGAAAAGAACATAGGAGTAAAAAGAAGTAGGTTCATTTTATCCTTGCTTATGCAGTCAATAGACACCATCTTTAAAATTGGAAGATTAAATACATGAAGTTATAGTTAAAATAGTAACTATCTGAAGAAATAGAAAATACAATCTTACAAACTATTGGTATAAACTCCCTTTCTCTCTCTCTCTCTTTCTCTCTCATGCACACATATACACTCAAAAGAGTTATAAAAGCTCTCTAAGAAAAGCATTAATGGCCGGGCAGGGTGGCTCATGCCTATAATCCCAGCACTTTGGGAGGCCGACACGGGCGGATCACGAGGTCAGGAGATCAAGACCATCCCGGCTAACACGGTGAAACCCCGTCTCTACTAAAAATACAAAAAATTAGCCGGGCATGGTGGCGGGCGCCTGTAGTCCCAGCTTGAACCCGGGAGGTGGAGCTTGCAGTGAGCCGAGATTGGGCCACTGCACTCCAGCCTGGGCAACAGGGCAAGACTCCGTCTTAAAAAAAAAAAAAAAAGAAAGAAAGAAAAGAAAAGCATTAATGCAGCAGGTCCATTTTATTTGGTTCTTACTTAGCTCTATAGCCATAGCAATAACACTTGCTCAAACTCAGGAGTAAGTTATAGAAATATTCACTGAGTTACTGATTAGGAATGTTATTTCATATTCCTGAGGCAGTGGGTCAAGATGAACCAGACTATCAGTATTCTTTTTTTTTTTTTTTTGAGATGGAGTCTCGCTCTGTTGCCCAGTCTGGAGTGCAGAGGCACGATCTCGGCTTACCGCAAGCTCTGCCTCCCGGGTTCACACCATTCTCCTGCCTCAGCCTCCTGAGTAGCTGGGACTACAGGCACCCCACCACCACTCTCGGCTAATTTTTTTGTATTTTTAGTAGAGACGGGGTTTCACCGTGTTAGCCAGGATGGTCTCAATCTCCTGACCTCGTGATCCACCTGCCTGGGCCTCCCAAAGTGCTGGGATTACAGGCGTGAGCCACCATGCCCGGCCAACATTCTTAAAGTAAATGTAAAGATTCATAATGTGCAGCTGGCACCTGGTTTAAGATTCACACTATGGCTGGCCATGTCACCATTCCCCTTTGAGAACTCCACATCCCAAGAAGTGAGTGGACTTCCCTGAATGGAGACATCTCACATATATATCTCTTTGGTTAGCAGATGTGGAGAGAACAGAAATTGGAATCATGCCTGTGACTTCTGCAGCCTTTATCTATGCATATACTTTCCTACTGTTCTTGTACTGTATCATTTGATGTAATAAATCTTACCCATGAGAAAATTCTGGTTCCAAAATGGCAGCATGGAAGCAAGCAGGCTTCACTTACTCCACGTACACCAAAAACAAAACATAAATATATAGCACCAAGATTATCAGGAGCAATGTCTCAGGATTCAAATATGAGGATAAGACAGTACCTGGGGCCACAGAAAAGTAAATAAAAACTCTGAGGAGATGGTAAGAGAAAAAGACTTCCATATTCATGACATCACTCTCCCCAGTCTGCCCAGAACCAAGCACACAACTCACAATTTCTACACTGGAAAAAGTAAGATTTGAGTGGACAACCAGTTTCCCCACCATCTCGGGTTCCTTGGCAAAAGACCTTTCCCTGCCTCAACCCATGGGAAGCATCATGAGTGCCTGAAGGGAGAAATATTACTGAGGAGAGGCAGAGATAAAGGTGGGAGGAAGGACTACAGTCTGCAGCCCTGGAAATTCTGATCTGTAACTTGGATAACAGAGACACTAATTCAGTGTGGTTGGTCAGCAGCACCATGCTACAGGACATTCATTCCACAGGTCCCCTGGACACGAACCCCTAGCCAGCCTTCCTACACCACCAGGATATCTCCTTTGAAACCTCCTCCATTCTGGACAGCTGGCACTCTAATTGTTGACTAGAACCAAGGCAAATCCAGGCTTACGGCACCGTCTAATGCCAAAAAGATAGTAACCTGGCCAGAAAAAATAGAGAAAGAAAGTCAAAAGGTATATTACAAAGAATCTCTAAGCAAACATATCCAATAAAAACCAAAACAAGCCAGAGAAGAATGGAATAAATTAAGTCATTCTTCAATGCAAAGGCATAGATGTATATCCACAGAAAACAACAGCAAACATGAAACCATAACCTCTTCAAATGGAAAAAACAAGGAATCAGTGACTAACCCTAACAAGATGGCAATATGTGAACTCTCTGACCAAGAATTCAAAATAGCAGTTTTAAGGAAACTCAGTGATCTCAAGATTACACAAAGCAAGCAATTCATAAATTTATTAGAAAAATTTTAGAAAGAGATTGAAATAATTTTTTTAAAAATCAAACAGAAATATTGGAAATAAGAAATATATTAAACTAAAACACTCATCACGGGCTCTCATCAGCAGAATGCATCAAAAAGAAGAATGGATCAGTGAGCTCAAAGACAAGATATCTGATATATACAGACGGGAGAAAAAAGCAAAAAGAATGAAAAGGAATGAAGATCATCTACAAGATATGGAAAATGACCTCAAAAACAACAAATGTAAGAATTATTGGTGTTCAAAAAGGAATTGGGCAAGAGCAAAGGGAAGAAGGCTTATTCAAAGAAACAATAACAGAAAAAATTTTAAAGCTTGAGAAAGAGATAAATATCCAGATCAAGAAATGTTAAAGGAAACCAAGCAGATTTGACCCATATAAGACTATGCAAAGGCATTTAATAATCGATCTCTCAAAGATCAAGGACAAAGAGAGGATCCTAAAAGCAACAACAGGAAAGCAGCAAATAACATATAAGGCACTCCAATTCATCTGGCAACAGATTTCTTAACAGAAACCATAGTGGCCAGAAGGAGGGAGTAAGATCACATTCTCAGCCGGGCGCGGTGGCTCACACCTGTAATCCCAGCACTTTGGGAGGCTGAGGCGGGCGGATCATAAGGTCAGGAGATCGAGACCATCCTGGCTAACACGGTGAAAACCCGTCTCTACAAAAAAAATAGAAAAATTAGCCGGGCGTGATGGCGGGCGCCTGTAGTCCCAGCTACTTGGGAGGCTGAGGCAGGAGAATGGCGTGAACCCGGGAGGCGGAGTTTGCAGAGAGCCGAGATCACGTCACTGCACTCCAGCCTGGGCGACAGAAACAGACTCGTCTCAAAGAAAAAAAAAAAAAAAGATCACATTCTCAAAGTGCTAAAAGAATAATTTAAAAACAAAAAACACTCAAGACATACTGTATCTAGCAAAGCTATCCTTCAAATATAAATGAGAATTAAAGTCTTTCCCTGGCAAACAAAAGCTGAGAGAATTCTTCATCACAACATTCATCTTACAAGAAATGCTGAAGGAAATTCTTCATTCGGAAAGAAAAAACATGCAAAAATAAAATATTTGAATGTACAAAACTCATTGGCAAAATTAAGTACATGGACAAACCCAGAATAATCTAATAATGTAATTGTGGCATGCAATTCACTTATAACTCTAGTATGAAGCCCAAAAGAAAAATCTATCAAAAGCAATAATAGCTAAGTCACTAAGTTGTGGGTTAAAAAAACAATAAGAGCAACAGCAGCCTGTTAAGAGAAAGGCAATATAAAAATATGTAAATTGAGACAACATAAACTCAAAATAAGGGGGTGATAGAGTAAAAGTATAACTACTTTTTTCATTTTTCTCTTGCTTTTATTCTTGTGATCTAAGATAATTTGTCATCTCTTTAAAAAACATATCTATGAAATGGTTTATATCTACAAAATGATTTCTGTAAGCCTCATGGTAACCACAATTCAAAAATCTGTAATTATTTAACTAAAAATTAAAAAAACAAATTAAAATGTACTACCAGAGACAATCTCTTAACCATAAGATAGTAAGAAAGAAAAAAAAAAGAGTAATTGTAAAACAACCAGAAAATAAGCAACATAATGGCAATAGTAGTCCTTACCAATAATAATATTGAATATAAATAGACTCAATTCTCCAATTAAAAGGCATAGAGTGACTGAATTGATAAAGAAACAAAATCCAACTATATGCTTCCTATAAGACACATACTTCAGAGTCGAGGTGGAACAAGATGGTGGAATAGAAAGATCTACCAATTGTTCCTCACAAAGGACACCAATTTAACAGCTATCTACACACATAAAAAAGCACATTCATAAGAACCAAAAATCAGGTAAACACTCACAGTACCTGGTTTTAACTTCATGTCACTGAAATATATACTACAGAGGTAGGAAAAACAGTTTTGAATCACCGATGCCACCTGTCTCCCATACCTTGGCAGTGACAGTGTGGTGTTGAGAGCATTTTTGTGTCCTGAGGAGAGGGAGACTGCAGCAATTGTGAGGAATTGAACTCAGTGCTGCCTTATTATAATAAAAAACAAAATTGGACCAAACAGCTAATGCCTGTCCATGGAAGGAACATCTATTCGTCCATTCACATTGCTATAAAGAAATGCCTGAGACTGGGTAATTTATAAAGAAAAGAGGTTTAATTAGCTCATGGTTCTGCAAGATGTACAGGAAGCATGACAGCTTCTGGAGAGGCTGGAGGGAGCTTTTACCCATGGTAGAAGGCAAAGCAAGAGCAAGCATTTCACTTGGTGGAAGCAGGAGTGAGAGAGAAAGGGGAAAAGTGTCACAAACTTTTAAATGACCAGATCTCATGAGAACTCACTCACTATCACACGGACAGTACCAAGTGGATGATGCAAAACCATTCATGAGAAATCCGCCCCTATGATCCAATCACTTCCCATCAGGCCCCATCTCTAGCACTGGGGGATTACAATTCAACATGAGATTTTGGTGAGGACACAGATCAAACCATATCACAGTATTTAAACCAGCCCTAGCCAGAGGGGAATCCATCGAGGCCACAAGAACTGCAACATCTAGGTGAGTCCTAGTGCTGAACTTGGCCCAGGGAGAGTGGACTGGGGGAACACATGGTCTACTGAGACACCAGGCAGAGTAGCTAAGAAAGTGTTGGCATCACCCCTTGCCTAACCCCAGGGTTCACAGCTTGCAGCAACAACAACAACAAAAGACCTCTTCCTCTGCTTGAAAAGAGAAGAGAGAAGAGTGGGAAGGACTTTGTCTTGAATCTTGAATACCAGCTCAGTCAGAGCAGAAAAGAGCACTGATCAGGGTCATGAGGCCCCCTTTTCAGGCCCTAGATCTTGGACGACACTTATAGGCACACACCCAGCCAAAAGGGAACACTCTGACTTGACAGGAAGCACCCAGTCCTGGCAGGATTGATAACCTGCTAACTGAAGGGCCCTTGGACCCTCAATAACCAGCAGTGATACCTAGGTACTACATTGAGGCGCTTGGGTGAGACTTGCTGGCTTCAGGTGAGACTCAGCATATTCCCAAATATGGTGGCTATGGGGCAAGATTCCTTCTGCGGAAAAGTAAAGGGGACTTTGTCTTGCACCTTAGGTACCAGGTCAGCCACAGAAAAGTAGAGTGGGCTCCTGGGGCCCCCAATTCCAGGCCTTGGCTTTGGTTCCTGAAACTCGCCTGGACCACAGGAGATCCCACTGCACTGAAAGGTGAGTCCCAAGCCAGGTAGCATTTACAACAAGCTGACTGAAGAGTCCTTGAGACTTAAGGGAAAATCGGTAGTAGTCTGGCAGTCATCACCGTGGATATGAGGTGGCAGTGGCCACAGGGTGAGGTTCTGTGCCTTTGGAAAGGGGAGAAAAGAGTGGGAAGGACCGCATCTAGTGGTGTGAGTACCAGCTAAGTTATGGTACAAAAAAACACCAGGTAGATTTCTAATATTTTTGACCTTAGTCCTTGGCACTCAGATGGCACCACTGGGACCATATAAGGCCTGGGGGAACCTGTCGCCCTGAAGGGTAACACATAGGCCCGACTGGCTTTGCCACCTGCTAATTGTAGAGCCCCAAGGCCTAAAGTGAACATAGGCAGTAGACAGGAAGTGGTTACAATAAGCCTTGGGCAAGAACCAGTGATGTTCTGACCCAGAACAGTCATAGTGGTGGTGGCCACAGGGCTGCCTGTGTCACTCCACCTCTGGCTCCAGGTGGTTCACAGCAGATAGAGAGATCTCATTTGTTTGGGAGAAAGAAAGGGAAGAAAACAAGTCTCTGCCTGGTAATTCAGAGGATTCTTCTGGATCTTGTCCAAGACCATCAAGGCAATACCTCTATGAGTCTGCAAGAATCACAGTGTTACTGGGTTTGGGGTGCTGCCAAATTCAGATAGAATTTACATCACAACATGCAAGTCATTTCAAATATCTGAAAAGCCTCCCCACTAAGGGTGGGTACAAACAAGTTGCGACTGAGAAGACTAAAAGAAATACCTAACTCTTCAATGTACAGAGACAGAGGAATATCTACAACTATCAAGACAATTCAGGAAACCATGACCTTACCAAATGAGGTACATAAGGCACCAGGGACCAATCCTGGAGAAACAAGAGATATGTGACCTTTCAGATAGAGAATTCAAAATAACTGTGTTGAGAAAATTCAAAGAAATTCAAGAAAACACACAGAAGGAATTCAGAATTCTGTCACTCAAATTTAACAAAGCATCAAAATAATTTGGAAGAATCAAGAAGAAATACTGAAGAAATGGAAGTAGCATAATTAAGAATGCATTATAGTCTTTTAATAGCAGAATTGATCAGGCAGAGGAAAGAATTAGTGGGAATGAAAATAGGCTATCTGAAAATACACAGGTAGAGGAGACAAAAGAAAAAAGAATAAAAAACAATGAGCACATCTACAGGATCTAGAAAATAGCCTCAAAATATAAATTAAAGAGTTATTGGCCTAAAAGATGAGGTAGAGAAAGAGATAGTGGTAGAAAATTTATACAATGGGATAATAACAGAGAACATCCCAAACCTAGAGAAAGATATCAATATCCAAGTACAAGAAGGTTATAAAACACAAAGCAGATTTAACCCAAAGAAGACTACCTCTAGATATTTAATAATTAAACACCCAAAGGTCAAGAATTTTAAAAGGATCCTAAAATTGGCAAGAGAAAAGAAACAACATAAAATTGAGCTCCAAAACGTCTGGCAACAGACTTTTCAGTGGAAACCTTTTAGGTCAGGAGAGAGTGGCATGACATATTTCAAATGCTAAAGAAAAAAAATTTGCCCTAGAATAGTATATACAGCAAAATTATCATTCAAATATGAAAGAGAAATAAATACTTTCCAAAACAAACAAAAGGTGACAGATTTCATCAACATCAGACCTGTCCTACAAGAAATGTAAAAGGGAGTACTTCAATCAGAAAGAGAGGAAAATTAATGAGCAATAAGAAATCATCTGAAAGTATAAAACTCACTGGCAATAGTAAGTGTACAGAAAAACACAAAATACTGTAACACTGTAACTGCGGTGTGTAAACTACTCTCATCTTATGTAGAAAGACTAAACAATGAACCATGGCAGGAGAATCACTTGAACCCGGGAGGCAGAGGTTGCAGTGAGCTGAGGTCATACCACTGCACTCCAGCCTGGGCGACAGAGTGAGACTCCATTTCAAATAATAATAATAATAATAATAACCACAAAAAACTTTACAGACATAGAGCAATAAGATATAAATGAAAACTACAAAAAGTTAAAAAGTATGGGAATGAAGTTACGACGTAGAGCCTTTATCAGTTGTCTTTTTGCTTGTTTCCTTGTTTATGCAAAGTGTTAAGTTTTCATTAGCTTAAAATAATGGGTTATAAGATTGTGTTTACAAGCCGCATCGTAATCTGAAACCAAAAAATATACAACACACACAAAGTTAAAAGCATGAAACTAATTTATATCACCAGAGAAAATCACTTTCACTAAAAGGAAGACAGGAAGAAAAGAAAGAAGAAAGAGAAGACCACAAAACAACCAGAAAACAACAAAATGGCAAAAGTAAGTCTTGACTAATCAATAATAACATTGAATGTAACTAGAATAAACACTAAAATCAAAAGACATAGAGTGATGGAATGGATTAAAAACAAAACCAATCAATCTGTTCCCTACAAGAAACACAATTCACCTATAAAGACACACATAGCATAAAAATAAAGAGATGCAAAAAGATATTCCATGCCAATGAAAATAAACAAAGAGCAGGAGTTGTTATACTTATATCAGAAAAATTAGATTTCAAGATAAAACCTGTTTAAAAAGCCAAAAAGGTCACTATATAATGATAAAGATGTCAATTCAGTGAAAGGATATAACAATTTTAAATATATATGCACCCAACCCTGGAGCACGCAGATATATAAAGAAAATATTATTAGAGCTAATGAGAGAGACAGACCCCAATACAATAATAGCTGCATAATTCAACACCCCATTTTCAACACTGGACAGATCGCCCAGACAAAAAATCAACTAAGAAAAATCGGACTTAATCTGCATTATAGACCAAATGGACCTAATAGATATGTAAGGAACTTTTGATCCAACAGCTGCAGAATACACATTCTTTTCCTCAGCACATGGATCATTCTCAAGTAGAGAACACGTTAGGTCACAAAATTTGTCTTCAAACATTAAAAAAATGGAAAAAATATGAAGCATCTTCTCTGATCAGAATGAAATAAAACTAGAAATCAATAACAAGAGGAACCTTAGAAACTATAAAAATACATGGAAAGTAAATGATATGCTCCTGAATGACCAGGGTGTCAATGAAGAAATTACGAAAAAAAATTAAAAATTTCTTGAAAACAATGATGATGGAAACGCAACAGACCAAAAGCTATGGGATACAACAAAAGCAGGACTCAGAGGGAAGTTTATAGCTATAATTGCTTACATCAAAAAAGAAAAAAACCTTTAAATAAACAACCTAATGGTCTATCTTAAAGAACGAGGACAGCAAGAGTGAACCAAACCCAAAACCAGTAGAAGAAAAGAAATATTAAAGATTAGAGCAAAAATATATGAAATTTTAAAGAAGAAAACAATACAAAAGGACAATGACACAGAATTTGCTTTTTTGGAAAGTTAAACAAAATTGATAAATCTTTAGGTAGACTAAGAAAAGAGAGAAGACCCAAATAAATAGAATCAGAGATAAAACAAGGAGACATTACAACTGATACCACAGACATTCAAAGGATCACTAATGGCTCCTATAAGTAAGTATATGCCAAAAAATTGGAAAATCTAGAGGAAATGGAAACATTTCTAGACAGATACAACCTACCAAGACTGAATCATGAAGAAATTTAAAATGCGAGCAGACCAATAACAAGTAACAAGATCAAAGTCACGATAAAAAGACTCCCAGTAAAGAAAAGTCTGGAACTCAAGAGCTTTACTGCTGAATTCTACCAAACATTTAAAGAAGAACTAATACCAATCCTACTCAAACTATTCTGAAATATAGAGGAAAGGAATACTTCCAAACTCATTCTACGAGGCCAGTATTACCCTGATAACAAGCTACATCAAAAAGAAAACACACACACACACATCAGCCAATATCTCTGATGAGATTGAAAGCAAAAAAATGAATAAAGCATAAAGTTGGTTCTTAGAAAAAATAAAGAAAATGCATAGCCCAGTAACTAGATTAACCTAGAAAAGAAGAGAGAAGATTCAAATAAGTTCAATTAGAAATGAAACTGTAGCTCATTGAGCTTGCCTGCAGCTCTCAGGGTTCCTGTGACTTTCTTCATCGTTGGAGCCAGGCCTACATGCCAGCAACCATGTCGAAGGGACCTGCAGTTGGTATTGATCTTGGCACCACATACTCTTGTGTGGGTGTTTTCCATCAGGGAAAAGTAGAGATAATTGCCAATGATCAGGGAAACTGAACCATTCCAAGCTATGTCACCTTTATGGACACTGAACGATTGATCAGTGATGCCTCAAAGAATCAAGTTGCAATGAACCCCACCAACGCGGTTTTTGATGCCAAACGTCTGTTTGGACACAGATTTGATGATGCTGTTGTCCAGTCTGCTATGAAGCATTGGCCCTTCATGGTGGTGAATGATGCTGGCAGGCCTAAGGTCCAAGTAGAATACAAGGGAGAGACCAAAAGCTTCTATCCAGAGGATGTGTCCTCTATGGTTCTGACAAAGATGAAGGAAATTGCAGAAGCCTACCTTGGGAAGACTGTTACCAATGCTGTGGTCACAGTGCCGGCTTACTTTAATGACTCAGTGTCAGGCTAACAAAGATGCTGGAACTATTGCTGGTCTCAATGTACTTAGAATTATTAATGAGCCAACTGCTGCTGCTATTGCTTACAGCTTAGACAAAAAGGTTAGAGCAGAAAGAAACATGCTGATCTTTGACCTGGGAAGTGGCATTTTTGATGTGTCAATCCTCACTATTGAGGATGGAATCTTTGAGGCCAAATCTACAGCCAGAGACACCCACTTGGTGGAGAAGATTTTGACAACCGAATGGTCAACCATTTTATTGCTGAGTACAAGCGCAAGCATAAGAAGGACATCAGTGAGAACAAGAGAGCTGTAAGACGCCTCCGTACTGCTTGTGAACGTGCTAAGAGTACTGTCTCTTCCAGCACCCATGCCAGTACTGAGATCGATTCTCTCTCTGAAGGAATCGACATCTATACCTCCAGTACCTGTGCCTCATTTGAAGAATTGAATGCTGACCTGTTCCTTAGCACCCTGGACCCGGTAGAGAAAGCCCTTCGAGATGCCAAACTAGACAAGTCACAGATTCATGATATTGCCCTGGTTGGTGGTTCTACTCATATCCCCAAGATTCAGAAGCTTCTCCAAGACTTCTTCCATGGAAAATAACTGAATAAGAGCATCAACCCTGATGAAGCTGTTGCTTATGGTGCAGCTGTCCAAGCAGCCATCCTGTCTGGAGACAAGTCTGAAAATGTTCAAGATTTGCTGCTCTTGGATGTCACTCCTCTTTCCCTTGGTATTGAAACTGCTGGTAGAGTCATAACTGACCTCATCAAACATAATACTACCATTCCTACCAAGCAGACACAGACCTTCACTACCTATTCTGACAACCAGCCTGGTGTGCTTATTCAGCTTTATGAAGGTGAGCATACCATGACCAAGGACGACAACCTGCTTGACAAGTTTGAACTCACAGGCATACCTCCTGCACCCCGAGGTGTTCCTCAGATTGAAGTCACTTTTGACACTAATTCCAATGGCATCCTCAATGTTTCTGCTGTGGACAAGAGTACAAGAAAAAAGAACAAGATTACTATCACTAATGACAAGGGCCATTTGAGCAAGGAAGACATTGAATATATGGTCCAGGAAGCTGAGAAGTACAAAGCTGAAGATCAGAAGCAGAGGGAAAGTGTCATCCAAGAACTCACTTGATTCCTGTGAATTCAACATGAAAGCAACTCTCAAAGATGAGAAACTTCCAGGCAAGATTAACGATGAGGACAAACACAAGATTCTGCACAAGTATAATGAAATTATCAACTGGCTCGATAAGAATCAGACTGCCGAGAAGGAAGAATTTGAACATCAGCAGAAAGAGCTGAAGAAAGTCTGAAACCCCATCATTACCAAGCTGTACCAGAGTGCAGGAGGCATGCCAGGAGGAATGCCTGGGGGATTCCCTGGTGGTGGAGCTCCTCCCTCTGGTGGTGCTTCCTCAGGGCCCACCATTGAAGAGGTTGATTAAGCCAACCCAAGTATAGATGTAGCATTGTTCCACACATTTAAAACATTGAAGGACCTAAATTTGTAGCAAATTCTGTGGCAGTTTTTAAAAGTTCAGCTGCTATAGTAAGTTACTGGGCATTCCTAATGCTTGAATATGGAACATATGCACAGGGGAAGGATATAACATTGCACTTTATAAACACTATTGTACATGGAAAAATGCAATGTCTTAAATAAAACTATTTAAAATTGGCAAAAAAAGAAATGAAATGGTAAACTTTAAACTTTACAACTGACTCCACAGAAATACAAAGGATCATTCAAGACTATTATGAAAACCTCTATGCACATAAACCAGAAAATCTAGAAGAAATGAATAAACTCCTGGAAATATACAATCCGCCAAGCTTTGATCAAGAAGAAATAGAAATTCTGAACAGATCAATAGCAAGCAGTAAAATTTAATCAGTAATTAAAAAAAAAAAAACCACTGCCAAGAACAGCAACAACAACGAAAGCCCAGGTGGACCACAAGGATTCACAGCTGAATTCTATAAGACATTCAAAGCAGAATTGATACCAATCCTACTGAAACTATTTCAAAAGACTTAGAAGGAGGGACTCCTCCCTAACTCATTCTATGAAGCCAGTATCACACTGATACCAAAACCAAGAAAGGACACGACAACAACAATAAAACTACAGGCCAATATCTGAAAAATGTAGATGCAAAAAATCCTCAACAAAATACTAGCAACCCAAATCCAACAGCACATCCAAAAGATAATTCACCATGATCAAGTGTGTTTCATCCCAGATATGAAGTGATGGATCAACATATGCAAGTCAATAAATGTGTTTCACCACATAAATAGAATTAAATACAAAAACCATATGATCATCTCAATAGGCACAGAAAAAAGAATTCAATAAAATCCACCATCTCTTTATGTTTAACAACCCTTAACAAATAAGCATAGAAGGAACATACATCAAAATAATGGCAGCCATATATGACATACCCACAGCCAACATCATACTGAATGGGGAAAAGTTGAAAATTCTCACTAAGAACTAGAACAAGACAAGGACGTCCACTTTAACCACTTCTATTCAACATAGTACAGGAAGTCATAGAGCAATCAGGCAAGAGAAAGAAACAAAGGGCATTCAAATAGGAAAAGAGGAAGCCAAACTATTGCTGTTTGCCCATGATATTATCATATACCTAGAAAACCCTAAAGGCTCCCCCAAAAGACTCCTAGGTATGATAAGTGAAGTAAGTAAAGTCTCAATTCAGTATAGTACAAAATCAATGTGCACAAATCAGTAGCACTGCTATACAACAACAGTGACCAAACTGAGAATCAAATCAAGAACTCAATCCCATTTACAGTAGCTACAAAAAATATAATAACTAGGAATATATTTAAGCAAGGAGGTAAAAGATCTCTACAAGGAGAACTAAAAAACATTGCAGAAAGAAATCACAGATGACACAAATGGAAATAGATCCCATGCTTATGGATTGGAAGAATGGATATTGTAAAAATGACCATACTGTCAAAGCAATCTACAGATTCAATGCAATTCCTATCAAAATACCAACTTCATTTTTCACAGAACTAGAAAAAACAGTCCTAAGATTCATAATGGAACTAAAAAAGACCCCAAATATCCAAAGCAATCGTAATCAAAATGAACAAATCTGGAGGCATTATCTTCCTCAACTTCAAATCATATAATACTACAAGGCTATAGTAACCAAAACAGCATAGTACTGGTACAAAAGTAGATACACAGACTAATGGAACATAACAGAGAGCCCAGGAATAAATTCGTACATTTACAACCAACTGATCTTTGACAAAGCATACAAAAACATAAACTGGGAAAAGAACACCATATTCAATAAATGGTGCTAGGAAAATTGAAGAGCCACACGTAGAAGAATAAAACTGGATCCCTATCTCATCTTATACAAAAATTTAATGCCGATGGATTAAAGACTTAAATCTAAGGCCCGAAATCACAAATATTCTGAGGAAAACTTAGGGAAAAAACCCTTCTGGACATTGGCATAGGCAAAGAATTTATGATTAAGACCCCAAAAGCAAATGCAACAAAAACAGAAATAAATAAATGGAAACTAATTAAATTAAAAAGCTTCCACACAGCAAAAGAAATAATCATCAAAGTAAACGTACAACTCACAGCATGGGAGAAAATATTTGGAAATTATACATCTGACAAAGAACTAATGTCCAGAATCTACAAGGAACTCAAGTAAATCAGCAAAAAACCCACAAATAATCCCATCAAAAAGTGGGCAAATAACATGAATAGACAGTTTTTCAAAAGAAGATATACAAAGGGCCAAGAAACATATAAAAATCACCCAACACCTCTAATAATCAGGGAAATGCAAATTAAAACCACAATAAGATATCACCTTACGCAAGCCAGAATGGCCATTATTAAAAGGTCAAAGAGCAATGGATGTTGTCATGGACATAATGAAAAGGGAATGCTTATACACTGCTGGTGGGAATGTATATTTGTACAACCTCTATGGAAAACAGTATGGAGATTTCTCAAAGAATTAAAAGTAGATCTACCATTCAATCTTTTCCCAAAGGAAAAGAAGTCACTATATCAAAAAAAACTCTTATACATGTATATTTATTACAGCACAATTCACAATTGCAAAGATATGTAGTCAACCTCAGTGCCCATCAACCAATTAGTGGATAAAGAAAATGTGGTGCATATATATATATATATATATATATATATATATATATATATATGTACACACATACACATATACACCATGGAATACTAGTCACTCATGATAAAGAATGAAATAATGTCTTTTACAGCAACTTGGATGGAACTGGAGGCCATGATTCTAAGTGAAGTAACTCAATAATCGAAAACCAAATACCACATGTTCTTACTTATAAGTGGGACCTAAGCTACAGATATGCAAAGGCATACAGACTGGTATTAATGCACATTGGAGACTCAGAAGGGGAAATGTAGGAGGTGGAGGAAGGACAAAAAACTACTTATTGGGTACAATGTACAGAACTGAATTGATGGGTACATTAAAATCCCATTCTTCACCACTGTACAATTCATCTGTGTAACCAAACACCACTTATACCTCTAAAGTTGTTGAAATTAAAATATAAAATAAAATAATTTCAAATAGTCATATGCAGCTAGTGACTACCTGATTGGATGGCCATAGTTAATCAGTAATAAATGAAAAGCCTTATCTTATTAATGTGGTTGCCTTGGATTCCACTTTGTCTAGAATATTATGCTTTTTTTCTGCTTCAAATTGCTGATATATTTAGATATATTTACCTATCTCTCCATCTCTCTACATGTATATATATATAAACTAAGTAAATACAGTATATTCATACATGTATATATACTCAGTATATATTCATACATATATACTCAGTATATATTCATGCATGTATACATACTCAGTATATATTCAAGCATGTATATATACTCAGTATATATTCACGCATGTATATACTCAGTATATATTCACGCATGTATATATACTCAGTATATATTCACGCATGTATATGTACTCAGTATATATTCACGCATGTATATGTACTCAGTATATATTCACGCATGTATATGTACTCACTATATACACGCATGTATATGTACTCACTATATATTCACGCATGTATATGTACTCACTATATATTCACGCATGTATATGTACTCACTATATATTCACGCATGTATATGTACTCAGTATATATTCACGCATGTATATGTACTCAGTATATATTCACGCATGTATATGTACTCAGTATATATTCACGCATGTATATGTACTCAGTATATATTCACGCATGTATATGTACTCAGTATATATTCACGCATGTATATGTACTCAGTATATATTCACGCATGTATATGTACTCAGTATATATTCACGCATGTATATGTACTCAGTATACATAGTTTATATATACAGTTTGTGTATATATAGTCTTTCTGCTTTTCACCTTTAACAGTCACTTTTAGATATGTCTTTTATAAACCACAGAAACTACAGTTGAACCTTGTTTTCTAATTCAATCTGAGAATCTTTGTCTTATAATAGGAATGTTTAACCCACACACGTTTACTGGCATTTATTGGTCTTTCTTTAATTGTTCTATTTGCATTATGCTTTCTTCCTAATTTTTAATGTGTTTTTTTTTTTGCTGGAGTCATTTGTAAAGTATACTTTCTAGTTTTAATTCTGTAAGAGGTTACCCCAAAATTTAAAATAAATGAATTTATATTTCTCCTTGAAACTCTCTCTCTCATACCTCCTCTACTTTCCTACCCCACCCCTCTATCTCCCAGGTAATGGTGGCATAGTATGAGATTTTAGTCCGGTTTTTGTATATTTAAAATTATGTTGTCTACCCTTTCAAGAATTAATATATCCATTCTGTTTTGTAACCTTATCTATACTATTTAGACTAATTCTACATTCAAATAGATTCAATGCACACATAATTCTTTTTATAACATAGTCTATATTCTTAAGGTCTTTACTTTTTATTGTTTACAAGATGCTTTGAGAATTTATTTTGCATCTCCCCACCTCATTTCCCAAGGGTTCTATAGAGGGTATATTCTCTGAGCTCTTGCGTTTCTGAAAATATCTTTATGTTGCACTGTCAGGGTAGAGAACTCCTTGGTCAAAACATTTTCCCATCAAAAATGTAAATGTTCCACTATTTGTCTTCTGACATTTAACACTATGGAAAATTCTAAGGATATCCCATTTTTTTCTTTAGAGGTACCCAGTTTTTGGTTTTTGTTGTCTCTTTCTTTGACTAGATACTTATAGAAGTTTTTTCTTTATCCTTGAAATTCAGAACATTCATCAGGATTATATAGATATCAGTCATATCTTACTAGTTTCACTGATACCTTTTGATCTGCAGATTCAGCTGTTTCTTAATTTTATAGATGTTTTCTTCTATTATTGCTTCTATTGCATTTATTCTTGTCTTTCAGATATATAGATAAGCCATATTGAAATAGTCCGTCATTGTCTGTCTGAGATAACGCCTCTTTGTCCTACCTCCAAGACGATTAAGGAGCGCGGACACAAAAGTGAGCTTAGAGCGAAAGCTTAATAAGTGAAAGAAGAAAGCTCTCTGTCAGTAGAGAGGAGAGTCCTGAACAGGAATACTCACTGTGGGGCCCATTCTGGGGATTTTATGGACCGGAAAAGAGAAGAAATGTGCTTAGTCTGTGGGCTGTCTTGGCGAACCCGTGACTCAGCCTGGCCCGGGACTTTGGCAGGGGACCAATCAGAAGCCGAAATGATGATTCACAGATGCTGCTTAGCTTGCCCCAGGGCCTATCACAAGCTGACGTGAAAGTTTGGCCCGGGACCTTGGCCTGGAACCAATCCGGAGCTGAGGTGATGATTCATAGAAGCTGGACTTACAGTTTCTTTCGGTTTTTGTTTCTGTTTTTGTTTTGTTTTGAAACGGTGTCTCACTCTGCTGCCCAGGCTGGAGTGCAGTGGCGCAATCTTGGCTCACTGCAACCTCTGCCTACTGGGTTCAAGTGATTCTCCTGCCTCAGCCTCCTGAGCAGCTGGGACTACAGGCACGCGCCACCACACCCAGCTAATTTTTGTATATTTTTTAGTAGAGACGGAGTTTCACCATATTGGCCAGGCTGGTCTCGAACTCCTGACCTCGTGATCTGCCCAGCTCAGCCTCCCACAGGGCTGGGATTACAGGCGTGAGCCACCGCGCCCAGCCTGGACTTATAGTTCTAATAAAGGAAAGTAGAGTGCCCACCTAAACCCACCAGAGCCCACCGTGCCCATGCCCACAAAAGGAGAAGAAACTTTTCCTGGGAACCTGCTGACTATACAAAGGACCTTTGTCCTGGCATTTGGATGCCAGGCCTTGTTCCCTTATCTGAGTGAGCTGGAGGTTCTGTGTAAGTTTTATCCAAACGGGCAGGAGGTTGTTCTATCTGTGCAGCCATGGGCATGTCTTCAGGCACAACACCCTGTCCTAGTTCCCTTATCGGTGCCTGCAGCTTGAATTATTTTCCCAGGCTGCTTTTTATGTTATGTGGGGATGAGGCACTGACCCATGGGCTGGGGGGCTCTTCTGGGACCCTTCCCTTGCTGTCTACCTAAAGCAAGCTAGTTTACTCCTTTCAATATGTTGGTTCTACATTCACTGGCCCATTATATTTATTATTGATTTTCTTGTTATTTTTATCTCCTTGTTCTTTTCCTCTGCATTCTAGGAGAGCTTTGGGTTGCATCAAAAATTTCTGATTTTATTTCTGCATTCTCAAAACTGATCATACTGCTGCTGATTTATTTTTTACATGCCAGTATCATTTTTTTGTTCAAAGTTGACTTTTTGACATACAAAACAGCAATTTAATATGGTTTAAACTGAAAAATAAAAAAGAATAGTTACTGCAGTATCTATGGTGATTGTGACAAGCTAGAAATCCAATAAATGCCCATTAATATGGAAATGATTGAATAAACTGTGATACGTTCATATCATGAGCTATTATGCTACCACTAAGAGAACAACTGTGGAATTTACGCAAATTCCACTAGGTACTGATTAAAAGATATAGAAAAAATGTATTATATAATAATCACATTTTTAAATAATGTCCAAACAAAAGCCGTGTGTGTGTGTGTGTGTGTGTGTGTGTGTGTGTGTGTGTGTGTTTGAAACAGATGAAGGGACTTTAGAAAAATGTACAGAAGGATATGCACCAGGCTATTAACTCTGGTTACCTTGGGGAAGTATAAATTAGAAGGAAGAAAAGAAGAGGGGAGGACAACTTCCCCCAAAATTGTCCTTAACAATAGAGCAAGCATTAGACAATGATGCCATTTGTGAAAAGTTACCTAGGTATATATGTATACACAAAATAAGCCACACAAAATAAGCCATCCTAAAAGTGGCTATCTCAGGGTAGTGAGATTTTGGATACTTCTTTCTTCTTCTTCCCCCATCCCAACACATACCCATGTACATACACACAAAAAAAATACCCATAAATATCACACTCACACCTCCAAACCCACATAGCGTAAGCTAGTTTCTGGCTCAGTAATCTAGAGCATAAAGGTAATGGAGAGGAAGTCAGAACCATAAGCAATGCTGGCACGGGAACTTTGTCTTCATTTCCTCTATTTATTTTCTGTGCCCATGGCCAGACTCAGACCAGCCCCCTTCAGTATAATGGTTTCTACATCATAGTGTCCTGCTACCTTCCTTTCTAGCCCTGGCTCTTCCAAGTTAGGAAGAGTCTGTTAGCTCCAGGATTTCTTCTATTTTTTTTTTTTTTTTTTTTTTTTTTTTTTTTTTTTTTTTTTGAGACGGAGTCTCGCTCTGTCGCCCAGGCTGGAGTGCAGTGGCGGGATCTCGGCTCACTGCAAGCTCCGCCTCCCGGGTTCACGCCATTCTCCTGCCTCAGCCTCCCAAGTAGCTGGGACTACAGGCGCCCGCCACTACGCCCGGCTAATTTTTTGTATTTTTAGTAGAGACGGGGTTTCACCGTTTTAGCCGGGATGGTCTCGATCTCCTGACCTCGTGATCCGCCCGCCTCGGCCTCCCAAAGTGCTGGGATTACAGGCGTGAGCCACCGCGCCCGGCCCTTCTTCTATTTTTTGTTAGGCTGAAAACTTTTGAGTGGGGAGTTGTAAGACATCACCCAATTTTTATTTTTGTTTCCAAGTTTGGTCTTGTCTGCCCTCTATGTTGACAATTCTTTCCTTCTTTACATTCCAAGCTAAGACAAGTTTTCTATACTTTTTTAAAAATTCCATGGTCCTTTTGGAATATCCCTATTTCTTAAAGTCAGTCTCTTTTACTTACTTCTGAGCTCCATTTATTTAGAGTTCACCTTACCTGTTTAGAATCCTAAGCTTTATTTTGCCTTTCTAAGCAGTAATTATGATAATTATTGCTACAAAGATGTTGAATACTGCATTTCACAGGACCTGGAATAATCAACCAATCTCAATGCTTTCAAATTGACATGGCCCTTGAACCATATTTGAACTAGTAACAAAGCTTTAAAAGCCCCTACTCATCTTTAACATAGGCCCTCTGAGCCCTCAGCATCACACCCTCCGGCCCCATCAATGTTTTATGGAATCTAAATTAAAGGCTGTTTTCAAACTCTTAATTGTAAAGCATTACTTTCAATTTTTATAATGACCAAGACTAAATTTAGCTTCTTGGCATTGCTTAGATTGTTCCTAGTCAGAGAGAGACGAGGGCTGCTTAAACCTATAATCTTAGTTTCAATCCACACTCTATAATTTTCAGAGACGACAGTTCTGACAGGAAAATGCCTGGAAAGACACCAACCTCTGGGTCTCACAACTCTAAAAAACAGAACTTGCTGACAGATTTTGACAAAAGGACCCCAGCGAGTACACACTAGGGTAAGATTTCATATGAATAGGACACCATCCTGTTTGCCCTCAGACTTTTCAAATGTGGTCTTCTATGCACTATCTAACCCGCACCTTTCACCTCATTGGCATTGGTCCCCCTGTCACAGAACACGAGCAGGCAAAGAAACACTATACAAATTCAACTGCACCTGCACAGTAGAGATCTGTTGTGTAGTGGGGTCTAACATGAGACTATAGCGCAAAACTTTCTGCAAGTGAGCCAAACAGACCCTAGCTTGTATGAGTTAAAATCATTTCAAGTCAAACTGGTCATCACAAGGTACTGGCAGTCCTGACCAATTCATGATTCAGCACAGGTAGCAGCTACATTGAATGAACAAAGAGTTAAGATTAACCATGTTACAAAGAAAGAGAATGAATAGTTACATCCTAAAAACCCTCTCCTTGCACTCTCAAATAAAAATCTGTCCCTCACAGATCTACCAGGAGTCTGTAAATTCCCACCATAGGGATTACTCTTTTAGTTTAAAGTTATTAACTATCTTTGTTAAAATATAACTGGAAGATGCAGAAAAAGTAATTCCAGCCATTATTAAAAGCCTTAGGGCCCTAGAGGCATTTGTTTGCTATATTAGGCAGTTTCCTAGAAAAAAACTAATACTACCACGTTTGTAAACTGACTATAACCTATATGTTGTTCCTATGTTCATACCACAAAAATGACATATGTAAGAAGGACATATTATTGTCCTTGTTATTTGGTAAGAAAATTGAGACTTAAAGAGGTAAGATGACCATTCAGCCAACAACTGACGTCTGCACTAAGAGTGGTTCAAAAGAGAAAAATATTGATAGAAGAGAAGGGATCTGGAAAGACCCTGATCACTCGGAAGAAGGCTAGGGTGGGGCCCCATGGTAGGGACACTAAACAACCCAAAACCACTGAGTATCTGCTCAGTAAAGAGTAAAAAGGGTGTGCAGGCAAAGAAGACAAACTTGTCCTACTCCACAGCCTTGCAGAAGTTTGGTTCTGTCAGTTTCCCTTAAGAGTATGCATATCACCCTTTGAGTATCTTTCTAAAACATGTCATGCCATAATTTTGGGTCTGCCAGTGTCTAAAAATAAAATAAAGTAACATAAATATATCAAGAATTAAACAACCTGGGTTCTGGTTCTAGCTCCACTAACTACTAGCTCCATAACCATTCACATATTTTTCTATCTCTTTGAAGACTGACAAAAGAAGAATAGCCATAAATAATTCAATAGACCACAGGACTTAGGACAAGAAGTTTGAGGTTTCTTCATCATTCTCAGCAAAATATCACAAGGACAGAAAACCAAACACAACATGTTCTCACTCATAGGTGGGAATTGAACAATGAGATCACTTCGACACGGGGTGGGGAACATCACACACTGGGGCCTGTCAGGGGGTAGGGGGCTGGGGGAGGGATAGCATTAGGAGAAATACCTAATGTAAACGATGAGTTGATGGGTGCAGCAAACCAACATGGCACATGTATACCTATGTATCAAACCTGCACGTTGTGCACATGTACCCTAGAACTTAAAGTATAATAACAAAAAAAGAATTAAGAGCATTCTGTATCTTAAAAATAAACTCATCTTTCTTGTTAGACTTAAAAAAAAGATTGAGGTTTCTTTCAAGATTCAACAAAATCATTCATGATATTCAGTATGTTAATATAGTCTCCAGTAATACACAGGTGAACATAAACAGGTAAGGCCCCTGTTTATATCAACTAGCATTCTACTGGCAGAGAAGACAGATAATAAACAGAAAACTAATAAGCAAACAATACAAAAGGTATCTGATAGTGCTATGCAGAAAATAGATTTTGAGTCCTGACTGCATAAACCTGGGGCAAGTGAATTGTCTTCTCATCTTTAAAAGAATACTAACAGCTCAGGCTAAGCCTGCTGTGTGGTTTTGCTGTAAGGATCAAAGAATGGATTGCAAAGCTTATTGTAAACTTCAAAGTGTTTACATAATCTTTATCAGAGAGGGAGGAAAATCTTCTATTTCACTACTGTGAGCAAGCAAAGAAACTGAGCATGCTATAGATTCTGTTCTTTCCAAAGTCAAGGTTTAAAAGAATATATTCAATAACATCATCTAAAAGGAGACCAATCAATACAGTCCAAAATGTTCTCCTCAGTGGGTAACTTGAATTGAGAGTTAGAAGGAAATGAATTGAGACTCAAGCTAAATCAAAGAAATTTTCTATTTCACATATTTGGTTTTATTGCTGGAATTAGTAGGACATGCAAAAGCTAAAATTGAGACAATAATAGTAAGTGGCCTAAAAGCCTCCAACTACAATAAAGACCAAAGCTCCCTTGATTTCTTTAAATCAAATCCATGTCATATACTGAAACGGGGTGCTTCTTACCTGGATTAGTCCCTTTACATGCTGCTGATAAAGACATACCGGAGACTGGGAAGAAAAAGAGGTTTAATTGTATTTACAGTTCCCCATAGCTTGGGAGGACCTCAGAATCATGGCAGGAGGCGAAAGGCACTTCTCAAATGGTGGTAGCAAGAGAAAAATGACGAAGACGCAAAAGCGGAAACCCCGGATAAAACCATCAGATCTCGTGAGACTTATTCACTACCACGAGAACAGTATGGGGGAAACGCCCCCATGATTCAAATTATCTCCCACCGGGTCCCTCCCACAACATGTGGGAATTAGGGGAGTACAATTCAAGGTGAGATCTGGGTGGGGACAGAGTCAAACCATATCACTATCCCTGACCAAAGCAGAGAACTGAGCCCAGAGTAAGAGAAGACACTGACAAAAGAGTCTGTATATATAGAGGAAGGTTAACATCACAGGCACATGCTTTTTAAGAAAAGTTTAAACTCATAGTTGAGTGCTAAGGGCCAACTGGGGAAAGGGAAAACAAAACCGAACTAAAAAAAAAAAATGCCGGGTGCGGTGGCTCATGCCTGTAATCCCAGCACTTTGGGAGGCCGATGCGGGCGGATTGCGAGGTCAGGAGATCGAAACCATCCTGGCTAACACGGTGAAACCCCGTCTCTACTAAAAATAAAAAATAAAAAAAATAAAAATTAGCCAGACGTAGTGGCGGGCGCCTGTAGTCCCAGCTACTCCGAACCCGGGAGGTGGAGCTTGCAGTGAGCCAAGATTGAGCCACTGCACTCCAGCCTGGGCGACAGAGCAAGACTCCGTCTCAAAAAGCAACAACAACAACAACAACAACAACAACAACAAAAACTCTTTCAGACCTGCTTTACAGGGACAATATTGGTAAGCAGCTAAGGAACTTGCCAGAAGACCAAGTATTTAAGTCTTCTCACTTCTACAAGTAACCTTCTATAGCAGTGGTTCTCAAATTTGGCTGTCCTTTGCAATCACCTGGGATATTTTAGAAGAAGCCAATGCCCACACTCACCCTCAGAGATTTGGATTTAATTATTCTGTGGTGTAGTTTAGGCACTGTTATTCTTTTACACTGCCCAGGGGATTCTATGTGCAGTCAGGTTGAGAACAACTGTATCTACAATTGGTTTTAAATAGCCACCTTAAAGTTTCATTTGAACAGCATTTTTCCTTGCATTCTTTTAGCTCTTGCAATTGATAATAGTATCCAATAGGTCACAAGTGAAGTGATGGAAAAAAAGGGGACATTTCATATTTACCCATCAAAAGTCCCTTAATCTCTTTCCTGTGCTCCTCTGTGACTACCCTGCAGTTTCTATCTCTATCAAAACACACATCCCACATGTCATGTATCACTAGGAGCTGCATACGACATATCTCAAACCAAGACCAGGGACTGGGCCTTAGCTGTCCTTGTCTCCTGCCCTATACTTACAGGCATCCCACGGTACTTTCAGGGTCAGTGTTGACTGAAATGTTCCCAGCCCCACTGGACCCAACTGTTACTTTGTAGATGAAACAGTGGGCAAGGAGTGAAGGTGGCATGAGAAGGAAAAGATGGAATAAAGAAAGGAAGAGAGCAGGAATAATAAAAGTACAAAAATGGTTGTTTCTCATTCAAAACAGAAGTACAACTACCTTAAAGAAGGAAATTTTAGACCTGGAAAAGGCTTTAGAAGTCATCTAATCTAGTTTCTCAAAGAATGATCCTTAAGCTGTATGGATCCTTTGAGGTGCTTCTTAATATAAAGATTCCTGGGCTTCACCTAGACTGACTAAATCAAAGGATAAAGAAATGGAAGATGACAAAAAAATCTGGATTTTTAACACACTCTTGCATAGTTCTTATGCACCTTAAAATTTGAGAATATCTAGTCCAAATTCCCTCATTTTTCAATAAGCATGCTGAATCTCAGGGAAAAGAAAGGGTTTGCTTAAGGTCATCAAACTGATTAGTGGTAGAGATGGGACTTAAATCCAAGTTCTCAGCTCACAGTCTTATACTGTTTCTACTACCCTATGCTGGTGTTGCCTGTGCTGCCAGTGCCAAGAAATATGAACACCTGGGCTCCCTGAAAAAAATGCAACAAGACACATTCTGCTTGTTCCAGAACAAGACCCTATCGAATGTCACATTTCTTCTGATTTCCTATGCCTGTTTTCCAAAATATATTTCTGATTAAAACAGCAAAAACAACAAAGTCTTCCATGCAAAGGCACCAATGACTGATAATATTGTAAAGTGTTTTTTGCAGGTCTATTTACACAGTAAACTAAATTCCCAAAAGCAGCAATACTCCAACCACCCAAGTCATGCCTAAAATGACAGAAATTTGGGCACCAAATGAACCATCAGGGAGATGTTTGGGAAGCAGGAGGTTACCTTTCCTGGGTTCCCTAAACTCCTGATATGGATGAAGCCAGTTCTGGTGAGCAATAATTTTCAAGACAATAAGTTATATTTTTTCTTAGTACTATCTAAGTACTATTTTTGTTAGTAATATTTTTGTTAGTACTATCTTCTGGAGACTCTAGGGGTCATATAACTAACACCACCTTCAAAAGCAGTGTGGATTGCTCTCTGTTCATCTCAGAAGGAGTTTCTCCATTACCTTTCTTGAAGTGGCCTTCTGGTACTGAGAAGGCATTTCTAATTAACTTTGTAGCTCTTGAACTCGGCTGGCCCATCTAACTGATTACAATTTTATATCAGGCAAGACTGGATGCCTTAGAGCCTTGTTGGCCTGGGAATTTCTAATTGGCATCTGCTGAGAATGACATTCCATTACTTGCTGGAGCATATGTATCAGAATAACCCACATGCATTGACATAAACTGGGAATCAAAGTCTGGCTGTGGCATTTAGATACATTAAAAACATGTAGTGATTAAGATTTTGTTTGGAGACTGTAGCAGAGCATCAGGAAGGTCAGAAGCACAAATCACCCCTACCCAACACCTAAACATCACAGTGAAACACTCCAAGAACCTAGAGAAACACACGACTTTGCAGCAATCCAAAAGATTAAACCAAATGAAGTACAATATTACATAAATCAGTTATGTGATTGTAAAACAGAAATTCCGCCTTTATTTGTTCTGTAACCATATAAACATCACAAAATTTTTGTTAACATTCAAATGTGAAACAAAGATAATCTACGACAACCATGACAAAATATAATACCCCAAATGTGTTTGGAGGGAGTACAACCTCTTTTCAATGGCAAGTCATCCTTTAGCTGAAAAAGAGGCATTTACTAAGCACTTCCTACATAAAAAAGTAAAAGTCTTGGCCCTTAACCTAGAGTTGTTTTTAAACTACTTTGGAAGACCCAACATACACAAAGGAAATTACATGAAAGAAAGCAGTTAGCATAGCAGAAAGGATAATGTGACCTATGGACAAAACTCAACTGTCCCCAATTAGATTATGTGCCTTACCTAAGCCTGAAGGACTGAGCCATTTTCTCTCTCTCCTCCTCCTCTTCTCTCTCTCTCCAATTCTCCCCCTCCCTCTCTCTTGCTCTCCCTCTCTCCTTCTCTAACAAACACACACACACATGCACACACACACAACCAGCTAAGGGAGCAATCAAAAAAAGCAAAGGTTGATTTTAAAATGCTATTGGAAAAAACTATAATTTGTCACCATGCTCAACTTTCTAAACATTTCCACATTGTTTTTCAGAGGCTATATGGTATATCTTGTGAAATCCTGGGAACATTCCAACACTGGCTTTTGTGGTGCCTGAAATTTCTACCATTAATAAAACTTTAAGACAATGATTCTTATCTTATTTGGGGGCAAGTGACATATACCACTGAGTCCATACCACTTCTTTCTTGTGTGAATTCTCTTAAGTCTTCTCCAGTCAAGTTTTTTGCAGAACCATTTCACAAAACTGCCTTGGAAATTGTCAGTTCTCATTTTATTTGACTATCAGCAGTATTTACCATTTTCTTCCTCCAACTTGAAATACATTCTTTTCTTCACCTAGACTCCAGGTCAATACACTTTCCTGGATTTACTCCTATCTCATGGACTTCTCTCTCTTACTTTCCCATTTTGACTCTTCCCAACTTCTACATGCTTGAGTGGGCCCTGGGCTCCATTCTGAAATTTCTTCTCTGCTCCAAAACACACTCTTGCTGATCTCATTGAATCTCATGACTTTAAATATCCAATCACTGATGTCTCCGAAATTTATAATTCCAGCCAGTGCACCTCCCCTGAACTCCAGATATGTATATGGAACTGCTCCCTTAACATTTCCCATTTGGCTAACAGGCCCCTAAAACCTAATACGTCCCAAACCAAACTCCAGCCCTTTCCTCTCAGACCTGTTTCTCTAATCATCTCCCCCACGTCACTTGCTGGAAACCCTGTTCTGATTGCTCAGGCCAAAAACTTTGGTACCACCTTTGACTCCTATCTTTCTTTCATATCCAACATCCATTTGGTTAACAAATCCTGATGCCCCTATCTTCAAAATATTTTCAAAATTCTACCACTTCTCAACAACTTTACCACTACCACTCTGGTAAAAGCCACCATCATCTCTTACATGGATTATTATAACAGCTTCCTAACTCGCCTTCCTGCTTTTGTCATGGCCTTCCATAGTCTGTTCCCAACAGAGCAGCTAGAGATCCTATTAAAACATAAGTCAGATCATGTCCTTCCTCAGCTCTAAACCCTCCAATGACTTCCTCTCTTACTCATAGTAAAAGCTAAAATCCTGAAATGGCTTGCAAAGAGCCTTCCCTTCCCCCATTGTTACCCCTCTGATCTCATCTCCTACTGGCTCATCCCACTTTATGGTAGCTCCTTGCTCTTCCTTAAGTATGTTGAGCATGATTCCACCTCAGCATCTTTATACTTTTTGTTTCCTAAACCTGGAAAACTCTTGCCCGTGTATCTACAAAGCTTTTCCTCTCCATTCCTTCAGGTTTTACTCAATTATAACTATCAGTAAGGCCTATCCTGGTGCTATTTAATACAATATCTATGCCTTCAATCCCAGCCTTCAATATGCTTTCTCTCAATTATTTTCGTTCAAATAAATTTACTTTTCTGTTTATTGTCTAGCTCCCACTCCAGAACATAACCTAAATGAGGGCATGAGGGCACTGTCATCTGCTTTGTTCACTGCTATATCCCCAACACCTAGGATTGTTTCTGGAAATTAGGAAGTGTTCAATGCATATTTGGTGAATGAATAAATAACCTTAGGTAAGTTATATAACCTTTTTATGCCATAGTTGACCCATTTGTGAAACGGGGATAACACTGCCACCTACCCCAAAGTTGCTGGGAGAATTGAATGATTCAATACATGTAAAGCACTTGGCAAAGTGCCTAGCACACAGTAAGCATTCAATATTTATAGGTACTATTACTATTATTTATTAAGAGGAGATGAGGCCGAGCATGGTGGCTCACGCCTGTAATCCCAGCACTTTGGGAGGCCGAGGCGGGTGGATCACGAGGTCAGGAGTTCAAGACCAGCCTGGCCAAGATGGTAAAAATACAAAAAATTAGCTGTCTCTATTAAAAATACAAAAAATTAGCTGGGCGTGGTAGTGGGCACTTGTAATCCCAGCTACTCAGGAGGCTGAGGCAGAAAATTGCTTGATCCCAGGAGGCGGAGGTTGCAGTGAGCTAAGATCATGCCACTGCACTCCAGCCTAGGCGACAGAGCAAGACTCTGCCTCAAAAAAAAAAAATGAATGAGTACAGGAAAGGAAGAAAAAATAGTATCAACAAGGGACTTTGAAATTCAGGCATGTGGTGTCTAGTGAGCTGTGGTGAGGTAGGGTGGGTTGGGAAGGGGGACACAATGCAATCAAGTCTTCATTGGAAGACTTCATTGGCGACACTGAAAAAGTGTGTCTTGCACAAAGAAAGTGCATGTAATATATGCTATGATACAATCTGCCTTAAGGTGACTCTGAGTCTGTTATTGGGCCCACTGTTCCTTTGGGGTTCTAACAGGAAAACTCGCTGATTAAGCACCTTAGTTTTTCCCATTGCTGAGATAAAGTTTCTGATGATGCTGGCACCCAGAAATCAAGTGAAAAAGCTCTCTATAAATCAACAAAGAATACACAAGTTAATTTTCAAATACAGATGGGGCATATTTCTGCTAGGAAAAGAGAAATAATTTTCAAATAGCAAAAAGTAATTAGAATCCAGACATAGTAAAATTTTAACAATTTAGAAACATGAGATTGATAGTCTTTTTGAGGCATTCCACTTACCTTAAGTTCAGAGTTTAAATGAAGCCTTAAATAGGCTTTGCATATTTTTGACCATGCTAGTTGGGAGTTTGAATATTTTCTTCTTACCTTATTATGCTGGGAAAGGAGCCATGGGCAGTTTTCTTACAGCACCTGAAAACATTTATATAAAAAATTCATCAACTTTCAATTTGTTTCAATGACACATTTAGCTTTTCAATTCCAAGGCTGTACCTGCTGCCATATTGTAAAGAAAACACTTTGAAATGGTTTTCCTCTGCCCAATAAAGGGCAAGCATGCCTTGAGCTAACCACTGAGGCACTGTATCACAATTTAAAAAGGTCTACAGTGCTCAGATGGAATATACTAATGGTGAACACATTGAGACACCACCAAGTTATCCCCTCAGGATTGAAAGTGTGACTCACAATGTAAGCAACCAAGACCAGCACAAGTGCTAGCTGAAGTTGAGGGAAATCTAGAATTAATAGTGGAGGAGGGAGATGATAAACATCAGTTGCATCCCTAAAACCACCTGCAGCTGTGAGAGTGGTAATTCTTACCCCACTAATGTTCCTTCTCTAAGCTTTCCACAGGAAGAGATGTCCACAGAATCCTGGAGGACCTGCACCAAAACATGTTTGAATAATTAGGTATTGGTGGTACAAGGGGTAGACTGCAATACACATTGTGATGCACTGCTCAGATCCCCCTCCAATGAAGTACCTGTTCCAGTTGCTGGAGAAACTTTGGCAGACATCCTTCAGCTATTAGCTCCTTCAGAGATTACCTCAAATGCAGAGAGTCACCTTGTTCAAAGTCATGATCCTTCCTGGGGCAGCCCATATCCAATGACTGACACATGAGGTGATTTAAGAGCCTAGTCACTCTAGCCCAACTTGGGAAAGCTACGAAGGACATTTACATCTCCAGATCTCCCTGTGGGGTTAGCCAAAGTTATTGTTGGGCCTACAGCTCACCTTCTCCCTCAGCCCATTTTTGCTTCTTTCCTCTCTCTCCCATAGGTTTTGAATGTAAGAGTACTCCTAATAGTTTAAATGCCATCTCAGAGTCTGTTTCCTTGGAAACTCAATCCTTGGGTTTATGACAACATAGGTTGACATGGTTTAGATATCCCACCCAAATCTCATGTTAAATTGTAATCCCCAGTGTTGGAGGTGGGGCCTGGTGGGAGGTATTTGGATCATGGGGGTGGACTCCTTGTGAATGGCTTGGGCCATCCCCTTGGTGATAAGTGAGCTCTTGCTCTGAGTTCTCATGAGATCTGGTCATTTAAAAGTATGTGGCACTTCCCAACACACACTCTATCTCTTGTTCCCCTTCTCACCAAGTGATGCACCTGCTCCCTCTTTGTCTTCCCCCATGATTGCAAGCAGATGATGCTGTGCTTCTGGTACAGCCTACAGAACTGTAAGCCAACCAAACCTCTTTTCTTATAAATTACCCAGTTTCATGTACAACTTCACAGCAATGCAAGAATGGCCTAATACATAGGCAATGACATAAGAAACGTCCAATACATTCTAGTTCATTAAACATTCATTGATTCAATTAATATTCATTGAGGGCCTCCTGTGTACTGGGCACTTTTTCTCAGTATCAGGGATGCATCATTGAGAAAGATAAAGTTCTTGCTCTCATGGAGCTTATGTTTTAGTGAAGGGACACAGATAATGAATGAATGAACAAAGCAAATGAGTAAACAACAATATATTAAATAGTGATAAATATTAAGAAAAAAATGTAGGGTGATGTGACAGAGATTCAGTCAGGTTGGCTAATTTAGATTGTGTGATGATGGCCTCAGTAAGAAAGTAACATTTGAACCAGTCTGACACACAAACATCTGCAGTAATAGCCTTGCAGGCAGAGGGAACCAGAGGTACAAAGGCCTTAATGTATACATGAATTAGTCATGGTGTCAAAATGGAAAGACAGTTAGTGTGCCTGCAGTATAAGTAAGGGAAAAGTAGTAAGAGATGAAGTTGGAGAGATGGCCTGGGGTCAAATACGGTGAGGAGTTTGGATTTCATTCTAAGTAAACTGGGAAGTTAGAGTATTTCAAGCAGGGCAGTGAAATTATCTGATGCATACATTTAAAAGCCAAATCTAGCTACTATGATAAGATTATAAAGAAGAATGGAATTGGGAAAATTAATTAGAAAGCTATTGCAGAAGTCTAGGTTTGTGGGGGTCTGTCCCACAGACCCTGACCCAATGACGGATGAATAACATGCACTGACACAGATATTCTGCTTTGCCAGTCCAGCTGAGCATCCAGACCACTTACAGACTCCCAGCAGAGTGTTGTAAACAGTTGAGGGGCAACCAACCAGCGAGACTCACATTTATTCAGTAAAGATTAATTGACAAAGGCTTGAGTCAACACCACTGGAGGGTAATTGACATTGTGAACCTCCTGAGTAGAAAGCAATTAAGCAACCGGTAGATCAAAAGTTAGTCTTAGGACCACATGAGTAAACAAGCTAGTTAGAGAAACTCCCCCACATTCCCTTGTATCTACTTTAATTTATTTAACTAAAGGAAAAGGGAGTAGGCTGCCTTCAGTCAGATCTATTACCGAAGTTATGCAAACTCTCAGGCCTTCCAAGAGGGTTTGTGGCTATTGTTACTGTAACTAAAATTTTCTTCACCAGCCTGACTGAACCCCTACACAGGTTAGGGATAACGATGGCTTAGACTAGAGTGGTGAGAATAGGGGTGATGAAAAATAGATTCTGGATATATTTTAGAGCTAAAGCAACCAGGCTTATTGATGAAATGGATATGGATATAAGGGGTAAGAAAGGGAGACCTTAGAGAGGATTCCCAAATTTTGAATTGACATAGTAAATTATAGTTCATTGGTTTGTCCCTCCATTTGAACACATACTAAGCACCTTCTATGTATGAAACACTATGCTGGGTGCTGAGGAGCTCAAGATGATGAATCATGTGAGACCTTAACAGTCAGAGTTCAAAGACAAGATATAGGATATACAGATAGCTATAAAATGAGGTAATACATGGTAAATGCCAAGGAAATATAATTTTTATTTTTCTGCAGTCATTTCATTCATATTAATCTCATTCCTCTAACATATATGTGCACTTATTGTGGAACCAGGCAATTACTTGGTGCTAAATAAGTATATGCTAGCTGCTGGTTAATCCACCAACACTCTCTGGTATATTTATGAATGTCCACACCCTTTAAAAATCAAAATCATTAACTATAATATTTTTCATAAAATGGTATAAAGAATCTCTATACCAAATTTGTGTTCTGTCTAAAGGTGGGGGAAACGGATTTTTACATTCCACAGAAAATGGGTGTTTTCCTGGAATACTATGCAGCTCTAAAAAGGAAGGAAGTCATGTCCTCTGCAGGGACATGGATGGAACTGGGGGCCATTCTCCTTAGCAAACTAATGCAGGAACAGAAAACCAAATACTGCATGTTCTCACTTATAAGTGGAAGCTAAATGATGAGAATACATGGACACATGGAGGGGGGAACACACACTAGGGCCTGTCAGAGGGCAGCGGGTGGGAGGAAAGAGAGGATCAGGAAAAATAGCTGGTAGATGCTGGGATTAATATCTGGGTAATGGAGTGATCTGTGCAGCAAACTACCATGGCACACATTTACCTATGTAACAAACCTGCACATCCTGTACATGTATCCTTGAACTTAAAATAAAAGTTAAAAAAAAAAGAAAATGGGTGTTTTGTCTTAATAGGCTGATGAGAGTGAATTCAGGGAAAAAAAGCCAGCAATTCAAATAATTTATTACTGACTGTGGTTGAGGTTACTTCTTCCTCAGTATCCTTTCTCCACTTTCTTCTTAGAAATAGAACCTTTGGTTTTTAGCTGGAGACATGGCCATCTTAAGGAAAGACTATATTTTCCAGAATCTTTTGCAGCTAGGTATGGACTCATGACTAAGTTCTGTCCAACAGGATGAGAATAAAAGTGTCCTCCCACCACTTCCTTCTTCCAGCTGGATACAAATTATTTGTTATGCAACTTTATACACTTGCCAAAATTCACAGAACTGTACATTTAAAATTGGTGAATCTTATTCTATGTAAATGTTATCCTAATAAAGCTGATCAAATATTTTTAAAAATTATTTGTGATGGCTAGAGTGGAACAGCTCTTTTCAACTATGAAGCAGAAGTGAATTGTTGAAAACAGCAGAGGTACAACACAGGAGAATATTTCCTGGATAATGGTAGAGCTGCTATACCAGACCTAGAATGCTTATCATCTCATTTCACTTACATGAGAAAGTAAATTTTGTCATGTTTAAATCACTATTACCTTGGGTATTCTGTCTTGTAACAAATCCCAATCCTGATACAGTGAACATCCAACTAATTCAGTTAAGACAAATTAAGTGCTTTGTGTGTTAAAATTTTATAGCTTAAGACTGAGCATAGAAAAACATTTACAGAAAAGCAATTTTAAGATGAATAATCCTTTTAATATTTCTATTACAATCAGAATTTCCACAGTTTTTCTCCAAAATCCTGAACACATCAAAGTTATTCCACCTTCAAATTCTCATTAAGAAAAAAAATTAAAAATTTCTATTCTCCCCCCACCTCAAAAGGCAGCAGAGTGTACAGTTAAGAAATTGGGTGACAAGAATGGCACTATGAGAAGCTCCATGGATCTTCTCCCCAGAAAAACAACCAAACAACCATACTATAAAGCGACACTAGAATTTTGTTTCAAGAAACCTCACAGGAATGTACCAAAAAAAAAAACAAAAGAATTCAGAGATTCTTTGAAAGAAACAGCATGTTGCCGCAAACTCCACAAGACAGGTGAAAAGCTGTGAGTTCCCAAAGTATGAGAGGGGTAAAACCTGCCTCCAAATACACACCTCCACTAGGGAATCTGAAAATCCAGATCATGAGAGAAGTATTTAATCTTACCTATAGCTGGAACAGATTTAGGGAGCCATGTGAAATATAAAAGTACAGACCACAGTGGGAAGAGCCTTGTAGGCACTCCCAGACTCCAGCGCGAACCCAGAGAAACCATTCCTGACCATATCTCTCAGGGGCCCTCAGGGAAAGCAGCAAGCAAAATTAGGGAAGAGTCACAGGTGAAAGAAACTTCCAACTGAATTTTGTGATAATTTCAAGTGGGCATGAACTCCCTTGAGCAGAACCCTGGGGGTTAAGGGGAAGATACAGTGCAGGAGCTGCAGATACAAGTGCAGGAGCTGCCAGCATTGCAAGCAGACAAGTAGGCCTGAAATCTGTACTTGCTTTCTCAGTGGAGAAGTTTATGGCCTGGGGCAGGTCTGAGTTTCATGCATAGGCTGCATGGTTCTAAACTCGGTGCTGTTAGTGGGGCACTGCAGGAGTGAGACTGGCCTCACCAACTGTGTGGGAGCTGGGTGAGACCTTTCGATATCAGCTATCCCTCACTTCCACAGTGAACCATACTGCTCAGCAGAGGCAGCCATACTCCCCTCTAAAACATAACCCTATTGGCTTGAGAACCACCCCTAAACACTCCCTACAGTGGCCATGACAAGCCCTACCCAAGGAGAGTCTGAGCTCAGACTCCTCTAACCATGACCCCACCTAATGGTATTTCTCTAGCCACCCTGGTAGCCGAACACAAAAGACATAAACCCCTGGGAGATTTATGGCCCTGCCCATCAGCTGAGAAACCTGAATTCTTCCCCTGGCCAACTTAAGGCAAGCTCAAATCCCACTGCTATTACCACAGCTGGTGCTCTCTTGAAAGTGCCACCTCCTGGCTGGAGGCCAACTAACTCAGGCCATTACAGCAACTCATGACAGAATAACACTACTCCCAGGAAGAAGAAAACAACAGCTAATACCACTGCCTGCAACATCCTGGCTAATCAGAGGTCCCAAGTCTGTCCATGTGACAACTTCACTGCTAGCATAACCAGCATTTGAGAAAGCAAGCACACTAAACCTATCTACAACCAAAGATTCTCAAAGAGTCTACATCACTCCCCTGCTACCTCCACCAGAGCAGGTGCTGGTATCCACAACTGGGAGACCTGAAGACTGATAACATCACTGGACTCTTTGCAGATATTCCCCAGCACCAGTCTGGAGCCTGGTAGCCCCACTGGATGGCTAGATCCAGAAAAGCAATAACAATCACTGCAGTCCAGATCTCAGGAAGCCCCATGCCTAGGGTAAGGAGGACAGCACCACATCAAGGGATCACCCCATAGTACAAAATAATCTGAACAGCCAGGCGCGGGGGCTCATGCCTGTAATCCCAGCACTTTGGGAGGCTGAGGTGGGCAGATCACGAGGTCAGGAGATCAAGACCAGCCTGGCTAACATGGTGAAACCCCGTCTCTACTAAAAATACAAAAAAAAAAAAAAATAGCTGGACATGGTGATACAGGCCTGAAGTCCCAGCTACTCAGGAGGCTGAGACAGAAGAATCACTTGAACCCAGGAGGCGGAGCTTGCAGTGAGCTGAGATCATGCCACTACACTTCAGCCTCAGCAACAGAGCAAGACTCTGTCTCAAAAAAAAAAAAAAATCTGAACAGCAGGCCTTAAATTCCAGATATTTCTACTGGTGGGTAGTTTCTCATAGTAGAGACACAATTGCGGTGTTGGGTGCAGTAAGAAAAGTCTGTACCTATTCTCCAACAGTAAAGCAGCCTCTATGATTATGAAGGGCCTTGGAGAAGGGGCCCTTGTTCCCCCTGGCATTCCACTGCAGACACAACTGGGGCTTCCTCCACAAAAATGCAGCATGAAGGTACCTATAGACAGCCTTTCTGGAACAGTCCAGGGTAAGTGCAGCCCCACAGAGGCAGCATCCCCCAGATTCACGCCTACATGAGAGGCAGAGTCACAATTCCTCCCTATTTGAAACATCAACATTCCTGTAGCTAAAAAGAGGTGTCTGTCTGATTTGAATCGCTGAAACACTAGGACAAGAGTGAGGCTATGAAGTGAATAGCTTTTCCTGTGACTTGGCAGTGGAGCTGAGGTAGCTCCCATTCTTCACCCTGATAAAACTTCAGCACATCTAACTGAAAGCTCCTCAGCCACCCTCATCAAGGCTGGGACCTCGACCCACCAGTGGGTATTATATCTACCCACCTGCCTTAGACACAACTGGTGCCTACACAGGGATACTGCCCGTATAAGCCTGAAGCCCGAATCATCAACTTAGTAAATAAAACACTGGAAAATAACTAACTAAATAAATAAAATGTACATCATGAAAGAATGAGAAAACCTTCAAGCTATCCCTGCCAATCAGCTCCATAGGAGACGGTGAACTCAGCCACACACCAAGAATGTAACTACTACAAGCAGCATCAGGGAAATCCAGTGCACAAAGACACTGTATAACTAAGGAACACAACAAGAATCTTCACCCCTTCAAGCACCAAGAATCAAATTCGGCTGAAAAAAATATTAAAGTCTGATACTTAAGAGGGGAAAACATTTAAATTAGAAAAAAACACTCCAATCAAAAATAAATAACAATTTGAAGAAATAGTCTACTCAAATAAGAAGAAACCAGGAAAGAAATTCTGATAACATGACAAAACAGAGTTCTGTAAGACACCAAAAAGATCACACTAGCCCACCAGCAATGGATCCAAACAAAGAAGAAATCTCTAAATTGTCAGATAAAGAATTTTGAAAGTTAATTATTAAGCTACTCAAGGAGATATCAGAGAAAGGTTAAACCAACTTAAAAAAAGCTAAGAAAAAAAAACAGGATATGATAAAAAATTTCCAAAGAAATAGATAACATTTTAAAAAATTACAATTTTGGGAAATAAAAGACACATTTAGAAAAATACACAATGCCGGGAAAAGTTTCAACAATAGCCTAGAAAAATTAGAAGAAAGAACTTCAGAGCTTGAAGAAAAAACTTTCAAATTAACCTAATGAGACAAAAAAAAAACAAACAAAAAAATGAACAAAGTCTCCAAGAAATTTGGGATTATGTTAAACAACCAAACCTAAAAATAATTGGTATTCCTGAGAAAGAAGATAAATCTAAAAGTTTAGAAAACTTATTTGAGGGAATAATTGAGGAAAAGTTACCTGGCCTTGCTAGAGATCTAGACATCCAAATACAAGAAGCTCAAAGAACTCCTGGGAAATACATCACAAAAGGATCATCACCTAGGCACATAATCATCAGGTTATATAAAGTCAAGACAAAGTAAAGAATCTTAAGAGCAATCTACAAATTCAATGCAATTCCCATCAAAATACCATAACCACTCTTTGTATAACTAGAAAAAAAACAATTCTAAAATTCATATAGAACCAAAAAAGACCCCACATAGCCAAAGCAATAATAAGCAAAAAGAACAAATCTGGAGGCATCACATTAACTGACTTCAAACTATATTACAAGGCTATAGTTACCAAAAGAGCATGGCACTGGTATAAAAATAGGCACATAGACAAATGGAACAGAATAGAGAACCCAGAAATGAAGCCAAATACTTACAGACAACTGATCTTTGACAAAGCAAACAAAAAGATAAAGTGGGGAAAGGACACCCTATTCAACAAATTAGCAAGCCTCATGTAGAAGAATGAAACTGGATCCTCATCTCTTACCTTATATAAAAATCAACTCGAGAGGGATCAAAGACTTGTATCTAAGAACTGAAATCATAAAAATTCTAGAAGACAAAATCAGAAAAACTCTTCTAGATATTGGATTAGGCAAAGAATTAGTGACCAAGAACCCAAAAGCAAATGCAACAAAAACAAAAATAAATATATGTGGCTAAATTAAAGTAAAAATCTCTGTGCAGCAAAAGAAATCATCAGCAGAGTAAGCAGACAACCCACAGAGTGGGAGAAAATCTTCACAAACTATGCATTTCACAAAGGACTATTATCCAGAATCTACAAGGAATTCAAACAAATCAGCAAGAAAAAAAAATGATCCCATCAAAAAATGGGCTAAGGACATGAAAAGAAAATTATCAAAAAGAGATATACAATTGGCCAACAAACACGAAAAAATTCTCAACATCACTATCAGGGAAATGCAAATTAAAACTACAATGAGATACCACCTCACTACTGCAAGAATGGCCATAACCAAAAAATAAAAAAATAATAGATGTTGGCACGGATATGGTGAAAAGGGAACACTGTTACCCTATTGGTGGGAATGTAAACTAGTGCAACCACTGTGGAAAACAGTGTGGAGATACCTTGAAGAACTAAAAGTAGATCTACCATTCAATCCTGCAATTCCACTACTGGTTATCTGCCCAAAGGGAGAAAAGTCATTATATGAAAATGACACTTGCACACACATGTTTATAGTAGCACAATTCACAATTGCAAAAATACGAAACCAACTGAAATGCCCCATCAACCAACGAGTGGATAAAGAAAATGTGGTATAGCGAGGCGGGTGGATCATGAGGTTAGGAGATCGAGACCATCCCGGCTAACACAGTGAAACCCTGTCTCTACTAAAAAAAATACAAAAAAAATTACCCGGGCATGGTGGCGGGTGCCTGTAGTCCCAGCTACTCGGGAGGCTGAGGCAGGAGAATGGCGTGAACCCAGGAGGCAGAGGTTGCAGTGAGCTGAGATCGCGCCACTGCACTCCAGCCTTGGGCGACAGAGTGAGACTCCATCTCAAAAAAAAAAGAGAAGAAGAAGAAGAAAAGAAAAATATACACTATGGAGTACTACTCAGCTGTAAAAAAAAAAATGAAATAATTGCATTTGCAGCAACTTGGATGGAGTTGGAGACCATTATTTCAAGTGAAATAACTCAGGAATAAAAAACCAAATATTGTATGTTCTCACTTATAAGTGGGATCTAAGCTATGAAGATGCAATGGCGTAAGAATGAGGTAATAAACTTTGGGGACTCAGGAGGAATGGTGGGGAGATACTCAGGGATAAAAGACTATGCACTGGGTAGACTGTTCAAGTGTACACTGTTCAAGTAATGAGTGCACCAAAATCTCAGAAATCATCAGTAAAGAACTTATCCATGTAACTAAAAACCACCAATTACCCCAGAAAGTACTGAAATAAAAACAAAAACAAAAAATCCCCCAAAATTATCTTACAGGTCTGTAAGTCAGAAGTCTGACATGGGTATCATTGAACTAAAATCAATGTATCAGCAGGGTGGTATTGAGGCCCTAAGGGAAAAATCTGTCTCTTTGCCTTCTCTAGCTCTAAAGTCTGCCCACATTCTTTGGTACATCATCTCGTTTATCCGTATTTAAAGCCAATGAATCAAGTCACTTGCCTTGCATTTCCCTTACTCTTATTCCAACATCACATCTTTGTATGATACTCTCTTCTTCTCAATGTGGCTCATGCCTGTAATCCCAGCACTTTGAGAGGCCAAGGCGGGCAAATCACCTGAGGTCAGGACTTGGAGACTAGCCTGGTCTACATGGTGAAACTTGTCTCTACTAAAAAATACAAAATTAGCTGGGCGTGGTGGCACATGCCTATAACCCCAGCTACACGGGAGGCTGAGGCAGGATCCATTGAACCTGGGAGGCGGAGGTTGCAGTGAGCTGAGATCGCACCTGGAGATTGCACTCCATCCTGGGCAACAAGAGTGAAACTCCGTCTCAAAAAAAAAAACCTCTTAAACTCTTTTTAGTAATTATATAGTAGGTGGTAGTGTTAGCATTATTATTCTGAAAATACTATGTGTGCAAAGTGGAATAAAATGGATGAAAAATTTTTTAAAAGCTAAATAAAGACAATGTTACATTAACATAAAGATAGGCATATATAAATCAATAGAACAGAATTGAGAGTCCAGAAATAAAACATTATATTCATGGTAAATGGATTTGCAACAAGGGTGCTACGACAAATCAATGAGGAAAACAACAGAGTTTTCAACGAACAGTGGTGGAAAGACTAGATATGCATGTGCAAAAAAGTGAAGTTGGACTGCTATCTCACGCTGCATATAAAAACTTAAAATGGACCATAAACCTAAATATAACAGCTGAAACTATAAAAAGTCTTAGTAAAAACATAGGAGTAAATCTCCAGTACTTTGAATTAGGAAACGGTTCCTTATATATAACACTCAAAACACAAGCAACCAAAGAAAATATAGACAAATATTACTTAATTAGAATTTAAAACCACTGTGCATCAAAGAGCATTATCAAAAAAGAGAAAAGACAAAAAATGGAAGAAAATATTTGTAGATTATATGCCTGATAAGGGACTTGTATCTAGAATATACAAAGAATTCTTATAACACAATAATAAAAGATTAACAACCCAATGTGAAAATAAACAAAGTAGTCCGGCGCAGTGGCTCATGCCTGTAATCCCAGCACTTTGGGAGGCCGAGGCGGGCGGATCACGAGGTCAGGAGATCGAGACCATCCCGGCTAACACAGTGAAACCCCGTCTCTACTAAAAATACAAAAAATTAGCCGGGCGTAGTGGCGGGCGCCTGTAGTCCCAGCTACTTGGGAGGCTGAGGCAGGAGAATGGCGTGAACCCGGGAGGCGGAGCTTGCAGTGAGCCGAGATCCCGCCACTGCACTCCAGCCTGGGCGACAGAGCGAGACTCCGTCTCAAAAAAAAAAAAAAAAAAAAAAAAAAACAAAAACAAAAACACAAAAAATTAGCCGGGCGTAATGGCGGCAGCCCGTAGTCCCAGCTACTCCAGAAGCTGAGGCAGGAGAATGGTGTGAACCTGGGAGGCGGAGCTTACAGTGAGCCGACATCACGCCACTGCACTTCAGCTTGGGCGACAGAGTGAGACTCTGTCTCAAAAAAAAAACAAAAACAAACAAAACACTCTTTCAGGCCTGCCCTACAGGAACAATATTGGTAAGCAGCTAAGGAACTTGCCAGAAAACCAAGTATTTAAGTCTTCTTCTCACTTCTACAAGTAACCTTCTATAGCAGTGGTTCTCTGCACTCCAGCCTGGGCAACAGAGCAAGATTCTGTCTCAAAAAAACAAAAAAGAAAGAAAATAGACAAAGTATTGAATAAGTATTTCTCCAAAGAATATACACAAGTCACAAATAAGCACATGAAAAGATGCTCATCATCAGTAGTCATTAGGGAAATATAAATCAAAACCACTTCACATCTACTAGAAATGGTTATAATAAAAAAGGCAGATAACAACAGTTGACAAAAATGTGAGGGAAATTAGGACTCTTATATATGGCAGTTGAATATATAAAATGGCACGGTTACTTTGTAAAGCAGTTTAGAAGTTTCTGAAAATGTTAAATATTAAGTGAGCACATACACCAGCAATTCTACTCCTAAGTATGGAAGGGAATGAAAACATATGTCCACATAAAAACTTGTATACAAATATTCACAGCAGCATTATTCATGATAGCAAAAGGTAGACACAATCCAAATGTCCATCAACTGATGAATGGATAAACAAAGGTATATAGTTAGAATGGAATATTATTCAGCCACAAAAAGGAATGGAGTACTGATACATATTATAACATGAATGAGATTTAAACAATTATTATATATGAAAGAAATGAGTCACAAAAGACTATGTATTATATGATTAAATTTATTTACAATGCCTATAAAGAAGGAAAGTATATTCTATAGAGAAGGAAAGTATATTAGTGTTTGACTAGGGCTGTAGAGGTTGGAGGAAAAAGGGGAGTAAATGTTTATGGATATGGGTTTTATGGGGGAGGTGAAGACAATGTTCTAAAATTGATTATGTGTCCCTCCAAAATTCATATGTTGGAAACTTAATCCCCAATGCAGCAATGTTGGGAGGTGAGGCCTAATGAGAGGCATCATGAATAAATCAATGCCACTAAAAAAAAGTTTCTGCGAGACTAGTTTCATTCTCTCTTGCCCTTTCACCTTTTACTGTGTGAGGGTGCAGCAAGAAAGACCTCACCATATGCAGCTCTCTTGATCTTGGACTTCCCAGCCTCCAGAATGTGAGAAATAAATTTCTGTTCCTTAGAAATTATGCATTCTATCGTATTCTGTTATATCAGCATAAAACAGACTAAAACAATTGTGGTGATGGTTGCATGACTCTGTAAATATACTATAAACCAGTGAATTGTACAATTAAAAAGAAAAAAATTGTAGTAGCCAGTCATATTAGTATCACTCCATAGAAAAAATTGGCTTAATTTGCAATGCTGTACAACATGTGCTTAAAATTGGGTAAAAAAGGACAGTAACTTAAAAATGCATGTAGTGTTATTCCACTTTTGTTTTAAAATAGGACATGCAAAAAATTATATATATAAATATTCACAAACTGCTCATTTGGGGGTAAATGAACTTCCTTCCCACATTCAGGTTTTAATATTTTTTTAATAAAAATATATAACTTTCATATTCTAAAAATAATAAATATATATGTATATGTGTGTATGTATATGTATATATGTAATATATATACATATATTATATTACATATGTATATTATGTATATATTACATATGTATATTACATATATATTACAATATATTACATATGTATATATGTAATATATATACATATATTATATATGTAATATATATACATATATTATATATGTGTGTGTATATATATATATATAAAAGGAAAAAAGAGAGAGAATAGGTGCCCACATTTGAGAAGTCTGGTTTGGAGGATAATGGCAGGGAAGATGGCAGAGTATGAAGAACTTAAGAGATTTGTGGGACACCACTTAGTGGATGAACATATGCATTGTGGGAATCCTAAAATAAGAAAGAGGAAATATGAATATTGGAAAAAATAATGGCTGAAAACTTCCAAAATTTAAAGAAAAACATGAATCTAAATATCCAAATTCTCAACATGATGAAGAGTATCATGAAAAACCCACAGTTAACATCATCCTAAATGGTGAAAGACTGAAAGAATTATCTCTACAATCAGAAACAAAACAAGGATGCCTGCTTTTACCACTGCTATTCAAAATAGTGTTGAAAGTTCTAGACAGAACTATTACACAAGAAAAAGATACGAAAGTATCCAAATTGGAAAGGAAAAAGTAAAACAATGTCTATTCACAGATGACATAATTAAATATATAGAAAATCCCGAAGAATCCACATATAAAAAAGCTACCGCAAGCTAATAAATTCAATATAGTTACAGGGAACAATATGAACATAGAAAAATCAATCATGTTTCTATACAGCAGCAATGAATAATCCAAAAAGAAAATTGGAAAGCATGTCTATTTACAGTAGCATCTTAAAAATTAAAATACTTAGGAATAAATCTAATCAAGAAAGCGAAAGTCTTATTCAATGAAAACTACAAAATAATGCTGAAAAAAATGAAGATTTTATTTTTAAGTCTTTAAATTCCATTACAGAAATAGACATGCGTGTTCATGAATAGGAAGACTTGACATTTGTAAGACACTAGTACTATCCAAAGTGATATACAGATTCACTTAAATCTCTATGAAAATCTCAAGAATATTTTTTGCAGAAGTGGAAAAGCTTATCCTCAAATTCACATCAAATTTCAAGGGGGCCTGAATAACCAAAAAATATCTTGAAAAAGACCAAAGATGGGGGCCTCACAATTCTCGACTTCTAAACTTACTACAAAGCTACAATAATTAAAACACTATGTTACTGGCATGAGGGCAGGCATACAGATCAATAGAATAGAACAGAGAGTCCAAAAATAAACAGTCACATCTCTGATCAGTTAATTTTTGGGAGGATACAGGGTCTTGCATAGCTGCTTAGTCTAGAGTGCAACATGGCTCACTGCAGCTTCAACCTCCCAGGCTCAAGCAATCCTCCCTCTCAGCCTCCCAAAATGCTGGGATTACAGCTGTGAGCTACCACATCTGGTTTTAATTGATTTTTTAAAGGGATACCAAGATCATTCAATGGGGAAAGGATAGTATTTTCAATAAATAGTGCTGGGAACACTGGACATCCACATGCCAAAAAATGAGTTGGACATTACACCATATACAAAAATTAACTCAAAATGGATCAGAGACCCAAACTTAACAGCTAAACCTATAAAATTCTTAGAATAAAACATTAGAGAAAATCTTCATGACATTGGATTTGGTAACAGCTTCATAGATCTGACACCAAAAGCACAAGCAAAAAAAGAAAAAAATAGATAAATTAAAACTTTTATCCATGAAAACACACTATCAAGAGAACTAAATCTACTAATTTACTAGAAAATATATGCAAATCATATATTTGCTAAGGGATTAATATCCAGAATATAAGGAATTCCTAAAAATCAACAACAACAAAAAAACTGATTAAAAAGTGGACAAAGAACTTGAAGACATCTTTCCAAAGAAAGTATACAAACAGTCAATAGTTACATGAAACCACGCTCAACATCATTAGTCATCAGGAAAATAGAAAGCAAAACCACAACAAAATACCACTTTACCTCCACTCCCAGGATGGCCATAATTTTAAATTTTTAAATTAATGTGGGTTAGGGTATGGGGAAATTAATCCTTACACTTGCTAGTGAGAATGTAAAATGGTGCAACCACTTTGAAAAAAAGTTTGGTAGTTTTTCAAAGGTTAAACATAGAACTATTATATGATCCTACAATTCCACTCCTAGGTATATAGCCAAAAGAATTGAAAGCAGGTACTGAAACAGATATGTGTACCCCAGTGTTCGTTATTTACAATATCCAAAAGGCGGAAACAACCTAAGTGTCTAACAACAGACAAATGGATAAACAAAATATGATACATACAATGGAATATTATTCAGCCATAAGAAAGAATAGTATTTTAATATATGCTATAACATGTATAGATCTTGCAATTATTATGCTTAGTGAAATAAGTGATACACAGAAGGACAATATTTTGTCATTCTACTTGCATGAAATACCTAGAATATGCAGATTAATAGGGACAGAAAGTGTGAGACAGGTTATCAGTATCTGAGGGAAGGTGGAAAGGAAGAGTTATTTAATGAGTACAGAGGTTTTGTTGGAAATGATGAAAAAGTCTGGGGTTTAGATAGTGGTGACAGCTATACGTCATGAATATATTTAATGGCACTGAATTGTACACTTATGAATGGTTAAAATAATATTGTTACATATATTTTACCACAATATAAAAAAGAACTCTGGGTTTGAATTTTGGCTCCACCACTAACTATATGACTTTAAATGAGTCATTCAATCTTTTGGCACCTCTCATAAAAGTATCAAGGTAGTCAAGTTCTCTAAACATTAATTTCATCATCTATAAAATGAAAATATTGACAGTGTCTATTTCTGAATCATAATTGTAAAAATTAAACTCGCTGTATGTAAGGAACATAGTAAAATATCTGGAACAGATAATTCCTCAATAAAAGTTAGGTACTTGTGTGAGGAGTATTATTTCTTACAGTAAAAAATAATGCATTATTTACAAGGAATATCAAATAATGCTGTCTCAGCATGTATTCTTCTATGAAATACTATATATCAGGTATAAGTAAAGTTTTTCTGTAAATAGCTAGATATAAGTAAATATTTTAGGTTTCACAGGTCATACAGTCTCTGTTAGAACTACTTAACTCTACCATTGTAGCATGAAATTAGCCACAGACAATACAGAAATGAATGGGTAACTGTGGTCCAATAAAACTTTATTCAAAAACAGGTGGCACCCAGGATTGATTCACAGACTGTAGTTTGCTAACTCAATGCTAAACATATGGTTTTCATTAAAAAACTAACACATTTTTTAAAAATCAGACATACTTTTGTTTCCTTCTAAATGGATTGCTTTGAAGAATCCTATCTCCCCCTTAAAACAAATGGTTAACTTTAGAGAATTTAATGATTGCTTTTTCCCTGCTAAACACATAAGCTGATGCTTTACCAGATATGCCCAAAAGGCCAGATGCGAATTTTGAAAACTACACCTAGATCCCTTGGTCACATTTTGCTGGGATCTGCCTATCTATAGAAATAATATTTACTTCTTCCACTGTATTGCTATGGAAATTATTATCTGTGAAATGCTTGAAAGATGTAAAACTTAAGTATTACTACATAGTTCTGCAGCCAGGATCCTTTATTATACTTTTTTGTCAGTACATAATTAAGTAAAATGCAATACATTTAATCTCATTTAGTTATTTCTCTTTTGTTGTATCAGTGTATTAATATTTGTAAATGGCCATGAAAACAAAAATGGAAACCTGAATTCCCTTACAATTATAAAGGCAGACAACTAAGGATTCAGCCTTGACCCACAATTACCAAAGGTAACCACTAAAATGTATGATTCCAGTAAAGAAGTGTCTTTCTACAGTTTTACTAAAGGATTCCCCTCAAGAATTCCCCTGTAAACCAGATCTAAAACACACTCCTTCCTCTAGCACATCCTACTCAGAAACTCTGCACTATATTTTTAAACACAAAATGCTTCATGAATCTGAACTGACTGAATTAAAATCAGAATCCCTATAGTATTTCTCAGAAATCCATAATACACCAAAAGCTACCTCACCTGCCATTTCTCATTTAGGGGAAAACAGTATCTCCTTCATTAGTATAGTGCTGAGTATCCCCACCTGCCATTAAGGGGGAAACAGACAAGCTGTACTGTTCACATCGCTGAGGGAAGACAGCCTCTCCCAGGAAACTTTGTCCCTCTTTTCTCCACAGCCCCTTGGCATTTGTGACTATAGTCTGAAATAAAGTTTAAACCCTATTACAATAAATTGAGGAGCTGTCCAGAGTTTGTGTGTGTTGATCTGCTCCACTTCAAGCTGTTTAATAGATAAAAAACAAACACACAAACAACTCAAGGCCGGGCGCGGTGGCTCATACCTATAATCCTAGCATTTTGGGAGTCCAAGGCAGGCGGATTGCCTAAGCTCAGGAGTTTGAGACCAGATTGGCTAACACGGTGAAACCCCGTCTCTACTAAAATACAAACAAATAGCCGGGCATGGTGGCAGGTGCCTGTCATATCAGCTACTCGGGAGGCTGAGGCAGGAGAATTGCTTGAACCCGGGAAGCGGATGTTGCAGCGAGCTGAGATCGCGCCACTGCACTGCACTCCAGCCTGGGCAACCGAGTGAGTCTCCATCTCAAAAAAAAAAAAACAAAAAAAAAAAAACTGGGGTATGCTTGCTTTGTTTTAAAAGAGATCAATCACAGGATTTTTATAATAGCTCCATAAGCACACGTTAAAAATAATTCATTTGAGAAAAAAAAAAAATTGGTATTCACCAGTTAACTTCTCAGGAACATTTCTACTGTGTCAGTCTAAATTTATCTGGTAACTGAGATACATCACAGATTGTACAAAAATTAGGACATTGGCTAGCACTGGGGAGACTCTGAGTATTCTCATGGTATTTCCTGCAGAAGGACATGACTTCTTAGTGAAATTGATTCCTGTTTCCAACACCCTGAAATGATGTTTATCTTTGAGTAATTATTGAACCTTTATACAGTAGAACTTGCACACCTACCGAGAAATTCTGTCGTACCTGTGTGGAGATTTTCTCTTGTGTATTGACAGAGCACGGTGATTTTTTTAAAAAAGACTTAAAATGTTTCCTGTTCCTCCTATTAGATTATAATGCCCCAAAACAACCATCTTGACTCCTGTCTCTTCTAGGCATCAACCACCACTTAATAAACAGTCTCTATTAGAGGACTTTATTGTAGAAGACGGTCAAGTGGGGAACAATAACCCCAACACTGAGGTGGTTGCTGACACCAAAATGAAGTCCTAAGGCTTAACATGATCCTCGCGTGGTAAATTTGGCAGAGCAAGGGCAAAAGGCTTTGGATTTCATCCCTTGTGTTCTATTTCCTTGTTGAGTGGCCTTGGAAAATTTATTTAAGCTCTCTGAATCTCAGATTTCTCGTCTGTATAAGCAGGATAATATATACCAGCTACCACCCAGGGCAGGTATAAAGTAAGCACTGATCCAGGTGGGTCTCAATACGTAGTAGTTATTCTTATTCCAATGTTTTGAAAATATTTTTACCAAAAGAGAGAGGAAAAAAAAAGAATTTACATGTCCTAAAAATCCTCCTAATCCACCAAAAGAGAGAGAGAAAAAAAGAATTTACATGTCCTAAAAATCCTCCTAATCAGAACCTTTCATGCTTTCCTTCTTCCTACATACCAGCATTCAGGTTAATAGAGGTTTCCTTATGAAAAGTGCAGAAAAGAATGAAAGTAGTTGAGAAGCAGCTGGCTTCTCTCAACTGACTGACTTAGGTAAAAAATGCAATACCATTTTTTTGCAGCGGTTATAACAATTCCCCTATTTTCCCATCCTCGGTTTGCAAACAGTGATTTAAAAAAATACAGTTATCTTTCCTTTAATGCAGCTCTCTATGGATTCTTTAGTTATTTCTCGTGTATTCAAGAGAGGCTGGGCCAATCAGATATTAGATGGGCTCTAAGCTTCTTCCCTGACTTGATCCTGGCTCCTTAGCTCGCAGACTAGACAGTAGTCAGAGCAACAAAAGGTGTTAACTCCAAATAGAAAAATGTGAACTTTTGTTTAACAGCACCAAGTAAGGTTTATAGTTAGATTGAACCCTCAATAAAATGGAGCCTGCTTTGAAAGATTAATTTATCTTTGTTATCCATCCCTCATGTTAGTCAAAACATGATGACACATCTCTTCTTCCTGTCTAACACGAGTCTAGAGAAACATAATATTTAACCATGCTTATGAAATAAGAAAATAACAGAAAACTGAGGATAGGGTGGGGAGGAGGTAGCTTGGTTCCTAATATAATCTGCATTATATTAAGCAGTCCTCAACCAAGAAATGATTATATACTTCTAAGAATACTTCTTAAATTCTTTAAAAATCTCACTAGGTTTGAATCTGACACACCAGATACCATCGCTTTCCAAGTATTTCATCAGTGTTTTTCATCTGTCATGGGACACTGACATTTGATGAATTTTAAATGAGAGACTATATGGTACTACCAGCAGACAGCAGATAAAATAGCATCTTTTACCCCAACTCTGTCTCAGCATTGTCTTGAAAAAAATATTTGAAGAGCTCTTACTGAAGTTTGCTTTCCTCATAGAAACAAGAGAGTTCTTTATTTAACAAACCTATGCTTCTCAATATAGTGATAATACCTTTTGCCTGAGTCTGAAAGGGCAAAATAGGAAAATACCTAGAAGTGATTTTAGACTACACACCAAGGTTCACCCTGTGATTTTTAAAGGTTCAAATTTTGTTCCAATTTCTGCATTACAAGATTCTGTCATCTTATAATCCTCTCTGTCTTCATTTTAGAGTAATTTCTCAGGAAAAATGTTGCATACTAGGAAGCTTATTCAACCAGCCAAGAGAATAAGATAGATGTTTTCCCTTCTCTTGATGAGGAGATGTGGAATTTTAGTGTTCTGACAGGTCTAATGGTTGAGTCTCTTGGGTTTTTCAGGTTAAATCAGAAGGCAAAGTAGCACATATAAGAGGGCCACCTGAAGGAGGGCATTAAGTCACTGATGATAGAAACAGCTATGGTGAAAAGCTAGAGGTTTTCTAAGGAGTAGGGATCCAAAGCTCAAATAAGTCAGACCTGAGACATAGTAAGTATTCAGTAAGTGGTGTGTGTACAGAAGAGACCACTCACTACTAGAGCCAAGTTTTAACAATTTGAAAGAACACATTTAATATTAATAAAAACTAAGAAAATATATATATGAAGACTTGCTTGATAGCCATCGCTCAAAAAATTTTATTTCCCCAAGTGTATTTTAGTCACAATTTTAAAAATTGTAAGAAATTTTGTGTCATTAAAAAGCTCCTTATTCTCTTCTGGATATTTTGAAATATACAATAGTCAATCATTACACATTGCATAAATGTATCAAAATGTCACATGTACTCCAAAAATATGTACATCTATTGTGTATCAATAAAAACTTTTTGAGAGAAAAACCTTTATGAAAACCCTCCCTTATAATCAGCCAAAATTTGCTATCTTTATAACTTTTACATATGGGGTTACATATGAATCCTAGCTCAGTCCTTCAGTCCAAAGAAAGCAAGCCCACTTCCACCTCCTCATGACAAACATTTTGATGCTTAAATATTTAAAGACAGTTATCTCATCTCCATAAGCCTTCTCACTGTAGGTGAAACAACCTTACTCTTTCAACCATTTTTCTGTATGACATGGTTTTTAGAGATTATTTATCAGACACGTTGATTTTGTTCCATAAGGAGTTCTGAAAACATTAAGGTCCATATTATTAAGAGCTTCTTATGTTAATAAATAGAATATTTTAAATAAAAGACGTATGTATCAGAAATTTCTCAAAGAACTTAAAACAGAGCTACCATTCAACCCAACAATCCTATTACTGGGTATATACCCAAAGAAAAATAGATCATTCTTATCAAAAAGACACATGCACTTGTATATGTATCGCTGCACTATTCACAATAGCAAAGAAACGGAATCAACCCAGGTGCCCATCAATGGTAGATTGGATAAAGAAAATGCAGTATATATGTACCATGCAATACCATGTAATTATTAAAAAAATGGAATAATGTCTTTTGCAGCAACATGGATGGAACTGGAGGCCATAATCCTAAGCAAATTAATGCAGGAACAGAAAACCAAATACCACACGTTCTCACTTAGAAGTGGGAGCTAAATATTTAGCACACATGGACATAAATATGGGACCAATAGACACTGTGGACTACTGGAGAGTGGAGGGAGGAGGGGTGAGTTAAAAAAAAACTACTTACCAGATATTATGCTCACTACCCGGGTGGTGGGATCCATACTCCAAACCTCAGCATCACGCAATCTTCCCATGTAACAAACCTGCACATGTATCCCTGTATCTAAAATAAAAGTTGAAATTAAAAAAAGACATATGTAGGCATTTTGATATCTGCTTGAAGCTTTATGAATCACATGACTTACAACTGTCTTCTACCACCTGATGGTGAGAAGTGTTTGAAAATTACAGGTCAGTTACTAAAAAGTAAATAAAATGTTGGAACAATTAAAAATATAGAAATGTTGAAAAAATCAAAACTACAATCTCAGGCTGACACCTTTCTGACATCACCCAACCTTTGCACAGGTTTGTGCCCTAAATTTCCAATATAAATATAAGTGGTTTTCAAACTTACCAAAATGCCCGGGCAACCCTTTCTTCAGTTAGATTCAATATACTGTACTAGTTAAGGGCACTGTCTGAGCTCAAATCCCAGTTTTACCACTTCCTAGCTGTGCAATCTTGAACAAGTTACTTAACCTCTCTGTGTTTTAACTTATGGAAAATGAGGATAAGAACATCTACCCCACAGGTTTTTTGAGAATTAAAGGATATAGGCCAGGCGCGGTGGCTCATGCCTATAATCCTGGCACTTTGGGAGGCCGAGGCGGGTGGATCACCTGAGGTTAAGAGTTCGAGACCAGCCTGACCAACATGGAGAAACCCCATCTCTACTAAAAATACAAAATTAGCCAGGTGTGGTGGCACATGCCTGTAATCCCAGCTACTCGGGAGGCTGAGGCAGGAGAATTGCTTGAACCCGGGAGGCGGAGGTTGCGGTGAGCCAAGATTGTGCCATTGCACTCCAGCGTGGGCAACAAGAGTGAAACTCTGTCGCAAAAAAAAGAAAAGAAAAAAGACAAAAAAGAATTAAAGGAGATAATATGAGGTGTTGAGAACAATATCTGGCATAAAGTTAAGTATTATGTAGGTGCTTGCTATTATTATCATTCAAATAAAAAATTTACCAGGAAATTGAATGTATGCATAAAAGAGAAAAAAGTGGCCCTGCTCTATTTGAAGAAAACGTGCTATAGTCCAAACTACACCACAACCCAACCCACCCCATCCCTGCAATCTGCACTAAATGATTTTACGTCTTGGGGTTAAAGAATCATGTCAACAGAAATTCTAGTCAAGAATAAATCATCTACTACTAATATCACAGAATGAGTTAATTTATCCTGGAAGGGTCAGTCACCTTGGAAGGTAGAGAGTGGGGCTCTAATATTAAAAAAAAAAAAAAACTGAACAAGTTGTTACACACACACACACACACACACACACACACACACACACACACGGATAAAAGGAAGAATCCATCTGGAGCATGGTCGAACAGCCAGTCAGAACAGGTCTGCAGAGAAGCACTGTAGGGAAATAATGCTGCAGCTGAGAATGATGATAGATAACGATCGTTGAGGGGTTACAATATGTTAAACAAAAGTTGTTTATATGTGTTTACTTGTCAAGACTCACAACAAATCTATGGGGTAAATGTTTTTATCATCCTTTATCAGCCCATTTTATAGATGTGGATAATAGGCACAGAGTGACTAAATAACTTGCCCAAAGTTATGTAGCTGGCAAATGGCCGAACTGAAATTCAAACACTGACACTATTAGTCACACACAAACCCAACATCAGTTGATATCCTGAAGGAGACCAAGGCAGGGCGAGACACAAATCACTGAGAACACCCAATTGTGCTCAGTACTACTCTGGTCTTATGTAACAAAGTCATCATACATGTGCGAACTCTGGAACCAGACAGATCTATGTTCAAATTCTTGTTCCACTGCGTACAAGCTGGGGCTGTGTGATCTTGAGCAAGACACTGAATTACTCTGGGCCCCAAGTTGCTCAATGTTGTCTTGAGAAGTAGACATCGTGGGTACAAATCACCTAGCACCTTTTCACATAGCAAGCTTTCAACAAACAATATTATTGTTGATACTTTAATAGTTCAAATTGTGGTATCCATTACCTACCTCCCATCCCAATTTAGAAATTAACATCATCCCCATAGCACAGAAAAGGACACAAATAGACTAAGTAATTTACACAGAACTGACAGCAGGTCAGCCCAGGGCAGGAAGTCAAATCCAAAATTTCCCAGTGTCCAATTTAATCATTTGCAACTTTCAGCTACCTCTGCCAAATTCTCAAATTGTTCCTCTTCCTAAGTCTGTCTTTCTCACCCAAAGAAGAACGTGAGCACTTGTAACCAATGTCAGATTAAGATTAGAAAGATTTTCTGAGTGACAGGACAATCCTCTTGCATTTTCTGGGGGAGATTGGTTCCTGCCAACCAACTGGCAGGAAAAAAAAGGTGACAGCAAGCCGCATAAGTACAAGTATCAGTGGGTGGAGAATGTCAGAAACAAAGAAAACTCTTTAAAATGTTAAATGCAAACTCATTTACTGGTGGCCATAGATAAGATGGCAGAGTTTACTATTGACAGGGACTGTGACAGTGATGAATGAAACCATTCTGGAACTGTGAAGGAAAGTGGCCTGCTGTGAAGGGGGGAAGACATCTGAAGAGGAGCGGGAGGATGCTGTAGGCGGAGGAACAGGAAGAGAACCAGAACTAGTTATGTGTGGGCTGAGGCATTTTCAGTGGCAGAACAAAAAATATAGAAATAATGTTGCTTCTGGTACTTAAAAACCCCCAGGCAGGCATCAATTCCCACCCACCCCTAGTCCCCCACACTAAAATCAGGGACACTATGGCTTCAAAGGGAGAATGAGGGGGAAGGGATAAATGGGTAAGATGCATTTCTACAAATGAAATTAAAGAAAGTCAGTTATCAAATTCCAAAAGGAAGAAAAGGATCCCAAGACAGGGCCAGTATAATGGATGATGTAATCTGCGAACACACAAACGACTATCTCTCAGCACTTAAGGACTATTATAGAAGGACTAGAGGAGTTGGAAAGTCATTGTTCTGAGTTCTTTTCACTTCTCAGTTAAAAGACAACGTGCTGCCAGAAATAAACCAAGTCTGAGTCATAGGTGAAATTGAAAGAAAGTGTTGAAATGAACGGTGAGTTATGGAAATGGGTTTATTTCTCATAAATGAAAATAAAGAATTTTGGTTCACCACATTTCTTTAAAAACTATTGGGGAGAAAGAGAACTCTGCACACTACTTTTTTCAATATTTGACTATTTTAGTGAATATAACCATGTGTTTTAAGTTCACTTTCCCTCAACACAGCTTCGGTATTCATGTTCCTCAAGCAAAGTTGCATTATGTCCTCTGAAATACTCTCATGCACACTGCAAGCATTTATTTGGCTCCTACTGGGTGATAAACATGGATAGTTGGAGAGACCATATCAACAGGCATGAAGCTCGTAAATCCTAATTAAAAGGTGAAGTCTCCACTGTAGGCAAGTTAAAAATAAAAGAGGCCCTAGGGCTGAATGTCAAATATAAGAGAAGGCAACTCTAAAAACCAAGGTAATTTTCATTGACTAGAGTGGTCATGGAACATGTAAGAGAAGATGAGCCTTTAGGAATAGGTCAGATTTCTAGAGAGAGGGGGGAAAAAAGGAGAAAGACTATTTCAAGATGTGAAGGTCCTTCTACCACAAAATTTTCTTTTTGACTGAAAAATTCCTATCTTGCCAAATTAAAAGAAAAATATCCAAAAGTTCAAGTTTCCTAGGCTTTTCAAAACTCCTTTTAATAGCTTTATTATCTGCCATTTTTCACCTTTTTAAAATTCAAAAATCCATTTCTTGGCTCTTAATCTTTTGTTAACTTAAGTAGTCCTCAAATCTAAGCATGTATCTGAATCTCGTGTTTAGCTTATTAAACAGGCAGCTGCTATATGGTCTCTGATTTCAGCCCAAGCAGGTACCTGTCTGGGTGAATTCTGTGGCAGATTTTCAAGGAGGGCCAGATTTTGAGAAACACTGGTACTATTCCTATTAATAAAAATGTACCCCATAATGTAAGCCTCTTGATAGCACTAAGCCAGAAGGAACTTGGAGAATAAAAATATAGATATTTAAGATGTGACTCCACATCCTCCTCACCAGCACCCCTAACCTCCAGCTGTTTTATTCCATGAAATACAGAACAACTGAGTTATAAAAATTATCCCCCACCCCCCAAAAATTTGGATACATGCACATACATATGTAAATACATACATAATTTATAACATAAAGAACATCAAGCTGATATAAAACGTTGGCTCAGGTTAACTCAAAACCTACAAAGTTTACACGGATTCAAAGTCCAGCAGAAAAATGTACCCTCTCATCCCAGCCAGGCTAGATGTCTTATCCTAAGCAGTGACCTCAGGGCTATCAATCCAGTAGCAAATAATAAAAGAAAAATATAGCTCTAAATCTGCAAAACCCAATGCATCACATCTTGAATAGCAGAAGCCAGGGATCCATTTCCACCTCCCCTGAGGTTAGAGAAAATAGCTCAGCATTTAACTCATACTGCCTAGGATGCCCAAATAAAGCACAGCTCTGAGCAAGGCACTGACAATCCATTGTCTACGCTATAGAATAAAATGCCTACCTCTTAATCTGACAGTCAAATGCCTCTTTCATGTGATCCCCAAACAATCTGAAATACCATATCTACTGTTATTTCCACATCCTATACTGCTATCACACTAGACTATTCCCATTCATTGTACAGACCTGCCCTGGACTTTTTCCCCTGTATGGCATTTAACATGCTAGTAGTCCCTCCACCCAGAATGCCCACAATTTTTGCCCTTTTCATCTATCTTCAGGTGCCTCCATGAAGACTTCCCTAGCCTCTAGCCAAGAGTAATCTTCCTCTCATTAATGCTTCCACCACATTTGGTAGCTCTCTTATAATGCTTAGTGCATTCTGCCTGCTTTATACATGGTCGTGTATGTCTCCTGTCTTGCCTATTAAATTTTAAGCCCCTCGAAGGCAGATGCCATGCCTTATTCTCCAAATCACCTGATGGAGCAATTTACTAGATTAGTGAATTTTTTCCTGCTGGCACAGAAAGGGTTAAGCACAGACTGCTGTGATAACTGACAGATGGTCTGAGAAAACTCTTTCCATTAGTAAAACTGGCATTCCTCCAATAAGGAAAGACTGGATCTGGCTAATTAAAGCACATTTTTCTCTGGATACTATAAGATGTGATTCCTTCATTTTCTTCTCATTTTTCAATAAGAAGCATTTGAAATTTCTGAGAAATGATAGTGTGATAAAAGCAACCAAGTTTGATGGTCCAGGCTGTTCCTCATCTATCCTTCACTTCCTTTGCACTAGATTTTATTTAAGTCTCAGACTTATAGTTAAGAGAGCACTCTGGGATGTAAGGTACAGGACAACCAATCTTGATTGCACTATATTAAAGTGTTGCTCTCCATTCTGGTTTAGGCATAATGTAAAAAGAGAACCCCCACATTGATCAGCAGATTTAGTCAAGAAATCCCCCTCCCCACAAGGCTCTCCCATATTATAGAGCCTTCTGGGGAGTCCCAGCCAAGTTAAAAACAGTCTCTCTCTTCAAGGAGTTCACACTCTAGCTAGAGCCCCAGTATCAACACACCCACATGTTTTTTCTTAAGAGACAAATTAACCGACTATTGACAGATCACCATGGTGCTCAGTGGGCATTGAGTACCAAGCTGACCCTAAGAAAGCACAGGCTTAATGGACAGCTGCCTACACCATGTGGTACAAGGGCCAAGGAAACTATGTCTCTATGTCAGCCTGCCTCAGTTTCTGAAATTCCATTGTTCCCTAGAGGTAAGGCATTAAGGACATCCATTGCAAATGCAAACATTTCGAGCCAGTAGTTTAATGAATAATTGCATAACAACTTTTCACAAATATGTAAGCCAATGAGAGAGCAGGCATCTGCTGAACAGGAAGAAAGCTCAAACCTGCTTCTGACAGGCACTTAAGACCACTGCCTTTGCTCTCTCTATACCACTTACCACCATTTGAAATATTTTGGGTGCCGTTAGCTTCTCCCTCAAGGAGCTCTGTTTAGTGAGGAAGAGAAATATGTAAATATATAATTTTAATATAATGGGGTAAGAGACAGATGTAGAGGTATTCATAGATCCCATGGAACTGAAGGAATTGGAGGTGCTATCTGAGCTGTATCTTGAAGTATGGACAGAAATTAGCAAATAAAGGTAGAAACAGTATCTCAGGAAGAGTGATTTGCATGGGCAAGGACATGAGAAAGCCTTTTGTGTGTAAGTATGTAGTAGGGGAGAAGAGTCACTGAAGGGTCGAAAGATCTGTATGCCATTCGCTATTACCATAGCATCAAGTGGGAGGCAGAAAGTAAGAGAAGGTGAGACTGATCATGGCAAGAGACAGATCATGCAAGGCTTTATACATCATGACAAGGAGCTTGGATGGACCTGATGCTCATGTCAATAGGGAACATTAAAGAGGAAAATGAGACAATCAGATTTTTGTTTAGGAAGATCAATAGTGGCTGTGTGAAAAGTGGATTAAAGAGAGACAGGACTAAAAGTAGGAAGTGCAATTAACAAGCTGGCTCAATAATTTTCTCTTTGCCTTTCTCCCTGTCCTTTCTCTCCTCCCACACTCCCCCTTCTTCTTTTTCTATCTTCTTCTGCCTTCTCACCAGTCAGTGCCTCAGGCCTGCCCTTGGTCCCTGGTGGAAGTGCAGGCAGGTCTCCAAGTTGGAGGGAGAAGTTTCCAAGGTTGGGTATTTTTCTTCATGGAAAAAATTCAACCAACTTGACATCTAGATGCCACCCACAATGATAGCTATAGGGAGAGCTACAGAGAAAGTAGCAAAATTACTATCTCATCAGAATGTGACTTTGACCTGAAAAAGCTCTTGAAGACGCTCCTTGGATGCCTGCTCTATTCAGTGTGGCAAAAAAAAAAAAAAAAAAAGGAGTTCAAATAACTTCTACTATTTGACTGGAGTGATAAAAAAGTTTAGAACTGAGGCAAATCCATGTTCTGTGTTCATTTACCACAGAAGCCCTACTTTCGTTTCCTCCTCTATTTTGCAAAGCACTAGTAAATGCTTGAGTTTTTCCTTAATAATTCCTTGTCTCTCCTTTTGCTTCAGCAAGCCGCCTGCAAGCAACTCACTGTTTAACTTGTGCACTTTCCTATAATTGATTTTTCACCTTAGATATCATCTTTAACCACAAAATATCTGATAAAAATAGCCCAGGCTGAAAGTTAACACTTTCAATCTAAGTAATACCATCACCCGATGATGATCAAAAGGATAATCTTAAAGTGAAGTGGACCTTGGTCTCAGCTCAGTCGACCTGGAGGCATTTCCATCTTACACTCAAATAAGAGGCTCCAGTGTCTGTCCTTGAGGCTGACCAAACTTAATATAGTGCTTCCCCCAAATAACATAAGCCTCAGGCACAGGGCCACTCAAGGCAGAGAAGCCTCGGGTTATATGATATCATTCTTTCACCTTCACCAATCCTTAGACAGATGGAATCTATTATACTAGGCACATTGAACATGTCTTAACAGATTGTATTAGTGAGGCCGCAAAAGCTAGGAATGACAGTGGTTATCTGGATTCCTGTGGAGACAAAAAGCCAACTCGAAACAGTCTCTAGGAAAGTTAGTGAAGCCCAGAGTCCAGTCTTTACTCCAATAAACATTTAATTAGCATTTCTTGAGTGCCCAGTAGTGTGCTAAACAAGAGCCCACTTGGGCCCTCAGGTGATTACAATCTAGCTGATCTGGGAGACAAAACCCATCTATAATAAAATAACTAAAATCTAATTGCCAATCAACTCAAAAGTTGCAAACAATGTGACATTAAAGCAGGCAAGATGAGATGGTGTTACAGGAAAGGCGACCCAATCCAGACCACAAGAGAGGGTTCTTGTATCTCACGCAAGAAAGAATTTAGGCCAAGTCCACAGTGCAAAGTAAAAGCAAATTTATTAAGAAAGTAAAGTGGTGAGGCCAGGCGCAGTGGCTCATGCCTGTAATCCCAGCACTTTGGGAGGCCGAGGCGGGCGGATCATAAGGTCAGGAGATCAAGACCATCCTGGCTAACACGGTGAAACCCCGTCTCTACTAAAAATATAAACAATAGCCGGGCGTGGTGGCGTGGTGGCCAGCTACTCAGGAGGCTGAGGCAGGAGAATGGCGTGAACCCAGGAGGCGGAGCTTGCAGTGAGCCGAGATAGCGTCACTGCACTCCAGCCTGGGCGACAGAGCGAGACTCCGTCTCAAAAAAAAAAAAAAAAGAAAAGAAAAGAAAAGAAAGGAAAGTGGTGAAAAGACAGCTACTCCATAGACAGAGTAGGATGTTCCCAAAAGTAAGAGGAGGAATGTGTCCACTCTAGGTACAGTGCTCGTATATATGGGGAGATGTGCTCTGCTACAAGGGTTTGTGATAAAGGATTAATTTTCTTAATTACTATATTTCACAAGAATCAGTATTATTATCTTTAAAGCAAAATTAGGAATGCCTTTGTTCTCCAGATATCAGGATATCTGGAAACTCCAAGTCTGGGTCTGTTTAGAAAACATTATTAATTTGTTCCCTTAACCTTAAACATCTAGAGGCTAGGAATGCCTGACTTTCTGGGAATGCAGCCCAGCAAGCCCCAGCCTCATTTTCCTAGCCCCCACTCAAAACGGAGTCGCTCTGGTTCAAACGCCTCTGACAGAGATGCCCCCTCCCTTTACAGGAGGACCCTTAATCCTAAGGGTTGCAGAGGGACAAAGATCCATCTTCTGTAACTTCATCAGGCTGAATAGGGACGATGATATTCCTGCCTAACTATTAGGGCTTCTTGCATTCAGGGTAGAGAGAAACGCAGTTAGAAAGCGTTGCTATGGTGAAGGTCGTTCATAACTCTGAGTTCCTACAAAAGGTGATATACGGAAGATTAAAAAGTATCCAATTTAATAAAGCCTTGATTGAGCTTGCCTTGCATTCCTACACAGAGAGTACAACCCCAATATATTCCACAAGAGCAAAGCAAAATAAGTAAAGTCATTCCAAGTAAACTAAACAGAAAGGCCTTCCAAGAACTGGGCAGTTGTTGCAACCAAGCTGATACGGGGTCGACTGATAGCGCATCAGTGGCAGATATGTGAGTGTCGAAAGCTTTCACAGCTTGGGTAATATTATGTGAATAGTCTGAAACATACACACAACATTCGGTTTTGATCAAAGCACGAGCTCCCGCTGGGCTGCTGTTAAAATGTCCAAAGCCACACGGTTTTGTAAGGCTACCTGCCTAATCTGAGAAGTTTCCTCAGTTAGGAGGGTAAGGGCATGGCATGTATTATGGAAAGCTGCAGCTGTGTGCTTTGCGAAGGCTTCAACTTGTCACTCGATACTGATTGTAGTTGCCTGCAGGGAAAATATAGCCATAGGATAAAATCACCAAGATGCTTCTTTTTGTTGCCCATGGCGAGCTTTTATAATTTCCCAGTTAGATGACAGAGAGTCCAGTTTGGTGAGGATACGTCCCGGGAGATAAGGGCAACCCCACTTACACCTTCTAGTCCAGTTATAAGGTAAGTATGGCCAGCCATGAGTTCCACAAGCCCACAACCATCCCCAAGAAGAAGGGTAGGCACTCATTTTTTGGCAAATTATCTTGTCATCCCATCCACATCTGGTCTGTTAGAAGAAGAGTCTGATTACATTGTTGAAATAACAGCCATCCCATATCAGGGGTTCCAGTTTGGTGGTGACTATTATTGTGCCTTTGAAAACACAGAGGTGCTTTGCCTGAGACCTGCAGTTGAACAGCTGTCATTCATCCAAGTTCATTATGTATAGCATAACCTAAAGTTGGGGTGGAGTTTAGCTGTTTTCTAATTAAATTAAAAAGGTACCTTCTTGTCTTCTCACAGTAGGGGAATGGGCTAAGGCCCATGTGGCTATATATAACACATGGGAAAAGAGGGGCTAAACCTTTGCCCACTCAGTAAGTAAGTTACTCTCTGCATTATTCCAACTTATAGCCAAAAGTAGAATGCCAATCCATATCTTTATGTTATCCATCCCTTTCATTTCTTCTGAACAGGAGTTGGAGGTCACTGACTGGCTCACAGGAATAAACAGTATCAGTCTCTTGTCTTCCATTGGCCTGTGGGACTGCCACGTCAAGGGTTACCCGAGGCTTCTCTGGAGATATGGCTAGTTGTCCGATGGGAGCTGGGGTGGAAGGACTGGGCCCAATCACTCTTGAGCTTGCCTGGCTACTTCAGCCATCATTGGTTCAGGTGCCAATGTCTCCCTTCAGAACGCTGGGAAATCCCTCTTCCAATGACCAGTTTCCTTAGAGTGTGCACACTGATTTATGCCCAAAGCACGGTGACTCAGATGTCCAGCTCTGGACTTCCCACCTTTCAGCTTCCCTTGCTAAGGCCCAGAGCCAGGAGGACAACCCCATGTGGGAGGTGAGCGTAAGGCTGCAGCCAAGAACTGCACCTTGTGGGAGGTCCTTCTTGCTCTTTCTGCTTCTTCTGCTTTGTCCTTGTTATTAAAAATTAAAAATGCCATACCCAAAAGCTGTTCCATAGGATTCTGGGGACCCATAGCTGCTTTTTGTAGTTTCCTATGGATATTGGGGCAGACTGGGATATAAAATGTACTCCCAAAAGGGTTTGCCCTTCCCTTGAGGCAGGATCAGTGTTAGTATATTTCCTGATTGCCTCAACTAAATGCCCTTGAAACAAAGCTGGATTCTTATCTTTACCCTGAGAAACTTCCCTAACCTTGTCATAGTTAACAGGCTTTTTTATACATTTCTTCATCCCTTCCAACAAAAAAGTGACCATATGATCTCTCTTCCCCAAGTCCTCACTGCCCCTTTGATAGTTCCACTCTATATCTTGATCTGGAATTGCTATACCTCCTGCCTGATATATATTATGGTCCGAGTTGCAAGCCAATACCTCATCTTCATGGGCCCTAGCTGTCCCCAAAATGTATTGTTTCTCTTCCACTGTACAACACAGAGACAACAAAATGTGCAGATCCTGCCAAGTTTAAATATAGGTCACAGTTAATTTCTCAAAACTATCTATGAATTTTCCTGGATCTTCAGAGAAATTACCAACCTTTCTTTACATAGAGTCAATTAGACCTAGAAAAGGGGACATGTACTCTCATAGGCCTTCTTCCTTATTTGCCACCTCTCTAAGTGGACAAAGATTTCCCTTTGGTGGTTGCTAGGAGGCTCCACTACGAGTAGTACTCACTGGGCTAAGTTCCTCATGAGTGGTGGGTATAGAGTGGGAGTAGATGGGTAAGGAGGAGGGGACAAAGGGTTCTCAATAGAACTTTCCGGTGGACGAGAGGGAGAAAAGACCAACACATCTGAACCTTCAGAGCCAACAGAAGGAGGTTCTGCTCCACCCAAAAATGCCTGCTGAACCAGGGAAAGGGGGCTTGCATTAAAGGATCATTTAGTATGTCTAGTTTTTTTTCCTTTCTTTTTTCTCATCAAACATGATTCACATTATCTGAATAATGGAAGTGAGTCGAGCCATGAATCTTAGATAAACCACAACATGGACTTCGACAAATATGTCAAATAAGGCAAAGAAAATGAAGAGGATTTAGATGGGAATGACCAGAGCAAGCAGGTTTTGGACAATAGCAGAGAAGCATAGCTGGTTTGCCCGAATCCAAGAAAGAAGTGTTTTTTTAGTGTGCAAAATGAAACAAAACAGCAAGGAGAAAAGTCCCCCCCTGATTTCCATCCTACTGCTTTGGATCACACCTAGTCGGCATAGCGGCAACAAAACATAACCACATCTGTCTAATCCTATTGCTCATAGCTGTTAAATACCAAATCTCAATCAGCAATTTTAGAGACAGAGCCTTCAATGCTTTTTGTTCCCAATGTTTCACAAGCAGATGGACGGAAATCGGGAGGCACATAGGAAAAGAGAAAGTTAAAATCTCCAAGACCAGTTAAATAAAGTCTCCTGAAAATGACAGTGAAACAGAGACAGCAACCAAGAAATTGATTCATGCAGCAAGGAGGACAATGTAAATACAAAGAACATAGCCTATGGTGCTAAACCCATTTTTAGCCAAGAGGGACTTTACCGAGAGGGGCCTCTAAGCCCCTAAATCTTAGAAGGGACTCTATCCCTTCTAAGTCGGGCCTCTAACCCAAGGTCAGTCAAGTGTCCTTGCCTTTTATTAAGAGGGGCCTCTAACCCACTCTGTCTTAAGAGAGGCTTTAACTCCCCTAAGTTGGGCCTCTAACCCAATCCCATTCTTTACCCAAGTACACCACCAGTTACCCAAAGTCATCCAATCAGTGCTGCAGTCTATTTCCTTTGGTTTGAGGGGGTTTCTTCAGTATCATCCCTTCCATGGTTCACCAGAAATATGTTACAGGACCCCAACACTTACCCAAAGGTAGCCATTGAGTCAGGGTTTCTGTACTACAGTCCCATCTGGGTCGCCAGAAATATGTTGCAGGAAAGGAGTACCGATCCAGACCCCAAGAGAGCATTCTTGGATCTCCTGCAAGAAAGAATTTAGGGCGAGTCCACAGTGCAAAGTAAAAGCAAGTTTACTGAGAAAGTAAAGTGGTGAAAAAACAGCTACTCCATAGACAAGAATAGGAGGTTCCTGAAAGTAAAAAGAGGAACTCATCCACCCTAGATACAATGCTCGTATATATGGGGAGATACACTGTGCTACAAGGGTTTGTGATAAAGGATTAATTTTCTTAATTAGTATATTTTGCAAGAATCAATATTATTATCTTTAAAGCAAAATTAGGAATGCTTTTTTCTCTAGATATCAGGATATCTGGACACTCCCAAGTCTGGTTCTGTTGAGTAACATTATTAATTTGTTCCCTTAACCTTAAATATCTAGAGGTTAGGAATGCCTAACTTTCTGGGAATGCAGCCCAGCAAGCCCCAGCCTCATTTTCCTAGCCCTCACTCAAAATGGAGTTGCTCTGGTTTGGACGCCTCTGACAATGGGATTCAAGAAAAGCCCTTAAAAGGGGTGATTGATTAGGGGACATTGATGAGATTTCAGGGGGAAGAAAAATGACTTTTTAAAAAGCTGCCATTTATTGAGTGCTTGCTATGTTTCAGGCATTATGCCAAGCATGGATTAATTCATTTAACCTTCACAGTATTTCTATATCCCCCATTTTACAGATGAGGATGGGAGGATCAGAGTACTTAAATTACTTGCTAAAGCTCAGATAGGCTGATATGTAGCAGGGACAGAAGTCAAACCCAAGTTTGCCTGACTATACAGCCCACATGCATTTAACCACTCTCTTGCCTTCAAAATGATCTTATGCTCTGGGGCAGAATGGCTGAGCTGAATGGAAAGACTGAGTTGGAAAAGAGGATTGGAAGGGGATTCTAAGTATCTCTCTCTTCACTGGTATCAAGGGTTAACACAAACCTGACTCTAAAAACTCCTGAGTGCCTTCTTTCTCCTCTGAGCACACAGGTTCCACTAATTTCCCAGAAGAATGGAAAGCCAGGAATTTGTCCTTCAGTTCTGGCAAAGTTAGCACAAGTTTCAAAGAACATAAAGAGAAAATAAAATTTAAGTATTTTTTTCTTCAAGCAACAATTCTGTTTCTATGGAAACATGTAAGGGCAAACTGTAGGAACTACAGCATAGGCAGGCTTCACCACCGCCCTATGAGCTGCAAAGCTCCTTTTGTCTTTCAAAGGAACCCTATGTATTATAAACAAGGCATTATGGTTGGGCAGCTGGTGGATTGTTGGAAAAGAAGAGATTTAACAATGATGGAATTTTAACAGCTTGAATTCAACAGAGTTCCAGGCCCTTTAAATTAGTTTATTTAAATCAGGCCTCTCCTTTGATGATTCAAGTTCCTTTGGTGTATTAATATTAGACTCCTCAATCTCCAACTACAAGCTACCATGAGGTGTGATTATTTAGTGGAAAAACAGGGGCTAAATTTGCCTGGACTGAACTGCAAACTCCCTATGAAAGAGCCAAACCTCAATTAACCAGAAACCCAAAGAAGTGGAGTCCTCAACTAACTGCATCTACTTTTTGCAAAGAAAGTGCCTGATGATAAACAAAGCCAAAAAAAAAAAAAATCACAGGAATTTAGTATAGTGTGTATGTATGGGGAGGAGCTCGGTAATATGTATAGCTGTATGACTTTGGGCAACTTCTTTTATACTCTCAGTTCCTCAATTTCCTCACTTATATAACATTTGTTAGCAGAATTAAATAAGATAATTGATATAGGGTGTTTCACACAGTACCTGGAACCTAGTAACAATAAGTCTTAGTATATATTTATCCTCTTTTAGTCTATAAGGTCTCCCAAAACCATCTTCCAAGGGATGTTTTTGTGTGAATCTTTAACCCTCAACTTCTCCATCCCCATTTCCAAGAGTAGACAATGATCTCTGTTAGTCTGAACAATGTTTTTGATGCCTAGCAAGGGCTTTCCTTACCACCAAAGATTCTATGACATTACTTTCTGAAGGAGGAAAGAGAGCAGAAACATTTCTAAATATTTGAGAAGGTAAAGGCAAATCAATATCAGATTCCTTTTCCCTTCATATTTTTAATCTCACTGACCCGTATTCTCCCCAAATCAACTGATCTTTAGCCTGTGTGTAATATGGACCACATATTTCATGCCACCTTACCATACTTCCATACACCAACACAGTCTCTATGACAGTGTGCTTGCCTTAGGCTCATTGCAGAAACTGACTATGTGAAGGCTGGGCATGGTGGCTCACGCCTGTAATCCCAACACTTTGGGAGGCCCAGGCAGGTGAATGACTTGAGGTCAGGAGTTTGAGACCAGCCTGGCCAACATGGTGAAACCCTGTCTGTACCAAAAATACAAAAAAAAAAAAAAAATTAGCTAGGCGTTGGGGTGCCTGCCTATAATCGCAGCTACTCAGGAGGCTGAGGCAGGAGAATCACTTGAACCCAGGAGGCAGAGGTTGCAGTGAGCAGAGATCGCACAACCACACTCCAGCCTGAGCGACAGAGTGAGTCTTCATCTAGAAAAAAAAAAAAAAGAAAGAAAAGAAAAGAAATTGACTAGGTCTGTGAAGTTCTCAATATACAGCATCATACCCAGTTAGGCAATTAATTGGGCAGCACTTCATAATGATAAAACCTGAGGCAAAATTCTTCAAAAGGCAACTTGTTTTCTAGTTTCAAACACCCACTGGACACTTTTTTTTCCTAGTGTTTTACCTCTTCGTTTTTTCAGGTGGCCAAGGCCAGAACCTTCTCTCACATCCATTCACACTGAGGTATAGATGACCAATGACAGTTAAAATTGGATTTAAAATAATAGATGGGAGTTTTCAGGTGAGTTTGCAACATGGCTAAAAGTGTTGCAGGAGATGTAAGATATCATACCATGTAAAGTTCCTCCAAACAAAGAGGAAGCAGCCTTACAAGCCCCATTCTTCCAGTGGGAAAACAGGCATAGAGTTACACAAGTTGCTCAGAATTTCTCAGTGAGTCATTCCTACCAATAAGCTCTAGAACAAAACTAAATCAGTATGTAGATGATGGCACCTGTTTACCTGATCTTGTATAAGAATTATCAAAATATCTAGCCCAGTGGTCCTCAAGGGCAATTTCAAATGATAAGTTATATAAGTGATATGTTAAGTCATTTAGAGCCATGAAAATCGTAGTTCAGATTTCCTTAGAAGTTTTCAAACAGAGAAAATATCCCTGGCAAGATGTACCAGATAGTTACATTTTGATTTGAAAGTCTGGAATACAAAGTGTCTTAGCCTGTTTGTGCTGCTATTACAAAATATCATAGACTGGATAATTTATTTAAAAAAAATAGAAATGTATTCCTCACAGTTCTGGAGTTTGGGAAGTCCAATATCAAGGCACCACAGGGTTGGTGTCTGATCAGGGATCCCGTCTCTCCTTTCTTGATGGCTCTTTGTTGCTACATCCTTGAGAGGGGATGAATGATGTGTCCTCACATGGAAGAAGGGATAGAAAGGCAAAAAAGGACCCAAGCTAGTTCCCTTCATCTCCTTTAAAAGCCACTAATGCATTCATGAGGGCAGAGCCCTCTAACTTAATCATTTCCCCAAAGATTCCACTTCTTAATAGCACCACAATGGGGATTTTATTTCAAAACATAAATTTTGAGGGACATTCAGACTATAGCAGAAGAAAAACAAGAAATAGTCTGAAGTTGAGACTCCACCTTGTGAGGGAAGTACTAGGCTTGTATGCCTTTCTTTCTTTTTTTTTTTTCCTTTTTCCTTCCTTTTTCCCTTATAGCAATGAGAAAAAGGGCAAGAAGACAACAAAACAGAAGACTATTTCACAGTTGGCTCCAGACCAACTCTGACCTGAACTCAGGTCTCTGCAAAGTAATCGTTTGCCCACATACTTTCATTCTTTACAAGTTCCCCCAAATTCACTTAATTCAGTTAAAAATCTCCAGCTGAGTTTCCATCAGTACTCTCTGTGGAAAGAGGATACCAAATGAAAGTGAAACTGTGCATGTCTGGCCCCATGAAGAGTGAAATATTTTGATAACATATTGGACATTTCAAATACCTTCCATTTTCTGCTGAGGCAGCTGACTTGCTGGGAACATGTTCTTTGAGAAGCAAAAAGTTAAGCGCTCTATTCCAAATCCTCAGTGGGGCAATGAGCTTGACAGAACATCAACTAGAGGAAGCCAATTAGCGTAGCTTTTACCATGACAACCAGTGCATCTTCCTAAGATATCAGTGGGGTTCACACACTGAAGGGGGAGAAGAGAGAAGCGTCGGAATGTGCTGACTTTGAAAGACCCCTTTTTGAAATGAGCCAATATTATCCATTTCCTCACAAAGTCTAGAAATGGTGAATCATTCCTGTCAATAGCATGACATTCATTTAACTCATGCATGCATAGTTTCCGGATGGTAGGAAACATCAGCAAGAGCAGGAATTTGAGCAAAGTACTCTAATTATGTGCAGTTTATAAATCAGCTGGAGTAGGTATATCAGGACACAACAGATCCAAACGCATCTCTGCAAATATCGCTCAGCTGAGGAGATGCAGAGATTACTGAAATTTTAATCCATTAATTAAAAGATATTATCTTCATTCATTCTTCATGAATTACTACCTCAGTTGCTTTGCTATATAAATTTTCCCAACTCAAATGCTCTTCTCCCCACTACCCCCCGACACCAATCCCAAACAACTCAAGCTCCTATCCTTCCATGAAACATTTTTTCCAAAGACATTCCGGGTCCCACTGATTAATCTTTTCTCAGAACTTCTATTAGAGAGTCTATCCCACATAGTTGAATCTTGGAGTCTATTCTATTTTACAATATTACTTAGTGTATTTATGTCATTATTTCCCAATGTGAACATAATTTCTTGAAGGACTATACCCCCAAAGTACTACTAATATTGAGTTAGGGTAGATACCTAATAACAAATCTACTTGGTGCTTGATTACTTACTATAGAGTTCATAACCTTCATCTAATTTAAGGCTGACTACATGACCTTGAACTTGGTGCCTCCATTATTGCACCAGGAAATAAGACTGCCCTTCTATGTTCTCCTTGGAAAATGAAGGAAGGGGGACACCAGTGGGCAGAAATCTGCTTTCACTGTGGATTTCCTCTCTGCATATTGCTAGGATGATGAAGAAGAAAAGCATGAGTCATCATTTGCAGTCCAGTCCCAGAAGGTATTTATAGCTGATTCTAGAAATAGTGTTTTCACAACTGTATGCCTTAATTCTATCCTTCCTTTTAGATTCATCTTAGATGTCACTTCCTCCATGATTCTGGCTTTGTTTTTTTCATCCAAAAGGACTCCTATTCTCTTCTGAACTACTAAAGCATTTTATCATTCCTTCTTTTGTGACATATCACCTTCTGCCATATTCTGCTGTATTTATTCATGTCCTTGTTATCTCTCCCCTAGTAGATAATACAGTGACATAATAGGTACACAATACTAGTAATAGCCAACACCTATTGAGTATGTACTGAGTACTTTATGTACATTATTTGATTTAATCCTCAAAACAATTCTTTTGAGGTGAATACTATTTACACATCTCAAGTTTACAAATTGGAACCTGAGGCTTTAAAAGATTAAGTAATCTACCAAGGATCATGCAACTAACTAATAAGTGCCATAGGTAAAATTTGATTTGAGAGCCAATAGTCTTAAACATTATGCTATACTGACTCTTAATAAATGGTGAATGAGGAAAGGAATGGAATGCATTAAATTGCAGAAACTGTCTTACCTGATACAGCCTTTCCAGACGTCTATACTTCTTTAGACTATAACCAATCAACAGCCTGGTGCTAGCCGTTTGTAAAGAATAATAAAACTCAATGGCAAAAACCAGAGATCAAATTATACACTTTCAACAGTAACTGCTGTTCACCCAAGAAAAGATCATGGGTTTATGTTTTCACTCTATCCTTGACCCGCAAACTACCGAAAGTTCATATCTGAAAATTCTGCATAACTGCCCAGCAGGAATACACTGACATTTTGGAACTACCCTCACTCTTCAGGCTAGGGGATCAAGCTTGAGTAATGTGAGTTCCACCAAGCTCAGCTAAAATTGAATTATGAATTATTTTTCATGAAAATACTGTAATAGAATCCACCAACAATGTTTAATCCTAGAGTCAGCAGAAGATGGGCTCCACCTGAATATGCACCACATTCAGTCTCTCAAATAGCATAATTTTCATGGGCTCAATCGAAAGTGGTTAGTGATGTCGGTCGAAAAATACAAAATTTTAGTTAGGAGGAGTAAGTTCAAGAGGTCTATTGTACACCACAGTAACTATGAAAATTGCTAAGAATAGATTTTAAGTGTTCTCACTACAAAAACTAAGTATGGAAGATAATGCATTTGTTAATTAGTTTCAATTAGCCATTCCACAAAAATGTATACATATTTTGAAACATCATGTTGTACACCATAAATATGTAGAATTTTCACTTGTCAATTTAAAAAATAAATAAAAAGTGGTTAATGACCAAGATTAGGCCTACATATGTGTAGTTTGGTATGAGTAAAGTTGATTAAAGTCCTTTAAAAAAAAACAAAAACTATACGTTAGCCTTTATCTGAAGTTCTCTATATTGATAGGCACACAGCTGACCATGCAGAATATCCCTCTCCATGGCCAACGTGAATAGGAAAGAATGCACACACAACAGAAAATTACTGGATCAAAATATTAATGGTGCCAAAGTTGAGAAAACCTGATACAGAGGCATTCTTCACTTCATGAAAACTCAACAGAGCAAAATTCTGAGAGACAAATGCCAATAAATAACAGGTGGTTATTCCCACATCAAAAAGCTTTCACCAAAGAGTCCTTTCAAATACCAAAAACTCTATACATTTATGGGTGGTTTATAGATTAATTATAGCTTCTTTCACTTAATAGACTTGTTTATTAAAATTTGTATACATTATATGCATATTGACATAATATATATACATATAATATCAGTGAAAATTTTAGAAATACAATTCTAGTTAATATATATAAAGCAAACTATGGATAGAAATCTTCTTGTCAATGATTTCATAATAGAAATAACCACCGTCTCATTTTTATGTTTTGTGAACTTAGGTCTTCTTAAAGAAGTCACTTGTAATTGACAGAGAGATGGGCAAGATAAAAATTTAAAACTAACATGTAATAAACCATTGCCAGTCAAAGATGAAGCCCATCTGAAGTGAAAACCCAAGTTATAAAACAGAGGGTTTGAATCAACATGTACTTCTCAGGAACTGATCAACTTATAGAATGTGGTGTATCTATAGAGCCAACTTTAATTATCTGATATTGTCTTATTTACCCTATGATTCGTCATTACCTGGATGTTTCAGCCAACACAGTCAATGGGATTGTATGTGAAACCTGTGATTTCTACATCAACTGGTCAATCAATGAAGAGAAAAATCAGCCAAATTATCTTTTTGCATTGTCTGGTTCCTTGACCTCACCTCAGCTTTCCCCAAACAAATCAACACACAATGGTTATTTGACTGGACTTTTTAATGCTTTATCCACTTGTTTTGATTTTGAACAAACATAGACCCCTCATTCCTGAAACTTCTACTGCCAGAACCACAGCTTTGCTTCCTTCTTCTTCAAGATGAATTGTATGTTCTCTGTACCTACTATATGCTCAGCACTGTATATAAAAGAAAGTTTAAGTCTAGCGGCAAAGAAAAAGCTTATGTATATAAAGCAATTAAAAGATAATTTGTGATAGTGTATACTCGAGTTTTAAATTGGGTAGTACAGACTGTGTTATATGAGTTCAGATTATAAACCAACTTACTGAGTTAGAGTTCTCAAGGAGGTTTTTACGAGCTGGATGCGTTGGAATAAAACTAACATGAGTTAACATTACAACCCCACTATTTCTTAGCTACCTGAATTTGAGCAAGTTACTTAACCTTTCTGAAATCCAGTGTCTACATCTGTTTTAAAATAAAGATAACAATAATATCTTCCCCTTTGGGTTTTTATGAGGATTAATCAAGATAATGAAAGTTAAAGAACTTAGCACAGTGCCTGTCACATTTTATAGGATAGCCACAAGTCCCTGTGCGTGCTAGTTAAGTGTTATCCATATGTTCTCCTCCATTAGATAAATTTTACTCTTTCTTTATTCTCCTTGGATATTTCTTCTTGTTAGTGGTTGGAAATCATTTAAGCAGTATCTGAGAGCTATTTTTGGATCTTCAACTGTTGATAGATTCCTTATGCACGAGATTGTAAAAGAAAAAATTTTCTCAAAAGAGAGATCTTCAGGTAACTTCTATTTAGCATGTATACAGATTTTGTAGCAATTCTTTAAGTAAACATTAAATGTAATCTATTGTTTTATTATCACTGTTTTTTTTGTGTTTATTCAGAGCAGAAGAAGGGTAGACGGAGAAAGGGGAAAGAGAAGAGAAGGTGGAGGGGCAAGAAAAGGAAAAGAAGGAATTGGAGAGAGATGAAGATTTACATACACATAAAAAAATAGGGCAAGTAATCCAGGCAAAGGGTACAACATAAAAAAAAGACACAAAGAATGAATAGGTTGAGCATGGACCAGTCTGATTTGATGACAAGAAATATGTTGGGTGCAGTGAGGCATCTTTTGATGCACACAGAGAATACCAATAGCTAATTGTTACCAAGTAACAACTTCCCTCTTAGGAAGTCAAAACTTTGAAATACCACATGGAAGCTCCCCTATAATTTCAATTGTTTCCCTTTCTTGGCAGCTCCTTTGAACAAGGCAAATGCCCACTGGTTTTGGAAAGTGCATTCAAGACCTGACAGGCTTACCACTAGTCCTGGTCAGTAAACTAATTGCCCCAAGTACTTCTCCTTAGACCTGAGGTCACTGGCTTTCCACTGCTCTAAAGTGAGGCAGGAAAACAGAGTCTGGAGGCAGGGAACATAAGGCCAATTCATACTTCAGCTATGACAGGAAATACCCTCTCCATAGGGCGTAGGCCAAGTAAATGAGTTTGTAACTTTACTTCATCCTCTCCATTTACATAGGGTGTACCCCCAAGTAACCAATGGAATTCTCTAGAGGGTATTTAAACTCCCTAAAATTCTGTAATGGGGCCCTTGAGCCCCTGTGCTTGGGCCTGCTCCCACACTGTGGAGTGTACTTTCATTTTCAATCAATTCCTTCATTCTTTCCTTGCTTTGCTTGTACATTTTGTCCAATTGTTTGTTCAAAATGCCAAGAACCTGGACACCTTCCACCATTAACATATTTCGGTGACCCAGCCAGGAGGAAGAGGTAAGCCCAAAGTTTGGGATTCATTTTTCTCCCTTTCCTTTCTGTTCCATACAGGGGCTTTCTCTCTCTCTTTTCCTTTCCAACTTGGGACTTTTGGTGGGCAGCACCTAAACATGGAGACAACTGCAGGTTTCTGGCCGTGGCCAGTGAAACTAAGGGGTTTCCATATGGAGAAGCCTGACTGCCACCACCCGTTTTGCTTAAGGGACCTGGGGCTTTTTCTTTCTTTTTTTTCTTTCATTATTATTATTATTATTATTTTGGGACAGAATCTTGCTCTGTCACGCAGGCTGGAGTGCAATGGTGCATTCTCAGCTCACTGCAACCTCCGCCTCCTGGGTTCAAGTGATTCCCCTGTCTCAGCCTCCAGAGTCCTTTCATTCTATTTCAGTCTTTCAGTAGCTGTTTATAATTGCCCTGCCCCGAAGGGGGAAGGACTTTGTTTTTTTTAATCTCTTCCTCACGTGGTCCCTGGTCCCTATGTGTGGCACAGCTCGAAGCAAATTTGCACGTGTTTCAGGGGACTTAAACCTTCTTTTCCTATGGTAAATTCTTCCCTTATTATACTCAACTGGCTAAGGAACAAAAAGGCACACCCAGCATCCAGTTCTCATTACAGTTCATGGGTATTCTTATCAAGTTCATAGTATGCTCTGGAGGGAAAAACCTGTATGTGGTGCTGGTGCCCACCTAATGTCAGAGACATCTGACACTCTAAAATTAGACCCCACAGGAGGATGCTCCAGGTGTTCTGCAAACCTCGACCTGCCCAAAAGGGATGCTCCTGGCAGAGGTTCTGAGGTCTAGTACTAAGCCTCCCCCTTAGAATTTTCTCTCATAGCTGCAATGCTGATTGGCCCCAACATTGTTTGAAATCTGGAATTTACTGTTGAATGGGAAAGTGAAATGGCATTGCCTGTATCCAGGCTTTTGTGCTGTGGTTCTAAGCAGGAGGCCTGGTTAGTGTGTTAACACCCTCCTTTTGTACAGTTTGGCCCCACTGCTCTTTGGAGTCTGGGGAGGTTTTGCCTTTGTATATCAAACCCCCATGGAGAACGCATTATCCAAAATTTTGGTTCACAGGCTTCATTGGATTATCTATTGGGGCAAAGTAAAACTGGCAAGCTTATATTGCTATCTCATGGCTAAGGTTCCAAGCTACCGGATCTTCATTTACTTGTGTGTATACAGGTCTAGATGTATTTATTTGTATGTACACTTATTGTTATAGGTTGTGTCTACTATAGTTGGCTTACAAGTAAAAGAGCCTCATAAATTAAGTAAATAAGTCTAAGCAATTTTCAAGTTCACATGACTTAAAGTATAACTTTACTAAACAAGCTAGCTTTAAAATTATTGGTGGAATAAAAGTAGAAATGCCTTCAGAATTGTCAGCATACATTTTGTCTGAATTGTATGTTTGTCTTTGCTAAATATCTTAAAATGTCAGTGTTAATTCAAGCTGGGAGCTGCTTGGGGTGAGCCTGCCTCTCATTCTATTCAAAGTCTCACTGAGATAAATGCATGTCGGATTGCATCCTTTGGAAAGCCTAATCAGAAACTTAAAAGAATGCAACCATTCCTCTCACACCAACATGTGACCTGGAAGCCCCAGCCTCCCTCCCTGCTTCAAGTTGTCCTGCCTTTCCAGACCAAATCAATGTTCATTTTATATATGTTTATTGATGTCTCATGTCTCCCTTGTTAAAAGTAAAAAATTAAGTACAGTGAATAGGATAATTGTTTTAGGTAAACTTTTTGTGTAATTTAAAATCTTAAAGTTATTTTTGATGCTCATTTAATATCTGGGTGATTTTCAATTAAGAAAGGGTTGTAATATGGGGAAGTATGTTTCTAAAACTGTAGAGTTTTTATCTATAAATGGCCATATCTAATAGTTCAGGATTTCTTGCTTTTTAGGGTTTCACTAAAGTTTTAGGTTACTACAGATAAAATTCTAGTTAACACATAATTCTGTATAAAATATGCCAGAAAGGGTTATGTTATTAGTGGAAAAAAGATTAATTTTGTCTAATTCAGAAGTTATCTAAAAGTTAGATCAAATTACAGATTTGAAAAGGTTATTTATTAAACAATGTCATAAGGAATCATTAAATAGGTGAGAAAGATATGGAAAAGTCTAAATAATAAAATATTCTTTAAAACCTGGTAGAGAATTGGAGACATTTGGCTAATTAACATTTTCACAGTTGGTCATGTGCAGTGGCTCACACCTGTAATCCCAGCACTTTGGGAGGCCAAGGCAGGCAGATCATTTGAGGTCAGGAGTTCGAGAACAGCCTGACCAACATGGTGAAACCCCATCTCTACAAAAAATAAAAATAAATAAAAATTAAAAAATAGCCACGCGTGGTGGCACATGCCTATAGTCCCAGATACTCGGGAGGCTGAGGCAGGAGCATCACTTGAACCCAGGAGGCAGAGGTTGCAGAGAGCCAAGATCACACCACTGCACTACAGCCTGGGCAACAGAGCAAGACTCCATCTCAAAAAAAAAAAAGAATGTCATAGTTAAAGCTGTTAGTCTTGATTAAAGTAAAACAAGAAGTATTGTAAATAAATGCATCAGCAGTTTGGACATTCTTTAATATAGTTAAGCATAAAGCTGGATTTAGTGTGGAGCCAAATTTCACCTACATACTTACATTGCTTCACACTATGTTTATCATTTTGCGTGGATAGTGCTGGAGTACTTATTGGTCATATGCCTAAAGTGAATTTCTTGATTGCACAGAATGTATAATAATATTGGTGAATTTAGGATATCAAATTGTATATCAGGAATAAAATATTCATTGTGTGGGTGATATGGTTTGGCTCTGTGTCCCCACCCAAATCTCATCTTGAATTTTACTCCCATAATCCCCATGTGTTTTGAGAGGGATCCAGTGAGAGATAATTTGAATCATGGGGGCAATTTCCCCCATACTATTCTTGTGGTAGTGAATAAGTCTCACAAGATCTAATGGTTTTATCAGGGGTTTTTACTTTTGTATCTTCCTCATTTTCTCTCGCTGCCGCCATGTAAGAAGTGACTTTTGCCTCCTGCCATGATTTGCAGTGCCTCCCCAGCTATGGGGAACCATAAGTCCAATTAAACTTCTTTTTCTTCACATTATCGGGTATGTCTTTTGTTTGTTTTTGAGATGGAGTCTCGCTCTGTCACCCAGGCTGGAGTGCAGTGGCATGATCTCGGCTCACTGCAACCTCCACCTCCCGGGTTCAAGCGATTCTCCTGCCACAGCCTCCCAAGTAGCTAGGACTACAGGTGTATGCCACCGTGCCTGGGTAATTTTTGTATTTTTTGTAGAGACAGGGTTTAGCCATGTTGGCCAGGCTGGTCTCAAACTCCTGACCTCAAGTGATCCACCTGCCTCAGCCTCCCAGAGTGCTGGGATTACAGGCATGAGCCACGATGCCCAGCCAGGCATGTCTTTATCGGCAGTGTGAAAATGGACTAATACAGTAAATTGGTACCAACAGAGTGGGGCATTGCTGAAAAGATACCCAAAAATGTGGAAGCGACTTTGGAACTGGGTAATAATCAGAGGTTGGAACAGTTTGGAGGGCTCAGAAGAAGACAGAAAAATGTGGGAAACTTTGGAACTTCCTAGAGACTTGTTGAATGGCTTTGACCAAAGCCTGGTAGTGATATGGACCATAAGGTCCAGGCTGAGGTGGTCTCAGATGGAGATAAGGAACTTGTTGGGAACTGGAGCAAAGGTGACTCTTGTTATGTTTTAACAATGAGACTGGTGGCATTTTGCCCCTGCCCTAGAGATTTGTGGAACTTTGAACTTGAGAGAGATGATTTAGGGTATCTGGTGGAAGAAATTTCTAAGCAGCAAAGCATTGAAGAGGTGACTTGGGTGCTGCTAAAATTATTTAGCTTGAAAAGGGAAACAGAGCATCAAAGTTTGGAAATTTTGCAGCCTGATGATACATTAGAACAGAAAAACCCATTTCCTGAGGAGAAATTCAAGCCAGCTGCAGAAATTTGCATAAGTAATGAGGTGCCGAATATTAATCCCCAAGACAATGGGGAAAATGTCTCCAGAGCATGTCAGAGGTCCTCATGGCAGCCCCTCCCATCACAGGCCTGGAGGCCTAGGAGGAAATGGTTTCGTGGGCTAGGCCCAGGGTCACGGTACTGTGTGTAGCCTAGGGACTTGGTGCCCTGCATCCTAGCTGCTCCAGCCATGGCTGCAAGGGGACAACATAGAGCTCAGGCCATGGCTTCAGAGGGTGCAAGCCCCAAGCCTTGACAACTTCCATGTGGTGTTGAGCCTGTGATGCACAGACATCAAGAACTGAGGTTTAGAAACCTCTGCCTAGATTTCAGAAGATGTATGGAAATGCCTGGATGCACAGGCAGAAGTTTTCTGCAAGGGCAGGGCACTCATGGAGAACCTCTACTAGGGCAGTGCAGAAGGGAAATGTGGGGTCGAAGCTTCCAGACAGAGTCCCTACTGAGGCACCGCCTAGTGAAGCTGTGAGAAGAGTGCTACCGTCCTCCAAACCCGGGAATATTAGATCCACTGACAGCTTGCACCACGTCCCTGGAAAAGCTGCAGACTCTCAATGCCAGCTGGGGAAACAGCCAGGAGGGAGGCTGTACCCTGCAAAGCCACAGGGGTGGATCTGCCCAAGACGATGGGAACCCACCTCTTGTTGCCTCAGCATGACCCAGATGTGAGACATGGTGTCTAAGAAGATTATTTTGGAGCATTAAGATATGACTGCCCTGCTGGATTTTGGACTTGCATGGGGCCAGTAGCCCCTTTGTTTTAGCCAATTTCTGTCCTTTGGAATGGCTGTATTTACCCAATGCCTTTACTCCCATTGTATCTTGGAAGTAACTAACTTGCTTTTGATTTTACAGGCTTATAGGTGGAAGGGACTTGTCTCATATAAGACTTTGGACTGTGGACTTTTGAGTTAATGCTGAAATGAGTTAAGACTTTGGGAGACTGTTGGGAAGGCATAACTGGTTTTGAAATGTGAGGACGTGAGATTTGGAGGGGCCAGGGACAGAATGATGGTTTGGCTCTGTGTTCCCACTCAAATCTCATCTTGAATTGTACTCCCATAATTCCTATGTGTTGTGGGAGGGACCAGGTGGGAGATAATTTGAATCATGGGGGCAGTTTCCCCCATACTGTTCTTGTGGTAGTGAATAAATCTCCCAAGATCTGATGGTTTTTGCAGGGGTTTCTGCTTTTGCATCTTCCTCATTTTCTCTTGCCGCCACCATGTAAGAAGTAACTTTAGCCTCCTGCCATGATTCTGAGGCCTCCCCAGCCATGTGGAACCACAGTCCAATTAAACCTCTTTTTCTTCCCAATCTCAGATATGTCTTTATCAGCAGTATGAAAACGGACTAATACAGTGAGTTTTTTTGGGGGGACCTAGGTAACACTGTAGCCTCCAGGGTAAATTGAGGATAAAAATTTAGGGTTGGTTTCCTGTGTATTTGTTTTTGCTTCTAGTTTTCATTCATTTGCTGTTTATTCTCTTCTGGCTTTGCTTGTGTGTCCATATACATAAAACTATGATTTTTTTAGTTCCTGTGGAAGGCTTTTATTTGGTTCTGTGAATAGTTACTTTGTTTCCTATGCATTTCCAGCAAGTCATCATTTGTTCCATTTATTTGGAATTCCTAAGCTACCTTTATTGAGCCACAAGAATTAACAGAGCACGCCAGCTTTCTATCCTTATAAATTAACTTGTTGAATTTTAGGCTTCCTGATACTTTAAGAATGTTGAATATATTCTCATAAATAGAATTTTAGTCATATTTCTCTTTCTCTGCCTAATTTCTCTAAACTTTATAAACTGTTTGTGAATTTTTTTTTTTTTTGAGACAGAGTCTCGCACTGTCGCCCAGGCTGGAGTGCAGTGGCGCAATCTCGGCTCACTGCCAGCTCCGCCTCCTGGGTTCAGGCCATTCTCCTGCCTCAGCCTCCTGAGTAGCTGGGACTACAGGCACCCGCCACAACGCCAGCAAATTTTTTGTATTTTTAGTAGAGACAGGGTTTCACTGTGTTAGCTAGGCTGGTCTCAATCTCCTGACCTCGTGATCTGCCTGCCTCGGCCTCCCAGAGTGCTGGGATTACAGGTATGAGCCGCTGCGCCCAGACCCGTGAATATTCTTAATTCAAGGCAATGTGTTTGTTTGCATACAGGCAAGCAGGGTCACTAGGACCGCTCAGGGAGAGAGAATCTAGAAACCTGGCACACAGGCAAAAGGGTAAGAATTTCTTACCAGTCAGTCTCTGACCTCTTTAACTCTGTGCAAACTGGTTAAATATAAAGTAAAAGTCACTGTTTAACTCCTGTGTAAAGTTTTAAATTAATTAGCTTAATAATAATAGGAGCTTAAATCAAATATTGTGTCAGAAAAGTGGAAAGTGTAATGCCTTTTAGTTCACGTGACTTTAGCAATCTTTGGGAAATTAAGATGGTTTTAAAGATTATTGGTAAACTACAATGTCTTCAAAATGTAAATATGTGGTCTAAATTATGTTCAAGTATTAGGTTTGCTACACTGCTTCTTTGGCTTTTGAAAATTGTTTAACCTGCCTGCTTTCCAGCTAGGTAAGTCCTGAGGACATGTGGAGTTGGCCACGCCCCTAGCTATGCTGGAAATAGCCAAACCTTATCAGAACATAACTTACCAGGTTTTACATTAAAGTTAAAATTGCTAAGAGTCACCATTGTAACATGCAATTAAGACTACTAGAAACAGTTTTACATGCAAGGTGTATAAAAGCAGTAGAATGTGGGTTTTTTGGCAAAAGGTTATAAAAGGTTTTTGCTTCTTTAAAATTTCTGAAACATCATTTTGGCAAAATAAATAATTTATGGTAATACTGAATTCCAAAATCACACTTCAGTTTCAAAATTGTCTTTCCTAATGCCTGGCTTTCTGGATGGATCAAAGGGCCCTTGGAAGCATCCAGAAAGGAGGTAAACAGGATTATGTGACATGTTTAGGTACATGGGATTGCCAAAATGATGTTCAATCTTCTTTAGGTTATATTTTTGTGAATATATTAATATATGATCCAAAATTGTATGGGACTTCTAAAATAGTCTGTGCTATCAATTGTAATTATGATTATTATGTTGTTATTGTAAACCACAGAAATAACCAAATTTCCTTGTATAAATCTACTAACCCAAGTAGAACAAAAATTAAATACCAAGAAAATACTTTGTCAGATTTTCATATTAAACCGGCTGATACTAAAATTGTTTAAAATAATTTATAACCAATACTTGGTCCCATATTCCTGGAAAAACAATTAAAGCTTCAGGTACATTGGATCACCTGGTCAGCCATTTAAACATTGTATAAAGGGATTTCATTCCATTGTTATTTTTAATGCATGTTTTCTGGTTGTATAAAAGCTTTCCCATGCAAGAGGGCCGATGTTATAACAGTGGATTATTATGCTACAGTGTATTTTCACCAGGTAAAGAAAACTTTTTATGGTTTGAATCTTCTGGAAACATCAGAGAAAGACTGTCCTTGTCATCCAGACCACAATAAAACTCGGGGATTTGGGCTTTAGGTTCATGGTCTCACAACTGAGAAGGGTCCCTCTACACTCTTCAAACTGTACACCCATTGGAACCCTTAAGGTTAAACTAACCAAGGAAATTTCTCCAAAGAAGAAGATGGCATCCTTGATGTGAATATCTTTTCCCAAGTTCACAGATTAAGATTTCTACTACCATGAAACTCTCATCTTTGAAGAATTTTCCTTGCTTATGCCTCTATGAACAATAGAAGTGGAAAAGGGGTCTGTTATGTGCACTAATGGGGTACACTTTTATTTGTGAAGGAGTTTGCAGCCAGCCTTATACATGGATGAACTTATACTTTGATAGATAAAAGATGAAGGCCCAATGTAGGTAAGAAACTTAAACGGTATGTATGTTGCCTCGTAATCGGTCAAGAACAACACATTGGATCACTCCTCTTAACCCACATCATGGGTTGAAGAGAACAGAGCCAGGAGGCCTTCACTCTTCCAAAAGGGCCTAATTTATTAGGTCCTTTTTCCATGGTTTAAAGTAAAAGAAGCAATGATAAGAAATGCATCCCTCATGATGGGCTCCATAGCAAATTCTACATGAAAGGCTATCATTACACAACAGACTTTAAATTCTCTTTTGAAAGTTTTGCTAAATAATGGAACCGGCTAAACAGAAAAGTACCTGTGCAGCTGCTGGCACTTGTGGCCTATGGGGAAATACATTAAATGAAGATTATAGAAATTCAATGGTAGGGTATTGACAAAAAAAAAATTGCTTAGTTAAGCGAGTAGACTCTTCATCTAGCTCATTCTTTAATCTATTTAATTCTAGGTGGTTTGGTTTATGGTGACCCTGCATAAGGAGCATACTCCAAACTTCTGGTATTATCCACCCAATAGTCATAATAATAGTCTCCCTGGTGTGCTATATTCTCTCAAAGGCTTTAAATGCTTGCATGCAGCCATCTCTAGAACGTCAAATGATCTCTCATCAACTGGAATAACAAAAGCTGAAAGAAATGTGCAACCATGAGGACACTGTAACCTATAAATGATGTGCTGAGACTGGAAACCCAAAATGATGGTAACTGAGAGTGGCGCTAAGGCCCCAAGTTTTGGTCACACTCTTGCCTAAGTGAGAACTTGACCAAAAAGGGGGAATTTTTGAAACAAAATTCTGGGAGGCCATTGTTTTGGACTGAGCTCATGCACTAGGCCCCAGCAGACCAAAGCAAACCAAAATGGGGTCGTTTGTGTTAAGACTTTAAGGAAACACATAAGATTCTAGAACAGACCAGGTTTTGTTTTTTCTCCTGCAAATCTCTATAACAAACATTTCTGACAGCATAGCTATCCACCCCTTGAAGTTCCCATTAAATCTTTTAACCTAATTATTTACCTCTCGGCTAGAGATCATCAAGCTTCAGATAATCATGCAACAAAGGTTACAGTTAGTTCCAGGTGAAGACACCACCCCTGGTCATCAAGAAGCTATTCTGCCTCCACTAGATAGAGCAGGGTGAGAGTTCCATGATCCTCAATAGGTAGGGACTACACCTCAAGCCAGCAAGAAACACTTACAGAAAAAAGACCATTGGTCACTCTGCCTCCCATAAAGATTTATGGGCATCACATCTCTCATCTCAGAGGGAAGATGAGGCAGGAAAATAGGGTCTGGAGACAGGAACATAAGGCCGATTCAAACTTCAGCTATGACAGGAAATATCCTCTCCATAGGGCATAGGCCAAGTAAATGACTTTGTAACTTTACTTCATCCTCTCCACTTACATAGGGCATACCCAAAGTAACCAATGGAATCCTCTAGGGGGTATTTAAGCTCTGAAAAATTCTGTAACGGGGCCCTTGAGCCTCTATGCTCGAGCCCAGTCCCACACTGTGGAGTGTACTTTCATTTTCAATAAATCGCTTCATTCTTTCCTTGCTTTGTTTATGCGTTTTGTCCAATTCTTTGTTCCAGATGCCAAGAACCTGGATACCCTCCACTGTTAACAAAAGCAGTGCCTGCAATTTCCACCCACGGTAGGCTGGTCCAATTTTTCCTTAGAATGTATTTCAGCTAGATGAAGCCCCTAGCATCCTGGGTAAAAAGCAAGAGGCTAGATTATTTATAATATTCCAGCTAACCCCATATGTCCACCGCCTCCAAACCAGCCAACCTGGCAAAAGCTAAGTGTGTGAGTTGGTTTCCCCATAATACAGTATTTCCTTTGAGTTTCAGATATTTTTTTAAAAATTTTTTACACAATTATTTTCATATTTTGGCTTCCTTTCCATTCAAATTCCAGCCCCCTGCCACCAGTTATTCCCAAGTATAATAAATTACCCCAAAAGGATTTCATCAGATGTATTGCTGAGAGACAGAGCCAGTGAAGGAATGACATGGGGGGGATTAAATTTTCTAGATAGATTCATTTGAGTTTTTCTCTTGGGGAATCAAGCAGATAATCCCAAATTAATTAAAAATCTTTTCCTCAATTGCGGAAGATGGTGTGGTGATTCCTCAAAGAGCTAGAACCAGAAATAGGATTTAACTCAGCAGTTCCATTACTGGGTATATACCCAAAGGAATATAAATCATTCTGTTACAAAGATACATACACATGTATGTTTATTGCGGCACTAGTCACAGTAGCAAAGAAATGGAATCAACCCAAATGTCCATCAATGATAGACTGGATAAAGAAAATGTGGTACATATACACCATGGAATATTATGCAGCCATAAAACGGAATGAGATCATGTCCTTTCAAGGGACATGGATGAAGCTGGAAGCCTTTACCCTCAGCAAACTAAAGCAGGAACAAAAAACCAAACACTGCATGTTCTCACTTCAAGTGGGAGCTGAACGATGGGATCACATGGACATGGGGAGGTGAACAACATGCACTGGGGCCTGTTGGGGGGTAGGGTTGGGGGAGGGAGAGTACTAGAAAGGGTGGCTAATGCATGCTGGGCTTAATACCTAGGTGATGGGTTGATAGGTGTAGTAAACCACTATGGCACACATTTACCTATGCAACAAACCTGCATATCCTGCATATGTACCCCAGAACTAATAATAGTAATTTTTTCCTCAACTTAAAATCCTATGTAAACACAAATTCCCAGCACCTTGACTAGCCTGCACAGAGCAGGTGGTAAACAACAGAGCCACCTCCCAACATAGCCGATCAACACCTATCCACCTCCTCTGTCCTGTCTGCTCTCAGTGCTTACTGAGCCACATACATCTCAGAGATGAACAGCTTGACTCTTCTGAGGGTAGCAGCAGCTTCAGACTCAAAGGGCAACCGAGCTGGTACTTGGCAAATATGTCAGGAAATAAAGTCTCTTTACTACCCTTACCTCCTCCCTAGCTCATCTGTGCCCCCACCAAATTGCCATCCCACTGTCACCAATGCAGTACTCTCTCATAAGATAAAATGGAAAGTATGGGGGCTTTGGAATCATAACAATATGAGTTTGTTCCACAACTTACCCTGTGACCTCAGTCATGTTGCTTAATGTCTCTGAGCCTCAGTTTAGGAATCTGTAAAATGGAGATAATACTACCTGCTTCATAGCCACCCTTACGCCAACTTTTTTAAAGTTCTTAAAATGCTTAGCAAAGGACTTGGCACAGAATATGCAAACAATAAATGATAGCTATTACTACTACAGTCCAAGATCTATACACAGAGAGAGAGAGAGAGAGAGAGAGAGAGAGAGAGAAGGCATACCTTCTCTGGAAAGGGTTTCATCATTCATTCATCTGGTGGACATTTATTGAACACCTACTCTATGCCAAGAATTGTACTGGGCATCAGGAGTACATCAATGAATATAATAAAGTACCTGACAGAAGCTCACACTCTAAAATTATAATTATAATCCAATCTTATAATACAGTGACATAGCCAGAATCTGAGGGTACAGAAAGCATGATCCAATCCCATGAAGGTAGGGATGGGACTATGGAAAGAGCCAATCAGGGTTATTTGAAGATCAGAACATCAGGGATTAGTAGAAATGCTGTGGCTCCTTAAGCACACAGGGGTTCTGGGACTTGGTCTACACACATAACTAATTACCAGGAAGTAAAACAAGTCAGTGTTCCACTTGGTAATATAGATCCTGCATTGGTCAGATTTTTTTTTTTTTTTGAGACGGAATCTCGCTCTGTTGCCCAGGCTGGAGTGCAGTGGCGTGATCTCGGCTCACTGCAAGCTCCGCCTCCTGGGTTCACGCCATTCTCCTGCCTCAGCCTCCTGGGTAGCTGGGACTACAGGCGCCCACCACCATGCCCAGCTAATTTTTTTTCTTTTTTGTATTTTTAGTAGAGAGGGGTTTCACCATGTTAGCCAGGATGGTCTCCGTTTCCTGACCTCGTGATCTGCCTGTCTCGGCCTCCCAAAGTGCTGGGATTACAGGCGTGAGCCACCATGCCCGGCCTGCACTGGTCAGATTTGATGCTGGGATGGGCAGTCTAAACCCATAGGTTTAATGTTCCTCAATTTGAGTGAGGCTGCATAAAAGCAAGGTCTGATAAAATGTAAATAAACAAATGAGGTTCAATGATATAAGGTCTATAAGTACGTCAAAGTGGTATGTGACCGTAGTATCAGTCAGTCATCAAACATTATTGAACATCTACTATATATAGGTCAGTATATATAGTATTACACTGGGTACTGAGTAAAAAAGAAGACCTATCTCTGCCTTCATGGAGCTCACAGTATAGTGGGGGAGACACATATTAATCTCATGGATAGATAAATAATTACAGACAAGGAAAATTCTATCCATTGGACCTACCCCACTGCCACCCAGATTCACCCATTCTATATATTATAGCCCATTTCCAGTAAAATCTAAGTGGATAAAGGAAAGAGTGATAATTTACAGGGCTACTCTTCTCAGATAATATATGTACATTTTAGGAGTGGCCATCTGGAGACAGTATTTACCCCAAAGGAATGGCTGTGGTGGCAGCATTCCAGGCACTGTGGCACACTAGTGGAAGCTGTATTGTTCAGACCACCCTTTAGAATGCCTCACAGCATAGCGAGGCCATCTGTTCCAGCCCTAATGTTTCCTAAATGGTTGACAGTGGAGAGATCTCAGCCACGCACATAAAGTGGAAGGCATGAGCATGTTTTCTTGCCCTGTTCCCTTCACAAAAGATAGCTGTTTTCTGGTATGAAAAGAGCAATTTTATTTTGTTGTTCATTCATTTGACTGTCTGTGGATTCACATATTCAAGAAACAATTAGTAAGTGCTTAAAATATGCCAAGCACTTCCAGGCACTAGGGGGGAAAAGACATGGTTCCTGACCTCAGGTAGCTCACAACCTATCAGGAAGGGAGACCATTAAACACACACAGTTATAACAGTATGATAAATGCTGGAATGGAATAATCACAGAGTGCTGAATATACACAAAAGTAAAACACTTGACTGACTCTGCAGGGAAAGGGGGAGCCTGACAAAGCTTCTCAGAGCAAGAAGAATTTGAAGGATTAGTAAGAGTGCGCTACATAAATGAGAAATGGCATTTCAGGCATAGAGCGCAGCATGGGCAAATGTACGGATATGAGTGACAACACATAATATATGTATGAATGGGAGGATCAGACATCCTGGTGCCCAGGACAATACATTATGCAATACACTCTGCATATGTAAAAAGATGTAGGTAGTTGGAGAGGCCATATGATAAAGTGGAAGCTTGCACAGACTCTGAAGGCAGAATAGACTCCATAAGTCTGAACCAAAACAGAAGAAGATGACTTTGAGATTTGATTTTGCATTTTTGAAATTCTAACCACAAAGCCTCAAATTTCCAATCCATGCACCCTACTTTCTTACCCAACTCTTGGCCATTAGATTCTATTTATTCTATTTATAGTTATCTTAGGACTGGCTTTACCATTTACTAACTATAGGATCCTGACCACATTACTTAAATACTCTGAGCCTCACTTTCCTGTCTACAAAACCAGGATTCATTTAAACATTCAGTAAATATTTACATATTAATTTTAAGGTGCTGAGCCTCACTTTCCCGTCTACAAAACCAGGATTCATTTAAACATTCAGCAAATATTTACATATTAATTTTAATGTGCCAAGTATTGTGCTAGGATTACCCTAGACTTGCTTTCTGTCCTCACAGAGGCTATAATCTACTGGGAGGGACAGATACTAAACAAAAAATTATGAGAATATTGTGTAGGCTTACCAGTTTTATGAGGGTAGTACAACTCTGATAACAAAGCTGATAAAGACATCACACATGCATATCTGCATGTGCACACATACATACACAAAAAGGTACTGACTCATCTCAATTAACCCATCTCGGTTATGAATATAGATTTTAAAATGCTAAATAAACTCAATCAAATCTAACAGCATATTAAAAGATTAAAATACCATGATAACAAGTAGGAGTAATTCTTCAAATGTCACATCCTTTAATTAGCAATCTGCAGCCATAATATATCCCACATCAATAAAGTAACAAAAATATCTATATGACCATCTGCTATGGTCTGAATGTGTCCCCGCAAATTCATACGCTGAAACTTAATCATCAATGTGATAGTATTAAGAGGTGTGGCCTTTATTCAGTGATTAAGTGATTAGGGCAAAGCCCTCATGAATGCGATTAATGTCTTTATAAAAGAGGTTCAAGGGAGCTGTTTTGCCCTTCTGCTATGTGAGGATACAGCATTTGCTCCTTCCATCATGTGACAACACAGTGAGAAGGTGCCATCTGATAAGCAGAGACAAGCCCTTACCAGACACTGAATCTACTAGCACCTTGATCTTAGACTTCCTAGTCTCCAGATCTGTGTAAAATAAATTTATATTCTTTATAGATTTCCCAGTCTAAGGTATTCTGTCATAGCAGTCTGAATGGATAGAGACATCATCTTAGTAGATATAAAAAGGTTTTCATCAAATTCCACATTGTATTCCTCATAAAATTTTAATAAACTTGAAACAGAAAGATAATCACTTAACATGATATTTTCGTTTCAAACAAATAGTCAGCATTACAATTAATAATGCCCAGAGTAGCAGTTATATAATAAGTAGGAAGACTGTTTTAAGAATTGGAGGTAATATATTTACAGGGTTAGTGTATTGAAGAGGGTTAGTAATAAGTAACTGTTTGTAGTATTTGGTACTATTATTATCATAATTATTGTTAAAGCTACAGTACAGGATGAATTAATGCTGTAGTGTGGCTGAAAATACAGGGATGAAGCCAGATCATGGAGGGCCTTGTGTGCTACACTATAAAGATGAGATTCTATGCTTTATATGAAAGAGGGGGTAAAAGAATAACAGTCACATGAGCATATCTGTGTTTAACAGATAATTGTAACTGCAAAGTAGAGGTAGATAAATGGAAACAAGAGTATAATCAGGAAATCTAGGTAGTTAGTCACCACAAAATGAACATACAGTAAAGAAAAAAATGGTGGCTTGAAATGGACTGGTGGCACTGAAGGTGGAAATAAATAGATACATTCAGAATACATCTCGGAGGCAAAATATCCATCACTGTCACTCAATAGGACATGGGGGAAAAGAAAATAAATTGGGAAGGGTAGAAGTAGGCAAATTATTCAGGGCATTCTAATAGCAATGGGAAGTCATTAAAAAGATTTTAAGCAGGAATTTGATGTGATCAGACTTGTATTTTAGTAAGCTCTTTTGGCTGCTAGGTAGAGAATACTGCGGAGAGGAACAGAAGTAGAAGCAAGACAACCAGTTAGGAGGCTGTGAGGTCAAGGAAATGAGAGACTCTGATTAGTGCATTACTAGAGCTGGGTAGTCATTTATTTTAAGAAAAAGAAAAGAAGGCCAGGCACGGTGGCTAATGCCTGTAATCCCAGCATTTTGGGAGGCCAAGGTGGGCGGATCACGAGGTCAGGAGTTCGAGACCAGCCTGACCAACATGGTGAAACCCTGTCTCTACTAAAAATACAAAACTTAGCCGGGCATGGTGGCATGCACCTGTAATCCCAGCTGAGGCAGGGATTAATCAGGAGGCTGAGGCAGGAGAATTGCTTGAACTCGGGAGGCAGAGGTTGCAGTGAGCCGAGATCACGCCATTGCACTCCAGCCTGGGTGACAGAGCTAGAATCTGTCTCAAATAAATAAATAAATAATAGAAAAAGAAAAGAAATTCTAAAAGGAAAGTAGGTTTTGGTGGGAGGATCATTTGTATCACTTTGAAGATAGTGTATTTGAAACATCCAAAAGAAGATGTTACATAGGCAGCTGTATATATGGGTCACTAGCTCAGTGCAAAGGCCTGGGCTGGAAATACAGACAAGGGAGATAAATCATATTGGCTGCAGCAAAGGGGGTAACTTGGAGATTGCAAAGACTGAAGCCCAGATCAGTTTACATTTCACTGATAGAAAAATCAATGTGTTACACCCCAGATATATATATATATAAAAAATACTCTAAAAAGTTTCCAGTTTACTTAGTCTCCCTTAGAACAGGGAATGTACAAGATGGCCCAACAGATGATCAGCCATGGAAGCAAATGTTAGGGCAAATGTTAAAAGGAATGCCCCGGGCCGGGCACGGTGGCTCACGCCTCTAGTCCCAGCACTTTGGGAGGTCGAGGCAGGCCGATTACTTGAGGTCAAGAGCTCAAGACCAGCCTGGGCAACATGGTGAAACCGCGTCTCTACTAAAAATACAAAAATTAGCTGGACGTGGTGGCACATGCCTGTAATCCCAGCTACTTGGGAGGTTGAGGCAGGAGAATCACTTGAGCCCAGGAGGTGGAGGTTGCAGCAAGCCAAGATTGCGCCACTGCACTGCAGCCTGTGCCACAGAGCATGACTCCATCTAAAAAATAAAAAACCTAAAGTACAAGGAGTGCCCCATGGTGGCACTCTCCACATACAACCTGTTCCCCAGGACTTCTAGGTCAAATACAGTTGTCTTTATACTTTCCTCATTAGAAACAAGGGGTGAAATTGAATTACTGATGCTCTCAGAAAGTTGTGAAGGTAAAAGGCAGAGATGCAACATGCTGGATTGCAAAGCTAGAAAAATAATTGCAAATTTCCATCCCCTCTAGAGTAGCATCTACCAAGCATTTCTAACTTATTTGGCTGAAAGAATTGAGGCTTTGCCAGAAGGCATTCTCTCTTTCCTCCAAGATTCTCTTTCCTGCCCCAGAGAATTAACATCCCAGTATCCAGCCAAGCACTAGAATCACAATAGGCAGAGAAGAAACATGGTGGCATCGTCACTTGTGAAAATCATACAGGACATCTTTCTACTGCCAATGAGATTCCAAATGAATGAAGCGGAGACCAGTCAAATGGTCAAGAGTATAGCTCTTGTCTATTAAAACTTATTATTAAACTTTACTAATTAGAACCATATGATAATAAAGAAAAAACCAAGATCACTAAAAGAGAATAGACAGAATGAAAATAGGCCTATGCAAATATAGAAATAGTTCTGTGATAAAAGTGGCATTTAAAGTTGGCAAAGAAAAGAAGGATTATTCAATAATTGGGCTTGCATCAACTGACTGATCATCTGAAATTTAAGAAAGGCTAAACCCCTACCTCATTCTTTAAGTAAAAATAAAATGAAACATTTAAAATGTAAAGACTGAAATCATGAAAGTTCTTTTTTTTTTTTTTTTTTTGAGACAGAGTATCGCTCTGTTGCCCAGGCTGGAGTGCAGTGGTGCAATCTCGGCTCACTGCAACCTCCGCATCCTGGGTTCAAGCAATTCTCCTGCCTCAGCCTCCTGAGTAGCTGGGATTACAGGCATGTGCCACCACGCCCAAATAATTTTTGTATTTTTAGTAGAGACGGAGTTTCACCATGTTGGTCAGGCTGGTCTTAAACTCCTGACCTCAAGTAATCCGCCTGCCTCTGCCTCCCAAAGTGCTGGGATTACAGGCATGAGCCACCGTGTCTGACGAAATCATTAAAGTTCTAAAACCAACATCAGCTTTCAGAAAGATGGAGCAGACATAATTTTTGCTATTCTTCTTCCTAAGTACAACTAAAACTCTTGAGTATTATACATAAAACAAACAAAATAAGACTCTGAAGGAAAGAAAAAGCCTAACTTGCTAAGGACATCAGGGCCCGAGGAGCAACTAGGTGGTGGATTCCTTGGCTTGTCTTTTTGCTTCCAATATCCCAGAGTTGGAGCTGAATAAGCCAGCAACCTGGAAACATCAACAAACACAGACTAAAATGGCCTTCTGTCTCTAACCAAAGGACCAAAAAGGGGGCAGCCTAGAAAGACAGAAAACAATTTAGACAATATCTATCCTATTCTAGACAAACTCCACAGAAAAAACGGTGGCCTTACCCCCACCCCCACCAGTAAGGCAAAGTGGAGAGTCTAGATTTCTATCTTCAACAGGCTGCAACAAAACGCTCCAATACCCCCACTATGGTGGTCAGAGAAGGCCAAGTAAGGATAGTGATGAGCCTGTCCCTCCCCCTGACAGTGTCAGTGGAAACCATGGGAGGAGACTGGACTTCCACTCTCATCCAACAGTAATAAATAGCTCCATGCCTCATACCTCAAATGGCAATAGAAGCAGAGTGAAAAACTTGAGCTTCTACCCCCATCTAGTAATACCTGGCAGAGAGACAGAAAGAGTGAGGAACAGATATTCCTCTTTTTGTAAGGCCACATTCCTATCAGATTATGGCCTATCTCGTCTGTTTTCTGTGGTTATAACAGAACATCTAAGTTTAGGTAATTTATAAAGAAAAAAGGTTTATTCAGCTCATGGGTCTGAAGGCTGGGAAGTTCAAAGGCATGGCCCTGGCTTCTGCTGAGACCTTTTGTGCTGCATCGTGACATTATGAAAGTTAAAGGGGAAGCAGATACATGCAAAGAGGCAAAATCCAAAGGGTTTCTAGCTTTTTAACAACTTACTCTCATGGGAACTAATCTCCATTACTGCGAGTACTAATATAATCTCGCCAGAAAGAGGACTCTCATGAGAATAGCACCAAGCCATTTATGAGGGATTGGCTCTCATGACCGAAATACCTCCCACTAGACCCCACCTCCCAACACCACCACATTGGGGATCAAATTTCAACAAAAGTTTTGATGGAGACAAACCATAACCAAACCATAGCATGGTCCCATCTTTATGACCTAATTTAACCTTAATTATCTCCTAAAGACCCATCTCCAAACACATTGTGGGTTAAGGATTTAACCTATAAATCTGGCAGGGACACAATTCTGTCCATAGCAAGGTTTAACTCAATTTATATCAAAATTCCAGCAAGACATTTTTGTGATATTGACAAAATTATTCTAAAATTTATATGAAAAGGCAAAAAACTAGAATAACTAAAATGCTTTTGAAGATAAAGTGAGAAGAATGTGTCTATTAAATATTAAGCCTTACTATATGACTACAGTAATCAAGTCAGTGTGATATTGGTGGAAAGCTATACACATAAATCAGTGGAACGGAATAGAGATTCTAGAAATATTGCCCACAAGAATATGTCCAACTGATTTTTGAAAAAAGTACAAAAGCAATCCAATAGAGGAAGGATAACTTTCATAACAAATGGTGCTAGAGAAATTGGACATATCTGATAATGGAGTAGAAGTATCTAGAATATACAAAGAATTCTCAAAGCTCTACAGTAAAAATATAAAAGGAGGCCAGGCGCAGTGGCTCACTTTGGGAATCCAAGGCAGGTGGATCACTTGAGGTCAGGAGTTTGAAACCAGTCTAGCCATGGTGAAACCTCATCTCTACTAAAAATACAAAAAATTAGCCAGGCATGGTGGCAGGCACGTGTAATCACAGCTACTTGGGAGGCTGAGGCAGGAGAATAGCTTGAACCCGGGAGGCGGAGGTTGCAGTGAGCCGAGATCGTGCTGCTGCACTCCAGCCTGGGTGACAGAGCGAGACTCCAACAATCAATCAATCAGTCAATCAATGGAAACAATCCAGTTAGAAAACAGACAAATGACATTTCCCCAAAAAGGATATACGGATCGCAAATAAGCACATGAAAATATGCTCAGCATCATTAGCTATCAGAGACATCCAAAACAAAACCACAAAATATCACTATACACCTCTGAGAATAGCTAAAATGAAAAATAATGACAACAACAAATGCTAGAGAGGATGTGAAGAAACTGGATGACTCATACATTGCTTGCGGGAACATTAAATGGTTAAAGAATGTATACATATGAAGAAACTCAATTTTATGAAAACTGAAATACTATTCATGTGCTTTTCAAAAAAAATGAGGTAATAATCTCACAATATGGTAGCTCTATTCTGCAAAAGCTTGGCAGTTCCTTAAAAATCTAACCATGCTAGGCCAGGCACAGTGGCTCACGCCTGTAATCCCAGCACTCTGGGAGGCCGAGGCGGGTGGATCACGAGGTCAGGAGATGGAGACCATCCTGGCTAACACGGTGGAACCCCATCTCTACTAAAAATACAAAAAAATTAGCTGGGCACGGTGGCGGGCGCCTGTAGTCCCAGCTACTCGGGAGGCTGAGGCAGGAGAACTGCGTGAACCCAGGAGGCGGAGCTTGCAGTGAGCCGAGATTGCGCCACTGCACACTAGCCTGGGCTACAGAGCGAAACTCTGTTTCAAAAAAAAAAAAAAATCTAACCGTGCTACTTCCAGATGACCTAGCAATTGCACTCCTGGGCATTTTTCCCAGAGAAATGAAAACTTATGAATCTGTACACAAATGTTAATAGCAGCTTTATTTGTAATGGCCACAAACTGAATCATGCCAGATGCCCTTCAGAGGATGAATGATTAAACAAACTTGTGGTATATCCATACCATGGAATACTAATTAGAAATAAAAAAGAAAAAATGGATGTTGGAAGAAACTACTAGAAACTCCTAACAGTGGTACACGTTGGGAAGAGATATTTGAGGGGGGACAGAGAAAATTTCTCTTTTGCACTTTGTACTTTTCTGCGCTATCTGGATTTTCAACTTTCTTTCAAACTTTCTACATATATTGCCCTTTTTATGCTAACAGGGGTTATTTAGGAGGTGAATTATGAGTGTTTTATTTATTTGTTTTCTTCTTTGTGTTATGAAAAAGCTAATATATGTGAAGAGAGGGGAAGAGGAGGCCTAGGGGAAGGAGGAGGAAGAAAGAAGGAGAATGTGGGGACATTGACGTCAGATAGACCTCGGTTTCAATATTGGCTCCATCACTTATTTATATCTGCTTGATCTTAGGAAATCACTTAACCTTTATGAGCAAATTTCCTTATTTGGATAAAAGAGATAGTAATAGTACCTGACTCATTAGATTTTTGTAAGGGTTAACTGAAAAATGTACTTGGCACATGGCAAACCTGCAATAAATATAAAATATTTTTATTATCATTATTATTAAGATGAAGATAGAAAAATGATCGTGACTGGGCCAAGATTTTATTTTGATTAAATGAGTCAGCCCAGCAACCAGAGAACACAATGAAGTGGGAAGGACAGAGGCCACCTCAGCCAGATATTAACAGGAGATCAAATAAGCAGGAGTATGTTCTTTCACCAGTTTTTTTAAAACATAGTATTTAAAAAAAAGGTTACATCCTGCTGACAGGTCTAAGACAAAATCTCAGAGTTATTGAAATATAGTAATTTTTAAATAGCTTTTTGAGACGTAGTTCACATGTCACAAAATTCAGCTTTTTAAAGTGTTTTTTTTTAGAAAATTTACAAGGATTTGCAATCATCACCATGATCTAATTTCAGAATTATTTCATCATCTCCTAAAGAAACCCTGCACCTATTAACAATCACTCCTCACTCTCCACAACCCACTCCACCCTCAGGATACCATTAGAGGTAGAATCAATAGAACTTGGTAAGAGATCTATTGTGGAGATAAAAGAGAGCAGTAAATAATAACTCCCACATTTCTGATGTAAGCAGTTCTGTGGATGGTGGTACCCTTCATAGAGATGCTAAAAATAAGAGAGAGGAGGTATTGTGGAAAAAAGATGAGTCCAGGTTTGAGGTGGGACATCCAAGTTGAGCTGCTGAGGAGACATTTGAGATGAGTTATGATACTCAGGAAAGAGATAGGAGCTAAAGATAGAGATTTCAAAATAATATGCACATACATGCATATATATATTTGTGTGTATATGCATATGCACACATGAGGGGCCCTCAAATTTTTTTTTTTCCGAGACGGAGTTTCACTCTTACACCCAGGATGGAGTGAAGTGGCACGATCTTGGCTCACTGCAACCTCCACCCTCCGGGTCCAAGCAATTCTCCTGCCTCGGCCTCCTGAGTAGCTGGGATTACAAGCGCCCACCACCATGCCCAGCTAATTTTTGTACTTTTAATAGAGACGGGGTTTCGCCATGTTGGCCAGGCTGGTCTTGAACTCCTGACCTCAGGCGATCCACTCTCCTCGGCCTTCCAAAGTGCTAGTGTGAGGCACTGAACCTGGCCGGGGCCCTCAAAAATTTTGTGAAAAATGCATATTAAGATCCAGTTTGAGGGAGTAAAAATGATAAGACATCAGTTCAAAAAAATTAGAAAATATCATATAACAAAAATATTTATTAGGTGAAAAAGTTCCATTTAAGCCAGATCTTAATGAATATAAATCTTATTTTGGATCTAGAGGCAGTTTGTCCAATACTAGCAAGTGAAAAATCCATCCTAGACAGATCTCTTCTATATATCCACCTATACAGGACAGGATCTTGCATGCCAATAACAAGCACCAGGTGAACAAAGTAACCAGAAAAAATCCTTATAGGTCACATATTACCCAACAATCATAATGCTTTGCACCAGGACACTCTGGCGTTAGCTGATTGAGCTATGGATGTGATCTAACTGATCTAACTGAAAGGCACCTATTGCTAACTGGCCTACACAGGAGCCTGGCATGACTGCAACCTCAGCTGTGCAGTCTACTTGGCTTCAAGTTCTGTCTCCAAGGCCCAAGGTAGAAAGGCCTAGTTGTCCTTGATATCAGTCTCAAATACTAAGGGGAGCTTTAATATTCTTGGTTTTCCTTAATAACTCTCTCTATATATCTGTCTACTAAGGGTTTACCTAAGGTCTTCTTGAACCTACTATGATAAGATGAGCACTGCTTTGAGAGTCTCATAGATTTGGGTTGTAATTCTAGCTCTATTATTTATTACCCTTAAGCCTATTACTGAACTTCTGTCTGTGACTTATTATTTTCTTTATAAGATATGTACTTTCCAGAGTAGTTTGTGAGGATTAAATGGGACCATATATGCCAAATACTCATTAGGATCCTTTTTTTTTTATCCTTACATTTACACACTCTCTGTAGATAATGGACGTCTTAAAAATATACTCTCCATTCAGAGTAATCTCACTGCATTTGGTTCTGAAAAGAATACCTTCAATTCTAGTCTAATCTTCCCCTAGTTTTCCAGGACTTAGCAACCACCAGACCACTTGATAATTTTACAGATTTGTGTCCTAGGTTTCTCTAAGTTTTTCTCTTTCTAGATGGAATTCCTACTTTTAAAGTACATGTAAAATTTTGGTTAAAATGAAATTTGAAAAATGGCTTCTCAGGACATAATCCAACCTCAGTTACTTAAACAAAGCTACACACAGTAATTGCCAGCCTGTAAAGAGACCTCAGGTCCTTAATGGGAACTCTCTTCTTTTCCCTGGGTCTTTGTATTTGGAATATTTACTGTTTTACCAGAGGAAACAATGGATTCGAAAATAAAAAGGTTGTCTTATGAGCTACTTTTTAATGCTTTAAGAATTGGAATTTGCAAAATAAATTACAGTGGCGCTATTGAGAAGCTGGGAAAAACCCAACACCCTCCAGGAGTTAAAAAGTCTCTGTCCCTTCTTGAATGATCTGCTAAATAAACAGTTCTTACTGCATAACATCAGGAGACACATTACAGTTAAAGGATCCAAATAACTGCATTGAACTGATAACACATAGCTCTATAACAGGAAAAAAGTAATAAGTATGGCTGTAGAGCCCTATTTCTACCATCTCTTCTGGGGAAGATAACTTTCTATGCAAACTCATTTTTTTAATTCTACCACATTGTCTTCCTTTTCCAAACAGGATATAAAATGATTTCACAGGCATCTCTTGAGATGAGCACTGAGAAAAGTTTCCCTCGGCACAAAAACCCAGCCACCTCTTGAAGAACTCTAAAATTAGAAAGGCATTCTCTTTCATAAAAACGGAAGCAATGCTACTAACTCAGTTTGAGCAATTCCTCAAGGCCAGCATAACTACTTTTCTTCAGCCTCCTTGAGCTGTGACATTCTGTAAAATATATCAGGTTATCAAGCCTCTAATTGGCCCCTTGGAAAGATCATTTTCTTACTATTAATGTTAAGCTTTAGAACATTCAGTCCTTTCAGGAGTTCCTTATCAGAAGGCAATAGGTTCTGCTTGACTTGTTTGCCTGCACAATGCCCGCTGTGTTTTGGAAAACTGAGAATTCTTTACTCTTTCTTTTCTTTTTTTTTTTTTTTTGAGACGGAGTTTTGCTCTTGTCGCCCAGGCTAGAGTGCAATGGGGTGATCTCAGCTCACTGCAACCTCCGCCTCCCAGGTTCAAGCAATTCTATTGCCTCAGCCTCCTGAGTAGCTGAGATTACAGGCACCTGCCACTACACCCAGCTAATTTTTGTATTTTTAGTAGAGACAGAGTTTCACCACATTGGCCAGGCTGGTCTCGAACTCCTGACCTTGTGATCCACCCACCTTGGCCTCCCTAAGTCCTGGGATTACAGGGATGAGCCACCGTGATCGGCCACTCTTTAGTCTTTCAACTGGGTCATTTTAAATTTCTCTTATGTATTTAAGTTACACCCAAAAATTTGGCTGGAGAGGCAGCACTGTGCAGTGGATAAAGGGCTGACCTAGGAGTCACAAGATGGAGTTCTACTCTGAGTTTTCTATTTACCAACCACACGACCATGGAGAGTAGTTTAATACACCTGAGTTCCCTCAACTATAAAATGGGAACAATTAAAACAACAACAACCAACACCATTATATCTACTTCACAGGCTAATTGTAAGGACCAAATAAGATTATGCAATAATAATGATTACATTTGCAAAGAATTTACAGTTTACAGAAAGCTCTTTCACATTTATTAGTTCATGTAATTCTGTAGGAGCAGTTTAAAAATTATAAAGGGCTATGTTAGGCATTGTGACAATTACATGCATGAAATTTCTCTCAAATCAGCCAGGCCCAAAATCAGAGTAAACCTCTTTAACTGTTTACAGCATTTCTTCCAATTTGTATATATAACCCCATTTATTAAACTTTAATTCCTTCTAGTGTCATTTTTTCTTTTAATATATTTCTAGAAGGTAAAAACCATACCCTTCTATAAGAAGAAAGCCACATTCAAATCTGTCCATTAAAACAGCTCAGATTCTAACTTGCTCATTTATTTGCTTTGTTTTATATATTTATTGTTTTGTTTAATTGTAGCACATAAGTAGGCTTGATGATATGATTTATAAAAAAGACCGTGCCAAAAAATGTAAACCCACCTCATTGCTTCTTATGTAAGAATAACATTAATAATCATGGTAATAGTTTTATGTCAATAAGCACATTTGAAAACTGCTGTGGTAGTCATTAGTGCTGCTCCACAAATACCTACATTTCTCCTCCCTCCCAGCATTATAGTGAGATTGCATTCCAGGCCTGACCCCGAGTCCCACCCCTCAACACACACTTGTTAGGTATCTCCATGTGACTGGCTTTGGCCTACAATGCCTCAGTGGAAATGACATATGTCACTTATGGGTGGAAGCTTTAAGAGCCAATGAGCAATATATCACAAACTCTCTTCTTCCCCTCGGTCAAGGTGACCAGCAATGCTAGTAATAGCATTTGCTCTGTCAGCCTGGATCCTGGAGTGATGATGACACGAATCAGACCTTGAGGCAACCAAAAATATGTAGCAAGAACAAGAAATAAACCTTTGTTATTTTAAGCAATAAGTTTCAAAGTTGTTTGTTCCTGCAACATAATGGCCCGTCCTGAATAACATAATGGTTACAATCCTGGGCTCTAAAGTCAAAAAATCAAATTTACGTCCCAGTTTAGATGTACAATCTTTTTTTTTTTTTTTTTTTTTTTGAGACTGAGTCTCTCACTGTCGCCCAGGCTGGAGTGCAGTGGCTCGATCTCGGCTCACTGCAAGCTCCACCTCCCAGGTTCACGCCATTCTCCTGCCTCAGCCTCCCGAGTAGCTGGGACTACAGGCGCCTGGCCACCACGCCTGGCTAATTTTTTGTATTTTTAGTAGAGACAGGGTTTCACCGTGTGAGCCAGGATGGTCTCGATCTCCTGACCTTGTAATCTGCCTGCCTTGGCCTCCCAAAGTGCTGGAATTACAGGCTTGAGCCACCGCACCCGGCCTTAAATGTACAATCTTAAATAAGTTATAGAATCTCACTGAGCCTTAGTTTCCTCATTTATAAAGTGGGCAAAAAACAGTACCTACTACACAGGGTTATTTTGAGGTATGTACAGGCATACCTCATTTTTTTGTGCTTCACAAATACTGTGTTGGGTTTTTTAAAATAAATTGAAAGTTTGTGGCAACCTCACATAGAACAAGTCTATCGGCACCATTTTTCCAACAGTGTGTGCTCACTTGGTATCTCTGTGTCATATTTTGGTAATTCTCGCAATATTTCAAACTTTTCATATCTTTTATGGTGAGCTGTGATCAATGATCTTTGTTGTTACTGTTGTAATTGTTTTGGGGTGCAATGAATCAAGTCTATATAAGATGGTGAACTTAATTGATAAATGTCGTGTGTATTTTGACTGCTCCACCAACTGGCCATTCCCTCATTTCTCTCCCTTTCCTTGGCCCTCCCTGTTCCCTGAGACATAACAATATTGAAATTAAGCCAATTAATAAGTCTACAATGGCCTCTAAGTGTTCAAGTGAAAGGGCTGCACATCTCTTACTTAAATCAATGGAAAGCTGACATAGGCCAAATGCTAGGCCTCTTGTACCAAAGTTGGTCAAGTTGTGAATGCAAAGGAAAGGTTCTTGAAGAAAATTAAAAGTGCTACTCCAGTGAACACACAAATGATAGGAACACAAAACAGCCTCATTGTTCATATGGAGAAAGTATGCGTGGTCTGGATACAAACTAACCAGCCACAACATTCCCTTCAGCCAAAGCCAAATCTAGAGAAAGGCCCAAACTCTCTTCAGTTCTATGAAGGCTGAGAAAGGTGAGGAAGCTGCAGAAGAAATGTTGGAAGCTAGCAGAGGTTGCTTCATGATGATTGGGAAAGAAGCCATCTTCGTGATACAAAAGTGCAAGGTGAAGCCGCAAGTGCTGATATAAAAAGTGCAGCAAGTAATTCAGAAAATCTAGCTAAAGTAAATGCTGAAATTGGCTACACTAAACAGAAGACTTTAAATATAGACAAAACAGCCTTTCATCGGAAGAACATGCCATCTAGGACTTTTATAGCTAAAAAGGAAAAGTCAATGCCTGGCTTCAAAGCTTCAAAGGACAGGCTGACTCTCTTGTTACGGGCTAGTGCAGCTGGTGACTTTAAGCTGATGCCAAAGTTCATTTACCATTCTGAAAATCCTAGGGCCCTTAAGAATTATACTAAATCTGCCTGTGCTCTGTAAATGAAACAACAAAGCTGGGATGACAGTACATCTGTTTACAGCATGGTTTTCTGAATGTGTTAAGCCCACTGTTGATGCCTACTGCTCAAGAAAAAAGATTCCTTTGAAAATATTACTGTTTATTGAGACATGCACTTAGTCACCCAAGAGCTCTGATGGAGATGTACAAGGAGATTATTGTTGTTTTCACATCTGGTAACACAATAGCTATTCTGCAGCCCATGGACCAAGGAGTAATTTCAATTTTCAAGTCTTATTATTTAAGAAACGCATTTCATTAGGCTGTAGCTACCATAGATAGTGATTCCTCTGATGGATTTTGGCAAAGTCAATTGAAAACTTTCTGGGAAGGATTCACCACTCTAGATGCCATTAAGAACATTTGTGATTCATGGAAGGAGGTCAAAATACCAAGATTAACAGTCTGGAAGAAATTGATTCCAACACCCCACGGATGACTTTGAGGGGTTCAAGATTTCATGGGGGAAAATAACCACAGATGTGGTGGAAATGGCAAGGGAAACAGAATTAGAAGTGAAGCCTGAAGATGTGACTGAACTTCTGCAATCACATGATAAAACTTGAATGAATAAGAAGTTGCTTTTTGTGGATGAGTAAAGAAATGGTCTCTTGAGATGAAATGTACTCCTGATGAAGATGTTGTGAACATTGCTGAAATAACAAAACATTTAGAATATTACATACATTTAATTGATAAAGCAGCAGCAAGGTTTGAGAGGACCGACTTCAATTTTGAAGAAAAGTTCTACTATGAGTAAAATGTTATCAATCAGCATCTACAGAGAAAACTTTTTGAAGAGTCAATGTGGCAAACTTCATTCTTGTTTTATTTTAATAAATTACCATAGCCACCCCAACCTTCAGCGACCACCACACTGATCAGTCAGCAGCTGTCAACAATGAGGCAAGGCCCTCTGCCAGCAAAATGATTACAACTTGCTGAAGGCTCAGATAATCATTAGCATTTTTAGCAATAAAGTGTTTTTAAGACATGCACATTTTTAGATATAATGATATTACACACTTAATGGACTACAGTACAGTGTAAACATAACTTTTATATGCACCGGAAAACCAAAAACTTTGTGTGACTTGCTTTATTGTGACATTCACTTTATTAAGGTGATCTGGAACTTAACCCTCAACATCTCTGAGGTATGCCTATATGTCTATAAAAAGTGTCTGGCACACAGTAAGTGCTCAGTCAATATTTATCATATGAGTCCCATAATAATCTTGTATGGCAAAAAATACTTACCCTTCCGATATAAAGATAAAAACTAGAAGCCAACAAAGAAAATAGAAGTCAACATGCCAAGTTTACATACTTGTACTATCCATATTATAACTGCATATTAGATATTCAGAAGAAATAAACCTTTCCTGGTGCTAAGGCTGAAAGAAAACTATTCTCTGTAGATTTTAATACAGAGACACTAACTAGAGAAGTAAAACTCCTCTCAGCCTACCATTCTGTGGATCTGTTTCATCAGAATTACCAGGAGTGTTTGTTAACAATACATATTCCCAGGTAATACCTCAGATCTGTAGTTTACAAACACTTCAGATAATTTTGCTGTGCAATGAGGCCTTGGAAACACAAAATTTTGATAAAACAAATCAAAGAAGACCTAAATAAATGGAGAGACATAAAATTTTCTTGGATTTAAAGACTCCACAAAAGGTCTTTAGGTGAAAGAGTGTTTAGATGTCTCCTAAGAAATAAATTTAATGAAATCCCACTAGGTCTTTTGTAAATATAGACAAGCTGATTCTAAAATTATGTGAAAAGGCAAAGGACTAAAATAGCCAAAGATATTTTGGAGAAAAAACACATTTAGAAGACTCATAGAACCCAAATTTAAGACACGCTATAAAACTAAAATATTAGCCGGGCGCAGTGGCTCATGCCTGTTATCCCAGCACTTGGAGGCCGAGGCAGGAAGATCACGAGGTCAGGAGATCAAGACCATCCTAGTTAACATAGTGAAACCCCGTGTCTACTAAAAATACAAAAAATTAGCCAGGCCTGGTGGTGGGCACCTGTAGTCCCAGCTATTCAGGAGGCTGAGGCAGGAGAACGGCATGAACCCAGGAGGCAGAGTTTGAAGTGAGCCGAGATCGCACCACTGCACTCCAGCCTGGGGACAGAGCAAGACTCTCTCCAAAAAAAAAGAAAAAAGAAAAAAGAAAAAAACACTAAAATATTAAGATTGACTGGTATTGGCAAAAAGATAAATATATAGCTCAATGAAAGACAACAGATAATCCAGAATTAGATTCATGTGCATATGGTAAATTGATTTTAACAAAGGTGAAGATTCCATTTAATGGGGACAATATTGTCTTTTCAAAATAATGATGCTGACAGAGTCTCAAAGAGATATTTGTACTCCTATGTTCATAGCAGAATCATTTGCAATAGCTAAAAGGTAGAAGCAACCCACGTGTCTATTGATAGATGAATGGATAAACAAAATGTGATATATTCATACAATATTATTTTAAGGGTGAATATTATTCAGCCTCAAAAAGGAAGGAAATTCTGACACATGCTGCAATATGGATGAACCTTGAGAACATTACATTAAGTAAAATAAACCAGTCAGAAAAAGACAAATATTGTATAATTCCACTTATAAGAGGTATCTAAAGAAGCCAAATTCATAGAAACAGAAAGCAGAATGCTGGTTGCCAAGAGCTGGTAGACAAGGTGAAATGGGGAGTTGTTGTTTAAAGGGTATAGAGTTTCAGTTTTGCAAGATGAAAAAGTTCTAGAAATTGGTCACACAATAATGTGAATATAATTAATACTACTGGACTGTATACTTAGAAATGGTTAAAACAGTAAATTTTATGTTATATGTTTTTCCCACAATGTAAGATTTTTTAATAAAGGTAAATGGTGCCAGAAAAACTACAGAGAAAGTAGATTAGTGGTTTCCTAGAGCAGGTTTAGGGGTCAATGGAGATAACAGTAAATATATATAGACGTGATCATATTGGGGTGATAAAAAAGGTTCTAAAACTGATTCATGATGATGGTTGCAGAACTTGGTAAATTTGGTTCTAAAATATCATTGAATTGTATGCTTTAAAAGAGCAAATTACATGATATGCAAAATATGCCTCAATAAAGTTATTAAAATTATTCAAGGGACACTATTCCTAAGTAATTTTATATCTGTTTTGTGTTATTATAAATTATTCTTAGATATGATACCAAAAATATAATCTATAAAAGAAAGTCTACTTTATTGAATTTAAAGTTGATAGAAGAGTCTTTGGCAAAACACACTATTAAGATAATAAAAAGATAAGCTACAAACTAAGATAAAAAGTGCAAATCACGGCTGGGCGTGGTGGCTCACACCTGTAATTCCAGCACTTTGGGAGGCCGAGGCAGGCGGATCACAAGGTCAGGAGATCGAGACCATCATGGCTAACACAGTGAAACCCTGTCTCTACTAAAAGTACAAAAAAAAAAAAATAGCCGGGAGTGGTGGCAGGCGCCTGTAGTACCAGCTACTCAGGGAGGCTGAGGCAGGAGAATGATGTGAACCTGGGAAGCGGAATTTGTAGTGAGCTCAGATCGTGCCACTGCACTCCAGCCATGGTGACAGGGCAAGACTCCGTCTCAAAAAAAAAAAAAAAGTGCAAATCACATATCTGACAAAAGACTTATATACAAAATGTATAAAGAACTCTCAAAGCTCAATAGTAAGAAAAACAATCTGATATAAAAATTTGCAAAAGACTTGACCAGATACTTCACTGAAGATGAATGGCAAATGGCTTAATTAATTAAAATAAAATGACATCCAACATTATTAGCCATTAGGGAAATTCAAATGGAAACCATGATGAGATACCACTATGTATCTATTAGACTAACTAAAATAAAAAATACTGACAACAGCAAGTGTCAATCAGGATGTAGAGAAACTACAGTTCTCATACATCACTTATGAGAATGCAAAATGGTACAGGTACTCTGGAAAATGAATTGGCCATTTATTGTACAGTTCAATATACACTTACCATATGAACCAGCAATCCAACTCCTAAGATTTTTTCATAGAGAAAAGAAAATTGTTTTTCACACAAAAATCTGCACATTAATATTTATAGAGTTTCTGTTGATAATTGCCAAAAATCAAAAGCAATACAAATGACCATTAACAGATGAATGGATAAACGAACAGTGGTACATCCATACAGTGGAATACTACCCAGCAATGAAAAGGAATGGACATGCAACAATATGGATAAATCTCCAAAGAATTTTGCTGAGTGAAACGGACCAATCTTGAAAGATTATATATTGTATGATTCCACGTATACAACTTTCTGGGAAAGACAAAACATAGTGATGGAATAACTGACAGAGGGTGTAAGAGTAAAAGACTAGCATGACAGAGTTTTCTAGGCAGATAAAACTGTTTTGTATCCTCATTGTGGTGGTAGTTTCATGAACCTGTACATGTGTTAAAACTCATACTAGTGTACACCAAAAGAAAGGCACCTTTGCTGAATAATTATTTTATTTTGTATTTCAATAGTTGTTTTTTTTGTGTGAACAGGTGGTGTTTGGTTACATGGATTAAGTTCTTTCGTGGAAATTTCTGAGATTTTGGCACACCTATCCCCTGAGCAGTGTACACTGTACCCAACTGGATAAGTATTAGGGTTTTTCAGGCAATGGGCAGGGCCATAGAGCTCCCAATAGATTATGTCATTTGTCTTTGGCTACCAGGAAATGTAGAGAAAGACTATCAGGTGGGGACAGTGTTAGGTGTGTCTGAGCTCAGACTCTCCTTGGGCGGGGCTTGCTGCAGCCACTGTGGGGGATGGGGGTGTGGTTCTCAGGCCAATGAAGTTATGTTCCCAGGGGGATTATGGCTGCCTCTGCTGCATCATACAGGTCACCATGGAAGTGGGGGAAAGCTTGTAGTAAAAGGCCTCACCCACCTCCCATGCAGCCAGCAAGGCCAGTCTCACTCCCACTGTGCCCCACCAACAAGCACAGAGTTTATATCCAGGCAGCCAGTGAGCAGGGCTGAGATCTTGGCCCAGGATACAAGCCTCCCCACTGAGAAAGCAAGCAGGGCTTTCTGGCCTCACCCCTCCCTGCCTGCTGTGGCTTCTGTGCTAATATCTGCACTTCCCATTTGCCCCCTTAGACCCCACTACATTCTGCCCAGAAAAATTTCTGCTCAGTCAAAATTATTACAAAGTCTAGCTAGAAGTTTCCTTATCCCTGTGGTCCTTCCCCAGTTCTACTGGCAGTCCTCCCCAAAGATCCCTGTGAGATAAAGTCAGAAATGGCTCCCCTGAGCATCCCTGGGGACCAGGAGTGCCTACAGGGCTTTCCTTGTTGCTTATTCTACTTTTATATTTCACTCATCTCTCTAGATTCATTTCAGCTCTAGGTAAGGCTAAATCCTTCTCCTGTGATGTGGATTTTCAGGTTCCCCAGTGAGGATGGGTGTTCGTAGGTGTACTTTCCTTCTCTCACACTTTGGGCATTCAGTTTTTTGGCTGTCTCATGGAATTTGCAGCAGCAAGTCAATTCTTTTAAAGGGTCTGTGAATTCTTTTAGTTTTCCTAGTATGTTCCTGCGGTAGTTCTTGGAGCAAATGTTTACGATGTCGGTCTCCACATGCTGTTCTGTTCATCCAAGTGGGAGCTGAAAGTTAGTCCTATCTCCCATCTGACATTTATTTTCCTAATTCAATAATTTTATTTTATAAATACAATTAAACATAAATCCTGGTTCAGAATCTATAAGGAACTTAACAAGTCAAAAAGGAGAAAAAGAACCTCATTAAAAAGTAGTCAAAGGACATGAACAGACACTTCTCAAATGAAGACATGCAAGAGGCCAGCAAGCATATGAAAAAATGCTCAACATCACTAATCATCAGAGAAATGAAAATCAGAACTGCAATGAGAGACCATGCCACAGCAGTCAGAATGGCTATTATTAAAAAGTCAGAAAATAACAGAAGTTGGTGTCTCTGTGGAGAAAAGGGAACAATTATACACCATTGGTGGGAATATAAATTAGTTCAGCCACAGTGGAAAGCAGTTTGGAATTTTCTCAAAAGACTAAAAGTAGAACTACATTCAACCTAGCAATCCCATTACTGGGTATATACCCAAAGGAAAATAAATCATTCTACCAAAACAAAACCTGAACGCATATGTTTATTGCAACACTATTCCCAAAAGCAAAGACATGGAATCAGCCTAAGTGCCCATTAATGGTGAATTAGATAAGGAAAATGTGATACACACAACACACGCACACATGCGCGCGCGCGCGCGCGCACACACACACACACACACACGTACACCATGGAATACTATGCAGCCATAAAAAGGAATGAAATCATATCCTTTGCAGTAACATGGATGCAGCTGGAGGGATTATCCTAAGCAACCCAACACAGAAACAGTAAACCAAGTATCTCATGTTCTCATTTATAAGTGGGAGCTAAACATTAAGTACACATGGACATAAAGATAGGAACAATAGACACTAGGGACTCCAAAAGGAGGGAGGAAGGGAGTGGGGAAAGAGCTGAAAAACTTCCTATTGGGTACTATGTTTACTATCTGGGTGACAGATCAGTGGAAGCGTAAGCCTTAGCATCATGCAATACACCCTTGTAACAAACCTGCACATGTACCCCGTGAATCAAAAAATAATGAGTTAAATAAATAAATAATAAAATAAATCCTGGTTCAGGGTGTATTTGGTTAAGATGGTCAATTTTATGTTATATGTTTTTACCACAATAAAAATCAATCAATCAATGGATCATGGTTCAATCATTTACCAGATCTCTGACCGTAGGCAACTTATTCTCACTTTACCTATATGTAAAGTGTGAGTAGTAAAACTACCTACCTCATAGGCTTATGAGAATTAAATTAGAACTTTATATAAAATGCTTGACATATAGTAAGTTCTCAATACATATTAGCTACTTCAATTTTTTACCCTCTAGATACCAATTTCTCTCCCACTGAATCCATCCTGAACAAGTCCTTGAGATTATTTTTCTTAATCTCCACTTTAATTCTTTTTCTAGCTCTTCATAATATGTGTGCACCTTGTCTATTCAGCAGTAAAACATGTGAGCCCCTAAGAGGAGCCCAGATTGACTCCATCTATCAATTTCTATCCTTGGGCATACACAACAGCCCATACTGGACAAGAATCTGCTATACTTTCAGGATCTTATGTTTGGACTACTTCCTACCATTATTGAGGCAGAGCCCTTTATATGAGGCAGTCCTACCACCATTCCTGCATACTGCATCCCACGCATACTCCCCTCTCCCTGTAAGTCACCACTGAGGTCACATTAAAGACTTAACAGAGGGGGATTCTAGATTCCCCACGGGAGAATATTAAGAGGAGAAAGGGAAAACAAATAGGAAGGTATGAAATTAACAGACATATGTTGCCAAGTTCACAGTTGGCTAAGGGTAAACTATCTTTTCCCATTTTTGTTTAACAATACCTCTCCAATTACCCAAATTGCAAGATAGAATATCTTACCTCAATTCTACCCTAGCATCTAGGAAAACATTTGAAAAATAGAACACGGGGCGAGGTAATTAAGTTTGATAACAGATACAGCATTTCTACAGGCCATAGCTGCAAAAAATAGTTCTATTCAATAAATTATTATTTCTCCTGCTTATCACATTGTGCCCTCTGCCCCACTTGCAAAAACACATTTCAGAAGCTGTTTGCCACATAATGTTCCACTGAGAAACAAGGTATACATCATACAAGGCCCCCAACAATAACTCCCAGAGCATATAGTTGTCTGCATCAGAACCTATCATAGAGAAAAAAAAAATTTCCATCTCCCACCCCCTCATGATCAAACTGGAGCTTCAGCCCACACAGATCTGTCACTCTGAGAAGGCTCCCCAGTCACAGCATCATCTTTGCCAAGGAAGAAGAGAAAATTGCATCTCTGAGCCACACAAAGTTAACTTTTCTATTCTAGCCTGTGTTTCAGCAGCATTGCCTTCTTAGAACAATTATCTCAAAAGTACAAAGTTAGTTTTCATTTGGAGTTGAAACCTGACTTGAGAAAGGGATCTCCTAGGCTACGTTCACACCACAGCCTAAAATCATGTTGCAAAAGAACCAACTATGGAATCGGGGGAACTTACGGTGTAATATCTGGCATCACTAAGAAAGACTGCTTTGACACGCCCCCCTGAACTTGTCACCTGAGATGGAGAAAAATACTCTTTGAAAAAGAATTAAATATGGGGTTTCCATCATGCCATTCTGTCATCCCAAAATATCAGCGTCAACGCTGACTCATACACACTCTGCATTCAAAGTCTTACCCACTCTTAAAGGCTCAGTTCAAATGTCATCATTTTTAGGAAGCTTCCTCGACTAACTCTGCTCATATCTCATTTTCTGTTCCAAACTTCCTAGCATAGATTTATAATTGTGTTGTACACTGCTCAGTCAGGATACAACAAATGTATAATATATCTTCCCAACTAGATGGTAGGCTCAAGAGCAAAGTGTTTGTTTATAACATCCCTGTTACACAGTAGGTGTTTCACAAGTACTTGCTACTCAACTACAAAACTCGAAAGTGCTAAGGACTCTGACTCCCACTGAGCCACATTAAACTACTTCAGTGTTGAGAAGGCATCTACCAACAATTTATATAATCTTGAAAGCTACCATAATGAATACTAAATGTTTGCTGCTACCATATGAATATTAAATGCTCCAAAATACTCAAACACAAGCATTTGAGTCAAGAGATTCATGTGCTCACAGGGAGACTGAAGCTCATACAATGGACCTCACTAGACAACCTTAAAAGAGATCTGTGCTGGAGAGGGGGCAGGCTGTGGGTTAGAAAACTTGCCTTCTTCATTATATCTGTCATCTTTCACTGCTCAGATTCACAAATTAAATAATTTACAAGTAACATAGTCCAACACCCTGTATTTCTTCAGGTCAGATTTCCTTCCAACAGACTGAAGGTGGGTGTCGCCCTATGTTCCTGGGAAGAAAAGTTCCAGTGCCACAAATCCATCTGCAAGTCCTGCTGTGTCACTTCGAGGACTGTAAGTAAAAGAACTGGAGAGACAGAGCAAGATGCCTGGACTTGGAGAACCAAAATAGATCTGGATATGCAAGGTAAGGTACAGGTCTAAGGCAAGAGAGATTACTGGAAACAGAAGGTCACAGTGGACCTAAAGCACAGCAAATAACTAGAGGTCAGAAGAAGACAGAGGGTAGAAATCAGTCAGGCTATAAGGAGTCTGGATGCACATGGATAGCAGAGAGCAAGGCGAGGATCAAGATTGTAAAATTAAAATATGGTGGATATGGAAGCAATCAGAATCCCAGTTATGCTACTTACTACTGTGTGATCTTTGACAGGTCACATCACCACTAGCTAAATTCTTTTCACTTATAAAACATGCACAATTAAATCTATTTCACTGCCTACTTTACAGTATAGTAATAGGGAGCAAAGGAGATAATCATATTTGAACATGCCTCGTAAACTCCAAATCACTGTTCAAATGTGAGTGATTACTATTATTAAATCATATATATGGACAAAGATCAGAAGTGTGTAGCACTAACAAAAACAACAAAAAGGCAAGCTGAGTAATGAATCCAGGACCTGCACTAGAGACACAGAAATGAAAAACCAGATCTAACTGCAGAGAGAACAAGATAGCAGCAACAAAAAAGCCATGACATTTCCCTACAACTACTGGAAATCTTATAAACTATGGCAGGACACAAAGAAAAAGCAAGACATTTTCCTCTCAATAGAATAAAATTAAATAAATGTATTTATTGAGCACCTACTATGGACCTGCATGGGATTGCAGGGGGTTGGGGAACCATTAGGGAGAAGGCTTACTTCCTTGTTTCTTGCATCAATGAGTGGCACCACCACCCACCCAAAGGTCCCAACCACAAACCTGAGATTCATCAGACTTCTTTTCCCTGTCCCTGGTCCTTCCTATCCAATCAATCACAAGTCCTGTTAAGTTTGACTCTCTATACCTCTAAAATCTGTGTTTCCTCTCAATTTCTACTGCCATGGTACTTAGTCTATCAGTCCCTCATTATTTCAGCCTTCTAATTGGCCTCCATGTTATCAGAGTAATCTTTTAAAATCACAGATCAGATCATGTAACTCCTCTGTATAAAATTCTACAATGGCTCACCTTTGCCTGCAGCCTAAGGTTCAATGTTCTTAACGTGACAAGGCCCTTCATAATCCAATTCCGGATACCTCTCCAGTGTGATCTCACTAGTTACACCACCCGCCTCCGCCCAAGTGCCTTCCAGTTGTATCAAACCACTTACAGTTTCTCTAACGTTTCATACTTTTTCAAGCTCCTATTACTTTCCTTCTGATTCTCTCACCGTTTGGAACACACCTGTTTCTTGCCAAGTAAATGTGGATTAAGCTTTGAAAACACAGCTCAATCAATCATCATCTCCTTTATGAAGCCATTCCTGCCTCCTTCAAGTAGAACTGGCCTTCACTCCTTTCTTTGTGCTTTCTTTGTCCCCTATTTTGACTTTTATTATAGTACCTAGTACATTATTACACTTATATGTTTATGTGTTTATCTCCCCTACTAGGCCAGGTACTCCTTGAGGGCAGGGACCATATCTCATTCATCTTTGTAGTATTCACCTTTGTAGCATCAGTACCTAACACAAGATCTAATGTAAAAGTGTTCAGTAAATGTTTGTTCAATAGATGAATGAATAAAGCAATCACTAGGAGAAAATATGTAATACATGAACTGAGCCCTCAAAGAATTTACTCTCTAATTAAAAGAGGATAGCACAAGTTAGTATAATAAGTGAAGGTTAAATTGTGTGTTGCAGACAATAGATGCTGCAGGAGAAGAGAAAAAACAATTCAGATTTCCTAATTAGAGAAGAATCGATGGAGGAGAGGAGACTTAAACTGGGCCTCCAACAACTCACAGAACTTGAAGAGTTGGAAGTATGTGTCAGTGTATCTGTATATGAGGATGTATACAGCAGTAGGGAATGGGAGAGTTGCAGAAAGATTTTAAGAAGGAGAACTGAACCTCAGGAACAAAATGAGCTTCTTCTTAAGATTCAGAGGGATCATTTCATCCCCCAAATAAGCATCTTTCCAGTTAATAAGGTAGCTTACTCTTTGCTTTCTAAAAATGGAGAAATTAAATTATCTGATATGGGAAGGTAACCTCAGAAGCACTTGGCACACAGATTGAATATGTAGCCACCATCCTGGCAGGAGATAAATCAAATACAGCATGGCTCTGACAAAGCTCAGAGCATGCAATGAAAACTGAGAGGGACAGGACCTGGATTCTAGCCATAACTAGTGAGTCAAGGTCTCTGAGGAGCTGCTACAAGCAAGATTATACATCAAAGAGGAAGAAACAGTACTTTTTAAAGAGAATATCACCTTCAGAAACAAATCATCCCTCCCTTAGAGAAAACAGTAGCAATGGGAGGCATTAAAAAGCACTTCAATATACAAGTGAGACAAACAGATGGCAGATTTGCAGAGGCTGACACAGCTGTTCCTGAAGGTTCAAAAACTGGGAAGTGTTTGGAGAACTGAGTCATTCTCATGTGCAATACCATGACATTCACATGATATTAATATAATTGGCTGAATGTTGGAAAGTTCATGCAATCAATTTGATTTTCCTCCATTTCTATCATACTAATATGCAGTTTTTAATTGGTGATTTTTACTGACATGACCAATTGTGGTGATATCATATAATCTATCAATCAAGTGAAATTCATCTTTTGGAGACTTTGTTTTCTTCCTCTGCAAAGTAAATATGAAATATTCCTAGGTCATGGCATTGGCACTGTAGAAAAGCACCTGGCGTTCCTACACCTTGCTCTATGGAGTCCTGTTCAGAGAAAGAATCAAGGCCTGAGTGGAATATACAGAAAGCAATGATTTGGGATGTGTACAGCACTGGAGATTCTGCCTAGTACTTCTGGAGAATTGATACAGATACATGATAGATGATAACGATAGGTAATAGAGATAGAAGAAGAGAGGCAGACGGTGACAGACAGAGGAAGATCCATTCTGTGTGGCAATTAACTTGAAGATATATCAAATTGCCACACAGTTTTCATCTTGGCCAGGTTGTGAATTTGAACTTAACTTTCTGCCTACAGATGTTTGGATATCTAACTATCATTCTCCCCTCCAGTGCAGACTAGAGAAGCTCATGGAGCATATAGCTTCTGACAGAATGCAGGCACCCAAGAACAGACAGCTTTTCTCCTGCTCAGCTTTTCCTCTGCTTGGTCTCTTTGTCTGAACACTCTATCAATATGAATCATACTATTGTCCTATCAAACTTAATATTGATACTTAGGCTGGGATCTCCCAATATTTAAAAAAAGATATGTGAGCAAGCACCAAAACACATGCAGTTCATTTACAATAATTCCCATGGTCCCAGGTTCTACCATCCTAACCTTAACAGGCACAGATGTGAAAGAGCTCCCTACCTACCCCTATTCTGTTCTCTGTTGCCTAGGCAAGGTTGGGTCCATTGAGGGCAGAAGGTAAGTTCCTTTATATCCTAGACAACCTCATAGCTGTCACTCAACAAGAGTCACATTACCTCACAGTAGGAAGTATCTGTAGAAAGGTTATCAGCTGGGAATATTTGCTTAGTTATTTCTGACTGAAAGTTGAACTCAAATGTCCCTCTCCTCAGGAAAGCCTCTCATACTAAATCTCTTGTTAAATAATTTTAAACATCTTAAGTCCTCTTTTTCACTCAACACATTTGTTATTGTGTGAGTACTGTCTAATAGAATTTCCTGTGATAAAGTTAATGTTCTATATTTGTGCTTCCCAGTACAGTGGCCACTAGTCACAGGTGGTTACTGAGCACTTGAAATGTGGTATAAGGAAAGCTCACAGAACGTCATATTTTCTGTACGCAAATGGCCCTTAGAAACCATTTCATCCAGCCTTTCTGTTTTACACATAAGGTGGTGAAACTCACAGAGTGAACATGACTTTTCCAAGGATCACTAGTAATAGAACTTTGGATCTCGGACTCTAGATTCAGAGGCATGTGTCAGTATAGTGAAAATTACATAAAGTTGGAAGTCAGAGAAATCTCCATTTAAATACTAAGGTTTCTTTTTAGTAGCTGAAGTCACTTAAACTCTCTGGTCCTCATTTTTCTCATCTGTAATATGGGACTAATAATGACACACCTCACATGGTTATTGTGAGGACTAAATAAAGCAACACATATAAAATACCTAGCTTTGTTCTGGATTTACAGGTCAAGTTCAATAAAACAGTTTTCTTCTCTTCACCATCTGGTATTGTATTCTTTTCACTTAGTCATGCCATATTCATATCTGCTTTATGACAGTAACAGCAATAATTACATTTTTATGAAATGAGTTGGAGACAAATTTGATCACTAGAATTTCTCTCAAGAATGGCATTGTCTTGGATTGGAAGACTGCTTTGGTGTTTAAAGTAGAAGGATAGAAAATGACCTTTCTCAACCACTCCCCCCCCAAAATATCTAGGTAACCAGGTGGCCCTAAGTCTTAAGATGGTGATATAGTTTGGATTTGTGTCCCCACCAAATCTCTTGTTGAATTGGAAGTGATTGGATCATGGGAGTGAATTTCTCATTAATGCTTTAGCACCATCACCTTGGTACTGTCCTTGTGATAGTGAGTGAGGCCTCATGAGATCTACTCGTTTAAAAGTGTCTGACACCTCCCTGCTCCCTTTCTGTCTTACTCCTGCTCCTGCTATGTAAGAAGTCTGTTCCCCCTGTTATAATTGGAAGCTCGCTGAGGTCTCCCTAGAAGCAGATGTTGCTATGCTTCTTGTACATCCTTCAGAACTGTAAGCCAATTAAACCTCTTTTCTTTATAAATTACCCAGTCTCAGGTATTTTTGATAGCAATACAAGAATTGACTAATACATAAAATTAGTACCAGGAGTGAACCATTGCTGTAAAGATACCTGAAAATGTGGAAGAAACTTTGGAACTGAGTGAGGGGCAGAGGTTGGAAGAAGTTTGGAGGGCTCAGAAGAGGACAGGAAGATGAGGGAAAGTTTGTAACTTCCTAGAGACTGGATGAATAATTGTCAGCAAAATGCTGATAGTGATATGGACAGTGAAGGCCAGGCTGATCAGGTCTCTAATTGAAATGAGAAATTTTAGGGGAACTGGAGCAAAGGTCACTTTTGTTATGCCTTGACAAGAACTTGGTTATATTGTGCCTCTGCCCTAGGAATCTGGAACTTTGAACTTGAGAGTGATGATTTAGGGTATCTGGCAGAAGAAATTTCTAAGTAGCAAAGCATTCAAGATGTGGTCTGGCTGCTTCTAAAAACCTATGCTTATATACATGATCAAAGAAATGACCTAACGCTGGAACCTATATTTAAAGGGGGAAGCAGAGCATAAAAGTTTGGCAAATTTGTAGCCTGGCCATGTGGTAAAAAAGAAAAGTCCATTTTCAGGGGAGGAAATGGAGCAGGCTGCAGAAATTTTCATAAGTAAAAAGGAGCCAAGTGTTAATAGCCATGAAAATGGGGAAGAGACCTCAAAAGCATTTCAGATGTATTCACAGCAGCCCCTCCCATCATAGGCTGGGAGGCTTAGGAAGGAAGAATGGTTTACTGGATGAGGACCAGGGCCTGGTTGCCCTGCACAGCCTCTGGACACTCCTCACTGCATCCCAGCAACTCTAGCTCCAGCTGTGGCTCAAAGGGGCTCAGGTTGCTGCTTCAGAGGGTGCAGCCCTAAGCATTGGCAGCTTCCACAAGGTATTAAGCATGCTGGTATACAGAGGGCAAGAGTTGAGGCTTGGGAGTCTCAACCTAGATATAAGAAGATGTATGGAAAGCCTTAATGTCCAGGCAGAAGGCTTCTGTGGGGGCAGAGCCCTCATGGAGGACCTCTACTAGGGTAGCCAGAGGGGAAATGTGGAGTCGGAGCCCCCACACAGAATCTCCACTGGGGCATTGCCTAGTGGAGCTGTAAGAAGAGGGCTACTATCCTCCAGATACCAGAATAATAGATCCACCAGTAGCTTGCACCCTCAGCCCAGAAAAGCCACAGGCACTCAACATCAACCCATGAAAGCAGTCGTGGGGCCTCAACCCTGAAATGCCACAGGGGCAAGCTCAAGGCCTTGGGAGCTCACCCCTTGCACCAGTGTGCCCTGGATATGGGACACAGCATCAAAGGAGATTATTTTGGAGTTGTAAGATTTAATGATTGCCCTGCTGGGTTTCAAACCTGAATGGGGCCTCCAATCCCTTTCTTTTCACCAATTTCTCCCTTTGGAATGGGAATTTTTACCTAATACCTGTATCTCCATTTTATCTTGGAAATAACTAACTTGTTCTTTATTTTATCAGGCTCATAGGTGGAGAGGCCTTGCCTTTTCTAACATGAGGCTTTGGACTTTTGAGTTAATGCTGGGATGAGTTAAGACTTGGAGGGACTGTTAGGAAGGCATGGTTGTATTTTGCAATGTGAAAAGAATATGAGATTTGGGAGGATCCAGGGGTGGAATGATATAGTTTGGATATTTATCCCTGCCCAAATCATATGTCGAATTATAATCCCCAATGTTAGAAGTGGCTTCTGGTGGGAAGTGATTGGATCACGGGGGTGGATTTCTTATGAGTGGTTTAGCGTCATCCCCTTAATACTGTCCTTGTGATAGGGAGTTCTCTTAAACGACAAGGAAGATCTTTTTGTTTAAAAGTGTGTAGCACCTCCCCACTCTCTCTCTTGCTCCTGCTCCTGCCATGTAAGATGGCTGCTCCGTTTTTATGCCATGACTGGAAGCTTCCTGAGGCCTCCCTAGAAGCAGATGTTCCTATGCTTCCTGCACAGCCTGCAGAAACATGAACCAATTAATACTCACTTATTTATAAATCACCCAGTCTCAGATATTTCTTTATAGCAATGTGATAATGGACTAATACAGATGGGCAGTGGTCGCTGTGAATGAGATGAGAGAAAAATTATTGTTTTGATCTTAAAATAGAAATGTGAAAGAATTAGCAAGACAGAAACTGGGTTTTGATGACAGGCTAGTGAAACTTCACATGGTTGTGGTAGCTAACAGATGGTTAAGAATGGTGATGCCTATAGTACATGTTGAAGTCATCTACATCGCTGCAATGTAAATTGTTCTCCATATCCTCTGCAAACTCTCAGTAAAATCTTTTTGCTTAGAAATACTTTATGCAGCCAGGAGTGGTGGCTCATGCCTGTAATCCCAGCACTTTGGGAGGCCTAGGCGGGCGGATCACCTGAGGTTGGGAGTTTGAGACCAGCCTGACCAACATGGAGAAACGCTGTCTCTACTAAAAATACAAAATCAGGCCGGGCGCAGTGGCTCACGCCTGTAATCCCAGCACTTTGGGAGGCCGAGGCGGGTGGATAATGAAGTCAGGAGATCGAGACCATCCTGGCTAACACGGTGAAACCCTGTCACTACTAAAAATACAAAAAATTAGCCGGGCATGGTGGCATGTGCCTGTAGTCCCAGCTACTCGGGAGGCTGAGGCAGGAGAATGGCATGAATCCGGGAGGCGGAGCTTGCAGTGAGCCGAGATCGTGCCACTGCACTCCAGCCTAGGCAACACAGCGAGACTTCATCTCAAAAAAAAAAAAAAAATACAAAATTAGCTGGGCTGGTCGTGCATGCCTGTAATCCTAGCTATTCGGGAGGCTGAGGAAGGAGAATCGCTTGAACACAGGAGGCAGAGGTTGTGGTGAGCCGAGATCATGTCATTGCACTCCAGCCTGGGCAACAAGAGCGAAACTCAGTCTCAAAAAAAAAAATAAATAAATAAATAAATAAAAGAAAGAAATGCTTTATGCAAGTAAATTATTTGGAGAAAACTTCAACTTTTAGGGATCTATGGGAAGGCTTTGGACTTTCAGAGACCACGAAATTGACAAGGATTCATACTAATTATAACTAAGTCTGACATCTAGGTTGCACCTAACTTCTGAGGCATGAACATCTCAAGCTTTATAGAATAAGATGCTTATCAATTGAGTTCATGTCTCTTAGCTTCCCTGTGCCTAATCTAGCTCTCTTGAGATGGGATTAAATATCTGGGGACTAAGTGCATCTGTATTAGAGGTAGAAGGGTTAAATGTGTGATCCAGGGTGCTTCCCACAGAGGTGAAGACTTGAAAGTCAAAGTTTCTTAAGTGTCTCAAGGAAAGAGGCAAAGTATTATTTCTAAGTATTGCTAATTATCTCCAGGAAATGAAGAAGGTATGAGGTGGGCAATGGTCAAACCCAGCTCTAATTGCTTTCCTGATGACCTTTTTAAAGGGCCAATTCTAGGTTACTCTTGATCCTAACTTTCCCCTAAAATGATATATTCTTCTCCCTTTTGATTCATCATACATACAGTCTCTATAGCCTCTAAGCTTTCTGGAATTTTTGATGACAACTCTAGGTATATCAAAAATAAGCAAGAATTTAATCTTTCTACCTAGGTAAAAAGTCCCTAAAGAGATAAAGAGAGGCTGGGCATGGTGGCTAACGCCCGTAATCCCAGCACTTTGGGAGGCCGAGGCAGGCGGATCACCTGAGGTCGGGAGTTTGAGACCAGCCTGATCAACATGGAGAAACCTTGTCTCTACTAAAAACACAAAATTAGCCAGACATGGTGGCACACGCATGTAATCCCAGCTACTCGGGAGGCTGAAGCAGGAGAATCGCTTGAACCCGGGAGGCTGAAGTTGCAGCAAGCAGAGATCGCGCCATTGCACTCCAGCCTGAGCAACAAGAGTGAAACTCCATCACAAAAAAAAAAAAAAAGATAAAGAGAGAACAAACATTTCACATAATGAAGACATGTATTTTTAAAAAATTTTTAGTGCAAGGCCCTGTTTCAGTGGTTCTCAAGTTTAGTGTGCCTGAGGAAAACATTTGTTTCCTTGAGCCCTACCAGAGAAATTCTGAGTAAGTCTGGGATAGCATTCAGGAAACTGCATTTTTAACAAGGTCTCTAACTGATTCCTATAAAGATGGTGTATTAGTCTGCAAGGGCTGCCACAGCAAATTAATGCAGACAGGTGATTTTAACAACAGAAATTTATTTATCACAATTTTTGAGGTTGGAAGTCCAAGATCACGGTATTGGCAGTTTTGGTTTCTCTTAAGTCCTCTCTCCTTGACTTGCAGATAGCTGTCATCTTGCTTTGTCCTAATAAGCAAGATTAAATTCCTGCTTATTTTTGAGATACGTGGAGTTGTCATTAAAAATTCTAGAAAGCTTAGAGGCTATAGAAACTACATGGTATTATCTCTGTTCCTGTACATCCCAGGTAATGCACCCTCTTCTTAAAAGGACACCAGTCCTATTGGATTCCAGTCACCCTTATTACTTCATTTAACCTTCATTACTTCTTTAAAGGGCCTATCTCCAAATACAGTCACATTGCAGATTAGGGCTTCAACATATAAATTTGATGAGGTTGGGGAGGGACACAATTCAGTCCATAAGGGGTGGTCTACAAATTTTACTTGGAAAAATAATGATGGCTGAAATGTGAAATATGGAATTACTCAGTCAGTAATAGCCACCCAGAAGCCATGGTATGCAGATTCTAGGCTACTTACAGAAGCAAAAACTATAAAAAGTAATTAAAATTCCCCTGCTTTCATTAAAGTCAAAGGTAGAAAGGAAGTTTCATAAATACACTGCAGGCATTGATAAACAAGTACCAAATAAATAAAGTGACCATATAATATGACCTGAACCAGGATATTTGAGAGCAAAATGAGGCAACAGGCATAAACTGGGACTATCTTAGGTAAACCAGGTCCTCTGGTCATCCTACAGATACTTTCTTCTTAAATCGTCAGGGATAAAGCCAGCTTTGAGAGGCAGGCAGCAGACTACTACAATTACTTGCATTGCACACCTAATAAAATGATTTCCTTCCAGGTGAATTTGTCCTACTAAAATATAAATGCTACTTGAGAGGGTATATGTGTGTGCAGGTCGGAGGGAAGGGAGTGGTGATGGATGAAACCATTACCACTTATTAATATCTTAGCTTGAATTAGATTTTTCCAAATTAACTTGAGATTTCAGTTGAGGCTTGCTAGAAAGAATATAGAAAAAGTATGCTTTGATAGAGGAGAGAGGAAAGGGTCATGAATAAGGAAGATGAGGCTCTAAGAGTTTAAACGATTTGCCCAAGGTCACACAGCTCATAAGTGGAGAGGCTATTTTCCAACCAAGGTCTTCTGCCTCCTAGTCTCATGTTCCTATCTATCCATTATATTACAAGACTTTTTCCCCCGAGACAGAGTCTTGCTCTGTCGCCCAGGTGGAGTGCAGTGGCTCGATCTCAGCTCACTGCAACCTCCGCCTCCCAGGTTGAAGAATTCTGCCTCAGCCTCCCGAGTAGCTGAGATTACAGGTGCCTGCCACCACACCCGGATCATTTTTGTATTTTCAGTAGAGATGGGGTTTCACCATGTTGGCCAGGCTGGTCTCAAACTTCTGACCTCGTGATCCACCTGCCTCAGCCTCCCAAAGTGCTGGGATTACAGGCGCGAGCCACGGCACCCAGCCTATATTACAAGATTTTTAAAAAGTAACAATCCTAGATTAGTGTCAGGAATTCTGGGCAGCCAATGAGCACAATAAAAGTCTGGAACACTTGACATATGTGGCAGCAGTACAATGCAGCCCCATGAAAATACGTCTACATCCTAAACCCCAGAATCCATGACTATGATAGGCTCTACAGCAAAAGGAAATTAAAGCTGCAGATTGAATTAAGTTTGCTAATCAGTTGACAATAATATAGAGAGATTTTCCTGGATCATCTAATGTAATCACAACGACCCTTAAAAGCGAAAGAGGGAGGCAGAAGAGGAGGTCAGAGTGACACAACATGAAAAAGACTTGGCTGATCATTGCCGGCCTTGAAGATGGAAAAAGGGGCCATAAGCCAAAGAATGTGGGTGGCTTCTAGAAACCAGAAAGACAAGGAAACAGATTCTCCCCTAGAACCTCCATTAAGGAATACAACTCTGTCAACACCTTGATTTTAGCCCAATGAGATCCACTTTGGACTTCAGAACTCTGACCTCCAGAACTATAATACATTTGCATGGTTTAAGCCTCTAAGTCTGTGGTAATTTATTACAGCAGTGTTAGAAAATTAATGCAATGTTGGCCGGGCACGGTGGCACACTCCTGTAATCTCAGCACTTTGGGAGGCCGAGACGGGCGGATCACGAGGTCAGGAGATCGAGACCATCCTGGCTAACACGGTGAAGCCCCGTCTCTACTGAAAATACAAAAAATTAGTCAGGCGTGTTGGCGGGCGCCTGTAGTCCCAGATACTCGGGAGGCTGAGGCAGGAGAATGGCGTGAACACGGGAGGCGGAGCTTGCAGTGAGCCAAGATCGAGCCACTGCACTCCAGCCTGGGTGACAGAGCGAGACTCCATCTCAAAAAAATAAATAAATAAATAATAAAAATTAATACAATGTAACAGGAAAAGTGATGAGGGGGAAACGAGGGAGAAAGACAGAGAGAAAACCAACAGAATTGAGGTAATTCATATGCTAAGGCAAACTTTGTCTATTTCACCATTTTGCTCAATAGGTAAAATTAGTAGACACTAATTTAATATTAAATAAATAAATTTAATATTAAAATAGAATGTTAAATATTATCTTCTCTCCTTTTATACAATTAGCCTTGGGTGAGTTTTGTAATATTCAAGATCTGCATGAGTAAATCACTCATTTGATAATGCTGCAACAGCTCATCTGATCCCTAGGTTTAAAGTTCCCTCCTTCCCAGTACATCTCTCTGCAAAGGAGCAGCATATGAAAAACAAAACTTCAAACTGAGTAAGTAAGAGAAGGGAGCCTAAAATAAAATGTTTTCCTTCCAGGCAATTTTCCTCTGGACGGAACATCCCTTCCTGCATGACCCAAAGATGATCTTGCCAGTGACTTATACAAGCATGAAATTCTATTTATTCTGCATTTATTTCTCTATTACTTGATTCCATGGAGAAACAAGAGTGTCAACCAATTACAGAAGAAGCTGACTCTAAAAGTGCTTTTCCCAGTCAACAATCAGATTTTCAGGGTCACTGCTTCAACTGCAAATACATATGTGCTATCTCAGAGAGAAACCCTGAGCTGGGCTCTCACATAGAATAGATCCTGACAATATCATAATTCTAACAGTGCTACAATTTTCAGAATTTCTTGATCACTGTAGTAAGAGCAATGTCTTATCAATCTGTAAATCAACAGCCAAAAAAAGGGTTTCTCCTCAACTGAATGTTAAACAAATCTTAATGTTAAACAAATCTTAAGCTAATGAAGCTTAAGATTTTCATTAAACACATTGTCACTCACCAAAATGAATTCAGTTCCTCCCAAGATCTCAGCAGCTAATGTCCACAGCAGGGAAGAACAATTCACCAATTCATAAAGTAAGAATCAGTTGACACTTACAATGGAAAGGGAAAATGTGTGTTAGTTTATATAAGAATCTATAAGTTAACTTCACATAAGACCAACCTTATACAGAGTGTTCACCCTTAGATAAACATTCCTTTTGTCTCAGGGCATTGTGGTTCTATGACTATTCCACCCAGTGCCATTAGCACCACCAAAACAAGATGTTTTGCAAAGTACACTTTTGTAGTAGATTGTGAAATCATCTGCCCAACATAATAACCTTTCCCTTTTATTCCTGTAATCAAATCCTCTTTCTTATGGAAAATCCGTTTCATGAGGATTAAGTGAAACCAACACACACTCCTCACTTCTTAGACCACTCAAGTTGGCACGTGACCAGTCCTACCCCATCTTGTCTATTTTCCACAGCAATTTAAAAATATTCCTTAAATGGGTGAACTCTTTCCTTCTGAAAAGTCTAAACATTGTTATTTCTTAAAAGCAGTATTTTCTACATTGTCTTCGAGAATGTCCTGTTAAAAAATTAAATGCTTACTTTCAGTTTTGCTGTGAACCTAAAACCACCCCAAAAAATAAAGTCTATTAAATTGTTTTTTAATGAAAATGCAAACACCCTTGAGAGAAGACATTAATAACTGAATGAAGGGGAGTTTGAAAGTAAATCAAACCACTTTTCAAAATTACAGCCAGCTGAAATCTGAGTCTTAAAGGCAGGAGACTCAGAGTATATACATTTTGACAGAAGGGTAAGTACAGGGAATGATCTAGACTAGAGCATAGAGGAGTAGGTCTCAAACCTGGCTATACTAAAGTATCACCAAGTGCCAGGTGCCTACTAAACACACACATTCCTGAGCCCTACCACCAGAGATTCCAACTCAGTGGTTCTCAGATGGAACCCAAGTAACTGCATTGTTGAAAAAAAAAAACAATTCTTGGCAGGGTGCAGTGGCTCACGCCTGTAATCCAAGCACTTTGGAAGGCCGAGGCAGACGGATCATGAGGTCAGGAGTTCCAGACCAGCCTGGCGAACATGCTGAAACCCCGTCTCTGCTAAAGATACAAAAAATTAGCCAGGCGTGGTGGCGCACACCTGTAATCCCAGCTACTCGGGAGGCTGAGGCAGGAGAATTGCTTGAACCCAGGAGAGGCAGAGGTTGCAGTGAGCCAAGATCGTGCCACTGCACTCCGCCTTGGTGACAGGGCGAGACTCTATCTCAAGAAAAAAAAGAAAAAAGAAAAAAACAATTCCCCCAGATGAATCAGGGGTATAGCCATGTTTGAAGCCGCTGTCAAAGGACATCGCCTAGAGAAGGTAGGAAGAAGTAGTGCCACGTGCATTTAGGGGACAAAATGAAGATTCTGCTTGCAGGCTGTTCAAAAAGAGAGAGCAGGGTCTTCACAGACCCAAAGACACATTATATACTTGGAATTTCACTGAACTCAGACCAGATTGCAGATGTCAGTGAATGAAAGTACATTGATTTATTCTCATGTGCTAAATAAGTTCCCTGATTTAACCAATTTCAATTTAATAGAAATTCATTTGGCACATACTATCTATAAGGCCTTGAGATAGATGCTATGATGAATATAAAGAGAAATAAGGCCTGCCTTCCAGGGACTCACAATTCACTAAAGAAGACAGACATTTACTCAAGTAAATCAAAGCACAGTTTGTTAAGTGCTCTAATACAACTACAACCAATTTGCTATGAGAAAATAAGAAGCAAAGGGATTTATTCCAATTGGAGGCTTCTAGGGAGGCCTTATGGTGTGGTTCTTAGTTGAGAAAATTCTTTGAAGGCAGGCAAAATGAGGTATACCTGGCAAAAAGAGACAAAATAAGCAAAGGCACGAAGGTAGGACAGAACTGGACCTGAATATGAAAGGCAAACTTCCCTCACTCGGTTTGCGTTTAGAGCTTCTTACAATATTGTAATTTGTGGATTATAATCCTATCAATGGTAGAGACTGTGGTACATAAAATAAGATGATAAATGTAAGCAGAGAACAGATTGTGGGCAAAAGGAAGCTGGACATTATTCTATATTCATGGGAAAGATCATTGTAAGAAGCAAAAATGATATAGATCAGTTTTGTTTTTGTTTTTTGAAAGCCAGTCTGGCCTTAATGTGAATGACAGAAAAAGAAAGAAACCAGCTAAGGGGTGGTGGGGTTTATAATAATCCAGACCAAAGGCCAGCCTGAAGTATGGCACTAAGAAAGAGAAAATTATAAGAGACATCAATAAGGAAAAAGTCAGAAAATTTGTCTACTAAATTAATTGTGGTGTTGGGGAAGAGTGGCTGATGGTAAAAATATGACCCTAGCCATTTTTTCTCATGACTTTTATTTCTTTGTAGGTTGCAATAATTATTAAAGTAGAAGAGGGGAGAGTGGAGGGAGGCCACTGAAATTTGTCTTTAAAAATTATAATGCTAAGCTGAGTGCATTGGCTCATGCCTGTAATCCCAGCACTTTGGGAGGCCGAGGACGGTGGATCACTTGAGGTCAGGAGTTGGAGACCAGCCTGGCCAAAATGGTGAAACCCCGTGTCTCCTAAAAATTAAAAAAAAAAAATTAGCCAGGCATGATTGCGGGTGCCTGTAATCCCACCTACTTGGGAGGCTGAGACAGGAGAATCACTTGAACCCAAGAGGCAGAGGTTGCAGCGAGCCGAGATCGCGCTGCTGTACTCCAGCCTGGGCGACAGAGTGAGACTCTGTCTTAAATAAATAAATAAATATAAATATAAATATAAATATAAATATAAATTATAATTCTAAACCACAGAAATTTGAAACCACAGGAAAAAGCAGGTTGGTTACTTTACTACCACATTGTTTTTGGGGAAGAGGAGTATGAGAAATTAGCATGGCCAACATTATTAATTCCAGTTACTTACCCCTTTCTTTGGGTTGTTTCCAAATATGAAATCCACTTTCAAAAGACAGATTCAACTTCCGCTTCTGGCCAAGATGGAGTAACAGGGACCAAATTCTCTTTTCACCTAAAAGTATTCCAAAAATAGACACAATAACAGAGTTTTCAAGACACAGATCATCAAGCATCAAAGAATAGTGATCCTTGAAACAAATTATTGTGCTAGCTTACTGCCTGAAAAGAGTTTTCAGAATGCAATACAGGGAGATAGAATAGGGGAGAAGCCTCTAGGATTCCCTGAGTCAAGAAGAAGGAGCTGAGAGTATAGGGAGAACAAGGAGACTTGAGTTCGCAGAACAGAGTACTGAAAAAAAAAAAGAGCAACACAGAGAACTCTGGAGGGCTGCAAAAGGTTCCCCTAGAGTAGCCAGCCCTCACATAGGGCTAGAAATAGAGCCTTTTCCCACTGAAGAACCTTAGGTACAGTATTTGTCAAGAACTGGGAAGGGTCTTGGATTTGCCCTACTTGCAAACTAAAAAGATAGATCATACTGTTTCATGGATGCCAACAGAAGACGAGAGATTCCTGGGTCAGAAAAAAAGGACTTCCGTGCTCACACCACAGCAAGCAGCGTAAGAAAAGCATATTTCTTTGCATTGGTTCCCCTTGTCCAAAAATTCTAGGAAGGTGATTTGATATGGGCAAACACAATTGTTGGATATACAGTGGATTTTCATCATAGTTGAGGAAAAACAAGCTTCAGCAAGTCCATAAATTTATAGTGAGCAGTAAGCCTGTGGGTCTCTTAAGAAAGTGCTAACAAGCTGGAAAAGTAACATAGAAAATCATTATCGCCCATCAAGCATGTAGCAAGATGATGGAATCACCTGAAACAGGTCTGGGAAGTTATAATGAGAATAGGGAAGGAAGAGAAAAAGCATAGCTCAAAGGTACCCAGGCCAGGGACAATAGGTGACTCTAAGAACAAGGAGAGTCAGTATAGTAAAATGGAAAATTATCTCATCTGTAAAACCAGGATACTAATATTTATCTTTCAGGGCCATTGTGAGTTTTAATGATAATATATGGCAAGCACAGTGCCTGGATATAAAAAATGTTCAAACAACAGCTACTTGAGGAAGAGAAAGAGAAAAAGGAAGCATATATGATACCACTAAGAAACCAAAATCCATGAAAAGGATTGAGGCACAGTGGAAACAGAAAATTCTGCATTCACAGAGACCTGGACTTGAACCATTTGCTGTGTAACCTAGGAAAAATTATCTCTATTCTCTGTGTCTCAGTTTCCTTATACATAGAGTAGAGACAATACTAATAATGTTACAACATTTAGGAATAATCAATAAAATATTAACTGTCGCCTAGTATGAACTGATAACTAATACCTATTATTTTTATTATTAATACCATTGTTCCATTTGCCTTGAATTCTTCTCAGGCAAAATGCCACAGTGTGGAAGGTAACTATAAACTCTTCAGCTTTTTGGCTTAAAGCACAAAAACCAGCACTAATGCTGATATCCATTTGTCTTCCATACATATCAGGAGTAACAAGAGGCCAGCAAGCTCCATCCAGAGTTGCAAGGCACTCAAATGAATTACGAGAAAGAAGTGTCACTAGCCCCATTAATAATAAAATAGAACATTCTACTGTAAGGTTTTTTTCTCAGCCTCCATAGCAAATATTAGCAGAATGCCTATACTCATACATACTCCAAGTTTCTAACAATGGTTACCTGACCCTTCTTTTTTCTGCAGTTATTTACTTTCTCATTAAAAAATATGCAAATCAGGGCCGGGCATGGTGGATTACGCCTGTAATCCCAGCACTTTGGGAGGCTGAGGCAGGTGGACAGGAGTTCGAGACCAGCCTGACCAACATGGTGAAACCCCATCTCTACTAAAAATACAAAAATTAGCTGGGCATGGTGGTGCATGACTGTAATCCCAGCTACTCAGGAGGCTGAGGCAGGAGAACTGCTTGAACCTGGGAGACGGAGGTTACAGTGAGCCGAGATCGTGCCACTGCACTCCAGCCTAGGCAACAGAGTGAGACTCCGTCTCAAAAAAAAAAACAAATGCAAATCAGTTCTTCATTAAATGCACCAACAAAATGCAGTCTCTCTCGCTCTCTCTCTCTCTCACACACACACACATACACATCAAGTTATCAGAGGCCATGTCTAATTTATCTTCTTTCCATTAAAGCTAAGTCAAATGCTCCTAGCAAAATTTCCCAATAAATCAAACAAATCAATAACAAGGAAAAGCACGCTGAACACCAGCTCTCATCAAAGGTCTATGAGAAAAATAAATTGATTCAGAAAGTCCCACCTGCCTCATTCACCAAGGTGATCCATAGGTACCGTATTTTTCTAAACTGAAAGTCAGGATATACAGTCTGGGAAGTATGAAAATACTTACTGGGGCAAAAGGCTAAAATGCCTAAAGTCATTGCTATCGATTCACTTTTCCGTACAGACATTGGACAAATCACAAACCCTAGACTAAGAAAGACTACTTGATTATCTCTGGGTACTGATTTGGCACACTATGTAATTGCCTGGGCTAAGAGGAAGTAAATAAAATGTATCTTCTACTCACAGAAAAAAAATGAGCCAGAAGAGATACATGAAGAAAGAACTCTGGGTAGAGTAATGCATCAGGAGAGGATAGGAAACAGTGTCCAAGATCAAAATGAATGCCTGCACATTCTCATCCCTCACTGAGAGAAAAAAAGTGTACTTTATAAAGCAACAATTCAGAGGAGAAGGTGGGAGGCAAAGAGCATTTTGCAACAGAGGAAACCAAATGGACTGACTTCATGACAAGTATGGAAGGTGTTCTCATATCCTCAAGCCATGTATTGTGAGAATGAGGGCGAGTAGAGTGACACCAGCAAAATGACCAACTACAAGAACCTGGTGCTTGGCCCCTCCCCAACAAAAAAGGACCGAAACAACAAATAAACAACTATATTTCAACTGGAATAACTGAGGAAGTATACATAGGCACACCAGAAGAACAGTGAAATCCCTGTGGAGCAAAAAAGCCCAGGATAGCACCATAGAGAGGGGAGTGAGGCATCCTGCCTTTACCACACTGTCTCCCCCACTGGGATCAGCTCAGAGCCAGAGGGAACTTCTTGTTAAAGGGAAAAGGTAAGATGAAGACCTTTGGCAGTCTCCATCTTTGCCACAGATGCCAACAGTCATTGCTACAGAAGGGTCTGCCAGTCCTCAAATTTACTATGGACAGTTGCCTAGAGTCCACACTACTGCATGGCCCCAGAGCAGGAACTCCCTTGGCATCCCAAACCCCAACAACCTAAGCTGCTATAACATGGTGCCATCTTGAAACTAGACCCACAGCTAGAGTGCATCATGCCCTGGGGACTAATAACCACCGACCCCTTCCATCCCTGAGGCTCCACCATTATTCCACTATGTTCACATGGGTTCCTGCAACACCAATACCCTGGCTTCCCAGAGCCTAGGCCTGGTGAAATGGACAAGACTCCAACATCTGAATTCATGAGATGCTCTACTCCCCAGGAAAATGGGTGGACCTACACAGCTGAGAAGCCCTGCATAGCCACTCAGCTCACACACTATCACAGCCAATCAGGAAGTATCCCCATTTCACTGAAGACAGTCTTATACAGCCCCCTGGCCCACCTTTTGCCAAATAGCTTGCCCAGAGGTTTGTCTTTAAGCAATCGGTCCATATTCCCAGTGTGGATTTCTGGTACCAAAGGGAGCCGAGTGAACCGTATTCTCAAAAAATTGTGTTCTCAAGAGAACACTTCAATAAGAAACAGGTGACTGAAAGCTGAAAAGAAAGCTTTGTTAAATTTTAAATTATCCCTGCCCCATCCCTGACTCACAAGCTTAGTAAGGGTCTTGAAGACATCAGTCCATGTTCCCAATGTGGATTCCTTGTGCCAGGGTAGTACCATAGACCATGTTTTTAAAGTTTTTACCTAGCTAGTGGCTCCCTGAAGTACTAACATAAATAGCTTGCATTTGTTTGCCTAACCTAGAGCTCTCTGAGGGTAGAGAAGTAAGTACATGGAGGATGGGCATTCATCAAAAACATTTAAAAGTAAATTAACTAACAGCTTCTGCCTGAGACAATGTACATCAGTTGGGCAAACAACAGATACAATGGAAAGTCAGGAGTAAGATGCTTTGGGGGAATAAAGGCTTTGAAAAGCTCCCACATATTCCTGGAAATTTAGAAGTCCATGCACATATCCAGGGTTGGAAGCACACCCAGATGACCTGGGAGTCTGTAAGCTCTCACTTGTGGGTGACATTCAAACTCTGCACAGGCAGGATGTGAAGGTAAAGGCAAAGTTGTAAACTGTTGATTTGAGTGCTAAAGGCTTACTCCAACACACACAAAAAGCCCAGCTGCAAACACTAGAAGACTGCTTTTGGCTCTAGTAATTTAAGAAAATATCTGTCAAATCACTAAACATTAAGCTAACATAACAGAGACTTCAGTGACCACACATGACAAATACACTTTTTTGTACAAAGATACATTGGAAAAGTCACTAAACAAAAACTATAACTTAATGATAAAGAGAAACAACAAATCCCAGGAAGAGGAAATGTTGCAGGAATCTAGGGGACAGGAGAGACCAATGGGTGGGACAGGAGGATTTTATTAGGTGTGCACCGGCCCAGTGAATTAACATCCAAAGGCTGAGCCCTAAATAAAGACAGGGCTTGACTATTATACATGCATCAGAAAGGGGGTTGACCAGTCTGATGGCGAGAAACCTGTAGGGTGGGCAAGCAAGCTTACAGAAGCAGACCAAAGGCAATTTGTCAAACAGTGACAGGTTTTACAACTTAAACATATCTTGTGACTCTGCTGTGCTGCACAGAAGGAAAAACAAGAACTTACAAAAGTTGCAAACATAATTATGAGAATAGTAAGGGGGAAGGGGGGAGGGGGAAGCTTAAAGAGGAAAAACATGTTTTTCTCTTCCCTGCTCTGGGATGGGAGGGAGAGGCTCTGGAGCCCATCCCTTCTGGGCCCTGGCTCTGCAGATAGTGCTATCAAAGGCCCCGACAGAGCCCTGCCCATTGCTGGGCCTTAGAGTGAGTCAGCCTAGTACAGGAAAACTTGTTTTTCTTTGTTATATCTTCTGCTTCAGGAGGAATTTGATATTAAGCTACCACATTATAATGTTCAAAATGTCCAGTTTTTAACAACAAAATTACAAGACAGGCAAATGTATAGAATGTATGGACAATTAACAGGAAAAAAAATGATACTAAATCATCTTTGAGGAAGCCTAAACATTGGACTTGCTAGACAAATACTTTAAATCAACTGTCTTGGTGACATCGGCAAGATAGCAGAATAGGAGGCTCCTGACTTTCACCCCCACTCCACCATGGACATGCTGAATATATATCTACACATGAATCAATTCTCTCTGAGAGAAAGCCAGAACCTAGTTGAGAGACTCCTACACACCGGATAACTGAGAACATATCCACAACAAAATGGATAGAAAAAGCTGAAGCACACTTGTGCACAAACCTCACCCTAGACACCAATACTGAGGCAGGAAAATAGGGTCTGGAGGCAGGGAACATAAGGCTGATTCAAATTTCAGCTATGACAGGAAATATCCTTTCCGTAAGGTGTATGCCATAAATTGAGGTATTGCTCCTCACACTTGAGGGCATTAGTTGCGGGGCTCTGCCTGCAGACCCTGACCCAAACGACGGATGAATAAAACATACACTGACACACAGATATTCTGTTTTGCCAGTCCAGCTGAGTGTCCGACCGCCTGCACACCAAGAGAGGTTTGTCACTGCGGCCGGCCCTAAGCAGTTTGCACTCCAGGCATTTATTTGGTATACAATTAACAACAGAAGCTTTGAGTAAACACACTTGCGGATAATTAAGATGGTTAAGAGAGTAGATCAAGTAATGATTAAAGCTCAGGCACCCAGGTCTAAGGTAAATACCATTAGGGGGCAATATCCCTAGTCGACCTGCCCCAAGAGGGCCATCTGGCTCAAAGGTTAGTTAATGGAGGTAGGGTAAACAGACTTAACTGGGGAAGCCTCTATTGTCCCTAGTATTTACCCTATGACCTAATGCTCTAGGGTAAGAACTGGCTGCCTTCAGCCTGTTCAGTTATTACAAGCTATGTAACCTTTCAGCCTTCCAAAAGGTTTGTGACTATTTCCTATAACTTTCCCTAATATTTCCCTTTAATATTTCCGCCACCATCCTGAGTGAATCCCAACAGTAAATGAATTTGTAACTTTATTTAATTTACATAGGGCATACTCGATGTAACCAGTGGCATCCTCTAGGGGGTATTTAAACTCCCAAAAATTCTATAATGGGGCCCTTGAGCCCCTATGCTCGGGCCCGCTCCCAAACTGTGGAGTGTACTTTCATCTTCAATAAATCCCTTCATTCCTTCCTTGCTTCGTTTTTGTGTTTTGTCTAATTCTTTGTTCAAGATGCCAAGAACCTGGACACTCTCCACCAGCATATTTTGGTAACCCAGCCAGGAGGAAGAGATAACCCTAAAGTTTGGGATTCATTTTTCTCCCTCTTCTTTCTGCTCCACACAGGCGCTCTCTCTCTTTTCCTTTCCAACCTGGGACCCTTAGTGTACAGCGTCTAAACATGGAAGCAACTGCAGGTTTCTGGCCATGGCCAGTGAAACTAAGAGGTTTCCATGCAGGGAAGCCTTACCGCCACTGCCTGGTTCACTAAAGGGAGCAGGGTCTTTTTTCATTTTCTTTTCCTCTCTTTCCTTTTCAGTCTTTCAGTGGCTGTTTCCTAGTAGCTCCTTGGAAATTGAGAGCAATTGGCTGAGATCACTCATCAGTACTGCCTGAAGGCCTAGGAATGAATGGGAATAATTGCTCTGCCCCGAAGGGGGAAGGAATTTTATTTTTTTATCTTTTCCGCAAGTGGTTCCTGATCCCTACCAGCAGTGAAGCTTGGAGCACACTCGCACATGTTTCAGGGGATGTAAACCTTCTTCTCTTATGCTGAATTCTTCCCTTATCATACTCAACTGGCTAAGGAACAAAAAGGCCCACCCAGCATCTAGATCTTATTACAGTTCATGGCTATTCCTATAAAGCTCATGGTATGCTCTGGAGGGGAAAACCTGCATGTGGCACCCACCTAAGGCTAGAAACGTCTGGAACTCTAAGATTGGACTCCACAGGAGGATGCTTCATAGGTTCTGCAGACCCCAACCACTGCAAAGAGGACGCTCTTGGCAGAGGTTCTGAGGTCTAGTAATAAAAGCCCTCCTTAGAATTTTCTCTCACAATTGTAATGCTGTTTGGCCACAACATTGCTTGGAATCTCGAGTTTACTGTTGAATGGGAAAGTAGAATAGCATTGAATGTAACCAGGCTTTTGTGCTTCGGTCCTAAGCCTGGTTAATATGTGACACCCTCCTCTGGTACAGTTTGGCCCCACGGCCCTTTGGAGTCTGGGGAGGTTTGGCCTTTAAAAATCAAACTGCTGTGGAGACTACTTTGCCCCAAATTTTGGTTCATAGCCTTCATTGGATTATCTACTGGGGCAAATTAAAACTGGCAAGCTTATATTGCTATCTCATGGCTAAGGTTCCAAGCTATTGGATCTTCATTTACTTGTGTGTATACAGGTCTAGATGTGTTTATTTGTATGTATACTTATTATTATAGGTTGTGTCTACCAAAATTGGCTTACAAGTAAAAGGGCCTCATAAATTAAGTAAATAAGTCTAAGCAATTTTCAAGTTCACGTGACTTAAAGTATAACTTTACTAAACAAGCTAGATTTAAAATTATTTGGTGGAATAAAAATAGAAATGCCTTCAGAATTTTCAGCCTACATTTTGTCTGAATTTTATGTTTGTCTTTGTTAGATATTGTTAAATGTCAGTGTTAATTCGAGCTGGGAGCTGCTTGGGGCGAGCCTGCCTCCCATTTTATTCAAAGTCTCACTGAGATAAATGCATATCTGATTGCTTCCTTTGGAAAGGCTCATCAGAAACTCAAAAGAATGTAACCCTTTGTCTCCCACCTATGATCTGACAACCTCCAAACGCCCTCCCTACTTTGAGTTGTCCTGCCTTTCCAGACCAAACCAATGTTCATTTTAAGTATGTTGATTGATGTATCAGGTCTCCTGTGTTAAAAGTAAAAATTATGTACAGTGAATGAGATAAATGTTTTAAGTGAACTTTTTGTGTAAATTAAAATATTAAACTTAATTTTGATGCTCATTTAATGTCTGACTCATTTCCAATTAAGAAGGGGTTGTAATATGGGGCAATGTTTCTAAAATTGTGGAACTGTTCTTATCTATAAATGCCCATATCTGATAGTTCAGGATTTCTTGCTTTTTAGGGCTTCACTAAAGTTTTAGGTTACTAAGGATAAAATTCTAGTTAACACGTAATTCGGTATACAAAATGTGCCAAAAAGAGTTATGTTATTAGTGAAAAATAATAATTTTTGTCTAATTCAGAAGTTATCTAAAAGGTAGTTCAAATTACAGATTTGAAAAGGTTATTTATGAAACAGTGTAGTAAGGAACCATTAAGTAGGGGGAAAGCTGTGGAAAAAGTTTAAATAATAATATATTCTTTAAAAGCTGATAAAGAATTGGAAACATTTGGCTAACGTTTTCATAGCTAAAGCTCATAGTCTTCAGTAAAATAAGAAGCACTGTAAAGAAATGCATTGGCAGTTTGGCAATTCTTTTTTTTTAATATAGTTAAGCATGAAGCTGGATTTAGTGTGGAGCCAAATTTCACATACATGCTTGCACTGCTTCACACTACGTTTACTGTTTTGTGTGGATAGTGCTAGAGTACTTATTGGTGATGTGCCTAAAGTGAATTTCTTAATTGCACAGGAGGTATAATATTGATGAACTTAAGGATATTGAATTGTGTATCAGGAATAAAATATTCATTATGTGGGTTTTTGGAGCCCTAGGCAACACTTGTAGCCTCCAGGGTAAATTGATTAGGAAAATTTAAGGTTGGTTTCCTGTTTATTTGTTTTTGCTTCGAGTTTTAACTTGTTTGCTGTTTATTCTCTTCTGGTTTTACTTGTGTATCCATATATATAGAACCATGCTAGCAGAAACCTTTTATTCGGTTCTGTGAATAGTTACTTTGTTTCCTATGCATTTCTAGCAACTCACCATTTGTTCCATTTTTCTGGAATTCCTAAGCTACCTCTGTCGGGCTGCAGGAATTACTGGAGCACACCAGCTTTTTATTCTTAAACTAACTTTTTGGATTTTAGGCTTCCTGATGCTTTAAGTGTGTTGAGTGTACTCTCACAAATAGAATTTGGGTCATATTTCTCTCTCTGCCTAGGTTCTCCAAAATTTGTCAAAAATATATGAATATTCTTAATTCATGGCACTGTGTTTGTTTGCAAACAGTCAAGCAGGGTCCCCAGGGCCACTCAGGGAGAGAGAAACCAGAAACCTGGCCTGCCACCAAAAGGGTAAGAATTTCTTACCAGTCAGTCTCTGGCCTCTTTCTCTCTGCAAACTGGTTAATCTCCTCCGTGAAGTTCTAAATTAATTAGTTTAATGATAAGAATAACTTAAATCAAATATTTTGTCAGAAAAGTAGAAAGTGTAATGCCCTTTAGTTCACATGACTTTAGCAATCTTTGGGAAATAAAGATGGTTTTAAAGATTATTGGTAAAATATAATTGTCTTCAAAATGTGAACATGTGGTGTAAATTATGTTCAAATATTAGGTTTGCTAAATGCTTTAAGGTCATAAACTGCTTCTTTGGCTTTTGAAAATTGTTTAACTTGCCTGCTTTCCAGCTAGGTAAGGCCTGGGGATATGTGGAGTTCGCCACGCCCCCAGCTATGCTGAAAATAGTCAAACCTTATCAGAACATAACTTACCAGGTTTTACATTAAAGTTAAAATTGCTAAGAGTCACCATTGTAACATGCAATTAAGACTACTAGAAACAGTTTTACATGCAAGGTGTGGAAAAGCAGTACAATGTGGGGTTTTCTTTGGTAAAAGGTTTTTGCTTCTTTAAAATTTCTGAAACATCATTTTGGCAAAATAAATAATTTATGGTAATATAGAATTCCAAAATCACACTTCAGTTTCAAAATTGTCTTTCCTAATGCCTGGCTTTCTGGATGGATCAAAGGGCCCTTGGAAGCATCCAGAAAGGAGGTAAACAGGATTATTTGACATGTTTAGGTACATGGGATTGCCAAAATGATGTTCAATCTTCTTTAGGTTATATTTTTGTGAATAATACTAATATATGTTCCAAAATTGTATGGGATTTGTAAAATACTATATGCTATCAATTGTAATTATGGTTATTATGTTAAGTTATTGTAAACCACAGAAATAACCAAATTTCCTTGTATAAAGCTACTAACCCATGTAGAACCAAAATTAATTAAATATCAAGAAAATGCTTTGTCATGTTTTCATGTTAAACCTGCTGATACTGAAATTGTTTAAAATAGTTAATAACCAATGCTTGGCCCCATATTCCTGGGAAGACAATTAAAGCTTCATGTACATTTGGTCACCTGATGGGCCATTTAAACCTTTTATAAAGGGATTTCATTCGATTTTTTTTCTTTTTTTTTTATTTTTATTTATTTATTTTTTTTTGAAACTGGAGTCTCGCTCTGTGGCCCAGGCTGGAGTGCAGTGGCGCTATCTCGGCCCACTGCAAGCTCCGCCTCCCGGGTTCCCGCCATTCTCCTGCCTCAGCCTCCCGAGTAGCTGGGACTACAGGCACCCGCCACCACGCCTGGCTAATTTTTTGTATTTTTAGTAGAGACGGGGTTTCACCGTGTTACCCAGGATGGTCTCGATCTGCTGACCTCGTGATCCGCCCACCTCGGCCTCCCAAAGTGCTGGGATTACAGGCGTGAGCCACCGCGCCCGGCCTTTTTTTTTTTTTTTTTTGAGGTGCAGTCTCTCTCTGTTGCCCAGTATGGAGTGCAGTGGCACGATCTCAGCTTACTGCAACCTCTGTCTCCCGGGTTCAAGCAATTCTCCTGCCTCAGCCTCCCAAGTAGCTAGGATTATAGGTGCCCACCACCACGCCCAGCTCATTTTTGTATTTTTTAGTAGAGATGAGGTTTCACCATGTTGGCCATGCTGGTCTCAAACTCCTGACCTCAGGTGATCCACCATTCTCGGCCTACCAAAGTGCTGGGATTACAGGTCGTGAGCCACCGCGCCCGGCCCATTTGCTATTTTCAATGCATGTTTTCTGGTTGTATAAAAGCTTTCCCATGCAAGAGGGCTGATGTTATAACACTAGATTATTATGCTACAGTGTATTTTTACCAGGTAAGAATGCTTTTTATGGTTTGGATCTTCTGATAACATCAGAGCAAAACTGTCCTTGCCATCTACACTACAACAAAACCTCAGGACCTTGGGCTTTGGGTTCATAATCTCACAACTGAGAAGGGTCCCTCCACACTCTTGGAAATATGCACCCATTGGAACCCTCAAGCTAAAACTAACCAGAGAAATTTCTCCCAAGAAGAGAATGGCATCCTTGATGTGAACAGCTTTTCCCAAGTTCACAGATTAAGACTTCTATTACATGAAACTCTTATCTTTGAATATTTTTTCTTGCTTATGCCTCTATGAAAAATAGAAGTGGAAAGGGGGTCTGTTATGTGCACTTATGGGGTATTCTTTTATTTGTTGTGCAGAAGTTTAAAGCCAGCCTTATACATGGATAACCTTATACTTTGATAAATAAAAGATGAAGGCACAATGTAGGTAAGAAACTTTAATGCTGCATATGTTGCTTCATAATCAGTCAAAAACAAAACATTGGTTTACTCCTCTTAACCAACATCATGGGTTAAAGAGAACATTGCCAAAAGGCCTTCACTATTTTAAAAGTGCATCATTTGTTAGGTCCTTTCTCCATGGTTTAAAGTAAAAGAAGCAATGATTAGAAATGTATCCCTCATGATAGGTTCTATAGCAAATTCTACTGTAAAGGCTACAGTTACACAACAAACTTTAGATTCTCTTGTGAAACTTATGCTAAATAATAGAATTAGCTAAACAGAAAAGTACCTGTGCAGCTGCTAGCACTTGTAGCCTATGGGGAAATACATCAAATGAAGATTACAGAAAATCAGTGGTAGGGGACTGATGAAGAAGTTGCTTACTCAAGTGAGTAAACTCTTTATCTAGCTCATTCTTTGATCTATTTAGTTTTAGGAGGTTTGGTTTATGGGGACCTTGGGTAGAGAGTATACTCCAAACTCTTGGTATCATCCTCCCAATAATCATAATAATAGTCTCCTTGGTGCACTGTATTCTCTCGAAGGTTTTAAATGCTTGCATCCAGCCATCTCCAGAATGCCATATGGTCTCTCTTCAACTGGAATAACAGGAGCTGAAAGAAATGTGCAACCATGAGGACACTGTAACCTATGAATGATGCGCTGAGACCAGAAACCCAAAATGATGGTAACTAAGAGTGGTGCTAAGTAAGGTCCTAAGTTTTGGTCACACTCTTGCCTAAGTGAGAACCTGACCAAAAAGGGGGAATTTTTGAAACAAAATTCTGGGAGGCCATTGTTTTGGACTGAGCTCATGCACTAGGCCCCAGTAGACCAAACCAAACCAAACCAAAATGGAGTCGTTTGTGCTAAGACTTTAAGGAAACACATAGATTCTGGAACAGATCAGGTTTTGTTTTTTCTCTTGCAAATCTCTGTAGCAAACATTTCTGACAGTATAGCTATCTATCCCCTGAAGTTCCCATTAAATCTTTTAACCAAATTCATTTCCTGTCGCCTAGGGACCATCAAGCTTCAGATGATCATGCAAAAAAGGTTCCACCCAGTTCTAGGTGAAGACACCACCCCTGGCCATCAAGAAGCTACCCTGCCTCCACTAGATAGAGCAGGGTGAGTTTCATAATCCCCAATAGGTAGGAACTACACCCCAAGCCAGAATGAAGCAGTTACAGAAGAAAGACCTTTGGTTCTTCTGTCTCCCATAAAGATTTATGGGGATCACATCTCTTGTGGGGGAGATGAGGCAGGAAAATAGGGTGTGGAGGCAGGGAACATAAGGCCAATTAACACTTCAGCTATAACAGAAAATATCCTCTCCACAGAGCGTTGGCCAAGTAAATGACTTTGTTACTTTACTTCATCCTCTCCATTTACATAGGGCAGACTTGAAGTAACCAATGGAATCCTCTAGGGTGTATTTAAACTCCCAAAAATTCTGTAACATGGCCTTTGAGCCCCTATGCTCAAGCCCACTCCCACACTGTGGAGTGTACTTTCATTTTCAATAAATCCCTTCATTCCTTCCTTGTTTTGTTTGTGCATTTTGTCCAATTCTTTGTTCAAGATGCCAAGAACCTGGACACCCTCCACCAGTGACAATACCATATAATCAGGAAGGAATCTCCAATACCCCGCTTCTCACTGAGGAGTAAAGAGTTTGGACCACATATATAGTGCCCCAACTTTTATGGTTTCCCCAGAGGCTTTTGCTCTCAAATCACATAGCCCTGAAAATGAAAGGTACTCAGCATTCTCAGGTTTCCCTAGGCCGCACACAACAAAGAGGTGGTTTTGAATGAGTACAAAGGAATGTCCAGTAGCTGTAGTGCCTGAGATAAGTCCACAGGGAATGGGCTAAAATGTCCAGCTCCCTATATCTCCCTGGAAGTGGTTTGTCTGCACACTTTTACATCTTTTGCCAGAGAGTCAGGCTTCTGGCTAGCCTATATCTGGGAGCAGATGGGGCAAATAAACTATAGACTTCCATGAGCTTGAATGGAAGTATAGGTACTTCCCAGGCCTCATCTCTCAGACAGTGGCAGACATAAATCCATGTGTACAGATTCTTTCTAGAAGCAGTTTATGCATGCATCAAACACCCTATATTAGTCCTTTCTCACACTGCTATAAAAGAACTGCCCAAGACTGGGTAATTTATAAAGGAAAGAGGTTTAATTGACTCGTAGTTCTGTATGGCTGGGGAGGCCTCAGGAAACTTATGATCATGGTGGAAGGAGAAGCAAATATGTCCTTCTTCACATGGCAGCAGGAAGGAGAGATGCCAAGCAAAGGGCGAAAAGCCCCTTATAGAACCATCACATCTCATAAGAACTTACTATCATGAGAACAGCATGAGGGTAACCACCCCCATGTTTAAATTACCCCCCACTGGGTCCCTCCCATGACATGTGGGGATTATGGGAACTACAATTAAAGGTGAGATTTGGGTGGGGACACAGAGCCAAACACCCCAACTTTTGCAGCTCCCACCTCAGAGTCTGGCTCCTAAATCACCTAGCTCTGAGAATTGACAAGGCTCTGAATTTATGAGACTCCCTAGATAACAAAGAACAAAAAGGTAGTTTATTAAGAGAGTGTTAGATAAACTCCAGCTTTTAGTTTCTCCCTGAGGATAGAATGAACTGGAATACTCATCTAACACCCCCAACCTTTTCAGCTGCATCTTGAGGAGGTGGTTTCTACTTCACCTATCTGAAGGCAATAACAGGACTTGGCACATCCTTATCTACTTGGGGCCATTATGAACACAGACTGTGGTTTGGACAAGCAAGAGGATTTGAGAGGGACCTAGAATCTCTGACCAGGCTGATTGGTGAGATTCATCTCTTACACAAAGCCAGTCTGACAAGACTAGGTGCAGCAGTTATCTTATCTAATGCACGATAACTATCAGAGTCAAAGAAGAAATAAAAATTTTAAAAATATCTTGAGATGAATGTAAACTAAAACACAGCATAACAAAACTTATGGTCTGCAGCAAAAGCAGTAATAAGAAAAAAAGCTTATAACAATAAACATCTATATTAAGAAATAAGAAAAATTTCAAATAAATAACCCAACCATATACCTCAAGAAACTAGAAAAAGAAAAATTGACTAAACCCAAAGTTAGCAGAATAAAGCATATAACAAGGATCAGAGCAAAAATAAATCAAATACAAAATAATCAATACTAAGAACTGGTTTTTGTAAAAAATAAGATCAACAAATCCTTAGCTAGACTAAGAAAAAAAGAGAGAAGACTCAAATAAAATACAAATGAAAGAGGAGATATTACAATGGATGCCTCAGGAAAAAAAAAGAATATTAAGGGACTATTATGGACAGTTATATACCAGCAAATTGGAAAAATGGAAAAATTCCTAGAAATATACAACCTGCTAAGACTTAATCAAGAAGAAATATAAAGTCTGAATAGACCAATTACAAACAAAGCGATTGAAGGTAGTAATCAAAAACCTCCTAACAAAGAAAAGCTCAGGACCATATGGCTTCACTAGTGAATGCTACCAAACACTTAAGGAAAAATTACATAAATCCATTTCAAACTCTTCCAAATATCTGCAAAAGTAGGGACACTTCCCAACTCATTCTATGAGACAGCATTTACCTAAAATTGAAGCCAGAGAAAGACACCACACAAAAAGAGAAAACTACAGCCCATATCTTCTATGAATATAAATAAAAAATCTTCAACAAAATATTAGCAAATTGAATTAAGCAGGATATTAAAAAGATTATATTCCAAGACAAAGTGAAATTTATCCCAGGTACGGAAGGGTGGTTCAACTTACAAAAAGCAATCGTCGTAATATATCATAATATAGGAATTAAGGACAAAACTCACATATCATCATCTCAAATAAATTCAGAAAAAGCATTTGACATAATTCACCATACTTTCATGATAAAGACTCTCATCAAATTAAGTATAGAAAGAATGGCCTCAACATAATAAAGGCCATATATGATAAGCTAACAGCTAAAATGATTATACTGGAAAAGGCAGAAAGCTTTTCCTCCAACATCAGGAAGAAGACAAGAAATGCTAACTTCACCACTTCTATTCAATATATACCAGAAGTTCTAACCAGAGTAATTAAGAAGAAATAAAAAGTATCCAAATTGGAAAGAAAGAAATAAAATTCACAGATGACGTGATCTTATATGTAGAATTCCCTAAATGTTCCAAAGAAAACTATTAGAGCTAATAAATAAATTTACCGAAGTCTCTATATACAATTTCAACATGCAAAAAATCAGTTGCATTTCTATACAATATTTATAAACATTCTGAAAGGGAAATTAACAATTCAACTTATGAAAAAGAATATAACGTTTAGGAATAAACTTAAGAAGGCACAAGATTTGTATGCTGAAAACTATGAAATATTGCTGAAAGAAATTAAAGAGACTAAAATAAATGAAAAGACAGCCTATGTTTTTGGATATAAGATTTAATATTGTTAAGATGGCAATACCCCACAGCACATGGATAATTCTCAAGGATAGACCATATGATAGGTAACAAAAAAGCCTTAAAACATTCCAAAAATTAAAATAATATCAAGCATCTCCTCTGACCACAATGGAATAAAACTAGAAATTAATAAAAAGAGGAATTTTGGAAACTATACATTGAAAAATGCATGGAAATTAAATAATATGCTCCTGAATGACCAGTGGATTAATAAAGAAATTAAGAAAGAAATTAAAAATTTTCTTGAAACAAATGATAATGAAAACGCAACACACCAAAACCTATGGGATACAGCAAAAGCAGTACTAAGAGGGAAGTTTACAGCTATAAGTGCCTACATCAAAAAAAAGAAGAAAATTTTCAAATAAACAATCTAAGGATGCATCTTAAAGAGCTAGAAAAGCAAGACCAAATGAAACCCAAACTAGTAGAAGAAAATAAATAATAAATATCAGACCAGAAATCAATCAAGTTGAAATTTTAAAATAATACAAAAGATCAATAAAACTAAAAGTTGGTTTTCTGAAAAGTTAAACAAAATTGACAAACCTTTAGCCAGGCTAACTAAAAAAGAAAAAAGACCCAAATAAATAAAATCATAAATGAAATGGGAGAGATTAAAACTAATATCACAGAAATTCAAAGAATCATAAGTGCCTACTATGAGCAACTACACACCAATAAATTGGAAGATTCAGAAGAAACTGACAAATTCCTAGATACATACAACCTACCAAGAGTGAACTAGGAAGAAATCCAAAACCTGAACAAACTAATAACAAGTAATGAGATCAAAGCCATAATAAAATGTCTCCCAGTAATAAAAAGCCTGGGACCTGAAGAATTCATTGTTGAATTCTACCAAACATTTAAAGAGCTAATACCAATCCTACTCAAGCTATTCCAAAAAATAGAGGATGAGGGAATACCTCCAAACTCACTGTATGAGGCCAGTGTTACTCTGATAACAAAACAAGACACAGACACATCAAAAAAAGAAAACCACAGGCCAATATCTCTGATGAATATTGATGAAAATCCCTCAACAAAATACTAGCAAACCAACTTCAACAATACATTAGAAAGATTTATTCTTCATGACCAAGTGGGACTTATCTCTGGGATGCAAGAGATGGTTCAACATACACAAATTAATCAGTATGATACATCATATCAACAGAATGAAGAATAAAGACAATAATTTCAATTGATGCTGAAAACAAATTTGATAAAATTCAACATCTCGTCATGATAAAACCCCTCAAAAACTGGGAATAGAAGGAACATACCTCAACATAATAAAAGCCATAAATGACAGAGCCACAGCTAGTATCATACTGAATGGGGAAAAACTGAAAGCCTTTCCTCTAAGATCTGGAACATGACAAGGATGCCCACTGACACCACTGTTATTCAACATAGTACTGAAAGTCCTAGCTAAAGCAATCGAACAAGACATAGATATAGATAGGTGGGACTGTAAACAAGTTCAACCATTGTGGAAGTCAGTGTGGTGATTCCTCAGGGATCTAGAACTACAAATACCATTTGACCCAGCAATCCCATTACTGGGTATATACCCAAAGGACTATAAATCATGCTGCTATAAAGACACATGCACACATATGTTTATTGCGGCACTATTCACAATAGCAAAGACTTGGAACCAACCCAAATGTCCAACAATGATAGACTGGATTAAGAAAATGTGGCACATATACACCATGGAATACTATGCAGCCATAAAAAAGGATGAGTTCATGCCCTTTGTAGGGACATGGATGAAATTGGAAATCATCATTCTCAGTAAACTATCGCAAGGACAAAAAACCAAACGCCGTATATTCTCACTCATAGGTGGGAATTGAACAATGAGAACACATGGACACAGGAAGGGGAACATCACACTCTGGGGACTGTTGTGGGGTGGGGGGAGAGGGGAGGGATAGCATTAGGAGATATATCTAATGCTAAATGACGAGTTAACGGGTGCAGCACACCAGCATGGCACATGTATACATATGTAACTAACCTGCACATTGTGCACATGTACCCTAAATCTTAAAGTATAATAAAAAAAAGACATAGATATTAAGGCATCCAAATTGTAAAGGAAGAAGTCACATTATCTTTGTTTGCAGATGATATAATCTTGTATTTGGAAAAACCTAAAGACTCCACAAGAAAAATGTCAGAACTCATAAAGATATTCAGTAAAGTTGTAGGATACAAAATCAACATACATAAATCAGGAGCATTTCTATATGCCAACAGAAAACAATGTAAATAAGAAATTTAAAAAGTAATCCCATTTACAACAGACACACATTAAATTAAATACCTAAGAATTAACCAAAGAAGTGAAATATTTATATAAGGAAAACTATAAAATACTGATGAAAGAAATTGAAGAGGACAACAAAACAGGAAAAGATATTCCATGTTAATGGATTGAAAGAATCAATATTGTTAAAAATGTCCACATTACACAAAGCAATCTACAGATTCAATGTAATCCTTATCAAAATACCAATGACATTCTTCATAGAAATAGAAAAAAAAATCCTAAAATGTAGATGGAACCAAAAAAGACCCAGTGTAGCAAAAGCTATCCTAAGTAAAAAGAATATAACTGGAGAAATCACATTGCCCGACTTCAAATCATACTACAGAGCTATAGTAACCCAAAACAGCATGATATTGACATAAAAATAGACACATAGTCCAATGGAACAGAATATAGAACTCAGAAACAAATCCACACACCTACAGTGAACTCATTTTTGACAAAGGTGCTAAGAACATACACTGGGGAAAAGACAGTCTCTTCAACAAATGGTGCTGGAAAAACTGGATATCCAAATGCAGAAGAATGAAACTTGACCTCTATTTTCCCCCATATAAAAAAAATCAAATCAAAATGGATTAAAGACAAATCTAGTACCTCACACTATGAAACTACTACAAGAAAACATTGAGAAAAATCTCCAGGACATTGGTCTAGGCAAAATTTTCTGGAGCAATACCCCACAAACACAAGCAACCAAAACATAAATGGACAAATGATATCACATCGAGTTAAAAAGCTAATGCACTGCAAAGAAAACAATCAACACAATGAAGAACAACCCACAGAATGGGAGAAAATATTTGCAAAATACTCATCTGACAAGAGATTAATAACCAGAATATATAAGGAGCTCGAACAACTGTATTAAAAAAATCTAATAATCTGATCAAAAGATGGGCAAAATATTTGAACAGACATTTCTCAAAAAGAAGACCTATAAAGTGACAAACAGGCATATGAAAAGGTGCTCAACATCATTTATCATCAGAGAAATGCAAATCAAAAATACAATATCATCTCACTCCAGTTAAAATGGCTTATATTCAAAATGCCATGTATATGTGTGTATATATGTATACACATTGCAATACACTGTATATATATACATCCCACATATATACATACAATGAAATATTATTCAGCTTTAAAAAGGAAGAAAATTCTGACACAGGCTACAACATGGATTAACCTTGAGATCATTACGCTAAGTAAAATAGCCAGTCACAAAAAGACAAATACTATAAGATTTCACTTATATGAAGTACTCAGAGTAGTCAAATTCATAGAGACAGAAAGTAGAAAAGTTTTCAGAGTTTCAGTAGCTGTACATTTTAAAATAACTTAAAGAGTGTAATTGGATTGTTTGCAACTCAATGGATAAATGCTTGAGGGGATGCATACCCCATTTTTCATGATGTGCCTATTTCACATTACACCAAAACATCTCATGTATCCCAAAAATATATACACCTACTATATACTATCAAAAATTAAAAATAAAAAAATTTAAATGGCAATACTACCCAAATCAATCCACAGATTCAATGCAACTCCTATGAAAATTTCGATATTTTTTACAGAAATGGAAAGACCTACCCTAAAATTTATATGAAATTTCAAGAGACCCGGAGTAGCCAAAACGATATTGAAAAAGAACATTAGAAAATTCATACTTTCTGATTTTGAAACTTACTACAAAGCTACAGTAATCAAAATAGTGCTGTCATATGTACAGACATATAAACCAGTGGAATTGATTAAAAATTTTTCAACAAGAGTTCTGAGATCATTTAATGGGGAAAGAACAATCTCTTCAATAAATGGTGCTGGGAAAACTGGACAACCATATGCAAAAGAATGAAGTTCAACCTGTACATTATATCATATACTAAAATTAATACAAATGAATCAAAGGCCTAAATCTAAGAGCTAAAATAATAAAACTCTTTGGAGGAAATATATGGGCAAGTTTTTATTACCTTGAATTTTGCAATAGTTTTATAAATATGACACCAAAAGCACAGACAAAAAATAAAAAAAATACTTCATTAAGATGAAGAACTCTTGTACATCAAATAATCAAGAGAGTGAGAAAAGATATTTGCATATCATAATCTGGTAGGACTTAACATCCAAACTATATGAAGGTCTTCTATAACTCAGCAACCATCTAAAAACCCATTTTAAAAATAGGCAAATTACAAGAGTATACTTTTTTGGTAAGAAGATATATATATCATCATCATTAGTTATTAGGAAAATTCAAATCAAAGACAACTCATTGGAGACACAACTTCATGTTTACTATAATAGCTATAATAAAAAATGTAAAGGAAAACAGCAAGTTTTGTTGAGGATATGGAGAAATTAGAATCCTTGCACATTGCTGGCGGGAATGCAAAATGGTGCAGCCACTATGGAAAACAGTTTGGAGGTTTCTCAAAAAGTTAAACATAGGATTATTGTATGACCCAACAATTTTACTCCTAGGTATATACCCAAAAGAACTGAAAACAGGGATTCAAACAGATACTTGTATACCAATGTTTATAGCAGCATCATTCACAATACCCAAAAGGTGGAAACAATCCATGTGTCCAGCAACAGTAGAATGAGTAAGCAGAATGCAGAACAGTCTATGCTCATTATTCATGGCATTTATGTTCTTTCTTTTTTTTTTTTTGAGATGGAGTCTCGCTCTGTCACCCAGGCTGGAGTGCAGTGGCGCGATCTTGGCTCACTGCAAGCCTCGCCTCCCGGGTTCACACCATTCTCCTGCCTCAGCCTCCTGAGTAGCTGGGATTACAGGCACCTGCCACCACGCCCGGCTCATTTTTTGTATTTTTAGTAGAGATGGGGTTTCACCATGTTAGCCAGGATGGTCTTGATCTTCTGACCTCGTGATCCACCTGCCTCGGCCTCCCAAAGTGCTGAGATTACAGGCGTGAGCCACCGTGCCTGGCCTATTCGTGGTATTTATGTTCTATAGCATTGTCATTAGCACCAAATTAGCAAATACTGAACTACTGTTCCTAGGGAAAATTCAGGTTTAGGTATGTGTGAGCCTCTTAGGCCATAATATTTCCATCATCTCATCAATACATAACCTTGTTTTATGTGTATTTCTTATTTAATATATAGTTGATTTATTTTTACTAAACTCGCAGCCAACAGCACTATAATTCATACCTGAACAAAGCTTATATTATACATTATTTTTTCTATAAGGCACATCACAGCCTTCTTGTGCTTAGAAACACTAGAAAGCACTTCGACACTATGCTTCTGGGCCATTCTAAACAGCAAAATCACCCAAAAAAAAAGCAGAAAAATGCAAAAACCATGGCACTAAATAGATAGCAAAGAGGACACTTGTTTAAAATATGAGAGCTGAAACAAAAAGGCAGACTATCACTTTGTTCAACCTCAACTAGGAATATGTGCATAAAGAGACTCAAATTTTTTTCTGTTCTGAAAAACTGCTTCTCTGAAAAAAATAAAATTGCTGTGTGAATGACTGCATAAGTGTTGATTCTGATTTTAGGGTTACAAATCTAGAGGTGATTTAAAGTGCATGGGAGAATGTGCCTAGATTATATGCAAATACTATGCCATTTTATGTAAGGGACTTAGGCATCTGTGGATTTTGATATCCACAGGTGTCCTGAAATCCCCTGTAGATACCAAGGGAAAACTGTATTCAGGTGGTGGCTTGGCTGGTATAGAGGATCCAAGACACATCACTCATATTCCTGGTTCCTTGACAAGAGCAGCTCAATGATACTCCTCCTCCTCCCTATGGAGTCTCAGAGCTTCTCCACATGGTCCTTTTAGCAGGATTTTGAGACATGGTGGCTCAGGGCTCCATGAAACCAAGCAAGAAGCTTCCAGTACTTTTACCAGCTAGGCCCAGCAATGGCACAGCATCAATTCCACCATACTCCATTAGCCAGAGCAGGGACTAGCCAGCCCAGATTCAAATATAGGGGAAGTAAACACCAACACTTGATGGAATAAATGTCACAGAATTTGAAGCCATCCTTAATCTACCACAAATACTTAACCAAAATAGCTAAGAAGTTATCTATTCCAGTTCTGAACATCTCCTGCCCCACATTGTTTATTCCCACACAATTTTGTCCCTGCAACAGTAGCTTTATACTCTAAGATATTTTTACTAATAGAAATGAAGTATATGACATGAAACTCAGGCTTTAAGATCTTTTTTGAAATCTTTGATGAATAGGTGGGATGGACAGAAGTTTGTCACTTCAAGGTCTGCAAGAAGTTCCATCTCTTTAGAGATGAAGATTTTCGGTCAGTTTGGGGTACAGTATTCCTTCATCTTATTTTGGGGAAAATTGTTAAGCTATATGCAGAGACTATAGACTTAAGTTTCAACTGTACTGTTTAATAAATTACGTATATCTTTAGCTGAACTATGAGGAGTTAGGAATATTTTAATATGGATTTTTATTTGATTGTCTCAGAAAATTATCTTTAAAAATTCTAAGTAGGTCTTTTTGTCCAAATACTTGCTCCCAAGAAATTGGAAGAACAAAACCATGCCATGGAGAATATATAGATCTCATAATTTCTTCACTTCATACTAGAGTAAAGACTGTAAAAACCAAATGAATGTGTAGGTTAAGTGTTCTGGTTTTTAAGTATAAATGATGTTTATGGTTGAGCAAGGACTCTATTTCTGAAGCTTTGTGTAACATAAGGGTGAGTAAAAAATTTTGCTATACTATGTATGAACTGAGATAATATTATGACTGAAACATTACTTGTGATTGTAGAAATGAGCATGGACCTTTTTGTTTAGCTTTAGTTTGTTTTTGTTTTGTTAAGAGATATCAAGATATATTACATTCAGGTAACATAGCTTTGGTGCCTAGGGGACAGACATTCTCCCTATCTCCACAAAGAGCCCAGCACCCTCTAATGCCCCAAAGACATGTGACTTAGAAAAATAACACCCTAAGCATAGATACTGACAATTTTCTGAAGGATAATCCCAATGCAAGCTACAGTGAGGCTCCACTAAACTGCTTCAAGAGCGGTGGATATTAGCTGAAGGAATAGGAGAAAAATATCATGGCAGTTGTAATGTGGTAATTATAGTGGGCAACAGGCTTGGGAACACATTTACTGTACACTTTTGAAAAATTCCAGATACATGTGTATACATTCCAGAAGGGGAGGGTTGCTAAGTTCAAGATATGAGGCCAATGAAAGTTCAAGCTATGGTAATTTGAGCATCAAATGTTAGGGTGTCTGGGAAGTATTTCTTAAACAAGACTCAAAAAGTACAAACCATAAAAGAAGATTAATAAATATGAACACACTAAATAAAAAAATTCTGATGATCAAAGTCACCATGAGAAAAGCAAAAAGATAAGCCACAAATTAAAGGAAGGTATCCTCAACACATATGACACATGTATTAGTACCAAGATGACATTAGCAATTAATAAAAATAAATTTAAAACACTGTTCAGTAGAAAAATGGACAAAAGACACAAAAATGCATTTCACAAATAAGAAAATAAGAACAACCAATAAAGATAATTTAAAATGTTCAAACTCATTAGTAACTAAAGAGATTAAAAATAATATCACAATAAGCTCTCACAATAAACTCACCAAGGTAAAATTGTAGATATGCATACTCTATTATACAGCAATTCTACTCATAAGTATTTGCCCCAGAGAACTTCTCACACTTCTAACAACATACACAGTGTATTAGTCCGTTTTCATGCTGCTGATAAAGACATAACCCAGATGGGACAATTTACAAAAGAAAGAGGTTTAATGAACTCACAGTTCCACGTGGCTGCAGGGGTCACTTCCCACAGTCCAGGGCCCAGGTGGGGAGCAGTCCTGCAGCCAGACAGGCTCCCAACAGTGACCACCACAGGCCAAGCCACAGTCTTCCTTCAAACCCCCTAGGCAGGTCAGTCTCTCCTCCAGCTCTGGGAAGGGCATCATCTCCAGAACACCTGCGCCTGCGGACAATCCGCCGCTGTGTGGCTGGGGAGGCCTCACAATCATGGCAGAAGGTAAAAGGCAAATGTCACATGGCAGCAGACAAAGAAGAGAATGAGAGCCAAGTGAAAAGGGTTTCCCCTTATAAAACCATCAGATCTCATGAGACTTATTCACTACCACGAGAACGGTATGGGGGAAACTGCCCCACGATTCAGTTAACTCCAACTGGGTCCCTCCCATAATACAAGGGAATTATGGGAGCTACAATTCGAGATGAGATTTGGGTGGGGACACAGCCAAACTATATCACAGAGCAACATTTTAAATATTTATTGACAGAAAAATGAACAAATTATAATATAGTCATATAAAAAAGTATTATAGAACAATGAAAATGAATGAAGAGGAAGACAAATTTTGAGGGGTTAGCAAAATGGCAGATAGGAGACAGGACTACATTATAGCCCCCACTCAGACAGACAGAGCAGCATGTGGAGACTCACGTTGTAAACTTTTGCTCCAAGAACTACCACAGGAACATACCAGGAAAGCCAAGAGAATCCATAGACCCTTTGAAAGAAGTGAATTGCTCCTGCAGGCCCTGGGAGACAGCCCAAACACTGTGAGTGCCCAAAGTGTGAAAGTGTGAAAGGGGGATCATCTGCCCCCAAACACACATCATCACTGGGGAACATGAAGTTCCAGATCATGGGAGAAGGATTTGACCTTACCTGGAACAGAAACAATTTTAGAGAGCTGAGCCAAACACAGCGGTAGAAGAAGCATGGGGAAGAGCCCTGTGGGCTCTCTTGGTCCCCAGGAAAGCCATTTCTGACTTTGTCTCACAGAGGTCCTTGGGAAGGGCTGCCAGAGGAACTGGGAAAAGACCACAGGGAGAAGTAAACTTCAAGTTGAACTTTATAACAATTTCAACTGAACGCATAGTTTCCTGGACAGAATTTGAGGGACGGGGTGAATGCAGAGTGCAGACACAGCACAGAAGCTGCGGCAGGTTGGGGGTACGAAACCTGAAAGCTCTGCTTACTTTCACATCAGGGAGGCTGGTAGAGTGGGGCAAGTTCTCAGCCCTGCTCACCCACTGCCTGGAAACAAACTTGGTGCTGTTGCAGGGAACATGGTGGGAGTGAGACTGGCCTTTTGGGCTGCGTGGGAGCTGAGCAACGCCTGTAACTGTGGGAGTATTTTAGTTTAATTAAGTCTCATCTATTTATCTTTGTTTTTGTTTCATTTGCTTTTGGGTTCTTGGTCATGAAGTCTTCGCCTAAGCCAACGTCTAGAAGGGTATATATATATACATATATATATGTATACATATATGTACACATATATATACACATATATACATATATACACATATATATACATATATATGTGTATATATATATATATATAATCTTTGCTTTGTTGAAGATCAGTTGGCTGTAAGTATTTGGCTTTATTTCTGGGTTCTCTATTCTTTTCCATTGGTCTATGTGCCTTTTTTTTTTTTTTTTTTTTGAGATGGAGTCTCGCTCTGTCGCCCAGGCTGGAGTGCAGTGGCTCACTGCAAGCTCTGCCTCCTGGGTTCACGCCATTCTCCCGCCTCAGCCTCCCGAGTAGCTGGGACTACAGGTGCCCACCACCATGCCCAGCTAACTTTTTGAATGTTTTAGTAGAAACAGGGTTTCACCGTGTTGGCCAGGATGGTCTCGATCTCCTGACTTCATGATCCGCCCGCCTCAGCCTCCCAAAGTGCTGGGATTACAGGCGTGAGCCACTGTGCCTGGCCCTATGTGCCTATTTTTATACCAGTACCATGCTGTTTTGGAGACTATGGCCTTATAGTATAGTTTGAAAAAAATCATAGATGACACAAACAAAAGGAAATACATCCCATGCTCATGGATGGGTAGAATCAATATTGTGAAAATGACATAGTACAACCACTATAGAAAACAGTGTGGGGATTGCTTAAAGAACTAAAAGTAGATCTACCATTTGATCCAACAATCTCACTACTAGGTAGCTACCCAGAGGAAAAGAAGTAATTATGCAAAAAAGATTCTTGCACACACATGTTTATAGCAGCACAATTTGCAAATACAAAAATATGGAACCCGCCCAAATGGCCATCAATCAACTAGTGGATACAAAAAATGTGGTATGTATATACACCATGGAATATTACTCAGCCATTAAAAGGAACAAAATAATGGCTTTCACAGAAACCTGGATGGAATTGGAGATTATTATTCTAAGTGAAGTAACTCAGGAATGGAAAACCATACATTTTATGTTCTCACTCATAATTGGGAGCTAAGTTATGAGGACGTAAAGGCATAAAAATGATACAACAGACTTTTGGGACTCGGTGGAAAGGATGGGAGGGTGAGGGATAAAAGACTACATGTTGGGTACAGTGTACGCTGCTTGGGTGATGGGTGCACCAAAATGTCAGAAATCACCACTAAAGAACTTATTCATGTAACCAAACACTTGTTCCCCAAAAACCTATTGAAATAAAAAAAATTTAAGTTAGAAAGATCTCAAATTGACAAGCTAACATTGCATCTTAAGAAACCTAGAGAAACAGGCTGGGTGTGGTGGCTCACTCCTGTAATCCCAGCACTTTGGGAGGCCGGGGCGGGCGGATCACCCGAGGTCAGGAGTTCAAGACTAGCCTGGTCAACATGGTGAAGCCCCGTCTCTACTAAAAATAAAAAAATTAGCTGGGCATGGTGGCGTGCACCTGTAGTCCCAGCTACTCGGGAGGCTGAGGCAGGAGAATCGCTTGAACCCGGGAGGCAGAGGTTGCAGTGAGCCAAGATCACGCCACTGCACTCCAGCCTGTGTGACAGAGTGAGACTCCATCTCAAAAAAAAAAAAAAAAAAGAAATCCTAGAGAAACAAGAGCAAACTAACCCCCAAAGCTAGCAGTACAAGATATAGCCAAAATCAGAGATGAACTGAATGAAATTGACATGTAAAAAAAAATTCAAGAGATAAAGGAAACCAGGAGTTTTTTATTCAAAAGGATAAGATTGGTAGACTGCTAACTAGAATAATAAAGAAAAATGAGAAAATATTGAAATAAACACATTCAGATATGAGAAAGAGGACATTACCACCAACCCCAAAGAAATAAAAGAAACCCTTCGAGACTGTTACGAACAGCTCTATGCACATAAATTAGAAAATCTAGGAAAAAAATCGGTGAATTTCTAGACACATACAATGTCCAAAGATTGAACCAGGAAAACACAGAATCCCTGAAGAAACTAATAATGAGTTCTGACACTGAATCAGTAATAAAAAGCCTACTAAGCAAAAAAAAAAAGCCCAGAACCAGATAGATTCACAGCCAACCTCTACCAGATGTATAAAGAAGAACTGATACAATTTCAACAGAAACCATTCAAAACAACTTGAGGAGGAAGGCTCTCCCTAACTCATGCTATGAGGCCAACATCATCCTGACATCCTGACTTGTCTCAGGTTCACAGATTAAGACTTCTATTACATGAAACTCTTATCTTTGAATATTTTAGCCCTAGCTAAAGCAATCAGACAAGAGAAAAATATAAAGGGCATCCAAATTAGAAAGAAAGAAGTCAAATTATCCTTATTATAAGATCGTATCAATCTTATAATTGGAAAAACCTAGACTCCAACAAAAAACCGTTAGAACTCATAAATTCAGTAATATTGCAAATACAATATCAACACACAAAAATCAGTAGCATTTCTGTATACCAACAGATTAATTGCAAAAAGGATATCGCTAAGGTATATAGTAATCAGGATATCTAAAATCAATATGAAGGAAAGAATTCTAAGACCAGTGAGACAAAAGTATCAAATAACATATAAAGGAAAACCTATCAGATTAAGAGCATACTTCTCAGCAGAAACTTTACAAGTCATAAGGGATTAGGGTCCTAAGTCTCCTAGAGGAGAATAACTGCCAGCCAAGAATTTTGTATTCTGCTAAACTAAGTTTCATAAATGAAGAAGAAATAAACTTTTTCTCAGGCAATCAAACATTTAGGAAATTTGCTGCCACTAGAACAGCATTACAAGAAATACTCAAAGGAATTTCAAATATCAAAATGAAAGGTCTATATGCATCAATATAAAAACACTTGAAAGTATAACTCACAAGACTTGTAGAACAGTAACAGAATGGAAAAACAAACAACTAGGTAACAATCAGCTTGGTGATGGGAATAGTATTTCAAATACCAATATTAACTTTGAATGTAAATGGTCTAAGTGTCCCACTGAAAGGATGTATATTGGCAGAATGTCTTACAGAAACACAGTCCAAATATCTGCTACCTTCAAGAGACCCACTTAACTCATAAAGATCCTTATAGACTCATGGCAAAAAGATGGGAAAAATATTTCACACAAATGGAAACCAAAAATGAGCAGAAGTAGCTTTTCTTCTATCAGATAAAATAGATTTTAAATCAATAACAGTAAAAAAAAAGAAAAAGAATGTCATCATATAATAATAAAGGGTTCAATTATATATATATAATTGAAGATATAACAATCCTTAATATATGTGCACCCAACACAAGAGCTTCCAGATTAATAAAAGATCTACTACTAGACCCAAGAAAAGAGATTGACAGCAATACAATAATAGTTTGGGACCTCAACACTCCACTGACAGCACTAGACAGATCATGGAGGCAGAAAGTCAACAAATAAACACTGGACTGAAACTGGACTCTAACAGATATTTACAGAATATTCTACAAAAAAATTCAAAATATACATTCTTCTCATCAGCACATGGAATCTTTCCAAGATAGACCATATGAGAGGCCACAAAATAAGCCTAAATAAATACAAAAAATTCCAAATCATACAAGTACCTTCTCAGACCACAGGACAATAAAACTAGAAATCAACGGCAAGGGAAACTCTCAAACCTATAAAAATACATGGAAATTAATCTGATCCCAAATAATCTTTGGATAAATGATAGAATCAAGAAGAAAATTTAAAAATTTTTCAAACAAATGATAACAGTAACCCAAGTTATTAAAATCTCTGGGATACAGGAAAAGCAGTGCTAAGACAATAGTTTATATTGCCAAATGTCTACATCAGAAAGAAAAATCACAAACCAACAACCTAACATAATACCTTAGGCAACTGGAAAACCAAGAACAAACCAAACCCAAAGGCGGCAGCAGAAAACAAATAAAGATCAGAGCGGATCTAAATGAAATTGAACCCCTGCCAAATACAAATGATCAATAAAAAGAAAAATTTGTTTTCGAAAAGATAAACAAAATTGATAGTTAGCTAAATTAACCAAGAAAAGAGAGAAGATTCAAATAAGCTCAATCATAAATGAAAAGGGAAACATTACTACTGATACCATGGAAATACAAAAGATCATCTGAGACTACTATGAACACCTCTATGTGCACAAACCAGAAAATCTAGAGGAAATGGATAAACTCTTGGAAACATACAACACTCCAAGCTTGAATCAGGAAGAAATAGAAACTCTGAACAGACTAATTATAAGTAGTGAGATTGAATCAGTGATAAAAATATCCAAACAAAAAAATACGCCCAGGACCAGACAGATTCACAGCCAACTTCTACTAAACATTTGAAGAACTGGTAGCAATTCTACTGAAACTATTACTAGAGCTTGAGAAGTAGGGAATCCTCCCTAACTCATTCTGTGAAGCTAATATCACCCTGATACCAAAGCCAGAGAAGGACATAACAATAGCAAAAATAACTACAGACCAATATCCCTCATGAACACAAAAATCTAGCCAACCAAATCTAACAGTACATCAATAATTCACCAAGATCAAGGGGGTTTTATCCCAGGGATCCAAGGATGGTTCAACGTAGAGAAATCAATAAATGTGATTAACCACATAAGTAATTTTTTAAAAAATATGATCATTTCAATAGATGCAGAAAAAGCACCTTATCACATTCAGCATCCTTTCATGATAAATATCCTTAACAAACTAGGCATCAAAGGAACATACCTAAAAATAATAAAAGCCATATATGTCAAGCCCACAGTAAACATCACACTGAATGGGGAAAAGTTGAAAACACTGCCCCTGAGAACTGGAACAAGACAAGGATGCCCACTTTCACTACTTTTATTCAATGTAGTACTGGAAGTCCTAGCCAGAACAGTCAGGCAAAAGAAAGAAATGAAGGGCATCCAAATTGGAAAAAATAATGTCAAAGTATCTGTTTGCTGATATCATCTTCTATCTTAAAAACCCTGAACACCCCTCGAAAAGCCTCCTAGATTTGATAAATGAATTCACTAAAGTCTCAGATTACAAAATTAACATACACAAATCAGTAGCTCTGCTATACACAAATAATGACCAAGGTGAAAATCAGATCAAATCAATTCCATTTACAATAGCTGCAAAAAAACCCCTAGGAATATACTTAACCAAGGAGCTGAAAAATCTCTACAAGGAGAACTACAAGACACTGATGAAAGAAATCATAGGTGACACAAACAAATGGAAAAACATTCCATGCTCATGGATTGGAAAAATCAATACTGTGAAAATGACCATACTGCCCAAAGCAATCTACATATTCAATGCAATTCCTATCAAATCACCAATATCATCATGCACAGAATTAGAAAAAAATCTTAAAATTCATATGGAACCAAAAAAGAGCCTAAATAGCCAAAGCAATCCTAAGCAAAAAGAACCAAGCCAGAGACATCACATTACCTAACTTCAAATTATACTACAAGGCTATAGTAGCCAAAACAGCATGGTACTGGTATAAAAGTAGATACATAGACCAATATAACAGAATAGAGAACCCAGAAATAAAGCCAAATACTTACAAAACAGCTGATCTTTGACAAAGCAGACAAAAGCATGCACTGGGGAAAGCACACTCTTTTCAATAAATGATGCTGAGAATATTGGACAGCCACATGCAGAAGAATGAAACTGGACCCTTAACTCTTACCATATACAAAAATTAACTCAGGATGGATTAAATACTTACATATAAGACCTGAAACTATAAAAATTCTAGAAGAAAACCTAGGGAAAGCTTTTCTGGACATTGGCCTAGAAAAGTAATTTATCAGTAAGGCCTCAAAAGCAAATGCAGCAAAAACAAAAATAAATAAATGGGACTTCATTAAACTAAAGAAGCTTCTGCACAGCTAAAGAAATAACAGAGTAAACAGAAAACCTGCAGAATAGGAAAAAATATTTGCAAGCTATACATCCAACAAAAGGCTAACATCCAGAATATGCAAGGAAATCAAATCAGAAAGAAAAAGACAAATAATCCCATTAAAAAGTAGGGAAACAACATAAATAAACACTTCGCAAAAGAAAATATACAAATGGCCAACAAACATATAAAAAATGCTCAACATTATTAATCATCAAGGGAATGCAAATTAAAACACAAAATGAGATACCACCTTACCCCAATCAGAATGGCCATTTTTAAAACATAATAAACAGTAGATATTGGTGTATATGCAGTAAAAAGGGAATGCTTGTACACTGTTGGTGAGAATGTAAATCAGTACAACCTCTATGGAAAACAGTATGGAGATTTCTCAAAGAACTAAAGTAAGTCTACCATTTGATCTAGGAATCCCACTACTAGGTATCCACCCAAAGGAAAAGAAGTCATTATATTAAAAAGATACCTGCACTCATGTTTATCATAGCACAATTCACAATTATAAAGACATGGAATCAACCTAATTGCCAATCAACAGATGAGTGGATAATGAAAATGTGGCATATCTACACTATGGAATACTACCCAGTCATGATAAAGAATGAAATAATATCTTGTGCAGCAACTGGGATGAAACTGGAGGCCATTATACTAAGTGACACAACTCGGGAATGGAAAACCAAATACCACATGTCCTCACTTATAAGTAGGAGCTAAGCTATGGGTATGCAAAGGCACAACTACAGCTGTCTTTCTCATTAATGATATCTAATTCTCTTTGGTCTTTGTTGAACTATTTTGTGGATATTTATATTTTACTGAAGGTACTTTAAATTCTTTTGGTCATAGGAAGTGTTTAAAGTCAATGGGAATGGATAAACAACTATGTGTTTCCTGAAGTATGCTTATTTCTACCATTACTTAAAATTTTCAGGTTTTTTAGGGCCTTACCAATTGTGGTTTCTCTCATAGTAAGACTCTTGTAAGTACTTTGGGGAGCTTTTATTGGGTGCCCCCAAGAACATGGAGAAATGAGGGGGACAAATTGACCTCTGAAATCAACATGTAGGTCAAGTAGATCTATAAATTCACCTGAAATGAGATGGTTCTAAGACCATAATTACTGTTGTACTGTATTATTATATGTAGATAAAGACCATATCAATAAGAAAAAGGTGCAGCCAATTGAATAAGCAAAGAAAAAAGAGATTAAAGAAGACATATGTTAGCTGTATCCACCCAATCATGCTCAAGAGAGAGCTGAGCCAATGCATTTCTAATACTTTGACCTATTATGGAGAGCATCCCAATGTGTTGGATATATTGGGCTACCCTGACACCTTAGGCATCAGGGTTTGATTGATTTTATTTCCTTTGTTATAATTTTAAGCTTATTAGGTAAATCTTCTGTATTAGGCCATTCTTGCATTGCTATAAAGAAATATCTGAGACTGGGTAATATATAAATAAAAAATATTTAGTTGGCTCACAGTTCTGCAGACTTTACAGGAAACAGTGGCATCTGCTTCTGGGGAAGCCTCAGGAAGCTTTCAATAATGGCAGAAGGTAAAAGGGGAGCAGGTGCATCATATGGCAAAAGCAGGAGCAAGAGAGAGAAGAGGTGGAGGTGCCACACACATTTAAACAACCATATATTGTGAGAATTTAAAGTACCTTCAGTAAAATATAAATATCCACAAAATAGTTCAACAAAGACCAAAGAGAATTAGATATCATTAATGAGAAAGACAGCTGTAGTTGTGCCGGAAACTAAAGATGAGATTATTACTGTAATCAAGTTTTAAATTCAGCAATATGCATCTTGATAGCCAAGATAGAAAGGTAAAGTGGCATCAAGTTGTACCTCCCAAAAGAGAATATAAATATTCTTTGGGAATAATTCCCAAAGTCTGGTTATGTTATTTGAGTTGCTCCTTTGTTCTTTTGTAAACAATATCACTGCTCTTCCTAGTCAAAAAGGACACTACTGACCCAAGATTGGTAGACTGAGGCATTTTATTGCTTGATCTGAGCCAGTCATGTTGTCATGACTGGCCCTCAAGAATATTCATTCATGACCAAGGTTGCAAGTACTATCTGTGGGACTTTTGAAGACAAAATTACCTAACTGGTCCCCAAAAAGATAAAAACATTAGTCATGGCTTTGTTAGACCCGAGGTGAGCAAACCACTGAGTTCGCTGGCCATTAACTCACCTAAGCTCTACAGCAGTGAATCTCAGTTGTATATACTACCCAAGCAGACTCCACAGTTCTTAGGAGCCCACAGACAGTGAGTTTAGGAAAGCCCAGAGTTAAATGTAATGATCACTATTCAGGTGATGCGTACAGTAAAAGCCATGACTTCACACAATATATGCATGTAAGAAACCTGTACTTATGCCACCTAATAAAATATATATAAATTGATATATATATACATATATATAAATTTAAACCAAAATAAATAAATAAAGTAAATGGATAGTTGAATACCAATGTGGAAGTTTCATTCACTTAACAAATGTTCCTGAAGAAACAACATACTAATACCTTTTTTAGGAATTATTTTCCAAATATTCAAACACATTCCAATAATGGAGTACCTTTTTTTTCATAATGAATTAGTCAGAATCCCACCCCGGGAAACAGATGGCACATTCAAAAGGAAAATTTAATATTAAAAAGGGACTCTGTATAATGCTTTAGGGAAAAGTAAGGAAAGCCAATAAGGGAAGGTGAAACATGGAGACCGGGAGCCTTTACCACCTCCCTTACCTGAAGGGACAAGGGAGAGAGGAATAACCAGAACCTGTAGAGAACATTAGAGGAGAGCTACCAAAGAGGAGCTGAGGCCTTCAGTGGAGGAACAAAGGCAATTCCAAACCACATCAGAAAGGGAGTCTAGCATAAATGCCTCAATCTCTCTTTTCTCCCAACTTCCTGTCAGTACCTACCATTGACTAAACCAATCAAAAGTCTGAAGAAAAGAGAGTCCATTGATGTAGCCAATAAAGCTCAGCCTCCCAGGGAACAAAACAGGGTCCCAAAGGGATCTAGACAACAAAAGAATGATATTGAGAATTCACATCTAAAACATTTCATTTCTTCACTGTATATATTAAAGGCAGAAAACAATATTCTGTGACATACATTTTACATAATTAACAACATAAATCTATAACCTTCAGCAGAGTACCTGCAATCATTCATCAACATCAATTATATATCTTAGACATCCACTATGTATTCACCACTAGTTACCATATACAGCCTTACTATCATCTAAAGTATTTCTCAAGTCTGGGAAAAGCATAGTCAGTGTAGCAACTGCAGAAAAACAGAAATCAAGGCGCAGGTCCTACCCTAAGGCTTAAGGTCTCACAAAGAAATATTTATTCTTTTCTTGGAACATATGGAACAAATGAACTGTCTGGAGAAAAAAAATGTTTTCCAGTCTTCGTTTCTTAAAAGGAATACTGAGGTAGGGGAACAAGCCTTGTCTGGTGTTATCACAAGGCCAGGACAGAAAAAAAATACATATTTCTTCCTATACAGTTATGAAACCAGAAGTGAATAGAACATATCTTTTCCAAAAAAATGGAGCTAAGGTAACCATGAAATAACTTATCCAAAATAAGTAAATGTCAGGAACAAGACACTGAGCTACCAAGGGGGTAGAAAACCAGGAAAGTTAAGAGTAAGTTTAAGGTGAAAAAGCAAGAAGTAGTCTGGACTAATTTCAGAGAAAGGGTCATCACTAGTAGCTATTTTTTTTTAATAGCTGGGATAGAATTACATAGATAGGACAGAGTCATGAAAGGGCTTGGGACAAGATAGACAAAAATAAGTGCTACACAAATGTCTGTATCAAAGCTTTTGAGCCTTCTGGTGTCACCTTTTGCCTTAAATACAAATCCTCTGGGATGGTAAACACTCTTCAGTATTTCCAGGCTATCCTAGGGTGAAGATTTGTGTGCAGATTCGCATTACTCTACTCAACTATTATTATTCCTCCTCCTAGCATCTCATATCCCTATGCCTTAGGGCTGGGGCTTCAGTTGGTCTCTGAGCACAGTGTAACACTACTGGGATACACAGACTCTCTTCTTTCTTGCACAGAGTACCTCTGGCACAAAGTTGTTATATATAAAAGGGTGGTTTTGCCCTTTTCTGTCAAATCTCTCATTCCAGATCTTGTCCTGAGAACCTAACCCTTTTCATGAGCAACAACAAAAAAGACCCATCAAGGTATTTATATAAACAAAATTACTTTCTTTATACAATGAGCAACACAAAGAACTAGTACAAGTTTTGCAACTGCAGCCTTTCTTTAATTTGCTAATTAACAATTTGAGCAGGGCTCCCTGTCCCGCCAAAAGCTCTGCAAGCAGAAAGTGGGCAACTCAAAAAATGTACTGTCTCCCCTAGACAGAATATATGAGAATAGCCTTGGGGACTTTTCATCTTCCTGTTACGTGGGGGACAAGAATTCTCTGCCCTTCACATCCTCTCCAAACCTAGGACTGTCTTTACACATGTGACCACAGCCTTCTTTCCTCCTGTTGCTTTGCAGAGACGACTGTGTCAGACACAAAGTTGGAGGTGAGGGCTAATGTGGCCATTGAGATTCCTTAAGTTGCAAGTGACAAAAAACTTCCTCAAAATGCAACTTTATTGGTTCACGTAAAAGGTGAAGTCTAAATTTTATTTTAGGAATGATTAGAGCTATGGGTTCAAATTATGTCATGAGGGCTTGATCTCAGTCTGTATCTCTGATCATTGCTTAGCTTCACATTGTCTCTATTCTCAGGCAGATCTCCCCTGGGATTGCCAAGATGGCTACAAGCAGCTGCAAGTTACTACCTGTCATCAGCATTCCTACCAGAAACAGCACACTTTTATGCCCAGTAGATCAAGAAAAGTCCAAAAATTGAGATTCTAGCTATTTTGGCCTGGCTTGGGTCATATATCTATCACTAAACCAATTAGTCACTGAGGCCATGAGAATGTGATGCTATGACTGATTGTAACTGGTTCACAAATTCTCCCCGGGGGCTGTTCTGCTGTTATCAGAAGAAGAAGGGATAGATACTGAGCAGTCAAAAAATTGTAAGATATATAATAAAAGGAGAAGGAAAAGAGGATTAATAATCTCAGGCTTTTGAAGTCACTACATCTTGTTCAATGCAGAAATGCTTTATTCTGCAACCCAAATAGGTAGACTCCCAGCAATCTCTCTAAAATTACAACGACAAGGTTTTCTATAACTCGTGGTGCTCCCTTTTATTTGAAATTATAAAATCCTTTCTTATGTTGAGCCAATATGCTCCCTCATGACACATCCACACATTGGTCACAGTGCCATCAGGAACAAACAAAGCAAACTTAATTTTTCCACATATCAGACCTTAAAATTTTCAAAGATAATTATCACATGTGTCCAGAAATCTTTATTCCTTAAAATATATCTGGTTCCTTCACTTTTTGGCTCATCTCACATGTTTTCCAGACTCATCAGTAAATTAAAAATTATACAGCACTTTACATTTGATAAAGTTAATTATTTATTTTCAATCCTCAAAATCCTGTTAGATATTGATATTATTACCCCCATTGTACAGATAAGGAAGCTGCGTCTCACAGAGACTAATTGTCTAAGGTCACATAAGTGCTAAACAGCAGGGGCAAAACTTGAATTAAAGTCTTCTGACTTCAAATTTCACTTGCTCTACGAAACACTGAAACCTGGAAATCCTACTCTGGATGAGTCTCAGGTTTTCTATGTCCTGCTTAAAGTACAGTTCCCAGAAGCTAATACAGTATTTTAACATGTGACTTACTTAATTTTCCCAAAAGTGTTCTTAGTATGTTCTACTTCCCAGGTAGTATGCATTTCAAAGGAGTCATCAATGCCTTAGCTGAATGTTTTCCAAATTGTGATTTGTGGAGATGCTTCAGCCAGAGAAGCTCTGTTTTCATCTGTTTTCTACATTGGGTTTCCATACAAGATTTCATTTGACAAATCAAACCATTTATCTGGTTAAAAATAAGTTTTAAAAGTACTGCCTAGACCAAAGGAATGATTAACAATTGATGTTTCTTATGCTAGGAAAGACCAATAGAAAAAATATTTCAGGATCTTTCCATGCCCCTTAAATCCCAGATTTCTTCCCTTTTCTCATTGGTCTGTTGCTGCTTCAGCATGCCTGTTGACTCACTCTTTATGGGGTATGACTGTGACACAGAGCAAGCAACTCGGAGATGAGTCCATTTACAGAGCAAACACGGTCCTTACTGAAATCTCTCATTGAAATCTCCCAATTTCTCAGAGAAGTTGATTGTGCTAAAACCTGAGTGAATAAACCAGTGTTTAACTAATGATGTCTTTATGCTTGTACACTACTTTTTCAGGACATATACTTCTGTTTACTGATTTTTTTTTTTTTGAGATGGAGTTCCGCCTCCTGGGTTTAAGCAATTCTCTGCCTCAGCCTCCTGAGTAGCTGGGATTACAGGCGCCCACCACCATGCCCAGCTAGTTTTTTTTTGTTTTTTTTTTGTATTTTTAGTACAGACGGGGTTTCACCATCTTGACCAGATTGATCTTGAACTCCTGACCTAGGGATCCACCCACCTCAGCCTCCCAAAGTGCTGGGATTACAGGCATGAGCCACCGCGCCCAGCCTGTTTACTGATTATTTCTATATGAAAAAAGTCCCTACCTAGCCAGCTTTGAGAATTGCTGTGTTACTTCCTCACTTTGGGCTTCAAACTGCTTTTTCCTGGTTTCCCTTTTTAAAAAAAAAAAAAAAATACCATTTACTTTTCTATTACACTGAAGAATAGTTTATATGATTTGCTCTTAAAACTCTGGCCAGCCAGGCATGGTGGCTCACGCCTGTAATCCCAGCACTTTGGGAGGCCGAGGCAGGTGGATCATGAGGTCAGGAGTTCGAGACCAGCCTGCCCAACATGGTGAAACCCTGTCTCTACTAAAAATACAAAAATTAGCCGGCATGGTGGCGTGCGCCTGTAATCCCAGCTACTCAGGAGGCTGAGGCAGGAGAATCGCTTGAACCCGGGAGGCAGAGGTTGCAGTGAGCTGAGATGGCGCCATTGCACTCCAGCCTAGGTGACAGGGCAAGACTACGTCTCAAAAAAAAAAACAAAAACAAACAAACAAACAAACAAAAAACCTCTGTCCAAGGTGGAGACCATAAGGTAGTTGTTACCAAGCTAGGAGGGAGGTCCAGTTTCAGGAGAAGAACTAGAACAAACTTCTTGAAAGCTCTATCCATGATCTGCACCCTTCACTGCTTGTACACTAAAAAAAAGAAGAAAAGAGTGGGAGAAATAAAGCAAAGAAAGCCCGAGAAGAAGAGCAAAAGAAAGTGGGGTTCTAAGGGATAATAAACATGAAATCCAGCACTCAGACCAATTTATAATGTAAAACATATTTATATTGACAAAGCACTATAACCAAAGGTTTACACACATGAATGAGCATATGTAACAAATTGGGACATTTTTCTCAAATATGCCAAGATTTATGAAGTCTGGCAACAATCCCTTTGCTTTTTCTTATAACAACAGCTGCTAATTCCCTCTGTGACTTCTAACTGCCCAATTTTGTGAAAGTTGGATCAGTTTAAATTTAGAAGATACTCTATTCCAAGAAATAAAGTTCAAAAATGGAGTCATCTTTAAGTTAAATATGTCCAGGCCAAAATGTTGTCTTTCTGCTTCTGTTTCTTCTGCATTTCCTTCAGAAATGGAGAAGTACCAGTTCACTCTAGGTTTTAGCACCAGCTTTGAAATAAGTTGCTGTCTGAACTACAGCAAGCTACTCCTCCCTTCTCTCAGTCTTCTCCTGTGTAAAATAGGTAAATAAAACTAGATAATTTGCAAAGGTCAACCCAATGCTCCCATTATTTGTTCTATTCTTTTTTTAAAAAAAAATGTAGACTTTTAATAACTGCTTTTATCACCAGGTTAAGCCATGCAGTTACAAAGTAGTTAGAAATTTCTGAAGGATATTATAGTTAAAAAAAAAAAAGCTGATTCTTACACATATATTATCTAGCACTTCATGGGGACACTATTGTTCAAAAGGCCCTGGCCAAATAACTCCCAAATGAAACACTCAACCCAAGGTTGGTTTCAGCCCACTGTTAGTGAAGCTGGGTGCAGAATGCAAAGCCTCTAAAAGAAGAGGATACAAAGTCAGGTGAGTAGGGGCCATTGGCAATGCTCAGAGCCAGCCAGACTCCAAACAGGGAGCCCAAGTGGTTTTTTTCTGGGACACTCTACTTGAATTATTGTTTAATTAGTCAACCATAGATCTTCAAAAGAGAACAATTAGTTAACATGATAAAAAGGTTACTGCATTCTTTGGACTATGTGTCATAATTATAACAGCGAATTCTGACAGTTTTAACGAAAATAGCCTCCACCGTTTTGCAGGTATGAAGATAACGTAATTATCCACAGGGCTTTTAATGTTTGCTGGACAACAATACGTGAATGATAAGCTACAAATGAAACTTTTATGATATAAAAATACTGTTTTTTTTCATTTATTATTTTTATAGGCATTCACTGAGTCAAGGTTAGGCTTGTTAAGTGATTAAAGGCAATTTTATTACAGCAGCATGTACTTATTCTATTCTAAAAGAATAAAATTCATAAACAGAAACAGCTTTTATATTTGTTTGCAATCTGCAAAATTGAGTTATTTTGCTGATATAAAATACTAAGAACTCACTTGAGGACCATGCCACCTTCTGAAAAGGCCACACACCTTCTTCTTAAATGTGTTAAAGTTACAGCGTGTCCCAGACTCATCCAGAGCAAAATAAGTAAGCAACTGACTGCTCTTGACTGTCCCTTCCCCAGCACTAGCACTGATTGTGCTGGGAAAAGCCACAGAGCAAGGCTGCACAGCCATATGGAGGAGGCTTTTTATTTAAAGGCAAAATACCAAAATAGCTCTCTGGTGTAGGTGATTTCTACTTTCACACTCAGCTTGTATATTAATTTCTTTCTCCTTAACGGGCTGATTTGGATTGACTTGTTGAGAATGGTATCCATTAGTAATGAGTCAGGAGAGAAAGGGATTTCTGTGGTTACATGTAAACTTGTGGTAGGTCTGCAGAAGTTACACGTGAAGAGGTTAGTGAGGAAGTCAGCCATGATCCATCTATGTGAAGGTCACACCAGCTTCACTGTACACTTTGAAGACTTTTTCAATGGCATTGACATAGGCAGCTGTTCTCAGGTCCAATCCCAGGTTATACTTCATGGCTGTGTGCATAATTTGCCTGGCAGAACGCTCCATTGTGTATGCCAAGGCAGAGTGCACAATGTCTTTCTCAGATGCACCCGATATACTGTCTTGGAACTCTGCCGTGGGTACAATGGGAATAGTTCCACCATGCTTTCCAAATTTTCTTTCTAAACTCTCTTGAACAGACAGGAGCAAGTGGTAGTTAGAATCCCTTTCATATTTGAAGGTCAAACGGCCATAGCTGACATGATTTAGATTCTTCAGCCACTCAAAGTAAGATACTGTCACTCCTCCAGCATTCAAGTAGAGATCTGGAATAACCAAAATGTTTCTCTCCAGGAAGATCTTATCAGCTTCTGGAGTTGTTGGCCCATTGGCACCTTCAGCAATGATCTTGGCTTTGACTCTGGGTGCGTTGGATTTGGTCAACTGCTTCTCAGTGGCAGCTGGGATCAGTATGTCACAGTCGACCTCCAAGATGCTTCCTTCATAGGGCTTTGCCTTGGGGAAGCCCAGAATGGACCCATGTTGCAATTTGAAGTCTTCCAGTTCCTTTGGGTCAATACCATCTGGATTCCATATACTCCCATCAGACTCACCAACAGCAATACATTTAGCACCAAAACGATGTAAATATCTCATAGAGTGTAGGCCCACATTACCAAATCCCTGAACAACAAATGTTTTATCTCTAAACCCTGGTGTCATTCCTAAAATGCTCATGTAAGAAGCTTCATTGATGAAGTTTTCAATCCCATGGAAGACACCACGGCCAGTAGCAGAGATGCGTCCATGGATTCCCCCTTGGCTGATGGGTTTACCAGTAACACAGGCGTGTGCATTAATATCATAGTGCCCTATGGTGCTGGCATAGGTATCAGCAATCCAGGACATCTCCCGCTCACCTGTGTTCATGTCTGGAGCAGGCACATCAACGCCAGGACCAATAAAGCCCTTCTTTGCTAGCTCCATGGTGAACCTCCTTGTGATCTTTTCCAATTCATTTTCGGTATAGTTCTTGGGATTGATCTTAACACCAGCTTTAGCACCCCCAAACGGCACATCAACCACTGCACACTTGTATGTCATCAGAGAAGCCAAAGCTTTTACTTCATCTACACTCACATCAGTGCTGTAACGGATACCTCCCTTGCAGGGCGTGCGGTGCTGGCTGTGCTGGGCCCGGTAGCCTTCGATGACCTCCCAGGAGCCGTCGTCGCGCCGGATGGGGAAGGAGAGACTCAGCACATGGTTGCAGGGCTTGATGATCCGCAGGATGCCGCGCACCCGGTTCCGCTTCTGCTCCTCGCTTTCCTGGGTCCTCAGGTCCTTCACCAACTTGTCCTCCACGATGCTGGCGCCGCGATCGAAGAAGCCCTCCACCATCTTGAAGAAGTTGGGGTCGTCCTCGCGGTCGGCCACCAACTCGCTGTAGTGGCGCCGGGCGGCCAATGCGAGCCCCGGCTGCGAGGCGGCGGCGGGCTGTCCGCGGCCCCGGCCCAGCAACGCGGCCGAGTGGTTGGCCGCGGAGCCCAGGGCAGCGGGCCCGGCCCGGGACGGCAGCAGCGCTTTGGCCAGGTAGCGGTACATCGCGGCAGGCGGAGGAGGGGTGCGTGACGGTCGCGGAACAGGTGCGCTTTCTCAGACTCCCCGCGACTAGGAAGGAAGGGTCCGGCGCGGGTTGCCCTTTTAAGCCGCAGCTTCCTGCCTGCCCGGCTGTCCCCTCCCCTTGGGCGCCACCTAACGGGGAGGACGGACTTTGGGGGCAGGGCGCCAACCAGGGCGCCGGACCTCCGGGTCCGGAGGTCCGGGGCGCCGGACCCGCCGCGGCCTCGCCGGGCCTGGCTGGCCTGTTTGTTCTATACTTCTAATGTTTAATAATTACCCAGAGCTTTGGATATATGCAATTCTGCAAAATAAATCAAAAGGAGTCAGAAGGCAATTTTATTTCCTAATAGACCCTTAGTTAGAATTTAACTTAAAAGCCATTTTTAACAAATGTAAACAATATCTCCCCTCCTCTCCATCAAAGTCTGACGGAGACAAATGAAAAGATTTTTTAGAAGAATAGGACTATATCAAGACCAAAAAAAAAAAAAAAAGCTAAGAAAGGGTACCATCAACAATCTTTACAGAACTTCTGGAAAGTAAAAAGCAAATGGTACTGGCCTGGGGAATAACCAAAGAAAATGAAACCTCAGCCCCGGATGGCAAAGGTAAGTGCAATTCTTCCAAAGAGAGCCCTGAGTGAAATTTTAAACAGGAGTGAACAAAACAAAAAGCAGAGATTGGGCCCTAGAGTACTCATGGCCTTATTTCATTTAATAAGTTGCATCCACAAGCAGTGGACCAGGAGGATCCTGCCCCCTCTCAGATAAAAAAGAGCAATTGGCAATGGCAGCTTTTGCCCCTTGGACAATGGTTCTCAAACTTGAGTATGCAACAGAATCACCTGAAGCACTTATTAAAACACAAATTTCTGAGATTCACTTGGAAAATTCCTTATTCGGCAGTCATGGAATGATTCACCTAACAACATGAAAGCATCCTAGAAGCTTTGAGTTAAACTATTAAATTATTTGCAAGAAAAACAACAATGCTGCCAAAACATACAACATAATGCATGTTAAAAATCACAGGATGTCTTATTATGAAGAACAAGGCAAAGATGCCTACATTTGCCATTTTTATTCAACATAGTATTAGAAGTTCTAATCAGAGGAATTAGGCAAGAAAGAAAAAAAAACAGAAAAAAAGTAAAATTACCTCTGTTCACGTATGGCATGACCTTATGTGTAGCAAACGCCAAATATTATACAGAGGGAGAGAGAGGGAGACAAACACATACACAGAGGTAATATACAAATTCAACAAAGTTGCTGAATACAAAATAAACACAAAAATATCAGCTACATTCCTATATGCTATGAAGTAAATATCTAAAAAGGGAACTAATAAAACAATTCAATTTACAATACTATCAAGAAGAGTAAAGTACTTAGGAATAAATTTAACCAGTGAGGCAAAAGACTTGTACATTGCAAAATACAAAACATTGCTGAAAGAAATTGAAGGAGGCATAAGTAATGAGAAGACATTCTATGTTCATGAATTAGAAAACTTACAATTATTAAAATGGATAATACTTCACAAAAGTGATCTATAGATTTAAAGCAATCCCGATCAGGATCCCAATGATGTTTTTGGTATAAATAAAAAAGTCTATTCTAAAATATATATGGAATTTCAAGGGGCTCAGAGTACTCAAAATAATTTTGAAAAAGAACAATGTTGGATGATTCAAATTTCCTGATTTCAAAACTTACAACAAACCTGAAGTAATCAAAATAGCGTGGTACCAGCATAAGGACAGACATAAACAAATGAAATAGAATAGCCCAAAAATAAACATTAAACATATAATCAGTTAAATTTTTAAAATCTTTTATTTATGTTCAGGGGTACACATGTAGGTTTGTTATATAGGTAAACTCATGACACAGAAATTTGTTGTACAGATTTTTTAGTCACCCAGGTACTAAGCCTAGTCCAATTGTTATGTTTTCTGATCTTCTTCCTCCCACCCTCCTCCCTCTGGTAGGTCCCAGTGTTTGTTGCTCCCCTCTTTGTGTCCATGAGTTCTCATCATTTAGCACCCATTTATAAGTGAGAACATGCAATATTTGGTTTTCTGTTCCTGGGTAAATATGCTAAGAATAGTGGCCTGCAGCTCCATCCATGTTCCTGCAAATAACAGAGTCTCATTCTTTTTTATGGCTGCATAGTATTCCGTGGTGTATATGTATCACATTTTCTTTGGACAATCTGTCATTGATGAGCATTTAGGTTGACTCCATGTCTTTGCTATTCTGAATAGTACTGCAATGAACATTCGTGTGCATGTGTTTTGTTTTTTTTTTAATTTCAATAGGTTTTGGGGGAACGAGTGGTGTTTGGTTACATGAATAAGTTACTTAGTCATGATTTCTGAGATTTTGGTGCACCCATCACCTGAGCAGTGCACCCTGTTCCCAACATGTAGTCTTTTATTCCTTGCCACCACCCACCCATTCCCCCAAGTCCCCAAAGTCCAGTGTATCATTCTTATGCCTTTGCATCCTCATAGCTTAGATCCCAATTATGAGTGAGAACGTACAATGTTTGGCTTTCCATTCCCGAGTTACGTCACTTAGAATAATAGTTTCCAATTCCACCCAGGTTGCTGTGAATGCCACTATTTCATTCCTTTGTATGGCTAAGTAATATTCTATGGGATATATATATATCACATTTTCTTTATCCACTCATTGATTGATGGGCATTTGGGCTGGTTCTATATTTTTGCAATTCTTTGAACTGTACAATACGATAATTGTGACACAACCTATCAAAACCTCTGGGATACAGCAAAAGCTGTGCTAAGAGGAAAGTTCATAGCACTAAATACCTACATCAAAAAGTCTGAAAGAGCACAAATAGACAATCCAAGGTCACACCTCACGGAACTGGAGAAAGAACAATCCAAACCCAAACTTAGCAGAAGAAAGGATATAAGAAAAATCGGAGAAGAACTAAATGAAATTGAAACAAACAAAAATTACAAAAGATAAATGAAACAAAAGGCTTGTTCTTTGTAAAGATAAATAAAATTGACAGATCATTAGTGAGATAACCAAGAAAAGAAGAGAGAAGATCCAAATAAGCTCAATTAGAAATAAAACAGGAGATTACAACTGATACCACAGAAATAAAAAAGATCATTTAAGGCTACTATGAACACCTTTATGAGCATAAACTAGAAAACCTAGAAAAGATGGATGAATTCCTGGAAATATACAACCCTCCTAGATTAAACTAGCAAGATACAGAATCTCTGAACAGAATCTCTGAACAAGCAGCAAAATTGAAATGGTAATCAAAAAATTGCCAACAAAAAAAAGGGACCCGAGGACAGGCCTACTCAGCCTGATTCCACCTACTAGTGCTGAACATGCCATCAGGTGGTCTGGGAATTGCCCTGCCCCATAAACCACCATTAACACCAGAGCACTCTTCCCAGGGTCCTGGGAATGAGCCCACCCAACCTGATGCTACTACCACAGCAGGCATCCACTCACACATGCCACATGCAGGCCTGGGTACTAGCCCACCCAGCCCATTGTAGTCACTGCCAACACTAGTGAGGACCAATTGCAAGGCAGAGGATTATCCTGCCACTGCTACTGCCATCACCATGCCACGCCCACTGCCAAGAGGCCTGAGGATATGGCCACTCACCCAGCCCACTTCTGCCACTGCCAACATGTGAGCAAGCTACCTGGAGCCCCAGGAATCAGCCCACCTGGACCAACTAATGCCAATGCCAGCTTATGCCACCCAGAGGCCCAGTGACAGGCATGCTCAGCCTGATGTTTTCACCAATAAAGCCTGAGCACTGGCCAACCTGATATACCTGTGACCACGAAAATGTCACAGCCTGTACTAGCAGCTGCACCCTATGCCACTGAGAAAATCACAGGCACCACTGACACTGCTTACAGCCAAAAAAATCATATGGAGACTGCAATACTGCACATACACAGAATCAAAGCACTACCCAACCAATATCATAAATACATCTTCAGGAAAAAGTTCTTCCCTACAAAAGCAAATTCAAAAATTGGAAGAAGCAACTGTTACACCAGATGCACAGACATCAGTGAATTAGCACAAGAAACATGGAAAAGCAAGGGAAAATGACACTTCCAAAGGAATATAATAATTCACCAGCAACAGATCCAATCAGAAAGAAATTAACAAAATGCTGAATAAATAATGGAAAATACAGATTTTTAAGAAGCTCAGTAAGACACACGAGAACTCCGAGGAACTATACAAAAAAATCAGAAAAACAACTTAGGATATAAATGAGAAATTTACCAGACAGATATCACTTTAAAAAGCAGCAAATAAATTCTAGAAGAATTTATGGAATGAAATACAAAATACATTTGAAAGCATAAATAATAGGCTAAATCAAGCAAAAGAAAGAATTTCAGAACTTGAAGACTGCGCTTTTGAAATAAACCAGTCAGACAAAAATGAAGAAAAAAGAATAAAAAGAATGAGAAAAGCCCATGTGAAATATGGGACACCATACAGCAACCAAATATTTTGGATTTTTAGTGTCCCAGAAAACAGAAAGAAAATAAAAGGGATAGAAAACCTATTTAATAAAATAATAGCTGAAAACATCCGAAGTCTAAAAAGAGATTTAGACATGCAGATACAGGAAGCTCAGAGATCCTCAAATAGATGTAATTCAACAGGTCTTGTCTTTTTTCCCAAAATGAATGACTAGGGACATTGGATGCCAGTTCTCCTCAGAAAGATCAAAGTTACTGGTGAGTGCATGTTCCAAATAGAAAACTGTGGGAAGAGAGCCAGGACCTGTCAAAAACTCCTAGAGGAAGAAGCTGGAGTGCAGAAACAGAAAGCAGCAAGAATCAGACAAAGTTTGACCCCCAAGGAACTCAGATCCCTGCAGAAAGTGTAGGTAGGAGTGTTTCTCTGCTTCCCCCACCCCTGTAACAGTCTGCTGACTGCCAAACCATTGGAGAGCCCCTCTGCCCTTATGGCCCTGGGCAATACTGTTGGTTGTGATTTGAGAGCTTCCTAGGGGCAGAGAACTGAAAGGTCATCTCATGCAGGCATGATTGCATGCCGCTCAGACACAAACTGAGACAGTGGGTGTCATACCAGTTGTAGCTGTGGTGCGCCACTGCCCTGCCCAAGGAATCTCTGCCTTGAGTCCCCACACCACCAGTTTCCCTGCAAACATACCCCACAACCCACTCTGATTTTGGCAAACACGGGAGACTGGTGGGTCACCAGGGAGTTATATAGGACTCCTAGAGATCTCACCCTCAGCGTGGGCCACCTCTAACGGAGGGGGGAGTGCAACCTGCCACAGAATTCTTTCTTGGGATAAAGAATACACAGGCACGGCACCAATTTCTGAAGGGAGTAGCACCAGTAGCCAGGAATGGATGCAAAGAGTCGGTCATCTCTTAACCTACTCCATCCACTCTTGCGGACACAGCAGTTTCTCCCCTGCTGGGGGCCAGCACACATTCAATTGGAGAAAGCACTCTTTTTTAAAATATTTTGATCTTTTTTAAAAAACGTTCTGGGATACATGTGCAGAATGTGCAGGTTTGTTACATAGGTATACATGTGCCATGGTGGTTTGCTGCATGTATCAACCCATCATCTAAGTTTCAAGACCCACATGCATTAGGTACTTGTACTTATGCTCTCCCTCACTTGGCCCTCCACCCCTCAACAGGCCCCAGTGTGTGATGTTTCCCTCCCTGTGTCCATGTGTTAACATTGTTCAACTCTCACTTATGAGTGAGAACATGCGGTGTTTGGTTTTCTGTTCCTGTGTTAGTTTGCTGAGAATGATGGTTTCCAGCTTCATCCATATCCCTGCAAAGGACATGAACTCATTCTTTTTTATGGCTCCATAGTATTCCATGGTGTATATATGCCACATTTTCTTTATCCAGTCTATCGTTGATGGGCATTTGGGTTGGTTCCAATTCTTTGCTATTGTAAATAGTGGTCCAATAAACATACATGTGCATGTGTCTTTATAGCAGAATGATTTATAATCCTTTGCGTATATACCCAGTAATGGGATTGCTGGGTCAAATGATATTTCTGGTTCTAGATCCTTGAGGAATCGCCACACTGTCTTCCACAATGGTTGAACTAATTTACACTCCCACCAACAGTGTAGAAGCATTCCTATTTCTCCACAGACTTGCCAGTATCTGTTGTTTCCTGACTTTTTAATGATCGCCATTCTAACTGGCGTTAGATAGCATCTCATTGTGGTTTTGATTTGTATTTCTCTAATGACCAGTGATTAGCTTTTTTTCATATGTTTCTTGGCCAAATACATGTCTTCTTTTGAGAAATGTCTGCTCATATCCTTCACCCACTTTTTGATGGGGTTGGTTTTTTTCCTTGTAAATTTGTTTAACTTCCTTGTAGATTCTGGATATTAGACATTTGTCAGATGGATAAAATTTCAGATGCAAAAAAATTTCTTCCATTCTGTAGGTTGCCTATTCACTCTGATGATAGTTTCTTTTGCTGTGCAGAAGCTCTTTAATTAGATCCCATTTGTCAATTTTGGCTTTTGTTGCCATTACTTTTGGTGTTTTGGTCATGAAGTCTTTGCCCATGCCTATGTCCTGAATGGTACTGCCTAGGTTTTCTTCTAGGGTTTTCATGGTTTTAGGTTTTAGGTTTAAGTCTTTAACCTATCTCGAGTTAATTTTTTTATAAGGTGTAAGGAAGGGGTCCAGTTTCAGTTTTCTGCATAATGCTAGCCAGTTTTCCCAACACCATTTATTAAATAGGGAATCCTTTCCCCATTGCTTGTTTTTCTCAGGTTTGTCAAAGATCAGATGGTTGTAGATGTATGGCGTTATTTCTGAGGCCTCTGTTCTGTTTCATTGGTCTATATATCTGTTTTGGTACCAGTACCATGCTGTTTTGGTTACTGTAGCCTTGTAGTATAGTGTAGCATAGTTTGAAGTCAGGTAGCGTGGTGCCCCCCACCTTTGTTCTTTTCGCTTAGGATTGTCTTTGCTATACAAGCTCTTTTTTGGTTCCATATGAAATTTAAAGTTTTTTTTTCTAATTTTGCGAATAAAGTCAATGGTAGCTTGATCGGAATAGCACTGAATCTATAAATTACTTTGAGCAGTATGGCCATTTTCACGATATTGATTCTTCCTATCCATGAGCATGGAATGTTTTTCCATTTGTTTGTGTCCTCTCTTATTTCCTTGAGAAGTGGTTTATAGTTCTCCTTGAAGAGGTCTTTCACGTCCTTTGTAGGTTGTATTCCTAGGTATTTTATTCTCTTTGTAGCAATTGTGAATGGGAGTTCACTCATGATTTGGCTCTCTGCTTGTCTATTATTGGTGTATAGGAATGCTTGTGATTTTTGCACATTGATTTTGTATCCTGAGACTTTGCTGAAGTTGCTTATCAGCTTAAGGAGTTTTTGGGCTGAGACAATGGGGTTTTCTAAGTATACAGTCATGTCATCGGCAGAGAGACAATTTGACTTCCTGAGGATTGTTCTGAATGGAAAGTTTACTGTACTGAATAGTGCACATTATGTATGCAAGTAACAAGTGACAATTCAAAGGCCCCTTATGAGATTGTTTCACCACAGCACATTCACAAATCTCCATACAAAAATGTGTTTAGTTATTCTCCATGGTCTAGATTTGCATGTGGATGTATTTTAGCTCCTGACCCAAACTCTGCATGGTAAAATTAATCCTTGGAGCTACTGAATTATAAAGCTGGAAGTTTCCAACAGAGGTCCCAGTGTTGGCCACAGCTCCAGATTTATGAACTCATGAAACGTTAACTGCATTTCTCTGTGATTTGTGTCTCATTCTGTTTTTCACATATGATGTATAAGTGAAGTACGCTATCCCCAGATGACATCAGTGCCCTGATAAACCTATAAAATGCTCTTGTGTTTAACTGTCTTCATACCCTAGCAACATAAGAATTGAATGATATGAAGATGAATGGAACATCTACAGATTTCTTAAAGCTACTGGTTTTACTGTCCTAAGCTGAAAGAGTACTAAGTGGGTCAAAGCCCAACATGAGCTAACTGGGCTCTATCAGCAGAAGTTCTGGTAGGATGACTGGGCTTCCTGGGTGATCTCCAAAAACTTTTTTTTTCTCACATTTCCTTCAGGGACAATGGTACATATTACTTTGGGGGAAAAACTGCTATCTGTATTTGCTGTAGTAAGGATTGCCAGTTAGACAACATTCCTAACAATCGTCCCTCAGACCAAGACCATGGAAGCAGATGGGCAGCACTAAATTTCATGAAGCCTTGTGCTATGGTCTGAGTGTTTGTGTCTGCCTAAAATTCATACGTTGAAACCTAATCACCAATGTGATGGTATTAGGAGGTGGGGCTGGTACTAATCTACTACTTGGATATGTCTGGGCACATATGGAAGGATTATGAATGAATGATGAATAGGATTAGTGCCTTTATAAAAGAGGTTCCAGAGAGCTGCTTTGCTTCTTCTACCATGTGAGGACACAGCTAGAAGGCTGTGAACCAGAAAGTGGGCTCTCACCAGACACTGAATCTGCTGGCACCTTGATCTTGTACTTCCTAGCTTTCAGAAATATGATAAATACATTTTTGTTGTTTATAAGCTACCCAGCTTATGGTATTTCGTTATAGCAACCCAAATGGGCTAAGAAACCTTAGTTCTAAAGACATTACATAACTGCTGTGAAAGGCTGACCCTAATAGAACAGACAGGTGATTCCTCTTGTTTGGGCAATTGGCCAATCAAATTCAAAAATGGCGAAAGGACATAAAAATGAACCAAGCATCAGAGCCATTGGAGCTTGAAACAAAGCCAGTCTCAGGTTAGATAATCCCCATGGCCAAAAAAGGGCCACAGACATAAAGAACATCGCAAGAATATGAATGGGAAAAGGGAAAAAGACAAAGAAGCATATGGAAAAAGAGGGGCTTAACAGAAAGGGAGTGGAGGATATCGGATGCCCTAGATAAGGTAAAGTAGGTGGTGCCAGTTGAAGGACCAGCCAGCAGAGCAGCATCAGGAATTCAAAAGGACAAAGCAATCTCATCTAATCTCCTTGCAATAAAATTTGTCATACAAACCAGGAGACTTTTGGTAGTAAAAAGAGGGTGCTCCTAATAATTATACCAGACCTACAGGTGCACATTGGACTTTTCTCTGGCTGACTGGTCAACCTTTCCATAAGATCCTCTATGATCAGGCTCCTAGCTACCTGCCTTCTCACACTCATCCTACTCTGAAGCAAAAGCCTGTTCTCAGGTACCTCTGCTATTCTAAGAGCAAAAGCCAACTTCTTTCCCACAGAGAAGCTCCTATTCATGTTTCATATGACCGCACACAAGAGCCCTAGCTGGTTATCTCAAGTTCCCAGGCCCACCATACTAAAGAGACTAAAGTAAAATCAACAGACCTCAACACTACCTTCTCATAAGTTATTCTAATTCAAGGACAAAAGACAAATCTATCTCATTCCGGGCCCTAAGGTTTTATCCTGTGGATCAAGCCAGAGAGTACCTTGGTCACATGCATGCTTCTAGAAAGAGCACAGTGCAGAGGATTGTTAGAAGGACCCTGTTGACCAGAAGCCTCATTGATAACATAAACAGTCAATTAACATATATTTTGTATGTTATATGTATTATATATTATGTTCTTATAATAAAGTAAGATAGAGATAAGAAAAGAAAATCATAAGGAAAAGAAAATACATATACTATTCATTGAGTGGAAGCAGATCACCATAAAGGTCTTCATCCTTGTCTTCACATGGAGGAGTCTGAGGAGGAGGAGAAAGAGGAGGGTTGGCCTTGCTGTCTTAGGGGCTGCAGAGGCTGAAAAGGTGGAGGAGGTGGAAGGGAGGCAAGAGAGGCAGGTACACAGAGTGATTTTACTGAAAAAAATTTGCATATAAGTGGACCTGTGCTGTTCAAACTTGTGTTGTTCAAGGGTCAACTGTACTTAGTAGATGTGCAATACATACCTGTCAGCTGCTTTATGGGTATGTTGGCTACAGCAGGACTTTATCTCACTTCAAATACTTTGCAAAAGACACCACGGGGTGTGTCAGACTATACATCTTCCTTTAGACAACTCCCATTAATGGTGAGAGATGCATTTAATGAATGAAAATGAACTCATAAATAGAACATTTAAAAGAATATATTAGAAACATCACAGAGCTAAAAACCTCCAGAGCAAGGAAGGGAAGCAGTGCACAAATTCAGCCCTCAAACAGCAAAAGCTTCACAGTCCAGTGCTAGTAAAAATTGGTCAGAGACGCTAGGATAATAGGAATTATCAGGCCTGTGTCAAGGTTATCAAAACATACCATCTTTTCCAAGAAAGCACTGGAAATCCAAGTCTCCACCAGCCTATGCCCATGGAAATCATTCTGCCTGCAGAAATTGTTCCACCAGAGAACAAGCTAGCACAAGTCCAAGTTGCTCCTTCGAGCAAAGTGTAAAGTCAAAAATGACTTCTCCAGGCCTATGACTCATTAGTGTTCCGTGATTTAAACATTTTCTTTTTTCAATCACCTCCTTACCCAATCCCCAAAGAGAGGAAAAATTTAAACTTTAGACCTTCAAAGCAAGTCAAATGATAGGTTAGTCTAACTGAACAAACGAGGTGATTCAGTCTTCCAAAGTGGCAGAGGGGGGAAATTTATTGCTTGTCTCACGCATCCTTCAATATTACCTGCAAAGCAAGCAGATTTAAAGTAACCTTAGCTTGGTGCTGAGGATTTTTTGGCCCAACTCCAAAGCTACTTCCATTATATACATTTTGCACATACACATACACATATATACAGAGACAAATGTCTTTGCCATACCAAGATCATTCAGTATCAAGACAATTAAATCCTCTCTAAAATAAAGCCCCATTTTTGACTAATTAAATAATGTCTAAACACACTGAACAGTGCCAATGCTTTAGAAATGCTTGTTCACTGTTCTAGCACTCCTTAACAAAAAGATAGTTGTCAACAAGGAGAAGTAATTTGCATCATCAGGTTAAAACCCTTCCTCTCTCCTCCAGCCCTGCTATCACTTACACACCCACACCAACCACCACCACAAACTTAGATCTAGACAGTTTTGGAAAGGCGATTTTAAAGTCTATCTAAGAGTTTATTTTTTTTGCAGCCTTTGGCATTTTAGCTTTAAAGTGCTTCTCTCTCATTTTCCAGCAGTCTCTGAGCCAGTCAGTTCCCATTCCATAATTCCACAGGGCGGCATCATTATGCATGGCTTATAGTACTTTAGGGAAAAGGATGGAATGTAAACATTTCCATCCAAGCACACATTATCAAACTGAGCAGGCAGTGTAGGTGGGTGATGTACAACCTTAGACATGACATCGGTATTTAAGGCAGGAATTTCTCCCACAAAATATGGAATGGAAGGAGGAAGACAAGGAACTGTATAAATATCACACAAATCCAAGGCTGGTTGAAGTCTCACTGCTGGTGCCACCCTGCTAGTGTTAAATTTTCACAAGATAAAAGTATATTCGTCCCCCTTATACACAGTTTTGCTTTCTGTGGTCTCTCTTGGGCAACCTCAATTTGAAAATAGGTGAGCACAGAACAGTAAGATATTCTGAGAGAGAGAGAAAGAGACCACAGTCACATAACCTTGATTACAGTATATTTTTATAATTGTTCTATTTTATTGATTCATTATTGTTGTTAATCTCTTCTTGTGCCTAATTTATAAATTAAACCTTATCACAGGTACATGTGTACAAGTATATATAGAATATATATAGTATATGTAGGATTCAGTACATCCATACTTTCAGGCATTGACTGGGAATCTTGGATCATATCGCCCACAGTTAAGGGGGAACTACTGTAACTCCCTTCAAACAAATTTTTGAAGTCCAGGAAGGAGGCCTCTCTGCCTACCTAATGCCAATACAAGTAGGATTAGTCCATTCTCTTTCTATGACTTGATGATCTTAATATTCTATGGCTATAGTCTAGACAGGTTGATTCAACATATATTGCCTACAATGAAGAATATCAATAATGCATTCTACTGTTCAGGTTTTCAATGAATTCAAGTAAAATGAGAATACCTGGACAAACATAAAAACTGAATCTCAGCCACCAATTCTCTCCTACCCCACTACTCAAGCAATTTTAGTCCTTCACTATTTTATTAATGTCACAATTAGTCATAAAATGCCCCATAAATACCATCTTCATTCTTACCTCTGTGCCTTATTAACTGTTTCATGAGTCTCCTTTTCAAAAGTCCATCTTACTCTAGTGTTTAGCTCATCTCACCTTCTCCATGAAGTCTTTCACTACTCTTCAATAAACAATAATCCCTCATTTCCTGAACTTCTAGAGCAGTGGTTTTCAAACTTCAGCATGATCAGAATCTCCTAGAGAGCTTGTTAAAACAAAAATTACTGGGACCCTCTGCCAGAGTTTCTGATTCAGTAAATCTGGGGTGGGGCCATAAAATTTGCATTTCTAACAAGTTCTCAGGCAATGCTGATGCTGCTGGCCTAGGAACCACACTTTAAAAACCAAAAATCTACAGTATTTATTTTTAGCATATCTAGCTCTTGATTATAGATTATCATTTGTTATTCTTCAGTTGCTTTATGAATACATGTTTGTATCAGATAAGACTTTATGCTACGAAAAAACAGAAAATCCAGTGCAAACTGACTTAAACAAAAAGGGGATTTATTTTCTCACTTAACTGAAACATGCAGATACTAGTTGATGTAGCAGCTCAATGATATCTTCCGGGACTCAATATCCTTATATCCTTCTACTCCACTATCCTCAGTGTCAACTTTGTCCTAAGACTGGTACATCTCTTGACAACCATATAACTGCCAGCCACAATCAAGACTACATTATTACAACATCCAAAGAGACACACAGAACTTCTCACCAGCATTCCAAATAAGAGTACTGAAATTCCCCCTGACTGGGTGGCCTGAAGCAAGTAACCTGTTAAGGAGAGGGGGGAATACCAGAAAGAAAGTCTGAATATGGTTAGAAAGAGGGTTAGAAAATGGATCCTGGAAAAACACCCTATATAAGCCTACTACCACACAACTCAACAAAAGTATAACATCAACTAGGGTAGTGACAGTATCATCTACCTCCCTTACGTTACAGAGGGAGCACTCAATAAACACTGGATGATTCATTGCTTTTTTTAAGAAAAAATTCTACCAATTGATTTAGATGCAGCCTTATAATATAGACTAGCTATCTATATATGTATCAGCTAACTGATTAAATTTCATTTCCATTTGAATTTCATGCAGAAAATGTTGATAAGAGCTTTCTGTGTTTTTCTTGTATACATTTAAATAAGCCAGCATCATTTTAGACTTTTATTTTTTGTGACCAACATGAAACATTATTATTCCCAATTTACGATGAGAATAATTAATTTTCTTTAAAATGAGTTTTTATCTAAAACATTCATGAGAAACTAGTTCCACTGCCTCAAAAAAAATGTCTGGCGTATGAGTATTGAAACAGCTCTCACTGCCACGGACCACTGTGATTGTTAGAAAGCCTCATTTTATATATTGAGCTAAAAAATCAGTTTCCTTACAACTTTTACTCATAGATCCTAATTTTACTATTAGGGGCCACACAAAACAAGTCTTCCTTAAGATATTGACCGTATATTTGGCATATATTTGAATGTAGATGTCTCATACACTAGAAACTAACAAGACCATCTTTGATATGCTACTTCAAAGAAAAACCAAGTTGAAAAAAATACATGGCAAGATTTTATATTAGTTTCCTAGGCTGCTGTAATAAAAATACCACAAACCAAGTGGCTTGGAACAATAGAAATTTGTTCTATCACAGTCCTAGATGTCCAAAATGAAGGTGCTGGCAGGGCCATGCTCCTTCTAAAGGCTCTAGGGAAGAATCTTTCCCTTGTCTCTTTCTAGCTTCTGGCGGTTGCCAGCAATCCTTGGCATTCCTTGGCTTAGAGCTGCGTCACTTCACTCTCTGCCACCATCATTACATGGCCTCTTCCCTTGTGTTTCTCTGCTGTGCCTCTGTGACAGAATCTGCCTTTTCTTTCTCTTATAAAGATGCCAATCACTGGACTTAAGCCAACCTTAATATAATATGACCTCACCTTAACTTTATTAATATGTGCAAAGACTCTATTGCTAAAAAGGTCATATTCACAGGTACTAGGGGTTAGGATATGAACATATATTTGGGGGCAAGCACAATTCAACCCATTACAACTGTATAGGGCATCAATATTCTCAAAAATTATATAAGTCTGTATGCTTAAAATATTTCATGACTTCAAAAAAGTTTAAAGAGGAATTATGTCAGTAGAAGGTAAGATAAGTTCACATAAATATTCCAAAAACAGTAAAGGAGAAAACCCACATTTCGCTGCTCATAAGTAGTAATTCAAATGTTAATAACACTCCAGTTGAGTGTTTACTACATATCAAAACTATCTTGAGCTCTTTACATGCATTAGCTCATGCATTCCTCACAACAGTCACATGGTAGGCATGGCAGATAGACAGAACAATAATGCAACCCTTCCTTTCCCCAAAAAGATGTTCACATTTGTATCTCAGAACGTGTAAATATGTTACTTTGCATGGCAAAAGGGCCATGTACAAACGTGATTAAAGTTACAGACCTTAAAATAGGGAAATTATTCTGAATTATCTGAATGGGCCCAATCTAATCATATGAGCCCTTAGAGAACCTTTCCAGGCTAGAGTGAGAGAGAGAGAGACAGACACAGAGTGACGTGATGGAAGAAGCAGCAAGAGAGATTCAAAGAGTGAGAGGGATTCAATCCATTGTTGCTGAATTTGAAGATGAAGGACGGGGCCATGAGCCAAGAAATGAAGTTGGCCTCTGCAAGCTGGGAAGATCCCAGTGGACAGCCAATGAGGAAATGGAGACCTTAGGCCTACAATCACAGAAAACTGATTTCTGCCAACAATCTGAATGAACAAGGAAACAGATTCTCCTGTAGAGAGTCCAAAAAGGCATGCAGCCCTGCCAATAACCTGCTTTTAGTCCAGTAAGGACCTTGTCAGACTTTTAACCTATATAAGATAATAAATTTATATTCTTTTAAACCACTAAGCTTATGGTAATTTGTTACAGCAGATAAAAAACTAACACAGTAGGTCAATATTATCACTACCATTTACAGACCAAAAAGCAAGCAATTCATTTCAGAAATATTAAGTAATATGTCTAAGGTCACACAAATACTAAGCAGCAGAACAGAAATTTAAAAAGAAATGTTCCTCAAAGTAAAGCTCATGCTTTTTTTTTTATCACAACGTTATACTGTTCATCTCAAGAAATGATAAGATCCCAAGGAAGTTAGTTTTAAAAATAAAAGAAACAAAAATTATGTTGACCCAGTGCCTCATCACATATGGTACTGACACTCATGTCAATAAATTTAAGCAGACAACTTTTATGGCCTAAAAAATGCTTGACTACAACAGCAGAGTTGACTTTCAGAAGATTTATATGTGAGCAAATATATATTTGTAAACCTTTTCCTCTCCCCTTCTTTTCCCTTATCCCTCCCCCTCCAATATCCCACCAACCTAAAATATTGTTATACAGCAAACAGCCAAGGAGAGCCAAGACGTTCCTCAAAAATAAGTTTGGGAGACTTGTTCCTCTCTTTAAAACTTCAAAACTTCATACGGCCACAGTAATTAAGATGGGATAAGAAAACAGACCAATGGAATGAAACAGAGACTCCAGAAACAGATTTATGCATATATGAAAACTGGATAGGTGACAGAGCTTGCCATTGATAATCATAGGAGAACGAGTAGACTATTTTAGAAATGGTTCTGGAATAATTGACTGTTTATATGGAGGAAAAAAATGAAATTGGATCACCATGTCACTCCATACAAAATCAATAGCAGATCAATTAAATGACTCCATTTTATTTGTGAATATTCTCAACTTAATGACAGTATAGTTATTTGCATAAGTGCAATAAGAAACTGTTTTCTTTTGTAACAGGACACAACTGGAGAAACTAGTTATTTCACCAAGGCTTTGACTGGAATGGCATGCTTCTTTAAAGAATCAAAGTTGACTTGTAGAGCCAATAAAAGCCCCTTGGGAAATGTGGCCTCATACCTTGTCTATGCCATCTCTGTACAAGATTCCCGACTTGTGGTAAGTAAAGAATGTCAACTTTCTAACAGGTCCAGGAGCCCCAAGCTATATAGGAACCTCAAGAGGAGAGGAGAGGAATTTAGCCAACTCGTAGGTATTTGAGGGTACGAACCCATAGCTGGGCTCAGCTTTATAAAAGTCTTATCTAAGATTCCTTATGGAATAGAGTTCCATCGAAGCCAATTTTTAAAGCCTATGTGAAAAATCATTATTCTTGCTGTACTTTATGCAAATAATCAGGCCAAGTACAATAAGACTAAAGTTTATGTTGTAAACAACTCAATTATATCATGATTTGTTATTAATAAACATGGGGACTGGAGAGAGAAAAATTACGGTTCAAAAGAAAAAATATAGTATACCTGTTGTTAGCTGTTCTCAAAGTTTTTTTCTGCAGTTTGGACTAAATCCTTGAGGGCTACAAGTCCCCAAACTAATATTTTCAAATCTTTACTTTTAAAACTAAGAATTGCACCCCTTACCCTAGTACTCAATATTTACCTTATAGTATGCTGTTCTCTTAAATGTGGTACTAAAACTATAGATGACAATACTAACACCTTTGCCATGCAAACCTTGGAACCCCAACCAGGCCTGCATGAGTATGCTCAGACAGTTGCAAAGTGGTTCCACTCCTCTCACCTTGGGGTCAACACCTACCCCCACTATCCCCCTGATCAGCAGGAAGAAGTTAGAGCGGTCTTCACACTTTTTCCATCTTCATTAGCCAACACTTTAAGATTAAGGTGTTATAAAATCCAAAGGGAAGGACTGAAGCAACCATTGCAAAATTATAACTGAAGACAGTGAAACAGATCTAGTCTAACCAATGCCATCTTCTAACCTCCAAACTGTCCTTGTTCATTCCTGGGCAAAGGCTGAACTAACTTTGGGAGGAACTTAGTTTATAGTACAAAACAAAGACAATAACAGCCCTTTCCCAAAACAAACCTCCTTCTTGCCTGGTGACTAAACTGCCTTTGTAGGACTAACAAATTAGCCACAGGATTAAAAATTATGGTTTAGGAGTCATGCAGCTGGAGGCCACAAGATTCTGACCCTCCCTAAACTGCTCCCAAGATCAGTGTTTGAGAGATTTCGCAGACCCTGCATTCGATCGATCAGCTGGCACCACCCAGATCGATAAACTGACTCATCTGATCTTGTGGCTTCCACACAGGAACTGACTTAGTCCAAAAGGACAGCTTCAATTCCCTATTATTTCATCTTTGACCCAACCAATCAGCACTCTTGACTGACTGGCCTTCCCCCACCCACCAAATTATCCTTAAAAACTCTGATCCCCAGATGCTTGGGGAGACTGATTTGAGTAATAATAAAACTCAGGTCTCCCCCCAGCCAAAAAAAAATACTCCATTTGAAAGTCCAAACCTACAAATAAATAAGGGAAAGTATCCTTTTTGACTTCAGGTTAGGGAAAACATTTTAAGCATATCAGAAAAGCACTAAAGAAAAATATTGATAAGTTTAATCCATCAAATTTGAGAACGTCTGTTTATCAGAAGACACCATGAAGAAAATTAAAAGGCAACCTACAAACTTATAGAAGATAACTGAAAATCATATAACAAAGAATCAATATTGGGGGTATATAATGAACTCATACAAATCAATAAGGAAAAGACAAATTGTTCAACAGAAAAAAATGTTCCAATAATATGAATGGGTATTTTTTTAAAGAGGAATTATAAATGACCTATAAAACATGAAAAGCTGCTCAATCTCATTTGCAATCAGAGAAACACAAAATTAAAAACATAACAATAAGAATTTTACTACTGCCAAATTGGTAATAAATTAAAAGTCTATTAATGTGAAGTATTGGTGAAGATGTGGAGCAAAAACTTTTATAGTCTGCTGACAAATTGGTAGGACCACTTTGGAAACGTTGAGTATGTTTATTCTCTATGATCTTGTGGTTCCAAACATATATATGCACCCTAGAAAAATTCTTGAACATGTACAAGAGACATACACAAATGTTTCATTCTTTCTGTCTCTCCAAATCCCTGGCATCAATAGTAGTGTCAATAGTAGCACTTGTAATTGCAAAACCTGGGAACAAACCAAATATTCCCCAACAAGACAACAGTTAAATTATAATATATTCATACAATGAAATACACTGCTGAAAATGAATTAAATACAGCTACATGCATTAACATAAAAATATCTCAGAAATATGTTAAGGGAATAAAGGAAGTCATGGTATCATTTCATCCATAGAAATGTAAAAACATAAAACTAAACAAGATTTTGGATAAAGATATATACACATAATTTTTAAAACTGAAAATAGCAAGAGAATGAGGAACACAAAATTTAGCATAGTGCTTTCCTCTTGTTGGAGGTGATAATGAGTGAGGGGGTGCTGCAGGGCTTGCAAATGCACGAATAATACTCTGTTTCTTAAGCTAGAGATGGGTACTCACCTATTATTCTTTTGCCCATATGATATAGTTCACTATAAACATTTTATACATCAGTGTAGAAAATATATATTGTGAGGAGTTGTTTTCAAGCTGTGTTTCTCTGAGCTGCCTAAATAACCACTGTAAGAGAGAGTAATTGGGGTGGCCAGAGCAGTAGGAGTGTTAAGGAGGTAAGACTCTGGGCTCTCCCACTTCAATTTCACTCAGAGCAGCTGCATCCATCTGAATATAGAGGAGGTTGGAAAAGAACTTCAAGCAGGATTATTCTGCAGAAAGAAGGGTACACACTGAATTACAAGGTCCCCTTGTACAGTTAGGTATTTGTTTATATAGCATTAGCTATTTGGCAGAGGGCCAAATATATCAAAAACTCAAGTATCAGCAGCCATTGCCCAGTGATGACAAATTCAAACTTAAGGTAAAATAGTTGTGAAATGATATTATAGGTCAAGGTGAGAAAACTGGTACGTATTTACTTGCAACCTTTCAGGAACCCATCAACAATGAAATGGATAAAGAGGGGTGGCTTTTCTCTAAGCTTCTATCCTTGGTTCCTTCTTCCAACCAGCTGTAAGTTTCATAATGATTTCCAACATCATAAAGTGGTCTGTCTCATTCTTTTTCCCCCTACCTCAGCTGTTCACTCTCTCTCTCATTCATTCTCTCCAATAAAATGTTCCATGTGACTATAAATTTTTTCTTTTATAAAATGTGTCAGCAAATGTGAAAAATTTTCAACTTCTCATTATTTCAGTCTCTCCAAATCCTTAACATCAATCATATGATATTACTGCAAAAATATTCTAATCTAGCTATATGATTCAGCAATTCCAGTATATAAATGCATACCATCAAAAATGTTTTTATGGCTTTTATTTTTTCTTTTCAATATAGCATTTTCAACCTGGTGCAACATCCCCGTTTTGTCTTTTTGTCTGGCAGAGGTCACTTTTGACAGTGCCTTTGTGTTTCAGCAGAAATGGATAATCTGCTTCATAAGGGTAGTTTTATGCTCTGACTTACCCTTTAATTACTTTTTAATAATGTATTTGGTATATTTTTGCATGGCAGTTCATCACTTTCTTTGCAAAGTTTCTTTGTAAGTGAGAATGAAAACATTTATTCTGAATAGTATTGAATGAAGCTATTACAGAGAAGGTATATCCTCACTTCACAATAGGCATAGGTTATGAAAAGGTGGGTACAGATGAAATTTCCGTAAATCCAGCCTTATCTTTCCATAAACAAATATGTTCATTTCTAATATGCTTTCTATTCATATTTGAGTGATTATCACTGATTGATTATTCGCCCTTTAACTCATTATTTTATTTAGTTCTCTCCTCCAAGTTGTTAATATTCTATAAATATACATCAAATGCACCAAGAGAATGTAATATTTAAAGAACCAAAAGGAGAAGTTTTGGGATATGGGAAGGCATTTTGTAATGCAACTAATCACCTTCCTAATTTGTTGAGGCTTTTAACTTTGAACTTCATTTACAGATAAATACTCTTATAAATGAATACCTATATAAAGGATTCTGTATAAAAAAGGATTTCTAAGTCCTAATGGATGATCTTGTACTCAGTAAAGGAGTTACTCTATGCACTGCATCACAAACTAGTGTACCAACACCGACGGGAGATATAGCAGTGTTCTATAGAATTTGGCACACATCCTGGCACATCTTCCTAGGATTTTAATATTACTCAAAGACCAGGAAAATACTAGAAGTTAACTAAATAATTAAATGCAGTATTTTCCATTAAAACAGACATTCTGCAACAGAAAGTTATATTCATATGTTAAAGTAACATACAAGAATTCCAAAAATTGTCTTGCTTTAGAAGGTACTTAGAATGTTGCTCCCTCACCCTCACAGTTACAAAGTTAACTCTTCTCTGCCATTAGGGGTAATTTGCCAGAAAAGTTTGAGAGGCCAGATCTACAGCATTTCTGATAGGAAGGTATCCAGTCTCTATTTGAAAATTGCATAGCATATGTGGGCTTTCACCTCAAAAACATAAAGGATTCCACCGTTCAAAAAGCCTTTAAGGGCAGGCTGGCCACCTTACCTGCCTCCATCTTATTCCTTCAGGTACTAACATGCCTCTGTTCCCCGTCTTCTTCCCCCATTCAAGGTTAGTTTCTTTTTCCACAGTTAAAGGCTACATATTATTGAACCATAAGAAAAGCAGCCTTAGCAACCTCAATGACGAAGCTCTTCTCATGCCCGCTGTTTTTCCCTCTGCCTGACTCCCTCTCTGGAATGGGGGTAGGTAAGAAGAGATCAGAGCTGAGGCGACCTGGTCAGACTCCTGCCTCTGGGGCTGGAGAAGGTAGGGTCCATGCGCTCCCTGGGATTCCAGTGCAGTACACTTCAGTTCCCACTGTGCCCTGCGAGCCAAATCATGGAGGACGCTGAAGGATTCGACCATAGCAAAGAACTGTATAGTGACGGTAGAAGGGGAGAATCATTTAGAAATCAGCAAAGATGGCCCGGCGCGGTGGCTGACGCCTGTAATCCCAGCACTTTGGGAGGCTGAGTCAGGTGGATCACGAGGTCAGGAGATGGAGACCATCCTGGCTAACATGGTGAAATCCCGTCTCTACCGAAAATACAAAAAAATTAGCTGGGCGTGGTGGCACGCGTCTGTAGCCCCAGCTACTCGGGAGGCTCAGGCAGGAGAATGGCGTGAACCCGGGAGGCGGAGCTTGCAGTGAGCCGAGATCGCGCCACTGCTCCCCAGCCTGGGCGACAGAGCGAGACTCCATCCAAAAAAAAAAAAAAAAAAGAAAGAAAGAAAGGAAAAAAAATTAAGAAACAAATCAGCAAAGATCTAGTGAATAACTTTTGGGGGACGTTCAGGTAAACAACTTAGGTGAAAAAGACGATACACCAGTCCATTTATGTGACAAATGTGAATTATCAATTAAAATCTATGGACGGATGATTACATGTAAGCATGTTTTTTGCTAGGTCTGTGCTATTTTACATGGAAAAGGAAGAGATAAGATGTGTCCAGGCTGTAGCAATCCTGTGAAGCAAATTGAGAAACATACACAAGGTTTTATCTTCATGTGTAGCACACTTCAAGGGTTCAAGAGGGACCTAGAGGCTCATATCAACTACTGTCATATGAGAGTGTAAAACCCTGTTGCTTGTGCCTGACTAGAAAATGTTCATCCTCCATGATACCCCATCACGAATTGAAATCCCTAACCATTTTATGATGCGGCCAGACAAGCACCATATGAGCCAATATTCCCCCAAAGCAGCACATTATGATACCTACTTTCTTTGCAGCATTTGCCACATGAGCTACATCATTAGCCCCAAGGATATTCATGCTCCTGCAGCAGAATTGTTCACGGCTTTACCTCCATCTCCTTCAGTAAGTCAAGGAACCTTTGTATTTCAACAAGAAAACATGGCAATTTCATAACTGTTCCTATTCAAAAGCACTCCAATTCAGGTGCTTGAGAACCACACCTACTTCCTCCACATTTGCTCACCATCATCCTGAATATCAAGGTCAACGAGTAGTATTGAGTTCTTATAATACTCTACCTCCATAGCTACATTCTGTACCATAGCACCTCTTCTGCTACCAACAAGCCATGCAATGCCACATCTTCCTTAGGCTGCAGGTACTCCTCACTTGGTTCATAGCTAAGCTTCAAGTCCAGCAATGACCTCTACTCTACCACTCTCTTCACGGACATAGTATTGTCCAGATGCCACCTCATATAAGATATCTTCTTCCAGGACCTGCCTCACAACAACATGTAAAAACACACCCTTCTCACCATTATAATCATAACTCTTTACCCAAGTTCACTGAATATCAAGGAACTCCGAGTCCTCCATTTATACAACCAGGGGAAATGATTCATGACATGTGGCCTGTACCTGGACGGCCACCCCTTCCTCTATGAATGCAGAATCTACCTTCTCAAACCCTACTTCTTGGGACACATCATCCGGGTCAGACAAGATACAGACCATATTACCAATGATAATACTATTTTGAGCAGGCTATATGATAAGAGGAAAAAGTAAATATTGTCAACCTTCTAATCATGCTTTTGACTGAGGAAGGCAAAGCATCTCTTACAGAGGTGCCCGTAAAACACGTCTTATCTGTTAAAATAGTTTTAAACTGTGATCTTGGGAATGATTGCGAGTATTTTACTATAGTGTAGATAAATGGTTTAGTTGAACATAGCTGTATTTTATCAACTTTGTTACTCTAGTGTGGTAAATTGACCCCAAACTGACCATTTGCAATATTATTTTCTTAAAAATATGTGTGTTCTGCTTCCAAAATATTGTTTCTGTTAAACTCAATGTTTAGTTTTTATTGTGATATATTTTGTTAACCTGGGTAAAAGGAGTAAATTTCATTATTGGTGGTTAAGACAGCAATATGAGCTTTATACACAAATCTCAGTGTAATTTAGAATGTCCTTGTTTCTAGGGCCAAGTTGTTCTTTCTCAATGTAGCTAGGCTCTGTGGTCCAAATCATCTGTAGGCTGAGCACTGCCGTGGATTTTAGAACCCATACAAATGAGGGCGGGCACAGTGGCTCACACTTGTAATTCCAGCACTTTGGGAGGCCGAGGCAGATGGATCACCTGTGGTCAGGAGATCGAGACCACCCTGGCCAAAATGGCGAAACCCCGTCTCTACTAAAAATACAAAAATGAGCTGGGCATGGTGGTGCATGCCTGTAATCCCAGCCACTCAGGAGGCTGAGGCAGGAGAATCACTTGAACCAGGGAGGCAGAGGTTGCAGTGAGTCAAGATCATGCCACTGCACTCCAGCCTGGGCCACAGAGCGAGACTCCATCTCAAACAAACAAACAAACAAACAAAAATACCCAAAACAAAACAAAAAAGAACCCATACAAATGAGAAGCATTTAAGCAGCTCTAGCCCAAACCTTTCAAACCCAGCATCAAATTCTTCTTGCTACTCCAACTCTGACCTTATGCCCTAGTTATAATGGGACACCTCTACTTTCTTGAGAGTCAGTGTTCACCTCATACTCTGGTTACAGTTACTAAGGCAATGCCTTTTCTTCTTCCTATGCATGAATCTCTATCCAGGAAATTTATTAGGCAGTATTACCCCTCTAGGACTGTGACCTTGACTTGTCTTTGCCAGTATAAGGGTAAATAAAATTCTAAAAATTAACTTAAAATTCTTCCTGGTATAAAAAAGTGAAGAGAACTTGCTCTGTTTTCTTTTAGTATTTCCTTCAGAAAACTTGAGATTATAAATGTTAGCTCTGTCTCTTTGAAATGTATATAAATTTTTTTCAAAGCTAATAAACCTCTTGACAGTTTTGCAGCCAAGTGTGCCAATTCTTAGGTGTCATTCTTAGGTGCCAAGGAGCACTTCGAACACCAAAGTGAACACCAAAAAGAATGATGCCCTATCTCCCTGCCTGTGGGATCAGCTCCAAAATGTAACTTCTTACTTGTCAAAAACATATGAGAAATGTTATTTTTCCTTTCAATAAATACAGTGAACATGTATGTAATGAATTAACATATACATAAAACATAGAAGATTGAGAGTGTTTTTGTCTTCGCAGTTGTTTTAATGCATTGCCTGTGAGGCATATGGTTTAGTGCTTATTCAATGACAAAACTATTTCATTCTTTCCTATGTTTTATATACAGGTTGTATTGGGTTGGCAGGAGATTTTGTGTTTAATTATTTCCCCAACAATTTAGCAATGAGGATAGGATCTTTCTGGCAATTTCTGAATTGGGTAGATCATCTGAAAGACTTGTGGTCACACAACAGTTAGGTAAGAGACCCTGAATTATAGAAAAGTCTCCTTTCTAGCTCTTCACTTTTTGGAATACTACCTGAGCCATCCACTCCAAATTCAAGATTTTATTATTGAGTGAGGGTGGGTGATACCAGAGCTAAAAATCCCATCAGGATCACTATTATCTTTGATGGTAGAAAAATATGGGAAGCCAGAAATGTTGCCTGCAGGTGTTTCTTTTAAATCTCTTAAATTCGAATACCTTTTTGTCACATTTGGAATGAGCATACATGTAAGAATCTAGTTTTACAGTTTCTTTAATTTGGACAAATTATAGTTGGCCTTCCATATCTGTGGGTTCTGTATACAGAAATTCAACCAACCACAGATCAAAAATGTAGTGAAGCCTATGATGGTTGTGTCTGTGCTGAACATTTACAGACTTTTTTTCTTGTTATTCCCTAAACAATACAGTATAACAGCTGTTCATACACCATTTACATTGTATTAGGTATTAGTAATCTAGAGATGATTTAAAGTATACAGGAGGATGTGTATGGGTTATATGAAAATATGATACCATTTTATAGAAGGCATTTAGGTACTCAAGGATTTTGGTACTTTGGGGGATCCTGGAGCCAATCCCCCGTGTATATAAAGGAATGACTGTAACGTATCTGGGTGGGTCTTATCTTAAAAATCTCTCACTTCAGCCATAAGAATTACTGGTATTTATGAGATAACTGCCATTCTAAGGGGAAAATTTTAAAAATGATTTAATAACAAGAAGGAAAGATTGAGGAAAATGGAAGAGGAAATACAAGAATTAAAGCGACTTTCTCTTTCACATAAACCTCTTCCTTTCTCTGCTGTCCCAACTGTCTCTGAACCCCGTGCACTTCTCTCTTTCCCTGCATCAAATTGACTCCTGGCAAGAAGGAGGCACTGATCTTTTAGATAGTTGCTTGGGTTCCCCTGAGCGGTGGTAGCAGCCACCACTCTTATTGAAAAGGCTCAAGCCCTTACATTGGGTCACTAGATTTATTTGAGTATTCTACATATGATGATAGTTATACATACATAAAACAGCCTTTGTTGGTATGCCATCAGAGTGACTATGAACAAGCATTGTTATCCAATTCTAATACCATGCCTGGGAGATGCAATTTCCTAGACCTTTGTACTCTTTTGCCAGATCTTAGTCAAACATATCACGACCGTAAAATGATCATAGAGGCAAATGCTAGGCCCCAATCTGATGATCTTATACTCCTTTTCAAAATGCAGATTTCATAGTGTTTACTGATGGACCATGTACTTGGGATAAATTGGCCAACTGAAGGTTTCTTATGCTGTGGTGTCTGATCATGAGCTCTTGGAAGCTTATGTTTTGTCTGGAATTAAGTTGGCACAAGTAGGTAAGTTAATAGCCGTCACTAGTGCTAAAATTCTTGGTCTGGACTTAGAGTGAATATATATGCCAGTGATAAATATATGTTTGGTGTATATTATGCAACAGGGCAAATTTGGAAAAATAGATTATTGACTTCAACGGGAACTACAATGTCTCATGGATAATCAAGAGATGATTTGTTAGAAGCCTTACAACTACCTGTTCAGATATCAGTAATCCACTATAGAATTCACACAGAATAGAATTATGAAATTTATGAAGGCAATGATTTTGCCAACAGCTGCAAAAGTCGTTGTTAAAACATGTCAGACTTCAAACTTAGAAGCCCCACTTTTAATACAAAGAACCTGTATTTATTTTCAGAAAAATAAGATTCATGAAGGGAAACAGACAAATATTGAAAAGGAGTTAAAAGAAATTCAACTGGACTATAGGAATTATCCATAAAATAATTCCTATACCACAGTATTTGCTTGATTCATTTTTGTTGCATTATCAAACAAAATGATTTACGTAACAGAGGGATGTTAAAGACACTAGACTCTAGCCAGGTGTGGTGGCTCACACCTGAAATCCCAGCTACTCTGGATGATAGCTTGAGTCCAGGAGTTCATAGCCTACAGTGAGCTATTATCATGCCACTGCACTCCTATCTGGGCAACAGAGAAATACTCTATCTCTTAAATAAATACATGAAGAGACACTAGACTCTTACTACATCAATCAGAAAGACGAAATTATTCAAAACATATTAAAAAGACTTGTTATTTGTGAGCAGAATACTTTACAGGCCACTTCCAAGTACCACAGAAAAATTTCCTCAATCAACTTTACCAGAAAACTGATGGCACTTAGATTTCATGGAATTAGTGTCTATAGAGGGAATTCAATTTCATAGAATTAATGCCTAAAGAAGAGATTTTGTCTGGTTATGGTGTATATGACATCTGAATGGCCTAAGTCTTTCCCTCTTCAAACGCTTATGCTCAAGTAGTGGTAAAGGTCCTCTTAATGCACATAACCCCACTTTTGGGCTCTCAGAGCTTATTCAGTCAGACAGAGGAAATAATTTTATGTGCACTGTTGTCCAGGAATTATGCAGATATTTGCAGATTACTATAAGCTATCATCATACTCCAAGTAGAATAGATGATTCAAACAGTAACAAACTCACTGGCTATGATTCAACAATCGACTATGTTAAAATGGCCTGGATATTTACCAATGGCTTTGTTAAAATTGGCTTTGTTAAAAATTAGAGTGACTCTTGCAATTAATAATGTTATCTCTCTCTTTGAACTTATGTTCGGCAAGCCTGTGAATTTAGGTCTGAAACCACTTACTCTGCTTGCTTTAACAATTCTTTCATAATCATGTTCAATAGCTAAAAGGGCTTCTCTCTTTTCTAGACATCCTGAGACATAAAGTGAAAAGGACCTAGAAGGAACTACTGGAAGAAATATCACCCCTATTAAACTGGGCAATTTTGTTTAAATATGAGTGTTCTGGAGGAAACATGCATTGTCACCAGGCTGGATGGGACCCTTTCAAGTGCCACGATCACTCATATGGGTATCAGAGTGAAAGAAAAACCAGATGGTTTCATGCTTTCCATGTGAAGCCAGCTCCTCAGGAGGACTAGACTGCAGTTTCCACAAAGGATTTGAAGTTTAATTTCCTAGAGTGACTAATATTGGTAATGAACTCAACTGAAAGGAGGTATTCTAAGGAATGTATTATTCTGACTACCTTGCTGTCCTAGTTGCAATAGTGTTTTGTTCAATTACTATAAGAATCACATTTTATTAGAAAATAAACATGTTATTTGTTACACCACTTTTTCTTTCTGTACTCCCAATAATGGTTCCTACAGTCACATTTCCTCTCTCCTCTGAATTGTATTCCCAGTACAGAAATGCTGGGCCTGCATTTATGAATCCAACAGTCTGATTATTGGCCAAATAAACACAAGACCATGTTCATTACTATGTTTTAATATCAAAGTAAAAGTAACTACTATGCATCCAGAAACCAAAGCCCTAAATTTCACACAAAAAAATTTGTTAACTGGTTTGATTGGAAGTATAGTATAGAAAAGAAATGCATCTAATTAAGTGTCTGGCATTTATGGATAGAGACCTCAGAAGACAGCTCTAATGTCAATCGATTAACTTGAGAATAGAAGTTTTCTCCAGTCCTACTATGGATAGATAAACAAAGGTGGATATGCCTGTTATCTATGGTTATTTAGTTAACTGTTATAATAATATAACTACTGGTTTGGACCGAGGTAAGAAATGGCCCAAAAGTTGGCTTTGTCCTCCAGACTTAAAACTATTAGAGCCATGTACACTAAACACTGGAAATTCAATCTGTGCCCTTCAACGGGTACTTCATAATAAGACTTTGATACTATATAATGGCCACGAGTGTCTTTGCATTTTGCATCTGGGAGAAATTATTTGGGAAGATGGGATAATTACCAAAAGGCCTAGTTTATCCTATAAATGCAATATTACTCCTGTGACTGCTGAGAACTCAGAGGAAATTCATTGGGCCTTACAAGAAAAACTCAGTTAAAAAACATATATTATCAGGCTCCAGAGTTAAGCTATTAACTCGGCTAGGATAGGGATTTCTTTCTTTTTTGTTTGTTTGTTTGTTTTCTGAAGATGGATTCTCACTCAATAGCCCAGGCTGGAGTGCAGTGGTGCGATCTCAGCTCACTGCAACCTCCGCCTCCTGGGTTCAAGTGATTCTCCTGCCTCGGCCTCCTGAGTAGCTGGGATTATAGGCATGTTCCACCACGCCAGGTTAATTTTTGTATTTTTAGTAGAGACAGGGTTTCACCATGTTGGTCAGGCTGGTCTCAAACTCCTGACCTCATGATCCGCTGGCCTCAGCTTCCCAAAGTGCTGGGATTACAGGCGTGAGCCACTGTGCCTGGCCAGATTTCATTTTCTAAAACTACAAAATAATACTCAAGTAGTTAATCATTTGAAAGCAGAAACAAAGACATGACAACAGTTTATAAAATTAATGTATCATGAGGATAATTTTTGTGTATGGCTAATCAAATATCTGCTTTAACCATTCACAACTGGTATATTTAAAGATTCCCCCAAGAAAAATATTGTACTAATTTTTGATTCATCCCATTATAATTCTGATAATTGCTTTATTTTGTATTTTACCATGGACTTGCTGGATATAAATATCTAAAGACTGCTGCAAACTGCCCAGAGAAAGGTTAAAATGTCAGAGTAAACAATTGGAAAACTGTAGTTTTAGTAGAAAATAGTAACAAGGAAAATTGTAAGGGTAAATACAAATCTAAAAATGAATTTTAATTTAAAATTTTCCTCAGTGCAAAAAGGAAAGAACTATTCCCCCTCCCTTTTCTTTCAGCATTTCCTTCAGAAAATGGAATTATAAATAAACTTCTTGCCAGTTTTGCATCCTAGGAATGTCATTCTTTTTTTTTCTTTTATTATTATACTTTAAGTTTTAGGGTACATGTGCACATTGTGCAGGTTAGTTACATATGTATACATGTGCCACGCTGGTGCGCTGCACCCACTAACTCGTCATCTAGCATTAGGTATATTTCCCAATGCTATCCCTCCCCCCTCCCCCCACCCCACAACAGTCCCCAGAGTGTGATGTTCCCCTTCCTGTGTCCATGTGATCTCATTGTTCAATTCCCACCTATGAGTGAGAATATGCGGTGTTTGGGTTTTTGTTCTTGCGATAGTTTACTGAGAATGATGATTTCCAATTTCATCCATGTCCCTACAAAGGACATGAACTCATCATTTTTTATGGCTGCATAGTATTCCATGGTGTATATGTGCCACATTTTCTTAATCCAGTCTATCGTTGTTGGACATTTGGGTTGGTTCCAAGTCTTTGCTATTGTGAATAGTGCCGCAATAAACATACGTGTGCATGTGTCTTTATAGCAGCATGATTTATAGTCCTTTGGGTATATACCCAGTAATGGGATGGCTGGGTCAAATGGTATTTCTAGTTCTAGATCCCTGAGGAATCTCCACACTGACTTCCACAATGGTTGAACTAGTTTACAGTCCCACCAACAGTGTAAAAGTGTTCCTATTTCTCCACATCCTCTCCAGCATCTGCTGTTTCCTGACTTTTTAATGATTGCCATTCTAACTGGTGTGAGATGGTATCTCATTGTGGTTTTGATTTGCATTTCTCTGATGGCCAGTGATGATGAGCATTTTTTCATGTGTTTTTTGGCTGTATAAATGTCTTCTTTTGAGAAGTGTCTGTTCATCTCCTTTGCCCACTTTTTGATGGGGTTGTCATTCTTAATGGCCAAGGAGCCACTTCTTTTAAAAGTGAACACTAAAACAGGTGGTGCTCTCTTTCCCTGTGGAAATTTAGCTCCAAGATATAACCTCCTGCTTATCAAAAATATATGAGAGATTGTATTTTTCCTTTGGATAAATACAATTAACATGTATACAATAGATTAACATATACATAAAACAAAAGGGCAAGAGTTCTTTTTTGTCTTTGTAATCTCTTTAGGGTATTGCCTGTGATGTGCATCATGGTCTGGTTTAATGCTTATTCATTATATTTCATTCTGTTCTACATTCTGTGAAGATATTTTACTGGATTGGCAAGAGATTTGGTTTAGTCATTTTCCCCCACCACCAGCCATGTACCTCAGGACAAAAGTTTTTCCCTAGACCTCTAGCCCAGGGGCTAAAATCCTGAAACACAGTGATCTGCTGAATTCACTTGTTGCAGGCTGCTCAATAGCTGCCTAGATTTTCTAGCTAATTTAATCAAACTCTACTTTAGTGACACTAATGAGGTTAAGTGAAACCCTTAGTTTCATCTGGAAAACATACTGATACCCTCAGCATGCTAAAAGCACATCGATATGCTCTAGGATGTATTCACACTTCAGTTCCCACCAGTTGAACTGTATGCTTAAGAAGAGATAAGCCCCATTTACCCATAAATAATTCAAATCAGCATTGCTTTCTTTTTAAAATTAATTTTATTGGAGTATAATTCTCAGAGTAATATGCACCCACTTAAGTGTAAAGTTAAATAAGTCTTGACAAATGTGGATACTAGCGTATCTACCACAATCAAGACATAGAATATTTCTGTACAACAAAAAGTTCCCTGTAGCAGCTTTGTAGTCATTCCCTAACTCATCACTGGCCTCAGACAACCACTGGTACTATAGATCAGTTTTGCTTGTTCCAGTAGTTCATCTTAATGGAATTATACAATATGTATTGTTTGGCGTCTGGTTTCTTTTGTTCAATGTGTTTTGAAATCAACCCATGTTGTTGCATGTAGTAGTTTGCTGCATCAGTAGTTTACTCCTTTTATTATGAAGTAATATTCCATTGCATTAATGTACTACATTTTTTGTTCTTTTAAATGTTGATAGCTATTTTTATTGACTTCCAGTTTGGGACAATAATAAATAAAGCTATTAAGAGCATTCATGTGTAAGTTATTTTGTGACCATATGTTTCCTTTTATTTGCAATGTATAAGGAGATAGAAGTCCAAAATTCTGGGTAATATAAAAGTATATTGACCTTTGTAAAAAAACAAAAACTACCAAGATGGCTGACTGTACCATGTTACACACTCACCAACAATATATGAGTTCCAGTAGTTCTGCATCTTCCTCAAAACCTGAGATTATCAGTCTTTTTTAGTTTTAGTCATTCCAGTGGGTATAGACTGGTATCTCATTGTGTTTTTTATTTGCATCCTTCTGTTGACTAATGATGTTAAACATCTTTTAAAGTGCTTAATGGCTATTCATATCTCCTTTCGTGAGGTGTCTGTTTAAATCTTTTTCCCATTAATATTGTATTGCTTGTCTTCTTACTAAGATATAATAGTCATTTATATATTATGGATAAAAGCCCTTTATCAGATGTATGTATTGCAAATATTTTCTCTCTGCCTGTGAACTGCCTTCTAATTTTCCTTTTGAAGAGCAGAATTTGTCGTTTTTTATGTTTAGTGCGAGGCTGTAAAGATTTTCTCCTGGCCGGGCACGGAGGCTCACTCCTGTAATCCCAGCACTTTGGGAAGCTGGGACGGGCAGATCACGACGTCAGGAGACCGAGACCATCCTGGCTAACACGGTGAAACCCCGTGTCTACTAAAAAAATACAAAAAAATTAGCCGGGCATGGTGGTGGGCTCCTTTAGTCCCAGCTACTCGGGGAGCTGAGGCAGGAGAATGGCATGAACCCGGGAGGCAGAGCTTGCAGTGAGCTGAGATCGCGCCACTGCACTCCAGCCTGGGTGACAGAGTGAGACTCCATCTCAAAAAAAAAAAAAATTTATCCTATGGATTATTTTAGAAATTTTTATAATTTTAGTTGTGTTTAATTCTACAATCAATTTAAAGTAAACATTGTGTATGATGTGAGGTAATGGTCAGTGTCCATTTTTTCCCATATGGTTATCTATTTTTTCTAGTACCAGTTGCTGAAAGGCTATCCTTTCTCCAGGAATTACTTTGGCAGTTTTGTCAAAAATAAATTGAACATATGAACATATATGTGCATGTTTTTTTAAACTCTATTATTGGGCAAGTCCTAGTGCTGTGCTGGGCTCAGAGCCAGTGGATTTGGGGGCACGTGACATAGTGAGACACCAGCCAGGGCACCCAAGGGAGTGCTTGCACCACGCCTCCCCCAAAACCAGGAAGCACAGCTCACAGCTCTGGTAAAGACTCCCTCTTTCTGCTTGAGGAGAGGAGAGGGAAGAGCAAAGAGGACTTCATCTTGCAACTTGGATATCAGCTCAGCTACAGTAGGACAGGGCACCAGGCAGAGTCCTGAGGCCCCCATTTCAGGCCCTAGCACCTGGGCAACATTTCTAGACACACCCTGGGCCTGAAGGGAACCCATTGCCCTGAAGGGAAGAACCCAGTCCTGGCAACATTCATTACTTGCTGACTAAAGAGCCCTTGGGCGCTGAATAATCAGCAGCAATACCCAGGCCGTGGGCCGTGGGTGAGACTCTGAGACACGCTGGCTTCAGGTGTGACCCAGCATATTCCCAGCTATGGTGGGTATGGGCAGAGACTCCTGCTTGAGTAAAGGAGAGGGAAGAGTAAAGGGGACTTTGTGTTGCAGCTTAGGTACCAGCTCAGCTGCAGTGGGATACAGAACCAAGTGGAATCTTGGGGTCCCTGATTCCAGGCCTTGACTCTTAGATGGCATTTCTGGACCTTCCCTAGGCCAGAGGGGAGATCACTGCCCTGATGAGAGAGTCCAAGGCCTAGAAGCATTCACCATAAGCTGACTGAAGAGCCCTTGCTCCTTGAATGAGCATTGCCAGGAGCTAGGCAGTACTCACCACAAGCCTGGGGCAATGGTAGCCATGGGAAAGAGTTGTCTGCTTGTGAAAAGGGAAGATAAGAGTGGGAAGAAACTTGTCTTGTAGCTTGGGTGCCAGTGCAGCAGCAGTAGAATAGAGAACCAGGTAGATTCCTAAGGCTTCTGACTCCAGGCCCTGGCTCCTGGACAGCATTTCTGGATCCACCCAGACCTGGGGGAACTTGCCACCTTAAAGGGAAAGAGACAGGCTTGACTGGCTTGGCCACTTGCCTACTGTAGAGCCCTAGATCCTTCAGCAAATATAGGGAGTAGCCAGGCAGTACAGACTGTGGGTCTTGCACAAGACCCAGTACTGTGCTGGCTTCAGGTCCATAGTCCCAGTGGTGGTGGCCACAGGGGTGCTTGTGTCACCCCATCCACAGCTCCAGGCAGTGCAGCACAGAGAGAGAAAATCTGGGAGAAATAAGGGAAGAGAACAAGAGTCTCTGGCTGGTAACCCAGAGAATTCTTCCAAATCTTATCCAAGACCACAAAGGTGGGTACACCTGTGAGTCTACAAGAGCCACAGCATTGCTGAGCTTGAGATAGCTCCCAATACAGTTCCAGCTGCAGAGACCAGAAATGTATATTACAACCACCAAAGTCCATTTCAGTACCTGGAAAGTCTTCCTAAGAAGGATAGGTACAAACAAGCCTAGACTTGTCATGAAGATTAAAATCAATAGGTAAATCTTCAGTGCCCAAACACTAACAAACATCCACATGCATCAAGACCATCCAGGAAAACATGACCTTACAAAATGAACAAAATAAGTCACCAGAGACCAATCATGGAGAGACAGAGATACATAACATTTCAGACAGATAATTTGAAATAGCCGTTTTGAGGAAACTCAAAGAAATTCAAGATAATACAGAGTAGTAATTGAGGAACCTATCAGTTAAATTTAACAAACAGACTGAAAAAATTTAAAAGAATCAAACAAATTCTCGAGTTGAGAAATGCAACTGACATACTGAAGAATGCATCAGAGTCACAAAAACAGAACTCATCAAGAAGAAGAAAGAATTAGTGGGCTTGAAGACAAGCTATTTGAAAATACATTCAGAGGAGACAAAAAAAAAAGAATGAAGCACACCTGCAAGATCCAGAAAATAGATTGAAAACAGCAACTCTAAGAGTTATTGGACATAAAGAGGAGGTAGAGAGAAAGATAGGGGTAGAAAGTTTATTCAAAGGGATAATAACAGTGAAGTTCCCAAACCTAGAGTAAGACATCAATATTCAAGTACAAGAATGTTATGGAACACCAAGCAGATTCAGCCCAAAGAAGACTACCTAAAGATATTTAATAATTAGGGCCAGACGCAGGGGCTCACGCCTTAATCTCAGCATTTGGGAGGCTGAAGTGGGCAGATCACCTGAGGTCGGGACCAGCCTGACCAACATGGAGAAACCCCGTCTCTACTAAAAAGAAGAAAAAAAAAATTAGCCCGGCATTGTGGCGCATGCCTGTAATCCCAGCTAATCTGGAGGCTGAGGCAGGAGAGTCACTTGAACTCAAGAGGCATTAAACAGAGCTATAGTAACAAAAACAGCATGGTAGTGGCACAAAAATAGACACATAGACCAATGGAACAGAATAGAGAACCTAGAAACAAATCCATACACCTACACTGAACTCATTTTCAACAAAGGTGCCAAGAACATACATTGGGGAGAAGACAGTCCCTTCAATAAATGGTGCTGGGAAAACTGGGTATCCATATGCAGAAGGATGAAACTAGACCTTTGTTTCTTGCCATATACAAAAATAAATCAAAATGGATTAAAAACATAAATCTAAGACCTTAATTTACAAAACTAATAAAAGAAAACATGGCAGAAAGGTTCAGAACATTAGACTGGGCAAAGATTTGTTGAGTAGAGTAGTACCCCAAAAGCACAGGCAACCAAAGCAAAAATAGATAAATGGGATCACAAATATTTGCAAGCTATCCAGGTGACAAGGGATGAATAATCAGAATATATAAGAAGCTCAAACAACTCTACAGAAAAAAAATCTAAAAATCTAATTTTCAAATGGGCAAAAGATTTGAATAGACATTTCTCAAAAGAAGACATACAAATGGCAAACAGGCATATGAAAAGGTGCTCGACATCATTGATCATCAGAGAAATGCAAATCAAAACTATGATGAGATATCATCTCATCCCAGTTAAAATGGCTTTTATCCAAAAGACAGGCAATAACAAATTCTGGTGAGAATCTGGAGAAAAGGGAACCCTCCTACATTCTTGGTGAGAATGTAAATTAGTACAACCACTGTGGAGAACAGTTTCTTCAAAAACTAAAAATAGATCTACCATATAATCCAGTAATCCCACTGCTAAGTATGTACCCAAAAGAAATGAAGTCAGTACATCTAAGTGATATCTGCACTTCCATGTCTATCACAGCACTATTCACAATTGCCAAGATTTGGAAGCAACCTAAGTGCCCATCAACAGATGAATGGATAAAGAAAATGTGATATGTATATAGATACACACACACACACGTGTATATATACTACAAATATAGAGTATATATGTACTACTCATCCATAAAAAGAATGAGATCTTGTCATTTGCAATTGAAGCAGCCTCACTGTCTGAGGTGTTATCCAGAGTTCTTTGTGTCATGACCAAGAAAAACAAGGAGCATATACACCAACAGTGAGGTTGGAGTGAAAGTTTAATAAGCAAAAGAGGAAAGCTCTCCACAGCAGAGAGGGGGTCCAAGAGGGTTGCTGTTTTACAGTTGAACACAAAAGCTTTTATTAGAAAGTTCCCCTGTCTGTGTAGCTGCCTGTGTGACTGCCCTTACCTATGCGGTCACAGGCATTTCTCAGGCAAGCCTCCCGCTACCCGTGCAAATTTGTGCGGAACCCACCATGTACATGTCCGTAGAAGGGGAGGAAACTTTTTCCTGGGTGCCCGCTGATTACACAAAGAACAAAGGCGTTTCTATGTTGGGACTTGCTCTCTTATCTGTGCAGCTGCAGCTTTATTTTTCAAGCTGTTTCTCTGTTTAAAAGAATTCTACCAAGGACCTGCCTTAACTGTCTGTTTTTTGTTGTTGTTGTTGTTGTTTGTTTGTTTGTTTTCCTTTCTCCTCCCTCACAATAGCATGGATGGAACTGGAGACTATTTTGTTAAGTGACATGAGCCATGCAGAGAAAGACAGACTTCACATGTTCTCACCTGTTTGTGGAAGCTAAAAATGAAAACAATTGAACTCATGGAGATAGAGAGTAGAACAATGGTTACCAGAGGCTGGGAAGGGTAATAGGAGGCTGGGGTGGAGGTAAGAGTAGTTAATGAGTACCAAAAAAATAGAAAGAATGAATGACATACTATTTGATAGCACAACAGGGTGACTATAGTCAATAATAACTTAATTGTACATTTTAAAATTACTAAGAGTGTAATTGGATTGCTTGTAACACAAAGAAAGGATAAATGCTTGAGGTGATGGATACCCCATTTACCCTGATGTGAATATTACACACTCTATGCCTGCATCAAAATATCTTGTGTACCTTATAAATATACACACCTACTGCTCACCCACAAAAATTAAATATAAAAATTGTTAAATAAATAAAAAGGTAGTTGAAGGTTACTGAGTTTCATTAAGTGAAATGACTAACATGTGGTGGTTTCCTGATTAAAGCCCCTTAATTTGGAAACACTGCCTGCTCACTTGCTTACTTGTTTGCCTGTTCTTTTATATACGTGTATCATCATAGATAAATTAGAAAGAAATTTATCCCTTTGTATTCCAAAAAAAGGTAAGGAATTTGTCATTAGCTTTCTCCATGGATACACTGTTTCCTCTCTGGGGAACAGAGGGCCCACACTTGTCCTAGTTAGAATTATCATCTAGAACTCCCCACAGAAGCTTGGCTCCGGACTGCAAACAAAACTGTTCTTTCATACTCGATCATATGAGTCATTCTAGCGGTGGGGTTCAGTACCATTGGGGCAGTTGAAGAGTCACAACTTCAGACAGAAGACAAGAAGTATGGCTAATATCAGGATATTTGGGGGCATTGTATTTGATAGAGAATAAATAGTATATAAAACTTTCAAATGAATGTTTTAAGTTAAAATTAGATATTTAAATATATGTATTTACAATTCCCTGATGTAATTGATTTTTTGATTAGTTAACTCTAGTCCTGATCATATAAGAGAGACTTTACTGTATTCTTTACTACTAATTTGTCATTGCAATTGCCTCAATCCATCTCACAGACATAGAAACGCACATGCATGTACACTCACACACAGTAAACTACTGGCCTAGACTCTGACATACCGTCTGTTTGCATGTTTAGGGCTAACCTGCACTGCGTGATGTACTGTGAACTTCCTCCTAAACTCTGCAGCTGGATCTGTGCCTGCCTCAACCCAGTTAGGCCAATATAGTTGCAGATATCAGTCTTTTCAAGTGTGCCTCTTTTTGTTTTAAGATATGATACTAGTTATGACCTCTGGAGTGTCTCAGGCTCTTGAAGAGAGTAAAGCTCCTATCCACATTTTTTCTACTCTTTTTTTGTGCAAATTCACTTCAGAAAAGCTGTATTTAACTTGATTTTCTCTCCAAGAATGTAAGTAGTAGATTCATTTTAGCCAAATGTCATTATAGCAAAATTAACTCAGTTTATCATGGGGTTTGAACTTCCAATGCAGTGATTTTCTGACTTTAGTGTACATAAAAATCTCCAGAGGAGTAGCTAAAAACACATATAGTGTACATAAAAATCTCCAGAGGAGTAGCTAAAAACACGTATTCCTGAGCCCCATCCCCCCAGTACAAGAGATTCTGAGTTAGTAGGTCTAGGGTGGAGTCCATGAATCTACCTTTTATATAAGCACTAAGGTGATTCTAATGTCAGGGGTGCTGTGGACCACACTTTGAAAAGTCATCTTATTAGATTGTTAATAAAGCCCACATGAATCTGCTCAACTAATAGAAACACAAATTTTCCTTTCAGTGCTTTCAAGAATATGCATCTGGAAGCCTGCATTTTCTCCTCTGATAGCATGAAATGCACAGAAGGAAATCAAGAGCTAAACTTCCGGCACTGTCCCTTTAAAGAGCATCATTATTCTGAAAATGGAATATTTGCTTGCTTCCTTCACAAAGAAAACATTCTGTTTGCTGTGGGAGTAAAGGGTGTTATGATTGTGAAACTTTGCTCACCAGACAAATTCCAGTCCTGTCATATGACTTTAGACAATGCTCTCTCTTAGCTCTTTGTATAGCACTTCAGAATCCTGAGGAGGTAGTTTCCATGTAGGCTAATGTCAGTGTTATTTAGAGGACATACAAACAGAATCAAGACTTAGAGCTACTTAAGGGGACACAACAGTGGCCTCCCCAGCAACAGGACTTGCACTTGCTGGAGCCACTGAGTCACCCTAGAGCACAGACCACCCACTTCTTTTAAAGGTGTGGGAAGTGAATTACTTCTCAGGCTCAAACTTCAGAGTCTGGCTCAAACACCCCTTGGGATGCCCTTTCCATACCTGGATGCCAGGCTCCTATAAGACTTCAGGCAATGGCAGAAATATGAGGATTCTGTTTCAGCTCTGACACTTGACTAAGACCTTGAGCAAATCATTTCACTATTATAGGCCTATAGAATTAGGATATCAATATTTACCTCAAAAGATGATTACAAAAGTTGAGTTTAGTTTATAAAAATATGTAGCACAGTACCTGGTAGTAAACCACTGCAACATTCATTCTTTCATTTCTCCCTCATAATTTGGTCTGGAGCCATTGCCACACCAATCACTCAATAGCAGTGAGAGTGTCTCCAGCCACCAGCTAGCTCAGGGCGGCACCCTTTTGCAATTGACACGGTGTGCCATTTAATATGGTTGATTTCATGGGCTGGCAGTTATCTTAACAGTTGAGGTTGGTCATCAGTTACCAGTATGATAGAGTAGCAAGCAGGTTATGAGTTTTAATGCTAATTGAGGATGTCTCTTTTTCTTAAAATCTCATTTTAATCTATTTATTTTCACAGTATTTTCATGAAATTTAAAAAGTAAATACAGCAATATTTGGATTTACCTAACAAATCAAGAAAGGCAAGGGCTCACAGAGGTACAAAGGAGGCTATGCAATTTTCTGAAAACCTGATGAATGCTATGAATGCTGTCTCCTGGGGAGAAAAATACACATACACATCATATTTTGCATTCAATTTATGAAGGTTCACAGACTCCCCACAGATCATCAACAAAACCCAGACTAAGAAGCTCTGATATGAGTATTGTCATTTACCATTCTTTCTCAAGTAAACAAGGATTCTGGGTCAACCCTGAGCCCCTCCTAACCCTAATAATAACATATGAACTCCTTCTCTGTGAAGGCTATTAAAACCCCACAGAAAACTCATGTGGACTTCTTTAACAAACACGTGGGTTCTCAAAAGGACTACATGCAGCGTATGTCTAGGCAATGATGGGGTTGCCCTGGTGAGGTGATTAGAAACTCAATTAGTTTGGAAAATATGTTTTCCAGCTTCTATAAATTTGGCAGAGACAGAAGGCAGGATGAAGGGAATAGTACAAGGAAGACTAAGTTTTCTCCAAAGGCCCCATTCAAAATTTAGGAGTCATGTTATCCACATTGCTCACATGATATTGCAACTATGTTGGGAAATGCTTCTGCTCCACTCTCAAGCACTGCCTCCCACCTTCCCCATTCTGCTTTTTCTAATGGGGATTTCAGAATATCAACTTGCCAATTCTCTGATTCTCAGATATAAAAGTCAAACAGTGAGAGATCTGTTTTTCAGGTGACAATCAGCTGGGAGAGGCAAGGATAAAACAGACTGCATACAGTAAATAGCAGGAATTAGACATCAGGCAAAAAGCAAGTGGCAGCTATGTTCAATTAGCTTTTATTATTATATATATTTTAAAACTTTCAGTGTATGCATGGCATGGTTATCCATAACCCAATTTCCTCCTACAAACAGAGACTATGTTTTAAGGGTCAGAATGTAGCATCATTCAGATATAAAGGTAACAATCCTGGCCTTGCTTCAACAAAATGTAAATGCAGAGTTGTTTCTCCATAACAATCATCTCCACTTTCCCTCAACCATTGTGATTAAAGATACGCGTTTGAGAGGAAGCTGGTCAAATCAGTAGTGCAAGCTGTGGCTAAAGAATAAGATGTGTTGTGGTTTACATGCACATCCTTGACTTCATTAGCACAAATCTTTGTCCTCATCAGACCCATCTAAAGAATCACAAAATGCAAACAGAGGATTTGTCACTTTTTCTAGACAAATGATATTCAAGGAAAAAATTAAGGAGATCAGTGAGAGGCTGGAAAGAAAATGATCTTGAAATTAATAGGCAAATAAAGACTTTTCAAGAAAATGAAGAAATTGAAAGAAATCTTCGGAAATGAAAAAATAGGACTCATCCCATTCTAATACTCAGCTAACACAGAAAAGCAGTTCTCAGTGCTTGAGAGAACCAGTGAGGACCAGTGAAGATACACAAGTGACAAGTTATGTTGCCTATTCACAAGACTTGAGGGGAAAATTCAAAATTATCCATCAAAGGGAAGGTTATTTAAAGATCTCAGGGGTTGCTACTGCATTTTCTGCTCTTCTCTGGCTATATTCTTTTTTAAAATACCTCATCTAGCCCCACAGATATAAATACCATGTATACACCAATTATTCTCAAATTTATTTCTCCACCCCTGACTTTCCCCAGATCTGTATGCTCCACTGACTATTTAATTGCAATTCTCAAAGTAACCAATTAAAAAATAACTAAAATAATATACAAAAGGAAATGATGAGGGCATCAAAGGGTATAATAGGAAAAATACAGAAAAGAAGGCAGAATTGGAGAAATTGCAGAACAGAAGTTATATAAGCAATATAGAAAACAAATAGCAAAATGACAGAAATGAGTCCTTCCATATCAATAATCACTTTAAATGTAAATGAGTTAAACTCACCAATTAAAAGACACAGATTGGCAATGTGGATTAAGAAAAATGATTCAATGACATGTTTTCATTCATATACAGGAGCTAGAAAAGTTGATCTCATGGAGGTAAAAGGTAGAATGTTACCAGAGGCAAGGAAGCAGAGGAGGGATGAGGGGGGTTGGTTAATAGGTACAAACACACAGTTGAATAGAAGGAGTAATTTCTGGTGATCAGTGGCACAATAGGGTGACTATAGTTGACAATAATTTATTGTATATTTCTAAATACCTAGAAGAAGAGATTTGAATATTCCCAACATAGAGAAATGATGAATGTTTCAGGTGATGAATATTGTAAATACTCTGATTGATCATTACACATTATGTGCCTTTATCAAAATATCATATGTACCTCATAAACATGTTCAATTACTGTATATCAATTTATAAAATAAAAAATACTCTCTCTCAAAAAAGAGAAATGATTCATCTGTATGCTGTCTACAATAGACTCAGTTTAGACCCAAAGACACAAATAAGTTGAAAGTAAAAGAATGACAGCTACTCGGGAGGCTGAGACAGGAGAATGGTGTGAACCTGGGAGGCAGAGCTTGCAGTGAGCCGAAATCGCGCCACTGCACTCCAGCCTGGGCGACAGAGTGAGACTCCATCTCAAAAAAAAAAAAAAAAAAAAAGAATGAAATAAAATATATTCCATGCAAACAGTAAATAAACAGAAGAGAGCTTAAGTGGCTATATTAATAAACAAAATGGATATTTAGCCAAAAACTGTTACAAGGGACAAAAAAGAGATTATATACTAATAAATGAATCAAGAAGATATAACAATTATAGATATAAGTGTACCAACAAAAGGGCCCCAAAATACATGAAGCAATTATTGACAGAATTGAAAAGATAAACAGATAATAATACTTGGTTCTACCATAATACTTGGAGGCTTCAATGTCTCATTTTCAATAATGGATAGAACATCTAGACAGAAGATCAATTTAAAAATACAGGACTTAAACAACACTATAGACCAAATATCCAACAGACAGATAGACATTCTACCAAACAATAGTAGAATACATATTCTTCTCAAGTGCATGTAAAATATTCTTCAAAATTTATTGCATGTTAGGATACAAAACAAATCCCAGTAAATTTTAAAATATTGTAATCATACAAAGCATCTTGTCTGACAGCAAAGGGATGACACCAGAAATCAATAACAGAAAGAATATTGGAGAATTCATAAATATGTGAAAATTAAACAACATATTCTTAAACAACTGTGCAAATTAATCATATAAATTTGGTCACTCTTGTCATACCCAACTAAAACAGAGTTGAGAGCTCAAGGGGAAAAAAGCACTCAGGGCACACAACATTGCTCCAAAAAATGTAATTCTTTGCAAGCCTGCTGTAACTTGAAATCAGTTTTATTTAATGGCTATTTAAAGAAACTTTTGCAACTCTAAGACTGGTTTTACCCACTGCTGTCACTCACCAATCAGAGTTTTCCAGCATCCCAAAACCTTACTAAGTGTCAACGAACTTTCCTGACAAGTAATACATAACATTTCTCTTTTTTTTTTTATAAAACCTCTAACCTTCTCTTTATTCTTTAGACATACCAGAGACCACGTACGTGGTCAGCACATATGCCCCAAATTGGGATTCTTTTTTCCCAAATAAAATGTTTTAATTTCAGAGATTTATCTCATATTTTATTTGATTTTGACATACTTGACAGAAGTGGGGTCCAAAGCTGTCTAACCTTGGAGAAAAATCACCAGCCCTTGGAACTACAGCATAAGGAACGCACACTGGGGCCCTATGATCCCCCCACTTCTGCAGATTGCCTCTTTTCCCCTTGGCAAGTCTCTCTTGCACTGAATTCCTGATTTGGGTTGAGTTCTGTTTTATTTAGGACTTGGATGGGGAGGGTTTTTTTCTCCTTTATGCCTGATCTACTTGGGAGAGCTACTATTCAAGAGTACTCTTCCCCTTGGAGACCCTGGCTTTGGAATCTGGGCTAAGGGATTTTTTTCCCCTTCAGGTTGAGACCTTGGTGAAGGGATCTTTCCTTTTCCCTTCAGTTGGAGAAGGCAACTTACCATTATTCTTGGTAAGCGTATACTTTATTTTCTGTCTGTGCTTGAGTTTATTTGGTCATTGAGTATTCAGCTCTTGCATTTAATTGGCTTTTGTGTATTTGGTATTAAATCAGAGCACTCACAAAATGGGCTCTCAAAATTCAAAGGCATGCCAAGATATTTTCTGGGACTCATGTTCAAATATTATAGGAATCATTCAGTCTGCTGTTCTTAAAACTAAACCAAAAGATCATGGCTATAAAAGCATATACTCCAAATAAGATACGCATATCTCACTGAGATCTGATAAAAGAGAGAAAATCATTCAGAACTCAAAGATTGTCTCATACAAAATACTGTCTCAAAGCTGGCTGAACTCTTTCCTCTCTGCAGTTTTCCCCTCCCCTTCTTAAAATTTCTCTTTATGCTTCTCTAAGATAAACTCTCTTTTTCCAAAACTCCTGAGCTATTCTAACATACTATTTAAGTAAAACACTTGAAAACCAGCAGGTATAAAAAAATCATTTTGATCTTCATGCTGTTTCCTTTGCAAAAAAAAAAAAAGAAATTCCCATGTGAAGACAAATGTATCCTATACTAAGGGGAATGGCAACATTCTTATCTTCAAGGACAAAGAATTGAGACCAAAAAATAATACTGTATAGACTCTGTTAGAATAACTCTTATCTTTTGGGCCTCCTCCCATAATTCAGTCACATTTTCACAGTTAACTGTCCTTTGTCCAATCCAGTATATTGGTAACTGACTCAAACTGCTTTACCCAAATTTTGGTTCACAGCCTTTATAAGACTGCCATTTTTAAAAATCTTAAAGTTTAGCCTTGTCACATTTCATCAGATAAATGATTTGGATCCAACAGATTTCCATAAACTGATGAGTTGATGTATTTTACTATCTCATGACTAGAATTCTAAAATAAATGCTATGAGATTTTTATTTATATGTATATGTATTTAGGTGTGTTTATACATATATACATGCATTATGCTGTATGTTGTGTCTACATAATAAAATCTGGTGTAGTTAGCCAAAATCCCTAAAAGAATGTTATTCCAATTGGTTTAAATAAATGAGTACTCATAAAATATATAGTAATTAAACCAATTTTTTTAAGTTCACATGACTTAAGTAAATCTTTAACAAATAGTTTGGATTTAAAATTATTGGTAAAACAGTCTTCAAAATTGTTAGTGTACACTTTTTCCTGGGTTTACAATTCAGACAGTCTTATAAACTTCACGAATATTTTAAAGTGTCAGGGTTTGACATAAAGGTCATAAAGCTATAAAATCAGCCTAAAACAGAATGATCTTTGCATACTTTTTTGATAAATATTCTTAAATTTAATATTGTTGATTTAATAAAAACAGTTGCATCTCCTGAGATAACAATAAGATATCCACGTATTTAACTCTGAAGTTTATAGCCTACTAAACCAGGCAAACACCTGATTAAATACATGGATAACCAAGTTTATAGCCTATTAAGTCAGGTAATAGGCTATAAACTTGGTTAGTAAAAAAAACTTGAAAGAAATAACTAGCTCCATCTAATATCTAAGTTTTCATAGGCAATCTATATATAATTGTTAAATTAGATAACTGTAAATGGAATAAATGTTTATAAATGAACTTTTCATGTAATTTAAAATCTTAAAGTTATGTTGTTTTAAATTGAAAAATAATACTCATTAAATGTCTGGATCATTTACAATTAAGGGAAATTTTATGTTATAATGAAACATGTTTCTAAAAATTATAAAATTGTTCTCATCTATAAAATACAAATGCATGACAGATAACTCAAAATTTCTTACTTCCTAGGTTTCCACTAAAATTTAAAGTTACCAAGAGTTGAAAATTCTAATTAATATATAAAATTCTGTATGTAAAGTGTGCCAAAAAGAGATGTTTTTAAAAGAAAAAAAGTGTGACAGGAATAAAAATGTTCATTATTGAGAAAAAGAAAATTTTGTGTAAGAAAAAATCTTGTGGTAAATATTTTTGTGTGAAAATTAAATGACTGGTTATTTAAGGAAGAGGAAATATGAGACAGAGCGGATAGTCCAACCATGTTTTCAAAGTTCTGAGTAACATCGTAATAAGATTTGTGTAAAGAAAATGTATAAGGCCGGGCGCGGTGGCTCACGCCTGTAATCCCAGCACTTTGGGAGGCCAAGGCGGGCGGATCACGAGGTCAGGAGATCGAGACCATCCTGGCTAACATGGTAAAACCCCGTCTCTACTAAAAATACAAAAAATTAGCCAGGCGTGGTGGCGGGCGCCTGTAGTCCCAGCTGCTCGAGAGGCTGAGGCAGGAGAATGGCGTGAACCCGGGAGACGGAGCTTGCAGTGAGCCAAGATTGCACCACTGCACTCCAGCCTGGGTGACAGAGCGAGACTGTGCCTCAAAAAATAAAATAAAATAAAATAAAAATTTATAAAAAGAATTTTGTATGTGATCAAGTTGGCTATAATTAAAATAATTTATGAAGTCTTTCTTCTTTTTTTTTTTTTTTTTTTAGAGACGGAGTCTCGCTCTGTCGCCCAGGCTGGAGTGCAGTGGCGTGATCTCCGCTCACTGCAAGCTCCGCCTCCCGGGTTCACGCTATTCTCCTGCCTCAGCTTCGCGAGTAGCTGGGGGACTGCAGGCGCCCGCCACCACGCCCGGCTAATTTTTTTGTATTTTTAGTAGAGACAGGGTTCCACCGTGTTAGCCAGGATGGTCTCGACCTCCTGACCTTGTGATCCGCCCGCCTCAGCCTCCCAAAGTGCTGGGATTACAGGCATGAGCCACCGTGCTCGGCCTGAAAATACGCATAAAATGCCTGACTTCAAGTATTCCCAGCCCTACAGTAAATAAATAAATATTGTCACTTCCTGGAAGGCTTGGGGACCTTAAGACTGTAAACAAAATCTAAAATCTGCATTGGTTTGGCTTCTTAGCCTCAAGACGCTTGTAAATCTGAGAATCCTATGTGATTAATAAAGGAAAAAGTTATGTTTCCAAAGAGAAACTATAATATACTTATTATTAGATTAAAACCCTGTACACTGTTTTTGAGTTTTTGTTATATACCTATAGATTAGTCTACATCCTAAATTTTTCTGGGTTACTCCAATGCGACATTGTTCCAAAACATTACTGAAACGTAAACTGTTCTGTTTCTAAAGCCCTATAAGCTGAAACTAGATAAATTTTAAAGTGCTTGTCTTGTGCCTGATGTATAGGCCACACAGAAGGCTCACCAAGCTGCCTGATGCCATATCAAGAGACATTCAAACTGCAAACAAGGATAAGAGGTTGATATTTTCCATGCTGTAAACAACTTTTCTTAAGACATCAGAACAAGACTCCATATCATAATGAGACTCTTACCTCCCTTAATGATGCCTATTTGACTTGGCAGAATAATTCTGTAGTTAAGATTTCACAATCCGTAACCCATATAGGTAACTTGACAAAACCCAATCTAAGAAATCCTTTGAGTCCACCTAGTGGGTAACTTTGGCAATATCGCTAAGACAACTTTTTGTTCAAATTGTACTGGTGACTCCTTTTGCAAAGCTGGCATTCTCTGCTTTAATTCAACCCAATCATAAAATACTACCGGTCTCAACGGGTCTCACCCAGTTTCCCCAATGGTCTATTGATTTGTTTAGTTTGTTGCCCTCAGGCTTGATGCTTAGTTCAAAATCACTGTACAAACTAAATTTTTTATATTGTTAATTGTTTATATTATGATTTTTAAACTTCATCCTCATTGCCTGACTAATCTGTGTAAAGCCAATTCTCCTAACAGGATAATGTTAGCTCAACACTTCAGGATGATTGCCGATGCCTAAAACTGATAAGATGGAATTCAATGCTGGACTCCAAACAAACCTACCCTGAGACTTTTTCTTCTGGCTTCTTTGTTACTTAAATACGTCCAAGATCCCTGACAGACACCTCCCATACCTTCCCCCTGACTTGGGACAGAGACAACCAGGATAGGCCCATCACAGAGCCAAGGGACGATTAAAACTAACTGCAAAATTGTTGATCATCCATGCTTTCACAGAAAGATCTTGATCGAAAGGGGGAAATGTGAAAGTCAATTATACAAATTGGGTCATTCTTATCATACCCAACTAAAACAGAGTTGAGAGGTCTGGGGAAGAAAGCATTCAGGGCACATAACGTGGTTTGAAAAATATAATTCTCAGCAAGTTGGCTGTTGAAACTGCCTGCTGTAACTTGAAACCAGTTTTATCTAATGGCTGCTGAAAAACCTTCTGCAACTCTAAGACTTGGTTTGCTCATTGCCATCACTCCCCAATCATAACTTGTCAGCTCCCCCAAACCTTACCAATTGCAATGAACTTTCTTGAAGAGCAATATGTAACATTGATCCTTTTTATAAAACCTCTAACCTTCTCTTTGTTCTTCAGATATAACAAAGACCATCCAGTTTGTGAGCGTGCCCCAAATTACGATTATTTCTTCCCAAATAAAATGTTTTAATTTCTCTATATTTTATTTGACTGTGACACAACCAATGGGTCAAGAAAGGAACCACAAGGGAAATCAGAGAATACTTTTATAAAAATGAAAATGAAAACACAGCATACCAAAAACTTGTAGAAGGAAGTAAAAGCAGTGCTATATATAGCTCTAAATGTTACAATAGAATACATTACAATAGAAGCTGTATCTCAAAATCAGTTACCTAATGTTACATATTAAAGACTAGAAAAATAAAAGTAAACTAAACCGAAAGCTAGCAGAATAAAGGAAATAAAATTTAGAGAAGAAATACATGAAATAGAGAACAGAAAACAAAACAGAATCACTGAAACCAAAAAGTTGGTTCATTGAAAAAATATCAACAAAACTGACAAGTCTGTACCTAGACTATGGAAAAAAGAGAAGATGCAAATAACTAAAATTAGAAATGGAAGTGTGGTATTACTCCAAAACTTGCAGAAATCAAAAGGATTATAAATGATTATGAACAATTTTATCTCTATAAATTGTCAAACTAATAAAACGACCAAAGAAGAAACAGAAAATCTGGATAGATCTATAACAAGTAAGGAAATAGAACTATTAATCAAAAACCTCTCAATGAAGAAAAGCTCAGAATCAGATGGCTTCACTGGTAAATTCTGCCAAACACTTAAAGAATTAACAGTATCAGTATGCTCTTTACTCAAATATTATTGATCTTCTTTCAGTTGTAAGAATGCTCAAAGTTCTTCTCTGTTATTCATTCCAATTCCTAGAATTCTCTTCTCAGATTTTTCAATATCTTATTTATATCTTATTTAAATATCTTGTATCTCATTCTTATCCTCAAACTTCAGCTTAACTGTTTTTCCTTTATAGAGGCCTCCCCAAATCATGCTACCTAGTAATTCCCCTCTATGTATTTTTTATCACAGGATGGTATTTATTTCAGAACCCTTATCCTGAAATTACCCTTATTTGTTTACCTTTTTGATCCTCTGTCTTCACCTTCCACACCCACTAGATTGAAATCCCATGAATGAAGAGTTCTTGTTCATCTAGTTTTCAGTAATATAACCACAGCCCAGCAAGGTACCTGACACAGAGTAGGCACTAAATAAATTTTGGTGAATTAATAAGTAATGGAAAAAAACACTTTATAGAGCCTTCGATCTAATTCAGTGACTGAAAATTTGGCACAAAAAATAACTGGTTTCATGTTGCTATTTTGGCAAACTAAAATATATTTATCTGATATCTTCCATCTTTCCCTACTGCCATCTTTTAAAAATATTTACCTTTAAATATTTTCCTAAAAACTTAAGATGAAGAATAATTTTTTAAACTATAGCTACATACAGTCATGTGATGCATAATGATGTTTTGGTCAACAGCAGGCCACATATATAACTCCATTATAATAAGATTATAACAGAGCTGAAAACTTCCTATTGCCTAGTGACTTGTAGCCATTATAATGTCATAGTACAATGCATTACTCACATGTTTTTGGTGATATTGATGTAAATAAACCTATTGTGCTGCCAGTTATATAAAAGTATAGCACACACAATTATGTACAGCATGTAGTACCTGATAATTATAATAAAAAGCTAGGTTCTTTATGTATTTACTATAGTATACTTTTCATTATTACATTACAAGGTACTCCTTATACATATAAAACATAAAATTTAACTGTAAAAAAGCCTCAAGCAGGTCTTTCAGGAGGTATTCCTGAAGACGGTATCGTTACAGATGACAGCTCCATGCATTATATTGCCCCTGAAGACCTTCCAATGGGACAAGATGTAGAGGTGAAAGACAATGATATTTATGAGCCTGACCCTGTGCAGGCCTAGGCTAATATGGGTATTTGTCTCTTAGTTAACAAAAAAGTTTGAAAAGTTAAAAAAAAAAAAGATTATATAATAAGGATACAAAGAAATGAAATATTTGTGTACAGCTGTAAATGTGTTTGTGTTTTAAGCCGTTATTACAAAAGAGTCAAAAAGTTTAAAAAATTAAAAAGTTGGCTGGTGGCTGGGCGTGGTGGCTCACACCTGTAATCCCAGCACTTTGGGTGGCCATGGCAGGCAGATCACTTGAGGCCAGGAGTTTGAGACCAGCCTGGCCAACATGGTGAAAACCTGTCTCTACTAAAATACAAAAATTAGCTGGGCATGATGGTGCACACCTGTAATCCCAGATACTCAGGAGGCTGAGGCAGGAGAATCTCTTAAACCCGGCAGGTGGAGGTTGCAGTGAGCCGAGATTGTGCCACTGTACTCCAGCCTGGGTGACAGAGTGAGACACTGTCTCAAAAAAAAAAAATTAAAAAGTTAATAAAAAAGTTATAGTAAGCTAAGTTTATTATTGAAGAAAGAAAAATATTATTGTACATTTATTGTAAAAAATGAAAATAATAAATTTAGTGTAGCCTAAGTGTACAGTGTTTATAAAGTCTACAGTAGGGTACAGTACTAGGCCTTCACATTCACTCACTACTCACTGACTCACCCAAAGCAATGTCTAGTCCTGCAAGCTCCATTCATAGTAAATATCCCATATAGAAATACCATTTTTTACGTTTTTTATACTGCATTTTTACTGTACCTTACCTATCAAGATACACAAATATCTATGTAGATACACAAATACCATTGTGTTACAATTACACTTTTGTAGCCTAGGAAAAATAGACTTGTAACACATAGCCTAGGTATGTAGTAGGCTATACCATCTATGTTTGTATAAGTACACTCTGATGTTCACACAATAATGACAAATGCCTAATGATGCATTTCTCAAAACATATCCACATCATTAAGTGATGCATGACTGTACTATCATCTGGCATTATTCTTCAGAAAACCATCATATCCTCTTTAAGAAGGCTAAAAAGGCTAAATATGCAATGTATTTTTGGATGTTAAGTTACAATGATAAGCAAAAGTCATTCCAGATGGTATTAAAAAGTAGCAGTAAATAGGAATCAGTATTCCCTAAGGGAGATTCTGAATAGTAAGAAACTGATATACATAAGTACAGGCATATCAGCCCCAGATATACATTCTCAGTCTACAGTCTCACAAGAGACCCAAATCAGAATGAGATGAGAGGGAAGGGTGACACCTTCATCTCAACCACATTTTCTATTTGGTTTGCCTGATTTTTTGTTACACCAGGTCAAATCCCTAAAATTATTACCTACCGACGGCCAGACTTTCTGGACAAAAAAGTTCCTTACAATCTCACAAGTTTTCATAATAAAATGAGCCCAAAATTTTGTTAAGGCCCTTGTACTACAATGAAGCACCTGAAAACTGAGACACTATCCAACTATACACCTTATTCAGAGGTCAGAAGGGGAGAAAACAAGGGCCAATAAATGCTGTCAGCAGCTGAGATACATCCACATAACTAGATGTGTTCTGAAAAAAATGTTTATTATTTTAGCTAACATGTATTGAATGCTTATAATGGGCCAGCTTTTTCTAGGGATTCATAATTTTTATTGCAGCTAAATCTCACAATAACTCTAAGAGATAGGTGCTGCCAAGATGCTCAATTTACCACTGAAGAAATCAAGCCTCTGAAATTTAGATAATTTGCCCCAAGTCTCACAAATAGTTAAATGACAAAGCTAGAAATTGAAGTCATGCAGTCTGATTCCAAGATTACAGCTCTTAACAGTTATAATGCTCAAGGGAAACAATTAGGCAAAAAAAAATGTATTGAGGAATACCATCTCAAAACTCATTTATCTATTTAAAATCACATAATTTGTAAGTCAGTTTATTAAGCCAAATATTAGACTCTCCTTATTCATTGCCATTTAAATCTGAGGGTTCTCTCCATGGACTTTGACAGTATTAACTAAAGGATATATGTACTGTATATTGTATACAATCAACATTTACTCAATAGGCTCAGTTAATTTGCATAACTCTAGGTAGGCTTCTTCTGTCTCTAGTCTTCTGTCCTGAGTCTTCTGTCCGATTTCCACCTGAGAGTCCTGAGCAACAGAAGTTAAGAGCTGGTGGCAAAAGCTATCACTTCATGTTGAAAGAGAAGGGAGGAAAATTCCAAGAACAATAGTGATGACTTTTCCAGAAAAGTGGCAAGCCATTTACCCATAGGTTACCTTATCTTGAGGTAATCATAAACTCTGCCATTGAAGACATTATTTCAGTAACTTTTGTTGCCTTAGACTAAAATTTACTATTTATTGACTTCACGGCTAATCACTGTCTCTGTCTCCACTCTAATGAAAACCATTTCAGGATAAGTATAAGAGCTAAGTAGTAATTTGTTGCAAGAATAAATCAGATGCTACAGGCTCCCAACTTCTATTTCTATTTCCACCTTGGTGTAAATGCCATTTCTTTTCTCCTCAGATAATCAGATGAGCCATTAATGGGCACTATATAAGGAGGAACCAGAGAAAGATTCAACAGAAGGTCTCTTCTGCAAGTAGAAGGGACCGCATTTTATCTGAAGCAGTTCTGCTTTACTTCAGAGAGATAAAAGAACTTCCACTTCCAAGGAGGTCAAGGATAGGATGAAGTAAGAGGCAAAAATGATCTTGTGTACGTTACCTAGTAATAAAAGTATTCCCACGTTTTAACATAACTGTTCTGAAGCTATTCCAAAATAGCTGCATCAAAATGTCTCCAGTGCCTAAAATGGTAATATTTAAAAGATGGAAGAGCAGATGCACTACTTTACATTTCTCCCACTAACTACAATTAACAACTCTGGACATTACATACAAAAAAACATGTGAAGATTCTAAAAGGTGGAGAAAAGGGGAATGAGCAACTAGGGGACTTGGGACCCAAGGAATGTCATGGTATTAAATTCTATGGTTTTATTCTTGCCTCATATATTTTTAATTGGGTTATTAGAACCCTGTAACCAGGAAGCACCAATGACTGCAGACTTAAAATGTTTCAAGAAAAACCTGCTCTCTCTAGCCAAAGGACCAGGAAAATGGCAGGCTAACGAGACGGAAAACTTTTAGAAAATAATCACCCTACTTCAGTGTCTTAGTTTGTTTTTGCTACTACAACAGAATACCACATACTGGGTAATTTACAATAAACAGAAATTTATTGGCTCACCATTTTGGAAGCTGAGAAGTCTGAGATCAAGGTGCTGCCATCTGGTGAGGGCCTTCTTCCTGCATAATAATATGGCAGAAGGCATCACATAGTGGAAGGGCAAAGAGAAGATGATACAGTGAGCAAGAGGGAGCAAGAAAGTGAGCAAGAGGAGGCAAACCCATTCCCATGATAATGGCATTACTCCATTCGTGAGAGTGGAACCCCCATGACCTAAATACCTTTTAAAGATCCCACCTCCCCTCATGCCTGTAATCTCAGAATTTGGGGAGGCCAAGGTGGGCAGATCACTTGAGCCCAGAAGTTCAAGACCAGTCTGGGCAACAAAGAGAGACCCTGTCTCTACAAAAAATAAAATAATTAGCTGGGTGTGGTGGCATGCACCTGCCGTCCAAGCTGAGGTGAAGGGAAGCTGAGGCAGGAGGATCATTTGAGCCTGGGAGTTCGAGGCTATGGTGAGCTATGATCGCACAACTGCACTCCAGCCTGGGTGACAGAAAGAGACACCATCGCAAAAGAAAAAAAAGGGTCCCACTTCCCAATGTAATCAAAATGGAAATTAAATTTCAACATGAGTTTTGAAAGGGACAAACATTTAAACCATAGCATTCAGTCAAACACCATGGAAAAAAATAAAAACCTACGGTCTCATCCCAACCCATGACAGCACAGGCCAAGTGGTAAACCTAGACTCCTACCTTCATAAAGCTGTAACAAGGCACCTCTTCCCTTCTCCCTCTCCACTGCCAGGGTGGTGACAAAGAAAGCTGAGTGGGTAGCCAGAACTTTCATTCTAGCCTGGCCTAGTGGTAAGGAGGCCCTCTTCAAGGGTGATAGTGGAAGCCACGTGAAAAAAACAGTAGCAAAGCACCCTTTTCCCTCCCAGCCAGTATCTGCAGAGTACTACTGGGGACTTGAAATTCCATCCCTGCCCAGAAGTAATGAGGGTCTCCTCTTTCTGAGATGTCAAAGGAGACCTAGTGGGAAATAGGCATGGGACTTTCATTCACAACTAACAGTAATGAGGCAGTATACCATTCATTGTGCTGGTGTAGTAAATAGTCATTATCTACTCAGTGATAAATATTGTATGCTTTAAAGAATAATCTTGGGTGTGGCTGGCAAGATGGCCAAATAAAAACAGCTCCAGTCTGCAGCTCCCAGAGAGATCAATGCAGAAAGCAGGTGATTTCTGCATTTCCAACTGAGGTACCCGGCTCATCTCATTGGGACTGGTTAGACAGTGAGTGCAACCCACGGAGGGCGAGCTGAAGCACGATGGGGTGTCTTCTCACCCAGGAAACACACAGGAGGTTGGGAAACTCCCTCCGGTAGCCAAAGGAAGCCGTGAGGGACTGTGCCATGAGGAATGGTGCATTCCGGCCCAGATACTACACTTTTCCCACGGTCTATGCAACCCACAGACCAGGAGATTCCCTCGGGTGCCTACACCACCAGGGCCCTGGGTTTCAAGCACAAAACTGGGCGGCTGTTTGGGCAGAAACAGAGCTAGCTGAAGGAGTATTTTTTCAGACCCCAGTGGTGACTGGAACACCAGCGAGACAGAACCGTTCACTCCCCTGGAAAGGGTGCTGTGGCCAGAGAGCCACGTGGTCTAGCTCAGCGGATCTCACCCCCACAGAGGCCAGCAAGCTAAGATCCACTGGCTTAAAATTCTTGCTGCCAGCACAGCAGTCTGAAGTGGACCTGGGATGCTCGAACTTGGTGGGAGGAGGGACATCCACCATTACTGAGGCTCGAGTAGGCGGTTTTCCCTCACAGTGTAAACAAAGCTGCCTCGAAGTTTAATCTGGACGGAGCCCACTGCAGCTCAGCAAAGCCGCTGTAGCCAGAATGCCTCTCTAGATTCCTCCTTTCTGGGCAGCGCATCTCTGAAAGAAAGGCAGCATCCCCAGTCAGGGTCTTATAAATAAAACTCCCATCTCCCTGGGACAGAGCACATGAGGGAAGGGGTGGCTGTAGGCACAGCTTCGGCAGACTTAAACGTTCCTGCCTGCTGCCTCTGAAGAGAGCAGCGAATCTCCCAGAACAGCGCTCAAGCTCTGCTAAGGGACAGACTGCCTCCTCAAGTGGGTCCCTGACCCCTGTGCCTCCTGACTGGGAGACACCTCCCAGCAGGGGTCGACAGATATCTCATACAGGAGAGCTCCGGCTGGCATCTGGCTGGTGCCCCTCTGGGATGAAGCTTCCAGAGGAAGGAACAGGCAGCAATCTTTGCTGGTCTGCAGCCTCCGCTTATGATACCCAGGCAAACAGGGTCTGGAGTGGACCTCCAGCAAACTCCAGCAGACCTGGAGAAGAGGGGCCTGACTGTTAGAAGGAAAACTAACAAACAGGAAGGAATAGTGTCAATATCAACAAAAAGGACGTCCACACCAAAACCCCATCTGAAGATTACCAACATCAAAGACCAAAGGTAGATAAATCCATGAAGATGAGGAAAAACCAGCACAAAAAGGCTGAAAATTCCAAAAACCAGAATGCTTCTTCTCCTCCAAAGGATCACAACTCCTCGCCAGCAAGGGAACAAACTGGACAGAGAGTGAGTGTGACGAATTGACAGGAGTAGGCTTCAGAAGGTGGATAATAACAAACTCCTCCAAGCTAAAGGAGCATGTTCTAACCCAATGCAAGGAAGCTAAGAACCTTGATAAAAGGTTAGAGGAATTGCTAACTAGAATAACTAGTTTAGAGAAGAACATAAATGACCTGATGGAGCTGAAAAACACAGCACAAGAACGTTGTGAAGCATACACAAGTTACCAATAGCCAAATTGATCAAGTGGAAGAAAGGATATCAGAGATTAAAGATTAACTTAATGAAATACAGCGTGAAGACAAGATTAGAGAAGAAAGAATGAAAAGGAATGAACAAAGCCTCCAAGAAATATGGGACTATGTGAAAAGACCAAATCTACGTAAATCTAAAGTGAAGACTTTAACTCACACCATGTAAGAAGACAGGAAGTTGGCTTACATGTGAATTCTCTGACCTCCAAAAGTTGCAATTTGGCATGAGGTAATCACAAAACAAACACATTTAACACTAGTATAAGCCCCTCTAATCTTATATATACTGGCCCATTTTAATTGTTGTCAAATGAAAACATTTTTTTTCCTCTGAAGTTAATTTCTCAATCTAAAAACAGAGATGTCTAAGGAAATTACCAACATTTTACAGAAATTCAAAACAACCTTAATCTTACTAACCCATTGGAGGCTCATCCAATTCATAAACATGATCTTGCAACTTAACATTTGGTTTTGTACCTTGTACACCTTGTACAGTTAACCAATGTAGAGAAAACAATCATCAAATAAGTGTTTATTTACTATGTTCCAGGCACCATTCTAGGTGTTTGGGTAAATATCAGTGGAAACGGACAGTTTCCTTATAGCATCTAGAGTGGTGGTAGTAGGGATAGAGGATAAAAACAAAGATAAAATTAGTTAAATTAGTACAAGGGCTAGAAAGGAAACAAAACAAGGTAGTGACATAATAGTGATCGGGGTGGAGGTAGGTAACAGCTTTAGTCAAGGTGGTCAGGAACAAACCCCATGAGTGCCCTTTGACTAAAACCTGAATGCCAAGGAGGCAGTCATTGGACAACCTGGGAGGAAGACCCATGAAAATAACTAAGAACATAAAAATGAGGGTGAAAACTTGCAGTAATACTTCTAGAAATGTCTTCTATGCAAAGGGCAAGCAGGCAAAGGGGTTTCAAGACAAAGGGCAAACTCAGTGAATGATTGAATTACTAGAGTCTGGAGTATTTGCCCTGCAGCTTCTAGTGGACAGCCCAGCCCTTTCAGGCCAAAGGGCAAACTCTTTAGAGAAGCATTCATTATTCATCGCCCCATCTGCTTTATTTTTCTATTTCTTTTATTCTTAATTTTTGTGGGTACATAGTAGGTGTATATATTTATGGGATATATGAGATGTTTTGGTACAGTTATGCAATGTGAAATAAGCACATCATGGAGAATGGGGTATCCATCCCCAGCCCCATCTCCTTTAAAGGCCCATCTGCCACTCTGCCCAATGCTCTAGCCATTTCATTGCCTTGGACCAATATGCACACACCGCTGCCATTATCCATGCTGCTTCCTTTACTTGCAATGACTTTCCCCCAATCTTTATTGCCGGTTGAACTCCTAGTTTCAGAACTCAGCTGAAATGCCTCTTGTTGAGCACCTTCCCAGGCACCAACCCGCTTTCCCTGCCATCCCCTCAACCTTAGCTAATCATTCTGTCTCCTGAGATCCCACAGTACCTTGTGTTCATCCCTGTTATAGTTCTTGACACCTTGTGTCATCATCATCCAAATGTTTGTCTTCCCCTCTAGACCATGAACTAGATAGATCAAGCCATGGATCTTAAGCACCAATGCGTCCCCAGCCCTTGACATAACTCCAGGCCTATAGTAGGTGCTCAATATATGCTCACTGGATGATTGAATGACTAGGGTCTGGAGTATTTTTCCTACAGCTTCAAGCGGACAGCCCAGCTCTTCATGACCTAGGAAGACACTTCTATAGTTTTCGGTTTTGGTTTTTTGGTAATATGCTCCTCTAAAGTGAATAGCAATGGTCCTGTTGAAAGTTGTGAAGCAAAACTGGATGGACATTGACAGAAAGGAGGTAAAAGAAAAAAAGTAGAAATACTATAAGTATACAAAAACCATCTACCTGACTGTATTTGTTTTCACTAAGAAAGAGTAGAACCAGTCTTGGTGACAGCATTGCAGCAGGAAACAGGGGTGCTCCATTGGGCACCTTCCTCACCACAAGACTTCCATCAAATCCCCTATGTCTATTTTCTTGCCAGAGGCAATATCACTTCCTTCCCCAACTCCAAAGCTTAGAATATGTGGAAGTTTTGAACAAAGTGGGGATTTGCTCTAGATTAGGTGCTATCAGAAAGTGGGTGCAGTTCTGATTGGTATTTCGATAAATCTTATTTATAGAGAGGGGCTATTAGAACCAGGATAAAGCTGTAATTGGTAAATAAGTGGTACTCATTTTAATCAAGAGAAGCTAAGTTTAGTATTTTGTTTAGTATTTTGTGACTTCATTTTTCTCTGCTTGAATAAAATTATAAAGTGGCCTTGCTTTGTCTCTTTTTATCATGGACATAGAGTGATCCTGTCTGATGTTGGTGTTCTATGCAATTGTTTATATCCAGTAGGAGAATAAGATGGCTTAGCTGTGAGTGCCAGGTCAGCTCTGAATGTCAGGTGCTGCATTTTTTTTTTTTTTTGAGATGGAGTTTCGCTCTTGTCACCCAGTCTGGAGTGCAGTGGTGTGATCTCGGCTCACTGCAACCTCTGCCTCCTAGGTTCAAGCGATTCTCTTGCCTCAGCCTCCCAAGTAGCTGGGATTACAGGCACGTGCCAAAACGCCCAGCTAATTTTTATTTTATTTTTAGTAGAGATTGGGTTTCACCATGTTGATCAGGCTGGTCTCGAACTCTCGAGCTCAGGTGATCTGCCCGCATCGGCCTCCCAAAGTGCTGGGATTACAGGCGTGAGCCACCGCGCCCGGGCGTCAGGTGCTGCTTTTTTACCTCCATTCTCAATACACAATCCTTTCTCCCGACTAGACTGTGAGATTCTTCTTGCCAGAGGTGGTGGCACCTGCTTCTCTGTCCCTAGCAAGGTTTTACACAAGGCATTGAATGTAGGTGTTTAGTAAATATTTGCTGATTGATTCAGAGTCAGGAGGACAGGCTTGCCTGAATTTCAGAGACCCTCAACTCATAGCCATTTATTTATTTGGGTAATTAACCTTGTGCTGTCAAATTGCACCTGAAGCTGTATGTACAATAAGCATGCCTGTCTCAATTTCGGATTAAAGGTCAGAGGATGTTGGTTCTACTCCTGGCTCCTCCATTGAGTAGTATGACATTGGAAAGCCAGTTAACTACTCCAGGCCTTAATTTTTCCACTTAAAAAAGAATAAGCTTGGACTCAATAGCTAAAGGCCGTACCAAGCTCTGAAATTTGGGGAAAATGAGTTTTCTCTTGCATGTTTTCTACCTTTACAGAAAGTGCTAAAGCGTACATGGCCACACATCAGTACACAGGGGAAGAGTTACTCAATAAGTGGTGGTATAGGTGAGCTGTTCAAAATAAAAATCATCTGAGACTTTAATCTCACACTATGGATTAAGGAGCTAAAGGTAAACATTAAGAAGATCCCCAAAAAGAAAATATAAAATAAAAATTCTCTGTACAAGAAGATTTACAAATTTACAGTGAAGTCAAAACCATTAAAAAATTATTGTTAGACTTTTGGAACATACAAATGAAAAACTAAATACTTGGAAACATTAACCAACTTAGAAGGCAAAATCAAACTGGGAAAATATTTTCAACAAATAATTAATATTGTAAATATAATTCCATCTCATTCCATCTACCTATCTCACTCAAATCTTGACTGAAGTCAGGGTATTAGCCAGGGGAGTATATAACTCCATGTAGCTAGGAAAAAACGGATTCCTCCAAATCCAAATTAGAGGGTTCTCTGAAGGCCTGAGAGACTACAGTCATTCCTAGTTATCCATGGGGGATTTGTTCCAAGACCTCCTGCAGATACCAAAATCTGCAGATGCCCAAGTTCCAGATATAAAATGGCATAATATTTGCATATAACCTATGCACATTATCATGTATACTTTAAATCATCTCTAGATTATTTGTAATACCTAATACAATGTAAATGCTATCTAAATAGTTGTTATACTATATTGTTTAGGGAATAATGACACAAAGAAAGTCTGTACATGCTCAGTGCATATGCAAATTCTGAATATTTTTGATCCAGTTAGTTGAATCCACACATGCAGAATCCATAGATACAGAGGGCCAAATATACCTGACGGCTTCTCTCCAATAATTTAAGAACAGGGAAAAATTATTTTTGATGTAATCATATACATGTATAGTATTTTACAGTACAAAAAGGGTTTTCATCCCATTATCTTACTTGATTCTCAGATCAACCTTGGGAGGTAGCTAGAGAATCATTATCTTAACTTCACAAATGATAAAACTGAGGCATAGAAATAAATAACTTTCCAAACATCGCATCAGGAAGCAAATATTAAAGCAACTCCAGACCTCAGACTGGGGTTCTGCCTGGGTTTTGCTGTCTTAATAGTGAGTATTTTGGATTAGAAATTTTCCACATTGTCTTCCAGATTTAAACCAATGACTTGTGACAGCACCATGCCCCTTTTTTAGATGAAACTAGAGAAAAATAGAAGCACTGAAATTTGACTGAGTTGATGAAAGGAACAACAATGACCTGCTCAACTTGATGAGATTTAATGGTACTAATATTGCTCAATTTAATACATGAAATATGCTACCTGCAATTTTTTTCAGAGAGCAGTTGTAGTGTGACAAAAAATTTCATAGAATGAACACAAAATAACAGTTGATTTCTCCAAAATGTTCAGAATTACTTACTACTTGAATCTTGATTAAGCGGGTTTTGAAATCAACAAAAAGCCTTGGGCTGTTGCTTGAAATATCCTAGGAAGCCTGTCCTTTTGGTGTTTTGTTTAGTTTTTTTTTTTTAATTATTTTGAGACTGAGTCTCGCTCTGTCACCCAGGCTGGAGTGCAGTGGGGACATCTCAGCTCACTGCAACCTCCACCTCCCAGGTTCCAGCAAATTTCCTGCCTCACTGTCTTGAGTAGCTGGGAATATAGGCGCACACCCCCACACCCAGCTAATTTTTTGTATTTTTAGTACAGACAGGGTTTTACCATATTGGTCATGCTGGTCTCGAACTACTGACCTCAGGTGATCTGCCTGCCTCGGCCTCCCAAAGTGCGGCCTCCCAAAGTGCTGGATTACAGGCGTGAGCCACCACCCCCAGGCACTTTTGGTGTTTTTGATGCTTAGCTCTTATGAGATGACCTGGTCCTTTTAAAAAAAGTATCTCTTTTTTTCCCCATTATTTGGAGGTTTGAAGTGAATTTGGCAGGATTCATTAAACACCTTCCAGTGTCTGTCATTTACCACCTCAACACTCAGTGATGACTGCATCCATTTCAACTCTGCACATTCTTTTCTAAGTAGCTTTAACTACGTTAACTCAGTGAAATTCTTATGTCTCTTGGGAGGTTTTCACTACTGCTTAGCTATGAACTATATAACATTTTTATGACACTATCTCTACTGGCATGAGCCATTACTAGGTGGAAATAAGTGAACTCTGTGACCGCCTTGCAGTTCCCATGCTCCAGGGTGCCTCCACATGGGACTACTATAGTGTTGCTAATAATCATAAAATTAAAAGGGCAGGACTTGTGTGGACCTAAAGGGGTAGCCTTGGACACTAAGGCCTCATAGAAAAGGTAGAGCTCGGCCTGGCACGGTGGCTCATGCCTGTAATCCAAGCACTTTGGGAGGCTGAGGCAGGTGGATCACAAGGTCAGGAGATCGAGACCATCCTGGCCAACATGGTGAAACCCTGTCTCTACTAAAAATACAAAACCTAGCCAGGCGTGGTGGCATGTACCTGTAGTCCCAGCTACTCAGGAGGCTGAGGCAGGAGAATCACTGGAACCCAGGAGGCGGGGATTGCAGTGAGCCGAGATCTTGCCACTGCACTCCAGCCTGGGCAACAGAGCAACACTATGAAAAGAAAAGAAAAAGCTCTGGATTCTGGATTCTCAGTTCTAGAGCTTAAGGGCCTTGATCATTCATTGGACATAGAACATGTCAATCTGAAGTTTTCAGCAAATGAGCTTAGGGCTCACTGAGAGCCCCTCGTTGACCCTTCCGGTCCCGCCCCCTTTCGCCTGCCAACCAGAATCTTTCCCAACTTGTCTAAGTCCTCTCAGGCCAGCCTTGGTGGGAGGTTTCTAGGATTCGCTCCCTGCCCTTCCCATCTTAGGGTGTCGTCTGAGACAGACTCTTATTCCCTCAATAAAGAGAGAGACTCTTATTCCCTCAGCGGCCAGCTCCTCGCCTCCCCTCGGCCGTAGCCACCTCAGTGGTCACCGTCTTCACCGTGGTCGCCTCAGCCCGCTCGCCACCCCAGTTGAGGCGCTGCTGGTGTCATGTCTGCCACAGGGGACCGACACCCGACCCAAGGGGACCAGGAGGCCCCGGTAAGCCAGGAGGGAGCACAGGCCGAGGCGGCCGGAGCTGGTAACCAGGAGGGCGGCGACTCCGGCCCCGACAGCAGCGACGTGGTGCCTGCGGCCGAGGTGGTCGGAGTCGCAGGGCCCGTGGAAGGCCTCGGGGAGGAGGAGGGTGAGCAGGCGGCAGGCCTGGCCGCAGTCCCCCGGGGCGGGAGCGCCGAGGAGGACTCAGATATCGGGCCCGCGACGGAGGAAGAGGAGGAGGAAGAGGGGAACGAGGCGGCCAACTTCGACTTGGCGGTGGTCGCCCGTCGCTACCCGGCGTCGGGCATTCACTTCGTGCTCCTGGACATGGTCCACTCCCTTCTCCACCGCCTCTCTCACAACGACCACATCCTCATAGAGAACCGTCAACTCAGCCGCCTGATGGTGGGGCCACACGCTGCTGCGCGCAACCTCTGGGGCAACCTCCCCCCGCTGCTGCTGCCCCAGAGGCTGGGTGCAGGGGCCGCAGCCCGGGCGGGCGAGGGCCTGGGCCTGATCCAGGAGGCCGCATCGGTCCCAGAGCCTGCAGTGCCAGCTGACCTGGCCGAGATGGCCAGGGAGCCCGCGGAGGAGGCCGCAGAGGAGAAGCTCTCAGAGGAGGCCACAGAGGAACCAGACGCAGAGGAACCGGCCACAGAAGAACCGACCGCACAGGAGGCCACGGCCCCAGAGGGTAAGGAACGGGCTAGCGGCAGCAGCGGGGAGGCGGGGACCCGTGTGTCCCAGGGTTCTAGGCAGGGCCGCGGTGCGGGCATAGCTGGTGAAGCGGGTGGTGAAGGGGGGTCGGGGCCTCGGGTGGTGAAGCAGGAGTCGGGGCCCTCCTGAAACTTAAGGCAGAATGTGTCCCAATGAGTCGAAGCCCAATTCTCTAACGACATCTGTGGTTTTGAGAAAACTTGTCGCCCTCTACCAACCTATATTTGATAGGAGATCTGAGATCATCGGTGCCATTTGTGAGCCCGCAGATGAATGGCCGGGTAGATAGGGGTTCAGGAGGGAGCTCCGCAGGAAACAGAAGGGATGCGCCAAGGAAAAGAACAGGCAAATGGCAGGCATCCCTTTTAGTTCATGGCTTTTCAAAGTGTAAAGATTCGTAGAAAGTTGATCCCCCAAATGATGAAGTGATGCAGGAGCACTTGGTAAAAATGAAGCATTCAGGGGGGTGAGGAACCAATGAGCTTCACCATAGAATTTGTCTTTTGAGGTAAACAAATATTTTCCCAACAAAGTTCTGACCAAAACACCGTAGAATGAGATCGGACCCGATGATTCAGATCTCTTCTTCTCCAAAGAACTAGAAATAATCAGCCGCTTTGGGTGGGAGATTTACTGGAAAAAAGGGAAATACAGTGTCCCTGTGGAAATGATCAAGCAGCAGCAACGTGAGGGCCATGGAACTGTTGTGAAAACCAGTAGGAAGGTGCCCAGCTATTCCTTTCTTACTTAACTCTATCCTGCTTCTCCTGAGGGTGGAGTAGCTGAATGCCGCTGCTAGTTATAAATTGGGCTATATTTTCTGTGAATGTCTGGTCCCCATGTGTGTATTATTCTTCCCTAAAGAAGTCACTAAATCTCAGCCCGAAAAGTGGGATGAAGAGGCCCAAGATGCTGCAGGCGAGGAAGAGAAAGAACAAGAAAAAGAGAAGGATGCAGAAAACAAGGTGAAGAACTCCAAAGGGACCTAGACGCAGCAGAGGTGAAGCCAAGAAAATCCAGGTATCTGTGTATAGCTTTGAGAATCACTCAACTATTCCTGGCATTTACCTGTTGCAGACAGTTTTATTGAACAACAACAAAAATTCTCAGTAAGTTAAGTAAGAAAAAGTTTAAAATTAGTTTAAAAATTCAATATAACTTACTTAAAATGTTACGAGAATATTCATGTACCTAGTAATATGAACTGCAGTGTGTTCTGAAATATACTTCTTGGCTACTCATTTGTTCATGTTGAGGTCTTTTGTCCTCTAGCTGCAAGACTACTAACAAGTGGCAGATGTATCAGACCTACTACCAGGACCAATATTTGTGTAGAAAACAGTTGCCAGACACAGCCGCTAACTTGGCTGGGCCACGCATTAGTTGGGCCTTCGTTACTTGACCACAGAAATGCAGGCTCCCGTAGTAACTAGGAGACAACTCAATGCCTTTTACAAAGTGACTACTTAAAAATAGCAAAAAGCTAAGAATTTCAAGTAGGACCACAATGAATGATTAATACCTAGATATTTATTTGGCTATATATTTTGGTATTTTATGTCACAGTCAGATGAAAAGAATGTGTGTTTATCACTGAATTGGTAATGAAGTCTTAAGGTATATCCATCTTTGAGTGTATTTAAATGGTTAACATTTTTCTTTCTTTCTTATTTATTTATTTATTTTGCATTTTCACAGCCGTATATTTCGTAACGGCTTCTTTCCCACATGGTAGATACGGAAACCAAGGGTCTGGGAGGGTAAGGGAGTATTATTTGTGGAACCAGCACAGGCTGTTGAAGCTTGAGAGATTTATTTAAATCCCAGAATGGCCCCTCATGTAAAAACAAAAGCAACAAGCTTTTCTAGTGCTAGGCAGACAAGGTTGGTGTGATCATTTGACTGAAACCTTCAGTTCCACAAGCACCCTGATATCCAAGCTCGTGAGTTACAAAAGGAAAAGATGGGCTTCTCTACTTGTTTAAGATATAGCACACAAATGTTGCAGATATACACAGAGCTGGCCATTTTCTTCTATTTAGAAAGTCACTGGTGCTGGTTAATGTTGTACTATTGTTTATCATCTCTCATTTCATCCCACAGTCGGGAGGAAAAGAAAGAAGACTCTGTTGTTCATTGTTTTTATCTTTTTCTCCAGATGCCTGTGGGAATTGTAACACATATCATTCCAAAGTTCGTTACATCAAAAGTGATATCCAGTGACATCTAACTTTCATGGATGTATGTGACAGTGTTCAAGTTAAAAAATAAAAGTTTGTTTTAAATGAATAAACTGAAACGTGGGAAGATTTTTCAATAAGTAATCTTAACTCAAATCTCTCCTTTACGTCTTTGTTTTGGCCCACCATACCTTCATTGAAAGATATTACTTTCCGCCATTTGGTAAGACTCTTTGAAATTCTTTCACTGCAGCCAAAAATCAAGTAAAATGACAAGTTTAAAACAATTTTTGAAAAGAGAGAGATGGGGCTCATCTTTAGAGCTGTGTGTTGTGACTACTGAGCACTTGTAATACGGCTAGTCTGATTTAATATGTGATGCAAGTGTGAAAATAATATTGCATATATTACTAATTTTTTTTTTTTTTTTTGAAACTGAGTCTCGCTCTGTCACCCAGGCTGGAGTGCAGTGGGGCCATCTTGGCTCACTGCAACCTCCACCTCCCAGGCTCCAGCAAATTTCCTGCCTCACCCTTCCGAGTAGCTGGGACTACAGGCGCGCACCACCATGTCCAGCTAATTTTTTGTATTTTTAGTACAGACAGGGTTTTACCATATTGGTCATGCTGGTCTCGAACTACTGACCTCAGGTGATCTGCCTGCCTCGGCCTCCCAAAGTGCGGCCTCCCAAAGTGCTGGATTACAGGCGTGAGCCACCACCCCCAGGCACTTTTGGTGTTTTTGATGCTTAGCTCTTATGAGATGACCTGGTCCTTTTAAAAAAAGTATCTCTTTTTTTCCCCATTATTTGGAGGTTTGAAGTGAATTTGGCAGGATTCATTAAACACCTTCCAGTGTCTGTCATTTACCACCTCAACACTCAGTGATGACTGCATCCATTTCAACTCTGCACATTCTTTTCTAAGTAGCTTTAACTACGTTAACTCAGTGAAATTCTTATGTCTCTTGGGAGGTTTTCACTACTGCTTAGCTATGAACTATATAACATTTTTATGACACTATCTCTACTGGCATGAGCCATTACTAGGTGGAAATAAGTGAACTCTGTGACCGCCTTGCAGTTCCCATGCTCCAGGGTGCCTCCACATGGGACTACTATAGTGTTGCTAATAATCATAAAATTAAAAGGGCAGGACTTGTGTGGACCTAAAGGGGTAGCCTTGGACACTAAGGCCTCATAGAAAAGGTAGAGCTCGGCCTGGCACGGTGGCTCATGCCTGTAATCCAAGCACTTTGGGAGGCTGAGGCAGGTGGATCACAAGGTCAGGAGATCGAGACCATCCTGGCCAACATGGTGAAACCCTGTCTCTACTAAAAATACAAAACCTAGCCAGGCGTGGTGGCATGTACCTGTAGTCCCAGCTACTCAGGAGGCTGAGGCAGGAGAATCACTGGAACCCAGGAGGCGGGGATTGCAGTGAGCCGAGATCTTGCCACTGCACTCCAGCCTGGGCAACAGAGCAACACTATGAAAAGAAAAGAAAAAGCTCTGGATTCTGGATTCTCAGTTCTAGAGCTTAAGGGCCTTGATCATTCATTGGACATAGAACATGTCAATCTGAAGTTTTCAGCAAATGAGCTTAGGGCTCACTGAGAGCCCCTCGTTGACCCTTCCGGTCCCGCCCCCTTTCGCCTGCCAACCAGAATCTTTCCCAACTTGTCTAAGTCCTCTCAGGCCAGCCTTGGTGGGAGGTTTCTAGGATTCGCTCCCTGCCCTTCCCATCTTAGGGTGTCGTCTGAGACAGACTCTTATTCCCTCAATAAAGAGAGAGACTCTTATTCCCTCAGCGGCCAGCTCCTCGCCTCCCCTCGGCCGTAGCCACCTCAGTGGTCACCGTCTTCACCGTGGTCGCCTCAGCCCGCTCGCCACCCCAGTTGAGGCGCTGCTGGTGTCATGTCTGCCACAGGGGACCGACACCCGACCCAAGGGGACCAGGAGGCCCCGGTAAGCCAGGAGGGAGCACAGGCCGAGGCGGCCGGAGCTGGTAACCAGGAGGGCGGCGACTCCGGCCCCGACAGCAGCGACGTGGTGCCTGCGGCCGAGGTGGTCGGAGTCGCAGGGCCCGTGGAAGGCCTCGGGGAGGAGGAGGGTGAGCAGGCGGCAGGCCTGGCCGCAGTCCCCCGGGGCGGGAGCGCCGAGGAGGACTCAGATATCGGGCCCGCGACGGAGGAAGAGGAGGAGGAAGAGGGGAACGAGGCGGCCAACTTCGACTTGGCGGTGGTCGCCCGTCGCTACCCGGCGTCGGGCATTCACTTCGTGCTCCTGGACATGGTCCACTCCCTTCTCCACCGCCTCTCTCACAACGACCACATCCTCATAGAGAACCGTCAACTCAGCCGCCTGATGGTGGGGCCACACGCTGCTGCGCGCAACCTCTGGGGCAACCTCCCCCCGCTGCTGCTGCCCCAGAGGCTGGGTGCAGGGGCCGCAGCCCGGGCGGGCGAGGGCCTGGGCCTGATCCAGGAGGCCGCATCGGTCCCAGAGCCTGCAGTGCCAGCTGACCTGGCCGAGATGGCCAGGGAGCCCGCGGAGGAGGCCGCAGAGGAGAAGCTCTCAGAGGAGGCCACAGAGGAACCAGACGCAGAGGAACCGGCCACAGAAGAACCGACCGCACAGGAGGCCACGGCCCCAGAGGGTAAGGAACGGGCTAGCGGCAGCAGCGGGGAGGCGGGGACCCGTGTGTCCCAGGGTTCTAGGCAGGGCCGCGGTGCGGGCATAGCTGGTGAAGCGGGTGGTGAAGGGGGGTCGGGGCCTCGGGTGGTGAAGCAGGAGTCGGGGCCCTCCTGAAACTTAAGGCAGAATGTGTCCCAATGAGTCGAAGCCCAATTCTCTAACGACATCTGTGGTTTTGAGAAAACTTGTCGCCCTCTACCAACCTATATTTGATAGGAGATCTGAGATCATCGGTGCCATTTGTGAGCCCGCAGATGAATGGCCGGGTAGATAGGGGTTCAGGAGGGAGCTCCGCAGGAAACAGAAGGGATGCGCCAAGGAAAAGAACAGGCAAATGGCAGGCATCCCTTTTAGTTCATGGCTTTTCAAAGTGTAAAGATTCGTAGAAAGTTGATCCCCCAAATGATGAAGTGATGCAGGAGCACTTGGTAAAAATGAAGCATTCAGGGGGGTGAGGAACCAATGAGCTTCACCATAGAATTTGTCTTTTGAGGTAAACAAATATTTTCCCAACAAAGTTCTGACCAAAACACCGTAGAATGAGATCGGACCCGATGATTCAGATCTCTTCTTCTCCAAAGAACTAGAAATAATCAGCCGCTTTGGGTGGGAGATTTACTGGAAAAAAGGGAAATACAGTGTCCCTGTGGAAATGATCAAGCAGCAGCAACGTGAGGGCCATGGAACTGTTGTGAAAACCAGTAGGAAGGTGCCCAGCTATTCCTTTCTTACTTAACTCTATCCTGCTTCTCCTGAGGGTGGAGTAGCTGAATGCCGCTGCTAGTTATAAATTGGGCTATATTTTCTGTGAATGTCTGGTCCCCATGTGTGTATTATTCTTCCCTAAAGAAGTCACTAAATCTCAGCCCGAAAAGTGGGATGAAGAGGCCCAAGATGCTGCAGGCGAGGAAGAGAAAGAACAAGAAAAAGAGAAGGATGCGGAAAACAAGGTGAAGAACTCCAAAGGGACCTAGACGCAGCAGAGGTGAAGCCAAGAAAATCCAGGTATCTGTGTATAGCTTTGAGAATCACTCAACTATTCCTGGCATTTACCTGTTGCAGACAGTTTTATTGAACAACAACAAAAATTCTCAGTAAGTTAAGTAAGAAAAAGTTTAAAATTAGTTTAAAAATTCAATTTAACTTACTTAAAATGTTACGAGAATATTCATGTACCTAGTAATATGAACTGCAGTGTGTTCTGAAATATACTTCTTGGCTACTCATTTGTTCATGTTGAGGTCTTTTGTCCTCTAGCTGCAAGACTACTAACAAGTGGCAGATGTATCAGACCTACTACCAGGACCAATATTTGTGTAGAAAACAGTTGCCAGACACAGCCGCTAACTTGGCTGGGCCACGCATTAGTTGGGCCTTCGTTACTTGACCACAGAAATGCAGGCTCCCGTAGTAACTAGGAGACAACTCAATGCCTTTTACAAAGTGACTACTTAAAAATAGCAAAAAGCTAAGAATTTCAAGTAGGACCACAATGAATGATTAATACCTAGATATTTATTTGGCTATATATTTTGGTATTTTATGTCACAGTCAGATGAAAAGAATGTGTGTTTATCACTGAATTGGTAATGAAGTCTTAAGGTATATCCATCTTTGAGTGTATTTAAATGGTTAACATTTTTCTTTCTTTCTTATTTATTTATTTATTTTGCATTTTCACAGCCGTATATTTCGTAACGGCTTCTTTCCCACATGGTAGATACGGAAACCAAGGGTCTGGGAGGGTAAGGGAGTATTATTTGTGGAACCAGCACAGGCTGTTGAAGCTTGAGAGATTTATTTAAATCCCAGAATGGCCCCTCATGTAAAAACAAAAGCAACAAGCTTTTCTAGTGCTAGGCAGACAAGGTTGGTGTGATCATTTGACTGAAACCTTCAGTTCCACAAGCACCCTGATATCCAAGCTCGTGAGTTACAAAAGGAAAAGATGGGCTTCTCTACTTGTTTAAGATATAGCACACAAATGTTGCAGATATACACAGAGCTGGCCATTTTCTTCTATTTAGAAAGTCACTGGTGCTGGTTAATGTTGTACTATTGTTTATCATCTCTCATTTCATCCCACAGTCGGGAGGAAAAGAAAGAAGACTCTGTTGTTCATTGTTTTTATCTTTTTCTCCAGATGCCTGTGGGAATTGTAACACATATCATTCCAAAGTTCGTTACATCAAAAGTGATATCCAGTGACATCTAACTTTCATGGATGTATGTGACAGTGTTCAAGTTAAAAAATAAAAGTTTGTTTTAAATGAATAAACTGAAACGTGGGAAGATTTTTCAATAAGTAATCTTAACTCAAATCTCTCCTTTACGTCTTTGTTTTGGCCCACCATACCTTCATTGAAAGATATTACTTTCCGCCATTTGGTAAGACTCTTTGAAATTCTTTCACTGCAGCCAAAAATCAAGTAAAATGACAAGTTTAAAACAATTTTTGAAAAGAGAGAGATGGGGCTCATCTTTAGAGCTGTGTGTTGTGACTACTGAGCACTTGTAATACGGCTAGTCTGATTTAATATGTGATGCAAGTGTGAAAATAATATTGCATATATTACTAATTTTTTTTTTTTTTTTTGAAACTGAGTCTCGCTCTGTCACCCAGGCTGGAGTGCAGTGGGGCCATCTTGGCTCACTGCAACCTCCACCTCCCAGGCTCCAGCAAATTTCCTGCCTCACCCTTCCGAGTAGCTGGGACTACAGGCGCGCACCACCATGTCCAGCTAATTTTTTGTATTTTTAGTACAGACAGGGTTTTACCATTTTGGTCATGCTGGTCTCGAACTACTGACCTCAGGTGATCTGCCTGCCTCGGCCTCCCAAAGTGCGGCCTCCCAAAGTGCTGGATTACAGGCGTGAGCCACCACCCCCAGGCACTTTTGGTGTTTTTGATGCTTAGCTCTTATGAGATGACCTGGTCCTTTTAAAAAAAGTATCTCTTTTTTTCCCCATTATTTGGAGGTTTGAAGTGAATTTGGCAGGATTCATTAAACACCTTCCAGTGTCTGTCATTTACCACCTCAACACTCAGTGATGACTGCATCCATTTCAACTCTGCACATTCTTTTCTAAGTAGCTTTAACTACGTTAACTCAGTGAAATTCTTATGTCTCTTGGGAGGTTTTCACTACTGCTTAGCTATGAACTATATAACATTTTTATGACACTATCTCTACTGGCATGAGCCATTACTAGGTGGAAATAAGTGAACTCTGTGACCGCCTTGCAGTTCCCATGCTCCAGGGTGCCTCCACATGGGACTACTATAGTGTTGCTAATAATCATAAAATTAAAAGGGCAGGACTTGTGTGGACCTAAAGGGGTAGCCTTGGACACTAAGGCCTCATAGAAAAGGTAGAGCTCGGCCTGGCACGGTGGCTCATGCCTGTAATCCAAGCACTTTGGGAGGCTGAGGCAGGTGGATCACAAGGTCAGGAGATCGAGACCATCCTGGCCAACATGGTGAAACCCTGTCTCTACTAAAAATACAAAACCTAGCCAGGCGTGGTGGCATGTACCTGTAGTCCCAGCTACTCAGGAGGCTGAGGCAGGAGAATCACTGGAACCCAGGAGGCGGGGATTGCAGTGAGCCGAGATCTTGCCACTGCACTCCAGCCTGGGCAACAGAGCAACACTATGAAAAGAAAAGAAAAAGCTCTGGATTCTGGATTCTCAGTTCTAGAGCTTAAGGGCCTTGATCATTCATTGGACATAGAACATGTCAATCTGAAGTTTTCAGCAAATGAGCTTAGGGCTCACTGAGAGCCCCTCGTTGACCCTTCCGGTCCCGCCCCCTTTCGCCTGCCAACCAGAATCTTTCCCAACTTGTCTAAGTCCTCTCAGGCCAGCCTTGGTGGGAGGTTTCTAGGATTCGCTCCCTGCCCTTCCCATCTTAGGGTGTCGTCTGAGACAGACTCTTATTCCCTCAATAAAGAGAGAGACTCTTATTCCCTCAGCGGCCAGCTCCTCGCCTCCCCTCGGCCGTAGCCACCTCAGTGGTCACCGTCTTCACCGTGGTCGCCTCAGCCCGCTCGCCACCCCAGTTGAGGCGCTGCTGGTGTCATGTCTGCCACAGGGGACCGACACCCGACCCAAGGGGACCAGGAGGCCCCGGTAAGCCAGGAGGGAGCACAGGCCGAGGCGGCCGGAGCTGGTAACCAGGAGGGCGGCGACTCCGGCCCCGACAGCAGCGACGTGGTGCCTGCGGCCGAGGTGGTCGGAGTCGCAGGGCCCGTGGAAGGCCTCGGGGAGGAGGAGGGTGAGCAGGCGGCAGGCCTGGCCGCAGTCCCCCGGGGCGGGAGCGCCGAGGAGGACTCAGATATCGGGCCCGCGACGGAGGAAGAGGAGGAGGAAGAGGGGAACGAGGCGGCCAACTTCGACTTGGCGGTGGTCGCCCGTCGCTACCCGGCGTCGGGCATTCACTTCGTGCTCCTGGACATGGTCCACTCCCTTCTCCACCGCCTCTCTCACAACGACCACATCCTCATAGAGAACCGTCAACTCAGCCGCCTGATGGTGGGGCCACACGCTGCTGCGCGCAACCTCTGGGGCAACCTCCCCCCGCTGCTGCTGCCCCAGAGGCTGGGTGCAGGGGCCGCAGCCCGGGCGGGCGAGGGCCTGGGCCTGATCCAGGAGGCCGCATCGGTCCCAGAGCCTGCAGTGCCAGCTGACCTGGCCGAGATGGCCAGGGAGCCCGCGGAGGAGGCCGCAGAGGAGAAGCTCTCAGAGGAGGCCACAGAGGAACCAGACGCAGAGGAACCGGCCACAGAAGAACCGACCGCACAGGAGGCCACGGCCCCAGAGGGTAAGGAACGGGCTAGCGGCAGCAGCGGGGAGGCGGGGACCCGTGTGTCCCAGGGTTCTAGGCAGGGCCGCGGTGCGGGCATAGCTGGTGAAGCGGGTGGTGAAGGGGGGTCGGGGCCTCGGGTGGTGAAGCAGGAGTCGGGGCCCTCCTGAAACTTAAGGCAGAATGTGTCCCAATGAGTCGAAGCCCAATTCTCTAACGACATCTGTGGTTTTGAGAAAACTTGTCGCCCTCTACCAACCTATATTTGATAGGAGATCTGAGATCATCGGTGCCATTTGTGAGCCCGCAGATGAATGGCCGGGTAGATAGGGGTTCAGGAGGGAGCTCCGCAGGAAACAGAAGGGATGCGCCAAGGAAAAGAACAGGCAAATGGCAGGCATCCCTTTTAGTTCATGGCTTTTCAAAGTGTAAAGATTCGTAGAAAGTTGATCCCCCAAATGATGAAGTGATGCAGGAGCACTTGGTAAAAATGAAGCATTCAGGGGGGTGAGGAACCAATGAGCTTCACCATAGAATTTGTCTTTTGAGGTAAACAAATATTTTCCCAACAAAGTTCTGACCAAAACACCGTAGAATGAGATCGGACCCGATGATTCAGATCTCTTCTTCTCCAAAGAACTAGAAATAATCAGCCGCTTTGGGTGGGAGATTTACTGGAAAAAAGGGAAATACAGTGTCCCTGTGGAAATGATCAAGCAGCAGCAACGTGAGGGCCATGGAACTGTTGTGAAAACCAGTAGGAAGGTGCCCAGCTATTCCTTTCTTACTTAACTCTATCCTGCTTCTCCTGAGGGTGGAGTAGCTGAATGCCGCTGCTAGTTATAAATTGGGCTATATTTTCTGTGAATGTCTGGTCCCCATGTGTGTATTATTCTTCCCTAAAGAAGTCACTAAATCTCAGCCCGAAAAGTGGGATGAAGAGGCCCAAGATGCTGCAGGCGAGGAAGAGAAAGAACAAGAAAAAGAGAAGGATGCGGAAAACAAGGTGAAGAACTCCAAAGGGACCTAGACGCAGCAGAGGTGAAGCCAAGAAAATCCAGGTATCTGTGTATAGCTTTGAGAATCACTCAACTATTCCTGGCATTTACCTGTTGCAGACAGTTTTATTGAACAACAACAAAAATTCTCAGTAAGTTAAGTAAGAAAAAGTTTAAAATTAGTTTAAAAATTCAATTTAACTTACTTAAAATGTTACGAGAATATTCATGTACCTAGTAATATGAACTGCAGTGTGTTCTGAAATATACTTCTTGGCTACTCATTTGTTCATGTTGAGGTCTTTTGTCCTCTAGCTGCAAGACTACTAACAAGTGGCAGATGTATCAGACCTACTACCAGGACCAATATTTGTGTAGAAAACAGTTGCCAGACACAGCCGCTAACTTGGCTGGGCCACGCATTAGTTGGGCCTTCGTTACTTGACCACAGAAATGCAGGCTCCCGTAGTAACTAGGAGACAACTCAATGCCTTTTACAAAGTGACTACTTAAAAATAGCAAAAAGCTAAGAATTTCAAGTAGGACCACAATGAATGATTAATACCTAGATATTTATTTGGCTATATATTTTGGTATTTTATGTCACAGTCAGATGAAAAGAATGTGTGTTTATCACTGAATTGGTAATGAAGTCTTAAGGTATATCCATCTTTGAGTGTATTTAAATGGTTAACATTTTTCTTTCTTTCTTATTTATTTATTTATTTTGCATTTTCACAGCCGTATATTTCGTAACGGCTTCTTTCCCACATGGTAGATACGGAAACCAAGGGTCTGGGAGGGTAAGGGAGTATTATTTGTGGAACCAGCACAGGCTGTTGAAGCTTGAGAGATTTATTTAAATCCCAGAATGGCCCCTCATGTAAAAACAAAAGCAACAAGCTTTTCTAGTGCTAGGCAGACAAGGTTGGTGTGATCATTTGACTGAAACCTTCAGTTCCACAAGCACCCTGATATCCAAGCTCGTGAGTTACAAAAGGAAAAGATGGGCTTCTCTACTTGTTTAAGATATAGCACACAAATGTTGCAGATATACACAGAGCTGGCCATTTTCTTCTATTTAGAAAGTCACTGGTGCTGGTTAATGTTGTACTATTGTTTATCATCTCTCATTTCATCCCACAGTCGGGAGGAAAAGAAAGAAGACTCTGTTGTTCATTGTTTTTATCTTTTTCTCCAGATGCCTGTGGGAATTGTAACACATATCATTCCAAAGTTCGTTACATCAAAAGTGATATCCAGTGACATCTAACTTTCATGGATGTATGTGACAGTGTTCAAGTTAAAAAATAAAAGTTTGTTTTAAATGAATAAACTGAAACGTGGGAAGATTTTTCAATAAGTAATCTTAACTCAAATCTCTCCTTTACGTCTTTGTTTTGGCCCACCATACCTTCATTGAAAGATATTACTTTCCGCCATTTGGTAAGACTCTTTGAAATTCTTTCACTGCAGCCAAAAATCAAGTAAAATGACAAGTTTAAAACAATTTTTGAAAAGAGAGAGATGGGGCTCATCTTTAGAGCTGTGTGTTGTGACTACTGAGCACTTGTAATACGGCTAGTCTGATTTAATATGTGATGCAAGTGTGAAAATAATATTGCATATATTACTAATTTTTTTTTTTTTTTTTGAAACTGAGTCTCGCTCTGTCACCCAGGCTGGAGTGCAGTGGGGCCATCTTGGCTCACTGCAACCTCCACCTCCCAGGCTCCAGCAAATTTCCTGCCTCACCCTTCCGAGTAGCTGGGACTACAGGCGCGCACCACCATGTCCAGCTAATTTTTTGTATTTTTAGTACAGACAGGGTTTTACCATTTTGGTCATGCTGGTCTCGAACTACTGACCTCAGGTGATCTGCCTGCCTCGGCCTCCCAAAGTGCGGCCTCCCAAAGTGCTGGATTACAGGCGTGAGCCACCACCCCCAGGCACTTTTGGTGTTTTTGATGCTTAGCTCTTATGAGATGACCTGGTCCTTTTAAAAAAAGTATCTCTTTTTTTCCCCATTATTTGGAGGTTTGAAGTGAATTTGGCAGGATTCATTAAACACCTTCCAGTGTCTGTCATTTACCACCTCAACACTCAGTGATGACTGCATCCATTTCAACTCTGCACATTCTTTTCTAAGTAGCTTTAACTACGTTAACTCAGTGAAATTCTTATGTCTCTTGGGAGGTTTTCACTACTGCTTAGCTATGAACTATATAACATTTTTATGACACTATCTCTACTGGCATGAGCCATTACTAGGTGGAAATAAGTGAACTCTGTGACCGCCTTGCAGTTCCCATGCTCCAGGGTGCCTCCACATGGGACTACTATAGTGTTGCTAATAATCATAAAATTAAAAGGGCAGGACTTGTGTGGACCTAAAGGGGTAGCCTTGGACACTAAGGCCTCATAGAAAAGGTAGAGCTCGGCCTGGCACGGTGGCTCATGCCTGTAATCCAAGCACTTTGGGAGGCTGAGGCAGGTGGATCACAAGGTCAGGAGATCGAGACCATCCTGGCCAACATGGTGAAACCCTGTCTCTACTAAAAATACAAAACCTAGCCAGGCGTGGTGGCATGTACCTGTAGTCCCAGCTACTCAGGAGGCTGAGGCAGGAGAATCACTGGAACCCAGGAGGCGGGGATTGCAGTGAGCCGAGATCTTGCCACTGCACTCCAGCCTGGGCAACAGAGCAACACTATGAAAAGAAAAGAAAAAGCTCTGGATTCTGGATTCTCAGTTCTAGAGCTTAAGGGCCTTGATCATTCATTGGACATAGAACATGTCAATCTGAAGTTTTCAGCAAATGAGCTTAGGGCTCACTGAGAGCCCCTCGTTGACCCTTCCGGTCCCGCCCCCTTTCGCCTGCCAACCAGAATCTTTCCCAACTTGTCTAAGTCCTCTCAGGCCAGCCTTGGTGGGAGGTTTCTAGGATTCGCTCCCTGCCCTTCCCATCTTAGGGTGTCGTCTGAGACAGACTCTTATTCCCTCAATAAAGAGAGAGACTCTTATTCCCTCAGCGGCCAGCTCCTCGCCTCCCCTCGGCCGTAGCCACCTCAGTGGTCACCGTCTTCACCGTGGTCGCCTCAGCCCGCTCGCCACCCCAGTTGAGGCGCTGCTGGTGTCATGTCTGCCACAGGGGACCGACACCCGACCCAAGGGGACCAGGAGGCCCCGGTAAGCCAGGAGGGAGCACAGGCCGAGGCGGCCGGAGCTGGTAACCAGGAGGGCGGCGACTCCGGCCCCGACAGCAGCGACGTGGTGCCTGCGGCCGAGGTGGTCGGAGTCGCAGGGCCCGTGGAAGGCCTCGGGGAGGAGGAGGGTGAGCAGGCGGCAGGCCTGGCCGCAGTCCCCCGGGGCGGGAGCGCCGAGGAGGACTCAGATATCGGGCCCGCGACGGAGGAAGAGGAGGAGGAAGAGGGGAACGAGGCGGCCAACTTCGACTTGGCGGTGGTCGCCCGTCGCTACCCGGCGTCGGGCATTCACTTCGTGCTCCTGGACATGGTCCACTCCCTTCTCCACCGCCTCTCTCACAACGACCACATCCTCATAGAGAACCGTCAACTCAGCCGCCTGATGGTGGGGCCACACGCTGCTGCGCGCAACCTCTGGGGCAACCTCCCCCCGCTGCTGCTGCCCCAGAGGCTGGGTGCAGGGGCCGCAGCCCGGGCGGGCGAGGGCCTGGGCCTGATCCAGGAGGCCGCATCGGTCCCAGAGCCTGCAGTGCCAGCTGACCTGGCCGAGATGGCCAGGGAGCCCGCGGAGGAGGCCGCAGAGGAGAAGCTCTCAGAGGAGGCCACAGAGGAACCAGACGCAGAGGAACCGGCCACAGAAGAACCGACCGCACAGGAGGCCACGGCCCCAGAGGGTAAGGAACGGGCTAGCGGCAGCAGCGGGGAGGCGGGGACCCGTGTGTCCCAGGGTTCTAGGCAGGGCCGCGGTGCGGGCATAGCTGGTGAAGCGGGTGGTGAAGGGGGGTCGGGGCCTCGGGTGGTGAAGCAGGAGTCGGGGCCCTCCTGAAACTTAAGGCAGAATGTGTCCCAATGAGTCGAAGCCCAATTCTCTAACGACATCTGTGGTTTTGAGAAAACTTGTCGCCCTCTACCAACCTATATTTGATAGGAGATCTGAGATCATCGGTGCCATTTGTGAGCCCGCAGATGAATGGCCGGGTAGATAGGGGTTCAGGAGGGAGCTCCGCAGGAAACAGAAGGGATGCGCCAAGGAAAAGAACAGGCAAATGGCAGGCATCCCTTTTAGTTCATGGCTTTTCAAAGTGTAAAGATTCGTAGAAAGTTGATCCCCCAAATGATGAAGTGATGCAGGAGCACTTGGTAAAAATGAAGCATTCAGGGGGGTGAGGAACCAATGAGCTTCACCATAGAATTTGTCTTTTGAGGTAAACAAATATTTTCCCAACAAAGTTCTGACCAAAACACCGTAGAATGAGATCGGACCCGATGATTCAGATCTCTTCTTCTCCAAAGAACTAGAAATAATCAGCCGCTTTGGGTGGGAGATTTACTGGAAAAAAGGGAAATACAGTGTCCCTGTGGAAATGATCAAGCAGCAGCAACGTGAGGGCCATGGAACTGTTGTGAAAACCAGTAGGAAGGTGCCCAGCTATTCCTTTCTTACTTAACTCTATCCTGCTTCTCCTGAGGGTGGAGTAGCTGAATGCCGCTGCTAGTTATAAATTGGGCTATATTTTCTGTGAATGTCTGGTCCCCATGTGTGTATTATTCTTCCCTAAAGAAGTCACTAAATCTCAGCCCGAAAAGTGGGATGAAGAGGCCCAAGATGCTGCAGGCGAGGAAGAGAAAGAACAAGAAAAAGAGAAGGATGCGGAAAACAAGGTGAAGAACTCCAAAGGGACCTAGACGCAGCAGAGGTGAAGCCAAGAAAATCCAGGTATCTGTGTATAGCTTTGAGAATCACTCAACTATTCCTGGCATTTACCTGTTGCAGACAGTTTTATTGAACAACAACAAAAATTCTCAGTAAGTTAAGTAAGAAAAAGTTTAAAATTAGTTTAAAAATTCAATTTAACTTACTTAAAATGTTACGAGAATATTCATGTACCTAGTAATATGAACTGCAGTGTGTTCTGAAATATACTTCTTGGCTACTCATTTGTTCATGTTGAGGTCTTTTGTCCTCTAGCTGCAAGACTACTAACAAGTGGCAGATGTATCAGACCTACTACCAGGACCAATATTTGTGTAGAAAACAGTTGCCAGACACAGCCGCTAACTTGGCTGGGCCACGCATTAGTTGGGCCTTCGTTACTTGACCACAGAAATGCAGGCTCCCGTAGTAACTAGGAGACAACTCAATGCCTTTTACAAAGTGACTACTTAAAAATAGCAAAAAGCTAAGAATTTCAAGTAGGACCACAATGAATGATTAATACCTAGATATTTATTTGGCTATATATTTTGGTATTTTATGTCACAGTCAGATGAAAAGAATGTGTGTTTATCACTGAATTGGTAATGAAGTCTTAAGGTATATCCATCTTTGAGTGTATTTAAATGGTTAACATTTTTCTTTCTTTCTTATTTATTTATTTATTTTGCATTTTCACAGCCGTATATTTCGTAACGGCTTCTTTCCCACATGGTAGATACGGAAACCAAGGGTCTGGGAGGGTAAGGGAGTATTATTTGTGGAACCAGCACAGGCTGTTGAAGCTTGAGAGATTTATTTAAATCCCAGAATGGCCCCTCATGTAAAAACAAAAGCAACAAGCTTTTCTAGTGCTAGGCAGACAAGGTTGGTGTGATCATTTGACTGAAACCTTCAGTTCCACAAGCACCCTGATATCCAAGCTCGTGAGTTACAAAAGGAAAAGATGGGCTTCTCTACTTGTTTAAGATATAGCACACAAATGTTGCAGATATACACAGAGCTGGCCATTTTCTTCTATTTAGAAAGTCACTGGTGCTGGTTAATGTTGTACTATTGTTTATCATCTCTCATTTCATCCCACAGTCGGGAGGAAAAGAAAGAAGACTCTGTTGTTCATTGTTTTTATCTTTTTCTCCAGATGCCTGTGGGAATTGTAACACATATCATTCCAAAGTTCGTTACATCAAAAGTGATATCCAGTGACATCTAACTTTCATGGATGTATGTGACAGTGTTCAAGTTAAAAAATAAAAGTTTGTTTTAAATGAATAAACTGAAACGTGGGAAGATTTTTCAATAAGTAATCTTAACTCAAATCTCTCCTTTACGTCTTTGTTTTGGCCCACCATACCTTCATTGAAAGATATTACTTTCCGCCATTTGGTAAGACTCTTTGAAATTCTTTCACTGCAGCCAAAAATCAAGTAAAATGACAAGTTTAAAACAATTTTTGAAAAGAGAGAGATGGGGCTCATCTTTAGAGCTGTGTGTTGTGACTACTGAGCACTTGTAATACGGCTAGTCTGATTTAATATGTGATGCAAGTGTGAAAATAATATTGCATATATTACTAATTTTTTTTTTTTTTTTTGAAACTGAGTCTCGCTCTGTCACCCAGGCTGGAGTGCAGTGGGGCCATCTTGGCTCACTGCAACCTCCACCTCCCAGGCTCCAGCAAATTTCCTGCCTCACCCTTCCGAGTAGCTGGGACTACAGGCGCGCACCACCATGTCCAGCTAATTTTTTGTATTTTTAGTACAGACAGGGTTTTACCATATTGGTCATGCTGGTCTCGAACTACTGACCTCAGGTGATCTGCCTGCCTCGGCCTCCCAAAGTGCGGCCTCCCAAAGTGCTGGATTACAGGCGTGAGCCACCACCCCCAGGCACTTTTGGTGTTTTTGATGCTTAGCTCTTATGAGATGACCTGGTCCTTTTAAAAAAAGTATCTCTTTTTTTCCCCATTATTTGGAGGTTTGAAGTGAATTTGGCAGGATTCATTAAACACCTTCCAGTGTCTGTCATTTACCACCTCAACACTCAGTGATGACTGCATCCATTTCAACTCTGCACATTCTTTTCTAAGTAGCTTTAACTACGTTAACTCAGTGAAATTCTTATGTCTCTTGGGAGGTTTTCACTACTGCTTAGCTATGAACTATATAACATTTTTATGACACTATCTCTACTGGCATGAGCCATTACTAGGTGGAAATAAGTGAACTCTGTGACCGCCTTGCAGTTCCCATGCTCCAGGGTGCCTCCACATGGGACTACTATAGTGTTGCTAATAATCATAAAATTAAAAGGGCAGGACTTGTGTGGACCTAAAGGGGTAGCCTTGGACACTAAGGCCTCATAGAAAAGGTAGAGCTCGGCCTGGCACGGTGGCTCATGCCTGTAATCCAAGCACTTTGGGAGGCTGAGGCAGGTGGATCACAAGGTCAGGAGATCGAGACCATCCTGGCCAACATGGTGAAACCCTGTCTCTACTAAAAATACAAAACCTAGCCAGGCGTGGTGGCATGTACCTGTAGTCCCAGCTACTCAGGAGGCTGAGGCAGGAGAATCACTGGAACCCAGGAGGCGGGGATTGCAGTGAGCCGAGATCTTGCCACTGCACTCCAGCCTGGGCAACAGAGCAACACTATGAAAAGAAAAGAAAAAGCTCTGGATTCTGGATTCTCAGTTCTAGAGCTTAAGGGCCTTGATCATTCATTGGACATAGAACATGTCAATCTGAAGTTTTCAGCAAATGAGCTTAGGGCTCACTGAGAGCCCCTCGTTGACCCTTCCGGTCCCGCCCCCTTTCGCCTGCCAACCAGAATCTTTCCCAACTTGTCTAAGTCCTCTCAGGCCAGCCTTGGTGGGAGGTTTCTAGGATTCGCTCCCTGCCCTTCCCATCTTAGGGTGTCGTCTGAGACAGACTCTTATTCCCTCAATAAAGAGAGAGACTCTTATTCCCTCAGCGGCCAGCTCCTCGCCTCCCCTCGGCCGTAGCCACCTCAGTGGTCACCGTCTTCACCGTGGTCGCCTCAGCCCGCTCGCCACCCCAGTTGAGGCGCTGCTGGTGTCATGTCTGCCACAGGGGACCGACACCCGACCCAAGGGGACCAGGAGGCCCCGGTAAGCCAGGAGGGAGCACAGGCCGAGGCGGCCGGAGCTGGTAACCAGGAGGGCGGCGACTCCGGCCCCGACAGCAGCGACGTGGTGCCTGCGGCCGAGGTGGTCGGAGTCGCAGGGCCCGTGGAAGGCCTCGGGGAGGAGGAGGGTGAGCAGGCGGCAGGCCTGGCCGCAGTCCCCCGGGGCGGGAGCGCCGAGGAGGACTCAGATATCGGGCCCGCGACGGAGGAAGAGGAGGAGGAAGAGGGGAACGAGGCGGCCAACTTCGACTTGGCGGTGGTCGCCCGTCGCTACCCGGCGTCGGGCATTCACTTCGTGCTCCTGGACATGGTCCACTCCCTTCTCCACCGCCTCTCTCACAACGACCACATCCTCATAGAGAACCGTCAACTCAGCCGCCTGATGGTGGGGCCACACGCTGCTGCGCGCAACCTCTGGGGCAACCTCCCCCCGCTGCTGCTGCCCCAGAGGCTGGGTGCAGGGGCCGCAGCCCGGGCGGGCGAGGGCCTGGGCCTGATCCAGGAGGCCGCATCGGTCCCAGAGCCTGCAGTGCCAGCTGACCTGGCCGAGATGGCCAGGGAGCCCGCGGAGGAGGCCGCAGAGGAGAAGCTCTCAGAGGAGGCCACAGAGGAACCAGACGCAGAGGAACCGGCCACAGAAGAACCGACCGCACAGGAGGCCACGGCCCCAGAGGGTAAGGAACGGGCTAGCGGCAGCAGCGGGGAGGCGGGGACCCGTGTGTCCCAGGGTTCTAGGCAGGGCCGCGGTGCGGGCATAGCTGGTGAAGCGGGTGGTGAAGGGGGGTCGGGGCCTCGGGTGGTGAAGCAGGAGTCGGGGCCCTCCTGAAACTTAAGGCAGAATGTGTCCCAATGAGTCGAAGCCCAATTCTCTAACGACATCTGTGGTTTTGAGAAAACTTGTCGCCCTCTACCAACCTATATTTGATAGGAGATCTGAGATCATCGGTGCCATTTGTGAGCCCGCAGATGAATGGCCGGGTAGATAGGGGTTCAGGAGGGAGCTCCGCAGGAAACAGAAGGGATGCGCCAAGGAAAAGAACAGGCAAATGGCAGGCATCCCTTTTAGTTCATGGCTTTTCAAAGTGTAAAGATTCGTAGAAAGTTGATCCCCCAAATGATGAAGTGATGCAGGAGCACTTGGTAAAAATGAAGCATTCAGGGGGGTGAGGAACCAATGAGCTTCACCATAGAATTTGTCTTTTGAGGTAAACAAATATTTTCCCAACAAAGTTCTGACCAAAACACCGTAGAATGAGATCGGACCCGATGATTCAGATCTCTTCTTCTCCAAAGAACTAGAAATAATCAGCCGCTTTGGGTGGGAGATTTACTGGAAAAAAGGGAAATACAGTGTCCCTGTGGAAATGATCAAGCAGCAGCAACGTGAGGGCCATGGAACTGTTGTGAAAACCAGTAGGAAGGTGCCCAGCTATTCCTTTCTTACTTAACTCTATCCTGCTTCTCCTGAGGGTGGAGTAGCTGAATGCCGCTGCTAGTTATAAATTGGGCTATATTTTCTGTGAATGTCTGGTCCCCATGTGTGTATTATTCTTCCCTAAAGAAGTCACTAAATCTCAGCCCGAAAAGTGGGATGAAGAGGCCCAAGATGCTGCAGGCGAGGAAGAGAAAGAACAAGAAAAAGAGAAGGATGCGGAAAACAAGGTGAAGAACTCCAAAGGGACCTAGACGCAGCAGAGGTGAAGCCAAGAAAATCCAGGTATCTGTGTATAGCTTTGAGAATCACTCAACTATTCCTGGCATTTACCTGTTGCAGACAGTTTTATTGAACAACAACAAAAATTCTCAGTAAGTTAAGTAAGAAAAAGTTTAAAATTAGTTTAAAAATTCAATTTAACTTACTTAAAATGTTACGAGAATATTCATGTACCTAGTAATATGAACTGCAGTGTGTTCTGAAATATACTTCTTGGCTACTCATTTGTTCATGTTGAGGTCTTTTGTCCTCTAGCTGCAAGACTACTAACAAGTGGCAGATGTATCAGACCTACTACCAGGACCAATATTTGTGTAGAAAACAGTTGCCAGACACAGCCGCTAACTTGGCTGGGCCACGCATTAGTTGGGCCTTCGTTACTTGACCACAGAAATGCAGGCTCCCGTAGTAACTAGGAGACAACTCAATGCCTTTTACAAAGTGACTACTTAAAAATAGCAAAAAGCTAAGAATTTCAAGTAGGACCACAATGAATGATTAATACCTAGATATTTATTTGGCTATATATTTTGGTATTTTATGTCACAGTCAGATGAAAAGAATGTGTGTTTATCACTGAATTGGTAATGAAGTCTTAAGGTATATCCATCTTTGAGTGTATTTAAATGGTTAACATTTTTCTTTCTTTCTTATTTATTTATTTATTTTGCATTTTCACAGCCGTATATTTCGTAACGGCTTCTTTCCCACATGGTAGATACGGAAACCAAGGGTCTGGGAGGGTAAGGGAGTATTATTTGTGGAACCAGCACAGGCTGTTGAAGCTTGAGAGATTTATTTAAATCCCAGAATGGCCCCTCATGTAAAAACAAAAGCAACAAGCTTTTCTAGTGCTAGGCAGACAAGGTTGGTGTGATCATTTGACTGAAACCTTCAGTTCCACAAGCACCCTGATATCCAAGCTCGTGAGTTACAAAAGGAAAAGATGGGCTTCTCTACTTGTTTAAGATATAGCACACAAATGTTGCAGATATACACAGAGCTGGCCATTTTCTTCTATTTAGAAAGTCACTGGTGCTGGTTAATGTTGTACTATTGTTTATCATCTCTCATTTCATCCCACAGTCGGGAGGAAAAGAAAGAAGACTCTGTTGTTCATTGTTTTTATCTTTTTCTCCAGATGCCTGTGGGAATTGTAACACATATCATTCCAAAGTTCGTTACATCAAAAGTGATATCCAGTGACATCTAACTTTCATGGATGTATGTGACAGTGTTCAAGTTAAAAAATAAAAGTTTGTTTTAAATGAATAAACTGAAACGTGGGAAGATTTTTCAATAAGTAATCTTAACTCAAATCTCTCCTTTACGTCTTTGTTTTGGCCCACCATACCTTCATTGAAAGATATTACTTTCCGCCATTTGGTAAGACTCTTTGAAATTCTTTCACTGCAGCCAAAAATCAAGTAAAATGACAAGTTTAAAACAATTTTTGAAAAGAGAGAGATGGGGCTCATCTTTAGAGCTGTGTGTTGTGACTACTGAGCACTTGTAATACGGCTAGTCTGATTTAATATGTGATGCAAGTGTGAAAATAATATTGCATATATTACTAATTTTTTTTTTTTTTTTTTGAAACTGAGTCTCGCTCTGTCACCCAGGCTGGAGTGCAGTGGGGCCATCTTGGCTCACTGCAACCTCCACCTCCCAGGCTCCAGCAAATTTCCTGCCTCACCCTTCCGAGTAGCTGGGACTACAGGCGCGCACCACCATGTCCAGCTAATTTTTTGTATTTTTAGTACAGACAGGGTTTTACCATATTGGTCATGCTGGTCTCGAACTACTGACCTCAGGTGATCTGCCTGCCTCGGCCTCCCAAAGTGCGGCCTCCCAAAGTGCTGGATTACAGGCGTGAGCCACCACCCCCAGGCACTTTTGGTGTTTTTGATGCTTAGCTCTTATGAGATGACCTGGTCCTTTTAAAAAAAGTATCTCTTTTTTTCCCCATTATTTGGAGGTTTGAAGTGAATTTGGCAGGATTCATTAAACACCTTCCAGTGTCTGTCATTTACCACCTCAACACTCAGTGATGACTGCATCCATTTCAACTCTGCACATTCTTTTCTAAGTAGCTTTAACTACGTTAACTCAGTGAAATTCTTATGTCTCTTGGGAGGTTTTCACTACTGCTTAGCTATGAACTATATAACATTTTTATGACACTATCTCTACTGGCATGAGCCATTACTAGGTGGAAATAAGTGAACTCTGTGACCGCCTTGCAGTTCCCATGCTCCAGGGTGCCTCCACATGGGACTACTATAGTGTTGCTAATAATCATAAAATTAAAAGGGCAGGACTTGTGTGGACCTAAAGGGGTAGCCTTGGACACTAAGGCCTCATAGAAAAGGTAGAGCTCGGCCTGGCACGGTGGCTCATGCCTGTAATCCAAGCACTTTGGGAGGCTGAGGCAGGTGGATCACAAGGTCAGGAGATCGAGACCATCCTGGCCAACATGGTGAAACCCTGTCTCTACTAAAAATACAAAACCTAGCCAGGCGTGGTGGCATGTACCTGTAGTCCCAGCTACTCAGGAGGCTGAGGCAGGAGAATCACTGGAACCCAGGAGGCGGGGATTGCAGTGAGCCGAGATCTTGCCACTGCACTCCAGCCTGGGCAACAGAGCAACACTATGAAAAGAAAAGAAAAAGCTCTGGATTCTGGATTCTCAGTTCTAGAGCTTAAGGGCCTTGATCATTCATTGGACATAGAACATGTCAATCTGAAGTTTTCAGCAAATGAGCTTAGGGCTCACTGAGAGCCCCTCGTTGACCCTTCCGGTCCCGCCCCCTTTCGCCTGCCAACCAGAATCTTTCCCAACTTGTCTAAGTCCTCTCAGGCCAGCCTTGGTGGGAGGTTTCTAGGATTCGCTCCCTGCCCTTCCCATCTTAGGGTGTCGTCTGAGACAGACTCTTATTCCCTCAATAAAGAGAGAGACTCTTATTCCCTCAGCGGCCAGCTCCTCGCCTCCCCTCGGCCGTAGCCACCTCAGTGGTCACCGTCTTCACCGTGGTCGCCTCAGCCCGCTCGCCACCCCAGTTGAGGCGCTGCTGGTGTCATGTCTGCCACAGGGGACCGACACCCGACCCAAGGGGACCAGGAGGCCCCGGTAAGCCAGGAGGGAGCACAGGCCGAGGCGGCCGGAGCTGGTAACCAGGAGGGCGGCGACTCCGGCCCCGACAGCAGCGACGTGGTGCCTGCGGCCGAGGTGGTCGGAGTCGCAGGGCCCGTGGAAGGCCTCGGGGAGGAGGAGGGTGAGCAGGCGGCAGGCCTGGCCGCAGTCCCCCGGGGCGGGAGCGCCGAGGAGGACTCAGATATCGGGCCCGCGACGGAGGAAGAGGAGGAGGAAGAGGGGAACGAGGCGGCCAACTTCGACTTGGCGGTGGTCGCCCGTCGCTACCCGGCGTCGGGCATTCACTTCGTGCTCCTGGACATGGTCCACTCCCTTCTCCACCGCCTCTCTCACAACGACCACATCCTCATAGAGAACCGTCAACTCAGCCGCCTGATGGTGGGGCCACACGCTGCTGCGCGCAACCTCTGGGGCAACCTCCCCCCGCTGCTGCTGCCCCAGAGGCTGGGTGCAGGGGCCGCAGCCCGGGCGGGCGAGGGCCTGGGCCTGATCCAGGAGGCCGCATCGGTCCCAGAGCCTGCAGTGCCAGCTGACCTGGCCGAGATGGCCAGGGAGCCCGCGGAGGAGGCCGCAGAGGAGAAGCTCTCAGAGGAGGCCACAGAGGAACCAGACGCAGAGGAACCAGCCACAGAAGAACCGACCGCACAGGAGGCCACGGCCCCAGAGGGTAAGGAACGGGCTAGCGGCAGCAGCGGGGAGGCGGGGACCCGTGTGTCCCAGGGTTCTAGGCAGGGCCGCGGTGCGGGCATAGCTGGTGAAGCGGGTGGTGAAGGGGGGTCGGGGCCTCGGGTGGTGAAGCAGGAGTCGGGGCCCTCCTGAAACTTAAGGCAGAATGTGTCCCAATGAGTCGAAGCCCAATTCTCTAACGACATCTGTGGTTTTGAGAAAACTTGTCGCCCTCTACCAACCTATATTTGATAGGAGATCTGAGATCATCGGTGCCATTTGTGAGCCCGCAGATGAATGGCCGGGTAGATAGGGGTTCAGGAGGGAGCTCCGCAGGAAACAGAAGGGATGCGCCAAGGAAAAGAACAGGCAAATGGCAGGCATCCCTTTTAGTTCATGGCTTTTCAAAGTGTAAAGATTCGTAGAAAGTTGATCCCCCAAATGATGAAGTGATGCAGGAGCACTTGGTAAAAATGAAGCATTCAGGGGGGTGAGGAACCAATGAGCTTCACCATAGAATTTGTCTTTTGAGGTAAACAAATATTTTCCCAACAAAGTTCTGACCAAAACACCGTAGAATGAGATCGGACCCGATGATTCAGATCTCTTCTTCTCCAAAGAACTAGAAATAATCAGCCGCTTTGGGTGGGAGATTTACTGGAAAAAAGGGAAATACAGTGTCCCTGTGGAAATGATCAAGCAGCAGCAACGTGAGGGCCATGGAACTGTTGTGAAAACCAGTAGGAAGGTGCCCAGCTATTCCTTTCTTACTTAACTCTATCCTGCTTCTCCTGAGGGTGGAGTAGCTGAATGCCGCTGCTAGTTATAAATTGGGCTATATTTTCTGTGAATGTCTGGTCCCCATGTGTGTATTATTCTTCCCTAAAGAAGTCACTAAATCTCAGCCCGAAAAGTGGGATGAAGAGGCCCAAGATGCTGCAGGCGAGGAAGAGAAAGAACAAGAAAAAGAGAAGGATGCAGAAAACAAGGTGAAGAACTCCAAAGGGACCTAGACGCAGCAGAGGTGAAGCCAAGAAAATCCAGGTATCTGTGTATAGCTTTGAGAATCACTCAACTATTCCTGGCATTTACCTGTTGCAGACAGTTTTATTGAACAACAACAAAAATTCTCAGTAAGTTAAGTAAGAAAAAGTTTAAAATTAGTTTAAAAATTCAATTTAACTTACTTAAAATGTTACGAGAATATTCATGTACCTAGTAATATGAACTGCAGTGTGTTCTGAAATATACTTCTTGGCTACTCATTTGTTCATGTTGAGGTCTTTTGTCCTCTAGCTGCAAGACTACTAACAAGTGGCAGATGTATCAGACCTACTACCAGGACCAATATTTGTGTAGAAAACAGTTGCCAGACACAGCCGCTAACTTGGCTGGGCCACGCATTAGTTGGGCCTTCGTTACTTGACCACAGAAATGCAGGCTCCCGTAGTAACTAGGAGACAACTCAATGCCTTTTACAAAGTGACTACTTAAAAATAGCAAAAAGCTAAGAATTTCAAGTAGGACCACAATGAATGATTAATACCTAGATATTTATTTGGCTATATATTTTGGTATTTTATGTCACAGTCAGATGAAAAGAATGTGTGTTTATCACTGAATTGGTAATGAAGTCTTAAGGTATATCCATCTTTGAGTGTATTTAAATGGTTAACATTTTTCTTTCTTTCTTATTTATTTATTTATTTTGCATTTTCACAGCCGTATATTTCGTAACGGCTTCTTTCCCACATGGTAGATACGGAAACCAAGGGTCTGGGAGGGTAAGGGAGTATTATTTGTGGAACCAGCACAGGCTGTTGAAGCTTGAGAGATTTATTTAAATCCCAGAATGGCCCCTCATGTAAAAACAAAAGCAACAAGCTTTTCTAGTGCTAGGCAGACAAGGTTGGTGTGATCATTTGACTGAAACCTTCAGTTCCACAAGCACCCTGATATCCAAGCTCGTGAGTTACAAAAGGAAAAGATGGGCTTCTCTACTTGTTTAAGATATAGCACACAAATGTTGCAGATATACACAGAGCTGGCCATTTTCTTCTATTTAGAAAGTCACTGGTGCTGGTTAATGTTGTACTATTGTTTATCATCTCTCATTTCATCCCACAGTCGGGAGGAAAAGAAAGAAGACTCTGTTGTTCATTGTTTTTATCTTTTTCTCCAGATGCCTGTGGGAATTGTAACACATATCATTCCAAAGTTCGTTACATCAAAAGTGATATCCAGTGACATCTAACTTTCATGGATGTATGTGACAGTGTTCAAGTTAAAAAATAAAAGTTTGTTTTAAATGAATAAACTGAAACGTGGGAAGATTTTTCAATAAGTAATCTTAACTCAAATCTCTCCTTTACGTCTTTGTTTTGGCCCACCATACCTTCATTGAAAGATATTACTTTCCGCCATTTGGTAAGACTCTTTGAAATTCTTTCACTGCAGCCAAAAATCAAGTAAAATGACAAGTTTAAAACAATTTTTGAAAAGAGAGAGATGGGGCTCATCTTTAGAGCTGTGTGTTGTGACTACTGAGCACTTGTAATACGGCTAGTCTGATTTAATATGTGATGCAAGTGTGAAAATAATATTGCATATATTACTAATTTTTTTTTTTTTTTTTGAAACTGAGTCTCGCTCTGTCACCCAGGCTGGAGTGCAGTGGGGCCATCTTGGCTCACTGCAACCTCCACCTCCCAGGCTCCAGCAAATTTCCTGCCTCACCCTTCCGAGTAGCTGGGACTACAGGCGCGCACCACCATGTCCAGCTAATTTTTTGTATTTTTAGTACAGACAGGGTTTTACCATATTGGTCATGCTGGTCTCGAACTACTGACCTCAGGTGATCTGCCTGCCTCGGCCTCCCAAAGTGCGGCCTCCCAAAGTGCTGGATTACAGGCGTGAGCCACCACCCCCAGGCACTTTTGGTGTTTTTGATGCTTAGCTCTTATGAGATGACCTGGTCCTTTTAAAAAAAGTATCTCTTTTTTTCCCCATTATTTGGAGGTTTGAAGTGAATTTGGCAGGATTCATTAAACACCTTCCAGTGTCTGTCATTTACCACCTCAACACTCAGTGATGACTGCATCCATTTCAACTCTGCACATTCTTTTCTAAGTAGCTTTAACTACGTTAACTCAGTGAAATTCTTATGTCTCTTGGGAGGTTTTCACTACTGCTTAGCTATGAACTATATAACATTTTTATGACACTATCTCTACTGGCATGAGCCATTACTAGGTGGAAATAAGTGAACTCTGTGACCGCCTTGCAGTTCCCATGCTCCAGGGTGCCTCCACATGGGACTACTATAGTGTTGCTAATAATCATAAAATTAAAAGGGCAGGACTTGTGTGGACCTAAAGGGTAGCCCTGGACACTAAGGCCTCAAAGAAAAGGTGGAGCTCGGCCGGGCACACTGGCTCACGCCTGTAATCCCAGCACTTTGGGAGGCCGAGGTAGGTGGATCACAAGATCAGGAGATCGAGACCATCCTGGCCAACATGGTGAAACCCTGTCTCTACTAAAAATACAAAAACTAGCCGGGCGTGGTGGCATGCACCTATAGTCCCAGCTACTCAGGAGGCTGAGGCAGGAGAATCACTGGAACCCAGGAGGCGGGGATTGCAGTCAGCTGAGATCATGCCACTGTACTCCAGCCTGGGCAATAGAGCAAGGCTCCGTCTGAAAAAATAAAAATAAAAAAAAGAAAAGGAAAAGCTCTGGATTCTGGATTCTGAGTTGTCCTAGAGCTTAAGGGCCTTGATCATTCATTGGACAAAGAGCATGTCAATCTGAAGTTTTCAGCAAATGAGCTTAGGGCTCACTGAGAGCCCCTCGTTGACCCTTCCGGTCCCGCCCCCTGTCTCCTGCCAACCAGAATCTTTCCCGCCTTATCTAAGTCCTCTCAGGCCAGACTTGGTGGGAGGTTCCTAGGATTCGCTCCCTGCCCTTCCCACCTTAGGGTGTCCTCTGAGACAGACTCTTATTTCCTCAATAAAGAGAAAGACTCTTATTCCCTCAGCGGCCAGCTCCTCGCCTCCCCTCGGCCGTAGCCACCTCAGTGGTCACCGTCTTCACCGTGGTCGCCTCAGCCCGCTCGCCACCCCAGTTGAGGCGCTGCTGGTGTCATGTCTGCCACAGGGGACCGACACCCGACCCAAGGGGACCAGGAGGCCCCGGTAAGCCAGGAGGGAGCACAGGCCGAGGCGGCCGGAGCTGGTAACCAGGAGGGCGGCGACTCCGGCCCCGACAGCAGCGACGTGGTGCCTGCGGCCGAGGTGGTCGGAGTCGCAGGGCCCGTGGAAGGCCTCGGGGAGGAGGAGGGTGAGCAGGCGGCAGGCCTGGCCGCAGTCCCCCGGGGCGGGAGCGCCGAGGAGGACTCAGATATCGGGCCCGCGACGGAGGAAGAGGAGGAGGAAGAGGGGAACGAGGCGGCCAACTTCGACTTGGCGGTGGTCGCCCGTCGCTACCCGGCGTCGGGCATTCACTTCGTGCTCCTGGACATGGTCCACTCCCTTCTCCACCGCCTCTCTCACAACGACCACATCCTCATAGAGAACCGTCAACTCAGCCGCCTGATGGTGGGGCCACACGCTGCTGCGCGCAACCTCTGGGGCAACCTCCCCCCGCTGCTGCTGCCCCAGAGGCTGGGTGCAGGGGCCGCAGCCCGGGCGGGCGAGGGCCTGGGCCTGATCCAGGAGGCCGCATCGGTCCCAGAGCCTGCAGTGCCAGCTGACCTGGCCGAGATGGCCAGGGAGCCCGCGGAGGAGGCCGCAGAGGAGAAGCTCTCAGAGGAGGCCACAGAGGAACCAGACGCAGAGGAACCGGCCACAGAAGAACCGACCGCACAGGAGGCCACGGCCCCAGAGGGTAAGGAACGGGCTAGCGGCAGCAGCGGGGAGGCGGGGACCCGTGTGTCCCAGGGTTCTAGGCAGGGCCGCGGTGCGGGCATAGCTGGTGAAGCGGGTGGTGAAGGGGGGTCGGGGCCTCGGGTGGTGAAGCAGGAGTCGGGGCCCTCCTGAAACTTAAGGCAGAATGTGTCCCAATGAGTCGAAGCCCAATTCTCTAACGACATCTGTGGTTTTGAGAAAACTTGTCGCCCTCTACCAACCTATATTTGATAGGAGATCTGAGATCATCGGTGCCATTTGTGAGCCCGCAGATGAATGGCCGGGTAGATAGGGGTTCAGGAGGGAGCTCCGCAGGAAACAGAAGGGATGCGCCAAGGAAAAGAACAGGCAAATGGCAGGCATCCCTTTTAGTTCATGGCTTTTCAAAGTGTAAAGATTCGTAGAAAGTTGATCCCCCAAATGATGAAGTGATGCAGGAGCACTTGGTAAAAATGAAGCATTCGGGGGGGTGAGGAACCAATGAGCTTCACCATAGAATTTGTCTTTTGAGGTAAACAAATATTTTCCCAACAAAGTTCTGACCAAAACACCGTAGAATGAGATCGGACCCGATGATTCAGATCTCTTCTTCTCCAAAGAACTAGAAATAATCAGCCGCTTTGGGTGGGAGATTTACTGGAAAAAAGGGAAATACAGTGTCCCTGTGGAAATGATCAAGCAGCAGCAACGTGAGGGCCATGGAACTGTTGTGAAAACCAGTAGGAAGGTGCCCAGCTATTCCTTTCTTACTTAACTCTATCCTGCTTCTCCTGAGGGTGGAGTAGCTGAATGCCGCTGCTAGTTATAAATTGGGCTATATTTTCTGTGAATGTCTGGTCCCCATGTGTGTATTATTCTTCCCTAAAGAAGTCACTAAATCTCAGCCCGAAAAGTGGGATGAAGAGGCCCAAGATGCTGCAGGCGAGGAAGAGAAAGAACAAGAAAAAGAGAAGGATGCGGAAAACAAGGTGAAGAACTCCAAAGGGACCTAGACGCAGCAGAGGTGAAGCCAAGAAAATCCAGGTATCTGTGTATAGCTTTGAGAATCACTCAACTATTCCTGGCATTTACCTGTTGCAGACAGTTTTATTGAACAACAACAAAAATTCTCAGTAAGTTAAGTAAGAAAAAGTTTAAAATTAGTTTAAAAATTCAATTTAACTTACTTAAAATGTTACGAGAATATTCATGTACCTAGTAATATGAACTGCAGTGTGTTCTGAAATATACTTCTCGGCTACTCATTTGTTCATGTTGAGGTCTTTTGTCCTCTAGCTGCAAGACTACTAACAAGTGGCAGATGTATCAGACCTACTACCAGGACCAATATTTGTGTAGAAAACAGTTGCCAGACACAGCCGCTAACTTGGCTGGGCCACGCATTAGTTGGGCCTTCGTTACTTGACCACAGAAATGCAGGCTCCCGTAGTAACTAGGAGACAACTCAATGCCTTTTACAAAGTGACTACTTAAAAATAGCAAAAAGCTAAGAATTTCAAGTAGGACCACAATGAATGATTAATACCTAGATATTTATTTGGCTATATATTTTGGTATTTTATGTCACAGTCAGATGAAAAGAATGTGTGTTTATCACTGAATTGGTAATGAAGTCTTAAGGTATATCCATCTTTGAGTGTATTTAAATGGTTAACATTTTTCTTTCTTTCTTATTTATTTATTTATTTTGCATTTTCACAGCCGTATATTTCGTAACGGCTTCTTTCCCACATGGTAGATACGGAAACCAAGGGTCTGGGAGGGTAAGGGAGTATTATTTGTGGAACCAGCACAGGCTGTTGAAGCTTGAGAGATTTATTTAAATCCCAGAATGGCCCCTCATGTAAAAACAAAAGCAACAAGCTTTTCTAGTGCTAGGCAGACAAGGTTGGTGTGATCATTTGACTGAAACCTTCAGTTCCACAAGCACCCTGATATCCAAGCTCGTGAGTTACAAAAGGAAAAGATGGGCTTCTCTACTTGTTTAAGATATAGCACACAAATGTTGCAGATATACACAGAGCTGGCCATTTTCTTCTATTTAGAAAGTCACTGGTGCTGGTTAATGTTGTACTATTGTTTATCATCTCTCATTTCATCCCACAGTTGGGAGGAAAAGAAAGAAGACTCTGTTGTTCATTGTTTTTATCTTTTTCTCCAGATGCCTGTGGGAATTGTAACACATATCATTCCAAAGTTCGTTACATCAAAAGTGATATCCAGTGACATCTAACTTTCATGGATGTATGTGACAGTGTTCAAGTTAAAAAATAAAAGTTTGTTTTAAATGAATAAACTGAAACGTGGGAAGATTTTTCAATAAGTAATCTTAACTCAAATCTCTCCTTTACGTCTTTGTTTTGGCCCACCATACCTTCATTGAAAGATATTACTTTCCGCCATTTGGTAAGACTCTTTGAAATTCTTTCACTGCAGCCAAAAATCAAGTAAAATGACAAGTTTAAAACAATTTTTGAAAAGAGAGAGATGGGGCTCATCTTTAGAGCTGTGTGTTGTGACTACTGAGCACTTGTAATACGGCTAGTCTGATTTAATATGTGATGCAAGTGTGAAAATAATATTGCATATATTACTAATTTTTTTTTTTTTTTTTGAAACTGAGTCTCGCTCTGTCACCCAGGCTGGAGTGCAGTGGGACCATCTTGGCTCACTGCAACCTCCACCTCCCAGGCTCCAGCAAATTTCCTGCCTCACCCTTCCGAGTAGCTGGGACTACAGGCGCGCACCACCATGTCCAGCTAATTTTTTGTATTTTTAGTACAGACAGGGTTTTACCATATTGGTCATGCTGGTCTCGAACTACTGACCTCAGGTGATCTGCCTGCCTCGGCCTCCCAAAGTGCGGCCTCCCAAAGTGCTGGATTACAGGCGTGAGCCACCACCCCCAGGCACTTTTGGTGTTTTTGATGCTTAGCTCTTATGAGATGACCTGGTCCTTTTAAAAAAAGTATCTCTTTTTTTCCCCATTATTTGGAGGTTTGAAGTGAATTTGGCAGGATTCATTAAACACCTTCCAGTGTCTGTCATTTACCACCTCAACACTCAGTGATGACTGCATCCATTTCAACTCCGCACATTCTTTTCTAAGTAGCTTTAACTACGTTAACTCAGTGAAATTCTTATGTCTCTTGGGAGGTTTTCACTACTGCTTAGCTATGAACTATATAACATTTTTATGACACTATCTCTACTGGCATGAGCCATTACTAGGTGGAAATAAGTGAACTCTGTGACCGCCTTGCAGTTCCCATGCTCCAGGGTGCCTCCACATGGGACTACTATAGTGTTGCTAATAATCATAAAATTAAAAGGGCAGGACTTGTGTGGACCTAAAGGGGTAGCCTTGGACACTAAGGCCTCATAGAAAAGGTAGAGCTCGGCCTGGCACGGTGGCTCATGCCTGTAATCCAAGCACTTTGGGAGGCTGAGGCAGGTGGATCACAAGGTCAGGAGATCGAGACCATCCTGGCCAACATGGTGAAACCCTGTCTCTACTAAAAATACAAAACCTAGCCAGGCGTGGTGGCATGTACCTGTAGTCCCAGCTACTCAGGAGGCTGAGGCAGGAGAATCACTGGAACCCAGGAGGCGGGGATTGCAGTGAGCCGAGATCTTGCCACTGCACTCCAGCCTGGGCAACAGAGCAACACTATGAAAAGAAAAGAAAAAGCTCTGGATTCTGGATTCTCAGTTCTAGAGCTTAAGGGCCTTGATCATTCATTGGACATAGAACATGTCAATCTGAAGTTTTCAGCAAATGAGCTTAGGGCTCACTGAGAGCCCCTCGTTGACCCTTCCGGTCCCGCCCCCTTTCGCCTGCCAACCAGAATCTTTCCCAACTTGTCTAAGTCCTCTCAGGCCAGCCTTGGTGGGAGGTTTCTAGGATTCGCTCCCTGCCCTTCCCATCTTAGGGTGTCGTCTGAGACAGACTCTTATTCCCTCAATAAAGAGAGAGACTCTTATTCCCTCAGCGGCCAGCTCCTCGCCTCCCCTCGGCCGTAGCCACCTCAGTGGTCACCGTCTTCACCGTGGTCGCCTCAGCCCGCTCGCCACCCCAGTTGAGGCGCTGCTGGTGTCATGTCTGCCACAGGGGACCGACACCCGACCCAAGGGGACCAGGAGGCCCCGGTAAGCCAGGAGGGAGCACAGGCCGAGGCGGCCGGAGCTGGTAACCAGGAGGGCGGCGACTCCGGCCCCGACAGCAGCGACGTGGTGCCTGCGGCCGAGGTGGTCGGAGTCGCAGGGCCCGTGGAAGGCCTCGGGGAGGAGGAGGGTGAGCAGGCGGCAGGCCTGGCCGCAGTCCCCCGGGGCGGGAGCGCCGAGGAGGACTCAGATATCGGGCCCGCGACGGAGGAAGAGGAGGAGGAAGAGGGGAACGAGGCGGCCAACTTCGACTTGGCGGTGGTCGCCCGTCGCTACCCGGCGTCGGGCATTCACTTCGTGCTCCTGGACATGGTCCACTCCCTTCTCCACCGCCTCTCTCACAACGACCACATCCTCATAGAGAACCGTCAACTCAGCCGCCTGATGGTGGGGCCACACGCTGCTGCGCGCAACCTCTGGGGCAACCTCCCCCCGCTGCTGCTGCCCCAGAGGCTGGGTGCAGGGGCCGCAGCCCGGGCGGGCGAGGGCCTGGGCCTGATCCAGGAGGCCGCATCGGTCCCAGAGCCTGCAGTGCCAGCTGACCTGGCCGAGATGGCCAGGGAGCCCGCGGAGGAGGCCGCAGAGGAGAAGCTCTCAGAGGAGGCCACAGAGGAACCAGACGCAGAGGAACCGGCCACAGAAGAACCGACCGCACAGGAGGCCACGGCCCCAGAGGGTAAGGAACGGGCTAGCGGCAGCAGCGGGGAGGCGGGGACCCGTGTGTCCCAGGGTTCTAGGCAGGGCCGCGGTGCGGGCATAGCTGGTGAAGCGGGTGGTGAAGGGGGGTCGGGGCCTCGGGTGGTGAAGCAGGAGTCGGGGCCCTCCTGAAACTTAAGGCAGAATGTGTCCCAATGAGTCGAAGCCCAATTCTCTAACGACATCTGTGGTTTTGAGAAAACTTGTCGCCCTCTACCAACCTATATTTGATAGGAGATCTGAGATCATCGGTGCCATTTGTGAGCCCGCAGATGAATGGCCGGGTAGATAGGGGTTCAGGAGGGAGCTCCGCAGGAAACAGAAGGGATGCGCCAAGGAAAAGAACAGGCAAATGGCAGGCATCCCTTTTAGTTCATGGCTTTTCAAAGTGTAAAGATTCGTAGAAAGTTGATCCCCCAAATGATGAAGTGATGCAGGAGCACTTGGTAAAAATGAAGCATTCGGGGGGGTGAGGAACCAATGAGCTTCACCATAGAATTTGTCTTTTGAGGTAAACAAATATTTTCCCAACAAAGTTCTGACCAAAACACCGTAGAATGAGATCGGACCCGATGATTCAGATCTCTTCTTCTCCAAAGAACTAGAAATAATCAGCCGCTTTGGGTGGGAGATTTACTGGAAAAAAGGGAAATACAGTGTCCCTGTGGAAATGATCAAGCAGCAGCAACGTGAGGGCCATGGAACTGTTGTGAAAACCAGTAGGAAGGTGCCCAGCTATTCCTTTCTTACTTAACTCTATCCTGCTTCTCCTGAGGGTGGAGTAGCTGAATGCCGCTGCTAGTTATAAATTGGGCTATATTTTCTGTGAATGTCTGGTCCCCATGTGTGTATTATTCTTCCCTAAAGAAGTCACTAAATCTCAGCCCGAAAAGTGGGATGAAGAGGCCCAAGATGCTGCAGGCGAGGAAGAGAAAGAACAAGAAAAAGAGAAGGATGCGGAAAACAAGGTGAAGAACTCCAAAGGGACCTAGACGCAGCAGAGGTGAAGCCAAGAAAATCCAGGTATCTGTGTATAGCTTTGAGAATCACTCAACTATTCCTGGCATTTACCTGTTGCAGACAGTTTTATTGAACAACAACAAAAATTCTCAGTAAGTTAAGTAAGAAAAAGTTTAAAATTAGTTTAAAAATTCAATTTAACTTACTTAAAATGTTACGAGAATATTCATGTACCTAGTAATATGAACTGCAGTGTGTTCTGAAATATACTTCTCGGCTACTCATTTGTTCATGTTGAGGTCTTTTGTCCTCTAGCTGCAAGACTACTAACAAGTGGCAGATGTATCAGACCTACTACCAGGACCAATATTTGTGTAGAAAACAGTTGCCAGACACAGCCGCTAACTTGGCTGGGCCACGCATTAGTTGGGCCTTCGTTACTTGACCACAGAAATGCAGGCTCCCGTAGTAACTAGGAGACAACTCAATGCCTTTTACAAAGTGACTACTTAAAAATAGCAAAAAGCTAAGAATTTCAAGTAGGACCACAATGAATGGTTAATACCTAGATATTTATTTGGCTATATATTTTGGTATTTTATGTCACAGTCAGATGAAAAGAATGTGTGTTTATCACTGAATTGGTAATGAAGTCTTAAGGTATATCCATCTTTGAGTGTATTTAAATGGTTAACATTTTTCTTTCTTTCTTATTTATTTATTTATTTTGCATTTTCACAGCCGTATATTTCGTAACGGCTTCTTTCCCACATGGTAGATACGGAAACCAAGGGTCTGGGAGGGTAAGGGAGTATTATTTGTGGAACCAGCACAGGCTGTTGAAGCTTGAGAGATTTATTTAAATCCCAGAATGGCCCCTCATGTAAAAACAAAAGCAACAAGCTTTTCTAGTGCTAGGCAGACAAGGTTGGTGTGATCATTTGACTGAAACCTTCAGTTCCACAAGCACCCTGATATCCAAGCTCGTGAGTTACAAAAGGAAAAGATGGGCTTCTCTACTTGTTTAAGATATAGCACACAAATGTTGCAGATATACACAGAGCTGGCCATTTTCTTCTATTTAGAAAGTCACTGGTGCTGGTTAATGTTGTACTATTGTTTATCATCTCTCATTTCATCCCACAGTTGGGAGGAAAAGAAAGAAGACTCTGTTGTTCATTGTTTTTATCTTTTTCTCCAGATGCCTGTGGGAATTGTAACACATATCATTCCAAAGTTCGTTACATCAAAAGTGATATCCAGTGACATCTAACTTTCATGGATGTATGTGACAGTGTTCAAGTTAAAAAATAAAAGTTTGTTTTAAATGAATAAACTGAAACGTGGGAAGATTTTTCAATAAGTAATCTTAACTCAAATCTCTCCTTTACGTCTTTGTTTTGGCCCACCATACCTTCATTGAAAGATATTACTTTCCGCCATTTGGTAAGACTCTTTGAAATTCTTTCACTGCAGCCAAAAATCAAGTAAAATGACAAGTTTAAAACAATTTTTGAAAAGAGAGAGATGGGGCTCATCTTTAGAGCTGTGTGTTGTGACTACTGAGCACTTGTAATACGGCTAGTCTGATTTAATATGTGATGCAAGTGTGAAAATAATATTGCATATATTACTAATTTTTTTTTTTTTTTTTTGAAACTGAGTCTCGCTCTGTCACCCAGGCTGGAGTGCAGTGGGGCCATCTTGGCTCACTGCAACCTCCACCTCCCAGGCTCCAGCAAATTTCCTGCCTCACCCTTCCGAGTAGCTGGGACTACAGGCGCGCACCACCATGTCCAGCTAATTTTTTGTATTTTTAGTACAGACAGGGTTTTACCATATTGGTCATGCTGGTCTCGAACTACTGACCTCAGGTGATCTGCCTGCCTCGGCCTCCCAAAGTGCGGCCTCCCAAAGTGCTGGATTACAGGCGTGAGCCACCACCCCCAGGCACTTTTGGTGTTTTTGATGCTTAGCTCTTATGAGATGACCTGGTCCTTTTAAAAAAAGTATCTCTTTTTTTCCCCATTATTTGGAGGTTTGAAGTGAATTTGGCAGGATTCATTAAACACCTTCCAGTGTCTGTCATTTACCACCTCAACACTCAGTGATGACTGCATCCATTTCAACTCCGCACATTCTTTTCTAAGTAGCTTTAACTACGTTAACTCAGTGAAATTCTTATGTCTCTTGGGAGGTTTTCACTACTGCTTAGCTATGAACTATATAACATTTTTATGACACTATCTCTACTGGCATGAGCCATTACTAGGTGGAAATAAGTGAACTCTGTGACCGCCTTGCAGTTCCCATGCTCCAGGGTGCCTCCACATGGGACTACTATAGTGTTGCTAATAATCATAAAATTAAAAGGGCAGGACTTGTGTGGACCTAAAGGGGTAGCCTTGGACACTAAGGCCTCATAGAAAAGGTAGAGCTCGGCCTGGCACGGTGGCTCATGCCTGTAATCCAAGCACTTTGGGAGGCTGAGGCAGGTGGATCACAAGGTCAGGAGATCGAGACCATCCTGGCCAACATGGTGAAACCCTGTCTCTACTAAAAATACAAAACCTAGCCAGGCGTGGTGGCATGTACCTGTAGTCCCAGCTACTCAGGAGGCTGAGGCAGGAGAATCACTGGAACCCAGGAGGCGGGGATTGCAGTGAGCCGAGATCTTGCCACTGCACTCCAGCCTGGGCAACAGAGCAACACTATGAAAAGAAAAGAAAAAGCTCTGGATTCTGGATTCTCAGTTCTAGAGCTTAAGGGCCTTGATCATTCATTGGACATAGAACATGTCAATCTGAAGTTTTCAGCAAATGAGCTTAGGGCTCACTGAGAGCCCCTCGTTGACCCTTCCGGTCCCGCCCCCTTTCGCCTGCCAACCAGAATCTTTCCCAACTTGTCTAAGTCCTCTCAGGCCAGCCTTGGTGGGAGGTTTCTAGGATTCGCTCCCTGCCCTTCCCATCTTAGGGTGTCGTCTGAGACAGACTCTTATTCCCTCAATAAAGAGAGAGACTCTTATTCCCTCAGCGGCCAGCTCCTCGCCTCCCCTCGGCCGTAGCCACCTCAGTGGTCACCGTCTTCACCGTGGTCGCCTCAGCCCGCTCGCCACCCCAGTTGAGGCGCTGCTGGTGTCATGTCTGCCACAGGGGACCGACACCCGACCCAAGGGGACCAGGAGGCCCCGGTAAGCCAGGAGGGAGCACAGGCCGAGGCGGCCGGAGCTGGTAACCAGGAGGGCGGCGACTCCGGCCCCGACAGCAGCGACGTGGTGCCTGCGGCCGAGGTGGTCGGAGTCGCAGGGCCCGTGGAAGGCCTCGGGGAGGAGGAGGGTGAGCAGGCGGCAGGCCTGGCCGCAGTCCCCCGGGGCGGGAGCGCCGAGGAGGACTCAGATATCGGGCCCGCGACGGAGGAAGAGGAGGAGGAAGAGGGGAACGAGGCGGCCAACTTCGACTTGGCGGTGGTCGCCCGTCGCTACCCGGCGTCGGGCATTCACTTCGTGCTCCTGGACATGGTCCACTCCCTTCTCCACCGCCTCTCTCACAACGACCACATCCTCATAGAGAACCGTCAACTCAGCCGCCTGATGGTGGGGCCACACGCTGCTGCGCGCAACCTCTGGGGCAACCTCCCCCCGCTGCTGCTGCCCCAGAGGCTGGGTGCAGGGGCCGCAGCCCGGGCGGGCGAGGGCCTGGGCCTGATCCAGGAGGCCGCATCGGTCCCAGAGCCTGCAGTGCCAGCTGACCTGGCCGAGATGGCCAGGGAGCCCGCGGAGGAGGCCGCAGAGGAGAAGCTCTCAGAGGAGGCCACAGAGGAACCAGACGCAGAGGAACCGGCCACAGAAGAACCGACCGCACAGGAGGCCACGGCCCCAGAGGGTAAGGAACGGGCTAGCGGCAGCAGCGGGGAGGCGGGGACCCGTGTGTCCCAGGGTTCTAGGCAGGGCCGCGGTGCGGGCATAGCTGGTGAAGCGGGTGGTGAAGGGGGGTCGGGGCCTCGGGTGGTGAAGCAGGAGTCGGGGCCCTCCTGAAACTTAAGGCAGAATGTGTCCCAATGAGTCGAAGCCCAATTCTCTAACGACATCTGTGGTTTTGAGAAAACTTGTCGCCCTCTACCAACCTATATTTGATAGGAGATCTGAGATCATCGGTGCCATTTGTGAGCCCGCAGATGAATGGCCGGGTAGATAGGGGTTCAGGAGGGAGCTCCGCAGGAAACAGAAGGGATGCGCCAAGGAAAAGAACAGGCAAATGGCAGGCATCCCTTTTAGTTCATGGCTTTTCAAAGTGTAAAGATTCGTAGAAAGTTGATCCCCCAAATGATGAAGTGATGCAGGAGCACTTGGTAAAAATGAAGCATTCGGGGGGGTGAGGAACCAATGAGCTTCACCATAGAATTTGTCTTTTGAGGTAAACAAATATTTTCCCAACAAAGTTCTGACCAAAACACCGTAGAATGAGATCGGACCCGATGATTCAGATCTCTTCTTCTCCAAAGAACTAGAAATAATCAGCCGCTTTGGGTGGGAGATTTACTGGAAAAAAGGGAAATACAGTGTCCCTGTGGAAATGATCAAGCAGCAGCAACGTGAGGGCCATGGAACTGTTGTGAAAACCAGTAGGAAGGTGCCCAGCTATTCCTTTCTTACTTAACTCTATCCTGCTTCTCCTGAGGGTGGAGTAGCTGAATGCCGCTGCTAGTTATAAATTGGGCTATATTTTCTGTGAATGTCTGGTCCCCATGTGTGTATTATTCTTCCCTAAAGAAGTCACTAAATCTCAGCCCGAAAAGTGGGATGAAGAGGCCCAAGATGCTGCAGGCGAGGAAGAGAAAGAACAAGAAAAAGAGAAGGATGCGGAAAACAAGGTGAAGAACTCCAAAGGGACCTAGACGCAGCAGAGGTGAAGCCAAGAAAATCCAGGTATCTGTGTATAGCTTTGAGAATCACTCAACTATTCCTGGCATTTACCTGTTGCAGACAGTTTTATTGAACAACAACAAAAATTCTCAGTAAGTTAAGTAAGAAAAAGTTTAAAATTAGTTTAAAAATTCAATTTAACTTACTTAAAATGTTACGAGAATATTCATGTACCTAGTAATATGAACTGCAGTGTGTTCTGAAATATACTTCTCGGCTACTCATTTGTTCATGTTGAGGTCTTTTGTCCTCTAGCTGCAAGACTACTAACAAGTGGCAGATGTATCAGACCTACTACCAGGACCAATATTTGTGTAGAAAACAGTTGCCAGACACAGCCGCTAACTTGGCTGGGCCACGCATTAGTTGGGCCTTCGTTACTTGACCACAGAAATGCAGGCTCCCGTAGTAACTAGGAGACAACTCAATGCCTTTTACAAAGTGACTACTTAAAAATAGCAAAAAGCTAAGAATTTCAAGTAGGACCACAATGAATGGTTAATACCTAGATATTTATTTGGCTATATATTTTGGTATTTTATGTCACAGTCAGATGAAAAGAATGTGTGTTTATCACTGAATTGGTAATGAAGTCTTAAGGTATATCCATCTTTGAGTGTATTTAAATGGTTAACATTTTTCTTTCTTTCTTATTTATTTATTTATTTTGCATTTTCACAGCCGTATATTTCGTAACGGCTTCTTTCCCACATGGTAGATACGGAAACCAAGGGTCTGGGAGGGTAAGGGAGTATTATTTGTGGAACCAGCACAGGCTGTTGAAGCTTGAGAGATTTATTTAAATCCCAGAATGGCCCCTCATGTAAAAACAAAAGCAACAAGCTTTTCTAGTGCTAGGCAGACAAGGTTGGTGTGATCATTTGACTGAAACCTTCAGTTCCACAAGCACCCTGATATCCAAGCTCGTGAGTTACAAAAGGAAAAGATGGGCTTCTCTACTTGTTTAAGATATAGCACACAAATGTTGCAGATATACACAGAGCTGGCCATTTTCTTCTATTTAGAAAGTCACTGGTGCTGGTTAATGTTGTACTATTGTTTATCATCTCTCATTTCATCCCACAGTTGGGAGGAAAAGAAAGAAGACTCTGTTGTTCATTGTTTTTATCTTTTTCTCCAGATGCCTGTGGGAATTGTAACACATATCATTCCAAAGTTCGTTACATCAAAAGTGATATCCAGTGACATCTAACTTTCATGGATGTATGTGACAGTGTTCAAGTTAAAAAATAAAAGTTTGTTTTAAATGAATAAACTGAAACGTGGGAAGATTTTTCAATAAGTAATCTTAACTCAAATCTCTCCTTTACGTCTTTGTTTTGGCCCACCATACCTTCATTGAAAGATATTACTTTCCGCCATTTGGTAAGACTCTTTGAAATTCTTTCACTGCAGCCAAAAATCAAGTAAAATGACAAGTTTAAAACAATTTTTGAAAAGAGAGAGATGGGGCTCATCTTTAGAGCTGTGTGTTGTGACTACTGAGCACTTGTAATACGGCTAGTCTGATTTAATATGTGATGCAAGTGTGAAAATAATATTGCATATATTACTAATTTTTTTTTTTTTTTTTGAAACTGAGTCTCGCTCTGTCACCCAGGCTGGAGTGCAGTGGGGCCATCTTGGCTCACTGCAACCTCCACCTCCCAGGCTCCAGCAAATTTCCTGCCTCACCCTTCCGAGTAGCTGGGACTACAGGCGCGCACCACCATGTCCAGCTAGTTTTTTGTATTTTTAGTACAGACAGGGTTTTACCATATTGGTCATGCTGGTCTCGAACTACTGACCTCAGGTGATCTGCCTGCCTCGGCCTCCCAAAGTGCGGCCTCCCAAAGTGCTGGATTACAGGCGTGAGCCACCACCCCCAGGCACTTTTGGTGTTTTTGATGCTTAGCTCTTATGAGATGACCTGGTCCTTTTAAAAAAAGTATCTCTTTTTTTCCCCATTATTTGGAGGTTTGAAGTGAATTTGGCAGGATTCATTAAACACCTTCCAGTGTCTGTCATTTACCACCTCAACACTCAGTGATGACTGCATCCATTTCAACTCCGCACATTCTTTTCTAAGTAGCTTTAACTACGTTAACTCAGTGAAATTCTTATGTCTCTTGGGAGGTTTTCACTACTGCTTAGCTATGAACTATATAACATTTTTATGACACTATCTCTACTGGCATGAGCCATTACTAGGTGGAAATAAGTGAACTCTGTGACCGCCTTGCAGTTCCCATGCTCCAGGGTGCCTCCACATGGGACTACTATAGTGTTGCTAATAATCATAAAATTAAAAGGGCAGGACTTGTGTGGACCTAAAGGGGTAGCCTTGGACACTAAGGCCTCATAGAAAAGGTAGAGCTCGGCCTGGCACGGTGGCTCATGCCTGTAATCCAAGCACTTTGGGAGGCTGAGGCAGGTGGATCACAAGGTCAGGAGATCGAGACCATCCTGGCCAACATGGTGAAACCCTGTCTCTACTAAAAATACAAAACCTAGCCAGGCGTGGTGGCATGTACCTGTAGTCCCAGCTACTCAGGAGGCTGAGGCAGGAGAATCACTGGAACCCAGGAGGCGGGGATTGCAGTGAGCCGAGATCTTGCCACTGCACTCCAGCCTGGGCAACAGAGCAACACTATGAAAAGAAAAGAAAAAGCTCTGGATTCTGGATTCTCAGTTCTAGAGCTTAAGGGCCTTGATCATTCATTGGACATAGAACATGTCAATCTGAAGTTTTCAGCAAATGAGCTTAGGGCTCACTGAGAGCCCCTCGTTGACCCTTCCGGTCCCGCCCCCTTTCGCCTGCCAACCAGAATCTTTCCCAACTTGTCTAAGTCCTCTCAGGCCAGCCTTGGTGGGAGGTTTCTAGGATTCGCTCCCTGCCCTTCCCATCTTAGGGTGTCGTCTGAGACAGACTCTTATTCCCTCAATAAAGAGAGAGACTCTTATTCCCTCAGCGGCCAGCTCCTCGCCTCCCCTCGGCCGTAGCCACCTCAGTGGTCACCGTCTTCACCGTGGTCGCCTCAGCCCGCTCGCCACCCCAGTTGAGGCGCTGCTGGTGTCATGTCTGCCACAGGGGACCGACACCCGACCCAAGGGGACCAGGAGGCCCCGGTAAGCCAGGAGGGAGCACAGGCCGAGGCGGCCGGAGCTGGTAACCAGGAGGGCGGCGACTCCGGCCCCGACAGCAGCGACGTGGTGCCTGCGGCCGAGGTGGTCGGAGTCGCAGGGCCCGTGGAAGGCCTCGGGGAGGAGGAGGGTGAGCAGGCGGCAGGCCTGGCCGCAGTCCCCCGGGGCGGGAGCGCCGAGGAGGACTCAGATATCGGGCCCGCGACGGAGGAAGAGGAGGAGGAAGAGGGGAACGAGGCGGCCAACTTCGACTTGGCGGTGGTCGCCCGTCGCTACCCGGCGTCGGGCATTCACTTCGTGCTCCTGGACATGGTCCACTCCCTTCTCCACCGCCTCTCTCACAACGACCACATCCTCATAGAGAACCGTCAACTCAGCCGCCTGATGGTGGGGCCACACGCTGCTGCGCGCAACCTCTGGGGCAACCTCCCCCCGCTGCTGCTGCCCCAGAGGCTGGGTGCAGGGGCCGCAGCCCGGGCGGGCGAGGGCCTGGGCCTGATCCAGGAGGCCGCATCGGTCCCAGAGCCTGCAGTGCCAGCTGACCTGGCCGAGATGGCCAGGGAGCCCGCGGAGGAGGCCGCAGAGGAGAAGCTCTCAGAGGAGGCCACAGAGGAACCAGACGCAGAGGAACCGGCCACAGAAGAACCGACCGCACAGGAGGCCACGGCCCCAGAGGGTAAGGAACGGGCTAGCGGCAGCAGCGGGGAGGCGGGGACCCGTGTGTCCCAGGGTTCTAGGCAGGGCCGCGGTGCGGGCATAGCTGGTGAAGCGGGTGGTGAAGGGGGGTCGGGGCCTCGGGTGGTGAAGCAGGAGTCGGGGCCCTCCTGAAACTTAAGGCAGAATGTGTCCCAATGAGTCGAAGCCCAATTCTCTAACGACATCTGTGGTTTTGAGAAAACTTGTCGCCCTCTACCAACCTATATTTGATAGGAGATCTGAGATCATCGGTGCCATTTGTGAGCCCGCAGATGAATGGCCGGGTAGATAGGGGTTCAGGAGGGAGCTCCGCAGGAAACAGAAGGGATGCGCCAAGGAAAAGAACAGGCAAATGGCAGGCATCCCTTTTAGTTCATGGCTTTTCAAAGTGTAAAGATTCGTAGAAAGTTGATCCCCCAAATGATGAAGTGATGCAGGAGCACTTGGTAAAAATGAAGCATTCGGGGGGGTGAGGAACCAATGAGCTTCACCATAGAATTTGTCTTTTGAGGTAAACAAATATTTTCCCAACAAAGTTCTGACCAAAACACCGTAGAATGAGATCGGACCCGATGATTCAGATCTCTTCTTCTCCAAAGAACTAGAAATAATCAGCCGCTTTGGGTGGGAGATTTACTGGAAAAAAGGGAAATACAGTGTCCCTGTGGAAATGATCAAGCAGCAGCAACGTGAGGGCCATGGAACTGTTGTGAAAACCAGTAGGAAGGTGCCCAGCTATTCCTTTCTTACTTAACTCTATCCTGCTTCTCCTGAGGGTGGAGTAGCTGAATGCCGCTGCTAGTTATAAATTGGGCTATATTTTCTGTGAATGTCTGGTCCCCATGTGTGTATTATTCTTCCCTAAAGAAGTCACTAAATCTCAGCCCGAAAAGTGGGATGAAGAGGCCCAAGATGCTGCAGGCGAGGAAGAGAAAGAACAAGAAAAAGAGAAGGATGCGGAAAACAAGGTGAAGAACTCCAAAGGGACCTAGACGCAGCAGAGGTGAAGCCAAGAAAATCCAGGTATCTGTGTATAGCTTTGAGAATCACTCAACTATTCCTGGCATTTACCTGTTGCAGACAGTTTTATTGAACAACAACAAAAATTCTCAGTAAGTTAAGTAAGAAAAAGTTTAAAATTAGTTTAAAAATTCAATTTAACTTACTTAAAATGTTACGAGAATATTCATGTACCTAGTAATATGAACTGCAGTGTGTTCTGAAATATACTTCTCGGCTACTCATTTGTTCATGTTGAGGTCTTTTGTCCTCTAGCTGCAAGACTACTAACAAGTGGCAGATGTATCAGACCTACTACCAGGACCAATATTTGTGTAGAAAACAGTTGCCAGACACAGCCGCTAACTTGGCTGGGCCACGCATTAGTTGGGCCTTCGTTACTTGACCACAGAAATGCAGGCTCCCGTAGTAACTAGGAGACAACTCAATGCCTTTTACAAAGTGACTACTTAAAAATAGCAAAAAGCTAAGAATTTCAAGTAGGACCACAATGAATGGTTAATACCTAGATATTTATTTGGCTATATATTTTGGTATTTTATGTCACAGTCAGATGAAAAGAATGTGTGTTTATCACTGAATTGGTAATGAAGTCTTAAGGTATATCCATCTTTGAGTGTATTTAAATGGTTAACATTTTTCTTTCTTTCTTATTTATTTATTTATTTTGCATTTTCACAGCCGTATATTTCGTAACGGCTTCTTTCCCACATGGTAGATACGGAAACCAAGGGTCTGGGAGGGTAAGGGAGTATTATTTGTGGAACCAGCACAGGCTGTTGAAGCTTGAGAGATTTATTTAAATCCCAGAATGGCCCCTCATGTAAAAACAAAAGCAACAAGCTTTTCTAGTGCTAGGCAGACAAGGTTGGTGTGATCATTTGACTGAAACCTTCAGTTCCACAAGCACCCTGATATCCAAGCTCGTGAGTTACAAAAGGAAAAGATGGGCTTCTCTACTTGTTTAAGATATAGCACACAAATGTTGCAGATATACACAGAGCTGGCCATTTTCTTCTATTTAGAAAGTCACTGGTGCTGGTTAATGTTGTACTATTGTTTATCATCTCTCATTTCATCCCACAGTTGGGAGGAAAAGAAAGAAGACTCTGTTGTTCATTGTTTTTATCTTTTTCTCCAGATGCCTGTGGGAATTGTAACACATATCATTCCAAAGTTCGTTACATCAAAAGTGATATCCAGTGACATCTAACTTTCATGGATGTATGTGACAGTGTTCAAGTTAAAAAATAAAAGTTTGTTTTAAATGAATAAACTGAAACGTGGGAAGATTTTTCAATAAGTAATCTTAACTCAAATCTCTCCTTTACGTCTTTGTTTTGGCCCACCATACCTTCATTGAAAGATATTACTTTCCGCCATTTGGTAAGACTCTTTGAAATTCTTTCACTGCAGCCAAAAATCAAGTAAAATGACAAGTTTAAAACAATTTTTGAAAAGAGAGAGATGGGGCTCATCTTTAGAGCTGTGTGTTGTGACTACTGAGCACTTGTAATACGGCTAGTCTGATTTAATATGTGATGCAAGTGTGAAAATAATATTGCATATATTACTAATTTTTTTTTTTTTTTTTTGAAACTGAGTCTCGCTCTGTCACCCAGGCTGGAGTGCAGTGGGGCCATCTTGGCTCACTGCAACCTCCACCTCCCAGGCTCCAGCAAATTTCCTGCCTCACCCTTCCGAGTAGCTGGGACTACAGGCGCGCACCACCATGTCCAGCTAATTTTTTGTATTTTTAGTACAGACAGGGTTTTACCATATTGGTCATGCTGGTCTCGAACTACTGACCTCAGGTGATCTGCCTGCCTCGGCCTCCCAAAGTGCGGCCTCCCAAAGTGCTGGATTACAGGCGTGAGCCACCACCCCCAGGCACTTTTGGTGTTTTTGATGCTTAGCTCTTATGAGATGACCTGGTCCTTTTAAAAAAAGTATCTCTTTTTTTCCCCATTATTTGGAGGTTTGAAGTGAATTTGGCAGGATTCATTAAACACCTTCCAGTGTCTGTCATTTACCACCTCAACACTCAGTGATGACTGCATCCATTTCAACTCCGCACATTCTTTTCTAAGTAGCTTTAACTACGTTAACTCAGTGAAATTCTTATGTCTCTTGGGAGGTTTTCACTACTGCTTAGCTATGAACTATATAACATTTTTATGACACTATCTCTACTGGCATGAGCCATTACTAGGTGGAAATAAGTGAACTCTGTGACCGCCTTGCAGTTCCCATGCTCCAGGGTGCCTCCACATGGGACTACTATAGTGTTGCTAATAATCATAAAATTAAAAGGGCAGGACTTGTGTGGACCTAAAGGGGTAGCCTTGGACACTAAGGCCTCATAGAAAAGGTAGAGCTCGGCCTGGCACGGTGGCTCATGCCTGTAATCCAAGCACTTTGGGAGGCTGAGGCAGGTGGATCACAAGGTCAGGAGATCGAGACCATCCTGGCCAACATGGTGAAACCCTGTCTCTACTAAAAATACAAAACCTAGCCAGGCGTGGTGGCATGTACCTGTAGTCCCAGCTACTCAGGAGGCTGAGGCAGGAGAATCACTGGAACCCAGGAGGCGGGGATTGCAGTGAGCCGAGATCTTGCCACTGCACTCCAGCCTGGGCAACAGAGCAACACTATGAAAAGAAAAGAAAAAGCTCTGGATTCTGGATTCTCAGTTCTAGAGCTTAAGGGCCTTGATCATTCATTGGACATAGAACATGTCAATCTGAAGTTTTCAGCAAATGAGCTTAGGGCTCACTGAGAGCCCCTCGTTGACCCTTCCGGTCCCGCCCCCTTTCGCCTGCCAACCAGAATCTTTCCCAACTTGTCTAAGTCCTCTCAGGCCAGCCTTGGTGGGAGGTTTCTAGGATTCGCTCCCTGCCCTTCCCATCTTAGGGTGTCGTCTGAGACAGACTCTTATTCCCTCAATAAAGAGAGAGACTCTTATTCCCTCAGCGGCCAGCTCCTCGCCTCCCCTCGGCCGTAGCCACCTCAGTGGTCACCGTCTTCACCGTGGTCGCCTCAGCCCGCTCGCCACCCCAGTTGAGGCGCTGCTGGTGTCATGTCTGCCACAGGGGACCGACACCCGACCCAAGGGGACCAGGAGGCCCCGGTAAGCCAGGAGGGAGCACAGGCCGAGGCGGCCGGAGCTGGTAACCAGGAGGGCGGCGACTCCGGCCCCGACAGCAGCGACGTGGTGCCTGCGGCCGAGGTGGTCGGAGTCGCAGGGCCCGTGGAAGGCCTCGGGGAGGAGGAGGGTGAGCAGGCGGCAGGCCTGGCCGCAGTCCCCCGGGGCGGGAGCGCCGAGGAGGACTCAGATATCGGGCCCGCGACGGAGGAAGAGGAGGAGGAAGAGGGGAACGAGGCGGCCAACTTCGACTTGGCGGTGGTCGCCCGTCGCTACCCGGCGTCGGGCATTCACTTCGTGCTCCTGGACATGGTCCACTCCCTTCTCCACCGCCTCTCTCACAACGACCACATCCTCATAGAGAACCGTCAACTCAGCCGCCTGATGGTGGGGCCACACGCTGCTGCGCGCAACCTCTGGGGCAACCTCCCCCCGCTGCTGCTGCCCCAGAGGCTGGGTGCAGGGGCCGCAGCCCGGGCGGGCGAGGGCCTGGGCCTGATCCAGGAGGCCGCATCGGTCCCAGAGCCTGCAGTGCCAGCTGACCTGGCCGAGATGGCCAGGGAGCCCGCGGAGGAGGCCGCAGAGGAGAAGCTCTCAGAGGAGGCCACAGAGGAACCAGACGCAGAGGAACCGGCCACAGAAGAACCGACCGCACAGGAGGCCACGGCCCCAGAGGGTAAGGAACGGGCTAGCGGCAGCAGCGGGGAGGCGGGGACCCGTGTGTCCCAGGGTTCTAGGCAGGGCCGCGGTGCGGGCATAGCTGGTGAAGCGGGTGGTGAAGGGGGGTCGGGGCCTCGGGTGGTGAAGCAGGAGTCGGGGCCCTCCTGAAACTTAAGGCAGAATGTGTCCCAATGAGTCGAAGCCCAATTCTCTAACGACATCTGTGGTTTTGAGAAAACTTGTCGCCCTCTACCAACCTATATTTGATAGGAGATCTGAGATCATCGGTGCCATTTGTGAGCCCGCAGATGAATGGCCGGGTAGATAGGGGTTCAGGAGGGAGCTCCGCAGGAAACAGAAGGGATGCGCCAAGGAAAAGAACAGGCAAATGGCAGGCATCCCTTTTAGTTCATGGCTTTTCAAAGTGTAAAGATTCGTAGAAAGTTGATCCCCCAAATGATGAAGTGATGCAGGAGCACTTGGTAAAAATGAAGCATTCGGGGGGGTGAGGAACCAATGAGCTTCACCATAGAATTTGTCTTTTGAGGTAAACAAATATTTTCCCAACAAAGTTCTGACCAAAACACCGTAGAATGAGATCGGACCCGATGATTCAGATCTCTTCTTCTCCAAAGAACTAGAAATAATCAGCCGCTTTGGGTGGGAGATTTACTGGAAAAAAGGGAAATACAGTGTCCCTGTGGAAATGATCAAGCAGCAGCAACGTGAGGGCCATGGAACTGTTGTGAAAACCAGTAGGAAGGTGCCCAGCTATTCCTTTCTTACTTAACTCTATCCTGCTTCTCCTGAGGGTGGAGTAGCTGAATGCCGCTGCTAGTTATAAATTGGGCTATATTTTCTGTGAATGTCTGGTCCCCATGCGTGTATTATTCTTCCCTAAAGAAGTCACTAAATCTCAGCCCGAAAAGTGGGATGAAGAGGCCCAAGATGCTGCAGGCGAGGAAGAGAAAGAACAAGAAAAAGAGAAGGATGCGGAAAACAAGGTGAAGAACTCCAAAGGGACCTAGACGCAGCAGAGGTGAAGCCAAGAAAATCCAGGTATCTGTGTATAGCTTTGAGAATCACTCAACTATTCCTGGCATTTACCTGTTGCAGACAGTTTTATTGAACAACAACAAAAATTCTCAGTAAGTTAAGTAAGAAAAAGTTTAAAATTAGTTTAAAAATTCAATTTAACTTACTTAAAATGTTACGAGAATATTCATGTACCTAGTAATATGAACTGCAGTGTGTTCTGAAATATACTTCTTGGCTACTCATTTGTTCATGTTGAGGTCTTTTGTCCTCTAGCTGCAAGACTACTAACAAGTGGCAGATGTATCAGACCTACTACCAGGACCAATATTTGTGTAGAAAACAGTTGCCAGACACAGCCGCTAACTTGGCTGGGCCACGCATTAGTTGGGCCTTCGTTACTTGACCACAGAAATGCAGGCTCCCGTAGTAACTAGGAGACAACTCAATGCCTTTTACAAAGTGACTACTTAAAAATAGCAAAAAGCTAAGAATTTCAAGTAGGACCACAATGAATGGTTAATACCTAGATATTTATTTGGCTATATATTTTGGTATTTTATGTCACAGTCAGATGAAAAGAATGTGTGTTTATCACTGAATTGGTAATGAAGTCTTAAGGTATATCCATCTTTGAGTGTATTTAAATGGTTAACATTTTTCTTTCTTTCTTATTTATTTATTTATTTTGCATTTTCACAGCCGTATATTTCGTAACGGCTTCTTTCCCACATGGTAGATACGGAAACCAAGGGTCTGGGAGGGTAAGGGAGTATTATTTGTGGAACCAGCACAGGCTGTTGAAGCTTGAGAGATTTATTTAAATCCCAGAATGGCCCCTCATGTAAAAACAAAAGCAACAAGCTTTTCTAGTGCTAGGCAGACAAGGTTGGTGTGATCATTTGACTGAAACCTTCAGTTCCACAAGCACCCTGATATCCAAGCTCGTGAGTTACAAAAGGAAAAGATGGGCTTCTCTACTTGTTTAAGATATAGCACACAAATGTTGCAGATATACACAGAGCTGGCCATTTTCTTCTATTTAGAAAGTCACTGGTGCTGGTTAATGTTGTACTATTGTTTATCATCTCTCATTTCATCCCACAGTTGGGAGGAAAAGAAAGAAGACTCTGTTGTTCATTGTTTTTATCTTTTTCTCCAGATGCCTGTGGGAATTGTAACACATATCATTCCAAAGTTCGTTACATCAAAAGTGATATCCAGTGACATCTAACTTTCATGGATGTATGTGACAGTGTTCAAGTTAAAAAATAAAAGTTTGTTTTAAATGAATAAACTGAAACGTGGGAAGATTTTTCAATAAGTAATCTTAACTCAAATCTCTCCTTTACGTCTTTGTTTTGGCCCACCATACCTTCATTGAAAGATATTACTTTCCGCCATTTGGTAAGACTCTTTGAAATTCTTTCACTGCAGCCAAAAATCAAGTAAAATGACAAGTTTAAAACAATTTTTGAAAAGAGAGAGATGGGGCTCATCTTTAGAGCTGTGTGTTGTGACTACTGAGCACTTGTAATACGGCTAGTCTGATTTAATATGTGATGCAAGTGTGAAAATAATATTGCATATATTACTAATTTTTTTTTTTTTTTTTTGAAACTGAGTCTCGCTCTGTCACCCAGGCTGGAGTGCAGTGGGGCCATCTTGGCTCACTGCAACCTCCACCTCCCAGGCTCCAGCAAATTTCCTGCCTCACCCTTCCGAGTAGCTGGGACTACAGGCGCGCACCACCATGTCCAGCTAATTTTTTGTATTTTTAGTACAGACAGGGTTTTACCATATTGGTCATGCTGGTCTCGAACTACTGACCTCAGGTGATCTGCCTGCCTCGGCCTCCCAAAGTGCGGCCTCCCAAAGTGCTGGATTACAGGCGTGAGCCACCACCCCCAGGCACTTTTGGTGTTTTTGATGCTTAGCTCTTATGAGATGACCTGGTCCTTTTAAAAAAAGTATCTCTTTTTTTCCCCATTATTTGGAGGTTTGAAGTGAATTTGGCAGGATTCATTAAACACCTTCCAGTGTCTGTCATTTACCACCTCAACACTCAGTGATGACTGCATCCATTTCAACTCTGCACATTCTTTTCTAAGTAGCTTTAACTACGTTAACTCAGTGAAATTCTTATGTCTCTTGGGAGGTTTTCACTACTGCTTAGCTATGAACTATATAACATTTTTATGACACTATCTCTACTGGCATGAGCCATTACTAGGTGGAAATAAGTGAACTCTGTGACCGCCTTGCAGTTCCCATGCTCCAGGGTGCCTCCACATGGGACTACTATAGTGTTGCTAATAATCATAAAATTAAAAGGGCAGGACTTGTGTGGACCTAAAGGGGTAGCCTTGGACACTAAGGCCTCATAGAAAAGGTAGAGCTCGGCCTGGCACGGTGGCTCATGCCTGTAATCCAAGCACTTTGGGAGGCTGAGGCAGGTGGATCACAAGGTCAGGAGATCGAGACCATCCTGGCCAACATGGTGAAACCCTGTCTCTACTAAAAATACAAAACCTAGCCAGGCGTGGTGGCATGTACCTGTAGTCCCAGCTACTCAGGAGGCTGAGGCAGGAGAATCACTGGAACCCAGGAGGCGGGGATTGCAGTGAGCCGAGATCTTGCCACTGCACTCCAGCCTGGGCAACAGAGCAACACTATGAAAAGAAAAGAAAAAGCTCTGGATTCTGGATTCTCAGTTCTAGAGCTTAAGGGCCTTGATCATTCATTGGACATAGAACATGTCAATCTGAAGTTTTCAGCAAATGAGCTTAGGGCTCACTGAGAGCCCCTCGTTGACCCTTCCGGTCCCGCCCCCTTTCGCCTGCCAACCAGAATCTTTCCCAACTTGTCTAAGTCCTCTCAGGCCAGCCTTGGTGGGAGGTTTCTAGGATTCGCTCCCTGCCCTTCCCATCTTAGGGTGTCGTCTGAGACAGACTCTTATTCCCTCAATAAAGAGAGAGACTCTTATTCCCTCAGCGGCCAGCTCCTCGCCTCCCCTCGGCCGTAGCCACCTCAGTGGTCACCGTCTTCACCGTGGTCGCCTCAGCCCGCTCGCCACCCCAGTTGAGGCGCTGCTGGTGTCATGTCTGCCACAGGGGACCGACACCCGACCCAAGGGGACCAGGAGGCCCCGGTAAGCCAGGAGGGAGCACAGGCCGAGGCGGCCGGAGCTGGTAACCAGGAGGGCGGCGACTCCGGCCCCGACAGCAGCGACGTGGTGCCTGCGGCCGAGGTGGTCGGAGTCGCAGGGCCCGTGGAAGGCCTCGGGGAGGAGGAGGGTGAGCAGGCGGCAGGCCTGGCCGCAGTCCCCCGGGGCGGGAGCGCCGAGGAGGACTCAGATATCGGGCCCGCGACGGAGGAAGAGGAGGAGGAAGAGGGGAACGAGGCGGCCAACTTCGACTTGGCGGTGGTCGCCCGTCGCTACCCGGCGTCGGGCATTCACTTCGTGCTCCTGGACATGGTCCACTCCCTTCTCCACCGCCTCTCTCACAACGACCACATCCTCATAGAGAACCGTCAACTCAGCCGCCTGATGGTGGGGCCACACGCTGCTGCGCGCAACCTCTGGGGCAACCTCCCCCCGCTGCTGCTGCCCCAGAGGCTGGGTGCAGGGGCCGCAGCCCGGGCGGGCGAGGGCCTGGGCCTGATCCAGGAGGCCGCATCGGTCCCAGAGCCTGCAGTGCCAGCTGACCTGGCCGAGATGGCCAGGGAGCCCGCGGAGGAGGCCGCAGAGGAGAAGCTCTCAGAGGAGGCCACAGAGGAACCAGACGCAGAGGAACCGGCCACAGAAGAACCGACCGCACAGGAGGCCACGGCCCCAGAGGGTAAGGAACGGGCTAGCGGCAGCAGCGGGGAGGCGGGGACCCGTGTGTCCCAGGGTTCTAGGCAGGGCCGCGGTGCGGGCATAGCTGGTGAAGCGGGTGGTGAAGGGGGGTCGGGGCCTCGGGTGGTGAAGCAGGAGTCGGGGCCCTCCTGAAACTTAAGGCAGAATGTGTCCCAATGAGTCGAAGCCCAATTCTCTAACGACATCTGTGGTTTTGAGAAAACTTGTCGCCCTCTACCAACCTATATTTGATAGGAGATCTGAGATCATCGGTGCCATTTGTGAGCCCGCAGATGAATGGCCGGGTAGATAGGGGTTCAGGAGGGAGCTCCGCAGGAAACAGAAGGGATGCGCCAAGGAAAAGAACAGGCAAATGGCAGGCATCCCTTTTAGTTCATGGCTTTTCAAAGTGTAAAGATTCGTAGAAAGTTGATCCCCCAAATGATGAAGTGATGCAGGAGCACTTGGTAAAAATGAAGCATTCGGGGGGGTGAGGAACCAATGAGCTTCACCATAGAATTTGTCTTTTGAGGTAAACAAATATTTTCCCAACAAAGTTCTGACCAAAACACCGTAGAATGAGATCGGACCCGATGATTCAGATCTCTTCTTCTCCAAAGAACTAGAAATAATCAGCCGCTTTGGGTGGGAGATTTACTGGAAAAAAGGGAAATACAGTGTCCCTGTGGAAATGATCAAGCAGCAGCAACGTGAGGGCCATGGAACTGTTGTGAAAACCAGTAGGAAGGTGCCCAGCTATTCCTTTCTTACTTAACTCTATCCTGCTTCTCCTGAGGGTGGAGTAGCTGAATGCCGCTGCTAGTTATAAATTGGGCTATATTTTCTGTGAATGTCTGGTCCCCATGTGTGTATTATTCTTCCCTAAAGAAGTCACTAAATCTCAGCCCGAAAAGTGGGATGAAGAGGCCCAAGATGCTGCAGGCGAGGAAGAGAAAGAACAAGAAAAAGAGAAGGATGCGGAAAACAAGGTGAAGAACTCCAAAGGGACCTAGACGCAGCAGAGGTGAAGCCAAGAAAATCCAGGTATCTGTGTATAGCTTTGAGAATCACTCAACTATTCCTGGCATTTACCTGTTGCAGACAGTTTTATTGAACAACAACAAAAATTCTCAGTAAGTTAAGTAAGAAAAAGTTTAAAATTAGTTTAAAAATTCAATTTAACTTACTTAAAATGTTACGAGAATATTCATGTACCTAGTAATATGAACTGCAGTGTGTTCTGAAATATACTTCTCGGCTACTCATTTGTTCATGTTGAGGTCTTTTGTCCTCTAGCTGCAAGACTACTAACAAGTGGCAGATGTATCAGACCTACTACCAGGACCAATATTTGTGTAGAAAACAGTTGCCAGACACAGCCGCTAACTTGGCTGGGCCACGCATTAGTTGGGCCTTCGTTACTTGACCACAGAAATGCAGGCTCCCGTAGTAACTAGGAGACAACTCAATGCCTTTTACAAAGTGACTACTTAAAAATAGCAAAAAGCTAAGAATTTCAAGTAGGACCACAATGAATGGTTAATACCTAGATATTTATTTGGCTATATATTTTGGTATTTTATGTCACAGTCAGATGAAAAGAATGTGTGTTTATCACTGAATTGGTAATGAAGTCTTAAGGTATATCCATCTTTGAGTGTATTTAAATGGTTAACATTTTTCTTTCTTTCTTATTTATTTATTTATTTTGCATTTTCACAGCCGTATATTTCGTAACGGCTTCTTTCCCACATGGTAGATACGGAAACCAAGGGTCTGGGAGGGTAAGGGAGTATTATTTGTGGAACCAGCACAGGCTGTTGAAGCTTGAGAGATTTATTTAAATCCCAGAATGGCCCCTCATGTAAAAACAAAAGCAACAAGCTTTTCTAGTGCTAGGCAGACAAGGTTGGTGTGATC